>NC_000001.11:79553835-89553835 GCF_000001405.40 Homo sapiens | reverse complement strand
TTGACAGCAGGAAGCCTAATTTTATATTAGGGTATATATCTAGGTACCTTGAGAAATAAAACATAAATGGACTTCAAAATTAAAATTCTGAGTAGAAAAATAGTTACGCTTTAAAAAATTAAACTTTCAGATTTAGCCAGTAAACTGATGCAAATGGACAAAGTAATTAGATTTTAAGGAAGCAGACGTTTCCTGAAATTCTTAACTGACTTTTTCCAAAGAGAAATAAATTTGATTTGTACTTTTTTAGACTAGGTAATACCTGAGTACTCTGGTGGAATTAAATACTTAATGGTAAAAATACCACTTTTAGAATAGGCAAAGATTTTGTATGAAGCTGTAACACAGAAGAACAGTCATTTACAACACACACACAAAAGGGTGCCAGATATATTCTGGGCCAGGTTAAACATGCTGAGATCAAACATCAACTTAAGAATACACTGGGCCCTGAATCAATGGAAAAATCATTTGGCATTATGACACTCACCATGCAATCAAACCTCTGTTTAAAATCAAGTTACAATTACTCTAATTATGGACAAACATTTCATTTGTTGCACAACTGGTACCTAATCAAACACTTCTGTAGAAGAGATGATTTCACCACAAGGTAACTTAATTTCAGTGCGAAATAAGTCTTTTAAATTATTTTTAAAGAGTGTTTTTAACCAATTTACATGTCAGAAATTTTATTTCTATAAAAATTACTACATGAACTAAGTCTAAATCAAACAAAAATGCCTTCCTCTACTTTGAAACAATAGTCTTCTCTCATAAACATTTTATTCAAATATTTCCCAGCAACAGGCTTGTGTGCACTAACCAGGAAGTGAAACCAAATATGATCATATTGTGAAAGCAGAGTAAAATGAAAGAACACAATTGGAATTATCTGAAGCATTATTAAAATTTCATCTGAAAATCCAATTCCCTTGGAAACAACAATTTAATCAAGGAAGTAATAAAAGGAATTTCAAAAGCATAATTCTTCATTTTCTTGTGTGGCAGTGTCCCCAGTCTTCTATGCAAATATCTTTTCCTGTAGCCAGGCTGGCTCATCTGAAACACAAGCTTTCACCAACCCGCCTGGTGAACACAGGGAGCAGGGTTAAGCAATCATTTTCATGCTAGTAAATCAACTCTGGTATAAACGATTGCAATCTTTAATGACTTACTTTGGAGAAAAATGTATCTTTTGCTTCTTAGGTAACAAGTAAATCACATTTCTCTTAATTATTTTTCTGTGGTTACTGTCATTCCCTTTAATCTATTGTAAATTATAAGCTCTCTAAAACCAGAAAATGTATTTTACTGATTAGTCTGCTTTTAACTGACTCAGTAACCTAAACATAGTGAGAGTTATTATAAGTACCTAACGATTATTCTTATTGTCTAAGGATAGTGTTAGCAAACAAAACTCACTATGGTTTACATTTTTCTGCTAAGATGGATACTAAGTAGGATCATGAATTTCTGGGCTCCATTACCATATCTCTTATTCCAAGGAGATTGGGTGTGGGAGAAGGGGCTAGAAGACACCATGCAAAAACAGAATATATTCTCATTTACTAATTATTATTCTTTATACTTATTTTTAATTTTAAGCAGGATTTGAGTAAGCTTAGTATTATATACAGTACAATATTCTTATGAAAATGTCCTAGCAATCTAAATAAGAAGGTAGTTCCTGAACTACCTATGACTTCAGCAAGTGATCAGGTAGCCCCTATTAGACACTGCACAAACACAATGCAAATCTGAATATTAGTGCTACTCTGCAGACAAAGCAGACATACTGCTGCTCTGTATAAGAATGAAATGTAAAAGGAAAAAAAACTATGAATAAATAAGCAGTGACAGACAAATCTATTAGCACGGTACATGCATGTATATAAATATATATAATAATCAAATCATGTGGCTAGTGAATTCTAGAAACACTTGAGAGCCTACTATGTTTTAAGAACAGTGTCACACTTAAGAAACTGAGTCAATTCTATTGCCATGGTGTTAAGAGGTTGAAGAGCCTGGCTAGTGGGTCTCATTCAGAGCTTGTCTGTGGACGCACCAAAAGTATTGAGGCAGGCCAGACCGCTAGTCAGTCCCGTTTTCTTTGGGGACCCTCTTTTCTTGTTACTCCCTCACTCACTTTATCAAATACTGCACTTTCACCACAGAGCCTGATCCTTTATATTTATATTCATTGAATTCTCTTGACAGGGAGAATTCATTGAGCATTTGCTGTGGTATGGGCTGAATAAGATAAGAAAGTATATTTCATTTTCTATCTATCCTTAAAACACTTATAAAGTTAGGAAAATGAGAAATTTGTACAAAAAGTGAACAGGAAAAAAATGAAGGATTAAATAGTGGAGTGGAACAACTCTGAACATCTATATAATGCTCAAAAGTTTATGGAGCATTTTTTTCATAGTCATTTAAATCATACACTTGACTTTAGGATAAGGATACAAGCTCAGAGAGAAAAAAAATTAGCTGCTGATGACACATGGCTGGTGAGCAAGAGCTTGATCCTATAACTGACACCAAACATGGTGCTCTTCCAACCATCCAAAGCTTCCTCTTGTAAGATGAACAGGTATAGCTCAGGGAATGGAGAAGGCAACATAGATAAGGTATCTCTGAGCCGTTAGGGATATGCAGGGGCTGGAGCAGGAAAAAAATCTCCAGCGGGGTAGTGGGGAGGGAAAGAGCAGAGGGGTGTTGCCTGAGGAAGAGCAGTGAGGCTGCAGAGGATCTTCACGGCCAGAGGGGGACGACTTCACAAATAAATGAGGCAGTGAGGACATTTACGGTTGGAGATTCCAGAATATGAGAGTATGGCTTGAATTGACTTACAAAAGAGAACAATTATAGATTCTAAAATAGAATGCAAGCAATATTTTAGGAAAACTAACCTGGTAAGGCATGAGAGATACAATGGGGCAGGATCGGGGGCCGGGGGAAATGAAGGTAAGGAAACCAGGCAGGAACCTACTGCAGTCATTCAATGCTGAAGCAGTGAGAGTGAAGACCATGGTAGTATCAGTGAGACTGACCAGGAATGAAGGAATTTAGGCAGAACTGTGGGTTCTGGCTGACTAGAGAGCTGGGAAAAGGGAAGAGCAGTAAAGTTGGGCTGGTGAAAGGCTCTGTTATAAAGTGCTAGTTAATATTCCAATATTCAGTGGAAGACCAAGGAGCTAACTGGTGAATTTTGCCCTTTCATATCAAAGCAAGGCTAATAATTAACATAATTAATCTTTTATGCTTTATTAAAGGTTTGGCATAGCTAAGGTTTGACTGAGTACTGTTCTCGCAAGTGAACCTAGCGGGAAAGCTGAAGAAGGTGAGATGAAAAGGCCATTTAGGTCCAGACCTAATGAGACACAGGTACCATTCTATTGAACCCAAAAAGGTATTTGTGAAAGGGAGTGACTTAATCCAGTCAGCGTCAAATCTTAAATTTAAAAAGTTAGAATTTGCCACTTTGGTAGCAGCATGAACAACTCGTTAAAAAGGAGAAATACACATAGGGAGGAGATCAGGATAGATCAATTGTCCAGATGATAAACAGGAAAGGTGGCTTGAACTAAGATGTGCCTGAGTGTGAAGAGAAGAGGGGATAGAAGCAAAAGTACTACTATTACTTTTAAGTGCTTTCGAGCAGGTTCTCTGCTAACTAGCTTATGGGCATAGACTCTAGGGCTCCTTAGGTATCCCTTAGAAGGACTTGGTAGCAGATTAGATGTTAAGGAGAGTCAGGACTCAAGGACAAGTGACTTATCCTAGCTTTGGCCACAGGGTCAATGATGAAGGGGGCTAATGAGTGTGTTATTTAAAACACTGAGTTTGCAGTACCTGTGGGCCATCCAGGTAGTGAGGTCTAGTAGGCAGCTGAAAACACAAACTGGAGCCCTAGGGAGAGGAAAAAATATAAATGAGTTTGTTAAGCTGTTTTTGCTGAAGACTTGGGCCAATGTTGGACTTAAAGACCTGCACTTGGTAAAATTTTAAAAGTTATTTAAAATAAATAACTCAATGCAGCCTCAGTCCATCTCCCATATAAAAGAACTCATTTAATACCTTCCTTCCAGAATATTTCCATTTAAAGTTGGGACAATTTAGTTTTTTATGAAGATGACTGAATTCATTAAAAGTTTATATGTTCGAAAACACCCACATATGCAAATCCGCATCCACATAACTACAAAACATCTCTTCAAATGACTTCTACTTGATTGTCCAACTGGAGATAAATAGAATTGGAAGCAATCAAAGACATTCTTTTTAAAAATAACTTGCAGCCTCCCTATTGCAGGTGCTCATTGTCTTCCTGATCATGAACTGTCAACTCACTAACAAAACATAAGGGCATATTTTTCATTTCACTTCAGTGTTAAAGAGCTGCTCCCTTTCCAAGCTACTTCATCTTTACTTTGTTCTCTAATGGTTGTAGAGATAGTGAATATATTTAGCATATCAACAGGGTTAATAGAAACATGAAGGAATTTCTGATGTGGTATGTGTTGTATTTTTATAAATACCAATCTCCTCTCTTTGCTAGCTTTGATAGAGTTGGAAAATGTTATCCTTTGGGAATTTAATTTTGAAGAACTGCTCTGGTTTTGTTTTTCCTACATTATCTGTCTCCGTTTAATGTACTATATACTTATGTTGTTTATCACTTTTCTCTGCACAGTAAGCAGTAAGCTCTGGTAGCACAGGGCTTCTATTTGTAGGGCTCACTGTGGTATCCCATCACCTAGCCCAGATAGTAGGGGCTCAGTAAATAGTTTTTGAGTGAATAATCACAAGTCTGTGATTATCTCACTTCAGGAACTTAATATGTCCTTTTTTCTTAGCAATCACACCCCAATCTTCATGCTCCAACTTAATTTGGAACTATGACTTCTATTGTATTTATACGCCTCAAACAAACTCTCAGAATGTATGTTGTGGTGGGACCCTGCAGAGCCCTGAAGGGTATTGGTACAAAGGAATTAACATGGGAAAAACTGCAGCAAAGTGTCAACAAAGGCTCCCAGTTTCTCCAGGTGATTTTTCTGTCCAGCTCTGTCTTATGAGGAGAAGTTATAATGATCTTTCTCCTACACACACTCTTCTGACTTCTGGCTTCCCTGATCTCAATTCCTATTTGCAGTATCTGTTTCAGCCCAGGGTGAAACAAAACTGAGGGGTCAAAACAAACCTGAGTTTGCATCTGCTGTTTTCATTGCTTGAGGCTTTGAATTTTTTTGTCGTTACCTTAAGAGAATAAGCCTGTATTTCTACACAGACCAGAAACTCACATTAACTTAATATTATAAGACAGAATAGACTACTTTCCCCCTCAAGGTTCTGATTGTCCTTCTCTGTCCTCATTATAAAACCTAATAATTTCCTCACTACTCTGTTTGATGGGATAATCATAGTGACCACTTGCATTCATTACACAACATAAATATTTTTCCATGTCAACTGGATTTAGTTTGTATGCATTATTGCATAATCAAATCCAAGGAGAAACTATTACCATACTCCAAATTGATATTAAGAATGAAATTAAAACTTCAAACTTAAAAAAAAGATGTATTCTGAGTAATTCATGCTATAGCTTTTCCATTTGATGTCTAAATATATGCTAGAAAAAAATATAGTTATTTTGTGCTCTTTGTGAAATGTAATCAATATATAATCTAAGCGAGAACTTTTAAAATCATTTGGATTAGGACTAATTTAATTCATAGGCCAATAATTCCAAACAAATCACTTATATCAGCCAGGCAATATTTAGAAAGGCTGTCATCATCTGCATAAAAGACAATTCACTTGACAGCACTCCTTTTTTGGGCAATGACTCAAATCAGCTAGACTGAAAATAAATCTAAAGGGTACACAGCTGTCATGTAGCTGCAAGTAGCCTTCTGAGCAATTACTTGATTCATTTTTCCCTATTTGTACAACTGGTTTTGCAAACAGGATTGCAATCCAACAAATGAATGCCCCGCACCCCCTCCCCTCCCCGCCCACTATGAAGAAAGCTTTTTGCTGTCCTTGGGAAGGCTCTAGTGGATTCCTTTGCCCTGATGGGCATGATAAACTGCACATGGTGGTTTCTTGATTTTATTTAATGAGAAACAGATCTTTAAAATCAATGACCTATGTGAACCATTTACAAAATAAGTGCTCCAAAATTTGAGAATATGATTTTATCAAAGGAATGTTGGCATCAAAGTTTGAAGGAAAGACAGGTGCCAGACTGGATTGCTATCTATGTCTACTAGGTACAGGCAATTTATTTTCATTGTAACATTCCATAATTGCTGTTTTAACATTTTATTATGGAAAATTTTAAACATACACAAAGGTTGAGAGAGTGGTGCAATGAAACCCATCTGCCCACCACTCTGATTCAACACCACAATACTCACCCTCATTGGATTATTTTGAAACAGATTCTAGATATATTCTGTCTTATTTCAGTATGGATCTCTAAAACAGAAAGAGTCTTTAAGATATAACCATAATATCATAATAATATCCAGTGGCATGCTGGTAAATATTTAACAACCAGGTTTCTGAGAAAAAAAAAAAAAGGACCCTGGTTCTTTGCCATTTTCCATGATTCCCACCATGGCCAATTTCAAAGTACCAACATGATGTCACTGAATGTGGAGTTGAGAAGAGATGTGTCACACATCATTATACAGCACTTCTACTCTGCAGATACCTTAGACATAAATAACCTTAAGAGCATAGATAACAACAAATTATAGCAAAATAATTAGGAAGTGAGAGTTTTGAGTATTTATTTTACTTTTAGTACTTTAAGTTTGTACAATTTAGTTTTTAATGACTATGTTTAACTAGCTTGAAAATTCCTATAACACAACAATCAGTTTTCACAAGCTTATGTGTGTCAGCTCTAGAATCATTACTGAATCATATACAAATAATTAACAATTCCTTAATATTATCAATTAACCAAATTTCTGATACATCTCTTGTCTTTTTTACTTAGCTATAGAGAAATAGCTTCAGCAAGAAGGAGGAGGAACTTTGCTTCAGAAAGCTACACTGAGGGCTCCTTTCTGGGTATAGCTCAGTCAGCTGTTAGTCTGTTGCCAGGAGGTTGAGTCAGATGCCTTTGTGATTATGTACCTTCATATCACTAAGGAATCACAGCAATGTGTTTAATTTGCTTTTTATTGCCTATTCTTTGGCTCTCAAAAGACAAAGAGTTTGAAAGGGAGTAGTAGAGAGACTTGGAAGAAGGGAAAATACATCTATTCCAGGTAGACAACCATGAGCTGATGGAGTGTTCTGACAGAAAGAAGATGGCTAAGAAGATGTGAGTTACTCTTCCGTGCTTGATATATCCCACCATTGAAACTTGGTTCGCAAAAAGTCCTCTTTAAATGTGCCTTCCAGAACTGAATATGGCACATTAGATCTGACACTCCTGAAGCAGATGGTAAAGTGGAGTTACTGCCATTCTTGATAAGATGCCAACACTGGACTGCAACTCCACTTTGGGCTCACAGTCAAGCAGAACTCAAGTCCAACCAATGAACCAGTGCCTACTAGCACTCACCAAGGCTCCACAGCATACATTCACAAATCCTCCCCCACCATCAAATTTGGTACCAGGCCGCTTTTCCAACCCTTCCTACTATGCCTTTGAACATGCTCTCTATTCTGATAGGCTAGCCTAACCTATTGTTCAAAAAACACATAATATACCATTTTTATTAAAAAAAATTCTTACTATGGAAATTTTCTAATGTATATAGAAGTATGAATAATATTATAAGGGTCCCCCATATACCATTTACCCAGCTCCAACAATGATCAATTCATATCACACCCATGCCAGGTGTCTTGAAGCAAATCCTGGATGTATCGTTTCATCCGCAATGATTTCAGTACTGCATACATTCTTTCCTATACACCTCTGCTCAAACATTTCCCGTCCACCCCCTTCTTCAACTTTCCATATCTTATCACATCCTGCAAGCCTCACCTCCTACGATGTTTCCACTGAACTTGTGAGTCATATGCCTTCTTGGGACATCTGTCTTATTGTTGTCTTCTTGTTCTTAACTCTTAAGTTGAACACTCACTGTCATTGGCCTTGAAAGCAGGAAACCTCTCTCACCATACATATAGTGCAAGAATTCACGTTTAACAGGGAAAGAACCAAAGGATATCCAATTGGTTTTATAGAGTTTATTAAAATTTGACACAACAATTTTATTCAGCATATTAACCAAATTCTGTATGTGGGAAATGTCTTGGTAAATGCCTTGGACAGGGCATGCAGACACAGTATGACAGGGTGGAAAGAAGACTGGACACAGAGCTAAAAGGCCTGGTTCTTGTCCTGCCCTTCTGTTTACATGCTATTTTGGGTATATTGTGTAACTTCTCTGAGGAATAGGAATTAATTTCAGTCATTCTTCCTCTCTCCCTCTCTAAATTGTCGGAATCAAATGTGATTATTATGTAAAGATGATTTTATAACTGATAAAGTACACTGTTGATGCTCATCTTTACCTGTAAATGCAGAAATCATTGACCATATCACTAGACAACAAGAAGAGCTATTGGTTTGAATCCTAAATGTATAAGGAGAATAAATTTAAACTCCCAACAGGAAAAAAGGGAATGTGATAGTGCAGAGATCAGATGGGATTAAGAATCAAGAAAACTCACCCTGGGAGGAATGTAACAGCATACCTAGTATCTTTTTTAGACCTCAAAACCACTGCCTTATAATTAAACAAATTAGAAATTACAAAGAAAGCAATATATGTTTTCAACTATGTAAGAAAACTTCCTATTACGTTAAAAATTGAATTAAAAGGCAAAATTCAACATCTGATTTCCTCTTCAAATAAAACTTTCCAATTGTATCCAATAAAATGGTTATAATTTTGAGTTTATGCTCTCCTAGGACATTCTCAATGTCTTTGACTTCTCAGTTTTGCATTCTGCTTTTCCAAAGGAAAATCATTCATATCAAACTGCAAAGATCTATCATGTTACATCAAACAGTACTTAAAGTCAATATAATTGAGGTTTTTTCTTCCTCCAGTAGAAAAGAGGATAGATGGATTTATCAAGAAAGCACTGTTCTACAAACCATCCTGCAAACTTCACTACCATCCTGCGAGAGATCTGCAAATAGGCTTAGCCCATCTAAAGTACCCACTGGGATATTATTATTATTATAAGGTTTCTTACAAGCAAATAAAAATTACAGGCATTGGAGAAAAGGCTTAAATTTTGTAAAACTCTGAATAATCTAGGCCAACATAGGAAAAGGATTTTTCAACTTTGGACATTAATATGACTTAGCAATAGTCGATAAAAACAACAGCTGCTGAGCCTGGTAAATCCAAATGAGATTATTAGGTCAAAATCATAGAAATACACAGAGAACATTCCAAAATTCCCAGCACACTGACAATAAAGCACCCAAACCAGAATCTCATTAGGGAAAGAAACATTTTGTTTAGAAATAATTTTTTTTTACTACGACTTTACCATGTGTAACATCTCTGGGATGTTACTAGAGAGGAAAACAATAAGAATCAAAAGTGTAAACTACTGAACAATAGCTTCCTTCATTTCCCTTCCCTTCTCATGAAACCCTACTGCACACACCAAATAACTATGTATTCTTACACCTTGTTCTGCATAAACAGACATTTATAGAGATTTTAAAAATCATCTGGGCGCAGTGGCTTATGATGGTAATCTCAGCACTTTGGGAGGCCAAGGAGGGAGAATCACTTGAGTCCAAGAGTTCAAAACCAGCCTGGGCAACATAGCAAGACTTCATCTCTACAAATAATTAATAATAATAAAAATTAGCCAGGCTTGGTGGCATGCAACTGTGGTCCCAGCTACTCAGGAAGCTGAGGCAGGAGGATAGCCTGAGCCTGGGAGATCGGGGCTGGAGTGAGCCATGACAGTGCCACTGGACTCCAGCCTGGGCAACAGAGCAAGACCCCAACTCAAAAAAAAATGGCCAGGGATGGTGGCTCATGTCTGTAATCCCAGCACTTTGGGAGGCCAAGGTGGGTGGATCATCTGAGGTCAGGAGTTTGAGACCAGCCTGACCAATGTGGCAAAATCTCATCTCTACTAAAAAAAAAAAAATTAGCCAGGGCTGCTGGCATGTGCCTGTACTCCCAGCTACTCAGGAGGCTGAGGCAGGAGAATCACTTGAACCCGGGAGGCAGAGGTTGCAGTGAGCTGAGATTGTGCCACTGCACTCCAGCCCAGGTGACAGAGCAAGACTCCAACTTAAAAAAAAAAAAAATCAGTTTTTCAAAACTTAGATAATATTAGAATAAATTTTTTCTTGTATAATAGATTGTTTTATAATAAGAAAACTACCACTCACTGGCGTTTGTTACCTTCATGCACAACAGAAAAAGAATCAAAGAAGTTTTAGACTCCTAACAAATGAAATATGAATTTATACCTTAGACTTATGTTACTTTGAATACTTTGAGTATTGTTACCCATGATGACCAATTAGCATAAAAGACTTTTCAAGGTTATAGTCTACATGTCTCAAAATATACATTAAAAATGTGAAGGGCCATAGTTTTCTTTTACTTGTCTATTTACTGAATAAGGCTGAATTTCAGAAAATGTGAAGATTGAACAAGTTTCAGGCTATAACGAAAATTTAGGGGCTTTTGTGATCTGGTCCTGAGACAGCTATAATTTTTTCTATTTTGTCAATAGTGCTTTTATTAGATCAACAACTATGCAAGTCTAATTTTTCATCATTAAGTAATTTGACCCTACTTTAAAAATTACCAGGAAAAAGTAAATTTAAGTCTAGTTAACTGAACTGACAACTTACAAAAGATAAATCAGGTGGAGCTTGCCTTAATAGGTCCCCCCAGTACATAAGACAAAACAAGTCTAGTGTGAGGACACATAGGCCCTAACAAGTAGCTGATGTGAGGTTGAAGTAGTTGAATATGCTTGTATATTATAACCATAATGGATGCCAATACTCATGATGAGATAACTTTATGTTAAGTATTTTTATAAGTGCTTATATAAATTATTTAAAACTCTCAACAACCCCATGAGATTTTCTCCACTACAGATTGGCAACTGAGACAGTTATGTGACTTATCTAAACATGCACAAATAGTAAATTCATAATAGTAAAACGAGCATCAATATGAATATTCTTCAAAGAGATCTCTGAGAAAAATAAAAAGTAGCTTAGCTCCATGGAATGAACAACAGGCTAAACATGGATTCATTCATTCATTCATTCATTCACTCAGTCATTCAGTAAATATTTAGTGGCTGTTATGTGGTAAATGGCCCTGGAGAAGCAACAAAATAAACAAAACCCATGATGTCCTCAAACAGGTGCTATCTCTACCTCATGGAATTTATAGTCTGGTGACAGAGACAAAGATTAAACAAATCCTCAGTTATTTTATTATAATCACAGTAAGTGCTTCAGATGCTGTGGGGCAGGTAGAGGAACCACCTTGAAGACTCTGAAACTCATAGGAGACTGAGCCACTGTGAGAACTGAGCCAGAGAGCTCAAAAGCTTGCCCTAGCAGATGACACTCTTCTCTAGTCCCTTAGCTAAAGGTAGGTGCAGAAATAAATAATAACCAAGATGTCATGAAAGCAAGACATGTTCAAGGCCAGGAGGTCTCTGTCTAGTTCCATATTTTTGGTACACGAGAGTAGCCTTGGGTTTGTGTTCAAGTTTCAAATGCTCCCAGGATTTTACAACTTTTAAAGGTAAAAGCCATATATTACATTAAAAAATTTTAATCTGTGAATTAGTCATTTAAATAATATAATTTGTACATTATATCAAGAGAACAGTTACTAAAATTATCAGGAAAATTTCATTCTTGGTATAGTCAATGCTTTCTGTTCTGAAGAATGTGTGAAGGTGGCTACTTCAGGCATGTGGTAGAGTAGAAGTCAGCAAAAAGATGGAGGAGACTGAACTCTTATCCTGCCTACCATCTGCCTTAACTTTAGCCAAGTTATGGAGTCTCTCAGACAGCCAGCTTTTTTTTTTTTTTTTTTTTTTTTTTTTTTTTTTTTTTTGAGACGGAGTCTCCCTCTGTCGCCCAGGCTGGAGTGCAGTGGCGGGATCTCGGCTCACTGCAAGCTCCGCCTCCCGGGTTCACGCCATTCTCCTGCCTCAGCCTCCCAAGTAGCTGGGACTACAGGCGCCCGCCACTACGCCCGGCTAATGTTTTGTATTTTTAGTAGAGACGGGGTTTCACCGTTTTAGCCGGGATGGTCTCGATCTCCTGACCTCGTGATCCGCCCGCCTCGGCCTCCCAAAGTGCTGGGATTACAGGCGTGAGCCACCGCGCCCGGCCAGAAAGCCAGCTTTTTAATTGATAAAAATAGAAATAACTCTACCTGGTCTACTTTCTATGTTCACAGTGATGACAACATCAAAAGTGATGGGAACTCTCTCTGCCCAGGAGGTTTTAGAGAACAGCAATCCATGAAAGAATAAGCTCCTCACAAATACAACCTCTATTCTCTCTAGGCCAAGAAACCTTACCCAATGAGCCCATAATTTTTTAGCTTTCTGGAAGACAATGAGCTAAGCTGCCTGGAGGGATTACCTGGTTTCAGCAAACCTCTCCTGTGCAAAGTGTCATTATTCTTCCATAGAACAAATAGTACTTCCCCCAAATCTTTTCCCATTTCCAGTCAGAAGACATAAATGTTTAGAAGCTATAATTTAAAAAGTTGTGCTAATATAAAGCACACTCACTGGTAACCTGAAATTTGACAATTTGACCCCAAATCATCTGGTTCAAAACTTAATCCACTCCTTCTCTGAAAAAGTTAGAAGCTATAGTAAAACTAGTAAAATGTCAGTAATCACAGTTTGACTTAAGTAATTACCATAGGATCTTCTGATAAAAGGAAATAGAATATTTAATCCTATGACTTTTTTCTAAACTAACTTTTCTACTAGTCTCCTCTACTTCATCCCACTGCCCTACTTGGTCTCGCAATATGATCTCTCTCATCTTCAGCACACCCTCCACACAGTTGCCAGTGTTACTTCCCAAAACTAATCTGATATAATCTCTCAAAACCTTCCTTGGGGCTCCTGGGCTCTTCCTGAGGAAGCTGTATGCTTTGTATAGAGATATAAATGTATCTCCAAGCTCACCCCTGGCAGAGGCTGTGCCACGGTCAGCACTGGCTGTTCCAACTCCCACTCCAATGCTCTTGTTCTTTCATTCGTGTCACAAAGGGGAAAAGCTGACATGACTGGGGAAGGTTACACTGTGTGGGTTTTTTAAAACTCAAAGCGTGGGGTTGATTCAGACATATTTTCACATCACTGTTAGGGCCATTACAACAGATAACAAAATTGGCAAAGTATACTTCTTTTGCTCGTCAAGTAAAAAGAAAAGAGCCACATAGGCAAAGAAACAAGAATTTAGAGGTAGAAGGAGTTTCAGGCCCTCATACTACAATGTAATGGACACATGGATCATTCAGCTTCTATAGCTCCAAATATTTGATTCATGTATCACAACTTATATTCTAAACATAGTATTATTTTAAAACTATACAGGTCCCTAAACATAAAAATATAAGCAACATAAAACTTAAAAAATAATAAACTTAAAAATAATTGTCCAGGTGATGGAATTGAGTAGCTGGAACACTTTATTTAATCTTAGGTAATTGATTAAAGATATCCAGAAATGATACGTGAAGATGTAATAAATAAAATAATAGACATGCATGTAGAAGGTTAAAAACAATTTATGGAAAATTTCTCCTGGATCTTATGGAAAGCTAACTTTCACAATATCTGCTGAATATTTAATTATAATTCTAAAACAAGCACAAAATAAGCATGCATTAGCTGTTCAACTACTTATTTTTAAAAGTTCAATGGCCCCAATGGCCAGGAGCAAATATTGCAAGTTATTAGTAATCCAGATTTATTTTTATTTAATTTAAAAAAAATCTAACATAGGCTAAGTACCTTGAAGTGGGAGAAACCTAGCTGATAAATCTTTCTATTGAAAGGTTAAGTTGAACAATGCAAAATCAAGCAAAAGGATCAATGACTGGTGAACATTACAGCTGGCTTGATTCCCTCCAATGGAATATGCTTCAGCAGAAGTATCTGTCCTTTGCAATGTGTTGTTTCTGTGGCCCTAATTTCTATATTACACTTTCCATGCAGACTCCCATTAGTCTTTCTTCACCTTCATGACTCCTGGGTAGAATAAGGACTGATAAAGTAAAAGACGATGGGAATTGTAGGGTCCAAATCAGCCCATAACCCCAGTCCCTATACCCCCACAATGTTGGGCTGGTCCAGTTCTATCATCAGTGAAGAAAAAGCAACGCCTGAAAATCCTAGATCTCTTTTTAGCATTGTAAACCATGTAGGAGATGCTTATTACATCTGCTTTGTTCTCTATTTCTATGGTGCCTGTCACCATAGTAACAGGGCATACAGATGAAAAAGTAGGCTAGAAATACCCAAATATGGGGGGCGGAGAGGGCAATATGGGGGAAAGGGCCTTTCACTGATTAGGAAAGAAAAGGCTAGAATTTCTTCTTTCAGAGTTGTCAATGCATTAAGGGGTAATTCTAACTAGAAAAATAGGTTTTCTTTGCCTTTAAGAGAGCAACAATAGAAAATACCCTAAAATGTCAATAAATATCAATGTTTCTAGGAGGTAGTCTTGCTAGGCTTCTGAGATTTTAAAGCCAGATGTATTAAAAACCTTGAAGGGGCTGGGTGCGGTGGCTCACACCTGTAATCCCAGCACTTTGGGAGGCCAAGATGGGTGGATCACCTGAGGTCAGGAGTTTGAGACCAGCCTGGCCAACATGGCGAAACCCCATCTCTATTAAAAAATACGTAAATTAGCCGGGTGTGGTGGTGGGTGCCTGTAGTCCCAGCTACTTGGGAGGCTGAGGTAGGGGAATCGCTTGAACCCGGTAGGTGGAGGTTGCAGTGAGCTGAGATCATGTCACTGCATTCCAGCTTGGGCAACAAAGTGAGGCTCTGTCTAAAAAACAAACAAACAAACAAAAAAAAACCTCGAAGATGCTAATTTAAACCTTTAAACAGCATCTAGTTTTGGAAATGACATACTCATGCTGCAGTGTGGATGACTGCTACTTAAAATATTTAGTTACTTTGTAGTACTAAAAGTTGACACATCCGTTAAGGAAGTGTGGTTGGGAAGATAACTTACTACAATGAGTATTTCCCTAAAAGTGACAAGTTTATCTTCCAAGTCTCTGTATAAAATGTCCCCAAAGGAAATCACTGGGGTTGGGGTGGGGGATGACAGTCACTTCACTCTAAGGGAGTCACTGCTTCTATGAAAGAAAGAGGAACATTCTCTCCTGTCTACTGGTTCAGACCTTCAAAGGCACTATCAGTTCCTAACTGTTCTTTGCCATGCCAAAATTTCATCTATAAGGAAAGAGAAATCTTCCCACTTCAAGACCTCTGTTTCTTATTTTGCTTTTTTTCTCTCCTGCCACCAGCCAGAGTTCTCCTTGCTCATAATTTTCTAGGACATTTGGAATACCTGAAATGTTCTTTATCTTGTGATACTGGTCTCCTGAGTAGCTGGGATTACAGGCTCCAGCCACCATGCCTGGGTCCAAAAGAGTGGTATGTTCTAACCATGCTCTTTCAGAGTGAAGTTTCTTTCAGAGTAAACAGGACAAGGAGCCCTACCAGCCACATACTTGGGGAGGTTTTACTCTGTGTAAATAAAAATGATGCATGTCTTAATCCATTCAGGCTCCTATAACAAAATACCATGAACTAGGGTGGCTAATAAACAACAAACATTTATTTCTCACAGTTCCAGAAGTTAGGAATTCTGAGATCACAAGATGTCAGCAGACTTGGTGACCAGTGAGGTCCAGTTCCTTATAGATGGTACCCTATTGCTGTATCCTCACATGGTGGGAGAGGCAAACAAGCTCCCTCCAACCTCCTTTATAAGAACACCAATCCTGGATAGGCGTGGTGGCTCATGCCTGTAATCCCAGCACTCTGGGAGGCTGAGGCGGCTGGATCACTTAAGGTCAGGAGTTCGAGACCAGGCTGGCCAACATGGTGAAACCCTGTCTCTAGTAAAAATACAAAAATTAGCCCGGTGTAGTGGTGTGTGCCTATAATCCCAGCTACTAGGGAGGCTGAGGCAGGAGAATCGCTTGAACCCAGGAGGTAGAGGTTACAGTGAGCCGAGATCATGCCACTGCACTCCACCATGGGCAACAGAGCAAAACGCTGTCTCAAAATTAAAACAAAACAAAACAAAACAAAAAACACACCAATCCCATTCATGAGGGCTTTGTTTTTACAATCCAATCATCTTCCAAATGTCCTACCTCTCATCACTGTCACCTTGGGATTAGGTTTCAACACTTGAATTCTGCTGGAACACCGACACTCAGACCATAGCAATGCATACACAAAATAATCAGGAGAAACACTCTAGCTACTTGCACATTTTGTTCTTAAGCGACAGGGTCTTGCTATGTTGCCCAGGCTGAAATGCAGTGGCTATTTATAGCATGATCGTAGTGCCACAGCCTTGAACTCAAGCCTCAAGCCTCCCCTACCAGACCTGGTGTTACTTACACATTTCAATAGAAAAAGCAATAAATGACTTTGTGATAATCTTAGGTCCTTGATTCAGTCACTAATTAGTTGTGACACAGTGGAAAATTTTTACTTTGCCTTTCTCAATCTTAGTATCTTACCAGTTAAAAGAATGACTGAAATAGAACAGGGGTATGAGCTTGAGGATTCTAAGGATGATTTCAAGGCATGTTGAAATTGTACACACATGAGTATGTGTGTATTCTGGGAAAGACCTTCAAGTATATCTATAATATAAAAAAGTTAAAAATTAAAAGTACCCTCTGAGGTTTCTTTCACACAACTTGGAATACCATGACTCGAATCAGCTTACTCAAATAAACTCAAAGTTTGAACTCAGACTCAGGTGAGCATCATACTCGGTATCAAAAGTGCCCACCCCAGAAATGCTGTCCCTGATTGTATACTACCTAATCCCCAACAAGAACCATTCTCTAGTCCTTCACTCTGTTTTACTGTTCTTCATAGCACTTTATTGCATGACATTACACCTTGCATTTGCTTATTTCCCCTCCTCTAGCATATATGCTTCATGCAAAAAGGGTTTTTTCTGTTTTCTCTGTTGGATTTATTCCCTGTGCCTGTAAACAGTGCCTGACACATATTAGCTGCTCAAAAAAATGTATTGAATGAAAACTCTAGGGCCTGCTAAGAGCCATGCACTCTACTAGGTATTTTATGAAATTATCTATCTCAATCTTCATACTATCACTTTAAGGCAAGTTTCCCAATCCTTAGAGATTTTTCTAAAATAATACACCTGTGAAAAGGAGCCAGGCAATAATTATAGAAAAAGCTGCTTTATCAGGATTCGAGTGCCATATCTGCTGGTAACTTTGTGGTTCACTTACATAAGCCACATATCCCCTGAGGAACTCAGTTTCCATGTTTGTATCATGGGGATAATGCTTGTCCCCTCTACTGCAGGTCATCAGGAGAATAAATGTGAATATAAACACTTAATATGTTAGCATTGATGGGCAAATGTCTATCATAGTAAGTGATGTGTTGGGTGGGGGTTTCTGCAGAGATTTGCTACAAGTTGTTTTGCTATATGAAGGCAAGAGAGCAGCGGACAGCTATACAGTACCCTCTTACACAGGAACAGAACATCCAGAAACCCAGAGGGCCCCAGGAAAGGCTCCGAACTCAGTAAGGTGATGGCCAGGCCCAACTCCAAACTGTTGTCCTCTCCCTCTCAATTGCATTTATTTGTAAAGAAAAAAAAAATCCCAAATCTAGCTTAGGACCAAACCTTCTTGCATGCTGGAATTCACAAACTCTTCCAAGAAATTAGCTTTCTTGATAAAATGCTTAAGCATTTTTTTTTCCAGTGGGATTAAGACTTGTTCTTAGAAACCAGTCACTCACTCACCCAGATGACTGTCAGTCAAGCGGCTGGTTATCTTTAACTAATGTTCTTTTTGTATCTAGTCTAATAATGGGTATCAAAGAATTGTGTACAATTTCTTACTATTCTAGGTGAGTTTGTACATTCTTAAAATGGATGACGGTAATTAAATCAATTTGGTATCAAATTAGTTTCTACTAGGTATATTTATAAAGGTGATGTTCTTTTTTGTTATTGTTGTTTTTATAAAAGAGGGTCTTGCTCTTCGCTGCTTGTCACCTTCGCTGGAGTGCAGTGGTGCTATCGTAACTCACTGCATCCTTCCACCTCAGTCTCCTGAGTAGCTGGGATTACAGGCTCCAGCCACCATGCCTGGGTCCAAAAGAGTGATATGTTCTAACCATGCTCTTTCCCTATCGGATATCCCTGTGTACACCAAGGGGGAATCTTTAAATGGGCCTATTAGGGACCTAACAGTTGATAGCTAATTTGACTGAAAAATTTTCTTTAGCATCCAAACCAGTGATCTTCAAGCTGGGGTATGGGGTTTTGGGAGTCTTATTGGGAGTAATTGACAATGTGGTGGAATCTACTTCTAACTCAATTAACCCTGCCTAAGAGGACCTCCTTCAAAATACATACTGCCCTTCTGCTGGCTCTTTCCAGCCATATTCTTTTTCCCCTTTTCAAATTCACCCTTTTACTGCAGCAAAAAAGAAAGGCAAACATCTTATTTCTCAGGAGTCCACTTATGGTGCATTGCCTTGGGGTGTAAAAATCTCCAGGCCCCAAGCAGAAGGCCATTTTGAAATACCCATAGGATTACAGATACTGACAAAGTGAAAGACTTTCAGGCCTGAGAAAAATCCTTTTGGGAGTCAGAGTAAAGTTTCTATTTCTTTGCTTAGATCAACACTGGAGGAAGACCTAATCAAATGTCAAGCAACAGAACATTGAAAAATCGTTTCTGTGATAAATCACTAGATATCTTTGGGCATATAACTCAGGGGTTTAGAAGATAGAATGGAATTATACTGACTTCATTCCCATATATTTATATGGCAAGATTTCTTAAGCACTTCCATTTAAAAAGAAACACTTGCTTTGATTACACGTGTTGTTCTGGTCAATCGTGTACTAGTGAAAAATCATAATAACAATTC
Source organism: Homo sapiens (assembly GCF_000001405.40). Taxonomy (NCBI): domain Eukaryota; kingdom Metazoa; phylum Chordata; class Mammalia; order Primates; family Hominidae; genus Homo; species Homo sapiens. The sequence goes on along the minus strand of NC_000001.11, from coordinate 89,534,608 downwards.
AAAAGAAATGTTTTTCAACATTTAGAGCCTTATTGTCACAAGCACTTTTTAAAAAACAAGTATACTGAGTGTGTGTGTGTGTGTGTGTGTGTGTATGTCACAAAAGACATGATAATGAAAAACTTTCAATCATAACAGTGTTACACTGGGATTAAGTTTTACAGAAGAGGAATAAAATGAGTTCCATGAGAAAAAAGATCTACGTAAAATTCCTGACTTTTCTAAAAGAGCTTATTTATACGTTTCTTAAACGGATGATGTGAGATATCAAATCACTTTGGTATTTAATTTAACTTCCATTGGGTACATTTAAAAGAGTGATTTTTAAAACCCAATAGTTATAATAGAAATGTGACTGTCTGCAACTATTCAAAATTATGATGAAAAATTTCAGACATTAACTTTAAAAATATATGAGAACAAGTCGTTTTTCAAAATCGTTTTAGAGGATACTCAAAAACATTCAGAGATACTGTTATAAACTACTTGAAAGCCAAGAAGAGCCTGTGTTAACCACGTAAAATTTTGACTTCTAATAGAAAGCCAAAGTCAGGATTATTTCATTGAAGTACAAAAGCCATTTCAAGCATCCCCTACAAGTTGCTAAATCTGGAACTCTGAAAACAGTAAATGTTCAATAAACACTAGCTCATAGACAAAGTACTTTAGCTATTCAACTGATACCTATCAACAGCATGTATAATGTACCTTGTTACTTCCAACCTTCAAGGAGATATTCTTTAAAATTTTATGCAAATACCAGTCAAAAGTACGTTATTGAAATGAAACCCTAGACTAGGTAATAATTATGCTAATTGTATTCCCTAATTCTCTCCTGGATATCCACTGCATGCCCACGGTATGCCATGTACGAAGTCTGGCCCAGGAATCCCAGGAAATGAACAAAATATATTATTTTTCATGAAGAAGCATCCAGGAGGAGGCCAAGCTGTTCTCTAGCCTAGGTACTATGATAGGTATAGCTTAGAAGCAGCACAGAAGAGGGAATGAGGAGCTGTGGGGGTGAGAGGCAGACAGAAGGTGTCAGGAAGGGTCTTTCAGAAAAGGTATGCTTTAATGGAGCCTAGAAAGATGGTTCTGTGCTTGTCAAGAGGATCCCAAACAGAGGGAAGGAACAAAGCTACGGAATGAAGCCATCTGGCTATCTAGAACCTTCCTCCCTGTATTGCAAATAGTTTAGGACAGCTGGTGTATGGGGGTATGACTGCACACTGTGTCCATGGGACATGCACTGGGGACACAGAGATGACAGAGTGGCAAGAGATGAAGCTGAAGAGCTGCAGAAGCCAGACAAAGGAAGACTTTCTCACATGCCACACCATGGTGTTTGGACTTAATCCTGGGGCATAGGGAGCCATTAAAGGGTTATTAAACCCAGGCAATTATGGGATGAGATTTGTCTTTTAGAAAGATTACTTTCTGCAGTGTGGACAATAAATTTGTAGGTGATGCTGGCAGATAGACTATGCTCAAGACTACAAAATCATTATCAGTTAGAAGATAACTGGCAGTGTTCCTGGAAGACTCACGGCAGGAAAGGGGCTGTAGAGGAAGGGCACTGATAGAAGGACCTGAAGGCTATAGACTCTAGACAAATTGGTTACCAATCCTTTAAGAGGACTGTAGGGAGAATAAAGCAAGGAGAAGCCCAGAGTGAGTTCCAAGAAACTTGGGATACATAACTGGGTAAATAGTATTGCTGTTGGCAAAAATACAGAATCTAAAGGTGAACAGCAAATTCTGAGGAAAGTATCTTCAATCCACTAACTCCAGGCCCTCATTTGTTCTGTGAGGTAGGTGGCATGGACATTATTATCCCCATTTTATGACTAATTGGTGTATTAGTCCATTCTCACACTAATGAAGACATACTCAAGACTGGGTAATTTATAAAGGAAAGAGGTTTAAATGACTCGCAGTTCTGCATGGCTTTGGGTGGGCCTCAGGAGACTTACAATCATGATGGAAGGCATCTCTTCACAGGGTGCCAGGAGACAGAATGAGTGCCCAGTGAAGAGGGAAGCCCCTTATAACACCATCAGATCTTGTGAGAACTAGCTCACAATCACAAGAACAGGATGGGGGAAACTGCCCCCATGATTCAATTATCTCCACCCAGTCCCTCCCACGACACGTGGGGACTATGTGAACTACAATTCAAGATGAGATTTGGGTGGGGACACAGCCAAACTATATCAATGAGGTAATATTATTCACCCACTATCACATGCAGCGGTTTTGGCACGTTTACTACACACCAGGCTTAAGAGCAGTTAAACAAGGGAGACAAAGTTCTTGCTTTCACAGAACTTATATTCTGGTGGGGGTGAGGGGAATAGAGCATAAACAAGCAAACAAACAATAAACCAAGGTTTGAAAGACTATGACGGGAACATGGGTAGGGGGTATGGGTACTTTACCTAAGGTGGCCAGGGAACGTATTTCTGAGGACACATTTGAGCTGACTCTTGAGAAGAAAGTAGTCATGGAAATTTATAAAGGAAGAGCATTCCAGGCAGAAAGAACAGCAACTGAGAAGCCCCTAAGGTAGGAAGGAGCTTGGTGTGCCACTGAGGGAGGAACTGCAAATACCCAGGCAAATCTGAAGCAGGAAGTCCAAGTTACAAGGTCATTCCAGGAAAAGGGAGGGTGAAAGACTCTGGCACCTTAGGGCACCACTGGCCAACATAAACTCTCTTGGGATTGCCTGCGAACCTGACCACCACACACAACACTAGGCCTCTGAGAAACTGCATTATGATTGAAGGAAACCAAAATATTGCACCCCAAAATATACTTCTTTGACATATTTTGAGATGGCTGTTCGGAGGGCAAAACAGAAGTAGGCCAGTAAAGCTGTCATTTGTTCGGGAGATTTGTGTCTGTAGAGTATCTGCACTGATGCAGCCAGGCTTTCTCTGAGGCCCCACCTTGTCTGTCTGGATCTAGGAAAGATTAACTGAGAATCTGACAGCTTTAAAGGTCTGAAAGAAACATTTACCATCTATTCTATCTGAGGGCTGCTACCAGAGAGGATCATCTAGATAACAAGACCACCTTTGCTAGCCAGGCCTCCTCTTCTCTCCTTCCCATAACCTGTCTTGCCACCATAACCTGATTTACCACCATTACCTGTTTTTGGCCATGCTCTCAGCCCCTGTTCTTTCTGTTACCTCAAGATGGTATATAAGCATTAACCATCTGGCCATTTCTTTGAGTTTTTAAAATATTTTATATGACTCCTGTGCATACATGTGCACATAATAAAATTTATCAGGCTTTTTTTCCTGTGAAGCTATTATCACTTTGTTTCATAGACTCAAATTATCAAACCTTCAGGGAAAAATTTAAACTTCCCTACATGATTCAGAAATGCTTCTGAAAGACAAGTCATTGCTTAGCTTAGGACTGCTTATTTTAGCATTGAAATAGGGCCAGGAATAAACTCAGTTTTGTTAAAAGAAATGAACTTAAAATCTTTAGATGAACAGAATTTATCTTAAATTTGTCCACTCAGAGCAAGAAACATTCTTCAGTGCAATGGCTGATGGCTCAACCCCCAAGGCTCAGTCATGCCATACCACAATACATGGAAAATACCACAATACGTGGAAGATGCATGGAAGTAGAGTGCTCCCTGCCATCCTCCAAGGCTGTTACAGGGATTAGAGAGGCATTGTTTCCCCACAAACTCCCCTAATAGCTCAGCAGGACACGGCAAGGAGAAACGGCACCTCCCAAAGCACCTGTCAATAGCACCCCCTGCCATGCTGGTTCCTGTCTGTGCAAAATGGAAAGGTACGGAGGGACCGGCCGTTGGGGTTGTCCACCCGCTTTGAGAAGGCCATCCCATGCATAGTCCAGTCACCCAACCCTCTGAAACACACTGCTCATACTTCCCATCCTGTGGTCATTTTCCACTGCTGCTTTATGCGCTACTGATTTTTTGCCAACAGTCTTTCTTCATTCAGCCATATGGTTTCAAATTCCATTTGCTAAGGATGATGCAGATCAACCCTCTGGCCCTCTACAAAAATATCCTACTTTACAGTGCCCTGTCTCAGATGCATCTGCTTGTTGTATCAAGACAGCATCTGTATTTAAAGTTTGCTAATATAGCCCAAATAAACTGTAAAAGAATTAGATTATTCCTGAGTGTCATATTGAGAAGTTATATTATTATATACTCTTATTTATTTATTTATTATTTATTTATTTATTTATTTTTGGAGACAGAGTCTTGCTCTGTCGCCCAGGCTGGAGTGCAGTGGCACAATCTCGGCTCACTGCAAGCTCCGCCTCCCGGGTTCACGCCATTCTCCTGCCTCAGCCTCCCGAGTAGCTGGGACTATAGGCGCCCACCACTATGCCCGGCTAATTTTTTTTTTTTTTTGTATTTTTTGTAGAGACGGGGTTTCACCATGTTAGCCAGGATGGTCTCGAACTCCTGACCTCAGGTGATCCACCCACCTCAGCCTCCCAAAGTGCTGGGATTACAGGTGTGAGCCACCATGCCCGACCCATGTCTCCTTTATAACAACCTCACAGTGACAACTTCTCATCTGTTTGCAGTGAGTGAGTGATTCACCTGTCCTCCCCAGTATGGTCCCAGATCTCCACGAGGGTGGGGAACATGTGCATTTTTGCTCATCATCATTGCATCCCCAGAATATAGTACAGTGCCTGGCACAAACTATATGCTTAATAGCTACTGAAAAAAAAAATACTGTGAAATAAATTAAATGGTGGTAAGGTTTAGCTTCTGAGAGTGGGTCAGCCAAAAATAATTCAAGGCTGAGGAAGGTTAAGGCTTAACCATTCTGTATCATTAACCATTCCATATTTTGTTATTTTATAACAAAATATATAGAAAAAATTTTGCTGTCACTTGGGTGATAAACTGATTTTAGAGATAATTTTATAACTTTCTAAAAAATAGAATAAGTACTGATTTTTGAAAAGGCTCACACAAGTTAGGCCAAATTAAAAAAGAAAAGCTACCACTTTACTGAGGACAGTATTAAGCACTTTATATACTTTTTTTCTTTCAATTCTAATGGTCAGTTATTATCCAGTTTACAGGTAAAAAAACAGAGAGAGAGAGAGAGACTATGGTTGCATACTGAGGGAGGATTTGTGTCCAGATCTATTTGATTTCACATGCCATGTTTTTAGGCTAAGAATAAATGCTGACATTGAGTAATAACGTCTTGCTCCCTGACACTCAAAAACCTCATCTCCTCCCATGACAAGGTACAACACAGCAGTCTCGTAACACCAAGTGGGGTAAATGCCCAAGTATTTAAAATATTAATAGGATTTGGGGGCCAGTGATGTTGTAGCAGGGAAACTAGACAATTAAAGGAAAAGAAGTAAGGAGGAATATAAACAGGATTTACTGAAAGCATGTTTTACGCCAGATACTATATTAGATATGTTAATGTATAACATTTATTTTAATCCTAAGACTCCTGTGAGAAAGACAATACTAGTCAAGAAAAAAGAGATTTAGGATAGCTATGGTGTTTGGATACCTCCAAAATTCCCCACTTTTTTCTAAGGATTTGAGTCTCCCACTTTTTTTTATTTAGCTAGGAATAAGACTGTCTGGAATAAGGATAGTATTTCCCAGTCTCTATTCCAGCTACCTGAGGTCATGTTACTAAGTTCTAGGCAATGACATATAACAAGAAGTATATGACAGCATCCAGGAATTTTCCTTCAGAGACCATGGGCTCTTGCCTTTCCCCTCCTTCCTTTTTCCTTCTTTCCTCCTTTCTGCTACTTGGAACTTGGGGGTGATGGCTGAAGCTCCATCTTGGGATCATGAAGCTGAGGGCCTCATCTTATATATGGTAGATAATCCAAAAAGTAGAATCAGCCTAGTTCTCAGAAGACTGTAGAACCATCATACCAGCCATAGAATGCCTCTCTGCAAGTTTGTTTAATGTGAAAGAGAAACAAGCATCATTTTGAATAAGCCATTGTTCTTTGCAGTCTCTGTAGCTGGCAACTAATTTTAACTAATCCACAACTCATCCAAAGTGATGGCACAGAGTTCAGAATCAGGCCTGTCAGTCTATGAAGTTTGTTCTCTTAGGTAAAACCTTGAAGAACTCTTGCTTGTAATTTGCAAGAGATTTTGAAAAGAGAAAAGTTTCAAAATGCTGAAAAGGAATTTGACAGAAGAAAATAAGGAAAGTTTGAATATGCTCTTAAATCTGCTACCTGAGAAGAAATCAAAAGGAATATGCTACTCAACAATAAAGAATGTGGTCTCCATGAGAGATGAGCAGAGGAAGATCTCAGTCACCTGCATGGAGCTGGATACGGAAGAGAAATAGAAGCTGTGCAGCTGGCAGCGTCTGTGAAATATGCTGTGCTTGTTAGCTGAAGAATAGGCATTGCAGAATGGAGCCCTGGAAATGGTCACAGGATGACAGATGAGAAGAAAGAATTTAAAGGGATTCTGAAATTTAAAAAAAGCAAGAGATGAAGTTTAAATATATACAGTCTAGAAAGAAACAAGCAGAATCACATGACCCATATCAAAAGCAGCAAAAAGGTCAGAAAGGCAAAAAGGAAAGGTCAAGGTTGAAGCCCTGACAACTCATTTTTATTCATTTCCTTTACTCAGGTTCACAGCAGCACTGAAGGAGTAAATGTAAATTGTGTGGCAATTGAGTAGAATCCTAAAGGAAAGGCAGTCATAGAACAGGGAGTTTATTGTTACCCTTTGTTCAATTTCTAAATGAACCACAGTGATAAGAACTTAGGAGAGAGATCAGTGATTGGAGCTAGGCCTAATTTTACTTAAGATCAACCTTAATGATCAGAAAAAGAAAAATAGGTTATTATGTCTGCCAAAGGCATTATTTTAAACACCAGAGAAATTAAGTCATAATAAAGGCATGTAGGAAGTTTAGAAAATACAGATGGGGAATAAAATGAAAGTAGGCAATAGCAATAAAAGGCAGCAATATGAAAACAGATATGACACAAATTAGAAGGTATTTTACAAATGGTTAAATAAATTCTACACTATAACTGGGTCTCCCAAATTCCTCTTGAATGGTCACAGGTCTGAACTGTTTGCTGATGTACCCAGTGCTCTGGGAGTCAGGATAGCAGTGGAGAACCTGCTCCATGCAAGGCAATGCAAATCATGCCACCAAGTGTGTAATAACATGACAGAATCAGAATGCATTCATTTCTAATAATATCAGGGTGTGGTAGAAGGATGCTGGGAAGGAGAAATAAGAGTAAAATTAGAGAATTCAACTTTAGAGACACCAAATGAAAATCCGGGATTGGGTTAAACAGGCTATGAATAGTAAAAAGTCCAGAAAACATAAAATACTCAGGTACTATTAGAAGAATTTGAAAACTAAAATACAAAAACAAAAACCCTTGTTTATAAGAAAAACATTGGCTAAAACAAGGATGTTCTAAATTGTAAAATATTTTTCCCCTTAAACTTCAGAAAACAACAAAAAATAACAAATTTCAGGCCACTACAGGAAAATACATGGATTAGTCTAAAAAACTTGGAAGGCTTAGTATCCTTTAAGTTTTATTAAGCCCCTTTTCATTTTACTTACTGTTGGTGTTTTCACTCTGAGGATTCTGAAAATTAAAATAGCAATGGGAAATGGTGATAGTGGTAGAGAAGAGGTTTAAAAAAGCAAATCTCAACTAGTCAAATGAAATCATTCAAAATGTGAAAAGATTCATAATAGGCTGAACATGTTGGAACACCTTACCAATTGAGGAAAAAGAGAACACATTTCAAAGAATGGTAAACTTAATTCCGACATGCAGATTTAAAAATGTTGTTGGGGATACTAAGTATAAGGAAAGTGCCATGACCCAAGGGTGCACTCAATGACAACATCACCCCCATTCAAGAGACCTCTTTTTAGCTTACAGAAATATCAGACATGTTAGGGCTTATATTCTAAAATTACACAGGCCCAATTACCTTGGGGGTTGGCTGTCACTTTATATTCTCTGAGTAGAGCTGCTGACAAGGAAAGCCAGGAGAAAAAGAAAGTCACCTCGGCACCCACAATTCAGAGAGCATTTGGGGTCACACCTGTAATCCCAGCACTTTGGGAGGCCGAGGTGGGTGGGTCACTTGAGGTCAGGAGTTTCAGACCAGCCTGGCCAACATGGTGAAACCCCGCCACCACTAAAAATATAAAAATTAGCTGGGCGTGGTGGCGGGCCCCTGTAGTCCCCGCTACTCGGGAGGCTGAGGCAGGAGAATCACTTGAACCCAGGAGGTGGAGGTTGCAGTGAGCCGAGATCGCACTACTGCACTCCAGCCTGGGCGACAGAGTGAGACTCCGTCTCAAAACAAAACAAAGAAACAAAACAAAGAGCATTTGGGGTTCTCAGGAGGTGTAGCCTGTACACATAGAGGGTACTGGAATTGTTTAAAAAATTACACTGCAGTTTGACTTCTTTTCCATCCTCACTCCTACACCTAGGTTTAGGGGACAGAACCATCTGATAAAGATAAATCTGTTTTAAGATTTCTGGGGTGTTCTGCAAAGACTACTATATCATTTGCAAATAGGTTGTCTTTTAATAAAAATCATGCTACGTAATGTCTTCTTAATATACGCTGAACAAATTGCCTGTTTTAATTTGGCTATATATCTACAATTTAAAATGTTCATACTGTTATCTTTTACCAGTGGAGTGTTTTTTTGTTTGTTTGTTTGAAGTCTTTAGGCGAAGTGAATTTATTCAAGGAAGTTCACATGTCGGTTTTGTTCTTTTAGAGGGGTGTCTTTTTGACCACAAAGAAAAAAAAAGTTTTCCACAAATGTCATCTAACTAAAGGCAATCTATGGACTTTAGGAAGTCAGTTGAGCACACAGATTAATGAGCCAATACTGAGCCTCCTCCCTTCTGACCTCTCAGCACCTGCTCAACTAAGCTCAGGGGAAACTCTTGAGTCTTCTTCTTAAATTGGTAACGCTTGCCCTTTCTTTCTCAAACAAATCAACGCCCAACACCACCACCAAATTATAGGCAACCAACGCGTATCCAACAGCATAAAATAGTTCCCAAGAGCATAAAATAGTTCCCAACAGCGCCAGCGCAGGGGGCAAAACAGAGCGACCAAATGGGGGCACCCTCAGGGGAGTTGCGCTCATCTGGAGCGAGACGCCAGCCTGGGAAAGCGGAACCCCTTTCCCGCCCCGCCCCGAGGACTCACGCTCAGGTGCAACGCCGAGACTCCCGGGGGAAAGAGAGGTGACCGTCTCGGCGCGACCGCCCACACCTCTTGCTCCAAATGACCCCAGCACACAGGAGAGGTCCTCTCAGCGTGGGACTCCGTCTCTCCCGAAGGCAGGGAGCACAACGAAGCGGCCACTCGTCTCTGCAGCCGCGCTACCGGCCCGCAGCCTGGCTCGCAGGTGAGGCGTGAACAGGTAACCGCACCTGTTCGGCCAGCCCCACCTGCTGCGTCCCCGTATCCGGTCCTCCTCCTCCACCACCTCGGTCGGCGCGGCTCGCCCTCCTGGAACCGGGGTGTCACGCTCCGACCTACCTGCGCGACTCCAGCCCCGGACGCCCGCGCTCCCCGCGGCGTGCTCCTGGGCCGCTCCGGGCGGGCAGGCTGCGGCCCCGCGCCCGCACTTTCCCGGCTGCCGGAGGCTGCGGGCTCAGCGGGAAGCCCCGGCGCTGTCCGGCTCGCCGCCTCCGACCGGCTCCATTGTGACGCGACGCGTTCCGCTGGCCAATGGGCGCTCGGCGGCGCGAACCGCTGACTAAGTTCGCGGGTGGAGGAGGAGGGGACGGGGCGGAGGCAGGGCGCGGAGGCGGCTACCACGGTGGTGGCGGTAGCAGTGGCGGAGGAGGAGGAGGAGGAGGAAGAGGAGGAAGAGGCTGCAGTCGCTTCGGTAGCTGCTCCTGCTGTGAATTTTTCAGCTGCCTGGGCCTGAGTGTTTGCCCAGCTCTGGGGCTGCGGGAGCCAGTGACTCACCTATCACTGCTGGAAACAAAGCGCAGCTGCCATCTCCCCGAGCGCGCCATGTGGCCATCGCTGCCCCCTCGCCCAGCCTGGGGTCCGCAGGAGGTAGCGCACAGCCATACGCCCCGCGGAGCAGCTGGAAAGAGCGGGGACTGCTTTCCAGAAGCGGGAGGGAAATGGGCTTCGGCGTGTCCCCCAGGCGCGCCACACCGGTGACTTCGGCACTACACCGCGTGTGTCGGGCCCCAGCCTTCTCACGTGTGCGTCCCTGAGTAACTTGGCATTTATATAACGCGTGTTGGGCCCTGAGGGAAAGGTCGGGTGCAGCACGCGGGAACCTCCTCTTCGAAAAGGAAGTCCCCTTACTTTTCTTTACCCTGCTTAGAAAGATTGCAGGGCCCAGCCTCTGTGAGGGAGGGTTTACAGTTGTACCAACTAAGCGGCTTAAGTTCGATTCTGGCCTTCCAATACCATTGGCTTCTCTCAAATGTCGTTATCCTCAGGATAGGGAGGGGACCACATGGCCGAGGGGCGGTCCCTATACTCATAACCTGCCTTTCACTGCGATTCAACTGCAGAGACACCTCAACTACTGCCCGCTTGCTTCTCTCCCAAGTGGCACTGCATTTGAAGGCCAACAATATTCCTTACGAAACAGAATTAATCCAAACCCACAAATTCTAGGGACATAAATATTTTTATCATCCTCATCCATTTCCCCACTCTCACCCTTACCCCAGTTTTAACTCAGTCTCTGCCCTGGCTATTATCTTGAGCACACTGATTCAATTAGGCAAGATTTATGTCTTTTAGTTGCTATGGTGGTCACATCTCCATTTAAAAAAAGAAAGAAAAAACAAGTTTGTACCGGCATCTCCCAAAGGAATAAAATGAAGACGAACAGACTCAGCATTTGGGGCATCTGAGCAGTTTGTGTAAATGGGAGTATAGCAAATGCCCTATCGAGTTAATATGAGACAAGAGTTGTGTCTCAGACTGTTCAGATGAGGACTACAATTTGAGTCACCCTGAAAGGGAAAAAGAAGGCTGTCTTTGTGTCACTGATCTGTTCTTTTCTTGTTCACTCAGTCCATTCTGGAACTGCAGATATCTTTTTTCTGAGTCTTGAAGGAAAAGCTGAAAGAACATTTCTTCACTTGGTCATTCGATAAATTTTTATTGAGTTTATATGTGTGAGACACTGGGTATGCACAGATCTACAAGTCTAATTTAAATTTAGGTTTGATCCTTACAGGAGTATCTGAAATTCTCTCAGGGACTTTCTGATTAATTATTTTTGGTAGAAGAAAATTCTAAAAGACTCTGTCACTACTTTCACAGCCAGATTTACCCAAGTCTAAAATAGTGATTAAAAATTCCATCATGGATTTTAAGCACCAAAAAAATGACAGGCAGGTCTCAATCGTTTTAGAGGTTTATTTTGCCAAGGTTAAGGACATTCCCCAGGAGAAAGCACAAATACAGGAACATCTGTGATCTGTGCCTTTTGCAAAGAGAGTTTTTGAGGACTTCAGTATTTAAAGGGGAAAGAGCCAGCAGGAGGGGAAGGAGAAAAGAAAGAAAAAAAAGGGAAATGGGAAGGTAGGCAATGAGGGAAGAAGTTACATTCTTGTGAGGCTTTGATTAGTGCCCAGTGAATTCACATTTTGCGTGTGAAGAGTGGGTAGAGGAATACTGATTATGTGTTCCTCTCATGCTCAGTAAATCTACATTTTACATAAGATAAATGTGAAAATAGGGGGAAAGTCAATTATGAATTTGTCTTGGGGTGGGCAGAGGGATGATTTCCAAGTCTTGTCCTTATACCATACATATGAAGATGAGCTGTTATTGTCAGAGTGAGATTCAACAGAACTGTGTTTTAGGGCTCATTTATAGGAGGGATATGCATTCTGAAAGATTTAGGGACCCACAAGGCATTTCACTGTAAGCAATTTGTGAGGGAGGCTATCTGGGGAGATATGTGGCCTTCTATTGTTGCAGCTACCTGGTAACAACAGAAGGCAGGTTTTTAAAATTTTTTTATTTTTTATTTTATTATACTTTAAGTTTTAGGGTACATGTGCACAACGTGCAGGTTAGTTATTTATGTATACATGTGCCATGTTGGTGTGCTGCACCCAGTAACTCGTCATTTAACATTAGATATATCTCCAAATGCTATCTCTTCCCCCTCCCCCCACCCCACAACAGGCCGTGGTGTGCGATGTTCCCTTTCCTGTGTCTGTGTGTTCTCATTGTTCAAGTCCCACCTATGAGTGAGAACATGCGGTGTTTGGTTTTTTGTCCTTGCTATAGTTTGCTGAGAGTGATGGTTTCCAGCTTCATCCATGTCCCTACAAAGGACATGAACTCATCCTTTTTATGGCTGCATAGTATTCCATCGTGTATATGTGCCACATTGTTGGACATTTGGGTTGGTTCCAAGTCTTTGCTATTGTGAATAGTGCTGCAATAAACATACGTGTGCATGTGTCTTTATAGCGGCATGATTTATAATCCTTTGGGTATATACCCAGTAATGGGATGGCTGGGTCAAATGGTATTTCTAGTTCTAGATCCCTGAGGAATCGCCACACTGACTTCCACAATGGTTGAACTAGTTTACAGTCCCACCAACAGTGTATAAGTGTTCCTGTTTCTCCACATCCTCTCCAGCACTTGTTGTTTCCTGACTTTTTAATGATCGCCATTCTAACTGGTGTGAGATGGTATCTCATTGTGGTTTTGATTTGCATTTCTCTCATGGCCAGTGATGATGAGCATTTTTTCATGTGTCTTTTGGCTGCATAAATGTCTTCTTTTGAGAAGTGTCTGTTCATGTCCTTTACCCACTTTTTGATGGGGTTGTTTGTTTTTTTCTTGTAAATTTGAGTTCATTGTAGATTCTGGATATTAGCCCTTTGTCAGATGAGTAGATTGCAAAAATTTTCTGCCAATCTGTAGGTTGCCTGTTCACTCTGATGGTAGTTTCTTTTGCTGTGCAGAAGCTCTTTAGTTTAATTAGATCCCATTTGTCAATTTTGGCTTTTGTTGCCATTGCTTTTGGTGTTTTAGACATGAAGTCCTTGCCCATGCCTATGTCCTGAGTGGTATTGCCTAGCTTTTCTTCTAGGGTTTTTGTGGTTTTAGGTCTAACATTTAAGTCTTTAATCCATCTTGAATTAATTTTTGTATAAGGTGCAAGGAAGGGATCCAGTTTCAGCTTTCTACATATGGCTAGCCAGTTTTCCCAGCACCATTTATTAAATAGGGAATCGTTTCCCCTCTTTTCTTGTTTTTGTCAGGTTTATCAAAGATCAGATGGTTGTAGATATGTGGCATTATTTCTGAGGGCTCTGTTCTGTTCCATTGATCTATATCTCTGTTTTGGTACCAGTACCATGCTGTTTTGGTTACTGTAGCCTTGTAGTATAGTTTGAAGTCAGGTAGCATGATGCTTCCAGCTTTGTTCTTTTGGCTTAGGATTGACTTGGCAATGTGGGCTCTTTTTTGGTTCCATATGAACTTTAAAGTAGTTTTTTCCAATAACAGAAAGCAGTTTTTTTAGTGACTCAGTTCCCAAGCTTAGCTTTTCTTTTGGCTTAGTCAGTTTGGGGTCCAGAGATTCCATTTTTGTTTCACAGCACTTATTTTGTGCCTAGCAGTGTGCTAGACATCATGGGTGATACCAAAGAAGCATAAAACTTGGTCCCTGACCCCAGCAGCCCACAACTTAGTTGAACACGGAAAACAATCAAGGGCATCTTCTGCTCAAAGGAAATGAAGATTGAATAACATGGGTGGAAGTAGTCAGAAAATGCATTATGGAGAGAAGGGAACTTAAACTTTTGAAACAGAAGCAGGATTTAGAAGGACTACATCCTTTACCTTTGCCTTATTGGCCCTAAACTTTATCTTAAAATAACCAGTCCAGCCTCCTGGCTCTTTTTGGCAAGCTGAGAATCTGGTGAAGAAGCCAATATGAAAATATTCTGTTTCTACAACATCTCAATAGGGTCTTTACACTCAGGTGATAAAGGGGATGAGAATGAACAGTAAGTGTGGCCAGTTCCTCTATCCAGTGACACAAGCAAAGTCACAAGTAATAGAAAATGAAACAATCACTACAATTTGGTCTTCTGGTGGTTGAATTCCATGACCCACATGAAATAACCACCTAACTCCTGGGTTTGGCAGGTGTCTTCTGGGCTGATTCCCTGAAAAACAACCAAAATTTAAAGAAAATCTCTGAGTGTCATCAACATTAAGCTATGCTCCATGTGGCCACCTTGATAAGAGTTTGATTTTCTCTGAGTCTTGAGAAAATTTTTATGATAAATGGAAGACAATCTTATCCAATACTAAAGTTTTTTTTCGATTCAGTGTTTGAAAAATATGAGAATGAAAATCTTCTATTTCTTTAAAGAAATAAATGTATTAAACATTGAATTTATATCTATTAAGTAAACATTGAATGCCTACAACACATAAAAAAAGCACTGAGGACCTGACAGAGGTGAGGGAGAATACCAAGATAAATATAGTAATTCCTCTTCTTAAATATATTGTACTCTGGTGGGGAAGGCATAACCATAGAGAACACAGCCTCCTACAGGGGAGTTGAGGTTGGTGCAGGACTGAGGGAGAATCACACTGAACAGAGATCTGAGGAAGTTTACCTTCAGGGTTCTAAATTAAAATGTTTCTTTAATGATATACATTTTATTTTTTAACTTTTTTTTTTGTTTTTTGAGATGGAATCTTGCTCTGTCACCAAGGCTAGTGTGTAGTGGCATAATCATGGCCCACTGCAGCCTCAACTTCCTGGTCTCCAGTGATCCTGCCACCTCAGCCTCCCGGGTAGCTGGGATCACAGGCGCTTGCCACCATACTTGGCTAATTTTTGTATTTTTGGTAGAGACAGGGTTTTGCTGTGTTGGCCAGGGTGGTCTCGAACTCCTAAGCCCAAGCAATCCACCTGCCTCAGCCTCCCAAAGTGCTGCGATTATAGGCGTGAGCTACCATGCCTAGCCATGGTGTTTAAATTTTGTCTCAGCATCGTGGATCAAGTTTGTTCTAATGAAGTGTCAGATCAGAAGAAAAGAACCAAAGTCTATGAATCAAGGCCACCCATAATTTTGCATTCTTGGCTGGGCGCGGTGGCTCACGCCTGTAATCCCAGCACTTTGAGGGGCCAAGGCAGGCGGATCACAAGGTCAGGAGATCGAGACCATCCTGGCTAACATGGTGAAACCCCGTCTCTACTAAATAATATACAAAAAATTAGCCGGGCGTGGCAGCGGGCACCTGTAGTCCCGGCTACTTGGGAGGCTGAGGCAGGAGAATGGCATGAACCCGGGAGCTGGAGCTTGCAGTGAGCAGAGATCGTGCCACTACACTCCAGCCTGGGCGACAGAGCGAGACTCTGTCTCAAAAAAAAAAAAAATTGCATTCTCAGGAAGTTTGCCAGAGTCCCAGTGGTTCAGCTGTGTATGATTGAGCACATTGTTGTTGATGAGGAATGTTTAGTTATTTATTTTTGGTTAAGCAGTTTGTCGTGTTTTTCTGACATGTTGCAGAGATTTAAAATGAGTTTTCTTTGGGCCTGGGACAAATTCTGAGAATGACCCTGGAGAATGAGCTCAGTGGTGAGAATTCTGAAGATGGGGTGAGTTGGATATTGCCCATGTGTTCAGATTAAGGTAGCTTGATCTAGAAATTCAAACTGCAATTGTGCAAGACTGGCTGAATAGGAGCACAGACTGCAAGAACATAGAATAACCAGTTGTGACCATTTCAAATTGGGACTATGATTGGGGATCAATTCACACAGAATTGATCACTACCCACTGTGGTGACTGCCCACTCTGCCTGAACTATACTATGCCCTTCCTTATCAAACAAGTGCTATGAAGGTGACCTTCCAGACCTTTCTCCTAGGAAAAACACCAATTCCTGCAGCGGGATGCCTGACATCCTCAGTTGATGTGTCTTCTGGGAAGTCGTCCAAAAACTTCTTTGAAAATTTCCCATGCGTCCCTTTTAAAGAAAGAATATATGCTGTCATCTGGGTCACGTATGGGAATCCACCATGGAGCAGCTAGGCAGTTATTGACTCTTGTCCTTTTCATATCTGTAAAAAGGAAATGACTTCCAAGAAAATATTTGTAAGAAAGCCAGGCTGAAAGTCCACAATTAAAGCAGAACTGGTGCTCCTCTGCTCCTTGAAGTGGTCTAAAAAAAGCCCTCATGAGTTCTGCTAGTGACTGAGATATTTGCTGGGATCCCTGGGAGGATTCAATCTGTGTTCCCTGAACTCTGTTGAAATCTGGGCCAGAGGTTTCTTGGTGCTGTGAAAGCAGCTGGCCTTCTGAGGTTCCTCATACTGAATGCATCCATTTCTTGGGTTTGGAGTAACTCAGGTCTGACACTAGCTAGACCTTGATTTTCCGTTTTTTTTTCTCGGCAGCTGTAGGGTTTTTCTTTTACGTTCTCAGCCTAATATAAAACCATCTGTTAATTATAATACATTAGAACACTAGATTTCATTCTCAAATTGATTCTCTAAGAGTAGGAGCTGATATATGTCTGTGGCTTATTAAGAATTTGCAAAAACTCAAAATAAGTTATAAAAGAACAAGATTCAGAATTTGATAGAGCTAGAAAGGAAAAGATGTATGCTAGAAAGAGCACTGGACATGGGGTCTTCTCTTGGATTCAACTGGTGGCTCTGTTGGCCATGAGACCTGGGGCAAGCCATTAATAGTCTAGATAGGAGTTTCTTTTTTCAATGTGTTTTTATATCTATCCTGGACTATATAAGATGTTTCAGAATTCTTAGAATTCATTTTGTTTCATTTATTCATTTACTATACAACAAATATTTATTCTATGCCTATGATGTGAAAAGCATTGTAGGAGTTTTCGGAGATACATGAGTCTGTGTGGTTTATGTGGCCTTTGTTCTCCTGCAGCCTACAGTCCTGCAGATTTCTTTTCTTTTTTTTTTTTTTTTTTTTTTGAGGTGGAGTCTCACTCTGTCGCCCAGGCTGGAGTGCTGTGGTACAATCTTGGCTCACTGCAACCTCTGAAGCCCGGGTTCAAGCAATTCTCCTGCCTCAGCCTCCTGAGTAGCTGGGATTACAGGCGCCTGCCACTGTGTCCAGCTAATTTTTGTATTTTTAGTAGAGATGGGGTTTCACCATCTTGGCCCGGCTGGTTTTGAACTCCTGACCTTGTGATCCACCTGCCTCGGCCTCCCAAAGTGCTGGGATTACAGGTGTGAGCCACCGCACCCGGCCCCTGCAGATTTCTAAGAAGGATGTGAGGGTTGGATGTGATGACTCGATAGACTGTACCTAACCAGACTTTCAGTCTGTTTAAAAACACCAGCCTCATTGGCCTTGTCCCTGAATCTTACACACCTAAATGCAAACACACCTTCCAATTATCTGCTTGTTCTTCTTTTTATCCACTTCTTTGTCTCCATCAAATTTCTGTTTCTGGAGCATATAAAGGCAACAGGACACTTGCTCATAAGAAGCTTGAAGTTTTTAAAACGTAAAATATGCAAGTAAATATGTAGCCAGATATGTGAGCAGATATGGGGGTCCAGTAAAATCCCCTAACACAAGCTATATACAAGGTATATAGATTTACACCTATAACTCAAATGTGCTTTGTAATAGCTGAATGTAGCCTGGCTACCTTATGATAAAGGGTATGAAAATAATGGGTTTTTTTAAACCTCATTACAAAATTGAGGGACAACGATAATTAATTAGTTATTATCTTGATACAGGAGAGATTGGGTTAAAGTGGGAAAAACATTTTTAGAAATAACATCATGCTGAGTGAATTAAAGAACTTAGGGCTTCAGAGGAAGCCTGTTGTTTTAGTAAGCAGAACAGATTTTGGTGGCTGACAAAGACCTCAGTGTAGGTGGGAAAGTTATGGTAGCTTGATTACAAGGAAAGAAGTGGGGACTCATACTAAAAGATGAAAATAGATATATAGGTGGTGGAAATTTTGCAGTTTCATATCTATCTTTGAGTGAACTCAATTTCCAAAATTTCTGGAATTACTTAGTTTATCAATTCAATAAGCAGATATAATATTTTGCTATTCAGGGTCCCCAAGGACAAAAAGGATATGTGCATTCTAACAAAATACAATAACAAAGCGAGCAATTTTTACTTATAAACTAGTTTGTAGTTCATACAAATCACTCAAATAATGTATTATAGCCATTTCTAAACAACATTCTCTTACCCCATGGCCTGTATACCTAAGAGTGACTAATAATCTATTAGCAGTCCCTCGCCTTGCTGAGTCACTCTGTTAAACCTCCTGCAGCTCAGGCACCATTCAGAGGTCCACGAGGTTGGAAGATGACACTTGCTTAACTGCAGATGTCTTACCTCCTCTGGAGGAATGCTGCGACACTGTGTGTGTGAGGAGGGAAAAGGCCAAATTCATCACATGGACTGGTGTATTTCCAGTAACTGGGTCTGTGCTTTTTACCAAGTGGGCACAGAATAAATATTTATTCATTGATGAGTGAATGTATGAAATGAAATGAGGTCTGAGACTTCTGAAACACAGATTTTCTCTATCTTGGGTATTCCAGTCATCCCAGGATTTAACCCCAACTCCATCCACTTTAGGTTTTACAGCTTAACCTGTTCCTACTTGATTGAAAACACATATAGAAGACCAGGGTTTGGAGATAGGAGGGAGTACATGGGGGTGATTAGGGATGACAAAGGAATAATACACCAGTGGCAATATTTGCCAAAGTTAGCTTATTATAAATATATTTGTCATGACTTTGGATGTCCTCATTTCCTCCTCCTGGTAGCATCCTCATCCACGTTGGCAATCACACTACTCTTTTCAACTTGTGTGTTTTGTGACTTTTAAGTATCATAATATCATGAGATATTAGGTTTGGAGATGCTGGAAACAACCATGATGATTAGTATCAAATAGCAAGCCAGTGTATGAACATGTGTCAAAAATTCATGCCTATCTTTAGAAATAGCTACCTAAGCATAGCTTGGATTCTGAAGCAAAACTACTGGGTTCAAATCTTGGCTTTGTCCTTATGAACTGTTTGGTCTTTGTCAAGTTACTCAATTTCTCTGTGCCTTAGTTTGCTGCTTGAGGAACTGATTGTGGTGAGGATCATTCAAATATATAATGTGGTTAAGGCAGTTCTGGGAACATAATAAGTCCCATATTAGTATTAGCTATAATAATAATCTCAAATAAGTCACTTACCTGCTTTGTATTTATAATTTTCATCTTTAAAATGAGAGGCTTTGATTAGTTTGTCTCTAAGGCCCTTGTTTTAGTCCATTTGTTTTTTGATAAAGGAACACCGGAGGCTGGGTAACATGAGTTTCTTTAACTCACAGTTCTGCAGGCTGTACTGGGAGCATAGTGCCAGCATCTGCTCAGCTTCTGGTAAGGGCTTCAGGCTACTTTCATTCATGACAGAGGTGAAGGGGAGTCAGAATATAGAAATTAGATGGTGAGAGAGGAGGCAAGAGAGAGGGGAGGGAGGTGCTAGGTTGTTTATAACAATTGGCTCTTGCAGGAACTAGTAAGAGTGAGAACTCATTTACCTCCCCAGCCGCAAGGAAGGCATTAATCTCTTTATGAGGGAATCATCTCCATGTACCAAACACCTCCCAATAGACCCCACCTGCAACATTAGAGATCAAATTTTAATATGAGTTTTGGGGGAACAAACATTCAAACTATAGCAACCTCCTGAACCTACTGTTTTCAAACAAGGACAATTAATCCATACATTTTTCTACATATATGTGTATGGTTAGAGAAGTGAATGATTAGTTACTAGATGCTTTCCTTGATTGATGGAAGAAAGGTGATTAGGAAATTGAGGCAAGCTTCTTAACTAGACTCTAAATTTCTTGAGTATGTCTTTTCCCCCCTTTGATACTCCAAAGCCTAACATGGTACCTTGGGATAGTGGGCGGTCAATAAACTGTTAATTAACATGAAATAAATGCTTTTTTATTTTGTATGCCTAGGTGTGTGGGGATGGGAAAGTGTGATAACTGCTTCCTAAGCCTTTTGTAAATTTAAAGCCTCTAACACAAATATTTTAAACAACATTAGTCCTCTCTGCTGGAGATGTTCACACTGTAGGAATTCTTAGTTGATTGGTTTTGGAAGGCAGATTCTGATTTGTGTTCAGAAATTGTGGACTTTAGGAATAGAATATGGCAAGTAGACATATTTTGCTGTGTTGCAAGTTAAAATTTGTTTTAGCATTGAGGATGACATGATTTTCACTCATATGCCAAGTCTCATTTATTTGCTTTGTATTTCTGCCATTCCTTCTGAGTTCTTGCATCCATACATTTGTACAAATGTGGTATTCTTTCTTGGTCTTTGTAAGTAGAAAGAGAGGGACAACATTAGTTAAAAGTTTAATGTTAAGGGAGAAGATAGGCCATAGAATGGTAGAAAATATTTGCAAATCACATATCAGATAAGGGAATTGTATCCAGAATGTATAAAAATTGATATAGTTTGGATGTTTGTCCCCTCCAAATGTCATTTTGAAATGTGATTCCCAATGTTGGAGGTGGGTCCTGGTGGGAGGTGTTTGGGTTATGGGGTGGATCGCTCATGAATGGCTTGGTGTTGTCCTCGTGGTAGTGGGGGAGTTCTCATGAGATCTGGTTGTTTAAAAACACATGGCACCTCCCCTGTTGCTTTCTTGCTCGTGCTCTTGCCACATGACATGCTTGCTCCCACTTTCCCTTCTACCATGAGAAAAAGTTCCCTGAGGCTCTCACCAGAAGCTGAGCAGATGCTGGTGCCATGCTTGTATAATCTGCAGAACTGTGAGCCAGTTAAACCTCTTTTCTTTATAAATTACCCAGTCTCGAATATTATCTTTATAGGAACACAAGAATGGCCTAATACAAAAGCACAGATCAAAAATAAAAAGTCAAATGACTCAACTAAAAAAATGGACAAATGGACAAAGGAAGAGGGTTCTGGGAAGTTCCCAACCACAGAGAGGGGAAGCAGAGTAGGAAGCATCTAGGCAACAATTGTGCTAATCTATTTTGAAACTCTGGAGTCTATTGAAGGCTTGTGGCTTTTAGGGGAAGGCTTGGACAACAAATTGCTGTTAATTTTAGTTATTTCAATTCTTAGCACAGTAGCAGTTACACCACCCCTATTCCTACCCCTCTTCCTCCATGGCAGATAGCTGTTAATTTGTTCCAGGAGCAGTTTACACACAGCTGGTGAGAGCCAAGGTGGGCAAAAAGAACCCTGCCCTCCAAATGTTGGGCATCTGTGCTCTGGTCCCTGATTGGTCCTTCTGAAGACAGAGGTGCAGACAAAGACTCAGGTGGCCATTGGTATTACATCTCCCACATTGTTTCTAGCCCCTTTACTTCCAACAGAAGTGAATTGCAGGTGCTTTAAGGATCCAGTGCCCTTTTCCCCTCTTTCATTTTTTTCTTCCCTTTTGAGAGCCAGACATTAATGGCTGGAAGATTCAAAAGCAACTGTATATACAGGGAAAATGAGAAATTAAAAAGGTACCAAACATGCCCAGGGCAAGGGGCATGCTTAGTTAAAAACCTGAAGGACCTTAATTTTATGCCTCAGGCTGATTCTTGGCACAGAAACAGCCTGCAAGAACACAAAAACAAAGTCAATATCAAAACCCAACAAATCTTAGGGAAGGAAAATAATTTTATTTCCCGAGTGACCACATTATTAAATTCAAATGTTCAGTTTTCAACAACAACAACAACAAAATTACAAGGCATACAAAGAAACAGGAAAATATGGCCCATTTGAAGGAAAAAAAGTCAACAAAAACTTTTCCTGAAAGACTAAAAGCTAGCAAATTGTAGTTTTGGTTTGTAACTCCACATTCTGTTGTCTATGTGATACAAGAGACTAATACATTTTTAAAAAATCATTAGTTTATGTTTGGGTTATGCAACGTATAAAGTGGTAATTTTGTGACATCACAATAAAAATGGGCAAGGATGGAACTGTTAAAGGAACAGAGTTTTTGTATATTATTGAATTATGCTACCTTAAATTCAAATTACAGTGTTCTAATTTGATGAAGTTAAATATAACTCCCATGGTGATCACAAAAATATAGCTATAAAATATATACAAAAGTAAACTATAAGGGAATTTAATGTTTTGCTACAAAAAAAATCAATGAAACACAGAACACCATGATGCAGAAAATGAAGTAAAAGCAAGCTATCAGCCATATAGAAAACCAACAGCAAAATGACAGAATTAAGTTCTTCCTAGTTAGTAATTACTTTAAAGGTAAGTGGAATATACTTCCAGTCAAAATACTGAGATTGGCAGAATGGATTAACAAACAGAATCCAAATACATGCTGTCTATAAGAGACTCACTTTAGATCTAAAGACAAAAGTAGATTGAAAGTGAAAGATGGAAAAAGATGATCCATGCAAACTACAACAAAAAGATAGTAGGGGTAGCTATTATAATATGAGACAAATAAGTAAAAAAGATGACAAAAGACAAAGATATATTAATAAAATATTCAATATAGCTGGAAGATAAAACCATTATAAATATTTACACACATAATGGCAGACTATCAAAAGCTACAAAGCAAAAGCTAATTGAACTGAAGGGAAAAATAGACAATTCTACAATAATAATTGAATACTCCAATATGCCACTCTCAAAAATGGATAGAACGACTAGACAAAGAAAATAGAGGACTTGAACAACACAAAAAAACAATCTTCTGAAACTTTTCCACAAAATTGAATAGGAGAAATGAATAATTTGAAACTCATTCTATGAGTTTCAGTTGCCTTGATACCAAAGCCAAAGATGCTACAAGAATAAAAAAAAAACCCTACAGACCAATATTAATTAATTATTAACATTGATGCAAATATCTTCAACAAAATAGTAGCAAACTGAATTCTGCAGCATATTACAAAGATTATACATCATGACCAAGTAGAGTTTATTTCTTCTGCAAGGATATTTCAACATAAGAACACTGATCAATGTAATATACAACATCAACAAACTAAAGGAAAAAATTCATAAGATCATCTCAATTAATGGAGAAAAAGCATTTGACAAAGTTTAACATGCTTTTATGATAAGAACTGTTGACACACTTGGAATAGAAGGAAATTCCCATATAATAAAAGCCATAAATAGAAACCCACAGTGAACATGATATTCAATAGTGAAAGAATAAAAGCTTTTCCTCAAAGATCAGCGCCAAAACAAGGATGCACATTTTCACCAGTTGTATTTTACATTGTACTTGAAGTTCTAGCCAGAGGAATTAGGCAAGAAAATGAAATTTTAAAAATCAAATTGGAAAAGAATAAGGTAAAAATTTCTCTGCTCTTTAATTATAAGATCTTATATATGAAAAAAACTAACAATGTCACAAAAAAACTGGTAGCATTAATAAATAATTTCTATTGTTAAGTAGCAGAATACAAAATTACACAAAAATGAGGAGGTGCATTTCTATATCGTAACAATGAGCAATCTGCAAAGGAAATTACAAAAGCTTCCATTGAAAATAGCATTGAAAGAAAAAAATGCTTATGAAAACTACAAAGCATTGCCAAAAGAAATTAAAGAAGAGATAAATGGAAACATATCTGATGTTCATGGATTGGAAGACATAATATTGTTAACATGTCAATACTATCGAAAGAAATCAACAGATTCAATTCAATCTCTATCTAAATCCCAAAGATTTTTTTTGCAGTAATAGAAAAAATCATCCTCAAATTTATATGAAATAGCAAGGGAACCCAAATAGCATAAATAATCTTGCAAAGGAAGAACAAAGCTGAAGAACTCATGTTTTCTGATTTTGTACCTTACTATAAATCTATAATAATCAAAACAGTGTGGCACTGGCATAAAGACAGACAGACAGACTAATGGAATAGAATAAAGGGTTCAGAAATAAACTCTCACACATACAATCAAAGGATTTTCGACAAGGATGTTAAGACCATTCAGTGTGGAATGGACAGTCTTTTCAACAAATGGTGCTGATAAAATGGGATAACCACATACAAAAGAATGAAGTTGGACCCTTACCTAGCACCGTATACAAAAATTAACTCAAAATGAATCAAAGAAGTAAATGTAAGACCTAAAATAATGCCACCATTAAGAAGACATAGGGTACCATCAATGATAGACTGGATTAAGAAAATGTGGCACATATACACCATGGAATACTATGCAGCCATAAAAAAGCATGAGTTCATGTCCTTTGTAGGGACATGGATGAAGCTGGAAACCATCATTCTCAGCAAACTATCGCAAGGACAGAAAACCAAACACCGCATGTTCTCACTCATAGGTGGGAATTGAACAATGAGAACACTTGGACACAGGGTGGGGAACATCACACACTGGGGCCTGTCGTGGGGTAGGGGAAGTGGGGCGGAATAGCATTAGGAGATATACCTAATGTAAATGTTGAGGTAATGGGTGCAGCACACCAACATGGCACAAGTATACATATGTAACAAACCTGCACATTGTGCACTTGTACCCTAGAACTTAAAGTATAATAATAAAAAATTAAAAAAAGAAGACATAGGGTAAAAACTTCAAGACTGTGTATTTGGCAATGGTTTCTTAGATATGACACCAATGGCACAGGCAACAAAAGAATAAGTAGACAAATGGAACAGTATGAAAAGTAAATAGTTTTGTGCACCAAAAAGACACTATCAATAGAGTTTAAAAAGCACCTCACAGAATGAGAGAAACTATTTGCAAACCATATATCTGTTAAGGGATTAATACCCAGTATGTAGAGAACTCCTGTATCTTAAAAACAGAAAAACAAACTGATTTTAAAAAAGGGGAAAGGACTCAAATAGACATTGCTCCAAATAATTTATACAAATGACTAGTAAACAAATACATAAAAAGATGCTCAACATCACCCAACCATTAGGGAAATGCAAATCAAAACTGCAATGAGATAACACATCATACCCATTGGGACAATTAGTATTGAAAAAACCAAAAAATTACAAGTAGTAGAGAAGCCACCTTTGCAAAAATTATGACAATGAGAAAAATCTGACATAGCTGACACCAATTTGCTTCTAACTTCACAAGCTAACAACTACCCTTGCCCATTCTGGAGCATAGGCCAAGCTAACTATGGGAGGAATTAGTTTGTAGTTTAACCTTAAAGTAGGGATGATAATAGCCCTTCCCAAAACTACCCCTTCATTGTTTGAGGACTGACACCGCCTTTGTAAAACTAATGAAAGGCAACAAAATTAGAATTATGGGAGAGGCCTGAATTCTGCTAAGATGTAGCCATAAACAATAACCAACCACGGTTCCAGAGGTCAGATTTGTATCTTCCCCACTTGCTCCTGTAGATAACATCACTATTATTAAAACCTTGGTTCTGTTTATATTACGGATTACGTTTGTTGATTTGCATATGTTGAACCAGCCTTGCATCCTGGGGATGAAGCCAACTTGATCGTGGTAGATTAGCTTTTTGATGTGCTGCTGGATTCAGTTTGCCGATATTCTATTGAGGATTTTTGCATCCATGTTCATCAGGGATATTGATCTAAAATTCTGTTTTTCTTGTTGGTCTTTGAGGTAATTTTTTTTTTTTTTTCTTTTTTTTGAGATGGAGTCTCGCTCTGTCGCCCAGGCCGGACTGCGGACTGCAGTGGCGCAATCTCGGCTCACTGCAAGCTCCGCTTCCTGGGTTCACGCCATTCTCCTGCTTCAGCCTCCCGAGTAGCTGGGACTACAGGCGCCCGCCACCGCGCCCGGCTAATTTTTTGTATTTTTAGTAGAGACGGGGTTTCACCTTGTTAGCCAGGATGGTCTCGATCTCCTGACCTCATGATCCACCCGCTTTGAGGTAATTTTTAGACTTTTGCATTTGGGCAGACCAGCAGATGTCATCTAGACCCATGACTAATACCAAAGAACTGGCCCAACTGATCCTGTGACCCCCCACCCAGAAACTGACTCAACACATGAAGACCAATTTGGACACTCCTATAATTTCATACCCAACCAATCAGCAACACCCATTCTCCAGCTCCCTGTCCACCAAATTATCCTCAAAAACCTCACCTCTGAGATTTTGGGTAGAAGGATTTGAGAATTATCTCCCATTCTTCCGCTTGGTTGGTCCTGAGATTATTAAACTCTTTCTTTCTGGCAGAAACCTGCTCTTCTCAGTGCATTGGCATTTCTAGGCAGTGGGCAAGATGAACCCGTAAGGCAATTACATTGACAAGGATGTGGAGAAATTGGAACCCTTGTGCATTCTTGGTGGGAATGTAAAGTGGTAGAGCCACTGTGGATAACAGTATGGCAGTTCCTAAACAAATTACAAATAGAATTACTGTGTGATCCAACACTTCCACTACTGGGTATATCCCTGAAAGAATTGAAAGTATGGTCTCAAAGAGATATTTGTACACCCATGTTCATAACAGCATTATTCACAACAGCTAAAACATAGAAGCAACCCAAATGTCTACTGATAAATAAATGGAAAAGCAAAATAGGATACATATAATGGAATATTGTTCAGCCTAAAAAGAAAATTCTGAAATATGCTATATTACAGATGAATCTTGAGGATGTTATGCTAAGTGAAGTTAGTCACAAAGAGAAAAATAATGTAGGATTCCACTTATGTGAGGTGTTTAGCATAGTCAAAATTATAGAGACCCAAAATAGAATGGTAGATGCCAGGGATTGCAGAGATAGGGGAACAGGGACTTATTAATTAATAAGTATAGAGTTTCAGTTTTATAAAATAAAAAGATTTATGGAGATGGTTGCACAACATTGTGAGTCAAATGTACTCAACATTGTGAGTACATTTTATATCACTGAAGTACATTTTGAAATGGTTAAGATGGTAAATTTTATTACCATACTAAAATATTGGGGGGAAGTGGGCAAAGGATTTGAATAGATATTTTTCCAAAAACAGATATATAAATGGCAATAGGCACATGGAAAGACACTCATCATTAATCATTAGGGAAATGCAAATGAATGACAGATTGGATAAAGAAAATGTGGTACATATACACCATGGAATACTATGTAGCCATAAAAAGAACAAGATCATGTCCTTTTCAGGAACATGGATGGAGCTGGAGGCCATTATCCTTAGCAAACCAATGCAGGAACAGAAGACCAAATACCACATGTTTTCACTTATAAGTGGGAGCTAAGTGATGGGAACTTATGGACACAAAGAAGGAAACTACAGACAGTGGGGTCTACTTGAGAGTGGAGGGAGAGTGGAGAGTGGAGGGAGAGGAACAAAAAAGATAGCTATTGGATACTGGGATTAATACTTGGTTGATGAAATAATTGGTACAACAAACCCCCGTGACATGAGTTGACCTATGTAACAAACTTTCACATGTACCCCCAAACCAAAAATAAATGTTTTAAAAAAAATCTCATAACCAGACACTACTTCAGACTCATTAGGATGATTCAAATAAAAAGACAATGACAAGTCTCAGTGAAGATATGGAGAAAGAACCCTTATTCATTGCAGAGGGGATTATAAAATGGTGCATCCACTTGGGAAAATAGAATAGCAATTTCTCAAAATTTTGAACATAGAGTTACCATATAATATGTAGATATCTCCCATGTAATTTTTTGGAGTTGTCCTCAGTAGAAGAAACCAGAAGTCTTCTGGGCCTTGTGGCAAAGACTTTTTTCTTCTCTTCAGTGGTTAATTTTTTCTGGTTATTTGATGAGATTCCTAGGGAATGGGTCTTAAGACAATTGCATATGTGTTTAAAGAAATTTTTCTTTCAGATAAGGGAACTTTCAGAGAGACCCTCCATGCCTGCACTGGAGGATGCAGTGAGGGGATAACAAGAGAAAGTTAGGAAGTCTTTGGTTCTGAGGCAACTTCTAAGGTCTTCCGTTTTCCTTTAATTCATAAGTGCTCAGTATGCCAAAGCACCATACCTGGTTATCTGAGGACATACATTTGTGAAACTCCACTAATTGCTGCTTGATTGCTCTATTGCTTGCAATAATGCTGTGGGGCATAAGTTGCTTCACACACAAATCCAATCAAATTAATCTTCTTTGAAGGGATGGTTCCTCTGTTTAGTGTTTGAGGTTTATTCAGACTGTAGAAGGGGTCTTCCAAGACTTTCCTCATTTTTCTCTAGCAACTAGTGGGCTTACAGTTTAGCCTATACCTCCAATACATTTATTCATCATTCTTTTCCCAATTGCCTTTCACCAACTTACACTGTTTCTGAGAACACTCTTAGGCTTGAATTTTACATTCTGTCACAAAGTCAGTTTCTTTGGGGAGAGATTTCAAGCTCTCTGTTCTATGGTCTGCTTCTCCCAAGGTGAAATATCTGACCTACACCTTGGGCTGAGGGAGGGACAATTGTGCATCTCTCTGTGAGTGACACTCAGTTTAAAGAACTAAGTGTTCAGTGGATGCAGATGTCCTTGGCTAGTCTCTCTTGGCATAGAACCTTTGCCCCAGGCATCATGGCAAGGACAGTGGGGACCCTAGTGTTCTAAGTGGCCCTGTGCCCAATGTGCAGCCTTGATTCCATGAGTGGCAGCTAAGTGGGAGAATGGAGCTCCCCTCTTTTGGTTGCATTTGCCAGGAACCTTGCCTCAGCAACAAGTAACTGGGGGCAGTCAGGAAAATGTGGATGTCCCACTTCTCCCAGGAATGTAACTCTCTAGATGGGAGACAGAACCTTGTGTTCTTGGCTATACCAGTGTTGCAGGAAAGGGGTCTCAATCAAGACCCCAAGAGAGGGTTCTTGGATCTTGCACAAGAAAGAATTTAGGGTGAGTCCACAGTACAAAGCAAAAGCAAGTGTACTACGAAAGTAAAGTGGTGAAAGTACAGCTACTCCATAAACAGAGTAGGGTGTTCTCAAAAGTGAGAGGAGGAATGCATCCACCCTAGGTACAATACTTGTTTATATATGGGGAGATGTGCTCTGCTACAAAGGTTTTTGATAAACGATTAATTTTCTTAGTTACTATATTTTGTAAGAATCAATATTATTATCTCTAAAGTAAAATTAGGAATACATCTGTTCTTGATATCAGAATATCAGGACACTTCTAAGTCTGGGTCTGCTTAGCAAACATTATCAATCTGTTCCCTTAACCATTAACATCTAGAGGGTAGGAATACCTTTCTGGGAATGTAGCCCAGCAAGTTCCAGCCTCATTTTTCCTAGCCCTTACTCAAGATGGAGTCGCTCTGGTTCGAATGCCTTGGACACTAGTGTAGAGTGAAGTTGCCATCATACTGAACTGGGAATTAGGAGGGAGGTTGTGGGTTTTGGTTAAAATACCACAGACTCTCGCAGATTTATGGAGTTTTAGTACACTTTCTCGAATAAATGTTTCCTCATTTGCTGTATGCACATAGGCTATTTTTCAGAGACTTTAAGTGACTGTTTTAAAATTAATTTTCACCAGTTTTGCTGAAGAGTGATACCACTGAGATTCTCACACTGTCATGCCAGAAGTAGAATTGGAAAGGGGGCAATTTTGATCCAGAAGAGATTAGCATTGTCTTCAGCTGAGTGCTTGAAGTATCTTTGGTTATTAGAAAGGCCTAAGATGTATTTGTAATAATAATAACTTTCTTAGGTTAGTGTCTCAGAAGCAAATCCCAACAGGGGAATTCTTCTGTACGTCATCTATTGAGGGAGTCTTCTCAGAAGAAAGCTTTAAAGGAATAGTGACATTGGGGACATAAGTTGCCAGTTGGGGACATAAGTTGCCAAGCATCTCTTGAGGAAGGTGGTGTGAGTCTAGAGCAGCCAGCACCCACAGTGGCTAGAGATGGATACTGTAGCCTGGTAAAGACTCTCAGAATGGAGGTCAAAAACAGCTGTTGCAAGAATCTAATCCTACCTCATAATAATAATTGTCATAATAGCATCATTTTTGATTGCATAATAGCAATCAAAATAATATAATGGCTACTTTTGTTTGCCACTTTCTATCTGTTTAGGAGCTTTATACTTATTAATTCATATTATTGTGACAACATCGTAAGCTAGATGTCACCCCTTTATTTAGGTGAAGAGAATGAAATGTTAACTTACTTATTTCAGGTCACTGAGGTTGGTGCTAGAGTTGGTCTCAGATGCAACCTCTCTGACTCTAAGGTCTGCCTCTGTCCATTACCCGCACAGTCTTCCAGGAAGAGGTGAAAGAGAGAAATGAAAGGAGAGTGAAGAAAAGGAAATAGACAAGAGAATAAAATAGTGAGCAAAAAGCAAGGGCATGCATGGGAGCTCTGGGGCAGGACCGATGATTGTCCCAGTGGCCCTTCAGTAGCACAAATGCCCTTGGTTTTGTCCTAAGCATTCTGAGGTTAGCCTTGTCACAGCTCAACAATTTGAGATCTCTTGGTCATTATCATCCAAGAAATGAGAATTTTGGCAGCATTGCATATAGGTCCATTTTCCATTCAAGATCCTTAAATTATTTCATTTAGAAATGAGTAGGGGCTGTCTCCTCAAAGCAAGAACCCTTGCATGGCAAATATTCTTCAAACTAAATGACAGTGGAGAGATTTCAAGTGGTGCTACATGCCTCTAAGTCAAGTGCTAGATATTTAGGTGCTACATGAACAGCAATTTCAACAGCACCCTGCAGGGATTTCTTGAAGAGGAGCTATATTTTGTGAATAGAGCATGCGCCTACTCTCTCTTTAATAAGTGACAATATGATGTAGTTAATATGAAGAAAATGAAGGGCGACTACAGACTGAGGTATACTGGGTGTTGTGTGGGATAAGCATTTGCTTTCTTCTTTCACTGAAGAGGTTTCGTGAAGTAGATCCTAGAGACCATTTCAAAACCTTTGCTTTTTAAGATTAAATTTAAGAGAAATATCCATTCAGTAAGAATAAGACTTCACTGAAATAAGAACTTAGGTACCTAACTAAATTCATATACCTTGGTGAACATGTAATTCAAGTGAGAAATCTCTTTCTCACTTTTTTTTCTGCTCGTTCAAAATATATTATCAAATAAGTAACTCTCAAACAGTTTTCAAGTAGAGTAGCCACTACTCCAAATAATGTGCCATTTGAACATCATAGAAATATTTGAAAGTGGTGATTTTAATCATAAAACGATAATCGTCTATTCTCCTAAAACAGAATGTATGATTTTAGACCCAGAAAAACCAGAGCAATCTGACAAGTTAATAACTCCAACAACAAAATCACAAAGACCCCATTGGAATATGAATATTTTGGGAGTTATAACAAGGACATTTGAGACCTATTATGCTCAAATGGAATACTTTTCAGTTTCCTATAACATCTGCTTTCTCATTGCCAGCCAAAGAATGGTAATGTGATTGAGCTACATTTTTAATCTCTGGCTTTCACATTGTTTAAATTTGTTATGCCAGAATATTTTTTAGCAGATGGCATTTCAATCTTTGTTTAAGATTTTTTTTAGAACAGATTCTAGAAGAGCTGACAACTAAATTCTCCTTAGGAAGTGATTCTTTATCTGTACCAGTGGAAATAGATTCAGATCACAACTGGCTTAAGCTGACGTGAGAAGCAGTGGTATTAATGATTGGTATCTGCTGCTAGATGACCAATTGTGATACTTAATTCCCTACAAAATCATACTAGCCTGCAGTTTACTGTTATCATTATTTTGATTTTGTGTGTGTGTGTGTGTGTGTGTGTGTGTGTGTGTGTGTGTGTGGGATAGGGTCTCTCTCTGTTTCCCAGACTGGAGTGCAGTGGTGTGATCACGGCTCACTGCAGCCTTGACTTCCCAGGCTCAAGCAATTCTCCTGCCTCAGCCTCCCAAGTAGCTGGGACTACAGGTGTACACCCACCACGCTCAGCTAAGTTTTAAACATTTTTAGTAGAAACAAGGTCTTACTATGTTTCCCAGGCTGGTCTGGAGCACAGGGCTAAAGCAATCTTCCTGCCTCAGCCTCCCAAAGTGCTGGGATAACAGGCATGAGTGACTGTGCCCAGCTATTTTGAATTTTTATTGCAACTAGAACAATCTAGCCTATACTTTGCATATACCAATGTCTAATGTTTCTATGCTTCTTTTTCAGATGTATTCGTTTTGTAGTGAATTTGACTTTAATGACCTTTTTTTTTCCTTCAATGCCCACACAAGTCAAGATAAAGTTACCTCTCAATAAAGGGGACCAGGCCCTTTTGATGCATTCAATGTTATTTTTCCTCTTGTTAATTTTTGGTGCTCTGCCATAGTTGTGACATATGTAGCACATGTTATAACACACACATACCCTGGAGAGGCATGTCCGTGGAATACTGAAATGTAGCAATGGTCTCATGATTTTGAATAAATCAAATCTTATTTTCTTCCTGATAATAGTTTGTTTTTAGATATGAATTCCAATAAGCATTATAGAATACTCTTTTGCAAAGTCTACTGCCATTGATGGATGAATATAAAATTATTGGCTTACAAAGAACTAAGTGGAGATATATCTCATTTTAAGCAAACTATTCATATAGAGATCACAAACAGAATTATAAAAATGGCTAATTAGGAGTGGTTATTTATTCTATGCAAGGATAGTTCACAGGGTTCGTTTAAATTGTGAACTGTGATTTAAACATAATTAATAATTAGATTTTAAAAACTTAACTTGTGTACTGGCTTTAGGGATGTGCCTGCTACCATTACACATCAGATAAATACATCAGATGTATTTATCTGAGCCGCTTCCTAAAAAATATATCCATTCGGATGTGGTGCTAAATTTAGGTGAGATTACTTTTTAAATTTCAAAAATATATTTTCTTCTCTTGGAACATGGAGGGTAGAAGAAAGAAACACAAGTATCACTAATATTTACTTAATGCTTAGTTTTTAAAGACTCTTTCCTAAGTGCTCTCTCAGCAACCCATTTAGCCTCGGAACAATTTTTTGAGATGGATGTTCCTATCCTTATTTTGCAGATCAGAAACAGAGGCTTACAGGTAACCATAGCTATACAGCTAGTAAGAATTAAGGAATTAAGGCCCATATGACTCCAAAGTTTACCCTTCCTTAAAAAAATTATTTCTCCAACCATAAAAAGTACAACTAAAAAAACCTTGTTTTGGAATGAAATTATATGTATATATATTTAGTAAAAAGGGCCAGCTTGTTATACTCTAGTGCATGTAAAAAGGTTGTCTTTTCTAGTTAGCTACCTTTAAGCTAAGGCAATTTAGGCCCTTTCAAATTGTGGATTTAGCGTTTTGAAAAAGACTGAAAATGCTTGTAAGAAAATGATTCATTGTATGCATTATAGCCTACCGGCATATTTAATGCTCAGTTTTTATAAGTAAGCCATACTATATATAGGGTCATATTAGCCATTGAAGTCTGTCTTTATGTAAATGGAAGTCAGTTCTCATTGGTGCTATCCCCAGCAATACAGATGGGCTATTTGTTGCATGGTGCCAGCCTGTAGAAGGAAGGATCTTAGAGTGCCAAAGATTGGTTTGACGTTTGACTTAGATTTGAACTAACTACCATATGATGACTCAAGTCATTTATTTTGATCATAGTTTTCTTCATTAGCACTTATTACTGCTCTAGAGATTCAATCCTCACACAAAGGGTGGGTTCCTGAAGGCATCTGGGTTTCCCCTTCTATATCAGAGACCATGGATATTTTATTAATTGCAGTATGTACTGGTATGATTCAGTAGTTTCAAATACTTTTGAAATGCCATAAATATAAATAATTCTTTGTTCTCTGTTTATGAAGGGATCACAAGGTTCAAAATCTCTGGCCTGTTATGATGTATTTTATTTCATTCTCAAAGTGGAGCAAGCATAGCCAGTCTCTCAGAATATGGGGAACGATTTTTACGATATGACTACCACATTTTTCTTGTATGATTTCATTCTATACTAACTTTCCTTTCACCTACCCTGCCTATTCCTGGAACTCCTTACATTGCTTCCACCAGCTTTCAATTCTTCTTCAAGGTAAGGATGTCACATTTTTGCCACTCTAGAATATCTTCTGTCTGTATTCAATAATTCCCTTTACCATCCTTTTGCCACTACTCGAATACAGACAAGGAGGTTAGTCAGGAAATTGAGGGATCTAGGCTTTGGAATGATTGGTTTATCCTTTTCTTGACCCATTCCACCTCCAGGGTAAAAGTAGAGCCTTAAAAAACACTCATTAAACACATAAGAGTTATGAAGTGATGTAGGTGTGACATGTCTTACTTTGAATGAATCCTATATGCTGAAGAAAAGTATTAGAACATCCTACAACAACCCAGTGTGGCAGCAGCCCTGGATCCTGCCTCAGAACCTGCAGGACCTGGAAACCTCATGAGACACAGAGAAGGACAGAACTTTGGGTATGCTGCCTTCCTTCTTTTCTGCAAGTAGCTGTGTACTGGGCCATTGAGATGAAGTCACTAGAGTTCATTCATTCCTTGCTTTCAGATATTGTTGATTGCCTGCTATGTGCCAGGAACTTTGCCAGGAGCTGGAAATATGACAGTTAAAAAAAAAATAGACTACCTATAGAGAGCTCACAGTCTTTTTCTTGGCATCATGATCGTCTTTCCACTTTTCCCCTCACAAATCACAATGGTTATGATTGTTAAGTATTTGCTAAGCATTTATGCTGGTCTAGGCACTGTGGTGATTAGTTACATAACTATTTTTCATCTTCATCATAATCTTAGATAATAAGTACTAATATCCTCATTTTATAATTGAGGAAGGTGAGACAGATAAAAAATCATTGATCTCAAAGTAAACGATTGAGCCGGGATTCTGTGGACCCTAATTCGACTGGACTCCAAACTCAGCTACACTACACTTTATTTTCTCATGAGGTAGTGAAAAACCTTCCTGGATAGACAGCTAAAGTGCCCGGGGTACAGATCCAACAGCTTCCCGCAGCTCTCTGGAGCAGGTCCAGCTCTTGTTCAAGTAGGACTGACTTCAGGCTCCTTCCCTCTTTAGGGTTTTGGCAATCAAAGGTCCTTCCTCAGAAGCCAGTCTTTTTCTCTTGTGTCTCTCATCAAATACTGTCCAGTTGCCAAGTCTGCATATTCAACTTAAGCTTTTTATATCTCTTTCCAGCTCTTCTCACCTGTGTATCAACAGACGTAAAGCCATTTGTTGTTACATGTCTTTCCTTTTTCTAAAGGGCATTTAGCCTTCCTGCATACATGGTTTAAGTTTTTCAATGGCATTTCTTGAATTAGTTTAATTCTTTTTCCCCCTGGAGAATGTGTATGCATTAAATTAGCAGTTGTACTAAAAACCACAACATAGCTTATTCAAGTCTTGTCTCTACTAGTCATAAGCAATTAATATTGGGAAAATTATATAACCTGTATGTGTCTCGATTTCCTCATTTGTAAAAGGCAATAATATGTACTTCATAGGGTTGTTGTAAGAACAAACTGAAATAATACAATACTTCACACAGTGACTGGAACTTAATAAGATATTGATACATGTTTACTCTTTATTATTGGGATTCAGAAGAGCATATCAGCTATTTCCATGATAATAGGCTCATAGGAGGGGCTAGGACTCATCAGTACACTGCTAAAAGGGAGCTGCAACTGGATGCGTGTACTGGGGTGGATATTTAGGCAAGCCACAGAGGTAGATGCCAAAGCTTGGTGATGCAGCGAAGTCCCACTTATCAGAAGTGGGGCCTGGAGCCAGGGTCGGATTAAGAATGAAGGTCGCCACGTGGAGCTCTGAGATGATGTGGGGATGGGGCAGTCTCAAGCTAGGCCTAGGGACTGAGCTGGCTGGTGTGAACCTGGATACAGATCCAGTGATTCTGGGTGGGGAAGAATATAGAGGTCAGGAACTGGGTTGAGCTAGACCCAGGGCCCTTTATAAATCTATTTTTTTATTAGTCTATATTAGATTTTATGCAATGACTGTTCTGCGGTGAAGGGTCTATGCAAACATACTTCCAAAGGTGAGGGAGCTGAAGAATACAGAAAATGGTGGACAAATCTGTTTTTTCAGAGAGAAACAAATATTTAATAGGGACTTACAAGAAGAAAGAATGTCTCAGGCGGCTGTGAGATGGTGGATCCATGCATTAACCCTCCAGAAAGTATTCTTTTTTAAAAAATTTAAAATTGTAGGTACATAGTAGGTATATGTATTTATGGGATACATGAGATATTTTTATATAGGCATACAATGCATAATAATCACATCAGGATAAATGGGGTATCTGTCACCTCAATCATTTATCCTTTGTGTTACAAATAATCCAATTATACTCTTTTAGTTATTGTAAAATGTACAACAAATTATTGTACCCTGTTGTGCTATCAAATACTAGATATTATTTATTCCCTCTAACTATATTTTTGTACCCATTAACCATCCACCCTCCACCCCTACACCCCCACACTACCCTTCTCAGCCTCTAGTAACCATTGTTCTACTCTCTATCTCCATGAGTTCAATTATTTTAATTTTTAGCTCCCACACGTAAGTTAGAAAAGACAATGTTTGTCTTTTTCTCCCTGGCTTATTTCACTTAACCTAATGACTTCCAGTTTTATCCATGTTGTTGCAAATAACAGAATCACATTCTTTTATGGTTTAACAGTACTCCATTGTGTGTATGTACCACATTTTCTTTATCCATTTCTCTGTTGATGGACACTGAGGTAGCTTCCAAATCTTGGCTATTGTAAATAGTGCTGCAATAAATAAGAGAATGCAGCTCTCACCTCAATATACTTATTTTCTTTCTTTTGGGTATATACTCAGCAGTGGGATTGCTGGATCATATGGTAGCTCTATTTTTAGTTTTTTGAGGAACCTCCAAACTGTTCTTTGTAGCAGTTGTACTAATTTATACTCTGACCAACTCCACATTCTCACCAGCATTCATTATTGCTTGTCATTTGGATAAAAGCGATTTTAACTTGGGTGACATTATCTCTCATTGTAGTTTTGATTTATATTTCTCTGATGATTAGTGGTGTTGAGCACCTTTTCATATGCCTGTTTGTCATTTGTATATCTTATTTTGAGAAAGGTCTATTTAGATCTTTTGCCCATTTTGAAATCAGATTATTGGATTTTTTCCAGCAGAGTTGTTTGAGCTCCTTATATATTCTGCTTATTAATCCCTTGTCAGATGCATACTTTGCAAATATTTTGTCCCATTGAGTTGGCTCTTCACTTTGTTGATTGTTTACTTTGCTGTGCAGAAGCTTTTTAACTCGATGTGATCCCATTTGTCCAGTTTTGCTTTGGTTCCCTGTTCTTTTTTTTTTTTCACCAATTCCTGACCTATTTATTTTTTACTTTTTATTATTTTTTCTTTTTTCTTTTATTATTATTATTATACTTTAAGTTTTAGGGTACATGTGCACAATGTGCAGGTTAGTTACATATGTATACACATGCCATGCTGGTGTGCTGCACCCACCAACTCGTCATCTAGCATTAGGTATATCTCCTAATGCCATCCCTCCCCCCTCCCCCCACCCCACAACAGTCCCCAGAGTGTGATGTTCCCCTTCCTGTGTCCATGTGTTCTCATTGTTCGGTTCCCACCTATGAGTGAGAACATGCAGTGTTTGGTTTTTTGTCCTTGCAATAGTTTACTGAGAATGATGATTTCCAATTTCATCCATGTCCCTACAAAGGACATGAACTCATCATTTTTTGTGGCTGCATAGTATTCCATGGTGTATATGTGCCACATTTTCTTAATCCAGTCTATCATTGTTGGACATTTGGGTTGGTTCCAAGTCTTTGCTATTGTGAATAGTGCCGCAATAAACATACGTGTGCATGTGTCTTTATAGCAGCATGATTTATAGTCCTTTGGTATTATACCCAGTAATGGGATGGCTGGGTCAAATGGTATTTCTAGTTCTAGATCCCTGAGGAATCGCCACACTGACTACCACAATGGTTGAACTAGTTTCCAGTCCCACCAACAGTGTAAAAGCATTCCTATTTCTCCACATCCTCTCCAGCACCTGTTGTTTCCTGACTTTTTAATGATTGCCATTCTAACTGGTGTGAGATGATATCTCACTGTGGTTTTGATTTGCATTTCTCTGACGGCCAGTGATGATGAGCATTTTTTCATGTGTCTTTTGGCTGCATAAATGTCTTCTTTTGAGAAGTGTCTGTTCATATCCTTTGCCCACTTTTTGATGGGGTTGTTTGTTTTTTTCTTGTAAATTTGTTTGAGTTCATTGTAGATTCTGGATATTAGCCCTTTGTCAGATGAGTAGGTTGTGAAAATTTTCTCCCATTTTGTAGGTTTCCTGTACACTCTGATGGCAGTTTCTTTTGCTGTGCAGAAGCTCTTTAGTTTAATTAGATCCCATTTGTCAATTTTGTCTTTTGTTGCCATTGCTTTTGGTGTTTTAGACATGAAGTCCTTGCCCATGCCTGTGTCCTGAATGGTAATGCCTAGGTTTTCTTCTAGAGTTTTTATGGTTTTAGGTCTAACATTTAAGTCTTTAATCCATCTTGAATTAATTTTTGTATAAGGTGTAAGGAAGGGATCCAGTTTTAGCTTTCTACATATGGCTAGCCAGTTTTCCCAGCACCATTTATTAAATAGGGAATCCTTTCCCCATTGCTTGTTTTTCTCAGGTTTGTCAAAGATCAGATAGTTGTAGATATGCAGCGTTATTTCTGAGGGCTCTGTTCTGTTCCATTGATCTATATCTCTGTTTTGGCACCAGTACCATGCTGTTTTGGTTACTGTAGCCTTGTAATATAGTTTGAAGTCAGGTAGGGTGATGCTTCTAGCTTTGTTCTTTTGGCTTAGGATTGACTTGGCGATGCGGGCTCTTTTTTGGTTCCATATGAACTTTAAAGTAGTTTTTTCCAATTCTGTGAAGAAAGTCATTGGTAGCTTGATGGGGATGGCATTGAATCTATAAATTACCTTGAGCAGTATGGCCATTTTCACGATATTGACTCTTCCTACCCATGAGCATGGAATGTTCTTCCATTTGTTTGTATTCTCTTTTATTTCCTTGAGCAGTGGTTTGTAGTTCTCCTTGAAGAGGTCCTTCACGTCCCTTGTAAGTTGGATTCCTACGTATTTTATTCTCTTTGAAGCAATTGTGAATGGGAGTTCACTCATGATTTGGCTCTCTGTTTGTCTATTGTTGGTGTATAGGAATGCTTGTGATTTTTGCACATTGATTTTGTATCCTGAGACTTTGCTGAAGTTGCTTATCAGCTTAAGGAGATTTTGGGCTGAGACAATGGGGTTTTCTAGATTTACAATCATGTCATCTGCAAACAAGGACAATTTGACTTCCTCTTTTCCTAATTGAATACCCTTTATTTCCTTCTCCTGCCTAATTGCCCTGGCCAGAACTTCCAACCCTATGTTGAATAGGAGTGGTGAGAGAGGGCATCCCTGTCTTGTGCCAGTTTTCAAAGGGAATGCTTCCAGTTTTTGCCCATTCAGTATGATATTGGCTATGGGTTAGTCATAGATAGCTCTTATTATTTTGAGATACGTCCCATCAATACCTAATTTATTGAGAGTTTTTAGCATGAAGCATTGTTGAATTTTGTCAAAGGCCTTTTCTGCATCTATTGAGATAATCATGTGGTTTTTGTCTTTGGTTCTGTTTATATGCTGGATTACATTTATTGATTTGTGTATATTGAACCAGCCTTGCATCCCAGGGATGAAGCCCACTTGATCATGGTGGATAAGCTTTTTGATGTGCTGCTGGATTTGGTTTGCCAGTATTTTATTGAGGATTTTTGCATCAATGTTCATCAAGGATATTGGTCTAAAATTCTCTTTTTTTGTTGTAGTATCTCTGCCCGGCTTTGGTATCAGGATGATGCTGGCCTCATAAAATGAGTTAGGGAGGATTCCCTCTTTTTTTATTAATTGGAATAGTTTCAGAAGGAATGGTACCAGTTCCTCCTTGTACCTCTGGTAGAATTTGGCTATGAATCCATCTGGTCCTGGACTCTTTTTGGTTGGTAAGCTATTGATTATTGCCACAATTTCAGAGCCTGTTATTGGTCTATTCAGAGATTCAACTTCTTCCTGGTTTAGTCTTGGGAGAGTGTATGTGTCAAGGAATTTACCCATTTCTTCTAGATTTTCTAGTTTATTTGCGTAGAGGTGTTTGTAGTATTCTCTGATGGTAGTTTGTATTTCTGTGGGATCGGTGGTGATATCCCCTTTATCATTTTTTATTGCGTCTATTTGATTCTTCTCTCTTTTTTCTTTATTAGTCTTGCTAGCTGTCTATCAATTTTGTTGATCCTTTCAAAAAACCAGCTCCTGGATTCATTAATTTTTTGAAGGGTGTTTTGTGTCTCTATTTCCTTCAGTTCTGCTCGATTTTAGTTGTTTCTTGCCTTCTGCTAGCTTTTGAATGTGTTTGCTCTTGCTTTTCTAGTTCTTTTAATTGTGATGTTAGGGTGTCAATTTTGGATCTTTCCTGCTTTCTCTTGTGGGCCTTTAGTGCTATAAATTTCCCTCTACACACTGCTTTGAATGCGTCCCAGAGATTCTGGTATGTTTTGTCTTTGTTCTCGTTGGCTTCAAAGAACATCTTTATTTCTGCTTTCATTTCATTATGTACCCAGTAGTCATTCAGGAGCAGGTTGTTCAGTTTCCATGTAGTTGAGCGGTTTTGAGTGAGTTTCTTAATACTGAGTTCTAGTTTGATTGCACTGTGGTCTGAGAGACAGTTTGTTATAATTTCTGTTCTTTTACATTTGCTGAGGAGAGCTTTACTTCCAAGTATATGGTCAATTTTGGAATAGGTGTGGTGTGGTGCTGAAAAGAATGTATATTCTGTTGATTTGGGGTGGAGAGTTCTGTAGATGTCTATTAGGTCCGCTTGGTGCAGAGCTGAGTTCAATTCCTGGGTATCCTTGTTAACTTTCTGTCTCGTTGATCTGTCTAATGTTGACAGTGGGGTGTTAAAGTCTCCCATTATTAATGTGTGGGAGTCTAAGTCTCTTTGTGGGTCACTCAGGACTTGCTTTATGAATCTGGGTGCTCCTGTATTGGGTGCATATATATTTAGGATAGTTAGCTCTTCTTGTTGAATTGATCCTTTTACCATTATGTAATGGCCTTCTTTGTCTCTTTTGATCTTTTTTGTTTTAACATCTGTTTTATCAGAGACTAGGATTGCAACCCCTGCCTTTTTTCATTTTCCATTTGCTTGGTAGATCTTCCTCCATCCTTTTATTTTGAGCCTATGTGTGTTTCTGCATGTGAGATGGGTTTCTTGAATACAGCACACTGATGGCTCTTGACTCTTTATCCAGTTTGCCAGTTTGTGTCTTTTAATTGGAGCATTTAGTCCATTTACATTTAAAGTTAATATTGTTCTGTGTGAATTTGATCCTGTCATTATGATGTTAGCTGGTTATTTTGCTCGTTAGTTGATGTGGTTTCTTCCTAGTCTCGATGGTCTTTACATTTTGGCATGATTTTGCAGCAGCTCGTAGTGGTTGTTCCTTTCCATGTTTAGCGCTTCCTTCAGGAGCTCTTTTAGGGCAGTCCTGGTGGTGACAAAATCTCTCAGCATTTGATTGTCTGTAAATTTCTCCTTCACTTATGAAGCTTAGTTTGGCTGGATATGAAATTCTGGATTGAGAATTCTTTTCTTTAAGAATGTTGAATATTGGCCCCCACTCTCTTCTGGCTTGTAGAGTTTCTG
Source organism: Homo sapiens (assembly GCF_000001405.40). Lineage (NCBI taxonomy): Eukaryota > Metazoa > Chordata > Mammalia > Primates > Hominidae > Homo > Homo sapiens. Next base: position 89,492,780 of record NC_000001.11, on the reverse strand, counting down.
CCGAGAGATCCGCTGTTAGTCTGATGGGCTTCCCTTTGTGGGTAACCTGAGCTTTCTCTCTGGCTGCCCTTAACATTTTTTCCATCATTTCAACTTTGGTGAATCTGACAATTATGTGTCTTGGAGTTGCTCTTCTCGAGGAGTATCTTTGTGGTGTTCTCTTGATTTCCTGAATCTGAATGTTGGCCTCCCTTGCTAGATTGGGGAAGTTCTCCTGGATAATATCCTGCAGAGTGTTTTCCAACTTGGTTCCATTCTCCCCGTCACTTTCAGGTACACCAATCAGATGTAGATTTGGTCTTTTCACATAGTCCCATATTTCTTGGATGCTTTGTTCATTTCTTTTTATTCTTTTTTCTCTAAACTTCTCTTCTTGCTTCATTTCATTCATTTGATCTTCCATCACTGATACCCTTTCTTCCAGTTGATCGCATCGGCTCCTCAGGCTTCTGCATTCTTCACGTAGTTCTCGAGCCTTGGCTTTCAGCTCCATCAGCTCCTTTAAGCACTTCTCTGTATTGGTGATTCTAGTTATACATTCGTCTAAATTTTTTTCAAAGTTTTTAACTTCTTTGCCTTTGGTTTGAATTTCCTCTTGTAGCTCGGAGTAGTTTGATCATCTGAAGCCTTCTTCTCTCAACTCGTCAAAATCATTCTCCGTCCAGCTCTATTCCATTGCTGGTGAGGAACTGCGTTCCTTTGGAGGAGGAGAGGCACTCTGCTTTTTAGAAATTCCAGGTTTTCTGCTCTGTTTTTTCCCCATCTTTGTGGTTTTATCTACTTTTGGTCTTTGATGATGGTGATGTACAGATGGGCTTTTGGTGTGGATGTCCTTTCTGTTTGTTAGTTTTCCTTCTAACAGACAGGACCCTCAGCTGCAGGTCTGTTGGAGTTTGCTAGAGGTCCGCTCCAGACCCTGTTTGCCTGGGTATCAGCAGTGGTGGCAGCAGAACAGCGGATTTTCGTGAACTGGGAATGCTGCTGTCTGATCGTTCCTCTGGAAGTTTTGTCTCAGAGGAGTACCCGGCCTTGTGAGGTGTCAGTCTGCCCCTACTAGGGGGTGCCTCCCAGTTAGGCTGCTCAGGGGTCAGGGGTCAGAGACCCACTTGAGGAGGCAGTCTGCCTGTTCTCAGATCTCCAGCTGTGTGCTGGGAGAACCACTGCTCTCTTCAAAGCTGTCAGACAGGGACATATAAGTCTGCAGAGGTTACTGCTGTCTTTTTGTTTGTCTGTTCCCTGCCCCCAGAGTTGGAGCCTACAGAGGCAGGCGGGCCTCCTTGAGCTGTGGTGGGCTCCATCCAGTTCGAGCTTCCCGGCTGCTTTGTTTACCTAAGCAAGCCTGGGCAATGGCAGGTGCCCCTCCCCCAGCCTCACTGCCACCTTGCAGTTTGATCTCAGACTGCTGTGCTAGCAATCAGCGAGACTCCGTGGGCGTAGGACCCTCCGAGCCAGGTGCGGGAGATAATCTCCTGGTGTGCCGTTTTTTAAGCCCGTCAGAAAAGCGTGGTATTAGGGTGGGAGTGACCCGATTTTCCAGGTGCTGTCTGTCACCCCTTTCTTTGACTAGGAAAGGGAACTCCCTGACTCCTTGTGCTTCCCAAGTGAGGCAGTGCCTCGCCCTGCTTCGGCTCGCGCACACTGCGCTGCACCCGCTGTCCTGTGCCCACTGTCTGGCACTCCCTAGTGACATGAACCCAGTACCTCAGATGGAAACGCAGAAATCACACGTCTTCTGCATCGCTCATGCTGGGAGCTGTAGACCGGAGCTGTTCCTATTCGGCCATCTTGGCTCGGCCTTGCTTACTTTTGATTTTAGAGGCTCATAGGCAGAAGGGACTTGCCTTGTCTGAGATGAGACTTTGGACTGCAGACTTTTGAGTTAATACTGAAATGAGTTAAGAGTTTGGGGGACTGTTAGGAAGGCATGATTGTTTTGAAATGTGAGGACTTGAGATTTGGGAGCGGCCAGGAGTAGAATGATATGATTTGGTTGTGTCCCCACCAAAATCTCATCTTGAATCGTAACTCGTACAATTCCCACGTGTTGTGGGAGAAACCCAGTGGGAGGTAGTTGAATTATGGGGGCAGGTCTTTTCCACATTGTTCTCTTAATAGTGAATAAGTCTCACAAGATTTGATGGTTTTAAAAATGGGAGTTTCCCTGCACAAGCTTTCTCTTGCCTGCCACCATCCATGTAAGATGTGACTTGCTCCTCCTTGCCTTCCACCATGATTGTGAGGCCTCTGCAGCCTGTGGAACTATAAGTTCATTAAACCTCTTTTTCTTCTCAGTTTAGGTATGTCTTAATCAGCAGCATGAGAATGGACTGACACAGGTAAGATCAGGGAGAATTCCCTGGATTACCAGGCAGAGACTCTTGTTCTCTTCCCTTGCTTTTCCCCAAACAAATGAAGTCTCTCTTTCTATGTTTAGCTGCCTGGAACTGGGAGAGGATTGATGCAAGAGCCCCTGTGGCCACCACCACTGGGACTGCACCAGGTCAGACCAAAACTCAGCACAGCATTGGGTCTTGATGAAGGCCCGAGGCAACCACTGCCTGGTTCCTGCCAATGTTCACTCAAGGCCCAAGGGCTCTTCAGTTAGCAGTTGGTGAATCCAGCCAGGCTTGTGTCCTATCCTTCAGTGCAGTGATCTCCCCCATAACCCAGGGTGGGTCCCAGAATACTGTCTGGGAGCGAGGGCTTGGAGATGGGAACCAGAGCCTGGAATCAGGAATGTTATGAATCTACTTGGTGTTCTATTCTACTGCGGCTCAGCTGGCACCAATGCCACAAAACAAAGTCCTTATCACTCTTCCTTCTCCTTTCCTCATGCAGAAAGAGTCTTGCTCTGTGGATACCACCACACCAGCCAGTGGCTCTTACTGCCTAGATGCTGTTGATGTTCATTCAAGGCTCATGGGCTTTTCAATTCACTTATGATTAATGTTACCAGGACTAGGTCTCTCCCCTCTGGCCCAAGGTGGGTCTAGAAATACTGTCCAATAGCCACAGCCTGGAATCAGGAACCCTAGGGGTCTGCTTGCTGCTCTATCCCATGGTGGCTGAGCTGATGCCCAAGCTGCAAGTCAAGGTCCCCTTCACTTTTCCTTCCCCTTTGCTCTAGCAGAAGGCATTTCCCTGCACGGTTACTACAGCTGAGAATTTTCTGGGTCACATTTGAAGCCAGCATGGCCCTGGGTCTTATCCAAGGCTCACAGTAAGAGCTCCTTGGGTACCACGGATATTTATTTAAGGCCTAAGGGCTCTCTAGTCAGCCAATGATGAATCCTGGCAAGACTGGATCCTTCCCTTTCAGGCAGTAGGTTCTCTTCTGGCCCAGGACATATCTAAAAATGTCATCTAGGAGCTGGGGCTTGGAATGGGGGAAGGCCTCAAAACTCTGCCTGGTGCCCTTTTCTACCATGGCTGAGCTGGTATTCAAGTTGCAACAAAAAGTTATTTTCACTCTTCCCTCTCCTGTCTTCAGATGGAAGGAAGTAGTCTCTCCTGGAGCTATGAGTTGTGCTGCTTGTGGTTTGGGGAGGGGTGATGCAAGCACTCCCTTGGCTGCCCCAGCTGGTGTCTCACTTGGTTGTGTGCCCTCCAAGTCCACTGGCTCCAAGCTCAGCACAGCATCAGGATTTGCTCAGGAATTGCAGTCCTTGTGGCCTAGACTGCCTTTCAAGTTTATTTAGGACCACAGAACACTTTAGCCCACAATGTTGGAACTTGCTGGAACTCAGGTTCTGACTACTGGAAAGGGCAATTCTCTGGCTAGGGCTGGTCTACATACTACTTCCACAGGTGCCAGCTGAATTCTGCCCCATGTTACTTTCCCCACTGTGACAGGCAGTACTGAGTTCCAATGCAAGGTCTCAAAATCACTGTGTTCTCTCTCCCCTAAGCAAACATATCTTTCCATGCCACATGGCTGCTGCTGGCGAGGGGAGAGGGGTTGTGTCAGCAATTGAAGACTGTCTTTTCTACTCTCTTCAGTGCCTCTTTCCATTATATGATGTTAAAACCAGGTACTGTGATTGCTCACCTGATTTTTGGTTCCTATAAAAGTGCATTCTTGTGGGGATAGTTGTTCAATTTGGTGTTCTTATGGGGGGAAATGATAGCTGGAGGCTTCTATTTAGCCATCTGGCTCCTCCTCTCCATCCAGAGAGTATCTTTTATATAGCAAGGTTTTAGGGTAAAACCTATGCAGCTGGTCACATCTTCAGAGTTTTTTGCAAAGACTCATGACCACTTGGGAGGTTAGGGAAGCATCTTTATGAGGGATTATCCATGCTATAGCAATCGTTTAAACACCTTACTGCAGAACTTGTAAGTATGTGGGGGTCAATCATCAGTTTTGCTTCAAGATGGCATCACTCTTACCATGCAACATGCTGTTTCCTTACACTTCACCCCCACCCCAAACTGGCCCTTACAGTCTTACTCCTTTACTTCTTCCTCAATAGTTCCTGGGTCTAGAGGAAATGTGCCTAATTTTGCATAGCTTAACAGCAGTGCATTGGCTCCATTGGAGGCAGTTTCCACAGTAACAGTAAAGCCAAAAACAAGACCATAAAAAACATATGAGTATAATGTCTAAACCACAATGCAGCTTCTGCTACCAGGTGCCCCAGGACCCAAACCACCAAATGTTCCACAATGAGAAGGTCTATGCAAACCTACTCCAAAATGCTGAGGGAGCTGACAGACTGAAGAAAGAGGCTAACAAGTCCAGTTTCTCAGAAAAGAACGTTTAATCGGGATATAAAAATAGAAGCAATGTCTTGAGCAGTCACTAGATGGTGGATCTGCATACTTGCCTTCCAGAAAGTATTCTTTATAAAGCAAGATTTTAGGGTAAAACATGTGCAGCTGGTCATGTTTCAGACTTTCTTGCCAAAACTCGTGGAGAGGTTAGAGAAGCATCTTTATGAGGAGTTATCTATGCTACAGACATTGTGTAAAGACCTTACTGCAGAACACCTTGGTATGTGGGGGTCAAACACTGGCCATGATGGTGGTTTTGCTTCAAGATAGCATTACTCTTGACATGCAACAGGCTATTTTCCTAGAAGAGTTTTGTTGGCTCTATGTATGTGGATCTCTATGTGGTGCTTAATATATTCTGCTACTACTGTGAAGTGTTGTAGAGATAATGAAATATATATGTAAAAGTGACTTTTAAGTTTTTAAAAAGTTTTTTAGATGTAAGGCATTGTGGCTTGTATTTATTTCTTTCTTTGTTTAAGAGATAGTATTGTTCTATCGACCAGGCTGGAATGCAATGGTGCCATCATGGCTCACTGCAGCCTTGACTTTCTGGGCTCAAGCAATTCTCCCATCTCGTCCTCCTGAGTAGCTGGGACTACAGGCATGTGCCACTATGCCCAGCTATTTATTTTTTATTTTTATTTTCTAGAGACAAGGTCCCACTATGCTGCCCAAACTAGCCTCAAACTCCTGGGCTCAAGCAATCCTCTTGACTTGGCCTCTGAAAGCGCTGGGATTAAGGCATGAGCCACCATACCTGGCCTGTGGCTGTTACTTAAAATCATATTTTTTTCATGATAGCAATGAAATATCTCATTTAAATTCCTGTTTTTATTCACAAGCTAACCTAAATAATATTTCCATTCATGTAAATAGAACTGATATATTGGCTAAATAGGGGTTGAGCAATGTAATAAGGAAAACAATTTTAATTTTGTCTCCCAATGTCACTTTCAAGTGTATTTAGTGGAGTAAAGGTTTTTTCTGCTGCTGGATAAAAGCCCAACGGAACTTGACAAAAAAAATCCCATGGTTGGTTTAAGTTGTAAAACAGAATTTGATTCAGAAATTATAAATTCTAGTCCAAATTTTAATCTTTATTTAAAGGTAAACTTCCTTCCTCTCTCCTGCCCCCTTCTATCCCTTGCTGCTTTATAAACTGCCTTGGCAGGGAGAGCAGTGGGCTGCTTTTCCCACGTAAGCACCGTCAGGTCTCTCCAAGTATAGAGCTCAGGGAAGGACAAAAGGAAAGGAGAGGGACTAGAAAGTTCTTACTTGACTGATGCTTTAATTCTGCCATTTTACTCTCTGAGCCTGACTGACGTTTAAAGGTAAATTTTTCTCTGTGCGGCCAGTCTGGATTCTCTGACAGCTCGCCTGCTGGGCCCCTCTGACCATACCTGACACAGCGTTGGCAGTGTCCTCATTCTACTGATCACCACCACTCCCCACTTAGCTTCTGGATTTTACACAGCCCATGCCAAGCCCAGACTCTGCTAGAATCCTCCTGCCATCTACCCAAAGCTCTGGTTAACCTGGCAGGCTCACTGCCATAATGATTCCAGGTAGAGATCCTCCCAGATCCCATTTCCTGTAAAACCAGCAAATGTCTTGGATGTCTCTCTCTGGATCCCTCAGGCAAACAGTCACAGCATCCTGCCACAGAGAGCTCAGATTTGTGTTCCACACCAGTCCAGTGTGCTCCCTAACTGCAGGCAGCACTGATTAAGGTCTTCAAGGGTCTCCTGAAACACTTCCTAGACCTAATTGAAGGACAAAGCTCTTTTCAAGAGGTAAGTTTGTAATTCTACCCTCTGTGTCTGTTCTCAACCTTTTATGTCTTCGATGTGGATGACAGGTTTTAAATGTATCAAAACTGGTTCTCATAATTTTATTTGAAAATTTATATAGAGTCTGACAATCACTTTGGGATTCAGTATCTACTGTATCTTGATGTGTGAGACAAAAATTCCTCTTTGAAATCCTATCATACAACAAAATAGATCAATCGAAAAGGTTCTCATAAACAAATGAGAATTAGGATACAGGTAATTTAGAGTTCCTTGGCATACAAAAGAAATAGGAAAAATAAGTATCCTTATTCATCATTAGAAACTGAAGCCCAGGTATCATCCCCTGATCATAAGAGAATATGATAAGTGCTCCTCCTCGTTGCTTCCACTGTACTTTATATATTGCTACTATCATAGCTCTTACCATTTGCTTTTAAATTTACTAGATTTTAAGCTTCTGGAGAAAATGAGATATATTTATTTTTATTTGTACCTCCTGTGCCTAGCACAGTGTCTAGAATATTGTGGAAACTCAATAAATGCTTATTAATCTAAATTAAAGAGATATGGATTTCTACTTAGACTCTCATGATATTTGATTGGCTTAGGAATGTAGTATTCCTCTTTCCCAGGCTCTTTATCAGTAAAATGGGAAAAACACCAATTATCTTAACTAATAAAGATGAAAACTAGTAAAAATGATTTAAAAACCACTCTTAAAACAAAAGGATTTATAAGCACTAGTCGTCAGTTCTATCATGCTCCATGTCTGGCAGTACCGTCTCCCCACATGGGCTGTTAAAATGACCTAGAATCATAAATTTTTGTCAGTCTATTAGATAGGAAGGTGAACTCTGTGTTCCTCTGTGGGATTTGTTGCCCTCATAGTCCTTGAAGAATCTTAATTTATTATATGGATAAAAAAATAAAGTTAAGCTAAGAGAACTTTCGAATTAAATTGTACCTTTTGTTTTGTTAGCCATGAACAGTCATAGAGCGACAGCAGTAGTACTAGAAAAAGCATGTAGTCTATTTTTGTAACATCTTTTTGTTAAACATCTGAAAAAACAAGAGGGGCCCAGTCTGTTGTTTGCTTAAGCTTCTGTGAAATGTGTCCATCCAATTCAGCATATGTCAATATGTTCCTCATTTATTGCTGTGTAAAAATTATCTAAAATATATAAGCTGAAAACAATAAATATTTATTGTCTCATAGTTTCTGCGGGTCAGGAATATGAGAGAGGCTTAGGTGGATAGTTGTGGTTCAAGGTTTCTCATGTGGCTTCAGTCAAGGTATCTTCCAGGGCTGTTGCCATCTGAGTCTTAACTGAGTCTGGAGGAGCTGCTTGACTGACAGCTATGGCTGTTGGCAGGAGGCTTCAGTTCCTCTTCACATCAGCCTCTCCATAAGGCTCATGACATGGCTTCCCCCAGGGACAAAGAAAGCAGATTCCAAGGGTAAAAGCTGTAGATTTGTAATAACCTAGTCTTAGAAGTGAATATTGTTACTTTCAGTGTATTCAAATTGTTAGGAATTAGTCATTAAAACCAACCTATACTCAAGGGGAGGGGAATTAGGCTATACCTCTTAAAGGGAGGAGAGTCAAATAATTTGTGGACATACTTTCCAAACCACCACAGGCAACATGCTGACTTAAGAAAATAGTCTTAGATAGTTTTAACTTCTTTGTTTTTCAGTGTGACTTTAAGATGTAAAATATAAAATTTTATGTATAAAATATCTTACGGTAACCCAACTTCCCCCAGAAGTAAACAATTAAGTAGTAGTATTATATGAAGGCACTAAAGGAAGAAGTCATTAAATTTTATGCTATAGCTCAGGTGAAAAGGAAAATATCTTGCATCTGTGGCTAAGTTATAAACCATTGACATCAATTAGCCTCTTTTTGCCATAGCAGTGAAAATGGGCAACTCTTGCTGATGGCTTTATCTTAAAGTGTCTTCAGATGTGTGGTTAAATATGCGGTCAAAGGGTTTTCATCATCTACCTTGTCATTATATATACTTCCTTTTTGTTGACTTCTAGTTAACTTTGAAAAGTCAATCCATTCCAACCTAAATAAGTATTTTATAGAGAACATTTATAAATTTATAAAATAAAAAGCTGCCATTAAATATTATTACAGACATAATATAGTTGTACTTCTTAGAGATGTATGTAATTGTTACAGAACCTTGCCAACTTTCATTTTCATTCTCCCTTTATTTTATTTTTCATATAGATGTAGAGCAGAATATTAGTCTTAGTATTAGTCTAGTAGTACTAGTATTAGTCTAATAGCATTAGACTAGTATTAACTATTAGACTAGTATTAGTCAACTAATTAGTATTAGCCTAATAAATATAGATAGCATTCAATGGCGTAAAAGGCTGGAATGGTTCTAGAACAGTTCTGTTGTCATGTTATTCTGGTAGGAACAGAATGAAGTTTACTAGGAGAATTGAGGATGGAATAAAGAGCTTATTCAATTTTCCCTAATATATGGGCTGTTTGAATTGGAAGAAATCTGTTCTATTATTAAGAACATGGAAGAAATCTATTATTAAGTACAATCAAGAAGCAGGAAAAAGAACTGCCACTGAGTACCCCTTTTATCCTTCTTGGACAAGGGCAGAACATTGCACAGGATTTGGAATGGATGCAGCTAGTGATTAAGGTGATGTTAGTGATTTCTATTGTAGTACTGACTGTGTGGCCATAGATCTCACAGCCTTGGAATCAGTGTGCTTCAAGCCTCGTATCGCCCTCTTGTGGCCAGAGTTCATCTACTTATAGAAATTCTGTTTCTCACAGATTCCTCTTCTAGAGTTACATCAAAAATAAAGGATTGTTTCTCACTGCTTTCTTCCTCCCACAAGAAACTCATTAGAAGTGGGAACCTTATTTATCATGAATTTATCTGCTTTATGTGCTTACCAGCAGTAGGAATCAAGACATCAAGACATCCTTATCATCACCGAGTGGTTGGAGATTGTTACTGTTTCTTCCTTGTACTAGAGTCTGTATAGAACTCAAGGCTTGTTTCCTTTTCATTTTGTCCCAATGTATGATTATTACAAGCAGAAATATAAGAAATGCCTGATTATGTATGTTGACAAAATTATGACCTTGGAGAGATATTACTTGGAGATATATATTTATTAATAAAATCTCAATAATTTCATAAATCATTCAATTGTCATATTGAGGTGAAGCAACTTATATTAATATATATCAGAAGCCAATAATATAATTAGAAAAGTAACACTATCTGATAGTGATTTGTGATGTTGATGAAAGAGGCACTTCCTAAACATCTAACTTAGATGTCCGTAATATGCTCATTTACTAATAGGTTTCTAAGATTATCACAGCAGGTGCTACATATCATCATCACACTTTGTCAACTCAAAATAATTTTTACCAACTCCTACTTTCCACTGTGGAAGCATAATAAACAAAATAAAGACCTGCTTTTTTATATTCCTATTTTTAAAATGGAAAAAATTAGAATTAAATATGTCAATCCAGAAAATGAATAAATTATGTGTTCAGCTCAATAAACTATCAGTGCCACCTACTGAATCACATACCAAAGCTTCAACACCAGAAATACTTGGTAACATACTCCTCTGAGAAACTAAAGACAAGAAGTCAGCTACAACTAAAGACCCTGCACAAAATCCCGGAACACATTATTCTGACTTCTTGTGCCATTTTGGCAGCTTTTAATCTTTATACGAATGGAACCACACAGTATGTATTCTTTAGCATTTGGTTTCTTTCGTACATCATTATGTTTGAGAGATTCATCTATGTTGTGATGAGCTACAGTTCTTCCATTTTAATTGCTCTATAGTGTTCCATCATGTTCGGCATATATAGCCTCTTTATCTTTAAAAAATGCTCTCTGTTTCAAAGCCTAGTTTCTAATATTAATATACCTGTACCAGTTTTTTTTGGTTAAAATTTTTATGGTATATCATTTTTCTATTATTTTAATTTCAACATTTCATTCTAATATTTTACAGTGTGTCTCTTGTAAGCAGAATATAGATAGGTTTGTAATATTATCCAGTATGATAATCTTTGTTTTTCATTTGGGACACTTAATCCATTTATATTTTGATATGGTTTGGCTGTGTCCCCACCCAAATATCATCTTGAATGCTAGCTCCCCTAATTCCCTTATGTTGTGGGAGGGACCAAGTGGGAGGTAATTGATTAATGGGAGCAGTTTCCTCTATACTGTTCTCATGGTACTGAATGAGTATCATGATATCTAATGGTTTTATAAGGGGAAATCTTTTGCTTGCCTCTCATTCTATTCTCTTGTCTGCCACCAGGTGAGATGTGACTTTTGCCTTCCACCACGACTGTGCCCGGTCTTGGGTATGTCTTTATCAGCAGCAGGACAATGGACTCCTACAGTAAATTGGTACCAGTAGAGTGGGCGCTGCTGAAAAGATACCCAAAAATGTGAAAGTGACTTTGGAACTGGGTAACACGCAGAGGTTGGAACAGTTTGGAGGGCTCAGAATAAGACAGAAAAATGTGGGAAAGTTTGGAACTTCCTAGAGACTTGTTGAATGGCTTTGTGCAAAATGCTGATAATGACATGGACAATGAAATCCAGGTTAATATGGTCTCTGATGGAGATGAAGAACTTGTTGGGAACTGGAGCAAAGGTGACTCTTGTTTTAGCAAAGAGACTGGTGGCATTTTGCCCCTGCTCTAGAGATTTTTGGAACTTTGAACTTAAGAGAGATGATTTAGGTATCTGGCAGAAGAAATTTCTAAGCAGCAAAGCACTCAAGAGGTGACTTGAGTGCTGTTAAAGGCATACAGTTTTAAAAGGGAAACAGTATAAAAGTTCAGAAAATTTGCAGCCTGACAATGTGATAGAAAGGAAAATCCCATTTTCTGAGGAGAAATTCAAGCTGGCTGCAGAAATTTGCATATGTAATGAGGAGCTGAATGTTAATCCCCAAGACAATGGGAAAAATGTCTCCAGGGCATGTTAGAGGTTTTCACGGCAGCTCCTTCCATCACAGGCCTGGAAGCCTAAAAGGTAAAAGTGGTTTCTTGGGCCAGGCCCAGGGTCCCTCTGCTGTGTGCAGTCTAGGGACTTGATGCCCTGCATCCCAGCTGCTCCAGCTGTGACTAAAAGGAGCCAAGGTACAGCTCAGTCCATGGCTTCAGAGGATGCAAGCCCCAAGCCTTGGCAGCTTCCATGTGGTGTTGAGCGTGCCAGTGCACAGAAGTCAAGAATTGGGGTTTGGGAACCTCCGCCTAGGTTTCAGAGGATGTATGGAAATGCCTAGATGTCCAGGCAGAAGTTTCCTGCAGGGGCGGGGCCCTCATGGAGAACCTCTGCTAGGGCAGTGTGGAAGGGAAATGTGGGATCAGAGCCCCCACACAGAATCCCTGCTGGGACACTGCCTAGTGGAGATGTGAGAAGAGGGCCACCATCCTCCAGACCCCAGAATAGTAGATCCACTGATATCTTGCACCATGCACCTGGAAAACCTGCAGAAGTCAATGCCAGCCTGTGAAAGCAGCCAGTAGGGAGGCTGTACCATGCAAAGCCACAGGGGTGGAGCTGCCCAAGACCATGGAAATCCATCTTGCATCAGCATGACTTGGATGTGAGACATGGAGTCAAGGGAGATCATTCTCGAGTTTTAAGATTTGACTGCCCTGCTGGATTTTAGACTTACATGGAACTTGTAGCCCCTTTGTTTTGGCCAATTTCTTCCATTTGGAATAGGCGTATTTACCCAATACCTGTACCCCCATTGTATCTAAGAAGTAACTAACTTGCTTTTGATTTTACAGGCTCATAGGTGGAAGGGACTTACCTTGTCTTAGGTGAGACTTTGAACTATGGACTTTTGAGTTAATGCTAAATGAGTTAAGACTTTGGGGAACTTTTGGGAAGCCATGATTAGTTTTGAAATGTGAGGAAATGAGATTTGGGAGGGGCCAGGGCAGAATGATATGGTTTGGCAGTGTCCCCACTCAAATCTCATCTTCAACTGTGGCTCCTATTATTCTCTGGTTTTGTGAGAGGGACCCGGAGATAATTTTATCATAGGGACATGTTCCCCCATACTGTTCTCATGGTAGTGAATAAGTCTCATGAGATCTGATGGTTTTATAAGGGGAAACCCCTTTCACTTGGCGCTCATTCTCTTTTCTTGTCTGCCACCAGGTGAGACTTGCCTTTCTCCTTCTGCCATGATTGTGAGGCTTCTTCAGCCACGTGGAACTGTGAGTCATTAAATCTCTTTCTTTTGTAAATCACCCAGTCTTGGGTATGTCTTTATCAGCAGCATAAAATGGACTAATATTTAATATAATTACTAATATATTTATGTATATTCACATTGTTGTGCATATATTACCACCATCCATCTCCAGAACATTTTTATTTTCTAAAACTGAAACTTCATGCCCATTAAACAATGACACCCATTCCACCTTCTTTCTAACCCCTGGGAACTACCACTCCATCTTCTGTCCCTGTGAATTTGACTAATAAAGGTATGCCATGTAAGTGGAATTATACAATATTTATCCTTTTATTCTTTGCTTATTCCACTTAGTACAATGTCTTCAGGATTCATCCATGTTGTATCATGTGTCAGAACTTCATTCTTTTTTCTAGAGATCCATTTTAGTTAAAAAATTTTCTTGAGTTTCTGAATATCTTCTAAATCTTTTTAAATGTTACTTTTTATTTATTTATTTTTTGATTTCCAACTTTTATATTAAGTTTAGGGGACATATGCAGATTGCACAGGTTTGTTACACAGGTAAATGTGTGCCATGGTGGTTTGGTGCACAGATAACCCAATCACCTAGGTATTAAGCCCAGCATCCATTAGCTATTTTTCCTGATGCTCTCCCTCCTCCCACCACCTACCGTGCAACAGGCCCCAGTGTGTCCATATGCATAGCCATATCCCCTCAATATGTCCATATGTTCTCCTTATTCAGCTCCCACTTATAAGTGAGAACACGTGATATTTGATTTTCTGTTCCTGTGTTCGGTTGCTGAAGATAATGGTGTCCAGCTCCATCCATGTTCCTGCAAAAGACATGATCTCATTTTTTCTATGGCTGCATAGTATTCTATGGTGTATATGTACCACATTTTCTTGATCTAGTCTATCATTGATGGGGATTTAGGTTGATTCCATGTCTTTGTTATTGTGAATAGTGCTGCAATGAACATACATGCGCATGTATCTTTATAATATATTGATTTATATTCCTTTAGGTATATACCCAGCAATGGGATTGCTGGTTCAAAAGGTATTTCTGCCACTAGGTCTTTGAGGAATCACCACACTGTCTTCCATAATGGTTGAACTAATTTACACTTCCACCAACAGTGTAAAAGCATTTATTTCCTCCACAACCTCACCAGCATCTATTGTTTTTTTGACTGTTTAATAATGGCCATTCTGATTGATGTGAGATGGTATCTCATAGTTTGATTTTCATTTCTCTAATGATTAGTGATGCTGAATTTTTTTTCATATGCTTTTTGGCTGCATGTGGTCTTCTTTTGAGAAGTGTCTGTTTATGTCCTTTACCCACTTCTTAATGGGGTTGTTTGTTTTCTCGTAAATTTGTTTAAGTTCCTAGTAGGTGCTGGATATTAGGCCTTTTTCAGATGGATAGATTGCAAAAATTTTCTCCCATTCTGTGGGTTGTCTGTTCACTCTGATGATAGTTTCTTTTGCTGTGCAGAAGCTCTTTTGTTTAATTAGATTGCATTTGTCAATCTTTGCTTTTCGCATCTTTATCAAGAAATCTTTGCCAGTGCTTATGTCCTGAATGGTATTGCCTAGATTTTTTCGTAGGGTTTTTATAGTTTTTGATTTTACATTTATATCTTTAATCCATCTTGAGCTGATTTTTGTATATGGTGTAAAGAAGGGGTCCAGTTTCAATTTTCTGCATATGGCTAGCCAGTTCTCCCAGCACTATTTATTAAATAGGGACTCCTTTCCCTATTGCTTGTTTTTGTCAGGTTTGTTGAAGATCAAGTGGTGTTTAATGTGTGGTCTTATTTCTGGGTTCTCTATTCTGTGCTATTGGTCTATGTGTCTGTTGTTGTACCATTATCATGCTGTTTTAATTACTGTAGCCTTATAGAATAGTTTGAAGTCCGGTAGCGTGATGCCTCCCTGTAGATTCTTTTTGCTTAGGATTGTCTTGGCTATTCAGGCTCTATTTTAGTTCCATATGAATTTTAAAATAGTTTTTTTTTATTTTGTGAAAAATGTCAATGGTAGTTTAATGAGAATAGTACTGCATTTGTAAATTGCTCTGGGCAGTATGGCCATTTTAATAATCTTGATTCTTCCTATCCATGAGCACAGAATATTTTTCCATTTGTTTGTATAATCTCAGTTTGTTTTGAGCAGTGGTTTGTAGTTCTCCTTGAAGAGGTCGCTTGCTTTTCTTGTTAGCTGTATTCCTAGGTATTTTATTCTCTTTGTAGCAATTGTGAATGGGAGTTCATCCCTGATTTGGCTCTTAGGTCACCTGTTATTGGTGTCTAGAAATGCTAGTAATTTTTGTACATTGATTTTGTATCTAGAGACTTTGCTGAAGTTGCTTATCAGCTTAATTAGCTTTTGAGCTGAGACAATGGAGTTTTCTAGATATGGGATCATGTTATCTGCAAACAAAGATAATTTGACTTTTTCTCTTCCTATTGGAATATGCTTTATTTCTTTCTCTTGCCTGATTGTTCTGGCCAGGACTTTCAATACTATGTTGAATAGGAGTGCTAAGAGAGGGCATCCTTGCCTTGTGCCAGTTTTCAAGGGAAATGCTTCCAGCTTTTGCCCATTCAGTATAATATTGGCTGTGGGTTTGTCATATATGACTCTTATTTTGGGGTATGTTTCTTTGATACCTACTTTATTGAGAGTTTTTAACATGAAGGAGTGTTGAATTTTATTGAAGGCCTTTTCTGTATCTATTGAGATAATTATGTGTTTTTTTCTTGAGATCTGTGTATGTGATGAATCACGTTTATTGATTTGTGTATGGGGAACCAGCGTTGCATCCCAGGGATAAGCCTATTTGATTGTGGTGGATATGCCTTTTTTGATGTGCTGCCGGATTTAGTTTGCAAGTATTTTGTTGAAGATTTTTGCATCAATGTTTATCAAAGATAATGGCCTGAATTTTTCTTTTTTTGTTGTATCTCTGCTAGGTTTTGGTATCAGAATTATGCTGCCCTCATAGAATGAGTTAGGGTTGAAGTCCCCCCTTTTCAGTTTTTTGGAATAGTTTCAGTAGAAATGGTACCAGGTGTTCTTTGTATCTCTGGTAGAATTCAGCTGTGAACCTGTCTGAACCTGGGCTTTTTTTTTTTTTTTTTTTTTTTTTGGTTGTTGTTTTTGTTGGTAGGCTATTTACTACCGCCTCAATTTCAGAACTCATTATTGGTCTATGTAGAAATTCAGTTTCTTCCTGGTTTAGTCTTGGGAGGATGTACATGTTGAGGAACTTATCAGTTTCTTCTAGATTTTCTAGTTTATGTGCATAAAGGTGTTTATAGTATTCTCTGATGGTTTCTTTTATGTTGGTCAGTGGTGATACCCCCAAATTATTTCTTATTGTGTTATTTGAGTCTTTTCTCTTTTCTTATTTATTAGTCTGGTTAGTGGTCTATTTCATTATTTTTTTCAAAAAGCCAACTCCTGCATTTGTTGATTTTTTGAAGAGTGTGTGTGTGTCTCTATGTCCTTCAGTTCATTTCTGATTTTGGTTATTTCTTGTCTTCTGCTAGCATTGGTGTTTGTTTGCTCTTAGTTCTCTATTCTTTTAGTTGTGATGTTAGATTGTTAACTTGAGACCTTTCTAGCTTTTTGATGTGGGCAAAGCTTTTTGATGTCTCTGCATTTAGTGCTATAAATTTCCCTCTTAACGTTGCTCTATCTGTGTCCCAGGGATTCTGGTGTGCTGTCTCTTTGTTCTCATTGGTTTCAAAATCTTACTGATTTCTGCCTTAATTTCATCATTTACCAAAGAGTCATTCCAGAGTAGGTTGTTTAATATCCATGTAGTTGTGCTATTTTGAGGGAATTTCTTAATATTAGTTTCTAATTTGATTGTGCTGTGTCTGAAGGACTGTTTATGATTTCAATTCTTTTGCATTTGCTCAGGAGTATTTTACTTCTGATTATGTGATCAATGTTAGTGTACGTGCCAAGTAGGGATGAGAAGAATGTGTATTCTGTTGTTTTTGGGTAAAGAGTTCTGTAGGCATCTATCAGGTCCACTTCATCCAGAGCTGAATTGAGGTCTTGAAAATCTTTGTTAATTTTCTGTCTCAATGATCTGTTTAATATTGTCAGTGGGGTGTTAAAGTCTCCTATTATTATTGTGTGGGAGTGTAAGTCTCTATAAAAGCCTCTAAGAACTTGCTTTATGAATCTGGGTGCTCCTGTGTTGGGTGCATATATAGTTAAGATTGTTAGATTTTCTTGTTGAATTGAACCCTTTAACATTATGTAGTGTCCTTCTTTGTCTTCTTTGATCTTTGTTTGTTTAATATCTGTTCAGAAACTAGGATTGCAACCCATGCTTTTTTCTGTTTGCCATTTGCTTGGTAGATTTTCCTCCATCCGTTTATTTTGAACCTATGTGTGTCTTTGCATGTGAGATGGGTCTCTTGAAGACAGCATGTTGATGGGTCTTGGCTCTTTATCCAGCTTGCCACTCTGGGTCTTTTAATTGAGGCATTTAGCCCATTTACATTTAAGGTTAGGATTGCTATGTGTGGATTTGATCCTATCATGTTGGTAGCTAGTTATTTTATAGACATGCTTATGTGGTTGCTTCATAATGTCACTAGTCTGTGTACTTCAGTGTGTTTTTGTAGTCACTAGTAACAATTTTTCCTTTCCATATTTAGTGCTTCTTTCAGGAGCTCTTGCAAGGCAGGTCTGGTGGTAATGAACTCACTCAGCATTTGCTTGTCTGAAAAGGATCTTATTTCTCCTTCACTTATGGAGCTTAGTTTGGCTGGATATGAAATTCTGGGTTGGAAATTCTTTTCTTTGTGAATTTCTTTAAGAATTCTTTAAGAATTGAAAGTCTTTCCCCAATCTCTTCTGGCTTGTGGGGTTTCCACCCAGAGGTCCACTCTTAGTCTGATGGGCTTCCCTTTGTAGGTGACCTGGCTTTTCTCTCTAGCTGCCCTTAACATTTTTTCTTTAATTTCGACCTTGGAGAATCTGATGATTATATGTCTTGGGGATGATCTTCTCATGGAGTATCTTACCGGGGTTCTCTGCATTTCCTGAATTTGAATGATGGCCTGATTTGCTAGGTCAGGGATGTTCTCTTGGATGGTATCCTGAAGTATGTTTTCCAACTTGGTTCCATTCTCACTGTCCCTTTCAGGTACCCCAATCAGTTGTAGATTCAGTCTCTTTACATAATCCCATATTTCTCAGAAGTTTGGTTCATTCCTTTTCATCCTTTTTATGTATTTTTGTCTGCCTGTCTTATTTCAGAAAGATAGTCTTTAAGTTATGAGATTCTTTTCTCTGTTTTGTCTATTCTGATATTAATACTCATGATTTATTGCATTGTGAGGTTCTTGTAGTGTGTTTTTCAGCTCTAACAAGTCAGTTATATTCCTCTCTAAACTGGCTATTTTGGCTGTCAGCTCACACATTATTTTATCATGATTCTTAACCTCTTTACATTGAATTACAACATGCTCCTTTAGCTCAGTGAAGTTAGTTATTACCAACATTCTGAAGCCTACTTCTGTCATTTCAGCCATCTCAGCCTCAGCCCAATTCTGAGCCCTTGCTGGAGAAGTGTTGCAGTCATTTGGAACAAAAAGGGCCCTCTGGCTTTTTGAGTTTTCAGCATTTTTGCAATGATTCTTTCTCATCTTTGTGGGTTTATCTGCCTTTGATTTTTGAGGTTGCTGACTTTCAGATTTTTTTTTTTTTTTTGGTGGTGGTGGTTATTGTTTTCTGTTTGTTTGTTTTTCTTCTAACAGTCTGGCCACTCTTCCATAGGTCTGCTGTGGTTTGCTGGGGTGCTACTCCTGACCCTAGTTGCCTTAGTTTTTCCCGTACCTGGGGGTATCACCAGTGAAGGCTGTAAAAAGGCAAAGATGGCAGCCTGCCCCTTCCTCTGGAAGCTCTGTTCCAGGTGAGACTGACCTATTGCTGGCCCAAGGGTGCCTGTAGGAAGTAGTTGGAGACCATGGTTGGCAGATCTCACCCAGTTAGGAGGAACAGGATTAGGGACTCCCTTAAAGAAGCAGACTGGCTGCATTTTAGTAGAGCAGCTGTGCTGTGTTGGGGATCCCTTCAGCTCCCAATTGGTTTGGGCTCTCCAAAGGACACAGGGTGGACTGGCTGAGAAGCCTGAATGGCCAAGGTGGCAGCCTGCCCTGACCCTCAGGCACTCTGTCCCAGGGAGAAATTAGGGCTCTGTTGGCTGGTAGAATATGGGTGGGGGTGGCTAGAGGCCCCAGCTGGGAGAATACCAGTGGGAGGGCCTGCCCTGTAAGAAGGAGTGAATCAAGGTCCCGATTAAAGAATCAGTCTTGTCACACCTCAACAAAACAGCTGTGTTGTGTTGGGGAACTTCCTCTGCTCCTGTCTGCTTGGATTCTCTAAAGCCCACAGGCTGGAATGGCTGAGTTATTCAACCAACCCAGGTGGTGGCCCTCCCCTCCCCTGGGTACTCCATCTTATGGGGAGATCAGAGCTCTGTCCATAAGAGGTGAGGGCAGGCTGGCTGGAGGGCCTGGCTGTATGGTCCTGCCCATTGAGGAGGAATGGATTGGGCCCTACTTAAAGAAGCAGTCTGGCCATGATCTGGCAAAGCCAGTATGCTGTGCTGCTAGGGGGACCATTACTTGTCCCAACTGTTTGGACTCTCCAAAGCCTATGGGCTGGAACAGCTGTTGACCAAACAGCAGAGATGGTGCCCACCCTTCCCCCTGGGGCTCCATCTGGTCTCAGGCAAGCTCCACCCTGTTGCTGGTAGCTGGCTGGAATTCCAAGCCAGTGGGTCTTATCTTTTCAGGTGCCGTGGAAGTGTGGCCTGCAGAACAATGCTGCTCAGCTCCCTGGATTCTGACCACTTCCTAGGGGTATGTGCAGACCTCTTGCCTTGCCTGAGTTGCAAACATGTTTGTTGGAAATCCCAGTGCCGGAGTACGTAAAGCACCTGGGTCTCTGTGCATGCCTGAACAGCTGCTCTGCCAAGACTCCACATAGCTCAGTGTGTTGGACCTAAGGCCCTGGTGGTATGGGCTCACAAAGGGAATCTACTGATCCATGGATTACAAAGATCCATGGGAGAAGCCTGGTTTCCTGGGGTTGCACAATCACTCATGGCTTCCCTTGGCTAGGGATGGGGGTTCCCTTGGCAAGAACCTGGGTATTTCATTTGAAGGTGCTGTATTCACTCACCTTTTTTGTTACTCTCTGTGAGTGCTGTGGACCACAGTTGCTTCTAATTGGCCATCTTGGACCCTCCCTGATGTTCTACCTTCCAAATCTTTAAAAACAATTTTCTTAACCATATTCATCATGGTTTTTTAAAAAGTACATGTTTAGTAACCATTATTTGTATCTCATGTGGGTCTACTTTCTTATTTTGCGTATGTGTCTTGCCTCATGATATGTCTTATTACTTTCAATTATTGGTCATTCAAAATTGTATTTGAAAATTATAGAGATTGTTAGAAGTTTAGAATGATGTCATGTTCTTCTAGAAATGATTTATGTTTACAAATCCAGATATATATTCAGGAATTAGTGTATTAAGCTGAATATCAGTCCCTGCAAAGCCCTGTCAATTTCTAGTATTACCTTCCTCCTACTGTAGTGCCCTTTAGGGTTCTAACAAAAGACCTGTAGTCCATCAGGATCCTCAATCCTTGGCAGGTCTTGAACCCCAATTTTGTCCTACTAACTATGAAATCTGTTTACATCCTTGCTTAGCTTGTGTCTCCTGGAATTGGCAGATATCCCTAGGGGAAAATCAGCCTGAGGTACCTGGTTTAACTCTGGGTTTCTCCCAGAATTTGGCCACCTAATTTTTCTCTATATTTTTAGTCCTTAGATGCTGTGAGATCCATGTTTGCATAAGCTTTTTCACTTCTTTTTATCTGTTCTCAGTGGAATGATTGGTCTGATTACTTTGCCATTACTAGATGAGTGTGTTTTACTTTTTTATTGAATGTCCAAAATATGGTATACTCTCTATAAAAAATCCATATTTATACCTATTCTGATTTTGAATAAGGGAAGACTATTGAATGAATTAATGAAATATGGGGGTTTCACGTTTTATTTCTCTGGACAATGTTTTATTTACTTAATTAAAGACCTCTGTTTTGTGTATAATGCTCTGCAAACAAACATTTTAGTTGTACAGGTATGTTTTAATTTTTCCTATTCTATTTGTAGTTCAAGACTTGACAAAAATGTTATTTTCACCATGAGCCTTTTTTTGATATCTCCAGGCAAAATAGTTGTTTTCTCTTTAGGATCTCCATATTTATTTTACAGTCTTAAAATCACTGTAACCATCTATGTGGTTTATATCTGTTTTATTTCTGCTATACAATTAAGCTTAGGAAGAAGAAATTGTGTATTACCAAAATATACACATTCCAAAATACCTAACTTTTTTTTTTGCATAGAATGAGAACTTAGTATATATTTGGAAAATAAATAGATGGATGAATGAATAATAAATAAAGATGCTGGAGTGCAGTGAAAGGAATGTTAATTGGAATAAGAAGAGGTAGGTTTACTTGTTGTCTCTGCCTTTGGGCAAGTGTTTTAACGTTTTCTCAGTGCCCTTATTTGTGAAACTGAAGTAAATGGCTACCTCAAGGAGTGTTGATCTCTGCCCGTGGACAAGTATTTTAAATGTTTTCTGTGTCTTTATTTGTAAAATGCGAACAAATGACTACCTCAAGGAGATCTGAAACTTAAAAACATAAGTGCACATTTATCTTAATGTGCATTGTAGAATAATATACAAATATAAGGCAGCCACTTATATTTTAAAAACCTGTGGTGGTAGGGGTGGGGAATATATGCCTGTAAAGGCATAAAATATCTTGAGAAGAGTACATAAGCAACTGTAGGCAGAGAAACTGGATAGAGGGAAGACAGGTTAGAAATTTGACTTTTTATGTTATATACCTTTTGAATTTTGAACCACATGCTTATGTTAACTACTAAAGATAAAACAAATTGGAATTTAAGAAAAATATAGTATATTATTATTTCATTTTGTATCAGAGAACTCCATTCAGCAAAATCACTTTTTGTGCTGATTGTAATGATTGAGATTCTTATCTAAATAATTAATTTTACAGATAAAGATTTATATAGTTGGCAAATTTCTTTGCTTTTCTTTATTTTTTAGAAAGTTCATTGTCTCATTTTTTTCTTTTTTTTTATTATTATACCTTAAGTTCTGGGATATATGTGCAGAATGTGCAGGTTAGTTACATAGGTATACACATGCCATGATGGTTTGCTGCATCCAACAATCCGTCGTCTACATTACATATTTCTCCTAATAATATCCCTGCCCTAGACCCCCACCCCCCAACAGGCCCCAGTGTGTAATTTTCCCCTCCCTGTGTCCATGTTTTCTTTACTTTTAACATTTGTTTTCTAGCTCAGAGCTTAGGGCATACATTGATTATTTCTTAAATTTGTTATATCACTTAGGTTTGTTAGATTAATACATAAATAGATTTGGAAGGGTCAAAAAGCTAGAGATTTTTGGAATGTGAGGTTCCTTGTCATTTAATAGAATTTCAAGATATTTCCTGAATACTCTGATACAAATAGACCTTTTTTAGAGAAGAAAAGTTTAGGGAACTGCAGTTACTCATGTATGCTTGGAGAGGAATATTGTCCTCATGGGTTGACCTCGTAGCACTGGCAGCAATACATGAGACTTAGAGGAGACAGGACTCTCAAACCATCCTAGTCAACCATCAGCTCTAAAGATAAATAGAGTGACATATGAGGCAGACAGAAGGCTTTTATTTCCAGAATTTCTGCAGAGGTTTTTGGAGTAAACATTTTGTGCATTTAAAATGTCTCTTAATATTCAGGAATCTTTCTTAGTCTTTGGTTTTGTCTATATTCTGGCCATTTCTAATTTCACCAGATGACCATGGAAGGTTGGTTGGAATTTGGAATGCAGCCCAGGGAAATACTGCTCACCTAAGTAGCTCTTGTTTAACTTTAGTGGAGGAGAAGGTAAAAATGAATGCCCACTCTGTGGATGAAGGTAGGTTTTGGAGCTCATTTATTCATCTCTTTCCCAGGTTGGCACGAATTAAAATAAAAAAATTAATCTCACTCTGTCTCCAGCTATTGTAAAACAATTTCTGATTTTTGTTTGTCTTTTCTTATTCTTTTTCTCAAACTCTCCAGCTTCACTAAATTTAATTTATGATGTTTTAAACTAAATAAACTGAAAAAGACTTCGAGATGAATCATTTTCTATTTATAATTTGTTTAGGTATCCCAGTTTTTCAGTCATATCTCTTGAAAGACTCAGGATTTTTATCATAACCTTTTAAAATTTGGTATATTACCCTTGAGGGGTAAGTGCGATGTTTGCCTAGAATCCTGCAATTTATGAATTTAAACAGCAAAAATAAATCACTACCGGCATTATATTAACAAAAGATTTATAGTCACCACAAAGCTGCAAACAATAAGATGTTGTTATTTAGCTTCAACTTGATTAAAAAACTGAGCAAGTGATTATACATTCATGGCTTTTGCTCCTGTAGCTCAATGTGAAATATAGTATGGGAACCAGTTTTCTAGGTGTTTCGGTTACCTATTATATATAGCTTGGGGTGGTTTGTTACCACCCCATCAGCATTGTTCTGAAGCTGCAATGAGATGGGCAATATAAGGTCTATAAGCATTCAATTATTATGAACTATTATTATTATCTTCCCTTATGATTTCAAGCACATTTATAACATAATAGTTATTTTAACTTGTATTTTCCTAGGCTCCCTGTAGTTTAAACAGCCAGGTTGATGATGATGCCCTTTACTAAAATAGAAGGAATGAGACAAAAATATGTAATTTTGCAAGGAATGATTCTAGAGGCTGTTAAGAATATGTATGAGCATATATTCAATTGTTCATGTATACATGCATAGATTTAATATATGCAGATGTATAACGAGAGAGAGGGAGAGAGAGAAAGAGAGAGGGAGATAATGAGAGAGAGGTAAGGGGTAAATAATTTTGGAGCCAACTATCCCAGCTGATAATGCATAACTAAGACCTTCATTACTCTTTGCTCTTGAAGACAGAAATTTTACCTTATTCATCTTTATAGTTTCTCTAACACACAACATTATCTGTCAACTTCATGTGGCAGGGCATTCATAATTTTTTTTGCTAAACTGTACTAACATATTCCAGCTAGAGTCAGCATGAGAAATAATCTGGAGACAATTTTTGAAGCTCCTCATTATTTCACAGATTCAGTTATTCCAGGTTAAACCATGCCTTTCATTTACTGAGTGTTCTAAATATTCTTCTTTGCTTTCTCAATATGGTAACAGAACACAGAGAAATGTACAATGTGAGTATTCTCTTTGTTTTTTAATGTCAATAACTTCTTTTAGAACTTGAAACAAACGTGTCTGTTTTGTCATTTATTAGTATTCAGTCCTAATTTATATTTATAATTCATAAAATGTTTTATTAGTCATTTCAGAATTTGATAAAAAAATAAACCTTTTAGGTATCACCATTATACTCATACAATCAGTAAGGAAGCATGCTCAGAGTTTAACCATTCAGCTAGTGCATGGTGGAAGTAGGACTTAAACTTTTGTCTTCCAACTTCAGGATGTGTGCATGGCAAGGGCTTCATCAGGAAAAAGCAACTTTGGGGATGTATATGAATTTAAATCATTCCTATTACCTTGAATAAGTTGAAATGATCCTGCATATTTCAAAATGTCTAATTAAAACACTTTAGAAACATCTTTTTTTTTTTTTTGAGGTGGAGTCTCGCTCTGTCACCCAAGCTGGAGTGCAGTGGCGCTATCTCGGCTCACTGCAAGCTCCGCCTCCTGGGTTCACGCCATTCTCCTGCCTCAGCCTCCCAAGTAGCTGGGACTACAGGCGCCCGCCACCACGCCCAGCTAATTTTTTTTGTATTTTTAGTAGAGACGGGGTTTCACCGTGTTAGCCAGGATGGTCTTGATCTCCTGACCTCATGATCCGCCCGCCTCGGCCTCCCAAAGTGCTGGGATTACAGGCGTGAGCCACCGCTCCCGGCCAGAAACATTTTTTAAATGTACCACCTGTGATTCTTCAGCAACATTTATGATTATTTTAAATACACAGGTTATTAATTCATAATCAAATTGAACTACAATGCTAGTATAAAAAATTGTCAACAAATAAATCTATCATTAAAGGAAATTTTTTTAAAGTTGTTCCTTTGGGGCTAGTTAATGTATAACATCTTGAAAGTAAAATTATTTTAATTCTAGCAAGCTAACAATACTATATCAGGTTAAGAAACTATTTTGACTACAATATTGTCTTTACTCATAAACACCTATCTTGGCATATAGAAAATTTCATTAAAAAGACTTTTTTTTTCCTTCAGCAATTGATAACCACAGTACAAAGCTTTCTTCCACTGTTATTTTAAAATATAAACCTGGCTTGTAGCCAACACCAACTAACTTGAGACAGAGCGGGAGGTTATTAATGTTAAGCAAATGGAGATTCAATCCTGATTTTCAGAATTTGTTTCTATAAAGCAGAGAATTACACTCAGTATGAAAGTACCATGCTGTTTTTTTTTTTTTCAACCAAGCAGAGGTATGCCCAGCATTTTAGAAACCACAAAATAAACACAGAGACTTTTGTACAAAATAAAGAAGGATATATCCATTTATCATTGCAAAGAAGGGTTCAAATATTTTTTAACTCTCATCATGACTTCTTGTAACACATGGGTCATTTAAAATATGTGTTTTTATTTCAAGCTCCTTTTCATTACTGATTTCTTAATTTATTGTGGCCAAATATATACTCTATATGACTTTGTCCCTTTGAAATTTGTTGAGAATTTATTTTGAGGCTCTGTTATTACATACATAACAATTTAGAGCCGGAGGAGAGAGGATCAAAAAACTACTTATCACGTACTATGCTTATCACCTGGGTGATGAAATAATCTGCACATAAAACCCCTGTGATAGGCAATTTACCACATAATAAAACTGCACATGTACCCCGAAACGTAAAATAAAAGTTAAAAAAAATTTAGAAATATTTTGTCTTTCTCTTGAATTAAAACATTTATTTCACAATGGCCATTTTTATCTCATTTCCCTTTTGCTTATCTTCTTCCCCTTCCTGCTTCTCCTTTTCTCCCCTCTCCTTCTTCTCCTCCCACATACCATACATACATTGTTCTAAACAAACCAAAAGAAGTTGCATTTTACTTACAACAAAAGTTAATCCAATTGCTCTGAAAGAAAATTTAATGATTTATAAAACCCAGGTCAGTCTCAAACAAAAAAGAACCCATGTTACATTTCCACGTGACTCCACACGATAGGGGCATTCAGGTAGTAGAAGCTTAGTGGTATGGCCGGTTTGCTATGGCACACAGCTCTTTCTTTGTGGTTGATGATGTGTCTACTAACCACATAATATCTTCATTACCAGTATCACAGAGGTATCACCAGGAAAACTACTTGTGTGACCTGTCCTAACACAATAATTTTTATTTTTAATTGTTCTGGATTTATCCTTCTCACAGAAGTTTCGATATTATACTGAACTTCATTCAGGACAAAAGGATGCTTCCCTAGCACAGCAGGGATGTGGTTTTGTGGTTTTAACATGAGTTGATGGACTGGCTATTATTCTAGATGCTGTTATCCATGATCAGGATTTGCTACAATTGTCATTCTGGACAGCTATTGATTAAAGCCTCTTTGCTTACCAAAAATAGAAAACACACGTTTATTGAGCCTTCATCCTGTGCCAGGCCTTATAGAAGTGTACATCACAGAGGTATTTAGTCCCCAATTTGTTTTGATAGTTCTGTCTAAACTTTTAAAGAAGAAGCCAATTTGGATAACACAAATGGTCATTGCTCAAGTAAAGCTGAAACACCCTGTCATTTGTATGTTCATAAACACTTGCAAAATACTTTCTATGAGTTCCCTAACCCTCAGGATGATGCCAGGGGCAGGTATTATAATTAAGAGCTTCTAGTAAAGGGAGTTGAAGTTTAAAGATATTAAGTGATTTTTCCGAGATCCCTTTAGTGGTGGTAGAGTAGGGTGCTGAGGCATACTGGAAAGGGCATGGCATCAGAGAGACCTGAATTCAACTTCCACCGTCTCTGTCATTTCCTGCGTTACCTTAGACAGGTTCCTGAAATATATCTGATCCTGTTTTTCATATTCCTTGGCTTTGACATGGGGTTCTTGATGGGTTTAAATTAACTAATGAGTGTGGAAGTGTCTGCAACCTGAAAAGTGTTGTCAGAGTGTGAGTCACTCTTATTTAATCTTTAGGTAAGTGATTACAGTGTCACAGACCACATTTCAAGTCAGACAGAACTAGTTGTAACTAGCATGTGCTGCATGAATTTGAGTGTGTTACTTGAGCTCTCTGGGTATGTGTCTCCTCAGCTGTAAAATATGTGTCATAATGCAACCTTGTGTATTGTGAATATTGACCAAAGCCACAGAAGTGAAGCTGTGGTGCACAGCTCACAGGAGGCACTTGGTGAATGTCAAGGCTTCTCTTTCTAGAATCAGCCCAGTGTCTGTATTGGGACAGCACCATCTCCTTAGGAGAGCACTGCCTGCATTAGTCTAGCACAGGAGATCTGTAATGGACTATGCGGGCCATTCCATGGATAAGTAATCTGACCTAGAGAGGTGAACTGACTTTTTCAGGTCATAGAGCTAATGGCAGAGTTGAGAGTTGAACTGCATTCTGATTTCAAATTCAGTAATTTTTTTTAACATTATTAACATTTTCAAAATTCAATAATACATTTTAAAAATTGTCCTTGCCCTGTAAAAGTGATTTGTATTAAGAACACATTCGTATATGTAGATAGCATTGCTAGTGCAGGTGAATCAAACCTGAATTGTTCTACATCACAAATAGCCAGTATAGAAGTTTAAGTGCAGAAAGATTTCTTTGTATATCTTGGGGTATTCTCTGTAACAGAACCACAGTGCTCCCTTGGAAACAAGGTGTCCACTTTTAATGTCTACATTTTACTTGATTTTAAATTCTCTATAGCTATTACTTCAGAGACTTATACTTGTTGACAGCTATGTGTAGTGGAAAGAGCCTAGCACTGAGGCGGTCAAGAGATCTGGATTCTAGTTCTGGATTTGGCATTACTTAGCTATTGTTCGCTGTTGGAAATGTAACTACTACTCCTATGACAGCTTGAAATATCTTGAAGTGAATCTGAATGATTTCTAAGTGTATTAGTTTCCTGTTGCCACTGTAACAAATTACCACAAATTTAGTGGTTTAAAGAACACAATATAAACTCTTACAATTCTGGAGGGTGGTCAGAAGTCCAAAATGGGTCTCATGGGGCTAAAATCAAGGCATTGGATTCTTCTGGAGTCTCTAGGGAAAAATCAGTTTCCTCGCCGTTTTCAGCCCTTAGAGGCCCCTGCACTCCTTGGTCATGGCCCCTTCCTGGGATCACTTCCACCTTTTGCTTCCATCATCATCATGTCTCCTACTCCTCTCTGACTTCTCCAATGTCTTTCGTGTAAATACCCTTTTGACTTTATTGTGCTTCCTTGAGTAATGTAGGAGAAGCCCCTCATCTCAAGATCCTTGACTGGA
This sequence comes from Homo sapiens, assembly GCF_000001405.40. NCBI lineage: Eukaryota > Metazoa > Chordata > Mammalia > Primates > Hominidae > Homo > Homo sapiens. The sequence continues at coordinate 89,464,262 of NC_000001.11, read as the reverse complement.
TCACACCTGCAAAGTTTCTTTTACCATACAAGGAAACATTCAGAGGTTTTTGAGGTCAGGATGTGGGCACATCTAAGGGGCATCATTCAGCCTACCAAAGAAACCACAGTGGTCAATGATGGATGATTGGGGAATGCGGTCAGAAAGAATGAACTTATTTTTGGTACCTTCACTTATTTCTTGAATATATGAACAGATAGCAGATAATATAGTGTATGAGATTCAGAGTCATGTAGACCTGCATTAAAACCCCAGCTATACCACTTACTAGCTGTTTGACCTTAGGCAAAAAATATAATTTCTCTGAGTTTCTGCTTCTTCATCTGTAAAATGGGAATAATAATATGAGTTCTATATGTCTGTGCGTGTTTTTGTGTGAGGATTAAAATAACATATGTGAAGCGATTAGTACAATAACTAGTACAGATCAAGGTCTCAGTAAATGAGGCTATCACAACTGAAGCTGAGCCTTGCTTCTAACTCAGTGTACTTCTCAATATTTATCTGTGCAAGGGACCAGTTTTGTTTACTGTTACCTTAATTTTAATATTTTTATCTTTCCCCTCCAGTTATCATTCCCATTTCTTCCCCTGCCTTTTCAATAAGTCCTGTTTAACACACTTGCTATGTGTCTTTGAATGTACATATTTTATATAAAATCATATAGCATTATTTTATACGTGTGTGTTTCTAATTAAATGGGATGTAAAATACATTTAATGTTTCTTATTTTTTTCCACTCACTTTTGTGTTGTTCAAGATTTGTCCATCCAGCATGTTAGTTTTCCTCTCTGGCTATGGTCATCTAGGGTGCTTCAGTATCCCCTGCCATAGATGCCTATGCATTTACATGTCCCTGTAGAGAAGTTGGAAAGAGTTGCTCTGGGATATACATTCAGCAGTTGGAAGAAGGCTTATGGTACAAGTATTGCCAGATTGCTCTCTAGAAAGACTATACCATTTCTTCTTCTACCAGAAGAACAAATGTTCTTGTTTAGCATTGGTTTGCTGACATTTAGTGTTTTCTGACTCTGATTTTTTTTTTTTTTACAGGTGATAGTTACAAAGTGGTATCAGATTTATTTTTTAATTTTTTAACACTAGTAGGGTTGAGCACTATATATTTACTAGTTTTCAGGTTTTTCCATCCTATGGATACAAATAGTATGCATAATTTATATGGATATAAATTATTTGCTCATTATTGGCTTAACTAGCTTTTTGTTTTAGTTGCTTGTTAATTTGTTGGTATGTCTTGAATGTTCTAGATATTACTTCTTTATTGGGTTAATACATTTAAAATTTCTTGTTGAAACCTCTCAGGCTTTTGCTAACTTTATCACATATATATGTGTATATATATATTATAATGTTATATATTCTACATATACCCAGATGTAGATATTACATCAATTTTAGGTGCTGTAACTAGCTTTGCCAAGTCATCTGTATTTTATGGATTTGAGGGTTCCCTTAATGAAAAGAAATTCAACGATTTTCCCTCTATGATGTGTAATTGTTTTGGAGTCTTCTTAAAAAGATCTTTCCCACCCAAGATAAAAAAGATTCTTTCCTATATGGTCTCATTTGGCCTTTCTGAAAAGTAACCAGTTGCAGAAGATGCTCAATTATGTGAAATTAGTAAATATAGAAGAAGCATCAGTTGATTACTGTAGCAGTTCAACACTAAGGAATATGATGGTTGGTTTGGTTAAATTTTACTTAAAGTGATTCAACTTAAACTTGGGGGGAAAAAATCTTAGGTCAACAATTAGTCGGTACTTAGTCTCTGCCAGGTGTGGACTGAACTATCCAAAGCATGCTGGAGTTGGAAAGAGCCAATGGGAGAAATGAGGCAAGGGTCACGCTGAGTTCAGCCCAGAATTTGGGGCATGCTCTACAAAACCGTGCTGCCTAGGGCTGGCCACAGAGTCACTGGGGGCAAAAGGACTAACAAAACTGTAAAAGTGTGTGTTGGGGTAACAGCCATTTTGAAAATGTTTTAATGGTGATAAGAATGCATGTGTCAACCATGGATTAAGAGAATGATAACACTTTGCAGCAGATTTTAGACACACACTGCTTGCTTATGGCGAAATTCCTAGAAAGTTACCTGTGGAGCTTAATAACTTCTAGTCACTTCCTAGTTACCTGGAACCTTTTTAAAGGAAGAGATCATGTATTACTTGTTTGACTTCCTAACATGCAGCACAACACCCAGCACAGAGTAAATGCTTAGCTAACATTTGCTAATGGGATAACAGCAGCAGATTAGTGCAGGGAGCACCTTCATCATCTGTCTATGCTGTAAGGCAACGCAGTCTGAAAGACTGTGTTGAAATAAGTTCACTGGAAAAAACCCAAAGCCTTCCAATGAATACTCAGTCACTTTCATGGTTAAAACCGTAGAAAAGTGCAAAGCACCTAAAGCCATAGATGAGTTTATGAGCCTAGGTAGCTGTCACCTAGCACTGGCTTCAAAGGAATGACGTTATGTAAGACAGAGTACAAATTGGGGATGGGAGTGTGGGTGTAAGGGCAAAGGTAAAGGAAGGAGGTACCTTAAAGGAAAAAGAAATTAGAGTACCTTGAAGGACAAAATAGATGGTTCTGTATCAGTGGATATTCAGACATCTGGGCCTCTTGGACTCTAAGAGCGTTTCCTTTACATTTATCGCATATGGCAGTTCAGAAGCAGTAAGTACATGATCTTTGTTTTTTTTTTAATAAACTTTATTTTTAGAGCAGTTTTAGGTTCACAGCAGTACTGAGCAGAAGGTACCAAGATTTCCCATGTACCCACTGCTCCCACACAAGTATAACCTCCCCCACTATTCATATCCTCCTCTAGAGTGGCACTTGTGTGACAATTTATGGACCTCCATTGGCACATCATTATCACACAAAGTGCGTAGTTTGCATAGGGCTACCCTTGGTGTTGTGCATTCTATGGGGAAATGCATAATGTCAGGTATCCATCATTATAGCATCATACAGAATAGTATCACTGCCTTGATAATCCTCTGTACTCTGCCTGTTCGTGCCTCCCTTCCTTTAACCCCTAGAAATCATTATTCTTTTACTGTCTGCATGGTTTTGTACTTTCCACAATGTCATATAGTTAGAATCATATATATCCAGCCTTCTCAAGTTGGCTTCTTTCACTTAGTAATATGCGGGTTCTGGTGGATTCAGATTTCCTTACCTCTTTCTTCTACTGCCTTTGGCTTATCTGCCCTGAATCTCTTCCTATAAACTTTCACCTTTGTAAACTTTTTTTCTCCAGGCAAAATCTTTCACCTCTGGAAGCACAGTGTGTTGCCTCTTGGAAATCCAGTCTTATTCCACAAAAGAGAAGTATGTAAACATAGCTGTTTATTAATTCTCTCTCTTTTTCTCTTTTTGTCTTCCTCCTCCCTCCCTCTCTCTGTCTCCCTCTGTACCTCTGTGTTTCTCTCTGTCAGTTCTGTAAGGATCAGTTCAACTCTCTTAAAATACCCCTGCTGTCCTCATGTGGACATCTGCTGAGAAGCATGATGTCTTCGAAATTGATGGCCAAGTGGTTAAAGAGGAATTGGTGGAATTATCACCTGGCTCCCACCAGTGGGCTCCTGGTGAGTTGCCTCCATCTCTGGCTGCTGCCAGGACTTTGACCTACAGTCACAGCTTTACCAGGTCTTTGGTTTAATTTGATAGACTCAGCTCATTTCCTGGTGCTGGTAGCATATGAGTAGTTCTTCCTTATTTTCTTGTCTCAGTACCAAGGTCTGTAGTCAAAGGAGAAAGTAAAAGCAATTTCTTCATTAAAGTGCATGAAGCTTCTCCATGTAGAGAGTTGATAGCTCTCTTTGGAATGGAAAGAGCTGCCACCTGTTGGATTGTTTCTAGATGGGATCAGGATGGTCCTTGTCTGGTGTCCAGATTGACCTTCATCCTGGGCACCAGAGAGTCTCGGTGGGCTCTTTCTGCTGTTGCTTTATTTTTCCTCTAGGACTGGGCAGAATTCATTTTTTGAAGTTAGAAAAATAACACGTGTTTATTTGTACAACCTTTAAGAAAAGCAGATAGTGAAAGAAAGAAAATAAAAGTGACCCATGAATTTCAACATACTGTCATACTGTTAATAGTTTGCATTGTCATCCTATATGTGTATATACTTCTTAGAATCATTGTATCCCATTGCAGATTAGAAGTGGTTTTATACCACTCTACACAAAACAGCATATTGCAAGAATTTTTCTATGCTATGATGTATAATTGACATCATGTTTTTAATGCTGTTCAGCATTTCTCATATTGACATTGGTGCTTTTGCACTTGGATTTCCTTTTCTGAGGATAGGAGGATTTGAAAGGTCTTCCTTTGGTTGGTTTCTTGTTGTCATGCAATCCTCAGCCCAAATACCACCACCTTAGCATGGCCTTCCTTTGTCCTCAATTTAAAGAGTCTCTGCCACTTGTCATTTCCCATACCATAAGTCACTCATCCTTTGAAATGATCTTGTTCATTTATTTGTTTGCTTGTGTTGGCTCTGCCCTGTGTAGAATATGGGCTTCCTGAGAGCTGAAACCTTCTCTATCTTTATTACGACACATCCTCAGGGATTAGAATAGTATGTGATGCAGATAATTTCCTCAGTAGATATTTGTAGACTGACAGACTGAATCCACTCAGTTGCTGCACCAATGTACCAAATGCATTCAAGCAATTTCTTATTGCCAAGATCTCAATTGTACTGTTTTTTTTCTGATTATTTTATCTGATTATTAGTGATATTGAGCACCTTTTCAATATATTTTCAAAATATTTTATTTCTGGGTTCTCTATTATGTTTCACTGGGCTCTCTATTCTGTTTCATTGGTTTGTTTTCCAGAGACAAGGTTTTCCTCTGTCACCTAGGCTGGAGTGCAGTGCAGCAATCATAGCTCACTGCAGCCTCGAATTCCTGGACTCAAGCGATCCTCCCACCTCAGCCTCTCAAAGTGCTGGTATTACAGGAATGAGCCACCATGCCAGGCCCATTTATAATACTTTAACATTACAAGAATGTCTTTGTGCAGTAGGACAGATCTTTTTTTCCTCTCAACATTTTAAATTGAAACATTTTAAACATCCAGATAAGTAGAAAGAATACAGCAATGAACACCCACATAACTTTGATCAAAATTAAAAGTTGGTTAATATTTTGGCACACTTTCTCTCTGTACACTTTCTTTAATGAACCATTTAAAAGTAATTTGAAGACTTTGTAATACTTCATAATTAAATATGGTATTAAAAAGAATTTGAACTTAGTTTGTCTTGCAGGCTGTGATTTAGTACAGTTCATCTATTTTGTGAACCATAGTACTCTTTTGTAAGTAATGGCTTTTATTTTAAGTATCAATTTCCCCATTTTGACCAGCTGCAAACAGGAATATTTATTTATTTTTAAAACAACTTCATTGAGGTGAAATTGATATATAACAACTGCACATATTTATTATATACAATTTGATAGGTTTCAATGTATGCATATACTTATAAAATCATCACCACAATCAATGCAATAGATATATCCACCCCTCCAGAAGTTTCCTTGTACCTCTTTGTTTATTTTGTAGCAACATATAACATGAGATCTAGCCTCTTAACAAATTTTTAAGTGTATGATACTGAAACTTTATACCCATTGAATAACCACTCCCAATTTTCCCTTCCGTCAACTCTTGGCAACCACCATTCTATTCTCTGCTTTTATGAGTTTCACGATTTTAGATTCCACATATAAGTGAGGCCATGCAGTATTTGTCGTCTGTAACTGGCTTTATTTGTTTAGCATAATGTCTTCAGGTTTATCCCTATTGTTTCAGATGACAGAACATTCTTTTTAAAAGCTAAATAATATTCACACACATTTTTATCCATTTTTGGATATTTGTGTTATTTCCATATCTTGACTATTGTGAATGATTATTGTGAATAATGAACTTGGGAGTGCAGCTATCTCTCCAGGGTCCTGGTTTTTCTTCTTCTGAATGTATACCTAGAGGTGATATTGCTGGATCGTGTGGTAGTAATATTTTTAATTTTTTGAGGAACCTTCATAGTGTTTTGCATAGTAGCCACACCCTTGTACATTCTAATCAACAGTGTACAAGGGTTCCAATTTCTACAATCATTATCAACACCATTATTTTTTAAAGTTTCTTTTTTTTTTTTTGATGGGGTCTTACTCTGTCACCCAGGCTGGAGTGCAGTGGCATGATCTGGGCTCACCACAGCCTTGATCTCCCCAGACTCAGGTGATCCTCCAACCTCATCCTCCTGAGCAGGTGGGACTATAGGTGCAAACCACCACACCCAGTTAATTTTTGTATTTTTAGTAGAGATAGGGTTTTGCCATGTTATGCAGGCTGGTCTTGAACTCCTGGGCTCAAGAGATCTGTCCACCTCGGCCTCTCCAGGAGCTAGGATTACAGGCATGAGCCACTGTGCCTGGCCTTTTTTTTTTAAATAGTAGCCATCCTAACAGGTGTGCAGTGATGTGTCACTGTGGTTTTGATTTGCATTTCTCTGATTATTAGTGATATTGAGTGCCTTTTCAATATATTTTCCAAATATTTTATTTCTGGGTTCTCTATTCTGTTTTATTGGGCTCTCTATTCTGTTTCATTGGTCTATATGTCTGTCTTTATGCCAGTTCCATACTGTCTTAATTACTGTAAATTTGTATTACATTTTCAAATCAGGAAGTGTGATGCCTCCAGCTTTGTTCTTCGTTCTCAGGTCACTTTGACTATTCTGGGTGTTTTGTGCTAAGCTCTTGGCTTGACTTCATGGACCATCCAAGATATGCAACCCCATAATTAACACATTTTCTAGTTTCCCTATTTAAAGCTTTAGACATCTTGGGGCTTTGCTGATCCTGGAGAGACTGATCCTCCCAGGGCTAGGCAGTTTTTAGAGATACTAAGGGATTCTCCTGCAAGTGTGCCTTTCATATGCAAACTAACCAACCTGAAGCCCACACGCCACCACTTTCTCTGTTGGCTCTCACACTCTGGGTCACTACCCATCTGCCCTACTCACCCAAAGGCCAAATACCAGAAAGTAAGAACAATTCCTCTGCTTCAGAGCCCACTGAAATTATTCCAGCTAGCCAATCCTAAACCTGCTTGCCCTGCTAGTTCTAGTTCACAGTTGCTCTGAATAGCATCCTTGACTGTAACTGGAACCACCTGGAGGTGGAGCGAGGCTTTAAAACACTCACACTCAGCCTCAACTCTAGACTTACTAAATCAGTCTCTGGTGATGGGTCAGAGCTCGAGTGTAAGGATTTTTAAGGAGAACCCCAGTTGATGATTAAGTGCAGCAAGTATTAAGAATTACTTATTTAGTCTTTTGACTTCTAAAGGAGGCCTCCTACTAGACTCTTTACTTTAGACAAGCTCTGGTCTTTGACCTCTGTCTGCTTACTTCATAAATGCCTTCAAAACTGAAGGTTGCCACCATGGCACATGTATACCTATGTAACAAACCTGCACATTCTGCACATGTATCTCAGAACTTAAAGTATAATAAAAATAAATAAAATAAAAAGCAAAACAAACAAAAATCCCTGAAAGTTCATTCCCTTTGTTGGCAAATGCTATTAGGAAAAAAACAGCTTCAATAACTCCACTTAACTCTTTGGTCTCCCACCTTCCCTTGGAATTTGGTCTTTAAGATCATTCATGACAAATTAGTCCATTTTTAATACTGCTTTTAAAAATATTAAACATTTTTAAATCCAAAATTTTACCTTTTTTTCAGCACAAATCTTTGTCTGCATAGATTATTCAGATTAGTCTACCACACTCCCCAAATCCTCAGCCTAAGTTATTGCCAAAACTCGTATCTGCTCATTCTGCCACTTGCTTCTATTCTCAAATCCATTTAGCAGTGCGGCCATAGCAGACAGTTCCAGCAGCTGCTATGTCCTCTGTTGAGAGTCTTTCTCCTTTACTTACTCAGGTTTTTGTTCAGGCTATGTAAGGCTGCCTCTTTTGCCCAAGCACAGCTTATAAATTCAGAGGAGCTAAAGTCCCTGAGGGGAACTCTCAACCAATGGAAACTGGGTTGTTAAATAAATACTCCACATTGTCCCTCAAAGAGACAATTATGAAATGCACTCTATATAATTCTTCAGAATATCCACTTTGGGATTGATCTCCAGTTGCTCACAATAGTAACCAACTCATTAATTCGCCTTTTTAGCTTTGTCCGTGTGTTACTCTCCCTTTCCCTGGCTTCCTGTCACCATTTCCCAAATAAACTATACACATCCAAGTCTTTCCTTGTTGGAGAGAGAAACCAAATAAAAACACATTATCCCCATGGGAACCTAAGACCTTACCATTTCTTTCATCATTTCAATTAACCTTTAAAAAACCTCCATCATAGTCATGTTTACATTAGAAAATGCATACAGTGTTATCAATGTATGAATTTGATTTATTTATGTAGCTGGATTTCAACTTTATTATAACAAATTTTATTGTGAATTTTATATTTCAAATATATGTTTATTATTTATTTTATAATTAATATATTACCAAAATTCATTTTATAATAAATATTTATATTAATACCATTATAACACATTTAATCAATATTTAATAAATAATACATATATAAAGTTTATATTTACAATAAATATTAATATAGTAAACTTTATATATAAAATTTATTTCAAATATTTGAAAAATAAATTTGATTTCACCATAATTTATAATTTATTATGAATTTCTATAAACTCTATATTGCCATCAATAAATTTCCATAAATTCTATACTGATATCTATATATTCTATATTGATATCACTTTCCACAGGAAAATTCATTCGTATATTACCAAATAAATTACCAAACATAGCCACATGATGGCAGTGCCTGCAAGCGCTTATCTCTTCAGTGTAGGCATGATACATCCATGATAACACTGCTGTTCCTTAATCTGTGTTTGAGGTGAACAGGCCGTATCTAGCAAATGCAAGCAGAAATATCTCTGCAAAATCTGTATTTATAACTTCATTGTCCACCCCGCTAGGACTAGCCGGAGTCATCATGACATACATCCAAATGTTAGGCTTTCTTGCTCACTCACAGGGGCCTGCAGACCTGGGCAGGTGTCCCCCTAGCCAGACCAGGTTCTTCCTCTTTACTACTGATTTTGTTCCATCACCACGTATTACTCTGTGGCTTATGTAGGAGCTGTGGGCAGCACTATGCTGTTGGGAGTTAGACAATTAATTGAGCAGACATGTCAATTCATTGCTCAGGAATCCAGGCAGAAATTCACTTGACTGATAGTCAGATAGACAGAGTAAACACATTTTTTGTTGGTATCTCTGCTCCGATGAGAATTTTTATATGTTGTTTGATCCAAATCACCTTAGAAGTAGACACTTAGACTGAGAGCCTGGAACTGATCCACTAACTTGTAAGATACCTGGGCTGGTAATAATCCCTTGCATATTGTTCCATTAACTTTACCTAATCCAGGGGTCAGCAAACAAGAGATGGGCCAAATTTATCCCACTGCCTACTTTTGTAAATAAAGTTTTATTGGAACACAGCCACACTCATTTGTTACATATTGTCTATGGTTGCTCTGGAAGAATAGATTTGACAGAGACTTATGGTATGCAAATCCTAAAATATTACTATTTGGCTTTTAAATTTTTTCAGAGATGGAGTTGCCTACATCTGGAGTGTAGTGGATGGCCTCAAGCGATCTTCCTGCCTCAGCCTCTAGAGTAGCTATTACTCCTGGTGCATGATAACATGCTTGGCTTATTTAGCCTTTCATGAAAAAAGTGCAAGAGTTTGAGCAAAATGTTAAGGATGAGCCTCTCTAGATATGCAATTAAGGATTAGTCATTTTTATCTTTACTTGTCTTTATTTTTTAATTATTTTGTTGTAAAATGATTACCTGCTGAACTAGACATATATATGAGTATATACATTCATATTTATATATTGGTATGTTATATATAATTAGCTCTTAACAAGAGAGTTCACTTGTCCCTTGAAGCTTTGAAGCCAGGCATTGACTTCTCTTCTCTACTTATGAAAGATCATATTTTATGTGTATATATATATATATATGTATATATATATCCATAAAACACACACATACACACACAGAGTTTGGACTATATAGTTATTTTTAAGTAATAAGGATCAGCCAGATAGGGACTAATTTTATTTCTAATAGAAGCGTATACAGCTCTTACTCTGAAGCTTTCCAAAGTGTGACTACTAGAAAGATAGAAAAAAAAAACGCTCTCTTCAGGTTATGATTGCCTAGAAGCTCCTTGACAGCGACGGTCTTGCTTTCTGCATTTTTGGGCCTGCTGCAGGGCCTGATAGAGGTAGCCATGCAGGCGCCCACCATGGCTCTTTCCAGGCCAATCACTGCTGCCCTGAGATGATGTTTGGGGAGCAGCACATCCAGGGGGACGCAGCATTCCTGGCTGTCACCGCTCATCTGTCATTGGTTTAAGTGGAGAAGCTGAGCTTCCCCAGAACTAAAGCCAGCCACAGACTCCTGCAGGCCAGGCAGCAGGCACCCTGCCCTTCCTGCCCATTCCTCAGTTGCCACTCTTAATCAGAAACCAAGTCTTGAGTTAGGGACTAAGTTGCATTTAAAAGAAAGTGAACATACCTGCTCTACAGCACCGCAGGTGCAAGAACAGTTTTCAGTTGCCTCACTCACCCCTTGGTCTCTTTCCTCACTCTACTTTTCTTTGTTCCCCATTAAAGGAAGAAAAAATAAAAAAGCTGAGGGAGCTAGTTATTTCCACAAATGAGATGGTGCAACAAAACTAAACTTGAATGTAAAATTAATCCATGCTATTGTTGAAGAGTTTGCTAAGACATGCCTGAATCATCTGATGTGAGTTTGAGGATGCGTGTTGGGTGCAGGGGTGAGAGGAGGTCAGAAAAAGCCATAGATACTGCACAGTCACACCTTAGCAAGCACAGTCCTGTCAGATTGCTTTTGTCTTCTGTATCTTGGAAGGCTTCACGGGCTTTCTTCTTGATACCTCTCCCAGTTGGCTTTAGTTTTTTTAGTTTAGTTTTTTTTTTTTTTTTGGCACAGAAGATAAAATCCACAGTAGAAACATAAAGCTCTAGAAACCAAGAATATTTTTAAGCATTTTCTTCTAGTTAGAATTCCTGGGTTATTTTTTTAGTGTACAGCTTTTGACATTTTAAATATGTTTCCCCCGTCTCCATGACTCCTACCTCCCACCACAGGCATACCTAAAGGTATTGCAGGTTTGTGCCAGACCACTTCAATTAAGTGAATATTGCAATAAAGTGAGTACACAAAACTTTGGTTTCCCAGTGCAACATGGAACTTACGTTCACACTATACTGTAGTCTACTAAGTGTGCAATAGCATTATGTCTAAAAACAAAATTACATACCTTAATTAAAAAATACTTTATTGCTGAAAAATGTTAATAATCGTCTGAGCCATCAGCAAATTGTAATCTTTTTGCTGGTGGAGAGTCTTGCCTCAATGTCAATGGCTGCTGACTGGGGTGGTGGTCACTGAAGGTCAGGGTGGCTGTGGCAAATTGTTAAAATAAAATGACAGTGAAGTTTGATGCATTGACTTACTCTTCCATTACAAAATATTTATCTGTATCATGAGATGCTATTTGGTATTATTTTACCCAGTTTTTAAAAAAATGGTAGTCAGTCCTCTCAAACCCTGCCACTACTTTATCAACTAAGTTGATGTAATATTCTAAACCCTGGGTTGTTGTTGCCACATGTTCATACCATCTTCACCGGGAGTAGATTTCATCTCAAGAAACCACTTTCTCTGCTCATCCATAAGAAGCAACTCCTCATCCATTCAAGTTTTCTAATGAGATGCAGCAATTCAGTCACTTCTTCGGGCTGTAGTTACAATTCTAGTTCTCTTGCTATTTCCGCCACATCTCCAGTTACTTCCTCCACTTGTGTCTTGAATCCCTCAAAGTCATCTATGGAGGTTGGAATCAACTTCTTCCAAGCTGCAGTTAACATTGATATTTTGACCTCCTCCCATGAATCAGAAATGTTCTTAAAGGCACCTGGATGGATAAGTTTTTTTAAAGGGTTTTCAATTTACTTTGCCCAGATTTATCAGGGGAATTACTACTATCTATGTCAGCTATAACTTCACAAAATGTATTTGTTAAGTAATGAAAATTGAGAGTTGAAATTATTTCTTGATCCATGGGCTACAGAATGCATGTTGTGTTAATAGACATGAAAACAACATTAATTTCCCTGTACATCTCCATTAGAGCTCTCAGTTGACCAGGTACATGGTCAATGAGCAGTAATATTTTGAAAGATATGTATTTTTTCTGAATTGTATGTCTTAACAGTGAGCTTCAAATATTCATAAACCATGCTGTACACAGATGTGCTGTCATACAGGCTTTGTTGCTCCATTTATAGACCATAGGCTGAGTACCTTTGGTATAATTTTTAGGAGGGGTCTTAGGATTTTCAAAATAGTAAACAAATGTTGGATTCAATTTAAAGTTACCAACTACATTAGCCCCTAACAAGAGAGTCAGCTTGTCCTTTGAAGCTTTGAAGCCAGGCATTGACTTCTCTCAACCTATGAAAGTCCTAGATGGCATCTTTTCCAATACAAGGCTGTTTCTTCTACTTTGAAAATCTGTTGTGTAGTGCAGCCACCGTCATCAATTATCTTAGTTAGATCTTCTGGATAACTTGCTGCAGCTTCTACATCAGCACTTGCTGCTTCATCTTGCACTTTTCTGTTATACGTACAACTTCTTTTCTTAAACGTCATGAACCAATCTCTGCTAACTTCCAAGTTTTCTTCTGCAGCTTCCTCACCACTCTCAGCCTTCACAGAATTGAAAAAAGCTATAGCCTTGTTCTGGATTAGGGTTGGGCTTCAGGGAAACTTGTGGCTGCTTTGATCTATCACTAAACTTTCCACTGTTACTAAAGCTGTCTCCACTGAAATGTTAGTGATAAAAGACCACAAAAACTTTCTTGCTATTAGTCATTAGGATGTCTCACGTTCTCATCATTCATATGTTCACTGGAGTAGCACTTCTAATTTCCTTCAAGAACTTTTCTTTTTCATTCACAAGTTAGTAACAGCCACAAGAGGCCTATCTCGGCTTTACATGCCTTCCTCACTAAACTTAATCATATCTAGCTTTTGATTTAAAGTAGGGGATTTGCAACTTTTTCTTTCACTTGAGCACTTGGAGGTCATTATAGACTTATTAACTATCCTAATTTCAATATTGTTGTGTCCTAGAAACTATGGTTGCCTAAGGAGAGGGAGAATAGCAGGGGAATAACTGGTGAGTAGAGCAGTGGGAACACACACATTTTTAAAGTTTCTGTTTGTGGTACACCAAAACAATTCCAATAGTAACGCCAGTGATCACTGGTTGCAGATCACCACAGCAGGTATAATAATAATGAAAACGTTTGAAATATTGTGATAATTACCAAAGTGTGACACAGAGACTTGAAGTGGACACATGCTGTTGGAAAGATGAAACTGATAGATTTGCTGTACACAGAGTTGCCACAAACCTTCAATCCGTAAATACACAAAGTCTGTAAAGTACAATAAAGTGAAGTGCAATAAAATGAGGTCTACTTGTACGTATGTATGTATTCATATATATATATGAATACATACTATACATATATATACACACTATATATATACTATATATATATACACACTATATATATACACACAACATATATATATACAACATATATATATATATATACACAACATATATATATACACACACACACACACACACAAATCTGTGGCACAATGGGTGTTTAGAGTTTAGAGTTTATTTGAGGAAGAAAACATGAATTGGAAAGCACCAAACCCAAGGAAGTTCAGCATTAGGATGACAAAGCATCAGAGGCAAGTATTTATAAGGCAACTGTGGAAGCAAAATAAAGAAATTACTTTAGCAGTTACAAGATTGCCTTTTTTAGTTTACCTTGTTGGAAAGTCTCTAGTCATGTAATCATACTTTATTTCACTGCTTATGACTGAGTCGGGGCAGAAAAACTTCTACCTCCATCCTTTTAGAGTCCTTGGTGGGAGAAAAATTGACATAAGTAAGATTAAGAGGAAAGACACATAGGATGTTTTACATGGCATGAGAGCCATGTAAAGAAATGAAGACCCAAAGAAGTGTTTAGAATTAGTTACTTGTATAGTGGATTAAACAAAGAACAATTGGCAGTGAAGAAGTAGCTAAATTATTTGGAGAGGCTTAAAAGATAAAACTATTTTAACAAGGTCTGTACAGAATTCTCTTGGTTTCAACTTCGCATCCTGAATACAAGGATATTGCCTTTCCTTCTAGTATAGAGAGTGTGTCTTTTACATGGGAGTTTCATATTCTGCTTTTAAGAAACAGCATTATGATCAAACCCTGCTTTTTTTCTAGTGTCTTTAGCTTAAACATTCAATATGGCAGAATAGCATATTTCAACTCTTTCAGTTGGCTGAGCTTAAGCTTTTTTTTCTAACATAAGCATTTGCCAGAAATTACCCAAGTTAACTTTTCACTTATGTTTGCAGTTTAAGTAAGGTTAAGGCTATTTTTAAGGCCCAGTTAATTTGTTTGCTCAGGGATTTTTCATGCTCAGTGTCCATTTTATTTTATTTTTTAAATTTATTTTTTAATTTTTGTAGGCATAGAACAGGTATGTATATTTATGGGGAACACGAGATACTTTGATACAAGCATGCAATGTGTAATAGTCACCTCTTGAAAAACTGGGTATCCATCTTCTCAAGCATTTATCATTTTTTTGTTTCAAACAATCCAATTACATTATTTTAGTTATTTTAAAATGTACAATTAATTATTGACTATAGTGCCTGTGCCTGTGGTGTATTACTCAAGAAATCTTTGCTCAGCCCAATGTCCTTCATAGTTTCCCCAGTGTTTTCTCTTAGTAGTTTTATAGTTTGAGGTTTTGAATTTAAATCTTAATCCATTTTGATCTGATTTTTATATAGAACAAGAGTAGGGGTCTAATTTCATTCTTCTGCATATGGATATCCAGTTTTTCCAAGACCATTTATTAAAGGGACTGTCCTTTCCCCAATGTATATTCTTGACACCTTTGCTGAAAATGGGTTCACTGGAGATGTATACACTTATTGCTAGGTTCTCTATTCTCTTCCATTGGTCTCTGTGTATGTTTTTATGCCAGTACCATGCTGTTTTGGTTATATAGCTCTGTAGTATAATTTGCAGTCAGGTAATGTGGTTCCTCCAGTTTTGTTCTTTTCACTCAGGATAGCTTGGTTTCTTTTGGATCTTTTGTTGTTTCATATAAATTTTAGGATTGTTTTTTCTATTTCTGTGAAGAATGTCCTTGATATTTTGATAGAGAGTCTATTGAATCTGTAAGTTTCTTTAGGGAGTATGGACAGTTGATTCTTCAAATCTGTGAACATGCAATATCTTTCTATTTTTTGAGTCCTCTTCAGTTTCTTGCATCAACGCTTTATGGTTTGTGTTGTAGAGATCTTTTACTTCTTTGATTAAGTTTATCCCTAGGTATATTATTTTATTTGTAGCTATTGTAAATGAAATTACTTTCTTAATTTCAGGTTTTTTGCTATTGGCACATACAAATGCTACAGATTTTTGTATGTTAATTTTGTGTTCTGCAAACTTATTAAATTTGTTTATTAGTTCTAAGAAAGTTTTTGTGGAGTCTTTAGGTTTTTCCAAATATAAGAGCATATCAATTGCAAACAAAAATAACTTGACTTCTTCCTTTTCAATTCAAATGCTCTTTTTTTCTTTGCTTATCTGAATGCTCTAGCTAGGACTTCCAGTACTATGTTGAATAACAGTGGTAAAAGTGGATATGCTTTTCCAGTTCCAGGTATTGGAGGATAGGCTTTCAGTTTTTCCTGTTCAGTATGATACTAACTGTAAGTCTGTCATATGTGGATTTTATTGTGTTATGTTCCATCTATACTCAGTTTTTTAAGATTTTTTTTATTGTGAAGGGAAGTTGAATTTCATCAAATGCTTTTTCAGCATCAATTGAAATGATTATTTGCTTTTTTCTTCATGTAATATATATGATGTTTCACATTGATTGATTTGCATATGTTGAAACATCCTTGCATCTCTGGGATAAATCCCACTTAGTCATGATAAATTATTTTTTTTGATATATTGTTGAATTTGGTTTACTAGTGTTTTGTTGAAGATTTTAGCATCAATTCATCAGGGTATTTAGAAAGTGACAGAGCAAGATGGCTGAATAAAACTCTCCACTGATTGTCCTCACTGCAGAAACAACCACATTTTAACAACTACACACAAAACCATCATCATAAGAACCAAATATCAGGTAAGCAATCACAATATCTGGTTTTAGCTTCATACCACTAAAAGAGGCACTGAAGAGGGTAGGAAAGACAGTCTTCAATCATCAGTCATCAATGCCTTACCTCCCCGATTCTGGAGAGAGAATCTGTGTATTTGGAAGAGGGCAAGCACAATGACTAAGGGACTTGGCATTGAACTCAGTGCTGCCTTGTCATAGTGGAAAGCAAAATCATGTTGAACTCAGCTGGTGGCTGCCCCATGGAGGGAGTATTTGGATAAACCCTATCCAGAGGGAAATTGCCCATCCCAGCAGTTGGAACTTTAGTTTCTTGGCAAGCCTCACCACTGTGGGCTAAAGGGCTCTGGGGTCCTAGGAAAACTTGAAAGGCAGTCTAGGACACAAGGGCTACAATTCCTAGGCAAGTCTTAGTGCTAGGCTGGGCTTAGAGCAGGTGGACTAGAGTGGCATGTGATCCAAGGAGATACCAGCCAGGCGGCTAAGGGAGTGCTTGTACCTCCCCTCCTCCATCCCCAGGAAGCTCAGCTCACAGCAATGAAAGTGACTCCTTCCTTCTCCTTGAGGAGAGGAGAGTGGAAAGTAAAGATGGCTTCATTTTGCATCTTCAATACCAGGTCAGCACAATAGGATAGGACACAAGCAGAGTCTTGACCCCTATATTTCAGGCCCTAGCTCCCATACTACGTTTCTAGATATACCCTGGACTAGAAGGGAAACTGCTTCCCTGAAGAGTATGACCCAGTCCTGGCAGGATTCATCACCTGCTGACTAAAGAGCCCTTGGGACCTCAATAACCAAGGGTGATACTCAGGTAGTATGTTATGGGCCTTGGATAAGACTGGAGATGTCCTGGTTTTAGGTGAGACATAGCATATTCCCAGCTGTGGTGGCTATGGTGAAAGACTCCTGCTTGAGAAAAGCAGGGGGAAAAGCAAAGAGGACTTTGTCTTGTACCTGAAGTACAGCTTGACCCCAGTGAGGCAGAGCACCTAGTGGGCTGTTGGGATCCCTGAGTCCAGGCCTAAGCTTTTGGACAGTATTTCTGGACCTGCCCTAGACCAGATGGGAGCCCATTGCACTGAAGGGTGATTCTCAGGCCTGGCATTCACTACAAGCTGACTGAATAGCCCTTGGACTTTAAGTGAATATTGGCAGTGGCCTGGAAGAACTCCCCATGGGCTGGTAGTGGTGGTGGCTATTGAGAGAGGCTCCTTTGCCTATGGAAAGGGAGGGAATAGTGGGAGGGATTTTGTCTTATGGGTTGAAGGCTAGCTTAGCCTCAGTAGAATAGAACACCAGGTGAATTTCTAAGATTTCTGATCCTAATCCCTGGCTCCCAGACAGCATCTCTGGACCCACCCAGGACCTGAGGGAACTTGTTGCCCTGAAAGGAAGAACAGAAATCAGACTGGCTTCACCACCTATTGACTGTAGAGCCCTAGGCCCTTAAGTGAACATAGATAGTCGCCAGGTAGTGGTTACAGTGGACCTTGGTCAAGACTCAGTGCTATTCTGGCTTCAGATCTGACTCAGTGCAATCCCTGTGGTGGTAGCTACGGTGGTAGTTGTGTCACCTCACCCCTAGCTCCAGGTGGCTCAGCACAGAGAAAGACATACTCCATTTGTTTGGGTGAAAGTAAGGGGAAAGAACAAGATTATATTCCTGGCAATCCAGATAGTTCTTCTGGATCTAATCCATGACCATCAAGATGGTACCTTGGAGTATTAAAAAATCACAGCATTATTGGGGCTGAGGCCCAAATTCCTTTGAGTACCGGAAAAGCCTTCCAAAGAAATATGGGCACAAATAAGCCCAGACTGTGAAGACTAAAATAAGTACCTAACTCTTCAAAGCCCAGACACTGACAAACATCCACAAGCATCAAGACCATCTAGGAAAACATGCCTCACCAAATGAACTATATAAGGCGCCAGGGACGAATCCTGGAGAAAGAGTTATATGACTGTGGAGACAGAGAATAAAAAATAACTGTTTTGAGAAAACTCAAATAAATTCAAGTTAACACAGAGAAGGAGTTCAGAATTCTATCAGATAAATTTAACAAAGAGGTTGAAATAATTAAAGGGGATCTAGCAGAAATTCTAGAGTTGAAGAAAAATGCAATTGATATACTGAAGAATGTATCAGAATCTCTTAATAGCAGAACTGATCAAACAGAAGAATGAGTGAGCTTGAAGACATATTATTTGAAAATACACAGCCAGAGGAGACACAGGAAAAAATAATGCCAAAGAATGAAGCATGCTTACTAAATCTAGAAAATAGCTTCAAAGAGGCACATCTGAGTTATTGGCCTTAAAGAGGAGGTAGAGAAAGAGATAGGAGTAGAAAGTTTATTTAAAGGGATAATATTTAAGAACTTTCCAAACCTAGAGAAAAATATCAAATTCAAGTACAAGAAGATTATAGAACACCAAGAAGATTTAGTCCAAACAATACTACCTCAAGGTACTTAATAATCAAACTCCCAAAGGACAAAGATAAAGAAAGAATCCTAAAAGAAGCAAGAGAAAAGAAACAATGTACAGTAGAGCTCCAATACCTCAGTCAGCAGACTTTTCAGTGGAAATCTTTTCATTGGAAATCTTGTAGGCTAAGAGAGAGTGGCATGACATATTTAAAGTGCTGAGGGAAAAAAAATACTTTTACCCAAATTAGTATCTCCAGTAAAAATATCCTTCAAGCATGAAGGAGAAATACAAACTTTCCCAAAGAAACAAAAGCTGAGAGATTTCACCAACATCAGACCTGTCCTACAAGAAATGCTAAAGGGAGTTCTTCAATCTGAAAGAAAAGGATGTTATTGAGCAATAAGAAATTGTCTGATGTTACAAAACTCACTAGTAATATGAGGTATACAGAAAAACACAGGATATTACCAATAAAAAATAAGAACTACAACAATTATTCAAGACATAGATAGTATACTAAGACATTAAGAGAAACAACAAAAGTTACAAAGTGGGGAGATAAAGTGTAGAGTTTTTATTAGTTTTCTTTTTGCTTCTTTGTTTATGCAATTAGTGTTAAGTAGTCATCAATTTAAAATAATGGGTTATAAGCTAGTACTAGCAAGCCTTATAGTAAGCTTAAATCAAAAAAATATACAATGGATACACAAAAAGTAAAGAACAAGAAATTAAATTGTACCATCAGAGAAAATCAATTTCAGTAAAAGGAAGACAGTAATAATCTAAGGAAGAAAAGAAAAGACTACAAAACAACCAGAAAAAAATAACAAAATGCAGGAGTAGGTCCTTACTTATTAGTAACATTGAATGTAAATGGACTAAACTATCCAATCAAAAGAAAGAGTGCCTGAATGGATTTAAAAAAAAAAAAAAAAAAGAACCGGGCTGAGCGTGGTGGCTTATGCCTGTAATCCCAGCACTTTGGGAGGCCAAGGCAGGCAGATCACGAGGTCAGGAGATCGAGACCATCCTGGCTAACACGGTGAAACCCAATCTCTACTAAAAATACAAAAAATTAGCCGGGTGTGGTGGCAGGTGCCTGTAGTCCCAGCTACTTGGGAGGCTGAGGCAGGAGAATGGCGTGAACCCGGGAGGCGGAGCTTTCAGTGAGTGGAGATCGCGGCACTGCACTCCAGCCTGGGCAACAGAGTGAAACTCCGTCTCAAAAAAATAAAAAAATGAAAGACCCAGGCCAGGCGTGGTGGCTCACGCCTGAAATCCCAGGACTTTGGAAGGCCAAGGCTGGTGGATCATGAGGTCAGGAGTTCGAGACCAGCCTGGCCTACGTGGTGAAACCTTATCTCTACTAAAAATACAAAAATTAGCTAGGTGTGGTAGCAGGTGCCTGTAATCCCAGCTACTCCAGAGGCTGAGGCGGGAGAATTGCTTGAAACTGGAAGGTGGAGGTTGCAGTGAGCCAAGATTGTGCCACTGCACTCTAGCCTGGGCAACAAGAGTGAAACTCTGTCTCAAAAAAACAAACAAACAAAAAAACAAAACAAAACCCGATGATCTGTTGCCTATTGCCTACAAGAAACATACTTCACCTACAAAGACACACATAGAATGAGAATAAAGAAGTAGAAGAAGATATTCCATGCTAATGGAAACCAAAAAAGAGCAGGAATAGCTATACTTATTGTGATGGTTAACACTGACTGTCACCTTGATTGGACTGAAGAATGCAAAGTATTGATCCTGGGTGTGGCTGTGAGGGTGTTGTCAAGGGGGATTAACATTTGAGTCAGTGGGCTGGGAAAGGCAGACCCACTGTTAATCTGGTGGATACCATCTAATCAGCTGCCAGAATGGCCTAAGTATAAAGCAGGCAGAAAAATGTTAAAAGATTAGACTGGCCTAGGCTCCCAGCCTACATCTTTCTCCTGTGCTGGGTGCTTCCTGCCCTTGAACATCAGACTTTAAGTTTTTCAGCTTTGGAAGTTTGACTGGCTTCCTTGCTGCTCAGCTTGCAGATGGCCTATTGTGGAACCTTGTGATTGTGTGAATTTAATACTCCTTTATAAACTCCCCTTCATATGCATATCCATCCTATTAGTTCTGTCCCTCTAGAGAACCCTGACTAATACAGATTTTGGTACTAGGAGTGGTTCTAAAGGAACAGAATATTAAGGATGGAGTTCTGTTTTGGTTTTGAGGTTTCTGGAGTTGGCTGCTTAATATGATTAGACCCCAAAATGCTAAGGACTCTACTTCTAATAGTATGGAGAACACTGATAGTCCTTGGCATGAACTGTTTAGAGAGTTATGCAAAATAAATGCATTTGATACTCCTGATTCATTCCTTATGAGAGGCAAGGAGTTTAGTGATTCTATGCATAATAACTTTGACCATTTGTGGAGAACCATGGAACATAATGAAGCTGGTTAGTTGCTCCTAAGTTTAGTGGACAAAGTGATGAAAGTAAATGATAAATTCAAGGCTTCTGTCTCCTGGATTCAGAAGCAGATACTGAGCCTCAAATCTGCTAAGACTGCCCTGAGTAAGAGAGTTATCTCCTATAAAGAAAGAGCTGAAACTGTGGAAAAACAGACAAAGCTTTTATCATGCAAGTGGCTGACCTGCAATGAAAGGTGCATGCACAGCCTCATGAGGTGTCTATTGTTAAAGTGAGGTCATTGATTGGAAAAGAATGGGAGCCTGCAACTTGGAATGGGGACATGTGGGTGAACCCTGATGAAGCTGGAGACACTGAATTTGTAAACACTGATGAAACATTTTTGCCAGAAGAAACAGCTTCCCCATCCCCAGTAGTGGCAACATCCCTTCCCGAACCCATGCTGCTATCAGCCTTTCCACATTTGTCTAAGGAGATGAACCTTGTGCTGCCTGAGGCAACAGTGATGGCCTTCCGTGAGGCAGTTGCCAGGCAAGATAATGTTGATTCTCCTCAGGAGCCTCTCCCAACACACCTGTTTGCTTCCAGACCTATAACTAGGTTAAAGTCCTGGCAGGCCCCTACACGTGAAGTTGGGATTGTGACCCATGAGGAGGTGTGCTACACTCGAAAAGAACTGCTTGAGTTTTCTAATTTATATAAACAAAAATCTGGAGAACAGCCATAGGAATTGTTATTAAGGGTATGGGATAATGGTGGAAGGAACATAGAGTTGGATCAGGCTGAATATATCGATTTGTGCCCACTAAGTCAAGACTCTGCATTTAATGTTGCAGCTTGGGGAGTTAAAAAAGGTCCTAATAGTTAATTTGCTTGGTTAGCTGAAATATAGAGTAAAAGATGGCCCACTGTCAGTGAGCTGGAAATGCCTCATCTCCCTTGACTTAATGTAGGGGAAGGGCTCCAAAGGCTTAGGGAGATTGGGATGGTGGAGGGGATTAGTCACTTTAGACCTACTCAACCAAGCTGGGAGGGTTCAGAAGATATACTCTTGATCAATGCCTTGCAAGATTTGTGAGGGCAGCACCTGCATCTTTGTAGAGCCTCATAATTGCTCTTCTCTGTCTGTCAGATATAACAATGGGAACTTCAGTCACTCAACTACAAAATTTAAATACAATGGGAATAATTGGATCCTGAGGTGGCAGGGGCCAAGTGGCAGGACTCAACCGTCAAAGGCAAGGTGGGTGTAGCTACCGTAATGGACACAAGAGACAAAGTGGCAATCAGAATAGTCTGACTTATGTAGAGCTCTGGCATTGACTAATCACAGTGTTCCTAGATGTGAAATTAATAGGGAGCCTACTGCATTCCTACTTAATTTATATAAGCAGAAAACTTCTCATCAAATTATAAAGACTAATTTGAAGTATAAAAACAGAGAAGCATGGCCCATCTATCAATTTCCAGACTTGAGCCAGTTTACAGACCCAGAATTCCTTGAATAAAGGGGAGGCTGGGTCCCCTTGAGGAAGGACCCCATTACACTACTGACAATTTATGCAGTGAATCAATCTTTTATCCTTCTCCAAGGAGACCTCCAGCCTTTTACCAGGTTAAGTGTGCATTGAGATAAGGAAAATGGTCAGACATTTTGGGGACTACTGGACACTGGCTCTGAGCTGATATTGATTCCAAGGGACCCAAAATGTCACTGTGGTCCTCCAGTTAAAGTAGAGGTTTATGAAGGTCATGTAATTAATGAAGTTTTAGCTCAGGTCTGACTTACAGTGGGTCCGTTGGGTCTGCGGACTCATCCTGTGGTCATTTCCCCAGTGCCAGAATACATACTTGGCATAGACAGACTTAGCAGGTGGCAGAACTCCCACTTTGGCTCCCTGACTGATAGGGGGAGGGCTATTATGGTGGGAAAGGCCAAATGGAAGCCATTAGAGCTGCCTCTACCTAGAAAAATAGTAAATCAAAAACAATATTACATCCCTGGAGGGATTACAGATATTAATGCCACCATAAAAGACTTGAAAGACACAGGGGTGGTGATTCCCAACACATCCCCATTCAACTCTCCTATTTGGCCTGTGCAGAAGACAGATGGATCTTGGAGAATGACACTGGATGATTGTAAGCTTAACCAAGGGGTGACTCCAATTGCAGCTGCTGTACCAGATGTGGTTTTATTGCTTGAGAAAATTAACACATCTCCTGGTACCTGGCATGCAGCCATTGATTTGGCAAATGCCTTTTTCTCCATTCCTGTCCATAAGGCCCACCAGAAGCAATTTGCCTTCAGCTGGCAAGGCCAACAATATACTTTCACTATCCTACCTCAGGGGTATATCAACTCTCCAGCTTTGTGTCAGAATCTTGTTTGAAGAGACCTTGATTGATTTTCACTTCCACAAGATATCACACTGGTCCTTTACATTGATGATATTATGCTGATTGGATCCAGTGAGCAAAAAGTAGCAAACACTTATTGGTGAGACATTTCATGCCAGAGGACAGGAACTAAATCTGATTAAAATTCGTGGACCTTGTACCTCAGTTAAATTTCTACAGGTCCAGTGGTGTGGGGCCTGTTGAGATATTCCTTCTAAGATGAAGGATAAGTTGCTGCATTTGACTCTTCCTACAACCAAGAAAGAGGCACAATTACTAGTGTGCCTATTTGGATTTTGGAGGCAACACATTTCTCATTTGGGTGTGTTACTCCAGCCCATTTATTGAATGACTCAAAAGGCTGACAGTTTTTTGTGGGGTCCAGAACAGGAGAAGGCTCTGCAACAGATCTAGGCTGCTGTGCAAGCTGCTCTGTCACTTGGGCCATAGGACCCAGCAGATCCAATGGTACTTGAAGTGTTAGTGGCAGATAGGGATGCTGATTGGAGCCTTTGGCAGGCCCTCATATGTGAATCACAGCAGAGACCTCTAGGATTTTGGAGCAAGGCCCTGCCATCTTCTGCAGATAATGACTCTCCTTTTGAGAGACAACTCTTGGCCTGTTACTGGACTTTGGTGGAAAATGAACCTTTGACTATGGGTCATCAAGTCACCATGCAACCTGAACTGCCTATTATGAACTGGGTGCTTTCTGACCTATCTGGCCACAAATTGGGTTGTGCCCAGCAGCATTCCACCATCAAATGGAAGTGGTATATTCGTGATCAGTCTTGAGCAGGTCCTGAAGGCACAGGTAAGTTACATGAGGAAGTGGCTCAAATGACCATGGTCTCCACTCCTGCCATCCTGCCTGCTCTCCCCCAGCCTGCACCAATGACTTCATGGGGAGTTCCCTATGATCAATTGACAGGAAGAGAAGCCTAGGGCCTGGTTCACAGATGGTTCTGCATGATATGCAGGCACCACCCAAAAGTGGACAGCTACAGCACTACATCCCCTTTCTAGGACATCCCTAAAGGACACTGGTGAAGGGAAATCTTCCCAGTGGGCAGAACTTCGAGCAGTGCACCTGGTTGTGCACTTTTCATGGAAGGAGAAATGGCCAGATGTGCGATTGTATACTGATTCATGGGGTGTATCCAATGGTTTGGCTGGATAATCAGTGACATGGAAGAAGCATGATTAGAAAATTGATGACAAAGAAATATGGGGAAGAGGTATATGGATGGACCTCTCTGAGTGGTCAGAAATTGTGAAGATATTTGTATTCCATGTGAGTGCTCACCAACAGGTGACCTCAGCAGAGGAGGATTTTAATAGCCAAGTGGATAGGATGATTCGTTCTATGGACACCACTCAGCCTCTTTCCCCAGCCACCCCTGTCATCATCCAATGGGCCCATGAACAAAGTGGCCATAGTGGCAGGGATGGAGGTTACGCATGGGCTCAGCAACATGGACTTCCACTCACCAAGGCTAATCTGGTTACAGCCACTGCTATTGGACCTCTTCTATCATGGAAAGGGTAGAGATTGGTCCTCACTGGAATAGACACTTATCTGGTATCAGGGGAACCCACCCCCAATATTTCAACGTAGGTTCTTTCTATTTTCCATAAGTGTCAGCTGGCTGAGAAATAAAGAGAAAGAGTACAAAGAGAGGAATTTTACAGCTGGGCCTCCTGGGGTGGCATCACATATCGGTAGGACTGTGATGCCCACCTGAGCCACAAAACCAGCAGGTTTTTATTAAGGACTTCAAAAGGGGAGGGGTTGTATGAACAGGGAGTAGGTCACAAAGATCACGTGCTTCAAAGGGCAAAAAGGAGAACAAAGATCACATGCTTTTGAGGAAACAGGACCAGGGCAAAATCAGAAACTCCTGATAAGGGTCTATCTTCAGCAGTACACGTATTGTCTTGATAAACAACAGAAAACAGGGTTCGAGAGCAGAGAACTGGTCTGACCTCAAATTCACCAGGGTGGGGTTTTTCCCCACCCTAGTAAGTCTGAGGGTACTGCAGGAGACCAGGGCATATTTCAGTCCTTATCTCAACCGCATAAGACAGACACTCCCAGAGTGGCTGTTTATAGACCTCCCCCCAGGAATGCAATTATTTTCCTAGGGTCTTAATATTAATATTCCTTGCTAGGAAAAGAATTTAGCAATATCTCTCCTATTCGCACGTCCATTTATAGGCTCTTTGCAAGAAGAAAATATGGCTGTATTCTGCCCAACCCTGCAGGCAGTCAGACCTTATGGTTGTCTTCCCTTGTTCCCTAAAATCGCTGTTATTCTGTTCTTTTTCAAGGTGCACTGATTTCATATTGTTCAAACACGAATGTTTTACAATCAATTTGTACAGTTAACACAATAGTGGTCCTGAGGTGACGTACATCCTCAGCTTATGAAGATAACAGGATTAAGAGATTAAAGTAAGATAGGCATAAGAAGTTATGAAAATATTAATTTTGGGAACTGATAAATGTCCATATTAAAATGAAATCTCCACAATTTATATTCAGAGATTGAAGTAAAGACAGGCATAAGAAATTATAAAAGTATTAATTTTGGGAACTGATATATGTCCATATCAAAATGAAATGAAATCTTCACAATTTATGTTCCTCTGCAGCAGCTCCAGCTGGTCCCTCCATTCAGGGTCCCTGACTTCCCACAACACTCTGAATATGGGTTTGCCTATCCTGCATGCAATACTTCTGCCAAGGCTACCATCTGTGGACTCACAGAATGCCTTATTCATCGTCGTGATATTCCACACAGCATTGTCTCTGACTAATGCACTGACATTACAGCTAAAGCAGTGTGGCAGTGGGCTCATGCTCATGGAATTCACTGGTCTTACCATGTTTCCCATCATTCTGAAGCAGCTGGATTGATAAAATGGTAGAATGGCCTTTTGAAGTCACAGTTACAATGCCATCTAGGTAACAATACTTTGCAGGGCTGGGGCAAAGTTCTCCTGAAGGCCATCTACGCTCTGAATCAGCACTCAATATATGGTACTGTGTCTCCCATAGCCATGATTCATGGGTCCAGGAATCAAGTCGTGGAAATGGAAGTGGCACCGCTCACCATCACCTCTAGTGATCCACTAGCAAAATTTTTGCTTCCTGTTCCCACAACATTATGTTCTGCCTTCCTAGAGATCTTAGTTCCAGAGGGAGGGAACTTTGCCTCAATTTTGCTCCAGATCAGATCAGGCACAGGAGCAGGGAGAGGCCAGACAGCAGGAACAGGCATTTCCAAGCCTGCAGGGGCAAGGGGGACTTGCTGGGCCCCCAGGAGTGCAGAGATTCTTGGGTGGCTGCAGCTGTGCCTGGAGCTCATGCCTGCTCCTGGTTCCCAAGAGCACAGGGATGTCCAGGCTTAGAGCCATTGCTGGGCACGTGCAGCTGTGCCCACGGAGCCTGAGGCTCCTGCCCAGCCAACTCAGAAGCGGGCAGGCCTTCCACCTGTTTCTGGCTCCCATCGGCTCTGTGGAGCATGCAGCCCCGGCCACACCTCCCCGGTGCAGCCAGTGTCATGGCAGCAGCCACTCTAGATGGGCCATGGCTGCCATCATTAGGGCTTTACTATACACATGTTAAAAAGTAATTAAACTTGGTTCCTACCCTCCTGACATTAAAAACCGATCAATTCCAGATGGATTATAGATATAGTTGTGGAAGACAAAACAATCAAACTTTTAGAAAAAAATCAAAGACATTATTTTCATGTTTTCCCAGTTGGGAAATGTGATACAAAACTATTAAGTGTAAATAAAAAATCAATACATTTAACTATGTTAAAATTGAGAACTGCTATTTATCCAAAGATACAATGAAGAGACTGAAAGGCAAAGATTAAAAAAAGACTAAAGATTAAAAAAATTAAATATGTATATACACATGAATGGAATATGTAAAAATGTCTTCAAATAAAAAAAAAAAGGACAATTCACTAGAAATAGAAGAAAAGTCTTAAACAGTCTCATCCCAAAGAAGATACCCTAATAAACAGTGGACATGAACAGGGGCTCAACTTCCCTAATTATCTCTCATTCTCAAGGAAAAGCAAATTAGACTGTGAATAAAATCTACATGTACCCACTAAGATGACTACAATTCAAAAGGCTGACATATCCAGGTGATGATGAGAGTGTGCAGCATTGGGAATTCTTACATATTGCTGGTGAGAGTATAAATTGTGACAATTATATTAAAAATCTATTTGATATTATCTACTATAAAGTGAAAAATGCATACTATATATTTTATAATTCCACTCCTAGTTATCTGTAGTGACGTATTATTACAGAACGCAAAAGTTTGCATGAATTTCAACACATAATATTGAGTTAAGAAGTCAAACAAAAAACAAAACATGGTATATATTTCAGCTTATTTAAAGACAAAAAGCAGACAATAACAATCTGTGATGTTCCAAGTCAGGTAACATTTCTGTGTTAGTATCTGCTATTGTATAAGAAATATGCTCCCAAATGTAGTGACTTGAAACAGCACTGATTGTCTCATATTTTCTAAAGTTCACAAGAATCTTTTAGGTAAGGTTTAGCTGTGTCTTGGTGGTTTCTCACAGGCTGCAATCAAAGTGCCTCCTGGGCTTTAGACATCTCAAGGCTTTTCTGGGGAAGAATCCACTCCCCAAACTCAGTCTCATGGTCATTGGCAGGATTCATTTTATCATTAAGTTGTTAGATTAAGGTCCTCAGTTCCTTTATGGCTGTCTACTAAAGGTCATCCTCAATTGCTAGCCGTGTGAGCTTTCTGCCATGATAACTTCCTTCATTAGTATGAGCAAGCCATGAAAGAGAGGGAGAGAAAAAAAGAAAGGGGAGTAGAAAGAGAGAGTGAGAGAGTATGTGAGCTAATGAGAGAGAGACACACACAGAGAGTAAGCAAGTGATAGAGCACATGGGCTAGCAAGATGGAAATTTGGATGATGCTATGACTAAGATTCTGAAGGTATTTGGCAAAATTTAGTTCCTTGGTTTAGTTCCTTACACGATGGTGCGAGAACAGACATACTTCTCAAAAATCATCTACTGTAAGATTATAATTTGGTTATTTTTCCTTATGTATGTTGTTTTTCATTTTATTTTTAAAAAGTAAAAGTCACTAAGACTGGAGTAGATCTAGAAGGACAAAAGTGAACACAGTTAGCAAATTAGGAATCTAGTATGGAATCCCAGGTGAATGACAATATGGACTTAGACTAGAAAGGGTGAGGTTTTATTCACCTCTAGGTGCATTTCCAATTTAGAGCTAACAGGATTTGCTGTTGGATTGAATTTGAGGACAGAGAGGAAAATAGGGACCAAGGATGGGTTAAAGCAATTATATTTACCAAGATAGGGGAGACTGTGGGAGGATGAGGTTTAGGATCACAGGAGAAATCAGAGTTTTGCTTTGGATATGTAAAACTTGAGATTTTTATTGGACATCAGTGTGGGAATGCTAAACAGGCAGTGAAGTTAGAGCCGTAAATTTGGACACGTTGAATAGAGATTTGCTGAAGCCAAGGCAGTGGATTAAGGAAAAAAAGGGCTCAAAAACTGAAGAGCTATAATATTTAGAAATTAAGAAGTAGGAAGAATTCAGAAAAGGAAATTGAAAAAGAATGGCCAATGAGATAGAGAAAAACAAAGACTGTGTGCTAGATAAGCAGCCCGAAATATGAAATGCCTGAAGAAGGAAGGGATGCTTATCTTTGTAGTATTGCTGAGACATAACATAAGATGAGAATGGAGAATCGACAATTTGACATATCGACATGGAGCAGGTAGGTCATGAGAGGGGCTGATTGTGTGGGATGCTTGACAGTGAGATTATGGAGGAGGTTTAGTTACTGTAAAGAAAAGGTTGAGGCTGAGGTGAGATGATAGTGAAGACTTCCTCGGAGGTCAAGTAGCTGAGACGCTGGGGTATTAGATCCTTGTCTACCACATGCAAAAAGCCCCGAAGATTAACAACAAGAGTAGTGGTAAAGAGAGGAAGAGGCAGGTGCTAAAATATTCAGTGAATAAAGGGGTTGGGAGATCCAGAATACCTAGAGCAAGGGAGTCGTGAGTAATATAGCCTGATGACATGTGTTTCACTTTATGTGTTTTGTTGTTTTGTGGGTTTCCAGGAGATTTAGAAGCTAAAGAAAGAGGACAAATGATTTGGAAGCAAAGATAAGAAGGAAGAAGGGTATATAATCTACATCACTTCGAGCTCTGTCACATTAGGAATATAGAGGAAAAGCAGGGTGTCGCCCCTAGAGGGAGGTGCTAGCATCTCTGCCACTCCTCAGTTTGTGAGCTTTCTATACCTTATTTCATCATCTTCTCAATGAGCACATCAATATCCAATTCATATTGTTTTGTGAGGCTGATTGAGATAATGTACACCGAAGTCTTACCTTATTTTGAACACTGAATATTTAATAAGTTTCAATTAAGTATTAAATATCAGCACATTTCCTAAACATGATATTTAAATATACATTCTTTCTAAAAAGGTTTCCATGGCACAAAATTTGTAATAAGGTGTGAATGTGTGATCTTTTGTGTTGTTATCATTAATATTTTTCCCCATATTTTCTGATGGCATGTAGAGAATCTGATCTGTTTTCTCTTTAGCATCAAATGTCTCCTTTAGCCTTTTTCAGAGAAACTCCTTTTTTTCATGTATCCTTCTCATCCAAAACTGTGGAGCTGAATCTGGGTTAGTATAAATGAGAATCAGCACACGGAATTTGCCTAACGTGTTTTATTGGTGTATGTGTTTCAGGTTTGCCCCATTAGACAGAATGAGTACTTTATAGTCTACAGTTGGGAGAGATGTTTTCTTTCCTTCTCTGTGTGATTAAGTAAAGCCCATTGCCCCAGTTGTGCTTGCCATTAGGCATACCCACAGGGTGGGCCTGTCTCAGAAAGAAGGGAAAAGAAAGGGCAGCAGAGCAGAAAAATAAAAAGAGCGGTGTCCTTGTTAACATCACTAGGCTGCTGAATCAATGCCTAGACTTCCCCTAATGTAACATTTTTTTTTCTAATTGCTTACCCTGGTTTTAATTGGGGTTTCGGTTATTTTCAGCAGTCTTCCTGCTTTCCCTCCATAAAACCCACCAAATAAACAAAATGGGTATAAATACAGAAGGCAGTTCATTATGAACTTCTTTTGATCTTAGCTTTTTCATTGGAATTCTCTTTATTCTGTGTTTAAATCCAGCTCTGGACTAACGTGTTTTCTGGGAATTCTAGAGAAGCCATGGTGCTGCAGTTTCGTGTTGACAGGAAGAAGCAGAAACTGACACAAGACACTGGAGGCCTGGTTCTGCCAGTTGACGCTGTCATCTTGCCTGCTTTCCATATATGTTTACTCCGCTTGAGTTTTCAGTCCTGACAAATTAATGGGCACAGAGTTTGCCCTCATTTTCTAATCCAGTGTATTCTGTCAGTTCATTGCTATGTATTTTAATTGTATTAAAAGTCATAGTGCATTTGCATATTTTAATGAAAATACTAGCTTTCTTTTAAAATAGAGTAAAGCTTATTTCCATTATATTTTTGAGCCATTTTTTGGTCAGAACAAATGTATTACTAATTTTCTAATAAGGCTCAATGTGAAATCCAGCAAGGATCCAGAAATTATGTAATATGAGATATACCCACATATCTGCATAATAGAAGGTAAAAAAAAGATAGGAAATCTTTAGAATATCCACTATTTTCTGAGTCAAAGATCGCATGTTTTGTTAATTAAATCTTTATTGTTAATAGCTAATTAGCACCCATGCCCTTTATCAGTGTTTTTCAAAATTACGGTAGCACCGGAACATTTTTTGCAAATAAAACCGTGCATGAAATGCTAGTATAGGAAACAAATAAGAAGTGGGATTGCTCTGATTGAAGCAGGAGTTCCACTGACTTTACCCGTTTCTTGTTTTGTCACTGTTCCCACCATTGGGTGAAGTGTAGGGGACTTAAGAACCATTTGGAAACAATTGCCCCTAATTATTGCCAAATATCATGGAAGTAGCAAGAAACAGAGAGCTCTTGGAATTAAAATAATGTTGTCCACAATGCTAACCCTTTCTATGACTACTCAGATTCACATCCTTCCTAATATTAATTCACATTTTAAAAAATGTAGAAACCCCAGTCAAGAGAATTCCATTTAATAGAACATGATATGATTATCAAGAGAAGACTGCACTGTGAACCAAGTATAACATAGTAAACAATGTTCTTGTTGGAGCATATAATAAAAAAATTAATAGTGTGAGAAAATAGTGATTCCTTTGCAGCTGCATTATTATACATTGTTTTGTAAGATTTTCCTGTTTCATCTAATCAATTATGTATTGAATATTAATTTTCTTGCAATTTAATTATGATTTTGCTCATCCAGTTGCTATTAGCAATCAGTACAAAATAATGCAATGCATTGTAACATATCCGTGTACAGTTAGTGTTATAGGAAATTCCAAATAAACCATTTGTTGAAATTATCAAAATTCTTTTTAACATAATAAAGAGTTGAGTTTAACAAATATTTTTCCTAATTTCTGTTTTGATTTTTTTTTTTTTTTTTGAGACAGAGTCTGGGTCTGTCACCCAGGCTGGCGTGCAGTGGTGCCATCTGAGCTCTTTGCACCCTCTGTCTCCCCAGCTCAAGTGATCCTCCTGCCTAAGCCTTTCAAATAGCTGGGACCACAGGCATGCACTACAACATCTGACTATTTTTTTTTTTTTTTGGTAAAGATGGGGTCTTGCCATGTTTCCCAGGCTGGTCTCAAACTCCTAGATTCAAGCGATCCACCTGCCTTGGTCTCCTAAAGTGCTGAATTATAGGCATGAGGCACCATGCCAGGCCTGTTTTGAAATTTCATACATATTTATAAAATGTGTGTTCAGGATGAGAGAGTATACAAAGAAGTTACATAGCATTGTGTATCTGTATAGAATAAACATAGTCTAAATCAATGTTGTCAGACCATGGCTTTATAGACACCATCTTCTAGTCAAAACACTCATCTGTTTTTACCCAGTACTCATACTGTGGGAAAAGTGTAGGGGCACAGAACAGTGAACGCTTTTGGGAATGTTGGAATCATTCTCTATTAGAATTTTATTCTTATACAAAATGTTGGTGAATCAGTCTGGATTTGGTCATGGAAACAACACCACCATCAATCCTTACAGAAAGAAGGTGTTTCATGTGGGAGTTTTAAGAATATAGGACAAACAGGATGTGGGAGAGATGGGGTTTCAAGGTCTGATAAGGGAATATTTGGTGGGATAAAGAAACAGTGACCAAGCACATGAGCCTGAAGACTTCTTAGAAACCTATCAGGCCCATATTTCCTTCTACCAAAAGGCAAAAATAATATTTAGGTTATTCTCACCAGGAGATTTGGCTACAGAAATGAATAACCCAATTTTTAATCTATTCAGCTAGTCTCACCACTGCTACCCAAAGAGCTACCTGAGAGTCTTGGAGACACAACTGAACACCAATGATAATCTTTAGATTTTAGCTGGGGATATTACCAAAGATGTGATTTACCCAGAAGGATTAACTCTAGCAAAGCAGCTAGATCAGGAAGGTTACTGGGGTCCAGGTTTGGACTATGCCTTGCTTGGAATGAATATATGGTCAGAAATCTTTCTTGTACTGTTAATAGAATGACCTGCTCTACTGGCCAAACCATCAGAGCACAGCAGAAGTCCCAAACTCCCTTGCTCATGTGGTCCTAGACAACTACATTGTTTTCGACTATCTCCTTGCTGTACAGGGTGATGTTTGTGCTGTTGCTAACATTTGCTGCTGCACCTGGGTAAATACATCCAATTAGATTGAATTGGAAACATCTAAGATCCTAAAGTTAGCCAAATCTCTGAAAGGGAACCCTTCAAAAAGCCTCCTGGCTAGACTTCCTGGTTTAATGTACAATTTCCAGATATTTTAAGTTGGCTTTTGTCTCTAGTCTAGGATACCTTCTGTGTTCTATCCTACAGATCTGAAATGATCCTTCTATTTGGGCTAATCATTTGGGTACTCCTGAAATTGTTCTAGCCTGGTTTTTTGTTGTTCGTTTTTTTTTGTTTTGTTTTGTTTTGTTTGTTTGTTTGTTTTTTTTGAGATGGAGTTTTGCTCTTGTTGCCCAGGCTGCGGTGCAATGGTGGGATCTTGGCTCACTGCAACCTCTGCCTCCCGGGTTCAAGCGATTCTCCTGCCTCAGCCTCCAGAGTAGCTGGGATTACAGGCATGTGCCACCACACCCGGCTAATTTTGTATTTTTCAGTAGAGATGGGGTTTCCCCACGTTGGTCAGGCTGGTCTCAAACTCCCGACCTCAGGTGATCTGCCCACTTCGGCCTCCCAGTGTGCTGGGATTACAGGTGTGAGCCACTGCGCCCAGCTCTTCTAGCCTGTTTTAACAGATATCTTCAAGAGACTTGGATCATGCTGACCTAACCCATGAGACTTTAAATTTACTCCAGACAGGAACCAGAATCAACATAACCTACGAGACTTTGATTAGAATCTAACAGGTACCTGAGTGCCTTTTGTAAGTAAATGGCTCTAGTTGCTCAATTGGCCACTGCTCTGCCACCAGGATCCCTAGAAGAGACCAGATAAACCTGAAGCACGTAGCTAATCACTTCCATGCCGTGATGGAATGCAGTGCTGTCTGCCAACAAGTTTGAGCCAGTCTTTCAAGATGCATCCTGAGTGGCTAACTGGGCCTGCATTTCAAGTTGAGCCAAGGGGCCATTTGCTAACGAGGGGACACACACATGTTCTGAGTTCACCCAAAACACATACCTTATTATTTTGGGGCTCTTCAGCTCACCTGCCTCTGTCAATCAGGGCTCAGCTGTATTGACCCATTAGCACTCAGTTGGGTTGACCAATCAGAACTAAGTGAGTTTCGAGTTTTAATTCTCAATTGAATGAACGGACCTGATTGGGAACCTGTGTGGGAACTTTGGCTATAAAACCTGAGCATTCTTTCTGTTCTCTGGAAGAAAATGTTTAAGTTGCTAACACTTTATGCATTTTCCTAAAATTGAATCAAACAACTCCTTCTGAAACATTACCTTGATATCAGGGAAGTCGTACAACACCGTGCTAAACAATTTTATTCCTCTAACCAAGGTCTGTGCCCCAATCAGCCGGAAGTGCTAGAGTGCTTGTCGCCCATTCTCCCACAAGATTGAGAAATGAAAAACCAAAAAAAGGGGACTTGAAACTGCAGAACCAGCCCAGTGTGGTTCAAGTTTGTGTAATAAAATAATGCGTTGTTTTACAGTTGCCATGGACACCTGGTTTCAGGTTATGTTACCTGAGTATGCCTAGATACACTTGGCATGCAACCACGGTGGAACCTAAGTACTTGGACCAAGGAGCAGGGCTGATTTAAGAAGGAGACACCTCAGGGCTTAATCTGTGATCTGATCACATCCAGCCCTGACATCACCTCATGGCACGATGCAGTCAGATCTTACCTCATTATCCGCTGTCTATAAAACCTGCCCCAACCCCCAGATCTGAGAGACAAATTTGAACATTTCTCCCATCTACTTCCTAGTCGACTAAAAATAAACCTTTCCCTCTAAAAAATCCTTGTGCTTCCTTGTTTGGCTTTCCATTGCAATCAGGCAAACGGCCTGCATTGGTTTAGGTAACTGACACTCCCAAGACTCAAGGAGCTGCCGTGCAGCACTATTTTGAAAGCCCAGCCCCCATCAGACTGTATCTTGCTCTGGGGCGAACAGCCCCATCATCTCCACGTCCCTGGAACCCTGCGGACATCTCTTCATTTCCACCCAGAGGGCTGCAACTTTGTCCCGTGGGCTGAATCCAGTGGTGCAGTAAGGAACAGCAGTGCACCACACCAGGGAGGCTGCCCCCAGGACAAAGGGAGCCTAAATGCACACTCCTCAGTTTCTGAAAGCCACTTGCCTGGGGCCACTGCCACCAACAGCAACCCTCTCAACCTTCCACCGGAAGCAGGGCCACCAAGCATCTGCATGTGCCTCCAATGGTCCTGGAGCTGGTCTACCCAGACACTGTTCTGTGTCCTGAGGACAGGCTCTCACACCACCCACCATGCAAACATGCTGCCCAGGGCCTGGGGATCATGCTGCCTCAACTGTAGCTGTGGGCATGTGCATGCAACATCAGGAAGTCTGACAGCAGGCCCAGGTCACCTGCCACTGGGACCCAAGCATGCCATCCAGGGGCCTGGTGATTTCCTGGCCCCACTCACCATAGCCTGCACACTTGCACACCATTGGAGGGTCTAAGGGCAGGAAAGCAACATGCCTCCCTGGAGAGAGCTTGATTCTATTCTGGCATATGCTAGAGAAAAGTACTAAACCAAGTCAGATGCTTTGGAATGTGGTCTAAATATTAATGCTACCAAACTGGGGAGGAAGTAACTCAGTTTTGCTGATTTTTCATTTTCTTATGCTTTATTGGTTAACAAAGAAACCATTATTTGCTTTTGAAGGCAGAGTTATTATTTTCTACCATGAAGTTACTTCAACTCATAAAAATGTATTTTATTTACACCTTTGTAGCAATGGAGCTTGGAAGAAAATATAAAGCTTACCTACATGAACATTTCATCTAGTATTCTGTGGTCTCACCTGGTCTTCTATGAAGTTTCAGTTCAAGTGAGGAAACAGCACCATGCTCTATTATGAAAGGAGGCATTTGCCATGTGATTGGATC
This sequence comes from Homo sapiens, assembly GCF_000001405.40. Lineage (NCBI taxonomy): Eukaryota > Metazoa > Chordata > Mammalia > Primates > Hominidae > Homo > Homo sapiens. The sequence goes on along the minus strand of NC_000001.11, from coordinate 89,427,796 downwards.
AGAGGTAGCTCAAGGTAATAAAAGGCCTCAAAGCAATTAGAAAAGACAGAATTATTAATGTGGATTTAATGGCATTAACTGCTTCCCTCCTTTTTTCTCACTGTGTTATTTTGAATAACCACATAGTTTTTTCAAGATTCTAATATATATAATCTAATCCATATGATTTTTGTACGTGTGAGTTACACAAGGCCGGTATATAAAACTTTGACCAATGTGTCTGTAAATCAGAGTTCTGCAAACTATGGCTTATGGGTGCCACCCTGTTATTGAAAATAAAAATTGATTGGAACATAGCCACACCTATTGGTTTATGTATTTTCTATGGCTGCATTTGCACTACATGCAGAGCTGAGTACTTGAGACAGACTGTATGACCTGCGAAGTCATAAATAGTTACTATCTGGTATTTTCAGAAAAGATTGCCAACCATTGCTATAAAGACTAAAACCTTCTTTTCTGACAAAAATAACTGCAAAAAGAAAACTTAATCAGAAATAAGAAGCCTAGTGAAATACATTGTATTTACAGTTCAGAAATAATTTTTAATTGCTATAAGAAACATCAACCACTTTCCTAGGACTTTTGACACATGAGATAAAGTCTATGTATACTAAGTAAACACAAGAACATTATTAAATGGGTCAAAAATGTCAAAAAACATCCGATATTCTCTTCTGGGGAAACTCAGCAAGATTTCAAGTATGAGTGTTAAGAATTAGAAAAGACTAGCATAAGCTTTAGCATTCTAAATAATAAGTAATTGAATTAATTCAATTCTGTTACACAGCATCTTTTAAAGTCAATCTTTGCAAATTATACATTGCCATAAATACAGTGTGTAATTGGCATTATGTGACTTTGTTTAATCCAGTGTCAACTGTCTAATGGTCTAAAGTGTCCCATTAAAGTTATAATCTGGATGAACTGAACAAGAAGAAAAGTTTTCTTCTTTAGCCCATTTGTTTATCACTCAATTCCTGCTCCTGCTCATGGTTTCTTCCACCTACCTCTGGAGAACATAAAGGGATTCTAGATCTCTGTATAAGGTGGTTTGCTTTAGCTTGAAATCATCAGTGAGGACAATACATGGGCAATGTCCACAAATCACATTATTGCTCATAGACTGTGTAGCCCTGATCTAATGGATAACTGTACATTGTCTTCACTAAGAAGCCAGGGTGGTTGTCCTTGATATTGGGACATTGTAGACTTGGCCAGACCAATGCCCAAATATTTCCCAAGACTTTTACCTAAGACTCTGCTCAGTACCCATTTGTCTACTGCTGGTCATCTGGAAGAATAAACTCCTGGGTGGTACCAGCTCATGAACCTTCCTGAGTTGGTACAGAGGTAAATGCATCTTTTTTGCACAATTTACAGTCTTTTTTTTTTTGGAAAAAACATGATTTTGATCATTGTACTGCATGCCTTTATAAATTTTGGTGTTATGATGCAAGATCTAATTATTATCAAATGTAGTGTCGCTTGTTCCAAATTCTAAAATTGTTTCAATTATGCCTTGGGTAGGGGTGACAGGAAGGCTCTGGTCTTTAGTTTATGGTACATGTCCTTGGTTGTATCATTGTCCTCTGGAGATTCTGTATCTCATTTTGGATTCTTCTGCTTACGTTTTCAAATCTCTCTTTTAGTAGTCGCTCTTGTTCCTAAAGAGGGACAAACGGAGGCTGAATAAAGTGTGGCATCGGGAAAATTGAAATATTCTATCTGGTTTCCACATTCAATGATTTGTTATTTAATTTTCTCTTAAACTTTTCTCTAGCCTTAATTTTCATTATACTTTTGCTTGGGCATCCAGGCTCAGTGATTTCTTCTCCTGCGAATCCTTTAGCTAAGAGAGAGTTTCAGCCATACATTTTGCTATGTTTGATGAACCTAAATTACCAGGCTTGATTTTCCCCCCATTAATTGTATACAGCCTTGGTGGGCAATCTTGATCATATGTTTGGCTTCAACTCTTATCTATGCATTATACATTCTTTTATATACCTACCTACATGTTTACTATTTGTCAGGCTCACGACTATGCCACAGGTCATGCTGAGGTCGGGAGGGAATGGGCGGATGAGCCGAAAGAATACTCAGCGGGCCGTGGGCAGGTGAATATGATTTTATTCAGCACCAGCTCTTAACAGCTTTCTCACACTAGCTGTCTACACTGTCTGCCTTGTCTTGGCTGCTTAGCCTGGCAGCCCCCCACACAGCTGTGCAGCCGGCTCTTCCCTGCCTTCAGGGTCAGCAGCTTAACTCTTTCTCTCTCTCTAGGCATGAGTGGCCTGAGCTGTGTCCTGGTTCCTCTCTGTCTGCAAAGACGGACAGCTTTGGCTTTCTCTTTGGGCGCCAGCACCTGCACAGTGTCAACAGGGAATTATACCTTTTATAGACAATAGTGGCTTAGAGCCAAGTGATGGCCTTCCCTATGTTATGGCTATGGTGGTGAGCTTCTCTATGTTATGTCTGCATGGCTGTGATGACAAGTGGAGTTATACACCTGTGCTCTAGACTCGCTGAGTCATGCAAGATGTAAACATCGTACTTTGGCCTATCCTTGACCAAAGCACAGCCATGTTCCTTACACTAGTATGTATATAACATAACACAGAAATAAACAAAGTATCCTCAAAATCTCATAAGGTGTATGAATCATGGATTAGGAAATTTGATCTAAGCTGCCACACCTTGGTGTCAGGGGTAGCAGAAGATAGGTAAGAAATCTGAGTGCCAGACTGACCATACTGAGTTTCTGCATATAGCTCACAACTCAAAACAAACTGGGAGCAGGACATAAAAAATTGTCAGAATTAGCAGAGTATCACACAGGTGTGAGGGTTAGGAGACTTTCTGCTCACAAAGGTTTTCTTAAGTTTAATTTCATACTAGGTGTCACAGAAAAAAATAATCATTGTGGATTCCACTAAGTGATGAAGACAGCTTTGATACATTTACTAGCTGTGTGACTCTATTTATTTATTATTTTTGGAAACTTTGTTTCTTCTCCTAAGTAATAAGAATATAGTTCTTGCTTCACATGGTATTAAGCAAGAGATACAGATACTTTAATGATGGCTAGCAGATAATACCTGCCTTGAAATGAAGGATATATAGATAAAGCACTGAATGTGACACAACTGCAATATTTGCAGTTTAGTGACCAGACTTGGCAGTAGCCAGTTCAGGCTGGACAGACAGGAATTGAAAAGTACAAGTAAGCAAGCAGGGTTCTTCCCCTGGGCTTCATGTTCTCTCTGCCACAGTAAGCCTGTGATCGGGGAGAATGGAGAGAAAACAGAAAAACAGAAACCTCAAGGTGATGCAATTAGACACCTGAAGTTTAAGAGCGAGGGTCCTCTCTTGCTCTTCCAGCAACTGGACCCTGTCGCTCTCCATCTTCTCAGTCAGTTGTTTCAAGTGTTCCTGATAACTCCTCTCCTTCTGTTCCATCATCTGCTCATTCTTTCTTTGCATTTGCTGCAACATTTTTGCTGAAGCCTGTGCAGACTCAGCTTTCACACGTTCCACTGTGGAGGAAAAGAAAGAAGGAAAATTTGTGTGGGGTTATCTTGTTGCCTCATTGTTCCTTATACACTTACCTGTCGTTGTTGCTGACTGCATATGCCCTACTCAGAGATGACCTCGGCAAGTAAGACACACCTTTGTGGATCTTGCTCTAGTTAAAGGGTCCCATGTTTATCCAGTCAAGTTATTTCAATTTTTGGAGCTTTTGAGGCCATCTAATCTCTTAACTCACTCCTCACCTTCAATCTCCTTTTCTTTTTCTGTGAGAGTCTGGTCTGTCTGGAGAATTGCATCAGTCATAGACTCCTTGGATTTCAAGTATGTCTGCAGAATCTCTTCAGCCTTAGGACCCAGAGAACACAAAGTGAGAAGTAGGAGACGGCTGTAAGCAGGTGTTCCTGTTTGTCTTCCTGCCATCCTTTCCTCTGGGAATTCTTTCCTTTGCCCTGTTGTCCTTGGTGGTGAAATTCCCTGTCAGAGCGAGAGGCACATGCTCCTGGCAAGCTGATCAGAGCATCCTACTTAGCAGTCATTTTTAGTAGGCTAATATAGATACTGGGAAAAGGAGAGTCTCTGTCCTGTTTAGATTAAGGGCTCTAAGTTTGGAACTGTTAATGCTGTGGTCCCATATGGGCTGAGCCTGCTGGGGAATGAAGCCATCATTGAGAAAGCAAATATCAGAGTGACTCAGATAGAGGGAGGGTGGGAGGGAGAAAACTGTGGGGATGGGGGAACACTGGACAGAGAGACAGTTCATGATGTTACTTGAAACCTTAGACCCACCTGTCCTGTAAAGCCAGTTTGCAGCCTAAATCAATGAATTACTATTTTTGTTTAAGCAGCCATCATTAGGTTCCTGTCTCTTGCAACAGGAAAAGCCCAGCTGTAATGATGATAATGACAACTTGGTGCTTCATCTGCTAGTTGAATTTGTAACTCAGTAGTTAATTGCACTCTCCTTGATGAGCACCTAGGGCATATCTGGAATAACAGCCTCTTTGCATATGTTATTGAATGAAAGCATGAATGTTATGCAAACAAAAAAGCACATCTGTGTGCAGTGAAGCTTGGTCACCTTGGTGTTTGTAGGAGGCAGGTCAGCAGGTTTCCATAATCGACAGATGAATTTTGGTTACCTGTATCCCCTTCCTCGGTTCCTCATAGTACTTTTTCTCCAGGTCTTGTAACTTCTGAATAAAGAGACGATAGCCCCCTGGTTTCGAATAAATTCCCGCCTTCACTTCTTCTTCTAGAGGACTGAAAATGACCTGAAGTAAAGCTGAGCAACGATCTGATGATGCTTCCTGATTCTGTTTACAAAAGTCATCCCGCTTTTTGTCTAGCTGGGCCTTTAATGTAAAAATAGGAAGTAAAAAGAGTAACAGGGAAAGGATGTTAGCTTGACCTCAGAATTTCGGGAATGACTTCTGAAAATAAAAGTCAATGATGCTGGAGAAATTGACAGACTCCTCACCAGGACCACACTCTTCCTTCTGACCCCACTTTCTACTGAAGTCGCTTTCTTTTTGGAGGTGAGGTTCAGGACCGAGATTGATAGCTTTATGTCAACCGTTAGAGGAAAACTCTGGTTTTGCATATTGGACTAATGATTTCATATGGAATAAATGTGGCTGAACAGAAGCATGCTCAAGATAAGCAGGATGAAAGTTTTCTTTGTGTTTGGCTAGAATATCAAATCAGTCTGAGAAGAGTGGGCAGGTAATTTTATTAGAAGCTCTGGTTATCAGTTGTATGCATTTAGGTAAAGGGAAAATTATTCAGGAAAAAATGTTTTAAAACTTTGAGTCTGTAATAATACAGTTGGTCCTCTTGATTGATGTGATTACAAATCTGTTGTTGTCACCATTATGAAAGCTAGGAAGAATTACTTCTATCAAAATAATACTCGTTTTCTTTCTTTGTAGTACTTTGTCTTCCATGACCCTAAACCATATAAATTTGAGACAAAAATTACCGCTAACTCCTTTTGAAATAGATGGTCCACATCTTTGAAGGAACTCCTGATGAAAACTTCAGTGGCCTTGCTCTCACTGTCCCTGTGCAGGTCCAGCAGCTCCTGGAGGGTTTCTGTGGGCAGCTGCACCTTCTGGCCCATCTGCTTTTCATAGTGGGCAATAGCCTTTTGCACTGCGGCTGAGTTCTCTATCTGGGCCAAGGCCAGGACTGCGTTCTCCATGCAGGGTAGATCCCCACTGCTGATGGCATTGACATAGGTCAGCACCAGGCTCTCTAGACCTGCCTATGGAGAACAAATGCTAATGTTTCTTGTAGTAAAGAAAGTCTCTATTCCCTGTAATTCTTTTTTTTTTTTTTTTTTTTTTTTTTTTTCAGAAATACAGACTCTTAGACCCTGTCCAAGATCTATTGAATTAGACTTTTGTCTTTGGTAAGATCCTCAGAAGATACGTATGCATACCAACATTTGAGAGTTCTTGTACTAGATTACATAGACCTGTGTTAATTGAATGTTTGCATCCATTTTAACCCCAAGCAACATTAGGACAGGAACCATATCTATTTCATTTATATCTGTATCTTCAGTCTATTCATAGTAAGCATTTGATCAATATGTATGAAACAAATGAAACTATTCCAATAAAAAAAAGTCCTCCATTTAGTTTATTTTATCACAGTTTTGTCCAAAAGCGCTTTCTGTAATGCTAGAAATCTCTCAGTGTCAACACAAAGTCTGGGAAGAAGCTCTCAAAGTCAGCTGAATCCTCATTCTCATTCTCATCAGGTGAAGATTTTGGTTGGACTCGATGTGTCAGCTCTGTCACATAGCTGAGTAGCTAACTAAAGAAATGTGACAAAATGAACATGGACCTCATCCCATATTAGTTCAACACATTCCCAAACCTTCCATTTTCCTTTGTTCTTAACCTAAGTGTCAAGTCTAAAGTGGATATATGGGATCACTCCTCTGTACTTTATGTATTTTATGTTTTCTCCTTTTGAGCTTGATTCATCAGGATTCACAGTCAGGCAGCTGGTTTATGAACACAGGTGCCCTCTGACCTTGGTGCTGTTCTGGGTCACAAAGGATACTGCAGTTGGTCCATGGCCTGCTGGTTAATGGTTCCTATGCTATTGTACATGGAAGTGCTGTTCAGGAGGACGGCCAGGGCGAAGATCCAGGAGTCATTCTGGTTGTCACCCTGGAAGTCAAGACACACTGGAGTCAGGAGCACGTTTCGTAGTCACAGCACTTTCCAGAGTAAGAGTAGTAAAACTATGTTCATATGTTAGAGGGTTTTTGGTTTTTTGTTTGTTTGTTCTTTAGCACTAATGACCTATCAAAGAAGCCAAATACAAAAAGTATTCTCAGTAGGATGTGGCTTTTGGGTAGTTTTTCGATGAATGTTTTGGGTTACAATGATCCTTACTAGGTCTTCTAATGATCATCAACAGATAATTGTAAAATTAAAATTCAAGGTTGGTGGGCATTTTAAGGCCTGAGTACAATGTAAATTTAAAATTTTCTCTTCTTTTTTCAATAACAGAATTCACATATAAGATTGGTACTATTAGTTGCTGTTTTATCGAATAATTAATATACACCTGACACGTATTTTCTTATTAAATATTCAAAATTATACTATGTGGCCAACATAGGTCTTTTCCATACATTTTAAAGCTTAGAATGCTGAGGCTAAAATAGGTCAATTTTCTCAGGCTACTGAATTAGTGACAGAATTTAAATTTAAATACAAAGTCACGGGGCTTTAGCACCCAAATTCTTAACTAAAGTTCTGTGCAGGATAAGACTCATGACACTGGGATTATTTGTGCTCCCTTTATGCATCTGTGTTAACCCACACATATTACAGCCTGTAGTTAATGGTTAATAAACAATTAAACAGTGCATAAAATATTCAGAGAAGAGGGGCTCACTCCACAATTGGATCCTTGAGTCTCACCTTCTCTACATCTCCCAGACCCTCGGTGTCCAGCAGAACTAGGATGTGGCCTGGCTTCTTGGGATGGGGCATACACCACATCCAGATTCCTTTAGTGTGAGACTGCACTGTGGAGCCCAGAGAGAAGCCTGCAAGGGAGAGAGGAGACCAGAGATGGGGATTTAGTAACAGGCAGTTCTAGCAACTGAAGGAAAAGGTAGCGTATTTTAAGGTTAAGAGAGAGAACTGAAACAACAATCAGTATTCACCTTACTTACTTACAATCAAAGAAATAGGAAATTTGAATATCCAATGCATGGAAAAATTCAGGAGGCTTTCACGATAAAAATAATCAACAAAGTAGAAATAGAAAGACAATACCTCAACATAATAAAGGCCATATATTAAAAACCCACAGCTCACTTCACATTTAATGATGAAGTGTCATAGCTTTTCCTATAACATCAGGAACAAGAAAAGGATGCCTACTTTTGCCAATTGCATTCCACAGAACACTGCAAGTCCTATCCAGAGTAATTAGACAAGAAAAGCATAAAGGAGGCATCCTAATTGGTAATGAAAAAGTAAAATTATCTCTGTCTGCCGACGGTAGTATCTAATTTGTGGAAAACATTAAATATTCCACAAAAAACTATTAGAACTATTAAAAGAATTCATCAAAGTTGCAGGATGCAAAGCCAATATGGAGAAATCAGTTGCTAGTGTATAAAAATAGAATTAGAACAGGAATTCTAATTTCCTTCCTAAACAAAAAGAAAAGGAAATTTTGAAAACAATCCCATTTAACAGCATCAAAAGAATAAATCACTTAGGAATAAGCTTAACCAAGCAGGCGCAAGAGTTGTCGAGTGAAAACTTCAAACACCCTTTAAAGAAATTGTAGATGACATAAATCATTAGAAAAACATCCTGCGTTTATGAATTGGAAGACTTAATATTCTTAAGATGTCACTACTACCCAAAGTGATGTACAGGTTTGAGGTAATTCTACCAACATTCCAATTACTTTGTATAAATAGAAAAATCTACCATAACTTTCATATGAAATTTCCAGAGATCCCCTAATTATGAAAATAATCTTAAAAAGGAAGAGAGGAAGAGCAAAGTTGGAGTCTTACAGTTTCTGAGTTCTGAAACTTATTACAAAACCATGTGTGGTACTGGTATAAAGACTGACATATAAACCAATGGAATAGAAAAGACAGCCCATGAATATACTCTGACATATATGGTCAGTGATTTCCAGGATGGGTGTCAAGATCATTTAATTAAGAAAGAAGAGTCTCTTTAACAAATGATGTTGAGGAAATGAGATATCTCCTTAAAAAAAGTTGGGCTCTTACCTTATAACTTACAAATATGAACTCAAAATGGATCAAAGAACCAAACATTAGAGTTAAAACTATAAAATTTGTAGAAGAAAACAAGGGTAAAAGTTATATAATATTGGATTTGGCAATGATTTTTTTTAATAAGAAACCAAAAGTATAGACAATAAAAGAAAAAATAGATTAGTTGACTTCATCAACATTTAAAACTTTTGTGTATTAACAGACACTATCAACAGAGTTAAAAAAAAGCAACACACAGAATGTAAGAAAATATTTGTTAAACATGTATATGATAAGGGATTTATATCTAGAAAATATAAAAAAAATTTACAAAGCAACACAGATAAACAACCAGATTAATAAATGAATAAAGGAGGAGGAGCCAAGATGGCCGAATAGGAACAGCTGGGGTCTACAGCTCCCAGCCTGAGCGACGCAGAAGACGGGTGATTTCTGCATTTCCATCTGAGGTAACGGGTTCATCTCACTAGGGAGTGCCAGACAGTGGGCACAGGTCAGTGGGTGCGCGCACCGTGCGCGAGCCGAAGCAGGGCGAGGCATTGCCTCACTTGGGAAGTGCAAGGGGTCAGGGAGTTCCCTTTCCCAGTCAAAGAAAGGAGTGACGGACGCACCTGGAAAATCGGGTCACTCCCACCCGAATACTGCGCTTTTCCGACGGGCTTAAAAAAACGGTGCACCACGAGATTATATCCCGCACCTGGCTCGGAGGGTCCTACGCCCACGGAGTCTCGCTGATTGCTAGCACAGCAGTCTGAGATCAAACTGCAAGGCGGCAGCGAGGCTGGGGGAGGGGCGCCCACCATTGCCCAGGCTTGCTTAGGTAAACAAAGCAGCCAGGAAGCTCGAACTGGGTGGAGCCCACCACAGCTCAAGGAGGCCTGCCTGCCTCTGTAGGCTCCACCTCTGGGGGCAGGGCACAGACAAACAAAAAGACAGCAGCAACCTCTGCAGACTTAAATGTCCCTGTCTGACAGCTTTGAAGAGAGCAGTGGTTCTCCCAGCACGCAGCTGGAGATCTGAGAACGGGCAGACTGCCTCCTCAAGTGGTTCCCTGACCCCTGACCCCCGAGCAGCCTAACTGGGAGGCACCCCCCAGCAGGGGCACACTGACACCTCACACGGCAGGGTATTCCAACAGACCTGCAGCTGAGGGTCCTGTCTGTTAGAAGGAAGACTAACAAACAGAAAGGACATCCACACCAAAAACCCATCCGTACATCACCATCATCAAAGACCAAAAGTAGATAAAACCACAAAGATGGGGAAAAAACAGAACAGAAAAACTGGAAACTCTAAAAAGCAGAGCGCCTCTCCTCCTCCAAAGGAACGCAGTTCCTCACCAGCAACGGAACAAAGCTGGATGGAGAATGACTTTGACGAGCTGAGAGAAGAAGGCTTCAGACTATCAAATTACACTGAACTACAGGAGGACATTCAAACCAAAGGCAAAGAAGTTGAAAACTTTGAAAAAAAATTTAGAAGAATGTATAACTAGAATAACCAATACAGAGAAGTGCTTAAAGGAGCTGATGGAGCTGAAAGCCAAGGCTCGAGAACTACGTGAAGAATGCAGAAGCCTGAGGAGCCGATGCGATCAACTGGAAGAAAGGGTATCAGCAATGGAAGATGAAATGAATGAAATGAAGTGAGAAGGGAAGTTTAGAGACAAAAGAATAAAAAGAAATGAGCAAAGCCTCCAAGAAATATGGGACTATGTGAAAAGACCAAATCTACGTCTGATTGGTGTACCTGAAAGTGATGGGGAGAATGGAACCAAGTTGGAAAACACTCTGCAGGATATTATCCAGGAGAACTTCCCCAATCTAGCAAGGCAGGCCAACGTTCAGATTCAGGAAATACAGAGAACGCCACAAAGATACTCCTCAAGAAGAGCAACTCCAAGACACATAATTGTCAGATTCACCAAAGTTGAAATGAAGGAAAAAATGTTAAGGGCAGCCAGAGAGAAAGGTCGGGTTACCCACAAAGGGAAGCCCATCAGACTAACAGCAGATCTCTCGGCAGAAACCCTACAAGCCAGAAGAGAGTGGGGGCCAATATTCAACATTCTTAAAGAAAAGAATTTTCAACCCAGAATTTCATATCCAGCCAAACTAAGCTTCATAAGTGAAGGAGAAATAAAATACTTTACAGACAATCAAATGCTGAGAGATTTTTGTCACCACCAGGCCTGCCCTAAAAGAGCTCCTGAAGGAAACGCTAAACATGGAAAGGAACAACCGGTACCAGCCGCTGCAAAATCATGCCAAAATTTTGCATGATCATCAAGTCTAGGAAGAAATTGCATCAACTAATGAGCAAAATAACCAGCTAACATCATAACAACAGGATCAAATTCACACATAACAATATTAACTTTAAATGTAAATGGACTAAATGCTCCAATTAAAAGACACAGACTGGCAAATTGGATAAAGAGTCAAGACCCATCAGTGTGCTGTACCCAGGAAACCCATCTCACGTGCAGAGACACACATAGGCTCAAAATAAAAGGATGGAGGAAGATCTACCAAGCAAATGGAAAACAAAAAAAGGCAGGGGTTGCAATCCTAGTCTCTGATAAAACAGATGTCAAAACAAAAAAGATCAAAAGAGACAAAGAAGGCCATTACATAATGGTAAAGGGATCAATTCAACAAGAAGAGCTAACTATCCTAAATATATATGCACCCAATACAGGAGCACCCAGATTCATAAAGCAAGTCCTGAGTGACCTACAAAGAGACTTAGACTCCCACACATTAATAATGGGAGACTTTAACACCCCACTGTCAACATTAGACAGATCAACGAGACAGAAAGTCAACAAGGATACCCAGGAATTGAACTCAGCTCTGCACCAAGCAGACCTAATAGACATCTACAGAACTCTCCACCCCAAATCAACAGAATATACATATTTTTCAGCACCACACCACACCTATTCCAAAATTGACCACATACTTGGAAGTAAAGCTCTCCTCAGCAAATGTAAAAGAACAGAGATTATAACAAACTATTTCTCAGACCACAGTGCAATCAAACTAGGACTCAGGATTAAGAATCTCACTCAAAACGGCTCAACTACATGGAAACTGAACAACCTGCACCTGAATGACTACTGGGTACATAATGAAATGAAGGCAGAAATAAAGATGTTCTTTGAAACCAACGAGAACAACGACACAACATACCAGAATCTCTGGGACGCATTCAAAGCAGTGTGTAAAGGGAAATTTATAGCACTAAATGCCCACAAGAAAAGCAGGAAAGATCCAAAATTGACACCCTAACATCACAATTAAAAGAACTAGAAAAGCAAGAGCAAACACATTCAAAAGCTAGCAGAAGGCAAGAAATAACTAAAATCAGAGCAGAACTGAAGGAAATAGAGACACAAAAAACCCTTCAAAAAATCAATGAATCCAGGAGCTGGTTTTTTGAAAGGATCAACAAAATTGATAGACCGCTAGCAAGACTAATAAAGAAAAAAAGAGAGAAGAATCAAATAGACGCAATAAAAAATGATAAAGGGGATATCACCAGCGATCCCACAGAAATACAAACTACCATCAGAGTATACTACAAACACCTCTATGCAAATAAACTAGAACATCTAGAAGAAATGGATAAATTCCTGGACACATACACTCTCCCAAGACTAAACCAGGAAGAAGTTGAATCTCTGAATAGACCAATAACAGGCTCTGAAATTGTGGCAATAATCAATAGCTTACCAACCAAAAAGAGTCCAGGACCAGATGGATTCACAGCCGAATTCTACCAGAGGTACAAGGAGGAAATGGTACCATTCCTTCTGAAACTATTCCAATCAATAGAAAAAGAGGGAATCCTCCCTAACTCATTTTATGAGGCCAGCATCATTCTGATACCAAAGCCGGGCAGAGACACAACCAAAAAAGAGAATTTTAGACCAATATCCTTGATGAACATTGATGCAAAAATCCTCAATAAAATACTGGCAAACCGAATCCAGCAGCACATCAAAAAGCTTATCCACCATGATCAAGTGGGCTTCATCCCTGGGATGCAAGGCTGGTTCAATATATGCAAATCAATAAATGTAATCCAGCATATAAACAGAGCCAAAGACAAAAACCACATGATTATCTCAATAGATGCAGAAAAAGCCTTTGACAAAATTCAACAACCCTTCATGCTAAAAACTCTCAATAAATTAGGTATTGATGGGACATATTTCAAAATAATAAGAGCTATCTATGACAAACCCACAGCCAATATCATACTGAATGGGCAAAAACTGGAAGCATTCCCTTTGAAAACTGGCACAAGACAGGGATGCCCTCTCTCACCACTCCTATTCAACATAGTGTTGGAAGTTCTGGCCAGGGCAATTAGGCAGGAGAAGGAAATAAAGGGTATTCAATTAGGAAAAGAGGAAGTCAAATTGTCCCTGTTTGCAGACGACATGATTGTATATCTAGAAAACCCCATCGTCTCAGCCCAAAATCTCCTTAAGCTGATAAGCAACTTTAGCAAAGTCTCAGGATACAAAATCAATGTACCAAAATCACAAGCATTCTTGTACACCAACAACAGACAAACAGAGAGCCAAATCATGAGTGAACTCCCATTCACAATTGCTTCAAAGAGAATAAAATACCTAGGAATACAACTTACAAGGGATGTGAAGGACCTCTTCAAGGAGAACTACAAACCACTGCTCAAGGAAATAAAAGAGGATACAAACAAATGGAAGAACATTCCATGCTCATGAGTAGGAAGACTCAATATCGTGAAAATGGCCGTACTGCCCAAGGTAATTTACAGATTCAATGCCATCCCCATCAAGCTACCAATGACTTTCTTCACAGAATTGGAAAAAACTACTTTAAAGTTCATATGGAACCAAAAAAGAGCCCACATCACCAAGTCAATCCTAAGCCAAAAGAACAAAGCTGGAGGCATCACACTACCTAACTTCAAACTATACTACAAGGCTACAGTAACCAAAACAGCATGGTACTGGTACCAAAACAGAGATATAGATCAATGGAACAGAACAGAGCCCTCAGAAATAACGCCGCATATCTACAACTATCTGATCTTTGACAAACCTGAGAAAAACAAGCAATGGGGAGAGGATTCCCTATTTAATAAATGGTGCTGGGAAAACTGGCTAGCCATATGTAGATAGCTGAAACTGGATCCCTTCCTTACACCTTATACAAAAATTAATTCAAGGTGGATTAAAGACTTAAAAGTTAGACCTAAAACCATAAAAACCCTAGAAGAAAATCTAGGCATTACCATTCAGGACATAGGCATGGGCAAGGATTTCATGTCTAAAACACCAAAAGCAATGGCAACAAAAGCCAAAATTGACAAATGGGATCTAATTGAACTGAAGAGCTTCTGCACAGCAAAAGAAACTACCATCAGAGTGAACAGGCAACCTATAAAATGGGAGAAAATTTTTGCAACCTATTCATCTGAAAAAGGGCTAATATCCAGAATCTACAATGAACTCCAACAAATTTACAAGAAAAAAACAAACAACCCCATCAAAAAGTGGGCAAAGGACATGAACAGACACTTCTCAAAAGAAGACCTTTATGCAGCCAAAAAACACTTGAAAAAATGCTCATCATCACTGGCCATCAGAGAAATGCAAATCAAAACCACAATGAGATATCATCTCACACCAGTTAGAATGGCGATCATTAAAAAGTCAGGAAACAACAGGTGCTGGAGAGGATGTGGAGAAATAGGAACACTTTTACACTGTTGGTGGGACTGTAAACTAGTTCAACCATTGCGGAAGTCAGTGTGGCGATTCCTCAGGAATCTAGAACTAGAAATACCATTTGACCCAGCCATCCCACTACTGGGTATATATCCAAAGGACTATAAATCATGCTGCTATAAAGACACATGCACACGTATGTTTATTGTGGCATTATTCACAATAGCAAAGACTTGGAACCAACCCAAATGTCCAACAATGATAGACTGGATTAAGAAAATGTGGCACATATACACCATGGAATACTATGCAGCCATAAAAAATGATGAGTTCATGTCCTTTGTAGGGACATGGATGAAATTGGAAATCATCATTCTCAGTAAACTATCACAAGAACAAAAAACCAAACACCGCATATTCTCACTCATAGGTGGGAATTGAACAATGAGATCACATGGACACAGGAAGGGGAATATCACACTCTGGGGACTGTTGTGGGGTGGGGGGAGGGGGGAGGGATAGCATTGGGGGATATACCTAATGCTAGATGACAAGTTAGTGGGTGCAGCGCAGCAGCATGGCACATGTATACATATGTAACTAACCTGCACAATGTGCACATGTACCCTAAAACTTAAAGTATAATAAAAATAAATAAATAAATAAATAATAAAATAAAATAAAATATACATTGATTTAAAAAATAAAATAAAATAAAATAAAATAATAACCGGCAGGCCATATTTGTCCCACTGGCCATAGCTTGGCAATCTCTTTTTAAGAACAGTCTATGTAGCATTGGTATTATCTAATATTTGAAAAATTCATAAAATTCCATTATAAAGTCATCTGTGTCTTGTACTTTTGGGTGGGAGTAGTAATTTAATAACTTTCTCATTTTCTTAAACTTTCTGTCTCCATTGGTATCACTGTTAATAATTTCCCTATGGGATTACCCATTTTATGTAGGCTTTTATATCTACCTGCTTAGAGCTGTGTAAAATGATTTAACTCAAAAGTTTAAAAATGTCCTTAGTTTTAGTATGATTTCCTCTTGTTTCGTGTATTATTCTGTGTAACTTTGTTTTCTCCCTGTTTTTCTTGATTAGGTTGGATGTTGGTTTGCATATTTTGTTTATGTTCTATTCAAAGAACTAGCATGTTGATTAATTTATAACATAGCTTACAATCAGAACTAACTGAAGTTCTGCTCTTATCTCTTTATGTCTGTTATGTTTCCTTTTGCTTTATTTTCTTGATCTTTTTTCTAGCTTTCTGTGTTTCACATTAGATTTATGTATTTTAATTTATAATTCTATTGATATATGATTTAAAGACTACAAATTGTTTTTGATAATTATTTTCATTATATTCCATAGATTCTGATATATATATCACTATTTTGATGTTTATATGTTCACCTATTTTGATTTGTATTTTCTACTTGATCTAATAGTTGTTTAATGAAGAGTTTTAACATTTTCAAGTGGAAGAAAATTTTTCTGAATTTAAAAAAAAAAAATAAATGAAGAAAGGACTTGAATAGACATTTTCCCAAAGAAGATATACAGGTGGCCAATAAGCACATGAAAAGATGCCCAGTATCACCAGTCATTAGGAAAATGAAAATCAAAACCATAGTGAGATACTACTTAACATCCATTCATATGGCCACTATCAAAAAAAACACTGAAAATAAAAAATGTTGGTGAGGAGGTAGAGAAATTAGAGCCCTTGTGCATTTCTGTTGGGAATGTAAAACAGTACAGTCACTGTGGAAAATAGT
The DNA here is from genome assembly GCF_000001405.40 of Homo sapiens. Classification (NCBI taxonomy): domain Eukaryota; kingdom Metazoa; phylum Chordata; class Mammalia; order Primates; family Hominidae; genus Homo; species Homo sapiens. The sequence continues at coordinate 89,411,452 of NC_000001.11, read as the reverse complement.
ATAGTGATTTCTTAAAAAAAAAAAAAGTTAACATGGAATGACTGCATGAGCCAGCAATTACCCTTCTGGGTATATTCCCAAAAGAAGTGAAAGCAGGGACTTGAACAGATATTCAGACACCCATGTTCCTATTAGCATTATTTATAATAGACAAAAGGTGGAAGCAATCCAATTGTCCATTGACAGATGAAGAGATAAACAAATTAGTATACATGTACAATTACTAAGCCTTAAAAAGGAAGAGTTTTGACACATGCTAACACACTGATGAACCTTGAAGACATATGAATTGAAATAAGCCAGTCATAAAAGGACAAATATTGAATAATTCCACTTATATGAGGTTTCTGTAGTAGTAAAATTCATAGAGATAGAATGTAGAATGATGGCAGGCAATGGGTTTATGTGGAGCTTTTGTTTAGTTAGTACAGAGTTTCTGTTAGGCAAGATGAAAGATTTCTGGATATGGATGGAGGTGACAGCTGTATAACAATGTGAATTTAATTAATGCCACAGAGCTGTACACTTAAAAATGGTTACGAGGTTAAATTTTATGTTATTTTTTTACAACAATAAAAAAGAATATCCAATACAGACAAACATTTTTTCAACCTTAAAGATCACTGTAAACTCGCTGTTATGGCATAAAAATTGTAGTTTATTATAGTTATTATTATGTACATTAATTATTTTTATTACAGTCTTACTCCTTTTAGGAAAGGCACAGTTTGTGCTTTTGAAAGGGAAACTAATGTATCATGGGAATAATTAATGAATTTAAAATTATCCCTTAGAGCAGCGTGAAGATAAGGAGCCCGACTGTGAATGGAAAGTTAGCTTTCCATATTCATCCTCATCTCTTTCTCTCTTCACATCCTCATGATGGAGGCTGACTGTGTAGATGGACAGAAGGGACTTGGCAGAGCTTTGCTCATGCCACTCACCCTTTTTCTTCTGAGCCAGCTTGTTAATCAGGTAGGATTTTCCTGTGCGCTAGCGGCCCACAGTCGCCACCACCACCACAGGCTGCGTAATGGCAGAAAGGATCTTCAGAGCTTCTGGATTCGCCATCAGTCGCCCATTAGTGTTCTCAATGAGGCACATTGGGCCTGTCATGTGGATCTCTGATACCATGTCTGGGGTGTTCCCTTGTCTGCAAGAGAAGAGGTGAAATAAATGAGAGTTTCTAGTGTTTTGCAATTATAAGGGAGAATCATAAGATTCCCCATTATGGCCAAAAGTTTTGTGTGTGACAGCGAGAGAGATGAGGCAAAATCTGTATCATTTGAGAAAATTATGGAAGTATTGTCAAAGTAGCTCATTACAAAAAATGTTAGCATGACAGTGACTTATCAATGTTGTGGGATCCAGGAGGACGAGAGAGAGACCTCGGGTTAAAACAGGAGAATTTTTATTGAGTACACTCAGGCCCCAGCACACTCACATGCAAAGACAGCACTTGACTTTTATACACACTTCACAAAAGCAGGTGGGCTAGCTTGAAGCAAGCTTACAGTGGCATGAAAGCAGGGATATAGAGGCAGGACAAACTCAGGATTACACATGACCATTGCCAAGCAACCCAGATGTCTGTTATCTACGTTTTGCTCTAAAGAGCCTTGCACTGGTTTATATTATAACCTTCACTATGGTGCCCAGGCAGCTGTAGTTCAGGCCTATTCAGGCTTCTCATGACCTTCACTCTACTTCTTAGATAAAACAGAATACTTGAAGTCACTAGTTACAGAGAACAGGAATCTACAAACTTTTCCATAAAACAAAGGAAAATTTATTTTTCTTCTTCCTATGTTGAGGGAGTGCTGGGAGAGTCTCCAGAGCACCTTAGATAGTATTATCAAGACTTTTCCTGGGTCTGGTCTGTGCCTGTTGCTGCCTCTGGGACAAGTCAGCCTAATACAGGAAAACTTATTTCTTTTTATTTTTAATTGTATTTTTCTTTAATTTCCTGCCTCATCAACACTCAACTATGCTCACAACTCAAATATTTCATTTAATTTATAGTGGAAAACTTTCTTTTTGGATTCTTTTTAAATATTTTCACTAGTCAATTAATGGAAGATAGAACAGGATTTAGAGGATTTATTTTGCATCCTGGCTGTGTATAAGGAATTCAATATTGATTTACTTATTAATTCTTACAGTGAATAATACAGTGAATCAGTATTCATAGTTTGATGTTTACCCTTAGAACAATTTCCAAAGATTTTTAAATGTGTTCCTTCCTCCATCTTCAAGTGGTTATGCTTATTTCACCGCAATGAGGATCAATAAAGCTTTTCACGGTGCCATTCTGGAAGTGGAAACAACGTAACATACTTTTGCAAATTTTAGAAAACTATACAAACATGTGAAACACATGGCTGAGGAACCTTCCAAGGACTCTGAAGGGTCATGTCCAAGAGAAGGGCCCTGAAACTTAAGCTGCGTTAGAGTCACAATAAGGTAGCCTCTAACTCAGTGAGGGTATGAATGCAAAATTGCAAATGCTGAATGTTTCCCCCAGATAATGAAATAAGGATTAAAAGATCAAGAGGCAGATAAAGAGAGCTACCTAGGAAGTTGTTCAAATGAAATATATTTCCAGCGATACAGCTTTAGGATTTCTGTTTTGTTCTGTTTTCCATTTGGTAGGGTAGGAGAAAGAGAAATAGAGGAGGAATAGTAGGAGTGGAGAGGAGGAGGAGAAGGGGCTGGGAAGGTGTGTGTGTGTTTGTGTGTGTGTGTGTGTGTGTGTGAGAGAGAGAGAGAGAGAGAGAGAGAGAGAGAGAGAGAGAGAGCGAGAAAGAGCTATCAGACCAGAAGGTGATGAATGAGGCTAGTGTCTTGACAAGGAATTCAGGCGAGGACTTTCCAGAAGGCAGGATTAAAGTAGTCTGATTGCATAGAGAGGTTAAAATAAGCAAAGATATTTTCTCTAGAGATGCATTACAGGAGAATTAAAGAGGAAACACTTTAGGCCCCAGTCTCTACTAAAAGAAGACAAAATTGGAAGCACTTTAGTGAAGCAGTGGGGTTGAATTTCACTTCTAAGGGACAGGGATCAGTGGGCACTAGGAAATTAGTGAGTCTGGACTATTTCTAAAGAAAGTAATCCATTCTGAAACGAAGTTCACAAGTGTAATAAAAAGTATACTGTTTTCATGAATCTTCATCTTTCAGGCTGAGTTTCAGTTTTTTCTTTGTCTTTAACCATGTCAGTGGGCTGATTACTCTGCTTCTCATTTGCTGTTCTTTCCTTATGAAAAGAACCCATTTGTAGCTCTTTCCATTTCTTAGCTGCATAGGAGCAGGATTCAGCAAGCTCCATCACTGATAATGGAAATGTAATCATGTCTCCAGTCAACACAGAGAATGACAACAAAGAGAAAGACTATCCTAGTGCATTTCAAACTCTCAGTTTAGCCCCTGTCTACTGGTGCCTAATTCAACACAAACACTGTAGTGTCACTTAAGGCCATGCTGTCCCTGATAACACCAGGATTTCATCTGACCTGCGTCCCACTTCAGGCTCATCTGCAGCCTAATTTGGTTCTGACGATGTTTAAGAAAATGAACTGACCTTTATAAATTCCTTCCCATCCCTGCCACAACCTTATGGGTTCCATATCCCTGAGCTGAGATCCTTTGGAGCTAAAGAGAAAGCTGCTTAATGAGAAGTAGTAAAAGTTCTTACCTGTTCTTTTTCTCCTTAGTTCATGAGGAGTGGCTTCTAGCACTTCTGTGTCTCTCACTGGATCCTTGGACTAATATTTTACTGTTCCAACGTTGTAGGGCTGGGATTTCTTCAGTGATGAAATATTTAAAGGTTAAGCATATTTGTAATGGATTTAGAGTAATATGAAACTGAAAGTACTTCATTCAAGTCCACTACCATAAATGAAATTACTGGAGTGTGCCAGTGGGAGGGTTTAATGATTGCTCAACCAGAAGCTTCAAAGTTTTTTGTTGGAAATCTTAGAGACCATTTGTTGTCTAACAAAATGCCCATTAGGTTTTGAATACAATGATACATGTCTCATGGATTGAGTCAGTTTGAGAATCCTAGAATGAGGAGGCATCATGTTAATTTTCAGCTATAATTTCCTAAAATAATAGACACACTCACAATGGAGCTGCCTATTCTTTTAGAGGTGCGGTAAATAAGGAAAGGGCATATTTAACACATTGTCTGACATAAAAAGTCAGACAGCTGGAAAAAAATAAGTAGGGAATTTTTCATTTAGATGGTGGGGATGAGGAAGCATCATTTCCTCACTTTTCAGTTCACTTGGTTTGCAGTCTATGGAATCCTTCTAGTAGATAGTCACAGATAAAATTAATTCACAATTTAGTATTATTACATGATGCAATAATTAATGTGTATATGCCTAGTGATTTCAAAGATTGTCTTGATATTAGCATCCAATGAACAGACTGAATTTCAGGTGTGGAATGTTTTGATAATAAGCTTATTTTCACACAAAGAGCTCTATGCAGCCGGCTGTAGAGTTCATAGCAAGAGGGATTCAGTGATTCAGCTGGGGTTACTGAGTCTCATATCAAATGGAAGCAAGACCTGCAAGCTAGAAAAACAATCAACCATCTGTACATGTGTGTATAGAGAGCAAATATACTGCATGCACAGCACTGTACTAGGTGCTGAGAAGTGTATGAAGATGAATTAAACACAGCCACTGCCCTTAACTGGACTTACTCTAGAGGGTAAGAATGACTTGCACTCAAAGCTTAAAAGCAAAGGCCTGGAGAGGAGTGGAAGAGTGGAGCACTGAACACTGAAATATGTAGCCCAAGATTGCACATTGGAAGACTTCAAACTTTTACCCATGAAGAATTTCCTTTCATGTCACTTATGTGAAGTGGGTTGAGTTTTAGTTTTATAAAAAATGACCTGACAGTAAAAACAGACACATAGACCAATGGAACAGAATAGAGAATTCAGAAATAAATTCACATATTTTAAGTTGCCTCATTTTTGACACAGAGACCAGTAATATACATTGGGGAATGTATGTTTACAATTGGTGCTGGGAAACGTGGATATTAATATGCCATATATCAATTCAGAATGGATTAAGTATTTAAATGTAAGACCCCAAACAATAAAACTACTGGAGGAAAACATAGGGAAAACACTTGCAGACATCTGTCCAGGCAACAATTTGATGGGTAAAACTTCAATAGCACACTCAACAAAAGCAAAAATAGACAAATGAGACTGTTAAATTAAAAGGCTTTTGTGCAGCAAAGGAAAAAAACCAACAGAATGGAGAGTCATCCTGCGTAATGGGATAATGTATTTGCAAGCTATTCAACTTACAAAGGACTAATGTTCAGAATATACAAGAGTCTCAACTCAAAAACAAACAAACAAATACTCTTATTAAAAAATGGGCAAAATATCTGAATAGACATTTCTCAAAAGAAGAGATACAACTGGCTAACAAGTATATAAAAAAATGCTTAACATGTCTTAGATCTGGCACGATGGCTGAATAGGAATAGCTCCGGTCTGCAGCTACCAGTGAGACCAATGCAGAAGGCAAGTGATTTCTGTGTTTCCAACTGAGGTACCCTGTTCATCTCATTGGGACTGGTTAGGCAGTGGGTGTAGTCTTCTGCATTTCCGACTGAGGTACCCTGTTCATCTCATTGAGACTGGTTAGGCAGTGGTGCAGCTCACAGAGAGCGAGCAGAAGCAGGGTGGGGCATTGACTCACCTGCGAAGTGCAAGGAGCCAGGGACCTCCCTCCCCCAGCCAAGGGGAGCCCTGAGGGACTGTGCTACCCACCCAGATACTACGCTTTTCCGTGTGGTTTTTGCAATCTGCAGACCAGGATATTCCCTCGTGCCTATACCACCAGGACCCTGGGGTTTCAAGCACAAAACTGGGCAGCTGTTTGAGAAGACACCGAGCTGGCTGCAGGAATTTTTTTTTTTCCCCTAGTGGTGGAATCCCAGCAAGACAGAATCATTCATTCTCATGGAAAGGGGGCTGAAGCCAGGGAGCCAAGTTGTCTTGCTCAGCGGGTCCCACTCCTACGGAGCCCAGCAAGCTAAGAAACACTGGCTTGAAATTCTCACTGCCAGCACAGCAGTCTGAAGTTGACCTGGGACAATTGAACCTGGTTGGGGGAGGGTCGTCCACCATTACTGAGGTTTGAGTAGGCGGTTTTCTCCTGACAGTGCTAAGGAGGCTGGGAAGTTTGGACTGGGTGGAACTCAACAGAGCACTGCAAAGCAGCTGTGGCCAGACTGCCTCTCTAGATTCCTCCTCACTGGGCAGAGCATCTCTGAAGGAAAGGCAGCAGCCCCAGTCAGGGGCTTATAGATAAAACTCCCATCCCCCTGGGACAGAGACCTGAGGGAAGGGGTGGCTGTGGGCACAGCTTCAGCAGATTTAAATGTTACTGCCTACCAGCTCTGAAGAGAGCAGTTGATCCTGATGAGGAGGATTCTCCCAGCACAATGCTTGAGCTCTGCTAAAGGACAGACTGCCTCCTCAAGTAGGTCCCTGACTGGGAGAGACCTCCCAACAGGGGTTGACAGAGATCTCATACTGGAGAGTTCCAGCTGGCATCAAGCCAGTGCCCCCCCTGGGACACAGCTTTTGGAGGAAGGAGCAGGCAGCAATCCTTGCTGTTCTGCAGCCTCTGCTGGCGATACCAGCAAACAGGGTCTGAAGTGGACCTCCAGCAAACTGCAACAGACCTGCAGAAGAGAGGCCTGACTTTGAGAAGAAAAACTAACAGAAAGCAAAAATACCAACATCAACAAAAGGGACCCCCACACAAAAACCCTGTTCAAAGGTCATCAGCCTCAAAAATCAAAGGTAGACAAATCCACAAAGATGACGAAAAACCAGCACAAAAAAGCTGAAAATTCCAAAAAACAGAATGCCTCTTCTCCAAATGATCCCAACTCCTCTCCAGCAAGGGCACAAAACTGGACAGAGAATGAGTTTGACAAATTGACAGAAGTAGGCTTCAGAAGGTGGGTAGTAACAAACTCCTCTGAGCTAAAGGAGCATGTTCTAACCCAATGCAAGGAAGCTAAGAAACTTGATAAAAGATTACAGGAACTGCTAGCTAGAATATCCAGTTTAGAGAAGAGCATAAATGACCTGATGGAGCTGAAAAAAAAAAACCATGATAACTTCATGAAGCATTCGGAAGTATCAATAGCCGAATCAATAGCAGAAGAAAGGATGTCAGAGATTGGAGATCAACTTACTGAAATAAGGCGTGAAGACAAGATTAGAGAAAAGAGAATAAAAAGGAACGAACAAAGCCTCCAGGAACTATGGGACTAAGTGAAAAGACCAAACCTACAATTGATTTGTGTACCCAGAAGTGACGGGGAGAACGGAACCAAGTTGGAAAACACACTGCAGGATATTATCCAGGAGAACAGCAAGACAGGCCAACATTCAAATTCAGGAAATATAGAGAAGACCACTATAATACTCCTTGAGAAGAGCAACCCCAAGACACATAATCGTCAGATTCTCCAAGGTTGAAACAAAGGAACACACGTTAAGGGCAGTCAGAGAGAAAGCTCAGGTTACCTACAAAGGGAAGCCCATCAGAGTAACAGCAGATCTGTCTGTAGAAACCCTACAAGCCAGAAGAGAGTGGGGGCCAATATTCAATATTCTTAAAGAAAAGAATCTTCAATCCAGAATTTCATATCCAGCGAAACTAAGCTTCGTAAGTGAAGGAGAAATAAAATCCTTTCCAGACAAGCAAATGCTGAGAGATTTTGTCACCATGGGGCCTGCCTTACAAGAGCTCCTGAAGGATGCACTAAATATGAAAAGGAAAAACTGGTACCAGCCACTGCAAAAACATACCAAAATATAAAGACCATTGGCACCATGAAGAAACTACATCAACTAATGTGCAAAATAACCAGGTAATATCATAATGACAGGATCAAATTCACATATAATAATATTAACCTTAAATGTAAATGGGCTAAATGCCCCAATTAAAGACACAGACTGGCAAACTGGATAAAGAGTCAAGACCCATCCGTGTGCTATATTCAGGAGACCCATCACACTTGCAAAGACACACATAGGCTCAAGATAAAGGGATGGAGAAATATTTGCCAAGCAAATGGAAAGTGAAAAAAAAAAAAAGGAGGGGTTGCAATCCTAATATCTGATAAAACAGACTTAAAACCAACAAAGATCAAAAAAGACAAAGAAGGGCATTACATAATGGTAAAGGGATCAATAAAATGAGAAGGGCTAACCATCCTAAATATATATGCTCTCAAAACAGGAGCACCTAGATTCATAAAACAAGTTCTTAGAGACATACAAAGAGACTTAGACTCCCACACAATATAGTTGGAGACTTTAACAGCCCACTGTCAATAGTAGACAGATCAAGGAGACAGAAAATTAACAAGGATACTGAGGACTTGAACTCAGCTTTGGACAAAGCAGACCTAATAGACATCTACATAATTCTCCACCCCAAGTCAACAGAATATACATTCTTCTCAGCATCACATAGCACTTATTCTAAAATCGACCACATAATTGGAAGTAAAACACTCCTCAGCAAGTGCAAAAGAACAGAAATCTTAACAAACAGTCACTCAGACCACAGTGCAAACAAATTAGAACTCAGGATTAAGAAACTCACTCAAAACCACACAACTACGTGGAAACTGAACAACCTGCTCCTGAATGAATACTGGTTAAATAACAAAATGAAGGCAGAAATAAAGATGTTCTTTGAAACCAATGAGAACAAAGACACAATGTACCAAAATCTCTGGGTCACATTTAAAGCAGTATTTAGAGGGAAATTTATAGCACTAAATGCCCACAAGAGAAAGCAGAAAAGATCTACAACTGAAACCCTAACATCAAAATTAAAATAACTAGGCCCAGCGTGGTGGCTTATATCTGTAATCCCCTCACTTTGTGAGGCCGAGGCGGGTGGATCATGAGGTCAGGAGATTGAGACTATTCTGGCTAACATGGTGAATCCCCATCTCTAATAAAAATACAAAAATTAGCCAGGCATGGGGGCATGCGCCTGTAGTCCCAGCTACTCGGGATGCTGAGGGAGGAGAATTGCTTGAACCTGGGAGGCGGAGGTTGCAGAGAGCTGAGATCGTGCCACTGCACTCCAGGCTAGGTGACAGAGGAAGACTCCATCTCAAAAAAAAAAAAAAAGTAGAACTAGAGAAGCAAGAGCAAACAAATTCAAAAGCTAACAGAAGACAAGAAATAACTAAGATCAGAGCAGAACTGAAAGAGATAGAGACACGAAAAACCCTTCAAATAATCAGTGAATACGGGAGCTGGTTTTTTGAAAAGATCAACAAAATAGACCACTAGCCAGACTAATAAAGAAGAAAAGAGAGAAGAATCAAATAGACGCAACAAAAAATCATAAAGGGGATATCACCACTGATCCCACAAAAATACAAATTACCATCAGAGAATACTATAAACACCTCTACACAAATAAACTAGAAAATTTAGAAGAAATGGATGAATTCCTGGACACATACACCCTGCCAAGACTAAACCAGGAAGAAGTTGAATCCCTGAATAGACCAATAACAAGTTCTAAAATTGAGGCAGTAATTAATAGCCTACCAATGAAAAAAAGCCCAGGACCAGACAGATTCCAGCCAAATTCTACCAGACGTAGAAATAGGAGCTGGTACCATTCCTTCTGAAACTATTCCAAACAACAGAAAAAGAGAGAATCCTCCCTAACTCATTTTATGAGGCCAACATCATCCTAATACCAAAACCTGGCAGAGACACAACAAAAAAAGAAAATTTCAGGCCAATATCCCTAATGAACGTCTATGCGAAAATGCTCAATAAAATACTGGCAAACGGAATCCAGCAGCACATCAAAAATGATCAAGTCAGCTTCATACCTGGGATGCAAGGCTGGTTCAACATATGCAAATCAATAAACATTATCACATAAACAGAACCAATGACAAAAACCACATGACTATCCCAATAGATGCAGAAAAGGCCTTCAACAAAATTCAACACCCCTAATGCTGAAAACTCTCAATAAACTAGGTATTGATGGAACGTATCTCAAATTAATAAGAGCTATTTATGACAAACCCACAGCCAATATCATACTGAATGGGCAAAAACTGGAAGCATTGCCTTTAAAAACCAGCACAAGACAAGGATGCCCTCTTGCAGCACTCCTATTCAACATAGTATTGGATGTTCTGGCCAGGGCAATCAGGCAAGAGAAAGAAGTAAAGGGTATTCAAATAGGACAAGAGGAAGTCAAATTGTCTCTGATTGCAGATGACATGATTGTGTATTTAGAAAACCCCACCGTTTCAGCCCAAAATTTCCTTAAGCTGATAAGCAACTTCAGCAAAGTCTCAGGAAATAAAATCAATGTGCGAAAATCACAACCATTCCTATACACCAATAATAGACAAAAAGAGAGCCAAATCATGAGTGAACTCCAATTCACAATTGCTACAAAGAGAATAAAATACCTAGGAATCCAACTTACAAGGGATGTGAAGGACCTCTTCAAGGAGAACTACAAACCACTGCTCAAGGGAATAAGAGGTGACACAATAAATGGAAAAACATTTCACGCTCATGGATAAGAAGAAGTAATATTGTGAAAATGGCCATACTGCCCAAGGTAATTTATAGATTCAATGCCATCCCAACCAAACTACCATTGACTTTCTTCACGGAATTGGAAAAAACTACTTTAAAGTTCATATGGAACCAAAAAAGAACCCGCATAGCCAAGAAAATCCTAAGCCAAAAGAGCAAAGCTGGAGGCATCACGCTACCTGACTTCAAACCATACTACAAGGCTACAGTAACCAAAATAGCATGGTACTGGTGCCAAAACAGATATATAGACCAATGGAACAGGACAGAAGCCTCAGAAATAACACCACACATCTACAACCATCTGATCTTTGACAAAGTTGACAAAAACAAGCAATGGGGAAGGATTCCCTATTAAATAAATGGTGTTGACTGGCTAGTCATATGTAGTAAACTGAAACTGGACCCCTTCCTTACACCTTGTACAAAAATTAACTCAAGATGGATTAAAGACTTAATGTAAGACCTAAAACCATAAAAATCCTTGAAGAAAACCTAGGCAATACTATTCAGAACATAGGCATGGGCAAAGACATCATGTCTAAACACCAAAACAATGGCAACAAAAGCCAAAATTGACAAATGGGATCTAATTAAACTAAAGAGCTTCTGCACAGCAAAAGAAACCATCATCAGACTGAACAGGAAACCTACAAAATGGGAGAAAATTTTTGAAATCTATCCATTTGACAGAGGGCTAATATCCAGAACCTACAAAAAACTTAAACAAATTTACAAGAAAAAAACAAACAACCCCATCAAAAAGTTGGTGAAGGATATGAACAGACACTTCTCAAAAGAAGACATTTTTGCAGCCAACAAACATATGAAAAAAAGCTAATCATCACTAGTCATTAGAGAAATGCAAATCAAAACCACAGTGGGATACTATCTCATGCCAGTTAGAATGGCAATCATTAAAAAGTCAGGAAACAACAGATGCTGGAGATGATGTGGAGAAATAGGAAAGCTTGTACACTGTTGGTGGGAGTGTAAATTAGTTTAACCATTGTGGAATACAGTGTGGTGATTCCTCAAGGATCTAGAACTAGAAATACCATTTGACCCTGCAATCCCATTACTGGGTATATACCCAAAGGATTATAAATCATTCTACTATAAAGACACACGCACACATATGTTTATTTTGGCACTTTTCACAACAGCAAAGACTTGGAACCAGCCCAAATGCCCATCAATGATAGACTGGATAAAGAAAATGTGGCACATATACACCATGGAATACTACGCAGCCATGAGAAAGGATGAGTTCATGTCCTTTGCAGGGACATGGATGATGCTGGAGACCATCATTCTCAGCAAACTAACACAAGAACAGAAAACCAAACACCACATGTTCTCATTCATAAGTGGGAGCTGAACAATGAGAATCATGGACACAGGGAGGAGAATATCACACACTGGGGCTTGTTAGGGGTGGGAGACTAGGGGAGGGATAGCATTAGGAGAAATACCTAAAGTAGTTGATGGGTTGATGGGTGCAGCAAACCACCATGGCACATGCATACTTATGTAACAAAACTGCACGTTCTGCATATGTACCCTACAACTTAAACTCTATTTAAAAAAAGCAACTACAGGCCAATATCTCTGATAAATATTGATGCAAAAATTTTCAACACTACATTACCATATCAAATTCAACAATACATTGAAAATAATTTATGACTAAGTCGGACTTATCCCAGGGATTCAAGGTTGTTTCCACATATGCAAATCAAACAATGTGATACATTATAGCAACATAATGGAGAACAAAAACCATTTGATCATTTCAATTGATGCTGAAAAAGTATGTGATAAAATTCAACATCCTTTCACAATAAAAACCCTAATAAAACTGGGTATAGAAGGAACATACTTCAACACACTAAAAGCCATATGTGACAGACTCACAGCCAATATCATACTGAATGGGGGAACACTGAAAGCCCATTCTCTAATACCTGGAAGATAACAAGGATACCCACTTTACCACTGTTATTCAACATAGTACTAGAAGTTCTAGGTCGAGCAACTGGACAAGAGAATGTCATAAAGGGTATCCAAATTGGAAAGGAAGAAGTCAAATTATCTTTGTTTGCACATAACATGATCTTATATTTGGAAAAACCTAAAAACTCCACCAAAAACTATTAGAGCTGATAAATTCAGTAAAGTTTCAGGATACAAAAGTAATATACACAACTCATAGCATTTCTATATGCCAACAGTAAACAATCTGACACAGAAATAAAAAAGCAATCACATTTACAGTAGCTGCTAATAAAATTTTATATCTAGGAATTAACCAAAAGAATGGAAAGATCTCTACAACGAGGTCTGAGGCATGGTGGCTCAGCCTGTAATCCCAGCACTTTGGGAGACCGAGGTGGGCAGATCACCTGAGGTCAGGAGTTCAAGACCAGCCTGCCCAACATGGTGAAACTAACATGGTGAAACTCCATCTCTACTAAAAATACAAAAATTAACTGGCTGTGGTGGCAGGTACCTGTAATCCCAGCTACTTGGGGGGCTGAGGAAGGAGAATTGCTTGAACCTGGGAGGTGGAGGCTGCAATGAGCTAAGATTGTGCCATTGCACTCCAGCCTGGGTGACAAGAGCAAAATTCTGTCTCAAAACAAAAACAAAAACAAAACAAAACAAAAACAAAATCTCTACAATGAAAACTACAAAACACTGAGGAAAGAAATCGAAGAGTATACAAAAAATGGAAAGTTATTCCATTTGCATGGATTTGAAGAATGAACATTTTAAAAATGTCCATACTACCCAAAGAAATCTACAGATTCAGTGAATTCCCTATCAAAATATCAATGACATTCTTCACAGAAATAGAGAAAACTATTTAAGTTCCACATAAATCCTACAATTTATATGGAACCACTGAAGACTCAGAATAGCCTAAGCTGTCCTGAGCAAAAAGAACAAAATTGGAGGAATCATATTACCTGACTTCAAATTATACTACAGAGCTATGTAACCCAAACAGCATGTTACTGGCATAAAAACATACATGTAGATAATGAAACAGAATATGGAACCCAGAAACAAATCCATAAACCTACAGAGCACTCATTTCTGACAAAGGTTCCGAGAACATACATGAAGGAAAGAAAAATCTCTTCAACAAATAGTGCTGGGAAAATGCATATTCATATGCAGAAGAATGAAAATAGACCCCTACCTATCACCATATACAAAAAATCAAATCAAAATGGATTAAAGTTTTAAATCTAAGACCTCAAACTATGAAACTACCACAGGAAAACATTAGGAAAACTCTTTACCTTGGAATGGAAAAAGATTTCCTGAGTGACCAAAGCAAAAATGGACAAGTCAAATCACATTAAGTTAAAAAGGAAAAAAATTAAAAAACTGAAGAGACAACCCACAGAATAAGAGAAAATACTTGCAAACTATCCATCTGACAAGGGATTAATAACCAGAATATATAAGGAGCTCAAATCACAAGGTTCCTTAAAAAACTAAAAATAGAGCTACCATATGATCCAGCAATTCTACTGCTGAGCATATACCACCCCAAAAGGAAATAAGCATATCAAAGGGATATCTGCACTTCCACATTTGTTACAGCATTCTTCACAATAGCCAAGATTTGGAAACAACCTAAGTGTTAATCAACAGATGAATGGATAAGGAAAATGTGGTACATATACACAATGGAGTACTATTCAGTCATCAAAAAGAATGAGATTCTGTCATTTGCAACAACTTGGGTTGAATTCATGGTCATTATGTTAAGTGAAATAAGCCAGGGACAGAAAGACCAACTTCACATGTTCCCACTTACATGTAGGAGCCAATAGTTAAAACAGTTGAATTTGTGGAAATAGAGAGTAGAAACATGGTTACCAGAGGCTAGGAAGGGTAGTGGGGTGGTGTGAGGGGAAGTGGGGATGACTAATGGGTAGAAAAAGTAGTTAGAAAAGATGAATAAGACCTGTTTTTTATAGCACAAGATGGAGACTATAGTCAATAATAATTTAATTGTACATTTTAAAATAACTAAAAGAATGTAATTGGATTGTTTGCAAGACAAAGGACAAATGCTTGAGGGGATGGATACCACATTTACCGTGATGTGATTATTATGCATTGCATGCATGTATTAAAGTATCCCATGTTCCCCATAAATATATACACCTACTTAGTACCCACAAAAGTTAAAAATAAAAATTAAAAATATACATTTCTCAGGGATAGTGGCCTGTAGTTTTCTATTTTTGACGTATGTTTCTCTTTCTATTTTTGATGTCTTTCATCTGGTATCATGATGTGTCATAATATCAGCCTTGTAGAATGAATTTGAAGTATTCCCATTTCTTCTATTTTGTTTGGAATAATTTGAGTAGGATTGGTATCAGTTTTTCTTTTAATGTTTGGTAAAATTAAGCAGTGAAGCTATTGAATGCCAGGCTTTATTTGCTGGGATACTTTTTATTATGGCTTCAATCTCATTACTTGTTATTGGCTTATTTGGATTTCAGATTTCTTCATCTTGGTAGGTTGTATTTGTCTAGGAATTTATCCATTTGTTCTAGGCTTTCCAAGTTACTGGTATATAGCTCCTCAGAGTAGTCTCTAATGATCTTTTGAATTTCTGTGGTGTCTATTATCATGTCTCTTTTTTCATGTCTAATTTCATTTATTTGCATCTTCTCTCTGTTTTTCTTAGGCTAATGGTTTGTCAATTTTATCTTTCAAGAAATCAAGTTTGTTTTGTTAATTTTTTGTATTCTTATTCATTTTCACTTCATTTATTTCTGCTCTGATCTTTCTTATTTCTTTATGTCTACTAATTTTGGATTTGGTTTGCTTTTGCTTTTCTAGTTTTTTAAGATGCATTATTAGGTTGTTTACTTGACATTTTTCTACTTTTTTGATATACATATGGTTTTCAATGATCACCTTGTTATTAATTTCTAGTTATAATTTCAATGTTTTAGACTGTTTTGTGGCCTAACATATGGTCTATTCTTGAGAATGATACATGTGCTAAAGAGAAGAATGTGCATTGTACAGCTATTGGATGAAAAGTTTTTAAGTATCTGTTTGGTCTATACTGCATTTGTTGTCTAGTGCAGATTAAATCTGATTTTTGTTGTTGTTAATTTTCTGTCTAGAAGATCTGTCCAATGCTGAAAGTGGGCTGTTGAAATCTCCAGCTATTATCTCTTTAGAGGTGAAGACAGAGATAGACCCCAATACATTAATAGCTGTCAATGTTGGTGCATATATATTTACAGTTGTGCTATTCTTTTGCTGAATTGACTCCATTATTATTATATAATTACTATCTCTTTCTCTTCTTCCAGTATTTATGTTGAAATATGGAACATTTTTTCTATCCATTTATTTTAATTTGATGTGTATTTTTATAGGTGAAGTGTGTTTCTTGTAGGCAACAGATCATTGGGGCTTGGTTTTTAAAAATCCATTCAACCACTCTGTCTTCCTTCCTTCCTTCCTTTCTTCCTTCCTTCCTTCCTTCCTTGCTTGCTTCCTTCCTTCCTTCCTGCCTTCCTTCCGTCCTTCCTCTCTCTCTCTCCCCTTCTTTTTCTCATATGTTTTTTCTTCTTCCTGGGCCTGGCAGGCTAGGAGCAGAATATAGACGAAACCACTGGAACATGTGGGACTGGAATAGCCTGATGTTTGACTGCTTGGGTGGTAACTGTGAATGGGTGGACCAGGGTGTGTAGGGAGCAGAGTCATCCTCCCAGAACTGAGAGAGGGCCCTTGGGGGATGCAAGCAATGCAAGTGTTGAGGTTGGCACAGATACAAGAGTGAGGTTATGGCATGAGAGTGAGATGGGTATGGTGGGGTGGGGTGACTGTTGGAAGAGCGTGTTAGCATGTTTTAGAGTTGGGGCCAACTCAGGGCATGGCATGTTGAGGCACATTTGACCCTGGATCTTGACTGAGAAGCTGGGTGCCAAGGGCTGGAAGAACAAAAGGCCCATGGGTCAGCAGGACCCATGAAGATGTGACTGCAAATGGGATCAGCACTGGGAGAGGCTGAGGCTCCAAGGTGACTCCTATAGCAAGGCAGTGAAGGGGCAGGCCTGGGTTTCCCATTTAGAAATACATTGTCAGCTGCAGCCACTCTTGGATATTCACTTAGAATGGTCTAGTGTCATCTTTGTAAAGAGATTTCCAGGCATGAAACGAAGCATCTGGCCTGACCAAGCAGCTGATAAAGTTGCCAAAATCCATGTTCTCTCCTTCATGCAAGTAGTGTCAGAATATTATGTTGTAGAGTTGTTCATTCAGATGGAACCCTGCTGCCTCAAAGGCCTCTGCAAGTTCACTGCTGCAAATGGTTCCGGATCGGTCAACATCAAACTGCTTGTATATTGTGTCACTTTTTGATGTTGTTCCACAGGTAGTTGAATTCCTCAAAATCCAGCTTGCCTATGGTGTCACTATCCATCATGGCCACCATGCTTTGACATGTATCAATGCCAAAACCATGAGTCTTCAGTTCAGTCCTACTGATCACAACCTTGTTGACAACATTCATGAGTTCTGTGCCGCTGACCTCGATGTCATCTCCAGCCAACCGGGCAAAGAGCCTCCAGAAATGATGGACCTCCTCACTCTTGTTGGCCTCAGTGTTGGAGCAATGTGTGTGTTGAGGCAGGGGCTCCAGGTTGTGCTGTGTAGCCACCTCCATGATGGAGCTAATGATTCCACCTAGGAAGCACACGGCCACTCTGCCACCTCTTCTGCCTCTGCTGAAGAACTGACTGCCAGACCTCTGGATGTGAGGAGACATATTCCTAGTTAACTCATTCTTGAAGGGTGGAGGGGGCAGTGTCAGGAAAAGGAGAGATGAAGACCTGGATAGGGGCCTGGGGAATGTGCTTGGAGGCCTGATCAGTGGGGGATCACTCTATGGCTTTTGATTGGAGAGTTTCGTCCATTCACATTCAATGTAATCATTGATAAGTAAGGACTTAATCTTGTTATTTTATGTGTTTTCTAGTCGTTTTGTGGTCTTCTTTTCTTTCCTGTCTTCCTTTTAGCAAAGGTAATTTCCTCTGGTGGTATGTTTTAATTTCTTGCTTTTTATTCTTTGTGTATCTATTGTATGTTTTTTGATTTGAGGTTACAATGAGGTTTGCAAATAATATTTTATAACCTATTATTTTAAACTGATGACAACTCTGATTGCATAAACAAATAACAAACAAGCAAAGAGAAAACTAATAAAAATTCTATACTTTAATTTCATCTCCCTGCTTTTCAAATTTTTGTTGTTTCTATTTATTATTATACTGTCTATGTCTTGAAAAGTTGTTATAGTTATTACTTTAGATAGGTTCATCTTTTAGTCTTTCTACTTGAGATACGAGGAGTTTACACACCACATTTATGGTGCTATAATATTCTTTTTTTCCCTGTGTACTTACTACCACCAGTGAGTTTTGTACCTTCAGATGATTTTTTTATTGCTCATTAATGTCCATTTCTTTTAGATTGAAGGAGTCCCTTTAGCATTTCTTGTAAGACAGGTCTGTTATTGATGAAATCCTTCAGCTTTTGTTTGTCTGATATTATAAAATTGACTCATTGAAAAAATTATACATGGGATAATTTTATAGTATTATTTGCAATGAATCATTTCTCTTTATTATACATTTTCTAAATATAACTCGAAAGTAGTCCATAAATAGATCTTTGGCTTCCTATACTTTTTAAAAATGGATTTACCCAGTTTGAATTTTCAATAATAATCTCAGAAAGCACCCGTATGAATTCCTGATGTTAAAATAAATTGATTTTGTTGGACTAAGTCCTATTTTTGTTCGTTTTTTAGTTTAAATTGATTAGGAATAATATAAAGGGATCTGGGGATATGATTTGTCCCTAAAATATAAGTTATTTCCAATCTTCCAGATAGAATCTATTAAGAATTTGATCAAAAAACCCCCAAATGATACCAAATTATAAATTCTTGATGGCAGTGAAACTATAGGCCAAATCTAGAATTCTGGTATGGTTTGAAGATGTCTAATTCTATTTTCCTGATCTTCAGGTCCCTTCTTGTCAGGCCCTAATCTCATTTCCAGTCTCATCTTTCATTTCAACACACCTATTCAGTGCTTCAGTCAAATGGAATAATTCTACAGTACCTTTAGTAAGACCTACACTTTCTAATATATCTGACTTGGCTTATGCTGGTCTTTCCACTTGAATGGTCCCTTTATCTCTACAAGTACACCTTGTATAAATTTTTAAAAGACCAGCTATTTTAAGCCTAGGGCTATTTTTTATGGTCATAGTCTCTTGTTCTGAACTCACAGAGTACTTGTTCCCATTTGTTGGAATTACCACATTTTCTTTTACATTGTAGCTTTTGATATCATTTCTGGCAAACATTATCACCCTGGTTGCATTTATATTTTTACTTGCTTATTTCCTTCACCAGAAAGTCATCTTTATGAGGGCAGAGACTGGTATATTGAGTTATACATAAAATAAAATGCAGTGCCTGGCATTTAGTGGATGAACAATAAAACACTTGGTGGGTTTAATTTATAGCATTTTTATCCTGAATACAGCCCATAACTGATAAAAATTTGCTAAAAAAATACTTATCCACATCTGAAGTTTGAACTTAAGACTGTCTTCAAAAATGTATGTCTTTTTATCCTATTATCCAGTGTATATAGCCTAGCTGAAATAGCCAGAGAACAAATGAATGAATGAAGAGTAGATGCCTAAATCTCTTGCTGCCATATACTTTCTAGATTGATTGCAAGAATGACTTGTGGATTTTTGCCCTGATAGTGCTTTCGAGTGGCCACTTTGTCACAACACCATGGGCACCATCAATCACCAGGCTCAGGAGAAGCTGTGGCATCCTTCTAGGACCTGAACCACCATGATTTATTGATTTTACAGGAGTGGCAACTAAGGCTGTTCCTCTTTCTTATAACTCAAAATCAAGATTGGAGATAAGAGGATACAAGGCCAAAGAGAATGTTCATAAAACTTGTTTCTAAGTGATATTTGGAAATTGTGAGATAGGGTGCTTATCTTTCCTTAGATAAGGTCTATCTATGTGGTTGAACTAACAAAGCTAACCAGGGCACGATCCTCACTTAGAGTGAAGTAGAGAACTCCACTAAGTTTGGAATTTCTTTTTAGCTTAGTTTGAATTGTATGGGATTTTGTGCTGTAACTGAAGACAGTTGAATGCCCCACTACCAGAGATTAGTATCTGAAGCATATCTTTAAACTGATTCGAGGTGACAGAGCATGACCTTGGTGGTAGAAAATTCAGCAGGAGGTGGGAATCAACCTAAAAATTTGATGTCAATTTTTATTTAAGACTTGATCAAAGCCTGTTTCAGTGGTGATTTCTGGTTGTTGAAAGGTGATTGATAATTTATTTTCATGGGTTACTATTCCTTGAGAAACTCCAGCAGCTTGAGTTTGAGCACATTAAGGAAATTTAGGCCCAATGTTGGATCAAGTGATTGTAGGCCCATTAGTACCATAAAATTTGTACCATATCCAGATTACAATCACTGTGATAACTTCTTAAGGCTCATGTACATACATTCGTTATTAAATACTTTTTCTTTTTTATATCAAGAAAAATAACTACAGTCATCCCTCAGTATACATAGAGAATTGGTTCTAGGACCACTGTGGATAATCCATACAAAATCCTTGCATGCTCAAGTCCAGCAGTGGCCCTGCAGAATTCATATATACCAAAAGATGGCCCTCCATATATGTGGGTTTCACATTCCTCAAATAGTGTATTTTCATACTGTGTTTAGTTGAAAAAAGTCCATGTTAAGTGAACTCATAGTTCAAACCCGCACTGTTCAAGGGTCAGCTGTAATCAGATTGGAAGTTGCTAAGCACAGAATAACAAGAAATAAAATAAACTACTTTTAAAAACATGTACTTGCAGCATATTTTACTAGAGCCTAGACAGTTACGTCTTTCAGAGAAAGAATATTGATACTTTAAAAAGTCAAGAAAAAAATAGACATATTCTTCCAGTAAGACAATAAAAATCTTTATTTTGTCTTTCTCATGTTATCACCTTCTTCATTCTTTAACACTATCTAATAAAAGGTTAATTCTGTAAGAAAGGTCTGGCCCTCAACTTGTTCCTGGGACATAACAGGTAAGCCCTTAGAACAACTAGCCTTATAATAATGCTTTGGACATGTTGAGGGCTTGGTCGACACCAGGTACTTTATGCTAAAAATGTGATTTGTGGTGGAAGTCTTAAGTTATACCATACCAGTTTGAGCTCTGAAGGGACAGGAGTCTGAGTAAATAATATCAGCCACATGAGCACCCCATTCCTACATGACTTCCCTCTAATAAAAACACTAAAGTTTGTGTGACCATCCCTGGTTGACACATGTCACACATTATTTGTGAGAGAATTAGATAATGTCTGTGCAACTCTCAAGGGAGAAAACACAAATGCAAGCCTATCCTGGGTCTCAGACTCTGGTCCATGTCCCTTTTGCTTTTGTTGGTTTCAATTTGTACTGTTCGATATAATAAGCTCTAACTGTGAGCATAAAATTTTTCTGAGTTCAAGCCATCCCCATCAAGCTACCAATGCCTTTCTTTACAGAATTGGAAAAAACTACTTTAAAGTTCATATGGAACCAAAAAAGAGCCCGCATCACCAGGTCAATCCTAAGCCAAAAGAACAAAGCTGGAGGCATCACACTACCTGACTTCAAACTATACTACAAGGCTACAGTAACCAAAATAGCATGGTACTGGTACCAAAACAGAGATATAGATCAGTGGAACAGAACAGAGCCCTCTGAAGTAACGCCGCATATCTACAACTATCTGATCTTTGACAAACCTGACAAAAACAAGCAATGGGGAAAGGATTCCCTATTTAATAAATGGTGCTGGGAAAACTGGCTAGCCATATGTAGAATGCTGAAACTGGATCCCTTCCTTACACCTTATACAAAAATCAATTCAAGATGGCTTAAAGACTTAAATGTTAGACCTAAAACCATAAAAACCCTAGAAGAAAACCTAGGCAATACCATTCAGGACATAGGCATGGGCAAGGACTTCATGTCTAAAACACCAAAAGCAATGGCAACAAAAGACAAAATTGACAAATGGGATCTAATTAAAGAGCTTCTGTACAGCAAAAGAAACTACCATCAGAGTGAACAGGCAACCTACAAAATGGGAGAAAACTTTCGCAACCTACTCATCTGACAAAGGGCTAATATCCAGAATCTACAATAAACTCAAACAAATTTACAAGAAAAAAACAACCCCATCAAAAAGTGGGCAAAGGACATGAACAGACACTTCTCAAAAGAAGACATTTATGCAGCCACAAAACACATGAAAAAATGCGCACCATCACCGGCCATCAGAGAAATGCAAATCAAAATCACAATGAGATACCATCTCACACCAGTTAGAATGGCAATCATTAAAAAGTCAGGAAACAACAGGTGCTGGAGAGGATGTGGAGAAATAGGAACACTTTTACACTATTGGTGGGACTGTAAACTAGTTCAACCATTGTGGAAGTCAGTGTGGCGATTCCTCAGGGATCTGGAACTAGAAATACCATTTGACCCAGCCATCCCATTACTGGGTATATACCCAGAGGATTATAAATCATGCTGCTATAAAGACACATGCACACGTATGTTTATTGTGGCACTATTCACAATAGCAAAGACTTGGAACCAACCCAAATGTCCAACAATGATAGACTGGATTAAGAAAATGTGGCACATATACACCATGGAATACTATGCAGCCATAAAAAATGATGAGTTCATGTCCTTTGTAGGGACATGGATGAAATTGGAAATCATCATTCTCAGTAAACTGTTGCAAGAACAAAAAACCAAACACTGCATATTCTCACTCATAGGTGGGAACTGAACAATGAGAACACATGGACACAGGAAGGGGAACATCACACTCTGGGGACTGTTGTGGGGTGGGGGGAGGGGGGAGGGATAGCACTGGGAGATATACCGAATGCTAGATGACGAGTTAGTGGGTGCAGCGCACCAGCATGGCACATGTATACATATGTAACTAACCTGCACAATGTGCACATGTACCCTAAAACTTAAAGTATAATAATAAAAGAAAAATAAATAAAATAAAAGAAAAAAGAAGAAAACCCCCCAAAAAAATTTTTTTTCTGAGTTCCATGTCTTCTAAAGAGTCATTGAACCTGAGGATGGCCTTGGGGTCTCTTGATCCCACTTTGTTGTCAAAATGGGATTCACTAGAATGTCTCTGAATCATTGAAACATGGCAAAAGCATGCTCAGAAAAGGAAGGATGAGTGGTGCTTATAAGGTGGTCTTATTGTGCCCCGACTGAATAGTGTCTTAGTCTTCTTGAACTATAGTCCTTAGATAACATTGAATGGGATTCTTGTTAAAAGCATCAAAGATATCTGAAATAGATCTATCCAGTTTTGAAAGTATCAGATTTGACCTGATATGCAATACAGGATATTGAAAGCTCTAAAATTGTCTTCATTTCTTTACAGATCTGGGTGAACCACTCTATAAAGCACAGAGAAAAATTCTTTCTTTGATATAGTTTTATAGAGACTGTGATACATGAAGTTACAGATTTGTGTGAGGTCATAGGTTTGTCTGAGTCACTGTATAAAGCACAGAAAAAAAAATTCTATCTTTGGCCCAGTTTCACAGAGACTGTAGGACATGAGGTCTAGAGAAGGACACTATACCAGGAAAATTTATTTTCTTCTCATAGCTTTAATTTAGTTTAATTTTTTGAGACAGAGCCTCACTCTGTCGCCCAGGCTCTGTTGCCCGGGCTGGAGTGCAATGGCACAATCTCGGCTCACTGCAACCTCCACCTCCCAGGTTCAAGTGATTTTCCTGCCTCATCCTCCTGTGTAGCTGGCATGACAGGCGTGTGCCACCACACTTGGTTAATTTTTGTATTTTTAGTAAAGGCAGGGTTTCGCCATGTTGGCCAGGCTGGTCTCAAACTTCTGACCTCAAGTGATCTGCCTGCTTCGGCCTCCCAAGTTGCTGAGATTATAGGCGTGAGCCACTGCACCTGGCCTCATAGCCTTTAAACCACCTCAGAGACCTTAATCTGGTGTCGAAAATTCAAACAACTTATTACCACTGATCTCTGGAAAGTTCATGATATTTTATCAATTGAAAATAATCACCCATGCATCAGCCTATTGTTTTTATAAAAGAAGCTTATTTAGCACAACCTATGCCTGAACATACTCCCAAGGAGATGTACAGAAAAATAAGGTATCTGTCTTCAAACAAACTTTACCTTTACATTTCAAACAAATACTATATTGCAATAAGTTCATGTGTGCCAAGACTATAATTACAACCTGGAGGCCCTAATTCCCTATTTTAACAGGCATTTTACGATGACTCTCCATGATCTAGGTACCATGGGCAACTTGGATCCTGATTCCAAGGGTCCTTGAAATATTTGGGTGTTTGTATTTCCCTAGTATATGGATATCTAGTAAATGGCTCCAGACGTTTCCTAGGAGGAGAACTTGGGAAATCATTATCATTTATTTGGGTCCTGGAGTTGCAGTGTCCTTTCCTGGGGTACTGCCCTCCACTCCAACTGAGTTCAGGGTCTGAAATTAGCTCAGATCAAGGCTATGGATGTGACACTTTATCAGGGCTACCTCTCAACATCCTGATAGACAGCATTTACTTCACTTGATTGTTTTCTCCCCATCCCATTTAACCCTATGGCTGGTCCATTGTATTGACCATCTTCAGAATTATCTCCATCAGGCCTTGCAGTCTGCCACTCATTACTATAACTGAATCTTCTTAGATTCTAACAATTAAGGGTCAACACCAGGCCTCTATGTGTCTGGGTCTATCATCCCCCATCAGGGGGTTCAGTTCTGGAAAGGCACATTGTCCTTTCTATCTGAGGCTACCGCAAAAAGACCACTACTGACAAGGTTGGCAGGATCCTTCCTATCAGTGCTTAATCTTAATGTTTGGTAATTTATGCTTCTAACACCTTAAAACTTGAATTCAGAGAAAGGAAGTAGAGGCTACTGTAGCTGAGATTTCAAAGGCCACAGAAAAGTGTATGCCTTAGTCTCGAAACAAATAGAAGGGATCGAAAAACCAGGCCAAAATGAAAACAAGAATATGATGCAAATTTTTTGCATTCTAGTACTCAGATCTTAGTCTTAGACCCCTCATTGGGCTGGCTGATGTAATTCCTAGAAGCAACAAGGAATTTCATCATCTGATAGCCAATTTCACTATTTTTTTATTGTTATCATTATTAGCATTGTCTCTTACATTTTCTTATTTATTTCTGAATCGGTAAAATAAGATTTCTTTACAAAATTCAAGAGTATAAAGTGAAGAGTATGTGTTCCTTCAACCCCTACATTCACTTGGTTCTTCCCAGAAGGAGCCAATAATAATAGATTTTGATTAATCTTTCCAGAGATATATTTGCATGCTTCCATATAATAATTGCATTTTTTCCATGCTGATAAGATAATCTACATTGCTTTACAACTTGGTTTTTTTTTTTTTCATTTTACAATGTCTCTTCAAGACCATTCTTTACTGGTACAAATAGAGCTTCATTGTCAATTTGTTTACTGGCTATATAATATTCCAGTACATGCACATACTAAAATTTATCTTACCAATCTAATGTGAAGGACATTCAAGTACATTGCAATATTTTGCCATTAAAAGCAATGCCTCAGTGGACCTCTTGTATGTAAATGATTTTTCAAAATTATATTTCCTAAAAGTGAACAAAGTTTTTCAAAGTGTGTATGGATCTGTTCTCTCATGTGGGCCAGGCACTGATATCCTCTAATAAGCACTTTTTATGTTTAAAACTTTGCTAAATGAGGGCTGGGCATGGTGGCTCATGCCTGTAAACCCAGCACTTTGGGAGGCCGAGGCGGGTGGATCATTTGAGGTCAAGAGTTCGAGACCAGCCTGGCCAACATAGTGAAACCCCATCTCTACTAAAAATACAAAAATTAGCTGGGTGTGGTGGTGTACACCTATAATCCCAGCTACTAGGGGGCTGAGGCAGGTGAATCTCTTGAACCCAGGAGGCAGAGGTTGCAGTGAGCTGAGATTGCACCACTGTACTCCAGCCTGGGCAACAGAGTAAGACTCTGAAAAAAAAAAAAAACTTGCTGAATGAAAATGAAAAACATACAGATCAAAAATAGTCCAAAGCATATATGTACAATCTATAATATCCTTAAAAGGGGAGCTTATGCTTTTTAAAGAGTGAGCTCACACCTTTGACACCATGACCAATTAATTTAGCAGGAGCAGACAATATTGCAGTTAGCTCATCGGCAAGGTTGTCCAAGGTTCGTGCAATCCAGGGAGTATCATCATTTTTTGTAGTATCAATCATACGTTTAAATTGACTTATCTCTGCATTCATCTCCTCATACTTCTTCTTAAATCCTTCATGAAGCCAATCATTTTGGACCTAAAGACAATGTAGGAAGGAAAGTAAATTTTTAAAAATCCCTATTCTTTTAAGACTTACATTTTGTATTTAAAACCTGTGTGAAACTTTATTTTACTCCTAAAAACATTTTCTCAGTTATTAGAGGAGAATTTGGACCTAGACATTGTGAGGAAGCATAGTTTATAACTTTACTAATATCCACCCACCATTATGGTTTTGCTATGGTGCTAACCTAGGTATGAGGACAAATTCTACATGTTCCTGCCCAAAAGATGCCAGTTAGGAGGTAGCCATTGGTCTGATTGCATAAATTCTCAGTCCCAGTTGGGCAGCATGGTCACCCATATTGTAGGAATACCAAAAACTTATAAGCTGATGTAGAAATCCCTTATGAGAGAACTTTCAGATGGACAATGCAAGAATTCTCCCTACACTGTGTGCTAATTTGGGCAGGCTACCTATACAGGGTGACAACTGCAGCAAGTTTAGAAACTGTCCCTTTCCTGTCCTTTTAAGTCTGGAAATTTCTAAGAGTTGTATGTCAGCATGGATCTACCTCAGGGTGTTTGGATGGTACTAGAGCTCCTGGTAATATGTGGTCTTGGTGAAGGAAACCAGCTGCTGTTCACATCAAATACACTGTGTGGAACATATGTTTAACTTCTTGAGATTACTTTTAAAATCTCCCAAAACAGCAGCTTCGACCCTATTTATATTCCCCAAGGACTTGTAGGGATCATAGTCAACCTTACCTCTCCAGAATCTAAGTATAGAGAATATAGAGAAGAATTCCAAGTCTTACTGAAACAATTAAGAAAAAAAGGATTCAGGGCTTTTAGTGATTGCCAAGCAGCAAATGGTGATGTGCTTCCTTTCATGATGTTGCTGTAACCTTCACCAGCCCTTCCTGAGGTACCTGGGTGAGGACCGTCTGGCCTGCTGAGGCCAAGGGCAGACTTACCTTCTGCGTGTGCTCCAACATCATAATCTGCTCTCTCAGTAGGTGTTCTCTCTCCATCTGCAGCTTCTCCTTCAGTTGGGCTATGTTTTCCTTGCGACTCTTATCTTGAGCCTCCATCTGTTGCTGCTGCTCCTGTAATTTCTGTTTTAAAAGTTCCTGTTCCTTCTCAGCTGCCTCCTTCTTGGCCCGATCCACTGCTCCATGAAGGTATTAGAAAGAGAAGAAAATAATAGGTGAAGATTCATCTCCACTTTTCTGAGCTGAGACTAAACCAAATCTGAAAGGCAGGGTGAGAAATCACAGAATTCACCCAGGTCCACACCATTAAGAGCGCATTTGAGAATGTGATGGGAAAGGCTCTGCCTGTCTGGCTGATGTACAATCATAGCTCCCCTTGTTATTTTAAGATTTAGCAGAGTGTGTGTTCCACAGAAGAGGAAATTCCTCATTTTGGGAAGGTTTTCCTGTTAGATCTGTTAGAGGGCATTGTATAAACGTACCCCTCCTGTGTAAGCTGAGCCCTGCCCCATACCTGCTACTGCCTTCTCTCTATCAGTGAGGGCTTTATCTGACTGCAAGATGGATTCCTCTATCACCATCTGTGACTCCAGGAACCTCTGGAAGACCTCTTTTGCCTATGGAAGGAAGAAAAAGCACTTAGATTTCTTTGAAAATCTATGTTCTGGGTATTAGTGTTGCAAGAACAATTATGGTCTTGTAACTTTTGCTTTATGCCTAAAATTCTAAAGTGGCCCCCTACAAAGTGTGCGGGCTCTTTAGGGTGACCAGAGCCCCTCCTCAATTCCTGCTTCCTGTCTCCCTCCAGTGCCTTTCCCACTGCTGTAATATCTCCCTGTACCCGTTTTGGGTTCCGGCCAGGCAGAACTATGTGCACAGGTGTACAAACTCCCAATCTCTGATGCTTATACATGTCTGTCTTCCAGTGTGCAATGCTGCCTCTAATCTATGCTGTTGCTTTCTCCTGCCACTTGCTGGCTAGAACTTTAGGCAAGTTATGTAATCATCCTTGGGTACTAAGTTCAGATCTGTAAAATTTCCAAATAAAGGTGCTTCTTAAAGTCATTAGGAAGATGAAATTAAAATGTCTGGGGAAGAATTTAACAGTATACTGTAGGTAATAACAGCTCGTGAGTTAGTTGTATTATTACTACTATTATGTTTATTACCACCACCTAGGTGGTAATTTTCATTCTGTCTCTCCTGGATTTCTGAATACTATACTCTTTGTTTTGGAATAAAAATTTTTATTCTAAGAAATAAATATTAATTAGTGGACATTGAAAGCTAAGGCGTTATGCTATCCCTCTGCTCTCTTATTACCCACGGCTGGTGCTGAAGACTCCATTCACTCTATCCTATAAACTTCCCCATGCTCCCCTTATTCCTTACCTTTACTCCTTTCCTGGGAACTTGCCAATAGTCCTGTTCAATCCTTTCCTTTGTTTCCATGTAGAGCTTGTGCCCTCCAGGAACAGAGAAACTTCCTGCTGAGATACTTTCCATTAGTCCCTTTGAGAGCTCATTGAGTTTAGCCTGGCAGTATTGAACAGATGACTCTTCATTCTGCAGCAAGAAATCCCCCTTCTTATTCATTGTGGTTTCCTGCAAGGGAAATGTAGAGAGATGTCACCAGAAGAAACATGGAGGAGATGAAATTCTAAAGAATCTGGTGGTAGAGTCAATCTAACTGTGGTCCTCATGAGAAAAACATTCTAGTGGAGTAGATGTGGAATCAGAAACACAAAACTTCATACATTTACAATGCTAGAAATTCTCTTCAAGGCTATGGAAAAGTTCATTAATCTTCCTGAGCTTCAGGTTCCTTATCTGTGACATGATGAGACTACATTCCATAATCTCTATGGTTTGTTGCAATGGTATCATCCTGTGTTCCTGTCCTCAATGGTACAAGGATACAAGAAGGAGCAATGTAAGTTGAACAATGGCCCGGAATTACGATCTGGTAAGAGAATCTTTGTTTCCTGGGAAAGGTAAACTATGCACAGAAAAAGTGCACTGCTCAGGGATGACTTGTGCGTGTTCAGAGCAGGCCTGGAATCCTTAGAAGTGTTCACTTGAGGATCTTAAGTGATCTGTATTGATTTTACCTCAGTTATCAGAAGATTTTCTAGTTAAGTGCTTATATGTAGTCTTTTGAAACTCTATCCCTCATGAGAATCCACAATAAGTTATTCCTCAGTGACAGATGAGCATTGGTGACAATAAAGGCAACTATAGGCTTCATTCTTCAAGGGGAAGGATGATGAACAGTAATGACTAAGGCAAATTACCATGAACTTCTTCTGGAATTCCTGATTTTCATCCTTGAAGGAGTGCTCCATGAAGATTGCAATGGCTTCCCTCTCACAGGCCGCATGCATGTCCAGCAGCTCCTGGAGCGTGTCTGTGGGGAGCTTCACTCGCTGGGCCATCTGCTGGCTGTAGTAGTCAGCTGCCCTCTGCACGGCCGCTGAGTTCTCACGCTGGGCCAGAGTTATCACTGCATTCTCCAGACAAGGCACTGCTCCACTGTTGATGGCCTCTACATAAGTCACTGCCAGAGTTCCCAGACCTAAATGAACCAGGAGATTTAGGGGCTAAATATGAAATTAAAGCTCAGTGGGATCCTAGGCTACATTTCTGAGCACACACATGCACTTACATACACGCGCGTGCACACATGCAAACACATACACCCACATCCCTACCTCCTTCTGCTATTATCACTCTTATTTTCATAATGACTCTTCAATTTTATGGATCTCCAGTCCACAGTGCTAAAAAATTTAAATATCTACTTGTATCTAACATACTAGAGGGTATGCAGGAAGTACAATTTCTCATTTAAAAAATTACAAGAAAAGTAGTTTACACAGATAAAATGAGGCAGGGTAAATCATATCACATTTATTCCTAATTCTGAAGCTACCAATGTATTTTCAGGGAATTATGGGCTAATATTTATTTATTTCTAGACTTTTTTTTTTTTTTTTTTTTTTGAGGCCCAGGCTGGAGTGCAGTGGTGTGATCTCGGCTCACTACAACCTCCGCCTCCCAGACTCAAGTGATTCTCCTGCCTCAGCCTCCTAAGTAGCTGGGAATACAAGTATGTGCCACCATGACTAGCTAGTTTTTGTATTTTTTGTAGAGATGGGGTTTCACCATGTTGTTCAGGCTGGTCTCAAACTCCTGAGCTCAAGCGATCTGCGTGCCTCTGCCTCCCAAAGTACTGGGATTACAGGTGTGAACCACCACCCTCAGCCTTCTAGAGGTTTTTAAACTTGAACATATCTTTTCTATTCTCTTGGCAAAGAATACTGAACACATAGGACTTAGAAAATATTTCCCCTAAGAAAATATTATAGATGTTTTTATATTCAGTTAGTTATTTTATCAGTGGGGGATTTTTTTCAGATATGTGGAAGCCACAGATATCAGTGACAGAGTTTGCAATATTGGAGAGGAATTTGTAAATTGCAATAAGTGTGATAATTATACACATTTCTTCACTGAGTGTGAATACCTGTATACACGTAGTTTTTCTATATGGAATCTAACAAAAATTCTGAGAAACACATTATACAATATATTCAACACACATGAGGCCCCACAGAAAAGTAAAAAGGAGACTCACGATTCCCAGTGACTGTGATTCCCTCCCTGAGGGTCTTGGTTCTTGCATGAGTGAAGATGTAAGAACAGAAAATGTTTGTTTGTTCCTGGAATTTGGGATCCAGTTGCTTTTCTGACACCTTCTCAATATTGGCTAGAAGGTCTTTGTCATTTGTTGGCCGGTCAAAGACGAAACACTTCCGTTTTGGAAAGAAACGCCTGATGCACTCCCTGGGAAAATTGGATGTTTGAACTCTGGGATTATTGCCTGAGGGATAAAAAAAAACAGAGAATATAGTGAAAACAGTCTTGGTATAAGGGAGCTAAAGGTATTTTTGATAGGGTGTATTGTCTTTTTGCCATCTTCTATGCTTACAGACCTCCTTTAACATAAAAATTAAATACTTCTGTGCACATTGATGCTAAAAGAATTTGTATAATGTTAGCTATTTTTTAGTAAAATCCTCTGAAGACTAAATGTAACAAGAATATAATCTTGTATTGTTTTGTTTTTTCGAAACGAGGTCTTGCTCTATTGCCCAGGCTAGAGGGCAGTGGCACAATCACGGCTTACTGCATCCTTGATTTCCTAGGCTCAAGTGATCCTTCCACCTTAGCCTCTTTAGTAGTTGAGACTACAGGTGTGCACCATGACACCAGCTGATTTGTTCTAGTTTTTATAGAGACAGGGTCTCACTATGTTGCCCAGTCTGGTCTCAAACTCCTGAGCTCAAATAATCCTTTCACCTCTTCCTTCCAAAGTGCTGACACTACAGGTGCAAGTCACCTTGCCCAGCCAAGAAGGTAGTTTTAAGATAATCATCACTTCTTTATAAACTCTTAAAAGACTGTATTCGATTTGACAGTATTGCTCTTCTGCCTATGAATTTTTAAGAAATGTTTCAAGAAAGCATAAATAGAAAAATGAAAGCAACAACGAGTTCACTGGAATTGATATTTCTCATAAGGTTTTATCAGATACACACTCAGATAAATGTAACCCATTAAAACAATTATTATGAAATTCTAGCATGGATACATATGTTGGGTTTAAGAGAAAAATCATAACATAGAAAGTAAAATGAATATTCCGACAATTATCAGAAATTTTGAAAAGGCACAGATTGTAAAGACGTGCTTCTTCAGGTTGCTTTAGAAAACAAAATCATTTTTGTAGATGATATAACTATATGGATATTGAAAAGTTATATCCCTCCATGAGAAGAATAATATCTGTGTAACATGTTGATGTATTTTGGATGTGTGTCCCCTCCAAATCTCATGTTGAAATATGACCCCCCCCCCCCAATGTTGGAGGTGGGCCTAGTGGGAGGTGTTTGGGTCACAGGGGCAGATTTCTCATGAATACCTTGTTACCATCCTTGTGGTAATGAGTTCACACAAGATCTGGTTGTTAAAAGTCTGAGACCACCCCCCTCTGTTGTTCCCTTTCTCACCATGTGACACACCAGCTGCCCCCTTCACCTTCCACCATTAATAAAAGCTTCCTGGGGTCCTGACTAGAAGCAGATGCTGGTGCCATGCTTGTACAGCCTGCAGAACTATGAGCCAAATAAACTTCTTTTCTTTATAAATTACCCAGGCTCAGGCATTCCTTTATAGCAATGCAAAATGGACTAACACACACATTTATATTTTTATTAGATAGGCTTTTCATTGTAATTTCATGTCTAACAATTATCTGGTCAATCATTTTCTAAACACAGAAAAGCAGAGGGCAAAACACAGATCACAAGCATCTTGTTATTAGAAAGTCTTAGCACCCATTGTAATCTGAATGCTGAGGTACTAATTGTACAAAGAACAAATCTGTCTTGAATAATTTATCTGCACTTTAGACTCTACTTTTCTTAAGTGAACTAGGCTCCATTCCTAGAGCTCTTCAACATACCCCTCAGTCCCCGTTTCTACAGACCTCAATCTAGTCTCAAATACAAATGAAACCCCAGAGATGATGGGCAGTGTTTAGCAGATCACACACCCAGTGGACCACCCACAGCCCAGGCCACATTCTGATACCTTGAATCAGCTTCAAGGCATTCTCCAGGTATTCATCTTCTGTGATAGGGTGACCGTTCAACTTCAGCTCCAGAGTGAAATCCCGTACTGTCCAAAGAAAGTCTGGGAAGAAACTCACAAACTCTGTGGAATCTTCTACTCCATCAGGCCTTGGGGAGGACTTTGCCTTAATTAGTTCTGTGAGCTCCGTCACATAACTAGGACTTAGGTAAGGAAAAGCAACTGTCTGCCCACAATTCACACATTTCTTTTATAAAAATATTATAAACACTCTCTTTTGTCTTGGGTTCCCTGTGCTGCACCACAGGTAATTACATCAAAGGGAAGGAGGAAATGACTTGATCTCCATTCCTATAAAGTCAATGAAACCTGGTGGTTCTGTTCTGTTCCTGGAAGGATACTGCAGCTGCTCCAGGGCCTGGTGGTTGATGGTGCTCATGCTGTTGTAGACAAAGGTGCTGCACAGGAGCACAGCCAGGGCAAAGATCCAGGAGTCATTCTTAGGGTCACCCTAAAAAGCACATTAGAGCAAAGGACTTAGGAGTGTAGTCTTTAGAAATTCACTGAGACATTTATTTTGTCAGTCTTTCACTTATGATTTCAGCTAATGTACTTGCTGTACAAAGAACATAGACATGAATGTAAACAACAGTTTGTTACAATATGTCTTCTAATCACAATTTCTTTACATATAAAAGGATTCTAATCTTCATAGGGTTTTTCTTTTCCTCAGTTGGATGAAATAAGATGCATATATGGAAAAACTAGTACAATATCTGGTTTTCAGTTGGATATTCATGATGAGTGTTAACACTTCTTCAGTCTACACATATTTATTGGCCATGCATCACATATAAAAACCATACCATAGTATGCATAACTGGGGATTGTAATTATATTCAATTAAATTCAGCAAACACTTATAGGAAACTGAAGAATGTTTCTCACTGTTCTTATGTTTAGAAAAGCAAATTTAATAAATTTACTGTCATGATGACTATTTCAAAGCTGTGACAAACTTTCATAATGATGAATTCAATAAAAATGGCAATATTTATAGATAACATCTTAGTAATGTACATAAGAAGTGGAACCCATAGCTATAATGTTAAATTAAAAATTACAAGTCTATCCAGGAAGATAAGAGCTATGAAAATTGAAGAGTGTATGTGATATGAGGGTTTCCTGGAAGTCACGAGCTGAATGTTAAAAAATCGATAGAATGTGGATTTGAAGAAATGAAGGTGATTCTGCAAGTAGAAAGACCCACAGAAACAAAATTAGAGATTGTAGATTTCAGGAGTCTTTGCAATAAGAATAGAGTTTATTGGCCTGACTGAGCAGAGGGTAAGTGCAGAAGATAAGACTGAATAGGGAGCTCCAGTACCTGGTTGATTAAGGACACTAAAGGTCAGGCTAAATTTGTTTTTATAAACTATAGCATGTCTAAATTATACATAGTCCAGGAATTATTTCTATCCTAAAAAGCATGTGTAACTGGTTCCTAAAGCAAATATAAAAACTGAGATCTAGAGATTTCTACATAATTCCAGGAGATTCTATATGGGATTTTGGAGGTAGGAAGAATAGCCTATTCATTTTTTTATGTCCCCCACTCCTTAATTTTTAAAAAAGTAATCAATGAGGATTCTTCTTAGAAGTGGGACTCGTGACAAACAATAAACTATTTAGACAGGAGTATATCACTGTTTGATAGACGACTTTAAAGTTTCTATAAAAATCCCAAAGACATTTTGTTTATTATTATTCTTTTTTGTGGAGATGGGCTTTCACTATGTTGCCCACAGTGGTTTCTAACTCCTAGCCTCAAGCCACCTCCGCTGTCTCAACCTGGCCCCAATAATATTCTTAAATAAATATAAAAAAATCCTAAAATTAATACAGAATCGCAAAATGCTCTGAATAATCAAAGTAATCTTGAACCAGAAGAACAAAGCTGGGGGCATCATATTTCTTGATTTCAATATATATTGCAAAGCCACAGTAGTCAAAATAGTATGATGCTGGCATAAAAACAGACATATAGATCAATGGAACAGACTAGACAATGCAGAAATAAATGTATACATCCACAGCGAACTCATTTTTGACTAATGTGCTGAGAACTTATATTGAAGAAAGGATGGTCCCCTCAATAAATGGTGCTGGGAAAACAGATATCCACATGTATGCAGAAGAGCAATATTTGATCCTATTGCACACCATACACAAAAACAACTGAAAATGGATTAAAGACTTAAATGGAAAACCAGAAACTGGATCCAGAAATCCCACTGCTGTGTATATATCCAAGGAAAATGAAATGACTATGTCAAAGAGATATCTGTTCTTTTATATTTATTGCTGTACTATTCACAATAGCCAAGGCATGGAGTCAATCTGTTTCCATTAACAGATGAATGAATTTTAAAAAATGTGAAATCTATACACAATGAAATACTATTAAGCCTTCAAAAAGAAGGAAATCCTGTCATTGGCAACAACCTGGAGGAATCTAGAGGATGTTAAGCTAAGTTAAATAAGCCAGGCACAGAAAGACAAACACTGCATGATTTTACTTATATGTGAAATCTAAAAGAGTTGAACTCATAGCAGTAGAAAGTAGAATGATGGTTACGAGGGGCTAGTGGAGAGGGGAACAGGAAGGTTGGAAAATGTTAGTCAAAGGATACAAAATTTTAGTTAGATAGAAGGGGAAAAAAAAGATATGAAGCCGTAAAAATACCAGAAGAATATACAAGGAAAAAACTTGACATTGGTTTGGGCAATGATGTTTTTGGATATGACACCGAAAGCACAGGTGACAAAAGCAAAATTAGACAAGTGAGACTGCGTCAAATTAAAATGCTTCAGGTAACAAAGGAAACAATCAGCGGAGTGAAAATGCAACCAATGGAATAGGAGAAAAATATTTGCAAACCATATATTTGATAAGGGGCTAATATCCAAAATACATGAGGAACTTATATAACTCAATAGCAAAAAAAAATCCTTATACCTCATTAAAAATGAGCAAAGGTGCTGCAATAACTTATGCATGCATGTGTCTTTATAATAGAATGATTTGCGTTCCTTTGGGTGTATACCCAGTAATGGGATTGCTAGGTTGAATGGTAGTTCTGTCTTTAGCTCTCTGAGGAATTGCCATACTGTCTTCCACAATGGTTGAACTAATTTACACTTCCACTAATGGTGTAAAAGCCCACAGCCTCACCAGTATCTGTAATTTTTTGACTTTTTATTAATACCCTATTCTGACTGGTGTGAGATGGTATCTTACTGTGGTTTCCATTTGGATTTCTGTAATGATCAGTGATGTCGAGCTTTTTTTTCATATGATTGTTGGCCACATGTATGTCTTGCTTTCATTACAGCACTGTTCATAATAGCAAAGACATGGAATCAACCTAAATGCCCATCAATGATAGACTGGATACATAAAATGTGGTACATAAACACAATAAAATACTATGCAGCTGTAAAGAAGAACAAAATCATGTCCTTTTCAAGGACATGGATGGGCCTGGAGGGCATTATCCTTAGCAAACTAATGCAGGAACAGAAAACCAAACACTGCATGTTCTCACTTGTAAGTGGGAACTAAATGATAAGAACATACGGACATATAGAGGGGAACAACACACACTGGGGATTAGGGGAGGGTGTGGGAGGGGAAGAGGGAGAGAAGCAGGAAAAATAACTAATGGATACTAGGCTTAATACCTGGGTGATAAAATAACCTGTACAACCAACCCCCATGACATATGTTTATCTATGTAACAAACCTGCACATCTTGCACATGTACCGCTGAAGTTAAAATAAACAGTAAAAAAATGAGTAAAGAACCTGAATACACATTTCTCAAAAGAAGACGTACAAATGGCTAATATGTATATATAAAGGTGTACAAAATAGCTAATTATCAAGGAAATGCAAATTAAAACAAAAATAAGATATCACCTGACACATTTAAGATGGCTATTACCAAAGGAGTTAAAAATAACAATTGTCGGCAAGAATATAAAATAAGAGAACATTTGCTGTTTTTTGGAGTGTAAATTCATGCAGCTATTATGGAAAAAGTATGGAGGTCCCTCAAAAAATTAAAAATAGAACTACCATGTGATCCAACAATCTTACTTTTATGTATAAATCCAAATGAAATTAAATCAGTATTTTAACGAGATATCTGTACTTTCATATTTATATTTATATTTAAATATGGAAGTATGAATATTTAAATATATCCATAATAATTGCAGCATTATTCACAATAGCCAAGATATGGAAACTACCCGAATGTCCATCAATGCATGAACAGAAAAAGAAAATGTAGAGTACATGTATGTGCATTGCTCTAGTCCGTTCTCATGCTGCCCAATAAAGACATACACGAGACTGGACAATTTACACAGGAAAGAGGTTTGACTCACAGGTCAGCATGGCTAGGGAGGCCTCAGGAAACTTACAATCATGGTGGAAGGGGAAGCAAACACATCCTTCTTCACATGGTAGCAGGAGAGAGAAGAATGATAGCCAAGT
Organism: Homo sapiens; assembly: GCF_000001405.40. Taxonomy (NCBI): domain Eukaryota; kingdom Metazoa; phylum Chordata; class Mammalia; order Primates; family Hominidae; genus Homo; species Homo sapiens. The sequence continues at coordinate 89,374,049 of NC_000001.11, read as the reverse complement.
AAAGGGGGAATCCCCTTATAAAATGATCAGCTCTCATGAGAACTTACTCACTATCACGAGAATAGCATGGGGAAACCACCCACATGATTCAATTACCTCCCACCAGGTCCCTCCCACGACATGCGGGGATTATGGGAACTACAATTCAAGATGAGATTTGGGTGAGGACACAGCCAAACTATCCATAGCATGCATATATATATTTATTGAATATATATATAATTTATATATTTTTATTATACTTTAAGTTCTAGGGTACATGTGCACAACATGCAGGTTTGTTACATATGTATACATGTGCCATGTTGGTGTGCTGCACCCATTAACTCATCATTTACATTAGGTATATCTCCTAATGCTATCCCTCCCTGCTCCTGCCACCTCACGACAGGCCCTGGTGTGTGATGTTCCCCACCCTGTGTCCAAGTGTTTTCATTGTTCAATTCCCACCTATGAGTGAGAACATGTGGTGTTTGGTTTTTTGTCCTTGTGATAGTTTGCTGAGAATGATGGTTTCCAGCTTCATCCATGTGCCTACAAAGGACATGAACTCATCATTTTTTATGGCTGCATAGTATTCCATGGTGTATATGTGCCACATTTTCTTAATCCAGTCTATCACTGATGGACATCTGGGTTGGTTCCAAGTCTTTGCTACTGTGAATAGTGCCGCAATAAACATACATGTGCATGTGTCTTTATAGCAGCATGATCTATAATCCTTTGGGTATATACCCAGTAATGAGATGGCTGGGTCAAATGGTATTTCTAGTTCTAGATCCTTGAGGAATCGCCACACTGTCTTCCACAATGGTTGAACTAGTTTACGGTCCCACCAACAGTGTAAAAGTGTTCCTATTTCTCCACATCCTCTCCAGCACTTGTTGCTTCCTGACTTTTTAATGATCACCATTCTAATTGGTGTGAGATGGTATCTCATTGTGGTTTTGATTTGCATTTCTCTGATGGCCAGTGATGATGAGCGTTTTTTCATGTGTCTGCTGGGTGCATAAATGTCTTCTTTTGAGAAGTGTCTGTTCATATCCTTTGCCCACTTTTTGATGGGGTTGTTTGTTTTTTTCTTGTAAATTTGTTTGAGTTCATTGTAGATTCTGGATATTAGCCCTTTGTCAGATGAGTCAATTGCAAAAATTTTCTCCCATTCTGTAGGTTGCCTGTTCACTCTGATGGTAGTTTCTTTTGCTGTGCAGAAGCTCTTTAGTTTAATTAGATCCCATTTGTCAATTTTGGCTTTTGTTGCCATTGCTTTTGGTGTTTTAGACATGAAGTCTTTGCCCATGCCTATGTCCTAAATGGTATTGCCTAGGTTCTCTTCTAGAGTTTTTATGGGTTTAGGCTTAACATTTAAGTCTTTAATCCATCTTGAATTAATTTTTGTATAAGGTGTAAGGAAGGGATCCAGTTTCAGCTTTCTATATATGGCTAGCCAGTTTTCCCAGCACCATTTATCAAATAGGGAATCCTTTCCCTATTTCTTGTTCTTGTCAGGTTTGTCAAAGATCAGATGGTTGTAGATGTGTGGTATTATTTCTGAGAGCTCTGTCCTGTTCCATTGATCTATATCTCTGTTTTTGTACCAGTACCATGCTATTTTGGTTACTGTAGCCTTGTAGTATAGTTTGAAGTCAGGTAGCATGATGCCTCCAACTTTGTTCTTTTGGCTTAGGACTGTCTTGGCAATGTGGGCTCTTTTTTGGTTCCATATGAACTTTAAAGTAGTTTTTCCAATTCTCTGAAGAAAGTCATTGGTAGTTTGATGGGGATGGCATTGAATCTATAAATTACCTTGGGCCGTATGGCCATTTCCACAATATTGATTCTTCCTATCCATGAGCATGGAATGCTCTTCCATTTGTTTGTGTCCTCTTTTATTTCATTGCACAGTGGTTTGTAGTTCTCCTTGAAGAGGTCCTTCACATCCCTTGTAAGTTGGATTCCTAGGTATTTTATTCTCTTTGAAGCAATTGTGAATGGGAGTTCATTCATGATTTGGCTCTCTGTTTGTCTGTTATTGGTGTGTAAGAATGCTTGTGATTTTTGCACATTGATTTTGTATCCTGAGACTTTGCTGAAGTTGCTTATCAGCTTAAGGAGATTTTGGGCTGAGATGATGTGGTTTTCTAGATATACAATCATGTCATCTGCAAACAGGGACAATTTGACTTCCTCTTTTCCTAATTGAATACCCTTTATTTCTTTCTCCTGCCTTATTGCCCTGGCCAGAACTTCCAACACTATGTTGAATAGGAGTGGTGAGAGAGGGCATCCCTGTCTTGTGCCAGTTTTCAAAGGGAATGCTTCCAGTTTTTGTCCATTCAGTCTGATATTGGCTGTGGGTTTGACATAAATAGCTCTTATTATTTTGAAATACGTCCCATCAATACCTAATTTATTGAGAGTTTTTAGCATGAAGAGCTGTTGGATTTTGTCAAAGGCCTTTTCTGCATCTATTGAGATAATCATGTGGTTTTTGTGTTTGGTTCTCTTTTTATGCTGGATTATGTTTATTGATTTGCATATGTTGAACCAGCCTTGCATCCCAGGGATGAAGCCCACTTGATCATGGTGGATAAGCTTTTTGATGTGCTGCTGGATTCGGTTTGCCAGTATTTTATTGAGGATTTTTGCATTGATGTTCATCAGGGATATTGGTCCAAAATTCTCTTTTTTTGTTGTTGTGTCTCTGCCAGGCTTTGGTATCAGGATGATGCTGGCCTCATAAAATGAGTTAGGGAGGATTCCATCTTTTTCTATTGATTGGAATAGTTTCAGAAGGAATGGTACCAGCTCCTCCTTGTACCTCTGGTAGAATTCAGCTGCGAATCCGTCTATATATATTCAATCTCAAAAAAGGGAATTTTGTCATTTGCAACAACATAGATGAACACTGAGGTCGTTATGCTAAGTGAAATAAGTCAGACATAGAAAGACAAATACTGCATGATCTCACCTATTTGTGGAATCTAAAATAGTCAAATAGTTAAACTCATAGCAGCAGAGTATAATAGTGGTTGCCAGGGGCTGGGGATGCGAGAAATGAAGAAATGTTGGTGACAGAGTTCAAAATTTCAGTTATGAAAGATAAATAAACTCTGGAGATCTACCGTACAGCAGTGTGACTATAAGTAACAATACTATATTGATTGTGACCTTCACTTCCGCTAAGAGGACAGATCTTAATTGTTCTTACCACACCAAAAAATAAAAAGAGAGCATAGAAAAAAGAAAACGGTAACTATGTGAGGTAACAGCTATATTATTGGCTGGATTGTGGTGATCATTTCACAGTGTATACACATACCAAAACATTAAGTTGTACAGCTTAATTATATATAATTTTTATTTGTCAATTATACAACACTAAAGCAGAAAAATAAACAGAATTTCTAACGCCTGTTTGGGCAAAAATAAAGTGTATAGAAATTTAGAACCCATTCCCAAATAACTCTCAAAGTAAGATAATAAAAGAGAGAAATTATTTATTTCACCCATTCATAAGAAGCTAAATATCAAAAATTCATCTTATAATGTTTATTGTAGGAAGAACAAATACTTTTTTATGATGAGCACAATCAGAAATGTCTCAAAGCCTTCCAGAATGCTCTGTGGGTAATTGATGAGCTTCATCATGAGAAATATAAACTGAACTCTCCTAATTCCAACCCTCAAATGTACTCTTCACATGGTAGCTCAGAAGGTGGGTGAGAGGCCTCTCCTCATCTCCTGAGATTGGAGTCAATACCTCTTCTCTTTCTTATCAAAGCACTGTTATACACAACTGTATGTGGTGAAAGCTGTGAGGTGCTGCCTGGATCACAGGTGTCAGCTCTCTTAATGAGAAAGTTTTCCAGGGCAGACTTCCAGTGATTGACCAGCACCAGGGATGAAGGCCTAGCACCCTTGTCCCAAAACATGATAACTCAAAAGGGCCATTCCAGCCACAGAGTTCCCTATGGAATTGACAGAGGGCAGGGATTGCATTGCATTCCCATCTCCTCCCTCTCAGCAACCTGCTTCTTTCCCAGTCACACTACATCCTGAAGGCTCTTTGTGGGCAGGACCTTTACTTTGTTCACCAATGTCTATGCTACTCAGCCCCAAGGCCTGGAACTCAACTGCTTAACAACCTTTTATCAAATTGAATCAAATCATTCACCACTGTGCCAAGAAATAAAAGAATGTTTTACCTAATATACCATGATATCTAACCTTGTCTAGAAGTGTGATTCAAACAGGTCAAAGTTTGCCTTATTTGCTATAGTTGGATTTCTAGTTTGCACAAATAGATCACAACAGTTTAATTACAAGGATCACGTCTGGAATAAAAGGAACCTGTCTATGACTCTCTGTCTTACCTTTTCCACATCGCCCAGACCTTCGGTGTCCAGAAGGACCAGGGTGTGGTTTGGCTTGGATGGGTGGGGCACGCACCACATCCAGATGCCCTTGGTTTCAGACTGCACCGTGGAGCCCAGAGGGAAGCCTGCAGGGAAGAGGAGGAAGCTAAGCACAGGGACAGCAGAGCAGCCAAGCCGCCCTGGGGCCACAGCATCAGACTGGTTGGATTGTAACTACCCCAACATACATGATGGTCCTTTCTGTATTTCCTCAAGAATGGCTTACTTTGTGAATAATCTATATAAAAAAGCGAGGGACATTAAATGTGAGAATGATGCCAAGTAACGGCTCAAAATGGAGACAAAGAGAAATCTATGAATCAGACAAAGAGGAGGTCACTGATAACAGGAACATCTTGAAAAGTGGTGGGGTTCAAAGTCAGAGAAGAGTGGGTTGAAGAAAGACACGAGAAGGAAAAAACTCAAAAAGGGAAATTGAGATCTTTTTTTGCATTGAAAAGTGATTAAAAACTAAAACAAACACAAAAACAAAACAGAAGTTGGTGGCCACATGGGATGTGGAATTCAGGAAGCGTTTTCAAGATTACATAGATTAAAACATCTTTGTATGTTGATGGGAATATTACATGAGGAAAGCAAAATATGTTATAAGACAAAGGAGACACAATTACAGGAGCCCAGGACTTGAATACACAAGGGAAGGTAGGATTCTGGGCACTAGTAATGTAGAGTTTCCTTAATGGGAATGAGGGAAAAAATATGAGAATGGATTATCGTAAGGTAGTGGTTTGGTGGTAAGAATTGGAATGAGAAGGTTGGTTTATTGAAAGGAATTGGAGTCTACCTTCATGTGCTCTGGGGTAGAGAATCAAGAAGCTGAGATATAGCTGGAATCAAGCAACTGGCCTGTGTCCCAGGATACCACTTACCATGATTCTGTCCTGCCAGATGGTTCATCAAGTAGGATTTCCCTGTACGGTACAGTCCTACAATGGCCACCACCACCACTGGCTGAGAAATCTTTTCAAGAATCTGTATAGCTTGCTGGTTCACCAATAGCTGCTCATTGTTATTTTCCACCAGGCAAACGGGGGCCAACATTTTGGGTCCAGATTCCATGGCAACTGCCAACCTAGAAGAGCCTCCCAGTAGAAATAACGTTACATTGTCATTCTCTGTCTCAGTGTTTCCCAAGCACCCATCAACATAGGACTAATGAGACTTCTGTGTTTCTACTGGACAACATGTAATCTAGCATTAGCTGACTGCACAAGGCTTCTTTTATCACTCTCCCAAGTCTGTAATGATATTAAGTGATGAAACATGGAACATTATCTTCTTTAAAGTTTTACTTCAGTAGTACTATTAAAATCCAAGTAATTGTTACCATAATAGGGGGCCCACTAATACTCCAAGTCCTGTGATGCATGCCTTAAGTATCCAACCCCACTGACACAAAAATCTGCAAGTTGTAGATTATTATAGCCACAAATACACAAATGATATCACGAGTCTTACAAAGGATGAATGCAGAAATCATAGAACCCGGCTTACAAACCTGGACAATTGATTAAAATAGCAGGCTAGGAAGTTCTAAGTCTTTCTCTCCTTGGAGACATCACAAAACAACTTTAAAAAAATGGCTAAAATGATCTTATAGGAGCTCTGGAAAACAGTCATAAGTCTATAGCAACCAGGCAAATGTCCAATATTTTTAAAAGGCATATTCAAAATGGTAGGCGATTTCATGGCATTTTGTTTGCCAGTTCTGCCCACTCCACTCAGTGACATAGTCTTAGTTTGGAGGAGGTGGTTTTTCACTTCCCAGTTCTCTCCCTTGAAGTGGAGGGAGCAAAGAAGACCTTATTTGTAACACACTAACCTGACTGGGAGCTACCTGTTCTGGTTTCTGTTCTGCCTACCTTGGATTTCTGGTATGTCATACACAATGATTTCTTGTGTATGATATCAAAACCACTGGAAACAAGTGAAAAAAATTAGATACACCACACTTCATCATAATTAAAAACTTTTGTGCATCAAAGAACACTATCAACAGAGTAAAAAGGCAATCTATGGAAAGGGAGAAAATATTTGCAAATCATGTTTCTGATAGAACACATAAAGAACTCCTAAAACTCAATAGCAACAATAGCCAAAAATAAAAATTCAAAAATGGATAGAGTAGACTAGACGTTTATCCAAAGAAGAAATGGCCAATAAGCACATGAAAACATGCTCAACATCATTAATCACTAGGTAAATGAAAATCAAAACTACAATGAGGTACATGTTAGACCCACCCATTAGGACTGTTATTTTTTTTAAAAAGCCCAAAACTTCAAAACTGAAAACAGGTGTTAGCTAGGATGTTGAGGATTTGGAACCTGTGTGCACTGTTCATGGAATGCAAACTGGTACTGTCACTATGAAAACAGTATGATGGTCCCTTGGAAAACCAAACATACAATTAACATTTGATCAAGCTATTCTACTTCTACATATACACTCCAAAAAATTAAAGGCAGGGACTCACACAGATATTTGTACATCAATGTTTATGGCAGCATTATGCACAATAGCCAAAAGATGAAAACAGCTCAAATGACTCTAAACAGATGAATAGATGAACAAAATGTTGTATATACCTACAATCAGCTATTATTCAGCCATAAAAATGTAGGAAATTATGACACATGCTACAACATGGATCACCTTGAAGACATTATGCCAAGTGAAATATGCCAGGCGCAAAAGAACAAATATTGTATGAGGTACTAGAATAATCAGATACATTGAGACAGAAAGTAGAAGTGTAGCTACCATGGGCTGGGGGAGGAGGGAATGCAGAATCATTGTTTAAAGGTAGAGAGTCTCAGTTTACAATGATGAAGTTCTGGAGATAGCTGCACAACTAATGTCACCGAAGTATTTTCTTAATTAGTAAAATAGTAATTTTATTATGTATATTTTACCAACAAAAAAGAGAGTAAAAGACAAAAGCCTGGATAATCGGGCAACCTATTCCTCTGTGTTATGCTACTGCAACCACTTATCTGTCAAAATAACCTACCTCAAAGACAGTGGTTATGCTATAAGGTTTTTGATCGACAACCTGCAGTAACTTTTTAATGATCATCATATACTGAAACTTGTTCTCTAATGCATCAGTGTGACCTTATATGTTTGTCTTTTATCTACAGGTTTGGAAGAGTGATGGGAATAGAAGGGAGAAGGGAAAGGATCCACTATGGGATGAGAAAACTCTAGAGAATACAGGCTATCTTTCCAAAAGGGAAGCAGGAGAATGTCCAGAATCTAAAGAATTCAAGTACAGGCTGAAATACGTAGCCTAGAAGGGTCAGGTTCTCTGCAATTTACTCCCACAGACAAGAATAAGAAAAAGAATAAGAATAACAATACATATAATATTGCATATTATTTATGGAGATAAATTATAGATATCTAGAGAGAGAGAGAAATTATGTACATACATATTAATAGATAAGTTAGAGAGATTTCTTTTTGAGAGATAAAGTCAATGTCACTTTTGGGTGAATCGAGGTGAAAGGCATATGGGATTTAATTGTAATATTTTTAGAGGTGAAGTTTAATTCCATAAATTTAGTATTGAAAGTACAATTATTCTGTAGGTCTCCTGGCACATTTTTATTGCCATTATATTAAAATGGTTTTCTATGATACCTGTATTTCCTTATAATTAGAAAAATGTAAACATAATATTGTCTTCAAATGCCTCAAATACTCAGTTTAGAATTGATATGTCAGACACTCAAGATGCATCTAATGCCACCAAAAATACCAGCTCTATCATTCACTACTTATGTGGCCTTGACCAAGGAGGTCAAGCTAGCTGAGCCTGTTAATTATAGGGGTCTGTGAGTTAAATCATACATCCAACCTGGAGGGTGTTTTGATAATAAAACGAGACATTATAAGTTTATATCTTTGCATAGCATGCACCACACAATAGGATTTCAGTAAATGTTGAATTAAATGGAGGTTACTACAATAATTACAATAACAATTGGTCCATTAGATTATATATTTCAACAAAATATACAAACTATAAGTTACTAAGAAACAAAAACTACAAATAAATTTTTCACGGAAGCAAAACTGTAAAGTTCAAGCACGCTGTTGCTGTACAACCTGCTCTTGTCTGATTCTTCACTGAGGGGAGTAAGGAAAATGGAGATCAAACACGAGGTCCTGATTTCCACAGTGAAATGCATTGTAATGTGATGTGTAACGTGTTCATCACATTACAGTGACTGCAACTGTACAGTCCCTTCTTTAAAGTGAACAATAAAGGCAGCTCTAGGAAGATGTGGCTGCTCCTGCAAACAACTTTATATAAACCAGGTCTCTGGTTTCTTAGCTGTGTGGGAACCACAGACCTTTTAACTTCTACTAAATGAAATACAGCTGTTCAATCCTATTCAGGACTGGTTTTCACACTCTGATGTACATAAGAATCACCTGATCACTCTGATGATAGTTTCTTTTGCTGTGCAGAAGCTCTTTAATTAGATCCCATTCTCAGCAAACTAACACAGGAACAGAAAACCAAAAACTGCGTGTTCTAACTGGTAAGTGGGAGTTGAACAATGAGAACATGTGGACACGGGCGGCGGGGGGTTGGCGCTGGGGGTGGGGGTGGGAAACTCACACACTGGGGCCTGTCAGTGGGTGGAGGGCAAGGGGAGGGAGAGCATTAGGACAAATACCTAATGCATGCGGGGCTTAAAACCTAGATGACGGATTGATAGGTGCAGCAAACCACCATGGGACATGGTGGTTTTTAAAAAAATCTTTTTTATTTTAAACATAGTGTCTATTCTTCATCTTTTTTTTTTTTAAAGAATCAACTGAGAGGATTGTTCAAACCCAGATTCCCAGGCCTAAGTATCCATCTGTTTAGCAAGAGCTACAAGAGACTCTGATGTTCCTATGGGAAACTAACACCCCCCTCCTCCCCCACCCCCTCCCCACACACACATACACACACACACACACACACGCACACACAGAGTTTGGACTATATAATTATTTTTAAGTAATAAAGACCAGTGATGTGGGGCCTAAGTTTATTTCTACATAGAGATTTATAGAGCTCTTATTCTGAAGCTTTCCTAAGTGTGACCACTAGAAAGATAGACAAGAAACTCTCCCTTCCGGTATAATTGCCTGGAAGCTCCTTGTTCTCTGCATTCTGGGGCTTGCCGCAGGACCTGAGAGAGATAGCCAGGCAGGCGCCCACCAGGGCTCATTCCAGGCCACTCACTGCTGTCCTGAGTTGATGATCAGGGAACAGCACATCCAGGGGGACGCGGCGTGCCCGGCTGTCACTGGTTCAAGTGGAGAAGCTGAGCTTCCCCAGAACTAAAGCCAGCCACAGACTCCTGCAGGCCAGGCAGCAGGCACCCTGCCCTTCCTGCCCATTCCTCAGTTACCACTCTGAATCAGAAACCAAGTCTTGAGTTAGGAACTAAGTTGCATTTAAAAGAAAGTGAACATACCTGCTCTATAGCACCGCAGGTCCAAGAACAGTTTTCAGTTGCCTCACTCACCTCTTGTTTTCTTTCCTCCTTTTACTTTTCTGTTCTTTCCTTTATAAAAGGAAAAAAAAGCTGAGTAAGCTAGTTGTTTCCACAAATGGGATGGTGCAGTAAAAATAAACTTGGAAGTAAAATTAATCCATGCTTTTAATAAAGTGTTAGCAGAGCCATGCCTGAATCATCCGATGTGAGTTTGAGGATGGGTGTTGGGTGCAGGGGTGGGAGGAGGTCAGAAAAAGCCACAGATACTGCACAGTCACACCTTAGCAAGCACAATCCTGCCAGCTTTCTTTTGTCTTTCCCATCTTAGAAGGCTTCACAGGCTTTCTTCTTGATACCGTTCCCAGGTGGCTTTAGTTTCCTAGGCACACAAGAAAAACAGGAAATCTACAGTAGTCACATAAGCAAAGCCTTAGAAACCAAGAATATTTTAAGCATTTTTCTCTTAGTGGGAATTCTTGAGTTCTGGGGTCTTTTGTTAGTGAAGAACTTTTGATATTTTAAATGTGTTCACACATGCACACACACACACAGAAGAGAGAGAGAGAAAGAGAGAGAGCTAAAGATATTACTGGTTTAAAAAAAGAATGAACCATGTCTTTTACAGCAACATGGATGGAACTGGAGTTCATTATCTTAGGTGAAACAACTCAGAAACCGAAAGTCAAATACCACATTCTTACTCATAAGTGGAAGCTAAAAAATCTGCATACATGGACATAGAAGGTGGAATGTGCAGTGCATAACAGTGTACAAGCTCCTATGAGAATCTAATGCTGCTGCTGATCTGACAGGAGGCAGGTCTCAGGCCTTAGTGCTCTCTCCCTACTCACCTCCTGTGTGGCCCAGTTTCTAACAGACCATGCTCTGGGGGTTTGGGACCCTTGATGTGGACTATTTATCCAACAACCCACAGTTTCCATTGGTTGAGTCTTATCCCCAGGGACTTTAACTATTTTGAATTCACAAGCTGCCCTTGGGCAAAATAGACACCCTTTCACAGCTTGGAGAAACATCTGAGTGAGAAAAGGAGAAAGACTCTCTACAGAGGACATAGCAGCATGCTGGGACTGTCTACCATGGCTGCACTGCTAAATGGATTTGAGAACAGAAGCAAGTGGCAGAATGAGCAGACATGAGTTTTGGCAATAACTTAGGCTGAGGATTTGGGGAGTGTGGTAGACTAATCTGAATACTCTATTCAGACAAAGACTTGTGTTAAAAATGTAAAATTCTGGGCCAGGTGCGGTGGCTCACTCCTGTAATCCCAGCACTTTGGGAGGCCGAGGCGGGCGGATCACGAGGTCAGGAGATCAAGACCATCCTGGCTAACAGGGGGAAACCCTGTCTCTCTCTACTAGAAATACAAAAAAATTAGCCGGGTGTGGTGGCGGGCACCTGTAGTCCCAGCTCCTCAGGAGACTGAGGCAGGAGAATGGTGTGAACCTGGGAGGCAGAGCTTGCAGTGAGCCGAGATTGTGCCACTGCACTCCAGCCTGGGCGACAGAGCGAGACTCCATCTCAAAAAAAAAGGAAAATTCTGGATTCAAAAATGTTTAATATTTTCAAAAGCAATATTAAAAATTGACTAATTTGTCATGAATGATCTTAAAGACCAAATTCCAAGGGAAGGTGAACGCCCAAAGAGTTAAGTGGAGTATTGAAGCTGTTTTTTTTCTAATAGCATTTGCCAACCAAGGGAATGTGACCTTCAGTTTGGAAGGCATTTATGAAGAGGCCAAAAGTCAAAGACCAGAGCTTGTCTAAAGTAAAGAGTCTAGTAGGAGGCCTCCTTTAGATGTTATAAGACTAAACCAGTGATTCTTAATACTTGCTGCACATAAACATCAATTGAGGTTCTCCTTAAAAACTTGAGCTCTGATCCATCACCAGAGACTCTGATTTAGTAAGTCTAGAGTTGAGGGTGAGTGTGAGTGTTTTTTTAAAGCCTCGCCCCACCTCCAGGTGGTTCCAATTGCAGTCAAGGAGGCAAAGAACTGGAGTAAATGTCGAGAGCAACTGTGAACTAGAACTAGCAGGGCAAGCAGGTTTAGGACTGGCTAGCTGGAATAATTTCAGTGGGCTCTGGGGCAGAGGGATTGTTCTTACTTTTGATATTTGGCCTTTCGGTGAGTAGGGCAGATGGATAGTGGCCCAGAGAATGAGAGCCAACAGAGAAAGTGGCGGGGTGTGGGCTCCAGGTTGGTTGGTTTGCATATGAAAGGCACACTTGCAGGAGAATCCTGTAGTATCTCTAAGAACTGGCAAGCCCAGGGAGGGTCAGTCTCTCCAGGATCAGCAAAGCCCCAAGATGTCTAAAGCTTTAGATAGGGAAACTAGAAAATGTGTTAATTATGGGGTTGCATATATTGGATGGTCCATGAAGTCAAGCCAGGAGCTTAGCACAAAACACCCAGAATAGTCAAAGTGACCTGAGAATGAAGAACAAAGCTGGAGGCATCACACTTACTGATTTCAAAATGTATAACAAATCTACAGTAATTAAGACAGTATGGAACTGGCATAAAAATAGACACATAGATGAATGAAACAGAATAGAGAGCTCAGAAATAAAATACAATATTTTGAAAATATATTGAAAAGGTTCTCAACATTACTAATAATCAGAGAAATGCAAATCAAAACAATAGTGATATATCACCTCCTACCTGTTAGGATGGCTATTACAAAAAAATAGATGAGCATTGATAAGGATATAGAGAAACCGGAATCCTTTTACACTGTTGAGAATGTGAAATGGTGAGGCAACGCTGCAAAACAGTATGGAGGTTTCCCAAAAAATTACCTACTACATGATCCAGCAATACCACTACTAGGAATATATTCAAAAGAATAAAAATCAGAATCTTAAAGAAATATCTGCACTCCCATGTTCACTGTAGCATTATTCACAATGGCCAAGATATGAGAAAACACAAATGTCCATCAACAGATAAATAGATAAAGAAAATTTGGTGTATGTGTGTGTGTGTCTGTGAGAGAGAGAGAATTATTCAACTTTAAAAAACAAGTGTGTTCTGTCATTTGAAACAACATGGATAAACCTGAAGGACATTATGCTAAAAAAATAAAGCCAGTTACAGAGGACAAAAATTGCATGACCTCACTTATATGTGGAATCTAAAATAGACTCATAAAAGCAGAGAATAGAATGCTGATTGCCAAGAGTTCGGGGGGAGGGAAATGGGGAGTATATTCAATGGGTATAAGGTTTCAGTCATAAAGATAAGTAAATTCTAGAGATCCACTGTACAACATAAGAACCATAGGGCATAGCTATAGTTAAAAATACTGTATTATACACTTGAAAATGTGCTAAGAGGCTAGATCCATGTTACATGCTGTTACAAAACATAAGCAAATAGCAACAGCAACAACAAACAGGCATGAGGAAACTTGGAGGGGATGGGTATATCTATTACCTTGATTGTGGTGACAATTTTTTAAGTGTATGCAACTCATTAAATTATATATAATAAATTAATGCATTTAAAATATGTCAGTTATACCTCAGTGAAACTGTTTATAAAATAAATAGATAAATAAATATTCTTGTTTGCAGGTAGGGGAAATTGATAATTGAAATAAAAACCTTAACTTGCAAAACTGTTCTGCGGTTCACAAAACAAATAAACTGCACCAAATCATAGCATGCAAAACAAATTGGCCAAGCTCAAACTTTTTTTAACACCAGCTCATTCAGCTACATAGCTTCTTGAAGAGCAGACAGGTCTACTGATCTAACAACTCATCAGGAACCCATGATTTCTAAAGGTGAAACTCCTGACTGTGGCAGTAACTCACTTAGTTTATAAATTCTGACCAGTTCCTGCCAAGATCATCCTATTTTAACCCCAAACCCCTGTATCCTTTCTACCTCCCCACTTTTGGATGCCCTATGGTTCTCTATGGTTGCATTCTTCCTTGCTGCAGCAGGAAAAAACATCTAAATTTTTCCTCATGTATTTTGGTTTTTATATGTTTAAAATACAAATAGAAAAATAAAAGAAGAAGAAACCTTATAAATTTGAGTTGAAAAATAAAATTACATCTATATCTATGTGGGTATAGATATAGATATTGGTTTAGACCACTAAAAGATTCTTGAAGAAATAGCACTCTAATATTAATGAGTAAATCCAGCATCTATATTTTTGTTTGCAAATAATTTTTACCCACTTTAAGAAAAAGAAAACAAAGCAGTGCTCCTTGGAGAAATCTCAGGTTCCAGGAATAGGGAGAAAACACAAGGTGTGGCTGTGACATATTCCTGTGACAAGAAGCAAAAGCGCACTCAGAGATTAACAGGATCACATGAAAAAGGGACAGAAGCTAGCTTACAGACACTCGCTGCAGACAAATTCCGGACAATGGGAACATCACAAAGAATCATGACTATCAGTGATTATAATCACATAACCTGAGCAAGGTTCTAGATCCAGTTGCCAGTCTATGGCCAACAGAGGAGAAAGAAAAACAAGGCAAACTACACCATGTGGAAATAGGGAAGCAGATCCTGAGGGACATAAAAAAAACTGGTCTGCATTTTTGAGACCATCAATGTGACTTGAAAATGAATAATAATTTTTTAAACTAGCTTTCTGGATTGAATTCTAATAGATATGCAAATACAAAGTATAAACCTTGTTTTTATCCTGGTTCAAAACTATTAATATGTGTAAACCAAGTACCTACAAAAGTATCTTTAAAGACAAAAGGGAAATTTAAATATGGGCAGATTATTAAGTTATATTAGAGAATTATTATTATTACTAACTTTCCTAGGTATGCCAATAGCAATGTGTTTATTTAGGAAAATATACTCATCCTAAGAAGATGCATGCTGAAATATTTAATAATGAAGTATGACAAAGTCTTCAAATTACTTTTAAATGGTTCATCATAGAAAGTGTGCAGAGACAGAATAAGTTTGCCAAAATATTAACACATTTTTAATCCTGATCAAAGTTATGTGGGTGTTCATCGCTCTATTCTTTTTACTGTACTGTATGTTTAAAATATTTCTATTTACAATGTTGAAAGGGAGAAAAGAATTGTCCTACTGCACAAAGACATTCTTGCCGTGTTAAAAACATTTAAGAGGGGACCTGGCATGGTGTCTCACACCTGGAGGAAAAATAAAGCAACAGCAGAAAGGGCCCACAGGAACTCTCTCGTGCCCAGGATGAAGGTCAATCTGGACACCAGACAAGGACCGTCCTGATCCCAGCTAGAAACAGTCCAACAGGTGGCAGCTCTTTCCATTCCAAAGTGAGCTATCAACTATCTACATGGAGAAGCTTCATGCACTTTAATGAAGAAATTGCTTTTGCTTTCTCCTTTGACTCCAGACCTTGGTACTGAGACAAGAACATAAGGAAGAACTACTCATGTACTACCAGCACCCCCAGGAGACGAGCTGAGTCTATCAAATTAAGCCAAAGACCTGGAAAAGCTGTGACTGTGGGTCAAAGTCCTGGCTGCAGCACCAGGAGCCCATTGGTGGGAGACAGGTGATAATTCCACCAATTCCCCCATTTGGCCTTCAGTTTCGAGGACATCGTGCTTCTCAGCAGATGTCCACGTGAGGGCAGCAGAGGGATTTTAAGAGTTGAAGCGCTCTCTACAGAACTAACAGAGAGAAACACAGAGAGGGAGACAGAGACAGAGAGAGGGAGGAAGACAGAAAAAGAGAAAGAATTAATAAACAGCTATGTTTACATATTCTCGTTTTGGGACAAGGCTGGATTTCCAAGAGGCAAAACACAGTGAGTGCTTCCAGAGGTGAGTGAAAGTTATTTAGGGAAAAAAAGTTTATAAACGTGAAAGTTTACAGGAAGAGATTCAGGGAAAATAATCCAAAGGCAGTAGAAGAAAGAGGTAAGGAAATCTGAATCCCCCAGAACCCGCATATTACTAAATGAAAGAAGCCAATTTGAGAAGGCTAGATATATGTGATTCCAACTATATGACATTGCAGAAAGGGCAAAACCATGGAGACTGTAAAAGGATAATGATTTCCAAGAGTTGAAGGGAGAACGGCGTGAATAGGCAGAGTAAAGATTATTAGAGCAGTGTAACTATTCTGTATGACACTATAATAGTGGATACCTGACATTATGCATTTGCCCCGTGGAATGCACAACACCAAGGGTAAACCTAATGTAAACTATGAACTTTGTGTGATAATGATGTGTCAATGGAGTTCCGTAAATTGTCACACAAGTGCCACGCTAGAGCAGGATATGAATAGTGGGAGAGGTTATACTTGCGTGGGAGCAGTGGGTACCTGGGAAATCTCTGTACCTTCTGCTTAGTATTACTGTGAACCTAAAACTGCTCTAAAAATAGTATGTTAAAAAAACAACAACAAAGACCATTTACTTACTGCTTCTGAACTGCCGTACGCAATAGATACACAGGAAACGCTCTCATAGTCCAACAGGCCCAGAAGTCTGAATATCCACTGATACAGAACCATCTTTTTTGTCCTCCAAAAAAGTACCCCTAAGGTACTCTGATTTCTTTTTCCTTTAACCTGTCTCCTTCTTTTACCTTTGCCCTTAGGCCCACACCCTCATCCCCAATTTCTACTGTCTTATATAATGTCATTCCTTTGGAGCCAATGCTAGGTGACAGCTACCTAGGCTGATAAACTTATCTATGGCTTTAGGTGCTTTGCACTCTTCTCTGGTTTTTAAACATGAAAGTGACTGACTATTCATTGGAAGACCTTAGGGTTTTTCCAGTGAACTTATGTCAACACAACCTTGCAGAATGATGGGCCTTGCTGCATAGACAGATGATGAAGCTGCTCCCTGCACTAATCTGCTGCTGTTATCCCATTAGCAAATATTAGCTAAGCATTTACTCTGCAATGGGCACTGTGCTGCGTGTTAGGAAGTCAAACAAGTAATACATGATCTCTACCTTTAAAAAGGTTCCAGGTAACTAGATAGTTACAAAGTAGAAGCTGTTAAGCTCCGCAAGTAGCTTTCTAGGACTTTCACCACAAGCAAGCAGTGTGTGTCTAAGATCTGCTACAAAGTGTGATTATTCTTCTCTTGATCCACGGTTGACACATGCATTCCTGTCACCATCAAAGCGTTTTTTAAAATGGCTGTTTCCACAAGACACACTTTTACAGTTTTGTTGGTCATTTTGCCCCAGTGACTCTGTGGGCAGTCCGGACAGCAGGGTTTTGTAGAGCATGCCAAGAATCCTGAGTTGAACTCAGCATGACTCGCGCTTCATTCCTCCCATTAGCTCTTTCCAACTCCAACATGGCTTTGGAGATTCAGTCCACACATGGCAGAGACTAGGTGCTGGGTAATTGTTGGCCTAAACTTTTTATTTTCGAAGCTTAAGTTGAATCACTTTGAGTAAAATTTAACCAAAACAACCATCATATTCCTTAGTGTTGAGCTGCTGTAGTAATCAAGTGATGCTTCTTCTGTATTTATTGATTTAGCCTGAATGAGTCTCTTCTGCAACTGGTTACTTTTCAGAAAGGCCAAATAAACCATATAGGAGAGCATCTTTGTTATCTTGGTGTGGGAAAGATGTTTTTAAGAAGACTCCAAAAAATCACACATGATAGAGGGAAAATTGTTGAATTTCTTTTCATTAAGAGAATCTCCCGATCCACAAAATACAGGTGATTTGGCAAAGCTAGTTATAGCACGTAAAATTGATGTAATGTCTACATCTCGGTATATGTAGAATATTCAACATTATAATATATATACACACATGCATATGTGATAACAAAAAGCTGAGAGATTTTGAAAGAAATTTTAAATGTATTAACCCAGCAAAGAAGTAGTATCTAGAACATTCAGGGGACACCAACAAATTTACAATCAATAAAAACAAAAAACTAATTAAAACAGTGATAAGCAACAAATTTATGTTAATATAAATTACATATATTTTTATATTCATAGAATGAAAAAACCTGAAAACTGGTCAATGTATAGTGTTCAACCCTACTACTATTAAAAAACAAGTCTGACACCACTTTGTACCCATCATATGAAAAAGTAGAGTCAGAAAACATTAAGTGTCAGCAAAAAGATGCTGAAAAAGAACATTTGTTTCTCCGGTGAAAGAAGAAATGGTGTATTCTTTTTAGAGAGCAATCTGGCAATACTTATCCCATAACTGTACTTTCAACTACTGGATGTTTATGCCAGAGCAATTGTTTCCAAGTCCTGTACAGGGACACACACATGCATATGCATCTTTGCCAGGGGTTATTGAAGCATCCTAGATGGCCATCACTACAGAGTGGATAACTAGCATGCTGGATGGACAAATCTTGAACAACACAATAGTGAGTGAAAAAAAGTTGTAAATGTATTGTACATCCCATTTAATTAAAAACAAATACATAATGCATGTGCACATATACTAGCCATATTATTATTCTCATTTTACCCATGAGGAAGCAGAAACTCAGAGAGTTTATGTTATTTGCCTAAGGTCAAACAGTTAGTAAGTGGCATAGCTGGGATTTGAATGCAGGTCTGTATAACTCTGAATCTCATACACTATATTCCTTGCTATCTGTTCACATATTAAGAAATAAGTGAAGCTACCAAAAATAAGTTCTTTTTTTTTTTTTTTTAACTCCATTCCCTAGTTCTCCATCATTGACCACTACAGTTTCTTTGGTAGGCTGAATGATGCTCCTTAGATATGCCCACATCCTGACCTCCAAAACCTCTGAATATTTCCTTGTATGGTAAAAGAAACTTTGCAATTGTGTCCTAGTCAAGGATCTTGAGATGAGGGGATTCTCCTGCATTACTCAAGGGGGCACAATGAAATCACAATGGTATTTATATGAAGGACGTAGGAGAAGTCAGAGAGGAGTAGGAGACATGATAATGAAGCAAGAGGTGGAAGTGATCCCAGGAAGGGGCCATGATCAAGGAGTGCAGGGGCCTCTAAGGGCTGAAAATGGTGAGGAAATGGATTTTCCTCTAGAGTCCCCAGGAGGACTCAACACCTTGACCTCCCTCTAGAACTAAGAGATTACATTTGTGTTCTTTTAAGCTACTAACTTTGTGGTAATTTGTTACAGTGGCAACAAGAAACTAATATAGTTAGTAATAATTCAGACTCACTTCGTGGTATTTCTGTTAGTGGTGGAAGAGATCTGAGTTACCCTGAGTTACTGATAGCATATTCATGGGGGTCTGCAGCAACTTCAGCCCTTGTCTTCTCAGAAGAAAGAATTTGACTGAGGGGCATAAAGCAGAAAAAGAGACTGAGGCAAGTTCCAGAGCAGAAGGGGAAGTTTATTAAAAAGGCTTTAGAAGAGGAAAGAAAGGAAAGAACTCTTAAAAGAAATCCAAGTGGGCACCTGAAGATCAAAGAGAGAAAAAGAGCCTTTAACCTTGATCTAAAAGAAATCCAAGTGGGCACCTGAAGATCAAAGAGAGAAAAAGAGCCTTTAACCTTGATCCAAAAGAAATCCAAGTGGGCACCTGAAGATCAAAGAGAGAAAAAGAGCCTTTAACCTTGATCCCAGAGCTTGATAGGCTGATCTCTTTCCCAGGATTCTTCCCTTAGGGTGGGCTGCCTGCATGTGCAGTGCTCTTCTTAACCTTGGGAATTGAGCACATGCAGTGTGTTTACGAAGTCGTGTGCATGCCCATCTGAGGCTTTCTTCCCTTTTCTGGTGGAGTGTAACTGGAAGGTCATATTTCACCACTTTGTCTCTTAACTGCACGCCCAGGAAGTTGCTTCTCCCTGGGGTCTGCATTTAGTTAACATTTTAATGTTAACAGGTATGGGCCATCAGGAAAGGGTCTCTCCCTGACACCAGCTGCCAATTTATCACTTTTAGAAATGCAATGTGAAAATGGCTTACCTATCACCAAACATTTCTACTGCATTGGGGGAGAGGCCTCTCCTGTCCCACTCATGCCTATCTATCTACCTGTAACATTTCAAGCTGTTGTAGGAGTAGTAGTTATGTTTCTAATAAGGTGCAACAGCTAGGTAATGCCAAATTTGAAAACGGAATTTGCATTTCTTGATTTCCTCAGTGCTAGGCTCTTTCCATTGCATCTTACAGTCAACAAGTGTAAAATATTGAGATAATTATGTGGTTTTTGTCTTTAGTTCTGTTTATATGCTGGATTACATTTATTGATTTGCATATATTGAACCAGCCTTGCATCCCAGGGATGAAGCCCACTTGATCATGGTGGATAAGCTTTTTGATGTGCTGCTGGATTCGGTTTACCGGTATTTTATTGAGGATTTTTGCATCAATGTTCATCAAAGATATTGGTCTAAAATTCTCTTTTTTGGTTGTGTCTCTGCCCGGCTTTGTTATCAGGATGATGCTGGCCTCATAAAATGAGTTAGGGAGGATTCCCTCTTTTTCTATTGATTGGAATAGTTTCAGAAGGAATGGTACCAGTTCCTCCTTGTACCTCTGGTAGAATTCAGCTGTGAATCCATCTGGTCCTGGACTCTTTTTGGTTGGTAAGCTATTGATTATTGCCACAATTTCAGAGCCTGTTATTGGTCTATTCAGAGATTCAACTTCTTCCTGGTTTAGTCTTGGGAGAGTGTATGTGTCGAGGAATTTATCCATTTCTTCTAGATTTTCTAGTTTATTTGCTTAGAGTTGTTTGTAGTATTCTCTGATGGTAGTTTGTATTTCTGTGGGATCGGTGGTGATATCCCCTTTATCATTTTTTATTGCGTCTATTTGATTCTTCTCTCTTTTTTTCTTTATTAGTCTTGCTAGCGGTCTATCAATTTTGTTAATCCTTTCACAAAACCAGCTCCTGGAGGCAGCCATAAAAAATGATGAGTTCATGTCTTTTGTAGGGACATGGATGAAATTGGAAATCATCATTCTCAGTAAACTATCTCAAGGACAAAAAACCAAACACCACATGTTCTCACTCATAGATGGGAGTTGAACAATGAGAATACACGGACACAGGAAGGGGAACATCACACTCTGGGGACTGTTGTGGGGTGGGGGGAGAGGGGAGGGATAGCATTAGGAGATATACCTAATGCTAAATGACGAGTTAATGGGTGCAGCACACCAGCATGACACATGTATACATATGTAACCTGCACATTGTGCACATGTACCCTAAAAATTAAAGTATAATAATAATAATAATAAGTATAAAATATCTGAAATGATAGGTACAGGGAATTTAAAAGACAAGTAAAACATAGACATTAAAAGTGGATAACTTGTTTCCAAGGGAGCACAGGCATGAACACCAGGCATAGAAACCAAATAATTTCTGTGATTCGGTTGCAGTGAATACTAGAAGATATACAGAGAAACCCTTTCTGTGCTTAAACTCCTATACTGGCTATTTGTGATGTAGAACAATTCAGGTTTGATTCAACTGCACTAGCAATGCTATCTACATATACTGAGGTGCTCTTAATATGAATCACTTCTATAGGGCAAGGATAGTAAAAAGAATGCTGTTACTGAGATTACTGTAACACTGTTCAAAAGTACTGGATTTGAAATCAGAATGGAGTTCAACTCTCAACTCTGCCATTAGCTCTGTGACCTGAAAAAGGCTCTGATATGTACGATACACACCACTCTATGTAAGATTTCTCACCCATGGAATAGTGCATGGTCCATTACAGCTGTTCTGTGTTACACTAAGCCAGGCAGTGCTCTCCTGAGTAGATGGTGCTGTCCTAACAGACAGTGGTCTGAAGCCAGAAAGAGGAGCCTTGACGTTCATCAAGTACCTCCTGTGAGCCATGCTCCACACTTCACTCTGCTGTGTTGGTCAATATTCACAACATAAAAGGTTGCATTATAATACATATTTTACAGCTGAGGGGACAGATACCCAGAGAGCTCAAGTAACACACTCAAATTCATGGAGCACTTGCTAATTAGAGCCAGTTCTGTTGACTTGAAATGTGGTCTGTGACACTGTCATCACTTACATCAAGATTAAATAATAGTGACTCACACTCTGACAACACTTTTCAGGTTCCAGACACTTCCACACTCATTAATTTAAAACCATCAAGAACCCCGTGTCAAAGCCAAGACATATCAAAAACAGGCTCAGATATATTTAAGAAACCTGTCCAAGGTACCACAGTTAGGAAATGATGGAGATGGTGGAACTTGAATTCAGGACTCTGACACCATGCCCTTTCTACTATGCCCTGGCACCCTACTCTACCACCACTAAAGGGAACTTGGATAAATTACTTAACATCTCTAAACTTCAGTTCCCTCTACTAGAAGCTCTTTATTATAATAGCTGTCCATGAAGTCATCCTGAGGATTAGAGAAGTCTTAGGAAGTATTTTGCAAGTGTTTATGAACATACAAATGACAGGAGTATTTCAGCTTCCTTTGAGCAATGACCATTTGTGTCATCCAATTTAGCTCCTTTAAACAGGATGATTATATCAAATTGGGGACTAAATACCTCTATGATACACACTTCTATAATGCTGGCAGAGGATGAGGGCTCAATAAACACGTATTTTCTATTGTTGGTAGGAAAATAGCCATTGATCAATATCTGTTCAGAAAGATAAATGTAACAAATGCTCTAGTCATGGGTAACAGCATTTAGGGCAATAGCCAGTCCATCAACTGGTGTTGAAACCCTAATACCATATTCCTGCATTTCTGTGCTAGGGAAGAATCCTTTTGTCCTCAGTGAAGTTTAGTGTAATATTGAACCTGCTGTGGGAAGGAAAAACCCAGATCAAATTAACAGAAAATTTGTGTTAGGACAGGTCATACAAAGCAGTCTTCCCAGTGATATCCCCTGTGATATTGGTAAATGAAGGTATTTGGTGGTTAGCAGACACTTCCTCATCCACAAGGAAAGAACTGTGTGCCACAGCAAACTGGCGGTGTCATTAAGTTCCCGCCACCTGAATGCACCCATCACATGAAGTCATATGAAATATACACTGTTTTCTTAAAATGAGATTGACATAGTTTTTGTAAATCATTCAACTTTCTTTCAGAGCAATTGGATTAACATTTTTCATAAATTAAAAGTCAACCTCTTTTGCTTTGTCTAGAGCAATGTATGTATAGTATGTGAAAGGAGAAGGAAGAAAGAGGAGGAAAGGAGAAGCAGGAGGGGAAGAAGACAAGCAGGAGAAAAGAAAGGAGATAAAGAGAGTCATTTCAAAATGATAAATGTTTTAATTCAAGAGAAAGACAAAATATTTCTGAATTCTTATGTATATAAATATCAGAGCCTTAAAATAAATTCTCCACAAATTTCAAAGGGGTGAAGTCATACAGAGTATATCTTTGGACACAATAAATTAAGCTAGGAATCAGTAATGAGAAAGAACTAGAAAAATATCCACATGTTTCAAATGACCCATGTGTCACAAAAAAGTTACAAAGAGAATTAGAAAATATTTTGGCCTCTTCTTTGTAGTGGTAAATGAGCATTGTTCTTTGATTAGTGAAACAGTCTCTGGGTTTATTTTGTGGTCCCTAAAATGCAGCGCTACTTCTGCTCAGTTCAAAAAACCCAGCATGGTGCTTTTGCACCTAGTATAATTGTCTGCTTTATAGAAACACATTCTGAGAATCAGGATTGAATCTCCATTTGCATAACAGTAATAATGCGTCACTCTCTCTCCAGTTAGTTTTTGTTGGTTACAAATCAGGTTTGTATTTTAGAATAACAGTGGAAGAAATCTTTGTAACACAGTTATCAATTGCTGACAGGGGCAGGGAGGAAGGTCTTCTTAAATGTAATTTTCCATATGCTAACGTAAGAGTTTATGAGTAAAGACAATGCTGTAGTTAAAATACTTCCCCAACCTGATGTATTATTACATATCAACGTGGTAGAATTGAAAAAGTTTACTTTCAAGATCTTATTAATAATTAGCTAAAAGAACAACTTTGAGAAATTTTTCCTTTAATGATAGATGTATTTGTTGGTGAACTTTTTAGACTAGGATTGCAATTCACTTTGACTATGAGTTAATAATGTAGATACTAAAAATGAACCACAGATTAATCATTAATGTTATTTATGTACAATATTTGAATCACAGATGGTGTATTTTAAAAAGACATTATCAAAATGTTTTAATTAGACATTTTGAAATATGTAGGATCATTTTAACTTGTTAAAAGTAATAGGAATAATTTAAATTTGTATATGTCCCCAAAGTTGCTTCTTTCATCAAGCCCTTATCATGCATAGATGCTGGAGTTGGAAGACATGAGTTTGAGTCCTAGCTCTGCCGTGCACTAGTTGTGTGCTTAAACTCTGAGTATGCTTCCTTACTGGTTATATGTGTATAATGGTGATACCTAGAAGGATTTTTTATTTTCTTGATATGGAGTCTCGCTCTGTCACCCAGGCTGGAGTGCAGTGGCACTATCTCAGCTCACTGCAAGCTCCGACTCCTGGGTTCATGCCATTCTCCTGCCTCAGCCTCCTGAGTGGCTGGGACTACAGGTGCCTGCCACCACGCCCGGCTAATTTTTTCATATTTTTTTTAGCAGAGACGGGTTTCCCCGTGTTAGCCAGGATGGTCTTAATCTCCTGACCTTATGATCCGCCCACCTTGGCCTCCCAAAGTGCTGGGATTACAGGTGTGAGCCACCCCGCCCGGCCAGGATTATTATTTTTTAAATCAAATTCTGTAATGACTAAGAAAATGTTTTATGAATTATAAATGTAAATTGGTACTGAATGCTAATAAATAACAAAACAGATTTATTAATTTTAAGTTCTAATAAAAGTTATTGGCCTTAGAAGACAAAGAGAATACTTCCATTTTAAGTTTTCCCGTTATGTTAGCATATGAGAGCAAAGAATATTCAAAACACTCAGTAAATGAAATTCAGCGTTCTCTAGAGGGACAGGATTAATAGGATACATGTATATATGAAAGGGAGTTTATTAAGGAGTATCGGCTCACACAGTCACAAGGTGAAGTCCCACAATAGGCCGTGTGCAAGCTGAGGAGCAAAAAAGCCAGTCCGAGTCCTAAAACCTCAAAAGTAGGGAAGTCGACAGTGCAGCCTTCAGTCTGTGGCCGAAGGCCTGAGAGCCACTGGCAAACCAGTGGTGTAGGTCCAAGAGTCTAAAAGCTGAAGAACTTGGAGTTCAATGTTCAAGGGCAGAAACCATCCAGTACGGGAAGAAGATGGATGCCAGAAGACTTAGCTAGTCTAGTCCTTCCATGTTCTTCTGGATGCTTTTATCCTAGCCATGCTGGCAGCTGATTAGATGCTACCCAACCAGACTGAGGTTGGGTCTGCCTCTCCTAGTCCACTGACTCAAATGTTAATCTCCTTTGTCAGCACCCTCACAGACACACCCAGGATCAATACTTTACATCCTTCAATCCAATCAAGTTGACACTCAGTATTAACCATCACAAGTCCACCCCTTGTCAACTTGAACACATACACATCTCCTGAAATCATACATATTTTTTAAATAAAGAAAATAATAGGGTCATAATTACACCTAACATAATACAACTAACTATCCTTTGTACAATCGGAAATGCTCCAATCCCCAATCCAAATGCTATTACACAAAGTTAACAACACTTAAATGCTGACATGAAGTCAATAAATCTTATGTCACATGACAAATGAAAAAAAGGAAATAAAATGAATATATTTTCTTAGTACAAGTGTACACATGTACAACCAGGTACTTAACAAAATAAGGAGGAGATACTCATGACAATTATAGTCCTCATTTTTGCAACTGGTCACGTGGTCGTAGCTGGTATTAATGACTACCTTCTTCTACTACCCATTTTATATCTCTTTTGCCTTCAGCAAGCACCTCAGCAGGTCATTGTTTTTTACCTGGTGAAGTGACCCAAACCTTCATTCCTGAATGGTCTAGGCCATTTGTAGTCCTGTCTGAATTGGGCTGTTGTAGTTTCCCATTGACCTTAATCACAGGGCATGATAATCCTAAGAGATTCCCTAAGGGATCTCACATGCATACTCTTCCTTACCTCCATTGTGGAGTAGTAGACTGATTTCATCTTGATAGTCTGGCTCAATCACCCCAGCCCACACTGTAACTCCCTTCTTAGCCTGTTGACTCAGATGTAGAAGGAGCCCAAAGTGTCCAGGTGACAATCTTAACTTCCAATTTAATGGAATCATTGTTGTGTCTCCTGGTGGCAGCATTCCTCTCTCTGTAACTAAGACCTCCAGGCCAGCAGAATGTAATGTCATGGGAACAGGAAGCAAAAATTTTGCTAGTGGGTCACTAGGGGTGATGGTGAGTGGTGCCACTTCCACTTCCACCCCGTGATTCCTGGACCTATCAATCCTGGCTGTGGGAGAAACAGTACTATATAGTGGATGCTGATTCAGAGCATACACGGCCTTCTGGAGAACTTTGCCCCAGCCCTGCAAAGTATAGTTACCTAGTTGGCATTGTAATTATTACTTCAGGATGCCATTCCACCGTTCTATCAATCCAGCTGCTTCAAGATGATAGAGAACATCATAAAACCAGGAAATTCCATGAGCATGAGCCCACTGCTGCACTTCATTAGCCATAAAGTCAGTGCCTTGGTCAGAGGCAATACTATATGGAATACCATGACAGTGATTAAGGCAGTCCATGAGTCCACTGATGGTATTCTTGGCAGAAGCATTGTGTGCAGGATAGGCAAACCCATCTCTGGAGTAAGTGTATTCTGGTGAGGACAAACCACTGCCCTCTTCATGATGGAAGAGGTTCAATATAATCAACCTGCCACCAAGTAGCTGGCTGATCACCCCAAGGAATGGTGCCATATCGAGGGCTCAGTGTTGGTCTCTGCCATGGGCAAATTGGGCACTCAGTGGTGACCATAGTCAGGTCAGCCTTGGTAAGTGAAAGTCCATGTTGCTGAGCCCATGCATAACTTCCACCCCTGACACCATATCCACTTTGTTCATGGGCCCATTAAGCGATGACGGGGGTGGCTGGGGAAAGAGGCTGAGTGGTGTCCACAGAACGAGTCATCCTATCCACTTGATTATTAAAATCTCCCTCTGCTGAGGTCACCCATTGGTGAGCACTCACATGTGATACAAATATCTTCAGTTTTTGACCACTCAGAGAGATCCATCCACATACCTGTTCCCCCAATTTTTTTTTATCATCAATTTTCCAGTCATGCTTCTTCCAAGTCCCTGACCATCTAGCCAAGCCACTGGCTATAGCTCATCAATCAGTATATAATCACACATCTGGCAATTTCTCCTTCTATGCAAAGTGCACACCAGTTGCACTGCTTAATTTTCTGCCCATTGGGAAGATTTTCCTTCACCAATGTCCTTCAGGGACAGAAACCGGCTGCAGTGCTACAGAGGGGCTGTAGTGCTGCAGCTGTCCACTTTCTAGTGGTGCCTGCATATCGTGCAGAATCTGTAAATCAGGCCCTTGTCTTCTGTTCTTCTGTCAACTGACCATAGGGAACTCACCAGGAGGCCATCAGTGCAGGCTGGGGGAGAGAAGGCAGGGTGGCAGGAGTGGTGACCGTGGGCATTTGAACCTCTTCCTCTTGTAACTTACTTATGCCTTCAGGACCTGCTCGAGCCTGATCACTAATATTCCACTTCCATTTGATGACGGAATGCTGCTGTGCATGACCCACTTTATGACTAGATGGGTCAGAAAGCACCCAGTTCATGATATGCAGTTCAGGTCGCATGGTGACTTGATGACCCATAGTCCAATGTTCAGTTTCCACCAAAGCCCAGTAACAGGCCAAGAGCTGCCTCTCAGAAGGAGAGTAGTTATCTGCAAAAGATGGCAGGGCCTTGCTCCAAAATCCCAGAGGCCTCCACTGTGATTCACCTATGAGGACCTGACAAAGGCTTCAAACAGCATCCCTATCTGCCACTGATACCTCTAGCACTATGCTGGGTCATATGGCTTAAGTGGCAGAGCAGCTTGCACAGCAGCATGGACCAGTTGCCAAGCCTTCTCCTGTTCTGGTCCTCACTCAAAACTGGCAGCCTTTCAGGTAACTTGATAAATGGGGCAGAGTAATACACCCAAATGAGAAATGTGTTGCCTCCAAAATCCAAATAGGCCCACTAAGCGTTACATCTCTTTCTTGGTTGTAGGAGGGGCCAAATGCAGAAACTTATCATTCACCTTGGAAGAAATATCTCAACAGACTTCAGTAAGTTCAGTGTGATTGCTACTTCTTGCTCACTGGATCCAATCAGCATAATGTCATCAGTGTAATGGACCAGTGTCATATCTTGTAGAAGACAAAAGCAATCAAAATCACTCCAAACAAGATTATGACACAAAGCCAGAGAGTTGATATACTGCTGAGGTAGGACAGTAAAGGTATATTGCTGGCCTTGTCAACTGAAGGCAAATTGCTTCTGGTGGGCCTTATGGACAGGAATGGAGAAAAAGGCATTTGCCAAATCAATGGTTACATACCAGGTACCAGGAGATGTGTTAATTTGCTCAAACAATGAAACCACATCTGGTACAGCAGCTGCAATTGGAGTCACCACTTGGTTAAGCTTACAATAATCCAGTGTCATTCTCCAAGATCCATCTGTCTTCTGCACAGGCCAAGTGGAGAGTTGAATGGGGATGTGGTGGGAATCACCACCCCTGCATTTTTCAAGATCTTGTTGTGGCACTAATCTCTGCCAGGGATGCAATATTCTTTTTGATTTACTATTTTTCTAGGTAGAGGCAGCTCTAATGGCTTCCATTTGGCCTTTCACACCATAATTAGCCCTCACTCTACCATTCATGGAGCCAATGTGGTGGTTTTGCTATCTGCTAAGTATGTCTTTGCCAATTATGCATGCTGAAACTGGGGAAATGACCACAGGATGAGTCCAGGGACACACCAGACGCACTGTAGGTTGGACCTGAGCTAAAACTTCATTAATTACCTGACCTCCATAGGCTCCTACTTTAAGAGGAAGAACACAATGATGTTTTGGGTCCCTTGCAATCAATGTCAGCTCAGAGCCAGTGTCCGGTAGTGAAATGGGAGAGTCCCGTGACCCCCATCACAGGACGTGTGACAGGGTATGTCTCATCTTTTCAGCCATCGTATGTGCTCAATCCCTTTACAGGAACATGAGCAGGCAGTCAGGCAGGTGCAGGAGCTGGGATATGCACTTTAGGGCTCCGGCCCCATGGTAGCATCTAGAGGTGGGTGCCTGTGACTCCTAAAGCCCAAATGGGTGTGTGTTACAGTACACTTTTTTTAGCTTTGCCATCTGCAGATGGCTTATGTTTTAACCAGCTTAGTGCCCCCTTGGTACTCAGGTCCTTGTCCATTGTCCAGGAAGAATCAGTTCACACACAGACTTGAGGATGGTGAATGCGGGGGTTTTATTGAGTGGTAGAGGTGGCTCTCAGTGGGATGAATGGGGAGCTGGAAAGGGGATGGAGTGGGAAGATAATCTTCTTCTGGAGTTTGCCTGTCTAGTGGCCAATCTCTCCAACCATTTCCAACTGAACTCTCGATATTCAGATGCTCCTTCTCCTCTCTGCTCTGCTGTTCTGCCATTCTGCTCTCCTGTATGTCTCCTTGTGGAACTGGGGGTTTGAGGTTTATATGGGTACAAAATAGGGGTGTGTGGTGGGCCAAAAGACAACTTTCTGTTGCAAAAACAGAATGCCTATTCTCATTTAGGGCCATAGTTTTTCAGGCTTGAGGGCAGGGTCTTTCCTGGGGAACCACCCTCTTCTAACCAGTATTTCCCTGTTTCCTGTCTGTATCATTTCTCCCCTCTGAAGAGGCACATCTAACTGCCATTAGAATATGGACAATGACCAATCCTAGCTACTTCCTGCTAATAAGGGGCATTGTTTCAGGGAAAACAGCAGTCAGATTTCTCCCAGAGGTCTATCTAGGGGTCCCAAGCAGAAGGGAGCCGTTCTTCTGGGGTTCCATTGCCTGACAATTTGGAGTTTGATAGCCTCTAGGTGAGAGGAAAAAAAAGTAAGTTTTTATAAGGTTAAGTATGCATGGGTTAAACATGTGTATTATACAAGGAAGGAATCTACTGCCAAATATTACAGCAATAAGAAGTGAAATATACTAATCATTCTGAAAAAAATATTGTGCCTCACTGTATAGAACAGAACAAAGGTAAGAACAGCAAGCATGGGAAAGACTATAAAGAGGATATCCATGGAAGGTTAATTATTAACACTTATCTTTTGTGATTTTTAGCTTGAGGTCCCCAATCTCTTCACATTGGTACTTTGAGTGCTCTTTTGGGTTGACAGAGTCACCTCAGGTGACTCCATTGGCTTTCCAGGCCATTAATCTAGTATAATGAATCCAAGACTCTATTCCAGTGACCTTCACTGCCATAGGAGTAGAAAGAAGTACAGTGAAAGGTCTCTCCCAACCTGGACCTATAGAGGGAGAGAGGGAAGGAAGTACCTTTACTAGCACTAGGACCCCTGGGTTTAATAGAAGTGGCCTTGGTTCATGGGATTGGGCCTCTGACAGTTGTTTCAGTTGCTGTTGGAAATGGGCCAAAAAGGTTATGTGTTTAATTAAATCAGAGGTTTCTTGGTCCAGCAAGAAATCATTGGTGAGAAAAGGGTGTCCATACATCATTTTGAAGGGACACAAACCTATCTTTGAAGGAGTGTTTCTAATACACAGTAGGGCTACGGGGAGAAGGGTAATCCAGGGGAGGTGAGTCTCCTAAGATAGTTTCCTGAGATGCCTTTGATAATATCATTTGTCTTTTCTACCTTTCCTGAGGATTGTGGTTTCCAGACACAATGAAGATGGTACTGTGTGCCTAGTGACTTTGAGAACACTTGGGTGACAGCCACCTTGAGCAAGGGACCATTATTGCTCTGGAGGTAGTTAGGGAGTCCAAGGCAAGGAATTATCTCATTGATTAGTACTTTTGTCACCTTAGAGGCTTTGTCTGTTTGGCATGGAAATGTTTCTACCCAGTTAGTGAATTATCTATCCATACTAGGAGGTACTGGATGCCCTTTGCTTTTGGCATATGAGTGAAATCCATTTGCCAGTCTTCCCCTGGGTAGCCTCCTATACTTTGGGTTCCTGAGGGAAGAAGCTGTCAATTAAGAGGATTGTTTCTAAGGCAGGTCTCACAAGCATTAACAACCTGTTTAACCATTTCTATCAGTTTTTTACCTGAGAACAATCTCTGGGCCAGTTGATAGATTTTATCCTTTTAAGAACTTTCCACTGGTTGGCAGTCAGTAGATGAAGCTTGCCATCCTCCAGTTGTAGCCATGCTGAGGATTGAAAGATGTATCCCTGAGAGGTGGCCCCTTCTATTTTCACAAAAGAATATTGAGGTTTTATTTCTCTGATGGGTCCTTCCCAGATTAGTGGGGATTCAAGTGGGTCAGAGATCTGGGACCCCCTTGCTGCTGATTTAGCTGCTCAGCCCACCAGCCTATTTCTGTCAGTTATTTTATCTATCCCTCTTTGGTGGCCTTTACAATGTATTACTGCCACTTTCCATGGGAGGAAAATGGAGGATAATAGTCTATTTATCTCCTGATGGTATTTAATAGGAGACCCATTAGCTGTGAGGAAGATCCTCTCTTTCCAGATAGTGCCATGGATATGTAGGACTAGGAAAGTGTACTTAGAATCAGTATAAATGTTGGCTGTTTTTCCTTTGCTTAATTCAAATGCCCTTGTGAGGGTGATTAGTTTGGCTAGTTAAGCTCTTGTACCTGAGAAGAGAGGTGTGCTCTCAACAATATCATTCAGAGTAACTATTGCATACCTTGCTTTATGGGTTCCTTGTTCTACCAAAGAGCTTCCATCTGCAAAGGGAATCCAGCCTGGGTTCTCTAAGGGGGTTTCCTTGAGGTCTTCTCTGGCTGCATAGGTTTGTACTACTATTTGGCTTGCAGTCATGTTCAAGCTCCTCGGCTTCCTCTGGGAGGAAGGTGACTGGATTTAGGGAGGGACAGATTCTTAATTGAACTGAAGATTCTTCTAATAACAGAGCTTGATACCTGAGGAGTCAGTTGTATGTTAGCCAGAGACTTCCCTTAGAAGGCAGTAGTCCTCCCACATTATGTGGGATATGAATGGTTAAGTTATTCCTCATGGTTAACTTAGTTGCCTCCGGTACCAGCAGGGCTACTGCTGTGATTACCAGGAGTGAGGCTGGCCATCCTTTGGCTACCAAATTTAGTTCCTCACTCAGGGAGCCTACAGACTGCTGGGCTGAGCCCTGGGCCTGTGGTAGAACTCCCAGTGCCATTCCCTTTCTTTCTGACACATAAAGATTACATGTTTTCCCCATGGGGAGACTAAAGGCTGGTGCCTTAAGCAAGCTTATTTTAGTTGGTCAAAGGCCTTTCTAGCCTACAGTTCACAAATAAGACAGTGAGTTTTAGCTGCCTGAGTCTCCTTTATTAGGTGATATAAGGAACAAGCTATTTCACCATACCCAGGTATCCATAGTCTGGAGGATCCTGTAATGTCTAAGAAGCCTTGCAGTTTCTTGAGGGTTTTGGGGTCGGGAAAGGGGGGTGGCGGGCAGGGGAGAAGATGGGTTTAATCCTGCTTTGCCCAATGCCCTGGTTCTCTCTGACAAGACCAGGTCTAGGTACTTCACTAAAGTCTGACAGAACTGAGCTTTAGATTTTGGAACTTTATATCCTCGATTAGCCAGAAAATTTAGAAGAGCCTTACTGCCCTCCTGAGAGATTTCCTCATTTGGAGCACAGAGGAGAAGGTCATCCACATGTTGCAAACCTTTAACCTGAGAGTAAAGGAACTCAGAGAGGTCTCTTGGTAATGCCTCCCCAAACAAGTGACGGCTGTCTTGGAACCCCTAAAGTAACACCAACCAGATTAACTTGGTGATTTGGTTAGAAGGATCCTCAAATGCAAGCAAATACTGGGAGTCAGGGTGTAATGGTATGCAGAAGAAGGCATCCTTTAGGTCAGGACTGTGAACATTTTAGCTTCCTCAGGTATTTGAGCTAGCAGGGTATACATATTGGGAACCACCGGGTGTATTGGACCCACAGCCTCATGAATTGAGGCACAGGTCCTGAACTAGCCTGCGTTCCCTGTTGGGTTTTTGTATGCCCAATATTGGGGTATTAGACCGCTGTTGCAGGGTTTGAGGAGGCCCTGCATCTTCAAGTTATTGATAGTGGCTTCTAGTCCTTTCCTAACCTCTGGTTTCAGGGGATATTGTTTCTCGTTAGGAAAGGAGGTGGGATTCTTAAGGTGGACCTGGACCAGTATGGTGGTTGTAGCTTAGCCAATCTTCCCTCAAGTTGCCCAAACTTCTGGGTTAATATTGGTTTGTACTATGGGGAGACAAAGAGTTTTCCCAGGGGCCATGAGGATGGTGGTCCCCATATGGGCCAGAATATCTCTTCTCAACAAAGGAGCTGGGCTTTCAGGCATAATTAGAAAAGCATGGGTGAACAAAAGGTCTCTCCAACTACAATTAAGTGGTTGGGAAAAATATCGGGTTAAAGGCTTTCCTGAGACACCCGTCATGGTCATGTTAAGAGAGAAGAGGGGGCCCAGATTAGAGAGGAGAAGCGAGAGACCAGCCCTGGTGTTCCAAAAGGAGGTCCAATTTCCTCCTTTCCATTTCTAGAATTCACCCAGGGTCCCTGGATGGTAATGGAGGTCTGGACCACTGGAGGTGGGGAGAGGAGCCCAGGGTCCCACCAGTCTTGCTGCTGGACCATTTGGGTGATTGGTTCTGGACCCAGTGACCAACATCCCTGGGGACAGTCCACCTTCCAGTTTCCCCCGATGCAGACTGGACAGGCTTGAGGTGGCTTCCTCATGCTGCCTGGGTAATCCTTGAAATGTCCTGGCTTTCTATATCTGTAGCAGTTAACAGGTGCACCCTGGGAATTATGGGGTTTCAGGGCTTTCGTGGTGGCCATTAAAGCCTCTGTCTCTTTCCTGTATTACCTCTCTCTCTGCTGGGCCTCCCTGTCTCTATTAAAAAAACATAGGTGGTCACTTTCAGGAGGTTCTCTAAATTCTATCTGGTCCCAGGGTCTGTTTCTGAAACTTCCTCCTGATATCGGGGAATGCCTGGGTAATAAATTTATCCTTCAAGATAAGTTGTCCTTCGGCCGAATCAGGAGATAGAAAGGTGTGCTTAGCATTTTTAGGAAGGCAGTGGGATTCTTATCAAATTCCTGGTCTATCATGCAGAACTTGGTATAATTGAAAAGCTTGGTCCTAGCCCTACATCAGCCCTCCATTATGCAGGCCTGAAAGTGCCTCCTCTTCCAGTCTCCCATCTCATCATTGGGATCCCATCCAGGGTCATCCACTGGTACTGCTTCTCTTCAGTTGAATAAAGTTTGCCGCCTTCCCTGATGCTATCCCCAAATCTCTCTGCTGCTTCTCTTCTCTCTGAGAAGCAGAGAGCACCCTGCTTCTCAGTATCTGTCAGGCTTTGGTTCAAAAGTAATAACGTCTTTCCAGGACAGTTCAAATACTTGGGTGAAATTCTGGAAAGCCTTTATGTATCTGTCAGGGTCATCTGAAAATTTGCCAAGATTCCCCTTCATTTGCCTTAAGTCCTGTAGAGACAAGGGGACTTGGACCTTACTGAGGCCGTATTCACTAGGCATCTGTTGTAGGGGCAGGAGTGAGACTGGGGCCTGTCTAGAGTGAGGATTTCTAGGAGGGGGCAAACAAGAGAGAGAAACTGGAGGGGGACGATGGGGTGGACCCAGAGGAGCAGGGCCAGAGAAAGCTTGTTCCCCTGCTAGACATGCCTCTGGGGTTTGTTCCTTTAGTTCCCTGGGATTGTCCCTTGGCAGCCTCTCCTGAGATGACAAACAGGAGGGCTGGATCAATCCTGCAATGTTGGCAAAGGTCCGAATTATACTGTAAGGTGAAGAAAGCCTGCACATAGAAAGCCTCAGACCATTTGCCCTTATGTTTACAGAAAAAATCCAGCTGCAGGATGGTGTCGAAATGAACGGCTCCTTCCTGAGACCAAGCCAGTCCATCCTGCAAATCAAAATTTTGCCAAACTTTTGTGCAAAGGACCATGAGGTATTTTTTCTCCAGAGTCTGAGGGTCAAAGCAGTCCCAATGATTCAGGATACACTTCAGAGGAGTATAGACTGATGATAGCTAGTTACCCATCTGAAAGAGAGAAAAATAAGCATTCCTTAATTCCTTTCTCTCTTTCAGCAAAAGCTCAGGGTGTGTGAGGGAGAGAGAGAAGAATGTCCCCTTTTCTCTTCCATCTTTTCATCCCCAAGTCCTGGTGACACAGACCTGGTGTGACCTGCACCCATGAAGCAGGGGGCCTAGAAGGCAGGAGTTATTTGCATTTACCTACACTGTCTATCCCCCTGGCTGTTGATAACCTTTGAGTTTCCTGGACCTCATTTATGCCATGGATACTAGCATGACCTCTATCCATGAAACAGGGGCTTAATTGGCAGGATTAGTTTTGCCCACCTAAGTTGTGCACGTATCTTCCATTGTTACCTGCTTTTGAATCCCTCGGACCTAGTTTTTGAATCCCTCAGACCTAGGACTTCAACCTGAAGCTTGGAATTGAATTTGGGACAAAAAGTTGTCTCAGGGGAGTGCATGGATTCCTTTAGATTAAGTCCCAGATGGCCCTTGCCAAATTTGCAGCCAGCCGCTGGTGGGATCACCCCTCTGTTTCATCCCTATGGTAAGCAGAGTGTTAAGGTAGGAAAAAGAAAACCCTCTCACATAGAAAAATTCCCTGTATTTGCAGGGCTATGACTTCCTGACATGGTGGAGAAAAGGAAAAATGAGACGGCTTAAGCATAAGTGTTGGCAGAGGTGCCTGGAGAGAAAATCTTCTTGTTCTATGCAAATAAATTCCTTTAACAGGGGAAAGAGCTGGCCCCCAAGACTACCCTGAGGCCTGGGTGGCGGCTGCAGCTTATTCTCACCCTGTGTGATTGTTAGATGCAGTGTGTGTAGCAAGAGAAAATGAGGAGGAAACAAAAGTGAAAACCCCTGATAAACCCATCAGATCTCATGAGACTTATTCATTATCATGAGAATAGCATGGGAAAGACCAGCCCCGTGATTCAATTACCTCCCCGTGGGTCCCTCCCATAACATGTGGAAATTCAGGGAGATACAATTCAAGTTGAGATTTTGGTGGGGACACAGCCAAACCATATCATTCTGTCCTTGGCCCCTCTAAATCTCATGTCCTCACATTTCAAAACCAATCATGCCTTCCCAAAAGTCCTCCAAAGTTTTAACTCATTTGAGCATTAACCTTAAAGTCCACAGTCCAGAGTCTCATCTGAGACAAGGCAAGTCCCTTCTGCCTATGAGCCAGTAAAATCAAAATCAATCTAGTTACTTCCTAGATATAGTGGGGTACAGGGACTGATAAGTACAGCTGTTCCAAATGGGAGAAATTTGGCCAAAATAGAGGGGAAAAAGGGCCCATGCAAGTCCAAAATCCAGCAGGGCAGTCAAATTTTAAAGCTCCAAAATGATATCCTTTGACTCCAGATCTCACATCCAGGTCATGCTGATGCAAGAGGTGGGTCCCCATGGTCTTGGGTAGCCCCACCTCTGTGGTTTTGCGGGGTGCAGCCTCTCTTCTGGCTGCTTTCATTGGCTGGTGTTGAGTGTCTGTGGCTTTTCCAGGTGCACAGTGCAAGCTGTCAGTGGATCTACCATTCTGGGGTCTGGAAGACAGTGGCCCTCTTCTCACAGCTCCACTAGGCAGTTCCCCAGTAGGGACTCTGTGTGGTGGCTCTGAACCCACATTTCCCTTCTGCACTGCCCTAGAAGAGGTTCTCCATGAGGGCCCCACCCCTGCAGCAAACTTTTGCCTGGGCATCCAGGAGTTTCCATACGTCTTCTGAAATCTAGGTGGAGGTTCCCAAACCTCAATTGTTGACTTCTGGGCACCCACAGGCTCAACACCATGTGGAAGCTTCCAAGGCTTGAGCCTTCCACCCTCTGAATCCACAGCTCAAGCTGTATGTTGGCCCCTTTCAGCTACAGCTGGAGTGGCTGGGACACAGGGCACCAAGTCCCTAGGCTACACACAGCACTGGGACCCTGGGCCTGGCCCAAGAAACCACTTTTCCTCCTGGGCCTTCAGGCCTGTGACAGGAGGGGCTGCTCTGAAGGTCTCTGACATGGGCTGGAGACATTTTCCCCATGGTGTTGGGAATTAACATTAGGCTCTTTGCTACTTATGCAAATTTCTGCAGCAGGCTTGAATTTCTCCCCAGAAAATGGGGTTTTCCTTTCTATCACATAGTCAGGCTGCAAGGTTTCCAAACTTTTATGCTCTGTTTCCCTTATAAAACTGAATGCCTTTAACAGTACCCAAGTCACCTCTTGAATACTTTGTTGCTTAGAAATTTCTTCCACCAGATACCCTAAATCATCTCTCTCAAGTTCAAAGTTCCACAAATCTCTAGGGCATTGGGAAAATGCTGTCAGCCTCTTTGCTAAAAATAACAAGAATCACCTTTACTCCAGTTCCCAACAAGTTCCTCATCTCCTCTGAGTTCCTCTGAGACCACCTCAGCCTGGACCTTATTGTCTATATCACTATCAGCATTTTGGGCAAAGCCATTCAACAAGTCTCTAGGAAGTTCCAAACTTTCCCAGATTTTTCTGTCTACTTCTGAGCCCTCCAAACTGTTCCAACCTCTACCTGTTACCCAGTTCCAAAGTCACTTCTACATTTTGGGGTATCTTTTCAGCAACACCCCACTATACTGGTACCACTTTACTATATTAGTCCATTTTCATGCTGTTGATAATGACATACCCGGGACTGGGAAGAAAAAGAGGTTTAATTGGACTTACAGTTCCACATGACTGGGGAGGCCTCAGAGTCATGGCGGGAGGCAAAAGGCACTTCTTACATGGAGGCAGCAAAAGAAAATGAGGAGGAAGCAAAAGCAAAAACCCCTGATAAACCCTTCAGATCTCATGAGACTTATTCATATTATGAGAATAGCACTGGAAAGATAGACCTCCATGATTTACCTCCCCCTTTGTCCCTCCCAGAACACATGGGAGTTCTGGGAGATAGAATTCAAGTTGAGATTTTGGTGGGGACACAGCCAAACCATATCAGGCACCCCTGGTGCAAATCCAACAAAGGGGTCAAGAGAAAACTCCTTCATCACTGCTTTGGTGGTCTTAGGTAAGATCCAGTACAATTTCATGGATTACCCAGCAAAGACTTTTGTTCTCTTCTCTTACTTTCCCAAACAAATGGAATATCTCTTTCCATGCTGAGCTGTCTGGAGTTGTGGGAAGGGTGACACAAACATCCTTATCACCACCACCAGGATTGCACTGGGTCAAACCTGAAGCCAGCATAGTACTGAATCTTGCTCAAGACTTGCAGCAACTACTGTCTGGTTACTGCTGATGTTCACACAAGGCCCAAGGGCTCTTCAGTCTGCTGGTGACAAATCCAGCCAGGCTTTTGTCCTTTTCTTTAGGGCTGTGTGTATTCTCTCTTTCACAGGCACATAGATTCTCTCTCTGTGCCACATGGCCACTGCTGGGAATGGGGAAAGGTTGATGTCAGCAGTTAAAGACTATCATTCCTACCCTCTTCAGTGTCTTTTTCCTTGATATGATTTTAATACCAGGCACTGCGATCATTCACATGATTTTTGGTTCTTTTGAAGGTGCTTTCTTGTGTGGATAGTTGTTTAATTTGGTGTTGCTAGGTAGGGGTAATGGTCTCTGGAGGGTTCAAACTGACCATCTTGCTCTGCTTTCTCTCTGATTTTTGTTGTTTGGTTTCTCTCTAATTTGACCTTGACTATTCTCTGTTGAGAGTAGTCATAAGCCAAGATAGCCACTCTCTAGGAGAGCCCTCAGTGGGTTGAAGGTAGTGGGGAGTTGGGTTTGGGTATATCAGGGAAGTAAGATGTAATGAGGAGGTGGAACCAAAGTGCATAAAACAGGGGAAATGTATTACTTACAGACCACAGAGAGGATAGGCCACTATTAGGAGTCAGATGGGAAGTCTGGAAGTGGCAGAGAACTCAACCAGTGAGCTGGGGGAAAGAAAGCAAGAAACAGAGAAGACCTGTGGGACTATGCCTTTATTAGGGTTCATGGGCATTATCCCTTAAGCTTTCCTGCAGGGATTGTGGATTGACTACTATAGTTCAGGTCTTTATCAGCCTGCAGGATGCATTCCTCCATTGCCAACTGTGACTTCAGGAAATGCTGAAGGAACTTATTTGCCTGAAGAAACAAGATGGAGCAAAGAACTTAGATTTCCACTAGGAAGATTTGTTCTCTACAAACAGGTTCATCCATGTCATTTTTTTTTTCTGCTTATAATGCTTCAGGAATCCCTTATAATTCATGATAGCTCCTTAGTGTGATGAGAGACCAACCCGGTCTTCTGCTTCTTGTCTTCCTCCTGTTCTACTCCCTGTACTACTTCCTTCCACCTGCTCTAGGTACGAGCCAGTCAGAACTATGTCCAATTGTGCAATCCAAAATCTCTGATGCTTTTATATATTTGCATGTTTATCTGGGGCTTGTTCTCTTGGATGGCATCTCAATCTGTACAACATGTACACTATGGTCTGAATATATGTGTCCTCCCAAATTCATATGTTGAACACTAATTCCCAGGGTGATGGCATTAGAAGTGGGGCATTAGGGAAGTGATTAGGTCCTGAGTGTGGAGCTGTCATGAATTAGAGTAATGCCCCTGTAAGGGGCTGAGAGACTAGAGTTCACTTGCACCATGTGAGGACACAGAAAGAAGGTGCTGTCTATGAACCAGAAAGTGCACCCTCATCATACGCTGAACCTGCTGGTGCCTTGGTCTTTGCCTTCTCAGCCTCAGAACTATAAGAAATGAATATCAATTGTTTATAAGTCACCCACTTTATGGTATTTTGTTATAGCATCCTGAATAGACTAAGGTAAGGTACAAACATTTTAAAATTTCTGTCACCCTTTTCTTCCTGGAAGGTTTCCTAGACCACATACCCAGTATGAAATGCAGCCCCAAACTCTGTTGCTACTCTCCCCTGCCACTTGTTAGATATGTAACTCTAGGCAAGTTCTTTAAGCTACCTGAGCCTTCCAGTTCACATGTATCAAATGTGGGAAATAAGAGTAGATGCTTCATAACATTATTTGAAGAATTAAATGAAAACATCTATAACACTATGCCTGCCACAAAGGTAATAATTGTTCAACATATGTTAGTTGCATTATTATTATTATTATTATTATTAGTTTGAGACAGAGTCTCACTCAGTCGCCCAGGCTGGAGTGCAGTGGCTCCATCTCTGCTCATTCAAGCTCTGCCTCCTGGGTTCACACCATTCTCCTGCCTCAGCCTCCCAAGTAGCTGGGACTACAGGTGCCCACCACCATACCCAGCTATTCTTTTTGTATTTTTTTAGTAGAGACAGGGTTTCACTGTGTTAGCCAGGATGGTCGTGATCTCCTGACCTCGTGATCCACCCTCCTCACCTCCCAAAGTGCTGGGATTACAGGCGTGAGCCACCGCGCCTGGCTGCATTATTATTATTATGCTTAATACTTCCATTATGACAGCCCAGCATCACAGGTCCATAAGCATGATAACTCTATATGCAATTGTCTATTTATTCAATTCTGTCTCACTTTGATCAGACTTGACTGCAAATACTCTAACATTACCTGTCAATCACTGGCATTTGACAGAATGCCTGATACAACATTGGATGAAGAAATCTGTTCTCTTTCCCTGTACTGTTTCTTTTGGGAGTTGATATTTCTACTCTCCTGAGGAATTAACAACAAATGGTGGCCATTAAAAGCTAAAAGTATAATATATCCTCATGTTCTGTGTATTATCCACAGCTGGTACTGTGCTCCAGATTTTCAGGAGATCCCCTTGACTCTATTCTGTAAGCTTTCCCATGCTCCTTATATAACTCACCTTAACTCCTTTTCTGGGCACTAGCTAATAGTCCCATTTGATTCTTTTCTTTGCTTCCTTGTGGAGTTTGTGTCCTCCAGGAATATAGAGCCTTCCTGCTGAAAATCTTTCCATTAGAGCCTTTAAGAGACAATTAAATTTAGTCTGCAATATTGAACAGATGCCTGTTCGTTCTGCAGCCATAAATCCTCCTTCCTATTCTTTAGGATTTCCTGCAAGGGAAATGTAGATGAAAGTCACCAGAAGAAAGGGATGTGGTGATGAAATTTCAAACAATCTTATTCGATGGGTAGTCTAACTGTGGTCCTTTTGAGAACATTTTAGTGGAGCAGCACAGGCAATGTAGCAAGAATCAAGAGACTTAATTTACTCTCAACTCTGAAACCACTCTGCAAGGCGTAGGGAAAGCTTATTAACTTCCCTGTGCTGAAGATTCTTCATCCAGGAAATGCTGAGGTTGCAATATGTAATCTTCATGGTTCCTTAGCAGCTGTAGTGTTCCTGTAATTCTATCTTCAGTAACAAAATAAATGTAAACAATAACATGTTAAGGGATTCCATCCCAGAAAATCAAGATTCTAGGAATGGATGCATACACAGAGATTAGCAACAGGTAAGTAACGACTTAGGGGAGTTCTGGAACCATGCCAGTATGCACTATAGGAGGAGGCAATGGGCAATGATGAATTTGACAGATCAGACAATCCTGAATAAAAGTCCCAAACTTTGTGGTTAAAAAATAAAGGAAACAAAGTTCTCTAGAACTCTCTCTGTGATGAGAATTCACACTTCTTTACCATGAATAGGTGATAAGCCATGGGAGCAATGTGTCAAATTCTAGACATAATTCCAAATGGCCCAAAAATGGGAAGGAAAAATGCTAAGACAATGTACCATGAGCTTCTTCTGAAATTCCTGGTTTTCACCCCTGGAGTGCTCCATGAAGACTGCAATGGCTTCCCTCTCACAGGCTGTGTGCATATCCAGCAGCTCCTGGAGCATGTCTGTGGGGAACCTCATTCGCTGGGCCATCTGCTGGCTGTAGTGGTTGGCTGCCCTCTGCAAGGCCACTGAATTCTCACGCTGGGCCAGAGTCATCACTGTGTTCTCCAAACAAGGTACTGCTCCACTGTTGATGGCATCCACATAAGTTACCACCAGACTCCCCAGCCCTGATAGGACATGAACTAGAGAGTTATATAAATTTCAAACTCAATAGGATCCAGGTTTATGAGATGAAGATTCTAAAATAACACACACACACACACACACACACACACACACACACAAACACACACACCTCCCTACTTATTTCTGCTATCATCACTTCATTTCCACATTTACTCTTTATTCCATTGTTTTCCAGGCCATAACATTAAAAATGTAAATACCTACCTTCATTTAACATAGTCAGGGTTGTCAGGGGAAAATCATTTCACATTAACACAAATTAAGGGAAAAATAGGATACATAGATAGGTGAAGCAAAGTAACTCAGATAATTTGTATTCATAATTCTTTTTTTTTTGTTATACTTCAAGTTTTAGGGTACATGTGCACAACGTGCAGGTTTGTTACATATGGATACATGTGCCATGTTGGTGTGCTGCACCAATTAACTAATCATTTAGCGTTAGGTATATAACCTAATGCTATCCCTCCCCCCTCACCCCACCCTACAACAGGCCCCAGTGTGTGATGTTCCCCTTCCTGTGTCCATGTGTTCTCATTGTTCAATTCCCACCTATGAGTGAGAACATGCGGTGTTTGGTTTTTTGTCCTTGTGATAGTTTGCTGAGAATAATGGTTTCCAGCTTCATCCATGTCCCTACAAAGGACATGAGCTCATCATTTTTTATGGCTGCATAGTAATCCATGGTGTATATGTGCCACATTTTCTTAATCCAGTCTATCATTATTAGACATTTGGGTTGGTCCCAAGTCTTTGCTATTGTGAATAGTGCCGCAATAAACATACGTGTGTATTTGTCTTTCGAGCAGCATGATTTATAATTCTTTGGGTAAATACCCAGTAATGGGACAGCTGGGTCAAACGGTATTTCTAGTTCTAGATCCCTGAGGAATCACCACACTGACTTCCACAATGGTTGAACTAGTTTACAGTCCCACCAACAGTGTGAAAGTGTTCCTGTTTCTCCACATCCTCTCCAGCACCTGTTGTTTCCTGACTTTTTAATGATTGCCATTCTAACTGGTGTGAGATGGTATCTCATTGTAGTTTTGATTTGCATTTCTCTGATGGCCAGTGATGATGAGCATTTTTTCATGTGTCTTTTGGCTGCATAAATGTCTTCTTTTGAGAAGTGTCTGTTCATATACTTTGCCCACTTTTGATGGGATTGTTTTTTTCTTGTAAATTTGTTTGAGTTCATTGTAGATTCTGGATATTAGCCCTTTGTCAGATGAGTAGATTGCAAAGAGTTTCTCCCATTCTGTAGGTTGCCTTTTCACTCTGATGGCAGTTTCTTTTGCTGTGCAGAAGCTCTTTAGTGTAATTAGATTCCATTTGTCAATTTTGGCTTTTGTTGTCATTGCTTTTGGTGTTTTAAACATGAAGTCTTTGCCCATGGTTATGTCCTGAATGGTATTGCCTAGGTTTTCTTCTAGGGTTTCTATGGTTTTAGGTCTCACATTTAAGCCTTTAATCCATCTTGAATTAATTTTTGTACAAGGTGTAAGCAAGGGATGCAGTTTCAGCTTTCTACATATGGCTAGCCAGTTTTTCCAGCAGCATTTAT
Source organism: Homo sapiens (assembly GCF_000001405.40). Lineage (NCBI taxonomy): Eukaryota > Metazoa > Chordata > Mammalia > Primates > Hominidae > Homo > Homo sapiens. Next base: position 89,330,351 of record NC_000001.11, on the reverse strand, counting down.
TAAATAGGGAGTCCTTTCCCCATTTCTTGTTTTTATCAGGTTTGTCAAAGATCAGATGGTTGTAGATATGTGGCATTATTTCTGAGGGCTCTGTTCTGTTCCATTGGTCTATATCTCTGTTTTGGTACCAGTACCATGCTATTTTGGTTACTGTAGCCTTGTAGTATAGTTTGAAGTCAGGTAGCGTGATGCCTCTGGCTTTGTTCTTTTTGCTTAGGGTTGACTTTGCAATGTGGGCACTTTTTTGGTTCCATATGAACTTTAAAGTAGTTTTTTTCCAATTCTGTGAAGAAAGTCATTGGTAGCTTGATGGGGATGGCACTGAATGTATAAATTACCTTGGGCAGTATGGCCATTTTCACGATATTGATTCTTCCTACCATGAGCATGGAATGTGCTTCCATTTCTTTGTATCCTCTTTTATTTCACTGAGCAGTGGTTTGTAGTTCTCCTTAGAGAGGTACTTCACATCCCTTGTAAGTTGGATTCCTAGGTATTTTATTCTCTTTGAAGCAATTGTGAATGGGAGTTCACTCATGATTTGGCTCTCTGTTTGTCTGTTATTGGTGTACAAGAATGCTTGTGATTTTTGCACATTGATTTTGTATCCTGTGACTTTGCTGAAGTTGCTTATCAGCTTAAGGAGATTTTGGGCTGAGACGATGGGGTTTTCTAGATATACAATCATGTCATCTGCAAACAGGGACAATTTGACTTCCTCTTTTCCTAATTGAATACCCTTTATTTCCTTCTCCTGCCTGAGTGCCCTGGCCAGAACTTCCAACACTATGTTGAATAGGAGTGGTGAGAGAGGGCATCCCTGTCTTGTGCCAGTTTTCAAAGGGAATGCTTCCAGTTTTTGCCCATTCAGTACGATATTGGCTGTGGGTTTGTCATAGATAGCTCTTATTATTTTGAGATACGTCTCATCAATACCTAATTTATTGAGAGTTTTTAGCATGAAGTGTTGTTGAATTTTCTCAAAGGCCTTTTCTGCATCTACTGAGATAATCATGTGGTTTTTGTCGTTGGTTCTGTTTATATGCTGGATTACGTTTATTCATTTGTGTATGTTGAACCAGCCTTGCATCCCAGGGATGAAGCCCACTTGATCATGGTGGATAAGCTTTTTGATGTGCTGCTGGATTCAATTTGCCAGTATTTTATGGAGGATTTTTGCATAATGTTCATCAGGGATATTGGTCTAAAATTCTCTTTTTTTTGTTGTGTCTCTGCCAGGCTTTGGTATCAAGATGATGCTGGCCTCATACAATGAGTTAGGGAGGGTTCCCTCTTTTTCTGTTGATTGGAGTAGTTTCAGAAGGAACGGTACCAGCTCCTCCTTGTACCTCTGGTAGAATTCGGCTGTGAATCTATCTGGTCCTGTACTTTTTTTGGTTGGTAAGCTATTAATTATTACCTCAATTTCAAAGCCTGTTATTGGTCTATGCAGAGATTCAACTTCTTCCTGGTTTAGTCTTGGGAGAGTGTATGTGTCGAGGAATTTATCCATTTCTTCTGGATTTTCTAGTTTATTTGTGTAGAGGTGTTTATAGTGTTCTCTGATGGTAGTTTGTATTTCTGTGGGATCAGTGGTGATATCCCCTTTTTTTTATTTTTTATTGCGTCTATTTGATTCTTCTCTATTTTCTTCTTTATTAGTCTTGCTAGAGGCCTATCAATTTTGTTGATCTTTTCAAAAAACGAGCTCCTGGATTCATTGATTTTTGGAAGGGTTTTTTGTGTCTCTATTTCCTTCAGTTCTGCTCTGATCTTAGTTATTTCTTGCCTTCTGCTAGCTTTTGTATGTGTTTGCTCTTGCTTCTCTAGTTCTTTTAATTGTGATGTTAGGGTGTCAATTTTAGATCTTTCGTGCTTTCTCTTGTGGGCATTTAGTGATATAAATTTCCCTCTACACTCTGCTTTTAATGTGTCCCAGAGATTCTGATATGTTGTGTCTTTGTTCTCATTTGTTTCAAAGAACATCTTTATTTCTGCTTTCATTTCGTTATGTACCCAGTAGTCATTCAGGAGCAGGTTGTTCAGTTTCCATGTAGTTGAGTGGTTTTGAGTGAGTTTCTTTTTTTTTTTTTTTTTTTTTGAGACGGAGTCTCGCTCTGTTGCCCAGGCTGGAGTGCAGTGGCGGGATCTCGGCTCACTGCAAGCTCCGCCTCCCGGGTTCACGCCATTCTCCTGCCTCAGCCTCCCAAGTAGCTGGGACTACAGGCGCGCGCCACTACGCCCGGCTAATTTTTTGTATTTTTAGTAGAGACGGGGTTTCACCGTTTTAGCCGGGATGGTCTCGATCTCCTGACCTCATGATCCGCCCGCCTCGGCCTCCCAAAGTCCTGGGATTACAGGCGTGAGCCACCGCGCCCGGCCGAGTGAGTTTCTTAATCCTGAGTTCTACTCTGATTGCACTGTGGTCTGAGAGACAGTTTGTTATAATTTCTGTTCTTTTACATTTGCTGAGTAGAGCTTTACTTCCAACTATGTGGTCAATTTTGGAATAGGTGTGGTGTGGTGCTGAAAAGAATCTATATTCTGTTGATTTGGGGTGGAGAGTTCTGTAGATGTCTATTAGGTCTGCTTGGTGCAGAACTGAGTTCAATTCCTGGATATCCTTGTTAACTTTCTGTCTCATTGATCGTCTAATGTTGACAGTGGGGTGTTAAAGTCTCCCATTATTATTGTGTGGGAGTCTAAGTCTCTTTGTAGGTCTCTAAGGACTTGCTTTATGAATCTGTGTTCTCCCGCATTGGACGCATATATATTTAGGATAGTTAGCTCTTCTTGTCAAATTGATCCCTTTACCATTATGTAATGGCTTTCTTTGTCTCTTTTGATCTTTGTTGGTTTAAAGTCTGGTTTATCGGGGACTAGGATTGCAACCCCTGCCTTTTTTTTGTTTTCTATTTGCTTGGTAGATCTTCCTCCATCCCTTTATTTTGAGCCTATGTGTGTCTCTGCCCATGTGATGGGTTTCCTGAATATAGCACACGGATGGGTCTTGACTCTTTATCCAATTTGCCAGTCTGTGTCTTTTAACTGGAGCATTTAGCCCATTTACATTTAAGGTTAATATCGTTATGTGTGAATTTGATCCTGTCATTATGATGTTAGCTGGTTATTTTGCTCATTAATTGATGCAGTTTCTTCCTAGCCTTGATGGTCTTTACAATTTGGCATGTTTTTGCAGTGGCTGGTACCGGTTGTTCCTTTCCATGTTTAGTGCTTCCTTCAGGAGCTCTTTTAGGGCAGGCCTGGTGGTGACAAAATCTCTCAGCATTTGCTTGTCTGTAAAGTATTTTATTTCTCCTTCACTTATGAAGCTTAGTTTGGCTGGATATGAAATTCTGGGTTGAAAATTCTTTTCTTTAAAAATGTTGAATATTGGCCCCCACTCTCTTCTGGCTTGTAGAGTTTCTGCTGAGAGATCTGCTGTTAGTCTGATGGGCTTCCCTTTGTGGGTAACCTGAGCTTTCTCTCTGGCTGCCCTTAACATTTTTTCCTTCATTTCAACTTTGGTGAATCTGACAATTATGTGTCTTGGAGTGGCTCTTCTCGAGGAGTATCTTTGTGGCATTCTCTGTATTTCCTGAATTTGAATGTTGGCCTGCCTTGCTAGATTGGGGAAGTTCTCCTGGATAATATCCTGCAGAGTGTTTTCCAACTTGGTTCCTTTCTCCCTGTCACTTTCAGGTACACCAATCAGATGTAGATTTGGTCTTTTCATATAATCCCATATTTCTTGGAGGCTTTGTTCGTTTCTTTTCATTCTTTTTTCTCTAAACTTCTCTTCTCGCTTCATTTCATTCATTTGATCTTCCATCACTGATACCCTTTCTTCCAGTTGATCAAATCGGCTACTGAGGTTTGTGCATTCGTCACATAGTTCTCATGCTTTGGTTTTCAGCTCCATCAGGTCCTTTAAGGACGTCTCTGCATTGGTTATTCTAGTTAGCCATTCATCTAATTTTTTTTCAAGGTTTTTAACTTCTTTGCCGTGGGTTTGAAATTCCTCCTTTAGCTCGGAGTAGTTTGATAGTCTGAAGTCTTCTCTCAACTCGTCAAAGTCATTCTCCATCCAGCTTTGTTCCATTGCTGGTAAGGAGCTGCATTCCTTTGGAGGAGGAGAGGCGCTCTGATTTTTAGATTTTCCAGTTTTTCTTCTCTGTTTTTTCCCCATCTTCGTGGTTTTATCTACCTTTGGTCTTTGATGATGGTGATGTACAGTTGGGATTTTGGTGTGGATGTCCTTTCTGTTTGTTAGTTTTCCTTCTAACAGTCAGGACCCTCAGCTGCAGGTCTGTTGGAGTTTGCCGGAGGTCCACTCCAGACCCTGTTTACCTAGGTAACAGCAGTGGAGGCTGCAGAACAGCGAATATTGGTGAACAGCAAATGTTGCTGCCTGATTGTTCCTCTGGAAGTTTTGTTCTCAGAGGATTACCCGGCAGTGTGAGGTGTCAATCTGCCCCTACTGAGGGGTGCCTCCCAGTTAGGTTACTCGGGGGTCAGGGACCCACTTAAGGAGGCAGTCTGTCCATTCTCAGATCTCAAGCTGCATGCTGGGAGAACCACTACTCTATTCGAAGCTGTCAGACAGGGACATTTAAGTCTGCAGAGGTTTCTGCTGCCTTCTGTTTGGCTGTGCCCTGACCCCAGAGGTGGAGTCTACAGAGGTAGGCAGGCCTCCTTGAGCTGCAGTGGGCTCCACCCAGTTTGAGCTTCCTGGCTGCTTTGTTTACCTACTCAAGCCTCAGCAATGGTGGGCGCCCCTCCCCCAGCCTTGCTGCTGCCTTGCACTGTGATCTCAGACTGCTGTGCTAGCAATGAGCGAGACTCCGTGGGAATAGGACCCTCCGAGCCAGGTGCAGGATATAATCTCCTGGTGTGCCATTTGCTAAGACCATCAGAAAAATGCAGTATTAGGGTGGGAGTGACCCAATTTTCCAGATGCCATCTGTCACCACTTTCTTTGACTAGGAAAGGGAATTCCCTGACCCCTTGTGCTTCCCAGATGAGGCAATGCCTCACCCTGCTTTGGCTCACGCTCAGTGCACTGCACCCACTGTCCAACACTCCCCAGTGAGATGAATCTGGTACCTCAGTTTGACATGCAGAAATCACCCATCTTCTGCGTTGCTCATGCTGGGAGCTGTAGACTGGAGCTCTTCCTATTCTTTTCATGCATTCTCAAGGATTCATCACTTAATGTTTGCTTTGAACATGGCTAAACTCCCACATAATCTCCTTAAGAAAAATGCTTATCTTATAGGACTTCCATTGAGAAGACCATGTATTCTGTTTTCATACCCAGTCACTGATTTTATTATCAATGATGAGGTCTTCACATATCTGGGAGCTTCCACTGTCCCTGATAATATTTGAGCTTTTGGAAAAGAATTTATAATCCCTGTGTTGGGAGATAGTGACTAAAACACACACATTTCTCTTTGGGATATGAGTATTTGTCAATGCATGCTTCTGTATAGAATGAAACAATATTACTTAAGAACTTTTGTAATAAATATCCAACACATATTAAGCCACACAGAAATATAATTTTGGAAGAGGAGTCTCACGATTCACAGTGACATTGACTCCTTCCCTGAGGGTCTTGGTCCTTGCCTGGGTGAAGATGTAAGAACAGAAATTATTTGACTATTCCTGGAATTTAGAATCCAGTTGGTTTTCCAACACATCCTCAATATGAGCTAGGAGCTCCTTTTCATTTTGGCCAGTCAAAGACAAAACACTTTCATTGTAGAAAGAAATACCTGATATATGCCCTGATGGTTTTGGAAGTTTTAGCTTTGAGATTGTCACCTAATGAAGAGGTAAAGCAGTGTTACAGTAAGGACAATCTTGGTACAAGCCAGCTAAAGATTGTTATCTCTGAGGACTTTTTATCTTTGGCATCTTCTATGCTCATAGAACTCCTTTAATATGTTCATTTAATACTTATTACAAATCAAGCTCATACCAGTGAAATATCTCTAGAGAGAAATTTTGGGAAATATCTGCACCAGGCAAAGAAATGTACAGCTGGTATCGACAGAAACAAGCATGGTGTCTGGGACCATGCTTGTTTCTGAGAGCCCTGTTTAGGACAAGGATAGAAATATTGATAGGGGTTAATGCTGCCTGTATATTCCCATTTTCTGCCCTTGAGACTCAATATGTTGTCATCTACCATTATTTTTGTTTTCAAGAGTGTCTGACTCTGTCACCTAGGCTGGAGTGCAGTGGTGCAAACATAGTCCTCTGCAGCCTCAAACTCTCAAACTTCTGGGCTCACACAATCCCCTTGAGCAGCTGGGAATTCAGGCATGTGCCAACATGCCTGGCTATTTTTTTATTTTTTATTTTTTGTAGCAATGGGATCTCACTATGTTTTTCAGACTGGTCTTGAACTCTTGGCTTCATGCAATCCTCCCACCTCATTCTCCCAAAGTAAATGAATTACAGGCATGAGCCACTGCATTTGGTAAGCTTCTATTATTCTTGTGATTTTTCTAAATGTCCAATATCATATGCTCTTTATATCAAACCATAGTCATGGACTTAGTAGGATTTCAATATGCTAGTCTACAAGGTATTCTGCAACATCAAGGTACTGTGGCCTAATTAGAATTTTCATTAAAGCTACACAAAGATATAAATGAGTTAAAAAAACACTCTGATTAATTTTTCCTTTATTCAAGCAAAAAAGCATGTATTATGTGCTACTAAGTTCTATACACTGTATTTGTTGCTGGAAATTAGGCATCAAATAAGGCAGATAGCTTCCTACTTTATAGGTATATATTTTGTTATAAGAAGACAAACAAGTAAAGATAAAAATAAACAAAATATGTTCTTATTGTGTTAAGTTCAGGGGCAACATGAGAAAGGAGAGTCAGGTAAAACCTTTTGGAGACTGGACATTTATGCAGAGCCTTAAAGAAAATGAGCTGTGTGAAGAACCAGTAAGCACTGCAGGCAGAGTGAAGCACAAGTATAAATACCTGGGGACAGGAAGGGGCTTGTGATTTGCAATAATATTAACAGGAGTGGTGAAAATATAAAATATGAGTTTGGATAAATAGAAAATAATAGATCATAATGAACCTACAAGAAGTATGGATTTTATATAAATCTAATGGAAGTTTAAGGAGGGTATTTAAAGAAGCTAGATTTAAGATCACTCTTGTTGCTTTGAAAAGAGTTGATTACAGAGTGAAAGCCAGAAAGTGGAAGCAAGAAAGATAGTATGCTAGTAAGTATTTTAAGCAAAAGATGAAGAAGACAGCTTAAGATGATACAATATCAATGGAGCAGAATAAATGGATTTGTGCTATACTGAGCAAGAAAAATAAGAGGAGGGGGAGGTGGAACAAGATGGCCAAATAGAACCCTCCAGCGTTCATTCTCCAAGCAGGAACACAAAATTGAATAACTATCCCCAGAAGAGCAACCTCCATAAGAACCAAAAATCAGGTGGCAATCACAATACCTGATTTTAACATCATATCAAGGAAAGAGGCACTGAAGAGGGTAGGAAAGACAGCCTTGAACTTCCTACAGCACCTCTCCTCAATCCCTAGGCAGCACAGCATGGCATGGAGAGAGAATCTGTGTGCTTGGGGGAGGGAGAGTGAAGTTATTGTGAGATTCTGCATGGGAACTCAGTGCTGTCCCATCACAGTGGAAAATAACACTGGGCAGAATTTGGCCAGCACCCATGGAGGAAGCATTTAAAGCAATCTTAGCCAAGGGGGAATAATTCATGTATCCCAGTGGTAGAATTTGAACTACAGCCAGCCCCACCACCGTGGATGATACAATAGAAATAGAAAGAAACACATGGCTTTGTGCTATATTTAGTAAGAGAAATAAGAGGACCTAATATCTAAAGTGCTCTGGGGTTCTAAATAAACTAGAAATGCAGTCTAGGCTACAAGAATTGCAATTCCTGGGCAATTCTGTTGTTTTGGGGAAAGGAGGGAAAGAGAACAAAAGTTTGTGCCTAGTAATCCTGAGAATTCTACTGGATCTTACCCAAGAAAAAGGCAATAACTCTACAACTCTGCAAGAGTCACAGTGTCACTGGGCTTGGGGTGCCCACTAATGCATATATGGTTGCAATGACTAAAGACTTAGATGACAAGAATTATTTCCCCTTAAATACTTGGAAAGCCTTCTCAATAAGGATGGGTACAAACAGGCCCAGACCATGAAGATTAGAATAAATAACTAACTTCAATGCCCAGACATCAAGAAACATCCACAAACATCAAGACCATCTGGGAAAACATGACATCGCCAAATGAACTAAATATGGTACCAGTGACCAATTCTGGAGTGACAGAGATATGTGACATTTCACACAGAGAATTCAAGATTGCTGTGTTGAGGAAGCTCAATAAAATCCAAGGTAACACAGAGAAGGAATTCAGAATCCCATCGGAAACATTTAACAAAGTGATTGAAATAATTTAAAAGAATTAAGCAGAAATGCTGGAGCTGAAGAAATTCAATTGACAAACTAAAACTAAAGAATATATCAGAATCTCACAACAGCAATCCAGGAGAAGAAAAAATTAGTGATCTTGAAGACAGGCTATTTGAAAATACACAGTGATAGAAGTTAAAAGAATAAAAAAAGGAAGCATCTCTATAGGATCTAGAAAACAGCCTCAAAAAGGCAAATCTAAATGTTATTGGCCTTAATGAGGAGGTAAAGAGAGGCTGAGTTAGAAATCTTATTCATAGGGATAAAAATAGACATTACCAAACCTAGGGAAAGATAACAATATTCAAGAACAAGAAGATTATAGGAGACCAGGCAGATTTAACACAAATAAGACTACCTCAATATGTTTAATAATCAAACTCCCAAAGGTCAAGGATAAATAAGGCATACTAAAAGCAAAAAGAGAAAAGAAAAAAAAAAACATATAAAGGAGCTTCAATATGTCTAGCACATATTACTCAGTGGAAAGCTTACTAGCCAGGAGTAAGTGGTATAATATATTTAAACTGCTAAAAAAAAATCTTTTATCCTAGAATATCATACCAGTGAAAATATCCTTCAAACATAGAGGAAAAGTAAAGACTTTTCCAGCAAACAAAAGCTGAGGTAGTTCATCAACATAAGACCTGTCCTAAAAGAAATGCTAAAGAGAGTACTTCAATCTGAAAGGAAAGCATGTTAATGAGCAAAAAAAAAATCATCTGAGTACATAAAATTCACTGGTAACAGTGAGTATACCGACAAATATAAAATAATATGACACTGTAATTGTGGTATGTAAACTACTCATACCTTGCATAGGAAGAGTAAAAGACAAATTTATCGAAAATAATAACCACAACAACTTTTTAAGACATAGTATAATAAGATATAAATAGAAACAACGAATAGTTGAAAAGCAGAGAGGATGAAGTTAAAGTGTTGAATGTTATTAGTTTTCTCTTTGCTTGTCAGTTTTTTTTTGTAGATTTTAGCAATTAGAGTTTAACTGTCATCAGTGTAAAATAATGAGTTACAAGATATTAGTTGCAAGCCTTGTGGTAACCACAAATCAAAAAACCTACAACAGATACACAAAAAATGTATAGAGCAAGAACTTAAAACATACCAACAAGAAAATCACTTTCACAAAAAGAAAGACATGAAGGAAGAAGAGAAGAAAGAGAAGACCACAAACAACCAGAAAACAAAACCAAATGGCAGGAGTAAGTTGTTATTTAGCAACAATAACATTGAATGCAAATGGACTATACTCTCCAATCAAAAGACACAGAGAGGCCGAATGGATTAAAAAAACAGAATCCAGTGATCTGTTGCCTACAAGAAACACACTTCACCTATAAAGACACACACAAACTGAAAATAAGAAGAAGGAAAAAGACATTCCATGCCAATGGAAACCAAAAAAAGAGCAGGAGTAGCTATACTTATATCAGATAAAAGCATTTCAAGATAAAAACTATAAAAAAGACAAAGAATGTCACTATGTAACGAGTAAAAGGGATTAATATAGCAAGAGGATATAACCATTGTAAATATATATGCACCCAATACTGGAGCATCTAGATATATAAAGCAAATATTATTAGTTCAAAAGAGAGAGACAGACCACAGTATAATAACAGCTGGAGATTTCAACACCTCACCTTCAGCATTGGACAGATCAGCCAAACAAAAATTACAAAGAAAATATCAGACCTAATCTATACTATAGACCAAAAGACCTAATAGATATTTACAGATTATTTCATCCAAGGGTTGAAAAATACACGTTCTTCTGCTCAGGAAATAGATCATCCTCAAGTATAGACTATACTTTAAGCCACAAAATCAGTCTGAAAAATACAAAAAAGGTAAATATGATACTTGACACATATCAAGTATCTTCTCTGACCACAATGGAATAAAACTAGAAATCAAGCATATGAGAAAACTTAAAAGGAACACAAACATTTGGAAATTAATCAATTTGCTCCTGAATGACCAGTGGGTCAAAAAACAAGAATCAAATTTAAGAATTCCTGAAACAAATGCAAATGGAAAGAAAACATACCAAAACTTATGGGATAAGCAAAAGTGGTACTAAGAGGAAAGTTTATAGCAATAAGCACCTACAACAAAGAGGGAGCAATACTTCAAATAATCTAATGATGCATCTTAAGGAACTAGAAAAGCAAGAGCAAACCAAACCTAACATTAGTAGAAGAAAAGACATAATAATGATCTGAGCAGGAAAAAAAAAGAAATTGAAATGAGAAAAGCAATACTAAATGTCATCAAAAAGAAAAGTTGGTTTTTTGAAAAGATAATGAAAATTGGCAAACTTTTAGCCAGACTAACTGATAAAGACAGAAGACCCAAATAAATAAAATCAGAGATGAAAAAGGAGACATTACAACTTATACTGCAGAAATGTAAAGAATCACTGGACTACTATGAACAACTGTATGTCCACAAATTGGAAAACCTAAAAGAAGTGGATAAATTCCTAGACATACACAACCTACCAAGATTGAACCATTAAGAAATCTGAAGCCTAAATAGAGCAATAAAAAGTAATGACATCAAAGCCATAATAAAAAGTCTCCCAGCAAAGAAAAGCCCAGGACCCAATGGTCTCAATGCTGAACTCTACCAGACATTTAAAAAAGAATACCAATCCAACTCAAACTATTCCCCCAAAAAAGAAGGAGAGGGAATACTATGAAACTTATTCTACAAGGCCGGTATTACCCTGATGCCAAAAGCAAAGAAACATCAAAAAAAGAAAACAACAGGCTAATATCTCTGGTTAATATTGATACAAATATCCTCAACAAAATACCAGCAAAGCAAATTCAACATCAAATTTGAAAGATCATTCATCATGACTGTCATTGCAACCCCTGCTTTTTTTTTCTTTTATTTCCATTTGCTTGGTAAATATTCCTTCATTCCTTTATTTTGAGCCTATGTGTGACTGCACATGAGATGGGTCTTCTGAATACAGCACACCAATGGATCTTGACTTTTTATTCAATTTGTCAGTCTGTGTCTTTTAATTGGGTCATTTGGCCCATTTACATTTAAGGTTAACATTGTTATGTGTGAATTTGATCCTGTCATCATGATGCTAGCTAGTTATTTTGCACATTTGTTGATGCAGTTTCTTCCTAGTGTCATTGGTCTTTATATTTTGGTCTGTTTTTGGTGTGGCTGGTATCAGTTTTTCCTTTCCATATTTAGTGCTTCCTTCAGGAGCTCTTGTAAGGCAGGCCTGGTGGTGACAAAATCCCTCAGCATTTGCTTGTCTGTAAAGAATTTTATTTCTCCTTTGCTTATGAAGCTTAGTTTGGCTGGATATGAAATTCTGGGTTGAAAATTCTTCTATTTAAGAATGTTGAATATTGACCCCCACTGTCTTCGGGCTTGTAGGGTTTCTGCAGAGAGATCTGCTATTAGTCTGATGAGCTTCCTTTTGTAGGTAACCTGACCTTTCTCTCTAGCAGCCCTCAACATTTTTCCTTCATTTCAACCTTGGAGAATCTGATGATTATGTGTCTTGGGGTTACTCTTCTCAAGGAGTATCTTAGTGAAGTTCTCTGTATTTCCTGAATTTGAATGTTGACTTGTCTTGCTAGGTTGGGGAAGTTCTCCTGGATAATATCCTGAAGTATGTTTTTGAACTTCGTTGCATTCTCCCCATCACTTTCAGGGACCCCAATCAATTGTAGGCTTGGTCTTTTGACATAGTCCCATATTACTTGGAGGCTTTGTTCATTCCTTCCCATTCTTTTTTTTCTAATCTTATCTTCATGCCTTTTTTCAGTAAGTTGATCTTTAATCTCTTCTATCCTTTCTTCCGCTTGATTGATTCATCTATTGATACTCGTGTATGCTTCACGAAGTTCTCATGCTGTGTTTTTCAGCTCCATCAGGTCATTTATGTTCTTCTCTAAACTGGTTATTCTAGTTAGCAGTTCCTGTATCCTTTTGTCAAGGTTCTTAGCTTCTTTGAATTGGGTTAGAACATGCTCCTTTAGCTCAGAGCAGTTTGTTATTACCTACTTCTGAAGCCTACTTCTGTCTATTCATCAAACTCATTGTCTGTCTAGTTTTGCGCCCTTGCTGGAAAGGAGATGTGATCATTTGGAGAAGAGGCATCCTAGTTTTTGGAATTTTCAGCATATTTGCACTGTTTTTTCCTCATTTTCTGTATTTATCTCCCTTTGATATTTGAGGCTGATGGCCTTTTGATGGGGTTTCTGTGTGCGGGTCTTTTTGTTGATGTTGATGTTATTGCTTTCTCTTTGTTACTTTTTCTTCTAATGGTCAGGCCTCTCTTCTGCAGGTCTGTTGCAGTTTGCTGGAGCTCCACTCCAGACCCTATTTGCCTGGGTATCACCCATTGGGGCTGAAGAACAGCAGAGATTGCTGCTTGCTCCTTCCTCTGGAAGCTTCATCCCAGAGGGTTACCGGCCTGATCCTCGCCAGATCCCTCCTGTATGACGTGTCTGTGAACCCCTGTTGGGAGGTCTATCCCAGTAAGGAGGCAGTCTGTCCCTTAGCAGAGCTTGAGCACTGTGCTGGGAGAATCCTCCTTGTCAGGATCTGCTGCTCTCTGCAGAGCTGGCAGGCAGGAACATTTAAATCTGCTGAAGCTGTGCCCAAAGCTGCCCCTTCCACCAGGTGCTCTGTCCCAGGGAGATGGAGTTTTATCTATAAGCCCCCGACTGGGACTGCTGCCTTACTTTCAGAGATGCCCTGCCCAGTAAAAAGGAATCTAGAGAGGCAGTCTGGCCACAGCCACTTTGCCGCATTGTGTTGAGTTCCACCCAGTCTGAACTTCCAGGCCTCCTTAGTACTGTCAGGAGAAAACTACCTATCAAAGCCTCAGTAATGGCGGATGCCCCTCCCTGCACCAAGCTTGATCATCCCAGGTTGACTTTAGGCTGCTGCACTGGCAGCAAGAATTTCAAGCCAGTATTTCTTAGCTTCCTGGGCTCTGTGGGAGTGGGACCCACTGAATGAGACCACTTGGCCCCCTGGTTTCAGCCTCCATTCTAGGGGAGTGAACAGTTCTGTCTCTCTGGGGTTCTAGGTGCCACTGGGATATGAAAAAAAAAAAAAACCCTCCTGCATCTAGCTCAGTGTCTGCCCAAATAGCTGCACAGTTTTTTGCTTGAAACTCAGGGCCCTGGTGGTGTTGGCACATGAGGGAATCTCCTGGTCTGCAGATTTCCAAAACTATGGGAAAAGTGTAGTATCTGGGCTGGTTAGCATAGTCCCTCATGGCTTCCTTGCTTGGAAAACAGAGGCCCCCCACTCCTTACACTTCCTGGGTAAGGCAATATCCCACCTTGCTTCTGCTCACCCTCTGCACTGCACCCACTGCCTAACCAGTCCCAATGAGATGAACAGGGTACCTCAGTTGGAAATACAGAAATCACCCACCTGCTGTGTTGGTCTCGATGGGAGCTGCAGTGCAGAGCTGTTCCTATTTGGCCATCTTTCCAGATCCCCACAAGTTACTCTTAAGGACTATCTGCCCTTTAACAAAATTATAAAAGGTTATCAAAAGTTTTTGGTGTTGTAAATTTCTAAGTCATAATCTTGGCAAAAAAATAACTTATGGCAACCTCATTTTTTTTTTTTTGAGACAGAGTCTCCCTCTGTCACCCAGGCTGGAGTGCAGTGGCATGATCTCAGCTCACTGCAACCTCTGCCACCTGGGTTCAAGTAATTCTCTTGCCTTAGCCTCCCGAGTAGCTGGGATTACAGGTGCCCACCACCACGCCTGGCTAATTTTTGTATTTTTATTATAGACGGGGTTTCACTATGTTGGCCAGGCTGGTCTCAAACTCCTGACCTCAGGTGACCCGCCTGCTGCCTCAGCCTCCCAAAGAGCTGGGATTACAGGTGTGAACCACCACACCTGACAACTCAATTCTATTTCATAACATCAAGGGTTTTAAACTTCTAACATATTTAATTGGCTTCCCAAACTCAAACTTCATTTTCAAAATTGTCTTTCCTGACACCTGGCTTTTGGATGCTGCAGAAGGCCCCTGAAGTATCCAAAAGAGAGGTAAACAGGATTATTTAACATGTTTAGTTACTTGGGATTGCCAAAATGGTGTTCAATCTTCTTTAGGTTATATTTTGGTGAATAATGCTAAAATATGTTCCAAAATTTTATGGGATTTCTAAAATTCTAATGTCTAAAATATATGCTATCAGTCATAATTAAGGTTATTATGTTAAGTTATTGTAAACCACAGAGATAACCGCACTTCTTTGTCAGATGTGTTTCTGACTGTAACTACCCTGAACATTTTGTTATTCACCAGCAATTGTTCTTCCCCCAGCATCTTTCCAATTTTTTCAAATGATGGTTTATAATCAGCTATAGAAAACTCTTGACAGATGCTCTCACATACAGCATTTTGATAAGTTTGGAGATTGTGACATTGGAATAAAGGAGAAACTTACAGAACTCATGAAGAGCTGAAATGTTAGTGAATATCAAGCAAAATGATAGTTAAATAAATGGACTGAACTCATAGAAAACTGAAGCAACTTTTTGACTTTTGCTTGGAATATTGCTGATCCTTGTTTTGTTTTTCAGAGTCAAGGAAACTTATTCTGAACTATTTACAACCCTTAATAACTGAGTAAGGTATACTCTTGTGAACAAAATTTGGAGCGTATTTCTCTCTCTTTCTCCACCTGGCTTCTCCAGAATTTGGAAACAAGTTGTGAGTACTCTTAATTTATGGCAGTATCGTTGTTTGAATCAGTGCAATAAGAATCCATTTTCTTTTGCAACAGGACACAATTGGAAAACCTGGTTGTTTTACCAAGGCTTTGGCTGGAAGGATATGCTTCCCTTTAAAGAGTCAAGCTCAACTTGCAGAACAAATAAAAGCCCCTTGAGGAAACTGGCCTCATACTCATGTCTATGCAGTCCCTGTACAGGGTTCCTGACCTATGTTCAGTAAATAATGTCAATTTCTAACAGACCCAGGGGCTCCAAGTTTATCTTGGGACCTTAAGAGGAGAGGATCACTCAACTCACAGGTATTTGAGGATAAAAACTCATGTCTAGGCTTGGCTTTAAAAGGTTTTATCTGAGACTCCTTGTGGAACAGAGTTCTAGCAAAGCCAGTCTAAATAGGCCTATTTAGAAACAATTATTCTTGCTGCACTTTATGCAAATAAACAGGCCAAGTATAAGGCTAAAGTCATCTCCAACTGCAGCTCAGAAGGAACAAGAGGGATGAATAATGTAATAATCTGGATCAGTATTCTAGTTCTGAGCAATTATCTCGCAAACCCTGCCAGGTGATGGGAATAAATAGACTGCCCATCATATGGAGGTTTCCTTTTTGGGAAAGACCAATAATACTAAACCAAAGGGAGCTAACCAAAGCCAAGCCTCATCTTAGCAAACACAACTATAGCCAACAGTTATTTGGGCATTTCACAAGACATTCTTTTCTCTCCCTTGTTGGAAGAGGACTCAAGTCCACAGCTTCACCTTAATATTTGGCTTATGATAAGGAGCCCATGCAACCCCCCTGAGACACATTTTTGTCCCAAACTCAATTCCAAGATTCAGGTCAAATCCCTAGGAAAGAAAATTGGATCTGAGGAATCCAGAGGTAGACAATGATGGAAGTTAAAAGGTGCAGCACAGGTGAGTATGACTGATTCCTATCGATTAAGCCAAGCCTCCCATTTCACGGATATAGGTCAAGTTAGTATTCATGGCATACATGAGGTCTAGAAAATTCAAAGGCTACTGACAGTAGGGGAGATAGGGCATACATGGGTAAAAGTGGATACCCCACACCCCCTAGGCCACCTGTTCACATGGGTGATAGCCACTTTGACAACCATGGGTGGCACACTGTCATGGTCAATGGAGCTCGAGGATACAATGATGGAGGAAAGAAAGAGGAACACTTTACTTTCCCTACCTTAGGTACACCAGGTATTTGCTAGGAAGGGAAGGGAACCAGGGATGCCTCACTCACCTCATTCTAGATGAGAAGCCATTCATCTTCAGCCTGTACCCCTTTTGAATGCATCCTGAACCCCTGGGAATCCTTTGAAAAAAAGACTCCTTTTTTTCCTTTTTCTCCTTCTGTTCTCTCTTCACTGATAATTGGGTCTCTGTACTATGGGACACTCCCCTCAACACATCCTACAAACTGGGAAAAGTTAATTTCCCAAACCTTAAGTTGGTTGGCTTAGGATTGGGCTCAGGGCATGGGAACCCAGCAACTCAACATGCCAGCAAAATGGTAAAAGTTTTTTTTTTTTTAACAATTGGGCTTTTGGACCCCGTCTCCCTGTATAAGCTGGTAAAAGGCCTCAGGATTTTTTAGCTGTCCTCACCCCCCTTATTTCATTTTGATACATGTTTTCTAATAATCCAGTTTGTCTCTTCTCACCTTTAGGCCATCAAATACCAAATGATCCTGCAACTGGAGCCCCGGATAATGGCCCCTTTTGCTGTGAACCCTCAGATATGTCTCTTGGGGAGATCTGACTGCCATTTTCCCAAAACAGCATCCCTTGTCATCAGGAAGCAGTTAAGATTGGTCTTTGTTCTTATCCTTATACTAAAGGCAATTAGATGTACTTCTTTAGACGGGGGAATGAGACAGCCAAGGGTTCACAGTGAAACCCTGCCTTCAAGTCTAAAACAGCCTGAAGGCTGAAAAACCAGACTGCTGGTCCCAGATGAAGCCCGTCCTTTCCCAATTAATTATTTCTAAATGATGTCCACCTGTGAACTGGGAGGATGGGGTAGAGCCTTGGGAAGTTCATGCCATTTGCAGTGGGGAGGAGCCTGGCCCCTCCTGTTCCCATGTAGTGAACTGGGATTCAATCTGAGAGGTGAGAAACCTACTAGAAGGACTCTTCTCTCTTTGCTGAGAGTTATTTTTCCTTTTTCCTTTTTGTCCAATAAATTCTGTTTTCCTCACCCTTTTATGTGTCTGTGAGCCTAGTCTTTCCTGGCTGTGTGTCAAGAGACTAGTTTTAGCTGAACTAATGAGAAAGTTTTGCAACACTTGTGGTGTTAACCAACCCAGTTGTGACAACAGAATATGTCTTGAGATATTGACAAATGTCACTTGGGGGCAAAATCATCCCCCTTTTACTATTGGAAACCACTGAGATGGCATAATTAGAACCATCTCTATTCAATCACATGGCTAGTCTCAAAATAGGTATTCTGGAGTCTAGGCAGCCATAAAGGCTAGGAAAAAGGGTTGAGGGGAGAGCCACTTAAAAATGTCTAAGGACCATGTCTTCTTTATCGTAAAAAATGTTTAAATTGCTTAACTCTCTGTGGAGAAGATAAAGTTAACGTGATCTAATCCATTGTCTCATACGGTAATTTCCCAGTCTCTTGTTTGATGTTGCTTTATCAATGGGTAGGTAAGTGTATCTATTTTTATTAATCTTTTTCAATATTTTCTGGTTAGAACATTTTCATGTCATCTAATTCAAAGTGCTTCCAGATTCAGAAGTGTATTATAATTCTCCTTTTATTTTTATTCAGGATAATGTTAATAATTCAATAAATTATTTATTCAATTTATTCAGAATAAAATTCAAAACTCTAGTATGTAACAAAACAAATCTAAGAAAAGTTTCTAAAATTACTTGGTTTTATATAATACATTTTGTTAGGGTCACCCCAACCAGACTGTTCCCCTCCCTTCCAGTGGGTCTTATGATGCAGTCCTTTGTGACCTCTGCACAGCTCCCCCAGGGCTAAAGAAAAACCCTTCACTGACCCCGCCAGTAACTGTTTGTCCAGGCAGTTACAGGATGTGGTTAATGTGTCTGTTCACCTTGCATAACAAAGCTGGCAAAAGCATTCCCAGGATGCAGTCAAGACACCTCCACACCCAACTCGGCTCCCCGACCCCGACTCAGCCCTTCTGTACACCCAACTCAACTCCCCTACCCTGACCCAGTTCCTTGCCCTATAAAGCCCTGCTGTAGTCTGTAAGTGGGGCTGCCTCCTCTGCTTTTGTCAGGAAGTAGCCCAGCAGGGCTGACAATAAATCAGCTTGCCTGAACTTAGGTCTACTGGCCTCATTCCTTTTTCAGCTATCCTTCCAATTATCCCTTACACGTTTATCTCTTAGAAATAGAGATTTCTTTTGAGGCACAGAACAATAAAGGCAAACTCAAAGAGAGCACTTTTAAACTAATTGCATTGAGTCATTCAATAAATACATAGGTATGACCATTGACCATGGGTTGCTGGTCACTGTGAAAGGCATGGGAAGGCATTGAGTATAATGTGGTTTTCAGATTAGAAATAAAATATTAAACAAATTAAACACCAACAAATGAAATATTTGAATTTCTTATCTGCATTGTAAAGGACTAATACAGGGTGCCATGAGTAAGTGTAGAAAGGAGAAAAAGTGTTGGCCCAATTGAGATTAGCTGGCCAATGATCCTTCTCTCAGGAAATGAGAATTAAGATGAATTTTACTAAAAGCACAATTAGGAAATAAATGA
Source organism: Homo sapiens (assembly GCF_000001405.40). Taxonomy (NCBI): domain Eukaryota; kingdom Metazoa; phylum Chordata; class Mammalia; order Primates; family Hominidae; genus Homo; species Homo sapiens. Next base: position 89,311,300 of record NC_000001.11, on the reverse strand, counting down.
AGGAAAATTATTGAGAAAGAGCTTGATGTGTTTGGTCCTGAATGAAGGTTCATGTGGTGAAGCTGAGATTATGTGGGATGAGGAGAGGGGTGAGCAAAAGCCAGATTGTGTAAGATCTTGCAGGCAATCAGAGAGGAAAGGATTTTACCCTACCTGCAGTAGGAAACTTCTATGACCTTTGTGCAGAAAAGGTGAATGGCTTAGTTTGTGTTTTTAAAAAAGCACACACCATGATTACTACACTGAAAATCAATTGAAGATGGCCAAAAACAATGATTCCTGGCCATGCCATCAGCCCCCAAAATAGACCCTGCTGCAGCTTTTTTAAATGGCCAGCTGTTTGTAGAAAGATTTAAAATGCTAAAAGCTATGTATTTATTCTGGAAAAGCAGCAATGAGAGGTGCTGAGGCTCTTAACTATAATGTTTCTCCCTTTATTCCCTCCAAATTGCACACATTTCCACTCATTATGTTTGAAAATCACTTTGTATAAAAGTTTTCCAGCCAGAAAAACAATCCCTTAGGTCATTCAAGGCTACTTGAAATGGCATTTCCTGTAAACATACTTCAGATTGAAACTGAAAGCAATGAAGAGCTACTTTTATAATTGGCTCATTTCTAAGAAGTCAGCTTCTGTTCTAGCAAAATAATGTTATATTTTGCCATAGAGTTTCCAAAGCGAAGGTGTCTGAGCTCTATTTGAATTCATTTTCCAAACATGGCCCCTTCTATCTTATAGCATAATAAATATATGGACAAGATATTATAAAAAGATAAAACAAAGGTTTTTTTTAACATAGTATCCCCAATTCTTGATAGGGAGGAAAGGGTGCACATTTCTAAGTTCACTGATATGTCTGCTGGAACAGAAAGGGAGAATACAAGGATGTACATGTCAACAGAAATCTAAGTAATTAAAAAAAGATGCTAAATTGTTTTGATAGAGAAATTTTGATTCATTCTGGAAGCAAAGATAGTGAGTAGAGAAAAGAAAATAGAATAGGCAGAGGAGAGAGTAGTGCCAGGAAGATAGAAAGGGGGTGAGCTTCAGTGGAGTAAAGAGCTCTTGGTTCCCTTCAAAGCTGTGATGGGCAAATAAAACTTAGGAAAAAAGATACCCTCTCGTCCTCTGTAAAATCAACTACACTGACACATGGTTTTTTTTTTTTTTGGATAACTTGCATTTGAAAGTGGAGATTATAGAAGCTGCTATGACAATCTCTATCTCAGTTTGTATTACCATACAACAGGTGAGAGATCACTTCCATCATCATCATGACTGCAAAAGGATCAGACAATGACTCAGCATAGTCTTAGCCACCCTTTGAAAACCACCCAAATATTACAGAAAAATAATAGGAATCATTCCTTGATCTGCTGTTTTCTTTGTGAGGCCATGTAGTGTGAGATGATATGTTTGAATGAGATAAACAAATTTTTATTCTGATAAATGATCTAGCATAGTAAAGAAGTCCATCATGAACTAGCCTATGAAAGAGACTCTGAAAGTGAATTCCTAGGGAAGAAAATGGAGGCCGATGCTACATGCTCTGTTCATAAACTGTTCTAAGGTCTTTAACATGTCTCGTGGGCTAAGACAGAGTGTCCTGGAGACTGGGTTTGTGTATGAGTTTGGCTCTGAGATAAGTATTGAAGGATGAGCTACAGATTATGTGCTGTCGAAAGATAGGAATGTTCATAGAGATATTGAAAAATTGAAAACAACCTAAATGTCTTTCAATGGACAAATGCAAATATTATATCCATAATCATATAAGAAGCTATTCAAGAAAATGCAAACACACACACAGAGATCTTTAAAAAATCACTGTGACAAAAGATTGTTAAAAACAGTTACATACTTGAATGACAAAATAACAAAAGAGGATGTCCAAATGGCTAATAAACATATGAAAATCTGCTCAATTCTATGACGTTAAAATCATAGTATGTTACCTCTACACATCTGCCAAATGAAAATGAGGCAAATAATATCAAAGTTTGATGAGCTTGTGGAGCACCTGGAATGCTCATACACTGCTAGTGTGAATGTAAATTAGTTCAACTATGAAACCATTTTAAATATATTCTAACCCTGAACATATGCCTTTCCAGCAATACTTTTGTATTCATTTATACATGAAAATGTGTGCAACCAAAAGGTATGTGCAAGAATTTTCCTAACAGTTTTTCTCATAATAGCCAAAAACTAGACATTACCCAAATGTCCACCAACACTTGCCTGGATAAATAAATTATAGAGAAAATATTCCATTTATGGTAATTCCAATTGGGTAATGTCTAGTCTTTGGCTATTATGAGAAAAACTGTTATGAAAATTCTTGCACATATCTTTTGGTTGCACACATTTTCATTTACGGAATGGAATATTTTATACAATTTAATATAAATGAAAACTAATGATTTATAGCTACACACAAAAATATAGACCAATCTAACAAGCATAATATTGAAAACAATTTACTGAAAGCTAAAAATTGCATTGTTTATTGTTTTATTTAAACGAAGTACTAAAGCAGAATAGTTGTTGTCCTTGATTGGGAGAGAAAGGAATTGGTAATGCCTGAATTGGAATATGAGGAATACTTTTGGAGTCCCATGATTTTTTTTTAAATTTGAATGCTGGCAATGTGGATGTGTTCAGTTTGTGAAAAATTATTGAGCTATAAATTTGTGAGGTGTGTACTTTTCTGTATGCATATTTGTGCTCAAGGGAGTTTACTTAAAATATATCTAGGAATAAATAAACACACATAAGGACTATACCTTGAAAACTAGAGTATTGCTGAGAGATTTTTAAAAATCTAATAAATGAAGGAACTTTTTTTATTTTTAAAATGCCATTTATCTTAGCCCCTCTTTTTTTGCTATAAAAGTATACCTGATGCTGAGTAATTTATAAAAAAAAAGAGGCTTATTCAGGTCACTGTTTTGAGGGCTGTACAGGAAGCATGGTGCCAGTATCTGCTTGTGGCAAGAGCATCAGGGTGCTTCCACTAGTGGTGGAAGGTAAAGGGAGCCAGTGTGTGCAGAGTACATGGTGAGTGAGGAAGGAAGAAAGAGAGGAGAAGGTGCTAGGCTGTTTTTCAGTCAGTTATCATGGGAACTAATAGAGTGAGAACTCACTCATTACAATGAGGACACATGAAACTATTCATGAAGGATTCGATCTCATGACCCAAACACATCGCATTAGGCTTCACCTCCAACATTAGAGATCAGATTTCAACATGAGATTTGAACAGGACATATAACCAAATTACATCACCGTTTATCTATAGATTTGAGGTAATTCCAAGCAAAAGCCAAGTTGGGTATATTAATAATTTTAGGAAATGGCTAACTTATTCTAAAATTTATACGGAAAAGCAAAAAACTGAGAACAACCAAGGCAATTCTGAAGAAGAAAACCAAATGAAAAAACAGATGTCAAAACTTATTATAAAGCTAGTGTAATTGAGATAGCATGGTATTGGTGCATGCATGAAGTAATATATAGATGCAATAAACTAGAGGGCTCAGAAAGAGACTGACATATGTATGGGGAGTTGATTCATGGTAACTATAGGGAAACAATAGTCTTTTCAATAAATGGCACTAGGCCAATGTTATAGGCATAAGAAAAAACAAAAACTTGTTTCTTGCATCCTGTCATCCACAAAAGTCAATTCCACATGGATTGTAGATTCAAATGTAAAAGACAAAACAATAAACATTTTTTAAAATGTCAGAGATGATTTTCATCTTTTTCAAGTTTGGAAACAGGACACAAAAGCACTAAGTGTAAACAACACATGGAAAAATTTCACTACTTAAAATGAAGAATTCTTGTTCCTCCAAACACACCATGAAATAATGAAAAGGCAAACTAAAGTTACCAGTATATACATAGACATGCATAGAACTACACACAAACTCAACCTCAGAATATATTTGGCAGTCATCAAGTCATGAAAAAAAGAGACAGACAAGCCATTAGGAAAATATTCAAGAATCTTGAATAGGCAAGTGAAAAAGAATATTCAAATAAGCAAAAGATATGAAAAGATGCCCAATTTCCCTGTTTATTACTATTTTCAAAGAAAATCAAATTACATGTGAAATTAAAAATACATACTCATCAGAATGATTACAAATATACAGTCTGGGATTTTTGCATGGTAAGAATATGAAACATTTAAAATGTTTATGCATTTGTGCTGAGAATATAAATTGAGACATTTATATTTGAAAACTGTTGCATAGTATCTACTATTAAATGAATAAATGTATACAGTGGAGTTAACTAATTTCACTTCTACCTTTATGCCCGGCTAATATGCATACCTATGTGCTGAGTGCCAAAAACATCACAAATTCTTCTCAATAGTAGAATGAATAACACATTTATAGTATATTCATAAAATGAAGTGTTACACAGCAGTAAGCACAAATAAAGTATCACTGAGACCAGCAACTTAAATGAATTGCAATCATAATGTTGAATAAAAGAAGCCAACACGAAACATCCTGTATAATTTGATTTATACTAAGGCACAAAACACACAGTAGTAATCTATGGTGTTAAAAGTCAGATAAAAGTTTCTGTAGTAGTTATCTATTACTGCTTATCAAATTTCCCTAAAATTTTGCGGCTTGAAACAACATTTATTAATTCATAGTTTCTGTAGGCCAGGAATCTGGGTGTGGTTTTAGCTGGGTCCTCTGCTTTGTGGGCTCTCACAAGTCACAATCACAGTGCTGATTGGGAACAGTCTAAACCTTTGAAGAAGAATTTTATTGTATCTTACACTGACACAGTGAAGAACACAGGAACTTTGATCATCTGAATGTTCTATAGAACTTCCGATTCAGAGGCCAATACTCTAGGGCATGTCAGGACATATCCTCCAAAATAATGCACAAATTGTTGCACAGAATCCATTCTACCAGTGCATACTGAGCCTTTTATGCTGGAATCTGCTGATAATATATTTGGGAAATGTTGCTACAACCCCTTTATTTGTTGCCTTGGAAAGCTTCCTATTTGAGTGGGACCCAGAGTGAGTGGGCACTCTAAGCAGATCTAGCTGCAGTGACAGCTGCCTTTCTGCCTATGCCATATGACCCAAAATATCTGATGCATCTAGAAGAGTCTACCAAACCTTAACAAGAATATTGGCATAGTCTCCTGGGTTTTGGAGTAAGACTATGCCTTCTGCAGCAGAGAAATAGTTGCTAGTTAAAAAGCAGTTCCTGGGGAGGGGTGTGCGTGGTGGGTGGTGTAGAGGAAAGCTGGTAGGTAAGTGTTGAATCTGTGAATTCTCTTAACCTTCCCTCATTCCTGCACTGCAAACCCCTGATCCCATCTGGCCACCTGGTTCAGACATGCTTTTCCTAAATTAAAAAAATATATACCATTAATTGCTTTTACTTTAGGGTTTTATTTTTCTGTCCCATTTTCTTTGTGGTAATGATAATTATCCCCAGTGTTTTCCAGCTTCCATAAAGCAGAGACAGAGATGTAGGAGGAAAGGAGGCAGGAGAGAGGCAATTGAGAGCTTGAAGTCACTGACCTGCGAATCCATGGAGCAAAACTGCTCACTCAGCAACTTTCTTCTACGTGCAACTTTGTCTTGAACTAGACTTCTCAGTTTCTGATTTAAAACAGCAGTCAAGAATTGGGGATATAAGAGGGAGGATTGCTTGATGACCTGGCCTGCAGGGGTCAGTTAGTTCTGGAGAAGCTCAACTTCTCCATGTAGACCAGAGGGAGCTGCAAGGTGACAGCCTCCTACCCCATCACCTCACTTGGGACAGCAGCAAGTGGAAAGGAAAGAACCCTGCATGAAGAGATTCATTTCTTCTCCGTTTTTTGTTTTGTTTTGGTTTGATTTTTAAGGGAGAGGGGGGCATTTTTATCCATGACCTCAACTTGTCTCACTGTAACATGCATTAGGAGAGACCTATTACTGGGTCTCAATCTGGCTGCATATTAAAGTCACCTCCCAAGATTTTAAGAAGTATTGATGATTCCCTCTTTCTTCGCTATCAGATTTAATTGGGTTGAAGGGTGGCCCACACATCTTTATTTTGTAAGAAAGCTCTCCTCTTTCCTGGTGACTCTAAAGTGCTGCCAGTGTTAGGAAATGCTAAATAAGACCAAAAAGACCATCTCCAAAGTTTTCTCATCTGCAAAGGCCTGTATGACTCAATTGAATGTAGTTCAGATGCAGCAACTTCAAAACCTATCCCACATTCTTCTTGGCCTCTCTGTGTGGCATTGTTCCCTCCAGGGTATGGGGCAGAATCCTTTCTGAAATAGAAGTCTTATGACCTACAATCAGATAAGGTAGATCACAGAATTTCCATATGGTCACAGCCAAGACAGAAAGATGGGGGCACATATATTTTTCATTTCTATGACTATGACCTGCTTTGTGGAGAAAGAACAAGGGGTATTGGAGTTATGACCTAGGAACCATAGACGAAAACAAATATATACATATTCGTGTGTGTGTGTGTGAGATAATATCACACTACCCTAAGGGCTCTACAGATTCAATGCAATTCTTATCAAAATACCAATGATATTCTTCACAGAAATAGAAAACAAAATTCAAAAATGTATATGGAACCACAAAATAACATGAATAGTCAAAGTAATCTTGAGCAAGAACAAAGCTGGAGGCATCACACTACCAGAGTTCAGTATATACTATTTATTCAAAGCCCTAGTAGCCAAAGCACCTTGGTACTAGTATAAAACAGAAACACAGACTACACAATTGAAAATCCAATAATAAATTCACACATTTACAGTTAACTTATTTTTGACAGCAATTCCAATAAAACATATTGGGGAAAAAGACAGTTTCTTCAATAAATGGTTCTGGGGAACTGAATGTCCATATGCACAATGGAACTAGACCCCTGTATTTCACCATATACAAAAATCAACTCAAAATATATTAAAGACTTAAATATAAGACTCAAAACTATAAAACTACTAGGAGAAGACATAGGGGAAATACTTCATGACACGGTCTGGGCAAGGAATTTTTGGATAGGACCTCAAAAGCATGTGCAACAAAAGCAAAAATAAACAAATGGGATTACATCAAATGAAAAAACTTCTGCGCAGCAAAGGCAACAGTTAACAGGGCAAAGAGGCAACCTACAGAATGGGAAAAAACATTAGCAAACTATGCACTCAACAAAATGTTACTATCCAAAATATACAAGCATAAGCAGGTATTCCCAGCCTCAAATGCATTTAAATTATTCTTTCTTGCTTGCTTCCAGCCTTGAAACATACTTTGAAACTCTGTCTCTCCCTTTCTCACCAGCCACTTCCATGAACAGTGCTCATTTATCTAATTATATGCTTGCTTAGATATTCCAGGAGCCAATTTTGAAATCAACCAGGTAGAGAGACCCAATGCTGGAATCCTCCCACTAAGGGGGAGTTAGGAACAGTTAGCCCACGCCTACTGGGCAGAAGTCAGGATAATGCAAACCAGACATCGAGACAAACAATCACTCAAGATATCCATTGGAACAAGACGTGCAGATCTGCATCTTCCTGCACCATTGCCATCTATTTCCCACAACTTTTCCTTCTTAAACTCCTTCACTCAGCCCAAAAGGCAGAGACGACTTCTTTGAGGCTGAAGCCTGACCATCTCCCACCTGCTAGCACTGGATCAATAAAGTCGCTTTCCTTTCACCATGCCTTCTTTCTCATGTTTTCAGCCTCTGCAGCAAGCAGTTGGAGTTCACCCAGTTATATACAAAACTCAAACAACTCAATAAAACAAAAATATCTGATTTAAAAAAGGAAAAATATCCAATTAGACACTTCTCAAAAGAAAACACACAAATGGCCAGCAGGTATAGAACAAAATATTCAACTTGGCTAATCATAAGGGAAATGCAAATAAAAACTACATTTAGACACAAGCTAGCAGCCCTCGCTAGCTCTCGGTGCCTCCTCGGCCTCGGCGTCCACTTCAGCCCACTGCTGCACAGTGGGAGCCCCTCTCTGGGTTGGCAGAGGCTTGAGCCGGCTCCCTCTGCTTGCGGGGAGGTGTGGGGGGAGAGGCACGGGTGGGAACCAGGGCTGTGCGCCCGGTGCTCGGGGACCAGCGTGAGTTCTGGGTGGGGACAGGCTCAGCTGGCCCTGCACTCGGAGCCGCCAGCTGGTGCCGCCAGCCTCTGCAGTGAGTGGCTTAGCACCCGGGCCAGCAGCTGTGGAGGGTGTGCTGGGTCCCCCAGCACTGCCGGCCTGCCCGTGCCACGCTCAAATTCTCGCTGGGCCTCTGCCACCTCTCTGCGGGGCAGGGCTCGAGACCTGCAGCCTGCCATGCCCAAGCCCCCCCTCCCTGGTGGGCTACCAGGAGGCCCAAGCCTCCCCTAGGGGCACCACCCCCTGCTCCATAGCACCAGGTCCCATCGACCACCCAAGGGCTGAGGAGTGCAGGCACTGGGCGTGGGACTGGTGGGCAGCTCAGCCTGCAGCCCTGGCGCAGGGTCCACTAGGCAAAGCCAGCTGGACTCCTGAGTCTAGTGGGGACTTGGAGAACTTTTATGTCTAGCTGGAAGATTGTATATGCACCAATCAGCACTCTGTGTCTAGCTCCGGGTTTGTGGATGCACCAATCAGCACTCTGTATCTAGCTAATCTGGTGAGGACTTGGAGAACTTTTATGTCTAGCTAGATGATTGTAAATGCACCAATCAGCACTCTGTGTCTAGCTCAAGGTTTGTAAATGCACCAATCAGTGCCCTGTATCTAGCTCAAAGTTTGTAAACACACCAATCAGTGCTCTGTGTCTACCTAATCTAGAGGAGACTTGGAGAACTTTTATGTCTAGCTAAAGGATTGTAAATGCACCAATCAGCACCCTGTGTCTAGCTCAAGGTTTGTAAATGCACCAATCAGCACCCTATCAAAACGGACCAATCAGCTCTCTGTAAAATGGGCCCATTGGCTCTCTGTAAAATGGGCCAATCTGCTCTCTGCAAAATGGACCAATCAGCAAGATGTGGGTGGGTTCAGATAAGGGAATAAAAGCAGGCAGCCCGAACCAGCACTGGCAACCTGCTGGAGTCCCCTTCCACGTGGTGGAAGCTTTGTTCTTCCGCTCTTCCTAATAAATCTTGCTGCTGCTTACTCTTTGGGTCTGCACCACCTTTATGAGCTGTAACACTCACCACGAAGGTCTGCAGTTTCACTCCTGAGCCAGTAAGACCACGAACCTACCAGAAGGAAGAAACTCCAGACACATGTGAACATCTGAAGGAACAAACTCTGGACACACCGTCTTTAAGAACGGTAACACTCACCGCGAGCGTCCGCAGCTTTGTTCTTGAAGTCGGCAAGACCAAGAACCCACCAATTCCACACACTCTACCTCACCCCAGTTAGAATGGCTATTATCGAAATGACAACAACAAAAAAATACTGGCAAGGATGCAGAGAATGGAGAACTCTTACACACTATTCACACAGTTAGTGGGAAGGAAATTTAGCATAGACATGATAGAAAACAGTATGGAAGTTCTACAGAAAATTAAAAATAGAGTGTCATAGAGTCCAAAATTCCACTATTGTGTATATATATCCAAAAGAATTAAAATCAGCATATTGTAGAGATATCTGCTCTTTAATGTTTAATGCAGCACTATTCACAATAACGAAGATACAGAATTAACCTAAGTGTCTATGGATGGATAAATGGATAAAGAAAATGTGGTACATATACACAATGGAACACTAGTCAGCCTTAAAAAAAGAATGAAATCCTTTATTTGTGGCAACATGGATCAAACTGGCGGATGTTGTGTTGAGTGAAATAAGCCAGGCCCAGAGAGGCAAATACTGCATGATTTCACTCATATGTGGAATCTAAGAGAGTTGATCTCATAAAAGTAGAGAGTAGTGGTTACCAGAGCATGGGAAAGTGGGGAGAGGTGCGGAGGATGGCAAGAAGTTGGTCAATGGGTATAAAGTTACAGTTAGGAAGAATAACTTACATGTTCGATTACACAGTAGGGTGACTGTAGCTAATAACAATGTGTTGTATATTTCAAGATAGCTAGAATAAAGGATCTTTGAAAGTTATCATCACAAAGAAATGATAAAGGTTTGAGGTGATTGACATAACTACCCTGATTTTATCATTATATAATGCATACATGCATTGAAACATCACACTGTATCTTCAAAACATCTGCAATTATTGTGTGTCTACTATAAATAAAATCTTAAAAATCTCAAAAAAAGTATAACTGAACAGAGCCACCAGCTGCTGCACATAGGAGGACCTCAGACTGTAGAGACTTAGTCTAGGCAAGACATCAAAGAAACTAAAGAACAAAGATACCAAGTAATTAACGTTAATACATTGTTCAAAGAATCAAAGCAAAATATGATGACATTGACTCATGATATAATAATTTCAATAAGGAGATAGAAGTTATAAAAAACAGAAACTCTGGCATTGAGAAGTTCAATAACACATAAAAATAATTAAATGACCATAACTCCCAGAATTTGATTAAAAACATTAATCTACACCTTCAGGAATCTATATGAAGTCTAAAAATATAAACACAGCAAAATTCCCACTAAAATACACCGTACTCATCTGCTAATGGCAAGATGGGGTAATAACAAGAAAGCTAGTCAGGCAACATGTACTAAGTTGTAACTGCAGTTACTGGAATTTTCTATATACTTGTATGTATATATTTTTACTTTAAGTTCCAGGATACATGTGCAGAATATGCAAGTTTGTTACATAGGTATACATGTGCCATGGTGGTTTGCTGCACCTATCAACCTGTCATGTAGGTTTTAAGCCCTGCATGCATTAGGTATTTGTCCTAATGCTCTCCCTCCTCTTGTCCCCCACCCCCTGATAGGTGCCAGGTGCCAGTGTGTGTTTTTCCCCTCCCTGTGTCCGTGTATTCTCACTGTTCAACTCCCACTTATGAGTGAGAACATGTGATGTTTGGTTTTCTGTTCCTGTTTTAGTTTGCTGAGAATGATGGTCTCCAGCTTCATCCACATCCCTGCAAAGGACATGATCTCATTCTTTCTATGGCTGCATAGTATTCCATGGTGTATATATGCCACATTTTCTTTATCCAGTCTATCATTGATGGGCATTTAGGTTGGTTCCAAGTCTTTGCTAATGTAAATAGTTACTGGAATTTTGTAACCTTCATTGCATCTATACTTTGTCATGTTCTAGATATTAACTCAGCATGCCTTTTCTAAATATTTAAAAACCCCACGAGCTAATTTTACTTTCAGCTTCAGTTTTCACTCCATTTCCTTTCTGGGAATGATTAACATTCTTAGTTTGTTTTCAGTGTTTATAAATTAGAAGCAAAACCTTAGAGGGAGGAAACAGAGCAAGGGTGAGTTGGCAGCTACGGAGAACTAGTTAGTACTGAGCACAGTCACCTGCAGTGCTGTGGAGCAAGTACACTCATTGTTTATAATTTATCCACTCTAAGGTATTTTGTTGGAGCAGTCAGAATAGACTAAGACAAGTCATACAACTAAAAGTGAAATAAAATAAATTAATAAATTAAAATTCACCCGTGGTGATATTCTGCCATATATGTGGTTTTCTTCCTTTCTTTTTTTTTTTTCCACTCTATTGTCAGCTCACTGCAGCCTCTGTCTCCCGGATTCAAGTGATTCTCCTGCCTCAGCCTACTGAGTAGCTGGGATTACAGGCATGCGCCACCAAGCCTGGCTAATTTTTATATTTTTAGTAGAGACTTTGTTTTGCCATGTTGCCCACGCTGGTCTCGAACTCCTGGGCTCAGGCAATCCACTCGCCTCGGCCTCCTAAAGTGCTGGGATTACAGGTGTGAGCCACTGTGCCCGGTCATATGTGTTCTATACATATGGAGCTCTCCATTTACATTCAAAATAAAAGTTTCATTTCATACAGTTGAGTGTTAACAGTACAATTATTCCATGGGTCTACAAGCAAATACTTGACTCTCAATATATTTAAATGGTTCTCTATATCTCTATTTTTATAGCAAGATTATGTAAACATAACATGAAGGCTACCATAATTTCCAAGAAGAGATGTTGGATATGATAAGTGCCCTCTTCACTAAGAATGTGAAATATGGATATGGATATATCTTAATTCAAACTAAATTTCGAATAATTCATAAGTGGAATTTTAACAGGACAAATAATCTAATTTACCCTGCCTACGTATTCACCTCTCTAGTCTAGTTTGTTTGTAATATGCTTCACCAGGAAATTGTTTTTCCAGGATATCTCAAGCATATTAACTAAAGAAAAAAATAATTAATTGTTTAAATACAGTGACCTGAGAAACACACAAGAGTGAATAGGAAGATAAAGGTGAATTTAGTAAGAAAAGATAGGACTTATGACGGTATTCACACTGTGTAGAGTTTGCTTGTGATTTTAGAACTGTAGTCCCAATATTTGAATCCCATTGATGTCCCAAATTTCCTGCCTCTTTCAGGGCTGGGGATTCTGGTAGTGACTTATGTGAATATCATCAACAGTGGAATGGTTTCATTATTTGGAAAATGCAGAAACACCTCTGACTCAGAGTGAGAACACACTGGCCCTACAGAGTGATGTTCTCACAGACAAGTCCTGCAGATGCCTTACCTGGCTCATTTCAAAGCTTTCATATAGCATCCTTCTAGTATGACAAGCATTTCATGATACTTTGTCTTAGTAGTTGGCTCTGTTACCTTAATTTTAGAATAATAGCTAGTGGCCACTTTATAGGCAATAAGATTACCTATCATTCATAGGAGATTCTTCTGAGTAAGGAATTTATAGAGAACTGTATTACTCTATTTTATCTCTTTCTCCTCCAAACTTGGAGATAAAATAGAGTAACACAGTTCTCTATAAATTCCAGATAATTTTTATCTGGAAATCTGTCTGACTTCTGAAGCAAATTCAGGACTGACCTTCTTATATCCTCCTTTAGTGAATACTTGAAAAGTCACCTTATGTGCTTGTAATTTTAGTTATTTTGAATTTGTCATGTTTTCTGTGGACTCTTTTCCATTCATAGCAACCCAAGTTTCTCTGGGAAGATTTTCTTACCAAGTCATTTTTTTTTTTTTTTGAGACAGAGTCTCACTCTGTCACCCAGGCTGGAGTGCAGTGGTGTGATCTCAGCTCACTGCAACCTCCACCCCCCGGGTTCAAGCAATTCTCCTGCCTCAGCCTACCAAGTAGCTGAGACTACAGGTGCCCACAACCACGCCCAGCTAATTTTTGTATTTTCAGTAGAGGTGGGGTTTCACCATGTTGACCAGGCTGGACTCGAACTCCTGACCTCAAATGATCCACCCACCTGAGTCTCCCAAAGTGCTGGGATTACAGGTGTGAGCCACTGCACCTGGCCTAGTCTTTCTTTATATTTATTTTGCTTTTAGTTATATCACTTGTCTTAGTCCATTCTGGCTGCTATAACAAAATACCTTAGACCAGGTAAATTGTAAACAGAAATTTGTTTCTTACAGTTCTAGAGGCTGGGCCATCCAAGACAGAGTGCTGGCAGATTTGGTGGCTGGTGAGAGCTGCTCTTGGCTTCAAAGATGGTGCCTTGTTGCTGTATCTGCACATGATGGAAGGAGAAGGGTCACTCCTTTCAACCTCTTTTATAAGTGCATTAATCCCATTCAAATCACTTTCTAAAAGCCCTGCCTCTTAATACTATCACATTGAATATTTGGTCCTAACATATAAATTTTAGGGGACACTAACCTTCGGACCATAACACCACTGTTATTTATCCTGTAGGTGGATTCCCAGGATGTTCCAGCAGCAAGATACCATAGAGATTATGTGCTGTAAAATCAACATTACACAGGGAGGCCCAAGGAAGTAAGAAACATATCAATAGTCTTATAGAGAGCACTTTTCCAAGTTGGGAGTGATTCGAATTTATTTTTGTTAGATTTTGCTTTATTTTAATGACTTGGTTGAAATCTAATTTACACACTATATATTTTACCTATTTAAAGTGCACATTCAATTCTTGAAGGGAAGGCAGGCTAGGAAAACTTCCTGAAAGAGGAGTGTGATGTAAATTTTGAAGAATGTGTTCATGCTCTCCAAGTTTAGATGCTTTTTCTTTCCCAGGGTTTGTGCTGCTACTTTGAATTATTCCAGATTATCTCATGGAGCCATATTAAATGGGATTCCCAGGTTTACCATGTAGATATTGTAACTAGGGTTAAATATAAGCAGCAATTGGTTATTTTAAGGTTATCTTTGTGTGGTAGTATGTTTCCTAAAAACGGGAACCCTACCACCATACGGAGATCCTGACCTAGATTTAGCAGATATGCACACTCAGAAATGCAGGGAACTGACAGCTAATCTAGCTGCAGATGTTTTTCTGCCTCTTTAACTTCTAAAGAGAAGACCCATAGGCAGAAAAAAACATGTGAAAATATGAAAGCACCAGAAGTTATGCATTTATAAAGGTACGCATTTTTCTAAGTGGTGGAACCTAGCATTGATGGGGAGAAGCAACATTGGCAGGGGAGGTTGGAGGGGGAGCAATACAAGCAAGATCTTGAAAACTTGTGTGGGCAGGCAAAGAATAAGGAAACATTAATTGGAACAGAATTTCTCCTCAGAGTATTTCATTGGAAGTTTAAGTTTGACCTGCGTGATGTGTCTTGGCCTTTTCTTGGTTCCTCAAAATAATTGAGCTCTCCAGCGCTTGCTGTGGTTGTAGCAGATGTGGATAGAATCCAACCTGTGGAAATCCAAGGCCTTGCAAGGTACAGGGGCAGGTCTCAGCTTCCATCAGGGTGGGTAGTTTCCTGCAGGGCTGTTTGAGAGATCTGATGGGAGGATTTTCTGAAACAAGGAGCTTCCTAAATGTGAAAATAACAACAGAGTTGTGGTAGAGCGTCAGCCAGACAGCTGTGTCTTGCCCATCACATTCTGAAGTTTGCTCTTATTGTATGGCCACTGGATGAATTCAAATATTTCCCATCTGCCTTTTCAACAGCAGTTTGATATCTGAGAAGGGATGTATGGCACTCACGTCTGACTGTTCTTTTTCTTCCCTCTCAAAAACCTTCACGGATCAGCAAAGCGAGCCAAAAAAAAAAAAAAAAAATCACCTGAAAAGGAAAAAAATGCTTCTCAAGCAAAGGTGTAAAGAACAGCAGCAAAACTTGGAGGCTCAAGAGAGGAGCTTTGTGGAAATCAAAGCCCAACTGAGAAAGGAGTGAAAGAAAAGGAAAACCTACTGAGAGAGCAGGATCAGAAGACTCTGAAGCTTGAGATGAGTCTGGCCTGGATCTAGGCAGTGCTTTCTGGGCAATGCCATGGTACTTCAGGATAGGATGGGTGAAAATTAAAGCAAAGGCATAGAGAGGACATCGTTGTCATGTATTATATTCAAACCTAAATAACTGTTTTTTTTTTAATGGTTTATTCATGGCCTCTAAGTTCTGTTCACAGTGTGTCTTTGGAGAGTTCTGTTAAGATTCTGGTAACTCAAGCATTTATAAAATACTGTTATTTTATAAAGTTATTTATAAAATACTGTTATTTTATAAAGTTATTTATAAAATACTGTTATTTTATAAAGTTATTTATAAAATACTGTTATTTTATAAAGTTATTTATAAAATATAAATAACTTTCCCAGGGTTTGTGCTGTTTTGAATTACTCCAGATGATCTCATGGAGCCAATATTAAATGGGGTTCCCAGGTTTACCAGGTGGATATTCTAACTAGGGTTATCTAATATAAGCAGCAATTGGTTATCTTTGCCAAGGTTATCTTTTTGTGGTAGTGTGTTTCCTAAAACCGGAAACCCTCCTACCACACAAAGATCCTAAGATAGGCCCACACTGACCTAAAATTAGCAGATATGCACACTCAGAAATGCAGGGAACTGACAGCTAATCTAGTGGCAGTTGTCTCCAGGTGAAGATAGCCTGCCTGAACAAGCACACAGCATAGAGAGAATTCTCTTTTTTCTTATCTGGAAGTGTTGATAGCTTCCTCTCACTTTCCCAGTCAAACCAGGATATATTCCTGCTGCAAACATCCTCTCATGATGAAAACACTTTTAAAAGAAAAATATAGACAGTGTTACAAGCTGTTAATATAAAGTCATATTTTTGAAAAAATGAAGATGTTAAGAAGTTTACCATTTACTTTCCTATTGCTGTATTTTTATAACCAAGTTGAATAACTAAGAAAAGCGAGTGACGATGTGCAAAACACTTAAAACAATTGTACTTCAAAGTCAAAGGAAAAAATTTGTGAAAAACAACCACAATGGCTTGCAATGTCTTAATTTTACCCTCTGTTGATATTATAAAATGTATGTTGTTACTATTTGAATTTATTTCCTTTGAATAATAATTTAAAGCAATTTAAAACATTTTTGATACAGCTTTTTTGTTCTGACTTATTTTTATGTCTGTATGCATTTTTCTGTCCTTCACCAAAATTTTAATATGAAAATAGAAAAAGCATCTAATATGGGATATCAATACCTGGCAAACAAAAGATAGAATAAATGTTGGCTGGATTCATTAATTTAAAGTGAAATGTAAACAGTTGTTTAGAATACAGAGGAGAAGAAAAAAACAAATTTGCATTAATCTGAAAAACATTAAAATAAGCTTATAGGATACCCTTCTGAAAGTTATAGAAGAATAATTTTACAAATGAGAGTAAATAAGTAGCTGCTTTGCTAGAGAGGGGGCTGAATGGCCTGTATGGGATGCTCCCTCCTTTCCCTTAGCTAAATGTGGTCCTCAGTTTGAAGATGTTTCAGCTGATGATATGGCTTAATTAATGGATGGTTCCATGAAACTCAAAGCTGCTGGAGTCCACTGGGCCACTGTGGCCATATGCCCCAAGGATGGCCATGTTTTGACAGACCAGAAAAGGATGCATGGCCTGATGGGCCAAGCTCTACATGGTAATAATACTTGTGTAGGTATTCCAACAGCAACTCCCTCCTACTTATTTACGTATGGTCCAGTGACTGGCAGATTAATGATTGGACCATTAAGAGCTTCTCTGCAGAAACCAGGAATGTAGAAGCAGCTTATGGACTGGAAAAGACACCTATTCATCACTTGTGTTGACACCTATGGCAGAGGACCATTCAAAAGGGAATGTGGATGGCACTCATGAGCTGACCCAGCATGAGCTCAGAAAATTGTCACAGTTGCTCATTGGGTTCTCCATAGAATGTGACCCAGAGCCCACCTCAGATGCAAGAATGGGCCAGATCATAAGGACCTGCCCTAGGAAAAATAAAAGCCAAAGATAGAACACAGCAGTGTGATTTCTGTCAGTAACCCAGGCTGTGCAATGTGATAAACTAGCCTGAATTAACCAGGGTTTAGGACCCACATGAATATGGCAAAATGACCACATCAAACCACTAGTTTCCAGTCACTGATTCTGGTGGTGTTTCACCACTGTTGATGCATGTTCTGAATATGGGACTACCATTTCAGTGTAGCATGTAGACAAGAGAACTACTGCTGTAGCTTTATAAAAGCACCTTTGCATATGTTCAGCAAAATTTCAATCTGATGAAAGCACTGTGTTCACTGCTCAAGCTACAGAGCAGTGGACATGTTCCCATGGCATAAGATGGATCTTGCATTTTCCCTATTTCACCCAGAGAAATGGGGTAATAAAATGATAAAATGTGTGGCTCAAGCAGTAACTAGACAAAGATCATCAGGAAGGACTACAGGATGACACTCCTGTCTAACTGATATGGTTTGGCTCTGTGTCCCCACCCAAATCTCACCTTGGATGGTAATAATCCCCACGTGTTGTGGGAGGAACCTGGTGGGAGGTAATTTAATTATGGGGTCAGGTTTTTCCCATGCTGATCTTGTGATAGCAAATACATCTCATGAGACCTGATGGTTTTATAAAGGGGAGTTCCCCTGCACATGCTCTCTTGCTTGCCGCCATGTAAGATGTGCCTGTGCTTCTCCTTTGCCTTCTGCCATGATTTTGAGACCTCCCCAGCCATGTGGAACTGTGAGTCCATTAAACCTCTTTCCTTTATAAATTACCCACTCTCTGGTATGTCTTTATTAACAGCATGAGAACAGACTAATACACTAAGAAAATCCATTTTGACATTAAACGTGGCACTGCAATTCATGCTGGGAAATACTGAGCTGGGAGGAGGTGGGGGACCAGGGAGTTTCTTGATTGGGCTGCACCTTCAAAATCCCAATCTCAGTATATCCAATCATTCTTTATCTATTTTCCTACAGGAAAGTACTCCCCAAAGGTGGTTGTGATCTGGGCTACAATGGCACCATAATAGGGCCTCCCAATTCAAACCTGGAGGCAATGCTACCTTCTGGTGCCTCTCAATGTGGATGGAGAAAGGAGCAACAGAATGTTGAGGAACCAGCATTCCTCTGATCACACCTGGGATTCCAGGCCCCTCAATACAGCTGGGTGATATTATAGAATATAACAAATGTGTTCAACATGTGATCCTCTTCCTGAATTGGACAACCAAGGCCAAAGGATTTGGGTCAAGCAATAAGGGCAGCATGTCCCTGCAGAAGTTGTAACCTTAGGACTCAAATAGACAGCTTGAGTGGCTATCCCAGGCAATCCTCACCCAGATAATTGGATAAGAGCGTCTGCAGCCTTTGAAGGTTTGTGGATCAACAGTAGAGTGAGGAAGCACTAATCTTTCCTCATCTCATTGCTGCAGAAGCCTCTGCCCTGCCTGGCATAACAACACCCTGAAGAGAATCAGCACAGCTATGGAGAGAGGAGATAAACTCAAACAATGCTGGATTTGTCATCCCAGAGTGAAGACTGTCTTGTCCTACAATCTTGTTGTAAGAGAATTACTTGTACACGACAACTTGGATGTTCTTCATGCTTCAAGACCAGTAAGTCTCACTGAACTCACTCACCACCATAGTGATAGATAACTGAATAGCCTTCAATTATGTGCTGGCCAAACAGGTAGGTATTGCCAACACTTGTTGCTGTTTATACCTTAATAATTTAGGGAATGTAGAAACTGAATTGGAGAAGGTGGGGTGCTCAACTGGATGGTTATTAGCTGTACACCTGCATTCTCTCTACACTCATTTTTTTTTACCTCTTTAGTTGGCTTAATCCAAGCACTCATGTTGTTGGTTGAGGACCATTTTCCAGGAAGGCCTGATCATCCTCCTGGGTCTGGTTCTTCCAGTGAACCTGATGAAGTGCTGTCTCAAAATGACAAGGAGGCTCTGAAAGCAAACTGCATGCATACAGGTTGTTCAGAGGCACAGCAGACTCAAACCCAGCTCCATCTTTCAATTTGAGGCAGGTAGTGGTCTTGTCAGATTTAATAGGTTTTATCTGTCATTACAGTGTCCCAGAAGGGGTCAGGGGAGGGGTGGACTATTGGGAAAGGTGGTCTCATGTGCACAGTCTTTCAACCCCTTCATGACCACATAAGAGTGGCTTTGGGCCTGGGACACTTCCTTACAGGGTGATAAGGAGCCCTCATAGCCTTTTGATGGGCATATCACTGTGTTCGGGAGTGTGTCTCTCTATTCTGGTCTTGATAGATGCTTTTTGTTCTACTTAAAGTGTGTATGTCATATAACACCTGGCCACCCTCACTGTTATATCTATTCCCAATAGGGACAGAATGGGGTGCTTTACCTGTAGCACAAGACGACTGTGTACAGACCCCATCTCCTTGTATTGGCTGTGGAACAAACCCACCGGCCATAGGCACTATTAAAGCTGATCTTGCACTATTTCTATGTGAGTGAAGAGTTGCTCCATCTAATACCTATGTGAGTCATGTGTCTCTTGGCAATTACAATACCTTGCAAACCAGGCAGTGGGAAGACATCTGGGGACTGCTGCTCCTGATGGTGGGCACTCTTATACACTTTTCTATCTTCCACTTAGTGGGACTCCTCCCCTGGAGGTGGTAACAGGTGTCATTTTCTTGACATTAATTTTATGTATCAACTTGGCTAGCCTAATGTGCCCAGTTCTTTGGTAAAACACCATCTAGATGGCACTATATAGGTAGCTTTTAGATGTAATTAATATTTAAACTCAAAGCAGACATTGAGTAATGCAAATTACCCTCTATAATGTGAATGCGACTCAACTCATCAGTTGAAGATCTTTAAAAAGACAAACGTTCTCTAAAGAAAAAGGTGTTCTTTTCAAGACTGAAATGTAAAAATCTACCCTGGGTTTCTAACCCGCTGCTTTGCGAATTTTGAACTGAAGACTGCAACATCAACTCTTACCTGAATGTCCAGCCTGCAGACCTGCCCTCTGGATGTCAGACTTGCCAGCCCCACAGCTGATCCAATTCCTTAAAACAAATCTTTCTCTGTCTCTGTCTCTTTCTCTTTTTTTTCTGTCTGTCTGTCCCTCCTCACACATACACACCTTCACACACACACTTCCTCGGGAGAACACTGATTAATATACCATAATTATCACAGAAATTAGGCACCTGTGTCATGGGAGAGGCAAGGATTTTGAGTATTCTCTATGCTGATGAAAATAAAAGACACAGCTGAAATATCTCCAGGAATTAGTAATCTGTAATCTGGAAACTTGAGGAAAGGCAATTCTCATTATAAAGTGGTAGAGGCCAGTCATGGTAGTTTATGCCTGTAATCCCAACACTTTGGGAGGCTGAGGTGGGAGGATAGCTTGATACAGGAGTTTGAAACCACCCTGGGCAATATAGTCCACCATTTCAAATAAAAACAAAACTTTAAAAAATAAATAAATATGTCCTTTGTAGGGACATGGATGAAGCTGGAAACCATAACTCTGAGCAAACTATTGCATGGACAGAAAGACAAACACTACATGTTTTCACTCATAGATACTGTGGCCTCGTGAATAGGAATGTGGGCTCATACATCAGGATTGAAAATAATGCATGAAGATCAATTAATCAAAGAAGTCCTGGATAAATTCCTTAATTGTCATGAGCAAACATATGATGAAGAATTTCTGAACACTTTTACTCATCTTTCACAAGAGGATCTTGTGTCCAAAAGGGGAGTGTTTGGAACTGATTCTTCGGAAAACATTTTTACCTAAGCAAAAGTTACTCATAAAAATGAAGCTAATGACTACCATCTTAGAAATAAAACCATTTTTCTTCGTACTTCATCACAATGTTTGGAAGAACAGGTAGACAATTTCCTAGATTTGGAAGATTTGGACATGGATGAAGAGAATAAACCCCAAAAAAGTGAGGATTTGCTGCTGCTCCCAGGAGAAGTGGAGTAGGATGTAAGCACCAGCATTCCTTCCTGTATCCTTCTGTGGCCCAGCCTCCCACCTGTGAAGTGAAGCCAAAGCCTACTGTAAAAAGAATGGACAAACAGATGGAAGAGATATGTGGAGATGAAGCTCAACCCTTCTCACTTGATGAGGAATTTGATTATGACAATGTGACGCTAACCTCCAAGTTTAGTCCTGCAGAGACAGAGACCATCAAAGAGCTAGGCAAGCAGAAGAGAAAGGACACCAGCCCAGACTTACAGGAACCCTGTGACTGATTCACAGAGGCATTTTTTTGTGTGTTTATTTTAATTTTGTTCTTATTCAAGTAACATTAGAATAAAAAATAATCCAACTATAAAAAAATAAAATAAATAAATAAAAGTGGCAGAGAACTTGGCCAAATTGTGTTCCAGTGTTTTGTGGAAATTAGACCTTTTGATGATATTTAGCTGAGGGGATTTCTAAACAAAGAATTAAAGGTACAGCCAGTTTTCTTCTTGCTACTGTGATAAAATGAAAGGAGACAGATAAATGGAAGAAGAAACAACTAAGCAACTAAAAAAAAGTAACACTTAATGATTTGGAAGATTCTCAGCCTATCCAGATAGCATGCTCTGGACACAGTGACAAGGGGGTGGCTGGACAATCATTTGCTAAAGATATTAGGCATGTGACTCATGAATCCAATCAATCGATCTCAGTAGAAGTCAGTAATAGAGATGTAGTTAGTCAGAAATGATCTGTAGAAGACTTTTTCTGATGGTGCAAACCCTTGTAAATTGCACAAGATTTTTGAGAATTTTACCCAAGCAGAAACATTGCTAGTCTCGAGGAAAAGAGACAGAGACAGGATGAAATGAAGGAAGAATAACTTTGCAGAACCACGAATGTAGAGTCCAGCTGGGCTGCCAACATGGGCCCAGAGGACACAGGCCCAGGAGATGGAGCTATCTTCTCCTTGGCTCCGGAAAGTGGAGCTACCACCCAGGCCTGAGAAGGTGGGGTTGTTGCCTGGGTGGGCCTGTAGGATCAGTCCACCACCCCAGTGTGGGCCCAGAGAACAGAGCAAGGTGGCAAAGAGGATGATTCTCAAGCGTCAAAATCTAATGGAATTTGTCATGCTATGTTTCTGACTTGCTTGGGATACAAGATCCCCTTCCTTCTAATTTCTTTCATCTGAAATGAGAATGTCTATCCTTTACCTGTCACCATTGTATTTTGGAAGCAGATAACTTGTCTGTTTTTCCAGGTTCACAGCTGGAGATGAACTTCTCCCCAGCATGATTCATACCTGTAATCTTACCCATTCTTGATTTAGATGAGATTTGGATTTCGAGTTGATGCTAGAATGGGTTAATACTTTTGAGGATGTTGGGTTGGGATGAATGTATTTCTTATGTGAGAAGGACATGACCTTTGTGGGGACTGAGGAAGGAATGTGGTATTTACTTGTGTCAGCCCTGGAAAACAATGAGAAAAGATGTTTGCCCTGTTTTATTAATTTTTCATTGTTTTATAATAAAGTTTTAACTAATCTAGTTCAAAATGCTGCCAGAATCAGAAGTCTCTTGTAATTATTTGTATTTTCTATTCAGAATAATAACAAGTAAATAATTGATATTAGAATGAAATCCAGTACCATTGCTAAAATTATGAAACAAGCCCAAGTGAAACCCCTAAGCTTACTGCCTCTTTATACAACACATTTATCTTATAGAAACAAGGATTTCTTTCAAGTCACAGAACCATCAAAATGAAACCTAACATGATAGAATGACAATGATGATGACAACAACAGTAACAAATACAAGAGTAACATGGGCTCATATTCACTAAATCATGTTTGAGCATTTTGAGTTGGGATTTCCATAGTTGTTCTATGAGATCAAAAGGCCGCGATGCAAAGAACCAAACTCATATGTGCTGAATGACAACAAAGTAAGCACTTTTAAACATGGATTGCGTTCAATCATTCAATAAATGAACATTGACCGCTGACCACGTGCTGGACACTAGGGAAAGGTGATGACATCAGCAAAACTGCTATGGTTCTTAGATGTTTTTAGTCCAGAAAACAGACATTAACAATTTGTCATATCAACAAATATGTTTTAATTTCTGATAAGCATTGTAAAGGAATAGCACAGAATGTCACAAGTAAATGTAGAAAAGTGACCTAATTTAGATTAGCAGGTCAGAAATATTTCCCTGAGGAAAGCAGAGTTGAGGTTTTAGTGAGTACGGTTTAGTCAGGAAAGGAAAATGAGTGCCAGGCAGAGGGATTTTGTGCAAAGTTCCTGATTAGGGAATATCTTGGCATGTTTGATCCAGACTGAAAGTTCATGTAGTGAAGCTGAAATAGACTGGGTTTAGAGAGGGACAGGCAGGAACCAGATCGTGTAGAATCTTGCAGGCCATAGTGTGGAGACAGGATTTTTGCCTAAGTGCAATAGGAATATTTTTAGACTTTTGTGCAAAAAAGTGACATAATTCAATTTATGTGTGTGTGTTTTAAATCACTGAGTCTAGCACATGGAGAATGAATTGAAGACCACTGAAAATGATGACCAAGTTATTAAGTCAGCCCTGGGAAGAGGCCTGTCTTCAGCTTCTTATAATGATAAACTTGTTTGTACAAACATTTTTAAGGGCTGAGTGCATGGCACTTGAAAAACAACAACAAACAAGGAGGTGCTGGAAGTCTAAAATAATGATGTTTCTCCCTTATTCCCTCCAAATTGTATATGCTTTCAGACATTATGCTTTAAAATGACCTAGTGTAACAGTTTTGCAGCCAGAAAAGCAGCCTCTTGGGCCAATTCAAGTCTACTTAAAACATTTCCTGAAATATAATTCATATTGAAACTGAAAGCAACAAAGAGCTACCTACATACTAGGCTCGATTCTAGGAAATCAGTTGCTTTTCTGTTCTAGAAAAACAAAAACATGATTTTTTAAAAAAAATCTAAACTTGCAGCACACCACGTAAAAAAATTATGCAAGGATAACTAAACCACTATTCTGTTGGGTGCTTCTGCAGACACTCTTCAGATATCACATTCTTCCATTGGGGCCACCTGTGCTTCAAGGTCCAGACAAATTTTATGGCATGTGCAGCTACTGCTTAGATAGGAACTTTCCTAGACTTCTCAAAATGTCTATTCAATTTAAACCCTATGCTTCTGTCTTCCTGTGGTACATTTTTCCACAGAGTTTCCAAAGTCCAGTGTCTGCACTATTTGCAACTGTCATTGTTTTGGCAGTCTCCTCCTCTCCTGCAGCAAAATAGCTACTGAAATAACATATTATAAAAGGTAAAGCTGAGTTTTATTATTTGAACATTTGACCCCAACACGCTCAGACAGGGAAATGCTCATATTTGTAAAACCTCATGATGTGTCTATTGGAGCGGACAGAGAAAATATAAGGATTGAAGTACTAGAGGAAACCTAATAACAAATTATGCCAAATTGCTCTGTGGGAGAATTTTTATTTGCTCCTAAAAGCAAAGTAGTGGGTAGGAGAAAAGAAGATAGAATGAGGAAGAGGACAGAGTGAAGGTAGAAATGCGGAAAGGGGATATTCTTCAGTATAGTGAGAGCTTGAGGGTCCCCTCAATTTGTGATGGGCAAAGGAAACATAGGAAAAACACGGCTGCCCATATGCATATCTTCAGTAAAATTTATTACACCCATATGTGCTTTTTTGATTGTCTTCCATTTGAGAGTGAAGGCTACAGAAGGTGCTATATCCTGCTTTCTCAGATTAAATAATTACCCCAACCATCAGAAAATGAGGTCACCTTCATCATTACTACAATAGTCGTACAGCAAGAATCGGCAGTGGCCCAGCGTGGTCTCAGCATGCCCTTGAAACCACCCAAATATTACAGGAAAATAATAAGAATCAGTCCTCAATTTGCTTTCTTTTCCTTTGGGAGGGCATGCAGTTTGAGATGGTATGCTTGAGGTAGAAAATATGTTTTGTTTCAGTAGGTGACTGCTATGGTTTGGATGTGGTTTCTGTCTGTCAAAGCTCATGTTAAAATTTGATACCGCATGTGGTAGTGTTGGGAATTGAGGCTAGTGGGAGATGTTTAGGTCATGGGGGCAGATCCCTCATGAATAGATTAGTGACCTTCCACTGGGGCCAGTAAATTCTCACTCTTGCAGGAGTAGATTAGTTCCCAAGGACGCAGGTTGTTAAAAAGAGTTTACCTTCCTCAGTATTTCTTCCTTGCTTTCTCCCTCCCCACGTGATCTCTTTGCACACACTCACCCCTGCTTCTTCTTTCTTCCATGAATGGGCATAACACAAAGCTCTCATCAGATACATCTGCCCAACCTTGGCCTTTCTAGACATCAGAATCATTATCCAAGTAAACGTCTCTCAATTGTTTTTTAATAAAACAGGGATTCTGCTGTAGCAACACAAACAGTCTAAGACAGTGACTATGTCTTAGTCACTAAGGCTGTGGAAACCTCACAATCATGGCAGAAGGCAAGGAGGAGCAAGTCACATGTTACGTGGATAGCGGCAGGCAAAGAGAGAGCTTGTGCAGAGAAACTCCCTTTTTAAAACCCCTCAGATCTCATAAGACCCATTCAACTATCATGAGAACAGCAAAGGAAAGGCCTGCCCTTATGATTCAATTATCTCTCACTGGGTCCCTCCCACAACACGTGGGAATTAAAAATGAGATTTGGGTGGGGGACACAGCCAAACCATATCATTTCACTGCAGCCCCTCCCAAATCCAGTCCTCACATTCAACACCAATTATGCCTTCCCAACAATAGCCCAAAGTCTAAACTCATTTCAGCATTAACTCAAAAGTCCATAGTCCAAAGTCTCATCTAAGACAAAACAAGTCCCTTCCACCTATGAGCCTGTAAAATCAAAAGCAAGTTAGTTACTTCTGAGATACAATGGAGGTACAGGCATCGGGTAAATACAGCCATTCCAAATGGGAGAAATTGGCCTAAACAAAGGCGCTACAGGCCCCATGCAAGTCCAAAATCCAGCAGGGCAGTCAAATCTTAAAGTTCCAAAATGATAACCTTTGACTCCATATCTCACATCCAGGTCACGCTGATGCAAGAGGTGAGCTCCCATGGTCTTGGGCAGCTCTGTACCTGTGGTTTGGCAGGGTACAGCCTCCCTCTGAGCTGCCTTCATGTGCTGGGATTGAGTGAAGCTTTTCCAGGCGCATGGTCCAAGCTATCAGTGTATCTACCATTCTGGGGTCTGGAGGATGGTAGCCCTCTTCTCACAGCTCCACTAGGCAGTGCTCCAGTAGGGACTCTGTGTGGAGGCTCTGACCCCACATTTCCCTTCCACACTGCCCTAGCAGATGTTCTCCATGAGAGCCCCACCCTTGCAGCAAACTTCTGCCCAGACGTCCAGGCATTTCCATACATCCTCTGAAATCTAGGCAGAGGTTCCCAAACCCCAATTCTTGACCTCTGTGCACTGGCAGGCTCAACACCACGTGGAAGTGGCCAAGGTTTGAGGCTTGCACCCTCTAAAGCCACAGCCTGAGCTCTACATTGGCGCATTTTAGCTATGGCTGGAGCAGCTTGGAGGCAGGGCATCAAGTCCCTAGGCTGCACACAGCATGGGGACCCTGGGCCTGGCCCAGGAAACCACTTTTTCCTCCTAGGCCTCAGAGTCTGTGATGGGAGGGGCTGCTGAGAAGACCTCTGACATGCCCTGGAGACATTTTCCCCACTGTCTTGGGGATTAATATTCAGCTACACATTACTTATGCAAATCTCTGCAGCTGGCTTGAATTTCTTCTCAGAATACGGGATTTCCTTTTCTATCACATTGTCAGGCTGCAAATTTGCTGAACTTTTATGCTCTGCATCCCTTATAAAACTCAATGTTTTTAACAGCACCCAAGTCACCTCTGGAATGCTTCGCTGTTTAAAAATTTTATTCTGCCAGATACCTAAATCATCTCTCTCAAGTTCAAAGTTCCAAAATCTCTAGGGCACGAGCAAAATGCCACCCATCTCTTTGCTAAAACATAACAAGAGTCACCTTTGCTCCAGTTCCCAATAAGTTCCTTATCTCCATCTGAGACCACCTCAGCCTGGATTTCATTGTCTATATTGCTATCAGCATTTTGAGCAAAGCCATTCAACAAGTCTCTAGGAAGTTCCAAACTTGGTACAGCAATTAGGGCATTGTGTTCAGAGAAGAATTTATGGCCAGGGCTCCAGTGCCTCAGAGGTGAGCTACCATGAAACAAGCCAGGGCCAAGTACAAAGAGGTGGTAAGATGCTGAGATGCCATTAACAGTATATGGACTCAGAAATGGGGGACACAGAAGCCCATTCATAAGACATGACTACTCAGTGGGTTATAGGAGCTCAGGAATTAGGTAGGAGTCAATTTGTTGATCTTGCAGAACTACAGTGTGTTGGTCTTCAGAGGCTGAAGTGTTGTCTACAAGTCCCAGTGTACTTTGAGAACAAATAGTGGCCTGAGAAAGAGACTGGGGCCAACTGACCCAGCTAGAGAAAGTTCAGGTTGAAGAAGGGAACACAGCAGAGCAGGGCTTTGCAGTGAGATCACCTATTCAATATCCCCTTCTGCAGACAAGGAAACTTAAACACTAAATAGACATTTTCTAAGAAAAAAATATTTTTAGCATTTGTAATGTATTTCCAAATACATTACCAGGTGTTACTTAGGTTTTACCATACTTTTACTGCCATCAGTAATGATCATATGTTTTTGTATTTCTCTGTCAAGAATGTCATGTATCATAAACTTTACAAGTTCTTCATTATTAGGAAAAGTATTTATTTTGCATGTATCTATAAATGGCATTTTTTCTTTACATAAAATTCGACCAGGTGTGGTGGCTCACACCTGTAATCCCAGCACTTTGGGAGGCCGAGGTGGACGGATCACCTGAGGTCAGGAGTTTGAGACTAGCCTGGTGAACATGGCAAAACCCCAACTCTACTAAAAATACAAAAATTAGCCAGGCAAGGTGGTGTGCACCTGTAATCCTAGCTAGTAGGGAGGCTGAGGCAGGAGAATCACTTGAACACTGGAGGCAGAGGTTACAGTGAGCCAAGATAGCACCACTGCACTCCAGCCTGGGTGACAGAGCAAGACTCCATCTCAAAATAATGATGATAATAATAATAATAATAAAATTCTACATCACCAGATCATGTTTTCTATAGCATTAGGGATGAGAAGCTTGATACTCCTTACATTATAGGTAAATAATAGTCCATTGGAAAACTTTTAATTATCTTTGGACTTTGGAAACTGCACCAGGATAGATATAAATATGTCTTTTAAGATAATGTTCTTATGGTATTCTTTAATTATTTTTGGGAATCCTTTTGCTTCTATTCCTCCATCTGGAACTCCTATAATGCAGATAATGCACCTCCTGGATTTATTCTCTGTGTGTTTTCTTTCATGGTGGGTCTATATTCATTTACTATGCTTTTGAGGAGAATTTCTTGATCTAATTTTCTTAACATTAATCAGTTTTGAGCAGCATTCATTCTTCTCATTCAGTACCTGTTTTGATTTTATATCCAAATAATTGCATCTTTTCATTTTTGAGACCAGATGATATGGTTTGGCTGTGTCTCCATCCAAATCTCATCTTGAATTACCACATGTTGTGGGAGGAACCTGGTGAGAGGTAACTGAATCATTGGGGTAGGTCTTTCCTATGCTGTTCTCATGATATGTGAATAAGTTTCATGAGATCTGATGGTAATATAAGGGGCAGTTTCCCTGCACAGGCTCTTCTTTCGTCTGCCGTCATGTAAGATGTGACTTTCACCTTCTGCCACGATTGTGAGGCTTCCCTAGCCACATGGAACTGCAAGTCCAATAAACCTCTTTCTTTTGTAAATTGCACAGACTCAGGTATGTCTTTGTCAGCAGTGTGAAAACAAACTAATTCACCATGTTAGTGTTCACAAGATGTTCCTTTTATCAGGAGAGACTTCTCTTTTAATCAGAGCAAAGGTACATCTATTCTCATATAGGATATGACTTAAAACTCCTTAAATAGCTGTCCTGCTCCCAATATGATCTCTTCTTCAATTTGGCAAATTTATCCTGATTGCTTAGCTTAGTCAGGATCTTCTGAACTACTGATTTACTACATGTGTCTAAGTATATATTTGTATGTTTGCTTGACCAGTCTTCTCATATCATTAAGAGTCCAAATCACTTGTCCTAAGTTGAGGAAGCACCACTATATTAGCTTGGTTTGGGTGCACACCATTGTACTAGTGAACTGTGGTCAGCGGGGAGATGATCTGTTAGAGACTGTAACTGAGTTAAGTCTCTACCTTGAATTTGTGTCATATTTTACAAATATTGAATATACCACAGGTCATTTGTTTACTCACCTATTTGTTAATTCATTTAAACAGTATTTGTTAAGTATCTGTTTTATACTATGTAGTATTTGAAGTGCTAGAGATAATAGCAATGAACAAAACAGGTACAAAGACCCATCACATGAAACTTTCTAAAGGAGCTATAGAGGATATAAATAAATAAATAAATCAGCAAAATACATCAGATGATGATAAGTCCTATGGAAAAAAAGAGGGGAGAAATAAAAATTTGAGTCAGAGGAAGAGAGAAGTTTATGAATTTGAGTGTTCATACAAGATACCATACACCATTGATGGGAAAACGTTTGAAAGAAGAGAGTGAGTAGCAGTATATATCTGAAGGAAGAGTTTTGTAAGTACTATGAATAGCATGTGCAACATCTTGGACAGGACAAATCCTGTCAAGGAACAGCAAGAAGGCAGCAGCATGCAGTAGGAAGTGAGGTGCAGAAGAGGTTAGGAGAAAGATTTATTAAGCCAATATTAAGACTTTCGTTTTTAAGGATCTTTTAAAGATTTACAAGTCATTGGGAAATTTGGGGCATTGCAATTACGTTATCTAACTTATGATGTAAAAAGAACCACACAAAATGCTGAAATAGAGAAAGAATAGAAGCAGAGAGTCATATTGGCGTTTCCTGTAATCATCTCAATGAGAGATAATGGTGACATACTGGAAAGGTGGCAGGAAAGGGGCCAAAAAGTGGTCAGAGTCTGGGTCTATTTTAAAAGTAGAGGTGTCACTTTATATATATTACATATATATAATTATATTATAAATAATATATTATAATTATATATATTATATATTAAAATTATATATATATAATATATATATAATTAGATAACTAAGTACATAGATGTCCAGTATGGAATCCAAATTGTTACTAGAAGTGAAATAAATTGCAAACAGAAAGTAGAGTAGGAATAAAAGAATACCCTAAGTTCACTTTAATAAACTTGATTAATATTGGTATTCTGATATATAAAATAATAAATTCCTGGTTGTCTAGCTTTAATTTCCCTCAAAGCATAGCCTGAAATGCCCAAAATAAAGGCTTGCTTGTAGATGGCTTAAGTGGGAATATGATTCTACGGAGCAGAAATGAGAAATAGAATGAAACAGGGAAGGAAGGAAAGTCAATCAAAGAATGGGTTATCAATTCAGCACTGCTGTGATAGAGATGTCAATTCAAATGGAGTCTTGAGAAATGTTACAGAATGTATTTCAGAACCATTCCCCCAACAAGTTGAGAAAGGAAAGAATTTATCCATCAGCTCTCATCTTTTATTGATAAAGTTTGGCTTATGTTTCAATTTTTGAGAGAATGAGTGCTAAGTGTGTTTTAGTGTGAGATCTGTGCTGCAGGATCTGAAAAGCCTCATGGCAAGAAATAAATGCCACAGGGCACTGGACTGAAGCAAAGTGCTCATCAGCATGAAGCTTATCCCAGCCCATGTAGGACTGGTTCCAATAACAGAACCTGGAGTGTGAAGTAGATCCATGATACATTTGAAGTGGTATACAAGGAGTGCTAGTACAGTCCAACTCATAATATCATTCAATCCACTTGCCCTCTCCAGTGGGACAGCCCATCATAGAATCTCTTTCAAGGTCTTATCAGCTGGGAATTGTTGAGATTTAACAAAAGGTTAGTAGGAAAAACTATCTCCTGCTTACAAGAGCAGATTTTGAGACTTTGATTGATTGTTTTTATGAAGACATCTGAACTCTTTAATTATAGGGGTTTGAATGTTTTTTATGGCATGTGTCATTGAAAAATTATTTACATAAGTTCTTGGGGAATAGGTGGTATTTGGTTACATGAGTAAGTTGTTTAGTGGTGATTTGTGAGATTTTGGGGCACCCATCACCACAGCAGTATACACTGTACCCAATTTGTAGTCTTTTATCCCTTTTTCATCTGCCTCTTATACCACTTATCTTAGTCCTTCCATGCTGCTGTAACAAAATATCACAGACTAAGTCATTTATACATCAGAGAAATTTATTTTTCACAGTTTTAGAGGCTGGGGAGTCCAAGATCAAGGCACCAGCAGATCTGATGTCTGGTGAAGGCTCACTCTCTGCTTCCAAGATGGTGCAATGTATGTGTCCTGACATGAGGAAAAAGGCAAAAGGGATTAGGGCACCCCTTTCAACCTCTTTTATAAGAACACTAATCCTATTCGTGAGGGTGGTGTGCTCATGATGTAATCACTTCTTAAAAGGCCTACCTCTTAATACTATCACTTTCAGTATTAAGTTACAGTGTATAAATTTTGAAGGGACACATACATTCAAACCATAGCACCACTTATTTGAGATTTCTTTAATCCTCAGGCAGCACTTTGGATGTTGCAATTTGTTTGTAAACTGAGCCAAACCTCACCCTAAGAAGTTTAAACCCTTAAGTTACCTTCATTTTTTTTTTAACTGTGGTGGTTGCTGCTACTGTGGTTTCATCGTTTGAAAAACCAAGCGATGCCCTATGGTTGCTGCTACCGTGGTTTCATCGCTTGAAAAAAACAAGCGATGCCCTGTGTTCCAAAAAATTAAAAACAACTCTAGTTCCTTATTGTGGTCAAGGTAAATTATACTTACCCATGCTCTGGTTACATATTGCTACTTATAAATACATCAAAATTTAGTGGCTTTAAATAAAAAATATTTTATTGCAGTTAACTACAATATTGTATAACACATACAATGATTTCATTACTATGCCAGTCAGAAACTCAGGTTAGGCTTGACTGGGTGACGCTTTAACTCCAAATGGTTCCAGCTGCAGATCCTGGGTATTTCGTTAACAGATGCACTGATTTTGTGGGCCGGGATGGCCTCACTCACATAACTGTGGCCTTGTTGACAATGGTTAGAGGCTTGAGCCCATTTGTGAATATCAACTATAGTGCTTACATTTGGTCTTGTCTCTTCAGCATGACAGTCTTAGGGTAGGTGGACTTCTTACATGGCAGATTAGGGACCCCAAGGAACATTCATAGCTTATTATTTTCTTTTTCCATGGCTTTTTCAGGCAATTAACAAATGTCAGCTGACTCTAACATCCTTATAATTACCAAAGACCCATATACCGTTTAAAGGCCCACAGCCTAACCCAACACTTCATTTTCCACTTGCGTCTCATTCCAGTTCACCTACATGTAAGAAGTTACCATCTTTCCACTTATTACTGCCTGTATAGACTTTATGGATCTTTGGCCAATTAGTGATTCACTCTAAAATTCCAACCCTGTGGAGTTGCGTGCCAGGATCTCCATTACCATCTGTCTTATTCTATGTTCTCCCAAATTCAGAGCCTGGGAGAAAGGCCTGGCTAAAAAGAGTTTTCTTTAGAAAAATGACCCTAAAAGAAAATATAAAGAAACAGGAGAGAGGATCAGGGAAGTAAAACAGGAAAGGAGGATAGGCCAATGAAATAATGTTATTGATTTGGTCACCACTGTGGGTCACCGCTATTCCATTTCACCACTGTTCTCTAAAACATGTTATGAGAGGCACGTCAGAATGGAACACACAGAAAACAAGAAAGAAAGCCATTTCCTCATTGGCTTCTATCATGCATGATAACTTTCTCACAGTTCTGTGTTGTACATGAAAAGGTGTTGAGCAAGTTCTTGCTGGAATACTAGCTGCAGAAGCATCGAAAATATGAAGCACCAACCCAGTGATGCCTGTGCAAAGCTGCTGAAATGGTGATGTCAGCAGAGGATGTAGTAAGATATGAGGCCAGTGGAATTTTGAAAGTGTATACAAGAAGTTTTCAACATACCTGAGAGCATAACTCCAGGCATAAAATTATCTGTTCTAATTCCAGTGTTTGGGTTTTCCTACTTTTTTGTCTGAAAATATCTTTACTTTTAGTTTTAATACTAATTAATTTTTACAATAGTTAGAATTTTAGTTGGATTAGTTTTTGTTTATTTTTATTCATAAAAATTTTATTAGTATAGATTTGGGGAGTACAAAGGCAGATTTCTTACATGCCTGTATTGTATAGCAGTGGAATCTTGGCTTTTACTGTATCCATCACCCATATAGTGAACATCGTACCTAATAGGTAACTTTTCAACCCTCTCCCCACTTCTACCTACCCATCTTCTGTAGTCTCCAATGTCTATTATTTATAGAAACCAAATTGAAATACATTGCTGCTGCAGCTAGGGATGGCCCCCAAAAATATTGTTGTGAAATGTTCTCTGTGGACAGATTTTAAACAGTTAACAGGTAAGCAATTTTGTGTAAAGGAAGAAGTGGCCTGAAGTAAGGCTATATACAGAATCTTGAGCAGTGGAGAATGGTTTATGTAGTTGGCCTTGGCACAATTGTAGGATCAGAAATAAACAGGTCTGTAGGTAAATCTATAGGAATAAGTGCATAAAGTGTGTGGATCTTTATGTCTTAAGTCAATGTCAACCAGAGTATATAGGTTTTAGAGAGACACTGAACAAACCAGGTGGCTAAAATGACTTATCCAGTAGATTTGAGCCAGGCTTTATCCTCAGCTACCTAGTGTTTGCACAGAACAGATACGGTAGCAGGGATGAAATCTTTGCATGGACCCATCAACCTGGGCTTCCTCTCACCAAGGCCAATCTCACTACACGTTAAATATTGGCCCAAAGACAACAAAAATTGACACTGAGCCTTCAGTATAATACCACCCTTCAAGAAGACCAACCAGACCACTAGATGTCAAGGTGATCAAATCAGTCCTTTTGCACCTTGGAGGAGTCTGTGATTTTTTTTTTTTTTTACTGAAATTGACATAAATTCTGGGTATGGATATTCCCCTGTTGAGAGTGGTTCAGCCAGCACCTATTCGAGGACTTGCAGTGTCTGTTTAAATGTCCTAAAATCCTACTAAACATCAGCTTAGAGAAAGTTTTGAAAGTTTTACTTTACAGTAAAGAGGCACAACAATGCGAATGTAACCATGGAATCCACTAGTCCTTATACATCATCTAAAAGCTGCCAGCCTAACAAAACTGGAATGGCCAGTAGAGACCATTGTGGGGTTGGGGACTGTCATTCAATATGCAGTATATAATTGGATAACTAAAGGATATTATATGCTAGCTGGAATATATGAGCCTGGGAACCAAAGCGTTAAAGTAGGAGTATTCTCCGTTGAATTATTTGTGAATTTGTGATCCATTGTCTAGTCTGCTGGACTAGAGGGCCAGTTCTCAGGGTGAAGTTAAGCAGTTTTTCTACCAGGGGTCATAGTAAAGTTCTACTAAATCTGAAACTATAGCTGCCACCTGGTCATTTTATGAATTTCATGTTTGTAGACAAGCCAGCAGGCAATTAAAAGGATTGATCTACTGGCAAGCTTAAATGATTATGGTTTCTGTGAGGAAATAGTACATAATGGAAGCAGGGAGGAGTATGGCTGGCACTCAAAGGATTCCCTGGGATACTCTTGGTGCTTGCATGGCCTGTTAAGATGCACTGGAAGTAACTACAGCCTTATTAAAGCACAGAAATAGGTCTTCTGGTTTCTCAGAAATGAAGAAATGTTTCTCTCCACTGAGAAGGCAACCTAGACAAGGAGAACTCCTGATCAAGTATGAGCAAAACCTAGAATGGGTAATAGAGGAGAAGATCTTGAATATCAGTTAGGATCACAAAATCAGTTGCAGCAAAGAGGACTATAGCTTAGACTTTCCTATTGTGTGTGTGTGTGTGTGTGTGTATATATATATATTTAAACTAACGACCAGCCACAAAATTGAAGAAGCCATTAAGGAAAGGTTGATCTTTGCATAAGATAGGGGCAATATGGATGGGATACCCACAACATCTGTGAAGGCCATCTCCCTTTATCACTCAACCTTGCACATTCCAATGGCATCTCACTGCAAACATCAGAGATCCTTCATCTAAGCATTTTTTCTCAGCCCACACGTGGGCCAGGTCAGGAGTGCAAGGGGGTTATGCTTTCAGGACCAGTCTTTATCCAGAAATGAAAGGAAGTTGGAAGAAAAGTACCCCAGGTTTCTAACCCACCCAAGAGGGAAATTGGAGGCAGATTTTACATTGTTTCCTAGAGTTACCTGAGGAGATCTAACTCCTGGTTCCCACAACAAAACCTGCTAGATATGTTCCCAGTCACTGGCTTCATTCCGTTCCAGTTTTCACTTTCCCACTGTCCTACCCCGTTTCTTATGAGCACCTTCAAAATAAATATCCCTTGCTCACAAATCCTTGTCTAGGAACTAAAGCTCCAAAAATACTGCCTAACAGCCACTCTGTTCATTGTAAAATAAAGATAGAAAAAAAATTGTCTTGTAGGATTGAAACCAGGATAATATGAGATATTTAGTGTCCAGATCTTAGAATCCATTTATTAAAAAGGGACAATAATAATGATGATTATTATGATGATTCACTCAACAAACACAAAAGGACTACAATAAAGTGCTTGGGTTTCAGTCTTAAGATCCATTTATTAGTAGCTCTGTGATTTTGGGCAAGTTACTAAATCTCCCTGTGTCTTAGCTTTTGTAAAATTGGGAGAAAGCATTTGTTGGGAGAATTAAAATAGAATAATCCACACAAAGTAGTGAAACCTGTCCAGGGCATTACAAATGTCTAATAAATAATATCCTTGTTATCATTCATCATGTACTAAGTGCCAAAAACTTTGTCCTTGCCTGTGAGTTAAAGTTCTCAGCTACTGAACCTACTGCGAAAGTAATAAACTTAGTCCTGTGTGAGCAGCTCTAACATTTCACAACAATAGACCTCAAAAATCATATGAGCTCTTCCCCTGGCCTACTCCCAAACTGGAGATGAATGTCAACGTATTTCAAGCTAGGTTTGAAATACCACATACTTTGAACAACTGTGAAAGATCTCAAATTTCTCTTCTAGTAACAACAACAATGGAAGCAGGGAGGAGTATGGCTGGCACTGAAAGGATTCTCTGCAGTTTCTAGGAAACATGCAGTTTCAAAGAAGTCAGGTCAAATACATCCAGCCTATCTACACTAGGTAACAGTTGGGCAATTCCCTTTGTCATCTGGCTTAGTCACTGAATTTCCTTTTTGGTTTCTATTTCCTACAGAGAACTTTCAAAAATCCCCCTTTCTGTTATTCCATATTTTGTATTCAAATTGTCTCCTTTTTCGAGCAGGGAAAATGGGGTGGGAAGAACAAAAACCCCAGGACTGAGTGAAGAAAATAAATGAGAAATCACCACAGTGAAAGTAAAAGACGAGAGTTCGAACTCAGCAAGTTCTCATCGAAGCAGCTTTCTTTTTTCTTTTCTTTTCTTTTTTTTTTTTTTTTTGAGACAGAGTCTCGCTCTGTCACCCAGGCTGAAGTGCAGTGGTGCAGTCTCGGCTCACTGCAAGCTCCGC
Organism: Homo sapiens; assembly: GCF_000001405.40. Classification (NCBI taxonomy): domain Eukaryota; kingdom Metazoa; phylum Chordata; class Mammalia; order Primates; family Hominidae; genus Homo; species Homo sapiens. The sequence goes on along the minus strand of NC_000001.11, from coordinate 89,274,169 downwards.
CTCCCAGGTTCAAGCCATTCTCCTGCCTCAGCCTCCCGAGTAGCTGGGACCACAGGCGCCCGCCACCATGCCCAGGTAATTTTTTGTATATTTTTAGTAGAGACGGGGTTTCATCGTGTTAGCCAGGATGGTCTAGATCTCCTGACCTCGTCATCCACCCGCCTCGGCCACCCAACATGCTGGGATTACAGGCGTGAGCCACCGTGCCCAGTCCCTCATGGAAGCAGTTTTCTTACTAGCTCTAAAATACCTCTTCTCCCGATTTTATAATCAAGGTAATGAGAGGTGACGGCGTGCTGGCAGCCCTTGCAGCCCTCCCTCGCTCTCGGTGCCTCCTCTGCCTGGGCACCCACTCTGGCGGCACTTGAGGAGCCCTTCAGCCCTCCGCTGCACTGTGGGAGCCCCTTCCTGGGCTGGCCGAGGCCGGAGCTGGCTCCCTCAGCTTGCTGGGAGGTGTGGAGGGAGAGGCAGGGGTGGGAACTGGGGCTGCGCCCGGTGCTTGAGGGCCAGCGCGAGTTCTGGGTGGGCTTGGGCTCTGAGGGACCTGCACTCGGAGCGGCCCCAGGCAGTGAGGGGCTTAGCACCTGGGCCAGCAGCTGCTGTGCTCCACTTCTTGCAGGGCCTTAGCTGCCTCCCGGTGGGGCAGGGCTGGGGACCTGCAGCCTGCCATGCCTGAGCCTCCTCCCCTCTCCCGCTCCCCACCTCACCCCGCCATGGGTTCCTGTGCTGCCTGAGCCTCCCCAACCTGTGCTGACCCCTGCTCCACAGCACCCTGTCCCATCCATGGCCCAAGGACCGAGGAGTGCCAGTGCATGGAGCAGGACTGGCAGGCAGCTCCACCTGCCGCCCGGTGCAAGATCCACTGGGTGAAGCCAGCTGGGCTCTTGAGTCTAGTGGGAACTTGGAGAATCTTTATGTCTAGCTAAGGGATTGTAAATACACCAATCAGCACTCTGTATCTATTTAATCTGGTGGGGACTTGGAGAATCTTTATGTCTAGCTAAGGGATTGTAAATGCACCAATCAGCACTCTGTATCTACCTCAAGGTTTGTAAATGCACCAATCAGCACTCTGTATCTAGCTCAAGGTTTGTAAATAGGCCAATCCACACTCTGTATCTAGCTAATCTAGTGGGGACATGAAGAACTTTTGTGTCCAGCTCAGGGATTGTAAACACACCAATCAGCACCCTGTCAAAACAGACCAATCAGCTCTCTGTAAAATGGACCAATCGGCTCTCTGTAAAATGGACCCATCAGCAGGATGTGGGTGGGGCCAGATAAGAGAAGTAGCCAGCAGTGGCAACCCACTGAGGTCACCCTCCAGGCTGTGGAACCTTTGTTCTTTCACTCTTTGCAATAAATCTTGCTGCTGCTCACTCTTTGGGTCCACACTGCCTTTATGAGCTGTAACACTCACTGGGAATGTCTGCAGCTTCACTCCTGAAGCCAGCGAGACCACGAACCCACCAGGAGGAACAAACAACTCCAGACGCGCAGCCTTAAGAGCTGTAACACTCACCGCGAAGGTCTGCAGCTTCACTCCTGAGCCAGCCAGACCACGAACCCACCAGAAGGAAGAAACTCCAAACACATCCGAACATCAGAAGGAGCAAACTCCTGACACGCCACCTTTAAGAACCGTGACACTCAACGCTAGGGTCCGCGGCTTCATTCTTGAAGTCAGTGAGACCAAGAACCCACCAATTCCGGACACGGTAAGACTGGGGCAAGAGGTGGAAGAGATTTGCAAGATTCATTTGGTTTTAGAAACATTCTACAAAGGATAGGATGCAGCTTATCCTGATGTGGTATATCAGACCTCAGTAAAGAATAAATTGTATTCTTATCAGACAGGCAGCAGAATTCATCAAGTACCAGCTGTGTCTGCCTCTTGCTGAATTAGACATCAATGTGTGTGGTGACTAAACTAAGAGTTTGAAATGCCTTCAAATTATTTTTCTTCCTTTGCAATTTTATGACTTATTCAGGATCATAATTTCCACTTAAGTTACCTTCGTCCTTCATAAAATCTGATTAAACTGACTCGAACTTCAGCATGAAAGTTTCAAAAACTATGATAGCTATTATTTTCATGAGAAAGAACAATGAATATGATGCAATGTAAGTAGCTTGCAAACATTAAGGACAAGAAAAAAATGTTGCCCAGAGAGAAGTTTCATGAAAACAGTGATGTATTTTTAGTCATAGTCTTGTACTTTGTTTGAAAGTAGATTTCTTCCTTTAGCAATAGCCCTGACTTAATTCATGTTGGTTTCTTGGCATCTACTCACTTAACTAACCCCTTTTGTGTTGGGTTCTGCTTCTACTACTCTATTGCCTTTACTATTATGAATCACCTAATTTAACAGTTGCCCAACTGGATCCCTCAATACTGTCTGGCAACTGTTCACTCGTTGAAATTCTCTCCTTTGAATTTCTTACCATGACACATACTTCAAGCATTTTGTACTAGTTTGATTTCCATTTATATCCTTAATAAGAGCCTTTTCCTTTTCCTTGAAATTCAAACCAGAAACTATGCAAAATAAGCAAAAGCAAGCAATAACAACTACATATACAAATGCAGGCGCAAAACCCAAACTAGAATCATATGGCTGAAAACAGATGTTTTCTTTCAGAAATCCTTCCACTACCACTTCTGAGCATTTTCTCTTAGTATTTTTTTTTGGGCATTTTCCTTCTTTGCACTTTTTAAAATCTCCTGCAGCTCGCTCACTCTCTTTCATAAGCCAGCAGTTATACTGATGTTAATAAATAGTTGTTTATTTACTTTTGCTTTTTTAGAAAACAAGCTGAAAGAATTGAGTGAAATGCCAGAGAGATACAGATAGCCAGTTGTAGGGCTGGGGTTGGAAATCAAGTCTAATTTAAGGCAAGGGCAAAATGTGCATTTTGTGTGTGTATTTTGAACCATTCTTGCATTGTTTTTATTTGCAAAGGTTATAGGGCTCAAGCAGTTAGGGAGAATGCATCCCAGAACACTAAGTTATGAATAACAGAGCAACAGTTATGTTTGTGGCTTGAACACATTAAATCTGCAATAATGTTTTAGAAATTTGGCTTTACTAAAAGCATTAAAGATGCTATCCAGATGACATTGGGGACAACATGTCAAATACTATTATTAATGTAGATATACAATGCTATTGTCATTCATAAGAGAGTCTGAACACTCAGACACATTCATTCCCTCTTCCTTAGTGACATCATCCCAAATCATAAGATCTTGTAAGCTCTCAATATCTGCTTATAGATTTGGCTTATGTATCTTTTGTTTTTCTAGCTAATTGTTGTAGATCATCACTTCAAGGTGCCCATATCTTTCTAGTGGAAAAATTATTCTGGCCTCCGCTGCATACAAATCAGGCAACCAGAATTCTACATATATAAGGTACTAATACTACATTGAAAATAGATTAGAATGAGAAGAGACCTGCCATTTGAGTCTCTAAATTTGTTGCAAAATTGCCTCTTTCTGGGTCAGGCTTGCACTAGGCATTTCCTGACTCCCATGTCCTAGTGCTACACCATTTGCAAATGGATATCCTATTTTCTGCTGCCAAGCAGTTTCTGTTTTAATTTATGTCAACATAATGATTTCCAGGGCATTAGCTATGAGGAAGCAGGGAGAATGGGTCTTCATAATTGTAAAATGACAGTTTTTGAAATTTGCTAGTAAAGAGATGGAGAATCCAAACCTTTTCATTGTAAGATTTTAGTGAAAGAACTCGTCAAGCGGATAGTGAAGTTTTAGCATCCTTAGTAAATAACCACCTTTAAAATGGAAGAAAACTATCCTTTATGATAAGGCAAAGTAGAAAAGCATATTTTTATGGCATTTGCTTTTTCTCATATAGCTCAAACATTTTTTTTAACCAGAGACTCTTTAGGTTATAGGGATTGATGCTCAGAAGTTAGAAAAAAATAGGTTAAGTATTATTAAAGGAAGTTGTTTTACTCATTCAGTCAATCATAAAATAATCATGCTTTGAAGTTTTGGTTTAATAAAGCACATTAGTAACTATGTAAAAAATTTCAAGTATATCACTAAGAAGCAAACAGCTATGATTTGTTAGATAATGCTGCATAATGACTTGGTAGTATTTAATGTAATGCAGTTTGACTGGACATAGATCTAACTGAAAAAAATGAAGTTGACACAAAGTAAAAGGAACAGTGTAATATATTAATAAAGAACATCATAAAGAATTAATATAGGAACCCAGGGAGGTAAAAACTAAAAAACATAACTAAGCCAAAAACCAATGGAATAAGAGTTAGATTCAAACTAGTAGGTTAGACGCAGGAAATGGATTTTCGTATGCCTATCAAATATTTAAGAACCAGTAGAATGGCCTATAGTAGACATATAAAGGGCCTAGGACTTACTTTTGTTTTAAAATAAAGTCTCTCTATTTTACAGGACTCTTTTTATTTTAAAACTTTTTTTTTCCAGAAACTTAGGCAGTGCTGGGGAGTAGTATGTCCCCAGGTTCAGTAAGCAAAATGACTTCCTTTGCTTATTAAACAAACACCAGAAATTCCAGCCTATCCCATCTGTTCCCTTGCAGGCAAAGTAACATCCTAGACATGGCTTTAGAGATCCACATGTCAGACCCCATGTGCCTCATCGAGAACTTTAATGAGCAGCTGAAGGTTAATCAGGAAGCTTTGGAGATCCTGTCTGCCATTACGCAACCTGTAGTTGTGGTAGCGATTGTGGGCCTCTATCGCACTGGCAAATCCTACCTGATGAACAAGCTGGCTGGGAAGAACAAGGGTGAGTGGTACCAGCAAAGCTCTGCCAAACCCTTCTGTCCATTCACACAGTCACCATCCAGTACGAGGAAGCAAGGAGAGAGTAAGACATGAGGATGAATATTAAAAGCCAATGTTTAGGCTACAGCTGGTCTTTTTATCTTTTGGAAGATGAAGACCAGTTCTCTGTTCCTGACATATCACCTCTTTTTTTTTTCTTTGCCTTGATTTCTTCTTGTAAAATGTATAATATATTCTCCTTGTAAGGAGTAAGACATCAATGAAGTAATTCCCGTATACATAATTATAAACTAGCAACATTTTAGTAGCATAATATTTTTTTAATATCAAAGTTCCAACCTATGGTATTTGATATTGTTTTTCCATTTCTGCATCATCATTCAAATCAATACTGGTTGTACATTCTGCTATCTCCTCATCTTGCTTTCCTTAAACTCTAGCTGAATGATCAAGCAAATCCCCAATTTCCAGAGTTTCTCTTCTATTACAACCTCTCACTCCCCCTGACAGGCTTCTCTGTTGCATCTACGGTGCAGTCTCACACCAAGGGAATTTGGATATGGTGTGTGCCTCATCCCAACTGGCCAAATCACACATTAGTTCTGCTTGACACCGAGGGCCTGGGAGATGTAGAGAAGGTAAGGAAGGATTCCTTTTTTTAACCTCCTAATCTCTGAACTGTCTTTTCACAGGGAGATTTTAGGTTTATTTTTCTAAATTTGTAGTTCCACTTGACCAATGTATACCCCCATTGTTTTCCTTTGTATTTTTAATATTCAGAGTTTGGAAGCCTGACATGAGAAAATACATTTATAAGCCAGAATCAGTATTAGAAGAGCAGTGTTGATGTTGAGCTAGGCAATTAACGCAAATGCATAAACATGATGCATATAAAATCACTGTTACAAGCCTGATCCTGTAGATTATACTAGTTAATAGTGGGTTCTGTTCTTAAATGAACTTGTGTTCCAATCAGAGCTCTAGCACTTGTAGCTTTCTGACTTTGATAAGAGAAGTAAGTCTCTCCAAATGTTTTATTTTTTCTTTGGTCTTTCTTATTCAACTCACTACTTAAAAACAGTAGATACATGGGCCTTTCCTAGTTATATGCTGGTAAGTACTTAACAACCAGCTCAAGGACAAAATAACAAAAACAAAAACAACCATGATTTGTAGCACTTGACTATTTTCTGAATACTCCCATCATAATTGATTTCAAGCTACCAAAGTTAATTCACTAAACTCAGACTTGGGAAGACATGCACACAATTTGCTGTCATGAGTTGGTATGAGTTGGCTCCAGCACACAACTGGATCTTTCTCTTGAACTTCCATTGTTTTTTTTCTGTGTGTGTGTTTTTTGTCTTTGTTTTTGATTTGCCAGGACTTAAAGATGACAAGCCACAATTTGAGCCTCAGTTTCCTTACCTACAAAATGGAGATAGTAACTATAAACCCATCTCACAGCACTATTTTTTAGAATTCGATAAGATCATTAATGTGAACTGCATTATTGATACTGGTTATTCAATAAAATAGGTATATGTACTGGGTATATAGGCCAATTTTGTTTTATGTGCTGGAAAATGTTGGTTTTAAGTACTCTGATCACCCCACTAATTTTAACTATCCGTTTTGCAAATATGTAGAGGGACTGGTGAGTTAATAAGATATGGATGAGTATAAAATTATCAATGTTAACAAGAGAACTATTCAAAGTTAATATTTCTAACAATCTTTTTCTTTTGTCTTGTTAAACATTTATGACAAGAGCCTATTTTTAAATATCGCTCATCTGGGAATCCCATGAGACATGACTTAAATTTGGTCTGACTTCTAGGCTGACAACAAGAATGATATCCAGATCTTTGCACTGGCACTCTTACTGAGCAGCACCTTTGTGTACAATACTGTGAACAAAATTGATCAGGGTGCTATCGACCTACTGCAGTATCCTTTTGTGGTATGGGATGGCACCAAAGTCCGACAGAACTCCTCTATTTACCAGCTGCATGTCTGTGAGACCTTGTGAATCACAAAAATGGAAACGTGATAAACATTGAAAGTACAAAGAAAGGAGCCCTTATATTTACTGATAAAATGATGATTTGGTTAAGACTCGTAGGGGAAAATAAAGGTTTGGGGGAAAATGGAATTAAGTATGGGTTTAGATGTGGTCCTATTTCTGCCAGTTTTCTTTAATTGCATCTCAGCAATGTGACAGAACTGACAGATCTGCTCAAGGCAAGAAACTCACCCGACCTTGACAGGGTTGAAGATCCTGCTGACTCTGCGAGCTTCTTCCCAGACTTAGTGTGGACTCTGAGAGATTTCTGCTTAGGCCTGGAAATAGATGGGCAACTTGTCACACCAGATGAATACCTGGAGAATTCCCTAAGGCCAAAGCAAGGTAACAGGGACTTCAGTTTTAGAAAGATTTTTAAAAAAGTAATCTAAGAAATTATCTCTTTTGTTTAGGTGGTTAAATTTATGGTTTTCTATATATATATATATTCACCCAGCTCTCCTAAAAAATAAATAATAAATATTTTTGTTTATAATGAACAAGTAGATTCAATATTAAATTGCATTTTCCTCATTCTTAGAACAAATTTTCTTTTTTACTTTCCCTGATTAGTTACCATTTTGCTTTTTACTTAGGGTTTATGAAGATATATTAATCTAAGTGACATCAGGTGGAAGGACATTTATTCAAGGTAAATAAATGAAAATGAGTGCAAAGTCTATGCTAAATAAATCCTATTTTTTATTCTCCAGGTAGTGATCAAAGAGTTCAAAATTTCAATTTGCCCCGTCTGTGTATACAGAAGTTCTTTCCAAAAAAGAAATGCTTTATCTTTGACTTACCTGCTCACCAAAAAAAGCTTGCCCAACTTGAAACACTGCCTGATGATGAGCTAGAGCCTGAATTTGTGCAACAAGTGACAGAATTCTGTTCCTACATCTTTAGCCATTCTATGACCAAGACTCTTCCAGGTGGCATCATGGTCAATGGATCTCGTGAGTATTATTTTTAGGATTTTCCTTCAATTTAATGTAAACTATAAGGGACACTTTTTATAAGATTATCCTTGCATTGTCAATGTTGACAAATGCATAGGCAATTGCTACTGTGAAAATCATATGTATCATATTTATTAAGTTTCAGTGGGTATCACATATTACTAAGTGTGTGTAGTAATACCTTTAAAGTTACATAAAACAGGAACAAAACCTGAAGATAAGATAAAATTAAAGATCTGTTGAACTGGATTAATCCACATGGGCTGGCAGCATTTGTTCAACAAATACATTGGATTTTTATTATGTGTCACAGTATTTGATAGGCACAAGATGAACAAGACATATATGTTCCCTGTATAAGTGAAACGTGGTTGATAACAAACTTTAAACAAAGGCCCAAATTGTCTAAAACCCTAAATGAAATCTAAGCAGACTTTTGGGCCTAGTTTTTCTTAAGAACTCTGTGTAAATAATTGCTACATTATAGAAGGAAGTTGACTGGAAACAAAAGTGTGCAAATGACAAGGACGTAAAACAGGAAAGTTCAAACAAACATTAAGAGAAACCTGGTTTAAATTGCTTACTTTGCACTTTTTTTTTTTTTTTTTTTTTTTTGAGGTGGAGTCTCCCTCTGTTGCCCAGGCTGGAGTGCAGTGGCACGATCTTGGCTCACTGCAAGCTCCGCCTCCTGGGTTCTCACCATTTTCCTGCCTCAGCCTCCTGAGTAGCTGGGACTACAGGCACCCGCCACCACACCTGGCTAATTTTTTGTATTTTTAGTAGAGGTGGGGTTTCACCGTGTTAGCCAAGATGGTCTCGATCTCCTCACCTCGTGATCCGCCCGCCTCAGCCTCCCAAACTTTGCACTTTTTTAGAGGAGGGTAGCGCTCATACTAGCTTAACTATACTAAAGTGAAATAGAAAAAGGAATTCTGTATCCTAGAACTTAAAGTATAATAAATATATATATAAATAAAAAGAAAAAGGAATTCTGAAGAGAACAGAAAGCTGAGAGAAAAAGGGAAGATTGAAGAGACAGAAGCCTATAGCATTGTAGTCAAATGAATATGTTTGACTTTTATATGATCATCTTCTCATTTCTCCATCAGAGAAGGATGAACTGTAGACTATCACAAACACCTTGAAATTTCCTCTATTTTCTTATTTGAACACAGTTTCCTTTCCCAAAGAATGAAACACTTGGCTTCCTGATAGCACAGTTTCCCAAATAAACTTATTTGGGCCACTTGACTACTGTCCATAATGCTAAACAATTTCAGGCAATGCAACTATTAAATGTACGTTCTCAGAAATTACTGTATCAATCATGTCTTCTTCCTTTGCAAATAATATAAATGTTTCTTTCTTCCATGAAGGTCTAAAGAACCTGGTGCTGACCTATGTCAATGCCATCAGCAGTGGGGATCTGCCTTGCATAGAGAATGCAGTCCTGGCCTTGGCTCAGAGAGAGAACTCAGCTGCAGTGCAAAAGGCCATTGCCCACTATGACCAGCAAATGGGCCAGAAAGTGCAGCTGCCCATGGAAACCCTCCAGGAGCTGCTGGACCTGCACAGGACCAGTGAGAGGGAGGCCATTGAAGTCTTCATGAAAAACTCTTTCAAGGATGTAGACCAAAGTTTCCAGAAAGAATTGGAGGTGATATTTTTGTTTCTAGTTCATGGGGATTAAGGTCAAGAAGGCAAAGTATTGCTTTGAATGATAAAATAGGACTTAGCTAAGAAAAAAAATACTAGATTGGAAAATAATAATATATAGCCATGACACCACTTTTATTCTGAAAACAAATGAGCAAACATGTAATTACTCTGGACCTTGTAGATTCTGAAGTTTTCCCATATGCATACATTTACCATGTTATACCCATGAACTGAATTTTAATTAATTTTCTGTCTTTGGCCAGTTGCATTTACAAAGTATTAAATTTTCTTTTTTATTAAGCATATAGAATTACCAGTTTAATCCACTAAAATATGATGTATCCAGGATTAATAGAATAAGTTGGTATCATTCCAGCCAACTATTCTGCTTCGAACTTTATCATTGGAAATCCCGAGTAAAACACTGAAATACTGGAAGGAATGTTGTAAACTAGTAGGCTGCATTTAAAATTAAAGCATGAAGCTAGAGGTCTGTGGCATGAAGATTACACCTATAGCAGAAATAACAAGAGATTCAAACCCAAAAGTAAATGTCATTTTTCTATAGAGTATCATCCTTGGAATTTTTCCAGGTTTGGTGGGAAGGATATAGTCTTGCTTATATGTGTCTTGCTCTAAGTTTGTAGAAAAAAATATAGATTCTTTTTCAGAATTATTTCCAGAAATACTGAAGTATTGCTAACATCTTTTCCATGGGTTTTTGTCTCTTTGAAGACTCTACTAGATGCAAAACAGAATGACATTTGTAAACGGAACCTGGAAGCATCCTCGGATTATTGCTCGGCTTTACTTAAGGATATTTTTGGTCCTCTAGAAGAAGCAGTGAAGCAGGGAATTTATTCTAAGCCAGGAGGCCATAATCTCTTCATTCAGAAAACAGAAGAACTGAAGGCAAAGTACTATCGGGAGCCTCGGAAAGGAATACAGGTATCCCTAGTTCTACCTATTGTGGAGAATTGCTGAGGGACCTCTTTGTAAAACCAGTGAGAACAGGAAAATTGCCATGTATACAGGCACACAGATGAGGTTTATGTCTCTGTCTAGTAGTAATCCTTTTCTTGAATAAGCATTTATGGAAAAACAATGTGCCTGGTGTTGGTGTTCCTCGCACAGAATTTATATCTAATGGTAGCAGTGGGGTTAAACTGAACCATCACCATAATCACCAGACTTGCTTTGTGACCATCAACATTCATTGCAACAAAGAGGCCTTTTTGGTTACATTGGACAGAATGCCAATACTTGAAACTAACCTAAGAAACACCAGTAATTCATTGGCTTACACAAACTAAAAGCAAAAGATTTTAATTTAGTTTCAAGTATAGATGCATTCAGAATTTTAAACAATATTATCCCTTTTCCTCCTTCTTTCTGTCATTTTTCTGTTTCATTTTCCTGACTATTGGCTTCATTTCCAGGCAGGCTCACCCCACATGACAATAAAGGTGACACCAACAGGTCCAAGCTTAACTAGTCCTTACTGCCCTCAGTCTCAGGGGAAAGAGAGCATCTTTTCTCCAGCATATATCTGTCATTCAAACACAAAAGCATCATCAATTTTCATACTCTTTGCAGTATTTTTCTCCCTGTGAACAAGTCCTTTGCATCTAGTGGACTTGCATGCTCTGACTGACCATGGAGTCATGGCCAAACTTGTGACAGGAGCAGGTGTTCCACAAGCCTCTCCAGTCTCAATTGGCAGTTCCACCAAGTGCAGGGTGGAAGCCTGTATAGGCTCCACCTCTCCTATGGAGCCTCTCCTATGGCAAGCCTCTCCTATGAGGAATAGATGCTGCTGGAAGGAACAAGACAAAGATGTTTACAACATTCCTAATCACCATTTCCTGCATCTAACTGCATGTTTTCCGGGTTGCTAGGCTGAAGAAGTTCTGCAGAAATATTTAAAGTCCAAGGAGTCTGTGAGTCATGCAATATTACAGACTGACCAGGCTCTCACAGAGACGGAAAAAAAGAAGAAAGGTGAGAAGAAAGTGGAAATTATGCAAGATAGAAAGAAATCTATAAATTTTAAATAAATTTGGCCTGGCCCTCATGGGATGTTAAACTAGAGCAAGAATGGCAAAGATGCTTCTTAGCTCCTCAAGCATATCTGACTGGCATGATCCTGCATTGTGGTTACCTGGAAGGGAAAAACAACCCCTGGGAATTTTATCCAGGAAGTTGGAACAATCACAAACAAAAGTGGGAGGCAGAAGGAAGAGGCACATTAATCCTAGAGAAGATTATCTTTTTCTCCTCAGAGGCACAAGTGAAAGCAGAAGCTGAAAAGGCTGAAGCGCAAAGGTTGGCGGCGATTCAAAGGCAGAACGAGCAAATGATGCAGGAGAGGGAGAGACTCCATCAGGAACAAGTGAGACAAATGGAGATAGCCAAACAAAATTGGCTGGCAGAGCAACAGAAAATGCAGGAACAACAGATGCAGGTATTCATCAATTGTTTCATCTCTCCCCTGCCTGTAACGATGAGAGTATGTAGCAGTGGCAAAGAGGGAGAGGCAGCAAGATCTTGTGGCTCTCAGCAGGGAGTCTGGAGCCAGAAAGTCTGGGTATGAATCCAAGCTCCACCTCTTAGTAAGTATATGGTTTAGGCAAGTTATCTATCACCTCTGTGCCTAATTTTCCTCTTGTGTAAAATGGACACAGTGATGATATCTATGTTATAGGGTTATTTTGATAATTAAATGAGTTAATATTTGTGTTTAAATGGTGCCCGATACAGAGTAAGCACTATATGTTGTTAAATAAAAACCAAGGCATTTCTGGGCTGCAGTAACTGGTCTTTCCTGTTGACTTGTTAATTGTCCTGGATGATCTTTTGCTTTGGTCATAGATACTTTGTTAATCTGATTTCATGTTACTGTGTCTATGCCCCTGTTCTTGCCTTGATCATCTCTGTTCTGAAGGCCTTTAATTTGCCAGTTTGTTTCATCCGGTCCTTTACTTTTATTTACCAATCACTGTCAGTAGTTACCAAGCACTCTCCAGTAGTTATTATTTATCAGTCACTGTCATAGCACTTTACATGCATTATCTCATCTAATCCATTCACTGTAAAGCAGAACTACTGTGTCCTCATTTTTCAGATGAGATAAGTGGGGTTTCAAAGAGATAATCAATGCAAATATCACACAAGCCTAGCACATTAACAAAACTGCCTTCCAAATGAGTGGAATCTGCAGTGTTTTTGCTTCTTCAGACCTGGTGTAAAATTCCTATGTCAGCACCCTAATGAGACAAATGACATCCTAATTCTTCCCCTTGGCTTGCCAGTTTGTAGGTACTAGTTTTTCAGAAGTTACTCTAAAATATTTCTGATTGCAGCTCCTTCCTAAAGAGCAGTATGAGCAGCATGTGGTTATTTATGTATTCACTCTTTTCTCCTACTTCTGTGGTGACCTGGAACAAATTCTCTTATGTATGTAAAGATTGGACAGCCCACCTGATTCCGATGTCACTTAGATACACTGTTTTTGTATCAGCCTCTTCTCTTAGAAATATATCTGAGAGTCTCCTGTGTGTGTATGAGAATTGAAGTCAAGATGTGACTAAGATTGCCCAAGGAGATCGTGTGGTTTAAGGGGGAAGGGAGCTTTGGTTTGGAATCCTAGGGACACCAATATTCCAGGGATGAGAAATGACCATTTCTGGAGCTAGAGAAAGACAAGGAGGGTGAATAATTACAGAAATAGGTTAGATGCACGTGAATGGAAGAGAGATATTCAGGAACTGTTTACTGCTACTGTAGATGAAAAGAAGTAAGGACAAGTGAGTGATTTAGGCAATCAGTAAGAAGCTTGATCTTACTTTCTATTTATCACTCTTTAGGAACAGGCTGCACAGCTCAGCACAACATTCCAAGCTCAAAATAGAAGCCTTCTCAGTGAGCTCCAGCACGCCCAGAGGACTGTTAATAACGATGATCCATGTGTTTTACTCTAAAGTGCTAAATATGGGAGTTTCCTTTTTTTACTCTTTGTCACTGATGACACAACAGAAAAGAAACTGTAGACCTTGGGACAATCAACATTTAAATAAACTTTATAATTATTTTTTCAAACTTTCATATAGAGTTATAAGATTATGATGCTGGTATCTGGTAAAATGTACATCCCAGTAGTCCAATAGTTTAAATGTTTATTGCTTCCTTTAAGAGATTATAAATTGTATAAGGGACATTGTATCACTGCCTTCATTTATGCGTGATATTGGGATGGTTTCATCAGGAGATGCTTTCCTTGCATCTCAATGTCATCTGTCTAATTTCTCATAAGGGGATTATGTTACCTAGAGCAGGGCTTCCCAACCCTCAGGCCATAGACTAGCTCTGATCTGTGGCCTCTTAGGAACCCGGCCACACAGCAGGAGGTGAGCAGCAGGTAAGTGAGCATTACAGCCTGAGCTCCACCTCCTGTCAGATCAGCAGTGACATTAGATTCTCACAGGAGTGGGAACCCTATTGTGAACTGTGCATGCAAAAGATCTAGGTTGTGTGATCCTTGTGGAACAATATAAACCAGAAACCAATAACGCCACCCCACCTCCAACCCCCGCCAACCCTCTGTGGAAAAATTACCTTCCACGAAACTGGTCCCTGATGCCAAATAGGTTGGGGGACCGCTGACCTAGAGGGAGTTATGCACATGGGCTTATAAGGTTAGCCAAGAGAAAGGACAAGAAGACCCAAAGTCGGCAAGCAAATTTATTAACCTGCTGGGCTGCTCTACAGAAATCTGAGGAGGCAGACACCGGGCTTACAGGCTAAGGGGTATAAGTAGGTCTGCAGGGGTTTTGTGTGTGTGTGCGGGGGTGTCGGGGGGGCAAGGCCATTTGTGGAGACTTTTCCTCCCAGTATGGCCACATCCTGCAGTTTGTCAGTTTTTGCCCCCGCCTGGCTCAGGGTACCAGGATGTGGTTTAGCTTAGGGGTGGTTATAGTGGCACCTAAGTTCTGGGAACTTGCGGTGGGGGCGACCTTTTGGACGAAAAATAAGCTGCAGGGCAGCTAGGGGAGGGGGCTTGTTATATTCCTCTGGGGGCAGGGTGTCCCTAACTGGGCTCAGTCGGAAGGAACTTGACCAAAGTCTGGGCTCAGTTGGGCATCACTCAGGCTAATGGTCGTGTGCTGGATGCCATCAGAGGGAAGTACCAATGGTAAAGTGGAAACAATGTGCAGCTTTCAACTGGGTGGAGGCTGCTATTCTGTGGACAGTGAGATGTTTCCTTGGCACTGTCAATAGACAATCTGCGTAGAGAAATTCCAAGCTGAAAGCCAATAATGTTATAATAAAATAGAGATTCTTCAGAAGATGAAAGGAATTACCAGCATGGAAATTGTGTCATAGGCTTAAGGGCTAAAGAAGAAGCCTTTTCTTTTCTGTTCACCCTCACCAAGAGCACAACTTAAATAGGGCATTTTATAACCTGAACACAATTTATATTGGACTTAATTATTATGTGTAATATGTTTATAATCCTTTAGATCTTATAAATATGTGGTATAAGGAATGCCATATAATGTGCCAAAAATCTGAGTGCATTTAATTTAATGCTTGCTTATAGTGCTAAAGTTAAATGATCTTAATTCTTTGCAATTATATATGAAAAATGACTGATTTTTCTTAAAATATGTAACTTATATAAATATATCTGTTTGTACAGATTTTAACCATAAAAACATTTTTGGAAAACCATAAATCAGTTCCTTTGTTTGTATTTTTCTCAAAGTTAAAAGTCTATAGAGAAAGACTGAATTTCCCTAAGGAGATTAAGAATTGCTTTAAGACTAGAATTAAAACACACTTTATTACATCTTTTTATGTACTTTTTGTTACTTTGTTTTGTATATCTCCAGTAAAATTTTTTTTGTTTAAATTATAGAAACATTACACAAAGCTCTGTTTTTCTCCCTTATAAGTACTTACTCATATAAGGAATTTTCCACTTAGGTAATATGATAGGAGCTTGAATTTTTTTAGTCACCCAAAATATGATTTACTTATATACAGAAAAAAGCCGAAAAATTTTAGTGTCTGCTCTTTTTACTGTTCTTTGAAGAGCTTTAATATGAGGAATTTTTCATATCAGATAGGATGTGGTGCTACTCAGCAGTATTTCTAGATTTGAACTGAAGTTCAGAAGGTACCAGCATATTCAACTGAGCATTTGTCTAGCAATACCCTACAATTACCTTTTCAAGCTGTGCAATTTATAAAGAAAAAAATACATTTTATCATCCAAGGAAATGTTATCAGTAAAAAGAATAGCTCTATCTCCAAATTAAATATTGATATCTTTATTACCCATCTTAAAGAAATTTTTTAAAATCCTGAGACTCAGAAAATTAAGTCATTTAAGGTTTCACACCTTGTTACTGTTAACCTAGACCATGTTACAAAGTAGTTGATTTCTAGTCTAATTTAACTTTTGCTATTATATCTCCCCCACCAAAAACCAGAGAGGCATGCTGCTTTCATTAGTGATCCACAGATATTCTTCCCCACCAGCTTCCCTGGATCCCACTCATCCCCAAATACTCTGATCTCACAGGTTAGAGATCTGTCACTGGGTGCAAAAGAACAAGAAAAGGCACTGTAAGGTAAACATTGATGATTTCTTGAAACTACCAGTAAGTAGCTTATATTTTCTGACTTTCTTTGTCTTACTGTTGTGAAATCAACTGATCTAGTTTTAAATGTAATGAAAAGCAAAGCAATAGATTCTCCCCTAGAGCCTGCAGATGGAATGCAGCCTTGTTAACATCTTGATTTAAGCTTCACAGACTTCTGATTTCCAAAACTGTAAGATAATAAGCTTCTGTTGTTTTAAGCCACAAAATTAGTAATAATTTGTTATAGCAGCAATAGGAAACAAGTACAAAATCTTTATTAGTTAATACTATGAATAGTTATTCATACCAGCTAAGAGATATTTGGAATTTATTATGGATCACTTTATTATGGTCACTGTAGTAATTCACCTGTTGCTCATAAAAACCTTATAAACATTTAGTATTGTTTTATGGCAATTGTTATTTTAAACAATATTATCAATGTATGTTAGTGTTATCATTATTAAAGTTATTATTGTTAAAGCATTGAAATTAAATAAATTAAGGTCAGTACCACAGAAGGCCTTTTGAATTTAGAACCCACATTAATAACCATCTTGTGGTACTTTCTTATCTTGCTTAGTGATACGGTTTGGCTGTGTCCACTCAAATCTCATCTTGAATTATGGCTCCCATAATGCCCACGTGTTGTGGGAGGGACCAGGTGGGAGGTAATCAAATCATGGGGGTGGGTTTTCATGTGCTTTTTTCATGATAGTGAATAAGTCGCCTGAGATCTGATGGCTTCATAAAGGGCAATTCCCCTGCACATGCTCTCTTGCCTGACACCATGTAAGATGTGCCTTTGTTCCTCTTTCATCTTCTGCTGTGGTTGTGAGGCCTCCCCACCCATGTGAAACTACAAGTCCATTACATCTCTTTTCCTTTATAAATTACCCAGTCTTGAGTATTTCTTCATAGCAGTATGAAAATGGACTAATATACTTAGGAAAACATAGAAATACTGAATAATGTGTTAAAATTTAGAAGGAATTACTAAAATAATTGAAATCAAAAGCATAGATTCAAAACAATGTATAAGAATTCAGCACAAAATAAGCAGGTAAAGAAATTTCTAAAATGAAGTAGAGAAAATGTGGTAATGACTCTAGTGTATAACGATCACCAACAGAATAGAAAGTCCAAAAAATAGACTTTATAGGAATAATACAGGGTAAAGATAGACTTCTTAGTAGGTTGGGACTACTGGATGGCCATATAGGAAAAGATCAAGTTGTAACCAGACCTCACACACAATACACTAAAATAAGAAAAAGGAACCACACCCAAATTGATAAAATATAAAATGTAAAACTATGAAAATGCATTTGAAGAAATCAAGGTTATGTTCTTCATAAACCTGTAGAGGAGAGGGCCTTTCTAAATGTGACTCAAAACTCTTGAAATCTCTCTTGACCCCATGTCTCAGTCAGTTTCAACACAATCTTTGTTCCCTTTCAAAGCAATATTTTAGTTAGTTACATCCCATTCTCTGTTTTTCAAAATTATTAAATGTGACACATACTGAAGAGTACAAAAAACATAAAATGTACAATATTCAATATAAATAAATTACAAGATGAACGCACAAGTAACAACCCAGGTACATACATTCAGCATTACTAAAATTCTATAGGTGTATATGACAACTTCTGACAACCCTGCTAGAGCCAACTAATATCACAACTTTCACAACTATTTTCTAGGATTTTATTATAAACATGTGAGCTCCTAAGTAATGTAATTTTGTTTGGCCTGTTTTCAAACTTTATTTAAATGGAATTACATTGTTTGTATTCTTTTATGCCTTGCTTCATTTGTTAATAAAATCTTTATAAGATTCATCTAGTTCATTGTGTGTAGTTGTAAGCTATATATATTCTACTGTTTAAAGATAACAATTCATTCTACTATTAATACATATCTGGATTTTCAGGTTTACCTTATGAAATGTTATTAAGGACATTCTTTTTTTTTTCTGTTTTTTTTTTTTTATGAGACAGAGTCTCACTCTATCACCCAGGCTGGAGTGAAGTGGCATGATCTCGGCTCAAGGCAACTTCTGCCTCCCAGGTTCAAGCAATTCTCATGCCTCAGCCTCCCAACTAGCTGGGACTACAGGCACACACCACTATGCCTGGCTAATTTTTGCATTTTTAGTAGAGATAGCGTCTCACCATGTTGTACAGGCAGGTCTTGAACTCCTGGCCTCAGGTGATCCACCCACCTCGGCTCCCCAAAGTGCTGGGATTACAGGTATGAGCCACCGCGCCCGATCGGAACATTCTCGAACATATACACTTGTGCATGTATATATAAAATTCCCTCTGTAACACTGAAGTCTTAGAGAATGGATATCCAGCTTTTCTTATTTATTAAATTTTTATTATTTTTAATTTTTGTGGGTACATAGTAGGAGTATATGTTTACGGGGTACATGAGATGCCTTGATACAGACATGCAGTGCATAATGATCAGATGGAGAAGGGGTATCTATCTACTCAAGCATTTACTCTTTGTATTACAAACAATCCAATTATACACTTTCAGTAATTTTAAGAAGTACAATTAAATTATTATTGACTATAATCTTCCCTTTGTGCTATTAAATATTAGGTCTCATTCATTCTTTCTAACTATATTTTTTGTACTCGTTAAACATCCTCACCTCACCCCTATCACCCTGCCCCACTACACTTCCCAGACTCTGGTAGAGATCCTCTACTCTCTACAGTTATGAATTCAATTGGTTTGATTTTTAGATCCTGCAAATAAGTGAGAACATGCAATGTTTGTTTTAATATGCTTGGCTTATTTCACTTAACATAATGATCTCCAGTTCCATCCAAGTTGTTGCGGATGACAGGATCTCATTATTTTTATGGCTGAATAGAACTCCATTGTGTAAAAGTACCACATTTTCTTTATGCATTCATGTGTCGATGGATACTTGGCTTGCTTCCAAATCTTGGCTATTGTGAAAAGCAATGCAACAAACATGGGAGTGGGAATATCTCTTCGGTATATTGATTTCTTTCTTTTGGGTATATACCCAGCAGTGGGATTGCTGGATCATATAGTAGCTTAATTTTTAAGTTTTCTGAGAACCCCAAAGTGTTCTCCTTAGTGGTTGTACGAATTTACAATCCCACCAACAATGTACAAGGACTTCCTTTCCTGCACATCCTTGCCAGCATTTGTTACTGACTGTTTTTTGGACATAAGCCATTTTAACTGGAGTGAGATGATGTCATTGTAGTTTTGATTTGCATTTCTCTGATGATCCATGATGTTGAGCACCTTTTCATATGACTGTTTTCCATTCATATGTCTTTTTTGAGAAATGTCTATTCAAATCTTTTGCCCATTTTTTGATTGGATAATTAGATTTTTTCCTATAGAGTTGTTTAAGCTTCTTATATTTTCTAGTTATTAATCCTTTGTCAGATGGGTAGTTTGCAAGTATCTTCTTGCATTCTCTATGTTGTGTCTTCACTTCGTTTATGGATTCCTTTGCTGTGCAGAACCTTTTTAACTTGACATGATCCCATTTACCCATTTTTGCTTTTGTTCCCTGTGCTTGAGGGGTATTACCCAAACAATTTTTGCCCAGACCAATGTCCTGGAGAGTTTCCCCAATGTTTCTTGTAGTAGTTTTATAGTTTGAAGTCTTAGATGTAAGTATTTAATCCACTTCGATTTGATTTTTGTATATGTCAAGAGATAGGGGCCTAGTTTCATTCTTTTGCATATGGATATCCAGTTTTCCCAGCATAAATTATTGAAGAGATTGTCTTTTCTTTGGTGTATGTCCTTGACATCTTTGTTGAATATGAGTTTACTAAAGGTGTGTGGATTTCTTTCTGGGTTCTCTATTCTGTTCCACTGGTCTATGTGTCTATTTTTGTTTTTGTTTTGTTTTGTTTTGTTTTTCAGACGAGTCTCTCTCTGTCGCCCAGGCTGGAGTGCAGTGGCGCGAACTCAGCTCACTGCAAGCTCCGCCTCCCGGGTTCACGCCATTCTTCTGCCTCAGCCTCCCCAGTAGCTGGGACTACAGGCGCCCGCCAACATGCCAGGCTAATTTTTATTTTTTATTTTTTTAGTAGAGACGGTTTTTCACCGTGTTAGCCAGGATGGTCTCTATCTCCTGACCTCATGATCCGCCCGCCTTGGCCTCCCAAAGTGCTGGGATTACAGGCGTCGGCCACCGCGCCCGGCCTATGTGTCTGTTTTTATGCCACTACCATGCTGTTTTGGTTGCTATTGATCTGTAATTTGAAGTTAGGTAATGTGATTCCTCCAGTTTTGTTCTTTTTGCTCAGGATAGCTGTGGCTATTCTGGGTCTTTCGTGGTTTCAAATAAATTTTGGGATAGCTTTATTTTTTTCTATTTCTGTGAAGAATGTCATTAGTATTTTGATGGAGATTGCATTGAATCTGTAGATTGCTCTGGGCAGTATGAACATTTTAACAATATTGATTCTTCCAATCCATGAAGATGGAATATCTTTCCATATTTTTCTGTCCTCTTCAATTTCCTTCATCAGTGTCTTATAATTTTCATTATAGAGATCTTTCACTTTTTTAGTTAATTCTTGAGTATTTAATTTTATTTGTGGCTGTTGGAAATGGGATTACTTTTATTTTTCACATTGTTCACTGTAGGCATACAGAAATGTTACTGATGTTTGTATGTTGATTTTATATCCTACAACTTTACTAAGTTGGCTTATCAGTTTTCATTGTTTTTTTGGTGGTGTCTTTAGGTTTTTTGAAATATAAGATCATATAATCTGCAAATAATGATAAATTGACTTCTTGCTTTCCAATTTGGATGCCCTTTATATCTTTCTCTTGTCTGATTGCTCTAGTTAGGGCATCCAATACTATGTTGAGTTACAGTGGTGAAAGTGGTCATCCTTGTCATGTTCCAGTTCTTAAAGGCTTTCAGGTTTTTTTCCAATTCAGTGTCATAAAAACTGTGGGTTTGTTGTATATGGCTTTTATTATCTTGAGATATGTTTCTTCCTTACCCAGTTTTTTTAGGGTTTTTATCATGGAGGGATGTTGAATTTTATCAAATGCTTTTACAGCATTAGCTGAAATGACCATATGGCTTTTGTCCTCCATTCTGTTGATATGAAGTATCACATTGACTAATTTTCGTAGGTTGAACCATACTTGAATCCCAGAGATAAATCCCACTTGGTCATGGTGAATGGTCTTTTTAATGTACCGTTGAATTTGGTTTGCTAGTATTTTCTTGAGAGTTTTTACATCAATACTCATCAGAGGTATGAGCCTGTAGCTTTCTTCTTTTTTATGTGTCATTGTCTGATTTTGATCAAGGTAATACAGGCCTCATTAACTGAGGTTGAAAGTATTCCTCCCTACTCTATTTTTAAGGATAGTTTGAATATAATTGGTATAACCTCTTCTTTAAATTAAACAGTGAAGTCGTTGCGTCCCAGGCTTTTCTTTACTGGGAGACTTTTTCTTATGGCTTCACTATCATTACTTGTTATTGGTCTGTTCAGGTTTTGGATTTCTTCGTTGTCCAATCTTGGTAGGTTGTATGTGTCTAGGAATTTTTCCATTTCTTCCAGATTTTTCAATGTATTGGCATATAGTTTTTCATAGTAGCCACTAATGATCCTTTGAATTTCTGCAGTACCCATTATGTCTCCTTTTTCATCTCTGATTTTGTTTATTTGAATACTTTCTTTTTTCTTAGTCTGACTGAAGGTTTGTTAATTTTGTTTAATTTTTTAAAAAACAACTTTTGTTTCATTGATCTTTTGTATTGTTACTTTCATTTCAATTTCATTTATTTCTACTCTGCTCTTTATTATTTATTTTCTTCTAATTTTAGGTTTGGTTTGCTCTTTTCTACTTCTTTAAGATTAGTCATTAGGTTGTTTCTTTGAAGTTTTTCTTTTTTTTAATGTAGGCACTTATAGCCATAAATTTCCCTGCTAGTACTGCTTTTGCTGTATCTCATAGGTTTTGCTATGTTGTATTTTCATTATCATTTGTCTCAAAAAGTTTTTCAATTTCCTTCGTAATTTTTTCATTGACACATTAGTCATTCAGGACCACATTGTTTAATTTTCATGTATTCTTATAGTTTCCAAAAACTGTCTTGTTAATTTCTAGTTTTATTCCATTGTGGTTAGGGAAGATGCTTGATATTATTTTAATTTTTTAGATGTGTTAAGACTTGTTTTGTTACCTAACATATGGTCTATTCTTGAGAATAATCCATGAGCTGAGGAAAAGGATATGTATTCTGCAGCCATTGGATGCAATATTTTGTAAATATCTATTCGATCCATTTGGTCTATAGTGCAGATTAAGCCCAATGATTCTTTGTTGCTTTTCTGTCTGGAAGATCTGTTCAATGCTGAAAGTGGGGTATTGAAGTCTCCAGCCATTATTGTATTGCAGTCTCTCTCTCTAGCTCTAATAATATTTGCTTTATATATCTGGATGCTCCAGCGTTTGGTGCATATATACTTAAAATTGTTATATTCTCTTGTTAAATTGACCCCTTTATCATGATATACTCACTGGCTTTGTTTTTCCTTATAGTTTTTGTCTTGAAATCTATTTTGGCCTGATATGAGTATAGCTACTCCTGCTTGTTTTGTTGTTTCCATTGGCATGGAATACCTTTGTCCATCTCTTTGTTTTCAGATTATGAGTGTCTTTATAGGTGAAGTGTGTTTCTTATAGCAGCACATCAATGGGTCTTGTGCATTTAGCCACATCTTTTGATTGGCAGGTTTAGTCCATTTTCATTCAATGTTATTATTGATAAGTAGTACTCCTGCCATTTCATTGTTTTCTGGTTGTTTTGTGGTCTTCTCTTACTTCTTTCCTTCCTTCCTGTCTTTCTATAGTGACAGTGATTTTCTTTGGTTATATGATTTAGTTTTTTGCTGTTTCTTTTTTGTGTTATCTGTTGTATGTTTTTTGGTTTGAGGTTACCATAAGTCTTGCAAATATTGTCTTATAATCTCCTATTTTAAGCTCATAACAAAACTTTTGCATAAACAAACTACAAACAAGCAAAAAGAAAACTAATAAAAACTCTATGCTTTAACTTTGTCCCCCCACTTTTTAACTTTTTATTGTTTCTATTTATATCTTATCATACTGACTATGTCCTGAAAAGTTGTTGTAGTTAATTATTTTGGATTAGTTTATCAGTTAGTCTTTCTACTTGGGATAAGAGTAGTTTATACACCACAGTTACAGTGTAATCATATTCTGTGTTTTTCTGTATTTCTGTATACTGACTATTATCAGTGAGTTTTGTACCTTCAGATGATTACTTACTACTTGTTAATGTCCTTTTCTTTCTGATTGAAGTAATCCCTTTAGCATTTCTTTTTATACAGGTCTGATGTTCATGAACTCCCTCAACTTTTGTTTGTCTGGGAAAGTCTTTATTTCTTCTTGATGTTTGAAAGATATTTTCACCAGATATACTATTCTAGGGTAAAAGTATCTTTTTTCCTTAGCACTTTGAATACATTATGCCACTCTCTCATGGCCTCTAAGATTTCCACTGAAAGGTCTGCTGCCAAATGTATCTGGAGCTCCATTGTATGTTATTTGTTTAGGTTCTCTTGCTGCTTTAAGGATCCTTTCTTTATCCTTGATTTTTGGGACTTTGATAATTAAAAGCTTTGAGGTAGTCTTCTTCAGGTTAAATTGGCTTGGTGTTCTATGATCTTCTTGTACTTGAATATTGATATCTTTCTCTAGGTTTGGGAAATTCCCTGTTATTATCCCTTTAAATAAGCTTTCTACCTCTGTCTCTTTCTCTACCTCCTCTTTGAAGTAAATGAATCTTAAATTTGCCCTTTTAAGGTAATTTTCTAGATCCTGTAGGAATGGTTCATTGTTTTTTATTCTTTTTTCTTCTGTGTTCTCTGACTGTGTATTTTCATTAGCCTGTCTTCAAGCTCATTAATTCTTTATTCTGCTTGTGCAGTTCTGCTAGGGAAAGACTTTCATGCATTCTTCAGCATGCCAATTGCATTTTTTTCAGCTCCAGAATTTCTGCTTGATCCTTTTTAATTATTTTAAACTCTGTGAAATTTATCGGATAGAATTCTTAATTCTTTCTCTGTGTTATCTTGAATTTCTTTGAGTTTCTTCAACGTAGGCATTTTGAATTCTCTGTCTGAAAGATCGCACATCTCTATTTCTCCAGGACTGGTCCTTGGTACCTTATTTTGTTCGTTTGGTAAGACTATGTTTTCCTGGATTGTCTGGATACTTGCAGATGTTTGTTTCTGGGAAATTGAAGATTTAGGTATTTATAGCAGTCTTCACCATCTGGACTTGTTTGTACTCATCCTTCTATGGAAGGCTTTCCAGATATTTCAGAAAAAATATGGGTGCTGTAGAAAAAAATGTGGAAGAACCCAATAATTCTGTGGTTCTTCCAGACTTGTAGAGGTAGTGCCTTGATGATCTTGGACAAGATCTAGAATTCTCTGAATGACCAGGCAGAGACTCTTGTTCTTTTCCCCCACTTTTTCCCAAACAAATAGAGTCTCTCTGTCTGTTATGAGCCAACTGAAGCTCAAGGTGGAATGACACAGCACCACTGCGCCCACTACCACTATTACTGCACTGGTCAGGTCTGAAGCCAGCACAGCATGGGCCTGCTACTCTTGGGCTACTGTCTATGTTTGCTCAGGACCCTGGTGTTCTACAGTCAACAGGTGGCAAAGTCAACTAGGCCTGTGTTTTTTCCTTCTAGGAAGTGAGTTCCCCCAGGCTTCCAGGCAGGTTTGAAGGTACAGTCCAGGAGCCAGGGACTAGAATCAAGAATCTTAGGAGTCTAATTGGTGTTCTATCATACTGCAGCTGAGCTAGCACTCAACCCACAGGACACAGTCATTCCTACTCTTGCTTCATATATCCAAAGGCAGATGAGCCTCACCACATGGCTGCCACCACCACAGGCCTACAGGGAGGACTGCTAGACTACTGCTAATATTCCCTTAAGGCCCAAGGGCTCTTTCATCAGCTTATGGTGAATGCTGCCTGCCCTGGGACTCACCATTCAAGGCAAAAGGTGCCCCTTTGGCCCAGGGCAGATCCAAAAATGCCATCCAAGAACCATGTCCTTGAATCGGGGACCCCAAGAACCTTCCTGGTGCTCTTCCCTCCTGTTGCTGACCTGGTACCTAAAGTTCAAGACGAAGTCTCTGGTACTCTTCTCTCAGTCTTTCTCAAGCAGAAGAAGTCTTGTCTCTTAGCCACTAAAGCTGTGAATGTGCTGAGTCTCACATGAAGCCAGCAAGTCTCAGTCTTCTGAGGCCCTTGACGTAGTACCTGGGCATAGCTACTAGTTATTCAGGGTCCAAAGGCTCTTAAATTAGCAGGTGATGAATCCTGCAAGGACTTCCCTTCACAGAAGTGGTTTTCCTTCTGGCCCATGGTGTGTCTAGAAATGCTATCTGGGAGTTAGGGCCTGGAAAAGGGTCCTCACAACTCTACTCAATGTCCTATTCTGCTATGGCTGAGTTGGTATCTGGGATGCAAGACAAAGTCCTCCCTATTTTTTCCTCTCCTCTTTTTAACTGGAAGGAAGGGGTCCCTTTTGTTGCCATGAGCTGTGTGCAGACTAGGGTTAGGGAAGGGGTGATGCCAGAACTCCTTTAGCCACCTTAGCTGGTATCTCAGTAGGTCACATGCCCCACAAGTCTACTGGCTCTGGGTCCAGTTCAGCACTAAAATGCAGGGAAGTCCTGGCAGGATTCAGTAAACTATTCAAGAGTTGAAAGATAAAATAGCCGTTTTCAAAGAGAACAAAATTGATCTCAGAGAACTGAAAACTCACTACAAAAATTTCATAATACACCTTGAATTAACTTTTCTATAAGGTGTAAGGAAGGGATCCAGTTTCAGCTTTCTACATATGGCTAGCCAGTTTCCCCAGCACCATTTATTAAATAGGGAATCCTTTCCCCATTTCTTGTTTTTGTCAGGTTTGTCAAAGATCAGATGGTTGTAGATGTGTGGTGTTATTTCTGAGGGCTCTGTTATGTTCCATTGGTCTATATCTCTGTTTTGATACCAGTACCATGCTGTTTTGGTTACTGTAGCCTTGTAGTAAAGTTTGAAGTCAGGTAGCATGATGCCTTCAGCTTTGTTCTTTTTGTTTAGGATTGTCTTGGCAATGCGGTCTCCTTTTGGTTCCACATGAACTTTAAAGTAGTTTTTTTCCAATTCTGTGAAGAAAGTCATTGGTAGCTTGATGGGGATGGCATTGAATCTATAAATTACCTTGGGCAATATGGCCATTTTCATGATATTGATTCTTCCTATCCATGAGCATGGAATGTTCTTCCATTTGTTTGTGTCCTCTTTTATTTCATTGAGCAGTGGTTTGTAGTTTTCCTTGAAGATGTCCTTCACATCCTTTGTAAGTTGGATTCCTAGGTATTTTATTCTTTGTAGCAGTTGTGAATGGGAGTTCACTCATGATTTGGCTTTCTGCTTGTCTGTTCTTGGTGTATAGGAATGCTTGTGATTTTTGCAATTGATTTTGTATCCTGAGATTTGGCTGAAGTTGCTTATCAGCTTAAGGAGATTTTGGGCTGAGACGATGGGGTTTTCTAAATATACAATCATGTCATCTGCAAATAGGGACAATTTTACTTCCTCTTTTCCTAATTGAATACCCTTTATTTCTTTCTCTTCCCTGATTGCCCCTGCCAGAACTTCCAACACTATGTTGAATAAGAGTGATGAGCGTGGGCATCCTTGTATTGTGCTGGTTTTCAAAGGGAATGCTTCCAGTTTTTGCCCATTCAGTATGATATTGGCTGTGGGACTGTCATAAATAGCTCTTATTTTTTTGAGATACGTTCCATCAGTACCTAGTTTACTGAGGTTTTTAGCATGAAGTGCTGTTGAATTTTGTCAAAAGCCTTTTCGGCATCTATTGAGATAATCATGTGGTTTTTGTCGTTGGTTTTGTTTATGTGATGGATTGTGTTTATTGATTTGTGTATGTTGAACCAGCCTTGCATCCCAGGGATGAAGCCGACTCGATTGTGGTGGATAAGCTTTTGGATGTACTGCTGGATTCAGTTTGCCAGTATTTTATTGAGGATTTTTGCATCGATGTTCATCAGGGATACTGGTCTAAAACTTTCTTTTTTTGTTGTGTCTCTGTCAGGCTTTGGTATCAGGATGATGCTGGCTTCATAAAATGAGTTAGGGAGGATTCCCTCTTTTTCTATTGATTGGAATAGTTTCAGAAGGAATGGTGCCAGCTCCTCTTTGTACCTCTGGTAGAATTTGGCTGTGCATCTGTCTGGTCCTGGACTTTTTGGTTGGTAGGCTGTTAATTATTGCCTCAATTTCAGAGCCTGTTATTGGTCTATTCAGAGATTCAACTTCTTCCTGGTTTAGTCTTGGGAGGGTGTATGTGTCAAGGAATTTATTCATTTCTTCTAGATTTTCTAGTTTATTTGTGTAGAGGTGTTTATAGTATTCTCTGATGGTAGTTTGTATTTCTGTGGGATCTGTGGTGATATCCCCTTTATTATTTTTTATTGCATCTATTTGATTCTTCTCTCTTTTCTTCTTTATTAGTCTTGCTAGGGGTCTATCAATTTTGTTGATCTTTTCAAAAAACCAGCTCCTGGATTCATTGATTTTTTGAAGGGTTTTTTGTGTCTCTATTTCCTTCATTTCTGCTCTGATCTTAGTTATTTCTGCTCTGATCTTAGTTATTTCTTGCCTTCTACTAGCTTTTGAATTTGTTTGCTCTTGCTTCTCTAGTTCTTTTAATTGTGTTGTTAGGGTGTCGATTTTAGATCTTTCTTGCTTTCTCTTGTGGGCATTTAGTGCTAAAATTTCCCTCTACACACTGCTTTGAATGTGTCCCAGAGATTCTGGTCTGTTGTGTCTTTGTTCTCCTTGGTTTCAAAGAGCATCTTTATTTCTGCCTTCATTTTGTTATTTACCCTGTAGTCATTCAGGAGCAGATTGTTCAGTTTCCATGTAGTTGTGCAGTTTTGAGTGAGTTTCTTAATCCTGAGTTCTAATTTGATTGCACTGTGGTCTGAGAGATAGTTTGTTGTGATTTCTGTTCTTTTATATTTGCTGAGGAGTGCTTTACTTCCAATTATGTCGTCAATTCTAGAACAAGTGTGATGTGGTGCTGAGAAGAATGTATATTCTGTTGATTTGGGGTGGAGAGTTCCGTACATGTCTATTAGCTCCACTTGGTGCAGAGCTGAGTTCAAGTCCTGGATATCCTTGTTAACCTTCTGTCTCATTGATCTGTTTAATATTCACAGTGGGGTGTTAAAGTCTTCCATTATTATTGTGTGGGAGTCTAAGTCTCTTTGTAGATCTCTAAGGACTTGCTTTATGAATCTGGGTGCTCCTGTATTGGGTGCATGTATATTTAGGATAGTTAACTTTTCTTGTTGAATTGATCCCTTTACCATTATGTAATGGCCTTCTTTGTCTCTTTTGATCTTTGTCGGTTTAAAGTCTGTTTTATCAGAGACTAGAATTGCAACCCCTGCTTTTTTTTCCTTTCCATTTGCTTGGTAGATCTTCCTCCATCCCTTTATTTTGAGCCTATGTGTGTCTCTGCACGTGAGATGGATGTCCTGATTACAGCACACTGATGGGTCTTCACTCTTTATCCAATTTGCCAGTCTGTGTGTTTTAATTGGGGCATTTAACCAATTTACATTTAAGGTTAATATTGTTATGTGTGAATTTGATCCTGTCATTATGATGTTAGCTGGTTACTTTGCCCATTAATTGATGCAGTTTCTGCATAGCATCTATGGTCTTTACCATTTGGCATGTTTTTGCAGTGGCTGGTACCAGTTGTTCCTTTCCATGTTTAGTGCTTCCTTCAGGAGCTCCTGTAAGGCAGGCCTGGTGGTAAGAAAATCTGTCAGCATTTGCTTGTCTGTAAAGG
Organism: Homo sapiens; assembly: GCF_000001405.40. Lineage (NCBI taxonomy): Eukaryota > Metazoa > Chordata > Mammalia > Primates > Hominidae > Homo > Homo sapiens. Next base: position 89,245,057 of record NC_000001.11, on the reverse strand, counting down.
ATTTTATTTCTCCTTCACTTATGAGGCTTAGATTGGCTGGATATGAAATTCTGGGTTGAAAATTCTTTTCTTTGAGAATGTTGAATATTGGCACCCACTCTCTCTCTTTTTTTTTTTTTTTTTTTTTTGAGACAGAGTCTCACACTGTCGCCCAGGCTGGAGTGAAGTGGCATGATCTCGGCTCACTGCAAGTTCTGCCTCCCAGGTTCATGCCATTCTCCTGCCTCAGCCTCCTGAGTAGCTGGGACTACAGGTGCCTGCCACCATGCCCAGCTAATTTTTTATATTTTAGTAGAAACAGGGTTTCACCATGTTAGCCAGGATGGTATCAATCTCCTGACCTTGTGATCTACCCACCCCAGCCTCCCAAAGTGCTGGGATTATAGGCGTGAGCCACCATGCCCAGCCCCCACTCTCATCTTAAATCTTACACCTAAAACCATAAAAACCCTAGAGGAAAACCTAGGCAATACCATTCAGAACATAGGCATGGGCAAGGACTTCATGACTAAAACACCAAAAGCAATGGCAATAAAAGCCAAAATAGACAAATGGGATCTAATTAAACTAAAGCGCTTCTGCATGGCAAAAGAAACTACCGTCATAGTGAACAGGCAACCTGCAGAATGGGAGAAAATTTTTGCAATCTACCCATCTGGCAAAGGGCTGGTATCCTGAATCTACAAAGAACTCGAACAAATTTACAAGAAAAAAACAAACAAACCCCATCAAAAAGTGGGCAAAGGATGCGAAGAGACACTTCTCAAAAGAAGACATTTATGCAGCCTGTGGACACATGAGAAAAAGCTCATCTGGTCATTAGAGAAATGCAAATCAAAACCACCATGAGATACCATCTCACACCACTTAGAATAGCGATCATTAAAAAGTCAGGAAACAGCAGATGCTGGAGAGGATGTGGAGAAATAGGAGTGCTTTTACACTCTTGGTGGCAGTGTAAATTAGTTCAACCATTGTGGAAGACAGTGTGACGATTCCTCAAAGATCTAGAACTAGAAATACCATTTGACCCAGCAATGTCATTACTGGGTACATACCCAAAGGATTATAAATTATGCTACTATAAAGACATATGCACACATATGTTTATTGAGGCACTATTCACAATAGCAAAGTCTTGGAACCAACCCAAATGTCCATCAATGATAGACTGGATTAAGAAAATGTGTCACATATACACCATGGAATACTATGCAGCCATATAAAAGGATGAGTTCATGTCCTTTGCAGGGACGTGGATGAAGCTGGAAATCATCGTTCTCAGAAAACTATCACAAGGACAGAACACCAAACACCGCATGTTCTCACTCATAGATGGGAATCGAACAATGAGAACATTTGGACATAGGGTGGGGAACATCACACACCAGGGCTTGTTGGAGGGTAGGGGGCTGGGGGAGGGATAGCATTAGGAGAAATACCTAATGTAAATGACGAGTTGATGGGTGCAGCAAAGCAACATGGCACATGTATACCTATGTATCAAACATCCATGTTAAGCACATGTACCCTAGAACTTAAAGTATATAAAAATATTCATAATATAATTGGAAGCATTAACAGCAGAATACACCCAGCTGATGAAAGAATCTTAGAGCTCAAAAACCAGTTCTTCGCATCAACTCGGTCAGACTAAAATAAAGAAAAAATAATTTGAAAAGTGAACAGAGCCTCTGAGAAATATGTGATTATGTAAGGAGACTAAACCTATGACTCATTGGCATCCCCAAAATAGAGGGTGAGAAAGCAAGCAACTTGGAAAACATATATGAGGATATTGTTTATTAATATTTTCCCAACCTCACCATTCAGAGGTCAACATTCAAATTCAGGAAATTCAGGGAACCCCTGTGAAATACTATACATGATTAACATCCCCAAGACACATAGTCATAAGAGTCTCATAGGTCAATGTGAAAGAAAAAAAATCAAAGGCAGCTAAAGAGAAGAGGCAGGTAAAAAACAAAACAAAAAACGGATAAGGCCAACAGTGGACCTTTCAGCAGAAATCCTACAAGCTAGAAGAGATTGGAGACCTATATCCAGCATCCTTAAAGGAAAGAAATTCCATCCAATAATTTAATATTCTGTCAAAGTAAGCTTCATAAGCAAAGGAGAAATAACATCCTTTTCAGATAAGCAAATGTTAAGGGATTTTTTACCACCAGACCTGCCTTACAGGAGCTCTTTAAGGAACTGCCAAGCATGGAAATGAAAAACCAGTACCAGCAACCGCAAAAACACTCTTAAGTAAATAGACCATTGACACTATAAAACAATTACACAATAAATTCTACATAACAGCAAACTAACAACATGATGATAGGATAAAATCCACAGATATCAGTATTAATCTTGAAAGTAAATGGGCTAAACATCTCACTTAAAGACACAGTGGCAAGTTGGATAAAGAGGCAAGATCCAGGCTGGGCGCGGTGGCTCACACCTGTAATCCCAGTACTTTGGGAGGCCAAGTCGGGCAGATCTCGAGGTCAGGGGATTGAGACCATCCTGGCTAACATGGTGAAACCCCATCTCTACTAAAAATACAGAAAATTAGCTGGGCATGGTGGCAGGTGCCCGTAGTCCTAGCTACTCGGGAGGCTGAGGCAGGAGAATGGCGTGAATCTGGGAGGCAGATCTTGCAGTGAGCCGAGATCATGCCACTGCACTTCAGCCTGGGCAACAGAGCGAGACTCTATCTCAAAAAAAAAAAAAAAAAAAAAGAGGCAATATCCAACTGTGTATTGTCTTCAAGAGAACCATCTCACATGCAATGACACCCATAGGCTCAAAGTAAAGGAATGGAGAAAAATGTATGAAGCAAATCGAAAACAAAAAAAATAGCAGGTGTATTAGTCTGCTCTCACATTGCTATGAAGAAATACCTGAGACTGGGTAATTTACAAAGAAAAGACGTGTAATTGGCTCACAGTTCTGCAGTCTGTATGGGAAGTATAATTCTGGCAGCATCTGCTTCACTTCAGGGGAGACCTCAGGAAACATACAATTATGGCAGAAAGTGAAGAGGAAGCTGGCACATCTTACAAGGCCAGAGCAGGAGGAAGAGAGAGAGAAGGAGGAGGTGCCACACACTTTTAAAGAAACATATCTCATGAGAACTCATTCACTATACAGTACCAAGGGAGTATAGTGCTAAACCATGCTTGAGAACTCCACCCCCAGGATCCAGTCACCTTCCACCAGACCCCACCTTCAACAGTCGGGATGACAATTTGACATGAGATTTGGGTGATGACACATTTCCAAACCATATCAGTAGGGTTTGCTACTCTTATTTCTGACAAAACAAATTTTAAACCAACAATGATCAAAAAGGACAAGAAAGGCATTACATAATGATAAAGTGTCCTATTCAACAAGAAAACTTAACTATCCTAAATACATATTCACCCAACACTAGGGCACTCAGAGTCATAAAATAAGTTCTAAGAGATCTACAAAGAGATTGAGATAACCACACAATTATAGTGAGAGACTTCAACATCCAATGAACAGTATTACATCATTGAGGTAGAAAACTAATGACGATATTTGAGACAAACTCGACACTTGACCAATAAGGGCTAACAGATCTCTACAGAACACTCCAACCAACAATAAGAGAACATACATTCTTCTCATTCGCACAAGGCACACATTTAAAGTGGACCACACACTCAACCATAAAGCAATTCTCAACAAAGAAAAGAAAAACAATATCATACCTACCACACTATTGAACCACAGTGCAATAAAAATAAAAACCAATACAAAGAAGATCTACCAAAACTATACAAGTAGATAGAAATTTAACAATCTTCTCCTGAAGGGTTTTTGGGTAAACAATGAAACTAAAGAAGAAATCGAAATATTATTTGAAACCAAAAAAAACAAAGATACAACATACCAGAATCTTTGCAAACCAGCTAAAGCAATGTTAAGAGGAAAGTTCATAGCACTGAAGGCCTACATCAAAAAGTTAGAAAGCTCTCAAATTAACAACCTACAAATTAAAAACATAATGACAGGACAAAATCCACACATAACAATGTTAATCTTGAAAGTAAATGGGATAAACACCCCATTTAAAGGCATAGAGTGGCAAGTCGAATGAAGAGGCAACATCCAAGTGTAGGATGTCTTTAAGAGACACATCTAGAAGAACTAGAAAAACAAAGGCAAACCAATCACAGAGCTGATGGAAGAAAAAAACCAAAATCTGACCTGACTGAACAAAATGGAGATGAGAAAAGCCATACAAAAGATCAATGAAACCAAAAGTTAGTTCTTTAAAGAATAAATAAGATAAATTGAGTGATAACTAGGCTAATAAAGAAAAAATGAGAGAAGATCCAAATACACACAATCAGAAATGACAAAGATGACATTACCATAGAACCAACATATATGTAAAAGAAAAAAATAACCTAGAGACTGCTACGAACACTTTTATGCACACAAACTAGAAAACCTAGAAGAAATAGATAAATTCCTGGAAATATACAACCACCCAAGAGTGAACAGGGAAAAAACTGAAACCCTGAACAGACCAATAATGAGTTCCAAAATTGAATTAGTAGTAAAAAACCTACCAAACAGAAAAAGCCCTGGACTAAAAGGATTCATACCTGAATTCTACCAGCTGTATAAAAAAGAGCTGATACTAATCCTACTGACACTCTTCCAAAAAGTTGAGGAGACGGGACTCCTCCCTAACTCATTCTATGAGGTCAGCATTATTCTGATACCAAAACCTAGCAGAGGCAAATGAAAAAATAAAACTTCAGGTCAATATCCCTAATACACACAGATACAAAATTCCTCAAACCAAATCCAGCAGCACATAATAATGCTAATCCACAATGATTACGTAGTCTTTATTCCTTGAATATAAGGTTGGTTTAACATACACAAATCAGTAAAAGTGTTTTATCACATAAAAAGATCTAAAAACCACATGATCATCTCAATAGACATAGAAAAGTCTTTCAACATGCCTTCATGTTAAAAATCTTCAACAAACTAAGGATCAAAAGTACATACCTAAAAATAACTAGAGCTATCTATGACAAATCCGTTCCCAAGATCATACTGAATGGGCAAAAGCTAGAAGTATTTTCCTTGAGAAACAGAACAAGACAAAGATGCCTACTCTCACCGCTTCTATTCAACATAGTACTGGAAGTACTAGCCAGAGTAATCAGGCAAGGTTGGGGGTGGGGGTGGGGGGACACACATCCAAACAGGAAGAGAGGAAGTCAAACTATGTCTCTTTGCAAATGATTTGATTTTATACCTAGAAAACCTCATAGTCTGTGGCCCAAATATTCCTAGAACTGATAAACAACTTTGATAAAGCTTTAGGACACATAATTGACATGCAAAAATCAGTATAATTTCTATATACCTATAACATCTAAGCTGATAGCCAAATCAGGAATGCAGTCTCATTCACAATAGCCACAAAAAGAATAAATTAACTATGAATACAGCTAACCAGGGAGGTGAAAGATCTCTACAATGAGAATTACAAAACACTGATGAAAGAAATCTGAGACTACACCAACACATGAAAAAACATTTCATGCCTATGGGTAGGAAGACTCAATATTGTTAAATAGCCACACTGCCCAAAGCAATTTACACATCCAATGCTATTTCCATCAAACTACTAATGTAATTTTTCACAGAAGCAGAAAAATCTATTCTAAAATTTCTATGGAACCAGAAAAGAGCCCAAATCACCAAAGCAATCCTAAACAAAAAGAACAAAGCAGAGGTATCACACCACCCAAAATCGAACTATACTACAAGGCTCAGTAACCAAAACAACATGGTAAAGATACAAAAACAGACACGTAGACCAATGGAACAAGATAGAGAACCGAGAAACAACATTGCATACCTACAACCACCTGCTCTTCAACAAAGTCAAAGTGTGATACCATATCGAACTAGTTAGAATAGTTTTTATTAAAAAGTCAAAAACAGCAGATCAGCCAGTCAAGGGGCTGAGGATTTTCATTTGCAGATTTTTGCATCTTTGTACCTCCTTTTCCTGTAAATCTCCTTTAATCCAATAATGTCATACCTCATTGCAAATCAATGTCGTGCCATTCGTCTAAGGCAAGCAAAATCCATTTCTGTTCAGAGACAACAGACAAGAAGGTAATTTTGGAAAACAAAAGGGGTACCTATCCAATGTGGTGTGGGGAATCAACTTACGTTTGGTTTCCTCAGTAGTTGTATAGACTTCACGGATTAAGTATTTGACAAACATTTATTGAATGATTCACTAATGAAGAAAAAGGGTTAGAAGCACTTTTCTGGTTTTATTGTATCTTTGTAAGAAATAAGAGGTAGGACTTTAAAAAGAGATACCAAAAAAGGATAGGATACTGTTGGAAAAAATTACAATAAAAGGACAGATGATACCCAACTTCATTAAGAAAAACTTTTATAAATATCAGCCCCAACAGGCACACACCATAAATATTCCTTTACCTGAAAATCCTAAAGAGTAATGTTAACTTCTAAAATTCTATAACTAATAGAATTATAGAGTAATGTTAATTATTAAAATTCTGAAGAGTCAGATGTAATTTGAAGACCTCTTTGCTTTCCAATATCAGAGCTTTTTAGATTTGACAGAAACTTATAGAGTGATCCAGGGGCAAACAAAAGTATTCAGTAAATATTTGTTGAATGATTGAATAAATGAATGGATAAAGAAAAAATTGATATTTTCTTTAGATCCTATCAGTTATCCATGTTGCTAAATAACAGTATATATAAGAAATGTAAAATAGTGAAATGATTACCTAGTACGTAAGGCTGTAGAATAAAAAGGGAGATATTATGAGAAAGGTAAAATGAATGATTTGACAATCTAACTGAAAAGATATGTCATTATTTTTTCTTGATTATTTATTGTATAAATATCCTTTGTTTCAAGGATATAACTAACCAGGTACTACTAAAATATATTGTGTAAAATGTGTTTTAAAAATTAGGTCATTTTATTTCATATGATTCTATGTTTATACACTTCAAATTTGCTAAGATATTTTTCTCAACAAAGAACAGGAGAAGCACTTAATAAGCAAAACAGTATCTGGGCCTTAGGAAATTATAGCATATATTATAATCTGGATATATTTTTCATGGTACAAATTGGTCTAAGATTGTTGAATAGAACATTGAGTCTTAAACTTCCTCAGTGAATTTAAACCCCAGTCACTGGAGATTTTCAGGTATTAACGACCACTAAAATCATGGCCATCTGTCAATTACAAACCACCACTACTATAAGCCTCGATCCAGGCTCATACAAACATATATGTCAGGTGCCGAATTGCAGGCCTTTGTTTATTCCACACTCCTGCTAAACTTTTCACCACCCAGTCCATGCTAATATCTGGAATCAGCTTCAAGACATTCTCCAGATACTCATCTTCTGTTGTGGAGTGTCAACCTAACTTCAGCTCCAGCATGACATCTCATACAGCCCAAGCAAAGTCTGGAAAGACCACAAACCCTGTGAAGTGATCTACTTAATCAGGGGTCAAAGAGAATTTTGCCCGGATTAGAGCTTTTACTTGAGTAACATAGCTAGGATCTTACCCAAAGAATGAGAAATGCCCTTCACCACAATTTCCAAGACTCACTTAGAAAAACCTTTTTATTTGTATTTATTTATTTATTTATTTATTTATTTGAGACAGAGTTTCACTCTGTCACCCAGGCTGGAGTGCAGTGGCGCGATCTTGGCTCACTGCAACCTCCACCTCCCAGGTTCAAGTGATTCTCCTGCCTCAACTCCCCAGTAGCTGGGACTACAGGTGCATGCCACCACGCCTGGCTAATTTTTTTTGTATTTTTAGTAGAGATGGGGTTTCACCCTGTTAAACCAGTATAGTCTCGACCTCCTGACCTCATGATCTGCCCACCTCAGCCTCCCAAAGTGCTGGGATTACAGGCATGAGCCACCATGCTCATCCAGAAACATGGTTTTAAACATCAACTTTTGCCATCTATCTTCTTCTTTTCAACTACGACAATTGGGTAGAAGGAAAGAAGAAACACTCTTGGTTGAAATTTCTGTAAATTCAATGAGATGTGGTGGTTTGGTTCTCGGAAACATACTATACACCTGCTCCAGGGCCTGATGGTTGATGGTACTTGTGCTGGAATTTTGAATTTGTGCTCATCAGGGATATTGACCTGAAGTCCTTTTTTTCATGGTCTCTGCCAGGTTTTGGTATTAGAATGATGCTGCCAAGGTAGGGCCAAGATGAGCAACTAGAAGCAGCTATGGTTGAAGGCTCCCACCAAGAAGAACCAAAACACCCCACGAATCCTGCACCAGCAACCAAGGTATCCAGCTTCTATCATCAGGACTGACTAGGCAGTTGGCATGACCCACAGAGAACAAGAAAAAGCAGGGTGGTGCATCGGCCCACCTGAGAGCCACATGGGGCAAGGGGAGCTCCCGCCCCCAGCCAAAGGAGGCGTTGAGTGAGCATGCTACCCAGCCTGGAAAACCATGCTTTTTCTATGAATCTTTGTAACCCACGTATCAGGAGATCCCACTAGTGAGCCCATGCCACCAGGGCCTTGGGTCCCAATCACAGAGCCGCACAGATTCTCAACAGCCACTCATTTGGAGTCTGCATAAGACTACCAAGTTCCCAGGGGGATGGGCGGCCATCATCACTGCAGCTGTCTGCTGCCTAAGACAACTGAGTTCCCCAAGGGAGGAGTGGCCATCATCACTGCAGCTACCTGTAACCTAAGAAAACTGACCTCCCCAGGCGAGGGACGGCAGCCATCACTGTGGCCGCTAGCTGCCTTAGATGCTGAACTCCTGGCATGGGGCTAGGGTGGCAGCCATCACTACAGCTCCAGGCCACCTTTTTTACCCTGCTGGTGCTGGGGAGACTGGCCAGCTTGGTCCCAAGAGGTATTCCACATAAAGCAGCACACCAGCTGTGGCAGATTGTGGCCAGACTACCTCTTTAGGTCAGCCCATGGCCCTTTTCTCCTCACTGGGCAGGGCCTCCACGCAGGAACTCCAGCAACTTCAGCCAAGGGCTTAGGGACAGAACTCTGATTGCCCTGAGCCTGAGCCCCTAGAGGGAAGAGTGACCATGGTTTCCAACAGACATAGTCTTTCCTCCTGCTGCCACTAAGGAATGTGGGCAGCCCAGACAAATGGGTCTCCCTGCAGTACAGCACACCCCTTTCACCAAGAAACAGCCAATGTGCTTTGGTAAGTGGATCCCAGATCCCATACCCCCAAACTGGGTGACACCTCCCAATAGAGGTCGCCAGACACCTTATACAAGAACGTTCCTACTGGCATCAAGACAGTGACCCTCGAGGACAGAGATACCAAAGGAAGGAGCAAGTATCCATTTTTGCTGTTCTCCAGCCTCCTTGGGTAACATCTCCAGGTGCAAAGGAGCCCAGATGAATAGGTCCTGAAGTGACCCCCAGCAAATTGCATCAGCCCTGCAGAAGAGGGTCCAGACTGTTGAACAAAACAAACAAACAAACAAACAAACAAACAAACGGAAAGCCACAACAACAGCGTCAACCAAAAATTCCCAACTAAAACACCATCCAAAGGTCAGCAGCCTCAAAGACTGAAACTAAACAAACTCATGAAGATGACAAAGAATCAATGAAAAAACACTGGAAACTCAAAAGGCCAGAGTGCCTCTTCTCCAGATGATCACAAGACTCTCCCAGCAAGGGCACAAAACTGGCCAGAGGCTGAGATGTATAAACTGACAAGAGTAGGCTTCAGAAAGCAGGTAATAACAAATTTTGCTGAGCTAGACGAGCATGTTCTAACCCGATACAAAGAAGCTAAGAACGATGATAAAAGATTACATGAGCTGCTAACTAGAATAACCAGCTTAAAGAGAAACATAAATAACCTGATGGAGCTGAAAAACACAGCACAAGAACTTCATGATGCAAACACAAGTATCAATAGCAAAGCTGATCAAGAGGAAGACAGAATATAAGAGTTTGAAGACTGTCTTGCTGAAATAAGGCAGGTAAACATGATTAGAGAAAAAAGAATAAAAAGGAATGAACAAAACCTCCAAGACCTATGGGACTATGTAAAAAGACCAAACCCATGATTGATTGGAATACCTGAAAGAGACGAGGAGAATGGAACCAAGTTGGAAAACACACTTCAGGATATCATCCAGAAGAACTTCCCTAACCTAGCAAGACAGGCCAACATTCAAATTCAGGAAATACAGAGAACCCCAGTAAGATATTCCACAAGAAGTTCAACCCCAAGACACATAATCGTCAGATTCTCAAAGGTCGAAATGAAGGAAAATATGTTAAGGGCAGAGAGAAAGGCCAGGTCACCTACCAAGGGAAGTCTATCTGGCTAATAATGGACCTCTCAGCAGAAACCTTACAAGGCAGAAGAAAGTGGGGGGAAATATTGAACATTCATAAAGGAAAGAATTTCCAACCCAGATTTTCATATCCAGCCAAACTAAGCTTCATAAGCAAAGGAGAAATAAAATCCTTTTCCAGACAAGTAAATGCTGAGGGAATTCATCACCACCAGGCCTGCCTTGCAAAAGCTCCTGAAAGCAGCATTAAATATGGGAAGGAAACACCAGTACCAGCCACTGCAAAAATACACTGATGTACAAAGACGAATGACACTATGAAGAAACTGCATCAGCTAGTATGCAAATAACCAGCTAGCATCATGATGACAGGATTAAATTCACACATAACAATATTAACCTTAAATGTAAATGGGCCAAATGCCCCAGTCAAAAGACACAGACTGGCAAATTGGATAAAGAGTCAATATCCATGGGTGTGCTTTATTCAAGAGACTCATCTCATGTGCAAAGACACACATAGATTCAAAATAAAGAGATGGAGGAAAATCTACCAAGCAAATGGAAAGCAGAAAAAAGCAGGGGTTGCAATCTAGTTTTGACAACACAGACTTTAAACCAACAAAGGTCAAAAAAGACAAAGAAGGGCATCACATAATGGTAAAGGAATGAATTCAACAAGAAGAGCCAACTATCCTAAATATATACGCACCCAATACAGGAGCACTCAGAGTCATAAAACGAGTTCTTAGAGACCTACAAAGAGACTTAAACTCCCACACAATAATAGTGGGAGACTTTAACACCCCATCTTCAATACCATACAGACCATCAAGAGAGAAAATTAACAAAGATATTCAGGACTTGAACTCAGATCTGGATCAAGTGGACCCAACAGATATCTACAGAACTCTCCTCCCTAAAACAACAGAATATACTTTCTTCTCAGTTCCACATGGCACTTACTAAAAAATTGATCACGTAATTGGAAGTAAAACACTCCTCAGAAAATGCAAAAGAACTGAAATAATAACAAACAGTCCCTCAGACCACAGTGCAATCAAATTAAGACTCAAAATTAAGAAACTCACTCAAAACCACATAACTACATGGAAATTGAACAATCTGCTCCTGAATGACTCCTGGGTAAATAATGAAATTAAGGCAGAAATAAAGTTCTTTGAAACCAATGAGAACAAAGAGACAATGTATCAGAATCTCTGGACACAGCTAAAACAGTGTTAAGAGGGAAATTTATAGCACTAAATGTCCACATCAGAAAGCTAGAAAGATCTCAAATCAAAACCCTCACATCATAACTAAAAGAACTAGAGAAGCAAGAGCAAACAAATCCAAAAGCTAGCAGAAGACAAGAAATAACGAAGATCAGAGTGGAACTGAAAGAGATAGAGACAGAAAAAAACCCTTAAAAAATCAATGAATCCCAGAGCTGGTTTTCTGAAAAAATTAATAAAATAGATAAAACACTAGCTAGACTAATAATGAAGAAAAGTGATAAGAATCAAATAGACAGAATAAAAAATGAAATGCAAACAACCATCCAAGAATACTATAAACATCTCTACACAAAAAAAAAACTAGAAAATATAGAAGAAATGGATAAATTCCTGGATGCATACAACCTCCCAAGACTAAACCAGGAAGATCAAATTCCTTACTAGACCAATAACATGTTCTGAAACTGAGACAGTAATTAACAGCCTACCAACCAGAAAAGTCCAGGACCAGATGGATTTACAGTCAAATTCTACCAGAGGCACAAAGAGAAGCTAGCACCATTCATTCTGTAACTATTCCAAACAATTGAAAAGGTGGGACTTCTCCCTAACTCATTTGATAAGGCCAGCATCATCATCAAAACCTGGCAGAGACACAACGAAAAAAGAAAACTTCAGACCAATATCCCTGATGAACACTGATGCAAAATTTCTCAATAAAACACAGACAAACCAAATCCAGCAGCACATCAAAAAGCTTATCCACCATGATAAAATTGGCTTTATCCCTGGGATGCAAAGCTGGTTGAACATATGCAAACCAATAAACGTAACTCATCACACAAAAAAACTAATGAAAAAATCACTGATTATCTCAATAGACACAGAAAAGGCCTTTGATAAAATTCAACATGACTTTATGTTAAAATAAACTAGGTGCTGATTGAACATAAAACAATAAGAACCATTTATGACAAATTCACTAAATGGACAAAAGCTGGAGGCATTCCATTTGAAAACCAGCACAAGACAAAGATGCTGTCTCTCACCACTCCTATTCAACATAGTATCGGAATTTCTTGCCAGGGCAACCAGGCAAGAGAAAGAAATAAAGAGTATTTGAATGGGAAGAAAGAAAGTCAAATTATCTCAGTTTGCAGACGACATGATCCTATATCTAGAAAACCCCATCATCTCAGCCCAAAAGGTCCTTAAGCTGATAAACAACTTCAGCAAAGTCTCAGTATACAAAATCAATGTGCAAAAATCACAAGCATTCTTATATACCAACAATAGACAGAGAGCCAAATCTTAAAGGAACTCCCATTCACAATTGTTCATAATTGCTACAAAGAGAATAAAATACCTAGGAATGCAGCCAACAAGGGATGTGAAGGATATCTTCAAGGAGAATTACAAACCACTGCTCAAGGAAATAAGAGAGGACACAACCAAATGGGAAAACATTCTGTGCTCACAGATAGGAAGAAGAAATATCATGAAAATGGCCATACAGCCCAAAGTAATTTATAGATTCAATGCTGTTCCCATTAAACTACCATTAACATTCTTCACAGAAATAGAAAAAACTACTATAAAATTCATCTAGAACCAAAAAAGTGCCTGTATAGCCAAGATAATCCTAAGCAAAAAGAACAAAGCTGGAGACATCACACTACCCAACTTCAAACTATACTACAAGGCTACAGTAACCAAAACATCATGGTACTGGTACCAAAACAGACACATAGACCAATGAAACAGGCTAGATATATAAGAAATCAGACCACACATCTACAACCATCTGATTTTCAACAAACCTGACAAAAACAAGCCATGGGGAAAGGATTCTCTATTTAATAAATGGTGCTGGGAAAACTCACTGACCATATGTACAAAACTGAAATTGGACCCTTTCCTTACACTTTATACAAAACTTAACTTAAGATGGATTAAAGACTTAAATGTAAAACCCAAAACCATAAAAACCCTAAAAGAAAATCTAGGCAATACCATTCAGGACATAGGCATGGGCAAATATTTTATGATTAAATTGCCAAAAGCAATTGCAACAAAAGCCAAAATTGACAGATTGTATCTATTAAACTAAAGAGCTTCTGCACAGCAAAATAAACTATCATCAGAGTGAACAGACAACCTACAGAATGGGAGAAAATCTTTGCAATCTACCCATCTTACAAAGGTTTAATATCCAGAATCTACAAGGAATTTAAACAAATTCACAAGAAAAAAACAACCTCATCAAAAAGTGGTCAAAGGACATGAACAGAGACTTCTCAAAAGAAGACTTTTATGTGGCCAACAAATGTATGAAATAAAGCTCAATATCACTGATAATTAGAGAAATGCAAATAAAAACTACAATGAGGTATCATCTCAGGCCAGTCAGAATGGCAATTATCAAAAAGACAACAAACAACAGATGCTGGCCAAGCTGTGGAGAAATAGAAATGCTTTTGGAGGGTCCGTTCCAAGATGGCCGAATAGGAACAGCTCTGATATGCAGCTCCAGCAAGATCATCACAGAAGACAGGTGATTTCTGCATTTCCAACTGACGTACCAGGTTCATCTCAATGGGACTGGTTGGACAGTGGGTGCAGCCCACAGAGGGTAAGCTGAAGCAGGGCAGGGCATTGCCTTGCCCAGAAAGGACAAGGGGTTAGGGGATTTCCCTTTCCTAGCCAAGGGAAGCCATGACAGACTGTACCTGGAAAAATGGGACACTCCTGCCCAAATACTGCACTTTTCCAATGGTCTTAGCAAACGACAGACCAGGAGATTCTATCCCACGCCTGGATCAGCAGGTCCCATGCCCATGGAGTGTTGCTTACCACCAGCACAGCAGTCTGAGATTGACCTGCGAGGCAGCAGCCTGGCAGGGGGAGGGGCATGAGCCATTGCCGAGGCTTGAGTAGGTAAACAAAGCGGCCAGGAAGTTTGAACTAGGCAGAGCCCACCACAGCTCAGCAAGAGCTGATGCCCATATGGAACCCACCTCCAGGGGAAGGGCATAGCTGAACAAAAGGCAACAGAAACTTCTGCAGAATTAAACATCCCTGTCTGACAGCTCTGAAGAGAGCAGTGGTTCTCCAAGCACAGCATTTGAGCTCTGAGAACGGAGTGCCTCCTCAAGTGGGTCCCTGACCCCTGTGTAGCCTAACTGGGAGACACCTCCCAGTAGGGGCTGACTAACACCTCATACAGGCAGTTGCCCCTCTGGGATGAAGCTTCAAGAGAGAAGGATCAGGCAGCAATATTTGCTGTTCTGCAATATTTGCTGTTGTGCAGCCTTCCAAGGTGATACCCCGGCAAACATGGTCTGGAGTGGACCTCCAGCAAACTCCAACAGATCTGCAGCTGAGGGACCTGACTGTTAGAAGGAAAACTAACAAAAAGAAAGGAATAGCATCAGCATCAAGAAAAAAGACATCCACACGGAAACCCCATCTGTAGGTCACCAACATCACACTAAAGGTAGATAAACCCACAGAAATGGGGAGAAACCAGAGCAGAAAAGCTGAAAATTCTAAAAACCATAGCACCTCTTCTCTGCCAAAGAATCTCAGCTCCTCAACAGCAATGGAACACAGCTGGATGGAGAATGAATCTGATGAGTTCACAGAAGAAGGTTTCAGAAGGTCGATAGTAACAAACTTCTCCAAGCTAAAGGAGCATGTTCGAACACATCGCAAGGAAGCTAAAAACTTTGAAAAAAGATTAGACGAATGTCTAACTAGAATAAACAGTGTAGAGAAGACCTTAAATGACCTGATGGAGCTGAAAACCATGGCATGAGAACTTCATGATGCATGCACAAGCTTCAGTAGCCAATTCAATCAAGTTGAAGAATGGGTATCAGTGATTGAAGTTCAAATTAATGAAATAAAGTGAGAAGAGAGGTTTAGAGAAAAAAGAGTAAAATGAAATGAACAAAGCCTCCAAGAAATATGGGACTATGTGAAAAGACTAAACCTACGTTTGATTGGTGTACCTGAAAGTGACGGGCAGAATGGAACGAAGTTGGAAAACACTCTGCAGGATATTATCCAGAAGAACTTCCCCAACCTAGCAAGGCAGGCCAACATTCAAATTCAGAAACTACAGAGAACACCACAAAGATACTCCTGGAGAACAGCAACCCCAAGACACATAATTGTCAGATTCACCAAGGTTGAAATGAAGAAAAAAATGTTAAGGGCAGCCAGAGAGAAAGGTCGGGTTACCCACAAAGGGAAGCCCATCAGACTAACAGTGGATCTCTCAGCAGAAACTACAAGCCAGAAGAGAGTTGGGGCCAATATTCAACATTCTTAAAGAAAAGAATTTTCAACCCAGAATTTCATATCCAGCCAAACTAAGCTTCATAAGTGAAGAGAGACAAAATCCTTTACAGACAAGTGAACGCTGAAAGATTTTGCCTGCCTTGCAAGAGCTCCTGAAGGAAGCACTAAACATGGAAAGGAACAACCGGTACCATCCACTGCAAAAACTTGCCAAATCGTAAAAACCATTGATGCTAGGAAGAAACTGCATCAACTAACAAGAAAAATAACTAGCTAACATCATAATAACAGGATCAAATTCACACATAACAATATTAACCTTAAATGCAAATGGGCTAAAGGCCCCAATTAAAAGACACAGACTGGCAAAGTGGATAAAGAGTCAAGACCCATCAGTGTGCTGTATTCAGGAGACCCATCTCATGTACAGAGACACACATAGGCTCAAAATAAAGGGATGGAGGAAGATCTACCAAGCAAATGAAAAACAAAACAAAACAAAAGGCAGGGGTTGCAATCTTAGTCTCTGATAAAACAGACTTTAAACCAAAAAAGATCAAAAGACACAAAGAAGGCCATTACATAATGGTAAACAGATCAATTCGACAAGAAGAGCTAACTATCCTAAATATATATGCACTCAATACAGGAGCACCCAGATTCATAAAGCATGTCCTTAGAGACCTACAAAGAGATTTAGACTCCCACACAGTAATAATGGGAGACTTTAACATCCCACTGTCAATATTAGACAGATCAATGAGACAGAAGGTTAACAAATATATCCAGGACATGAATTCTTCCCTGCACCAAGTGGACCTAATAGACATCTACAGAACTCTCCACCCCAAATCAACAGAATATACATTCTTCTCAGCACCATATTGCACTTATTCTAAACTTGACCACATAATTGGAAGTAAAGCACTTCTCAGCAAATATAAAAGAACAGAAATCACAAGAAACTCTCTCAGACCACAGTGCTATCAAATTAGAACTCAGGATTAAGAAACTCACTCAAAACCACACAGCTACCTGGAAACTGAACAACCTGCTCCTGAATGACTACTGGGTACATAATAAAATGAAGACAGAAATAAAGATGTTCTTTGAAACCAATGAGAACAAAGACACAGCAGACCAGAATCTCTGGGACATATTTAAAGCAGTGTGTAGAGACAAATTTATAGCACTAAATGCCCACAAGGGAAAGCAGGAAAGATCTGAAGTTGACACCCAACATCACAATTAAAAGAACTAGAGAAGCAAGAGCAAACAAATTCAAAAGCTGCAGAATGCAAGAAAGAACTAAGATCAGAGCAGAACTGAAAGAGATAGAGACACAAAAAAAACCTTCAAAAAGTCAATGAATCCAGGAACTGGCTTTTTGAAAAGATCAACAAAATTAATAAACCACTAGTAAGACTAATGAAGAAGAAAAGAGAGAAGAATCAAATAGATGCAATAAAAAATGATAAAGGGGATATCACCACTGATCCCACAGAAATACAAACTACCATCAGAGAATACTATAAACCCCACTACACAAATAAGCTAGAAAATCTAGAAGAAATGGATAAATTCCTGGACATATACAGCCTGCCAAGACTAAACCAGGAAGAAATTGAATCTCTGAATACCAAATAAGGTCAAATACCAACCAAATAAAGTCCAGGACCAGAAGGATTCACAGCCGAATTCTACCAGAGGTACAAAGAGAAGCTGGCACCATTCCTTCTGAAATTATTCCAATCAATAGAAAAACAGGGAGTCCTCCCTAACTCATTTTATGAGGCCAACATCATTCTGATACCAAAGCCTGGCAGGGACACAACAACAACAAAAAAGAATTTTAGGCCAATATCCCTGATGAACATTGATGTGAAAATCCTCAATAAGTTACTGGCAAACCAAATCCAGCAGCACATCAAAAAGCTTATACACCACGATCAAGTCGGCTTCATCCCTGGGATGCAAGCCCGGTTCAACATACACAAATCAATAAACATAATCCACCACATAAACAAAACCAATTACAAAGTCTCAGGATACAAAGTCAATGTGCAATAATCACAAGCATTCCTGTACACCAATAACAGGCAAACAGAGAGCCAAATCATGAGTGAACTCCCATTCACAATAGCTAGAAAGAGAATAAAATATCCAGAATAAAATATCTAGGAATCCAACTTACAAGGGATGTGAAGGACATCTACAAACCACTGCTCAATGAAATAAAAGAGGACACAAACAAATGGAAGAACATTCCATGCTCATGGATAGGAAGAATCAATACCATGAAAATGGCCTTACTGCCCAAGGTAATATAGATTCAATGCCATCCCCATCAAGTTACCAATGACTTTCTTCACAGAATTGGAAAAAACTACTTTAAAGTTGATATGGAACCAAAAAATAGCCCGCATTGCCAAGACAATC
Source organism: Homo sapiens (assembly GCF_000001405.40). Lineage (NCBI taxonomy): Eukaryota > Metazoa > Chordata > Mammalia > Primates > Hominidae > Homo > Homo sapiens. Next base: position 89,226,663 of record NC_000001.11, on the reverse strand, counting down.
CTAAGCAAAAAGAACAAAGGTGGAGGCATCACGCTACCTGACTTCAAACTATACTACAAGGCTAAAGTAACCAAAACAGTATGGTACTGGTACCAAAACAGATATATAGACAAATGGGACAAAACAGAGGCCTCAGAAATAACCCCACACATCTATAACCATCTGATCTTTGACAAACCTGACAAAAACAAGAAATGGGGAAAGGATTCCCTATTTAATAAATTGTGCTGGGAAAACTGGCTGGCCATATGTAGAAAGCTGAAACTGGATCCCTTCCTTACAACTTATACTAAAATTAATTCAGGATGGATTAAAGACTTAAATGTTAGACCTAAAACCATAAACACCCTAGAAGAAAACCTAGGCACTACCATTCAGGACATAGGCATGGGCAAGGATTTCATGACTAAAACACCAAAAGCAAAGGCAACAAAAGCCAAAATAGACAAATGGGATCTAATTAAACTAAAGAGCTTCTGCACAGCAAAAGAAACTACCATCAGAGTGAACAGGCAACCTACAGAATGGGAGAAAATTTTTGAAATCTATCCATCTGAAAAAGGGCTAATGTCCAGAGTCTACAAAGAACTTAAACAAATTTACAAGAAAAAAGCAAACAACCCCATCAAAAAGTTACCAAAGGATACGAACAGACACTTCTCAAAAGAAGACATCTATGCAGCCAACAGACACATGAAAAAGAGGGAATCCTCCCTAACTCATTTTATGAGGCCAACATCAGTCTAATACCAAAGCCTGGCAGGGACATAACAACAACCAAAAAGAATTTTAGACAAATATCCCTTATGAACATCGATGCGAAAATTCTCAATAAGTTACTGGCAAACCGAATCCAGCAACATATCAAAAAGCTTATACAGCACGATCAAGTTGGCTTCATCCCTGGGATGCAAGACTGGTTCAACATACACAAATCAATAAACGTAATCCATCACATAAACAGAACCAATGACAAAAACCTCATGATTATCTCAATAGATTCAGAAAAGGCCTTTGACAAAATTCAACAGCCCTTCATGCTAAAAAGTCTCAGTAAACTAGGTATTGATGGAACGTATCTCAAAATACTAAGAGCTTAAGAGCTATTTATGACAAACCCACAGCCAATATCATACTGAATGGGCAAAAACGTGAAAAAATATTCATCATCACTGGCCCTCAGAGAAATGCAAAAGAAAACCACAATGAGATACCATCTCACACCAGTTATAATGGTGATCATTAAAAAGTCAGGAAACAACAGATGCTGGAGAGGATGTGGAGAAACAGGAGCGCTTTTACCCTGTTGGTGGGAGTGTAAATTAGTTCAACCATTGTGCAAGATAGTGTGGTGATTCCTCAAGGATCTAAAACTAGAAATACCATTTGACCCAGAGATCACATTACTGGGTATATACACAAAGAATTATAAATCATGCTGCTATAAAGACACATGCACACATATGTTTATTGCAGCACTATTCACAAGAGCAAAGGCTGGGAACCAACTCAAATGTCCATCAATGATAGATTGGACTAAGACAATGTGGCACATATACTATGGAATATTATGCAGCCATAAAAAAGGATGAGTTCATGTCCTTTGCAGGGACATGAATGAAGCTGGAAACCATCATTCTTAGCAAACTATCACAAGGACAGAAAAACAGACACCGCCTGTTCTCACTCATAGATGGGAATTGAACAACGAGAACAGTTGGACACAGGGCAGGGAACATCACACACTGGGGTGTGTCATGGGTTGGGGGGCTGGAGGAGGGATAGCATTAGGAGAAATACCTAATGTAAATGACGAGTTGATGGGTGCAGCAAACCAACATGGCACATGTATGCCTGTGTAACAAACTTGCATGTTGTGCACATGTACTCTAGAACTTAAAGCATAATAAAAAAAATAAAAGAAATGCTTTTATACTGTTGGTGGTAATGTAAATTAGTTCAACCATTGTGGAAGACTGTGGCAATTCCTCAAGGATCTACAGCCAGAAACACCATTTGACCCAGCAATACCATTACTGGGTATATAACCAAAGGAATATAATTCATTCTATTATAAAGATACACGCATGTATATATTTATTGCAGCGCTATTCACAACAGCAAAGACATGGAATCAACCCAAATACTCATCAATGATATACTGGATGAAGAAATGGAATACTATGCAGTCATAAAAAGGAATGAGATCATGTCCTTCACAGGGATATTGATGGATCTGGAAGCCATTATCCTCAGCAAATTAACACAGGAACAGAAAACCAAACACTGCATGTTCTCTCTCATAAGTGGGAGCTGAACAATGAGAAAACATAGACATACAGAGGGGAACAACACACACCGGGGCCTGTCAGTGTCATGGTGGGAGGGAGAGCATCAGGATAAATAGCTAATGCATGTGGAGCTTAATATCCAGGTGATGGGTTGATAGGAGCAGCAAACCACCATGGCAAGCATTTACCCATGTAAGAAATCTGCACATCTTGCACACGTATCCCCAGAACTTAAAATAAAATTAAATGTTTTTTAAAAGAATGATGCTGGCTTCACAGAATAAGTTAGGGAAGAATCTATCCTCCTTGATCTTTTGGAATAATTTCAGGAGGATTGGTACTAGTCCTTCTTTGTATGTCTGGCAGAATTTGGCTGTGACTCTGCCTGGTTGAGGGCTTTTTTGATCAGTAGTCTTTATTGCTTATTCAATTTCAAAACTCCTTATTCAGCCTAATAATTTAATTTCTTTCTGGTTCAATCTTGAGAGGCTGTGTGTTTTCAGGAATTTACCTATTTCTTCTAGGTTTTCTCATTTGTGTGCAGAAAGGTGTTTGTAATAGTCTCTGATAATTTTTTGTATTTTTGTGGGGTTGGATGTAATTTTAGCTTTGTTGTTTCTGATTGCATTTGGATCTTCTCTCTTTACTAATCTACCTATTGCTCTATCAATCTTGTTTAGTCTTTCAAAGAACCAACTTTTGGTTTTATTGATCCTTTGTATGAATTTTTCATCTTAATTTCATTCAGTTCAGGTCTGATTTTGGTTATTTCTTATCTGCTAGATTTGGGATTGATTTACTTTTGTTTTTTTCATTTCTCTAGGTGCGACATTAGGTCGTTAATTTGATATCATTTTCACTGCTTGATGTAGGTATCTAGTGGTATAAACTTTCCTCTTAACACTGCTTTAACTGTGTTGCAAAGAATCTGGCATATTGGGTCTCTGTTTTCATTAGTTTCAAATCATTTTTTGAATTCTACCTTAATTTCATTCTTTATCCAAAAGTCATTCAGAAGCAGGTTGCTTAACTTCCATGTACTTGTATTGTTTTGGTAGATCTTCTTTGTATTTATTTCTAATTTTATTGCACTGTGGTCCAATAATATAGTTAGTATGATTTTGATTTTCTTGAATTTGTTTAAATATGCCTTAGGATCAAGTATGTGGTCATTTTTAGAGCATGTGCCACGTGCAGAGAAGAAAAATATATATTCTGTTGTTGTTGAGTAGAGTGTTCTGTAGACGTCTGTTAGGTCCAATTGGTCAAGGGTCGAATTTAAGTACAGGATATCTTTGTTAGTTTTCTGCCTTAATGATCTTATCTAACACCATCAGTGGAGTGTTGATGCTTCCCACTATTATTGTGTGCTTGTCTACATCTCTTCATAGATCTTTAAGAACTTGTTTTACAAATCTGGGTGCTCCAGTGGTGGGTGTATTTATATTTAAGACATGTACATCTTGTTAGATTGAAGTCTTTATAATTATTTAATGTCCTTCTTTGTCCTTTTTGTTTGTTTTTGGTTTATAGTCTGATTTGTCTGATATAAGAATATATTAGATCTTCTTTTTTGTTTTCCATTTGCCTAATAGATTTTTATTCATCCCCTTACTTCTAGCCAGTGTGTGTCATTACTTGTGAGATGGATCTCTCAAATACAGCATAGAATTGGGTCTTGCTTCTTTATCCAACTTACCACTCTGTGCCTTTTATGTTAGGCGGTTAGCCCATTTACAGTCAAAATCATTATTGTATATAAGGATTTGATCCTGTCATCATGCTGTTAGCTGGTTGCTATGTAAACTTGATTGTATTTTTGCTTTATAGTGTCAATGGCCTATGTACTTAAGCGTGTTTTTTTAGGTGCCAGGTATTGTTCTTTCACTTCCATGGTTAGCACTCCCTGTAGGGCTTCTTGTAAGGCAGGTCTAGTTGTAAAAAATTCCCTTAATATTTGCTTGTTTGAAAAGGATTTCATTTCTCCTTTGCTTTTAAAACTTACTTTGATGGAATATTACATTCTTGTTTAGAATTTTATTTCTTTAAGGATGTTGATAATGCACCCCCAATCTCATCTGGCTTGTAAGGTTTCTGCTGAAAGGTCCACTGTTAGCTCCATAGAGTTTCCTTTGTAAGTGACCTGCCCCTTATCTCTAGCTGCCTTTAAGATTTTTTATTTTACATTAACCTTGGGCAATCTGATGACTCTCTGTCTTGAGGATGGTTGTCCAGTGTAGTTTTAATGGACACAAAGACTCCCACACACAAGATACAATATTAATGTCTATAAACTTTGAATATGTAAACTCTTTGATAAGCCCCCAACTCCTGCAAATGGTAAAAGGAAATGTTAAGCAAGGAATAACTTTTTGCTTTTATAAATAGAATCTGAGGAGGTTTAGTCTGAGCACTGTTAGTGCAAAGTGAGGGTTTAGTTTGAGCACTGTTGGTGGGAAGTGAGACCTGACTCCCAAGTAACAAATCTAAAATAGATAATCTCTGACAAGTGTTGTGTGTTAAAGGGGGTAGTTTTTGACTTATGGCCTAAAAACAATGTACATACATATGTCTTCCCTATACTAAACTGGAGGTGTTGAGAGTCAGAAGGGACCAAACCAGCTAACTCTTGTTAAGGTGTTTCCCTCTGGTTAAGGTATTTCCCAATTGGATCTCCAGAAGAAGAATGACATGCTTTTTCCCAAGAGTCTCCTTTGCAAGTCACTGGACCTGTTCTCTAAGGGAGCCAGAGCAATGAATATGTAATGAGATAAAGGCAATGAGATAAATAAACAAACGTCTAAAGCTATAACTTGAGTGGTGTCTGTAGTCTCTATCTGTGCTGTGTCACAAAGCTAACACTTACTTCCTGGAAGGGTGGAAGTATGAAGTGAGGCAGCATAGCCTGAACCAACTTGGACATGAGGCACAGAAGACTAGCCTTTGTCTCTCCAAAAGCAGCCTGAGACACTGTAGACTTTTATAAACTCATAAATATGCTATACTAGGATTGCAATATAATAGCCTAACTTGAGACAATTTCTTCCCATTGATCTATTCTGCAAATTAAAAGATCTGTTAAATTCAGTTTTCCCTTTAAGCTCCATGTTCCAGGTACAATAAGACTGAATTGAGGGTATACTTTTCTCAAGTGATGCATCTCCAATTTCTTGAAAAAGTGACATCACAGCCAACTCAACAAGTGAGTTCCATTGCCTGACTTTTTGGGTAGTTCTAAAAGCCTTGTCTTTATCCTGTCTATTTCTATGCCCAATAATATCCTAGGTGGTTTTAGTTTGCCTTATTTTTACTGGTTTTCACAGTGACTATACTTTCCTATTCTAGAATTCCCCAAGGCTATGAATCTTATCTTTAAAAGACCATTGTTTCTTTGTCTCTACATTTTTCCTGACTGAAGAATTTGTAATGAACAAGTTGTTCCAAATCACTGGTTCTGGAGTTAAATTAGTAGAATACTTAAAAAGTCATTTTCATTAAATCAAGGCTCATTAAACTCCTTTATTGTAAGAAACCATTTTAATAGTTATTCTTTTACCTGTTCATATTTTTTGGATTAGACTTATGGAATATGATTTTAAAATATTTTTTTCCTTGTGGCATTTACAAGTCATGGAAGCTGGAAGTAGGACTCCAAATTTATTTATTTTTCCTCCATTGAAAATAACATAAATCATGTTTTGGAGCAAAAAACTAACTGGCTTTACATTCTGGGTCTCTAGACTCACATCTTTATACACTCATTTTAAAAAATGAGAGAGATGAGAGAAAAAGGAAGTTATCTAGAATAAGAGAAAGAGTGAGAGGGAGAGAGGGAGAAACTTTTTGGATCTAGGTAACTGAAGAAGGACTGCTTTTATTTGGTCTTAGGTCATATGCTCATTCTTCCTCTAAATCAATCTTCATGACTCAGAAAGTATGGGACCACTATAATTATCTCAGATTAGGTTTGTGTCTTGAGTCTGCCAAGTTTAATTACAAGATTTCAAAAAAATTCTAATATTATTGCACGTACTTTTAGAGTTATAATGTATCTTTCAGGTCTAAATATTGTATGATTAAATTTTACTAGATAAACCACTGGCAATTTAGCTAAGGTTTATATTTATCTAGCTGCTTTTGTTGTTATATTGAAACAGGAATTAAAAGAAATTAAAGAATGTGTAAGCAAAAACTCAGTTGTATGTAAGAAAACCCAATTCCCCCTGAGGAAGAGAAAGAGATGAAGTCCTTTAAAACTTAACTGCCTGTTTTCCTGTGGCTAGTGAGCCTTATCTCTCCCTTTCCCAGGCATTGTGAAGACCCTGTTTTTCTAGCTGTGCAGCTGCAAGGCCACTAGGCAGATAAACTCAAGTTGTAAAACATGTTTTTCCTTGAAAAGTAAGAAATGATGTAATGCATGTCTCAATTAAATAACTGTCTTTGTTTCTTGCTTCTGTAATATGCTTCCCCCTGCACAGATCTCCCCCACCCCACAAAATGCTTAAAAGATAACCAGACTCTTTGTTTGGAGCTCAGTTTTTTTGGATGTTAATCTGACTGGGCCGGTGCACCTAAATAATAAATAATAAGTATCCTCTTCAACTCCTCAGTCTCTCTGATTCCTAAATTATCCCGCTGCAATATATGGCCATGAAGTTAAGTATGCACATAGAAAAATATACATGAATGTGTACATGCAAACACACATATGAGTATTTTGATTGCTAGTGAAAATAACATTGTGTTAAATATATATATTCAAAAAAAGAAGATAAAAAGAAAAAATGAGGAATTAAAAAAAATGTTAATTTAAAAAACAAGCTTCTTCCCTCACAGAATTACTCCTGAGCCAGGATGTTTTATGTTTTCAGCATACCATTGCTTTGTTTACATTCCCACTGTAAGGGGAATGCACTGTATTTCTTGGGATCATCAAGGAAACCTTTACCAATGCTAAAGGAGGGGCAAATCTTGGTTTCTAAAGCCCAGTGTGGAAGAAGCTGACTTTCTTCCTGTTGAGAGGTGAAGCCAGCTGGGCTTCTGGTTCAGGTGGGGACTTGGAGAACTTTTCTGTCTAGCTAAAGGATTGTAAACACACCAATCAGCGCCCTGTGTCTAGCTAAAGGTTTGCAAATGCACCAATCAGCATTCTGTAAAAATGCACCAATCAGCACTCTGTGTCTACCTAAAGGTTTATAAATGCACCATCAGCACTCTGTAAAAATGGACCAATCAGTGCTCTGTGTCTACCTAAAGGTTTATAAATGCACCATCAGCACTCTGTAAAAATGGACCAATCAGCACTCTGTAAAATGGACCAATCAGTGCTCTATAAAATGTACTAATCAGCAGGACATGGGCGGGGCCAAATAAGGGAATAAAAGCTGGCCACATCCAAGCCAGCAATGGCAAACTGCTCGGGTCCCCTTCCACACTGTGGATGTTTTGTTCTTTCACTCTTCTCAAAAAATCTTGCTGCTGCTCACCCTTTGGGTCCACACTACCTTTATGAGCTGTAACACCACGAATATCTGTGGCTTCACTCCTGAAGTCAGCGAGACCGTGAACCCACCAGAAGGAATAAACTCTGGACACATCTGAACATCTGAAGGAACACACCGTCTTTAAGGAACTGTAACACTCACTGCAACAGTCCGTGGCTTCATTCTTCAAGTCAGCGAGACCAAGAACCCACTGGAAGGAACCAATTCTGGACACACTGTCTCATGCCACACAACCTCCTGCCTCAGCAAAAACAGTGAAAATGTGAACAGAAAAATCCACAAGAAATGTATGTCTTTTCAATTTCAGTTTTCCTCATTGGATTCTTAATTGGATGGCTTATACTGAAACCAACCCAATAATCTCATAGACAGTTTTTTCTTACAAACATAGAGGTTGGCACTTGTGGTCTTAGGGCTTGAAACTTACATTTGTTTTATCTGAGTTCCTTCCTCAAGAAAGGACCCCCAGTCCTCTCAAAGAGTATCAAAGAACTGAAACTCACCAGATCATCATATCCAGTCAATAGGATGCCATGACCCTCATTAATTACGATTGTTTCTTTACTCTTCCCTAGTTCCTGTTTCTCCACACATAGTTACATTTCTTCCCTGCCATGTAAACCCTTAATTTTAGTTGGTCAGTGAGATGGATCTGAGACTGAGCTCTCATTTCCTCAGCTGGAGCACCCAATTAAAGCCTTCTTCCCTGGCAATCCTCATCATCTTGGTGATTGGTTTTATGTGCAGTGAGCATCAGGGCTTAGAACAAACCCCTGGTGTTTTGGTAACAATATCTGGTTTGATTTTCAGCTACTAAAAAGAACATTTCATTTGCAGGGAGCCAGACACAGGAGAGCTGAAGGGCTCAGCAAGGGCGGCTAGGAACTTGTCCCCTGGCTGCAGGGCCCACACCAGGTAAATTCACTCCTAAGCTTTACCTTTCATGTACATTTGGGTTAACAAACAACAATGAATTCCCAAACACAGACTGCACTAGAGGGTGGGCTAAGTTAGCTGGAGGACCATGCAGGTGGCCCTGTGCTGTATGGCTTGTGGAGTGCTTTGCTTCTAGAGAACCAGTATGTCCATTTAGTCCAGAGTTGGCTTTGAGGTGACAGTGCACTCCCAACATCCCCAGGATGCACTGCTCCTCCTCCTCCTTGGGTATCCACTCAGGGCTGTAGCAAAGAACCCTACCTAGGACATGGAAGAATGCATCCTACCCTTCTCTGTGCAACAAGAGCTGTAGTCACTTCTCAAACAAAGAGACCAAATCCAGCCCCCTCACAGAGGGTCTGGGTGGAATAGCTTTCTCCACCCTACCCCCAGCCTGCTTCATCTCTCTTCCTTAGACATTGCCTGACTGTCTTTTGCCATCGCATTGGAGAAACAACAACAACAACAAAATGGTCCTTACCTTAAGAAAATTTAAATACTAAAACAGAGGCTCAATTATTTTTTAATTATCCACAATGAATAATATTCTGTAGATACTACAAAGCTGTATTATATGGAATAATTCAATGTCACACTTACAAATTGTTAAAAATAACAATAAGGTATAAGCATATTTGTTTATGGAGCACTGTTCATAAATGTGTGGTCCATGACTAAAGTGCATCAGAATAACTTGTGGCACTTTTTGAAACTACAGGTTTGGAGCATTTGTAACCATCACTGCAGATAATTCTCATGGACAGTAAGTTTTGGAAGCCACTGATGGTCTACCCTCAGCTAACAGAGCTATCTAATTTTACTTGTTTCCTTTAGAGTTAAAAGCTTCTTACCTTGGATACCTTCATCCTGCTTTGCAGAAAAGAAAAAAGAAAAAAAAAACTTTGTAAGCACGTCTACTCCCTCTTAAAGCTTTTTTAGATATGTTTAAAAAACCTCTACAATTTCTCCTGTCCACAGCAATAAAAGAAAAGAAATTGGAAGAAGGAGTCTGTTAAAACAATCCCATCAAAAAGTGGGCAAAGGATATGAACAAATACTTCTCAAAAGAAGACATTTACGCAGCTAACAAACATGAAAAAAATCTCAACATCATTGATCATCAGAGAAATGCAAATCAAAGCCACAATGAGACATTTCACACCAGTCAGAATGGTGATGATTAAAAAGTCAGGAAATAATAGATGCTGGTGAGGCTGTGGAGAAATAGGAACGCTTTTACACTGTTGGCGGGAATGTAAATTAGTTCAACCATTGAGGAAGACAGTATGGCAATTCCTCAATGATCTAAAACCAGAAATACCATTTGACCCAGCAATCCCATTACTGGGTATATACCCAAAGGAATATAAATCATTCTATTATAAAGATACATGCACATGTACATTTATTGCAGTAGTATTTACAATAGTAAAGAAAAGAAGTAAAGACATGGAACCAACCAAATGCCCATCATCAATAGACTGGATAAAGAAAATGTGATACATATACACCATGGAATATTATGCAGCCATAAAATGAGATCATGTCCTTTGCAGGGATATGGATGAAGCTGGAAGCCATCATCCTCAGCAACCTAACACAGGAACAGAAAACCAAACACAGCATATTCTCATTCGTAAATGGGACTTGAACATTGAGAACACATGGACACAGAGAGGAGAACAACAAACCCCAGGGTCTGTTGGGGGAGTGGGGGGTGAGGGGAAGAAACTTAGAGGATGGGTCAATAGGCGCAGCCAACCACCATGGCACATGTATTCCTATGTAGCAAACCTGCACTTTCTGCACGTGTATCTAGTTGTTTTTTTTTTTTTAGAAGAAATAAAGAAAAAAAGAGAGTCTGTTAAAAGCCCAATTGAGAGTTTTTTCCCCTAAAAAAATTTTTCTTGGTAATGTACCCCTTACAGAATGTATTAACTCATTACCCAACTTGGCCATTCTAGAAACAGTATATTAATACTGGCAAAGTAAGGAAAACTTATTGAGAGCCCACTTCTTATTAACCTGTATAGTAATAAATCAGGCAATCATTACTGCTTACCAATAACATTGATTAGAAAATTGAGGCTTAGAGAGGTAAGCTCACCTCCATGGTCTTATAGGAAATAGGTGATTTGAACCCAAGGGGTTGAATTCTGGCAGTCTCCAGAATCTGTGCTGTAACATCCTATTACAGAAACGTAGGTCCTGCTGCTCACCACACAGAAAGCCAATCATTGAGACAATGATTATTGCCAAGGAAAAAAGCTTTACCGGGGTGCTGAAGCCAAGGAGAGGGGAAATCAGTCCCAAATCCATCTCCCTGACTAACTAAAATTAGGGGTTTATATAGCAGGGAAGGATGTAACTATGTGTGAGAAAACAAGAACTCGAAAGGAGTAAGGAGGCAATCAGGATAAATGAGGGGCCTGGTGTCTCATTGTCTCGATGCCATGATTTGCTGAGTTTCAGTTCTTTGATACTTTTTGAGAGGTCTTGGGATCCTTTCCAGAGGAACAAACTCAGATAAAACATGTAAGTTTCAAGCTTTAAGACCAGAAGGATCAATTTCTATGTTTATCATAAAAACCTGTCTATGGGACTATTAGGCCAGTTTCAGTCCCCCCTTTCTATTTATCAGTTCCTCAATCATGGGGAATCTGGTCATTGATCTTTCTGGCTGCTTCCTGCTGAGGAGGGGCATCATAGACAGCTCCCTATTCAGGGTGACTACGTGGCCACCCAAGAATCAAAGATTAACTCAATACTATAATTTTCTTCTAAAACACATTTTTTTCTCTCTCCAGTCCCCTATTTTCACTAAAGACAAATCACGGCAGGACCAACCTACCTGCAAAATAAACTTCAGGCTCATATACTGGGTCTGATTACCCACACAAAGTACAGCAAGAATCATTGACCACATAGGCTCTCCTAAATTAGCTTTGCTGAAACCTCTCACAAGGCCATTTCAGTCAAAGCTCTGGGAAAATAACCAGTTCCTCCAACTGTGTCCCATTATAAAACAGGTTCTTACTAAACATATCCAAACTAACACATTGCCATAAATTAAGAAAATTTACAGTTTGCAAATTCTTGAGAAATTGGGCAGAGAGAGAAATATGTCTCAAATTTGGTTTACAAAAGTATACTCTATTCAATATACATAAAAGTATGTTTGAAGGCCATAAATAGTGCAAAAGAAAAAATTCTCCAGACTGAAAAACAAAAGAAAAAGAATTGGTAATATTTCAAACAAAAAAATCCATAAAATTATTTCAGTCTTCCCTTTATTCCGTCCGTGCAATCAACTCTTGCTCTGCTTCATATTATGTTAGCAAACTTTTTGAACATATTAGCCTTTTAATTAGAGTCCAGCAAGTTTTCTCTCTAATCCAGTGGCACCATCTCCAAAGCTATCAGAAACCTGCATTCAAGAGTCATTTTCATGAACTCCCCCAAAGAAGCAAGGCCCAGACTGCAGCTAATTATAAGTCACTTTTTGAGAAGAATCAAAGTAAAACAATTGTGGATGACAAAAGCCTTAGGACAACCATAGTGAGACACACAGTTGACATGGAACTTTGGTTATTTCTGTGGTGTACAATAATCTAACATAATAATCATAATTATTACTGACAACATATATTAATATATATAAGAATTTCAGGAATGTCATACAATCTTGGAACACATATTAACAATATTTCTATATAAATAAAACCCAAAGTTAAACACCACTTCAAATTTGACAATGCTTCCTGTATAATTCTAACATAAATAAACCTAATATGTCTTTCTTGGACTTCAGGAAACCTAATATCCAAAAAAAGTTAGTTTAAGGTCAAAAAGACTTAATTTGAACTTGAAATTTTGCTGTTGGAAAGTCTGTCAAATATCAAAGGTTTAAAACACTTGATATCACAAAATAGGATCACAAGATACCATAAAACAGTCATTCATTTTGCCAAAATTATGATACAAAAATGTTTTCTCTTTGATAGGAGACTCAGTTTCCTAAACAATAAGACCCAAGAAAGACAGCATGAGGCCAACTAAATCTGTGTTTCTCCCACCATTTTTTTCTTCTGTAGTTTTACTCAAAAGGCAAACAAAACTCTCTTATCTTTTACATGAAAATTTTGTTCAAAAGAGAAAGCCATATTTTACCTTTGTATGGTGTATTTTTAATGTTAAAGCTAACTTTAATAAAACCTTATCAACAAATCTATCTAATTTTAATTTTTTTGACCATAGGGTATTTCCATAAGTATTTTATAGCCTATTACAATTTTCTATTAAAGAGCAGATCAATGCTCCAAGAAAACCTCTGTTAGTCTGATGCAAGGCCCAGATGCTTGCATTAACGTGCTTTTGATATTAATGTTTAACTTACAGAAAACCTCTGAACTAATCTTACCCCTCAAAATCAGCCCTTACAATCTCACTTGCCAACCTCTTCTGCAATAGTCCCTGGGCCTAGGGGGATACCACAGTTTTAATTTCTGGTCCTGTGTCTCATGAAGGCAGTTCATTTTGATTGTCACCTTCTCCCAGGTCTGAAAATGAGGCTTTGAGTGATGTCAAAGCTTAAGATTCGGCAGAAGTCAGTGCCTTTTTCAGACCCAGGGGTCAAAGGCCTATAAGATAACAGCACAAGGATTAGTTAATAGAATATTTATACTATGGAAAGTTCTATCATTCTCTCTAACATATTACAAATTAAAACACTGTGATTTGGTATCTAACAGCTACTGCCTGTAGCACTTCAAACCACTGTATTAGAGTAGTTAGGTTACTCACTGCATATGTCTAATTGCTAGCACTCTAGTAACATAACTGTGACCAAAGGCATCAGAAATATGATAAGCTCTATGCCAAACTTATCAAAGTAAGACAAGTAACTTTCCTCTCCATCATTTAAAAGAATGGTAAGGGAAAAAAATCAGTTTGGGAAATTCAATATGAGGATGAATAAACAAACTGTTTGCATTTAAATATTATACAACAAAATATAAACAAAGTAAGGGTAAGCACACAGTAATGTCTCCTTCAGCTCTTTTAAAAGGGCATCATCACATATTTCCATGATTGCTTTCTAGATACAGTACTGACAAATGATTAGGTGACTTTGACCAATAAAATCTTCAAATCAGTGGAACACTAGCACATATTTTGTTTTCAAGTACACACATCAAGGCCCATGATAAATGGCTTGAGATCAAAGATCATTAGAAAGTCTCACATTGTTTTACTACTTCATCCAAGTGACTGTCACTTAATTTTAATAATGGTAAACACAACTAAGAGAGAAATTCCAATCAATATAATTTCCTTAAGGACAAAGCCAATCTTTCCTAAAACTTTGTACCCATATCACAGTTTTTCTTCATTAACTAAAGGAAAAGATCTGAAACCAACTCAATTTATTGGTTGAATTGAATTACCTTGAAAATAAACACCATTTAAACATTTTTATTCTCACCTACTTTTTCAAATAACAAAATTAATAAAGTACACTTAGTGCTCAGAACTTATAAAATTAAGTAATTTTTTTCCAGGAACCTTAAAGCTCCTGTAGCTCTCTAGATCATTAGAGGTAAGCAAATCTACCAAATTTTAAATGGCTGGTGTGCTTTATCAATATTTGCTTGACAAAGGCAGCTTAGGAATTCTAGATAAATAGATAAATAGAACAAATGATGATTTGTTAGAAATGTATAGGAAACAAAATGCATGGTCATAGAGCCAAATAAAAGCCTTCCATTAGAAACCAAAAAGCATCAATGGTTTTATATGTGTGTGTATATAAGTACAACCCAAAAGAGAACAAACAAAAATAAGTGAAAATTAAAAGCAAAAGCAAATAAACTGGAAACTAACCCCAAAGTTCTCTCCTACTCAGTTAACCTTGAAGGCTAAAGTGTTACTCAGAGCCAAAAATGAACACATAATAGGTATTTTGTTCCTGGTACACAAATTAATATCTTTAAGTCCACCAATACCACTATACATTGTGTGCAATTAAGAAGTTCACTTTAGGTGGCTGGGCATGGTGAGTCATGCCTGTAATCCCAGCACTTTGGGAGGCCGAGGTGGGAGGATCACAAGGTCAGGAGATTGAGACCACTCTGGCTAACATGGTGAAACTCTGTCTCTACTAAAAATACAAAAAATTAGCTAGGTGTGGTGGCGGGTGCCTGTAGTCCCAGCTACTCAGGAGGCTGAGGCAGGAGAATGGCCTGAACCCAAGAGGCAGAGCTTGCAGTGAGCCAAGATCGCACCACTGCACTCCAGCCTGGGTGACAGAGCGAGACTCCATCTCAAAAAAAAAAAAAACTGGTTCACTTTAGGCACCATGACCAGTAAGTATTTTAGTGCTAGTATATTCTATGCAGAAGAGCAAACACAGTATAAAACAAAGCAATGCAAGCATTTACATAAAATTTGGCTCTATGTTAAATCTGGGCTCATGCTTAACTATACTAAAAAGAATTACCAAACTACTAATATATTTCATTACAATATTTCTTAAGTTATCTTCACCAAGTTTAAGAACTTTGACCATGAGCAATGTTAATTAGCCAAATTTCTTCAAGTTTCTATCAGGTTTTAAAGAATATTTTACTATCTAAATTTTTTCAACTTTCTGTTTTCCCTGTATAAGCATGAAGGTAGACACACAGAGAAACAGGGAAGAAATGACATGTGACTTACCTAGATCATCTATGGCATGCTTAGACTTTCTGTTCTGTCCTAAATTTTCCTTTCTTTTTAAATAACCAGTCATTTCATTTTAGGACAAAAATACACCATATAAGATCCATTTTCATATAAAATTATTATCTTTTCTTTATAACCTTCATTATCAAAAATATATCCTCACATCCATAGCTTTCTTCACATCTCTCTCTGCTACTTACTAGTTCCTTTCTACCTTGTTTCATAAATAACTGTTTTAAGTCTATAAATTAGCCTTTAGATAACTTCTGAATTTGACAAAATAATTTTTTCTCAATAAGAGCTCAGCTTCTTTGGCATATTTTATATACAGAATTATATATTAACCATAATTCTTATCCTTAGTAACCTTAAATTTTAGTGAAACCCTAGGAAACAAGAAATCCTGAACTATCAGATATTAGCAATTTATAGATGAAAACAATTCCACAATCTTGGGAAACATATTTCCCATATCATAACCCTTTCTTAACTGGAAATTACTCAGGCATCTAATGAGCATCAAAAATAATTTTAAGATTTTACATTGCACAAGAAGTTCACCCAAGGTACTTATTCTTTATATTTTACTTTATTATTTTACTTTACTTATTTTTAGCATATCTAGATTATTTATGCATCACTTATTTCCTTGTTTACCATTTTATAACCTGTGAATATCAGGTGTTCACTTAAAGAAGAACCTTAAAGTTAACTGCATGGACATTTTAAGACATTTCTATTTTTATTTTACCTACAATTTTAAAGCCAACTTGTTCAGTAAAGATTCACTTAAGTCACATGAACTTGACAATTGCTTGGACTTATTTACTTAATTTATGAGTACTCTATTATTTATAAGTTAATTTGGTAGACACCATATACTACATAATAAATGTACATACACATAAACGCATCTAGACATGTATACATGCACACAAAGATCCAATACCTCTTACCTTGGTACTCTAGCCATGAGATAACAAAGAAACTCACCAGTCTACAAACATGTTCACATGGCTGAACTTTGTTAGCCCTGACCTGAGAGGTAATCCAATGAAAGCTATGAACCAAAATTTTGGGTAAGCAGTTTCTATGGCAGTTTGACTTTTAAAGGCCAAACCTCCCTAGACTCCAAAGAGCACTGAGGCCAAACAGCCCCACAGACAAACAACACCACAGACGAACAGCACCTGGAACCTACTAATCAGCCCAACCCTGCTTCAAACAGCAATATAAAAGCCTGAATACATGGAACGCCATCTTGCTTTCCCATTTAACATCAAACTTCAGATTCCAAAGAACACTGGGGCTAAACAGTATTAGAAAAGAATAGCAGTTTATCAATTTCTAATTTCCCATGACTATGTCAAACCCACACTATCACCAAAATACAATCCAACTGCTGCAGCAACAAACAAGCCACAAGAGTGTCCATAATGAAAGAGTCAGAGTGTTTCCCTCTCCCAGGCAGTTGGATTTGCTCAACCTGCAAATGGAAATACCCTTTAAAATTTTCCCTAGGTGAGAGGAGGAGATCCTGCTGTGTGGGCCCTCAAAGGACACTCACCTATCTGGATGCAGATGTCAAATTTCAGAGGCAATTCTTCCTAGACAATCAGGAACTTGGTTGGGTCTGGCTGTGGCAGGACCAGAGAGAAACCAAAACTCACTTCCAGCCAGAAATGGGCAGGCAGCTGCTTAGCAGGGCTTCTGAGACTCATAGCCTTCAGCAGCGGAGCCACAAGCAAGGTGTTCCCAGTCAGGGAACCAAATTCTGTTATGGAAACACCATGGGTTCAGTCTAGGTTCTGCTGCTCATCACACAGAAAGCCAATCACTGACACAACAAGGAACAGTCTTCCTTGGCAATAATCATCTGATGATTGCCTTTCTGTGCAGCAATCAGCAAGACTGAGACCAAACCCCTGGTGTTTCTGTAACAATCCCAGGACAGCTCTGGGCTCCTCTTGCCTGACATCATCCATGTGTTCCCTCCCTATCACCTCTTCCCATTGGGTCAGCTCTTGCCTATTTGTCCTCTTTATGGGATATGCTCTGCACTTGCTTGCATCCATGAGAACAGTGTCACTGTTTCTGTCCGAAGTCAGTCTTTAATCTTCATTTGGAATTCCATCCTCCCTGTCTTCTTAGACAGCTGATTTTTAAAAAATCAAATACTCATATATCACTTAGTATGTAAAAGTATATGTGTTAGATGTTGGTAAGAGTTGTGGGGAAAAATAAGTGGGAGATGGGGATATAGAGTGTTGGGGGTTGCATTTATATATAGGATGGTCAGGGAAGGTGTCTTTGAGAGATGCAATGGAGGGATCAGTGACCTTGATGAGAATAGATTTCATGTATTGTTGGGAGCAGGAACCAGTGCAGGAGTGACAGTGAGAGAAGCAAGAGAGATAAAAAACGTAGCTCTCTCTCAATACAGAGCTGAACCTGTCTTTACAGTGCCTAGACAGAGATTTTTGTTCAGGAATTAATGTATCTAACTGGAAGAAAAGTATACTGTTTTTAGGCTGGCAAAGAAGAAAGCTGGTAGTGAGGGAGTATGATGGTCTGTCTAAATGGCATAGAGCCCTACATTTGGGAAAAGCTCTACTTTGATTGTTTTCATCTCAGTGGGTAGGCTGTTTCTTGACACCAAGACACATATAGGCTTATTGTTTTCATCTCAATGGGTAGAGTGTTTCTTGATACCAAGAGATGGATAACCTTCAAAACACTTTGTCTGTTCATTTTCTCTAAAATATGCTAAGCATCTTTCATGTGTCCTCAAACTGCTTCCAGCCTTCTGCCTAAGGTGGGGTTGCTTTGTACAGTCATTCAGGCCATCCTGGTGCTTAATGGGAAGGGATCTGAGCAGAGTCTTCCTACAAGTCAAAGCCGAGGTCTCTAGGAACATCTGAGCTTCTTCTACTTCACCAGAGGGAGGTGTTTTCACTATAGAGGGAGGTGTCATTGTTGTGAGTCTGTGTAATATCTAAGTAGAGCTCTGTATCACCTGGAGCAAGTGAATGGTAGTATGCATACCAACCCTCTTACCTCATTTGAAACACTGAATGAAATATTTAACAGTAACCAAGCATAACTTTTGGATAAAGAATGGCTCCCTGCATAATTTTTCGGCATTATATTTTCTCTCCACATTTTGTTAGAATAAACAATATGGTCCATCTTTTTTTCTTTTAAGGAACTAATTTTTTCATTACATGCTTAACATTGAGATACTTTTGCGCCTGTATTTTTTATTTTTTGACATCTACTCAGCTACGCAAGATGAAATACTGGAAGTCTTTCTTGATATTTCTTTTTCACTTTAATAATAATAATTGTATATTATGTTTTTCTCACTTTTAACACTCTCCTTGAAACATTTTTACTTAGCCTGCTTCTGCTTATTCTTATCTCTATCTTCTGCTTCTGTGCCACTTTAGAAACTTCTGTTGACTCATTCTTCCTTCAATCTATATTAGTTCACCATTCTTTTTACTTTGACACCATATTATGCATATATCTATCATGGCACTTTTCCTGCTTATAAGGCAACCAGTGATTTATTGTCTTTTTTGTCCAATATACCATAAGTTCTTGAGATATTATTTGCTACCATGGCAAAAGCTGGCATTGACCTTCCAGTATCCATCTTTTTCTTCTATTGTGATAGAAAACCTGATTTTTACAGGGATATATGGCAACCCATTAGAGACAGAAAATGCTTCAGACTTCTTTGCATTAGGGCAGCCATCAGATGTAATTCTAGAAACCTGAATGTGAGCTGAAGTGATGTGTGCATGATCAGTATCCAGGAGATGCCCTTTTAAGGACCTAGCCTCTTCCCTCCATTCTTCTGCTGGACGGAAAGTCCATGTGATGGGAAGCCATCTGGGACAGTGAGGTGGCACGTTAAAGGATGGCTGAAGCAGGAAATAGAGAGAACCATTATTCTAATAACTTTGTGAAATGGAACAAAGGACTCTTTATCTCAGTACTTATATAAGAAAGGACAATAAACTTTCAGCTTTTTAAGCCACCATTTACTTAGGTTTTTCTATTACTCATAGATTAACTAAATCCAGCTGATGCAGATTCTATGGCATTTTGAAGGTTGTCATTCTGTCTTATTAATTCACATTGCCAACAGTGGGCATAGCATTGGGCTCATAAAATATATAATGAATAAAAAATAAGGATAACAACTGAATGTCAAGATTATGCATGTCATAATATATAAGATGTACTGAAGTTTCCAATTAGACTCATATCTGTAAATAGATGGGTTGGTCTGAAAACAGATCAGTGGTTTGACGATCCTGCAGGAATAACAGATCCATTCAAATAATACTATGAATTATAATAAGTTTACATGTGATTAGTCAATAGAGAACATTTGTAGGTTGTCTATCAAGAACCTTGTTGTATTAGTCCATTCCACACTGCTATAAAGAGCTACCTGAGCCTGGGTAATTTATGAAGAAAAGAGGTTTAATTGATTCACAGTTCTACGGGCTTAACAGGAAGCATGACTAGGAGGCCTCAAGAAACTTACAATCATGGCAGAAGGCGAAGGGGAAGCAAGCACCTTCTTCACATGGTGACAGCGGAGAGAGAGAAAGAGAAAGGGGAAGTGCCACACCCTTTTAAGCCATCAGATCTCATAAGTGCTCATTCAATGTCATGAGAATAGCAAGGAGGAAATTGTCCCCCATGAACCAATCACCTCCCACCAGGCATCTCCTCCAATTTGACATGAGATGGGTGGGGACACAAATTCAAACCATACCATTCTGCCCCTGGTCCCTCCCAAATTTCATGTCCTTTTCACATTGAAAAATACAATTATGCCTTCTTAACACTCACCAGTCTTTTTATTATTATTATTATTATTATTATTATTATTATTCTTTAAGTTTTAGGGTACATGTGCACAATGTGCAGGTTTGTTACATATACACGTGCCATGTTGGTGTGCTACACCCATTAACTCGTCATTTAGCATTAGGTATATCTCCTAATGCTATCCCTCCCCTCTCCCCCGACCCCACAACAGTCCCCGGAGAGTGATGTTCCCCTTCCTGTGTCCATGTGTTCTCATTGTTCAATTCCCACCTATGAGTGAGAACATGTGGTGTTTGGTTTTTTGTCCTTGCGATAGTTTGCTGAGAATGATGGTTTCCAGTTTCATCCATGTCCCTACAAAGGACATGAACTCATCATTTTTTATGGCTGCATAATATTCCATGGTGTATATGTGCCACATTTTCTTAATCCAGTCTATCGTTGTTGGACATTTGGGTTGGTTCCAAGTCTTTGCTATTGAACACTCACCAGTCTTAACTCATTGCAGTATTAACTCAAAAGTTCACAGTCCAAAGTTTCGTCTGAGACATGGTAAGTCCCTTCCACCAACAAACCTGTAAAATCAAAAACAAGTTAGTTATTTCCAAGATAAAATGAGGTACAGGCAGTGGGTAAATGCTCCCATTCCAAATGGGAGAAATTGACCAAAACAAAGGGGCTACATGCCCCATGCAAATCTGAAATACAGCATGAAGTCATTAAATCCTAAAGCCCAAAATAATCTCCTTTGACTCCATGTCTCACATCCAGGATGTGCTGATGCATGAGGTGGGCTACCAAGGCCTTGGGCAGCTCTGCCCTCATCACTCTGCAGGGTAAAGCCTCTATGGCTGCTTTCACAGTCTGATGTTGAGTGCCTGCATCTTTTCAAGTTGCACAGTGAAAGCTGTTGGTGAATCTACCATTCTGGGGGCTGGAGAACAGTGGCCCTTTTCTCCCAGCTCCACTAGGCAGTGCCCCAGTGGAGACTCTGTATGGGAGCTCCAACCCCACTTTTTCCCTCTGCATTGCCCTATTAGAAGTTCTCCATGAGGGCTCTGCCCCTTCAGCTGACTTCTGCCTGGACATCTAGGCATTTCCATTAATCTTCTGAAATCTGGGCAGAGGTTCCCAAACCTCAACTCTTGCCTTCTGGGCATGCGTAGGCCCAACACCACATGGAAGCTGCCAAGGCGTGTGGCTTGCACCCTCTGAAGCAGTGGCCTGAGCTGTACCTTGGCCCCTCTTAACCATGACCGGAGCTAAAGCAGCTGAGACACAGGGCACCATGTCCCAAGACTGTACAGAGCAGCTGGACCCTGGACCTGGCCCACAAAACCATTCTTCCCTCCTAGGTTTCTGGGCCTGGGATGAAAGGGGCTGCCATAAAATTCCCTGAAATGCCCTGGAGACATTTTCCCCATTGTCTTAGCTATTAACATTCAGCTTCTCTTTACTGATGCAAATTTCTGAAGCAGGCTTAAATTTCTCCTCAGAAAATGGGATTTTATTTTCTACCACATGGCTGGGCTGCAATTCTCCAAACTTTTATGCTCTGTTTCCCTTTTAAATATAAGTTCCAGTTTCAGATTATCTTTCTTCATGCATATGAAAGTACACTTTTAGAAACAGCCAGGTTACATCTTGAATGTCTTGCTGCTTAGAAATTTCTCCTGCCAGATACCCTAAATCATCTCTCTCAAATTCAAAGTTCTAGGGCAAGGGCAAAATGGCACCAGTCCCTTTGCTAAACCATAGCAAGAGTGACATTTACTCTAGTTCCCAATAAGTTCCTCCTCTCCATCTGAGACCACACAGCCTGGACTTCATTGTTTATATCACTATCAGCATTTTGGTCAAAACCATTCAACAAGTCTCTAGGAATATCCAAACTTTCCCACATCTTCCTGTCTTCTTCTGAGCCCTCCAAACTGTTCCAACCTCTGTGTTACCCTGTTCCAAAGTCACTTCTGCATTTTCAGGTATAGCAGTACCCCACTCTTGGTACCAATTTTCTGTATTTCCATTCTCACACTGCTATAAAGAATTACTTGAGACTAGGTAATTTATGAAGAAAAGAGATTTAATTGACTCATAGTTCCACAGGCTTAACAGGAAGCATGAATGGGAGGTCTCAGGAAACTTAAAATCATGGCAGAAGGCAAAGAGGAAGCAAGCACCTTCTTCACACGGTGGCAGGAGAGAGAGAGAGAGGAAAGGGGGAATTGCCACACACTTTTAAGCCATCAGATCTCATGATAACTCAATCACTATCATGAGAATAGCAAGGAGGATATCTGCCCCCATGATCCAATCACCTCCCACCAGGCCCCTCCTCCAATTCGACATTAGATTTGGACAGGGACACAAATCCAAACCATATCACTTATTATATATGTAAAAGAGTTTATTTTAGGAAGTTGATTCTGACGGGTTAGTTTTTTGCAAGTAATACAGTGAGAAAAATAGATCACCGTTCAATTCTTGCTTCAACCACTGACTATGAAATATGTAACCAATCATTTTGCCTATATCTTTACTGCCTTTATTTCATCTAGTAGAAGAGATCAAATACTTTAATTTATGGTTCTTTTAAGGATCAATGCATAATGTACATAAAGCATCTGCACCAGGCATTAATATAGAGAGGAATTCACTAGCTAGAATATTATTTTTAGAAGAATGAGACTTTAGACACCAATTATATCCTATTATCATCAATTTTACCAACAGTAATGGGCATACTGGAGAAAGAGCTCTATGATCTGTCAGTGCAATTCTACATACTTTTCCCTTGGAAGTTGATACAAAGGCTCCACAAGCAGGAAGCTGATATGCTCATGCCTTGACAACCATTAGAAATGACTTTGGAATCTTATCCACTGAGAGACTCTTCTGATTGCAGCTTACCATGGCCCCTGTTTGTCTAGTGGAAAACCAGAGAGAGCAGCTGATGGTTAATCTGACACAGTAAAGATTATTTACAAGATATTTCAGCCTGTGGTGATGGTGACTATTGTAAGGCTACAGTGTGTAGGGAAATCCTACCTGATGAATCATCTTGCAGCATAGAACCATAGTGAGTCTGGTCTTGAGACAGAGACCATTAGTTCGGAATCATAATAATGCACCTGATCACACCAACTCTAAGGTTATTATAAGAAAGAGACCAACTCTTCTCTATAAAATAATTTCCAATTCCTACAACCAAATTTATACCTGGGACTGCCTGTCCTATCTGCTGTCACTGTACTGTTGCTTTGTCTTCTTCCTTAGCAGGCTTCTGTGTGGGTTCTGCTATGAGGTCTGGAACCCAGGGTTCTGGATGTAGGACTCTCTCCAAGCAGAACCACACTGAGGGTCTGGGTTATGCAGGAAGGTTAAGGCAGAGTCATGAAGAAATCTTCTTTACTCTTGATTCTCAACATTTAATTGGCTACCTTGATTCAGCTTATCTGTAATATTTCTGCAAAATGTGAATATGAATCATGAAGAATGAGATTAAGTTCTGTTTCCCTGAACTTTTCTCCTTGGTAAGCTCAAATACTTTGGAATATTAAGATAAGATCTTATTTTAACACTGGGGTGAACAATAGAATTAATAAATATTTATTGAGCAGCTGAATTCCAGGGCTCTGTGCTAAATACTATAAAAGGGCAGTAAACAAGATAAAAGCCTAAAGCCTCATTAGGGAGACCACACATACAGTGTGATCAGAACAGGGTGCCATAGATGCAGAGAAGTAGGGATCTAGTTCAGTTGTATAAACCAAATAAAGTCTCTTGGAGGAAATAACATCTGGACCGTAACTAGTGGAATCACCGGGAGCTATCAGTTAAAGCACACGAGAGTGATCGATTTGGAAACATAAGCCTCGGAAAACAGGGTTTCAGTGAAGTTATGTATTTAAATAATCTCCATAAAAGCTTCAGCTACATCAGGATCATCATAAAGGTTTTGTTCCAACTCCAAGGGCTTTGGAGATTAACTCTTCACTGACTTCTCTGAAAGCATGAACTTAACCTATGTAAAATAGTGTAAATAAGATAATTTTAGGTATTCGATCTTCACAGTATTAAGGGCAATGTGTGATTTCTCCTAATTTTACATTACTCTGAGTCTAAATCAAAACTAACAACAGATCTTTGGCATTATTGCAAATGAAAGAAGGAAAAAGAGGAAAAGAGAAAAGGAAAGAGGGAAAAGAGAGAAAAGAGTGTTTTTCAGAAAAAAAAATCTTATGTATAGCTCTGTCTTCATGGATAAGCAAATTATGCAGTCATGTAGTACCATAGCCTCAGAAAAGTCAATGCTTGATTTGAAATTATTATATTGAATTTCTTGATGATTTTTTTAACGACGAGCCCCACATTTTCATTTGAATGCTTTAGTTCATCTTTCTAATATACTCTCTTTTGTTTAATTTCAAAGAAAATGTGTTGTTCCTGGGTACTACTGAGTAGATTGGCTTTGATCAGTAATTAAATAGTAATGTGAAGCGTTATAGAATCATTTTTAAAAGTGTGAAATGCCCCTTGTGGTTAGAACTCAGAGAAGTCATAAATCCCCATCCCCCAATACTTGATACCATTTTTGTTTCAGTTACATGACACTAAAAAAATCCTGGATTAAATTGTGTCAAAAATTCAATAGCAAGTAGCTGCAAATAGTCATGTAATGTGTTCTTAGCCTATGGACGCTGCTCCTTTGAAGCCAGAGTTCATTCCAAGTTGAATATGGTGAGGCTCTGTGACTGGCCTTGAAGTTAGACCAAGTGGCAAAATCCTCTATGGAGTGTGAAAAGCAGGGCTCTTCAACTGGAACACTGCACAGATGGCATAGGCCTGGAGGCTTGTCTGATTTTATTCATTCTTACTGTGGTCTGAATGTTTGCACCTCCCCATCACCCCAAAGTATATTGACACCTAATCACCAATGTTGACACCTAATCACCAGTGTGATAGTATTAGACAGTGGGTCATTTAGGAAGTGAGAATGAACTTAGGTCATGAGAATGAAACTGGTGAGACTAGTGCCCTTATAAATGAGACTCCAGAGACCTGCCTTGCCCTTCACCATGTGAGTACACATCAAGGGGCCACCAACCATGAACCAGGAAGCATACCCTTATCAGACCCCCAATCTACCCATGCCTCGATCGTGTGTTTCTCAGCCTTCAAGAATGTGAGAAGTAAATTTCTGTTGTGTATAACTTACCCAATTTACTTATTTTTTATAGACGCCCAAACAGACAAAGACACTTCTTCATGCTTATTTTTTGAGCCAATCACCTCTGTTAAACAACAATGGTGTTATTATTACTTCTACATCCTTTATGCCAGTTGATAAGAATTTGGTGTTGACACAGAACAGGGTACCTCTTCTTCAGGAGATCATTCCAGATTGGGCCATTCATATGCTTATCACTACCTCCAGAATGTCAATTTGTAAAAACACAGACACACACACGACAGTGACTATTCTGAACTATATTAAAGTAAGTACACACAGATAACATTATCACTTGCCCTGTATGATCTACTAACGTCATAACTTTCTGTCTCCTTGCCTTGCTCAGTGAGATTAAAAACATCTGCAACTCATTTCCTCCAGTTTCCTTCCAAAATCAGTGAGCCAGTAAAACACCCTCATTTCAAAAAACTGTTTTATTTGATACATCTTGTAAATGAATTACAAGTTAACCACAAAATACAAAAACATATAGACATTGCACTTTAAATATTCAAAAAATGTATAAATAAGAAGCTCAAAATCTGATATGGAAAAATATTCAAAAAATGTTCAGAGTCTTTTTATCAAAATAAAAGTTATTTCCTTTTTATGAGTATGTGTGTGCATATCTGTGATTATAAAAAAAGTCTTTAAAAATTCATATAATTCAGAAAGACATTTTAAAAAAATCACCTGAGCTAGAAGTACTAATTTTAAGGAGGTAGTGGTTGGGGGAACACTTATAGACTTTTATCTGTGTAACACAGACATATTGCTATGTATATTTTCTATGTGCATAGACATATTGCTATGTGCAATCATTATACATACAACTGTGAATTAACAATTTTTTTTGAGACAGTATCTCACTCTGTTGCCCAGGTTGGAGTGCAGTGGGACCACCATGGCTCATTGCAGCCTTGACCTCCTGGGCTCAGGTCATCCTCCCACCTCAGACTCCCAGGTAACTAGGACTATTATAACAGGCACATGCCATTATGCCCAGCTAATTTATTATTATTATTATTTGTAGAGATGGGGTTTCCCCATATTGCCCAGGCTGGTTTCCAATTCCTGGACTCAAGTGATCTGCCCACCTTGGCCTCCCAAAATGGTTGGATTGCAGGAGTGAGCCACCACACCCAGCCTAAATTTCTTCTTGATTAACATTTCCATGATTATCTGAAGTCAGTAACATTGGATTATCTGGAAAGGGGTGCCACTGGTGAAATTCAGGTGTTTCAAACACATTTACCTGGATTCAGTCATCCCTGTACTTTTTCTTCTTCTTCTTTTTTTTTTTTTTTAAGAGAGAGGGACTTCCTGACATTAAAAAATGGTAAGAGAAAAAAGCACCTGATTTCTTATTACTGGTCCTATTTAAAACTTGACTTAGCTTTATTTTCACTTTCAATATTGCTTATAGGAAATAAATGTTAAGTTTTGAATCAAAATCGGCACCAGTAATTTTACCTGATTAAGTGCCTAAAATTTTGTACTTATTAATTTGCAAATGTTTAATCAGACATTACTAAACAAATAGGAAGATCTAAGGGATAGGCACAAATGGGGAATCATTACCCATTTATTTCAGATAGATTTCCCAAACTCTGTTAACAAACTGGCTAGTCATTTTAGGAACTGAGTCCATTTTTCTGGTAGCCTGGGTAAGACTCCTAATTATAAATTATGCTTTTTATGGTCCAATCATCCTCCTGTCCTCCAAAAGATCCAGTTTCAATGAGATGTTTGTGTTTTGAAAGAGAAGTATTTACTTGCCACCACCGCACCTCTGGGCAACAACGTTAGAGGATACATAGATATCCATAGACACACACACAAACACACACATATTTTATGGTTAATGAAAAAATAAAGAAAAGAGATGAGAAACAGAAACATATAAGCATGTAAAAAAAAATAAAAGCAAACAAAAACTCAAATTTCTTCCCTGACAAAATTACCCCTGAGAGACAGGTAGATGAAACAACATTCATGTCTGCTGCTCTATATTCATTTTGGAGGCGAAAGATACCTAAGCTAAGGGTGGAAGAGGGACAAACAAACCTGAGTTTCAGGAGTCTGGTGTGGAGGAACCAGCACTTTCAAGCTCCTTTAGTTTCCTGTCTTGATAAACAGGAAAATCCCCAACAGTCAACTCCCCACAAAGTGCATGTCCTTTCAATTTCGGTTCTCACAGACTCTTACTTGGATGTCTGTAAATCCGGCTGGACTTTCAGCTTCTAAGAACAGTCCGTTTCTCGAGGATCCAGGCGCAGGAGGACAGAGCAATGGGTGAGAGAACTCTTCACGCTGCAGTGCCCACACCAGGTAAGTTTGCTCTTAAGCTTTACCTTTCAAGTATATTTGGGTTATAACAAACAACAACAAATTCCCAAGCGCAGACTGCACACGGGGAGGGTTGGAGACTTCACACTGGCGGGTGACAAAGGCAGTGGAGGAACCTCGCGGGGAAGTCTGATGCTGCTTGAACCCCTGAGTGCTTTGCTCCGTGTGGCCCAGCGTCTCTAGACGGTCCACAGGCGGCGACCAGAGGCGCACCGGTGTCTCCAGGATGCGCTGCTCCTCCTCGGGCTTCCTCCCAGAGCTGTGGCATTTTCTCCTGCGAAATACCATCATCTAGTATACATATACACATTTTTTGCTTGTTTGTTTTATTAATTTTCTGTCCCCCACTAGAATATGTGATACCCTACCTTGTTTTAACCTGAGTTGACTCTCCCTTAGCTGAAAGAGCCAGACAGTCTGCATCTCGGCTCCTTCACTTGCAGCCCCTTACCCACCCGCTTCCTCAGGGACTTAACTTGTGCAAGCTGACTCCCAGCACATCCAAGAATGCAATTAACTGATAAGGTACTGTGGCAAGCCATACCCGCAGTTCCCAGGAATTCGCCCGGTTAACAGCACCCAGAGCCCCCCGCGTTTGTGTCTGGTTGATAAAGCCCAAAGCCCCGCTTCTATCACCTTGTGATAGAATTAAAGCCCCTGCACCTAGTACTGTTTACTTTCCTGTAACCATTTATCCTTTTAACTTTTTGCCTACTTTACTTCTGTAGGATTGTTTTAACTAGACCCCTCCCCCCAACCTCTCCTTTCTAAACCAAAGTATAGAAGAAAATCTAGCCCCTTCTTCGGGCCGAGAGAATTTTGAGCACTAGCCGTCTCTCGGTCGCCGGCTAATAAAGGACTCCTGAATTCGTCTCAGAGTGTGGCGTTTCTCTGTAACTCGCTGGGTTACAACAAATAGAGCTCCAAGAGGCAGAAGTTTGTATCAATTATGTTCCTTGCTTGTTGCTGAGAATCTAGAACGGTGTTAATTAGCACATGGTAGGTACGCAATACTCTTTATTAAATTAATGAGAGAGCAAATTCTTCTGGAATGCCTGGAGCCTTTTCTAACCACTCCTCATCTCCTTTTTGTAACATCCTGCCCCTATTTATTCCAGGAGTGGAATTATTCTGCCATCAGTGCCTTGATTTTCTAATTCTGTTTATTTTATGCATCACCTTGACAAGGCATTTTTAGCGTTCTTGTAAGAATCATAAATAATGTACATAACAGATCTGTACTAGTCTTTGACATGCTAAACTAAATATTTTTCCATTTGAAATGTACAAATTTTATATACATAGAAATTTTATATACCATTAAACGTAGAAATATATTTATATACCATTAAAATGTAGAAATTTTATATACCATTCCACAAGCAAAAAGCTAATATGTATGTGCCTTAGGTAGCCCTTAGGGATGACTTCAAGATCTTGTATTCTACTGAGTATTTTTTTCTGGGTTACAGGTTATCCAGAATCTGAATCCATCATGATGGCCCCCATTTGTCTAGTGGAAAACCAGGAAGAGCAGCTGACAGTGAATTCAAAGGCATTAGAGATTCTTGACAAGATTTCTCAGCCCGTGGTGGTGGTGGCCATTGTAGGGCTATACCGCACAGGAAAATCCTATCTCATGAATCGTCTTGCAGGAAAGCGCAATGGTGAGTGTGGTCCTAGGACAGGAGCCATTTACTTGGAACCAGTGATAACACAGCTGATCACACCCCCTCTAGGGTCATCCTAAAGAAGGGCATGACTTCTCCCAATGAAGAAAACTTCTAATTCTCACCACTAAATTTACAATCTCAAATATATATCACTCTTTAGTCCAATAGTAAAGAATCATCTCAACCCTATCGAAAGATCCGTTCCATGGGTCTTCTTCATCCCATCTATGCTCACCTCTTCAGGGGCTCAGCCCCAGCAATTATTCCCTTTCTTTCTCATTCATCACTTTTGTGTAGGATACCTGGTCACTTCAAATAGCACACAAATATAGTTTAATAGATCCTGTTTTAAAAAATAAATATGAAGAAGGACAGGCATTATAATTCTTGTGTATCCTCTATTTAAATTGGGCTACCATTTCTAATTTTTTGCTTCATTTCATGGCAAAACTCTGATAAATTATATTCCCTTCTAGTTAGTCTTTCTAATATGTGAACTATGACACATAAAGAAGAGTATGTACAACATACCTTTACAGTGAAGTTAATAAAGTGAATACATGAGAAATCACTATCCAGATCAAGAAATAAAACATTACCAAACCTAAACATCCAAAAATCATACCCTGTCATACCTTCACTAGAACTCACCAGTGTTTTTGTTTTCAGGGCACACTTCTTTGACTCTTGGTTTTTAAAAATGGTTCTACATAATATATATGCATTCTAAAACATAGTTTAGGTTGGTCTGCTTTTAAACTTTACATAAAGGAAATTATATTGTGTGTATTTTTGGATGTCTTGCTTCTTTTGCTCAATAAGAAGTTTATAAGTTTTCTCTAGTTACTATGTGTACCCATTATTTATACCCTCAGACAGTATGCCACTACCTAAGGACAGTACATTTATTTATTGTTGAAAATTGGTATTTTTCCAGTTTTTATCTTTAATGAATAAGGCTGTCATTAATACTCTTATTATTTATATCCTGGTGCACATGTACAAAATCTTCCTTTGTGTAATATTCTCAGAAGTGGGATTTCTGAATCAGAGAGTACATAAAATTTCTAGATAAAGTCCAATAGCTTTTCAAAATTCAAATGCAATTTACATGCTTATTAGCAGTGACTGAGAATTTTACATCCTGCGAAAAATTCAGTAACATAAAGCCTTTTAACTTGTGCTGCCCTGTAGAATGTATTGTTGCATGCCATTTATTTCACTATGAGTAAGTTTAAGTACCTTTTCACATATCAATTGCCATTTTCATTTCTTATTTTGTGAAAGCTTTTTTTTTAAATTATTTTTTCCTACCAGGTTTCTCTTTTGGTTCTTACTGACTTTTAAGACAATCTACCTATGGCTCTGTTAGGTGCTTCTGTTTTTAAAGAAAGACCATGCAGCCATTTCTTCCCCCTAATGTCCTACTTCCTCTCTGGCTCAGCAGCTCGGCACCATTAGGGACTGAACCGCTGTCTACTAAACAAGTTTAAGAAAGAAAACAAGTTTGAGAAAATTCTTAATACATATAAAGGTCAGATTAGTTGTCCTGCCTGAGATGGAAACAACCCTTTTCCCCTGTCAGCCACTTAAACATTCCTACAAGTTTAACCGGTGTAATCCTGGGACATCCTGGTCTATCCACTGTTACTGTTTGTTATTTTTCCTCTTCCCTGCAGGCTTCCCTCTGGGCTCCACGGTGCAGTCTGAAACTAAGGGCATCTGGATGTGGTGTGTGCCCCACCTCTCTAAGCCAAACCACACCCTGGTCCTTCTGGACACCGAGGGCCTGGGCGATGTAGAAAAGGTAAGGCAGAGAAACTTCACCGCTCATGGTTGACCTCTCATCTTTTAATTTTTTCAGCTCCCTTCAACTTCTGTACATATCTCTGTAAACTCAAATCTAATTATGAATAATGAGGCTAAATTCTGTTTCCTCAGACTTCCTTATTAATTTCAAGTATTGAGGCATATTTAAGAGTAGATCTTCTTATTTTTAACACTGGAGTGAATGATATAATTTAATAAATATGTATTGAAGAGATGAATTCCAGGGCTCTGTACTGAGTACTACAGATAAAACAGTAAACAAGGTAAAGGCCAAGAGCCTAGTTGTGAAGACAAGAAATATGGGGTATGATAAGTACAGGGTTTCACAGATGCAAAAAGTGAGAAGCTAGTTCAGTCATTCGACTTAGAGAAGGCTTGTTGGAGAAAGTTGTAACCCATGGGAACAATGGGATCTACTATTTAAGGCGTGTGGGGTTGGAGGAGGGGACCATGAAAAAATAGGGTTTTAGTGAAGGAATCTATTTCAGTAGTTTTCAGAAAAGCATTAATTTTATCACTAACATTTTGGTTCAACTCTCTGAGCTTTGGAGATTAATTCTCCACTGACTTCTTTAATAGCATGAATTAGACCCACAAAGAATATTGTAAGTGAGATAACTTTAGGTATTTTGTCTTAAAGTGTTAGGTGCGATCAGTCCATTCTTCTTATTTGCATTAGTCTTATGTCTGAATTGAAAGTAGCAGCAGTAGATCCTTGGCTTCCATTATTGAAAAAAGGGAGTTGAGGGAAGGAAGCACCAACTTAGCAATTCTGAACTTTAAATTTCAGTATTAAAGGTCTGAATTATTCTCTTAGTGTAATATCAAAGTGAAACATTTATTCTTAATATGTTGTAGTTTTCATAAACTTCTTTGTGTCTAATTACGTTTGTCAAGCGATCAAAACATATCAAAACATAAACTGATGGCAGCAGCAGAACTACTAGCTGACCTTAGAACTTGTAATGTGATTTGGGGACCATCTAAATTTTTTTAAAAACCCTTTCATGTCTTGCCATGAATCTTGTTTCCAGCCTCCTCTTCCACTTCACCAACATGCATACTCACTGCTTCAGGCAAATGAAATAACTGTGTAATGCCCTTTTATGACCATGCTGTGACAATTCTGACTTGGCTTCTATTGATCTTTCCACCTGCTTTATCCGTCCTTCTTCACAAGTCCACACTCTATCAACTTTTTGAAGTGCAACTATTTTCAAACTGCTGCCTTCATATGCCTGTCAAACATAATCACTTCTTGCTCCTGAATTCACAGAGTAACTATTCACATTTATGTGCCTCCCCCTCCCTTCTTTTTATTTGTTTTATACTTTATAACTTTGGGTTTTCCTCCCCCAGCAGTGATTATTATTCTGATTGAATTTGTATATTGACATGTTTATCTGCTGCACCAGAAAGCCATCTTCTTGAAGGCAGGGACTGTCGTGAGGAACTTTATATCCACAAAACCAAATGCAGGGTCTGCATTTTGTCAGATACACAATGTAAAGTTTTTGAACTTAACTGAATAGCATTTGTGGCCTTAATATGCCATGAGTGAGAACAAAATTGCAATGGAATAATTGCACGCTGATTACTTGGCACCTATTATGTTCTAGGCACTTTATTGAATGTTACTCACATTGACAATGTCATTCATTTCTGCTAAATGAACCGATAGCCTGAAAAGGATTAATGTAAAAATCTAAATATGAAGTTTGAATTCAGCATTGGCTTCAAAATTTGTTATTTACCCTATTATTCAACTATCATACAGCTGAAATAGCTAATGAACAACCAAATGAATGAATGAATGAATGAAGAGAATACTCCTAAGTCTTTTGCTTTATATGCTTTCTAGAGTAACCCTAAGAATGACTCGTGGATCTTTGCCCTGGCTGTGCTTCTAAGCAGCAGCTTTGTCTATAACAGCGTGAGCACCATCAACCACCAGGCCCTGGAGCAGCTGCAGTATCCTTCTGGGAAGTGAAGAGCAGGTTTTATGGGGTTTAGGGGAATGGGAATTGATACTGTGTCTTCTTTGCTGTGACTCAGTTGTCCTGGTTGAGTAAGAAAAGACAGAGTGCAAAAGGGAACGTGTATAAAACTTGTTTCTAAGTGAGATATGGAAATGATGGTGTAGGGTGCTATCCTTCCTTAGCTGAGATCCCAGCTATGTGACTGAGCTAGCAGAGCTAATCAGGGCAAAATCCTGCCCCAGACCTGATGAAGCTGAGGACTCCAGCGAGTTTGCGAGTTTCTTTCCAGACTTTATTTGGACTGTTCGGGATTTTACCCTGGAGCTAAAGTTAGATGGAAACCCCATCACAGAAGATGAGTACCTGGAGAATGCCTTGAAGCTGATTCCAGGTATCAGAGCATGGCCTGGATGTGGGAAGGTTCAGTGGGGGGTAGGATCAACTAAGACCTGCTATTCAGCACCTGACACAAATGTTTACATTAGACTGGATTGATTTGAGGCCCATGCTCATGGTGGTTGGTGATTGACAAGTGATTATGATTTTTGTGGTTATTTTTACTTGAAATTTCCCAGAGGCTGAGGTTCAAATTCATTGAGGAAATTTAAAACTCGAAGTTCTATCAAATCATTTTAGACCAATAAGTATCATGAAAAATATATTGAGGATTACAATTAATATTATCACATCCTAAGACTCATATATTTGTGTTACTTATTAGCTTCAAATGCTCCTCCTATTCTATTTGGAGAAATTAACTAATAAGCTTGGAAGCTGGTAAACACAGAATCACAAGAAGTCAAATGATCTAACTTTGGAAGTATATTTCACCCTATCTATTTCATTAGCCTGGATAGTTACATCCTTTAGAGAAAAAGGAGATTTATACAGCAAACGATCCAGGAAGTTAAAAAAAAACACATATGCTTCCAGTAAGACTGTCAAATCCTTCATTTTACTATTTTCATAACATCACCTACTTCATTCTACAGCTTCATAAAATATGTTGTCAATCTATTATACGTTTGTTAAACAGACTATATTTAGCAGAGTGGATACCTGTTGGCACCTACAATCAATATCCATCTTTGTTCATTTATTCATCCTTTCAACAAACATTTGTTTTGAATAACTGATATATGCCACAGAATCCCTCTGCAAGACAATGTGAGACCTAATGTAATCTGACATTGAAAGGTGGTGAGGTCTCCAAGTTATATCTGTATTAACTTTACTCTGGATTTTTCAGATAAAGGAATCTCTAAACATATTTATGGTGTTTATAATTTGGGGTTCTGGTTTTGAAATACTTTTTATTTTTATTACTGACTTGGGTATCATTCACCTTCATGATATTTTTCTAAGAAACATATTTTTCTTATTTCTAGCGTTGCTTTAATTTAGGGCCCATGTTTCACTTCTGACATAGGACTGTAATATCAGAAAGTATTTCTGACAACTGCTTCATTTAATTAATCATTCAAAAACATTTAATACATAGTCTACTGGCTAGCATACAAAAGCCAAGGAAACCAGTCATAAGTTTCTTCATTTTGTGGTAGATGTCTTCCCTTCCTCTCCAAGAGTTCTTTCCTGACTCTCGCTCCTGTACAAAAATGGATTTTCCATGCCTTCATTGGATTAGCACAAGGCTGTTTTGTATGATTGCATAAAACAAGATTTACAAGGCAGGGGAGCTGCAGGGATGCAAAGATCCCTGGAAAAGTCCTCAGCCCCCTTGCCTGCAGGCTGTCTCTTCAATGAGCCCTCTTTTTTACAATTCCACAGGCAAGAATCCCAAAATTCAAAATTCAAACATGCCTAGAGAGTGTATCAGGCATTTCTTCCGAAAACGGAAGTGCTTTGTCTTTGACCGGCCTACAAATGACAAGCAATATTTAAATCATATGGACGAAGTGCCAGAAGAAAATCTGGAAAGGCATTTCCTTATGCAATCAGACAACTTCTGTTCTTATATCTTCACCCATGCAAAGACCAAGACCCTGAGAGAGGGAATCATTGTCACTGGAAAGCGTGAGTCTTTTTTTGTCCCAAAGCATGTCTGTCTGTGGTCCAGGATGTGTTGAAGCTGTAATGACTGCAAGTTTTTCAATAATATTGTTTGCTTCTGTATAGGAATGCAGAGAAGGAGATGTTCATTGCACACATAGAAATGAATGTTTCTTAATTAAAGTTTACTCATGTGAAACTTTCTTGAGGCCTAATATGTCTCACAAAATTAATACACTAATGGCATAAACACAAACTCCTAAGGAGAGAAATCTGCATGATGAGGAAAAGTCCTATAGGATTAGTGTTTCTCAGTGAAGATATATAATATATTTTATAAATTTACATTAGTCAGGAAATCAACATCAGGCCATGAGTTCCATGCAAGCTCATTGAGAGTTTGAGAAACAAATTTAAATGTCATATTAAGTACGGGGCTAGCTTCATGGCATGCAACCTGTGTAGTCGTCCACTCCCTATGGTGAGATGGGCCTGTGCTTGGTTCAATGGTTTATGTTACTGTCTTCAAATAAAAATTTCTTGTCTCCAAATAAAAATGCAAGTTCCCTTGTAAAGAATAAGAAATGAGGGGACTTGCATTTTTATTTGGAAGTAGGACTCACAAATTATATAACTTACTTTCCCTGCTAACAAACTCATTTATATGGTATTTAAATGGAAATGTATTTTTCCATAAAACACAAAAACATATTGGTTGCAATGGGTAATTTAATTTTGTAATGTGAATCCAAGAGCCATAAAAAAGAGTGAATAGGAAAAATAGGGATGTTATTATAAAGAGTTGAATTCATAGAGGAAGATGAAAAAGGAGGAGGAAGAGAATAAAGGAGTGATAAGAAACTTCAAGATAATTAGAATTTTTGTAATTTTTAGAATGCTGACTCTTAAAACTTGTATAAATAATGAGTAAGAACTGTAAATTTTCCCTAAATATATGTGATTCAGGGCTGGGGACTCTGGTGGTGACTTATGTAGATGCCATCAACAGTGGAGCAGTACCTTGTCTGGAGAATGCAGTGACAGCACTGGCCCAGCTTGAGAACCCAGCGGCTGTGCAGAGGGCAGCCGACCACTATAGCCAGCAGATGGCCCAGCAACTGAGGCTCCCCACAGACACGCTCCAGGAGCTGCTGGACGTGCATGCAGCCTGTGAGAGGGAAGCCATTGCAGTCTTCATGGAGCACTCCTTCAAGGATGAAAACCATGAATTCCAGAAGAAGCTTGTGGTACTTTTAGCATTTATCCTTCCTGATTTCTGCCCTTCCGAAATGATGCATAAAGTGTAGCTTTTTGACCCCATGGTTCATCTCCTTACCACTGTGGAAAGACCATGGTTTCTTGTGAATAACAGGGCTCTATGGGCTATAGGTCACCCTTCTTCTAGAGGATTGTCACTTTTTTTTTCTATTGCTGCAAAAGAAATTATCATGAGTTTAGCAGCTTAAAACAACACACGTTATTAGCTCATAGTTATGTAGGTCAGAAGTCCTTATCAGGGTGTCTGGGTACTCTGCTCAGTGTGCCACAGGCTGAAAACAAGGTGTCAAAGAGGCTTAGATTTCATATAGAGGCTCTGGGTAAACCCATCCATCTTCAAGTCAGCAATGATGCATGAAATCCTTATGTTTCTAATTTCACTGAATTCCTCTTCTCACACCAGCTAGAGAAAACCACTTTTAAGGGGCTCATGTGATTAGGTCATGCCCAACAGGGCACACTCCATTTCTCAAAGTCAACTTGTGCTACACAACATAATCTAATCACAGGATTAGTATCTATCATATTCATAGGCCCAGGAACTATGCAGGTGTGGATACCAAGGAGTGAGAAACCTTATGGGACATCTTAAATCTACTTACCATAGGCATGTTTACTGAAAGTTTGTCTTTCAGTCTGTCTCAGACTGACCTAAAAGTGACAATAATCTCTTAATTCATAGTGATAAAATGCAACTGGATTGTAACTTACAAATACAAACAAAAGAAAATTCTGTTCCTGTATCCTCACATATCCAAACTCTCATTGAAGAAATACACAGATGGTTCATTTTTCTCATCAGAATATGCTTAATTCATTACTGTGAAGTTGATTTGCCATATGTATATTTTTTATACATAGCAACCTATGTTTTCTGGGGAAATTTTGCTTCCAGCCAGAATTCAACTTTTTACTGCTCATTACTGGAGGTTGGATCCCTATTAATCATACTATACCTAAAAGAACCATAGAGTTTATGTCTTCTAACCACATAAATTTACAGATATTGAGCCTGACCCCTGGGGGGTTAAAGGGCTTTCCACAGGTCACACAGATCACATAGTTGGGAACAAAATCATTCTTGTGACTCTTGGTCTACACCATATCCCAGTCCACTCTGAGGCCTTCAGACTACTTCTTCCAAGAGGATCACAGTTGGACCTTCCCTTCTAACAGCTTCTTTCTACTGTTTTCTCTACATTTTTCTGGCAGGACACCATAGAGAAAAAGAAGGGAGACTTTGTGCTGCAGAATGAAGAGGCATCTGCCAAATATTGCCAGGCTGAGCTTAAGCGGCTTTCAGAGCACCTGACAGAAAGCATTTTGAGAGGAATTTTCTCTGTTCCTGGAGGACACAATCTCTACTTAGAAGAAAAGAAACAGGTTGAGTGGGACTATAAGCTAGTGCCCAGAAAAGGAGTTAAGGTGAGGAAAAGGGGAATGGGGGATGGATAACAGAGGATAGTCAGAGGGTTTTTGTTGCCCCTTCTGAAAATCTAAGAATATAGCACCATTTGTGGAGAGGAAGCAGAACATGATGCTATTTTGAGTTTTTTAGTATTTAAATCCACAGTTAGTTAGACACTCTTAAGAAATCAGAAATATTTCTTCTCCAAGAGGATTTAACATCATGAATCCAGATGAAACAACCCATTTATTATATTTATTAATTAATGGGATAGTTTTTGTGCTAAGTGCAGAGGATACCTTATGAAGCAAACAACTATGTTTTCAGAAGTGTATTATTTTACCTGAGATGGACAAATTAATATTTGACTGGATAGGGTACAATTACGGTTATCGTACTGGTATGTACTAATATGATGATGATGATGATGATGATCTTGATGATTCACTTCCTATATCAGAGGAAGTGATTTTGTTGGATTATCAGTTTGATTCTCGGAATAATGTAAATTAGGTACCACTATCGTCCACATAGGCAGTTGAGAAATGTAATGCATGGAGAGGTTAATAAAGTGCCTAAGACAACACAGCCAGCAAGTGGTGGAGCTGATAGGGCTGACCTATGTACTTGACAGCCATTGGAAACTCAGAATTTTTCCTTTTGAGGAAACTTTTGTCCTGTGTTCCATGAGGACTGTACCAATTTCTGTTCCTACAAACAGTTTCCAAGAATTCCCTTTTCTCCATATCTTTGCCAACACTTGCTATCTTTTGACTATTGGATAATTATCATTCTAAAATGTGTGAGATAAAATGTCACTGTGGTTTTGATTTGCATTTCCCTGATGATTAGTGATGTTGACCATGCTTTCACATACCTGTTGGCCAGGTCTTCTTTTGACGAAAGTCTATTTAGTTTCTTTGCTCATTTTTTAATATATTTATTGGTTTTTTGAGTGTTTATTTTTGCTATTTAGTTATATGATTTCCTTTTGTATTTTAGATATTAACCCAGTATCAGATTTATGGTGTGCAAGTGTTTTCTTCCATTCTGTATGGAAGAAAATTCTTTTTCATTTTACTGATTATTTTCTTTGCAGAAATTTTTAGTTTGATGTAGTCCCACTTATTTTTGCACTTGTTGCCTGTGCTTTTGATGTCAAATCAAAAACTGAGAATGTGTATTTGTAGAACTGCCCATTTATGTTGTCGGGTTGTCTGCACCGGGGGTGGGTGGTGAGCAGCATCCCTGGGAGAGGAGGCTGGACAGGCAGGAGGGAGGCTGGACAGGCAGGAGGGAGGCTGCTGCACAGGGTTTTTATGACTTAACAAAGAGCTTGGACTTCTTGTGGCTGTGGAAGAAAAGAAACCACTGGATCTTAAGAATTATGCAAAGTTTACAGGGTTAGATTTGTGACTTTATTGAACAATAATTTCGCCATCATAAGATGAGACCTTTGCTGCCTGACAGGTCTTTGCTCTTTCTTGGTTCCTCAGGCAAACGAGGTCCTCCAGAACTTCCTGCAGTCACAGGTGGTTGTAGAGGAATCCATCCTGCAGTCAGACAAAGCCCTCACTGCTGGAGAGAAGGCCATAGCAGGTACAGGGGCAGGGCTCAGCTATCAGAGGGATTGGGAGTTTCCTGCAATGCCTTCTTGCTGATCACACTGAAAGATATTCCAGTTAAAAGGAGCTTCAAAAGTCACAAACATTGAGTTAAAATATTAATAAGTTCTGGATACCAAATGTACAGCACAGCGACTATAGTTAAAAAATATATTGTATACTTGGAATTTGCTTTCTCTTACTATAGAGGAGGGAGCTTCCTCCCACTATAGAACATATACTCTGCTAAATCTCAAAATCGCAAGGAGATTGGGGTTGAACCTCCAGCCAGTGCCTTCGCATCACATTATTCAACATTCTCTTCCAGACATGGCTAGTGAGATAATTCAGAGATTCCCAATCCCTCACCTTTGTGCTTTTCTCCGAGTCAGTTTGATCTGAGCTCAGGAGGGTAGAACTCAGGAATAACTGTCATTTTCTTCCCTCTCTAAAACCTTTGTGGAATAGCGGAGCGGGCCATGAAGGAAGCAGCTGAGAAGGAACAGGAGCTGCTAAGAGAAAAACAGAAGGAGCAGCAGCAAATGATGGAGGCTCAAGAGAGAAGCTTCCAGGAATACATGGCCCAAATGGAGAAGAAGTTGGAGGAGGAAAGGGAAAACCTTCTCAGAGAGCATGAAAGGCTGCTAAAACACAAGCTGAAGGTGAGTCTCCGTGAAGAATGGCAGTGCCTGAGGGACAATGCCCTGCTTCTTTAGGAAAGGAAGGACCAAAATTTTAGGCACAGTCATGATTCCAGAAGGAAACACAAAAGTTGTATGTTTCACTAAAATCTCAAATACATCTAAATTCTACTGAAGCCCGAAAGTCTACAAGAATCCACCATCTTCTTCTTGTTAGACTTTGGAGAGTACACATGACATCTCCCAGGGTCCCAGGCTGCTGTTTGTGGTGACTACAGGATGGTCTCACTGTGCCCCAATGAAATAGGACCTTAGTCCACCAATCCTTGCGATTTTTGGCACAACCATCTAAAGTACCTGAAATAGATCCATCTGGATGAAAGTATCAGATTTGGCTTGATATGAAATGATACTGAAAGATCACAAATTGCTCCATTTGTTTCTGTATCTGCCTGATTCATCCTATACAACTAGAGTAAAACATATTCCTTGTCCCAACCTGAAGCTTGACAACCAATGTTTTATACAGGGTCAGCAGTCCCCCGTTATTTGCTAGATGAGCATGGCCTTGCTACACCAGTGGAAATTAGAATTAATTAGAATTAAACCTGCATTCCCTCTCGAAGGGCATTCTTTGTGCTGGAACAAAATTTCTTTCTACCTCCAGTGAGATGTTGCTTAGGGAATGTCACAAAAGGTAAACCATGTATACTCCCATGATTCAGGTCCAATCATCTGGAAATGTTACACAAATTCATCAAAGCGTTTTCTAAGATAATAGAGAAATAGACACATATGCTTAAACGTTGAATTAGTTAAATACAAAACTCTGACTCCTGAAGAAAATTGGAGATTTTCAAAAGTGGACTATTTCCCTTTTATAGGTACAAGAAGAAATGCTTAAGGAAGAATTTCAAAAGAAATCTGAGCAGTTAAATAAAGAGATTAATCAACTGAAAGAAAAAATTGAAAGCACTAAAAATGAACAGTTAAGGCTCTTAAAGATCCTTGACATGGCTAGCAACATAATGATTGTCACTCTACCTGGGGCTTCCAAGCTACTTGGAGTAGGGACAAAATATCTTGGCTCACGTATTTAAGAGCCTGAATATTCCAGGTAAGAAAATATAAAATGAGGTTTATTTTATTTTAATAACATAACACTGTTGCTCATTTTGTAAGTATATGTGTTATAGCAGTTTCATTCAAGAAAAGTTTAAAATTAAAAAGTGATTATCAAAGAATATCAGGGCCTGACATCCACAAAAAACAAACTTAATTTTGATTGAACTAATAATTTATAAACATGGGAAACAAGTCAGAAGTAGTGACATTATTCCTAGAAAAGATTTAAGGAAAGCAAAAAGACAACTGGTAAGATTAAGAAGCCATTAACCATTTGCAATTTATATTATAGTCACAGAAATAATTTCAGTTATGACTAGCTCTTGCCGATTAATGAGAAGAGAGCAGCTCCACAATTTTTAATTTTTTTAACTTTTATTTTAGATTCAGGGGTATATGTGCAGGTTTGTTACATAGGTAAACTGCATGTCATGGGGGTTTGGTGTGCAGATAATTTTATCACACAATTATTAATCATAATACCCAATAGGTTTTTTTCTGATCTTCTCCCTCCTCCCAACCTACACCCTCAAGTAGACCCCAGTGTCTCTTGTTCTCCTCTGAGTATCCATGTGTTCTCTTTGTTTGGCCCCCATTTATAAGTGAGAACATGTGGTATTTGGGTTTCTGTTCCTGTGTTAGTTTGCTTATGATAATGGCTTCCAGCTCCATCCATATTGCTACAGAGGACATGATCTTGTTGTTTTTTATGGCTGCATAGTATTCCATGGTGTTTGTATATACCACATTTTCATTATCCAGCCTATTATTAATGCACATTTAGGTTGATTCCTTATCTTTGCTATTGTGAACAGTGCTGCAATGGACATACACGTGCATGTGCCTTTATGGTACAATGATTTATATTTCCTTGGGATATGCATTCCTTTGGGAATAATGGGATTGCTGAGTTGAATGGTAATTCTGAGTTCTTTGAGGAATCACCAACCTGCTTTCCACAGTGGCTAAACTAATTTACACTCCCACCAACAGTGTATGTGTTCCATTTTCTCCACAACCTTGCCAGCATCTGTTATTTATTGACTTTCTAGTAACAGCCATTCTGACTGGTGTGAGATGGTATGCATTTCTGTAGTGATTAGTGATGATGAGTGATTTTTATATGCTTTTTAAATGCATATATGTCTTCTTTTGAAATGTGTTCATGTTCTTTGCCCACTTTCTTTTTAATGGGGTTGCTTGTTTTTCGCTTGTAAATTTTTTGAAGCTTCTTATAGATTCTGGATATTAGATCTTTGTTGGATGCATAGTTGGCAAATATTTTCTACCATTCTGTAGGTTGTCTGTTACTTTGTTAATTGTTTCATTTTGTTTTGTTTTTGTTTTTTGAAACAGGGTCTCACTTTGACACCCAGGCTGGAGTGCAGTAGCACAAACATGGGTCATTGTAGCCTCAACCTCCCAGGCTCAAGCAGTCCTTTCACCTCAACCCCCCACATAGCTGGGACTACAGGTGCTTACACCCAAGACCAGTTAATTTTTTGTATTTGTTTGTAGAGATGTGTTTTTCCATGTTGCCCAAGCTGGTCTTGAACTACTGAGCTCAAGCAATCTGCCTGCTTCAGCCTCCCAAAGTACTGGGATTTAGGCATGAGCCACCACATCTGGCCAATAGTTTCTTTTGATGTGCAGAAGCTCTTTAATTTAATTAGATCTCCTTTGTCAGTTTTTGTTTTTGCTGCAATTGCTTATGTTATCTTCATCATGAAATTTTAGCCAAGTCTTATGTCCAGAATGGTATTTCTTAGGTTATTTTTCAGAGTTTTTATAGTTTAATGTTTTATATTTAAGTCTTTAATCCTTCTTAAGTTGATTTTTGTATGCAGAGTAAGCTGGGGGCCCAGTTTCAATCTTCTGCATATGGCTAGCCAGTAATCCCAGCACCATTTATTAAATGGGGACTTCTTTCCCCATTGCTTGTTTTTGTCAGCTTTGTCCAAGATCAGATGATTGTAGGTGTACAGCATTATTTCTGGA
Organism: Homo sapiens; assembly: GCF_000001405.40. NCBI lineage: Eukaryota > Metazoa > Chordata > Mammalia > Primates > Hominidae > Homo > Homo sapiens. The sequence continues at coordinate 89,183,230 of NC_000001.11, read as the reverse complement.
CTCTCTGTTATGTTCCATTTATCTGTGTGTCTGTTTTTCTACTAATACCATGCTGTTTTGGTTACTGTAGCTCTGTAGTATGGTTTGAGGTTTGGTAACTTGATGCCTCCCCTTTTGTTCTTTATGTTTAGGATTGCCTTGGCTAGGCTCTTTTTTGGTTCCATATGAATTTTAAAGTAGTTTCTAATTCTGTGAAGAATGTCATTGGTAGTTTGATAGGGATAGCATTGAACTATTTGCTCAACTCAACATTTTAGGAATTTATTTCTGCTGTCTAGTGCTCAAAACTTGCAGCTAGAATTGAGGGAAGAGAGAGACCTTCTTATATTGTTTTATATTGTTTGATACTCAGTACCTGTTTTAAGAAAAAACAACAAGGAAGTAAAACCAAAGACAGGCAGCCCAGCGCCAGGCCCAAAACCAGGCCTGGGCCTGCCTGGCCTAAACCCAGTAGTTAAAAATCAACTCATTGCCTGTAATCCCAGCACTTTGGGAGGCCGAGACGGGTGGATCACGAGGTCAGGAGATCGAGACCATCCTGGCTAACACGGTGAAACCCCGTCTCTACTAAAAATACAAAAATTAGCCGGGCATGGTGGCACGCGCCTGTAGTCCCAGCTACACGGGAGGCTGAGGCAGGAGAATGGCGTGAACCCAGGAGGCGGAGCTTGCAGTGAGTCGAGATCGCGCCACTGCACTCCAGCCTGGGCGACAGAGCGAAACTCCGTCTCAAAAAAAAAAAAAAAAAATCAACTCATAACTTAGAAACCGATGTTATTCATAGATTCCAGACATTGTATAGAAGAACATTTGGAAACTCACTGCCTTGTTCTGTTTCTCTCTGACCACCAGTGCATGCAGCCCCTGTCATGTACCGCCTGTTTGCTCAAATCAATCATGACCCTTTCATGTGAAATCTTTAGTGTTGTGAGCCCTTAAAAGGGACAGAAATTGTGCATTCAAGGAGCTTGGATTTTAAGGCAGCAGCTTGCTGATGCCACCAGCTGAAAAAAGCCCTTCCTTCTCCAACTCGGTGTCTGAGAAGTTTTGTCTGCAGCTCATCCTGCTACAGAATGAACTCCTTGTAATTCTACAAGATATGCCATGGGCCTTTTCACAGGGGACACAGGCTTCTTAAAACAACCCGGCTTCCTCACCCTATGTCCTTTATTTACAAAGCTGTGCTCCTATTCATGAGCATGGAATGTTTTTCCATTTGTTTGTGACATCTCTTATTTCTTTCAGGGGTATCTTGTAATTCTCATTATATATATCTTTTGCTTCCTTGGTTAGCTGTATTTTTAGGTATTTTAGTCTTCTTGTGGCAATTGTGAATGGGATTGCATTCCTGATTTGGCTCTTGGCTTAATGTTATTAACGCCACATTTTTTAAATAGACAAAAATATGAGATTAAAAATGTTGAATTTTACTAACAATAAAAGTTGTTCAAAGGAAAACTATAAGGTTCTTGTTTCAACTCTGTCATAGGAAGAACAGGACAGTGAGCTGGCACAGAGTTAGGGAAACTGACTGTGTCTCATATTGGCTAGTGAGAGTGATCTGTTGGAATTGTATATCAAAATTTTAATGTACATACATTTTGTCTAGCAATTCTACTATTGGGTATTTATATAGTACATATAAATATAAATGTATATGTTTAGTAAATATATACTTATAGTTAGTAAATATATTTTATATCTATTTAGTAAATATACTAAATGTCAGGCCTCTGAGCCCAAGCTAAGCCATCATATCCCCTGTGACCTGCATGTACATACGTCCAGATGGCCTGAAGCAAGTGAAGAATCACAAAAGAAGTGAAAATGGCCTGTTCCTGCCTTAACTGATGACATTACCTTGTGAAATTCCTTCTCCTGGCTCATCCTGGCTCAAAAGCTCCCCCACTAAGCAACTTGTGACACCCACCTCTGCCCGCCAGAGAACAACCCCCTTTGACTGTAATTTTCCTTTACCAACCCAAATCCTGTAAAATGGTCCCAACCCTATCTCCCTTCACTGACTGTCTTTTCGGACTCAGCCAGCCTGCACCCAGGTGATTAAAAAGCTTTATTGCTCACACAAAGCCTGTTTGGTGGTCTCTTCACACAGACACGAGTGAAACTAAATATATATATTTTATTTTTATATTTGGTATATAAATATAAATATATCTGGTATATATTTGGTATATAAATATATATATATCTGTCACTTACCGATGAGGTAAATTTTGGGACATACTTTCAAAGGAATATTCTACAGTCACTAAAATGAAAAAGGAAGCTTTATTTGTACTACTATGAGAAAGTATCCAAGATATAGCATTAGAAAAAAAAAAGATGCAGAAAGTATGCTGCTACCACTTAATTTAGGAACTAATGAATATGTGTGTACATTATTAGCTCCCTCTGGAAAAATAAAAAATATACTAGTATCCTGGTCATACCAGGAATGGAACTGAATAGTTAAGGTGAGAAATGAGAGGGTAACTCTACATCATATATGTCTTCAACATTTTATGTAAATTCATCATGTATTCAAAAATGGATAAATACAATTATTCAAATTAAAAATTGAAATCATAATACATGGATGGCAGAGGTCCCACAACAGGATGAAAGTAATTAATATTACTAGAAATAGCATAAGTCTGCTCAACAGGAAACATCTTCTCTTTGGAACAGAGAACTAGAAAGGGCACAAAACATGCATCCTAATTTTGTTTTTATTATGGCCTTTCAACAAGATTTCAAAGTTTATCCCCAAATATATGGTCAAATACAACGTTCCCTGGGTTGTCAACTAGTATTCTCTTGACTGAGGGCCCTTTTGCAGGGGACAAAGACTTCTTAAAACAACCCTGCTTCCTCACCTTCTATCCTTTGTCTACCAAATCCTGCTCATCCTTAAGATGTCCTGGTTCCTGACTTTCTGAGGCTTGGTGAGATGCCCCTTTTGGGTTGCCATGGCACCAACTTGTTACTCCTACCATTGAACTTTTTATATAACTGTGAAATTAAAAATGCTTATTTACTTCTCTCTACCACCTCTTGATCTCAGGCGCTTCATTTTCCTCATCAACTTATCTTTAGTTCCAACTACAAAAGCCAGCACAGAGGCTCAAGTTTGGGTTGATTAAATACATATTCTACCCTCCAGTAGGTCCCCAATTTACCATATCTTTACTGTATTCCCAATCTCTAGAGCTCTCAACATAAAATATACAATCTTAGGAAGTCATGCAGAAAAGACTCACTGAGTCAGAAAGAATATGCCCAGTTGTCTTAATCTGCCACCCTGTTCTCTCTGAGGGACTGGACACTCCATTGACTTTATGTTCCTCAAGCTTATTGTTACCAGTGGAGGGTGTCCAGGTTCTTGGTATCTTGAACAAAGGATTGGACAAAACACACAAAGAAAGGAAAGAATGAAGCAACAAAAGCAGATATTTATTGAAAATGGAAGTACACTCCACAGTGTGGGAGTGGGCCCAAGCATAGGGGCTCAAGGGTCCTGTTACAGAATTTTGGGGGATTTAAATACCCTCTAGAGGTTTCCATTGGTTACTTTGTGTATGCCCTATGTAAATGGAGATAATATTTCCCGGCATAGCTGAAGTGTGAATAGGCCTTATGTTCTATGCCTCCAGATCCTATTTTCCTGCCTCATTTCCTCCCTGAGAGATGTCATCCCCATAAATCTTTATGGGAGGTGGAGTGACTAATGGTCTTTCTTCTGTAACTGCCTCATGCTGGCTTGAAGCAAAGTCCCTACCTATTGGGGATCACGGAACTGTCACCCTGCTCTGTCTAGTGGAGGCAGAGTAGCTTCTTGATGGCCAGGGGTGGTGTCTTCAACTGGAACTGGCTGGAACATTTGTCACATGATCTTCTGAAGCTTGATGGTCTCTAGGTGAGAGAAAGTGAATTTGGTTAAAAGATTTAACTGGAACTTCAGGAGGTGGATACCTATGCTGTTAAGAATGCTCGTTACAGACATTTGCAAGAGGAAAAACAAAACCTGGTTATTCAATTAATTTTTTTGTTCTACTTAGATTAGTAGCTTTATACAAGGAAATTTGGTTATTTATGTGGTCTACTATAACTTAATATAATAACTATAATTATAATTGACAGCATGTACTTAGACATTAAAAATTTTAGAAATCTCATACAATTTTGGGACATATATTAGCATTATTCACAAAAATATAACCTAAAGATTGAACAACATTTTGGCAATACTATGTACCTAAACATGTTAAATAATCCTGTTTACCTCTTCTCTGGGTGATTCAGGGGCCCCCTGATCCTTCCAAAAAGCCAGGCATCGGGAAAGACAATTTTGAAACTGAAGTTTGATTTTGGGAAGGCTGTTAAATATGTTCGGAGTTTAAAACACTTGATACTATGAAATAGAATTCCAGATTACCATGAATGATGTATTTTGCCAAAAGGTTGACTCAGAAATATTAAAGAAGCAAAAGCCTTTTATAACCCTTTACAAATTTTGCCGAAGAGCAAATTAGTGCCTTAAGAAAACCTTATTGTACTTTTAATGCTCAGTTTACAGAAAAACAATATAATACCTTTCTGAATTTAGTCAATATGTTCACACAGAGAATTTCTTTTGCAAGATTTTTAGAAACCTTCCACCACTTATTTGAACTTTTAGCTTTATCTTAATTTAAAACAATTGTTTAACCCTAGGCAATAATTTACTTTTCCATACCTTCTTATAACGTTTTACAAAAAAAAAAAAAACACATTCTATTCTTCTTATACAATTTGCATGTAAAACTATTTTAGTAGTCTCAATTACATGTAATAATGGTGACTGTTAGTCATTTTAATTTTAATTTTAATGTCTTTTCTTATTCATGTTTTATAAAATAATTTTTTGAGAGAGACTGTCAGTCTGTCACCCAGGCTGAAGTGCAGTGGTGCTATCTCGGCTCACTGCAACCTCTGCCTCCCAGGTTCAAGCGATTCTCCTGCTTCAGCTTCCCTAGTAGCTGGGAGTACAGGCATGTACCACCACACCTGGCTAATTTTTTTGTATTTTTGCAGAGTCGGGGTTTCACTGTGTTGACCAGGCTGGTCTCAAGCTCCTGACCTCAAGTGATCCACCCACCTCAGTCTCCCAAAGTGCTGGGATTACAGGTGTGAGCCACCTCGCCCAGCATTTACACTGCACTATTTTTAGCTGGTTTATATATAACATGTTTCCCTAGGATCAATGCCATCCTGTTTTCCCATTAGAGAATTGACAACACAATTTGCTGGTACATCCTCAAATTTGCTATACCTTCCTTGTATTCTTCATCCTATGCTCACCTTGGAAATGTGGTAGCCATTTGCTTATCTAAAAGAATATTAAAATTTATCTCCCTTGGAAGAAATGGCTATAGACAGGATAGGCACCGGGCTTAAGCTCCCAAAGTGTCAGGAAGCCTGGGTCTCTGTCTTTCTGGATATTTCCATTTCAAAAGGCATGGAGCCCAGACTCTTGAAGACATCTCTGGGTTGTAAAGCTGGCACTGATATTTAGCCCCTAGAAAGCTCTATTTGTATTCAAAAGGTTAAAGAAAGGACTCTGGCCCACTTGTCTCTAAAGAAACACTCTAAAAACAAGCTGGGGTCTGGCATGGTGGCTCACACCTGTAATTCCAACACCTTGGGAGGCTGAGGCGGGTGGATCACCTGAGATTGGGAGTTCGACATCAGCCTGACCAACATAGAGAAACTCCATCTCTACTAAAAATACAAAATTAGCCGGGCTTGGTGGCTCATGCCTGTAATCCTAGCTACTCAGGAGGCTGAGACAGGAGAATCGCTTGAACCCAGGAGGTGGAGGTTGCAGTGAGCGAAGATTGTACCATTGCACTCCAGCCTGGGCAACAAGAGAGAAACTCTGTCTCAAAAAAAAAAAACACAAGTTGGGAAAGTGGGATCTTTTTTTCTTATAAATTTATGTACCCTTAAATTATACATGATTCACAAAGATTCAATTTTGCCTGGGGCTATTTTTTGTTTGCATGATATAAACAATAGATTTTATTACTTAGAAGCAGGTGATTTCCTAGCAATAGTTCTGTTTTGAAATAACCCTGCCTTACTTTCACTTTAAATCTCATCAATATTCACACACACACAGAGAAGTCTTACTCTCTGCTCTCCATTTCTCTCTCTCTCTTCCCCGCTTCCCACCTTCCTCTCTTTTAGAGACAATGTGCAGTAGAGAATCAATGTGGTTTTAACCAAATGGATTTTCAAGTTTGAATCTCGCTCAATTACTTGCTACCTTGGTGTGTAGCTCAATGGCTTTAGTTAGACATATTAATTACCCGTTTTCTGATTATTTTTCCCCCTTGGACAATGGGGATAATAAACAACCTTTATCTTGAGGTATTTTGATATTTAAAATGGTATGTGTAAAGAATATGGCCTAGAATGGAACTGATAAGGAGAAAACATTGTTATTGTACACTCAGCAAACACAGAGGTATTTTAATGAAGTGACTGACAGCAAGACTTCTTGGGCCCAAATCTTATTTAGTAGCTCTGTAATTGTAATAAATTATTAAATCCCTCTTTTAACATTGTGGTAAAAGTATTTGTGATAAGAATACAATGGGATAATCTATGTAAACAAAACGGGTACTATCTTCATTATTATTTATTAAATGTTAAGTGCCAAGACCTGAGTTAGGTGCTAATAATTCAAACATGTATAAGACGTGGACATTCCTTCAGGGCATTTAGAGTCCTCATTATTAAACACAAATAATGAGTTCCATTTTAAGAGTCTAATATTCAAGCCAATTGAACCTAAATAATATTATATTAAGCTTTCTTATTCCTGTACTTCTCAATGTGGCCCACAAACATGAGATGAATGTCATTATTTTAAACGATTCATTGAAGTTTTTTTAATAATCGCAAGCTGTCTCTAAGATCTCTTCCAATAATAAAATTGGAAGATTCTGTTTGAGAAATTATGTCAAATCCTCTCACTAGCACAGCTGTCAGCAATTTCTTTTATTGTTGCTAAATCATGGACTGTCATATTACTCTATTTATTTGCAGAGGTTGCATTGTTTTTTACATGTATAAATACAGGTCTCTAGAAAGTCTGGAAAGCCCCATGACATTGGAGAGGTAAGGTAAAAGTCCAAAGTTCCAGCAAGAAAAAAAGTGGGAGAAATCAGTGCAGCCAAATTCAGAACTAAAGAGAAGAGAATAAAGACTCATAACTTTCTCATTGAAGCTGCCTTCTTACCAAGTCCAGAGGATCTCTACTCTGGGTAAGACTATGACTTATAAGGATTTCATGATTTATAAGGATCCATTAGTTTTCTCTAAGTTGACCATCCCCAAGATAGGCTGCAGCTGAGCCAGCTACAGGATACAAGTCCAGATGAAATCCTGGCCTCTTAGGTGGCTGTGTGTACCTTAGTGTGCTCTAATTCCTGCTGTGTCAGATTAGGCTTCAGCAGAGGTGGAACAGATATTCAGAGAAGCCAGTGTTCTAAGATTGTTATTTCTTTTCTGACACCATCTTAAATTACTGTTATCTTTAAATATCTGCCTAATAGGCTCTGTCACTTTCTTTATTGGGCCCAACATTTATAGCTCTAGGTAAATGAAGGTAGGCAACTTGGGATCTGCAAAAAGAGGCAACACATTATTATAATCCAGGACCTTATAACATCTTTGTGCCACCACCTTTCTGAGCCGGTGACTGATTGATTCCTATGTTATGGTAGCATAGTATATGCTACAGAATTGGACAGACGCATACTCTGTTTTCACTCATCTTCCATAGATACCCAATCTTTTTAGTTTCTGGTTTGCCCTTCTTGCTTGCCAGCAGATCCTGTAGGCCATTGCTATAAGAGGAAATGGGTCATGATCACAGAAAAATAAACGGCTTTTTTTCCATCTTCTGCTGAAGTGATGGGAAGCCAGATAATTTAATATAAACCTCCAGAGGAACAAGTCAGAAGTAACCAACTCTATAGTGGAAACAAACCACTCTTTATTATAGGATAAAAAAGAAAACTGCAGTATCTATCATCTATATTTGCTTGTATCTTAAAGAGATTATATATTTTGTATCATGATCACATAAGTTACAAGGATTGAGACATTCAACTTAAAAACACAAAATTAAAGCATCACTACAAGAAGGCTTTTCACTCCTTTTAACTTTACAAAATTATCAAAATATTTAATTTATCAAGCCCTGGATAAAGATAGCATGATTACAATTGTGCATATGCTACTCTCTATACAGCAGAGATCAGACAAAAAACAAGCCATGGTTTTTCAAAGAATGTTTCATGCTGTGACTTCATTACATGAAATAATTAAAAACAATATGCAGACTGATATACATGGAGGTAATAAAGAATCAATCTTCAAATGCAGAGAATTCAAAATCTGTTAACATAATCAAGTCAAAAATCAACAGAGTAAGTGTCAGGTGCGAGCTATCAGGCTTGCATGAATAACGTGTGAATGCTGATGCACAGTGAGAGGAGGAAGCCATTGGGTAACCTGAGTCCCACAGTCTGACCAGACCCTGCCCACAGAGGGGCTTGCAAGAAATCAGGACCAAGAATGGGTTAGAATGGTATCTATGTTTCAAAGTATAGAGATATGTATAACACAATGTTTCCCAGGTGAAGATTACTACTACTATATACATGAGCTCAGCGAGCTCAGCTTTGCTCAGTCCAAAGATCTAAATGTGAACGTGAAAAGCTTCCAAAGGAAATTTTGTAATTAATTCAGAAGAGCAAGCGGGGCACCTAGGAAAAATTCCATTTTCTAGAAAATGACATACAAGATGAGCTGGTGGGAATGCAACCTTGTACAACTTTCTGGAGAGGAACTTGGCAATATCTACAAAATTATATACTCTCATCTTTTGACCAAGCAATCCCGTTGGTAGGACTCTATCCTGAAATTACTCCTGTAACAATATAAAAATACACATGCATAACGTTAGCAGAGTTATTCATTGCAGCATTGTTTGTAATTGCAAAATATTTGAAACAATCTAAATGCCCATACATTGAAGAGTGATTGAATAAACTGGGGTATAATCCACATAAAGGAGTAGATACATGTTAAAAGGATTTTAAAAGCTTTCTATGAACAGATGTGGAGGGATTTCCAAATTTCTATATGATGTGATCTTCGTGTTAGAAAATGTGAAAAAGAAAATATGTACATTCTCATTTGAGAAAAGAAAATCCAAGAAGCGTAAACCAGAAACTAACAAGATTGGGTATCTATGGAGGATGGGTGGGAATGTGGTAGAAAGAATAGAAGACCACTGCAATGTGAGTGGAGTGGTAAGATGAAGGAAAAGTGACACTTCTCTGACTGTAACTTTTTGAAAAGCTCTGCATTTCAGAACCATGATGTTTCACAAACTCAAAAAATAAATCATACTTAAAATCAACCAAGATACCAAGATGTGAAGGAGGCCAAACTGAAACACAAACAGTAACAAATGTAACTAACTGTTTTACAAATGAATAATTTAACCATACTGAAGAAGGTGGAGAAGGAAAAAGCTAACCTAAGCAACTTTGGAATGCAATGTTTTGAGTGTGTATATAAGGCTAAAGACCAAAAGAACTGTACACTAATAATTTTCTATAGGAAGTAAATTTATTTTTCCACAGACTTATTATCAATTTTGAAACTACTATATGAATATACTAGGACTGAGCAAGGAAACAAATGTATTATGTGTTAGAAGACCAAAGTCTAGCTTACTTGGAGAAAATAGTTTAAAAAGGAAAGTCAAAAGCTTGAATAAGCTCAGATGTGTTGGATTGGAACTGGAAATATCAACAGAATCTCAAGCTTTATTATAGAAATGTACAGATAAAAATAAATATAGATGTGTCCTAGTATACATACATATATTTCTTAACTTTGCCCCTGAGTGGGTCTAGAAATAATGAACACACCTAGAGTGATATATTGGTGTCAAAGTACCATTATCCATTGAAAGAAACCAAAGATACTGGGAGAAATGTTAGATTCTAGGGATAAAGCAGGAAAAATACAGATATTTTTTCTAGAATACGTTGTGGAGCCAAAAAGGAAAGAAGCGCTGAAAATATGATGGAAGCATGTAAAAAAAAAATGGATCCAGCTTGAAGAAGCTCTCAATGACAAAATCTAGGACAAGTTGAGTAACAGAACAAATATTGACAGTAAAGTATTGAAACCCTCAGAATAAAACTAATATCTCTGAGTCTGCATTGATACAAGTAAATGATTAAATGAGCAAACAAAATAAATAAAGAAGGAACAGCCCTTGCTCACGGTAGAACTCCAGTTAATATAGAAAGAATGACTATAATAGAAAATCCTATTTAGTCAAACACCACAAAAAGAATCATCAATAAAAACTAAAAGTAGTGGCTGAAAAAAAAAAAAGTATGATGAGATTGTATTTGCATAGTCTCCAAACTGTTTCTCAAAATGGAAACTTTTTAGTGACAAAGTGGCACATAACTCTTTAAGGTGGCGAAATCTGGCAGCAAGCACTTTAACCAAGTGATCAAAGTTAAGGCCATAGCACCAGAAAAAGTAATGTCAACATCATGAATCCCTTAATACAAGACACTGAAAATGGCAGAACATCACTTCTGTGACATTTGCAAAAAAAAATGCATAACTTCAATCAATGAGGAAACATCAGAAAACTCCAAATTGAAGGATATTCCTCAAAATCACAGGCCAGTGCTATTCTAAAATGTCAAAGACATGAAAGACAAAGAACGAATAACGAACTATCAAAGATGCAAGAAAACTACAGAAACATAATGACTAAATGCAATGAGGGATCCTGGATTGGATCATGAAGCAGAAGGACATTAGTGGGAAAATGGTGAAATGTGAATAAGGAGTGTAGATTAGTTATCATTGTATTGATGCTAAAACCCTGGTTTCAGTAATTGTTCTATGGTTAAGTAAAATATCGACATTAGGGGAAGCCAGGGAAGTGGTGTATGGGCACTCTTCATACCTATCATGCTTCTGTAAGTCTATTTCAAAATGAAATTATTTTAAAGGGCAGACAGTGGCCCAGTCTATAGGACAGCCTTAAAGGGCCACAGGTCTCCTTAGAAATGCACAAGAAACAATGTTCAAGAATAGAAAACAAAGATTTATGCCCTATTATAGATTTCAGCTCAACTGACTTACCAGACATTACTTTCCATTTCATTTTTTCCTTGCAGACAGAGGAACGCCCTGAACATGGCATCAGAGATCCACATGCCAGGCCCAGTGTGCCTCACTGAGAACACTAAAGGGCATCTGGTGGTGAATTCAGAAGCTCTGGAAATCCTGTCTGCCATTACACAGCCTGTAGTAGTGGTGGCAATTGTGGGCCTCTACCGCACAGGCAAATCCTACCTAATGAACAAGCTGGCTGGGAAGAACAAAGGTGAGTGGCACCAGCAAAGCATGGATGAGCCCCATCTGTCCAGTTACACAGTCAGTATCTAGTATGAAGATGGGATGAGAGAAAGTTAGTGTTGGGGATAAGTATTGATAGCTAACTTTGAATTCATCAGTGAACCCTTCAAATTCACTCTGGAGGATTGGAGTCAACTGACTCTTCTCACTTTGCCTTTATTTTCACATTTCATATATAAATAAGGTATTAATAAAAAAATTAAATAATAATGCATTATTAAATATTTACTAAAATATTTATGTAGTGATAGCAAGTTTCCACAGAACTTTAAGATAAAATGAATGTTTCAATCCATATTGGATATTCTAATTTCTCTATTTTTTGTAATTAAGGTCACTATTGGTTATAATTTCTCTTATCTCTTTTACATGAGACTGTTGTCCAGTGTCAGGGGCTCAGTGTGGCTTACAAAGCACCAAGCTACCAGTCAGAAGGCTGATGTTAAAGTGTAGTTTGTATGTCTTTCTAACTAAGCCAATCAGTTACTATTTCTACTCTTCAGTTTCATCATTCAGGAAATGAGTGATTTGACTACCATATCTTGAGTTCCTCTGTTAACTCACAATAACAACAGATAGTCACTCTCCAAAGAAATGAATATATTCAGGAATAAGCAGGGGATTTATAAATTCTGGAAATGCATGCTATAACAAATAATAAACTCATCTGGAAATGTTAAGGCAGTGAGAAACTTTTAAAGGCAAAAAGGAGACATATACGCCAGTTGATGTAAAATGAAAGTTCATTGGTTTACAGGATCATATTGCAGGTGGGGACATGTGCATTAGCTGTTGCTTGAGAGAGTTTTATGCATAGAACCCTGACTGCAGGGACCCTGATGGCAGCAAGTAAGGCCACTTGCAAGATTGTGGTTAGGACTGGCTATTACTGGAAGTACAGAAGTAGCCTTTGTCGCAAGGTTGTAGTTTGGCAATGTCTTAATGGCAGTTTCCACTACAAGAAAGTATACATGAAAGCCCTTCCTTCATGAACTCCTGACTCCATTTTGTTAGGGTTTGGCATAAGTGACTCCATTTTGCTTCTGACAACTTTTGCAGTTCCCCCTTTGATCAAGATCTTTCTCTGAAAGCATCTCTGATCGATCATCCTGTAGTTTTATACTTTGTGTTCCCTAGTGCTTGGATGCACTTGATTTGGTTGGTTTGGTCCCAAGTCAGGGGAAAGTGATTGGTGACTGGGAGTCATTTTCAAAACCATTTTAGCCACATTTGAGCAACAAGGAGGTTGGGAAGGAGTGGGTTTCAGGCTAATTCTACCTGGAATTCATTATTAAGTCAATTTTTTCAATTCCACATTTTCAGCATATTCTTTAAGTGCTGAGCCAGCATTATTCTGTTAGGAGTGTCGTTTCTGCAGAAGTCAGACAGGTAACAGGTACAAAGCTTAAAGAAAATAATGCAAAGCAAAACCAACAGGAGCATAACAAATTCATTTTGGATGATGGTTCTGAACCAAGAGGCCAATTAAACAAATTAAAAGACCATGTGGAACTGGGTAAGATTTTTTATAGGCATTGAGTCTTTTATGTAGTTTGATTAGTGATTCTATTATTTAGCATCTCATAACTTGGTTAAATTAAAGCCGAGAGTGCTAACTCTGTAAAAAGGGATCACTGGTACAATTTGAACAAAAAGTTGTGTTAGGAATATTGCCAAAGTGATTCACTACATGGAAGAAAGCATCTGTTAGGTCAGGTAAAGATTTGGGATTGGCATGACAGATCCAACATTCCATCAAGTACGCACAGAAGCTGCTGATTATGAAATTATAACTATAGCATTATCCTGTCAAGTGAAAAAGAAGGCACAAGCAAAGAAAATTTAAGAAGGATAAGAGTCTCATTTTTATAAGTATTGTTCTATCATTCTTAGAAAAAGCTGTCCATAGCATGAAGCCATCAACTTCTCATACTGGTTTACACACTAAATGTCTTTGGGTATGGCATTGAGTGGTTTGGTGAACTTTTTGTGTGGCCCAAACATGAGACATGAGACTCATCTCTTGAAATTTACATTGAGTTGTGTAGCTTTAGTGTATAGAGCTTCAGGAACAGAGCAGTTTTTTATTTTAGCAATTCCAGGCCAGAAAATTGGGTTGGACAAACCTAGAAGAATTCAAAATTTAGTCCAGGTTGTAGATAAATAATAATAAACTCAAAAGTAATGCATAGGGCTGCAATCTAATGACAGATGAACTATAGTTTTCCTTTCTTAATCATAAATTTTCTCCTCTAGTCGTTCCAGTTATTACCAAGATAAGGTTTCTTTGTTTGCAGAATAAATTTAACCTCATCAAACAAAGCCTGATTATTTATACAAGTACAGCAAGAACAGTCATGAGGCTCTTTTAAGTTTGCTTCGTTGACACTTTAAGCCAATTAAATAGAGCTCTTTCACATATCTTGGGAAAATTATTACATACACAAAACATGCAAACATAAATACATACACAAGCAAAGGTCACAGGGTTTTTCACTTTAAAAATTTTAGTCATAACATGGTAAAACAGAGATACAAACTCACTTGTTTGTAAAAAGGACAGCTAAATCCAAACTTATTTTTCTGAAAAAACAGAATAAGTTAAGGTTACTTGCTCAAATGGCTAACCTTTTGAGATTTTCCATTTGCCTTTAACTGTTAATTCTATGGAGGCTGTGGACTAAATTTGGGGTAAACTGCAGCTTCCACAGGAGTTTTTTTGTTTTTTGTTTTTTTTTTAACTTGAGGCGGAGTTTCGCTCTTGTTGCCCAGGCTGGAGTGCAATGGCGAGATCTCAGCTCACCGCAACCTCCGCCTCCCGGGTTCAAGCGATTCTCCTGCCTCAGCCTTCTGAGTAGCTGGGATTACAGGAGCCCGCCACCATGCCTGGCTACCGTTTTTTGTTGTTGTTGTTGTTGTTGTTGTTGTTGTTTGTATTTTTAGTAGAGACAGGGTTTCTCCATGTTGGTCAGGCTGGTCTTGAACTCCTGACCTCAGGTGATCCACCCGCCTTGGCCTCCCAAAATGCTGGGATTACAGGTGTGAGCCACCACACCTGGCCAGTTTGGTTTTAAGTATAAAAATATTTGTCTTCCTTTTAAAAAAAATCAGTCTCAAATGAGTATAGTGGTTAATTCATCAGGTGTTTATATTTTAGCTAGAGCTGGTGGAAAAATACATGCTCCAAGCAGTCTTGAATTTAGTAACAAATTTACCTTTCTTTTGTTTGCGTTTTGCTTTGCTCAACTAGTCAGCATGGGTGGAAAATATTTTAGGAATATTTTTTAAAAGGTTATTTTCAGTTTTTCTGTTTTCTCTGGTCCATATGGAAGTGAAGACATTTTCTACTCACAGAGAGACCTATTATTACTCTGAGCTCTAGATTTTGGCCAAAGCACAAAGGGGTTAAAAAGCAGACCTAGTTGACTGGAGAGCCTAACTTTTATAAATACTTATCTAGTTCTTTTCCTTTTTTTTCTCCTTAGGAATGGGTAGGTAACCAAGCGAAAAAGTAAGAGGAAAAATAGAGCAAAAATAGAGAAGTTAGAAGCCTCTATATGCCAATCAGAAATACATCTCATTGTTTCTGAGATGTTTGGGATCCCTTCCAATTTTAAATGCTCTTCTTAAAGTGCAGTTCTTGAAAGTTCATCTGGAATGTTCCACATAATGGCCATTGTAATTCTAAACTACTGTTGGTGTAATTTCCCCATCAATTGAGAAGTGTGCATGAGATGGACCATAAATATAGCTGGCTAGAGTCCCAGGAGAAAGATTATTCTGACATGCCTTTAAATTTGAGTATCTCATTTTGTTTCTCATTAATCTCTGAAGAGAAAAAAATAAAATCCTATGAATCTGGTTGGGAATGTCAGGAGTTTGGACTCGTGTTTTGTTTCACAATGTACCTGGTCCAGGGTATTTATTTTAGTTGGTGGACAGTCATTGCCTTAGTTGTCCAACCCATGACCACATTTTCCCTGCTGCATGGACATTTTCTTAAGTGTGGCAGATGCTCTAATGGTAACCTTGCCCATCCATGGCCAGTTTACCTTCACACAAAATACTTTATCTTCAGAGACTGGAGTCCCTCATTAATGATGGCACTGCTTTAATTGCTTTAAATTGGTCAACCCATGCCTATGTTTGGTACGTTTATTTTTGCTCTTGGCAGATGTTCAGAAGTAAGAAAACACTCAATTCACCAAATTTTTAAATCAAGCAGGCAGACCAAACAAAATATTAAACCAGGCATGCAGAAGTTAAAACAAACAAACAAACAAAAAAACACAGAGTACTCACCAGAAGGACAATGTTCTTATCTTGTGAAGGGCTTCCCAGAAAAGACAAAGTTGTTTTTAGGCTAAGAAGGGATTCAAGGCCTTTTATTGAGGTGACCTTATCCAAATAAGATCCTGAACTAGACAAAAAGAAGGGATTTTAACCCAAGGGGAGACTCAACACAGTAGAAAAGGTCAGCTGTGGAAATGAAGAAATCAAAGGGCTCAACAAGTGAATACCATGCATGGTTTCAGGGGCTGATGATCATTCCAAGATGAGCTCACTTTGGGTCCTACTTCTGATGCCAGATTATGTCAAGCTAAAATAACAAGAGAGAAAGTAGTTCTCCAAAGAAATGAGTTTATTTAAGAATGAGCAGGGGACCATATGCATACCAAATTCAGGTATGCACATTATAATAAATCATAGGTGCATCCAGGGTGGTTGAGACGTGGGAAAGTTTAAAGACAGAAAGGAGAAGTACATGCAGGGTGTTCTGAAACAAAAGTTTATTTGTTTACAGGAGCTTACTCACAGGACTTAATATGTGTGCTGGCTCTTGCCAAGAGAGAGTCTTCACAGAAGGCACCCTGATTGCAGGGACTCTGATTGCAAGTTAGACCACTTGCAAGTTTACAGTTAGGACTGGCTATTACTGGAAAGATGTCCTCAGAACATTAGCCTTTGTTGCAAGGTTGTGGATTGGCAACATCTTCAATGGAAGTTCCCATCACAGGAAAGTGTGTGCGAGAGCTTTTCCTTCATGGTCTGCTGACTTCATTTCATTCAAGTTTGGCATTTTGATGCTGACAACTTTCACACTTTCCGCCTTTAAAATTCTAGAACTCTTTTACTAGTCCAAGGTATAACTTTTTAATTCCTGCGGTATTCTAATACCTCATGGATTTTCTTAAATATTTTCCTGATTTTTGTCATCATCCATCTGAAACACTTCAGTGGGTTCTGTTACTAACAAATCTGGTCTTACTGGGCTACATATTCAGGGGTTCAAATCACAGACTCCTCAACTACATTTCAAGATTTTATTCTCACTACTCCACTCCTGGAAGCCATTTCAACAGACTGTACTAGAGTGGATGCTTTATACTGTCCTTCCCATGTCAGAATCTCCTCTATTTGGATAACCTTCTGTTAACGTGGGACCTGCATAAGGAAAAAGAATCACTACATGAAGATGAACCCAGTACCCGGACCTCTTGTATCAGCCCTCTCTCTAATTTTACTTATGAATGCATGCTTTTTTCTTCCTCTTGAGTGTTGCATAAAAATACACAGGTATCTTAGTTTGTGTCTGCCACTATGACAAAATACATTAGACAGGGTAATTTAGAAATAATAAAAACTTATTTCTCGTAGATCTGGAGGTTGGGAAGTCCAAGATTAAGGCACAAGGAGATTCAGTGTCTAGTGAGGGCTTGTTACTCATAGAGGGGGTTTCCCACTGTCCCCATATGGCAGAACGGGCAGAAGGAACAATGAAATTGGTCTTTTTATATATGTACTTTAAGTTCAGGGATATATGTGCAGAACATGCAAGTTTCTTACGTAGGTATACACGTGTCACGGTGGTTTGCTGCACCCATCAACCCATCATCTGCATTAGGCATTTCTCCTAATACTATCCCTCCCCTAGCCCCCACCCCCCAACAGGCCCTGTTGTGTGATGTTCCCCTCCCTGTGTCCATGTGTCCCCATTGTTGGACCCCCACTTAGGAGTGAGAACATGTGATGTTTGGTTTTCTGTTCCTGCGTTAGCTTGCTGAGAATGATGGTTTCCAGCTTCATCCATGTCCCTGCAAAGGACATGAACTCATCCCTCAAGGCCTTTTATAAGGGCATTAACTTTATTACTGAGGACATGACCCTTCATGACTTAATCACTTCTGGCTTTTTTTTTTTTTCTTTTTTTTTGAGACGGAGTCTCACTCTGTCACCAGGCTGGAGTGCAGTGGCACAATCTCAGCTCACTGCAATCTCTCTGCCTCCTGGTTTCAAGCGACTCCCCTACCTCAGCCTCCCAAGTAGCTGGGACTACAGGCGTGCACGACCATGCCTGGCTAATTTTTTGTATTTTAGTAGAGACAGGATTTCACCATGTTGGCCAGGATGGTCTCTATCTTCTGACTTTGTGATTCACCTGCCTCGGCCTCCCAAAGTGTTGGGATTACAGGTGTGAGCCACCACACCCAGCCCACTTCTGACTTCTTAATATCATCACCTTGGGGTTTGGTTTCAGACTTCACTGAAGTTCCAACGTATGAAAGGAGGATTGGAGGGACTAACTTCAGACCATAGCAACAGGTTAATAGAGTTTACATTAATTCTGTAATATAACTTATTTGAGCCCATATAGATATGAAGTGAATAAGGGACCCAAGTACCTCCTGAGAAAGTCATTTATACAAATAAAGATTTGATTGATTGTCTTTGCTGAAATGGAAGCAACCCGTTTCCCCTGCCAGGAACTTAACGTTCCTATACATTTAACTGGTATAGGCCTTGTCTGCCTGGATTCTGCTGTCACTATATGTTGTTTCTCCTCTTCCCTTGAAGGCTTCCCTCTGGGCTGCACAGTGAAGTCTGAAACCAAAGGCATCTGGATGTGGTGTGTGCCCCACCCCTCCAAGCCAAACCACACCCTGATCCTTCTGGACACGGAGGGCCTGGGTGATATGGAAAAGGTAAGAAAGAGACATAGAGAAATCTTCTTTACCTTTGATTCTCTATTTATGTTTTTATGCATAGTATCAATCCAACTTCTCTGGCCTATTCCTGAATCACAAATCTGATTATGGGAAACAAAGCTAAATTTCATTTTCTGGAACTTACTTTCTTGGTAAGCACAAATATTTTGGACTATTGGTGATACATCTTCTTATTTTTAACAGTTGGATGAATTATAAAATTTAATAAATACTGCATGGCAGAAGTCTAGGGCTGTGTGCTATATTAATAAAGAATCCTGAATTTCAAAGCTCTACGCTAATCAATGAACCAGGTAAATGCTCAGAGCCTAGTGGCGAAGACAACATTGTGACCATTTAGAGTGCTCAGATGCTGAAAGTGAGGGCCTAACCTAATGATACAATTTAGGAGAAAGCTTCCTGGAAGAAGCTGTAACCTGTGGGATTAATGGGTGCTACTAGTTAAGGTGTGTGGGGTTTGTAGGCTTGAAGGTAGAATCAGGAAAATAGAGTTTCACTGAAATAACCTGTTTTTAAATGTCTAGAAAAGCACTAGCTAGCCGGGCACGGTGGCTCACACCTGTAATCCCAACACTTTGCAAGGCCGAGGCGGGTGGACCATCTGAGGTCAGAAGTCCGAGACCAGCCTAGCCAACATGGTGAAACCCCATCTCTACTGAAAATGCAAAAATTAGCCCAGCGCAGAGGCGGGCACCTGTAATCCCAGCTATTCAGGAGGCTGAGGCAGGAGTATCGCTTGGACCCGGGAAGTGGAGGTTGCACTGAACCGAGATCATGCCACTGCACTCCAGCCTGAGTGACAGAGTGAGACTCCATCTCAAAAACAAAACAAACAAACAAACAAAAAACAAAAAAAAAAGAAAGAAAAAGAAAAGAAAACCACCAGCTATACCGGGAACATTTATAAAATTTTTACCCAATTTACTGGGCTAGGCAATGTAGTCATCACTGACTTCTAGAATAGTGTGAGCTAGCCCCACACAAAAATTTGCAAATTGGCTAATTCTAGATAATTTTGCTTTATAGTATTAAGTGCAGTCTTTTCCTTTATTTATATTAGTCTGAGTATAAATTGAAAATAGGATTAGTCAGAAACGACAGGGGGATGGTTACCACTGACCCCACATAAATACAATATTAAGAAAACCTCCATGGACATAAACTAGACAATCTACACAAAATGGACAAATTTGTTGACACATATACCCTCTCAAGACTTAACTGGGAAGAAATTGAATCCCTGAACAGACAAATGATGAGCTCTGAAATTGAGGCAGTAATAAATAGCCCACCTACCAAAAAAAAAAAAAGCCCAGAAACAGATGGATTCATAGCTGAATTTACCAGATGTACAAAGAAAAGCTGGTAGCATTCCTACTGAAAATATTCCAAAAAATTGAGGAGGAGGCACTCCTCCCTAACTCATTCTATGGGGCCAGCATCATCCTGATACCAAAACCTGGAAGAGATACAACAACAAAAGAGAAAATTTCAGGCCAATATCCTTGATAACATCAATGCAAAAATCCTCAACAAAATACAGGCAAACTAAATCCAGCAACACATCAAAAAGCTTATCCACCATGATCAAGTAGGCTTTATCCCTGGAATGCAAGAATGGATCAAGATATGCAAATCAATAAATGTGATTCATCCCATAAACAGAAATAAAGACAAAAACCACACAATTATCTCAATAGATGCAGAAAATGTTTTCAATAAAATTCAAAGTCCATTCATGGTAAAAACTCTCAATAAACTAGGTATTGAAGGAACATAGCTCAAAATGATAAGAGCCATATATGACAAACCCACTGTCAACATCATACTAAATGGGCAAAAGCTGGAAGCATTCCTCTTGAAAACCGGCACAAGACAAGGATGCCCTCTCTCACCACTCCTGTTCAACATAGTATTGGAAGCCTTGGCCAGGACAATCAGGCAAGAGAAAGCAATAAAGGGCATCCAAACAGGAAAAGAGGAAGTCAAACTCTTGCTGTTTGTCAATGACATGATTATATGTCTAGAAAACCCCCCAGTCTCAGCCCAAAAGCTTCTTAAGCTGATAAACAACTTCAGCAAAGTCTCAGGATACAAAATCGATATGCAAAAATCACTAACATTCCTATACACCAACCACAGTCAAGCTGAAAGCCAAATCAGGAACAAACTCCCATTCATAATTGCTGCTTAGGAATACAGCTAACTAGGGAGGTAAAAGACCTCTCCAAGGAGAACTACAAACCACTGCTCCAAGAAATCAGAGATGACACAAATAAATGGAAAAACATTCCTTCCTCATGGAGAGACAGAATCAATATTGTTAAAATTACCTTACTGCCCAAAGCAATTTATAGATTCAATGCTATTCCTATTAAACTACCATTGAGATTCTTCACAGAATTAGAAAAAAACTGTTTTTAAAAAATTCATATGGGACAGAAAAAGAGCTCAGGCAAAAAATAGCCAACGCAATTCTAAGCAAAAAGAACAAAGCTGGATGCTACTCGACATCAAACTATACTACAGGGCTACAGTAACCAAAATACATGGAACTGGTACAAAAACAGACACATAGACCAATGGAACAGAACAGATAACCCAGAATTTAAGACTGCACAACTACAACTATCTGATCTTTGACAAACCTGAAAAAAAAAAAAAGCAATGGGGAAAAGATTCCCTATTCAATAAATGGTGCTGGGATAACAGGCTAGCCATATGCAGAAGATTGAAATTGGACCCTTTACTTAGACCATATACAAAAGTTAACTCAAGATGGATTAAAGACTTAAATATACAACCCAAAACTATAAAAACCCTGGAAAACCACCCTGGCCATATCATTCAGGACATAGGCATGGGCAAAGATGTCACGATGAAGACACCAAAAAAGCTATAGTAACAAAAGCAAAAATTGACAAATGGGAACTAACTAAAGAGCTTCTGCACAGCAAAAGAAACCATCAACAGAGTAAACAAACAACCTAAAGAATGGGAGAAAATATTTGCAAACTCTGCAGCTGACAAAGGACTAATATCCAGCATCTATAAGGAACGTAAACAAATTCACACACACAAAAAAATACATTAAAAAGTGGGCAAAAGACATGAACAGACACTTTTCAAAAGAAGACATACATGCAGCCAACAATCATATGGAAAAAAAAAAGCTTAACATCACTGACCATTAGAGAAATGCAAATCAAAACCACAATACTATCATGATCACACCAGTCAGAATGGCTATTATTAAAAAGTCAAAAAATAACAGATGCTGGTTAGGTTGTAGAGAAATAGGAACACTTATCCATTGTTGGTGGGAGTGTAAATTAGTTAAACCATTGTGGGAGACAGTGTGGCAACTACTCAAAGACCTAAAGACAGAACTACCATTTGACCCAGCAATGCCATTACTGGGTATGTACCCAAAGGACTATAAATTGTTCTATTATAAAGATACGTGTACGTGAATATTCATTATGGCACAATAGCAAAGACATGGCATCAATTTAAAGGCCCATAAATGATAGACTAGATAAAGAAAATGTGGTACATATACACTATGGAATACTATGCAGCCATAAAAGAAGAACAAGATCATTTGCAGGGTATGGATGGAGCTGGAGGTCATTATCCTTAGCAAATGGATGCAGGAACAGGAAACCAAATACCACATGTTCTCACTTATAAGTGGGAGCTAAATGATGAGAACACATGGACACATAGAGGGAAACAACACACATTGGAGCCTATCTGAGGGTGGATAATGGGAGGAGGGAAAAGATCAAGAAAAAAAACTAATGCGTACTTGGCTAAATACCTGGGAGATGAAATAATATATGCAACGAACCCCCATGACACAAGTCTACCTATGTAACAAATCCCTGTTGTGCAGTATGAAAGCCAAAACATACTAATTCTATTTTTTTCAAAAGAAATTTTTTTAAGTGTTGTTTTTAAGCATTTGGAAAGGAAAGAAATAAGCCTTTATTGTGACGAAATTATTTCTTTTTTGTCACCTCTATTTCTAATTTTAGTTATTTACTAAACACATATAGCACTAACTATGTGCCAGGAACTATTCTAAGCACTCAGTAAATAATAACTTGTTTAATCATACAACGACCCTATGAAATATGTACTATTATTATCCCTACTCGACAGATAAGGACACTGAGTAGAGAGAGGTCAAGAAACTTGCCCACGGTCACACAGCTACCAGCAGTCAAGCTGGAATCTAAGCCAGGCATCCCATCTGTGAAATCTGTGTTCTTCACTTTGCTTCCTCCCTAAGTGAAATTTTAAAATCTTCACATATGAGGAAGTTAAGGTACATTTTTTTTATTATACTTTAAGTTCTAGGGTACATGTGCACAATGTGCAGCTTTGTTACATATGTACACACGTGCCATGTTGGTGTGCTGCACCCATTAACTTGTCATTTACATTAGGTATATCCCCTAATGCTATCCCTCCACACTCCCTCCACCCCACAGCAGGCCCCAGTGTGTGATGTTCCTCACCCTGTGTCCAAGTGATCTCATTGTTCAATTCCCACCTATGAGTGAGAACATGCGGTGTTTGCTTTTCTGACCTTGTGATAGTTTGCTCAAAATGATGGTTTTCAGCTTCATCCATGTCCCTGCAAAGGACATGAACTCATCCTTTTCTATGGCTGCATGGTATTCCATGGTATATATGTGCCATGTTTTTTTACTCCAGTCTATCGTTGATGGACATTTGGGTTGGTTCCAAATCTTTGCTGTTGTGAATAGTGCCAAAATAAACATACGTGTGCATGTGTCTTTATAGTAGCGTGATTTATAATCCTTTGGGTGTATACCCAGTAATAGGATGGCTGGGTTAAATGGTATTTCTAGTTGTAGATCCTTGTGGAATCACCACGCCGTCTTCCACATGGTTGAACTAGATTACGGTCCCACCAACAGTGTAAAAGTGTTCCTATTTCTCCACATCCTCTCCAGCACCTGTTGTTTCCTGACTTTTTAATGATTGCCATTCTAACTGGTGTGACATGGTATCTCACTGTAGTTTTGATTTGCATTTCTCTGATGGCCAGTGATGATGATCATTTTTTCATGTGTCTGTTGGCTGCATAGATGTCTTCTTTGAGAAGTGTCTGTTCATATCCTTCGCCCACTTTTTGATGGGGTTGTTTGATTTTTTTCTTGTAACTTTGTTTAAGTTCTTTGTATATACTGGACATTAGCCCTTTGTCAGATGGGTAAATTGTAAACATTTTCTCCCCTTCTGTAGGTTGCCTGTTCACTCTGATGGTACTTTCTTTTGCTGTGCAGAAGCTCTTTAGTTTAATTAAATCCCATTTGTCTATTTTGGCTTTTGTTGCCATTGCTTTTGGTGTTTTAGTCATGAAGTCTTTGCCCATGCCTATGTCCTGAATGGTATTGCCTAGGTTTTCTTCTAGGGTTTTTATGGTTTTAGGTCTAACATTTAAGACTTTAATCCATTTCAATTAATTTTTTTATAAGGTGTAAGGAAGGGATCCAGTTTCAGCTTTCTACATAGGGCTAGCCAGTTTTCCCAGCACCATTTATCAAATAGGGAATCCTTTCCCCATTTCTTGTTTTTGTCAGGTTTGTCAAAGATCAGATGGTTGTAGATGTGTGGTATTATTTCCGAGGGCTCTGTTTTGTTCCATTGGTCTATATCTCTGTTTTGGTACCAGTACCATGCTGTTTTGCTTACTGTAGCCTTGTAGTATAGTTTGAAATCGGGTAGTGTGATGCCTCCAGCTTTGTTCTTTTGGCTTAGGATTCTCTTGGCAATGCGGGCTCTTTTTGGTTCCATATGAACTTTAAAGTAGTTTTTTTTCCAATTCTGTGAAGAAAGTCATTGGTAGCTTGATGGGGATGGCATTGAATCTATAAATTACCTTGGGCAGTAGGGCCATTTTCACGATATTGATTCTTCCTATCCATGAACATGGAATGCTCTTCCATTTGTTTGTGTCCTCTTTTACTTCATTGAGCAGAGGTTTGTAGTTCTCCTTGAAGAGGTCCTTCACATCCCTTGTAAGTTGGATTCCTAGGTATTTTATTCTCTTTGAAGCAATTGTGAATGGGAGTTCACTCATGATTTGGCTTTCTGTTTGTCTGTTATTGGTGTATAAGAATGCTTGTGATTTTTGTACATTGATTTTGTATCCTGAGACTTTGCTGAAGTTGCTTATCAGCTTAAGGAGATTTTGGGCTGAGACAATGGGGTTTTCTAGATATACAATCATGTCATCTGCAAACAGGGACAATTTGATTTCCTCTTTTCCTAACTGAATACCCTTTATTTCCTTCTCTTGCCTAATTGCCCTGGCCAGAACTTCCAACACTATGTTGAATAGGAGTGGTGAGAGAGGGCATCCCGTCTTGTGCCACTTTTCAAAGGGAATGCTTCCAGTTTTTGCCCATTCAGTATGATGTTGGCTGTGGGTTTGTCATAAATAGCTCTTATTATTTTGAAATACATCCCATCAACACCTAGTTTATTTAGAGTTTTAAGCATGAAGGGCTGTTGAATTTGTCCAAGGCCTTTTCTGAATCTATTGAGAAAATCATGTGGTTTTTGTCTTTGGTTCTGTTTACATGATGGATTACGTTTATTGATTTGCATGTGTTGAACCAGCCTTGCATCCCAGGGATGAAGCCAACTTGATCGTGGTGGATACACTTTTTGATGGGCAGCTGGATTTGGTTTGCCAGTATCTTATTGAGGATTTTTGCACTGATGTTCATCAGGGATATTTGTCTAAAATTCTCTTTTTTTGCTGTTGTGTCTCTGCCCGGCTTTGGTATCAGGATGATGCTGGCCTCATGAAATGAGTTAGGGAGGATTCACTGTTTTTCTACTGATTGGAATAGTTTCAGAAAGAATGGTACCAGCTCCTGCTTTTACCTCTGGTAGAATTCAGCTGTGAATCTGTCTGGTCCTGGACTTTTTTTTTTTGGTTGGGAGGCTATTAATTATTGCCTCAATTTCAGAGCCTGCTATTGGTCTATCAAGAGATTCAACTTCTTCCTGGTTTAGTCTTGGAGGGTGTGTATGTCCAGGAATTTATCCATTTCTTCTAGATTTTCTAGTTTATTTGGTAGAGGTGTTTATACTATTCTCTGATGGTAGTTTGTATTTCTGTGGGATCGGCGGTGATATGCCCTATATCGTTTTTTATTGCATCTATTTGATTCTTCTCTCTTTTCTTCTTTATTCGTCTTGGTAGTGGTCTATCAATTTTGTTGATCTTTTCCAAAAACCAGCTCCTTGATTCATTGATTTTTTGAAGGGTTTTTTTGTGTCTCTATCTCCTTCAGCTCTGCTCTGATCTTAGTTATTTCTTGCCTTCTGCTAGCTTTTGAATGTGTTTGCTCTTGCTTCTCTAGTTCTTTTAATTGTGATGTTAGGATGTCAATTTTAGATCTTTCCTGCTTTTTCTTATGGGCATTTAGTGGTATAAATTTCCCTCTACACACTTCTTTAAATGTGTCCCAGAGATTCTGGTATGTTGTGTCTTTCTTCTCATTGGTTTCAAAGAACATCTTTATTTCTGCCTTCATTATGTTATGTACCCAGTAGTCATTCAGGAGACAGTTATTCAGTTTCCATGTAGTTGAGTGGTTTTGAGTGAGTTTCTTAATCCTGAGTTCTAGTTTGATTGCACTGTGGTCTGAGAGACAGTTTGTCATAATTTCTGTTCTTTTACATTTGCTGAGGAGTGCTTTACTTCCAACTATGTGGTCCATTTTGGAATAAGTGCGATGTGGTGCTGAGAAGAATGTATATTCTGTTGATTTGGGGTGGAGAGCTCTGATGTCTATTAGGTCCTCTTCATGCAGAGCTGAGTTCAATTACTGGATATCTTTGTTAACTTTCTGTCTCATTGATCTGTCTAACGTTGACAGTGGGGTGTTAAAGTCTCCCATTAGTATTGTGTGGGAGTCTAAGTCTCTTTGTAGGTCTCTAAGGACTTGCTTTATGAATCTGGGTGCTCCTGTATTGGGTGCATATATATTTAGGATAGTTAGCTCTTGTTGTTGAATTGATCCCTTTATCATTATGTAATGGCCTTCTTTGTCTCTTTCAGTCTTTGTTTGTTTAAAGTCTGTTTTATCAGAGATGAGGATTGCAACCCCCGCTTTTTTTGTTTGTTTTCCATTTGCTTGGTAGATCTTCCTCCATCCCTTTATCTTGAGACTATGTGTGTCTCTGCTCATGAGATGGGTCTCTTGAATACAGCACACTGATGGGTCTTGTCTCTTTATCCAATTTGCCAGTCTGTGTCTTTTAATTGGAGCATTTAGCCCATTTACATTTAAGGTTAATATTGTTATGTGTGAATTTGATCCTGTCATTATGATGTTAGCTGGTTATTTTGCTAGTTAGTTGATGCAGTTTCTTCCTAGCATAGATGGTCTTTACAATTTGGCATGCTTTTGCAGTGGCTGATACTGGCTGATCCTTTCTATGTTTAGTGCTTCCTTCAGGAGTTCTTGTAAGGCAGGCCTGGTGGTGACAAAATCTCTCAGCATTCGCTTGTCTGTAAAGTATTTTATTTATCCTTCACTTATGAAGCTTAGTTTGGCTGGATATGAAATTCTGGGTTGAAAATTCTTTTAAGAATGTTGAATATTGGCCCCCACTCTCTTCTGGCTTGTAGAGTTTCTGCCAAGAGATCTGCTATTAGTCTGATGGGCTTCCCTTTGTGGGTAACCTGACCTTTCTCTCTGGCTGCCCTTAACATTTTTTCCTTCATTTCAACTTTGGTGAATCTGACAATTATGTGTCTTGGAGTTGCTTTTCTCGAGGAGTATCTTTGTGGCATTCTGTGTATTTCCTGAATTTGAATGTTGGCCTGCCTTGCTAGGTTGGGGAAGTTCTCCTGGATAATATCCTGAAGAGTGTTTTCCAACTTGGTTCCATTCTCCCCATCACTTTCAGGTACACCAGTCAGACAGAGATTTGGTCTTTTCACATGGTCCCATATTTCTTGGAGGCTTTGTTCATTTCTTTTTACTCTTTTTTCTCTAAACTTCTCTTCTCACTTCATTTCATTCATTTGATCTTCAATCACTGTTACCCTTTCTTCCACTTGATCAAATTGGCTACTGAAGCTTGTGCATGCATCACGTAGTTCTCGTGCCATGCTTTCCAGCTCCATCAGGTTATTTAAGGTCTTCTCTATGCTGTTTATTCTAGTTAGCCATTCGTCTAATCTTTTTTCAAGGTTTTTAGCTTCTTTGTGATGGGTTCGAACATCCTCCTTTAGCTTGGAGAAGTTTGTTACTACTGATTGTCTGAAGCCTTCTTCTCTCAACTTGTCAAAGTCATTCTCTATCCAGCTTTGTTCCATTGCTGGCGAGGAGCTGCATTCCTTTGGAGGAGAAGGGGTGCTCTGATTTTTAGAATTTTCAGCTTTTCTGCTCTGGTTTCTCCCCATCTTTGTGGTTTTATCTACCTTTGGTCTTTGCAATGGTGATGCACAGATGGGGTTTTGGTGTGGATGTCCTTTCTGTTTGTTAGTTTTCCTTCTAACAGTCAGGGCCTTCAGCTGCAGGTCTGTTGGAGTTTGCTGGAGGTCCACTCCAGACCCTGTTTGCCTGGGTATCACCAGTGGAGGCTGCAGAACAGCAAGTATTGCAGAATGGCAAATGTTGCTGCCTGATCCTTCCTCCGGAAGCTTTGTCCCAGAGGGGCACCCGGCTGTTTGAGGTGTCAGTCGGCCCCTACTGGGAGGTGCCTCCCAGTTAGGCTACTCGGGGGTCGGGGACCCACTTGAGGAGGCAGTCTGTCCATTCTCAGATCTCAAACTCTGTGCTGGGAGAACCACTACTCTCCTCAAAGCTGTCAGACAGGAATGTTTTCTTTATTTTTTTTAAATTTTATTAACTTTCATGGTATTTCATTAAGTTCAGGGGCACCACTGGACTTAAAATATTTTTTAACTTCTTTATTTTATTTTATTTTATTTTATTTAGTTTGGGGGTAAGCCTGAACTTAAATTTAAAGTTAAAAAAAAAAAAAGGAAAATAGAGGCCAGGTGTGGTCGCTCACACCTGTAATTCCAGCACTCTGGGAGGCCAAGGTGGGTGGATCACCTGAGGTCAGGAGTTCAAGACCAGCCTGGCTAACATGGTGAAATCCCATCTCTATTAAAAATACAAAAATTAGCTGGGCATGATGGCAGGTGCCTGTGATCCCAGCTATTTCAGAAGCTGAGGTGGAAGAATTGCTTGAACCCAGAAGGTGGAGGTTGTAGTGTTTGCACCATTGCACTGCAGCCTGGGCAACAGAGCAAGTCTCCATCTCAAAAAAAAGAAAAAAAGAAAATAGAATTTTTGGCTTTCATACTGCAAAAATTATAAATGTGTGTGGGGTCTCATTTAGAAACAGTGAATTTAAACATACAGTACTAAAGTTATCAATCATCATTTCAGTGTACAACAAAGATAAAATATTGATTTGAAATAGATTGTAATGGGCATAAACTTTTTTATTTGCAAAAGTATGACTGTTCAAGGGACCAAAATATACAAATATATACATGCTTGATGGAAGCAAAATTACTTGTTGGCCTTGGAATTTGTGGATTTGGTCAGCATTTAATTCTATTTAAGGGACCTTCATGTCTTGCCCTGAATATTATTTCCAGCCTTGTCTTCTCCACATACCTATTCACTCATTCAGTTGAATTAAATAACTCTGTAATGTCATTATATGATCATACCCTAACAATTTTGACTTGGGTTCTGTTGGGTCTCTCACCTTTTTAATTCTTTCATTTCCACAAGTCCTGATTTTATGTACTCCTTAACGTCCAGCTCGTTTCAACCTACTGCCATCTTATTTGAGTTAGACATAGTAACTTCTTGCTTGAACTCATAGAGCATTTGTTTCTCTTTATTTTCCTTCCTTCTCACTTCCCATTTTTTGGATTGTTGTCTGTTTTGTTTTTTACATTACGACTTTTGTTCCACTCCTGGCAGAAGTTATCATCTTGGTTGCATTTTTATGTTGACAATGCTATCTGCCACTCCTGAAAGTCATCTTCTTGTGATTATGGAACTTTGCATCCACAAAATCAAAGGCAGCATCTGCATTTTGTACATAGCTGAACAATTTTTGGTGAATTCAATTGATTAACATTGGCATTCCTAATATAGGCATGATTGAGAAAATTTGCAAAAGGATTATTGTTCACTAATTACTACATACTTACTATGCTGTAGGCACTGCATTAAATATTTTACACATTGACAGTGTCAATTGCTACTTTTAATATCTAAAGAAAGAGAAGCCCTGAGAAAATCAATATAAATGGCAAAAATACAGCTTGACTTTAACATGATCTTCAAAATTCATATTACATGCCCTACTATTCAGCTATATATACTACAGCTGAAATAGTGAATGAACAACCAAATGAATGAATTAATAAGTGAATGAATCAAAAGGAGACTCTTAAGTCCTATCTGTAATGTGCTTTCTAGTGTCACAAACAATATCAGATTAAGTTTGGAAAAATTTAAGTTTATTGCATACAAAAAGTAGAGAGCATCATTCAGGAGACTTCATACCAAGATGCTCTCCTCATAATGGTTACAGCACCACTGATAAAGCATAAAGGAAGAAATATATTTACTTATCGTGTGATTGGCTTTATACATTAACAATATTTTTAGGGCAAATAGAGATGTTTAGGTGCTTTTTCTATAGCTGATTTATTTAATTTCACTGAATCATGCTGGCAAGCATATAAAGCTTACATTTGTGTTTCCTTTAGACACAGCATTTTGGGAAAACTGGAATGACTTCAGTTTTGGTTACATGGATACAAGTAGTTGACCTTGAGATGTATCTAAACTGTGGCTTCCATTTTTTTTTTTTTTTTCTTTAACACTAGAGTGACCCTAAGAGTGACTCGTGGATCTTTGCCCTGGCTGTGCTTCTAAGCAGCAGCTTTGTCTACAACAGCATGGGCACCATCAACCACCAGGCCCTGGAGCAGCTGCAGTATCCTTCCAGGAAGTGAAGAGCCAGGTTTTATGGAGTTTAGGGGAATGGAAACTGATACTGTGTCTTCTTTGTTGTGACTCAGTTGTCCTGGTTGAGTAAGAAGAGAAACAGTGCAAAAGGGAATGTGTATAAAACTTGTTTCTAAGTGAGATGTGGAAATGATGGTGTAGGGTGCTATCCTTCCTTAGCTGAGATCCCAGCTACGTGACTGAGCTAACAGAGCTAATCAGGGCAAAATCGTGCCCCAGACCTGATGAAGTTGAGGACTCCAGCGAGTTTGTGAGTTTCTTTCCAGACTTTATTTGGACTGTTCGAGATTTTACCCTGGAGCTGAAGTTAGATGGACACCCCATCACAGAAGATGAGTACCTGGAGAATGCCTTGAAGCTGATTTCAGGTATCAGAGCATGGCCTAGATGGGAGAAGGTTCAGTAGCGGGTGGGATCAACTAGGACCTACCGTTCAACACCTGACACAAATTTTTATATTGGACTGGATTGAGGCCCTTGCTCATGGTGGTTGGTGATTGATAAGTGATTATGATTTTTGTGGTTATTTTTGCTTGAAATTTCCCAGAGGCTGAGGTTCAAATTCATTGAGGAAATTTAAATCTCAAAGTTCTATCAAATGATTTTAGACCAATAAGTACCATGAAAAATATATTGAGGATTACAATTAGTATTATCACATCCTAAGACTCATATATTTGTGTTACTTATTAACTTCAAGTGCTCCTCCTATTCTATTTGGAGAAAATTAACTAATAAGCTTGGAAGCTGGTAAACACAGAATCGCAAGAAGTCAAATGATCCAATTTTGGAAATATATTTCACTCAGTCTATTTTATTAGCCTGGATACTTATAACCTTTAGAGAAAAAGGAGATTCATACAGTTAATGATTCAGGAAATTAAAAAAAAAATACACAGACATATGCTTCCAGTAGGACTGTCAAATCCTTTATTTTACCATTTTCATAACATCACCTACTTCATTCTACAGTCTCATATAATATGTTGTCAATCTATTATACATTTGTTAAACAGATTATATTTAGTGGAGTGGATACCTGTTGGCACCTACAATCAATATCCATCTTTGTTCATTTGTTCATCCTTTCAACAAATATTTGTTTTGAATAACTGATATATGTCACAGAATCCCTCTGCAAGACAATGTTAGACCTAATATAATCTGACCTGAGTATTTTCCGTCTCTTTCAAACATTTTTCCCAGCCACATCTTGTCCTTGTTTCTAGCATTTAAATTTTAAGCCCAACATTTCATTTCTGACATGGGGACAGTAAGATTGAGAAAGTCCATGATGCTATGTAATATTAGCCAGAAACAGGAAGAAAAATATGACAGGACCTCATTTCTATATGGATTCTATTTCAAAACGTCAAATACATAGAAACAGAGAGTAGAACAGTGGTTACCAGGGCATGGTGAGGGAGGAAATGAGGACATGTGGGTGAAGGGTACAAACTTGAAGTTATATAGGGTGGGAAAGTCTAGGGCTCTAATATACTGCAGGAGAACTATCCTTAACAATATTGTATTTTACATTTAAAATTTACAGAGATTAGATTTTAGGTACTCTTACCACAAAAAAAGGGAAGAAAAGTATAGAAAGTATTGGATATATAATTTGCTTACTTAGTAGTAATTTCACTATGTACATGTATATCGAAACATCATGTTATAACGCCTTAAATATATACAATTTTTAAAGAAAGTACTTCTTATCATATTTTAGTTAATCATAATTCAACAAACATTTTAAAAATCGTCAGTCTACGGGACATCATACAGTGGCTGAGGAAACCAACCACAAATTCCTTCACTTGAGGTGGATGCATTCCCTTCATTTCCAGAAGTACCTTTTTGACTCTGCTTTGTGCAGAAATTGACTTTTCATACCTTAAGTAGATTAGCATAAGTTTGGTTGCATGAGAGGTTTGATTACATAGAGTAGATTCACAGACACAAGAGACTGTAGTGATTGATGGAAGGAACTTTGGAAATGAAAATCTTCAGGCTCACTTAAAACCTGTTCTTCAGTAGTCACTTTTTCACTAATTCTGCAGGCAAGAATCCCCAAATCCAAAATTCTAACAAGCCCAGGGAGTGGATCAGGCATTTCTTTCCAAAACAGAAGTGCTTTGTCTTTGACCGGCCAATAAATGACAAAAAACTCTTACTCCATGTTGAAGAAGTACGAGAAGACCAACTGGATAGTAATTTCCAGATGCAATCAGAAAATTTCTGTTCTTATATCTTCACCCATGCAAAGACCAAGACCCTGAGAGAGGGAATCCTTGTCACTGGAAACCGTGAGTCTATTTCCCTATATGGGTGTTTACTGAGGCCTACTGTATCTCAAAAACTAGTAAACTAAGCTTATGAGCACGAACAACTGGTAAGGAGATAACATCTGTGTTATGAGGTGTGGGATAAGTGAAGGATTTTTTCTCAGTGAGGGTATAAAAGCTGTATTGTGAATTTACACAAAACAGAAAGTAAGTAGCATGTCATGAGTTTCTGCAAGCCTATTGAGATTTTGAGATACAAAATTCAGCGTAATCTTATAAACAAAGCTGGCTTCATGAACATGTTACCTGTGCAGTCTTTTAGTGCTCTGTATAGAAAAGAGCTTCTCACAGGGTTTGATGTTCTGGCACTGTCTTAAGTGTTTTTATAAAAGCACCTGCATTTACATTCAGAATTATGATCCACAAATGATATAATTTACTTTGCTGAATAAACGCTTTTAAATTTTTACTTAAGCAGAAAAGTTTTTTTTTTTCAAGAAACCCTTGCTACATATTGTTTGTGATTAGTAATTAACTTTGTAATGTGATGAGCTGGAGAACAAAATAGAAAGAATAAATAGGAACAACAGTCATGTTATCGTAGGAAAGTGACTCCATAAAAAGTAGTAGTAGTAATAGTAGAATTGAAAGAAGGAGAAGGAGGGAAAATTCATGTTAAATGGAATTTTTTCTGATTTTTAGAATGCTGATACATACCACTCGTAAAACAATGAGTGAAAACTTTCTATCTATTCCCTAAATTTCCTAAATCATTCAGGGCTGGGGATGCTGGTGGAGACCTACCTGGATGCCATCAACAGTGGAGCGACTCCTTGTCTGGAGAATGCAATGGCAGTTCTGGCCCAGTGTGAGAACTCAGCAGCCGTGCAGAGGGCAGCCAACCACTACAGCCAGCAGATGGCCCAGCAAGTGAGATTCCCCACAGACACACTCCAGGAGCTGCTGGACGTGCATGCAGTTTGTGAGAGGGAAGCCATTGCAGTCTTCATGGAGTACTCCTTCAAAGATAAAAGCCAGGAATTTCAGAAGAAGCTTGTGGTAATCTTTGTTATTTTTTTTTTTCTTGATTCCTGCCTTTCTGGAATGATACTTATAGTCCACCTTTTTAATGCCATGGTTCATCTCCTTCTTGTAGTAAAGGGAGATTGGATTATTTTATGTGACTGAATTTAATGGGCTACAGTTTTTTATTTTTCTAAAATATGGGAAATTTATTAATTTTCTATCATGCATAAGAAATTATGATTGTAGCACATTTAACAACACATTTATACAACATACTAACTACATTTAATAACAATGTATTGCATTCTTGAAAATTACTTAGAGAATAGTATTTAGAATGACAAATATTTGAGTTAATATATATGTTAATTAGCTTGATTTAGTAATTTCATAATCCATACAAGTTAAACAGAATTCTTGTACAGATTATGTTACATTTCAAAATAACCTGATGTAAGCATTATACATATAGAATTTTTTTTTATTTTAAAAAGGTAAAATAAAGAAGCACTTGCCTGACTGAGTGTGGAAAAAATGCCTAAGCTCACAGCTCCGTAAGTCAGAAGTTCTTTTTAGGGCATCTGTGTGCTCCACTCAGTGTATCACAAGCTGAAAACAAGGTGTTGATTGAGCTTACTTCTTACCTGTATGCTCAGGGGAACCTCTCTCCATCTTCAAGTCAGCAATAATGCATCAAATGTTTCTCTTGTTTCTAATTTCTCTGGCTTCCTCTTCTGCCTCAAGGTAAACAAAAAAGCTCTGCTTTCAAAGAGCTCATGTAATTTGGTAATTCTTAAATACTTTCTTGAGTGTACTCAGTACTACTTGAATACTCTCCATTTCTAAAGTCAACAGATATCATATAATGTTACCTAAACACTGGAGTACACTCCATCATATTAATAAGCCCAGGGACTATGGATAGTGTGGAAACCTCGGAGGGGAAATCCTGGGGGATATCTTAAATCTGCCATTGGCACTGTTATTGAATAGCCTTCTTTCAGTCTGTCTATTACCAGTCCACAAGTGACAGAAATCCCTTAGTACATATTGAGAAAACCCAGATGCAATCATAGCTTAGAAGTGTAAGCAAAAGATAATAATGTTCCCATATCTTCACATTTTAAGATCCTTTTTGGAAGAATTTCAAAAGAGTTCCAAGCTCTGTTCAGGGTACAATCAAGTCATTACTGGGATGTGATTATCCAGAAGGGTTGATTTTCTGTGTGCACATTTTATCCATAGCAATCTGTGTTCTCTAAGGACACTACTACTGCCACAACTGAATTGTCCCTTGCTTGTTGTTTATAGTTAGATCACTGTTAATCATACTTTTGCTGAAGGAAAGATAGAGTTCATGAACTTTCTACAGGTCATGCAGAGAATTGACCAGAACTGGAACTAAAACAAGTCTTCTGACTCTTAGTCTACACCGTAACTCAGCCTGCTCTGAGGCCATGAGACTACTTCTTCCAAGAGGATCACAGTTGGACCTTCCCTTCTAACAGCTTCTTTCTACTGTTTTTCCCTACACTTTTCTGGCAGGACACCATGGAGAAAAAGAAGGAAGACTTTGTGCTGCAGAATGAAGAGGCATCTGCCAAATATTGTCAGGCTGAGCTTAAGCGGCTTTCAGAGCTCTTGACAGAAAGTATTTCAAGAGGAACTTTCTTTGTTCCGGGGGGGCACAATATCTACTTAGAAGCAAAAAAGAAGATTGAACAGGACTATACACTAGTGCCCAGAAAAGGAGTTAAGGTGAGGAATAAGGGGAGAAGGGGATGGATGACAGAGGATAGTCAGAGGGTCTTCGTTGCCTCTTCTGAAAATCTAAGAACACAGCACCATTTATCGACAAAAATTGAAGCATGGCAATACCTTGATATTTTAAATCTTAAAATCCACAATTATTTAGCTACTCTTACTAAAACAGAACTATTTTTTTTCCCAAAGAGGATTTAGAATCAGAAGTCCGGATGAAACAAACCATTTCTTTTATTTATCAAATAATGTGATAGTTTTTGTGCTAAGTACAGAAATACACTATGAAAGGAAAAACTTTGTTTTCAGAATCTTACGATTTTACACAAGATGGACAAATTAATACTCATTGGATATGGTGTGATTGTGGTTATCATATTGGTATACATTGATAGGGGTGATAATGATGGTGATGATGAAATGAATGGTTCATAGACATTGAGCATTCATTTTGTGTATCAGATATTATTTTAGGTGATTTTGTTGGATTATCAATTTCATTCTAATAATGTAAATTAGTTACTACTATCTTCCACATAGGCAATTGAGAAATGTGAATGCATGGAGAGGCTAATAAATTTCCTATGACACAATCACCAAGTGGTGGAGCTGATGGGCTGATCTATGTACTTGAACGCCACTGGAAACTCAGGATTTTCCTTTTTGAAGAAACTGTCCTGTGTTCTATGATGACTATACTAATTTACTTTCCTATACTAATTTCCTCCCAACGGTGTCTAAGGGTTCCCTTTTCTCCACATCCTTGCCAACGCTTGTTATCTTTTGACTTTTTGATAATCATCATTCTGTGTGAGGTGATATCTCATTATGGTTTTTCATTTGCATT
Source organism: Homo sapiens (assembly GCF_000001405.40). Lineage (NCBI taxonomy): Eukaryota > Metazoa > Chordata > Mammalia > Primates > Hominidae > Homo > Homo sapiens. The sequence continues at coordinate 89,146,716 of NC_000001.11, read as the reverse complement.
TCTCTGAAGATTAGTGATGCGGAACATGCTTTCACATACTTGATGGCCATTTAAATGTCTTCTTTTGAGGGATGTCTGTTCAGGTCTTTTGCTCATTTTTTTAAAAATCAGTTTTGTTGTATTTTGTTTTGTTGTGTTGCTATTGAGTTATATGAGCTCATTATATATTTTGGATATTAAGCACTTATCAGATATATGGTTTGCAAATATGTTCTATTCTGTATGTTGCCTTTTCTTTTTTCCTTTCTTTGTTTTTTCATTGAGTGGTAACTTAGTTTGATGTAGTCCCACTAGTTTCTTTTAGCACTTGTTTCCTGTGCTCTTGGTGTGAAATTCAAAAATATCATTGCCAAGACCAGTGTCAAGGAGTATTTCCTGGGTTTTCTCTTAGGAGTTTTACAGTCTCTGGTCTTATGTTCAAATCTTTAACCAATTTTTAGTTGACATTTGTGTGTAGTACAAGGGTCCAGTTTTCCCACCACCATTCCACCATTTATTAAAGATACTATCTTTTTCTCATGGTGTACTCTTGACACATTTTTTTGAAAAGTCTTTGACTGTAAATGTGTGGGTTTGTTTCCTGGCTCTCTATTCTGTTCCATGCAGTTAGATGTCTCTTTATGCCAGCATTACACTACTTGATACCTTTGTAGTAGATTTTGAAGTCAGATAGTATGATGCCTTTGGCTCTGTTTTTCTTGTTTTGGCTATTTGGGGTCTTTTATGGTTCCATATGAATTTTATAATTGGTTTTCTTACTGCTGTGAAAAAACACCATTGGAATTTTGATAGAAATTGTGTAAACCTGTAGATTTTTTTTAGATAGTATGAACATTTTAACAATATTAATTTTTCCAGTCAATGTACATGGAATATCTCTCCATTTATTTTATGTCTTCTTCAGTTAATTTCATCAGCATTTTATGATTGACAGAGTACAAATCTTTTACCTCTTTGGTTACATTTATTTCTAAGCATTTTATAATTTTGATGCTATTATAAATGTGATTTTCTTATTTTTTCATATAGTTTGTTCTTAGTGCATAGAAATGTAGCTGAATTTGTATGCTAATTTTGTATCCTCCAACTTTGCTGAATTTATTAGTTTAACAGCTATTGGTGGACTTCTGGTTGTATTTCCAAAGGAACTAAAGTCACTATCTCAAAGAGATATTTTCACTCCCATGTTCATTGCAGCATAATTTGCAATAGCCAAGACATGAAAACAACCTGTGTCCATCCACAAATGAGCAAGTGAAGAAAATGTGATATATATGCATATCTATATGTAAATATAGATATATAAAATAAAGTATTATTGAATCCTAAAAAGAAAGAAATCCTACCACTGGCGACAACATGAATGAACCTGGAGGACATTATGCTTAGTGAAATCAGCCATTCTTAGAAAGACAAATACTGCATGACGCACCTTTATGTGAAATTATTTAAAAAGAGCGAAAGTCAGCTAGGCACAGTGGCTCACACCTCTAATCCCAGCACTTTGGGAGGCTGAGGCAGGTGGATCACAAGGTCAGGAGATCAAGTCCATCCTGGCCAACATGGTGAAACCCTGTCTCTACTAAAAATACAAAAATTAGCCTGGCATGGTGGTGCATGCCTGTAGTCCCAGCTACTCTGGAGGCTGAGGCAGGAGAATTACTTGAACCTGGGAGGCAGAGGTTGCAGTGAACCGAGATCGCACCACTGCACTCCACCTTGGTGACAGAGCGAGACTCCGTCTCAAAAAAAAAAAAAAAAAAAGAGTGAAAGTCACATTAACAGAGAGTAGAATGGGTGGTTACCAGACAGAGAGGGGTAGGAGGAAAGGGGAAATAGTGATCAGTAGGTACAAACATTCAGTTATAAGATGAGTAAGTTCTGGATGCCTAGTGTATAGCATGGTGACTATAGTTAAAACAATGTACTTTATACTAGAAATTTGCTAAGAGAGTAGGTCCCTTGTGTTCCCACCACACACACACAAAAAAAAGATAACTGCATGAGGTGCAGATATATTAGCTTGATTATAATAATCATTTCACAATGTATACATGTATCAAAATATCATGCTGTTCCTCTTAAACATAATTTTTACTTATCAATCAACTTCAAAAAACTTGTAAAACAAAATTAGAAATTAGCCTATATTATTAAAAAGGGAAAAATAGCACATACTGGTGAGGTTGTAGAGAAAAGGGAACGCTTATACACTGCTAGTGGGATTGCAAATTGTAAATTCCTCTGTGGGAAGCAGTTTGGAGATTTCTTAAAGAACTAAAAATAGAATTATTATTATTATTCAACCCAGCAATCCCATTACTAGGTATACACCCAAAGGAAAATAAAACATTCTACCAAAAAGACACCCACACTCATATGTTTATCACAGCACTATTCACAATAGCAAAGACACAGAATCAACCTATGCGCCCATCAATAGTAGACTGGATTTTTACAATGTGGTGCATATACACCTTGAGACACTATGCAGCCATAAAAAGAATGAAATCATGTCGTTTGCAGAAAAATGGATGCATCTGGAGGCCATTATCCTAAGTGAATTAATGCAGAAACGGAAAACCAAATACTCCATGTTCTCACTTGTAAGTGGGAGCTAAACAATGAATACACATGTACATAAAGACGGGAACAATATACACTGGGGAATACAAGAGGGAGGAGGCAGGGAGGGAAGTAGGGTTGAAAAACGACCTTTGGGGTTCTACATTCACTATCTGGGTGACTGTTTTGACTGAAGCCCAAACCTCAGTATCACGCAATATAGTCATGTAACAAACCTGCATGCGAACCCCATTGATCAAGTTGGGCTATTTGTCTCCACTCAAACCTCATATTGAATTGTAATCCCCAGTGCTGGAGGTGGGGCCTCGTGGGAGGTGTTTGGATCATGGGGGAAGATCCTTTATGGCTTGCTGCTGTCTGTGTGATAGTGAGTTCTCTGGAGGTCTGGTCATTTAAAAGTATGTGGCACCTCCACTCTCTCTCACTCTCTCTTGCTCCTGCTTTTGTCATGTGACATGCAAGCTCCTGCTTCACATTCCACCAGGAGTAAAAGCTTCCTGAAGCCTTACCAGAAGGCATGTTTCCTGTAAAGCCTGCAGAACTATGAGCCCATTAAACCTCTTTGCTTTATAAATTACCCCGAACTTAAAATAAAAGTTAAATAAAAAAAATTAAATGTAGATCCTAACTCTATACCTAAATCATTATTGCTCACTCACCCTAAAACAGTAGTGTCCAAAAAACTATTTTAAATTCAGATCAGATAAAAATAAATAGCTACTTGTAATCCTCCTTGGAAAGATACATATATCAAATCTGAGTATGATTTTTTACTTCATAAGTCACTACCAGTTAAACAGAAAAAAGTGCTTAATTCTGAACTGCAAGGTCCTTTGCATTCTCAGAACAAAGCCTAGTACAGGTCAGGTAATTTCACTTATCTGAGTTTCAATTTCCTCACAAAATGAAAAGAAGGTGACTGTTTAAGAAATCAAAATTCCAAGTGTTGACAAGAATATGAAGCAACTGGAATTCTCACACATTGCTAATGAGGTATAAATCAGAACATCAATTTGGAAAACTGTTTGGTTTTAATTGCTAAAATTGAAAAACAAATACCAAATGACCCAGCAAATCCATTCCTAGATATATACATTCACTTAAAAGACTGGGACAGAAATGGTCACAACAGTATCATTCACAATAGCACCAAACTGAAATTTTACCCTAATGTCCATCAACAATAGAACAAGTAAACTAGTGTATTCACATAATGGCGTACTATATCACAATGAAAGTGAATAAGCTACAATCACACAATAAGAAAAAAAATTACCCAGTCTCAGGTATTTGTAGCAATGCAAGAATGTCCTAATACACCCATGAATCTAAATTTTTTTTGAAAGAAGGGAACAAGGAAAATAACCGTCAAAAAATGCCTAGGTCCTTCCTTCTGTGATGTGCCCCACACACCCAAATTTCAGTCACTAATCACTTATTGGCTGAGGTATTTATGCCTCTTTTTCCTTCCCATGTGTGACTGTTAAGTCTATGCAGTGTTGTATTTTCCTTGATTGGTAATTTCCCATTTTGGACAGCCATGTTACTCCCTTAAAGTTTCAAATTCTTAAAGTTTCTCAGGCCAGGTACAGTGGCTCACACCTATAATCCCAACGCTTTGGAAGGCCAAGGTAGGAGGATTGCTTAAGACCAGGAGATTGAAACCATCCTGAGCAACATGACAGGACTTCCATCTCTACAAAAGTAAAAAATAAAATTAGCCAGCTGCGGTGGCACACATCTGTAGTCCTGGCTATGCAGGAGGCTGAGGCAGCAGCATTCAGCCCGGGAGTTCAAGGTTGAAGTGATAATACCATTGAACTTGTGCTTGGGTGACAGAGTGAGACTGTCTCAAAAGAGAAAAAAAAGTTTCTCAACTGTTCAATTTTCCATTATATTCACCACTACTCCTAAATAGACTAAACAGTTACCTGTTCGGTCTTTTTAAGGTTTTAACTTTTTAAATTAAATTTGAATACATTGTTTACTTTTAATGAACTATTATCAACATTCTTAACAGTGATCAAAAGTAAATAAATAAATAAATAATTAGCCTAGAAAAGCTTCCAGTGAGGTAAGAGCTATTAGGTAAAGTATCAATAGATGTTATCCTAATTTGAAAAGGGTAGGCAGGCCTTCAGGCAAAAGAAAAAAGAAAGCAAATAATGCAAACTATGGAGGATGTGTGTTTGTAGAACTGCATAGAAATCTGGTTGTCTGCACCGGGGGTGGGTGGTGAGCAGCATCCCTGGGAGAAGAGGCTGGACAGGCAGGAGGGAGGCTGCTACACAGGGTTTTCATGTCTCAACAAAGAGCTTGGACTTTTTATTGTGGCTGTGGAAGGAAAGAAACCACTGTGGAATCTTAAGAATAATGTGAAGTTTACAAGGTTAGATTTGTGGCTTTGTTGAACAATAATTTCCTCATCACAAGACAAGATTTCTGCTGCCTGACAGGTCTTTGCTCCTTCTTGGTTCTTCAGGCAGACGAGGTCCTCCAGAGCTTCCTGCAGTCACAGGTGGTTATAGAGGAATCCATCCTGCAGTCAGACAAAGCCCTCACTGCTGGAGAGAAGGCCATAGCAGGTACAGGGGCAGGGCTCAGCTCTCAGGCAAATGGGTAGGTTCTTGCAACACTCTCTTGATGTTCAGAAAAAAGGATTTTCCTTATACCAGGAGCTTTCTTCTCATAGGGAACACATGCTCTGCTAAAACTGAAAATAACAAGGGGAGTTGGGATTGAACATCCAGCCACTTAGTTTCTTCCCACAACATTCTTAAACATGCTCTTGCTGACATGGCTAGTGACAGAATTCAGAGATTCTCAATTCCCCACCTTGGTGCTTTTTTCAAAGTCATTTTGGCCTCTGAACTCAGGAGAGTAGAACTCAGACAAGACTGTTACTTTCTTTTTTTTTTTTTCTTTCCAACTTTTATTTTAGGTCCAGAGGGTACACAAATAGGTTTGTTACATGGGTAAATTGTGTCATGGGAATTTGTTGTACAGATTATTTCATCACCCAGATAATGAGCATAGTACCCAATAGGTAGTTTTTCAATCTTTACCCTCTTCCCATCCTCCACCCTCAAGTAGGTCCTGGTGTCTATTGGTCCCTTTGTGTCCATGTGTACTCAATATTTAGTTCCCACTCATAAGTAAGAACATGTGATATTTGGTTTTCTAGTCCTGCATTAATTCCCTTAGAATATTGACCTCCAGCTGCATCCACAGTGCTGCAAAGAACATTATTTCATTCATTTTATGGCTGTGTAGTATTCTAAGGCATATATGTACAACATTTTCATTATCCAGTCCACCACTGATGAACATTTAGGTTGATTCCATGTCTTTGGTATTGGAAATAGTGCACCGATGAACATGCACATTCATGTGTCTTTATGGTAGAATGATTTATTTTCCTTTGGGTATATAAGCAGTAATGGGATTGGTGGGTCAAATGATAGTTCTGTTTTAAGTTCTTTGAGAACTCTCCAAACTGCTTTCCACAGTGGCTGAACTAATTTACAAGCCCACCAGCAGTGTTTAAGAATTCCCTTTTCTTGGCAACCTTGCCAGCATCTGTTATTTTTTTACTTTTTAGTAACAGCCATTCTGACTGGTATGAGATGATATCTCATGTGCTTTCTACCTGCATTTTTCTTTTTTTTTTCAGTTTTTTTTATTATTATTATTATACTTTAAGTTTTAGGGTGCATGTGCACAATGTGCAGGTTTGTTACATATGTATACATGTGCCATGTTGGTGTTCTGCACCCATTAACTCATCATTTAGCATTAGGTATATCTCCTAATGCTATCCCTCCCCCCTCCCCCCACCCCACAACAGTCCCCGGAGTGTGATGTTCCTGTTCCTGTGTCCATGTGTTCTTATTGTTCAATTCCCACCTATGAGTGAGAACATGTGGTGTTTGGTTTTTGTCCTTGCGATAGTTTGCTGAGAATGATGGTTTCCAGTTTCATCCATGTCCCTATAAAGGACATGACTCTTCATTTTTTATGGCTGCATAGTATTCCATGGTGTATATGTGCCACATCTTCTCAATCCAGTCTATCGTTGTTGGACATTTGGGTTGGTTCCAAGTCTTTGCTATTGTGAATAGTGCCGCAATAAACATATGTGTCCATGTGTCTTTATAGCAGCATGATTTATAATCCTTTGGGTATATACCCAGTAATGGGATGGCTGGGTCAAATGGTATTTCTAGTTCTAGATCTCTGAGGAATCGCCACACTGACTTCCACAATGGTTGAACTAGTTTACAGTCCCACCAACAGGGTAAAAGTGTTCCTATTTCTCCACATCCTCTCCAGCATCTGTTGTTTCCTGACTTTTTAATGATCGCCATTCTAACTGGTGTGAGATGGTATCTCATTGTGGTTTTGATTTGCATTTCTCTGATGGCCAGTGATGATGAGCATTTTTTCACGTGTTGTTTGGCTGCATAAATGTCTTCTTTTGAGAAGTGTCTGTTCATATCCTTCACCCACTTTTTGATGGGGTTGTTTTTTTCTTGTGAATTTGTTTGAGTTCATTGTAGATTCTGGATATTAGCCCTTTGTCAGATGAGTAGGTTGCAAAAATTTTCTCCCATTTTGTAGGTTGCCTGTTCACTCTGATGGTAGTTTCTTTTGCTGTGCAGAAGCTCTTTAGTTTAATTAAATCCCATTTGTCAATTTTGGCTTTTGTTGCCATTGCTTTTGGTGTTTTAGACATGAAGTCCTTGCCCATGCCTATGTCCTGAATGATATTGCCTAGGTTTTCTTCTAGGGTTTTTATGGTTTTAGGTCTAACATCTAAGTCTTTAATCCATCTTGAATTCATTTTTGTATAAGGTGTAAGGAAGGGATCCAGTTTCAGCTTTCTACATATGGCCAGCCAGTTTTCCCAGCACCATTTATGAAATAGGGAATCCTTTCCCCATTGCTTGTTTTTGTCAGGTTTGTCAAAGATCAGATGGTTGTAGATATGTGGCATTATTTCTGAGGGCTCTGTTCTGTTCCATTGATCTATATCTCTGTTTTGGTGTTGAGCATTTTTTCATATGCTTGCTGGCCATGTGTATGTCTTCTTGGATAAATGTCTGTTAATGTCCATTGCCCATTTTTTAATGGGGTTGTTTGCTTTGTTCTTAATTTCTTTAACTTCCTTATAGATTCTGGATATTAGACTTTTTTCAGATGCATAGTTTGCAGATATTTTCTCCCATTCTGTAGGTTGTCTGTTTACTCTGTTTATAGTTTCCTTTGTTGTGCATGAACTCTTTAGTTGAATTAGGTCCCTCTTGTTAACTTTTTGTTCGGTTGCAGTGGCTTTTGAAGTTTTCATCAGGAAATCTTTGCCAGTGCCTATGTCCAGAATGGTATTTCCTAGGTTTTCTTTTGGTGGTTTTATAGTTTTAAATTTTACATTTACATCTTTAACTCATCTTGAGTTGATTTTTGTATATAGTGAGAAGAAGGGGTCCAGTTTCAATCTTCTGCATATAGCTAGCCAGTTAACCCAGCACCATTTATTGAATAATGCATTCTTTCTCCATTGCTTTTTTTGTTAGCTTTACCAAAGATCAGATAGTTGTAGGTGTGTGGTATTATTTCTGCTTTCTTTAAACTTTTCCATTTGTTCATGTGTCTGTTTTGTTTTGTTTTGTTTTTTGACCAGCACCATGCTATTTTGGTTATTGTAGTCTTGTAATATAGTTTAAACTCAAGTCATGTGATGTCTCTGGCTTTGTTCTTTTTGCTTAGGAGTGCCTTGGCTACTCGGGGTTTTTTTGTTGTTGTTGTTCCATGTGGATGTTAGAATAGTTTTTACTAATTCTATTTTTAAAAAGTCATCGATAATTTGATAGGAATAGCATTGAATATGTAAATCAATTTGGGCAGTATGGCTATTTTAACAACATTGATTCTTCCTATCCATATGCATGAAATAATTTTCCATTTGTTTGTGCAGTCTCAGATTTCTTTCAGCAGTGTTTTATAATTCTCATTGTAGAGATGCTTCACCTCCCTGATTGGCTGTAAACCTAGGTATTTTATTCTTGGTTATTCACAATAGCTATTGTGAATAGGATTGTGTTCTCGGTTTGACTTTCAGCTTGGACATTATTGGTGTGTAGAAATGCTACTTATTTTTGTACATTTACTTTTTTATCCTGAAACTTTGCTGATGTTTATCAGATGGATGAGACTTTGGGCAGAAATTATGGAGTTTTCTAACTACAGAATTCTATTGTCTATGAAGAGAGAGAGTTTGACTTCCTCTCTTCCTATTGGATAACTTTTTTTTTCCCCTTTGCCTGATTTCTCTGGCTAGGACTTCCAGTACTATGTTGAATAAGAGTTGTTGAGAGTGGGCATCCTTGTCTGTTTTTGGTTCTCAAGTGAAATGTTTCCAGCTTTTTCACATTCAGTATGATGTTGGCTGTGGGTTTTTCATAGATGGCTTTTATTATTTTGAGGTATGTTCCTTTGAGGCCCAGTTTGTTGAGATATTTTAACATGAAATATTGAATTTTATCAAAAGCCTTTTCTGTGCCCATTGAGAAGATCATCTGGTTTTTGTTCTGAGTCCCGTTTGTGTGAGGAATCAATTTATTATTAGCATATGCTGAATCAACCTTGCATTCCAGGAATAAAGCCTAATTGACAGTGGTGGGTTCGCTTTTTAATGTGCTGCTGGATTTGGTTTGCTAGTATTTTGTTGAAGATTTTTTCATCCATGTTCATCAGGAATATTGTCCTGCATTTTTCTTTTTTTGTTGTGTCTCTGCCAGGTTTTTAAAATCAGAATGATGCTGGCCTCATAGAATGTATTAGGAAAGATTCCCTGCTCCCCATTTTTTTTGGAATAGTTTAGTAGAATTGGTACCAGCTCTTCTTTCTATGTATGGCAGAACTGACTATGACTCTGTCTGGTCTAGGGCTTTTTCTGCTTGGTAGGCTTTTTAATGCTGACCCAATTTTGGAACTTGTTATTAGTCTGTTCCAGGTTTCAATTTCTTCCTGGTTCACTTTTGGTAGGTTGTATGTTTCCAGGAATTTATCCATTTCTTCTAGGTTTCTTAGTTAGTGTGCATAGTGGTGTTCATAATAGTCTCTCAGGATTTTTTGTATTTCTGTGGAGTTGATAGCAATGTCCCTTTTGCCATTTTTTTATTGTGTTTATTTGGATCTTCTCTTTTTTTGTTCTTTTTTAGTCTAACTAGAAGTATATCCATCTTATGTATTTTTCCAGAGAACCATTGGTTTCATTGATCTTTTGTATGGTTTTTCTTGTCTCCACTTTATTCACTTCAAGTCTGATTTTGGTTATTTCTTGTCTCAGCTAGCTTTGTGCTTGGTTCACTTTTGTTTTTCTAGTTCCTCAAGGTGTAATGTTAGATTGTTAATTTGAGATATTTCTAACTTTCTACTGTAGTCGTTTAGTGCTATTAACATTCCTCTTAACACTGCTCTAGTTGTGTCTCAAAGATTCTGGTAGGTTGTATCTTTGTTTTCATTAATTTCAAATAATTTATTTCTGCCTTAAATTCACTGTTTACCCCAAAATCATTCAGAAGCAGATTAATTAATTTTCATGTAATTGTATAGCTTTGAGAGATATTCTTTGTATTGATTTCTATTTTTACAGCATTGTGGTCTGACAGCATTGGTATGATTTGGGTTTTTTTTTTATTTGTTGAGAATTGCTTTATGGCAGAGCAAGGAGTCAATTTTAGAGTATGTGCCATGTGCAGATGAGATGAATGTATATTCTGTTATTGTTGGGTGGAGTGTTCTGTAGATGTCTGTTAGGTCCATCTGGTCAAATGTCAAGTTAGGTCCTGAATATCTTCGTTAGTTTTTTGCCTCAATGATCTGTCTAATATTGTCAGTGGAGTGTTGAAGACTCCAACTATTATTGTGTGGTTATCTAAGTCTCTTCATAGGTCTCTTTGAACTTGTTTTATGAATCTAGGGTCCTCTAGTATTGGGTGCATACATATTTAGTATAATTAAGTCTTCTCGTTGAATTGAAACTTTTATCATTATGTAATGCCCATCTTTATCCTTTTTGATCATTATTGGTTTGGAGTCTGTTTTGTCTGAAATAAGAATAGCAACCCCTGCTCTTTTTGTTTTCCATTTGCTTGATAGATTTTTCTTCATCCCTTTACTTTGAGCCTATTGGTGTAATTGCATATGAGATTGGTCTCTTGAACATCGAAGACAGTTGGGTCTTATTTCTTTATGCAACTTGCCACTCTGTGCCTTTTAATTGGGGTTGTTAGCCCTTTTACAGTCAAAGTTAATATTGATATGTGTGGATTTGATCCACACTTGATTGTGTTATTGCTCTGTAGTGTCAATGATCCATGTACTGAAGTGTGCTTTTGTAGTGGCTGATAATGGTCTTTCATTTTCATGTTTAATGCTCTTTTCAGCAGCTTGAGTAAGGCAGGTCTGGTGGTAACAAATTCCCTTAGCATTTGCTTGTCTAAAAAGGATTTTTTTTTTCTTATGAACCTTAGTTTGGCTGGATATGAAATTCTTCCTTGGAATTTCTTTTCTTTACAAATGCTGAATATAGGTCCCCAGTCTCTTCTGGCTTGTAGGGTTTCTTCTGAAAGTTCCACTGTTAGCTTGATGGGATTCCCTTTGTAGAAGACCTGCCCCTTTTCTCAAGCTGCCTTTAATATTTTTTCTTTTGCACTGACCTTGGAAAATCTGATGACCATTTCATGTGTTGGGGATGGTCATCTTGTATAGGATCTCACAGGGCTTCTCTGATTTCCCGAATTTGAATGTCAACCTCTCTAGTGAGGTTGGGGAAATTTTCATGGGCATTATCCTCAAATATGTTTTCCAAATTGCTTGCTATCTCTCCCTTTCACGGGTGCCAATGAGTCATAGGTTTGGTCTCTTTATGTAATCTCATATTTCTCTGAGATTTTGTTCATTCTTTTTTATTCTTTTTTCTTTATTTTTGTTTGACTAAGTTGATTTGAAAAATGGGTTTTTGAGCTCTGAGATTATTTCCTCATCTTGGTCTATTCTACATTTAATACTCTGATTGTATTATGAAATTCTTGTAGCATGTTTTTCAGCTCTATCAAATCAGTTTGGCTCTTTTTTAAAATGGCTATTTCATCTTTTAGTTCTTGAGTCATTTTACTGAATTCCTTCAGTTCCTTGGACTGTATCTCAACTGTCTCCTAAATATCGATAATCTTCATTGCCATCCAGATTCTGAATTCCATATCTACTATTTCAGCCATTTCAGTTTGATTAGGAACTATTGCTGAGGAGCTAGTGGACTCATTTGGAGGTAAGAGACACTCTGGTTTTTTGAGTTGCCAGAGTTCTGTCCCTGTTTCTTTCTCATCTGTGTGGGCTGATATTCCTTTAGTCTTTGAAGTGTCTGTTTCTTTCATGGGGTTTTTGGCTTTTATTTTGTTTTATTCTCTTGAAGATTCAACTGGTATAAGTTGGGTTCATCTGACTGGGTTTTTTTTTTTTTTTTCTGGATGATTTCAAGGGGCCAAGGCTCAGATCAGCACTCCTGAGCTGGGGGCTTGAACCTTAGTAGGCTGGGACCAGGCCCATGGCTTTGTTCTCTGGCCCCTCTAGGTTAAGCACCTGCTGTGCTGCAGGGGCCAACTTGCTACTGGTTAACTGGCAACAACACACCGATGAGGAGTGCTGGCAAAAGTACTTTCTCAGAGCAGTGGCAGTGGGGTCCAAGGTCATTGGTGAGCAGCAGCAGCAGGGCAGTAGTGCTGCAGGTTCTGTGCATGTGCATTGGTGGTGGCAGGTTGACAGGGTCTGCACAGGTATGTGTACCAGCAAAGCGGTGGTGAGAGGCTGCAAGCGAGTGTGTGCCAGCAAAACAGTGGGGAGAGGGTGCATTGAGTGCACACTGGTGTGAGCCCATCTGCTGAAGCTCTATGATGGTTAGGTAGGGTATGTCAGCAAAGAAGATATGGTGATGGCTGCTGGGAAGTGCTTCAGTTAGGCATCTGACATTGCACTTTAAGTGGATGCAGCCAGGCAGGGACCATGAGAGAGGCTAGCAGACTGGGAGGTGCTCAGACCATACTGGATCTGTCCCACAGGCAAGATAGCCCAGTTCTATCCAGGACCAATAGTCGACAAAAGCCAAGGCCATGTATCTGGGCATGGCAAGCCTTGGGGGATGGGAGTTCCTGGTTGTGCTCCACTGCAGCCATTCCTGTGCCAAATATCTAGGCTCCACACTGGCCAGAGTCCTGTCCCTACCAAGTCTCCAAGCAGCTCTCTTTGCCAGCTCAAACATCTATGGGAGTTGTGGGGTCTCCTAAAGCTAGGATTTCAGAGGTCCATGGCAAGAGTGGGCCACTTCGCACCAATTTACCTCACCCCTTCCCCAGGAGCTGCTCAGGATTAGGAATGAGTCTTGGTGCTTGGCAACCTGTGCAAGGTTCCCAGCTTCCTCTCCCTTCAGCCTTGGGTCTGCATCCTTCCTTCATCAACTCTCAATGCCTTCCTTCTGAAGTCCTGCTTGGAGTTTATCAGTCTTCTTTACGGTCTGGTCTCTCAGTGGGAGAAGCTCTTCCTGACTCCATCTACTTAGCCATGATGGTTCTTCTCCCACCTGACTGTTATTTTCTTCCCTCTGTAAAACCTCGGTGGAACAGCTAAGCAGGCTAAGAAGGAGGCAGCTGAAAAGGAACAGGAGCTGCTAAGACAAAAACAGAAGGAACAGCAGCAAATGATGGAGGCTCAAGAGAGAAGTTTCCAGGAAAACATAGCTCAACTCAAGAAGAAGATGGAGAGGGAAAGGGAAAACTATATGAGAGAACTGAGAAAGATGTTGAGTCACAAGATGAAGGTGAGTCTGGATGAAGCTTGGCAGTGCTTGAGGCACAATGCCAGTTCCTCATTTAGGGAAGAGCCAAAATTTTAAGCTCAGTCAAGATTTCAGAAGGAAACACAAAAGATATATTTCACTTAAATTTCAAATACATATGAATTCTACTGAAGCCTGTAAGTTTACAAGACTTCAGCACTTTCTGTCATGTTAGACTTTGGAGAGTACACATGACATCCCCCAGGGTGCTGGGCTGCTGTTTGTGGTGATTATAGGATGGTCTCACTGTGCCCCAATTAATTAGGACCTTAGTCCACCAGCCCTTAGGATTCTTGGCACAACCATCAAAAGGACCCAAAATACATCCATCTGGATGAAAGTATCAGATTTGGCTTGATATGAAATGATACTGAATGATCTCAAATTGCTCCATTTGTTTCTGTATCTGCCTGACTCATCCTATACAACTAGAGTAAAACATATTCCTTGTCCCAAACTGGAGCTTGACAACCAGTGTTTTATACAGGGTCAGCAGTCCCCATTATTTGCTAGATGAGCATGGCCTTGCTATATCGGTGGAAAGGGGAATCAATTAGAATTAAATCTGCATTCCCTCTCAAAGGGCATTCATTGTGCTGGAACAAAATTCCTCCCCACCTCCAGTGAGATGGTGCTGAGGAAATGTCACAAAGGTGTATATCATGGATACTCCCCTTATTTAGGTCCAGTCATCTGGAAATGTCAGACCAACTCATCAAAGATTTTCTAAGATGTTAGAGAAATGGACACATGTTTAACTAATGAAATTGTTAAATACAAACCTCGGTCTCTTAAAAATTGGGGATTTTCAAAAGTAGGCTCTTTTACTTTTATAGGTCCTAGAAGAACTGCTTACTGAAGGATTTAAAGAGATATTTGAGTCGTTAAATGAAGAGATTAATCGACTGAAAGAACAAATTGAAGCAGCTGAAAATGAAGAGCCCTCAGTGTTTTCACAGATTCTTGATGTGGCTGGCAGTATATTTATTGCAGCACTACCTGGGGCTGCTAAGCTAGTTGATTTAGGAATGAAAATTCTTAGCTCATTATGTAATAGGCTGAGAAATCCTGGTAAGAAAATTATAAGCTGAGGTTTCTTTTGTTAAAATGGTATAACGCTGTTGCTCATTTTAAAAGTATATGTGTTATTGCAGTTTCATTTAAGAAAAGTTTAAAATTAAAAAGCAAATTTCAAAGAATATTATGGCCTGAAGTTCATAAAAACAAACTTAATTTTGACTAAAGTAATAATTAATAGAAATGGGGAACAAGTTAGAAGATAAAATTATTCCTAGAAAAGATTTAAGTAAAGCAAAAGGACAAATGGTAATATAAAGAAATTATTTTCAATTAATGTTATAGTCACAGAGATAATTTAAGTTATAATTAGCTCTTGCAAATCAGTGAGAAGAGAGTAACGCCACATATTTTAAACAGGCAAAAATATGATAATAAAAATGTTTAATTTTACTGACAATAAAAGTTGTGCAAAGAAAAACTATGAGGTTCTTGCTTCAATTTATCATGGGCTTGAAAGAACAGTTTGACAGGGCACTGAGCTGGCAAGGGTTTGAGGATATTGTCAGTGTCTCATATTTGCTAGTGAGAGTGTGAACTGTTGGAATCATATATGAAATATTTAAGTGCACATACCTTTGATCTAGCATTTCCACATTTAGAAATCTATCATATAGATTGATTTACTCAAATTGAAAATGGTATATATAAAATAGTACTTATGTTGCAGCATTGTTGTAATGCCAAAAGACTGAAAAAAACATTAAAGCCCCTCTTTCAGGTACTGATAAGGGAAATCTTGGGAAACACTCATAAAGGAATACTCTACAGCCACTAAAATGAAGGGAGAAGCTCTATTTGAACTAACAATGACAAGTCTCCAAGATGTATCATAAGTAAAAAAAAAAAATGATGCACGAAGCATGTATAATTACTACCACTGAATTTAGAAAATAATAAATGTATGCATATATTATTATCTCCTTCTGGAAAAATAGAAAATTATCTAGTATACATGGTCACAGCAGGAATGAACCTGAATAGTTGAGGTGAGAAATTAGAAAATAACTCATTTCACATCATATATTCTTCTGTGCCTTTTTTTAATAAAAATTGATTACATTAATGTTATATTTATTATCTTTGTTGAGTGCTTTAGGTTAACAAATACAGATTTCCTTTAGTTCTTACTATAACCTTGAAAGGCAAATGTTATTATCTATGGATAATAAAAGGAAGATAGTGAGATTAATCTATTTGCCCAAGATCATCCGTTAGGTTGCCAAGTTATGACCTCAACTTGTGTTTCATAACTCCAAATCCACTACATAGACTCTATTATCAAGGACTGGAATAATCAGTCTTAAAGTGGGTTGTCAGACATATCAAAAGCAAAACAAAGATAAGATTGTCAAGATGAACACAAATATAATATACTTAGTTGAAAAAAAGGATACATTAAAGGATTTTAAACTACTTAGAAAGTCTTACTTTCTTGTATTCCATATAGGGAGCTCCATTTAGTTATAAAGAATTGCTGCCACAGCATGGATTTGATCTTTGATCTGATTTGTTCAAGATTTTGGGAGGCCAAGCAGTGATTGCAAATTCTTATGAAAATCTCTTGTTCTTTCCTCTTCCAAGGCATTATGAAGCCAGAAGGAAGCTCCTCTGATGTGTGCACTCCAGAAGTCTTTCACTCTTTTGTCAATATGGTTTTGTCACACTCTCTTGAGTCTTTCTATGCATTTGTCCTCTTCGCGCAGGCAGCATTAACCAGGGTGACCTCAGCACCATAGTAAATTACATTCTATTGTAGCACCTCTACCAGCACCGCAAGCACATAGCCTCCACCTCCATCCAGCCTCTCAGGGAGCCGAAAGCAGTTTCTATATACTAATCCACCAAAAAAAAAATCATACTTCGTGATCTTCTGTGTCTTTAATATTTTATACGAACTTATTATTGATATGTATTTAAACATGGACAAAAATTATTACTAAAATTAAAAAGGAAATAATAATGAATGGATGGGAGAGTTCCCATGATAGGAAGAAAGTGATTAATACCACTAGAAATAGCATAAGTCAGCTCAACAGGAAAAGCTTGCTCATCAGAACAAGGAACTAAAAAGGGCACAAGACATGCATCCTAATTTCGTTTTTATTGTGACCTTTCAATAAAGATTTCAAAGTTTATTCCAAAGTATACTTTCAGATACAAAGTCCCCTGGGATGTTGCTTGGAATGGTCTCTAAATGCTGTCCCATATTTATAAGACGATGAAGTAGAAGGAAATTTTTTTTTTCAACTCAACATTTTAGGAATTTGTTTTGGCTTTCTAGTTCTCAGTACTTGAATGAACTCGAATGAACTCCTTATAAGTCCATAAGCTGGGCATATTCTCTTGACTGAGGGCCTTTGCAAAAGGGGCAAAGATTTCTTAAAACCCTGCTTCCTCACACTATATCTGTTATTTCTCAGCCCCCGCTCATCCTTAAAGTGTCCTACTTCCTAAATTTCCAAGGCTGGATGAGATGCCCTTCCCAGTTTTGCCATGGCACCATCTTGTCACTCCTACCATTGAAGATGTTATATAATTGTAACATTGAAAATGCCTATTTACACCCGTCTACCACCTTTGATCTCAGGAGCTAGGTCTTCTTCATCAACTTAGGTTTAGTTCCAAGCACAAAACCCACCACATAAGCTCAGGTGTGAGCTAAGTACATAAGCTACCCTCCAGTATGGCCCCAATTTACCATAACCTCACTGTATTCCCAATTTCTAGAGCTCTCAAAATAAAGGACACAAGTTTAGAAACTAGTGCAGAAGGGAGTCACTGAATTAGAAAGAACATGCACACTTGTCTGAATTTACCCTGTTCTCTCTGAGGGACTGGACACCACATGGCCCCTGTGTTCATCAAGTTTCTCACCTATGATAATCACCCTGGAATGAAGTTACTGCCTTTGGCTCACAGGGCAATTACAATGTTTAGCATAGTGAAGGAAGGGCCAGAAACTTAGAAAAAAGGGCTCTTTTAGCTAATAAACAAGTATTCATCTTTACCCTTAAACTATACATAATTCACAAAGATTCAGTTGTCCCTGGAGCTATTTTATGGTTCCCCGATATAAACGATAGATTTTATTGTTGAGAAGAAAAAAAGCAGCTGATTTCCTAGAATTGCTTCTATTTTGAAATAACCCTGCTCTACTTTCACTTTCATTGTCACCAGTATTCACACACACACACACACACACACGATCTTACTCTCTTCTCTCACTGTTTATTTTTTTCTCTTTCTTTTAGAGACAGCGTGGAACACAGATATAACGTGATATTAATTAAATTGATTTTTCAAGTTAGAATCTCACATAATGACTTGCTAGTTTGAAGTTGCTCAATGGTTTTAGTTAAACATTACTTAATCTCTTTCTCTTTTTCCTCCTTGGACAAAGGGAATAACAAACACCCCATATTTTGAAGCAGTATTGTGTTGTTTAAATAATATATGTAAATAATCTGGCCTAGAAAGTAACTGATAAATAAGAAACGTTATTGTTGTTCACTCACCAAACACAGAGGTATTTTAGTCAAGTTGTTGATAATGACAGGTGACAGCGTGCTGGCAGTCCTCAGAGCCCTCGCTTGCTCTTGGCACCTCCTCTGCCTGGGCTCCCACTTTGGCGGCATTTGAGGAGCCCTTCAGCCCACCACTGCACTGTGGGAGCCCCTTTCTAGGCTGGCCAAGGCCAGAGCCGGCTCCCTCAGCTTGCAGGGAGGTGTGGAGGGAGAGGCGCCAGCGGGAACCGCGGCTGCGTGCGGCGCTTGCGGGCCAGCTGGAGTTCCGGGTGGGCGGGCGTGGGCTTGGCGGCCCAGCACTCGGAGCAGCCGGCCAGCCCTGTTGGCCCTGGGCAATGAGGGACTTAGCACCCGGGCCAGTGGCTGCGGAGAGTGTACTGGGTCCCCCAGCAGTGCCAGCCCACCGGCGCTGCGCTCTATTTCTCACCGAGCCTTAGCTGCGTTCCCGCAGGGCAGGGCTCCGGACCTGCAGCCCGCCATGCCTGAGCCTCCCACCCACTCCATGGGCTCCTGTGCGGCCCCAGCCTCCCCGACAAGCACCACCCCCTGCTCCATGGCGCCCAGTCCCATGGACCACCCAAGGGCTGAGGAATGCGAGCGCACGGCAGGGGACTGGCAGGTAGCTCCACCTGCAGCCCCTGTGCGGGATCCACTAGGTGAAGCCAGTTGGGCTTCTGAGTCTAGTGGGGACCTGGAGAGTCTTTATGTCTAGCTCAGGGATTGTAAATACACCAATCAGCACCCTGTGTTTAGCTCAAGGTTTGTGAGTGCACCAATGGACACTGTGTATCTAGCTGCTCTGGTGGGGCCTTGGAGAACCTTTATGTCTAGCTCAGGGATTGTAAACACACCAATCGGCACTCTGTATCTAGCTCAGGGATTGTAAATACACCAATCGGCACTCTGTATGTAGCTCAAGGTTTGTAAACACACCAATCAGCACCCTGTGTTTAGCTCAAGGTTTGTGAATGCACCAATCGACACTGTGTATCTAGCTGCTCTGGTGGGGCCTTGGAGAACCTGTGTGTCCAAACTCTGTATCTAACTAATGTGATGGGGAGGTGGAGAACCTTTGTATCAAGCTCAGGGATTGTAAACGCACCAATCAGTGCCCTGACAAAACAGGCCACTGGGCTCTACCAATCAGCAGGATGTGGGTGGGGCTAGATAAGAGAATAAAAGCAGGCTGCTGGAGCCAGCATTGGCAACCCGCTCGGGTCCCTTTCCGCAGTGTGGGTGCTTTGTTCTTTTGCTCTTTGCAATAAATCTTGCTACTGCTCACTCTGGGTCCACGCTGCTTTTATGAGCTGTAACACTCACCACGAAGATCTGCAGTTTCACTCCTGAGCCCAGCCAGACCACGAGCCCACTGGGAGGAACAAACAACTCCAGATGCGCGGCCTTAAGAGCTGTAACACTCACCGCGAAGGTCTGCAGCTTCACTCCTGAGCCAGCAATACTACCAACCCACCAAAAGGAAGAAACTCCAAACACATCCAAACATCAGAAGGGACAGAATCCAGACGCGCCACCTTAAGAGCTGTAACACTCACCGCTAGGGTCCGCGGCTTCATTCTTGAAGTCAGTGAGACCGAGAACCCACCAATTCCGGACACAATAATATGGGTTTTAGAGGAAGACTTGGGTTCAAACCTTACTTGGTAGCTTTGTAATATTAACAAGTTGTTAAATTTCTTGGTAACATTGTGGTGAAATTACTGTAGAATGCAAGGGGGAAGGGTGCAGTGATTCAAACCTGTAATCCCAGCACTTTGGGAGGACAAGGCAGAACAATCGCCTGAGACCAGGAGTTGGAGACCAGCCTCACAACATAGTAAGACTTCATATCTCACACATACGCGCGCACACACACACACACACACACGCTGGTATGATGCCTCATTTGTAGTCCCACCTATTCAGAAGGCTGAGGCAAAAGGATAACTTAAGCCCAGAAGTTTGAGGTTAGAGTGAACTATGATTGTCATTGCACTCCAGCTTGGACAACAGAGCAAGAACTTGTCTCTAAAAAATAAACAAATACAAAATAAGAATACAATGGTATGATTTATATAAAGAAGTTATCACTGTGTCTGTATCAAGTGTGCCATAAATGAGAGTTACCTTCATCATTATTTATTATTTATTAAATGTTAAGTGTCAGGACCTGGGTTAGGTGCTGATAATTCAAAAGTATATAAGACATAGATATTCCCTCAGGGCACTTAACAGTGCTCAAGCTAATATTCAAGGTAATTGGACCTAAGAAAATATTATATGAGGCTTTCTCATCCACATGCTTCTCAAACTGGCCCACAAACATGAGATAAATAGCACTATTTTAAATGACCCAATGAAGGGGTTTTTAAAACTTAATATAGCAAGCAGTCTCTAAGATCTTTTCCAATGATAAAGTGGAAAGTTCCTGGTTGAGAAATCATGACAAACCCTCTTACCAGCACAGCTGTCAACAATTCCTTTTATGGTGAATGAGTCACTGCTTTAGTTGATACTTTGTTTCATATTAGTGCATTTCTTTGCAGAGGTTACCTCTTTTTCTTGTCTCTCGTCAGGTCTCTGACATTGACAGAGCCTGGACGTTGGAGGAAGCCCCAGGACGTTGGAGGGGTAAAGTAAAAGTCCACAGTTACCGTGAGAGAAAAAAGAGGGAGAAAGCAGTGCAGCCAAACTCGGAAGAAAAGAGAGGAGGAAAAGGACTCGACTTTCACATTGGAACAACCTTCTTTCCAGTGCTAAAGGATCTCTGATCTGGGTAAGACTGGGGCAGGGGTGGGAAAATATTTACCAGGGTTCATCAGTTTTATCTAAATTGACCATTCCCACAACAGGCCGCAGCTGAGCCTGCTGTGGGACACAAGTCCACATACTATCCTGGCCCTATCAAGTGGCTGCAGGTTCCTTAGTGCTCTCTGCTCCTGCTGTGAACTAGTCTCCAGCATAGAGAGATGGGAATGTTTCTAAATTGTTATTTCTTTCTTGACACTATCTTAAATTAACTTTATCATTATTAGTATCTGCTTAATAAAGTTAGGGCTCCATCACATTCATTATTGCCACTTGTAGAGCTCTAGGTAAATGAAGGTAGGCAACTTGGGATCTGCAAAGAGAGGGAACACGTTATTATAATTAGGGAGCTTATACAGTCTTTGTGCAGCTACTTTTCTGAGTCAGTCATTGATTGATTCCCATTTTAAGGTGGTTTACATCATGCTATAAAATGAAACAGAAGTCTTGCCAGAAGTGTCTGTGAGCCATTGTTGTAAGAGAAAATGGGTCCTGACCACAGAAAAATAGTTTTTTTGCCATTGTCCCCTGAAGGGATGGGAAACAGATAATTAGATATAAGCCTTCATCAGAGCAAGTCAGAAGTAATCGACTCCATATTATAAACAAAGCACTCTTTATTATAGAAGAAGGAAAGCTGTAATGCTTACAGTCTATGATTGTTTGTTAAAGAAGTTATAAATGTTATATCATGATCATTTTAAGTTACAGGGATTGAGACATTCAAGGCAAAAACACAAATTAAGATGTTACTACAGGAAGGCTTCTTGCTCATTTTAAATTTACAAAATTATCAAATTATCAAGGCCTGGTTAAACAGGATATGCCTACAATTGTGTATATACTGCTCTCCATGAAGCAGAAGTCAGAAAAAAACAAGCCCTGGTTCATCAGAGAATGTTTCCTGATGCTGGCTTCATTACCTGAAATAACTGAAAGCAATATGCAAACTGATATACATGCAGGTGATAAAGAATCAGTCTTAAAACACAGAGAGGTTAAAATCTGGTAACATAATTGAGTAAAAAATCAGCAGATTTTCTACATGTCAGATTTGAGATACCAAGCTTGAGTGAATAACAGGTGAATGCTGATTCACAGCAAATATTAAGAACAAGTGATGTCCTGTGGTAGCTCAAAGGGCTTCCTGCATAGTGATAGGAAGAAGCCACTGGGTAACCTGAGTCCCACAGTCTGACCAGACCCTGTCCGTAGAGGGGCTTGGAAGAAATCAGGACCAAGGCTGGGTTAGAATGGTATCTATGTTTCAAAGTATGGAGATATGTATGACACAAGATTCCCCAGGTAAAAGTTCCTATTACTGTGTACAT
The DNA here is from genome assembly GCF_000001405.40 of Homo sapiens. Lineage (NCBI taxonomy): Eukaryota > Metazoa > Chordata > Mammalia > Primates > Hominidae > Homo > Homo sapiens. The sequence goes on along the minus strand of NC_000001.11, from coordinate 89,124,499 downwards.
GAGCTTAGTGAGCTCAGCTTTGCTCAGTCCAAATATCTAAACGTGAATGTGAAAAGTTTCCAAAGAAAATTTTGTAATTAAGTCAGAAAATGTGACATATCTAGAAAAAAAATCCATTTTCTGAACAGTGAGATACAAGATGATCTGGTGGGAATTCAACCTGATACATCCTTCTGGAGAGGAACTTGGCAATATCCAACAAAATAAAATGCTCTTACCTTTTGACCTGGCAATCTCACTTATAGGATGCTATCCTAAAGTTACTCCTATAGCAATATAAAAATAAACACTCACAAGGTTAGCAGAGGTTTTCATTGCAGCATTGTTTGTAATTGCTAAATATTAGAAACAATCTAAAAGTCTATACATAAAAGAACGGTTGAATAAACTGTGCTATGTCCACATAAATGGAGTAGATGCCTGTCAAAAGAATTGAGAAATCTTCCTACGAACTGATAGGGAAAGACTCCCATATTTCTAAGTGATGTGATCTTTTTGTTGGAAAATGTGAATAAGAAAATATACATGTATATGCTCATTAATGAAAAAAAGTCCAAGAAAGGTAAACTAGAAACTAACAAGATTGGATATCTATGGAGGATAAGTGGGCATGAAGTGGAAAGAATAGAAAGACAGATGGAATGGGAATGCAGTGCCAAGATGAAGGGAAAGTGACACTTCTCTGACTACAGCTTGTTGTAAAGCTCTGACTTTCAGAACTCTGATATTTCGCATACTCAAAAATAAATGCATACTTAAAATCAACCAACAAATGAACCTAACTATATTACAAATAAATAATTTAACTACACCAAAGAGAATGGAGAAGGAAATAGTAGTCTAAGCAACTTTGGAATACAGTGTTTTGACTGTATGTGTAAGACCAAAGACAAGAACTTTTAACTAATAGTGCACTCTAGTTAGCAAATTTATCTTTCAAACACTTATGAGTTAGTAACTTTAAAACAAATTATATGTACTAGAATTGAGCAAATAACTAAATTTATTATGTATAATGACACACTCAGAGAAAAGATTTTAAAAACAAGGGGAAAACATGAATAAGTTTTGTTTTGTTGAATTGGAATTAGAAATATCAGAAGAAACTTAAGCTTATATATAGAAACAGATAGACGAGAAATAAATGTAGATGTGTGTATTCATGTGCTGGTATATAAACATAGATTTCTTAACTTTCCACCTGAGAGGGCCTAGAAGTAATGACTACACCTAGTGTGATAATCTTGTTGTCTATCTACCATTATCCAATGAAAGCAACCAGAGCCCTTGGGAGAAATGGTCGATTCTAAGGCTGAAGCAGAAAAAATATTAGATAAGCCTGGCATATATTGTAATGTCAGAAGGAAAGACGCACTGAAAATATGATGGAAGCACGTCCATAGTACCTGGGCTACAGCTTGAAGGAGCTCTCAGTGAACTAATCTGGGACGAGTTGAGCAATGAGATAAATAGTGATAGTAAAGTGTTACCCATATGATAAATCTACACTGATCTACTATAGATCTACACTGATACAACTAAATGATTAAATAAGTAAATAAAATAAATAGAGGAGAAAGGGCAGTTCTTGCTCACATTAGAACTCTAATAAATGTAGAAGGAATGAAAATAGAAAATTACTTTTAGTCAAACATCACAGTAAGTTATAAGCAAGAATTATCAACAGATGCTAAAAATAGTGACTGAAAAAATTATGGAAGTATGATGAATCTTTATTTGCATAGTCTTCAAACTGTCTCTTCAAATGGTACTTTTTAGTGACAAAATGGTACATAACACTTTGTGGTAGAGAAACCTGGCAGAGAACACCTTAACCAAGTGATCAAAGTTAAGGTCACAGCACCAGAAAAAGTCATGTCAACATCATGAATCCCTTAATACAAGACACTGAAAATGGCAGAACATCACTTTGGTGACATTTGCAAAAAAAAATGTATAACTTCAATCTAATAATAAGGAAACATCAAAAAACCCAAATTGAGGGATATTCTACAAAATCATAGCCAGTCAACTTCTAAAATGTCAAAGACATGAAAGACAAGGAAAGAATAAGGAACTATCAAAGATGCAAGGAAAATACAGAAACATAATGACTAAATGCAATGAGGAATCCTGGATTGGGTCATGGAGCAGAAGGACATTAGTGGGAAACTGGTGAAATGTGAATAAGGAGTGTAAATTAGTTATCACTCTACCAATGTTAAAATCCTTGTTCTATGGTTATGGAAAATTTTAACTTTAGGGGAAATGATATATGGGAACTTTCCATACCCATTGTACATCTTTTCTGTAAGTGTATTTCAAAATAAAGTTATTTTTAAAGAAAGCCAGTGACCCAATTTGTAAGACAGCCTTAAAGAGAAACCAGGCTTTAAAAAACGTATATGAAAAAATGTTCAAGCATAGAAAACAAAAATTTAACCCATATTGTAAAGTTCAGCATAGCTAACTACCTAAAAACTGCTTTCCATTTCATCTTTTTCCTTGCACACAAGGGAACAACACCCTGGACATGGCTCCAGAGATCAACTTGCCGGGCCCAATGAGCCTCATTGATAACACTAAAGGGCAGCTGGTGGTGAATCCAGAAGCTCTGAAGATCCTATCTGCAATTACGCAGCCTGTGGTGGTGGTGGCGATTGTGGGCCTCTATCGCACAGGCAAATCCTACCTGATGAACAAGCTGGCTGGGAAGAAAAACGGTGAGTGACACCAGCAAAGCTCTAAGCCCCTTCTGTCCGTACACACGGCGAACATCCAGCTTAGGGATGTGAGCATAGAAAGAGATGAGAATGAATGTTGAAAGCTAACTTTCAGTCCATTAATGGGCTCTTTACATTGACTTTGGAGGATTACAGTCAACTGACTCTTCCCACTTTACTTTTATTTTATACTAAGGGTATAAATGTGCCTTTCTGGAAGGAACACAATGTTAATAAAGAAAATTAACTTCTATAATAATGACTTATAAAACATTTATTAAAATGTTCATGTAGTGACAGCAAGCTTTCAATGAACTTTAAGAAAAATATGAATGTTTCAGTGTGTATTAAATATCTAATTTTCCTGTTTCCAGGATTGTAATTAAGATTTATGCCAGTTGTATTTTCTTTTATCTCTTTTAACTTCAATTATGTTAACTTTTATCTCAATTTCCAGAAACACCTACTAAGTAATTTCTTTTCCCTTTTATCCTCTCCTTCTACAGGCTTCTCTCTAGGCTCCACAGTGAAGTCTCACACCAAGGGAATCTGGATGTGGTGTGTGCCTCATCCCAAGAAGCCAGAACACACCCTAGTTCTGCTCGACACTGAGGGCCTGGGAGATATAGAGAAGGTAAAAAAAATAAGTATTTTAAAAATTTCACTTAGGTAGATTAAAATCTACATAAACCAGGTCAGATCGATAACCATCTTTGCACAATCACTCCTACTCCTTGATTTAGGGCTCTAGTTAATTATATTAATATATTATTTCTTAAAATTTGTGTGGTATAAGCATTCAGAGTACACAATAAGTTCAATTGATTAATTATGGGTAAACCTATGAAATAATGGCTAATGATGTTTTCAGTTATTTCTCTTTCATATTATAGTAAAATGTTTTGGTGAGGCTGCTGAAGGTGCTTATAAACTTCAGTAGACGTTTTACAAACATGTCTGACTTTTTACAGTGGGATCCCACAAAGGTAGTAAAAATGTTCACATCCACACCAGCACCAGTAGAAAGAGAAGCAAAGTGTAAAATCTAATGATAACATCTTTGCTCATTAAGGATAATATATTACTACTGTTATAAATCTTAGACATAGAAAGCTTTTATTAAAGGAGCTTATTTTAACTACTGTGTAAAAAATATCTTACTATGATGTGCCATGGAAATGGAATAGGGTCATAAACTAAGTTTAGGGTACCAGTTTGAATTTTAGTAGCTGATCAAAATAGCTTCTCCTACCAAGTGCTCATGTGTTTCCTGCTGACATATATTTATATATAACACCTTAAATTATACATCATAAATATTATAAATTTGTTCTACAGGTAGAAAAAAATACTGCATAAGGAAGTGAGTTACCTAAGTTTTCAGAACTAATGAGAGACAGAGTTGGAGTTCAGTCAGTCTTCAGCTATCTGAATTGATTGTACATTCTGCTAGTCATTCTTCTTTGTGGCTTCTACAATGACTTACAGGGTGACAATGAGAATGACTCCTGGATCTTTGCCTTGGCCATCCTCCTGAGCAGCACCTTCGTGTACAATAGCATGGGAACCATCAACCAGCAGGCCATGGACCAACTTCAGTATCCTTTTTTGTGGTCCAGAACAGCAGTAAACCTAGAAAATAACAGCTTCATTTTTTCACCAAGTACAGAGGCAGACAGACAGGTACTGAAGAATTCATAAGTCCTCTCTTTAATAAATCTCATTATGCTGAACATCTCATTCTATCTCAATCTCCATCTGAACTTCAAGTCTTCCCAGTTACATGTCTCGTTAGATACTCAGCCACCCAAGACTCTGTATATCCTCTATCTGACTTAATCTCCTATGCCTGTCCAAACCTTCAATGTCCTCTAGAACTCATGTTCTCACTTCTGCAACTCTCTATATTCTTATCATCTGCTCTAAGTGTTGCCTTCTAAATGATACCTAGCTATACACTATAGATACTATTTCTCCTACAGACCTCTCCAGTGGTCTTATGTGATGACTATTTTTAATCCCATACCTTGCATATCATAAGTGTAAGAGATGAGTTAGGTATCCTCCTTGCTCCATATTAGAGTTCTGGACACTTTCTCATTCCTTTACCATTAAAAAGAGAATCTTCTTTAATATATATGCCCTCAGACTACACCACTATTTTTGTTGCAATTATCTAGCAACGTTCCAATAAATACATCCTTCATTCATTAAAGATTTTAGTTCCTAGTGTCTTTTTAGAGACTAGCAACCAATAGACAATTATTTAACACCCTGGTGTCTCAGTTCCATCACCTTATTGGAACTCTCCACCCTTATTGTCATTCTCCACTCTCACACATTACTTAACCTAGTTCATTATCAATGACCTCACCATTTCCATTAGCTTAGTTTCAAGCATTATACTGAATTAGATTTCATCAAGATCACCCCCATATTCCTATATGTAATGCACAGTTCTCACCTCATTTGATCTTCCAATCTTCCATAAGCCTTTTATTTCTCTAGGAGCATTACATAAATTTGATCCCTTCCACCTTTCTGAAATGCCTGTTTCACTTGGAATTGGTTCCTATTAGAATACCACATTTCCTAATTTTCCACCTTCCTTATTGGTAGACTTTTTCAGATTACTCTATCCTCTTTCTCCTTTTAGCCTCTAAATATTATAACACTTAAGTTCTTGTGCCTCTTTTCTTTTTCTGCTTTCAGTCCCCAGATGATCACATCCAGCTTCAAGGCTTTCAGTAGCACCAATATGTTTATCACCATCAAATCTGTATTCCCAAGCATGAGCAAATTCAAACTTTTGTATCCAGCTTCTGGTGCAACATCTCCATTCAGATGTGTAAGAGACATCTTGAGCCTAAAGTGTACAGAACAAAACTTAATTTTCCTGTCCAAAACAACTCCTTCCCAGTCTTTCTAATCACAATAAATTCCCACATCATTCATAGAAGTGCTCAGATCAAAAACTTAGGAATCATCTTGGATGATTCCATTCCTTATGTTTTGGAAATTATTAATCATCAAACTCCTTCAGCTCCACTATCAAAGTTATTTCTCTAGACTAGCCAATTCTCACTACTTGCTCCATTGCCTCTCATCTTGGTTATCTTTTCAACTACCTAATTGCTTTTTGTATTAGTTTTGTTTGTTTGTTTGTTTTGGCATACACACTTGACTCACAGATGCAATGCCAGCCAGTATGATTTAAAAAACAAAAAACGATACTATATCCTCTCTTCACTTAATACCCACCAATGACTTCCCATTAACTTTCTATTAAATTTCAAACTTCTTACTTTGGTTTACAGAGCTTGCATATCCCAACCTCTATTTATTTTAAGGCTTCTGCCCTACCACACTGGATTTCTTGATATATGTTGTACACACTCAGTAATTTCCTATCTAAGGGCCTTGAAGGGTCTGTGATCTCTGTCTGCAATGTTCCTCCATTGGATTTGTACATGACTGGTTTCTTCAATTCATTCAGATCACTGCTCAACTACAATGTCAGAGATAATTTACCTGGAAAACTACATGAACCAGCACCACATGCAGATACACACAATTATTCTCTGCTTTCCTTATTGGTAGATTTGGGAGACACCAGAGTATTAGATGAATGTCTATTGGTTGCTAGTTTCTAAAAATACATTAGGAGCTAGTTGCCCAGTTCGTTTTCCTTCAAGACAATTGTTATCAATACCTGATAATTTATTTTTGTTTACCTGTTCATTGTTTGTCTCCATCATTAGAATGTAAGCTCTATAGTGGTAGCATTGTCTCATTCATTACAGCGTTCTTAGTCCCTAGGGCAGTGCTTGGTTCATAGTAGGTGCTCAATAAATGTTTGTGAGTGAATGAATTCTGTAAATAAATGTTTGTGAATGAATGAATGAGCTAATAAAAAGAAACCAAATTATTTTAGGTAAGCATTAGGATAAAATGTAGTATAAAGAGTGGCATTTTCTGTAGTTTTCTTAATTTAGCATCTCAGCTATGTGACAGAGCTGACAGATCGAATCAAGGCAAACTCCTCACCTGGTAACAATTCTGTAGACGACTCAGCTGACTTTGTGAGCTTTTTTCCAGCATTTGTGTGGACTCTCAGAGATTTCACCCTGGAACTGGAAGTAGATGGAGAACCCATCACTGCTGATGACTACTTGGAGCTTTCGCTAAAGCTAAGAAAAGGTTACTGGGTCTGATGCTTGGTTGGGTAATAAATAGAGAGCAAATAATATCAAAATAACCATTTCTGTGCAGTGCTAAAAATTATAATTTTTAACTGTATTTTTCTGACTGTTCTGCTAGAGGAAATGGAAACATTGCTTGACTATATCAGTTGGAACCAATTTTAAATTGCATTACCTACCTCTTCTTGGAGACTTTCCTTTCTCTACCCCTTTAATTTTTTATTTCTTCTTCCTAATAAATTTCCTCCTTACATGGGCTTTGTGAAAATTATAAAATTGAAAGATCATATTTGAAGTAATTAATTTGAAGTTTTACTACTTCTAATTTTCATTCCTGTAGGTACTGATAAGAAAAGTAAAAGCTTTAATGATCCTCGGTTGTGCATCCGAAAGTTCTTCCCCAAGAGGAAGTGCTTCGTCTTCGATTGGCCCGCTCCTAAGAAGTACCTTGCTCACCTAGAGCAGCTAAAGGAGGAAGAGCTGAACCCTGATTTCATAGAACAAGTTGCAGAATTTTGTTCCTACATCCTCAGCCATTCCAATGTCAAGACTCTTTCAGGTGGCATTCCAGTCAATGGGCCTCGTGAGTCACTCTCTCTACCCACTTCCTACCTGGACTTTCTCCTTCTGCCCATTGTAGAGGATAAAATGGAAAGCATAAGGGTCACTTCTGACAAATGCATAGTCTATTGATGGCAAGGAAAATACAACATGAAAATCATATTATAAATTTTACATGAAAACTAAAGCTATAGTATCATCTCATATTCCTTGCAAGGAGAATAAAAAAAGAAAAGAACTAGAATTGAATTCTATTATGGTAAACTTCTCCACCAACTTCTCAGCTCCCTCTTTATCAAATAAACATCCAGGATATATATACTGAGCAACAAAGAAAAAAGCAAATACTATATGTAAGTGAGACTTTGCCACTAACTAACTGCAGTACAATTCTCTTGTTCAGCAATTCTAAAATATTTAGGGAATGCCTATAATGTAATGTACCAACCACTGAGTATAATGATGGATAAAAGAAATGTGACTTTTATCCTCATTCCAGCATAATAGGAGCAAAAGATACTTCTGTAAAAAGTAAAAAAAAAAAAAAGTATAATGATAAATAGTGGTTAACACAATGCATAAAAATAATAGGCTGCTATGAAAGAGTAAAGGGAGAGGCAGGGAGATATAATTTAGAGTGTGAGAGAATGCTTGTCTGTGAAAGTCACCTGTAAGATGAGAACTTAAAAATGATTGAGTTGGCTGGGCACGGTGGCTAATGCCTATAATCCCAGAACTTTGGGGGGCTGAGGTGGGTGAATCACTTTGAGCTCAGGAGTTTGAGACCAGCCTGGGCAACATGGGGAAACCCTTCCTCTACTAAAAACACAAAAATTAATCAGGCATGGTGGCTAACACCTGTAATCCCAGCTACTCAGCTGGCTGAGTCTGAAGGATCACTTGAGCCTGGGAGGCAGAGGTTGCAGTGAGCGGAGACTGCACCACCGCACTCCAGCCTGGGAGACAGAGTGAGACCCTGTCTCCAATATATATATATATTAAATAAATGGTTAAGAGCTAACCAAAGCATATAGAGGAATAGCTTTATAGCAAATAATGTAATGTGGAAATGCATAGGGCAGGATAGAACTTTGCAACTTCAAGAAAATAGAACACAGGAGGCTAATGCCTGTAATCCCAGCATTTTGGGAGGCCAAGGTGGGAGAATTCCTTGAGCCCAGGAGTTTAAGTTTAAGACCAGCCTGGGAAAAGTAGCAAGACCTCATCATTATGAAAAAATTAAAAATCAGCCAAGTGCAGTGGTGCTTGCCCAGAGTCCTAGCTACTCAGGAGGCTGAGGCAGGAGGACCCAGCATGAGCACAGGAGTTCAAGGCTATGGTGAGCTATGATCATGCCCTGCACTTCAGCTTGGGTGACAGACCAGAATTCCATCTCAATTTTTTAAACGAAAATAGAAGAAAGACAGGCGATTGGAACAAGAGAAGACTGAATAAGAGTGGTGTCATAATTGGAGGGGTATAAAGGGGTCAGGTCTTGAAAGGACTGGCAGAGGACTTTGAGGAGATTAGAGTTTGTCTAAGCTCTAGAGAAGATCTTGAAGAATTTTTGGCAGTGAGGTAAGGTTATCTAATTTATGTTTATACATATCTTTCTGAATATTTTGTAGATAATTTGTTGGAGTAGTGAAAGGGAGGGAATGAGAGGATGGATGCTATTTGCAGTGGTTGAGCCATAAATGGGCATTGGGTTAGTCTCAGATTATGACAGTGAAAATGGTGAAAATGGACAAGATCCGAACATACTTTGGATATTAAATCTAAAAGGCCTGTTGATAGAGGGAATATGGATTTATGAAGGGAATAAGAAGGAAATGCCAAGCCTGTCTCCAGCGTTTCGAGTTTAGCAATTGCTTGAATGGCTGTGTTATTTAATGAGATAGTAGCATCAAGAGGAGAAATAGTTTTTCAGAGTGGATGAAGTTTTGATATTTAGATTATTTAATATTGAGATTCTTCTGATTTATGCAGTAAGGAATATAAGATAGGCATTAAAAATAAGGTGCAAAACTTATTTTTAATCCAAAGCTTAAAAGAAATGTCAAAGCAGGAAACAAAATACACCAGCCATCCATACAGATGGTACTTAAAACCGCAGAGAGATGAGAAGGTCCAGGATTGAGTCAAAAAGAATCATCTTTTGTTGTGTGATCAACCACTCCAGTTTGCCTAAGATGAGGTTTTCCTGGCATGTGAGACTTTCAGTGCTACACCCAGCAAAGCCCTGGCAAACTCGATGAGTTGATTATCCTATCTGTAGTTCTGATGAGAGAATATCTAAGAAGACATATTTACCTAAGCCAGACACCAGACTAGTGACTAGTGGTCTGCACCACTAAAATTAATAAAAATAAAAAGGCTAAGTTTTCTCATTGACTTTTTTCATAAATTAGTAGTGAAGAGAGAAAGGGAATAGAGGGAGAGGTGAGAGAAAAGAAAGGTAAGAAAACACATTGACCTAGTATCTCAGCCCCAAAATATCCTAACCTATTCATTTCAATATCTTCCTTTTGGGTGAAGGAAATAGGAAAGAGCCACTTCAATTTCCTCTGTGATTAGAGGTTAACAAATTATTCCATTACTATTCTTTATCCAAAACTTATTTAAAAGTATTATTTGTGACACTCACTTGAAAAGCACACAAAATATTCTGTCCCACCAACTGATAGTCACATTTTTTTAAAAATTCCCTTTTGCAGGTCTAGAGAGCCTGGTGCTGACCTACGTCAATGCCATCAGCAGTGGGGATCTACCCTGCATGGAGAACGCAGTCCTGGCCTTGGCCCAGATAGAGAACTCAGCCGCAGTGGAAAAGGCTATTGCCCACTATGAACAGCAGATGGGCCAGAAGGTGCAGCTGCCCACGGAAACCCTCCAGGAGCTGCTGGACCTGCACAGGGACAGTGAGAGAGAGGCCATTGAAGTCTTCATGAAGAACTCTTTCAAGGATGTGGACCAAATGTTCCAGAGGAAATTAGGGGTATATTTGGTGTTCTACGTCATGAGAGGCAGAAAAATATGGGCCCTTCATGGGAAAATAATTCTTTCTAGACCCCAAAATAGTTACACTCAGTTATGTGTACATATTTGAAATAATCATTAAAAGACTAGAATGTGCATAGCCTTAGACCTTTAAAAAAAGACACCTAATTTTTTACTAAAATTTGCTTTTGTTAGTTTTTCCTCTCTGGGTCCCATATTTTAAGAAAGTAAGTAGATGGTACAACTGCATTGTTAAAGACTATTTTAACTTATTTTGTCCTTTTAAATTAAAAAATACATTGTTTTTATGTTCCCTGGTAATTATCAGTGGGGACTAAATTATTTTTAAATAACCCTAATAATTTTTTTAAATGTGAGCCAATGGTAAAATATTCAGAAGGCCAAGAAAGAGAAATTAATTATATAAATTTTATTAGAGAATGTTTTTAATGTCTGCCTCATTCCAAGTGAACAAAGTATTTTTGCATGCAGAATGACCACTTGACAAATGAAAGTCCTTTCCCTAGCTAGGAAGGCAGGATCTTATAAATGATACGTTGCTACAGTCAGAGGTTCTGGTGAAGCTAGATAGCCGATGTCAGCAATTGTCACCCTTCCAACCTAAGGAGGAAAGAGAAAGCTTCATAGTTAAGTTATCTTGAGTGATTTAATGTAGATAAATGTGCTGTTCTATGAGACTTTCCAAATACTGAAAATACCTATGGCACAATCTTCATTACTTTCATTAGCCCTATGCTGAGAAAATACACAAAAATATTCTTATGTTAAAGAATGTACTAAATAATCATGTACTCCTTACTGAGCACTTCTAAAAAGTCCCCGGGCTTAATACTTTACATCACCTCATATAACCCTGCAGAGAAATCTGTGAGATAGGTATTGTTCCTCTGCTGCACAGACAAGGAATCCTCAGTTCACAAAGACTGAGTGTCACAAGCCACAGTGTAGTGTATCCGGGAACTCCAGGCAGGCTGCCTGACTCCAGTGTTTGTGCTCAGAACTATTCCTGAAATGAGAGACTTGGAAAGATAAAAGTTTCGTATGAAATAGTGTATGTGCTTTGAGAATCATTCTCTGAAACAGGAAAACTGGGAGAAAGGAGCTTTAGGAAATCACAAACAGAGAAGTAGATAAATTTCTGCAATAAGCACAACTTAGGGATATTCTAGGATCTAACAGCAATGTGAGGAGCATGGCCCTATTTAGAGGGCCACAATTTCTGAAGGAGAAGCATTTTCCAGTCTCCACATAGTTAACATCCTCCTCATGGCTTTACTGAAACATCTGTGCTGTTTTGTCACTTCACAGGCCCAGTTGGAAGCAAGGCGAGATGACTTTTGTAAGCAGAATTCCAAAGCATCATCAGATTGTTGCATGGCTTTACTTCAGGATATATTTGGCCCTTTAGAAGAAGATGTCAAGCAGGGAACATTTTCTAAACCAGGAGGTTACCGTCTCTTTACTCAGAAGCTGCAGGAGCTGAAGAATAAGTACTACCAGGTGCCAAGGAAGGGGATACAGGTAAACTACACGGTGGGTACCATTTCTTGGGACTCGCTGAGGGGATGCTTTTAAAGCCCACTGGGAAGAAGGTAAATGGCACTGCAACTGGTGCCTAGGGCCTCTGCCTTTCATTTTTCCATTTACTGATTCATTCAATAAGAGAGCCCACCATAACAGGAATTCCTCCTCAGAAGCACAGATGTAGCCCTCAAAAAGAGGTTTATCGAATTGACTCATTTATTTATTCATCTAGTCATTCAACAATTATTTATTTTGACCTAACTGTATACCAGGAACTTGTCAAGTTGCTGGGGATACGGCAGTTAAAAAAAAAAGTTCAAGCTCTGTCAAAGTACACACAGGCAATTAGCAAATGATAGCTTATGAACAAATAATAATAACAGTTAACATTTATGTTGCACTTACTGTGTTCCAGGAACTGGGCTGAGAGCGTTATTCATTTAATACTCAGAGCAATTCTATAAAATATGTATTACTAATATCCGAAATTTGTAATTTTTTTATTTTTTTACTTTTGTGGGTACATATGGTACATAGTAGGTGTATATACTTATGGGGTACATGAGATGTTTTGATATAAGTATGAAATGCACAATAATCACATCATTGAAAATGGGGTATTTGTCGACTCAGGTATTTATCCTTTGTGTTACAAACAATCCAATTACACTTTTTTAGTTATCTTAAAGTGTACAATTAAATTATTATTGACTATAGTCACCCTTTTGTGCCATCAAGTTTTATGCTCTCAAGTATGTTGTGCTATACTTGATTTTATTCATTCTTTCTAGTTGTTTTTACCCATTAACCATCCCCACCTCCCTCCCCCCACCACCCCATTACCCCCTCAGCCTCTGACAACCATCCTTCTACTCTCTATCTTCATGAATTCAATTGTTTTGATTTTCAAATCCCACAAATAAGTGAGAACATGCAATGGTTTTCTTTCTGTGCCTGGCTTATTTCATTTAGCATGATGACCTCAAGTTCCACGTTCTTGCAAATAACAGATCTTATTTTTGTTTATCAGTTCTAATAGTTTTTTTGGTGTGGAATCTTTAGATTTTTCCAAATATAAGATCATACCATCTGCAATAAAGGAGAGTTTGTCTTCTTCATTTCCAACTTGGATGCCCTTTATTTCTTTCTCTTTACTGATTGCTCTCGCTAGTATTTCCAATAGTATGGCAAATAACAGTGGTAAATGTAGGCATATTTGTTGTATTCCAGATGTCAGAGGAAAGTATTTTTGTTGTTCTTCCCATTCAGTATGATAATAGCTGTGAGTCTGTCATACATGGATTTTATTATGTTGGGGTATGTTCCACCTATACCCAGTTTTTTTAATGTTTTATTAATGAAGGGATATTGAATTTTATCAAATGTTTTTTCAGCTTGAATTGAAATGATCATATGGTTTTTGTCCATTCTGTTGATAGAATTTATCACATTGATTGATTTGCATATGTTGAGCCGTCCTTGCATCCCAGGGATGAATCCCACTTGGTCATGATGAGTGATCCTTTTAATGTATTGTTGAATTTGGTTTGCTAGTACTTTATTGAGGACTTTTGCATCAATTTTCATTAGAGATATTGTAGAGTTTTTAAAATTATTTCATTTCATATAGGTTTTGGGGGGAGCAGGTGGTGTTTGGTTACATGAATAAGTTCTTTAGTGGTGATTTCTGAGATTTTGGTGTACACTGTACCCAGTGTGTAGTCTTTTATCCCTTGCCCCCTCTCCTTTCCCACAAGTCCTCAAAGTCCACTGTATCATTCTTATGCCTTTGTGGCCTCATATAATAGCTTATCTCCAATTTATGTGTGAGAACATAGGATGTTTGGTTTTCCATTCCTGAGTTACTTCACTTAGAATAATAGTCTGCAGTTCCATCCAGGTTGCTATGGATGCCATTGTCTTTTTCCTTTTTATGGCTGAGTAGTATTCCATGGTGTGTGTGGGGGGGTATTATATGTTTTACATATATATGAAACAATTTTTTATCCACTCATTAATTGATGGGCATTTGGGCTCATTCCATATTTTTACAATTGCGAATTGTGCTGCTATAAACATGCGTATGCAAGTATCTTTTTTGTGTAATGACTTATTTTCCTCTGGGTAGATACCCAGTGGTGGGATTGCTGGATCTAACCCACAATCACTCTTTCTTCATTCTACCTTTCTCTGTATAACCAGGCCAAAGAGGTGCTGAAAAAATATTTGGAGTCCAAGGAGGATGTGGCTGATGCACTTCTACAGACTGATCAGTCACTCTCAGAAAAGGAAAAAGCGATTGAAGGTGAGAACAGCTGAAAACACTCTACATGGTCGGAAAGCTCTCAAAATGTTAGTTAGCAATATTGGTCCACCTGGAATTATTATTGTAGAGAAAGAATGGCAAGTATCATTCATAGTTCTATGAGAGTTTTCTTAACTAATCTGTATGATCATTGGTTTTCTGGTTACCCAAGGCAAAATTACAAGAAGTTTTCTCAATGATGTAAGGATAAGACAAACAAAAACGAGGGAAAGGAAAAGGGAACACCTACAATTGAATATTCATATCTTTTTCTGCTTATTTTTCTTCCACAGTGGAACGTATAAAGGCTGAATCTGCAGAAGCTGCAAAGAAAATGTTGGAGGAAATACAAAAGAAGAATGAGGAGATGATGGAACAGAAAGAGAAGAGTTATCAGGAACATGTGAAACAATTGACTGAGAAGATGGAGAGGGACAGGGCCCAGTTAATGGCAGAGCAAGAGAAGACCCTCGCTCTTAAACTTCAGGTATTCAATTGCATCATCTCAATTTTCTCTTCCAGTGCCCCATATCGAAAATGAAGTATAAGGTTGAGAACCTAATGCCTCCCAAAAAAACTTTCTAGCCCAGACACTACTACATTTTTCCTTCCCTAACTATTTTTATGCCAGTCATCTCTGGTTAGTAAAGACTGTTTACTTGCAGGATACAATCACATGGAATTCTTTATTATGCTATCACTAATAAACATTGCTAGGCACTGCACAAGTATTTTACATTATGTGATCAAATTTTCCTTTAATGGTAGAGGAACTATTAGTTTCTCATTTGCTAAATGAAGTAATTATAATCTCATGAGCAGTAAGTAACTTTTCTGCATCAGACTACCTAGAGAAATATCTAGCCAGTCTTTCCTACTGAGAGGGATCCATGGGGATTTTGTTTCTGTTATGCCTGCTAAGACTTTATGTCTGGAAGCACTGTTATGAGTAGAAAGATTCCCTAACCAGGCCAGGTGCAGTGGCTCACACCTGTAATCCTAGCACTTTGGGAGGCCGACGGGGGCGGATCACCTCAGGTCGGGAGTTCAAGACCAGCCTGACCAACATGGAGAAACCCCGTCTCTATCAAAAATACAAAATTAGCTGGGCATAGTGACGCATGCCTGTAATCCCAGCTATGCAGGAGGCTGAGGCAGGAGAATCGCTTGAACCTGGGAGGCGGGGGTTGCAGTGAGCCAAGATGGCGCCATTGCACTCCAGCCTGGGCAACAAGAGTCAAATTCCATCTCAAAAAAAAAAAAAGAAAGATTCCCTAACCATCTACCCACTTAAGCACACTGGTTAAGTGCCCATGGTGCCAATACTTTCTTGTTCTCTGGGCTCTTTTCCACATTTACGTTTGCCCAGAAATAGCCTATGGGCCACTGTAAGCCCTGATCTCCTCAATTTATTTCTGTTACCTCCGAATTTTGGAGACCTGTACTAAATTCCCTGATCAAACACTTGCCCTAGTCTTGAGTTATATAGTAACCTACCAATTGGAAATCATCTATCTTTCATACCTTCCTAGATATATATTTAAGAGTCCATTCTATATAGATCAGAAATGAACAACAACAACAAAAAGAACAAGAGAAAGTTATGGTTTTTCCAGAAAGACTGTGTTGCATGAGTGCAAATGGTGAAGGGACCAAGGAATAAAACGCTGGGTCACTAATATTTTAGAAACTGTAGAACAACAACATTTTTGAAGCTAAAAAAATCATAGAAAAATTATTGGCAGGTATAGGAGACTCAGAAGAGAGTGATAGTCAAAAATTCTTGAAGGATCAATATAAGTACCAAAAGGGGAACTAATCTGGTGGAAATGTGTTAAGCTGGATAGGCTTAGTCTCCACTTTCCCTTTTAGGAACAGGAACGCCTTCTCAAGGAGGGATTCGAGAATGAGAGCAAGAGACTTCAAAAAGACATATGGGATATCCAGATGAGAAGCAAATCATTGGAGCCAATATGTAACATACTCTAAAAGTCCAAGGAGCAAAATTTGCCTGTCCAGCTCCCTCTCCCCAAGAAACAACATGAATGAGCAACTTCAGAGTGTCAAACAACTGCCATTAAACTTAACTCAAAATCATGATGCATGCATTTTTGTTGAACCATAAAGTTTGCAAAGTAAAGGTTAAGTATGAGGTCAATGTTTTACCTACAGAGCAATTCAACTCATGCTTATTTATAGTACTAACTTTTAATATGATCTTTAACTAAATCCTATATTTGAAATCATACACAAGGACTCAAGAGAGATATTGTGTAACTAGGATGCATTTTCCAATGAGATATCTTGCAGTTTCTGTTCTGGGTAGATTTTTTTCTCTCATATGCACCACCCTTACTGTATATTCAGTCCTATACTCTTATTCAGGGATTTAACTATGGTCGTAGCATAGGGCTGAAGTGTTGTGAATATGATGAAAATGTGATGAGACCAAACAAACCATGGGGCACAGTAGAGCATCACTCCTGCCAAGTGGTCTTTGTATGGCATGCTGGCTGCAAATAAAGGAGATCTGGGACACTTAACTAGGCTTTTAAAGTACAGACAGTGCACAGTTCTCATTTGGGTGGAGGCTGCATGATCTGTGGGCACTAGCAGAGAAAGTGGTTGCCTCTGTGCAGAATGCATTTATGAGTAGAGGCTCCACCTTCTCTGTCCATGTAAACCCTCTAGGTAATTACTGCCCCATTCCCAGGCCACCTAGATCTCTCTTCTCTAGTCTCCCTTAGTCTTTTCTCTTTCCTGAAGTTTAGAAAATAACTTCTACAATCACAGAAAGGAAAGCTTTAACTCAAACTCAAATTACTTTCCATTCTTCTGAGGACCAGGACTATAATCCTATAAAGCCTAAAACTTGACTGCATTTTTCTCTCTGCTCCTCTGCTATGACATTATATCCTCAAAGCTACTCAGGGTAAATGACTTACTAAAAAAAAAAAAATGACAGATTGAAAAATCAAGAATAATTCATTAATACAAAACATTATCCTACTACAATTGTTTCAGGATGTGTATTATTCAGAGTTCTTCATGGCAAATAACAATCTGCTCAGCAATTTAAGTAAAAAGTAATTTACTTTTTAATACCATTAGGTTGCACACCGATGCTCCAGAATTGTGAGGGAGCCATACTCTACAGCTATTCCACCGAGGATAATACTACCATTGTAAAGGCATCTCACGGGAAAACAACACAGCTACCATGAACCAGCACCATGATCTCTGGATGAAATGCTGGAAGCTTCTGCAGTGTCAGCTATGAGTAAATGGATGCCACCACCTTCACATTTTCAGTAAACAAATACTCCCCTACCCCATGAAAAGTTGCATCTTTGAGCTGCTCACATCTCCAGCTAAGCCTCACAAAAGTCAATCTGCAGGGAAGAATCTAAATCATATGCCTACCCATGGGAAAGTCTGAGAATTAGAGTATTTTTGTCTTCTACTTTTGGAGGAAGAAACTAATAACGTGGGAAATTTTCCTGTATGTTTAGTCAACCAGTTTTTCCATGCAGATGTATGGAGATAAATCTTATAGTAGGAATAACCTAAGACTTGAGTTAGTATTTTTGTGTACATCAGATACAACACTCTTCTCATCTTTTTTGTCATTATTTTTCAATGTTGTTTTAATCTTTCCACTGTTGTTTCATGTCATGCACTTTGTTAATATTCTTTAAGTTATTCTTAGTTTTTAACAATGATACTTAAGAAAGACTTAATAGGACTATAGAATAGGTACTCCCTATTCCCCAACCCTGGGAACACAATTTAACATATTAGTTCATTTGTATTTAAGATCTATCTTGTTTATGCCTCAGTTTAGTTATTGCTCTTACCTTTCAAACAGTTAGTATTTTGTATCTAGTTCTGTGAAAGCAAAAAGCAACTTTATTCTTTCTTACAATTCCCCTTTTACTTAATCGGAACATTTCTTTCCTGTTTGTTCATTAGTCACTCTCAGATAAATGAATAGTCTCTTTTTCTAAAAAAAAAAATAACATTTGACCTAAATTTTTAAATGTCTGAGTTTTGATTTAAAGTTCCTCCCCTTGTATCTTGCTCCCCCTCAGATTCCACTCAGTCACACAGCCCAGGCCTGATTCAGCCTTACAGGCACACAGTGAGAAAGGTGTACGACTTTTTATTTTCATTTCCAGCTCTCCCTCCCACTGGGTACACTAGCTCATGTTGATGATACCTTCAAGTTGTTAACACTAGAGTGCAGGGAATTAAGGAAAAGAAACCTTACATGATACATAACTGATCTGGTGTTGGCACCTTCTGGTGGTGGCTTAAGTCCTTAAGGATGATTTGGGTTCTTTGCTGATCCCCCTTGCCAGGACCTCCCAATAGCACGTCCCTATTGTAGTCCACTTCTGATTCCTTTCCTCAAATTCTCTCTTCTAGAGATCCACTCATTCAATATATTCTTGGTGTTGAGATCAATGCCTCTTGACATGTTGACATCTTGTGCAGGATTTCCTTCAATATGACCCAAGTCCAGAACACCCCAGTGATTATACCCATGAGAAAAACTCATGCGCACCAGTTTAGCCATACACCGTAGGAACAGGATTCCCCCAACTCTCTTTTCTTTCCTATTTTGCCACAAACCATTCCATCCCAGACTATCACTTTTAGATGTTTTTAGGCATAAGTTGGGCACCAGTACTAGTGTCCCCAAACCCCAAAGAGCACATATCAGCTTTTCAAGAGGATCTTTTAAGTGCCCAATGCTACTTAGTTTGTAAAGATAGTAAGAAAGAAGCACCTCTCATTGCCCTATGGGGAAAATGAGCAGAGATAAAGAGAGGGTGGATATCAATGCACACCAATAAGTCTCTCAAAAGAGTTCTCCATTGCTAATCTATTCTGATCAGTCTCTTTAACTCATCTTATATGCCCCAGATGCAACTTGGTGTAAGACTTACACAATCTCTCAGTACTATTATTTTAGAAAATGAATAATCAAACATTCATAATTGGAGGGGAAAGGTAGAGATACACATACTTAGTTCCAGATTGTTCTAGTCCACTTTCTTTCCTAGCCTACTTTGAAGAACAAGGAGCAGTTATTAAACATAATTTAACCTTCTTTTTTTCAACAAAGTGAGTTATCATTTGAACCAAGTGCCAGAACCTTGTGGCATTATGAACTGTCATAAAATGTGGTTAAAAGTCTTAGTAGTCTGCGCAGTGCATTCTGGGGACCGAGGTCGAGCCAGCCACTGCTGCCGTCGCCTGAGGGAAGCGAGAAGAGGCCGCGACCGGGAAGAAAACGCTGAGTCGCCACTGGAGAGAAGTGGACTCCATAGCAGCAGACCCCGCCAGAGAGGCCCGCCCACCCGTTCGCCCCTCCCCCTGCCCCGTTCACAATGCAGCCTGCTTCTGCAAAGTGGTACGATCAAAGGCACTATGTCTTCATTGAATTTTGTGTTGAAGACAGTAAGGATGTTAATGTAAATTTTGAAAAATCCAAACTTACATTCAGTTGTCTCGGAGGAAGTGATAATTTTAAGCATTTAAATGAAATTGATCTTTTTCACTGTATTGATACAAACGATTCCAAGCATAAAAGAACGGACAGATCAATTTTATGTTGTTTACGAAAAGGAGAATCTGGACAGTCATGGCCAAGGTTAACAAAAGAAAGGGCAAAGCTTAATTGGCTTAGTGTTGACTTCAATAATTGGAAAGACTGGGAAGATGATTCAGATGAAGACATGTCTAATTTTGATCGTTTCTCTGAGATGATGAATAACATGGGTGGTGATGAGGATGTAGATTTACCAGAAGTAGATGGAGCAGATGATGATTCACAAGACAGTGATGATGAAAAAATGCCAGATCTGCAGTAAGGAATATTGTCATCACCTGGGTTTTGAGAAAGAAAAATAACTTCTCTGCAAGATTTCATGATTGAGAGAATTCCTGAGTTGATCTAAAAGCAGATGCTGTAGCTGCCTACTTTAACCCATTTTTCAACCTGTTTGTTTTTTAAAGGGCTTCACTAAGGGTTGATATGTACCATTGTAGGGGGCAATTTTAAGTCAGCTAAGGCAATAACCTTATGCATGAACATTTCCCAGACTTTCATGAAGCTGTTGAGGTCCTAGGCAATTAATGCGGCAGTTGTGATAAATAAAAACATCTCACCTAAGTCTCCTTTTCTTCATAATATAGATACTGACATGATGATAGGAAGCTCTCAGCTTAGGGAAAGAGAGCTAAATTTTAGATTATAGAACATGGATTCAAAAGTGGCTGAACAAATTGGCTGACACCTTACTGGTAACCTGCTATTCCTCTGGTGTTATCCTTCAGGATTGTTCCACTAAAATTTATTTTTCAAAAAATTTACTTCACATTATTCTATGTAAGTGATCACTTGTCAGTGTTCCAGGTGTATATTAGCTAAAATTAGAGAATGCCCTAACTTAGATGGTTTTTGAAGCCTGTACATTTGGTATTGTTTGACCCTTAAGCTTTTACATCTCTTAGCATGGAAGACGAAGAAAGCTGTACATTGTTGCTTGAGAGTCTGTACATTTAGTCCAGATTTGTATTTGCATTGTCAGTATGGCAAATGAGTGAAAAATGTTTAATACACTATTGTATTTTTTTTTTTTGAGAGTCTCTCTCTGTCACCCAGGCTGGAGTGCAGTGGCCCGATCTCTGCTCACTGCAAGCTCCACATCCCGGGTTCACACCATTCTCCTGCCTCAGCCTCCCGAGTAGCTGGGACTACAGGCGCCTGCCACCATGCCCGGCTAATTTTTTGTATTTTTTAGTAGAGATGGGGTTTCACCGTGTTAGCCAGGATGGTCTCGATCTCCTGACCTCGTGATCTGCCCCCCTCAGCCTCCCAAAGTGCTGGGATTACAGGCATGAGCCACCGCGCCCGGCCGGATTTTTTCTTTTTTTGATTCAGCTTATACCAGGGCTGAAAACCTCAATTTATGTTCATGACAGTGGGGATTTTTTTAAATGCCTACATTCTTTCTAATAAACTGTTGGAAGACTTTAAAAAAAAAGTCTTAGTAGTATATTTGCTGTAAAATGAGGATGATAACTTACATCAACAAGCTTGTACTGAGGAATAAATTAAATTTCATAAATAATACCTATAAAGAATTTAACACAATATCTACTGTATAATAGGCACTAAATGTAATATATATATATATAATATATATATATATATTTTTTTTTTTTTAGGCAGAGTCTCACTCTGTCACCCAGGCTGGAGTGTAGTGACGCAATCTCAGCTCACTGCAATTTCTGCCTCCCGGGTTGAAGCAATTCTCCTGCCTCCACCTCCCAAGTGGCTGGGATGATAGGCACACATCACCATGCCCAGATAATTTTTGTATTTTTAGTACAGACGGGTTTCGCCATGTTGGCCAGCCTGGTCTGGAACTCCTGACCTCAAGTGATCTGCCTGCCTCAGCCTCCCAAAGCACTGGGATTATAGGCGTGAGCCACTGCACCCAGCCTGAATGCAATATACTTTTTATTATAACACTAACCCAGGGTTCAATGCTGCAATGAAACTTATGTATTATAAGGTGAAAGTATGATTTAAAAATTACTACATGAAAATATAATTCATCTCAGTAATATTTAAAAACTTATGAAAATAGCATGCCATTTTCCACCTCTCAATTTAGTTAATATTAAAAAGCCTTATTCCACCTGTTTCGGGGGGTGGTGAAGGGATGGAGGCAAATTTATTAATACATCTCAAAAGCCTTTAATAAGAACATCATCTCTGACCTTCATGCTCCACTCCCAGTTTCATTCTTTTAATCAAAATACATATGGAAGGCTACATCCTTAATTTGGTGCTAGGTACTCATCAGTATATAAGACATGTCCTTTCCTTCACTTGCTGCATCTCTAAGTGACTAACCTGTTCCAATATGAGTATGTCAAATATTTGAGGAAGTTAGACTTAAAAACAATATGATTCCTCCTCATTCTTGGCTTTTCAAAATGTCACCCAAACCTGAAGTAAGTGAGATTATATTTCACATGATATGATGGACTTTTAAAAACAACAACAAATGGTATCTAAGATTTCTTCCAAAAATAAAATTTGAAGATGTTAATGCAACTACTAGCACAGCTCCCAGAAAATTCTTTATAGTTTTAATCCACTGCTTTGCACTCAGGACTTTCAGATTTAGTTTGTCTAGTCTATTGCAGAAGTTTCTTGTTATCTTTCCTTCTAATTGTCTGTTCTCAGAAGGTAACTTGGAAAGCTCCAGGACATTATAGGGGTGAAATAAAAACACAAAGATCCAGCCAGATATAAGGTCAAGATCCTTATCTGGAATATGTATCAAATATAATGGAGAAGGCAAAATTGCATCTTGAGCAGACACAACTTGATTATGAATAGAAGTGTTCTCTGCAACCTTAAAAAATAGTCCCTTTGAAGTGCATTTAATATTGTAGTTCCATTTGCAAAGTAAATTTCTTCCTATTAAACATGCAGGGGTGGTATCACAAGGTAGGAAGGAATGTTTATGCAGTCAAACCCCAATAGTTACAGTTAAGGGCTGAGATACAGGGAAAATCTGTGGAGTATTGGAAATACCACCTGTGTAATACGCTTACTCCAAAGAAAAGGTTGAGCAAAGATGGCAGGGTTTAATGTAGAAAGAGTAGCAACCTTATTTACCAGGAATTGATGAAGTTGACCATCTATATTAGTATTGTATTTACTGTGAATGTTTAGCATAAGGCAGAATATTGGATGGTTTTTCCTTTTCTGGTTTTTGTGAGAACATCGATTGATCTGAATTAGGAATTTTTCCATCTTTGTTTTTCTCTTGTAAGATGGGACAATCTTCTTTCCTATGTCCTATTAACAATATCCAAACATGTCCTTGTCAACAAGTCACTTGTTATAAAATGGGTAACCTAGCTGTTGGATTAGTAGTGCTACAAGTTTATTTTGGAACCTGCTTCATTTTTGTTCTAAAGCCCTTTCAAAATGCTGTGCCAGGTATTGTACTGCAGATAAAGGGGCTATTTCCATTCTAATTGGTTTTCAAATGTGGTCTCCAATTTCAGGCTTAACTCCATTGGCGAAATGAGATGAAAGAGTAGCTATTACATGGACATCTTCCTTAGCTTACAAATGTTGGAAGGTATTTTCTAGTCTATTCTGAAAATCTCCTATAGTTTCATCAGTTTGAATGACTGAATTACGGCCCAATTAATTTTTGTTGGAAATGTTTCAGGTCTGGCTTTTAGGAGACTTCAACCTACTCTTACAGCCTTTAAAAAAAAATTTTTTTTTGACCCTCAGATTTACTGTGGAAAGAAGGATTCTGTAGCTCCCTTTCCAGGAAAGCATAACCAGCTTTTGTCATCCAGGATTTAGCATTTCAGATTTTAACCAACATGACTACAAGTTGATATAGGTCACACATAGGTCAGTGTGTTAGACTGCTAGTGAGACAGCCAGGTGGGAGGGGGTCCTGGAGAAACTCCAACAAGCCAGGCTCCAACAAGCTGAGGTGGAGCCTGGGGAAATTCAGGACTTTTGCAGCAGGGAGGAGCCCGAGCCTGGCCCCTCCTCTTCCTGGGTGGAACCTCAGATTCAAGTGCCTGGCGGAAAGCCCTCTAGCAGAGGGACTCTGGCTTTGCGAGAGTCCCTATTTCCCCTCTTTTTTCCCTTTTCACCCAATAAAACCCTGCTTCACTCACCCTTTAAACCTCCTGGAAGCCTAAATTTTCATGTCCGTGGGGTGGACAAGAACCCCGTCTTTAGCTGAACTAAGGAAAAGTCCTGCAACACTAGGGCTGTCCGAAAAAAAAAACCCATATACTGGGTGGCTTAAACAACAGAAATTTATTTTCTCACAGTTCTAGAGGGTGGGAAGTGTTCTCTCCTTGGGCTGCAGATGGCTGCCTACTTACTGTGTCCTCATCTGGCCTTTCCTCTCTGCTTTTTCACAGACAAGAAGAGAAAGATCTCTTCTTCTTCTAATAAGGTCATTAATTCCATCTGGATGTCCTCACCCTCATGAGCTAATTTAACCCTAATTACATCCCAAAGAGCCCATCTCCAAATACTGTCACACTGGAAGTTAGGGCTTCAACAGTTGAGTTTGGGGGAACAAAGCAAAAACATTCCATCTATAACAATCAGGTAACCCTGGGTCATGTTCATCCAAAAGAATTCTAAATTCTATGAATATTTGCCAACCTTATTTGAGTTTAGGGAAATCTTTTATTAGAGTTCTTAATTCAGCTTAATTCAGTACAAAGTTTAAACTTTATAGTTCCCTTCGTACCTGGATCATGAGAAAGAATTTTTAGAAGTATCCACCAAAATAAGGCTGAGACAAAAAATTTGATAAAAGTATATTGGAAGACAAATATGAGGATAAATCCTGGAAGACATACCAACACAGTTGGGAGTTTTCCAGAATCTGCTACAAGTTGGAAGGCTTTTATAGGAACATATAGGAAAGTTTAGAAGAAGGGAAGAGGACTCTTCATGTTAGTATTTTTTACTCAGGGACAGGATGTTGCCATGAATTACAAGACCTCCCCAACATGGGTACCTTTGGAAGCCCGTTTACTTTTAAAGTAAACTGTCAAATGTGACCTGTATCAGAGGTCCTTGGCATTTGGGGGTTTCAGGAGAGTTGGGAAAAGCTAGAGGTCTGAGTAAGAGGAGGAAGGAGTATGAGGTGTTGAAGCAGGGAAATCAGAAATATAAGGGGGAATAGAGAAAGCTGAATATGGGGAGGTAGATGTAGGCAAAGAAGAGCAGGATTTACTAATAAAATTAGTCATTTGTTACTACTTAATTTTTTCAAATTGCTCATTGGCTTTGACCAATGAATTTGTTAGTGAAGCAGTTTTTTATTCAGAATTGCATTTGGAGACTTCTGCATATCAACCAAAAGTGCTACCCACTGGGCCAGAGAAATTTTATACTCTTTCTTTTTGAAGGTGCCTCTAAAATGAAGTTTTATTCAAGACAAATGTTCCTCAGAGTGACTTCTGAAGGACCGAGTCATCTTTGGTGCTAAAAACTCCCCACCTCTACATGCCTACATATCAGTTATTTTTCTCCTCAACTTCCTTAAATGACAAGAGCTAAGCCCTTTGGAGAGCTAGCAGCGGGGATCCCTTTCCTGTATGTTGCTCCCTTGACTTGCTCAGGCTGCAAGCCTATTAAATGTTGCCTGATAAAAATTTCTGTTTGGTCCAGTGTTAATTTCTATTTACACACGAGCCAAGAAATCAGGGTCCAAGCTGCAGTAACAAGATGACTTCATGAGACTGGTGACAGTCTGTAAGAAGGTAATGCCTGTGCACCTCATGTCTGGTGCCTCCAACCTGAAAGCTGACCCTCTCCAAATGTAGACCCAGTAATCTTCACTATCCAGCAGGAAGAACATTAGAAAAAAAAAATGTTCTATGGATGAAGCCTGGGCTCTGAGGACAAAAATTTAAATGGAAGAAGACGCTCATCTGGTTTTATTGGTGACTGACCCATAGCAAAATTTGTCCTAATGGATGCCAGTTCCATGAGGACTGAAAACTCACCACTCTGTGAGGCCAGAAAAGTCCAATACACTATCTGTAAGTCCAAAAGCGTGGACTATCTGTAAGATAACAGAGAATTGAACTGAACGGTAATGCCATGTCAAAAATTATGCAAATTTAATTCATTTAAAAATACTACATATGCTCATGGAACTCTACATGACAGAATCTGCCTTAGGCTCCCGGTTGAAGTCATTCCATTATAGAACAACAATATCTAGTTTAAAAAATTCACTGGAAAGTTTCAATCAAATATAAATTTAAAATGTTTAAATACATCTATAAATTGATCATAAAATGTGAATTTGAATACAAACATAGAAGAACTGCCAATACTAAAAAAAGGGTTTAGAATAAATGGAGCAACAGACCATGATCTAAAGTGAAAGCAAAGAAGTAAAAATATTAAATATCTATTGATCAATTTATATTGGCCTACTGTATCCAATACAATGCCAATGAAAATTTTGTAGGAACTTCATAATATGATCCTAGTTTCTGTTCAAAAATGGAAGGATGAGCCAAAACAATGTGTATTAGTCTGTTTCCATGCTGCTGATAAAGACATACCCAAGACTGGGCAATTTACAAAAGAAAGAGGTTTAATTGGACTTACAATTCCACGTGGCTGGGGAAGTCATGGCGGAAGGCAAGGAGGAGCAAATCACATCTTACATGGATGGCATCAGGCAAAGAGAGAACTTGTGCAGGGCAACTCCCATTTTTAAAACCATCAGATTTCATGAGACCCATTTACTGTCACAAGAACAGCATGGGAAAGACCTGCCCCCATTATTCAATCATCTCCCACCAGGTCCCTCCTACAATACATGGGAATTATGGGAGCTACAAGATGAGATTTGGGCAGGGACACAGAGCCAAACCATATCACAATGTATTGGAAAAAATTATAGTACCAGATAACACAACAAAATGTAAATTATAATCATTTTAAAGTATGGCACTGAGTATAATAAAAATCAGCAGACAATGGGACTAAATGGATGATCCAGAAAACATTTCAATACAAATAAGAACAACTCTCTAGCCATTATTAAAAAAAAATCTATTGTACATAACTGACATTAAAATAAGTACTTTAAATTTTTTTAATAAGAAAACTTATTGTAAATTGACAATGTATGATTGTATATATTTATAAAGTGCTAAGTAATGTTATGTTCATGAATACGATGTGGAATAATTAAATTAATAAACATACTCATCGCCTCAAATATTTGTCATTTTTGTGATAAGAACATTTGAAATTTACTCACCTAGCAAGTTTGAAATATGCAATATACCATTATTGACCATATTCACCATGCAGTGCAATAAATGTCAAAAAAAAAACCACACAAAACCTAATTACTCCTGTCTAAATTAAATTCTTTATCCTTTAACCATCATCTCTCCATTTCTCCCACGCTCACATTCTGGTAACTACCATTCTACTCTCTGCTTCTATTAATTCAGTTGTTTTAGAGTCCACATACAGGTGGGAATGTGTGGTATTTGTCAGTCTTCGCTTGGCTCATTTTGCCAGTTCCATCCATGTTGTCTCAAATGGCAGAAATGACTTGTTTTTAAGGCTGGATAATATTCCATTGTGTATATATACCACATTTTCTTTATCCATCCATCTGTTGAGAGGCACTTAGGTAGATTCCACAACTTGGCTATTGTGAATAAATGCTGCAATGAACATGGAAGTGCAGACATCTCTTCAATGTACTGATTTCAATTTCTTTAGATACAGACTCAAAAGTGGGATTGCTGCACCATATGGTAATTCTATTTTTTGATTTTTTTAGAAACATCCATATCGTTTTTCTTAATGACTGTACTAATTTACATTCCCATCAATAGTGTATCAGGGTTCCCTTTACTCCATATCATCACCAACAATTGTTATCTTTCATCTTTTTGATAATAACCATTCTGACAGGTGTGAGGTGATATCTTATTGTGGTTTTGATTTGCATTTTTCTGATGATTAGTGATGGTGAGCATTATTTCATGTATCTATTGGCCATATGTATGTCTTCATTTGAGAAATGTCTATTTAGGTTCCTTGCCCATTTTTAAAATTGGATTATTTGTTTTCTTGCTAGTGAGCTGTTTGATTGTCTTATATGTTTTGGGTACTAAGATGTTACCAGATACATGCTTTCCAAATATTTTCTCCCAATCCATAGGTTGTTTGTTCACCCTGTTCGTTGTTTCACTTTATGTATAGAAGCTTTTAGTTTGATGTAGTCTTATTTGTCTATTTTTGTTTTTGTTGCCTGAATTTTGTGAGTAAAATTAAAAAAATCATTGTTCTAATCAATGTCATATCATTTGTCCCACGTTTTCTTCTAGTCACTTTTCAATTTCAAGTTTTATATTTAAGTCTTTACTCCTTTTTAAGTTCATTGTTATATGGTGTGAGATAAGGGTCCAATTTTGTTCCTCTGCGTGTGGATATTCAGCTTTCCCAACACTCTTCATTGAAGAGACTATTCTTTTTCAACTGTGTATTCTTAGCACCTTTGTTGAAAATGAATTGACTGTACATGGGTGGGTTCACTTCTGGATCCTCTATTCTGTTCCATTGAGCAAAGTGTCTATTTTTAGGCCAGTACCATACTGTTTTAATAACAATAGCTTTGTAGTATAGTTTGCAGTCAGGTAGTGTGATACCTCCAGATTTGTTTCTTATGATCATGATTTCCTTGGCTATTTGGGAGTTTTCTGTAACTCAACGTAAATTTTAGGATTTTTTTCTATTTTTGTGAAATAGACATTGGAATTTTGATAAGAATTGCAATGAACCTGTAGATCACTTTGGGTAGCAATCTGAACATTTTAACCATATTCTTCCAATCCATGAATATGGAATATTTTTCCATTTATTTATGTCTTCTTCAATTTCTTTTATCAACATTTTTTAAGGTTTTAGTGTACAAGTCTTTTACCTCCTTTGTTAAATTTATTTCTAAGTATTTTGTTTTATTTTATTTTATTTTATTTTATTTTATTTTTGTAGCTATCATAAGTGAGATTATTTTCTTGGTTTCTTTTTTAGATAGTTTGATGATAATATATAGAAATTCTACCTAATTCTCGGATGTTGATTTTGTATTCTGAAACTTTAATGTATTTATTTATTACTTCTGATAGTGTCTTGCTGAAGTTTTAGGTATACATACATAGAATAATTAGCAAACAGAAAAAATCTCACTTTATTCTTTCCTATTTGGATGCTTTTTATTTCTTTCTCTTTCCTAATTGCTCTAGCAAGGTCATCCAATACTGTGTTGAATACAAATGGTGAGAATAAGCATCCTTGTTTTGTGCAAGATTTTAGATAAAAGGCTTTCAATTTTTCATGCTTGAGTATAAAGTAAGCTACAGGATTATGGTATATTAATATGTTCTTTATGGTATTGAGTTACATTATTTCTATACCTACTTTGTTGAGAATTTCATTATGAAAGCATGCTGAATTTTATCAAATACTTTTTCTGCATTTAATAAAATGATCATATGGCTTTTGTCTTTCATTGTGTTGATGAGATGTATCACATTTATTGTTTTGCATATATGGAACCATCTTACTTCTCAGGGATAAATCCCACTTGGTCATGTTGAGTGATACTTTTAATGTGTTGTTGAATTTGGTTTGTTTATATTTTGTTGAGGACTTTTGCATGTGTATTCATCAAGGATATTGGCCTATAATTTTCTTCTCTTGTAATGTCCTTGTTCAACTTTGGTATCAGGGTAATGCCGGACTTGTAAAAAGAGTTTTAAAGTATTCCCTTCCCTTCAATATTTTGGAAGAGTTTGAGAAGAAGTAGTATTATTTCTTCTTTAAACGTTTGGTAGAATGCAACATTAAAGACAGCACATCCTGGGCTTTTCTTTGATGGGAGACTTATTATTACTGATTCAATATCCTTACATGTTATTGGTCTATTAAGGTTTTCCGTTTCTTCATAATTCAATATTTGTAGGTTGCATGTGTCTAGGAATGTATCCATTTCTCCTAGGTTATCCACTTTTTTGGCATGTAGTTGTTCATGGTAGTCTTTTCTGATCCCTTGTATTTCTGTACTATAGGTTGTAATGTCTCTTCTTTCGTTGTGATTTTGATTCTTCTTTTTAGTATAGATAAATATTTGTTGATTTTCTTTATCTTTTTAAAAAGCCAATTCTTAGTTTTATTGATCTTTTATATTGCTTTTCTAGTTTCTATTTTATTTATTTCTGCCTGGTCTTTATTAATTCCTTCAGCTTACATTGGGCTTAGTTTATTCTGCTTTTTCTACTTTCTGGTGGAGTAACATTGAGTTGTTTATTATAGATCTTTTTTTGATATGGTTTCTGTTTCTATAAACTTTTCTGTTAGAACTATTTTTGCTGGATTCCATAAGTTTTAATATGTTGTGTTTCCATTTTTATTTGTCTCAAGATATTTTTAAATTTCTCTTTTAATTTGATCATTGACCCATTGGTTGTTCAGGAGCATGTTGTTTGATTTCTATGTATTTGGGAATTTTCTGAAATTATTCCTGTTATTGACTTCTAGTTTTATACCATTATTGTCAGAAAAGATACTTGGTATGATTAAAATTTCTTAAATTTGTTAGGACTTGTTTTGTAGCCTAATGTGTGATCTATTTTAGTGATGATCCATGTGTCATTGCGAAGAATATGTGTTATGTTGCTGTTAGGTGGAATATTCTGTATATGTTTATTAAGTTAACTTGGTCCGAAGTATTATTCAAGTCCAATGTTTCAGTCTTAATTTTCTGATTGGATGATTTGTCCATTGTTGAAACCGGAGCACTAAAGTCCTCTACTGTTATTGTATTGCAATCTTTCTCTACCTTCAGATCATTTAATATTTGCTTTATACATTTAGATGCTTTGATGTTGAGTGAATATATAGTTGACCCTTCAACAGTACAAGGGCTATGGACACCGTCTCACCACACAAACAAAAATCTATGTATAATATTTGACTTCCCCAAAACTTAACTACTAATATCCTACTATTGACCAGAAGCCTTACCAATAATATAAAGAATTGATTAACCCATTTTTATATACGTATTATATTCTGTATTCTTATAATGAAGTAAGCTAGAGAAAACAAAATGTTATTAAGAAAATCATAAGAAGGGGGGACATGGTGGCTTATGCCTATTATTCTAACACTTTGAGAAGCCAGGATGGGAGGATCTCTTGAAACCAGAAGTTCAACGCTAGCCTGGCCAACAAAGCAAGACCCCTTCTCTACAAAGAAAAAAAAAATTAGCTGGGTACAAAGGTGTGTGCCTGTAGTCCTAGCTACTTGGGAGGCTGAGGTAGGAGGATTACTTGAGCCCAGGAGTTCAAGGCTGCAGTGAGCTGATTATGTCACTGTACTCCAGCCGTGGGAATGGTAAGACCCTGTCTCTTAAATTTTTTTAAGAAAATAATAAAGAAGAAAAATTTATTTACTGTTCATTAAGTAGAAGTGGATAATCATAAACATCTCCATCATTATTGGAAATACTTTTTGTTTCTTTCTTCCTCTATTGCTGTCTTTCTTTGAGTTTTCATGAATTTATGTAGTAGTATGTATTGAATCATTTGTTTTTGTTTTGTGCATCTATTACAGACTTTTGCTTTGTGATTACTATGAATATAAAACATTTAACTTATAACAGTCTATTTCAAGCTGATAACAACTTTGATTTCATGCGACAACTCTAACTTTACTCACCCCACCATACACACATTTTGTTTTGGATGTCAGAATTTTCATCATTTTGTAATACGTATCCCTTGATAATGTATTTTAGCTGTAGTTGTTATTAATAGTTTTATTTAAAAATAGCTCACATGCTTCCCCTAAATAGGCAAGGTGGGCATCTTTTCCCTTGGGTGAGACCATGGGGAAGGCGTTCTGGCTGAGTGGAACCACTGTTTGTCCTCCTGAGTTAAGCAAAACTAGCTGTTATTCTTCACCAAAATGCACAGAAGATGGTGTCTCCCTGCCTAGGCAGGTCTTTGGGATCGGCTCTGATAATGGGCTTGAAGACAAGCCATCTAGGGACTCAAGCCAGTTTGAACGTCCCACCAGGCTTCTGAAAGCAACCAGATCAGCTTTCTACATGGGCTACACTGGTTCCTGATATCTCCAACTGGGCATCACAGCTAGCAGAAACAGAAGTACCACCAAAGACTGCAAGCTGGTCACTGTGAACTACACACCGTGCTTCTAAAAGCAACCAGCTCAGCTTTATGCATGGGCTATGCTGGTGGCTGATATCTCCAATTGGGTAACACAGCTGGCAGGAACACAGAGGTACCACCAAAGACTGCTACTCTCAGTGTTTTCCATGTGGTTAGACCAGAGTGAACTTGGGAAGACTCTCAGAATGCTAGGGAAGCTGACAGACCACCTCCAATTTTCTTTTTCCTCTGTAAAAACCATGGACCCAGGCCGGGTGCGGTGGCTCACTCCTGTAATCCCAGCACTTTGGGAGGCCGAGGCGGGCGGATCACGAGGTCAGGAGATCGAGACCATCCTGGCTAACACGGTGAAACCCCGTCTCTACTAAAAATACAAAAAATTAGCCGGGCATGCTGGCGGGCGCCTGTAGTCCCAGCTACTCGGGAGGCTGAGGCAGGAGAATGGCGTGAACCCAGGAGGCGGAGCTTGCAGTGAGCCGAGATCGCGCCACTGCACTCCAGAATCGGCGACAGAGAGAGACTCTGTCTCAAAAAAAAAAAAAAAAAAAAAAAACAAAAAACAAAATGGACCCAAGGAATCCCCTCTGTGTGGTATTGTGCTGACGTGAGGGAATAGGAGGGGCAGCGTGGTCAAAGTGAGACCATTTTTCTTACCCTTCTAATTCAGTTTTACTCAGTTCTGTGGACCCTCAGGTGTTTTAGGCTTGTTTCCAAGTACTGTACTGGGACTTTCACAAACATCTTCCAGTCTATGGTTAATCGCTAGTTGAAATTTCTGAAGGAGAGAGTGAAGCCTGAAATATATTTCATCATCTCGCTGATCTCATTTCTCAAAATAAGTCCTTGATGAATAAAAGTTTCTGTGATTACTGGGTATATACCCAAAGGATTATAAATCAATCTACTATAAAGACACATGCACACATACGTTTATTGCAGCACTATTTACAATAGCAAGGACTTGGAACCAACCCAAATGCCCATCAATGATAGACTGGATAAAGAAAATGTGGCACGTATACACCATGGAATACTTGATAGGTGCAGCAAACCGCCATGGCACATGTATACCTATGTAACAAACCTGCAGGTTCTGCACATGTATTCCAGAACTTAAAGTAAAAAGAAAGAAAACACCAAAAAATAGCTTTCTTTAGTTCAAGGGGATTAAATAGAAATCTGTCTTCACTGTTTCATTAGCTCTAGTGGTAGACATTAAATCTCCTTCTTGGAATTAAATGTCTTATGAATGTGTAAACACAGAAAAAAATATTTTTGGTGAACATTTTCTTGAATAACTTTGTGTTTCTAATGTGATAATCTGTATGTTATCTTTAAACCACTTAAAAGTATCTTTGGGCTGAAAAAAGAAGACAGACAAAGATCTGTTTCAGTTCTGAAATGCTATGATATCACACTTCAAGCTTTTTTCTTAAATAGCCTTAAGAGCCCTTAACACACTTTTTTTTCCCTAAAGTCAACGGAGATGTCTCATATCTTTTATCCATTAAGAATCTTTTTAAATTATCCACTACCAAACTTTATGATAATTGTCAGTAACCAATTCACCATCAATTTTAGACATATACAATGTGACAAGATATGAAGTAAAACTCTTCTCCCAGGACTCATAACCTGCCTTTGAAGGTAAACGCTGAAGGGTGCCCTAAATTTCTTTTATAAAAAATAATATTATTGGAATATTCACACAAAGTTACTACTTTAAAGACAAAAAAATTAGCGTGGTCTATAAATTATGTAGGTTTGTTAAAATAAATATTGCTGCTGTAGAAAGAAGATAGGATCACTAGTGCAAACAAGGGTGAGAAAGAACAGTGGAGAAAGAAGGAGAGAAATCTGCATTCAAAAACCAATTCTACAACCTACTAGTTGCCTCACCTCAGAAAGTTACATACCTTTTAAGCGTCATTCTTCTCATATATTTGTTGTGAGAATGATGAAGAAAGATATGAAAAACACTTATTATAACTAGGTTCTTTTACCTTAATACTGAAATAAACAGACTCTTAATACAGAAAAAAAAAAGTGTCCGTTGTATAGAAATGGCCTTAGGATTGAACAGAAAGACAAGAAACATCTGTCCTAAAGCAAGATGCTATCAGCTTGAATTCCTTTGAACTCTCCATTCCAGTCACAGCTGGGATGAGAGGAGACATTGAGAGGATGAGTCAGTGTATCAGATGCATCTGACACAGTTCACCCCTTCAGCACTCTGATCACTGTGCCTGCCCTACATTAAATTCAG
The DNA here is from genome assembly GCF_000001405.40 of Homo sapiens. NCBI lineage: Eukaryota > Metazoa > Chordata > Mammalia > Primates > Hominidae > Homo > Homo sapiens. The sequence continues at coordinate 89,090,068 of NC_000001.11, read as the reverse complement.
TCTGTTACCAAGTCCTCAAGTTCATAACCAGCTACAGTTCTACAAAAAACTTAATACACAGGAGTTGGTGGCACATACCACAGTTTGCTCCTGCAACTTCAATCAAAGGCAGAATTGACGTTCATCCTATCCCTCCCCTACCACTTATTTTATATTTCCTTCCCTTTGTCATCACAAGTAGACATTTCATTTAAACTATTTTTAACAACATTAATCTTATTTCTTCTAACTATATTTTTGTACCCATATTTCAAAAAACTAAAAGAGTGGAATTGGAATATTCCGAACACAAAGAAATGATAAATGCTTGAGGTGAAGGATATCCCAATTATCCTGATTTGATCATTGCATATTTTATTTTTGTATCAAAATATCACATGTAACCCATAAATGCATACAACTATTATGTATCCATAAAGAATAAAAATTAAGAAAATGCACATTGATCTGTGTGCATAATACACTCTTCTTCATGATGAATCCAAAAAGAAAATATAACTTGAAAATACCTTAGTATTTAACATTTTCAGTACTATGAGGTCAGCTTATTCCCTTATAAAAGAGAATAAGATCCATATAGCACATTCTGTTTATTTAGTGATGTTTTTAAAGAGTGCACACATCTTTAATCCTTACTTTTCATAATAGCTATATTATCATAGCACAGAGTCAGACTAATCCCACAAATCCTGTTCAATGGCATGTTACAATCAACTAGAATTTGTTTCATTTGTTGAATATAGTCAGATAAATAATTTGAGTTAGAAAAAATATTTCAAGATTTTTTGTAATAGTGTTAGCTTGTAAGAATCAAGGATCAGTATTTATCCAATCTGGTATAAAATCTAATAAGGAAGTAGTTTTTAGAACCTGCTTTATTTATTTAACATTTCACTTTCTATGTGCCTATTTCTATTTCAATTAAGTCTTCATAATTTATTTTGGATACAATTGTCATATTTATTTTCACACACTGCCATTTTTCCAAGTACTCATGAGAGAATGGATCAAATTCAGCAAACGGTTTGATGATTCTCATAAGATTTTTATTATTTAAAGAGTGCCAGTTGAGGGGAGGGACCAAGATGGCCGAATAGGAACAGCACCGGTCTGCAGCACCGTGAAACCCACGCAGAAGGCAAGTGATTTCTGCATTTCCAACTGAGGTACCCAGTTCATCTCATTGGGACGGTTAAGCAGTGGGTTCAACCAACTGAGGGCGAACAGAAGCAGGGTGGGGCGTTGCTTCACCCAGGAAGTGCAAGAAGCCGGGGACCTCCCACCCGCAGCCAAGGGAACTATGCAAACAGGAGGGAACTGATAACCCATGGACACATTTATTAACATTCCTTCCTCCTCTGGGTGAGAGGCCCACAAGTATCTGTAGGCTCAGGCATCCAAACACTATTATTAACATAAACCTCAACCGGAGGTTCCAACCATGTGACAGCCCTACTCAAATATAGTATGGATTATCAGTTAAACGAGCTGTTTAATTTGTTACAACAAACTGTAAGAAAAAGAAATTTCCCATTTTGTATTACTCATATTCGAGCACACCCTAATTTACCATGGCCTTTGGCTAAAGCAAATGAACAAGCTGACTTGCTAGTATCATCTGCATTCATGGAAGCACAAGAACTTCATGCCTTGACTCATGTAAATGCAGCAGGATTAAAAATAAATTTGATATCACATGGAAACAGCCAAAAAATATTGTACAAGATTGCACCCGGTGTCAGATTCTACACCTGCCCACTCAGGAGGCAGGAGTTAATCCCAGAGGTCTAAGTCCTAATGTGTTATGGCAAATGGATGTCACGCATGTACCTTCATTTGGAAAATTGTCATTTGTCCATGTGACAGTTGATACTTATTCACATTTCATATGGGCAACCTGCCAGAGAGGAGAAAGTACTTCCCATGTTAAAAGACATTTATTATCTTGTTTTGCTGTCATGAGAGTTAAAAAAAAAAATTAAAATGGACAATGGGCCAGGATACTGTAGTAAAGCTTTTCAAAAATTCTTAAATCAGTGAAAAATTACACATAAAACAGGAATTCCCTATAATTCCCAAAGACAGGCCATAATTTAAAGAACTAATAGAACACTGAAAGCTCAATTGGTTAAACAAAAAAAAAAAAGGAAGAAACAGTAAGGAGTATTAACACTCCCCAGATGCAACTTAATCTAATACTCTATACTTTAAATTTTTTGAACATTTATAGAAATCAGACCATTACCCCTGCAGAACATCTAACTGGTAAAAGGAACAGCCCACATGAAGGAAAACTGATTTGGTAGAAAGATAATAAAAATAAAACATGGGAAACACGGAAAGTGATGACATGTGGGAGAGGTTTTGCTTGTATTTCCCCAGGAAAAAAACACCTTCCAGTTTAGGTACCTACAACTTACAGATAAAGTTGTCATCCACCAAGAAAGCGGAGCCGCCGACTTGGGCACAATTAAAGAAGCTGACACAGTTAGCTGAAAAAAGCCTAAAGAACACAAGGGTAATCCAAACTCCAGAGAATATGCAGCTTGCAGCCTTGATGATTGTGTCAACGGTGGTAAGTCTCCCCAGGCCTGCAGGAGCAACTGCAGCTAATTATGCCTATTGGGCATATGTCCCATTCCTGCCTTTAATTAGGCCTGTCACATGGTTGGAAACCCCGGTTGAGGTTTACGTTCATAGTAGTGTTTGGATGCCTGAGCCTACAGATTCTCGTGGGCCCTCTCACCCAGAGGAGGAAGGAATGTTAATAAATGTGTCCGTGGGTTATCAATTCCCCCCTGTTTGCATAGGGCTGGCTATCTGTTGCCTAAAAGGCTACCGACAACATTGGCTAGTTAAGATTCCAGGTCATAATCAAAGACCAGTATCCTGTCATTTATTTTACAAAGTTTGGTTCAATTGGAACAGTTTAAGCCCAGAAAAGAGAGGTGTCAACAACCTCAATAATGGTCAAAGGATTTAGAAACATTGATTTGGAAGGATTGCATCACTGATCACACTGTGGTACTGCAAAATAATCCCTATGGAATCATCATTGATTGGGCCCCTAAGGGGACCTTTGCAGTTAATTGTACCAATCAGAATGATAGATGCAAGATAGGACTAAACCAAGAACTATATTATCAAAGAGATGACACCATTTACACTGAAAAACGTGCTCATTTTCCCATAATTTGGACCAATTTTGGTATGGCCGACCCACATCCAAAAATGAGTAATCCAATCATAGACCCTAAACATCCTGAATTATGAAAGTTAATGATGGCCCAATCTCATATTCGGGTTTGGAAAAAAAAATTATATTAATGGAGAAGGTGGGAGACATCAATTTACGTATCAGTTTTGTTCCAGCCAAACAATACCCATTCAGAGTTGTGTCAAGCCTCCTTTAATGTTAATTGTCAGAAATATTAATATTCGACCAAATTCTCAAACCATTACTTGTCAAAACTGTTGCCTTTTCATCTGTATTGATTGCACATTTGGTGTAAAAACATCTGTGTTGCTGGTGAGGGCTAGAGAAGGAGTTTGGATACCGGTTTCCCTCAATAGACCTTGGGGAGCCTCTCCTTCCATTCATATTGTCACAGAAATGTTAAGGGGACTGTTTACCAAAACAAAAAGATTTATTTTTACCCTTATAACGGTCATTATGGGCCTTATTACAGTCACAGGTACTGCTGCGGCTGCTGGAATTGCTTTACACTCCTCTGTTCAAACTGCGGAATATGTAAATGATTGGCAAAAAAATTCCTTAATAAAAGATCACACATTTACACATTATAACAAATTTTATGCTCTGAAAACATTTTTAGAAAGAGCATATATTTACATATGTTTGGGAAAGGTATCTTGATATTAAATAATTAATTGACAGTGTTACATTTTCAATGTTCAAAATGAGCTAAGACTTTTATGTACATTATCTTATATCAGCCTCACTAAACTATACAAACTGGATATTGATGTGCTCAATGAGAAGACAATGGAATAAGGCATGGAGAGCTCACAAAGCTGAGGAGTGGCAAAGTTGCTTTCCATATGTGATATGACAGCACCTCCCTCTAGTGGTGACACCATGCTTTTCCTCCATATTCCTGATGTGACAAAGCTCAGAGTCACAGATTTGATGCCCTTTATTCTTATTTTTTGCTTCCAAATCATTTATCCTCTTTATTTAGCTTTTTCTTACAGTATGAACACTAGACAAAAACAGTTAAGTCATTTGCTTAGTATATGGTGTCAATAAAGCATGGTCTGACAACATTTATTTTTATTTATTTTCCAACTTTTAAGTTCAGGGGTACATGTGCAAGCATTATATAGGTAGATTGCATGTCACAGGGATTTGGTATATAAATGATTTCATCACCCAGGTAATCAGCATAGTACTTGATAGGTAGTTTTCAACCCTCACTCTCATCCCTCAACCCTCAAGAAGGCCCTGGTGTCTGCTGTTCCTTTCTTTGTGTCCCTATGTAATAAATGTTTGGCTCCAACTTATAAGCGAGAACTTGTGGTATTTGGATTTATGTTCCTGTGTTAGTTTGCTTAGGATAATGAACTCCATCTCCATCCATGTTGCTGCAAAGGACACAATCTCAATCTTTTTTATGGCTGCATAGTATTCTGACAATACTTATTTAGACCATATTTATTTTATACAGATACAAAATGCTATGTAATTTATTTTATGTCCTCTCATCCTGAATAGACATTTTATAGACATATGTGAAATATCAAAAGAGACATTAGGCAAAGTACTAATGATACCAACATAAAAGATAACATTATTACATATTTTGTGCTCTGAAAACATTTTTAGAAGGAGCATACATTCAAATACTAAGTTTGGGAAATGTGTTTTAATACTTAATTGAAAGTGTTACTAAGTTTTCAAAGTTCAAAATGAGCCTCTAATAATGTGTTAAGACTTTTATGTACATTATCCCAATTCAGCCTCACAAAATAATATGAATTAGGTATTGATGTGCTTATTGAGAAGATGATGAAAGGAGGCATAGAGAACTCACAAAGCTGATGACTGGCAGAGTTGCTTTCCATATGCAATATGCCAGCACCTTTCTCAAGTGTTGACACCATGCTTTTCCTCCATATTCCTAATTTGACAGAGCTTGAAGTGACAGATTAAATGCCCTTCTTCCTCTTCATTGTTGCTTCCGGATAACTTACCCTCTTTCTTTAGCTCCTCAACCCACCAGAAAACCACAAAACAACAACAAAACAAACACATAAAGTGAAGCACATGTCATCAGGCTGTACTACTCAAAACTCCTTTGTGCTAGGCATCCTGGATCTCCCAGGATGCCTTTATTCACTGAATATTTTAACAACTGACCCTTTCTCTCCTTACCATTACTCTTGTTGATCTTTGGGCCCTTTCAGATATGGTAGACAAGCATCTCCCCAGCCTCTCAGTTCCTTGACCTCCTAATAGCTGAAAGTCTTTTCTATCATCTCACCTCAGCCTGAAACTTTTCCTTACCAGTAACTAAACCTCCTCCATAATCTCAATATCAAGAGTCCCACACAATCAGTCCCTCTCATGACCTGCCTGCTCCATGCTGATAGGTCGAATGGTCAATTCTCCATCCTCATTTTATTTTATGTCTCAGCAATATGACAAAGATAATTATCCCCCTTCTTCCTAGATTCTTGTGAACTTTAGAAACTATGAGACAATAAACGTTTCAGTTCACTACATTTAGAGGGTATTTCTTATGCAATATCAGATAATTAATACAGAAACTTTTACCTGACTTGGAAGAGCATAGATTGTTACTGTCTGTTTTGTTGTTATTGTTGTTGTTGTTGTTGTTTTCAGACAGAATCTCTCCCCGTCACCCAGGCTGGAATGCAATGGTACAATCGCAGCTCACTGCAACCTTCGCCTCCCAGATTCAAGCGATTCTCCTGCCTCAGCCTCCCGAGTAGCTGGAATTACAGTCACATGCCACCACGCCCGGCTAATTTTTTGTATCTTTAGTAGAGACGGGGTTTCACCACGTTGGCCAGGCTGGTCTCAAACTCATGACCTCGTGATCTGCCCACCTCGGCCTCCCAAAGTGCTGAAACTACAGGCGTGAGCCACCGCATCCAGCTATTGTCTCCTTTTTATTCTTTATATAAACTGAAACATACACAATGTTTTGCTGTATGACTGACTTCCTTAACTCAATATTATGTATTAAAATATATGTGAAAGCTTTTGGGTTCTGTAATAATATTTCACTACAGATACTTAGGAGTAGAAGTATTCAATATATAGTATGCATTTTTTCACCTCATAGTACATAATATCAAATAGATTTTTAATATGATTGTCACAATTTATACTCTCATCAGCAATATTAAGGCTCCCCAGTGCTCTACATTCTTGCCATCATTTGGATATGTCAGCCTTTTGGATTATAGTCATTCTAGTGGGTACATGTAGATTTCATTCACAGTTTAATTTGGTTTTCCTTGAGAATAAAAGACAATTACGGAAGTTGAACATGTGTTCATGTTTGCTGTTCATTAGGAGATCCTCTTTTGGATGAGCTTATTTAAGACTTTTACTTCTATTTTTTTGTAGATTTGAAGACTGCATTACATATTCTAATTATATATATAATATGTTTTTAATCTTTGATTTGCCTTTTCAGTCTCTTAATTATATCTTTGTCAGTTCTCAATTTTAATGTAGTTAAATGTATTGACTTTTTTTTTTTACACTTAATATTATAGTTTTGTATCAGTTTCCCAATCTGGAGAATGTGAAAATAATGTCATTGACTTTTTTTTTCTATAAGTTTGATTGTTTTATCTTCCACATTTAGATCTATAATCCATTTGGAATTGCCTTATTTTTAATGTCAGGAGGGTAAGAACCAGGTTTTATTTCTTTCTAACGTGTATAGAAGGCCTGACACCATTTATTGAGAAGATTATCCTTTCACTATCGTTACCATAAATCAACTCACTATATGTATAAGTCTGGCAATTACATTGAATATATAGATATATTTGTGGAAAAATTAGACTCACAAAATAGTCAGTCTTCCAGTCCATAACCATGATATGTTCCACCATTTATTAGCCCTTGGCATATTGCATAGTTTTCAGTGTATAGTCCTTGGCATATTTTGTTATATTTATTTCCATATTTTGTTAGATAAGTAAATTACTTTGAAGCATAAATACACATATAGAAAAGTGGACACATCATAAATATACAGCTCTGTGGATTTGAGCAAACTAAATATATTCAGAATGCCAGCACCCAAAGAAAATTCAGAATACAACAGTTTCCATGAAGCCCTCTTCATGCTCTACCACCTCCTCCTACACCCATCAAGACTACTATCCTGCTTTGGTACTTTAGGCAAATGGAATCTTAGAGTACATATTTCTTAGTATCCAGTGTCTTTTACTCAATAATAAACATGTAAGATTGGTAGATATTTTGGGGTTTAGCTGTAGGTCAATTGTTCTCATTGCTCTATAGTGTTTATTATATGAATATATCATGAATTATTTAACGCTCAACTCTTGATGAACATTTGAGTGCTTTCACTTTTATGTCTAACTCTGGTGTCTGTGGTTATGCAGAGTTTTCCGTTATATTCCTATGCCATTTGGTGGTTTTCCAGAGCCAGCTGAGATGATGCTGTGTCACTGACAGATCCTTTCCAATAGGACTTTCCCAACCATAATGAAGAAGACCTCTCAGTTTTGGGTTGGCAGTTTAACATGAGATAGAATTGGACATAGTGCCTCATCTACCCTCACTCCCAAATGTAAGACAATTGAGAAAGCACATTTGAGTGTAGTAGAATTAGTTAAAGATGTAAGTGTTGGAAGTTTTCTTCCTAGGATTTCTCTGACCATCATAACTTTGAGGGTAACCACAGCCCTTCACTCCACAAGAGCCCAGCCTACTTCTACCTTGCTAGTTTCAGTCTGTCCTCTCCTATATTCTATCCTCTTCCCTCTACTCACTACCTTGTTTTTCAAAACAAACAAAATTTTTTAACAAAGCAATTTAATAGTCATTTTTTCTTGCTTAGGTATCTGCTGATACTTAAATTGTTGGAGCTATGCCTCTTCTCCAATATGCATTTCAAGTTTGTTTCCAAGAACATACATTTCCCTCTCTATCAGGAATTTTGGAGTCTGACATTAATATTAAACAATGAACCTTATTTTTTACATTTTTGTAATACATTATCCAAATAGCCATTCCACTACAAGTGAAAAGGAAATTCTACAGAAAACCTATGGGAGTTCCACATAGTGCACAGACACCATTGCTTTGGAAACTTTGTGGCAAAATATGTCACAACAGAGACATGAGCTTAAATCAAATTAGGCATTTTGAGGACCCTGAGGTTTAGGTGAATTTTTACCAGAGCATCAGCTGCACATGCCATGAAATGTCCTGGCAGTTGAAACAGCCCCAGTGGAAGAATATTGGGTCTGAAGGCAACTTCAGGTACAGTGGTTTATTTAATCATTAGCAGATGGCTCTCATGAAGAATTCTATAGATTTATATTTTTAAAAATCAACTTATTGTTCTACAAGAACAGTAAAGGAGTGGATCTTAGAAATAAGCCTATTATGTAAGTAGCTATTCATTGATTTCAGTTTTAATCTCAATCACAATCACAGGAAACAACATCTCCAGCTGCCTTGGATTGACCAAAGAGCTTTTCTTTATGCAAGACCTTATACAAAACCGTTTTAAACACAATGACTGGAAGTGTGTGCAACTTGCTGGGGACAGAGGAGAAACACCTTCCTTTTGCTGTTGTTTTCAACAGCAAGTGTTTAAGGCAGTCACTTCTTGAAATCTTTTTACAAAGAGGCTGGTCATTTTAGGAAGCTGGGGATTTTTTGGGCCTGCAGTTTCAGTTCCACAAGACGGAAAAGCCCTAGGCTGTTGTACAGCAATGTGAATACACTTAACACTACTGAACTGTACACTTAAAACTTGTTATGATGGTAAATTGTATGTAATATGTAAAGCTCGTTAGAGAAAAATTTAAAAGGAAAAAAGTTAATACATCAACAAATTGATTATGAAATTTACATTTGAATTGAAATGTAGAAAACTACCAAATAATAATGAGACTAAAAAAGAGCTTTGAATACATACAGCAAGAAGCCATGATTGAAAACAAAGGCAGTTAACTAAAAATAGTGTCTATAAATCAGTGTATATTTGGCACACATCCAGTACAAATCCAGTGCTGGTGCAATTCACAAAGTGATCCTGATTTTCACTCAGAAAAATTGGTTAATTATTGGGGAAAATTCACCCCCGATATTTCACATAGGTTCTTTTCTATTTTCCCTAAGTGTCAGCTGGTCTGAGAAATAAAGGGAAAGGGTACAAAAGAGAGAAATTTTAAAGCTGGGTGTCCAGGGGGACATCACATGTTGGCAGGTTCTGTGATGCCCCCTGAGCCATAAAACCAGCAAGTTTTTATTAGCAATTTTCAAAGGGGAGGGAGTGCATGAATAGGTTGTGGGTCACAGAGATCACATGCTTCAAGGGCAACAAAAGATCACAAGGCAGTTGGAGGCAGGGTGAGATCACAGGACAGGGTGAAATTAAAATTGCTAATGAAGTTTCGGGCACACATTGTCATTGATAACATCTTATCAGGAGACAGGCTTTGAGAGCAGACAACTGGTCTGACCAAAATTTATTAGGCAGGAATTTCCTTGTCCTAATAAGCTGGGGAGCGCTACGGGAGACCGGGGCTTATTTCATCCCTTATCTACAACTGTAAAAGACAGACGTTCCCAAAGCGGCCATTTCAGAGGCCTCCCCTTAGGAACACATTCTCTTTCTCAGGGATGTTCCTTGCTGAGAAAAAGAATTCAGCGACATTTCTCCTATTTGCTTTTGAAAGAAGAGAAATATGGCTCTGTTCCACCCAGCCCACAGGCAGCCAGACTTTAAGGTTATCTCCCTTGTTCCCTGAACATCGCTGTTATCCTGTTCTTTTTTCAAGGTGCCCAGATTTCATATTGTTTAAACAATTTGTGCTGTTAATGCAATCATCACAGGGTCCTGAGGCGACATTCATCCTCAGCTTACGAAGATGACGGGATTAAGAGATTAAAGATAGGCATAGGAAATCACAAGAGTATTGATTAGGGAAGTGATAAGTGTCCATGAAATCTTCACAATTTATGTTCAGAGGTTTCAGTAAAGACAGGTGTAAGAAATTATAAAAGTATTAATTTGGGGAACTAATAAATGCCCATGAAATCTTCACAATTTATATTCTTCTGCCATGGCTTCAGCCAGTCCCTCTGTTTGGGGTCCCTGACTTCCCACAACAGTTAATAATAGGAGCCAAAACAATGTATTGGAAAAGAATTAGCTCCATTGTTAAAACACAACATAAATAAGTCATTTTAGTGTAGTACTGAGTTTACTATAATAAACAGAAAATAGAACAGAATAGATGATTGAGAAACAAATTTAAGTGTATATAAGAACAACCGTCAGGCTATTTTTTTTTAGTTAACACATAATAGTTATACATATCTATGGGACATAGAGTGATATTTTGATACATATACATAATGTGTAATGATCAAATCAGAGTAATTAGCATATTCATTGTGAGAAAACATTTTAAATGGTCCACTTTCAAGACACAATAAATGTAAGTACTGGCAGGCAAATGGAACAAACCGCATGGCTTATGCACCTAGAAGGTCACAATAAGCAAACAGAATGTAGATGAGGGGTCAGCACATAAAAGGGAATAAAGTTTCGTTATTGGGAAATCAAAACTTAAGCGGGGAAGGGGAGAGAGTATAACCTTATAAGGGGGATATTGAAACTTAGGCGATGTCTGGGAAGATTTTAACCCCATAGTACTCAACCATCAAGGAACTGGGGTAGGGACTTGCATGCTAGGAGATAAATTACCTGTTGTAACTGCCCCATGTGTGCCTGTCTACCATGTGCCCGATCTTGCAACACCATTATTAAGTCTCACTTTCACTGTTCTTCGTGCCTCTAAGTCAGTTCTTCGGGTTTGGACAGGTGAGCGTGTTTCTCACATGCATCACCTCAAACATTTATAATTTCTTTGTGTTAGATAGATTCAAAATCCTCTCTCCTAGCATTTTGAAAATATACAATAAATTATTGTTAACTATATTCACCCTACAATACTATAGCACACTTAAACTTATTCCCCCATCTAGCTATAATATTGTAGCTGTTAACAAACCTCTCCCTACTGTCCTCTCCCCTCTGCCTTTCCCAGCCTCTAATAATCACAGTTCTAATCTCTACTTCCATAAGCTCAACTTATTTTAGCTTTCATATGTGTGAACATTTATCTTTCTGTGCCTGGCTTATTTCATTTTAATTATGTAGGCCCATCCATGTTGTCTTGAATGACAGGATTTCACTTTTATGACTGAATACTAATCCAATGTGTAGCTACACTATACTGTCTTTATGCATTCATCTGTAGTTGGATATTTAGGTTGATGCAGTATCAGCTATTTTGAATAGTGCTACAATAAACATGGAGTGCATATATTTCTTCTATATACTAATTTCCTTTTTAGCTTTTATTTTAGGTTTCTTTTAGGTTATATGCAGTTTTCTTATATAGCTAAATTGCATGTCATGGGATTTTGGTGTACAAATTATTTCATCACCCAGGTAATAGGCATGCTATGCAACAGGTAGTTTTTCAATCCTCTCCCTCCTCTCAACTTCCACCCTCAATGTGGCCCCAATGTCTGTTGTTTCCTTCTTTCCTTTGGATAAAGACTTAATAGTGGAAAAAACTGAATCATATGGTAGTTCCATCTTTTTAGTGTTTTTGAGAAAGGTCCACACTGTTTTTCATATGGCTTTACTAATTTACTTTCCCACTAATAGCATATAAGAGTTCTCTTTTCTCCTCATCTTTATTAGTATTTGCATTAATTTTTTCAATAGCCATTCTAACTGAGGAGAAATGATATATCATTGTGGTTTTGATTTGCATTTCACTGATGATTAGTGAGGTTTAATTTCTGGGATACATGTGCAGAACGTGCAGGTTTGTTACATAGGTATACATGTGCCATGGTGGTTTGCTGCACCTATCAACCCATTATCTAGGTTTTAAGCCCTGCGAGCATTAGGTATTTGTCCTAATGCTCTCCCTCCCTTGCCCACTACCCCCAAAACAAGGGCCAATGTGTGATGTTACCCTCCCTGTGTCCATGTGTTCTCATTGTTCAGCTCTCACTTATGAATGACAACATGTTATGTTTGGTTTTCTGTCCCTGTGTTAGTTTGCTGAGGATGATGGTTTCCAGCTTCATCCATGTCCCTGCAAAGAACAAGAACTCATTCTTTTTTATGGCTGCATAGTATTCTATGATGTACATATGCCACATTTTCTTTATCCAGTCTATCATTGATGGGCATTTGGATTGGTTATAAGTCTTTGCTATAGTAAATAGTGCTGCAATAAACATAGGTGTGCATGTGTCTTTACAGTAGAATAATTTATAATCCTTTTGGTATATACCCAGTAATGGGATTGCTGGGTCAAATGGTATTTCTGGTTCTAGATCCTTGAGGAGTAGCCACGCTATCTTCCACAATAGTTGAACTAATTTACACTCCCACCAGCGTGTAAAAGCATTCCTATTTCTCCACATCCTCTCCAGCATCTGTTGTTTCCTGAATTCTTAATGATCACCATTCTAACTGGCATGAGATGGTATCTCATTGTGATTTTGATTTGCATTTCTCTAATGACCAGTGATGATGAGCCTTTTCTCATATGTTTGTTAGCCACATAAATGTCTTCTTTTGAGATGTGTCTGTTCATATCCTCTGCCCATTTTTTGATGGGGTTTTTTGTTTTTTTTCTTGTAAATTTGTTCAAGTTTGTTGTAGATCCTGGAAACCAGATCTTTGTCAGATGGATAGGTTGCAAAAATTTTCTCCCATTCTGTAGGTTGCCTGTTCACTCTGATGATAGTTTGTTTTGCTGTGCAGAAGCTCTTTAGTTTAATTAGATCCCATTTGTCAATTTTGGCTTTTGTTGCAATTGCTTTTGGTGTTTTAGTCATGAAGTCTTTGCCCATGCCTATGTCCTGAATGGTATTGCCTAGGTCTTCTTCTAGGGTTTTTATGGTTTTGGGTTTTACATTTAAGTCATTAATCCATCTTGAATTAATTTTTGTGTAAGGTGTAAGGAAGGGGTCCAGTTTCAGTTTTCCTCATATGGCTAGCCAGTATTCCCAGCACCATTTATTAAATAGGGAATCCTTTTCCTATTGCTTGCTTTTGTCAGGTTTGTCGAAGATCAGATGGTTGTAGTTGTGGGTGTTGTTTCTGAGGCCTCTGTTCTCTTCCATTGGTCTATATACATGTTTTGGTACCATAGCATGCTGTTTTAGTTACTATAGCCTTGTAGTATACTTTGAAGTCAGATAGCACGATGCCTCCAGCTTTGTTCTTTTTGCTTGGTATTGTCTTGGATATACAGGCTCTTTTTTGGTTCCATGTGAAATTTAAAGTAGTTTTTTCTAGTTCTGTGAAGAAAGTCAATGGTAGCTTCATGGGAATAGCATTGAATCTGAAAATTACTTTGGGCAGTATGGTCATTTTCACGATATTGATTCTTCCTATCCATAAGTATGTATGGAATGTTTTTCCATTTGTTTGTGTACTCTTTTATTTCCTTGAGCAGTGGTTTGCAGTTCTCCATGAAGAGGTCCTTCACATCCCTTGTAAGTTGTATTCCTAGGTATTTTATTCTCTTTGTAGTAATTGTGAATGGGAGTTCACTCATGATTTGGCACTCTGCTTGTCTATTATTGGTGAATAGGAATGCTGGTGATTTTTGCACAATGATTTTGTATCCTGAGACTTTGCTGAAGTTGCTTATCAGCTTAAAGAGATTTTTGGGCTAAGATGATGCTGTTTTCTAAATAAATAATCATGTCATCTGCAAATAGAGACAATTTGACTTCCTCTCTTCCTATTTGAATGTGCTTTATTTATTTCTCTTGCCTGATTGCCCTGGCCAGAACTTCTAATATTATGTTGAATAGGAGTGGTGAGAGAGGGCATCCTTGTCTTGTGCCAGTTTGCAAAGGGAATGCTTCTAGCTTTTGTCTATTCAGTATGATATTGGCTATGGGTTTGTCAGAAATAGCGCTTATTGTTTTGTGATATGTTCCATTAATATCTAGTTTATTGAGAATTTTAGCATGAAGGGTGTTGAATTTTATTGAAGGCCTTTTTGGCATCTATTGAGATAATTATGTGGTTCTGTTAATATGATGGATTACGTTTATTGATTTGCATATGTTGAACCAGCCTTGCATCCCAGGGATGAAGCCAACTTAATCTTGGTGGATAAGCTTTTTGATGTGCTGCTGGTTTTGGTTTGCCAGTATTTTACTGAGGATTTTCACATCAATGTTCATCAGGGATATTGGCCTGAAATTTTCTTTTTTTGTTGTGACTCTGCCAAGTTTTGGAATCAGGATGATTCTGGCTTCATAAAACAAGTTAGGGAGGAGTCCCTCTTTTTCTATTGTTTGGAATAGTTTCAGAAGGAATGGTACCAGCTCCTCTTTGTAGCTCTGGTAGAATTTGGCTGTGAATCTGTCTGGTCCTGGACTTTTTTTGGTTGGTAGGCTATTAACTATTGCCTAAATTTCAAAAGTTGTTATTGGTCTATTCAAGGATTTGACTTCTTCCTGGTTTAGTCTTGGGAGGGTGTATGTGTCCAGGAATGTATCCATTTATTCTAGATTTTCTAGTTTATTTGTCTAGAGGTGTTTATAGTATTCTCTGATGGTAGTTTGTATTTCTGTGGGATCAGATAAAGGGTGATATCCCCTTTATCATTTTTTATTGTGTCTATTTGATTCTTCTCTCTTTTCTTTTTTATTAATCTGACTAGTGTTCTATCTATTCTGTTAACTTTTTCAAAAAAACAACTCCTGGATTCATTGATTTTTTGAAGGGTTTTTTGAGTCTCTATCTCCTTCAGTTCTGCTCTGATCTTAGTTATTTCTTGCCTTCTGCTAGCTTTTGAATTTGTTTGCCCTTGCTTCTCCAGTTCTTTTAATTGTGATGTTAAGGTGTCAATTTTAGATCTCTCTTGCTTTCTGATCTGGCCATTTAGTGCTATAAATTTCCTTCTTAACACTGCTTTGGCTGTGTCCCAGCTAAAAAGATTCTGGTATGTTGCCTCTTTGTTCTCATTGGTTTCAAAGAACTTCTTTATTTCGGCCTTAATTTCATTATTTACCCAGTAGTCATTCAGGAGCAGGTTGTTGAATTTCCCTGTAGTTGTGCAGTTTTGAGTGAGGTTCTTAATCCTGACTTCTAATTTGATTGCACTGTGGTCTGAGAGACTGTTTTTTATGATTTCCAATCTTTTGCATTTGCTGAAGAGTGTTTTACTTCCAATTATGTGGTTGATTTCAGAATAAGTACTATGTGATGCTGAGAAGAATGCATATTCTGTTGATTTGGGGTGGAGAGTTCTGTAGATGTCTATTAGCTCTGCTTGGTCAAGAGCTGAGTTCAAGTCCTGAATATTCTTGTTAATTTTCTGTCTCATTGATCTGTCTAATATGGACAGTGGGCTGTTAAAGTCTCCAACTATTATTGTGTGGGAGTCTAAGTCTCTTTTTAGGTCAGGTGCTCCTGTATTGGGTGCATATATATTTTGGATAGTTAGCTCTTCTCATTGCATTGATCCCTTTACCATTATGTAATGACCTTATTTGTCTTTTCTGATCTTTGTTGGTTTTAAGTCTGTTTGGTCAGAGACTAGGATTGCAATCTCTGCTTTTTTTTTCTTTTCATTTGCTTGGTAAATTTTTCTCCATACCTTTATTTTGAGCCTATATGTGTCTTTGCATGTGCAATGGGTCTCCTGAATACAGCACACCAATGGGTCTTGACTCTTTATCCAATTTGCCAGTCTGTTTCTTTTAATTGGGGCATTTACCTCATTTACATTTAAGGCTAATATTGTTCTGTGTGAATTTGATTCTGTCATTATGATGCTACCTGGTTATTTTGCACCTTAGTTGATGCAGTTTCTTCATAGTGTTGATGGTCCCTATATTTTGGTATGTTTTTGTGGTGACTGGTACCTGTTTTTCCTTTCCATATTTAGTGCTTCCTTCAGGAGCTCTTGTAAGGCAGGCCTGGTGTTGACAAAATCCCTCACCATTTGCATGTCTGGAAAGGATTTTATTTCTCCTTCACTTATGAAGCTTAGTTTGGCTGGATATGAAATTCTGGGTTGAAGATTCTTTTCTTTAAGAATATTGAATATTGACACCCACTGTCTTCTGGCTTGTAGGGTTTCTGTAGAGAGATCCACTGTTAGCCTGATGGGCTTCCCTTTGTAGGCAACCTGACCTTTCTCTCTAGCTGCCCTTAACGTGTGTTTCTGCGTTTCAACCTTGGAGAATCTAAAGATTATGTGTCTTGGAGTTATTCTTCTCAAGGAGTATCATAGTGGTGTTCTCTATATTTCCTGAACTTGAATGTTGGCCTGTCTTGCTGTTCTCCTGGATAATATCCTGAAGTGTGTTTTCCAACTTGGTTTCATTCTCCCCATCACTTTTGGGTAGATCAATGAATCGTAGATTTGGTCTTTTCACAGTTCCATATTTCTTGGAGGCTTTGTTCCTTCCTTTTTATTCTTTTTTCTCTAATCTTGACTTCACACCTTATTTTAGTAAGTTAATCTTAAATCTCTGATATCCTTTCTTCCACTATTGATTTGGCTATTGATACTTTTGTATGCTTCAGGAAGTTCTCGTGCTGTGTTTTTCAGCTCCATCAGGTCATTTATATTCTTCTCTAAACTGAATATTCTAGCTAGCAGTTCCCATAACCTTTTATCAAGGTTCTTAGCTTCCTTGCATTGGGTTAGAACATGCTCCTTTAGCTCAGAGGAGTTTGTTACTACCTACCTTCTGAAGCCTACTTCTGTCAGTTTGTCAAACTTATTCTCTGTCCAGTTTTGTGCTCTCGCTGGAGAGGAATTGGGATCATTTAGAGAAGAGGCATTCTGGTTTTTGGAATTTTCAGCATTTTTGTGCTGGTTTTTCCTCATCTTTGTGGATTTGTCTACCTTTGATCTTTGAGGCTGATGACCTTTGGACTGGGTTTTTGTGGAGGGGGGGTCCGTTTTGCTGATGTTGATGTTATTGCTTTCTGTTAGTTTTTTTCTCATGGTTAGGTCTCTCTTTTGCAAGTCTGTTGCAGTTTGCTGGAGGTCCACTCCAGACCCTGTTTGCCTGGTATCACCGGCAGAGGCTGCACAACAGCAAGGATTGCTGCCTGCTCCTTCCTCCAAAAGTTATGTCCCAGGGGGGCACCGGCCTGATGACAGCTGGAACTCTCTGGTATGAGGTGTCGCTGTTGGGAGGTCTCTCCTAGTCAGGGACCCACTTGAGAAGGCAGTCTGTTCCTTAGCAGAGCTCGAGCGTTGTGCTGGGAGAATCCTCCTTGTCAGGATCCACTGCTCTCTTCAGAGCCAGCGGGCAGGAAAGTTTAAATCTGCTGAAGCTGTGCCCAAAGCCGCCCCTTGCCCCAGGTGCTCTGTCCCAGTGGGATGGGAGTTTTTTTTATCTATAAGCCCCTGACTGGGGCTACTGCCTTTCTTTCAGAGATGCTCTGCCCAGTGAGGAGGAATCTAGAGAGGCAGTCTGGCCATAGCTGCTTTGCAGTGCTGTGTTGAGTTCCATCCAGTCCAAACTTCCCAGCCTCCTTAGCAGGAGAAAAATCGCCTACTCAAAGCCTCACTAATGGTGGACGCCCGTCTCCCAACTAGACTCCATTGTCCCAGGTCAACTTCAGACTGCTGTGCTGGCAGTGAGAATTTCAAGCCAGTGGTTCTTAGCTTGCTGGGCTGTGTGGGAGTGGGACCCATTGAGCAAGACCACTTGGCTCCCTGGCTTCAGCCTCCTTTCCAGGGGAGTGAACAGTTCTGTCTCGCTGGGGTTCCAGGTGCCACTAGGGTACAAAAAAAAAAATCCTACAGCTAGCTCGGTGTCTCCCCAAACAGCTGCCCAGTTTTGTGCTTGAAACCCAGGGTCCTGGTGGTGTAGGCACAGGAGGGAATATCCTGGTCTGTGGATTGCAAAAACCGTGGGAAAAGCATAGTATCTGGGCTGAATAGCACAGTCCTTCAGGGCTCCCCTTGGCTGAGAGAGGGAGGACCCTGGCTCCTTGCACTTCCCAGGTAAGTCAACGCCCCCACCCTGCTTCTCCATGGGCTGTACCCACTGCCTAATCAGTCCCAATGAGATGAACAGGGTACCTCAGTTGGAAATGCAGAAATCATCTTCTGTGTTGGTCTCACTGGGAGCTACAGACCAGAGCTGTTCCTATTCGGTCATTCTGCCAGATCTAAGACATGTTGAGCATTTTTTATATACTTGTTAGCCATTTGTATGTCTTCTTTTGAGAAACGTCTATTCATATATTTTGCCCATTTTTTAAATAAGATTGTTTGTTTGTTTTTGAGTTGAGACTCTTGTATATTCTGAATATTAGTCCTTTGTCAGTTGAATAGCTTGCAAATACATTATCCCATTACATAAGATGACTCTCCATTCTGTTGGTTTTTTCCTTTGCTGCACAAAAACCTTTTAGTTTAACAGTCTCATTTGTCTATTTTTGCTTTTGTTGAGTGTGCTATTGAAGTTTTACCCATCAAATTGTTGCCTGGACTGATGTCCACAAGTGTTTTCCCTATGTTTTTCTGTGATAGTTTTAAAGCTGGGGGTCTTACATTTAAATATTTAATCCATTTTGAATTGATTTTTCATACAGCACATTAATATCCACATTTCCCAGCATCAATTATGAACATACATTCCCCAATGTATATTGCTGGCCTTTGTGTCAAAAATAAGGTGACTTTAAATATGTAAATTTATTTCTGAATTCTCTATTCTGTTCCATTGGTCTACGTGTCTGTTTTTTACTGACAGGTCATTTTTTATAAAATTAAAACTCAACTCATTTCACATAAGTGACATGAAAGGAAATTCTTCACGGATAAAAGTTTGAAATCTTCCAATGTGCAATCTTGGGCTACATAAAATGTGCAATCTTGGGTGACATGAAAGGAAATTCTTCATGGATAAAAGTTTGAAATCTTCCAATGTGCAATCTTGGGCTACATATTTCAGTGTTCAGTGCTCCATTCTTCCACTCCTCTCCAGGCCTTTGCTTTTATGCTTTGAGTGCAAGTCAATCTTACCCACTAGAGTAAGTCCAGTTTAGGGCAGTGCCTGTGTCTAATTCATCTTCATACACTTCTCAGCACCTAGTACAGTGCTGTGCATGCAGTGTATTTGCTCTCTATACACACACATGCATATGGTTGTTTTTCTAGCTTGCAGGTCTTGCATCCATTTGATATGAGACTCAGTGACCCCAGCTGAATCACTGAATCCCTCTTGCTATGCACTCTACGGGCAGCTGCATAGAGCTCTTTGTGTGAAAATAAGCTTACTATCAAAACATTCCACACCTGAAATTCAGTCTGTTCATTGGATGCTGATATTGAGACTGCTAGGCATATATACAATAATTATTGCATCATGTAATAATACTAAACTGTGAATTAATTTGATCTGTGACCATCTACTAGAAGAATTCCATAGCCTGCAAACCAAATGAACCGAAAGTGAGGAAATGATGCTTCCTCATCCCCACCATCTAAATGAAAAATTCCCTAAATATTTTTTCCCAGCTGTCTGACATAAAAACAAAAAGCACAAAAACTGTCCCCAACACATTGCACTAAACAGAAAAGAGTGGTTTTCTTAATATCTAGTCTATTTCCCAGAAATGAAGAGCTTGTCCCTGCTTTCACTTTCAATTTGGGGCAGTTTTGGTAGTTTGAGTCTTTCTACGAATTTGTCCATTATGTCTAATTTAATTTGTTGGCATACAGTTGTTGATAGCATTACCTTAAAATCTTTTTTATTTTTGTAAGGTCAGAAGTAATGTCCCCTTTTTCATTCTTGATTTTGGTAATTTGAGTCTCCTGTTCTTCTGCTGGGTTTTTTGTTTTGTTTTGGCCAGTCTAACAAAACAGGTTTTTTTTGCCAATTTTGTTGATCTCTTCTAAGAACAGCTTTTGATTTTATTGATTTTCTCTACTTTTGTCTTATATTCTCTATCTCATTAATTTCTACTCTTTATTTCCAAAATTCTTTATTATTTTCTTCTTTCTGCTAGCTTTGGGTTTAGTTTGCTCTTCATTCACCAGCGTCTTAAGGTAAAAGATTAGGTTATTGATTTGAGTTCTAATATTTTCTTACTAATTTCTCTAGAGTGTATCATATATGTAATTTATGAGAATGTATATCACATTTATGCTAAATCAATTCCAATGAGAAAATTTTTACTCTTATAAATCTAAAAATACTAGTTTTCTCACTTTTTTGATACTATTAAATACGTTAAATATATGTTCAAACAATATAATACATTGTTATAATTAATTCACATAATTTTATGTCTTTTAAAGAAGCTGAAGGGGAAGGTATAAATGTATAGAGCTTGTTATGTTAACTTACAGTTTCAGGTTCTCTTAATGTATTCCTGGGGGTTCAAGTTAACATCTGCTGTCATTTCTTTATTCCAATGCAGCTTCGCTCCTACTGTCCTCTCTTGTCCTGTTCTTAAGTATATCACGTTTCTATATGTTATGAGCCTGAAACACAATTATATACATATTGCTTTATACAACTGTCTTTTAAAAATTAGTTAAAAAGAGAAATAAGAAGAAATATGCATTTATACAGTCTTTTATAACTATATAATTATCTTACTGGTGCTCTTTGTTTGTCCATGTGGATGTGTATTGCCATCTGGAGTCATCTGCTTTCTGCCTGAAAACCTTCTTTTATTAATAGTATTTCTTGTAAAGTCAGTCATCTAGTAGTAAATTTTATTTATGTTTCCAGGCTTGAATCTCCCCCCGGCCCACACTCTTTTTCAAATAAAGTCAGTTTCTGTGGGAAAAGCTTTGGAGCTCTGATTTTATGGACTGCCTCTCTCTCTCTGGAAAATATCTCTGAGCCATGACCCCTTCGAATGGGCAGAGGTGGTAGCTTCTGCTCTTTGCCAGTTGCCCCTCCCAACACGGAAAAACCACCCTACAAGTGAACCAGAGTGAGGGTGACAGGCCAGGGTTTCTCATTCTGCCATTCCTGAGCTAAAGCTGAAATCTTCTTGCAAAAATTATAACTGAGAATATTATTATGTGAAAGAGATCTGACCTGACTCTATCTTACTTCTAACCTCCAAGCTGTCCTTGTTCATCCCTGAGCATAGGCCAAACTGACATTGGAAGGAATTTAGTCAGCCTTTTCCCAAAATAAAACCCCTTCTTCCCTGAGAACTAGACTAACTTTGCAAGACTAACAAATCAGCCATGAGATTAGAAACTGTGGTCTGAGAGTCATGCAGCTAGAGGCCACAAGATTCCAGACCTCTCCAATTGCCATCCAGGTCAATAAACTGGCTCATCTGGTCTTGTGGCCCCCAGCCAGGAACCAACTCATGCAAGAGGACAACTTTGATGCCCTGTGATTTCATCCCTAACCCAGCCAATCAGCACTCCCCACTCCCCAACCTCCTACCCACCAAATTATCCTCAGAAACCCCCATACCCACATTATCAGGGAGAATCTTTTGAGTAATAATAAAACTTGAGAATCCCATACAGCCAGCTCTGCGTGAATTAAACGCTTTCTCTACTGCAATTCCCCTGTCTTGATAAATCAGCTCTACCTAGGCAACAGGCAAGGAGAACCTGTTGGGCAGTTATGGAGCCTCTGCTCTATGAGTGGGACTGGGAAAGTTTGGGAGCCCTTGACTTCTGGTCACACTCACCAGAAATTTAGTCTTTACAACTCACTATTGGAGGGGATGAAAAATTCTGGTGGACTGGCACTCCTGATAGGATATGTCATCCCTGCTCAGAATGTGAGAGAAGAGGCAGCCCCACCTTCTTTCCATAGCCCCCAGTAGTGGACCTTTTGTCAACCCGAACTGAAAATGAGGATGAAGAGGCCCAAGGGTCAAGTGCCACAGATTCTTGTTATTCTTACCGGAGTTATAGGAGCTCTCCTTGAATAGATGTTTCATTGTGATGTATGCTTCCTGTGGGGAAAAGCAAGAGAGATCAGATTGTCACTGTGTCTGTGTAGAAAGAAGTAGACATGGGAGACTCCATTTTGTTATGTACTAAGAAAAATTCTTCTGCCTTGAGATTCTGTGACCTTACCCCCAACCCCGTGCTCTCTGAAACATGTGCTGTGTCAAACTCAGGGTTAAATGGATTAAGGGCGGTGCAAGATGTGCTTTGTTAAACAGATGCTTGAAGGCAGCACGCTCCTTAAGAGTCATCACCACTCCCTAATCTCAAGTACCCAGGGACACAAAAACTGTGGAAGGCCTCAGGGACCTCTGCCTAGGAAAGCCAGGTATTGTCCAAGGTTTCCCCCCATGTGATAGTCTGAAATATGGCCTTGTGGGAAGGGAAAGACCTGACCGTCCCCCAGCCCGACACCCGTAAAGGGTCTGTGCTGAGGAGGATTAGTATAAGAGGAAGGCATGCCTCTTGCAGTTGAGACAAGAGGAAGGCATCTGTCTCCTGCCCGTCCCTGGGCAATGGAATGTCTCGGTATAAAACCCGATTGTATGTTCCATCTACTGAGATAGGGAAAAACCACCTTAAGGCTGGAGGTGGGACATGCGGGCAGCAATACTGCTTTGTAAAGCATTGAGATGTTTATGTGTATGCGTATCTAAAAGCACAGCACTTAATCCTTTACCTTGTCTATGATGCAAAGACCTTTGTTCACGTGTTTGTCTGCTGACCCTCTCCCCACAATTGTCTTGTGACCCTGACACATCCCCCTCTCGGAGAAACACCCACGAATGATCAATAAATACTAAGGGAACTCAGAGGCTGGCGGGATCCTCCATATGCTGAACGCTGGTTCCCCGGCTCCCCTTATTTCTTTCTCTCTACTTTGTCTCTGTGTCTTTTTCTTTCCTAAGTCTCTCGTTCCACCTTACGAGAAACACCCACAGGTGTGGAGGGGCAACCCACCCCTACACTTCCAGGACAATCTGCAGAGATTTTAAATGGTTCAAATAATTTTGACAGATGTAAGAATGTTATGCTCTAAAAAGTAAAAGACTTTAAAGTAGTTTTAATAATAAAGGAGCTACAGTGTTAAGGAAGGATGATAGAAAGAGTTTAGATAAAATTATTTTACAAAGTATGAATGAGAAAAGACACTGTATCTGCAATTTATATACATCTAATATATAATTTTAATGTGTAAGTGAGAAATGCTTGGCCAGGCCTGGTGGCTCACACTTGTAATCCCAGCACTTTGGGAGGCCAAGGTGGGTGGATCATCTGAGGTCGGGAGTTCGAGACCAGCCTGACCACCATGGAGAAACCCCATCTCTACTAAAAATACAAAATTAGCCAGGATAGTGGTACATGCCTGTAGTCCCAGCTACTTGGGAGGCTGAGGCAGGAGAATTGATTGAACCCAGGAGGCGGAGGTTGCAGTGAGCCGAGATCGTGCCACTGCACTCCAGCCTGGGCAACAAGAGTGAAACTCCATCTCAAAAAAAAAAAAAAAAAAAAAGAAAAAGAAAAAGAAAAAAAAAGAAATGCTCACACAAGGTTGGGTCTGGTGGCTCATGCCTATAATCCCAGCAATTTGGGAGGCCGAGGCAGGGGGATCATTTGAAGGAAGGAGTTCAAGACCAACCTAAGCAACAAAGTGAAACCACATCACTATAAATATATTTTTAAATGAAATGTTCACTCAGGCTTTTTACTATTTTATTTGCTTTTGCTGTAAAATAGAGATAATGCCACTTATTCTGTATGCTAGAAGTCATTACTGAATTAGACATAAAACACAAACAGCTCTTAGAAAACAATCTATAAAAATAAAATCACACTATAATAAATTTAAAAATAAAAAACCTATAAATAAAATATTTCTACAATTTTTCACTTAGTAAATAAGCAGCATAGTGAAGTGGTTCAAGAAGAGGGTATGGGATCATGAGTGCTTGGGTTCAGATTAGTTACAGTGTTATGATTTTAGACAACTAATAAAGTCTTTCTGTGCTCAGTTTCTATAAAACCATGAGGAAATATTATGAGTTTTCAGTTGTGCGATTCATGTAAAGCCATCAGTACTGAGCCTAGAACATGAGTACAACACATGGAGCCCCCTCCTGGCTGTGTGCTGGGCATTAAGTGCCAGGGGTTAGGTGTTCATGAGTGTGTTAAACATGTCCTTTCCTTATGTACTGCACCTCTCAAAGAATAGGCAGCTCCATTGAGAGTGTGTCTATTATTTTAGGAAATTGTAGCTGAAAATTAACATGATGCCTCCTCATTCTAGGTTTCTCAAATTGACTCAATCCATGAGACATGTATCATTGTATTCAAAACCTAATGGGCATTTTGTTAGACAACAAATGGTCTCTAAGATTTCCAACAACAACAAAAAAAATTTGAAGCTTCTGGTTGAGAAATCTTTAAACCCTCCCACTGGCACACTCCACTAATTCCATTTATGGTAGTGGAGTCAGTGATTTGAACGAAGTACTTTCAGTTTCATATTACTCTAAATCCATTACAAATCTGCTTAGCTTCTAAATATTTCATCAATGAGGAAATCCCAGCCCTACAACTTCGGAACAGTGAAATATTAGTCCAGGGATCCAGTGAGAGACACAGAAGTGCTAGAAGCCAGTGCTCGTGAACTAAGGAGAAAAAGAACAGGTAAGAACTTTTACTACTTCTCATCAAGCAGCTTTCTCTCTAGCTCCAAAGGATCTCAGCTCAGTGATATGGAACCTATAAGGTTGTGGCAGGGATGGGAAGGAATTTATAAAGGTCAGTTCATTTTCTTAAACATCATCAGAACCAAATTAGGCTGCAGATGAGCCTGAAGTGGGACGCAGGTCAGATGAAATCCTGGTGTTATCAGGGACAGCATGGCCTTAAGTGCCACTACAGTGCTTGTGTTGAATTAGGCACCAGTAGACAGGGGCTAAACTGAGCATTTGAAATGTACTAGGATAGTCTTTCTCTTTGTTGACATTATCTATGTTGACTAGGGATATGATTACATTTCCATCGTCAGTGATGGACTGAATCCTGCTTCTATGCAGCTAAGAAATGGAAGAGTTACAAACGGGTTCTTTTCATGGAAGGAAAGAACAGCAAATGAGAAGCAGAGTAAGCAGCCCACTGACACGGTTAAAGACAAAGAAAAAACTGAAACTCAGCCTGAAAGATGAAGATTCATGAAAACAGTATACTTTTTATTACACTTGTGAACTTTGTTTCAGAATGGATTACTTTCTTTAGAAATAGTCCAGACTCACTAATTTCCTAGTGCCCACTGATCCCTGTCCCTTAGAAGTGAAATTCAACCCCACTGCTTCACTGAAGTGCTTCCAATTTTGTCTTCTTTTAGTAGAGAGCAGGGCCAAAAGTGTTTCCTCTTTAATTCTCCTGTAATGCATCTCTACAGAAAATATCTTTGCTTACTTTAACCTCTCCATGCACTCAGACTACTTTGATCCTGCCTTCTGCAAAGTCTTCCCCTGAATGCCTTGTCAAGACACTAGCCTCATTCATCACCTCTGGTCTGACAGCTCCTCTCTCTCTCTCTCTCTCTCTCTCTCTCTCTCTCACACACACACACACACACACACACACACACACACACACACATTCCCAGCCCCTTATCCTCCTCTCCACTCCTACTATTCCTCCTCTTTCTATTTCTCTTTCTCCTACCCTACCAAATGGAAAACAGAACAAAACAGAAATCCTAAAGCTGTATCGCTGGAAATATATTTTATTTGAACAACTTCCTAGGTAGCTCTCTTTATCTGCCTCTTGATCTTTTAATCCTTATTATCTGGAGGAAACATTCAGTATTTGCAATTTTGCATTCATACCCTCAGTGACTTAGAAGCTATCTTATCGTGACTCTAATGAAGCTTAAGTTTCAGGGCCCTTCTCTTGGACATGACCCTTAGGAGCCCTTGGAAGGTTCCCTAGCCATGTGTTTCACATGGTTGTATAGTTTTATAAAATTTGCAAAAGTATGTTACATTGTTACCACTTCCAGAATGGCAATGTGAGAAGCTTTGTCAATCCTCATTGCAGTGAAATAAGCATAATCATTTGAAGATGGAGGAAGGAACACATTTAAAAATCTTTGGAAATTTTTCTAAGGGTAAACATCAAACTATGAATACTGATTCACTGTGTTGGATGTTTATTCACTGTGAGAATTAATAAGTGAATCAATATTGAATTCCTTACATACAGCCAGGATGCAAATAAATCCTCTAAATCCTATTCTATCTTCCATTAATTGACTAGTGAAAATATCTAATAAGAATCCAAAAAGAAAGTTTTCCACAATAAACTAAATGAAATATTTGGGTCGTGAGAGTAGTTGAGTGTTGATAAGTCACTGTCATGCTAACATTTTTCATAATGAGCTACTTTGACAATACTTCCATAACTTTCTCAAATGATACAGATTTTGCCTCATCTCTTTTGCTGTCACACACAAAACTTTTGGCCATACTGGGGAATCTTATGATTCTCCCTTATAATTGCAAAACACTAGAAATTCTCATGTATTTCACCTCTTCTCTTGCAGACAAGGGAACAGCCTGGACATGGCATCAGAGATCCACATGACAGGCCCAATGTGCCTCATTGAGAACACTAATGGGCGACTGATGGCGAATCCAGAAGCTCTGAAGATCCTTTCTGCCATTACACAGCCTATGGTGGTGGTGGCAATTGTGGGCCTCTACCGCACAGGCAAATCCTACCTGATGAACAAGCTGGCTGGAAAGAAAAAGGGTGAGTGGCATGAGCAAAGCTCTGCCAAGTCCCTTCTGTCCATCTACACAGTCAGCCTCCATTATGAAGATGTGAGGAGAGAAAGAGATGAGGATGAATACTGAAAGCTAACTTTCCATTCACAGTCGGGCTCCTTATCTTCACGCTGTTCTAGGGGATAAGAATCAATTCATTAATTATTCCCATGATACCTTAGTTTCCATTTCAAAAGCACAAATTATGCCTCTCCTAAAAGGAGTAAGACAGTAATAAAAATAATTAATGTACATAATAATAACTATAATAAACTATACAATGTTTATTACAATTTTTATGCAATAACAGAGTTCACAGTGATCTTTAAGGTTGAAAAAATGTTTCAATCTGTAGTGGATATTATTTTTTGTTGTTGTAAAAAAAATAAAATTTAACCTCGTAACCATTTTTAAGTGTACAGCTCTGTAGCATTAATGAAATTCACATTGTTATACAGCTGTCACCTCCATCCATATCCAGAAATCTTTCATCTTGCCTAACAGAAACTGTATTAACTAAACAAAAGCTCCACATAAACCCATTGCCTGCCATCATTCTACATTCTATCTCTATGAATTTGACTACTACAGAAACCTTATATAAGTGGAATCATTCAATATTTGTCCTTTTATGACTGGCTTATTTCAATTCATATGTCTTCAAGGTTCATCAGTGTGTTAGCATGTGTCAAAACTCTTCCTTTTTAAGGCTTAGTAATTGTACGTGTATACTAATTTGTTTATCTCTTCATCTGTCAATGGACACTTGGATTTCTTCCACCTTTTGTCTATTATAAATAATGCTAATAGGAACATGGGTGTCTGAATATCTGTTCAAGTCCCTGCTTTCACTTCTTTTGGGAATATACCCAGAAGGGGAATTGCTGGCTCATGCAGTCATTGCATGTTAACTTTTTTTAAGAAATCACTATACCATTTTCCACAGTGACTGTACCGTTTTACATTCTCAACAGAAATGCACAAGGGTTCTAATTTCTCTACATCCTCACCAACATTTTTTATTTTCAGTGGTTTTTTTTTTTTATAGTGGCCATACGAATGGAAGTTAAGTAGTATCTCGTTGTGGTTTTGATTTTGATTTCCGTAATGACTAGTGATGTTGAGCATCTTTTCACGTGCTTATTGGCCACTTGTATATCTTCTTTGGGAGAATGTCTATTCAAGTCCATTGTTCATTTATTAATCTGGTTGTTTATTTCTGTTGCTTTGTAAATTTTTTTATATTTTCTAGATATCAATCCCTTATCATATACATGTTTAGAAACCATTTTCTTACATTCCGTGTGTTGCCTTTTTTAACTCTGTTGATAGTGTCCGTTAATACACAAAAGTTTTAAATTTTGCTGAAGTCCCACTAATCTATTTTTTCTTTTATTGTCTATAGTTTTGGTTTCTTATTCAAAAAATAATTTCCAAATCCAATATTATAAAACTTTTACCCTTTATTTTCTTCTACAACTTTTATAGTTTCAACTCTAATGTTTGGTTCTTTGATCCATTTTGAGTTCATATTTGTAAGTTATAAGGTAATAGCCCAACTTTTTAAGGAGATATATCATTTCCTCAACATCATTTGTTAAAGAGACTCTCCTTTCTTCATTAAATGATCTTGACACCCATACTGGAAATCATTTGACCATATATATCAGAGTTTATTCATGGGCTGTCTTTTCTATTCTATTGGTTTATATGTCAGTCTTTATACCAGTACCACACATGGTTTTGTAATACGTTTCACAACTCAGAAACTGTGAGACTCCAACTTTGCTCTTCCTTTTTATTTTTATAATTAGGGGATCTCTGGAAATTTCATATGAAATTTATGGTGGATTTTTCTATTTATACAAAGTAATTGGAATGTTGGTAGGGATTATATCAAACCTGTACATCACTTTGGGTAGTAGTGACATCTTAAGAATATTAAGTCTTCCAATCCATAAACACAGGATGTCTTTCTAATAACTTATGTCATCTATAATTTCTTTAAAGGGTGTTTGAAGTTTTCACTCTACAAGTCTTCCACCTGCTTGGTTAAGCTGATTCCTAAGTAGTTTATTCTTTTGATGCTGTTAAATTGGATTGTTTCCAAAATTTCCTTTTCTATTTTTTACACTAGCAACTGATTTCTCCATATTGACTTTGCATGCTGCAACTTTGATGAATTGTTTTAATAGTTCTAATAGTTTTTTGTGGGATAGTTAATGTTTTCTACAAATTAGATACTATCATCAGCAGACAGAGATAATTTTACTTTTTCATTACCAATTAGGATGCCTCCTTTATGCTTCTCTTGTCTAATTACTCTGGATAGGACTTGCAGTGTTCTGTGGAATGCAATTGACAAAAGTAGGCATCCTTTTCTTGTTCATGATGTTATAGGAAAAGCTATGACGTTTCATCATTAAATGTGAAGTTAGCTGTGGGTTTTTAATACATGGCATTTATTATGTTGAGGTGCTGTCTTTCTATTTCTACTTTGTTGATTATTTTTATCATGAAAGCCTCCTGAATGTTTCCATGCATTGGATATTCAAATTTCCTATTTCTTTGATTGTAAGTACGTAAGGTGAATACTGATTGTTGTTTCAGTTCTCTCTCTTAACCTTAAATATACTACTTTTTCCTTCAATTGCCAGAACTGCCTGTTACTAAATCCCCATCGCTGGTCTCCTCTCTCCCTTGCAGGCTTCTCTCTGGGCTCCACGGTGCAGTCTCACACTAAAGGAATCTGGATGTGGTGTGTGCCCCACCCCAAGAAGCCAGGCCACATCCTAGTTCTGCTGGACACCGAGGGTCTGGGAGATGTAGAGAAGGTGAGACTCAAGGATCCAGTTGTGGAGTAAGCCCCTCCTCTCTGAATATTTTATGCAGCGGTTAATTGTTTATTAACTATTAACTACAGGCTGTAATATGTGTGGGTTAACACAGATGCATAAAGGGAGCACAAATAATCCCAGTGTCATAAGTCTTATCCTGCACAGAACTTTAGTTAAGAATTTGGGTGCTAAAGCCATGTGACTTTGTATTTAAATTTAAATTCTGTCACTAATTCAGTAGCCTGAGAAAATTGACTTATTTTCGCCTCAGCATTCTAATCTTTAAAATGTATGGAAAAGACCTATGTTGGCCATATAGTATTATTTTGAATATTTAATAAGATAATACATTACAGGTGTATATTAATTATTCAATAAAATAGCAACTAATAGTACCAATCTTATATGTGAATTCTGTTATTGAAAAAAAGAAGAGAAAATTTTAAATTTACATTGTACTCAGGCCTTAAAATGCCCACCAACCTTGAATTTTAATTTTACAATTATCTGTTGATGATCATTAGAAGACCTAGTAAGAATCATGGTAACCCAAAAACACTCGTCGAAAAACTACCCAAAAGCCACATCCTACTGAGAATAATTTTTGTATTTGTCTTCCTTTAATAGGTCATTAGTGTTAAAAAAAAAAAAAAAAAAGAAAAGAAAAAAAAACCCTCTAACATATGAACATAGTTTTACTACTGTTACTCTGAAAAGTGCTGCGATGATGAAACTTGCTCCTGACTCCAGTGTGTCTTGACTTCCAGGGTGACAACCAGAATGACTCCTGGATCTTCGCCCTGGCCGTCCTCCTGAGCAGCACCTTCGTGTACAATAGCATAGGAACCATCAACCAGCAGGCTATGGACCAACTGTAGTATCCTTTTGTGACCCAGAACAGCACCAAGGTCAGAGGGGACACCTGTATTCATACACCAGCTGCCTGACTGTGAATCCTGATGAATCAAGCTCAAAAGGAGAAAACAAAAAATAATGCAAGTACAGAGGAGAGATCCCATGTATCCACTTTAGAACTGACACTGACACTTAGGTTAGGAGCAAAGGAAAATGGAAGGTTTGGGTATGTGTTGAACTAACATGGGATGAGGTCCCTGTTCATTTTGTCACATTTCCTTAGTTAGCTACTCAGCTATGTGACAGAGCTGACACATAGAATCCGATCAAAATCCTCACCTGATGAGAATGAGAATGAGGTTGAGGATTCAGCTGACTTTGTGAGCTTCTTCCCAGACTTTGTGTGGACACTGAGAGATTTCTCCCTGGACTTGGAAGCAGATGGACAACCCCTCACACCAGATGAGTACCTGACATACTCCCTGAAGCTGAAGAAAGGTAACAGAGAGCTTCAACTGATAAATGAGGATGAGAAAACACAAGAAATTATCATTTTTCAGTTTACTATTGCTAGTTTTCCAGCATTTGCAGTTTTCTATGTCTTCAGCTGGCTATTCCTAGAAATTAATACTTGCTGAATATCCAAATTAATAGATGTTATTTTAAATTACATTTGTCATTGTTCTAGAACAAGTTTCTTGTTCTTTCACCTTTGTGTATGCTGTGATTAGGTTAATTTTATCTCCCTGCCTAGGGTTTGTGATCTTCTACTTAGCCATAGAGTATGGAGTACAATGGATATTTATTTAAAGAACATAGACTAAAACATGAACCGTGTGCTAGTCCAAGCATTGGCAAACTACAGCCCAAGACAAATCATGGCAAATCCTGCCTGCCAGCTGTCTTTGTAAATAAGGTTTTTTTGGAATAATGCTATGCCCATTCATTTACATATTGTCTAAAGCTGTTGTCATGCTTCAATAACAGAGTTGAATACTTGGAAAAGAGACCATCCAGCCTGAAGAGCCTAAAATATTTACTATTTGGCCCTTTACAGAAACACTTATATTAGGCAATTTTATAATTTTTTAAATGTTTTTCTAGGTACCAGTCAAAAAGATGAAACTTTTAACCTGCCCAGACTCTGTATCCGGAAATTCTTCCCAAAGAAAAAAT
Organism: Homo sapiens; assembly: GCF_000001405.40. Classification (NCBI taxonomy): domain Eukaryota; kingdom Metazoa; phylum Chordata; class Mammalia; order Primates; family Hominidae; genus Homo; species Homo sapiens. Next base: position 89,058,162 of record NC_000001.11, on the reverse strand, counting down.
GCTTTGTCTTTGATCGGCCCGTTCACCGCAGGAAGCTTGCCCAGCTCGAGAAACTACAAGATGAAGAGCTGGACCCCGAATTTGTGCAACAAGTAGCAGACTTCTGTTCCTACATCTTTAGTAATTCCAAAACTAAAACTCTTTCAGGAGGCATCCAGGTCAACGGGCCTCGTAAGTCCCCTTCCTAGTACTTCTGCTCATTGTTTAAGACTAGAGGAGCATAGAATAACTTCCACCTAGTTTCAGCATTGAAAAATCCCAATCTACTGCTATATTTGTGTTAAATTCTAGATGGCACCAATGTTTCTAACATATATTGTTAGTCACATTTCCAGTCTAGGAAAAGGCCAAAGGAAAAAAGTTCTATTGCTTGAAATTGCCCTAGTGAACTGGACCTGCACTATGCAATAGAGTAGCCCCTAGACAAGTGTGTCTATGTAAACATAAATGTAAATAATTTAAATAGGGAAAATTTAAAAGTCAATTCACATGCCTGTATTTCAAGGACTAATATTTACACGTACTTAGTGACTAGCACACTGAAAAGCACATATACAACATTCCCAGCATTACAGAAAGCGCTTTTGAACAATACTGCAATAAAATAAACTAAATGGATGACTCTTTTTTATTGGAATAGTGTCATTTGTTTCATACATATTGATCAAATGCTTACTATGAATAGACTGAAGATACAGATATAAATGAAATAGATATGGTTCCTGTCCTAATGTTGGTTGGGGTTAAAATGGATGCAAACATTCAATTAACACAAGTCTATGTAATCTAGTACAAGAACTCTCAAATGTTGGTATGCATACATATCTTCTGAGGATCTTACCAAACACAAAAGTCTAATTCAATAGATCTCGGACAGGGTCTGAGAGTCTATTTCCAGCAAGCTTCCAAGTGATGCTGAGGACATTGATGCTGTGAGGAAAATAGGTGGTATTTGACATGCTCAGAATTACATGGAATAGAGACTTTCTTTACCACCAGAAACATTATCATTTGTTCTTCATATGCAGGTCTAGAGAGCCTGGTGCTGACCTACGTCAATGCCATCAGCAGTGGGGATCTGCCGTGCATGGAGAACGCAGTCCTGGCCTTGGCCCAGATAGAGAACTCAGCTGCAGTGCAAAAGGCTATTGCCCACTATGAACAGCAGATGGGCCAGAAGGTGCAGCTGCCCACAGAAACCCTCCAGGAGCTGCTGGACCTGCACAGGGACAGTGAGAGAGAGGCCATTGAAGTCTTCATCAGGAGTTCCTTCAAAGATGTGGACCATCTATTTCAAAAGGAGTTAGCGGTAATTTTTGTCTCAAATGTATACGGTTTAGGGTCATAGAAGCTAAAGTACCACAAGGAAAGAAAACTATTATTTATTTTGACGGAAGTAATTCCTCCTAGCTTCCATAATGGTGAAAACAACAGATTTGTGATCACATCAGTCAGAAGGACCAACTGTATTATTACAGACCCAAAGTTCTAAAACATTTTTTCCTGAATAATTTTCCCTTTACTTATGCATACAACTGACAACCAGAGCTTCTAATAAAATTACCTGCCCACTCTTCTCAGACTGATTTGATATTCTAGCCAAACACAAAGAAAATTTTCATCCTACTTATCTTGAGCAGGCTTCCGTTCAGCCACATTTATTCCATATGAAATCATTAGTCCAATATGCAAAAACAGAGTTTTCCTCTAACAGTTGACATAAAGCTATCAATCTCAGCCCTGAACCTCACCTCCAAAAAGAAAGCGACTTCAGCAGAAAGTGGGGTCAGAAGGAAGAGTGTGGTCCTGGTGAGGAGGCTGTCAGTTTCTCCAGCATCATTGACTTCTATTTTCAGAAATCGTTCCCAAAATTCTGAGGTCAAGCTAACATCCTTTCCCTGTTACTCTTTTTACTTCCTATTTTTACATTAAAGGCCCAGCTAGAAAAAAAGCGGGATGACTTTTGTAAACAGAATCAGGAAGCATCATCAGATCGTTGCTCAGCTTTACTTCAGGTCATTTTCAGTCCTCTAGAAGAAGAAGTGAAGGCGGGAATTTATTCGAAACCAGGGGGCTATCGTCTCTTTGTTCAGAAGCTACAAGACCTGAAGAAAAAGTACTATGAGGAACCGAGGAAGGGGATACAGGTAACCAAGATTTATCTGTCAATTATGGAAAGCTGCTGACCTGCCTCCTACAAACACCAAGGTGACCAAGCTTCACTGCATACAGATGTGCTTTTTTGTTTGCATAACATTCATGCTTTTATTCAATAACATATGCAAACAGGCTGTTATACCAGATATGTCCTAGGTGCTCATCAAAGAGAGTGCAGTCAATTAACTATTAAGTTATAAATTCAATTAGCAGATGAAGCACAAAGTTATTATTGTCATCATTACAGCTGGGCTTTTCCTGTTGCAAGAGACAGGAACCCAATGATGGCTGCTTAAACAAAAATGTAATTCATTGATTTAGGCTGCAAACTGGCTTTACAGGTCAGGTGGGTCTAAGGTTTCAAGTAACATCATGAACTGGCTCTCTGTCCAGTGTTCCCCCATCCCCACAGTTTTCTCCCTCCCACCATCCCTCTATCTGAGTCACTCTGATATTTGCTTTCTCAATGATGGCTTCATTCCCCAGCAGGCTCAGCCCATATGGGACCACAGCATTAACAGTTCCAAACTTAGAGCCCTTAATCTAAACAGGACAGAGACTCTCCTTTTCCCAGTATCTATATTAGCCTACTAAAAATGACTGCTAAGTAGGATGTTCTGATCGGCTTGCCAGGAGCATGTGTCTGTCGCTCCGACAGGGAATTTGACCACCAAGGACAATAGGGCCAAGAGAAAGAATTCCCAGAGGAGAAAGGATGGCAGGAAGACAAACAGGAACACCTGCTTACAGCCATTTCCTACTTCTCACTCTGTGTTCTCTGGGTCCTAAGGCTGAAGAGATTCTGCAGACATACTTGAAATCCAAGGAGTCTATGACTGATGCAATTCTCCAGACAGACCAGACTCTCACAGAAAAAGAAAAGGAGATTGAAGGTGAGGAGTGAGTTAAGAGATTAGATGGCCTCAAAAGCTCCAAAAATTGAAATAACTTGACTGGATAAACATGGGACCCTTTAACTAGAGCAAGATCCACAAAGGTGTGTCTTACTTGCCGAGGTCATCTCTGAGTAGGGCATATGCAGTCAGCAACAACGACAGGTAAGTGTATAAGGAAGAATGAGGCAACAAGATAACCCCACACAAATTTTTCTTCTGCCTTTTCCTCCTCAGTGGAACGTGTGAAAGCTGAGTCTGCACAGGCTTCAGCAAAAATGTTGCAGGAAATGCAAAGAAAGAATGAGCAGATGATGGAACAGAAGGAGAGGAGTTATCAGGAACACTTGAAACAACTGACTGAGAAGATGGAGAACGACAGGGTCCAGTTGCTGAAAGAGCAAGAGAGGACCCTCGCTCTTAAACTTCAGGTATCTAATTGCATCACCTTGAGGTTTCTGTTTTTCTGTTTTCTCTCCATTCTCCCTGATCGCAAACTTAGTGTGGCAGAGAGAACATGAAGCCCAGGGTAAGGACCCTGCTTGCTTACTTGTACTTTTCAATTCCTGTCTGTCCAGCCTGACTGGCTACTGCCAAGTCTGGTCACTGAAAGTTTTTTATTTGCAGTTGTGTAACATTCAGTCCTTTATCAATATATCCTTCATTTCAAGGAAGCTATTATCTGCTAGGCATCATTAAAATATCTGTATCTCGGTGGGGCATTGTGGCTCACGCCTGTAATCCCAGCACTCTGGGAGGCCAAGGCGGGCGGATCACGAGGTCAGGAGATTGAGGCCATCCTGGCTAACACGGTGAAATCCCGTCACTACTAAAAATACAAAAAATTTAGCTAGATGTGGTGGCGGGCACCTGTAGTCCCAGCTACTCAGGAAGCTGAGGCAGGAGAATGGAGTGAACCCAGGAGGCAGAGCTTGCAGTGAGCTGAGATCGCACCACTGCACTCCAGCCTGGGCAACAGAGCGAGACTCCAAAAAAAAAAATCTGTATCTCTTGCTTAATAACATATGTAGCAAGAACTATATCCTTATTACTTAGAAGAAGAAACAAAGGTTCCAAAAAGAATAAATAATTAAGTTCACACAGCTAGTAAATATATCAGAGCTGTCTTCATCACTTAGCGGAATCCACAATGATTATTTGTTTCTGTGACACCTACTATGAAATTAGATTTAAGAAACCTTTATGAGCAGAAAGGCTCCTAACCCTCACACCTGTGTGATACTCTGCTAATTCTGATTATTTTTAATGTCCTGCTCCCAGTTTGTTTTGAGTTGTGAGCTATGTGCAGAAACTCAGTATGGTCAGTCTGGCACTCAGATTTCTTACCTGTCTTCTGCTACCCCTGACACCAAGGTGTGGCAGCTTAGACCAAATTTCCTAATCCATGATTCATACACCTTATGAGATTTTGAGGATACTTTGCTTATTTCGGTGTTATGTCATATACATAATAGGGTAAGGAACATGGCTGTGCTTTGGTCAATGATAGGCCAAAGTATGACATTTACGTCTTGCGTGACTCAGAGAAAATTAAATAACAAATCATTTAATGTGGAAACCAGATAGAATGTTTCAATTTGCCTGATGCTACACTTTACTCAGCCTTCGTTTGTCCCTTTTTAGGAACAGGAGCAACTACTAAAAGAGGGATTTCAAAAAGAAAGCAGAATAATGAAAAATGAGATACAGGATCTCCAGACGAAAATGAGACGACGAAAGGCATGTACCATAAGCTAAAGACCAGAGCCTTCCTGTCACCCCTAACCAAGGCATAATTGAAACAATTTTAGAATTTGGAACAAGCGTCACTACATTTGATAATAATTAGATCTTGCATCATAACACCAAAAGTTTATAAAGGCATGTGGTACAATGATCAAAATCATGTTTTTTCTTAAAAAAAAAAAAAGACTGTAAATTGTGCAACAAAGATGCATTTACCTCTGTATCAACTCAGGAAATCTCATAAGCTGGTACCACTCAGGAGAAGTTTATTCTTCCAGATGACCAGCAGTAGACAAATGGATACTGAGCAGAGTCTTAGGTAAAAGTCTTGGGAAATATTTGGGCATTGGTCTGGCCAAGTCTACAATGTCCCAATATCAAGGACAACCACCCTAGCTTCTTAGTGAAGACAATGTACAGTTATCCGTTAGATCAAGACTACACGGTCTATGAGCAATAATGTGATTTCTGGACATTGCCCATGTATAATCCTCACTGATGATTTCAAGCTAAAGCAAACCACCTTATACAGAGATCTAGAATCTCTTTATGTTCTCCAGAGGAAGGTGGAAGAAACCATGGGCAGGAGTAGGAATTGAGTGATAAACAATTGGGCTAATGAAGAAAACTTCTCTTATTGTTCAGTTCATCCAGATTATAACTTCAATGGGACACTTTAGACCATTAGACAATTGACACTGGATTAAACAAATTCACATAATGCCAAATACACAATGTATTTATAGCAACGTATAATTTGCAAAGATGGACTTTAAAAGATGCTGTGTAACTAAACTGAAATAATTCAATTACTTATTATTTAGAATGTTAAAGCTTATGATAGTCTTTTCTAACTCTTAACACTCATACTTGAAAACTTTCTGAGTTTCCCCAGAAGAGAATATGGGATTTTTTTTGACATTTTTGACTCATTTAATAATGCTCTTGTGTTTACCTAGTATATGTAGACTTTGTCTTATGTGTGAAAAGTCCTAGGAAAGTGGTTGATGTTTCTTATAGCAATTAAAAATTATTTTTGAACTGAAAATACAATGTATTTCACTAGGCTTCTTATTTCTGATTTTCTTTTTTGCAGTTATTTTTATCAGAAAATAAGGTTTTACTCTTTATGGCAATGGCTGGTAATCTTTTCTGTAAAATACCAGATAGTAACGATTTATGGCTTTGCAGGTCATACAGTCTCTGTCTGAATTACTCAGCTCTGCATGTAGTGCAAACACAGCCATAGAAAATACATAAACCAATAGGTGTGGCTATGTTCCAATCAATTTTTACTTTCAATAACAGGATGGCACCCATAAGCCATAGTTTGCAGAACTCTGTTTTACAGAAACATTGGTCAGAGTTTTATATACCTGCATTGTGTTACTCACATGTATAAAAATCATATGGATTAGACTATATATATTACAATCTTGAAAAAACTATGCGGTTATTCAAAATAACACAGTGAGAAAAAAGCAAGGAAGCAGCTAATGCCATTAAATCCACATTAATAATCCTGTCTTTCCTAATTGCTTTGAGGCCTTTTGTTACCTTGAACTACCTGTGATCCAATCACACGGCAAATGCCTCCTTTCACAATAGAGCATGGTGCTGCCAAGCACTGTTTCTTCACTTGAACTGAAACTTTATAGAAGACCAGGTGAGAACACAGAATACTAGATGAAATGTTCATGTAGATATGCTTTATATTTTCTTCCAAGCTCCATTGCTACAAAGGTGTAAATAAAATACATTTTTATGAGTTGAAGTAACTTCACAGTAGAAAAGAATAACTCTGCCATTAAAAGCAAATAATGGTTTCTTTGTAAACCAATAAAGTATAAGAAAATGAAAAATCAGCAAAATTAAGTTACTTCCTCCCCAGTTTGGTAGTATTAATATTTAGACCATATTCTGGCCAGGCGCTGTGGCTCACGCCTGTAATCCCAGCACTTTGGGAGACCGAGGAGGACGGATCATGAGGTCAGGAGATGGAGAGCATCCTGGTTAACACGGTGAAACCCTGTCTCTACTAAAAATACAAAAAATTAGCCGGGCGTTGTGGCGGGCGCCTGTAGTCCCAGCTACTCTGGAGGCTGAGGCAGGAGAATGGCGTGAACCTAGGAGGCGGAGCTTGCAGTGAGCCGAGATCGCGCCACTGTACTCCAGCCTGGGCGACAGAGCGAGACTCCGTCTAAAAAAAAATAAAAAATTAGACCACATTCCAAACCATCTGACTTGGTTTAGTACTTTTCTCTAACATATGCCAGAACAGAATCAAGCTCTCTCCAGGGAGGCATGTTGCTTTCCCGTCCTTAGGCCCTCCAATGGCGTGCAAGGGTGCAGGCTATGGCGAGTGTGGCCGAACAATCACCAAGCTCCTGGATGGCATGCTTGGGTGCCAGTGGCAGGTGACCTGGGCCTGCTGTCACACTTCCTGATGTTGTGGGCACACGCCCGCAGCTACAGTTGAGGCAGCATGATCCCCAGGCCCTGGGCACCATGTTTGCGTGACGGGTGGTGTGAGAGCCTGTCCTCAGGACACAGAACTGCGTCTGGGCAGACCAGCTCCAGGACCATGGGAGGCACATGCAGATGCTTGGTGGCCCTGCTTCGGGTGGAAAGTTGAGAGGGTTGCTGTCGGTGGCAGTGGCCCCGGGCAAGTGGCTTTCAGAAACTGAGGAGTGTGCATTTGGGCTCCCTTTGTCCTGGGGGCAGTCTCCCTGGTGTGGTGCACTGCCTGTTCCTTACTGCACCACTGGATTCAGCCCACGGGACAAAGTTGCAGCCCTCTGGGTGGAAATGAAGAGATGTCCGCAGGGCTCCAGGGAAGTGGAGATGCTGGGGCTGTTGGGCCCCAGAGCAAGATACAGTCTGATGGGGGCTGGGCTTTCAAAATAGTGCTGCGCGGCAGCTCCTTGAGTCTTGGGAGTGTCAGTTACCTAAAGCAATGCAGGCCGTTTGCCTGATTGCAATGGAAAGCCAAACAAGGAAGCACAAGGGTTTTGTAGAGGGAAAGGTTTATTTTTATTCAACTAGGAAGGAGATGGGGGAAAGCATATCTAAAAATTTGTCTCTCAGATCTGGGGGTTGGGGCAGGTTTTATAGACAGAGGGTAATGAGGTAAGATCTGACTGCATCGTGCCATGAGGTGATGTCAGGGCTGGATCTGATCAGATCACAGATTAAGCCCTGAGGTGTCTCCTTCTTAAATCAGCCCTGCTCCTTGGTCCAAGTACTTAGGTTCCACCGTGGTTGCATGCAGAGTGTGTCTGGGCATGCTCAGGTAACATAACTTGAAACCAGGAGACCGTGGCAACAGTAAAACAACGCATTATTTTATTACACAAACTTGAACCACATTGGGCTGGTTCTGCATTTTCAAATCCCCCTTTTTTCATTGTTCATTTCTCAATCTTGAGGGAGAATGGGTGACAGACACTCTGGCACTTCCTGCTGATTAGGGCACAGACCTTGGTTAGAGGTATAAAATTATTTAGCACGGTGTTGTACGACTTCCCTGATATCAGGGTTATGTTTCAAAAGGAGTTGTTTGATTCAATTTTAGGAAAATGCATAAAGTGTTAGCAACTTAAACATTATTTCTTCCAGAGAACAGAAAGAATGCTCAGGTTTAATAGCCAAAGTTCCCACGCAGGTTCCCAATCAGGTCTGTTCATTCAATTGAGAATTAAAACTCCAAACTCACTTAGTTCTGATTGGTCAACCCAGCTGAGTTCTAATGGGTCAATACAGCTGAGCCCTGATTAGCAGAGGCAGGTGGGCTGAAAAGCCCCAAAATAATAAGGTATGTGTTTTGGGTGAACTCAGAACATGTGTGTGTCCCCTCGTTAGCAAATGGTCCCTTGGCTCAACTTGAAATGCAGGCCCAGTTAGCCACTCAGGATGCATCTTGAAAGACTGGCTCAAACTTGTTGGCAGACAGCACTGCATTCCATCACGGCATGGAAGTGATTAGCTACGTGCTTCAGGTTTATCTGGTCTCTTCTAGGGATCCTGGTGGCAGAGCAGTGGCCAATTGAGCAACTAGAGCCATTTACTTACAAAAGGCACTCAGGTACCTGTTAGATTCTAATCAAAGTCTCGTAGGTTATGTTGATTCTGGTTCCTGTCTGGAGTAAATTTAAAATTTCCTGGGTTAGGTCAGCATGATCCAAGCCTCTTGCAGATATCTGTTAAAACAGGCTAGAAGAGCTGGGCGCAGTGGCTCACACCTGTAATCTCAGCACACTGGGAGGCCGAAGTGGGCGGATCACCTGAGGTCAGGAGTTTGAGACCAGCCTGAGCAACATGAAGAAAATGCATCTCTACTAAAAATACAAAACTAGCCGGGTGTGGTGGTGCGTGCCTGTAATCCCAGCTACTCGGGAGGCTGAGGCAGGAGAATCGCTTGAACCAAGGAGGTGGAGGTTGCAGTGAGCCGAGATCCCACCATTGCACTCCAGCCTGGGCAACAAGTGTGAAACTCCATCTCCAAACAAAACAAAACAAACAAACAAAAAAAACAGGCTAGAACAATTCAAAAGAGTACCCAAATGATTAGCCCAAATAGAAGGATCATTAAGATCTGTAGGATGGAACACAGAAGGTATCCTAGACTAGAGACAAAAGCCAGCTGAAAATATCTGGAAATTGTAAATTCAAGCCAGGAAGTCCAGCCAGGAGGCTTTTTGAAGGTGTCCCATTCAGAGATTTAGCTAACTTTAGGATCTTAGATGTGTCCAATTCAATCTAACTAGATGTATTTACCCAGGTGCAGCAGCAAATGTTAGCAACAGCACAAACATCACCCTGTACAGCAAGAAGACAGTCAAAAACAATGTAGTTGTCTAGGACCACATGAGCAAGGGAGTTTGGGACTTCTGCTGTGCTCTGATGGTTTGGCCAGTGGAGCAGTCATTCTATTAACAGTACAAGATTTCTGACCATATTCTCATTCCAAGCAGGGCATAGTCCAAACTCGGACCCCAGTAACCTTCCTGATCTAGCTGCTTCACTAGAGTTAATCCTTCTGGGTAAATCACATCTTTGGTAATATCCCCAGCTATAATCTAAGAGATTATCATTGGTGTTCAGTTGTGTCTCCAAGACTCTCAGGTAGCTCTTTGGGTAGCAGTGGTGAGACTAGCTGAATAGATTAAAAATTGGGTTATTCATTTCTGTAGCCAAATCTCCTGGTGAGGATAACTTAAGTACTATTTTTGCCTTTTGGGAGAAGGAAATATGGGCCTGATAGGTTTCTAAGAAGTCTCTTCAGGCTGAAGTGCTTCGTCACTATTTCTTTATCCCACCAAATATTCCCTTATCAGACCTTGAAACCCCATCTCTCCCACATCCTGTTTGTCCTATATTCTTAAAATTCCCACATGAAACACCTTCTTTCCGTGATGATTGATGGTGTGTTGTTTCCATGACCTAATCCAGACTGATTCACCAACATTTTTTATAAGAATAAAATTCTAATACAGAATGATTCCAACATTCCCGAAAGTGTTCACTGTTCTGTGCCCCTACACTTTTCCCACAGTATGAGTACTGGGTAAAAACAGATGAGTGATTTGACTAGAAGATGGTGTCTATAAAGCCATGGTCTGATGACATTGATTTAGATCATTTTTATTCTATACAGATACACAATGCTATGTAACTTCTTCGTATATTCTCTCATCCTGAAAATATGTTTTATAAATATGTATGAAATTTCAAAACAGGCCTGGCATGGTGCCTCATGCCTATAATGCCAGCACTTTGGGAGGCCAAGGCAGGTGGATCGCTTGAATCTAGGAGTTTGAGACCAGCCTGGGAAACATGGCGAGACCCCATCTCTACAGAAAAAAATAAAAATAAATAAAAAAAATTAGTCAGAGGTTGTTGTGCACACCTGTGTTCCCATCTACTCAAGAGGCTTAGGCAGGAGGATCACTTGAGCTGCAGAGGCAGAGGTTGCAGGGAGCTGAGATTGCACCCCTGCACTCCAGCCTGGGTGACAGACCCAGACTCTGTCTCATAAAAAAAAATCAAAACAGAAATTATGAAAAATATTAATGATAGCTACATAAAAGATCACACATTCACACCTTATTACAAATTTTATGCTCTGGAAACCTTTTTAGAAAGAACATATATTTAAATATCATGTTTACGAAATGTGTTGATATTTAACACTTAATGGAAAGTTTTACCAAATTTTCAGTGTTCAAAATAAGATAAGACTTCTATGTACATTATCTCAATTCAGCCTCACAAAACAATATGAATTGGATATTGATGTGCTCATTGAGAAGATGATGAAATAAGGCATAGAAAGTTCACAAACTGAGGAGTGGCAGAGATGCTAGCACCTCCCTCTAGGGGCAATGCCCTGCTTTTCCTCTATTATTCCTCATGTGACAGAGCTCGAAGTGACGTAGATAACATACCCTTCTTCCTTCTTATCTTTGCTTCCAAATCATTTGTCCTCTTTCTTTAGCTTCTAAATCTCCTGGAAACCCACAAAACAACAAAACACATAAAGTGAAACACATGTCATCAGGCTATATTACTCACGACTCCCTTGCTCTAGGTATTCTGGATCTCCCAACCCCTTTATTCACTGAATATTTTAGCACCTGACTCTTCTTCTCTTTACCACTACTCTTGTTATTAACCTTTGGGACTTTTTGCATGTGGTAGACAAGCATCTAATACCCCAGCCTCTCAGCTACTTGACCTCTGAGAAAGTCTTTTCTATCATCTCACCTCAGCTTCAACCTTTTCTTTACCAGTAACTAAACCTCCCTCCATAATCTCAATATCAAGTGTCCCACACAATTAGCCCCTCTCATGACCTGCCTGTTCCATGCTGATATGCCGAATTGTCGATTCTCCATTCTCATCTTATGTTATGTCTCAGCAATATGACAAAGATAATCATCCCTTCCTTCTTCAGGCATTTCATATTTCGGGCTGCTTATGTAGCACACAGTCTTTGTTTTTCTCTATCTCATTGGCCATTCTTTTTCAATTTCCTTTTCTGAATTCTTCCTACTTCTTAATTTCTAAATATTATAGCTCTTCAGTTTTTGAGCCCATTTTTTTCTTTAATCCACTGTCTTGGCTTCAGCAAATCTCTATTCAACATGTCCAAATTTACGGCTCTAACTTCACTGCCTGTTTAGCATTCCCACACTGATGTCCAATAAAAATCTCAAGTTTTACATATCCAAAGCAAAACTCTTGATTTCTCCTGTGATCCTAAACTTCATCCTCCCACAGTCTCCCCTATCTTGGTAAATATAATTCCTTTAACCCCATCCTTGATCCCTATTTTCCTCTCTGTCCTCAAAATCAATTCAACAGCAAGTCCTGTTAGCTCTAAATTGGAAATGCATCTAGAGTTGAATAGAACCTCACCCTTTCTAGTCTAAGTCCATATTGTCATTCACCTGGAATTCCACACTAGACTCCTAATTTACTGTGTTCACTTTTGCCCTTCTAGATCTACTCCAGTCTTGGTGACTTTTACTTTTTTAAAAATAAAATGAAAAACAACATAAAAAAGGAATAATAGCTAAATTATAATCTTACAGTGGATGATTTTTGAGAAGTACATCTGTTCTCACACTATCATGTAAGGAACGAATTCAAGGAACTAAATTTTGGCAAATACCCTCAGAATCTTAGTCATAGCATCATCCAAATTTCCATCTTGCTAGCCCATGTGCTCTATCGCTTGCTTACTCTCTCTCTATGTGTCTCTCTCTTTCTCATTAGCTCACACACTCTCTCACTCTCTCTCTCTCCTCCCCTTTCTTTTTTATCTCCCTCTCTCTCTCATGGCTTGCTCATACTGATGAAGGAAGTTATCATGGCAGAAATCTCACATGGCAAACAATTGAGGATGACCTTTAGTCGACAGCCATAAAGGAACAGAGGACTTTAGTCTAACAAGTTAATGATAAAATGAATCCTGCCAATGACCATGAGACTGAGTTTGAGGAGTGGATTCTTCCCCAGAAAAGCCTTGAGATGTCTAAAGCCCAGGAGGCACTTTGATTGCAGCCTGTGAGAAACCACCAAGAAGACACAGCTAAACCTTACCTAAAAGATTCTTGTGAACTTTAGAAAATATGAGACAATCAGTGCTGTTTCAAGTCACTACTTTGGGAGCATATTTCTTATGCAATAGCAGATACTAACACAGAAATGTTACCTGACTTGGAACATCACAGATTGTTATTGTCTGCTTTTTGTCTTTATATAAACTGAAATATATACCATGGTTTGTTTTTTGTTTAACTTCTTTAACTCAATATTATGTGTTAAAATTCATGCAAGCTTTTGGGTTCTGTAATAATATTTCACTATAGATAACTAGGAGTGGAATTATTAAACATATAGTATGCATTTTTCACCTTATAGTAGATAATATCAAATAGTTTTTTAATACAGTTGTCATCATTTATACTCTCACCAGCAATGTGTAAGAATTTCCAATGCTGCACACTCTCATCTTCACCTGGATAGGTCAGCCTTTTGAATTGTAGTCATCCTAGTGGGTACATGGAGATTTTATTCACAGTCTAATTTGCTTTTCCTTGAGAATGAGAGATAATTAACGAAGTTGAGCCCCTGTTCATGTCCACTGTTCATTAGGATATCTTCTTTGGGATGAGACTGTTTAAGACTTTTCTTCTATTTCTAGTGAATTGTCCTTTTTTCTTTACTTGGAGACTTTTTCACATATTCCATTCATGTGTGTATACATATTTAATTTTTTAAATCTTTAGTCTTTTTTTAATCTTTGCCTTTCAGTCTCTTCATTGTATCTTTGGATAAATAGCAGTCCTCAATTTTAATAGTTAAAGGTATTGATTTTTTATTTAAACTGAATAGTTTTGTATCACATTTCCCAACTTGGAAAACCTGAAAATAATGTCTTTGACTTTTTTCTAAAAGTTTGATTGTTTTGTCTTCCACAACTATATCTATAATCCATCTGGAATTGATCAGTTTTTAATGTCAGGAGGGTAGAAACCACGTTTAATTACTTTTTAACATGTGTATAGTAAAGCCCTAATGATGGCAGCCATGGCCCATCTAGAGTGGCTGCTGCCATGACACTGGCTTCACTGGGGAGGTGTGGCCAGGGTTGCATGCTCCATGGAGCCGGAGGGAGCCAGAAACAGGTGGAAGGCCAGCCCGCTCCTGAGTTGGCAGGGCAGGAGCCTCATGCTCCCTGGGCGCAGCTGCAGCTGCCCAGCCATGGCTCCAAGCCTGGACATCCCTGTGCTCTTGAGGAGTGGGAGCAGGCATGAGCTCCAGGCATAGCTGCAGCCACCCAAGCTGCAGCTGCAGCCACCCAAGCCGCAGCTGCAGCCACCCAAGCTGCAGCTGCACACCCAGGCATCTCTGCACTCCCAGGGGCCCAGGAAGTCCCTCTTGTCCCAGCAGGCTTGGAAATGCCTGCTCCTGTTTCCTGGCCTCTCTCTGTTCCTGTGCCTGCTCTGATCTGGAGCAAAATTGAGGCCAAGACTAGGTACTATTGCAACCTGGCCAGGTGTGCACACACTTAGGGCAGCCCTGACACACTAGCCCCTGCTGCCTTGTCCCCGTCTAGACTTTGTGCACCACCGAGCACCAGAGGGAGGCTGAGGCCGGGCTGAGGGCAGCTCAATGCTGGCTTATAGGCACCCCTCAGCAGTAAAAGCCTGGGTTACATAAGCAGCAGCAGGAGGCAGACAGGCTCCAGGGTGGAAACAGGTAGGCCCTTGGTGAAGCCCCACCTTCAAGCCAGGGAAGGCCTGAAGCCTGGGAGCTGGGCTGCCAGTCCTGCAGACTAGAGTGGGAACTTATGTTGCCTTTTCCAGGCCCACCCATGGCCACCCATGGACCAATCAGCACACACTTCCTCCCCGCTGAAGCCCATAAAAACCCTGGGCTCAGCCAGACTTGAGGAGATGACAGAATGACCTGCCTGTGGAGAGGAGCTACCCCCTCTGGGTTCTCCTCTCTGCTGAGAGCTGAGCAGACATTGGGACTACCAGCTGCAGATAGGAGCTACCTACTCCAGGGTCTCCTCTCTGCTGAGAGCTGAACACTCATCAGGACATCCCAGTTGAGGAGAGAAGCTACCCACTGTGGGTTTCCTCTGAGCTGTTCTACTGCTCAAAAAAGCTCGTCTTTATCTTGCTCACCCTCCACTTGTCTAGGTACCTCATTCTTCCTGGACACAGGACAAAAACTAGGGACTTGCCAAATGGCAGAGCTGAAAGAGCTGTAACACAAACAAGGCTGAAACACCCCCCTTGCTCACCATGTTGTGGGCAACAAGAAGGAGAGAAGAGAGAAGGAGAGAAGGAGAGAAGAGAGAAGGAGAGAAGAGAGAAGGAGAGAAGAGAGAAGGAGAGAAGAGAGAAGGAGAGAAGAGCTGTGGCCCTTTGGGGATCCCAGACCTAGAAGTTCCCCAAACCAGGGCTGTGATAACCTCTTTGGGGCTTCACACTTTCTGGTGATTCCAAGCTTCTGGGCACCACCGCATTCCCTGGTGCCAGCCATGGAAGCTGCTTATGGTTCGCCTGGTCCAGTTTCAGCCTCGCAGGGAGCCAGCGCCCATGCCAGTGCCTGGAGCTGCCCACCCTGCCACAGCCAGCATGCCTGGCTATGAGCAGTGGCTGGGCCCCATGCTCACTCATTCACACACCCCTCCCCACTCAGCTCACTCTTGGCAGGCACGGGATCCAGGAGGGTAGCGTAAGCCAAGCGCAGCCTGCCAGACTGAAGGGGTGAAACAAGCCCAGTGAGCCCAAGAAAAACTCAGGCAAAGGATCCACTGGCCACAGAGGTTTCCAGCTGGTGAAGTGATAACCCAAGAATCCCATGATACTAACACCGTTTATTGAAAAGATTATCCTTTCACTATAGTTTCTATAAATCAACTCGTTCTATGTATGAGTCTTGCAATTACATTCAATCTATAGATAAATTTGTGGAGAAATGAGATTCATAAAATAATCAGTCTTCCAATCCCTAATCATGACATGTCCTACCATTTATTAGCCCTTTTAATTCTCTCAGAAATACTGCATAGTTCATGGTGTATAGTCCTTGCATATTTTGTTAGACTTATTTCTAGATAT
The DNA here is from genome assembly GCF_000001405.40 of Homo sapiens. Classification (NCBI taxonomy): domain Eukaryota; kingdom Metazoa; phylum Chordata; class Mammalia; order Primates; family Hominidae; genus Homo; species Homo sapiens. The sequence continues at coordinate 89,042,222 of NC_000001.11, read as the reverse complement.
TGTTAGATGACTTAAGTAAACTACTTTGGAGCATAAATACACATGTAGAAAAGTGGGCATCATAAATATATAGCTCTATGTATTTGCACAAATGAAACATATCCAGAATGCCAGCACTGAAAGAAAATTCAGAATATAACAGTTGCCATGAAGCCCTTGTCATGCTCCCAAGCAGAGACTACCACCACCTCCTAAGCTCATGAAGATTACTATCCTGTTTTGGTACTTTATATAAATGAAATCATAAAATATGTATTTTTTAGTATCCAGTGCCCTTTACTCAATAGTAGATTGCGTAAATATAAGATTGAGTAAATGCAAGATTGGTCAATATTTTTGTGTTTAGCTGTAGGTCAATTATTCTCATTGTTGTATAGTATTTATTTATTATATGACTATATCATAAATCATCTATTCAACTATTTTTTTTGAGGAAGAGTCTCACCCTGTCACCCAGGCTGGAGTGAAGTGGCACAATCTCTGCTCACTGCAATCTCTGCCTCCCAGTACAAGCAATTCTTGTGCCTCAGTCTCCCAAGTAGCTGGGATTACAGGCGTGTGCCATCACACCCAGCTAATTTTTGTACTTTTAGTAGAGACAGAGTTTCACTATGTTGCCCAGGCTGGTCTTGAACTCCTGGCCTCCAGAGATTCACCTGCCTTGACCTCCCTCCCGAAGTGCTGGAATTACAGGCATGTGCCACCACATTCAGCCCCACTCAACTCTTGATGAACATTTGAGTACTTTCACTTTTATGTCTATTACAGTAGTGTTATGAGCATTCTTGTGCATATCTTTTAGTTCACAGATGTTCAGTTCTTCGTGTGTGTGTATTTAGAAATGGATTTCTATAAATGTATATGTTCAGCTTTAGAAGATACTGTCAGTTTCATAGCGGTACTAAGTTATATTTACATGAGTACTATATGAACATTCTAGGTGCTCCACAAGCTCATCAAGCCTCAATATAGTTTGCCTTTTTTCCACTTGGCAGATGTGTAGTGGTAACACATTGTGGTTTTTCATGACTCATATATTTAATAATTTTTTGACTCAGTAGTGTTATTTACAGACCACATTCTTATAATCTTATTTTACTTTTGTTAAGAAAAATTATGTTATCTATGTATGGATGTATCTCTTCATTTTTCTCTTCCTCTTTATTTTTCCCATTCTTTCCTTTCTCTCTCCCTCTTTCCTTCCTCCCTTTCCTCCCTCCCTCCTTTTCATCTTCCTCTTTTCCTTCCTTTCTAAGAAAAATTTTAAGTTCAGGAGTACATGTGCAGGTTTGTTAAATAGGTAAACTTGTGTCATGGGGGGTTTTAGTGCAGATTATTTACTCACCCAGGTATTAAACCTAGTGCCCATTAGTTATTTTTCCTGATACTCTCCCTCCACCCCACCCTCCACTCTCTGATAGGGCCCAGTGTGTGTGTTCCCCTCTGTGTTCTCATCATTTAGCCTCCACTTATAAGTGAGAATATGGGGTAATTGGTTTTCTGTTCCTGTGTTAGTTTGCTAAGGATAATGGCCTGCAGCAATCTCTTAATATTCTTTCCCACATAATCATTTGTATGTGTGTGTATGTGTGTACTTGAATAGCTATTTAATATGGATACAACATTTGTGCTTTTGCATTGAAACGTATGGAGGCAGGCCAGGCATGGTGGCTCAAGCCTGCAATCCTAGCAATATGGGAGGCCATGGGAGATGGATTACTAGAGCCCAGGAGTTCAAGACATCTTGGGCAACATGCCAAAAACCCTTCTCTACAAAAAATACAAAAATTAGCCATGTGCCTGTGGTACCAGCTACCTGGGAGGCTGAGATAGGAGGATGATTGAGCCCAGGAAGCAGAGGTTGCAGTGAGCTGAGATCATGCCACTGTACTATGCCTAGGTGACAGAGCAAGACAAAGAAGGAAAGAAAGAAAGAAAGAAAGAAAGAAAGAAAGAAAGAAAGAGAGAAAGAAAGAGAGAAAGAGAGAAAGAAAGAAAGGGAAAGAGGAAGGGAGGGAGGGAGGAAGGAAGGGGAAGGGAAAGGGGAAGGGGAGAAGGAAGGAAGAAAAAGAAAAGAAACATACTTAGGCTGTTTTTAGTGTTTCAGTTTGTCTAAGATCATCCCTATTTTTTGCCACCACCTCATCTCTTGTTCATCTTCCAGTGCTTATATCAAAGCCAAACCAGGAGTCAGTCTCCAGGACATTCTGACTTCCACATGAGACATAATAACAAACTTAGAACAGTACAAGAATTCTAGCATGTGCCTCCATTCCCTTCCCTGAGAATTCACTTTCAGAGCTGACTTTATTTGCTAATGCATGATGGACTCATTTGCTCTGCTAAAATCAAGTATTGGAACAAAAACAAAATACTCACTCAAATAGCTAAACTGCATGCCCTCCCAAAAGAAAGAGTAGGTTAAGCAGACATTTCCCTTATATTTCTATGACGTTTGGGTGGTTTTCCAGGGCTAGCTGAGAAAATGCTGTGTCACCGACTGATCCCTTCCGATATGCCTTTTCCAATCATGATGAAGAAGACCTCTCAGTTTGGGGCTGGCAGTTTAATCTGAGATAGAGCTGGACATGGTGCCTCATCTATCCCTCACTCCCAAGTGTAAGACAATTGAAACAGTACATTCGAGCGTAGGAGATTTTGTTAAAGATGTGGGCGTGGAAAGTTTGTTCCCCAAGATTTCTTTGATCTCCGGGAGGCTGAGACAGGAGAATCACTTGAACCCAGGAGGCAGACGTTGTGGTGAGCCGAGATCGCGCCATTGCACTCCAGCCTGGGCAACAAGAGCGAAACTCCGTCTCAAAAAAAAAAAGATTTCTTTGATCTCGTAACCTGGAGGAGAACCACAAGCCTTCACTCCACAATAGCCCAGCCCAGCCCACTTCTACCTTGCTAGTTCCCAACAGTCCTCTCCCATGTTCTATCCTCTTCCCTCTACTCACTATCTGGTTTTTCAAAACAAACAAAATTTCTTTCACAAAGAAATTTAACAGTCATTTTTTCTTGCTTAGGTTTCTGCTGATACTTAAATTCTTGGAGTCCCATCTCTGTTTCAACAGTCATTTTAAATCTGCTTACAAATACACATATTTCCCTTTCTATCAGAAATTTTGGGACAAGACACTAATACATATAACTTTTTTTGGCATTTTTATAATATGCCAGCCCAATAACCGTTCTGCTACAAGTAAAAAAGGAAACTGTATAAAACCTGTGAGAGTTCCAAATAGTGCACAGACACAGTTGGTTTGGAAACTCTACAGCAAAATAGATGACACATACACACACAAAAAAAACAGAGGCATGCAGCTTAAATTAAATTATGTATTTGGAGGACTCTGAGGTTTAGGTACCAAGGTTTTATATTTTTAATCAGGCTCTTCATTAGGAAAAATAGCTAATGCATGCTGGGATTAATACCTAGGTGATGGGTTGATAGGTGCAGCAAACCACCATGGCACAGATTTACCTGTGTAACAAACCTGCACATCCTGCACATGTACCCTGGAACTTAAAAATAAAAATTAAAAAAATTAGGCTCTTGTTCTGCTAGAATGGAAAAGGAGTGGATCTTAGAAACAAGTCTATTATGGGGCCAAGCACAGTGGCTCAACATCTGTAATCCCAACACTTTGGGAGGCCAAGGCAGGAGGATCACTTAAGTACCAAAGTCCCATTTGTCTATTTTTGCTTTTGTTGGGTGCATTGCTGAAGTCTTACCCATAGAATATTTGCCTAAACCAATGTCCTGAAGTGTTCCCCCATGTTTTCCTCTAGTATTAATAGTTTTATGGTTGCCTGGCACCATTTATGAAGAGGGTGTCCTTTCTTCAATGTATGTTTTTGGTCTCCTTGTCAAAAATAAGTTGGCTATAATATGTGGATTTATTTCTGATTTCTCTCTTCTGTTCTACTGGTCTATGTGTCTGTTCTTATTGTCAAGTCACTTTTTAGAAATCTAAAATTTAATCCATTTCACATAAGTGACATCAGGGTAAATTCCTCATGAGCAAAAGTTTCAAATGTTCCAATTTGTGATCTGAGGCTACATATTTTAGTGTTCAGTGCTTTTCTCTTCCTATTCTCTCTAATCCTTTGATTTTATAATTTGGGTGCAAGTCACTCTTACCCACTGGAGTAAGTCCTACTGAGGGCAGTGGTTGTGTCTAATTAGTCTTCATACCCTCAGCATCCAGCCCAGGGCTGTGCACACAGAGCGTTGCTCTCCTTACACACACTTGAATATGGTTCATTATTTTCGTAACTTGCAGGTCATGCCTCCGTTCTATATGAGACTAAGTAACCCCAGCTGAATCAATGGATCTCTGCTGCTGTGTACCCTACAGCATACTGCCTGGAGTTCTTTATGTAAAAAGCAGCTTAATATAAAAATATACCATACCTGAAATTCAGAGTCTTCTTTATGTAAAAAGCAGCTTTATATAAAAACATACCATACCTGAAATTCAGAATCTGTTCATGGGATTCTTCATATTTGGGACAATCTTTGAAACACTAAGCATACATACATAAGTTATTGTATAATAATACTAAATTATGAATTAATTTGTTCTGTGACCATCTATTAGAAGGATACAAGGATTCCATAGACTACAAACCAAGTAAACTGGAAAGTGGAAATGTTGCTTCTGTCTACCCACCATTTAAAAGAAAAAGTCCCTAGAAAATTTTTCAAGCAGTCTCATGTAAAAACCAAATGCACAAAAACTGTTCCCACCTCATCGTAATAAACAGAAAAGAGCAGTTTTCTTAACATCTAGGCTATCTCCCAAAAATGAAGAACTAGTCCCTGCTTCCACTTTCAATCTGACATGTGTTCAAAATAAAAACAGTTTCAAGTTGTTCTGAATTGATATCAGAAATCCTTCACTCACAACAAAAAGTGGAAGAGAGCCTGAGACTTTTCATTTATAAGTACTAATCAGACTTCACAGTTAGAAAGAGTAAAGAGAGAGACATATAGCACCAGAATGTTTCAGTCCACCTTGGCAGAATATAGAACCACCTACGAACCCAATTTGATCCTCTTAAACACGCCGATTCATCATTTGAAGAAACCTCAAATCAATCAACTGTCAGGGCCTTGTGGCCTGATAAACTGGTATTAAAAAGCCATTAAACAGCCGGGCGCAATGGTTCACGCCTGTAGTCCCAGCACTTTGGGAGGCTGAGATGGGCGGATCACCTGAGGTCAGGAGTTTGAGACCAGCCTGGCCAACGTGGTGAAACCTCGTCTCTACTAGAAATACAAAAATTATCCAGGCATGGTGGCACATGCTTGTAATCCCAACTACTCGGGAGGCTGAGGCAAGAGAATCGCTGGAACCTAGGAGGCAAATGTTGCAGTGAGTCGAGATTGTATCCTGGGCTACCGAGCTAGACACCGTCTCAAAAAATAAAAATAAAAAAAAGCCATTAAACATATTTAAACTGTATTTACTAGTCTTTAAAATGCAAATAATACTACCTACATCATAAGCCTGTACTGAAGAATGGAATTAACTAATAACACCTGTAAAGAATTTAGCACAATGACTACCATGTAGTAGATACCAAATGCATTTTCCTTCTATCTAACTCAGGCTTCATCGCCTCAAGGAAGCCTATATACTACAAGATAAAAATGTGGCGGCACTATTCACAATAGCAAAGACTTGGAACCAACCCAAATGTCCAACAATGATAGACTGGATTAAGAAAATGTGGCACATATACACCATGGAATACTATGCAGCCATAAAAAATGATGAGTTCATATCCTTTGTAGGGACGTGGATGAAATTGGAAATCATGATTCTCAGTAAACTATCACAAGGACAAAAAACCAAACACTGCATGTTCTCACTCATAGATAGGAATTGAACAATGAGAACACATGGACACAGGAAGGGGAACATCACACTCTGGGGACTGTTGTGGGGTTGGGGGAGGGGGAGGGATCGCATTAGGAGATATACCTAATGCTAAATGACGAGTTAAAGGGTGCAGCACACCAGCATGGCACATGTATACATATGTAACTAATCTGCACATTGTGCACATGTACCCTAAAACTTAAAGTATAATAATAAAAAAAATTTTTTAATAAAATAAAATAATCATTATTTACTAAAAAAAAAAGATAGTTATCTAAATATATATTCTTTTTGAGTTGAAATGTTAAAACTGCTTATTTAGAAAACATGTCATTTTATACCTATTAATGGAGGTAAGATTAAAAATACTGATTCCACCTGGTGGGGGAGGAGGTGAAAGACGTGATAAACACTTGAAGGAGTGGGAGGGACTGCATATATTTACAGAGGAAAATTCTATAACATATCTCAAAAATCTTGAAAATGAGCATAACGAACCAACATGTTCACTTCCACAGTTTTGATTTATTCAATTAACAAATACTTATTAAAGGCTCATTATGTGTCAGGCACTGATTTGAGGTGCTAGAGAGGATTAAGCAGTTAGACAAAAAATATCTGCCTTCAAGGGACAAAACATTCTAGCAAGTAATAAACAAAAATGTAAAACATACAGAATATCAAATAACCACAACTGTCATGAAGAAAAGTGAAGCAGCGATAAGGGAGCGAAAGAGCTGTCAATTTAGAATATAGCAATTTGACACAGGGGAACAGAAATAGCATCAATGAGGTGGCAGTTCAGGGAAGACCTAAAGTAGTAAGGGGGGAAGTCGCCTGGATATCTGGAGAAACAGCATAAGTAGCAAAAGGAACAGCAGGTGTATAGGCCTAAGATATGAACATGCTCAGCATGTTTGAGAGAGGCCAGGAGGGACAGGTTACAGAGTGGGTATACCAATCCCATAAACCCTGTAATCTCTTATGCAGATACAGGTTTATTACCTAATACAACATGCTATAAGCCTGAGATGAGTCCAGGCCTCCTTTGAACTGCCCAGCACTGCCACAACTGAGATGAGAAGAGAGTTTGACAGAATGAGTCAGTGCATCACATGCATCTGATACAGTTCACCCCTTCACCACTCTGATCACTGTGCCCTACATTAAACTCAATCCGTTGTCAATTCTTCATGTTAGTGACCAGCTGCAATTTATACAGGACCTAACACACAGGAGTTAACAGCACACGCCCCAGACTTCACTCCTGCAACTTGTCTCAAGGCCATAATTGATATTCATCATCTCTCTCTTCTACCATCCATTCCAGATTTTCCTCTCCTGGTCATTGCCAAAAGCAGTTATCCCATTTAGACTTTTTTTTAACTTGAGCTGTGTGCTTAAAGCACTCCTTCTATAAGACTAACACAAAAAGAAAACATAACTTGAAAGAAACAGAATTATTCAACAACTTCAAGAAACTCACCTTATTCTCTGGTGAAAAATTGAATGATTTCCGTAATACAAGACATAATCTGAAATTAAAAAAAGAAAAACGAGAGAGCTACATGGAATGAGTACCATACGACACAGTCTATTTACTTATAAATGATTTCTAAAAAGTGCACGCGAAGAAGTTCCATTCCAAGATGGCCAAATAGGAACAGCTCCAGTCTACGTCTCCCAGCGTGATCAGTGCAGAAGATGGGTGATTTCTGCATTTCCAACTTAGATACATGGTTCATCTCACTGGGACTGGTTGGACAATGGGTGCAGCCCACAGAGGGCGAGCTGAAGCAGGGCTGGGTATTGCCTCACCTGGGAAGCGCAAGGGGCCAGGGGGTTTCCCTTTCCTAGCCAAGGAAAGCTGTGACTGGCTGTACCTGGAAAAAATGGGAAACTCCCACCCAAATACTGCCTTTTCCAATGGTCTTAGCAAACGGTACACCAGGAGATTATATCCCGCAGCTGATTCCGTGGGTCCTATGCCCATGGAGGCTTGCTCACTGCTAGTGCAGCAGTCTGAGATTGACCTGCAAGGCAGCAGCCTGGCAGGAGGAGGGGCATCCACCATTGCTGAGGCTTGAGTAGGTAAACAAAGTTGCTGGGGAAGCTCAAACTGGGTGGAGCCCACCACAGCTCAACAAGGCCTGCTGCCTCTGAACAAAAGTCAGCAGGAACTTTTGCAGACTTAAACTTTCCTGTCTGACAGCTCTGAAGAGAGCAGTTGTTCTCCCAGCATGGTGTTTGAACTCTGAGAACGGACAGACTGCCTCCTCAAGTGGGTCCCTGACCCCCGTGTACCCTAACTGGGAGACACCTCCCAGTAGGGGCTGACTGACACCTCATACAGCCAGGTGCCCCTCTGGGAAGAAGCTTCCAGAGGAAGGATCAGGCAGCAGTATTTAGTGTTCTGCAATATTTGCTGTTCTGCAGCCTCCACTGGTGACACCCAGGCAAACAGTGTCTGGAGTGGACCTCCAGCAAACTTCAACAGACCTGCAGCTGAGGGACCTGACTGTTAGAAGGAAAACTATCAAACAGAAAGGAATAGCGTCAACATCAACCAAAAAAAAAAAAAAAAAAAAAAAAAAAAAAGGACATCCACACCAAAACCCCATCTGTAGGTCACCAACATCAAAGACCAAAGGTAGATAAAACCACAAAGATGGGGAGAAACCAGAGCAGAAAAATGGAAAATTCTAAAAACCAGAGCACCTCTTCTCTTCCAGAGGATCACAGCTCCTCGCCAGCAAGAGAACAAAGCTGGACGGAGAATTACTTTGACAAGCTGACAGAAGTAGGCTTCAGAAGGTTGGTAATAACAAACATCTCTGAGCTAAAGGAGGATGTTCGAACCCATTGCAAGGAAGCTAAAACCCTTGAAAAAAGATTAGACGAATGGCTAACTAGAATAAACAGTGTAGAGAAGACCTTAGATGACCTGATGGAGCTGAAAATCATGGCACGAGAACTATGTAACACATGCACAAGCTTCAACAGCTGATTTGATCAAGTGGAAGAAAAGGTATCAGTGATTGAAGATCAAATTAATGAAATAAAGTGGGCAGAGAAGTTTAGAGAAAAAAGAGTAAAAAGAAATGAACAATGCCTCCAAGAAATATGGGACTATGTGAAAAGATCAAATCTATGTTTGATTGGCGTACCTGAAAGTGACAGGGAGAATGGAACCAAGTTGGAAAACACTCTTCTGGATATTATCCAGGAGAACTTCCCCAACCTAGCAAGGCAGGCCAACATTCAAATTCAGGAACTACAGAGACCACCACAAAGATACTCCTTGAGAAGAGCAACTCCAAGACATGTAATTGTCAGATTCACCAAGGTTGAATGAAGGAAAAATGTTAAGCACAGCCAGAGAGAAAGGTCAGGCTACCCACAAAGGGAAGCCCATCAGACTAACAGCAGATCTCTCAGCAGAAACTCTACAAGCCAGAAGAGAGTGGGGGCCAATATTCAACATTCTTAAAGAAAAGAATTTTCAACCCAGAATTTCATATCCAGTCAAACTAAGCTTCATGAGTGAAGGAGAAATAAAATTCTTTACAGACAAGCAAATGCTGAGAGATTTTGTCACCACCAGGCCTGCCTTACAAGAGCTCCTGAAGGAAGTACTAAACATGGAAAGGAAGAGCTAGTACCAGCCACTGCAAAAACATGCCAAATTGTAAAGACCATCAATGCTAGGAAGAAACTGCGTCAACTAACTAGCAAAATAACCAGCTAATATCATAATGACAGGGTCAAATTCACACAGAACAATATTAACCTTAAATGTAAATGGGTTAAATGCCCCAATTAGATGACACAGACTGGCAAATTGGATAAAGAGCCAAGACCCATCAGTGTCTTGTATTCAGGAGACCCATCTCCCATGCAGAGACACACATAGGCTCAAAATAAAGGGATGGAGGAAGATCTACCAAGCAGATAGAAAGCAAAAAAAAAGCAGGGGTTGCAATCCGCATCTCTGATAAAAGACTTTAAACCAACAAAGATCAAAAGAGACGAAGAAGGCCATTACATAATGGTAAAGGGATCAATTCAAAAAGAAGAGCTAACTATCCTAAACATATATGCACCCAATACAGGAGCACCCAGATTCATAAAGCAAGTCCTTAGAGACCTACAAAGAGACTTAGACTCCCACACAATAATAATGGAAGACTTTAACGTCCCACTGTCAATATTAGACAGATCAATGAGACAGAATGTTAACAAGGATATCCAGGACTTGAACTCAGCTCTGCACCAAGCGGACCTAATAGACATCTACAGAACTCTTTACCCCAAATCAACAGAATATACATTCTTCTCAGCACCACATCCCACTTATTCCAAAATTGACCACATAATTGGAAGTAAAGCACTCCTCAGCAAATGTAAAAGAACAGAAATCACAACAAACTGTCTCTCAGACCACATTGCAATCAAATTACAACTCAGGATCAAGAAACTCACTCAAAACCGCACAACTACATGGAAACTGAACAACCTGCTCCTGAAAGACTACTGGGTAAATAACAAAATGAAAGCAGAAATAAAGATGTTCTTTGAAACCAATGAGAACAAAGACACAACGGACCAGAATCTCTGGGACACATTTAAAGCAGTGCATAGAGGCAAATTTATAGCACTAAATGCCCACAAGAGAAAGCAGGAAATATCTAAAATTGAAACCCTAACATCACAATTAGAAGAACTAGAGAAGTAAGAGCAAACACATTCAAAAGCTAGCAGAAGGCAAAAAATATAAGATCAGAGCAGAACTGAAGGAGATAGAGACACAAGAAACCCTTCAAAAAATCAATGAATCCAGGAGCTGGTTTTTTGAAAAGATCAACAAAATTGATAGACCCCTAGCAAGACTAATAAAGAAGAAAAGAGAGAAGAATCAAATAGACGCAATAAAAAATGATAAAGGAGATATCACCACCGATCCCACAGAAATACAAACTACCATCAGAGAATATTATAAGCACCCCTAGACCAATAAACTAGAAAATCTAGAAGAAATGGATACATTCCTGGACACATACACCCTCCCAAGACTAAACAGGAAGAAGTTGAATCTCTGAATAGACCAATAACAGGCTCTGAAATTGAGGCAACAATTAATAGCCTACCAACCAAAAAAAGTCACGGACCAGAAGGATTCACAACCGAATTCCACCAGAGGTACTAAGAGGAGCTGGTACCATTCCTTCTGAAACTATGCCAATTAATAGAAAAAGAGGGAATCCTCCCTAACTCTTTCTATGAGGCCAGCATCATTCTGATACCAACGCCTGGCAGAGACACAACAAAAAAAGAGAATTTTAGACCAATATCCCTGATGAACATCGATGCGAAAATCCTCAATAAAATGCTGGCAAACCGAATACAGCAACACATCAAAAAGCTTATCCTCCATGATCAAGCCAACTTCATCCCTGGGATGCAAGGCTGTTTCAAAATACGGCAATCAATAAACATAATCGATCACATAAAGAGAACCAACAACAAAAACCACATGATCATCTCAATAGATGCAGAAAAGGCCTTCAACAAAATTCAACAGCCCTTCATGCTAAAAACTCTCAATAAACTAGGTATTGATGGAACGTACCTAAAAATAGTAAGAACTATTTATGACAAACCCACAGCGAATATCATACTGAATGGGCAAAAACTGGAAGCATTCCCTTTGAAAACTGGCACAAGGCAGGGATGCCCTCTCTCACCACTCCTATTCAACATAGTGTTGGAAGTTCTGGCCACAGCTACCAGGCAAGATAAAGAAATAAAGGGTATTCAATCAGGAAAAGAGGAAGTCAAATTGTCCCTGTTTGCAGATAACATGATTGCATATTTAGAAAACCCCATCATTTCAGCCCAAAATCTCCTTAAGCTGATAAGCAACTTCAGCAAAGTCTCAGGATACAAAAATCAATGTACAAAAATCACAAGCATTCCTATACACCAAGAACGGACAAACAGAGAGCTAAATCGTGAATGATCTCCCATTCACAATTGCTACAAAGATAATAAAATACCTAGGAATACAACTTACAAGGGATGTGAAGGACCTCTTCAAGGAGAACTACAAACCACTGCTCAATGAAATAAAAGAGGATACAAACAAATGGAAGAACATTTCATGCTCATGGATAGGAAGAATCAATATCATGAAAATGGCCATACTGCCCAAGGTAATTTATAGATTCCATGCCATCCCCATCAAGCTACCAATGATTTTCTTCACAGAATTGGAAAAAACTACTTTAAATTACACATGGAACCAAAAAAGAGCCCACATTGCCAAGGCAATCCTAAGCAAAAAGAACAAAGCTGGAGGCATCATGCCACCTGAATTCAAACTATACTACAAGCCTACAGTAACCAAAACAGCATGGTACTGGTACCAAAACAGAGATACAGACCAATGGAACAGAACAGAGGCCTCAGAAATAACACCACACATCTAGAACTATCTGATCTTTGACAAACCTGACAAAAAGAAGAAATGGGGAAAGGATTCCCTATTTATTCCCTATTAATAAATGGTGCTGGGAAAACTGGCTAGCCATGTGTACAAAGCTGAAGCTGGATCCCTTCCTTACATCTTATACAAAAATTAATTCAAGATGGATTAAAGACTTAAATGTTAGACCTAAAATCATAAACGCCCTAGAAGAAAACCTGGGCAATACCATTCAGGACATAGGCATGGACAAGGACTTCATGACTAAAACACCAAAAGCAACGGCAACAAAAGCCAAAATTGACAAATGGGATCTAATTAAACTAAAGAGCTTCTGCACAGCAGAAGAAACTTCCATCAGAGTGAACAGGCAACCTACAGAATGGGAGACCATTTTTGCAATCTACCCATCTGACAAATGGCTAATACCCAGAATCTACAAAGAACTTAAACAAATTTACAAGAAAAAAACAAACAACCACATCAAAAAGTGGGCAAAGGATATGTCTTATTTTGAGAGAAGTCTCAAAAGAAGACATTTTTGCAGCCGACACATGAAAAAATGCTCATCATCACTAGTCATCAGAGAAATGCAAATCAAAACCACAATGAGATACCATCTCACACCAGTTAGAAAGGCGTTCACTAAAAAGTCAGGAAACAGCAGTTGCTGGAGAGGATTGGAGAAATAGGAATGCTTTTACACTGTTGGTGGGAGTGTAAACTAGATAAACCATTGTGGAAGACAGTATGGTGATTCCTCAAGGATCTAGAACTAGAAATACCATTTGACCCAGCCATCCCCTTACTGGGTATATACCTAAAGGATTATAAATCATGCTACTATAAAGACACATGCACATATGTGTTTATTGCGGCACTATTCACAATAGCAAAGACTTGGAACCAACCAAAATGTCCATCTATGATAGACTGGATTATGAAAATGTGGCACATATACACCATGGAATACTTTGCAGCCATAAAAAAGGATGAGTTCATGTCCTTTGCAGGGATATGGATGAAGCTGGAAACCATCATTCTAAGCAAACTATCACAAGGACAGAAAATCTAACACTGCATTTTCTCACTCATAGGTGGGAATTGAACAGTGAGAACACTGGGACATGGGGTGGGGAACATTACACACCAGGGCCTGTCGTGGGGTGGGGGGCAGGGGGAGGGAAAGCATTAGGAGAAACACCTAATGTAAATGACAAGTTAATGGGTGCAGCAAACCAACATGGCACATGTATACCTATGTAACAAACCTGCACATTGTGCACATGTACCCTCTAACTTAAAGTATAATTTAAAAAGTGCATGCAATCCTTTATCTTTACTTTTCATAATAGCTATATTGTCATATGATATAGTTATACTACTGTCCACAAATACTGTCCAATAGAATGTTGCAAACATCCAGAACGAGTATATTCCACTTTCTCACAGAAAGATTGTTTTCAGGTGGCAAGAAATGAAAACATTTACAAACTTTCAGGGTTTTCTATAATACCTTCAACTCATAATAATCGTTAATTGATTAGTATTTGTCCAATCTCATGAAAAACTTACAATACTGGACTAGTATTTGGGGGTCTGGTTTTTTTCCAAATATTTTTATATTTTTTGTTTTGATTAATTCATTCTACTCTATTTTGAATACAGATGACACATTTGTCTTTTTTTGATTTTGGCTTTTTTCCAGATAGTCATGTAAAAATGAATCAAATTCAGCAAATAGTTTCATGATTCTCATGAAATATCCATTATTCCAGGAATGTCACTTTCAATCATAACCTCATGTAGACCAAGCCTCAATTAAAATACAATAATTGCCACTATTCATTCAAAATGATAACAAATGTTCTTCAACACTTTGGTAAGTGCTTTTATTTGATTTACATTGAATTAAAAAAACTCAAGCCTTCATATGCTCCGTGGAGTCTTTAACATATTTTGAGAGTTCTTCTATATTCACTCAGTTGGAAAACCATGCCTTGTAAATAAATCTGTTCTTGTAAATATTATTTACCAACTAAACACCATATGCAGACTTTTAGTTCTGGGATATGCCAACCAAGATCTCATAATAGTTTGAACATTTTAAAATTTGTGAATAGTGTTTATTATCTCAGGGACAAATGCACGAGTAGGTAGTCCCAACACCGAGTGCTCCAGTCCCTCACCTTAAAGAGCTTCAAGAATGACACCAAAGGATTCCACCAATCCTGAATCAACCTTCTATCATTTCCCAGTAAAGTAGATGGGCAGAGAAATTCAGATATTAACTACTAATATTTGCTTCTTAAGGACACATATCCATGTTACACTTGCAAGAACAGGTCTAAAGAGTCTGTTACATATTGTTTTCCCTCCAAGAAGGAGACACAGAATTCCAGCTGTTAACTATGCAGCCATAAAAAGGAACGAGATCATGTCCTTTGCAGGGTCATGGATGGAGATGGAAGTTGGAAGCCATTATCCTCAGCAAACTAACACAGAAACACAAAACCAAACACCCTGTGTTCTCACTTATAAGTGGGAGCTGAATAATGAGAACACATGGACACATGGTGAGGAACATACACACTGGGGCCTGTTGGGGTGGGATTTTGGGAAGGGACAGCATTACGAAGAGTAGCTAAGGTATGCTGGGCTTAATACCTAGGTGATGGGATGATCTGTGCAGCAAACCACCATGGCACACATTTACCTGTGTAACAAACCTGCACATCCTGCACATGTACCCCTGAACTTAAGAGTTGAAGTATAAAAAAATAAATAAA
The DNA here is from genome assembly GCF_000001405.40 of Homo sapiens. Taxonomy (NCBI): domain Eukaryota; kingdom Metazoa; phylum Chordata; class Mammalia; order Primates; family Hominidae; genus Homo; species Homo sapiens. Next base: position 89,027,055 of record NC_000001.11, on the reverse strand, counting down.
TAAAAAACTAGAAAAAAAGTCTATGGCCTAAGAAGGACTTTACACAAATATACTGTGGCTCTGTAAAATAATTTCTCTTTTTTAAGAAACACACACTGAAGTTTTTAGGTATAAAAAGCCATTATGTCTGTCACTAACCCTTGAATAGTTCAGACAGAAAGAAAATAAATTTAAAATGATAACATATGGGGAACTGAGGGGAAGACTGTACAGAAACTTTGTACTATTTTGCCACTTTTCTGAAGTCTAAAATTATATCAAAATAAAACTTCATAGGACATTATAAAGTTGAGAATGTTCCCTTTTGTTCTCAGTGTGTTGACTGTGTTTATCAGGAAGCGGTATCAAATTTTATCAAATGCTTTTCCTGTGTATATTGAGATGATTATATGGTTTTTGTCCTTCATTCTGTTGACATGGTGTTTTATATTAATTGATTTTCACATGTTAAACCATACTTGCTTTCATGGGATAAATCCCACTTCATATAAGTTTGGTATACTTTTGTGGGATTTGGTTTGCTAGTATTTTATTGAGGATTTTTGCATCCTTTTTCATAAAACGTAGTGGTCTACACTTTAATTATGATGTCTTTGGGTTTCATAGCATTGTAATATTGCCTCAAACTGAATGGGAAATTGTGCTCTTCTATTTTTGGTCAAGGTTGTAAGAAACTTGTATAAATTATTCTTTACCTGTTTAGTAGAAGTAGCCAGTGAAGTCATTTGGGGTTATGCTTTTCTTGTGGTAGTTTTATGATTAATAATTGATATGGTTTGGCTCTGTGTCCCCCCCCAAATCTCACCTTAAATTGTAATAATCCCCAAGTGTTAAGGGCAGGACCAGGTGGAGATCATTGAATCACAGGGTAGTTGCTTCCATGCTGTTCTCATGACAGTGAGTGAGTTCTCATAAGATCTGATGGTTTCATAAGGGGCTTCCCCATTTGCTCTGCTCTCATTCTCTCTCCCGCCTTATGCCGTGATTGTAAGTTTCCTGAGGCCTCCCCAGCCATGCAGAACTCTGAGTCAATTAAACCTCTTTTCTTTACAAATTACCCAGTCTCAGGTATTTTATCATAGCAGCATGAAAATCGATGAATACATAATTCAATCTCTTTACTTGTTACTTTTACTCGATGATCTATTTCTTCTTGAGATAGTTTTGGTAGTTTGTGTCTTTCTAGGAATTTACCTATTTTGTATAATTTAATTTGTGGACATACTGTTGTTCATAGTATTACTTACAATCTTTTTTATTTCTGTAAAGTCAGTAGTGATGCCTCCTGTTTCCTTCTCAATTTTAGTTATTTGAGTCTTCTGCTGTTTTTCAGGATTGTTTTGTTTTGTTTTGTTTCATTTTGGCCAGTCTAACTAAAAGCTTTGTCAATTTTGTTGATCTTTTCTAAAAACAGCTTTTGGTTTTATTGACTTTCTCTACTTTTTTCTTCTATTCTTTATTTCATTGGTTTCTACTCTGTTAATTTCCAAAACTTTTCATTTTCTTCTTTCTGCTTGCTTCAGATTTAGTTTGGTTTTTTACCAGTGTCTCAATGTAAAAGACTAGGTTATTGATTTGAGACCCATTATTTTCTTAGTAATTGTTCTAGGCATTATCATATACATAACTCACCAAAGGATGCCTGAAATTTATGCCAAATTAATTCCTGTGAGATACTGAATTATTATACTAATAACTCTATAACTATTGGCTCTTCCCTCTTTTGGTGCTATTATTATTACATATATTACATCTATATATGTTACAAACTCAATAATACACTGTTATGATTACTAATTCATAGTATTTTATGTCTTTTAAGGAAGCAGAAGAAAAAGGTATACATTTATAGAGCTTTTCATTTTTATTTTCTTACTTACAAGTTCTCCTTATTTCTAGAGGTTCAAATTAACATCTGCTATTGTTTCTTCATTCCAATATACCTTTGCTCCCACCTTTTCCCCTTGTGTCATTCTTGTTAAGTGTAATACATTTCTATATGTTATAGGCCTTGAAATACACTTATATACATACTCTTTTATACAATAAAATACTTATTTTTTAAAATAAGTTACAAGGAGAAAGGAAAAAATATACATTTATGCTGTCTTTTATAATTACATAACTCCCTTACTATTTGTCCAGGTGGATTTGTATTACCATTTGAAAAGGTCACTTGCTTTCTGCTTGAAATCAGCTTTTAGTATTGCTCATAGAGTAGATCAGCTAGCAATAATTTTCTTCAAGTTTCTATGCTTGAATTTTTCCACATGTTGTTTCAACCAAAGTCGGTATTTTGGGGAATAGCTTTCAAGCCCTTTGATTTTATGGATGGCCTCTTTTCCTGGGCAAAACCTCTGAGCCATGGCCCCTTCCACTGGACAGGGGTGGGAGCCTCTGGTCTTCTTTGCTTGTCTCTCTCAGCATGGAAACTCCACTCTACACATGAACCACAGTGAAGAGATCCCGTGTTCTTAGGCTGACAAGCCTGGGTTAGACCTTCCACTGTATGAATGGGGCAGGGGAGGTTGAAAGCCCTTGACTTCTGGTCACACTCACCAGGAATTTAGTTTCTACAACTTGGTGTTGGACGGAATGAGAAATGCTCATAGACTGCCCCTCCTAATGGGATATTTTATCCCTGACTGGAAGATGAAAGAAGAGGGAAAACAGGCTTCTTGGCCATACCCAGCTGTAGTGGAACGTTTGACAATCTGAATTGAAGATGGGGAAGAAGCAGGTTGTGGAACAAGTACCATCGACTCTTGCTATTGCTACCATAATTGTAGGGGTCTTCTTGAATAGATGTTTTGTTGTTTGATATATGTTTTTACAACAATTTGCAGAGATTTTAAATGGTTCAAATGATTATGACAAAAGTAACAATGATATACTCTGAAAAAATAGGTTAAAAGATTTTGACCAGGCGTAGTGGCCCATGCCTGTAATCCCAACACTTTCGGAGGCTGAGGTGGGTGGATCACTTGAGGTCAGGAGTGTGACACCAGCCTGGCCAACATGATAAAACCCCATCTCTACTAAAAAACACAAAAACTAGCCAGGCCTGGTGGCATGTGCCTGTAATCCCCGCTACCTGGGAGGCTGAGGCAGGAGAATCACTGGAACCCTGGAGGCAGAGGCTGCAGTGAGCCAAGATTGCAACACTGCACTCCAGCCTTCAGCCTAGGGGACAGAGTGAGACTCCGTCTCAAAAAAAAAAAAAAAATACTCTAAAGTAGTTTTAATAATGATGAAGCTACAGTGTTCAGGAAGAATAGGAAGAGTTTGAATAAAACTATTTTATAAAATATGAGTAAGATAGAACAATATATTTCATTTCATATATACATAATGTATAATTTTTTATGTGTGTGTAACTAAATTAACAAATAAATGCTCACAAGGGTTTTTTACAATTTGTTTTTACTGTAAAATAGAGTTAATACCACCTATTCTGCATGTAAGTAGTCATGAATGAAATAGATACATAACATATGACGCTCTTAGAAAACAATTTATGAAAAATCAAATTATAATATACTAAATAAAAAGAGGAAAAACATCTATAAATTAAATATTTTTACAATTATTCACTCACCAAACAGAGGCAGCACAGTAAGGTGGTTCAAGAAGAGAGTTTGGGATCAGGAATCCCTGGGTTCAGATTAGTTATAGTGCTATGAGTTTAGACAACTGATAAAGTCTTTCTGTGCCTTGGTTTCTATAAAATCATAGGGAAATACTTGTTATGAGATTTAAGTAGTGTAATTCATGTAAAGCAGTCAGCACTGAGCCTGGAACTTGAGTACAATGCATGGAGCCCCCTCCTGACTGTGTGCTGGGCATTAAGTGCCAGGGACTAGGTGTTCATGAGTGTGTAAAACATGCTCTTTCCTCACCTACTGCACCTCTAAAAGAATAGGCAGCTCCATTGTGAATTGTCTCCTGTTATAGGAAATTATATCTAAGAATTAATGTGATGCCTCCTAATTCTACAATTCTCAAACAGATCTCCAATCTTAAAATATATTCCATTTTTTTCAATACCTAATGGACATGTTTTTAAAACAATAAATGGTCTCTAAGATCTCTTCCAACAAAAAAACTTTGAAACTTGACTTTAAACCCTCCTACTAGCAGAATCCAGAAATTGCATTTATGGTTACTGAGTCACTTCCTTGAAAGAAGTACTTTCAGTTTCATTAGGCTCTGAAGCCATTACAAAGGTTGCTTAACTTCTAATTATTTGATCACTGAGGAAAATCCAGAAAGCTACACAACACTGAAGGGGTGAAATAAAAGTCCAGCGATCCAGCGAAAGAAAAGAGAAGTGACAGAAACAACTTTACCTGGACTGAAGATAAAAGCACAGGTAAGAACTCCTATTGCTTCCTCTCCAGCTCTGAAGTACCTCAGCTCAGGGACGTGGAGCCTATAACGTTGTGGCAAGGATGGGAAGGAATTTATAAGTCAGTTCATTTTCTTAAAAATGACCAGGACCAAATTAGGCTGCAGCTGAGCCTGATGTGAGACACAGGTCAGATAAAATCATGGTGTTATCAGAAGTACCATGGCTCTAAGTGCCACTACAGTGCTTGTGTTGAATTAGGCACCAGCAGACAGCAACTAAACTGAGAGTTTGAAATGCACTAGGATAGTCTTTCTCTTTGTTGACATTGTCTGTGTTGACTAGGGACATGATTACATTTCCATTGTCAGTGATGGAGCTTGCTGAATCCTGCTCCTATGCAGCTAAGAAATGGAAAGAGCTACAAATGGGTTCTTTTCACCAGAAGGAAAGAACAGCAAAGGTAATGCAGAGTACTAGCAGCCCACTGACACGGTTATAGACAAAGAAAAAACTGAAACCCAGCATCAAAGAGGAACATTCATGAAAACAGTATACTTTTTATTACACATTTGAACTTTGTTTCAGATTGTTTCTCTAGAAATAATCCAGGCTAAAGAGCTTCCTCTCCTTTTTTTTCTTCTTTTTTTTTTTTGAGAGAGAGAGAGGGCGGTGGCCTAGTTTTTCCTCTGGAGAATTTACAGGAGAATTTCCTGTAATGCATCACTACTAAAGCCGGTATCTTTGCTTACTTTAACCTCTCCCACGCACTCAGACGACTTAGATCCCACCTTCTGAAAACTCCTCCCCTGAATTCCTTGGCAAAACACTAGCTTCACTCATCACCTTGTCTGACATCTCCCTTGCTGGCACTTTCTCTCTCTCTCTCTCTCTCTCTCTCTCTCTCTCTCTCTCTCTCATCTTTCCAGCCCTTTCTCCTCGTCCTCCTCACTTCTATTTCTCCTCTTCCCATTTCTCTTTCTCCTACTCTACAAAATGGAAAAACAGAACAAAACAGAAAACCTAAAGCTGTATTGCTGGAAATTTATTTTCTTTTCACATCTTCCCATGTAGCTCTCTTTATGTGCTTCCTGGTCTTTCAGTCCTTATTTCATGGGGTTTTTTGTTGTTGCTGTTGTTTGTTTGGTTTGGTTTTTTTGGGGTGTGTGTGTGTGTGTGTGTGTGTGTGTGTGTGTGCGCGCGCGCGCATGCGTGTTTCTTAGCAACATTCAGTATTGGCAGTTTTGCATTTATACCCACACTGAGTTAGAGGCTACCTTATCATGACGCTAATGAAGCTTAAGTTTCAGGGCCCCTCTCTTGCACGTGCCCCTTCAAAGCCCTTGGAAAGGTCCCTAGCCATGTGTTTCACATGGTTATGTAGTTGTATAGAATTTGCAAAAGTATGTTACATTGGTTCCACTTCCAGAATGGCACTGTGAGAAGTTTTGTGGATCCTCATTACAGTGAAATAAGCATAACCAGTTGAAAATGGAGGAAGGAACACATTTATAAATCTCTGGAAATTGTCCTAAGGGCATATGTCAAACAATGAAACATTTACTCATGGGGGTCTTTATTCATCATAAGAATTCATGAATAAACAAATCAATATTTAATTTCTTACATATAGCCAGGATGTAAAAAAAATTCTCTATATCCTATTTTATCTTCCATTTATTGTCTAGTGTAAATTTTTTAATGAGAATCCAAGGGAAGCTTTTCCATAATAAATTAAATGAAAGTTCTAGGTTGCAAGAGTAGTTGACTGTTGATAAGTTACTGTCATACCAATATTTAATTTGATGATAATACTTCCATAATTTTTTAAAATGATACACATTTTCCCTCATCTCTCTCACTGACACACACAAAACTTTTGGCCATCCTGGGGAATTCTGTGACTCTATCCTCTAAATGCAAAAGACTGGAAATTCTAATTCATTCCAACTCTTCCCTTGCAGACAAGAGAACAATGCCCTGGACATGGCTCCAGAGATCCACATGACAGGCCCAATGTGCCTCATTGAGAACACTAATGGGGAACTGGTGGCGAATCCAGAAGCTCTGAAAATCCTGTCTGCCATTACACAGCCTGTGGTGGTGGTGGCAATTGTGGGCCTCTACCGCACAGGAAAATCCTACCTGATGAACAAGCTAGCTGGGAAGAATAAGGGTGAGTGGCATGAGCAAAGCTCTGCCAAGTCCCTTCTGTCCCCCAACACAGTCAGCATCCATTATGAGGATGTGAGGAGAGAAAGCTGGCACTGGGAATAAGCTAACTTTCCATTCACAGTTGGGCTCCTTATCTTCACTCTTCTAGGGGATAAGCATCAGCTCACAGCTGTTCTGAGGGTAGTGAGTTATCTCAATTGACTGTTCACCATGAGTTACAGTTGAACTCCTTGTTCTACTCTTTCTCCTCACCCTTCTCACTACTGACTGCACTTGACTAGTCTTTTTTTTTCTTGAGACAAGGTCTTGCTCTTTCCCCAGGCTGGAGTACAGTGGCAAGATCTCAGCTCACCACAGTCTTGACTTCCTGGGCTCAAGCAATCCTCTCACCTCAGCCTCCTGAGTAGGTAGGACTACAGATGCATGCCACCACACCCAGCTAATTTTGTATTTTTGGTAGACACAGGGTTTCATCATGTTGCCCATGCAGGTCTCAAGCTCCTGGGCTCAAGAGATCGCCTGCCCATGTTCACATAGTAACAGCAAGTTTACACTGATCTTTAAGGTTGAAAAAATGTTTCAGTCTGTATTGGATTTTCTTGTTTATTGTTTTAAAAAATATATAAACATAAAATTTATCCTTGTAACCATTATTAAGTATGTAGTTCTGTGGTATTAATTAAATTCAAATTGTTGTGCAACCATCACTACCATCTATTTCCAGAACTTTTTAATCTTCCCCAAAAGAAACTCTGTGCCAATTAAACAAAAGCCCCACCTACACCCATCTCCTGCCACAATTCTACATTCCATCTCTATTAATTTGACTACTCTAGGAATGTTATATAAGTGGAGTCATTCAATATTTGTCCTTTGGTGACTGGCTTATTCTAATTCACATAATGTCTTCAAGGTTCAGTGTGGTAGCATGTGTCAAAATTTTTCCTTTTTGGCTGGGCACTCATGGCTGTAATCCCAGCACTTTGGGAGGCCAATGCAGGCAGATCACCTGAGGTCGGGAGTTCAAGACTAGCCTGACCAACATGGAGAAACCCCGTCTTTACTAAAAATACAAAATTAGCTGGGCATGGTGGCACATGCCTGTAATCCCAGCTACTCAGGAGGCTGGGGCAGGAGAATCACTTGAATCTGGGAAACAGAGGTTGCGGTGAGCCAAGATCGTGCCTTTGCACTCCAGCCTGGGCATAGAGCGAAACTCCATCTCAAAAATAAATAAAGAAATAAAAAATTCTTCCTTTTCAAGGCTAAGTAATTATATGTGTATACTAATTTATCTGTTCGCTTGTCAGTTGACACTTGGGTTGCTTACACCTTTTGGCTATTACAAATAATGCTGATAGGATCATGGGTGTCTGAATATCTGTTCGAGTCCCTGCTTTCACTCCTTTTCAGTATACACCCAGAAGTGGAACTGATGGCTCATATAGTCATTCCATGTTAAATTTTTTAAGGAATTGCTGTATCATTTTCCACAGTGACTGCACCATTTAGCATTCCCAACAGAAATGCACAAGGGTTCTAATTTCTCTTCATATTCACCAACATTTGTTATTTATTGCGGGATCTGGCCAGCAGCCTGCAATGCAACGGGGCTCTCTCTTTGTTCCCAGGCAGACCGGCAGGTCGAGAAATAATAGATACACACAAGATAGTGAAAGCTGGGTCCAGGGGGGTCACAGCCTTCTGGTCCCGTGGTGCTGCCAATGCACTGGATATGCCAGCATTTATTATTAAGTTTAGTGAGGGTGGGGGAAGGTTAGTGAGGGATTTAGGGTCGTTTGATTATGAGGTGAGATGGTCACATGGGGATGAAGTAATTCTTTAACATAACATCTGTATGCAGAAGTACAGTATACAGAGATAAGAATTTACAATATAGTGTGTGCATCAGTAATTTCTAACAGAGCCTTAAAACAGAAATGCAGTCTTTCATAACCTATGATTAGCAAGATATTAATCAGCAGTAACAGTTGCAGCAAAAGCTGGTTACAAACAATCCATAGAAACAAGACGTGAAGCTAGACAACCGGTTAGACCAGAAATTCTCAGAAGGGAGTATGCCTTAACCCTAAAGAGGCCTAGAAGAGCCATGGCAAGATGAATGCGTTTATGGCCCTATCTTATCCACATGGACAGGTGCCCCCTCTCTCCACAAGGGTCTCATTCCATTCCCAGAGCTATGAACATCTGCTTTTCTGGGATAGGAATCTTGGTGATGTGAAACCTCCCTGACTGCACATCCATTCATAGGCTCTCTGCAGGGGGAAGCACATCACGTCCCGTTGGCTCATTCTGGCAGTCCAACCTGGCACTGTCTTTGCACAATCCTGCATGCAATTTTGTATTTACAATAATCAGGAGCATTTCATCTTTTATTCCATAGCAATAGTTTCACGGGGTCTCCCTACAGTTATTTTAATTTTTTTTTTTTTTGAGACACAGTCTCACTCTGTCACCCAGGCTGGAGTGCAGTGGCACGACCCCAGCTCACTGCAACCTCCACCTCCCGGGTTCAAGCGATTCTCCTACCTCAGCCTCCCAAGTAGGTGAGATTACAGGCACCTGCCACCATGCATGGCTCAGTTTTGTATTTTTAGTGTAAATGGGGTTTCTCCATATTTGCCAGGCCGGTCTCAAACTCCTGACCTCAGGTGATCCACCTGCCTCAGCCTCCCAAAGTGCTGGGATTTCAGGCTTGAGCCACTGCACCCAGCCCTTTTCAATTTTTTTTGATAGTCACCATACTAATGGATGTGAAGTAGTATCTCACTATGGCTTTAATTTGCATTTTCCTAATGACTAGTAATGTTGAGCATCTTTTCAGGTGCTTATTGGCCATTCTTTAGAGAAATGTCTATTCAAGTTCTTTCTTTACTTTTTAATCTGTTTGTGTTGCATTGTAGGAATTCTTTATATTTGCTAGACATCAATTCCTTATCAGATACACGTTTAGCAAATGTTTTCTTCCATTCCATGTGTTGCCTTTTTATTCTGTTGATAGTGTCATTTGATGCACAAAAGTTTTTCATTTTGATGAAGTCAAAGTTATCTGTTTTTCCTTTTACTGTCTGTTTTTCCCCTTTGTTTTCTCCCATGAGTTTTATAGTTTTAGCTCTAATGGTTAGTTCTTTGATCCATTTTGAGTTACGTTTTGGATTGTGTAAGCTAACAGTCCAACTTTTTTTTTTTTTTTGGCATGTGAGCATGTGAATATCCAGTTTTCCCAATGTCATTTGTTGTAGAGACTCCTCTTTCTGCGTTGAATGATTTTAGCATCCATGTTGAAAATTTTTTGACTATAGATGTGAGAGTTCATTTCTAGGCTCTCTACTTTACTCCATTAGTTGATAACAGTGTTTAAGCCAATACCAAACTGTGTTGATTATCCTGATTTTGTAGTAAGTTTCAGAACTCAGAAACTGTGAGCCTCTGACTTTCTTCTTCCTTTTTGAGATTATTTTGACAATTTGGGGATCTCTTGAAATTTCATATGAAAGTTAGTGTGGATATTTTTGATGTTTTTATTTATAAAAAAATCATTGGAATTTTGATAGGGATTGCATTGAATCTGTATGTCACTTTTACAGGATGTCTTTCTAATTATTTAACTCTTCCTTAATTTCTTTTAAGAATGTTTGGCCAAGCACAGTGGTTCACACCTGTAATCCCAGCACTTTGAGAAGCTGAGGCCAGCAGATCACTTGAGCTCAAGAATTTGAGACCAACTTGGACAACACGGGGAAACCCCATCTCTACAAAATATACAAAAATTAGACAGGCCTGGTGTCACGTGCCTGTAGTCTCAGCTACTCGGGAGGCTGAGGTGGGAGTATTGCTTGAGCCTGGGAGGTCAAGACTACAGTGATCAGTGATCACAGTCTAGCCTGGATGACACCGTGAGACTCTGTCTCCAAAAAAAAAAAATTTTGTAATTTTCATTATACAAGTCATTCCCCTCTATGGTTACGTTTTTTGGGTTTTTTGTTTGTTTGTTTTGTGACAGTCTTGCTGTGTCACCAGCCTGGAGTGCAGTGGCACAATCTCGGCTCACTGCAACCTCCACCTCCTGGGTTCAGGCAATTCTCATGCCTCAGCCACCCGAGTAGCTGGGATTACAGGTGCCCGCCACCACACCCAGCTAATTTTGTGTGTGTGTGTGTGTGTAGTTTTAGTAGAGACAGGGTTTCACCACATTGGCCAGATGGTCTCGATCTGCTGACCTTGTGATCACCTGCCTCAGCCTCCCAAAGTGCTGGGATTACAGGCGTGAGCCACTGTGCCTGGCCAATTTTATTCTGAAGTAGTTTGCCCTTTTGGTGGTATGTTAAATGGGATTGCTTTCAAAATTTCCTTTGTGGATTGTTCTTTGCTACTGTATACAAATGCAACAGATTTCTGCATGTTAATTTTGTATGCTGCAACTTTGCTGAATTCTTTTTATTAGTTCTAACAGTTCTGTGTAATATTTAAAGTTTTCTGCAGAGATCATATCATCAGTAAATAGAGATTATTTTACATCTTCCTTTCCAATTTAGATGCTTTCTGTTTCCTTTTCTCACCTAATTACTCTGGATAGGACCTCTAGTACTTTGTGGAAAAGAAGTGGCAAAAGTGGGCATCTTTTCCTTGTTCCCATATTAGAGGAAAATTTTCAGTCTTCACCATTGAGTATGAAGCAGGCTGTGGATTTTTCATGTATGTCCTTTGTTTTGTTGAGGTAATTTTTTTCTGTTTCTCTATCCCTCTTTTTTTTTTTTTTTTTTTTTTAAGACAAGAGTCTCGCTCTGTTGCCCAGGCTGGAGTGCAGTGGTGCTATCTCAGCTCACTGCAACCTCCGCCTCCTGGGTTCAAGTGATTCTCCTTCCTCAGTTTTTTTCTATTTCTAATTTGTTGATTGTTTTTATCATGAAAGGTCCTGAATCCATTTATGTACTGGATATTCAAATTTTTCTATTTTTCTGATTATAAGTAACGTAAGTACTGATTGTGGTTTTGGTTATCTCTCTTAACATTAATCATGATGCTACATTTGCCTCAATTTCCTGAAGTACCTGCTATTAAACCTCCAGCCCTTCTTATCCCATCTCTCCTTTACAGGCTTCTCTCTGGGCTCCACAGTGAAATCTCACACCAAAGGAATCTGGATGTGGTGTGTGCCTCACCCCAAAAAGCCAGAACACACCTTAGTCCTGCTTGACACTGAGGGCCTGGGAGATGTAAAGAAGGTAAGGGTCAAAGATTCAATTTTGAAATAAGCCCCTCATCTCTGAATATTTTAAGCACCATTTAGTTTTTTCTTAAAGAAGAGTTTGCATTTAACTATAATTTGTCTTTTCATTTCTGTGTACATGTCATAAGGCCAAACTTAGCAACCAGAAGTGAGAAAAATATTCATAAGACAGAATCCTAGCAAAGCATGGTGGTCAACACACAGTATTCTACTAACCATAGGTTGTAAGCTATGTGAGTTAACACAGATGCATAAAGGGAGCACAAATAAATCCAATGTCACGAGTCCTATCCTGCAAAGAACTTATAATTCAGTAGCCTGAGCAAGTTTAAATTATACTTCAGGCCTTAGAATGCCCATTAACCTTGAATGTTTATTTTGCAATTGTCTGCCAATGATCATAAGAGGACCTGGTGAGAATCAGTGTATACCAAAAAACACTAATCAAAAAACTATACACATTCCACAGCTGAGTAACAATCATTTTGTTTGGATTTGGGTTCTTTTCATAGGTCATTAGTCTTAAAAGAAAACTCTAACTTATGATATACTTTTACTACTGTCACTCTGGAAAGTGCTGTGATGATGAAACTTGCTCCTGACTCCAGTGTGTCTTGACTTCCAGGGTGACAACCAGAATGACTCCTGGATCTTCACCCTGGCCGTCCTCCTGAGCAGCACTCTCGTGTACAATAGCATGGGAACCATCAACCAGCAGGCTATGGACCAACTGTAGTATCCTTTTGTGACCCAGAACAGCACCAAGGTCAGAGGGGACACCTGTATTCATAAACCAGCTGCCTGACTGTGAATCCTGATGAATCAAGCTCAAAAGGAGAAAACAAAAAATAATGCAAGTACAGAGGAGAGATCCCATGTATCCACTTTAGAATTGACACTTAGGTTAGGATCAAAGGAAAATGGAAGGTTTGGGAATGTGTTGAACTAATATGGGATGAGGTTCCTGTTCATTTTGTCACATTTCCTTAGTTAGCTACTCAGCTATGTGACAGAGCTGACACATCGAATCCGATCAAAATCCTCACCTGATGAGAATGAGAATGAGGATTCAGCTGACTTTGTGAGCTTCTTCCCAGATTTTGTGTGGACACTGAGAGATTTCTCCCTGGACTTGGAAGCAGATGGACAACCCCTCACACCAGATGAGTACCTGGAGTATTCCCTGAAGCTAACGCAAGGTAACAGAGACGTACCATTGATAAATGAGGACGACAAAACACTAGAAATTATCATTTTTTAGTTTACTATTGATAGTTTTCTCACATTTACAGTTTTCTATATCTCTAGCTTGCTATTCTTAAGAATTAATGCTTGCTATTAGCAATAGAAAAGGTTTTTTGAAAAAAGGAAAAAAGGAATGAATGCTTGCTGAATATCTAAATTAATAGATTAGATTTTAAATTATATTCTCCTGTGTTCTAAAATAAGTTTCTTTTTCTTTCATTTTTTCCTATTTTACAATTTAGGTAAATTTTATCTCCTTATGTAGGGTTCGTGATTCTGTATTTACCTGTAAAATATGAAGGACAATGGATATTTACTTAAAGAACATAGATTGAACATGAACAGTGTACTAGTCCAAATGCTGGCGAACTGCAGCCTAAGACAAATGATGGCCAATTCTGCCTGCCAGCTGTCTTTCTAAGTGAGGTTTTTTGGGAAGAATGCTATGCCCATTCATTTACATATTGTCTAAAGCTGTTGTCATGCTCCAATAACAAAGTTGAGTACTTGGAAAAGAGACCACCTAGCCTGCAGAGCCTAAAATATTTACTATTTGACGCTTTACGGAAACACTTATATTAGGCAAATTTCTTTATTATGTTTCTCTAGGTACCAGTCAAAAAGATAAAAATTTTAATCTGCCCCGACTCTGTATCCGGAAGTTCTTCCCAAAGAAAAAATGTTTTGTCTTCGATCTGCCCATTCACCGCAGGAAGCTTGCCCAGCTTGAGAAACTACAAGATGAAGAGCTGGACCCTGAATTTGTGCAACAAGTAGCAGACTTCTGTTCCTACATCTTTAGCAATTCCAAAACTAAAACTCTTTCAGGAGGCATCAAGGTCAATGGGCCTCGTAAGTCCCCTTCGTAGTACTTCCACTCATTGTTAAAACTAAAGGATGGCCAGGCATGATGGTTCATGCCTGTAATCCCAGCACTTTGGGAGGCCGAGGAGGGCAGATCACTTGAGGCCAGGAGTTTGAGACCAACCTAGCCCACATGGCAAAACCATGTCTCTACTAAAAATACAAAAATAAATGAGGCATGGTGGCACATACCTGTAATCCCAGCTACTTGGGAGGCTGAGGCAGGAGAATTGCTTGAACCTGGGAGGCAGAGGTTGCAGTGAGACGAGATCACGCCACTGCACTCCAGCCTGGGTGACAGAGGAAAAAAAAAATATGAAAGGAGCATAGAATAACTCCACCTAGTATCAGCATTGAAAAATCCCAATCTACTGCTACATTTGTGCTAAATTCTAGATGACACCAACATTTCTAATAGATTTTGTTGGTCAACCTTCTTGGTGGGAAAAGATAGGAAAAGCAAAGGAAAAAAGTTTTATTACTTAAAATTGCCACAGTAAACTGGGCCTGCACTGTACAGTACAGTAGCCACTAGACAAGTGGGGCTATCTAAATGTAAATGTAAATTAATTAAAATAAGGAAAAATTAAAGGTCAATTCACATGGCTATATTTCAAAGGCTTATATTTACATGTACTTAGTGGCTAGCATACTGAACAGCACATACAGAACACTTCCACCATTACAGAAAGTTTTCTTGGACAATGCTGTGCTAAAATAAACCAAACGGAGGGCTCCTTTTGATTAGGAGAGTATCATTTGTTCCATAAGTATTGATCAAATGCTACTGTGAATAAGCTGAGGATACAGTCATATATGGAATAGCTATGGGTTCCTTTCCTGATGGTGCTTGGGGTTGAAATGGATGCAAACATTCAACTAACACAGGACTAGGTCATCTAGAACAAGGATTCTCAAATGTTGATATGCATACATATCATCTAGGGATCTTACCCAAAGAAAAAACTCTAATTCAGTAGATCTGGGACAGAGGCTAACAATAGGCATTTCCAGCAAGCTTCCAGATGATTCTGAGGACCTTGATGCTGTGAGGAAAATAGGTGGAAATTGACATGTTCAGAATTACACAGAATAGAGAGTTTTCTTTAGTACAAGAAACATTATCATTTCTTCTTTGTATGTAGGTCTAGAGAGCCTAGTGCTGACCTATATCAATGCTATCAGCAGAGGGGATCTGCCCTGCATGGAGAACGCAGTCCTGGCCTTGGCCCAGATAGAGAACTCAGCCGCAGTGCAAAAGGCTATTGCCCACTATGACCAGCAGATGGGCCAGAAGGTGCAGCTGCCCGCAGAAACCCTCCAGGAGCTGCTGGACCTGCACAGGGTTAGTGAGAGGGAGGCCACTGAAGTCTATATGAAGAACTCTTTCAAGGATGTGGACCATCTGTTTCAAAAGAAATTAGCGGTAATTTTTCTATCACATTTACATGGATTTGGATTTTGGAAGGCAAAGTACTACTAAGAAATGAAATTGGTATTTATTTTGAGACAAATAATTATTCTAGATTTTAAAATGGTGACAACTAGTTCTTGGTAATCATAATAATCAGACAAAAACAATTTTATTACTTCAGACTCAAAGTTTAAAAACATTGCTTATCAATAAATGGTCTTCCCTTTATTAAATTCATATAACTGACAATCAGGGCTTCTAATCAAATTACATGCCCACTCTTCTCAGACTGATTTGATATTCTAGCCAAATGCAAAGAAAATTTTCATCTTAGTTATCTTGAGCAGGCTTCTGTTCAGCCACATTTATTCCATATGAAATCATTAGTCCAATATGCAAAAGCAGAGCTTTCCTCTAACAGTTGACATAAAGCTGTCAATCTCAGCCCTGAACCTCACCTCTAAAGAGAAAGCGATTTCAGTAGAAAGTGGGGTCAGGAGTAAGAGCGTGGTCCTGCTGAGGAGTCTGTCAGTTTCTCCGGCATCATTGACTGTTTATTTTCGGAAGTCTTTCCCAAAATTCTGAGGTCAAGCTAACATCCTTTCCCTGTTACTCTTTTTACTTCCTATTTTTACATTAAAGGCCCAGCTAGACAAAAAGCGGGATGACTTTTGTAAACAGAATCAAGAAGCATCATCAGATCGTTGCTCAGCTTTACTTCAGGTCATTTTCAGTCCTCTAGAAGAAGAAGTGAAGGCGGGAATTTATTCGAAACCAGGGGGCTATTGTCTCTTTATTCAGAAGCTACAAGACCTGGAGAAAAAGTACTATGAGGAACCAAGGAAGGGGATACAGGTAACCAAGATTCATCTGTCGATTATGGAAACCTGCTGACCTACCTCCTACGAACACCAAAGTGACCAAGCTTCACTGCACACAGATGTGCTTTTTTGTCTGTATAACATTCATGCTTTCATTCAATAACATATGCAGGGAGGGAGACTGTTATATCAGGTATGTCCCAGGTGCTCATCAAAGAGAGTGCAGTCGGCGGGTGCGGTGGCTCAAGCCTGTAATCCTAACACTTTGAGGGCAGAGGCAGGCAGATTGCTTGAGCTCAGGAGTTTAAGACCAGCCTGAGCAACATGGTGAAACATGTCTCTAGTAAGAATATAAAAATTAGCTGGGCACTGTTGCACATGCCTGTAGTCCCAGCTACTCAGAAGGCTGAGGCAGGAGAATTGCTTGAGCCCGGGAGGTTCAGTGAGCCAAGATTGCACCTCAGCACTCTGGCCTGGGCAACAGAGCCAGACCCTGTCTTTCAAATACTAGTTAACTAGGCCGGGCGCAGTGGCTCACGCCTGTAATCCCAGCACTTTGGGAGGCTGAGGCAGGCAGATCACAAGGTCAGGAGATCAAGACCATCCTGGCCAACATGGTGAAACCCCGTCTCTACTAAAAATACAAAAATTAGCTGAGCGTGGTGGCAGGCGCCTGTAATTCCAGCTACTCAGGAGGCTGAGGCAGGAGAATCACTTGAACCCAGGAGGCGGAGGTTGCAGTGTGCCAAGATCACGCCACTGCACTCCAGCCTGGCAATAGAGCAAGACTCTGTCTCAAAAAAAAAAAAAAAATTAGTTAATTAATTAGAGAGTGCAGTCAATTAACTATTGAGTTATAAATTCAATTATCAGATTAACCACCACGTTGTTGTCATGATCATTACAGCTGGATTTTTTTCTGTTCCAAGAGACAGAAACCCAATGATGGTTGCTTAAAAAAAATGGTAATTCATCGTTTTAGGTTTCAAACTGGATTTAAAGGACATCTGGATCCAAGATTTCAAATAATGTCATGATCTGTCTCTCTGCCTGATATCCTCCCTGCATCCCCACAGTTCTCTCCCTCTCTTCCTCCCTCTATCTGAATCACTCTGATTTGCTCTCTCAAGGAGGGCTTCATTCTCCAGTCAGCTCAGCCCATATGGAACCACAGCATCAAATTTAGAGCCCTCAATTTGAAAAGGACAGGGAATCTTATTTCCCAGTATCTGTATCATCCTCCTAAATAAGACTCTGCTAAGTAGGGTCATCTGATTGGCCAGCTTGGAGCATGTATCTGGCCCTGTGATAGGGAATCTTGACCACCAGGCACACCAGGGCCAAGAGGAAGAATTCTCAGAAGAAAAGATGGTGGGCAGAAGAACAGGAAAACCTGCTTACAGCCATTTCCTACTTCTCACTCTGTGTTCTCTGGGTCCTAAGGCTGAAGAGATTCTGCAGACATACTTGAAATCCAAGGAGTCTGTGACCGATGCAATTCTACAGACAGACCAGATTCTCACAGAAAAGGAAAAGGAGATTGAAGGTGAGGAGCAAGTCAAAGGATCAGATTATCCTAAAGCTTTTCAAATTTTAAATAATTTTTCAAATTTTAAAATTTTAAATAATTTGACTGGATAAACCTAAGTTCCATAAACTAAAGCAAGACATGTCTTACTTGTTGAGGTCATCTCTGAGTAGGGCATATGCAGTCAGCAGCAACAATGGAGGGTAAGTGTATAACTAAGAATGAGGCAACAAGATAACTCCACACAAATGTTTCTTCTTCCTCCACAGTGGAATGTGTAAAAGCTGAATCTGCACAGGCTTCAGCAAAAATGGTGGAGGAAATGCAAATAAAGTATCAGCAGATGATGGAAGAGAAAGAGAAGAGTTATCAAGAACATGTGAAACAATTGACTGAGAAGATGGAGAGGGAGAGGGCCCAGTTGCTGGAAGAGCAAGAGAAGACCCTCACTAGTAAACTTCAGGTATCCAAATGCATCACCTTGTGGTTCGTTTTTCTGTTTTCTCTCTGTTCTTCCTGATCACAAACTTAGTATGGCAGAGCGAACATAAAGCCCAGGGGAAGGATTTTGCTTGCTCACTTGTACTTTCTTGTTTCTGTCTGTCTGACTTGAAATGGCCACTGCCTACATGTGGTCACTAAAAGTTTATTTGCAGGGTGTCACATTCAGTCCCGTTTTAGTGTATCCTTCCACTTACGGCTGTCATATGCTAGGCATCATAAAAATGCCTTATCTATATCTCTTGCTTAATACCATATGAAGCGAGAACTTTATCCCTATTACTTAGGAGAGGAAACAGAGGTTCAGAAAATATTAAATAACTTTTATAGTGTCACACAGCTAGTAAATATCTGACCCATCTTCATCACTTAGTGGAATCCATAGTAATATTTTTTCTATCCCATCTAGTATGACTTTGGCTCTAAGAGAACTTTTATGAGCAGAAGGACTCCCTAACCCTCACACCTGTAGGGCAGTCTACCACTCCTGCCTGTTTTCTGTGCCCTACTCACAGTTTGTGTTGAGTTGGGAGCTATGTGCAGAAATTCTATATGGTAAGTCTGGCACTCGGATTTCCTTGCCTATCTTCTGCTACCCCTGCCAACAGGGAGTAGAGACTTAGATCAAATTTCCTGATCTAAGATTCATATACCTAATCAGATTTTGAGAGTAACTTATCTCTGTATTATGTGTATATAATAATAATATGTGTGTAGGTAGGTGTGTTAAAAAGTCTATAATGCATAGGGAAGATTTGAAGTCAAATATATTGTTAAGATTTCCCACAAAGGTTTTGTATAATTAATAGGGGGAAAAAAGCAAGACCTTCATCAATAGAGCAGAAGGCATACGCTGAAACTCTTTTGGCTATAGAAAACCCAGGAGAAATAATCACACAGCCCAAATGCCCAGAAAAACTATAATTAAAATCAAGGGTAGAGAAAATTTCAAGAAAAAAACTAAGTACTAAATAAATCAATGCATGTGGAAACTAGATAGCTTACAGAGATTTACTTAATGCTACACTTATTTAGCCTCCATTTGTCCCTTTTTAGGAACAGGCCCGAGTACTAAAGGAGAGATGCCAAGGTGAAAGTACCCAACTTCAAAATGAGATACAAAAGCTACAGAAGACCCTGAAAAAAAAAACCAAGAGATATATGTCGCATAAGCTAAAGATCTAAACAACAGAGCTTTTCTGTCATCCTAACCCAAGGCATAACTGAAACAATTTTAGAATTTGGAACAAGTGTCACTATATTTGATAATAATTAGATCTTGCATCATAACACTAAAAGTTTACAAGAACATGCAGTTCAATGATCAAAATCATGTTTTTTCCTTAAAAAGATTGTAAATTGTGCAACAAAGATGCATTTACCTCTGTACCAACAGAGGAGGGATCATGAGTTGCCACCACTCAGAAGTTTATTCTTCCAGACGACCAGTGGATACTGAGGAAAGTCTTAGGTAAAAATCTTGGGACATATTTGGGCACTGGTTTGGCCAAGTGTACAATGGGTCCCAATATCAGAAACAACCATCCTAGCTTCCTAGGGAAGACAGTGTACAGTTCTCCATTATATCAAGGCTACAAGGTCTATGAGCAATAATGTGATTTCTGGACATTGCCCATGGATAATTCTCACTGATGGATCTCAAGCTAAAGCAAACCATCTTATACAGAGATCTAGAATCTTATATTTTCCATAGGAAGGTAAAGAAATCATTAGCAAGAGTAGGAATTGAATCATAAACAAATTGGCTAATGAAGAAATCTTTTCTTTCTTGTTCAATTCATCTAGATTATAACCTTAATGTGACACCTGAGACCTTTAGACAGTTGACCCTGAATTAAATAGTCACATGGTAACAATTATGCACTGTGTAATTTTAGTAATGTATAACATGCAATGATGCACTTTAACTGAAGATAGAGACTATGTTAGAAAATTGAACTAATTTAATTATTTGATTGTTTTAATCCTAAAGCATAAGTTAGTCTTTTCCTGATTCTTAAAGGTCATACTTGAAATCCTGCCAATTTTCCCCAAAGGGAATATGGAATTTTTTTGACTTTCTTTTGAGCAATAAAATAATTGTCTTGCCATTACTTAGTATATGTAGACTTCATCCCAATTGTCAAACATCCTAGGTAAGTGGTTGACATTTCTTACAGCAATTACAGATTATTTTTGAACTAGAAATAAACTAAACTAGAAATAAAATAAGTTTCACTAGTTTTTTTATTTCCATTTTTTTTTTTTTAGTTTTTCACCAAATAATAAGGTTTGAGTCTTTATAGCAGTGGTTGGCTAACTTTTCTGTAAAATACCAGATAGTGATTATTTATGGCTTTGCAGGTCAACTGTCTCAACTACTAAACTCTGCATACAGTACAAATGCAGCCATAGACAATACATAAGTAAATGGGTGGGGCTATGTGCCAATAACACTTAATTTTCAAAACCAGGTGGCACACACAAGCTATAGTTTGCAGACCTTTGTTTATAGAAACATTGGTCAAAGTTTCATTTTATATCTGCCTTATTTTACTTACATTTATAAGAATCATAAGGATTAGATTGTATATGTTAGAATCTTGAAATAATTATGTAGTGTTTCAAAATATTACACGATGAATCCCAAGAGGACCCACAGACCCTCTGAAGGAGGCAGACTGCTCCTGCAGGACCCAGGAAACACTCCAAATATTCTGACTGCCCCAACTGCAGAAGTGGGAAAGGGAGACCCTCCTCTCTGGAACACACACCCCCACTGGAGAAGCTGAAGGTTTGTGTGCAGGAGGAGTTTCCGACTTTACCTGAAGCTGAGTCAAGTTAGAGAGCCGAGCAAAATACAGGGGTAGAGGAAGCAGTTGGAAGGCCCTGGGAGCTCACTGTGTCCCCAGGCAGGCCATTCCTGCCTGGCACCACAGGGATCTATCGGGAGGTCAGCCAGAGGAGCAACAGGTAAAACTCCACAGAAAGAAGAAATTCTCCAACCAAACTTTGTAACAATTTGAATGGGGCGAGAAGCCTCCTGCCAGAACTCGGGGAGGGCACAAATCCAGCATGCAAACTTCACAGGCTGGTGAAGAACTAAAGTCCTTTTCTTTTTGGCTGAGCAGAAAGCCTCAGCCAAATTTTAAGCCCGCCCCTCTTGCCCTCTGCCTGGAAACAGACTCAGAGCTGTTGGCAGGGAGAAGGGCACAGTGGGAGTGAGACCGGCCTTCCAGTTTGCATCGGAGCTGGGTGAGGCCTGTGACTGCCAGCTTCTCCCACTCCCCTGACAACCTGCATGACTCAGGAGAGGCAGCCATAATCCTCCTAGGTACACAACTCCAGTGACCTGGGAATCTCACCCCCATCCCCCACAGCAGCCATAGCAAGATCCAGCCATGGAGAGTCTGAGCTCAGACACTCCTAGCCCCGCCCTGACCTGATGGTCCTTCTCCATCCACCCTGGTAGCTGAAGACAAAGGTCATTTAATCTTGGGAGTTCTAGGACCCTGCCCACCACCAGTCCCTCTCCCACTGATACTTTCTGGAAAGTGCCACCTCCTTTCAGGAGGCCAACCAGCACAAAAATAGAGCATTAAACCACCAAAACCAAGGACCCTCATGAAGTCCATTTCACCCTCCACCACCTCCACTGGAACAGGCACTGGTATTGTAGGAGGACAAGCCACCAACAAAACCCCTCAGACACTGAGTTAAAGAAGGAAGGGCTTTATTCAGCCAGGAGCTTTGGTAAGACTCACGTCTCCAACAACCGAGCTCCCTGAGTGAGCAATTCCTGTCCCTTTTAAGGGCTCACAACTCTAAGGGGGTCCACGTGAGAGGGTCGTGATTGATTGAGCAAGCAGGGGGTACATGACTGCGGGCTACATGCACTGGTAATTAGAACGGAACGGAACAGAACAGGACAGGGATTTTCACAGTGCTTTTCTATACAATGTCTGTAATCTGTAGATAGCATAACCAATTAGGTCAGGGGTCAATCTTTAATTACCAGGCCCAGGGTGTGGCGCTGAACTGTCTGCTTGTGGATTTCATTTCTGCCTTTTAATTTTTACTTCTTCTTTCTTTGGAGGCAGAAATTGGGCATAAGACAATATGAGGGGTGTTTTCTTCCCTTAGTATCCATGGCTCAGAGACCCATAGATGGTCCACATCACAGGACTCTGTACAGAAAACCCCCAATACCAGCCCAGAGCTGGGCAGACACACTGGCTGGCTAGACTCAGAAGAGAGACGACAATCACTGCAGTTTGGCTCACAGGAAGCCATACCCATAGGAAAAGGGGGAGAGTACTACATCAGGGGAACACCCCATGGGACAAAAGAATCTGAACAACAGCCTTCAGCCTTAGACCTTCTCTCTGACAGAGCCTACCCAAATGAGAAGGAACCAGAAAACCAACTCTGGTTATATGACAAAACAAGGCCCTTCAACACCCCCCAAAAATCATCCTGGTTCACCAGCAATGGATCCAAACCAAGAAGAAATCCCGATTTATCTGAAAAAGAATTCAGGAGGTTAGTTACTAAGCTAATCAGGGAAGGACCAGAGAAAGGTGAAGCCCAATGCAAGGAAATCCAAAAAAATGATACAAGAAGTGAAGGGATAAATATTCAATGAAATAGACAGCTTAAAGGAAAACAATCCACAATTCAGGAAACTTTGGACACGCTTTTAGAAATGCAAAATGCTTTGGAAAGTCTCAGCAACAGAATTGAACAAGTACAAGAAAGAAATTCAGAGCTCAAAGACAAGGTCTTTGAATTAACCCAATCCAACAAAGACAAAGAAAAAAGAATACGAAAATATGAACAAATCCTCCAAGAAGTCTGGGATCATGTTAAATGACCAAACCTAAGAATAATGGGTGTTCCTGGGGAAGAAGAGAATTCTAAAAGCTTGGAAAACATATTTGGGGGAATAATTGAGGAAAACTTCCCCAACCTAGCTAGAGACCTACACATGCAAATATAAGAAGCACAAAGAATACCTGGGAAATTCATCACAAAAAGATCTTCACCTAGGCACATTGTCATCAGGTTATCCAAAGTTAAGATGAAGGAAAAAAATCTTAAGAGCTGTGAGACAGAAGCACCAGGTAACCTATAAAGGAAAACATATCAGACTAACCTAGCAGATTTCTCAGCAGAAACCGTACAAGCCAGAAGGCAATGCGGCCCTATCTTTAGCCTCTTCAAACAAAACAATTATCAGCCAAGAATTCTGTTTCCAGCAAAACTAAGCATCAAACGTAAAGGAAAGAAACAGTCATTTTCAGACAAAATTGCTGAGAGAATTCACCATTACCAAGCCACCACTATAAGAACTGCTAAAAGGAGGTCTAAATCTTGAAACGAAGCCTGGAAACACACCAAAACAGAACCTCTTTAAAGCATAAATCATACAGGACCTACAAAACAAAAATACAAGGTAAAAAGCAAAAGCAAAAAACAAAAACAAAAAAATAACAAAGTACACAGGCAACAAAGAGTACGATGAACGCAAGGATTACCTCACATTTCAATACTAACATTGAATGTAAATCACCTAAATGCTCCACTTAAAAGATACAGAACTGCAGAACAGATAAGAACTCACCAATCAACTATCCACTGTCTTCAGGAGACTCACCGAACACATAAGGACTCACATAAAGTTAAAGTAAATGGGTGGAAAAAGCCATTTCATGCAAATGGACACCAAAAGCGACCAGAGGTAACTATTCTTATATCAGACAAAACAAACTTTAAAGCAACAGTGGTTAAAAGAGACAAAGAGGGACATTATATAATGATAAAAGGCTTGTCCAACAGGAAAATATCACAATCCTAAACATATATGCACCTAACACTGGAGCTCCCAAATTTATAAAATAATTACTAATAGACCTAAGAAATGAGATAGACTGCAATACAATAATGCTGGAGGACTTCAATACTCCACTGACAACACTAGACAGGTCATTAAGACAGAAAATCAACAAATAAACAATGGATTAACTATACTTTGGAACAAATGGACTTAACAGATACATACAGAAAATTTCTTCCAACAACCTCACAATACACATTCTATTCAACCGTGCATGGAACTTTCTCCAAAATGGACCACATGATAGGCCATAAAATGAGCCTCAATAAATTTAAGAAAATTAAAATTATATCAAACACACTATCGGACCACAGTGGAATAAAACTGGAAATCAACTCCAAAGGGAATCTTCAAAACCATGCAAATACATGGAAATTAAATAACCTGCTCCTGAATGAGCATTGGGTCAAAAACAAAATCAAGATGGAAATTAAAAAATTCTTCAAACTGAATGACAATAATGACACAACCTATCAAAACCTCTGGGATACAGCAAAGGCAGTGCTAAGAAGAAAGTTCATAGCCCTAAACACCTACATCAAAAAGTCTGAAAGTGCACAAACAGACAATCTAAGTTCACACCTCAAAGAACTAGAGAAACAAGAACAAACCAAACCCAAACCCAAACCCACCAGAAGAAAGGAAATAACCAAGATCAGAGAAATAAATGAAATTGAAAAAAACTACAAAAGATAAATGAAACAAAAAGCTGGTTCTTTGAAAAGAAAAATAACATTGATAGACCATTAGCAAGATTAACTAAGAAAAGAAGAGAGAAAATCCAAATAACTTCACTAACAAACAAAACAGGAGGTATTAAACCTGACACCACTGAAATACAAAAGATCATTCAAGGCTACTATAAACTCAGCAAAATTAAGTTACTTCCTCCTTAGTTTGGTAGCATCAATGTCCTGACCCAAATCCATATCATCTGACTTCTGATTTAGTGCTTTTCTTTAATATCTCCAGGAATCAAATAAAGCTCACTGTCCAAGGAGGCATGTTGCTTTCACCAGTGCTCCTCAATCCTGATATGCATTAAAATCACCTTATTAAGTATAAAGATTCCCTGGCCCCTACCCTTCCTCTGACTTTCTGACATAGTAGGTCTGAGAGTGTCATTGAGTGCAACAATGACAAGAAAATGGCAATGCAATGCTA
Source organism: Homo sapiens (assembly GCF_000001405.40). Taxonomy (NCBI): domain Eukaryota; kingdom Metazoa; phylum Chordata; class Mammalia; order Primates; family Hominidae; genus Homo; species Homo sapiens. The sequence goes on along the minus strand of NC_000001.11, from coordinate 89,001,848 downwards.
TGATTTTCTTGCATTGTTCCTGGATCTACAACCAGGAGTACTGGCCATTGGGAGCCTGAATAAGTTGGCTCTGGAATCCTTTTGGAATGACCCTGTAGCCTTCTCACTATCTGTATGACAAGGTGCTTCAGGTTTCCCTTATTCATTTCCTGTTTGCTGAAGCTACCATAGCTTAAGGCCTAAAATTGCTGGCCTGTATGGTATGTGTCTCTGTGCCAAAAATATTTTCAGTTTACAGAAGTATTTCTTCTCTTGTTTAAGTAATAAGTTGCTAGTTTTCCTTCTCTGAGTTTAGTGAAAGGAAATACAAGCTCCTCTGATCCACAGGGAAGGAGCACATCAAACACTGAGATCCTGACAAAAAAAAAGAAAAAAAAAGGCAGAAATCCCTCAGTGAAACCTGTCCAATCAGTCTTACAAATGACCAGGCTCAAGAATCAACAAAGCCAAATAAAGTGTTTCTACCAAAAAAATTTTAAAAAACATCAAGATTTAAGAAATACTTTTAATCTTTGATGCATTAAATAGTAAAACTAAAAATCAACATTTCAACATTCTGACAACTCTATGTGTATAACTTCTGCAACTCAAATGGACTAATTTCTGAAAAAAGCACAAACAAGCAACTAAAACTCACCCAAGTTAAAATAGATAACCTGAACTGTCATATAATTTCTAAAGAAACTGAAATGGAGTAAAAAAGTTAAGAATCTGAAAAACAAATCTCCACATCCAGATAGTTCCTCTTGACTGGCAAACCTTACTAAGCATTTTTTAAATAATTCCAATTCTTAATAATTTCTTTCAGAAAATATAAAAGGGAACATTTCCCAATTCATTCTATGAGCACAGCATCATCCTGATAACAAAATTAAACAAATACAGTACAAAAGTAAACTACAGACCATTATCCCTCATAAACATAGATGCAAAAATCCTCTACAAACTATTAACAAATCAAATCCAGCAATATAGAAAAATAATGCACACCAATCAAGTGGGATTCATCCTGTGGATGTAAAGCAGTTCAAAAATCAACTAGTGTAATTCACCACACTAAAAGTCTAAAGAAGGAAAAAAAATCACATGGTTATATAAATAGATAAAGAAAAAGCTTGATAAAATATGACAGTCATTCATATGAAAACTCAGCAAATAGGAGTGGAAATGAACTTCTTCAAACCGATCAAGGGCATCTGCAAAAACTCTACAGCTAACATCATACTTGATGAAACACTGAATCTTTTGCCCCTCAGATCTAGGAACAACACAAGAATGTTCACTCTCACCACTCCCATTCAACATTACATCGGAATTGTTAGTACAATGGAAGTGTTAGTGCAATTTGGGAAGAAAAGGATATAAAAGGCATATAGATCAGAAAGCATCAAATAAAACTGTCCTTATTTGCAGGCAACATTATTGCCTATGTAGAAAATCCCAGGTAATCTACAATAAAACTCTTAGAACTAATAAATGAATTTAATACAGTCAAAAGATACAAGGTCAGCACACAAAAATCAACCTTCAACAGTTTCTATATATAAGCAAAGAAAAACTGGAAACCAAAATTTTAAAAATGATACTATTTACAATAGCTACAAAAAAAGGAAACAAATAGATATAAATCTAACAAAGCATGAACAGGATCTGTATATTAAAACTACTCTAAGACCAAGAGACTGTCAGGATGGATCACAATTCCTGTATCTCCTTAGATTCCATCACCCTGTAGTTCTTATAATGCTCCTTCTACTCACAATAGAAAAGAAGGCTCAAGACCTTCTTTCTAGAGTTAGCCTTAACAAAGACTAACTTTAATGTTCTCCCATGTTTTATTATATAGATTTCCCCCCCAGTCTAACTCTAAAACAGTCCTTTTAGGAAGTTAGGTAAGACTACATAGAAAACAGCAATTGCTTAGGCTAGAGGAATTTATTCATTCAAGATAGTTGTTATCTACAAGATTCTCCGCCAAGGACTAGGAAACATGGTTGTGTTTCTCTCTTAAAGAGCTTAAAGTCTATGCTGAATACATATATTAAACAAATGAAAGAAAATTAAATACCCAGGAAATTGAGGGGAGAGCACATCTATGATTTAGGAAGGAGTTAATCTAATCCCCCTATAACAAGATAGTTCACACAGCTCTTTAGTATGTCTTAGCCCTATTTCACCTTATCAGTTAATTAGAGAAAAGAAAGAAAGAGAGAAAGAAAAGAAGGAAAGGAAGGAAGGAAGGAAGGAACGAAGGAAGGAAGGGAGGGAAGGAGGGAGGGAGGGAGGAAAGAAAGAGAGAAATCCAGTAGGGCATGGTAGTGTGTGCCTATAGTCCCAGGTACTCGAGAAGCTAAGGAGGGAGGATTGCATAAGGCCAGGAAGTCGAGACCAGCCTGGGCAACAGAGCAAGACCTGCCTCTTAAGAAAAACAAAAACAAAACAAAAAACAAAACAAAAAAAATCCTTGGAAATCTCTAAGGAAGCTGAGCATGGTGGCATACGCATGTAATCTCAGCACTTTGGAAGGCTGAGGCAGGAGGACTGCTTGAGCCCAGGAGTTCGAGGCTGCCATGAGCTATGATCCCACCACTGCACTCCAGCCTAGGCAACACAGCAATGAGACCCTGTCTCTAAAAAATAAAAAACAAATTTAAACAAATCAAAATTGGGAGAAGGGAGACGGGAAAAGAAAGAACCTATTACTTTGACCCAAACACAACTTCAAAATAATAATAATAATAATAATAATAATAGATATGAGCCCTGGCTATGTTGCCCAGGCTGATCTTGAACTCCTGGGCTCAAGCGATCCTCCCACTTCGGCTTCCCAAAGTGCTGGGATTACAGTTATGAGCCACTGCACCTGGCCCCAAACACAACTTTAATAGAGCAACATGCAGTCAGCATCCCTACCCAGTTGAATGAACTGGGTAAGTGAAAGAAATTAAGAAAGCAATGAGCACCATCTAGTGGCCAGAATTTTTATTTTTCCTCACAATATTTAATCACTACCTTACATTACTGATGAGTTTGTTCAAACTTACTGCCTGTCTCCCCTCCCTACTAGAAAATAAGGTCCAGTGGGCAGGGTCTTTGTCTTTTTTGTTCCTCACAGCATCAGTAGAGTCTAGAAAGGTTGCCAGGCACATATACATATAATAAATAATTTTTTTAAATGAATGAACATCTTATATACACTTTATTATCCCAACTCCATTCCTAACACTTCTCCCTGAAAGTTTACAATTATTAAACATCATATTGATTATTTCACGAGTTTGATAATTATTTATATTCTTGTGCTATTTATAATAGAATCTTCTCCCTCTACTCCCCACAAAGGATTTCATCAGTATCCCTTCTTTAAAGACCTAGAAAAGCTGGTGTTGATTAATATTCCTAACATTGCTCTAGGGATCTAACTGGCATGAAGCATCTAGCACTATCTTTGGGCCAGCATTGTGAACACTGCTGCAATAAACATGGGGGTGAAGCCATCCCTTTGATATACTAATTTCCTTTCTTGTGGGTATTTACCCACTAGTGGGATTCCTGGATGATATGGTAGCTCTGTTTTTAGTTTTTGTTGTTTTGTGTTTTTTTTTTTTTTTTTTTTTTCAGGAACCTCCAAGCTATTCTCCATAGTAGTTGTACTAATTTACATTCCTACCAACAGTGTACGAGGTTTCCCTTTTCTCCACACCCTTGCCAGCATTTGTTATTGCCTGTCTTTTGAATGTAAGCCATTTTAACTGGGGTGAGATGATATCTCATTGTAGTTTTTATGTGTAATTTGCATATTTTGAACCAACCTTGCATCCCAGAAATAAAGCCTATTGGTTATGGTGGATTAGCTTTTTGGTGTTGCTGGATTTGATTTGTTAGTATTTTGCTAAGGACTTTTGTGTCTGTAGTCATCAGGGATGTTGGCCTTTAGTTTTCTCTTTTTTTTTTTTTTGAGACGGAGTCCTGCTCTGTCGCCCAGGCTGGAGTGCAGTGCCTGGATCTCGGCTGACTGAAAGCTCCGCCTTCCGGGTTCAGGCCATTCTCCTACCTCAGCCTCCGAGTAGCTGGGACTACAGGCGCCCGCCACCACGCCCGACTAATTTTTTTGTATTTTTAGTGGACACGGGGTTTCACCGTGTTAGCCAGGATGGTCTCGATCTCCTGACTTCGTGATCCGCCCGCCTCGGCCTCCCAGAGTGCTGGGATTACAGGCGTGGGTCACTGCGCCCGGCTGAAGTTTTGTTTTTTTGCTGTGTCTCTGCCAGGTTTCGATATCAGACTGATGCTGACCCTCAGGGGTTAGTAAGGAGTCCCTCCTCCTTGATTTTTCTGGAATAATTTCAGTAGGATTATTGACAGCTCTTCTTTATACATCTGGTAGAATTCGGCTGTAAATCCATCTGGTCCACAGGTTTTTCTTGTTGGTAGGTTTTTTAGTACTGATTCAACTTGGATCCCATTATTGGTGTGTTCAGGATTTCAATTTCTTCCTAGTTCATTCTTGAGAGGTTATATGTTTCTGGGAATTTACCCATTTCTTCCAGGTTTTCTAGTTTGTGTGCACAGAGGAGTTCATAATAGTGTCTGGGTATTTTTTTTTTCTGTAAGGTCAATGGTAATGTCATATTTGTCATTTCTGATTGTGTTTATTTGGATCTTCTTTTTCCTTATTAATCTAATAGTCTTTAAATCTTATTCTTCCAAAGAAACAACTTTTGGTTTCATTGATCTTTTGTATGGATTTTGCATCTCGATTTCATTCAGTCTGCTCAATTTTGGTCATTTCTTTTCTTTTGCTAGTTCTGGAGTTGATTTGCTCGTTTTTCTAGTTCCTGTAGGTGTGATGTTAGGTTGTTCATTTGAGATCTTTCTAACTTCTTGATGTAGGCGTTTAGCACTATAAACTTTCTTCTTACCCCTGCTTTAACTGTGTTCCAGAGATTCTGATATGTTGTATCTTTGTTTTCATTAGTTTGAAAGACTTTTTTGATTTCTGCCTTAATTTCATTGTTTACCCAAACATCACCCAGGAGCAGGCTGTTTAATTTCCATGTAATTTATAGTTTTAAGAGATCTTCTGGGTATTGATTTCTATTTTTATTGTGCTGTAGTACTAGAGTGTGGCTGGTATTATTCCAGTTTTTTGCAATTTGTTGAGAATTGCGTTATGGTTGAGCATGTGGTCAACCTTAGAGTATGTGCCATGTGCAGATGAGAGGAATGTATATTCTGCGCCAAACTGATTTGTAAAGTCAAAATTCATTTTCCCTTTTTAAAAATTGTTCAAAGACTGTAAAGACTATCTGACTGATTCAAATCACAAATTCTAACAGTTAAGTTGCTATCAATACAGCCAAACGTGTATGTGAATAGACAGACAACAGATAAATGAGACACACATTTACCCTGATCAGCCTTTCCATGGGTTAAGTGTACAATTTCTATTATGGTTTTTGAAATAGTTGAACTAATGTTTGTATAGCTATTATTATCTGGCTAGGAAACATTAGTTTAATATTCTAATACACACACATAAATATTGCATTTAAAATACTTACGTGAGACTGAAAACTGAACATAATTCTCTAGAGCAGGATTATAAGGTGGAAAAGTCTTTAGGAACTTACAACCCCACACTTAGTTGTCTTGTTTCCTAGAGCAGTCCTTCTTAGTACTACTGTAGGGTTATAAGATAAAGGAAAATGTAGTCCTGCCTCCTTGACTCTTAGTACCTAGAAGTCACAGATACCTCTTCAGCAGCATTTTCAGATAATGAGGCATTGCTACTATCTTCCAACTTGTTTTCCTCCCTCACTCCTCTATTGTCACCTGGAAGACCCATGTAAAAGGAAAGCGGAATGCCTTTGGGAATCAACTAGAATAGTAGTCAGTAAACAATTACAGGCAAACTGTGGCTACACTTCAGGAAACAAATGTAAAAGAGTTAAACAAAATTGAAGTTGATTTATTTATCTGCAAATATAGATAATTGGTCCAGAGCTGGAGTGGTGGCTCCATGATGTCAGGGCTCAGGATCCTTGTCTCTCATTCTATTGCACTAGATCATCTTGAACTTGTAGATTCCATATGGTGGTCCAAGAGGGCTGCAGGCATCTTAGACCTGTACCATGCACCCAAACTGGCAGGTAAACTGCAAACCAAGGGAACAAGAAGGGCCTACCACTCCTTTAAGACATTTCATGGCAGCTGCACGTACAGCTCCCATTTATATGCCATTGGCCACAATTTGGTCATACAGCCAACCTAGCCATAACAGAGGGTGGAAATGCATTCTTTATACAATGCACCCATGTACTTTGCTGAAACTTGGGGACTCTATTACTATAGATTTAAAAACAGATTGTGACCCAAAAAAAGTTTTTTTAAAAAAATAGAAGAGAGTATCAAATAGTGGGGGATAAATAGCAGCCCCATCCTAAAGTTTCTCTTTCCCTTTTTCGTAACGACCAATGTTATAGTACTTACTAAGGACTGAGTACTCTCCTAAATATTGTTGGTTTTGTTTTGGTTGATTGATTCATTAAATCATTTAATCCTTACAATAACACTCTGAGTAGGGTTCTATTATTCACTTTTTACAATTGAGGAGACTGAAGCACAGAGAAATGAAATAACTTGCCCAAGGTAACACAGCTAGAAAATCGCAGAGGTGGAATTTGAACCAGGCAATTTGGCTTATCCATTATGCTATACCCCTTTCTCTCTGTTATATTTCAAAATATTTTTAGTTCTTTAGAAGAGGCAAGGAAAAAGGCCTAATCTACATAATTTTTTATTCAGAAAACAAGGGTATAAGGGTAATTTTTTATTCAGAAAACAAGGGTATAAGGTAATATAAGGGTAATATTAGGGTATAAGGGTAATTTTTGTATTCAGAAAACAAGATAAAAGGGTAAAGGGCAATATACCTATTAGCTAGTAATTTCTTTTTCTTTTTTTTTTTTTTTTTTTTTTGAGATGGAGTCTCACTCTGTCACCCAGGCTGAAGTACGGTGGCACAATCTCGGCTCACTGCAACCTCTGCCTCCCGGGTCGAAGCAGTTCTCCTGCCTCAGTCTCCTGAGTAGCTAGGATTACAGGCATGCACCACCACCCCTGGCTAATTTTTTTGTATTTTTAGTAGAGACAGGGTTTCACCATGTTGGTCAGGCTGGTCTCGAACTCCTGACCTGATGATCCACCCACCCACCTTGGCCTCCCAAAGTGCTGGGATTACAGGCGTGAGCCACCATACCCGGCCTATTAGCTAGTAATTTCAAGGACTCACTTACACGGCCTTTTTGTACATTCAGGGCCTTTTCAACTCCTATTTCCCTTTCCAGAATCATTTTTGCAAGGCTGCTTCCTTACCATTCAATTCTGAGTTCTAATGTCACCTCCTCAAAAAAGACTTCCTGACCATCCTATTTAAATTTGCAGCTATCTCCACCCATCACTGCTTCTTTCATAGCACTTACCACCCTCTAAAGTCATTTTTTATACTTACTTGTCTATTGCTTGTCTCTCCCTACCAGAATGTAAGGTTTAAGACACATGTTTTCTCTACCTCATTCTTCCCAGTTGCCTCAACATTATATGAGAAAAAGAAAAACAGCCCTTGGTGTCACGAACAGAACTGACACTTTAGTGTTGTTAGGAATTGACTGCGGTGTTCCCCTGTTAAAACATAACACTCTCATAAAACACTAACATCATACCAGGTCATTCTGTGATCATAATGAAGTGAGACAACAAACAAGATCACACTATTTTTGCCTAACCAGATTTTTAAAAAGGTCACTGTGCAAACTACAAAAATACCAAACTATCCTCCTCCCCCAGCTAATATGATTGTTGCTTCTTTGCCGATTACAGCTTTAGCCCTACACCTTTCCTCCTCCCCCAGCTAATATGATTGTTGCTTCTTTGCCGATTACAGCTTTAGCCCTGCACTTTTCCTCCCTCCTAAAGGTGAGATGTAGTATGATCACCAATCGCGGGGGACCCCACAGCCAGTGCGCGCTGAGTCACACTCCACAGCCAATCCCAGGCCACATCCAGGCTCGCCCCTACCTGTACACAATAATTTCTCCATGCACCTAACCGTCTTCTGAAACTTCCTGTACCTAGTTGAAGAGTATATTCCTTTAATCAATGTATACTTTTGTTCCCTCCTTTAGAACTGAATAACAATGCTAACGCCTCTCCCACTCCCTCTAGCCTCTCATCCTCTTAAAATAGAAGAGGAAAAATATCCAAACATAAAATTCAATTTTTAACAAAAACTCTCCTTTCGCTGACACTGCCCTCCCCAAAGAAGTCACCAGTGGTTTCCTTGTTTTCCTAGAGAATTTTCTTTTTCGCTTTTTAGTGTCATTTTTCTTCCTTCTTCAGTCTCACATGTCCCTTTCATTCTTAGTTTGCTGATCAAACTCATATCCAGGAAAGTGAAGTTCCTTTACGCTTTTTAACCCCACACCCCCATCTCAAATGACAAATGCATCTAGGAACCCCTTTTCACACTCTCTCTAGCCCTGCCCTCTCTCAGGCACCTTCCAAAGTTATTCCAACCCGATCCCTCCACTTGTACAAGCCCAGCGGCCCCACAGCTTGCCCATCCTTGCAAACCAGTCCTCGTCCTATAACCTGCCCCAACCCGATCAGTCGCATACATCCGATTCGAGCCCTGGGGCCAAATTCCATACCCATATCCAAGTCCCCGCCCCACTAACTCGAGCCCGCACCTACGCATGCCTGAACCAGCATGTGATCCCGGCCGACTCCACAGCCAATGGAGTTCCCTGAGTCCACACCCATAGCCAATCCCCGGCCACGTCCAGGCCATCCTCCATCTTGTCCCCTTCCTCACTCAAGCCCAACCCGTGGCCCCCACCCCTTCCCTCCTCCATTTCCATCCATTCCGCGATCGCGGCGGACCCCACCGTCATCGCGCGCCGTGAGTCACACTCCACAGCCAATCCCTGGCCACATCCGGGCTCGCCCCCGCCCCGCCCCCTTGTTCCCGCAAGCCCGGAACTGCCCAAATCCCGCCCCTCCCCTCCCAAAAAAACACCCCTCATCCAGTCTCTTCCAGCCTAGAGATCCTGGCCTACCCCTCCGCCAAAGCGCGCACTGAGTGCAAACCCCAGAGTCAATCCCTGTCCCGGCTCCGCCCCCCGCGTCCGAATCCCGCCCAGCCGGGCCCTCAAGCCCAGTCGGGACTCGAGCCTAGGGAGGCGAGGTTCCCGCACCGGATAGGTGAGTGGGGCGGGCGCGCGGCGCGGCGCGGCGCTTCCGTGCGGACTGACTAGGGCCGTCCCGGCGTACGGGGCGAGGGAACGGAGGTCGGGCTCCTCTTGCCGGAGTCGCTGCGGGGCCGCCTGCGGGGGTGGCTGCAGGGAGTCGGCCCTAGATTAGCAGTTTGAGGGGAAGGCGCCGAGGTGACTGGCCTCCAGGGGGGAATCCCCTAGACCCGGGTCACCGTCTTGGCGCTTTTACTCTTGATTTCGCTGTTTGGGCTTTTAGAAGGCAGTCTGAGAAGAATGACTTTGGGACTCTTAATTTAAAAATACGAAAGAGGCTCACCCCTGTAATCGCAGCACTTTGGGAGGCCGAGGCGGGCGGATCACGAGGTCAGGAGATCGAGACCATCCTGGCTAACACGGTGAAACCCCGTCTGTACTAAAAATACAAAAAATTAGCCGGGCGTGGTGGCGGGCGCCTGTAGTCCCAGCTACTCGGGAGGCTGAGGCAGGAAAATGGCGTGAACCCGGGAGGCGGAGCTTGCAGTGAGCCGAGATCGGGCCACTGCACTCCAGCCTGGGCGACAGAGCAAGACTCCGTCTCAAAAAAAAAAAAACCAAAAGAATACCAAGGCTGTTACGTTGCCTTATAAATGAAGCTTAGCAGAATCCAACATTTGTAGTTAAAACAGAAAGGCAGTCTGTTGCTTTTGGAGTCGAGTGGCGCAGAAATCCTTCCTTCGCTTCGCCCACGCGTGGCTCCTTGGCGGCCACCTGAGGGGGACTGGGGCTGCAGGTCAGCCCTTAGCAAGTCTGACTTCGGGAGCCAAAACCGAATTCCTGCTATCAGCCAGGCAGCCGCACTGCTTTCCTTCTGGAGAAGTTTATAGTTACACGAATCCATTTTCATAGAACAGTTTTTCAGCAATTTCAGGCTCGTGTCTCCTTAAAGCATATGCTGCCCAACTTTGGCTAATTCTTTCCGCTCTTGTTCTAAAGACGTGGCTTTGAAGCGCATCCTTCCACTGTACTCCCCCGTCCAGGACTTTGTTCACCGTCTAGATACCCTCTGTTGTATCGGTGAACCTTATAAACATTCTAGAAGCAAACTAACAAGGTAGAGTGTGAAAGGAAAATCATCTTTACAGTGGTCGGACTCTTGTAACAGTGTGGGCGGCGCATTATTAGCTGTAGCCCTTTTTGCCTCATGTTAATCTTGCTTGAACTTGCAGTTAACCCAGATGTTCTGGACTTTGTCAAATTAAATCTCTTACTACCTCTCCTCCCCATGTGTGAAGTATAAATTGATCATTTGGATTTAAGTCTAGAGCTTTAAGTTTCTTAGGATTTATTTTGACGGGCTTGTCTGCCTTTTAGCTTTATATTCGGCCCCCCAAAATTCACCAGCTTTCTCAGCTTCGGGCCACCCCCAAATCTGCCAAGCATACTTTCTGAATCTTCATTTTAAACAGTCTAAACCGTTGATAATAAATCGACAGTTTCATTTCTATAGATCATGCGTTTTGGAATATGGACTTTATGCATAATATGCTATAATTAGATCACGTAGATCATCCTGATTCATAAGTTGCCAGGTTTTCTTCACAGAAATTGTTTTTAGGGAGAAACTAGAAAAATACAATGAAAATATTGTTTAGAATTAAAAGCCATATACCTTTTTATTTTCTCCAACTTTTCGATGACATCTAAATTTAATGTATTTATCTCATTTGTGAATATATATATATGCAATGTTGATTGCATTAGAAAATGCTGCTCAAAATACTTAATAAAATGCAGATGTAAACTAGCTTGATTCAAAGGTTCTGAGTCTGCATTTTTTATCAGCCTGCTTAGATTTCTTCAGAGCCATTTTTTCACCTATGCTCCCACAGTTCCTTACACAATGAGATTACCTAGTGAGAGGGTCATAAGTGAGATGGAAAGAGAGCCTAGGTCTAGGTCTTGGAATTCCATCATTCAATGGCGGATTGTGGGAGAGGCAGGAGATAAATGAGAGATTGTAAGATGTCAAAAGCCAAGGGGACATGGTGTTTCTCAGGGGAAAAAGGGCTTGCCTGCCAGTATCTAAAGCTGCAGAGAGCTCTAGGAAAGTGAGAATTGCAAAATGTCCACTGGATTTAACAATATGAAGGTCAAAACTGACTTTAGCAAGAGTTGCCATTATGGAGTAATGGGTGAAAAGTCAGACTGCACTGGGTTGAGGAGCGTAGATTGAGGAAAAGGAGAGAGCTAGTAAAATGAGCAACAGGGAGATGGTACAGTCAAGAGTTTTATTTTTTGTGTTTTTTGTTTGTTTTTTATGTTTTTTAACCGGGAGAGACAAACAAAGTTGAATATGCAGGAGTAAAGAGGTAATAATCAGTGAAGCAAGGTATCCGTAGAGGGAATGAGATCTAAGTCGTGGAGGAGAGGCGATCCTTTTAAAGGAGGGTAATTTCCTTTATTATACTGGGAAGGAAAAAACAAGGATTTTTTAGATTTGGGAAAGTAGAGAGCGCAATCTGCTTGGACTGAGGAAGAAGGTAGAGGGATTTAGTTTAAAGGAGTGTGGGAAAAATTTAAAGAATCATTTTGGACTATGGGAGACAAGTGTTACCTACAAAATATAGTAGAAATGCTGCAGTGTTGGGGGTCAATTTAAGACTGATGACCACAAATCTGTGGTGAAACCAATATCCCGTGGGACTTTCTCCAGCAGTCCACAGCCAGGAAGTACATTGCATGATGGAGGTAATGTGCTGTAGAAGACAGATAGGAGAGAGGGGTTTGGGATTTAGGCTTTGAGATTTCAAGATGAAAACAAGTAGACTTAGATTTAGGGGCAGCTCCCTAAGAAGGAAGGTGGGCATTGAGGCCTGGTACCTAGAGAGTATGGCTCACCCAGTCTGGGGTGAAATCTCCCAGAAGCTGCACTCCAAGCTTACTTGCTTTTATTATTAGCACATTACCTCCATCATGCAATGTAATTCCTGGCAACTGACCCAGGTCTTCCTTTCTCTTCCATTTTCCAAAGTTTCAGCTGTGTCTTTTGGGACAGCTGCGCCATAATCAGCAAATTCCATTGTATCTTTATGTCGTTAGAGGGTTCCCGCTACTTGCTTGCTTTAACTCAAACCTTATTAATTTATTCACCTATTGTGAAAAATGGAGAAACTGAGGCCCAGCAAGAGTCCATAACTTGACTACAGATAGAAACTTTTTTTAAGATTGAATTCTGCTTTAATCTCTTAATGTGGTGAATCACATTAATAGGTTTCTTATATAAACCCAACCCCCCTTGGTCATGATGTATTATCCTTCTTGTATACTACTGGGTTTGATTTGTTAGCGTTTTATATAGAAGCTCTATTTAGTTTCCATAGATTAGGTCTCTTTTTCTCTAAGGTTTGATAACTGTTAGACGACATGCCATCCACTGATACAGCAGCCTTATACAGTAGACTTAAGAGAACAACATTCTCAGAGTAAAACCTTATGAGAAATATCTATTTGCCTGAATGTTTTTAGAAAGCTGGGTTTTCTTTCCACTTCTAAGTGGCAGTATTGTAATAGTTTCATTGCCTTGATCTTCCTCCATTTACCCATGACGGATATCAATTTTATACTTACAGGTAGAGAAGCAATTCAGAATGCATGCCTATCATGCCACTGGAATCCACTAAAATGGCTTGTGGGAATTGTTGGAGGAAGTACCTTCAGAATAACCTAAGATTCACTCATATATTCTTTATATTTATCAAGGACCTACTATCATTCGTCTTTTCAAACAACTTTTTAAATAACTGTTTCTAACAACTTTAATTTACTGTTACAAACTATGCTTTTACTAGTGACTGTTATCCAGAGGATTCTGAAATTTGAGTAGTTCCTAGATTGAAATACTCTGGATTTTATAGCTGCTAGAAATGGAACTTTCACTTTCTGAAATTTAATGCTCTTGACTAAATTAAAGCCTTATTTTTTTAATTAAGAATATTCTTAAAGCTCTCTAGTTTAAAATGATGTGAATATAAATTTGTGTAGGAAGAATACATTTATTAGAATGCCTCCAGTGATGAGAGATTATATCATAGAAAGAAAACTTGAAAGAAAGCAAACTCACTTATCAAAAATGTTTACTTGGATTTTACGTAAGCTTATGATACATCAGCTAGCTGTAAGTGTCTGATAGTGATGTACCCATCATATATTTATTCCTCTTCTCAATTTTTCTTTTATTTAATAGCATGTTTTTGGCCCAGAGGAGCCTCTGCTCTCTTAGCGGTAGAGCAAAATTCCTGAAGACAATTTCTTCTTCCAAAATCCTCGGATTCTCTACTTCTGCTGTAGGTATTGCTTACTTACAGATAAATTATTGTACATATTCTGCACTGTCCAAAAAATATGTAATTTTTCAGATGCTTTTTTACAAATACTTTATTGAAATGAACATTTCTATTACATATGCTGAAGGTGTCTCTTGTCATTGACTAGAATTGACATTCACTGAGCAACTGCTTGCCTGTCTGTGGATCAGGCCATGTGCTGGTCATTATATATTCATTACCTCATTTTGTCTTCACAAAACCCTTCAAGTTATGAATATAGGTCCAGTGGCATGGGAAAAAAGTAGAAGAGGATATTTCAGGAGGACTGCTCAGGGATCGAAAAAGGTTTAAAACCCATAACCACCAAATACAATACGTACATCTGCTTTAGGAACTTGATTCAGTCAACCAAAATGCAGAAAGACATTTTTTAAAGACAATCAGAGAGATACGAATGTGGACTGGGTATTAGATGTTAACAAGAAATTATTGTTGGTGAGGTGTGGTAATGAAATTGCAGTTATATAAGTAGCAATATTTTTTAGATAATATGCCAAGTATGTAGGGATGTAATGACCTAAGGTCTAAGATTTATTCTAAAGTTACTCAGCAATTACAGAAAAAAAGAGGCAAAATCTTGAGAATTACTGAATCTGGGTAGTGTGCATATGAGTGTTTTATATTAGGTTAAAGTATATGAAATTGCTATTTTTGTATGAAAATTCCATTTTTGGCATATGAAGTACCATTTTTGTCATAACTGGTTGAATATTGACAATTTTGTATTCAACCTAATTCTAATCTCTCAACTGGTTTAAAATTTTCTCAGTGGTTTAAAATTTTCATAAAAACCATCATCAGTGTCTTCTATATGTAAATCTTATGAATTCTACCTCATAACTGTCTTGAATTCTCTCCTCTTTATGCCACCGTGACCACCTTTTTCAGGCCCTCTCCCAACATAGAAGTCGGTTGAAGCCAGGGAAGTGGTTGTGCTTCCCCAAGGTGAACATATGAAACCATGGCACTAAAAGGGCATTTGTGTGCACAATCCTCATTTGTGGAACTTTTATTAGACTACGTATGCCAGGGCTCACCATTATGCATTCTAATTCTACATATCTGGAATGTATTTTGAAAAATCTTTCCAGCTGATTCTGATGTATGTCCCAGGCAAAAACCACTGACAATGCATTATTCAAACTTGTGGACTATTTGGGATAGCACTAACCCCTCTCCATACCTAGCAGTGGAATGGTTGGGTTGTGTGGTAGCTTTATGTTTAATTAAGTAACTGCCAAAGTGTTTGTATCATTTTAACTACATTGGAAAAGTGTCTACAGTTCATCAGAGGCTTTGCATTTAAAATAGTCGCACAGGGATAAAGATAAATATTCTTCCTATTGCTGGACGAATGAAAAACACTGGCCAGTGTTACAAAAGCAATAGTGATAAGTTTAAATCAAGAAAGACTTGTCAGAACCAGCCAGATAAGTTACTGTGAACTTACTTAGAATATTCGTTTCATCCACATCATCCTTAATGTCATGAAAATCTGCCGGGAAGGGAATAGAATGAAGGATAGGCTGTATTTTCCTGTATTACTTGCTTTTTTACAAAAACATTTTACATATTCTCTAATTTTAAAGAATGTTTTGAATGCTAAAGGAAAAATGTAGGCGGGGCGCAGTGGCTAACACCTGCAATCCCAGCACTTTGGGAGGCTGAGGCCAGTGGATCGCTTGAGACCAGGAGTTCAAGACCAGCCTGGGCAACATGGCAAAACCTCATCTCTATTAAACATACAAAACATTAGCTGGGCACACACCTGTAGTCCAGGATGGTCTCAATCTCCTGACCTTGTGATCCACCTGCCTCGGCCTCCCAAAGTGCTGGGATTACAGGCGTGAGCCACCGCGCCTGGCCCTAAAATAGTCTATTAATTTTTTTTTTTTTAAGAGAGTCTAAAATTTAAATGTCCACCAGAGAAGCGCAAAAGCAACACTGGACAAAACCTTTTCCTTAGGTCTGTCCTTCCTTAAGGAAATCAACTCTCTCTGTCTCTCTCTCTCTCTCTTTTTTTTTTTTCATACAGTCTCTCACTCTTGCCGCCCAGGCTGGAGTGCAATGGCGCAATCTCGGCTCACTGCAGCCTCCGCCTCTCGGGTTCAAGCAATTCTCCTGCCTCAGCCTCCTGAGTAGCTGGGACTATAGGTGCCCGCCACCACTCCCGGCCAATATTTGTATTTTTTGTAGAGACGGGGTTTTGCCATGTTGGCCAGGCTGGTCTCAAACTACTGGGCTCAAGTGATCCACCCTCCTCAGCCTCCCAAAGTGCTGAGATTACAGGCATGAGTCACTGCGTCCAGCCCAACCCTCTCTTTTGATGTGAAAGTATCACCTTTTGTACATTTAGTCCATACCCAATATCTCTTTGCCTCCTTTAGTGCAAAGTTACTCATCCTTACTTGTATCTAAGAGAATCTTTCCTACTTTCTGAGTGGGCACTAGTTTTGGAGTATATATATTGTATGCCATGAACTATATTTTTCTGCTTATGGCTTTGCCTCATTTAATTGCCATAGCACTTACATGGGGCAGGTATTCATTTTCCTGCTTAGCAAATAAGGAAACTGAATTTCAGAGATGTCAGGTAACCTGCCTACTTCACACACTAGGAGTTTTGATGTTTAATTTTGAACTAAGATCTATCTGGCTTGAAAGCTCTTTGCATTAAACAACCTTGAACAATATACTTGGAACGTAGGTGTGTTTTTGGCACAGAACATGGCATGTGTGTGAGGGATTGAACACAGACTTGCCCAGATTCAAACTTACCAATCTTCTGTTTCATGTGCCCAGAAGAAACAGCCTGTTTCTCAGCCTCAAACCCAAACTTCTAGTTGTCTTGATTGGTTCAGCCTGACTGTCCAACTCTGATTTATAGCTGTGATTGGGGGAGCTGAGATTACACAGTGTAGGCAGGCAGAAGGGCCCCAGGCCTATTGATATGGGTGAGGACAATACTCACGCACTCCCTTCACTTACTCACTCTTCCAAGGTCTTGGCTTGAACCCAATTTTTTTTGAGAGAATAAACCAGGCTTTTTGTTCTCCACTTGGCCTGACTCCATTTCTGGCATTCCAGCCATGTATTTAGCTGTTATCAGCTTTCAGATTTAGAGAAAGCCTTGTTTCCAATAAGCTTGTTTCTCTGAAGTAATTGTTAAAATATAATTTTCAGAAAAAGGTTAAATCATGACTCATACAAATATAAAAATGAACATGTGCTAAAGATTTTTATTTCACTCATGTGATATGAAGTAACCAGACAGAAGTTATAACCAGTACATATGGAAAGTCAAAAAGCACAAATTCATATGTAGTAAAGGAATTGGATTGCAAATGAAGGCAAAACTGTTTTTTCTACAGGGTGGAGGGAAGATAATCAAAATGCTAGAACCAGAATTTGCATGCCTGTCACTTAGCTTCAATTTACAAAAGCCCAGAATAACTCAAAGGCAAATTCTAGCCCTGCAAATATCAGCCCTAAAGCTGTGCTGTGGCCAGTGCATAGTTTTCTATTGAAGTACAATTTTTTCCCCAAATACATTATCTCTCAGAGGGAGTCCAAATTGCTTCCCTTTCACTCAGCAGATCTGTTCAGTCAACAGATGTTAAATAGCTACAGCGTATCAGGCACAAATAATTCTTTATAAAATAAAGTAACAAACTATATGTTGTTTCAAAGTTCCAGTTAAGGCCAGCCGTGGTAGCTCACCCTTATAATCCCAACACTGGGAGGCCGAGGCAGGCGGATCACTTGGGCTAGGAGTTCCATACCAGCATGGCCAACATGGTGAAACCCTGCTCTACTAAAATACAAAAATTAGCCAGGTGTGGTGGCGCATGCCGGTAATCCAAGCTACTCAGGTGGCTGAGGCACAAGAATGGCTTGAGCCTGGGAGGCAGAGGTTGCAGTGAGCCAAGATTGCGCCGCTGCACTCCAGCCTGGGCAACACTGTGAGACTCCTGTCTACAAAAAAAAAAAAAAAAAAAAAAAAAAGCAACAAAAAAAGGGCTCCTGTTAATTATACACACTTTTGAGCTTAATATAATTGCATTTTTTATGTATCTTTAAGCATCTTTCCCTGCTTTACATTTCCACTTCTGAGTTTTACTTTCATTTCTTCCACCATTACAGGAACATTCTGTTGTTTTCCTCTGCCATCTAGTGGCAAAAGAAAGTAATTTTCCTGGTTTTTTGAATGGATAGCCATACCTTAAAAAGCATCCAGATTGCGCAGTAGTGCTAGCGGCTTCGCGGTTCAGTCCTCCTAACTGACAGCCGCCACTGGTGCTGAGCTGCTAGGAAGCCCCTGTCGGCGAGCTTGTTGGAGCTTGAACCCACTGTCACCCCTCCGACTCACCGGCAAAAAAAAAAATGGTTGAAGCAGATCGCCCAGGAAAGCTCTTCATTGGTGGGCTTAATACGGAAACAAATGAGAAAGCTCTTGAAACAGTATTTGGCAAATATGGACGAATAGTGGAAGTACTCTTGATAAAAGACCGTGAAACCAACAAATCAAGAGGATTTGCTTTTGTCACCTTTGAAAGCCCAGCAGACGCTAAGGATGCAGCCAGAGACATGAATGGAAAGTCATTAGATGGAAAAGCCATCAAGGTGGAACAAGCCACCAAACCATCATTTGAAAGAGGTAGACATGGACCGCCCCCACCTCCAAGAAGTAGAGGTCCTCCAAGAGGTTTTGGAGCTGGAAGAGGAGGAAGTGGAGGAACCAGGGGACCTCCTTCACGAGGAGGACACATGGATGATGGTGGATATTCCATGAATTTTAACATGAGTTCTTCCAGGGGACCACTCCCAGTAAAAAGAGGACCACCACCAAGAAGTGGGGGTCCTTCTCCTAAGAGATCTGCACCTTCAGGACTAGTTCGCAGCAGCAGTGGAATGGGAGGAAGAGCTCCTCTATCACGTGGAAGAGATAGTTATGGAGGTCCACCTCGAAGGGAACCGCTCCCCTCTCGTAGAGATGTTTATTTGTCCCCAAGAGATGATGGGTATTCTACTAAAGACAGCTATTCAAGCAGAGATTACCCAAGTTCTCGTGATACAAGAGATTATGCACCACCACCACGAGATTATACTTACCGTGATTATGGTCATTCCAGTTCACGTGATGACTATCCATCAAGAGGCTATGGCGATAGAGATGGATATGGTCGTGATCGTGACTATTCAGATCATCCAAGTGGAGGTTCCTACAGAGATTCATATGAGAGTTATGGTAACTCACGTAGTGCTCCACTTACACGAGGGCCCCCGCCATCTTATGGTGGAAGCAGTCGCTATGATGATTATAGCAGCTCACGTGATGGATATGGTGGAAGTCGAGACAGTTACTCAAGCAGCCGAAGTGATCTCTACTCAAGTTGTGACAGGGTTGGCAGACAAGAAAGAGGGCTTCCCCCTTCTGTAGAAAGGGGGTACCCTTCTTCACGTGATTCCTACAGCAGTTCAAGCCGCGGAGCACCAAGAGGTGCTGGCCCTGGAGGAAGCCGATCTGATAGAGGGGGAGGCAGAAGCAGATACTAGAAACAAACAAAACTTTGGACCAAAATCCCAGTTCAAAGAAACAAAAAAAAGAGTGGAAACTATTCTATCATAACTACCCAAGGACTACTAAAAGGAAAAATTGTGTTACCTTTTTTAAATTCCCTGTTAAGTCCCTTCCGTAATTTTTATGTTCTTGTGAGGAAAAAAGTAAAACATGTTTAATTTTATTTGACTTTATGACATTGCTTTTCAACAAGCAAATGTTAAATGTGTTAAGCCTTGTAGTACTAGTGTTGTAACTTTCCAAGTAAAGGTGTCCCTAAAGACCACTTCCTATCTGGTTTTTCCCAGTAAATGAGGCAAGCAATTCTAAGATCTTCCACAAAACATCTAGCCAACTAAAATGGAGAGATGAATCATTCTGCCTATACAAACAAGCTAGCTATTAGAGGGTGGTTGGAGTATGCTACTCATAAGATTTCAGGGTGTTTTCTAACTGAAATCTCACTGTTCTCAGTATGCAAAACCTGAAATCAGATGCCTATGTAAGGAAAGTGCTATTCACCCAGTAAACCCAAAAAAAGCAAATGGATAATGCTGGCCATTTTGCCTTTCTGACATTTCCTTGGGAATCTGCAAGAACCTCCCCTTTCCCCTCCCACAATAAGACCATTTAAGTGTGTGCTAAACAACTACGGAATACTAAATAAAAAGTTTGGCCAAAACCAACCATGAAGCTGCAAAGGTGCTTGCTCTTACTCTTTCAAATTTTTGCAACTCTAATGTCTCACTTTTAAAGGAACAGCTTGATTGCAAAGGAGAAAATAGATAAGCAATGAATTTATCTCCAACTTCCTAAAGGCTTATGACTTCTAAAAAGTGAATCTATCAGCATTCCACATCAGATTTAAAGCATCAAATGCCTGTGAAACAGCAAAGATGGTTGAAGATTGTGCTCATTATGTTTGTGGAGTGCTGATTGATTCACAGTAGATAACGCTGGCAGTAAGAGAAATCAAATGCTAAGAGTTGTTGAAGCAGAAGGCGGCTGATTGTTGGTAAGTCAGTGCAGTTGCATAAGCAGTGCTGTCAGAATTGGTTTGGTGCAGGCAATAGATTTTGCCTTCAAGGGTTCCTGTGGATCTCAGGAAGGCATCAGTGTTGATTAACACTCATAACTAGGGAGTGAGTGGTAGTTACTTAAGTAATTGACCAAATGGAAAAGGGGAAGTAATTAAGGAAATTGGTAAGTGGAGGTAGTCAGGAGGTTCTCGTGGTCCTTTACACAGATTTTACAGCTTTGGGTTTCATTTTGTTTAGCTAAAGTCATGGGGACAACTCTTCAATTTAGAACTTAAGATGAATTATAAAAATGATGGATATAAGTGGTAGCTCTATCTGGTGAAGTGTCTTGTCAGTAAGTGAAACATTTTTTTGTGGTGGCTTATCCACAAACAGTTTAGTTGTAGAATAAAACTTATGAGTGACATCTGGAAAGTAACAACCATGCTAAGATGGCAAACACACTGGAAACAATTGGGCCACTTGGCTTTCTTTTGCTGTATTGTTTTATAAGCCTGCTTTACCTCCCCGTCTTGGAAACAAGTTTTAGTTTATTGCTTTGGAGACTAGAGCCAATAGTGTAATGTTCTCAAAGGAAACAGACTTGAGTTGTTGGATTAGAGGAACTAACTCAACTTCTAATTTTTTTTGTTGTAATTATGGCACTGTCATGTTTTAACATTTGCAACTAGGGATAGTAAGTACAACATTTTTAACTCTCATTTGGCAGACTACTACTAATCACAGACCACAAGGGTAATGACCAAATTTATGTGGTTGTTACACTTCCATAGTTGTCTTAGCCGAATCCTTCCATATTCTTATGATTACTTGGGTTAAAGCTTCTGTGAGGACCTTTTGGCTCTTAAGATATCCTAAATATTTAAAATATTTAGATATCCTAAATATAGGATATAGAGTTTGTACCAAATATGAATGAATATTGTTCAAAGCAAGGAGTATGTTAAAATGACCAGACACCTGTTTGATAAATAGTTTACTGAACTAGCAGACGTGTGGAAAAAGAATCAGATCTTGATTCTTCTGGGTTTATACTGGTTGTAAAACAGAATGATATTAGAAAATGTTTTCCTTGTTTAAGTGGTAGTTGAACATAGAACTTGGGTATTATAGATCACTTTTCACTTTTTGGAATGTTTTGTATTGAAACTTAATACAACTTTAACATGGCAAAAAAAAAAAAAATCCAAAATCTATGAGATAATTTTGTTAAAGTTGGCTTGCTTGGGCGGGTGCTTGGTCCAGAGGGAGAAAAGAAGGCATGATTTCAGAATACTCTGGCAGCTTTTTAAATTCAGCTTTATCAAGTTACAGTAAACTGTATCTGTTTAGAATTACAACTCAATGGTTATTTTGACAGATGTATATGCCATGAAGCCACTGTCACCATCAACATGCAGAACACTTCCATCGCCCCCAAAAGATTCCTCAAGTTCCTTTGCAGTCCATCCCTCACGCTGCTGATTTGTCTTTGTCACCATATATTAGTTTGCTTTGTGGTGGTGTTTAGTATTTTATATAAATGGGATTGTGTAGCATGTACTTTTTTGTTTATGGTTTCTTTCACACACAATGACTTTGAAATTCACCAGGTTGCAGTGTATCAGTAGCTTATTCCTTTTATTGCTGAGTAGTGTCCCATTATGTGAATATGCCATTATTTGTTTTTCTACTCACCTGTTGATGGACCTTGGGATTGTTTCCAGTTTGGGGCTACTGTGAATAAAACTGTTAGGAACATTTGTGTACAAGCCACTGTGTAGACATAGGTTTTCCTTTCTCTTGGGTAAATACCTACCAGTAAAATGGTTGGGTTGCATGGCAGATTTATGTTTAATAAAGTAACTGCCAAACTGTTTGTTTTCCAAAGGGGCTATACCCTTTTATATTCCCACCAGGGTTGTATAGAGTTCCAACTGCCAACACTCAGTTTTCAGCCATTCTGATGGGAATCTAGTGGTATCTCATTGTGGTTTTATTTTCATTTCCCCGGGTGACTAATGCTGGTAAGCATCTTTTAAGGTACTTTTTGGCCAGTTGTATATTTTCTGTGAAGTGGCTGTCAAATCTTTTGCCCACTTTTAATTGGATTGTTTGTCTTATTGAGTTGTAAAAGTTCTTTATATATACTGTATTAAAGTCCTTTGTAAGACACATGTTCGTAAATACTTTTCTTTCATTATATGGCTCAGAATCTGGCAACTTTTTAAGAGATACTTGAGCCCACTGAATGATATATAGATCTTATAGTTTTTTTAAGTCAAGCCTTAATAATAATTAACATTTTTTGAGTGTTCATCTCTCAGTCCCTCTATGGCCATGAAGGTGGGAGATGTGACTCTGTTTAGTCTCAAGTAAAGAAATGCAAACTGAGATAATGGGTACAAATGGAGATGAAGCAAAGCCCTGTGATGTTCAAGTTCCTGGTTTCTGTTACCATTCAGTCTGGCTGGACCTCTGCCTTTCCCATGGTAACATGACCTTTCTAATGAATTCTCCCTTTTCATCTAAACTGTTTCAGATTGAGTTTCTCTCACATAACTAAGAGATCTGATTACTATAGCTTCGGAGCTTCTAAGGCATCTTATGCACTTGTCTCTTCCCCACTGTTCAATCTGAAGCATGTACTCTGCCCTTTAGCAAAAATCACAACTCCACCAGGTGTGGTGGCTCATGCCTGCAATCCCAGCACTTTGAGAGGCCAAGGCAAGAGGATTGTGTGAAGCCAGGAGTTCGAGTCCAGCATGGGCAAAGCAAGACCCTCTCTACAAATGAATGTTTGAAAAAAAAAAAAATTAAGGCCGGGCATGGAGGCTCACACCAATAATCCCAGCACTTTGAGAGGCCAAGACAGGAGGATCACTTGAACCCAGGAGTTTGAGACCAGCCTGGGCAACATAGCAATATTCTATCTCTACCAAAAAAAAAAAAAATTAAGAACAAAATTAGCCAGGTGTGGTGCCACATACCTGTAGTCCCAGCTACTCAGGAGGCTGGGGTGGGAGGATGACTTCAACTTGGGCAGGTGAGGTTGCAGTGAGCCATGATTGCACCACTGCACTCCAGCCTGAGCAACAGAGCAAGACTCTGTCTCAAAAAAATTAAAGTTAACCAGGCATACTGGCACACATATGTCATCCCAGCTACTTGGGAGGCTGAGGTGGAGATCACCTTAGCCAGGAGGTTGAGGCTGCAGTGAGCCATGATGGTGGCACTGCCACAGCCTGGGTGACAGAGCGAGACCCTGTCTCAAAAAAAAAAGACACCACAACTCCACCCGGAGAAGAAATAAAATCTCAAAGAAGCATGAGCAGCCAACACAATTTTATAGCAGGAAAGAAAAAGCAAAAAAGCTAGGAAAGAACATAACAGTTTCTTTTTAAGATCTGTGTTTAAACAAAGACACTTAGGAAGTGGTACAAGTGCTAAGGAATGAATTAATACTAAATGTCATCACTGTGATGGTTGGAACATCAAAATATACATAACATATACATACATGTGTATATTATATACATATATACATATGTGTATATATTATATACATACATATCTATATACAATAGAGTTATGCTTCACTTAAAAACTGGGATACATTCTGTGATCATAGAGTGCACTTACACAAACCTAGATGGTATATAGCCTGCTACACACCTAGGCTATATGGCATAGACTATTGCTCCTAGGCTACAAATCTATACAGCATGTTACTGTACTTAATACTACAGGCAACTGTAACATAATGGTATTTGCATATCTAAACATAGAAAAGGTACAGTAAAAATGCAGTGAGATAAGAAAATGGTACACCTGTGTAGAGCACTTTCCATGAATAGAGCTTGCAGGATTGCTCTGGGTGGGTCAGTGAGTGAGTAGAGTGAATGTGAAGGCCTAGGACATTACTGTACACTACTATAGACTTTATGAACATTGTATACTTATGCTATACTAAATTTATTAAAACTTTTTTCTGCCAAGTGCAGTGGCTCACGCCTATAATGCCAGCACTTTGGGAGGCTGAGGCAGGTGGATCACCTGAGGTCAGGAGTTCAAAACCAGCCTGGCCAACATGGTGAAACCTCGTCTCTACTAAAAGTACAAAAATAAAGGAAGGGCACAGTGGCTCACGCCTATAATCCCAGCACTTTGGGAGGCCGAGTAGGGCAGATCGCCTGAGGTCAGGAGTTCGAGACCAGCCTGGCCAACATGGTGAAACCCCATCTCTATTAAAAATACAAAAATTAGCTGGGCATAGTGGCAGGTGCCTGTAATCCCAGCTACTCGGGAAGCTGAGACAGGAGAATCACTTGAACCCGGGAGGTGGAGGTTGCAATGAGCCAAGATTGCGCCGTTGCATTCCAACCTGGGCAACAAGAGCGAAACGTCGTCTCAAAAAAATAAAAATCAATTTTTTTTTAAATACAAAATTTAGCTGGGCATGGTGGCACGTGCCTGTAGTCCCAGCTACTCAGGAAGCTGAGGCAGGAGAATCGCTTGAACCCGGGAGGCAGAGGTTGTGGTAAGCCGAGATCGTGCCACTGCTCTCTAGCCTGGGCAACGAAGTGAGACTCCGTCTCAAAAAAACAAAACAGAACAGAACCTTTCTTCTTCAATAATAAATTGAAGACAATTCACCTACTGTAACTTTTTACCTTATAAACTTTTTAAATGTTTAATCTTTGACTCTTCTATAACACTTAACACACAAACTATACAAAATATTTAAAAATATTTTATGTCATTCTATAAATTTTTTCTATTTTTAGTAATTTTCTTTTTTTACTTTTTTGTGTTAAAAACTAAGACACATACGTTAGCCTAGACCTACCGATGAACTGGATCATCAGTATCACTGTGTTCTACCTCCACGTCTTGTCCCACTGGAAGGTCTTCAGGGACAATAACATGCATGGAGCTGTCATCTGCTATGATAACAATGTCTTCTTCCAGAATGTCCTGAAGGACATGCCTGAGGCTGTTTTATAGTCAACTTTTTTTTAATAAGTAAGGGTACACTCTAAAATAACAATAAAAGGTATGGTATAGTAAATACATAAACCAGTAACATAGTTGCTTGTTATCATATCAAGTACTATGTACTGTACATAATTGTATGTTCTAGACTTTTATATGACTGGCACTGCAATAGGTTTATACCAGCATCACCACAAACACGTGACTAATGCATCATGCCACAATGTTACAACAGCTACAATGGCTCCACTAGGCAAGTAGGAACTGTTTTTTTTTTTTGAGATGGAGTCTACCTCTGTTACCCAGGCTGGGGTGCAGTGGCGTGATCTCGGCTTACTGCAACCTCTGCCTCCCGGGTGCAAGCAATTCTCCTGCCTCAGCCTCCGGAGTAGCTGGGACTACAGGCGCATGCCACCACACCCGGCTAATTTTTGTATTTTTATTAGAGACAGGGTTTCACCATATTGGCCAGGCTGGTCTCGAACTCCTGACCTTGTGATCCGCCTGCCTCAGCCTCCCAAAGTGCTGGGATTACAGGCGTGAGCCACTGCACCTGGCTGCAAGTAGAAATTTTTACCTCCATATACTCTTTTTTTTTTCTTGAGATGGAGTCTCGCTCTGTCACCCAGGCTGGAATGCAGTGGCATGATCCCGGCTCACTGCAACCTCCACCTCCTGGGTCAGACGATTCTCCTGCCACTGCTTCCTGAGTAGCTGGGACTACAGGCACTTGCCACCACGCTTAGCTCATTTTTGTATTTTTAGTAGAGACGGGGTTTTACCATGTTGGCCAGGATGGTCTTGAACTCCTGACCTCAGGTGGTCCACCCACCCCAGCCTCCCAAAGTGCTGAGACTACAGGCATGAGCCACCATGCTCGGCCTGCTCCATATAGTCTTATGGGACTACCGTCATATATGCAATCTGTCATTGACCAAAACGTGTTTATGCAGCACATGACTCTGTGTTGTATATATAATGTAAAGCTTCAATAAAAGTAAATCAAAAGTTAAATGTGTTTAGTTTGATAGAACCAGATGACTATAATATTGAGGATATTATCCTTCTTGTGATAATTAGTTTTGTTACAATACAGCACTCACCTTCCACGTGAAACTTTAAAATGCAGGGGAAAAGAGCAGAGACCATATAATTAAAATGCACAGTAGAAACACTGAAATGTGGGGCTGGGCGCTGTGGCTCATGCCTGTAATCCCAGCACTTTGGGAGGCCAAGGTGGGCAGATCACGAGGTCAGGAGATCAAGACCATCCTGGCTAACGTGGTGAAACCCAGTCTCTCCTAAAAATACAAAAAATTAGCCAGGCATGGTGGCACGTGCCGGTAGTCCTGTGTCCGGAATTTATTCCTTCCTGTGGGTTCTTGGTCTCGCTCGCTTCAAGAATGAAGCCACAGACCCTTGTGGTGAGTGTTACAGCTCTTAAAGATGGTGTGTCTGGAGTTTGTTCCTTCAGATGTGTCCAGAGTTTCTTCCTTCCAGTGGGTTCGTGGTCTCGCTGACTTCAAGAATGAAGCCACAGACCCTCGGGTTAATGTTACAGCTCTTAAAGGTGGTGCGGACCCAAAGAGTGAGCAGCAGCAAGATTTATTATGAAGTGTGAAAAGAACAAAGCTTCCACACCACGGAAGGGGACCCGGACAGGTTGCCCCTGCTGGCTCACGTGGCCGGCCTTTATTCCCTTATTTGGCCCTGCCCACATCCTGCTGATTGGTCCATTTTACAGAGCACCGATTGGTCCATTTTACAGAGTGCTGATTGGTCCATTTTACAGAGTGCTAATTGGTGTGTTTACAATCCTTTAGCTAGACACAGAGTGCTGATTTGGTGCGTTTACAATCCTTTAGCAAGACCCAGAGCGCTGATTGGTGCATTTTTACTGAATGCTGATTGGTGCATTTACAATCCTTTAGCTAGACACAGAGCGCTGATTGGTGCATTTATAATCCTCTAGCTAGACAGAAAAGTTCTCCAAGTCCCCACTCGACCCAGGAAGTCCACCTGGCTTCATCTCTCAGTCCCAGGCTGAGGCAGGGGAATCGCTTGAACCCAAGAGGCAGAGGTTGCAGTGAGCCGAGATCATGCCACTGCACTACGGCCTGGCCAACAGCAAGACTCTGTCTCAAAAAAAAAAAAAAAAAAAAAAAAGAGAGAGACACCAAAATGCATTGCAAGACAACAAGACACTGAAATAACATGCCCAGCAACAGGGGAATGAATGAGTAAAATATGGCACAAAAACAACCAAAAACATACGTTGTAATTAAAAGTGAAATTTTTATGACTCAGAAAATTCATAAAATACTTAAGATACAGTACTTTGTTAAGAGACAATTAAAAATATTTTTAAATGACACATGATTGCAACTACAAATCCCCACTTCATAGATCTAAAAGACAGTAACATTTGGGCCCTCCAGCATCCAGGCCCCCCATGAAAAGGGTGCCCACTTCTGCTCTTTCCTGGTCCCGAAGTGTGGTATCCATCTGTTTCCCAAGCCTGGTTCTGTTTTCACCTCTCCATCCATGAGCTTTGCATTTCCTATTTCTGGCCTTTTCTTGCAGTTATTATTATTGTTACTAATATTAAACTTTTTGGCTGTGACCTTGACTTCTCTGGATGAAGACTTGATTCACAGCCCATACTACACAGATATCCACAGCCTCAATTCTCCCAGCTTCAGCCCATCATTTAGGAAGACTTTTTCTGTACCTGTCCCATCTCACCTGCCTCAGATCTTATGGGAAGAGTCCTAAAAATATATACAATTGAAACTTTGATGGACTAGGGTCTTAAGATCATGGGTTCAACATACAGTATTAGTTTTTTTCGATCTGTCCAAACTTTTTTAAAGACTTAATCTTTTCCTTATCTTTGTCAAGCTTGCCACCTGGTGGTGAATTTCTAGAACTTCATTGTTCTAGAAATTAGCCTCAAGTGAGCATAAGTAAGGTTAAAAGATGCTACCTTTGATTTCACTAGCAGTTTTGCGTTAATAACATGGAAGTATAGGCCTTTAATCACCCTGGTAGCCAAAGTCATATCACAGGGTTAGCTGATCCAGAAGTTATACAAGCCTTATAGACATTCCCTTACTTGCCTGGGACTCATGCCCTGATTCCCCGTAGGATTCTAGGTTGATTTTAATTACCTGATACTGGATCTGCTCTGGGAAGTAGTTCTTACTTAGACAGTGAGCATTTGCATCTACTGCAGAATCTTGGTGACTCCGAACATTGTATAGTGTCTTGTAAACTTTCACCAGTGTGTTAGTTCCCTCAGGTTGCCTTAACAAAGTACTACAAACTAGGTGGCTTACTAAATAACAGCAGTTTATTCCCTCATTGTTTGGGAGGCTAAAAGTCTGAGATAAGTATCAGCATGGCCAGTTCCTTCTGAGAGCTGTGAATAAGATTGTTCTATACCCCACCCCCACTATCATCTGGTGATTGCCTGGAAATCTCTGCATTCCTTGGCTGGTAGGAGCATCACCTTAGTCTGTGCCTTCATCTTCACACAGGGTCTATGTATATGTCCAGATCTCACCTTTTTATAAGACCACCAGTCATATTGGATTAGGGTTCACGCTAATGACCTCATCTTAACTAATTACATCTGCAGTAACCCTATATCCACATAAGATTACATCCGGAGGAACTGGGAGTTAGGACTTCAACATATGAAACTAAGGGGGGCATGGTCCAACCCATAGCAACCACGTATCTCATTATACCTCCAGACTTCATTTCCACCATGTTTTTCACAATTATTTGCTGCTGTTCCCTGCTGGACAGTTACATTTCCTTGCCCCACTGATGTGAAGCTTAGCTGTGAAATTGCTCTGCCCAATAAAATATGAAAAGAAGTGATGTGTGCACATCCTAACAGAACCTTTTAAGAGCCTCTTCCCTCTGCCATGAAACAGGCAGTGTTCCAGGTGAAGGCTGTTTCATCAGCCTATGTCTCAGAATGACAGTGACACAGACCAGGGCAGCAGCTGAACCTCAGTGGATATGTAGTATGAACAAGAAAACCTTTATGATTTTAGGCCACCAAGACTTTGGGGTCATTTATCACTGAAGCATAAACGAACTTTAGCTGACTGATAGAGCTAACTGACACCATAAGTTCACCCTGTAATGTGAGTGAGGTTTTTTTAAAAAAATTCATTCATCAGATAATTATTTGAAACTATGTGCTAGGCATAACTATATGTTGGACACTGTGATGGTGTCACCTTGGCTATGCCCTGGTACCCAGATATTTGCCAAACATCAGTCTAGGTATTGCTGTGAAGGTGTATTTTAGATGAGATTAACGTTTAAATCAGTAGGCTTTCAGTAAAGCCAATTACCATCCATAATATGGGTGGGCCTCATTCAGTGGAAAACCTTAAGAGGAAAAGACTGAGGTCCTCAAGGAAGAGGGAGTTCTTCTGACTCCAGTTGCAGCATCCGTTCTTCCCTGAGTCTCCAACCTGCTCTGCAGATTTCAGATTTGCCAGCCCTCACAAACACATAAGCCAGTTCCTTAAAATAAATGTATGTATAGCTCACATTTATTTCAATGTTTCATATTAGAAGTGTTTCATTCTTTATTTAGAAGTATAGTAGTGATTTTGTGACCAGAAATATGCTGTAGAAACTGAACTCTTATTTATCTCAATTAGCCTATGGTAAAATTGGTCATGCTGTATATCATTTTGCTTAAAGCTGCAGTTTCCAAGAACCTATATGACACTTTTAAGTGATGACTTGCTGTACTGCATTTAATAGAAGCACATAGGAGAAGCACCTGACCCTGACTCGTAGAACCAAAGAAGGCTTTTGGGAGGGAATGAAGTCGAATTTGAGAACTGCACTTGGCAAGTGGAATAGGAGTTAGCCAAGTGCAAGGAAGGGTGGTGGGGACCAGGAATTGGACTGAGTAGAGAACATGCACTCTCAACAAGGGCATGATCTCCCCCAGGAGAAGAAAATGGGTGCTTGGCAGACAAGATAAATCTTAGCTATCACACTGTTTTGTCACCATCCAAAGCTCAATCCTATGTGACAAAATTGTATTCCTCTTAATATTTAATTGAGGGGAGGGAAGATGACTAGGAAAGAATTTCTAAGAAGGTCTCCTTAGGTGGGCAATAATAAAAAAAAACATTGAGAAACATTGGTATAGAAAGAGCATTTGGGCATAGGAAAGATCACACATGAAACTACTGAAATGAGAGAGAACATAGACTATTTGAAAAATTAGAATGGGTGTGGCATAGAATTGGGAGGGAAGAGGAAGCAGGAAGAACAATGAGAGAAGAGGCCAGTCTAGAAACAAATTTTAAAGAAAATTAAACCTGAAAGTGCATTTCAACCTCAATTATCTAAATAATTTAAAGTTGGATTTTGTGTCTAAATTATCTACAGCACATCAAACTCACTTTTTTATGTATAAATCATCCTTTGTGTTTGTGGTCTCTACTGAATGAATTAAGCTTTAAACATTGTGTTAGAGATAGACAAGAGCATTTGTTAAGATAGATATTTCAACCTATCATGCTAGAACTTGGTAGTTGTACAACTGTTGTCTCTAGAATGGCATCATGTTCAGGTGGGTAATTATAATGCTATTCCAGCAAGCTTTTTAACCTCTGGAGAATTTTCATGTGATTTACTTCACTGGAGTTTCAAAGACAAAATATGACACTAAAAAAGGTATTTTTCTTGGTCCCATTATTTAGAATAGAATGAGAACAATGGTCTATTTAATAACCATTATCGTTATCTTCCCAGATTGAATTAAAATTACATTAATATTCCATTAGAAAATTCTCTGCAAAAATGCTGTCAATCATTTTTTTATTTCTACCAGCTTGTTAACAATGAACTCAAAGCTAATTCAATACTTTTGGGAGATAGTATAAAACTCAATTTTAGAATCTAAAGAACTAAAAAATTGTATGCTATGTGATAATTTTAATTCCTATTTTTCTACTACAGCCTTAGCTTGCTTGGTATTAGTAGGCTTATCCTAAATTTATAATATACTTTTAAGAGGCAGCATTCTAGTAATATTTTTAGAAGGTCTTATTATATAAAACACAGTATAAAATTATATAATAGTTCTGAGTATGGATTCTGGAGTCAGACTGTCTGGGTTCAGATCCTGAGTTGAACCTGTTTGGGTTTAAATGTTACTAGCTTTCATAAACTTGAGCAGATGTGAAAAGTTGTGTGATCTTAACCTCTCCGTACCTCTGTACCTCATAGTTCTAACTATGTAATAGAACTACTACATATTTTTGTAAACATACAGTAATAATGAGTTCATTATGTAAAGCACTTAGAACAGTACCTAGGACATACTCAGTACTCAATAATGTTAGCAATAATTATGGAACCCCTTACTGAGTAGCTTTAAAACCATTTGTTGAGTCTTTCCTGTATGTCATACAAGGAACTTACTTGTGAAACTCTTAGTACATCTTACCTAAAATGATGTTCAGAGCATGGCTTAAGATATTTTTTGAAACTAACTTTTTAAATATTATTATTGTTCTCTTTACTACATTACAAGCCTTAAAACAGATTAGCTTTCTAGGGTAGGATGATACTTTTTGTCCTTAGGTGAGAAGATGAACATCTAAATTTCATTTGAAAAAGCATTCCTTCCAGCCAAGCATGGTAGCTCACACCTGTAATCCCAAACTTTGAGAGGCCAAGGTAGGAGGATCCCTTGAGGCCAGGAGTTTGAGACCAACCTGGGCAACACCACAAGACCCTGTCTCTATAAAATATACAAACAAACAACAACAAAAAAAATAGTTTGGCACAGTAGGATATGCCTATAGTCCCACCTGCTCAGGAGACTGAGGCAGGAGGATCACTTGAGCCTGGATAGTTGAAGCTGCAGTGAGCCATGATCACACCACTGCATTCCAGCCTGGGCAACCACGTCTGAGAAAAAAAAAAAAGGCATTCCTTCAGTAGTAGGTGGGAGATGAATTCCTCTTCAGAATTTTGTGTTGGAGTCTAAGATTTATCTTTATGGAACTACTATTTACATGGTAACAGTAGGGAAAAGGAAGAAGAGTGACCCATGATTTACTGGCTTTTAAAATTTTGACTAAGGCAATTCCTTTTCAATATTTATATATTTCAGAAAATGTCACTGAAATTCACAAATGCAAAACGGATTGAAGGACTTGATAGTAATGTGTGGTGAGTATCTTAAAATAAATAATAATTTAGTGAGGGTTTCCTACATATTTTCGTATCTTTAGATGGGAGTTTTTTTTGCCTCATCCATGGTCTATAAATAAAGGTCCTCATTTAATTCATCCATTAAATGAAAATGGAAGGAAGTTAGCAATCCATATACTGAATTGTTCATTTGGCACATGTGCCATGCCCTTTGCTGGACACTGGACATATGGCAGAGAAAAGGACAAATGTTAATGCCCTCATGGAACTTAACCTCCAATCCAGGAACTTTTCTTATTAGTTCTGTTCTCTAATAGTTGATGAAAGAACTTAGCAGCAGCTGGAATTGTTGAGAAAATATATATATGTGGTTAAAATATGGGTAGCGTGAAACTGAGGTTTGTAAGGGACATTGGGTTCATAAATTCAGCCATCATTCTATTTGGTAAACTGATTTGTGGTTGGTAAATTTTTGTTGGAAACTCATTTTTTAAAACCTATAGGACTAAACTAGGGTCTTATTTGTCTGTTTTGTGGTAAGACTATAAGATATAAAAAAGCGAACTTTATAATTGTAGAACTTATTAATATTAGTATTTTTTTCAATCTTAGGATTGAATTTACCAAATTGGCTGCAGACCCTTCTGTTGTGAATCTTGGCCAAGGCTTTCCAGATATATCCCCTCCTACATATGTAAAAGAAGAATTATCAAAGATTGCAGCAATCGATAGCCTGAATCAGTATACACGAGGCTTTGTAAGTATATCAAGACCATATGGGCCATGAGCTTTTATTTTATACTGGGGTGTGTGTCTGTGTGTGTGCATGTGCCCTTCTGTCATTCATATATAAGTGACTTTCTGGGACCAGCTGTCCCATCCTAGCAACCACAGAAACTTCTGCCCTTGCCCTATGTCCTGAGATGAGCCTTCGCCTACTTCCAGCCCCTCTACACTTTTCTTTCTTTTGGCCCTTACTTTACTGTTGCTCCAAGATAGGATCCTATGGCAACACGATAAGGAACAACATTCTCTTGAGACATGTCTTTTCTATCTCATCAACATTTATGCAGCCTGAGCACTGACCCTTTATTTAATATATCCAACTAGCTACGTTTTTCCTCCTTGTGCCAGCTCACTCCCATCCTTCTGTAATGAAATGCCTAGGATAGCCAAAGATTTTCTAGATCAGACGTACCTTTGAACTGTAGACTTGTATCTGTTGTGCCAAAAGCCATACAATTATCATATGTCTGACCACTTGTCTTTTCCTTTTATGATATTGTGGGAAATGGGGAGGGGAATGGTATAGGAGGAAGCCTGTTTTTTGTCTTCTATAGTGGTCTAACTATAAAAATCCATAGAAGGGTTTTGCTTTGGGAATAGCACAGGGAAAAGCAGTGAAACTTACCTGTGTCACAGGGTTTGACACTGGTGAGAATCCCTGCTCTTCATAGATCTCACTCCCTGGCCCACCCTACAGACCCCCATCTCAGACCTACTCAACATAACTCACTCCCCAGCCTATACAAATCCATAATGAAAGGCTAGAAACAAACCAACAATAGAGAAAATTAATGAAACCAAAAGCTGGTTCTTTGAAAAGATCAATAAGTAAAAGTTTTAGCTAGATTGACCAATAAAAAAGAAAAAACTCAAAGTACCATATGAAGAATGAAAGAAGGAATATCATTACTGATCATACAAACATGAAAGCAATAATAGGATAATATTATGGATAATTTTATGTCAGTACATTGACAACTTGGATGAAATGAACAGATTATTTAAAAGATACAAATTACCAAAACTGACACAAGGAGAGATGAAAAATGCAACTAGCCCTATGTCAATGAAAGAAAATGAATTTGTAATTAAAGTCTTCCTGCAAACAAACCTCAATACCTAGATGGCTTATTAGTGAATTCTATCAAGTATTTAAGGAAGAACTATTAGGTCAGTGCAAAAGTAATTGCGGTTTTGCCATTAATTTTAATGACAAAAACCGCAATTACTTTTGCACAAACCTAATAATACCAGTTCTGCACACATTTATTCAGAAAGTGGAGCAGGATGAAAAACTTTTACTTATTGATCAACAATTTTTGTAATTTGAAAAATAAAGAAATGCCTAATGGTTTTGTCTGAACTTTTAATCAGGGGTTTTGTATCAGGGTAATGCTGGTCTCATAAAATTAGTTTCAGCATTACCCTGATACAAAAACTGATTTAAAAAATGCCAGCGAAAGAAATAAAGAAAACTCCAGTTCAATATCTCTCATGAACATAGAAACAAAGATTATGAAATTTTAGCAAATCAAATCCAGATATGTGTGTGTGCATGTGTGTGTGCCTGTGTGTATAAAGATATAAAAAGTAATACATCCTGACCAAGTAAGGTTTACCATAGGAATGCAGGATTAGTTTTAATATCCAAAAATTAATCATTGCAATTATGCTATATTATCAGAAAAAAAAGATCATCTTATGTAGTATATATAGAAAATGCATCTGACAAAATTCAACCCTCATTTATAATAAAAGTTTTCAGCCAATTAGAAATAGAATGGAGCTTTCTCACTCTGATAAAAGGAATCTATGAGAAACCTACAGATTACACCTGTAGTGCACATAATATAGTAAGATTGAAAAGACAGCAAAGATGTCCACTCTGACCATTGTTATTCATCAGTGTACTGGAGTCCTGTGAGATATAAAGATACATAGATTAGAAAGAAGAAAAATGTAAACTCATTTTCAGAAAACATGATTGTGTACATAGAATATCCTAAGGAATTCTAAAAGAAAAAAAAGCCTACTACAACTAATAAATGAATTGAGCAAGGTCACAGGACACAAAGCCAATATACAAAAATCAGTTGTATTTCTATATATTAAAATGAACAATTAGAAAGTAAAATTTTTTAAATACTATTTATAGTAGTATCCCAAAACACAAAACATTTAAGAATAAATTTTTTAAAATATATCCAAGATCTGTACGATGAAATCTATAAAACATTACTGAGAGAAATTAAGCAATACCTAAATAAATTGGGAATGATGTTCATGGATTGAGAGACTAAATATTGTCTATGTCAGTTTTCCCAAATTGGTCTATAGCAGGGTTTTGCAATCTATGGCCTATGGACCCAATATGTCAAATTTTGTAAATAAAGTTTCATTAGAACACAACCATACCCACTTATTTATTAATATGTATATTCTAGTTTTTGTAAATACATAGGTATATACATGTCTATGTGTTTTTATATTGGTATAAGCACTGAGAGTGGTGTTGCACTATCACCAGGCTGTGGACATTCATCACCTCAGGGGGATGGGAATGAAATAATATTGAGGAGCGATTGTAATTTTTATACATCTTTGCCTAGTTTTACTTATTGCATGAAGCATAAATTATTTTTGTATTTAAATTTTTAATTTTAAAAGCACAAACACTTATCATTCTAAGAAATGTATATAGTGTTTATAGTTGCTTTTCAGATCTCCTCTTGCTAGAATTTGTTAGACCTGCTATTAAAGTAAAATTCAAAGGAACTCAGTTTATTGCTCCAGAGCCCAAAGTGCTTTCAAACAAAGGTACATGACCTGCACTTGCACTCTTACTCTCAAGGGATAGAAAATCAGGATGGTACTTCAAAAGCAAAATGAGGAGGTAGATGCTGGACAGAAAACAACAGGAAATATTGACCTAAATACCAAATAAAACAAGGAGGGGGAAAGGAAAAGGAAGAAAAAAAAGGAAGGAAGGGGAGAGAGCCTAGAAGAGAACTTAGGGAGAGCTAATCCAGGAGTCTTCAGACCCCCTGCTTGCCTCAGGCTGTACCTTCATAATCCCTTCACTTCTCCTATGAAAGTAGTTACCTTGGATAACCACTGCTCTCTTGACTGTCAGTGTGAGTAGTGTCTCACTTCCTTCTAACATTTGCTATCACATCAACACTAGTGTTCGTGTCGTTGGTGAATTTGTTTTTGTTCTCTTTCCCTAGTCCATTGGTTGGCATAACCATCTCTCCAGCAATCAGGAAGAGCCAAGGAGTGGGTATACAGTTAAAGTGGGTTTTTTTCACTTATTTTAACTGGGAAACAAATCCAACTCTTTTCAATATGATTTAATTACTGTCAAAAAATACAAATGGTTGATTTTTATTCAAAGCAAATACTTTGAAATTATATAATCCCAAACCCTTTATTTAGTAAGAAGTTTTAATCATTAGCAAGCCTTCATGACAAATAGTGTGGGAATACTCTAAATGTAGGAAATTTTAAAAAATTTATTGCCATTAAAAAATATAAATTTTCTTGGGGTAATTATAAACATCAAATCCAAATTTTAAAAATTCTTACATTTTAGAGCCATATTACCTCAAACAGTAGGTCCCATATTTAAATTCAAGGTTTTGTTCTTATTTTTAATCCAACAGGGCCATCCATCACTTGTGAAAGCTCTGTCCTATCTGTATGAAAAGCTTTATCAAAAGCAAATTGATTCAAATAAAGAAATCCTTGTGACAGTAGGAGCATATGGATCTCTTTTTAACACCATTCAAGCATTAATTGATGAGGGAGATGAAGTAAGTATATTAACATTATCGTAATACCCATATTAATCAATTATCATTTGTCCCACCTTTGAATCTTTCGCTTATATTCTACTCTTTTCTCTTTTTATTTTTAATTATGTTTTAAGTATAATGCATGTACAGTAAAGTTCACAAATCTTAAATGTACAGCTGGATAAATTACTGTGTAAATTTCTGTGCAACTACAACCAGACAAAGATATGATACATTTCCAGTACCCAGAAAACTTCTTTGTTCCTCTTCAGAGTCTATATTCTCCCAGAGGTAAGTACTCTTCTGTCTTCTATTACCATAGGCTTGTTTTCACTGCTCTTTTACTTAATATGAATATAATTATACAGTGTATACTCTTGGGTCTAGATCCATTCATTTATTTTTGTGTCTGTGAGATTCATCCATTTTGTTGCATATAATTTATTCTTATTTTTATAGCCTATTTAAATAAGGGCAGATGGAAGGGACTAACACTGCCAGGGAAAAAGAATCTTTTGTTTTCATTGCTAAAATAACCTTTACTCTTAACTTGGTCTACAAGTTTTTGATCAATGTCTTTGTGTGCCCAGTAATTGTATAAGCCATCCCATGTGAGGATGTTTTTGTGATTGTTTTTGTTTTTTTGAGATGGAGTCCCACTTTGTTGCCCAGGCTGGAGTGCAGTGGCACGATCTTGGTCACTGCAACCTCCACCTCACGGGTTCAAGTGATTCTCGTGCCTCAGCCTACTGAGTAGCTGAGATTACAGGCGCCCGCCACGAAGCCCAGCTAATTTTTGTATTTTTAGTAGAGATGGGATTTTGCCATGTTGGCCAGTCTGGTCTCGAACTCCTGACCTCAGGTGATCCGCCTGCCTCAGCCTCCCAAAGTGCTGGGATTACAGGCGTGAGCCACCACGCCCAGCTGAGAATGTATTAATATAATAGGAAGGTAAAATGATTTCTGCGATTTAGTACTGTGAGGTATGACCAACTTTTGCAACTACCTCAGTCATCTCTA
The DNA here is from genome assembly GCF_000001405.40 of Homo sapiens. Lineage (NCBI taxonomy): Eukaryota > Metazoa > Chordata > Mammalia > Primates > Hominidae > Homo > Homo sapiens. The sequence goes on along the minus strand of NC_000001.11, from coordinate 88,963,826 downwards.
CCCGTATTTCCCATTAGCATTCCAATAGCCTTACTTTAATACTTTTTGCCTCTTTCATTTATTCAGAAAATACTGAGGATCCAATATATGCTAAGCACTGTGAGATAGAAGATGTTTTAAAGATAGATTCTATGCAGAAGGTGTTCCCTGTCTAGTAGAGAACACAGACTTGCAAATGGATTACGAGGAACACTATGGTAGTGACAAAAGGAAGAGGCAATCACCTCTGCTAAGTCTGGAAAGCTCCAGAGAGACATTGCTTAAGCTGGGACTGCAGAACGAATATTTATCCTGATCTATATTGTTAACTTTCTTTAAACTCTCATAACCCTTTATCATACCACTTTTATGAAAGATGCCACTATCTGCTTTGTGTTATGTTATTCTTTTACAACTTTGATTCCCTTCACTATGCCAGACAAGATGTTTAAGGAAACATGTTAATGAAGTTCACAGTTTCATATACATAAACTCCTTTAATCCTATACATAGTTTTGTCTCATACTTCGATGTTGTTAATCCTTTGTTGCTTCTTTCTCTGCACTCTGTTGGGAGTATTATAAGGCTTAGCCCTTAGCTTTCTTTCCTCTATTCTTTCTTCCTTCATCAACTTATCTAGTATTTTGAAACCACATACATGTCACTTGCTATCATACTGACCTATTTATTGTTTCTTTATAGCATTTATTACTATCTGAAATTATCTAATGTCCTTATTTGTCTCTCCGTTCATTATAAGCCTCTCTCAGTAGGATATAAGTTCTAGGAGAACTTTATAGCTTTACTGCCAGCACCTAAAATAGTGAGGACGCAATAAATATTCTCAAAAAAAAAAAAAGAGAGAGAGGAATTGTTCACATCATAAAAGTGAAAAAATCAAGGCGAAGAGTAACAGGTATATTTCTCCCACTCTACTGCCCTGCCTCTCCAATTTATTTTCCTTTATTGTGCTCTCACCTTGTATTAAGCTTTATATTTCCCACTAGAGTTACAAAGATAGATTGTCTTAGTCCCTGAGAACTTCACAGATGAGGCTGAGTGTGGTGGCTCAGGCCTGTAATCCCAGCACTTTGGGAGGCTGAGGCAGATCACCTGAGGTTAGGAGTTTGAGACCAGCCTGGGCAACACGGCGAAACCCCATCTCTACTAAAAATACAAAAATTAACCGTGCTTTTGAGAAGAGAGAAACATCTTTACTCTCAAGATAATGCTTTTAAATTAGCACTTTATACCAGGGAACATTACAGTGTTCTCTTCCCACATAGCCTGCTGTCTGTCACTGCTTATACATCACTTATATTCTAGATTTTATTTTCTGATTTGAAATATGAAGAAATGCTTAATCGTTTTGCCTGGAATATCCCTTTGAGAATGTGATAGTCCCATTCTCCAGGTAAATCTATCTATGCATATATGAAATTTTATATGTAATTTCAAATACTCCCACTGCATGCTTATTTATAGATCTCCCTAAGATACCAAGGAGTCCAATTAAGACTACCTGGACAAGTTTGTCTCCGAGGTCTCTTCCCCTCAGATGTTAGCTCCACAAGGGCAAAGCCTGCCTTTTTCACTGCTGTATCCCAACACATAGTACAGTGCCTAGCCCATAGTAGGTACACAGTATTATTAACATGAATAAATGATTGACAGGTTGTGATCTTATTTGCTTTTATTGCAGGTCATACTAATAGTGCCTTTCTATGACTGCTATGAGCCCATGGTGAGAATGGCTGGAGCAACACCTGTTTTTATTCCCCTGAGATCTGTAAGTTTGCCAGTATGGTTCATATGGCAAAGTTTCAAGACTTAAGAAGTCTTGAAAATACCAATTACTTTGTCATGATAAAGTTTCTACTTTGATTGCATTTGGAGATTTCCTGTATATCTCTATTTGTCTAGTTGTCTTTTTAAAATATTTTTAACATAAGTAATACACTAAGGTGAGTCACAAAATCTTCAGCTAGCCTTACAATATCAGACATGTTAACCATAGTTATAGCTAGTTCCTGTGAAGTAATATTAGCAGCAGTTAATGTTGACAGGGCTTATTTTTCCATTTAACAGGTGTGAGCATAAGACTTAGGTTTTCTTAGGCTCTTAAGCAGAACTACAGCCCAGTTATTTCTGTTTATCTTCTTTGTTAGTCTTTTTCTAGTTTTTTTTCTGTTCCTACTGCAGGAAAGCATTTGTTGGTAATTTATTCAGTTTCCTTTGCCATGACTTTCTTTGATGTTTTTTTCCTTATTAGGTTATTCGTTTGTAAGACAGTAAACATGACTTAATTGAATTAAATTATATCTTCATTCTTCATGCTTAGAAACCTGTTTATGGAAAAAGATGGTCTAGTTCTGACTGGACATTAGATCCTCAAGAACTGGAAAGTAAATTTAATTCCAAAACCAAAGCTATTATACTAAATACTCCACATAACCCACTTGGCAAGGTAAGCAAGTCTCATCTCCTTATACAGTCTTCTGACCTATCATTTTCTCACATGTTGAATAATTGGCTGTGCTCTTTCCTTTATTATGTGTAGGTGTATAACAGAGAGGAACTGCAAGTAATTGCTGACCTTTGCATCAAATATGACACACTCTGCATCAGCGATGAGGTTTATGAATGGCTTGTATATTCTGGAAATAAGCACTTAAAAATAGGTACCAACTATAACACAGAGTCACATATCTAAATGTGTTTGGGCACATATGGAAGAACTGATTGGAAAGCATCCCAGACCAACTCTAAAACAGTCTTTGTAATGGGTATCTGTCTGTATGAACACTTTAAAATAGTATTTAAATGAGCAATACTTTAGTGAATTGATGAATAGTTCAAAGGACAAAGAGTAAGAGATTTTGGATCATACTATAAAGCTATGATACCAGAAAAGTAGTTCTTTTGCCCATATATCCCTGGCTTCTTAGCAGAAATCCAGCAATTACTTGGTACATAAGACACAGGGAGCTTTCTTGTGCCTGAAAAGGTTCTAGACGGTCTATGCTGAACAACTTACCAAAATGCCAAGTCAACAGAAAGAAATTACAGGGGTAGTCAGGTATGCTGCTTGGCCCTTGCTTGAGATTCAGCCATTACTACTGGGCTATCTCATGAATGCCGTACTGTCTGCTGGGGTAGTCCAAACCATGTCAACTATAGGATTACAAACTGGGCTGCAACTTTTGGGTCTTCGCACCTCCCTTTCCTTTGCCTGGAAACACTTTTCCTCCAGGTATCCACCTGACTTCAAATATCCTTCACCTCCTTCAGGCCTTTGTCCAATGTCAGTTTTCATGACCATCACATTGAAAATAGTTAACACCTCTCCCTCCAGCATTTGCTTTGTCCTTTTTCTGTTTTGTTTTGTTTTTTCCTCTATAGTAAATATCAGAATCTATATATTTTACTTCTAAACCACAGTAATGGAGGGATTTTGTTTGTTTTAGTCTCTTCTGCATCCCCATTTTCCATAGAATCTTGTACATGGTAGAGAATTAGAAAGAAATTGTTGAATAAATGAAGATGAAAGATGAAAAGATTAAGAGAAGGATGACTAAAAAATGTGGCAGAGATAGATAAATTTTAAAATTTAGGCCAGGTACAGTGGCTCATGCCTGTAATCCCAGCACTTTGAGAGGCTAAAGTGGGTGGATTGCTAGAGTCCAGGAGTTCAAAACTGGCCTGGGCAACATGGAGAAACCCCGTCTCTACACAGAAATTCAAAAAATCAACCAGGTATGGTGGTCTGTGCCTGTAGTCGCAGCTACTTGGAGGCTGAGGTGGGAGGATCCCTTGAGCCCAGGCACCACTGGCTCACTGCAGCCTCCATCTCCTGGGCTCAAGCAATCCTCCCACCTCAGCCTCCCAAGTAGATGGGACTGCAGGCACAGACCACCATACCCGGCTAATTTTTTTTAAGAAAAATAAAAATAAGAAATGTAATGCACTTATATATTAAATTGTTGCATTGTTGCATGTGCCATAATTATTCCTATAGTATATTACAAGTTGCTATAGAGATGGGAAGAGAAAGCGACTGTTTGAGGGGAATAAAAAAGGAGTGGCCAAAAGATAGAGAATTAGCTAAACAGAGAAATAGAAACTAAACTCCTAAAACATAAACTAGCATGTACTTAGATAAGGAGGTATGAAAGATCAAGATACACTTAAGAAAGGTAAATGATTATTGAAATTTTAAAAACAAAGAAGAAGAAAGGTAAATAAGTTATTTAATTTTTTTTTTTTTTTTTTTTTGAGACAGAGTCTTGCTCTGTTGCCCAGGATGGAGTGCAGTGGTGCGATCTCAGCTCATTGCAACCTCTGCCTCCTGGATTCCAACAATTCTCCTGCCTCAGGCTCCCAAGTAGCTGGGATTACAGGTGCATGCCACCATGCCTGGCTAATTTACTTTTAGTAGAGATGGGGTTTCACCGTGTTGGCCAAGCTGGTCTCAAACTCCTGACCTCGTGATCCACCCACCTCGGCCTCCCAAAGTGCTGGGATTACAGGTGTGAGCCACCGTGCCCAGCCTTAATTTTTTTTTTTTTTTAAGAGACAGGGTCTCGCTGTGTCACCCAGGCTGGAGTGCAGTGGCTCAGAGCTCACTGTAATCTCAAACTTTTGCTTTCAAGCAATCCTTCCACCTCAGCCCCCCAAATAGCTATGACTACAAGTCTGCACCCCCTCATCTGGCTAATTTTTTAAAAATTTTTGTAGAGATAGCATCTCACTATGTTGCTCGGACTGTTCTCAATCTCCTAGACTCAAGCGATCCTCCTGCCCTGGCCTCCCAAAGGGCTGTGATTACAGGCATAAGCCATAGAACCTCGCCTCAGTTTGATTTATGAGGGTGTGTTTTAGTAACTGGCATAGATCAGGGTGGAAAACTAGGGTGATTCTAAAGGACTTTGAATATGAGATAGAGTATAAACTTTGTTGAGGAGGTCAGTGGTTCTGAAACTTACTTTAGTGGTAGATCACCATGAGATCACAGTGTTCTACATCATGAAATGGTGATATTGTGAATTCCATCCTGAAAGTAATAGCAATTTTCCTAAAAGAAATCCAACAATTAGAAGCCAATATAAAAATCACACTTCTGTTCATACTTGTCCACAACAAAAAGCTATTGAAATAAACACATTTGAGTTTTTCTGATTTTGCCATTAATATGCATTTACTAAATGCTCATCTGTTTCACTATTGGAGCATCCACTATCAGATAAGTGGTAGTATTTGCTAAAGGCTTAAGAAAATTGTGTGGTAGAAAACTTAACATTGATTTTTTAAAATTCTGCACATTAATTTGATCACCAGAGTGCCAGTGAGCTTACTTTGAGAACTATTGCAAAAGGTGTAACAAAACAGGAGAAATGGTTCCATGACTAGATTTTTTTTTTTTTTTTTTTACAAAGATGAGAGCCAGCCACAGAGGAGGGTCTTAAGCAAATCAGATAACCTAGCAGTGAAGATGGTACATCGGGGCTATTTAGAAACTATAGAGTATAGCATTTGAAGGTGGGAAGAAAACAAGCATGCTACTAAGATCTCTAGCCTGAACTACTCAGCAGTGATGAGACCTTTAACCAGGGTAAATATGGAGAGGAGCAGATTTGTATGGAAGGGCTGAGCAAAGGGAATTCCTGCTTCTCATGCTTTAAACTTGCTGAGTTTGGGTGTCTGTGGGACATAGAAGAATAGATATCTGGGGACAAGTGGAATTATAGGCCTGATCGTCAGAATCAAATTATAATGGGATATATTTTTGGCAGTCATCAAAATGTTGGTGGTAGCTGGACACATGGAAGAGAATGAATTTTCTCAAGGGGAATATATAAACAGAGAAGGCAGCCAGAGATTTGCAGGGTGTGACACCTTAATACACCAAAATGTTATCATGTTTTAAATTGTATCAGAGGCCACAATTGCCCATCTTGTTGGTGACCTCTGTCTCAAGTAATTTGAACTGTTTCCCAGTGGAAAATCAGATTAACATGAACAATTACTTTCTTGTTGTAATTAACTCAGTGTAGCAATATTCATCCCAAAAAATCACTTTAGATCATCTTGAAATTTATTGTTTAGATCTACTCATTTTAAGCCCTTCAGGGTAAAGCATAACTGGTAACATTATTTACTAAAGATATGCAACAGTATTTACTAAAGATATGCAAGATGTATATTTTGAACTTAGATTTTTTTATTTGTAGCAGCCCATAAAGTTTAAATAAGACCAAAAAATGGATACACTATTTCATTATTTAGAAAGTGCAATTTGTTTGCATTAAAACTTAGGTATTCTATCGAATACAATAGTCTTTGTTACATTAAAGATGCAAAATGGCTACAAAATGGCCATTACATCAATTTGCAAAGTGCAACAGTAGTCCTTTAATATATGATGTATCCTTTACTTTAAAGGAAGTGATAATCTGCATTATACGTAGTTTAGATTTTCTCTGATCAAATAGAAAAGTGGGGCATGTGTCATAGTGTTCTTTTGGAGTATTTTGGAAGACCAGAAATGTCTCAGAAGGGATATAATTATTTATATCAAATCTTAAAGTATTCCTTCTTCAAGTGGACATTCTAACTATTTTTCTCATTTATCTTTTTGGGTTTTGTCATATTCCACAGAGAATAAAATTATAACTTTTCTGATTTATATGCTTTTCCTACTGTTTCAAATTTAGCAGGTATTTCAGGGTAGACTGAAATTACTTATACGTTGTTTTGGAAATTTCTGTAGCTGCCTTACATTTTAGTAGGCACTTTACTTGCTTATGAGCAGATTACTTCAAGAAAGCAGAAGCTTAGATTCCCAGAGATGAGCATTTATTTTCCCTTTGTGTGTACCAACACTCTAAGGACAATACAAGAGCCCCCACTTGTGCTTCTGAAAAACAAGTGGAAAAACTTGTGGGTTGCATGGAAAGAACTTCACAAGTAAATTACTTGAGGAATCCACAAAGCAGTATTGTGGGTGGCATTGTCAGAAGAGTGACAGAATGGTAATTTACCAGTTATTACCAATGTCTAGCAAAATTTACAAACTCTTGCATTTTAGACCTCTAGACCTTTGTTACCTGCATTTTCTTAGCCCAAAATATCTTCATTCCCCTTCTCTGCCTGGCTACAGCCTATGTGGTCTTCTATGTCTCAGCTTAAGAATTACTGGCTGCAGAAAGCCACCCTCAACACCCTCTTCTATTCTTGCATCACCCTCCATGCCTCCTACTACAGCATTTATCACACTGCATTACAGTTGTCATTGTATGTGGCTCATGTCCCTACTAGACATTAAATTTTTTGAAGAATTGCATCTTATTCATTTTTGGTTCCTCTAGACCTTAGTCCTTAGCACCTGGTGGTTGCTAATGAATATTTGATGTATGAATGAATCAATGTCTTTATTAAAGATGTTAAACAACTTGAAAACCATTATACAGCCAATTCACATTATTCTTGAGTTCTGTATTTGCAAATTTGCCTACTTCCTAAAATATATGTGTAATTCCAAAATCAATAAAGGGGAAATTTGAGTCACCCTACACACATTCCCAGTCGAGGTCAAACAAGGCAACATTATGCTTCTGTTTCAATTCACACTATAAGCAATTGTTCTCTGTACAGTGATTTTGCTGTTTAAAATGGCCCCCAAGCCTAGTGCTGAAGTGCTGTCTAGTATTCCTAAGTGCAAGAAGGCTGTGATGTTCCTTACGGAGAAAATATGTGTGTTTGATAAGTTTCATTCAGGCACAATGGCCATGAGGATATTAAAGAGTGATAGCTAAAAGGTACAGGGCTTCTTTTGAGATAAAAAAAGTGTTCTGAAATTGGTTATGGTGATAGTTGCACAGATCTATAGATATACTAAAAAAATCACTGAATGGCATACTTTAAATTGGTGAATTTATGGGATTTATATCCCAATAAAGTTGTTAGCAAAACACACGCCCATACACACATACACACACACATGCACACACACACACACATGTGCACACATGATTACTGGGTCCCACTCCCAGAGTTTCTGATTCAGTAGGTCTGGGATGAGGCCCAGTGATTTGCCTTTCTTACAAGTTGCCCAGTGATGCTGATATTGCTAGTGTGAGATCACATTTTAAGAGCCATTGCTCTAGGAAGCCTGGAGAAATACACTCAGAAAATAGGCAAAATAAAGGGGCCTAAACAATAATCAGGATCACAACCTAAGCCCTGCCACTGGCCTATTTTATCGAACCTGCAGTCACTGCTAACATTGAACACTGAATGCTACAGCTCCTGTGACAGCTGCCACTTAAGGCAGTCTGGAACACTGCCTGCTGGTGCCCCTGACACTCCTGCCCCAGAACTAATTTTAAAATTATTAAATCTATTTATATACTATCTTGGTGCAACATTACAGTATTGTAAACTTTTCGTCTGTGTTTTGCATTAAAGTTACATTATCTAAAAAAAAAACTAGAAATAACTATACTGGCTAAATTATAACACACTTATTTTCATTGAATTTATGTATCTTTGTTATGTTTTTAGATTATACTAAATGTGATTAATTGGAAAACAATATTTACCCTTTTTTCCTCCTCTGTTTAGCTACTTTTCCAGGTATGTGGGAGAGAACAATAACAATAGGAAGTGCTGGAAAGACTTTCAGTGTAACTGGCTGGAAGGTAAGATGAGTAAGAATTTAATTGCTTAAAAATAGGCCTGTATATTATTTATTTTTTGTTGAGTGGTTTGTGTTTTAAATGCTGGCCAGGCATGGTGGCTCATGCCTGTAATCCCAGCACTTTGGGAGGCTAAGGCAGGAGGATCACTTAAGGCCAGGAGTTCAAGACCAACCTTGGCTACATGGTGAGACCCTGTCTCTACAAATACATTTTTTAAAAATTAGCCAGGCAGGGTGGTGCATGCCTGCAGTCCCAGCAACTTGGGAGGCTGAAATGGGAGGATCACTTGCGCTCAGGAAGTTGAGGCTGCTGTGAGCTGCGCTCCAGCCACTTGGAGACAGAACAAGACCATCTTTAAAAAAATAATGAAATAAATAAGTAAACAAATAAATGAATCATTGCATACATATTCAGTTTATATAGATTTTTATACCTGGTGATCTTTGCTTATCTCTTGACTTATTTGGCTTTCATGTTGAGTTTTATCCTTTTTGAGACCTAATTATTTCTTTAAACATAAGAAAAATTAGGTCATTTTCCCTTTTATAAGTGATCAACTAATGACACCTTTTTCTTTGCAAAAAAGTGTTCAGATTGCTGCATATTAATATAAAAGGAGAAAAATAATAGTAGCTAATATTTTGGCAGGTTCTAAATATATACCAGGTTCTAAATGTTTTACATATACTAATTTCTTTCATTCTCATAACCACACTATAAGGTGGGTATGATTAGTGTCCTCATTTTACAGATGACAGAGCTAAAGCACAGAGAAGTTAAATGACTTGCCTGAGATTACCCAGCTAATAAATTCAAGCCTGTACAGGAAGTCTGGCTCCAGAATTCATGCACTTAACCACTGTATTATTTATTACAATAATTTATCCAGTTAAAACCCAATTCTCTTCCAGCCTCACCTCTCCTGAGCATGGGTAAGAAGCAGGGAGCATCGGCCAGGCGTGGTAGCGCACGCCTGTAATCCCAGCACTTTGGGAGGCCGAGGCGGGTAGATCACCTCAGGTCAGGAGTTCTCAACCAGCCTAACATGGTGGAACCCCATCTCTACTAAATACAAAAAAATTAGCTGGGCGTGGTGGCGCATGCCTGTAATCCCAGCTACTTGGGAGGCTGAGACAGGAGAATCACCTGTACCTGGGAGGCGGAGGTTGAGTGAGCCGAGATCCGGCCATTGCACTCTAGTCTGGGCAACAAGAGCAAAACTCCGTCTCAAAAAAAAAAAAAAGAAGAAGAAGAAGAAGGAGGGAGCATCAAAACAAAAATTAGGCCTGGAGAATCAAGTCTGTATGTTTTAATTACAAGTCCCTTAGGCCCTCTTTCAGAGTTACTTTAATCTGTAATTCAAACAAGCTTTGTTACCAGTTTTTAATCTTCCAGAATATCAGAAGTAGCAAATTATTAGAAAGGAAAAGGCTAATAATGATCGCCGGCTGTTTACCTTCAGAAAGGCAGAGCTTAGTGATGAAAGCAGAGTTTAATGACTCCATTTGGAAGCTGTTCCTTGAAAAGAACACCATTGAAATGATTCTAAGTACTAATACTGTACTACTTTCATAGTGTGAACTTTTTTTTTTTTTTTTTTTTTGAGATAGAGTCTCACTCTGTTGCCCAGGTTGGAGTGCAGTGCTGTGATCTCAGCTCACTGCAACCTCTGCCTCCTGGGTTGAGGTGATTCTCCTGCCTCAGCTTCCCAAGTAGCTGGGATTACAGGTGCCCACCACCATGCCCAGCTAATTTTTTTGTATTTTTATAGAGACAGCATTTCACCATGTTGACCAGGCTGGTCTTCAACTCCAAACCTCAAGTGATCCACCCACCTCGGCTTCCCAAAGTGCTGGGATTACAGGTGTGAGTCACCATACCCAGCCAACATTTTAGGATTGTATATATTTAACAATTGCACTAAGTTTAAACTGCTGTCTCAGATTTGTTATATACAATTAGATTTTCTGAAATCTTTTATCTTTTCCTTTCCCAGCTTGGCTGGTCCATTGGTCCAAATCATTTGATAAAACATTTACAGACAGTTCAACAAAACACGATTTATACTTGTGCAACTCCTTTACAGGTAAGTGTTATAGTAACTCAGGGTAGAAGCATTGTCTTTTGGTGAAGGTATTACTTTTATATTGCATATTTGAATTGACTTAATTCTCCTTCTATCCTTCTGTTGCAGGGCCTTCTAATATAATTTGGAATTTGGGGAGCAGATACATATTCACTGTTATCAAGCATGGTTTGGGTTTTTTTTTAAACACAATTTTAGCTGTGTTAAACATTGCTGGCAGGAATCTAAAGTGCTACAAATTCTGTGAAGGACAATGGCAACACCAAACAAAATTACACATGTGTTTGCCCCATGAAAGCAATCCATCTTCTAAGAATTTACCCTAAAGTTGTGTTTTAGTCCGTTCTTGCACTTAGGTAAAGAAATACCTGAGACTTAGTAATTTATAAAGAAAAGAGGTTTACTTGGCTCATGGTTCTACAGGCTGTACAGAAAGCATAGTGGCTTCTGCTTCTGGAGAGGCCTTAGAAAACTTACAATAATGGTGGAAGGCAAAGAGGGAGTAGGCATGTCTCACAGGGCTGGAGCAGGAGGGAGAGAAGTGGGGAGGTGCAACACACTTTTAAACAACCGTATCTCACAATAACTCACTCTCATGAGAACAGCATCAAGGGGATGGTGCTAAACCATTCATGAGAAACCACTCCCATGATCCAATCACCTCCCACCAGGCCCCACCTCCAACATTGAGGATTACAACTGGACACTAGATTTGGATGAAGACACAGATCCAAACCATATCAAGCTATCTGCACATGTAAGAAGTTACGTACTTACCTGGCTATTCATTGCAGATGATTGAGGAGAATCCATTATCATCTACAGACGATTGATTACATAAACCATGATCTATCCAAACATTGAAATGTTATATGACCATATTAAGTTTCCTACTGGTGCTATAACAAATTACCACAAACTTAGTGACTTAAAACAACACAAATTTATTATCCTACGGTTCTTCAGCTCAGAAGTCAGAAATGGGTCTTAAAGGGCTAAAATCAAGGTGCTGGCATTGCTGTGTTCCTTCTGAAGGCTCTAGGAGAGTCTGTCCTCTGCTTCCGTCAACACATTTCCTGTGGCTTCAACCCTCCTGCCTCCCTTTTTCCCTTATAAGCACCTTTGAGATAACATTGGGCCCAATGGATAATCTGTCCAATTAATTAAGGATAATCTCCTTAATTTCAATCACATCTGCAAAGTTCCTTTCACCATGCAAGGTAACATATTTACAAGTTCTGGGTTTTAAGACCTAGAAGTCATTGGGACCCATTACTCTGTCTACTGGCTGCTAAAGAGAAAAGAAACAAGAAAGAAAATAGGGAAATACTATAATTACTGTACTGAGATAAAAAAGATTTCTAGAATACATCATAAAGTAAAAAAGAAAAACTATTTAAATATTATTTAATATTTAATATTTTTAATATATATTATGGAAATAGGGATTTAGTTACCATCATTCTATGGATAATCAAAATGCTGAAAAAAATAGTATTTTTCTAGAAGGCAGTTAAAAGGGCAAAAGAACCAGGCACAATGGCTCACGCCTATAATCCCAACACTTTGGGAGGCCAAGGTGAGCGGATCACCTGAGGCCAGGAGTTCGAGACCAGCCTGGCCAACATGGCAAAACCCTGTCTCTACTAAAAGTACAAAAATTAGCTGGGCATGGTGGCAGGCGCCTGTAATCCCAGCTACTCAGGAGGCTGAGGCAGGAGAATTGCCTGAATCCAGGAGACAGAGGTTGCAGTGAGCTGAGATCGTGTCACTACACTCCAGCCTGGGCAACAACAGCAAGACTTCGTCTCAAAAAAAAAAAAGAAAAGAAAGAAAAAAAAGATGTTGATAGATATGAAGAAGAAAGATAAAATAGGGAAGAGGAAGGATATAAAGCTCCAGGTGGGAGATATACAGTGTTAAATAGGGTAATCTTTGAAAGCCTCCCTGATAAGGTAACATTTGAACAACTAACTGAAGGGGATTAAGCAGCCACATGGTTACCTAGAGAAAAACCCCTTTGGACAGAGAGAACAAGCGGAAAGGCCCAGTGGTAGACAGCCTGGCTGGCATGTTAATATCAGAGAACAGCACAGAGACTGGAATGGAATGATTGAGAGAAGAGTAGGAAAAGCTAAGATCAGAGAGGTAGCTGGGAGTCCAATGGAGCTGGGGCATGCATGTCACTGTAAGGACTGAGTGAGATAGGAAGTCACTAGAGAGTTTTGAACTCAGGAGTGACTTGGTCTGGCTTGTGTTAGCAAATGGACTCTGACTGCCTCATTGAGTGAGAAAGCTGTTACAGTGATCCAAGAGAGAAATGCCAGTGCATTGAACAAAGATGGGGGTGGTAGAAGCAGTAAAAAGTGATTGGACTCTGAATATATTTTGAAAGTAGAGCCAACATTATTTGTCAATAGGTTACATATGGGATATGTGAAAAAGAAAGGAGTCCAGGATAATGCTGTAGTTAGGATGGATGTTTATGTCTCCTTATACTTGGAATTTTCTAAGGCAGTATCTCCTATAGTAAATGAACAAGTTGCCAAGAGAAAAAAAAAAAAAGATATAGCTAAGAATGCAGAACATCTTTTTCTGAACACTCTTATTCTCCATTTCAGCTAGGTGCTCTGTTTTGTCCTGGGACAACCATGTTTGGTTCCAGGAAACCACAGATTTCCAGGCTAAGGCAATCGATCCTTATTTTCCAAGATTTTGTAGTACTGGAGATTTATTACTAATTCTGTTTTACTGCATTCTTTTGGCATAAAATCTCTGTGATCTTGCCCCTCTCTGTCTCCAGTCTCATCTCTTGCCACACAGTCTCTCTTACCTGCCTGGTCCTTAATGTCTTAGTTGGACTGGGTGGCTTATAAACAACAGAAATTTATTTCTCACTGTTCTGGAGGCAGCAAAGTCCAAGATAAGGCACCAGCAGATTTGGTGTCTGGTGGGGACATGCTTCTTCACGGATGGTGCCTTTTGCTGTGTCCTTACATGGTGGAAGGAGCAAGCTAACCCTCCTTTGTAAGGGCACTAATCCTGTTCCTGAGGGCTCTACCCTTCTGTCCTAATCACTTCCTAAAGGCCCCACCTCCTAATACCATCACCTTGGGGTTTACTATTTTAATATATGAATATGAGAGTGGGCACAAACATTCAGTCCACTATACTTAACAACATTGGCTTTTTCCTTGGCCCAGTTTGCTGTCCTGGCTCTTGAAGAAAGATAGAGGAATTACTGTAGATGTTCCAGAAACTCATTTCTAGTCCCTCTTACACTTTGACCAACTTCCTGGCATATGAATAATTCCAGCAAGGATTTCCACACCTATGGAGAATAAGAAAGGCACATTTCTCCTTTGCACAGTAGGTGAGCTTTCATTTCCACTCTGTCCCCAAATGTAATGGTGAGAGGCTGACTACTCTCTGGTTGTTCTTCTGACTTAGATTTAGCAAGTCATTCTACAACTCACCTCAGCAGAAAATATCTTAATGTCTTTTTGTTTCCAAGCAAGCCACCTTTAAGTAACAGCTCTTTTTCAATTTGAATTTTCAGGACTCCTTCTCAGTTCTTCACATGAGATTTAATCATTTAGGTATAACTGATTCCTCCATTAACCTATAGAGTTTAATATAGGTTCACAGGAATTCAACTGTTATTTCCTGAGTGACTTCTTTGCCAATAATTTTACTCAGATCATCTCTATTTATTATACCAATAAACTAAGCAATAAATAACATTGCCATATGCCTTTTCATATTTTTTGATTCTTAACAAACAGGAAGCCTTGGCTCAAGCTTTCTGGATTGACATCAAGCGCATGGATGACCCAGAATGTTACTTTAATTCTTTGCCAAAAGAGTTAGAAGTAAAAAGAGATCGGATGGTACGTTTACTTGAAAGTGTTGGCCTAAAACCCATAGTTCCTGATGGAGGATACTTCATCATCGCTGATGTGTCTTTGCTAGGTTTGTAAAGGCTTTTATTATTTCAACTATACGGAAACTTATGTGTGAAATTATATCAGAATTATGGAGAAAAGATTGGTGTCAAAGCCACAGCAGCATTTTATCTGTGGAGAAGGATGGATTTTTGCAATGTCTACATTTTCTATAATTATCTTTACTTTTAGGCCTTTTACCTTAAATGTGACCATTGTTAAATGGTTATGGAGTCAGTGTTGTTCTAGTTAGTCTATTAAACATAGGATTTGCTATCACTCTCTTCTGGTGTGTAATTTTAAAACACAAGTGTGTGAAATAATATTATATACTCAGTGTTCATTTGAGTAAAATTGTAGTTTCCTTTTTACTTAACAAAATGTACTATTTCATTAGAAAAATATCTAGAAATTTTGAAGCTATCAGGGAATATTTGCCATTTTAGAATGTACTGAAATAAAATAAATGGGAGAATAACACTTATTGAGGGTCTACTTTGTGCCACGTACTCAAAACACCCTTTTGAAGAAAACATTAGCTCCATTTTTGCAGGTAAAAAGATTTAGAAAGTTTTAAATAGCTTCCCTGAAGTCACACAGCTAGATTCTAAATAGTTCTGTTTCCAAAAAGCATTGTTTTTTATATTACCTAAAGCTGTTATATGTAATTCTGACATGCCATACAAATCTAAAGTTAGAAGCATGATAATGTGTCATATATAACTTTTCTTTTAAAAAAATTAGTAATAGTAAACCTTGAAGCCTAATTTATCATGACAGAAATTACAGCCATTCTAAATATAGTTTTAAATGTTTTAAAATTTTATTACAATGAAGTTATATGCCAATGAACTTGAAAAACTGAAGTGTTTTATTTATACTAAATTGTATAAAGCTGGAAAGAGTAAAGGAAATTTTCAATTTTATAGCAAAACATTGATCATATTTTTTAACTTTACATCCTTCACATAGGAGTTTGTTTTGTTTTGTTTTGTTTTGTTTTGTTTTGTTTTGTTTTGTTTTGTTTGAGGCAGGGTCTGGCCCTGTCACCCAGGCTGGAGTGCAGTGGCGTGATCTCAGCTCACTGCAACCTCTGCCTCCTGGGCTCAAGCCATCCTGCCACCTGAGTCTCCTGAGTAGCTGGGACCACAGGCATGCACCACCACACCTAGCTAATTTTTAAATTTTTTTTAGAGACGAGGTTTTGCCACATTTCCCAGGCTGGTCATGAATTCCTGAGCTTAATGAGTGATCCACCTGCCTCAGCCTCCCAAAGTGCTGGGATTACAGGCATGAGCCACTGGCTGAGTTCTTTCTTACTATAAGCATTTGATGCTAGCAATTTTTACTTGTAATAGTTCATTATCATCTTAGCAAATTTCAGAAAAGTAAGGTGTTATGATTTTCCTATAATTTGGTCTTCAGGTCTGTCTCTCTGGAAAGTGGCTGTAAACTCTAGCTGTTCCCTGATGGGGCTCCAGGGGAGGTCCTGGATGTTTGCAGTGTGCCTTTCATGGGCTACTTGTTTATCCTGGCAGATGGCCTGATGTTAAGTGTCTGACCCATGACCAGACATCCCTGGAAACTGGTTTATACTGGCAGACATCCTTGTGGCTCTCATCTGACCTGTATCCAGTTTATTTCCACAGAGATAGCCACTCTCTAGGAGGAGGAGAGTTAGGTTCCGGTGTGTTGGTCAGTTGGGACACAGAAGAGGCAGCAGGCCTCCCGGGACCAATGGGAAGTGAGGAGTGGTCCAGGATATACACACTCAACCAGCAGGTGGGGAACAGAGAGAGAGTGGGATCTGTGGGCCAAAGCCTTTTTGGGGGCCCAAGGTGTTACCCAAGCAGGTTTCCTGCAGAGACTTCTAACAGATGGGTTTAGAGCGAGCAGGCACAAGCTCATGGTGTCAGGCTGTGACTGAGAGGTGGTCACTGTGGCATATCTAGGCAGTCCATGAGGAGGGTGGGGGTCAGTGGGCGAGTCAAGTAGGTTGTATCTAGCTGTACCACAGTGAGGTGCTCGCCAGGAGGTGGTTGTCTCAGGCAGATATCTGAATCAACTACATTGAGGAACTGTGAGGAGGAAGAGAAGTGGAAATTGTGTCAAGGGTGACTAAGCCCTGCTTCTGGTATAAGAAAGACCAACTTATATTCACAATGGATGCCAAGACAACATACAGTCATAAGAATTCATTACATGAGGTTTGGCTCAAACTGAAACACTCTCCTTCCTTTCACATTAGCTTATTTCTTCATTTGTTGTGAGAGAAGAGGCTTTGACAAGCAAAGATTCCTGCAGTGCTATTGCCATAGAGCTGTATTTAGCAGGCTCCCAAGCTCTATGCTTATATAGAACCTCTTAAGGTGTTCTAGACTCTGAGATTTGGGAAGTGCTTTTTCTATATTGAGTCTAAATGTGCAGTTCATTTTATGAAATGATAAAAAAAATTAGCACAGTTGTCATCACTTATATTTTTGCCTTTGAATCATAAATCCCCAAGATTTCCATATGAATTATTATTTTTTTAAAAGAACAACATTTGTACTTTATATGCTTCCAAAAGGAATGTGAGCCTTCTCATATTAAAAGTTTTCTATGCAGTAATATATAAATAGAAATGATTGTATCTAAATCAAAAATCAATGATACATGGCCAGTACAGTGACTCCTGCCTGTAATCCCAGCACTTTGGGAGGCCAAGGCGGGAGGATTGCTTGAGCCCGGGAGTTCAAGACCAGCCTGGGCAACATAGTGAGATCCTGTCTCTTAAATTAAAAAAAAAAAAAATCAGTTACACATAGGAGGGAAAGAAAGCAAATATTTCAGTCACCTAGGTTCACATAGTATTGTAATTAGCATTAACTTGAGACTAAACTTCCTGACAGTAAAGGCAAACAGAAAAATGAAATTAGTTGCGTAGTTTTTGAATAAAAAGAAACTTAGCTTTTTAGATAAGAACAATTCTTTCCTGGAACCAAACTTTTCCAGATATGAAACTCGATTTATCACATTGTGACATTAACTATCAAAAGAACAGTGATAAAACTCAGAATATTACATTAAGCTCCTAATTAGTTTCCATTTCTTTCCTCAGTCAATCCATTCTATATGCAATACTAATTTAGGTCTTAGATCTTGAACTAGTGTGGTGATAATAGGAGCAAAAAGGATTTTGGTTAGGAAAGCTTTTCTGATAATGAAAACAAGATTTTTTTTATGGTCTTCCTTCACTCGTGGAAAAATGTTAATGTCCACAAAACCTTCCTACATATAAAGAAATTTATGTTTTGTTTTACCTTTTCATCTGCTTCATTTGCAATGTGATAATTCTTCCATATACTAAAAGTTGGCCCATAAACTAGAGATAAAAACAAAAACTCTTATTTAATCGTAGCTTGAGAATAAAAGTAAACCATAATATTCATGAAAATAGTAATGACTTCCCTTTACAATTAATAGCAAGGGCTGACTAGTTAATATTTATTGAGAATTTATGATACAGTATGAATTACATTAGGAGCTTTGCAAATATATTCTCACAAAAGCTATATGAAATTGGTGCTATTATATCACTATTGATAGAGAAGAGGAGATAGAGAATCAAGTAATTTACTGAAGTTAATCAACTAATAAGTATCAAAGCTGGCCTCTGAATCCAGTAATTAGAAGACAAGATTTCAAATGAGATTATTACAGTTTTTCTAGTGAAATAATAGGATCCAAAATTATGGAGGAGATAGTAAGAATGCAAAAACAAATTTGGGCCTTCATAGATTACTTAGATATGCTCACACATTTGATTTAAACTCTTACTGTCAATAAAGAAAGACTTTAGTTCCCTTGAGGATGTCTGGCTGAGGCATGTCAAAAGAAATAGATTCCAAATTCCTTCTGACTAAAAAACCTTTATAATTATATTTATTCCCTTCTTTCCTTTTTCAACATCATGGTATTACGTTACTTTTTTCTGGCAGGGTACCATGGCTCAGGCCTGTAATCCCAGCACTTTGGGAGGCCGAGGCGGGTGTATCACTTAAGGTCAGGAGTTTGAGACCAGCCTGACCAACATGGTGAAATTCCACCTCTACTAAAAATACAAAGATTAGCCAGGTGTGGTGGCGCATACCTGTAATCCTAGCTACTCAGGAGGCTAAGGCAGGATAATTGCTTGAACCGGGGAAGTGGAGGTTGCAGTGAGCCGAGATCGTGCCATTGTACTCCAGCCTGGGTAACGAGAGAGAAACTCCATCTCAAAAAATAAATAAATAAATAAATTCCTTTTGTCTAAGCTCTACAAGAATAAATGAGTAGTACAGTGTCAATTAGAATTAGTCAATAATCCTCTTCTACTCCCTTAGGTATTCACTCCTTTCTCTGCCTACCTGTGTACCTTCAATACACTGCTGTTGTATACCTGTCACATGGAATTTTTACATAATTTACAATTAGACTAAGTTTTTTAGCTGGTATTTTTGTTAGGGCCAAACCTGAATTACATATAAATACCTTGAAATAATAATTTAACTTCCTTATCTGTAAACAGAGGATTATCATTACCTCTCAGAATTGTGGTAACAACTAAATGAGATGATCATGTAACATGCTTAACCAATAAGAAGTGTTCAATAAATTGCAGTTTGTTGTTGGCATTATTACTTGGAAATTTTATGTTCTCCTTAAAACACAGGGGAGAATGGAGATTAAAATATCAGGTAAAAGGATATTAGGGCTTTGTTTTAAAAATACAGGTGAACCTTTCTTCAGTGTCAAAGGTTTTACATGATTAATTTGAAAAGAACCACTAGTATTTAATGTATAGAAGAAAGAAGTAAGATATCTGCCTCAATTTGTTTTCAGCAATAAATTATAAAATTTCCTGGATGACGATAACCATCAATATTAGTTGCTTTAGGGCATTCAAGAAGATCAAAGAGTACAAGTCAATAAAGTTGAAACAATATGAAATGTGGATTGCTGAAACTGAATGCCAGAGATATATCTTGCCCAGACCTTAAAGCAAAATTGAGGCAAGAGCAAACAGGAGTATATATTTGACTTTTTCACAAATTTAAAAAAAGGTATAATATATGGGAGCAAGAGATGAAAAATAAGAGTAGCATTTGGAAGATCTAAACAGATATCCTGTATTTATAAATAATGCATAATATTAATTTATCCATTCAACAAATATACTTTTTGTCACTTATGTGCTAGACACTGACCTAGGGGTTGGGAATACGATAGGTTACCAAACAGACACTTTACTTTTGTGGAACTTATAGTCGAATGAGTGGCTATGTGGAGATATAATCTTACTGATGAATACTTAAAAATTTAGCAGTTATTTCCTTAGTAATGATCATAGAGTCTTATTTCTCAATGGAAAGGCATCCCTCCTCTGCCCTTCACCTTTTCTACTCTCTTCCTGTGCTGAAAGCTGCACGTATAAGCCTAATCACCCTGATGTATATGTGAGTACTGCCTTAGACTATCAGTAAAGCTCTGTGAATTCACTTCCCACCCCACCGTACAGTGTGAGACTCCAGCATATTCTGTGACTATGTTCTGAGAAAATTCTAAACCAAGCTAATTTAAATAGGAGAAAATGTTGAATCTTGATAGACTTAAATGAAATACATGTTGCATCAGATGAAATTCATAGGCCACCTAATTTTCATTGTGGTTTTAGATCCAGACCTCTCTGATATGAAGAATAATGAGCCTTATGACTATAAGTTTGTGAAATGGATGACTAAACATAAGGTAATGTTTATTGTTCTTTGCAAGATTCTGTTATATTTTATAGTTAATTTTTGAAGGAAATCTGCTGGTATGCTTTGAAATCGATCAAATGTAATGTTGTTATATGATACTCCACTTGTGGCTTTTAAAAGCATTTTTCTTTTTGGAAATTATTGTGACTATTTAAAAGTATCTAGTTGCCTCTAGTATCTGTAGTACCAAAATTAATATTTGAAGTGTAAGTAGTTTTCTTATTATATGTTTCTATTTATTTTTCAGAAACTATCAGCCATCCCCGTTTCAGCATTCTGTAACTCAGAGACTAAATCACAGTTTGAGAAGTTTGTGCGTTTTTGCTTCATTAAAGTAAGTTCCCTGCTCTATTGAAAACACATATATAGTATCTTCATTTCAATTTTTAAAGTACTATTTTCTTCTGTTTCTAAAAATGATATGCTCATATGCAGTTTTTAAATTTTGGCTTACGGCTTTAAAATTAACTGCTTACTGGCTGGGCGTGGTGGCTCATGCCTGTAATCGCAGCACTTTGGGAGGCCGAGGCGGGCTGATCACGAGGTCAGGAGATCAAGATCATCCTGGATAACACAGTGAAACCCCGTCTCTACTAAAAATACAAAAAATTAACTGGGCATGGTGGCGGGCACTTGTAGTCCCAGCTACTAGGGAGGCTGAGGCAGGAGAATGGCGTGAACCCGCGAGGAAGAGCTTGCAGTGAGCCGAGATCGCACCACTGCACTCCAGCCTGGGCAACAGAGCGCGACTCCGTCTCAAAAAAAAAAATTAACTGCTTACCAAAATAAAATTCAACACTTTTTGAAAGAAGACAACATAATACAGACCCCTTACCATGTAATATGACAATTTCTAGCTTACAATGAAAAATTACTAGACATAAGAAAACACAAGAAAATATGACCTGTAGCAAAGAAAAAAAGAAGTTAATAGAAATAGGCCTAAAGGTGACCCAGATCTAGAAATTAGCAGACAAGGACTTTAAAGCAAACATTTGAAGTATGTTTAAGAAATTAGATGAAAACGTGGTAATAATAAGTGAACAGAGAGGTTCAAACTATTAAAAAAAAAAAGAACCAAATGGAGATTCAAGAACTTAAAAGTCTAATATCTGCTATGAAATACTTATGGTGCTAAGAGAGTACTGAAGATGTCAGAAAAAAAGGGTTAACTTGAATACAGATTAATAGAAATTATCCAATCTGAAAAAAGGAGAAATATTATTTTTAAAGAGTGAACAGAACCTCAGGTCTATGAGACAATACCAAGTGATAATATATGTGTCATTGGAGAACCAAGAAAAAAAAGAGAGAGAATATGACAGAAAAAATATTTTAAGGAATAATAGTCAAAATGTTCCCATATTTGGTGAAAAGCAACTTATGTCTAAAAAGGTCAATGAAATACAACAGGATAAATATTTTAAAAGCACAATTAGGTACATCATAAACTGCTGAAAACAAAAGTGAAGATAAGATATTAAAGGCAGCCAGAGGTCAGGTGTAGTGGCTCATGCCTATAGTCCCAACATGTTGGGAGACCAAGGCGGGAGGATTGCTTGAGTCCAGGAGTTCAAGACCAGCCTGGGAAACATAGTGAGATCCTGTCTTTATAAAAAAATATTTTTAATTAGCCAGGCTTGCTGGCACATGCCTGAGGTACTCACTATTCAGGAGTTTATGGTACAAGGATCACATGAGCCCAGCACGTCCAGGTAGAAATGTTAACTAACTTCTTATCAGAAACAGCGGAGACCAGAATACAATGAAATAACATCATCTGAGCACTGACATAAAAAAAAAAAAATAACAGCCTAGAATGCTATATCTAGGAAAATAGCCTTTAAAAATGAAAATGAAGTAGATATCCCTGACAAATGAAAGCTGAGAGATTTATCACTATCAAACTTCTCCTTTTTTAAAAGGTTCCAAGTGTGTTACTGCTGTTTTCAAAATGTTGTTGGTACTGAAAATAGTCTTACTGAGATCAAGACACTCTATCAACTCACTCATCTTTAAACCTAATGAGAATAACATAAACACTGTTTTCAACTTTCAGAGACAACCGATAGCCAGACTTGCTCAGAATAGAATATAAATATTAACAACCTAACAATGTAAACATTCAATTGACTGAAATTTTAAAGAACGGTAATGCTATTAATATCCTTCATCTTACACTGGATTGAGAAATAGTGGTATATTATTTGAAATTGTAAACAAAACTAACAGAAGAAAGAAGTAACGTAGGACTTCCAGTTTTAAAATGGTAAACCCAGCCCTCCCCTAATCTCTTTTTAGAAATTATTTAAAAACAACTAAGAGAATAGAAAACAAATTCCCCAGTGTTTAAGGAAAGGCTGCTAAATACTGTGAAGGTGATGGTAGAGGGAAGATCCCTAGAAAGGATCCTGCTTTTACATCTTCAAATTACAGACAAAGCCAGCAGGCAGCATACTCATTATTGAGAACAGTAGGAGCAGTCGCTGCACTGGCAGCAGGAACTTCTCTAGACCGTTTGGCATGATGGAGGAAACGGCAAAAACATACAGTCATGTCATCTGGAAACTATGTAAGGCAAGGTGGAAAGGAGACTCTGGTTGGTCTATAGATTTCCTCATTTACTCCTGTCATTTTGCTAAAAGCTATGTTGAAGCAATGCGGAAGAGATGTATTAAACTGGGGATAGCCAATTTAATTATTTGGTAAGAACTGTGGTCTAAAAGAACTCCCACCCACTGAACCCTACATCAACTGTATTAAATTTTACTATGAGACAAGGAGAATTTCTGCTCTTTTCTGGTGCTGCCCCAGCTTCTCCCTTATACAAATCAGCAAATCTATCTTCAAATCACAGACAAAGCCAGCAGGTAGCATGCTTATTACTCAGAACAATAGGTATAGTGCATGCTTTGGCAGTGGAAAACAAAGAATTCAATCAAAAATGATTAATAATCAAAGAGGAGGGGCCAGGTGCGGTGGCTCACACCTGTAATCCCATTACTTTGGGAGGCCGAGGCAGGAGGATCACTTGAGGTCAGCAGTTCACAACCAGCCTGGCCAACATGGTGAAACCCCATCTCTACTAAAAATACAAAAAATTGAGGTGGGTATGGTGGCACATGCCTGTAATCTCAGTTACTTGGGAGGCTGAGGCATGAGAATCACTTGAACCCAGGAGGCAGAGGTTGCAATGAGCTGAGATTGCTCCACTGCACTCCAGCCTGGGTGATGGAGTCAGACTCTGTCTCAAAAAATATAATAACAATAATAATAATAATAAAAGAGGAACCAACTGTGAATCTATATAGGACAGTATAAGGAAAAGAGAAAGGTACAAGGAAAAACAAGTGTTAGAGAATATTCGCCCAAAAAAAATGTTGCCATGGAGCAAATAAAATTAGTGCTATTTCAGATTTAAAACCTTTAAAATGAGAAAGCAGAGATTTTACGAATTCAGGGAAGATAGAGTAAGATATTATAAGAAGATCAAATGGGAGCTATCAGAGTTCAGGTAGGAAATTGAAAAGAAAAAATAAAGCTATTGGAAATTATGGTGACATTATTAATAGAAACACCACAAAGAACACTAAATACTTCTGTAAGGACATTAAGGATGGAGATAAGTGAGCAAAAGGAAGTAGAAAGGAACAAATAATTTTTAAAATATTAGGCAGAAAAATTATTGATGCAGAGGAAAAATAAAATATGTGGAGTTGCCAGAAAAAAATAAGAGCAGAACAAATGGAACCTGCATATAATAATAATTGTCACACAATTATTAACACTGAGATATACCTCGCTTGATATATTGGGCTTCAAAGACAATTCCTTTGGTCACCTAGACAGTAAGATCAAGGCCTCCAGAGGGGCCAGAAGAGGAGGATCAGTATGGACCCAGACTCTTCTTACATCAGCAGTCAATATTGGCAGATAGTGTGGAAGTAGCTGGAAGTTTCTAGGGAAAGTGGACACACCTAACTCCACCTCTTAGAAAGACTAAAAATCAAAGAATGACAAAAACATACCAAGAAAATAGAAATTGAAAGAAAGCAGTTTGAATTCAGAGCAAAATAAAAGTGATAAAAGTAAATAAATTTAAGGCAAAAATAGCACTTTATAATATTATGGGTAAGATCCTTAGTAGTTGTTAAACTTATAAAAGTTGTCAAACTTATTTCATAGTAAGGGAAATGAAAAATAGAACTGCAAAGAAATTTTATCTCTTAGATTGGAAACAACCAAAACAACTAAAAGTTTCATAAAACACTCTCACAAATTGAGAGTGGGAGTATAATTTGTAAAATCTCTATGGTGGTTAGTTTGAAAATTTCTGTTCAGATGTGATTTCCCATACCCTTTGATCCAACAATTCTACCTCTACAAGTGTTTTCTTGTGGATTTATTTGCACATTTCGAATGACTTATATTCAAGGATTTTCACTGAGGCATCATTTGTAATAGCAAAATATTGTAAACAACAAAATTATTCACCAGTGGGGGCTGCTTGAATAAATGATGCTACATTCAGATCAACCTAAATGCCCATCAATGCTGTCATTGGATAAAGAAAATGTGGTACATATACACCATGGACTACTATGCAGCCATAAAAAAGAATGAAGTCATGTCTTTTGCAGGAACATGGGTGGAGCTGGAGCCTATTATCCTTGGCAAACTAACACAGGAACAGAAAACCAAATATCACATGTTCTCTCTTATAAGTGGAGCCAAAAATAATGAGAACTCATGAACACAAAGAAGGGAACAACAGACACTGGGGCCTCCTTGAGGGTGGAGGGTGGGAGGAGGGAGAAGAGCAGAAAAGATAACTGTTGGGTGCTGTGCTCTTAATACCTGGGTGATGAAATGATCTGTACAACAAACCCCTGTGACATGAGTCTACCTATGTAACAAATCTTCACATGTACCCCCAAACCTAAAATAAAAGTTAAAAATAAATAAACAAGAACAATAAAAAATATACAATTTTAAAAAGAAAGATGGATGAAAATCTCTGGAAAAATATATAATGAAATCCCAGTGTTGTCTCTGGAGAGAAAAACTGAGTGGCTGAGGAAGATAGGTGGGAAGCTGACTTACTTTAAAACAAATATTTTTAAATGCTCTCAACCTAAAAGTTTCAAGAACTTTTTTCTAAACTATTTCAGAGTAAGTTGTCAACTTAATTACTGAGGATGCTCCGATCACCCCCATATACTTTCTTGTGTATTCTTCATAAACAAGACATTCTCCTCCCAAACCACAATATAACCCTCAAAATCATGAAGTTAACCTTGATACTCCATCTAATCCTCAGATCTGATTTAAATGTCATTCATTGTCCCAATAATGTCCTTTTTATAATAATTAATTAATTCAGGCTAGAATCATGCATTGCATTTAGTTGTCATGTCTCCTTCAAGCTAGAATGGTTTCTCAGTTTTCTTTGACTTTCATGATCTTGATACTTTTGAAAATTATCAATGAATTATTTTTAAGAAAGTACCTCAATTTAAGTTTGATGTTTCCTCATGCTTAGACTCAGGCTATGCACTTCGGCAGGAAACCACAGAAGTGATGATACTCTATCCTTTTCATTGTATCAGGTGGCACATGATTTCATTTATTCCTATTACCAGTGATGTTAACTTTAACCACCTGATTAAGGTGGTGTTTGCCAGTCTTTTCTACTATAAAGTTATACTTTTTCTTGTTAAATAGTAAATATTTTGTAGTAAGGTACTATGAAAATATTCCATATCTCATTAAGCAATTTATTTATTAACTTATTCATATGTATCAATGTGGACTTCTGGATTTTTATTTTGTAGTACAGTGGGCTATAATTTATTATTATTATTACTTATTTTGATACTTAGATTTTCCCAGATTTGGCCACTAG
Organism: Homo sapiens; assembly: GCF_000001405.40. Classification (NCBI taxonomy): domain Eukaryota; kingdom Metazoa; phylum Chordata; class Mammalia; order Primates; family Hominidae; genus Homo; species Homo sapiens. The sequence goes on along the minus strand of NC_000001.11, from coordinate 88,937,433 downwards.
TCATGTAACTACTAATTTAATCAATACTTCTGTATGGGATCAATCTCCTGTCAAAGCCACTGTGCATCCCTCACCTTCCCAGTCCCTGAGAGAATACCCTTTTCCCGGTTCAGGCTTTGACATTTTGTGCCAGGCTGCTACACTACATCTTCACCCGACCTGGGCTTTATCACCCATGCCGACCTGTCCTGTCATCCTCCTGGAGAGGTGCCCCCATCTAGGTCTCCAATACCCCATACCAGGCCACCACTGTCACCTACTACACAGAAGCCCTCCTTGCCCCTCTTGGGCACTGACACCATGCCAGATGCCTGCCTCATCTCATCCAGGCTCCAGGACCCTGCATGAGGCCACCCTACCATACAGGTGCCTCACTTACCCCACTCAGACTCTGACATCCTGTTCCAGCCAGCACTATCACCTCATGACACCCATGCTGACCAGCCTGCTCACTCCACTCTGGCTGCAGTGTCCTGCACTAGGGTTGCCAAGGCTCTCCCAGCCCTATACATGGACAGCCGCTTTGCTCAGCCTCACCTATTGGCTTTCAGACTGAATCATTCTGATGGAGAGAGAAGACAAAGAAAAAGAAGTAGAGAAACAGAAGATGAACAACAGAAGGCTGGATTTTCTCTGCTTACACCTCTGTTTAATTTTATGCTATATGTATGAATCACCTATTCAAAAAATAAACTATTTTTCAATAATTACAACTATGAAACCTTGAAAGCAAGGGGCAGAGTAGTGTGAATGAACTAATTTTTTTTTGTTCAGAGCAAAGTATAGATATAGTAGATAATATGTGAAGTTCACAAATAAGGAAATAGAAGCATAAGCACATTATTAGATTTTGGTGGTAGCCATTAGAACTAAATCCAGAAATTGCCATAAAAGGTTATCTTGAAGGTAGAGGGAGTCATAGGAAGGGTGAAGAAGGGGTGGAGCAGACAGCTATTATTTTTCAGTGTAAACTCTTCTGTACCCTTTGACCTGTTTCTGTAATTATAATTCATTTGGTTAACTGTTTTCCTGTTTTGGGTTCTGCTTTTGCTTTTTCACTTTGAAAATTTTTCTTCACTTGAGATCAGATATTCACTTAAATCTTCATTATGTTGTATATTTAAATCTTTGCTTCATCTTGAATTTATGTATATCTGTAATAATGATGATTATTTCATTAATTTACAGAAAGACAGCACACTGGATGCTGCTGAAGAAATCATCAAGGCATGGAGTGTACAGAAGTCTTGATTTGTGCAGAATGGATTAATGTTTCTGTTAGATGACCTAGTATGGAATTGTTACTTAGTGCTGCCACCTGCTGGATGTTAAAAGGTATTTCAGTACAACTGGAATTTAAATATTTCCATTGTTTTTCCAAAGCAGTTAACCCAACTCCTAACAACATTTTCGGGGGATCTGACCTTTTTTTTCCAGTTGAAATGTATTAACACACCTTCCACAATCATTTTATAAGAGTCAGCATAACATAGTGGATAAGAAATGTGAGATGTTTAACCTCTCAGTAACTCGGTTCTCTCATTATAAAATAGGAATAAAATCAGTACCTGTTTCATATGAAGGTCGTTTCTGAGAATTAAATGGACTAATGTATGCAAAAAGCCTGGCAAACAATAAACACTCATCTGACTTTAGCCGGTTTCATGTTTCCACCATTGTGTAAAAACTCCTAACCAGTTCCACCCCTCAACCACATCTATTTGTTTTGTGTACCCACCTGTAGTTCCTCCCCTTCATTTACCAATGGCCTTGAACTCTGTTCACAGTTTTGCTTCATACCCCAAGTACTGCTGTTATTTGCGGTGGCTTCAGGTCCACATAGATTAGCCAGGCTTTCCATACTTTGACATCCTCACCTCTGGTGATGTTCACCTCCACTGCACTTCAGCCACCGCTGCCTTGGTCGCTCCCTGAGGCTTTTATGATTCAAGTCGGCTTCACCTTTTGAGATCACAAATTCATCATCTCCCACTATAATGACCTATTCTTCCAGCTCATTGTTGCTGTCTTGTGCACATGCTCTCCCTTTTTTTTTTCTCTCTCTCTCTCTCTCTGTCTCTCTCTCTCCTCCATCTCCTTCTCCTCAGCTCTTTTCAAAATATCACTTCTTAGCCAGGTGCAGTGGCTCATGCCTGTAATCCCAGCACTTTGGGAGGCCGAGGCGGGTGGATCACTTGAATTCAGGAGTTTGAGACCAGGCTGGCCAACATGGTGAAGCCCCATGTCTACTAAAAATACAAAAAAAAAAAAAATTGGCTGGGCGTGGTGGCGTATTCCTGTAATCCCAGCTACTTGGGAGGCTGAGGCAGGAGAATTGCTCGAACCTGGGAGATAGAGGCTACAGTGAGCCAAGATTGTGCCACTGCACTCCAGCCTGGGCAACAGAGTGAAACTCCATCTCAAAAAAAAAAAAAAAAAAAAAATCACTTCTTTAAACTTACTACAATTTCAAATCCACTATTTCACAAAAAAATGGTCTATGACCTTCTTTCATTAGAATCTACTAAGATCCTTGTTGAAGACAGAGATTCTGGTCATCACCCCAGACCTGGTGAATAATAATTTCAGGATGTAGCCCTCCAGGTGATACTTACACACATGAAAGTTTGATCATTACTGTTGTAGTTTGTAGAATCCTCCATTTTATTTCTATCGGCTCCCTTAAATCTTCACTCCCTTTCTCATCTAGCCTTGACTTCATTGTCTATCACTTCAGACAAGTTGCTTTTGCTGCCTTGAATTATTTGCACCATTGTTCTATCTCAGCTGATCAAAAAGAAAGAACTCAACCCTGGGGTTGGAGCTCCATGCCTGTACCTGGGCTGTACATTGCACAGTTGGGCAGGTTCTAGCAACCATGAATTCACGTCACTGACACGAACTAGACATAAGTCTATGTTCCCCTACCTTTTACCACAGCAGCAATTCCTACCATTCTCCTATATTTATGTTTTGTTTTGAGATGGAGTCTCACTCTATCGCCAAGGCTGGGAGGCAGTGCCGTAATCTCAGCTCACCGCAACCTCTGCCCCCCAGGTTCAAGCAATTCTCATGCCTCAGCCATCCAAGTAGCTAGGATTACAAGTGTGCGCCACCACACCTAGCTAATTTTTGTATTTTTAGTAGAGACAGGTTTCACCATGTTGGCCAGCCTGGTCTCAAACTCCTGGCCTCAAGTGATCCGCCCGCCTCAGCCTCCCAAAGTGCTGGAATTATAGGCATGAGCCACCGCACCCAGCTGATTCTCCTATTTTTAATAACAAAAATATGCTACCTCCATTCTCACCTCAAAGCCTACCACAGTAGCATGATTAAATCATAGCAAATAACTTCAACCCCACTTCTGTGAAAAATATAATGAAAAAACAAGCTACCAAACCAGCACTTCCAACTAGGATCGTACCAATAAGCCTGTGACTTGTCTGCATCATCATCCATCCTTCCTTCCCTCCAGTTATAATGGTCATTCATCCTTTGACTTGTCCAAGGCCGACAGGTTAGGGGTGGCAGTAGAGTAAGGAGGACTTGGTTAAAAATTACCAGGCCCAGCCATCTAGAAGGAAGCTCAGGACCCCAAGAGCCAACAATTCTGTAGCAACAGAAATCCCATGGCAAATGTTTAGCCTGTCCACCCTTGCTGGGAACTTGACAAAATTTTCAGCAGAATTTAAAGCAGCTTTTTGCAGCCCTGGACTTGTCTAATGCTACTTCCACTGCCTGTGCTCTGGATCTTATTTCCTCACACACTCTCAGAATTGGCTCAGTCTATGCTCTTGGACCTTCAATCTCTACTGGTTCCCTTCTTCAGAAGTGGGATATGTTCAAATCTCTCCCATCTTAGAAAATTCTTTCACTGATTGAGTCTATCTACTAACCTGCTATGTCTTCCTATTCAGGGCAAAATTCTTTCTATCTTTCCTCTCTCTCCTCCTCCTCCCTCCCTTCCTTCTTTCCTTTGTTCCTATCTTCTTTACTTCTTCCCTGTCTGCCTCCCTCCTTCCCCTATTTTTTCCCTCCCTCCTCTCTTTTCCCTTTTTCCTTCTTCTCCTCCTTCCTTCCATAAGTATCACTTGAACTCCTACTATGTGCCAGGCACTCTTGTAGGCACTTACTACATCAGTGAACAAAAATTAAAGATTCCTGTCCTCTAGGCTTTTCATCTAGCCAGGGGAGGGAGATTAAGTCATAAACATAATAAAATATATTGTATGTAAATTTATACCTAATTGTATGAAGAAAAGAACTAGAGCAGAATAAAGGGGGATGACTGTTACAGAAGCAAATTGAAATTACAGTAGTGTGGTCAGAAAAGGTCTTATGGAGGGGACATGGAAGCAGATTTAAAGGAGGGAAGGGAGACAGCCTTGTGCAGATCTTGGGGAGAACATTCCCAGCAGAAGGAATAGACAGTGCAATACTTCAAAGACAGGAGGGTGCCTGGCATTTTTGATGAGTAACTCAAAGTCTGGTGTGATTGGATGGAATAACCAAGGGGGAGAGTAGTAGGTATTACATCAGAGAAGTAACATAGGACTTCAAGGACTTATTATAAGGATGATAGCTTAATCCAGAGAATCAGGGTGTTGTTCCATTTTTTTAAATATGTAAAATAATGCCAGCTTGGTGCCATGGCTCACACCTGTAATCCCAGCACTTTGGGATGCTGAGACAAGAGGATCACTTGAGGCTAGGAGTTCAAGACCAGCCTGGGCAACATAGTGAGACCTTATCTCCACAAAAAAGAATTTAAAAATTATCCAGGCATGTTGGTGTGCTCCCATAGTCCCAGCTACTTGGGAGACTGAGGGGGAGGATTGCTTGAACCCAGGAGGTTGAGGCTGCAGTGAGCTGTGATCACACCACTGCACTTCAGCCTGGGCAACAAAGCAAGACCCTGTCTTAAAATAATAATAGTAATAATGTCTGTTGCGGCATTGTATATAATTACTCCAAATGGGAAACAACCCATTTGTTTATATCTATCTATCAATAGTCTAATCTATCAATAGTCTACCAATCAATAGTCTAATAATTTAGGGGGCATATTCATACAGTAGTATCAATAGTCTAATAGTCTATCAATAGTCTAATCAATCAATAGTCTAATAATTTAGGGGGCAATATTCATACAGTGGAATATCATATGGCAATGAAAATTAACAAAGTACAGCTACACACAATAACATGAATGAATTTCATCAACACTGTTGTCATAGGGTTTCTTCACAGTGCCTTCAAAGAATGAGCTAGAGCTCTCAGTAGACAGTATTCTGTAATACTAGAATCAAGTGCTGTGATCATTGAAGCTTTGCATGTCAGCCTCAACCTCAGGGCTTCTAGAATTTCTGCGTGCACCCTGGAGTGAGGGTTTCCACAGTTTGGTCCAACAGCCCTAAGATTACCATGGGAAACTCCATGTCTGGGTGATTCAAGAGACAGAATCATTATCTTTTCCATTGAGCTGTGATGAGGAGACCTGAGTTGGGGAGAGGGAGGAAATGGCTTTTTTTTTTTTTTTTTTTTTTTTTTTTTGCAGTTGCAGGAGTGAAGACAGAGCTCCCATACAAAGGGAGGGGACCCAAAGAGGGTAGCTGTTGCTGGCTCGAATGCTTGGGTTTACATCCCGATCATTGTCCTTCCCATTGTGCTCTCAGGTGATAAGATGATTGGCTATTTCTTTACGTCCTGTTTTTGCCTAATTAGCATTTTACTGAGCTCTCTGATTGGTCAGATGTGAGCTAAGTTGCAAGCCCCGTGTTTAAAGGTGGACGTGGTCACCTTCCCAGCTAGCCTTAGGGATTCTTAGTTGGCCTAGGAAATTCAGCTAGTCCTGTCTCTCAGTCCCCCCTCTCAACAGGAAAACCCAAGTGCTGTTGGGGAGGTTGGCCAACAACCACTCTAACTGCTTCCTGCTGAACTGGGGCATAGTAGGGGTTGTACAGTTGAGATTTCCTCAGGAGGGGTGCCTTCAATGTCATTAACATTGGAGCATGGGCTAGCAGGCCGGTCCAGGGGTCCGCAGTAGATCTTAGTCATGGATTGCATCTGGGGCTCCATTTGAAGAATGATTTGTAGTTTTACAGCTTCGATTCTGGAAGAGACAAACTTAACAAGGAGGTTAAAGATAGAGGGATTGAAATATATGGCCTGCAGTGCAGGAGATTATTTCTTTGCCACACTTCACAGGCCCTGACTATCTGCTTGATAGTTTTGAAAAGGCCTGGTCCAGTAAATAATGATTTGGCCATCTGATGGGTGCTATCAATGCCTAAGTGAAAGGTTTGGTGAAGGGTTTTAAGTAATTTCCATTGGTTAGCTGCAGGCAAAAGTATTTTTCCTTCTTGGTGGCTAGCCATCCTGAGGGGAGGAAACTATGTCCTCATGAGGTTCCCCATTCTATTTCTTCTTCTGAGTACCGGGGCTTGGTTTCCTGGAGGGGATTACCCCACACTAGGGGTCCTTCTATAAGCATTTCTAATGGAGGGTCCTGCCTTGCGGCTCTTTTGGCTTCAATATCTGCTTGGCGATTCCCTTCTGTTTCCCTTTCCTTTCCTTTCTGATGACCTTGGCAGTGTAAGACTGCCACCTCTTTAGGTTTCTTTATAGCCAATAATAATCTCCTAATGGCTTCCTGATGTTTGATAGGTGATCCCTCGGAAGTTGGGAATTCCCTTTCTCTCTATATTGCTGCATGGGCATGGAGGACTAGGTAAGCATACTTAAGAGTCTGTATATATATTTACCTTTTTTCTTCCCTTAATTTTAGTGCCCAAGTGAGGGCTATTAGTTCTGCCAGCTGAGCGCTAGTTCCTGGAGTGAGGGAATTACTTTCAAGTATTCCATTACCACTGACCACTGCATACCCTGCTTTTCGAAGTCCTTTTTCTACAAAGGGACTTCCATCAGTATACAAGTTGAGGTGGGGATCAGTCAAGGGAACCTCTAGAAGGTCCCCTCGAGCGGCGCAGGTTTGAGCAATTACTTGCTGACAGTTAAGTTCTATTTTTTTCTTCATTGTCTGGAAGAAATGTGACTGGATTAAGAGTTGCGCAAGTGCACAGTCGCAGCACTGGCCCTTCAAGTAATAGAGCCTGATATTTAAGTAAACGGTTTTCTGACAGCCACAAGTCTCCTTTAGCAGTGAGTATGCCATTCACATCATGAGATGTCCACACAGTAAGATCTCTTCCTGTATCATTTTAACTGCTTCAGATACTAAGACTGTTACTGCTGCCACTACCAGTAAACAATGAGGCCAACCCTTTGCCACTACATCAATTTCCTTACTCAGGTACGCCACAGATTACAAGCTGATCCCTCGGACCTGTGTAAGGACTCCTAGAGCTATTCCGGTTTTTTCTGTGACATATAAAGAAAAGTCTTGCCTTGTTGGCAAGCTCAACACTGGGGCTTGGGTTAGGGCCTTCTTTAGGGCCTGGAAAGCTGCTTCTGCTTCAAGTGTCCATCTTACTAAATGGGTATTGGCTTTCTGAGTTTCCTTAATTAGTGTATATAAAGGCCTGGCTATTTCGCCGTACCTGGGAAACCACATTTGGCAGAAGCCTGTTATGCCAAGGAATCCTCTTAGTTGCTTTAGTGTTTTGGGATGAGGATAAGCCAGTATAGGCTGGATACGTTTCTCACTGAGGGCCCTGGTGCCTTTGGATAATTTTAACCCTAAGTATTTAACCTGTTGTGAGCAGAGCTGAGCCTTTGGTTTGGAAACTTTGTAGCCACAGATGGCGAGGAAATTTAAGAGTGCTTGGGTGGCTTAGTGGCAAAAGGTTTCTGAACGAGTGGCTAAAATTAAATCACCACGTACCAAAGGACAAGAGGGTCCAGGTATGAGAACTGGCTCAAGTCTTGGGCTAATGCCTGGCCAAATAGATGGGGGCTATCCCTGAACCCTTGGGGTAAAACAGTCCAGGTGAGTTGAGACGTTGGGTTCGAAGGATCTTCAAAGGAAAACAAGAATTGAGAGTCAGGATGTACAGGGATGCACAAAAGGCACCCTTTAGGTCCAGGACTGTAAACTACTCTGCTTCCTCTGGCATTTGGGAAAGCAGAGTATAAGGGTTAGGTACAGCTGGGTATAGAGGGACAACGGCCTCATTGATAATCCTGAGATCTTGCACTAACCTCCACTGTCCGTTGGGTTTCTGTACTCCTAAAATTGGAGCATTGCAGGGGCTATTGCATGGTTTTACTAGGCCTTGGGCTTTTAGGTCTTTAACAATCTTTTGGAGTCCTTGTTGGGCCTCGGGTCTAAGGGGGTACTGCCTTTGGTAGGGAAAGGAGGCGGGCTCCTTTAGTTTAACTTGAGCAGGACGGGCATTCTTTGCTCGTCCATATTGTCCTTCTCTTGCCCAGACTTCAGGATTAATTCCTTCCTCAAGCAGGGGACAACAAACGAGTGTTCCTTCTCCTATGTTCAGGTGTATAATGGCCCCTGCTTTTGCTAGAATGTCTCTCCCTAACAAGGGAGTGGGGCTTTCAGGCATAATTAGAAAAGCATGTGAAAACAGTAAAGCTCCCCAGTCACAACTTAGTGGCTGAGAGAAGTATCTAGTAACTGGCTGTCCTAGGACCCCTCGGATAGTGACAGATCTGGAGGACAGTTGTCCGGGACAGGAGAGTAAGACTGAGAAGGCTGTGCCAGTGTCCAGGAGGCAGTTAACCTCCTGGCCCTCAATGGTCTAGCATACCTGGGGCTCTGTGAGGGTGATGGCATGGGCTGGCACTTGCCCCGGGCACCCTCAGTCCTGCTGCTGGATCATCTGGTTAGTGGCTTCTGACTCAGAGGACCTTCGTCCCCTGGGGCAGTGGGCCTTCCAGTGATTCCCTTGACATAAGGGGCATGGACGAGGGGGTGGCTTACTTCTACTTGGACAATCTTTTTTAAAGTGTCCTTGTAGACCGCACTGGAAGCAAGCCCTATTAGCATTCGATTTGCCCAGCTTTTCTCTTTTCCAGAGCCTCCAAAGTCCGCTTGCCTGAGGGCCATGACTAAAGCGGTGGCCCTTTTTTTTTTATCCCGTTTGTCCCGTTCCTCCTGATCTCTATTATAAAAAACCAACGTTGCCAAGTTCAATAGGGTTTCTAAGTTTTGCTCCAGGCCTAAGGAGGACTTCTGAAGTTTTTTTCTAATGTCTGCAGCTGACTGAGTGAAAAATTTATCCTTTAAGATTAGTTGACCTTCAATAGAGTCAGGTGACAGGGAGGTATGCTTCCTCAATGTCTCCCTTAGTCTCTCCAGAAAGGCAGAAGGATTTTCTTCCTTTCCCTGTGTTATAGTGGACATCATTGAATAATTCATAGGCTTCTTCCTAGTTTTCCTTAGTCCTTCTAGCGCGCAAGTTAGCAAATGTCTGCGGCACCAATCTCCATGTTCTGATTCTGTGTCCCAATGAAGGTCTACAGTGGGAACTGCCTGCTGGCCTGTGGGGAATCATTCTCTTTCCTCTGTTGTCATCCTATCATTGAGCTGACTGAGATACCAGAGATCACCAAACTCTCGGGCTGCAGTTATGGCGGCACTTCTCTCATTTGGGGTTAGTGTCTGATTTAGCAGTAACATATCTCTCCATGTCAAATCAAAGGATTGTCCTAACCCTTCTAAAACATCAATATAGCCATCAGGGTTATCTGAGAATTTACCTAGGTCTATTTTAATTTGCTTTAAGTCTGAGAGAGATAAAGGTACATGCACTCTGGCTGGGCCGAATTCTCCTCCTCCTACTGCTTGGAGGGGGCATAATCGGGGAATACTGGTACTCTTTGGTTCATTGTTTACCCCTTTGTCTATCTCCTCTTGGACCATTTGGGTTGAAGGGGGGTCCTTATTAGTTGGGGAAGGAGTCAGGGGGACACTGGGGTAGGGAGGTAGACTCTGAGGGCTTCCTGTAGGGCATAAATCACACTTTTTACATAATTGCCAGTTGTCTCTTAATGAAAAGAAAGTTTGCACATATGGCACTTCACTCCATTTGCCTTCTTTTCTACAAAAGAGGTCTAGCTGTAAGATGCTGTTATAATTTATACTTCTCTTAGGAGGCCAGGTTTCTCCCCCTTGAAGAGGATATTGTGGCCAGGCAGTACTGCAGAAGAATATAAGTAGTTTCTTTCTTAGCATCTGAGGGTCAAATTGGTCCCAATTCTCCAGAATACATCTTAGGGGCGTTTTTGCCTTGGGGGGAATGTTTCCCATCTGAAAAAAGAACATAGGGATGCCAGCACCCCTAGTCATTTTCTGATGAGCATTAGTCCTAGAGCGTCCTCTATGGTCCTAATGTTTATTCCCTTCCAGGGTGCGTAACCACCCATGGACCTCTGCTTATCGGATTAGTTACGCTTACCGATGTAGCAGTCCTGCACCCCTTTTTCCGTCTTTCTTGACCACAAAGAAATGGGTCCGGGCTGCTGGATTCTAGTGGTCCTTTACCAGCGTGCCCAACATTGCATTTGTGCTCAGGGGTGAGTCCTAGAGCTGGGCTGGGTTCCTGAGTATTTCATAACAACCCAGCTGCCCCATCAAGATTCATTCCCATAAACAACAGTTCTTATGCAAATTTGTTTCAGAGAGGGTGTGGGTAACCTTTTGAGTCAGGATTGAGATAGTCTTTTTTGATTCTGTAAGTACTTTAAGGCTCGGCTAAGTGCAAACAGCTCCCACGTTTGAGGAGACCAATTATTAGGCAATTTTTCTAACTCTGCTTCCACAAGAGTCTCCCTATCAATTACTGAATACCCGTTGTGGTTTTTCCCTCAGTCTCCTGGGAGGAACCATCTATCGGTCAGGGCCAGGTGTGGTGGCTCACATCTGTAATCCTAGCACTTTGGGAGGCCAAGACAGGAGGATCGCTTGAGCCCAGGAGTTTGCGACCAGCCTGGGCAACACAGTGAGATCCTGTCTATACAAAAAGTAAAGAAAAATTAACCAGGTATGGTGGCACACACCTGTACCCTCAACTAATTGTGGGGGTGAGGGGGGTGGATTGCTTGGGCCTGGAAAGTTGAAGTTGCAGTGAGCGCCATAATTGTACCACTGCACTCCAGCCTGGGTGACAGAGCGAGACCCTGTGTCCTGTCCTGAAGGGAGTTCCTCCTAGGTCTGGTCGGACCTTTGTATGGTAATTAAGATTTAAATCCCCTGTTAGGAAATCTGCTGGGTTAAGGGAATTATCAGTGGTTGGTGTTAAATTACCTTTTTCTAACAGAATAGACCCATACTTTAAGATTTTTGAGTTAGTAAGCTACCTGTTTGCTTTTTTGACTTACGATAGTTCTGAACTGGTGAGGTGTGCTCACAATGAGGTTTCCTCTAAAGGCTAATTTTCTACTTTCTTCTGTTAGCAAAGCAGTTGCTGCTACAGATTGAATGCATTTGGGCCACCCGCGGGTTCCTGGGTTAAGGATTTTTGATAGGAAGGCTACTGGTTGTCGGTGGCCTCAGTGCTTTCGGCTACGCCCTTATTTACACTGACAACAAAGTGGTATTGGAATGTTATAGGGTCAGGGAGAAGACCTTCAATTATCAATCATAGGTTTTAAATTTACCCTGGCTTTTAAAGGAATAGGGCACACTGGTTTTTGTTTGTTTGTTTGTTTACTATTTCTGTCTTTTTCTTTTTCTCTTTGACTCCCTCTTTATCTCTCTCTCTCTATCTCCTCTGTCTCTCCTCTGTCTCTCTCTCCTCTGTCTCTCCTCCATCTCTCTCTCTCTCTCTCTCTTCCATCTCTCTTTCTCTCTTCCATCTCTCTCTCCTCTGTCACTCTTTCTCTTCTCTTAGCCATTACAAACTTGGGGCCCTGGCAAGGGTGGTGGGGAACGGGTCCCACATAACTGCCCATATCGAGAGCTGTATACCTAAATCAGGAGGGACACCAGGGATAAGACTCCCTGGGTTTATGTCTAGATGCCTCAGGACACAGCGTAGAGCTTCCTTAGATCCCTTTCGAGATACAGCTTGCTAGAGGAAATGAAAGTCTGAACCATTAGTACCTAGGAGGCAGGGATCAGAGGAAGCAGATTCAGAGGTAAGGAGAATTTTGGGGCTACACTTTCAAGAAAGTCGTGGTCGGGACCCAGGAGGTATGGGTCAGAGGGAAAGGTAGGGGCACACGCATGGGCGACTGTAGAGACTTCTGGCTGTGCCATGATCTCAACCGGCTAATGTCAGGAGTTCGGGATGACAGCTTTCTGCCTCTAGTCGGCCCTTGGTTTCTCCAAGAAAATTGAAAGTGGAAGCTGGCTCCAGACAGACGAACCGGACGACAGGTGCCCAGTATTTTCCTCCAATTCTAAGGAAGAATAGGACAGAATAGCAAGTGAAAGTGGTCTAATATTACTCACCGCTTTGGAAGTCCCTTCGTGGTCACCAAATGTTACCTGGGGTCCTTGCTCCCAGAGCTCCCAAGATGGCGGCGGGCTGCTTCCAAGATGGTGGCAAGCCTCATGTTCTCTGATCTGGGGTTCTTGGCCTCACGGATTCCAAGGAATGGAATCTTGGGCCATGCGGTGATTGTTATAGCTCTATTAGAAGCCATGGGTTATGGAAGAGAACCATGGAACCCAGTGACTAGTGTTCAGCTCGATTAGGATGAACCCGGGCACTTAGCCATGCAGGAACAATGGCAAGCCTTTAGCCCAATCGGGAGCAGCAATGGGTGCCTCACTGGATCAGGAGCACAGCAGACACCTTACCGGATCTGGAGAGATGGAAGTCAGCAGCGAGTCTGCGATGGCGGCAAACAGCAGTGGTAGACGGCGAGCAAAAGCTCAGCTTGAGCTGTAACAAACACGGACCAGAACAGTGCAGTTGCAAGATTTAATAGAGTGAAAACAGAGCTCTCATACGAAGGGAGGGGACCCAAAGGCAGTTGCCTGGAAATGGATTTTAAATATGAGGTCTGTGGGTGAATAGTGCAATATTGAACAAAGGAATTTTTTTTTTCAGATATAAGAGGTTTATTAAGGAAAGGCTCACAGACACACCCATAAATAATGGGAGGAGGATGGGGAAAGGGATGAAGCCCAGCAAGAGTGTGATTTCATGTAAGTCCCAGCATTGGCCTGACTGCCAGGGGAGGGACCTATGGAGTATAAATTATGCCTCAGAGTGTGTGCCTCCTTGTGAAGGGAGCTGGGCTTTTGACTCCTAACCCTGTCAGTCCATGGCCTCAGCCAAGGGGAGTGGGAGGTGGAGTGGCCACAGGCACATAAAACCCCCAGACCCTGCTGGTTTCTATACGGACTGACTGGCTCCAACACCAGGTCACAGGTGCCAGCCTTTAACCACAAATCACTTAGTTAAGATTGAACACAGTGAGCTGGCAAGAGACCCTAGGGGATCTGGGTGGCTGCAAACAGTACTGGTCACAACCTATACCTCCAATACTCCCTGCTCACCGCCAGGCACCAGTTTTGGGTCTTTCGTTGAATTCTGCCATAAGAGAAAATTAATATCTTTTGAAAGTTCTGGGTTGGTTTTTCATCATCTACAGATGTACTTCCTTCCTCCAGTGAGTAGAAGTGGATGTCCCTCTGCAAGACTGAGCAGCCATCGCAGTTAAAGATGACCTGGGACATTTGAAAACTATAGAGGGCATACTTTTGGCTCTCCTGGACTCTTAGTTGAGGGATTTTCTGAGACAGGCACTGGCAGACAGATGCAGAGAATGGATTCCCAGAGGCTAGCTTTGGATATCCAAACATTTCATAGAATTTATCCAGAGATTTCTGAAGTCCATTATCCTCTTCTACGGTCTCTGATTGGCCTTACACAGAAAGGTGAAATCAAAAGTTCTCAGTGGTCCCAGAGTCATTTTGTTTAGTATTTAGGCTCCTGGTGTCTGGATCCACATCAGAAAAGCAAGGAAAAGAATGGAATTTCACAGAACTAAAAGCCTTGCTGTTGGCCTCTTGGCTGCATCTCTGCAGGACATAATCCTTCACATACAGGCTTATGGCAGGTCCAAAGTACTGCTCTCCTCTGACAGGCTGTCGGGGGGTGGCTTCCTGGCAGCCACACTCCGCCCTGCAACAGCAAGAGCCCAGAACTTGGAAATGGAGGTGCACCATCTTTGTAAACCAAGGAAATTTTTAAACTGTGACTTAATATTCCTGGGACTTGTCTCCCTACCTTATGTCTTTCAATCCATTATCCCTACAGACCAAAATAAGCTTTCTAAAATGAAAATGTGATTACTTGACATATATTAATTAACAATATTCATGTTGCAAGGCATAGAAAGCCTAAGTCATATGGTTTTGAATCTAATAAATGGCAATTTTCTGTCTCAACTGGAGATTTAGGAGTAGAAGAGTTTCAGTTACAGCTTGATACAGGAATCTGTTTATAATCTTTCACCAAGCTCCATTTCACAGTTCTGTCTTCTCCGTGTGTCAGTGTTACCTTAAGATTACCCCTCTAGTGATAGCAACATGGCTGCAGCAGTTTCTAAGCATCACATAGTTACTCTAGCAAACACAGCAAAAGAGGACACTTTCTCAGAAGCTCCAGCAAATGGCATACTGTGTCTTATTGACCCATCCCTGAACTAATCACTGTGGCCAATGGGATTAGGTTTGCTAAATGTCTTAAGCCAATTTGAGGTCAATTCCATACAAACTACATTGGTTGGAAGAAGGGTCAGAATAAAGATGGGAGGAAATAGGTGAGCAAACATCTTAAGTCAGCAGTCACCAGCCTTTTTGGCACCAGGGACCGGTTTTATGGAAAACAATTTTTCCATGGATGGAGGGGGATGGTTTTGGGATGAAACTGTTCTACCTCAGAACATCAGGCATTAGTTAGATTCTCATAAGGAGCATGTAACCCAGATCCTTCGCATGCACAGTTCATAATAGGGATCATGAGACTCTAATGCCACCACTGATCTGAAAGGAGGCAGAGCTCAGGCAATAATGCTTGCTCACCCACCGCTCACCTCCTGCTGTGCAGCCCAGTTCCTAACAGGTCACCAGCTGGTACCAGTCTGCCACCTGGAGGTCGGGAATCCCTGTCTGAAGTGATTTAAAACCCTTCAGTAATCTCTATTGCTCTTCATATAAAGGCTGCTCTTTCCTCATCAGGGCCTATACTACCCTGCATGGTATTGTCTCTGTCACCCCTTTGGGCTCATCTTTCTCAGTCATTCTTTCCTGGTGTTCAAGCATGCTTTTTTTTAGAGAGAGAGGGGGCCTCATTCTGTCACTCAGGCTACAGTGCAGTGGTGCAGTGGTGCAATTATAGCTCACTGCAGTCTTGACCTCCTGAGTTCAAGCAATCTTCCCACTTCAGCCTCCCAAAGTATTAGGATTATAGGCATGAGCCACCATGCCCAGCCCTCAGTCATGCTTAATTTAGGTGCTGTGATGGTTAATTTTTTCTGTCAACTTGGCTAGGCCACAGTGTGTAACTGTATGATAAAATGTTATTCTGGATGTTTACAGGGGGACGTTTTTTGATGAGATTAATATTTAAATCAGTAGATTTTGAGTAAGGCAGCTTGCCCTTCATAATTTAGATAGGCCTCACCCAGTGAGTTGAAGGTCTAAATAGAACAAAAGGCTGACTTCCCCTGAGTTAAAGAGAATCTATCAGCAGATGGCCTTCAGACTTGAACTACAATGTTGGCTCTTCTTGAGTCTCCAGCCTGACAGCCCACTCTGCAGATTTTAGACTTGCTTGTCTCCATAATTGGGTGAGCCAGTTCCTTAAAATAAGCCTTTTTCTATACATCTACACATCCTAGTGGTTCTATTTCTCTGGAGAACCCTGACTAATACAGGTACATGAGCAAAAATGAAGTTAAGTTGTCTATAAATTCTTGAAGTTAGGTAAGAAATCATTCTACAACATCATACTACACAATAATAAGACATATAGACTTCACACTGTAAGCAATGATGAACCTTTGAAGATCTTTTATGGAATAGAGAGTATATGATAAAAACTGTGGTTTGGCTATTGAAAAACCAATAATATCTACCTTCTTCTTTGACTACTTATACTATTAAGGCTAAAAAAACCAAAGTACCTAATTTCTCCAGTTCCTTTGCAACTAGTCAAAAGTGCTCAAGGAGGGCTTCCCTTTATGGAAAAAGGCAAAGTCTTCTTGAGACTTTTTAATCCTTTTTGTCCTTTTCACCCTCTACCTTCTTCCTGCCTAGAATGTAGAAGCGAGGCCTGGAGGTGAAGCAGCCATCTTCCATTCATGCCACAGCTAGCATGAGGGTGAATGTCTATATAATAAGGATGGCAGAGCAGAAAGATGAAAAGAGACTGGAACTCTGGAAGCAGTTTGAAGCCACTGTACCTACCCCTACCTTGTAATGGATGAGACAAATAAACCCCTATTTGTTTAAGCCACTGTAGTACAGTTCTCTGTTATTTACAGATGAATGCATTACTGATATAGGTTACATGGTACAAAGATCAAATTTCTCTTCTAGAAGATAAGTTGACCTGAGGAAAAGTCCTGCAATGCACAGAGAGAAGCCAGTCAGAAGGCTCCAGGACCCCAGGAAAAAGACAGTGAGGCCTTGAAGGATTTAGTATGAGAAAAAGGTAAATTATCACAAATTTTTGTCATTTGTAAATTTTTTCCATAATTCTTATGATGAAAATAATTATATAACCACACACTTACCAAATATTAAATTAAAAATTATTTCCAGATAAAACAAGTCTACTTGGTCTCAGTTGGATAAACTCAAGAGTAAAACAACAAAACAAAAACCTCAACCATGTTACTGACACATGAGAATTTCATTTTATTGCTGCTCTGGGAATACATCTAATTACTCAATAATGCCAATTAAATAGGAAGTTCACCTGCTGACAAACAGCTATCTTGGGATATATCAGAATAAACCATAGAAATAATTGGATTTTCTAATCAATATTAACTTCATCATATTATACACTTGCTAGTTTCCTTCATATTTAGCAACAACATTTGTTTCTTATGTTTAGCCTTTCATTTGTGACAACAATCTCATGGTTAAGGAAATAAAGGCTGGGAGCAGTGGCTCATGCCTATAATCCCAACACTTTGGGAGGCCGAAGCAGATGGATCACCTGCGTCCAGGAGTTCCAGACCAGCCTGGGCAACATGGCGAAAGCCTGTCTCTACAAAAATACAAAAGTTAGCCAGGCATAGTGTTGCACACCTGTAGTCCCAGCTATTTGAGAGACTGAGGTGGTAGGATCACCTGAGCCCAGAGAAGTCGAGGCTGTAGTGAGCCATGTTCGTGCCACTGCACTCCAGCTTGGGTGACAAAGTTACACCCTGTCTCTCAAAACCAAAAGAAGAGAAAATATATTTTTTTTTGACCATGAGAACAGTCATCCCGTCTGAAGTATTTTTTTTTATAAACTCTAATTATCCATTAATAGTATAAACATCCAGAAGGGGTAAAGATGGCTGACTAGCTGCAAGCAGTATAAACTTCCTCCACAGAGAGGAACCAGAACAGCAAGTAGATGCATTACAAACAGACCATCTAGGAGAGAATGCTAGGATTCACCAAAGAAGAGACAGGAAACACCAGAAGTAAGGAGAGGCTTTGAGGCAGCTTGCCCAGCTGGGGACTGACTGAGAATCGAAAGAGGCTCCTGGACATGGGAAAACAGTAAAAGAGAAATTCCCAGGGCTCCGAAATGGGTTTTTACAATCTTGGCTATGGGAGAAACTCTTGACCCAGTAGGGCCTTGGGCCTGATATATGAAGCTGCTTAAAAATTGCATGGAGACATTGTTCCAGAAAGGAAACCCACACAGAATCCCACAGGCATCCACGCCTAGAGCTGCCTCAGCTAGGTGCCATTTTGAGAGCTTAGATACTGGATCTACAGACACTGCTGCTGCCACTACGCTGATCCAGGGAAGGAGATGGAGGGACTAGGTGCTCCCACACACGCCTACGAGGGTCCCTACCTCCCTGCTGCAGGCTGCTCAGACTGAGACAAGAGCAAGCCACACTCCCCACAGCTTCTTGCCTATGCTGCTCAACTGAGAGGTGCCCCATCCTCTCTGGTCCCAGGCCCAAGATGCCATTTTCAGAGTTTAACACCAGGTTGTGCCCTCCACTTTGGCTGAGTTCAGGCCAATGGGACTGTAGCCACCACCCAGACAAGTAGGATCAGGGAAACCAAGCTCACCCATACATATCTAGGACAATACCCACTGCACTGCAATGGGCTGCTGTGAGACAAGACCTCAATCCCCGTAGCTTTTTGCCTACATTGCCTGCCTGGAAGGGACCTCACCCTTCCTGGTCACAGGCCCAAGGCACCATTTTGAGAGTTTCTTGCAGAGCCACACCTTGCTCTTGGGCTGAGTTTGAGTTGACATGGTAGCAGTTGTCACCTGGACAGGGAGAGCCAGAGAAACCAGGCTCTTCTATGCACACCTAGGAAAATACCTTCCTCCCTGCTATGGGATGCTGTGAGATGTAGACTCAAGCAGACCACACTCCTCGCAGCTTCTTGCAATGCTGCTCACCTGATAGGGGCCCCACCTTCTCTGATCACAAGCCCAGAGCTGGCACCATTTTGAGAGTTTAACACTGGGCTGTACTCTACCCTTGGTGTGAGTTCAAGGTAATGAAGCTGCAGCTGCTACTGAGCCATGGGAGAGACAGGAGAGATCGAGCTCTCCTATGCACATTTAGGACAATACCCACCACCCTGCTACAGGCAGCTGAAGGGCTGGGAACTTGCCTGCTCAACCCATTGCAGCTTTCTGCAACACCAGTGTGGACTGATTGGCTCCCAGTGGGTTGTTCCACCACTGCAACCACCATCACTCACATCAAACCAGCTGACCAGGCACCTAAGAACCCATCTACACACCAGGCCCACTGCTCCCACTACTCACTGCTAAACAAGCCACCTGGAAGTCCAAGAATCAGGACCCACCAACAGCAAGAGCCAGTATAAGCTGCTCTGGGGCCTAAAAACAGGCACGCTTACCCCATAGCTGCCACCATTAAGTCCTGAAGACTGGTTCAGTTGGTGTCCAAGTCCTCAGTTAAACTTCACTACAACCTAAACTAATAGCTGTATCCTGTGTCACTGAGGAAATCACAGATACCATTGACCCTGTATACTGCCTAAAAAGTCACACAAAAATCACATTAGTGCAGGCACCCAAAATCAAAGCCAAAGCATTTTACTTAATCAACAACATGTATATATTTTCAGGAAATAATTATCTCCTGCAAAAATAATTTCAAAAAAATGGAACAAGCAACTGCTACATTACATGTACAGGTATCAATGGAAGGACACAGGAAGCATAGAAAAGCAGGGAACTATGTCATCACCAAAGGACCACAACAATTGTCCACCAGCAGATCTCAATCAAAAAGAATTCCTTGAAATACCAGATAAGGAATTGAAAATACTGATTTTAAAGAACTTCAATGAGATGCAAGAGAAACCTGAAAACCTATACAAAGAAATCTGAAAATCAATTCAGAATATGAATGAGAAATTTACCTAGGAGATAGATATCCTTTAAAGAAAAAAAGTAGAGTGCCAGGCATAGTGACTCATGCCCGTAATCCTAGTTCTTCAGGAGACAGAGATGGATGAATCACTGGAGCCTAGGAGTTCAAGACCAGCCTGGGCAACATGACAAAACCATGTCCCTATAAAAAATACAAAAATTAGCTGCGCATGGTGGTGTGTGCCTGTAGTCCCAGCTACTCAGGACACTGAGGTGAGAGAATCACCTGAGCTTCGGGAGTCAAGATCACACCATTGCACTCCAGCCTGGGCATTGGAGTGAGACCTTGTCTCAAATTAAAAGAAAAAATAACACATAAATACTGGAACTAAAAAATTCATTGAAGGAAATAGAAAATACATTCAAAAGCTTCAATGATAGACTAGACCAAGTAAAAGAAAGGATCTCAGAACTTGGCTGCAGTGAGCTAGGATCACCCCACTGCACTCCAGCCTGAGCAACAAGGTAAGACCCTGTCCCCAAAAAAGAAAAAAAAGTAACAGGAAAAAAGTATAAGAAAGAATGAATAAAGCCTTTAAGACATCTGGGACTGCATAAGGAGACTGAACTTATGAATTATCAGTATTCTCAAGGAGGAAGAGAGATCTAAAAGTTTAGAGAACCTGTTTAAGGAAATAATTGATGAAAACTTCCCAAGTCTGTTAAGAGAATTAGATATCCAGATATAGGAGGGCCAGTGAATGCCCAGCAAATACATTGTAAAAAGAATTTCACCATGGCATATTATATTCAGAATGTCTAAAGTGAAAGTGAAAGAAAGAGTTTTAAAATGAGCATGAGAAAAGTGCCTAGTCATCTATAAAGGAAATCAGTGGACTTTTCAGCAGAAATCTTATAAGCCTGAAGAGGATGGGACAGCATTTTCAAAATGCTGAAAGAAAAAGACTATCAGCGAATAATTTTTTATCCTGCAAGAATATGCTTCATAAATGAAGGAGAAATAAAATCTCAGGAGAAAAAGCAGGCAAAAAAAAAAAAAAGAAGAAATAAAGAAATAAAGTATTTTTCAGATAAGCAAATTCTGAGGGATTTTGTTACCACTACACCAACCCTACTGAAAATGCTCAAAGGGGTCTTAAGCATGGAAACAAAAGGTTGATATTTACTATCATGAAAATACATTGAAAGATCAAACTCACAGTTCTTATAAAACAATCACATAAAGGAGGAAGGAAAAGGAATGAAATGGCAACAAAAAAGAATTTCATCAAACCACAAAGACAAAAAAATAGAGAAAAAGAAAAAACAACAAAGCATTTATAAAAGAACTTGAAAACAGTTAACAATATGACAGGAGCAAAGCCTCACATGTCAATATTAATCTTGGATGTAAATAAATTAAATGTTACACTTAAAAGATACAGGTTGGCAGAAAGGATTTTAAAAATATGATCCAACTATATGCTCCCTACAAGAAACTCAGTTACCCATAAAGATACATATAGATTGAAAGTAAAGGAGTGGAAAAACACACTCTACACAAATAGAAACCAAAAGCAAACAGGAGTAGCTATACTTATATCAGACAAAACAGGCATTAAATAAAAACCAGTAAAAAATGCAAAGAAGGTCATTATATAATGATAAAGGGGTTAATTCAGCAAGAGGATATAACAATCCTTTGTATATTTGCATCCAATATCAGAGCACCCAAATTCACAAAACAAATATTACTAGACCTAAAGAAAGAGATAGACAGTAATACAATAATAGTGAAATACTCTAACACCCCACTCAAAGCACTAGACAGATCATTGAGACAGAAAATTAAAAAAGAAACATTGGGTTTAAATTGGACTTTAGACCAAATGGACTTAATAGACATTTACAGAACATTCTACCCAACAACTATAGAATACACAGTATTTTATCAGCACGTGGAACATTCTCTAAGATAGACCACAAAACAAATCTCAACAAATTTTAAAAAGTCAAAAGCATATCAAGTATCTTCTCAGACCACAGGGAATAAAGCTAGGAATCAATACCAAGAGGAACTTCAGAAACCATACAAATACATGGAAATTAGACAGCATATTCCTGAAGGATCACTAGGTTAACAAAGAATTGAAGGTAGAAATTAATTTTTTTAATGAGTGAAAATAAAAGTACAACATACCAAAACCTGTGTGATACAGAAAAAGTAGTGCTAAGAGGGAAGTTTATAGTATTAAATGCCAACATCGAAAAAGTAGAAAGATCATAAATTAACAACCTAACGTCACATCTCAAGGACTAGAAAAACAAGAACAAACCAAACCCAAAGTTAGCAGAAGAGAAGAAATAACAAAGATCAGAGCAGAACTAAATGAAAGAGAGACAACAGAAAATCAACAAAATGAAAAGTTGGTTCTTTGAAAAGATAAACAAACTGATAAATCATTAGTAGACTATCCAAGAAAAGAAGAGAGAAGATCCAAATAAACATAATCAGAAATGAGAAAGGAGACATGAAAACTGAAACCAAAGAAACACGAAAGATCATCAGAGACTATTTTGGACAACCATATGCTCACAAACTAGAAAACAGAGAAAAAATGGATAAATTCCTGAAAACACACAACCTCCTAAGACTGAACCAAGAAGAAATAGAACTCTTGAACAGGTCAATAATAAGTAGTGGATTGAGTAAGTAATTTAACATCTCCTCATTTAAAAAAAAAAAAAAAAGTCCAGGTCCAGATGGATTTCCAGCCAAATTCTACCAAACATACAAAGAACTAACATCAATCCTCCTGAAACTATTCCTGAAAAATTAAGGATAACCTTATCCTTAATTCTCCCTAGCTCATTCTATAAGACCAGTATTACCCTGATACCAAAACCAGACAAAGACATAAAAAAAGAAAATGACAGATCAATATTCCTGATGACACAAAAAGCCTCAGCAAATCCTCAGCAAAATACTAGCAAATCAAATCCAACGGCACATGAAAAAGATAGTACACCATGATCAGGTGGGGTTTTTTCCCAGGGATTCAAGAATGGCTAAACATATGTAAATCAATAAAGATGATATATAACATAAACAGAATTATGGACAAAAACCATATAATTATCTGAATAGATGCAGAAAAAGCATTCAATAAAATTCAACACCCTCTTCATAATAAAAAATAAACTAGGCATAGAAGGTACATACTTTAACATAATAAAGGCCATATACAACAAACCCACCGCCAACATCATACTTAATATGGAAAAGTTGAAAGCCTTCCCTCTCACAACTGCAACAAGACAAGGATGCCCACTTTCAGCAATTTTATTCAACATAGTAGTACTGGAAGTCCTTGCTAGAGCAATCAGACAAAAGGAAAAAAAGTAAAAGGCATCCAAAATGGGAATGAGGAAGTCGAATTATTCCTGTTTGCCGATAATATGACTGTACATCTAGAAAACCCTAAAGAGTCCACCAAAAAACTCTTACATTTGATAAACGAATTCAGTAAAGTTTCAGGCTACAAAATTTACATACAGATACAGTAGCATTTCTACACACCAATAACAATCTAGCCAAGGACTACATCAGGAAGGTAATCCTATTTACAATAGCTACAAAAATAAATAAATAAAATATTGAGAGATATAGTTTACCAAGGAGGGGAAAGATCTCTACAGGGAGAACTACAAAACATGGATGAAAGAAATGTAGATAGGACGGCTGGGCATGGTGGCTCATGCCTGTAATCCCAGCACTTTAGGAGTCTGAGGCAGGTGGATCGCTTGAAGTCAGGAGTTCAAGACCAGCATGGCCAACATGGTGAAACCCTGTCTCTACTAAAAATACAAAAATTAGCCAGGCATGGTGATGAATGCCTGTAGTCCCAGCTACTTAGGAGGCAGAGGTTGCAGTGAGCTGAGATCGTGCCACTGCACTCCAGCCTGGGTGACAGAGACTCCATCACACACACACACACACACACACACACACACACACTAGACAGTACAAATAGAAAAGGATCCCATGCTCATAGAATGAAAGGACTGATATCATTAAAATGACCATACTGCCCAAAGCGATCTACAGATTCAATAAAATCCCTATCAAATTACTAACATCATTTTTCACAAAATTAGCAAAAAAATTCTAAAATTCATATGGAACCAAAAAATATTTGCCAAAATAGCCAAAGCAACCCTAAGTGAAGAGAATAAAGCTAAAGGCTCACATTATCTGACTTCAAATTATACTACCAGGCTATATTAACCAAAACAGCATGTTATTGGCATACAAATAGACACATAGATGAATGGAACAGATCAGAGAACCCAGAAATAAAGCTACAAACCTACAACCAACTGATCTTTACAAAGTCAAAAAACATATACACTGGGGAAATGACACTCTATTCAGTAAATGGTGCTGGGGAAAATTGGATAGTCATACACATAAGAATGAAACTGTGCCCCTATCTCTCAGCATATACAAAAATTAACTCAAGATGGATTAAAGACCTAAACATAAGACCTGAAACTAAAAATCCTATAAAAAGGAAAAACTCTTCTGAACATTGACCCACGCAAGGAATGTATGACCAAATCCTCAAAAGCAAACACAATAAAAACAAAAATAGAAATGAAACTTAATTAAACTAAAGTGCTTCTGTGACCAGGCACAGTGTCTCACTCCTGTAATCCCAGCACTTTGGGAGGCCGAGGCGTGCAGATCACCTGATATCAGGAGTTTGAGACCAGCTTGGCCAACATAGTGAAAACCCATCTTTACCAAAAATACAAAATTAGCCAGGTGTGGTGGCACGTGTCTGTAATCCCAGCTACTGGGGAGGCCGAGGCAGGAGAATCGCTTGAACCGGGAGGCAGAGGTTGCAGTGAGCCGAGATCACACCATTGCACTCCAGCCTGGGCAACAAGAGCAAAAACCCATCTCAAAGAAAAAAAAAAAGTGGGCAATGAACATGAACAGACATTTTCCAAAGGAGACATACAAATGGCTAAGAGCCATATAAAAAAATGTTCAACATCACTAATCATCAGAGAAATGTAAATTAAAACCATACTGAGATACCATCTTACACCAGTCAGAATGGCTATTATAAAAATGTCTAAAAACAACAGATGTTAGTGAGGATGCAGGGAAAGGGGAATGCTTATATGCTGTTGGTGGAATATAAATTAATACAACCTCTATGGAAAACTATATGGAGATTCTCAAAGAACTAAAAATAGAACTACCTTTCAATTCAGCAACCCCACTACTGGGTATATACTTAAAGGGACAGAAATTATTGTATCAAAAAGATACCTGCTCTCCTATGTTTATCACAGCACTATTGACAATGACAAAGAGATGGAATCAACATAAGTATTCATCATGGGAGGACTGCATAAAGAAAATGCGACATATATATGTATATACACACACACACACACACCATGGAATACTACTCAGCCACAGAAAAAATAAAATCATGTCTTCTTCAGCAACACGATGGAATTGGAGACCATTATCCTAAGTGAAATAATTCAGAAACAGAAAGTCAAATGCCACACATAAGTAGGAACTAAACAATGAGTACACATGGACACACAGAGTGGAATAACAGATATTGGAGACCACAGAAGGTGGGAAGGTGGAAGTAGGGTGAGGGTTGGAAAGTTACCTATCAGCCGGGCGCGGTGGCTCACGCTTGTAATCCCAGCACTTTGGGAGGCTGAGGAGGGCGGATCACCTGAGGTCGGGAGTTCGAGACCAGCCTGATCAACATGGAGAAACCCCGGCTCTATTGAAAATACAAAATTAGCCAGGCATGGTGGCACAGGCCTGTAATCCCAGCTACTCAGGAGGCTGAGGCAGGAGAATTGCTTGAACTCGGGAGGCGGAGTTTGTGGTGAGCCGAGATCACACCAATGCACTCTAGCCTGGGCAACAAGAAGGAAACTCTGTCTCAAAAAAAAAGTTACCTACCTATTGGGAACAATGTTTACACTACGGGTGATGAGTACATTCTCAAAGCTCAGACTTTACGCAATATACACAAGTAAAAAAATCTGCACTTGTATCCTCTAGATATATTTTAAAAAGTCAACCCCTTTCCCATTTAGAAAGAAAAACAGTGCAGCTTGCTACCAGCACTCATTTAATTTTACGTAAGCACGCTCTTTGAGGCTGAAGCAAATCTGACCGATTTTCAATGTGAAAATGAAATGTAAAAACTGTTAGTGAAGTTATTTCTAAACAGAGCTAACATCCAAATCGTCTGAATCATCAGAATCGTCTATTTCAGAAAAATTGGATTAATCAAATGAATTGTTGTCCAATAGCTGTTGGAGAACAATGTTACCATGATAGGAATGCTACACTTTTTAGCATTTGATGTTTTCGGCGATCGAGAATTACTATATTTTATAAGTGGAAATACCACTACTAAAAACAGAATGCTATGAATAGAATTATGTCTTTTGTTTCCAAAGTCAATATGCTAGAGCAATGTGAAAATAATAAACGCATGCTATTTTGTGGCAAACTTATCTCCAGTAAACACCAAAGCCACAAGCCCCACCAGTGAGTATTTTTAGGGCAAACAGGAAAAGGGTTAAAAAGTATAAACTTCCTGGCTCATGTCTGTCATCCTAGCACTTTGGGAGGCCGAGGCAGGCAGACTGCCTGAGCTCAGGAGTTCGAGACCAGCCTGGACAACGCAGTGAAACCCTGTCTCTACTAAAATACAAAAAATTAGCCGGGCATGGCGGCAGGTGCCTGTAGTCCCAGTCACTCAGGAGGCTGAGGCAGGAGAATTGCTTGAACCCAGCAGAGGTTGCAGTGAGCTGAGATCATGCCACTACACTCCAGCCTGGACAACAGAGCGAGACTCCATCTCCAAATAAATAAATAAATAAGCAAATAGATAAATAAAAAGTTAAAACATCCTACTTTAGCTGAATCCTCTGTACTATACCTTCTAAGCATCATAAGTCCATTTTCTGTATAAATTCCAGTAATTACTATCAAACCACTTTTATAATTATTCTTGAAGCATTCTGCTCACCCATACATGCATGAAAGAATATAAAACTCATGAAAACTGTTCAGTTTTCTAAAATTCTTCTCTCTGGAATGTCTTTCTCCCCGTAAAACAGTAGTGTCATGCTCCATACTGGGAAGTGATCATTTCAAAGGCTCCTGAGACTTGTCTGCTCAAAACCCTTCAGTGACTATCTCAGTCAGAGTTAAAGCTAAATTTGTCACCACAAACTTCAAGTCCCTGCATGATCTGGCCCCTGTTCTTCTCTAACCTCATCTCCTGCTACCCTCCTTTTCCCTCAGCACACTCTGGCCACTGGCCTCTGCCAATCCCTGAACACCAGGCATGCTCCAGCTTGAGTCCTTTGCCTTTGCAGTTCCCTCTGCCTGGAATGCTTTTCCTCCAACATGCACCTAACTACCTCAGATCTTTACTCAATTATCACTTGAGGAGAACTCATCTGTAAATCCTGGCTCTTTCTATTTCCTTTTCCTGCCTTATTTTTCTTCTTAGCACTGATCACTATCTAACTCACAATATGTTTTTCTCATTTAATTTATTGTCCATTTCCCTTCCCAATATGTTCAGTGAGGACAGGGATTTTTACTGTTCTTTTCACCATTGTTATCTCCCAGGGCAGAGTCAGGCATATTGAAACACTCAATAAATGTTTCTTCAGTGAATGAATTTCTGCCAATTGAGATTGACCCTTAGAACACCATTATTGTTATTGTTGTTTGTTTTGTTTTTAACCTTGGGTCTCTTTTTGGTCAATGTCTTTCACTTATTAATACTTTCCTGAAATGCCAAACATTGCTACTAAAACTGCAAATACAATGAGCATGTCTCAGAGTTACATAAGCCAGGTTGCTAAAGCATCTTTGCTTGGGGCTTCAGCTAATCAACAAAATGGGACTCTGTCTGATCTCTTGAAGCCCAATGCCAGGATACAGGACTCAGAACTGCACTTAGCTCCTGGGGCTCCAAAACAACTAGATTCAATAGAGTAGTGGCATATTTAAGCCATGTTGTGCCTACATACATATCCATATGCACACACATGCACAAAAGCTTGGAATTTGCTGTCTTAAAAGTCAGGAATGATCAAAGACAATCCTAAATGGATATTAATATGAGAAGGGATAAATATATGAAGGTACATCTGAAATATGTCAGGCTAAGTAGAAGTTAAAATGAATGAGGAGGAAATTTCTGTACAGCCAAGAAGCTATCTCAAAGAAATATTAAGAGGAAGAAAAACTTATAAAATAACATCTTAAGCATATGAGCTTAATAATGTAAAAGTAAATGTATATTATTCTATATTCCTATATTCTATACTTCTATTAACAAATAAGTTAAAGATAGTAGTTACTAAGTGCAAAGGAGAAAAATAAAATAGAGAAGGAACATATGAAACAACAGGAGAGGTACTGAAATGCACTTTAGCAATGTTCTCACAGCCTTTTATATAAATAAATAAAGTGTTCAAAATTTTTTAATTGAATAAATAAAAAGTCAAAAAGGCAGGAATGGTACATCCCTCTTCTTTTTGCTTGGTAAGCAGATATTTCTAATCAGGGTTTGGTTCTAGGTCTAAAACGATATTGAATGGATGTCTCAGTCAGCCCCTGCTGCCCAAATATGGGGAAATGGGCACTTTTTTAGGAGTGATGTTGACCAGAGTATAAATTAGTGTATCTCTGGCAGGCAATTTCACAATATTGAACAAAATGTTATCTGCATATGCCCTTTGATTCCCTGATTTCATGGTATTTACCATTCAAATATATAAATGTTCACAAGAATGTTCACAACAGCATTGTTTATAACACCAAAACACTGGACCAGGCGCAGTGGCTCACACCTGTAATCCCAGCACTTTGGAAGGCTGAGGCAGGCAGATCACCTGAGGTCAGGAGTTCGAGACCACCCTGGCCAACATGGTGAAACCCGTTTCTACTAAAAATACAAAAATTAGCTGGACATGGTGGCATGCGCCCGTAATCTCAGCTACTCAGGAGGCTGAGGCAGGAGAATTGCTTGAACTCAGGAGGTGGAGGTTGCAGTGAGCCAAAATTGCGCCATTGCACTCCAGCCTGGGCCACGAGAGTGAAACTCCATCTCAAAAAATAAGTAAATAAATAAATATCAAAACAACCAATTCCTCCATTATCGGGGTGTAATTAAATAGATTATGGCATCTAGTCAAAGAATTTGGTTCAACTCTGTTCCCTGAAAAAAACCAAATGACTGTTGAATGTGATCTGTTTGTATTATTAAGACAAAAATGCATAAATAGATTAATATACATGGGTACAATATGGATGCATTTAACATGAATTTGAATAAAGCAAATTATATATTAGGCCATATGAAAATATTAATACAATTTTTCCTGTGCTTGGAAGTTTGAATAATTTAAATATCCCCAAATAAAATATTTGTTTAAGAAATACTTGCTTAAAAAAATACTGGCAGGCCCCAGGCACAGTGGCTTACGCCTGTAATCCCAGCATTTTGGGAGGCCAAGGCAGGCAGATCATGAGCTCAAGAGATCGAGACCATCTTGGCCAACATGGTGAAACCCTGTCTCTACTAAAAATACAAAAATTAGCTGGCCATGGTGGCATGTGCCTGCAGTCCTAGCTACTCAGGAGGCTGAGGCAGGAGAACCGCTTGAACCTGGGAGGTGCAGGTTGCAGTGAGCCGAGATCGCGCCACTGCACGCCAGCCTAGCGAAGGAGCGAGACTCTGTCTCAAAAAAAAAAAAAAAAAAAAAAAAAATACTGGCAGACCCTGTGCTTGCTTAACCAACTGCAACATGGTAGTGTCACCTAAGCTGTAAATGTCACCTTCTTCTGACCAAGGTGTTAATGTGGGAAGGAGCATGGGAAGTTGGGGAACTGAATGACTAGCTGTATGGATACAGCACTGATGCCCCAGTTCTGTTTTCTGGCATAGTCTTTTGTTCAGGAAATGAGAGTAGCTGTCTACAATGCTCAATGAAAGATCTTAAGAAGATACATAATCTTTTTCTTTCCTTATTTCATAATAAATTAAGTGAACTAACATATTTCCATGTTACTAAGTCCGAGTACTTTTGAGTTGCAAATAAATGTACTCAAAGGTATGAGCTATCACGGCCTAATTTAGTTGTTTGAAAGCAAGATAAAACTAACTTCTCATTAACTTGAAGTGTGACTCATATCGCATTACTCTGAAACAAATTTGAGGAAAATGTGAAAGAACCAAATATATCTAGTTATTTTAGATATTTAGGTTTGGAACCATTTACCTTCGTGGGGAATTTTCAGGATCTCTATTGTAAAAGCAAGCTGCTCTTGACCTTGGGTTTGGGGAAAACAGTTCTTTTAGCATTAGTTTCTACATAACAGAAAAGAGAGTAGAAAGATATAACCAACCCCTCATTTGCAAAATACACAATAATGTAGGCTACAACCAGAGTTTAACATAACTGAAAGTATAAACATGATAACCCACAGACATGTTTAGGGTGAGCATTTGATAAGAGTGCCATGAAAGTAGCTTGGTTAGTCAAAATACTGAATTAAAACAGATGAATGCAGCCAGGTGCAGTGGCTCACGCCTGTAATCCCAGTACTTTGGGAGGCTGAGGTGGGTGGATCACTTGAGGTCAGGGGTTCAAGACCAGCCTGGCCAACATGGTGAAACCCTGACTCTACTAAAAATAAAAAAAAATAACGGGGGATAGTGGCACACACGTGTAGTCCCAGGTATTCAGGAGGCCGAGGCAGGAGCATTGCTTGAACCCAGGAGACGGAGGTTGCAGTGAGCCAAGATCACTGCACTCCAGCCTGGGCAAGAGAGTGAGTCAGACTCCATGTCAGAAAAAAGCAAAACAAAACAGATGAATGCAAAAAGCAGCATGAACTTTTATGCAGCTTTTATACTACATTTGATGCAAATTCTATAGACTAAAGTAATTTAATTCAGTGGAAGACGGCTAACCCATTGTGTGTTTTAATAGCAAATGTACATTCAGGTCAACTTCTTTTTTAACTTGAAAAAAACCCACCCCAATAAAAGTCCCCTGTGTTTTTTATAGTGAACCAAATACTACCTCTAAAACTGTGTGTGTGTGGTGGCGGCTCACATCTGTAATCCCAGCACTTTGGGAGGCCGAGGTGGGCAGATCACAAGGTCAGGAGTTTGAGACCAACCTGGCTAATACGGTGAAACACCGTCTCTACTAAAAATTCAAAAATTAGCCAGGCATGGTGGCACGCGCCTGTAGTCCCAGCTACTTGAGAGGCTAAGGCAGGAGAATCGCTTGAACCTGGGAGGCGGAGGTTGCAGTGAGCAGAGATTGTGCAACTGCACTCCAGCCTGGGCAACAGAGTGAGACTCCATCTCAAAAAAAAAAAAAGAAAAAAAATGTCCTTGGTACATGGATTGGTTTTAACATCTAAATATAACTAAGATGTTGGGGACCTTCTGTATATCATTCCCCCATTCCTTTTCTTTGTTTTGTTTGTTTGTTTGTTTGTTTGTTTTTTGAGACGGCATCTCGCTCTGTCACCCAGGCTGGATTGCAGTGGTGCAATCTTGGCTCACTGCAACCTCTGCCTCCCGAGTTCCAGTGATTCTCCTGTCTCAGCCTCCTGAGTAGCTGGGATTACAGGCACACGCCACCACATCTGGCTAATTTTTTTTTTTTTCTGTATTTTAGTAGAGACGGGGTTTCACCGCATTGCCCAGGCTGGTCTCGAACTCCTGAGCTCAGGCAATCTGCCTGCCTCGGCCTCCCAAAGTGCTTGGATTACAGGCATGAGCCACCATGCCTGGCCCCTGTATTTCAAACATAAAGGTTGCTTCCTGTTTTATATTATAACTAAAGTTACAAGTTTTCTATTTTTAGCATTTACCTTGCTTCCAATTTTTTTCTTCTTGCTTCCAATTTTATATTATTATAAATAACATGACAATGGACATTTTCATGAACATAGCATTCCATATTTTAGATTATTTCCTCATTTCAGTTCTCAAAAGTGGAATTACTGGCTCATGGAGCTGTAAAAGCTGAATCATTTTTGGAGTATTGCAAACTTGCTTTTTTAAAAGGGTTGTATCAATTTATAATGTTGTGAGCAATGCAATACAGTAATAAGAGAAGCAGTTTTATTTTCTCATCACATGACCACACTTTATAATTAGT
Source organism: Homo sapiens (assembly GCF_000001405.40). Classification (NCBI taxonomy): domain Eukaryota; kingdom Metazoa; phylum Chordata; class Mammalia; order Primates; family Hominidae; genus Homo; species Homo sapiens. Next base: position 88,905,691 of record NC_000001.11, on the reverse strand, counting down.
ACTTTCAGAGTTTTAAGATTCAAATAATATTATATAATCTGCAAAGAGGTACTCATTTTACACAATAAGGCTTTTAGCACGTGATATTCACGGAAGCAATAAAAACGTAATACGAAAATTCATTCTTTAAGAAAGTAACAGGTCACATGAATATGAACATACTCTACCTTCTCATTTTCCCCCAGTAGCTCATCAGGGCACTTGATTAATAGGACTTTAAAGGCAAAAGGCAAACCTTATCTAGACTAAAATAAGCGTACTTGAGCCTGGGCGCGGTGGCTCATGCCTGTAATCCCAGCACTTTGGGAGGCCGAGGCAGCTGGATCACTTGAGGTCAGGAGTTCCAGACTACCCTAGCCAATATTGTGAAACCCTGTCTCTACTAAAAATACAAAAATTTGCTGGACATGGTGGCAGGCGCCTGTAATCCCAGCTACTGGGGAGGCTGAGGCTGGAGAACTGAAATGAGAAAGTTGTTATTTCGTGGAAAATATTAACTACAGGATGTATGATAAAACAACACTAAATAGTGTGGCAAAAGTTTTGAAGTCGTATACTTAATGCAAAATCATATCTTTTTGGAAAAAGATATTAATTTTAAAAGTCACAAGCTATTAATGTGAAACCTTTAGGGTTGTTTTGTTTTGTTTTTTTCTTATTTTCTTTTATCATCCCCATCCCCTGGCCTCCCTCTCCACTTATGAGTTTTGCTGTTTTTATAAGAGCAGTTTAGGTCTAAAAGAAAACCACTGCTCACTGAAAATTGAATTAAGAAGTGAATTAATTTCTAGCAATATTCCTCCCCAAATCTGTGAGGAGACAACAGTTAATATTTTCTATTTATAGATTATTAATGTTTTAAGACTATATTCTACCTCCCAGCACTTGGAGAAACTGCTGGCTTTTCCCAATGAAAAGTTAGATTTATTCTCACCTGGAAGACAATCCACCAATATTGGGAAACCAGATGTATTAGTCAGGGTTCCCTAGAGGGACAGAACTAATAGGAGACAGGATACATACATACATATATATATAAATATTATATATATATATTATATGTATAATATATGTAATATATATATAATATATATATTATATATTATACATATATTATATATATTTAATACATATATTATATATAATATATATAATATATATATAATATATAATATATATATTATATATATATATATATATATAAAGGGGAGTTTATTAAGTATTAACTTACATGATCAGAAGGTCCCACAATAGGCTGTCTGCAAGCTTAAGGAGCAAGGAGAGTCAGTCCGAGTCTCAAAACTGAAGAACTTGGAGTCTGATGTTTGAGCAGGAAACATCCAGCATGGGAGAAAGATGGAGGCTGGGAGCCTAGGCCAGTCTCACCTTTTCAGGTTTTTCTGCCTGCATTATGTTCACTGGCAGCTGACTAGATTGTGCCCACCAGATTAAGGGTAGGTCTGTCTTCCCCAGCCCCCTGACTTAAATGTTAATCTCTGGCGACACCCTCACAGACACACCCAGGAACAATACTTTGCATCCTTCAATCCAACCAAGTTGACACTCAGTATTAACCATCACAAGTCCACCCCTTGTCAACTTGAACCCATATGCATCTCTTGAGATCATACATAATCTTCAAATAAAGACAATAATAAGGTCATAATTACCCCTAACATAATACAACTATCCTTTGTACAACCGGAAATGCACCAATCCCCAATCCAAATACTCTTACATAAAGTTAACGATACTTAAATGCTGCCATGAAGTCAATAAATCTTATGTCACAAGATAAAGGAAAAGGAAATAAAATGAGGATATTTTCTTAGTGAAGTGTATACACGCACAAACATGTTTTTTAACAAAAGAAGGGAGAAATATTCATGAGAGCTATATTCCTCGTTGCTGCAGCTGGTCATGTGGTAGTAGCTGGTCTTGATGACTACATTCTTCTACTACCCATTTGATATTTTCTTTGCCTTCAGCAAGCACCTCAGCAGGCTGTGGTTTCTTTCCTAGTGGAGTGACCCAAACCTTCATCCCTGAGGGGTCTGGGCCATTTGTAGTCCTGCCTGGATTGAACTGTTGTAGTTTCCCATTGACCTTTATCACAGGGCATGGTAATACTAAGAGACACCCTAATGGATCTCCTGTATTCCATGCATACTCTTCCTTACCTCCATTATGGAGTAGTATATTGATTTAATCTTGATAGTCTGGATCAATCACCGCAGCCAACACTGTAACTTCCTTCTTAGCCTGTTGACTTAAAGGTAGCAGGAGCCCAAAGTGTCCAGGTGGCAATCTTAACTTCCAATTTAATGAAATCAGTGTTGTGTCTCCTGGTGGCAGCGTACCTCCCTCTGGAACTAAGACCTCTAGGCCAGCAGAAAGTAATGTCGCAGGAACAGGAAGCAAAAATGTTGCTAGTGGATCACTAGGGGTGATGGTGAGTGGTGCCACTTCCACTTCCTCCCCTTGATTCCTGGACGCATGAATCCTGGGTATGGGAAAAACAGTACCATACATTGGATACTGATTCAGAGCACACACGGCCTTCTGGAGAACTTTGCCCCAGGCCTGCAAAGTTTTGTCACCTAGTTGGCATCGTAATTGTGACTTCAAAAGGTCATTCCACCATTCTGTCAATCCAGCTGCTTCAGGATGATGGGGAACAAGGTAAGGCCAGTGAATTCCGTGAGCATAAGCCCACTACTGCACTTCTTTAGCCATAAAGTGAGTGCCTTGGTCAGAGGCAATGCTGTGTGGAATATCACGACAGTGGATAAGGCACTCTGTGAGTCCACGGGTGTTAGTCTTGGCAGAAGCATTGCGTGCAGGATAGACAAACCCATATCTGGAGTAAGTGTCTATTCTAGTGAGGACAAACCTCTGCCCTTTCCATGATGGAAGAGGTCCAATATAATCAACCTGCCACCAGGTGGCTGGCTGATCACCCCAAGGAATGGTGCCATATCAAGGGCTCAGTGTTGGTCTCTGCTGGTGGCAAATTGGGCATTCAGCAGTAGCTGTAGTCAAGTCAGCCTTCGTGAGTGGAAGTCCATTTTGTTGAGCCCATCCGTAACCTCCATTCCTGCCCCCATGGCCACTTTGTTCATGGGCCCATTGGGCGATGACAGGGGTGGCTGGGGGAAAGAGGCTGAGTGGCATCCACAGAAGGGGTTATCCACTTGATTATTAAAATCCTCCTCTGCTGAAATCATCCATTGGTGAGCACTCACATGGTATGCAAATGTCTTCACAGTTTTTCACCACTCAGAGAGGCCCATCAACATACCTCTTCCCCAAATTTCTTTGTCACCAATTTTCCAATCATGCTTCTTCCAAGTCCCTGACCATCCAGCCAAACCATTGGCTACAGCCCATTAATCAGTGTATAATTGCACATCTGGCCATTTCTACTTCCAGGCAAAGTGCGCAACCAGATGCACTGCTTGAAGTGCTGCCCACTGGGAAGATTTGGCTTCACCGCTGTCCTTTAGGGATGTCCTAGAAAGGGGCTGTAGTGCTGCAGCTGTCCACTTTCAGGTGGTGCCTGCATATCATGCAGAACCATCTGTGAACCAGGCCCTAGTCTTCTCTTCCTCTGTCAACTGATCATAGGGAACTCCCCATGAGGCCATCGGTGCAGGCTGGAGAAGAGAAGGCAGGGTGGCAGGAGTGGAGACCATGGGCATTTGAGCCACTTTCTCATGTAACTTATTTGTGCCTTCAGGACCTGCTCAAGCCTGACCACATATATGCCACTTCCATTTGATGATGGAATGCTGCTGTACACGACTCACTTTATAACTAGATGGGCCAGAAAGCACCCAGTTCATGATAGGCAGTTTAGGATGCATGGTGACTTCATGAGCCATAGTCAATCAGTTTCCACTAAAGCCCAGTAACAAGACAAGAGCTGTCTCTCAAAAGGAGAGTAATTATCTGCAGAAGATGGCAGGGCCCTGTTCCAAAATCCTAGAGGCCTTTACTGTGATTCACCTATGGGGGCTTGCAAAAGACTCCACACAGCATCCCTATCTGCCACTGACACCTCAAGCACCATTGGATCTGGTGAGTCATATGGCCCAAGTGGCAGTGCAGCTTTCACAGCAGCCTGGACCTGTTGCCGAGCCTTCTCCTGTTCTGAACCCCACTCAAAACTGGCAGCCTTTCGGATCACTCAATAAATGGGTCAGAGTAACACACCCAAATATGGAATGTGTTGCCTCCAAAATCTGGATAGGCCCACTAGGTGTTGTGCCTCCTTCTTGGTTGTAGGAGGGGCCAAATGCAGTAACTTACCCTTCAACTTAGAAGGAATATTTCGCCAGGCCCCACACCACTGGACCTCTAGAAATTTTACTAAGGTAGAAGATCCCTGAATTTTAGTCAGATTTATTTCCCATCTTCTGGCATGCAAATGTCTCACCAGTAAGTCCAGTGACTTCTTGCTCCTTGGATCCAATCAGCATAATGCCATCAACATAACGGACTAGTGTGATATATTACAGAAGCAAAAACCGATCAAGGTCTCTTCGAATAAGATTCTGACACAAAGCTGGAGAGTCGATATGCCCCTGAGGTAGGACAGTAAAGGTATACTGCTGGCCTTGCCAGCTGAAGGCAAATTGCTTCTGGTGAACCTTTTGGACAGGAATGGAGAAAAAGGCATTTGCCAAGTTAATGGCTCATACCAGGTACCAGGAGATATGTTAATTTGCTCAAGCAATGAAACCACATCTGGTACAGCAGCTGCAATTGGAGTCAGTGCTTGGTTAAACTTAATGATAATCCACTGTCATTCTCCAAGATCCATCCGTCTTCTGCACAGCCCAAATGCAAGAGTTGAATGGGGATGTGGTGGGAATCACCACCCCTGCACCTTTCAAGTCCTTGATGGTGGTACTAATCTCTGCAGCCCCTCCAGGGATGTGGTATTGTTTTTGATTTACTATTTTTCTAGGTAGAGGCAGCTCTAATGGCTTCTATTTGGCCTTTCCCAACATAATAGCCCTCACCCTACCAGTCAGGGAGCCAGTGCAGAGGTTCTGCTAGCTGCTAAGTCTGTCTATGCCAATTATCCATTATGGCACAGGGGAAATGACCACAGGATGAGTCCAGGGACCCACTGTAAGTCAGACATGAGCTAAAACTCCATTAATTAACTGACCCCTAGAAGTCCCTACTTTAACTGGAGAACCACATATGATGTTTTGGGTCCTCTGGAATCAATGTCAGCTCTTGGAGCCAGTGTCCAGTAGTCCCCGAAATGTCTGATCATTTCCCTTTCCCCAGTGCACAATTACCCTGGTAAAAGGCTGGAGGTCTCCTTGGGGAAGGGTGGGAGAAAAATTCACTGCATAAGTTGTCGGTAATGTAGTGGGGTCCTTCCTCAAGAGGACCCGGACTCCCCTTCCTTCAAGGGGTTCTGGGTCTGTGAACTGGCTCAAGTCTGGAAATTGATTGAGGTGCTGTCATTCTCTGTTTTTATAATTCAAATTAGTCTTCAGTCCATTCGACCTGAAAGTTTTCTGCTTACATAAATTAAGTAGGAATGCAGTAGGCTTCCTAACAATTTCACTTCTAGGAACACCGTGATTAATTAGCCAATGCCAGAGCTCTTCATGAGTCAGACTATTCTTATTGCTGCTTTGTCTCTGCTGCCCATTAGAGTAGCTACACCCACCTTGCCTTTGACGGTTGAGTGCCACCACTTGGTCCCTACCACCTCAGGATCCAATTATTCCCATTGTATTTAAATTTTCAGTTGGGTGCCTGCAGTTTCCACTGTTAGATCTGACATACAGAGAAGAGCAATTACAGGGCTCTTCAAAGATGCAGGTGCTGCCCTCACAAATCTATTTCGCAAAGAGTTGGTCTAAGGGTACATCTTCTGGACCCTCCCAGCTGGGATGAGTGGGTCTAAAGTGACTAGTCCACTCCACCATCCCAATCTCCCTAAGCCTTGGGATCCCTTCCTCTACATTAAACCAAGGGAGATCAGGCATTTCCAGCTCATTCACAGTGGGCCATCTTTTAATCCATCTTTCAGCTAACCAAGCAAATAAACTATTAGAACCTTTTTAAACTCCCTGAGCTGCAACATTAAATGTAGAGTCCCTATTTAGTGGGCCCAAATCAATAAATTCAGCCTGATCCAACTCTATGTTTCTTCCACCATTATCCCATACCCTTAATATTCATTCCCATGCCTGTTCTCCAGATTTCTGTTTATATAAATTAGAAAACTCAAGCAGTTCTTTTTGAGTATAGCACACCACCTCATAGTTCACACTCTGAACCTCACCTCTAGGGGCTCACTAGGACTTTAGTCTAATTATAGGTCTAGAAGCAAACAGGGGTGTTGGGGGTGGCTCCTGAGGAGAATCAACATTTTTTTTTGCCTGGCAACTGTCTCAGGAGAGGCCATCACTGTAACATCAGGCAGCACAGGGTTCATCTACTCAGACAAAGGTGCAAAGGCTGATGGCAGCATGTGTCAGGGAGGGGATGTTGCCACTACTGGAGATGGAAAAGCTGATTCTTCTGGCAAACAAGGTTCATCAGAGTTTACAAACTCAGTGTCCCCAGCTTCATCAGGGTCCTCCCACATGTCCCCATTCCAAGTTGCAGGGTCCCATTATTTTCCAATCAATCTCACTTTAACAGTAGACACCTGGTGAGGCTGTGCATGCACCTTTCATTGCATGTCAGTCACTCACATAAGAGCTTGTGTCTGTTTTTCCACAATTTCAACTCTTTCTTTACAGGACATAAGACTCTTACTCAGGCGGGGCATGGTGGCTCACACCTGTAATCCTAGCACTTTGGGAGGCTGAGGCAGGCGGATCACAAGGTCAGGAGTTCAAGACCAGCTTGACCAACATGGTGAAACCCCATCTCTACTAAAAATACAAAAATTAGCCGGGCATGGTGGCGCATGCCTATAATCCCAGCTACTCAGGAGGCTGAGGCAGGAGAACCGCTTGAACCCGGAAGCAGAGGTTGCAGTGAGCTGAGATTGCACCAGTGCACTCCAGCCTAGGCGACAGAGCAAGACTCTGTCTCAAAAAAAACAAGACTCTCACTCAGGACAATCTTAGCAGATTTGAGGCTCAATATCTGCTTCTGAAGCCAGGAGACAGAATTCCTAAGTTCATCATTTTCTTTCATCACTTTGTCCACTGAACTTAGGAGCAACCAACCAGCTTCATAATGTTCCTTGGTTCTCCACATATGGTCAAAGGTATTATGTATAGAGTCACTAAACTTCTTGCCTCTCATGAGCAGTGAATCCGAGTGCCAAATGCATTTCTCTAAACAGTTCACACCAAGTACTATCAGTGTTCTCCACACTATTAGAAGTAGAGTCCTTAGCAATTTTGGGTGTAATCATATTAAGCAGCCAACTCCAGAAACCCAAAAACCAACGAAAGAACTCCATCCTTAATATTCTGTTCCTCTAGAACCATTCCTGGTACTAAAATCTGTATTAGTCAGAGTTCCCTAGAGGGACAGAACTAACTATATATACGTATATATACATATATATATATACACACACACACATATATACACATATATATACACATATATACACACATATATATATATACACACACACACTAACTATATGTGTATATACAGGATTTTATTAAGTATTAACTTAGACGATCAGAAGGTCCCACAATAGGCTGACTGCAAGCTTGAGGAGCAAGGAGAGCCAATCCAAAGCTCAAAACTGAAGAACTTGGAGTCTGATGTTTGACAGCAGGAAGCACCCAGCACAGGAGAAAGATGGAGGCTGGGAGGCTAGGCCAGTCTCGCCTTTTCAGGATTTTCTGCCTGCTTTATAGCAGCTGGCAGCTGACTAGATTGTGACCACCAGATTAAGGGTGGGTCTGTCTTCCCCAGCCCCCTGACTTAAATGTTAATCTCCTTTGGTGACACTCTCACAGACACACCCAGGATCAATAGTTTGGCATGCTTCAATCCAATCAAGTTGACACTTAGTATTAACCACCACACCAGAGTTTCAAATAAATCTGTAAAGAAACAAATACAACAGTTAAATTCAGGATCACACATGCAAGTACATTTAGCAATGGGATATGAGCCAAGCACATTTCAGTTTAGGGAGCACATGATCCGACAAACACAAGTGTCCTTGTGCAGACAACTGCCTAGAATATTTTGGATCACAGCTGCCCCATAAAATCAAGTCCACATGATTGCTGCAGTTACACTTCTTGTGGAATCTATTTCTTGATCTTAAAATCGGTGTATCTATATTTCCGCACATTGTATTGCTATTAGGAGATATACTACATGGATTCTGGTGCCAATTTGTCAGGGCTGCAATCCCAGCTCTGCCATTTACTAGCTATGTAACTCAGGCTAGTTCCTTAACCATTCTGTACCTCACTTTCTCCATCTGTGAAGTGGGAACAATAATGGTACTCAACTTACAAAGTTGTTGGAAAGACTGAATGAGTTAATATATGCAAAGCCTTAAAATAGTACCTGGCACATAAATAAATACTATATGAATGATTGCTACTATTCTTAATATCACGATTATTAATTTTGATTACTACTTCTACCTAAATTTAAATACAATTTTATAGCCCTTATTTAAAAATCAAAAAGATGGTAAATACTTCTACAAATATAATCTGTATTTTCCACAGCACAGTAATTTGGGCCTTAAAATATAGTCTTGCAATCACAGTTACATGGTATGCATGCATAGAAACAGGAAAATTTTATTTTATTTTATTTATTTATTTTGAGACAGAGTCTTGCTCTGTCACCCAGGCTGGAGTGCAGTGGTGCGATCTCAGCTCACTGAAATCTCTGCCTCCTGAGTTCAAGTGATTCTCCTCCCTCAGCCTTCCTAGTAGCTGGGACTACAGGTGCCCACCACCACACCCGGCTAATGTTTGTACTTTTAGTAGAGATGAGGTTTCACCATATTAGCCAGGCTGGTCTCAAACTCCTGACCTTGTGATCCGCCCACCTTGGCCTCCCAAAGTGCTGGGATTACAGGCGTGAGCCACTGTGCCCAGCCTATTTTATTTTATTTTATTTAGACAGAGTTTCACTTTGTGCCCAGGCTGGAGTGCAGTGGCATGATCTCAGCTCACTGCAGCCTCAACTTCCTTGAACTCAGGTGATCCTCCCACCTCAGCCTCCCAAGTAGCTAGGACTACAGGGACGTGCCACCACACCGGGCTAATTTTTATATTTTTTGTAGAGATGGGGTTTCTTTATGTTAGCCAGGCTGGTCTTAAACTCCTGGGCTGAAATGATCCTCCCTCCTTGGCCTCCCAAAGTGCTGGGACTACAGGAGTGAGCCACCATGGGCAGCCATAAGCAGGAAAACTTTAGAATCAGTCGTTTCTGGCTGTGAATTCTACCTACATCACTAACTTATTGTGTGACCCTGGGAAATTTACCTACTTGACCTCTCTAAGCCTTTAGAAGCAAAATAATAATAATACTTGCCTGACAAGATAACCAAGAAGTAGCTAAGATAAAATGTGAAGTGCCTGGCAGAGGCCTGATGCATAAAGACCTGGATGGAGCCTACTTCAAATAACTCAACTATTTCTTGTAGCTTCTCCAGGGACCCTCTTTTTTTCACTCTCTGGCTCCCTCCCACCAAGCTTCTACTACACAGCATTAGGTGTGTGAGGAATGTATTATTCTTAAAAATAGAAAAGTGTAGCTGTCCTATTTTTAAGAATACAACCTTGGACACCTGTACTGCAAAACCTGCATGTTAGAGATCTATTCCACTCAGAAAAAAAGAAAAAGAAAAACTTAGATGCAGACATAATAAAGCCAACTTCCAAATGATGAGCAATCTGCATTGCTCTCCAATTTCTATGATGCTCCACCAGCCTCCCAGTCCCTTCGCCTCTATGCACTGCAATGCAGGTACCCTCATAATACTGTGGAGGGGCAAGTAGGGGTGAGGGATAGTTCTCATATTGGAAGGGTGAAATTTGGCTTCCAGACCCCATTGCACTGCCTCGGCTTCAGCAGGGACTTACTCTTTTGCTTGGTGAAACCAAACCAAGAAGCAGGCCCAGGACCACCTCCAGCTGAAAACTTGGTGTGTTAAGATATCACTGGTGACTTGGTAAGTATTATATTGCTATGTAAAAAAGGTTTAAAAGTCCGTATTTCTAAGAGATGTACATAAATGTATATATGGGTTCAGGTAATAGATAAACTTTGTTTTAAAATAATTCAGCAAACGGAGAAGTAAAGAGAAGGATACATGAAACAAATGTGTCAACATCTTGATAACTGTGTAATCAGGATGATGGGTATGATGGGGATTTATAATATTATTCCCATTATTCTGTCCCATTTTTGTGTTTGAACATTCTCAAACATAATTTTAAAATCTGAGAAATTTAAAAAACCTTCACATTTTTAGGAACAATACATATGGTCTTATAGCCACCAGGCACATGAGGCTTGTCTAATATCCTAGGCATCTTTTTCCATCTCCAAAAGAGTCTAGTAGGATCTGGTCTGTTCATACATTCCATCAAATCCTCTGTTCTTCCTAGTCCAAGAGGATATGTCTTTTAATTTCCAAACAAATATTTCTGAAGCCTTGCTTAAGTTGGGGAATTGCCATCTTCTCCAACATCACCATGCAGACACTTAAAAATGTTTTCAAAAGTGAAACCATGAGGTAAATCTAATGACCCTCTAAAACATTATGACAGGTAAAATAATCCAGACACAAAAGACGACGTATCATATGATTCCATTTATATGAAAAGCCCAAGAAAGGCAAATCCATAGAGACAGAGAGTAGATTAGAGGGTCATGGGGCTGGAAATGGGATAGGCATATAATGTAAATGGGCATAAAAGATCGTATTGGGATGATGGAAATGTGCTAAAACAGGATTGCGGGGATGGTTGTACAACTCAGTTGCCAAAAATCATTAAATTTTAAACAGGTGAATTTTACTATATGTAATTATATCTCAATAAAGTTGATTTTTAAAAAAGAAATCTAGCTAGGTCACAAGCATTTTTTTTTTTTTTTAGATGGAGTCTCGCTCTGACACCCAGGCTGGAGTGCAGTGGTGCAATCTTGGTTCACTGCAACCTCCACCTCCTGGGTTCAAGCGATTCTCCTGCCTCAGCCTCCCAAGTAGCTGGGACTACAGGTGTGTGTCAACACACCTGGCTAATTTCTGTATTTTTGGGAGAGACAGGGTTTCACCATGTTGGCCAGGCTGGTCTTGAACTCCTGACCTCAGGTGATCCACCTGCCTCGGCCTCCCAACGTGCTGGGATTACAGGCGTGATTCACGATGCCAGGTGGGTCACAAGCATTTTTAAATCATTTATTAGTCATGTAAAACATTTTATACTTAAAATGAACTATAGCACATCAACTTGAGATTTCACAGTAGTGATATAAACTTTTCGAATAACTTTCTAAGTAAAAAGATGAATTAATTTAAACCATTGCTTTAAATCATTTTAATTTACATAATTAATTTAAGTAACAATTATTATACAAACCAGAAGTTTTGGTGAATGCTAGTTAGGTTATTGGTTCCCAAGTGATAAAACCCCAGCTCTGTGTGTGTGTGTGTGTGTGTGTGTGTGTGTGTGTATTTTAACCTCAAGATCAATAATAAATATTAAATGGGATTATGTTGATTAAAATGCTTTGTAAATTTCCAGTGCTGTACTAACAAAAGAAAACGAATGGCTTACCTAAGGTGCCTTCTATTTTAATACAAAAGAAATTCTTACAAGTTTATGACAGACAAGAGACTCTCCAGGTGGGGCAGGAGTTAATTTAACCAGTAGTGCTGCCTCCCTTTTCTAGGGTTTCAATTTCTTCCTTCAACAAACATTATTGAATGCCTACCATGAATCCACTAGGTGCAGGTCCATGTTCTGGATCCTTAAGAGATGCACAGTTGTCTTATTCCTCCTCTTCCTCCAAGTTAAGATGCTTTACTATGAAACCTCTACTGGACTGAGGTGCAGCACCCCCAAGCCCTTTCCTGGTTGCACTTGACAAAAATATTGAGGGAGGAAAAAACCCCCACAAGAGTACAGTCAAGTTTTTAAAATTACAGAATTACAAAATAGAAGATTGGGATTGGGAAAGAAAAAAGAAATCATGCTCCCCGGTTCCCACCTAGATTTGAGTTCCTAAAATCCTGCCTCTCGCACCCCTTTTTCTTTCTAAGGAAGCTAGTATCTCCCACCTTCTCAAGAAAACAGTGAGTGCTCCATTACATTTAAATCCCATCCCCAGATGAAGGAAGCAGTCATTATCTTCTAAGTTCTCAGCCCCATGAAAACCACCATGAAAATACCAATCCCCGTATTTTCAAGAATAGTTGTCAGCAAAGTGTTGCCGCAGGAGAATACTGTCTGAAGGCAGGGAACCTAAGGCAGATTCACACTGATTTCCTAGAACTAAATCAAATGGAAAACCCCGGCCGGGCGCGGTGGCTCACGCCTGTAATCCCAGCACTTTGGGAGGCCAAGGCGGGCGGATGACGAGGTCAGGAGATCAAGACCATCCTGGCTAACAGGGTGAAACCCCGTCTCTACTAAAAATACAAAAACAAAATTAGCCGGGCGTGGTGGCAGGCTCCTGTAGTCCCAGCTACTCGGGAGGCTGAGGCAGGAGAATGGCGTGAACCTGGCAGGCGGAGCTTGCAGTGAGCCCAGATCGCGCCACTGCACTCCAGCCTGGGCGACAGAGCAAGACTCCGTCTCAAAAAAAAAAAAAAAAAAGGAAAACCCCAACTTTCCACACCTAAGTAACAAAAGAACCAGACGTTACTCCCTTTGCAACCCCCTCCCCACTACACAACCACACACACACACACACACACACACACACACACTTTAGCCGTGTGGCAGATGTGAAATTGAAAGTATCTCTGATTCGTTGCTTTCTGCAACCAATCAGACGCTTGCATAGGAGTGTAACTTTGTAACTTCACTTTAGCCTCTGATTGGTTGCTTTCCACAACCAATCAGACTGATTGTGGAGCCACTACTTCATTTACATAGGGTGTACACCATGTAACCAATGGGAAACCTCTAGAGGGTATTTAAACCCCCGAAAATTCTGCAAAAGGAGTCTTGAGCTGGTATTACCTTTTCGTTTTCAATAAATCTCTGCCTTTATTCCTTCATTCTTTCCTTAGTTTGTGCGTTGTGTCCAGTTCTTTGTTCAAAACGCCAAGAACGTGAATACTCTCCACCGGTAACTGTTATTGTTGTTAGTAATAGTGGTATTACAATTTTGACGTTAGTTTGGCTAATTAATAAATCTAGGGATATTTTGCAATATCTAGATGTTCTCGCAAGTTTTCTATATGTAGCTATCAGCCAACGTTACAAAGGCCGTGAAAAAAAAATGATCAGAGCATGGCCCATATCGTCGTGCCTCTTGTGTACACATTGGTTTCACGTAGTTTTGTTTCATCTTCTGCCAATTCTAAAAGGGTATGCAAGGCAAGATACCATAACCTATATAAACTTACATGACCTGTATAAAGGACGTGCCTAAGAAGACAACATGCTAGCTGATGACAGATCCTGAACAGACACCTGTTCTGGATGACCTAAGTGAGTTTCTCCTTTTATTTCAAATTTCTTAGAAAGAATCACCCTTGGGGCACGTAAGAACTGGCTCAAATGGGAGTGCCTGACGCGGGGTGGGGGGCTGGGGGCGGGGTAGGTGGTGGCCGTGAGAAGGTAGCCGTGAGAAGGTGGGAGAGGAAGGGGTGGTTAAACTATTAGGGATGCAGGCTTTGGCACCACTACGAAGCCAGGGTTTTCTTTGTGTTTTAACTGTCAGATTGAGAGTAGCTCTGTTGTAGCCCCTTTGCAGGGTTCCCATGAGACTTTTCCTAGGTAGTTACGTTGACTCGCTTAGCAACATAGCAAATTACAGAAACGGAGTAAGAACGTAAGAAATCGCAAAGCACGTGACGTATGGGATCTCACTGTTCTTGGCCCTTCTCCCGACCCGTAGCCCTGCTCTGCTACGACTGCGTGGGTGAGTCGTCTATAAAAACTCATCTCTGCGCGTCTCTTCGCCACATTCGCTTCCTGCTTTCGGTGTGTCTGTTGTGTCTTGTTGCGGGCACCGCAGTCGCCGTGAAGATGGCGTCTACCAGCCGGTTAGTATGTCCCGCCGAGCCCGGCGAGCTGAGGGGCGGGCGCGAGCGCCGCCGGCTTTTAGGCGGCCTCCGGGCAGCCTCGTAGGGCTGAGCGCCTAGGGGTATGGGAGAGAAGCGGCGGGACTGGCCGACGGGCCGGGACAAAGGCACTTCCAGACGGCAGGACTGTCAGGGTGTCGCAGGGGTTACCGAGCTGTTGACGTTATTGCCCTGGAGTCTTATGTAGATATCACCCTATGTGGGTCCTGGTGGGCTACTGTGTCCCCAGTCCTTGCCCTCGTATCTTTTCCCAATATTTCAATCTCCCTTTATTTTCTCTTCTTCCCACCCTCCCTCCTCTCCTCCCCCGCGCCCCCCCCCCCGCTTGTTTTTTTCATCTACGGCCCAAACAACCCGAGGGTCCGTAATTTCTCCTTTTCAAAGGAACGGGAAACAGTTAGTTTCAGGTTCCTATCGATCTGACAGCTAGGAAGTTGGGAACGTCAGCATTGGTAAGCCAGATGGAACCTGGTTGGTTACCATCACAGCGGGCCTCGGAAGTGGAAGCTAGAGCCATCGGAAGAGTTGATTAGTTCCCTGCTAAAGGATTTGTTTACAAATATCGTTGCCTGTGTACTTCTGAAGAAAATCTTGCCAAAGAAAATTAGTTATATGTGCTGGGAGGTCGCTTTTTAGTATATATTTAAGAATGCAGTGTACTCATATCTACAGGAAATGCATGCAGTACCCTCAGAAACAGCCTTTAATCTTGTGACCTGAAAAATGCTTGCAGACCCTAATTATGTCTCTCATTACCACTGTGAGGTAGATATTAGTATTTTTGCATAAGTGTAAACTGAGTCATGCCAATGTTGACTTTTCCAAGAGTCGTGTTAGAGTGTAGAGTCTAAGACAACCTGTTTCCTGTTATCCACACCTGGCCTTTGGTTAACTAATCCTGTGTTGAAAGTATCAAATTAATTCTACAGCTTCTGGAACTCTGGCACTATTTTTCTGACCCTGCTATCATCTGTGGAATTGGTTAATTTCACAGTGAAAGCCATTTTTACAAAATAGCCTTTTCTGGTAACTGCCAAGACTTACATTTTATGATTAGAAAAGGAATTTGGGGTGGGAGGCAGCTTTAGCTAATATACTGTTTGAACAGAACTCATAAAGCCAGTGACACTCTTGTTTACTGATTCTGATTCTTGGATTGGATGCTCAGTCATTCTATCTGGGTGTTGTTCTGTCGGGTAAGGCCTCCTTGTAGGTAAATGGAAAACTTGGGCTCCCCAGATCACTCAAATACGACTTAAAATTCTACCATGGCTTTTTTTTTTTTTAATTCTATCATGGCTTTTTAAGTCTGAAATTTTTTTCTAGATATGTGCAATTTATGTATCATAGCAGTTATTGCTCAAGTTTTTCTATCAGTGACAACAAAGAAAGTTAAATGCAGTATTTTTTATTTTATGGAACAGGCCTGGGCTGAAGTGTAGGTGGCACGATCATGGCTCACTGCAGCCATGACCTCCCCAGTTCAAGTGATCCTCCCACCTCAGCCTTCTGAGTAGCTGGGACCATAGGTACACACCACGTGCCTGGCTAATTTTTTTATTTTTAAATTTTATTAATTTTTATTTTTGTGGAGACAAGGCCTAGTTACATTGCCCAGGCTGGTCCTGAACTCCTGGGTCCAAGCAGTCCTCCGGCTTTGGCCTACCAAAGTGCTGTGGTAACAGGCATGAGCCACTGCGCCCAGCCTAAATATAATATTTCTACCTTTTGCATGTTTTTCCCTCAGGAAGGTGTATTGTCACTAGGCCATGAAACTGGCTGGTGTCCTCACAGAGGAGTACAAATGTTCTGAGTTCAAATGTAAGCTCCGCCACTTATTAGTTCCATGACTTCAGGCAAATCATTCTCTGAGCATAATTTTTTAAATGTGAAATAGTGCCTTTCTTGCAGGATTGTTGTGGAGATTGACAATAATAAATGTATAACACAAGTAATACAGTCCATGCCCAATAAATGATAGCTATAAAATGGGGTTTGGGATTATCTGGTACTTGAGTAGTCTCGAATCGTTTTAATGTCAGTGGTGGTGGTTTCTCTATTCCTCCCTATTGTTTCTCTCTGTTACCACCTTCACCACCCCATTTGTATGGTTCCTCTTCTGTATTGTGGGTAATTTGATTAAGTTTACTAATTTAGCATACTTTTATTTTGATAGGTAACACATACAAATGGTCCAAAAGCAAAATTGCAATAGACTAAAACCATGAAAAGTAGTCTTCCTCCTTTCCTAGCTCCCAGCCATCTAAGTCTCCCTGGATCAGCCATAATTACTAGTCTCTTGGTGTTTTCCTAGTGTTTATGCTTTAACAAATGTATAGGAATAGTTCTAACCTCTCTTCCCCCACGAAAGTGACCTAATTTAAACTCCATTCACTACCTTGCTTTTACCTTTTTTTAATGAAGTTAGCACATTTTAAAAGTGGGCAGCTCAGTTACAAAGTGAGCACATACATATAGCTCCTACCCAGGTAAGGAAATCAGATACCACTAGCACTAGCTAAGACACTAGCAAAGTCTCTGTCCTCAGTCATTCCCCCTCCTTTGAGAAAACCACATCCTGATTTCTAACTCCATCAATTCATTTGGCCTGCTTTAAAGTTGTCATAAATGGCATATGTATTCTGCTGTCTAGATTCTGTTAGTATTTTGAGGTTCATCCATGTTATGGTGTATGGTTAGTTCATACTTTTCAGCTTTGTATAGGTTTTCTACCTTATTCTTCACTCTTCATATCTTTGAGATGTTTCTGTATCATTACACAAACTATAGTTTTCTATCTACTTTTTAATACTGCAGAGATATTAGTTCTTAGCACGTGTTGCACATGGCCTCCTCTTTTACTAATTTGTAATTACTGTTACTCTGCTAACATTTTCCTTTATTTCAACATGGTTTTTCATAATTTATATCAACTGTTTAATTTTATTTGTCATAATTTATTAAAATACTTTCCTTAGAGGAATTTATGGAATAAACACAAATATGAAGTAATACTCATCCCCCCGTGTTCCCAATGAGAAGATTCAAGACATATTCTAGTTAAGCTGACTAGATAAGTTTAGGGGGGAATATGGATTATTTTATCAGTTTTCCCGTAGATATCACCTTCTGAGTTGAGAGTTAACATTCTGAATTGTATTTGCTAGCATGAGAAACTTTACCCCAAACCACAAATACTATTTACATACTATAAGAACAGTTGATTTTGTCTTTTACGTGTATCTGATGT
The DNA here is from genome assembly GCF_000001405.40 of Homo sapiens. Classification (NCBI taxonomy): domain Eukaryota; kingdom Metazoa; phylum Chordata; class Mammalia; order Primates; family Hominidae; genus Homo; species Homo sapiens. Next base: position 88,888,193 of record NC_000001.11, on the reverse strand, counting down.
CCATAACCTAACCATTTATTGTATTTCAGATGGTTTTTAAAAGGGCCTTATTTGCAGTGATACCAAGAATTTATGATTGTGAGGTCATACCCCCTGAAATAATGATCAAATCTTTGTTGCTTTTACAGCTGATTCTGTCAGATCATTTAAGATTAATGTGTCAAAAAAAGATGAATGTGTCTTCTGCAAACTGCTTTGTTGTTCAAAATAAATTGAGCTAATTATTAATATCACAGATAACAAGTAGCTTTTGAAACAATTTCTTGAATGATAAATTCAATAACTCAATTCTGGACTAAAGGAAATCATCAAGTCTTAAGTTCAGCAGAGCAACTTCTACCATCCCTCATTTCTATACTTACTGGGTTCAGTGTACTATTTAAATCTGTTACTAAAGTAGTTAACAAGTAGAAAAATACAGAGAGAAATTGTTCTCTGACTAGAGAAATAAGTGGCAAAGAGCACAAACTGGATGGTAATGTAAATGCTGCAGGTTATTACGGTAACTAGTCATTACTATACTAATCAACATTTCTAAAAGTCTTACTGGCATACATATTGAGAGAAGAAACAATTATTTTCTATTTATGTTTTGAAAGCCTTCCACAATAAAATAAGAATTCCAGTGGAAACTACTTGCCAGTTACTAGCTGGAATTTAAAATAACCTAACTGGGATGTTTACTTTGAAAATCTAGCTTATATGTGTTACAGTTGTATGTATGAAAAAACGTTCACAATCTTTGTCTTCCCCATCCCCCATCCCAGAAGATTAATTTGATACATGTTGGTTGGGAAGATGTAAAAATACAACTTTTTTCTTTTAGTTTGGATGCTCTTCCAAGAGTCACATGTCCAAACCATCCAGATGCGATTTTAGTGGAGGACTACAGAGCCGGTGATATGATCTGTCCTGAATGTGGCTTGGTTGTAGGTGAGTTGTTATTATGGTTTTAATTTAAATTACTGTTCAGGAGGCCAAGCATGGTGGCTCACGCCTGTAATTCCAGCACTTCGGGAGGCCAAGGTGGGAGGATCACCTGAGGTCAGGAGTTCGAGACCAGCCTGACCAACATGAAGAAACCCCATCTCTACTGAAAATACAAAAACTAGCCGGGCGTAGTGGTGGGCACCTGTAATCCCAACTGCCCAGGAGGCTGAGGTAGGAGAATGGCTTGAACCCAGGAGGCGGAGGTTGCAGTGAGCCGAGATCGTGCCACTGCACTCTAGCCCGAGCAACAGAGCAAGACTCCGTCTCAAAAAAAAAATAATAATAATAATAATGTTTAGGGTCCTTCACTTTTGCATAGTTTCCAAACTATCATTTAATGAACACATTTTTGACTTTCTTCCCCAACAAATAATTTATTGCAAAAAAACAATTAGGAAACAGAAACGAGTAAACTTATTCAGAGATATATTTTATTGTATATCCAAATGTATATTTTTATAATGTGGGGTGGGAGCTAATCCAGAAGAAACGAAAAGGCCCCAGTAATTTCATAAGTCCTTAGTCTGAAATATTTGGTAGAGGACTGGAGAGATGGGCTGACACTCATGCATATTAAATAATGAATACATGTAATCAAACTTTTGTGGCTTTTTTATACATTGGGAAGTAGATAAACATGATTTTTGAGTCCCACTTAAAGCCTTTTAGTCAAAAAGAAGATTTATTATAACTTTTATACAGTCATCTATTGATGAATATCTTGTATAAAATTATTGCCAAAAATAACACTTAAAGTTTCACCTTGTTCCTACTTGCACACTAATCTAGATATGCAGCAGAACTTTAGACTACAGATAGTCTGTTCAAAAATTATTCTTGTGGTGGAGTTGTAGCATCTGAGAATAGGGGTAATATTTAGCAGTTTGAATTACTTAAGAATGAAAATTCTAGAAGGATTGTGGGCAGTATAACAGAAGCATTAGTAGTGGCATACTGTGGACTTGACTTACTTGGTCCAAGAAGGCTGCTTGCCTCAGACCTATAGTGGGAGTTTTAAAGTATAGAGTTGCTAATAGGAATTGAGAATCATTTGCAACCGTATTCTGCTGAGTAAGGAATATTAATAGCTAATATGTTTACTATATACTAGGCACTATTCTAAATGATTTACATATTCACTCAGTTTATCCTCACAACAAACCTGTGAGGTGAGTACTACCATTATCTTCATTTTACAGATAAGGAAACTGACGTTTAGGTAGTCTAGAAGACTGGCTCCATTGTCTGCGTGGGAGGCAGATTTCTATCTTGTATTGCCTTTCATAATAATAAAATTTTAATCTGGGGTCGTCAAAGTACAACCTATATATGGCCTATTTGTTAATTCTGGCTTTTACATTTTTAAATGGTTAAAAAAAATCAAAAATAATATTTTAGGACATGTGAAAATACAAATTTCAGTATCTATAAAGTTTTTCTTCGTTTGTTTTTTGAGACGGAGTTTTGCTCTTGTTGCCCAGGCTGGAGTGCAATGGCGTGATCTCGGTTCACCACAACCTCCGCCTCCCGGGTTCAAGTGATTCTCCTGCCTCAGCCTCCCAAGTAGCTGGGATTACAGGCATGTGCCACCATGCCCAGCTAATTTTGTATTTTTTTTAGTAGAGACGGTGTTTCTCCACATTGGTCAGGCTGGTCTCGAACTCCTGACCTCAGGTGATACGATCGCCTTGGCCTCCCAAAGTGCTGGGATTACAGGCGTGAGCCACTGCGCCTGGCCAAAGTTTTTTTTTTGATACAGAGTTTCGCTCTTGTTGCCCTTTTGTTGCCCAGGCTGGAGTGCCGTGGTGCGATCCCAGCTCACTGCAACCTCTGCCTTCCAGTTTCAAGTGATTCTCCTGCCTCAGCCTCCCGAATAGCTGGGATTACAGGGGCCCACTACTACACCTGGCTAACTTGTTGTATTTTTAGTAGAGACAGGGTTTCAGCATGTTGGCCAGGCTGGTCTTGAACTCCTGACCTCAGGTGATCCACCAGCCTCAGCCTCCCAAAGTGCTGGGATTACAGGTGTAAGCCACCATACCTGGCCTGGTATCTATAAAGTTTTAATGGAATATAGCAACACTCACTTGTTTACATAGTGTATATGACTCTTTTCACATTACAACAGCAGAGCTTAGTAGCTTCAACAGAAACCACATGTGCAGCTCTCATCACTTTTTTTCTGCTGCTCAGCATACTAATTGCAGTGATGCAGTTATAACAGCAACATGTTGATCGCCACATATGTTGCCATACTGCACTATTTTATTTATTTGTTTTTATTACCATTACATATCCATCACACCAAAACAAGAAAAGTTAACTTTGAATGTCATGCTTTTAAGGCATGGTGGAGTATGGATTATTTTGTCACTGAATTAGATGGCAAAACATTGTGTTTATTACACAATGATACTGTAGCTGTGTTAAAAGAATACAGTAAGCGTGGACATTACCATACTGAGCACTCATCAGAATATTTCTAACTCAGGAAAACAATGGTCAGAAAATAATGTAAAATAGAATATCTTAACACAACAGAATTTTTTCACAAAAATAAAAGAATGAAACTGAGGCTGCAACTAAAGTTTCTAAGTGGCTTATTTCTTGGCCAAGCAAGGAAAGCCATTTACCAATGATAGGTTAATTCATATTTGATTGCAACAGCTGAAGAAATGTATGCAGAGAAAATAAATTTATTTAAGACTGTTAGCATCTCACCAAGAACAGTTGCTTGAAGAGTTGAGGACAGTGGAGCAACATCAGTAGTCAATTAAAAGTTAAGGCAAATTAGCTCAGGTATATTTTTCCTTGGCTCTTGATGACTAGATCAATGTTATTGCTGCTTTGCAGTTGTTTATTCAAGAAGTCAGTGTTGGGCGAGGTGCAGCGGCTTACGCCTGTAATCCCAGCACTTTCGGAGGCTGAGGCGGATGGATCATGAGTTCAGGAGTTCAAAACCAGCCTGGCCAAGATGGTGAAACTCCATCTCTACTAAAAATACAAAAATTAGCCGGGCGTGGTGGTGGGCATCTGTAATCCCAGCTTACTCGGGAGGCTGAGGCAGAGAATTGTTTGAACCTGGGAGGCGGAGTTTGCAGTGAGCCGAGATTGCACCACTGCACTCCAGCCTAAGTGACAGAGTGAGACTCTGTCTCAAAAAAAAAAAAAAAAAAAAAAGTCAGTGCTGAGCTTGACAGAAGAACTAGCTCCAGTGAGTAGTCTACATGGAACAGCTATAGGAGAAAATAGCTTCAAAGCAGTTGCAAAAGTGTTAATTCAGTATAACCTGAGGTGGAATCTGCTAAGATTTATTATAACTGATAAGGGTAAAAATATGTGGAGCAGAAGACTTAGTGGAACAGATTTGCCAAGATTGAAAACGTAAGGTGTTTAAAAAGCCTATTACATTATTCATCAGCAGTACTTTGTTAGAGAAGACTTTAATCTACCTTGTGTTATTTAACCAGTAATTGTGAACAATGAACTTCATTCACTCTTGTGCACGTAACTATCAATATCAGTTCTGTGACTTTTTTTTTGAGACAGAGTCTCACTCTGTTTCTCAGGCTGGAGTGCAGTGGTGCGATCATGACTCACTTCAGCCTCAACTCCTGGGCTCAAGCAGGACCCTGGCTAATTTTTTTTTTTTGGTACAGATAGGGTCTCACAGCGTTGCCCAGACTAGTCTTGAACCCTGGCCTCAAGTGATCTTTTTGCCTTGATCTCCCAAAGTGCTGGGATTATAGGTGTGAGCTATCATGCTCAGCCAGTTTTGTGACATTTTGTTAGAAATAGAAGCTGAATATTTCTAACAAAATACTGTTAGGGTGACTTGTCTTAATGACACACTAATCTGGTGACTTAGCAGTAGCAAAGTTTTGTTGTGATTTTTCTGAACTCGGGGCCAAGAGTAAGATTTTTCTGAATCAGTACTGCCTTCGGCTACTGCTGTTGAACACTGGATGGTTTTGAAAATTAGCTTTTGCTGCAAACTTGCTAATATGTCTTAATGAATTCATCATAGAGTTACAAGGCAAAATACTGCTTTTCTGTGAAACATAAAGTGCAGTAAAGTCAATTTCACAAGTTAACATTTGAATCATAAGTAATGTCAAATTGCTTTTATATACTTTATATACTTCCAGTGGTGTCAGAAGTTAAAATAGGATGTTCATTACCACATAGATTTGCAGCAGATATATTTTCCAGGCTCAAGCTATATTTTCAGCAGTGTTTTTCAGACTTGAATGCAAATGCAAAGGAAATTTTCATATTTCAAAATTTGTTTTCACTGTACAGTTAAGGGGGTTCCATCTAACCTTCAGTTGGTAGTGACTAATCTGCAGTGTAACAGTATGTTAAAAGGCCATTATCAGGAGAAGAATGTAATACAATTCTATGAATGCCTTCCAAGCAATAAATATGCTCAATTAAAATCATACACTTGTGGATTAATATCGGTATTTGGCATTACTTGTCTATGCGAAAAGAAAGTGAAATACATAAAATCTTGTTAACACAACATCATTGACACATGAACATTTGTCATTGATTTTGATAGAGAACATTAACTTTGAACTCCAATTAAGTGAAATGTGATCCCCAAAAGAGAATTTTATTTTCCTCATTAGTAGACATGTAAGTACCTACTTAATATCCTGAATTTTGCCTCTTGACCCACAAAACCTAAAATACTTACTATGTCACCCTTTACAGAAAATGTTTGCTTAACCCTTCAGTTAAATGAGAGCCTTCCAGTTCTTCCACAGTGTTAAGATCAAACTGATAATGTGTACGAGTGAGACAGACATACATGAGATTGAAGATAATTTCAGCTTCTTAGCTCTCCTAACCTCTGTAGCGTTTTTTTTTTTTTTTTTTTTTTTTTTTGGAGTGAGAGTCTCCCTCTGTCCCCCAGGCTGGAGTGCAGTGGCACGATCTCCGCTCACTGCAGCCTCTGCCTCCGGGGTTCAAGCGATTCTTGTACTTCAGCCTACTGAGTACCTGGGATTACAGGCATGCACCACCACACCCACCTAATTTTTGTATTTTTAGTAGAGACAGGGTTTCACCACGTTGTCCAGGCTAGTTTTAAACTCCTGGCCTCAAGTGTTCCACCTGCCTCGACCTCCCAGCGTTCTGAGTTTACAGGCGTGAGCTATGGCACCTGGCCCATTTTTAAATAATGTAAAAGTATCCCATTATATTTTCAGCCTTCCCACCAGCCTCACTTCCACTTTAACCAGCAAGACAGTGGAGATTAATCAACTGAAAAAGGAAGATACAATTCACAAGACTTGTATGCTTTCTTGTGCTTGGAATTCCTAATTTTTGCTTGTACTTTTCTGCTATATCAAACCAAAGGAAGTTAATTTTGTTTTTGCTTTTATTGACTTACTAGTATCAAACACCATGTTAAATCTTGAGATCTGAAAAACATATCCAATAAAACTTACTTTCTATAATATATGACAGTATTTCTTTTTGATACTGATTCTTCTAACATAAAATATAACCAACACTTATTTTAAAATATACGGTAGGCTCATTCATAGATATTTGTGGTTAAATGTGTAATATATCTTGTAAGCGAAGAATCCATTCCATTACCAAACAAGGGCAGGTGTAGAAGAGTCTAGGAGCAAAGTTCTGTTTTGCTGAGACTATCATCAAGCAAATTAAGTTGGAAATACCTAAATTGAACATGACACTGCATGAATATAAATCAATATATGACATAAACACCTGTATATATTAATGTCATATATCAATAGTACATTTAGATTGCATTAAAATCATATGTCACTTGATGAGGGTATGTTCTGAGAAATGCATCGTTAGGTGATTTCATCATATGAACATCATAGATGGTACTTAATAAAACCTAGATGGTATAGTCTACAACACACCTAGGCTACATAGTATAGCCTATTGCTTCTGGGCTACAAACCTGTACAGTGGTATTGTACTGAGTACTGTAGGCAGTTTTAACTCAGAGGTAAGTATGTATCTTTTTTTTTTTTTTTTTTTTAAATACATACCTAGCATGTATTTATTCTGGCTTTTGGAGCTTCTGGCCAAACTCATATTCTAGTATGTGGTGTTTTTAACATCCTGTTCAATGTAGGCTTTGTGGGGCATGTCTGACCAATTGTACCTTCACTTACTAGTTCTTTTTTTTTTTTTTTTTTTGAGACAGCATCTCGCTCTGTCACCCAGGCCGGAGTGCAGTGGCATGATCTCGGCTTACTGTAACCTCCACCTCCCAGGTTCAAGTGATTCTCATGCCTCAGCCACTCGAGTAGCTGGGGTTAAAAGTATGCACTGCCACTCCCAGCTAATTTTTGTTATTTTAGGAAAGACGGGGTTTCCCCATGTTGGCCGGGCTGGTCTCAAACTCCTAGCTTCAAAGAGATACCCCCAGCCTCGGCCTCCCAAAGTACTGGGATTACAGGTGTGAGCCACTGCGCCAGGCCCCACTTACTACATTTTTGTAGGTACTCAGGTACATTAACTTATCCAGTTTACCTATGAAAAGTGGGAGAAAGTATCCTTTCATCCCATTGTTCTGTGAGTTGTCAGGGTGCATACAGACCCTGCCATATATGTGAATGTGTTCAGCTCTCTGGAGTCAGTGCCTCCAGTATTTATATATCGAAACATAGAAAAGGTACAATGAAAAGACAGTATTATAATCTTAAGGGACCACCATTGTGTATATAGTCCATTCTAAGCCAAAATGTTATGCAACATGTGACTGTATATGTAATTGAATTTGCATCAGCTCGCTGGTTTAAAGGCATCTGCTCTTCATTGCCAGCTCAGTTCAGCCTTTACCTCTTACACTAAGAAAATGGGGAAGAAATCAAGGTGGGCAAATATTCTACAACCCACTAAGGGACAACATTTGTGACTTTTTTCTTATTTAAATTACTGTTTTTCATGGGAATTTGAATCCAGACATCAAGTGTTTCCTAATAAATTATCTTGGTATACATGATTGATTATGCTTGCCATAAAATTTTTTACATTGTCTGAAACTTTTTAGATTAAACCATATTAATTCAGTAAACATTTTCAGAATTGTTTTTGGACAGTCCCATTTTTCTTTTCTTTTTCTTTTTCTTTTTTATTTTTTTGAGATGGAGGAGTCTTGCTCTGTCGCCCAGGCTGGAGTGCAGTGGCACAATCTCTGCTCACTACAACCTCCACCTCCCGGGTTCAGGCAATTCTCCTGCTTCAGCCTCCGGAGTAGCAGGGATTTACAGGCACATGCCACCCCGCCCGGCTAATTTTTTTGTATTTTTAGTAGAGACGGGGTTTCACCATGTTGCCCAGGCTGGTCTCAAACTCCTGACCTCAGGTGATCCACCCGCCTCGACCTCCCAAAGTGCTGGGATTACAGGTGTGAGGCACTGCGCCCAGCTGGACAGTCTTATATTTAATTAACGTTTAATTTGTGCTTGAAAATTAGGACAACCCATTGTCACTAATTCCTCTTAATAGCAAACTTAAGCATAGATACGGCCCAACTTGCATAATCAGAGCCATATGTCACCCTCTCATCTGTGTTAGCAACTAAGAGAGCCCATTACTATTACTTTTTTTTTTTTTTTTAAGATGGAATCTCACTCTGTTGCCCAGTCTGGAGTGCAGTGGTGCTATCTCGGCTCACTGCAACCTCCACCTCCCAGGTACAAGCGATTCTCGTGCCTCAGCCTCCTGCCTGAGTAGCTGGGACTACAGGCACCCACCACCGCACCTGGCTAATTTTTTGTATTTTTAGTAGAGACGGGGTTTCACCATGTCGGCTGGGCTGGTATCGAACTCCTAACCTCAGGTGGTCTGCCCACCTCGGCTTCCCAAAGTGCTGGGATTACAGGCACGAGCCACCATACCTGGCCACTATCACCTTTTTTAATGAAATAATTCATAATACCAAAAGTATATTTATCTTATAAGCTTATATCTTATACTTTATACCTTTTTTCCTGCCTCTAATAACATTTATCTCATTGTCTGTCAAACCTCCTTCTTCTTGAGGCCCACCCACCACCAATCTGAAAACAAGAGGCAAGTGTTTATTTTTCTTAAAGCAACATAATACTTCAGGAACCAATTTTTGTTTCATTTACAGTTACATTACAAACTACCTCAAAACTTAGTGGCTTACAACAACCATTTTATCTTGCTCATGATTTTATGAGTCAGTAATTTGGGAAGGATTTATCTGGGCAGTTGGCACCGGCTGGGCCTGTAAGATCTGCTTCTATGATAACTTCTTCACTTGCATTTCTGGTTCCTCCGTGCTCCTTGACCTCCGCACATGGATCTGTCATCCTCCAGGGCTTCTCCATAGTTGTCTTACAGTAGTCATATTTTATACTACGTGGTAGTTGGCTTCTAAGAGAAATACCTCAAGAGCAAGTGTTCTGAGAAAGTGGAAGCTAGACATGGGTAGGTAAGGGTTATGCCTAGAACTGGCACAGGATCACTTCAGTATTGTATTCGTCAGAGCCATGATAGGACCCACCTGAGTTGAAGGGAATGGGGAAATAGGCTGTACCTAAACTTGATACTGACGAGGTCACATTGCAGAAGAACATGTGGATGGGAGATATTGTTGCCATCTTTGGAAAATACAAATTGTCACACATTTACTGTCCTTTGATAATGCTTTTCCCCAGTATTTAAATAGCTATGTATTATTTAGTGTCTCTTAAAACTTGTTTCCAATTTTTGTAGCTATAGTTAATGCTATTCAACATGTGATAGTTGTTTAATTGGTTCTCTTTTATTTGAATTACAAGATTTTTATTTGAAACATATGAAGTGTTATGATTTGGTATTAGCTGCCCATTTCATCAGTGATCCTTGAGATACTGGTAGTGACTCTAAAACAACCAATTTTTTATTTTTTTATTTTTGAGACAGGGTCTCACCCTGTTCCCCAGGCTGGAGTGCACTGAAATCATCTCGACTCACTGCAACTTCCACCTCCCTGGTTCGTTCAAGCGATCCTCTCACCTTAGCCTCCTGAGTAGCTGGGACTACAGGCACACAGCACCACACCTGGCTAATTTTTGTATTTTTTTGTAGAGACGAGGTTTAGCTGTGTTGCCCATGCTGGTCTTGAACGTCTGGCCTTAAGCAGTCTACCCGCCTTGGCCTCCCAAAATGTCCACGCCCAACCTGGGCCAATTCTTAAAGTTTTGTTGTTCCTACTGTGAAACTGTTAGTTGTCTTTGCTTGTTTGTTTGTTTTGTTTTTGAGACCGAGTCTCGCTCTGTCGCCCAGGCAGGAGTGCAGTGGCTTTATCTTGGCTCACTGCAACCTCTGCCTCCCGGGTTCCAGTGATTCTCCTTCCTCAGCCTTCTGAGTAGTGGGATTACAGGTGACCACCACCATGCCCAACTAATTTTTGTATTTTTAGTAGAGATAGGGTTTCGCCATATAGGCCAGGCTGTTCTCAAACTCCTTACCTCAAGTGATACACGTGCCTCGGCTTCCCAGAATGCTGGGATTACAGGCATGAGCCACTGTGTCCGGCCGAAACTGTTTGTTCTAACAGCACTCTTTTGTGGGGGTTTTTTCCCAAATTCCAATTGTATGATTATGTCGTTTTAAAAGTTGAACACTAGGTGGCAGTATTATTGTATTTAGATAATCAGTTCATGAATTTGACCTTGTACATTGCCCATAAATTGATTTTTATAATCAGTAAAGTATTAGCTTAGTAACCTGCCATAATTGCTATTAAAACATAAAATTGGTCTATCATGACTTTATAAATTATTTCACAATGAGGAGTTGTTTGAAACTAGTAGTAGTATTTCTAGTTAAAGCCACTTTTTTGTGTACCATTTAAATCTAAATTATTTGATTGTATGTAAAAGCAACGTAAGGAAAATACTGGAAAATAGCTTAGGTATATTTGAAAGAGAGAAATGAGTCCATTTGACCTCTCCCTTCTACTAAACTCATTCTGCATATTGTTTATACCAGCGAATCTGAAATATGAATATATAAATGGGCATTAAGAGTCAGCTGGGGAATGTGCTTAAAAAGATTCTAGGCTCCATTCCCAGAAATTCTAATGTAGGTCATACATTGGTAACATATTGAGGAACACAAATCTGTACTACTTTATAATTTACCACATTCTTTTGGATTTTCTGTACGTTTAGATTTTTTATCTTCATATTTTCCATGTCTTCACACCTACACTGCAAACTCCTTTGGGGCATATATTTTATAATTGTGTGTCTCCATTGCTCCTAGTATAGCTAGAAGTCAGTGTCTCTAGAATTGAGGGTTGGCTTTACTAATTAGTAAGCTGTGTAACTATAGTTACATACTTTGTTCAAGCTTAATTTGTTTCATCTGTAAAATCTTTTTTCCTCACCCATGAAAGACAGATACATCTCAGAATTGCTGAGTCAGATGAAATAATGTATAAAATATATAGTGTAATTTTAGTATAAGATTTCACTGATACATATTGTGGAGATACAAGTGCTTTTTTTTGAGACAGGGTCTCGCTCTGTTGCCCAGGCTAGTGGCATGATTATGGCTCACCGCAACCTTGACCTCTCAGGCTCAGGTAGCCTCCTGCCTCAGTTTCCCAAGTAGCTGTCGCCACGGGCTCAAACCACCACCCTCAGCTAATTTTTTAAAAAATTATTAATATTTGTAGAGACAGCATCTCCCTGTGTTGCCCAGGCTGATCTCGAACTCCTGGGCTCAAGCAATCCTCCTGCTCCAGACTCCACAGTGCTAGAACAGGCATGAGCACTGTGTTCGGCTTCCCCCTTGTTTTTTTTTAACCTTGTAGAAAAAGAGGGTGATTCTAAGTGTGAGATGCCACATTTCATAGCATGTCAGTTGCAACATATCTTTGAGTGATTGCTGTGGGTCTGGTATATTTAATGCTCCAATTATAGTATGTTAAAGATTATTGGGTTACCCTCTTTCAGTTAGCATTAACAGTGTTTCCTAAAGGAAAAAATCAGGTTTCATTTAATATGGCCAAGTTAAGTTTTTAAAATAAACGTATTTGTATTCACTTACAAGTTATTTCTTTGGCATCCCTTGTAAGCCGTTAGACACAGCCTTCTTGCCTAATACAGCTTTTAATTTGGGTGCAGTTTTTCTCTTAAACATCAAAAAATTACTCATTAACTGCTTGAGTAGCAGACTGCCCTTTGAGCTGGTTTGTTTCCATTTTACAGAAGGGGAAACTGAGACTCAGAGTGCTTAGGTAACTAGCTCAAGATTCCCATCTTCTGAGTGACAGAGCCACATAAATCCAGGTCTATGGGACTTAAAAACCTTTTTTTACCATATGTCTCAGTTAAGCACTGTGCTGGTTGGTCACTGAGAGTGATAGAAAGATGAGAATGCTGTAAGCAAACCCTGGAGCAACTCTTTGGATAGTGTATGAAAGAGAGTAGGGTAACTTAATACAGTATCCGCGGTAAAAGCTACATTACAGATCTTCCGAGTATGGTGACATCCTGAAGATAGTACTGTTGAATTTCGAGTGAAGCATAGTTTTTAAGAATGAGTAAGGATTTATGGAGAGAAAATGATTCCAAGTAAAGAGAAAAAGAAACCTATGCCATAGGATAGAAGCCTAAACAGTAGTAGTGAGTGAGTGGCCAAATTTATTGTGGCCAAATTTAGGATACACCTTCAACCAGTGCATCAGCTCCTCATCTTAGATGCTGCTGCTCCTATCGACCTACTTGTATTTGAGGAAAATTGAAATGTAATAAGATATCCAGGGATGGAGCTTACAATGTATTTTCCTCACTATTTTCCACTATCACCTTGAACAGTTTTCTTTACGGTCTAAACATCAGGGGCAAAGTAGGCTTTTATGGGCTGGTCTGGGAAATAAACTGTGATATGCTTTGTTTCTAGGAGATAATTCATGTTGAGTTCCTACTCAATTTATGGCAACATAAACTGTGATTTAGAGACTGGTGATTTAGAGACTTGCTGTATTATTAATAGTATTTCTTTATAAAGTATCTCTTGGTCAGCATTCTCTTCAAAATTGTCTAATGCAAAATTTCAGTAAGAATGTATAGTGACCCTAGACTAAAAATTAGGATTATTTGACATGTCATGAGAAGGAATGGTAGAAAGGATTATATGACCACAGAAAGTGTGGAAGCTAATGATACATTTCATCATCAACATTAGACTGTTTACAGCATGTTGACTTAAAATAGTTTTCCAAAGTACCTTGGATTTTTTTTTTTTACTTTAAATGTAAAAATATTTGATGTTTAGAGTTTGTCCACGTTGAATAATAATACGTTCAGATTCTTGAACTTTTAGACTTACCAGCACATTTAACAACATACGTAGTTTGTAAACTAAATGAGCCTGTGAAGACAAGTAATTTGGGTTTATTCTGAGACTTCTACTTCTGAATTCTCTACTACAGGTTGTATGCCACAGTGATTAAGATTAGTTTCCAGGAAGACAGCAGAAAGAATTGAAATTCTGGGAAATTCCTCTTCATGTTCCTGTTTTTAAAAATTCCTTTCTGAGGAGCCAGGGGCTTGTGCCGTAATCCTGATAACTCAGGAGGCTGAGGCGGGAGGATCACTTGGGGCCAGGAGTTCAAGACCAGCCTAGGCAATGTAGTGAGACGGTGTCTGTAAAAAAAAAAAAAAAAAAAAAAAAAAAATTTAATTAGCTGTGTGTGGTGGCGCAAGCCTATAGTCCTAGCTACTTGGGGGAATTAGTTCCCCCAAGTAGCTAGGGAGAATTGTTTGAGCCCAGGAGTTTGAGGCTGCAGTGATATGATTGTGTCACTGCACTCTAGCCTGGGTGACAGATCAAGACCCCACCTCCAAAAAATAAAACAAAATTTTAAATTCCTTTATTAAATTGCAATAAGAAATAAGAAGCAAAAACACTCTTAAGAGTCTAGGTCAGGCTAGAAAATCAGACCCTCCTCAGTATTTACTTCCTGGCTGCTTTTGGTGTGTTGCAATTTCCCCTGCACGATAAGCCCTTCTGGTTTTCACATTGCGCTATGAAATACCTTTGGTTGGATTTCCAGTTGCTTGCATAGTAAAGAGGATAAATGTCTGTTTAATTTGTCTTTGTTTGCGATTCCCTTCAGAATATGAGGCAGAGTACCCTGATTTTTCTGGACATTCTTTCTCACTTCTCCTCTCCCCCATCCTATTATTTCTTACAGCTGAGACTGCTGGTTATTTGCCAACATCCATTTCCCCATTCTTTCATTAGTAAGAGTCCCTGAGTTTTACATGGGCATGTATGTGGCTGCTCACCTAGACCCTATTTCCCAGTTTCCCTTGTAGCTAGGTACGCCATGTGGTTAAGTTCTGACCAGTGGGTTTGTAAGTATTAGAAGAGATGTGTACAACTCTAGTTTATGTCATAAGAAAAGATGTATCCTTACTTTTTTTCCTTCCCGATGGCTAGAATGCAGACATGATAAAGGAAATTACCAACAGCTGTCCCGTGCTACAAAATGCAAGCCATAGTAAGGATAACTTATCAAAAAGATAGAAGGAGCTTGGGTCATACTAGCCTAGGACTGTTAAGTATGGACTGTTAACATGAGAAACTTCTATCTTGTTTAAGTCACTACTATTTTTTATTTAATTATAGCAACCCTACCTGTATGTCCTTCCTTAAAAACTTCTGGAATCCTGGCCAGGCGTGGTGGCTCACACCCATAATCCCAGCAATTTGGGAGGCCGAGGCAGGCAGATCACGAGGTCAGGAGTTTGAGACCAGCCTGACCAACATGTTGAAACCTCGTCTCTACTAAAAATACAAAAATTAGCTGGGCATTAGCCTGGCGTGGTGGTGCGCGCCTGTTATCCCAGCTACTTAGAAGGCTGAGAAAGGAGAATCACTTGAACTTGGGAGGTGGAGGTTGCAGTGAGTCGAGATAGTGCCACTGCCCTCCAGCCTGGGCGACACAGCGAGACTCTGTCTCAAAAAAAAAAAAAAAAAAAAAAAAACTTAATGGAATCCTGTGGGAAGTTTCTCTTGTTTGGGTCATCTATTAGTCTGCTGGGGACTGTGCTAATGCCCATAAAGACTGAGAGTACTGGTGTTAGTGATGTTGGAAGATTATCTGGATTGGATTGACAATTCTTTATTATAGGATGAATAAACTTAAAAATCAATATGAGGCTTATGAATATAAAACTGTAATAAAGAGAAACAGGGATCCTATGGACTTAGCAGAAAACTGTGCCCCTAATATAGTTTAATTACTCAGAGAAAGTTACAGAAACCAATGTGATCAGTGCGCTAAAGGGTCTATTATTGAAATATTATGGAAGATTTCTATTAAATGTCAGAAAAAAGTAACACAGCACAAGGAGACAAACACAATAAAACTGGTTTTTAGGTGGTAATTAGCAGACTTAACACTCTAAAAAACTAAATCAGTAAAGCAGAGAACAAACCTGAGATACACCCACAGTGTGCAAGAAGACAAGATATCTGTTAAGTTAGTAAGACAAGGTACCCATTGTGGTACTACTTGAAGATCCAGGTGAATAAGATAAAAGAGAATAAAACTTTACATTCCTAGCAGAAGAGCTCAGGGCTACAAATCAAGAATTGTGCATAGCACTGGGGATTGCATCCTTTTAATATTTAAAAAATTATATTAATAGAGACTTGCAACCAACCAGTAAAAAGGTTACTTTCTTTTTTTTTTTTTTTTTTTTTTTTTTTATTGAGATGGAGTTTCACTCTTGTTGCCCAGGCTGGAGTACAATGGCATGATCTCGGCTTACTGCAATCTGCACCTCCCAGGTTCAAGCAGTTCTCCTCCTCAGCCTCCCAAGTACCTGGGGTTGCAGGCATGCAGCACCACGCCCATCTAATTTCGTATTTTTAGTAGAGACCGGGTTTCACTATGTTGGTCAGGCTTGTCTCAAACTCTTGACCTCAGGTGATCCGCCCACCTTGGCCTCCCAAAGTGCTAGGATTACAGGCGTGAGCCACCGCACCCGGCCTAAAAAGGTTACTTTCAAAGGACCTAAAATCATATTGACAGATTACTTCTCTGTGACAATTGCTGAAATACAATGAAATTATCCCTAATTCTTCAGTTTGTCATTTGGTACAAAAAGGAAGCCATAGAACAATCTTCTGGGCTGGACGCAATTGCTCATGCCTGTATTCCCAGCACTTTGGGAGGCTGAGGTGGGTGGACTACCTGAGGTCAGGAGTTCGAGACCAGCCTGGCCAACGTGGTGAAACCCTGTCTCTACTAAAAATACAAAAAATTAGCTGGGCGTGGTGGTGGATGCCTGTAATCCCAGCTACTCGGGAGGCTGAATTAGGAGAATTGCTTGAACCTGCAAGGCGGAGGTTGCCGTGAGCTGAGATTACCCCATTGCATTCCACCCTGGCCAACAAGAGTGAAACTCCATCTCAAAAAGAATAATAATAAATAAAAAGAGCAGTCTTTTATACGACTTTATACATAAATCTCCAAAATACAGTGCCAAATTATCTTTGTTAATTGTCACTTGGAACAGCACTAATGACTATTCCCTTAACGTTTTTGGTTCTCCTTGAGGGTATATGATGTAATTGTATTTCTCCCCTTTGAAGCATGACCACTTGACTGACTTTGGCCAGTGGCATGTGAGTGGAAATGTTACTGTCACTTTTGGTCAGAAGCCATTATTAAGTCTGTGTATAACTTCCCACATTTCCCTTCCCCCATCCATGGTAACTGGCAATATCTCAGGTGATAAAGATCCTGTCACCTTGAATAAGGATGGTGTAAGAAGCTTCCATAAAGTTATCTCTTTATAGACATGTAATGTGAATAAGAAATAAACCTTCATTTTAAGCCACTGAGCTTTTAAAATTGTTACTCCAGTATAACTTGATTTATCCTAACATGTAAGTATTAAAGTATAATAGCTCTCAAACAACTGTGATTAGCTTTTTACAACATAAGAAGACAATATGGGCTGGGTGCAGTGGCTCACACCTGTAATCCCAGCACTTTGGGAGGCCAATGTTTGCGGATAACATGAGGCCAGGAGTTCGAGAGCAGCCTGGGCAACATAATGAAACCCCGTCTCTACTAAAAATACAAAAATTAGCCAGGCGTGGTGGCACACGCCTGTAGTCCCAGCTACTCAGGAGGCCAAGGCAGGAGAATCGCTTGAACCTAGGAGGCAGAGGTTGCAGTGAGCCAAGATTGCACCATTGCGCTCCAGCCTGGGTGACTGAGCGAGACTCCATCTCAAAAAAAAAAAAAAAAAAAAAAAGACTGTGTAAGAAACACAGTGGTCTGGTAGGAAGACAGACATTTAATAAACTCAACACTTACTCCTATTTAAGATACTTAGAGTAGAATAATGCTTTAATAGACTGTTTCAGTTGTATGCATAATGTTGAAATGTTTCAGTTTAAAATCAAGAGCACTGTTTTGAAAGTTTTGACTAGTGCTTTAGATATAAAATATAAATGAAAGTTAAGCATTGGAAATGGAATATGTTTTTTGCCACTGATGGGGTTCTCTAGAATAGTCAAATTTAAAAAATTAATAGTCTATTAAAAGTGACTGAATTTAAGCATATAAAATATAGCAATTAGTAGTTAGAAAATGAGATTTTTAACATAAAAAAATCTAGGTCTAGTCTTAAGTGTGGCATACATCATACTTTGAAATCTGAAAGAAGACCTTGAGGAAAGAGTATTCCCTTGTTGAAGAAGATAAGAATTGTCCTGTGATTCCCAAAATAATATATAGGTTTGGTGTCATTTAATTCAAAATCAGTAGTATATTAGTGGGAATGAGTTTTTAATTTTTAATTTATTGAGCTGTAATTGCTTACAATAAAACATAGTTTGAATTTTGACAGTGCACTTACTGGTGTAACCCACACCTTAATCAAGATACAAAGACCGTTTCTCTCACCTTAGAAGTCATTTTGGCAGCCTGGCGCGGTGGCTCACGCCTGTAATCCCAGCACTTTGGGAGGCCAAGGCGGGTGGATCACAAGGTCAGGAGATCGAGACCATCCTGGTTAACACAGTGAAACCCTGTCTCTACTGAAAATACAAAAATTAGCCAGGCGTGGTGGTGGGCGCCTGTAGTCCCAGCTACTCGGGAGGCTGAGGCAGGAGAAGGGCGTGAACCAGGGAGGTGGAGCTTGCAGTGAGCCGAGATTGTGCCACTGCACTCCAGCCTGGGTGACAGGGCGAAACTCCATCTCAAGAAAAAAAAAAAAGTCATTTTGGCTGGGCACAGTGGCTTGTGCCTGTAATCCCAGCACTTGGGGAGGCCGAGGCGGACGGATCACAAGGTCGGGAATTCGACATGAGCCTGGCAAACCTGGTGAAACCCCGTCTACTAAAAATACAAAAATTAGTCAGACGTGGTGGCAGGCGCCTGTAATCCCAGCTACTTGGAAGCTGAGGCAGGAGAATTACTTGAACCTCAGAGGCAGAGGTTGCAGTGAGTTGAAATCGTGCCACTGCACACTAGCCTGGGCAAAAGAGTGAGACTCCGTCTCGGGGGAAAAAAAAAGAAGTCATTTTATGCCACTTGCCAATCACTCCCACCCAGCAATAGCCACTGAACTGATTTCTGTTCTCATAGATTATTTTCCCGTTTTTTTCAACTTCATGTGAATGAAATCATATAGTATGAACTTTTTTGTGACTGACATTTTTGGCTTGAAATAATTTCAAAAAATTTCAAAAAGTTTTGAGATATATTTGTTGTTGCATATATCAGTAGTTTATTTACTGAAGAATATTCCATTGTACACATTTTTCTGTTGATGGGTTGTTTCTAATGGGTAAATACACTCACTCCATCCCTCAGTATCTGTGGGGGACTGGTTCCAGGACCTCCCTTGCATACCAAAATTTGCAGATGCTCTAGTCTCTGATACAATATGACGTAGTATTTGCCCATGCACATCCTCCCATATACTTTAAATCATCATCTTTAGATTACTTACGTAGTGTAAATGCTGTGTAAATAGTTGTTTATATTGTGCTCAGGGAATAATAGCAAGAAAAAAATGTCTGTACATGTTCAGTACAGGCGTATTTTTTCTCCAAATGTTTTCAATCTGGTTGGTTGAATCCGCGGATGCAGAATACACAGATACAGGCCGGGCGCGGTGGCTCACGCCTGTAATCCCAGCACTTTGGGAGGCAGAGGTGGGCGGATCACGAGGTCAGGAGATCGAGACCATCCTGGTTAACACGCTGAAACCCTGTCTGCACTAAAAAAAGTACAAAAAAATTAGTCAGGCATTGTGGTGGGCGCCTGTAGTCCCAGCTACTCGGGAGGCTGAGGCAGTAGAATGGCATGAACCCAGGAGGCGGAGCTTGCAGTGAGCCGAGATTGAGCCACTGCACTCTAGCCTGGGCGACAGAGCGAGACTCCGTCTCAAAAAAAAAAAAAGAATACACAGATACAGCAGGCCAACTGTACTTAAGAGTGGAATTGCCAGATTGTAAGATAGGTGCCAAAGTGACTAAACCACTTGAAACTGGTGCAAGTGACTTTTGACAATTACTCTCGGTTTCTTCTTGAAAAATAGAGATGGAATTCGTATTCTCTTCAGAATATGGTAAGATGTTTCAGTTAATACTCTTTAGACACCACTCTAATATATGGATTGAGAGCTAATGTGTGAAATACATAAATACACATATTGGGTGCGTTTACTCTTTTGGATGGGGAACTTGATTAAAAGTGTTAAAGGTCACACTCTAGGTGGAGGGAGGAGTCGTGCATATATATTATAGTAGTGTAAGTTTTCTTTGATACTATAAATCTTCACATAGACTACAGTGTGTGGTTAAGAAGGAAACTAGTGGAAATTCATATGTGTCTCTGTTTCTAGAACACTAAAGGATATGTGAAGTTTTGTGTATTTGCTAATTGGCTGGCTGCTTCCTTTTCAAAAGTTGACTATAGATTATACCCAGGCATGGCTGCCTTGTACCACTTAGCCCTTGAAAAAGTTTTGTCTCGCAGCTTTCTTCCAGAGCAACTTTTAAAAATACTACTCCATTTAGATTTTCTTCAAATGAAAATTCTTTATGTGTTCTAATTTTTTCTGAATGGACTTGCCCTGTTTCTTGTTACTCATGCACTTAATCTGCTGGACTAGTTGTAGTTGCATGGTATGCTAAATGAGTTGTTTTGGAAACTTCATTCCTTGTGAATGCTCTTTTGAGTAGTTAAATATAAAAAGAGGGAATGGTTCTTAGCACAAACCACAGATTCTTGAACGAGTCATTTAGATCATTCCTACGTATGTGGAAAAATTACATCACCACCCAGTGTTGCGCTTTCTATTTATACTATACTACCTTAAAATAATCCATTTAAAAAAAATAAAAAATCCATCTTGTCTTTATAAAAACAGTATAAAGCAGGCAGCAAATGAATCTCATGGTAAGGTATTTCAGAAAATGCTATGAAATGAAGCATCTTAGCTAACTAATGGTTTATCTTTAGATTTCTAGAGAGACTTAAAAGATGTGGGCATACCTTCCTGCCTTTTCATTTATGCCATTCTCTTGATACATTCATGTATGTTAATAAAAATATTGCAAGTTATTGATGACATTTGTTGATTTTTTTTAGCTTAAAATTTAGTAACTCTGGGTTTGAAGGCCACGGTTATTTTTGTTCTATGCATGTTTGTGTTTTTATTTTGCCAAATAGGAAAGTTAGATTGTCTTTTCTGTCTTTGGACATAAGTGCATGGGAACACCATGGTATCACTTTAATTGGTGGATGCTATTAAAGGGACTAAATTCTGTCTAAAAATACCATGCTGGTGTTTATGATAAATTTAATGAAAAGAGCTTGTCATGAAACAGGCACAGTATCTAAATTTTAGGAAAACGTAGGTGCATACATATGAACGAAAAACACAGAGCATATATGAAAATATAGTGGTCATTGGGTATTGGGAATGCAGGTAATTTTTTTCTAACGTATCTTTTAGTGAGCAAATATTTTGTAAAAAGGAAGAAAAATTGATCTCTTTAGTGTGATCTCTTTGAGACATGGGCTTGTTGGTGAATAGTACTCACTGCACAGTGGTTTGGTAAGGTTTCAGTGCACAATGACAATTTATGATACTTTTAAGTATCTTTTTAAAATCTGCATAATTCAAACTGCTTCCTAAGTTTAGTGATGTTTATTATGAGGAAGAGGAAACAGATAAATCCTTGTAATGCCATCCATCTAACGCTTTTCTCCTTGTTTCGGGCCACCTGCTCAATGTGTGATGTATTAAAATTGCCTTCTAACTTACTGTCCTGCTTCTGCCTTCCTTGCGTGTTCTCCTTGCATACAGGGATGGCACATGGGAACTCTGCCTCTAATCTCAATCCCTTTGTAATGTGGACACATGGTAGTCCAACTGATAATCCGCTTTTACCTTGGTGATTCAGTTGTTTAAAGAAAAGTTTTTCTGTTGTGCATGGTGGCCCACCCCTGTAATCCCAGCACTTGGGGAGGCCGAGGTGAGTGGATCACTTGAGCCTAGGGGTTCACGACTAGCCTGGGCAACATGGCAAAACCCCATCTCTACAAGAAATACAAAAATTAGCCAGGCAGGCAGTGGTGGTGCATATCTGTAGCTGCTCAGGAGGCTAAGGTGGAAGTATTGCTTGAGCCCCAGAGGCAAAAGCTGCAGTGAGCCAAAATTGCACCACTGTACTCAAACCTGGGCAACAGAGTGAGACCCTGTCTGAAAAAAAGGAAAAGAAAAAAGAAAAATTTTGTCAGAGGCTTCAGAAATGAATCATTCTCTTGAGCATTTGCTTACTTTAGACAGGGTCTCCCTCACCTAGGCTGGAGTGCAGTGGTGTAATCATGGCTCCCTGCAGCCTCAACCTCCTGGGCTCAGGTGATCCTCCCACCTCAGCCTCCCTACAGGCACATGCCACCACGCCCAGCTAATTTGTTTTTGTATTTTTTTGTAGAGACAGGGTTTCACCATGTTGCCCAGGCTGGTCTTGAACTCCTGGGCTCATGTGATTTTCCTGCTTAAGCCTCCCAAAGTGCTAAGATTACAGGTGTGAACCACCATGCCCAGCCTTTTTTTAAATCTATCACTAAGATTATATGATCACTATACTCTGGTTGTTTATGAGCATTTAAATTAATTTTTATATAAAAAATTAAAAAGTTAGCATAGTCTAGGTGGAATTCCTTCCGTTTTCTCTGTTCTTTGCTGTCCTCCTGATCAAATACTTAGCGGAGCACTTGGAAGCTTTTAAAGTCTTCTATGGAGATTAATTTTTGTTTGTTTGTTTGTTTTGTTTTGTTTTTTTTTTGAGATGGAGTTTCACTCTTGTTACCCTCTTGTTGCGATCTCAGTTCACCACAGCCTCCACCTCCCAGGTTCAAGCAGTTCTCCTGCCTTAGCCTCCTGAGTAGCTGGGATTACAGGCATGTGCCACCACGCCCAGCTATTTTGTATTTTTAGTAGAGACAGGGTTTCTCCATGTTGGTCAGGCTGATCTCAAATTCCCAACCAGGTGACAGCCCGCCTGGACCTCGCAAAGTGCTGGGATT
Organism: Homo sapiens; assembly: GCF_000001405.40. Lineage (NCBI taxonomy): Eukaryota > Metazoa > Chordata > Mammalia > Primates > Hominidae > Homo > Homo sapiens. Next base: position 88,865,599 of record NC_000001.11, on the reverse strand, counting down.
ACAGGCATGTGCCACCATGACCAACTAATTTTGTATTTTTAGTAGAGACGGGGTTTCTCCATCTTGGTCAGGCTGGTCTCAAACTCCTGACCTCAGGTGATCCGCCTGCCTCGGCCTCCCAAAGTGCTGGGATTACAGGCCTGAGCCACCACACCCGGCTGGAGATTAATGTTTTAAACTGATGCGTCTCCCTTATCATCCCCACAAAAAAGGAGAAACTCAGAATATTTGCTATCTTTCTAATTTTCATAGCAGTAAATAGTGAATATTGAGCACTTAGTACTACTTTTTAAGCACTTTACATGCACTGTACATGGGTATTATAATAGCTTAGTCTTTATAATCTTTAAAATATGAGGTTAAAGAGAATTTTAGAGCTGAGGTAATAAAGACATAGAAATGAAGTAATATTCCAAGGCTAAGCAGCAAAGGGCAGAGTTCACACCCCTGACTATTATATTAATTGACTGCTAGTACCGTAACTTCTAATTGCTACAGTAACTGGTTTCTGCCGTTTGTTTCTTTCTGTTTGCTGTGTATACACAAAGATGAAATGGTCTGGTTCCTTCCTACTTTCAGCTTCATCACACTTCACTGAAAAAGGTCATGTTTTACAATTGGAGTGTAGAACAAACTCTGATGTGCGTTTCAGTTCTAGCTATGTGATCTTAGGCTAGTTAATCTTATTTGTAAAGTGGCAATAAAATTGGTACCTACCTTTATAAGGCTGTGAAGATTAAGTGAGAACATTTACAAAAGGGCACAGTGAGTAGTATGTGTTAAGTATTCAGTGTTAACTTTTGTCTACTCTGAAGGTATTGCCAGACATTGAGCTTTCTCACCAAAACAGTAATAATAAGGTTTACTTGTGTCTGCTTTTATTGGACATGATATATTTAGATGCTGCCTCTTTGCTTAAAGAGAAAAGTTTGCCTACCAGGCTTTCTTCTCACGGATTCTAGGCTTGAGGTTTATTCTGTATAAATTATTTGGCCAGGTATGTTTTTCATCAGATTGTTACTTTGAAACAGAAGCTTAGGCTTATTTTCTGCGAAGCATTTCCCACGCAAACTTAGTGACATTTTAATATGAAATTATTTGCATTAATACCATTCTAAAAAATGTTTTCTCTTTTTTTCCCATGCCTATTGCAAATTTTGTGCAAAATCTGGTTCTTAATCATTATTACATTGGTTTACCTTTGCATCACATATGAATAGCTGTACTTTGCTACTTTTGACTAATACTTTTTCTTCCAAGAGTTAGAATATCATAGCATAATGTTTCAAGAGGATTATTGTTAGATTGGCACAATAGTTAAAGGAATGCTTTAGGACAAATGTCTGAAATGTGATATTTAAGCTTGGTCCTAGATGTCCATGTTGAGATTTCCTGGGAATAAAATGGCTTAGTTGGGCATTGGACAGTGTAGTTAAGTAAACCCTATCTTGACAAAATGATTCAGATATGTGCTTATATTCTTAGGTGACCGGGTTATTGATGTGGGATCTGAATGGCGAACTTTCAGCAATGACAAAGCAACAAAAGATCCATCTCGAGTTGGAGATTCTCAGAATCCTCTTCTGAGTGATGGAGATTTGTCTACCATGATTGGCAAGGTAATAAGTCCATTTGGCAGGAAATACCAATTGCAGAGTGACCATAGACCTGAGAGTTTGGGAACTTTGCAAAAGTATCAGTCACTGCACCAGTGGGGAATCTTGACCTGTCTAATAAGATTTGCCAGTAATATCATTGTGAATGATGGCTAACTTGTGTGTGTATTCCATCTTAAAGTGGGGAAGACCATTAAATCAAAATTATAAAGCCTTTATATCAGGCCTTTTTTCATAAATGACATTTTCTGTACACACAAAAAATGAGTGTAGTGTGGCCTTCATGAGTTAATATTGATATGTTCTTTGAATATCAAGAATGTCTTCTCAGCTGGGCATCATGGCTCACACCTGTGATCCCAGCACTTTGGGAGGCCAAGGCAGGCGGATCACAAGGTCAGGAGTTCGGGACCAGCCTGGCAAATATGGTGAAACCCCATCTCTACTACAAAAAAAAAGGAAAATAGAAAAATTAGCCAGGCTTGGTGGCGGGCACCTGTAGTCCCAGCTTACTCGCGAGGCTGAGGCAGAAGAATTGCTTGAACCCAGGAGGCGGAGGTTGCAGTGAGCCAAGATCGCGCCACTGAACTCCAGCCTGGGCAACAGAGTGAGACTCTGTCTCAAAAAAAAAGAAAAGAATGTCTTCTCTTTTCTCTCTATACCACTTAAGATAAATGGGAGGTTAGTGTAACCTCTTTTCTGATATTAGTGAATTTATGACTTACCTAACTTTACATTCCTTATCTGTAAAATGAGAATAAGAGTACTTATAGAGTTTTTGAGGGTTTCATGAGAATGTATGTAAAGTATTTATATAACATGTATTGTATACTGTGTGCTCAGTCAGTGGTAGCTGCTATCATTGTGTAAGGCAATAGTATAGTTTTCTTGGCAGCCTGATTCTCACTCTGTTATCCGAGTTGGAAGTAATAGTGACGGTATTACTGAGGGCTAATCAAGGAAGTATACACCATTTTATAACTTCATGTATACTATTGCATAGTCTCTTTTTTTTTTTTTTCCAAAAAAGTCTTGTTTAAAATCTGTCTGGCTGGGCACAGTGGCTCATGCCTGTAATCCCAGCACTTTGGGAGGCCGAGGTGGGTGGAGATCAGGAGTTCAAGACCAGCCTGGCCAAGATGGCGAAACCCCGTCTCTACTAAAAATACAAAAAGTAGCTGGGCATGATATGATGGTGGGCACCTGTAATCCCAGCTACTCAGGAGCCTGAGGCAAATAATTGCTTGAACCCGGGAGGCGGAGGTTGCAGTGAGCTGAGATCGCGCGACTGCACTCCAGCCTGGGCAACAGAGTGACACTCTTGTCCAGGCAGGTCTTGAACTCCTGGTCTTCAGCAGTCCTCCCGCCTCAGGCACCCAAAGTGCTGGGATTACAGGCATGAGTTTACCATGCCGAACCCTGTATAGTCTGTTTTGTTTTTGAGACGTTCTAACACTGTCGCTAAGGTGGGAGTGCAGCAGTAGCTTGATCTCGTCTCACTGCAACCTCCACCTCCCAGGCTGAAGCGATCCTTCCACTTCAGCCTCCCAAGTAACTGGGACCACAGGTGTGGGCCACGACACATGGCTAATTTTTGTATTTTTTGTAGAGACAAAGTTTCGCCATGTTGCCCAGGCTTGTCCCAATTCTTGGGCTCAAGTGATCCACCCACCTCGGCCTCCCAAGGTGCTGGAATTACAGGTGTGATCCACCATCCCTGGGCAAGATAGAAATATTTTTAAGCTGCTAGATTTATCACATAATAAATTTCTATGTGTACTTGGGCATATTTCTCAACTTTCTATCTTTTCCTGTCCTGGTCCAGTTAGTCAAATGCCATACAACACTGTTTTAGTATTTAGTAGCACTAGTTTTCCCTCATTGCTCTTTTTCAGCATTTTCTTCGCTAGTCTTTTCCATTTAAAGGTTAAGTTTGTTTCATTTTTTAAAAAAATTTAGGTTTGTTCACTTGCATTTTTTGTACCTTTGGAGTTGATTAAATGATTTTCCTCTTCAGCTCTATTAATATGATGTTTTATGTTATTAGATTCTTTAATATATTTGTGGAACAGTCTCCACTTGGTTGATATTACTGCCTTTTAATACCCTGTTGGATTCTGTTTCCTGTGGGGTTTTTTGGTTTTCTTCTTTTGAGACAGGGTCTCTTTCTGTCACCCAGTCTAGAGTGAAGTGATGTAATCATAGCTAACTGCAGCCTCAAACTCCCAGGCTTAGGTAACCCTCCTGCCTCAGCCTCCTGAGTAGCTGAGACCACAGGCGTGTGCCATCACACTCGGCCTGTTTTGTTTTGTTTTGTTTGAGACAGAGTTTCGCGCTTGTCACCCAGGCTGGAGTGCAATGGCACGATCTCTGCTCACTGCAACCTCCGCCTCCCAGGTTCAAGCGATTCTCCCGCCTCAGCCTCCCAAGCAGCTGGGATTGCAGGCATGTGCCACCACGCCTGGCTAATTTTGTACTTTTAGTAGAGGTAGGGTTTCTCCGTGATCATCAGGCTGGTCTCACACTCCCGACCTCAGGTGATCCGCCTGCCTCAGCCTCCTAAAGTGCCAGGATTACAGGCATGGGCCACTGCGCCTGGCCTGTTTTTTAATATTTAATATTCTCACTGGGGTTTTGGTCAGATTCATTTGCAAATTGACACAGGGAAAATTGGCTTCTTCATAATAAATCTTGTATTCAAAAATTCATAATGCCTTTCCATTTCCTTAGGTATCTTATGTGTCCTTCAGGAGATGTTTGAAAGTTTTCTTCATGAACGTCTCACATGTTTCTCAAGTTTATTTCAAGATTTTTGTTGTTGTTTTAATTGAAAAATTTGCTTTCCTTGTCTTTTAAGTTGGTTGATTGTACTTATGAAGGGTATTGATTTCTATTTATCTTGACCTTGCTGCTTTAATGAATTATTTATAGCAGCTGTTTTTTAGTGATTTTCTTGCATATTCCAGGTGTATAAAGGTACTATCTGCAAATAGTTTATCACATCCTTTCCAATTTTGTACTTCCGGTTTTTCTCTTGCTTAATACTATTGGCTAGTTTTTCCAATCAGTGTTACAAAATGGTAGCAGTAGGAGGTACCTTTGTCTTGTGATTTTGGTGATAATGCTGGTAATGTTTCTCCATTAATCATAGTACTTTCTTTGGGCAGAGGAGAGTGGTTTTCTAATGTAAAGAAGTACTCATTTGTAGCGTCCTATGAGTTTTTATCAAAGACGAATTTTGATTTTGTTCATTTGCCTTTTTAGCGTCTTTGGAGATGATCATGATTTTTCTTCTTACATCTATTAATATAATGTTTTACATTATTTGATTCTCTAATATCTTGTGGAACAATCTCTAGTTGGTCATGATATACTACCTTTTAATATGCTGTTGGATTCTGTTTTCTAGTATTTAATATTTTTTATCATATTTCTAAGTGAAATTAGACTGTTTCTTTTTCCATTGTTTTGTCAGGTGTTTGTATCATATTTCTATTTATACACTTTAAGCTTCCTATTTTCTATGTTCTTGAACAGTTGTTAGAATTACATGTTCATTTAGTATAGATGAGCAGGATGCACAATTCAGATTTCTGGTCTATGTAGAATCAGATCTTGTAAGCTATATTTTCATAGAAATTGTCCATTTTTCATGCTTTCCAAAAAATTTTTTCATAGTTATAAAACTGTTTTATAGGGCACAGGAGCTGCAAGTTTTGACGAATTTGGCAATTCTAAGTACCAGAATCGGAGAACAATGAGCAGTTCTGATCGGGCAATGATGAATGCATTCAAAGAAATCACTACCATGGCAGACAGAATCAATCTACCTCGAAATATAGTTGTAAGTTCTTGTCTACCTCCTTTAAGCCATTCTGGCATTGACTTTGCATAATTTAATGAACACATGAAATTTTGATATTGCAGCTAATTAAATGACGTAGAGTTAAACTTAGTTTCTCTGCTTTGAAGGATCGAACAAATAATTTATTCAAGCAAGTATATGAACAGAAGAGCCTGAAGGGAAGAGCTAATGATGCTATAGCTTCTGCTTGTCTCTATATTGCCTGTAGACAAGAAGGGGTTCCTAGGACATTTAAAGGTAAGTTTTTAGCTTTGTTTTTTTGTGTTTGTTTGTTTGTTTGTTTGAGATAGGGTCTCACTTTGTCGCCCAGGCCAGAGTGCAGTGGCGCAATCTTGACTCACTGCAACCTCTGCCTCCCAGGTTCAAGCTATACTCCTGCCTCAGCCTCCTGAGTAGCTGGGATTACAGGCATGTGCCACCACACCTGGTTAACTTTTGTATTTTTAGTAGAGACAGGGTTTCGCCATGTTGGCCAGGCTGGTCTCAAACTTCTGACCTCAGGTGATCTGCCCACTTTGGCCTCCCAAAGTGCTAGAATTAACAGGCGTGAGGCACTGTGCCCATCCTAAAATAACATTTTCTACATCATATTAAAGAAACAGACCAATGTCAGGCAGCTTTGACACTTAGAAGCTAAGTCATCTTTATTGTGACTACAGTAATCCACTTGAGCATCATTTGCCAATGCCTACTTATTTCATTCCTTGACAGCAAATTCATAGCATGTTCTTTTAGGCTGTTTTCCCATGTAGACTCATTTTAGTCCACGTAAGCCCACTATGTTCTTTTCTAGTGAGATCTTTTGATGGACTGTTGCTTTGTGGGCTTTCAGAAGGCCTATAATCGTAAACCAAAGTAGGCCGTTTATACATTTGGTTTACATGGAAACAGTTTCCATTTCTAGCACTGGTCTCTGTAGATGAGGGAGTCAAGCTTTAGAAAGTATCAGTGAAGGCCAGGTATGGTGTCTCACACCTGTAATCCCAGAACTTTGGGAGGCCGAGGTGGTTGGGTCATGAGGCCAGGAGTTCAAGACCAGCCTGGCCAATATGGTGAAACCCCGTCTCTACTAAAAATACAAAAATTAGCCAGGCGTGGTGGTGCGCGCCTGTAGTCCCAGCTACTCAGGAGGCTGAGGCAGAAGAATCGCTTGAAACCGGGAGGCAGAGGTTGCAGTGAGCCGAGATCACGCCACTACACTCCAGCCTGGGCGACAGAGTGAGACTTCATCTCAAAAAAAAAAAAAAAAAAGTTATCAGTTAAGTTTTTTCTCTTGAGGTGTATTGTTTGCACTTTTACACTTCAGTTAAGAACTGGTATTTTTCATTTAGTTTGCAGTTACATGTGAATATGTGATAATTTGTTCAGTGTTGCTCACTGACTTCCACTACCAAAGCTCAGTTTAGCTGAAGACTATACTTAACCCTTTATTCATCCAGTGAGTATTTATTTTTTATGTTTTCTTACGTAAAAGTGAAGAGGTGATGGCCTTTATCATCATCTTTTTTGTTGTTTTTATAACTAAAACAACTTTTGTTAAATTTCTTCTGAAAGTGTGTGGTGGTTGCATCTGGGAATAGCAGGGTCAGATATTTTATCTCATTGAGCTACAGCCCATAATCGCAGGGATTTCATGCACACATGACATTGTGTTGCCTAAGAGGCATCCTTTAGCTTGAGTATTTTCTTTCAATTCCTTGGTAACACTGCTTACAACAGATTAATACATAAACATCAAAGAATTTTTCATTTAAAGAAATTTAGTTGTATGAATTAATCCTTAGAGCAGTTAATATTTTGAAAGATTAAGACCTAAATTTAGCCAGGCACGATGGCTCACACCGGTAATCTCAGCACTTTGTGAGGCCGAGGCAGGTAGATCACGAGGTCAGGAGTTCAAGACCAGCCTGGCCAAGATGGTGAAACCCCATCTCTACTAAAAATACAAAAAATTAGCCGGGTGTGGTGGCAGGCGCCTGTAATCCCAACTACTCGGGTGGCAGGAGAATCGCTTGAACCCAGGGGGCAGAGGTTGCAGTGAGCCAAGATGGTGTCACTGCACTCCAGTCTGGACGACAGAGTGAAATTTCATCTCAAAAAACAAAAAAACTCTAAATTGAAAGAGTGAAGAACATTAGGCCAGGCGCAGTGGCTCATGCCTGTAATCTCAGCACTTTGGGAGGCCGAGGTAGGAGGATCACCTGAGGTCAGGAGTTCTAGACAGGCCTGGCCAACATGGTGAAACCCCATCTCTACTAAAAATACAAAAGTTAGCCAGGTGTGGTGGTGCACGCCTGTAGTCCCAGCTACTCGGGAGGCTGAGGCAGGAGAATCACTTGAGCCTAGGAGGTGGAGGTTGCAGTGAGCTGAGATCATGCCACTACCCTTAGTCTGGGCGACAGAGTGAGACTTCATCTCAAAAAAAAAGGTGTGATGAACATTAAAGTTAACTGAGAAATTTGCAGTTAACTCTGTGGGAAGTATCACTGAGATGATTAGGGTTTCATCTTTAAGGTATGATTGAATGTTTTACAATTAGAATGTATATTATGTTTATAATTAGAAATGGTAGATTTTAAGATGAACTATATGGCTTAAGTGAATTGATTTATTTAATTTTTTTTCTTTTAGAAATATGTGCCGTATCACGAATTTCTAAGAAAGAAATTGGTCGGTGTTTTAAACTTATTTTGAAAGCGCTAGAAACCAGTGTGGATTTGATTACAACTGGGGACTTCATGTCCAGGTTCTGTTCCAACCTTTGTCTTCCTAAACAAGTACAGATGGCAGCTACACATATAGCCCGTAAAGCTGTGGAACTGGACTTGGTTCCTGGGAGGAGCCCCATCTCTGTGGCAGCGGCAGCTATTTACATGGCCTCACAGGCATCAGCTGAAAAGAGGACCCAAAAAGGTAGGGTTCGTCATCAGGAAGTGTGGCAGTAAACTGAAATTTGCAGCATGTGATTGTTTTTCCATTTTAAGTCTGAACCGGGTAAATAGCAAGAAACCCACATTTGACCAGGCGCGGGGGCTCACACCTATAATCTCAGCACTTTGGAAGGCCGAGGCGGGAGGATCACCTAAGGTCAGGAGTTCGAGACCAGCCTGATCAACATGGTGAAACCCCATCTCTACTAAAAATACAAAAATTAGCTGGGTGTGGTGGTGGGGCTTGTAATCCCAGCTATTCAGGAGGCTGAGGCAGGAGAATTGCTTGAACCTGGGAGGTGGAGGTTACAGCAAGCTGAGATTGTGCCATTGCACTCCAGCCTGGGCAACAGAGCAAGACTCCATCTCAAAAAAAAAAAAAAACCCACGTTTAAGACATCATTCCTCAACGTCAAAATGTTAAGAAAATATGTTTTGCTTTTTAAGCAGCTCATAAAAAAAATGTTCAGAGACATAACCCTGTGAACAAACCTAATTTTTTTCCCATTTGAATTATTTTAGTTTGTACATCTTTTATTCTTACAAGTTCTTTTTTCTCCCTGAATATATTCCTCCTGATCATTTTGAATACTCTTTTCCTTTCCAAACTTACCTTTTTAAATCTTAGGGGTCAGGGAGGCCATGCTTTGTTTCTCACTGCTTGGCATGGGATTCTACAGATAGACACACTGTAAAATACGTGTTGGCCATCAGCCTTTAACATTCTGTGAAGGTTGGTTTTTTCCCATTTTGCACAGTATTTTACAGTTTCTTAATACAAATTCTGAAATAAGTAGATGTAAGTAATTCAGCCTTCTAAAGCTATGTTTAAATTTAGTGTTGTAGGAAAACTTTCACCAGAAGTATTAAGTGAATTTCTTTTCCTTTTTTTTTTTTGTTTTTTTTTTTTTTTTTTGTTTTTGAAACAGTCTCCCTCTGTTGCGCAGGCTGGAGGTACAGTGGCACAATCTCAGCTTACTGCAACCTCCACCTCCCGGACAAGCTATTCTCATGCCTCAGCTTCCTGAGTAACTGGGACTACAGCCACGTGCCACCACGCCCAGCTAATATTTGTATTTTTAGTAGAGATGGGGTTTCACCATGTTGGGCAGGCTTGTCTCGAACTCCTGGCCTCATGTGATTCGCCTGCCTCCACCTCCCAGTGTGCTGGGATTATAGGCACAAGCCACCACACATGGCCCACTAACTCCCTTTTAAAGTTAGAAGTGACTACTCCTTTCTAAGTCTTTGAGGATTACAGAAGTTATTCATGAACAAATGCATGTAAAGAAATTCATAAACTAGGTGCGGTGACCAGCCTCCTGGCCAACATGGCAAAACCCTGTCTCTACTAAAAACACAAAAAAATTAGTCGGGTGTGGTGGCACATATCTGAATCCCATTTAGTAGGGAGGCTGAAGTAGGAGAATCACTTGAACCTAGGAGGCAGAGGTTGTAGTGAGCTGAGATCATGCCACTGCCCTCCAGCCTGGGTTGATGGAGTGAGGCTCTTTTTCAAAAAAAAGAAAAGTTGGTGGCAGGTCGCGGTGGCTCACCTGTGTAATCCCAGCACTTTGGGAGGCCAAGGTGAGTGGATTGCTTGAGGCCAGCAGTTCAAGACCAGCCTGGCCAACATGGCAAAACCCCATCTCTACTAAAAATACAAAAATCAGCCCAGCATGGTGGTGCACACCTGTAGTCCCAGCTACTCGGGAGGCTAAGAGACAAGAATCTCTTGAACTTGGGAGGCAGAGGTTGCGGTGAGCCTAGATTGCACCACTGTACTCCAGTCTGGGAGACAGGACTGTCTCAAAAAAAAAAAAAAAAAACAAAAACAGAAAGTGAATTACTGGCCTCAATAACTTTGTAATACTTTATTCACAACAGCCTTCAGCTTAGGCTATATGTTGAAAAAAGTAATAAATGATAGGAATAATTAGAGAAAGAAAGCCAATCATTAGTTATTTGAAGGAGCCATTATCCATTCCCTTTGGCCTTCACTCACGTTTTAAGGAAATTTTGAGTCTTTTAGTAAAATTGAGAAGTTGCAGCTAGGCAGTTTGTCCTTGAGGTACATTCCTAGTTGTAAAGTTTATTCTAATGAACAACATGAAAACATTAATCTTGTTGCTTTCTGCTTTTTGGCTTTATATGTAAAGTCTTCTTCAAATGTAAGGTCTTTCTCTTCCCTGCACAGCAGGCAGTTGACATTCAAATAGTTGGCATTTATTGGTATTTAGATGTAGAATAATGTAATGCAGTGTGAGATACGGAAATTTAAAATTAGCTAATTGTACAATGATGGCAGGCATTCACAGTGAAAATCACTAAAACCTCACTGATTTGAATCAACTGAAAAGGTAGTAAAATGAATTTGTATTAAAAGGTGTTTAGGCCAGGCGTGGTGGCTCATGACTGTAATCCCAGCATTTTGGGAGGCTGAGGCAGGTGGATCACCTTAGGTGAGGAGTTTGAGACCAGCCTGGGCAGCATGGTGAAACCCTGCCTCTGCTAAAAATACAAAAATTAGCTGGGCATGGTGGCAGGTGCCTCAGCTACTCAGGAGGCTGAGGCAGGAGAATTGCTTGAACCGGGGAGGCAGAGGTTGTAGTGAGCCGAGATCTTGCCATTGCACTCCAGCCTGGGTGACAGAGCAAGATTCCATCTCTAAATAAATAAATAAATGATGCTTAAAAATCCATTTTAATAAAGCATTCATAATACTTAACCAAACATTGTAGTGGCAGTCCTTTAGTATTTCTTTTAATGACTTTGAAAGGAAAAAAGGGACAGCGACTTTAAAGGGTAAAAGTGGATCTGTTAGGATTCTGTACAATGTTCGTTTGAGCTCAAAATATTTAAGTATGTGCTTGTATCAGTGAAAAACATCTCCGTATGCTATAATAAGTAGCTGTTTGATCTCTGATGTATTAAGTAGAAAAAAAGATTGTAGAACAATATTTATAGTATCACATTTTGTTTTTAATAAGGACCCCTTAACAGAAGTTAGCTAGGGGAGATTTTGCATGGGAGCTTTCAAACACAGAAATATAAAGTGAATTTCTTTACAAGAACATATTTGTGGAGTACTTTTGTGATCCTCAGAAAGATTTATAAAGAAAAAGGAGGAGTCAGTTGTAAATACAATACCCAGTATAAGATGATAACACTCCTAATACTAAGACCTGAACACTATTCATATATTTTATGTTAGTTAAACCCTTTAAAACATTGACAACCCTGTAAGGTAGTAAGTACTAGTAATCATTTTTATTGTTGCTTGTTACTGACTTTAGCTCCCACTTTTTTTTTGAGACAGTATTTGGTTAAGTATTATGAATGCTTTATTAAAATGGATTTTTAAACATCATTTATTAATTTATTTAGAGATGGAATCTTGCTCTCTCGCCAGGCTGGAGTGCAGTGGTGCGATCTCGGCTCACTGCAACCTCCTCCTCCTGGGTTCAAGCGATTCTCCTGCCTCAGCCTCCTGAGTAGCTGGGACTACAGGCGCATGCCACCACGCCTGGCTAATTTTTTGTATTTTTAGTAGAGATGGGGTTTCACCATGTTGGCCAGGATGGTCTCGATCTCCTGACCTGGTGATCCACCCGCCTCGGCCTCCCAAAGTGCTGGGATTACAGGCATGAGCCACTGCGCCCGGCCTAGCTCCCGCTTTCTACCTTTTAGTATGTATTTCTATTATCAGTTTTTAGAAATCACTTCTGGTTTTGTTTTTAAGTTTGGCACTTTATACTATCATATCTCACAAATTACAATGCAGGTAGTGGAAAGGAGGTAGGATGGAAATGATGGTTAATGTTTCGATTTTTGTCTTTTAGAAATTGGAGATATTGCTGGTGTTGCTGATGTTACAATCAGACAGTCCTATAGACTGATCTATCCTCGAGCCCCAGATCTGTTTCCTACAGACTTCAAATTTGACACCCCAGTGGACAAACTACCACAGCTATAAATTGAGGCAGCTAACGTCAAATTCTTGAATACAAAACTTTGCCTGTTGTACATAGCCTATACAAAATGCTGGGTTGAGCCTTTCATGAGGAAAAACAAAAGACATGGTACGCATTCCAGGGCTGAATACTATTGCTTGGCATTCTGTATGTATATACTAGTGAAACATATTTAATGATTTAAATTTCTTATCAAATTTCTTTTGTAGCAATCTAGGAAACTGTATTTTGGAAGATATTTGAAATTATGTAATTCTTGAATAAAACATTTTTCAAAACTCAAGTTTTTGTTATATGTTACATGTAACTTATGATACATAATTACAAATAATGCAAATCATTGCAGCTAATAAAGCTGATAGACTTTATTTCCATTACTTATATATACATAGTTTTTTATTTTAATAAATTTATGGAAAGAGCAAAAGCTTTTGAGAACCATTGTTAACATCAACATCATAGTTTCCAGTTTGAAAGGATGTGTATGTGAGATTTATTATGTATATTATTAAACAAGAAGTGATGAGCTTGGGCCTTGAAAGGCACCAGCTTGAGAGACATTAAAATGTTCTAAGTATGTGATTTTCTTAGTGAGCTTATTGAGCAGAGAATATGATGCTGATAAAAGCAGCAGTAGAACAACAGATTTTAATTTTTGGGTGTTAAAATCTTATGTTATAGAATCTGCATATCCCTGGTTCTTTTTTCTTCTTTGTTAGGCTTACTGGTGTACTCATAGACTAAAGAGCATTTCATTTATTTATTATCTATTATTTTTTGATACAGAGTCTTGCTCTGTTGCCTAGGCTGGAGTCCAGTGGCACAATCTCAGCTCACTGCAACCTCTGCCCCACCTCCAGGGTTCAAGCGATTCTCCTGCCTCAGCCTCCTGAGTAGCTAGGATTACAGGTGCCCACTACTAGGCCCAGCTAATTTTTTTTGTATTTTTAGTAGAGACAGGGTTTCGCCATGTTGGCCAGGCTGGTTTAGAACTCCTGACCTCAAGTGATCCACCTGCCTTGGCCTCCCACAGTGCTGGGATTAGAGGCGTGAGCCCCCATCTGGCCTAAAGAGCACTTTAAATGAAGATTACTGGGCCTGGGATTGTCCAGTAGTTGTTTTTAACTAGCATCCTTTACGTGATTGTGATGTGTTAGATGTTTTGCCTATGACTCTTTAAGGAACAATGATTTAGGGTCATTTGACTTCTACTCACTATAAGAGAAGACCAGCAACATTTTGCTCTTTGATCAGGTAGTTTTTACAGGGGACTTGAATTCATACTAGACATCACCACTGTTCACTGCTCTGGAAACAGGTGTCACAGTTCTGAAACATCTGAAAAGAGGTTAGCACTAGACTAGAAAGACAATCTCCTGTTGTGGCCTGGTGGGCAGGGTCAGACTGGTTCATAGAGGGACTTTCCCAAGAGCAGACCTCCACTGCCATTCTGCTGACCATGGAGCAGGGATAAGTATTGGCACCATGAAGACAAGTGGTATTTTTCCCTTGAACAAAACATAGGACACTCACCCAGTATTGCTCAGAGCTAGGGGAGAACACCGGAAAAATAATCCAGTCAGGGAGAACCTGTCCCACCCAGCGTGAGACCTAGGAAGAAGGAAGCTTCAGTCTATCTCCCTTCTGGACGGCATCTTTGATCTCTAGCATCACACATCTCCACATACGGACTAAGGAGCAGGGGTGCTTTCTAGTGTTCCCCAGGTTCTAGTGACTAGCCACAAAGTTCCCCATTCAGTGACCACTGCAGTTATCAAAGGTTATTTTTGCACTTAGTAAAGGTCAGTACCTACAGATTACAGAAAATTAGGAAAATACATAAGTCACCCGGAAATAACGAGTATTTTGGTGGCTTTTTTCTTTTCTTTTCTTTTCTTTTTTTTTTTGAGACGGGGTTTCACTCTGTAGCCCAGGCAGGAGTGCAGTGACAGGATCTTGGCTCACTGCAACCTCTGCCTCTCGGGTTCAAGTGATTCTCCTGCCTCAGCCTCCCAGTACTTTTTTTTTTTTTTTTTTCATTTCAGCTTCTTGCTGTGCTTATTTTAAGAGAAAGATTCTCACTTTGTCAGCCAAGCTGGAGTGCAGTGGCATGATCATACCTCACTGTAACCTCAAACTCGGGGTGAACTGATCCTCCTCAGCTTCCCAAGTAGCTAAAACTACAGGTTCAGGACACCATACCCAGCTAATTTTTTCTTTTTTTGTAGAGACATGTCTCAGTATGTTGCTCAGGCTGGTCTGAAACTCCTGGCCTCAAGTAATCCTCCCACTTAAGCCTCCCAAAACACTGGAATTACAGGCATGAGCTACCGTGCCTGGCCCACATTTTTTTCAGCATAACTGATTAAGATTTAATATGACTTGTTTAGTCTGTTCGATTTTCTGGTTAAAAAGATGCATTTATTAGGTAGCTAGAAAAATTCAGATAAAGGGAAAAGAAAAATCTAGCCCTTACTACTTGTGTCAACAACATGGTCTTTTTTGTTTTGTTTTGTTTTGTTTTTTTGCTGTCTATACATTTGTAAAGTTTGGATCAGGAGAATTGATTTTGAAGATTAATCTGGAGTCAGAGGGTATGTTTGGATTGTTTTTTTGTTTGTTTTGAGAATGAGGCTTGCATTGTAGGCATTTCTTGAAACTAAAGGAATTAAAATGCTAGTTATAAATCCTCCGTAAGCCACCCGTATGGTTAAATCAGCTTAATTCCAGATACTGAAATAAAGAAAAATGTCTATTCGAAGGGTAACTAGTAGCACTGTGACCTGTTTTTTCCTTCCATCCCTGGCTTCACATGCTTGAGTGTTCTCAAAAGGGGTAGAAGTGGTTGGAATTGGATCCGTTGTTAATAACCCTTTTGGGAAGTCATTAAATCTGACTACTGGAATATTTTCGCTTTCAGCAAAGAAGCGCAGGGCTCCGCAGCAATTCTGTTTGGGGCTCAGGCCCCTCAAGCGTTCTTCACCTGAGCAGGCCCTAGTCCTTATTTGTCTATTTCTTTGAAGACTGTTCCATCTTTATGGAGGTTTTAGTTGGATGATTTTCTACTAAAATTCACTGAAGATGTGGAGTGTTCATTCACAACTAAATCTTACTTATTGTGGCAAAATTACTAATACGTAGACATTTTGAAAATTATGGCCAGGCCCTACTTAGAGTGAAAAGAATTTGACATACTTTGAAAACAATACATTGTAAATTAGTGATTCAACGTGACTGATCTCTTGAGTTGCGAAAAATCCTATATAAAAGTGAACACCCACCTTATTGAGAGATGAGCATACTTAGATCTTGAAGCCAGCTTCTTCTGGGGCCTACATTTTACAAGTAAGTAATATTACTGAGCTATGCAACATAGTTTCTATGAAGATAACGTGGATCCACTTTGTGCATGTTAGCATTTTTTTTTTTTTGAGACGGAGTCTCTTGTCAGCCAGGCTGGAGGCAGTAGCACGATCTCGGCTTACTGCAACCTCCGCCTCCGAGGTTCAAGCCATTCTCCTGCCTCAGCCTCCTGAGTAGCTGGGATTACAGGTGCATGCCACCACAGCCAGCTAATTTTTGTATTTTTGGTAGAGACGGGGTTTCACCATGTTGGTCGGGCTGGTCTCGAACTCCTGACCTCAGGTGATGCGCCCGCCTTGGCCTCCCAAAGTGCTGGGATTACAGACTTGAGCCACCTTGCTCATGTTAGCCACATGTTAGCATTTTTAAACAGTTGAAGTATTCATGAATTTGGTTCCTTCCATTTGGGTATTTGAAACATTCACTGGAAGCCACTTTCATTGATAACCTCTGCTATTACTCTGAGAGTTCAAGGATTTGATTATACGTTTCATGAAATCTTAGCTTCAGTGCTGTGGTCCAATCTCCCCATTTGGTATATCAGAGCAGTGTAGAGAAGTGAGAAGATCTGCGCAAGTTCTCTTAGTAGCAGCAGAGATGAGACGGACTGAGGTTTCAGTCACTCAATCTGGTGTTCTTTCCACTGAACCATACCATTGAAGCTCACCTCACAGGAGGTTGCCTGAGGACCAACTTTAGTTGTACCCTTCAAATAGAATTCCATTCAGTTACTAAAGAGAATACTTAAAGGCAAAACTTCTATCTGGCTTATTGAGACCTTTTGAGAGTTTTTGAATTACCTTTAAATCAGCCCAGGTGACAAAGAGTTAATAGCCAGAAATTGTTTAGCCTTTCCTCCAAACTTAAATGCTGCTTAAACTAGATGCCTCTTGATAGTAAGCATTTGTGTTCAAAGCAACAAATGTACTTTACCAATGGTTGTGTTTGGTTTCTGAGCTAATTTTGTTTCACAGGTGCAAGATTTACTTTAATTATCAAGATGAACAGCTGAGGGGGTCAGCCTATTACCCATATGGTCCTAATCCAGCCAAGAGGCCTCTGTGCCTCATGCCAATATTTCCAATTGTCAGTGGCCCTGACTTTTCCTGTTGCTGGAGTTTTAATCTCATCTGCCACTCGTGGAGCTATTGAAAGATCTTCTGATCCCCTGAACACCTCTTCATTCTTCCCTTCCCAGATACACACACACACACACACACACACACACACACACACACACCCTTCATCAGAATCTCAAGATTGTAAGGCATCACTACAAGAGCCCCATTCAGCTGATCTCTAGGCCACAGAGGCCCCAGCATCTTTCATAAGCATAAACTTCTATTCGTAATCCTCACTGGCATTTCTGGGGCAATATTTAAACTGGCATTTCAGGAGGCTCAAGCTAGCACTTGGTCAAAGAGGAGGAACTCTGAGAGGAAAAAACCTCTTTTTCCCTCTACCCACACACCACTAAACAACTTTTCTGACGCTAATGTGGGGGTATTTCCCCACACAAACTTAGCAATTCTCCTGGAGACACCAGCTTCGTGTCCTATAATTCAATTCTGCCACTGTTTACCTGGAGATACATGCATCAGATCCCACAGGTTAGGGGTTCATTCCCACAAGAACTCCCCCCCAACTTCAGACACCAATTGCAAGTAGTAGGTTGTCACCTATATCTTTGGCAAAAAGTTGGGGCTCTCACCAGCCCCTCTTTGGGTTCCATTATTGAGCTAGGGCAGCTCATGTGACTCAGAAACACATTTAACAGCTTATTATAAAGGATATTACAAAAGATACAGTTGAACAGACACATAGATGCATAGATCAAATATGTGGGAAGGGCACTGATGGCCTCTCCAGGCACACCTCCCTCCTGGAATCTCCACATGCTCAGCTGCCTGCAAGCTCTCTGAAGCCTCTCCTTTTGGGATTTTATGGAGGCTTCATTATGGAGGCAAGATGGATTACATCACTGGCTGTTGGTATCAACTTTCAGCACCTCTGGACGTTGGTGGGGAGGTGGGACTAACCCCTCAAATCACATGGTTGGTTCCCTAGGCAGCCTGCCCTCATCTGAGGCTATTCAGCAGCCTGCCAAGAATCATCTTATTAGGACAAAAGATGCTCCCATCACCCAGAAAATTCCAAGGGATTTAGGAGCTTTCAGACTCCATGATCATTCAGGAAATTACAAAGGTTCTATTCAAGTGCCAGTCTAAATACCAAGACCTCCAAGAAGTCTTCACTGAATTCACAAAACTCCAGGTTTGCTTGGAACTGTATAAAGTGCACCTGGAACATCTTGTAGTTTAAGAAAGCAAGGCGGTACTCAAAGACCAATGGGGTCAAAGTTTGGGATCATCTAAGCATCCAAGAAAAAAGTATAATACATTTAAAAATCCATGCATTCACAGTAATACACAACAATACCAACCACAAAAGCAAAGAAAAACTGAGGGGAGAAAAGGCAAAAGCTTAAGAGAGAACAAGCTAAGAATGGCTGCTAATCAATACAGAAGGAATACTAGAGTTAGAAAATTATTTTGCAACTCCCAATGTAATGATTTATTCAGATGAAGATAATTGGAAGGATAAAACCACTGAAAGGAAGGTTTTTGGGAAATAGAATAAATAATCTCAAGTATTATCTCAAATTGCTTACTAGTTACAAAGGAAAAATATATCTTTACAAAGAGAGTTCTGGTGATCCACCTTAACCACGTGATTGAACTTAAATAACAGACATTTGACATTACATATCTACTTATGTGATGCAATAAGAAGTATGCCATACCACCGATGTAGTATTCCTGAAAAAAAGTTGTAATTTTTATCTATTTTCATCTGATGTTTTTGGAAGTTGACTGGTCTAATTTAAAGTCAATTTTTAAAAAGGTTTGCAGTGTAGCAGAAAGAGCACCAGGCAAGAGATTGGTCTTGGCTCTGCCATTTAGCAGCCATGTGAGCCAGGACAACTGCACTCTACTCATTTCACAGGAGTACTCTTGAGGATTAAATGAGATGATATACATGAGACTACTTAATTATAAGATATTAGTATTTAATTGCTTTTTTTTTTTTTTTTTTTGAGACACGGTCTCCCTCTGTTGCCCAGGCTGGAGCGCAGTGGTGAAAACTTGCTTACTGCAGCCTTGACCTCCTGGGCTCAAGTGATCTTCCCATCTCAGCCTCTGAGTAGCTGGGCCTACAAGTGCACACCACCATGCCCAGCTAATTTTTTTTTTTTGAGACAGAGGAGTCTCGCTCTGTTGCCCAGGCTGGAGTGCAGTGGCACGATCTTGGTTCACTGCAACCTCCGCCTCCCAGGTTCAAGCAATTCTCTGCCTCAGCCTCCCGAGTAGCTGGGATTACAGGCACATGCCTCCAAGCCCAGCTAATTTTTGTATTTTTAGTAGAGACAGGGTTTCATTATGTTGGCCAGGCTGGTCTTGAACTCCTGACCTCAGGTGAGCCACCCACCTCAGCCTCCCAAAGTGCTGGGATTATATGTGTGAGCCACCACACCCAGCATTTCTTATTTTTTAATAGAGTCGAGGTCTTGCTATGTTGTCCAGGCTGGTCTCAAACTCCTGAGCTCAAGCAATCCTCCTGCCTTGGCCTGCCAAAGTGCTGGGATTACAGGCCTGCCCACTGCATCTGGCCACTATTTATATTTACTTCTAAAGGGTGAAAAATTCATTAATACTACAAGCAGGCAGTGACTTCAGTTCAGTGACCTGATTAATATGGGATGAGAAGCAATGAGTAAAGTAGATATTAGTAGAAAGGCAAAAATAGGCAAAGTCTAAAAAGTCAGCAAGAGTAGGAACACTTGAAGTGCATTAGGAGGCCGGGCACAGAGGCTCATGTCTGTAATCCCAGCACTTTGGGAGGCCAAGGTGGGTGGATCACTTGAGGTAAGGAGTTTGAGACCAGCCTGGCCAACATGGTGAAACCCCCGTCTCTACTAAAAATACAAAAATTAGCTGGGTGTGGTTGTGGGCGCTTGTAATCACAGCTACTCGGGAGGCTGAGGCAGGAGAATCACTTGAGCCTGGGAGGCAGAGGTTGCAGTAAGCTGAGATCACGCCACTGCACTCTAGCCTGGGTGACAGAGTAAGACTCCATCTCAAAACAAAAAAAAAAAAGAAAGAAAGAAAGAAAAAAGTGCATTAGGAAAGCCTGGTGCCAAGGTGATCTCGATATCCTGGTTTTCTGGCTCTCTGGTTACATATGTTCACACCTGGGAGAGACACAGTGCTGATTACTTAAAGGGAGGAGGGGTGTTTTGCAGATTACTCCAAAAAATTACATAATCTTGACAATACCAAGCAGATATTTAATTTACACAAACGCAACTACAGCTACTTGTCATGCGTATGCACACAAGAGAGAAAGAAAAATAATTTAAATGGTACAACCAGTCTAGCCTCTTACGTACTAAACATCTCTTAACAAATCTTACCTTTCAGAATGAACATGACAAGGGAGCTGAGTTTACTGTCCCTCAGCTGCTCTCAATTTTTTCATGTCTTTTGTAGTGTGTACATTCACTGTGCTAAATGATTCTACCACTTAAAGTTACAAAAAAATATATTGAATTTATGGTTGGAAATAATGGCAAATGCATGCCTATTGTTGGTAACACATTGTGAGAATGAGTTTTTAAATTTCAAACTTTCTACTAAGAAGTCAAAGTAGACTGCATTTTATGGGTAAGTTAAAGAATTTCAAGAACTACAATTATATGAATTTTTTGCTTTACTTAATTTCTAAATGAGTTTTATTGCATAAGACTAAAACTTTAGTTATATGCAAATTCACACAAGGTGAACTACTCCAAATGATGTTGAATTAAGGAAGCGTTACTGTATATTTTTTGTGTGATCTCTTTTGGTATTGGTATTGGTATTGACAACAGCATCACAAGGTGTTATTTTAGAGCTGATTACTATATTTATTTGTTTATTTATTTATTTATTTATTTGACCGAGTCTCATTCTGTCACCCAGGCTGGAGTGCAGTGGCGCGATTTCGGCTCACTTCAACCTCCGCCTCCCGGGTTCAAGCCATTCTCCTGCCTCAGCCTCTTGAGTAGCTGGGATAACAGGTGCGCACCACCATCCCCGGCTAATTTTTGTATTTTTAAAAATAAGGCGGTTTTGCCATGTTGGCCAGCCTGGTCTCCAACTCCTGACCTCAAATGATCTGCCTGCCTCGGCCTCCCAAAGTGCTGGGATTGCAGGCATGAGCCACCACATCCGGCCTGATTACTATTTCTATAATTTTAACTGTCTTGCTGATTTGAGCAAGCATAAGATGTGACTATATTTATAAAGCAGATTATATATATGTATAGGTAATAAGAAAAAGCTTATGTATTTCCTGGAAATGGACTTTTCCTTAATATACGGTATTAAGGAAAATATACGGTATTTCCTTAATATACGGAATATATGGAATAGCCTTGCTTCCTTATGACTTTTAATAATCAATATGCTGAAATCCACATTCTTGCCATTTTTATTAATTTAGCAACAAAGGCAGGTACTATAAGTATACAGTTTCCACATGAACATACGAAACGGTTTGAATTTTAGATATGAATATCAAAATGATTTTAAAAAACACTTTAGGGGCCAGGCACGTGGCTCATGCCTGTAATCCCAACACTTTGGGAGGCCAAGGTGGGCGGATCACCTGAGGTCGGGAGTGTGAGACCAGCCTGGCAAATATGGTGAAACCCAATCTCTAATAAAAATACAAAAATTAGCCGGGTGTGGTGGCGTGCGCCTGTAGCCCCAGCTACTCGGGAGGCTGAGACAGAAGAATCGCTTGAACCTGGGAGGCGGAGGTTGCAGTGAGCCGAGATTGCGCCACTGCACTCCAGCCTGGGCAACAGAGTGAGACTCCGTCTCAAAAAACAAACAAACAACAACAATAACAAAAACTTTAGTCCTTTTAATTTATGGAGACTTGTTTTACGACTAACCAGAGGCATCAGCATCTCCTGGAAATGTACCAGAAATGTAAATTCTTAGGCCTCATCTACCAAATCAGAAATTAGGGGTGAGGCTCATGTGTTTTAACAAGTCCTCTGAGTGATTCTAATACGCGCTGAAGTTTGAGAGCAACTACACAGGGAAGTTTAGTAAATACTTAGTTCAAAATAGTGAGAAGAGTTAGCATGGTTGTTTGGATGCAAAGATGGATTTAAAAGAGGTTGGGCTGGGCACAGTGGCTCAAGCCTGTAATCCCAGCACTTTGGGAGGCTGAGGTGGGCACAGCACCTGAGGTCAGGAGTTCAAGACCAGGCTGGTCAACATGGTGAAACCCCATCTCTAATAAAAATACAAAAATTGGCTAGGCATAGTGGCAGGCGCCTGTAATCCCAGTTACTTGGGAGGCTGAGGCAGGAGAATCACTTGAACCCGGGAGGCGGAGGTTGCAGTGAGCCAAGATCACCCCACTGCGCTCGAACCTAGGCGACAAAAGCGAGACTCCATCTCAATAAATAAATAAAAGAGGTTGGGCTTGAGGTTTCAACAGAGTTGTACAAAGAAATAAGAGTGGAGCAGGGAGCTGAGATATATGGAAGAGAGTGATTACAAGGACGAGTTTGGGAATGAAAGCTGAAAAAGGGAAGACCAATGAAATCACCAAACTTGAGGCTTCACCTACTACCAATAACTTTAATCCAACAATGCACTTCGCCGGATCTCATTCTTCTGCCTTCCCATCAAATAACCACTGTCTTTTGTTTAACATTCCCTTACTTAACAAAGTTTTATTATATTTGTTTGGTAATAGACTTTGAAAAAGAATATCATGTTGTATGTAGTTTTCTGTGATTAGCTTTTTTCACATATTTTGTTCTTTTCTATTGTTCCCTATAGCTGCAGTTAATTTTCATTGATCTATATTTCATGGTGTAAATATGTCATATTTTATTAAGCCATTATCTCCCACTGATGGGAATTTAGGTTGTTCCCAGTTTTTGCTACTACAAACAGTGCTATGAACATTCTTGTTCATGACACTTGGTGAACATGTATAACAGTTTCTTTTTAATACAAGTCAAATGCTGGGTACCAAAGTATGCATATGTTCAAACTTTATAGTACCAAATTGTTTTTCCAAAGTAGTTACTTCTTTACACTCTCCACAGCAATTTCAAGGGAACTCATTGTTGGACTCCATCACTTGATACCAAAATTTTAAATTTTGCCAATTTGAATGGGTGCGAAATTGTATCTCAGTGTGGTCTTGATTTGTAGTTCTCTGATTACTGTTGTGGTTGGGCATTTTTTTTTTTTAAGTCCTGGGGTTCATGTGCAGGATGTGCAGGTTTGTTAAATAGGTAAACTTGTGCCATGGTGGTTTGCCACACCTATCAACCCATTACCTAAGTATTAAGCCCAGCATGTATTAACTATTTTTTTCTGATCCTCTCCCTCCTCCAGCACCTCCACCTCCTACTGACAGGCCCCAGTGTGTTCCCCTCCCTGTGTCCATGTGTTCTCACTGTTCAGCTCTCACCTATGAGTGAAAACGTGGTGTTCGGTTTGCTGAGGATGATGGCTTTCAGCTCCATCCATGTCCCTGCAAAAGGCATGATCTCATTCCTTTTTATGGCTACACAAAATTTCATGTATATATGTACATTTTCTTTGTCCAGTCTATCATTGATGGGCATTTGGGTTGATTCCATGTCTGTGCTATTTTGAATAGTGCTGCAATGAACATACACGTTCATGTATTTTTATAACAGAATTATTTATATCCCTTTGGATATATACCCAGTAATGGTATTGCTGGGTCAAATGGTATTTCTGGTTCTAGGTGTTTTTTTTTTTTTTTTTTTTTTTTTGAGATGAGTCTTGCTCTGTTGCCCAGTCTGGAGTGCAGTGGCACGATCTTGGCTCACTGCAACCTCCGCCTCCCAGGTTCAAGCAATTCTCTGCCTCAGCCTCCCAAGTAGCTGAGATTACAGGCGTGTGCCACCATGCCCAGCTAATTTTTCTATTTTCAGTAGAGACAGGGTTTCACCGTCTTGGCCAGGCTGGTCTTGAACACCTGACCTCGTGATCCACCCACCTCAGCCTCCCAAAGTGCTGGGATTACAGGCGTGAACCACCGTGTCCAGCCCAGTTTGTGCCTTATCTTTTAACTTTATGATGTCTTTTAATAAACAGAAGTTCCTAATTTTATTATAGTTGGATATACCAGTCTTTCTTGCATTTTAGTGCTTTCTTGTAACATATCCTCAATGATTTTGACACTTCCTGTTTAATCTGAGATGTTTATGTATGGTGTGACACGGGAATTCAATTTCTTTTTACATTTCCACATGAATAATTTTCCTAACTCTATTTATATAACACTTACTTCTTCCTCCACTGATTATGTCTCTTCTACATGTTAAAATTCCAGATTCATGTGGGCCTGCTCCTTGACTGTTTTGTCCTATTTCTAATATGCACCAATACTACACCTTTTAAGTCTTATATGTTGATATTTATAGCTACATAATTTTATCTAATTAATACAGTTACATAATAGAATTACTACAATAATTGCCATATCTTTTTAAGTCTTGGTATCTAGTAGGGCAAATTCTCCTTTCTTCTTTAGGAATTTCCTATTCTTAATCCTTTGCTCTTCTATGTGAACTTTAAAGTGAGCTTGTAAAGTTCCCCAAAAAGTATTGGGATTCTGATTGGGGTTACACAGAATCTACAGACCAATTTGAGGAAAACTGACATCACATCATAAAATGGGTATGTCTATGTTTACTTAGGTCTTCTTTAATGTCTCCCAGTAAGGTTTTTCTTACAGGTCTTGTATGTCTTTTGTTGTATTTATTTTTAAGTAACTCAGTTTGTTACCATTGTAAAAGTTGTTTTTTGAATATTATGCCCTCTAATTGTTTGACAGTGTTATCAACATACCATCAACTTTTTTGTCTTCACCTTAAATCCAGTATCTTGGTTAAACCATTATTGCTAGCAAATTGCAGTCTTTTGAGTTTTCTAGGTAGGCAATCATATCATCTGCAAATAGTAGCCAGTTTATTCCCCCCTTTGAATCCTTATGCCACATAGAGTAGCAAAGTACAATATTGAAAAGTAGTAATGACAGGTATCCTAGTCCTATTCCCAATTTTAAAGGGGATGCTTCCAATGTTTCCTCATATGAAATGTCATTGGTTTTAGTTTTTTGGTTTTAAAAAATATAAAAAAAATTTATCAGGCTAAAGAAATTCAACCCCCCCCACCCTTTTTTTTTAAAATCAAATATGAGATTAGCTTTTCCTTACTTTTTCTCCTTCAATCTGTTAGTATGGCAAGTACAGACTTTATCATTTTAAGCCATCCTTGCATTCCTGGGATAAACCCAATTTGATGTCTTTTTCAAACATCACTGAACCTGATTTGATAATACTTTATTATTTTGCATCAATACCAAATTAAATTTGCTAGTAATGTACTTTTCTTATCTATTTTATCTAGATACTGATTTCATAAAATGAATTGGGAAATAAAATGTTTATAAAATCAAAGAGAGACTTCTAAGACAACCATTGTTATGAGACAAATGCCACTAGAAAAACCATTTGAAGCCATCCAGCAGATTGTCTCCTCATCCCTAGAGAACTCACTTCCTGCTTCCTGGCCTCTCAACTGCTTTTGATGTTTCTTTTCAACTGAAAAACAAAACAAAACAAAACAAAACAAAAACAATGTACAGTAACCTTTTTTTGAGATGAAGTCTCGCTTTGTCACCCAGACTAGAGTGCAGTGGTATGATCTCAGCTCTTTACAACCTCTGCCTCCCAGGTTCAAGTGATTCTCCTGCCTCAGCCTCCCCAGTAGCTGGGATTACAGGCATACACCACCGTGCCCAGCTAATTTTTTTAGTAGAAACAAGGTTTCGCCATGTTGGTCAGGCTAGTCTTGAACTCCTGACCTCAAGCCATCCACCCGCCTTGGCCTCCCAAAGTGTTGGGATTACAGGCATGAGCCACCGTGCCTGGCCACACTAACCTTTTTTTGTGCAGGTGGAGTTTCGCTCTTGTTGCCCAGGCTGGAGTGCCAACAGCATAATCTCGGCTCATTGCAACCTCCGCCTCCCAGGTTCAAGTGATTCTCCTGCTTCAGTCTCCTGAGTAGCTAGGATTAAAGGCATGCGTCACCATGCCTGGCCAATTTTTTATTTTTAGTAGAGACAGGGTTTCTCCATATTGATCAGGCTGGTCTCGAACTCCTGACCTCAGGTGATCTGCCCGCCTCAGCCTCCCAAAGTGCTGGGATTACAGGTTTCAGCCACTGTGCCCTGCCCGCCGTAACCTTTTAATGAATACACAGGGCTTGGCACAGTGGCTCACACCTGCAATCTCAGCACTTTGGGAGGTTAAGGTGGGAGGATCACTTGAGCCCAGGAGTTCAAGACCAGTTGTGGCACGTCTGTAGTCGCAGCTACTCAGGAGGCTGAGGTGGAAGAATCACTTGAGCCTGGCAAGTCAAGGCTGCAGTGAGCTCTAATTGCACCATTGCACTCCAGCCTGGGTGACCCTGTCTCAAGAAAAAAAAGCCAGCATCGAAAATGGAGACTGAAAGCCTGCCATTGTTTGTTGTTGCTGTTAACAGATGATCCAGGTATTCTGGTGATGCTACTTGTGCCGCATGGTTATCCTGAACACGTTTTTTCACTGTATTGATGGTATGTTGAATTTTTTACTGTTAAGTATTTATGTGTAAATGAACACAAAACAATGATTGCTTATTGACAGCGCATAAATTCAAAGTCAGGAACGACAATGATGTTAAACAACCACAAACTGTCTACAAGAGTGGCTGTGACAATGACACCTTTGCCTTCTGAAGGTTCAATGTACACAAAGTTTGTTTCATATAGAAAATTATTTAAAATATTTTATAAAGTTACCTTCAGGCTATGTGTACAGGTGGATATGAAACAGAAACTCTCTCTCCTCTTGTTGACATTTAGGTTTTCATGGTGTGTCTAAAATCTACTTTGATATTAGGTGAAGCTACCAGAGCTTTAGCTTGAGTGGATTTTGCATCACATATTTTTCCTCATATTTTTACTTTCAGCTTCTCCATATACTTCTATTTCAGATGTATCTTTTTGCAAACATCATACCACCAGATTTCTTTTTAAAATCTAATCTTATAAATCCTGCTTTTAGCTAGTGAGTTTGCTCCATTTACATTAATTGTGCTTTGGATTAATTTCTACCATCTTGTCTTTTGGTTTAGAATTTATAGTCACTATAGTGAATAGCCTTGGCATTTCACAGTGAACCTAAAATCTAAAGTTAATCAATACCTTAACATTCCAACAATAAAAAGACTACACAATACTGTAGCTCTGGTGTTCACTATCCTGACTTTCCTGCTACTGCTATCTAGAATTTGTGCTTAGAAAAAACAAAAAAATTCAAAATCCAGTAATTCCTTCTTTTATCTCTTTGGTTTATTTAGATTTACCTAGGTGTTTGCCATTTTACTTATCACAAACCTTTTTTTATCTTGTGTTACCCTTCTGGGATCATTTTTTTACTTCAAGCACATTATTCAGAACGTCCATTAAAGCAGCAAGCATTCCCCTTTTAAAACATATTATATGCCCTAATTCTTACGAAAATTATTTTATTTTTATGTAATTCTAGGTTAACCTTTTTTTCCCCAACACTCTGAAGGTAATATTCCACTACGTGCATTGTTGCAATTGAGAGGTGAGCTGGTGTCTTTCCTTTATAGACATTTAGTCCCTTTTCTCTGGATAGTTTCAAAATGCTGTCTTTGGTGATTTGCCATTTCACAATGGTTCTACGCATACATTTATATTTATCCTGTTTGGGAAATATTGTACTGCTTGGATATTTTTCATCTCCGAGAAACTTGCAGCCATTATGTCTTTAAATATTGCCTCTCATTCTTTCCTCGAGTCTCCATTCCATCTTCCGTATCTCTTAATCTCCCTTTTATATTTCCCATCTTCATTTGGGATTGACTTTTCAGTTTCCAATCTTCAGTTTTCTTCAACTGTCTAATCTGCTGTTTAATCTTTCCACTGAATTTCATATTAGAACAATTACATTTTTCATTTTTGGATTTTAAAAATGTTTGTTAAAATGTTCATTTTACATGTTTATACTGATAGCTTTAGGTATATATATGTATATATACTTTATATATAGCTATTCTATAACTTGTATCTGGTAATTCTTTTTTTTTTAAGTTGGGGACTTGCTCTGTCACCCAGGCTAAATACAATGCAGTGGCATAACAGCTCACTGTAGCCTTGACCTCCTGGGCTCAAGCAATCCTCTGACTTCAGCCTCCAAAGTAGCTGGGACTACAGGTGCACACCACCATACCTGACTAATTTTTATATGTTTTTTTTTTTTTTTTTTTTTTTTTTTGTAGAGAGGCAGTCCCGCTGTGTTACCCAGGCTAGTCTCAAACTCCTAACCTCAAGCAATCCTCCTGCCTTGGCCTCCCAAAGTGTTGGAATTACAGGCATGAGTCATTGTGCCTGGCTGATAATTCTAATGTACGAAATCTCTGACAGGGATATCTAAATTTAATATTTCTGTTGGTTCTTATTCAAGGTAACTTGCTGTCTCTCGCATGTGGTTAGGGATTTCTGACAGTGAATTACTTGATCTTAATCTGTGGAATCTGATAGTCCCAACCTGGAGAAGCTTCCATCCAGAGAATATTTCCTTCCACTGTCAGGGAAAGAGTGACATGCAAACTAAAATATGAACTCGTCTACAGGATTTAAGCACAGAAGATAAGTCCTGATGCTATTGCAAGGTTTGCTATCCTCAAAATTGTGTTGCTAGAGAAATCTATCCTTGGTAACCCCACTTCTCTTGGGTGCCTGCATTTTCAAAACCTGCTCCTTGCCATTGTGACTCCTATCTTTTCCAACTTCCTGCTACTCTGCCATACTCTGTAGACTCAGCTTCCAGTTCTCTCAATATTCCTACTTTTGTGCTTGAGCACTCCCACTCTAACTCTTAGGTGCTGAAGCCCTAACTTGTCCAGACTCTGCTCAAGTTTGTTTGCTTGTTTTGGGGTGAAGGGTTGCCAGAGACCACTCTTACCTTTATTGAGATCATCAATACCTCAAATTACGTATCTTATTGACGGTCTTCCACTAATTTTATATGTATATGTATACATATTATTTTTAATAACTTTAAAGCCTCTACCCATCATACTAATGTATAAAGCCAGTATCTCAGAAAAACCCTAGACCTCAAAAGATGGCTGGAAGGTAAATAAGAATTCTAAATTTAAATTAAGGTTATGATCTGTGGATTAGTATTTGCTTCTTTGGATTTTTCATACTTACTCCTTCAGTGGCTTTGGGAATACTGGCAGTACTTGCAAAAATCTTGTTAGACTTGAATCTGTACAGCAGATTTACCAAGTCAATATATGATTGCAATTTCCATTATGTCCTCAATTTGTGTTACAGGGAGAGCATGGATCATTTTATATTTCTAAAATATTCCATTTGTAATTTTTAAGTAAGATTACTATAAAATACTAGTATTCTGTTTTATTCATTTGCCTTTTTGAGAAGCCAGGTCCTAAATTAAAATAAGCTAACCTCAAACAAGAGAAAAGTACATACAATACTGGTGCTTGCATCTTAATTAAAACAGGCTGTTCTTCATTCATCAACATTTTGTTGCTTTAAAAAAAAAAACTTCCTATTCTCAGTATCTATACACAGTAAGCAGTCCATAAATATGCTTCAAATAAAAGATGCTACTGACCTTACAGGAGCAGAATACAAACTTTTCCCATTATTCCCAATGAAGTGGACAGTTTGCTCTGAATGTTCATGGTTTTAAGCCTTCACTAGGACAAAAAGTACTTGCAAGAATGTTTATTAAAGTTAATTAGTCTTTGAGATTTTGAACACAGAAAAGTTAAAGTATATTTTAATCATTAGGAAGTTTCTAAAAGGAAAGAATACTTAAAACCAAAGTTACAAATTTCAATCTATATAGACTTTAATTTGTGCATTTGTGATAATTTATGACTGCAAAAAACACTTGTTTTCTTAGAATGACATAGTGAAAGGCACATTTCATTTGAATGCATAGTGTACCATTCTAAAATATCCTAATTTCTTTACAAAGTGCTTGAGCAGTCACATACACATACAGTAATAGCAAAATATATTTACACTCTATAAAGCTTAAAATTTTAAATCTGACTAAAATATATATATATTTTAAACTACAAAAAATTAGTGCTTTCTTCAGCTTAATTGTGTAAATAGACCCTGCCTTCTAATTTTTTTAGTGATTGACTTCAATTAAAAAAAAATTCTGTACACTGTGTAGTTACGAAATGCTGTCAGTTTTTAATGCTAAGAGCCTATTTTAGACATTACTTTCTTTGCTATTTGAGAACCAAAAAAGTGAGCAGACTGTACCTCAAAAGTATTTAGTGTTTTATTTTAATGTTGTATTAACACAGTTTAAATTAAAGCCAGACAATTAAGCTAAGTTCCTCTATTGTCCTTTGCCGAGGAAATTAACTGGCATTTTAAAATAACTTTAAACCACATATTGTTCCCCCATTCTATAAGATTTTCTCCCAAAGGATCTTGGGTAATAAACAATTTGGAAGGTAATATAAATGATCTCTGGACAATTTTAATTGTTCTCAGAGTACAATGAAAAGATGCTAAAACATCCCAGCAAATATTTATAAATGTTTTTAGCTCAACTCTCCATAAATCAGTGTGCTTTTTCATGTTTCTCATAAGATTTACACCTGAACAATTTTTAAGAGATGAGCTCACTGTAATTAAATAGTTAATTCAGTATGGTTACTTAACAGCTTGCTATTCCTGAGGTATAATGACCCTAACATGCTAAGCACAGGATCAAAGATGCTATTACTAAACTAAGAAAAAACAATAAAGTCATAGATTAGGAGAAAAAAATATAAAATCAAACCAAACCAAAACAAACAAAAAACTACAGGCAAGTGGAAAGTCATGGTTTGTAAAAAGACAACCCTAAAAGAGTATAAAAAGCCACAGACGGATCCTTTGAAGAGTTGTATAAAATATTTCATCAAATTATTTTTGAGACTTTTGAGGTACAGCTTTAGTGTTATAATTCATTTTTTAATAAAATATAGACTGTTTTATCAAAAATATTTATACATTCTGTTACAATATATTGCTTTTGCCCTCAATAACTGCCAATATAAAATCTGGATCCAGTGGCCTAAAATGTACAAATGCACTTAATGTAAATGCTGGAGTTTGAGGTGTCTGCTTGGCCACTGTACAAAAGTGATGAAGTGGTAAAATTAAATAATAAGCCTACAACATAGAATACATTAAAACTTGCACATATACATGTTCACAGCATGTATACAATGATAATCCCTACGGTTTAACCAAGTTATGGTTCCCTTCTACAGCAGACACAAAACCAAGGTGAACTAGGTTGGCAGATGTAGAGTGAATACCAAAAAAAGGGTAATCGGTTCACTGATTCTGAAAGATATGACTGAACATACTGAGCATCTAGACTTTGGGAATGCATACAGGTAACAATATCTTGGTTCGGCTGATTAAAAGTCCTCATTCTTAACATCTTAAGTAAATGCTGATCCTGTTTGTTTCAGCACTGTTTAATAAACAAAAAAAATTGTTTGGCAAGCAGCTCTGTTGGAAAGCTATAAGCCTGTTACATGATTGATAAAAAAGGCAATATAAAGTTTTCTCCTAATAAATATAGAACATTTATAAAATAAGACATCAATTCATTCTGTTTTTTTAAAAAAAATCAAGCCCCGAGTTGTATACAAACTGCCACGGTTTTTGATATTACAGTAATGTCTTTTTTTTTAAAAAAAGGAGCATTTGCCTTATTCAAACAGAATCATACTTTGTGTGAACAGTAATAGCATTCCAAGCCCTTTTTTCTTTTTATAAAACATAGTTAAGTGATTAACTTTCCTTCCACTTAAGGCGGGCATATGGCAAAGCTAGGGACTATAAAAAAGTGGTTTTTTTCTTTCTTTTTAAAAATAGACTATTGATCCAAAAGTATTCGTGATGGATTTTCATGGCCGATGTTCACTCAACTTAAACTCCATGAAACTGTTTCCAGTGCTCATATTTACGCTGAAGTACAATGAGGAGCCACTTTTGAAGAAGTATTAGAATGGTACTTTTAAACAAATCTTCACGTGTTTCAATAAAAACAACAACAACAAAAAACTCAGAAGCTATTGGTGGCACAGAGAGCAAATGAAGGGTTGCTATTTTTAAGAGGTCTTCTTGTGAGTCAGCTTGGTTTCGCAGTGTCTAGCAACTTAACACCAATCAGCAATGTAGTCAAAATCTCTGAACATTTCCTGCTCCTCTTCCGAAAGTATCCTTGGTTCTCGAGGTGGAGTCAGAATAGGTGCTTCTGAGGTAAATTCATCATCAAAATTACTAACATCTTCTCGTCCTCTTATGGTAGGTATAAATGGTGGCTTTACTTTTTTGTCCATCAGAGCGCTCCAATCAATTAGCTGGATCATAAAATAAAAAATGACTAGTTTAGTTTGTTAAATCTAATCGCTCTAGTTTCATAAAAAATTTTAAATAGTCACACTTACCCGGAAAAATGGGTGCTTTTTTACATCCTCTGCATCTTTCTCGCTAGCCCCAAGGCGCCGTTCAGGATTTCTTCTTAACAGCTAGCATAATGTAAAATAAAAAAGTTAAAATAAAACCAATAGAATAAAATTCACTGATAAGGATTATTACTTTAAAAAACTTAGATATATTTTGTCTTTTTTTGTCTAAGCCATGCAACATTTATGAACTGAAAAACAGCTTTTAAAGTTCTACTGGGAAATTTTCTTTAGTATAAAAAATTAAAGTAGTCTTTAAAAAATTCTTATCCTTATTTTAATTCTTACCCTTCTCATTATAGAAATGGCTTCTGTAGATAAGAACCTTGGATACCTTACTTCATCATTTACAATACTGTCAAAAACTTCCTCTTCATCATCACCAGGAAAGGGAGACTAGAAGAAATACCTTTGAGTAAGTTAAAGCAAGTTTTAAGGCAGTAAAATCTTATCACCCATTCAAAGTACAACCAAGATCCAGGCAGTGAAAAAGAAAAAACAGACAAAACAACAACAACAACAACAACAACAATAAACCCATGCCTACCAAAACAACAACAAAAGAACTATAAGAAGTGACAACAGATATGTATCTATTACAGAGGGAATACACCATATACTCTTTCTGAAATCTTTAAATTTTATAGACCCTTATAAAAAACTTGTCTATCTCATATATGATATGACTTTTCATTTAATTTCATTCCACTCCATTCCATTTTATTTCATTCACTCAATCACCTATTTGGCCAGACAGTCAATTTTTAGTGTCTAACAGACAGTAGGGAATATTTAGATAATAGATAAATCCTGAAGAACCTCAATCTTGTGGAAAAACAGAAGAAAATGGATAAGGTTAATATGGTAATAAATGTTATAATAAAGGAAGGCAATCTGCGGAAATACATCAGATATAAATGTGCTTTGGATTTTAAAGTCAACAGTAAATTAATGGTGGTAAAACACAATCATGGATTAGCAAGCATAATGACTGTATTAAGAAGCAGCTGCCAACAAAATTAGACTGAAAGGAACCCAAAAAGCACACATTGCCAGGCATTTTTAATGTTCTAAACACAAAAAGTTTTAGGGCATTTCCATAAGCTCAGTATTAAAATCATTTTTCATAATGACCCTGAGACATAAAAAAGTAGTTACATTATATTCAGTATGACAATTTGATTCACAAAGAGAGAAACTTTCAACTATGCTAAAAACGTGTCTATCAAATGTGACTGCCTGCCTCAGAATTTCAGATGGCTTAAAAATCACTCAGTCATTTTTTAAATCAGGAAACAAATGTCTAAATATCATTTAATTCCTTAAAATCACTGAAATGAATTAGTATCTTGAACCTTATTTTCTCACTGGCTATTGAAGAAATATAGGCTTACTTAGCCTCGTTAGATTTGATTTGGCTGCTTGCTTCCAATTAAGTTTTAAAGAATAATAAGCAGAAAGCAATATCCAGGGAAAGTGAGCAATCTTTAAGAATCTGTGAAAATAAATTCAGAATCCAACTTCTTAAGGCTGAGCTTCTAATCTTGCTCACAGCTAAGAAAATTTCAAAGCTTACAGTTACCAAAACCTTAGTTTGTTCATTCACTCACTCAAAATACATAAATAAAATATACTACGTGGGACAATGTAGTACACTCAAAATACATAAATCAAATGTACTACATGGACAATCTAATTTCTTCTGGGGACTGAAACAGTAAGTCAGAAGAAAATTTTATTTTACTAGGATTCTCAATGGGAATTTCAATGGATAATACAAAGACAGCACTTTGGTCTTCTGCTTGAACAATTTTTACTTGAAAACTCATTCTACAAGTCTGAACAGCAAAGAAATATCTATACATTTGTTAAAATATGTAGTATCTTTTTTCTGCAAATAGATTGTAAGCAAACAGGGCTAACAACTGAAAGCTAACAAATGTGTTTTCAGCACATTTAAAGGAAACCAATAGTCTGTTCAGATGTCAACACTGACAGTATCTAAAACCATGTCCAGCATTCTGTTCAATCTCTCTGGTATCTTCACTCCCATCTGAGACAGGAAAAAGGGGACTTGCGATGTTTGTTTATTCCTGGAGTCTTTCCAGTAATCAAAACTAGTAGAAGTATACAAATCTGAACATGTATAATATATCCGGTGAGTTTACAATTATTTGTAATAATAGAGAAATCTGACATAAACTTTAGCCACACCTTACTTTCATCATAGTTAAAAAGGAGTTATCACTAGCATTTCACTAATGCTATAAAATTATGAAGTAGACTGATGAGTTTTAAGTTTAGTTCTTTTCCCAGCTACCCTCTTGTGGAGATACTAAAGAGAAATTGCAAGAAACAACTGTGAAGAAATAGCCAGATCCACTGTCTTTTATCTTCTAGGTAATTAAGAGCTCAATCAATTAGCTCTTTTAAAAAACATGAAACAGGAGCTTCCTTGTTTTCTGCCAAACCCTCCAGTGGCTTTATAATAGGAGGGAGTAGATTCAACTGGATTAATTCTACAGTATTTTGTAATAAACTCATATTTTGCACATGTCATCTCTAATATGGAGAGTAAATTTTAAGCAAGCACATAATTGAATCTCATAAATCTCATACTTACTTGAATACTACATGAAACAAAACCAAAAAAACCCTCCAAAATGTTACTGTTAAAATAAAGGAAGGGGGTGGGGAGGAGTTCAAGTATGCCAGAGCTTACAGCAGATTAACTATTTTATGAGAACTTCTGGCACTCTCAGAAAGTAAAAGCCACTGTGGACTGGAGCTAAAATAAATCTTTCCAACCTAAACACTGCACAACAGCTTTTCTAAATAGAGGTGAAAAATTCAGATCTGGACCACTAGTCTTAAGAACAGAAACAAGGCTGGATGAATTGAAGATCCTGTCCTGGAGCAGCAAAGCATAATGCTTTAGATATGCTCTGGAGCCAGAGTGACAAGGTTAAAATTCCAGCTCCACCATATGAGAGCTGTGTGACTTTAAGCAAGTCATTAATCTCTTTGTGTCTCTATTTACACCTCCGAAAATGGGCAGAAGATCAGTACTGAGCTTATTAAAGGCTGTTGCAAAATTAAATGAACTAATATTTAAGGCATACAGTACAGTGCTTAGCACATGATAAATTTTAATTAGCCATACTTCTCCTCCTTTTCCAAGGAATCCACTTCAAATTGACATACCAAAAGGGGTTATCCATCCGGCGAAACTAAAACCATTTGTTTGGGGTAAGTGCCAATAAATGACAAGCATAGAACAAAACTTTAGAAATTTCTGATATTCAATTTGATAATTTGTTCATTCAGCACTAACTTCTTCAAACTTACAAGTGTACAAGGGAGGTTGCTGGCATGGGGAAACTGCAGAATAATGAACCAATCCCTTAAAATAATTTTTCTTGCATCTCCAGTTCAAGTCCCTTCAAGTAATCTTCAATTACTTATTAAAAGATTTACTCTTTCCCAATTTCATCCCAATTCAACATTTCTAACAATTTATAACATAATAAATTATTAGTCTCCTATTATTGCCTTAACATAACTCACTGTTTCCTAATAGTAATAATTTCTATGTACAACTCAATTATCCTCAGAAATTTAAGTTAATCTACAGAAAACAGTAGGAAAAAATGCGAATTTTTTCAACTCTACCATTTTTTAAGGTAACACTTCTTTCATTTTTTTAAAATTATATTTTATTTAACAATCTAGGAAGTTCACAGCCATCAGCAGTTCTATAGCAACTTCAGGTGCAACTGGGAATTCAGGAATCTCGGTGGAGCTGTTGGTGTAGCGAATACTTTTGATAGCACATGTGAAGGTATCTCTCTCAAATTGACCTCATTGGTTTCATTCTCAGCAAATTGACCTGGGCCACTCAACATGGCTTTTATCGTGCTGATGTTAATGTACGTTCTGTTTTTACAATAAATTCATGGCCATCGGATGATATCAATTTGACATACATGGCATCAGGGCCTTCACAGCTACCATAGGTTTTCTCCTCTCTCCATCCATTTTGTTCTTACGAAATTCTACTTTGCTTCCCCAGGAACTTCAGTAGTTTCCCGGTGAAGCAAGGATGCAGAGTGTGTTGCTCAGACGGAAGTCTGGAGGAAGTCGAAGGTAACATTTATTTCTGACCAATCTATAGTGGGCTTTTCTTTACAGGTACAGAGTACATTCCTTTTATTAGTCTTTCTGTTATTCCATTCCCTATAAAATGACTATGTCTTAAAATCAGAAAACATAATAAAAGTACAATACTGAAATACAAGGAACTATTTTCAAAGCACTGATAGTGCATTCCACAAACCACATAAAAATCTTTATTGAAGGTATTACAGAAAGATAGCTGACTACTAGTATACTATAAATATTTATAAAACTTAAATTCCACTCATACTGAAGACAGTATTAGGTGGTTTTATAAATGACATGCTTTATTATTTCAATCATCCTTCCTCTGTTCTCTTACCTATTTCACACTGCTTACCTCACCAACAAGCATTTCATATATAAGCACGCCAAGGCCCCACCAATCTACAGCCCTTGTATAAGAAGTTTCTGTTAATACTTCTGGGGCAAGAAATTCAGGAGTGCCACAAAATGTGCTTGTTCTATCTCCATATCCCATTCCTGGAAAAGATAAAATGTAAACATTTGTTAGCAAAGAAAACAAATCTAGCATAAAAAAAAAATCAAAGCTATCTTTGGGAGGCAAAATTAAAGTTGCACATTTGTGCATGGTGAACAAATTCAGACATATCTAAGACATTTCAAGAAAACAGTAAGGACTGGTATAGCAAAAACTGCAATAGCAACTATACTGTCTAATTAATGGGTAAATAGAAATAAGATATCCATGTTTCTTTTCAGTTACTTTTTCTTCTTGTCATTACAAGGGAGCTAAGAAATTATAACAAAATGAACTGATTGTGAAGTTCCATTATCTTTCCAATTCAATCTTAAATAAGTTTATTTACTTCATTATAAAATCAACATTCTAAAAAAAATAAGTTTCAAAAATACCAAAAAGCAAACCCTTGGATAATCAGAAGCTGACCAAATGTGTCATATAATACAGAGAGATAGGGCCGTGTGCAGTGGCTCATGCTTGTAATCACGGCACTTTGGGAGGCCGAGGCGGGTGGATCACCTGAGGTCAGGAGTTCAAGACCAGCCTGGCCAACATGATGAAACCCGTCTCTACAAAAAAAACAAAAACAAAAATTAGCCGGGCATGGTGGCTCCCGCCTGTAATCTCAGCTACTCGGGAGGTTGAGGCAGGAGAACTGCTTGAACTTGGGAGACGGAGGCTGCAGTGAGCTGAGATTGTGTCATTGCACTCCAGCCTGGGTGACAAGAGCAAAACTCTGTCTCAAAAAACAAACAAACAAAAAACATATATATATCTCAATATATATTATATATAGAGAGAGAGAGAGGAGGGGACGGGAGGGGAGGGGAGAAGAGGGGAGGGAAGGGAAGGGAAGGGAAGGGAAGGGGAGGGAAGGGAGAGTACAGGTTGAACATCCCTAATCCAAAAATCCAAAATCTAAAATGCTTCAAAATCTGAAACTTTTTGGGCACCAACATGATGCCATAGAGAATTCCGCAAGTACTTAAGATTAGTTTCATGCACAAAATTATTAAAAATATTATATAAATTTACCTTCAGGCTATGTATAAGGTATATATGAAACATATATAAATTTTGTGTTTAGACTTGGGTCTTGGCCTCAAGATATGTCATTATTTATATATGCAAATATTCCAAAATCCAAATAAATCTGAAATTCAAAACATTTCTCATTCTAAGCATTTTGGATAAGGGATACTCAGCCTGTATTAACATTTTGGCTAACTAGTTTTTAAATATATGTTCCTCATAATTTATTAATATGTTAATCAAATATATAGTCTACATATTGAAGATATTATCTCTATGTATTCCAAAGTGTTAAAAACTTGTCATAAGTGTCATCTTTTTAAGAATTTTAAAGAAAAGCTCTCAATCCTAAATTAAGAATAATTAGGTATGCATATATAGTGACTATAAAATAGAAATGAATGTGTGTCTATGAACCAAGACCTGAAGGGCACAATTAGATACATTAGCACACTGGAGTGGAGAAATTTTTTTTTGGCAAAATTTCTTTAACACTATCATAATGATTTTTATTTTCTTCAATAAAATATTATTTAAAAAAACAGTGATATAGTATTAATATCTATGTAAGTTCTGCACCAGCCTTTTAGTAACTTGGAGAAAACTAGGAAAAAGTTAATTAATGAAGAAATATAACTTATGTTTCTTGTAGACTGGTAAAACTCCATGGAAGTGGTTAATATCAGGCTCTAGATTAATAAATACCTGGTTTAAGTTCCAGTTCTGTCATTTGTTAACTGTGGGAGGTTGGGAAAGTTGTCTAACATCAAATTCTAGGTTTCTTCATCTGTATATGAGAGTTAATAATACCATCTACCAGTGTGGAATGATAAGACAAGGAAGACTCAGAAGGGTGAGGAGGTGGAAGGGGGGTGGATGATGAGAAATTACTTAATAGGTACAATGTATGTTATTTGGGTGACGAATATCCTAAAAGCCTTGATTTCACCACTATGCAATTTATGCATGTAACAAAATTGCACTTCTACCCTATAAATTTATATAAATAAAAATAAAATAAAAAATAAAATATTTCCTCCAAAAAAACTATCTACCTTCATACGATTGTTATAAATTACAGGAGATATGCATATGAAGCAAAATTCTTGGCACACGGTAAGCACTCAAAAGTTGTTAGCTATATAATCTACTAAACATGTTTTTATGATAATGCATTAATAAGTCTGGTTATTCAACACACATATTTTCTGCACCTTTTATGTTCTAGGCACCTGTGTCAAGTAGCGGGAACATAAAAACGAGAGTAAGACACAGTCTTTAAGGGGCTTACAGGAGACTGGAGGGAAATGGATATTTATTGATAATTTTATAACAACAAGGGAAGAGCAAGATAAGGTAGAATAGTGAAGAAGGGCTCCTAAAGCAGACTTGGGAGTTGGGGTAGTAAAAGGGAATCTCTGGTAACTTGCCTGTAGAGGTTACACTTGAGTTGAATGACAAGGATGAGCAGATGTTAGTCAGCAAATAGAGTTGGGATGGGTGACAGTGCTAGAGGGACACAGACTATAAGCAGTTCATTGTTGCTGCAGCAAAAAGTACTAAACAGAGAGCAGCAAGAGATGTGGCCAGAGAGGAAGGCAGGCAGATCAGTAACGGCACTGTATGTCACCTTATCCTAGCCACTGAAGAGTTTTCAGCAGGTATGTGCCATGGTCCGATCTGTATTTATATGGACTCCTTAAGCAATTCAGCAATTACATGGCAGGTTGATTTGGGATAGAAAAAGACTAGAAATAGGAACAATTAGGAGATTATTATACCTGTCTTGTCAAAACAAGATAATGGGTGAAAGGAGCTGACTGGAAATGATAGATTTCAGAAATATTCAGGAGGTTAAGTGGCAGTAGAATTTTGTGAATAACTACATACGGGAAGTAGAGAACAGGATAGAACGCAAGATAATTCCTTACTTTCAGATTGAAGGCTGAGGGGATTGTGATACCAACACCCAGACTACCGGCGGAAAATAAATGATTTTTGTTTGGGTAGTGTTTGAGGTGTCTCTTCACTATTCAGGCAGAGCTGTCTAGTAGACAGTTGAATATATATCTTTGGAATCCATAGGAAAGGAAATAATAGATTTGGGAGTCATTAGGATATAGCTGCTAGTCAAAAAATTGCAGTGAAGAGCAGCCGGCTAAGGAGAGATGCTGAGAAACAAAAGCATTTAGAGGAACAGTGTCCAATAAAAAGAAGCCCAGTCAAGAAAAAACTTACTTGATTCAGCAATTAGGTCAGTGGGTATGTGATGGGCATATATCTACAGAGTTCATTCATTTATTCATCCAACTACTTATTAATCAAACACTTACTGAATACTTAAGATGTACCATGCACTGTGTTATGCACTATGGAAACAAAGCTAAATAGCAAACAGAAGCCACCAGTGCAGAGGGAGATAGAGAATGTTAGTAACTAGTAAACAGAAAGAACTATGTCCATTTTTTTATAATTGGGGAAATAAGACTCAAAGAGGTTAAAACTAAGTTTTCCAAAGACAAACAGCAAATAGTGGCAAAGCCACGATTCAAACCTAGAACTGTTTAGTGCCTAAGCCCATGATCTTTATCCTTTCTTATGTTACCTCTGATTCAAATTTCCCCAATTTACTTATTTACTTTTGAATATACAAAAAACATACATGAGATACCTATCTCTATTTATTTTCTATTTTTAAATGTTTCAACTTTAAGAAGCTGGAAGGAAATTATCAGGCCTATGAAATTCACTGTGTACAGTCTCACCAGAATAAACGATTTTGGTGCTTAATCAATACTTCCTTAAAGTAGTGACAA
This sequence comes from Homo sapiens, assembly GCF_000001405.40. Classification (NCBI taxonomy): domain Eukaryota; kingdom Metazoa; phylum Chordata; class Mammalia; order Primates; family Hominidae; genus Homo; species Homo sapiens. Next base: position 88,824,631 of record NC_000001.11, on the reverse strand, counting down.
AATTATTAATCACACAGAGAAGCTTACTATGATTTCTATACATCTAACCTTATTTGTATTCAGAGAACAAATTCTTAATGTGATAATTAGGTTATATAAGCAATGTTTTCATTGTATCTACAATGTCTTAATGAAGAATAAAGTTAAAAGTACAGTTTGTTTTCCATAGACAAACTTGAAAACTACTGATGCACAAAGAAACAGTAATTCTGAATCAGAAAAGAAACTTAAAAACATTCGATTACCTTCTTTGCAAAGACCAAAATCAGCAATTTTCACAAAGCCCTCTGTATCTAGCAATAAGTTATCCAATTTCAAATCTCTGTTCAGGATAAAAAGATACAGCATGAAAAAAAAAAATCAAAGAAATCAGTAGGTTATACAGTTAAAAAAATAATTGCAATTGGAACTGTGTTTTCTCTTTATTAAAAATGGGATTTCCAAGTTATGATTTGAGATTTAAATACTATAACACAAACATTCAGTTTTCTTCCTTTTGGTAAGTTTATTACTCTATATAAGGTAGCTCATGAGAAATTCTTCTCCTGTTACATAAAAAAGGAAAAATGTATTTAATTTGTTATTTGTGATAATCTAATTTAATCCTTTTTTTTTTTTTTTTTGAGACAGAGTCTCACTTTGTCACCCAGGCTGGAGTGCAATGGCGTGGTCTCAGCTCACTGCAACCTCTGCCTCCCGGGTACAAGCGATTCTCCTGCCTCAGCCTCCCGAGTAGCTGGGACTACAGTCGCGTGCCACTACACCCGGCTAACTTTTGTATTTTTATTAGAGAGGCGGTTTCACTATTTTGGCCAGGCTGGTCTTGAACTTCTGACCTCGTGATCCGCTGGCCTCAGCCTTCCAAAGTGCTGGAATTACAGGCGTAAGCCACCACACCCAGCCTTTTTTTTTTTTTTTTTTTTTTTTTAAGACAGAGTCTCACTCTGTCACCCAGGCTGGAGAGCACTGGTGTGATCTTGGCTCACTGCAACATCCACTTTCCAGGTTCAAGCAATTCTCGTGCCTCAGCCTCCCAAGTAGCTGGGACTACAGGTGCCCACCACCAAGCCTGGCTAATTTTTTTTTATTTGCAGTAGAGATGGGTTTTCACCATGTTGGCCAGGCTGGTCTTGAACTCCTGACCTCAGGTGATCCACCTGCCTCGGCCTCCAAAAGTGCTGGGATTACAGGTATGAGCCACTGCACCTGGCCAACTTAATCCAGTTTTAAAGTTTGCTTATATACCATCCATAAGAAAGAATTGTAAAGTTAACAGTATTAATAAGGCATCAGAGGGCAGGTTTCATCTTCTGAAAGAATAAGAGAAAGCTATCCATCCATACTAATTGTTTACAAATTAGGCAAACTGACAATATTTTATCCATTTTTTTCAATTTATTTTTTATTTTTGTGAGACAAGGTACTCACTCTGTTGTCTAAGTGGAGTGCAGTGGCATAATCACGGCTCACTGCAGCCTTGACCTCCCAGGCTCAAGGAATTCCCCCACCTCAGCCTCCTGAGTAGCTGGGATACAGGCAGATGTCATCACTCCTGGCTGATTTTTGTTATTTTTTTGTAGAGACAGAATATCACTATGTTGCCCAGGCGGGTCTCAAACTCCTAGACTGAAGCAATCCTCCCACCTTGGCCTCCCCAAATGCTGGGGTTACAGGCATGAGCCACTGTGCCCAGGAAACATTTTATCCATTAGGTAAAACAATCTTATCATGAAAACATCATTAGAACCTTACCGGCTGGGCACGGTGGCTCACAACTGTAATCCCAGCACTTTGGGAGGCCGAGGCGGGTAGTCACCTGAGGTCAGGAGTTTTAAGACCAGCCTGGCCAACATGGTGAAACTCCATCTATACTAAAAATACAAAAATTAGCTGGGCATGGTGGCGGGCACCTGTAATTCCATGTACTCAGGAGGCTGAGGCAGGAGAATCGCTTGAACCCAGGAGGCAGAGGTTGCCATGAGCCGAGATTGTGCATTGCACTCCAGCTTGGGTGACAAGAGCGAAACTCCGTCTCAAAAAAAAAAAAAAAAAGCTTAAATAATCCAATGTTTATAGTCTTCTAATTCTGACTAGCCTTCTCATAATCTGCTTGGTCCTGGGCAGTGAGTGTTAGTCAAGGTGTGGTTCACAAACTAGCTGCTGGGCCACGAATTACAGAGATCAGCTACATCACCAATACACTATTTAGTTCAGTTGACAATAAGGCTTCTTAATGAGGGAAGCAGTGTGATGTTTTACACTCTAACACAAGCTACTTGTCTCATCATGGACACGTTTTTAGTAGTATTGGTCTATAGAGGTTTTCTGCAATGAGTCGTTTGAATGCAAAATATTCACTAGGATGAATATTGTTGAGAAATGCACTATCATAGACCAACTCATAATTTGACTATTTTAATTAGAAAATGTGCTATGGATTAGGAAACAAAAAGTTCATCATATAATCATAGTGCTAACCACGTCTTTCAACATTGGGGTTTGACTTACAGGTGAAGGAGAAAACTAAGAAACTGGTTAAACATAAAATGTTTAAGAAAAACAAAATACTATCTTTAATTCTAAATCATACCAAAGCAAGCCATTAGAAAAAATTAAAAATTAACTTACCTATAAACAATTTTGTGTTCATGTAAATACTGCAACCCAAGAACTACACAAGCAGCATAAAATCTGTTTGAAGAATTAAATCAACAGGAGTTTAATAAATTTTATTGCTCTTGAATCCCAGCTTATATGTTTATACTTCAAAGCAGACCTATCATTAATTTATTTCACAAATATTTATTTAGTCCCTACTATGTATCACATTGTGCTAGATATTAGGGGTAAAATTTAAAAATGAGAAAAGTACAGTCTTGACAATGGAAGCCATTAACTTTGCCTAGTGGAGTCACTGAGAACCTCAGAGGGGACATTTGATCTGGTTCTGCAGGAGGAATTACAATATAACATAAGGACAAAGGACAGTGTGACAGGCAGAAGTTTTGTAGGGGAATAATAAAGTACTTACCTGAGAGAAAAAAGAAATAGAGGTGCAAAAGGCGTAACATGTTTGATAACAAGTAAGTTTGGTGTGGCTGAAGTAAAGGATGGGTGTATCTGGGGACGAAGTAGGAGATTAGGCTGAAAAGATATCCTGGGCGAAGGACCTTGAATGTCATATTATGGATACTGAAATTTTTTCTCTTAGTGACAGAGAATCAAACCATTTTAATCAGAGGAGAATGATGGCATTTATGTTAAAGTTTTCTGGTAGCAATGCGAAGGATGGAGAAGTAGGTAGAGATCCAGAGGAAAAAAGAACAGATAAGGCTTTTATCATATTATAGATGAAAAGATCATGAGAACATCCACTGTAGTGGCAACAGAGAGACAGATTCACAAAAACTTAAAAATTAGCATGACAGAAGGTGGTATCCCATTACAGGATAAGGAAGTGGGAAGAACTAAAGGTAACTTTCAAGGTTTCCATCTTAGAATGAACAGATAAAGAAACATAGAGGTAGCCAAGGTTGTGTGACAAAACTAAGTTTGGCATTTGACAGGTTGACTTTGTCTGTGGGGCAGGTGATGATATGTAAAAGCTGGGTATGCAGGTTTGGATCTCAAAAAACCTGGGTCGAGAGAGAATAATTCTTGAGGCGCAGGACCATGTTTGACTTTTTCAATTTTTATCCTAAATGCATTAGCATAATGCCTAATATACATGATAGGCTTATTGAACAAGGAGGAAATAAATGAATAGATTTAAAAATGCAAATGTCTTCAGTGTAGAATAGCCTATGAACAGACCCTTAGGATAATTAGTTTTTAATTATAAAAGTAATAACATGAATATTTTCTCTATAAAACGTAATATGCTTCTCCAAAGTACACTATTTAATCCATCTATCTCCATCTCACCTCATTCCACTGCCGTTCATACAGATAACAATTCTTGTCACTTTAATGTTATTCCAAACTTTCAGAATATATTTACATTCACATGTAGATAATATAGCTATGTTTTATATTTACCTATTTTTATTAAAAATGGGTCAATAATTTTTATTTATTTATTTTATTTATTTTTTTTTTGAGATGGAGTTTTGCTCTTGTTGCCCAAGCTGGAGTGCAATTGCACAATCTCAGCTCACCGCAACCCCCACCTCCCCAGTTCAAGTGATTTTCTTGCCTCAGCCTCCTGAGTAGCTGGGATTATAGGCATGTGCCACCACGCCCAGCTAATTTTGTATTTTTAGTGGAGACGGGGTTTCTCCATGTGGTCAGGCTGGTCTCGAACTTCCGACCTCAGGTGATCTGCCCGCCTCGGCCTCCCAAAGTGCTGGGATTACAGGCATGAGCCATGGTGCCTCGCATTTTTATTTTTTTCTATTTATATATATATATATATATATATATATATATATATATATATATATATATATATAGGTTTCTGAAAAGATTTGTTTGATTTATTTACTTTTAAATTATACTTTTAAGTTCTGGGATACATGTGCAGAATGTACAGGTTTGTTACATAGGTATTCACGTGTCATGGTGATTTGCTGCACCCATCAACCCGTCATCTACATTAGGTATTTCTCCTAATGCTATCCCTCCCCTAGCCCCCGACCCCCGGTGTGTGATGTTCCCCTCCCTGTGTCCAGGTGTTCTCATTGTTCAACTCCCACTTATGAGAACATTCAGTGTTTGGTTTTCTGTTTCTGTGTTTGTTTGCTAAGAATGATGGTTTCCAGCTTCATCCATGTCCTGCAAAGGACATGAACTCATCATTTTTTATGGCTGTATAGTATTTCATGGTGTATATGTGCCACATTTTCTTTATGCAGTCTATCATTGATGGGCCTTTGGGTTGGTTCCAAGTCTTTGCTATTGTGAACAGTGCTCCAATAAACATACGTGTGCATGTGTCTTTACAGAATTTATAATCCTTTGGGTATATACCCAGTAATGGGATGGCTGGGTCAAATAATATTTCTAGTTCTAGATCCTTGAGGAATCACCACACTGTCTTCCACAATGGCTGAACTAATTTACACTCCCACCAACAGTGTAAAAACATTCCTATTTCTCCATATCCTCTCCAGCATCTGTTGTTTCCTGACTTTTTAATGATCGCCATTCTAACTGGCGTGAGATGGTATCTCATTGTAGTTTTGATTTGCATTTCTCTAATGACCAGTGATGATGAGCTTTTTTTCATATGTTTTTTGGATAAATGTCTTGAGAAGTGTCTGTTCATATCCTTCACCTACTTTTTGATGGGGCTGTTTTTTTTCTTGTAAATTTGTTTCAGTTCCTTGTAGATTCTGGATATTAGCCCTTTGTCAGATGGACAGATTGCAAAAATCTTCTCCCATTCTGTAGGTTGCCTGTTCACTCTGACGACAGTTTCTTTTGCTGTGCAGAAGCTCTTTAATCAGATCCCATTTGTTAATTTTGGCTTTGGTTGCCACTGCTTTTGGTGTTTTAGTCATGAAGTCTTTGCCCATGCCTGTGTCCTGAATGGTACTGCCTAGGTTTTCTTCTAGGGTTTTTATGGTTTTGAGTCTTATGTTCAAGTCTTTAATCCATCTTGAGTTAACTTTTATATAAGGTGTAAGGAAGGGGTTCAGTTTCAGTTCCCCGCATATGGCTAGCCAGTTTTCCCAACACCATTTATTAAATAGGGAATTCTTTCCCCATTACTTGTTTTTGTCAGGTTTCTCAAAAGATGAGATGGTTGTAGATGTGTGGCATTATTTCTGAGGCCTCTGTTCTGTTCCATTGGTCTATATACATGTTTTGGTACCAGTACCATGGTGTTTTGGTTGCTGCAGTCTTGTAGTATAGTTTGAAATCAGGTAGCGTGATGCCTCCAAATTTGCTCTTTTTGCTTAGCGTTGTCTTGGCTATACGGGCTCTTTTGGTTCCATGTGAAATTTAAAGTAGTTTCTTCTTTTTCTTTTTTTTTTTTTTTTGAGAAGGAGTCTCACTCTGTTGCCCAGGCTGGAGTGCAGTGGCACAGTCTTTGCTTACTGCAACCTCCACCTCCCAGGTTCAAGCAATTCTCCTGACTCAGTCTCCCGAGTAGCTGGGATTACAGGCGTGTACCACCATGCCTATCTAATTTTTGTATTTTTAGTAGAGACGGGGTTTCACCATGTTGGCCAGGCTAGTCTCAAACTCCTGACCTCAAATGACCCACCCGCCTCAACCTCCCAAAGTGCTGGGATTACAGGCGTGAGCCACCACACCCAGCCTAAAGCAGTTTTTTCTAATTCTGTGAAGAAAGTCAATGGTAGCTTAATGGGGATAGCATTGAATCTATAAATTACTTTGGGCAGTATGGCCATTTTCAAGATATTGATTCTTCCTATCCATGAGCATGGAATGTTTTTCCATTTGTTTGTGTCCTCTCTTATTTCCTTGGGCAGTGATTTGTAGTTCTCCTTGAAGAGGTCCTTCACATCCCTTGTAAGCTGTATTCCTAGGTATTTTATTCTCTTTGTAGCAACTGTGAATGGGAGTTAATTCATGATTCAGTTCTCTATTATCAGTGTATTATGCTTGTGATTTTTGCACATTGATTTGTATCCTGAGACTTTGCTGAAGTTGCTTATCAGCTTAAGGAGATTTTGCGCTGAGATGATGGGGTTTTCTAAATATATAATCATGTCATCTCCAAACAGAGACAATTTGACTTCCTTTCTTCCTATTTTAATAAACTTTCTTTCTTTCTCTTGCCTGATTGCCCTGGCCAGAACTTCCAATACTATGTTGAATATTGGCTGTGGGTTTGTCATAAATAGCTCTTATTATTTTGAGATACGTCCCATCAACACCTAGTTTATTGAGTTTTTAGCATGAAGCAGTGTTGAATTTTATCGAAGGCCTTTTCTTTTCTTTTTTTTTTTTTTGAGACGGAGTCTCGCTTTGTCGCCCAGACTGGAGTGCTGTGGCGCGATCTCGGCTTACTGCAACCTCTGCCTCCAGGGTTCAAGCGATTCTCCTGCCTCCTGCCTCCTGAGCAGCCGAGACTACAGGCCTACACCGCCACACCCAGCTAATTTTTTTGTGTTTTTAGTAGAGATGGGGTTTCACCATGTTGGCCAGGCTGGTCTCGATATCCTGACCTGGTGCTCCAACCACCTCGGCCTCCTAAAGTGCTGGGATTACAGGCATGAGCCACCTCACCCGGCCTTTTTTTTTTTTTTTTTGAGACAGAGTCTTGCTCTGTCGCCAGGCTGGAGTGCAGTGGCGTGATCTCCGCTCACTGCCACCTCCGCCTGTCGAAGGCCTTTTTTGCATCTATTGAGATAATCATGTAGTTTTTGTCATTGGTTCTGTTTATGTGATGGATTACGTTTATTGATTTGTGTGTGTTGAACCAGCCTTGCATCCCAGGGATGAAGCCGACTTGATCGTGGTGGATAAGCTTTTTGATGTGCTGCTGGATTTGGTTTGCCAGTGTTTTACTGAAGATTTTTGCATCGATGTTCATCAGGGATATTGGCCTGAAATTTTCTTTTTTTGTGGTGTCTCTGCCAGGTTTTGGTATCAGGATGATGCTGGCCTCATAAAGTGAGTTAGAGAGGAGCCCCTCTTTTTCTATTGTTTGGAATAGTTTCAGAAGGAATGGTACCAGCTCCTCTTTGTACCTGTGGTAGAATTTGGCTGTGAATCCATCTGGTCCTGGGCTTTTTTTGGTTGGTAGGCTATTAATTACTGCCTCAATTTCAGAAAAATATGGAATGCTTCACGAATTTGTGTGTCATCCTCGCACAGGGGTCATGCTAATCTTCTCTATAAGGTTCCAATTTTAGTGTATGTGCTGCTGAAGTGAGCACGGGTCTATAATTTTTAAACGCGGGGCTTGTGCTGCAGGGGTGGTGGTCAGGGTCCACCAGGCAGTTTCATCAGGGCTTAGACTTCCCAACACAGAAATAAAAAACAAAAATAAAATGCAACTACTTAGAAATACTTACTTAATTATACATTAAAAATTAAACAACTTACCAGAAGTTTTAAGGATCTACTGAAGTTTATTAAAATAAACGTGAGCTTAAAATTGCTTAAGATGGCCAGGTGTGGTGGCTCATGCCTGTAATCCCAGCACTCTGGGAAGCTGAGGCAGGCAGATCACCTGAGGTCAGGAGTTTGAGACCAGCCTGGCCAATAGAGTGAAACCCCGTCTCTACTAAAAATACAAAAATTAGCCAGGCATGGTGGCACGCGCCTGTAGTCCCAGCTATTTGGGAGGCTGAGGCAGGATAATCTCTTGAACCTGTGTGGCAGAGGTTGTAGTGAGCCAAGACGGTGCCACTGCACTCCAGCCTGGGAGACGGAGCAAGACTCTGTCTCAAAACAAACAAACAAACAAAATTGCTTAAGATAGTTAAACATAATTTTCTTAGCAAACTTATTTTTGTGGCAAAACAATACTGTAACAATTATAAAAATACCTTGATTTCTCTCTTTTTTTTAATTTGGGGGGGTCTCACTCTGTCGCCCAGGGTGGAGTGCAGTGACGTGATCTTGGCTCACTGCAACCTCTGCCTCTGGGGTTCAAGTGGTTCTCCTGCCTCAGCTTCCCAAATAGCTGGGATTACAGGCGCCTGCCACCATGCCCAGCTAATTTTTGTATTTTTAGTATAGACAGGGTTTCACCATGTTGGCCAGGCTGGTCTAGAACTCCTGAGCTTAAGTGATCTGCCTGCCTCTGCCTCCCAAAGTGCTGGGATTATAGGCATGGAGCCACCGCTCCCCGCTGATTTCTTTCTTTGTAAACAGACTGCCTTGATTAATTGCGTATACCATCTAAAATACATATTTTATTGAATGCTCCTGTTTGTCCGGTATTGTGTCAGTTATTTTCATTTATTAGCTTATTTAATCTTCAATCAAGCCTTAAGATATTTTACAGAGCAGATAATGAAGCTCAGAAAACATAATTTGTCTAAAGTTAGACTATGAAACAACAAAGCTAGAAATCAAGCTATTTTGATTCTATGGTTTCAATCAATAAAAATTCACTGATTGCCTAATATGTTCCAGGTATTCTTTTAGGTGTTTCACTAATAAACAGGACAGATATGGTTCTTGCTCCTCTCTTTTAAGTGAAATAAGATAGACAATAAAAATTTTAAAAATAAATCAGATGATTTCATGTAGAAATAAAATGATATGAAAAAGATAATACAGAAAATAGAGTGAACTGAATTGGTTAGTGATGTGATATTTTAGCTAGGGAACTCAGAAAATTACCTTTAAAGAAATGACCTTTGATCTGAGAACTGAATGATAAAGGGAGGTACTTTCAGATTTGGAGTTCTGTAATGCAGCATTGTATTCTTGTATTTTCACTGGACTTTATGGTTTTATTTGTATATAATTTATATTCTCAGCAAAAATAACAGTTTCTTAAGGCAAACTACATTTATGTATTATTTTAAAAACAAAAACAAGCATAAAAAATAAAACCAAACAAATTCCCATGGCAGCATAAGGTTAGGCATAATTGTAATGCTCTGCCTTAAATATTGAGGGAATGAATTATTCGTAGCCTTCTACTACTTTCTGGCTTTTCCCTCCTTTTAAAATGCTTCAGTACCCATTAGAATTAACCCCTATGTCCCTCATCTGAAACTTGATGGTTATGACAGTATTACAATTCTCTGCTCTAAATACCTCTAATGGTTATGACAAGAATCAAATGGAGGAATCAAAGAGAAAGTACAACACAAATGTCAGTTGCTATTTCATCAGATTATAGATGTGGAATGAAAACTAAAGAGTAAATACAATAGAGATTTACTACTGGGTTTATGCTTCCTATGACTTGGGATATATTCTACAGGTGGAGTTGACTGGACTTGCTAATAGTTTGAGTGTTGAAGTTAAAGGAAAAAGAGCATCAAGAATGACTTTTTGTGTTCTGGCTTGAACCTGGTATTGCTGTTTAATAAAATAGGGAAGACTAAGAGTAGCAGGCCTGGGGAGTAGTAGATGAGGTAGGTAGAAAAATGGAAAAAATCAGTTCAGTTTAAGTTGTTAAATAAGATATTTAGCCACACAAATGGAAAACTAGCTGACCACTGAATATTATTAGAGTTGGAAGTTTAGGTAAGAGGACGGGGCTGGAAACACAAATTTGGTAAACACCAGCATGCAGGGTGTAGGTATTAATATCACTTTCCTAGGTTCAAATCCTAGCTCCACCATTTAACAGCTACAAAATTAAGATACTAACAGGGAAAATATACACACATGCATATATAATTTCAAGTGTTTACTATTATTCTTATTTATTTGAATAAGCCAAACCTTGAATTCAAAAACTACAAAAAGAGTTTACAATGAAAAGTCTGCTTTTTATCTCTTTGTCTGGAGGCAACACACATACCAGTTTCTTTTACATTTGTTCAGAGATATTTTACGCACAAGGACGCAAATAGTTGATATTCTTTTAAATTATGCTTTAGAAAGGCAAATACAAATATTTTATATAAATATATGATACAGACTCTTCTGTACTTTCTTTTCAAAAACTTAACAGTGCATTTTGAGTATAATCTGTCTTTAAAGCTGTAATTCTGGATGGCATTCTCTAGTGAGAAAATCTAATAGCAAAAAAAGAAATTTTACTAAAATGAATCTAAATTGCTTATCTAAAGTATCAATTGTGGTTTTGGGCAATCCATGACATTTTCAACACAGACAACAGAATACATACAAAAAGTATATGGCAAAAAAGTAAGTAAGGAGTTCTAGTATTTCTTGCAGAGATCTATTTTCTGTTAGGAAAAAAAATCTAAAATTCAAAGAATCTCTTTTCCTTCCCAGAATGAAATCAGTCATGGAAAAACTCAGACAAATGTCTAAAGCATACTCACACAGCTCTTGGTTCAGAAAAGACATCAGTATGAATGTGCATCATTAGGTCCCCACCGGCAGCATATTCCATTACAAAGCAAACATGCTCTTTGGTTTGGAAACATGCAAAAAGGTTCACCAAAAAGGGATGCCTTACACTATTCACAGTTTCAAAAATTCTTTTTTCACACATCAGGCTGTAAAAGAAAATATTTTAAAATAAGCAGATTAAAAATAATTCTAGTTGGAAATAACATTCTTTATAAATTACTAAACTTAAAAATAAGCAAAATTTTAACTATAACTTAAAAATCCTAACATGTGTCTTAGTTTTGCTATATGTGCTATGAAAACTGACCTACCTAAAATAAATAACTTCAGTTGAAATATATTAATAGAAACTTTAAAAGATTATAGCATTCACATTGATAGTCTATAGCACATACATGGTTAGTGGTTACAGTTGATTTTTTAAAAGGCTTAATTAAGGGTGAAATATGAAAATTCTTCAGGAATTGGTCAGAGAATTTAGCAATTTAAAGCGTACTTTGAAAAATTTAAAAGTTTGTGGTGAAGGTAATTTCAAAGACAGTATCTATAATTCACAAGCTATAGTATTCAATTTTTTATCATATAAAATTGATATGAAGTTGAACAGTACAGATATGCTGCATAAAATTTTAATTTAAAAGACTAGAAAATAAAGAGGATACCTGACAAACTTTCTAAATGTTACTACAGATTAAGGCACTATTATAAATAAACTCATAGAAGATTAAAAAGTTAACAGTTTTTATTTTTGTCATCATTTAAATTTACTAGAAAATAATGTACTAAAAATTGCTTTAGACAAGATCAGTAAGATGTATTCTAAAACATCTGCTTTATTAAGCCAATCTGAATTTTGGCTAAATGTAGATAAAATAATCAGATGAAATAAGACAAAACAAAGATGTTTTGGGCTTAAGTAGATGACAAATATGTTCTCTTCATTGTCTATAGTTGTGTGTTTTTTTGAGACAGGATCTTGCTCTGTCTTTCAGGAGCTGGAGTGCAGTGATATCATCATGGCTCCCTGTAACCTTGAACTCCTAGGCTCAAGTGAACCTCCTGCCTCAGCTTCCTGAGTAGCTGGTACTACAGGAACATACTACCATGCCTGGCTTTTATTTTTTTGATAGGAACAGGGTCTCACTATGTTGCCCAGGCTTGTCTTGAACTTCTGGTCTCAAGCAATCCTCCTGCCTTGGCCTCCCAAAGTACTGAGATTACAGGTATGAACCACCATACCAGCCCCTGTCCATAGTTTTTATTTATGGGTGACTCACTAATTCATTATGGGTGAATTTATGAATGAAACAACTGTTCTCAACTGAACAGGTGTTAGGTTAGAACTGGGTGGAACATATAAGTGGTATAAAACATTTGAGACCCATTGACTGGACTACCCCTTGAAATGATTTCAATGCCATTCACAGGAATTATCTGAATTACAATAATGATGAGGTATCTGCACAGATGTCTTAGGACAGCGAGATAAAGGAGCAAGGCTCTTTTATAGATCCAAATTGTCAAAATAATTTTAATTTTATGCATTTTATAGCACACAAAAAAGCTATTACATACGAATCTTCAACTTGTCCCACATTATCTAAACTGTGTATTGTCCCTAAAAGTCCATGCAACAATCCAACTTTATTTAAAACTTTAAGCCTTATTCATCCTGTCCAGAACATTTCCCTCTAAATTGTCATCACTCTTCTCTCCTTATTCCCAAATAACTTCTGTCTACCAAAACCCAGCAAAAATCCAACCTCTTTTATAAGACTCTACCTAAATCTTGCTCTAAATACTTCTGATCATGATGACAGGAATCAAATAAAGGGGTCAAAGTGAAAGTGCAACACAAATGTCAGTTGATATTTCATCAGATTATAGATGTGGAATGAAAATTTAAGAGTAAATACAATAGAGATTTACTATTGGTTTTATGCTTTGTATGGTTTGGGATATATCCTAGAGGTGAAGTTGACCAGACTTGCTAATAGTTTGAGTGTTGTAGGTAAGGGGAAAAGAGCACCAAGAATGACTGTGTTCTGGCTTGAACAACTGGTATTGCTGTTTAATAAAATAGGGAAGACTAGAAGAGTTGCACACCTGGGGAGTAGTACACTATATGTACTATGGTGTAGTAGTACACCAGTACACTGATTTCCTCCTAAGAACTGCTATTGTTTGTATTGCTTATTTTAACCTCAACTCTATCTAGCCACCTTTATTACATAATGTATTAATGTCTCGTTTCTCTAAGTTACTAGTTCTATCCTAACATGTTTCGTGTACTTCCTTCAAAGTTCATTACATTTTCAGATAAGTTAGAAACCTGAAAACTTATATAAATAGTTATTTTAGTCAGGGGAAAACATCATTAATAAAACCAAGGTCTTAGAATTGAATCCTACATAAGCTGGTTAGCTGTGCTTTCTTCTACAAACACAAAAATATACTTCCAACCCTATTCTGTTGTGTTGAAATATAAATTGGTAAGAAAAGGAAGCTGAGTGAGGAGGCATTGCAGTAACATAAACATAATATCCTTACTCAGCAACTGAAGGGCAAATGGGACTTAGAGTGTTTTACTAATGGTAGGTACACAGAATATGATCTTTGTTCATAAATTATCTAACACTTTATTTTAGAATCCATAATTTGTGTTCACTTAAAAAGAGGTTGATTTGAAATTTTCTATGATTTATTAAAAAAGGTAATTTCAAAGTAAAATAATATAATACAGACTATAGAAAGAAAATTTAGACTATGAGAACTGTCATTAAGAATCATAAAGTAGGCCAGGCACAGTGGCTCATGCCTGTAATCCCAGCACTTTGGGAGGCTGAGGCGGGTGGATCACCTGAGGTCAGGAGTTTGAGACCAGCCTGGTCAACATGGTGAAACCCTGTCTGTACTAAAAATACAAAAATGAACTGGGCATGGTGGTGCACACCTGTAATCCTGGCTACTTGGGAGGCTAAGGAAGGAGAATCGCTTGAACCCGGGAGGCGGAGGTTGTAGTGAGCCGAGATCACTCCACTGCACTCCAGCCTGGACAATAGAGTGAGACTCTGTCTCAAAAAATATATAGATAAAGTATACTAGGAACAGCTATTAAAAAATAAACAATAACACCAAACTCTATGGCTTAAAAAGATGAGCTAGGAAGTGGAAAGTAAATATTTAAAATTCTGCTCAGTTATAATAAGTTTAGCTTGAGTTATTTACTATTTATACTTGCAAGTAATGAAATACATTACTTTTAAAAATATGCTAGTCTTGGCCGGGTGTGGTGGCTCATGCCTGTAACCCCAGCACCTTGGGAGGCTGAGGCGGGCAGATCACCTGAGCTCAGGAGTTTGAGACCAGCCTGGCTAACATGGTGAAACCCCATTTCTACTAAAAATACAAAAAATTAGCAGGGCATGGTGGTGCAAGCCTGTAATCCCAGCTACTAGGGAGGCTGAGGCAAAAGAATCACTTGAACCTGAAAGGGAGAGGTTGCAGTGAGCCAAATTCATGCCATTGCACTCCAGTTTGGTCAACAAGAGCAAAACTCCGTCTCAAAAAAAAAAAGCTAGTCTTAAAAAAAAACTTATAAATTTTTTTCTTGCCTTCTTTCAGGTATGCTAGAAATTTAAAAGTACTCCTTTTTCTTACCTTCATTCCTCAAATTTCTCTAAAAGTGTGTTTTATTTCTCACTCTTGGATTTTTCTTTTCTCTCTTTTTATACCAGTTCTACTTGAGATTTTTAAATTTTCATGTTACTGAAAAGTGGAGATTTAAGTTAAGACTGGGTGTGGTGGCTTACACCTATAATCACAACACTTCGGGAGGCCAAGGAGGATCGCTTGAAGCCAGGAGTTTGAGACCAGCCTGGACAACATACCAAGACCCTGACACTATGGGGGAAAGAAATGTAGATGGATCAGTTGTATGCACCTGTGGTCCCAATGGGAAGCTGAGGCAGGAGGATGGCTTGAGCCCAGGAATTCAAGGCTGCAGTGAACTAGGATCATGCTACTGCACTCCAGTGTGGGTGACACAGTGAGACCCTGTCTCTACACAAGACTGGATTAATTTTCAGTAGAGGTAATGGCCTAGATTCTGGCTACAGCATCATCCTGTGATCCAAACTTTCTATAGATTTCATTAGAAAGCATTTTCCTACAAAGATTCAGCACAAAGACGTAACAAGGTAGCAGAAGCCCACGTAAATCAAGATTAATAGAAGTAGTAAACAGTTTCCTATTATTTTAGAAAATAAATGAATTTACCATTTAAGAATCTGGAGAAAAGCAAATATTCCTTCAGGAAAGGAAAACATTTGACCCTTCTATTATTCCAATTATAAACAGACTTAGAATCAAAGACTTGCTTTGGTGGGATCAAAGACTTGCTTTAATTATCTGCTTGTATAACATAAAAATAATTCTAAACATGTAATATGGTACTCAGAATATTTTATAAATATCCAGCAAGCTCTTTAGTATTAGATATCAAGAAAGCATTTATTTTGATGTGATTGAGGTGTATGAGAAACAGTGAAAAAGAAACAGAGGTGAAAAATAAATAGGAAAATCCAAAAGGAAAAGTTTATATAACATAAAAAAATAAATCTCAACCTTTTGAGGCCTGTCCTTATTCTAAGAACTACCCATATGGTGGAAAAAAACATTAAAAGTTGCAATTTGGCATATCTACATAGCAAGACAACTCATTAAGGCAAGTATTACCAAAACAAATATATTTTTAAATATATGAGTTAACTGGGGCTTAAAGATGTTCAGTGAAATGCCCTAGGGTCAATCCTTACTAAGGAGGAGCAATGAGGACGAGAAAAGTCAGCCTTCTCAGTCATAGTCCAGGGCTCTCTTCATTGTACAGAGCTGTCTACCATTAATATTAACATATGCCTCCTACAGTGGTGTAAGAAAAATGTCCATTGAAAGCCTCTTTCTGTGATAAATATGCCATTTTTATACAATAATGTCCATATTTAATTATTCTGTATTAAGATAGTCATTTTTTAAAGTATATTCTCTAAGTGAATTACAATCTTAACCCCCACCAAATCCTTGCATTTTAATAATTGTGGGGCCGGGCACGGTGGCTCACACCTGTAATCCCAGCACTTTGGGAGGCCAAGGCTGGCGGATCATGAGGTCAGGAGATCGAGACCATCCTGGCTAACATGGTGAAACCCCATTTCTACTAAAAATACAAAAAAAAGCTGGACGTGGTGGCATGCGTCTGTAGTCCCAGCTACTCAGGAGACTGAGGCAGGAGAATTGCTTGAACCCAGGAGGTGGAGGTTGCAGTGAGCCGAGATGGCACCACTGCACTCCAGCCTGGAAGACAGTGAGACTCTGTCTCAAAAAATAAATAAATAAATAAACAAAAAATAAAAAAACAATTGTATAAGATACCACAACTTACTTTATTAGACCCAGACGTTAGGGTCAAAAAACATGTTTTTAAAAAAAATAAAAGGAAAAAAATAAGATAACATATTCTGCTTTGTAAAATACTTTAAACCATTCCATTAACTGTAGATTATTTGTAAATGACTTTGTCATTTCCATTAAGACAGAATGAAATATAGCCCCACAAAACCACAGATGAATAACAGTTTCTATTCCATATAAACACTTTAATATTTCCATATATAAAAAACTTAACAAAATTAGTTCAAACATTTCACTATCTTTTTTTGGTATCCATTAACCAGTTAATTGTCACAAGAAGGGTAAAAAGGGGCAAAAAAGAAAAACTAATGTCTACCTTATGTCAAATATAGATACATTATATTTAATTTCTTCACATATTACTGTAAAATCATAAAGTTTTGCTGTTGTAATACATATATCATTTCTCTTAACTTACAAATTCAGAAAAATAAACAATTTCATTTTTAAAAACTAACCTGTCTACTTCATCTCGAGCCACAATATCTCCTTTCTTTAAGGCTTTTATAGCAAACATCTCATTTGTGTTTTTATATTCAGCTAAAAGCACCTGAAATAAAATTAAAATAATTATTTTCCACTTGAGTTATTAATGTTGTAGATATTCCAAAAAATTCCAAAAAGATTACCTTTCCAAAATGTCCTCTTCCCAAGACAGCACAACACCTGAAATCTTGTAGATTAAACTGAAACCTTTGCTGAGATCTGAAAAGAGAAATTTCAATTAATAATAAGACAATAAAGTATGGTACCAAACATGTAGTCGCAAAATTTGGTATATATTCTTTACCTTCTGTCCTCAAGTTCTTGAATACCACTATATTCTAGGCCTGACTGAGGAGTATCAGGCTTGTATTCAGATTGAGATTTTGGAAGTATACTATTTCTGTCATTCTGAATATCAAAAACAGTCTCTGAATCCTGTAAAATATTAAATACACGTGAATCCATAGAAATACCCAGAAAACAACTTATTTGATAATGATAAAATTAAGGAAAAACATTTCAAAAGTCAATATAAATGTTGGAGTGAAAAGTAAAATTCAGATACTCATTCTTTAAAAAAATTTTTTTTTCTTTTTTTAGAGGTGGGTCTCACTATGTTGCCTAGAGAGGTCTTGAATTCCCAGCCACAAGCAATCCTCCTACCTCAGCCTCCCGAGTAGCTGGAGCCATCGCTTTTATATTAAACTTATCTAAAAAATATGAAAAACTGGGCTGAGCACGGTGGCTCATGCCTGTAATCCCAGCACTTTGGTAGGCCGAGGCGGGCGGCTCACCTGAGATCAGGAGTTCAAGAGCAGCCTGACCAACATGGAGAAACCCTATCTCTACTAAAAATACAAAACTAGTGGGCGTGGTGGTGCATGCCTGTAATCCCAGCTACTAGGGAGGCTGAGGCAGTGGAATCACTTGAACCCAGGAGGCGGAGGTTGCAGTGAGCCAAGATCATGCCATTGCACTCCAGCCTGGGCAACAAGAGCAAAACTCCGTCTCAAAACAAAACAAAACCAAAACAATGAAAAACTAACACATTATTATGTATGTTAATCAAGTTAGAAGAAGAATAGTATTTCAGGCAGTATGTCATGTAGTATCAACCACACTCCTATATTACCTCTAGTTTAAGCAGCCTATTCTATCTCTTCTGGACCATGAGCATCCAGAGGCTAATGACAATTTCATGCCAACATTAAGAAGTTGGTTGTCTCCTACCAACTCAGTCTAATTTAGCTGAGACTAGACCATAAGAAACATAAATTCGGCTGGGTGCAGTGGCTCATGCCTGTAATCCCAGCACTTTGGAAGGCCGAGGCGGGCTGATCACCCGAGGTCAGGAGTTTAAGACCAGCCTGACCAATATAATGAAATCCCATCTCTACTGAAAATACAAAAATTAGCCAGGCATGGTGGCATGTGCCTGTAACCCCAGTTATTCAGGAGGCTGAGATAGGAGAATGGCTTGCAGGAGAATCGCTTGAATCCGGGAGGCGGAGGTTGCAGTGAGCCGAGATCATGCCATTGCACTCCAGCCTGGGTAACAAGAGTGAAACTCTGTCTCAAAAAACAAAAACAAAAACAAAAAACAAACAAAAAACCATAAATTCACAGTTCAGTGGCAATTTTAAATGGAAAGACACGCCTTATTCACTATGATGCTTTTATTGCTAATTCATTCAGTGAAGAGGAATTATGCAAGGTTTAAAATGGCTTGCCTGTCCTGGTATATCCAAAACTCTTAATTCAGAAGATTCATCTATTTCTCCAAGAGAAGAAGCTCGTGGTGGGGCTGGAGGAGGTTCAGGCTCAAGATCAAAGTCCAATTTGGTTACTGTAGAATCACTTATAGAAGATAAAGTAACTCACCAAAACAGTAATAGAAAGTCTGTATTTTAAACAGCTTTAAAATTAAAGCAAACAATTTACTTTTTAAGTAAACAGAACACTACTTTCAAAATACTACTTGGGAAAAAAGCAAGACTCAGTACACCTGCTATAATCAGTACGTAAGAATGTCCCAATAACTTTGTATAAGAGATGCTTAAAATCTCAGACACATACCTAGCTGGAGGTGCTAGTTGAGGGATGCGTACATCAACCACTGGCACTGTAGTAGGCACAGGAGCTTGAGGGCTGAAGGTGCCAGAATGATTTACTGTAGGAATAGCTCTTCTTACTAGCCTTCCCCAAGTGGCAATATTAATATTCATTTGAGGAGCTCTGAGAAATGTTTTGCCTGTAGATGTTGAAAAAAACAAAAACAGCAAGTAATTTCTTTATGTATAACCAAAAGTCATAATTTAAAAATTCTTATCCATTAGTTTATAATCTACGAAGAACAAACAAAATTTGTCACTTAAAAAAACTAGTTTTTTACTATTTGCTAGTAAAGGCTAATGCAAAATAGCATACGTAGTTTTAAAAATAAATAGGTAAGAAATTGTTTTTTTCTCTTTAAGTCTAGTAGTAAGGTTTTAAAAATAAATCTTATCTTTTAGATATAAATTATAATAATTATGAATACATCAATATGATGTCTGGGTTTGCTTCAAATTTGAGAAAGTAGTGAGAGGATGGCATATGGATAAAATAAAATTGGCCATGAGTTGATTATTGTTGAAGCCGGGTGACTGTACATTTCACTAGTCTCTCCACTTATGGATACATTTAAAATATTCCTTAATAAGAAGTTAGAAATAAATGAATAAACAACAACAAAAAAACCCACACAGATGGCTATTACTTTTTAAATGGTAATTAGATTGTTTAAGAAAATATCAAAATGCTATGCATTTGATTGTTAGTAATTACCTTGTTGCTTTGAAAAAATTTTCTTTTGTCTTTGAAGTTTTGGTCTTCTTTCAATAACTGGATTAAAAAAGGTAACCTGCAGTGAAGAAAATTCAAGTTGACATGAAAATAGCATGGTTCATGAAATCTACTAAATTTATAAAATTTTAAAGCTTAAGAGAATCTTAGTTACAGTTTAGTCCAGCCCCTCATTTTCTACATGAGAAAACAGACATAGGAAGAATAATTGATTTGTCTCAAAGTCACATACCTATTCAGTGGCATAGCTCAGCCAAGAACTCAAGTCATCTGTCTTTCAGCCTAACACTCTTTCTACTTCTATATTATGCTGCCTACATATGTAATTTCAATTGTAGTTATGCACATTTAATAAAATACATTTATTACCTCTGCAAATAAAGTACCCTGTGGTTCCAAATAGAGACACATGCCATGCCGTTGGTTGTCTAAAAAATCTTCTAACCTCAGAAATTTTACAGCACACAGAGACCGCCAATCACGCCAATAAACTGAAATTTCCAGTTCACGTGACTAGGATAATTAAAAAAAATAATAAAGAAAACAGAAAAGACATCATTGGACACACACTTGAATAAAATATCACAAAAAATATGAAATACAAATACAATAAACAAAAATTACACACACAAAGGTCACACTGTTTTAAAGAGGTTTGTAACATTTCTCAACTGTATAGTACTTTATCAAACTTACACATTTTAATTCAAAGAAACAAAACTTACATTGTGACATTTTCCAGCTAAGGTATTCCTAAAGTATACTTAAAGAATACACAACTGGGAACAACCAATACAGATGAATAACCACCGAAACTCCTTCTCTTAGAGCTTCAATCTTTCAGATTTCCCTCCTCTATTTGCCATCATGTGCTATGTTACTACCCCAATGCTTGCTTCAAATAACTCATTTGAAACCTTTGTATTTATTTGTCTCATTGCTAAGCCAGAAAAAGTTCTGCAAATAGCATTTATTCTGTACTCACAATGTGCCACATATTGTGCTAATAAGCACTTTAAGAATATTAGGTCATTTAATTTTCAAAAGAATACCACTGGGTAGCAAGACCCATTCTGCGTACGAAAGGAAGAAAGGGGAAATTCAGACCAAGCTTTATACAGAAAGATATTCATTTATTATAACAATAAAACATAATTTAAAAAGCAAATTAGCAAGAATTTGAATGTTCAAAAACCAGGGACAAGTTAATTATACCAAAGCCGTATGAGAGAATACACAGTAGACACTGAAAATAATGCTTATGTGGCGAAATATATTTAAGGTTTTAATAACCAGTGTTTAAATGCACCTGTAGAACATAGTTCCTAAGCTGTGGCCAAACCATATACTGACCTCTACCTATATGTTTTAACGTATATACATTTTAATCATAAAGTACTGGACTTTTCTATTATTTTGTTTTTCAGGCTTCTGTACACCATCCACAAAAAGAGATAAATGTTTCTCCTTTTAAGGCTCTACAAAGCAATAAATTACTTATTTTATATAACAAATTTCAATTTATAAACTTATGCATTTCATTATGTAACGTTTTGGTATAAACAGTAAAAAAAAATCTATTGACCTTAAATTATATATCTAGTTGATGTTAATGAACACGAAAAACACTTATAAAAAATGCAACATGAAAAGAATCAAAATACAATGTGCCAGAGGGTTTCACAGTCAAACAGGAAAAGAATTAGAAAAATACGTCTATGGCAGTGAGAATGTGATCTCAGGGCCTTCCACCTCATTTCTTCTCTCTGACTCATAATTAATATGGGAGAGAACTGTCATGAAAGAAGTATGAGGAGAATATAATTAAGACTAGCAAATGGCATATAGAAGGGATGGGGTACTAAGGCTATAATATTCTATTGAAGTTAAAAGTGTTAAGTATTTTGGAAGCAGTTATTTTGTGAAATAAACTGGAGGAAGAATCATGTCAGGATTGGTAATTTAGACTCCATTTTTTTAGATTGGAGGAAGAGAGGTCTACTTTCTCCTGCTTTCTTCCACTGTTACAAGGAAGACTTGTTATGCATCAGGAAGATGCAAGATGCACATACGCTAGAGACAGAATTAATACTTGTTAAAAGTTCTTATTACACTTTTACACTGGCTAAAATGGTAAGATTTTGTCTTATTGTGAATAAGAGAAGGTCCAATCACCTCATTTGCTATTTATTCCAGCCAGTCTGGTAAAACTAACATATTGACTAATTTCTCTTTCCTCTGTCTCTTCATTCCATGCTTCAAACTAAAGTACATTATAGGCTGGGCAAGGTGGCTCATGCCTGTAATCCCAGCACTTTGGGACGTTGACGTGGGTGAATCACTTGAGGTCAGGAGTTCGAGACTAGCAACGGCCAACATGGTGAAACCCCATTTCTACTAAAAATACAAAAGTTAGCCGGGCGTGGTGCACGCACCTGTGGTCCCAGCTACTTGGGAGGCTAAGGCATGAGAATCACTTAAACCCAGGAGGTGGAGGTTGCAGTGAGCCAAGATCATGCCACTACACTCCAGCCTGGGCAACAGAGCGAGACCCTGTCTCAAAAAAAAAAAAAAATTAAAATTTATAAAGTATGTTACAGATCTGAGATTTGGGATAAGTCACCTCACAGACCTTAAGCTAGCTTTCCTAGAATTCTATACTCTACATTAAAGTTTTATGTAGAAAGTAGAAAAGTTCCTCTTCAAAGCTCATCTTGATTTAAAAATAAAATAAAAGACACTAGGAATAATAGCTCCTTACTCTAAAGCCTCCTATCAACTATCAGTTCTTACGCTTTAGCCCAGTTAGTTGCTTTGGCTTACTCAAGCATGTCTGGACAGGCCCAGGCAAGTCTTAGCTCACAGCTTATGCCCCTTCCTTATTTGGAAATGTTGTTGCTTCCTTAAACCTTTCATAAGCAACTTCCTCTTCCTCTTTGTTCTCCTTTGCATTTACCTATTTAGGAAAGTTTTAGGTTATTAGCAAATCAGTAATCAGTTTAAGACTGTGAGGTCCAGCTCCAGCCAATGGATGCAGGACACAGCAGTAAGGACAACCCAAATGCATAAGGGATATATATGTCTGCTTTTCCTTTGTTCAGGTGTGCTCTCGCGATTGTTCCATTTGCGAGGGGCACGCTTTCTGCAGAAAGTAAAGATTGCCTTGCTGAGAGATCCTTTGTCTCCGTGCTGACTTTTCTTCACGGCACCGATTATCTGTTTCTAACATTTTACATATAAAGCTCTTCATTTTTTGTTACTTTGCACTGTTCCCAGTGAGCGTTACTTTCTTCACAACATAAGTGGGAGGGTGGGGCTGTGATCTAGAGATATTTTATGTTAGTACTCCACCACTTGTGTTCAATCCCACTTTAAATCCTAACATCCAGCATGGTTTGAATAAGTAAAACAGTCACATGGTATCTGAAAAACAAGGTACCATACAGATAGACTGAAGCTTCTGCATAAGAAGATGTCACTAATGTTTACCATTTATTTTTTATTATTTTTTGTTTTTTGAGATGGGGTTTCACTCTTATTGCCCAGGCTGGAGTGCAATGGTGCAATCTCAGCTCACTGCAACCTCTGCCTCCCAGGTTCAAGTGATTCTCCTGCCTCAGCCTCCTGAGTAGCTGAGATTACAGGCACCCACCACCACACATGGCTAATTTTTGTATTTTTAATAGAGATGGGGTTTTGCCATGTTGGCTAGGCTGGTCTCGAACTCCTGACCTCAGGTGATCCACCCGTCTTGGCTCCCCCAAAGTGCTGAGATTACAGTCGTGAGCCACTGTGCCTGGCCCAATGTTTAGAATTTAAAATGCAAGTGTGATTGCTGGTACGCCGGCAATTTTCTAGATGAAGCAGGTCAGTTACACAAGGCAAGGGCATGCTGTTAGATAATTTCAAACTCTAGGAGCAACGATATTCTAGACGGAGTAAAACTACCACCAAAAAAAGCTGAGCAGTACAAGTTGAGATAGGTACTGTCCCAACTTGTGTTTCAGTTTGTCTTATTATGAATTGAATCTAGAATCAAAGAGAAAACTGCTTGGTAGACTTAAAGAATCTGCATGTCTTATCTGAAGTCTAAGATCTGAAAGTAAACAAAAAAGGTAAGAGACACTGCATCAGCCTTATGTGTGGTAGAAAGCAACAAATTAAAACATGTATTGCAATTGAAAAAAGAACAGTACACATCTATCATAAAAGAATTAGCACAAAGAATGCTGAGGTTCTCGAAGTGTTCACTGAGGAGCCCTGGGGTGCCAGAGAGTATTTTCACTTTTCATAGGGAACACAGCGACATCTATGGGACACTGTGAGAACTACTAGCGAAAGGTAGTTCATAGTTTCAACATTAGAATATTCCATATTCCTTCTGGTGATGTCATAAACCCATCTTTGCTAAGGTGGGTTTTCAACAATAAAAAGCAACTTCCTATGAAGAATCACTGTGGAAGAAGACATGAGAGTGCAGTTATCCTTATGATCCCAAGATGTGGGAAGTTATATAGTGTACAACAGGCAGACATGTCCCATTAGTTAATTGTAATCATGTACTAATGGAATAAAAATATTACGTTTTCTCTCAGTATTTGTATTTTTCAAAAACTCCTGTTTTAAGACTTAAAATACTAACTAGTAAGCACTTCTTAATAAATGGAACTGTTGGGTATTTCTTTAGGTCTAGGGACACACTGCAGAAACATTACAAGGACACTGAGGACACTGAATTGAGAAAGTCTGGAAACTTTGATAGAAGTGGAGAGCTGGGCTCCACTGCTGAAATGAAAAGGGCAAAAGAAGAAAATGAGAACCAGGCTCCACCGCCAAAAAGAAAAGAAAGGTCAAAAAAGCTTTCTGTTGCCACTAAAAAACAGAATAAACTCAATACCTGGAAAATTCAAGAGCTGAGGAAAGATGAGATTTCTGCAAACGTGTACACGAGCGATGATATTGGTCTTCAATGTGCCTCTGAGGACAACATAGGCTTTGGAAATTTATCAGTGAGGGTCCTAGCAGCATGCAGATAGTACACTGAAAGAGTTTAACTAAAGAGAGTTTTTTAAATTGGCTACTTATGGAGATGTGATTAAAGTTAAACCAACAAGGAATGAAAAGAATCTGAGGACAAGCAACAGTAGAAATCCATTATCACTCTTAGCCTGAAGGGGCAAGAGGAACTTAAATCATTGCCAGAATCTGATTTAGACTAAATCTTAAAAAAGGAACTACCCGACAGGAGTTGGTGGCCATAGATGAATGCTGTTGTGAAAAGCAAGGCAAGGCAAGGAAGGAGAAAGGGAAATACACACTGCGACTTTCCTTTCCTCCTAGCTCTTGGATCTCTTAACAGTGTCTCTCATTGTAAGTCAGAGCCAAGTAATTCAAGTGAACTTTGTAGTCATCAGCCCAAAAACAGGGTAGGACAGGGAAGGAAGGACAATGGAATCCACTGGGGAAAAACAGAAAACCACCACCTCAAGAAACAATAATATATGTTTTCAGTTCAGCAGTCCAATGAGAGTGATTCTCCAGCTGGAACAAATGTGACAAAAAGAGGGAAACTTTGGGATCATATGGGAGGATGAGAAATACAGAGACAACAGTAGGAGACAGAGATAATGGAGACTATTAAGGCCATGATCTTGGCAGGAAAAGTCGGCCTGCTATAGATGTGGGTTACTGCCTCTGCTCCCTTTATAGGAAAGACAAAAACAACTATGATAGAAACTGCTATGCTCTATCAACTATGCACAACTGCTTCCTATGTCAATCCACATCATATAAAAAGTTCCAAAGACTCCTAATTATTCCAAACCTATTGTATACTTTTCTGCCTCCATGTCTTTACATATATAGCTTCTATTTCTAATCTTATATCTTATTCTCCAACTCAAACCTATATTGTTACATAAGATTTTCCTACTATTCTTTCCCCCATACCAGTCCAAATTCTCCTCATCAAGGGCAAGTTAAACATCCATCTCTTCTACAAAGGCATCCTTTAAATCCAGCCCACATTTTTTCCCCAAGGTTTTTTGAACGCAGCTATCTTTTTATGTATCCTTGTAGGAACTTATGTTCTCAAATCTGAGGACTCATGGTTGTCATCATTCTGGAAGTTACTGGCTATTATTCCTTCAGATGTGGCCTCTGCCCCATTCCTTCTAATCCTTCCTTCTGGAACTCCACTCCGTGTGTTAGTCATTCTTAGTTTATCCTTCATGTCTCTTAATCTTTCTTTCATATTTTTCATCTCTTAATCTTTTTGTGTTGTATTCTGGGCAACTTCTTTAGCACTTTCAGGCCACTAACTCTCTCTTCTTTTCTTTAACATATCCTCTTAGTTTTCCATTTCAGAAGTTATATTTCCTATTTTTTAGTTCTACTTGGTTCTCTTTGTCATCAGCACCAACAATTTATCAATAATGGTCAATAATGTTTCATCTCCACGTTTCCCCCATAATTATTTGAAGCAAATTTCAGACATCTAAAATTTCATTTTATTTATTTATTTTAAAACTCTGCTTAGTCTTTTTGGCTCATCACCTATCCTTTGCTCATGTTTTCAAACTCTTCTATTCTTTAAATACTATAATCATTTAAATATTTAAACACAAACTTTAAAATATTTTATATTATATATTTAATAATCCCATTATCTGCTTCTGCTTGGTCATGGTGGCTATATCCTCATGTATTTTAAAATTTTGTATGCAAGCTCATGTTGGTAGAATTATTATTCCCCTAAGCTTCTGAAATACAATTTAATAGTTTTTTATTTTGTCTCAAACAATTTATTTTTAACCTACCAGGCCTTAGGGTCCTTTATGGAAGGAATACCTCTGGTGCTTTTGCATTCTTTGGCATTTCTTTTTAAAAATTCTTCTTAAAATTTCACTAATTTTAAAAATTGTTTTCTTTTTTGTGTGCATTTATTTATAGAATAGAGATGAAGTCTTGCTGTGTTGCCCAGGCTAGTCTCAAACCATTCTCCCATGTCAGCCTCCCAAAGTGCTGGGATTACAGGCATGAACCACTGTGCCTGGTCTCTATTACATTTCTCACAGTGCTAAATGGAGGCCTTGAGTATTAATTTACAGATCAGAGAGGTAAGAAAAAGCTAAAATGTCTACACTATGTTGTAGAGCAGTGATTTCCTAATAACAAGTGAGGCACAGATAATTAAATCAGATTCAGTTGTGTGGAGCGAGATGAGAGTAGGTAAGGAAGACATTCTCTCTCTTTTTTTTTTTTTTTTGAGACGGAGTCTCTGTCGCCAGGCTGGAGCGCAGTGGCGCAATCTCCGCTCACTGCAACTTCTGCCTCCCAGATTCAAGAGATTCTCCTGCCTCAGCCTCCTGAGTAGCTGGGACTACAGGTGTGCACCACCACATCCAGCTAATTTTTGTATATTTAGTAGAGACAGGGTTTCACCATGTTGGCAAGGATGGTCTTGATCTCTTGACCTCGTGATCCGCCCACCTGAGCCTCCCAAAGTGCTGGGATTATAGGCATGAGCCACTGCACCTGGAAGACATTTTCTTTCTTTTTTTTTTTTTTAAGATAGAGTTTTGCTCTTGTTGCCCAGGCTGGAGTGCAATGGTGCAACCTCAGCTCACCGCAACCTCCGCCTCCCAGGTTCAAGTGATTCTCCTGCCTCAGCCTCCTGAGTAGCTAGGATTACAGGCGCTTGCCACCACACATGGCTGATTTTTGGATTTTTAGTAGAGATGGGGTTTCACCATGTTGGCCAGGCTGGTCTTGAACTCCTGACCTCAGGTGATCCGCCCGCCTCAGCCTCTCAAAGTGCTGGGATTACAGGCGTGAGCCACTGTGCCTGGCCCTGACATTTTCAAATTTATACCTGCCCTCCCTTCTCAGATTCTGACCTGTATCTATTTGGGAATCACTGTATTGACTAGAGTGTGTTGTATTCTTTGGGTATGCTGCAGCAAAAAAAAAAAAAAAGGTTGAGCAAACCTCCTTTTCAGTTTTAATTATTTTCATTCATCCCATTAATACTTAGTGAATATGTATACTAAGTGTCTTCTGTGATAGAGATACAAAGATAAGTAACATATGGTCCTGCTCTCAAATAGTTCACAGTTTTGCTTTGGAAGACGGAAATTCTGGGAGACAGAAATGTAAATCAATACTGGCAATACAGTGGCATATACAATATGCACAATGACACAAAACAGAGAGCTGACCAATTTTTTTGTAAGGGAAAGGTAGTAGGAAGATCAAAAAATATCATAATTGCTCAAATTGGGTTTTGAGAGCTATATCTAAAGATTAAAGGAGAGGACAAAGTCATCAGAGGGGAAAAAACATACAAAGGTAAGGAAGTATATAGTACATCATAGGGATAGGAAACAGTTTCATATAGTTAAAGCCTAGAATATAAGTAGAAATGCTGTGAGAAATAAGAATGAAAACATGGGCAGAGATAAGTCATGAGGAGCTTAGCATGACTTGGAGTAGAATTTGGTCTTTAACTTGAAGTTACAGGCTGGTACTAAAGGGTTTCGGTGTAAGGAGGGGTAGGGATTGGATCACATCAGGCAGTACAGGCTGAGTATCCCTAACCTGAAAAGCTACAAAATCTGAAACTTTCTGAGCACAAATATGACAATGAAAGGCAATGCTCATTGGAGGATTTGGGATTTCAAATTTTTCAGATGCTCAATCAGTTTGCATTTTTAAATGCAAAGATTCTAAGATCTGAAAAAAAATTTGGAATCTAAAATACTTCTGGTCCCAAGTATTTCAGATAAAGGATATTCAACCTGTATAGTTGCTAAAAAGAAAAGCACTGGGATCAAACTGCCTTGCGTATGCATGCACACTCAATAAATGTTTGTAGAACAAATAGGTTAAATCTTAATCCCACACCACTTAGTAGTTCTGTGACCGTGAGCAAGTTATTTAACTTTGCTGGGTCTCAGATTGCTCACCTGTAAAATATGTGTTAATGGTATCAACCTTGCAGCGCTGTGTGAGAATTAAAGGAGTTAATACAACTCCAGTACATAAGTCAATCTCAATATGTCGCCTTTTATTATTATTGTGATATGCAATGAAGAAAATCTACACTGCCAAAAGGATAGACTAGAAATAGAGACAAGTTTGCTAACTCTAATGAAGAACAAAAGCCGTGGCTTCAGACAGACTTGACTTTGGTGAGAGATGCTTGTGTTGATTACTGGCTCCACCACTTTCTAGCTGTGTGGCCTGAGAAAACTAACTGAAACTCCTGGAACCTCAGTACTCTCTAAAATAGAAATAATTGTATGTATATCATAAGATTATTGTGAGGATTAAATTAGACACTATACATAAGGTTTTTTGTTCAGAACCTATAATGGCAGTAGAAACTTCAGTTTAACATATGGGAGGGTGAGGAAGAACAGATTCTGAACACAACTTATTTTTCAAGAATCTTGTCTGTGAAAGAAAGACCTATCAATAGAGCTAGGACGAAGCAAAATAAAAATTTTTAATGGGAGGAATGTGAGTATATCCAACAAGAATAAGATATCAGAAGAAAGAAGTGGTTAAAAATATAGGTGCTAATAGGGCTAACTTATGAAACAAGGCTATAGGAGACTAGAAAGAATGGAAACTAGAGGGCAACTTGAATGATCATAGACTGTAAACAGGAAAGAGAGAGACTTCGTTCTCTGAAACCAAGGAGGAAGATACAAAAAAATTAGCAGGTGATAGGAGAAAGCTGAGGTCTGATGGTCTTAAATCTAATCTATAAAACAAAAGCAAAGGAGTCTGACGTGGGGTAGAAAACTTGAAGAGACAGGCAAAAGAAAAGTTGCTGGTAATGAAATAAAAATGTAAAATGTGGGATAACTTTTACAAGCCTAGCTAAGATTGAAAACTAAAATTTGCAGTAGTAAATGTGATCATTCAGGATATAGAGCAGAGAAGCAACATTCAGGATATAGAGTAGAGAAGCAGAATAGAAATTATTTGCTATTGGGAGTTTCCACAGCAGGTAGGTATAAAGATAAGGTCAAAGGATGCTGTGGCAGTATCAGTAAAGAAATGCTTCAGAGTAACATTGGTTTTAGGGTAAATAGAGAAGAAAATTAAGTTTGGAAGGGGCTGATAGCATGAAAATATCCTGAAGAATCAAGGAAATGGAAATATTTGATCAAATATCTAGCTTTGTGATAATAAAAAAAACAGCTAGAAGAAAAACAATAACAAGAGCTATCGTTTACTGAATACCATTATGTACAAGGTATTATCCTAGGTGCATTAATTAGTTAGCTAATTAATGAAAGGGTTTCACTCTGTTGCCCAGCCTGGAATGCAGTGGCATGGTCTCAGCTCACTGCTGTATTCAACTCCTGGGCTCAAGTAATCTTGCCTCAGTCTCCCCAGTAGCTAGGACTACAGGCTTGTGCCCCAAACTTGGCTAATTATTCTAGGTGCTTTCTGTAGTTTATCATTCAGGACAACAAGAGAACTGGTGAAAGGCTGGCATATTGATTTTTTTTTTTTTTTTTTGAGACAGAATTTCGCTCTTGTTGCCCAGGCTGGAGTGCAATGGCATGATCTCGGCTCACCGCAACCTCCGCCTCTCGGGTTCAAGTGATTCTCCTGCCTAAGCCTCCCAAGTAGCTGGGACTACAGGCATGTGCCACCATGCCTGGCTAATTCTGTATTTTTAGTAGACATGGGGTTTCTCCATGTTCGTCAGGCTGGTCTTGAACTCCCAACCTCAGGTGATCTGCCTGCCTCAGCCTCCCAAAGTGCTGGGATTACAGGCGTGAGCCACCGTGCCCAACAGGTATATCGAATTTAAGATTTCAATTTGTGTAGCACAGTTCATTTAAAATGACAAAGGAGTAAAGGTATACCAGAGTTCAGGAGTTCAAAGAAGTTTAAATAGTGGTATATTATATGGGTTGTTTACATATACAGTCCACCCTCTGTATCTGTGGGTTCCTTATCTGTGGATTAAACCAACCACGACTGAAAATATTTGGGGAATAAAAGGATAGTTGTATTTGTACTGAATATGTAGACTTTTTTTTCTTGTCAATATTCCCTAAACAATACAGTATAATAATTTATATAGCATTTACATTGCACTGGGTATTATAATTACTGTAGAGATGATTTAAAGTATACAGGAGGATGTGTGTGGGTTATATGCAAATACACCATTTTATATAAAGGACTTGAGCATCCATGGATTTTGGTACAGGGAGAGGGAGTCCTGAAATCGTTCCCCATGGATACCAAGGGACAACTGTATGCAGATATTTTAAATCCCTCATAATGATGGCAAATGTTGGAAGGAAGAATAAAAGTCATCCTTAATGAATATCAGAGAGTACCTGATGTTCAAGAAATAACAGAAACAAAAAAGAAAAAAAAGTAGGCAATTCTATACTGCTGACCTATGAACAATACAAGTTTGAAATGTACAGGTCGACTTATACGTGGATTTTTTTTCAATAAATATACTGGAATCTTTTTTGGAAATGTGCAACAGTTTGAAAAATCTGCAGATGAATCACATAGCATAGAAATATCAAAAACATTACAACAAAGATATGTCATGAATGCATATATGTAGATACTAGTCTATTTTATCATTCACTACCATAAAATACACAAATCTATTAGAAAAGGTTAGAATTTATCAAACTTACACACAAACACTTACAGACCATACATGGCACCATTTATAGTCAAGAGAAATATAAACAAACATCAAGATGCAATATTAAATCATAACTGCATAAAATTAACTGTAGTACTGTACTACTATAATTTTGTAGCCACCTCCTAATGCTCTTATGGTGAGCTCAAGTGTCAACAGTATCCATTTAAAACACTATGTAAATCTAATTATTTCTGCCTGAGCAGTTCATCTCTCTAGTAAATTGCATATGGCAGTAAAAGTGATCTGCCTCAGTTCTTGCATATTTTTCATGGTATTTAATGCAATACCATAAACCTTGAATAATATTATGGAACCCTTACAAAGTACCACTAGTGATGCTGGAAGCGCTCCCAAGAAGGGGAGAAAAATCATGACATTACAAGAACAAGTTGAACTGCTTGATATGTATCCTATATATTGAGGTTTGCAGTTGTAGCTTCTGCCATTTCAATATAAATGAATCCAGAATAAGAACCACTGTAAAAGAAGAAAAGGAAATTTCTGAAGCTGCTGCTGCAGCTAAGACGGCAGGCACAAAAACCTTGTATTTTTTGCAAAATAGACTGTCTATGTTATCAATAAGGCTTCTGGTCCACAGTAGACTATTAGTATTTAAGTTCTGGGGGAGTCAAAAGTGTTATGTGGATTTTCGAGTACATGGGTTGGAAATGTAGGCTTGTGCTCCCTAGCCCCTGCGTTGCTCAAGGGTCAACTATACAGCTCATAGTCTCAAAGAAGTCATATAGCCCCAGAGGAATACATGACATGTTATTTATTTATTTATTTATTTATTTTTTGAGACGGAGTCTCACTCTGTTGCCTAGGCTGGAGTCCAGTGGCACGATCTTGGCTCACTGCAACCTCTGCCTCCCAGGTTCAAGCGATTCTATTGCCTCAGCCTCCCGAGTAGCTGGGTTACAGGCATGCGCCACTATGTCCAGCTAATTTTGTATTTTTAGTAGAGACGGGGTTTCTCCATATTGGTCAGGCTGGTCTTGAACTCCCGACCTCAGGTGATCCGCCCGCCTCGGCCTCCCAAAGTGCTGGGATTACAGGCGTGAGCCAACGCACCCGGCCGACATGTTATTTTTAACAGCGGTGGAATCTGGAAGCAGCAAAGGAGGGGTAAAAAAGATAAGTGTTACAGCTTTGTTACAAGTTAAAAAACAGTATCTCAGATGAAACAATACTCCCAGTGTCAGACAGTTTATAACATGTAAAAAATTAAAAGTATCTTTGTATTCCTACTCTTGTTCTGCTATATTATAGTGCTTTACTCCCCATTAAAAAATCTGTGACCAGGTATGGTGGCTGCATGCATTTTTATCCTTTTCTAGGGAGAAAGCATCTTTCTCACTGCCATGGTTGCTATGAGAAATAATTTCCCCATTTTCCCTAAATATCTGGATAGGTCTTTACCTCAATACTCTTATTCAAACCTCAGAATCTGTTATCTGATAGGAGACTCTGGAAGACAAACTGGACATGAGGAACATAGCCCATTCCTTCTTTTCTGTTGAAAGCCAGGCTGTTCAATGGAAGTAGTTTGCTCTTTTCCTCCCTGCTTTAAATTTTACACAGATCGGGGCCTACAGTGATCCAAGAGACTGGACATAACCCCACTCTTGCTGCATACCCAGCCATACTCTCAAAAAACAGCTTATTTTTTCAGTAATATGGATATTTTATTTTCCATTAGTCATTTCTTTGTTTCTCTCAACTAGTTCAAAACCTGGGCAACTCCACACACACAGCTTTTTTTTTTTTTTTGAGACAGAGTTTCACTCTGTTGCTCAGTGCAGTGGTGCAATCTCAGCTCACTGCAACCTCTGCCTTCTGGGTTTAAGCAATTCGCATGCCTCAGCCTCCTAGGTTAGCTGGGATTACAAGTACCCACCACCATGCCCGGCTAACTTTTGGATTTTCAGTAGAGACAGGGTTTCATCATGTTGGTCAGGCTGGTCTCAAACACCTGACCAAGTGATCTGCCCACTTCGGCCTGCCGAAGTGCTGGGTTTACAGGCATGAGCCACCACACCTGGCCCACACACAGCTTTAAATTGGTTACTTTAGTGTCTCATTCTTAAGAAAGCCATGGATGGCCACACATTTGCCCAAATATACAATATGATAAGCAGACATCTTAAAAGAGACCTCAGAAGTAGTAGAGACAATTCAAGAAGAAAATTTAAAACTGATATTCTCAGTTTTAAGAGATGGTATTATCTCCATGAGAGAAAAACAGGGTGTTGTTTTTCAAAAACTAAACAACAAAAATGAACTTCTAAAAATTAAAAATATGACATCAAATGTAAATTTTTCAGTTGTAAAAATTTCCTAGAAAGTAGAACAAAAAGACAGAAACCATAGACAAAAGAAAATCACAGGATCAATCTAAGAGGTTTAACTACCAAGAGAAAACACTAAAAATGGACATGAGAAAATTATCAAATAAATAACTCAAGGAAATTTATTGGATCTGAAACAAATAAGCTTTCAAACTGAAAGTGCCACACAATATCCACCAAAAAGAATGAAAGATACCCAAGTAAGATACACTACTGTGAAATTTCAGAATCCCGGGGAAAAAAAGATAAAATCTTAAAAGTTTTTAGAGATCTAGCAGATCTAACAGATCATGATTAAATATTAAAAATCAAGGGAGACACAGAATTCTCGACTGTAATACTGAGGCTAAATAATAATTACACAACTCAAAATTAATGAAAGTAATTTCCAACCTATTAGGTTGGTACAAAAGTTATCACAGTTTTTGCAATCAAAAGTAATGGCAAAACCGCTATTACTTTTGCACCAACCTAAAAGAATTCTATACTCCAAGTATGATAGTAGAATATACATATTTTCAGACATATATCATCTCTAAAACTTTATTTCATTCACCCTTTTCTCAGCATGAAAATGAAGGATATGATTCACCAGCATGAGGAGGTAAAGCAAGAAGATGGAGTGATCCAAGACTCAAGTGATCCAATGTAGAAGAGAGTTCTCAAGATGATAGTAAAACAAAGTCTCAAGATGAAAGCTGTGTAGCAGCTATATAAATTGGAGCAGAAAGATGTAAGGCCCCAGAAAGGATGCTTCTAATGGGGAAGAAATGCGGACTAATACATAACCAAGCATACCTGCTTACATAGAGTTGTTTCAGAGTCCTTCTGGAGCTTTTGGGGATAAATAATAGGTATGCAGAAAACTAAGCAAAACAAAACAAAGAGGTATTTAGTGGCCCTAAGGGAGGAAAAGGTATTAAAAAGGAAATATAATCACCATACAGAACTTGGTTCATCTATGGACAATCTTTATAGTTATAATAAACACTAGATTACTGATTTAACATAATTATTTGGGAGAATGAGAATAGGAGTGCGGTGGTTTAAAAGTTAAATTCCAATCTTCTTTCATGTAGTGTGAGTCAAAAATTTCTGAAAATTAGAAACCAATAAATGAAAAGTCCCTTGGGTTCTTATAATCTTATTTTGTTGTTGTTATTATTATTATTATTATTATTATTATTATGAGATAGAGTCTTGCTCTGTCGCCCAGGCTGGAGTGCAGTGGCGTGATCTCAGCTCACTGCAACCTCTGCCTCCGGGGTTTAAGCAGAGTCTCAGCCTCAGCCGCCCAAGTAGCTGGGATTACAGGCGTCTGCCACTGCACCCAGCTAATTTTTGTATTTTTAATAGAGATAGGGTTTCACTATGTTGGTCAGGATGGTCTTGAACTCCTGAACTCAGGAGATCCGCCCGCCTCGGCCTCCCCAAAGTGCTGGGATTACAAGCATAAGCTACTGCACACGGCTAACTTCTTATAATCTTGTGACTTGCCTTACCTTGCCGTTTCACTCCTGTCATCATACTGTCATACCAGTAACTATAATCCTTCCACAATCTCAACTGTCTGCATCTTTCTCTCTGAACATTATCTCCTAATATTCTAGTTCACTCTCTCTAATACTTCAACATCCACTGATATGACAATCCCACTGTTAGTCCCAATCCATGAATCCTACCACCTTTTTACTTGTCCTAACTGCTTCTATACTCTCTTTCCCTCCTTTCCCAGTGATCGGTCGACATTTTCTATAGTTCTGCTCTTAACAACACTGAAATCTGCTAAAATTGTTCTAAGCTTTGGTTCTAAGGACAGGGCTCTTCTCTGTTTCTAATATTGATAAAGAACTTCTACTACTATGTTAGTAACGTTATTCTAAAGGAAAGGTGCAAGGGAAAGAGTTAACAGGTCTTAGTGTAACATTTTGTCATTTATTTCAATCTCTCATGGGAGCTTCATTAAGCTTTTTATAACAGGAAGGCTGAGGGAATTCAGGAAAAATGAAAAATTGCATAGCTACAAGAAAATATAAAAGAGTAACCCGACAGAATAGAAAGAACACAGAGCTGGTAGTAAGTAGACTTCATTAAGAATCCTGGATTAGGCCAGGCACGGTGGTTCAGGAGTGTAATCCCAGCACTTTGGGAGGCCGAGGTGGGTGGATTACCTGAGGTTGGGAGTTCAAGACCAGCCTGACCAACATGGAGAACCCCCATCTCTACTAAAAATACAAAATTAGACAGGCGTGGTGGTACATGCCTGTAATCCCAGCTACTTAGGAGGCTAAGGCAGGAGAATCACTCGAACCTGGGAGGCAGAGGTTGCGATGAGCCGAGATTGTGCCATTGCACTCCAGCCTGGGCAACAAGAGCGAAACTCCATCTCAAGAAAGAAGAAAAAAAAAAAATCCTGGATTATACCCTACGCTAGTTACTTAGCCTGAGGGCCATAATTTCCTTAGTTTGTAAAATGGAGCTAAATTATACCAACAATTTAAAAACGTTTTTTCTAATAGCAAAATCCAAATGATATTTTACATAAAATCCCAAAACAACACAAAAGACTGTGTTGCGTCCTGAGACAATTCTGCAGAACACTGAAGCTCCACAGAACATAATTTGAATTTTTCTAGATCATTCTAGATCTAGATCATTTCTAGAATTATCCTACAACTCTAAAAAGAACCATGAATTTTTTATCTTGAAATGAAACAGTACAGACGACTTAGTTCCCGAATGCCATAGAAGACAAAGTTGACATATGAGGCAAAATGCTGGAAACAAACATGTCAGTTTAAAGCAACATTTTCTATAAATTTTTTCTTCTCTTTTTTACTAAGGCCGCTTGAAATGTTTCCATCTATGTTTTTATAAACATTTTTTATAGTCTATAAATACAAAGGATAAAAGAATAGAAAGCACATGAAAATGTAAAATATACTATGTAAACAGAAGGACCTATTTTAATAGGGAATGTGGTTTCTGCCAAGGAAAAGTTTATAATCAAATTAGGGATAAGAAAGATGCCTCTCAAGAACCTAGAGGACCTGCTTAACATGCACAATGTCTTCCAAATTTTAAAAGGAGCATTATTCCAAAGTGGGAAAAATGCCTGATGCCATTGAGGCGAAAAACATTTTCAGGTGAAGATTACAATGGCAGGGAAAGAACAAATAACAGTTATCACAGTCTTTTATTGTTCTAAGCTTGTAGTTTAGGTAATTTAAAACCATATTATCTCTTCCAGGCACTCTTCATCTTCTGCTGTTTCCTCCTCTGTGCTACTGTTATCTTTCTATCTCATTCAAATCACCAGAGAGAAAAAGAGCATCCATTTAAAAGTTAAGACACTGAAGGTCTAGTACCAGTCCTGAAATTTACTGGTATGTAACTAACCTGGATCTTGGTTTCCTCAACTACAAAATAATGGCAAGATTCTAAATTACTTGTAATTTCTCTTTTCAATATAAAACTTTATTAACAATAACCTTGTTATAAGAAAAATCTCCTAGCTAGTCATTTTCCCTCTAATAACAATTCTTTAAGTTTCATTTTGATATTACTCAGTAATTACCTTAAATAGGCTCGAAATGAAAGGAAATGACATTCAACCAGGTAGTTCTCCATTCTCAAATCCCCTTTCATAATATTCAAATTCATAGCCATACTTCAAACCCCAGGTTAAAAGAAAGAATATCCCTGAATGGCTTAAATGTACCGGCAATGCAAGGTATTTTACATATACTACTCTTGGTTTTTCATCCTAACAGTTCTGTGAGTATTACATTCCTACCTCCACTTTAGAGACTGCAAAACATTGAATGCTTTAAAAATGTTTTGGTGATTACTGTTCTATCCTCTACTTTTAAAACTGGGAAAGAATTAAAATTGAATGCTTTCCCAGTTTTAAAAGTAGAGGCTTAGAACAGTAATCACCAAAACATTTTGAGAGCACACATAGTTAAGCATTGTAAATCTGCTTTAACATAATTAATTTTTAGAATAACATATATACCATCAACCTAAATACCAAATAATAAAAAAGTTTAGTATCTTTCTTAGTTTTTAGATAAAATTACGATTACGTTTTAATATTTTCCTCTCACAACCCAATGAATGGACTTGAATCTAAAAGTTACCACTATGGATTTAAATCTACTGTGGACCAGGTTAACTTCTGATGGGTTCTATGGCCACAGACTGAATTCTAGCTATTCAAATTATTCTTGAAAGACACAAACACACAGAAGGCTGGGTGACCAAGCCTAATAGCTCATTTCAAATATAGCTCGAGTAAGATAACCTACACATGGTGAGCCAGAAGAATCGCCTTAGCTGTTAGCGCATTAAGATCACCAATATGCTTCAATATTACACCTTACTGATCTTTAAGTTTGCTATGAATGAAACATTTTCAAATTACTACACAAATGAAAGATCCTACAGCAATCTGATATTCATCTCTATATTAAGGTAGATTTATGCATAACTCATTGAATAAGAAATGTAAAAAAAAAATCTAAGTTCTATTTTTATTCTTGTTAAGAATACAACTTGTTGAAGCCTTCTAAAAAATATAACTCACATTTAAAATGAATTATAATTAAAATTCAAGTAAAATGTTAGTCCTCTTACCCTGTCCAGTTCCAGTGTAAACTTCTGGTCCCATGACTGATTGGAAATGGGTTTCCAGCTAGTTTGGCCAACCACAGTATTATCGAGCTTCAAAACAGCACAGACATCATCTGTAATTAAAATTTACAAACTTGCTTAAAAACTTTAAACCTTTATAAAAAACAGAAGTACTGCTGTTTGATTAGCAATAAAAGTCTTAAGACCCTTTGAAAATAAAGTTTTTCATAATCAATATTAAAACTTTTGAATCTTAAATGGCTAGTTTTACAGATACATATACTCCTACTAGACACTCCCAAATTGTTTGACAAAAACACAAATAGTGACTGCTATCTCTTTTGTTTACATTGGCATGTGACTGAAAGAACAGATAAATAGTAGTTGTTTGCCACACTGTTTGTGTGAATATCAATCAGTTTTTCTTTCTATATCTTATATTTATAGAGCTTGTTTCCTTAAACAATTCCTTATTTTCTTATTTTTCTTAAAGCCTCTCTCTATACACATGAAAGCACAGGCAAATTCACTTTTGTATTCTACGGTAGGCTGAACTGTCACATGCTTTTCCCCCCAGTTATACATCTACATATAGTTTATGCTTATACTTCAGAATTTCTCCCCAGTGCTTTCCAAACCTCTTGCATTTTACTCTCCTCAAACCAACCCCTACCATCCCCCATCTCAGTGGACTACCAGGCTACTATCTCAGTAAACACGTCTGGATCAGCAGTTAGATTACCAAAATTTCAATGTTACTATTAAAGTGTCACTAAACCATTAAAAGAATCAAGGCTGGAGATGGTGGCTCACACCTATAATCCCAGCACTTTGGGAGGCTGAGGTGGAAGGACAGCTAGAGCCCCTGAGTTCGAGACCATCCTGGGCAACATAGTGAGACCCTGCCTCTAGAAAAAAAAATTAGCCAGGCATGGTGGCATATGCCTATAGTCCCAGCTACTTAGGATGCTGAGGTAGGAGGATCACTTAAACCCAGCAGGTTGAGACCTGATTGCACCACTGCACCCAGCCTGGGCAACAGAGCAAAACACTGTCTCAAAAAATAAAGAAAAATAAAAGAATCAAGATACGATTCTACAAGAAGGACCAGTCTCATAGCTTCTGTATACCTTCAGTTTGGCATAAGAGTGATGCTCAATATTTCATTCTTCCAAAAGAACTAATGTCATTTGTCATTAAGTTTTCTAATGTATCTTCAACAAAACAGAATTTGTTGCCTTTTTGTTTCCTGACATCACAGGTTTTAATATTTTTTAATTAAATTATAAAAACCATAATTTTAAAGTGTTTTGTCCAACTTGAACACTTCATAAATCCCTTGTATAAGCACTTTAGTTTGTTACATGATTTTTAAAAATCTGGTTACTGAACTGGACAAGTCATCGGTTTTTAGAAGATTTCGACTACTTCCGCTTTTACTTTTACTCGTTCTGCTCATGAAAGATGATCTGGTTTCACTTGGACTCCAACCAGGCAGTGCAACTGATGTTGCTTTTGACCGTCCAGGGACATTCTCTAGGATATCTTGGCAGCCCATAAGACGAACTTCCAAAGTACCTGTTGGCAAACATAAATATCAGATAAGAACATCAACCCTTAATCTATGGAATCCTTAATCTAAATCTCTTACCTATTCAAAAAAAGAAAAAAAAAATCTGGTAACAAAAACTCTTCTCCCAGAGGATCTATGAGGTAGCTATCATCTTTCCTATTTTAATTAGAGAAACCATTACAAATTCTTTAGACAACTATAAGAAATTTTATAGAAAAGAACAGCACCTCCTGGCTGGGCACAGTAGCTCTCTCGCCTGTAATCCTAGCACTTTGGGTGGATTGCCTGAATTTAGGAGTTTGAGACCAGCCTGGGCAACATGGCAAGACCCTGTATACTAAAAATACAAAAAATTAGCTGGGCGAGGCGGTGTGCGCCTGTAGTCCCAGCTATCCGGGAGGCTGGGGCACAAGAATTGCTTGAACCCAAGAGGCAGAGGTTGCAGTGAGCCAAGATTGCACCACTGCATTCCACCAAGACTCTCTCTCCAAAAAAAAAAAAAAAAAAAAAAGGAACAGCATCTCCCAAAAGTTGTCTGTATAGAGGGCATAAAAGAAAACAAGTTACATAAACTATGTTGGTAGAGGTATGGGAGGAGAAACATAAAGCTAAATAATATGCCACTAAAATGGCACATAAAAATTGGAAATAAGGAAGTCTCACTATGTGAATACCAACTATGTTTAATAGTTACGTAGTTAACACAGAAAAGAACTTTACAGGGTTTTTGTATAACTAAATAAATGTGTTCTATTTGATGTAAAATGACATTATCTTTCCATTCTGTTAGTTTAATTAGCCAAAAAATCATGGGTTGTAATTAAACATAAAATAACTTCAATTTATTTAGGCAAATAAATACTAAAGGTGTTCAAAATGAAAATAAAGAACTATGAGTTAGGTCCTCTGGATATATGGCTTTGTCATTATTTGGGCTAGACACAGTATACTAGAATTTAAATAATGCTTCCGTATTAACATTTTAGATACTGTACAATGAATAACATTTTAGGAGGAATATTTCTGGTAAAAGTTGTCCCATTAATTTAAATAACTACTTAATTTTACTTAAAGTTTTAAATTGTTTTTAATAACACTGAAGTACTTATATATTTCTATCCAAGTAGTAACAAACAAAGCTTCCCAATTCAAACTACCAAAAAAAGAAAATCAGACAAAATATATGAAAAAGGTTAAAGACGAATAGTGATCCCTGAGAGATGGGAAACAAATGAGATAAGCCCTAAGATTGCTCCAGCTTACTGTCTTAAGGGTTTCTAGGACACAGTGCAGGGAGGGGGAAACTCAGGCGGAGCCAAGTTGAAGAGACAGAAATAAGAGTACAAGGAAACCAAAGCAGCTAGAGTTCACAAGGCAGTTAAAGCTGTTCATAGAAAGAACTCCTGAGATGGTCAGAGGGTTTTCAAGTATTCATCAAAGTACTAATCAGCACCTGCCTATGAAGAAAATATCTGAGGCAGGGGAAAGAACCCACTGAAAAAGTTAGAAAGAACAATACTCAGTGCATATAGGTAGGAATAGTGTTTGTTACCACCAGCCAGGCTTGAAAATCTCAATTCATGAGGCACTGAAGAAAATATCCAGAAGAGTCTTGCCCCAGCAGTAGAGAATAATTACCCCTAAACTAAATGATGCTTGTTTCACATAACAAATCTTAAAAGCAGTACCCAAAAGGGTCATATTGTTTCCAAGTAACTGTGTCCTAGAACAAAGCTCAAGAACATTTATAGAAATACAAAAATATTCAGCATCCAGCAAGGTAAAATTCACAATGTCTGCATCTACTCAAAGATTACCAGGTGTATTTGCTTTCTATGGTTGCGTTACAAATTATTACAAGCTTAGTGGCTTAACTGACATAAATGTTAGGGTTAGAAGGCAAGGACATCAAAACAGTCAATCTACTGAAAATGTGGCACAGACACATGGAAGAAATGAAAAAGACTTAAACCAAATTTCTAGTGATTAAAAAATGGCAATATCTGAGATTAAAAAAAAAATACACTGGATGGGACTGCAGGCAGATTAAACATTGCAAAAGAAAAGATTAGTGTCCTTGAAGACACAGCAAAGAAATTATCAAAAATAGAAGACACTAAAGAAAGACTTGAGAATAAACAAAGAACAGTGCATATATTAACTGTGAGTTTAACTTCAAGTGGCCATATATGTGTAACTGAAATTCCTCATTAAGAGAGAGCAGAAAGAATCGGAGACACAAAATGTATTAGAAAAAAAAAAGGCCATGAATTCTCCACATTTGATGAAAAGTATAAACTCAAGAAGTATCCAAGAAGTTCAAAGAACACTAAACAAAGAAACAGAAGCAAGCCATACTAAAGCACACCATAATCCAATTTCTCAAAACAAGTCGTGAACAAGAAACACTAAAAGTAGCCAGAAAAAAACATGTTACGTAGAGAGGAACAAAGATTAAGATGGCAGGAGATCTCTCATGCAAAACAATGAAAGCAAGACCATACACTTAACATATGTATAGTTTTTGTATGTCAATTATTCCTCCAATAAAACTGCCCTAAAAACTGGATTACTGATGATGGTGAAATAGGCATATACATTTACTAAAAAAATCATACTGT
Organism: Homo sapiens; assembly: GCF_000001405.40. Taxonomy (NCBI): domain Eukaryota; kingdom Metazoa; phylum Chordata; class Mammalia; order Primates; family Hominidae; genus Homo; species Homo sapiens. Next base: position 88,782,022 of record NC_000001.11, on the reverse strand, counting down.
GTATGTTTAAAATGAGTGAATTCTATGGTATGTAAACTATACCTCAATAAGGCTATTAACGTTGGGAGGTGGAGTGTCAATAATGTTTTGCTAGACTGTGGAAATCTTATCTTACTGTACAGTGATAACACATTAATTATATCATTTTGAGTTAAAAAATTTGTGTTTCTTATTTGTTTTGTTGTTGTTAAACTGGCAAATTTAGCTAACTTCCACTGTAAATGCTCAACTGTAAAATGCATCCTGGGGAAACTGAAAACATCTGGCTACTACTTCAAACTATGGTAGCTTATTAAATATTTTAGCAATTTCAATACATCAGAACATGACAATGCTCAACACCTGCTTTCATTTAGGAAAAAAATCTAGAGGGAGTTCTTTATTAAACATCTAGAAGTTTCTTTATGAGGTGACACAATTGCATATAAACACATTAGAAATAGCTTAAAACTACATTCATAAAGCACAATATGAAATTTTTAAAACAAGCAAATCCAAGAAGTAAATGTTGGTATTCAGAAGTAATAACTATGAATTGCATTAGAACAAGTAAATGCTTTAAAAATTTTCTTTCAACTGTCTGGAAAACTATTTTATACCTATTTCACTAATTCAGTATTTCATCATGGTATGATTAGGCAACTTTTTTTAATTCTGCAGAAATATCCTCTTATAAAAAACTAGTAAATTTCTCAAAACATGGAGAAAAAACAACAAAAAAACAATTATACCTTATTCAAAGTAGCAACAAACTGGCAAATTTCAGTAGTATAATCATACAACCACAAAAGAAACTGGAGTATGAGACGAACCACAAATAATAGCATGCAGTGAAAAATTCAGAACAGCAAATGCTCTTACTATTCATCCATGTTCATCTTTTCGTCATGTGTAGTCTTCTATTAATGTCAGTAGTATTTCTCTCCCTAGTTACTTAAAATTTAGTTTATGGTCCAGTAGGAGCTTAAAGAATTTTTTAAAAATGTCTTAAGAATTGTAAGATACTTCTTTTTAGGTTGGTGACTTATATAACTTTGAGTAAAGTTCAGTAATGGAATGAGGAACAGGGGAAGAAGGAACTGAAAGGAGGGAACAGGAGACTAGAATAGAAAAGGAAAAAAATTTCCAGTCATTATCAGCTGAGTTTCTAAAATGTGATTTTATTACTTTTCTAGAAATATTGTTATTCAAAATATTTGACAACCTTATTTTAATCAATGGATCATTCAGAAATGCTTGAGTATCAACAATGTGTTCAGCATTGAGCCAAAAGGTGGTGAAACTTAGCAGACAATAAGTACAGTCCTTGCCTGCAGTATAGTCCCTGCCTAATTGTCAGATACTATTTACCAAGTACTTGTTGAATGTATCAAATATCCTGTGCTGGAGGCTAGGATTATATGTAGGTAGATGACAAGGTCTTTGCTCTTTACAGGTCTATATTCCAGTTTTGATTTAAAAATACATATAAGAAGATGAATACTAAGGCAAAGACATTTAAGCAAGGTAGGGGAGGCACTGGGCACAAACCAGTTTATGACAGAATATTCATGATAGGAGTTACACAGATATGACTGGAAAGATAAATAGTTATCAATATGAAAGAATTAGATCAGAGGTTCCCAAGCTTTCTCAGTTCATGGTGCCCTAATGTTTTATTAAACTATTTTTTAACTGTGTCCCTAGGCCAAAAGATATACCTTATAGTTTTGTTGATTAAACAGTTAGGTCCAAACATAGGATATGATTGCTTTCCTAACAAATTAATAGCTATTTGAAAAAAAATACATATAACTAAAAGAAAAAGTATTTTCATTTCATTCTTAAGCAAGATTACTTCTTTTTGGGCACTGTATAACTCTAAAGCTTTGGAATCAGTTTGGAAACTACCACACTGATTTCCTATTCCACACTGATTTCACACAGCACTTTAAAAAAACCAAAATCACAGCAATTGAGGAAAACCCAGCTTCATAAATACACAACATCACTGAAAGGAATGTAGCTCCACCTAACCCTGAAACTGTAACTACCTTGAGCTAGTAGTCTGAATGGTGACTACATGAAGTACAGATAATGCTGTGCATCCCTCAAAAACAAAATCCTGATGTGGCCCTGTGAATTCACTTTGGTATCCCAGGTTGCCTCAGATTTAAGCACTCAATTTGTGAACTGCACATTTAGACTGATCCTAATTAGTGGCAACAGCGAAGTTTAACTGTAAATTTGTCCTTCATGTTTTGATGTATAAGTTTAACACAGAATAAAACTGATTAATGATACTCTTTAACAACCGGAATGTGATAGTATGCTATGCAATATTGAAGAACACTTTCATAACCTCAAAAATTTTAAGGTTTGTTGGCATTAATATTTATAAGAAAATTAAAGGATTCTGGAAAGTCTGTGTAACAAAAATATGTCATATTCACATGGTCCATAAAAAAGAAGCCTTTGTAGGTGATGTCAGAGAAAATGATGGAGTAAGAAGGTCCTCATGTGGTACAGATCAGATCACATAGTATCTAGTATCTAGGATGGACATAATTGCAGAATAAAGTATATTCCTTTAATAAATCTGGCCTTGTGAAATTGTTTTTTAAAAAGATATATGTAATGAATCCTAAAAAAAAAAAAGTACAAAGACAGTCTCTTCACAGAAACAGAAAAAGAAACTGACAGAAACTTTCAGAACTGAGTTTATCAGAACTCTGGAAAACATTCAAAGGTTTACTACAAATAAGCAAATGTTTAATCAAAATCCAAAAAGCAAGGGACACTCCGGAGAGCTCTGTGGAGTTTTCACTTACCTTTGCCTCATCCCTCCCTTCACTCCCAATACCTTGGGGGCAGTATTGAAGATGGCAGCCTGCTGTAAGGAGGGAGCAGAGAAGATCTTTTTCTCAAATAATTGTGGTCACCTGCTTTGACCTGTCTGAGGGCTCCCTAAAATACTAACACCAACAGCTTGCCATTATTTCACGTAACTAGAAAATCTTTGGCTGGGCGCGGCGGCTCATGCCTGTAATCCCAGCATTCTGGGAGACCAAGGCGGGCGGATCACAAGGTCAGGAGATCGAGACCATCCTGGCTAACATGGTGAAACCGCCCCCACCCCCGTCTCTACTAAAAATACAAAAAATTAGCTAGGCATGGTGTTGGGCGCCTGTAGTCCCAGCTACTCTGGAGGCTGAGGCAGGAGAATGGTGTGAATCCAGGAGGCGGAGCTTGCAGTGAGCGGAGATCACGCCACTGCACTCCAGCCTGGGCAACAGAGCGAGACTCTGTCTCGAAAAAAAAAAAAGAAAATCTTTGAAGGCAGAGAAACAGCTAAGTGGAGGGCATCTGTCAAAAACAATGGAAGGCAAATGAACCAGTCTCTGCAAACTAAGGAAAAAGAGGATCAGTTGGGGTAAACAATAGAAAAGCCAAAGAAACTGGGAGGAAAAGCTAGCAGAGGAAATGCTTTGGAGAATAAAAGACTTTGCAATGCTTCTACATATTATTGGGAAACTAGAAGGCTAGGTGCAAGCAAGAGGCATCCTCGGAAGAGATCTGAGAACACCCTAAGCTCTAACCTATGGTTGACTCTCAAGCTCTGCACAAAGCAAATGCAGAGTTGTAAAGTGTCTGGGTGAGTGCTCAAGCACAGGGCCCAGCTGCAAAGACTAGGCAATCTTTTCTTCTTCAGGAATTAAAGGAAATGTCTGTTGAAACACCAGATGACTATATAGTAAACCAAAAAGTATCTGAGACAGGTCTCAATTTAGAAGTTTATTTTGCCAAGATTAAGGATATACGTGACACAGCCTCAGGAGGTCCTGACAACACGTGCCCAAGGTGGTTGGGTTACAGCTTGGTTTTGTACATTTTAGGGAGACATAAGCCATCTATCAATACATGTAAAAGGTACATTAGTTGGGTCCAGAAAAGATGGACAACTCGAAGTAGGGATTTTCAGGTCACGGGTGGATTCAGAGATCTTCTGATTGGCAACTGGTAGAAAGAGTTTATCTAAAGACCTGGAATCAATACAAGGGAGTATTGTAAGAGTGCTGTTAAGATAAGGGGTTGTGGAGACCCAGGTTCTCATTTTGTAGATGAAACCTCCAGATAGCAGGCTTCAGAAAGAAGAGACTGTAAATGTTTCTTATCTACTGAAAGAGTCTGTTCAGTCAGTCTTAAGGTCTCTGTTTTGATGTTAATGCTGGTCTGCAGTACCTGAATTCCAAAGGGAGGAAGGCATAATGAGGCATGTCCAAACCACCCATTCCCAGCACGACCTGAACTAGTGTTTCAGGTTTACTTTAGAATGCCATTGGCTGAGAGGAGGGGGTCCATTCATTTAGTTGGGTGGCTTAGAATTTTATTTTGGTGTACAATATATTAATGAAATAGACACCTCAGGGGTAATACATGAGAAAGAATAGTCTCTACAAAATAGATTATAAAAGTTACTAGGCAAACAACTACATTCAACATATAGCAGAAAAATGAAATCTTTGGAAAGAGTAAAATCTGATTTGTGAGTAAGTATACTAAGGAAATGAAGTACTTGAATTATGAAGCAAGCACAGTAACAGAATACGGTCAGTTCACAGAAAAAAGAAATTAACAGAAACTGACCCTGGGGAAGTCAAGACATGTTGGACTTACTAAATTAAGATGCTCAAAAATCTAAAAGAAACCATGGACAAATATCTAGGGGAAACAAGAAAAGTGATGTGTCTACAAATAGAGAACATCAATATGGATTTAAAAATTATAAAAAAGAACCAAACAGAAATTCTGGAATTGAAAAGTATAACAAAAATGAAAAAATTTGCTAGAGAGGTTCAATACAAGATTTGAGCAGGCAGAAGAAAAAGTGAGCCAATTTGAAGGTAGATCAATTGCACTTGTCTAGTCTTAAGAGCAGAAAGAAAAAATAATGAAGAAAATCAGAGTCTAAGAGAAATACCATAAAGCACACCAATGTAGGCAAAAATCAAAGTCTCAGAGGGAGAAGAAAGAACATTTGAAGAAATGATTGGAAACTTCCCAAATCTGATGAAAGACAAGAACCTACACATCAAGCTCAAAGAATCTAAGTAGAATAAATTCAAAAAGATCCACTCTAAGACACATTATAATTAAACTGTGAAAAAACAAAGAAAAGCTTGAAAGCAACAAGACAAAAATAATTCATCACTTACAAGGGATCCTCAGTAACATTAACAGTGGATTTCTCATCACAAAACATAAAGGCCTGGAGGAAGCAGGAGGACTTTTTTTTTTTTTCTTAAGACAGAGTCTTACTCTGTCACCCAGGCTGGAGTGCAGTGGCATGATCTTGGCTCACTGCAACCTCCGCCTCCCGCGTTCAAACGATTCTCCTGCCCCAGCCTCCTGAGTTACTGGGATTACAGGCATGCGCCATCATGCCTGGCTAATTTCTGTATTCTTAGTATAGATGGGGTTTCACCATGCTGGCCAGGCTGGTCTCAAACTCCTGACCTCAAGTGATCCACCCGTCTCGGCCTCCTTAAGTGCTGGGATTATAGGTGTGAGCCACTGTGCCTAGTTGGACATTTTTTTAAGTGCTGGAAAAAAACAAAATTGCCAGCCAAGAATTCTATATATATACCAAACTATCATTCAAAAAAAGAAAAGAAAGAGATTCCTAGATAACAAAAGCTAAGGGAGGTAGACACTAGGAGACCCGCCCATAAGAAATGCTAAAGAAGCCTTTTAGATTGAAATGAAGGATGGGAGAAGTGACGGGTGGGGCGGGGTGGGGGCAGTGTCAGGGAGGGCAAGGGGGAGGGGGTAGGGGGAGGGGGAGGGAGGGAGAGAGAAAGGAAAAAAGGAAGACAAACGCAGGTAAAATTAACTACATAAGTAAATATAGAAGCCAGTATTTTTTTTTTTTTTTTGAGACGGAGTCTCGCTCTGTCACCCAGGCTGGAGTGCAGTGGCACGATCTCGGCTCGCTGCCAGCTCCGCCTCCCAGGTTCACGCCATTCTCCTGCCTCAGCCTCCTGAGTAGCTGGGACTACAGGGGCCTGCCACCACGCCCGGCTAATTTTTTTTTGTATTTTTAGTAGAGATGAGGTTTCACCATGTTAGCCAGGATGGTCTCGATCTTCTGACCTCGTGATCCACCCGCCTCGGCCTCCCAAAGTGCTGAGATTACAGGCGTGAGCCACTGCGCCTGGCCAGAAGCCAATATTTCTGTATTTTAAGTAACTCTTCTTTTTGTTTCCTTTATGATTTAAAAGACTAATGCATAAAACAATATTTATAGCCTATGTTAATGGGTATATGGTGCATAAAGAGAGTTTGTGACAATATAACAAGGGCACAGTCAAAGAGTTTTTTGTAGGCTACTAAAGATAAGATTATAATAAATTTAGGACATTAGTTATAATCATTGGGGTAATCACTAAGAAAATAATAAACCCGCACATGGATGTTTATAACAGCTTGATACATAACTGCCAAAACCTGGAAGCAACCAAGAAGTCCTTCGGTAAATGAATGAATAAATAAATTATGGTACATCCACACAATAGAGTATTATTCAGCACAAAACCAAAAATGAGCTATCAAAGCATGGAAAGACATAGAGGAAACTTAAATGCATATTACTAAGTGAAAGAAACCAATGTGAAAAGGCTACATACTGTTAAGATTCCAACTGTATGACCATTGTGGAAAAGGCAAAACTACGGAGGAAGTGAGGTGAGTGGTTGCGAGGAGTTCAAGATTTAGTGAAAGACCAGGCATAAGTAGCTCATGCCTGTAATCCTAGCACTTTGGGAGGCCAAGGTGGACAGATTGCTCGAGCCCAGGAGTTGAAGACCAGCCTGGGCAACACAGAGAAACCCCATCTCTACAAAAAAAATAAAATAAGCTGAGCGTGGTGGTGTGCACCTGTACTCCCAGCTACTAGGGAGGCTGAGGTGGGAGAATATATATATCTATCTATCTCATAAAAGGGAGCAAGAAGGGAATAAGAAAAGTAAGAATAGAGGCTGGGCATAGTGGCTCACGCCTATAATCCCAACACTTTGGAAGTCTGAGGTGGGAAGATGACTTGAGGCCGGGAGTTTGAGACAAGCCTGAGCAACACAGTGAGACGCCATTGCTAGCAAAAAACTAAAAATTAGCTAGGTGTGGTGGCACGTTCCCGTACTCCTAGCTACTCAGGAGGTTGAGGCAGGAGGATTGCTTGAGCCCAGATGTTTGAGGTTACAGTGAGCTATGATCATACCACTGTACTCCAGCCTGGGCAACAAAGAGAGATCCTGTCTCAAAAATAAGTAAATAAAAACAGAGTAGAAAAATTCAATCAAAACCAAAAGAAGGTAGTACTAGAACTCAGAGAAAAAAAGATAAACACTTGCATAAAAAAAAAAACCCGCAAAATGACAGAAATAAGCCCTTTTGTTGTATATAATTTGGCTGGTTTTTGTCCCTGGTTTCTGGAAGACAGCCTCTAAGTCTAAACCTTTGGAATTTCCCCCAGTGATAGGCGTGCCTTTGTTATTCATAGTGGATACCTTAGACCACACCTGGTAAGGTGACTCATGGTGGGCCTCTAGACAGTTTCAGGATGGGGGCTGGCCATGCCAGAAAGAATGATCATATCTTCAGGAGGTTGAGGCTTTGAGCCACATTATCAGTCTGACCTCCTGACCTAGGGAGGGGCACAAGGCTGGAGATTGAATTCAATCATGTGGCCAATGATTCACTCAATCACACCTATGTTAACAAAGCCCCAATGAAAATTCTGCACACCCAATGCTCAAGTGAACTTCCTGGTTGGTGACAGACATTGATGTGTTAGGAGGGTGATATATCCTAAGGACACATAAGGTTTGTGTTTGAGATCCTCTCAGATCTCCCCCTTTATGTTTATTTTCTTTTCGCTGCAGTGAGCCATGAAGGTCCTAATTTGTATCCTTTATAATAAAAACGTAATCCTAAGTATAGTGCTTCCCTGAGTTCTATGATTTGTTCCTGCAAATTACTGAGCTGAGATGCTAGTAGAAATCCTGGAATCTGTAGACAGTTGGTCAGGAGTGCATGTAGCCTTGGAAACTCTAAATTTGCTGCTTGCTTATGAAGTGATGGCAGTTTTGTGGGGGGACTGTGCTACAAACCTATTAAATTTAACCTACCTCTCAGTAGTTACCACCAGGATTATTACATCCTGTCTGTAATTACTTTAAATGTTTCTCTCTCTTTCTTTCTTTCTTAGAGGCGGAGTCTTGCTGTGTCACCCAGGCTGGAGTGCAGTGGTGGAATCATGACTCACTGTAGCCTCAAACTCCTGGGCTCATGCAATTCTCCTGCCTCTGCCTCCCAAGTAGCTGGGACTACAGGTGCATGCAACCTCATCTGGATAACTGTCTTAAACTATTAAATAAACAGCAAACACTGGTCAGATGTGGAGGCACACACCAGTAATCACAGCACTCTGGGAGCCCAAGGCAGGCAGATCACTTGAGGCCAGGAGTTTGAAACCAGTGTGGCCATCATGGTAAAACCCTGTCTCTACTAAAAATACAGAAATTAGCCAGGTGCAGTGGCACATGCAGATCACTTGAGGCCAGGAGTTTGACACCAGTATGGCCATCATGGTGAAACCCTGTCTCTACTAAAGATACAAAAACTAGCCAGGTGCAGTAGCACATGCCTGTAATCCCAGCTACTCGGGAGGCTGAGGCACAAGAATTGCTTGAACCTGGGAGTGGGAGGCTGCAATGAGAGTGAGACTCTGTCTCAATAAAAATGAATTAAAAAAAAAAAAGACTGACAGAATGGATCTTATAAAACAGAATACAATAATATATAATCTAAAAGAGACTCATTTGAACCCAAAGACAAAACCAAAACAAAGTAGGGGTAGCTGTTATAAAATCAGACAAAACAGATTTTAAATTAAATATTGTTATAGGAGACAAAGAAGGACATTATAAAGGAGTTAAGGTAAAGGTAAAGGAGTCAATCCGTCTAGAAGATATAAAAATTGTAAACATACATGAACCTAGCAAAACAGCCCACAATATAGGAAACAAAAATTTACATAACTGAAGGGAGAAATACAGACAGTTCTACAGACATAGTTAGATATATTACCATACTTCCAATAATGGACCTATTAGAACACGATCAAAGAAGAATGAAAAAAAATATTAACTGTTGGTGAGGATCTGGAGATACTGAAACCCACTTTATACATTACTGTTAGAAGTATAAAATAATGTAAATGCTGAGAAGAACAGTTTGACAGTTCCTCAAAATCTTAGATATAGCTACCATATGACCTAGCAATTATATTCCTAGGAATATACCCCCAAATTGAAAACAGATGTTCAAGCAAAAACCTGCACGTAAATGTTCATAGCAGTCTACTCACAACAGTCAAAAGGTAAAAAGAACTCATATGCTCTGACAAATAGGTCAATCAAATATAGTATAGGTTGAGTATTCCTTATCTGAAATCCTTGGGACCAGAAGTATCTCAGATTTTGGAATGTTTATATTATATTATACTTACTGGTTAAGCATCCCTAATCTGGAAATCTGAAATCCCAAATCCAAAATGCTCCAATGAGAATTTCCTTTGAGCATCATGTTGGGTGCACAAAAAGTTTTGAATTTTAGAATATTCCCACAAGTGGAATACTATTCAGACATTAAAAGTGAGTGAAGTACTCATACATACTACAACATGAATGAACCTTGACAACAATATGCTAAGTAAAAGAAGCCAGGCAAAAAAGGTCACAAATTATATAATTTCTATCATATGACAAATCTAGAATAGACAAATCTGTAGAGACAGACAATTAGTAGTTGCTAGCAGCTGGGAGGAAGGGGGAATGGGGAGTGACTGCTTAACAGGTATGCGTTTCCTTTTGGGGTGATGAAAATGCTTTGAAACTAGGTAGTGGTGATGGTCACACAATATTGTGAATATAGCAAATGCTTCCAAATTGAATAAAATTAAAATGGTTAATACAACAAATTTTATTCTATGTGTATCTTATCATAATTTTAAAAATCTATGCACAGGTTTTTCTTTCAATTATTAAATCAGAACCAGTTATAGACAAAAATACACACAAAAAACAATGGCTATACACTACATACCTGTTAGTGCTGCTGGTTTGGATAGTGTACTATATTGATTTTGCGTAGATATCATACTTTGACGTGGACTTAGTGTTGGTGATGCAGCAACAAGTGAAAGTTCTTCAATAATAATCCTGCTTTTGGGATGATTCTTGGGGACTTCGTTTAATCTTTGCTCTAATGAATACTTTAAAAGGTCCAACTTCTGACTTGATTCATTAAATCTTGCTTGAGCCTTGCACAGGGAAAAGACAATTGTTGTCATTTAAATAATCACATACTTTGAATAATGTATTTATTAAACCAAATAAAAATTTTTATTTAAAATTACTTCTGAAAGTGCTTTTCTGTCTGTTACTTTTCCTGAGCCAAGTAATTTCATTACATTCTTTGCACCTTCTGCTACTGCAAACTCTATCCTAAAATGATGCCTTAATTCTTCCATCCGAAGTTCAAGAGGACTTATCACAGGTTTTGCTAGAAAGGAAAAAAAAATTTTAATTGCACCATTTATCTGACTTTCCAATTTGCAGTGATTAAAATCATGAAAAGAAATGAATTCCTATAACATTACAATAACTTAGTCCTTACATCAATAAACACTGAAATAAAAATATTTGATATGATATTGAAATTCAGAGCCTTTCATTTTTGTCATTACACATCTAAATTACAAATCTGAAAAAAAGATTTTAGAGCTGAAAGATATCCAAATATTGTAACATGGGGAGACCGAAAGTTTCTACTCCTACTCTTAGCAACTAGCTTTAAAGATTTCTTCTGGAATTAAAAAATAAATAAAACAAAACAAAAAAACAAAAGAAAACAAAGCCATACTCTTAAACAGGTAACAGATTTTTTTTTAAATGAAGACTGATTGTAAGTACTTGATAATCTATTTAAATGAAGAGATACATTCTAGATCAATATCTTCTTGAAACATAAGGGCCAAATATCTAAAAGCATCTATCCAAGTGAAGAGTCTAAAACTCAAGATTAAAAAAAAAAAAAAGGGCCGGGCGCGGTGGCTCACGCCTGTAATCCCAGCACTTTGGGGGGCCGAGGCGGGCGGATCACGAGGTCAGGAGATCGAGACCATCCCGGCTAAAACGGTGAAACCCCGTCTCTACTAAAAATACAAAAAATTAGCCGGGCGTAGTGGCGGACGCCTGTAGTCCCAGCTACTTGGGAGGCTGAGGCAGGAGAATGGCGTGAACCCGGGAGGCGGAGCTTGCAGTGAGCCGAGATCCCGCCACTGCACTCCAGCCTGGGCGACAGAGCGAGACTCCGTCTCAAAAAAAAAAAGAAAAAAAAAAAAAAGTAATAGTAATGCTTCCTCCCTCTTAACTTTGAACCACTGCCCTGTTCCTGCATAAGATTATTTAGCACCATTATGCTCATAAGAAGGAGGACAATTTATTCCATCACCATTATCAAAAGCCAATTCATTAGTCTGGACTGCCTGAAGAATCTGCATTCGTATGACTTCTATTTTTGTCTTGCTGTCCTGGAGCAGTTGCTGAGCTGTACCATGGAGTTTCCGATCCTATTAAAAAAATAAGTTTGAAAAATTAAGCAAATAAAGGGAAAAATGAAACATTTTCCTATCTTCTAAACAGATCAAGTGATATATCAGCAAGTGAAAAACAGAGTTAAAAGAATGCTGTTGGCGCTATAGTATATCTTATAGATACATTTACTAAAAAAGAGCCATCAAACTTACAGGGTGATAATTGTGAAAAACAACTCCATTAGTTAAGACAATTTGGGAGAAAAGGAAATCTTATTATGGCTGTGTATTTTTAAAATTTATTTTTTATTGTATATACTTGCAGTGTACATGATGTTTTGGTATGCATACATATAGTGAAATGATTATTACAGGCAAACAAATTTACTGACCCATCACCTTCTACAGTTACCCCTTTTCATGTGTATGTTTATGTGTACCTAAAATTTACTCTCTTAGCATATTTTCAGTATATAATATTAACTATAGTTCACGCTATGTATTAGACCTCTGGACTTATTCATCCTACCTAACTCTAAGTATGTACCTTTTGACCAACTTCTCCCCATTTCTTCTTCCTCCCTATTGCTGGTAACTGTATTCTACTCTCTGTTTCTATTTATTCAGCTTTTTTTGGATTCCACAGGTAAGTGAGATCATACAGTATTTTTCTTCCTGTGTCTGGCTTATTTCACTTTGCATAATGTCCTCTGGGCTCACCCATGTTGTCATATATGGCAGTATTCCCTTTTTTAAGGCTGAACAATATTTCATTGTGTATATACATATATATATACATCGCACAATCCATTTATCTGCTAACAGATACTGTAGGTTTGAATCTTATTACTATCTTTTAGAAAATCAAAATCCAAATTCACATTTGTAATTTTCTTATTTTTGCTTTACACAAAACATAAAGAATTTTCCTTTACTATGATCAATAACTCTAAGACTCAGAAACATAGTATGAAATAAATGCCTCCATGATTAAACCTAAACTAAAAACCTAATCACAGATAGCAATTGTGTTCCAATTAATTATGCTAAGAAAGGTAGAAAACAGCATTTGTCAACCCTGGTGACAATGAGAAAGGTCCCTAGAAACACTTTAATGTCAAAAAATGAGACCTTCTTAATAAAGCTGGAGAACACTTCTGTTATATCTTAAGATTTCAAAAAAAAGCTCTGAATTAAGTGAAATAATGTTAATGCCTGATATGGTTTGGATGTTTGTCCCTCTAAATCTCATTTTGAAATGTAATTCCTCAGTGTCTGAAGCGAGGCCTACTGGAAGGTATTTAGGTCACGGGGACAGATCCCTCATGAATTGTTTGGTGCCACCCTCACAGTATGAGTAAGTTCTCATTCTATGAGTTCACGCTGGTTGTTGAGCTGTTTGTTCAAAAGAGCCTGGCACTTCCTCCTCTCTCTCTTGCTCCCTCTCACCAGATGACAAGCTGGCTGCCGTTCATCTTCCATCACGACTGTAAGCTTCCTGAGGCCCTCAACAGAAGCACATGCCAGCACCATCCTTCTTGTACAGTCTGCAGTACTGTGAGCCAAAAATAAACCTTTTTCTTTATAAATTACTCAGCCTCAGATATTCCTTTACAGCAACACAAATGAATCAATGCAAGAGCATACCTCTGCTTAGTTCCAGTAACACTGAATGTGAGTGACAGAAGGAATTATATGCCAAATAATGACCTACTCGAAGATGTCAATGTCTTAAGCCTCAGAATCTTGTTGGTAAGTTACGTTACATGGCAAGGGAGATTTAAGGTAGCAAATGGAATTAAGGTTGTTAATCATTTGACCTTAAAATACAGAGATTGTCCTTGATTTCCAGATAGGCCCAATGTAATCACAAGGGTCCTTAAGTGTAGAAAAGAGAGGAAGAAGAGGTCAGAGTGATGGGATGTGAGAAAAACTGGACCTGCTATTGCTAGCTTAGAAGACAAAGGAAGAGAGTCAGGAGCCAAGAAGTGTGAGTAGCCTCCAGCAGCTGGAAAAAACAGGGAAACATTCTGCCCTACATCCTCCAGAAGGGAATGCAGTCCTGCCAACACCTTGATTTAAGCTAAGATTCACTTCAGACAAAATAACTACAAAATTATAATAAATTTCTGTTGTTTTATGCCACTAAATTTGTGATAATTTGTTACAGCAACTGTAGAAAACTAAGAAATTTTAAAAAGAAATATCAGAAGTTAATGCCATTTCCTGTTTTTAGAGTTGCATTAATTGTTAAAGACTGGTATCCATCCATACATACACACACAAATTGATTAAGCATCAAGTTAGAAAGCACTTATTCATAAGAAAGGAGAAGCTTTGCATATTATTTAAGCATCTCTATTTTTAATCACTAAGGCAATCAGTACTAATTTGGATAAAATAGCACACAATCAACCTGTATTCTCCTGGAGATTCATGTCTCTTAGAACCCAAGAGACACGCTTGATGACGGCAGTATTATTTCAATAAATCAAACACACACTATATGACACTGAATAAAGAAGAAAGAGATTGGAGATAAGGGGAATAAAAGTGAGCTGAAATATACCCTGCTGAATACCAAACTCAGGTTAATATACCATGGAGGAAAAAATAATTGCATATTTATGAAATTTATAAATTTTTCTTTTATTTCTTTTGTATTCCCAAAGTCAGTCATTTAGCAAATAGCTTCTGGCCAGACTGCTGCATAATGACATTTAGGTCAACAACGGACTACATATACCTATGTTTAGATATATTTAGATATGCAAGTACTTACCATTGTGTTACAATTGCCTACAGTATTCAGTATAGTTACATGCTGTTACTACAGCCTAGGTGCAATAGGCTATACCATGTAGCCTAGTACCATCTAGGTTTGTGTAAGTACACTCTATGATACCCGCACAATGATGAAATCACCCACTGATGATTTTTTCAGAATGTATCCCTGTTGTAATGCAAGGCATGAATGAATTTCTTTGAGATCAGACTAGAGTAAAAGTATTCCAAAGCTCATAATTTAATGGGACAAATGTATTTTGCAGTCAGATTTGAGCCCAAATCTTATTATATATAAACTTGGACAATTTACCTATTTTCTGAAAACCTTAGGTTTCTTGCATAAACTATGTAAATTGTGATACCATTCTCTTAAATATAAAACTTTTGTAAGCATTAAACTAAAATTATCTTGCCTAGCACATAATTGGCATTAAAATGTTCTCTTTTAGGACAATAAAAATAATGATTAAGTGTCTTATTCCAATGAAGTTCTAATGTAAATGTATAAATATTAAGTAAACCATATAATATTACTCTCTTCAATTAAGCTACTTCTTTTATTATTTTATTGTCATGCAAAATGAAGTAGTTCCATCATTTTACTTCTTTGGAAATACTCCTTTCTTCACTATTTCAATTCAACATGCAAGAAACAGCACTTGTATTTTATTTTAAAAATAGGTGAATTTTCCCACAGAAATTTCTGGAGGATCTGCAGGATGTCAAAGTATGATGAAACTTTTAAAATGGATTTTGGATATTATCTATCACAGGCAATATACAGTTATTACATATCAGTTTTATGTTTTCAGGCATTCAATGGAATTTTTATTAAGCACATAATATGTACAAGGGAAGAGATAAGGCTGGAGTACACGGACTGGTTTACATATTGGAGAAATCTGACTTTTATGTTAATACAAATTTTGGGAAAGTTTTTACATACCTTAGGTAGAACTACATGAAAATGCCAGTGTCTGATTTTGAACTAAAAAAACAGCAATTTTATATGGCTCAACCTAACACACTAAAGTAATGAACTATTAGTAATTGGCACTCTATAATGCTGGTAATTGTATTTGGAATAAATATTTTACAATTATAAGAATAACTAAAAAATTATACGACTTTCAAATTATGTTTTTTATTTTACAAAAAAATAACACTGTTTTGCAAGCTATAGTGGGACATTACAACACATTACATCACACAGAAAACTTTCAAATAAGCCAATCATTGTTCTTATTAGTACCATCTAGGTAATAAATAGGCCAGTCATTCTTATTTTTTTCATCATGTATTTATGTTAAAGTAACATATAGGAAGTAAGCCATAAATTACATGCCAGACCCAGTGAAAACACAAATATTAATCAATCAGAATGTTATCCTATGAAGCTTATAATTTGCTAGAAGACATATAGATGATTATTATATGCACTAGGAAGTTAAAAGTAGCTGAAGAAAATTCCAAAGAAATGTGGAATCAGGCCAGGGATGGTGGCTCATGCCTGTAATCCCAGCACTTTGGGAGGCCAAGGCTGGGGGATCATCTAAGGTCAGGAGTTCGAGACCAGCCCAGCCAACACGGTGAAACCCTGCCTCTACCAAAAATACAAAAAATTACCCAGGCATGGTGGTGCCCACCTGTAATCCCAGCTACTCAGGAGGCTGAGGCACGAGAATCACTTGAACCTGGGAGGTGGAGGCTGCAGTGAGTGAGCCAAGATTACACCACTGCACTCCAGCCTGGGTGACAACCTGGGCGACAGAGTGAGACCCTGTCTCCAAAAACAAACAAACAAAAAAGTGGAATCAATTTTAGTTAAGGGAATCCAGAAAGGTTTCCCGAGTCATTATAATAAATAAGTCTGGAATATGTCAAGACTGGAGAATTTCTCATGTTAAGTGCTTTTATAACGACGACGACGACAACAACAACAACAACACCACTTCCACTACAACAACAACTTAACCACTTCCACTAAAGAACTCAAGGGTACTTTTGGAAGTAACTTGATTGTCGTGGTGGTATCACACATGCATACATATGTATAGAAACATACAAATTAATTGAAATGTATAACTAAATATGTGCAACTTTTTTCTATATCAATTAGATCTCAAAGCTTAAACAGGCAATACTGGAGGATTGGCGGTTGGAGGGACCTGGATGGACAGTCTGGTATATCCATATGTGGAGGCTTGGGAAACACTTAAAACCGATGCAAGATGCTAGTAAGAACCCCAAATTTTAATTAATACCTTGGTTTACTGCCTGAATATATAAACAGGAGACATGTCTTTTTTTTTTTTTTTGAGATGAAGTCTCAAAAACTCCTGGGTTCAAGTGATTCTATAAACAGGAGACAAGGCTGGGCACGGTAGCTCACGCCTGTAATCCTAGCACTTTGGGAGGGCCAGGCGGGCGGATCACTTGAGGTCAGGAGCTCAAGACCAGCCTGGCCAACATGGCGAAACCCCATCTCTACTAGCAATACAAAAAAAGTAGCCAGGCATAGTGGTGTGCACCTTTAATTCCAGCTACACAGGAGGCAGGCTGAGGCAGAAGAATCGCTTGAATTTGGGAGGCAGAGGTTGCAGTGAGCCAATTGCGCCACTGCACTTGAGCCTAGGCGACAGAGCGAGACTCTGTCTCAAAAACAAAACAAAACAAAACAAAACAACAATAACAACAAAAAACAGGAGGCATGTCTTTAACATGTCTTATCAAGCCCCCAGAGATCATTCCAAAGGACAAAACAAAAACAAACACAACCAATGATGCTGCTTAAAGCCACACTACCAAATAAAGAAATGGCAAGCTATACTACTTATGTAACGGGGTAAAATAACTGCATCCCATTCCTCAGATCCTTGTGCTGACAATAAAAATAGTTAGTCATAAAAGGGATAATATGAAAATAATTATAGTACACACAGGTATGAAATAAGAAAAAGAACAATGTGTAAATTATGGGCCAGAGGAAGATAAACGGCCACAAATGGGCAGCGAAGCGGTATCCATTGTTTTAACAGATACTTATTGAGTATTTGTAGCAAACTATTTCAATGGAGTATTGTTTCAGGTATTGAAGATAGGGTGATAACCAAGATAATGTCTCTGCCTGCATGAAATTTATATTCTAATGCTGAAAACTGATGATAAATTGATCACATAAATTGTAATTTAAGGTGGTGGTAATGCAATGAAGGGTTAAGAAGAGACAGAGGTTGCTATTTATCTTAGGATAGTAGTGAAGAGCTTGCTGAGGTGGTAGCATCCAAGTAGATGACTTAATGAATGAGAAAGCCACAAAAGTACTTGGGAGAATAGATACCTAGGCAAAGATATAGCAAGTGCAAAAGCCCTGAGGTAAGAGTGTGCTTGCTATGTTTAAGGGATAGAAAAGAAGCTAGAGTAGCTAGAGTGTAATGAGAGAGGAAGGTGTTTTAGAAGATGAGATCAGAAGCTATAGATTTCCAGAGTCAGAATAAGAATTTTGGATTTTGTCCTAAGTATGAGGGAAAACCATTGGAGGGTTTTGAAGCAGGAGGGTGAAAATATCTGAAAAATTTAAAAAGGACAGCTCTGATTACAACATGCACAAGGGTAATAATTTAATCATGTAGAATCCAATAAGCAGAGTTCTGTTGGCAATTTTTACTGCCAAACTGAATTAATCATCCCTGTCCCTAAATTTGCTCCCCCTCATGAATTCTCTATCATTATAAAGGGCACCATAATTCATCAGTCTATCCACATAACCGATCTAAGAATAATCTTTGACTCTGCCTCCTTCCTCATATCCAAGATACCAAAAGTATGACTCTTATCTTCACTGTTTTCACTGCTGTTACAAGAGAAAGGAAGCTATTTAACCTGGACTACTGCAAAAAACTACTTAAACTTACTGCTTGCATAAATGACCTTCTTTAATTCTTTAAGTCTGAGGAGGATGGATGTGAACTTTCTTTTTTTTTTTTTTTTTTTGAGATGGAGTTTTGCTTTTGTTGCCCAGGCTGGAGTGCAATGGCACGATCTTGGCTCACCACAACCTCTGCCTCCCAGGTTCAAGTGATTCTCTTGCCTCAGTCTCCCAAGTAGCTGGGATTACAGGCATGCACCACCATGCCCAGCTAATTTTGTATTTTTAGTAGAGACAGGATTTCTCCATGTTGGTCAGGCTGGTCTCTAACTCCCGACCTCAGCTGATCCACCTGCCTCGGCCTTCCAAAGTGCTGGGATTACAGGCGTGAGTCACCACATGTGGCCGGATGGATGTGAACTTTCTAAACTTGAAATCTCATTGTGTCTTTTCCCTGCGAAAAGGAGCTCCCTGCTTTCAGCAGCTCCATCTATCTTTTAAGGTAATCACAACTGCTTAATTCTGTGCAAATACCATATAACCTGGCTTGTCTTTCAGTTATGTTATACCTCTCAATATGCCTCACCCACTTAAAACTCCACTGGTGGGGAAGGGAAAGAAGCCCTACTGGAATCACCTGGAGAACTTTTCCCAAACAAAATGAATGTCTTTCTGGAGATTCAGATTTGTTTCCCTATGGCTTTTAATTGAAAATGACTACTAGAGTTGACAACTCTTACTATCAGAAGTACATTCTACCTACCCTCAGATATGTCAGGTAAGAAATACACTAAGAACTTGTACTATAGCCACACCAAATCACTTTCATTCCTCAGAACAAGCCAGGCTATTCCACAGTTCCTTACTGTGTATATACTGCATTCACCCACAACACCATCCCTAAAAAGTAATTTTTTATTAAATGCCAAATCATTTTTCAAATATCGTACTAAAACTTAAAAGATTTTATTGGCAGTTAAATGATTATTCTCCATTGTGCTTCCAAAGTCAGTCAAACAAATCACTATTACACACTTTAACTATTTACATGTGATATATCTCCTTTTAAGATAGTGGGTCTCTTAAAAGCAGGATATTATATATTGAGTACCTGCTATGTAATAAGGCACCATCTTTATTACACTTACACCCCAGAGCCGAGCATAATGGCTATCAAACTTTTAACAAAATCCTTAATGAATAAATTAATATTCCACATAATTTCAATTTATAATTTTCCCTAATCTAAAACGATGTACTCTGACCCTCTGAGAAGTTTAAAGATGAAAAATAAAAACAGTTAAGGTGGAATCTAGACAGAAATAACTGGCAGGCCTATCTCAGAGGCAATAGTAGTTGCAAATAGGCTTTCGACCTCCATTTGAGTCTTCCTCAAATTAATAAATCTAATTAAAAATAAAAAGCTATGCAAAATTGACATATTTGTTTTAACAGGATGCTCACAGCCTTGTTCACTTTGGATCTGTGGTTGTTTTAGGTTATCTATTTGTTTTACTTTTAATATGTCCATAACTCTGTTCAACTTAGAGCAGTGGTTCGTAATCTTTTGTGGATTAAAGACCACTTTGAGAATAAGGTGTAACCTACAGCCCTTTCATCCATACAACTATCAACATACACACTTGCTTTTCCTATAACTTCAAAGGGTTCATAAACCCCTCAAACTAATCCATCCACCCCAGATTTAAAAACTTTACTCTACAGGGCAGTAGCTGGGTTAATTTAATTTAAAAATGCTCAGTATAATGTGCTAAAATCGCAGTTCCAGGAACAAAGTATTTACTTAAAAAAAAGGTCAAAATAACATTTTATAAAAATATAAAATCCCCAAAACTAAATGTCAGTGCTAAAAATAACAGCACAAAAAATAACTCTATCATCCAATAACAAATGTTCAAAGTTAGTGAAATAATATCCTATCAAATATCACATCATAAGTAAATAGGAACAAATACATTTCTCTAAAAGTAACAAAAAATTCTTTTGAAATATAACATAAAATCTAATGTTCATAATTAACCTTAAAACATTTATAGACAGTACACATTTCTCTCTTTTTGGTAACTTCCCTAATGTCTTTTTTTTTTTTTTTTTTTTTTAAAGAGACAGGGTCTTGCTATATTGACCAGGCTGGTTTCGAACTCCTGGCCTCAAGGAATCCTCCTGCCTCAGCCTCCCAGAGTTCTAGGTATACAGGTGTGAGCCACCAGGCCTAGTCTCAAATTTCATTTGGGGTGAGTAGTTAGGATGCATGATTAAGAAAAAAAATATTTCCCTCTGATTTCAAATTCTTTCTAAACTGAAACAAAAAAAGAAATATGTAAGAACTTTTATTAAGAAATTATTTAAAAAATATCTACTAAAATAAAAAAATTGATTTCCAGAGATAAAAATATTTAAAATACATGAGTTGAAAGTACAAAGGTACATTTTATAACTTTATATCTTTCTCAGAATTTCTGGAAATTATTAAAACTATAGAACCTTAGGCTGAAGAGAACCTTGAGGATAATCTGGTTCAGCGGCTCACAACATTTTTTTTGCTGCATTATACCTAACAACAAGGACATGTTCTTATTACTAAGAATTGCTCCCCATAACACTGATTTTCAGTTAGGAGTTATATGCCCATACCAGATCTCCAAGAATGCACAGGTCTAGGCCAAGCAATTATTGATGACGCCAAAATGTCCCATCTTTTCATTGGCCCTCTCCCAAACACTTGGGAGAGTGGTCTATAATGTGGAAAATTCATTACAGACTAAATTCTTTTAGATAATTTCTTTTTAAATAATTTTAGATTTACGGAAAAGTTGCAGATATGGAAAGCTCCTGTGTATCCTTTACCCATAAGGTAAAATTTTTTATTAACTGGGTCTTGGTAGGAATAAACAATTTTTAAAATGTTACCTAAAAAAACAAAAAAAACAACAACAAAGAAAAACATGTTTCCAAATTCTTTTATCCATTCTTTCAAATTCTGAGGTCAAAATGATTTCAGATGTCACAATATAGTGTTTAAACAGTGAAATTACCAATTAAAAGCACAAAAATGTGAAAAAAAACAGCACTAAATATATCTGAAAAAGGATACTTTTTAGTGTACCATAGCTTAAGAAGGCAAAATCACCTTGTTCGAACTCAGCTGGAAACAAGCATGTCATATAATTCAAATTTCCCCTGCTCCATGCATGTACACAAATGACTGCCAAAGTGCCATGCCACCAGTACTGATGTTGGAGTTACTAATAAATTTTATTGAATAGGTAAATTTATAACTATGGAATCTGCAAATAATGACTGACTATATAGTTACATTTATTAACTACACTTACCTTTGAAGATCCATTTGAATACATCTGTATCATATTCTCTGCACCTTGTTTTACTTTAAGTTCTATATCCAATTGTTTTTGTAAGGCCTTCAATCTATTGTTGCTAGTAGAACAACGAGGGTCATTATTTGGAGTATCTGGAGTCCTTGGGCAATCTGTAAATAAAATATTGTTAAAATTACTTATTAGAATGAATTGCTGCTTAAAATTGGAAGTTAATATTTTTCAAATAAACAGCATTTTTCAAACTTTGAGATGAGCCTAAATGAAATCTCCTTATACTTATAGATAATCCATGAATTCAACCAATTCATGCAAAAAAAAAAAAAACACGTATCTGAGTTGCAAGACTACTTCCCAGGGTAGATTCCACTTAAAATATAAAAGTGATTATATTAAGTCTGAAACTCAGTTAGATGATTGTCCGTGGTTTCTCCAACACTATTTTTGCACATCTGGTAGAATTTGGCTATGAACCCCTCTGGTTCTGGGCTTTTTTGGTTGGTAGGCTATTCAATTTTGGAGCTTGTTTTTGGTCAGTTCAGGGGTTCTATTTCTTCCTGGCTCAGTCTTGGGAGGTTGTATGTGTCCAGGAATTCATCCATTTCTTCTAGATTTTCTAGTTTATATGCACAGAGGTGTTCCTAATATTCTCTGAAGCAATTGCAACAAAAGTAAAAATTGACAAATGGGATCTAATTAAATTAAAGAGGTTCTACATAGCAAAAGAAACTATCAACAGAGTAAACAGACAACCTACAGAATGGGAGTAAAATATGTGCACAAACTACACATCTGACAAAGGTCTAATATCAGCATCCATGATGAACTTAACAAGGAAAAAATAACCCCACTGAAAAGTGGGCAAAGGACATGAACAGATACTTTTGAAAAGACATACATGTGGCCAACATGCACATTAAAAAAAGCTCAACATCACTGGTCATTAGAGAAATGCAAATCATAATCACAATGAGATACTATCTGACACCAGTCAGAATGGCTTTTCTTTCTGAGACAGAGTCTTGCTCTGTCACCCAGCCTGGAGTGCAGTGGCGCCATCTTGGCTCACTGCAACCTCTGCCTCCCAGGTTCAAGCGATTCTCCTGCCTCAGCCTCCTGAATAGCTGGGATTACAGGCATACGCCACCATGCCTGGCTAATTTTTGTATTTTTAGTACAGGCGGAGTTTCACCATGTTGGTCAGGCTGCTCTCGAACTCCTGACCTCGTGATCTGCCCGCCTTGGCCTCCCAAAGTGCTGGGATTACAGGCGTAAGCCACTGCACCTGGCTCAGAATGGCTATTATTAAAAAGTCAAAAAATAACAGAGGCTAGCGAGAATGCAGGGAAAAAGCAATGCTTATACACTGTTGGTGGGAGTGTAAATTAGTTCAACCATTGTGGAAGACAGTGTGGAGATTCCGCAAAGACCAAAAGACAGAAATACCGTTCGACCCAGCAATCCCATTACTGGGTATATACCCAAAGCAATATAAATCGTTCTGTCATAAAGACACATACATGTGTATATTCATTGTAGTACTATTCACAATAGCAAAGACATGGAATCAACCTAAATGCCCAGCAATGACAGACTGAATAAAGAAAATGTGATACACACACACACACACCATGGAATATTATGCAGCCATTAAAAAAAGAGAGATCATGTCCTCTGCAGGAACATGGATGGAGCTGGAGGCTATTATCCTTAGCAAACTAATGCAGGAACACAAAACCAAATACCACATGTTCTTTCTTATAAGTGGGAGCTAAATGATGGGAACACATGGACACATAGAGGAGAACAACAGTCACTGGGGGCCTATTGGAGTGTGGAGGGTGGGAGGAGGGAGAGGAACATGAAAAACAACTATGGAGTACTAGGCTTAATACCTGGGTGACAAAATAATCTGTATAATAAAACCCCAAGACACAAGTTTACTTATATAACAAATCTTCACAGGTACCCTTAAACTTAAAATAAAAGTTAAAAAAAAAGCATAATATGTTGTTTTATAGGTTTCTATGATTTTAGGAATGGGAATATTTTCAAAATCTGTGTTAGTAAAGTCCCTAAAAATTCAAAACATGTGCCATTTAAAGATGAATTTCATGGAAATAAATTTGTCCTAGAGTAAAATAAAAATGGGAACTATTAATACATAAATCATTTATAAATCAATGCCTGCAGATTTTGAAAATTATCATTTTCCAAGTAAATAATTTTCATTTTGCAAAAATAAATAAATAAAACTTCAGAAAGAACCATCTAGTTATTCCGGATAATCCATTATTATTGAAACACTTCTTTTTTTTTTTTTTTTTTTTTTTTTGAGATAGTCTCACTCTGTCGCCCAGGTTGTAGTGCAGTGGTGTGATTTCGGCTCACTGCAACCTCCGCCTCCTGGGTTCAAGCAATTCTCTGCCTCAGCCTCCCGAGTAGCTAGTGTTACAGGCGCCTGCCACCACGCCCGGCTAATTTTTTGTATTTTTAGTAGAGACGGGGTTTCACCATCTTGGCCAGGCTAGTCTTGAACTTCTGACCTCATGATCCACCTACCTCAGCCTCCCAAAGTGCTGGGATTACAGGTGTGAGCCACCACGCCCAGCCTGTTGGAACACTTACCTTGAATCTAAAATTCTTCATATTTTAAGTTTAGTGTTTTGTATTTTTATCCACACCAGGTCCCTTTACTTCTATAAAAGCTAAAGACTAGGGTACTACCCTGGTTCAGGTGATAAGTAACTTGGTCATGACTGGAAAACTGCCTAAACTGCAAGTTACTTTACCTTTGTGCTTCAATGTTCCCTTCACTCCTCTACAATATAAGATGGTGTGACTAACCATTTTAATGAATGTATTTCATATTGTTTTATATTCCCTTTAAAAAATTCACTAATTCAACACATGCAATTATAATTTGTTAATTAATCTAAAAATATAGATATTAAGGCTGAGGCAGCAGAATCACTTAAGGCCAGGAGTTTGAGACCAGCCTGGGCAACCAAGTCAGACACTGTTTCTAAAATAAATAGATAAATAAATAAATAATAGAGATACTAGGCTAGGATGTAAAATAATAGTGCTTTAGTTAATGATATCTGCGCAAACACATGTATGTGTGCATATAAATCCTTAAAATAACCTTTTGAGACAGATATTATCCATACTTTACATATCAGGAAACAGGCAAAGCCACACAATTAACTGAGTTCAATTCAGGAAAGGTTTCTATTCTAACTGAATTCCCCAAATTACAAATGGGCTGCTCCAAAAAACTGATATAAAATGTAGGTAAGTTTTCAAATCAAATCACAAAAGAGCAACTTAGTATATATCTAGTATAGTGGTTGAGGCTGCCCAGGTTTGAGTCTCAGTTTTGGTACTGAGATTCAGTACAAACCATGTAATACAGGGTAAGGTACTTCACAGCTCTGTGCCTTATTTTCTTCATGTGTTAAATAGTGAAAACATCATGTACCTCACAGGATTATAGTGAAGATTAAATAAATTATGTGTACAGAGCTTAGAAACAGGTGTGGTACATAGTAAATATGCAATAAATATTAACCAGCAGTACCCACTGTAGAAAGTGTATCTCCGTTAAGTCCATAATTGAACTACGCATTATAACAATGACTGAACAGTTCAGATCTGGGAACATTTTAATTTTCTTTCTTTTCTCTTTTTGGATAAATGATATCAGAATCTTGTAAGAAGTGTAAATTACACAGAATTTGGTATATAAAGATAGCTTATAGTAAGCACATTTTTTACAGAACTGGAATGCATTCAGAATAGAAGGCCCCTAGTTGAGAAGAGTATGAAAATGTGTTGTCTGTAAAACAGTTGATGGTGTATTTAGCCTAGGATGAGAAGGATAAATGATTCCTGTCTAAACATTTAAATATTTGTCTATGAAAGCTGTCCACTTACTATTTCCCCACAAGACAGAGAATTAGAACCAATGAGTAAAAAGGTAGGTAGGGCAAAAATTTTGTCGCAACATAAATTCCTTATGTTTTGGGTTATCTAACAATAAAATGGCTTGTCTTAAAATGCAATAAAGTCTCATCTCTGGAAGCACTTATACAAAAAGATTACAATTTGTTAGAGATACTATATAATAGATTCTTAAACATTACAGCAGGTTGTACTAAGATATTGAAATATCCGGCCGGGCATGGTGGCTTACACCTGTAATCCCAGCACTTTGGGAGGCCGAGGCAGGTGGAGATCAAGACCATCCTGGCCAACATGGTGAAACCCCGTCTCTACTAAAAATACAAAAATTAGCTGGGTGTGGTGGCACACGTCTGTAGTCCCAGATACTAGGGAGGCTGAGCAGGAGAATTGCTTGAACCCAGGAGGTGGAGGTTGCTGTGAGCGGAGATTGCGCCACTGAACTCCAGCCTGGTGACAGAGCGAGACTCCATCTCAAAAAAAAAAAAAAAGATATACCAATTGATCTGATAGTTTGTGAATTTGTAAAAATACTACATAACACTGTTCTTAAGGAAAAGTATGTCCTCAGTTTTAATAACAATTACAGGAATATAAGAAATAAGAAAATGGTTAAGAACCAGGGCTCTGAGGTCAGAATGCCTGGGTTAAAATCCTGTGGTTGCTACTCATTGGTATGGTCTTGATTATATACTTACTTAACATCTCTGTGCTACAGTTTCCTTAGCCACAAATTGACGGTTACTGTAAAAATAAAGCCTATATAGTGCTCAGGTCGATGCTTAAAATGTAATAAGGGCTCAATAATATTACAAGTCAGGGCTCAGCTAAGTAGCCAGTATTTCTGCTCATTTAATCTTCACAAGAAGTCATAAAGGTTTGCAATGTAACTTCATTTTACAAATAAAAAAATCTGAAACTTAGAGAATTTATTGCAAAGGTCACAAAAGTGTACACCTATGCAGAAATTTAACCTTAAATGTCTTATATAAAGTAAACTTTATAAAGTTCACTTTTTTTCCCCAATTAGAAATCAGAGAAACACTGCTGTCATCCTTGCATTTCATCTATTTTCCTCTTTAACCTGCCTTCCTACACACTGCTTTTCTTCTCTCCAATTTTCTTCCTTGTACGTTAAATTTGAGCATTATAAAACATACAGTTGCCAGTATATTTCTTAAACTCTTTCTCATAGTGAAACATATTTCAAAACAAGGAAAACTAGAACTCCCTACTCCCCATTAATACTCTCACCATTCAAAAAATTTTTTAAAAACTCTGTAAAATGGTAATTATTTTTCTACTCTAACAACTGCCTTTACATTACAAAAAGAGGTGAATCTACTCTTAAATACATACTTTGCTGGCTAAAGAAACTAAACCCCATGATTACAACAAAAAACAAATTTCCATTTGCTGCATATATTGCTAATATTACTGAAAAAGTATTTTCGGGGGTATTATAAGAAATTATGCTTGCTTCTAACCTTCTAAACATTATTATACAATTCAAAATGTATGTTATACAAATTCAATAAACTTGCTTTAATGTTTACATTTTAGATCAAAGAGATTTTAGGCATGTCTGGGTTACAGTAGACAATGCACTAGAGTTAAGCCCATAAAGTTGCATCTTTACATACATTTAGCCAATATAAATTGTTGTGCTTTAAGATGGAACGCAGACAAGACTAATTCCTCCACCAAAATATTTTTAATAGCCACATCTACCAAATACAGTCCCAACTTCACGGTTAGGCATTAAAGGTCTTGTGCTATCTAGCTCCAAGCTAATTCTCCACTACTATTTTTCCTTGTCAAATTCTGTGTTCAAAACCTTTCTAATAAAATGCGATTGTTTTCTTCAATACTATTGTTAGTTTAGGCATTACTTTCTCCAGAAAACCTTCCCTAACCATTCTCTAGTCTAACATGTCTTCAAAGTATACTTTCGTCCCTCCACTGAAATGTGTACTACACTGTATTATAATGATCTGTTTTCACATCTGTTTTTCCTCTGCGACTATAAGCATCTTGAGTGCTAAGATTTGTTCTTAGACTGAGTTTAATAGCAGACCAGACACAGAAAAATAGCAGATTAATACTGAAAAATAGCTAAGTTTTTTAAAAAGAGAAAGAGAGGAAAAATGCGACATAAAAAGACACAGAGAAAAAAAAATAAGCTCCAATATATCTTACGGTGTTTCGGAAGAAAATAGTGATTTGAAGACAATACATAAAGAGATAATGACTATCATCTTTTAAGAACTAATAAAAATGCCAATCCATAGATTCAAGATACCCAATCAACCCCAAGCATAAACATATAGGGGAAAAAAGTCCACACTTGGACACATCATGGTAAAACTTCAGAACATCAAAGACAGTCTTCACAGCAGTCAGAAAAGGGTACCTTCAAAGGAATTACAGTTAAATTTATGGCAGTTTTCAGCAACAACACTGAAAGCTGGAAGAAGGTGAAATGACAGCTACTTTATGTTAAAAGACACAACTGCCTCCTTAAATTGCGATATGGTTTGGATCTGTGTCCCTGCCCCAATCTCATGTCAAACTAAGTTCCCCAGTGTTGAACATGAGGCCTGGCGGGAGGTGACTGGATCATGGGTGTGGGTCTTTAATGAGCGGTTTAGTACCATCCCCTTGGTGCTGTTCTCACAATAGTGAGATCTGGTTGTTTAAAAGTGTGTAGCCCCTCCCACTCTCTCTCTCGCTCCTGCTCCAACCATGTAAGACGGGTTTGCTTCTCTTTCGCCTTCCACCATGACTGAAAGTTTTCTGAGGCCTCCCCAGAAGCCAAGCAGATGCCAGCATCATGTTTCCTGTACAGCCTGTGGAACCATAAGCCAATTAAAGCTCTTTTCTTTATAAATTACCCAGTCTCGGGTATTTCTTTACAGCAGTGCGAGAATAGACTAATAAAGATTGTATATATCCAACGAAAATATCTTTCAACAATGAAGACAAAATAAAAACATTATCAGACAAAGATGAAAGAGTTTTTCACAGACTTATTAAAAATTTAAAAATGCGAAAGGATGTACTCTGGGAAGAAGAAAAGTGATTCTAATTGGTAGGTCAAAAAAGAAATAACGAAGAACAGATAAAGTGGCTTAGATTTCAGTGATTTTAAAGGACCACTATATAAACAAATAAAAAAGTCATGAAGTGCTTTTTAAAAAATATAATTACAACGGCAAAAACTGCAATTACTTTTGCACCAGCCTAGTAAGACAGTAAAATATAAGCTAGGGTGTAGGCAAATAAAAGCATTCTAAGGAGTTCGAATTGTCTGAGAGATAAAAATAGCAATTAGACTACTGCCTTTGATAAGTATGCATGATGTACTATCTAAATGAATCAATTTCCAAAACAATCGAACTTTTAATAATTGATTCTTAAAAAATAGTCTAAAAATGACAAGAAAGAAAAAGAAACATTAAAGGCACAAAATAAGATACTAAATATAAACCCAAATGTAATAGTAATCATTTAAATAGGCTAAATGATCCAGGTAAAAGAGATTATTAGACAAGGTAAAAACAAATGAATAAAATAAATCCAACTATATGCTATTTTAAGAAACATATTTAAAACATGATACAGAAAAGCTGAAAGTAAGGAAATGGAAGAAAGGTATTCCACACAATCACTAACCTCAACCCACAACCTATATTAATAACAGACAAAAGATACTTTAAGGCAAAAAATACTTCAAGACAGAAAGATTACAGGTAAGTCATTTCATTTTAATAGAAGGTTCAATTCACCAGAAATATGCATCAATTCTAAATGTGTAGGTGTTCAATTATGTGGAACAAAATAAAGAAAAAACTGGCAAATTTTTTAAAAATATAGCAAATCTGCATTCCACGAAATTTTAATACTGACAGTTCCAGCACAATTACAAATCACAAAGCTCAATCAGAAAAAAATTCACCATGAATGAGAAAAAAATTAGAGGACTAGCCTTGTAAAGATTTTACTTACTGTATTTATCCTATACAGATTGTGAAATAAGTATGTTAAATATGTAAAGCTAAATGCAAGGGGTATCAACTGGGACAAAGACTATCCAAAATTACCAGGATTAACAAAATAGAAGCTCTAGCATTAAAAAAATGTAATAACAAAATTAGAAACACAATATTTGATAAAGAGTAAGTTTGATACAGGTGAAGAAACTATTCAAGAAATGGAGATAGATTTGAAGAAATTAATATGCATCTAAAGTTCCCAAAAAACTACGTAGAAGGAAAACAGGAGGTACAACATTCAAAGGGACAGAGGCTAACAATTTCCCATAATTGATGAAATACATACATTTCAGATTTAAGAAACCCAACAAATCCCAAGCAAATCAAATGAAACGAAATCTACGCCATTATACTCCAAGTCCAGAACACTGAAGACAAAGGATATCTTAAAAGAAACTAGATGATCTACATGGCTTCAACCATGAGACTGGCAGCTGTTTCCTCAACAAGAGTAGAATCCAGACAACCACGAAATAACAGTTTCTAAGTGCTGAAAGAAAATAGATGTCAACTTAGAATTGTATATAAAGGGGAAATCGTCTTTCTAAAGTATCTACTGTACTTTAGGAAGTACAAGAAAAGATCACTCTAGAAGGTAGGTCTGAGAAGCATGAAGAAATAGTGAACAAAGAAAATGATCAGCATGTGGGTAATTATAAACCAACAATGACTGTATAGAATGTTTAGATCTAATTTGTGGAATTGAAGCTAAAATGATATAAATAGAACATGGCCAACAATAGCATGTAAGTATTCTAAGTTTATTACATAATATAGAAAGGTGATTTGCCATTCAAGAATCTAGTTGACAAACAAACTATACAAGTTATTTTGGACAGAGGGAACTTAATACAGGGAACTAGTTATATCATATACAGCCAAGCATCATGCAAAGGACAACCCTGTGTACAAGTGGCAGAATTCCTCTTCTCAAAGAGGTTAGAGTCAGGTGTGTGTGTGTGTGTGTGTGTGTGTATGTGTAAATATATAATGTATGTATATATAAAAGGGACACCTTGTATGTACCTGTATGTATGTGTGTCTACACATACCAGAGTGTATGTGTGTATATATGAACATTTTCAAACATACTGCAAAGTTGAATTTTACACTGAGCACCTATATACCCATCACCTAGATTCTGCTAATCTACACACACACACGTGCCTAAGTATAGAGAGGTAAAAAGAGAGGTAAAAAAAGAAAACATAGGGATAGGGGAAAAAAATTAGAGCTGGGATTAGTAGCAGAAAAAGTTGAAATAATAGAGGCAGATGCCAGACCATTTGAAAGGCATCTCTACCATGCTACAAATTTGTACTGTATTCTGTAGCAAATGAAGATCCATTGAAAAGTTTAAATCAAGAAACTAACAGCACTGAATCTGAATTCTAGATTTAAAAAAATGCTGGCAGCAGTGTTTACGTTGAATTAAAGAAATACTGAACTTGTACGCTGTGGCAATAAAGATGAAGAAGAGATACAGATTTGAGACCTATTATCAGAGGTAGAATCTATAAGGCTTGGCGACTTACAAACTTACAATGAAGGTTGAAGGTGGGGAAAAAAGGTTTTAAAAAGTCAGGTTTTACTTATAGATTACTGGGGTCATGCACTAACGGGGCAGAAAACACAGAGAAAAATTTAGAGATAGCTGTCCAAGAAAAGAAGAGTTCAATTTTAGACATGATAAGAGGCAAAGCCAACAGGACATCCAGGTAATATCCAAAAGGGTGGCTATAAACTATCAGATGAAGCCCAGAAAACACAGCCTAGCTGGAGATACAACTTTGGAAGTCACCAGAAAATAGGATATGATTAAAATTTCCTTAGGGATAAGATTTCCCAAGGCCAGAATAAGGAGTAAATACTGAATTTGTTAGCTTCCCCCAAAACGTGTAGAGCAATAAATAGATTGCTGTTTCTGGTGCTTTTAGTATTTTCTCTAAAACCACAACTCAGCAGTTGGCTTACAAGATGAAACAGAGTTCTAGAACACAGGAGCAATCCCGATCCTTCTTAGAGGACTTCTGACTACTTAAGGTCTAGCCTTACCCTGATTCCTTGATTGTGTTGGAGATTAGGAATATGGTTTAATTCTTGAGTCTTTACTTCTCAGACCCAGGAAAGCCTCCTCAGACTTTATTTTACATCCAAATGGGGTTTCATGTTCAAACTTAGATGGCCTTGGATACCTCATGCTTTTTCTCAAGCTATCAAAATACCATGTTCACAAAACACCCTAGATAGGGTACATATTGTCTGTCCCTCTCATTCTACAAATGAGAAAACCAAGGTCTCGACAGGTTCCAGGTGGTATACACCACACAACCATTTAATAGTGCAGCTGAATGACATCTCAGATGATATAACCTTTGGTCTTTATTTTATAGCAAGCTGGCTCTCTATGTCCAAAATTCATAAAGTGGTACTTGAATAGCCAGGATATCTGCTTAAGAAACACTGTTTACTGCATTAAACAATTAAAGAGGAACTATACTAATAGCTGAAATAAACTTAGCCAAATCTAAATTAATAAGGTTAATATACAAAATCACTAGCTTACTATTTATCTATATTCTTAACATACTTCTTCCTATAAGTCTCTAAGTTACTATTTTAAAAATAAACTGCTCCAGAATCTTGCCATGTGTTACCATTATGTTAACTTTATACTTCTCCTAAAGTCCAACTTTCTTAAAGAAAGATACTTTACCTTTTACAGCCCTCTGGAACCTACTCAGGTTGTAATGAATGCTGAATAATTAAAGGAGGCTTAATTGGTTATTTTATATACTTGCGATAGCCCTTGTCATATATCACCAACTGAACTAATTTTGGTAAATATTTTATAACTAATACCACCTCTGGTTTAAGCTTTCTTAATATGTTACAGAAATAGGCAGGGTTAACACTGTGAGTTAGAATAATTTTTTTTTTTTTTTTTTTGAGACGGAGTCTCGCACTGTCGCCGGGCTGGAGTGCAATGGCTCGATCTCGGCTCACTGCAACTTCCACCTCCTGGGTTCACGTGATTGAGTTAGAATAATTTTTAAGGTAAAACAAGCAACCTAGGTATAAAAATTGCAGAACTGCCTCTATCTGAAATATCTTAATGTTTGAAAACTGCACCTATCATCTCCTAGTAGAGAAGACTTCTTCATTCTGTACATAACTCTGTACCTAGGGCATGCACTGTTCTTTTGTAAATTCTCCTTAAGATGGTGCTGCTCTATTTTTATTTCCTCTATGACAATAATGTATATTAACTACTACATACTTGTTAGACTGGTTAATAAAATATATTAACAATACCAAGTGCTGGAGAGAATGTGGAACAACTAGAATTCTCATTCACTGATAGTGGGAATGAAAAATATCACTACTCTAGAATATATTTGGCAGTTTATTTCCTTCTTTTTAAAGACCAGGTCTTGCTCTGCTGCCCAGGCTGGAGTGGCATGATCATGGCTCAATGTAGCCTCAAACTCTCAGGCTCAAGTAATACTCCCACCTCAGCCTCCCAAGTAGCTGGGATTACAGGTGCACACCACCATACTTGGCTAATTTTTAAATTTTTTGTGGAGATGAAGTTTCACTATGTTGCTCAGGCTGGTCTCAAACTCCTGAGCTCAAACGATCCCCCCACCTCCACCTCCCAAAGTGCTGAGATTTTAGACATGAGCCACTGTGCCCAGCCATCTTCTTATAATGTTAAACATATGTTACCACATGACTCAGCAACCCTACTCTTCAGTATTTACCAAAGTGAACTGAAAACTTTATTCACACAAAAATCTGTACGTGAATATTTATAGGAGCTTTACTGATAATTGCCAAAAATTGGAAAACCACCCTAACGTTCTTTGTGAATGGATAAATTATAGTACATTTATACAATCAACTATTACTCAGGAATAAAAAAATGAACTACTGATACACACAACAACTTGAAGGAATTTCAAAGGCAATATGCGGAGGGAAAAAATTCTCAAAAACTTATATACTTTATAATTCTATGTACATGGCATTCTTCAAAAGAGAACTATAGTGACAGAACAGGTCAGTGGTTGTCAGGGAATATAGAGGTGAAGAAGGGTGTGACTACGAAGAAAGAACATGAGGGAGATGTATAGGGCATTGGAACTATTCCTTTTTCTGAATGTGGTGGCAGTTAGATGAATTCATCTTAAAATTCATGGAAAGGTATACTAAAAATATATATACAATTTTACTACACATTAACTTTTTTGGAAAATATATCATAAAAAGAATTCAAGTATTAGGGAATCTATACATTTAATCTCATGATTTTAAAGACAAGGAAACAAATCCAGGAGTGCAAAAGAGCAACTTACTAATGATCACACTATTTAAGTGGGCAGGGCAATAGTAAAAAAGAAAATTAAATCTTCATTTCTATTCATCCAAGACCACAAACTGTTCTTTAGTCATGAACAAAGTTCCCTCAATACAGATATATTTTAGGAATTTAGAAGAATTTGCTAAGATTAACCCCACAAAATCCCAATATTATTAGGTATATTATATTACTAAATTAGTAATTCCCTTCTGAATATTTCAAATATTGAAGAAAATATTCACCAAATTAATAAGTAAAAACCAATCTAAGTTTGGTGGGGTTTGAAAATATAAGAATGGTACAAGAAAAGGAAATAAAATGAAAACAGAGACTATACACTACCCAAATTATTATCTATACTTAATAAAATATTAAAAAATGTTCTTATAGTCTTCTTCAGTGATGACATACTTAAAGAAACCAAGATTCAGGAAACCGGATCTTTCTCAAACGAGTGTCAGGTTCCAACTAAGGCTTAGATTACTACTCCATTTTAGAGATCAGTAATCTTTTTTCATAAGGTACATTTAGCCTCAGCTAACCATCACTGTAATTTCCACATAGAATGACAACAGTACCCCATTAAACTATTTTTATTTCTAATCAAACAAATTATATATTTATGGGGTATAATGTGATGTTTCATTACATTTATACATTGTAGAATGATCAAATTAGGCTAAGGTATCTATCACCTCAAATATTTATTTCTTCGCAGTGGGATTTAACAACCTTTCTTTTAGCTATTTTGAAATATACAATACATTGCTATTAACTATAGTCACCATGCTGTGTAATAGATCAACAGAACTTATTCCTCCTGTCTAACTAAAACTTTTTAACCTGTGACCAACAACTTCCTCTTTCCCATTTACCCATCCTCCCCCTCCCCAGTTCAAGCCTCTGGTAATCAGCATTCTCTTCTACGTCAATGAATTTGTCTTTTTAAGATTCCACACATAAGTGAGATCATTAGCTATTTGTCTTTCTGTGTCTGGTTTATTTCATTTAGCATAAGGTCCTCTAGGTTCATCCATGTTGCAAATGGCAGAATTTCCTACATCTTTAAGGCTGAATAGTATTGCACTGTGTTTATATACCATGTTTTAAAAATCCATTTGTCTGTTGATGGGCACTTCAGTTGTTTGGATATCTTGGCTATATAATGCTGGAATGAACATAGGAGTGCAGACATCTCTTCAACATGCTGATTTAAATTTCTTTGAATATATACCCAGAAGAGGAATTGCTGGATTGTAAAATAATCCTATTTTTAGTTTTCTCAGGAACCTCCACACTGTCTTCCAAAGTGGCCATACTAATGTTACAATACCACCAACAATGCACAAGGCTTCCCTTTTCTCCATATCCTTGCCATCACTTACCTTCCATTTTTTTGATAATAGCCAATCTAATACACATGAGGTGGTATCTCATCGTGGTTTTAATTTGCATTTCTCTGATGGCTAGAGATACTGATCATTTTTTTCATATTATCTGTCGGCCATTTATATGCCTTCTTTTGATAAATGTCTACTCAGGTCCTTTGCCCATTTTTTAAATAAGATTATTTCTTTTCCTTGAATTCAGTAGTTTGAGTTCCTTACTGACCCCTTATCCAATATATAATTTATAAATATTTTCTCCCATTCTTTGGGTTGTCTCTTCACTCTGCTAATTGTTTCCTTTGCTGTGCAGAAGTTTCCAATTTGATGCAAACCCATCTATCTATTTTTGCTTTTGCCTCTGCTTTTATCCAAGAAATCACTGCCTAGACCAATGTCATAGAGCTTTCCCTCTATATTTTCTTCTAGCAGTTTTATAGTTTCAGGACTGACATTTAAGTCTTATAAACGTATAAGGTAAGATAAAGGTATAAGGTATAAAGGTATAAGGTTTAAAGGTATAAGGTATAAAGGTATTACGTATAAGGGTAAGATAAAGGTTCATCTTCCTTCTTCTGCATGTCGATATCCAGTTTTCCCAACACCATTTATTGAAGACTGTCCAGTCCCCACCGTGTGTTCTTGGCAGCTTTGTCAAAAATCAATTGATTTGAATTGCGTGGGTTTATTTCTGGGCTCTCTTTTCTATTCCATTGGTTAATGAGTCTATTTTTATGTCATTATGATGCTGTTTAGATTACTATAGCTTTGTAATATTTTGGAATTTGGTAGTGTGATGCTTCTAGTTTTGTTCTTTTTGCTCAAGATGGTGTAGGGTCTTTTCTGATTCCATATAAATTTTAGGATTTCTTTTTCTATTTCTGTGAAGAATGATGTTGGGATTTTGATACGAATTACCTTGAATCTGTAGATCACATTGGGTAGTATGGACATTTTAACAATATTAAGTCTTCCAATTCATGAACACAGGAGATTTTTCCATTTATTTGTACCATCTTCAATTTCTTTCATCGTTTTCTATATAGAGCTCTTTCAATTCTTGGTTAAATTTACTACGTATGTTTTATGCTATTAATGAGATTGTTTTCTTAATTTTATTCAGATATTATATAGTTAGTATATAGAAATGATACTGACTTTTGTATGCTGATTTTGTATCTTGCAACTTGACTGAATTCCTTTATTAGTCCTAACAGCTTTATGGTGGAGTCTTTAGAATTTTATACATATATGTAAGATTGTGTTGTTCACAAACAGACAATTTCACTTCTTCCTTTCCTATCTGTATATCTTTTATTTCTTTTTCTTGCCTAAGTGCTCTAGCTAGGGCTTAACAGTACTATGCTGAAAAGAAGTGTTGAGAGTGAGCATCCTGATCTTGTTCCTGATCTTAAAAGAAAAGCTTTCGGCTTTTCACCATTAAGTACAATGTTAGTTGTGGGCCTGTCATAT
This sequence comes from Homo sapiens, assembly GCF_000001405.40. NCBI lineage: Eukaryota > Metazoa > Chordata > Mammalia > Primates > Hominidae > Homo > Homo sapiens. The sequence continues at coordinate 88,745,131 of NC_000001.11, read as the reverse complement.
ATAGACCTTCTTGTGTTGAGAAACATTTCTTCTATACCTAATTTGTTCATAGAATTTTTATCACGAAAAAATGTTGAATTTTCTTAAATGCTTTTTCTGCTCCTATGGGGATACTCTTATGGGCAAAAATCATATGATCATCTTTAAAGTATTTAGAAGATGAACAAGAAGCTCAGAGTATCATGGGCATGATGAGAAAATAAAAAATTCATTTCCTACTACTCTTAAGAATAAATGAATACATTTATTTTACAAATAACTTTCTCAAACAATCAGACCTTGACATTACAATAAGGAATATTTCAGAGTTTTATAGTTTAAAAGTTCATCTGATAAAAATCCTTATTTTACAAACAAGAAACTGAAGATTCAGAGATTATTATTACAGAGGTGAATTAAGAACAAGTCCCTAGCCGGGCAGGATGGCTCATGCCTGTAATCCCAGCACTTTGGGAAGCCGAGGTGGGCGGATCAACAAAGTAAAGAGATCAAGACCATCCTGGCCAATGTGATGAAACCCTGCCTCTACTAAAAATACAAAAATCAGCTGGCTGTGGTGGCATGGAGCCTGTAGTGCCAGCTACTCGGGAGGCTGAGGCAGGAGAATCACTTGAACCCGGCAGGCGGAGGTTGCAGTGAGCTGAGATGGCACCACTGCACTCCAGCCTGGTGACAGAGGGAGACGCAGTCTCAAAAACAAAGAAAAAAACAGAAGTCCCCTAACCACTTAGACAGTAATGATTTACACAATGCAGACTTAAATTTTGTCCCTCTTTCCTTCAGTCATTTGTTCTGCTTACTAAGCTTATGTACCCACAAGACAACAGGAATTAGTCAAACACTTCTGTTATAAATCCACTCATACCTTTCAGAACTGAAAGCAAAGCACAATGTCCTTGAAATCTTCTTGCCAGACCTAATCTAAAATAAATTCATGGGATTACCTTAGTGTGCAAGGTAAAACATCTAAAATTTTATGGCAAACTGACCTAAAATTAATGACATTAATTTTAATCCTCTATGTTGTGGTTGTTGCTTTTAGATTGTTAAGTTAGTAAAATGGAAAAAAGAGAAAATGACTTATTACCAAGTTGTGTAAATATGCCATTTGCAAACAGAATTTTTTTAATAAAATAAAAATTTGACGAACTTATCAAGTTTATTCTAAACAAACTGAAGTATTAAGAAGTCACAGTATAAAGTTATATTTCATATATCATCTGCCCTCCAATTATCTGAAATGTCAGTATTAAAAATGGTCAGTATAAAAAGTTTCTGGCTTTATCATAAAACTTTTAAGTCTTTGTTTTCTAAGTTATTTAATGTTTCAAGTGTCATAATAATTAGGCTTTGATACTAATTCTAAAGACTAATATAAGATGCGATTTGCTGGGTGTTTTTCTATTTTGAGATATAATATTCCCAAGTAAGCATCTACTATGTTTCAGTTTCTGTAATAAGCCTTGAAAATAGATGAGTGAACACATGTCCCTCCCTTCAAGGAGGAGACAGTTTAGTGATATAACATGTACAGAAATACATTACAATGCAACAATGAATGGACAAAGTAGCACAGAGAAGATAAAGCAGAGAATGTCATGGAAGGTTTTATGGTAATACCTAAAAATTGTTTTTTAAGGGTGATCAGGAATTTGATAGGACTTAAAGGAGGTAATTTCTTTATATAAAACAGTAGGAAAGACAAATTCAATCTAAAGTGATAGAAGATGGATCAGCGGGTTCCTATGGCCAGGGTTGGGGATCATGGGTTAGCTGGGAAGGAATATACGAGAAGCACTGAAGTGATGAAAATGTTCTAGATCGATTGTAGAGATGGTTAGCTGGGTGCACACACACAATTGTTAAAAATCATTAAATCATGTACTTAAAATACGTGCATTTTGTCATACGTAATTTATACTTCAATAAACCTTTTATTTTTGAGACAGAATCGCTCTCTGTTGCCCAGGCTGGAGGGCAGTGGCACGATCTTGGCTCAACACAACCTCTGCTTCCTGGGTTTAAGCAATTTTCATGCCTCAGCCTTCCGAGTAGCTGGAACTACAGGCACACGCCACCACGTCGACTAATTTTCGTATTTTTAGTAGAGACAGGTTTTCACCATGTTGGCCAGGTTAGTCTTGAACTCCTGGCCTCAAGTGATCCGCCTGCCTTGGCCTCCCAAAGTGCTAGGATTATAGGCACGAGCCACTGCACCCAGCCACAATAAAGTTAACTTTTATAAAACGAATGGGGAAACCAAATGGGCTCCTCGTGATGATAAAACTCTTCTATATCCCAGCGAATCACAAGGTAGTTATCAGTATTCTGTGAGGAGGAAAATTTCTCTAAATAAACAGCTCCAGTGCTGTTTCTTATTTTAGACCGCTCCTAAAGATGTAACAGGCAAAAAAAAAAATGTAGAGTTTGGCAGAGTTCCATGGAACAGGCTATTTCTAAGTTTATATAATATTACCAAAAAACAGCATTTTCATAATACATTATTTCCATTTATAACATAATTATAGAGTGTGTAAGAATACTAGATGAAGAGCTGAAGCGTTCTTTTTAACTAGATTGGTGATTCTGAAAAAACTAATTTGCATCTTTGGGATTATTTCAATCTAAAATTAGAAGGTGGATTTCCTATTATTTCTTTCATTTTAAAGTTTCGATTATTCTTACAAGGTTGAAATCTCTACACAGAGAGCCTCCTAATAAAAGCCCTAAATCCCAGATGTTGAAAGTGATGTCGAAAAACAAGTTTTAACAAGAACACTAAATATCAGTAGTGTTTTCTGCAACTTTTGAGATGGTAAAAATTTAAGGTTCTTAGCCAAATTTATGTATTTTCTTAATCAAAATTAAAATTACTTACATCTATTATTTATTAGCTAATCACACACGTTCTTCTAAATTTTCTACCATGCTATAGGTGTATTACTCTATACACTCTCACACTCTTTTTCTTTGCAAATAAAAAAATTGACAGTTACAGAGATTGATAATGTCTTGAGGCCTTGGCTTAAACTTAAACGTAAGTTTTTGTATGAAAAGTTATAGAAAGACTATACATACTGATGGGTGAATATTGGCACAAATATAGAATTTTTTATCTGGAAGGATATACAACAAAAAGTAATGTTACCTTTAAGGAGACGGTCTAAGAAAGAAAGAGGTGGGTTTTCAATCTTTATTTTCTGTACCATTAAAAAAATTCCAACATAAATATTTATTAATTCTATTGTTTAAAAATTATGTTTTTATATTGAAATCATAGGTTATATTTTCCTCTTATTTTCTATAAAGAAAATAAAAGTAATGTGTAACAGTTTTTTCTATTATGTTTTTCTTTTTTGAACACTATGCCTAGTAGTTTACTTGTTAATTCAGTTGCTTAGAGCACAAAGAATGAAGGCCATAGGTTTGACTAATTACATTTGCAAATAATAAAACTATCTCTTGTTCAAAGAACACAGTTTTAACTTTAAGTCAGCTGGCAAACTTGTGCTGTTGATTACAGGATGAATCACGTAAAAGCATGTGATTGACTCAATACAAAACATTAATACTGGAGACTCACTCTAAGTAACGTCCTACTGATAGAGAGTAAGAGAGAATACATTAGGGTTATTAAATTCTAAGTAAACATTTCAATTTCCATACCTATCAACTCCTGCCCTTCTAAACAGAATATAAATAAGACCTTAACCAAAAGAGAAAAAGTCTCTCTACTTTCAGAAAAGCTAAAAACTATTCATGTCCCCAAACTTACTATTTTCTAAAAAGATACATTTTTTTTATTAATATACCATATAAACATCAAATAAAGCACTACTATACCTGTAATATCTTCTGGATCTGATACAACAATATGTGCATTTAATTCCTGCAGCTTGTGATGTAGTTCTTCTAATTTTTTATTTGATTTTTTCAAAATGTTGTCTACATAAGCCAAACTTTTTTTATCTGTTGTGACTTTCCTCAGATTTTCAGCTCCTTCTTTGATTTTCAGTTCTTTCCTTATTTCTCTCTTAATTCGATCCTTGATATCATCCAATTTCTGCTGCACCATTGTATCTGAAAAGTCTAATTTTTGAACAGCACTCACATTCTCAGAAAACGGAAGACTTCGGGAATCCCCCTACAGAAAAAATAAACATACAAATGTGGGAGTTTAGGAGAGTTGGCTGCTCAGTAAATATGCAGTGTTTTCAGCCTAAGAGAGTCTTTCTTGATTACATTACATTTAACTATATTTAATTATCTCCTTAATAAGCAATAGACCAACTACTTACTGACTTTTATTATAACCATACAAAATCATAAATTCAAGAACTCACTGGCTACTAAGTAGCATTACTTGACAAATACATTTATATTAAAATAAAGTGAACACATCTACACACAAAGGCTGTGTAAAGATAGCGGATTTTGGTATCTTAGGAACCCAGGTTAGATCCCAACCCCTACACTGTGAACCTTGAGCAAGTTACTTAACTTTTCAAATACTCAGTTTTAATAGTCTACAAAATCTAAATAATAATAGTAGCCACCTTTTAGAGATACTGTGATAATTCACAAATATTGTAAATGAAGTTCTAAATACAAGTACTGGGTCACTGCAGTCACTTAATAAATAAAAAGTATTATTAAATTCTATAGGTAAACACTAAAAGCCCAGACTTCATCACTACATAATATATTTATGTAACTAAACTGCACTTGTATCCCTTAAATTTATACAAATAAAAAAATTCAATAGGTGAATCATTTTATCTTCTGTAAGAAACTTCTTAAAAATAAATGAATATTGGCAAAATAGATACCTTTATGACCACTTTTTAGTTAATGAATTAAATGTACTAGGGCTTGGGAAAACTATATTCAGAACTCCATTTATACAGTTGTTCTTTGGTATGTGTGGGAGGTTGGTTCCAGGATCCCACATATACCACAATCTAAAGATGACCAAGTCACTTATATAAAACGGTGTGGTATTTGCATATAATCTAAATACACACCCCATACTTTAATCTCTAGTTATTTATAATACACAATACAAGTGGTATGTAAATAGTTGCTATGCTGTATTATTTGTATTATTTTTTATTTTTTTTTTCCCCTAATACTTTCAATCTGCAATTGGTTGAATCTGCAGATGTTGAATCCACAGATATGAATGGCCAACTGTATACTTCAAGGCTAAGTACTCCAATTGGTAATTTGGTTGACTCAGTACAAAAGCATCATTACTTGAGAACACCTCTAAATTGTGTTCTATTGATGGAAGCTAAGACAATACACAGTACAGTCACCTTAAAATGAAAATCCAATCAGTTAAGCACAGCTAATCTATATTTACAACAACTAAAGTTATGTTCTAGCTATTTCTATATCATTTACTGTTTCAAAGTCCATTACTATAATACCATTGGATTTAAAATGTTTAAATTCTGAAACACAAGAAACCAAAGATAATGGTTACCTCTAGGGAGGAGATTTGAGTTTATGAAGGACATGGAAAAGAAAAAGACACACTGTGCAGCCTTTTTGTACCTTTGAATCACAGACCTAATTAATGCAAAGATTTTCTTTAATTTTTTGAGAATTCCTCACACCCATATAAATAAGTTGATGCAAGTACTTTCTACATTCATTCTTAATTTCTAAAAATTATGTATCATGCAAAATAGTGAAAAGGGTGAGCTTATGGGTGATACGGGATCTCGTCTTGGTTTTCATATCAATTTACCTTGTGCCTGCAGGTATATTATGCAAAATATGAAGTAGTTGATTTCTATAAATCTCTTTTTTTTTCTGGTAGAGATGGGATTTTGCCATGTTGTCCAGGCTGATCTCAAACTCTTGGCCTAAGTGATCCTCCCACCTTGACGTCCCAAAGTGCTGGGTTTACAGGCATGAAACACGTGCCCAGCCTGTTTCTAGCTAAGAATTCCTTTGAAACGCCAACAAAAAATAGTACAAAGAAAATTTCATGTTGTTATGTATACTTACCAGGTTCCACGGATCCTAGGTTAAGAATTCCTAAAACAGGTAATCTACACCTGTTAGAAGTTGTATTTCTGATCTGTCACTATACAGATAAACAATGATCTTCTACCTGAGCCAAAATGCTGTCTAGATTTTTCACTATTTATAATGGAATATAAGTCCTACGATCCATTTGGTTTCCAAAGTTTAAGTGTCTATCCTTGGCAAGTTGTCAACAACACTAGCACATGTCTATTGTCAAAGAATAAAATCCCAAATTCATATTGTCTAGTTTCAGGTAAAGTGGACTGAGGCAAAAAATGCTTAGATAAAAAATAGTTTAAGCTAGTTCCATTCCTCCAAATATTTTTGTTTCAATCCTTACACATTTATCAGAAAACACTTTATGAACTGCTTTCGCAGATTTGTTCTTTAATATTATGTCCAAAGCCAGAGGTCTGCAAAATTTCCTTGTTCATGGTACTCTTAATATCTCAGGAAATTATTCCTTATTTCTCATAGGCCAGAAGAAATACCTAACACTTTCGTTTACTGCCTACCTCAACTCCCATTTCTTTCCACTTTGTTCCTTAAACTCCAATCATATCAAATTATAAAACTTTACTTCAAGAAATCATCTCTCTTGGCTCAGCCACTAAGCATGCTTCACCTTTGGTATGCACCATCTCTCCTTTCTCCTGCAGTTATCTCTTTCAAGTATCTTCTTGACCCTGTTAACTTTTACTTTGTTTCAAAGATCAAGAACAACTCTTGCTGGGAAACAATTTCCTGTCCAAAGCCTTTCTTTAGAATTTAGTTGAATGCCTCTCCTGTGTGCTCTGATATTGTGTACCTTATTGAAACAATTACCCCTTTTTTTTATCTGACCACTCTTCAAAGACTATGAGCAATTTGAGGGCAGGGCTTATGCTTGGCAGATTAGTTTGGTTTTTTTTTGTTTGTTTGTTTTTTAATGACTTGTCCATTATGTTATTTAATATTCTTCCTTTACAATTAAGGAAAACCTGCCACTGCTGAGGAACTCATGCTTCCCTCTATCTGATAAAGAGAATTTGGAGAAGAGGCAGAGTCAAGATGGCTGAATAAGACTCTCCAGCGATTGACTCCCCACAGAAACATAAATTTGAACATGATCTATGCATGAAAGTAACTTCGCAAGAGCCAAGGAACCAGATCAGAGATGACCATATCTGGTTTTAGCATTACTAAGAAAAGATCAACTGAAGAGGGTAGGAAAGACAGAGGTACAATGCCTGAATCACCTCTCCCCCAACTATAAGCACAGCACAGAGAGAGACACAGCCCACTTGGGGTAAGGAGAGGGAAGTGAGTGCAGGACTTTTGACTTGTAGCTCAGCACTGGGTCTGCCGTGGTGAAACCCAACACCAGGCAGAACCCCATGCCCCTTAACCCCAGACCAAGCTAGGCAGACAAGGACCCATCCCGATACTATGTGGAAACCTGTGGCCTCAGTATGACAGACTTGTGTTCTGGCATCTACAGTAGCCTCAAGCCATGAGTGAACTTCAGCAGCAGGAAGGCTACAGTGGTATGGGCCTGATTGGTGCCCCGGGGATGTAGTAGTCCTGGTGGCAGGACTGGGACCCCATTATTCTTCTTCCAACCCTAGGCAGCACAGCTTGGAGAGTGCCTCCATCTACTGGGGGAAAAAGAGGGATACAAAAGCAGTACTTTGATCTTGACTCAGTGACAAGTCTGCCATGGTAAGACTCCACACTGGGCAAAATCTGATGGCCCACTGATCCCAGGCTGGCACCCAAAGACCGTGCCTCTGAACTCATTTCAGTGTCAGGCAGAGAGACATGGCCTCAGTGGAATAGACTCAGGGGTACATCACTACTGTCTGTCTGCAGTGGACTTGAGCCACAAATAAACCTCAGCAGCAGGCAGGCTATAGTTCCATGGGTCTTGGGCATATCCCTGTGCTGTGCTTGTCTTGGCAGCTATGGTTTTCAGGTGTGAGCTAGCATTACGGTGGCCGTCCTGGCCACAATACTGCCTGCTCCACCCCTTCCCTCAACCCCAGGCAGCACAGTGTGGAGACACTGATGCTTGAAAGAATGAGAGGGGAACAGGTACACAATGTTGCTTTGGAGCATGCCATGGTGAGGCCCAAGCACTGAGCAGAGTGACACAGTGCCTAACGTGTCCTGGCCCCAGTGGAAACTCACACACCCAGAGAGACACTCCAGTCTCTCCCCTAGTCAATCTGGGCCAGAACACAAACCAACTGTGAATTCACTGCAAACCTGGGCTTACGGTGCCATCTAGTGCTGAAACAGTGATAGTGGCCAAGGGCTCAAAGAACACAATAATCGCCCTGCTTAGAATTTCTGGAAGAACAGGAACAAACCACCACCAGGCTTTGAATGGGGAATAAACAGCTAATCCCTCAATGTTCAGATGTCAGGGCAGGCCAAAGGCATGAAGAATATTCAGGGGTCGGGCACAGTGGCTCACGCCAACAACTGGGAGGCTAAGGTGGGTGGATTACCTAAGGTCAGGAGTTTGAGACCAGTCTGTCTAACATGGTAAAACCCTGTCTCTACTAAAAAATATAAAAATTAGCCAGGAGTGGAAGTACATGCCTGTAATCTCAGCTACTCAGGAGGCTAAGGTTGGAGAACTGCTTGAACCTGAGAGGCAGAGGCTGCAGAGAGCCGAGATCATTCCACTGCACTCCAGCCTGGGCAACAGAGTGAGTGAGACTCTGTCTCAAAAAAAAAAAATTTTAAGAAAGCATTCAGGAACCATAATTTCATGCAACAAACAAAATAAGGCACCAGGAAACAACCCTAAAGTGATGGAGATGTGTGATGTCTCAGAGAATTCAAAAGAGCTGTTTTAAGGAAACTCAATGAACTTCAATAAAACACAGGGGAAGAATCCAGGAATTTATCAGAGAAACATGAGAGATTAAACAAACTGAAATCCTGGAGCTGAAAAATACGATGAACAAAATGAATGCAGTAGAGAATATCAACAGCAGAATCTATCAGATACAAAAATCTGAGCTTGAAGACAAGCTATTTGAAAACACATAGCTGGAGGAGAAACAATTAAAAAAAGGGTAAAAGGGAATGAAGAAGTTTACAGAACAATGCAACAGTATCAAAAGAGCAAATATTTGGGTTACTGGGCTTCAAGAGGGAATTGAGAATGACAAATGGGAAGAAAGCTTATTCAAAGAGATAATAACACAAAACTTCCCAAAACTAGAGAAAGATACAAATTATCCAGGTACAGAAAGGTCAAAGGTTACCAATCAGATACAGCCCAAATAAGTGTACCCCAAGAAATACCATAATCAAATTCTCAAAGATCAAAGACAAAAATATTTTGAAAGCAACAAAAGCAGCAAATAACATATAAGGAAGTCCCAATCTGTCTAGCAATAGACTTCTCAGCAGAAACCTTATAAGTCAGGATGAGTGAGATGATATATTCAAATTGTTAAAGAAAAAAAAAGATTGGGGGTGGGGGGGGGGGGGGTGGGCTGTCAACCAAGAATACTGTACCCAGCACAGCTATCCTTTAGAAATAAAGCAGAGATAAAGACTTTGCCAGACAAATGAAAACTAAGAGAATTTATCATCATCAGATATGTCTTACAAGAAATGTTAAAAAAAAATAGGCCAGGAACAATGGTTCACATCTGTAATCTCAGCCCTTTGGGTGGCCAAGGTGGAAGGACTGCTTGAGCTCAGGAGCTCAAGGCCTTGGGTGGCATACCAAGACTTTGACTCTACTAAAAATGAAAATTAAAAAATCAGCTGGGTGTGGTGGCGTGTGGCTGTAGTCCCAGATACTTGGGAGGCTGGGGTGGGAGGATCATTCAAGTCCATGAGATCAAGACTGCAGTGAGCCATGATCGCACCACCGCCCTCTAGCCTGAAGGACAGAGTGAGACCCTGTCTCGAACATACAAGCAAACAAAAAATGCTAAAAACAGTTCTTTAAATGAAGAAAGAGACTCTAATGTGTAACAAGAAAACATCTTAAAGGTATAAAACTCACTAGTAAGTATACTGGAAGATGGAATACTATAATACTATAAATGTGATACATAAAGCACTTGTATCTTTAATATGAAGGCTAAAAGACAAAACTATTAAATAATAACTATTTTAATTTGCCAAGAGATGGGTAATATAAGATGTAAAATGGGACATCAAAAATTACAAATGTGGGAGAAAATGGAGTTAAAAGTAGAGTTTGCTTTTTCTTTCTTTTCCTATCTTTACAATCAAAGTTGGGTTGCTATCAGTTTCAAATATCTCATTTTAAGATTTTTTTCATAAGCTTCATGGTAACTGCAAAGCAAAAACCTATAAGAAATACACCAAAAATAACAGGGAAACCATCAAAACACATTACTAGAGAAAATCACCTAACCATAAAGAAAGACAACAAGAGAACATAAATAGCCAAAGTAATCTAAAGCAAAAAGAACAAAGCTGGAGGCATCATACTACTTGACTTCAAAACACATTACATAGCTATAGTAATCAAAATAGCATGCTACTGGTATAAAAAAGACACACAAATCAATGGAACAGAAGACAGTCCAGAAATAAATCATCTATCTACAGTTTATTAATTCTTGACAAAGGGGCCAAGTACACTCAATGGGAAAAGGGCAACAAGTGGTGTTGGGAAAACTGGATATCCACATGAGAGAATGAAATTAGATTCTTATCTCTCACCACAGACAAAACTCAACTCAAAATGGATTAAAGACTTAAATGTAAGACCCCAAACTACAAAATCACAAGAAGAAAATATGGAGGAAATATAGGGGAAAGCTCCATGTCACTGGTCTAGGCAAGAATATTTTGGACAAAACCTGAAAAGCATGGGCAACAAAAGCAAAAACAGTTTGAGCATTCTAAATCCAAAACTCTAAAACGCTCCAAATTTTTTTTTTTTTTTTTTAAAGATAGGGTCTCACTCTGTTACCCAGGCTGGAGTGCAGTGGTACAATCATTGCTCATTAGCAACCTTGAAACATTGAGCTCAAGTGATCCTCCCACCTTAGCCTCCCAAGTAGCTAAGACTACAGGTGGGCTCCACTATGCCTAGCTAATTTTTATCTTTTGTAAAGACAGGGTCTTGCTACATTGCCCAGGCTGGTCTTGAACTGATGGCATCAAGTGATCCTCCTGCCTTGACCCCCCCAAATTGTTGGGATTATAGGCGTGAGCCACTATGAAACCTTTTGATTGCCAACATGATACTCGAACTAAATGCTTATTGGAACGTTTTGAATTTTCAAAATTTGATTTGGAATGCTCAACCACTAAGTATAATGCAAATATTCCAGAACCTGAAAAAATCCCAAATCCAAAACACTCTGGTTGTAAGCATTTCAGATACAGGATATTTAACCTGTATAGACAAATGGAATTGTATCAAACTAAAAATCTTCTGCATAGTAAAGGTAACAATCAACAGAGCAAGGATGCCAGTCATAGACTGGGAGAACACATTTACAAACTACACAACTGATAAAGGGTTAATACCCAAATATAAAGAACTCAAACACTCAATAACAAACAAATAACCTGATCAAAAAATGGGCAAAAGGCCTACATAGACATTTCTCCAAAAAAAGAACATACAAACAACCCACAGGTGTATGAAAAAATGTTCAACATCACTAATCATCAAAAAATGCAAGTCAAAACTATAATGAGATATCACATCACTCTAGTTAGAATAGGTACTCTCAAAAAATCAAAAGATAGCAGGTGTTGATGAGGGTATGGATAAAAGGGAACCCTTATACACTGCTGGTGGGAATGTATAGCCATTATGGAAAACAGCATGAAGGCTACTCAAAAAATTTTAAACAGAACTACCACATGATCCGATAAATCCCACTACTGGGTATATATATCCAAAGAAAATGAAATCAGTATGTTTTACAGATATCTGCACTCCTATGTTTATTACAGCATTATTCACAATAGCCAAGATATGGAATCAACCTAAATGTCTATCAAAGAGAATAACTATTTTTATGTTTCTTGTTACATATTCCCAACTTTTTTGTACCCATTAACCCATCCTTCCCTACCCGTTTTTCCCTGCTCCCCTCTCGTCCTCTCATAACTACCATTCTACTCTCTACCTCTATGAGAACAACCTTTTAGATTCCACCTATGAATGAGATCATGTGGTATTTGTCTTTCTGTGCCTGGCTTAGTGTCCTCTAGGTACATTCACGTTGTCTGAAATGACAAGATTTCATTATTTATGACTGAATAATATTCCATTGTGTATATATACTATATTTTATTTATCCACTTACAAGACTTCATTTAAAAAGTTGGGAATATAAAACAAGAAATTTAAAAATAGTGTTTCTCTTTGACATAGAATTATAAAACTCAAGAAATCTAACCTAAGATAATAATTAGAAATTTTTGTTATATAGAATGGTCAATTCAATAATTTTAAAATTAATAATATGTTCAATGCACTGTATTGGGCACAGACAGACTCCCTTATAAAGCTTACAAATATCAGGGCTTTAAACCAACTTTAGAAAAGAGAAAGTTCAAGATGCTACCTAAGTGTCATAACAAAAGAATTTCAAGTCAGCTAGCGAATAAAGAAAGGTTTCCCTTATTTGTGCCCTTGATTAGTTAACAGCAGTATATGCAGCTGATATACTGCTGTGTAAACACACTTTTATTTCAAGTTATGTTAAAAATAAGAACTTTAAAAATAGAGGGAAAGATAAATTAAGAGGGATTTCCATTTTATTTTTCAAAGTTTTCCATGTTTTCTCTATTTTTTTGACAATAAAATTTTCTCCACTTCTTTTTTTAACCTTGCCTAATAAGGAAAAGACATTATTTAAAAGAAACCAAAAGAACCAAAAGTAATATTAACTTTATTTCAATTGTGGAAAATGTAAAAGCTTATAATCATATCTTATACTACATTATATCTGCTACTTAACCTTGCCACTTTCATTCAACACAATTCTACTACAAGGGACCAAACTACAGACTACACAGTACATTGTAATTAAATTACCTCATGTGCCAGTCAAGTATTTCAAATACACAAATGTGATAATATGTATTTGGTAAATACAATGACTTTTACTTTGTACAATAATGAAATTCTTATTTTTAGACTCAAACATAAACTGACATTTTCAATTTAATATACTTCAACAAACTCACAGTAAAGTTAAGAAAAACACTGAAATAAGAACAAGACCAGATTCAAAGAACAAAATGAAAATGGACTGTCACTCGTGACCAAGTACTTCATTTAGGGAGAGACAGGAGAGGATGTTTACTCCTCACTGGCCCAGTTCCCAGAGTAGTGAAAAAGCTGTTACTCTCTCTACATTTCAGAAATATAAAACAGTCTGACCTGATAGATGCCAAGAAATGTTAGAGTACCCATAAAAACTCACTGGATACAATGATTCATATACTATGTTAGCTAGAAGGAATTTCAAAAACCATTTAGTCTAACTTTCTTGATTTTAGTCTTGGGGAAAGCATGCTTAAAGCAGCTAAGCAACCAGCTGTCAGAGACCTGGCTGGGTTCAGCTTACTAGTCCTTCTGACTCCTGGTAAATTGCGTTTTTATTTACTCCATACCATCTTCTTCCAGGGGCCCTCTGAAATACCCGTTTATCTATATTTGAACTACATCTTGACCAGATTGATTTGCATTAATAGATATTACCTGCCTTAAGCCAGGGATATTAGCAGAACACATTTCTTCTTCTCTAATTTCATCCTAATCCAACATTCTGTGCCTCAAAAGGAAAGTGCTCTCAACTAGAAAGCAAGAAACCAGTTCAAACACAAGCCCAGTGTACTGGCTATCCAATTCAAGCGTATTATCCTACTTATCTGTACCTGTTTGCTTATCTATCTTTCGGTTTCCCTATCATACAAGGTTTAAAAAAAAACTTTATTCAAAACATGCATTGAGTTCTAGGTAATGAAATATAAAGATAAAAATGACCTGATCCTTCTTTCTTTCTGGTATTCAATTTATTAAAGAAGACAGACATGAAAACCAAATATAATTTGAAAGAGCAGCAAAGGCTTCACACAAATGTAGGCCATATTGTGTTTTTTGTTTGTTTGTTTTGAACAGAAGGCTCAGTTAGAATGTTGTGTTATGGAAATAATGAAGCATTTGGCATCAGAATGACCATGTATAAATTCTGATACTGCAATCATGCTAAAGCTTCGATTTCCTCATCTGTGAAATGGAATTATTATAACTGCCTGACCATATTATTTTTAAGTCTCATAACGGCCATGCCCACTGAAAAAATATGCTTTCATAGCAACAGTACAGTTTCTGGCACATAGTTGGTACTGAAGCAGATAGTGCTGGGTGCCTACATAATAGCATCCTCCTATTATCCTCACTTAAAAAACAATAATAAAAAAGAAAACCTCCCATTTTGTTAGATGAAACAATGTCTACAGCTAAAATTCTCATTTCACCAGGCTCTCCTGCAGCCAGAAGTAACCACATTACCAAGTTTCATCAAAGAGAACTAAATCCAGGATTTTGATGAAAGCTTTTACTTCTCCTTTTCTATTTGCCAAGAATGCAGACCCAAGGCTTGAAAGTACAGCAGTCATCTTGTAACGAGGAACAAACAGGACAAAACCCAATACACTAAGGATGGCAGAGCAGAAAGAGAGAGAGCCTGGGTCCCTGATGGCCTTACTGGGCACTGCTATACAAGCCCTAGACTGGCTACCTTTCTACTTCTTGTTTCTGGGTCCCTGATGGCCTTACTGAACTGCTACACAAGCCCTAGACTGGCTACCTTTCTACTTCTTGTTTCAGATGGAAAATAAATCCCTATTTGGTTAAGGCAAGATCATATAGGGCCCTGTAGGCCATATAAAGACTGGTGTTTTTTTTTTTTTGAGACGGAGTCTCGTTCTGTCGCCCAGGCTGGAGTGCAGTGGCACAATCTCCGCTCACTGCAAGCTCCGCCTCCCGGGTTTACGTCATTCTCCTGCCTCAGCCTCCGGAGTAGCTGGGACTACAGGCGCCCACCACCACACCCGGCTAATTTTTTTGTATTTTTAGTAGAGACGGGGTTTCACTGTGTAAACCGGATGGTCTCGCTCTCCTGATCTCGTGATCCGCCCGCCTTGGCCTCCCAAAGAAGACTTTGGTTTTTACTTTGAATGAAATGGAAACTCAGGGCAGGGTTTCAGCAAAGAAATGATATAGTCTGACCTGTGTTAAGAAATAATAGATTTCAAGGGAGGCAGGGCAACATGTTGCGAAGCTATGGTGCATTGTTACAAAATGGCCTCAAGTGAATCCTGCCTCTTTGCATTCACACCCTTCCACATGGACTCTGAGGGTAGTCTTCTGAGGGACTCTGACTAAAGTGACATTCTACTGATGTGCAGGAGTTCCAAGTACAGGCTTCAAGAGAGCTCATAGCTTGTTTTTGCTCTTAGAAACCAACTGCTATATAAAGAAGTCCAAACTATCCTGCTTGAAAGAGAGACAACATGGAAGACGAGAGAAACCATGTGGAAAGAGGCCATGTGTATGAGAACAAAAGCTTTCCAGCTGAGGCACCAGACATGTGAGTGAAGCCACAGTAGGCATTCCAGTCCAGCTTAGCCACCAGCTGAATACAGCTGCATAAGTGAGCCCAGTTGAGACCAGGAAAAGAAACACCTAGTATACCCGAAGAATCTTGAGATGAGCTTGCTATGCTGCAATAGACACATAATAAAGAGGCTATTGTACTAATCTAGGCAAGAAATGATGATAGCTCTAAGCAGTCTTTTCAAATACAATTATTATCGATTACTTTCTGTGGACTCCTACTGGATAACAACTGTAACAATTTAATTTAAAAGACGGAAATGTTGGCTGGGCGCAGTGGCTCATGCCTGTAATCCCAACACTTTGGGAGGACGAGGCGGGCAGATCACCTGAGGTCAGGAGTTCAAGACCAGCCTGGCCAACATGGAGAAACCCCATCTCTACTAAAAATACAAAATTAGCCGGGCATGGTGGCACATGCCTGTAATCCCAGCTACTCAGGAGGCTGAGGCAGGAGAATCGCTTGAACCCAGGAGGCAGAGATTGTGGTGAGCCGAGATCGTGTCATTGCACTCCAGCCTGGGCACAAGAGCGAAACTCCATCTAAAAAAAAAAAAAAAAAAAGATGGGGATGTTAATAACATCACTGGACATTGGCTATAGACTTGTGGGGGGAAAAAGACATGATCTATATTAAGCTAAATATGAGTTCATAATGACGTCTCCAACTTGAATCTATCAAAACACAGATCACTCTAGCCTCCTCCCGTTGATTATCTGTAAATCCCAACTCCAACAGTGAGAAACCTGGCTCCTACCATCTACCATCCATTTACTGAATCATTCAATTCCAGTAAAACGTATAGCAGGATCAGAACTGTTAACCCATGCCCCCATGGGAAACAACTTTATCAACGAAAGTACAGTAGTTATATGGTTATCTATTTTTCTGTAAATCTAAACCTGTTCAAGAATAAAGTCCATTAAAAAAACAAAAACAAAATAACCCTTACACTCAGGAGTGTATGTCTAGTGAGAAGAAAGACATTAGATAAGCAAACCACAATTAAAAATTTTGATAACAGCAAAGAATGAAAAACCTGCTTGTAATTTAGGTTAAAATATCAAGAAAAGTAGTATTTATTTTCCTTCTCCAGAAAAGTAGTATTTATTGAGACCTGAGAGATGACTGAGTTATCCAAAAGGAGAAAAAGAAACATGTGCCTGCTTGAAGAACCAAAACAAAAATTAACTGTCAAATTTCTGGTTCTCAACAAGATTGAGTAGGCTTATATCTCTTCACTCCAGCCCACATAAATTCAACTAAACACCCTGGACTTAATACAGCAGAGAAGGTAGAAGGAAAAAAACAGACCAGTTAGGAACTTCAGGTCTTGAGGAAGACAAGATATGAATTCTCTGGGTTTTCCTTTAATAGACTTCTCCAGATTGTGCCAGAAGTCTGTAACCCAAAACCAAAGAATAAAAAAAAAAAAAAAAAAGCCCCAAGAAAAACCTGCTCTCTTTAGCCAAATAACTGCAAAACAGGGCAGCCCAGTAAGACAGAAATCTTTTTGAAATACCAACCCTACCGCAGCCAGGCATCTCAGATGCTTCCTACCTTGCTGTTAGAGGGTGCTGAGTGGGGATCTGGACTTCCCATCTGGCAAGAGTAGGTGGTCCGGTTAGTATTATCAAATTGGAAGAAAAAAGTGTAGATTAAAATGGAAGATTTGTACACTTCACCTATGTGGAGAATGTCAATACTAATAATCTGATAAATTACACATGCATATTATAATACCCAAAGGAACTACAAAACAAAAAAAGAGTGATATACGGAGAAACACTGTAAGAAATCAAAATGGAATTCTAAAAAAATACACATGTAGCCCACAGGTCAAGAAAAGGGAAATGGGAATGAACAGAAAACAATAAAATAGCAAACTTAAGCCCTCACATACCAATAATCACTTTAAATACAAATGGTCTACACACAAAAATTTAAAACACAGGTTGGTACAGTGGATTAAAAAAATGTGGCCTTGGGCCGGGTGCAGTGGCTCCTGCCTGTAATCCCAGCATTTTGGGAGGCCAAGGTGGAAGGACTGCTTGAGCTCAGGAGTTTAAGACCAGACTGGGCAATACAGTGAGACCCCATCTCTTAAAAAACAAAAACAAAAACCCATATGTTACCTAAAGGAATGCTGTTTCAATGTATCATGACACAGGTAGGCTAAAAAGGATAGGAAAGAATATACCATATAAACATTAATAAAAAAAGTAACCATATTAATACCAGGAAAAAGCAGACTTCAAAGAAAAGAAAATGAAAAAAAAAAAGAGCGTCATTAAAAATGATAAAAAAGTCTATCCACCAAGATGACATTAACAATACAATTCTGGAAACAACACAGCTTCAAAACACAGGAAGCAAAAACTGATAAGGAGAAATTGAAAAATAGACAATTATAGTTGGGGACTTCAACATCCCTTTCTCAGACAGATAGAAGTAGTAATAGAAAACCAGGAAGAATAGAAAGAACACTACCATCAAAAAGGGAACTTAAGCAACATTTATAGAAATGTTCCACCTAACAAGAACAGAATACATATTCTTTGCAAGCACCCACAAAATGCTCACCATGATAGACCACAGCCTGCATCATAAAACCTAAAGAAATGTGAAGAAACATAAGCATACAGAGTATGAATCAATAACTTAGATGAAATGAACCAATTCTTCAAAAAAAAACCACCAAAACTCACCCAATATGAAATACATAATCTGCACAGTCCTATATTATACAATATTCTCCAGAAAATCAGAGGAAATACTTCCCAATTGCTCTTATGAGGTTGGTGTTACCCTGACAGAAGAAATACACACAAAAACTAATTTCTCTCATGAATTTAGATGTAATAATCCTCAACAAAATATACTCAAATTGAATATAGTACCGAAGAAAAAGAATTATACAATACAACACAGTAGGGTTTACTCCAAGTATATAGGACTGGTTCAATATGCAAAAATCCATCAATATAATCCACCATATATCAAGAGAATAAAGATTTAAAAAATCACATGATCACGCCAACTTATGCAGAAAAATTATGTGACAAAATTCAAGAGCTATACATGGCAAAAACTCCAAGCAAACTAGAAAAGAACTTCAACTTGACAAAGAGTATCTACAAAAAAATTTACAGCTAACATCATATGTAACGGTGAAAAACTAAATGCTTTTCCCCAAGATCGGCATTAGGACAAGGATGTCTGCTCTCAGCACTCTTATTCAATGCAATATCAGACATTCTATCCACTACAGTAAGTTAATAAAAAGCATATAAACTGGGAAATAAAACTCCCCCTATTAGCAGATAACAGGGTCATGTATATAGAAAATCCCAAGGAATGTACTAGAAAACATCTACAATAAGTGAGTTCGCAAAATCACAGAATACAAGAGCCATATACAAAAATAATCATTCTTCTATATACTAACAATGACTGTGTAGACAACAAAGTTAAAAACACAATACCAGTTACAATCTGTCTAAAAAATTAAAACATAGATAAAAACCTAACAAAATATGTATAGAATTGGTATGCTCAAATGAGTCATAGATCTAAGTGTAAAAACCATGAGAAAATCTGTGTTTTCCCCTTTATCTTTTAGAAAAAAATGTAGGAGAAAATCATAACCTGGGGTTAAGTGAAGAGTTCGTAGGACACCAATAGCATGATCCATAAAATAAGCAAACAAACAAAAAAGATCAATTGGACTTATCAAAATGTAAAACTTTTGCTCTTCAAAAGGTGCTAAGTGCATACCATAATAGAAGAAAATATTTGCAAATCACATATGTAACAGGAGATTCATATGTGGAATATATAAATAACTATACTCAACAGTAATGAAACAACCAATTTAGAAAATAGGCTTGAACAGATACTTCACCAAAGAGGATATATAACGGCAAACAAGCACATAAAAAGATTGCCAACATCATTAGCTATTAGGGAACTGCAAGTTAAAACCACAATAATAGATGTCTAATAAACACCTATTTAAATGGCTAAAGAAATACTGATAATACAAAGATTCTTGTGAAAATACAGCACCAACTGGATCTCTCATACATTGCTGTATGGAATGTAAGGTGGTATAGCCACTCTGAAAAACAGTTTGGCATTGTCTTATAAATTTAAACATATATATTTAAATACTGTATATATCTAAACAGTAACACTTAACATGACCTAGCAATTACACTCTTGGATATTTACCCTAAAGAAAGGAAAACAAAACTGTATAAAAATGCCCAGAGTAACTTCATTTGTATTAACCCAAAAGCTGGAAATAACCCAATGTTCTTCAACGGGTACATGGGGAAAAGGATAAACATATTGTGGCATATTCACAAAACAGCATGCTACTAAGCAATAAAAAGTAACTACTTACAGGCACATGCCTGTAATCCCAGCTACTTGGGAGGCTGAAGCACAAGAATTGCTTGAACCTGGGATGGGGAGGCTGCAGTGAGCCGAGATTGTGCCACCGTACTCCAGCCTGGGTGACAGAGCAAGACTGTCTCAAAGAAAAAGAAGGAAAAAAAAAAAAAAAAAAAACCAAGGGGTGGGGGCGGGCACAGTGGCTCACACCTGTAATCCCAACACTTTGGGAGGCCAAGGCAGGCAGATCACAAGGTCAGGAGTTCAAGACCCACCTGGCCAACATGGTGAAACCCTGTCTCTACTTAAAAAATACAAAAATTAGCCGGGCATGGTGGCATGCACCTGTAATCCCAGCTACTCAGGAGGCTGGGGCAGGAGAATTGCTTGAACCTGGGAGGCAGAGGTTGCAGGGAGCAGAGATCATGCCACTGCACTTCAGCCTGGGTGACAGAGCAAGACTCCGTCTCAAAAAAAAAAAAAAGAGTAATCCCTTGGAACACTGTTTAATGCCACTTTCTTCAATGTTATACATAAATTTAATGAGATCCATTATTAGTTTTACCAGGAAAAAGTAAATCAGAAGTAATGAATCAAAAAAATAGGTAGCATAACAAGATGATACTTGAAAACGAGCAGTATGTAACAAGAGACATTTGCACCAAGAATTCAAAATACAGAAACACCTGCAACTATTTAATATAAGGATAATTAACCTGATACACAAGATTCAAGGCCTAGGAGACAAATCATACTGTGGAACTAATGAATATAAACTATCAAGAAACTATTTAATTATAAGAAACAATGTGTAATACATTAGACTAGGAATCAAAACACCTGGGTTCTGGCCTTGTCCTAACACTTAATAGTTATTTAACTTAAAGCAAGTGAGTTGAGCTTTCCTTAAGTAAATAGTTATCTAACTTAAAGCAAGTGATTTGAGCTTTCCTTAACTAAATAGTTATCTAACTTAACTAAATAGTTACCTAACTTAAAGCAAGTGACTTGAGTATCTCCTTCTCTCTCAAATCTCTAAATCTCTATCTCCTTATCTCTAAAATCTCATCTCTAACTTAAAGTGACTTGAGTATCTCCTTATCTCTAAAATTGAAAAAATGCCTACGTCTCAATATTATTATGAGAACCAAAAGAGAAAAAATAGATGAGAAGGCAAAATATTATATAAGAAGGGGGTGTATATGCTCAGTATCCTGTGTTTTAAAATGAATGGACAAATACATGCCTTTTAGATTTTAAAACTCCACCAATACTGCTTAAAATAGAATTTTGATAACTAAAAATATTATGCCACCTGAAATGAGGCAAAAGTACATTGAAATGAAAACATAAAAAGGATACCTGGATTTACACTTTGGGAGGCCAAGGCAGCTGGATTACTTGACACCAGGAGTTCAAGACCAGTCTGGCCAACATAGTGAAACCTCACCTCTACTAAAAAATACAAGAATTAGCTGGGTGTGGTGGCACATGCCTGTAATCCCAGCTACTTGGGAGGCTGAAGCACAAGAATTGCTTGAACCTGGGATGGTGAGGTTGCAGTGAGCCGAGACCGCGCCACTGTACTCCAGCCTGGGTGACAGAGCAAGACTGTCTCAAAATAAACAAATAAATAAAAGGGGGGGGGGCAGGGCACGGTGGCTTACACCTGTAATCCCAGCACTTTAGGAGGCCGAGGTGGGTGGATCACCTGAGGTCAGGAGTTTGAGACCGGCCTGACCAAGGTGGTGAAACCCCGTCTCTACTGAAAATATAAAATTAGCTGGGCATGGTGACAGGCACTTGTTATCCCAGCTACTCATGAGGCTGAGGCAGGAGAATCGCTTGAACCCGGGAGGTGGAGGCTGCAGTGAGCCGAGGTTGAGCCACTGCACTCCAGCCTGGGCGACAGAGCCAGACTCTGTCTCAAAAGAAAAAAAAAAAGATACCTGGCTTCAAATATTCAAAGAACCATGTTTGAATGAACAGTCTGAACAGTTTTCCTCTGGCTAACTCCTTATCCTTCAGGTCGAGGTGGAAAGCGATCCTTGATCTCACCTATATTGGTTAGATGCTCCTGCCAGGTGACCCACAGTACATTCCACTTACATTTCCTATCATATCCCTCATCACACCTTTATTTATTTGTCTTCCCTGACTGATGATAAGACAGGCTTTCTAAGTGCAGAGGCAGAATCTTTCTTGCTCACTACTATGTCCCCAGCACATCACAGTCAATCAATAATTTTTTTCGTTTCTTTTTTTTTTTTTTATTTTGAGACAGGGTCTTGCACTGTCACCCAAGCTAGAGCGCAGTGGCACAATCATGTCTCACTGCAGTCTCAACCCCTCAAGATCAAGTGATCCTCCCACCTCAGCTTCCTGAGTAACTGGAACTATATAGGCACGTGCCACTGTGGTTGGCTATTTCTTTAAATTTTTTTGTAGAGATGGGGTCTCACTGTGCTACGTTGCCCAGGCTGGTCTTGAACTCCTGGCTCAAGCGATTCTCCTGCCTTAGCCTCTCAAAGTGATATTTTTAAGGCAATTTTTTACATTTTATGGGAGAAATAGCAATCCCTCATATCCAAATCCAATCTCCACCCCTCCCTGCCTCCAAAGGTCTAGTTATAGAAAACGTTTTAGGCAAAAAGAAAACATATGTATTGGGAAACATAAACAGGTAGAATCAGAAATAAAGACAGACCTCATGTTTATAATATGGAAAGGGCTTTCAGTCACAAGTCATTGTTCCTTTCCATTAGGTCGCATACATATTCAAGCATAAAAGAATATTATACAGTGAGTAAAATCTGAACTTTATTAATAATTGTCCTCTTAATGATTACTTAACAGACTAATTTCCCTGTCTTATCTGCACATTCCACATTCTTATAATCTTATGTGCTTGAAACAGAAATAATTTTACTTTATGAGTACTTTAAACAAGAGGGCTCATTATCATGAGACAAGTACTAGAGCCTACCAATGACTCTAGAGCATCTGATCACCATGCCACTGATCAATTCTATCAACTTTCGTCTAGTACTGTTCCTTAATCTGTTGCATGTATATGGAGTTGGGATGAGGAATAGGGATGCAGATTACAAATGTAGATTTGTATGGGATCCTGATGAAAGCAACTGACCTCAGAAAATTCCATGTGTGCAACACACACACACACACTCACATAGAGTGGTAGGAGGTTTCATGAGGTTCACAGATTCCTGAGGTTTATCCAAGCACCCTAAATTCAAAGCCTATGTAGATGCACCCTCTTGTCAACCAGTTACCTTCTAGCTATCAGCTATTTCTTGTGAGCCTACTATGCAAAAAAGACTTTTTAGAAAAATACACTATATTCACAAAAGGGCATCCAATAAGACCTTAATTAATTAACTTACCATAATACCTCCTTTATACAAAATCAACCATGTTAAAAATTTAAGTAACTTCAAAAATCATATTAAGCAGACCTCCCAATAATCAGAAAAACCTTTCTTAAGGTCTAGATTCTATTTGTACTCACACTTTTTTCATTCTGAACCTTCTCCCATCCCTGGAATTCCCAGTAGATAAAACAGGCAAGCCCCCCACTGTGTCCACAGTTCTAACAATATAAGAAATAATGATAATTAGTTCCGTATACCTATTACTAACCAATATAATTTAACTGAGACCCTTAAGAACAAAGGGTCAAAAACACAATGCGATACCACCTTACACAAGGCCATTCCTTCAAGAATGGCCATAATTTTAAAAATAAAAAAAAATAGATGTTGGTATGGATATGGTGAAAAGGGAACACTTCTACACTGCTGGTGGGAATGTAAACTAGTACAACCACTACGGAAAACAGTGTGGAGATTCCTTAAAGAACTAAAAGTAGGTCTACCATTTGATCCAGCAATCCCACTACTGGGTATCTACCCAGACGAAAAAAAAAGTCATTATATGAAAAAGACACTTGCACACATGTCTATAGCAGCACAATTTGCAATTACAAAAATACAGAACCAGCCCAAATGCCCATCAATTAACAAGTGGACAAAGAAAATATGGTGTGTGTGTGTATATGATACTAAGCCATAAAAAGGAACAAAATAATGGCATTTGCAAGCAGCCTGGATAGAATCGGAGACAACTATTCTAAGTGAAGTAACTCAGGAATGGAAAATCAAACATCATATGTTCTCACTCATAAGTGGGAGCTAAGCTATGAGATGCAAAGGCGTAAGAATGATACAATGGACTTTGGGAACACCAGAGGGAAAGGTGGGAGTGGGGTGAGGGACAGAAGACATACACTGGGTACAGTGTACACTGCTCTGGTGATGGGTGCACCAAAATCTCAGAAATCACCACTAAATAACTTATCCATGTAACCAAACACCACCTGTTCCCCCCAAAATCTGTTGAAATAATAAAAAAAAGGGTCACGAAACATTTTTTGAAAAGGGCTACTTATACATTATATTTTTCTTCCATCTCTAAATGTGAGTTAAAAGTCCTTACCCCTAGCCAGAACTTCTCAATGGGGCTGTATTACCTCCTAGGAGCATTTTGGAAATATGCAGAAATTCTGGTTCTGAAGACAACAATAGAGACAAACAGACATGGAGACGGACAGGTTGGGAAGTGACTCCAATAGAGGCAGAGACTCAGTGCAACAGAAATCTAAACAACTCTTAAGAAATCATGAAGCCTACGAGTATATCAGAACAATTAAGAACAAGTTTTGGTCAGGCGCGGTGGCTCACACCTGTAATCCTAAGGCTTTGGGAGGCAAGGCAGGAGGATTGCTTGAGCCCAGGAGTTCAAGACCAGCCTGGGCAACATGGTGAAACCTCGTCTCTACAAAAATTGCAAAAATTAGCGTGCACCTATAGTCCCAGCTACTCGGGAGGCTGAGGTGAGAGGATCAGCTGAACCCCAGAGGTTGAGGCTGCAGTAAGCCGTGATTGGTGCCACTGCACTCCACCCTGAGCAACAGAGTGAGACCTTGTCTTAAAAACAACAACAACAACAACAACAAAAAACATTTTGACTCCTAGTTCAAAATCCCAGCTCTATCACTTACTACTTGTGTGAATTTTGGCACACTACACACTCAATAATCTCAGATTTTTCTTACCTCAAAGAATTATTAAAATGATTAAATTTATATATATCTTAGTCACAGTATCTGTTACTTATCACTTATGCAATTATCAAGAGAGATAACATTATCATCATTATTACTAAATATAGCCAAAAAGTGGCCAATGGACAGTAAGAATAAGAATGTTGAAAAGATGAAACATAAGAATGTTGAAAAGATGAAACTAAATTGTTTTATGTATACGATTAATTTAGAATAGATCTATCACAAAAACTCCCAGTGTGCTAGAGTGTTATTTTTTAAATAAGCACAGACACAATAGAAAACACAGTAGCATATCTATTTCAAGCATAATGATATGAAGTATTTGGCTTAAATAAAGAAATATATAGTAAGAGGAAAAACTTACAAAATAAAAGCCCAGAGATGTCTTTGTTGTTTTTAAGTATACAACAAAACAACAACAAAACTAATATAAATAGATGGATGAATGGATGGACAGATAGGAAGAGACAGAACAAGGGAGGGAATCAGATTTGGGCTTCTCATTAAATGTTTTGTTTTACTCATTAGACTGAAGAAATAAAAGCAAGTTGTTAGTTACTCCGAGCTGGAAGGTAGAGAAAGGAAAAATGAAACTATATGGACAATATAAAACCACATCCCTGAGGAAATAAAACTAGTTAAGTAGAAGATAAATAAAAGATATTTGCAAATAGAAACAATAAAAGATCCAAATGACTTTGTTGAAACAAGTTAAAAATTAGTGAGCAATAAAATATTCCACTGGCAATTTGACACAAATGTGATTTAGGAAAACAAGTGCAACCTTTCCATTGTCCTCATACTGGTCTTCGTATATGCTAACGACACAAGAAAAAATATTCTTAAATTACCATGAGGGTTTGTAAGAAATAATTTCTGATGTGGAAATGATAAATATCACATTTAGCATAGTAGGTGGGGGTTTAGGAATGGGGAGGGTAAGAAAGAGAGAGGTATCCAGAAGGTTTCATTCAACAAAACTGGTAATGTTTATTTATTTATTTATTTGATGGCTGGTCAATACAACAGTGTTTTTATTACTCTCTGTGTACCTTCAGTATGTCTATAATATCTTATAATAAACAGGGAAGAAATGATACAAAAACTAAAGGGGGAAAGCTATCCAAAAGTAAATACTGGATTTCATTACTGGGGAAGTAATTGTGAAAGGCTGCAGAATTCCCTGAAGGTTATTAAATATAGGATAGTCCTCTGTCAGGTAAAGGCAAAGACCTCTCAATCTTTTAAAATTGTTTTATTCTGAGAGCACATTTCCTTGAAAAGATGTTAAGAAATTTTCAGTTCAAATGCCATGTTACTTGGTATATTTCAATATATGAGAAATATTAGGATATATTTAAATTTATACTCAACCTAATACATAAGCTTCTTTTATCTCATTCATTTTTCTCATTGTAAAGTTGGTCTCCACTAATCTTAATACATCAAAACAAAACTACTGAACGAGGCCTGCCTGCCTCTGTAGACCCCACCTCTGGGGGCAGGGAATAGCTGAACAAAGGCAGCAGAAACTTCTGCAGACTTAAATGTCCCTGTCTGAAAGCTTTGGAGAGCAGTGGTTCTCCCAGGACGGAGTTTGAGATCTGAGAACGGACAGACTGCCTCCTCAAGTGGGTCCCTGACCCCCGAGTAGCCTAACTGGGAGACACCTCCTAGTAGGGCCCAACGGACACCTCATAGAGGTGGGTGCCCCTCTGAGACAAAGCTTCCAGAGGAAGGATCAGGCAGCAACATTTGCTGTTCTGCAATATTTGCTGTTCTGCAGCCTCCGATGGTGATACCCAGGCAAACAGGGTCTGGAGTGGACCTCCAGCAAACTCCAACAGACCTGCAGCTGAGGCTCCTGACTGTTAGAAGGAAAACTAACAAACAGAAAGGAACAGCATCAACATCAACAAAAAGGACATCCATACCAAAACCTCATCTGTAGGTCACCATCATCAAAGACCAAAGGTAGATAAAACCACAAAGATGGGGAGAAACCAGAGCAGAAAAGCTGAAAATTCTAAAAACCAGAGTGCCTCTTCTCCTCTAAAGGATCGCAGCTCCTTGCCAACAAGAGAACAAAGATGGATGGAGAATGACTTTGACGAGTTGACAGAAGTAGGCTTCGGAAGATCGGTAATAACAAACTTCTCCGAGCTAAAGGAGGATGTTCGAACCCATCGCAAGGAAGCTAAAAACCTTGAAAACAGATTAGAAGAATGGCTGACTAGAATAAATAGCATGGAGAAGACCTTAAATGACCTGATGGAGCTGTAAACCATGGCATGAGAACTACGTGACGCATGCACAAGCTTCAGTAGCCGATTCGATCAAGCAGAAGAAAGGATATCAGTGATTGAAGATCAAATGAATGAAATGAAACAAGAGAAGTTTAGAGAAAAAAGAATAAAAAGAAACGAACAAAGCCTCCAAGAAATATGAGACTATGTGAAAAGACCAAATCTACGTCTGATTGGTGTACCTGAAAGTGATGGGGAGAATGGAACCAAGTTGGAAAACACTCTGCAGGATATTATCCAGGAGAACTTCCCCAACCTAGCAAGGCAGGCCAACACTCAAATTCAGGAAATACAGAGAATGCCACAAAGATACTCCTCGAGAAGAGCAACTCCAAGATACATAATTGTCAGATTCACCAAGGTTGAAATGAAGGAAAAAATGTTAAGGGCAGCCAGAGAGAAAGGTCAGGTTACCCACAAAGGGAAGCCCATCAGACTAACAGCTGATCTCTTGGCAGAAACTCTACAAGCCAGAAGAGAGTGGGGGCCAATATTCAACATTCTTAAAGAAAAGAATTTTCAACCCAGAATTTCATATCCAGCCAAACTAAGCTTCATAAGTGAAGGAGAAATAAAATACTTTACAGACAAGCAAATGCTGAGAGATTCTGTCACCACCAGGCCTGCCTAACAAGAGCTCCTGAAGGAAGCACTAAACATGGAAAGGAACAACTGGTACCAGCCACTGCAAAAACATGCCAAATTGTAAAGACCATCGATGATAGGAAGAAACTGCATCAACTAATGAGCAAAATGACCAGCTAACATCATAATGACAGGATCAAATTCACACATAACAATATTAACCTTAAATGTAAATGGGCTAAATGCCCCAATTAAAAGACACAGACTGGCAAACTGGATAAACAGTCAAGACCCATCAGTGTGCTGTATTCAGGAGACCCATCTCATGTACAGAGACACACATAGGCTCAAAATAAAGGGATGGAGGAAGATCTACCCAGCAAATGGAAAACAAAAAAAAAGCAGGGGTTGCAGTCCTCGTCTCTGATAAAACAGACTTTAAACCAACAAAGATCAAAAGAGACAAAGAAGGCCATTACATAATAGTAAAGGGATCAATTCAACAAAAAGAGCTAACTATCTTAAATATATATGCACCCAATACAGGAGCACCCAGATTCATAAAGCAAGTCCTTAGAGACCTACAAAGAGACTTAGACTCCCACACAATAATAATGGGAGACTTTAACACCCCAGTGTCAACATTAGACAGATCAACGAGACAGAAAGTTAACAAGGATATCCAGGACTTGAACTCAGCTCTGCACCAAGCAGACCTAATAGACATCTACAGAACTCTCCACCCCAAATCAACAGAATATACATTCTTCTCAGCACCACATCGCACTTATTCCAAAATTGACCACATAGTTGGAAGTAAAGCACTCCTCAGCAAATGTAAAAGAAAAGAAATCATAACGAACTGTCTTTCAGACCACAGTGCAATCAGATTAGAACTCAGGATTAAGAAACTCACTCAAAACCACACAACTACATGGAAAGTGAACAACCTGCTCCTGAATGACTACTGGGTAAATAACAAAAATTAAGGTAGAAATAAACAAGTTATTTGAAACCAATGAGAACAAAGACAGTGGACCAGCATCTCTGGGACACATTTAAAGCAGTGTGTAAAGAGAAATTTATAGCACTAAATGCCCATAAGAGAAAGTGGGAAAGATCTAAAATCAACACCCTAACATCACAATTAAAAGAACTAGAGAAGCAAGAGCAAACACATTCAAAAGCTAGCAGAAAGCAAGAAATAACTAAGATCAGAGCAGAACTGAAAGAGACAGAGAAACAAAGAACCCTTCAAAAAATCAATGAATCCAGGAGCTGGTTTTTGGAAAAGATCAACAAAATTGATGGACCGCTAGCAAGACTAATAAAGAAAAGAGAGAAGAATCAAACAGACACAATAAAAAATGATAAAGGGGATATCATCACCAATTCCACAGAAATACAGGTATCACCACCGATCCCACAGAAATACAAACTACCATCAGAGAATACTATAAACACCTCTAGGCAAATGAACTAGAAATTCTAGAAGAAATGGATAAATTCCTGGACACATACACCCTCCCAAGACTAAACCAGGAAGAAGTTGAATCCCTGAATAGACCAATAACAGACTCTGAAATTGAGGAAATGATTAATAGTCTACCAACCAAAAAAAGTCCAGGACCAGATGGATTCACAGCCAAATTTTACCACAGGTACAAAGAAGAGCTGGTACCATTCCTTCTGAAACTATTCCAATCAATAGAAAAAGAGGGAACCCTCCCTAACTCATTTTATGAGGCCAGCATTATAGCAAAGCCTGGCAGAGATACAACAAAAAAAGATAATTTTAAACCAATATCCCTGATGAACATCAATGCAAAAATCCTCAACAAAATACTGGCAAACCGAACTGAGCAGCACATCAAAAAGCTTATCCACCAAGATCAACTTGGCTTCATCCCTGGGATGCAAGGCTTGTTCAACATATGCAAATCAATAAATGTAATCCAGCATATCAACAGAACCAAAGACAAAAGCCACATGATTATCTCAATAGATGCAGAAAAGGCCTTTGACAAAATTCAACAGCGCTTCATACTAAAAACAGTCAATAAACTAGGTATTGATGGGACGTATCTCAAAATAATAAGAGCTATTTATGACAAACCCACAGCCAATATCATACTGAATGGGCAAAAACTGAAAGAATTCCCTTTGAAAACTGGCACAAGACAGGGATGCCCTCTCTCACCACTCCTGTTCAACACAGCATTGGAAGTTCTGGCCAGGGCAATCAGGCAGGAGAAAGAAAGAAAGGGTATTCAATTAGGAAAAGAGGAAGTCAAATTGTCCCTGTTTGCAGATGACAAGATTGTATATTTAGAAAACCCCATCGTCTCAGCCCCAAATCTCCTTAACCTGATAAGTAACTTTAGCAGTCTCAGGATACAAAATCAATGTGCAAAAATCACAAGCATTCCTATACACCAAGAACAGACAAATACAGAACCAAATCACTCCCATTCACAATTGCTTCAAAGAGAATAAAATACCTAGGAATCCAACTTACAAGGGATGTGAAGGACCTCTTCAAGGAGAACTACAAACCACTGCTCAACAAAATAAAAGAGGACACAAACAAATGGAAGAACGTTCCATGCTCATGGATAGGAAGAATCAATATCGTGAAAATGGCCACACTGCCCATGGTAATTTATAGATTCAATGCCATCCACATCAAACTACCAATGCCTTTCTTCACAGAATTGGAAAAAACTACTTTAAAGTTCATACGGAACCAAAAAAGAGCCCGCATTGCCAAGACAATCCTAAGCAAAAAGAACAAAGCTGGAGGCATCATGCTACCTGAATTTAAACTATACTACAAGGCTACAGTAACCAAAACAGCACGGTACTGGTACCAAAACAGAGATATAGACAAATGGAACAGAACAGAGGCCTCAGAAATAATACCACCCATCTACAACCATCTGATCTTTGACAAACCAGACAGAAACAAGAAATGGAGAAAGGATTCCCTATTTAATAAGTGGTGCTGGGAAAACTGGCTAGCCATATGTAGAAAGCTGAAACTGGATCCCTTCCTTACACCTTGTACAAATATTAATTCAAGATGGATTAAAGACTTAAATGTTAGACGACCTACAACCATAAAAACCCTAGAAGAAAACCTAGGCAATACCATTCAGGACATAGGCATGGGCAAGGACTTCATGACTAAAACACCAAAAGCAATGGCAACAAAAGCCAAAATAGACAAATGGGATCTAATTAAACTGAAGAGCTTCTGCATAGCAAAAGAAACTACCATCAGAGTGAACAGGCAACCTACAGAATGGGAGAAAATTTTTGCAATCTATTCATCCGACAAAGGGCTAATATCCAGAATCTACAAAGAACTTAAACAAATTTACAAGAAAAAAATCAAACAACCCCATCAAAAAGTGGGCAAAGGATATGAACGGACACTTCTCAAAAGAAGACATTTATGCAGGCAACGGACACATGAAAAAAAGCTCATCATCACTGGCCAGCAGAGAAATGCAAATCAAAACCACAATGAGATACCATCTCACACCAGTTAGACTGGTGATCATTAAAAAGTAGGGAAACAACAGATGCTGGAGAGGATGTGGAGAAATAGGAACACTTTTACACTGTTGGTGGGAGTGTAAACTAGTTCAACCATTGTGGAAGAGAAGAGTGGCAATTCCTCAAGGATCTAGAACTAGAAATACCATTTGACCCAGCAATCCCATTAACTGGGTATATACCCAAAGGATTATAAATCATGCTACTATAAAGACATATGCACATGTATGTTTATTGCAGCACTATTCACAATAGCAAAGACTTGGAACTAACCCAAATGTCCATCAACAATAGACTGGATTAAGAAAGTGTGGCACATATACACCATGGAATACTATACAGCCATAAAAAAGGATGAGTTCACTTCCTTTGTAGGGACATGGATGAAGCTGGAAACCATCATTCTGAGCAAACTATCGCAAGGACAGAAAACCAAACATTGCATGTTCTCACTCATAGGTGGGAACTGAACAATGAGAACACTTGGACACAGGGTGGGGAACATCACACACTGGGCCTGTTGTGGGGTGGGGGTAGGTGGGAGGGATAGTATTAGGAGAAATACCTAATGTAAATGATGAGTTAATGGGTGCAGCACACCAACATGGCACATGTATACATATGTAACAAACCTGCACGTTGTGCACATGTACCCTAGAACTTAAAGTATAATAAAAACATAAAATAAAATAAACGAAACTACTAAGATGGCACAAATGTATCATTTAAGTAATAGTCAACTGGAATCTTCACAAGTTAGTGTCTTAAATGGATTCTCATTTACAACCTTAATTTAAAATACTTTACATTTTATGGTATATT
Organism: Homo sapiens; assembly: GCF_000001405.40. Lineage (NCBI taxonomy): Eukaryota > Metazoa > Chordata > Mammalia > Primates > Hominidae > Homo > Homo sapiens. The sequence goes on along the minus strand of NC_000001.11, from coordinate 88,712,639 downwards.
GTTAATGTTTTTAATAATTTATAACACACCCTGAGTATTTTCTGTCTGAAAGAATCACATACATCATTACATTCTTAATAATTCAGAATACAGTATGCTTCACTGTCTTGAAGAAATTTTAGTAGTATGCAAAATCATAATTGAAAGTACACTCCTCCTACAGAAGTCATATTCCACCATAGGTAGTATAAAAGCAAACCTGGGAAGGGGTACCAGTGGCCTAAAACAGTCTGATCAGATATAAATTACAATTCAGTTTTTGGCATATAGGTATTTTGATACATCATCTATCCTATACTTAGAATACAGGTTTTTTTCCTAAAAAATTATCTCATTTAGCAAAAATTAATTAAATACCTATTATATGCGCCATCCTATTCTAGTCAGTGGTGATATAAAGAGCAAGCTACTCTTTCCATAAGTTGGTGGCTTAGCTCTCAGTTTACAGAAACATATTTAATATAACTTGCTTTAAAAATGTATTCAGATCATATTGGAAAACAGTTGTGACTTTTAAGCCCATAATATATTCCTAAAATATCATATGTAAAACAAAAATAATTTTTTAAACCAATAATGTATCACTAAAGTTTATTCACCTTAGCACTAGATTATGAAGGCTTAGAGGGAAAAAAGTAAGTTAAAAATAATTTTCCCACATTAAAAATAATGTTTCTATTTCTCTTGCCAGTTCAATATATATACATGTATACATACACTCACATACACATACTAAGTATAATTTATGATCCAATCATATATGTTTATATTAGAACTGTAGAGGACAATATAAGAAAATTACATAAAATACAGTTCCTTCCTCCTGAAATTTTGACTGCCATTCCCCAAGCATCATTTTATCCCTCCAGCTTTGAAACTTCCAGAGATTTCACCTCTCTACTTATTGAACAATATAAATGATCACATTTCTACCTACAATTGTAAACTTTCTTTATAAGCATTCTACAAACATTCCAAATACATATACATTTTATTAAAATGCATTATATATCCAAATTGAGAACTTAAATAACTATGATTTAATGGCTACAATTCAAACACCTCATTAATATGAAGTCAATTTTTTCATCCCAATCTTATTTCACATTTAATCAATACTACCAGGATTACTATTGGTAGAAATGACATCTCAATAAAAAATAATTAAAAATCATATCTACTCCAATTGACAGCATGTACCAAATCTGAGGTTCTTACACTTCCAACATAGAAACATGTTTCAAAACCAAAACTGTCCAGACTGATTACGCAAAGGTGGTATATTAATGGCGGGAAGTGGAATAAGAAAACCTTAAGTTCTTTTTTTTTTCCACTTCTCTCTTTTAATTTTAAATTCAAGGGTACAAGTGCAGGTTTGTTACATAGGTAAACATGTCATGGCGGTTTATTGTACAGATTATTTCATCACCCAGGTAATTAAGCCTAGTACTCATTAGTTATTTTTCCTAATCCTCTCCCTCCTGTCACTCCCCACCCTCCAAAAGGCTCCAGTGTCTGTTGTTCCCCTCTATGTGCCCACGTGTTCTCATCATTTAGCTCCCACTTATAAGACAGAACATGTAGTATTTCGTTTTCTGTTCCTGTGTTAGTTTGCTAAGGGCTTCAGTTCCATCCATGTCCCCACAGAAGACATAATCTCATTCTTTCTTATGGCTGCATAGTATTCCATGATGTGTATGTACCACCTTTCCTGTATCCAGTCTATTATTGGTGGGCATTTAGGTTGATTCCATGTCTTTGCTATTGTGAACAGTGCTGCAATGAACATATGCGTGAATGTGTCTTTATAATAGAATGATTTATATTCCTTCGGGTATATACAAAATAATGAAATTGCTAGTTGAATGGTATTTCTGTCTTTAGGTCTTTGAAGAATTGCCACACCGTCTTCCACAATGGTTGAACTAATTTACATTTCCACCAACAGTGTATAAGCATTCCTTTTTCTCCACCTCGACAGCATCTGTGACTTTTTGACTTTTTAGTAATAGCCATTCTGGCTAGTCTTAGATGGTATCTCACTGTGGTTTTGATTTGCATTTCTGTAATGATCAGTGATGCTGAGCTTTAGAAAACTGGTTTGTGACAAGATTCATGGCAAATCCTTAAATTGTGTGTTTCAATTGTGTCTTTTCTAAAATAGTGGTTAAGTTCAGCTACATTAATTTCAAATAATTATTATGATAGCTTTTACATGTAAAAATACCATAGAATGTAAAGAAATAATAAAAGTAGTTCTTATGCAAAATTTCTCCTCAATATATTAAGTATAAAATAGGAGAAAAAATAGGCCTGGAAAATTTTTCTCTTTTCTAACAGATCTTAATCATAACTCACTTCCAGGAAGATTCCTTCAATTAATCTCTTCTTTAAACTTATCATTCCTATGTTCTATACTAATATGGCACTTAATATATTCTAATTTATATAATATCATGATTCAAATATTATCCGATGACTTCCCAAAGTGCATCTCCACCTTGAATCCCAGGACCGGTTTTACATTTCTAACTGTCTGTTTACACATCACCACTTGAGGTAGTCTATTGATTTCAAATTCAGCATGACTCAAAACAAATGTTTCATCTGTATTCCTAGTCTCCCTATTTCTTTTGATGATGCCAAAATCCACAATCACCCACCTCCAATCCTAAGGATCATTTTTTTACCTGTCCCTTCTCTTGCCCTCCACATCCAATCAGATGCCAAACACCACATACCCACTTTCCATTCCCTTTGCAAGGTCTCTGATACATTCTCAAAGTCAAGGCTATGTGTATGGAGAAAGAGAATGTGTAATTGAGAAGTGGCACTGTTCAACTGGAGACCCAGCATAATTTTTTTTAAGGTTCTTGTAAAAAGAGGGAGTAATACACAATTTGAATAAATAATAACATGTATGCTGTTCTTTTGTTCAAGTGATATGTTTACATCTAGCCAAGTACAACTAATTTTCTTAACCTGTATATTTTTACTCAGTGACATTTTTAGAATGATCTATATGTTCCTAATATGGCTCTAATTTTAACCCTAAGTTTCTATTATGTCCATTTTGAATCCTGTAAACAACTTTTGGTTTAATGGTGATTTGGGATTGTATGCTTCCTTCCCTTCATTATCCCAATTCAGCAGTTCTCAACGTGTGATCCTCTCGCCCCAGAGAGTCTCAGTATCTTTGCTTCATCACTTAATGTCTATCTTCCCCTGCCATATTTTAAGGTTCATGAGAGAAGAAAGTGTATTTGATTACTCTTAAATATTTTGATGGGCCGGGTGCAGTGGCTCACTGTAATCCCAGCAGTTTGGGAGGCTAAGGCAGGTGGATTACTAGAGGTCAGGAATTTGAAACCAGCCTGGCCAACATGGTGAAACCCCATCTCTACTAAAAAAATTAAAAATTAGCGGTGTATGATGGTGTGCACCTGTAATCCCAGCTACTCGGGAGGCTGAGGCAGGAGAATCACTTGTACCCGGGAAGCGGAGGTTGCAGTGAGCCAAGATCACGCCACTGTACTCCATCCTGGGTGGCAGAACAAAACTCTGTCTCAAAAAAAAAAAATTGATTATTATTATATAAACAGGCCCCAGAATAATGCTTTGAATATAGCAGGAGCTCAGTGAATACTTGCTGAATGAATGGAAAGACAGCTGCTCAATGTCAAAATACAACTGGGAGAAAAGAAAAAAAAAAGAATCATACTAACCACAAAGGCCATTAGATACAGAAATAAAGACTGCTACTTGCCTAAAGAACAAGTAAAATTATCTGCCTATATTCTGTAAATCAGGCAGCAAAATGTGACATATATTACATAAATGTAATCTCCAAAAACAATGTTAAAAATCAGTGTTTTAGGGGCCGGGCATGGTGGCTCACGCCTGCAATGCCAGCACTGTGGGAGGCCGAGACAGGTAGATTACCTGAGATCAGGAGTTCAAGATCATCCTGGCCAATATGGTGAAACCCCATCTCTACTTTAAAAAAAAAAAAAAAAAAAAAAGTTTTATGTGTTTGAAGGCCTAAGATTAATTTATTTGCGAAATACACTTCATTTCTCATCAATGAGGCACTACATTATGTTGAATATAATAAAACTAAACTACATTTTAATCACAATTTAGGATTAGTAATGTTGAAGTATGACTTATTGTATCATCAAGTCATATATTCCAAAACAAAGAAACATTTTTTTTCCATGGATATAAGCAGTACCCCGAAGAAACACAAATAGTCACAAGACTTTGAAATATCTTATACTTTACTACTAAATGGAATAAAGTTTATAAAATGACTTATTTCATTATGAGCAAGGGTTAGACAACAAAAACCTATAGAGAACCAGTTAATACCCATAACTAGTTTCCTTATTTCTGTTCACACAATACAAGATCTACAGGTTTAACAGGTTCAACTGCAAAACCATATTCGAGTTTAACAGGTAGGCCACCACTGCAGATCTACACAATATCACCAGGTATTTATGTATTAAGGAAAGCCTTAATAATGAATAATTTCAACATTTTTTCTCTAGGTTAACAATCTGCATTAGTGTTAGTGATGCTACTGAATAAAACCAAACAGCAGTCTTGTTCCCATATACTACTAATACTGTCCAATAGACTGGGTTTCCTTCAAATACACAAAACAAATAAAAATGCATGGAAAGAAAAATACTAGAACAACTATAGACCCAAGAACCATATTAATTTGAATATAAGTTACATATGGATTACTTTCACCATTATCTAAGAGTGCTCTGAGATAAAGAAATGTAAAATGTCATTTGAGTTGCTTTCTCTCAATATTCTGGTTAGAAAAATATGACCAGGTAATTCATAGAAAATGGATCCAGAATGGAAAATAAGCAAATGAAAATATACCAATCCTGTTACAATCAGGAAGATACAATTAAGATAATGAGGTATCTTTTCTTACCAAAATGACTGGAAAAAGATTAAAATATAATCTGTAAGGAAAAGGAACTATAATATGGAAAACAACTTGGCAATCAACATATGGCTAACTTGAAGATATTCGTTTGCTCAGAACCAGCAATTCCATTTCTAGATGCATATAAGCTATAATCATGTATATAAAATGCAAAAGGTTTGTCATACCATTGTTTGTGATGAGAAAAATCATAAGCAATTCATATAATCATCTATACAAAAAAACAGATTTATAATATATGCAATGCAATGAGACACTACACTGTCGCTAAAACCAATCTATTAACATGCATCTCCTTGAATAAATATGGAAAAGAATTAAATTTAAAAAAACTTGTAAAAGAATATAATGAATGTAAGACTTCATCTGCCACATTTTCCTCTGTACAGCAAGGAAACGTAGTAGGCAGTAAGATGAAGAATGTCAAAAAAAGTAGGGCTTACATCTATAAAACGTTTATTTTTAAAAAAATACAATGTAAATTTTGCAGAACATTTACTCAAGGAAAAGAGACATAAGTTATTCTCAGCCTTTTGGTACATGTTTGAAATATTTCCTAATTAAAAAAAAAAGTGTATGAGAGGAGACTGCTACTTCTGACCAACATTAAGTAGCCATGGGCAGATTTACCCTCCCAGCTGAAACAAAACAAAACCAAAAACAGACAAGATATATAAAACAATGGTTCCCAAAACATCTGACCAAACATAAAGACAATGAGACTGGAGATGAGAAAAAAATGAGGTGTTCTTTGACCAAAATGGAATGAATTAGAAAGGAATAAAAGGAAGATATCTGGACAAATGTCCACAAATTGGAAACTGAAGTACTGCTCATTAACCTATGGGTCAAAAAGAAATCAGCACATATTCTGAACTGAATGAAAATGAAAACATATCAAAAACTGTGCAATGATGCTAAAAAAAGAAGGAAAACCATTATTGTCTCAATAGAAACAAAAAATAATTAGATAAAAATCCAACATTCTTTCCTCATAAAAACATTAAGCAGGAAAAGCAGCAAACATCCCCAATGTAATTAAAGGGCAAATACAAAACTCATACAACTAATCTTACATGAATTATGTAAGGCTGCATGCTTTCTCCCTAATATCAGGAACAAAATAAGGATGGCTACTCTTACCACTTCTATTCTACATTGTACTGGAGGTCATAGCCAGTGCAACCAAGCAAGAAAAAGAAATAAAAGGCACTCCAGATTACAAAGAAGTAAAACTTTTTATGCAAAGACAGCATTATCATTAAATAAAAACACTATAGAAACTACAAAAAAGCTACCAGAATTACTAAATGAATTCAGCAAAGTTGCAGGACACAAGATCCATATGGAAAAATCAATTGTACTTCTATATACTAGGAATGATCAGAAAAAGAAATTTTTAAAATACCATTTAAAATGGCATAAAAACATGCAGTACTTACAGACATATCTAACAAAAGATGTAAAAGACCCATACACTGAATACTACAAAATACTGCTGAAAGAAATTAGAGGAAATCTAAAGAAATGGAAAGACATACTTTGTTTATCATAGAACAGACAACTTAATATTGTTTGGAAGTCAGTTCTCCTCTTAATCTAAGATTCAGTGCAACCCCATTCAAAAATCCGTATAGACTTTTTCTAGAAATTGGCAAGCCGGTTTTAAAAATTATATGGAAATATAAAGAACCTAGATAGTCAAAACAAATTTGAAAAAGGAGAGTAAATTTGGAAGACTAATACTCCCAGATTCCGAGACTTATAAAAAAGCACCAATAATCAAAACAGCATGGGACTGGCAAAAAATTAATAAATACAGCATGGGACTGGCAAAAAAAAATAATAATAAATATAGCAATGGATCAGGAGAGAGCAGAAATTGTCGCACACATATATGAACAACTGATTTTCTGACAAAGATATAAAGGCAATTCAGTGGAGAAAGAATATATATATATATATTTTTGCAGACCGAGTCTCACTCTGTCACCCAGGCTGGAGTGCAGGGGCACAATCTCGGCTCACTGCAAGCTCTGCCTCCCAGGTTCACGCCATTCTCCTGCCTCAGCCTCTCAAGTAGCTGGGACTACAATGCCTGCCACCACAACCGGCTAATTTTTTTTTTTTGTATTTTTAGTAGAGACGGGGTTTCACTGTGTTAGCAGGATGGTCTCGATCTCCTGACCTCGTGATCTGCCTGCCTCGGCCTCCCAGAGTGCTGGGATTACAGGTGTGCACCACCGTGCCCAGCCAAGAATATATTTTTTAAATAAATGTTGCTGAAACAAATATGTCCATATGAAAAATATGAACTTTGATCAACACCTGGCACCATAAACAAAAATTACCTCACAATGGATCATAAAACTAAATGTAAAACCTAAAACTAAAATTCTAGAAGAAAACAGGAGAATAGCTTTATCTTGGATACCAAACCAAAAACACAGTGTGCAAAAGAAAAATGTTGATAAACTGGATCCATCAGAATTAAGAACTTCTGCTCCTGGAAAGATACTGTTTAAAAAAAAAAAGAAAAGAAAAGAAAAGATAAGCTACAGAATTGAAAATATTTGCAACTCACACATCTGATAAAGGTATTAAATTCAGAATATATAAAGACTCTCAACATTCAATAAGAAAATAACTCAATTTTTAAAAATAGACAAAAGATTTGAATAGATACTTCACCAAAGAGGATATACAGATAGCAGATACGATCATGAAAAGATGGTTCAACATCATTCAATAAATGCAAATATGCAAATTAAAACCAGTATGATGTCGCTATAAATCTACTAGAATAGCTAAAATTAAAACTATTAACTGTACCAAGTATTGGTAAGAATGTAGAGCAACTGGAACTCTTTTTTTTTTTTTTTTTTTTTTGAGACAGGGTCTTGCTGTTGCCTGGGCTGGAGTGTGCAGGGGCAATCACCTCTCACTACAACCTTGACCTCCCAGGCTCAATTCATCATCCTGCCTCAGCTTCCCAAGTGGCTGGAACCACATGTGCAAAACACCGCACCTGGTTAACAACCAGAACTCTTAAACACTACTAGTGGAAAAGTAAAATGATACAGCTACTTTGGAAAATCATTTGGTAGCTTTTTAAAAACTCAAAACATGCACCTGCTATATGTTTTAGCCATTTTTCTCTTAGGCAATTTACACAAGAATAATGAAAGTGTAAGTCCACTAAAACTTCTACACAAATGTTCAAAACATCTTTATTTGTAATATCTCAAACCTGGTGATAACCCAAATATCCATCAACAGGTAAAGATAAATTATGGTATTATATATCCATATAATGAAATACTACTCAACAACAAAAATGATTGAACTACCGATACATACTGCAGCATGGTGAAATATCAAAATCATGATTTGAGTGAAAGATGCCATGCCCCCCACCTCCAAAGTACATACTGTATAATTCTTTTTGTATAAAAACTCCACAAAAGGCAAATTCATCTATAGTGACAGAAAGTAGGGACTGGGAGAAAGGGAATAATGACAGGAGGAGATTAGAAAGAGACACAAAGAAACTTTTGGAGTGGTAAATATGTTCATTATATTGTTTGCACTGACAGTTTCACAGTTGTTATCAGCATGTCAAGCTTATCAAATTGCATATTTTAAATGTGTGAAATTTACTGTATGTCAATTATATCTCTTTAAATAAGGATGCTGAAAAAAAAAGCCTTTTTAAGTCTCTTATTCTTTTTCTATATACAGGATTAGCCTCCCTTTACTAATATCAAGGATATTCATCAAAAATTATCTTCTACTAGAGTTAGGATATCTTGGTTCTAGAATCAATTCCTCTACTTAATGATAGTAAATCACTTAAACCTCTCTGGGTCTCATTTTTCTAACCTGTAAAATGAGATTAAGCTAAACTGATATATTCCCATCTCAATACTTCATGGAACTATAGACTAAGTAGCCTTTGCTTTTTACCACATTATGTTGTTCCTAGAACTCTATAGTAAAATGTCATTCTATAAACCAAGTCATATTCTGTGATGAGAGGAAAATGCTTATTACAAAATATATCAATAAACCCCTATAATTATTTGAAATATTAAAATACAAAATACTCACAGAAAAGATCATTAGCCTGGATTTAGACAGACCTAGTTTCAAATGCCAGTTGGGCTAACTTGCTTTGTAACATAGGCAAGTAACTTTACCTCTCTAAGCCTCACTTTAAAAATATATAAATAACAAAAATAAGCCAATATCTCTTAAGATTATAAAATAAAACCAGCACATGTCTGATATACGGAAGTTGTTTAATAGTAATTAAAATCTATTAATAAGATCGTGCTTTACATCATAAAACTATCTGCACGTTTTAGACTTTATTGTAACATATGAAAATTTACCAGAGAATTAACATAAAACAAAACCATCACCACCAGTTTAAAAGGATCTCTCACTATACATTAAAAAAAAACTTTGGTTGCTCAGCATGAATGAAGGTTAGGCAAGGATATTTATTTAGCGCACATTAAGTATCATTTACATAAATAACTACTGCATTTTATTGAACCTACAGAATAAACCAAGGAAGGAGAAAAGGGACAAGGAGTGCGGGAAGGTAGGATCACAAGTACTGCTACTTTTATATAATAAGATCATCAGGGAAATGCTCTCTCATAAGCAGACACTTTAACAGGGACTTTAGTATATTTTAATTCATTAAAAGTTTACACAAAATATCACTGCATCATTAGCTAAAGACTTCCCTGACCACAACAATAAAGAAATTTACCTCTTTAAGCAAGGAACAGAATATGAAATACTTCAAACACAATGTTGCAAATTAAATCTAATTCTCCCAAAGGTGAAACTATCACACAGAAAAATAGTTTTCAACTGAAACTAGAATATCTCATGAAACCTGTGCAGTTGAAAGTTTTCATTTACTTTTCTCTATAGCTCCTTGACTTAAATTATCTTTCATCATACTAGAAAGAAAACACATAATTGACTAAAAAACTTTTTCAAGTAGTGAAATCTGCATTATTCCAAGTAAAAAAGAATATGGGATAAAATAAAACAATTCTTTGTTTACATTCTTTACATCTTTTTTTACTGTTGATCTCAAAGAATAAAAATAACACAATGCCTTCCTTCTCAAGCTGCTGACCAAAGTTTAGAACCAGCAAATATATCAAGGCCAACTTTAGTTATTACATAATTTGCCTGTCAAAGTATGAAAAAATAAAAAGGACATAATTTGGAGCAGTCTTCTGAATGAAAAATAGAAAATTTTCTTTAATTTTTCTGCTTGCATGCATTTGGTTCCTATTATCCTACCCTCCTTGAACATCTTTTCCTCTTAGAAAATTCCAACTATCCCATTTTAAGCTTATCTTAAAATAAAAACTGTGCCCAACCTGGGCACGGTTGCTCATGCCTGTAATCCCAGCACTTTGGGAGGCCAAGGACAGCAGATAACCTGGGCTCAAGAGTTCGAGACCACCTTGGACAACATGGTGAAACCCTATCTCTACTGAAATACAAAAAATTAGCTGGGCTTGGTGGCACATGCCTGTATTCCCAGCTACTCGGGAGGCTGAGGCAGGAGAATCACTTGAGCCCAGGAGGCGGAGGTTGCAGTGAGCCCGGATTGCGCCACTGCATTCCAGCTTGGGCTACAGAGTGAGACTCTGTCTCAAAAAAACAAAAAACAAAACAAAACAAATGACCACTCCCTCCTCTAAAGTCCTACAATGACTGTTGCACAAGTCACTTAGAAATTGTGTGTGACTTTGAGCCATCTCTTCTATTGCTATCCAAATGTAATTTAAACTTTGACTTTTCATAATTCAGTCAAATAAGTACTTCTGATATAGTAGCTAACTAGAAATCTAAAGTCATCAATAAATGAAATAGATGCTTCTCAAAGATGGAAACTCGGATTTATTGAAAACAATAAAACAAAAACCAGTTACAGTAATCCCAAAATAAATCAAATTATATTATTATACATTACCACACCATACCCAATAGCTGGGCATTTTACTTTATGGGATCTAACTGTGAAGAGTAAACTGGAGCTCTTTTAAGAAGTCACAAGGCTAGACAAAATAAAGTCAGAATACTTAATGCTTTGCTGTTTTTTGTTTTGTTTCGTTTTATAGGCACTGACAATAGAGCTGGCCTTGAGCAAGTCTCATATTGAGCAACCAGAAAAACAAAACTCAAAAAAAGGAACTGTATACAATTATTTTAACTTCCTTAAAAGATAAGGCTAACTCTAGTAGAAGGGCTTAATAAAAGTATAGCTCTCAAGCTGTAAAGAAAATACAATCCCGAGTAGCTGGGATTATAGGCACCTGCCTCCATGCCAGGCTAATTTTTGTATTTTTAGTAGAGACAGGGTTTCACCATGTTGGGCAGGCTGGTCTCAAACTCCTGACCTCAGGTGATCCACCCGCCTCAGCCTCCCAAAGTACTGGGATTACAGGCATGAGCCACTGCACCCGGCCTCAACTGAGTTGTTTTAACGATTAAGTAACATCAATATGTATTCATTATCATTTGTTTTTAATAATAAACATTACTATTATTATCTACTTCTGTTGTGACTGGTGACAGCTCCTTCTGCCGGTAAAAAAAATCTCAGTCTGAGATGTGGGAATTCAATTATTATATGACTTAAGGTGATAAAATTATGTACCTACCAAGGGAAAAATGATATACTGCAGTTCTGCTCCCTCATAAATACCAAAATAAAAGCAGAAAAAATTTAAGTAACAAATTAAAATTGGAAGATTTTCAGACATTAGACTGTTATTTACTCAACAAACATTAATCAGCAGCCACTGTCAGACAGAAGTGAATACTTCCTTTGCCCTCTGAAGGTTTGTTGAGAACTACTGAAAAGAGGCAGATAAATAGAAGAAAAGGCATACAAATTTATTTGATCATAGTTTTACGTGACATGAAAGCCTTCAGAATGAAGAACCAAAAATACAGGGGAAGCTGTCCTTTTTTACGCTTAGGTTCAACAAAGTATGGACAGCCGTAACGTGATTGGACAAAAAGGGAATGATCTAATGTTAATAGACTGAGTGGGGAAACCATGCAAGACCTGTCTCATTCTTCTGTGTTTGTGTGCCTCTCTGAGTATGTACTCCTTACTTTTGGGTATGGAGAAGGATTCTAAAATAGGGATCTTATGAACTATGGTCAAACGAAGTAGGTCAGGTAATTTTTTTATGACTGGTGTTACACAAAAAAAAGGAAGAAGGAAAAGTTAGAATAATATTCTTAGGCTTTATGACTGACTTTTTAAAACGGGTTCTGCATTGTGGAAGACAGTGTGGCAATTCCTCAAAGACCTAGAGGCAGAAATATCATTCAACCAGAAATCCCATTACTGGGTATATACCCTAAGGAATATAAATGGTTCTATTACAAAGATACATGTATGTGTATGTTCACTGCAGCACTATTCACAATAGCAAAGACATGGAATCCACCTAAATGCCCATCAATGGCAGACTAGATAATGTAGTACATATACACTATGGAATACTATGCAGCCATGAAAAGGAATGAGATTAGCCAGGCACGGTGGCTCATGCCTGTAATTCCAGCACTTTGGGAGGCCAAGGTGGGTGGATCACCTGAGGTTGGGAGTTCAAGACCAGCCTGGCCAAAACAGTGAAACCCTGTCTCTACTAAAAATACAAAAATTAGCTGGGTGTGGTGGCGCATACCTGTAATCCTAGCTACTCGGGAAGCTGAGGCAGGAGAATCACTTGAACCCAGGAGGCAGAGGTTGCAGTGAGCAAAGATTGCGCCACTGCATTCTAGCCTCGACTACAGAGCGAGACTCCATCTCAAAAATAAAAAATAAAAAAATTAAAAAAAAAATAAAAGGAACAATATCATGTCCTTTGCAGGGACATGGATGGAGCTGTAAGCCATTATTCTCAGCAAACTAAAGCAAGAACAAAAAACCAAATACCATTGTGTTCTCACTTCTAAGTGGGAGCTGAATGATGAGAACACATGGACTCATCGAGGGAAACACCACACAATGGGGCCTACTGGAGGGTGGGGGATGACAGCAGGGAGAGCATCAGGAAGAATAGCTAATGGATGCTGGGCTTAATACCCAGGTGATGGGATGATCTGCGCAGCAAACCACCATGGCACATGTTTACCTATGTAACAAACCTGCACATCTTGCACACGCACCCCAGAACTTGAAAGTTGGAAATTTTTAAAAAAGGGGAAAAAATTAAAATTACATTAAATAATTCTAGCCTATACGCAAAAAAAACAAGATACTTATATAATTAAAAATACATTTGCAAAAAGGCAGTGAATGGGCTGCACAATGAAATATATACATCTGAAGTTAGTGAGCCGAAAGAAAAATAAAGGCAATCTCCCAAAACAGAGAAAATTTAAAGAAATAGGAAATACGAAGGTAAGTTTAAAGACATAGAAAACAGTCCAGGTGATCCAACTATGTTCATAAAGTGTTTAAGAAAGATGTTGTAGGAACTATGCAGAAGAGGGGTCAGGGAGAAAAAGAAAGAGAGAAACAGGAAAGAAGGAAGGAAGGAAAGAATATAATAGAAATATAAACCTTGTCAATGTAAAAACAATACAATGCAATAAATAAAGTCCGTGCAAGGGAAGTGAGAAGTGGAAGTGTACTGAAACTCTCATTTTTGTGCAGAGTTAATAGATGCTATGGCTCTACAAATCAAAACATAGTCGTAAAGGAAACTACCAGAAAAAAACTAAAAATAATAATGTAACTAACACATTTAGGAAATGAAGAAGGGAAAACAGAAGTTGGTTAAATGTCTTTTGTAAGTCACCTATAAATCACTAGGTTAATGCATATGGTCTAAAGTTGATAAATCAAAAATTTAAAATTATAATGTCAATTCCAGAAATAATAAAGGGCAATGTGACTACTTCTGGGGAGTAGGACTAATTGAAGAGAAAGTACTAAGGAAGTGGTCTTTACTTCTAATTTTATACATTTCAGTATCTTTTGATTTATCCGTGCATATGTACACATGGATTATTTTCAAAAATTTTTTAAAAGTTAAGCAATGTAAGCGCCTATTAATACTGTCTTTGATGCCTCTAAAAGATTATATAACAAAGCACTTGGCGAAGTCTAGGTCCTTCCAGAATTGACTTCACCAAGTGCTAACATTAATGTGCTAGCTTTTATCAAAGATTGCTTTGAAAAACAACCATAAAGAATATTTTCTTGTTTACTGTAAAACTTGTTGAGGACATTGTTTATGCATGAGTCATCGTTCATTGTACAGGGGGGTCCTTGAGTGAATCTCTGTCAAGGTCAGTGCTAAATAAAGCTTGCTTCTGCTGGGGAAGAAAGAAAAGGGGGGTGGTGGTTCTGGTTCCTATGACCCACTTTTAAAAAGATGGATTCTAGTTTATATGGCTAGCCTTGGAGGAAAAATAAAACTGAGAGACAAGAGGACAAAAAAAGGTTAAAAAATAAAACAGTCCTTTTGTTTCTGAGACTACTTCTAAGACCTTCATTGTAGAGTATTGTTTTCTGAGTCTCAACACTGCTATGTGCAAGCTACTTTCTTCAGGACTAAAGGGCTAAAGGGGTAAATGATGAAGATTAAAAATATAGTCCTTTCCTTCAAAGATTTTAAGCATTAAGCCTAGAAGAGAAAATGAAGTAGGATACAAACAACTACAGTACAATGCAATATATAATAAATGTCATGAGATAGAAAATATTCTTAAGTTTTGAGGAGAGACTGAACATGAGTAGGGGAAAATAAGGAAAAAAATAAATATGCAAAATTTGAATTTGGCCTTGAAGTATTCCAGCTGACAGAATGTAGTAAAAATACAGGTGAGGAAAAATCACTAATCATAGTATGCCTGAAAAAATAAGCTGCTTACATGAGTAAGACTTAAGAATGAAAAGCATTTTGGGGCTACAACAATGACAGCTTGGATTGCCTAGCTAAGGAATTAGGACTATATCCCACAGGCATTAAGGAGTCACTGAATGCTAAGGACAAATTCTGAATCTAGCAATTGTACATAGTTTAAATAACAGCAGAACAAGGCAAAAGAGGTGGAGGTAAAATATCAAGATATTATAATCATCCAAATGATAATGAAGGCCCACACTTAAACAATGGCAAAGTAATGAATGAACTCAAGATACAGAAGTAGAAGAAACAACTGAAGAGACTGAAGCAACAGTCAAATAAAAGTAACTAGCAGATTTCTAGCAGCCAGGGGAAGAATAGCTTTTGGAAATTTAGAGAAGTCAGGTCTGGCAGATTGGTCATATAATGTTTTTTAAAATCTGTTCATTTATTTATTCAAGCATTTATTAAGCATAACCTATATGTCAGTTGCTAGCGACATAAAGAGGAGTAAGACCTAGTTCCTGTCTTGAAAGTAGTAGAGACATGTAACAATTACCATATTAAGTGATATATTATTCAATAACAGGAGCTGTAAAATCAGAGACTAATTTGCAAATGTATCAAAATGCTTCATGACCAATTCCCTAAATTTATTAATCAAAAATATATCTTAAGTAAAACTTTTATTAGATATAAATATATTCATATAGTCAATGAATATGATTTTCTTATCAGAATTTTAAGGATTGTCCAATTTGTCAAATGCTGTTCAGACAGACAAGCAATATTAGTATTCTTAAAACCAGAATCAGCATATGCAAAGATAGGGAGTGTGGTTCAAAGAAATGTAAATAGTTTTAATATTCCAGAGTGTAAGATAAATAGGGAGAAAAATCAGAAAAAATGGGGGTCAGATGATGAAAAGTATAAATATATTTTATTCTATAATCGATGGAAAGTAACTGAAACATTTAAGCAGGAGAATCCCTAGAATTCTCAACCTAGAATCCCTTTTCAGAAAATAGTCTGTCCCAACCTCACAAGAGGTTTCTTGAAGCCATATTGATACTAGAGAATCTCATCCCTCCACTGCCATAGTTAGCTGGATCAGGGACACATGTTCCACTGACTAAGGCCACTCAGATTTTCTCATCTAAGAATTTAGAATTGTGACATATAGCAACTCAGTCAGTCAGCTGTGGTCTATGTGCAATGAACTTGTAGTTAATGTAAATTTAGAAGTTAGGAGTGCAACTTGGAGACCACAGGCAAGGAGAGCAAAGAGAACCAGTATACAGAGACATAAAGCAGTACACATACTTAAAGAAAAGAGAACATGTAGCCCTAGAAAGAAAACATCCAGTTTCCTGTTTAGTACTCATGGGATCTGGCTATACATCTTACCCTTAAGTGATACAACCCCATAGCTTTTCAAAAAATCCAATTTCTGCTTAAGCTAATTTAAGTGGGTTTCTATTTTCTGCAACTGTTACTAAACAAGGTTTTGGCGGTTAATCAGATTCCGGTGGTTAATCTGAAGGATAAATTAATGGGAAAATAGGCTACAAATAGGTGGAACATTTAAGGTAGAAAAGGAGTTACCAAACAAAAGCAGTAGTAACAAACAGAGGCAGGTATGATGAAAGAAAAGTAACCAATATAGTGCAGGGTCCTCAAAGCTTAATTAACAATAGTTTCAGGAAGCTGGAGCAGTATCAATTGCGTCTAAAGACTAGAAGCAACAGAATGTCATGATACCTTTAAGAAAACCACTTCAACAGAATAACTGAGACAGAAGTCATATATGAGTAAGCTAAATAAACGGTAGACAAGGCATCTAAGAAATTTCTTTAAAAAAGAAAGAAATTTGAGGGTACAACAGTATTAAAGAGTATAATAAAAACATGAGAGACGTTAACTTATTTTTAAGCCAAGAGCCAGTGGATAATGCAAAGCCCCACCCTGCAAAAGAGTAAAACATGATATTCCAGAGGAAGCAAAAGCCCAGGAAAGTATAACCTTACCAAGAAGAAGCAATTTTTCCTTAAAATTCAGTAGAAATAAAAAGGATGGCTAACATTCCAAGAAATCTGAAAGTAAAGACAAGAAAACTTGAGGAAACTCACGTGGTTGAACAGCACGTATCACTACATAGAGATGAGTGATATGCTGAGAACAAAAGAGCAGGAGTAGGTTGGATGACAGAAAACAACATAAAAAGTTTGAGCCACAACTGGGGAATGGGATGGGTGTCAATAAGAGTTAAGACAAGGATGACCTTTACTAACCCAAAGCTTCAGGAGATAAAAAAACAAAAGAACCACAAATTGATATAATAAGGAAAAAGTGAGGTATTACTGAGCTAGGTAAGGATAAGTTCAGGTATAGTTCAATACATAACCTAGCATGATGTAACTCTAACTGGCAAGAATTTATCAAATTTGATTAATCAAATGATTAATTTTAATTAATTTTAATTAATCATATTTGATTAATTTTTGCAAGTTAGAGTTAGGCTAATAAAGCTATGTGTAGATGTTTCTATCCTAAAAGCTGAAAAGTGCTCTATTTTAAATTTGCATTATAAAGACGTCTGACAGACATTTCAAAATTTTTTTTTTTTTGAGATGGAGTCTCGCTCTGTCGCCCAGGCTGGAGTGCAGTGGCGCAATCTCGGCTCACTGCAAGCTCTGCCTCCCGGGTTCACGCCATTCTCCTGCCTCAGCCTCCAGAATAGCTGGGACTACAGGCGCCCGCCACCACGCCCGGCTAATTTTTTGTATTTTTAGTACAGACGGGGTTTCACTGTGATCTCTCGATCTCCTGACCTCATGATCTGCCCGCCTTGGCCTTCAAAATGTTTTTAAACATTAAAATAACTCAGACCTATCTCCATATTCAAAAATCAATGCTATTAAATAAACAGAAATGAGATACCATGATACACTTATTAGAATGACCAAAATCCAGAAAACTGACAACACCAAATACTGGAGATGGTGTGGAACAACAAAAACTCTTATTGTTGGTAGGAATACAAAATAGTTCGGGCACTCTGGAGGGCAGTTTGGGAGTTTCTTACAAATCTAAATATATTCTTACCATACAATTGGACACCCTGGTATTTAACCAAAGGAGTTGAAAAGTTGCATCCACACAAAAACTTGCATAGGATGTCTATAGCATTTTATTCATAACTGCCAAAACAGAAGCAACCAAGATGTCCTTCAGTAGGTGAATGAATAAACTAAGGTACATACAGACAATGGGATATTATTCAGTACTAAAAAGAAATAAGCTATCAAGCTATGAAAAGACATGGAGGAAAATTAAATGCTTATTTCTAAGTGAAAGAAACCCATGTAAAATGGCTACACACTGTATGATTCCAACCGCATGAGATTTTCCCAAACGCACAACTATGGAAACTGTAAAAAGATCAGTGGTTGCCAGGGGATGGAGGAGAGGGAAGGATGAATAGGTAGAACACAGAGAATAAGCTTAGTGCAGGGACACTATTCTGTATACTATAATGCTGGATACATGTCATTATACATTTGTACAAACCCATAGAATGCACAACACCAAGATGTGTGCACTCTGGGCTCTGGATGATGATGATGTGTCAATATAGGTTCATCAACTGCAACAAATGTACTCTTGTGGAGGATGTCGATAATGCATATGTACATATGTAGGGACGCAGTTATTTGAGAAATCTCTAGACCTTCCTCTCGATTTTGCTGTGGACCTAAAACTGCTTTAAAATATGAAGTCTATTAAAAAACAACAAATCCAGATAAACTGACTTAAATCTAAAAAATAAAACTGCAAGATTCTTAGGAGCAAACTTGGGTAGCTATCTTTTAAACCCAGGATAGGGAATAATTTATTTAAAAGGGCATGAAAAGCAATTACAGTAAGTCCTCACTTAACACTGCTGATAGGTTCTTGGAACTGAGACTTTAAGAAAAACAATGTGCTTCAGGTCCTTTAATAATGCTGTTTCGCTCAATATCATTTCTTTTCTTTCTTTTTTTGAGACAGGGTCTCACTATGCTGCCCAGGTTAGAGTGCAATGACACGATTCCAGCTCACTGCAGCCTTAACTCTTGGGCTCAAGTCATTCTCTCACCTCCACCTCCAAAGTAGCTGGGACTACAGGTGTGCATCACCACTTCTGGCTAATGTTTCATTGTTTATAATATCATTTCCTTAGAACACTGATGAGAAAAAAGAAACTGGTTTCATTATAAGTTATTTTGCTTAAAGTCAGTTTCCAAGAACCCGTCAATGACATTAAGTGAGGACTTACTGTATGATAAACAATGGACAAATTTGACTTAAGAATTTTTTTTATCAAAAGATGCACAGCAATGACAAAAACTGTATTTAGGATTCCGAGTTTGTAAACTTCTGAACTAGTAAACTGTTCAGAAGATTAATATTTTGCTTTATATCCAGTATTAAATCTGATCAACTCCAGCATTTTAATGGCAAGCTATGAAAATACCTAAATAACTGACTCACATAATCTTACGGAATATACTGCCCTTTAAACAAAAGAATAAAATATTATTAATGACTAATAATAAGTAGTTTGCAACAGAGAGGTATGGAATTGGAAAATAAGCAACTGATGAAGTGTATGTATAATTTTTGCTATTTCTTTGCTTCTGAATTTACTCATTAACTAAATCAACCTAGCATTTGGGTGCCTAGCATGTGTGAAGCAATACAATATTTTATACAACTTCCTATGGCTGTTCATTTGGATAGTTTACAAATCCCCAGGCCATAAACTATTAATATAACTTTACCCTTTCTATACCAAATGTACAATAGATATTAAATACAAGCCTGTTGATGATAACGATGTAAATTATTCCAAATATTTGCCAAAGAAGGTAGAGGCATTTAAAACTGTCCCTCCCACACAACTCCATAAAAGAAAGCGAAAAAGTTAGGAACTGAAAGAAGACATTCACAATGTACACAGAGGATTAACATAAGCAATATAAAGAACTCTTATAAACTAGTAAGAAAAACAAAAATAGGCAAGAGACATAAATAGGAATTTCACTGAAGAAGCCACGTAAAAAGGCCGACAAACATAAAAAGAAGTGTTCTACATCAGTGATAACCAGGAAAATGCGCATCAAGACCACAATAAGGCAACATTTTACACCCTTATGATTTGTAAAACTTAAAAAGAGAATATCAAGTGTTGGAGAGGATGGATAACCAAAGGATCTTTTATTTCATATATTGCTAATATGAATATAAATTGGTGCAACCATATTGAAAGTTCTGCATCATCTCTTAAGTTGAACATTCACCTACCCTGTGAGGCAGCAATGCTACCTCTAGGTATATAATAGGAACTGTGGCACATGCACAGTAGGAAACATGCAGACTGTCCATAGGATCTTTGCTTATAATTACAAACAAAACAAAACAAAAAATGGAAAATAACTGCCCAACAAGGGAGAGTGGATAAATATCCAAATATCCACCAAAGTAGAGTTAATGAATATTTTACTCAATGAAATATTATATAGCAATTTAAATAATGACTATAGCAACATGCAAAAATGTGGATAAATCTTATTTATAACAGGTGAAAAATCAAGTTCAAAAAGATTATATTCACAATTCTATACAAACAACTAAAAGATGTTTAGATTTATATGTCCAACTAAACTATACACAGTAGTCTCCTTTTATCCACCGAGAGACCTTCAGTAAATGCCTAAAACCACGAACAGTACTAAACTCTATTTACACTTTTCCTTTAACATACATACTTATGCTAAAGTTTAATTTATAAATTAGGCACAGTAAGCAATTAACAATAACTAATAATAAAATAGAACAATTATAACTATACTGTAATTACAGTTATGAGTGTGGTTTCTCTCAAAGTATCTTAGTACTTATAAATATCTTATAGTACTATACTGTACTCACCTATTTTTGGACCACAGTTGACCATGGGTAACTGAAACCGTGGATAAGGAGGGACTACTATATAAGGAAGAGAATGAACACAGGACTCAAAAATGATGACCTAGATGACAAGAAGGTGGAAATAGACGGATAGAATAGAGGAAAACTATACGTAGGTTAAAGTTCCTAGCTTGTTTTGAGAGAGGGGGAGTGGTGGTCCATGAGTACTTATTAAAATGATTGACAGACAGATAGGTGATTAATCCAATGCAGTGTGCCTGATGTTTAACAAATTTTTTAAAAATCCAAAAGTTGCATAAAATTTGTTCAATGAAAATTCTGAAATGGAGAACAAACACCTCCTTAAAGAATCCCTAAGGTAGCAACTACAGGGAAGGGAAAACAGTATGATTAATGTGTAAAATATATGATACTCAGGCCAGGCACAGACGCTCACATCTGTAATCCTAGCACTTTGGGAGGCCAAGGCAGGTGGACTGCTTGAGTCCAGCAGTTCAAAACCAACCCGGGCAACATGGCAAAACCCCGTCTCTCCAAAAAAATATAAAAATCAACCATGCATGATGGCTCACACCTATAGTACCAGCTACTTGGGAGGCTGAGATGGGCGAATCACTTGAGCCCAGGAGGCAGAGGCTGCAGTGAGCCGAGATCACGTCACTGCACTTCAAGCTGGGTGACAGAACGAGATCCTGTCTCAAAAATAAAAATAAAAATAAAATAAATAAAAAACTCTCAGCACATGTATTGTGTGGTATGTCTTCTATAATCAAAAATAAATTCCAAATTTTGTCATAACTACATTCCATTAAATTAAGGTACTTATGAGCCAGGGCAGTAAAACTTTCACCAATTTGATAAGTCACTGACAAATTTCTAAAAGAGATAAATCCTAACAATATTATGTAAGTCTTGTATATCCACTCATCTTTATGAGGCACTTCAACACTACCTTCACATTTAAGGTGTTTACTGTCATCAAGTACACTGTCCCATGCTTTCTTGATCTTCATTTTTTACAGGCAATATTTATGTATATAATGTTACACAAATTTCATTTTTGTGATTGCAAAAAAAAACCAAGTATGATAATAGAGCTAGTTTCAAACAAGATTTCATCAGATAAAATTAAGACAAGCTAGACATGCATCAAGATAAAGATTCTCTATTTCTGTTTCATTAAGGAATTACTTTTTCATTAGTATATTTTTCCCACTCTAAATTTTAAATCTTTTTAAAGCTTTTAACTAGTTTTCAACTTTGCTGTCAAGTTTGAACTCTGCTGTATATCAAAAGTTGATCATATTAAATGTCATATACTGTAGAGTAAAATTGGCTTTTGAAATAATATAGACATTTGACAATTATCAGCACAGTATATTTTATGAGGGAATAATGTAGAATTAACTGTTTTATTCAAATACCATTTATGGTATGAAAGTAACATTATTTTAGGTGATGTTTACAAACTACTACTTTATTTGTTTAAAAGTAAACATGCTTCTGATGAATGGCATGAAAATTTACCATTGCCAAATTCAAAAAGCAGAAATAAGAGAGCCCAAGGAATCAGATGCTAAGCTCTGGGATAAAGAGATGATGTCTAAAAGGTGCCCCTACTTGTCCCTATTTCAACACTATGTGAATGGTAGGAATTGCATGATACTAGACCTAATCTCTATTACACTAATGAGAGATGACAAAAAAATCCATTTTAGAGCCATCATTTAGTAACACTAGTTTTAACACAGACTTTTATCTTGGTAGTCAAGAAATATTTGGAAAGTTATTTAGTATGTTTAATTCAGCAAAGTATGCGCTGCAAATTACAAACATTGTGGTAGTCTATAAGAGCAGCAACAATCAAACCTAAGCCGGAAAAACACACTGTATTGCTATATTATTCAAAGAAATTGTTGCTATACTTCATTACTGTCTATTACTAAATCCATACTACTGCACTTTTCTTTGAGACAGGTTCTCACTCTGTCACCAAGGCTGGAGTGCAGTTGCGTGATCTCAGCTCACTGCAACCTCCGCCTCCTGAGTTCAAGCAATTCTTGTGCCTCAGCCTCCCAAGTAGTTGGGATTACAGGCACACATCACCACACCTGGCTAATTTTTGTATTTTTAGTAGAGACAGGGTTTCACCAAGTTGGCCAGGCTAGTCTCGAACTCCTGACCTCAGGTGATCCGCCTGTCTCAGCCTCCCAAAGCACTGGAATTACAGGTGTGAGCCACTATGCCCAGCCTGCACTTTTCTTCTTAATAAAGCCGTGACTCATAATTGAAATATTTTGAGATTAAAAAAGGCAATAAAAGCTAATTAGATCCACTCATCTAGAACCAGTGGCAAGAAAAAAGTTTTTAACCTACTGTGATTTCTATCTTAAAATTCTCTGAGCTTCATTTTTCTTCAAAATTCTAGTAAGTAAAATGAGATAAAGAAAAAAAAGAAAAAATGGACTCTACAGCCATGGGACTTTTAGGTGGAAAAAGTCTGTCAGTCTCTAAGTGACAGAACTATGAGCAACTTTTATTTTCTTTTGTGCTTTTCCACATTTTCTGGATTTTCTGTAATACATGTGCATTACATTTCTAATTTGAAAACAATGTAAAGTCTGTCTTAACTACCCTGTTTACCTTCTCATACCACCAACCCCCAAACCACCCTAAAATTTTAATCCTCCCAACTCAGACCTTCCACTTTCCAGTGTCACTGCAAAATTAGATGCCGTCTTCTCATTTTCCATTAAATGAGTAAACTACCAGTGTGCTATATGGAAGAATGATGTAACTACTATAGAAATCCCTTTTGTACTTTTAAAGAGAATATTTTTGGGAGAAGGGATTAGAAATGTAAATTAAAGAAAACTACGTAATTTCATATGTCAAAGATTATAATGAACTTCTCTTAAAATAACCTAGACATCCCTCCTCCTACGTGACAAATGGAGCATTCTCATCAATGTATTGCGCACCTACTAAGTGTCAAACACAGAGCTAGGTTACATGTGAGTATAAAATTTTAAAGCAAAGCACAGTCTACAGAGTAATGTTAAATCTTTTGGGAAGTTTTGGGCAAGCATGTGACACCTTTCATTAGAAACAGTAATTCTTAATGAAGAAACCCTGTAAAAAGATTATTTGTACTATTATTCTTTGTGAAATATTAGACTGTATCTACAATAATAAAACACTGCTAAATTATAGACTACCAAGTGGAATGTAGAAATCATTTTTCCTTGTTACAGACGGAGCTAACAAGTAGTGTAAAGTTAATGTTGGTTAATTACGTTTTTGGCCAATTTGTAGAAAGTTCATACAACTATAACATTAGATGCAAAACATTTATAGTTCCCCAGAACTGTGGCAATTTAAATAATGGTGTAGTGGCGCCGGGCATGGTGGCTCACACCTGTAATCCCAGCACTTTGGGAGGCCGAGGCAAGCGAATCACGAGGTCAGGAGTTCAAGACCAGCCTGGCCAACATAATGAAACCCCGTCTCTACTAAAAATACAAAAAATTAGCCGGGTGTGGTGGCAGGTGCCTGTAATCCCAGCTACTTGGGAGGCTGAGGCAGGAGAATCGCTTGAACCTGGGAGGTGGAGATTGCAGTGAGCAGAGATCACACCACTGCACTCTAGCCTGGGTGACAGTGCGAGACTCCGTCTCCAGAAAAAAAAAAAAGAATAGTGTAGTGGGAAACATACAGACCTGGGTTCAAACTCAGACACACAATGTAACCATGAGCAATTTCCTTAACATTCTTGAACTTGTTTCCTGATCCACAACATGGAAATAACACCTACCTTATTGGATTGTTGTGAAGATCAAATAAGGTGTATAGGACACTAAGTACAATGTCTGATATATAGCAAATAATTTTTAAAATGTTATTTGTAGTCTCTTATAATTATCTTCTAGTACAATTATCTATACTCTCTTCTGGAAAGCAAAAACCTATCTTGTCATCTTTATATCCTCCAATATAGCTTTGGTAGATACTACATAACTGTTTGGTGAAATTAACCCCTGTAATTTAAGGGTAACTATCTCAACTTTCCACTTGAGCAAGTTACCTCTATCTAAATAAAATCTGCTGAGAATGGAATTTAAGATTCCCAGACCAACACTTTATTGGGCATTTTGATGAAGAAAATGAATCTCCAATAATCAACAAGGTAGCTTTGTTAGTACACTGCTCAATATTTGGTCTGCATTCTACAAAATTACCATTGTAGCCAACACTTTCATTCTGAGATTCTTTACAGTTTTCATTAATCCAGGTTTCTTGGAAATAGACTTTAGTTTCTTTGGCATTGCAAAAATGTCTGTTTTCTGCTATACTTCAAATAAAAAAAGAGAATACAACACAACAAATTAGTTATGAGATAAAAATTAGAAATTGGCCATTTTAAACAGCCGATTTTTATTTTTACTACAGTAAATATTCTTCCTTATACCTTGAAACCTCTAGCCACCAAAGTTTACATAGTTTATTAATGCTTCCTTGTTGAATAAGCCTCCTGAATTACTAACAATACTTAAAAACATTACTCCATGCTATTACAGTAATTAACAAGACAGAATACTGTAGTTTCAGATTTTCTTACTTTGCCTTTCCATGACCAAAAGCCAATTCCAGCTCAAGCAGTGGAGTATTTCAAATTCTACAATTTGAAAAAATAATGAAAAGCTGGATATATTTCTAAATAAATATCAATTTTATTAAAGCCAGGTTGTAATATGTAACTTTCAGAGTAAACAAGTATTCCTGAGACAGGATACATAGCAAAGTAACAGTTTTAACCATTAAATACATCTTAAAACTGGCTACAAAACTTCTTAAATACTTAAAATCTGTATGGCAGAGAAGAATTAAGAACTTCATATTAAACAGTATTTCAGTCTAAATTCAAACAATTTAGAAGCTTTTTAAAAAAGTGAATCTTGAAACAAAAGTTTAATAAATACTTGGTTGCTGTACACTAAGTTTCAGGACCCAATGAAATAAAAAGTCTGAATAGATGGAAATATTTGGAGAAGCAAACTTTATGACTATTTATCTTTAAGTGTTGATATAAGTAATAGTCGCAAACATTTTAATAAACACGATAAAGTTTAAATGCAATAACTTTTATCAAAACTGGGAGTCAAATAAACCAAGAAAATGACTTGGATATATGACAACCTATAAGGTAACACTTAATAAAAACTATTCTTTTTCTGGAAGGGGTTATATTTCAGTTTATCTAGAAGCTTAACTTTAGGTATTCCTCTATTTTGGTCGTATTTCTAGGTCATCATATTTAAAATTTCTTCCTTCTTTGCTTGCTTCCTTGTTATTATCAAAATTGATCTTATTAATTAAAAGATCCTAAATGTTATTAATACACATGAAAATATATTTTCAGTTCCAGTGCCAAAGTAGGTGTCTTTTATGCCAACTTTCTATAACATACAAGTACCAATGCCAAATATATTGTAACTCTAACACTGCTCAATTCAAAAGAAAAGTGACCCTATCATCTTTCTCAATCAAAACCAAAGTATGTTTTTCATGGTTCAAGACCAGGCAATGTAAAGTATTTCTGACTTGCCTCACATCATCTTCATTTTAAAAGCTCATGTAAATTATTTACTATTAATAAAATAGTAAATTCCATTCATTTAGCAAATGTGGTATGCTGTAAGATCTGCTTATAAAAGGCTAACTGTAATTAAAATACTACATAGCAACATTTTCAATTATATGAAATTCAGCTTTGCATTACCAAAGGATTCTAAATGTGCAACACTGCATTGATATACATTGTTAAAGTCTCTATTTTTGTGGAGGAAATATCAACCATTATACCAAAGTTTTCAAGCTTACGTCTGACTGCACAAGAAACCAAACTTATAAAGAGATTTCTTAAAAAGTATATTTAAACAAGAAATTTAGATGCAGTTGCAATACTTAATTTTGACATCAACTCTTCAGAATTTCTTGATTTAGTCTTTTTTTTAAAAAAAATTAACTGTCCAACACACAAAAAGAAATGCAGGCATGCTATTTTTTTCTCCTAATTCCCATCTACAATCTTTGAGTAGCTAAAAGATAACTATATTAAAATAAAGCAAAATAACTTTTAAGTCAAAAAACAAACATCTCTGGAACACTCCCAAGTAATGAAAAACCCGACAGGGTAGCTTAAGTCCCCATGTACACCATAGAGATCTAAAGAAAATCGTGCCTACATTATCAAATATTTATCTGGAAATGGGAAATAACATTGCTACTCGACATGACTTAACTAAGCGATCTACTTTGCTCTCATCTTTTGCAGACATGTGGTGCCCAATGTTTTCCCTTAGTCGACTGCTTTCTCATTAGTAAACAACTTATTAGCTCTTTCTCTGGTGCTCAAATGAGAGGGAAAATGAAAGTCTGAAAAGCATCAGCATCTGAGCTCCCGGATCTGGGCAGGGGTAGCAGAGAAAGGCACCCTGTATTTATCACTCGGTTAAAAAAAAAAAAAGAAAGGAAAAGAAAAGAAAAAGATAACCCTCAAAATAGAGGAAAGAAACTCTGTCACCTGAAGAGGGCTGCTGAAGTGAAGCAAACATTTGGTGAGACTCGTTTTTTAAAAAAACTTGTCTAGGGGCTGGAAGTTATGGGGGCGCTCTTTGTGCGGAGTCTGAGGGGAGGGGGAGGGACAAGAAAACAGCTTGGGAGTCATTCAAAGGAGTTTAAGGAGCGGTGTACGGAGGAAAGGCGGGGCGGGGCCCGGCCGCGCGAAGGGAGGGGGCAACAGGGGCGTTCGCGGGTAGCTCTGACACCGAGGGAGGGGGCGACGGGCCGGCCTCTCCGGGGACCAGGCGAGAGCAGGCTCCCGCTGCAGCAGGGCTGCAGAGATGGGGTCCCCTCTGGTAGGCAGAATCAAACCAAAGCGGTGGCAGGCCAGGGCTTTGGCGGGGGAGAGGGTCCGGCTCCCCAGGGAAGCGGTTCCCCGAGGGAAGCATTTCCCGAGTGACATCCCGGAGTTTCCGCACTTAGCGGGCTAGGGGCGCGGCGGCCGCAGGGCTTTCCTCGGTCCCCGACGCCGCGCGGGGCTCTCTCCCTGTCTCCTCCGCCAGCGCCTCTCACCAGGGCCGCGGCCCTTACCTGCAGTTCCGTGAGCAGAATCTCCCCCCGTTCGGGGTTGGACGCCATTGCGCTCCGGTATGGACTCCGCACCTGGACGCGGCCGCCTCTGGCGAAGGGAGAAGGCGGGACGGGGCTCGGGGTGGGGGTGAGGAGAGGGGAGAGAAAGAAAAAAAAAAAAACAACTAGGGATTCATGGAGGCGCAGCCCCTGCTGGAGGCGCGGCTTATTCCGTCCGGTTCATCGAGAGCGGCGGGGAGCTAGGGCACTCGTAGCGGGCTTCCTCTCGCCGCCCTCACCGGACTGTTCGTCTAGTCGCTCCCTCTGGGCGACGCCAGGAGCCGCCTCAAGCCTCTCCGTGCGGGCGCTGCGGCCGCGGCTGCAGCTCCTCCTGTCGCACCATTTGGCTGTCACCGCGTCGCAAAAGCGGCCTCACTTGGCGGCTGCCAGCACACGTGACGGCGGCAGCCACTGCCCCTCATCGGGCAGGGAAGGTGGGGCGGAGGGGTTCCCTAGGGCGAACGCGGCGAGGGGGCGGGGCGTCTTCCGACCCGACTCCGCGGCGAGGGCAGCCATTGGACTCGGCTGGGGTGAAAATGAGGGGAAAGGACTGGGCTCGAGTCTCTGGGGAGGCGGGAAGAGGAAGAAAACACACGCCTACTTTCCTGCTGCGTTTAACGGCTTCACTGTGAACGCTAGAACTCGGGAGCCTGCTCGCTGTTGTTTTTTCGGGTTTCGTTTTTTTTTTCTTTCTTTTTTTTTTTTCCCAGTTCCACCTTGCCGAAACTTGGGCCTAACTTTAACAGGCCCTTTTCTAACCTCCATAACCCAAAGAGCTTCGGGACTCAGATCTTACAGATTATTCCTCTGCTCTCCCCTTGACCCCCACGTCAACCCAAACTAATAATCTTGCCTTTTGCTCACCCTCAAACCCAGCCCCCAGCGCGCCTTCTCGACCAGTTAAGGTGCACAGCTAGCTAAACGGGTATGGTCTGTACTTTTCATGAAATGTAAGCGGCTGGATCCCTGGCAACTTTTAATGTACGGCCTTTAAGATGTCTTTTTCTTGAGGTTGAACTACTGTTGCTTGTACTGGAGAACTGTACAGAGCTGAGAATTAGCTGGGTTTTTTTGGGTTGTTTTAACTTTATTTAAGGGAGGGGGAGGTGGGACGGGATTACCCTCGGGAAAGGAAAAAAGCCACCTTTCCTTGGCGTGGTAAGCATTAAAGCTAACCTGACTACTTAGTAAAATATAGCTAAGTAAAGTAAATCTAGGTGTTTGTTTTTAATGACACTATGGTATTAAGGAATTTCGAAGTCTCCTACAGGTAGCTTTTGTTTTTGTTTTGTCTGAGCAGTGAATGGATAGGTAAACGCGTAACTTTTGATTTTTTGAAGCTGCGGTACAATACCTTTGTTAAAACTACCTGGAGAGAGTGGTAAGGGTTATTTAGGTACGTTGCTACTTAGAAAGGGCATTCGTTGACATATTTCTTAGGAAGTGTAACATTATGTACTTCTCACACGCTCCATGTAACTCTGTTGGCCTGATGCCAGGACTTAACGTCTATCCTTTTGCCTTCTCAAGTCTCATACATCAATTCAGCAAACATGTATTGAAGATCTGGAGTTCTGTGGCCACAGTTTCTGAACTCTAACTTATCATATGTGTGATAAAGAATTTTTCTGGTGTGTACTTCACAAGTCTTACAACTATTTATGTGTCTAGTATATTGCCTTGGTTGAAGATGATAATTAAATACATGAAAGAACACTTGGAAAGGCCGGGATATGATTACCTTTACTGGTAACTAAAAGCCAGATGGTTTCCTAGGCTTTGGAGTTACAGAAAGGATTAGGAGTTCTTATCCGGCCAGGCGCAGTGGTTCACGCCTTTAATCCCAGCACTTTGGAAGGCCAAGGCTGGCCGATCATCTGAGGTCGGGAGTTCGAGACCAGCCTGGCCAACTTGGTGAAACTGTCTCTACTAAGAATACAAAAACTAGCTGGGCGTGGTGGTGTGCGCCTGTAATCCCAGCTACTCGGGAGGCTGAGGCAGGGGAATTGCTTGAACCCAGGAGGTAGAGGTTGCAGTAAGAGTGAGACACTGCCTCAAAAAAAAAAAAAAAAAGGTACTTATCCTTGGGGTGACTGGAGAATTCTTTGGGGAAGCCAACTTATGTCCGAACAACAATAATGCCATTTTAAGTAATAGATACAGTGTTAGGGGAGCACTGCATGCATTTGTGTGTGTGTGTGTATAATGTTTTATTATGGTAAAATGCATAATCAAATTTATTATAACCATAAGTGTACAATTCAGGGGCATTGAATGCACACAGATTTATTTATTTATTTATTTTTGAGACAGAGTCTCGCTGTGTCACCAGGCTGGAGTGCAGTGGTGCCATCTCAGCTCACTGCAACCTCCGCCTCCCAGGTTCAAGTGATTCTCCTGCCCCAGCCTCCTGAGTAGCTGGGACCACAGGCGCATGCCAACACTCCTGGCTAACTTTTGTATTTTTAGTAGAGACGGGTTTCACCATGTTGGCCAGGTTGGTATCGATCTTTTGACCTCGTGACCCTCCTGCCTCGGCCTCCCAGAGTGCTGGGATTACAGGTGTGAGCCACCGTGCCTGGCGTACAAATTTATTTTTGTCAAGGCTTACTGCAGAATGGATTTGAGATGGCTGACATGCACATAGAAGGTGATTAATAATGGTGGAACTAAGAGTTAACTGTGCAAGGGCTTAGAAATACAGTCAATGAGCAGTCTTTGTAAAAATTAATTTAGATATAAATGTTCACATTTCAGCATCATGTAATTTTAGAACTAGAAGTGACTTGAAATATCTAGCTTAACTCCTATTGTAGGTAGGAAAAAAAATTAATAGTTTCCTTAGCTAATTAGAAGCAAGACAGCAGTATTACTTAGTGGCAGAGATGGGGACTATTACCTAAGTCTCCTAATTGCCATCCATGCTTGTTTTAACCTTCACCATGCCACTATAATAACTTTAAATTGATATTAAACTGAAAGCATTAAATTTTTACCGTAGAAAAAGACTTTAAATGTTACACACTTCTAATGTTAAAAGTGTTAATAATTAAAAAAAATTTTTTTGAGACAGTCTCGCTCTTTTGCCCAGGCTTGACTGCAGTGGCATGATCATAGCTCACTGCAACCTCAAATTCCTGGGCACAAGGGATCCTCCTGACTCATCCTTCAAAACAGCTGGGACTATAGGTGCACACCACTGTTGATAAGGAATATTAATTTTACATTTCACATGTAAATTTAAGCAACAAATATACAAAGTTTTTAAAGTTAAGGAATTATTTCTGAGATTAGCTGTGCTAGGGAAAGTAGTACAAAAGGGAGGCCAACAATATTAAAACTACTTGATAATCTAAAATATGTGATGATTTAAACAGCAAATTAGTTTCATTTAAGCTAAAATTTACTACCCAGGTCACATTCTCTGTTCAGGGGGAAAAAAACGTAATAGGACATGGATCATACTTATCAGACTGAAGCACACTTGAAAAAGTTTTAATGGAAACATATCAGGTTGATTCAGATGGGTTGTATTGGGCCCCTATTTACAAATGTGTTTAGAGAATCTTAAATATAGTTCAGAAGTAATTTACATTAACAATAAAAAAAAAAGAAGAGTTTTTTTAGTGTCCATTTAAGAGGGCAAAGTCCTTAAAAATATCTGGATTGTATCACTAGTTATGCTGGTACCTTTTTAAATTTTTCATAAATATTTTAAAGGTCTTTAAGAAGTAGAAATGACCAAAAATCTAGAAATAAATAGAAAGTGTTATCTTTTTTTCTTAAAGATGGGATGTTACAGGAAAAATTCTAGAAAAGCTAACAACTTTTTTTTTTTTTCATTTTCTGTGCTTTTGAAACAGATATTCAGATAATATGGGCCCTCTTTTTCCTTAAATTTCAAGTGAAATGAGACAGGAACCATATGTCCAGGGAAAGGGCCAGAAATCTTTATTTTGTGAGTCACATTTTTATTGCCTTCCGTTGTTTATTTCCCTTTTGCTTGTCCTTAATATTTGTAAACTGTTCAATTCAAACGTGTCCCTACAGTATGATGGAGAATCAATACAAGAGTTTTGTTTTGTTTTGTTTTCCTTTCGTTGTTGTTGTTTTCCATGTTAGAAGAAAAAGCCCACCCCTACTTCCAAAAGATTAGAATGAAGTAGCAGTGGTAATCAAAGTAAGAGTGCCTAAGGAAAGGCAAAACTCCAGAGGTCAGAGTAAGAATTACTTGGTCACCACCCTCTTCTTCCTTAAGAAACCCCCTTGTAGAAATCATTCTCTTGTATGCGCTCTGAAGATAATTTTGAGCACAGGGTTCTTGATTAAGAACACAGAAGAGTAGTCAACTATAGTGACTACAGTAGCTGCTTTTTAGAATGTCAGCTCAGTCCACATCCACTTGACTGAAAATTCCTCCTATACACAGAGATATCTCTGAAGCCATGTTGACTCTGCTTAACATAGCTCTTCCAGTAAACTATGATTAGATCACTGATAGACCATATCCAGGTTTAGCCAATCAGATTTTCCCTCTAAGACTTTGGAAACAGATCATTGGAATGCTGATCAATTGGCAGTCTAGAGTGGCAAGGTGTTGTTCTATGGATTGGATAGCCATTTTCTGCCATGTGCACAACAATGCAGAAAAACTTCTCTTTGGAACGAGAAAAGAATTTAATTCTTCCTGTCACTGGGAATATAATGGTTACCAAAGCATACCTGGTCGCTTTTGTCATGGAACTTGTAGTTTGGTAAAACAGGTATAATGATAAGGTAAATTCATAGTACTTTAAACATAGGGCAGACAATCTTTTCCTAAGTACTTCACACTTAAGCTGAGTTCTCATAAGTGTGTAAATGTTAACTGAGGGGGAAAAGGTGTAAAGAGCCTTCCAGGGAGAGAGAATAACATAGATAAATAGTTATAATGTGGGAGGGGGAAACTTTATTGTAATTACTCTAAGGCTAAGTAGGCTATAGCAAAGAGATGGAATAAGTAAGAGTGTGTAGACCATATGTATCAGGATAGGCTAGGTTATGCTGAGTAACAAAATACTCCAAAAGCTTGCCAGTGGTCTACAGGAAGGTTTATTTACCTCCCATCCTACATGCTTAACATGGCTCTGCTCCATGACATCTTCACTCTGGACTGAGGCTGACTGAGCAATCTAAAATTGTCATTGTCATGGCGGAAGGAAAAGTGGTAAAGCATGGTTCTTAAAGTGTAGGCTCACATTTTTTTCTCTTTTCATCAGCCAAACATTTGCCATGCCTGAGAACAACAAGGGGGCACAGACAGCGGTACCACAATGAAGGGTACTGAATGTGGGTGAATAGTAATCCAGTTCTATGTTTTAAGATTTTGAAAGCCAGGCAGGGTGGCTTGTTCCTGTAATCCCAGCAACTCAGGAGGCTAAGGGAGGAGGATCGTTTGAGGCTTGGAGTTAGAGACCTGTCTTGTCAACACAGCAAGACCCTTTCTCAAAAAATAAAATTTAAAAAAGATTTTGATGTTTATCATAGCAGTAATGGAAATACCACTGAATAAATTTTTCACTTTAAACAAGTTACTCTGGCTGTAATGAGGAAAACAGTTTTGAAATGGCCAAGAGTCGATTTGGGGAGAAAAATTAGGGGACCATTTTAGTTTTCCAGGCAAAAAAAGGGTGGGTAGTACTTTAAAGTCGGGTCATGGCAGTAGAAATGGAGAGAAGCCAATAGATTTAATAGATAGGAGAATCTAGTCATGTTCAAAAAGAAGCAGAGGTGAGAGAATATGTGGTCCCAGGATGACAGAGGAAATATAGCAGGTTTGGTTCTCAATGTCTTAATAGTAGCTGACTCCAGTCTTCCAGGAAGTCCAGCTACTCTATTCTTTGTTCTTGGGTTCCTTGTATTCTCCTCATAAATTTCCCTTCCTGCTTAAGCTTGTGTGTGCGTGTGCGTATGTGTGTTTAAGCAAACAGCCATAACTAGGCTATTAAGCCAAGGAGATAACCATCAGAGAAAGCATCACACCACAGTTCTGCCTACAGGACACAAGTAACTAGGACCAGCAACACAGTTTAACTGGTGTTATCTCTTCTTCCAATGACTCCATCTCTACCCGTTCTGCTTATTGTTCCCAAAGGATCCTGACACCAGCAAATGTACAAATTATAAACAATGAGTACATATTAGATCTCATATGAACCTTCCCGTAGTACTTTGTTCATATATCTGTTAGGGCAATTTTTTGTATCATTGGATACAGTCTTGCTCTCACACTAAACTTTAAGTCGCTAGAAAAGGCCCATGTGTCTTAGATAGCCTAGTATAGTATCTCTTACGTAGCAGATATTTGTGTGTGTATATGTATGTGCAATTCTGTATGTATTACAGAAATTTAGGTTGTTAGCTAGGGACTCCATGGCCCTCAGAAAATTAGGTAAGCTTGCCTTGAAGGCCCAGTTTCATAGCCTCTAAAGTCAAGAGCCTCTTTTCACCTAGTCCAATTTTTGGACCCTGAAAGGTTATTCACAAATATTGTCCTCCTTCTCTCTTCCTCCACATGTATTCCCACAACACTCCTCTATCACCTTTGTTCTTTGACTATGCCTATATTGATAGGGATCAGAAGCCCAGCCCGTAACTTTTAACTACCAAAACCCTCTGTCTTCAAGCATTTCATGAATTCATTAACTTTGTACCAAACATTTAAGAGGGATCACATGACAGGATCTGATGCCTTTCACCCCAATGTTGGGTCTTTTGCTCTTTTTTCACCCTCAATACATTAACAAGCAAATCCTGCTCCTTTCCCTGCTACAGTTTGATCATACTCAGGTTTTTCTGATTCTCAGCTGTTATCCCAAATAAGATTATTTGGACATTTCTTCAAAATATAAACTGTTCTTTTGAAAGGGGTACCAGAAAATACCATTTTTTCTAACTTGGGACCTAATCAACTGAATGAATGCTAACTGCTTGAGTTGTATGTATTTGAAGTAATGAAAAGAAAGTGTGCTTTAATCACTATTGAGAAGTTGAACTTTTTATTCTTACCCTCAGTGTTATATATTGAATATTGTCCTCTACAAATTCATATATTGAAATCCTAACCTCCAATGTGATAATATTAGGAGGTGGGGGCCTTTGGGAAGTAATTAGGTCATGAGGGTGAAGACCCCATGGATGAGATTAGTGCCCTTATAAAAGACTCTCCAGAGAGCTCTCTTGCTCTCTTTCTGCCATGTGCAGATGCAATGAGAAGTCAGCAGTCTACAACCTGGAAGAGGGCCCTCACCAGAACCTGACCATGCTGCACCCTGATCTCAGACTTCTAGATCCGGAACTGTCTGAAATAAATTTGTTTTACTCGTAAGCCATTCTGTATGGTTTGTTACAGTAGCCCAAACAAAGACACTAAGGATCTCTTTATACTCTTTGAAAATTACTGAAGACCCTAAAGAGTTTTTATGTGGGCTATATATTGTGATGTTCACTGTATTTGAAGTTAAAACTGAAGAATTTAAAAAACCGGAATATACCAGCTCACATTTCATTAGCCATCAGAGTGATGGCCTCATTCTATGTCACACAACCTCTGAAAAATTCCACCCTACCCCTATGGGAGAATACAAGTGAAAAAGGCAAGTGATATCTTAATTTTTATTTATTTTTTTTGAGACAGAGTCTCGCTCTGTCGCCCAGGCTGGAGTGCAGTGGTGCAATCTCGGCTCACTGCAACCTCCACCTCCCGGGTTCAAGTGATTCTCCTGCTTCAGCCTCCCGAGTAGCTTGCTGTGTGGCAACACAGCAAGACCTTCTCTCAAAAAATAAAATTTAAAAAAGATTTTGATGTTTATCATAGCAGTAATGGAAATAAATTTTTCATTTTAAACAAGTCACTCTGGCTGTAATGAGGAAAACAGTTTTCCTTGGATGCCTGTGCCACCGCGTCCAGCTAGTTTTTGTATTTTTAGTAGAGACGGGGTTTCACCATGTTGGCCAGGCTGGTCTTGAACTGACCTCAGATGATCTGCCTACCTCAGGTGTTATGCCTGCCTCAGCCTTCCAAAGTGCTGGGATTACAGGCGTGAGCCTCCGCCCCCGACTGTCGACATCTAAATATTATTATGAAAATAGGTTTAACCTTAGAGACCTTCTGAAAAGGTTTCTTAGGGGTCCTCAGACCACACCTTGAGAGCTGCTGCTCTAATCTATAAGGCTGCCTCTGATGATTCTGGAATAGTAATATTTTTCTACTTGTAAATATGGGAACGTGTTCTCTGTGCTTCCAGAGTTTAAGATCTGTGGTGCCAAAATACAAGCTTCTGAAGATCTGTGGGCTGAAGTACAAGCTTCTTGGCCTTTCAAGTGAAATGTTGGTGCTATGTGTGGGAAAATTTGGCTGGCCATGTCAAAATGGAAAAGGAATATAAGTATGAAAAAATTTACATAATAAACATGACCATTTTACTACTAGTGCTTCCTTCATCAGAAACATCTTCTGCAACTTAAAATAGCAATAAAAGTCAATAGATACAAAAATATTGACCATACCAAACATTTTAAAGGGTTTGGTTGGGGGAGATGGACAACAGGGAGCTTGCTTTCCCTACCATCATTTCTTCAGCATCCAGCTATCATTCAATCATGTGTATGTACTATCTGAATTAGAGTAAAGCTAAACTTTTCTATCAAAGAGGACCCAAAACACTATGGCTTAAAGAACACTGAAATTTGCTTATTTCTCACACACAAAGACTGTACCAGGAACCCAGGTTTTTTCTATCTTGTTGCTGTGCACTTTCTAACTTATCATTCACCATGGCATTATTCTCAGCTGCATGGTTGAAGATGGGTCAAGGAACTCCATGATCTACCTCATGCGAAAGAAAAAGGAGCATGGAGGATCATATATCCAATGTCTTGAGACCCAGGCTCAAAATTACACATTTCTGTTCATATTCCATTCTGGGAATGTAGTCACATGGCCACACCTAGCTTCAAATGAGGCTGAGAAATGTCATCTCTAACTGTGTAGTTATGGACCTTGCTACAACTCTTCCTACAGAACAGGGACAGGGTGGATTTTGATGGACAATTCACAATATCCACTTCATAGGTATTTTAGTCAGTGATTTTTGCCGTTGGTAAAGCATTCTACTTCTCAGGCTTTAAAATGTGAGCTTCAGAGCAAATGTATTATATATATCAGTTATAAAAAAAAAAGACCATAAATTCTTAGAAAACTCCCTCCTAGCTTGAACCTTCTCAGAACCCAGCCACTGTTCTGTAAGAAGTCAAAGCTTCATGGAGAAGCCATATATATAGGTGTTGTGGTTGATAGTCCTAGCTGAACCTAGCCTTTAAATCATCCCAGCCCAGTCACCAGACAGGAGGGTAAAGACCTATTTCCCTCTTGGTAAGAGATCTTCCATTCTCAGCCCTTCCAGTCCCCACCAGTTCAAGTTGCTTCCAGCTGTTGGAAGCATCCTATTTGAGGCCCTAGACATCATGGAAAGAGACAATCCCCACTATGTCCTGTACAAACTCCCAAACCATAGAATTTGTGAGCATAATGAAATGGTTGGTTGGTTGGTTTGGTTGGGGGAAGGGGGGACAGAATAATAGATATACATGGCAATATTTAACTAGAATATACATTCCAAGTCAGATATTTAAATAGGCCCTCTTCTCAAACTTTCCATTGATAGAATTTTTTGAAATATTTAAACTATCTAAAGTGAGTGATTAAAAACATTTTAGCTTGGCCAGGAGGGGTGACTCACACCTGTAATACCAGCACTTTAGGATGGCGAAGCAGGAAGATCACCTGAAGTCAGGAGTTTGAGACCAGCCTGGCCAACATGGTGAAACCCTGTCTCTACTAAAAATACAAAAAAAAAAAAAAAAAAAAAAAAAAAAATTAGCCGGCATGGTGGCACGCACCTGTAGTCCCAGCTACTCAGGCGGCTGAGCCAGGAGAATCACTTGAACCTGGGAGGCAGAGGTTGCAGGGAGCCGAGATCACACCACTGCACTCCAGCCTGGAAGACAGACTGAGAATCATCTAAAAAACAAAAACAAAAACTCAGTTTAGCTTTTACAATTCATTCACTCATTTGACAAAATCTATGGAGTATCTAAAATTTACTGGGGTTATACCTGCATACACACATTAGGATCCAATTATATTCACTCCTGTGTTTCCCATGTAGATTTTGAGCTTCTTGAGTGAAAACAATATATATTACTTCTGTAATCTCCACAGCATCCAGTAATATATAAAGTTTAATATGAGTAGAAAGTGCTTGATAAGAACTTGTTTGATGATTTTTAAAATGTATAATAGAAATGTATATATGTAACCATTCTTTATGTGCATACATACCACTTATTCAAGTGTGGCTGAAAATATGTGTATTTTCTAATTAAAAATAAGAACTGCTAGTTATAGGTACTTATAAAATATAAAAGCGATTTTAAAATATGTCACTTTATAAAGATTCTTATGAAGGGTTTCCTATTAAAGATGCTATTTTGGAAGAGTATTACAGTCATTTGCATATTTATTTTTGTATGCTGGTAATTCACATGATCTGTGTATTGCTTTTACAGTTTAACTGTAAGCCTCTTGCCAAATGAAATTTTATTTTTAAAGTACCTTATCACCACACACACATATGCAAGCAGTCTGAATTGTATAAAATATAAGATCCACATTTCAATTGCTTTACTTTGTTGCCTATCACAACTAGAGCATCCTAAAATTCTCCTTTATTAGAGCAAAATGTGGCTGATTCAAATATCATACTTCAGCTGCCTTCACCATTTGAATGAAATAAGCTCCCAGCAAGATGTATTCAAGAAACTATGGTTCAAACTGTGTTATTCTGCTATAAAGCAATCTGCTAAACATTTCTGAAGCAATTTAGCTGTGACTTAGTTGCAAACAATGTGGACACTTAATCTGTGACTTGAAATTGGGGCTACAGAGAAGTATTCAAGACTTTTCTCATGAGTTCACTTGCTTCAGAGAAAGATACTTCCTATTTTCTTATGAGCTAAGAATGGAAAGCTAAGAACTATCAACTATATTAAAACAATGAAAATGATCAACCTTATAAGTTGAGTTTGTATTAAATCTGAAGTATTGTAGATATAATGATACTATATCACCTATTGTAGGTATAAATATATTATAAGGGCTTTTACCCAAAAGAATAGGACTTGCTTTTAGAATTATTCTGGGTTATATTTGTCTTACCATAAATTCTTCATAAATATATCTTACCTATATTATTAACATCATTTTTTCACTGTTTTCTCAGCTGATAGACTCTGTATTTGGAGTAATTATTTGCCTAAAAAATGCATGCCATCTTGACGAGGTCAACATTCCAAAAATATTTTTTGTACTGAGTTAATAAAATATGTTACATTAATCAACTGTACTATAATCTTTGATACTGATCAAACCATGTTTAAATTTGAAATTCACTATTTATAATATATATATCAATATATGAATAAAGATAAAGGAAAATGGACACAGAGGTTTATCAAAATAAGGGAAAGTAAATCCTTATTCTTATTTCAAGTCAGTTATTTTTAAAGATATTATTTAGGCTATGACTAATATGTCAAAACTCACCATGTAGAAATCATGTGGGTATAACTGTACAATGTTAAAATTCACTTATGTTTGTTTAAAATAACTGTTGATTAGCCAGATTTTCTTATATTTCAACCTCTTGGTTTGGCATTATGTGAGTAGTATAGTAATAGAATAATAATAAAGCAAATAATTTTTTGTAGCCTGTTATTTAAGACATTTTACATTAACTCAGTTTTTTCACTTTTGAACTATCTTTCTAAAACCATTAACCTTCAAATGCATTTTTATCTTCGAACTGATTCATGATGTAGACTAACATTTTAGTTGTGGCAGCTCTGAATTAATCACTTTTCATTAGTACCTGTTTTACTTACCGTAGGTACCATGCTAAAAGTTGATCTCAATTTGGGCCTTCTCCTATTACTTAAATGCTGAAAGAATTTAAATTTCTTAGTTATAATGATAAACTCAACTCATTTGTTTTTATTTGAAAGGTAAATGAGGCCAGAAGCTATAAAGGCTTTTATGAAAATAAAAAGCTTACTCAAAGTGTTAGATTTGATTTGTTCGGTATGCAGTGTTGATGGGGCATCCTTTGCCTAAGGCAGTATTAATGGATGAAAGTCAGGACATTCCTGGCAGAGATTTGAGGTGTAATGGTGAAGATTTTCTGTATATTCATTCCCTCTACACTTGGTGTGATATTGACCTGGTCTTTTGGAGAGATATAACTTGTAAACAAATCATAGTTACATCTACAATTGGCAAACTATGTTTTTCAGCATACCATTATTTTTTTCTCCTGCTCTCCTCTACTTACTTCCTTCTCTATCCCATGGGGTTAGAAATTACTTTGAACAGATTGGTGAATAAGGGTAATATTCCACAAGCTACAGCATCCACTCTTTTTATGGTTTGGATTTTTTTTCTCTATCTCTGTATCTCTATATACTTCTGAAATCTGTAATTCTTGTGTGTTTTGAACCTAACTCATCCCCCCAAAACAATTCTAACTTTAATATCCTCCCTCAATAATCCATATCTTCCTTATCAGTTACATTCTTAAAATTCTCCCTTTTGTCAAATCTATATACAGTTGTCCATGAGTGATTGTTTTCAGGACCACCCCCTCGTATCCAAATCCACAGATGCTCAAATCCCTTGTGTAAAATGGCATAGTATTCGCATATACCCTACCCTGTATATTTTAAATTATCTCTAGATTACTTAGAATACCTAATAAAATGTAAATGCTGTGTAAATAATTGTTATACTATAATGTTTAGGGAATAATGACAAGTAAAAATGTCTGTACTTGTTCAGTACATATGCAACCATCCATTTTTTAAATGTTTTCAATCTGATGTTGGTTGAATTCAAAGATAGGAAATTCATGGATACAGAGAGCTCTCCACTATCAACTTTGAAAATAGAATAGCTGAGTTTTACATTTAGCAATTGAAAATAAGAGAAGTAATTTGCAGATATAAGTATGTATTAGATTAATTGGATGACTTCAAATCTCTGTCCAGCAATTGTCAATTTGTTTACATGTAATCCAAATGCAATTTTCTTAAATATCAAGGGAGTGAGTTAGAGTCCTATTTGTTTCTTAATTTGAATTGTCT
Source organism: Homo sapiens (assembly GCF_000001405.40). Taxonomy (NCBI): domain Eukaryota; kingdom Metazoa; phylum Chordata; class Mammalia; order Primates; family Hominidae; genus Homo; species Homo sapiens. Next base: position 88,671,353 of record NC_000001.11, on the reverse strand, counting down.
TGTGAATCAGCCAAGGTACAGAAAATAAAACATGATAAGCCAAAGTACAGAAAAATTTTTATTTTCATTTCAGGCAGGCAGTCAAGGGTATTAAGATTTGAGCTCTAGCTTTAGGTCAAATTGCCCCTACAATTCTACTGTTATTATTTTTACCTATTACATTACTTTGTATATTTCTGTTTCCCTGTATTGGTATCTGTTTAATGAGACCACAAACAGTAAAACAGTAAAGAACAAAGAGATAAGGAGAATGAAACAACAGTAGAATTTAGAAGTTAAATAAAACACATTCAATTTTACCTCTTTCCAGAGGAGCCTATACCAGCTCTAAGTTCAACTGCCTGAGACCAAAGTAATGATTCTGTCAACCTATTTGCCTTGATCAGAATGCTTATTTGGCCTAACCATTACATATGACAAAAGATAACTTGTATATGTTGCATGTGTGTGTGTGTTTACATGGGTCAAATACATTTCTTATGTCAATAATAATATAGTAAACATTTATGCCAAATACTGTTCTAAATGCTTTATAGTTTATCCTCCCAACGACCCTATGAAGTAAGTACTATTAGTACTTATCTTTTATAGGTGAGGAAACCGAGACTTAGCAGGGTTAAGTGAACTGCCCATGGCTTCACAGATGCAGGAGGCAGAACCAGAACTCAAAATTGCCTGGCTCTAGAGTCTATGTTCTCTCAATGCCAACACTCACTTATGCAACTATGAACTCTGAAATCCATTGATTAATAGGTTGAGGCAGAACAAAATTAACAAAATAGGATTATATTTTGCTTGATCCCCAGTCTATTCAAATCTGTGTAATAGATAGAATATATCTATTTTATATATAAAAATCGTTACATCAAACATTTTTTTCTAAAAACTTTTCCAAAGTGAATATAGTATTTTATATTAAAACTACTCAAAGGAGTTAGGAGATCATTATGACCCTTTTATCCCTACCTTTTCACTTCAAATCATGTGTTTAGGTAGGAACATCACATGTATGTTCTACTGGCATGTAAAGGACATATAAAAGGCATATTTTTATATCTCCAGTGCACTACTTTTGAAATACACCCTTTATTACTGTGGTGTTTTCCTAATTACTCATTTCTAATTACATTCACAAGTCATTATTAATAATGACATCTTATTCCTTATTCAGTTAAACATTTGCATAATGTTCTTTATACAATTAAGCATTTGCATAGGTATTTTGTATTACACAATGTACCTAGATCATTTAACACTATATGTGAAAAGACATAACTCATTTGTCTAACTTAAAACTAAAAACCAGAAAATTCAGAAATGATCTTGAAATTCTTCTTTAAAAAACATACTGTGAGTAGATTTAAGGAAAAAAAATGTCATGTGAAGACTGCATATTCTTTCAGTATTGGCTGGCACTCTTAAAATTTAATGTACCTCACAATAGATTTAGTTTATAACACTATGACAAAGTTAGGAGCAGCTTTCTGTTATTCAAATATTCTCACTCTGTATATTTAAATTTCTTAATTGAACTAATCTAATTCTGAAACTCAAATTCTAACCAAGTATCCCTGGGTGCATTGTGTCTCAATTGTAGGCAATAAATGATCACCAGTTCAAGGCAATAATTGTATATCTTCCATCTACATATTTAAGATTAATAAGTAAAAACAAAGGAAAAGACAGCCTCACACATCTTTGAATTTCAGCACCTCCCTCAGTGATCTCATTTACTCTTCCAGCTTCCACTAACTCCCAAATTTAGAATTATATCCTAGACCTCTCCTGTTATCTTCAACCTCACATTGAATAGTCTGAATATTTCCACTTACACATTTCACTTTCACCTCAAACTCAAATTATTTAGAGCCGAACACATCACCTTTAAACAAGTCTTCCCTTTCAAGTTTCCTTATTTCTGTGAAAAGTATCTTCATTCTTCTAGTTATCCAGACCCAAAATAATTAAGTGATTTTTGACTCCTATCTCTCTACTCTTTTTTTACCTCACCCATTGTCGATTGCAAGTCTTATCTGTTTATTACTTTATTAATGCTTCTTACATCCATCCCTTATTTTTTCTACTGCCACAATATATTTCATAGGCTCATAACGAACTAAATATTCTCCCAAATCACTTAGGATGTTTGAATGAGCTATTCCTACAAAATCAATTGCACTATTTTCTGCTGCTGGTACCTGCTTACTGTTGACAACATCAAATTCTTCAGTAAGTTCTCTACAGCATTTTTTTTTTTCATGGCTGGTTTTCTTGTTTTCCAGTCATTTGGAGCTAGCAGCTACACTAGTCTAGATTCCTTCTGTTTTTCTATTCACTACAAATCTCATAGCAGAGACTACCTCTCTGGCAATACAACTGATTTGTAATTCACTGTTAGCCTTAGATTGCCTTTGTTTGAAGCTCACTCCTGAATTACCAGAGGAGTGAGCCATGATCTCAGAGACAGATCATTCTCTCTTCCCACCCACAATTCCTAATCCCCTAAACCTAACCTCAGTCTTCTCTTTCTAATCATAAGGTGGAACATCCTTTCCCAAGAGACTACTGATACATACTAAGTTCATACAGGGCCCCAGTTGACCAACAAATTAATCTCATTTAGCACTTCACATGAATGGTGAAATCATTTGCATGTTTAGTGATGACAATAAGTCTCTACTCCCTATCCCATTCAAAGCTTTACCATAATGTCTATCCGCGTTGGGGTTATACTTTCAACATCTGCTGTTGCTACACATAAAAGATGAAATTCAAATGTGTGACACATTCATGAGCATACTTAAAGAGGCTTCACATTATGTGAATGAATCTGTAGTTCTGAGCCTTTTTTCTCCCATTCTATAAAGCATTCACGAATGTGTGTGTGAGAGAGAGAGAATGATCATCTCATCATTTGGATGACCTTAAATCTTCTCTTAAAAAGAAGAGCACTGTTAGAAAACATTAGAAGCACATCTATTTCTAGGAAGAAGTTACTTAGGATATACCTCATATTCTTCACAACAGGTAAATATACTATTTTCCTATGACCATGGAGTTGAGAACATTGCCAAAAAAAGTGAGTTTACTTTTATTTTTTTCAAAAGCTTTACAAGAAAGGAGAGGTTAGACTTCTTACTTGACCTCACAAAGGTACATTTAAATAGAGGTCCCCCTTCTTTTCATCAGAGACCATACTTGGAAAGTCTCTATAAGGTAAGTGGCTTACGTATATGAGTGAAGTGCAGGATATAAGAAAAACAACATTGTAAGCTTGAGGATAAATGACAACTGACACTGAACTCTGTCTGGGAGATATTAAGGGATGATAGGGACTCCAGAACATGGTCCAGCCCTGCTATGGCCTGAATTTTGTTCCCCTCCCTGACAAATTCCAATGTTGAAATTCTACCCCTCAAGGTGACGGCAGTAGAAGGTGGGGCCTTTGGGAGGTGATTAGGTCATGAGAATAGTCCCCTCATGAATAAGATTAGTGCCCTTATAAGAAGCCCAAGAGAGAACCATCATATCATCTACCATGTGAGAACATAGTGAGAGGGGGCCATTTATGAACCAGAAAATTGGCCTTCACCAGACACTGAACCTACTGGCACCCTGATCTTGAACTTCCCAGCATCCAGAACTATGAGAAATTAATTATTTTTTGTTTGGGAGCACCCAGTTTATGATATTTTCTTATAGCAACCTGAGTAGACTGAGACAAGCTTTATCTCAGAAATGAAGTTGCTACATGGGATAGAATTCAGTGCTAAGGATGGCAGAGTGGAAAGACAGAAAGAACCTGGATCCCTGATGATTGTGGACCATACCACCCCAGGACTACCTACCTCCACACAAAATTGATAAGTCCCGGGAAGTGGTAGCTTCAGCATACCAGACCCAAAGATCAGTAAGGCTCTTTCTGTCTTTCAAGTCTTACTTGCCTCTGCTTCTCCTAGCATGCTAGCTTCTGTCTCTTCTGAATAGAATCTCTCCACGTGGTGGGAAAAGTGCCACCAGCAACTTCTCATTTGGCACTTCACATGAATAGTGACAACATCTGCATGCTTCAGGCTCCGTACTTGGAGCTTGTGATCCTAAAGCAATAACAGGATACTCCTCCCTTATACCTTTAGCTGAAAAGTTCTGGGTCCTTGGATTGGCCTGGGACAGGTGCATGCCCATCCCTGAACTAGTATGATTGGCCTTTCAGACCAGTTGAGTAGGGGAATTATTTCCTGAAGGAACTAGAAGGCAGACAAAAACTATACTTTCCATAATCTATTGCATCTCCTGTATTGCAATTATCTTTTTAGTTCTCCATCTCCTCTACTGCTTTGTAGGGCCTTGAGGGCAAAGACTGTGCCTTATTAATTTTGTACTCACCCAGCCAAGACTAGGACCTGGCTTATAGTAGACCTTCAGCAAATAGTTGCTGAAGAAAAAAATGAACAAACAAATCCAGGCAAAGAATTTGAATAGGAGTGGGTTAGGAACCCATGACAAAACTGTAAGCAATAGGTAAAAATACCAGCAATAAGTGACGGCATTACGACCACTAAGCTAGCCTCAGGTCTGGGAATTTTTTTTTTAATTAATTTTTTTCTTTTTTTCTTGAGACGGAGTCTGGCTCAGTCGCCCAGGTCGGAGTGCAGTGGCGCGATCTCGGCTCACTGCGAGCTCCGCCTCACTGGTTCACGCCGTTCTCCTGCCTCAGCCTCTCCGTATAGCTGGGACCACAGGCGCCCGCCACCACGCCCGGCTAATTTTTTGTACTTTTAGTAGAGACGGGGTTTCACCCTCGTGATCCGCCCGCCTCGGCCTCCCAAAGTGCTGGGATTACAAGCGTGAGCCACCGCGCCCGGTCAGGTCTGGGAATTTTATACAGTTCTGGCAGAGACAGGAACTTACTACAATGTAACGAGTTTAGACGGAATAAATGTGTAATTGGCATGTAAACTAGTATGCCTAGGCAAGCAAGTATTTTTTTTTGCAAGAAGTTCCTGAAAGTCTCTTATAATTTGTTGTTTAATCTTGTTAAAAATTTTAAAATGTCATATTTGCAAATATGGGTCAGGATGACAGAAATGTAAACCACTATCAGAGAAATCAGTTTGACTGACACAAATGATAAGGGATAATTTTAGACTCAGAATGGCTGGGGAACTACAAGATCATTTCATAGTAGGCAAGTCTCAGTTTTATTAACGCCTTCCCAAAGCATTAGCTCAGGTAGGACCACGTAATTTAATAAGGGAATTGTGCAAAGATAAGAAAAGATATAATAATAAAAACGAACATGAATGAGGTTCAAAATTGGCTTGTTTGGGAAATTAAGATGAGATAGCATGGGAGGGAGACTTGTGGTAAGAATTGCTGTATTCAGGGTTACGTGTGTATAGAAGGATGAGAAACATTCCGTAGAGAATTAGCCACAGGATCACTTTTGAGGAAAGAAGCCTGACAGGGGCCATCAGTGTTAATCTTAGGAAGAAATAATTTGTTGAGGAGGTGAGCAGAATAAAATATAGTCTTGTGAAAAGGATAGAGGTAAAATGAGTGAAAGATTTGCTTTAGAGATTCGATTTTATGCTCAGATTTTGAGAAATGTCTCTATTCTATTATATATAGACTATCCTGGCATTTGTTAAACAAGTATACCTTCTTAATCAATTCTTAAGTATTTGGTTTATTTTAAGGATTAAAAAAATTCAGATGCACTGAGCTTATTTTTACACTAGATGTTATCCAGATCCTATATGATGTTACAGAGGGCAAAAATATCATATTGTATTCATCATTGTATATTATCTCTGTATTTCCAAATCCTAATAAAGTCTACAGCCCCACAGTAGGCACTCAATAGATGCTTACTGAGTGAAAGATTCCTTAACTTCTGTAGTACTTTACAAATTCCAAAGAAGTTTCATACACATGATTTTATATAATACTATAGTAGCCTTTTGAGGTATTTATAATACATTTTTCAGATGAGAAAATAGATTTAAAAGAGGAAAATGACTTTCCAAGTCACAAAGATTTTGAATCCAAATCTTCTTCCTTCTGGTTTAGTTTAGTCTAGTCACAATGCTTCCTTTCTATGAGTAAAGTATATTTTAAATTACTACCACCCAGAGACATACAGAGATGTAGAGGCTATCTGTAGGTTTGTCTGGTCAGCACCATACCTTCTTTAGGGGACCAAATGCTGCCATTCATACTATTCTACCCTTCTGGTCACTGGAGTATGAAAATGATCCATTTCAAGCCCATAATACTACTCCAAGCTATTTCAATTTTAGTCCTTCTGGAGGATTTTTCAATTTAGAGGTAAAGAGGGTTATTGTCCTTTCAAGTTTCGGAGCCAGAAGGATGGAAAGTGAGTGTGGTCTGTTTATGGCCATGGAGGAAGACTATCGTAGTTGGAGAAAAATGAGACAAGCCAATTGTGAGGTAGAAAGATATAGAGCCCCAGGCTGATCACGCCGAATAGGTCAGCTCCATCCTAGATATGTTGAACCATATGAAATTGCCATTTTTTTGTAGGTCAAAAATGGCTAAATATCATTTTCATTTGGCTCAATCTAACATGCAATATTATCCAGAATCTTAAGAAAAATTTCCAGCTCAAGACTCTCTTGAGATAAATGGGAAAATGAGGGCCTAGAAATGTCAGAACACTAGCTCAAGGTTAGTACTAATGCAGGTTTTCTGAATTTCAGTCTAGAACCCTGTCCATTAAGCATAATGACTCTAAAATTTTAAATTAGTCACTTTCGGCTGGGCGCGTTGGCTCACGCCTGTAATCCCAGCACTTTGGGAGGCCGAGGCGGGTGGGTCAGGAGGTCAGGAGATAGAGACCACGGTGAAATCCCGTCTCTACTAAAAATACAAAAAAAATTAGCCGGGCGCGGTGGCGGCCGCCTGTAGTCCCAGCTACTCAGGAGGCGGAGGCAGGAGAATGGCGTGAACCCGGGAGGCGGAGCTTCCAGTGAGCCGAGATCGCGCCACTGCACTCCAGCCTGGGCGACAGAGCAAGACTCAGTCTCAAAAAAAAAAAAAAAAAATTTAAATTAGTCACTTTCAAATTTCATAAACCAGTTGCTCTTCACCACTTGTTTTATTTTAACTTTAGATTATTTTCTTCTTTGTTAAGTCTAGGGAAAGGGAAATATGCTGTATGACTCAAGGCAGACAGATTTACTTGTTATAAACTTTTCCAGGAAAAATAATTGATAGATTTTGACTAATATCATGAACTTTAAAACCAAAAGAAATAACCTGACACAAGTTAAACACATGGTCATTTTAAAGGCAAAATTCACATATGCAAAATTCTGACTACTGTATTTTTTCTTTTTAATTAGATCTTCCAAGGAACTTCACAAACTTCTGTGTTTATAAGAAATAACTGGAGTTACTTTTTCAACATACAGGTTCCTGAGCCCCACTCAGACCACTGAATTAGTGTTTGGGGATGGGCATAAGCATCTTCTTTTTTTAACCCCTTGTAGAGATGGAGATCTCACTATACTGCCCAGGCTGGTCTTGAACTTCTGACCTCAAGAGATCCTCATGCCTTAGCCTCCTGAAGTGCTGGGATTACAGGCATGAGCCACCTCGTCCTGCCCTTTAACAAGTTCACTAGGGGTTCTTATACACTCAAGTTTACACAGTAGTGTCTTAAGTATTGCCATTCTCAGGGATTCTGTCACTTAATATGTTTCTTTACACTGGAAGGTGAGAATGTTGAGGACACATCCCTTTAAAATGACTATATTGCCACACTTATCAATAGACTATGATGTAGGACTCAGGTGTATTGAGTTGGGAAGTGATTAGCAATGGGTATTCCACACATGGGGCAACTCATCAACTCCTATTAATTAGGTTATCACCTACACATGTATGTCTATATTGCTCAACTCTTTGTCCTAACAACATAATGTTTCTAAAGAACCATTGAGTATTTCTGGATCAGACCCTATGCATATATCTTCAACTAAACTCATTATTATTGTTTTCCCGAAATCTGCTTTTACTTCTACATTATCTACTTAAGTTAATGGTACTATGAATCACCTGTCTAATCAAGCCAGAAAACTCAGAATGGTCCTCATGTCTATGTTTCTCATCTAATTAGACACATAGTCGTGTTGTTGAACCTACTTTTCAAACATCTCTTGCTCAGATTAGTTTTTTTCTCATAAGCCTTATTGCCATTGCCATTGCCATAAGGCCTTCCCTTAGAGGTTTATCATCTCTTCTGGGCTTTTAAAATGCCTCCTAAAAGGCTTCCCTGTCTCTAGTCTCAAGCCTTCTGTAGACCATCTTTCACGTTACCATTGAAAATAAATTCAAAATGCAAATCAGATTTTGCCACTTCGAAGATAGTTCCTCATTACCTGCCAGATAAAGTCCAATTCATTTGCATGGCACACAAGGCCATTTGTGATCTGGTTTCACTTTTCAGTACTGACCCCAGGCAGTTCAAGGGGCAACATCTCAATGCTGAATATACCATTAAAAAAAAAGATCTACTCTTTTTTTTTAATGGAGCAAAGAATAATTCTTTAGGCTCTGTTATAGTCCTTGGCACTGCTGTTGTCTTTCCTAACCCATTGTTAATATTTTCTTTAAGAGATTACACTAATCTTAATGCAAGTCCTTTGATCCAAAAATCTCTTTAAGTTAATTTATCCCTCCAGCATCCATTTGAAAATCCTAAAGGTTTATTTCTCAGCTGCTGAAAGTCTCCTCCTTGCTTATTCTTTGGGCTAGTTAAGAGATACGTTTGTATTTGATCCTACAAGATCCTACCTTATTTCCAAGTTGCTTCTTATCTATCCTTTATGAAGCACAGCAGGCACCAGAGACTAGGCCTGGAAGGTTGCTGGGTGTAAACATCCTGTGTCCCTCTTCCACTAAGTACTGTAAAAAAAGGTTCTGATTTTTCCCAGTCACTATAAAGTCCTTTTGTTTGCATTCAGGACTGAGGGGACTGATTTACTTTCTTAGCTGTGAATAGCTTAGCCACTAGGATCTTTAAAAACAGCCTGAGATCACTTAAGTTGTGTGTATTCTTAGAATCCAGTAGCACATTAAAAAATTAATAACACTTCCAGAACAGAAAATTTGACAACCTCATGTGTCAGTTTGTTTTAATGATTAATAAACCTGCTGTCTGAAAACACTGACCTTGACGGCATGACTTCATGTTGTGGGTTAAAGCTGTTTCATCTTGTTTTTCTGTCAGTGTATATGGACAATGTTGGGCACTAAAGGACATTTCCTTTATCCTTTGTGTAAGTCCATCTTCTCATCTTTTTTTTAAATAAAAAAAAACCCTTATACTCATTTTTTACAGTGTTCATATCACTTAGGTTCTAAGATCTCTATATTTCTCTTCAAGTAGTGGTTGTCAGAGTTAGAGGGTGTCATGTTAGAGGTTTCACTGGCACTGAAAACACAAGGAAGTTTGTTTGATTGTCCTTATACACCAGATTTCAATTTTATCGGTCAGAAAAAAGGGCAGTGCCTCATGCTCACTCATGGTCGGCTAATTATTCTTTTCTTTTTGATAATTTGTGTTGTTGTTGTTTTCTGTCATACCTGCCACCACTCAATACTATATCCTTTGTTTTGAACATTTCTCTAATTGTCTAAAGTCATTTTGAATCCCAGCCATTCCGGTTAATTGTTACCCATGACCAGAGATGTTTGGGGGCATCACTTCTATCTTCTCATACAGGTCTCACAGGGAACATTAAACCCTAGGCTCATGAAAATTTACTTATATATCAACAAATACAAGGAAGAGAATTTCACCCACGTAGCAACAAACCACATAAAATACCTAGAAACAGTCTTAAGAGGAAATGTGAGATTCATACAAAGGAAAAAAAATACAAAACCATTGAGATAAAAAAAGTTTTAAAAATAGATTTTGTAGCTGAGAAAGGCCTAGCATTCACCCAGAAGGCCTTAAAGTGAGTGAGTTAAGGAAATGAATGCCAGAGTCTGAAGAGCGTGTGCTCCTACTGGAGAACCTGCTGCTGGGAAGCCACAGCCACTTCGTGACTTTGGCTTTCTGAATACACCAAATCAAGAAAGCTTGGAGAGTATCACACCACCTGCAACCCAAGTTACAATAGGAACACCGATTGCAGTTAGCATTTGGCCAAGCTACAGTGCTAGGTAATATTTTCTAATTTCATTTTATGAGAAATATGGCCCTTTTTGTTTAGTATTTAAAAATTATCGCAAACTCTCATGGACAGATTTTAAATGTGATTATTTATTGAAGGTCAATAAACACTTGGCTTTAAAAGGTTAAACTTTACATAAAAAATTGGACATTTTAGCTTCAATATGGTTAATTTTAAAAAAACCTTTACATGGCTTTTTTGGGGAGAGAAAGTAAAACTGCAACTTCTGGCATACTGAACACCCAAGAAATAATTCTTAAGGTAGTTTCACTTTCTCCAAGTTTCAAAAAAATTTTAAAGATAACCTAAATGAATTTTTTTCTTAAGATGATTATATATCTCCCTGTCTCTGAACAGAATATTCTAAGCACACATTAAATTTCTTTGGATATCACAGGTTCAGAAGAACAGGGGGAGTAAGGAGCTTTCTATGCAAATTCTGTTCAGCCATTCAACAGCTGTGCACTTTGGGCAAGTCAATAAATCTCTCTGATCCTTGGATTACACACAAACTGAGCTGTTTACTTTGCCAGGTTCTCATAAATATATGAGGGAGAAAATCAGAGCATGGATTATATGCAACTACATGTAGCAGTATTGTTTCAAGTTAAGTTTGGGATTCAAAAGAAAAGATAACTAATTTTTTTTTGAGTGCTACTTTTATGCCAGGCACTTCACATGTTTTATCTTCTTTAATATTCATAGCAACTTTATAAGGTAGTTATTATTCTCATTTTATATTGAGATATGAAAGCTTAGAAAAGTTAAGTAACCTGCTATTTGCAAACAATTATGAGAGAATTAGAACTACGTGGGTCAGGCAATTTATTAATTTTTGAGGGGTAAATCAAGGTCCAGAAGGATTATTTGAATTTGCTGTGGTCACATACTCATCAAAACTAAGATTTAAATATAATATTTTTCACTCGTCAGTTTATTGGAGGATTTTTGTGGGTTTTTTTTTCAGTTTTTGCATCACTAGAAGAAAGCATATAATTGCACATTTCTTGATGTTATAGAATTAGTATTAATTTCAAAAGTGTGATAGTGATATTATGGTTAATATTTTCTAGAGTCCTTTCTTTTCGAGATACAGTCTAGAATACTTATGATTGAGCAGTAAATGATGTCTAGAGTTTGTTTTAAAATTGCCTGGAGGTGAAGGGGATTGTGTGTGGTTTGAGGGTACAGATGAAACAAGACAAGCATGAGTTAATAAATTTTGAAACTGGGTGATGAAATCTAAGTCTACTTGATTTCAAAGCCTAAACATTGTTGTCAGGTGGAGAGCCCCTAAATACCATCAATTACAACACTATATTTCTAGGTCTTTTCTAAATGAAGTAAAGTAGTGATTTTTGAAAACCACCATTGATGATGCACTCTTCCCATCTTCTGCATTTGAGTGTATGCTTTCCCTTTGGGTAGTACTCTGTAGCATCTCAGGTCACTCTCACTACTGACTGACATTGTCCAAATTCATGCAATTCCACTTTTACTTTGCAGATGCAGAGATTTATACACCCAGATAAAGCCTCTGAGTTGCTGCTGATGCTGTGTGGCTTACTTTGTTGAAACATGAAGTGATTCCCAAAGTCTCCAAATGGCTACCTGTGGAAGTCTTCCAGTAGACAGCTAGCTTCTATTGCCCACACAGAAATATTCACTACTGAGCTTTCTACTGGTTCTCAAATCTGCATTGGAAATTGTCTGCTCATAGAGAAGTGGGTTTATCTTGAAGTTATTGAAGCTTAAGTTTTTAGGCTCACCACCTGTCTGGGCTGCTTCTAAGACCCCAGCAATACGATTAGAGTGTTGTGAATTCAAAGAATTCTTTACTTTAGTCCTTGCCAAGAAAACTTGAATTTTCCTGAAATCTTACAGCTGATTTATGATAAAAGCTCAATATTTTCCAAATTTGATAACGGTCCTAAAATGTGGAAAAAGCATTACAGATTATGTTTTGAAATTAATTAGTAAAATATTATGTTATTTTTCTGGATGTTTGTGGTATCTGTCAGTTTTTCAAGACTTGTAATTTGTTGTGATTTCTCCTTGTCTATGAGTTTTCATTTTTGAACCTAATTTTTTGTATTCATCATTTTGTGTTTTCTTAAAAAATGTATTCCTAAATTACGTTAGCTTTAGGGATCATAAAACCTGGACCCATGCATGTACCCAACCCATTCTCTTGGCATCATTTGTATATTGAAATATTTGTCTTTCTCTAGAGAGTTTATAGAGCTCCCCAAAGGCTCTCTAGTTCTTTTTCTGTTTTAGGAGAAAGGGGGACTCACCCTGAAAAGTTGGCTCAGGATGTCGATCCCAGTGGATCCAGATAGTAGCATACCAATGTTCTCTTGCTTCTGCTTGTCTCATAGGAGTGGGGCTGTGTTTTCACAGCTTTTACCTTTCCTCATCTGAGACATATGATCGGGTCTAAGCCACATTACTGTCTGTAAGGACTGACTCCTTAGTATGCTATGCATACCCACAAATCCAGTAACTCTAGTTCTCCTGGTCGGGTGGGGCACATGCCCTGCCATCTTAAAAAGATTTATGGTATCTTCTCTGTAAGCCTTCCCCTTAGTGGAGGCTATCTATCTGCATGTACTCTTTAGACTCCAGCCTCTCATTAGGATAAAGCGGGGCTATTATCTCAGGGTCCCTAGTTTGGGGAGGAGGGGGCACACAAATGACTCTCAGAGAACTTAGGAGTCCATGATGTTTCCTACCAGGATACAGTTGGATTCACACATAGACTCTCATAGTATCTGAGCTGCATTGTAATCATTGCTAGACTGTCCTACATGCCAAGTAAGCTTTGAGTAGTAACTATATTTTCCGAGTTGAAAACAGAAAAACAGTGGGAAATTTTTGAGTGTCCTTGTAGGGGTTATAGAAATATGTAAAATCTGAATTGTCCTGGAAAATCTGGAAAAACATGTATTTAAAGAGCAGTTTACTGGTGTTTAAAATGACCCTAGGTTGCTGTGCACTTTGAATTCCTTTAGCTGTTCTTCATGTTTCATCTCTTCCTTGCTGTCAGGTTAGTAATGGTCATTTCTTGCTGCTGTCTATGAGTCTGCCAGTTAACAGTCTTTCTTCATAGTATAGGTAGTGGTTTTCATAGTGAGTCTGGAGCCAGGCTGTTTGGGTGGAAATCTCAGATCTGCCATATAAAAGCCACGTAACTGTGGGCAAGTTACTTAACCTTTCTGCTCTTCAGTTTTCTCATGTATGAAGTGGCAGATAATAGTAGTACCTACGTCATAAGGTTGCCAGGAAGATTAAGTGAAATAAAATGCTTAAAGCAATGCCCTGAAAATAATAGGTGCTCAATAAATGTCTGTTATTGTTATCCTCTTTCTCATTTGCTATTTCAGATCTCCTAAGGACTTGGAAAACAGACAATCAACTCCTTCGAACTCTAAATAAGATAAAAATTCAGCCGAGTGTGGTGGCATGCACCTGTAGTTACAGCTACTCAGGAGACTGAGGTAGAAGGATCACTTGAGGCCAGGAGTTGGAGTCTGCAGTGAGCTAAGATTGTGCCCCTGCACTCCTGACTGGGTGACAGACAGACCCTCTCTCTTGAAAGAAAAAAAATAATAATTAATTTTTAAAAATAAATAAGATAAAATTGCATAGTCTGTGAGTGCATAACCAAAAAGCCTAATTAGTAAAGTTTTTGAGCATTAATGTGGCTGTCCTATTCAGGCAGGAAAAAGCTTTAATGAGGAATCATTTTTTTTTTTTTTAAAGTGATGCTTATCTGACCCGGTCCTTATGATTAACAAAATCTTGACCCCAATTATCAGTCTAGACAAATAATTTTTTTTTTTTTTTTTTTTTTTTTTTTTTTTTTTTTTTTTTTTTTTTGAGAGGGAGTCTCACTCTGTCGCCCAGGCTGGAGTGCAGTGGCGCGATCTCTGCTCACTGCAAGCTCCGCCTTCCGGGTTCACGCCATTCTCCTGCCTCAACCTCCCGAGTAGCTGGGACTACAGGCGTGCCCGCCACCACGCCCGGCTAATTTTGTTTTTGTATTTTTAGTAGAGACGGAGTTTCACCGTGTTAGCTAGGATGGTCTCGATCTCCTGACCTCGTGATCCACCCGCCTTGGCCTCCCAAAGTACTGGGATTACAGGCGTGAGCTACTGCACCCGGCCTAGACAAATAATTTTAATGTTATACAAAGTCGTATTTAATTTAAGTCTTTATAATAGTGACAAAAACATGAAAATGGCTTGGCCTGAAATACGAGTATATAACTTGCAAGTAGCAAGTGATGCCCAGAATAAATTTTAAATAATATTCTGTGTAGTTCTCATGTTGATTTCTAATGTTCTAAGTACAGCAACTGGTGCCAACTTTAGTCAATAGAGGATAAAGGAAACATCTCTGTCCTTGTTCAGTTTAGATTCTTTTCTTTCATCATCCTGATTTTCACAAGCTTCAGCAGTTATTAATTCTAGCTATCCTTCCTCCTTGTTGGTCCACAGCAGACCTATGCAAGGCTGCAAATTTCAGGGCATGATCAGCCTTGAACTAATTCTGAGACAATATCTTTTCTCTCTGTGATGAAAGTGACTGGAGATTATGAGGCTCAGCACATAGAAGTCTCTCAATAAATACTTATTAAATGAATGAATGATTGCTTTGGTTTTAGTGAAAGAGAATAATACACGTGGTCTATAAAAACTCTCTGAATTGCACAGGAATCACTAAGCCTAAACTGTTGTGTTTCTTGTGTCACACTATTAAACATCATCCTGAGTCTTTCAGCCAGGACTTGTATTGTTTGGTGCATGCACGGAATCATATATGCACGAGGCTATATATTCACAAATTGTGTAATACTTGTTTTGGTAGGTAAGAGGTCTTTTTGCTTGGTTTACCTGGATGGGTAACATTGTGGGATAGTGGATTGCAGATAGGAAAACAGTGAATATCATTGTTAAACATGTTAAAATTCATTTAAGTTAAAATTTTTTATTTTGCTTTAATTCCATTGCCTATGGTCAATCTTTTTTAGGTTCCTTTTGTCTCAGAAAACTTTGTTTACAAGCATTCAATGCACTAATAGTAGCATTGTTTTTATTACATTTTCTGTATTAGAGATTATAATATGCTTCTAAACACCTGATAAAGAATAAGAAAAGGGAGCAGTTAAATAAGTGACCTAAAATCAGGACTAAATTAAAAACAAGCTTAAAGGTTTGCTGTGAACAAAAAAAATTTAAAATTTAGTTGCTCCACCTAGTGGTGAACCGTTATATGACTTTAGTGAAGAGATTTTAGTTTTTCACGTTGAAGATTCTATTCAAATTTTGTTCTGGTAGGTAGAAAAAAGTATTTAATGGACTTACTATCTTATTGTGCCATTTAAAATAACAAAATTTACACAACATGGAAAGAAAACCACTACTTAATGAATCTAAATAAACGTGAAGACACATCTGTAACCAACTCAAATTTCATATTATGTCTTTCTCAATCAGCCTAGGAATTAGCATCAACATTTATACCTGTAGCTATACCCAACCTAAAATTATATATCACCCTGAAAGTTTAGGCCTGGCCCGAGTTAATAGGAGATAAATGTTAATAGGGAGATCAACCCCTCTGCAGTTAAGATCATGGGTTTTTTGATTCAGGCCTTAATAAGGCCTGAGAAATGTTCTAAGTTGTATAAAAATATCAACCTAGCCAAAAGATATTTAGAAATCAAGATTACATGTTTACCTGAATGTAATACATTGCCGTGGTTAACAATGGGCTCTAAGCCAGGCTACTTGAGTTCAAATTCTGCAAAGTGTTTATTAGCTGTATGACCTTTGTGCCTTGGTTTCTTCATTTATGAAATGAAAATACTATCTCTCTCACAGAGTTATAAAGTTAAATGAGATACTGCCTGGAAAGCACTTGGAATTGCACCTGACACAGAATAAGTACTCCCATAAAAAATTTTTTAGTATCATTATTGACTTCATTTTCTGTATTTGTGATTTTTTTTTTTTGGTGTTTAATTGAACTCTGCCAAGTACTCAGATAGTTTGGCAAGACATTGGGAATCTCCTGCTTCTCTGACTCAGTGAAGTGTTCCCACCCTGGGAGGGACAACAATCCAAATCCCATTCTACCACATTATTTTTTTTACATATTATTATAACTATTTTATTATTTTAGAGATGGAGACTCCCTGTGTTGCCCAGGCTGGACTCAATCAAACTTCTGGGCTCACACAATCTTCCCATCTCAGCCTCCCGAGTAGCTGGGACTACAGGCACCTGCCACCATGCCCGACTTAAACATTATTGATATGGTCAGTCATTCACTTTCCAAATTCAGCTCTCTTTCTCAGAATTTCAGCACTCACTGGAAAGGAGAAATAGTGTGCTTGCTCCTGGGCATGCCCCAATGTCTGTTTATTTCCTCCTCAGCACTTCAAAACCATGATTTGATTTTAGTCTTTTCTGACAGCAAAGCAAAAGTTTGATCAGAAAACATGGAAGGACAGATTCCATTAGTCTACTTGTATACATATTCTAGGAAAACAGCATGCTGGGTTGAGCATGTTAGACTACATTTTTTGGAAGGGTGTCAGCCATGAAAATACCTTTTTTTCCAGGATCTAATTGCAGATTACCTTAAACATATCAGAAAGCTTAAAAACATTGACCGTGGAGCCAGAATTCCCAGTTTTAAAGCTTATCTCTACCAATTTGTTAGTTGAATAACTTTGGGCAAATTATTGACTTCCGTGAGCCAGTTTTTATACATTTGTAAAAGCGAAATAAAAGAAGCTATCTTAAAAGTTGTTCTGCAAAGTATATGAACTAATATGTATAAAGTATTAATAGCTGGAATACTGCTTGGTGTGTAGTAAGTACTGTGTAAGGGTTACTTGTTACAGAGTCATTATCTGTGGATGCTCATTATTCTGTGGAGGATGAAATATTGTATCCAAATTCAACATAGGAAGAGACTTATTCTTTGCCTTTCATCCTTTTGTGGTATCTTTATATACACTTTTTTCTTTCTTTTTCTTTTTTTTTTTTCCAAGATGGAGTCTTGCTCTGTCACCCAGGCTGGAGTGCAATGGTGTGATCTCGGCTCACTACAAGCTCCGCCTCCCGGGTTCAAGTGATTCTCTTGCCTCAGTCTCCTGAGTATCTGGGATTACAGGCACCCACCATCATGCGTGGCTAATTTTTGTGTTTTTGTAGAGATGGAGTTTCACCATGTTGGCCAGGCTGGTTCTTGAACGCCTGACCTCAGGTGATCCACCCGTCTCTGCCTCTCAAAGTGTTGAGATTACAGGCATGAGCCAGTGGGCCCGGCTTATACTCTTTTCTTGACTCTGGTCTTGAATTTTCTTTGCCTCTTCCCAGCCTTTTACTTCCAATTTTTCTTCTTAGATGGTACTGTCCACTTCAGAAACTCTTTTCTCCTATTAATACACTTTTCTCTAACCTTTTCAATTCTTCATGTCAAGGACATGAAGTACGTCTGTTCTATACGTGTTTCCAATGCCTTGCATGGAGCTATAGTAGGTGTTCAATAGACACGCATAAGTGAAGTACACAGAAAAACCAGCTTGCAGCCAGTGGCTCACGCCTGTAATCCCAGCACTTTGAGAGGTCAATGTGGGCAGATCATGAGGTCAGGAGTTCAAGACCAGCCTGGACAAGATGGTGAAACCCTGTCTCTACTAAAAATACAAAAATTAGCCGGGTATGGTGGTGGGCACCTGTAATCCTAGCTACTCAGGAGGCTGAGGCAGAGAATTGCTTGAGCCTGGGAAGCAGAGGCTGCAGTGAGCCGAGATTGCGCCACTGCCTCCAGCCTGGGAGACAGAGTGAGACTTAGTCTCAAAAACAAACAAACAAACAAAAACAAACAAACAACAAAAAATTAAAACCAGCTTGCATTTGCACCTGAAGTTTGTGATTGTCTCTGAAAAGAATGCCTACAATTATAACAATTATTTTTATTTACTTAGCAATCATAAATGCCAGGCACTGTACTACGGATTTCATGTAGCATGATCTCATTTAATGGCATCAGCAATTTTTGGGGGCGGGGGTGGAATCCTGTTAGTTTCTTTTAAAAACGTTTTAATTGACAAATAAAAACTATGTATTTATTATGTACAACATCATTTTGAAATATGTATATTTTGTGAAATGACTAAATCAAGCTAATTAACATATGCATTACATCACACATTTTTTGTGCGTGTGTGGTAGGAACACTTAAAAGCTACCCTCTAAGCAATTTTCAAGAATACAATACCTTGTTATTAACTATAGTCATCATATTGTACAATAGATCTTTTGAACTTATTCCTGCTGTCTAACTGAAATTTTATATCCTTTGACCAACATCTTCCCCCCTACTCCCCACCCCCAGCCTTTGGTAACCACCATTATACTGTCTACTTCTATGAGTTCAACTTTTTTACATTCTACATATGAGATCTTATGCTATTTGTCTCTGATTGCCTGGCTTATTTCACTTAATGTCCTCCAGGTTTATTTATCCATGTTGTGGCAAATGACAGGATTTCCTTCTTTTAAAAGGGTGAATAGGATTACATTGTGTATATGTACCACAGTTTTTTGGTATATTCATCTGTTGATGGACACTTAGACTGATTCTCTTAGTTATTATAAATAATGCTTCAGTGAACATGGGAATACAGATGTTTCTTAGGCTTATTCCCTATCTTAACTATTATAAATAATACTGCAATGAACATGGAAGTGCAGCTATCCCTTCAATATACTGATTTCCTTTCCTTTGGGTACATAACCAGTAGCGGGATTGCTAGATCCCTATTAGTTTCAATTTACAAATCAGGCAGTTGAGTTTCAGAAAATATAAATTACATGCCCAAAGTGTCATTTGCTAATGACCAAAGCATCTTTCTTCTGAAAGAGCCCCCTATTTGTTATTGGAGACTGCCTTCATTTTTTTATTCCTCTTAATATGTTGGATGCAGCTATAGTTTTTTGGTCTACTATCTCTTGCCAGGCAAGCACGTTTGCTGAACTTCCCTAGAGAACTACACATTTGAGAGGTTACGAGTTCAAATACTATGGGAGCCATACAGAGAACATAAGGAGTGAGGTATACCAAGTATTTTTTGTATGAGGGGTACGGACTGTGTCTACATGGGAGCAGTTCTAACTTAACTCCAGCCGAATATAGTCAGCAGAAAAACAGACCAAATGTTGACATACATTCTGATTTTTCAAGAGCAGCCGGATATCTTGAGTTTTATGGGTAACCTCTGAATTCCAAACCTGAAATTTAAGTATTGTCTCAAAGTAAGAATCTTATATAGGCCACATAGAATAGGCCTGTAGGCCATATCTAGCCCTTGGGCACCTATACACTAAAAACAGTGGAGGCCCTGGTTCCTCTAACTCTGAAACTAAGCTCCAGGCCCAATGACAGGGACAAGCATAAGCTGCAAATAGTTGTCATCAGCCTAGGGGATGCATGTGCATATGAGGAGCAGAGGTTTCTCCATCAGCAAATAAGTTGTTGTGCAGTTTTTTTTTTCTTCTTTTTGATGCTGTCTCTTGACTGGGAGCTTGATAATTCCTATTGTTAGCAAACTCAAGCAAGCGCTTGACTTGGAATACCTCCCTGTCTCTTTAGGTTTCCTAAATAAGCACTTTTTATTTTAATTCTCTGTGAAGAAAAACAACTGTGCATAGTAATTCATTCAATGGGGTGAGAGATTGAATATAAATAACTGAATCTCTTAGAAGGTTAAATTTAAAAAGAACCCCACTGAAACAGAGAGAGAGAGAGAGAGAATATAGACCATCATTCTGGTTCTAGCCACCAAGTCTAGCAGATTGGCTTTCTTCTAATCTACATAATCCTCTAGTTGCCTGACTCCAAGCTTCATGAGGGGAGGGGCCTTGTCTTGTCACAGCAGTATCCCCAGGCTCTAGTACGTTGTCTTAACACAATGTAGGGGTTCAATAAATATTTGTTAACTCTCAGCCTTTCAACTTAGATGATATCTTGTCACCCTAAATTTTGTATGTTCAAATCTGAATGTCTCCATATCAGCTCCCTTCTGGACCTCCTGGTTTCTATAAATGGCATTGTTAGTTTCTTATTCATGAAAGCTTGGAAGCTTCGAGTCACCTTGGAAATCCCTTGTTTTCCTCATCCTGTCAGTCGCCAGGTCCTGTTAATCTTCAGTGAGTAATGTCGGTTATATCCTCGCTATCCTTCCCTTCCCTGTCCACGTCACTCTAGCCTAAGCCCCCTGTGACCTCATGCCACAGGGACCAGTGCAATCATTGCTTAACTGCTCTCCTCAGTTTTATGCCTTCCTCTCCCTAATATGTTTATCACAGGAAAACAAATTTTTGAGGACTTGAGCCTTTGGGGTTTCCCATTATTTATTACTGAGTCTAGACTTAGCTTTTCATTGCAGACAAGTCACAATTCATTCACACTTAACACACCAGTCTTAATATCCATTATGCCACCACACAAATCCTCTCTTTTAGTCACACTGGTTCCATGAGTAGTTCCTGAAAACACTGAGCAGAGATTTTCTTTTTCTTTTCTACATTTCATATTTCCTTAGCTTCTTCTGGTTAAATAAATCTTTCCCCAAATTTCTGTTCTATACTAGTTTTTTGGTGAGACAAATGCTTGTCTTTTTTTTTCCCAATATAAATCTCCCTGACATTCTAACACACTAATTAGATCATGAATATAGAATGTATTCCATATACTGTTTTATAGAAAGGCAGTAGAGTATAGTAGTCAAACATAGTCCCTGGAGCCAGGCAGCTGACTTCAAATGATTTCAATCCTACCACACACTATCCCGGTAACTTCAGGCAAGTAACTAAATCTCTCTGTGCCTTAATTATCTCATGATGCCTATTTTGAAAGATTGCTAAGAGATTTAAATGGGTCACTTCATGTATAACAATGCCTAGCACAGGGTAAGTACCATAAAAGTGTCAACTATCATCACCATCTTCACTATTATCATCATGTTATTCTTTTATGTGTATGTCATTTGTCTATAACTGATTTGTAAACCCTTTCAAATCAGAGGTTTCAACATATCCCTCTGCTTTGCACAGAGGAGACTCACAGGAAAGCAGTGTGATGCAAAGCTTTATGGTAGTCAGGACACCTGGCCTGTCAGATTAGGCAGGTCTCTCCACTTCTTTGAGACCCCATTTGCTTATGTGTAAAATAGAAATTTTTTCTTAATGTTTACATTGTATATTCAGTTAAAGTGTTTCACAGACAATAACTCATTGATTATCTGCCTACTTAGCTCACATATGAGGTAATTTATGTAAGCATGCTAGAAATTGAGGCATGCAGATATAACCTGTATTACCAAGGTGCTCAGTAAGTGCTTTTTGATGCATGGGATCAAATGCTCCACTGTCTTTATTTTTTTCCAATGTAAACTCCATTTAAAGTGAATTAGAAGAATTTCTTTTTGATGTTTTTCATCAATAGTGTCCCAATTTTCTCATGAAGCCCCTCCCTCCTTTCATTCCAGGGCATCATTGTTTCTTTTAGAGTGGCAGGTAGTGAATGTGAATAGAGGCAGCTGGTTCTATGGTGTGCTGGTGCCTGGAGAAATTGTACAGACTGAAGACATCTCTTAAAATAATATGTTTTAACTCTTATTCCAAAGGGTTTAGGATTTTTTGCCTACTGTTTATCAGAATGATCACAATCCTTTTTCAGAGTAAAAAGAGATGCTAGATTTAGGGAAAGGGGAATCAAATAATGAGGTATAGAAAACCAAATAATTATCATGGGAGAAAAGAAAATCAGAACTGGAAACTGACATAAGAACAATAACAGTATTAGATTAAAAGTAAATTAAAAGGGGGAGTCATATAAGATGAATATGATTTCCTTTAGTCAAGAAACTGTGGCTTGTTTAGTTTTTGTGAAGCGTAATATTACCAAAACCATAGTAAAAATAATGAGTACAGAGGGGTGTATGATACAGCCAGTTGTGGGAATTTCTAGGCTGGCTTCTGTGCTAATTATTAAGTATCTCAGCTCTCATCCTAAATTCAAACCAAGCATCCATAAACTCTAGCAGGATGAGACATAGGAAGATATTCAAATACCAAAGTAACTATGGAAATGGGAGGAACAAAGAAGAATTCTTGAAAGTCTCTGGGCAAAGATAAAAGGAAAACAGAATAAAGAAGATCTCACAGCAGGGGCCTGTGACAGATCTTCAAATCAGGAAGTCAGAGAAGACGAAGTGAAGCAGAGCCAAATCTCCACATCCACGGAGATGGCCCATAGATTACAAGTACCCTGTTAACTTTCAGGTAACTCACACAGGAGAACAGAAGTGGAAACACATAAAACATAAGTTTAATTCTCTCAGTAAATGATGCAAAAAAAATAGCAAGAACTTTGAAAATCATCTTACATTTAGGAAGATTTTATAGACTGCCTGAATGTCTTAACCTGGAGAATAGCATTTCTGGATTAGCCAAATTCTAAGTGTACATTTTTTTCCAAAATGTTAGGAAACCAAGCTTGCTTTGCCTATAAACTTGGGGGATTCACAGACAGATAGATGAATAGAAAGAGATATATAGAGATGCCAAACAAAAGTTTTTCGAAAGACGATTATAGATTTGTGCCAAACTAAATAAAAGGCAATGGGCCATTGCGTTTGGGTGATGTATAGGTTATCTACTTCAATGCAACAAACGCCTTCAAATGTAAGTGTCTCCACATGGTTTCTTTTTTTTTATTTTTTATTTGCTTGTTCGGAGGTCTCTCAAGGCCTAGGCTTGGAATTCACACAAAGTCATTTTCTTTCATTCAGTCAAACCAAGTCTCTATCAGCTCAGATTCAAGGGGTGGGGAAATTGACTCCTCCTCTTCATGGAAAGAGCTGCAAAGAATTTCTTTTGTGGCTGTTTTAATCTATCGTAGGTGTTTAACTCAATTACAAAATCTGACAAGAGATATGAAATAATTTGACTTAGAATATAGAAATAATTTGACTTAAACTGAAAACTTCTAAATCATTGCAAAGTATTATTATTACATAGCTGACCAATTGTTCCTCCTCTCTTTTTAGTGTCTTCTTGGCATGTGTACTCATGAGGAACTTAAGGACAGGATGCCGCAGGCATGCTGAGCCAATTGGCAGGGTATTAGGCTATGCAACACCTCTACCTTTTTGCTCTTTGCGATTCAGTAGCTCAGGCGTGTGTCTGCTACTAATTCAATGACATATAAAATGTACTGAATTTCTGAAAGATTTTTCTGTGTGCTGTAAATCTTGTGATAGTATTTATCACTAGCTCAAGTACTGATCTCTAGTTCCAAGGAAATTTACATTTCAACTAAGTAAGATAGGTTTTTATCTTCTTTAATTTTGGTACCAGAGGGCCTGAAGAGAAATAACCAAACCAAAAAAAGAAAAAAAAAAAAGGGAAAAAAGTTTAATTACCTTGTTTATTTAGCTCTGTGACATCCTCTCAAAACTCACCAATGACAATGGGCTCAAGGGCTCAGTGATTGTTTGCAGTAGTCATCTCTCGAGGTGGCTCTACAGTGCAGGGTTCCCCTTTTCTGAGGAGCTGCCATCATGCACAGACATGTCCTCTGCTGACCTTTGCCCTGATAGCTGTGTCTACATTAGCGATCTTTATTCCCTGAACCATGACTAATTGATTCAGGTCTGTCACCTGACCTAAGCTGGGCCAATCAGTTTATCTCTTATGTGTACTGGAAGTGTTGCAAGAAGAGAAGGAGTATAATTTGAAAGTTGTTGGTAGCTGAGACACATTGTAATACGCTGGAAAGAAGCCCCACAACCTCCTGCAGAGGAAACACCCTAGTTCCTACCCTTTCTGATCCAAGTTTTCCTTTGATCCTGTAAGCTATTCTAGTATTCTTCCAGTACATTCTCTGTTTTTTTCAAAACTAGTAGAGTTGGTTGTTGTTACTTGTTATCAAGAGAAACTTACCTGACAGAGGATACCCACATCCATAGCTGAATAGTTAGAAGAAAATGGTTTATCTGGGAGCAGTTTCATTCATTCATTCATTCATTCATTCATTCATTTGACAGTCATTTATTGAGAGCCTATTACATATCAGTTACAGAGATAGGCACATGAATAAGATAGAAGGAGGTGTGGGGAGATAGTCACACCTACCTACAATTCCACTAAATTGTGATAAAGTAGAGATACTTGCAAAGTGATGTGGGAGTACAGATAAGGGTACAAATGAACTCTTTGTGTAGGTTGGGGAGCTGGGGTTAATCAGCTTGGACAAGGATGTAAGCTAAGAACTAAAAGCTACACAGAAAATATATATATTCTATATATATTGTATTACAGTGGTAGCAAATGAAGAATTTCTACATAGATACTGAAGACCAGCTGTTCTCAATATCAACTCAGCTCTGCAGAGTGAAAACTGATTTGAACAGCAGCATGAAAGATTTAGATTATAGATGGAAGAATTTCCTGACAGTGAGAGTTGTTAATGTTGGGAGGTTGTAGAATCTTCTCTTCTGGAGGTTTTAAAAATAATAGCTGTTCATCTGCCTAGGATGATGTTATTGTGATGCTGTCTAAAATAGGGAGATGGAAGATAATCACTCAAGGTCTTTTCTAGCTTAGAAATTTTTATAACACTGTCATTTAAAAAAAAGACTTTTAAAAAAAGCAGTTTTAGGTTCAAGCAAAACTGAGAGTAAGATATGGAAATTTCCCATGTACCCTCTGCTCCCTCATGCACAGCCTCACCCGTTATCCATATCTCCCACAGCATGGTACATTTCTTACAACTGACAGACCTGCCTTGACATGTCATTATCACCCCAAGTTCATAGTTTACATTGGGGTTCACTCTTGGTGTTGTACATTCTGTAAGTTTGAACAAATGTGTAATGACATGTATCCACTATTATAGTATCATATAGAATATTTCACTGTCTTAAAAATCCTGTGTTTTGCTTATTCCTCTTTCCCTCCCCCCAACCCTTGGCAACTACTGATATTTTTACTGTCTCCATAGTTTTGCCCTTTCCAGAATGTCACATAGTTGTAATCAAACAGCATATAACTTTTCAGATTTGTTTCTTTCACTTAGTAATATGCATTTAAATTTCCTCCATGTCTTTTCATGACTTAATGTCTCATTTCTTTTTAGCACTGAATATTATTTCATTGTCTGGAGGTACCACAGTTCATTTATCCATTCACCTATTGGAGAACTTCTTGGTTGCTTCCAAGTGTGGGCAATTATGAATAAAGCTGCTATAAATGTCCCTGTGCAGTTTTCTTGCATGGACATAAGCTTACAACTCCTTTGGGACACTGTCGATTTTTAGGAAAACAGTATAAAATTGATAAAAAAATAAAATTAGGGGCAGAAAAGTAATGCCAAAAGTGGAAAAATAATCAAATTAATTATTCCCTCTTAAATCAGGAATGTGAGAAGTGAAGAGATTCAAGTCTTCAAGATTTATTATTTTGGAAATTGTTTTGAAATCACATAGTCCATTGGTTGTTCTAGAACCTCTTGGTTGGGACTCAACTGATGGTCAACTAATAGAGGGTCCTGTCTTTTCCTTCCCACCCCAGAGTCCTTTAGTTTCTCCTAATTCACTTTACAACTATCCCACCCATGATGGGATGACATTGCTACTGCCTCAACCTGTAACTGGAGCCTCCTCATCCTATTCTCCAAAGGTGCACCCAGGTCCGTCCCTTCCTTCCTTCCTTCTTTCCATCCTTCCTTCCTTCCTTCCTTCCTTCCTTCCTTCCTTCCTTCCTTCCTTCCCTCCTTCCTTCTTTCCTTTCCTAAATAGTATAACATGAGCTTAAAATTAAAGCATGTGCTCAGAGAATAATAAGTCTAATTGGACTAAAGATAAGGTATATGAATAAAAAATAAAAATAGAACATGGAGTTAGGTAAAAATGTGTAGATTTGCTAGACCACAAAGTTTAGAGTTCATTGAATAGGCATCGAGAAATTAATGAACATAACATTTGGAAGGTGAGCATGTAAATGGTGTGTAGTAAAAGGCTCTTGAGAATTGTTATCAGACGGTTTAAAAAGTCAAAGTGAGGAATCATTCCAAATGTTACATTAACATTTTATTTTAGATTAACACCTGAAAGTGTACATGCATACGGCACTATTTTGAAGTTGGGTTAAGGCCTTGTTTAATTTTTTTAATGTAGATACAGTTATTGATGTTCTAAGTTGTCTTTTTTGGTTCAACCATAACCATAATGCATTGCCTACAATTTTAGTTTTGGTCTCTTGAAAGCTGAACAAAACTTTAAAGATATTTGTAAAGCCGGCCAGGCGCAGTGGCTCACGCCTGTAATTCCAGGACTTTGGGAGGCTGAGGAAGGTGGATCACTTGAGGCCAGGAGTTCGAGACCAGCCTGGCCAACATAGTGAAACCCCTGTCTCTATTAAAAACACAAAAAATTAGCTGGGCGTAGTGGTGCACACTTGTTATCCTAGCTACTCAGGAGGCTGAGGCATGAGAAAAACTTGAACCAGTGAGGCGGAGGTTGCAGTAAGCCGAGGTTGGGCCACTGCATTCCAGCCTGTGCAGCAGTGAGACTCTGTCTTCCATCTTAATATAATATCTACTGAGATTTTTAATGCTTTTTCCCATTCTTTTATGCTTGTCTCACCTACACTTACTTTGACAGCAATTTTTAAGCCACTGCTTTTATCTAGACTTTACCAAAGCATTTAGCTTAAATTTTATAAACACAACTTTCTTTTCTCACACATACTTCATCAGTTTACAAAATTTTTAACTCAAAAAAGCAATTAGAATAGTGAAAATGTACCTAAAAGTAATTATTGATAAGCATACAACCTAGCCAATGGAAAGAGAATTATGGGGATGTAGTGGAATATAGCCTACTAACCAGGATCAATATGATATAAACTATTCAGTGTACTTGGACTTAAGTCTTATATTTTAGAGAGGAAATGGAGAACACTGGTTAATTTGGCAAGCCAATTAGAAGAGTTTAGAGAAAGGGAAAAAAAGACTGGAATCTAGTTTTGAGAGTTTTTCATCAAAAAATAAAAGTTCCTTTTTTGGTGCCTCTATGTGAGTCTAACATACTACCTTTATTATATTACACTTCCACCCTTCTTTTTGCATTCCATACACATTCAATTTGTAATCTTTTTTTTTCTTAAGATTCTGGAGCATAAAGGGGAGAAGAGGATGACAATATTTCAGTGTCCTAGGTAGTGCTTTCCTCTGGGATGAAAACATTGTTGACAAAGGGAGAAGGTTTTATTATACAGATTGCAGAGGATTAAAAGAGAGATTATTTTGTGTCTTGGATTGGAATCTCAAGAGATTTTATCTTGTAATCCTTTTTTATTTTTTTCTAGATCACACTTGCTAGTGGGAATATGAGGGCTAGAAAGCAATTCAGAGTTTTGTTTATTTGTTTGTTTTTTTGCAATTCAGAGTTTTTGACTTTTCTTACAGAGCTCCTGGGACAACTAGGTCATCAACATCTCCATCAGGTGGATTTTTTTTTCTTTCTTTTTTCTGAGACAGAGTCTTAATCTGTTGTCCAGGCTAGAGCAAAGTGGTATGATCAAGGCTCACTGCAACCTCTGCCTCCTGGGCTCAGGTGATCTTCACACCTCAGCCTCTTGTGTAGCTGGGACTACAGGCACACACCACTACACCTGGATAATTTTTTTTGTAGAGAAGGGGTTTTGTCATGTTGTCTGGGCTGGTCTAGAACCCCTCAACTCAAGCAATCCGCCTACCTTGGCTTCCCAAAGTGTTGGGATTACAGGTGTAAGCCACCGCCCTCGGCCAATCCAGTGGAATTTGAAAGGAAAAAAAAATTGGCTGGGTGTGGTGGCTCATGCCTGTAATCCCAGCACTTTGGGAGGCCGAGGCAGGTGGATTACCTGAGGTCAGGAGTTCAAGACCAGCCTGGCCAACATGGTGAAAACCCATCTCTACTGAAAATACAAAAATTAGCTTGGCGTGATGGTGCATGTCTGTAATCCCAGCTACTGGGGAGGCTGAGGCAGGAGAATCACTTGAGCCTGGGAGGTGGAGGCTGTAGTCAGCCGAGATTGCGCCACTATACTCCAGCCTGGGTAACAGAGCGAGACTCTGTCTCAAAAAAACCAAACCAAACCAAAACAAACACACAAACAACAACAACAACAACAACAACAAAAAAAAAACAAGGGAAACAAATCTCTCTCTAGTTCTCCTGTAGGTACATAAATAAAAAAACATATCCCTTTCCCAACTTTCTCCATGAGTTTAGTTAGGACCCTTGGAAACCCTCAGAAAGTAAGACTTTCCTAGTTCAGTGCTGTACTTGGTACTGATTCATATAGGACTTTGCATCTTGGGAACCAAAACTTCAAGTACTCTGGTAACTGATCCTGTGGAAATAGTATAAGCTTGTTTTTTGAAAAAGAAAGATATAAAATAATGAATTATTTTGCTTTAAGAATAAAATCAGGCTTAACTAAACAGTTTAAAGGACTGGAATGTACCTCATAGTGTAGCAGAAAATTATTCAACCATTTACAATCTCGAGGGACAATGAAGGTATCTTTTGTTGTTATTTTTTCTGATAAAGATAAGTAATATAGTATTGTCCAAAACCTCAAGAGGTGCTATTTATTTCAAGTGGAATGGAGGGTATTGCTTTGATGGATTATACAAAATGAAGAACAGTTGAATAGTCAAATATCCATTCCCATGATCCACATGGGTATGGCAGTCCTAAGCTCTGTGGCCAGAGTAATGATTCCTGGGATGAACTATCACAAGAATTGGGAATACTGGACAAAACCACTTTACATGAAAAAGTGCTGTCTGGTGGTGTTGGTGGTGCTTTCTTTTGACAGTGTGTTTTGGGGATATGCGTTTATATAAGTTCACTATCTAGGTCACTTACCAGTGCTTTGAAACTGATGAATAAACTGGGCTTCTCACTTGTATGGGCCTTTTAGTATGCTCATATGGTCATATTGTATAAATGATATTTGAAAAAGTAAGATAACTGCAATTTGTTAAGATCACTAGGTCATTCTGGTTTGACTTCCATTGATGATTAATTTTATGTGTCAATTTGACTGGGCCATGGGATGCCCAGATATTTTGTCAGACATTATTCTAGATACGTCTATGAGGATGTTTTTGACATTTTTAATTTTTAATTTTAATTTTTGTTTTAGTGATGGGGTCTCACTATGTTTCCCAGATTGGTATCAAACTCCTGGCCTCAAGCAATCCTCCTGCCTTGGCCTCCCAAAGTATTAGTATTGTGATTACAGGTGTGAGCCACTGTGACTGGCCTGGTTTGTGGATGATATTAACATTTGACTTAGTAGCCTGAGTAAAGCAGATTGCTTTTCCTAATGTGAGTGGTCCTCATTTAATCAGTTGAAGTCCTGAATAGAACAAAAAAGTCTGACCTTCCCTCAAGTGCGAGGAAACTTCGGTATATGACTTCTTGGACTGGAACATCTGTCTTTTCCTGCCTTCAGAATCAAACTAAAGAACTGGCTCTTCATGGATCTCAAGCCTACTGGGTTTTGGACTGGAACTACACAGTCAATTTTCCTGGGTCTCCATCTTGTCAACTGCAGATCTTGAGACTTCTCAGGCTCCATAATTGTGTGAACCAAACCAACTCTTCATAACTCCTTTCCAACTTTATTTTTCTTCTTTCTTTCTTTCTTTCTTTCTTTCTTTCTTTCTTTCTTTCTTTCTTTCTTTCTTTCTTTCTTTCTTTCTTTCTCCTTCTCTCTCTCTCTCTGTATATATACATACATATATATGAATATTTGGGGTACTTGTCTCTATGTATTCCTATATATATGTCTGTGTATGTCCTGTTGGTTCTGCTCCTTTTGAGATCCCTAACTAATACAGATTTTGGTATTGAGAGTGTTTTTAGAGAAACAGAATTTTAAAAATGGATTTTGTAAATTAGTTTGATGGTTTCTGGAATTGGCTGTCTAATCTGATTAGATTTAAAGGTGCTAATAACTTTATTTCCAGAAGTAAAGAGAGAACTGATAGTTCATAACAAGGTCTAGCAATAAAGATACATAAAATATTACTATTGGATACTCCTAATCAACTACTTATAAAATGCAAGAGTTTGGGTGACTGTGCATGTGCTACTTTTGAATATTTTTGGCAAACTAATGAGTATAATGAGATTGGCTGATTGCTTCTAATGTTACTAGACAAATTGGCTAAAGAAAAGGATGAGGTCAGACATTTGAATTACCAGCTCAAGTACTGCATAAATGACCTGAAAACTTCCATGTGTGCCCCAAAGGAGAGCCTTATCTCCTGTATTGTCAGGGCTGAGATTATTGAAAATCAAACCCAGAACCTCATCCTGTGACTGGCTGAATTACAAGACAATTTGAACTCCCAGCCTTGTAGAGTGTCTGTTGTTAAAGTCAGAGCATTGATTGGAAAGGGAGAGTGATATGATATGGATCTGTTTCACCATCCTAATTTCAGGTAGAATTATAATCTTCAATGCTGGAGGTGGCGCCTGGTAGGAGGTGATTGGATCATGGGGGCGGTTTCTCATGGTTCATGGTTTAACACCATCTCCGTCTTGGTTCTGTTATCACAATAGTGAGTTCTTGTGCAATCTGGTTGTTTAAAAGTATGTGGCACCTCCCCCTCTAGTGGGACTCTTTGTATTTTGGAGGCAACATATTTCTCATTCAGGTGTTATTCCAGCCCATTTACTGGGTGAGCTGGAAAGCTGCAAGTTTTGAGTGGGGCCCAGAACAAGACGAGATTCTGCAATAGGTCCAGGCTATTTTGCAAGTTTCTCTGGCACTTGTGCCATATGATCCAGCAGATCCAATGTGTTTGAAGTGTTGGTGGAAGATAGGGATGTTGTTTGAAGTCTTTGGAAGACCATTATAGATAAATTGCAGCTCAGTACTTTAGGATTTTGGAACAAGGCCCTGCCATCATTCTCAGATAACTACTTTTCTTTTGAGAAATCACTTTTGGTCTGCTATCTGGCCTTAGTAGAGATTAAATGCTTAACTACAGGCCAAGTTATCGAACTACCATGTGATCTGAGCTGTCCATCAAAAACTGGTTGTTATCTCACCCACCAAGCCATAAAGTAAGGCACGCACAGCAACATTTCATTATTAAATGGAACTGGTATATATTGATTAGGCCTGAGCAGGCCCTAAAGGCACAAGTAAGTTACCTGAGAGTGGCCTAAATGCCCACGGTTCCTACTCCTGTCACACTCCTTTCTCTCTTTCAGCCTGCACCTATGACCTTGCAGGGAGTAGTACCCTATTATTAACTGACAGAAGAAGAAAATAATTAGGCCTTGTTTATATATGGTTCTGCATAATATGCAGGCACTACCTGGAAGTGGACAGCTGCAGCACTACAACCCTTCCCTGAGATATCCGTGATGGATAGTGAAGGGAAATCCTCCCACTGGGAAGAACATCAAGCAGTGCACCAAATGAACTTCCAAATTCACTTAGAAGAAGTGGCCCGATGTGTGATTATATGCTGATTTATAGGCTGTGGTCAATGGTTTGGCTGGATGATCAGGGAGATGTGAGGAACATGATTGGAAAATTGGTGGCAAGAAAATTTTAGGGAAGAGTTTGTAGATAGTCATCTCAACATTGTGCAAACAACATGAAGATATTTGTGTCTTATGTGAATGCTCACCAAAGGGTGACCTAGGCAAAAGAGGATTTTAATAACCAAATGGACACAATGACCCATTTTGTGGATACCAGTAAGTCTTTTTCCCTAGCCACCCCTGCTGTTGTCCAATGGACTCATGGATAAATTGACTATGGTGGCAAGGATGGAGGGTATGCATGGGCTCAGCAACATGAATTTCAGCTCACCAAGGGTGACCTGGTTGTGGCCACTGCTGAATGTCCAATCTGCTAGCAGCATACATGAACACTGAATACTTGATATGGCAACAATTCCTGGAGTGATCAGTTAGCTACCTGGTGGCAGGTTAATGACATTGGACCACTTCCAGCATAAAAGAGCAGCATTTTGTTCTTATTGGAATAGACTCTGACTGGATACAGATTTGCCTTCTCTGCATGCAATGCTTCTGTCAAATTACTATCTGTGGATTCACAAAATGCCTTATCTGTTGTCATGGTATTTCATACTGCATTGTTTTTAATCAAGGAATTCACTTCACAACAAATGAAGTATTGCAATGGTCCTATGCTCATGCAGTTCACTGATCTTACCATGTTTTCCACCATCCTAAAGCATTTAGCTTGACAGAACAATGGAATGGTCTTTTGGACACTCAGAGAACCAGCTAATGGCAGTACCTTGCAGAACTGAGACAAGTTTCTTTACAAGGCTGTATAGGAGGATGTATATTCTCTGAATCAATACCCAATATATAGTGCTCTTTTTCCCTTAGCCAAGATTTGTGGGTCCCAGAAGCAAAGGGTGGAAATGGGAATAAGATCACATACTATTATCCCTAATGACACACTAGCAACATTTTGCCTCCTGTTTCTATGACCTTAGGCTCTGTTGGCCTAGGGGTTCTAGTTCCAAAGAGAGGCATGCTCCCAGAAGAGGCACAACAATGATCCAATTGACCTGGAAGTTAAGAATGTCACCTGGCCACACTGACACTTCTCATGCCTCTGAATCAACAGGCAAAGAAGGCAGTTACTGTGCTGGCCAGGGTGATTGATCCTAACTAACCAAGGGAGAACTTTGACTACTACTCCCCAAAAGAGGTAAGGAAGACTATGTGTGGAACACAGGAGATCCCTTAGGGAATATTGTAGTATTACCATGCCCTATGATTAAGGTCAATGAAAAACTATAACAACCTAATTTAACTGAACTACTAATGGCCCAGACCCTTCAGGAATGAAAGTTTGGGTTCTTTAACACTAGCAAAAGAGGATTCTGATAATCAAATGGATAGAATGACCCATTCTGTGGATACTAGTCAGTCTCTTTCCCCAGATAACCCTGCCATTGTCCAGTGGATTCATGGATAAATTCACCATGGTGGCAGGGATGGAGCGTATGCATGGGCCCAGCAACATGCACTTCAACTCACCAAGGCTGATCTGGTTATGGCAACTGCTGAATGTCCAATCTGCTAGCAGTGTAACACTGAGTTCCTTACCACCAGGTAAACAACCATGACCAGCGAAGATTTTTTCTAAAGGCAGACAGTAGCAGAAAAAGGTAGTTAAAAATACCTATGACCAGCCGGGTGCGGTGGCTCACGCCTGTAATCCCAGCACTTTGGGAGGCCAACGTGGGTGGATCACGAGGTCAGGAAATCAAGACCATCCTGGCTAACACGGTGAAACCCCATCTCTACTGAAAATACAAAAAATTAGCCGGGCGTGGCGGCGTGCTCCTGTAGTCCCAGCTACTGGGGAGACTGAGACAGGAGAATGGCATGGACCCGGGAGGCAGAGCTTGCAGTGAGCCGAGACGCATCACTGCACTCCAGCCTGGGTGACAGAGTGAGACTCCGTCTCAAAAAAAAAAAAAGAACAAAAAACCTATGACCATGTAATTAGTTACAGAAAGGAAGACTGTAATTGTCATAAGCATTTCCTGTTTATTTTGTTATATGACAAGGTATTAAGAGAAAAAGAAAAAGTATATGTTTAATACATATTTATACATACACACATATTTATAACTAGGATGTATTGGCTTTATTTAATAGTACCTAAATATTGTTAATATTTCATCATAGTATTTAAGTTATGAGATGTCAAAGAGAAGAATAAACATTACTCAAATTATTCAAGGGCTTTAACTCCACTCCTGGGGAAGGGTCAGTGAGGTTTTAGTTATATATAGGATAGTTTTATCATGTTAGGTGGAGCTATGCCTTTTAAATTATCTTTATTTGGCAATTAAGTATGGTTTAAGGAAATGTGCATGGATGTCAAGTTGACAAGAAAGTGGACTTGTGAGGGTTAATTTTATGTGTCAACTTGACTGGGCCATGGGATGGCCAGATATCTAGTGTATTAGTCCATTTTCACACTGCTGATAAAGACTACCCGAGACTGGGCAATTTACAAAAGAAAGAGGAGGTTTATTGGACTTACAGTTCTAGATATCTGGGGAGGCCTCACAATCATGGTGGAAAGTGAAAGGCACATCTCACATGGTGGCAGACAAGAGAAGAGAACTTGTGCAGGAAAACTCCAATTTTAAAAACCATCAGATCTCATGAGACCCATGCACTATATAAGAACAGCACGGAAAGACCTGCTCCCATGATTCAACCATCTCCCACCAGGTCCCTCCCACAACACGTGGGAATTATGAGAGCCACAAGATGAGATTTGGGTGGGGACACAGAGCCAAACCACATCATCTGGTTAAGTATTATTTCTAGGTGTGCCTGTGCATGTGTTTCCAGAGTATTTAGCATTTAAACTGGTGGACTGAGTAAAGCAGCTGGCCCTCCCCAATAGAAGTGGGCATCATCCAATCCATTGAGGGCTTATAAAAGGTAGAGCAAGGGAGAATTCTCTCTCTCTGACTGCTTGAGCTGGGACATCAGTGTTCCCCTGCCCTCAAAGTGGAACTTACCCTGTAAGTGCTTATGGTTCTCAGGCTTCAGACTTGAATTGGAACTACATTGTTGTCTTTTTTTTGAAACACCAGCTTGCAGAAAGCAGACGTTGGGACTTTATAGCCTCCATAATCACATGACACATAATCACATGACCTCCATCATTACATAAATACTTACAATCTCTCACGCTCTTTTTCTACACACACACACACACACACACACACACACACACACACACACACGGGCTTCTCTGGAGAACCCTGACTAACATACTTCTCTTCCTTTATATTTACCCTTGAGTTTGGTGACACTGGGGGTGTTTTGGGGATCTGGCTAAGAGGAAGTTGAACTGGCAAATAATTTAGTTGGATATATTTATGTAGTTTGTGGTCATTACAGTGTATAGCGAACTATCTCAGTCGGGGAGTGGCTTCCAGCATTATTAATGTGCCTACTTTAACAGTCTACCTGGCAATGTAACAGAAGATGCAGGGGTAGAGGTGTATAACTATGAAAATGTCCTTTGGTACCTAGCACTGAAAGTATGGAGTTGGTGGATGGAAAACAATGTCAAAGATTCACCCCATGTGGTAACCCCTGTCACTTATAGGGAATGCACATATAAGTGGCATGTAGGGTACTGTAGCATTTGTTCCTTGAAATCAATAAAGAAATGCTAGGGTAACAAGTGAGAAGTGTGTAGCATGGCATAAAGGAAGATAGAATAAGATTATGTCTGCACTAAGTCAATTGTTGCAGCAGTACCCCAAACAATAGACAGGCATGGCATAGATAGGTAAAACTGAGATACATGCTGAAGTGGTATATAAGTGGTTCCTCCAAGGACATAGGACCAGCCCACCTGGTGCCGATTGCCACTAGTGACCTTGCCTTCCCAGTCGTGGAGCCACCATGCACCATACATGCTCCCCTATGACTGAGGACCAGCTGGCACAGCACCTGCTGCCACTGGTGACCCTGCCCCCACAAGTGCCCAAGCCATCATGTACATGTGTACTCGCTGGTGACTAGGGATTGATACACCTTAGTCACTGCTGCCACTGCCATCATTGCCCCTGCAACTGGCAGAGCCACTGTATCCAGCATGTGCCACCCTAGGGCCTGATAACTGGCCCTCTCAGCAGCCCTGCCCCAAGCAAAGCCACACCACTACCTCCACAAACACCCAGAATCTAGGCCACTAAAGCACTTGTAGGCATTCCTGCTGTTGATTACAGCTGAAGCAATCACATGGAGACTATACTACCACAACCATCCAGAACCAAAGCCAAAACACCTGAGTCTATACAACCGACATTACTGGACACATCTACAGGAAAAAATCTTTTCCTATGAAAGCTGCTCCATAAAATTGGAAGAGGTGACTGTTCCTCCAGATGAACATATTAACATTGGGACATATAATATATGAAAACATAAGAAAACATGACACCTCCAAAGGAACACACTAATTCTCTAGTAATTTCATAGATTTCAAGAAAATGAAAACTATGAAATGCCTGCAAAATAATTTAAAATAATGATCCTAAGGAAACTGAAAGAGAATACAGATAGACAATCCAACAAAATCAGGAAGATAATTCATGATCAGAATGAGAAGTCCAACAAAGAAGTAGAGATCATAAAAAAGAATCAAACAAATCATGGAGCTAAAGAATTCAATGAATGAAATAACAAATACAACCACGAGCTTCATCATAGACTAGATCAAACAGAAGAAAAATTCTCTGAATTTGAGGAAAGCTCTTTTGAAATAAACCAGTCAGACAAAAAGAAAAAAAAGAAGTAAAAACAATGAAGAAGAAAGCCTTGGTACTTACTGGACACCAATAAGCAAACAGATGTTCACATCATGGCAGTTCCAGAAGGGAGGAAATGGTAAGAAGCATAGAAAAACATATTTAATGAAATAATAGCTAAAAACTTCCCGAGTATTGTCAGATATATAGACATCCAGATCTGCAAAGCTCAAAATGTACCAAATAGATTCAACCCCATAAAGGTCCTTGCCAAGGCACAGAATACTCAAACTGTCAAAAGTCAAACACAAAGTGAAGACAAAAGTGTCAAGTCATATATAAGGAAATTTCCGTTAGACTAACAGCAGTTTTCTTAGAATAAAACTAATAGGCTACGTGCGAATGGGATAACATATTCAAAGTGCTGAAAGAAAAAAGAATGCCAGCAAAGCTATTCTTCAAAAATGAAGGAGAAATAATGTTCTTAGACAAGCAAAAACTACAACAGCCTTACAATAAATACTTAAGGGAGTCCTACATTTAGAAGGAAAAGGATAATAACTACCATCATTAAAACACACAAAAATGTAAACTCACTAGTAGAGCAGGTACACAAATGAGAAAAAGAAAGGTATCAAACCTTATCACTATAGAAAACCACCAAGCCACAAAGATAAACAATAAGAGAGGAAGAAAGGAATGAAAGATCTACAAAACAACCCCCAAATAACCAAATGACAGGAGTAAGTCCTTACTTATCAATAATAACCTTGAGTGAAAATAGATTAAATCCCCCAATTAAAAGATATAGCATGGCTGAACAGATTTAAAAAATGACTTAACTATTTACTGCCTACAAGAAATTCACTTCACCTGTAAAGACACACATATAAAGCAAAGGGATGAGGTGGGCAAATCGTTTGGGCCCAGGAGTTTGAGACCAGCCTGGGCAACACTACAAAACCCTATCTCTACAAAAAAATAAAAAAATTAGCTGGGTGTGGTGGTGCACACCTGTAGTCCCAGCTGCTTGGGAGGCTGAGGTGAAAGGATTGCCTGAGCTTGGGGAGGTAGAGGCTGCAGTGAGCTGTGATTGCACCACTGCCCTCCAGCCTGGGCCACAGAGCAAGACCCTATCTCAAAAAAGAAAGAAAGAAAAAATAATAAGAGAAAGAAAGGAAGAAAGAAGGGAAAGAAAGAAAAGAAGAAAGGGAAAGAAAGAAAAAAAGGAAGGAACAAAGAGAGAAAGAAAAAGAAAGAAAGAAAGAAAAGAAAAAGACTGAAGGGATGGCAAAAGATATTTTACACAAATGGAAACCAAACTAAGCAGGAGCAGCTGTACTTAGATAAGATAGACTTTAAGTTGAAACTGTAAAAAGAGATGAAGATCATTAAATAATGATAAAAAGATCAAATTTGCAAGAGGACATAACAATTGTAAATATACATGCACTCAACACAAGAGGACCCAGACTATAAACCAAATATTATTTTAGTTAAAGGAGGAGATAGACTGTAGTACAATAATAGTTGGAAACTTCAACACCCCGTTCTCAGTGTTGGGTAGATCATCTAGACAGAAAATCAATGGAGAAATATTGGATTTAAACTGTACTGTAAATCAAATGGACCTAACAAGCAGTTACAGAACAACATTTTATCCAACAGCTGCACATTCTTTTTTTTTTTTTTTAGACAGGATTTCACTCTGTCACTCACCCAGGCTGGAGTGTAGTGATGCAATAACAGCTCACTGCAACCTTGACCTCCTGGGCTCAAGCTATCCTCCTGCCTCAGCCTCCTGAGTAGGTAGGGTTACAGGTGTAGACCACCATGCCTAGCTGATTAAAGAATTCTGTAGAGATTAGAGATGGGGTCTCCTCATGTTACCCAGGCTGGTCTCAAACTCCTGGGCACAAGCAAGCCTCTCATTTCAGCTTCCCAAAGTGTTGGGATCACAGACACGAGCCACTGCAGCTGACCAGAATACACATTCTTCACAACAGCACATGGAATATTCTTCAACATAGATCATATGGTAGGCCATGAAACAAGTCTCAACAAATTTTTAAAAATTGAGGTCATATCAAGTATATTTACTGAGCATAATACAATAAAACTAGAAATCAACAAGAACATAGGAAACTATAAATACATGGAAATTAAACAACATGCCCTGAACAACCAATGGGCAAATGAAAAAATTAAGATGGAAGTGAAAACATTTTTGGAAACAAATGAAAACAGAAACACAGCATACCAAATCTATGGACATATGGAAAGCAGTACTAAGAGGAAAAATTAAAACATGGTTACATTAAAACAGAATGATTTCACACAAACCACCTAATGATTCACCTCAAGGAATTAGAAAAGCAAAACAAACTATGAGATGAGCCTTGACCAGTGAGATTCCAGAGTAGGAAAGCATAAGGTAAACTCTCAATTCATCTCCTCTCCACGCACTACTCTGAGGTGAAATTTCTTCTCACAGTCCCTCAAAAAGGCCTGCAAATACACGTGATGAGCAACCTGTTCTGTTTCTTCATGGCTCATTGTGAAGTGGCAATCAGTGCTTCAACACAGCTTTGCATCTCATCTTGTCCAATTTTCCCCTTTTCCTCACCCTCACTTCCCTGGGCTTGAATCTCACAGAAAAAGAACAGTGTTTAGTCCTACTTCAGGCTCCTAGAGATCCTGTGCTAAGATAATTATTATAAAAAACTTTCCCTCAATGCTACATCTCTCCTTCTACTCTCCTTATATCTCACCTCCTTTGAAACTTTCAAAAAGAGGTATCTTTATCCTTATCTCCCTATCTTTGCTTTCTTATCTGCCATTCATTCCTCAGTCTTGCTTCTCCTACTATTTCTCTGAAACTGCTTTCACTAAGATCAATAATGATTTTCTTGCTCTTAAATCCAAAGGATAATTTTCAGCCTCTGTCTTACCTAGTTTGTCTGTAGCACTTGACACTGACCTCGCCTCCTTCTTCAAATATTGTCTTGCCCTGACTTCCAGACAATGTACTCTTGGTTTTTATCTTGCCATTTTAGCTGCTCCATTTCAGTCACCTTTGCATATCTTGTAAGTATTGATATTTACCAGAATTCTGTTCTCAGTCCCCTTCTCTCCCCTCCCCTCCCCTCCCCTTTCCTTGCTGTCCCTCTCTTTCCCTCCCTAATATCTGTATAAATTATCCCTGGACAATCTTGTTCATTCGCATACATAGCCTCAAGTGCTGATAACTTTCAAAACTATATTTTAGATCTAACTTTCCCTCTTGATTATCAAATTCTGAAAAGAATTTGATAATTCTTTTGGATATTTATTCTTGGAGTCCTATTGGCTCCTGAAACTGAACACGTTCAACAACGAAACTCAGCATCCTCTTCCCACCTGAATCTGTTCCTGTTGCTGCCTTCCCTGTCTCATAGACTGATTACTTCATTCCTAAGCCAGAAACTGGGTCCCAGTTTTCTCAGGACTTTTCTGGTTTTAGCATGTGGAACCCCTCCGTTCCATGCAAACTGTCATGGTTTGTTCAGAGCTGTCTCCACTTTTAAACTGGAACTGCCACATTGTAGAATCCCCTCAGTTCTGAAAATAAGAGGAAGATTGGTCAGTCTGTTTTCCACATCCAATCAATTACTAAGGCTCATTTGTTATAACTTTTAAATATGTCTAGTTTGTCTATTTCTCTCCATCTCTATTGCTGTTTTACCAGTTCCGGCTATTAACATTTCTTACCTGGATTGCTGCAAACTTTCCTTTTGCCTCTAACATTGCTTCCTCCAACCCATTCTCTGGATTGCTGCCAGAATATTCTTTTATTTTTTTAATTTTTATTTTATTTATTTGTTTTTGAGATGGAGTTTTGCTCTTGTCACCCAGGCTGGAGTGCAATGGCTGCAATCTTGGCTCACTGCAACTTCTGCCTCCCAGGTTCAATAGATTCTCCTGCCTCAGCCTCCCGAGTGGCTGGGATTGTAGGCATGCACCACCAAGCCCAGATAATCTTTTTATTATTAGTAGAGAAAGGGTTTCACCATGTTGGCCAGGCTGGTCTTGAACTCCTGACCTCAGATGATCCACCCGCCTTGGCTCCCCAAAGGCATGAGCCACTGCGCCTGGCCAGAATATTACTTTAAAATTATAAACCTGATGATGTTTTTCCCCTCCTTAAATCTTTTTAACTGTTTCCTATTTGCCCTAGGACAAGGTGCGCAATTTTTAAGATTGCTCTCATAGCCCCTCATAAAATTGTCCTGCTCATTCCTCCAGACTCATCCCTTCTCACTTTCCTCATACACGGTATGTAAGCTCAGATGCCAGCTGTTCCCTATCCATTATTTTTAAAAATATTACACCCTCGTAGACATAGAACTCTTGCATATCATCATATTATCTTTCCCAAACCCACATTTATAAAAGTCTTAGTGAGAAACAAGGAATTTATGGGGAGATGAGGGAGATATTTTATTATACTTGGTATAGTAATAAC
This sequence comes from Homo sapiens, assembly GCF_000001405.40. Classification (NCBI taxonomy): domain Eukaryota; kingdom Metazoa; phylum Chordata; class Mammalia; order Primates; family Hominidae; genus Homo; species Homo sapiens. Next base: position 88,630,202 of record NC_000001.11, on the reverse strand, counting down.
CATTTGAGATTTTTTTCCCCAAAATTTTTTCTTAGCTGTGGCACTCCAAGGACTGTTTTGGTCTTTATCTTCCTCCCAAGGCATATAGCCTTTTTGGATCCAGCCCGTACCCTCACTCCAAGTTCTTTACATTCATTTCTTTATTGTACTGAGCAATTTGGCTTTATCTAACTCCATCAAAGGGCTCACCAAAACAAAGTGTTCTTCTATTTGCATATTCCATTCTTGTTTAGTTACCATCATTTTTAGCTTGACTATGTCCCTTAAGATCTTGTCTCTCATCCCATGTAGCTTATTAAAATATTTCCTTAAAATATGGTGTTATATTCTTAGAGGAATTCTTGTACTAGTTGCCAAAAGAGTAAAAGTTTCTTCATTTTGTTACATGTGTTTTAGCCATATTGGTTTTCCTGCAGGTCTCATAGTATTCCTTGTTCTCTCCTACTATGTCTTTGTATAAGCCGCTAAATTTGTTTGGGATACTTTAAAGTGAACCAGTTTTAGATGTAGTTCATAGGCTTGACTTGGATTAAAAAAATCTCTAATTATATCATGAGTCATTTCAGCATTTTTAATCATCATGGCATGATAAATTTCACTGCATCAATCTCTAGGGGATTAGGACAAAAACGAATTTCAGTTTTTAAAAATGATTTTCAAGACCTCCAATAAAGTATGTAAAGGACATTAAACGGGCCTAAGAAATTATACAGCTTTCAGTTTGATCCTAAATTCAAGAACTAGTCCAATTAATCAAAATTGCAATCATAGTTCCCTTGAAAACAACAATATGCAAAACACATGGCCATTGTGCACAGTACATACAATCATATTAGTTTGCAGGTGGGTCATATTCAATTAACTTTTTTTTAACATAGTTGAGTGTATCTTTATTCTTACTAATGCAAACGTTTGAAGATTTTAAGCTAGCAGTAGATTAATTTCTTGTTTTGTATTAAGAGTCACACTGCTTGGGTTTCTTGGTGGCCTTTCTCAGTACTTGAGCCCTTGATCTTCAACCACAGAGGTGGAGTAGTACCTATAAAATACAGGACAACAAGGCAGCTAAAACATTTATCATTGAGATGAACTTATTCATCATCTGATTTGAGTGATTAAGAAGACTTTGCCTGAAAACATTGCCAATATCAGCTTGAGAGTAGTGTAGATGAACAGAAAGAGTACAGAGTTAGTTTTCAGTAACAGATTTCCCCTCCAGTTAGGTTTTCTTATGTCACTTTAAACTCTCTGCATTTTCTAATCTTTTAACAGTCTTTATACTCATATTTTAAAAGTGAGATCTTCTCTTGTTTCTTTATTTACTCAGAAAGGTATTATAAAATAATGGATGTGAAATACTTTGAAAAACTAAAAATGCCTTGCAATCATGGGTGGGTCTGTCAGCTTTCAGATTTGTAAAGGACAACATGAAGAGACTAACCATACCTGTCTATTAATCCTTCCTACTATCCAACTATCCATCTATGTTTCTCTCCCTCCCTTCTTTCAACAAGTGTTTATTGAGCACTTCATATCTGCACACAGCAGATATGTCCTTACGGAACTTATACTCTTGTGTAAGTAAATAGTAAATAGAAAATTTAAATCCAGATTGGTAATGGCTGTAACTGGGAAGAATAGGGAACTGTGGAATGGTTGGATTGGGTGGCGTGGTGGTTAGAGAAGACTTTCCACAAAAAGTGGTATCTAGACTGACAGCTGATCCTTTCATTGCCATGGGAAATTGTAGGAAATATTTCAGGTCTTATGGGATATATGGGTAATAGGAAGGCAACAAGAGGTGCTAGAATATTCAAAGTAAATGGAACATTGCGTCCAAAGGCCCTGAGGCAAGAGTTAGTGTAGTTCAACAAATATCTCAAGGTAGATGCTCTGCTAGGTCAGAAATCTTCACTCAAATTGCTTATGGACAATGTAGTAGCTAGTTTCATAGAATATCTGATGTGTGAAATGTGTAAGGTTTATCCATTTGCAGCTCTGGCCTCAAGTCTTAGCATTGAATAGCATTGAATCAATCCTTCCTTCCTTCCTTCTTTCCTTCCTTCCTTTTTCTTCTTCTTTTTTTTTTTTTTGCAAGCAATCATTTGTGTAGTGGATTGCTAATACTTCAGAGTTGTTGATGTTTGAGGCATTACACTTTGAACTGAAATATGGCAATTATCAGAATATGCAATACCATAATTCGCATTTCTTTTCATTTTAAAGAGGAGGAAATTAGGGCACAGAGAGGTTAGATATCTTTTCCTAGGTCACACAGCTATGAAACTGCATGTAGGTTAGATCTGGGGTAACATGGTCTTCACACATTAAAATCTGGAGTATCGGCCAGGCATGGTGGCTCACAGCTGTAATCCCAGCACTTTGGGAGGCTGAGGTGTGCAGATCACAAGCTCAGGAGTTCGAGACCAGCCTGGCCAATATGGTGAAACCCCGTCTGTACTAAAAATACAAAAATTAGCTGGGCGTGATGGTGGGCACCTGTAGTCCCAGCTCCTCAGGAGGCTGAGGCAGGAGAATTGCTTGAACCCGAGAGGCAGAGGTTGCAGTGAGCCGAGATTGCACCACTGCACTCCAGCCTGGGCGACAGAGCGAGACTCTGTCTCAAAAAAATATATACTATAACACAAGATCAATAAAATATAAGATCAAGAACAACCACAGAGGCTGAATATTACTTATAAAATACAGGACAAAAATAGCGAAAACTCATAATTATCATTGAGACAAATGTATTTGGCATCTGATTTGAATGATAAAGAAGACCTCTAGCCTGAAAACATTGCCAACATCATCTGCCATAGCTCCTTTCTGACATTCTATCAGAGTAATATTGCTTTGAGTCTCGAAAGCATGTGTTGTCTCTGAGAATTCCTTTGAAGCTGATATCTAGTTCAGCACAAACTAGAGTCTGGGGCAATGCTTAGGAAAGATAGGAACATGAAACCCAGGAATAAGAAACAGGCAAGTGAAGTGGAAGTTTAAGAAACATTAATACAAATTTCTGTGTATCTAGAACTGATAGTTTATGATGGATTCCTAAGAAAACTGAGCAATTGAATATAATCATAATAATTGCTAGACATCTCTGGCCTTCACTAAACTAATTGCTGAGAAAAACAACATGAAGGAAAAGTAGAATCCCCCTCCAGCTTGATTATTTGAATATCGGATAAGTTAGGTATGGTGATGAGAAGCTGGAATATCGTGTGAGAGCAGTAATGCTACTTCTAAAGTCTAAGGGATATATATTATACTAAGAAATATGAACGGTTCAAATCTCTTCACATCCACTTCCCCTAGCACATGTATATCAGACAATGGCAGAACTTCTGTTCTCATTGTTTTCTTGCCACAGGAACCTTGCAGATGATGTCCTAATCCTTGAGAGAAATAAAAAGGTCCTAAAAGTGAAACTTCTCCTGTCAGTTCCTTCTCCTGTCAGATTTTTTTTTTCAAACCGTAAAACTCTCTGTACCTGTTAGGATTCTTTCAGTTGCAAGTGACAGAATACCTAACAAAAATTTGTGTAACTACGAGGTCAGGAGATTGCGACCAGCCTGACCAACATGGTGAAAACCCGTTTCTACTAAAAATACAAAAATTAGCCAGGTGTGGTGGTGCGCACCTGTAATCCCAGCTTCTCGGGAGACTGAGGTGGGAGAATCGCTTGAACCCGGGAGGCAGAGGTTGCAGTGAGACAAGATCGCGCCACTGCACTCCAGCCTGGGAGACAGAAGGAGACTTCATCTCAAAAAAAAAAAAAAATTTGTGTAAGTAAAACATTTATTGGCTCATGTATTTGAAAGAGCCAGAGGTAGGGCTTATCATAGATGCAGTTTGATCTGGGGGATCAAATGATGGGTTTCTCATCATCTTTCAACTCTTTCTTCCTTTGTGATGCCAACTTTATCACTGGGCTGCTTCCCTAATGAGACAAGATGGCTGCAGCGTTTCCAAGTCCCACATCTTCATCTGAAAGATCCAGTGGAACAGTGAAAGTCTTTCTCAGACTCAATTACCATGGCCAAGGAGTTGAGGTTTTGCTTAAGTCAATCACGGTCCACTGTGGGGGTGGATATCGGAGTCATTCCCATCCAAACAACATGGCAGGGAAGAAGGCTGGGAGGATTTCCGTAAAGGAAGTTCTGCTACTAGATACACGGGGAAATGGAGGCTAAATAGTAAAGAAGGGATTTCTGTCCCCCGTGATTTTCAAATCTGTTCTTTTTTGGCAGTCCACCTGAAAGGACTCTCAGTCAAGTTTAGCTTCTCTGTTGGTTAGGATATAGCTTCAGGTGCATAAAATAGAGACTCAAAATACGAGTAGATTAGACAAGATAGAAGTTTATTTCACTCTCATTTAAAGCCTGAGATGATAGGGTGACTCTGCACTGTGAAGTTATGAGGCACCAGCCTGCTGTTTTGCTCTGTCATCTCCAGGATGTTGCTTCTCTCTCTGTGGCCCAATATGGATCACTCCTATGTCCCAATTCCAACCTGACAGAAGGGAAAAAGAAGGGGATGGATGTGTCTTTCCCTTTTAAGTCAGGACTTCTGACCATCAGACTATTGTTATTTTGGACCAGACAATTCTTTGTTGTGGGGAGATGTCCTGTGCATTATAGGATGTTTAGAAGCATCCCTGGCCTCTACTCGATAGGTGCCAGGAATGTCACCTCCCTGTCCCCAGTTGTGACAATGAAAAATGACTCCAGACATTGCCTAGTGTCCCCTGGCAGGCATATTTTACTTCTGCTTGTATTCTTTAGCTAGATCTGAGTCACATGGCATACATAGCTGCAAAGGAGACTGGGAAATGCAGTCCTTTTATTTTTATTTTTAAATGTTTAAATTTTTATTTTAGGTTTGGGGTACATGTGTAGGTTTGTTATATAGGCAAACTCAATGTCACTGGAGTTTGTTTTACAAATTATTTCATTATTGAGGTACTAAGCCTGGTGCTCAATAGGTATTTTTTTCTGACCCTCTCCCTCCTCCCACCCTTGAGCCTCAAGTAGGCCCTAGTGTCTGTTGTTATCCTCTTTGTGTTCATGAGTTCTTATCATTTAGCTTCCACTTATAAGTGAGAACGTGTGTTATTTGGTTTTCTGTTCCTGTGTTAGTTTGCTAAGGATAATGACCTCTGGCTCCATCTATATCCCCACAAAAGACATAATCTCATTCTTTCTTATGGCTGCATAGTATTCCATGGTATGTATGTACCACATATTCTTTTTTCAATCTGTCATTGATGGGCATTTAGGTTGATTTCTATGTCTTTGCTATTGTGAAGTTGCAATGAACATATGCATACATGTGTGTTTACGGTAGAATGATTTGTATTCTTTGGGTATATACCCAATAGTGGGATTGCTGGGTCTCAGGGTAGTTCTGTTTTTAGCTCTTTGAGGAATTCCCACACTGCTTTCCACAATGGTAGAACTGATTTACACTCCCACCAACAGTGTGTAAGTGTTCCCTTTTCTCTGCAACCTCCCTAGCATCTGTTATTTTTTACTTTTTAATAGCCATTCTGACTGGTATGAGATGGTATCTCACCAATCAAAACTGGTGGTTTTGATTTACATTTCTCTAATGATCAGTGATATTGAGCTTCTTTTCATGTTTGTTGGCCACATATATGTCTTTTTTCGTTTTTTAAGATAGAGTTTTACTCTGTCACTTAGGCTGCAGTGCAGTGGCATGACCTCGGCTCACTGCAATCTCCACCTCCCAGACTTAGGCGATTCTCCTGCCTTCACCTCCCAAGTAGCTGGGACTACAGGCATGTGCCACCACGCCCGGCTAATTTTTGTATTTTTAGTAGAGATGTGGTTTCACCATGTTGGCCAGGCTGGTCTGGAACTCCTGACCTCAAATTATCCGCCCACCTGGGCCTCCCAAATTGCTGGGATTACAGGCGTGAGTCACTGTGCCCTGCCTATGTCTTCTTTTGGAAAGTGTTCACACCCTTTGCCCACTTTTTAATGGAATTTTTTTTTCTTGTAATTTGTTTAAGTTCCTTACAGATGCTCGATATTAGGCTTTTGCAAATATTTTCTCTCATTCTGTAAGATGTCTATTTACTCTGTTGATAGTTCATTTGCTGCACAGAAGCTCTTAAGTTTAGTTAGATCCCATTTGTCAATTTTTGCTTTTGTTGTGATTAACTTTGGTGTCTTCATCATGAAATCTTGCCATTCCTATGTCCAGAATGGTATTGCCTAGGTTGTCTTCCACGGTTTTTACAGTTTTGGGTTTTATATTTAAGTCTTTAATCCATCTTGAGTTGATTTTTGTATATGGTGCAAGGGATCCAGTTTCAATCTTCCAAATATGGGTAGCCAGTTATCCCAACACCATTTATTGAATAGGGAGCACTTTTCCCATTGCTTGTTTTAGTCAACTTTGAAGAAGATCAGATGGTTGTAGGTTTGCAGCATTATTTCTGAGCTCTCTATTCTGTTCCGTTGGTCTATGTGCCTGTTTTTGTACCAGAACCATGCTGTTTTTGTTACCGTAGCCCTGTAGTATAATTTGAGATTGGGTAATGTGATGTCTTCACTTTTATTCTTTTTGCTTAGGATTGCCTTGGCTATTTGTGCTCTTTTGTTATTCCATGTAAATTTTAAAATAGTTTTTTTTTTTTTTTTTTTTTTTTTTTTTTAGTTCTGTGAACAATGTCATTGGTAGTTTGATAGGAATAGCACTGAATCTGTAAATTGCTTTGGGTAGTATGGCCATTTTAATGATATCAATTCTTTCTATTCATGAACATGGAATGTTTTTCCGTTTGTTTGTGTCATCTCTGACTTCTTTGAGCAGTGTTTTGTAATTCTCATTGTAGAAATTTTTCAACTTCCTGGTTTCTGGTTAGCTGTATTCATAGGTATTTTATTCTCTTGTGGCAATTGTGAATGGGATTGTGTTCCTGATTTGGCTCTCAGCTTGGCTGTTCTTGGTGTATAGGAATGCTAGTGATTTTTATATGTGGATTTTGTATCCTGATACTTTGCTGGAGTTTATCAGCTGAAGGAACTTTTGGGCTGAGACTATGGAGTTTTCTAGATATAGAGTCATGTCATCTGTAAACAGGGATAATTTGACTTCCTCTCTTCCTATATGGATTCCTTTTATTTCTTTCTGGTTCCTGATCACTGTGGCCAGGACTTCCAATGCTATGTTGAATAGGAGTGGTGAGAGAGGGCATCCTTGTCTTGTGCCAGTTTTTAAGGGGAATGCTTCCAGCATTTCCCCATTTAGTATGATGTTGGCTGTGGGTATGCTATATATGGCTTTTACTCTTTTGAGGTATGTTCCTTCAGTACCTTTTCAAATTATTTATTGAGGTGGGTTTTTTTTTTTCTCACTCTGTCATCCTGGCTGGAGTGCAGTGGTGTGATCTTGGCTCACTGCAACATCTGCCTCCCAGGTTCAAGTGATTCTTGTGCCTCAGCCTCCCGAGTAACTGGGATTATGAGCTTGTGCCACCATACCCAGCTAATTTTTGTATTCTAGTAGAGATGGGGGTTCACCCTGTTGGCCAGGCTGGTCTTAAACTCCTGACCTCAAGTGATCACCCCTCTTTGGCCTCCCAAAATGCTGGGATCACAGGCGTGAGCCTCTCTGCCTGGCCTATTGAGAGTTTTTAACATGAAGGAATGCTGAATTTTATTGAAAGCCTTTTCTGCCTTTATTGAGATAATCATGTGGTTTTTGTCTTTAGTTCTATTTATGTGATGTGTTACATTTACTGATTTGACTATGTTGAACCAAACTTGCATATTAGGGATGAAGCCTACTTGATCATGGTAGATTAGCTTTTTGATGTGCTGCTGAATTCAGTTTGCAAGTATTTTGTTGAAAATTTTTGTGTCAATCTTCATCAAGGATATTGGCTTGAAGTTCCCTTTTTTCGTTTTGTCTCTGCCAGGTTCTGGTATCAGAATGATGCTGGTGTCATAGAATGAGTTGGGGAGGGCCCCCTCCTCCTCAGTTTTTTGGAATAATTTCAGTAGAAATGGTACCAGCTTTTCTTTTACATCTGTTAGAATTTGGCTGTGAATCCATCTGGTCCTCGACTTTCTTAGGTTGGTAGGCTATTTATTACTGATTCAGTTTTGGAGCTCATTACTGGTCTGTTCAGGGGATCAATATCTTCCTGGTTCAGTCTTGAGAGGGGTATGTGTCCAGGAGTTTATCTATGTCTTCTAGATTTTCTAGTTTGTGTGCATAGAGGTGTTCATAGTAGTTTCTGATGGTTATTTTTATTTCTGTGGGGTCAGTGGTAATATCCCCTTTGTTGTTTCTAGTTGTGTTTATTTGTATCTTCTCTCTTTTGTTCTTTATTAGTCTACCTAGCAGACTATGTATTTTATTTGTTTTAAAAAAACCAACTCCTGGGTTTATTAATATTTGAATGGTTTTTCAGGTCTCAATTTCCTTCAGGTCAGCCTGATTTTGGTTATTTCTTGTCTTCGGCTAGCATTGGGGTTGGTTTGCTCTTGCTTCTCTAGTTCTTTCAGTTGTGATATTAGGTTGTTAATTTGAGATCTTTGTAACTTTCTGATGTGGGCGTTTGGTGCTATAAATTTACCTCTTAACACTAACTGCCTTAGCTGTGTCCCAGAGATTCTGGTATGTTGTATCTTTGTTCTCATTATTTTCAAAGATCTTCTTGATTTCTATCTTAATTTCATTATTTATGCAAAAATTATTCAGGAGCAGGTTGTTTAATTTTCCTTAATTGCATGGTTTAGAATGTTCTTTGTTAGTCTGGACTTCTATCTTTATTGTCCTGTGGTCCGAGAGTGTGTTTGGTATGGTTTCAGTTCTTTTGTGTTACCTGATGATTGTTTTATGTTTTATTGTGTGGTCAGTTTTAGAGTAAGTGCTATGTGGCAATGATAAAAATGTATACTCTGTTGTTTTGGGGTGGAGAGTTCTGTAGATATCTATCAGATCCATTTGGCCCAGTGCTGAGTTCAGGTTGTGAATATGGATGCTTCCGTGTTGGGTGCATATATATTTAGGATAGGTAGGTCTTCTTGTTGAATTGAACCCTTTACCATTATGTAATACCCTTCTTTGTCTTTTTTGATCTATGCTGGTTTTTGTCTGAGATTAGGAATGCAATTCCTGCTTTTTTCTGATTTCCATTTGCTTAGTAGATTTTCCTCTATCCCTTTATTTCCAGTGTCATTGCATGTGAGGTGAGTCTCTTGAAAACAGCCTACCATTGGGTCTTGCTTTTTTTTTTTTTTTTTTTTTTTTAAATCCAGCTTTCCACTCTGCCTTTTAAACGGCAGTACTTGGCCCATTTACATTCAAGGTTAATATTGATATGTATGACTTTGATCCTGTCATTGTGTTGTTAGTTGGTTATTATGCTGACTTGTTTTTGTGGTTGCTTTACAGTACTGGTCCATTTACTTAAGTGTGTTTTTGTATTGGCTGGTAATGGTCTTTCCTTTCCATATTTAGTGCTCCTTTCAAGATTTCTGGTAAGGAGGGTCTGGTGGCAATGAATTTCATCAACATTTGGTTACCTGAAAAGGATCTCACTTCTTTGCTTAGGAAAGTTAGTTTGGCTGGATACAAAATTCTTGGTGGAAGATTTTTTTTTCCTTCAAGAATGTTGAATATAGGCCCCCAATCTCTTCTGGCTTATAGAGTTTCTGCTAAAAGGGCTGCTGTTAGCCTGGTGGGGTTCCCTTTGTAGATGACTTGCCCTTTCTCTCTACCTGCCTTTAATATTCTTTCTTTCATTTTGGCCTTGGAAAATGGGATGATTACGTGTCTTGGGGATGATCTTCTTGTGTAGAATCTTGCAGGAGTTCTCTGTATTTGACCGTTGGCCTCTCTAGCAAAGTAGGGGAAGTTTTCATGAGCAATATCTTAAAATATGCTTTCCAAGTTGTTTGTTTTCTCCTCATCCCTTTCAGGGATGCCAGTAATTCATAGATTTGGCCTCTTTACATAATCCTATATTTCTTGGAGGTTTTGTTCATTCCTTTTTATTATTTTTTCTTATTGTCTGACTGTCTTATTTCAGAGAGTCAGTCTTCCGGTTCTGAGATTCCTCAGCTTGGTCTATTCTGCTGATAATACTTGTGATTACATTGTGAAATTCTTGTGGTGTGTTTTCCCAGCTCTATTAGATCAGTTAGGTACTTTTGTATACTGGCTATTTAGCTCCTGTATCCTTTTATTATGATTCTTAGTTTCCTTGGATTGGGTTCTGCCATTCTCCTGAAGCTCGATGGTCTTTATTTCTATCCATGTTCTGAATTCTATTTCTATCATTTCAGCCAGCTTAGCCTGGTTAAGAACCTTATATGATTTGGCTCTATGTCTCCACCCAAATGTCATCTTGAAATGCAATCTCCACATGTTGTGGGGGGGACCTGTTGGAAGTGATTGGATTATGGCGGTGGTTTCCCCCACATGCTGTTCTCATGATAGTGTGTGAGTTCTCATGAGATCTGATGCTTTAAAAGTTTTTGGCAGCCCCCCTCCCTCACTCTCTCTCTCTCTCCTGCTGCCTTGCAAGAAGGTACTTACTTCTCCTCCTTCTGCCATGATTGTAAGTTTCCTGAGGCCTCCCAGCCATGTGGAACTTTGAGTCAGTTAAACCTTTTTTTTTTTTTTTTTTTTTTAATAAACCACCCAGTGTTGGGTAGTTATTTATAGCAGGGTGGAAACAGACAAATACAGAAAATTGGTACTGGGAGTGGGGCACTGCTATAAATATGGAAGCAACTTTGAACTTAGTAATGGGCAGAGGTTGGAACAGTTTGGAGGGTTCAGAAGAAGGTAGGAAGATGTGGGAAAGTTTGGAATTTCCTAGAGACTTGTTGAATGGTTTTGACCAAAATGCTCATAGTGATATTAACAATGAAGTCTAGGCTGAGGTGGTCTCAGATGGGAAAGAGGAACTTACTGGGAACTGGAGTAAAGGTCACCCTTGCTATTCTTTAGCAAAGGACTGGCAACATTTTGCTCTAGCCCTAGAGATCTGTGGAACTTTGAACTTAAGAGAGATGATTTAGGGTATCTGGCAGAATAAGTTTCTAAGCAGCAAAGCATTCAAGGTGTCATCTGGCTTTTTCTGAAAGTGTTCAGTCATATGTGTTCACAAAGAGATGGTCTGAAATTGGAACTTATGTCAAAAAGGGAAGCAGAACATAAAAGTTTGGAAAATTTTCAGCCTGACCATGTGGTAGAAAAGAAAAATCCATTTTCTGGGGAGAAATTCAAGCCAGCTGCAGAAATTTGAATAAGTAACCAGGAGCCAATGTTAATAGCCAAGACAATGGGAAAAATGTCTCCAGGGTATTTCAGAGATCTTCACAGCAGACCCTCTCATCACAGGCCTGGAGGCCTGGGAAGGAAAAATAGTTTTTTTGCACCAGGACCAAGACCCTACTGCTCTGTGCAACCTTGGGACATGGTGTCATGTGTCCCAGCAGTTCCAGCTCCAGCTGTGGATAAAAGGGCCCAAGGTACAGCTCAGGCTGTTGCTTCAGAGGGTGCAAGACCCAAGCCTTTGTGGCTTCCAGGTGGTGTTGGGCCTGTGAGTGCGCAGAAGATAAGAGTTTAGGGTTGGGAACCTCTAGCTATATTTCAGGGGATGTATGGAAGTGCCTTGATGTCCTGGCAGAAGTCTGCTGCAGGGGTGGAGCCCTCATGGAGAACCTCTATTAGGGCAATGCGAGGGAAAATGTGGGGTTGGAGTCCCCACACAGAGTCCCCACTGGGGCACTGCCTAGTGGAGCTATGAAAAGAGGGTCACTGCCCTTCAGACCCCAGAATCATAGATCAACTGACAGCTTGCACTATGCACCTGGAAAAGCTGCAGGCTTTCAATGCCAGCTTGTGAAAGCAGTTGTGGGGCTGTACACTGCAGAACCACAGGGACTGAGCTGCCTATGGCCCTGGGAGCCCACTCCTTGCATCAGTGTGCCCTGGGTGTGAGACATGGAGTCAAAGGATATCATTTCAGAACTTTAATATTTAATGACTGCTCTGCTGGGTTTCAGATATGCATGGGGCCTGTGGCCCTTTTGGCCAATTTCTCTCATTTGGAATGGGAACATTGACCGAATGCCTGTATCCCCATTTTATCTTGGAAGTAACTAAGTTGTTTTTGATTTTACAAGCTCATCCGTGAAAGTGACTTGCCTTGTCTTAGATGAAACTTTGGACTTGGACTTTTGAGTTAATGCTGGAATGAGTTAAGACTTTAGGGGACTGTTGGGAAGGTATGATTGGTTTTGAAAAGTGAAAAGAACATGAGATTTGGGAGAGGGTAAGTGTGGAATAATATGGTTTGGCTCTGTGTCCCCACCCAAATCTCATCTTGAATTGTAATCCCCACATGTTGAGGGAGGGAACTGGTGGAAGATGACTGGATCATGGGGGTGGTTTCTCCCATGTTTTTCTCATGATAGTGAGTGAATTCTCAGGAGACCTGATGCTTTAAAAGTGTTTGGCTGTTATTAGGGATCTTGGATTGTCTGTAATTTGTTGAATCTGATCTATTCTTTTTCTTCAGGAGCTTTGGGCAGACTGAGGGTTGACTATATTGCAATGTCTGATTCACTCTGTAAGAGCTCATCTTAAGAAATGCTTTTTTTTTAAAAGAATTATTGAATTTTTTTATTGTGGTCAAATACATACAACGTGAAATTTACCATTTTAACCATTTTTAAGTGTACAGTTCTTTGGTATAAAGTACATTCACATTGTTGTGCAACTATCCACATCATCCATCTTCAGGACCTTTTCATCTTCCCTAACTGAAGCTCTGTACCCATTAAACGTGACTGCCCATCTCCCCTCTCCTCAGCCCCTGGCAATCACCATTCTACTTTATGTCTCTATGAATTTGACTACTATAGGTACCTCATATAAGTGGAATCATATGGCATTTGTCCTTTTGTGACTGGCTTATTTCACTTAAAAAATGTCTTCAAAGTACATCCAGGATGCAGCATGTATCAGAATTTCCTTCTTTTTAAAGGATGAATAATATTCTATTCTATGTATATACTAATGGATTTGTATATTCCTTCATCTGCCAATGGACTGAAATGCTTTTCTCTGCCTTTCAGGTGAAACCTTATATTGAATACTAAAATTTACATGTCCTCAAATCTTGCACTAGTAAATATAAACACTTTAAAGCAAGGCATTTAGCTCTGTGGCATTAGTGAGATAAGCCATAAAATATGCAATTGTTGTTTAATAAGAAAATGTCATTTTGCAATAAATCAATCATTGCCACTTTTTATTAGCAGTAGAAGCCCTAAAATAGAATTATAAAATTATTGTTTTATGAAAAAGTCAGTTTAAGAATTTTAGCATGGTATATTTGAAATTTTCTGTAAAAGTAGATTTTAAATATTTTCATTGCAAAAAATAAGTATGTGAGGTGAGACTTGTTAATTAGCTTGATTTAATCACTCCACAATATAACCATAAATCAGAATATAACAGTGTATATTATGAATCTATACAATTATTATTTTCAGTTAAAAATAAAAGAAAAAAGAAAAATCAACAAAAAAGAATTGTAGCAGCTTTAATGCCATTAAGAATATTTAAAAATGGCCGGGCGTGGTGGCTCATGCCTATAATCCCAGCACTTTGGGAGACCAAGGCGGGAAAATCACAAGGTCAGGAATTCAAGGCCAGCCTGGCCAACATGGTGAAACCCCATCTCTACTAAAAATACAAAAATTAGCCAGGCGTGGTGGCGCGTGCCTGTAATCCCAGCTGCTCGGGAGGCTGAGGCAGAAGAATTGCTTGAACCTGGGAGGTGGAGGTTGCAGTGAGCCGAGATCACACCACTGCACTCCAGCCTGGGTGACAGAGGGAGACTCCGTCTCAAAAAAAAAAAAAGAATATTTTAAAATAATGAGAAGTCTTTCTCTTATGTGGCTGCTACTATCAATATAGTAGCTATCAGCCAAAGGTGAGTTTTAAAATTTAAATTCATCAAGATTAAATGAAATTAAAAATTTACTTTCTTGGTTACATTAGCCACATTTCCAATGCTCTATTGCCGTTGCTAGTGCCTACTGTATTGGACAACACAGATATAGAATATTTCTATCATCACTGAAAATTTGATTCCACAGTGCTGATTGTGTTAGCTGGGATTTTATCCCCCCGAGTCAGTAGGGACCATTTCAACTTCATAAAACTCATTGTTGCCTAACAGAGTGTGTTATTCTGAGTGCTCCTTGGGTTTGCCAGCCAGCACTCTGTAGGTGAGAAACAGGATACTGTAGAGCATATGAACAGGATCAATACAGTCTTGTTGCTTATTAGCACCTCACCCACATAGGTGCACAGAACCCAGTATGCATACAGGAATGATGAAAGGTGAAACTCCAGTAAGGTTGAAGGAGATAGGAAATGAAAGATTAAGCTCATCCCAAGTTAATAGCATTATAAGTTTTTATGGTTTATGAAATTTAGTTTGCAGCTTTTCAAACCCCAGGTAGTAAAAATACACATAGATGAAAACCCTCAAACAATAAAGAACACATTTGGACCTAATGACTTTTAACTCTTATGATGGGATACTTGAAAATCTAGTATAAAGAGACTCCTTTGGGATATAGCAAATGGGACTTGATGATGACACAGGCAGATTCCTTTAGACTCTCTCTCTTCTTTAGAGAGGTGATTTTCAACTTATCTTTGCAATTGAGATACCCTGGTGGTAACAGTTTATTATAATTATTTTATTCTATTTATATACCTTCCCCCACTCTTAAAGTATAGCAAACAAATTTCACTTACAGAGTTTTGATATACCTTTGACTCATTGGGACAGGGGCCTTTTTTAGCTGCATGCTCTATCCCCAGAATCTTGCACAGTCCTTGCACATAACTGGTGCTTAATAAATGTTGAATGAATGAATGACTATGAGCACTCCAGAGTTCTAGAAGGCTGGAATTGCAAATCACTCCTTTAGGACAATTGATTTTTCCTTAACAGAGATTATTCCAAACTTGTTCATCAATAGGTCTGCAGTATCTTTAGTTGACAAGAAAGTAGCATAGGATAGTGGCTAATCTGATGGACATAAATACAAGATGTCTTCGGTTGAAGTTTCAACTTAGCTGGGTGAACTTGACCATATTCAACTTTTTAATCTGTTTCCACATTTGGAACACAATAATAACTATCTAGGATTTTTGTGAGGATCAAATAAGTTAAAATACTCAAACTGTTTAGTAAAATGCTCAACACATATCTGGCTCTCAGTATATGTTAACTTTCAAAAAGAGGACACTTTAAGCATTTAGCTTAACCTAAAAGAGAAGAAGAGAGTGAGAGTGCTGGTAGTGTGAGAATTTCAAAGAAAGAGATAGCTTGTGGTATGGTCCAGAGTTCAGACTGAAGGAGATGAAGGGGTGGT
Organism: Homo sapiens; assembly: GCF_000001405.40. NCBI lineage: Eukaryota > Metazoa > Chordata > Mammalia > Primates > Hominidae > Homo > Homo sapiens. The sequence goes on along the minus strand of NC_000001.11, from coordinate 88,614,744 downwards.
ACAACTTTGTTGCAGAATGGGCAGCTGGAAATATCACTGCTGCAAAGGAACTATCATGTCCTGAATATCTGCTGGGTACTTGAATGGTCAAACATGCTCCAGTCTCTAGGCCTTTGCCTCTTTTTCTCTTTGCTTAAATAGCCTTTCTCCAGATATCTATGTTGTCCATCTCCCTGTTCATTCAGGACTCTGTTCAAATGATACTCCTTCCCGGCAAGCCTATCACAAAAGGAACCTTCTGCTCATAAAGTAAAATGTCTCAGAGAATCCTAAACTCATTATGCTAAACGGAAAGTTAAATTAACCCTGGAGACTTTTAATTTTTCTTTACATCCTCTCTAATTCCCTATCTTTAACAGTAATGATAATTACATACTTTATTTTTCTTCTTAGCACTTTCACTATTGATATTACGTGTCTTTATCACCTACTATATTATAGGTGCATGAGTGCAGAGTGTCTTCTGTTCACTGTGACTAGAAGAGTGCTTGTTCATGGTAGGCATGCAATGAATTTTTTTTTGTCAAATCACATACACTTTTATCATTTGAACCTCACAAGCACTCTGCATGGTAAATGGGTATAGCCTCAGGTTGTGGGGGAACACATGGTGTTAGAGAGTTTAAACCACTTGCCAAAGATAACATAGCCAATGAGTCTTAGAACCAATATTTATGATTTATTTTAATAATCTTCTCACTATATCTCATAGTTTATGACATTTTATTTATTTTGAGACAGGGTCTTGCTCTGTTGCCCAGGCTGGAGTGCAGTGGTGTGATCATAGCTCACTGCTGCTTGAGAATTTTGGGTTCAAGCAATCCTCCCACCTCAACCTATAAATTAGTTTATATATATATTTTTAATTTTTCAAAAGCAGTTGGGACTTCCAGATTTAATGGCAGTACATGTTATGTAAAATAAGGCAAATAGGAATTAAAAAAGGACAGAGATCCTATACATAAAATTTAAAAAACAGATGCTCTGTGGCATCTGAGATAAATACAATATTGCCACAATTCTTTTTTTCTGGGCCCATGGTAGATGGTAGAAATGTGCAGGTTCCCATTGACCTTGGCCCTCAATCTCTTATTCCAAGAATTTGAGTCTCAGCCTCAGAAGGTGGAATCATCAAGTTAGCCTGTTTTCTTTACTAGATTATAAACTCTTTCAAACTAGGGACTATGTCTTCATCTCTGAACCCCTTACAACCTTTAGCATGATGTCTTGCCAGATGTTCGGTGTCTGTAGAATGTCAAACATCCATGCTTGCATACATTGCAAGGGAAGTTGGGCTAAACACTTCTACCATCCTGCCTTCTTCTAAGAGTTAATTATTATTACTATTTTTTTTTCTTAGACAGAGTCTTGCTCTGTCACCCAGGCTGAGTGCAGTGGTGTGATCTCGGCTCACTGCAACCTTTGCCTCCCAGGTTCAAGTGATTCTTGTGCCTCAGCCTCCTGAATAGCTGGGATTACAGGCGCCCGCCTCCGTGCCCGGCTAATTTTTTGTATTTTTAGTAGAGACGAAGTTTTGCCATGTTGGCCTGGCTGGTCTCGAGTGATCCACCTTCCTCAGCCTCCTAAAGTGCTAGGATTAGAGGAATGAGCCACTGCACCTGGCCTTAATCTTTTAAAAAGGACTTGAAGTGTTAATATGTACTTATTAGAGTCATATACGTCAAACGCCAGCATGAGGGAAGTTGAAGTGGGTAAGAGTGCCAGTTTACATGGGTCATATATTCTTGAACTCCTGACCTCAAATGATCCACCCGCCTTGGCCTCCCAAAGTGCTGGGATTACAAGCATGAGTCACCGCACCTGGCCAAGGGGCATATATTTTCACTGTAACAGATGCCCAACCCATTCGAGCATGAACATGAGTAGTACCGTAGGTGGAGCTCACTTTGTACCCTGGAAAAGAACTTTGACTTAATGGCTGGGTTGGAGCTGTAAAAGTTCTGTACTATATACCATGGAAGAGATAACTGTAAGCAGATATAATTTTAGAGCAAAGGTGCTATTTGATTCTTTATCAGTAGATATTAAATTTGGCTGTTTGTAATAGAAAACCCAAATGGCGGTGTCTTGAGTCAAATAGAGGTTTATTTTTCTTAAATAAAATGAAAAGTCTGAAAGAATGGTATACAAGGATGGTACAGAGGCTCAAGGAGAGCATATCCCTCAGATCTTTGTAATTTCTCTTGGCCTTCCCCTTGTGGTCAAATGCAAGTGGCTGCTGCAACACTTGCCATTATGTGTGCAGTTTAGGATGCACGAAGGAGAAAGAACAAAGGGCACAAAGGACTCAAAGGGCACAAAGGGCCTGTCAGCTGAGTCTGCCCCTCCCTCTTTGAGGAATTTTCCTTTTTCCTGCCTCCAAACAGCTGCTTATGTCTCCTTGGGCAGAACAGTGAGACATGGATACCTCTATCTACAAAGGTGGCTGGGAAATTTAGTATTTATTAGCTGGGCAACTTTGCCCTCATGCCCCAATAAAATGAAGGTTGTATCACTGAGGAACAATGGGAGAATAATTGGATGTTGAACAAACATCTAGCAGCCTTGCAATAATTATCCATTAAAGAACTTCAGCATAGTCCCATGGAATCCCTTAAAGAACATTACATTTTGGTGGATCTTCTGATAAATTAGTTGCAGAATACTCCGAAGTAGCTGTATGAGCTTATCTTTTGGTGGGGATATTAAAGAGTATTAAAACCCTGAAATGCTGAGTGCTACATAGAAGGAGTCTTGGAGGCTGGGCATGGTGGCTCACGCCTGTAATCCAAGCACTTTGGGAGGCCAAAGCGGCAGGATTGCTTGAAGCCAGGAGTTTGAGAACAGTCTGGGAACAAAGTGAGACTCTGTCTCTATAAAAAATACAAAAAATTAGCTGGGCGCAGTGGTGTGTATCTGAAATCCCAGCTACTGGGGAGTCTGAGGGAAAATTGCTTGAGCTGAGGATGTTGAAGATACAGTGAGCTATGATTGTACCACTGCACTCCAGCCTGGGTGACAAAGTGAGAACTTGTCTCAAAAAAAAAAAAAAAAAAAAAAATAAAAGAAAAAAGGAGTCTTGGATTTGGGAGTTAGAAGGCATGGGTTCAAACTTTGTCTTCATCATGGTTCATTATGAGCCACTTTGATGTTCCATTCAATTATATGTATAAAGGAGATATGACAAACTGATTTTAAAATTTATATCAAGTACAAATGATTAAGAGTAAATAAGACATTTCTAAAGAAGCAGTACAGAGTAGAATAACTTGCTTATCAAAAATTAAGAATTTATTATAAAGCTCTATTTCTTCAGACAGTCTGGAATAAGGTGCAGAACTGTACAAATTGACCAACAAAGGAGAAAAGAGAGCCCAGAAACAGACCAATACAAAAACGGAAATTTTATTCATGACTGAGATGACACTGCAAATTGTTTAGGAAAAGATGACATTTTTAATAAGTGGCACTGGAACAATTGGTTGTGTGGTTGTGTGAATTTAAAAACTAAAATTGCAACCTTATCTCACACTATATATAAAAAACCAAATCCATGTGGATTAAGACTATACAAGCCAAAACTATAATGTTGAGCAGAAAGAGTAAGTTTCCAGTATGTTTCCATTTGAAAAAAGTACAAAAATATGCAAAAGCACATAATATATTGCTTAGCAAAACAAACATGGTTAAATGTAAATAAAAATGAGGGAAGGATAAAGAGAAAATTCAGGGAAGTATTTCTTAGGGGAAATGAAATGGGACACAGAGGACTTAAAGGTCCTTGTCCTTAAGTTGAGGACATCTACACAGGAGCGTGTTATACTTTATACCTACACCAATTTTATACGAATTCCTTTGTATCTACATATTACTTAAAAAATGTTTTAAAGTAGGCCGGGGATGGTGAGTCATACTTGTTTTTTTTGTGTGTTTTTTTTTCTGAGATGAAGTCTTGCTCTTGTCCCCTAGGCTGGAGTGCAATGGCGCGATGTTGGTTCACTGCAACCTCCGCCTCCCAGGTTCAAGCGATTTTCCTGCCTCAGCCTCCTGAGTAGCTAGGATTACAGGAGCCTGCCACCACGCCTGGCTAATTTTTGAATTTTTAGTAGAGATGGGGTTTCACCATGTTGGCCAGGCTGGTCTCGAACTCCTGACCTCAGGTGATCCGCCCACCTCAGCCTCCCAAAGTGCTGGGATTATAGGCATCAGCCACGGCGCCCAGCCCATACTTGTAATCTCAGCACTTTGGGAGGCCCAGGCAGGAGAATCACTTGAGCCCAGGAGTTTGACACCAGCCTGGGCAACATGGAGAAGCTTCGTCTCTACAAAAAATAAAAACATTAGCTGGGTGTGGTGATGTACTCCTGTAGTCCCAGCTACTTGAGAGAGTGAGATGGGGGGATTGCTTGAGCCTAGGAATTCGAGGCTGCAGTAAGCTGTGATCACATCACTGCACTCCAGCCTGGGCGACAGAGTGAGACCTTATCTCAAACAAAACAAAACAAAACAAAACAAAAAACAAAAAACAAACAAAAAAAATTAAATGTAGATGGGAAAGACATCAGTATCATTGAATTATTCTGAGTATCAAGTATGAAAATACACGAAGAAACATTAAATACATGTAAGTTATTCACTATACTATACTTCTTGAAGACAAAATTATTTCTAATCCATCTTTATATCCTTAGCACAGTGTCTGAAATACAGTGTGTACTTTACTGTTTTTTGAAAGAATAATTGAATAAGAAAGCAATTTTGATGTTAACATATATTAATACAGGGTTTTAAAATGTGATATTATTAGAACTAATAGAACTATCTCATTCTATTTTTAGAACTAGATATTATAAGAACTATGATATTATTAGAACATATATTAATACAGGATTTTTAAATGTGATATTATTAGAACTTCTTTAAAATGTAATTTATTAGAACTAATTCCTTCTAGTATTTACTAATAAACATATTACTGTACTCATTCACTCCTTTGGTAATTTATTTATTCTTTAAACATTTATTAAAGTCTGCAATGTTCCAGATACCATGCTAGTTACTGGGGGAGCTGAGGTGAACTCTACATGGTTCTTATTCCCAAGGGGCTCACAGTCACGTGGAAGAGACAAACAGATACCTGGATAATAGATAACAATTGTTGCTTCTTTAGACCATTTCTCAGTGTAATACGACTATGTCTACGTATCTGGTTGACTTTTTATTTTCTTTAGATAATGGAGACATTTTCAAAGTTTGACTTAATGAGTGCATAGTAAGTCACTCAGCTCTATTTCACAAGCATTGCAGGGAAATGAGATTTTAATGTCTCATATGAACTAGAGGCTGGAGAGTAGGCATGTTCTTGGCTTTGAACTGAGTTTAGTTCAGACTGGAATCAGGTGTGAATAGGAACAGGATCTATTTAATCAACACCTGTGGTGAAACTGGCTCTACTCAGAGAGAAGTGCTTTAAGTGCAGAGAGTCTGCATTTGACAGACTTCAGCACCTGGCTAGCAACATAATAGCTAGTGCCAACATGGGACTTGATAGTCCTGGGGAATATGAATGCAGCAAAGATGAAGTCCATAATGAAGAGTAAAGAAGACTGGAACTTCAGATGGGTTGACACTAAGGTGATTACATTAAACAAGATGGAAAAGCATTGAGGACAAGATTTTCCAAATCATATTCCTTGGAATGTCATTCCTTCAAAGATGCTTTGTAAGAAAAGGGATTCAAGTATGCTCAATAAATGTTGATTCCATTTTTTTTTGTAGATTCACAATGCAGAGCATTGTATAAAAAAGGCAACCATAAAACCTATTTAACTTCATTTAGAAAGTTCACAAAATAATTGAAGAAGCTGCTCAAGATTTTATGCTTTAGCCATTTCTATTTTTATTTTATTTTTGAGACACGGTCTTGCTGTGTCACCCAGGCTGGAGTGCAGTGGTGCAGTCCCAGCTCACTGCAGCCTCAACTTCCTGGCCACAAGTGATCTTCCCACCTCAGCCTCCAGAGTAGGTGGGACTACAGATGTGTACCACCACGCCCGGCTGATTTTTAAATTTGTTTTGTAGAGATGGGATTTCGCCATATTGCCCAGGCTGGTCTCGAACTCCTGAGTTCAAGCGATCCACCTGCTTTGGTATCTCAAATTGCTGAGATTACAGGCATGAGCCACTGCACCCGGCTTCTATTTTTAGTTATGCCTTATTTGCCCAACAAACATTTCTTGAGTGCCTATAGTTAGGCAATGGAGCAATTGGCTATGTTGTTAGTGATGTGGGGGAAGGTGAAATAATTTTTACATGAAAAAAACTATTGAACTAAGTTATTGTCTGTAGAGTCACAGCAGTACGTACATATGGCTAACTTAAATTAAAAGGTCGTGAACATCTGCTAGAGAAACAGTGTACCACCTAGTGACAATTCCTGAAAGTGCAGTAATATGCCATAGATGGTTTTTCAATTTTTGGTCAAATGGAGATAGTGACCTTCGCACAATCTGAGGTCCCTGAGAAGTGAATAAAATTTGGGTGGGGCATTAATTTAAAAAGTCGTGTTGCAGAAGTAATACATATTAATTGTAGAAAATTAGAAACAGACAAATTGGAAAAAAGAAAATAAAAATAAATCAGGAAAAAATATACACACATACATACACATATTTTTCCACATTTTTCTATGTATTTATAGGTACTATATTTTATACTATAATTTGTACTATAATTGTTATTTATTATAAATGTTCTTTTGTAACTATATTATACATAATAATCATATATATCTATTTATGTCAATGAATATTAATCTATACACTATTTTAAAATTATTGTATAATATTTCATTATGTGGGTATATCATAATTAACCTTTTCCTACTGATAAATATTTAGGTTGTTTAAGAATTTTCATGATTATGAATACCATTGTAATGAACGTCCATTTTATTCTTGACTGATTTATGTTTTCAAAATGAATTCTTAGAAGGGGAAATGCTATTCCCAAGGATATACACATTTAAATTTTAAAAATTTCCCCCAAATAAGTTTATATCAATTTACACTCCCACCTGAGTGGTTTTGCATGCCTTTCTCCCTATATCTACACTCACTGAATAGTATTCGTAAAACAAAATGAGGAAATGCAAATACTTCATTGAAGGAATGCAAATGCAAATATCTCATCGTTTATATTTGCATTTCTTTGGTTAATTACTGAGTTGGAACCTTCTTTCTATGTGTTTGCTATTGGCCATTTGTTTTCTTCTTTTATGACTTGCTTATTCCTGCTGGAAATAAGCTTTTTTTCCTATTGGGATTTTGGTGATATTACTGGTTTAAAATCTGATTGCTTTGCAAGAGTTTTTGTTTGTTAGTTGTTTTACCTTTTTATTTTGAACTAATTTTATACTTAAAGAAAATTTATTAAAAAATAGCATACAGAGTTCTTGTATGTCCCTTAGCCAGCTTCCTCCAATGTGTTAATCTCATGTAACCACAGTACAATTAACAAAACCAGAAAATTAACATGGCTGCAATACTGCTAAATAACAAACCTTATTCAAATGTCATGAGGTTTTCCGCTAATTTCTTTTTTCTGTTTCGGGGTCCAATCCAGGATCCCCGAATGCATTATTTAGTGGCTATTTCTTCTTTATCTTCTTTATTTTGTCATTGTTGCTCAATTTTTGTTTTTCGTGATCTTGATACTTTAAAAAGAATTGATCAGTAATCTTACAGAATGTCCCTCAATTTCGGCTTGTGTAATGTTTTCTCATAATTGAAATGAGGCTATGCACTTTGGGCAAGAATACTGCAGAAGTGATATTCTGCCATTCGTAGTGTATCATATCAAGGGGCTTATGGTATTGATATATCTTATTACTGGTGATGTTATTACTTGGTATCTGCTGGGTTTCTTTACTGTAAAATTTATCTTTATCTTTTTTGTTAATATGTTTTCTTAGGGGAGATACTTTGAGATTGGGCAGCTTCTCCTCAGTTAATTAAGTTCTAGTTTCAAATTGAGTAAATTGAAACTGGAAAATGTATATGATTAATTATGGGTAGGTTGTTATAAGACAGACATTTAAGATAAGAGTTACTGGGTGCATTCTCAAACACAAGTATTTGTCTCTACATTAAAAATATTAGTGAATAGGCTGGGTGTGGTGGCTCACACCTGTAACTTAGCACTTTGGGAGGCTGAGCAATCAGGTGGATTGCTTGAGGCCAGGAGCTCGAGGCCAGCTTGGCCAACATAGTGAAACCCCATCTCTGCCAAAAATACAAAAATTATCCGGGTTTGGTTGCACACGCTAGTAATCGCAGCTACTCAGGAAGCTGAGGCAGAAGAATCACTTAAACCCAGGAGGCAGGAAGGCAGAGGCCGCAGTGAGCTGAGATCGCCCCACTGCACTCCAGCCTGGGTGACAGAGTGAGACTCTGTCTTAAAAAGAAAAAAAATTAGTGAATAAATGTACGTTAATGTTTTCAAGCAAAATAAAATACAGTATTTATTATATTTTAAGGGTTATATACTTTGACCTCTTCCATTAACAACCTAATAGTGGCCCTGATGGCATTTGATAAAAAGACTTCTACTGTATTAGAAATTCTATTTAATATTGCTTGATTAAAACCTTAAATCTGTGGAAGATCATTTGAAAAAATATTAAATGCTGAAAGAATTGTGGCTTTCTGTTTATTTGTAAGCAGATCAATTATAATTTTATGAGTGTTGTCATTGCAATATCCTCTTTTTGAATATCTCCTATCCCTGAAGAGAAGCAATATCTTCAGAGAAATAGTTCAGTTGTCCAGGAAAACCTACACTGTGCTTGAGTTCTAAGTTTGCCTCTTCTTAGTCATATGACCTTGGGCAAATCAGGTCACCTCTCTAAATCTCAGATGCTCTACTTGTCTCACAGGGCAAGTTCAACTGACAGAACCCTGGCAAGATAGGTTTGTGAACTAAAAAACAATGAACACATGCAAGGGATTATTAATACTATATTATCTTTTATTAGCTCTTAAGACCATTCTCAGATGTATAAGTGTTGGTTACTGTGATATCAATTTTATTTCTAGGGGATAAAGGATTATTACCAAGTATATGACATGTACTATAATATATTTTGTTTTTGTAATATACAGTATTGCATTTGATTCATTTCTGTATTATTTTCCTGGTGCAACTTCCTACCACACTTTGACAAACAAGGAATGAGCTGCTTATCTAGTAAAGATTTATAGCATAGGGATTCTATAGTCTTTGGAAGTTGTCATTGGCAGTGCAAATAGCAAGGTTAACATGGTTGTTTACGAAATAAATACAAACTTCAGTTAGTATTTCATCTTGAAAACCAGTTTAAGTGCTCTTTAGATAACGTCTTATAATTGAAGTTCTTTTATAAGTTTGGCCTTTATATTGAGTTTTGTCAAATTCAAGGTCAGAGAGAAATTCTAACTTTAATCGGTTCAAAATTGTGGCTATTGTCTTCTCATAAAATGTACTAGCTGTTACTTGCCTTTCTATCATCTTCCCTTTTCTTCTTGTATCTCATATATGTAGGGTTTTTTTAAAAATAATTCATTAAGTTGAATTAGTCACAGTGGAAAAGAAGTTCTTGCGTTTTGGTTTAGTGAATGCCTTCTGACTTATTACATCAACAGTCAAAAGCAGTTCATTCTGATTTGATAAATGCATTGAAAGCATCTGAAATTGTTTCATCCTTTTTCTTTCTTGCCTTTTCATCTTTTGGAGCAATCAAATGAAATATCCTCTAGCTTTCCTAATCGAGGCTGTCTGCTCTGCCCTGGTGTTAAAAATGCATGTTTCAATAAGCGTTCTTGTGTTGCAATAAGTTCTTCAGTCTTTTAAAAGCATTTTATACTAAAGTTTTAAAAAAGAACAACCTAAATCAATTTCCAGCATATTTTCAAGTTGTGCACTTATTGTTAAATCAATATGTATATTTTATATTCATATATGTACTACGCTGTATAGTGTACATAATAGAATAAGAGAAATAAATATTATTTATTAGTAGTTCTGTTAAGTAGGGCATAGGCCATGATAACTTCTGTTCTTGCATTTTTGTGTCCATGATTTTAATGCTATTACATATTAATGGAATTATGATCTAAAGCATCATTTAACTTTCAAGATGCCTCATGCCTGGACATTAACAGCATAAAACTAATAGCTTGACATTACTTAATAGATCACTTAACAATTAATTTGAAGGACATGCATATTTAGGGTTAACTTTTTTTTTTTTTTTTTTTTTTTTTTTTAGATAGGCTCACACTCTGTCACCCATGCTGGGGTTTAGCAGTGTAATCACAGCTCACTGCAGTCTGTACTTCCCCAGGTGTCTACCTCAGCCTCCCGAATAGCTGGGACCTCAGGAGAGTGCCACCACACCCACTAGTTTTTTGTATTTTTATTAGAGACAGCATTTTCCCATATTGCCCAGGCTGTAGGGTTAACATTTGACATAGGATTTTAAATTTTTATTTTATTTTAATTTTTAATTTTTGAGACGGAGTTTCACTCTGCCGCCCAGGCTGGAGTGCAGTGGCACTATCTCGGCTCACTGCAACCTCCTCCTCCCCAGCTCAAGTGATTCTTCTGCCTCAGCTTCCTGAGTAGCTGGGACTACGTGCCCATGACCACACCCAGCTGATTTTTTTTTTTTTTTTGTATTTTTAGTAGAGACGGGGTTTCGCCTTGTTGGCCAGGCTGGTCTCGAACTCCTGACCTCAGGTGATCTGCCTGCCTCAGCCTCCCAAAGTGCTGGGATTACAGGCATGAGCCACCATGCCCAGCCCGACATAGGATTTTTAGTTTGTGAAACTGTACTTCCAGTATAACTTCAATATAAAATGCCCTTATTGTCATAATTACTTTTTGTTTTGTTCTCAAAACACATTGAATTCAATTTGCAGTGATTTTTCTCCTTTGGCCAAGAAAACTTTTCTATCATAATATCATAGTGATCTCTTCAGTGATACCTTTTTAAAATATTATGCAGTCACTAAAACAGGAAAATCACATGTTGCTGAAATATATACGGTAGCACAAAATACCACTTGGGCCCCCAAATAACTTGCTGAGAATATGATGCCAATATAATGTAGTAATTTAACAATTGTTTGCATGCTTAACAAAAATGGCAAAGAGCTGGTATAAAGGGGTGGCAGTACTTTGAGAAGACATGCACCTGTCATCTGATGGTGGCGTGATGGACAGTTAGTGAGAAGCTGAAATATTGTCCAGGCTACCTAGGCCACCACCAACATAACTAGATGCTGAAATTATAGGGGTTCCTGAATGTTAGTAAGAGCTTTTTATTGAAATTTCTGTTAAGGAAGCAGCAGGAAGGAATATCCTCACTTGGATTCATTTCATGAGAATAATTTCAACAGAAAGTGTTGAGTATTTTCTCTATCTATTCCTTCTTTTACACAAAAGGAATAATTACTTATCTACTACAAATGATTACTTTAGTGTTTTTTAAAATTTAAAATTCAAGTTAGCTGGATACAAAATGTTTTAAAGATTCTTTAAATTTTGGAGTTGATAAAATACTGTTCTGCCATGCTCAACCACTTATTACTTGGATATATGATTCAATGCAAATTTATATTATTAAAGCTTTTTAACTGGTTCATTAAATGTAGCATCTACTATGTGTCAGGTGCTGTGCTAGGTGCTGCAGATGGATAAGACCTCTGCATTGGTCAGGGTTCTCTAAAGGGACAGACTCTCTCTCTCTCTCTCTCTCTCTCTCTCTCTCTCTCTCTCTCTCTATATATATATATATATAATATATATATATATACACATACACACACACGCATATGTATATATATACACACACATATGTATATATTCACACACGTGTGTGTGTATGTATGTATATACACATATATATGCACATGTGTGTATACACGTACATATATACGTGTGTATATACATATACATATGTATGTGTATATGTATATACATATATATATGAAGGGGAATTTATTAAATAGTATTAACTCACATGATCACAAGGTCCCACAATCCCACAATAGGCCATCTGCAAGCGGATGAGCAATGAAACCAGTCCCAAAGCTGAAGAACTTGGAGTCTGATGTTCGAGGGCAGGAAGCATCCAGCACAGGAGAAAGATGTAGGCAGGGAGGCTAGGCCAGTCTTGCCTTTTCACATTTTGCTGCCTGCTTTATATTTGCTGGCAGCTGATTAGATGGTGCCCACCCAATTAAGGGTGGATCTGCCTTCCCCAGCTCACTGACTCAAATGTTAATCTCCTTTGGCAATACCCTCACAGACACACCCAGGATCAATACTTTGCATCCTTCAATCCAGTCAAGTTGACCCTCGGTATTAACCATCACAAGTCCACCTTTTGTCATCTTGAACCCATGCACATCTCCTGAGATCATACATAACATTCAAATAAAGACAATAATAAGGTCATAATTACACCTAACATAATACAACTATCCTTTGTACAACTGGAAACACACTAATTCCCAACCCAAATGCTATTCATAAAGTTAACAATACTTAAATGCTGATATGAAGTCAATAAATCTTATGTCACATGATAAAGCAAAAAGGAAATAAAATGAAGATATTTTCTTAGTACAAGTGTATACATGCACAAACATGGAAATACTCATGACAATTACAGTCCTCGTTTCTGCAGCTGGTCACATGGTTGTAGCTGGTGTTGATGACTAACTTCTTCTACTACCCATTCTGTATTCCCTTTGCCTTCAGCAAGCACCTCAGCAGGTTGTGGTTTTGTTCCTGGTGGAGTGACCCAAATCTTCATTCCTGAAGGGTCTGGGTCATTTGTTGTACTGCCTGGATTGGGCTGTTGTAGTTTCCCGTTGACCTTAATCACAGGGCATAGTAATGCTAAGAGATGCCCTGATGGATCTCCTATATTCCATGCATACTCTTCCTTACCTCCATGGTGGACCCCAACTATCAAGTAGACTGATTTCATCTTGATAGTTGGGGTCAATCATCTCAGCCAACACTGTAACTCCCTTCTAAGCCTGTTGACTTAAAGGTAGAGTACAAAGTGTCCAGGTGGCAATCTTAACTTCCAGTTCAATGGAAATGGAATCGTTGTTGTGTCTCCTGGTGACACTAAGATCTTTAGGTCAGCAGAACGTAATGTCACAGGAACAGGAAGCAAAAATTTTGCTAGTGGATCACTAGGGGTGATGGTGAGTGGTGCCACTTCCACTTCCACCCCTTGATTCCTGGACCTGTGAATCTGGCTATGGGAGAAATAGTACCATATATTGGATGCTGATTCGGAAGATACATGGCCTTCTGGAGAACTTTGTCCCAGCCTTGCAAAGTATTGTCACCTATTTGGCATTGTAATTGTGACTTCAAAAGGCCATTCGACAGTTCTGTCAATCCACCTGCTTCAGGATGATGGGGAACATGGTAAGACCAATGAATCCCATGAGCGTGAGCCCACTGCCCCACTTCTTTAGCTGTAAAGTGAGTGCCTTGGTCAGAGGCAATGCTGTGTGGAATACCATGATGGTGGGTAAGGCATTGCATGAGTTTATAGATGGTAGTCTTGGCAGAAGCATTGTGTGTAGGATAGGCAAACCCATATCTGGAGTGTCTATTCCACTGAGGACAAACCTCAGCCCTTTCCATGATGAAAGAGGCCCAGTATAATCAACCTGCCACCAGGTAGCTGGCTGATCTCCCTAGGAATGGTGCCATATCGAAGGCTTAGTGTTGGTCTCTGCTGCTGGCAAATTGGGCATTCAGCAGTGGCCGTAGCCTGGTCAGCCTTGGTAAGTGGAAGTCCATGTTGCTGAGCCCGTGTCTAACTTCCATCCCTGCCACTGTGGCCACTTATTTCATGGGCCCATTGGGTGATGACGGGGTGGCTGGGGAAAGTGGCTGAGTTGTGTCCACAGAATGGGTCATCCTAGCCACTTGATTATTAAAATCCTCTTCTGCTGTAGTCACCGGTTGGTGAGCAGTCACGTGGGATTCAAATATCTTCACAGTTTTTGAACACTCAGAGAGGTCCATCCACCTACCTCTTCCCCAAATTTATTTGTCACCAATTTTCCAATCATGCTGCTTCCAAGTCCCTGACCATTCAGCCAAACCATTGGCTACAGCCCATCAATCAGTATATAATTGCACATCTGGCCATTTCTCCTTCCATGCAAAGTGCACAAGCAGATGCACTGCTCAAAGTTCTGCCCACTGGGAAGCTTTCCTTTCACGCTGTTTTTCAAGGATGTCCTAGAAAGGGGTTGTAGTGCTGTATTGGGTGGTGACTGCATATCGTGCAGAACAATCTGTGAACCAGGCCCTAGTCTTCTCTTCCTCTGTCAACTGATCATAGGGAACTCCCCATGAGGCCATCAATGCAGGTTAGGGGAGAGAAGGCAGGTGGCAGGAGTGGAGACCATGGGCATTTGAGCCACTTCCTCATGTGACTTACTTGTGCCTTCAGGACCTGCTCGAGCCTAGTCACACATGTACCATTTCCATCTGATGATGGAATGCTGCTGTGCACAACCCACTTTATGGCTAGATGGGTCAGATAGCACCCAGTTGATGATAGGCAGTTCAGCTCACATGGCGACTTGATGACCCATAGTCAAACGTTCAGTTTTCATCAAAGCCCAATAACAGGCCAAGAGCTGTCTCTCAAAAAGAGAGTGGTTATCTGCAGAAGATGGCAGGGCCTTGCTCCAAAATCTTAGAGGCATCTGTTGTGTTTTATTTATGGGGGTCTGCCAGAGGCTCCAAACAGCATTCCTATCTGCCACTGACACCTCAAGCACCATTGGATCTGCTGGGTCACATGGCCCAAGTGGCAGAGCAGCTTGCACAGCAGCCTGGACCCATTGCAGAGCCTTCTCCTGTTTTGGACCCCACTTAAAACTGGCAGCTTTTCGGGTCACTTGATAAACGGGCCAGAGTAACACACCCCAATAAGGAATGTGTTCCTTCCAAAATCCAAATAGGCTCACTAGGCGTTATACTTCTTACTTGGTTATAGCGGGGACCAAATGCAGCAACTTATCCTTTACCTTAGAAGGAATATCTCGACAGGCCCCACACCAGTGGACCCCTAGAAATTTTACTGAGGTAGAAGTTCCCTGAATTTTAGTTAGATGTATTTCCCGTCCTCTGGCATGCAAATGTCTCACCAATAAGTCCAGTGTGTTTGCTAGTTGTTGCTCACTGGATCCTATCAGCATAATGTCATCAATGTAATGGACCAGTGCGGATATCTTGTGGAAGTGAAAAGCGATCAAGACCTCTCTGAATAAGATTATGACACAAAGCCAGAGAGTTGATATACCTCTGAGGTAGGACAGTAAAGGTATATTGCTGGCCTTGCTAGCTGAAGGCAAATTGCTTCTAGGAATGGAGAAAAATGCATTTGCCAAGTTGGCTGCATACCAGGTACCAGGAGATATGTTAATTTGCTCAAGCAATGAAACCACATTTGGTACAGCAGCTGCAATTGAAGTCACTGCTTGGTTAAGCTTGCAATAATCCACTGTCATTCTCCAAGATCCATCTATCTTCTGCACAGGCCAAATAGGAGAGTTGAATGGGGATGTGGTGGGAATCATCACCCCTGTGTCTTTCAAGTCCTCGATGGTGGCACGAATCTCCGCCTTCTCTCCAGGGATGCAATATTGTTTTTGATTTACTTTTTCTAGGTAGAGGAAGCTCTAATGGCTTTCATTTGGCCATTCCCACCATGACAGCCCTCACTCTATCAGTCAGGAAGCCAACGTGGGGGTTCTGCCATCATCTGCTAAGTATGTCTCTGCCAATTATGCATTCTGGCACTGGAGAAATGACTATAGGATGAGTCTGGGGACCCACTGGACCCATTGTAAGTCAGACCTGAGCTAAAACTCCATTAATTACCTGACCTCCATAAGCCCCTACTTTAACTGGAGGACCACAATGACGTTTTGGGTCTCATCGAATCAACGTCAGCTCAGAGCCAGTGTCCAGTAGTCTCAGAAATGTCTGATAATTTCCCTTTCCCCAATGCACAGTTACCCTGGTAAAAGGCCAGAGGTCTCCTTGGGGAAGGATGGGAGAAAGATTAACAGCATAAATTGTCATTAGTGTAGTGGGGTCCTTCCTTAAGGGGACCCAGCCTCCCTTTCATTCAAGGGGCTCTGGGTCTGTAAACTGGCTCAAGTCTGGAAATGGATTAAGGGGCCATGACTCTCTCTTTTTATAATTCAAATTAGTCTTTTGCCCATTCAACCTGGAGATTTTCTGCTTATATAAATTAAGTAGGAATGCAGTAGGCTTCCTGTCAATTTCACTTCTAGGAACACCATGATTAATTAGCCAATGCCAGAGCTCTACATGATTCAGACTATTCTGATTGCTGCTTTGCCTCTGCTGTCCATTATGGTAGCTATGCTCACCTTGCCTTTGATGATTGAGTACTGCCACTTGGCCCCTGCCACCTCGGGATCCAATTATTCCCATTGTATTTAAATTTTGTAGTTGAGTGACTGTGGTTCCCACTGTTAGATCTGACATACAGAGAAAAGCAATTACACAGCTTTAAAAAATGTAGGTGCTGCCCTCACAGATCTATTTCACAAAGCATTGGTCAAGGATATATCTTCTGGACCTTCCCATCTGGGATGAGTAGGTCTAAAGTGACTAATCCACTCCACCATCCCAATCTCCCTAAGCCTTTGAATCCCTTCTTCTACATTAACCCATGGGAGATCAGGCATTTCCAGCTTGCTCACAGTGGGCCATTTTTTTTTTTTTGAGAAAGAGTCTCACTCTGTTGCCCAGGCTAGAGTGCCGGGGCACCATCTCGGCTCACTGCAAGCTCTGCCTCCCAGGTTCATGCCATTCTCCTGCCTCAGCCTCCAGAGTAGCTGGGACTACAGGCGCCCACCACCACGCCTGGCTAACTTTTTGTATTTTTAGTAGAGACACGGTTTCACCACGTTAGCCAGGATGGTCTCGATCTCCTGACCTCGTGATCAGCCCACCTTGGCCTCCCAAAGTGCTGGGATTACAGGCCTGAGCCACCGCGCCTGGCTAGTGGGCCATCTTTTAATCCATATTTCAGCTAACCAAGCAAATAAGCTATTAGAACTTTTTTTTTAACTCCCTGAGCTGCAACATTAAATGCAGAATCCCTACTTAGTGGGCCCAAATCAATACATTCAGCCTGATCCTACTCTATGTTCCTTTTACCACTATCCCACACCTTTAATATCCATTCCCATGCCTGCTCTCCAGATTTCTATTTATATAAATTAGAAAAACCAAGCAGTTCTTTTTGAGTGTAGCGCACCTCCTCATGGGTCACACTCTCAACCTCACCTCTAGGGGCCTGCCAGGACTTTAGTCTAGTTATAGGTCTAGAAGCAAATAGGAGTATTGGGGGTGGCTTCTGAGGAGAATCAACATTATCTTGACTGGCAACTGCCTCAGGGGAGGCCATCACTATTGCCTCAGGCAGAAGAGAGTTTATCTCCTCAAACAAAGGTGGAAAGGCTGAAGGCAGCATGGATTGAGGAGGGGATTTTGCCACTACTGGGGATGAGGAAGCTGTTTCTTCTAGCAAGAAAGGTTCATCAGAGTTTACAAGCTCAGTGTCCCCAGCTTCATCAGGGTCCTCCCACATATCCCCATTCTAAGTAGCAGGGTCCCATTCTTTTCCAATCAATACCCTTACTTTAACAGTAGACACCTGGTGAGGCCGTGCATGCACCTTTCATTGCAGGTCAGCCACTCACATGATAAGAGCTTGTGTCTGATTTTCCACAATTTCAGCTCTTTCTCTACAGGAGATAAGACTCTGACTCAGGACAATCTTAGAAGATTTGAGGCTCAGTATCTGCTTCTGAAGTTGGGGGTTAGAATCCCTGAATCTCTGAGTTCATAATTTTCTTTAATCACTTTATCCAGTGAACTTAGGAATAACAAACCAGCTTCATTATGTTCCTTGGTTCTCCACATATGGTCAAAGGTATTATGTATAGAGTCACTAAACTCCTTTCCTCTCACAAGCAGTGAATCAGGAGTGTCAAATGCATTTATTTTGCATAACTCTCTGAACAGTTCATTCCAAGGGCTATCAGTGTTCTCCATTAGAAGCAGAGTCCTTAGTGTTTTTGGGTGTAATCATATTAAGCAGCCAACTCCAGAAACCCCAAAACCATCTAAAGAACTCCATCCTTAATATTCTGTTCCTCTAGAACCACTGCTGGTACCAAAACCTGTATTGGTCAGGGTCCTCTAGAGGGACAGAACTAATAGGATAAAAATATATAAATATATATATGGATATGGATATATATATGGATATATATATATCCTTATATCTTATCTCCTTATAGTCTCCTTATAGTCTTATCTACTGTCCTATTATAAATTCATATATATATATATATATATATATATATATATATATATATATATATAAAGGGGAGTTTATTAAGTAGTGTTAACTCACATAATCACAAGGTTCTACAATCCCACAATAAGCCATCTGCAAGCTGAGGAGCAATGAAACCAGTCCGAGTTCCAAATCTGAAGAACTTGGAGTCTGATGTTCAAGGGCAGGAAGCATCCAGCACGGGAGAAAGATGTAGACTGGGAAGCTAGGACAATCTTGCCTTTTCACATTTTTCTGCCTGCTTTATATTTGCTGGCAGCTTATTAGATTGTGCCCACCCAGATTAAGGGTGGGTCTGCCTTTCCCAGCTCACTGACTCAAATGTTAATCTCCTTTGGCAATACCCTCACAGACACACCCAGGATTGGTACTTTGCATCCTTCAATCCAATCAAGTTGACACTCAGTATTAACCAACACTACCTGGTTCATGCATAGGTTCTTGTCCTTAAGAAATATGTTGCATATAGGGGTGCGGTAGGATGAAATTCTCTTCTTTTTCAGAAATGCAAATGTGATGGAACATCTCCACATTTGTATAATGTAAATCGTTTGTTATCTGGCTTTGAAACAACTAGAACATATATATAATGGACTTTTCTATTAAGCAATAAAGCCTATGGTTGCAAAAATGTAATATGGTCAAAGTGGTCTGTTACAGCAATACCCTAAAATCCCACAAGATGGGGATATTTCCTGCATTTCAAAAGGAAATAGTGACTCATACCATTGCACGAGCAACTGAAGAACAAAGAACCCTTTTCACTGGTTTTACGAGGCCCCTTTGCCCCTAGTTTAGTATTGTGAGGTATTTTTTGAAGGGCTAAGAAAGAAGCACCAAGAAAGGTATCCATCTTTTCCATTGATCTTGAAATTCTACTATCTGTGTTTCTCTTGTCTGTGTTGTACATTGCATTGGTATTAGCATATGTCAAGCACATATAATCTTGCTGTATTTGTCTATTTTCCCACATTTCACTCTTAGTTTAAGCAGGGTGGCCTAGTTAGGGAGTGGGTTTTGGAGCCTATTTAGGGTGTGGGTTCAAATGATCGTTCTGCCTCTTATAGTGTGATCCTGGGCTTGGACTTCAGCTTAATCATAAGCAAATTGAGGTATTAATACCTACTTTACTGTGTTTGAGAATTAAGTGAGATAAAGTATGTGAAGCATCTGTCACATGAAAAATACTCAAATACCATTTTTCCCCATTAGAAGAATTTATACATTTTTAGCTTTAAAAACTTCCTGCTAGATTCTAGAATAGTAGTTCTATACACTTAACCTAGAGAGAGTTAAGTGGTTATAAATGACCTATCTATATGTATTCTGAATAACTGAGTCAACGGAACTTGAAAGAAAATGAGATTTTTCCACATATAATATTAATTTGGTGACAAATAAACTATGCATATCTAGATTAAGTCATGTGTATTTAGGGTTGGTACCTGGAGATGGTGTTTCTTACAATAAATGGTGGCAACCAAGTAAGTGTAAGTGAGTCCATGGGCTCTGCAGTCTGGCAGACTTGAATTCTAATAATTCCTTTGTTACTTATCAGCTTCATGACCCTGGCAACTTACTTAACTCCTTTTTTGGGGACTTCATTATTTATAAAATTGGGCTGATAATTAAATACCTTCCTGATAGGATGGTTGTGAAGAATCAGAGAGGTAATACAAGCAAACCATTTAACACAAATGTCTGGCTCATGATATATGCTCAGTAAAGAGTTGACATTATTATTACTATTATTATTTAAGTTGCTCCATGCTCCTTTTTTGGTTGATAGACCATAGGCTGCCTAATTTTAGTGTTCCCTCTATTGTTTGTATTACTTTTGTATGTGTCAAAAGTATCTTAGAGTTTTCTGTTTCTTAATTATGAAAAAAATGGAATCCTTCTGAAAATGGTCATTTGTGTGAAGAAGATGAACTGATTTTATATAGATATACTTTACAGCTTTTGTCCCCAAATTATGATACAATGGAATGACATAACATGACATTGTATGTAAAGCATACATAATGCAAGGGTGTGGCTAAAATACTTAGATATATTTTATTGTGTTTTAATCAGCTTGAAGGAGCACCTGATTTTAAAATTAGAGAACTTGCAATTGCAGTTGGAGTTCGGAGAATGTATTTTAAAGATGTCATAATGAGCTTGTTTTATTTATTTATTTGGTCAAAATATGAATTATGCATTTACTGTTTTGCTTGGGTGGTGAAACTGACAATCTAATTAACAACATGACACAGTTGACAATAATAAGGCCTTTTGTTGTAGAGTACCTCATATTTTATAAAGTATATTTACATCTATTATCTTTTATAATTTTTGATTTTCGTGGATACATAGTAGGTATATATATTTATAAGGTACATGAGACATTTTGATACAGGCATGCAATGTGTTATAATCACATCAGAGTAAACGAGTTATCCATCACCTTAAGCATTTATCCTTTGTGTTAACAACAATCCAATTAGACTTTTTTAGTTATTTTAAAATGTATAATTAAATTTTATTGACAACAGTCATCCTATTGTGCTATCAAATACTAGTTCTTATTAATTCTTTCTATTTTTGTACCCATTAACCATCTCCACTTAAGTGCTTATTTCACTTAACATAATGATCTTCAGTTCTATCCATGTTGTTGCAAATGACAGGATCTCATTCTTTTTCATGGCTGAATAGTATTCCATTGTGTATATATATCATGTTTTCTTTGTCCACTTATTTATTGATGGACAATTAGGTTGCTTCTAAATCTTGGCTGTTGTGAATAGTGCTGCAGTAAATGTGGGAGTGCAGATATCTTTTTGATATACTGATTTTCTTTCTTTTGGGTATATACCTAGCAGTGGTACTGCTGGATTATAAGGTAGCTTATTTTCAGTTTTCTGAGGAACCTCCAAACTGTTTGTTATAGTGGTTGTATTAATTTACATTCCCAACAATAGTGTACAGGGGTTCTCTTTTTTTCATATCCTTGCCAGCATTCATTATTGCTTGACTTTTGAATCTATACAATTTTAACTGAGGTGAAATGTTATCTCATTGTAGTTTTGATTTGCATTTCTCTGATGATCAATGACATTGATCACCTTTTCACAAACCTGTTTGCCATTTTTATGTCTTCTTTTGAGAAATGCCTATTCATATCCTGTGCCAATTTTTTAATTGAATTATGAAATTTTTTTCTTATAGAGTTGTATGAGCTCCTTACATACTCTGGTTATTAATCCCTTGTCAGATGAGTAGTTTGCAAATATTTTTTCCCATTCTGTGGGTTGTCTTTTCACTTTGCTGATTGTTGCCTTTGTTGTGCAGAAGCATTCTAACTTGGTGTGATCCCATTTGTTCATTTTTGCTTTGGTTGCCTGTGCTTGTGGGGTAAAGAAATCTTTGCCCACTGTAATGTCCTAGAGAGTTTCTCTAACATTTTCTTTTTCTTTTCTTTTCTTTTTTTTTTTCTTTGAGATGGAGTCTTGCTCTGTCACCCAGGCTGGAGTGCAATGGCTCGATCTCGGCTCATTGCAACCTCCACCTCCTGGATTCAAGCGATTCCCCTGCTTCAGCCTCCTGAGTAGCTGGGATTACAGGCATCCCCACCACGCCTGGCTAATTTTTGTATTTTTAGTAGAGATGAGGTTTCACCATGTTGGCCAGGTGGGTCTCGAACTCCTTACTGACCTTAGGTGATCTGCCCACCTTGGCCTCCCAAATTGCTGGGGTTACAGGCGTGAACCACTGCTGCTGGCCTCCCCAGTGTTTTCTTGTAGTAGTTTCATAGTTTGAGGTCTCAGATTTATGTCTTTAATCAATTTAGATTTGATTTTTATATATGATGAGAGATAGAGGTCAAGTTTCATTCTTCTGCATATGGATATTCAGTTTTCCCAGCAGTATTTATTGAAGAGAATATCCTATCCCTAGTGTACGTTCCTGGAAACTTTTTCAAAAATGAGTTCACTGTAGATGTGTGGATTTACTTTTGGTTCTTTATTCTGTTCTCTTGCTCTATGTGTCACTTTTTATGCCAGTACCATGCTGTTTTAGTTACCATAGCTCTGTAGTGTAATTTGAAGTCAGGTAACGTGATTCCCAGTTTTTTTTCTTTTTGCTTAGGATAGCTTTGGCTATTCTGGGTCTTCTGTGGTTCCACATAAATTTTAGGATTGCTTTTTCTATTTTGTTAAAGAATGTCATTGATATTTTGATAGGGGTTGCACTGAATCTGTAGATTGCTTTAGGTAGCATGGATATTTTAACAATATGGGTATAGAAGCAACATACCTCAACATATTAAAAGCCATATTTGACACATCCAAAGCTAGCACCATACCAAATGGGGAAAAAACTGAAAGCCTTTTCTCTAAGATCTAGAACATGACAAGGATGACCACTGTCATCACTGTTACTCAACATAGTACTGGAAGTCCTAGATAGAACACTAAGATAAGAGAAAGAAATTAAGGGCATCAAAATTGGAAAGAAAGAAGTCAAATTTTTCTTGTTTGCAGATCATATGATCTTATATTTGGAAAAACCTAAAGACTCCACAGAAAAACTGTTAGAACTGACAAATTAAGTAAAGTTGCAGGATACAAAATCAGTGGCATTTCCATCTGCGAACAGTGAACAATCTGAAAAATCACAAAGCTAATCTCATTTATAATAGCAACAAATACAATAAAATACCTAGGAATGAACTTAATTAAAGAAGTGAAAGATCTCTACAATGAAACTATAAAATATTGATGAAAGAAATTAAAGAGGACATAAAAATGGAACAATATTCCATGTTCATGGATTGGGAGAATCAATATTGTTAAAATATCCAAATTTCTTTTTCAGCATCAATTGAGATGATCACATGGTTTTTGTCCTCCATTCTGTTGATATGATTGATGTATCACATTGATTGATTTGCATATGTTGGACCATCCTTGCATCCCAGGGATAAATCCCACTTGGTCATAGTGAATGATCTTTTTAATGTGCTGTTGCATTTACTTTGCTAGTATTTTGTTGAGGATTTTTGGATCAATATTCATTAGGGAAATTGTCCTGTAGTTTTCTTTTTTTCATGTGTCTTTGTCTCATTTTGATATCAAGGTAATACTGGCTTTGTAGAATGAGTTTGGAAGTATCCTCTCCGCTATTGTTTTGGAATAATTTGAGTGGGGTTGGTATTAGTTCTTTAAAGGCTTGGTGGAATTCAAGAGTGAAGCCATTGGGTCCCAGACTTTTCTTTGCTGAGAGACCTTTTATTATGACTTTCATCTTGTTTCTTGTTATTGGTTTGTTCAGGTTTTGGATTTCTTCATTGTTCAATCTTTTTAAAAAATTTCCTTTTTGTTTTTTTTGAGATAGGATCTCACCCTGTTGCCCAGGCTGGAGTACAATGATGTGATCACGGCTCCCTGTAGCCTTGTCCTCCTGGACACAGGTGGTCCTCCCACCTCAGCCTTCCGAGTAGCTGGGACTACAAACACACGCCACAATGCCTGGCTAATTTTTGTATGGGGTTTTGCCATGTTGCTCTGGCTGGTCTCAAACTTCTGGGCTCAAGCAATCTGCCTGCTTTTGTCTCCCAAAGTGCTGCAATTAGAGGCGTGAGCCACCATACCCAGCCTATGGTTCAATCTTGATAGGTTGTATGTGCCTAGGAATTTGTTTATTCTGGATTTTTCAATTTATTGGAATATAGTTGGTCATAGTAGCTATTAATGATCCTTTGAGTTTCTGTGGTACTGGTTGCAATGTCTCCTTTTTTATCTCTGATTTTATGTATATGGGTCTTATCTCTTTTTTCTTAGTCTGGCTAAAGGTTTGTCAATTTTTTATCTTTCCAAAAACCAACTTTCTATTTTGTTGATTTTTTGTATTGTTTTCTTTTTTCCAATTTCATTTATTCCTGCTTTAATATTTATTATATCTTTTCTTCTACTAATTTTGAGTTTGGTTTATTCTTGCTTTTCTAGTTCTTTAAACACATCATTAGTTTATTTATTGAAGTTTTTCTTCTTTTTTATTTTTAATTTTTATTGAGGCAAGTTCTTACTCTGCTGCCCAGGCTGGAGTGCAGTGGCATGATCTTGTTTTACTGCAGCCTTGACCTCCCAGTTTCAAGCAATCCTCCCACCTCAGTCTCCTGAGTAGCTGGGACTACAGGTGTGCACCTCTGTACTTGGCTAATTGTCTTGTATTTGTACAGACAGAGTGTCACCATGCTGCTCAGGCTGGTCTCGAACTCCTGAGCTCGAGCAATATGCCTGCCTTGGCCTCCCAAAATGCTGGGATTACAGACATGTGCCACTGCCCCACCCTTTTCTTTTTTGATGTAGACACTTATGACTGTAAATTTCCTTTTTAGTACTGCTTTTGCTGTATCCCATAGGGTTTGGTATGTTGTGTTTCCATTATCATTTGTTTCAAGAAATTTGTCAATTTTCTTCTTAATTTCTTTATTGACCCACTGGTCATTCAGAAGCATATTATTTAATTTCAATGTGTTTTTATAGTTTCCAAAATTCCTCTTGGCATTGATTCCTAGTTTTATTCCATTATGGTTAGGGAAGAGAAGATATTTGATATTATTTCATTTCTTGAATGTTTTAAGACTTGTACTGTGGGCTGGGTGCAGTGCCTCACGCTTGTAATCCCAGCACTTTGGGAGGCCGAGGCGGGCAGATCACGAGGTCTGGAGATTGTGACCATCCTAGCTAACAAGGTGAAACCCCGTCTCTACTAAAAATACAAAAATTAGCCGGGAGTAGTGGCAGGCGCCTATAGTCCCAGCTACTCGGGAGGCTGAGGCAGGAGAATGGCGTGAACCCGGGAGGCGGAGCTTGCAGTGAGCCGAGATTGCACCACTGCACTCCAGCCTGGGCAACAGAGCGAGACTCTGTCTCAAAAACAAAAACAAAAACAAAAACAAAAGACTTGTACTGTGACCTAGCATATGGTTATCCTTGAGAACAATCCATCTACTGAGAAGAATGTGCATTCTATAGCCATGAGATTAAATGTTCTGTAAATATCTACTAGGTTCACTTGGTGTGTAATGCAGATTAAGTTCCATATTTCTTTGTTGATTTCTGTCTGAAAGATCTGAAATTGAGGTGTTGACATCTCCAGGAATTATTGTATTGGGGTCTATCTCTCCCTCTAGCTCTAATAATACTTGCTTTATATATCTGGGTATTCCTATAGTTGTTACATCCTCTTGCTGAATTGACCCCTTAATAATCATATAATGACATTCTTTGTCTCTTCTTATGGTTTTTGTCCCAAAATCTATTTTGTCTGATGTGGGTATAACTACCATTACTCTTTTTTGGTTTCCATTGACGTGGAATATCTTTTTACATCTCTACTTTCAGTCTATGTGTGTCTTTATAGGTGAAGTGTGTTTCTTGTAGGCAGCAGATCATGGAGGCTTGTTTATTACTATTATTATTTTTATTTTACTTTAAGTTCTGGTATACAAGTGCAGAATGTGTAGGTTTGTTACACAGGTATACGTGTGGCATGGTGGTTTGCTGCACATGTCAAATCATTATCTAGGTTTTAAGCCCTACATGTATTAGCTATTTGTCCTAATGCTCTCCCTCCCCTCATCCCCCACTCCCCGACTGGCCCTGGTACATGTTGTTCCCCTCCCTGTGTCCATGTGTTCTCATTGTTCAATTCACACTTATGAATGAGAACATGCAGTGTTTGGTTTTCTATTCCTGTGTTAGTTTGCTGAGAATGATGCCTTCCAGCTTCATCCATGTCCCTGCAAAGGACATGATCTCATTCCTTTTTATGGCTGCATAGTATTCCATGGTGTATACATATCACATTTTCTTTATCTAGTCTATCATTGTTGGGCATTTGGGTTGGTTCCACATCTTTGTTATTGTAAATAGTGCTGCAATAAACATATGTGTGCATGTGTCTTTATAGTAGAATGATTTATAATCCTTTAGGTATATACCCAGTAATGGGGTTGCTGGATCAAATGGTATTTCTGGTTCTAGATCCTTGAGAAATTGCCACACTGTCATCTACAATAGTTGAACTAATTTACATTACCACCAACAGTGTAAAAGCATTCCTTTTTCTCCACAGCTTTGCCAGCATCTATTGTTTCTTGACTTTTTAATCATCACTGTTCTGACTGGCATGAGATGGTATCTCATTGTGGTTTTGATTTGCATTTCTCTAATGATCAGTGATGATGAGCTTTTTTTCATATGTTTGTTGGCTACATAAATGTCTTCTTTCAAGAAGTGTGTGTTCATATGCTTTGCCCACTTTTTGATGTGGTTGTTTGTATTTTTCCTGTAAATTTGTTTAAGTTCCTTGTAGATTCTGGATATTAGAGTTTGTCAGATGGGTAGATTGCAAAAATTTTCTCCCATTCTGTAGGTTGCTTATTCACTCTGATGATAGTTTATTTTGCTGTGCAGAAGCTCTTTAGTTTAATTAGATCTCATTTGTCAATTTTGGCTTTTGTTGTAATTGCTTTTGGTGTTTTCATCATGAAGTCTTTGCTTATGCCTATGTCCTGAATGGTATTGCCTAGGTTTTCTTCTAGGGCTTTTATGGTTTTGGGTTTTACATTTAAGTTTTTAATCCATCTTGAGTTAATTTTTGTATAAGATGTAAGGAAGGGTCCAGTTTCAGTTTTCTGCATATGGCTAGCCATTTTCCCCACACCATTTATTAAATAGGGAATCATTTGCCTGTTGCTTGTTTTTGTCAGGTTTGTCAAAGATCAGATGGTTATAGATATGTGAGGTATCTGTTCTGTTCCATTGGTCTATATGTCTCTTTTGGTACCAGAACCATGCTGTTTTGGTTACTGTGGCCTTGTAGTATAGTTTGAAGTCAGATAGCATGATGCCTCCAGCTTTGTTCTTTCTGCTTAGGATTGTCTTGGCTATACAGGCTCTTTTTTGTTTCCATATGAAATTTAAAGTACCTTTTTCTAGTTCTGTGAATAATGTCAATGGTAGTTTGATGGGAATAGCATTGAATCTATAAATTACTTTGGGCAGTATGGCCATTTTCATGATATTGATTCTTTCTATCAATGAGGATGGAATATTTTTCCATTTGTTTGTGTTCTCTCTTATTTCCTTGAGCAGTGGTTTGTCAGTACTCCTTGAAGAGGTCCTTTACACCCCTTGTTAGCTGTATTCCTAGGTATTTTATTCTCTTTGTATCAATTGTGAATGGGAATGGGAATTGTGAATGGGAGTTCATTCATGATTTGGCTGTCTGTCTATCGTTGGTGTGTAGGAATGCTTGTGATTTTGCATATTGGGCTGAGATGCTGGGGTTTTCTAAATAGTCAATCAGGTCGTCTGCAAACAGAGACAATTTGACTTCTTCTCTTCCTATTTGAATACGCTTTATTTCTTTCTCTTGCCTGATTGCCCTGGCCAGAACTTCCAATACTATGTTGAATAGAAGTATTGAGAGGGGGCATCCTTGTCCTGTGCCGGTTTTCAAAAAGAATGCTTCCAGCTTTTGCCCATTCAGTATGATATTGGCTGTGGGTTTGTCATAAATGGTTCTTAGTATTTTGAGATATGTTCCATTAATACTTAGTTTATTGAGAGTTTTTAACAT
This sequence comes from Homo sapiens, assembly GCF_000001405.40. Classification (NCBI taxonomy): domain Eukaryota; kingdom Metazoa; phylum Chordata; class Mammalia; order Primates; family Hominidae; genus Homo; species Homo sapiens. The sequence goes on along the minus strand of NC_000001.11, from coordinate 88,586,615 downwards.
GAAAGGATGTTAAATTTTATCAAAGGCTTTTTCTGCATCTGTTGAGATAGTCATGTGGTTTTTGTCAGTGATTCTGTTTGTGTGATGGATTATGTTTATTGATTTGTGTATGTTGAACGAGCCTTGCATCCCATGAATGAAGTCGACTTGATCATGGTGGATAAGCTTGTTGATGTGCTGCTGGATTCAGTTTGCCAGTATTTTATTGAGGATTTCTGCATCAATGTTCACCAGGGATATTGGCCTGAAGCTTTCTTTTTTTGTTTTGTCTCTGCCAGGTTTTGGTATCAGGATGACGGTGGCTTCATGAAATGAGTTAGGGAGGAGTCCCTCCTTTTCAATTGTTTGGGATAGTTTCAGAAGGAATGGTACCAGCTCCTCTTTGTACCTCTGGTAGAATTTGGCTGTAAATCCATCTGGTCCTGGGATTTTTTTGGTTGGTAGGCTATTAATTTCTGCCTCAATTTCAGAGCTTGTTATTGGTCTATTCAGGGATTCAACTTCTTCCTGGCTTAGTCTTGGGCAGGTGTATGTGTCCAGGATTTTATCCATTTCTTCTAGATTTTCTAGTTTATTTGCACAGAGGTGTTTATAGTTTTCTCTGATGGTAGTTTGTATTTCTGTGGGGTCAGTGGTGATGTCTCCTTTATCTTTTTTTTATTGTGTCTATTTGATTCTTCTCTCTTTTCTTCTTTATTAGTCTAGCTAGCAATCTATTTATTTTGTTATTTTTTTCAAAAAACCAGCTCCTGGATTCACTGATTTTTTTGAAGGGCTTTTCATGTCTCTATCTCTTTCAGTTCTGCTCTGATCTTAGTTATTTCTTGTCTTCTGCTAGCTTTTAGATTTGTTTGCTTTTGCTTCTTTAGCTCTTCTAATGTGATGTTATGGTGTTGATCTGAGATCTTTCTAGCTTTCTGATGTGAGTATTTAGTGCTATAAGTTTCTCTTGTAACACTGCTTTAGCTGGGTCCCAGAGATTCTGGTACATTGTTTTTTTGTTCTCACTAGTTTCAAAGGACTTTTTGATTTCTGCTTTAATTCCATTATTTACCTAGGAATCACTCAAGAGCAGGTTGTTCAATTTCCATGGAGCTGTGTGGTTTTGAGTGAGTTTCTTAATCCTGAGTTGTAATTTGATTGCACTGTTGTCTGAGAGACTGTTTGTTATGATTTCGGTTCTTTTGCATTTGCTGAGGAGTGTTTTACTTCCAATTATATGGTTGATTTTAGAATAGGTGCAATGTGGCACTGAGAAAAATGTACATTCTGTTGATTTGGCATGGAGAGTTCTGTAGATGTCTATTAGGTCCGTTTGATCCAGAGCTGAGTTGAAGTCCTGAATATCCTTGTTAATTTTCTGTCATGTTGATCTGTTTAATATTGACAGTGGGGTGTTAAAGTCTCCCACTATTATTATGTGGGAGTCTAAGTTTCTTTGTAGGTCTCTAAGAACTTGTTTTATGAATCTGGGTGCTCCTGTATTGGGTGCACATATATTTAGGATAGTTAGCTCTTCTTGTTGAATTGGTTCCTTTACCATTATGGAATGCCCATCTTTATTTATTTTGATCTTTGTTGGTTTAAAATCTGTTTTGTCAGAGACTAGGATTGCAACCCCTGCTTTTTTTTTTTTTTCTTTCCATTTGCTTGGTAAATGTTCCTTGGTAAATTTTTACAAAAAATCCATGCAGCTACTCTATGTCTTTTGATTGGAGAGTTTAGTGTATTTACATTCAATGTTATTATTGATAAGAAGGAAAGAAGGAGTTACTCCTGCCATTTTGTTATTTGTTTTCTGGCCTTTTTCTTCTTTCCTTCCTGCCTGTCTTCCTTTCAGTGAAGGTGATTTTCTCTGGTGGTATGATTTAATCTTTTGTTTTTTATTTTTTGTGTATCTGTTGTATGTTTTTTGATTTGAGGTTACCACAAGGATTGCAAATACTATTTTATAACCCATTATTTTAAACTAATGACAACACTGCCTGCACAAACAAACAAGGAAAACGAAAACTAATAAAAACTCTACACTCTAACTCTGTCCCCCTGCTTTTTAACTTTTCCTTGTGTCTATTTATATCTTATTGTAATGTCTACATGTTGAAAAGTTGTTGTAGTTATTATTTTTGATTGGTTCATATTTAGTCTTTCTACTTAAGATATGAGTAGTTTACATGCTACAGTTAACAGTGTTAACGTTATTTGTGTTTTTCTGTGCTTACAATGACCAATGAATTTAGTACCTTCAGATGATATATTGTTGCTCATTAATATCCTTTCCTTTCTGGTTGAAGAGCTTCCTTTAGCATTTCTTGTAGGGCAAGTCTGGTGTTGATGAAATACTTCAACTTTTGTTTGTCTGGGAAAGTCTTTATTTCTCCTTCATGTTTGAGGGATAGTTCCACTGTATATATTATTCTAGTGTAAAAGTTTTTTTCCTTCAGCACTTTAAGTATGTTATACCACTCTCTTCTGGCCTGTAAAGTTTCCACAGAAAAGTCTGCTGCCGGACATACTGGAGCTCCATTGTATGTCATTTGTTTCTTTTATCTTGCTGCTTTTAGGCTATCATTTTTATCCTTGACCTTAGGGAGTTTGATTATGAAATGCTTTGATGTAGTCTTATTTGGGTTAAAGCTACTTGGTGTTCTATAACTTTCTTGTACTTGCATATTGATATCTTTCCCTAGATTTGGAAAGTTCTCCATTATTATTTCTTTTGTTGTTGTTGTTTTTGAGACAGGGTCTTATTCTGTCTCCCAGGCTGGAGTGCAGTGGCACAATCTCATCTCATTGCAACCTCCAGCTCCTGGGTTCAAGTGATTCTCATGCCTCAGCCTCCTGAGTAACTGGGATTACAGGCGCACACCATCTCGCCTGGCTAATTTTTGTATTTTTTCGTAAAGATGGGGTTTCACCATGTTGGCCAGGTTGGTCTTGAACCCCTGACCTCACGTGATCTGCCTGCCTCAGCCTCCCAAAGTACTGGGATTACAGGTGTGAGCCACCATGCCCAGCCCGTTGTTTCTTTGAATAAACTTTCTACCCCTATCTGTGTCTTTATCTCCTCTTTAAGGCCAATAACTCTTAGATTTACCCTTTTGAGGCTATTCTCTAGGTCTTCAAGGCATGCTTCATTCTTTTTTCTTTTGTCTCTTCTAACTGTATATTTTCAAATAGTGTGTGTTCAGGCTCACTAATTCTTTCTTCTCTTTGACCAATTCTGCTATAAAGAGACTTTGATGTGTTTTTCAGTATGCCAATTGCATTTTTCAACTCCAAAATTTCTGTTTGATTCTTTGAAGTTATTTCAATCTCTTTGTTAAATTTATCTGACAGAATCTGAATTCCTTCTGTGTCATCTTGAATTTCTTTGAATTTCCTCAAAATAGATTTTGAATTCTTTGTCTGAACAGTCACATGTTTCTCCAGGTTGGTCTTTGGTTCTTTATTTAGTTTGTTTGGTCAGGCCACTTTTCTTTGATAGTCTTGGTGCTTATGGATGTTAATTGGTATCTGGGCATTGAAGAATTTTGTGTTTATTGCAGTCTTCACTGTCTGGGCTTGTTTGTGCCTGTCCTTCTTGGGAAGGTTTTCCAGGTATTCAAAGGGACTTGGGTATTGTGATATAATGTCTGTATTAGGGGCACCCCAAGGCCAGTAATACTGTAGTTCTTGCAGATTCATAGAGGTACTGCCTTGGTTTTGGATAAGGTTTGGAAGAATTCTCTCAATTACCAGGAAGAGACTCTTGTTCTCTTCTCTTACTTTCTCCCAAACAGAGTGTCTCTCTCTCTCTTTCTCTCTGTGCTGAGTCACCTGGAGCTGGGGTGGGTTGACATGAGCAATTATGTAGCCACCACCATTGGGACTATGTTGGGTCAGACCTTAAGCCAGCGTAGCATTGGGTCTTGCCCAAGGCCTGCTGTAACCATTACATGGCTATCACCTATATTTACTTAAGGCTTTAGGGATCTACAATCAGCAGGTGGAAAAGCCAGACAGGCTTGTACCATTCCCTTCAGAGCCACGAGTTCCCCCAGGCCCTGGGTGGACCTAGAGTTGCCTTCAGGTCAATAGGCTCCCCTCTAGCCCAGGACATAAAATGCCATCCAAGAGTCAACACCTGGTATCAGGGACTCCAAGAGACTGCCTGGTGCTCTACCCTACTATAACTGAGTTGGTACTTAAGGTGCAAGACAAAGTTCCCTTTACTTTTCTGTCTGCTTTTGTCAAACAGAAGGAGTCTTTCATTATAGCCACCATAGCTGGGAATGTGCTGGGTTTCACCTGAAGCCAGTACAGCTCAGAGTCTCATCTAAGGTGTATGACCTGGGTATTACTGCTCATTCTTCAGAGCCCAAGGGCTCTGAAGTCAGCAGGTGACAATGCTGCCAGGACTGGGTCCTTCCCTTCAAGGCAATGGGTTCCCTTCTGGCGCAAAGTGTGTCTAGATATGTTGTCTGAAAGCTAGGGTCTGAAAGGGGGACCTTGCAACTCTGCCTTGTGCCCTGTCCTACTGTGGCTGAGCTGATATCTGGGATGCAAAACTCCTCTTTAATCCTCCCTCTCCTCTGTCAGTAGAAGGAAGAAGCTACTTTTATTACTGCAAGCTGGAGAGCCTTGGGTTGTGGGAGGGGTGGTGCAGGCCCTCCCTTAGCTGCCTTGGTTGGTGTCTCACTAGGTTGCTTGCCCCCAACATCCACTGGCTCTGAGCCCAGCACAACACTAGCAGTTGCCTAGGAACTGCAGTCCTTGTGGCCAAGACTGCCTTTCAGGTTTATTTAGAACCCCAGAGCAGTTTAGCCTGTGGTAGCGAGGCTTGTCAAAACTCAATTTCCAACAACTAGGATGGGCAATTCTTCTCTTGCTAGGGTTGGTTTACATGGTCCCTCCGTTGGTGGGCATCAGCTGAGTTTAGCCTGGTTTTGCTTTCTGCCATGATATGGCAGCACTGAGTTCAATGCAGGGTCCCACAATCACTGGGCAATCTCCCTGTCCCAAATGCATGGATTCTCTGTGCCACATGGCTGCTATCAGGGGATGGGGAGGAGTGGCATCAGTGATTCAAGACTGTCTTTCCTACTCTCTTCAGTGCCTCCTTCAGCAATATGAAGTTAAAACCAGGTGCTGTGATTGCTTATGTGACTTTTTGTTCTCATGAAGGTGCTTTTTTATGTGTAGATAGTTGGTAAATTTGGTGTCCCTGAGTGGGGGATGATTGGTGAAGGCTTCTGTTCAGCCACCCTGCTCTGCCCTCTTGTGATTTTTTTTTTCACATCCAATATCTTTTTGATCTTCTTAGCAGTTGATAAGGTAAGCAGACAGATGGTATTATCACCATTATGGATGTAAGGAAATCTGTGTCTAAAACTCTGAAATGGCTTCTTACTGCACCTAAGATAAAGTTCAAAACTGTCCCTCTGATGTACAAGGCCCTGTGTGATATGGCTTGCTCCCAATCTCCTGTGTCTCTACTATTCTCTTGTTATGTAGCCTTCCTTTAGTTCTACGAACATACTAAGCTTCTTCCCTTTATGGAATTTTCAAGTATAAAGTTCCTTCTGTCTATAAATCTCTTTCCCCCTTTTTATCTTGCTAAGTTTCATCTGTTCTTTATGTCTCAACTTAAATGCCATTTCCTCAAGAAATTTCAGGCATCCTAGGCTAGGTTAGGGCCTTCTGTTCTACACACTCATGACACTGTGGCTTTACTCTTCAGAACACATATCGCAATTGTTAGTCAAACAATTATTTATAACATGACTTGTTTAATGTCTGCTTTCACCATTAGGTTATAATCTTTATGAGGATTGGGGCTGCCTGTCTTCCTTATTCTTTCTGCTCAGAATTAAGTGCAATTTCTGAAACACCCCACCCCAAGCACTGCACCATATTTGTTAAATGAATAAATAAAGTGAGTAATACAAAGTCACATAAAAAAGCTAAACTAAGACGTCTAGATTCCTCGTTAAGTAGTTCTACTACACCAAGTGTATGAGGCAGCAGATTGATAATATTGATGATGTGAAGTTTTAAGAATTTATAATTATTTCTCAGTAGAAACTGAATGAAATAGTAGGCAATGAATTTTTATCATTTTATGAAAGAAGAAAGATATAAAATTTAAGAATAATGTTGATTTCATAGAATGGGAAAATATGTTTACAACATAATAAAACAGCTATTTAAATAAATAGCTACAAAGATATAGAGTATAGGTATTTATATGGTCTAGATGAATTTTTAGTTTTAACATGAGTTTTTGAAAGAACTTGGAAATTGAAATTGTGGATTAAACATTAGGGCAGCCATGTGAGTTTTGTTTTTCAAAGTTCTAAAATCTTAGTTTATAAAAAGCCTTTGCATCCAGGTGTGGTGACATGTGCCTGTAGTCCCAGCTATTTGGGAGGCTGAGGCAGGAGAATCAGTTGAGCCCAGGAATTTGAGGCCATAGTGAGCTATGATTGCACATGTGAATAGCCATTACACTTCAGTCTGGACAACATAGTGAGATCCCATATCTAAAAAAAGCTTTCGTTGTAAAAAGAGTATATCAAGGAAAGATTGCCCACGCTAGGTACAGCTGTTACAGGTCAGATTCTCTGGGAAGAAAGTTCAGAGATTAGCATGCAGAAATTTTACTAGGGAATGTTCTTGGATCAACACCTGTAAGGGAATGAAGAATGCAGGATGATTGAGAGAGAAAATTTGAGCTGTATTGTAGTCACAACAGATATCTCAGCTGAATCTCAGGAACTATGGAGCTAAAATGGCCCTGGGCCAAGGGCAGTGAGCCTTTGTAGCCCTGTATTGATCAGTCATTTGATGCCAGTTGCCCTGGGAAGGGAGCATGACATTGGAAGAGGTGGCTCTCATTAGCTGAGGGCAATATCTCGAGGAACGATCAGCTGTGAGCTGTCCATCAGTAATAGTCATGGTAGCTGGGGGAATGAGTGTGTCTGGCCTGAAGCGAAGGGGTGATCTGGATAGCACATTAAAATGTCTATTAAAGTTTACTGCTTGTGCTGCTCAGATCCCTTTGCTGGTAAAAGTTCTGGGAACAACTCCTTCAGGGTTTTGGTGGATTTCTTTTCTGGGTGAAAACTTTTAAGATTACTGGGATGTATCCCACTGCTACAGCTGGTCTTCAGACTGGACAGAATCCAGCTCATGGTGGACAGTCCTGACAACATGGTTATTTACTGTTCTGTGGACCATGCCTCCATTTCCACCAGGGCCCAGTAGCATGTCAAGAGCTGTGTTTTTTGGAAGGTACCTAATTTTCCATTGCTGGTTGTATGCCTTTGCTCTAGAATGCTAGCATTCTTTTTTTTTTTTTTCTTTTTTGAGACGAAGTCTCGCTCTGTTGCCCAGGCTATAGAGTGCAGTGGCACGATCTTGGCTCACTGCAAGCTCTGCCTCCTGGGTTCAAGCAATTCCCCTGCTTCAGCCTCCCGAGTAGCTGGGACTACAGGCGCCTGCCACCACGCCCAGCTAATTTTTGTATTTTTAGTAGAGACGGGGTTTCACCATGTTGGCCAGGATGGTCTTGCTCTCTTGACTTTGTGATTCACCCACCTTGGTAAAATGCTAGGATTCTTTTTTTTTTTTTTTTTTTTTTGAGATGGAGTCTTGCTCTGTTGCCTAGGCTGGAGTGCAATGGCACGATCTTGGCTCACTGCAACCTCCGCCTCCTGTGTTCAAGCGATTCTCCTGTCTTAGCCTCCTGAGTAGCTGGGGTTACATGTGCCCACCACCATGCCCAGCTAATTTTTGAATTTTTAGTAGAGACGGGGTTTCGCCATGTTGGTCAGGCTGTTCTCGAATTCCTGACCTCGTGATCCGCCCACCTTGGCCTCCCAAAGTGCTGGGATTACAGATGTGAGCCACCATGCCTGGCTGAATGCTAGAATTCTTAATTGTGATTCCCATATCGTGGCTTGCTATGAACTCCACACAGTGTTTTTTCCCATCACAAGCACCTGTAAGCCCATAGAGTCTGTTGTGTTCTATTGCCCAAGTGGCAGGACTGTTTGTGTCATGACCTGGACTTGCTGCAGAACCCTTTCCAGCATTGGGCTGCCTTTAAAATTGTCAGCCTTTCATGCTTTCTGGTATATAGGTTAGAGTAATATTCTCAAGTGTAGAATATGCTTCCTCCAGAACTCAAGAGGCCTGCCAGACATTTTACTTCTTTCTTTGTGGTGGGAGGCAGGAGATGCAATTTCTTCTTTTATTTTGAGAGGATGTCCCAGGATGATCCCAGATCATTGGACCCTCTCCCAATATTTTACTGATGTTGCAGACCTTTTAATCTTTGTAGGGCTTACCTCTGCCCATCAGAGTGATACATTTGTTTTTAACATAATATCAAATTTGTATTTTCTTCATAATAAAGCAAAAGATGATTCTTAGAACTGGATATCACTTGGCCCTTTATCTTCTTATTTCCTCCCAGTTCAAAATGCTTGCATCTCTTCATAGCCAGCATTCTCTTAGATCTGCAGTTGGTCTCAACACACTGAAGCCTCAGCACAATCTTCTTTGTACTTTTAGCCTTTTGTAGAAAACCAGCTTAGTCTGCCCACCATAGCCACTCTGCTTCCTGTCATAATGCCACTTTTCCTGGGCATATGGAGAATCCTTGCCCTTCTTCTACTGTATCACTTTGTGGGATTGGTGCTTGCCACACTTCTTACAGAATGTCGGGTGGGTTTTAAGAATGTTTGCCATGTTTGCTGGAGCAATATCAGCACGGAAAGCCAAAGTGTTATATGTTTTACTAAAGCTTCCAACATACTTGCTACTTCTCGATATTCTGGTCCAATTTACATATCATTGATATGGCAGACCAATGTGATGCTCTACAACACAGCAGCATGATCCAGGTCTCTTTATACCACATCATTATACAGAGTAAGAGAGTTAAATTAGCTCTTGGGAAAGGTTGTGCATGTACACTGTTGTGAGAACTATTTCTGATAGAGATGGAAAAGAATGCATAAGCCAGATCAATGGCTGCACTCCATGTACTAGAGGCTGTTAATCTGCTGTAGCACCTGGCACAGTAGATGCAATGAGGGCTAGTGCTTGGTTGAGTTTGTGGTAGTTTACAGTTATCCTTCAGGATCTACCTGATTTTTCAGGGCCCAGACTGATAAATTGAATGGAAATTAGGTGGCAACACCACCCCTAAGTCCTTTAGGTCTTTAAGGGTGGCACAAACATCTTCCAGTTTCCTCAAGATGTAATTGTTTTTGTTTTACTTTCTTGGCTGGCCAAGAAACTAATGCTAAGGTTGTGCCAGCTACCAAAAAAGTCTTCTCCAATTGGAGTACCCATTGGGAGAGCCTGTGGATTGGGAGAGACAGTGGACTGTCTGTGAGCTGGACTTTTTTTTTTTTCAAACCGGGTCTCCACTCTAATAGAGGGTGGTGACTGATGCTTTGAGTTCTTAGGTATAAATGTCAGCATGGACGCTGGATCCAACAGTCTTCAAAATATTTGAAATTACCCTGTCCCCAGTATATGGTTGCCTGAGTAAATGGCTATAGGTCCCTTTTGAACTGGGGAATCATTACCATGTGTACTTGCCATGGTGTTGCAGAGCCTTCCTCCTGGGGACCCAGCTTCTCCTTCAGTCAGTCAGTTCTGGGTCTCAAAACTGGCTTAGGTACAGAAACTGGGCAAGGGATTGGCCTTCTTATGTGCCCACAGCCTCCTGATCATCCATCTCTGATTTCTTTTGATTATGTGAATTGAGCAGTACCCTTGTTGCCATCCCATCTATATTTCCCTTAGGAATGCTACGTTCTATTAATCGTCTCCATAGCTCTCTGTGAGTCAGACCCTCCAGGCTGCCGTTCCAATCTTGAGTGTTCACCTTACTTCTGGTGGCTATGTTCCTCTACCTGGTCTCCATTATTTTAGGATTTTATTATCCAGTCTGCTATCAAGGGGCTCAGTTTTATAATGGAATTTATTACTGTCAGCCCTGGCCAACAGAAGACAGCCACCACTGAGCTTCTCAGTGATGCTGGTGTCCCTGTAGCTGATGCATTTCTTATTGTTTTGGTAAACAGTGTCCTCTGGGCCTTGCAGCAGGCCAAAGCTAGCTGGCGGATTTTCTGGTCTTACTTAGTATATGTATGCTAGTATACCCATTTTTCTAAGCCCTTTGATCCCTCTTCTACCATCTGCCATGGCAATTGGAGCATTCTTTACTAGACTTTGTTTTCTCTAAACTTCAAAGGATCATCTCAGTAGTGTGCTAATATGAATTTCCAGGGTCTTTGCCAGGATGTATAATCCTAATGAGGGCTTCAAAATAAGTAACTTTTCATTTATCCAACTTCATGTTCTACCTCCTTTGATCCAGCACTCTCAGCATCCAAGCCCATATGTACTTTCTTGCCTCCTATTGGTACATGTTGTCTAGATTCTGCAGCTCTTTGCGGATATTGTCTCTGTCTGCTCAGCAGGCCCAGCTCAACATAAACTATGTTTTGTTGTGACTTAATACTAGATAATGGTTGAATAACCAGGGAGACAGGTTGGGGGAATGTTCTGAGGGGATCCATGCTGTCTTGCAAGATAGGGGCCTCTATATCATCTTCAAGCACAGGGGAAATGCTAGATTTTTACAGGGAGGAGTGGGTTACTTCTGGAAGTCCAGAGAGTTCAGGAGTACCTGGTGACTCATGATTTCCAAAGATATGGTATTCCATATTTCAGGGTCTCATTTCTTCCCAATCAGAATCTTGGCCTTGGCATAGTGACTCGGAGGAACCAATAATTCAACTCTGCTACTTATAAAGTTCAGTTTCTCATCCTCAGCTTTTTGTCCCTTGACTGAAGGAGATGAGACTCTTTATATGCTGCATTGAGGTGCTCTGACTTTGATAATTAGCTTTCAATTGCTGATTAATCACCCTCAGCCTTTCATTATCTTTCTCCAAAAGCACTGATTGCCCCAAGAAATAGCCTTCACTATCCTTACACTTGCCATCTCTCCCATATTTCTCAAGTGCAGGAGACATTACACCTACCAGTCATTTTCTTCCAATGGATTACAATTTCAGTTCTCCAGTGGTGGCAACTTTAACAGTAGTACCACTGACACATGTCAGGGGCTATTTGTGCTCCATCTACCATAAGTGATCAACACCAACTGGTCAGTTGGCAATTTGGCTCCATAATCCCATTTAAGAACCTTCTTTCTTGTCCCATGAGAATAATGTCTATGACAGAGTGAGGAAGCAGGAGTGGGCAGTCAGTTTGGGTTCAGGGGCTGGGATGGTCTATGCATGAGGGGGGCACAGTTGGCTCCACAATGAGGCTTGGACTTTGCACCCATGCATAGATTAGTCATTGGATGTAGGTTGCTCCTGGGGTGGGAGCATGACCTTGGGTGAGGTGGTATCTAGGTGATGTACTACAGTGTTCACTATGACAGCCTTTCATTTTCTACACAGTGTCCTTCTCTACCTTCCTCCTCTTAACAATTAGGATGGGTACAAGAATAAAGCAGATGACTAATAAGTTGCCGTGTTGACTCCCCTTTGAAAACTATCCTGAAAAGTTAAAAATATGCCAGTCTAAGTTGTTTCCTTGTAATGTAAATACCCTAAGTGCTTACAGGCAATTGGATCTGCCAATCGATTTTATAGGCTTTGCAAATGTGAGGTGCTAAAAAAACTATTTGTTGCATAATTAAATGAACAAATAACCAAGTGCCTACTGTATATCTGTGGTAAATCATTCCTTTAACCACAATGATTGGTTAAGAGCTGAAATTAGATTCAGAAATCACCCAAGTGAAGTTATATGATCTTTAACTCTTCCTTGGGTAGAATGGAAACAGAAAGAGAACTGCATTCAGACTCATTAGGCCTGGATACATGTTTTGACCGTGTTATTCATTATTCACAGGCTGTGGGAACTTGGGCAAATTACTTAACTTCCATGAGCTTTAGTCCCTTTATCTATATATTTAATATAATACCTGTCCTGTTTTCCTTACAGTGTTCTTATGAGAATTAACGTGAAATATTAGTAGCTAAAACATTAAAAGCTACAGAACATTATAACTTATGAGTGTTTATTATTATTATTACTACTACTAATATTGGTAATTCCCTTGCCTGTTGTGAGAAGCAGGAATGAGTCAGGGAACACAGAAATGGCCAAAATTTAAAGAAGGAGAATAGGAAGCTTGCACAAATAACTTCAAACTATGAATTATAAAAAATTAGCATGCAAATGGATGTTCCTAGCAGATGGTTTTGGGGCCATTTGTTATGTCTTAGGTTTTTTAGTGGGAGTAACATAAAAGAATGACTAAATATTTGATTATTCAATTAAACATGTATTTGTAATATTCATCTTTGTATTAAATTGAATCTCTTGCAGCATTTTCTTTTATGTCTTCTTTATCATTCACAACTTCTGTTTCTCCCATGCATCATATAATGAGGCTCATTGTCAAAAGGGTGTTTATCTGGTGTTGATTTTTATCAATCTCCGTTAATTGTTCAGAGATGAGTGCTCCATGAATGTGTTATGTTACATTATTTCTTTAAACCATACCATTAAGATTATGGATTTGGGTATCAATGAACATAAATAACTTCATTGAAGGAACTGTTTTATATCCTCACACAAAGACCTTATGTTATGCAATAGCAAGTAATAATAAAAGTCATTGTTTCAAAAATACATTTTTTGACCCTGAAGCATGAATGGTTTTTGATTGGTCAGTATTCCACATGTTCTCTTGTGAAGGTTCAAATCCAACTTGTATAAACTGCTACTTGTGTGATGGAACTATAAATAAAATAATATATATTTAATATATTATGTATACATATAATGTATACACTATATACTGCATGCCAAACCATTGATATGCAGTATATGTATACATAGTCACATATACATAAAGATATATATATATTTAAATAAATTATTCATTGCTGTGTGTCTGGATTACCAAAGGTAGAATTCTAGAGTCACCTTTTTCATCCTTGCCCTTGTTTTCCTGTCTTGTTTTGAGACACAGAAATCAGGTAGGAGAACAGAGCAGTTCAGTTTGTGTTACAAGTTGACAAACTTGCTTCAGCCACCAGAATACATTAGCAACATGTCTATTTTCTTGATTTGATTTCCATCAACCTAAAACATTCCCTGAAAAAGAAATGTGTTCAACCGGGCACGGTGGCTCACGCCTGTAATCCCAGCACTTTGGGAGGCCGAGGTGGATGGATCACAAGGTCAGGAGATCGAGACCATCCTGGCTAACATGGTGAAACCCTGTCTCTACTAAAAAATACAAAAAATTTGCTGGGCGTGGTGGCACGCACCTTTAGTCCCAGCTACTCGGGAGACTGAGGCAGGAGAATGGTGTGAACCCCAGAGACGGAGCTTGCAGTGAGCCGAGATTGCGCCACTGCACTCCAGCCTGGGCGACAGAGCGAGACTCCGTCTCAAAAAAAAACAAACAAAAAAAAGTGTTCAGCGCAACTCAGGTTCATCACCTACCATGGATGCAATCAGGATGGGCTAGTTAAAAACAGGAAATAAATGTTCCTATCCCTGGGATCTCAAAGCCTAGTAAATGACTAATAAATAACTACAAAAGAAGGCAGGCAGAAGGCAGTCCTCCTCAGAGCCTCAGGAGGGGTTTCAACTAGTTGATGGAATCAGGTAGAAGAAGATATTAATTTATACTGTGTGGGGTAGGGGTGAGGCGTGGGAAAACATCTTGTGGTAGAGTTTAGGATAAACCTAGACGGGCATCCTTAACCATTATTGTGTCTAATAAACTGTTCTCAAAATAATGTTTGGAATGTATAAAATAAAAGAGAAAGGATTATAATTGAAACCAATTGTATCAAAATAGCTCTTGAAATATAAAAAAAATTGTGATATAATAATAAGTACACTTCTTTATTAAGGCATTAAATAAAAAATTTCATTTGCAGGTGTAATAACTATTGTAATTTTAAAGTAGTAATGAGCGTAAATAATAATTCAAGATATCTGTAATGACTATAATGTGATATGGATATATCTGTGATTTCTATTTGTGACAAAGTCTTATGTACTTCTAATATTTTCAATGTTTGTTGCCTAGATTCACAATAAAAGGAAATACTACAGTTCAGTTAGGAGTTAGCGAAAATGGAAATGTAATTTTTCTCCCATTTAAATCACAAATCTCTTAATTTTACCTCTGGACCCTTGGGGGTCTATGGAGTACAGGTTAAGAACCACTAGACTAGAGGATGAATAGGACATTGATAGGGAAATGGAGAAGAAGTGTGAGAGGGGTTCTACCAGTATAGAACAACGTTGTTGGGGATGGGGCAGCAAAGGGCGTGTTTGAGGAGTAGAGAGGTATGTCTAGAGGGTGTGTGAATGGAGTGTGCACTGTGGGGCAGTATGAAAAAATGATGGATGCATAGGAAAAGGAGACATCATGGGGCTCTCTCAGAGGCCTTTGCATGCCAGAAGGAGGAATTGCACCAGTGAAGAGCCATCAGTGTTGTCTTTGAGCAGGAAACCGACATAAATATGTTGTTGTTTTAGGAAAGTTATTTGCAGCATAATGGGAGTTGTGTTGAAAAGGCTTGAAGCGGGAAGCCTCTTAGCAGCTTATTACATTGGTCAGGAGAAATATATTGAGAACTTGAACTAATTCAGTAGAAGTGGGAAAGAGAAGAGGTAAGCAAAAGACCGTTGATAGGCAGACTGAAAGGATTTGGCAACAGGAGAATAGGGTGGGGGATGCAAAAGTAGGGAGAAAAGCTGATTCTAAGTGCTTAACTTGTCATACAGGGATGATGGTGAAGCAATGAACCAATACAGAGAACACAGCAAGAAGGGTAAATTTGTGACAGAGGAGTAATAAATTCTTTTTGGGTATATTGAAAGTTGAGGCATTCATGAACTTTTCATGTGGAAATGTTCAGCAGGCAGTGAAAGTGAATCTAGAATCTGGACAAAAGTTCAAGAATGGAAATGCAGATTTGGTAATCATAATGAGAACAGCTGAAATCAAGGGAGTGAAAGAAATTGCCAAAGAAGGGCAAAGGTGCTGAAGACTGAATGTTGTTTGACTTCTCGGCTGTGCAAAATGTTTCAAGAACTGCTTGGCAATTTTGCACATTTAGTCCTTGTTTCTTTAGTTGCATGAAGTGAATAATGTGCCTATTATGTTTCTGATACTCTGCTTTTTCAAAGATCAATAAGATATTGGCCTGCTTTCAAGGAATTAATATTTTGAATAGAGAAGCTGACATATGAACAAATAAATATAATTAAACACAATAATAGAATTAGGTACAAGTAGAGAATGATACAGAGAAGGGCAGGATTAACTTCAACTGGGGTGGGAGTAAGGAAGGCTTCCTAGAGAAGGTGACCACTGATTTGGGTTTTGAGAGTTGAATAGTAGTTTGCCAAGTGGGAAAGGTGTTTTAATTAGTGGGGATGAACTGTGCAAAAGACTGGTATATCCAGTGAACTGCTTTCCTTCTGTTGTTTCTTGTGACTAATCCCCAACTTGTGTTATACAAGATTTAAATGTTTGCAAGATCTGAAATCCTTTCTCTCTGTGAGTAGCGCCTCTCCTCATCTTAATGTTAAACAAGACCCCTCAAATTTGGCCATGAAACTATTTTGTTCTTGATCTAATCTTTTAAGTTGAAGTTTAACTTCATTTTTTCTGGTTTTGTTCTTTCAAAAACGAAGATAATTCTGTAATCATCCTCTGTTGAAAATAAAGGTCTACAAAGTGTCCGGTAAGTACAACATTAAAAATAATGGCATGTTTAATGGAACATAATTTATCCAAAGTTCTCTGTTTGCTAGCCCTTTTTTTGCCTCTGGATTATGTTCATAATAATATGTATTCTTTCATGGAAATTAAGGCTTGTTGGGGCTTATGTTTTCAACTGCAGCATGTCAGCATTGTTCATGTTATGTCCCAGCTGGTTGAAATTAGCTTCATAGTAGAGCCATTATGAAGTTTTCGTTAAATAGATATATAATTTTTAAATATGAAAAATCTCAATGTCATGAAAATTAATTTTTAAAATTTTTCCTACTTTATATCTTTATGGTATTGTATCAAGACAGGATTTTCTCCTCCACCTTTTTTTTGGGGGGCCAGGGTTCTAACTGTACTCTCTGGAGTTCTGGCACATACCTATCAAGGATGACAGAAAAGATTCTTTGGAAAAATAAAGAAATCAGAACAACTCTGTAAGCATATCAATAGAGTCTGCTTGAATATGCAATCAGACAAAAGAAATATTTGTCTTTTACATACTTAATTTTGAGTTGGATGAGGAATGATCATTTTCCTTTATTTTCTCAGTGGATGAGGAATGATCATTTTCCTTTATTTTCTCAGTTACCCTGGAGCTGTACAAGTCACACACAGCTCCATTGGAGAGAAAACTGGATGGAACCATTTGACTGAAAATCCATGTCAAAAGGCCAACAAGAAAGAGCTGAGACACTGCAGAAAGAGCAGGAATAAATAAGAGGTGAAGACAGACAGAGACCAGACAAGGAGGACTCAATTACAGACTGACAGAAGACTCAAGGAAGAAAATGAAGGTTTGTAACTTCTAGACTTCTTGTATAGGCTTGTCTATCTAAAAAGATACATAAATCATATATATTAGCATATATCAGGCATTTATCTGTTCAGTGGAGACCAATTCACAAAAATGCCAATACTCCATGCTTACAAGGTTCTGAAGAGTAGAATAAATATCTATTTAGGGAAAAAATTCTATTGCATTTTGTGCTGTCTTATACATATTATAGAGCTTGGGGGAAGTGGAAACAACCTTCTTCTGGAAACCTTCTTTTTACAAATGCAAGGATGGCCTGGAAATGGACCTAAGGTCCTTATGGAGCCACTTTGTCTAAAATGCTAAAGAAGTGGCTCTCACATTGATCCACATAACTAGAACCAGCTGAAGTCTGGTTTAGCCTATTATGGCCTTCTGACTTGAATTAATTGATCAAATAATTAAACATTTATTAAATTATGCAGCATCCTCTATGTCCCATGTCCTGTGTAGGGGCTTAGGAAACAAGGATGAGGATAAACACCCTTTCCTTGAGAGGCTGAGGAGCATTAAATGTGAAAAAACACCTGCAGAAAAATAAAAATAAAAAAACTATCGTTCCACCCACTGCAAAAAAGAAGAAAAAAGGCTATCAAGTGATTGTTTTGGAGTTGATACATTATTGGTGATTGAATTTTTATGAGTGTGATGTGTAGCTACAAAAGGCCCAGATACGTAAAAAAAAAATTCCAATATGAATCTTCCTGAGGCCTAGACTTGGCTTATATCTTCTCTCTGGTTCCTAAATTTTATTTAACAACTTTTTCTCAGCCTGTTGAATTTCCCACATGAAGACCCCTTCAATCCACAGTTCAGGCTGTCAGGAGTCTAATCTTCCTGGAAGACAGTGACAGCCACAAATTCAGGTTGAATCTTTTATTCCCCCCTACACAGACCAATGCCACTGGAAAGAACTATATTTACCTTAACTCATTGGCAGGGATAGTAGTGAATGTATGTACTCTTTGGACCTTTATTTCCAGGCCCAGAATTGGACTCTCTATATCCAGTTACTCCTCTTTCTAATCTGTTCCTTCCACTCCCATGGTCTTCTTAAAGCATAGATCTGATTGGGTAATTCATAGGGAAATGATCTAGTCCTTAGCTTGGTCTCTGTGCTCTCTACCATTTATCTCTATCCTATCTTTACAGCTTCATCTTCTAGTCCAGTGGCTACTATGGGATACTTGTGTTTTCTAGAAATACTGAACTGAACGCTTTCATGATCTTTGCATTTGCTGTTTCTGTTCCCTTCACTTTTTTTTTTTTTTTTTTTGAGACTGGGTCTCACTATGTCATGCAGGCTGCAGTGCAGTGGTATTATCATAGCTCACTGTAACCTCAACTCTTGAGCTCAAGCTATCAGCCTTCCAAGTAACTAGGATTACAAGGCATGTGATACCATGCCCGGTTAATTAAAAAAAATTTTTTTTTTTTTTTGTGGAGATGATAGGGGTCTCACTATGTTGCTCAGTCTGGCTCAAACTCCTGGCCTCAAGCAATTCTCCTGTCTCAGCCTCCCAAAGTGTTGAGATTATAGGTGTGAGCTACTGTGCCTGGCTTTTTCTTCCTAGACAATTAAATATCTCAGGCTGTTAAAATCCTGCTCATCTTTGAAAACCTGATTTAAATATCACAAATACTCTAGAAGAGCCTTCAGAGTGTCCTTTCTTGGTATTAATAATTTTTGTCTCTGGGCTTTCACAGAACTTTACTAATATCTCCTATAGCACTAAGGTTATAGGCATTAAACTAAATGGTATAAATCACAGTATATGGCATAATGAAAGAGTTAAATAAATATTAGCTATTAGTTTTACTTACCACATTGTGCCTAAGATAAAATTTCTATATACGTGTAAGTAATGTATCAGTAAGTCCTCCACTGATCTGTAAGTTCTTTAAGAATAAGAGAAGATAATAACTTACCCCTTTTAGTGCCTAAAATCTTAGATTTGTGCTTTCTACCTTGAAGAAGCACAAAAAGCACTTGTCGAAACACTGGTTGAATGAATCTGTTACTAGAATTTAGAGAAAGAAATATAGAACAGAGCAGCTTTTCACCCTGATATGTGCTAAGGCATTCTGTTGGGCTTCATATACTTTACCTCATTCAATCCCCACAACTACCCTGTGAAACATATATTGATCTTGCTCTATGAGGAAATTGAGACTCAAGGAATTTAAATAATATACCACAAGTAAGCAACTAGAAAGAATCAAAGCCAGAATTCAAAGCTATTGCATTTCTGACTCCAACTCCTAGGCTCTTGCTCCCATAATATTTTGACACTAAGTGACATCATGTTGTCCCCAAGGGAGCTAGTATGTGGACACCACAATGACTCCTAGCAAATATTACTAATACAGTTCTCAGAGATATTTCAAACCGTTTAAAAAAGTCATCATTTCTTCTTCTTCTTCTTTTTTTTTTTTGAGATGGAGTCTCACTCTTTCGCCCACTAGAGTGCAGTGGTGCCATCTCCTCTCTGCAACCTCCGCCTCCCGGGTTCAAGCGATTCTCCTGCCTCAGCCTCCCGAGTAGCTGGGATTACAGGCATGTGCCACCATGCCTGGCTAATTTTTTTTTTTTTTTTTTTTTTTTTTTGTATTTTTAGTAGAGACAGGGTTTCACCACGTTGGCTAGGCTGGTCTCGAACTGCTGACCTCAGGTGATCCGACTACCTTGGCCTCCCAAAGTGCTGGGATTATAGGCGTGAGCCACCACACCCAGCAAAAAAGTCATCATTTCAATTCAAAGTTAGATTTCTAGTTTGTTTTCGTTTTTTTCCCAAAGGTGTCTCCAGCCCCTTCAAGTTATGCCTTTGGGATGGACCATAAAACCGCATTACAATTGTAAGTTCGCATGGGAGTAAATAAAACTTTTACACAGTAATATGAATGAGTGTGTTGTCAAGAGGATCCTAGGTGTGTATAAATCCTTTAATTACAATTTCTAGTGCTAATGTTTATCCTTTAATTAGAGGTGTGTAGTAGGCTTCTTTGTTGGGGCAGAGGAGGAAACTGGAACCATATGGTTGCTGCCTCATTTTCATCTGAGCCCTTCCAGGGATTGTAAACCTTAAAATGGCATTGGAACCCAGCACTTTCGAATCTGCTAAGAAAGGTGGGAACAGTAAGTCTTTGTGCAAAGGCTGAATATACATAAGGGAAGTGTAGCCCTAAACCTGTTTGCTCCCACATGTCTTTGCCCCGTTTTGCTTTGACTAATTATATAATCTGCAACATAATAGAACCAAGTGATTTTACCTGTCTTGCTGATTACATGGTTTGGAGTAGCCTTTTGGTATGAGGCAGCTTTTAATTTGCTTTAGATTTGTAACTATAAACAATAGGACTTCCCTGAGAGAGAAAACTATTGAGAAGACCAGAAAGAGAGAGGGGCAGAAAGAAGAGGATTTGATCTTGGTAAGGTAAAAACAGCTTAAGCTCTGGGTAGGAATTTTCATTTGCTACTTACCGACTCTGTGCTTGGCAAGGTTCAAACCTCTCCGAAATTCAGTTTCATCATCTACAAAATGGGGATAATGACCCCTTCCTTGCCAGGCAATAATGAGATTTAGAGATAATGTGTATGAAGTGCCTGGCATCTTGGAAGCCCATGAAAAATGTCTGATATAGTTATTACAGGTTTTTTTTTTTATTGAAAGGGCTCATCTTTCAGGACTGTAAGCAGTCCTGAAAAGAACCAGGATTCAGGACAAATATGATTACTGCTGATGATAACTTTCTTGGTGCCTTTTTCTTATTTCCTTGCCCTTTTCATGTCCCTTGTTTTCCTCTGATTAAATTAATGTTCCAAACTCACCCTTATCAGCATCTTTTTTTTTTTTTTATACTTGTAGAATAGTCAAAATAAACTGGAGGGGTTGATCAGACCAAATAATTACAAACAGCCTTTGTTTAGAGGTCAAAAATTGCCTCTTCCCTTTGCCCTGACTACTTTCCTCCTTCTGGTCTTTTCTCTCCCTACATGTCAGTAATAAAATGTATTGTTAGACAGATCAACTGATGCATCACCTTGACACTTTGGTGAGTGAAGACATAGATTTGGATAATAGACATAGCTGAAATGTTTTCCTGGGGGTGTCCAGTTCTCTTATTTACACAACAACTGTTATCCCAGAAAACAACTGGTATATACCTCCTCCAAACTAGTACAGTTCTTACAGAAGTGGACTAAGGAAGTATTTTCCTAAGGGATTCATTAGATTTTGATTAACCTCCAATACATTTGTTCTAAACAACATGGAGGATTTCCCTCAAGCCAGGCTGGGGTTGCCAGCTGTGACAGAGATGGACATTTAATTTGTTTGTGGTTGGGTTGTCAAGGCTGGACATTTGTCATTTGAGATTTCTACTTTACTCCTTTCCCCCAAATGTGCTTCTAACAAGAGAAATCTTTAAAATGAAGCAGATTAAAAATCGATGATGTAGAGTGTGTACTGGATTGGTTTCTATTTTATTTTACTTAGGGAAATCATAATTTTGGGGCCAGTGATTAAAATTCCTGGCTATGTACGGGCAAAGCTCACACCGCTCACAAAACACCCCAGTAATCTCATCCCATTTCTTAGGGAAGATTTAATAGCAGGCCTGTTCAGTGAGGCACATACAAGTTCATTACCTTTATAAAACACTCTACAGGAATTTTACTAGTGTCCAAGGCAGTGCTGTTAATGGTTTCCATCCACACATTTCTATAAAAGAACAAAAGACAGCTTGTGTTAACCTTAATTTCTTGGTCTTTTTTGCTTCCTTGATAATTTTCTAAATTCAAACATTTATACGGAATCTTCCAATCATTTGTATTAGTTAGCAACCTGCTACTATTGCAATATTTCACTGTCCTTGTGGTAAGAGTTGTTGTAAGACTGTATTGTCTAAACTGGAGCGGCTGCCTCGTACTTAGCTTCATGTCACATTTCAGCTGAGACACAGGAACAGTTTCTGACTTATGCTGCTGCATAGGAGGGTAAACTGAAGTTTATGTTACTCAAATATAATTTCTCAAGGCCAAATTGGGCAGCAGCAATGCTGGGTGTTTGTTTTAGTGTTTTCTCTGGCCTTCAGTTTAGGTCTTTGGTAATCGCATGTCAGATATCAAGTGAAGTATTGCAGTTGAAATTTTCATATACTTTTCAGAAATTAGACTATGTCTTAATGATCTTTTAAATTTGTGATTTTGGGCTGGGCACTGTGGCTCACGCCAGAACTTTGGGAGGCCGAGGCGGGCGGATCACGAGGTCAGGAGATTGAGACCATCCTGGCTAACATGATGAAACCCCGTCTCCACTAAAAAATACAAAAAAAAATTAGCCAGGCATGGTGGCAGGCGCCTGTAGTCCCAGCTACTCGGGAGGCTGAGGCAGGAGAATGGCGTGAACCCGGGAGGCGGAGCTTGCAGTGAGCCGAGATCGCACCACTGTACTCCAGCCTGGGCGATAGAGCGAGACTCTGTCTCAAAATAAATAAATAAATAAATTAATTAATAAATAAAACATATAAATAAATAAATTTGTGATTTTGAAACCCTTTTGGTGGACCCAATGTGCTCTGGGACTTAAAATTGTTATTCCCTTTCATTCCCTGCTGCCATGGCTTCTGTCTGCTTTGGTTCTGAGCTCTGTGTTGAGACATTTTAAATTGTAATACTTCTTTTTTAATTTCGGTTCTCAGATTAGGTTGGTCTAGTTAGGATGAAGGTATTATATTAAATAAATACAATTTTGATCTTGTTTTTTTGGCTAAGTCTGTGTGAATACTCATGTAGAATATAAATGACCAGTATTTGACTCCATCACCAACCGAGTTGCCCACAGGGTCCATTCGATTTGCACTATGTGCTCTAGGGTCTAAAGAATCCAGTTTGGTTCCAGTTCCAGTCTTCAAGAAGAGGGAAGATTGACCAAGTTAGCAGAAGTGTGAGAAATTATGAGCATGCATCACAAAAAACATCCGTTGACACACTAAAATGAGCACATGAGGTTATTACAGTGACACCTTGTGCATTTGTTTCTTCACAAGCCATTGCTGCTAATGATGTGGTAGAAGGAGCACTGTACCTGGAGAAGGAATATTCTAGCTGTGGCTTTTTCATTAACTTGCTGTGTGAACTTATACAAGTCATTTAATTTTTTAAAAACTGAGGTTAGATATCTGTCAATGAGCAAGTTTTACTGGGTGATTTCAAACGTTCTTTCTAGCTCTAAAAAAAATCCTATGATTCTCATAAAGTTTTATTTGATTGTGACATTTCATTTGGCACCTAATTCTGTACAGATGTCTTAACTCGGAGTATTTTGGTTCTTATAGATTTAATACATGGAATTTATCATTCTATTAATGTACCTTGGAGTGAAAAGCATGTCTGTGTATACAGCTGCTCTCACATTTATAATATGTATTATATCTTTTTAATGTACATCATGAGAAATGCCAGTGGACCTAAATGAAATATTACTATTGTTGCATTCATTTTTATGAACTCTGTCAGGCTAAATGAATTAAATAAGGAACAACATGTGCTACAAAAACTACATTTACCATATACTCAGGTGTCTGTGTACTGCATAAACACAGATATCGAATATGTTTTGGGTTTTCTTTACCAAGAGCCAGAAAGTTTCTAACTTAAAGATAAATTGAAAATCAAATGGACGTTTTGATTTTTAAACATGAGGCTGAGCTATTGTTACAGCACCTATTGTCTTTGGCAGACAGCACAGCTGGGGACTTTGTAGTTCCTTTTGTCCTATACCTGGTGATTGAGCAGGTGAGAGGGAGGTGAGTTGGATGTGAGAGGCACAGATTATAAGAATATGAATAACGGTGGGAATGATGAACTGAGGATCAAGAAACCTGTGGGGACTCCTGAGGGTAGACATACTAGGGATCTTTGATCTCCAGCTCTGTATATATTTCAGAACACTTTATATCTTCCTTCTCTCTGTCCTTTTTTCTGCCAGCTGTCTGGACAACTTCTCATCTTACTTCTCTATAAAGGCATTACGATCTTTTTTGGAAATCTCACTTTAGCCTGAATGTTTCCAGATTTGAATAGTAAATTCGCCCCGGGAACAGTTCTACCTTGACATTTTTGCACATGAAGAATATAAAAGGATTTGGGAGGCAAGGGCTGGAGAATAGGACATGGGCTTCCAATTTGGGAGGAGATACTTAAAGTTCAGGTTAGCAGTTCTTGCTGTAGGCTGTCATTTAAAAAAATGACTTAGGGATGTCGGAATGTTTTTGTTTTGTTTTGCTTTTTAACTTTTTAAAAAATTGCAAAATAATCTACATAGAATAAAGTGCACAAATCTTAAGTGTACAGCTCTGTGATTATACACACACACATGTATACACGCACATTGATATGGTTAGGCTTTGTGTTCCCACCCAAATTTCATCTTGAATTGTAATTCCCATAATCCCCCTAATCCCCAGGTGTCAAGGAAGAGACCAGGTGGAGGTAATTGAATCATGGGGGGCCATCTTCCCCATGCTGTTCTCATGATAGTGAGTGAGTTTTTGATGGTTTTATAGGGTGCTTTTGCCTCTTTGCTCAGCACTTTTCCTTCCTGCCACCTTGTGAAGAAGCTACCTTGCTTCTCCTTCACCTTCTGCCATGAAGGCCTCATGTTTCCTGAGGCCTCCTCAGCCATGCTGAACTGTCAGTCAGTTAAAGCTCTTTCCTTTATAAATTACCTAGTCTTGGGTAGTTCTTTATAGCAGTATAAAAATGGACTGATACACACATACTCCTTGGAATGACTAATAGATTAAGATTTAGAATACCCTTAGCACCCCAGACGGCTACTTTGTGACCTTTCCCAGGATATAAACTCATCAATTTGTATTTATTAATGTGTTGCAACATGTTTAGAAGGTTTATTGTTGTTTAATTCATGGACTTTGCCATGAAAAATATACCCTAATAGTGTTATTTTAAGAAACAAACCCCAAGGATCAGAAAACTTATTTGGATAACATTGTAAGCGTGGAGCACTATTTCCAAGGGAAGCTTACCATGTTCCATAGGCATCTTTTTATTGAGGGTCATTGCAAGACACAGTAGAATTCCAGCAGTCTCATTTACAATCACACTTATCCTCAATAGCCATATTTATGGCTTCCTGTGTAATGAGGTGATTTATCATGGTATGTCAGCCATAGAGAGTTCAGTATAAATGAATTTGGTTTCTTAAAAAAAGTTATTATATCTAAACACTTTTACAATAATCTGACATTGCTCTTTAAAGGTAAGCACATATTCTGTGATTTGCATATGAAGAAACCATGCATTACTCTTACTTGACTGACTGTCAGCTTCAGCAGCTGTACCTGGTAGTGCCCAGGTCTGTCATTGTTTCCATGATAGAGCTCATTTTTCAAGGGTTAATAACATAGACCTTAAAATTCACTTTGGGTTGAAACTTGGCAACCACTGTGAGTTTATAGCCTTAGGAGCTGATTTTAAACAAAAATGGTTTAAATTGATTTACCCTTTTCAAATTACAGTATGTCAAAATAATACTTTGCATCAGTTCTAATGCTTTACATTTATTTAATGTTAAAATTTGTAAGCTATTATTCCTGGGTGATGATTTGGGGGATGAGAGCTATGGGGCAAGTTAAATGAACATTGGTTTCCATTGAGAGTTCCAAAATAAATTTGCCAACTTTGATTATTTTTCTTTGGTAATATCATTGCTATTCTAAAAGAAGAAATGCTATTGCTCTCACCTTTATTAGAAGAGAGCAGTTGTGGCTGTGAATGCAATTTGAAAAGAATGATAGAAATAAAACGTTGAAAGTCATATTTAGTTGTGTAACATCCTGATCTCACAAAGGATTTCTCTCAACTCAGCACCTCTGAGTGGTATTTGAACTAAGTTAAGCTGGGGTGTGTGTAGTTGTTCATGGTCTTAAGCTTTTCAGTTTTGAAAACTCCACTTAGAAAGAAGAGGATATTTGTATTTCCACCGTAGCACACATTTTTGTTACTTCTTTGAAATGTACATTTTTATTTTATGTACATTTATTTAAAATATGAACACTTCCAGCCTATTTACTGAGTCAACAAAAGTTAAAACCCCACATTCATTTTTCTCACTTTAAAATTACTTAGATGTCAGCATATTCGTATATTTAATGTACGGCCACATACTAAAGAAAAAAATGCTGCTGGGCTATATCTATACTGAAGCCATCTTCTCAATGAGAGAAGAGCTGGACTAATGAGGACATCATACTGTCAATTTTTAAACTTTGATCAATTTTTGACTGAGAATGATACAGACAGAAATTTGGAGAAAAAGTTCTCACATATATTAGACACAATGAGACTAGGACATCATGTGTCAAAAGCTGCAACTTTGTTCTTGTATCGAACAAAGACAAGGCTGAAGAATAAGAAAAGCTATAAAGTAGTTCGTATTATAGAGCATTCTGTAATAAATTACAGACAGGAGGATGAAGAAATATAGTCTAGATGTAGCAAAGGTACAGAAGGAATAGGATTAGCATTGGAACCAGGCAGTTTTGGGTTAGAATTCTTTTATCACTTATTAGGTCACCTGGGCAACCTTGACACACTAATTTTCCTTGATGATTTTCAGTAAGGTGTGAATAGTGACTGACTTCCAGTGTTTTCATAATAATTAAAATAATGTATGTAAAGTATTTGTCACCTAGCCATTGCTCAGTAAAAGGTGAGTGTTATGATGGTGTAATTGTAAGGATTTAAACAGTGAACTTACATCTAAGACCATACCACCGTGAATGTGCCTGATCTTGTCTAAAAAGTGAACTTACAAGGCATAAAAAGTTTCTGTTGGTTATATTACCTTCTCTTGAGGGATCTCAGAGTGCACTTATATCGAAAGTCTTCTTGGTAGCAGATTTTTCAAAAATCTTCATAATTTCTCTATATGAAACTCACACTCAGGACAAGGACACTTCACCAAAAGTGGCCTATGAAGTGGTTAAGGGGGATAATGCTTCTCAAAGAGGTACCTATGATATCTATACACATGGTGTCTGACCAACCAATCTGATGCTGTCTTAGGGAAAGTTTAAATTCTGGTCATACATAAAATTATAAGGCAGGTAGGAGGTAAAACAGAAAGACATACAGAGAGAAGACAATAAACATCCATGAGCTAGAAAAGAGCATAGAGAAAAGCCATAGTATGGTGATAGTAAATAAATCAATTGTGCCCAAACCAGTAAAGCAGAACCACTATGAACAGTTGGACTACCGTAATGGTAGAACAATTGAGCCATGAATAGCTACTTCTGGAGGGGAAACTGTGAGTGGCCATGGAGTGCTCCCCACTGCTCCTGCCCTACTAGAGTTACTGTTGTATATAGAATGATATTCCAGTGCTCCCTTAGGTCTGGCTCTGTGTTGCTTTTGTGTGATTTCCTGTCTCTTATTTCCCCAGTTATGTTACAATAAACTGCTTTAACTGAGGCAATTTGAGTATGTAATCCATAAAAGGCCAACAAATACACACAGTTTGACTTGTAGATCAAAGTCAAACTAGAGAAAGGACCCCACATATCTTCCCTTGAGTCCATGTGAAGTCATGGATGTGTGAAGCAGAGTGGTATTTGTGAGAAATTTTGAAGTGTTTCTAGATCATACGACATGAGTCGGGGAGAAGTGAGAGATGAAGCTGGAGAGATCAGTAGGGGGAGAGAGCTCTTTAAGGCAAAGTATGAAACGTGAAGGAGCTTGGAAAATTGTGGAGAGAAGCAACTAAAGGGTTTCTAAGAAGGGGAATGGTATGGTTAGGCCTTTAGGTATATCAGCCTGGTGGTTTTGCAGAAGATCGTTTGAGGGCAGCAAGACCAAATAAAGGCAGACAGATACAGAGGCTGTTAAAGAGACTAGCTTCTGATTACCAGGGCTTTCACTAAGGGAGAAGCAGTAGGGATGGAGAAGAGAGTATGATATTCGATAACATTTTAATTGACTAAGTCAGAAATGCTTGGTTAATGTAGAGAATGAAGTAGGCAGTCAAGGGTGATTCCTAAGTTTCTGGTTTGAGCGTCTCAGGGGATAGAGGTGATATTAATTTAGAAAGAGGATATAGCAAGAAGAGATGAGTTTGGGAGAAGATGATAAATGCCACTTTGGACATGCTAAGTTTATGATGTCTACGGGACACTTGGGTAGAGTTGTTTAGTGGACAGTTATATATATGAACAGAAAAATCAGGAGAGAAGTCAGTGTTGGAGGTAAAGGACACATCCACTTTTATGTGGTATTTAGAATCACAAGGATTAAAGAAGTTTTATGAGGGTAAAGGAGGAATAGCATTTAGAAGGTGAAGAAACACCACTGAAGGGGTAGGTAGAGGAAGAGGAGTTGATATCAAAAGGAGAGAAGAAATAGTGAGTGGATTGGAGAAAATCAGGAAAGGATGGTTGAATTGAAGTCTAGGTATACTAGAGTTTCATTAAGGAGGAGATAATTATTAACAGAATTCAGTGTAGCTAGTGAAATACAGAAAGATGACTACTGAAATAAGGTCAATTCCAGTAGAAAGGAAGGTACAGAGGATACTGCAATGGAGCTGTGAATGAAAATGATGGATGCTGATGTTTTGAAAAGTTTAGCTGGAGATATGGTGGGGTGGGGAGAGAAGCTAGACCATGATTCGGGGCAGATATGTGGCTAAGGGAGATATGGAATCGAGGGAGAATTTTTTTCAATGATGGGAGTAGCTTGAAGATGTTTATATGCTGAAAAGGAGACAGTAGGAGAGAGAGAGAGAGAGAGAGAGACAGAGAGGCTGGCTTAAGATGTATGTGAGAGAGGTTCACCTGATTAAATGATGCTCCTAGAGGAAGAAGATGGGTCTTAAACAAAGGAAAACTCACCTTTTTCTCTGAGACTGGAAGAAAAGTGTCAATGTGTGTGGCCATAGATACACGTGTAGGTTGTGGTGGGTACAATGAGATAGAAAGCTGGATGATGGGATCACACCAATGAATTCAATTTTCCCGATGAAGAGGGAAGCAGTATCAACGGCTATGAATGAGAGGGGCAGGGTTGAGCCTCTGTGGGGACTGAAGAAAGTCTGGAACTACCAGTTACTTTCAGGAGTAGAAGAGGATGCTGATTATAAGCAGTTAAAATGCTCTTAGAGCCAGAGGGAAGAGAAATTCAGACACTGTGATTGTATAGTTAGGCCCTTCTACAAGGTTATATGATTTTTTTTTTCCCATGCAGTACTCAGCTGCCTATAATTAGGCTTATATTTTAAAACTGCACTCAAGTTTTTCATGTGTGGTCATTCAAATAAGAATTTTTGTCTTTGGTTTATTTTAAATGCAATTTTGAAATGAAAGTCAGGGGACCTTCACACCGAGATGGTAGCATTTGGGCTGGGCACTGTGGAGGGATTCTTAATCCTATTTCATATTTAGTTAGGCTTTTCACCTCATGCCATAGTCTCTTGTGGAGAACATATATTTAGCTTTTAAATAAAGTGCATTCAAATTTGGGGAGGAGATTTTAAGGAATTTATTATCATTTCTTGGGGCACCTTGGGTTATCCAAGAACCAATATCTTTGCTGCGGCTATTGCCACTTGCTTCCTGACAGAAAATATATTTGAGCATTAGCTCAAGCAAAAACAGCTAAAACAAGTGGATTTATGGTCTTTAACACTTGGATGCAACTGATTTGCTAGTTGCATCATCCTCATTATCAGTGTTAACTCCCCAAAAAAGAGAAGTAGTTTTATATACAATAAAAGCTTATCTGAAGCTTTGCGCCCAGCTCCAGCTGAATGCCAAATTTGAGTTTGAAAATGCTAGCAGAAATCTTTTCTTACAATAATTTATCACTTTTATTTTCTCTTTTGCTCCTCCAACTTCTAGCTGGACCTGTGAAGAACTGTCGAAACAGCTGTAGAGGAATTGTGGTGGAGGCAGTAATGGCTCCTTTAGTAGCAGAGAATAGAAAGATCTCGAAAATAAAGCCTATTGTCAGGAGACTTGCACCCATCCTGGCCTACTTCCAAGTGTAAGTGAGGTAACATTTAATTTCTGAAGTGGAGATTTGAACCAAATTGTTAAGCTCTCAAAGTTTAACCAACAAGAGGTGATGATGATGTTTTAAAAAAATTAAATAAAAATGTCTGGGTTTTGGTAATAATTATAACACAACACTTAACTCTTCTTAAATTTCTTGTCTTTCATTAAATTTTGCCTTAAATTACCACTCAAATTTTTCATGTGTGACCATTTGGAAGTAGAATTCTTTCTTTGGTGTTAGTGTGCTATAAAATTTTCGTAGTTGCACACATTGCTTTTAGATATTCAGTTTGTTTGATCTGAAAAGTTTACCAAATAATTTGCCTCTAGATTTTGATTAGCTGAAGACTTATCTACATTAGCTTTACAAATAAAGTGGCCAAAGTGTATTGATTATCAGATTGTAAGGAGTTATCTATTGCACAAGGGCCAGACCAAAACAGATAAATGGCTTGTCATATAAACATTTACGAGCCAATGGAATGACAGTCCTCATTTGAAAGCAACTAGTATAAATTTGGCCTATACCACAGTGGGTGTGAAAATTGCAAGGTAAAATAAAACAGATGAGACCATTTAAGTTTGAAATGGAAGAACAGATCACTGGCAACAGCTATTTACTTTCACAGTCACTAAAATAGGGTGTTTTGTTGTGAAAACTATCAATACAGGGTGATGGATACCCTGCTTAAAGTGCCAATATGATGCCATTCTGAACTGTAAAACGATTTCATTACAAGTGTATGGGGAACCTTTAAACATGACATTACGATGCGACTATAATGTAAGATAACAATGGAAAAACAATTTCAGAGTAAGTGTAAGGAGACTATAACCATGCAGTTAGAAGGCCACTGGAATGTGAGATTATAATAGCTCAATATTAAAATGCTGAAAAGGATATGGCCAATTGCTTTTTTTTTTTAAACTGGGAATAGCCTAGACAACATTTATACTCATGAATAGTAAAGTCATAGAATGTATTTTAGGGAGGAGGGAAGTTCAGCACCAGTATATCCAGCTCTTATCCCCATTCTGAAGTGTATTCCCATTTTTTTTTCCATTTCTTGAGGTTAAGTTGGAGACAGTTTTTTGTTCGACCTTATCACTCTCCTTCAACCATACCACTTTGAAGCTCTGTTGCAAGTTCAAAAACATTTTCTTTCTGACTCACATCTAGCCCTATGACTTGGCTGCATTAGCCACCTATGGGATATAATTTGAGTTCAACTAGGATGATTTTCTACTGCTCATTTTATCTTCCTGGCTTCCAGTTATCACTGGACCTCAGCTGAAATCTTGCCATTAGAAATATATTTCTTTGAGTCTAAAATGATTTTTAAAAATTCTTTGAGAGTACATAATAAATTTAAAATTTAACAACACTTATCAATGTATAAAATATAAGTACCTGTTAGAGGGGTAACATACTAAACTTGAACAGTCTAAGAAGCACAGAATTTGTCATCAGACAGACCTGAATTCATATTTCAGCTCTTCTACTTAGTTATGTATAAATATGGGCAGGTCCATACTTTTCTAAGTCTTGAGTTCCTTATCTGCAAAATGGGGCTAATACCAGCACTTAATTCTTAGGGTAATTGTAATATGAAATAGATACCACGTATGAATGCCCGGCACAGTGCCCAGCCAATGTGAGGGGCCTGATAAAAATTCTCTCCTTACAAATATAGAAAGAGATAAGGGATTGGGTCAAGACGCTAGAGAGTGGAGTAAAGGAGAGAGAACAGAGCACAGTCACAATGGCAATGTGATTAGGGAGAAGGTTTCTCCCTAAACTCGACTTACAATTTATTTTCGAGCCACTCCAATTCAATTCTAATTAAGCAGCCTCTTAGTCTTGATTATCTAAGGTATGCTTGAGTTTTCTTATCTCTTCCTGTTCTTCTGCATCTTTGGATTATTGTGTTTGTCCACAAGTACTGCCACCTTTAGTACTGCTCTATCTATGATAGTGGGACATTCTGTCCTTGGGAGATGACTTGTGGCCACTGTCTGAGCTGTTCCTCACTGGGCCTCTCTCCTTTAGGCTTCTATCATGCACGGTGCTACCTTAAATAATCTCATCTTGGATCACAACCTGAGGTAGTGATTTTCCAGCTCCTGAGGTTATACAAAAGTGTAAACAGGAATTTTATTATACCACTGAACCAGTTTTAAATCTATTCATCCATATCATACTTAAAGGACCAATTCACTAATAAGATCAAACAAGTTTTGTGAGCATAGAATGCAACATTTTCTCCCCAGATATTTTCTTCTGGTAAGAGTCTTGATTTTAGCTGCGTTATTAGTTTTTGTCTAAAGCCCTCATAGCATTATCAAGCATTCTCATGAAGGAGTTACCTGACTCTAAAAATATATTCTTGTATTACTCGGGTTTAGTGACCCCATTCAGCATATGATTGGTTAATTTCCTTAAAAGTTTTTCTATAGGGATAAGTCACCAAAGAAATAACTCACTCAGAGTGCAAGGCCCCTGTTGAACATACTTTATGGCTCTAGGCACTAGCAGTGCCAGTAATTGAAGGTGATTCATAAATGATTTTTGGAGTAAACTTCATGTAGACTACAAACCAATCCAAATTATTCAAGGCAGTATAATCTGGGTGATGTGGAATGCAATGCTGTAACACAACTACTTTGCCTTCAGCCCATAATGAGCACCAACTATGTGAAAGATGTGAAGACAATCATTTTCTCACGTGGAGATTAGATTGGGGAAGAAACATATTTGTTGTGTGTCTCCTGTATGCTAGACTTCGTATGCCTTACTTCATTCACTTACTCTTAAAAACAACCCCAAGAGTCGTTTTGTCATTTTGTCATAAATATGCATTATCATCCATATTTTATAAAGAATGAAAACTAACAGAGGTTGAGAGACCTGTCTGAGGTTATATATGTGGAGTGTTGAAGCTAGGATTTGAACATGACTGTCCGGTTACAAATCCTCTGCTATTTACACTCTATCACATTGCTGCCCCTTGTGTGAATTCAATTACAATCCACTAGAGGAAAAAATAAAAGAACATAAAGGACTGGATGGCAAAGTAATCTGTGATAAGTGCCATGTGAGTAGAATGAAAAGTACCAAAGGGTTTGAAGGAGAAAAAGATTACTTCGGCCTGGGTTCTGTCTTCACTGTGGCATTTATCTTTTTTTTTTTTTTCTATCTGCTCTTTGGGGATGCTGCTTTCCCTCACTGGTGTGCTTCTCTGTCTACCAAGCAATGGTCAACACTGACTTCTTAAACTGCCTAAGCCAGTAATTATTGCCTAAAATAAAAAACCGAGTCCCTAGACTGCTTGTTATGTTCCAGATCTCTTCTATTCTCATTTTTCCCCAGAAATGTTTCCCCTGGATGACTCTTATATCTCCACGATGTGTTAAAAGTATACATGTACCCTAGAATTTAAAGTATAATAATAAAAATAAATAAATTTAAAAAAAGTAAAAGAAAAAGAAACAAGTGTACTTACTCTTTAAGGCCCAAGTCAAATGTACTTTCTGGGAACTCTTCCCCCAGCAGAATTAGCGACAATTTGTCTCTTGTCTCTCAGCGCATTGGCTATACAACTATTTGATACGTGTTACCTATTGTTTAGCATGGTGGAGTCATGCTAAGCATCAGGTCAAGTTATGTTTTGTTTTGGGATTTGGACATTTAATGGCACATCTGTCATATTAGTGAGGTGGACCTGATAAGAGTCCATTTAGCTGAGTGATCGAGAAGTGTCTTTTGGGGGCAGGGATGATACTAGGTAACAAGAGAATCCGAAACACATCCTTTGTCTAAAAACCATCATCCTTATGGTAAGAAGGTGGAGTTTCTTTGAAGAGTTCAGCCTTCCTCCTGCCAACATGCAGTTGTGTCGGGGGCAAAAGGTGGTGTGATGTGAAAGAGGATATAACTAAAACATCTGAAAACTATTTTCATATAAACTATGAGATTTTGGGGACAAGAAAATAGCATTGCTAGAAACTGACAGAGTAACGTTGTATGAACATGGTATCATTCTTATGGCATAATACGGCAAGTGCATTGGGACTGTGGAGGTCACAGCCTGGTTTTAGGTCGTCACAGGCTTCAGCACAGTATCTCTGTACCTGAAGTCTGTAGATTTCTGGGGAGGGGTTAGGCTGCATGGCAAAAGGTCCACAATTCCATAAGCACCTGATATATTGTCAATGGGCAAAACAGTGTTTCCTGAATGAATGCACTACTTCCTTTCAAATATATGTAGAGATTCTTACGATGAATAAATATGTTTATTGAAAGGATTACTGAATTTGCTGTCATATGTGTCATTAAGTATTTTTTTAATTAACAGACACTAAAACGTACCTATTTTTGTACAAATGTGGTGAATATGAAACCTTTTAAGGTTAAAAAGGTGTTTCCATACTCACAGAGGATTATTGGTGAGGGGTGGAGTTAGTGACATCTGGTGGTGGCAGCTCCTACTGATTAGCTCCATGAATACTAGCTCTTCTTTACCATCTAACACACAAACATTGGTGACTGGCATTTAGTAAGTCAATTTGGAATGAATGAATAAGAGAATGAATTAATAGTTTTTGGATTGAGAAATGTCTACCCCTTCTGCTATTGCATTCTGACCCATTACATAGAATTCCATGTATAGGCCAGTCTCCATGAAAGCAAGAAAAAAGTTAAAAAAAAAAAGAAAAAGTCTACCACTTTTCATCCAGTTAGTACACAAATACTGTGATAATTTAAATCCCAATGGTACAGTCATGTGGACCAGAACCAGCCCCTATATTGGCACGTGAACTTATTTCTACCCAGTGAGTCAGTTAAGATGGGAATAATAATTTAATTTAGTGTACTTCACTTGTGACTGTCACAATAAACCCTGATGTATGTATATTAGTTCCAAGAGAAAGATAATCCATGTCATTTGAACTTTCTTTCGCCAACTTTAAAATGTGGTTTGTAAAAAGTTTTGATTGAAAATAGAAAAACTCTGGTGAAATTTTCAAAAGGAGTAAATCATATTCTTGGGATAATTTCAATTAAACCATTTTCTATGAAGATGTGTCAGCTTTGGGTATGTCATGAGCCAGGTCTCTTCATATGCTTTCACACATAGGCCAAAGATTTGCTGCAAACTCTGTGAGTTAGATAAGTCTAGGCAGGTTTTTTCATTTCCCTTCTTCTTTACTTGTGGGACTGTCAACTCTCAGAAAATCTAGTGAGGCCCTAATTTATAAACATTCAATGTATCCTCATACTATTGAAGCATCATGGGAGGGGATATTAAGAGGAGGTAGAATCATGAAATTCAAAGAGAATTCCAAATGGTTCAAGATGAAAGGGAGCTTAGAGGTCATCATAGTCCAATCTGTTCATTTTACTGATGTAGCCGAAAATGGGGAGTGACTGCTACAACATTAAGTTTCTAGTTAGTTGTAGAGTTGGGCCACCAAGACTTTTCCCATTTCAAAATCTCTACTTGCTCTGGTCCCCATTACAAAAAAATTTTATGTGGATTTTGGCTCTGATGTCACCTCTTCCAACATTGGATGACTTAATAACTCTCTGTATCACTGTTCTCCATTTGCCACTCTTTAGAGACTCTTTCTACCGGTGACAGGAAGCTGACCTTTAAGGAAAGCAGCAGAAAGCTTCATGGTCTTCTGGCTTCTGGTTGGGTTTGATCAAAGGGAGACTTGGCAGGGTACTCTCAGAGGAGAGAGAGATCAGTGCATTTATGACCCTCCACGCCCGGACTGCAAGTCATTGGTGGCTGTGTTTGATCCTGAAAACCAGAGTTCTTGTTGGAAGATCTTTCCTTTAGCTACAGTTTTTTCTTTGTGTTCTGGTAACTGCTCCTTTCCCTCTCTACTGAGGCCTACGGGTAGTAGTGACCTTCCACTTTTACTAGTTCTAAGGTGTTTTGCTTTCCCTTACTCGTTTACCTTAATAGTGTCCACACATTTTACAAAGTCCCTTTATTAAACTCTCATCAATTACCTCATTGAGTATAAAATCTGTTTCCTGCTCGAACACCAGTTGATATACTCCATCCTCTGTCACCTTAATTTTTTCCTTCATAGCACAAATTACAAGCATACTCAGCTTTTAAAAATGTGTTTACTTATTTATTACCTGGCATTCCTGACCAGAATGTGTTTCCATGGCTTAGTGCAGTGCCTGACACATGGTAGATACTCAGTACATGTTTGTTAACTGAATGGTTCCAGACATACAAAGTTGTACTTCAAAATTCTTTCTATACATCACAATGAGAATAACTCTGTAGAACTTTTAAGGGATGAATCTGCCTAAAGGGAAATTTTAATTCATTTCAACGTCAAATATAAACTGTATAGGCTTTTGTGGGTTAGTAGTTGCTATTTAATATATTGTTTCTATGGTAAAATGTACTCCAGATCAACCCATTTTTTCCCATTAGATTATAGTTTCATGAAGGCAGGAAACAGTTGTATCTTCTCCATGGTTGTATGTTGAAAGCTTTGCACACTGCCTGGCACAGAGGTAAGTTCTTCTTTGTGCTGAAGACCAAGCTAAATACTAGTGACTTGGAGATGTATGAGGCAGGATCTCTCTCTTTGAGTGGCTCATAGTCTTACGGAAGATATTGACACACAAACAAGAATGGCAATGTAAGGCAATGGGTGATACAATGGAGGTTATGGGAAAGTGTTTTGGCCTTATAGAGAAAGGAGAGAAGCCAGGGAACTCTTGACAGACGATCTGGGTGAAGGGGGTGTGGTGTGGTCTTCCAGGACTTTTCTTTTCTGAAACAGCTTATTCAGGGGTGTAAGTTCAAAACTAACAGATTCTAAAATAAAATTTTTATCACCCAGTCCATTTAGAGCTGAGTATTTCATGTAAAACAGAACTTTCCTACTTGTTGACATAGGCTATTTTCCTTCTTTTATCCTTTTATTCAGGAAAAAAAAGTAAAAGAAGTAAAAATGACTTTTGAATCTGGATTTTCTGAGTGTTGATCATGTCAAAAGACAGTAAAATCTGTTTAAAAGATGATAAACTGATTATCCAAGTGTACTCTTTTAAAGCATCATGAAACTTAGCTGAAATTGACTGCAAGAAAAAAAGGAAAGAAAAACTTGTTATATTCCCCACCAGAGGGAGACAATTTTTTTCCTTTTGACTTTCAAAACCTAAATTCTGATTAATGCAGATTTGAAGAGTACAATACAAGGTTTACTGGGGCTGATTAATACCCGGGGGAAAAAACAAACTTACAGTCTAATTTGTTTACTTTTGTCTTTTAATATCAAATTATTTTTGAGATCTAAATTCTGTTCTGCCAGCACAGTAAATGCTACTTAACATGCAAGGAACTTTAAGAGCTACTTGTTATTTCAGT
The DNA here is from genome assembly GCF_000001405.40 of Homo sapiens. Classification (NCBI taxonomy): domain Eukaryota; kingdom Metazoa; phylum Chordata; class Mammalia; order Primates; family Hominidae; genus Homo; species Homo sapiens. Next base: position 88,549,486 of record NC_000001.11, on the reverse strand, counting down.
GTCGACTTTATCTCTAATTATATTAGTATGGATTCAGATAGGACACTGATAATATAACAACATGGAATAATTTAGCATTAATTATTTTTTATAGTAAGACATTTACAAATCAACCCTAAACTAAGAGAGACAAGGGGTATGGTGCTGGTGGAGGAGAAAGTGATAACAATGTCTCTTTCTATTGGCAAGACTGTAGATATTGGAATAAACTGAAACCAAGTCAGCCAATTTTCAATATGCTGCAACTCTACAAAATTTAAGAAAGAAATTAGCTTACAGTAGTTGCTAATTTAGGAAAAATGGTACATGAGCAATAGTTCCTTTCTATGACATATCTGTACTTAGTATAATTAAACATTTTATCAAAAATATAGAAAATTGTCTAGAGATTTATAGTGTAAGACCTACTGTACTTAAAAAAAGTCCAATTTCATGCCCAATTTAATAGATACAGTGTTAGATCTACATGTCCAGTGTAATTACTTGGACATTTCATTCTTCTCTATGGTTCTTTTTAGAAACCAGTTCAGATCTGACCTTGTGTAAATGCTTTTTAAATTACTCTGAATCATTTTACAAATCCAATTAGTGCACAGTCAAATCGCCTCAGCTCACCTCATTTGACACAGGGTGCTGCTGAAGTAGCTTTACTGCTTATTATGATTCCTATTTACTTATTCTTTGTCATTTTCAGAATATGTACAACAAAAATGTGGACTAATTCTCAGAAACTCACATTTAAACATGGGATAATGTGGAGGCATCAGGTAAAATATTTGTCTGGTTAGGAGCATGAGTTTCTTGTCATAATTCAGTGGCGGTAAATGGATGCTTTGGAAAAGCACGAAGTGTCACTTAAGTTTCACTTGCCTGAGGTATCATTTAATCAGCAAGCGCAGTTAATAATTTTGCTTTTCTATTTGTCAAGCTCTCAATATTTTTTCAATATGAAGTCTGCTCCAGTGTACTTTACATGACACTTTATAATTAGTGGTACTTGAGAATTTGGCAGTTTTAAAAATTCATACAACATTCTTAGTTACAATTTATAAATGATTTTAAAGTATAATTAACATTCATCTTTACAAGTTATATGCAAACAAATATGCAAATTTAGAAATAAATATGCAAACATATAAAATGTTTTTGAATTAAGTAGTCCTTAACATTTTTAATGAAATCAATATTTTATTCATATTTTGCACACAATTTTGAGTACTTACTGATTTGGGGGAGTCTACAGCGTATATGCTTTTTCGTATTGTAACCTTTAACTACCAGCAACAGGAAGGAAATGAAAATGAATTTTTTTTTTCTTTTTTGGAGATGAAAATCAAAGGCTAATTTAGTAGACAAATCCAGTAGGTGCTGTTGAGTGGATTATTGATGCAATTAAAATGGTCTTTTGCTCCTTGAACTGTAAACCTTATAAGGAACTTCTGCTTCCTTAGATGACACAAAACTCTTGCGGATCTCAAGAAGACAAAGTGGAGGGCATCAACAAACTGCCCCCTACTTTCTTGTGTGGCTATAAAGGCCAACACACCGAGTTGGTAGCTGTGGATTTTTAACATATTAAAGTCTGAAAGCAGAAGAAAGCAGGGTTCAGTATAAAATGAACAAATAATTATTGGGAAAATGCACCTTAGATGGAGAAGTCGCTATGCAAGAGTACAGATTCAAAGTTTAGTTATTATGATTTTAAAAACAACCTCTTCTAAAAAGTTAACTGATTCAAGATCTTAGTTCACTCATTCAACAAAAACTCATCTTTTTAGGCTCGGTTTCCGTTCTTCCTCTGCAAGGAAGATTTCTCACTAGCAGAGTCCTCTGTCTCTGAAATCATGTTGCATTGTAAGTTAAGTAGGCAATGATTTTTATGTGCCCACCATGGGCAAGGAATACATTCATTGCTAGCAGGGGTACAAAGAAGTATCAGAAATAATTAACTAGCATCACACAGTTTAGTTGTAAAATGTTCTCCAATTTTTACAGGTATGCATGCTTTATTGTCATTTTCAAATGACAAAATTCTTGAGGGAAAAACTTCATTTATACAAGGGATAATGAGAAGAATTTGTTTTTTGAGTGGCATCTCTGATGAATTAGTAGTTGCTCACTGGTATGCTCTTTAAAGAATGATTCTGAGGCTGTGGCATTAGCAGTACCAGCATTGCCATGTTTTTGTTATTCCTGCTCAACTTACAATCTTTTTAAAAGAAATAGCATTTCTTTTACTAGAGAATGAGGGCTTCATGATCCATTTAATTTCTCCATTGTAACTGCTAGAAATTCAGCAGAGAGTTTTGATATAAATTTCTTCTCCTTTATTGCTTGACTTTTTTTCTTTTATTTTGTATGTCATGTTACTGTACTATAGTTTGTTTTTGACAGCTGGTTGCTTTAAGTCTTTTTGAAAGAAACAAATCATTGCATACACTTACTTCTTCCTATAAGTTTTATTGTGCTTAGCATAGGTCCAGGACCCTAAGGAGGCATAGAATAAATGCACTTTGCATGGAGAACACTGAACTTGATGCTATGGAGGTCCCATATGGTAGGTGCACAACGATGCATGAATGAGTAAGTGAATGAATGAATGAGTTCAGAGGGAATTAAACCACGAGAAAAATCATGATGGTTTGTGACTTATCAAGGAAAGCATCTGATGAATCTTTTAAGGCTGATGCCTTAAAAAAGGCATAGAATGATGATTGGAAGAGGAGGAAATGGCTTAGATGAGAATAGAGGTTTAGCAAGAAGAATTTAAAAGGACAGGAGCCATCATGTAATAATATTTGACTCCTCTCCATGGGCCTATTTGCTTGTGTGGAATGTAAAATTTCAGGGAACAGAAATTTTTAAACATTAATTTGGAACACATTAGCGTGGCCTTCCATAGAGTATGCCAGAGTGTTTTTAGGTTGTTTGAAGATAAAGATGATCCTCTTACCTACATTATTTCAAGTTCAAAAATGAAAAATTATGGGGCATGATAATTTCAAGTTTTAGATTTAGGGTGAAATAATTCATTTAGATGCATCACAAATTAATCTTCCCTCATAGAATCAGAATAAGCAATTGAAATTCTGTTTTGCAGCAAGCTGCTCCATAATGTCTGTGGGGACTAGTTTTGTTTATTTGCTGCTATATGATAGTCTTAGGTAAACAACATACAGCTATATCTATGTGCATCTGGGTAGGCTTAAACATTTTTATTATGCAACTTAAAAATGAAAAAGCCAAATCTGCTGCACTTAAGGAAACAGCTAAATCCCATTCAGTGTAAAACAAGCCCCTACCACCTTCTTGTCAAGTAACTTTGGCCTTTAAAGACCATCCCCACACAATCAGTCCCTTCCATGGGCCTTTCATTCTTCCCATAATCTAGGATTTTTTTCCTCGACGTTTTGTTTCTCTGGGCTGAATTTCATCTCAGTTGATTGCCCAATTCACTTTTCATTCACTCATAATTGTTTTTTGAATTGTCTCAAATTCTCAAATGGATTATGACAATTTGAAAATTAACAATGGCGCCTTAATTGCATGGGGCTGTGTGATCCACAAAACCCTGTTGGCTGACGTTTTTACCCCCACCTGTAATTTTTTTTTTTAAACCAAATGTGAAAAGGTAGAAACACATATAAGCATAAAACACACGTGGTTGTGATTTACAAAAATTGTTGACTTTCCAGTATTTGGAAATTAACCACAGACACTTGCAAAACCATTTTACAAAAGAAATTATTTTAAAAATTCAATTGGATTTTCTTTCTCTCAAACTTAGCTTCTTTTGTGGAAGCAGCAACATATGCAAGCAGGGCAGCATTTTCTGGATGTGTATGGAAATTAAGATTCAGGAAAAATAATCATTATTCTTTAATTATGTAACTTTGGCTGGGCTCTCAATGCAGCTTGGCAATCCTCTCTCACTTGTCCCCGAAGGACTCCCTCTAGAATTCCTCTTGAGGCAGCTGTTTGAAACCTTTAAACTCATGCCATTCTACTCATGCCCCTCACTCTCAGCCTTTACCCTTACTTCATAATTTACAGAGACTATAGCAGCTCCAAGCTATCTCCTTGGACTTTCTTCGCTTCCACCTACAGACTCGCCTACAGAAGCACACCTGTTTTTGTTTTTTTTTTTCTTTGAGATGGAGTTTTGCTCTTGTTGCCCAGGCTGGAGTACAATGGCGCGATCTTGGCTCCACCTCCCTGATTCAAGCGAATCTCCTGCCTGAGCCTCCCGAATAGCTGGGATTATAGGCATGTGCCAACATGCCCGGTTAATTTTTGTATTTTTAGTAGAGACGGGGTTTCACCATGTTGGCCAGGCTGGTCTTGAACTCCTGACCTCAAGTGATCTGCCAGCCTCAGCCTCCCAAAGTGCTGGGATTACAGGTGTGAGCCACTGTGCCTGGCCAAGAAGCACACATCTTTTAATATTTCTTCTTCAGTCTTAAAGTAAGAGGGTTTTTCTTTCATCCCAGTATTAACTTTTTGGGTTCATTGGATTCTATCTCCTCTGACCTCCTCCCTAGATGTAAATTTTTTTCTTTCTCTTGTCTCTGATTCCCTCTCTTCAGCCTACAGACATGATCAAATCTAATCTTCCCCATCTCCTATTGCTTTAACCTCCTCCCAACTCTCATCTTATCTACCTTGGCCGTTTGTGTGCAGCCAGCCCTCTTTTACTTACCGTCTTCCTCCCTGCTCACCATGCACTGGGAGTTAGTAAAAGAAGGCCACACCTATTCCAGGTAATCACCTAGGAGCTCATGTCCTGTCCTTTTCTTTTCTCTTCTAGCTCATATTCTTTGTTCTCTATTGCTTGGTTTTTCACCCTGCCTTCAGAGAGCTGTTTCTGGATACTCAATTTTTGGTTTTATGGTTTCCTTGATTGTAGCTTTCACATACTCCTCACTTAAACTATGTCTCAACCTTAGTTTTTGGGCCAAAGTTTGGCCCTTTCTGCCAGGAGATGGAGTGTTAGACATTTTTCTGAACTATGAAGCCTTTTAAAGTTGTGCTTTGAGTATGCTTTCTGTTCTCTACAAAAGCACTGTCTGTTTCCTCAGCTCCCACTCACTTCTTATCCAACTGAAGCTGGTCTTGCTAAGATGACTAATAAGTCCTCTTTGACCCCTACAAGCAAGATGACTTCCTAATGCTAGATCCAATAGCCCATTGGCCAACACTAGGCCAAGTGGCCCATTTCCAATTTTCAATATTGTCTCATCTTTTAACACTATCAACTTCTTCTGACTTTTTGATATTTTCCAACTGTTGGCTTCCAGCACACTTATCAGTATGCATATTTTTACTGATTATCTACTACTCCGATTCTTGAGATACAAAGGGGAGTGGAACACGGTCTCTGCCCGCACAGATATTACAATGTAGGGTAGAAGAAAGACAAGTAAATAGGCAAATACAATTCATGATGTAAAGTCTACACATGGAAAATACTCACTCCTATGCTTGTGGGGGTCAAAGAGGACTTACTTCTAGACAGAAGCTTGAGGGATGATTAGGAACAGTCTAGGTCATGTGGGGCCAAGGGTGAGAGTTCCAGGAAGAAGGAGCAATTCTACCAAAATTCAAAGGAGAGAGGACAGGAATGTTCAGATAACTTCAAGGAGTTCAGTGTGATTGGAGCACAGGGGTTAGGGTGTGTATTGTAAGAAATGGGCTGGACAGGAGGCAGGGACCAGGTCATGGAAGGCCACATGAGCCATTTTTAAAGAGTTTGGAAATTGTATAAAGGCAATGAGAAACTACTGAAAAATGTTAATATTATACAGAGGAGTAATATCATCACAGTCATATTCTGGAAATATCACTCTGGTTGCTGCGATAATGAATTTGGTGATGGTAAGAGTGGTGGCAGGAAGTTGGGTTAAAAGGCTGTGGCAGAAATCTAGGCAAGATGGCCTTGGTCTGATCCCATAGAGTGGTAATATGGATATATAGAGGTAAAAATAAGTGGTGGGTTTTAGTGACATGAAAGAACAATAATGGAAAAGACTTGGTAATGGATTGAGCTATCCCTTTCAATTATCTTCAGTTCCTTTCTATCCTATCGTGGCACACTTACCCATAAAAATGATAGCGTTTCTCACATTTCATGTTATTTTTCTGTTATAGAATAGGGTCTATAACTAGGACTGTATTTGATTAATCTCTATCTCCATTGCTCAGCTTGATGTTTTGTGGATAACAGATAAACAATCAAGGCTGGTTGACTGAGTGACTCAACTTCCCTGGGTAATGTTTGATATTAATTTTTAGCATATACCTCTGTCGGATTATCTTCCCCACCCCTCTCACCCTTCCATTCATTATAGAACCATAAAGAATGCTTCCCAGTTTGAACATTAAAAAAATACCCTGCAAGTAAAAATTTATTCTTATGTTTAAACTCTTTATAAATATTTATTTTTAAGGATGTGAAGCCAGATACTCTATCATTCCCTTTATTAGCTTTCCATTGCTGCTGTAAAAATTACCACAAACTTAGAGGCTTAAAACAACACAAATTTATTATTTCACAGTTTCTACAGATCAAAAGTCCAGGATGGCTTGACTGGGTTCTATGTTCAGTGTATCACAAAGCTGAAATCAAGGTATTGGCTGAGCTAGCCTCTTATATGGAAGCTCTGGGAAGATTCCATTCTAAGGTTGTTTGGTTGTTGGCAAAATTTAGTTCCTTGCAGTTGTAGGATGGAAGTCCCTCTGTCCTTGCTGGCTGTCAACTGGGGGCTGCTGTTAGCTGCTAAAGACCACTCAAATTTCTCTTCACCTGGCCTCCTCCCTCTTCAAACCAGCCATGGCAAGTGTGGTTTTGATTCTCTTAGATTTCACCCTTTGACTATGTTCTCAGATTTTTAGGACTCATATGATTACATTGGGACCACTGGCATAATCCAGGGTGATCTTCTAATTTTAGGGCCAACTGATTAGCAACCTAAATTACATCTACAAAGCTCCTTTTGCCATGTGATGTAATATATTTATGGGCGTGATATTTTGTCATATTCACAGTCTGGAGATTAGAATGGGACATTTTAGAAATTCTATTTAATACATTCCTATTTTAAATTGGGAAAAGTTATATAACAAATTAGACACCACTATAATGTCATATTGTAAATTAATCAGTAGTGTTGGGCATAACTTTTTCCAGAAAGTGTCCTATAATTTTATCTTATATCTTTCATTTGTTACGTACTGAAGTTTTAGATTTGTTTTTTAACCTTTCCACCCTTCTACCCAAACCTACTATGTTGAATGGGGAAAGGATCAGTCTTCAGTAGCCAAGATGCCCAGATAATAATGTCCCAATGGTGCAAAATATACGTATATAATTTTGTGACCAGAAACAATTATAGAGACAGATTTTTAGCTCTGAGGAAGGAGAGAGGAGGCAGTGTGAACCTGTTGTAATCATACCAAGCACTTATGATTTCTGATCCCGAGGAATGGAGAATCAAAACTTTTCATTTTGGATAATCAAAATTCCTTGATAGCCCCCATATTCAGATATGACTTTTTATTTATTTAATACATATTTAATGAGCATCTGTCAGGTTCTCAGATACTATTCTGTGCACTAGGAATAGGATGTTGGATAAGGCATGCCAGGTTCCTGTCTTCTTGGAACTTCTTGTTGCTGTGTACTTTGGCAGACAAAGGAGTAAAATGGCAAAAAGAGGAGAGATGGGGGTGGTGATCTCTTCTCGTATGAACCAAATGCTCTTCTCATATGCTCAGAGAGCTTCAGATACCAATTTTTCTCTTTTCCTGAAAGGCAGCTGATATAGTTTGGATGTTTGCCCCTCCATATCTCCTGTTGAAATGTAATCCCTAAGGATGGAGGTGGAGCAGATCATGGGGCAGAGGTTTGGATCACGGGGCAGATCCCTAATGAATGGCTCAAGGCCATCCCTTTGGTAATGAGCGAGTTCATGCAAAAGCCATTTGTTTAAAAGAGGCTGGCCCCCTCCTCTCTCTCTCTCTCTTGCTCCTTCTCTTGCCATGCGATGTGTCTGCTCCCCTTTCACCTTCTGCCATGACTGTAAGCTTCCTGAGGCCAGAAGCTGAGCAGATGCTCATGCCACACCTGTACACCCTATAGAACCATGAGCCAATTAAAGGTCTTTATAAATTGCTCAGCCTCAGGTATTTCTTTATAGCAATGCAAGAACGGCCTAACACAGCAGCCTTGGAGGGCTGAAGGAGATACTCCACAGGAGAGATGGCCTTGACCAATATGACTCAGCAGGGGTGTAGGTCATAGAGACAGATAGAGTTGGAAAAATACTCTAATTAAACATTAGTGAGTTTTCTTTTTTCAAAAAGTTTAGCATAAGGAAAAAAAATGCCTAAAGAAAAAGTTTCAAGGATGACTTTAAAAATTCAACTCACAAAGTACCAGTTTGTTGTGTAGGATATTGGGAACATTTGGTGATACAAGAAATAGTTAACAGTTCTTTGCTTTTGTATTATCACCTTGTTTGGTGTACTGAGGCCCTGATGAGTTCCCAAAGAATATCAGGATGTGAATACAAATTGCCAATCTTGTAAAATCAGTTTACCAGTCAAATAAAAAAAAAAATCCGGACTTGTCTTTCTTTCATACAATGCTCAGAACACCAATGCCATTGAGCTTGTTTGAGAATAAAGATGAGGAAATTGTCAGTCATTAGGTATAGCACTAGCAAATGAAAACAATATTTGAGAGACCATTTATTACCAATTTCAATTCAGCTTCATTTGTGGATACAAACATATTGTGAGTATTTATCCATTTCTTCTTATTTTTTAGAGAAACAAAAACAGAAACGAAGATATCCATGATACCTAATGTTACAAGGAGAAGAAAGCACTTGTAATCACAAGGGTACTGAGAAAAGGTAACAGACACATTTATATATGTGGAACCAGGAATCTTTCTGATGACTTTCAGAAAGGGTGGACATACAAATAAAAATCAACCTTCTTCTTGGTGAGGATTTGACCCTGGTTCCATATTAACCCAAGAGCTGATAAGCACAAACCTGGAGTCCAGTTTTTATGCAAATATAACAACTCTGCTTATACCTTGAATTACTTGTATGAAGCGGGGAAAATTTTTTACTCTCTCTGAACCCATAATTAAAAAAAATCTGTATGACTTGGATAATAAACCCACTTCCTAGAATTTTTATGAATATGAAATATTGTGTGAACTACCTAGTATGTTATGGAGCACATGGTTTGTGTTTAATATGTGGAAGCTAGTATTGCTATTATTGTTGTTGTTATAAACAATAGCACTTCTATCTACATAATTCTCAAACTTTCCCCCTGAAGCTCAAGATACTTTAGTACATGAATTATTATTAACTTCAATGCACAGATTGAGAAACTGGGAAAAAATATGCAAGCCGCAGAGTGGAGAAAGAAAATTCCAGGTGTCCATATTCCTTGTCATGTAATTGCCACTGTAATTAGATCTACGTGATGATGACCTTTAGGGGACTGCCTCAGAGTGCTGAATTGTTCAATTCACTAGAGTGGCACCATCAAAATGACCTGATAATGTTAGCACAATTGTCCTTGTACCAAGCAGAAGAGTCCTTTCATTCCTTTTCTTCCTGTAGTTCCAGGGCTACACAAGCCCAGCAAAAAGCAGAAGCAGTGAATGAACAAATTATTTGGGATGATGCTAGTGGCTGATGTCTCAGAGGAGGCAAGCACCCTTTCTCAGACAACCCAGTTTCTTGACTCTCAGCCTTCTTTGGTTTAACTTTGGATTGTTAACCCTTTACTGCCTGAAACTTTGTCTAACTCCCTGTGCCTTTGGAGTATGAAGTTCCCAGTATATCATCTGCATTGATTTTGGTTCCTGTTTCACAAGCTGTGCATCACAGACCTTTATCTTGCAATTATCCATGGTCCGGATGACCAACTTCAGCCTTAAAACCAGGAGCAGACTTTTCCAATCAACTTTTGCAAATTCAAGGGGAAAGAAAGAAAAGAACCATGTAGGCTCTTGGATGTTACTTCTCTTAGGGAAAAAGGAAGGATATAGCTTGATATTTTTACTGCAGTCTCCCCAAACTTTCCACTCATCATGCTGCCAACATCATTATTAATCTGTACCTTCTCTGGAATTTTATGGGCATGTTGAATTCATTGTCATCTCCAGAAAAGAGCAAAGCATGGTGTGGACAATTTAAAACCACATTCAGTTGCTTTATTTTGGCCAAAAGTTTAAACATTTTTGTTCTTTATTTTTTTTTTAGCTTGTTAAGCCGTTTGCAGAACTACTGCTATAGATTAAACCTGACAGGTCTAAGCACATAGTATAACTGTATAACTGTGTGATGCACACATGTGTGTATTCCCTTCCCTACACACACACACACACACACACACACACACACACACACACACACACATTCCATCAGCATGTCAGATTTATGGAATTTGAAATGTTTCTTTCTCTAGAGAATGGTATAACATTTACATAAAATATCAGCTTACATTTTGTGAAATTTGACAAATTACTCATAAATCTCTCTTTCTCCCTTAATCTGTTCTTGACATGTCCCCAAAAGTTTTGAGATGGCCTTAGTGATACATCTTATACTCATGTCAAGTATTTTGTTGACATCAATAGGAGTTTTACTCATGTAAGAAGCCCTGGATTGGGTTACCAGACACATGAAGCAGACAAGAAGCATTCAAAAGTTGCCAGCGAATAAGAAGTGTCAAATAAGTGTCCACCACAAGAGCAAATATCCCTGGGTATCCATTAACTTCAATAAACAGAACATATTTGGCAGTGTGCTGTTTGACATGGATTTACAAAGGAGTTTGCCAAATCATTTTTTTCTTTCTCTCTGTGAAATGTCAGTGAAAGAAAAAATAGGGGAATGGTGGTCCCATTACTGGATAATTTCTATAATATTGTATAAGAAAGATAAGTTATTTGATATTCAAGATATGTATAGTGCACAGAGGCACCAATTTGGTGGGGAATTGATGACTCTTTCACCAATCTTCTAAGCACTGGCTTTTACAAAGCCAGTCCTATGACTTACGGCCCCATTCTGAGTAAAACACATAGTTCAATATCTCTTGACTGGTATCTTAAAAAATTGTTTAAAACAAATGTTCTTCTATTTCTGTTTTAGCATTTATTTTTGTTTGCACATGACTAAGGCTGTTTCTTTTTGGTAAATTTAATTTGCTATAGTCTGGACCCCAACACTGAAAGAATGCATCCTCTGAGATAGGGCTGCCAACTATGGCAAGTAGCATTGCAAAGTATATAAATTTGCTCTATATACTTTTCAAACTTCTCGGATGCAGTCACTGACATTTGGCCTGATCTAGGAAACCCTGGGGATTGGAAAAACACAAAGCATACTACTGTACTGACATGCAAAATGTCTTATAATCTGTCTTTATCTTTCATGGCTGCAGTGGTCTGGATAAATTAGACCAAATTGGGCTAAACACTGTCCTTGGCTACACTCACGTAGCTGTTTTCAACGGCTAATAGGAGCTGTGTGTGCACATCCAAGGACAGGATTTGGCCCCCTTTGTCTTTGCACAAGCAGTTGCTTTAGTTGATATGATTATTCCTGAATGACTGTTTTATAAGCAGTATTTTTGCCCAGTTTTAATCTTTTTTCACTTTATTCTTCATAGTCAAGACATTTATGAATATGGAAACGTGTAACCTAAAATCTTCGGTTTCTGGAAAAATAAAAATCTCCCTAATAAAACCTGTGAAAATTGCAAATGAACTGGGAAAGAGGTAAAGCAAGTCATATAAACGTTGGCAAAAACACAAGTAACACTGAGAAAACGTGTTAACACTCATTAATGGTTAACAATCTGATTAAAATTTTTACAGCACATTGATCCTTGGCCTTTCAAAAGGGAATCTGTCATTAAATAATATTTTCAAGGAAAATACATGTCACCAAATACATTTATTTATTCAGATGCAAAAAAGGTGAAATAAACTCTCAATGTAACTCCACCCTCTTCCCTCAGAAAATTATTACATAAATCTCACTATTTTCCAGAGGATAAACCTTTTAAAATAGAAGAGAACCAGTCTGACAGAAAAGTTTTTATTACTGAAAATTGCAACCTTGGCTTATCTTTGAATTTTCTTCTAGAAAACAATAAATACAATCAGCGCCTTAAGGTTTTGGAAGGGACTTCTTGCGTAAATCAATACATGATACAAATAAAAAGGAAGACACTATAATTTCTTGACTTTTTGAGGCACATGGAAGAATTAGCTCATTTCCTTTGTGCTTTGAGCAAATCTTATTCATAGCTCCTTATTGCCCATTTGCTGAAGATGATCAATTTAAGAACGTATTTAATTATACATTGGAACAGGGACTTTCAAAAGTTCATAAGTATGTACATTATCCATGCCAATATATAAATAATTGCAAGTTAAATATTTTCACTTTTTGTGGCATCATAATCCTTTATATAATAATTTAAGCAAAATAATCCCACTGAGTTCTTTGGTCAATAATTTGTCTAAGATAGTGGACTTTTTTTTTACTACCTGCCAATGTGAACAGGTTCCAGGTATTTGAGATCTGTCATATCTTTGCTTGAAACATTTTGAATACCAACTCCAAAAACTCGACATTAATAAAACATTAAAGTTCCAACTTATGCCCATAAAAGTCAAGAAATACAGAGTTAAGGTCGACCCAGGTCTCTTAACTCTGTTCTCCTGCATGCATGCATGGGTGATGGGGCAGCAGTGTGAACTGTTGCTTAAATCAGTCTTCCTGCATAATCTGAAAATGTAATTGAATTAGTGTATAAAGTATTTACATACCCTGCAGTAGAGAGCCCCACACACTATATTATCCACATCCCCTCTCAGGGCCCTCATTTTAACTCCTCACTGCAGTGTTCCTGCGAGGCTTCCTCAAACATTCAGAAATTGGACTTGCAAATACAATTTCCTTTCTTTTATGAGGCTTCAAGATGAGTGATGCACACTCAGCTTTCCTAGTTGCTTTCAGCTCCTGGCCAGGCACATAGAGTTTGGGTAACATTCTTCCTTTTGGTTAATATCCTCAGGGTTTGCTAGGTATTAGACAATGTCATTCTGTGGCTAAGGATTATTTTATGCTCTAATTCAACCAGATGCAGGACTGCTTGCCATCTTAATATGAAAATTAAAAACATCAGATTGAATTTAGAAACATAGTCGTATAGCAGACTTTGGCTTCAGGTAGATCTGTGTTCCCACTGGGTCCTTACTCTGCCACATACGTTAGTTAAGCTTTCCAAATCGCTGTTTTTTTCCTCTGTAAGATGGGGATAATAATCATCCTCAAGATTTTTTTTGATTCAATGAGAGTGTGAGACTTTAAAGAGAAATGTGCATAAAGTGCTTGGTATATAGTAAGCACGTAATAAATGTTTGCTGTTATTATTAGCACTCATTTTGGTAGGAAATAATAACATATTGCTTCAATTCATTTTTTTTCTTTCATCTGTCATAGAGAATGGGACAGGGGCCTTCAGTAGAATTTGAATGTTCAGAAATGTTAAAAATGAATTTGAACAGTAACCATAAAAAGAATGCTCATCCTCATCCATAGTTCAAGAAATGTGCAGAAATATCATTTTTCATCATTCAGATTGGCAAAGATGAAAAAGAATGGTAATATCCAGTGCTGAGTATGGAAAAAATAGGCTTTCTCATACACTGTTATAGTACTAGTGAACTAGTGTGCCATTTTAAAAGGCAGTCTGGCAATGAGTATAAAAATTTAAAACATGCATCTTGACTCAGCAATTCTACTCTTAGAAATTTATCTTAAGAAAATAATCAAGTAAGTGTTCAAGAATAGTCATGAAAGTCCTACAGAAAGTTGGAAAGAGCTTAAATGTTAATATGGGACTGTTAAACTGTAGTGCAGACAATGGAATACTATAAAACCATTAAAAATGAATGATTTTTACATGTGTGATAGGTTGAAATGAGTAGTCATAAAATGTAGGGCAGACACTTGAAATGGTTCCTGTTTTTTTTTTTGTTTTTTGTTTTTGTTTTTGTTTTTACCTTAATAACTGTTGCCACTGCTCTATGTAGAATGCCCTTTCTTTCTGAGAAGTGGGTTTCCTTAACCATATCTCAGTCTTTTTGCAGAACTTTAGAGTCACTTTTGGTTATTTAAATAGTTTGATTTAGTTTATTGAGACCCAGGGCCAGCTTCATGGGTGTGTGATCTGTGCAGAGTTGCAAAGAGCCCTGTGCTCAGAAGGGCCCCATGCTTGGTTTAATGATTGATTGTCACTATCTTGAAATTCTTAAGAATTTTATCTTTAAAGTCATGTTTTGTAAGTTTAGTCTGATGGGACAATGGCGCATGTGCATGAGCCAAGAAGATACATGCAATATGCATGTCTGCCATTCTTTGCCACCCCATTTGCACATAGCATTTTCGATGTCCGTGGGCACAGAATTCCCATGGACCCACGATGCGTGGGAGGCCAAAGTGAATAAAAGGTAAGGGAGTTCCATCTATTATTCAGCAAATGGGGTCCCTGACAGCCCCAAGAGGCCACTTTGTTCACTCAACCAGAACTTGCTTTGAATAAGAAAGAAGACAACGACATTCTAAGAGACAAGAATGTTCAAGAAACCCTATCATATTCTTTCATACTTGTTGTACTTCTGTGTATTTGGCAAGCACTTATGCTGAAAACGATGACAAAGAAGTAAAGGGTAAGAAAGGCAACATATAATTACTTTTTCTTTAAATCTTACTTTACTCATCAGTAAGCTGAAGGTAGGAAGCGTTGTAGAAGATGCACATATCAGAAAGTGAATTGAAAACAGTCGAGTTCTGCTACGACTGAAATACATGTGCATGCATGAACTACAAAATATCAATTGTAATTGTAGTGATTCCACATATGAATTAAAAGGTTCATATTTGGATTTAAAAACAACATAATGATGAATGGTAAAGTTCATGCTAATAAGTCAAATTTAGATTTTTTCTTTACATTACATAACAAAAAAATACCATGGTAAGTTGAAGAAGAGGCTGCAGAAAGATGGAAAGAGCTTTATATTTTAGTAGACTTAGCATCTTTTTTTTTTTTTTTTACTGCCTTTGAACAAGAAGCCCCATATTTTCCTTTTGCACTGGGCCCCACAGATTATGTAGCTGGCCCTGATGCCAAAGATGAAAGAAGAAAATGTATTGGGGACACTTGATGTTTTTGCTTATCAGCATTCATTCACCCTTCCTTTAATAGTCCCTGATTTTCTGCAGGCTTCCCCTATGAGTGAGTTTTTTAGAAAGGAGTTGACTTGACAGCTGGCTCTACGGGTGCCGTGAGACTCAAACCTGGCCAATCAGAATATTTCATTTTCCTGGTCATATTGATTGGTTAGAACCATGTTTGGTCTATACAAATCATAAGACTTGTATAAGAATTAGCAGGAAGGGATTCTCTGCCTTTTGTTGCTGGAATGTAATTCAAAGGGCTGTGAGCCTGGAGCTGCTGGAGGTTACCATGTGGAGTCTGAGAATGGCCCAGGTGAGAGATGGATAGAAACCAAGTCCTGGTGGTACCATTTGAGTCTGGATCAACCTATGCCTGAAGTTAGCTAGATGTACACCTGGAGTTAGTTATGTGAGATCTTTTATGTTCAAGCTAGTTTGAGTTAGATTTTGTCACTTGAAACAAAATAAGTCTGATGCAGCATGCTATATGCTCTCATTAAGGTTTGTGTAGAACAGATATCTCCAAAAGTACATGCAAAATGGCTAAGAGTGAATATCCTGGTCAGGGAAGATTATGAAAAGGACTTTCATTTATTGCTTTGTACTGTTTTCTGGTGTTAGATTTCATAAAGCAGATATTTATTACTCTAAATCCAGCAAAAGCAATAAACATGTTTCTAACTTGGGGGAAAATCAGTGATGCTTAATCTTTAAAAAAATTTTATTGTGGTAAAAATACATAATATGAAATTTATGATCTTAACTATTTTTAAGTATATAGTTCAGTGGTATTAAGTATGTTCACATTTTGCAAAACAGCATGATACTTAATCTTAATGTAATAATTTCCCAGATGGACACAAAACAGATGTCTTAAAGTAGATGCTTACTAGAATTGTTTAGTAATGGGAGCCAGTATTCTGATGCCACCGTTTTTGCAGAATGACATGGGCATGCAGAATAGCCCTGGAGTCATAATATAGGCCTTTCACCAGCAATTTCACTGGTTGGTGCCATGTAATTATACTGCAGAATACAGCAAATAGAAGATTAATGAGTTTGGCCTTACTAACCACCTAAAGGTGAAAATTTTAATTCTCAAAGTAGGCAATCTTTCGTCTTACTGTGTTCTAATGCATGTATATGTGAATAGAAGAAGAAAATTTGGGTTCACAGCAGTATCAAAAATAGGGCATTGAGAACACAGAAAAGTAGTAAAATCAGTCTAAAGTTAGAGCAACCTCACGGAAAGCATTCAAAGAACCTTGCAGAGCACATTTTCACTAGTCCAGGGTCCTGCTTGATGAAATGGCTGTACCATTTCCTTGAAGATATCTAGTGTCAGTGTTTTATGTGCGTCACTGTGCTTAGGGTTCGAGCAGACACCAGCAATGTCAGGAGGGGCTGGGGGCCAGGATATTGTTCTGTCAGCCCTCCACCCAGAGATGTGTTGGGTCACTCTCAACCTGGTACCCAGTGGGCTGGTCTCTAGCACAGGATCCCATAAACTTGCTAACCCTTGTGTCCATGATCTCAGCTGTCCTTCACTTCCCTGCCTAGATACTCCTCTTCCCCTGAACAGAAAACATGCATAGTCATCTTCTCCAGCTGATTGTTTAATACAGGCCAATTTGTTTTCAGTGTTCTCACAATGAGGTTTTGAATGGACTGTTTCAATCTGACACTTTTTTTTGATGTGTATGTATAGAAGCAAAACTGTTGTTATTTATTTATATTCACTAGATCAGATGGTTTCTCGGAAACTCGCTCAGACAGGGTGAAACCTGAGGACACTGGCTGAAGTTGAGAGGACAGGGGTGAAGAGGGATCCCCATGAGGCACGAGGAGCAAAGAGTGAGGGTCTGGGACTCTGGAACACAACCTTTGCCACTGCACCATTTCACTAGGGCAGACCTTTGGGATGGATGTGGGTTGTTACAGCACTGGGAGGGGGCAAACACGATTCAGTTATCTCTAAGTTGTTATCGTTGTTGTTCTTGTTATTAAAGTAATGTGGGCATCAAGTAAAATGTTCAGCTGGAACAAAAGAGAATCCAGTGAAAGTAGTTCTCCTTCTCACTTCTAATCCTCCTCTTCTGTCCCCAGAGGGCACCACCCCTGGCTTGTGCATTCTTCAAGATAGCTTGTGCCCAGTTCAATGCCCTGTGTTGTTCTTCACTTTGGTTTTACTTTGGCTTTGACCTATTAAGTAAGGGCCTGAACTGAAATTAGAAGATGACACTCAGCTCTGCATTTTAGCATTCTTTCCTTAGAAAAAGTAATGACTAAAGAAGCATATGCAAGAGCTCGAAAGCTGTCACTCTGAGTACGTTAACTCCTGTACCTGTTTTTCACACTTTCTGTGCCATAAAGCTGAGCAGGTGACTGGTACATTCTCTCTTTGTGCAGTATGTGATATTACCAATTCACTGAAAAACAGACTTCAAACTGCTAAAAAAAAAAAGCTAGCTTTTAATCATCTTGAGATACAAGTTGCAAGGAGGAAGCCTGACATTGCTCATCAATGAGATCAGTAAGCTGGGAAGACAGGTGGCCAGATATGTCTGGTCATTAATGTATACAGTATGATCAGATGTCCTCATAATTGTTATTATTACAGGATCATAAACTTTATAGTAACGGCAAAAGCAAGGTACCTTTGTTTGAAAGGTTAGCCAAAAAAATGAACTGAGCTCATCAATAAAACAGATGCAAGAAGATAAGCATTTATAAGGAATTCTTATGAAAATAAATAAGCAAAGACTTTTTCAATAATGTTCACATTTAAATTAGGAAGTAGGGAAATGAGGTCTTAGTGGATTACTTTAGATTGAATTAAATATTGAAATAAATAATAGTAATGTGGTTCTAATATCTGTAATTAACCAGGCTAGCAATATAGAGTGGCTTTCTCAGATAACACTGTGTATTTGGCTAAATTTCCATGATTTATATTTTACAAATTTAAGCAATGGGAACACATGTAATTCTAAAGTGAAGAATTTAAGTTTTCTACACAAAGCAATAACAATGCATTTTCCTTTAAAAAAAAAAAAGTGTGTCTGTCCACACATGCTCTACACGCTTTGCCCAGAGATAATCAGGAAGAGTAGTTTCAAAAGGATCTTTTTCTTGCTCTAGTGTCAGATCTTAAAATAAGATTTAAGGGCTGGAAAGTCTGATTGAGGGGGACTGAGATGTGATTTCTAGTAGTACCGCTTACCAGAGCATGGAGAACAGAAAATGCTGTTTCTGTGTGTTGGAGGTTAGATGTTTCTGGACAGACATATTTTAATTCAGTCTCTTCTTTTGAAATCAAATATATGCTGTAGCTACCTTGAGATGTGCAGTTGCTTATTACAGTTAATGGATTGTTCATCCTCTTTGTCCTTGAGATAATCCTAAATATGTGCATAAAACTGAGCTCATGCTGCCCATAAAAACCAATCAGCCCAGAGTTGGTCCACAAGGTGTTGAACATTCACTAGAGCAGATGGGAAAGATAATGTTTAATAAAGAGTTAGAGGATTAGGTGGTACGAAACAAGCTAAGAGAAAGGGATAATTTCATTTCAGGTGAACCTCTGTGACATTTCTTGTACCCAAAGATAGATTAAAATGATCCCAGAGCTATGACTTTTGGCTACTTTTTTCCCAGTGCTGGCCCTGCATGCATAGTCAGATTTTGACTCTGCAGGCATCATCACCTGAATCTGTGAATAACTCAAAAGATAGTTTCTCAGGTTTATGAACATGTATGAAGTGAGTCATTCGCAAATGAATATACATATGAGGAAATGACAGAATTCTGCTAAATATGTTTATATTTGAACAACTGATTCATCTGAGCGTGATTTAGAATGGGATGTGCCTAAGTTTATATAAATGACAGTTAAAAAGATAACTGTCACAATGTTTACTGATGAGGTTTCCATTTCTCTTAACGTTTAGAAGTTAAATGAAAAATGGATTGTGGATTATAGCCTGAGCAGATTTGAGCCTAAATGTAATATAACAGCTTGTGGCAAATGGAGGTAGCAGGAGAGTAGAGCCAACTAGCCAAAAATCCCCTGGAAAGGTAAGGTTAGGAGGCCTTTGAAGGCTTAAGTACAACCTCATTTATTTTTCATCATGTTCACTTAATTAAACGTAAGCTGGGGAGGTGGATTGAAGTAGCTGTTTGTGACATGCTGGTCTGGGTTCTGGCATTCATTCAGAGGGTCACGGGTTCAAGTTGTAGCCATGGACCTCAGAAAGCATTTCAGCATGTGACCTGCTGAGGGGCTGGAACATCCAGGGGGTGGGCACATCACTGCTCCTGCTTTGCTTTTGGTACTGGAACCTGAGCCACGCTCTTCGGTATTATTCTGTTTAGTTCACTGTAAAAGTGGCGAGACACTTCTCATTTTAGCTTCTTGCGGTCTCAGCTCTAATAGCCTAGAGGAAGTTGCCAAACAAATGTAACCTCTCCTGTTGGCCCAGCTACTCTACCTGTGTTTGCGGCAGGGCTGGCCATTTGGCAGTGCACTTATTTTCTGCAGAAATGTGCTATGGGAGGTGTTAAGCTGAATTGGGGGATATTTCAAACCATTCCTTAAATAATAGAATTGAAATGTTTTGCGGCTGAAGTGGCCTGGGATGGAAACTTCTGAGCCAAAAGTTAGATCCTGGTTTTACTTGAAGATGTAATGGAGCCCTGGGGTATATGGTTTTCAGGCTTTCTCTATTTGTTAATTTTGGAAATGGACTTTTCACAGTTTTACTTCCCTTTTGTGTTAAGTCTTTGGTTTTGCTTCTACATGCAACTGTGGATAGAAAACTCAGGATTGTTCTTTTCACCTTGATTCTAGTCAATAGGCCCGGAGGCAAAGCAACAACAATATGGCCATTAAGAACCAAAAATAAAGATTAGTTTTATAATATAACCAGTGTCCTTAACATAGTAACAAACATAAAAGAGCAGGATCCATTTGCCTCCCTGTCCTCTGAACCCTTTGCCTCGGTTCTGCTTTCTGGAGCTGCAAATATACATATATTCTCTCTTAAGTTAGAATTTCAAAATATTAAAGAAAAATTTCTCATTTTTTTTCCTAACTTTTCTCATTTCCAGGTGAAACTGAAATCACTCATTCATTCAAAAAGTGTTTACTGAGTAGCTTCAAAGAGCAAATATTAGGTTAGATGCAGTGGGTGATGTAAGGATGATTCAGACAACTATTTCTCATGGACTTTGCTTACTGAGCCATCAACACACGGCCACCTTTTTCTAGATGAAGTATCCCATCATTTGATTCTGGATTGAGAACTCTTTGAGAGCAGAGACGATGGCTTCACCTGAGTATCCCCAGAGCCTGACGTTAGACAAGTAAGTGGATGCTCAATAAATGTTTTCTGACTTTTCTCCGTTATTCTAAAAATGAGGCCCCTAGGTCTGATTTTGGTTTTATTCCATTGACTTGATCAGCACTGAGCACAGTGGAGGCATCATAATGCTTGACTGGATGTGACACAGTGTGTGGGCTCAGAATACCTCTGTGCACATGGACTGCTGTAAGACTGTTTCATAGGTTATTTCATTTAAACTGCCTGGCAATCTTGAGAGGCAGATACTGTTATGGCCAGTTTTCAGATGAGAAAACAGAGGGAGACAAGGGAGTTAACCTGATTCAAAGCATAGGTATTCTCTAATTTTATATTTGGGCCTTTTTTTCATAAGGACCCTAGCTCTGGTTATCTATCATTTTTCTAATTTTGTGCCTGTGCGTTTGATCCCAATGTAGACCTATACTTTTATCCTCACTAAATTATATTTTGTAAGTTTGGTCCTATACTTCTAGCCTCTTGTGTCCTTCAGCAATCTTAATACAGTCATTTTGCCATCTTAGATATTCCTCTCCCTTTGTGCACTTGTTACTAATTAGCTAAGCTTATTATTTTACATATGCAGATGGTATAAAGGTGGAGAGCTGTGTCACCCATGAAAAACCTTACTCCAGGATGACACTGATCTGCCTTGGGTACATTCGTTCAGTTATTCTACCATTTAGTCTACATTTTTACATCTTGACCATAAAGATAACATGAAAACCTTTGCAAAATTAAAGCATATTTTGTTTAAATCAGGCTTTTTAAAACATGGGTATGTAACCCACAAAATATACATATAACACTTGGTCTTCCACATAATAAACATATAACACCTAGTTTTTTATTTGCCAACCCAGAGAATATGACTTAGTCCATTTTATATTTTAATCTGTGTACTAATGAATAGTGTTTTTGAAAAACTGTATTCACAGATGCAACTTTTATTATCCTTTTTCATCTTTTCATATTTTTCCTTCCCTTCCTGCCTCAACATATCTCTAGGTACTGTATGTTTTAAAATTTGGAGGAAAGGTGTATTTAAGAGGCAATGAAAACCTTGATGCAAATTATATTTTCCCAACAGAAACACTTTTTCATTTCAATGTATGCATGCAAAACTTTAAAAGCCTGATTTAAAAATGTATGATGCAACTCTATCATGTGGAGGATGTTACTTAGGAGCTGAATTACAGGATTTGCCTCTCTTTTTCTCTGGCCTTGGGCAATCTAGTCTAATTACAGTCACTTGCCTTTCATTCTGTTTAGTGTTTTTCAGCTATGCATGAAAAAGTTAATCAAAAAATAAAATGAAAAACTGTGATGGCTAATGGAAGTCCAATAGATTTCTACACCAGCCTGTCTTTGGGGATGAACACCAAAATGTTACCTTCAAAGCATCAGTAGATGTACTGGGCCTATTGGTCTCTACTTCTCTTAAAGAAAAAGATTCCTTTAATTTTAGAATTTTTCAAAAGTAGAAAATGAAAAGAAAGTTGAGGCTTTTCCTATCTTCATTTATTTCTTACCTATAATTGTTGGGAGGTTGTATAACCATAGGAGACACTACACCAATAATCTCAGGGATGGGTTATACTTCTCTTTAGAGCAGTTAGAGGAAAGCAATTTACCACCCCTCTTTGTCCTCTAGTGTGCTTTGGAAGGACATAGTGTTAAGGGAATTGCTGATTCCTGGCCTATCTTCTATCTGGATGTCTTGACTAGACTGTAGATCCAAATGCCAACTACTAGAACCAACCCTGGCTGTAGTTTTGTGCATGTTTTTCCTGAAGGGCTGAGATGTTGTCTTAGTTCATTTCAAATTCCTTTTTTGACAACCCTACTGCAAACCAAAAACAATGTGCTGAAATTTGTACTTTTAGTAAATATTATTAATTAACCTTGATAAAAATCACCGAGTTGTTTCTTTGTTCTTTGGGAGAAGGAAAAGGTATGGAAGAGGGATGGTAGATGGAAGAGCCCTGAAATCACCTGGAAGGGTTGGTGGCGGTGGGAATGGTAGTAGTGGCAGAGGTATGGAGCACAAAAACAAAGTGTTATCAATGCAAATTTGTGGCGTATTTAGCTGAGGCTGTCAGACAAAAGATTTCTGGATGGTGCATGTCAATTGCTCCTGTGGCTGAAACAACCCCATCTTTCTCAGTTATTTAAAGTGAGTGATGTTGAGAAGCAACATATGCTTCTTTTCCTTCATGCAGAGCAATGAAATTTGGAAATACGTGCTGAGAGAGAAGCATAGTTTTCCATTGCAATTTATCTCTAAGAAAGGACCACTTTCTGGGATAGTGATAATGGTTGCTAAAACCTCATTGAGAAAAATAACTTAATTGCCCAAATTTGGGCTTAGAACATGCTGCAGCTGGCTCAGTAGAGTGGCAAGGGACCATCAGTCTGCTTTGGAGGAAGTGTCATGTTTGAGAATCATGTGGATGCAGCCTTCCTTTACTGATAATTGGATCTCACCAAAGAGTCGTAAGGACTTTCAGAGTAGTATGTACTATTCACACAACGTGGCATTTTAAGTCTCAGAAGTTTTTTTTTCCCCTTTCTGTTTTAAAGCTATTTAAACTTATTTTCTTAACAAATTTAATAACATTAAAAGTATGTTAGAGTCTATTGAGGAACTCTGTGAATACTTGATCAATAACAGCAATGTGACTAAAGTTGTGCATACTTATGTTTTCTGTAAGCAAATGAAAGCCAGTTAATTCAACATGTAACACTCCTATTTTAACTTCCTGGGTGAGACAAATTTGGTATTCCAAATTTCAGCCAGCAGCTGGCTCAATAATTGGAAAGCCAATTTACCAAAATTTCAGCTTTGATTGTTTCAAGGTCATTGATAGGACATATGAAATAATCAGATATGCTAGGCCTCACAGAACAACTAACAGTCTTGAGTAAAAGATGGAGTCTGGAGCTGTTGAGCGGGTGAGAAAAGAGAGGTATTTTTCATATCAGATCCAGTGAATTGCCCAGTACTCCACTGAGATCCCTTTGTGTATTATTGTGAAATTTTGGCCACATGAAATTAGAATAATGCTAATTACAAAATCAGCAGTGTGCTGTTATGAAAAGATCATTAACTCAGGAAATCAGGAGACCTGAGTCTTAGTCCCAGCTAATAATCCTTAATCATTATCTTAATTTCTGAGCAATTACTATGTTACTCTTTGTTAGGTATCTTTGTTTACATTTTCTCTAGCCTGTGCAATAATGCAGCCAAGAATATAGTATTACCCCACGTTCAAGTTGGAGAAACAATTTCAGAGAGATCAGGTGACCCTCCCGCATTCACCAAGCTAGTAAATAGCAAAATTAAAATGCAGACTCTCGACTGTGTCTTGAGGCTCCATCTCTGCAAAATGCTCCATATTCTTTTCTGTATTGGCTGTTTCTCCTTCTTGGAATACCTTCTTTGCTCATCTCAGTCTGTGCAGCTTTTAGTCATCCTTCATGCTTATCTCAAGTCTAGTATTCTTAGGGAGGCTTCCAGGAGCGCTCCCAGCTTCTAGTCTCTCCCCAGTGTAACTTCTCACCCTTCTTACTGCGCTGCTCATGTGGCACCTGCCGACCTAACTGGCCTAATCCCTGTAGCCTTTGGGACTTCCTTCTATTGTGAGTAGTATTTTGAGTGTGACCTCTCTCTCTCTCTCTCATTTATACATTTGTAAGACATTTGGAAAAAAAGTTAAATTATAGGAAAGTACTATGTAAACTACTACCCCCAAATGATGCAATTTACCATTAAAAAAATTGGCTTTAAGTATTTTTCTTATATAAATAATTAGTTCCCTACTGATCAAATTGAAGTCTACTTTATACACTTTCCAATTCCACTTGCCTCCTGCCTCCCCTGCGGCAACAACTAATTTGAATTTGGTGCCTAACCTTCAAGTCTATGTTTTTCATTTTTTGTTATATATTCACATATTTGTGATACAAAATGACATTTTGTAAGAAAACAGTGTAAATACTGCATTTGCATTTTGAAAACTTGTTTTTTACTCAATTTTTATAAAAGAGTAATATCGATACATTTAAATCTAATTTATTCATTTAAATTCATTTTAAGTGCTGTGTAGTATTCCATTTCATGAACATAAATATCTTATTTATCTAGTCCCCTTTTTATGGACATTCAGGTTTGTATATGAAACTTTTTTCACTGTATTGGTTTCCCCTTTACTATTAGACACTAAGTTCTCTGATTGAGAGACTGTGGGTTATGTTTCTTTGTTGTTAGAACTATGCCTGCATTTCAATATGCATTTAATAAATGTATGCTGGGTGAATTGATGAAGCTAACTGGGGAAATGAAGGTCTTCAACTTTCAGAAGATGAACATGATTAGCAGCAGGTAGAGGTTGACTTCAAGAATGTTAGTTAAGAGTTCTTTCTTGGGTTTATGGAGATGGGAAAGTAGGATAATAAAAAGCTCTTTGAAATGATACTGAGATGAGTATGGTCAAGCTAGTAAAATTTTTTGTCAGCTAATCATTTTTGTAAAATTCTAGTAATAGGAAATATGTAAAATAATTAATTAAACTATGAGCAAAAATACTTATAAACGTGCTTAAGTGCATTTGGCGGGCTACTACCGATTTATGGCTGGACAGCAAAAAGTCTATATTTATTTCTAACTAGGCCATCTCCATAATTCACCTTGGAGAGATCTAATTACCCTTGAATATTTGACCTTCAATGTGTCAACATAAATATTTCCTCAACATGGCTTCATGGAGATATGGCAGCTGTGTTTGACAGAGATAACATTTTTCTTTAGAAATGTTAAGGGCTATGGTTTACTTCCTTAGTTTCAAGTCATCCCTTCTGACCTATTGCATTTTTTTGTTACTTTCTGAGTGTTGTCCAGAGGGAACTCACCCAATAATTAGGAGAGAGACGTGAGGTCAGGAGTTAGGGGTTGTTGCAAGGAAGAAATGAATTTATACTTGTGAAACCTTAGGATAATGTCTGGCACATAGAGCTCAATAACTGTTAGGTATTACTCTTCTCATTTACATGTCTTATAGCAGAAATGTGAGGTAGTTATTTTATAGGCTTTATTGTAAATCACCCAGGATGGGTCTAGAGCTGTTTATATCTCTCCAACCCAAGGTATGTTTTGTTTTGAGGTTCTGATGGGTGAAAGGTCAAGGGTTTCCACAATGGAGAGACATGAACTCCAAAGACCATCTCTCCGTCAGGAATGATCAAAAAGCAGCAGCAGAATTGGGCATTGATTGGATAATTAAAGTGAGGCTTTACACATTTCATATGTAGCTTCTCATGTTGTTGGTTGTAATCTGATAGCTACAGGACCATGCCCCATTCATCCATTTGCTTATTGATTTATTAATCCATTTAAGAAATATTAAGCACTTATAAGGTGCCTGGGACAGTTCCCAGGTACTTGGAAGACATCAATGAACAAACAAAGAAAAAAAGATTCCTGCCCTCCTGTGGCTTACATTCTAGGATGAGGAGACAGAAAATAAGCAATAAATATAACAGGTAAGTTATGTAGAACATTTGAAGATGATAACTGCTATAGGACAAAAGGGTAAATCAGGGTCACAGGGATGAGGAATGCTTGGGGGGCAGTTTGCAGATTAAATAGGATGGTCAGGATAGGATTCATTGGAAAGATGAGAACTGAGCAAAAACTTGAAGAAGGTGAGGGAGTTAGTCACATAAATGTATGCAGGCAGAAGGAGAGCTAGCACCAAAGCTATGCCTCTCATATTTGAGGTAAGGAGGCCTGTGTGACTAGAGCAGAGGGAGCAAAGTGGAGAGTAAGAGATGAAATCAGAAGAGTATGGAGGGCCAGATGATGTAAGGCCTCATGGGCTATTGTGAAGACTTTGGTGGTCCATCAGAGGATTTGAGTTAGTGTCTTTAAAAGACCACTCTGACTTCCGTGTTGATTACAAATTCTAAGGGAGCAAGGGTGGAAGAAACAGAGAGACCTCTTAGAAAGCTATTATAGCTATCCAGGGGAGAGACAGTAATGGTGCATAGCAGGAGGGTGGCATTAGACTTGAGAAGTGATTAAATTCTGATATATTTTTAACCTAGAGCCAAGGTCCTAATGGATTAGATGTAGGATATGAGAGAAATAAAGGGACCAAGGATGTCCCCAAATATTTCTTTTTTTGGTAAATATCTGAAAATATGGAGCTTCTATCAGCTGAACTAGTTGGATTAGGTTTGGGCAAGAATGTCATGAGTCCTTTTTTTAGGGGTCTGCTGGTGATCTGGATGTGCAGGTCTTGAGTTTAGGAAAGTGTCTTGGCTAGAGACATAAATGTGAGAGTATTTGGCACATAGATGGAGTTTAAAGCCAAAGAGTTGGGTAAGATTATTAAGGAATTAAGTTCAGATAGAGAATAGGACCCAAAACTCAGTGCTTGAGGCACATCAACACTAAGTGAAGAGGAAGCAG
Organism: Homo sapiens; assembly: GCF_000001405.40. Taxonomy (NCBI): domain Eukaryota; kingdom Metazoa; phylum Chordata; class Mammalia; order Primates; family Hominidae; genus Homo; species Homo sapiens. Next base: position 88,522,367 of record NC_000001.11, on the reverse strand, counting down.
TGAAGAGGAAGAACTAGCAAAGCAAACTGAGAAGTGACCAGTAGGTAGAGAAGTGTGTGAGTCACAGATGGTAAATGAAGAAAGTATATTAAGGAGGAGGTGATCAAATATGTCAAATACTGAAGACAGGACAAATATGTTGAGGAATACCAATTGACTACTGGGTTTAACTCTGGAAGTCACTTGGTGACCTTGGTGGCAGTAGTTTCAATGGATATGTGGAAGTAACAGCCTGCTTGAAGTGGGTAAAGGGGAGAATGAAAGGAGATGAAATGTAGACAGCAAATACGCTGGTAGGCAAGACTAATCTCCTAAATGAAATTTGCTCTTCTCAAATACTCCTCCATTAGCCCACTAACATGCCAAAAATATCAGTTAGGATTTTCTAACTTCCCTTTGGAGAGCCCTTATAATTCAACCATTGAAAATGTAAACATTTTGGAATGGGTACCTCAAAGTTATTAACACAGATGCATGAATTTATTTGCGCTGAGCTACTGGGGTGGTGATAAAATTGTAGAATTTCAGAGCTATAAAGGATCGTAGACATGACATAGCCAAACTCCTATTATTAGAGGTATGTATAGGAAAAAAGTGACCTGCTGAAGGTCGCATAATTGATGAATCATAGCAATGACACTAGAGTTCAGGACTTTTGTTCTACTGCTTTTTCCACTGCAAAATATTTATTCTTGGATTTGATTCCACATGTATGTAGGACAAGTGAAGACTCAGGAAATGTTAGGTAAATGTCTGTTAAGTAAATGAATGAATAAAGGAATGAATGAATTAACAGATGAGCGAAGACAAGACAAGGTTTGAAATGTGTAGGAAAACCAGTTGAAGGCCCGTGAGGCACAGAAGTTTGGAGATTTGCTCTGAGATGCAAGGAGAGAAGAGAGCCAGGAAGAGGAATTAAAATAATTGAGGGAACAATAAGTGAGAACTGCAGACTGATGGGTGAGTGCTTTCTGCCTTGAAAACATTGTAAGTGTTTAAAATTGTTTTAAAAGTAAATGCAGTCAGATGTAGTGGCCCGCGCCTATAAACCCAGTGCTTTGGGAAGCTGAGGTGGGAGGATTCCTTGAGGCCAGGAGTTTGGGACTAGCCTGGGCAACATAGCGAGTCCCTCATCTCTACAAAAAACCAAAAAAAATTAGCCAGGTGTGATGGGGCGTGCCTGCAATCCTAGCTACTTGGGAGGCTGATGTGGGAGAGTTGCTTGAGTCCAAGAGTTCCAGGCTTCAGTGGGTTGTAATTGCACCACTGCACTCCAGCCTGGGCAACAGAATGAGACCCTGTCTTAAAAAAAATGCAAACTGTTAATGAGAGTTAATGGAAGAGACTGAAGATGGAACAGCTCTTTTCTAACTGGCATTTTTTTTTTTCCGTTCTTGCTGTTAACATAAGAAAACTACCAACTTGGTGGCAGCAGGTTTACAACTCCAGGAAAATAACCAGATACAGGAGGTTTCAACTTAATGGAACTCTTATATGCTTGAATGACTCCTGGAACAAATGAAAGCTGTGCATGATTATTTAGGAGAAGTATAAGATTAACAAAGCATATGTTTTCTAACATCTACTGAAGAAAATCTGAAAGTCATGTTATACTGGTCTCTGTTCATTTTAGGGTTATGTGATGAAGACGACTTTAGTGGTTCTTAAGTTAGGCACATAAATAAATAATGTTAAGACTGCACTTTAACTTATGCACCTCAATTTTTCATACATAGTTGCTGCTTTTCTTTTGGAAAGGAAAATACATGTTACTTGTTCTCTTGGAAACATTCCATCCTTTTTTATGCTTTTCCTTTCTCTTTTGAAAGATCCCCCTCACACCACATAAATAGAAATGTTCCTGAGATTCATTTGATTTCATGGATGGCAGAGTACTCATTTCAAATAACTTTGGGAGAGCCAGATAAAATAGCTACACTATACTGCATTACCTGATTTAGTGCTGGGGACTGTTAGGGGACTAGATGGATGTGGGAAATTGAAATGGGAAACTCAAGTTAGCTTTCAGTTTAAGTTCAGTGCGTTGAATCCGGCAGAGTTCAGGGTAGTTAAAAGTTATCACTATCTGATTTGACTGTTCACTGTTCCAAGTGAAATAAGTGAATTGTCTCTGTGTTGCTGGTAGTAAGGAAAATACTCCTATCACCTTGGTGCTAAATGGCAGTTCCTGAGCAGTATCTGCAGAGAACTGGCTGGAAAAGGTGACTTGCTCTTTCCTCCTTGCAGCCATTACTTTGTCAGGGTGAAGGTGTATTGGAGAAGTAGTTGGGGGAATCTTACACCTCTGTTTATCAAGCTGTATCTATTCTTGGGAGAAAAAGAAGTCATCAATTTCCAAAGCTGTCAATCTGGTACCCCCAGCCACTACTAAAAGCCACTTCAATTTATTTCTTCAGTTTTTTTACACTTTGCAGAGTGTTTATTGTAAAGATGTATTAACCAGTAAGGTGCCTTTAAGATAAATTACATTTAACTTTGGAAAAGATAGCAACTTTTGCAAAGGTGTCAATGGTGGTTTAAGTAGGAGAAAAAAGTAGCAGTGCTCAACACTGCTAGGAGCATCATTATTTCCATTTCAACCATTCTTTTTATTTTTTTTAGAGTTTAGTTATAATTTTGTGTTTACCTGTCTTCTCATTTGTTCTTTTTTCTTCATATTTGACTTTGTTTCTGCTTATTCACTCCTGCTTTTATTTTATTTTTATTCTTTTGTTCCTCCTCCCTGATTTTTTTTCCCACCCACAAGGAAGAAGCAGGCATTCATATAATAATATTGGATCTATCACCTCATCTATGTAAGATTATAACCAGAGCAGGCTAGCATTCCCAGAGTAAGGACATAACCCTTGATCTTACTAGCCAGGATTAGTTGATTCCCCCTGGCTTCAAGCTGTTTACACAGAGTTCCAAGGGAAACTGGGTAGGGCCAGTTTCCCTTGGCAGCCAACACTAAGCTTGAGTCTGAGAGAAAAATGATGTTTTGTCCCTTTTCCTCTGCAAACCTAGGAATCATTCATGTTAAGTCTTACTGTTAAAGTGTAAATGAGCCATTAAAAGTATTCTAGGCACAAAACCGTATTCTGAGGCCTGACTGAGTCATGGCTGTGGCCTAGAGAGTTGTTAATATAGAGAATTCAGGAATAAGAGTCACCAAGAAAGTATGGTCATTCCCTAAGAACTATGGAGAGTATAGTGAAAAAAAAGTTTCTTTTTTTGGCAAGAAGAACAATGTAAAATTAGAAAAAAAATATTGTGTGCTTTGACAAACAATTTTAGGTCTCCCATTTTATTTTTATTTTTATTTTGAGATGGAGTCTCACTCTATTGCCCAGGCTGGAATGCAATGGCATGATCTAGCTCATTGCAACCTCTGCCTCTCAGATTCAAGTGATTCTCCTTCCTCAGCCTCCTGAGTAGCTAGGATTACAGGTGTGCACCACCACACCTGGCTAATTTTTGTACTTTTAGTAGAGACAGGGTTTCGCCACGTTGGTCAGGCTGGTCTCAAACTCCTGACCTTATGATCTGCCCACCTTGGCCTCCCAAAGTGCTGGGGTTACAGGCATGAGCTACCACACCCAGCCAGGTCTCCCACTTTAAAAATGATAGAGAAATGAAAAGATGACACAAATATGTCCACGACGTGTCTTTATCAGTTGAATTCTGAGCAGTACTGATATACCAAGCTTGGGAGAACCAAACTGAGACATAGGCTAATGTATGTAGTCCGAGGTTTATTTGAAGTTCTGAAGCATTTTTGCAAATTATTGGAAAATGGCCATATATGAAAAAGTAGAAGAAAACCTAAATATGGGCCATTATTTTGGCTCTTCATTTTGTTTTTCTTTAGATTCTTAGGGAACTTAATGAAGAATTTTGTTTCTACTATTAATTATTTCTTCCTTATGTCACTGATTGTGCTTATGAAGCTTAGAAAATGTCCAAGGGCTACATCACATAGTCATGACATTCGAGTCTTTTAACTATCTTATCCGTTAGGACTCCAAAACACCATCTGGTAGAAATTAGTTTCTTTAATGCCCCATGAACAAGCCTCAACCCTAGGATTTTAGCCCACCTGCTTAGAACCTCGACTTAACTACGCTTCAGAGAGTGACACCTTCTAGTACTTTAGGTATCTGTTCAATACTTGCTTTCTCCAGTTGCACCAAAGTTTATATCCTCTAGATTGAAATATTCAAGTCACTTCTGTCTTAGTTCAATGCCTGCCTTCCCCAGTTGTTCTAACTCTCTCTTCTCTTTTTATGAATAATTATAGCATTTAATATTTATATCATTCATTAAATAAAAATTATATATCCTTACACTTTTACCAAGTAGTTTTATGTTACAATAAAATGAACTCCAAAAGGCTGAAATGATGCCCTGTAAAATATCCATCAGACACCTCACCCCATACTCAGTCTAACATAATTCTGGCTTCATGTTGATTTGGTGTTCAAAGAACATTTAATGAGTAAGTGAATACATGGCACCTAGTCTCGGTTAAAACCTCAGCCCAGAAGTGACAGTAGGTGTCAAAATACTCCTCTCTCTCTTTCCTTCCTTCCTATTTTTTCTCTCTCTTTCTTTCTCCCTCCCTCCTTCCTTCCTTCTCTCCTTCTCCTCTTCCTTCTCTTTTTCTTTCTTTCTTTCCTTTCTTTCTTTCTTTCTTCCTTCCTTTCTTTCTTTTTCTTTCTTTCTTTCTTTCTCTCTCTTTCTTTCTTTCTTTTTCTTTCTCTTTCCCTTCCTTCCTTCCTTTCTTTTTCTTTCTTTCTCTCTCTCTCTTGCTTTCTTTTTCTTTCTCTTTCCCTCCCTCCCTCCCTCCCTCCCTCCCTTCCTTCCTTCCTTCCTTCCTCTTCTCCTCCTCCTCCTCCTCCTTCTTCTTTCTTCTCTTCCTCCTTCTTCTTTCTTCTCTTCCTCCTTCTTCTTTCTTCTCTTCCTCCTTCTTCCTCTTTTTTTAGATTTGGCTCTTTTCTATATATCTTTCTTCGTTTCAATTCATGATATTAATTTTTGGCCTAGTATTGTAATTGGGGTAAGAATTCAAAGCACATGGGAAGAAAATTATTCTACATCTTTTATTCATTAATGTAATGTTTTCTGCTCCAGACTTTAAAAGCTTCAGTGAATAAATGTAAAATCTATCTGAAAAACAATTAAGAACTCAAAGACCATTTAAGAGAGCCTGCCATGATTTAGAATTTTTTTTTAATGCTCATCTTTGCTTAGCAGTGCTCAGGTGAGAAAGAGGAATAGAAAAGTTATGAAAAGTTACTTGATCTAGGAGAAAGAACACAAACCTTAGAAGACAGTAAGAGGTCAATCACATTTTAGTATTATATTTAATATTATTTTCAAGTCTCTACATTAGGTATATTAGGTATTTATATGAACACATCAACCTATGAGGGAGGTGTAATTAATCCTATTTTACAAAAGCAAATTAATTAGTTTGATTCCTAAAATCCATACTAATTTTACTCTATCATAGTCAAAACTATATCATAATTTCTATGGGAATCGACTGGACACAGGCTTGACTCCAGCTTTCCGAATTTACTAACTTACACCTGATTATCCTGTTGTATTTGTTTACACTTTGCCAGAGGAACTCCTATGAAATTTTGCTATCATAGGCCAAAATCAGAAGAGAAATAAGATATTAGAGTAATTCTTAAGGTTGGTGATAACAACTAGTAATGGGACAATATAAATTAAACATGATACAAACTTTGAAGAAATCGAATTGAGGTTCTAGCACTACCTTGGGAACACTGGATAATCTCTGCTTGGGCTTGGCTAATATTTGCTCATTTCCTGACTTTATATTTAATCTGATAAGTAAGTTTTGCGGGGAAAGTTCTTAGGAAGTTCATTCTGTGGAACTCTTCTCAGGGAAGTCTAGGGAAGTCTTCTTCAAAACTCTTACTATTTCTGCAGTTCTGAAAACTTCACTTATCTGGTCAAAATCTTGATCTAGTCAAAACATCAGTCTATTTGGGCTTCATTTTTGTTGGGGGAATTTTAATCAGTTTTGTATAAAAGCATACCGGCTGTAATGGGCTTGGGCATTAGATGTCCTGGAGGGGGTGGTGAGAAATATATTATTTTCTGTTTTCATGTTGGTCTTTCATTTCTTTGTCTGCAAATTGAGGAACTTAGACCATGTAAGTGTTTTTTGACCTTTTTGGGGCCAGGCCCTCCTTTTAGAAAGTGCTGGAATCTATTCTCAGAAAAATGCACATACTTGCAATTTCAGGGGGTTCACACACTACCTAAGGGACTTTGAGGAGCCCAGAGACCCCTGGTTGAGAATCCCTGGACTAAAATGATCTCTTGGGTCCCTTATAATTAAAATATTCTATTATTCCACATTTTATGTGATGATTTGGTTGATTGTTGTGATGCTAGTAAAAATGAGATATGAACTATTTAGGTAGATTTAACTTTTGTAGCTATAAATGACAAAGTGTCATCTAATAGTTTTCTTCTTTTTGAAAAAACAGTCTTTCTGAACCTTGTCTGCTCTTTAGAATCACCTGGGGAGCTTTTAAAAATCCCAGTGCCTGGCCACACCCCAGATCGCTTAAATCAGAATCTCTGGGGGTAGGTCCCAGATATCAGTTTATTAAAGCTCCCCAGGTGGTTCCACTGTGGAGCCAGGTTGAAAGTCAGTGCTCTAGCATGATTAAAACAGCTTCAGAAGTTCCAGATAACAGAAACATCAACCACCAGCTGAAGATAAAAGGACATTCCATTCTTTCACTGCTTTCAAATGTCTGGTATTGAACGCTGTATTTCCAGCTCAAAATAAGGGTTTCAAAACTCCTGTGTATAATCATGCCTTTAAATGTGCCACTCTCTTAGGTAAGCTGGGCAAGCATTACAAATATAGAATGGTCTTCCTGGTACTGTGTAGATGCGGGAAGGGCTATATTAGGTAGGTCATGCCCTGCTTTGCCACAGCACACATCATAAAAGATTTGTTTTCAACATAAGAACAATTACCATTGTCATATTCCAAACTGTGTGCAAATTGTTTTATTATAAACTCACCGTTGGTCCCTATTTAACTGGAAAATCATTCACTCTAAATTTATCTACTCTCTCTGTATGGCATTGACATTTGTTGGCAATGCCAGGCTTGCTTCACTTATAAGAAAAAGATTTTATGAAAAACAGGCAATGCTGTCTTCTGACTGATTAATAATCTCTAGAGGATCTTTGGAACCTTCTTGCATGTTAACTCTTCCTGCTCTCTTGCTAATTTTGACTTTTTATTGAACTCAGAGACACAAACAATGGTTTTCATGAAATGGAGCAGTAAAAGCATTCTTCATCAGACCAGCTCTCCAAAGTAAGAATGCTCCCTGCCAAAGCTTGGAGATGAGAAATGAGTTGTATAATGAAAAGTTGTTTGTTTTCTGGAGTTTACAAGTCAATTTGGGATACTTCATCAGCCAAGTTTTTATCTCTGTACTGGCAACCATTACATGTTTTCAATTTGAAAAAATGTCCATTTTTGCTTTCCATGGCATCTGTGCTATATTCAAACCACTCTGCAATTTCATGCAGACAAAGACTTTCCAAGTCACATGGTCTATTTGAGTAATAGGAGTCCATTAAGAATGAACAGAGACAACCTGTATTATAGTGATTTCTCCCTTTGTGGGTTTTGCAATTTCCCTACCAAGCTTTGGTGTTTGAAGATGACATTTTGAAAATTGGATTTAACTACCTGAAAACTTAGGACACAGAATTGCCGGCAACCAATTAGTAGCCTGGAAGGACCTCACTGAGTCATGACTGTCTGTTTATCACTTCTTTTTGGAGGAAGGATAAAGGAGAAATGCCTAATCTATAGACATCTTTTTGTTATTTTCCTTAGAAATGCTATTCAAATCTGGAGCTAAGGGAAAAGTCAGATATGAATCCTTGGAGTCGTTAAGTGGCACAATCTGAATGTAAATTTCATGGCACCAGCCAGGCCTTCAGATCTCAATGGTAACTGTTGCTAACCCAAATATTGTCACTGAAAAAATGACACCCATTAATAATTACTATTCCAAACACATGAAAGCACCTGAGAAATGTTCACTCCAGACATGGTACTTTTGACTACAAAGGGTGATGGTATACATATTTATGTGTAATTGTTTCCTACATATGTTACATTTGAAAACTCACTACAATTTATGTTTCCCAATCTTTCTAGAAACTAGAAGAAATAACCCAACAATTAAAAGGCAATCTAGTTTAACTGACTTGCCAAAGGGCTGACTTTTGATAGTTATTATTCACCAGAAAACAAAACACTGGCTATTATGTGGGCTTTGGTAACAGCATGGCATGTAGTAGGCTTTACTATTCATAATAAACATAGAATAAAATGGATGGATGAAAGTATCTGTAATTATACTTGAACATAAGAATCAAATTTTGAATAGATTATGTGTGTTTTCTTTTCTCTAAATATGTATAAAATTGATATCAATGCTTGTAATTACTACTAAAAGCTTTTGTGATGAAATGATTGCCCCATCTACTCAGGCTACTTTTAATATTGTCTTTGTCCATGCGACTATGGCAACATCTTTGGTATCTATACCTCATGCCTTGATTTTACCTTCCACAATGGGTCTTCAAACTGCATCATTCACAACAGAAACCATCTGAGGGCACAGACAGTCTTTTGCTACCTCCTTCTGTTATGGACTGAGTTTATTTTAAAATTTCTTTGTTGAAATCCTAACCCTCAGTATCTCAGAATGTGACTATATGGAGATAGGAAGAGGTAACTGAGTTAAAGTGAGGTCATTAGGGTTGGCTCTAATCCAGTATGACTGGTGTCCTTTGAAGAAGAGGAAATTTAGACACAGACATGTACAGAGGGAAGACCATGTGAAGACTCAGGGAGAAGGCAGCCATCTGCAAGCCAAGAAGAGCCCCAGAAGAAACCAACTCTACTGACACCTTGATCTCAGATTTTTAGCTTCCAGAATTATAAGAAAATAAATTTCTGTTGTTTAAACCACCCAGTCTGTGGCACTGTGTTATGGCAACTCTAGCAAACTTATATACCATTTTTGTTTTTCTAAATTTGTACACTTCTTTCCCAAATATCACTAGCCCTTGAAAGTTTGAAATATATCCTAAGCTTCATGTTATATGCAAAACCTAAATTTTGTTTGCTTTCTCTGCACCTCCTAGACCACTAATAAATCTGATCATGTGATTTTTCCCAGACTATCTCCTTCTCTGATATTAACAGCTGCATATTTCCTAGTTTTTGCAACATAACAAACAGGAGATCTTTCAGGAAGTTCCTATAAATCAGAAAGGGTTTATTCATCATATTCTTAGCTAAGCCATCTGAAGAAGATTTTCTATCTATGGCATGTATCTGTATCATTTAAAATGGAACTTATGGAGAAAACATCAATAGATCTAGATTCATTTAAACTTTGGATATGCATAGATTACACACACACACACATATTTATTTTTACCTTTCTTCAGCTTGCCCATTCTAACACTCCATAGCAATGCAGAAATACAAAGACTGAAACAGAGAAATGATTACAATTTTGTATTTGGCATAGGATGAGAGTGTCCACTGAGATTCACTTTTAGGGTGGGGAAAATCATGGTCAGCCTAGTAAAGTAAGCAGCTAGGATGGCTATGAGTTGCTAAGGGGGCACCTCATTGTCTTCTATATCTCTCCTTAATTCATAGTCCAGGATAGAAAAGTTACCATTAGATAATCTATGTTTTGAGCCAGGAAAACATTTAGTCATTAAAAATTTCTTTAAAAATCCAAATTCTGCCTAGAGGAGCTAAACAGTGTTTGGTCCTATAGTGGTAATGTGATGTAAGTGACTTTGTTTAGGGTTATCTTTGGTTTGAAAATTTGGAAAAACAAATGAAACCATCTCTTCCTTTGGCGGGTGGTAGGGGTTACTCCAGGTCATCCCTAATTAGTAATTAAAAGTAGTAGCTCTTTGGGGATTTGGATGTTAGACTTGGACCCAGTGTGCCCTGGAGTGTAAAGGGTAAGTATGAAGATGAGCATGTCACGCTCTTATGCACTGAATAAGTTCTGTTCTAAAGGCTTCATGGAAGGGCAATGTGCAAACAGCCCTGTAAAATCATGCTTAATAAAAAATCACGCTTTAATGTTCAATCATGAAATGGTTGCTTAGATGTCAAGGAAGTCTGAAATTTGTCGTGTTCCTTTAGATAGAATGTACATGTACAGATATATTCTTTGTTATTACATTAATCATAAGTCTCTGATAATAGGCACTTCTGATATGTTGATAATGAAAGGATAATTAATGTATATAATGATGACCCTAGGGCATGACAAAAAATGTTTTCTGAATCTTCAAAGAGAATAAATTATGTTTCTCATGTTCCAAATTTATTTGTGTCATATTCAAATTCTCCAGAAACTAGTAATTTGTATATATTGTGATATATATATTCAGCATGGTGAATTAAAAATAGGAGCTTTGGAATTAATTTGATTTAAATCACAGCTTTTTATCGGCTAGCCAAGTAACTTCAGAAAAGTTATGTAACGTCACTCCAATCAGTCTTTGCATCTGAGAAGTGGGTATAACAGTACCTACCTTGCAGGATATTGTGAGGACTGAATGATATGAAATACAGTGGACCAGGCTTTTGAGGACTGAATGATATGAAATACAGTGGACCATGCTTGTGAGGACTCAATGATATGAAATATAGTGGACCAGGCTTGTGAGGACTGAATGATATGAAATACAGTGCACCAGGCTTGTGAGAACTGAATGATGTGAAATACAGTGGACCAGGCTTGTGAGGACTGAATGATGTGAAATACAGTGGACCAGGCTTGTGAGGACTAAATGATATGAAATACAGTGGACCATGCTTGCCACAAACAAGTGCTTAAAAATGTTTAATTCCTGTCTTCCTGGTCAAACACATCAATCAAGGCATCTCACTTGCTGATCGTATCAGATAAATAACTTACTCTGCATATATATAGATTTAGGGGCATGCAAAAAGAGAATAAGAACAGTAGAAGAGTGTGTTCCTTGTAGGGAGGGCTGTCTTTTACCATAGGCTTCTTTTCAGGGTGCTGGCTGCTTTGGCTTTAATTTGCAGGCTTATTTTCTTTAGGATAATGAATTTTTATTTAAATTTGGTGAATTTCCTTTGAGCTCCTTTTAAGTCATCTGAACACAGGAAACACTTTTTCATGCTTTTAGAGTTTTTCTGATTGACTTTGTTCTCCAAAAAGGGCTGATTTTAATATTCTACGTGATAAAAAGTGCCTTTGACACGATTGAGGCAATTTAATTAGTAAATCCGGAAATTATAAAGGATTGGAAATCACACCCTCCATGCTTTTAATAAAACAGAGTAGTGAAACTTCTGATAGGTGCATACCATGTGTTGAAATAATTCTGTACCACACACACTGAGAGAAATGCAGAAATTGAGAGAACTTTGCAAGGGACCTACTAATGAAATTATATGACTAGGTGATTATGTGGTCAGTATACCATGAGATCAGTGTACTGACCACATAATCACCTAGTCATATAATTTCCTTAGTAGAAACTTCTGCAGCAGTCAGAATTTATATACAGTACATGTTGAGCATTTAATAATGCAAAATAATTAAAACCACACATGGAGATTCAACGTTTTAAATAGGAAAAAAGAGTAGCATAATTGTGAGCCAGTCTAATCTTTGAATTAGTTGACCTTGGAGTATCTTAATCTTGAAGTAAGAAATTTACAAAGGATAATTTAATGTTGTAGCTAATAGGATTTTTAGTGTCAGGCTGTCCATCTCATGGTGATGATAGTGTGTGAATTATTTCTAGTCAGTTTACCATAAGAGCACTCTCCCATAGTATGTCATCACTAAACAGGGAACATTGCTATAACTGCTAAGCATAAACATAATAACATGTTCAACTGTAAAACTATCTACAGTATATAAATACTGATGCTGTACTCAAAAGCACCATCATTTTTTATTGCCTTGGTAATGGAGTGTTCCAGAGAGACACGTATATGGATGATTGGTGATTGGTGGATTTTGTGCCAGTATCTTCAAGTGTTTAAGAGCAACCTTGATCACCAGCAGTCAGAGGAATCAAAGGCCAGCTGATTCCTCTTTAGAAAGCAAATCATAGAGGAAACTCTGATTATGTTTCACCCTAAATCACAGGTAATAATAAAGAATATCAACAGGTACACTTCAACTATGGTAGATTTAAAAAAGCATAGAACTATTATTACTAATATCAGGTATTATTATAAGAATTACAATGTAATTTTTACTCAGGCTCAGAATAGTAGCTCATAACAACAGGGATAATTGTATAATATGTATACTTATTTTCAATATTATTTTAATGGTATTTTTATATATGATAATAGTAAACTGTAGATAATAAAATGTTTTAAATGTAAGTAGAATCAATGGCAGGATAAGTTTAAAAGACATTTATCAATTTGTCTTTATTTTTGCATATAGAACAGCCAACTAGAGAGCTAAAACATTTAACCAGAGAAAATTAGGCATGTGCATGGGGTTGAGAATCAGAAGGAAATTGTATTAATGAGGACAAGATGTGTTAGGGCTTGACTCAATTCTAATCCACAGTGATAGTTTCATGACTTTTTATTTTACACTGGACCAACTCTGCAAAATGTGAGTATTTGGGGATGGAGAATGTCTGAAACGAGTGGATCAGTTCTGGGAGTTGAGCAAGGCTTATGAGTCACAATGAAACTCACAGAAACTTGATGGGGTCAAGCTGACTTTTATGACATGCTGTATAATCTTTTTGTGCCACTGTTGTGCACAGATACAGCTTGTGCACGATTTGCTCATTCGAAGGGTCATTTTTTGGTGCCTTCTGAACAGGAAAATTCCTTTGGATCTTCATTTTTGTTCAGAGATGCCACATTCTCTAGCCAACATCTTGTCATATACATGCAAACCCATATAGGTTATTACTAACATTAGAAGAATGTGGTTTTTGACCTATTACCAATATTTTAAGCTTTAGTACTTTTTTGGTAATTGCTATAAATCTCGGTCGTAGTCAAGATATATGTGCCAACTACTTTGAATGTTCTTTGTATGTAATTAAATTTTCCAATTCCAAGGCAAATTAAATGTAAACTTTTCCCAAATTTTAAAAAATATAGTAATTTTTGGGCAGTGTAATGAAGAATGTGGAGGTCTTTCAAACATGTGAGTACTGTATAAGGCCACCATAAAAACTGCCTCTAGATCACTGTACATATTTTTGATTACATACCTTGAGAATAAAGAATTACAATCTGTGCATATCACTATTGAGATTTGCTGTAGGAACTAAATTTCCTTTAATATGTAGCTATACTTCCATTAATAAAGATTTGGGCTGGCACATATGGTTTGCCTAGAGCTGGTTGTTTCATTACTTCCTTTTTTTTTTTAAAGTTTGCAATGAGCCCTAATTTGCTCCAGCTGCTGTAAATTGGTTTCTAGTAATTTTCACATCTTCTTCAACTTGCACTGACATCTGTAAATATAAGGGTACATATTAAATCTTCAGTTATATTTGTGGAAGCCCATGATCTACTAGGACTAAAGTTTGTCTCAAAGATATCTCTAGGCATTTTCCTCCTGGCATTATGCAACAGAAATCAAGGAGACCCAAGTGGGAATAAACATTGTCCAATTGGGAAGAAATTAGTTTCAGAGAAATAGATTTTATCTTAAGCATCACAATGCAATTATGAATCATATGACATTTTATGAAATGTCTTTATGTTGTTTTCTAGAAGCCTGAGGGTGCTAAAATGATAAATTTGAAAAGAGAAGAGAGTAGCCTCTTTGTGAGAACCCAGGGGCAGAACTGACTGTCAGCAGAGCTGTGAAGGAAGATAGTATTTATCTCTGGCACACTCTTACTTCTTTTAGTGCCCCATTTCTCTTTCAGAGTGTTCTCTTCTTTGCTCTCAGCTACAATCCGTTAAAGGCCCCTAAGATTAGCTGAAAATGGTTTAAATTTCCTCTTAGGACGGTTATCTGCAATTTAGTAAAATGTTTTGATGATTAAAAAAACTTTAAAATAGAAAAAAATAATTCCAACTGTGGAATTTCAAATTCCATGCTTGATACTTAGGTACAAAGGGAGATACCTGTCAGATGAAATCACTGTGATTATAACTTACTCCAAATGGGCCTTCTGAAGTTCAGCAAAATTATCCACTGGGAGCCCATGACACATGCTTTAGAATAGGCATATAGGCATGGCTGTTGAGGGAACTGAAGAGTTTGTTCTATGCTGATTGTGGTGGGTCTTAGGTAGCGTGATCAGGTAATTCATCATCCTGTTTATGAAGGCCCGGCCATCTTGTCCCATCTGGAGGTAACTCCAAGGGCCATTTCAGACCCAGAGCCCCCTTTGGAGTTGGCTGAGATTGTTGTTTGGGCCTGCATCACTGATTGACTTCTCCCCTGCACCACTGCTTTCCACCTTTCCCTTCCACAGGCATTGGTCCCTTGCACACTCCTTCATAAACAGCACACATGCTAAACTCCATCTCAGAATCTGTTTCTTGGATGACCAACTTGCTACAGACAAGCAACAGATCTGCATACTCAGAAATCCTGTTAGGTTTCCCCAAAGTTAGTGATGGTGGCTGACAAGGAGAGGATTCAGCATGGGACAAAGGAGGCAGGTAGACATCCACCAGCTCAGATGGAATCCTTAAGAGAAAGCGGAGGGGATGGGATGAGCCCATTTAGGAAACTGATGTACCTGCTCTGGAGCCAGACTGCCTGAGCTCACAATCTGGCTCTGTCACTTACTAGTTTGGTTACTGGGCAGGTTACTTAACCTCTTAGTGCCTCAAATTCCTCATTAGTAAAATGGGAATAAAAATAATAATGATGATAATGATAATGTGAGATTTAAGTGAGTTGATATGTACAAGGGCTTGTAATTTTTCCTGGTACATAGTAAGTGCCTAATAAAAGTCTGCCAATATTTAATATTGTTATTTCTCCATAAGGGTTCTTATTAGCAAGAGGTCCACAGAAGGAGAGCAATTCCTAGGTGGCAGCTGAGATTCCTGAGCTTTTTTTTCCCCTGCACTTCCAAATAGATTACTTATAAATATTACCATTGTTATTTAAGTCAGTAAACTTTTAAAACACCTTGAGGACATAGTGTTGACAACTTCGATGCTTTCTTCAGATGCTGCCTTTCGGTTATTGATAATATTTTATTCTGAGTTAACTAATAACCTATGCTAGAAAAAAAGAAAATCAATTAATGAAAATAGCCTGTTTTACTCCTGGTTCACTTAGGCTCATTTCAAAGGATTCAGGAGACTTGTAAGTTTACATAGTTTCTTTTTTAAAACTAAAGTCCATACTTCATTCATATCTCTTGTTTTTACTCAATGTCTTTTCCTTTTTGTGTTCCCGAATCTCATCCAGGATATATTACATTAGTTGTTATGTCTTCTTAGGTTCCTCTTGGCTTGACAGTTTCTCAGACTTTGTTTGTTTTTAATGTTCCTGACAGTTTTGAGGAGTACTGGTCAGATATTTTGTAGAATGACCCTCTATTGGAATTTGTCACATGTATTTCTCATTTATTAGATGGAGATTATGGGTTTTTGAGAAGAAGTACCATTCTGAAAGCATCATTTCTCAGAGCATCATCTCATGTCAAGGTGCATAATCGTCAGCATGCCTTATCACCATTGATGGCAAACTTGATCACCTGGCTGAGGGGGCGGTTTGTCAGGTTTCTCCATGGTCAAGTTTTTATCTGTTTCCTTACTGTGCTGTTTAGAAGAAAGTCACTTCCTTAGCTAACACCTGAGTGGGGAGTTTTGCTTCATTCCCTTGTAGGCAGAGTATCTACATAAATTATTTGGAATTCTTCTGTATGGGAGATTTGTTTTTTCTTCCCCATTTATGTATTTATTCAATCATTTATTCACATCAGTATGGACTCACAGATATCTGTTTTATATTACAATCCAATACTACTTTATTTATTTATTCAAATTTGTTTTCTTTTTCCAATTTCTGATTTTAGAATAAAGATGTTTAAGTAAAAGTGAGATGATTTATTTTTTTCTGTGGCTGTGGATCTCAAAGAACCCAGGGAGAGAAGGTAAAATCAACTTTGGCAAGTTTTCATTTTACCTGTGGACAACTAGCATTTTTAAAATAAAGAAGATGGCTTCTTTTAATTTGTAATATTTCTCACTGAATTAGAACTTATTTGTTTTTTTCCCTTCTACAATTCCAAGGTTTTGTCTGTTTGATTTGAATTGTGTTTAAAGTAGCTCTCTTGGTGTGTAGACATTTTTATTGTTAGGAAGAATTAAGTAGCTTAGGCCTTAGTAAATATTAGGGCAATGATTATGAAGTAGTATGACTGAGTCAGTTATCACCCAGAGGTAATTTAAAGTTAAATGTTAAGAGGGCTGCTTATGAATTTCATTATGGTTAGGACAATTAACAGGTTTAGACTGGCACTTTAGAAAGTATATTATGAACACTTAATTTGGGTTGCAGTGTTATGACAATTCGGACACAGTGTATATGTTTAAACATTTTTGTATTGATAATGCAGAGAACATGCATATTTATAAATGACCCAGGGTGACACATTGCCCCTTTATCAATATCAATTTTTTTTTCACATATCCACAAGGTTTGTGAACCACTTTTCAGTGCTGGTTTGTATTAAAATGTTTTGAACATGGCAGACCAAAAAGATATACTTGCAGATGTTTAAAAGTAAATATGAATGTATGCTTCTAAAAGGTGATAAAACAATACTCAGCTTTGGTATTTTAGATGAATATAGTTACTGGCATTATTTGGAAATCATTCATGATTATTCTTCTATTTTTTTTTTTCTTGAGACAGAGTCTTGCTCTGTTGCCCAGGGTGGAGTGAAGAGGCATGATCTCAGCTCACTGCAACCTCCGCCTCCTGGGTTCAAGCGATTCTCCAGCCTCAGCCTCCAGAGTAGCTGGGATTACAGGTGCCCACCACCATGCCTGGCAAATTTTTGTATTTTTAGTAGAGACAGGGTTTCACTATGTTGGCCAGGCTGGTCTTGTACTCCTGACCTCAAGTGATCTGCCCTCCTTGGCCTCCCAAAGTGCTGGGATTAAAGGCGTAAGCTACCGTGTTTGGTCAAGAAATCATTCATAATTCTGAGTAGATAACATTTTTTGGTTTTGTAGATATTAGATTGATTACAGGATACCAGCACTCCAAACATTCATTATCATGTTAATATATACTTTCTTTGAGTGTCTAAAATGTGCTAGGCACTGCTGAGGTACTTTGCAAATAAAATATCTAATAATGGTCCTGCTATTGTTAATCCCACCACACATATGAA
This sequence comes from Homo sapiens, assembly GCF_000001405.40. Lineage (NCBI taxonomy): Eukaryota > Metazoa > Chordata > Mammalia > Primates > Hominidae > Homo > Homo sapiens. Next base: position 88,504,898 of record NC_000001.11, on the reverse strand, counting down.
GATCTTTGTCTCTCAGAGAGAGCAAGTGCAATGGCCTATTTCTTTTCTTTAAACACACCAAACTTGTTCCAACTTTGGACTACTGTACTGTTCTCTTTGCTTTGAACACCCTGCCCCCTCCCAGCCTTTGCATAACTGGCCCTCTGTTTTATTTCCATCTCAAATGGGACATCACCGGCTCTTCAAACTTTCTCTAACCACTTTAACATGTTATATACCATTGTAACCCTCACTCTGTTCACTCTTTACAGACTTAACATTATCTGAAAATCTTTTTTTTTTTATTGGATTATTTTCTTCTCCTTACCTAGAGGATTTAACCTTTGGGAAGTAGGGACCTTAGTGTTGAAACCATCACTGTATCTGCTGCCCTGAGTACCTGTACATTATATATTTATTGGCTGAATTAACAGATAAATCCTATAGAGCAAGTGAGTGGTAGAGCTGAGATTTGAATCCCGTTCTGTTTGGCTTCAAGGTCTATGGGCTTTCCATTCTATCACTTTGTTTTCCAGCTGTGTCTAGTGATTGATGTCTTAATAAATATCAAATATCCAGCCTTGATCCAGGATATTTTATCAAAAGCATATTTGAATTTTGGCAAGTAATTAATGCAAATAAAAAATTAAAGGGCTGATTGATTCAGATTTCAAAGATATGACTCTATTTGCTAGTGAAGAAATGACCCAAGTTAACAGATTGTTATGATAATGCTAAATATTTATTACATTTTAATAAATTTACCATACACTCTGAGCACTTCAAAAAGTGATTCTTTGTTAGATGAATTTGAGTTGTTTACAGATATAAAAAGTAGACAAAAAAGCCTACCTTGCATTTCTATAAAATCAAAATCCAGAATTTTCATAAACTTGAATTATCTTTCCCAACAGTTAGATGGAATTAATGAGGTTTCACTGAATTTCTAAACTCTTTTTTACTTACCAACAGATGTGTACAAATGTCTCTTTTGGAGGAATGTAAACCATCATGGTCTCAGGAAACTGGGCCATGATTGAGACATTTCAAGGAAAACAAAGTGTTGAAGAACAGCTGACTGCATAACTAAGAAATCAATCATTGCTCAGGATGCTTTATTGGCATAATTGGCAATGATTTATAGAATGATGGCAAGAGTCCAATTGGGCATGTGTATCCTTAATATCCTTAGCACTCTGGCATGGAATCTTTGTTAAGACAACATAATTGGACTGGGGAAGAAGTTTCAGAGGTACCTATTTAAATTAGTTAATAACCAAGAAAAAAAATTCCTATTAATTTGTCTAATAGTGTGAACATTTGTGAGATTTTAATGGAATCTGGAAGCAAAGTTGTGCTCAAAGCAAATACATCTGAAAATATCTCTCAAACAGTTGTGTAATATCTAGTGTTTTGCATATAACTAGTGTGATATTGCTTTATTAATCAATATTGTTACATAAAAAAGTTGTGTACAGAAAATACGTCTGTTGAATCCTGAGGACACGAAAAGGGGAATAGAGGCAGTGAGTGTGAAATTGGCCAACTGATAGATTCAGTTCATTTAAAAGGAGTAATGTAAGGTTTATCTACTGCATTGCATCTTGTAACTTACTTGTTAAATTTATTCAGGAAAGATGGCTTTAGTGATTTTTCTGGAAACTAACTAGTGGGTTGTGAGAGATAATTAACAAAACTTCCTGTTTCTTCTCTTGGAACAGATGGATATTTTTGAAATGCAGCAGAACACTGAGCTCAGTTTGAGGGCATGCATAGTTGAGTTGCTTCTATTTGTATAATGAGGAGCTACTTGCTTGTATTCCAGAGGTCTACAGACTTATCTGCAGAGTTGTACCACTCATTTCCAGGGAACTAAGCTGCTAAATGCAGCCGGCAACATTGGCCTCAGGAACAAACTTAAGGACGCTGACCCAAACAGCTTTATTCTTCTTCTTTTTTCCCTGTTTTTTTTTTCTAACTGGTGGAACACATCTCTTCTACCTTATTAGCTATATGGCTGCCAGCATTTGAAAATGGCCTCACTCTCTGGGTGGACCTTGTTGAAACGCCAGATATGAAGCAAGGATTCATTGTGAATTTTAAGTGTTGGGGACTGGAATCTAGGACTAGTAAAATAGTTCAAAGCAAGTGAGGGAAAGGGGTTGGCAATCCACAAGTATTTTCTTGTTGATTGAATATTCAGATGAGAGTTTCTCCCTGTGACAGTCAAGGTTTTGGCGAATGTGGGTTGATTATAACAAAAAGCAGGAACCTTTAAAGGACCTTCACATTTTTGACATATTTCTTATATCCAAAATGGCCAATGTAGGTGTAAATTTTGTTGATAACTCTTAAAAGTGTATTGCAGATTTATATATTGGATACGCATCAGAGGGGTATTTGCCATGAAGCTAATAGAGCTTAGCCCTTTATTTATAAGTATCCCTTTCAAGTTCTTCCAAGAAGAAAAGCTAGGTATTTGTATGTGTAATTTTGTATTCCTTTTTTCTTAAAGAATTTTTCTCCTTCTCAATGAATAAACCGCATATGCACACAACTTGGATCTGCCCTTGTTCCTGAGAAGGTAGAAAGGGCAACAGAAACCTTTTTTTAGTTTCCAGAACACAAATGACTTCTTGATAGTTTCCATGGAAGAAGGATTATGGGTTGACTTAAACCACTCTCTCTAAATTAACTTGAATCACTAAATGAGAAGCCCCACAAAGGGGATGGAGAAAATGCAGAAAAACCCATGAGATTATCGTAAGATTTTGTGCCTGTTCAACTTCACTATCATTGAATGATAAGAGACAAATACATTGGGGGCTTACAGGGCTACTTTTGGGTTTAACTTTAGACGATGAGATCCTTGAAGGCAAGTTGAACAAATGTTCAGTTTGATTGAATTTGAAGAGAATGCTGAGCAGCAGTCTCCAACATCAATATTTAAAACAAACCATAGTGGCTCATTTAGATAACCTAGGTCCCTAATTAACCAAAAGAGAAATGAAGCTGAAATTGCTTCAAGCCAAGTAATATACTTCCTGATGTATGCAGTATAATAAAGAGTGGGAATACACACTTTGGGTAAAACACACATGTAATTATGCCTCTTCCCTGCTCAAAAAATTTGGATAGCATCTTTATTAGTTAAAGTCCAAATTCCTACTATAGCATTAGGCTGTAGCATAACTTTTCAGTTTTCTATAACTCAGCTCTCTCCTGTGTATGTTCCTTTCTTATCAGAATACACAGCATCTCAAAATATTCTAACCTATTTTCACACTGATTCTTAAAGTTAAATGCCTTTAAGTCCTACCTGCTAAGTCTAGTATCTTGGACATGATAAACTCACAATGAAAGTTTGTCATATTATTACCTCGTTTATTAAAAAAAACAGAACTTGCTTGAAGAGAGTATGGAGGAATTGCTCTTATGCTGAGCATAGTTCTTTATGTTTCAGAAGAAAGTCCACATTCCTTGATAGGGTATCCTGGTAACTTTTGAATCTAGCTCTTGCTTCTTTCTCTAGTTTTGTCTCTTGCCATCTTTGCTTGTGACTTTGGTTCATGACTGGTCCTGCCTCCAGGCCTTCACACATATATTCTGGTTGCCTAGAATGTTTCTTTTATCTTCCAGGACCCCAGTTCCTTCCCTGGATAATTCATGCCCATCTTTTGAGTCTCAGCTCAGGAGTCACCTACTTGGGAAGCCATCTCTCACCTAAATTGCCCCCCTTCTCATCCACAAGGTTAATTCACCTTTTGATAAGCTTTAATAGCATCTTATATTTACTCCACAGGATCACTGATCACATTTTTGAAAATTCGCTGTTTACTAATTTGCATCCCTTTATTAGGCCCAATAGTTCTTCAAGCATATGATGTATTGTTTACTATGTATCTCGGGTGAAATATAGTGCTCAGCACAAATATTTATTAAATAAATATATTTCAGTCATCAATAAACAACTAGAAGAGTCATAAATTTATAAATTTATGTTTTGCTCACATATTTTTGGGTTCACTAGAAGCCTACTTATTTGAAGAAAAGTTACTATAGAACTTTATTTATGGCCAAGAGTATGTGTAGGAACATGTATTAGTCCATTCTCATGCTGCTATAAAGAACTGCCCAAGACTGGGTAATTTATAAAAGAAAGAGGTTTAACTGACAGTTCTGCATGGCTGAGGGGAGGCCTCAGGAAACTTACAATCATGGTGGAAGGGGAAGCAAACACATTCTTCTTCACATGGCAGCAGGAAAGATAAATGCAGAGTGAAGCGGGGAAGAGCCCCTTATAAAACCATCAGATGCATTCACTCACTGTCGTAAGAACAGCATGGGGGAACTGCCCCCATGATCTAATCACCTCCCACAAGGTCCTTTCCAGGAGACATGGGGATTATGGGAACCACAATTCAAGATGAGATTTGGGTGGGGTCGCAGCCAAACCATATCAACACATAACCCTTCTACCTCTCCTTTGGCAGAAAAAAATCAATATCCTCCTATTACAACTTGTATAATAATAATACATTAATATCATATTGGGTAACATGTCTTTAAAGAATCAGATATTGGTCCAAGGACACACGGAAAATCTCTACAGAAAATCATTTAAGTTTTTGTACAAAGAAGCTTTTAAGATAGCACTTAAATGAAAAAAAATGTTTTTAAAACTGTGTGAGTTCAGGAGCTGCATTTTATATGAAAGTGAAAAATAACAGAAGAAAAATAGTACTCTATTACTTTCTTTAAGAAAAGAAAACTTGCATGTATTTTGCTCTTTGTATCCTATCTTTACAATGATAAAATACTTAGATATTTAAACGTGTGTTTTGATATTACTTAAGTTGTATAACATATTCTTATATTTAAAAATAGCACTGCTGAGAAATTGGTGCAGCAGTTTTATTTCAACTGTGTCACCCAAGGTAAACTTCAAATGTTCTGGCAAGATGGCAGATAGAACACAAAGGTTGGAAAAGAAAATATAGGATATACAAAGGAATAAACTAAGAGAAAGAGAGGGATGCCATCTGTGGATGAGGTATTTCAACATATTTCTAGAGGATGGAAGGAGAACATAAGCTTGTGGATGGACTTTTTCTTTTTTTTTTTTTTTTAAATTGAGAAGATGATGTCAGCCCAGGACACTCAGGCAGGGACTACAACAATGCAAAAAACTGATCTGCCAGAAGCTTCAGCTCAGAGTTGTCAAATACAGTGAATCCATCCAGATTTAACCTTAACTAATAGGTGTACTGGAAAGACAGGACAGAAAGAAGAAAATCATTAAACAGTAGAAGAAACATTTCCAGAGCTGAATAGAAAGATACAAGTTTTTGTTTTTGAACCACCCCCACCCCCCCAACTCCAAGGTATCGAGCTCAGCAAGTGCAAAAGACCTACATCTAGACAGCATCATGGAACTTCAGATACTGAGAATAAACAGCATGTCTGAGAAGTTTCTAGAAAGCAAATATAGGTTACAAACAAAAGGATCAAGGATCAGCCTAACATTCAGCAATCTCAAATGTATGAGATCTTGAAGGCAACAGAGCCTGCAATGGTCTGAGAAAAAATTACAGCCAAAGTATGAAGGAAAAGCAGACTTTTTCAAATATACAAGCACGTGGACTTGGAACATTTACTTGCAGGCACTCTTGCTTAGAAAAATACGTTATGGTGGCCGGACGGGGTGGCTCACACCTGTAATCCCAACACTTTGGGAGGCCGAGGTGGGCGGATCACCTGAGGTCAGGAGTTTGAGACCAGCCTGGCCAACATAGCAAAACCGCGTCTCTACTAAAAATAAAAAATTAGCCAGGCATGGTGGCGTGTGCAGGCATGGTGGCGGGCGCCTGTAGTCCCACCTACTCGGGAGGCTGAGGCAGGAGAATCGCTTGAACCCGGGAGGCAGAGGTTGCAGTGAGCCGAGATCGTGTAGCTGCACTCCAGCCTGGGCGACAGAGCGAGACTCCGTCTCAAAAAAAAAAAAAAAAAAAAAAAGAAAAAGAAAAAAGAAAAAAAAAGAAAAATACGTTATGGTGTACTCTGGAATGATGAAGGTAAAATCCCTGAAAGAAAAAAAAAATGGGGCATAAAAGAAACTGTGGCACTAAACCAAGAGTCCAAAGGAAAGACACTGTGGCATGGCAGTTGTGCTAGAAGCTTCTGAAGCCCCCTTGAAGCATGACTCAAGTAGAAGAAAGGAACTGATTCTAAAGATTAGATATAATGGATTAAAAGCTGCTGCCCATTGCAGCTGCCCTGGCAGCTCAGCCAGAAGCACCAGGCAATGTGGCCATGGAAGCCAGCTCGGATGGAGAGGAGGATGCAGAAATTACAGACGAGGTAACTGAGACAGTGATGAATGGAGGCATGAAGGAAACGCTCAGCCTTACTGTAGATGCCAAGACAGAGACTGCGGTCTTTAAAAGTGAAGAAGGGAAACTGTCTACCTCTCAAGACGCTGCTTGTAAAGACTTGGAAGAGGGCCCCAAGACCGCAGAGGCGAAGTGTGCTGGGCCCGGCCCTCAAGCAGTAGTCCCGAGCAGAGTGGTGTAGAGACTCCAGCACTCCAAGGACAGTGGAGTCAGCAGTAAGCCCTGGGACAGGTGGCAAGGGTGGCTCCCTTGACCTTTGCACGCCTCCTCAGGAACCGCCTTTCCCTGGTGAGCTCCTCTCTGAAGAGACTGTCCTCGGGCCTTCTCCTCTGGAACCAGCATCCCCAGAGGACAGGGCTCCTGCTGTCTCAGGGCTGCCTGACTTGTGTGGCGTTGGACCTCGGGGATTGCTGGTGGATAACACACTGTGGTCTTGCCTGGTGGCGAGTTTTGACGGCCATGGACAGGGTTTGGCTCCAGTGGTGGTGCACGTGGCCTCCGTGGTATGGACCTAGTGGCTTCTCCATCCCACCCAAGGTAACAGTGTCTCACTTCGTCCCACTAACTGCTAGGGAGAGAGCATCTGAGATTTTTCTTTGGGGTGGCATTTTATTTTATTTTATTTTTTGTCTTTTGTAGCAGGGAAAGGGTATGATGACCGGGAGGACAGTTCTTTTAAGGGTTGGAGGGTGCCAACCAGAGGATAGGGGTGAGTGTGCCCTCATTTTGTTTCTACTTTAATTTCTGTGTATCTGCCATATTGAACTGCGAGACTAAGAGCTGTCTGCAATACAATACCTGTATTAAAAATAACAAAAATAAGGCCCGATTCTGTTTCTAGAAAAAAAAAAAAGCTGCCGCCATGAACGACAGGGTGAAGCAGGCATGTTTTTTCCTTTATAAGAAAATAGAAAAGAGAATTAGAAAAGGAGAAACAAACAACTGTATAGGAAAGTTACAATTCAAATATGATGCAAACGAAAATGTAGCATGATTTTGAGCAATTACTGTAGATAGAGAAAAAATAATACATTTGACTTGGATGCTTGGAATATTTTCCTTTTAATTGCCGGGGGTTATGATATCTGATCCTCTATCAATTAGAGTTTGGCTACAAGTGACAGATATCTCCAAAAAACATAGACCCAAGAAAGATGTATTCCTCTCTCACATTAAAGTAGAAACTTCAGGGCTGATATAGTGGCTTGAAAATCATTGAGGGGTCCGGGATCTTTCCATCTTATTGCTCTCCCAACTGCCACTATGTCTTCTATTTTTGTCTTCTGTCATGGTCAGAATAATAAAAGTCAGAAACTATTAAAAGAGGCTGTTTCAGGAATTGGGGCTAAGATGAAGAGAGTTGGGGCAGTAATTTTTTTATTATAAACTTTTTGGTATATTTTTATTTTTTACTATCTGCATGTATTATTTTGATTAAAAATAATACAAAGAATGAGAGAAATAGGAAAGGAAAAGATTCATTTAATACCCCTTTAGTTCAAATGTTACTTTATCAGAAAAATCATGTTGATAACCCTTCCAAAATGTTGTAATCACTCCTCCCAACTCCAGGAAACTGTCTAGTTCATTATCCTGTTTTTTATTTTTGTTCATTAGCACTCACTTTTTTATGTGTAATTGGTACCTCCCCTAACTATAATGTAAGTTCTATAAGGAAAGAGACATTTTTAAAATTGTTCATTCCCATGTCTCCAAAGTCTAAACTTAGTGCTTGGAACATAGTAGGCATTTAATAAATGTTTATTGAATAAATAAACTCATAAATATTTAGAAGTCATTAAAATCTGAGGGAGATAAATAATAAGCTTGGATAGGACAGCTATCATTAAGAAACCTATAGTTAGATATCTGTGAGTTTAAATTAAAATAAAAAAAGAAACCTATAATTTACATTAATATCAAGAGAATATTATCAGAAATGCCTTAAATTGGAGTTTCACAATGTATGTTCTAGTTTGTTGAGATATTTTTGCAAAATGTTTTCCATGATTGAAATAACTTTAGGAAATGATACATACTATATACACCCTAGGAGTTTTGTAATGTATGCTTATATGTAAAAAGTGTTTCTTTTTTGAGAGGAGTCTCGCTCTGTTACCCAGGATGAAGTGCAGTGGCACGATCTTGGCTCACTGCAACCTCTGTCTCCTGGGTTCAAGTGATTCTCCTGCCTCAGCCTCCCAAGTAGCTGGGATTACAGGTGCCCGCCACCAAGCTGAGCTAATTTTTTTTTTTTTTTTTTGTATTTTTAGTAGAGACAGGGTTTCACCATGTTGGCCAGGCTGGTCTCTACCACCTGACTTCTGGTGATCCACCCTCCTCGGCCTCCCAAAGTGCTGGGATTAGAAGCGTGAGCCACTGCGCCCGGCCTGTAAGAAGTTTTGATAAGAACTGCAGTAAATATGTTTAACTCAGCAGCGATATGAAACTCTTTCATATCATAATAAACTTATTAACATCTTGTGGAGCTGGACCTGTGTGGAGCATGCTTTCAGAAATGCTGCTAAATGTGTTACTTAAAGATAACATAGGGAAAACTATATATAATATGAGCAGTACAGATTCAAATGTAATGAGTTAGTGATCGTGAGGTTCTTGTTGCCACGTGTGAAAAAATAAGAGGTGTGAATTTGTCCTCATATTTCTCTCTCTGGCCAAGCACTGTTGTGACTGGAGGAAAGAATGTTGGGATGGAATTGGATGGCTGGGTGTACAAAACAGTTTATCTTCCTCCCAGATCCAGAAGGCCATACTACCAGCTACTTATTGCACTTTAAGTTTGGAGTAATATATTTTGCATATTAGATTCAACATAATATTTATCATTTAATTGTTACATCACTCAACCTGGAGCACACTAAGTAGAACTGGGGCTTTTTATGTCTTTTAAGACAAAAAAATTCCAAAACTTAATTGGAAACATGTAACCATTCTGGTAAACTTTGACTCCCCCAAAGCACTCGCAAAAGCTTCATCCTAATCCTTTGTTTATCCCCAAGGATTATCAAATAAAGTTAATGTGTTTTTAAATTATACATCTCTTTGATTTATATTTTCTTAGCATATGGTTTTTTTGTAGCAGTTGAAATTGGCAGTTACCTCCTAAACTCTGCCACAGCCTTATTATTATGCTATACTAATCATAATTGCCAATCAGTTTGGTCATATTTTTTGTGGATCTCTATTTTATGGATCATGATTATAGTATTAAGCACTTATTAAGAATTGCTTAAGGATTCTTTTCATTACTTCTAACTTCTGGGGGGCAATCAGGATTTGTTTCTCCATTTCATTTCGCAGTGTAGGAAACAAAATCTTTAACCATTCCAGTTAAATTTGGTCTATTAAAAAAATCCAGTCTTTATCCAATAATATTAAACCTCTTCTTACATGCTGTCATATTTAAGTTGTACTGACTAATTTACACAGTAACAAAAACAACAACAAGAAGCAAGGATTTCGGATTTACTTTTTTCCTGTGGGTAGTTTGTCCACATACAGGACTCAACAACTGGTTGACTCACTTGAGCCAGTGGTACCACCCTTCTGGGCTTTTATATCAAACCTTATGCATAAAAAAAAAAACCAGTTTGATTCTTCAGTTAGAGTTCATCCTAGACTGACTTTGAATCAACTCCCTGAATTCTTGGGGTTTGCAAGGAAATTTCTCAATCTGACCAACACTTATAAATTGAACCATTTGAAATATCCATATTTTCTTGGCCAAAATTGGTAGACTATCAGCAATTTAGTATGGTTCAACCTAATGAAGGTAGAGTTCAAGAACCATCTTAGTTAAATTGGTACCTGGGACAAACTAATCTCACATACTGATCAGTTTTTGCTGGTATCCATTCTGGTAGTGTGCTTAACAAGTTAAGCAATACAGAAAGGGTAGGACATGTTTTGGTGAAAAATGGTAGTCAATTTTCCATGTTTAGTGAAAAAAGAAGACCATTATTTAATGATGAGTAGGGAGAAAGTGGGAACCTAATGGTGAAGCCAACTAACAGATCCTTGTACCGACAAATATTGTCACTTTTGACTATCGTGCTGAATATTCCACATTAGGTAACTTAACGGAAGAACTTTAAAGAAAAACTTTCCAAGGCCTAGCTTATAGTTCTCTGGGTTAAAAAGGATTTTAAAATCTGATTTGATTTATGAGTTACATTCACTTGAATGTCTAGAGGATGGCAGAAATATTGTTATGTGAATTCCTCCAAATTCACCTGGGTTGCTGATGTGTCTGTACATGGTCTTGACACCAGGTTACATGAAATATGAATGTGCTGTCACATTATTTCAGATAAAACTCAAGTAGAAATGCATCCAAAAACATTAATATTTTTGGTAAGCCTTTTCTAAGTTTTGGTCATAGACATGAATGTTTCAAGAAAACTGTAAAAAGTTTTATTATATACCCTGTTGACTCCATGAAGTATTATATACCTTTTGACTACATGAAGACTTGCATGCAGTTCCACAGAATAAATCTGGTTTTGGGGGGATGAAATGCAGAGGACAGTCTCCCTTATTGTTAAGAGCAAGAGAATGGTGTGACCAGATCTCTGTTTTGGCAGCAGTAAGAATAACAGATTGACCTGGAGAAATATTTCAGGAAGGATGTTGGTGTGGCAAACTGTATTTATTACAAAGATGGATGCAATACTATCTTCATATCCAAAGTTATTCTATAGGTATGTCACTCCTCCGTTAAGAATTGGCTTGTATGTCTCCTTCCCTTGAAAGTGAGTGGGAAGCGATTTGTGACTACCCTAACCAATAAGTTTGGCAAAAGTGTTGCTCTGTGACTTCTAAGGATGGGATATAAAAATGTCATGCACTTCCTCCATGGGATGTTCCTTTTTGGAACCCAGACATCATGCTGGGAGGAAGTCCAAGAAACCTGTGGAGAGACCCACAAAGAGTAGAGCTGAGGATCATGGGCACAGTCCTGGCATAGCTTCAGCCAATAGTACCATTTTGCAAGCATGTGAGAATCATTGTGAAAGTGGATCTTCCAGCCTTAGCTGAGCTGTTGCAACTGATGCCATATGGATCAGCAAAGAGCTGTCCCCAGCTGAAGTCCTGACCCAATTAAAGATGCATGAGCAAAATCAATGCTTAATATTATTTTAAGCCACTATATTTTTGAGTGATTTGTTACACAGCAATAGACAGCCAGAACAGCTAGTTTTAGTAAGGCCTTAACTGAGGAATAGGCATGAATATAAAAGAAACAAACTGTGCATTCACCTCAACATAATTCACCCTTTGCATTCTTTCACTAGTCTAAATTATCCCAGTTCCCATTGCCTTTCCTTATATCACCTACTTATTTTTCATTGTTTTGATTACTCTTCCCTAAATCCCCTCTCAGGTTTTAAGACCCCAAGCTAGACACGTTATGTTAATAAAGGCTTGATTAAAGCTGAGAGTAATTAGAGGATTAAGTATAATTCTTACATTCTATTATCTTATTTATAGAACTTGATGGCAGGCTCTAAATTTTAACAGCAAGTGCTGAATTTAGGACTTAAACCGATGAGTTCCTTCTGACTTTAACACACTTTAACATTTTTTATTTAAATGGAATATTGCAATTATTCACCAGAAAGTTGTAGAGACTATAGCAAACACCCACCTGGTCTCTCTTGTACCAACTCTTAATGTGTTACCATACTTTCTATAGATTTAAAAATAGTGAGAAATTGTATATTAATTGGCTAGCCCTCTTCAATATTGTGTCCTCTCCCAGAAAAATCTACTGTCCTAAATTTGTTGTTTATTATTCCCATGAAAGTTTTATACTGTTATGACACACACACACACACACACACACACACATACTTTATAAACTTTATATAAAGGGAATTCTTACACATCTTTCTGTACCTTATTATTATCATTATTTGGAGCTATCCATTTGAGCTCCTTTATGGTATTTTATTGTGTGACTGTGACCATAATTAATCAAATCTGTTGATAGATATTTAAATAATTTCTAGATGTTTTGCTGTTACAAATCATGCTGCTGTATGCATTCTTGTACATGTCTTCTTGTGCACATGTGGAAAAGCTTCCTCAGGGGCTACACCAAGAATTGCAGAGTATAAGGTTATACACAGCTTTCGGTTTAGTAGGTATTACCAAATTGCTCTTCAATATGTCTCTGCCAATTCAATTTCTACCAGCAGTGTTGAAAGTTCTTGTTCTTTCACATTTTTACCAACATGTGTGATTATCAGACTTTCTAATTTTTGCCAAATGAGTATAAAATGAAATTTAATGAGTTTTTGCATCTATCTGATTACTATTGTTGTTTGGTATCTTTTACATGTTTATATCCTTCGTCTATTTCTCTAATCAGTTTTTGTCCTTTTCTTATTCATTTGTAGAATTTCTATACGAAGTTTTTATAATAACTTTTTGTTAATGTGCATTGTGAATATTTTATCTTAGCCATGGATTGCATTTTAACACTGTGTAATATCTTTTATTGAACAGAAGTTTAAAAAATGTAATGTCAAATTTATTCATATTTTCCTTTATGGTTTGTGCTTTATTCTGTTCTACTAAGTAGATTAATTACTTCCTAGAAATCTTTAAGGTATATTCTCTATTTTTTCTAAATGTTTTTGTTTTTTACATTTGGGTCTCTCACTGTTTTCCCTAGATTTATTTTTTGACATAACATGAGATAGGGATCTATCTTTTTTTCTATGTGGATAACTTAGTTCTCCTGATCATGTTTTCTGAATAATTTTTATCCATTGATTTTTTTTTTCCTTTTTGAGACGGAGTTTTGCTCTGTCGCCCAGGCTGGAGTTTAGTGGCTCAATCTCAGCTCACTGCAACTTCCGCCTCCTGGGTTCAAGTGATTCTCATGCCTCGGCCTCCCAAGTAGCTGGGATTACAGGCACCCGCCACCATACCTGGCTAATTTTAGTATTTTGGTAGAGACAGGTTTCACCATGTTAGCCAGGCTGGTCTTGAACTCCAGACCTCAGGTGATCCACCAGCCTCGGCCTCCCAAAGTGCTGGGATTACAGGCTTGAGCCACCGCGCCTGGCCTATCCATTGATTTTTAACACCATCTCAGACATACACAACATTTTTATACAGGTTTATGTCAGTTTCTGGTCTCCCTCTTCTGTTCCCATGTCCTATTTTCCTTGCCTTGTTTTTAAAATCACACTATTTTAATTAATATAGCTTTATTCTAAGTTGTCATATTTGGTAGAATAAGTTTTTCAGAGTTATTTTACTGATTCTTGGTTCTTTACTTTTCCCCATGAATTTTAGGATCAGCTTGTCAAATTCTGCAAAAATACTCTTAGGGATTTTGCTGGGATTAATTTGTGGTAAAACTGACATCTTAAAAGTTGAGCCTTCCTATTCATGACCATATGCCATCTCCATTTATTAAGATTTCCTTTTTTTTTGTCTTTTCATGAAGTTTTGTAATTTTCTCCATAAATACAATTAGTCCTCATTATTCAAAGATTCCATATTTGTGAATTTGCCTACTTCCTAAAACTTATTTGCAACCTCCAAGTCAATACTTGCTGTGCTTTCATGGTCATTCACTGACATGAGCAGAGTGCTGAAATATTTGAGTGTCTGGCACACATGTACGTTCTCAGCTGAGTTCCAACAAGGTGGTGCTCTGCCTTCTTGCTTCTGCTCTCATACTGAAAACGTGTCCTTTTTGTGGCTAATAGTACCATGTTTTTCACACTTTTATGTTTTTTATTGGTGATTTTGCTATTTAAAATGCCCCTCAAGCATTGTGCTGATCTGCTGTCTATGTTTCTCAATGCTAGGCAGTTGTGTTGTGCTTTACAGGAAAAATACATGTGTTAAATAAGTTTTGTTCAGGCCTGGGCTGTAGTGCTGTTGGCTGTGACTTCAATGTTAGTGAATCAACAATATTTATTAAATAAGGAGTCTTGAAACAGAAACACACATAAAACAAGCTTATGTATTGATTGGTTGACAAAAATGTTGTAGCCAGAGGTTCACAGGAACCTAATCCTGTATTTCCCCTAGGAGCAATAGTTCAGTATTTGCTACTTCACTGTGTGTGGCAACTTTATGGAACATAATCACTACAAATAATGAGAATGGACTGTATCCTGAATGTTATTTATTATATTTGTTTATATAACTTTGTAGTTATATAATTGTGAATAGTATCTGTTTTTATGCTATATTTTCTAATTTGGTTTTAACTGATGTGCAGAGTATTGGTTTTGGTATGCTGATGTTATGTCCCAGCTCTGTCATTTTACTAGCTGTGTGACCCATGACAAGTTTGTTAGTTTCCTAGATTTGTCATAACAAAGTGCCACAAACTGGGTGACTTTAAACAACAGAAATGTATTGTCTCACAGTTCTGGATGCTAGAAGTCTGAAATTAAGGTGTCAGCAAGGCCATCTCCCTCTGAAAACTGTAGGAAACCCCTCCTTTTTTTCTTCCTAGCTTCTGGTGATTGCCAGCAATCTTTGGTTTCCCTTGGCTTGTAGCTGCATAACTCCAATTTCTGCCTTTGTTGTCACATGATGTTCTCCTGTGTGTGTCTGTGCCTAAATTTCCCTTCTTTTACAAGGACATCAGTCATATTATACTAGGGCATACCCTAAAATGACCTTATCTTAAATTGATTATATCTGCAAAGACCTGATATTTGATAAGGCAATGGGGGTTACCTTTAAAATGTCTTTTTTGAGGAGCACAATTCAACCTATAACAGCAAGTTGCTTAACCTTCCTGTGCTTCAGTTTTCTCTGACATAATTGTATCACTCTGATAATAACTGTATCATTTTTAAGGGCTGTTGTATTAGATTAGTTAATATTATTAGTCAAAAATATATGGAAAATCCTTAGAACTATGCCTGGTCCACAGTAAGAATTCAATGTGTAATCTAGTCAGGTGACTTTTATTTAGCAATTTTGCCGAACTCCTATTGGTTTCAATAGTTTGTAGACTATCCTGAATATACTGTTTAGATAATCACATTGTATAGAAAAGGTAATGTTGTCTTTTCTAATTTTTATATATTTTATTTCAGTTTCTTACCTTATTATTGTAGGGTAAGCCTTGTTATTGTTGTAAGACTTTCAGTATAATGTTGAATAGAAGCAGTGATAGTAAGATAATGAGCACCTTGTTTTGCTTGTAATTTAAATGAAAACTATTCTATAATTTTGTCATTAAATGTGATGATTGCTACAGGCTAGGGTGATATCATTTCTCAGGTTAAGAAAAGTTATTTCTAGTCATAATTTTAGTGAGTTTTAAAATTAAATTTTGAATGAGTACTAAATACTTTTTTTTGCATCTGTTAAGATACTTATATGTTATTTTCCAATATCAAGCTGGAAAGGATAGGAATGGAGCAGCAAATGAAAGTTCAGGCTATGGGTTAGGAGTTGAGTGGAAACTTGTTTGGAACTAGCCTGGGTTGAGGGCAAAGCAAGAAACAAACAAACAAAAAAACACAGGAATGACTGTTTGCCTTTACTGTTTGGCAGGTGAAAATATATGGATGTAAGAACTAGCTTAAAGGTGGTATTAATAGTAATAATAACATGATCAATAATAGTTAACGTCAACATTCCTCACCAGATCCCTCAAAAACAATAGAAATAAAAGGGAATATATTTCATTTTGTAGCATACAGAGCATAGTTATTCTGTGCTTTTAAGTGAAACACCAGCATAGGAAAAAACAAAAAACAAAAACTGGAGCCCAGGAGGTCAAGGCTGCAGTGAGATGTGATCACACCACTGCATTCCAGTTGGGGTGATTTAGTGAGACCCTGTCTCAAAAACAACAACGACAAATAAAAACAAACAAAAAACAAAAACGAAAAGGACAAATGAACAAAAACCCTGAACGGTAAATATGCACAACACTTTGGTGCTGGAGGCAGTATAATTCAGCTTCATCTTTAGTCATGAAATTATCCCATATAGCTTGTTGAAATTCAATCTGTAATATGTCTAGTTTCTCCTTGACCCCGATGACTCAGGCTCTGTTTGAGTCATTGGAAGGCTCGTCATTATTTTCCCCCTTCCATCTTATAATCAAATCATTTTTATTGTTATTTGAAAGTTTATGGCACTGGGATGGATTAACTTTTTGGAATATGGACAAGGCAAAAACCTGGCTCACAGCCATTTAAAACATTCCCAAACCTGTTTGTGATGAATGTTTGGGCAGGCTTTGGGAATGATCTGTCTCTTTAGATGACAACTGGGTCCTGGCCTGGACCTTTGCCCTCATCTTCTGTTTATACCATCTATGAATAATCTCTTGTTGTTTACACCTTAGGGGTTGCCTCTCGACTTCAAATCTTTGGGGTGAAAAATGTAAAGGGGAACCAAGGAGGTTATGATAACTGGATTCATTTTAGAGTTTCTCTGTAGTGAGGAAAACTCAGTTTTGTTTACTTATTTACTTCTGAGTTATTAATCTAAGTTGTTGGCACCAGAGTTATTTATGATGGACGACAGTAAGTGCAAAAATCAAAAGGTAATTTGGGCATGTTTCAGCCTGGTTTGGGACCTGCTTCAATAAATCCCAATGAAGGAAGGAATATTTCTACCTGTTCAACTAGTTCTCAAAATGACTTATAGGAAAGTGCTCAGTATAAGTGACAATGAAACTTTCTTCCTTTCTTCCCTTCCTCCCTCCTTCTTCATTGCTGTCTTCCACCAACACACATTTATTGAGTGCCCATTATACATGTTAGAGACAGATGATGAGTACAAAGTACTTAGCCTGATTTCTAGTACATAGTAAGTGCTCAATAAGTGATTATCCGTAGTGAGATTAATACAAGTTTTGGTGTCATTTGTTATCGTAAGCACAGAGAACCTTACTAAAGAGTACCTTAATGCTTTTTTTTAGTAGGAAGCTGGCGTCTCTAATAGCACAGTCCATTGGTTGGAAAAATGACAATGAGAACAACAAATGGATGCTAAATCCAATTTCTAGTGACATCTCTATAGGAACAATGAGACAAAAATCTGTCTGAAAGCAATGATTTAAACATTGGGTTAATGATGAAATGTGGCAATAGGCAATTTGAAAACTATATAAAAGTTTAATAGGCAGCTACTTAAATAACATGTAAACATTTTTTCTTCCAGTTTTGAGGACTGCTGTTTCTAAGTTCACACACAAATTCCTCTTTATAATGGGTAAGCTGCCTTGTTCTCAGCTGCATACTGTCATTCCTAAACAGGCCTGGTGCTGAAAATTTTTAGTGCTGTCACCCCAAATTGCTAAACACTACTTACTCTTTAATCTGTCTGTCACTCTTCCTGTCACTCCCTTTGCACTTTATGGTGAGGCATTGGTTCAACTGTCCTATCTTAAGTCCCTTTACAATAGAAAGAGAGGGCCTCATTTTACTCTTGTGATGGCCAGAGAGGTCACCTACAGCTGCCCAGAGTTATTTTGACTTGTAGATTTGGGGGTGAATCCTGCTGACAAATATCAGGTAAAGTAACAAATCTTTACTCTTTTTAGATTAATGATTCCTTATCTAAGCACTTTCAAGAAGTGACAAAGACTAGAAAAATAAGAAGCAAAAAATAGAGGTAAATTTAAAAGCCAATCATCCCAACATTTTATTATGACCGTACATTAAGCAAATGACTTGCTGTAGTGTCATGAACAACAATCATTCATAGAACATTTCTCAGAGCAGCGTGTTGGTTTAAGTATGGGGATTCTGTTTGGATTCCACATTTCAGGTTGAATTCTCTGCTACTTTAGATGCCGCTAATGAATGCTACATGTTCAGAGGAGGAAAGAGAAATGCAATTCGAATGTTCTATGGCACACAATCAAGGGTGTATAATAAGGCCCCAGGAAGAGTCAAAGAGTAAATTTTGGTTTAATCTCTTTCACCCATGCCCTAAATCCTTTCTGACTTTTGCAAGAAGTCTCTGAGTAGGGGTAGGGGTAAGGGAAAAGAATCTTCTGTATGACAACGTTATGACATTATCTCTTCCTGTTCCCAAATGGGGCTCCTACACCTGCGGATGGGACTGTGACACCACCATCACTTTAGGTGTTGCCATAGCTGCACACCCGTGCAGCCCCCAGCCCCTGTCAAAGTGGATGCACACCTTCCTCTCACCTGTGTCAAGACCTGGTACCAGGCCACAAAACACATTTGGCTTGGGCTCTGTTTCTTACAGAGCCTTCAATAACACAGGGCTTTATTCCACTCATTGTTTATTATGGGTGTCTCATATCTGTGGCTTTGGCTGTGGACTCTGGCGAGGAGGTGGGGTGCAGGCAGAGGACCATCTTGTTGTTCCATATCATGCTATTCTAAAAACCAGTCTCTCCTCCAGCCCTTGCCCCTAGGTGGGGAAGTCAGCCTGACCCTGTGCCTCCTTGACCTTTTCCCACATTGCCTGGGTGGACACAGGTGTCCTTGATCTCCACTGAGCTCAGAGTCTTTCTGAGGAGGAATGCAGTAGAGTTGGGGTGGGCTGATCTCCAGTACCATCACCCATGAGATGGAGTTCTAGACAAGTTTGATTTTCCAGTGAGTGCACATGTCAGGACTTCATTCCAGGATCTCTGCAACAATAATGGCCACTGTCTTTCCTAGCTTTTTAAATGAACTTGATTTTTAAAGTAAAACGATTCAACGAAATAATATCAGAAGAATTCTAGGGACATTAAAACATAATAAACACTCCATCTACTGTTGATTTTATTTTTTTTTCTTAGTATGTTGGTTAAAGTTTGAGATGTAAACAAGGTGACTTTTTCCAGGTCTATAGTGAAAGGATCAACAGTTGGAGACCACATGCTTCCCCCTGTGAAAGTTATTTTCTGGGCAACTATGTAGGATGTGCTAATATTAATTTTATGTTAGTCTCATGTAGAAATGCTTGACAAAAACAGATAATTCCGGCAGCTTGGCATAAGTTGCCTCCTGACAGTGGACAAATATAAATTTGCCACCTGACACAGGGGCCCCATCCATCCCTCATTCCAAATCCCATGTGAGGAACTAATATTTTTCTGACTAGCTTAATTTCTCTCCTTTTCCTTGAGTTTTAGTTAAGGTCCATTTTGGAAACTTGTGCTTATAGTTTAAGAAACTTTACTGATGAGAGGCTCCACTCTAATATATAATTAATGAGTCAGAACCCCGTGTCCAAGATGCTTTTGCGCACCACCAGTGTTCTAATTTATATATTAAAGTCTTAATTTTGTTCTTAAACCTTTTAGACTTGCACGGTGCATTTATCAAGTGTGATTCTGAAAGTCCTTATATGAGCAATGTGTAGTGTGGGCTTAATAGATAACATTAATAAACTCACACTTAATAACCACACTAAAAGCGGCTTCCATCTGGATTTACTGGCAATAAAAGGAGACATTACAGAACTTTGGGAATTTGATCAAGGCGCCGAATACTAATCTTAGATTACAAAACTGTGGAATCTAACTGCTTAAGTATGGGAAAACAAAGCAATCAAGGACAGGCTTTTGGTAAAAGCTTTGCACTGTGGATTAATAATTAATGTGTAAAATGTACTTTATAATAAACTACATCATAATGGATTACTTTTGATAGCTAAATTGGCAATGATATCCCAGTATGGCTTCATTGACTCAATCCTTCAATTTTACTTGCTAGATTTATTGGGTTAAACTACAATGAACCAATTATAGGCCTATTTTAACTTGTTTAGAAATCATAATTAATTTAAAAATATTGATGGAGACCTCAAAATTATATAAAAATTGGCAAAAGTACAAAAACAATAATAGTACAAGGTCTTTAAATGAGAAAGTGGCACAATCTACCTTTAAGGTAATAAGCAGCATTCAACAGGGAAAAAGCATTTCAAAAAAGCCAACTAATGTTATTAATGCAAGAAAATGTTGAAGTTAGTGCTATATGTTATCATACACAGAAAATAGAGGTAAAATATTCAGTGAGGTAGTTTAGAAATAGTCAAATGTTTTAGAAACAAGTAGCAATGAGTTATAATTTACATCAACTTTGACATCAGAATCTAGAAGTAGATACAAGAATTGACTGTCTAGAAGACTGAGAAAATATCTTGTTTTGTGATGTTCTGAATGTATAACTATCAGCATTTTTTTTTCAGAAATTGAATATAAATCTTACCAGAATCCTTCAGAACACACGGAGAATGGCAAACGAAACAGACTATCTCTTAGGAAAGTTAATTTCATCTTCCCAATCTTTGCCTCAAACTTAAGGAAATTGCATTTATTTCTAATTTTATAAGGCGCTCCATTCTCCAAAGAGGGATATTCAGGGTAATTCTGAAGTTAGGGTACACAGTTACTGCAAAAATGTGTAATTTGTCATCTGTTTTGAGTCCCTTAATTCCTACTCCCAAGTAATAATAATCTCACACATAGACAGAACTTTACATATCACAGAGTGTTTTTGTTTTTAATATTATTATGCCATTCACTATTTTAAAAAGTTCATATAAAATAATATGATATTTTAATGAGTATATTTACATAGCTAGGTGAAAAAATACACCACTGGTAATACTGGTAACTTCTGTGGAAAGAATAAAGATTTAGGTATTTGTCAAAGGAGACTTTAGCTTACAAAGCCTTTTCACATATGCTATTTCATTTATCCTTAAAAGAACCCTGTAAACTCTTATAAACTGCAGTTTGTATAGGAAGTTCCTCTATGTTCATTTCACAAATAGCTGGGAGTCTGTTATATTTCAGCTACTTCAGATATATCAATGGCCTCATAAAGATGACACTCTAGTGGGGAGTACAGATAATAAATAATAATGTAAAAAAGGTAAAAATTATATAGGACATTAGAAGGTGATAATTACTATAGAAAAATAAGTAGAATGGAGTGAGGGGGATATGGAATGGGGAGCATTGCTGGATGGAATATTATCATAAATAGAACACTTGGTGTTGGCTTCATTGAGAAGCTGACTTTTGAGCAAAGCTTTGAAGAAGTTGAAGACTTAATCATGGGGATGTCTGGGTGAAGAGCATTCTCAGATGAGGAAACAGCCAGTGCAAAGTCTCAAGCAATGAGCGTGGCTGGCAATTTAAGGAAATGCAAGGTGGCTGGTGCAGGTGGAGCAGAGGGAAGAGGTAAGGTTGGACAGGTAATGTGTGCCATTGTAAGGTTTTTGCTCTTTCCTCAAAGGGAAATGGGAGCCACTGCAGGATTTTGAGCAGAGGAGTGATGCAACCTAAGTGGGTTTTAAAACCTCACTTAGGTTTTAAAAGTCACACCCAGCTGCTGTGTCAAGATGAGTGCAAAGGGCAGGGGTAGCCGGGAGCCCAGTCAGGAGACCAAGGCAGTAATCCAGGAGAGGGGTGACGGTGGCTTAGAACAGGAAGGGGCAGGGGAAATAGTGAGAAATGGCCACATTTTAACTTATTTTGAAGGCAGAGCCAACAGAACTTCCTGAGAGATTGGTTTAAGGTATGAGAGAAAGACATGTGGGGGACTCTGAGGTTTTTTGGTTTCCTGAGCACTTGGAAGAATGGAGGTGCCATCAATTGAAATGAGGGAAGGCTGCAGGTAGAGCAGGCTTGGCAGGGGAAGGTCAGGAGTTTAGAGGTGGACATGTGAAGTTTGATAGTTCTATATGTATATCGAGGTCAACTGTCAAGCAGGCAGTTAGACGTATGAACCTGAAGTTTGGGAGAGAAGTCTGGAGTAGCTATGTGCATCTGAGAATTGTCAGCATGTTGATGATATCTAAAGTCCAAAGACCGATGAAACTGCCAAGGGATTAAGCATGGAGGGAACAAAAGGACCAAGGATTCAAGGTCTCTTCATGCCGCAGATGTTAAACACACACATACAGAAATAAACGTGTAATTGCAATTGTGACAAAATGCTATAAAGGAAAACCTCATGGAGGTATAGGGTAAAAGAGGCTCAAGGTGAGCCTCTCATAGGACATGGCTCTTTCAAGGATACATAGGAAGAGTTAGCCTGAAAAAGGGAGGAGAGAGGTTGAGTGAAGGAGAGAGAGGGCAGAGAGGTAGCATGAGCAAATTACCTAGGGCAGGATGGGGTGTGTTTGATGAACACAGTGCGGGTAAGTGTGGCAAGAACTTTGTGTGCCAGGAGGAGGGTGATGTGGCATGAAGTTGAAGAGAAAGGTAGGGCCAGATCAAGCAATGGCCATGTGAGGATTTTGAACTCTGTGAAGCCTTTCAAAATGCTAAGAAGAAAAAGACTATAAAGCAATGAATTAAAATCCTTTCTCTGGAAAGAACTTGATAATAAAGTGTTTCAAGGACAGTGTAATGGAAGTTTCTGCTGCAAATTTATGTTAAAGATGTGGGAAAAAGCAGGATGAATGGCAAAGTTGCAAAGTGGGCTTATGAGGTATCAATGATTTCAATCAAAACAAGGTAGAACTGTGAGTAATAGTTAATATTACAGTCATTTTATTTTTAAAAATATGAAAGAAACACAAAAGGCTGAAGAGGATAATAGAAACCAAGTATGGTGTAATCCTCATATTGAGAGTTGTGAAAGCCTTTTTAAAATTGGATAAAAGAATAGAACCAGGCATGTAAAATAATGGGTGATAAGGAAAAGACCAGGTGGCTGGTCCTGTTTGTCCTGTGTTGAAATGTTAGAACAGGTCATAGTTAATGAGTGGTGACAAGCTGTTCCCTATCTACCCCGAGAATCCAAGAGAAAAAGACTCCTTAGTAGGAGGATTTAGGATTTAGGAGGGGTAGGAGGAAGAATTTTTTGACATTATAAGGTATTAGAATGGATTTCGTGGGCTTACCTTTTCTGAAGGTCTTTGGAGGCTGGACAGACCAAAGGTTGACAATGCCTAAGACAAACAACTATGGTGACTTAGTGTGTTTTGCAGGTTGACTTATTAGTTATAACTGCCACTGTGTTGGTCTTCTAGGGATGCCATAACAAAGTACCACAGACTCTGTGGCTTAAACAACAGTAATTTTCTCACAATCCTGCCAGGTAGAACACTGAGGTCAAGGGGTCAGCAGGGTTGGCTTCTTCTGGGGCTCCTCTCTTTGCCTTGCAGATGGCTGCCTTCTCCCTGAGTCTTCACATGGTCTTCTCTTTCTATGTGTCTGTGTCCTCATCTCCTCTTCTTATAAGGAGCCAGTCATATTGCATTAGGGCCCACACTAGTGACCTCATTTTAACTTAATTACCTTTTCAAAGACTCTATTTCCAAATAGAGTCACATTGTGAGGTACTGAGGGTTAGAGGACTTCAACACATAAATTTTTGGGGAGCACAATTCAGCCTATAACAGCCCCAAACTAGAAAAACTTTCCAGAAGTGTGGGAGAGCAGTGTATATGAGAGGTAGGAGAAGTGATATCTGCAGGTTTGCAGTATTTTGCAGGAAGAATGACTTGGGATGATGAGAGATAGCCATAAAAGCAGTAGTGTATCATTCATGAAGATCCATGGGCTTTCCTTATACACTATGCATTTATAATAATAATAATAATAATAATAATAGTTATTATTATTATTATTACTTAGACAGGGTCTCACTCTGATTTTCCAGGCTGGACTGCTGTGGCATGATTTCTGCTCACTGCAGCCTTGACCTCCTGGGCTCTGGTGCTTCTCCCACCTCAGCCTCCCAAGTAGCTGGGACTACAGGTGTGTGCCACCATGCCTAGCTGATATTTTGTATTTTTTGTAGAGACAGATTTTCACCATGTTGCCCAGGCTGGTCTCGAATTCCTGGGCTCAAGCAACGTACCTGCTTTGGCCCACACTATGCATTTAAATATGTGAGACAGATTCTTACCTTCTTGAGAGGGTACATGAAACAGGGATGGACATGTTTTTGTGAATATAATGGACAGCTAATTCTGAATCAAAGGGAATATTTGAAAATCTCTTAAGAAGTCTGAGATTTCTTGACAACAAAATACAAAATAATCCTCTAGAAACATCTTGAAGAAAATGCACAGTAGCTTATTGCTATAGCCTAAATGTTTTGTGTCCCCCTAAAATTCATATGTGGAAATCCTAACCCTCAAGGTGATGGCATTAGGAGGTGGGGCCTTTGAGAGGTGATTAGTCATGAAAGCGGAGATTTCATGAATGGGATTAGTGCCCCTATGAAACCCAAGGGAGCTTGTTTGACTCTTGCACTATGTAAGGACAGTGATAAGGCACCATATATGAAAGAAAGTGGGTCTTCAACAGACACTGAGTCTGCCAGCACCTTGATCTGGGACTTACCAGCCTCTAGAACTGTGAGAGATACACTTCTGTTGTCTATAAGCCAACCAATTTATGGTATTTTGTTATAGCAGTCCAAACAGACAAAGACACTCATTCATTCAAAAATGGTAATTGAGCTCTCCCCGCTTGTGCCAGGAACAGTGCTCAATGCTTGACTGATCCCTGCCCTCATGGAGTTTACTCTAGTGGGGAAAAATAATGAATGAGGAAATAAACAAATTTGATTTGTCCTGTAAAAGTACCACACAAGCGGATGTAGAAGTCCTGGGTTGGGCTGGAGTAGGGAAACCACATGGGAATGCGGGGTCAGTGCAGGTTTATCTGGTGAGGATACATTTGAGCTGAGATCTAAGAATGAGGACCATATGGTCCCAGGTGTTGATCATCCCCAGTCCAGTGGTTTCAATTTAATTTTGACCTTTTCAAAAATCTTCTTAAGTGGTGAAGCCTTTATGTCAGTTTATGGCAACTTTCAGAAAGCCTAACAATCCTGCCACTAAAGTGATAGTTTTGATTTACTTTCGGGCATAATCTTTCATCAATGCCTATTTATAACTATTCTAATGCTATGCAAGCTTGCTGTCTACACCACTTTACTTCCCAGTACAGGTTTAATAGGAAAAGAATCATTTGCTAAATAAAATATTCACAAACAATTTGCATGTTCAACTGTAGGGGGAGTGAATATTCATAATAGGAAAAATACCACTGCATAAAGAGAATATAATGGTTACTAGGGATTTGGAAACCTGGAACTATCATCAAAATATAAATATTAGTATATTACCATGATTGCGTATTATTCTGTTATTAAATCACAAAAATCTCAACTTTTACCGCAATCAGGTTTTTGAATGCTCAACATTCTCGCGCTATTTAACTAGAACAGTTTTCTAGATACAAATGGATATATTATTTTCCATAAAAATGTTATCTTTTTACAGTATATTTAATTCAGATTCAGTTTCTACTTCCACTAAAATAATTGCTTATAATACACAGACTCGATTTTATATGACTAATTAGAACAGTGTATGGGAAAAAATAGGTTTGCAGGTAATATTGAAATTAAATATGTTAATCTGTACCTCAGTGTGCACATTTTATATGAGCTTTAATTTGCCAAATAAATTATAGTTCTGTGTTTATAAGGTGCCCTTGAAAGAGTGACCTATTTTTGAGCACTAATACCATGGGGAAACAAATATACAAAGCTTTTAGCTATAGGCTACACTTGCATAAATTAAGGCAAGAGCAGTTGGTTGGTAAGTAGAGCTATGGTATTCTTAGCTTTTTGAACACTGAATTGTTAACATGATTTTTTTTAGTATGGTTACTAATATTAAGATAATAAATAATATTTAGTTTCAATATAGCACCCTTCAGCCAGGGCATAAATTCATTTTGAATGCTGTGTTGAATTAATGTATAATAAACATACTGCAGTTTGCTATCAGGAATTCTCGATGAAATGCAGGAAGTCAGTTCTTTGCTTATGCATTAGCATCGCCAGTCTTGCTCTGTTTAATTTTAGCTATTTATAAAATTGCTCTACTGACAGTCCTCTTTATTTTAATGTGATTGTTTTAAGGTTAACCAGAAATGGTATGGTGTGCTTCCTGAAGTAGGTTATAAGTGTTGATGTAGGAATATGGGTCCCTCACAAAAATCCCTTTCACCACTAGCCACCTGCGATCGGGACACTCAGCTGCCTAATTGGGTAAATCATGGTGTCCCCTGTGGGGTAGGGGCCTGCAAAATCACTGTGTATACCTGGAGTTGTTGAGTATCTTATAAAGCAGTTGGATCACAGAGGACTTGTAAAAGAAAACAATGTTGCTGACAGAAGTAGAATCTGAAAGCAGTTGCAGCAATTGTCACTTAAGTCTCAGACAAAGGACAACTGTATTTAAAATGTTCTGTATTCTTTTCTAATAGGTTAGTTGCTTTTTATGATATTTATTTACATAACAACTTACAAGACTTTGGGCTTCAAAGTGGTTCCAGGTCTTAAATACTGAAGAAGTAGAGTGAATTGTCCAATAGCACCCACATTTACGACTAAAGGGAGAAGCAAGAGAGCCTTCAAAAAGGAAAAAGGTAGCCAGCAAGTGCAGCCCCAGCAATTCAGTTGGCTGAGGAGGGAGGATTGCTTGAGCCCAGGAGTTCTAGGATGTAGTGTGCTATTCCAATTGGGTGTCCGCACTAAGTTTGACATCAATATGGTGACCACCTGAGAGCAGGGGACCACCGGGTTGCCCAAGGAGGGGTGAACCGGCTCAGGTTGGAAATGGTGCAGGTGAAAACTCCTGCACTGATTCGTAGTGGGATTGCATCTGTGAACAGCCACTGCACTCCAGCCTCAGCAACATAGTCAGAACCCTGTCTTTAAAAAGAGACAAAAACAAAAACAAAAAAAGAAAGAAAGAAAGAAAGAAAGAAAGAAAGAAAGAAAGAAAGAAAGAAAGAAAGAAAAAAGCTAGTATTATTTTGATATCCATCAGCTTAGGCTGTCATAACAAAGTACCATACACTGGGTGGCTTAAACAACAGAAAATTATTTCTCAGAGTTTTGGAGGCTGGAAGTCCAAGATCAGGGTGCCCATGGTTAGGTTCTGGTGAGGGCTGTCTGCCTGGTTTGCAGACAATGGCCCTTGCCCTGTGTCCTGACATGGCAGAGAGAGGGAGTGAGGTCTCAGGCTTCTCTTCTTGTAAGGACACTAATCCTATTGATTCAGGGCTTCATGGGCTTATGATCTCATTTAACCTCGATTTCTTCTTCAAAGGCCCTATCTCCAAAACAATCACATTGGGGGTTAGGGCTTCAACATAAACATTGTTTTTTGAGGGGAGATGATTCAGTCCATACCATACTATAAGTTTTAAAACAGGAGTTCATAATGTTTTTTGGTGCCAAAAAACTTGTGGAGTCCCTCCCAGAATAAAGTTTACAAACATATACATTACATAGGATTATGAAGAAAACTAATTAAATGTAAAAGCAGTTGGCAAATTGTTAAAACACTGTGATACAGAAACAGATGTGTTTCTTTATTATTAATACATTAAATAACATGCTCTAGTGGTTTCTCTAATAACCACCATAATTTTGATATAATGATGGATAAAACTGATATTTTGAAATATTTGTAGTAACTGTAATAGAATTTGAAAATGTCTGTGATTTTTATTGGTGACAAATTACAGGTATTGCTAATACTATTGTGATTGATTCTTAACATTCATAATGGAAGAAAATGCAAAATTTTAGTTAGAAGTTACTAAAATGAAAGCACAATTTTTGTTTTTATCCAAATTTGAAGACTTTAAAAATGTTATGCATGAACCCCAAGTTAAGAATCCCTAGACAGGTTACCTTTTAAGATGTGTTTTCAACCAAAAAAACTGTTTTAATAATTTAACAATGCTATGATCATAAAAATGTCAGTTATTATTATACTTAAGAACAAATAATTGTTCATTATTATTATTATTATTATTTTTTGAGATGGAGTTTCACTCTTGTCATGCAGGTTGGAGTGCAATGGCGCGATCTTGGCTGACTGCAACCTCCGCCTCCTGGGTTCAAATGATTCTTCTGCCTTAGTTTTTTGAGTAGCTGGGATTACTGGCACCCGCTCCCACACCCAGCTAATTTCTGTATTTTTAGTGGAGATGGGGTTTTACCATGTTGGCCAGGCTGGTCTTGAACTCCTGACCTCAGGTGATCTACCTGCCTTGGCCTCCCAGAGTGCTGGGATTACAGGTGTGAGCCACCGTGCCTGGCCTCATTATTTTTGTTATAGAGCAGTTTAAAAAAATATTTTAAAAGTTATGGGTTTCAACTAGAGCTGAATGGACTGCTAATTATGTAAGGTAGGGTTAAAATGATAAAATTATTTTAATAAGTAACTCCACTTTTGAAGGGATTATAACAACGTTTTAAAATTTACCTGCCAAATACAGACATACTTCTTTTTCATAACTGACTGATTTAGGAAAGCTATATATTCTGTGGGTATTACTAAAATTCCCATCAAGGAAAAGATAAATCTGGGTTCACTCCATATGAAATAGGGCATCTATGATTTTATCTCTCAGTAGTTTCTGAGTTTGGTCCTTTCAGAAAAAGAAAATGTGTTTCCTTACTAGAGACAAAAGACTGCTTCCCAAATAAACCAACCTAAGAGGAGGCTGTATCTTCAGGAAGCATGGTTGGAATGTTGAGATCTACTTTAGTAAAATTATAAGAAGCCTTTAGGGAGTTAAGTTCTAGGCAAAGAATTTGGGGTACATTTTAAAATTTTTAAATAGCCAGAATGTGTTAAGGGGCAGAAGGCTTGATGACCTGAATAAGTTAAAAAATACTTTA
This sequence comes from Homo sapiens, assembly GCF_000001405.40. Classification (NCBI taxonomy): domain Eukaryota; kingdom Metazoa; phylum Chordata; class Mammalia; order Primates; family Hominidae; genus Homo; species Homo sapiens. The sequence goes on along the minus strand of NC_000001.11, from coordinate 88,475,845 downwards.
ATCCCAGAGGCATACTCAGCCTGTAGTTTCTTTCAGCACAAGAAAGACACGTAACAAGAAAACCAACCAGGCCTATTCAGGCTAAGCTTGAGGACACAGGGCCTTTTCAATGAAATGAGCATTTAGCATTTGTGACTTCCTATTCTGTGTTCCTGTCCTCCAAATCTACAAAAAAAGATTTGGCCTCTTCATTTGTATTTATCTTTTTAGGTATTTTATCATCAAATAGAAGAACCTATAACAATGCTAATTTGTGTGGCACCCAAAACTTTTTGAAGGAATGTGTTGGTCTTCATTGTGTTTACTGATCAGATGATACAATAGAGACTCCAGAGGTTTAGTGGCTTGGCTAAGACCACAGAACTAGAACGTTGCAGTATCAGTATTAAGATAGAACCTAAGTTATTCGTGTCCAAATCCCATGTCCTTTTTACTAGAATCTGTGGCCTTATTTAAAGCCACTGTAAGGAATAGACAGTCCCTCACTTTCAATAAATATTAATCAAAAAGCTACCGTGTGACAAGTAATGTGCCATGCACTTGCATTATGGTCCTGAACAAAACAGACATGGTCTCCACCTATGTGAAATTTACAATTAAGTGGGGCAGGTTTGAACTACATAATTATAGTAAGGTGTGATGATGCAAGTGTGCTACTTAGGGGCTGTTTCTTTTTTAATGTATGTCAATACTTGAGCATACTGAGTAGTGACTTTCCTAGTATCTGTCTCACTGCATATGCACATAGCCTCATCATTCAGAATATGGACTTTGGAGTCTTTCTGCCTGGCTTTAAATCCTTGCTCCATCATGTACTTGCTGTGTGATCTTGGCCAAGATTCTTAACCTCCTGATCCTTCACCTTCTTCATCTGTAAAATATGATACAATATACCTACCTCAAAGAGCTATTGTGGAGATATAGTCAGATAATCTATTTAAAATGCTTAGAATAGTGCCTATTACACAGTAAGTATAGAAAAAATGGTATCTATTATGATTGTTATTGTTTATTCTTTCCTTAGCATGCAGCAAGTATTCCCTTGAACTTGCTCTCATAGTTTGCCCTGGGTTAATGTACATAGCTAATATTTGCTAATTCTGATGCCATCTGTAGTCCTGGCTAGGCCCTGATGTTTTGGTTTCAAAGTGAAGTGCCTTTGCAAGTCTTATATCAATCTGATCTGGTCCATTTCATAAAGCTCTGCCTAATATTCCGGTTAAGAATCAGCTTTTCACCTTTAGTCTTAAAGAAAGCAGAGATGGGTCTCAGATCTTTGTTGAAATTCTGCAATATGCAATTTAAAGTTAGATTGACCTTCAAGCTGACAAAGTAAAATAAACAATTTTATAAATGAAAATGGCTAATCTGAAATAGATCACAGCTAAGAACTTCATTTTTTATTCATTCTCTTCATAGAAGAGTGATATCATACAAGTGAACATCTAATATTGTACTTCATTGTGGTGCTCAGTGAAGATGCAGTTAGAGGAAATTAAGGACACAATGAATTGGCAGAAACCGGAGAATAAGTCTATAGTCCCTTATTTCAGTTACTTTATTTAAATGTGGGTATGTCTGATTTAAAAAAAAATAGTTGCTACATAAAATTTTGCTGTTGGATTTTTTAATCTTTTGAACTGTTCTGGTTTCCTAGAAATCAACTTTCACTGAAGATTTTTTTTTTTAATATGTAGAAGAAGCTCACATACTTCAGGAAAACCGCATGAAAAGTACCCAAGGTTAGTTGCTTCAAACTCACATCTCTTTAAGTGTACTCTGTGACAATTTTAATTTTTTTCAGGAAAGAAAATCTATTAATTAAGAGCTCAAATATTTAACAGAGAAAATACAGTGAAAGGAAACAATAATTTTTTTCAATAACATGAGAAAATAAAATCACATGATCTAAACATTTCCTCCCAGCTGTCTGCATGGTAAGTCTAGTACCTTTGTGGACTTAAAGGAGAAGCTTTAAGACTGGACTAAGGGCTGTGCTCACTGGGCAATCTGGGCAATCGACCCTTGTTCTGGTTCTGCAGCTTTAAGTTCAGGGAAGACTGGACCAGGCTGTATTAGCAGGGAAAGGCTGAGGGTGATAAATAAGCACTGTACTCATGCCTCACCAGACTGTACTGAACTGTGTAGTCATATTATACATGGTATACTACTGAGATTGATGGGCTAGAAGAGGTGGTCCCCTGCACATTGCCAGAGCAGCCTCTTTGTAGGTCTTTATGCACGCGTGTGAACACATACACACACACACGAAGCTCAGCTTGTAGGGGAGCACTCTATAAAGTCCCAGTAAGACACACTGGGTCTCACTCTCACTCATGTTATCATCTTGGATCTTTGATTTCTGGGTCCAGAAGCTCACAACTCCAGCTGTCCTGGGAAATATGGTTTATCCCTTTTGCACTTATTTTCTTCTGCACATCTTTGAAAGTAACTCTTCTTGGTTTACCAAGTGGTATCTGTGTCTAATCTTTCTATTTAGTTGAATATGACATTTTTAATATGATAGTTTTATGAGTTTCAAGTCATAGATGCTTAATAAAAGTGAACTGAATTATACTCAGTTTAAGGTAAAATAAGTATGTTCAAATGATGCACCATCGAAATCTAGAACTATTAAAAGTATGTCTAAATAAATTAAATCCAAATTCCATAACAATTGAAAAAATAGGCGGAGATTCTAGGAATGATATCTAACATAAACATGTATTTAGTTACTGATCTATATTCATATCTAAAAGTCCAACCTTCTTATGCAGTGTACTCTTGGTATTCCTAGAACACTGAGTTCACGTAATGTGTTGTTTTTTCCTTTCACTTTTTGTGTTAACTTTCCAAAAGGGACACAACCAAAATATCATCATTGATTTAAATCTCTCTGGAGACACCCTGTACCACTGATTGTCTCTTCCTTCCAATTCTCTGCAGAAATTCAGTGTCCAGATGTTTCAGAATCCAGATGGCCTAAGAATCCTCTATCACCCAGAAAGGAGGAAAATGTGCATGAAAGTGGAACATTTAAAAGAAAAAAATAATTTAGCTTTGGCTATGTAATGACAACATACAGAGCTTGAGAAAAAGCTTCTTTTCCTAAAGCAGCAACTTAATAAAAGGCATGTTATAGGCTTTATCAGTAAGCCAAAATTTCAGCCTTGCCTCTTCTTCCCATCACCATTAAGAGGCTTGCAGAGGTCCACACTCTTTAAAGGGCAGACAGCATGGAAGAACTATCATGTACAATTTGAAGTAGCAGCTAAAATTGGAATGGTCACGAGAAAGCCTGTTTCTTTGCAATTAAATTGACAAGCTGTCTATGATTACCCTAGGGAACTTGGCAGCTGAGTGATAAAAAGACTGCAGTGTGTTGAAAGGTCTAACGCAACTTACTAGGTGGACAAAGACCACATCTGCTTAACATACTGATTGGGAGAGTTGTGGAATGTACTTGGCTACATTAGCTGAGGAGAGATACTAAGGATACTTTTTCCTCTCTAAGACCCTGTGCTTAGAACCTGTTGTAGAAACTACCCACAAATATTTGGAAGCATGTATGAAAAACAGTTTAGCACAATATCTGATGTTATTCAGCATGAACCTACCATTACAAATCACCAGAATTGAGCAGAAGTTTAGAAAGAAATAATAATTAAAAATGCCTTTAATCTAATTATGTTTGTGAAATTGTATATACTTGATACAAAAATTGGGTACTTGAGAAGATTTATTGTGATAACAATAAATGAAAGAAAATGCATGATTTAATACAAAATACTAGGCAATAATTACTTGGGATATTCATCAGTGGAGAGTCCTTGAGTTGGGCAACACTGAAACTTAGGTTATAAAGGAGAAAACAATAACCAGCTTTGGGGTGGTAGCAATTTGTGAAGACTAACACACCGATTTCAGCAATGTCTTCTTAATTTTGTTATATTCCTTAAAAGGGCAAATGCATGTAAAAAGCAAATGTTTCTTCTAATAGATTTAACAGATACTAGTAGCACTCTACACTAAGTAAATAGAGGACGACCATGTCTACTTGCCTATCAGTTCTTTCTGAAGCCCAAGAACCATTTATTTCAGCAATCTTGAAAAATAGTTTGTGACTACTTCCAAAGGAGGATTACCATTGGAAGGGTTTTTGAAGTAGAAGTGTATTATGTACTCCCTTGGCTTTACTTCAAAAACCAGAGATTTTCCAATGAGCTGGCCATCACTGACTGGTCTTTGAGACCAGACCATGTGTTACTTCAACAAAATTATTCAAAGCTCAAAGTCATTCAAATGCTCAATGATGTCAACACTAGACAAAGGTTCCTCAATATTATTTTCAGATTAACAAAACAATAATATCTTATATTAGTATAACACATTACATTTTACCAGATGATTTTATATCTAAAATGACTTTTCTTCTTCCCCTTAACAACCCCGTGGAGTAGATTTTGTCGTCCCCATTTTAAAGATGGAGGAAGGGAAGGAAGTTCAGAAAGACTGAGTGACTTGCCTAGAATCACATAGTAATTGGCAGAGCTAAGTGTCTTTGCACTGCAATCAAAGGAAGATGGAGAGCAGAGCCTAATGTGGAAGATAGCATGAGATGTTTAAAAAAGTCCCTCATTTGCAAAACCTAAGTCAACACATTTGTGTAAACTGAACATTCAGACTTCCCTTTTAGGATAACTGGATGAGATGATATATGTCTGCTGATGCCTTCAGCCAGACTCTTAAGAATGTGAATCTAATTATTGAGGAAAAAATACTTGTACTCGTTCCTCCCATTATGTTGAAGGTTATAGGCTTATGTACTCATTACTTGCCTTTTCTAAGAAAATGTGCATCTGGTAAGAGGCTGCTATACCATTCATTGCTTTTTCCAAATGCCCCACTGCTACGAGCTAGTACAGTGCCTTGTACAAAAGTTGGGTTGAATAAATGCTTTTTGATGCTAATTATCATTTCTGACAGATAGTAACCAAGTCGTACTCCAAAACAATACTTTGCGATTCATCCAACTCTTGATTATTCACTGGAAAGAGGGGCTAGAAACAGCATGGATAATTGAAATCCACAGACAAACATAAACCTAACTTTACAAATAGCTTCAATCTCCTCCCTCAGTAAACCTTTAACTGGAGCTAACATAATTAGGTTGACTGGTTTGAGCTGGTTAAATGATATTTAGTGTCAAAAAGTATTTATTCAGCCCAACTTTTCTACAAGTTTGGGCTTTATCTTCCTCCACCTCCACTCTGGTTGAGGTACTGCTAAGTGGAAAAATAGTTTAAAAAATAGCTAACAGGGCGGGTGAATCACCTGAGGTCTGGAGTTTGAGACCAGCCTGGCCAACATGGTGAAACCCCATCTCTACTAAAAATACAAAAAACTAGCCAGGCATGGTGGCGGGCAACTGTAATCCCAGCTACTCGGGGCGAGGAGGCAGGAGAATCACTTGAACCTGGGAGGCAGAGGTTGCAGTGAGCTGAGATCGCGCCATTGCATCCAGCCTGGGCAACAAGAGTGAAACTCCATCTCAACAACAACAAAAAAAAGTAGCTACCAGAATTAATAAAATCAAGAGTTCACTCAAGTAAAACATCTCTTTTGACAACTGCGCTATGTGCAGGTACTTAATGCTTTTTAAGAAGACAGATATACAGCGATAAAAATATATCATCCACCTTACTCTTCTACTTCTTTTGCTGACCCACATCACAATCCTGCAGTTACTTAACTACTTTCATACCCGTCTTGTGTATTAAGCCATTTCTTAATGTTATTCATTCATTTATTCTAAATTAGCCAATAAACTTCTGGCAGTAGGATGGACACAAAGTCCTTCCAAAAATGTAGCATAGTGTGAGATCAAGATCCAGAATAAAGTTTAAATATATATGTTTAAACTTACATATATGTGTGTGTGTATATTTAGTTACAGTAATATTGGCTGTATTGACAAGCCTTCAAAAATGGTCAGGCCACTTAATACATTTACAAAAACATTACCTTCTACCCAAGGAAAGTGATGATATGTGAAAGTGATGATAAGTGAAGATACAATGAAAATTATTTAGAATCTTTATTTTACAACAGTAGTACATGGAATTTAAATACAAGGTAGTTGTACACACTAGTTTGTCTCAGGGGATACTTATAAGAACTGGAAACACAAACTGAATAAACACTGGTTCTTTACCAATATCCGTTTCCCCTTTTTTCCTTACCTGGATTTGTCTGGGACAACTACGTGCCCAGTTAAAATTTCTCACTTCCCCAGATTCTTTTACAGTTAAGGCTGTGTGACGTAGTTTACCCAATAATTTGTATGCAAAACCTTACCAGGTGAGGCCCTGGGCAAGCTATTATTTTCCTATAAAAAGGGACAAACTCAGATCACACACACCTTTGCCCCTTCTTTATTCTTTCTGCTTAGAATGCAGAAAAATGCATGGAGGTAAAGCATCCATCTTATGACTATAAGGAAAAAAGCTACATGGTAAGGATGATGAACAAGAGAGAGAAAATTAGGTCTCTGATAGAATTGTGGGGCTGCTGAACTAGCCCTCACATGCCTCCCCTTAAAAGAAAAACAAATCCTTATTTGGTTAAGCCATTTTAGTAGGGTTCCTGTTACAGGTGAAGGTAATAGAGTCTGGCACACAGGCTTGTTAGAGCATTGTCTCTGCAGATAAAGGTTCGTGGCACTCTACTGTGGCAGTCACTTTTACATTTTCTTCATATCCCTTAAAGTTATAACACACTCCAGCTGTAGTTTCCTGCAGCTATTGATCATATGTTTGTTGGACAATCCTCTCAGGCTACAGTGATGTTTATAATGCCAATCACAAGGTCCAAGAATTTCCACCAATTACTAATTGCCTGATAATTTTAATATTTGTTTCTTAATGGCATCTCAAGCCACTGTGAAACTTGTAATCTAATGCCCAGAGTGAAACATGTAGATATTTAGGTATACATAGATATATATCTAAAATATTTCCAATATACAGTATATAGCAACTTAAGAAATCAACGTTGTATAGGAGAATGCTGAACAAGGTATGTTCAATGAGAAGGTCATTCTGTGGGACAATCTAGAATGAAGTATGTGATTGTCAATAGCCTACTAGAACTGTTAATAAGGGAGCCTCTTCACACCTGTTGAAGGTGAGGGATTATAGCATTTGTGGTTGGAAAAAAAATCATCACAAAATTAACAACGAGGTTATGAATTAAGCTACCACATAATTTTCCCATTTTTCTTCTCATGACACCATCCCAGAACTTTTAGGCTCAGCTATTGCATTTACTACATTACCTAAACGTTATTTGTGTACACGTAGGTACCCAGGTGGGGGAAAACTCCTGGAAGGCAGTGCCCATATTTATTCACCCGTTTCCTGAGTGTCTGTCTGTCACATGGTGGGTGCTCAGTACACATTGATTGAATCAAATCTGGTGTGGTAGCGTGTCCAGAATTGGTGGGTTCTTCGTCTCACTGACTTAAAGAATGAAGCCGCAGACCCTCACGGTGAGTGTTACAGTTCTTAAAGGCGGCATGTCTGGAGTTTGTTCCTTCTGGTGTTGGGATGTGTTTGGACTTTTTCCCTTCTGGTGGGTTCATGGTCTTGCTGGCTTCAGGAGTGAAGCTGCAAACCTTCATGGTGAGTGTTACAACTCACAAAGGCAATGTGGACCCAAAGAGTCAGCAGCAGCAAGATTTATTGCAAAGAGCCAAAGAACAAAGCGCTCACAGAGTGGAAAGCAACCCCAGCAGGTTGCCACTGCTGGCTAGGGCAGCCTGCTTTTATTCTCTTATCTGGCCCCACCCACATCCTGCTGATTGGTCCATTTTACAGAGAGCCGATTGGTCTGTTTTACAGAGAGCGGATTGGTCCGTTTTGACAGGGTGCTGATTGGTGTGTTTACAATCCCTGAGCTAGACACAGAAGTTCTCCACCTCCCCACTAGATTAGCTAGATACAGAGTGCTGATTGGTGTATTTACAAACCCTGAGCTAGACACAGAGTGCTGATTGGTGCATTTTCAAACCTTGAGCTAGATACAGCATGCTGATTGGTGTATTCACCATCCCTTAACTAGACAAAAAGATTTTCCGAGTCCCCACCAGATTAGCTAGATACAGAGTGCCCATTGGTGCATCCACAAACCCTGAGCTAGACACAGGGTGCTGACTGGTGTGTTTACAAACCTTGAGCTAGATATGGAGTGCTGATTAGTCTATTTACAATCCCTTAGCTAGACATAAAGGTTCTCCAAGTCCCCACTAGACTCAGGAGCCCAGCTGGCTTCACCTAGTGGATCCGGCACTGGGGCCCCAGGTAGAGCTGCCTGCCAGTCCCGCGGTGCGCCCGCACTCCTCAGCCCTTGGGCAGTCCATGGGACCGGGCGCCGTGGAGCAGGGGGCGGCGCTCGTCCAGGAGGCTCAGGCTGCACAGGAGCCCACGGCGCCGGGGGCTGGGGAGGCTCAGGCATGGCGAGCTGCAGGCCGCGAGCCCTGCCCCGCGGGGAGGCAGCTAAGGCCCGCGAAAAATCGAGCGCAGCGCGGGTGGATTGGCCCAGCTGGGGTACCTGGCGCACCCCCCGCAGCTGCTGGCCCCGGTGCTAAGCCCCTCACTGCCCGGGGCCGGGCCGGGCCGGGCCGGCCGGTTGGCAGCTCCGAGTGCGGGGCCCGCCAAGCCCACGCCCATCCGGAACTCTAGCTGGCCTGCAAGCGCGGCGCGCAGCCCCAGTTCCCGCCCGTGCCTCTCTCCACACCTCCGGGCAAGCTGAGGGAGCAGGCTCCGCCCTCAACCAGACCAGAGAGGGGCCCCCACAGCGCAGTGGCGGGCTGAAGGGTTCCCCGAGCATGGCCAGAGCGGACACTGAGTCCGAGGAGGCACCAAGAGCGAGCGAGCGCTGCAAGGGCTGCCAGAACGCTGTCACCTCTCAATAGGAAAAAAGTAAGAGTAGAATTTAGAATTGCAAGCTTTTCTTTTGATTCATTTTCTTTATGGTTTTCCAGTTAGAGGGAAGGGTAAATAACAGGGCAGATACAGGGGTTTTGACACTTGCTTTTAGCGGGTGGTAAATAAATCCTGGGAAATCCTGAACAAATCGGGGAAGATAAATAATTTGTGCTTTAGCTTGGGAGGAGCATAGATGGCAAAATTACCACGAAAAAGGACGAATAACCAGTAGGGGAAAATCTTTACTCGTTTAAAGTGTCTGTATATCCATAAATTATTCTTTAAATGGCTTGTGGGTATCCTACTTAAATATTGCCTTCTTTAGTTTATATGCTAATTTCTTAATCATTTCTGAGTAGTTTAATAAAATTTTCCGTTTCTGTAAGAAAAGTTTAATTGAATGGGAAAACATAATAGTTGTAGATAATTATGACTAGGGGAAACTTGCTATTTGGACCATGAGCTCACAACAAAGACATCATTATTCATTAGAGATAAATTATTTGTGAGGAAATAACTCTCGATTATGTGCAAATTCAGTCTATAAACAAACCGAACATCATAGGATATGAGTAGTTTCATTTGCCAGATTACCAACAATTTCTGCCTGATGCTCTGTGTAAGATGAGCTGGCATCTAACTCTCCTTTAACGATCTTTGAATTTTTTAAGAATCAGACAATGGTTTATGATGTGTGTTGTCACCATCAGTTAATCATGGTATCCAGTCAACCAGAACACCATATTTTGTACCCATGCAGAATTCAGCTAGATTTCAGGCTCCATGAGTACAGCTTTTGCAAGTGATGAAGACCCACACGGCATCCCAGAACCCAGGGTTTCAGAAACATTGTTGCAAAATTTACCTGCTGAGAGAGCATTAGGTCCTTGCCCAAACTGGTTAGTCTTATTTAAAAACAAAACAAACAAATTAAAAAAAGAGAAAAAAACCCAAGGAGTTGGCAATAAAAACGTACTTACTTTTCCATCACTTTAATGGTAGCCAGGAATAATTAGAACAAAGCATGACTGTTCAATTAGCTTTCAAGACTGACCAATTGAACTAAAATTTATTTTTATTACATTTGGGTAGCGTAGACCTTTCCAAATGTGGCTGTTTTCAAGTAACAACAAAGATCATTCCTTTCTTTTATAAAAGTTAATAAGCTGAGGAACACCGCAGAACACATTCTTATTTTATGCATTAGGGGGATTTGAAATGGAAATCAACAATTCTCAGAGTTTCTCTTCGGAGCCCTTCCCAATGACCAATTCCAAATCCTAACTAGGAAAGTGGCATATTCCATGGGCTTGCACTAGAAGGGGGATAAGAAAGCCTGAATTTTCTCTCCCTGGCATTGAACTGCTAGGTGACATTGGGTGGCATACTTCTACATCTAGGGTCTGACTGGTTTTAGGACACTCTCTGAGCAGATGAAGCACCGTTGACACGCATCAGGCCCTGGCATTCTCATCATGCCCTGGGATGAAACTCTCACAACGGCCTACATTTCACCTTGACTGCAGCCATTCCTTGTGTCTCTCCGTCCTTCCAGTAGTTCATTCTCACGAGACAGTTTATCACCCTTTATTCCTCAGAAGTGTTGCACATAAACAATCTTCCGGATACCAATTCTCTCATAGGCCCTTCTTCACGTTCTGTCCTTTGGTCTGTCTACAAACACTCCCAGGGACTTTTTCTTTCTTCTCATGGTATAATTTTGACCCCATGTTTAAGATCTTAAAAGCCACTTACTTTCTCTCCACAGTCCTTATTTTGCCAGAGTCGTCTTCTGCACAACCTCTGCCGTTCCCCTGGCTTCCCTATTACCATCAGGCTCTTGCTCTTTGAAACTCGTTCTATCACCTGGATTTATCATTTCGAACCGTTCCCACATTCTATTCATTTTCCTGGAATGTTGCTGTTGAGTCCTGTTCCCATTTCCTTCCTTTGCTCTCCATAAGAGGCTGGAGGTGGGGAGAGACCACAGGTCTGGAAAGAAAGACCTGGAAGATGGTGGTAGACCCATGTGAGAGTGGGCAGTTAATTAATTTTTCAGTCTCTGTTTTTTTCCCACATAAAGTGCGGGGGTTCCTATTTCTTTGTACTTAGGAGAGTCAGGGAAACACAAAGTGATTGTTACACTAGAGACACTAACCACAACACAAGCCATTTGCTTAGCAAAAACAAGAAAATCACAGGTTTATTTGATGACATGGCAATGCGAAAGATGGAATTTGGGGCTATCAGCCTAAGTAACTAACAGAGAGAGGCTGTCTAAAAGGAAATTACATTTATTTGGGAACAGAGCATTGGAATGGGAATACACATGCCATAGTAAACTACAGGCATGCAGGGAGGTAAAGAAAGACAAAGGCTTTTAAAGGAAAAATGAGGATTATATCATTGTTTTGAGATAATTATCCTTGGCTATGAAGACCCATAACAATAGCAAGGGTGATGCCAGTCGAAGGTTGGATAGGCAGTCACTGGGCGGATGTTCTTGCTGAAGTATTTTTTGTGTAAGGTTGTAATCATTTTTGAGCAAGGACTGTGGTTTTTGCAGGGTCTTTTGTGATAGTTTTTGTTATCAGGCATTTATGCATGAGAACCTTTTTTTTCATAGCCTTCTGCAGCTATATTTGTCAGGGTTCTTTTAATTAATTAATTAATTAATTTTTTAACACAAGTGACTCCATTTTGTTTCTGACAACTTTCACAGGCTCAGGGCAGCATATTGGCTTTTTTTTTTTTTTTTTTTTTTGACACAGGAACAAGCTCATGGTTTATTAGATTGGATTAAAGCTGGTCGAGTTAAGTAGATTCAACTGGACTTCGCCAATGAAGTAAACATGAACTCTCTGCTTTTCCCAACTCAGTAGTGGAATTTTTAAGATACGTTTCACAGATGTCTAGGATCGGTTTCCATTCTGTAATAATGGGAAACAATCATGACCTTTATTTTAAACAAAAACCATTGTGGAGGTGGATCCAGGATGCAAACAAAAATTATGCATCATTTTGCATAGTTGACATGGTGCATTTGAAGCATAAAACATTGCACACACTATAAACAAATGAAAAGCTGGAGTCAGTCCTGTTAGGCCCGGGCTACGATTGATTGCAATCTGAGGGCTGTGAAGTAACAGTCTGGAACTATGGTTTATCAACAATTTCATTTTCCTGAGACAACTTTGTCCTAGAGAGCTGGTAAAGTGCAGCATTTCCATTGGAACAGGATAGTGTGTTTTTCAAAGTATTTTCAGTTTCATCGTCTCAAGTTTGCACTCAGCAAAGTTGCTTTCACAAACTCCTGCTTAAAACGTATATGGGCATAATAGCTTCCAGAGATTTTATTACCCCTAGAGTTAGCCCTGAGAAAAATACACTCGAAAATGTAAGTGGCAAACTGGAAAATGTTATTTTGATTCCAAAAAAAAAAAAAAAGACACAAAATCTGAAATACCCAGCTTACCTTTGTGGGTTGCTTTCTCTTTCCTTTTTTCTTCGAGGGAAGGGAATTGGTGGGGTGGGAAGCATCTTTATTTTTGCCTCCTGTTCTTTTCTGAATAGGCATTTAAAAGTGCATAATAAACTCATCCCTTTCAAGGCCCATCCTTTTTGTGTGATGGGGAGAAAGGAGGAGGAGGAGGGCCTGCGCTTTTACAGCGCCATTCCCCATTTCTCCAAGAGTGGCTGCTCGTGTGGGCTTCCCCGGCACCTCTCACCTCCTTTCCTGAAAAGAAAGTCCCAACTGCCCAGAATCCCAGACTCATCTAAGCGCGGGGGCACGCAGCCGACTGGCATTTGAGTCACCCACCACCTTCCCCAGCCGGCCAGCTAATTGTTTTGTCAGTTTATTCGGCGTCAAAGAAGTGAGCCCGGCCTGGTGGCGCATCCTGGGCCTCTCGCCATCGAGGCTCATCCTGGGCCTCCAGCCACCAAGGCGCGGGCCGGGAGCCCCGGCTGGAGATCAGGGGTGCCAGGGGCGCTGGGCGGCCGTCGCCCCGCTCGCGGCCCCGACGAAAGGCAGCGGCGAAGTGGTTAAGGAGCGAGCGCGCTGCTGCGGGGCGCGGGCGGGCCGGGCGGAGGCGCGCTCCGGCTGAGCGGCGCCCGCGGCAGCCCCAGCGGCAGCTGCGGCGAGAGGAGCGCGGGCGGCGCGGGGAGCGGGCAGGACGCGCCCAGAGACACGCAGAGAAAGGGCAGCGCCGCCGCCTGCTGCAGTCCTCGGCGCGGTTAATCACGCGCTCCCCTCTCGGTGCTGATTTGCAAGAGCAGATTAATCAGAGAGCGCGGCTTGATGAAATTTGCTGTTATTGTGCCCATTTTTAGCAACATCTTTTATTATCTTCATTATTCATTTACAGGGGACCGGCATCAATTATGCAAATGAGTTCACAGACTTTGCAGATTACTTCATTTGCCGCTATTGTTTGTGGAAATTTAATTATTAAATATTATTAAGCTTGCGTTTTCTTCAATTTTCCAAGGCTTAGTTTCATTTGATTTTTCCTCCAGCTGCTCTTCTTTCCTTTCAGTGCCAAAACAGCTCCTCATCAAAGCGGCTCTGGCATGTGAAGACCAAATAAAATCTCCTCAATTTAATAATTTTGATGTTAGTCCCTTGTTCTCAGCTGCTTGCTCAAAGCAATGCAGAGAGGAACGCAGAGCACATTCAATTTAATGAGCAGAAATTGAATTCAAGTTTGTTCGGAATTGACTTCAATTAAGCAGAGTCTTAATGATAAATTAATCTCTTTTCTTTATTCCCCAGAATTTGTTTTTCAAAGTAGGAAATTGGACTACATTGAAAGACCAAATAAAGAATACCAATTTTAACTAGATCATGGAACTGATAGCAAAATTTAATTCTTTATAGTAACGTTCTTGGACAAATAGCATTCTTTCTATGGCGTGTATTATAATTTATATTCATTGTTACCACTTACACTTACATGGCGTGGATAAAATGGCAGTTGAATTAAATATGGGCTTGTAATAGACTTCAGAGTTTTAATCTTTATTAAGAAACTCTAATTGAATGCATAATTAACTTTTCAGGCTTTAGGAAATTCGGTTTAATATCTATGTGAGCTGAAAACATTGATCAGGAATTTTCAAGCAATTTTTATGAATTTATTTTTGAGGAGAAATTATCAGGCTTACATAAAATGGCATTTTAAGCTGAATAGCAAGAATCCGAGAGGCGAGGAATTAGGTTCATCCTGTGTTGTTACAGACACCCAACCAGGGCTTCCTTGGAACCAGGGCCAACAATGGTAATTTTAAGTTCCTTTTATTAAAACCTCTAATGTTCCTCCAGGCCACCAAATCTATTATTCCTGTCCAGACCCTGCTGAAAATCAAACTCGCAGCTACTGGGGGATTTTAATGAGGGCGTCCATATTGATTGTTTGGTTACACTGTTTGGGTTTGCTGCCACTGTCAAAAATGTACCTGACATTTTTTTCACCTGAATCATGGATCATCTTTTCTGGAACATGCCGAGCATAATTCTCCATGCTCCAGTCTGCAAAGCACTCTATCTGCATATGCCAAATGTTATTATTGCAGTTCCTTCAGGAGTGACCTTAGAAGATGTTTGTTCCAAAGAACTTCAAGCTGTTCACTGTGGTATATTCATAGTCACAAATTTAAAATACATCAGTGAGAGAAAATACATTTAGGCTGTGTACTGTTTCCCAGAGTGCATGGGTTCCCTCTGCCTGCTTCCTGCTCCTTTCACATACTTGTTCTATTACTCTTGGCCACTCAGACATAGTGTGTGCAAATTCGACTTTGCTGTGAATTTTAAATTGAAATGCATGTGATGGAGATTATCTTCCTTGTTTGACAGTACAGTATCGTTATTCCCAGTACTTTCAGAGTCTACCTGCTCTATGTTAGAATTAAAGACTTATATAATAATAGAATTTAAAAATGGACAGGGCTCTTAAAAATCACCTGGTTCAACTCCTGTGTTGTATAGATGGTTTTATAGATGAGGAAACCGAGGTCCATGAATGTTATGTAATTTTCCCAAGGCCACAGAGTCAGCCAGAGACAGAGAGAGCTCTAAAACTTGCAGGTATACTAACTTCTGGACCAAGGAATTCTTTTTCACTATTCAAATTTTCCACTCCAAGTTATGTAGTGACATCTTTGAGTAAGTAGAAACTAGTTTAAAACAGACAGGAATTAATTTATTGTCTTGTTCAAACTGGGAAATATATGGATTAAAGTGCATAAAAGCACACACAAATGCGGTAAGCCTATTTATCTGCGTCTCAGACAATTGGGAAGCCTAAATAAACGGGATTGTTTTGTGCTCTGCTTTAGTGAGAGAGGAACAAATGAAAAGTTAATAGGCTAATATCAGAGTGTTTTTAAATAAAAAAAGCCAGAAACACTATAGTGCTATATGCTCTGTACATATGAAGTTGTATCTTTAATGGTGGGGGTTGGCAACATTTTAAATTACTATTTTCAGTATTTTTTTATCCCACCCCCACTGAGATGTGGGTATCCCAAACCCCTTTCGTTTCATTGCAATCTTTCATTTGTTTAACCTTAATGGGCTGAGAGCACCAGACAATTTGCTAGATGTTGAAAATATAAAGACTGATAAGTCTGGTAAGGAGGTTACAGTGTAGCTAGTGGGGGAAAACACTTATTATTGTATGAAATAATTATTGTATGAAATAGCAAATGTTCTAATGTGTGCACAGAGCACTGAAGGGCCACACTGGGGGTATCTAAGGCAGACCAGGAAACCTAGGAAAAACTTCTCCATGCAGTGATTCCTTGAGCCCTGCCTCCAAAGGCAGCTTACCAAAGTGAAGAAGGCGGTGGTAGCATGGGGTAGGGTGGATGCAAGGAAGGCTTCACCAGGTAGGAGGAAAACCCTGTGGATGGATGGCTGAAGTTTTGTGCCAGGAAATGTTGGGCAGTTGAATTACAAGGCCGAGGGTCAGGAGACCCTTAAGTCTTTTTTGTATTAAGGATAAGTCATTTAACCTTTCAGTTTGGAGGGCCTGTCTAAGTAGCTTCACTGAGTACAGATATTCCTTGAATCATGGTTATCTCATTTTCATCGCTTATTAACTAATATATTAGTTATTGCTTAGTACTTCAGCAGTTGTTAGCTGGAATGTAAAGGAGGTTAGAGGAATTTGGAGGATGGAATGGGGACAGGAAATGGGAGGACGAAAAGAGAATGAGGAATGAAGACACTGATGAAGGTGGGAAGGAGGTTCCTGAAATAAACTGTCTATCCCGAGCTTTGTCTAGAATTTGAAACCTTGGTTTGTTAAAATCATCTCTGCCCCTTCTGTTCACTGATAATGGCTAGAATTTTACAACTTCTACCTCAGAAACACTATATAGTAAGAATTTGTAAAGTTTGTAATGAACGACTCTGTAAGAGCTCAATGCCCCAATGAAATCAAAACAGATAAAGTTGTATATTATGTCTTGTTGGAGTATCGTACTAATTTTTTAAGAATCAGCCTTCAATTTTTTGGTGAGCAGAGTTGCTCAGTTAATTAGATCATTGAATTAATCAGAATACTGCATTTCCCCACCATTCTAAATAAATTAGCTTACTAAGTCTATTTTCTTACTTTCAGACCTATAAAATTGAGTTTTCAATCCTCTGTGTAGGAAAACTAAGGTAAATATTAAAGTAGCATACATAAAATCATTACAGATAAAACCAATGATATTTTCTTCCAATTAAGATAAAAAATTTCAGACACAGTTACATAATTTCAATGATAAGAGTTCATCGCGTTAAAAAATCGGTTTAAAGAATATGTTAAAGGAAGTATTAGAAAATTGAAAGTCTTAAGAGACGTGATATCACTTGAGAGTGAAGGTTATGTTTATTATTTATGCGTGATTCAATTCAGAGAGACTGATTTAAAGATCTGCTCGAGCTTCGGTTAAGGGTAAAAGAGTAAGGATTTTCTTCTGCACCTGTCACCTTAAGCTGAATGAAAACAACTGCTTGGAAAAGTTCTAAGTGTGTGTAAGGGCAACTTGCGTCCGAAATTATGGGGCTTTCAGATGGCCAGTGAATCTGGTGTAATGTTAGAACCCCCACTGATGGACGTTAGCCGGGGACCCTGATGAGAGAACATCTCTTCATTACTTTTCTTCTGAGGACTTCAGCAGTTGTCTTGTCAGTCTTGACCAATACACGTTTTCTGCCTTATTTATCAACTTTGCAACCCCAAATCCATCCACTGGGTTCTCTTGTCTTTGTGTTTGCATCTCTTACAGGTTCCTCTTGAAAGATCTCTCAGTTTGAGGCAATGTAAGTGCTATTTGGACTTTGTGTCTCTTTTCTTTCTGTGATAATCTAACTGCTTTGCGACTTATTCTTGTAGAATAAAACAGCTTTTCTAAACCCAGCATTCTTTACTGTACTTTCATGGTTAATTTAATTAGATGAAACCAACATTTATTGAATGAATTTTTGTAAGGCACCATCTGAAGGATCTTGAGAGCTACAAACATGGCCAGGAGGGCTACTGCGCCCTCAAGCAGTTCGTATGTGAGTGGTTAAGGTGACAGAGAAGGAAATACTTATCATCAATATAATAAGTGTTATAATGGAAACAGGGCTCTGAGGAAAGAAAGGGTAGGATCACTCAAGTAGGAAAGAAATGTAACCTGAGTGTTAAGGAATCAGCTGGAGTTTGTGAAGGCCCAGAAGGCAGCGATGGAGAAGAATGGCAAGGACATGGCTCTCCCAGTCAGATAGCTGGGTTAGGATCTGCTGCGTACCTGCTGAGCCAAGTGTTCCACCTCTGAAACTCAGTTGACAGAATGGCATCTACCTTGCAGAGCATGTGGTCATATACTCCATGTCTCTTAGAGTACCACCATCTGTACTTTGAGCAAGAGTACCAACATCTTGCTCAAAGTTCTTAGATTTGGAAAGGAAAGAATTTGGCCTCTGGGTACTATTTCTGCCCTATATTTTTCCCCTTCAGTGTGCCTAGAGGGAAGTCAAATTTCAGAGTGAAGTCTACATAGAGGCAGGAACTGGGGAACGGAGGAAAGTGGAAGTTCATACATGCTTGGCTTTGTGTGTGTGTGTGTGTGTGTGTGTGTGTGTGTGTGGTGTGTGTGTGGTGTGATCTGTGTATGGGTGTGTGATTGGTGTGTGTGTGGGTGTATGGTGTACATGGTGTGTGGTGTGTGTGGTATGTTTCGGGTGTGTGGTGTATGTGAGGTGTGTATGGTGTGCAGTGTATGTGTATGGTGTGTGTATGTGTGAGTGTGATGTGTGGTGTGTTTGGTATGTGGTATGCGCTTGGTGTGTGGGGTCTGTATGGTGTGGGGTGTGTGGTATGTTTGGGGTGTGCGGTGTGTGTGTGAGGCGTGTGTGGTGTGCAGTGTGTATATGGTGTGTGTGTGGTGTATGGTGGTGTGTATGGTGTGTGTAGTATGTCGTATGTGCATGGTGTGTAGGGTCTGTATGGGGTGTATGGTGTGTGGTGTGTGAGGTGTGTGTGGCGTGCAGTGTGTGTATAGTGTGTGTTTGGTGTGTGATGTGTGTGGTGTGTGTGGTGTGTTTTTTGTGTGTGGTGTGTGTGGTGTGTTTTTGGTGTGTGGTGTGTGTGGTGTGTTTTTGGTGTGTGATGTGTTTGGTATGTATGATTTGTGTGGTGTGTGTGTGTGTGTGTGTGTTCTTGCCCTTTGATTTTTTTCTGTACTGGTTTTCTTGCAAAGAAAAGATAAGGAATAAATTTTGGAGGAAAAAGTAAAAATGTATAAAAACCTTCCCCCTTTCCTTATAATCTTTCCACCAACCTATTGTTTGTATGCTTAAACTTCCTGGCAAACATTAAGTACTCAATAAATTTATGATGAACAAATGTTAAAAAAAAAGTTGAGAAACAGGCAGATGGAACAAAATGAACCTAATTCAAAGAGGCTTTTAGAGCTTTAGTATTTTTTTTAGAGTCAGAATCATTAATTTTATTCTGTCTCCCGTACCCCCACCCCATCAGTAGCTAATGGCTTTCAAATAAACAGGGATATCATAGGAAAATATAAAGCATCTTAACTTGGTTTTATTTTGGACACAGAAAGAGTGTGATATGAAAGAGTTAAATTTGATTTAAAAAATACCAACAAGGAATCAAATATGCTTACGGTAAACGTCCATGTGAATATTGTGACAAGTCTTTGGGAGAGTGAAGTGGTGAGGTGTGGAGTTAAAAGGAAAGTGGAGGAGACAAAGATGGGAAGAGGAAAAGAGACAGGGGAAGCAAGGAGAAAGAAAAATAAACTGGAGGGATGGACGCAGGGTGGGAGAAGGAAAAGGAGAGAGGGCATATAGGGTCTGAAGTTCAGGAAACCATATATTTTTCACACTTAGGAACTCATTTCTGCAGTGGGTTTCACAGTGTTGTCACCCATCATATTTCCTCAAAATTCTCATTAACCACTGTTTATAGCTGTTTAACTGCTGCTTACCTTTGGATTTTCAAGGGCTTGATTCATAATGGGATAGATAATCAGAGTAGCCCATCGCGGGGAAATAATTATTCTCTTGGCGTATTATCTCTGGCACGTATCTGGGCCCTGAGCAAAGGGTTTCCATGTTCATACATTAAGAAGTTGGAGGTTTATTGAGATTGCTTCTATTCAATAGCAGGATTTGATATTTTTCCCCTAAGATGCCATCAAATTTCATAATTAGCTAAGCATTACGTATTCCCTCACTTGGTTGCATTTTTGAAATGCTACATCTTGTTCATCTGGTATTACCTTCTAGGGAAAACCAGTCCTAAGTCGCAGGAAAGCAGCAGGACACCGCTTGGAAAACCGCGCAAGGGAGAGGGCTGCTCTGGGGTGAGGTTGGGGGTGCTTTGCAGGAAAGATATTTATGGGAAGTATCAGTTCTTAGTTTAAAAAGTATTCTGTTAAGTGAGTAAATGAGCTAAAGTAGAACTGAGGGGGAAGAATCATATTGAAAAAGTAAAAGTGTGAACTTCCTGTTTTAAAGAGTTTCATGAATTTTTAGGAAATGCCTTGTGACGAGAGGAACTGCGGTTTCAATGCAGCTTTGAAATGTAGGATGAAAACATGGAGATTTTTCTGTTTGTTCTTCTGCTTGTTTCCATTTCCATGAATAGCCTTCTACTTTGGGGACCTTCTCCCACTCCAGCTTGCCACGCTGTTTTAGTTGGCTTTTGAATATCGATAACCAAAGATGTTTACTGTCCTTTAGTGAAAAAAGGAAAAAAGAAATCTTGTGTTTATTTCTTAGGTGAGGAGGGGAGGGTTGCCAACATACAGTTTTGGAGTCCGTATTTCAAAAAAAGTCACCCTTGTTATTTAGCATTGTCCTTCATAATACAAATTGCAAATAAGGCAGAGTGCCAGTGCTGAAAAGTAATTTCAATTAAAATTCCCAGGGCTTTTCAGGGGCGACACAGGAGTCAGTCTTAACACAGTGTCCTTGAGTCTGGACACAGCTTACCTGAAAAGCTTCAAAGAGGGACAAGTAATTTTAGCGTCACCTGTTTTGTACCTGCTGCCTTCCCAACACCTTCACCCTACCAAGCCATAAACAAGGCGACGACAGCCCTTTCCATGAAAAAGGAGGTTTGGTGATTGTTTGCCTGGAAAAGCTGGTAATGGACTATTAAATAGTTGTTTGTGAAATCACTGCACAGTACAGTGTTTACTTGTTTCTGCAAAAATATTTATATTTACCCAGTTCTGGATAAAGAGCAGATCATTTGACAAGGCCCCAGAGTAAACAATATCCCAATATTCTCGTCTGTCTTCTGGTGCGGGTTCCTGCATTTTCTGTTGTTATGTAAATGAAGGAGACACTACAGGATAGCAGCCACAGCAAGCAGGGCTGGTCTAGTGTGATGGAACATCCTGCACTGAAAGTTTGGTAGCCTGGTCCAAGGGCACCATGTCCCCTGCCATCAAGAATCCGCACCTTGTCATGGCATTTAAAAATCACACAATTGTGCTGTCCTTTAATATTAAGGCTACTGATAAAATCAAGAGTTGCTTTGGAGCGGGGGCATTAAACTGATATCCATCAGTAACATATGAGCCCCAATAATACCTAACACTAACTGACTATTTATGTGCCAGTTACTGCACTAGAGGCTTTACCCTTATTTTCTCATTTAACCTCAGACGAGTGCGATGAGGTCAGTGCTATTATTATTGTTAGGTTACAGATGAGGAGACAAAGGCACTTAGGGTGTTATTTTATTTTATTTTATTTTGCCAAGTTTTATAGTTGACGAAGAGTTATGGTTTCACCCTAGATTCGCTAACTCCTGAGCCCGTGTGTTCATCAGATTTGCATTAACAGAGAATGGGGTCCAGAGAAAAGAGAGTATTAGAGGACAATTAAACTTGGATGTGGTCAGCTGGAGATAGTGTTGTCCAACAGACAAGGCTGGATAGGGGAGTGTGGATGAGGGGAAAACTAAGTAGAGGGAAGGTGGGCAGCATGAGTGGACCATCACGGAGGGGTTGGAAGGGAAGGACTAGTGGAAATGAATATAGGAAAATGGGAGAAGCTAAAGGGGTTGAAAGTTAATTTTTCAGATTTGCTTATGGCTAACCTCACAGATTCATTTTCTTAGATGTTCCCTTGATCCTGAAATTGTAGGATCTCTATCCTTCTTTCATGGTTGTCAAACACATGTGTCAGTCAAATAGTTTGCATGTCATTCTGTATCCATGAGGTCTTGTGATCCTCACAGGCATTCTAATACCCTTTTGCAGTAGAGGAATCCAAGGCAGAGGATTGGTGGCCAAGGTAAGACTGGAACTCACATTGTT
Source organism: Homo sapiens (assembly GCF_000001405.40). Taxonomy (NCBI): domain Eukaryota; kingdom Metazoa; phylum Chordata; class Mammalia; order Primates; family Hominidae; genus Homo; species Homo sapiens. Next base: position 88,454,021 of record NC_000001.11, on the reverse strand, counting down.
TGCTCTGATCTTGGTGCTTTTTCCAGCACAACCCAGACAGCCTCCTATCCGTTGCCCTGGAATGTCTTTCAGGCCTCTCTTTCCTCTCATAAATACCTCGCATCTCCTTCATTTTCGTCTGCTCTTGTTTTAGGCATTTTTTCTTTTAAATTTCTAACGTATTTAGAAATTTACAAGTTAGACACGCCCTACTCCAATCTTGGTCTGATATTTGGGTTCTGTTAATTCATTGTTATGTGGAGAATGCCTTCAGTGAAACACAACAAGCTGCAGAAAATATAATTCTCCCTTAATGTATATTTACTAAGTGTATTTATTATTCATCAGGATGTGCATTTTAAAATGTGAGTCTAGATTCCCTCACTTTTAATCCCAAACAAATGTTAAAAGATTTATTTTTATAATAATCCCGGAATGAGAGCTAAGTAAGCCTCCCTGAACACAGCTTGCCAAGTGGTGGATGTTAGCTCTATATATCCACACTAGATGCTCAATCTGCAGTTGCTTGTCGTCTCTTACTGTTTCTAGTGGTGATGTACAGAAGCGTATGAGCACACCAGGGCCCGTCAATGGTTGCAATTTGTTGGCACCGATTCTAGGGAAAGAGTACTGCAAGCGAAAATGTTAAAGTCCCTTTTCTTTGCAAGATATAGATAGATATGGTGGGAGAAATAAAGGCAGATGGACGAAGAAAAGGGAATATGTGGGCCAGGAGACAAGAAAATGCACAGAAATAAACATCAAAAACCTCAAGGTACTATCAACATGAAAGTGTTTGAATAGTATGTGAAGAATTAATACGAATGCATTAAGCATGAGGAATGAATAATTCCTACTTTCCCACTTTGCAAGAAGAGAAGGCTCTTGAGGGCAGGTGCCAGTGTGGGGTTGGTACAGTGGAGAATTCTTAGTAATAGTCAAAGGCCAGTTTACATGATGGTACAATGTTATCTCTTCAGCTAGTGATCCCTTTGAACAGGGTGCTTCAGGTGACTTTAGTAAGAGCCTTCACTCATTAGTGGTCTTTGTTACATTTCCAAGTGACATCTCTCTCACTCATTCCTCAAGATCCCAGTATGTAGAAATTCCTGCTTATCGGTTTCAGAATCCTTTCTCATTTGTGAGGACCACTGAAGAGCTTCATTTCTGCCCAGATAATTTTTTCTTTAGTTAACCCACAATACCCATAATATATTAAAAATTAATGTTGGAACCTGAGTTAGGATAGTTCAATTTAAAATAGTTCAATTTAAGATGTCATTTAATACAGATCTTGGAATATTTTCTCCTTTGAGGTTGAGCATCACTACATCTAAAACATGGTATGGCCAGTTTTACAGCTACAGATGTAAGTATAGTAAGTGTGGAAGTTGATAAGAGAGTGATGCTCCAGTTTTATGAAACAATTGTTTTTTTCTTACATTGGGTGGAATCAATGAAACTAAAGCAGAGACTGATTTCTATGGTTTTGAAAATGCTCTCAAATGAGTAGAGGCAAAGAGGGAGGAAAAGGAATCCCATTGTCTTACAGAGAGATGCTGAGTTCTACAAACACATCCTGTTATGATAAATTCTTCTGATATAATTCCAGTGGAGAAAAGTACTTGGGGAAATACTTGCATTACATTAAAACTTTATGGTGTGCAGTACAGTTAGGAAAATTGCACATGGCTTCGACCTACCTTTCAAATATAATCCTAGTGTGTATATAGTGGTATACCAGTTAAATAATAATTAAGGTTGAAGAGTTAGATTTAATCAAAGAATCAGTTTTACCCATGTGATATAACAATTTGCAAAAAAAAAAAAACCCAAGTAAAACAATTTTAAAGAAATAATGGAAAATAACCACTTTCTAAAATTAAAGGAAAGAATGACAACAAATCAAATCAACTAACTGTACTGTGGTTCCTCTTTGGCTTCTGTCTGGAACTTCTCTGTTCAATGCCACCATTCTTTCTTTTCTGGCAGACTTCTTGTTGACCAGTGCCTTCCAAGTTAACTCATCTGACTGGGAACAAAATTGTTCTACTCACTGTAAGATGCTAAGTGACATAACCTCTAAATTCTTACCATAGCCCTTAGCATTTGATAAATGAATTAAGTAGAAATACTTTGTTATTTTTTGCTGAACTTGATGCCTGTAATAAATGTCACTGGTGTCATACAAAACAATTTATAAATTATTTTTGAAAAGAATTATTTCAACTACAGAGCAGGCAGGGAAGGAGACAAATGGGAATGATCTGTGAGAGGGCATTTCTATCATGACATCATAAGAGCCAAGAGAATTTCAGTAGCAATTCTATTCATGCCAGGAACAGGAAAAAACAATGTAGAAGGCTTGATGTTTCTGTTTGTTTTTTAGTTATTTTACCCTTTCCCAGGTGATTGGAGAAAATAAAAGGAGTGGTGGTATGGAGACTTCAAATCAGTTTGTGTTAGTTTACTTGTGTGAATTTATATTACCTCCTACTAAGTTTTATGAAACCCCTTTGCTAACCAAAAGAACAGCCAGGGACAAGATTACTTGGATTTTATAATCCTTTGTCTCAAAATATTGCAGATGTGAAAGTAACAATGGTTAGCAAAGCATGCCGCACCAAACAGGTTTTACATTTTTAGTAAAATTTCCAAATGAGCATTGTATCACTGAAATGTTGTCAAAGGTTATGTTTAGTTCATGAGACAGGCTCAAAACAATGAAGTTTTTCTCCCATACAAATTCCCAAGATGAGAAAGAATTAAAAACCAAATTAAGTGGAGAGAAGTAAATGCGACATTATTTCTCTAAAGTTGTTTTATTGCCTGCCAGGAAAATATCTTCAGGAGATGGACTGAAAAGGAAAAGACTTTTGTAGTGAGCATCTGAGCCACAGCAGATTTGTGGGTATTATTGGCTTTTTCAGACATCAAAAGCAAACTGTGTGAAAGATGATGGAGGTGCTCAAACAGGAATGGGGAATGAAAATGAGCAAATAGAAGATCATGCTCAATAAAAACACAAAATGATAATCAGAATAAATGAGACTATCAGTGCACAAGTAGAAGAAAATCAACTAGGAACATCTGTTCAGGTGAGGCTGAAATTAAGAGAATAATCAAGCTCTGGTCGTGTGCATTTGGAAAAAGTCTATGCAAGATATGATGAGTAGCATCTTATCCTTCACCCATGTGGAATGATCATATACTACCTTTGTACTTTCATTAAAATTGGGTTTTGTGGCTGTGGATGTTATACCTTCCACATAGATTTGTGGCAAACATATCTATGCCACATAGATATGTGGCAAACATCGATTTGTGGCAAAAATGCAATTGGATGTGCTATGGAGATTATGAAAATTTTAATGATAAAATTAAAATTTCTCAGAGAAATATGCAAAGATATAGTAATAATGAAAAACATTTCTAAGTGAGCCCTGAATGAGTGAAATCACAATAGTATCAGACCATAAAAATTTTTAGAGAAATAATAAACATATAGAGAACATTCACATCAAATATATTACATTCTGGTTCTGAAAAAGATAAGATACACACACTCTTCTCTATTCCTTCTGCTAAATGCTATTACAAATTATGAACATTATGCATAAAGTAAACACAAGCAAAGTCTGAAGGATGGAGAGAAGACAGATGAATTAGGGACCTTGGAACTTGAGGAACAACATCTCAGTGAACTCCCTGAGTTTTATTTTTGCCACATATATCCCAGAGGGCAGTAACATAGAAATGCTAAAAGTGCAAACAAACAAAAAAAGCTCCAATAAAAGTCTTGTCTATTTAGCCAAAGAACCAGGAAAAGCTCATGCTGGCAAAACAAACATTTTGGAAAATTGCTGCCCTACTTTATCCATACATCACAGAAAAAAATGGTAGTCCTATTTCGACCCTTGTCAGCAAAGGCTGAGTGGGAAGCCTGGACTTCCACCCTCACCTAGAGGTAATGAGGTACCTCTTCCACTGGTTGCCGGGGTGTGTCAGAGAGTAGAAAGTAGGATTTGCGTCTTTTCCCGGAGGTCATGAACCACTCTCTTTCCATGGTGGTATGAATGGAATCTGAACTTCCACTGCCATTCAGCAGAAATGAGGCAGCATCCCCTTCCCCTGTAGTGTTGTGTCAGAGGAAACTTGTTAAAACATAAGATTTAAGAAAGATCCGAAGTCTAATATGATAATAAGTATGATGTCCAGAATACAGTAAAAATCACTTGTCATACCAAGGAGCCAGGAAAACCTAAACTTGAAACAGAAGACACCACCAACATGGCATAGATGTTGGGATGATCTGACAGGGATTTTAAAGCAGCCATCATAAAAATGCTTCAGGGAGCAACTATAAACACACTTGAAACAAATGAAAAAATGGAAAGTATCAGCAGAAAAATAGGATATATAAAGAAGAACCAAAAGTAAATGTTAGAACTGAAAAATACAATAAATAAAATTAAAAAGTCATTGGATGGGCTCAACAGTAAAATGGAAAAGACAAAGAGAAGAATTAGCAAACTTGGAAATACAACAATAGAAATCATCCTATCTAAATAACAGAGAAAAAATAGATTAGAAAATAGTGAACAAAGCCTCAGGGACCTGTGTAACTGTAAAAAAATGATCTAATAATCATATCAACTAAGTCCCAGAAGGAGTGGAGAAAAAGCATGGTGTTGAAAAAGTATTTGAAGATATATAATAAGAGCTGCACACTTCTAAAGTTTGGCAGAAGACAAACCCACAAAACCCACAAACCTACAAAAACCTACAAAAGACAAACAAATTCAAGAAGCTGAGCTGACCCCAAATAGGAAAACCCAAAGAAGTCCATGCCAAAACACATATTAAGAATCAGCCTCAATGAGTAGATTGCTTTAATGCTCATGACATAGAGGATACAGAATATATCCTTCAGGGACTCCATAAATTGGAAATACTGTTTCATAGCATGTTTTTGGATTGCCTTTTTTTCCTCTTCCCAGTTGTTAATCCTTGAAATGGGACATAATCTCTGTTGATCACATTTACACAAATCAATGTATTTTAATGACTTTATAAGTAAAAGGACCTACTTTTGAAAAACAGTAACTCAGAATGCATCATAGACCTCAATGTAAGAGCAAAACTATAAACTCTTAGAAGAAAACAGAGAAGTAAATCTTGTGACCTTGGGTTAGGCAAAGACATCTTAGTTATGACACCAAAAGCACAAGCAACAAAAAGGAAAATAGATAAATTGGACTTCATTAAAAATTTAAAACTTTTGTGCTTAAAGGATACCATCAAGAAAGTGAAAAGACAACACACAGATGGGAGAAAAAAAGCAAATATCTGATAGAAGACTTGTATCTGGAATATATAAAGTACTCTTACAACTCAATAATAAAAGGACATAATCCAGCTGAAGATGGGGCAAAGATTCTGAATAGACACTTCTCCAAAAATGGTATAGAGATGGCCAATAAAACACAAAAAGATACTCAGCGTTCTTAGCCATTAGGGAAATGCAAATCAAAACCACAATGAGATACCACTTTATACTCACTCCGATGACTATAATAAAAAGGACAGACAATAGCAAGTGTTGATGAGAATGTGGAAAGTGAAATCCTCATACTTTGCTAGAGGGAATGTAAAATCATGCAGCTTTAGAGGGGATTTTATTTTCAGAGACTTACATACTAGTTATCATTTTTATATAGATTTTCCTGCAACAATTATATTTATTAGTAGGAATTAGTAGTCACAATGGCTGTCAAAACAATCTGACAGTTCCTCAAAAGGTTAAACATAGAGTGACGGTATGACCCATCATCCTACTCCTAGGCAAATGCCCACAGGGATTTAAAATATATTTGCAAACAGAAATGTGTACACAAATGTGGACGTTGAGGGGAAATGGAAAGTAATAGCTAATGGATACAGTGTTTTATTTGGAGATGCTGAAATGTGCTAAAATTGATTGTGGTGATCACAAAACTCTGAATATACCAAAAGTCACTGAATGGTATATTTTAAATGGGTGAAAGAGTGTGTGAATTATATCTCAGTAAAGTTGCTACTTTAAAATATCAAGTAAATCATATTAAATTATTATCTATTTCCTACTATGTTCAAGATATTGCAGTTACTCTCACCTGAACATCCAGTCTGTCATTTTGGTGAAAATATGTCTCACTACATCAGAAAGTGAATAATGGTTGTATTTTGTCCCAGAAGCCTCAGTGAAGTGAAGAAGAAAGAAATGGGTAGAAAAAACAGAATTGAGAAAGAATCACAATTCCAAATTTTGTGGGGGCATTAATAGATATTACTCGAAACAGTATGCAAAATAATGGAATTATAAAGTCAAGACCATATGGTAATGTAGAAATTATCATCCTTAGTACTCATGGCATAACCATATATCAGGTACTCATGGCATAACCATATATCAGAAACCCTTAAGATACTTTTGAAAAACAGGTTTCTTTTCCTCACTTCAACAATATATCTTCACCTCAAGGGTGAGTCCAGATCTGATCGGTAGTTATGGGAGGTGGAGGGGAATGAGACTGCATGTTTATTCTGATAACATTCTCTAGGCAGTTCTGAGCTATTTCTACCACTCTCCAGCAAACGCTTCTCTAACCTTGAGAATGACAGGTTATTTGTGCTAATGTACCTGTGGTTCTCCAACATGGAAATAGTTTCCCAAGCTCGCATGAGTACAGAACCACAATTTCATGCAGAGCTGGGGCCGAGAGACCATAAATATGCTTTTACCATTGACAGAGTGCTCGCTTGTGTTTGAGCTTATTTGATCCTCATGCTAAAACTAAGTTAGAAGTTATGGGGTTAAGACCCAAATGTAGATACTCAAACTCTAAGTCTGGATCTTCAAAGGTCAAAAGCCCAGATTGATGTAGGCTGTTAGCACATTTGTTATAGAAGAATCAATCATGTTAAAGAGACTTTAAACCCACTTCTTCAACAATCGCATAGAGTTAAAGCTTCATTTGTGCAATGGAGAAAAGTGACGTAAACGATATACCATAAAGGTTTAGTTTAAGTATTACAAAGCCCTATGTCAACACGAACTCTATAAAAATTCATGGTTCTCTTCTCAATAATTTAAATCTGTTTTTGAAAGTGCATATTTATATAAAAAAAGAGAGGAACATTAAAGCTGGCATAATACTGTCAGCTGTTGGCCATATGGAAAAATTTAAATTGTCATAAAAGCTAGCCAGTTATAAAATGTTTTAGATAGATTTTTTTTAAAAACCACATTTTAAGCATTTGAGCAATATGCTCAAAAATGTATTGGTGAACTACATTAGTAATTGCTGTGATTGCAACTTCATATAATCCTTCCATATGTAATTAATTGTTTTTTGAACTGACCCATGCAACAGGCAATGAAATAAATTTTTGGTAAGGATAAAGGTATTAAAAGGGAAATTTTTGCAAAAATATATTTCATAGTCTTCATTTACAAATCCTTATGTCTCATATTAACTGAATGTAGTTATTTTGGGGCATCATTTATTGATTATCTACTATGTGCACAGCACTATGCTAAGCCCTGCAATGTAGACAGTGTTACATACATGAAGAAACAGGATGAGAGGGTTGAGGAAGCTGTGCCCAAGCCTAATTTCAAACCTAGGTCTTTCTGGTTTTAATACTAGTTTTTTTCCTTTGTGTTTTGATTTTAAATTAATTTTATTAAAATAATCTTACCCTAACAGTAAACATTTTTTCCTTGTAGAAAATTTAGAAAATATTGAAAAGAGCAATTACAAAATACTGAAAATACATATCACTTGTAATTCTACCAAGAAGCAACAGATTACTTAGTATTTTTATGTGTTTTCCACTCTTTTTTATTAATATGCATTTTGAATTTAAAAAATTGATGGTACATCTTTTTAATTTCACTGAATGACAATTTTTACTAGCTGCATAATATTCCATTCTTTGGGTATGCTATAATTTAATTAACCACTCCATTATTTTGGATGTATAGAACATTTTAATTTTATTATTATTATAAAAATTCTACTATCTTTGTCAATAAATCTTTATGCCCAAATCTGATCATTTTCTTAAGATAAATTTGTAAGCATAGAGTTTTTGGATGTAAAACTTACAGCATATATTGTAAATTATCCTCCACAAATTTATTAATTTACATTTTCACCAGCAGCAGATGATAGCTCCTCTTTCATTTTTCTACATTTTCACTCACTCTGGGTATTTAAAAAAATTTTAACACTCACAGCTATTTTATGCTGTCTCTCTATGCATTAAAGTTTTAAGTATTTACATGAGGCATTATCGATACAGGTATCAATTATTATGGATTTCATTTATTTATGAATTCACTAGTAAGTCATTTAACTAGTGCATATGTAATGAACCCTTGATATGTGCCAGACTCTGTTTTAGGTGCTGGGGATAGAGTGGTGAATGAGATAAAGGTCTTGCCCTCAGGGGAATTAAATTCAAGCAGGCCTTGCTGATTTCGGTGAAGAATCATACCTGATAATATAAAACAGTGAATGTTTTATATTTTGACACATTCCTTGTCACATATGATATCCTTTTTACTTTAATCAGTGTGTCTTGACAAGTAGAGTGATTCATAGCCAAAGTTTAGGCTAGATGAATTTATAAAATGAGTGCGATAATTAGATTATGTATTGAGTTTAACTATCTGATTATTACAAGATGACAACTCATGTTGGAAACAGGTTTCAGTACACATCTAGTGACTTCATAACATGCTGATCAGTGTTACAAGTTACTTGGTACATTAAGTTTGTGAGTTTAGTTAAAAATATACAGAATTGGCTTGGTGCGGTGTCTCATGCCTGTAATCCCAGCACTTTGGGAGGCCAAGGCAGGTGGATCATGAGGTAGAGAGATCGAGACCATCCTAGCCAACATGGCGAAACCCCATCTCTACTAAAAATAAAAAATTAGCTGGGCATGGTGGGGCATGCTTGTAATCCCAGCTACTGGGGAGGCTGAGGCAGGAGAATCACTTGAACCTGGGAGGCGGAGGTTGCAGTGAGCCAAGATCGCGCCACTGCACTCCAGCATGGTGACAGAGTGAGACTCTGCCTCAAAACACACACACACACACACACACACACACACACACACACACACACACAATTAACGGAGGAAATTGTAGTCTCTTGCAAAAAGGTGACTTTTGGAAATCAGAAGGAAATAAACATAAAATGTCATAGGAAAAAAGGGAGAAAGAATTAATAAACTTGACAACCTCTTAGTGCTGTCCATCAGAATGTCTATAACTAGGTCAAACAATGTATTTCAAATAATGTCCTGGCATGAAAAAAATCAGGAAGTAAGAATGCCCAGGGCTTAGGCTCATGTTGTAAGGCTTAACTGTTTCAAATTCTGCTTTTTAAATATCTGTGTGACTGAAGTCACATAGCTGAAAGGGATTGTGACAGTAGGAATATGTTCCACTTTTCCCTATTCAGGAAGCAGAAAATCATCACAGATAAACCTCTCTGGCAATTTATTTTCATGTCATTTTCAAGAAATTTCCTATTTTTGTTTTTTACAATGAGAATTTGTTTATTTCAGAGAAAGATAGCTAACTTTAAGAGAATGTTTCAATGTATTTGCTACCTTAAAATGTAAAACATGCCTAGCACTGTTTTCCTGCTTCCTCCTAGGTGTTTGATAAATGCTAGATGGTAAAGTGATGTATTAGCTTGGGACTGTATTTTCTGTCCCAGTGATTTGGCTTTACTCACCAAACATACTGTACACCAGATTTTACAAACCACAGGAAAACTGGCACAAATTTTGAGTATTTTGCTTTATAAAATGAGATACTGTATTTACTAAAGTTTAAAAATGTTTTTTTGATATTGTTTCAATAAATCTCTGGCCTTAAAACAAATGCAAATAAATGTAAGATTTAAGCATTTACTATAAGTAAACTTTTGTATGCTTTTCAAATAATCAGGATCAGCGAGAATGCAATTAAAGCCTAGTTTTGTCTTTAAGATTTCCAATGCAAAAACTGTAGTAGTTTTGTTTGAATGTAGAAAACATTATTGAAGTGTTTGGTTTATAGATAGCAGCCAGAAGATTAGATAAAATTCTGCTGTTAAATTTATGTTTTGAAGACATATCTAGTCTGTAGTGGCATGAAAAATGTAGTAGAGGTACCGGTTGCTGAAAATCACTGTAGCATCACACGTAAACACTTAGAAACCAAAGCAGTTAATATAATTTATATATACATAAACTAAATGAAATCTGTACTAGAGATTTCTTGGATACAAGCACTTTTACCCAGTATTTTAATCAAGTATGCTATCATGTCTGCTCCATTCGAGGCATGCAGCACACAAATTTGCTGATGTGTGTTTCACTTAATGGATCTAATATGTGTAATGTGCTATTAATGTCTATTAGAAATACATGTAATAGTGAGAAGTCACTTTAATCAGAAATCATTGCCATTTCTTGAAATAGGAAAGATCAGAATAACAGTGAGGCAGGTTCATTCAATTTGATTACTATAGCTATATAATAAAAGTCTTGAAATTGGTTATATTGATTCTTCTCACTTTGCTCTTTTTTTTTTTAGAAAACTGTTTTAGCTGTTCTATTTCTTTGCCTTTCCATGTAAATTTTAGAAAGCTCTTTTCTATATGTACAAAAAATCTTGCTAGGGGTTTGATAAGAACTGTGTTCAACCTATATATCAATTTGTTGAGTTTTCCTATAGATAAACATGGTGTATTGCTCCATTTATTTAGATTTTCTTTGGTTTATTTTATCAGAGTTTTGAAGTTTTCAACATATAGTCCTATACATATTTTGTTAGATTTATTCCTAAATATTTCATTTTTGATCAATTAAGTGGTATTGTACTTTAATTATAGTGTTCACATGTTTATTACTATTTATTATAGACATTATAGACATACAATTTTTTTTTGTATGTTTGTCTTGTATCCTGTCAGCTTTCTGAGCTCACGTGTTAGTTATGGGAGGTTTTGTAAATTTCTTGAGATTTTCTCTGTAGACAATCACGTCATGTACAAATAGGGCTAGTTTTATTTCTTCCTTTCCGATATGTATGCCTTTTATTTTGTTTTCTTGCCTTATCACACTGTCTAGAACTTTCAGTACTATGTTGAATAAGAGTGGTGAGAATGAACATCCTTGCCTTGCTCCTGATTTTAGAGGGAAAGCATTCAGTCTCACTATCAAATGTAATATAGACTATATGCTTTTTAGTAGATGCTCTTTGTGGATAAAGTTGAGGAAGTTCTCCTCTATTCCTATTTTTCTCACAGGTTTTGTCATAAATGGATTTTGTTAAATGCTTTTTCTGCATTGGATATAATAATGTGCTGTTTTTCTTTAGCTTGTTAATGTAGTAGTCTACTCTGACTGATTTTTTGAATATTGAACTAGCCTTGCATCCCTGAAATAAACCCCACTTTGTTATAATGTATAATTGTTTTTTACATATTATTAAATTCTATTTGGTAATATTTTGTTAAGAATTTCTGTATCTATATTTTTGAGGATATTGGTCTGTAGTTTCTTTGTTTGCTCTTCTGCTGTTTTAGTTTGGTTTTGGTATCAGGGTAGTACTAGCTTTACAAAATGAATGTAGAAGTGTACCCTCCTCTCATATATTATGAAAGATATTGCATAGAATTGACGTTAGTTTTCTTTAAGTATTTGGTGGAATTCTCCAGTGAAACCATTTGGACCTGGAGATTTCTTTTTGGGAGTATTAAAATCATGAATGCAACTGTCTTAATAGTTATAGGGCTATTCAAATTGTCTGTTTTATATTGGGTGAATTTTGTAGCTTGTGGTTTTGAGGAATTAGTCCCTTTTTGTAAATTACCACATTGATGTGTGTGGGGTTGTTCATAGTATTTTCTTATTGTCCTTTTGATGTCTGCAAAATCTGTAAGTCATATCCCCTGTTTAATCATTGGTACTGGTAATTTTTATCAGTCTTGAAAAAGTGTGTCAATTTTTTTGGATCTTTTCTAAGAACCAGCTCTTTGTTTCATTGATTATCCTTATTTTTTCATTGGCTTAACTAATTTCTGCTCTTATCATTATTATTTCTTTCCTTCTGCTTGCCTTAGGTTTATTTTGTCCTTTTTTTTTTTTTTTTTTTTAGCTTTTTCAGATGGGAAGCCTGCCTCTTCTTCCTTTGCAAGAGGGAGCTTTCCTTCATCTACCAGGCGAAATGACCATGATTATTTGGAAAAATCTCACATTCTACCTGCTGGGTTATTCTTCCCATATATCTACCCATTCTTTGATCAGTGCAAGATATTAGACATAAATGTATGCAACAATATATTTCCCAAAGTCTGAGGTATTTATTCCAGAATAATGTCATAGGCCTAGGCAGAGAAATTTTATTTTTCTTTTAAGTAGTTTTCTTACTAGCTTTTGGTCATAATTGATGTCTTGCAAGATACCTGCCTAACCCATTCAGGGATTAAAAAGTTGCTTCTGTATTTCTCTGTTATCTGTGTTCTTAAAAACAGCATTAGTATTTTTAGATCTTTTTATTGTAAAATAAAATGCAGGTATAAGAAACCACACCAAAATACATAATCAGCAAATTATCATAAGGTGAAAATTATTGTAACCACCATCTGGGACAAAAAAAATTGGAACATTTACAGAAACCCCAATACCTTCTCCTCATCACAGTCTCATCCTCCTTCCAAAAGTAATTATTATCCTGGCTTCTGCAGTCATCACTTCTTTTGAAATCTTTATGGTTTATTACGCAAGTGTGCATCCTTAAACACTATAGTTTAGTCTTGCCCATTAAAAAAATTCATATGCCTTTTATGTCACTTTTAATCTGCAATTAAAATTTTATAATTTGTCTCTTTTCCTTCTCCTCCTCCTTCTTTTCTCTTTCTCCTTTTTCTTCGTCTTCTTTTTCCTTCTTCCTTCTTCTCCTTTTCCTTCTCCTCCTCCTCTTCTCTTTCTCCTTCTTCTTCATCTTCTTTTTCCTTCTTCCTTCCTTCTCTTTCTCCTCCTCTGATTGATTTTTTGAATCAATCAAAAAAATCTCCTCCCTCCCCTCCTCCTTCCCTTTTTCTCTTCCTCCTCCCCCTCCTCGTCCTCCTCTTCCTCCTCCTCGTCCTCCTCTTCCTCCTCCTCCTTCTCCTCCTCCTTCTTTCTCCTTCTCCTCCTTCTCCTACTCCTGCTTCTCCTTCTTCTTCTCCTTCTCCTTCTTCTTCTTCCTCTTCTTGTTCTTCTTCTTCTATTTTCCTCTCTCTCTCTCCCCCCTCCCTCTCTTTCACCCTCTCCTCTCTCTCTCTCTCTCTCTCTCTCTCCCTCTCCCTCTCTGTCTCACCCTTCCTCTCTCTCTCTCCCCCTCCCTATCTCTCTCTCCCATCTTTCAAATAACTGGGCTTGGAGAATTTCCCATAGGCAGAGTTTCTTGATTACATACTTATGAAACAGGTCTACGTGACACCCTATCCTTTATATTTCCTGCAAATTGGAATTTGGATCAAGAGACTGGTTGATATTGGGGTTTAATCTTTTGTCAGTATTATAGGTGGTAGTATGTTCTTTTATCAGGAGACATGATATCTGGTTTTTGCTCTTTTTTGGCTATTGTTGTTAACAGCTATTGATGCTCATACCTGGATCTCTTAATTTATTATACAGGGTTGTATTCTAATTTTTTCAAGTTGCTTATATTTATTAGCTGTAATAATTTTACAAAAATATACTTCCCCTCGTCTACTATTTGGTTACCCATTGGTACAGTTCACAAAGAGAAAACAGGATAAATTCTTCGTCTTTTCCCCTTATTTGTTCAGTTTTCAAGATAATGAATCAATTTCTTATCATTCCCAGATGATGATAAAATGTGTATTTTTGTTCATAAATATTATTATGAACTCATGGATGGATTTAAGCATGATTTATGGATTTCAATCCATTGCAATATTAGCATTATTAAAGCTCAAAATTTCCTATCTTGGAACCGTTGGATTCCATTTTTAAGTTGTCTCCTGAGTTTTGTTTTGTTTTTGATATCACTCTGATAGTCTTTGACAGTTTTCTTGCTATCTGGTATGTAAAGATATTCCATGTCAATCTTGTACATTTATTGTCCCTAGCCTGAAATTAGCCATTTCTTTAAAAGGTTATGGTTTATTTTAAAGGGAAATTATGTGGTGACATCAGTCTGGGCCCCAGAGTTGCTCATTGATTCTGGATTGGTGGTAGTTTCTAGAACTTTTTAGTGGACTGATCTAGGAAATGTATGCATGTGTATCTACCTTTAACATTTAAATGCCTCATGAGTTTATACTGATAATTTCAATTCAAATTCAGAACTAAAAGGCTTTTTCTTACTCTGTTTTTCTTTTATTTTAAATTTTTGTGAGTACATAGTAGGTATGTATATTTATGGGGTGCATAAGATGTTTCGATACAGGCATGCAATGTGAAATAAACACATCATAGACAATGGGGGTATCCATCCCCTCAAACATTTATGCTTTGTGTTACAAACAGTCCAATTACACTCTTGTAGTTATTTAAGAATGTGCAATTAAGTTATTATTGACTATATTCCCCTGTTGTACTATCAAATAGTAGGTCTTATTCATTTTTTTCTTTTTGTATCCGTTTACCATCCCCACTTCCCCACTTCCCCCTGCTTCCCACTACCCTTCCCAGCCTCTGGTAACCATCCTCTATGTCCATGAGTTCAATTGTTTTGATTTTTAGATCCCACAAGTAAGTGAGAACAGCAATGTTTGTTTTTCTGTGTCTGGCTTATTTCACTTAACATAATGATTTCCAGTTCCATCCATGTTGTTGCAAATGACAGGATCTAATTTGTTTTTAAGGCTGAATAGTACTCCACTGTGTATATGTGTTACATTTTCTTTTCCATTCATTTGCTGATGGACACTTAGGTTGCTTTCAAATCTTAGCTATTGTGAACAGTGTTGTAGCAAACATGGAAGTGCAGATATCTTTTTGATATACTGATTTCCTTTCTTTTCGGTATATACCCAGCAGTGAGATTGCTGAATCATATGGTAGCTCAATTTTTAGTTTTTTTGAGGAACCTCCCAATTCTTTTCCATAGTGGTTGTACTAAGTTACATTCCCACTAACAGTGTATGAAGCTTCCCTTTGCTGTACATCCTTGTCAGCATTTGTAATTGTCTGACTTTTAAATAAAAGCCATTTTAACTGGGGTGAGATGATACTTCATTGTAGTGTTGGTTTGCATTTCTCTGATGATTAATGATATTCAGTGTCTTTTCATGTGCCTGTTTTCCATTTGTATGTCTTCCTTTGTGAAATGTCTATTCAAATCTTTTGACCCTTGATTGGATTATTAGATTTTTTCCTATAGTGTTGTTTGAGCTCCTTATATATTCTGGTTATTAATCTCTTGTCAGATGGGTAGTTTGTGAATATTTTCTCCATCCTGTGGGAAGTCTTGTAATTTTGTTGTTTCCTTAGCTGTGCAGAAGCTTTTTAACCTGATGTGATTCCATTTGTCCATTTTTGCTTTGGTTACCTGTGCTTGTTGGGTATTGCTCAAAGAATTTTTGTCCAAACCAATGTCCTAAAGAGGTTCCCGATATTTTCTTGTAGTAGTTTCATAGTTTGAGGTCTTAGGTTTAAGTCTTTAATCCACTTTGATTTGATTTTTGTATATGGCAGGAGATAGGGGTCTTCTGCATATGGATATCTAGTTTTCCCATCACCATTTATTGAAAAGACTGTCTTTTCTGCAGTTTATGTTCTTAACACCTTTGCTAAAATGAGTTTACTGTTAAATGTAAGGATTTGTTTTTGAGTTCTCTAGTCTATTCAATTGGTCAATATGTCTTTCTTTAGCCAGTGCCATGCTGTTTTTGTTACTATAGCTCTGTAGTATAATTTGAAGTCAGGTAATGTGATTTTTCCAGTTTTGTTCTTTTTGCTTAAGGATAGCTTTGGCTATTCTGGATCTTTTGCAGTTCCATATAAATTTCAGGATTTTTTTTCTACTACTTTGAAGAATATCATTGGTATTTTGATAGGGATTACACTGAATCTGTAGATTGCTTTGGGTAGTATGGACATTTTAAAAATATAGATTATTCTAATCTATGAACATGGAATATTTTTCCATTTTTGGTGTCCTCTTCAATTTCTTTCATCACTGTTTTATACTTTTGATTGTAGATACCTTTCACTTCTTTGGTTAATTCCTAGGTATTTAATTTTATTTGTGGCTATTGTATTTGGGATTACTTTTTTATTTCTTTTTAAGATTGTTCACTGTTGTCAAATAGCAATGCTACTGATTTTTGTATGTTGATTTTGTATCCTGCAACTATACCAAATTTGTTTATATGTTCTAATAGTTTTTCTCTGGAGTCTTGTTTTTCCAAATATAGGATTCTATCATCTGTAAACAAGGATAATTTTACTTCTTCCATTCCAGTTTGAATACCCTTTATATCTTTTTCTTGTCTGATTGCTCTAGCTAGGACTTCCAGTATTATGTTGAATAACATTGGTGAAAGTGGGCATACTTGTCGTGTTTCAAATCTTAGAAAAAAGGCTTTCAATTTTTCCCCATTCCATATGATACTACCGTGGGCCTGTCATATATGGCTTTTATTATGTTGAGGTATGTTCCTTCCATACTCATTTTTTTGAGGGTTCTCATCATAAAGGGATGTTGAGTTTTATCAAATGCTTTTTCAGCATCAATTGAAATGATCATATGGTTTTTATCCTTCATTTTGTTGATATGATGTATCACATTGATTGATTTGTATATGTTGAACCATCCCACGGATGGATCCCACTTCGTCATGATGATGGTCTTTCTAATGTATTAAGTTTGCTAGTATTTTGTTGAGGATGTTTGCATCACTATTCTTTAGATATATTGGCCTGTAGTTTTCTCTTTTTGATGTGTCTTTTTCTGGTTTTGGTATCAAGGTAATACTGGCCTTATGGAATGAGATTAAAACTATTCCCTCCTCTATTTTTTGGAATAGTTTGAATAGGATTGATATTAGTTCTTCTATAAATGTTTGGTAAAATTCCAGCAGTGAAGCCATCAAGTCTTGGACTTTTCTTTACTGAGAGATTTTTTATTATGGCATCAATCTCATTATTTGATGTTGATCTGTTCAGGTTTTGGGTTTCTTCATTGTTCAGTCTTGGTAGGTTGTATGTGTCTAGGAATTTGTTCATTTCTTCTAGATTTTCCAATTTATTGGCACATAGTTGCTTATGGTAGCCACTAATGATACTTTGAGTTTCTGCAGTATCAGTGGTAATGTTTCCTTTTTCATTTCTGATTTTATTTGTATCTTCAATCTTTTCTTCTAAGTATGGCTGAAGATATATCAATTTTGTTTAACTTTTCAAAAAAGCTATTTTTTATTTCATTGATCTTTTATGTTGTTTTCTTCATTCCAATTTCATTTTTTTCTGCTCGGATCTTTATTATTTCCTTTATTCTACTAATTTTGTGGTTGCTTTCCTCTTGCTTTTCTGGTTTTTTAAGATGCGTCATTAGATTGTTTATTTGAACTTTACCCTCTTTTTAAATGGAGGCACTTATAGCTACAGTCTTCCCTCTTAGTATGTTTTCACTGTATCCAATAGGTTTTGGTACATTGTGTTTCCATTATCATTTGCTTCAATACATTTTTCAACTTTATTCTTAATTTCTTCATTGACCCACTGTAATTCAGGAGCATATTGTTAATTTCCGTGTATTTGTACAGTTTCCAAAATTCTGCATGTTATTAATTTCTAGTTTTATTTCACTGTGGTCAGAGAAGGTGCTTGATATTATTTCAATTTTTTGAATGTTTTAAGACTTGTTTTGTGACCTAACACATAATCCATCCTTTATAATAATCCATGTGCTGAGGGAAAGAATGTGTATTCTGCAGCTGTTGGATGAAATGTTTTGTAAATATCTATTGGATCCATTTGCTCTATAGTACAGATTTAAGTCCAATGTTTCTTTATTGATTTTCTGTCTGGAGGATCTATCCAATGTTGAAAGTGGGGTGTTAAAGACTCCAGCTATTATTGTATTGGGGCTTATCTCTCTCTTTAGCTCTAATAATATTTGCTTTATATATTTGGGTGCTCCAGTGTTGGGTGCATATATATTTAAAATTGTCACATTCTATTGCTGGATTGACCCCTTTATCATTATATAATGACTTTTTTCTCTTTTTATAGTTTTTATCTTGAAATCTATTTTGTCAGATATAAGTATAGTGACTCCTGCTCTTTCGGTTTCCCTTGACATGGACTATCTTTTTCCATCTCTTTATTTTCAGTCTATGTGTGATTTTATAGGTGAAGTATGTTTATTGTTTTGACTGGAGAGTTTAGTCCATTTACATTCAATGTTGTTATTGATAAGTAAGGACTTACTCCTGCCATTTTGTTATTTGTTTTCTGGTTGTTTTGTGGTCTTCTCTTCTTTTTTCCTTTCTTCCTTTAGTGAAGGTAATTTTCTTCGGTGATATGATTTAGTTTCTTGCTTTTTATTTTTTGTGTATCCATTGTATGTTATTTGATTTGAGGTTATCTTGAGGCTTGCAAATATTTATAACCCATTATTTTAACTTGATAACAACTCAACACTTTGCATAAACAAACAAGCAGAAAGAAAACTAATAAAACTCTATGCCTTAACTTTGTCTTATGCTTTTTAACATTTTGTTGTTTCTATTTATATCTTATTGTACTGTTTATGTCTTAAAAAGTTGTAGTTGTTATTTTTGATTCATTCATCATTTAGCCTTTCTACTTAGGATAAGAGTAGTTTATACACCACAGGTACAGTGTTATAATATTCTGTGTTTTTCTGTGTATTACTGTTACCTGTGAACTTTGTACCTTCAGGTGATTGCCTATAACTCATTAACATTCTTTCTTGCTGATTGATGCACTCCCTTTAGCATTTCTTGTAGGACAGGTCTGGGGTTGATGAAATCCCTCAGCTTTAGTTTTTCTGGGAAAGTTTTTATTTCTCTTTCATGTGTGAAGGTTATTTTCACCAAATATATTATTTTAGGGTAAAAGTTTTTTCCTTCAGCACTTTAAAGATGTCATGCCACTCTCTCCTGGCCTGCAAGATTTCCACTGAAAAGTCTGCTGCCAGACATATTGGAGCTCCATTGTATGTTATTTGTTTTCTTTCTCTTGCTGCTTTTAGGATCCCTTCTTTATCCTTGTTTTTTGATAGTTTGATTATTAAATGCTTTGAGGTAGTCTTCCTTGGGTTAAATCTGCTTAGTGTTCTGTAACCTTCTTGTACTTGGATATTGATTTGTTTTCTTAGGTTTGGGAAGTCCTCTGTTATTATCCCTTTGAAAACATTTTCTACCTGTGTTTCTTTCTCTACCTCCACTTTAGGGCCAATAACTCTTAGATTTGCCTTTTCGAGGCTATTTTCTAGATCCTGTAGGTGTGCTTCCTTGTTTTTAATGGTTTTTTCTTTTGTTTACTCTGACTGTGTATTTTCAGATACCCTGTCTTCAAGCTCACTAAATCTTTCTTCTGCTTGATCAATTCTGCTTTTAGGAAACTCTGATGTACTCTTTAGTATGTTAATTACATTTCCCAGTTCCAGAATTTCTGCTTTATTCTTTTTAATTATTTCATTTTTTTTGTTAAACTTATCTGATATAAGTCTGAATTTCTTCTCTGTGTTGTCTTCAATTTCTTTCAGTTTCCTAAATAAAGCTATTTTGAATTCTCTCTGAAAGTACAGATACGTCTGTTTCTCCCGGATTGGTCTCTGGTGGCTTATTTAATTTATTTGGTGAGGTCATGTTGTCCTGGATGGTGTTGATGTTAGTAGATGTTTGTTGGTGTCTGCGCATTGAAGAGTTAGGTATTTATGTAGTCTTCACTGTCTGGGCTTTTTTGTAGCTGTCCTTCTTGGGAAGGCTTTCTAGATATTTGAAGTCTTGGGTATTGTAATCTAGCTTTATCTGCTTTAGGGGGCACCCCAAGCCCAGTAACACTATGGTTCTTTCAGATTCATAGAGGTAACACCCTGATGGTCTTCGACAAGATCTGGGAGAATTCTCTGGATTACCAGGGAGAGACCCTTGTTCTCTTCCTTTGCTTTGTCCCAAACATACAGAGTCTCTCTCTCTCTCTCTCTGTGCTGAGTCACCTACAGCTGGGGGTTGAGTGACACACACACCTCTTTGGCTACCACCATTATGACTGTGCTGGGTCAGACCTGAAGCCAGCATAGCATGGATCTTGCTCAAGGCCTGCTGTAACTACTCCCTGGCTACTGCCTATGTTTACTGAAGGCCCTGAAGGCCCAAAGCCAGCCACACTGTGCCCCTCCCTTCATGGTGGTGTGTTCCTCCAGGCCCCAAGCAGGTCTAGAGGTGCTATCTAGGAGTTAGGGACTAGAGAAAAAACCCTAGTTTACCTGGTGTTTTATTGTACCGTGGCTGAGCTGGCACTCAAACCATGAAGCACAGCTCTTCCCACCCTTCCCTTCCCTTTCCAAAGACACTGCCTGTGGCCACTGCCTGTAGCCACTGCCTGTAGCCACTGCCTGTAGCCACTGCCACCATAGGCCCTGGGGAGTACTGCCAGACTATAGCTGATGTTCTCTTGAAGGGCTCTTAAGTCAGCTTGTGGTGAATGTTGCCTGGCTGGCCTCACCCTTCAGGGCAGTGGGCTCCTCTCTGGCTCAGGGCAGGTCCAGGGATGCCATCCAAGATGCAAGTCCTGGAATTGGGAACCTCAAGGACTCACTTGGTTCTCTACCCACCTATGGCCATGCTGGTAGATAAAGTACAAGACAAAGCCTCCTTTGTTTTTCGCTCTGCTTTTCTCAAGCAGAAGGAGTTTCATCCCATAGCCACCACAGCTGGTTATGTGCTGAGTCTCACCTGAAGCCAGCACATCTCAGAGGGGTCACCCAAGGCCCTTGATGTTAGTACCTGGATATCGCTGCTGGTTATTCAGGGCCCATAGTTTCTTCAGTTTATTCAGCAGGTGATGAATGCTGCCAGAACTGGGTCCCTCCCTTCAAGGCAGCAGGTTCCCTTCTGGCCCAGTATGGGTCTAGAAATGTCATCTGGGAGTTAGGCCCTGGAATGAGGGCCTCACAAGTCTGATCAGTGCCCTATCCTGTGGTGGCTGAGCTGGTATCCAAGATGCAAGATAAAGTCCTCCCCACTCTTCTGTCTCCTCTCCTCAAGTGGAAGGAAGGGGTCTTGTTTGAAGACTATAGTTGTGCAGCCTGGGGTTAGGTGAGGGGTGGTGCCAGTACTCCTTTAGCTATTCCAGCTGGTGTCTTAATAGGTTGTATTCCCTTACCCACCCCCACCCCCAACCAACACACACAAACCAGTATACTGTCTCTGAGCCCAGTTTAGCACTAGGACTCACCTAAGAGTTGCAGTCCTTATGGCCTAGACTACCTTTCAGGTTAACTTAGAGACCCAGAGCAGTTTAGCCTGTAGTGGCCAGGTTTGCGAGAACTCCAGTTTGGATTGCTAGGATCAGTGATTTCCCACTGTTTTGGGCTGGTTTAAGTGCTCCCTCCATGGATGGATGTCAGCTGAGTTTGGTCTGGTTTTCCTTTCTGCTCTAACAAGACAGCACTGAGTTTGATGCCTCACAATTACTGTGTTCTCCCTCCCTCAGCATCCAGAGACACTTTCTGCACCAAGCTGCCACTGCTGGGGGTGGGAGGGGTGGCATTGGTGAGTCAAGACTGTTCTTCTATTTTTTTTTTTAGTGCCTCTTTTAGCAATATAAAGTTAAAACCACGACTATGAGGGGCTCACCTGAATTTTAGTTCTTATGAAGGTTTTTTTTTTTTTTTCTGTGTAGATAGTTGTTAAATTACTGTCCTTGTTGGGGGGACAATCAGTGGAACTTTCTATTTCACCATCTTGCTCCACCTCCACACACAGTTTTACTTATATTTGTATTTATTTCTTTTCTTCCACCCTAAGAATGATGTTTCTAAAGGACATAGAGATGGATAGAATTAAAATATTTCATAATTACTAATATATGCCTAAGGTTGTTCTAAGTTGACATCTTCAGATGTCATATTGTATTCTTTCAATATATAGTTTCAATATTTTTAAATTTTTTTTAGTTATAGTTTATAGTATTTGTTCTGTTCCTCTGCTTTGATTATATTCTTTGGTGACATATATGTATATTGGATCTTCTTTGCCTTTCCTAAATGTTTCTCACTCATTATTGCATTGTCTTAATGTTTATAAATTGAAGTGTTTCTGTTCACATCATTTAGCCAAGGAACTTCAGCTTTTGGGCTGGATTGTACATTTCTTGGAGTGCAATTGTTTTGGTTGTATGGGGTCAGGATATTTTGCTACAATACAGTTCATTCACTCAACAAATATTTGTAGAGAGCCTACTATGTACCAGGCAATGTCCTAAGCCAGTTATGAGCAGGACAGAGTGGAAATACACTTTGTAAGCTTAGAGATATTGACCAAATAATTAGTGTAATTCACAATTTGAACAAGTTCACCCAAAGTTGTCCTATGATAATTTATGTTAAAGGGATGTGTTAGTTTTCAAGTGCTGCTGTAACAAACTGCCACAAACTTTATGGCTTAAAAGAATATACATTTATTATCTTACAGTTCTGGACATTAGAAACCCAAAGTGGGGCTCACTGGGCTAAAATCAAAGTGTCTGGAGGATCTAGGGGAAAAACTGTTTCCTTGTTCATTCCGCCTTTTAGAGGTCATCTGCATTCCTTGGCTTGTGACTGTCTTCATTCATCTTCAAAGTTAACAATGGTGGGCTGAGTTATTTTCATATTTACTCTGATCCTCTTCTGCTCCCTTTTCCACAACTGAGTGATTACATTGCACCCACCTGGATAGTCCAGGATACTCTATTTTAAGGTCAGCTGGTTGGCAACCTTGCTTTCATCTGCAATTTTATTTCCTTCTTTTCCATGTAATGGAACATGATCCACTTTACAGGGATTAGAGCATTTTGGGTAGGGGAGGTCATTATTCTACCTACCAACATGGGTCATAATTTATCTACAACAGGAGTGGTCAGGAAAGGTTATTTTTGAGATATTGACATTTTCATTGAAGCTCAAAAAATACATGGGAATTGGATAGGTGAAAAGAAAATAGAAATACAGAGGAGATTGCAGGTCACCAAGTTGGAGGCTGTTACAGTAGTCCAGATGGGAAATAAGGCTGGCTTAGGCAAAAATGGTGTCAATAGAACTGTAATTGGAGAGAAATGGATAGATTCAGGATAGTAGTAATCCACTTTCAAGCACTGAAATAAGAACTTATTATCTTCAGTTGTGATTTTATTTATTATTTTCAATTCAAAAATTGTGTTAAATACACATAACAAAATTTATGATCTTAACCATTTCACATGTACAGTTCAATGGAATTAATTACATTCATAATGTTGAGCAGCCATCACCATCATCAATCTCCAGAACTCTTTACATCTTGTAAAACTGAAACTCTATACCCATTAAACAACATCTCACCATGCTCCCTCTCCCTCAGCCCTTGGCAATCACCATTCTACTTTCTGTCTCTAAAAATTTGACTACTGACTACACTAATTGTCTCAGGTAGGTGGAATTACACAGTATTTATCTTTTCGTGACTGGCTTATTTCACTTAGCATAATGTCCTCAGGTTCATGGATGTTGTAGCATATGTTAGATTTTTCTTCCTTTTTAAGGCTAAATATTATTCCACTCTATATGTATACACTACATTTTGCTTATCCATTTAGCTGTTGATGGACACCTGGGTTGCTTCCATGTTGTTACTATTGTAAAACATGCTGCTATGAACACAGGTATACAGATATCTCTTTGAGACCTTGCTTTCAATTCTTTTGAGTATATATCCAGAAGTGAAATTGCTGGAGCATATAGTAATTTTATTTTTATTTTTAAAAATTGATACATGATATTTTACATATGGATGGGATGCATGTGATATTTTGCTGCATGCATAGAAGGTGTAATGATCAAGTCAGGGCATTTAGGGTGTCCATCACCTTGAATATTTGTCATTTATTTGTGTTGGGAATATTTCAAGTTCTCTCTTCAAGCTACTTTGAAATATATGATACATCGTTGCTAACTATAGTGGAATGACTACTGGTGCTAGTTATTCCATTTTCTACTTCCATAAGGTAAACTGTTTTAGCTCCCATATATGAGTGAGAACATGCAAAATTTATCTTTTTGTGTTTAGCTTATTTCACTTAACACAATGATCTTTAGTTCTATCCATGTTGCTGCAAATGACATGATTTCATTCTTTGTTATGGCCAAGTCATATCCCATTATGTATATATACCACATTTTCTTTATCCTTTACCCATTGATAAACACTTAGGTTGGTTCTATATATTTGCTATTATGAATAGTCCAATAAACATACAACATACCCCTTTGCTGTACTAATTTACATTCCTACCAACAGTGTATAAGAGTTCCCTTTTCGCCATGTCCTCACCAGCACCTGCTACTTTTTTTTTTTTTTTTTTTTTCTGAGACGGAGTTTCACTCCTGTTGCCTAGGCTGGAGTGCAGTGGTGCAATCTCGGCTCACTGCAACCCCCGCCTCCTGGGTTCAAACAATTCTCCTGCCTCAGCCTCTGAAGTAGCTGGGATTACAGGCACATGCCACCACGCCCAGCTAATTTTTGTATTTTTAGTAGAGATGGGGTTTCGCCATGTTGGCCAGGCTGGTCTTGAACTCCTGACCTCAGGTGATCCACCCTCCTCGGCCTCCCAAAGTGCTGGGATTACAGGAGTGAGCCACTGTGCCCGGCCCATTTTTTTTTCCCAATAGTAGCCATTGTAATTGGGATAATATGATATCTCATTGTGGTTTAGATTTGCATTTCTCTGATGATTAGTGATGTTGAACAATTTTTCATGTGTCTGTTGGCCATTTGTGTGTCTTCTTTTGAGAAATGTCTATTTATGTCTTTTCTCCACTTTTTTTGAGACAGGATATTGCTGTGTTGCCCAGGCTGGAGTGCAGTGGCACAGTCATAGCTCACTGCAGTCTCAAACTCCTGGGTTCAAGTGATCTTCCTACTTCAGCCTCCTGAGTAGCTAGGACTACAGGTGCACACCACCATGCCTAGATAATTTAATTTTTTTCTTTACAGACAGGTTCTTGCTCTGTTGCACATGCTGGTCTTTAACTCCTAGCCTCAAGCAGTTCTTCTGCCTCAGCCTCCCAAGTAGCTAGGATTACAGGCACAAGCTACCATGCCCAGCTTTTACCCACTTTTTAACAGGATTATCATTATTATTTACTGTTGAATTCTTTTAGTTCCTTGTATATTTTGAATATTAGCTCCTTGTCAGAGAAATAAGTTTACAAATATTTTCTTCCATTCAACAGACTGTCTCTTCTCTATGTTGATTGTTTCCTTTGCTGTGCAGAAACTTTTTAGTTTAATATATATA
This sequence comes from Homo sapiens, assembly GCF_000001405.40. Taxonomy (NCBI): domain Eukaryota; kingdom Metazoa; phylum Chordata; class Mammalia; order Primates; family Hominidae; genus Homo; species Homo sapiens. The sequence continues at coordinate 88,428,467 of NC_000001.11, read as the reverse complement.
GTCCTGTTTGTCTATTTTTGTTTTTGCTGTCTGTGCTTTTGAAGTCTTAGCCTAAACCAATGTCCTGAAGTGTTTTCCCTAGGTTTTCTTCTAGTATTTTAATAGTTTTGGGTTTTATGTTTAAGTTTTTAATCCATCTTGGGTTGATTTTTGTATATGATGAGAGATAAGGGTCCAGTTTCATTCTTTTGGATATGGATATCTAATTTTCCCAGCACTATTTATTGAAAAAGTTGTCTTTTTCCCAGGTATGTTCTTGGCATTTTTTTAGAAAAACCAGTTGACAGTAAATATGTGAACTTATTTCTGTATTCTCTATTCTGTTCCATTGGTCCATGTGTCTGTTTTTATACCAATACTGTGCTGTTTTAGTTACTATAACCTTGTAATATAGAGTAAGGAATTGTGATGCCTCTAGCTTTGTTCTTTTTGCTCAGGACTGCTTTGGCTATTTTGGCTCTTTTTTGGTTCCATAAAGATTTTGGGATTTCTTTTTTTCTATTTCTGTAAACAATGATGTTGGTATTTTCATAGGGATCACATTGAATCTATAGATTGCTTTGGGCAATATAGTTATTTTAATATTAATTATTCCAATCCATAAGCATGGAATGTCTTTCTATTTGTTTGTGTCATCTTCAACTTTTTTTCATCAGTGTGTTGTACTTTTCCTTGTGGAGGTCTTTTACGTCCTTGGTTAAACTTATTCCTAGGCACTTTTTTTGGTAACTCTTGTAAATGGGATTGTCTTCTCGATTTCTTTCTTGGTTACTTAATTGTTGGTGTATAGAAATGCTACTGATTTTTGTATGTCGACTTTGTATCCGGAAACTTTACTGAATTCATTTATCAAATCTTAGCTAAGAAGTGTTTTTTGTTTTTTGGGAAAGTCTTTAGGTTTTTCTAGATATAAGGTTAATATCATCAGCACTCTTTCCTGGCCTGTAAGGTTTCCACTGAAAAGTCTGCTCCCTGATGCATTAGAACTCCTTTGTATATTATTTGTTCTTTTATTTTGCTGGTATTAGAATCCTTGGTTTTTGCTGGTTTGATTATTAAATGTCTTGAGGTAGTCTTCTTTGGGTTAAATCTGCTTAGTGTTCTATAACCTTTGTCTACTTGAATATTGATATCCTTCTGTAGGTTTGGGAAGTTCTCTGTTATTATCCCTGAGGATAAACTTTCTAGCTCAATGTCTTTCTCTGTCTCCTAAGGCCAATACATTTTAGGTTTGTCCTTTTAAGGTTATTTTCTAGGTGTTTTAGGTGTGCTTCATTCTTTTTTATTCTTTGTCCTTTTGTCTCCTCTAACTGTATTTTCAAATAGCCTGTCTTCAAGCTCACTGATTTTTTCTTCTGCTTGATCATTTCTGCTATTAAGAGAATCTGATGCATTCTTCAGTGTGTCAGTTGCATTTTTCAGCTCCAGAATGTCTGCTTCTTTTTAATTATTTCAATTTCCTTAATTAAATTTATCTGAGAGATTTCTGAATTCCTCCTCTGTGTTGTCTTGACTTTCTTTGAGTTTCCTCAAAACATATATTTTGAATTATCTGTCTGAAAGGTCACATATCTTTGTTTCTTCAGGATTGATCTCTGCTTCTTTATTTAGTTTGTTTGGTGAGGTCTTGTTTTCCTGGATGGTGTTTATGCTTGCTGATGTTCACCAGTGTCTCGGCATTGAAGAGGTAGGTATTTATTTTAGTCTTTGCAGTATGCACTTGTTTGTACCCTTCCTTCATGGGAAGGCTTTCCAGATATTTGAAAGGATTTGGGTGTTGTGATCTAAGTTGTGTCTGCATTAGGGGGCACCAAATCCCAGTAACACTGTGGTTCTTGCAGACTTGTAGAAGTACCACCTTGGTGGTCTTGGATAAAGTCTGGAATAATTCTCTGGGTTATCAGGAAGAGGCAGCCACTCTTGTTTTCTTTTCTTACTTTCCCCCAAACAAATGGTGTCTCCTTGTTCATGCTGAGCCACCTGTGGCTTGTGGTGACGTGACACAAGCACCCTTTTGGCCACTACCACTGGGACTGCACTGGGTCAGACCTGACACCAGCACAGCAATGGATTTCACTCAAAGCCCACTGTAACCACTACCTGTCTACCACCCTTGTTCCTTCAAGGCCTAGGCCTCTGCAATCAGCAAGTGGTGAAGCCAGCCAGGTTTGCATCCTTCTCTTCAAGGCAGCATGTTCCCCCAGGCCCCAGTTGGGCCCAGGGATGCTTCTAGGAGCTAGGGACTGGAGTTAAAAATCTTAGAAATCTGCTTGGTGTTCTATTCTATTGTGCTTGAGCTGGTTCTCAAACCATAATATGTAATTCTTCCCACTCTTTCCACCACTTTCCGCAGGCAGAGGAGCCTCACCCCATAGCCATCACATCCAAGGTCCCATGGGGAGTACTGCCAGGCTATCACCAATGTTCACTTGATGCCCACAGGCTTTTCAGTGAGCTTATGGTGAATGCCGCTAGGCCTGGGACTCATTCTTCAGGGCAGTTGACTCCCCTTTGGCCCAGGGGAGCTCCACAAATGCCATCTAAGAGCCAAGTACTGAAATCAGGGATCCCAAAAGCCCACTTAATGCTCTGCCCCATCGTGGCCAAGCTGGTACCTAAGGTGGAAGACAAAGCTTTCTTTACTTTTCTCTTTGCTTTTGTCAAGGAGAAGGTATCTCTCATTGTAGCCACCACAGTTAAGAATATGCTGTGTCACACCTGAAGCCAGTGTGTCTTACAGTTTCACCTAAGACCCACGACATACTACCTGAATATCATTGCTGGTTTTTAGGGTTCAAGGGCTCTTAAGTCAGAAGATGATGGATCCTGTCAGGACTGGGTCCTTCTCTTCTAGGTAGTGAATTTCCTTCTGGCCCAGGGTGTGTCTAGAAATGCTGTCCGGGAGCTAGGGTGAGGAATGGGGGCTTTACAACTCTGGCCAGTGCCATATTGGTATCCAACATGCAAGACAAAAGGCTTCTTTACTCTTCCCTCTCCTTGAGCTGAAGGAAGGGATCTCTTTTGGAGCCATGAGGTGTGTTGCCTGGAGTTGTGGGAGTGATGGCACAACCACTCCCTTAACTTCCCCAGCTGGTGTCTCAGCAAGTCACAAGTCCCCTAGGTCCACTGTGTCTGAACCCAGTAGGAGAGTTGCAGTCCTTGTGGTCTAGACTGCCTTTCGAGGTTATTTAGGACCCCATAATACTTGAGCCCTCAGCTTTCCCAGAACTCAAGTTTCAACTACTGCAATGGGTAATTACCCTCTGGCTAGGGCTGATCTGAATGCTTTCTGCATGGACAGGTGTCAGCTGATTTCAGCATGGTTTGCTTTCCACTGTGACAGAGCAGCACTGAGTTCAATGCAAAGTCTCATAGTCACTGAGCTCTCCCTCTCCCAAGCACACAGATCTCTTTTTTGCCATGTGTCTGTTGTAGGGGGATGGGAGAGGGGTGGCATTAGCATTTCAAGACTGTATTTTCTGCCCTTTTCATCACGTCTTTTAGTGAGAGGAAGTTAAAACCAGGTACTTCGAGTGCTCACCTAATTTTTGTTTCTTATGATGGTGCTTATGATGGTGGTTTTTGAATTTGGTATTCCTGTCGTCGGGGGGAAAAATCAGTGGGGCCATCTATTCAACTATCTTACTCTACCCATTTTGTCCCTTACACATTTATGATAGGGCTGTTCTAGTGGTGATGAAGTCCCCCAGCTTTTGCCTGTCTGAGAAGGACTGTATTTATTTATCCTCCATTTATGAAGAATAATTTTGCTGGAATATGGTATCATTGGTTGGCTTTTTTTTTTAACCCAACACTTCGAATATATCATCTCATTCTCTCTTTGTCTTCTGAGAAATTTGCTGTTAGTCTCATGGGGATTCCTTTATAGGTGACTAGATGTTTTTCTCTTCCTGATTTTAAAATTTTCTCTTTGTTTTTGACTTTTGATCATTTGACTATAATATGCTTTGGAGAATAACTTTTTGCATTGTATCTATTTGGGAGTCTTTGAGCCTCCTCTATCTGGATGTCTATATCTCTTGCTAAACTTGGGAAGTTTTAATCTATTATTTTATTAAATAGGTTTTCTAACTTTTTCATTTTCTCTTTGCATTCTGGGACACCAAAAATTTGTATATTGGGTTGCTTTATAATGTCCCATATGTCATAAAGTCTTTGCTTATTGTTTTCTATTCTTTTTTAAATTTATTTTTATATCAGAATTATTTCAAAAGACTTGTCATTCTTTCTTCTGCTTGATCTAATCTATTGTTGAAGCTTTTACATGAATTTTGTATTTCATTCAATAAATTCTTTAAATCCAGAATTTCTGTTTCTTTAAAAAATCTCTTTGTTAAATTACAAATTCATATCCTGAATTGTTTTTCTAATTTGTTTGTATTGTCTTTTAGAATTCTGTTATATCTCACTGAGCTTTAGAACCAATATTTTGAATTTTTTCTGGAATTTCATAAATTTCTTTTCAATGGAGATCTGTTGCTGAATAATTATTGTGTTCCTCTGGAGGTGTAATTTTTTGTTGTTTTGTTTTTTCATGTCCTTACACTGATGTCTGTGAATTTGGTGTAACAGTCACTTCTTCCATTTTATTTTTTTAAATTTGGTTTCATAGGGGAAGACTTTTTCCTAATGATTTGTCTATGGTGTTAGCAGGGTAGGGTATATTGGTTTTGGCTCTGAGTGTGTGCAGTAGCATTTTCTCTGTATTATTTTTTCAACTGTGAATAGCATTAGTGATGTCTATAATTTCCTTGGTGATTTAGGCTATGCTTATTATTGGAGGTTGTAGTAAAATTTTGATGGGAAGTGGAATGCCAGGTGGGCCTGTCTTCATGCCCCATTGCTGGGAGTGGTGGACTGATTGTTCCCGTTCTTTGCTCCCAGGCAGCATATACTGGCATTGGTATCAGTGGCTACAGGCAGGCCCATTCTTGGGCTTCTAGGTGGCTTGCTCAGATGCTGTTAGTGGCAGTGGCAGGCTGGGTAGGCGGGAGGGTTTTTAGGTCTCCAGAAAGGCATGTGGCATGGATGATAGCAATAGTAGTGGTGGGGTTACTCTCTGGTTCTGAATGGTGTACATTGGTTTTGGCAGTGGTGGTGATGAGTTGGGCAGGCCAGTCTCCAGGCCTATAGGTTGTATGTGCAGGTAGGTGCCAGGTATGGTGGTAGTGGCAGGGTGGATAGGCCCAACCTCAGGTACCTGGAAAGAATTCTCAGGTGCCAACAGTGTTGGACTGGGCTGGGCAATCTCCAGGCCTCCGGACTACCTGATCTGGTACAGGTGAGGGTGAGCTAGGCGGGGCAGGCTTGTATTCAGGCCCCTTTGTGGTGTATGCAGACACCTGTCATGGTTGGTAGCAGTGAGGCAATTCCCAGACCCTCAGCAGAATATTTGGGCTGGGGGCAGCAGAGACTGTGCTGTGGCCTTGCTACTGGGGAGGGCAGGCTACCCTCAGTGGTGGCATCCTATGCTGGTGAGTGGGAAACATGCACCCCTTTTGTGCCTCAGCCTTGCATATAGTAGCCTCTGCCTTGCTCATGCCTCAGTTCCAGTTGCGGCAGTCCGTGCCTTGCTTGTGTTTCAGCCCTTGCAGCAGACTGCACTTTGCTCATGCCTCAGCTCTGGTGCCATTGGGCCCCAGAACAGTGCACAGTCTGTTGTGAGCTGGGCTCTCAAAATGGCACATTGGGCTGCTGCTTAGGACTCAGGAAACTGTGGGACCAGTGCAGGCTCCTTCCCTGAGGCAGTGCGGTCATGTAGTCTCCAGACAGCTCTCTATGTCTTGTCTGTTTCAGGGCCCTCAAGGGTCTAGGTGCTCTCCTGTGGCTAGGATTGCAGAGGTCTATGGTGGGAATGTAGATCACTAGGGGTCTCTCACTTACCCTTTCCCAATATTGCAGTCTCTCTGGGATCTTAGCTGATCCTGGCCAAGCAGGCTGCCTCATTTTCCTTTCTTCCTTGCTTAAGGTATTTCCTGGCACCTTTCTATTCAACTCCAGTGTTCTCTCTTGGCTGATCTATTTGAACTGTAATTATCTACTCACTATTTTAGCTCTTTTTAGTAGAGGAGGTGAATAAGAGATGCTTGTATTCAGCCATTTGAAGCCTCCGCTATTTTTAGTTTTTAAGAAACCAGTCTTTTTTTTATGATGGCTGAATCATTTTACATTCCCATCAACAGTGTGTAAGGGTTCCAGTTACTCCACATTCTCTCCAACACTTACTTGTTAGTTTATTTTATTTTTGTGGGTAGCAAATATAAAACTTTAATGCATGTGATGTGGTGTCTCATAGTTTTGATTTGCTTTACTTAATGATTAGTCATATTTTCTCATGTCATTTTTAGCCATTTGTATATGTTCTTTGGAGAGGTGCCTATTGAAGTCCTTTGCCCATTTTTGAATCTAGGTGTTTGTTTTTGTTATTACTGAGTTTTAGAAGTTCTCTCTATGTTTTGGGTATTAATCCCTTATCAAATATATGATTTGCAAATATTTTCTCTCATTCTGTGTGTTGCCTTTTTACATCGTTGATAGTATTTTCTGATGCACAAAACGTTTTACTTTTCATGGAGTCCAATTTATCAATTTTTGTTTTTGTGGTCTATGCCTTTCATATTCAAAGTCATTGCTAAATCCAATGGCATAAAACTTTTGCCCTATCTTTTCTTCTAAAAGTTTCACAGTTTTAGGTTTTACACTTAGGTCTTTAACACATTTTGAGTTAATTTTTGCATATGGTGTTGGGTAGGGGTCTAATTTTATTATTTGCATGTGAATATTGAGTTTTCTTAGTACCATTTGCTGAAAAGACTGTTCTTTCCACATTGAGTGGTTTTTGGCATCATTGTCAAAAATGACTGACTATATATGCAGGGTTTTTTTTTTGTTCTCCCTTCTATTCCACTGGTCTATAAATCTTTCTTTATGAAGGCATTACACTCTTTTGATTACTGTAGTTTTGTAGTAAGTTTTAAATCATGAAGTGTGAGTTCTCCAGCTTTATTCTTCTTTTTCAAGATTGTTTTTGCGAATCTGCATCCCTTTAGATTCCAAATGAATTTTAGAATTTTTTTTCTATTTGTGCAAAACATCATTGAGATTTTGATGGGTATTGCATTGAATCTGTAGATTACTTTGGTTAGTATTTTAGGCTGTTCTTGCCTTTTAAAAATTACTGAGGCTGGGTAATTTATAAAGAAAAGACATTTAATTGGCTCAGAGTTCTGTAGGCTGTACAGGAAGCATGATGCTGGCATCTGTTCAGCTTCTGGAAAGGCCTCAGGAAACTTGCAATCATGCTGGAAGATGAAGGGGGAGCAGGCACATCATATGGCCAGAGCGCGAGCAAGAGAGAATAGGGAAAGGTGCCACACACTTTTAAAGGACCAGATCTCATGAGAATTCACTCACTATCATGAGGACAGCACCAAAAAGACGATGCTAAACCATTTATTAGAAAACCACCCCCATGATCCAATCACCTTCCACCAAGCCTGATATGGTTTGCCTCTGTGTCCCCACCCAAATCTCATCTGGAATTGTAATCCCCACATGTCAAGGGAGGGTTCTGGTGGGAGGTGATTGGATCATGAGAACAGTTTCCCTCAATGCTGTTCTCGTGATAATTAGTGAGTTCTCATAAGAGCTGATGGTTTAAAGTGTGGCACTTCCATGCTCTTGCTCTTCCTGCCATCATGTAAGACATGTCTTGCTTCCCTTTGCCTTCTGCCATGATTGTAAGTTTCCTGAGGCCCCTCCACCTATGCAGAACTGTGAGTCAATTAATCCTCTTTTGTTTATAAATCATCCAGTCTAAGGTAGTGTCTTTATGGTGGTGTGAAAACGGACTAATACAAAGCTTCAACTCTGACACTGGGGATTATATTTCAACATGAGATATGGGCAGGGATATACATCCAAACTATATCATTTTGTTCCTGGCCCCTCTCAAAGCTCATGTCCTTCTCACATTTCAAAATACAATCATACCTTCCCAATAATTCCACAAAATCTTAACCCATTCCAGTGTTAACTCAAAAGTCCAGAGTCCAAAGTCTCATCGTAGACAAGAGAAGTCCCTTCCACTTACCAGCCTGTAAAATAAAAAAACAGGTTAGTTACCTCCAAGATACCATGGGGGTACAAGCACTGGGTAAACATTCCTGTTTCAAAAGGGAGAAATTGGCCAAAATAAAGGCACTACAGGACCCATGCAAATCCAAAACCCAGCAGGGCAGTTACTAAATCTCAAAGCTCCAAAATAATAACCTTTGACTCCGTGTCTCACATCCAGGACACACTGATACAGGTTGTGGGCTCCTGATATTGGGGAAGGTTGAAGATTCTCTGGGGACCCTCCCTTATCTGCTTCCTGCATCTATCAGTAGTATTGACATCTTAGCAATATTAATTCTTCCAACCCTTGAACATGAGATATGTTTTCAGTTATATATTTTAAAATTTCTTTTAGCAATGTTTTATAGTTTTTATCATGCAAGTCTTTCTCCTTAAGTTAATTTCTAAGTATTTTATTATTTTTGATGCTATCATAAACGGAATTTTCTTAATTATTTTAGGTTGTTAATTATTAATGTATAGGAATGCTACTGATTATTGTGCATTGACTTTACATCTTGCTAATTTGATAAGTTCACTTATTAGTTTTAACAGTTTCTTGGTGAGGAATCTTTAGAGTTTTCTACATATAAGATCATGTCATGTGCAAATAGAGGTAATTTTACTTCTTTCTATCCAATGTGGATCTTTTTTATTTTTAAATTTTTTTATTTTTAATTTTTGTGGCTACATGGTAGGTGTATATTATTATGGGCTACATGAGATGTTTTGACACAGGCATGCAATGTGAAATAAACACATTATGGACAATGGGATATCCATCTTCTCAAGCATTTATCCTTTGAATTATAAACAACCCAGTTACACTCTTTAAGTTATTTTATAATGCACAACTAAGTTATTATTGATTGTAGTCACCCTGTTGTGCTATCAAATAGTAGGTCTTATTCATTCTTTCTAACTATATTTTTGTACCCATTAACCACCCCCACCTCCCACTACCAGCTCCCCACTATGCTTTCCAGCCTCTGGTAGCCATCTTTCAACTCTCTGTGTCCATGAGTCTAATTGTTTTGGTTTTTAGATTCCAAAAATAATTGAGAACATGTGATATTTGCTTTTCTGTGTCTGGCATATTTCACTTAACATAATGATCTTCAGTTCCATCCATGTTGTTGCAAATGACTGTCATTCTTGCTCATGGCTGAACAGTATTCCATTGTGCATATGTGTCACATTTTCTTTATTCATCTGGAAAATAAAGCAAGAAAAAAATAAGATAGAATAGCCAAAGCTATCTTAGACATGGGGAAAATGGGCATCCTTGTCTTGTTCCTGATGTTAGAGGAAAAGCTTTCAGTCTTTCACTGTTGAGTGTGATGTTTACTCTGGGCTTTTAAATATATAACTTCTATTATGTTGAGGTAGTTTCTATTCCTAGTTTATTCAGGGTTTTTATTATGAAAGATTGTTGAATTTTGCTAAATGCTTTTTCTGTGTCAGTTGAGATGATCATATGTTTTTTTCCTTCATTCTGTTATAATGGTGTATTACACTGATTGATTTATTGAGTTGAATCATTCTTGCACTCCAGGAATAAATGATTGATGTATTGAGTTGAATCATTCTTGCACTCCAGGAATAAATACCACTTGCTCATAGTTTGTAATCCTTCAAATATGTTGCTGAATTCAGTTTGCTAGTATTTTGTTGAGAATTTTTGGCTCAATGTTCATAAGGAATATTGGTCTGCAGTTTTCTTTTCTTGTTGTGTCTTTGTCTGGCATCGACATCAGAGATCTCATAAAGCGGTCTCATAGAATTTTGATCTTATAGAATGAACTAGAAAATGTTTTTTTCTTCATCAATTTATTGGGGGAAAAGTTTAGGAAGTATTGGTGTTCTTCTTTAAACGTTTGGTAGAATTCACCAGTGAAGCCATCATGTCCAGGGGTTTTTTGTTGTTGCTTTGTTTGTTTGGGTTGAAATATTTTGATTCTAATTCAATCTTCTTACCAGTTATAGGTCTTTTCAGATTTTCTATTTATTTTTTAGTTTGCTTCATAGGTTTTTTTCCTTCTAGGAATTTTTCATTTTATATAGATTGTCCAATTTACTGATGTACAATTTTCATAGCACTCTCTTATTCTTTTAACTTCTGTAGAATCAGTAGTAATGTCTCAACTTTCATTTCTGATTTCAGTAAATGGAGTCTTCTCTCTTTTATTCTTAGTGCTTCTAATTAAACATTTGTCAATTTTGTTGATCTTTTCCAAGAATTGACTTTTGGTTTCAATGATTTTCTTTACTCTTTTTCTATTTCATTTATCTGTACTCTAATCTCTGTTTTCCTTCATTCTACTACCTTTGAGTTTAGCTTGTTCTTCTTTATACAGTTCTTTAAGTTGTAAAGTTAGGCTGTTGGTTTTAGATTGTTCTTGTTTTTTATTTTTATTTTGTTTTAATTTTTAAAATTTTTTTAGATTTAGGGAGTACAAATGCAGATTTCTTACATGCATTTCAACTCTGCAACTGAGTTGCTGAGTTTTGGAGTCTGGACTTTTAGTGTATACATTTCCTAAACTTTCTTATTTTTTAATGTTAGAATTTATAGCTGCATATTTCTTTCTTTGTACTAATTTCATAATATCCCATAAGTTTTGGTATGTTGTGTTTTCATTTTCATTTATTTCGAAGTATTTTCTAATTTCATTTGTGATTACTTATTTGATCCATTGTTTGTTTAAGAGTGGATTGTTAAATTTCCACAAATTTGTTAATTTTCTTCTTTTCTCTGTTATTGATAGCAAATTTCATCCCAATGTGCTGAAAGGAGATACATTCTATGGTATCTACCCTTTAAAATCTATTGAGATTTAATTTGTGTTATAACATATGGTCTATCCTGAAAAACTTGCCATATGCACTTGAAAAGAATGTGTATGCTATTGTTGTTGGGTAGAGTGTTCTATATTATTTGTTAGATCTAGTTGGTTTATTGTGTTAAGACCTCTTTTTCCTTACTTATCACCTGTCTGGTTGTTATCTATTATTGAAAGTAGGGCATTGAAATCTCCAACTATTATTGCAGAACTGTTTATTTCTCCCTTCAATCCTGTCAGTTTTTACTTTATTCTTTTTAATGGTGTGTCATTTGGTATGTAAATGTTTATGGTTATTGTGTTTTTGGTGATATTGAATCTTGTATTAATATATAATATTCTTCTTTGTCTCTTGTGACCTTCTTTGATTAAATATCTAGTTTGTCTAACCTTAATATAGCAATCCTGCTTTTTTTTGGTTACTATTTACATAGAATATGCTTTCATTCTTTCGCTGTCAATTACTTTGTGGTTTTGGATCTAAAATGGATTTATTGTAGACAGTTGTATCCATTTTTTAAAATTCACTCTGCCTGTCTCTGTCTTTTGATTGAAGAATTTAATCCATTTATATTTAAAGTAATTACTGATAAGAGACTTACTTCTGTTATTTTGTAATTTGTTTTCTATATGTTTTATAGCTTTTTTATCTCCAATTTCCTGCATTACTTTGTGTTTAGTTGTTTCATATAGTGAAATGTTTAAATTCTTTTCCTATTTCCTTTTGTGTATAATCTATAGCTTTATGTTCTTTGTAGTTACCATGAGGATTACAATCAACTCCCTAAATTTATAATACTCTAATTTGAATTTCTACCAGCTTAACTTCACTAACATACAAAAACTCTGCTTCTTTATAGCTCTGTCGCACCTCTTTCAGTTTTTGATGTAACAAAATTACATTCTTGTACATTGTGTGCCCCTCAAATAAGCTATAATTATTTTAAATGTATGATTTTCTTGAATTATGTTGAAAACAATGGGTGGAGTTATAAACCAAAGTTATAAAATATTGCTAGTTTTTAGATGATTTTTTTTTTTTTGAGACAGGGTCTTGCTCTGTTACCAAGGCTGGAGTACAATGGTTTAATGTCTGCTCACTACAGGTTTGACCTCTCAGACTCAAATGATTCCCCCATTTCAGCCTCCTGAGTAGCAGGGACTACAGGCACATGCCACCATATCTGGCTAATTTTAAAATTTTTTTGTAGAGACGAGGTCTCACTATGTTGCCTAGGCTGGACTGGAACTCCTGGGCTCAAGCAATGCTCCCACCTTGGCCTCCCAGAGTGCTGGGATTATAGGGATGAGCTACTGTGTCTGGCCTAGATGAATAACTTTTAAAAAGTTCTAGAGTAAAACTTTTTAAATTAAAAAGTTCTAGAGTAAAACTTTTTAAATTAAAAAGTTCTAGAGTAAAACTTTTTAAATTAAAAAGTTCTAAATTAAAGATTTAAGATATAATGTCTTAAATCATGTAGAAAATAAGAAGTGGAGTTACAAACCATTTTTAGAATATAACTAGCTTTTATAATGTCACATGTATTTACCTTTATTAAGATATTTATTCCTTCATATAGTTTTGAGTTACTGTCTGGTGTTTTTTCATCTCACCCTGTAGGACTTTTCTTGCAGGGCAGATTTAGTAATAATAAACTCTTTTCAGGTTTTATTTATCTGGGAGTTACTTAATTTCTCCCTTACTTTTACAGAACAATTTTTCTGAATAAGGGATTTTTGTTGACAGTTTTTTTTTCCTTTAGCACTTTGAATATGTTGGCCCACCACCTTCTGGCCACTCAAGTGTCTGATGAGAAATCTGATGACAATCTTATTGAGGATCACTTGTATATGATGAATCGCTTCTCTTTTGGTGCTTTTAAGGTTCTTTCTTTGTACAGGCATATCTTATTTTATTTGCTTTGCTTTACTTTTTACAAATTGAAAGTTTGTGGCAATCCTGAATCGAGCAAATCTATCTCATTTCTTCAACAGCATGTTCTCACTTTGTGTCTCTTTATTCCATGCTGGTAATTCTCATAATATTTCAAACTTTTTCATTGTTGGTAAACCTGTGGTGGTGATCTGTGATCAATGATCTTTGTTGCTACTATTGTAATTGTTTTGGGGCACCATGAACTGTGCTCATGTAAGATGGTGAACTAATTTATAAATGTTGCGTGTGTTCTAACTGCTCCATTGACAAACATTTTTCCATGTATCTCCCTCTTGTCAGGCCTCTATATTTTCTGAGATACAACAATATTGAAATTAGACCAATTAATAACCCTACAATGGCCTGTCAGTGTTCAAGTGAAAGGAAGAATTGCATATCTCTTGCTTTAAATCAAAAGCTAGAAATAAGTTTAGTGAGGAAGGCTTATTAAAAGCTAAAATAGGCTGAAAGCTAGATTTCTTGTGCCAAATAGCCAAGTTGTGAATGCAAGAGTCAAGTTTTTGAAGGAAATTAAAAGTGCTACTCCAGTGAACACACAAATGATAGGAAAGTGGCACAAGCTTATTGCTGATATGGAGAAAGTTATAGTGATCTGGATAGATGATCAAACTAGCCACAACATTCCTTTAAGGCAAGACCTAATTCAAAGCAAAGCCCCAACTCTCTTTAATTCTATAATGGCTGAGAGAAGTGAAGAAGCTGCAGAAGAAGTTTGGTGCTAGCAGAGGTTGGTTTATAAGGTTTAAGGAAAGAAAACATCTCTACAACATAAAAGTGCAAGGTGAAACAGCAAGTGCTAATGTAGAAGCTGCAAGTTATTCAGAAGATCTACCTAAGAAAATTGATGAAGGTGGATATACTGAAGAATGGATTTTTAATGGAGATGAAACAGCCTTATATTAGAAGAAGATACCATTTGGAACTGTCATAGCTAAAAAGGAGAAAACAATGTCTCGCTTCAAATCTTCAAAGAACAGGCTGAAATTCTTGTTAGGAACTAATGCATCTGGTGACTTTAACTTGAAGCCAGTGCTAACATATCTTTCAAAAAGTCCTAGGGACCTTAAAAATTATGCTAAATTTACTTTGCCTGTGCTCTGCAAATGGAATAACAAAGTGTAGATGGCAGCACATCTGTTTATAGTGCGGTTCACTGAATATTTTAAGCCCACTGTTGAGACCTACTGCTCAGAAAGAAAGATTTTCTCAAAATATTACTGCCCATTGACAATGTACCTGGTCATTCAAGAGCTCTGATGAAGATGTATAATACAAGGAGATTAATGTTGTTGTCATGCCTGTTAACACAATATCTATTGTGAAACCCATGGATCATGGAGTAATGTTGACTTTCAAGTCTTATTAAGAAATACATTTCATAAGGCTATAAGTACCATAGATAGTAATTACTTTGATGAATCTGGGCAAAGTAAATTGAAAGCCTTCTGGAAAGTTTCACCATTTTAGAACTTTTGTGATTCAAGGGAGGAGGTCAAAATATTATCATTAACAGGAATTTTGAAAAAGTTGATTCCAATCTTCATAGATGACTTTGAGGAGTTTCATCGGAGCCTGAGTTTCAGCATTATGCGAGGGTGACCATGAAATTTGAGTGGCTGCTCTTCAGATAACCTCATTGTTATCTGCTGTTTGGAGAGGCTTAGGGTAAGTTTGGATTATAATTACTATATGCTTGTCTTTTTAAAATTTAGAATGGGGGTTAATATTCTACTGAATGGATCATGGATAGAGACAGATTGGGACAATAATTTAAACTGTTAGTTTGGTGCCTGTATAACTCAGGGCTGAGGTCACAATTTGAAGAGTTGTGTTTTTAATCTAAGAGTAGTTGGCATATCCACAATTTGAGGCCTCAGTTATTTTGGAAAGCAGAACAATTTTGATCCTTCCAGGAATCTACATGTAACACTTTATCAAAGTAATAGTGCCATACTCAGGTTACATTTCAAAGCTGAACTAGTCAATGCCCTTTAAAGTAAAGATCTATAGTCTACCAGGTCATAGGAGCTTTATATGTATTGTCCCCTTAATTTACACAACAGTTGAAAGGTAGATGTTGTCTCATTTTCAGATGTAGAAACTGAGGCCCAGAAATATTCAAAAAGCTTGCTAGAAGTTACATAATTATAAAGACAGGATTAAATCATGTCTCTGACTTCACTTATTATGCCCTGTTAGCTCTTCTCTAAGGCAGATCAACAGAACAGTGAAGAAAAGAACTGGTAGCAAGAGTATCTACAATTAAACTGCATTCCTTCAGTGTCTGGAATATGAAGTTTACTTTCTGCTGGTGTCAGTTGCATTCAGTCAAGTTTTCACATTCATCAAATTTCACAACCTACCTTCCCAAGTCATTGTAAGATGGAAATTTTATTTAAAAACAAATAGAACTTAAAAATCAATCTCTCTTCTCCCCACCATCCTCCCCATCCCCTGTGTCTTTGATAGAATTATCACTTTTTCTTGGTATAGTCAATATCTTCATTCCCTATTGAAACAAACACTTCTATTCCAATCATTGCAAATGGTTTGGAAGCAATGGTTTCTGTGAGACTACTTTTTAATAGAACAGCTACTTAATAGAACAGCTATTGAAGTTTTGAGCTTAGCTTGTTACAGTAGCTAGCATTATCTTAATTTACATGCATTATGTAATTTATATGCCTCCCCTTGAACAATGCACTTGAATTTGTCTCTCTGTAAAAAAACAGAGGTCCACTTAGGTTGTCTCAAGAAAAGGAGACTTTTTCCTGTGTAAATTGATGTAATGGCAGGAAATCTCAGTAGTTCCATGTAGCATATCTACTTCCAATTGAGCAACTGTATTCTTCTTGACTGATGAAGTTTTCCTCACCTTTTCTGTTCTTTTCTTCTTTGCTTTTTCTCTTCTTTCATATGTTTAGCTTCTAAATAACTTTGGCCTGCCATGGAACTTACACAATTTTGTGAATATTTTCACTTCAGCTTCATTTCTAAGTGACTAACCATGTTTGTTTTTCCAGTGTTCTCCAAAATGAAATCTGGTTTGCCTAGTTTATCTTTTTTAGTCAGTTAATGTGTGCCATAGGTCTTCAGCTAGCCTGTGTGTGTGTGTGTGTGTGTGTGTGTGTGTGTGTGTGTGTGTGCGCGCGCGCGCGCGCGCGCATGTGTCTGTATGTATTTACCTTGGTTTAATGCCCTTTGATAACCTGAAAAGAGAGTGGCAGAGCTCACAAATATTTCAGGAGGAGCTAACAGCAGGGATTATGGTGCCTTATACTATATACTGCAACTAAATATCAATTTATAATTATCCAAACTTACTATGCCTATGTTTAAATGTTTCAAAGTGGCCATATGGGCACTTTTCAAAATTTCTAGTAGATGATATTTGAGACTGCTAAAATGAAATTATCTCAAGACCCAAATAATATGTATTTTAAATGGAGATGGCTGTTGGGGACCAGAAAGAGACAATCTAGAATTACCAAGTTGAATGAAGTGTGGAATCCCTAAATTTGATGTTGAATTAATATTCGACTCATAAGTTAAGTAGACTTTGATTTTAATAACGCCCATCAGTGGATTAAATTCACAAATATTTACCAAGCGACCTACTAACTTCCTAGAAAGTTGTTGGAGTTGAATGTAGAAGGTATTGACAGCAAAGTCACAAGTTGAGGATTGTTTGAATCATTCAATCAACTAATATTTATTAAGCACCACAATGTTCCAGTTGGACTTGGGTTGCAATGATAAATTATAGATAGCCCTTGTCTCATAAGCTGTTGGTAGTAAGAGTGAGGAGACGGACATATATTCTGGACATCTACACTATAGCATTATCTCTGCAATAATCAGATAAAAGCACTGGGTAATTAAGAGATAAAACAAGAGACACCTAAAACAGACTGGATGAGTCACGGACAACTTTTCAGAGCACTTGAGGCCCGAATTGAGTGTTGAAGGATGAATAGGTATAACCAGTTGAATGTAGAATTGGAGAAGAACATGAATTAGCGTGGATATTGCTGTATATGGCTTACTTTATATTACTGCATTTTCATCTTACCAGCCAAAAATTAGAAAAAGAAAGAATAGTGTAGTATTTGTTAAGAATATTAGTTCAAAACCTAATCTAAGTAGGGGCATAGAGCAAGTCTGGTAGTATAAGTATTTACCTTATCCTTAGTAGCAAATGCCATAAAGATAGGGATTGTATATATCCAATCCAGATATGAGAATAAGTGACAAATGTAATTTCAGCGTGTCAAGTCTGAAAAAATTTTGTATGCCTTTGGAAAAATACCTAAAGGACTTCCAGATCTTTCACATTTATTTATTTATATTTTTTACTTTTATTGTTCACTTTCTTTTCATGACTATTTTATTGATTTTTTAAAAGTATGTAGTTTTAATAAAGTTTCCCGAGTACTCTTAAGTTCCAAATGGACTTGAATTCATTTTATTTTTATGGACTGCTGGTCTTTAATCTCTTATCACAGAATCAGAAATGTACCTGCTACATACTGGTAAATTAGTTATCAATCCCTTGGGCAGTATATTTTAATATCAGTATTCTAGGGAAGATGATATAAATCTTGTGTACAGTATTATTAGCTTAGGCAGCTGCTGACTTAAAAAGGCCAGTTTAACAAGTCACCACTGTATTATGTTTAATTAGGTACAGTTTATATAATGAGGTGTTCAGTTCTAATGGAAAGACATGCTGTGAGCAGCACATCTGCAGGAATAACTATTAGAATCAGCATTGCAGAGACCCATGGAACTGCAAATTAGACTTACTTATCTAGAAATAAATTACATCCCAATGCCTTCATAAAGCTCATTAATTAATTCCACTGGCATAAAGGTCTTTTTCTTAATTTCATGTTCCATTAGCATAATAAACACAATTTGAGTTACAACAGTATGATCAGTTTAATGGATGCTATTTATTTTAGTTTTTTATTTAAAGTCCCGGTAATGTAGAATTAACATCAATATGCTGCTTGGTCCTTTATTAAAAATTCCCATAGGATAACCAACACAGATGTTCAATACAGCATCATATATTTGCTGCATTTTACGACTGTACTAATTGGCCATATGGAAAGGTGTTGCTTGGGTGTAATTTTTAAAAAAAAATATGCTAAATTATATGGATTGTAATAATTACAATTAGTTTATATGTAAAGTTGGATAGGTTAATACATATTGCCTGTTGCAGGCAAAATAAAAGTAAACAAACTTTTGATGTTGTGTAAATACAGGTTTGTTTAAAAGAAATTTTGTTATATTTTAAATCCTGTTAAAATAATAAATAAGGTTAATTGAAGCCTGCATAGTCCCCACCTGACCGTGGTTTGGGGCTGCTATCTGCCTCATAAAGCAAAGTGTAGGGTTTGTCTTCTCCGAAAAAGGCCTCCTACATATTGGGCTTTGTCATTTGCCAAAAATAGAAGGGAAGAGATTGAGGCCTCCTGAGTCTGAGTTTTCAGGTGAGGTCATGAGAGAAGACAGGGATTGTAACCAGAGAATTCAGACTGGGATGTAGTTAACTCTAGAGCTCGTCTCTGTTAACTCAGTCTGGCCTTCATGACAGTTGTAGAAATGGATTCCTTAATAATAATAAAAAATAACTTCGTATCCCCCAAATAAAATTATAAATAAGTTTAACTTAGCTTACATTCTGAAATTATATAAGGTCTCTATTTGTGAATTGTGCATTTTTAGACCCATTTAAAAAAATGAATTCTGTTCACTTTGTTACTATGTATGACTTTAACGTATTTATAATGTTCGTACTATGAAATTCTAGGTTAACTATACTTACTAACATCTAGTATGCAATTATCATATGTATTTTTTAAGTTAACTCATATACAGAGTTTTGTTAATGTCCCAAATTATATCTTATTACTCAAAATACATTGCAAAGTACACATAAATTTTCCTTTCTTCATTCACAATATCTTTCCTCATGTCATATTTTCCATTTTGCTCAGTGTACCTTATCTGCTATAAAATATAATCTGTTTTCTTTATTATATTTTTACTCGAGTAATTATCTATTTTCAATATTGGATTTATCTTATATTTCTGTATAGGTTCCTATCACTGTGTAACGAATTGTCCCAAAACTTAGTTACTCAAAACAACAACAGTCATTTATTATCTGTTGTGTTTTCTGTGAGTTGGAAATGTGGGAAGGGCTCAGCTGGGTAGTCATTTGGGATCTCTCAAGCAACTGCAGTCAGATGTTGGCTATAGGATTGTGTTGCTCTGAGGGCTTGATTTAACCAGGGGGTCCAAAATTTCAAGGTGGCTTATTCACTGGTGCTGACATTTGGCCATCAGCCTTAGTTTCTCTGCATGTGGACCTCCCCACAGGGCTGCTTGGATGCCCTCATGAGATGGTGACTGGCTTCTTTTAAAGCAAGCCTGTCCAACCCGTGACTCATGAGACACATGTGGCCCAGGACAGCTTTGAATGCAGCCCAACACAAATTCGTAGACTTTCTTAAAACATTATTAACATTATGAGATTTTTTTGTGATTTTTTTTTTTTTTTTCTCATCAGCTGTCGTTGGTGTATTTTATGTGTGGCTCAAGACAATTCTTTTTCTTCCAGTGTAGTCCAGGGAAGCCAAAACGTTGGACACCACTGCTCTAGAGTGAGAGATCCACGAGGCTAAGGCAGAAGCTGAATTATATATTATGATCTGGCTTTGGAAGTCACACATCACCAGTTCTATCCTTTCTATTGGTCCTATAGGCCAGCCCTAATTCAGTGTGGGAGGGTAATACATGAGGACATGTACACTAGAAGGAAAGGATTTTTGGGGTTAGCAATCATAGTCTTCTCTCAGGCCCCTGACAATTCAGATCTCACCCAGATGCAAAATACGGCTGTCCCTTTCAAGGCTCCAAAAATATCTAGTCTCTCACAGCAGGAGTCTCCAACCCTGGGGCCACACACTGGTACTGGTTGGTGGCCTGTTATGAACCGGGCCACATGGCAGGAGGTGAGTGGCAGGTGAGCAAGTAAAGCTTCATCTGCATTTACAGCCACTCCCCATCACTTGAATTACTCCCTGAGCTTCACCTCCTGTCAGATCAGCAGTGGCATTAGATTCTCATAGCAGTGTGAAACCTATTGTGAACTGCACATGTGGGCATGTAGGTTGCCTGCTTCTTATGAGAATCTAATGCCTGATGATTTTCACTGTCTCCCATCACCCAGATGGGACTCTCTAGTTGTGGGAAAACAAGCTCAGGACTCCCACTGATTATACATTATGGTGAGTTGTATAATTACTTTGTTATATAAGAATGGAATATTAATAGAAATAAAGTGCACAATAAATATAATGCACTTGAACCATCCTGAAACCATTCCCTCCTTCATCTGTGTAAAAATTATCTTTCATGAAACTGGTCCCTGGTGCCAAATAGTTTGGGGACTACTGTCTTACAGCATCAGCTCAAGCTCTAGGTCCAGGATCTTGTCATCTATATCAGATCCAGATGTGACTAAGGCTCCACAACGAATTCTTGTCAAGTGTAGTACTTTTTTGAAGACATGTGAAATAAGAGCAATATGTTATCTGATTCCCCATCTAACCACCTTACCATGGTGTTCCATGCAAGGTTAACCACTGTAGAGTCTCCTGTACAAATTAGGAAAAAGAGAGGCACATAAAGTCACTGTTCCAAAGCATCCCGAAGCCTAGTTAGGCACATGTTGCCAGTCCCTTGATTAATGCCCAGTCCTACAGCCTGGGAATAATTCACTTCGGCCTCTGGGCTCTTGGTTCTACCTCCTGAGTTGTCCTTCCTTTTCAATAAAAAATATGATGACTGAATCCCCAGGGAACACCTGACTGAAGTCACATGAGAGACTGCAAATGATTACTTTCCACCTGAGACCTTTCTGAATTCATAATGTACAGAAATCGTAAGAGAGACTAAATGATTATTGTGGTAGTAAGTCACTGTGTCTTAGGGAAACTTGTTGTACAACTGTAGTAACTGATACAAATTCTGGTACCAGAAGTGGGGTTTTGCTGAATGGAAAAACTAAAAATGTGTCAGTTGCTTGGGACTGAGCAATGGTGAGTGGAAGTTGAAGGGCCTCGAAGGGATTGTTAGGGGAAGCCTTTGAGGAAGCTGTTGGTGAGGGCTTAAAGCAAGTAAGAAAAATGTTATAAGTGTCTCTTGTGGCAACACTGAAAATGGAAAATGTGCTTAATAAACTTGACGATCTAACTAAGGAGATTTACAGGCAGAGTGTTGAAGTGCCACTTGATCATTTCTTGCACTTATAGTAAAATGCAAGAAAAGCAATATAAATTCAAAGAAGCTCAGTTAAATAGTAAGGGGCTGGGTTCAAAAAGTAACATTATTTCTTATTCTTATGCTCTCCAAATGGCAAATAATGCTAAAAATAAGAAAAGCTTCTGAGAAAATATTATATCCAGATATTGTCAGGAAAACCATAGTCTAAAGATGAACCCAAGTAGGTGACTACAAAACCATTTGTAAAAGCCTCCAAAAGATTTAAGGTAGTGCCTTTAACAGAAAAAAGTTCCCATAAAGACTTTAAAGGCATTATTTGTAAAACTGTTTTATTACACAACAGAGGCCCTAAGAATTTTTAGGGTCCTTTTTTGCAGCAGCATTACAGTAAGCTTAAGGCACAGAAGGACTTATTTCAACAAGATTTGTGGGTATGGCTTTTGTCTAATAGAGTGAACCTTAATAAGATTTGTAGAACACCTACAAAGTTTTTAAGATAATTGTATTTATTTATTTATTTATTTTTAAATTTTTGAGACAGAGTATCACTCTCTTGCCCAGGCTGGAGTGCAGTGGTGAAATCTCAGGTCACTGCAACCTCCACCTCCCAGGTTCAAGTGATTCTCCTGCCTCAGCCTCCTGAGTACCTGGGATCACAGGCATGTGCCACCATGCCCAGCTAATTTTTGTATCTTTTTAAGTAGAGACAGGGTTTCACCATGTTGGCCAAGCTGGTCTTGAACTCCTGGCCTCAAGTGATCCTCCCACCTCGGCCTCCCAAAGTGCTAGGATTACAGATGTGAGCCACCATGCCTAGCCAGAGAATTGTATTTATTAGAACCATTGACAACTTGAACTAAAAGGGATAGGGAAAGTTCAAAATAAAATGGCCTTTGGAGTCTAACTACTATGAATAAGAAATGGTGAGGAAATTTGATTGCAAGGATCATTGAGGGCCCTTTGTAAGTATATATGGCATATTGTGTTTATAATATTTGTACTGTGAAATTCCACATTAATCATACCTGCTTATTTTTAGTATATAGTAATTAGCTGTACATTTTTGTTGATATCAAATGCAATGTCTTATTAAAGTCAGGTATTACATATTGCTACAGAAAATGGCATTGCAGAACGCATATAAATTTTTATTCTCTTGAAATAACCAGTCATAAAATTTTTCATTTTATTTTCTTTCTTTTTCTCACTTCAGCCTTCCCTGCTATGAAATAAAATTTCCATTATTATATTATTATATTATATAGTTGAACTTTTTCTCATTAACACCACTAAAATTACCTATATTTAATATTTAGTTAATACTATATTTTCTAATCCATTCTGCAAATCACAGGAATCACTCACTTTTATCACTTTACTCATAATATGTGCTAATATGTAACATTTTTTATGACTTGGTGGTCTCTCACAGAGCCACATGTGTATCTATTATGTACTGTTAAATTAGTAACTGACCACCAAGTTTGTAAACCTTGCCACCGAAGATATTCTGCATAATAAAATGGCCACTTGATTTTTCATTAAAAACAGGGTGAAAATATTCTTACCCTATTCTCTCCTTGACTTGACCACGAATCCATGAATGTGTACATATAAGCTTGTGGTAAAAATCTAGAATTTTCAATGTAGTATATCTGAATCCTATTTTTTTCCTCTGGGTTGTCCTACTGTGCAGTATAATCTGGTAGAATTTCTTACCTAGACCATTTTTATGGGAATTAAGATGGATAAGAATAAAGTCTTTGGATCATGTTCACTGACTTACACATTTTATTAGAATAATTGCATTATTAGAATTATCCTTGGCATTTATTAAATACCTTTTGATTGCCAGGTACTGGGCTGGATGATTTAAGTGTGTTATCTCATTTAATTCTTGAAATACATTACTGTATTATTATCTCAACTTTATGTGTGAAGAAATTAAGTTCTGGAAATGTTAAATGATTATTCTATGGTCTAAGGTCATATAAAAGGTAGGAGAGCGGGGATTTTAAACTAGGCCTCTTATATTCTTTGGGAAGTTCTTTAGGAAGACTGACATTCAGAGGTGGTTGTGTAATGAAGTCCTTTTATTTTCTTAGGGTTTAATGAACAATTATACATGTCACAAAGCATGTTCTCAAAAATGTTCACAAAGCATGTCACACTGGAGTTACTTTCTTTCTAATAGTATCAGGGGTAAAGTGGTCTATAGCTAGCCCTGAATTACCTGAAGAAATTCAGTCTTACAAATCATCAAATAATGCTCTCTACTCTGCAGTTTAAACCTTGTCGCCCATCAAACCTTTTACAAGAATAGCAAAGATATAGCATGAATCAGTGGATTTGAATTTCATTTCCTTGGAATTTTCTTAAGGCTTTGGTGAAGATGTTAATATCCAGTTAAGTGGGAAGGAAAACAAAAATGAATGACAATGGAGAGCCCGGCGCAGTGGCTCACGCCTGTAATCCCAGCATTTTGGGAAGCTGAAGCGGGTGGATCACTTGAGGCCAGGAGTTCAAGACAATGGAGAAATTGCATGACCATAGTAACCTAGATAAATTGTTTTGTTATTAAAAGTATTTCCAGTTCCTTTTATAATGTTTTGTGTTTCAGAACATCTAAAAAAATTTAAAATATATTTTGCGTTATACTTTAGAAACTAAGGTTATTTAAGGACATTTAATTCAGTAATTTGATTTCTTTATACTTAAATCACACATTCTATTTTTAAGTTATTTTGGATATCTATGAAGCTTAAATGTTTTGAAGGTATAGAAATATTTAGTACAGTTTCTCATTCTTTTAATCACTCAAAATGTTTTAAACTTAATTTGTCAAAACAAAATGGTGATGTATAAGCCGGTTCAGAAGTTGGGAAAACTTGTTCATTTTGGCATAGTTTATACTTGATACAATAGCTTTTTAACTGGCAAGTACTTAGATGAGCAGGAAAAGTATCAAATTTAATTTTCAGTGCACCGTCCTGCAGATTCTGCCTTTGAGGCTGCTTATTTTTCACAGTGTTGTATGTACCAAAAAATGTGCCTGCTTTTTAATTGTGCAGGCTGTGAAAATGAGAATATGGTTGAATACAGTTTAAGTGATGGGTATAAGTTTGCAGAATCTCAGAATATGACAAAGAAAAACATTTTCAAAGGTCTAAATGTTTGAACACTCAAGATACAAACATCTGAAAAAATTGCGTTGAACAGCCAAGTCAACATTACTATACAGCTGTACTGTTTTTACCATATGGTAACTAATGAAGTGCTTCCGTGCACCAAAGAACTACCATGTTGCAAAGTTGGAAGCAAAGTCACAATATGTGTAATCATAGAGTCAGAATGGAATAGGGCAACTCCATTACGTATTGCAACTAAACACTATTTAAAACTTTCAAGCTCAGTATGTCTTATTTTTTGCTAAAATAAAAGTATCACATTGAATTTAGCCCTTCTAGGGCTGCTGGGCTTGATTATATAGTTGTAGTCTCGGCGTGGACTCTATTCCTTACTGGCTGGATGACCTTGAATAAGTTATATAAACTCTTTGAGCTTTAGTAACCTAATTTGTACATTGTGGACAATATTACTAGACTCATAGAACTAGCATAAGAGTTAAATGAGATGATGTATGTGAAGAGTTTATCATTCAGAGATGTAGTAGATGAGCATCAAAAATTATTTTTCACTCTTCCTTTCTTAAAAATTAATTCATCTGCTATAGTTTGGGTCCGAAAAAAATTAAATAAGATGAGTTAAAAATCTGTAAATTAACAACATAATTGTGCATTATAGCATTTTGGATAAAAGCTTTGGAGGACAATGTTGATAATGTTGACTAAAGTGAGGTTTGGGAATTAGTGCTGGGTTTTGTAAATTTAAATTATTCTTACCTTCCACTTCTGTTGATAATTTGGAAATGATTATAATAACTGAATTATACAACTTAATATTAAATAGCTTAAAAAGTCTATCTGACTTTTATACTAGCTTACTCAGTTGGTTTGATATTAATTCAGAGATTATACCCTCTATGTAATTAATATACTGTCAGGGAATACAATTGTAAAAGAAAAGTCAGTTTCAAATGTCAGAGCTCAAGCAAAGATTGAGCAAATAGTTTCAAAATATTTTGTAGGGGACTTAGTGGCATAAAAATAAAGAAAACTTCAAAAATAAGCCATTGTTCAGCATGGCAGACAAGGTATTATATTTTATTTGTGCCTTAATAGCACATCCATGTAGATAGAAGATTGTTTAAAAATCTTGCAGAAAACCACAGGTGTCACTTTTCCTAATAAAAACTGCATTTTCCATGTGGTTTATGCCTTTGATCCCTACAAACTCAGAAAAAATAAATGAAAATTTCTTTGCTTTCATTTGCAGTGATATGATGCACATTACTGATCTTAAGGAAACAATATCCAGTGCAACATTGGAGCCCTGGGCCTCATGGCACCTATTGTGGAAGGTTGCTTTCTGCGTGTTTATTCTCTATATTTGTTACTTAGAAAAATAGGTGAATAGAAGATAGAAATAAATCATCAGATGGTAATGCACCAAGAAACCAAACAATAGCATGGATATGTTGATCTACAGGCTTGGTGACCTTTTGTGTTTGTTTAAACAGCTTGTTTTAATTAGTAATGGATATCGCTTACTCCATGAACATTATTGACAATTGAAAACAGCACCTTATAAGCTAAGGAATTGGGGAAATTTAATATGAGTGTTTGAGCTCAGTTTCTTTAGGGGGTTGCTTTGTTCTTGTCACTATGCTTGAGGTTAATGGACAACTAAATGGAATGGCTTCACGTGTCATACACTGAGTGAAGAGGGCTGACAAAAAGCCATTAGTGTCCACGGAAGAAAGACAAAAACAGAAATTCTATCATTTCCAGATGAGTCTTTAGGATTCCCCAAACTCTTTATTAGGCAGGAATATTAATGTAAAGGTCAGAGAGTAATTTTAGCCAGATTTTTTTAATTGAAAAGGTAGTAAAAAATTATTTAGAATACTAGTTATGGAATCTAAGAGATGATACTTTTAAAAAACAAATGTAATGACTTGATGTTCTAAGTGACAATTTTACCTGTCCTACTAAAAGGAAAGAACATAACTTTTCTTGCCATGTAAGAATGAGCAGTTACAAAAAGAAAACGTTGAATTATGCTTATTTCTGGAGGTACTTTAAAAGACTTTAAATAATTCTGATATTTGGCAGTTTCTTCTCACTCTCAAATACAGTTATAATATTCTATAATAAAATCTGATAAAAATGTCATTATTATCAACCAGATGAAACATTAGGATCATTAACTTTGTTCTAGTTAAATTATTCTAATGTATATGGCAGTACTATCATCTTTCCTGTATACAATATTTTAAAGTCACTCTAAAAATTACTTTCATAGAACTGGAAAGCCATTTTGAGTGTAGCACACATTGGCCTCTTGTCTTTTGTCTGAACACAGAGCATGTTTCAGGTAGGTGCTTGTGAGGTGAGGTTGTATTTTACTTTTTTCCATTGGCTAGTGCTTGGTTGGAAAGAGTGACAATGCAATTTCCTTAGAAAAGTAAGCCATCTTGATCCCATTGGTACTGGCAACATTGAGACACTTTTAAAAAGAAACAAGTCTTGAATTTGTATTGAGAAGGCCACACTTTCTGGTCCTTACCATTCTTTGTCACTGAAAAAAGTGTAGAGAGAGGAAACATTTTGTGAACTGAATTAGTCATCAGATCATTAGATAGATGACTGAGTGTGAGTTTCACTTTGGCTTGATTTTCATTTCTTCTTTCATAGCATTTTTACAAACGATGGTTATTGAAAATCTAGATATAGCTCTGCCTGTGTTATTTATGACACAGGAAAAAACAAATCTAAAAGAAAAATAAAATAAGCCAAAAAGCAAGCAAACAAAACACCTCCAACCAGCATCTACATCATTATGACACTGCTTTTTTTTTCTTTTCCTTTATACATTGTGGATAATTGGAATACTAGCATGCATATAGTATAGTAAAATATCACTGGATTGGTACTCAGGACAACTGGGTATCATTTCTGATTAATGAATTCATTGGTTTTGTGACTTTTGAGAGTGAATTTAACTTTTCTGGACTCATATTTCTTATCTCATTGTGATATTGCTCCCAAAGGGGTTGAAAATAGATATACAGCATATCTGTGTCACCAAAATTATAGGAGGATGATTAGGAATAAAAGGTTTAAAAATGTTCTTTCTTTAGGGGGACAATAATGCAAAAAATGTTGAGAAACACTGCATTATATGACAAAGAGAAGATAATGTCTAATGTCTTTTTCAGCCTTAATTTCCTATATCTTTTGTAAGTAAAGCTTATGATCCCAGAGTAATCATTTTGAAGGACCTAAAAGGTGTATTTCAATTTTAAATAATGATTAGTGTGATCTTCTTATGGAAAGATATTCAGTATTCCTTTCAAAAATAAAACATACTTTGTTTTTCTCTGGTTTTGGGGAGATACATGCTCTTATTGAAGATTTGCAAAATATAGAAGTATAGAAAGAAAAATATGAGCACTTGTGGTGGAATGTACTACTAGCTAGTGACCAACATCTATTTTCTCTTTTTTTGAATCTACTGTTATATTTCTGGACTTCTTTGATGATAGATGCACATGTGACTGAATCTAGTCAATAGAACATAAGTGGAAGTGTCCTATTTCGAGGTCTGACCTATAAAAGCCCTGGATACAACCTCCCCTCTGCTTTTTAATTATAGTTACATGGAATAGCAATCCTCTAGGATAACCTTGGAGGTCACTGGAATCCTGGCTTCCTAAATGAATTCATATCTTTTTGCTGACAATGAGCTAGTTAAGACTCATCCATTCATATGATATATTATTTTATAATATCATATATTACTGCTATCATCTGAATGTTAGTGTTTTCTATAAATTCATATGTTGAAATTCTAGCTCCCAAAGTGATGGTATTGGAAGGTAGGGCCTTTGGGAGGTGATTTGATCATGAGGGCAGAGCCCTCATGAGTGAGATTTATATCCTTGTAAAAAAAGCCCCAGAGAGCTGCCTTGCCCCTTCTACCATGTGAGGACACAGTGAAAAGGCAGCATCTATGAGAAAGCAGGCCATCACCAGACACCAGATCTGCTTGTGACTTTATTGGGACTTGTCAGCATCCAGAACTGTGAGAAATAAATTCTTTTGTCAATAAGCCACCTAGTCTATAGTATTTATTTATTTATTTATTTACAGTAGCTTGAACTGACTAAAACAGAAAGTAGTACTGAGAGTGAGGTGCTGCTGTGACAAGTACCTATAATGTGGAAGTGGCTGTGGAACTGGATAATGGGCAGAGGCTGAAAAAGTTTTTAGCTGCATGTTAGAAAAAGCCTGCATTGTCACGAATGCACCAGAAAGGGTAATTCTTATAAGGGCTCAGAAGAAGTGAAGAGCTCTAGAAAAAACCCTCAATCTTCTTAAAGACTGTCTAAGTGGTCATGAACAGAATGTTGATAGAAATATGGATGGTAAAGGCCATTGTGATGAAATCTCAGACAGAAGTGAGGAATATATTATTGGAAACCAGAGGAAAGGAGATCTTTGTTATAAAGTGGCAAGAACTTTGCCTAAATTGTATTCATGCCTTAGTGTTTTGTGGGAGGTAGAACTTGTGAGTCATGAAATAGGATGCTTGGCTGAAGAAATTTTTAAGCAATGTGTTGAAGGTGCAGAATAGTTTCTCTTGAATGCTTATAGTAAAATATGAAAAGATAAATGATTTAAAGATAGAATTTTAATCAAAAGGGTAGCAGAACTACAAGATATTGACAATTCTCAGCCTGTTTATATTGTAAAATATGAGAAAGTATGTTTGGGAAAGAACACAAGGGTTTGACCAAGAGACCATTTGATAAGGAGATTAATATGGATGGGTCTGGTGGTATTCATCAAGACAATGGATCACTGGTGCTGCTGTCATAACAGGCCCTGTCTTAGTTCACTTTGTGTTGCTGTAATAGAATATCTCAGACTGGGTAATTTATAAAGAATAGAAATTTATTTTCTCACAGTTCTAGAGGCTGGAAACTCCCAGATCAAGGTGCCAGCATCTAGTGAGGGTCTTCTTATTGACTCATCCCATACTGGGAGGTGGAAGGGCAGAGAGCAAAAAAGAGAGAAAGGTGGCTGAATTAATTTCTTTGTAAGGAACTCACTCCAGTGATAATGAACCCACTCTCATAATAATGACATTAATCCATTCATGAAGACAGAGCCCTCATGGCCTAATCACCTCTTAAAGATCTCACTTCTTAATACTGTTAAAATGGCAATTAAATTTTAACATGAGTTTGGGAGGGGACAAACATTAACACCATAATGGGCCTATAGTGCCAAGGCCTTGAGGGCACAATGATTTCAAAGGAAAGACTGAAGGCATTTGGGGGGACTTCAGTGCAAGCTGCCTCAGGCTGCCACTTGGCTCTACTCTCCAAATTCTTGTGCCATGCTGGAGCTTTTCATTTCCTCCAGGTTTGGCCCCAGTAGGCTTAGGTGCAGCACTGGCCTTGGTTGCTGCCTCTCCAGAGGGCACAGGTGATAAATCATGGCAGTGTCAGTTCAGGTCCACCTCTGCTGCTCTCAGAGTGTGGAAGCCATGGGGTGTGTCTGGCTACCACCATCTAGATTTCCAAGGCTTGAGTCACCTGGAGCCTCAGGCATGAGACTTAGGCAGAGAACTGCTTAAGGGGTGAGACCACAACAGAGAGTTTCCACTAAGGCAATGCTCAGTGGAACTTTGGGAGCAAGGCTACCCCTGTAACCCCAGACTGGTAGAGCCATTGGCATGCAATTCCAGTTCAAGAGTGCTACAGGCAAGAGACTTCAACCTGTGAGAGCTGTAGAGAGGACAGGGCTGCCCAAAGCCCTGGAGGCAGGGCTTCCTTGAGTCTTGTGGGCCCATACTCTGCCCAGCAATACTGCAGAAGTAGAACCTCTACCCCAGTGGGCGTGGAAGACAAAGCTTCAAGTCAAAGAAGCTTACTGTT
The DNA here is from genome assembly GCF_000001405.40 of Homo sapiens. Lineage (NCBI taxonomy): Eukaryota > Metazoa > Chordata > Mammalia > Primates > Hominidae > Homo > Homo sapiens. The sequence continues at coordinate 88,398,160 of NC_000001.11, read as the reverse complement.
AAACGTTAAGGTCTTGATCTTACTAGGGAACTGTTAACACTTTCTTCTTCCCTATTTCTCCCTTTTGGTTTGAGAATGTCTATCCTGTGCTTTTCCCACCATTGTATTTTGGAGACACATAACATGTTTGATTTCACAGGTTCACAACTAGAGAGCAACTTGCTTCAGAATGATTAGTAATTTGAGTTCCACCCATATCTGATTTTGATGACATTTAGATGAGACTCTGGACATTAAACTTTTGTGTTGATACTGGAATGAGTTAAGACTTTGGAGGCTATTGGGATGAAATAAGTTTACTTTGTATGTGAGAAGGACATGAATTTTACAGGCCAGAGGTGGAATGCAAAGGTCTGAATTCCTGGGTCTTGTCAAAATTCATGTGGAAATCCTAACCCCCAAGGTGATGGTATTAGGAGGTGGGGGCTTTTGGGAAGTAGTTGGGTTATGAGGGCAGAATCCTCATGAATGGGATTAATGTCTTCATAAAATGGGCCCAAGGAAGCTCTTTTGCTTCTTCTACTATTTGAAGACAAAGTGAGAAGTCTTCGTCTATAAATCGGGTAAAGGTCCCACATCAGGCACTGAAACGGTTGGCACACCGAATGAATTTCCCAGCCTCCAAAACATAAGCCACTCAGCTTATGGTATTTTGTTATAGCAGCCCAAACAGACTAAGACAATTACTATATGCCAGGACTACTGTTCTATGTATTTGAGACTGATGTGTGAACAATCAGAAAACACACACACACACACACACACACACACACATACATGCTAATGTCATATCTAGTAAAGATGTTGATCATCTCTATCTGCTCTGTCCAATATGGTAGCCACTAGTCATGTGCGACTATTTTTACTTAAGTAAAAATGTAATTTTTCAGTCATACTAGCCACACTTCAAGTGTTCAATAGCCACATGTGGCTAGTGGCTACCATATTGGACAGTAGAGACATAGAACATCTTCACAATCATAGAAAAAAATTCTAATGGAGAGCACTGAGCTGTACTGTTGAATATTATGCTTATACAGGTACACATGTACACTTTGAACACTTTGTATACGCACACATGCACAAACATACATATATTAATAGATAAACATATACACATTTTACAGCCAGGAAGGAAAGGTAATGAATCCAAATACCTAAATTGTGTTGTGACTATCCACAGTGTCCTTTCTATTGTAGACCAAATAATATGTTGATTTGAATCAAAATTATGGAAATTCATGAAGGGGGTGATGGGCATTACTGTTAAGAATGGAGTAGAACCAAGTGAGTATAAGGCTCTACTCTTTAATTTCTCTTCTCTCTCCTTAAACTGTCTACTCCATTTCATTCTCCAAAAATGAAAAACTGCTGCATAGGTGAGCACTTGGTTACTTAATTAGACAACTGAAATGTGAGGATGAAATTCCTATTCGTTAGTAGAATGGTTCCTGCTGGATATGATTATTCCTTTCTATCAATACTGTCCTAGTGGTGGTGACACCAAGTTCTTCCCTTTCTAGGTAGAAGAAAAGTAGAGGAGTGTCTGGGAAATTTTATCTAGTGTGATGGTTCTTAATTTGGGGATGGGAGCATTACCTATTAGGGATGAAAAACTGAGTCCTACATGATACTGATACTCTTCACCCTCCTTCTCCCCATCACTCCAATTCTTGCCCTTTATGTTATGAACCTGTAGTCTTATTGTTTGGTTTGTACTGAGCTTTGCTCAGTCAATTTTATACCATGTTACATACTAATGAGTCACAGAGCCTTGGACAAGGCTGGTCTGCACAGATCCCAGAACAGTAATAACTCTTCTGTTTTCATCACGGTTTCTAGAGTTTGATCTAACTTAAAAAAATAAGGAAGAAGATGAAAGTGTGGTGTCCAAGTTACATAGACTTTGCTTTTTTTTTTTTTTTTTTTTGTGACGGAGTCTGGCTCTGTCGCCCAGGCTGGAGTGCAGTGGCACAATCTCGGCTCACTGCAAGCTCCGCCTCCAGGGTTCACGCCATTCTCCTGCCTCAGCCCCCTGAGTAGCTGGGACTACAGGCGCCCGCCCCCGCGCCCAGCTAATATTTTTGTATTTTTTTAGTAGAGACGGGGTTTCACTGTGTTAGCCTGGATGATCTCGATCTCCTGACCTCGTGATCCGCCCATCTCAGCCTCTCAAAGTACTGGGATTACAGGTGTGAGCCACCGCGACCGGCCCAAGTTGCATAGACTTTCAAATAATCTAAGCAACATTGGGTTTCTTTCCCTTTAAGTTAATCCTCAGTTTTATGTCCAGGTGTTGGAACCTCACAGGGAGAGAAAAATGGAAGGGTTGATTTAGTTTCCTGCCACACTACACTCCAGTAATTAGGACTATATAAAACTTTCAGGTGTCAGGATAGCCAGTAATTTTCTAATGATATAAAACCAATGCCTGGTGTTTTACTGGTTCTACATATTATATAACTGTCAGGAAAACAAGAGCCAAACTCTTTCTTCTTAGCTTATTTACTGACTTAGGAAATCTAGTTGTCAGTAAGTAGGTATGAAAATTGGTGTCAGGGCATTATGAAACTTTCAAAAAAATGTCACAATTACCCCTCCCCCCACACCCCAAATGCCTTCCGCCTTCCCCACACACCAGCTTTCTTTGCTGATTTAAAAGAAAGCATCTCTCCTTCAATGAAATGACATAAAAAGGAAATCAAAGGGTTGGGGCCAGTACACCTAAATTTATATCAGAGCTTTCCACAAGGCAATCTAAAAAGCTCATTTATTTTCATTCTTATATTTTTCTAGCCTACGAAAACTGCTAAGCCCTTTGGAGGTCCCTGCTGGTAGAATACCTATCTAATGTGTGATATGGGGCCCAATGCAATGATTCTTGAATGGTTTTCAAACTGGTTTTGAGGAGCTAGTGGGCCACTTTATAACAAGAAGAAGCATTTAGAATCCTGACATTTAAAATTCTGCCCCCCAGTGTGCAAACAATACAAGAAGAAAAGCTGTGCCCTAGTTGGGCTTCTGCTGTGCTAATTACAGAAATGTAAAGCCCAGCTGTGGTCAGACCAGCTTATCAAGGAGAGATGTGTTAGACCAAGAGAGCAAAAGAAGGACCGAGATGTTTTTACATTTAATATGAGCGAAAATACTTTTAGACTAGTGTATGACCATGTGACTGGAGCTCAACAGCTAAGCTAAGGTTTCTTTAGCCCTTCTATATACAAATTAATAATGATATATAAACCCATTCTGTTTAAAAACTAAAGGTTCTTGACACCTGTTCCAAATCCATAACAACCCTCCTCTACCCCACAAGGAAATCAAATCAACAAAACCACACCAAATAGGCAAATTTTAACTAAGGAAGTTTTATTTAAATTTTTTAAAATTTTCTATAAGTTATTGGGGTACAGGTGGTATTTGGTTACATGAGTAAGTTCTTTAGTGGTGATTTGTGAGATTTTGGTGCACCCATCACCTGAGCAGTACACATTGCACCATATTTGTAGTCTTTTATCCCTCGCCTGACCTCCCACTCTTCCCCATAAGTCCCTGAAGTCCACTGTATCATTCTTGTGCCTTTGTGTCCTCAGAGCTTAGCTCCCACATATCAGTGAGAACATATGATGCTTGATTTTCCATTCCTGAGTTACTTCACTTAGAATAATAGGCTCCAACCTCATCCAGGTCACTGCAAATGCTGTTAATTCATTCCTTTTTATGGCTGTGTAGTATTCCATCATATGTATGTGTCTATCTATCTACACACACACACACACACACACACACACCACAGTTTCTTTATCCACTGGTCGATTGTTGGGCGTTTGGATTGGTTCCACGATTTTGCAGTTGTGAATTGTGCTGCTATAAAATGAGTGTGCAGGTGTCTTTTTCAGATAACGGCTTCTTTTCCTCTGGGTAGATACCCAGTAGTGGGATTACTGGATCAAATGGTAGTTCTACTTTTAGTTCTTTAAGGAATCTCCACACTGTTTTCCCTAGTGGCTGTACTAGTTTACATTCCCACCAGTGGTATAGAAGTGTTTCCTGATCACCGCATCCATGCCAACATTTACTGTTTTTTGATTTTTTGATTATGGCCATTCTTGCAGGAGTAAGGTGGTATCGCATTGTGGTTTTTATTTGCATCTCCCTGATCATTAGTGATGTTGAGCATTTTTTCGTACGATTATTGGCCATTTGTATATCTTCTTTTGAGAATTGTTTATTCATGTCCTTAGCCTACTTTTTGATGGGATTGTTTTTTTCTTAGTGATTTGTTTGAGTTCATTGTAGATTCTGGATATTAGTCCTTTGTCGGATGTATAGATTGTGAAGATTTTCTCCCACTCTGTGGGTTGTCTGTTTACTCTGCTGACTGTTCCTTTTGCCATGCAAAAGCTCCTTAATTAGGTCCCAGCCATTTATCTTTGTTTTTATTACATTTGCTTTTGGGTTCTTGGTCATAAAATCCTTGCCTAAGCCAACGTCTAGGATTTTTCTGATGTTATCTTCTAGAACTTTTATAGTTTCAGGTCTTAGGTTTAAGTCTTTAATCATCTTGAGTTGATTTTTGTATAAGGTGAGAGATGAGGATCTAGTTTCATTCCTGTACATGTGGCTAGCCAATTATCCCAGCACCATTTGTTGAATAGGGTGTCCTTTCCCTACTTTATGTTTTTGTTTGCTTTGTCAAAGATCAGTTGGCTGTATTTGGGTTTATTTCTGGGTTCTCTATTCTGTTCCATTGGTCTATGTGCCTATTTCTATGCCAATACAATGCTGTTTTTATGACTATGGCCTTATAGTATAGTTTGAAATCAGGTAGTGTGATGCCTCCAGATTTGTTCTTTTTGCTTAGTCTTGCTTTGGCTATGCGGGTTCTTTTTTGGTGTCATGTGAATTTGCTTTTTCTAATTTTGTGAAGAATGATGGTGGTATTTTAATGGGGATTGTGTTTAATCTGTAGATTGCTTTTGGCAGTATGGTCATTTTCACAATATTGAATCTACCCATCCATGAGCATGGTATGTGTTTCCATTTGTTTGTGTCATCTATGATTTCTTTCAGCAGTTTTAGGAAGTTTTAATTTCAGTTCAACAGAAGAACCTAATGTAATTTAAATATATTTTATTACACCTCAATATTTCTTTCGTGCTTGCTTTTCCTGGAAATCTAAGTCCAGATTTGAACCACAAGTAGACTTTGCTGTAGCCATATGCTGGTTTTTCATTAATGTAGGAAATATGAGGCCGGGCGCAGTGGCTTATGTTGTAATCCCAGCACTTTGGGTGGCTGAGATGGGAGGATAACTTGAGATCAGGAGTTCAAGACCAGCCTGGCCAACATGGTGAAACCCCGTCTCTACTAAAAATACAAAAATCAGCTGGGTGTGGTTGGCAGGTGCCTGTAATTCCAGCTACTCAGGAAGCTGAAGAAGGAGAAACGCTTGAACCTGAGAGGCAGAGGTTGCAGTGAGCTGAGATCACACCACTGCACTCCAGCCTGGGTGACAGAGGGAAACTCTGTCTCAAAAAAATAAAGAAAAATTTTGGGTGGCATTGGTAGACATATATTGGCCAGTGCAAACATTTTTAACTGACTAGAAATTTTACCAGATTCCAAAATATTGAAAAGTACTTAGAAAACCATTTATGCTCCTGTTGTTTGCTTTTCTCATTTACAAAGTGCGAAATAATGGTACAGTAGAACTTTATTGTAGTGATGTTATATTATTGTCTGGGAATGGCAATATCAGTTATAAGCTTTTTGTATCAAGGACATATAGGCTAGGCATTACTATAGATAATATGAATAATAATGATCATAGCTATTTATTGAAATTATCGTAAATGCCTTAAATGGCAAGGTAAGTCTTATTTACTTATGAGGAAGAGGTGATTACCATATGTGGCTTTGCAGGGTGTGCACCGCATAAATTGTAAGGAGCATTATTCACAGTGGTGGTTATAAATGTGGTTGTGTGTGCATGTGTGGGTATCTGTGGTTTGAGTTTGTCTCCACCAAAACCTATGTTGAAACTTTATCCCCAGTGTGGTGCTGCTGGGAGGTGAGACCTAATGGAATCCCTCACGAATGGCTTAGTGCTGTTCTCACGGTAGTCAGTGAGTTCTCACTCTGGTGAGGCTGAATTAGTTCTCAAGGGAATGGATTAGATCTGATCAGAGTGAGTTGTTACAAAGCCAGGATGTCCCTCAGATTTTGCCTCTTTGCACATGTCTGCTTGCCCTTTGATTTTCCCCACCATCTTATGATTCAGCATGAAAGCCCTGGCTGGAAGCTCAGCCATGCCCTTGAATTTCCCAGCCTGAAGAACCATAAGCTAATTAATCCTCTTTTCTTTATAAATTACCCACCCTTAGGTATTCTGTTATTTAATAGCAACACTAAATGGACGAAGACAAAAAATTGGTACCGAGGAATGGGGCTCTTGCTATACAGATATCTGAAAATGTGGAAGAGGCCTTGAAACTGGGATATGGACAGAGGTTGGAAGAGTTTGGAGGACGAGGCTAGAAAGAGACTACTGCAGTGACAGTGAATGAAGCAGTAAGGGCGATTCTGGTGAAGGCTCAGAAGAAGACAGAAAGACAAGGGAAAGTTTGGTTGTCATGACCAAAATGCAGATAGAAGTATGGACAATAAAGGCCAATCTGATGAGCTTCAGATGGAAATGAGGAGTATTTATTTGTACACTGGAGCAAAGCTCACCCTTGCTGTAAAGTAGCAAAGAGCTTGGCAGACCTGTGTTCATACCCTGGGGCTTTATGGAAGGCCAAACATAGAGTTATGACTTAAGAATATCTGGCAGAAGAAGTTTCTAAGTAGCAAAGCACTCAAGAACTGGCATGGTTACTTTTAGCAGCTTATGCTCAGCTATAACAGTAAAGGAATGACTTAAAATCAAAACTTATAATTAAAAAAGAAACAGAGCGGCTGGGCGCGGTGGTTCACACCTATAATCCCAGCACTTTGGGAGGCCAAGGTGGGCAGATCACCTGAGGTAAGGAGTTCAAGACCAGCCTGACCAACATAGAGAAACCCTGTCTCTACTAAAAATACAAAATTAGCCAGGCGTGGTGGCGCATGCCTGTAATCCAAGCTACTCGGGAGGCTGAGGCAGGAGAATCAGTTGAACCCGGGAGGCAGGGGTTGCAGTGGGCCGAGATCGCGCCATTGCACTCCAGCCTGGGCAACAAGAGCGAAACTCTGTCTCAAAAAACAAAAACAAAACAGACAAAAAGAAACGGAGCATAAAAGTTACACTGGTCGTCAGTGTACTAGTAGTATACTGGCCAAATTTGGCCAGGTAGAACCTTGAATTTTCATAACAATTATGGAAACTTAGAAGGCTACAGCAATATTCATTAAATATAATAACTGAATATATATTTTAAATGTTGTTCGTAAAGCAGGCTTTTAATATCAATCAGGGTGGGCCTCAGGATTTATGAGAAATTAATTGATGAACACACAAAGGTAAATGTTGAGAAAATTGCAGGAAGGGAGGTGTCATTGATCCATGACTCCTTTCTTCCCTATTTACAAAGCTTAGTGTACCCGGTTGGCTAGCCGACAGTTCACATTTTAGGGAAAAAGATTATTGAGAAGTAGATAATGAGGATAAAAGAGAGGTTTGGGTTAAATCAGGGAAGTAATAAGCTTTTGGATGCCAGAGGGACAGTTCGAGGCCATTAAACATACTGTACATCTTAAGGAAAACTAAGCTTGCTTCACAATTTGAGTTTTCTCACCTTCTGAAATGTGTCTCATGAAGAGTAAGCTTCCTAATTCTGACCGTATAAGATTAATTCACCATTTCAATTGAGTGTGTTGCGCTCAATAAGCAAGTGTTGAATACTATTAATATTCAGAGTAACGTGTTTCATGCTGGGGGATTCAATAATATGCAATAATAATAATATTTGTAGAGCATTCTAAAGTTTGCACATTCATTTCTCAGACCTCTTCTCATTTAAAATCTTGGAAAGCAGGTATAATGGCTACCCCATTAACAGAGAAGAAAACAGACTCAGTGACTTGCCTAAATTTTAGAATATAACAAGTGTCAGATTTGGGAATCAAACTCAAGTCTTCCAACTTTGGGATCCATCTTATTTCCAGTATATCAGATTCTCTGCCCTAAACAGCCACATTAAAGTGAGAGAAACATAAATAGCCTCAAATGTGGGAAGAGTGTAATTGAAAAATAAATGTCATCTTAGTAACATTGTTTTCCCCCCAAATTATAGCAGTAAACAGGAGATTACAGTGCCTGATTGCGTTACATATTCTGATAGCATGACTTTTATATTTTAGGAGCAGTGTATCTTGCCTTTTATAAGTCTAGGTCCTGTTTTTCTCAGTATGTTTTCAGAAACCATATAGTTGAATTATGTTAGTTTTATATACTTGGAAATTAGACCTCTTATTCTTTCTCATGAATACATAGACTGCTTTTCTCAACAAACATAGTGCTTAAAGAAAGCCTGCAGTAAATTCCTTTTGACCTTTTCAATCCATTTTCATGGATGATGTCTCTGGTAGTATATTAGACTTTTTGGCTTGTCTGCATTTTGATTCAAGTTTTGTTGATTGTCTTAAATTGATAAAGCCTATTAAATAAGATATGACATGCATATGTAAACTCATAAAAGTGAATAATAGTCCTCTGAAGATGAGTGACAATAAGCTCTTAAGTTTGAGAGAAGCTTTTATCAGATACAAAGTCTGCTCTGGTTCAAATATGTGTTACGGGTATGTGCAATAGTGGTAAAAATTTAAGCAATTTCATCTCCAAACAGAGTCTGAAATTACTTGAGATGGTGGAATTCCATAACCCACCTACTGCTTTTGAAAGGTTGAAAAACTTTTTTTATAGATATATTTGTTTTCAGTGAGGTTTTATGAGCATTTTCTACCTTTGACTATCTGTGATAGGTTTGTTTGTGATGCTTTACAAAGCAGTATAGCAATTATTTTTTACTATTTTCAAAATCAGTATTTTTTCTTAATCAATATGACATGTGTTGGAGAAGAAGGATGGGTAGAAAATTTGAATTCAGCACACAACACACTAGGATAGCATTTTCTCAGTGATGTTTTGTGATTTCCTATCAGTAGTCCTTGTAATGTGCATGTAAAAAACTACTTGAGAATGGAAAAGTTAGAATAAATAGGGACTTGCTATAAAAATTGATGAGAAATAAGCCATTGTGCCACCTGTTGCCCCACCCCAGGATTGCCCAATCAGTTATCTGGGCCTGGAACATACCCTCTTATGTAGAGGCTGGGGTGGTGCTGCTGCTTGGTTCCAGACTCTTCTTCCTTACTGGGAGAAAATCTTTCCATGTTCTGGTTACACAGCGAAATTTTTTGCAGTGCATAAGTGTGTGTGTCATATGGCACTTATATCTGCCTCACCCCTTTTTCTGCCCCAGGAAAAAAAAAGAGGTCTTCACCAGCATGATTAGATGGGTGGTGTGCAGTACATCCCCCTTGGGAGGGGTCTGTTAGTCATGGTAGACCAGTGCACCCCATAGATGCTGATCTTGCTATGTTCTTTCTTCCTTGCATGAGCAAAGCTTTGTTTTAACCAGTGCCTGTGTGTTCTTCTTGGTAACTCTGTGCCCGTGGGTGATGCAGTGGGCCTGAGTTCTGTGGGCTCCTACTTCTGGTGGTTGGCATTGTTATACTCTTTGCCATCCTCAAAAGGTTGGGAATCCTTATCTGGGATTGATAGCTGGATCTTCCTGCTTGACAAAAATAAACAGAATTTTTTTAATTTAAAAATTCCAATCAAGAATTTTTTGAAATTGTTATGTACACTTGGCGATAACGTAAAATGCACCTAAACATATCTTCTCACACTATATTATTGGGAGATTTGTGATCAATCCTACTTAAGTTAATGTCAATTTTAATATCATTGGTACATTTAATTTATAGTTGCAGTAGGGGTAGATAAAGATGTCATGTGTCTGCTGCAGCTGTTGTTGTGCTCTCACGTGATTATCTTGGATTTTAAGAAGTCCAATAGTTGCCACTTCTTCTTCTTCTTTTTTTTTTTTTTTTGAGACAGAGTCTCACCCTGTTGCCCAGGCTGGAGTGCAATGGTGTGATCTCAGCTCACTGCAACCTCCACCTCCTGGGTTCAAGCAATTATCCTGCCTCAGCCTCCCGAGTAGCTGGGATTACAGGCATATGCCTCCATGCTCAGCTAATTTTTGTATTTTTAGTAGAGAGGGGGTTTCACCATGTTGGTCAGGCTGGTCTCAAACTCCTGACCTCGTCATCCACCCACCTTGGCCTCCCAAAGTGCTGGGATTACAGGCGTGAGCCACTGCGCCCAGTCCTACTTCTTCTTTTAAAAACTCAAATGTACATACACAGTCACCAATCATATTCTCCAAATTATATTGTGAATCTATCTACTTTCTTCCATCATCTCTACTATCATTCTGGTCTAAGGCATCATCATCTCTCACCTGGATTATTGCAATAGCTCCCTCTAATTTATTCTCCACCTCATAGTCAAATTAATCTCATCAGTCAAATTGAATTTTGTCATTATTTTAATCAAAACCCTTCAGTGCCTTCACAAGATATTTAGAATAAAACCCAAGTTCTTTTTTTGGCCCATAACAGCCTGGACTCTATCTTATACAAGTTGCTCTAGAATATAGCAAAAGAGGAAAAGCTACCAGATTCATTTTATGCAGTAACTAAAATCTCGTTACCAACACTTGATAAAGAGAGATCAAGGAAAGAGACTAATAGGCCAAGATCATTCATGGACAGAGATACAAATATCCCATATAAAATATTAGCTAACTGAATATTACATTATATTAAAACTAATATGTCATGACCAAGTAGTTTTTAATCCCAGGAATAAAATGATTGTTTAAATTCAAAAAATCTATCCATTTAATTCATCGCATTAAGGAACTTTTAAGTTCTTTAATATCATATCACTTCCAAAACGTTTATATCTAACTGAGATGTTCCATCTGAACTACAAAATTTCTATATCCATCTGTATAATTGACATCTACATTTGGATGTTTTATAAGCATTCTCAGAATTAACATATCCAGAAATGAGTTCCTGGTATTTTGTCCAAAACCTGATTCTTTCTTAGTGTTCCCTAACTCAGTAAATGGCCAGTCTTTTCCTCCATTCCATCCAGAATCTGACCATTTGTGAACGCCTCTACTGTGACCACTGCAACCCGAGTTGCCCTCGTTTCACCTGGAGTAGTCTGTTAGACAGTCTTTCTGTTATCAACTTTCCATTATCAACCTCCTTTACATTCTATTTTTAACAGAATCATCCTGTTAAAACATAAGTTAGATCATGCTACTCCTTGGCTCAAAACACTCCAATGGCTTTCTTTACTCCCTGAGAATAAAAGCAAGTACAATTGGAATGTTTGTAACACAAAAAAAATGACGAATACTTGCTGTGGGGATGGGTACTCAATTTAGCCAGATGGGATTATTATTCACTGTTTGCCAGCATCAAGATATCTCATGTACCCCATAAATATATATAGCTACTATGTTTTAAAAAAAGTGAAAATTTAAAAAATTAAAGAAAAATAAAACCAAGTTCGGACGATGGCCTTCTAAGACCCCTGTGGTCTGCCTTCTTGCTTCATGGGCCTCATGTTCTACCACTTTCTCCCCTGTCTTCCTCCCACTCAGCACTTGACTTTCACCAGCATGGATTGCTTTGCTCTCTGACCAGATATCCACGCAGCAAACTTCCTCCATTTATTCTGGTCTTTTTAACATTTTTATTTCACTAGCTTTACGGGTACAAGTGGGTTTTTGGTTACTTAAATGAATTGTATAGTGGTTGAAGTCTGAGATTTTAGTGCATCCATCACCCAAGTAGTATACATTGTACCCAATCTGTAGTTTTTAATCTCTTACCCCCCTTCCACGCTGCCCCCTTCTGAATCTCCAATGTCCATTATACTGCTCTGTATGCCTTGGTGTACCCACTTAGCTCCCACTTATAAGTGAGAACATATGGTATTTGGTTTCTCATTCCTGAGTTACTCCACTTAGAATAATGGCTTCCAGTTCTATCCAAGTTGCTGCAAAACATTACATTGTTCTTGTTTATGGCTGAGTAGTATTTCATGGTATACGTATACCATATTTTCTTTATGCAGTCATCAGTTGATGGGCACTTAGGTTGGTTCCATATCTTTACAATTGTGAATTTTGCTGCAGTAAACATGTGTGCAGGTGTCTTTTCGACATAATAACTTCTTTTCCTTTGAGTAGTGGGATTGCTGGATCAAATGATAGATCTACTTTTTGTTCTTTAAGAAATCTCCATGCTGTTTTCCATAGAGGTTGTACTAAGTTAGATTCCTACCAATAGTGTATAAGTAGGTGTTCTTTTTTCAACACATCCACACCAACATTATTGTTTTTTGACTTTTTAATAATGGCGACTCTGGTTGGGGTAAAGTGATATCGCATTGCAGTTTTAATTTGCATTTCCCTGATGATTCCCTGGTGATATTGAACATTTTTTTCATGTTTGTTGGCCATTTGTATATCTTTTTTTGAGAAATGTCTATTCATGTCATTTGCCCACTTTTTAATTGGATTATTTGTTTTATTTCTTGCTGATTTGTTTGAGTTCCTTGTAGATTCTGGACATTAATCCTTTGTCAGATGCATAGTGTGTAAATATTTTCCCCCATTCTGTGGGTTGTCTGTTTACTCTGATCATTATTTCTTTTGCTGTGCAGAGTTTTTTAGTTTAACTAGGTCCCATTTATTTGTTTTTGTTGTTGTTGTTGCATTTGCTTTTGGGGTCTTTGTTATAAACTCTTTGCCTAGGCCAATGTCCAGGAGAGTTTTTCCTACATTTTCTTCCGGAATGTTTATGTTTCAGGTCTTATATTTAAGTCTTCAATCTATCTTAAGTTGATTTTAGTATGTGGTGAGAAATAGGGATTCAGTTTCATTCTTCTACATGTGGCTGACCAGTTTACCCAGAACCGTTTATTGAATAAAGTGTTCCTTCTCCAATTTTAGGTTTTTGTATGCTTTATTGAAGATCAGTTGGTTGTATTTGGCCTTATTTCTGCGTTTTCTATTCTGTTCCATTGGTCTGTGTATCTACTTTTATACCAGTACCATGCTGTTTAGGTTGCTATAGCCTTGTAGTATAATTTTGAAGTCAGGTAAAGTGATGCCTCCAGATTTGATCTTTTTGCTTAGGATCGCTTTGGTTATTTGGGTTGTGTTTTGGGTCTATGTTAATTTTAGGTTTGTATTTTCTAATTCTGTGAAAAATGATATTGGTATTTTGATAGGAATTGTATTGAATTATAGATTGCTTTGGGCAGTATGGCCATCTTCACAATATTGATTCTGCCAATCCATGAGCATGGGATGTGTTTCCGTTTTTGTCATCTGTGATTTCTTTCAGCAGTGTTATGTAGTTCACCTTGTAAAGATTTTTCACTTCCTTGTTTAGATATATTTCTAGGTATTTGATTTTATTTGCAGCTATTTTGAAAAGGTTCTTGATTTGATTCTCTACTTGGTTGGTGTTGGTGTATAGCAGTGCTATTGATTTGTGTATCTTGATTTTGTAACTCGAATCTAGGAGTCCTAAATCTAGGAGTCTTTTGAAGGAGAAATGTTACCTTTCTAGTGAATCCATTCCTGGACACTCTATTTGAAATTGTCAGCTCTTCCCTTCTTGCCACTTTTAAATGTTTTTGCTCTGTGCTACTAATACCTTCCTTTATGTATTTTAAAATTTTTTTCAATTTCAAAATCTTGGTCTGTCTATTCTAATATTTCTCCTTCTCTTTGTATCTGTGTTGTGGTACATTGAAATAGCTGTGCTCCTTAATTGTCTTGTTATCTGGGCCTGCCAGTAATTTTCATCTGGAAGTACCAGCTATGCTGTTAGATAATGCCAATAGAGAAAGGCCAGGCCCTTGTTAAGATCAGCCCCAAAGATGTCAATGTGTGTGTGTGTATGAGTGTGTGTCTTTGTGTGTGTGTGTGTGTGTGTGTGTGTGTGATGTAGGGTGAAGAGACCAGACACCAGAAAACTATAGCCTACTAAGCAATTCCTTAGATCAGATCTTCACACCTTGCACTCCGGGGAGAAGCAGCTTCAGTAAGAGACATGCATAGATTATAATTTACCAGCCTTGAGGGTTTAGAGGGGTAAGAGTGAGAAGCCACTTGTTTGAGGTTCTCACCTGTTTCTTACAGTGGCTCACAAGCACAAGACTTTTATCTGGCTCTGACTTAACCTCTGAGAATACCTGGACCAGAAGTCTGAGTCATGCACATATGGGAACAAGGAGGATAGGCAGAAGCAAAATGGGAGGGAAAGCAAGAACAGAACCCCAGGAGAGTTTTCTCTCTTTTATCTTCTTATTCTATAGTCCTACCCAGTGGCATCCTGCCTCAGGCGAATGCTGCTATTCCACATGAACAAGTTCAACATAATATTCCCTTTCCCAGCAATGCCATAGTGGTTTTTTCAATATTGTGATTTTTTTAAGTGGGATTGGACTTGTGGGAAGGGCCCAGAAACTGTGCTACTTTAGCATCTAATATATTTTACTATGTGACTTAATTATATTTGTTTGTTTGTTTGTTTCTCTTACCATAAGATCTTTGAGTGCAAAGATTTATGTCTGTTTTGTTCACTATTGTGTCTGCAGGTCCTAGAACAGTGAGTATTACACAGGAAGTTCTCAATACTTACTGAATAAATCTATCAAAAATAAGAATAGAAGAAAACTTGTTAAATTAATAAAGTCTATCCACTGAAAAAATACAGCAAGTGTCATGTTCCTCGGAAAAATATTAAACATTTTTGTTTTGAGAATGGGAGGAAGACTAGAATGCCAGCAATCATTGCAACAAAAATCAGTAGCATCCCTTTAGTGTAGCAACCTCTAACTAGAAAATAAGACACAAGTCACAATTAATATGGGCAAAAATAAGTTAACTAAACAATTTTAAAAACTAAGAGAAAAGTTGGGGAGGGTATGATGGTTAATTTTATGTGTCAACTTCAGTAAGCTAAGGGATGCCCAGATAGCTGGTAAACCATTATTTTGGGGTGTGTCTATGAGGGTGTTTCTGGAAGACATTACCATTTGAATTGGTAGAATGAGTAAAGAAGGTCCACCCTCACCAATGTGGGCAGGCATTACCCAATCCATTGAAAGTCTGAATAGAACAAGAGTAGAAGAAGGGCAAACTGACCCTCTCCTTGAGGTGGGACATTTATCTTCTGCTCTTGCACAAAGAATCTCTTGGCCTTGAGACTCTGGAGACTCACACCATTGCCCCCTTTGATTCTCAGGTCCTTTGTTTTCAGTTGAGAGTTACATCATCAGCTTTCCTGGTTCTTAGGCCTTTGTACTCAAACTTAATTAAACCAGCAGCTTTCCTGTGTCTCCATCTTGCAGTTGGCATGTTGTAGGACTCCTTGGCCTTTATAACTGCATGGGCCAATTCGTAGGGTAAATCTCCCTTTATGTATATCTCTATACATCTTATTGGGTCTGTTTCTCTGTAGAACTCTTACTAATTCAGGGAGTATGCCCTAACAGATTGGAAAGCATATCACAAAACCATGGAACCATTTGCCAAAAATGGAACCAGTGCAGAGAGAGACAAGCACATATTTTCCATTGATCTCTTGGTTCCATTTTTGTCTATGGTTTTGTGGTAAGCTGTGACAAATCAAAGGGGAAAATCTTATGGGTTTGAAAAAATCAAAACTAAAGATCTTTTTGTTAATTAAGAATACCATAGCTGAATTAAAGGCATATTACAGATTGAGAAAAGTTCTTATAATATCTAAAACTAAAAGAGAAATCTAGATTATGTAATAAACTCCTACAAATTGACTATCACAAACATAGGATCCAAAAGGAAAAAATAAAGTATATTATCAACACTTCCAAGAAGGAGAAATTTTTAAAAAGCCAATTAATTATATGAAATGATGTTCAGCCTGTAACCGTGATATATCATTTTATATCTATCAAACTGGCAAGGGTTAAAAAGTTTATAATATCAAGTGTTGGCAAGGATGTGGAGAAATGAGAACTTTTATGAACTGCTGATGGAAATATAAACTAGTGCAGCCATCTTGAAGGGAAATCTGGAAGTATTCTGTGTAACGAGGCATGTACAAAAAACCTACAAGTGGAAATATATGTTCATTTCAGGATTATTTGAGGTAGTAAAGATTAGGATGTATTAAAAATGTGGAAAGTAAATTGTGGTATATACATATGATGGAATGCAGAAGCCAGAAATATATCCAGCAAAATGAACAGAACTAAAAAAAATTTTAGTGAACATATTAAGAAACAACATGTGATTATTAGTACAATAACTTGATGTTAATGTATAATAAACCTGTTTTAAATTTATTTACACTAAGCAACACTACTTTTCAAGGAAATTTGTGTATCTAGGGACATATATATCTAATATGGGTGATATATATATATATATAGTGGGTGAAAAGGAAATAAAATGAGAGGCTTTTTGTACAGACAGATGATGATAGTGTGCCATAAACTAAAGTGTATAACTAAATTTTGTGCACTAGGATTTTTTAAAAAAGGTAAGAAGCTGGGGATGGCGTTGACTGTTTAGGTCTCAGAGGCAGTAGCAGTATTTCCAGAAGTGCTCCCAGACTACTGCACTGGCCTCTATATTAAATGGAAATGGAGATTTTCTAGGATTTGATTACTACAAAGTATTATTTTCATCATACTAACAGTGGTTGCAGTTTCAGAGAAGGGAGCAGCCAGCTTGCTAGCTAGACTGCACTGTGGCCAGTTTTTTAATGTAAATTCTAATTCACTGAATTGCATTCCATCCCACTGTAAGAACTGAAGAAAAATGTTCACATGGAGGTCCTGAGCTGGAAAACAGTCCAGCTGTAGAGATTCATACTAGGGATGGTGCTAATCATTGGGATGTGAGAAACTGAGTAAGACAGAATCTCTGCCTTCAAAAAACTTACAGTCTAGTGCAGGGGTCCTCAACCCCTGGGCCATGGACTGCTACTGGTCCCTGGCTTGTTAGGAACCAGGCTGCACAGCAGGAGGTGAGCAGTGGGCAAGCCAATGAAGCTTCATCTGTATTTACAGCTGCTCCCCATTGCTCGCATTACTGCCTGAGGTCTGCCTCCTGTCAGATCAGAGGCTGCGTTAGATTCTCATAGGAGTGCAAACCCTATTGTGAACCGTGCATGTGGGGGATCTGTGTTGTGCACTCCATATGAGAATCTAATGCCTGCTCACCCCCAGTCCAAGTCCATGGAAAAATTGTCTTCCACCAAACAGGTCCCTGGTGCCAAAAAGTTTGGGGACCACTGGTCTAGTGGATCATCAATACATAATTACAGAACATAAATACGTAATTAAAATAAATGTGGTATATGCATTGGTAGATATCAATTGGAATTTAAAAAATAATGTTTAATATTCAAAATTTGACCTTTGTCTATTAGTTCTTCAGTGATATAGAGTGACTCTTAGACACTAATATTCATAAACCTAAAGTCTATCTATAAGTGAAGGAAAAAAAAACCTCTTTGGTTTCCTTTTTTCATTATGTAAAGCCAAATGTTTTAAAAAAATTCCAAGGAAAATAGCCTTATATGTTATCAGAATGCAGATGTAAACAGTATTCACTAAGTTAAGTTGAAATATGTTTATATTTCAAATGCAGTAGCCTAGGAGGCAAAGCCATTGCAGTCTTAGCACTTAAATTGTAGAATATGCAAATCATTTTCCCAGATGATTTTTTTATTTGAAGGTTTGCAAGTTGAATTTTTTAAAAAACAGCTCTGTATTACTCTGTATACTGAAGTAGCAAGGCTAAACTATTAGAATGGGTATTTGGGTAAACATTTTATAGTTTTTTTTGTATTTTTGTATTCTGGTTCAATTAATTTCATAGTTCATGACATTTTAAATATAGAATTCCATTTTCTTCAAGATTTGTTGATAGTATCAATGCTGGACTTTAACACTTTCCTCTCCTTTTCACTTTGATTCATGCCAGTGTCTAAAAAGACAATCAAGCCCTTCATCTGTGAGCTGTAGCTCATTTATATTTGTATGTGCTTAACTCTTGCTAAAAAATGGTGGTGGTGGGGGACTTGTGTCACTCTCTGTGGAAGATAGGGAGAATTAGTGTGAAGGGCACTGAGATGTCCCAAACTTGGAAAGACTATATTCTATCAAAAGGAAAAGCTGAGTTCTTATGTTTTGTGGTTTGTGACTGTGATTTGATAGAATTAGTACAGTGAGGATTAAAGCACTTTATTGTTAAAAACTTTACCCGTGAGTTCTGTTTGTTTTAATTTTAAAATGCCATCCTCTGTCCCATGCTGTCTGGTCTGTATACTCACACATTTCCTTGTACCACTCTGGCCTGTTAGAGGGGGATTTATCACATCAGTTCTGCTTACCTATCCTGGGAGGGTCCAGAAGACATATCTTTCATACCACTGTGAGAAATAAATGTGTGAAGGGAGCCCCAGCACCCTTGGAGAGTCTGTGGTCACTCTTCTCTTTAAATCAGAAATTATAGTGGGAGCTGCTGCCACTGAATTGGAAACATAAATGCAATGGGGATCATTGGATCCCAGAGTGGCACGGGCCATGTGGTGGCACTTAATAACCAAAGGCAAAATGGGTGTGGTTACCATAATGGACACTGGAGTCAAAGCAGTAATCAGAAGAGTCTGACTTGCAGAAAATTGTATGTGGTGTTGGCCAGTTGATCATGTTGTCCCTAGCAGTGACATAGGTGGCAGTCTACCGAATTCTTACTTGACTTGTATAAGTGGGAGAGTTCAAGGTCAAGTGAACAGAAATCAAACCAAAATAATCAAAACATAGAGTCACAGTCCCTCAATCAGTTCCCAGACTTGAGCCAGTTTACAGAAACAGAACCCTTTGAATGAGGGGGAGGCCACATTCCTGTGAGGAAGAACACGGATACACTGCCCAAAATTTAGACTGTTGGCCTTTCTTTTAGTCTTCCCCAAGAGGACCTATGTCCTTTTACCAGGGTTACTGCAAATTGAGAAAAAGGAAATAATCATGGTTTTGGGTGACTGCTGGGCTTTGGCTGTGAACCAACACTAATTTCAGGAGACCCCAAACGTCACTGCAGTTTACCAGTTAGAGTAGAAGGTTATGTAGGTCAGGTGATTAATGGAATTTTAGCTGAGGTCTGTTTCACAGTGGGTCCAGTGTGTTCACGAACTCATCCTGTGATTATTTCCCCAGTTCTGGAATTCATAATGGGATAGACATACTCAGCAACTGGCAGAATTCCATTCTGGCCTTTAAAAGGGTAGTCTCATTTGTTTATGTTAAGAACAATGTAGACCTGCCAATGAAATATCCCTTAAATTAAAAACTGAGGGGGAGGAGGGAACATGGTACTCAAAACACTGGCCGGCCATTTAAGTTCCACCCAATGACTGATTAATGCATTAGAAGAAAAGTATTTAGTTGCTTATTTATTTATAGCATGTTTATTCCAGAAAGCGTTTCTTATGGCTAACAGTATGTAAAATATGACAAATTGGCAAAATAGTAAAAAAGGTCAGGTGAAATGGAGCTAGGAATAAGGTTCTAATTGATAACATGATGCATCAAAGAGGGTGGGTGGGCAAGTACAAATTTGTTCCTAAGCTTTCTGCTGAAAAGCTGGCTCACAATTTTTGTGAAACACAGACATTCTTACATTTCTTCTGAGTGAAAATGACTTAAGTTAGTTTTTTGATGGTTTAACTAATTGGATTAAATCTTTCACTTTTCAACCAATTTTACCAGTGCTCTGGTATAGTGGGAAAAAGCTTGGGTTGATTTGAAATGCTGGCTCCTTCATTTGTTGGTTGTGTGATCTTAGGCCAGTTGCTTAACCTTTCTGGGTCTTAAATTCCTCATTTGTGATATAGATGCGGTAATATCTTGCTCATGGGGTAGTTGTGACAATAAAGTGTATACAAACCTCCTTGTACTATCTCAATCCTCCTTCCTTTTCCTTCCTTAGAAGGAAAATGTATTTAGACATAATGCAAACAAATTAAGTCTCTGTGAAAACCTGTAAGTGAGGCACAGATTGCAGAATTATTGGTGCAGGTAATATTAACACCAGCTGACTTCTGCTGAATACATGTTTAGGATAAAATAACTACTTAAAAATATACACAGCAAAAGACACACACACACACACACACACACACACACACACACAGCCAGATCACATCATCTCAGGTGAAGGTTTGTCTCGTATATTTGATTCTTTAACATTCTGGCTGACATTCCCATTTTCTGAAGTATGAGTCTTTAGATACATATGTCTTAGATATTGTAGTCTCAAGAAAGCAACTGTGCAGCATTGCAATTAGGTAGAGAAAATTCTCTTTCTGTAGTGCACTTGTGACCAGTAAGCAAAGGCTTCAGAGAGTTCTTCCTCTAGAACTATCATGAAATAACTTTATTCATATAGAATTAAAAATTAATAGATCATTCATTTAAGAAGTATTATCTGCTTGCAAGACCCAAGTTAAATCCACCGTTGTCTCCTTACACCCATCCCTTTACCTCCCTTCACATATTTTTCCAGGGGAAATTAGGCTCATATTAGCACCCCAGAGACATCTAGGATACAGCAAGGCACAAAGACATTCATGTGATGTGTGGGTAGATGCCATTGGCATGCTGATGGTGGCGGTGAAATTATCACCTGACTACACGAGTAAAATCTTGAGGTCTCTTCCAGTACAAGGTAGTAGAACCATGTGCTTCTGCCCTTCTGACTATCTTTCTGAGTACTCACCCTACTCTTGAGGTAGTTGGCCTAATTTGTTATACCCTGGGAATAGCTTTGATAATTGTTCTGGGATGTACCTACTATGGTCAACTTGAACATCTGCAGTTTATTGAACTCTAAACACTGACAGAATATTTTAAATGAAACTTATTTTGACTCTTCTGTGATATTGGGGTTCATTTTTTGGCTTATTTTTCTCTACATTTCAAAACATTGTGACACTGATGTATTGCCTCCAAAAAGGTGGGAAAAAAAGGAATATCAGATGCCATATTATAGGTGTCAGTTTGAAAATGTCACAGTACTCCTATATTTTGTAAAAACCAGCAAAAGCATAAACTACAAAAGAAGTGATTCAAAAATGTCTTTTAATAAAAGTTTAGAGTCTTCAAAATATATTTGCCCCTGGAGCAAACTTTTTTCATTTAATATTGTGTCTGTTAATTAGTGCTTCAAATTTGCAAATTCTTTATTGGTTTATATCAATGTAATACCCAAAGCTCATCTCATTGCCAGATTTGAATGAAATATGATCCTGTTTATTCTATTAAAATGAAGGCTTGAAATTGTTACCCAAATGCCACAGGAATTCTTGCCATTTTCTCATCAAATTCCTCATCAGATTTTTTGTTAAAGTCACATTGTTTTAGATTTTGTGCCTTGGCATTTAAATGAAATTCAATGTGCCCCACTGGAGGAAACATCTGTAGGGACATATTATGTACAATATCCATTCCAATCAAGCAGGAGTGTACTGAGTGCCTGAATGAGGAGCTTATTCTTGCTTCACACTCCTCTGATGTGGCTATTGAGAAGATCTATAAGGGAGAGAACATTTATAAAAATTAAACCAGCAGTGGAGCACAGCATTTTAAATGCTCAAATCAAATACTTTTTAAAGGCACAATATCAGTTTCAGTGAATGGATTCCTGCCTCTTTCTTTTTATATAACAGACTTTATATATATAAAACATCTGATTCAGACTTTGGACAGCTTAGAGTGTGGTTAGATTACGATGATGTTCAATGTCCATGTGTCCCAGTAAGCTTCTATTTACTTGATTTTAACAACCTAACATATCCCTCAACAGAGGCAGAGGCAGCCTTAGTTCAATACACTCTATATAACCTTTTATATTTACAGTCTGCCACAAAACACCTGCAACTAGTGCTGTGTCAAATGGTCAAGGGATGGGAACAGTTCCTGTTCTATCAATAAACACACATGTCAATGGAAATTTTCTAAAATAGTGCTTTAATTTTCAATTAGAAAAGGAAGTGACCAGGATGTGATGGCTAGGACTCACATAAGATGGAAAAAAATGATCAAATTGACCCCATTGGACTTCAAGATATGTGAGGATGAAATGAATTACGTGTACAAAGCACTTACAGCATGGCACATGGTAAGTGCCCAGTAAATATTAACCAATATTATTGTCAGGGATGACTTCACAGAGGAAGTGGGATTTGAGTTGGGGGGCATTGCATCAGCTTCAGAATAGGGCATTGGCAAAGCAGAAATGGCTTACACAGTGGCGTGAATGTAGGGAAGCAGAAAGTGTACCAATGGAGGGAAACTAGATGAGTTTAGATGTTGCTGAGGCTTATGGTTATTGTCAGTTTGAAGTACACAGGGAGCCTATTAATGTGAAAGCCACTGAACAACATGCCAGACACAAAGAGCACCATGTAGTTTCAACTTAGACACTGCTGCATTAGGTATGTTGCGCATAAAAAGACGTATTTCATTTCCAGGTACTTCAGTGTGTAATTAAGTAGAGTAAACAACATGAACCATTCAGCATTCTGCTGTCAAAATGCACTTAGATTCCTGTTGGAAGATAGAGCTGCTTCCGAAAGAAATAACTCAGTCTCCCAGTACATACAAAAGTGAACTTTTCTCTCCTATTTTCATTGCTTTGGTCACTGTTTACCTTTGGTGTAGTTATGATGCATATTATGACATGAACATGGAATTTTGTCTTTACTGTGGCAGATAATGTGTGACGTATTATAAAATGTGAATTATAATTCTCATTTATTTCCTGCCTTTTAAAATTTCCTTATAAATCCAAGGACTAGTTTTGTAGGGCTGAGTTTCTTCTACTCAAGTAAAACGATAACAACCACAACAACAACAAAACTATTGTGTGCTACAATTTGGAAAATGCTGGATTATATAAATTATACAGATGTTCTTACTTTAGGACCTACTGGAATCTTTAACATGCTAATGAACGTTTACAGTCTGTAAGAATAAGATGTAGCATGCATGATTTCTGACACTTTGTTAGGTATGGTACATTTAGGTAGCATGCTAGAACTTCTGCTTTTGGAATACACTCTGGGACATGATGCCCAGTCTTATGACTTTAGAGTTCAAGGGATATTTATCTAACAGTGATGGATACTAGTACAAACTAGGGATGAAAGATAAATTTCAAAAAATACTTAAAGTAAATAGGGGTATAATACTTTATTTCACATAGCTTGATTCATTCAAGAAAATTAAAGCTTTTCCATCGCACTTATGAACTTCTTAAATGTAGGATACTATTTTATTTATCTTTGGAACCTCAGTACTATACAAAATCATCTTTCCACTGGGAAAGCTAAGTTTATAGGGTAAGATGGTCAGAAGCCATTTCCTATACTACATAGAGAAAGCTTATCTAAGAGGAAGAAGAGGAGAAGGAGGAGGTAGAGGAGAAGGGCTCTGTGAGACTGTTTAAGCTCCTGGATTTAGCTGTAGCTGATGCCAGTATACCCTATACGATTAAGTTATGTAAACTTATTAAATTTCCTTTTACATGTAAGCTAGTTTGAATTATTTTTTTTTTACTTATAACCAAAAGTATTCTTACATATCTGAGCTGCAGATGACAGATTCTAAATTGAGGAATTGGTTAAGTAGGGGTGAGATGCAGCAATGTGAGGATTCTTCCATCCATGACTAATGTGAATGTGGCAGACTGAGAGTTGACTACCTAATTCTATTCTTTTCTTCTTTATTGCTGTCATAATTGAAATTATTTTTCCTGGTGGCAAAATGCCCAGCTAAAAAACACATTTCCCAGACTTTTTTGTCGACTGAGGATGACAATGTGATGCAGTTTTGGACAATGAGATATAAACAGAAATCTCAGAGCAGGAGTCTCAGGGAAGTTCCTTAGATAACAGCCAGGCTCAGCTGGCACATTCTTTTCACCTTGCTCTTCTCCCTTCATCCTGTCTGTGTCCAAATCATAGTGTCTAAGGCTATGCAGAGTGGGTCCACATCCCTAACATGTAGTGAAGAGAGAAGAAAGCTGTTTCACCGATGACATCATGCTACTGCCACACCAGCCCTGGACGGTCAACTTTGTGATCTCTTATTGTATGAAAAAAAAAAAGACAACTTTTATTTGGTTTACCCACCATAAATCCAATTTTCTGTTATGTGTAGCTGAGCCTATTACCAAAATGATACATCAAGGCAGTTGCTTAAACTGTTGCTAGTGTATCTTAATACTCCATCCAAAGCCTACCAAGCTTGGGGTATTAGAGGGAGAACATGTAGGCAATGTGGGAGTACTGGAGGGTGTTGAGGACTTTCTGCAGTCCTTAGTAGGTCCTCTGAGAAAAAGATGATCTTCCGTCCAGGCTGATTCTCATATATGCTCTTACCAGAAAAAGTCCAATAGCTGTATGTCATGTGGCTGAAATCCCAGGATGCACAGCACAAGTTCACCACAAAAATTCTTTGCATGAAAAATGGACATCCAAGATGAACACTGAAGAGAAACTCTAGTGAGTTCAGGAAATTTAATTGACTCAGCCTTGGACTTACAAGTCGAGAGTTTTGATATGTCAGGTTGATTAAATAGCTCTATCACGATATTGCCCAATTATATGCTATGCTCATTATTGTCTATTATTTCATACAATTTAAAAATTATTTCTTTGGTTTTTATCTTTTATTGTAGGATGATCATTTAAAACTTCTACACATAATGTGGTGGTAAAAAAAAAAAAAAAAAAGCATAGACCGAAGAGAAACTCCCTGGGTTTGCTATGTATCAGCTGTTTGACCTTGTCCAAATGACTAAACCTTTCTCCAGTTTAGTTTCCTCATCTGTAAAAAGGGGACAATAATAGTACCTATTTTATAAAGTTGTCAGGAAGACTAAAAGCGTTAGCACATGTAAAGTACTTGGAACAGTGTCTGACTTCAATGAACACTGTTAGTTATCATTATTTTAAAAGTTGAAAAAGCTTTTAGGCTTTTCTTTGAATTTAAATATAAAATTTTATTTTACAGTTAAATGGTTTCATATTTGGAGTATTTAATGACGGTGTTTCTGATATTTCTGATGTTTCTGAGTATTGGATGACAGGCTGAAAAATCGTTCTGAGGCCTACATTTTTAACGTGCCCTGCTTTGGGGATTTATCCTAGCATGTGTACTAGGTAAGTTCTGAATAGATGCTTTCGAAGAGGTGATTGGTTTCACAGAGTGGGAAACAGAGACAAGGTGTTTGTTTCTATCAGCCATTTTATTTCATGGCAGGCTAATTAAATCTCTTTCTTGGCTGCAATAAACTGAGATTGGTGTCTACAGGAAATATCTTTATGTTTAAGTAGACACCAGGCTTACCTCTATATGTAATCATGCAGCCACCTGCAGGATGTGCATCAAAGGGACAGGCTGGCATTGGCTGTCATAGTAGGCCCTTTCCAGTTAAAGGCAGCCCCTGCCTGAGAAGTGCTCTGCCTGATGACTGAAAACCATCCAGATAAAACACACCCAGGACTAGTATGGAGCAGAGATAGGAAATCACTCTGTTCTCCTATGACCTTTTCTTCTGCTTATATTTATTTAAGTTTCTGCCCCCTCCTCCTTAAAGATATTTTGAAATTAAATTCAGTTTTTCTTCTGCCCTCCATAGTCTGAGTTTGCAGGGATCCAGAGGTTTTTTATCTCTATAAGAGTTGTCTTTTTTTTTAATCTAATGATAATGATTAGTACATACCTGAGGATCAGACAATACTATCCAATCCCAAAACAGTGATATTAAGAGACTAATGAACCTAGATTTTTTTTGGAAGACAGTGCTAATATTGTGCATAGTATTGTCTAATTTCCTTGCATATCCATTCAATTCACACAGTTCTATTTTTTAGCCAGAACATCCAAATAGATCTTAGATACTGGTTTCTAAAGTACCCCATTAATTTTGACCCAAAATTAGTAGTCAAATGGTATTTAAGAACTTGGTTACATATGCATGCATAAGCATATATTTCAATTTGCGATTAAATGTGATTGAGATTAGCTCTGTCTTTGATACCTGTAGGAGCACTCCAAATAGCAGCCTGGGTTCTTATGCGTCAGGGTTAGGCTCCCAGAATTATGTCTCCAGGCAGAACAGCTCTCAGCTCTGAGCAGGACACTCTTATAGTTGACCCATATGAAAGGCCTGCCAAAGACTTCATTCAAAGGTAATAGATATTTGGGAAAAATAATCTCATTTTCATATCCTGGATGGATAAACAGATATTGACGTAGGTAAAACTATGCAGAGCAAAATTCAAGCAGCTAAGATCTTTTTATAGTGGAGATGAGGTGACATTAGTCCTTGCTGACTCATATGAGGTCATGGCTTCAATTATGTGTCTCTCATTTCTTTTGGATGAAGAATCTGTGACTGATGTGGGTTTCAAAATGTTTCCAACTTTGAAGATTAGTGGCTTGAGAACACGAGACTTTTCATTTTTTCAAGGAAGCACAGGTAGTGGTATCTTCTTAGGAATAGTTTCTCCAGATCAAAAGTATTTCCTA
The DNA here is from genome assembly GCF_000001405.40 of Homo sapiens. NCBI lineage: Eukaryota > Metazoa > Chordata > Mammalia > Primates > Hominidae > Homo > Homo sapiens. The sequence continues at coordinate 88,371,420 of NC_000001.11, read as the reverse complement.
ATCTATTGTTTCTTACTCTAAAAAATAATAATTTAAACAGCATCAGCCATTGAACATGGATCAATGATCAACATAACTATAACATTTAGGTAGGCTTAAATCCATTTATATGAAAATCAAGTTATAATGGGGCTGAGTTTTTTTCCTTTTTAAAAATGTCTTTGTTTATTTATTTTTACTGCAAACGGTTGATAACATTTCATCAGAAGACATTAATACAAAGAATTAATTAGCAAAATCTAATATCCAATCAGTGTAGTCTGGAAAAAGATTTCATGGATGGGTGATTGTGACATTGAATGGAGGTAGGAAGGTAAAGGAACAAATAATGTTTCTGAGTCAGAGGCTTTTCTCCTTTTATTCATACACTCATTGAAAGAGCAATCGAGGGAGAGTCATGAACTAGGAAGACTTAGGTCCTCACGAGAAACAAATCGCAGGTTTTAGGGAGCATCATAAAATAGCCATTTAGAACATTGACCTCGTGTATTTAAAGATTATGAGATTTTACAGTAGTTGGGTTATAAAATATCAATTTAGAGCAACAGCAAATTTCCTGATATTCATTTCAGTTTATAGGCAATTCCTGTTCTGACATAAATGTATAGGCCTGGGTGACCAAGTCCTCTGGGCCAATGCTGCATTCTCCTTCGAGGTGGGGGTGTGGGGAAGGTCTCAATGGCTTTTACCCAGAAAATCAGTGGGCTAAAAGTCTCCTTCGTCAAACCATTTGTATTGCAGGAGGCTTTAAAACAGTTCCGTAACTTACTGAAGCTCTCACAGTTGTTTCCTTTTCAGCAGGGGAATGGAGAATATCAGGGATGTTGGATTTACATGATTCCACTTTGAGGGGTTTATATAGCCTCTGAATCCTGTATATCACTAATTGCGACAACTAAAAATAAAGTATGACTAAAAGAATACTGCCATTATAAACCACTTGCTGTGTTAATATTCAGATGAAGAGTCTTTTCAGTTCATACTTCATTGCAAAATTAGGGTGTTTTTTTCCTGCCATAAGGATGTACGCTTATTGAATGTATTTAAATTACTAGCTAATTTTTTCAGGGGGAAAAACCCTGAGGCAAGTGTAAAACTAGTAGCTACAGAAAGCTGGAGAATCAGATGTCTGCTGGGCAAATTGACAGAACTCATTAATCTTCGATGCAGTGTGCTATAGAGTCTGTCCTTTCATGCACCTGCGCAAGCCTAAAGTCATTACACGATGGCACTATTGATACTGAAGAGCTGGAGTGGGGAGAAGGTTATCTTCTCTTCTTAGTAATTGATTGCCAGCTGATTAGTGGACAACATTTTTCTTGCAGCATAATTGCCTTTGTGCTATTGTAGCCTCCCTGACCTGGGTTGAGGCTATCTCACTGATTTTGAGGCCCTGACAATAGCACCGTAGCCCTGAAAGTAATGAACTGAAACTCAATCACTGCAAATTCCCCAAACAGTAGATGCCTAGTTAAATGCATTTCAATGATATTCCGAATAACAGCAATCATACTATAGGTCACATTTCTTTTCCTTCTAAGAAAACCAAACCATAGAATTCCATTTGGAAAAGTGTGTATTTGAGAAGGAATAAATAACGTCATGATACATGCATTTTCATTTTTCACAGCTGTAATGGACCTATCAGAAGCTAGTACTGTGGGATTTCCAAGGACCTTGTGGATAAATGCTGGTAATAAATAGATTCTTATTAATTCCGAGGCCAACATTTTGGAGCCCAAGCGGAGAATTAGAAGATTTTAATGTCATTATATTGCACGATAGCTACAAATACCAAGTAATGCCCTCTTTCTTACCATAAAAATATTTGACTATGTCTTTTTTTGCCTTGTGTAAGATGCCGGGATAAGAAGGGGGAAATGGGGAAGTATGTTTTAAATCATCTAGCTTAATCGTTTAATGAATGGGAAGTGAATGAATACTGTAGGCTTTCTCTCTAAATGTCAGTGATACTGAGGTCTTCTCCATAAGTAACCTTCACATTTATGCAGATGGAAATAAAAATGTAACAATCTACTGCCTAACTTGAAGAGTATTAAGCAGCACATCTCTAAACTTTTAAAGGAGAGGATGCTACCATGTGGAAGGAGTTAGGTAGTCATTAAAATAAGATCTGTCTCCTTAGAGTAAGAGGTCAAGATTTTCCTTATGTGAAAGCTGAGGTACAAATAAAACTATTGTAATGCCAGTAGACTCCATTTTTAGCCAAATATTCTAACTTTTTCAGGAACATAGCAATAGTTGCTCATGTTTCTTTTCTTTTCTTTCTTTCTTTTTTTTTTTTTCTTTTTTGAGATGGAGTCTTGCTTTGTCAGCCTGGCTGGAGTGCAGTGGCGTGATCTTAGCTCACTGCAGCCTCTGCCTCCTGGATTCAAGAGATTCTCCTGCTTCAGCTTCCCCAGTAGCTAGGATTACAGGCACGTACCATGACGACTGGCTAATTTTTGCATTTTTAGTAGAGATTCGGTTTCACCATGTTGGCCAGGCTGGTCTCGAACTCCTGACCTCAAGTGAATCCACCTGCCTGGGCCTCCCAAAGTGCTGGGATTACAGGCGTGAGCCACCGCACTCCCCTACCAGTTGCTCATATTCCTAATTGAGATCACTGACCCAGAAAAGCAGTATTATTAAATCAGCTAGTGACTTAGCAGAATTACCAAATGTGTCTTTCAAGGCTCAAAAAGATATATTTTCACAAACCCTTGACCAAGACATCTGTGTACTAGTGCACATTCTCCTAAACCATCAGGTGTGGTATTGACAACAAAAAGCATCTTATCCTCTGTCATTGTCATTTGTGTAGGCCTACATGTTTCCAGTGATCTTGTTTAGTTTTGAGGAGTTTGGGGAATATTATTAATCACAACATAACAATAATTGCAATGTTAAAAATTCTAGTAAGGAGAGTTATAGGTTATGGTGCAAACAGAATTGAGATAATTAAAAAGTGGAAAGGGGTGAGGCAATGTAAATAATTGTAATGCGTTGTGAATTAATCATTTGACAGTGAGAAAATTCTGAAATACAGAGTGAATCAGTCATAATGCAAAAACGTACAGCACATATATATTCAACTATAATTAACAGATGAAAAAATGTGATTGATGGAAAATCTTTTGAGTGTGTGACTAGAGGATCAAAGTAAATTCTGAGTGTGCATTATCTTAATGTAAATTCAATGGAAGGTTAAGAATTTGAGAACCTAAAAGCTAAGCATAGTGGAACACTGATGAAACTTTCATCAAGCCCCAGATGGAACTTACTCCAATCTGCACAACATCAAAGTGAGTGGTCAGCACGCTGAAGGTGGAAATGTTACTGCCAAGAAGTTCCCTATTACCCTTGCTGTGATTATCACGAAAAGGTTTATTTGCTTCAATGGATCTTCAACATAGATGAAATTGATCTATTTTAGAATAAGATGCCTGAAAATATGATATAAACAAGGTTTAAAGCTGTGATGGGCCAACTGACACTCCTATTTGATGGAAATGATCTGAAACTGCAGCTGAAACCCCTCATGCTTTTTGTGCGGCAAGTCCAAGACCCCTTCAGAATATTACTGGAGATCTATCTGCTGTTTAAAAAGCTAAATCAAGAGTATAAATTACATTTACTGTTTTTGAAGATTGTTTTTTCCACCACATCATTCCTCAGATTAAAAAAATGCTGTAACCTGAATATGCTGCATTTTAAAAACTTCTTTGTTCTGGTAATTCCCATGGGCATTGACTTCTTTCCATTTTGTCATTTAATGATTATCATTCTAATATCTAGGTTATTTACCTATGTCCAGATTCTACCCCAATTCTATAACCAAGGGTTTCATTTATTTTTGGTTTAAGAAATATTATCTGAGAGTGATGGTTAAAAATGACTAAGTAAAAGCATTTTTTTCTATTTCTTTCCCTCAAAACCCACCAATAAAAACTATAAAAATTTAAACTAGAAAAAGACATTCCATATAAAAAAACAAAGTATCAGCTATAACTGAAAACTTGCATACATAAGCACACCGCTCTAATGTGTAGTCTGAAAGAGAGTTGAGGAAGAGGCTGAGCAGAACCTATTATTTCCCTAATAGTAAATGTCCTTTTACTGAAATGATCTTTTATAAGGATCTTTGCATTACAGATGAGATTTAGGAGTATGGGTGGGCCAAGAAAAGAAGTGGGGAGATGGTACTGAGAGACACAGGTCAACAAACCCTCTTATTCTCCATTTTTTAACCCTCTATAGTAAAGAAGTGATGCTATCAGGTGAAGGAGGGGTGGTGCAAACAACTGTAAAAGGGATGTGATACAGTTTGATGAGCCAGCACAGTTTGAACATTGACATTTCAATTGTACAATGAGAAGACCAACCCCAAAGTCTTTTCATTTTAGGCTTCATTTCAACCTATTTTTAAAAATGTCATTGAAAGGTACTATTTTTTTTTAATGTGCTCAAGGGCAGCAACTCCTTTTGCTTATCTCTTTGCTATTTTTTCGAGGCAATAGCAGACTTGTTAGGAGAGTGTTTAAGACACACATCCCATAGAATTTGCTGACTGCCTTGACTTAACGCTTTTCATCTCCTCACAGTATTCTTGCATAAATAGCTAGCTACATTTTAAGATGGGTAATAATCACAGAGGAACTAGCATGGGGCCTACAAACATAAACTACATGACAAAACAGAAAAAAAAACATAATAAGAGGGCAAATGAAAAAATATAGGGCAGCAGTAATTAAATAGTGAAAGGCAAAAATTTCAGTTTTAAGAAAATGTAGGCCACTTGATCTCTGTTCAAAAAAAGTCTCAAAAAAATGCTAGTTTTCAAGGGCAAAAAACAACCTAAAACAGCAGAAGCTGAGAAGAGAGGTTGCAGTTATCGGGAAAGAAATGGAAGAGAAAAATAAAAATATTGTAGAGATGAAAGCTGTTTAGAAAAGAAAAACTTAGTCAACATGACTGAAAACACAACTCTAGTTAATGAAGAGAAAACTACAAAAGGGCCACAGAAAAAATATAAAAATATATAATAGCAGATAAATCTTTTGAAATAAGACCAGATGTACAGATAAACAGGGTTCACCCTATCTTACAAAATGATTCATTTAAAACTATGCACACAAAGATATATTCCAGAGAACTTCAGAGGTAAAGGAAGAATGCTTTTCTATCAGGAGAAGAAACATTTAACAATAAAATTATAGACGAATGTAATACTTGGTTAGCTGCAGTCTCTTCATAGCAACATCTAGTGTCATAGGGCAGCAGTGCAATATCTGCCAGTCTTCTCAAGGAAATAAAATATAATCAAGGAATTTTATACCAAACCATCTTACCCTTCAAGCTCAAAGTTTAAAGCATTCATTATATGCAAGAACTCAGGGAACACACCACTCAAGGGCCTTCAGTGAAAAAATATTACATAGCTATTTTTTCCAGTCAACCAAAAATGAATCAAAATTTTAAAACCCATGAATAAAGAAGCCATCGTAAAAAGGATTGGTGTTGAGCACTGAATCATAGAAATAACAACTCAAAAACTCTTGGAGAAAAAATATGAATGTTATAAACTCTGATGTAGTAAATTAAATAATACAGTAAATAAAATTTAGAGATGGAGAGGAGAATGGGAGGAAGTGAGAGTATGCTAATTTCCTCATATGTTAAGGTCAATAGATACTGTCTCAATCAGAAACAGTTTTTTTTTTAAGTGATTCCAACACTTCGAGATTTTTTCATAATCTTTAAAAATAGGTGGTTTTTAAAGAAGCAAATCTCTTATAAAGGAATAGTTCAGTTTTAATTTTTAGTTTCTAGTAAATTCATATAATATTTAATAAACTAGTTTTTATTCTAAAATGTGATATATAAATGATATTGTATAATTTACAATGAGTCTTTTTCGGAATGCCCTGCATCTATATATTTTTCTATATGTATTAGTTTTCTACTGCTGCCATAACAAATTACCAAAACTACAATTCAATAGGTCAGAAGCCTAATATGGATCTCACGGATAAAATCAAGGTGTTAGCAGAAATGTGTTCTTTGGAGAATCGTTTTCCTCTCTTTGGAGTTGTTGATAGAATTCAGTTTCTTTCATTTCTAGGACTGAAGGCCTTATTTTCTTGCTGTATATAAACTAAAGGCCATTCCCAGCTTCTAGAAGCCACCTGCTTTCCTTGGCTTATGGCCTCCTTTCTTCATCCTCAGAGCCGGAGAAGGCAGGGCAAGTCCTCACATTATATCTGTCTAATTCTTCTTCCAACATTGCATCTCTTTGATAAAAATCTGGAACTATTCTCTACTTTTAAGGACTCAGGTGATTAATTCAGAAAAATATTGCCATCTCAATGTTCATAATCTTAATCATCTCTCCAAAGTCCCTTTTGACATATAAGGTAATATATCAACAGGAATTGGGGTGTGGACGTCTTTAGGGGGTCATTATTCTGCCTACCACACTATCCATCAATCCATCTATCTTAATTTTTCCAGGGATATTAAGGATAATTATTACTGAGTGCTGGATACTAAGTGAGTTTAAAAAATTTTTAAACATTTTCCATATTGTTTAAAATATTATATAATGAGTTTGTTTTGTTTCTACACAATGTATGAGAAGATGCTTAAATCAAGTTAACAAATGGGAATAATGGAAAGTTTTAAAAGGACTATGATATCTACAAAGCCAAAAAGCATCTTGATGCTTTCTTGTGTGAGATTGCAAACACAAATGTGAATAGTATATTAGTATTTGTTACCTCAGTTCGTCAATGACTGTCATACTTTTGGAGAGTTTCAAGATAAGACTAGTCTCAAAGCATTTTTTTGGGGAGATAGGCAAAGAAGTTGAACTTTCTGTAAGACAACAATTTGTTAAAATTAACTGGACCCATCTAGGAAATGACAAAGAGAATTTGATGGAACAGAAATCACAGAGGCTTAAAAGTACGATGCCGATTAATCACAGGCTGAAGAACCCTGAAGATGTTGTTTCATCCGTGCCTGTGTTTCATTTCTGTATTAATTTCTTTTGTCTTGTTGTTTTAATGCCATTTCTTGTGCCAGTGTTAGGCCCTTTTCAATGAGATGGTTAAGTATGTTTAAGTTAAAGGCTATGTCTTTTAGTTCTTGGCTAAATATTTGCATTATAGGGTACTGCTTTCAAACCAGAAATTGGTTTCTGAGCCTCTCAGTCTTTTGCCACATGGGATTCAGCAAACAATTCAAGAGCAAAAACTATACAGACTGTTTTGCAGAAAGTTCCATTTTCTCTGGGATTTTGGTCCCTAAGCCTTGACTGACTCAGGAACCTTAGACTTGCCTCTAAAAAATCCCAAAGCTCTATGCTACTTTCTTCAGTTTGGCCTCTATGTGCTATGCTGTGAAGGGAAAAATTCACTGAAGTGAGAAATGGAAGGGGCAGGTGCAGCTTCCCTCCATGTGCTTCCCTTTTCTCTACGATATGGACCCTTCCAGTCCTGGCTACTTTGGTTCCTGTCTATTAACTTCAAACAGCTGTGTTCTTTAGTATATCTAGTGTTATAGATTTTCTTGCAGAAGAGTTGATCTGATACAGTCTGTTCTGTCATGATCAGAACTAGAATTTATCAGTGAAAGTTTGTAAGTGAGACTGTGACATGATCACATTTATGCTTTAAAAGAGAATGAATGTAGTAGGTAAGGTATATGAAGGAAGAGAGTGAAAGAATGGAGGTGATAAATATTTGCTTAGTATAGAGCACAGAGCAATAGCAGGCCAAATCCAACAGCCTGATGATGAATTTTATGTGTGCATTTCACGGTGCTAAGGGATGCCCAGATAGCTGGTGAAGCATTATTTCTGGGTGTGTCTGTGAGGGTGTTTCCAGAAGAGATTAGCGTTGAATAAGTGGATTGCATAAAGAAAATCAGCCTTTACCGATGTGTGCAGTATCATTCAGCACATAGAGGGCCTAAATAGAACAGAAATACAGAAAAAGGGGAAGTTTCTCTCTTTGCTTGAGCTGGGACATCTATCTTCTGCCCTGAAACACTGGTGCTCCTGGTTCTCAGGCTATCAGACTCAGACCAGGACTTATACCATCAGCATCCTCTCAGGCCTTCAGACTTAGACTGAATTACATACCAACTATCTTGCTTCTCCACTTTGTAGATGGCAGATTGTGGAAATCTAGTTCTCAAGTTTTGGACTCTGGGGACTCCAACCAGTGGCCCCTCTGGTTCTCAGGTCTTTGGTCTTAGACTGAGAGTTACAACACCAGCTTTCCTGGTTCTTAGGCCTTTGGACTCAAATTGTACCACCGGCTTTCCTGGGCCTTCATCTTGCAGATGGCATATTGTGGGACTTCTCAGCCTTCATAACCACATGAGCCAATTCATATAATACATTTCTTCTCTCTCTCTCTCTCTCGCTATTAAAAGTTGGTGCAAAAGTAATTGTGGTTTTTTTTGCCATTAAAAGTAATGGCAAAAGCTGCAGTTACTTTTGCACCAACCTAATATTTATCTATCCCATTGATTCCTTTCTCTAGATAACCCTGAGGAATATGCTGGTCTTATAAAGTTTTATTGGAACACAGCCATACCCATTAATTTCCTAATTGCGTATGGCCGTTTTCAAGTAACAATGGCAGTGTTGAATAGCCCTGATAGAGACAGTACAGCTTGCTAAACCTAAACTATTTATTTGTATAGAAAATAGAAAGAGCTTATCAAACCCTGACAGGGTAAGTCTAATGAACACATGTCTTTTAGTGATCTGTTTATTTCAAATAACTCATTATAGGTGGCTACATATATAAGAATGATATAATGGACTTTGGGGGCTTGGGGTTAAGCATGGTAGATGAGTAAGAGAGAAAAGACTACAATAAATAATACAAATATATCAGTCTTCTATCAACGCTCTCCTTTCCCTAAGTCCAATACTAAGCAAAAAGAACAAAGCTGGAGACATCACATTACCTGACTTCAAATTATACTATAAGGCTATAGTTACCAAAACAGCATGGTACTGGTATAAAAATAGGTGCATAGACCAATGGAATAGATTAGAGAACCCAGAAATAAAGCCAAATCCTTATAGCCAACTGATCTTTTACAAAGCATATGAAAGATAAAGTGGGGAAATGACACCCTATTCAATAAATAGTGCTAGGTAAACTGGCAAGCCACATGCAGGAGAATGAAAGTGGATCTTCATCTCTCACCTTATACAAAGATCTACTCAAGATAGATCAAAGACTTAAATTTAAGACCTGAAACCATAAAAATTCTGGAAGATAACATCAGAAAATCTCTTCTAGACATTGGCTTAGGCAAAGAATTCATGACTAAGAAATCCCAAACCAATGCAACATAAACAAAAATAAATAAATGGAACCTAATTAAACTAAAACGATTCTGCACAGCAAAATAAATAATCAGCAGAGAAAACAGACACCTCACACAGTGGGAGAAAATATTCGCAAACTATGCATTTGACAAAGGACTAATATCCAGAATCTACAAGGAACTTAAACAAATCAGCAAGAAAAAAACATAATCCCATTAAAAAGTGGGCAAATGGCATGAATAGACAATTCTCAAAAGAAGATATACAAACAGCCAACAAATATATACAAAATACTCAACAGTACTAATTATCAGAGAAATGCAAATTAAAACCATAATGAGATACCTACCACTACCACCTTACTCCCGCAAGAATGGCCAGAATTTAAAAATAAAAAAATAATAGATGTTGGCCTGGATTTGGTGAAAAGGGAACACTTTTCCACTGCTGGTGGAAATGTAAACTAGTACAACCACCATGGAAAACAGTATGGAGATTCCTTAAGGAACTAAAAGTAGATATACCATTTGATCGAGCAGTCTTACTACTGGGTATCTACCCAAAGGAAAAGAAGTCATTATGTCAGAAAGACACTTGCACACATGTTTATTGCTGCAAAATTGCAAAGATATGAAACCAACATAAATGCCCATCAACCAACGAATGGATAAAGAAAATGTGGTATGTATACACCATGGAATGCTACTCAGCCATAAAGCGAAATGAAATAATGGCATTTGCAGCAGCCCGGATGGAGTTGGAGGCCATTATTCTAAGTGAAGTAACTCAGGAATGGAAAACCAAGTATTACATGTTCTCACTTATAAGTGGCAGCTGAGCTATGAGGATGCAAAGGTGTAAGAATGATATAATGGACTTTGAGGGCTCGGGGTAAGCATGGGAGGTGGGTGAATGAGAAAAGACTACATATTGGGTGCAGTGTACACTGCACGGGAGATGGGTGCTCCAGAATCTCAGAATTCACCACTAAAGAACTTACCTGTATAACCAAAAACCACCTGTACCCCCAAAACGATTGAAATAAAATAAATACATAAATAAATAAATGTTAAAAAAAAAACAAAAAACACTTCTGTTGCTCCAAAAATGATTTTTTGCATTCCCTTCTTTGGAATTACTTTTAGAGTCACAGAGGAAACTTGTTTCATTATTTACAATCATTTATTTTATTTTTCAATCCCTAAACATTGTTTTTAAATCAAAGCATTTAGCTTTATCACCTTTCTTATTATCATACATATATCCAATTAAGTTGTAACTGTTTGGAAACTACATGTTTGCCCAAAGGACAAAATTTTGTCACATTTGAGGATATTCAAATGCAACTGTTTTAATGGAGTGGTGGGCAAAAGTTACATAATTATTGAAACTATAAATAATCATCCTTTCTCCCATTTGTTAGCTTTTTTGATAGATAAGTTCTAATTAATGCTTTAACTCTTGTTTCTCAATAATAAAGCCTCAGTGCTGAGAAAGTTGATATTTTTTTCACAGTTACCATGCACCAGATAATTTATTTGAAGTAGTTTTAATGCTAAGAAAGTTGACAGTTTTTTTCATAGTTACCATGCACCAGATAATTTATTAGAAGCAGTTTTATCTCCTATATGTGAACATGTATTGTTTTTCTGTTTAGTACCTCTGTCTCCCAATACCACTCCCTGGAAGAGCATCTCTCTTCTTTTAATACTTTTTTTCTCTAGCCTAGCCATATATTTCCAGCAGGATGTGTCTTGTTCTTGCATAACAGTGTGTCCCTGACCACAGTTGATTGGTCAGTGGAGGTGAGGGAATGCGGTGCATGACCCAATGTATGCAATTGTAGTATTCATTGATCATAGTTAATCGGTCCTGAGTTGAGCACCTAACCCAAAGTGGGCCCACTAATGTTCTCTGAGATTTTGTAAACTAGGCCTGAGGATGGAAATGCTGGCTGTTGTGAGGATTGAGAGCTGCCACACATGCCCTGTGTTTGCCACCGTGTAGAGGACTCTGGTCTTCAGTAAGGGAGATAAAGTTGGGATGCAGAGAAAAATCAGGTGATGATGGAGAAAGGGAATCATAGCAGTGCAGTGCTTGAAGTCCTGGTACCATTCTTTTTTTGAGGCCTACCTGTACCCCTTACTGCAATTTGATCATAACTCTTCCTTGGAGTCCTGGAGCCAATCATGTCTCCTTTATCTTGTTAACTAGTTCGAATTTGATTTCTGTTACTTGCAATCAAAAGAGTTCAGATTCATATATGCTCATGAGAGAATATTCTCCCATCATCACTTAAAGCATCAAGACATTTTGCCTATTCAGAAATTCTGTGTCATCATATCTCATTCATAGTCACATTCCATTGAATATGAAGAGAAGAGGTGTAGGACGTTAGAAAAAGGCAGGGGAGTCACAGGGATATTGTAAGTTTCCCAGTTAGAAGTGACGCTGAGTCAAAGCAGAAAGAGAATTGAGAGCAGACATTGAAGAGCTGAGGTGCTAGATGGCAAGAGAATGCAGAACATGTGCACAGTGGCTGAGGAAAAGGAGGAAACAGAGATGGCCTACCTGCAAGAGAGTAAGACTGCTGCCCCCAAAGGCATTTACTTCTTCTCTGGAACTTAACACTTGCCTTCATTTCAACATTTTTTATCATTTGCATCAAATATATGCATGTGGCAATAAATCATACAAGTATGCCAGTCTCCCATCAATGCTCTCCTTTCCCTAAATCCTTATCTCAAGTTAATTGCTTTTAACTGTGTATCTTTTTCTGGTACAGACTTTCAAAAGACTAGATCATGTATTTCTGCTTCTGTTTCATGATTTATAAGCTTTTAACAATATCTGTTAGCTCTCATGTATGAAAGATGAGCACCTGACTCATTTAGACCACCTATCTTCTAAATATCTACATTTATATACTTTTTAGTTCTTACATTGGTTATCTTAGTAATTTTAAATAATAACCTTAAATATTTATTTTTTTGCTGCATCAATTTCCTCTATTATCTGTTGACTCTCAAAGTTGGAAGAAAATATTTTTATTCCTACTCTTTCCATCTCCTCTTCTCTTTCAAATACCATTTTCTGTCAGCTTTATTTTTATTTTTACATTGTCAAGACTACCAACAATATATTCTGTCCTATAATCACAACCAAGTATTTGGTTCTTTGTGGGCTAAATATAAAACAGTTGAAAAGCAATGAACAGCATTCGCATTATGATGGCTGTTGTTTGATGCCGGTGCCACCAGGGCATGACATTTCCTCCTCTAGAGTACCAAGTAGGTTACTCTAGACACAAGAACATTCTTCCTGTTTTAAATACAAATAGAATCTTTTAGAGTGCTATCAACTGCTTCAGTTTTCAACTTACTTTAGTTTGCATCATATTTGGAAAATTACTGGTAGGCACCTGAATTTTTAAATTGTGTTTCTTTTTATTCTGATTTATTTGATTTCCTTTCTTCTTCTTCCGCTTAAATTACACGTTCTCTTCTATCAAGATCCTTTTTTCCCTAAGACACTTTGTAGAGTCTTCTGTGCTGTGTCAGGCTGGAAGGGTTAATGTGCAGTCATGATCCTAAGACTTCTGAATGATCTCCTTGGTTGGACCTGTGCTTTTCTGCTTTGCCTGTTTCTTTGTATATTTCTTCCTTTTGAGGGGTAGATCCTAAGTGAATTTCTTGAAAAAGAATATATATGATAGATAAAATTTCTGAATCCTTGTATCTTGGAAAGTGTCTCTTATTCTTTCAAATTTGATTATAGGTGAGTTGAGTATGTAATTAAGAGATGAAAAGATTTTTCCCTCAAAATTTGTTTTCTTGTACCCATTCAGAGGATCTTTTCAATCTGAAGACATTTTGCTTTCCTCAATGTTAGGAAATTCTCTTCTTATAATTATATTTTGTCCACTTTACTTCATTGTCTCTTTCTGAGACTACATTAGCTGGATGTGTTAATCATAAATTCATTTTCTACGCCTTTTTCCTTTTATCTACTATGCTTTTTTTTTTTTATTTGTGGTCTACTTTCTCAGAGTCTATTTTTAGCCTCTGAATTTTTAAGTCCTTGGGAGTTTTGCCTGGAGCTTTGTTGTTAGAGACGATGGAGGAGTATTGTGATAAGTTACAGATGTCCCATGTGTAAATATTCAACTAGTACATGACTTCAGCCCCCTCCCTACTCCCCACTCTGCTAACCTTGAGTCCAGGGCCTCTGTGATGTTCAGGTGGAGATTGGCTTCCACCTTCACAGAAGTTTTCTTTTATAATTGTGAAGTCTGAGGCTTGCTTTGTTTCATCCAACTGCCTTCTTCCCTACTCCAGAAATTAAAGTATCTCAGTCATGGGTCCCCTTCACCCCTAAGTTTCATTTCTGTTATATATTTATTCCTCTTCTGGATTTTTTTTAATGCTTTAATTCAGTGGAATCTTGGAAGGGACAGAAAACAAATTCAATAGCCTCGTCTGTTACCTTAACCCACATTCAACAACTGTGTGCTTATTAGCAGCTGATTAAAAACTAAAAGAAAATGTAAGGGTTTAAATGATATAAGGGTTTAAAATAATTTATGTTCATAACAAGATAATCCCTTTGCATTTAAGTTTGTGTAGCAAAACACTTTCAGTTTATGGTTTTAATAAGAATGCTAACTTAATTTTTATTTAAATAAGCATTTAAATGTATATTTCAGAAAAGAAATTCATGTGAAATTAGAATTTCATATCAACAAGATCAAAACAGAAGATGCATTTTGAGATGTTAATTTTTATAAGACACTGTTCTGAACTCAGGGTATAAAATGAAGCATATGGCCTTCTGATTCTCAAGGTGCTTACTGATTTACTTATGAACACATTATGTAATAATAAGGATTTACTTTTTAATAAATGCTCATAGCACATATAAGAAATGTATACACGCTTGCTTGTTGTTTAAGACCAGATCAGTGAGGAGAGGCTCTATATGGCATTTGTAAAATACAGTATTTGTAAAGCTGCTACGTAAATTGCTGTTGAAATGTAAACTAGTATTAGTTTATAAGAAAATGTGATAGGCTGAGCAAAAGCATAGTAAAAGTAAAGCGCAGGTCATTTTAGGCAAGTTTAGCAAGGGTGAACATTGGTATAGGTAAGAACTGAGGCTGGAAAGTTAGCCATACCTGCTTCGATGGCCCAAATGAGTTGGTGGTGGACAGAGGCCAACCTGGAGATGCTAGGAATAATTAACATGCCTCTCTTAGTATTTTCCCGAAACGTCAATTCTTTTTTAAGGAACATAAATTTCAGCTGTCAAGTTGTATTACACAATGTTTGTTGCATTTTGAGCAGGGCCAGTATCTTTGACGCCAAAGATATTAATTTCTTAAATGTAACTCCAGAAGGGGGAGAAGCCGACTTGCCCTATAAACTGATGGTAGTTTGTGATTCTAAGTCTTCATGGTAGCCTTCCAGTTGGTCATTTTATTGGACAAGTAATTTAAATTCAATTTTGGTTTTCTCTTCTGTAAATTTGGATAAAATTACTGACTTGTCTCACAAAGACATTACTTTTGTATAGCGATGGAGGAAAATGTTCAGATGACTACATTAGGTGTCTAGATCAAAATGTAAGGGATTCTGATTGCTGTTCTTGTGGGTTTACAAGATAATTGCCCTTTCATTTTTTGTGCATAGAGTATTTGCAGATTCATAATATGATAACATTAGAAAAAGGAGTATAATTTTATAGTTTCATGTAGGTAGAATTCAGAAATTTAAGTGTTAAACTTTCTTTAGCAGCACAAAGGTAATAAGTTTACTTAAATATTAGATCATGGTACTACTCACTTGGAGCGTGCATTAATTTTGTGTCATTTTCCTCTGCCTACAAATCCCAGACCATTAGTATGCACTAAAATGTGAATGTTCTCATAATGTTCTAAAAGTTAAATTAAGATTTCCCTAAAGACTGGTCTTTTAAAAACTGGGTATCTATTGCTCCTTTTGATGAGAATGAGTAGAAAAAAATATTCTTCCAGATCCACATTGTTTCCATTTATTAAACAATAAAAAACTCACCTTAATTAAACTAATTTAATTTAATTCCTTAAATCCCTCAGTCTCCAAAACTTTTCTGCATTTTGCAAACTGTTCACTAACCCTTCCCCCTTATAGTTAGTTGTCATGGAAATGAGGAATCTCAAGAGGGCAAATTTAAATCATTTGAAGAAGGCTTGACATTTCTGGAGACTTGTACTCCTTCTTTCCAGTTGACTCCAGGAATAGACCTTATTAGAGCTATGGGGTGGGATTTTGATGTTTGAATTCTATCACCCACTCCTAATCTGCTCCAGTGACATGTGGTCCATGGCATAATAGCAATATCCAAAAGGGAAGTGAAATATAATTTTTATTAATAGCTAGAGTGTCCTCATTAAATCCAAGTGCAAATTTTCCCTGGTAAATGAAGCTGCAGCAGGAGTCAGATCTAGAGTCCTAAGCAGAGACTCTCATTCTACAGAACCTAGAATGTTTAAAGGAGATCAGAACTCTATTGTCTCAGGTCAGGTTCCCCAGGAAGCAGCCTCTGAGCCAAACTTTGAAGAATGTTTATTAACGAGTGTCCATGGGATCCACAGCTGTGTAAGGAAAGATAAGGAAGCAAGAGTGGACAGGGGAAGAAGTTGGGCTGGGGTGCAGGCCCATGACAACATTGGCTGACTCCATGGGGGGTTCTAGAGATAGAATGGATCTTCAGGGTTTTTGTGGGGTAAACTGAGACCACCAGGCTTTTATATCCCTGTATCAATCAATTATTAGGTGTGGCCTGCCTTGGGAAGGTGGGGCTGTGGATGCCTCTTTATATCTAAGGCAGTCCCCAAAGGAGCTGACATCAAAGGCCATTGGCTGCCAGGGATCTCAGCAGTTGGTATAACAAGTCCTTCCTTGAAGGAGAATCTGGGCATTACATCACAGTGTCCAGCACACCAACCAAACATTCTTATAAACAGTCCACATGGACAAAGCTGGCTGCTCTGTCTCTTAGACACTGTACCTACAACCTGGAAATCAGATGCAGAAGATAGTGTAGGAAGACAAAAGAGAGGGTAGAGTCTGGCTCTATCTTAAGTCACCATAACATGATCACTAGTGAAATGTGGCCATTCTGTACCCCAAATTATAAATGATTATCTAATAAATTTGCCCACCCAATCTCCATCAGATTCTGACTATATGTACTTTTTCCATGTGCATAGTTATATTAAAACTGAAAATCAATTATTTTAAAAGTTAGAATGAGTTTTATGTAGAGATAGTTTTTAGGCTTTCCCCAATGTGGCATCTCAGAAAATGTCAGTGTCTTAATAGGTAGCATCCAACTTTAATAAATTTAAGTGGAGATTGCAATTGAGTTTTTGGCTAAGATTTACTATAGGATTTGTTATTTTTATTGTTGTTTTGTTTTATTTTATCTTTAACTCATACCTTCTAGCCAGTGAATACTCCAATTCTGGTACTGTAAAAAATAGGACACCTCAGTTTTTGGGTAATGAATGTAAGGGTTGATAATAGACTCTGTGCCCTTCTTTTTGGAGTCAGCAGTTGCCCTTTGCTCTTTGTTGCAGGGGTTGTTAAGTTTCCACTTACGTAGACTCTGCAATAGTGAAAAAAAAACATAGAACTTTAAAGCTGTCTTTATATGCATCCAGCCAAATATAGCCTTCAAATACTACTCCCTGGGATGGAGGCTTCACTGTCTTCAGGCCAAATCTGGCCTATTGAGTATCTTTAAGAGTTATTGTGCAAAAAATTAGAGGCTTTTTTTAATGTGCCAGAGTTCTGATATTTGTCTGCACTATATGAGAAACTATGAAATACTTAAAACCTGTTTGGATTCTCGCAATTGTTAATGATATAATGAAATATCATTATTATATGTGTATATGTTTATAGATAGTATCCAAAAGTGCCTCCCATATACTTTTTATAATTGTTTAAGAGCCATGACTGGGTCAGATTGTCCTTTTCTGTCATGTTTCAGATGTTGAATCTTGAAAAACAAGCATGAGAATAACACACTGAGCTTGTCATTAGTAGATTAGTTGCTGCTACAAAGCCTTCTGTTGAGGATGAGTTCTTTTTTACTTGCCTAAAAAGTGTTTCTCTTGGAGAGCAATTACATCTGATTGACATGTTTTCATGTGCCTCCAGCCTTGGTGCATTTTTTTCTTTGGTACACTAAACAGGTCTAGATCAAGGACTGTTATTTTATTTTATTTTGTTTTGCTCTTGTTGTTGTTTTACTGCTATTAACTAAAATCAGGATACCAGAGAAAAACTTAGACACCTTGTAAAGTGCAACTTAAAACAAATTATAAAATATGTATAAAGAGGTGTGCATTTTGTTGTTGGGGGTCACTAGACTATCGCTGAGCTAGAATTGCTAAAAGTCAATTGAAAGGCAAGAACATAACAGAGTTGGGCTTGTTAAAATAAGAAACCATTTGTATTTTCTGTATAAATGTAATACCTTACTATAAAAGGTATGCATAGTATTGTATTAGAAGAAAAAAAAAGAAGGGCTGGAAACTTATGTTCTTCTCTCAGATTTGTTGCTAAGTTGCATTAATTTTGAACAAGGTACTTAACATTTATGGAATTTATTTTTAAACATGTATGAGTGAAACTAAATGATGTCTATGGATTCTTCAAACTCTTTATGACTACTTCATGCAGTACTTCATATAGTCTTAAGATGTTAGCCATTTCTCTGATATGACCTTCTCACACAGAGAAGTATAGAAACAAATGTGGATAGTACCTGGTAAATGCCATGGAGTCAACAACTTTCTACACAACTGGCTAACAAAAGGAACCGATACTTCAGCTATGTCCATTCTGTCTCCTCCTTCAGCCTATAAATCTTCTTGGGGACAGGAACAATGTCTTACTTATGCTCATAACCCTAATGATGGCTCTTTACCTTCCTACAATACCAGCACTCAAAAATATTTGACAAATGAACGATTGAATAATGTGCATTATGAATGATTATTGCTTCCAACAATGAGCCAGTTCTTATCTTTGAACGATTATATTTAAGAGCAATTTATTGCATTCAGTCAGAATACGTAACTCAGTTTTGCTGTGGCTTCTAATGATTTTAGTGTTCAGCATGAGATATCTCGCAGCACACCAGGTTTAGTTCTTCTTTTAAGGGTGATCTATGGATAAAAATATTCTAGCCTAAGTGGGGAACTCATTTACTTTTTTTTTTCTCTGTTTAAGCCCTCTGACTTCTCTCTTCTTTTCATCCTTTATATCTTACATTGGGGTTTATGATGGATACATATTATTTAAATGTCAAACATGGAAAACATTGTAATGTCGCTTGGTATACTTTCAAACATAAAGTGTTTATATTCCATGTTATATAATAAAATATAATACATATTCTAATAGTGAAAACACTTTTCACTGCACACCTACCGAATGCAAGTCATTGGTCAAGGCACTGTAAGGTATATGTTCTGTGTCTTGTCCCCTTCAGAGAATTTTCAGTCCACTGAGAGAGATAGACATTTAGACACAGGGAGAGCTTGGTAAGTACATAATAATGCCTACAGAGCACAAACTCCTGTCTCTATATGCATCTTATATGCTTTCTTATTTTAACAAGCCCAACTCTGTTATGTAAAGCTCATAGCCAGAACAGCATTGAATGTAGTTATAAATTCAGCACTCTCACTTCCTATCTTGATAATTAACTTTTTCTGTTTGTTTGTTTTAGCCCGAACTGTAGACCTTAGCCATGGACTCAGGACAATTCCTGTGGTAGGAATCTTGTGGCTTGACACCAGAAGAAACGATTTTGCAGATGCTTTAAGAGGACATGCCCAATATGACTCCGTTTTGGGTGTAGTTACTGCACAGAACTCCAGATGTCAAAACAGATTTGTGTTGTGTTTCTATGCTAATACATCTCTGCAGGGTTAATTTAAGAATACTGACTCCTTTTCTGTTGCTCAAACTAACTGTAAGAGTGATTAGCAGATATCTGGATTGATTAATGTTTCAGTGTTTTTGTCATTTCTTTAGGGAAAGCAGAATGCAGCAGTGTAGCACTGAGTACGAGGAAATTGTAATGAATAGTACTGACTTCTAAATTACCTTTAAACATTTTACCCTAGTTTGATTTTTTTTTCATAAAAAGTTTAGGATTTCATAATCATGATGGTGGTTTTTTTTAATAACAGGATAGCTCCCCTCCTACGTTTAATAAGCTTATATTGAATGTGTGCTGTGTACACAAACTGTTTATAAACCCTGAAATTGAGAATAAAGAGTATGGACTACAGGAGCATGGTTTTATGGGACACACATTCATCCTCTGAAAAAGCTCACAGACCTGGGGGAGTAGGGGGTGGCAGTGAACAATTATAAATAGGAACATGCTAAGGACTGTAACTCAGAAACTAACAGCTATGGGAAAGTAGAGTGCAAGCTCCATGAAGGCAGAAATGATTCTGTCTTGTTTGCTGCTGTAGTCCCCACTGCCTGATAAGAGCAGATACTCAACAGATGTGTTGATTTTATGGTTAATTCTGCCTGGGGTTTTACAGTGGAGTAACATTTGAACTAAGCTTTAAAGAGTAAGTAAGATTTTCTTTATCAAGAGTAAAGAAAATTCTAGGAAGAGACAACAACAGGGACAAAAGAATGCTAGTGTTTGGCTACCTTCTGGTAACTGAGGGTAGCTACAGCATGGGGATGGTCATGGTAGGGCCTAGTGGTGAGAGGTTGAGCCAGTGGATATTAAAATGGGACAGCAAGCAGAGGCTGTCTTTACTACTTCTTGCCTATTTTTGAAATTCCTTATATCTTGAAGATTCCCGATACAGACGAGAACAATATGACTTACTCACAAACAAGATGAATAGTTGATCTTCAACACATTTTCAAAGTATTTTTACTATTATTTCCCCATTCATTGTTTGTGTGAGTTAGGGGTTGTAAACTGGTAGATTATATGGCGTGTAGCTCACTGTGGTTGCATTGTTTTGTCAACATGTTGTTGAACAAATTGGTCAGTCTTCTAAAAATCTGAAGTTTTGGTTTCTCCTGAAAAGAGCAGAAGATCTGATAATACCGTGCCCACATTTCAGCAGGAGAACACTCTGCTAGGAGCCTGCCCCCACCCCATCTGGCTCACCAGCTCCCATCTGTCACACATGTGCCTGGGCTCTTTGCCTACCTGCTGGCCTCTTTATTTGGTTCACCTGGGCACTTAGAGTATTTGAGTTGACTCTCTTGGGGGTGGCCTCTATGCTCCTATTTATCCTAGGGATGTGTATCAATCATATATACTCTATAGAAAGTAAAGATATCCCTTTAAATTAATGTGTTTTCTACTAGTTTTTTCCTGAAATGTGTTATCTTTTAATCTGCCTTTTAGTTTTCTAGTACAGTTTTTGCTTTTTGTATAGTTAAATGTATTTTTACTTTGCTATGGTTTTAGTTTCTTCACTTTCCTACCCTCCATCACTTCCTTCCTTCCTTTCCCCTCCTCTTTCTTTCCCTCTTTCCCTCCTCTTCCCTTTACCTTCCCTTCCTTCTTTTTCTTTCTTTTAAATAATTCTTTTAGTTTATAAAAATTTCCAGTGCTTTTTCCTCTGTTTACTGCCCCCTTTCTCTCTTCCAGTTGACTTTTGCTTTAGAAAGTCTTCCTCTCTCAGGAGGCTTAAATGAGATTAAATGTTATATTCCTCATGTAAGTAAGCTATGATTATTTTTGATTAAATATGTCACACAGGCCTACTCAAATACTGACTGTGTATGTATAATGGGTTATGTTTTAGTGGGCTATTCTTCTCTACTGATCTGATTTTTCTTATGCTTGCAAACAAGGCCTGATTATTTTAGCTTTATGTATTTTAATATTTTGTTAAAATTAGTTCTTCTTTAAAACAATTATTGCTCTCCTGTTTATACTTTCAAATCAACTTTAAAATTATTTGGTCAATTTTAGGACAAAATTTCATTAGGATTTGAATTAGAATTTTAATAAATACACTAAACATTTTGAGATAAAAACCTCATATTTTAGAAAAAGTAGTCTTCCCATTTAGGAACATGTCAGGTCTCTTCTTGATATGGTTAGACTTTTTGTCTCCACCCAGTCTCATCTTGAATTGTTATCCCCATCATCCCCATAATCCCCACCTGTCAAGGGAGAGACCAGGTGGAGGCAATTGAATCATTGGGGCAGTTTCCCCCATGCTGTTCTCATGATAGTGAGTAAGTTCTCACGAGATTTGATGGTTTTATAAGGGGCTCTTCCCCCTTCACTCGGCACTTTTTTTTCCTGCGGCCTTGTGGAGAAGGTGTCTTGCTTCCCTTTTGCCTTCCACCATGATTCTATGTTTCCTGAGGCCTTCCCCAGCCATGCTGAACTGTGAGTCAATTAAACTTCTTTCCTTTATAAATTACCCAGTCTCGGCAGTTCTTTATAGCAGTATGAAAATAAACTAATATACCTCTTTTATTCATTTTTTATATCTCTCAGTAAAGTATTGCACTTATCACATAGCATATTATTTCTTGTGATAATTTAAATTTTACTTTGTGGTTATAAATCAGATCCCTTTTTAGTTTACTTTGTTCTATTGCCTTGTGTTGGTGTATAAGAATATGTTTTATCTGTTATAGCAACTGTTAATGAATTCAAACAGCTTTTCACTTGATTTCTTTCTGTTTTTATGTTCTAAAACCAAGTCACCTATCATCATACTTCAGCTCTTTTTTATGTTTATAATTTTATGTTTTATGTCTTAAGAACTTTTTGAAATGATATAAATAACATGTATATTCATTAGCCAGGGCACGGCATATTATAAGAACTTAATGAATGTCAGATTATGTTATTAATGATATCAATATTAAATAACAGTAATTTCATGTATCTGTATTTTAATCATATTTTAATGAGAATTGTTTATTTTGTCACTGTTAAGTAAAATGTTGGCTGATGGTTTGAATCATGGATCTTACTTTAAGAAGTTAAGAAGATATATCCACCATTGAGATGATTACTTTTTATAACTGATTTGAATTTAAGTCTACTGATGTTCTATATTAGTAGGTTTTCTAATTTGGGGCTATTACTGGATTCCTATAATAAACATAATTTGATTTGAAGTAAAAGATTAACTTTTACTATATTGAGTTATTTGCTGGCATTTTATTTAAGTTTATAATTCCTTTATTAAGTGACATTTCAGTTCTATGTTTTTTTCCTTGTATTTCTGTTAAGTATGTAAAAATTAGGGTATGTTTCTTAGAACAAACTGGATTGCTTTTAATCTTTTCCTGCTTTCTCACAGAACATATAATGTGGGAAAGATCTGTCCTTGAAAGTCTGAAGGAATTTGAAGGCATTTATTAGTAAATCTATGATGGCAGTGAGTTCCTTTTCTAGGGGCATGGATGTAGCTTTTGGATAACTTTCTCAATTTATTTTAATTTTTAACCTGTTGTGCTAATTTTGATATATTTTAGTTTACATAAAGCATTAAATGTATTGATGTTTTGAAATTTATTAACATACAACCATGTTGAACTCCGAAGTCTTCTCTATTTGTTGCATTCCATTTCTCATTTTAAAAAATTGTAACATTTTACCCTTTTCTCTTCATTAGATTTTTAGTTGTATGTGTTCTCTGAGCATTTTGCCCTTCTTTTTTTCTGTATCATGGGTTTTATAAAATTGTTTTTGGATACATTTATTTTTGGAATGTTTTTCTGTGACTATATTGAAACAACTCAAAACAAAAAATCAAGATTTTTCTCCCCGTTTATTGACATCCTATTCACTAGTTTTAGAATCTTCCCAAATATCCAGGAGCACTGGTTATTTTGGAATAAAATCAACTTATTCCTATTAGTATTGCCTGTATTTTTCAGAACCAGCAATTTCAGTATACGCCCACAAATGCAACCCAATCAGATCTTTATGGCACCATTAGTCTGTAATTCTCTAGTTCTTATGATTAATGTGTAGGGTTAGACCTCATAAAACTATATTTTAATTCATCTTAGGACACCTTCCTTAACAAGCATTTGGTGTGCCTTAAGATATCTTTCTTAATAAGCATGTGTGTTTAGATGCTATTCTCATTCTTTTTTTTTATTTTTTTAATTTTTAAATTTTTTTTATTATACTTTAAGTTTTAGGGTACATGTGCACATTGTGCAGGTTAGTTACATATGTATACATGTGCCGTGCTGGTGCGCTGCACCCACTAACTCGTCATCTAGCATTAGGTATATCTCCCAATGCTATCCCTCCCCACTCCCCCCACCCCACCACAGTCCCCAGAGTGTGATATTCCCCTTCCTGTGTCCATGTGATCTCATTGTTCAATTCCCACCTATGAATGAGAATATGCGGTGTTTGGTTTTTTGTTCTTGTGATAGTTTACTGAGAATGATGATTTCCAGTTTCATCCATGTCCTTACAAAGGACGTGAACTCATCATTTTTTATGGCTGCACAGTATTCCATGGTGTATATGTGCCACATTTTCTTAATCCAGTCTATCATTGTTGGACATTTGGGTTGGTTCCAAGTCTTTGCTATTGTGAATAATGCCGCAATAAACATACGTGTGCATGTGTCTTTATAGCAGCATGATTTATAGTCATTTGGGTATATACCCAGTAATGGGATGGCTGGGTCAAATGGTAATTCTAGTTCTAGATCCCTGAGGAATCACCACACTGACTTCCACAATGGTTGAACTAGTTTACAGTCCCACCAACAGTGTAAAAGTGTTCCTATTTCTCCACATCCTCTCCAGCACCTGTTGTTTCCTGACTCTTTAATGATTGCCATTCTAACTGGTGTGAGATGGTATCTCATAGTGGTTTTGATTTGCATTTCTCTGATGGCCAGTGATGATGACCATTTTTTCATGTGGTTTTTGGCTGCATAAATGTCTTCTTTTGAGAAGTGTCTGTTCATGTCCTTCACCCACTTTTTGATGGGGTTGTTTGATTTTTTTCTTGTAAATTTGTTTGAGTTCACTGTAGATTCTGGATATTAGCCCTTTGTCAGATGAGTAGGTTGCAAAAATTTTCTCCCATTTTGTAGGTTGCCTGTTCACTCTGATGGTAGTTTCTTTTGCTGTGCAGAAGCTCTTTATTTTAATTAGATCCCATTTGTCAATTTTGTCTTTTGTTGCCATTGCTTTTGGTGTTTTAGACATGAAGTCCTTGCCCATGCCTATGTCCTGAATGGTAATGCCTAGGTTTTCTTCTAGGGTTTTTATGGTTTTAGGTCTAACGTTTAAATCTTTAATCCATCTTGAATTGATTTTTGTATAAGGTGTAAGGAAGGGATCCAGTTTCAGCTTTCTACATATGGCTAGCCAGTTTTCCCAGCACCATTTATTAAATAGGGAATCCTTTCCCCATTGCTTGTTTTTCTCAGGTTTTTCAAAGATCAGATAGTTGTAGGTATGCGGCATTATTTCTGAGGGCTCTGTTCTGTTCCATTGATCTATATCTCTGTTTTGGTACCAGTACCATGCTGTTTTGATTACTGTAGCCTTGTAGGATAGTTTGAAGTCAGGTAGTGTGATGCCTCCAGCTTTGTTCTTTTGGCTTAGGATTGACTTGGCGATGCGGGCTCTTTTTTGGTTCCATATGAACTTTAAAGTAGTTTTTTCCAATTCTGTGAAGAAAGTCATTGGTAGCTTGATGGGGATGGCATTCAATCTGTAAACTACCTTGGGCAGTATGGCCATTTTCACGATATTGATTCTTCCTACCCATGAGCATGGAATGTTCTTCCATTTGTTTGTATCCTCTTTTATTTCTTTGAGCAGTGGTTTGTAGTTCTCCCTGAAGAGGTCCTTCACATCCCTTGTAAGTTGGATTCCTAGGTAATTTATTCTCTTTGAAGCAGTTGTGAATGGGAGTTCACTCATGATTTGGCTCTCTGTTTGTCTGTTGTTGGTGTATAAGAATGCTTGTGATTTTTGCACATTGATTTTGTATCCTGAGACTTTGCTGAAGTTGCTTATCAGCTTAAGGAGATTTTGGGCTGAGACAATGGGGTTTTCTAGATATACAATCATGTCGTCTGCAAACAGGGACAATTTGACTTCCTCTTTTCCTAATTGAATACCCTTTATTTCCTTCTCCTGCCTAATTGCCCTTGCCAGAACTTCCAACACTATGTTGAATAGGAGTGGTGAGAGAGGGCATACCTGTCTTGTGCCACTTTTCAAAGGGAATGCTTCCAGTTTTTGCCCATTCAGTATGATATTGGCTGTGGGTTTGTCATAGATAGCTCTTATCATTTTGAAATACGTCCCATCAATACCTAATTTATTGAGAGTTTTTAGCATGAAGGGTTGTTGAATTTTGTCAAAGGCTTTTTCTGCATCTATTGAGATAATCATGTGGTTTTTGTCTTTGGTTCTGTTTATATGCTGGATTACATTTATTGATTTGCATATATTGAACCAGCCTTGCATCCCAGGGATGAAGCCCACTTGATCATGGTGGATAAGCTTTTTGATGTGCTGCTGGATTCGGTTTGCCAGTATTTTATTGAGGATTTTTGCATCAATGTTCATCAAGGATATTGGTCTAAAATTCTCTTTTTTGGTTGTGTCTCTGCCTGGCTTTGGTATCAGAATGATGCTGGCCTCATAAAATGAGTTAGGGAGGATTCCTTCTTTTTCTATTGATTGGAATAGTTTCAGAAGGAATGGTACCAGTTCCTCCTTGTACCTCTGATAGAATTTGGCTGTGAATCCATCTGGTTCTGGACTCTTTTTGGTTGGTAAACTATTGATTATTGCCACAATTTCAGCTCCTGTTATTGGTCTATTCAGAGATTCAACTTCTTCCTGGTTTAGTCTTGGGAGAGTGTATGTGTCGAGGAATTTATCCATTTCTTCTAGATTTTCTAGTTTATTTGCGTAGAGGTGTTTGTAGTATTCTCTGATGGTAGTTTGTATTTCTGTGGGATTGGTGGTGATATCCCCTTTATCATTTTTTATTGTGTCTATTTGATTCTTCTATCTTTTTTTCTTTATTAGTCTTGCTAGCGGTCTATCAATTTTGTTGATCCTTTCAAAAAACCAGCTCCTGGATTCATTGATTTTTTGAATGGTTTTTTGTGTCTCTATTTCCTTCAGTTCTGCTGTGATTTTAGTTATTTCTTGCCTTCTGCTAGCTTTTGAATGTGTTTGCTCTTGCTTTTCCAGTTCTTCTAATTGTGATGTTAGGGTGTCAATTTTGGATCTTTCCTGCTTTCTCTTGTGGGCATTTAGTGCTATAAATTTCCCTCTACACACTGCCTTGAATGCGTCCCAGAGATTCTGGTATGTTTTGTCTTTGTTCTCATTGGTTTCAAAGAACATCTTTATTTCTGCCTTCATTTCGTTATGTACCCAGTAGTCATTCAGGAGCAGGTTGTTCAGTTTCCATGTAGTTGAGCGGCTTTGAGTGAGATTCTTAATCCTGAGTTCTAGTTTGATTGCACTGTGGTCTGAGAGATAGTTTGTTATAATTTCTGTTCTTTTACATTTGCTGAGGAGAGCTTTACTTCCAACTATGTGGTCAATTTTGGAATAGGTGTGGTGTGGTGCTGAAAAAAATGTATATTCTGTTGATTTGGGGTGGAGAGTTCTGTAGATGTCTATTAGGTCTGCTTGGTGCAGAGCTGAGTTCAATTCCTGGGTATCCTTGTTGACTTTCTGTCTCGTTGATCTGTCTAATGTTGACAGTGGGGTGTTAAAGTCTCCCATTATTAATGTGTGGAAGTCTAAGTCTCTTTGTAGGTCACTCAGGACTTGCTTTATGAATCTGGGTGCTCCTGTATTGGGTGCATATATATTTAGGATAGTTAGCTCTTCTTGTTGAATTGATCCCTTTACCATTATGTAATGGCCTTCTTTGTCTCTTTTGATCTTTGTTGGTTTAAAGTCTGTTTTATCAGAGATTAGGATTGCAACCCCTGCCTTTTTTTGTTTTCCATTTGCTTGGTAGATCTTCCTCCATCCTTTTATTTTGAGCCTATGTGTGTCTCTGCACGTGAGATGGGTTTCCTGAATACAGCACACTGATGGGTCTTGACTCTTTATCCAATTTGCCAGTCTGTGTCTTTTAATTGGAGAATTTAGTCCATTTACATTTAAAGTTAATATTGTTATGTGTGAATTTGATCCTGTCATTATGATGTTAGCTGGTGATTTTGCTCATTAGTTGACGCAGTTTCTTCCTAGTCTCGATGGTCTTTACATTTTGGCATGATTTTGTAGCAGCTGGTACCAGTTGTTCCTTTCCATGTTTAGTGCTTCCTTCAGGAGCTCTTTTAGGGCAGGCCTGGTGGTGAGAAAATCTCTCAGCATTTGCTTGTCTGTAAAGTATTTAATTTCTCCTTCACTTTTGAAGCTTAGTTTGGCTGGATATGAAATTCTGGGTTGAAAATTCTTTTCTTTAAGAATGTTGAATATTGGCCCCCACTCTCTTCTGGCTTGTAGGGTTTCTGCCAAGAGATCCGCTGTTAGTCTGATGGGCTTCCCTTTGAGGGTAACCCGACCTTTCTCTCTGGCTGCCCTTAACATTTTTTCCTTCATTTCAACTTTGGTGAATCTGACAATTATGTGTCTTGGAGTTGCTCTTCTTGAGGAGTATCTTTGTGGCGTTCTCTGTATTTCCTGAATCTGAACGTTGGCCTGCCTTGCTAGATTGGGGAAGTTCTCCTGGATAATATCCTGCAGAGTGTTTTCCAACTTGGTTCCATTCTCCCCATCACTTTCAGGTACACCAATCAGACGTAGATTTGGTCTTTTCACATAGTCCCATATTTCTTGGAGGCTTTGCTCATTTCTTTTTATTCTTTTTTCTCTAAACTTCCCTTCTCACTTCATTTCATTTATTTCATCTTCCATTGCTGATACCCTTTCTTCCAGTTGATCGCATTGGCTCCTGAGGCTTCTGCATTCTTCACGTAGTTCTCGAGCCTTGGTTTGCAGCTCCATCAGCTCCTTTAAGCACTTCTCTGTATTGGTTATTCTAGTTATACATTCTTCTAAATTTTTTTCAAAGTTTTCAACTTCTTTGCCTTTGGTTTGAATGTCCTCCCGTAGCTCAGAGTAATTTGATCGTCTGAAGCCTTCTTCTCTCAGCTCGTCAAAGTCATTCTCCATCCAGCTTTGTTCCGTTGCTGGTGAGGAACTGCGTTCCTTTGGAGGAGGAGAGGCGCTCTGCGTTTTAGAGTTTCCAGTTTTTCTGTTCTGTTTTTTCCCCATCTTTGTGGTTTTATCTACTTTTGGTCTTTGATGATGGTGATGTACAGATGGGTTTTCGGTGTGTATGTCCTTTCTGTTAGTTAGTTTTCCTTCTAACAGACAGGACCTTCAGCTGCAGGTCTGTTGGAATACCCTGCCTTGTGAGGTGTCAGTGTGCCCCTGCTGGGGGGTGCCTCCCAGTTACGCTGCTCGGGGGTCAGGGGTCAGGGACCCACTTGAGGAGGCAGTCTGCCGGTTCTCAGATCTCCAGCTGCGTGCTGGGAGAACCACTGCTCTCTTCAAAGCTGTCAGACAGGGACATTTAAGTCTGCAGAGGTTACTGCTGTCTTTTTGTTTGTCTGTGCCCTGCCCCCAGAGGTGGAGCCTACAGTGGCAGGCAGGCCTCCTTGAACTGTGGTGGGCTCCACCCAGTTCGAGCTTCCTGGCTGCTTTGTTTACCTAAGCAAGCCTGGGCAATGGCGGTCACCCCTCCCCCAGCCTCATTGCCGCCTTGCAGTTTGATCTCAGACTGCTGTGCTAGCAATCAGCGAGATTCCGTGGGCGTAGGACCCTCCGAGCCAGGTGTGGGATATAGTCTCGTGGTGCGCCGTTTTTTAAGCCGGTCTGAAAAGCGCAATGTTCGGGTGGGAGTGACCCGATTTTCCAGGTGCGTCCGTCACCCCTTTCTTTGACTCGGAAAGGGAACTCCCTGACCCTTTGCGCTTCCCAAGTGAGGCAATGCCTCGCCCTGCTTTGGCTCGCGCATGGTGCGTGCACCCACTGACCTGCGCCCGCTGTCTGGCACTCCCTAGTGAGATGAACCTGGTACCTCAGATGGAAATGCAGAAATCACCCGTCTTCTGTGTCGCTCACGCTGGGAGCTGTAGACCGGAGCTGTTCCTATTCAGCCATCTTGGCTCCTCCGACCTATTCTCATTCTTTAAAATGCAATGAGTGCAGCAGTTAATTAACTTATTATAATGCAATAAATCCCAGCTCTAGCCATGACCAATGACTCCTCCCCCCACCTTTACCGGGAACATTTTCATTTATGATGAATTATCCCCTGGGTACTCAATGCAGAGGTGGGTGACCATGCAGAACTCAGGGTCAGACACAATAACACGATCCATACTGCTGGGTAATGACAAGGCTTCTACTTCTACCACTTACCTTCCTGTGCCTGGGCGCCTTTATGTTTCACCGAAGTCAGCAGACAGTGATGACAGAATGAGGGAGTTTCTCTCCTCCAGATTTCAATTCTCTGGAAAGTAATATTCAGGATGATTTGTATGTGGGTATATGTATGGGGTTAGATCTCTGTCTCATCTGGTAATTAAACTGCTCGTTTGAATACAAACAGGTCTAGTAACTTTTACACTTTCTTTTTTTTCTTTTTTCCTGAGATGCTTTTTACATAGAGTGAATACAATTATGAGCTCTTCTGGGTGCTAATTCATTTTAAATTTCCTTCTTAACCTTGCTCCTGTAGGATTTTAAATATTAACTTTTGCTGAATGATGGCTACTGATAGGAGTTTAGACTTCTGTAGATATTCTTTCCCTGTGACTCTGTGTTAAAAATTGTCCATTTTATAACATGTGTTTCATTTGATTCATTTTCAATAATCTGAATTGTTGAGGATACCCATTTTTTATGGGTTGAATTGTATTCCCCTAAAAGGATATGTTGAAGTCCACCTTCCAGTACCTCAGGATGTAAACTTATTTGGAAACAGCATTTCCAAAACTTATTCCAAAACAGCATTGTTGAAAACGTAATTAGTTAAGATAAGGTTATGATATGATTCAGTACTAATTGAACGACTTCACCAGTTCTTGGTCGTATGACCTTGAGCAAGTTACTGCATCTCTCTGAACATCAGTTCCTTTTCCATAAAATTAAGATACTGCTGACACTTTGAAGTAAAGAGGTAATGTTTGCAATGTGCTTAATAGAATGTAATCACTCAATTGTTTTTTTAACCACTCAATTATCAAGACCTTATTGTGTCAAATATAAATAAAAACGTAAATTAGTTGTCCCCCAAAAATCTTCTTCTACCACAAAATAACCCTTATTTAGAATTTTAACACATTATAATATAAATATATATGATGAGTTGGGCAGATTTTATTATTATCCTCATTTTAAAGATGAGGTAAGTAAGGCTCTTGGTAATAGATCAAGTAATTTACTCCAAGTCACAACATTAAGTGATGACCCAGGATTCTAATGCTTGATTTCCAAGCTCAAGCTTTCCAACTTCATTCTGCCTAATATCATAGAATGCTTAAAGAAGGAGGGCTCTTTGAGAACATTACTTTTGAGCACCAGATATAAATGACTTATTAATTATCATACCTCACATCTTTATTAAGAATTTAATATATTTCACCAGAATTGTTATTTCTGAATTCTCTGATTTGATTTATTATTTGTCTAAACCAATTGTATAACTTCCTTCTAAAATTCATTAATAGAAAAATTCATAATATAGATATTTATTAGTACCTACTATGTTCCCAACACTATTCTAGTCACTGAGGATGTAGTACTGAACTATAAATGCCTTTTCATTCTATGAATATTATTAGCAATAATAAAACAAGTGTCATACATACTTATTACATGTACATTTTAAAATAATTAAAATGAAAGTATTCTCTAAATATTTTGCTTTCTTTTCATTTCTTTCTGGGTGAGAATTGTCTACATTCATTTTCCTAGCCTATCAGTCACATTTTTTAAATTGGAGAAATAGGCCAGGAACAGTGGCTCACACCTGTAATCCCAGCACTTTGGGAGGCCGAAGTGGGCAGATCACCTGAGGTCAGGAGCTCAAGACCAGCCTGGCCAACATGGCGAAACCCCGTCTCTACAAAAACATACAAAAATTAGGTGGGTGTGGTGGTGGGCGCCTGTAATCCAGGGTTACTTGGGAGGCTGAGGCACGAGAATTGCTTGAACCCTGGAGGCGGAGGTTGCAGTGAGCTGAGATCGCGCCACTGCACTCCAGCCTAGGCAACAGAGTGAGACTCCATCTCAAAAAAAAAAATTGGAGAAGTATATATTTTTATGTTCTCTTTTGCCGCAATTTGCATTTCAGCTACATCATCAGAACTACTTGGGTTCCTTCTCTTATCCGTAAGCTGTAAAAGAGTCAGGATAGACCCAGTTTATGGCTAGAATTTACTTTTTTCTTTGTGGAGACTTTAATTGGCCCCTGAAGAGTTGACACATTTGATCTCTTCACTTTCTGACTGTGGTCTACAATTACTGCAGTTTTATACAACCATTTTTGGGTTGTGAAAGTCTCTTTCCCACCACGACTGCTCTGCTAAATTAGGCCCTTATTTGGGCTGCCTTTTGCTTTCCTTCATGTGTCTTTGTAATGCCTTGTGGCCTATAACGACTACTTTTTCTCATTTAATACTCTTGCCAGGTTTCAGCTGGACCTGTAATTCCATAATCATGATTATTATTCAGCATGTTGAATACTATTTTCCTGCCAAGCTTCTTGCAGTACCATTCAGACATTTAGGAACAATGAAGTGTATTGAGCCCAAGTGTTCCCAGCTAGGGTGAAGATGACCATGAAGATAGATCTAGACATTTATGACCTAACAGAGAAAAAGAGAATCAGAGACACAGTAACAAAGAGAAAGATGAAGTAAATCTTATTTGGTAAGTAAACTTACCTATAAAATTGACTTCTTTCTAAAGTCACTGCTTTTTCTGATTTTTAAAAATAATACATCTACAATGTAAAAAATAGGCAGTAAAATGTAAAAAATAGACAGTACATAGAATAAAAATTTTCCCCAATCATGCTATCCAGAAATAGCCATTGCTAACATTTTGGTGTATATCCTTCCAGATTCTTTTCTATGCATAAGTCACCTAAAACAAAACAGAAAAAAACAGAGACCATGCTCTGCATATTTTGTAACCTTCTTTTCTCCCTCAGTGTAGTGTGAACATGCTTTCCATATCAATAAATAAAGATCATCATTGTTTTTAGTGGTTAAATTTTATATATGGACCATCATTCATTTAACTTTACCCTTTAATGGTGATTTATATTTAGAGTTTTAAATATTATAATAAATTTTGTTTAAACATTTCCTAATAAATATCTTTACACACTTGACTGTTTAATCTTAAGGAGAAATGCCTAAAAGTATGATAGCTGCGTCTAAAGAACCCATCTCTGCTCATCTCCCTTTCTTATAAGATTAAGTCCAAATTTCTTAGCATGTATATGAGATCTTTCAAAATCTAGTCTATTAGTCTTCTAGATTTATATCATTGCTCCAAAACATACATAACATTGATTCAGAATTTTTCAAAAGCCAGTATACTTCTACATCTTTATTTTTATTTCTTGCTGTTCTATTTGGAATGCTTGCCTCCACATTTTCCTGTTCTATTTAATTTCTATTTATCCTTTAACATCCAGCTCAAATGTTCTTCTCTGGATCATCTTCTAATTCCTCATAAGTAAAATTAATTACTCCTTCATCTGTGCTCCTATATATTGAGTTGTTGGATTACAGTGTTTCTCAAAGGTCTTTCTATCAGTTGTCAGTCGTGAAATCCTTAGTAAGCATCTACTAAGTGCTAGGCTTTGTGTTAGATGAGCAAAACAGACCCTACTAACTTATCTTATGCAGCTTATATTCTTCTATATTTTAGAAGTATGTTCATTGCAAATGTTTTTTAATAATGTTATGAAAAATGGAAGCAACTGTGTGTTCAACAGAGAATTTGTTAACTAAGTTATGATCCATTCTCATAATATGATATCATTTTCAGTCTCTATCATTGGGCAGCATGGACAAGAGGTTGTCATGACTACTAGTTGGGCCAGGGTTAAAATTACAAATAAATAGCTTTCTCTCACCAGTCAATAATGATAAATCATTAGTGGTTGCTTAGAGTGTGTGTTGAGAATGATTAGGAAGTGCAGTCTGTTTAGCGGTCTATCATGGGACTGGGAGTATTTGCCATATCTGGGCTTGAAGGATGCATTTACAGCACTTGCTTAGGGTTTGGGAACTTAACAAGAAATGAAAAGACTAGGTGAGAGAGAAAGTTGGGTTAGGTGAAGGACTAGGGAAAAAACCTAAAGGCCTTGAATGTTGTGCAAAGCACCCTCAATTCTTCCATGGTTTGGGAGAAGACAGTAGGTAAAACCTGTCTTAAATATCCTCTTCTCTCTTCTTTATGGGCCATTGTCTCTAAGCATCTTCCTAAACACTCTCCATTAGGCTTAGGAGCCTAATGATTTTATGCTCTTCAGTTGCCAATTTTCTTCCACCATGTTGCCCTGCTAGAAAGTATCCTATCTCATATTCTAGACACTTCTCTCCTGGCCAAAGATTGCTGGTCTTTCATTCTGTTAGGTACTAATAATCTAAGTTAAATAGAGGTATCCACGGGCCCTAATGTGGGGCTGGGATGCATAATAATTGGCATTTTTTAGATATGATGAACACTGTTGTTAAACGTATTCCTAAATCTACAAACATTTATGGTTATTTCTTTAGGATGCCTGTAGATAGGATGATTATAGATATAGTCAGGATGACTCAGTACCCTCCTTCATCTTGATGTAGAAGTTTCTTTTGCCCACAGTGTAAATTTTTGATGGTAAGAACTGCAGACACTTGTGAGGAGGGGGCCTTTTTAGATTGGCTTAAAAAACTAAATAGGAAAAAACCTCTCCAATACAACCTTAAGTCAAAAGAAATAGTGAAATAATTGGCATGGGTGGGAATTAGACTTTTATTCTGAGGTGGGAAAAGGAGCTATGAAACAGGAGGGGATATAAAGTATTTTTAATATGGAAATACATCTTATTAAACCAGTATATTTAATCATTTAAATTAAATCATACTGCGCTATAATGGCATGGTAACTACTTTGTTCTTTGGAGAAATACTCACTGTTGATTCAAGGTTATTATAAAAGTCTCGGAAGCTCATGACTGGTTTTGAAATTCCTTGTCATATATTAGCGTAAAACAATAATTACCAAATTATGTGATAGTCTCAGGAACCACTCTTAGGAGCCTTGGAATCAAAATAGCTCCATCAGTATCAACAGATTCGATGTGTGGCTTAGTTTTAATTGCACTTAGGAGAACCTATTTGTTTTTAACACTTGAAAGCAAGTCTAAATTGTGTCCAGTGGGGGCACTTAGAGTAGCAGGCTTTGGCACCTGCCTCAGGTAAGAAAAGTTTTTGTTTATTTCATTAGCGCTTGATTCTTTGACAGACTGTGGCTTTCCACTTACTGCATGAAGAGCTGCCAGCCATTCCTGCTGGGAGAAGCTAGTATGGGACTAGCAATGAACTTCTGAAAGAAGTTATTATGCCTTATATGGTTGATCTCCCATGCAAATAAAAGAAGCGTCTCATACTGTAGCTAAATGGAATTGGTATTTCATCCAATGTAAATGTATGCCAGCGTGCTTTCTGGCTTTTATCAACCACTGCATCTCTCTCCAAAGCAGATTCCCAGTTCATCTGTCTATAGGGCAGCTGCAAGTCAGGGATGGAATGATGAAGACTCATGGATCTGTGTAGAATAAAAAGGGATCAATCAGATCAGCATGTATTTACCAATAATGCCTAAAGCATTTGTTATAATGCAGATTCCAGAGATGCAACACCTTAAAAGATTCAGTAGGTCTGAGTAGCTAATATTTATTGTGCTATTTTTTAAACACGTTAAGCATGCTCTGCCTCTGGGCTTTTGCACTTGCTGTTTCCTCTGCACAAACCACTTTTCCTCCAGATATCTTTTTGGCTCACTCTTTTGTTTCCATCAGGCCTGTACTAAAATGTCACCTTCTCAGTTAGGCTTCCTTTCATTATATCAAAAATCACAACTTCAGAATTCCCTGTATCCCTACCATCTTAATTTCTTTTCCATTGCTCCTAAGTCATATAGTATTGATTTTACATTATATATACTTATTTATCTAGAGTCTGAAATGAAACCCAAGAAGATGGAAATTCTTGTCAATTGTGCTAAATCTCTAGTGCCTAAATAATGTCTAAGCTACAGTGGGCACTTGGTAAGCCTCTGTCCATTGAATGAAAATGACTAATGTTTATTGAGCACTTCTTAGTTACTAGGTACTGTTCTAAGGGCTTTATATATAATAATTAATTTAATTCCCTCAAGAGGTCTAGGAAATAGGAATTATGGTTATGTCTATACCATTACAGATAAGAAAACTGGAGCTAAATATTGTACCAGCTCATCCAGGTGGTACATGGTTGAGGCAGAATTTGAATCTGGGTAACCTGATTACAGATCTCATCCCTCTGACCATATGCTCTAGTGACATAGATGATGCCTTTAATATTTTCTTTGTGGAAAATCCAAAGGCAGAGTTCTTATGTTTGTTTCATGTGGGTGACATTTGGAAAAGGCTAAAGGCAAAACACTAAAGCAAAGGTTAGCCTAGTAAATACTACAAGATTTCCCCCCTTGCATTCTGGCCTAGGGTAATCTTCTCCTTAACAGTCCAGTGTTATTTTTAAAGAGCTGGAATTTTTAGAATAAAGCCAATCTGACTTTTGTAGCTATAGGGTTGTCCAGGTTCTAGATGGGAATAGGAATGTTATGGGAGGGGTGGGGTAGCGTGGCAGGGTCTCCTCCGTCACTTGTTCTCAAATCAGACTCCTCCGAAATCTCATGGATAATACGATGATGCCATCCTTTTGAAATTTTTGGAATAAGAATGGATCACTGGCTTATATAACTGTACTGGCTGATTTGGCAAATATGACCGGCTAGGTGGATATCAGCCTGATCTTTTTCCACCCCAGGTATGTTCTCCCCAGAGTACAGCATTTAGTTAAAGAGAACTTTGGTTACCTCTGCTTTTCAACTCATAAATATTTTGAGTTCTGACCAGGTCATTATGATGACCTCTAGGATCCTTGAAAAATCAAATTCTTACTGGAATCAGGTATGCTGGGAGAAATTTGCTGAGTGTTGATGATCATCTTTCCAAATCTCTGTCACAAGTGAACAAAAATATACTAACTTACCACTCTAAGAAAAATATATGTTATCTGTCTATATTTATTGATTGATACTTAAGTATGGCCGTTGACCCATATTGTTTTAAATTATTATGGAAGATATTATTTGGTTATTAAAGAATGAAATATATTTTTAAAATTTGTTACCCTTCTTAAATTCATTCAGAGACCACAAGGCTGTTTTGACTTCACTTTGATTGAAAATGAACTGATGTGAATGACCTACTCTAGATTATCCTGTAGTAAAGAAAGAAAAAGGGTCGAGATTTTTAAAGCCCTGACTCGGAGTCCGATATTTCAGCCTCAAATATCTAACTAATATAAAATTTCTGACAACCACTAACACAAACAGAAAGAAGCCTATGGAAACCTCATCTTCTACTGAGCAATATCACATTTGTAAAGATAATATTAATACAAAATTTTAATGCTCTGTGGATCATTATCTGGCAACAGACCAACAGCAGAACATAAAACATTAACAACTAAAAGCGGGTTCTGAGTCCTTGGAGTTTCTAATTGTTGTTCATTATAAAAAGCCACCAAAATCATCTTGAGCTGATTCATGGAGAATTAAATAGATTTGGTTTAATAAAAATCTTCAGGTCTCTGAATAAATTATGAATGCATCTTGAATTTTAGAAGGATACATTGGCATTAGGAAATGGTAATGAACAGACATTTGAGGTGGGGGGACCCTTCTGATCATCCCATTTGAAACTGATTAAAAGCTAATGAAATGAAAGTGTTTTCACGGATAGATGTGCAACAAGTCATGAGTTGTGGACTTTAATAATATATTTTCTTCACAAGCAATAACACAGCAATTAGGAGATGCTCATTGAGGTAGAAATAATGGTAACTGCTGTGCAGATTAGGTTTGCTGAAGGGAGCTCTCAGACATACACTAAAACAACATATTCTAGGTTCTCGTTGGTGTGTAATTTCTAGTTTATTTACTTATCATCTCAGTTAAAGAGGACTCTTGGCAGTAATGAGGCTACATAGAATAGTTTAAGATGTTACAAATTATATAAAAGATAAATCTAATGATTATCTATTCTAATGACAGTGCAATCTTGTCTTTCCTTGTGGGGAAATTGTATGGTTGTGAGACGCTCATAGCTGGGGAGAGTGCCACGGTACAAATGTATTCATTATTTTTCTGCCTGCTTTGCTTCTGCATGGCTGTTCATGAAAGCTGGGTAATTCATTCGAGCAGGAACCACTTACCACAGACCTTTCACTGGTGCTGTAGTGCCTGTAAGCAACCCGGTAAATATATAAAAATAATACGCTGGAAAACAGGATGGAAAATTTTTCAGCAAGAGGAGAATGACCTACAATGGTGTTACCAAAATAAGGGAAAGAAGGGTCAGGGGAAATAGCATATTGCCACCTCGTTTCTATTTACTATAATTGCCTTGAAAGTAAATACTCATGAAAGACATATAATGAAACTTCAGAGCAGACCGTATTTCTGAGGACGTCTGCATTCATTGGGAGGAGCAAGCTGGAGGAAATACAGAAGACTTGAGCAGAATTTTGAGATTCACGGCTTGCTTGAGTAATAACTCCAAGTTACAGAAGAAATAAAGATCATTTGTTTCTTTTTCTTAATTGTGTCTTCTTCCATATCAAATGGATTTTTTTCCCCATGAGAATCTCCCTTTCCACACTTTCCCAACTAAATGCAGAAAAGCTTAGGAAAGTAAATAATAATAATAATAATAAACCTTCCCACTTACGTGGGAAGATAGTTGGGAGAAATCTCTATGTGACAAATAAGTGGCTTGAAAGAAAGATGGAGCCAAACTTCTGGTATAAGGGCTGGTATTTATTATTTGGTGACATTCAGTTTATGTGGTCTTATGTTTTTTATTTTTAGTTTTTAATTCTCTGATTTAAACACTGCTCCTAACCATGCTGAATCATTTGAAATTGGTGTTTAGGATATGCCTCTAATTCCATTAATTAGTAGCAGCATATTTGACGGTATAGCTCATGTTGAAAGCTGTTCCTTTCATACCCTTAAGGTAGAAAATGCTTTCTCATTATTCAGGTGAATAGCAGAGGTGTGGATGGCAACATCCATTCCAAAATTCCAAGCCCATTGTAGGTGTTGTTAATTGGCATTGCCACCACTTTCTTTGGAGCCTGGAGGTGGCCTCTGAAGCTTTGCTTTCAGAAGAAGCACCTGAGTCAGCTACTGTCAGAATAGGCAGGTGAGATGAAACCCATTTGCCTCTTCCTGCTGTAAGGTTACTCTAAGAGGGATCGGTGTGATGATGTCCTGAGCTCTGGACTCTGTTCTTGGTTCCTTATTCCTTTTCATTTCTGGCTATTTCCTTTAGTTCAAGAAGGAGAACAGTTCCAGATTTTGAATAAAAAGATACAAGTTCTGCTTTTGTCTTAAGATAAATTAATTGCTGTTAAAACCTCCAAACCTCAGTGGCTTAATACAATTAAGATTTATTATCATGCCAGTCCTAGACCAATCCTGTATTGCTATGGGGCTCTGTTCTATGCCACTCTACACTGTCTTCCATCTAGAGGCTCTGAGTTTTCTCTAAGGCTTTAGAATCTTCCACTGGGTCCTCTGCCTATGCCCCAGAGGAAAAAGAGCTCCTGGATTGCAAAAGAGATTTCAGGGAAATGTAGCTTGGTTGTGTGTCTAAAACAGGGATTGGCAAACCTTTTCTGTAAAGGGCCAGATGGGAAATATTTTAGGCTTTTCGGACTATACAGCCCCTGTTTCAACTCCTCAGCTCTGCTGTTGTAGCATGAAAGCAGTCCCTGACAATATGTAAATAAATGAGTGTGGCTGGGTTCTAACAAAACTTCATTCCCAACAAGAAGTGGCAGGCTGGATTTGGCCAGTGAGCCATGACTTGTGAACATCTGGTCCAGGAGGAAAAGTAAATCGATTTGGTCAGCACATAGCAGAGTCTCTTGCACAGTGATTCTACAAGCTGTGTGATATTGGGCAAGTGACTTATCCTCTCTGAGCTTTTTTCTCATCAGTTAAACAAAAAGGCTATATAACGTCTTCCTTGATTTATCTCAGTGTTGTTGTGAAGATCAAGTGAGATAATGAATCATTAGAACTTTGTAAACTACAAAATTATATATGGATGTATTCATAAATGTACAGAAATACCCACCAAAGACAGTTGTACCCCTTTTCTTCACATAGATACAGGGACTCCATAGATTGGAGCAAAACAATGGGAAAAACACCATTATTAACACGCTTGAGTAATATTGAAATTATTTCTGAAAATCCAATGGACTTAAACTAATCCAATTCTTGGTTTATTCTTTCCATGAAAATGCCAGCTTGGATTTAACTGGAGGATTCTGGGTAGTTAGAAAAATAAATTGATGTTTGATTATAGCGGTCAACACAAAAACTTTACTAGAGGACTTGTTACAGATACAACTGGAACTTCTTTGGAAAGGATCTTTGTTCTAATAATGAAACAAGGTTATCAGTATATGCAAAGTGTATTAGTTTGCCAGGGCTGCCACAGCAAAGATTTAAACAACAGAAATTTATTTCCTTATAGTTCTGGGGGCTAGAAGTCCAAGATGAAGGTGTTGGCATAGTTGGTTTCCTCTAAGGGCCTCTCTCCCTGGCTTACAGAGGGCATCTTCAATTGTTTTCACGTTGTCTTCCCTTTGTGCCTGAGTCCTAATCTCCTCTTCTTATACAGACAACGGTCCTATTGAATGAAGGCCCACCTATATGCTCTCATTCTACCTAATTACTTCTCTCTAAAGGCCCTATCTCCAAATATAATCACATTTTGGGATTACTGGGGTTAGGGCTTCAACATATGAATGGATGGGGTGGGGTCAGGCACAATTCATTCCATAACACAAAATTTCTGCTTTCACTCTAAAGAGACAAAGATACCTCTTAGGACTCTGAACCAGTTTAATTGTTTTTGCCCTTATAGATCTGTCTTTTAAGTGGCTCCTTTCTCCCTTGCTACTACTGTCCTTTATTGCCTTTTTATCTTTTCTCCCCTTCATGTTATTAAAAAATCTTTCCTAAATCATTTTGACATAGAAAAATGGAGTTTGGATAAAGAGGGAAGAAAGAGAAGAACATTTGGTTCTCTGTCCCATTTTCACTTTTCTCTACAGTTTTACTTGTTGACCTTAGTAGTTTGAGTCTAGAGGGAACAGCTTTCAGGAAAAGGAAAGACAAAAATAGATATTAATTGGTGACAAAATAAAACATATTTGTATCTCACTACTATTATAAAGAAGCTGTTCCGTCCGTCCGTGTGTGTGTGTTTCCTGCCTTAACCGTTTTATACCAGTATGATGAGTGATGTGATGAAAGTTCTAAAAGCAGCATTGTAAGTATTAATTAATGATTGAAAAGCACTTTGAAGATGAAAAGCATTTCTATGAGCAATTGCAAGGCCATATTACTATTGTCATACCAGCAAAAAAATTACCATTATGTCATGCTGATCCTTATGAAATCTGCCTGAAGCTCCATTCTCAATGTATTATAATGCTTGGACTTTACTGTTCAAAATTCTATATTATCAAAAAGTTATTAGCTAGGCAGGGTGGTGCACACCTGTAGTCACAGCTACTCAAGAGGCTGGGTGGAAGGATCGCCTAAGACTAGGAGTTTGAGGCTGCAGTGAGTGAGCTGTAAATGTACCATTGCACTTCAGCCTGGGTGATGGAGAGAGAACCTGTCTCTAACAACAACAACAACAACAACAACAGGTTATCGATAAAAACATTGAAAAGCCAAAGCACTCTAGAAAAAATAGACTGTGTGGCCTATTAAATCTAGTTCCTATATTGTGACTCAGATAAATACAATATCATGCTATGATTAGCATTTGATAATAATTTTGAGTTTTTAAAAATGCAAACTTTTTGCTTAAAAAACACCAATGACTTCCCATTGCCTGTAAGATGAATCTATACTGTCTAACATGGCTTGTTTTCACCCTGTAACTCTGAATCATTCCACAAATACTCATTAAGCGTCTATCATGGGCCAGGCATGGTTGATCCTGCTAAAGATACAGTAGTGATCAAAACAGACAAAAACCCTTGCCCTGCTTGAACTTGGTAATACCAGATTGTGGGCCTTTGCCCACACCCTTTGCTCTGCCTGAGGCTTTCTCTCCATCTCCCCATTATTCTGCCTTTGCCTGATCAACTCTTACTCATCCTTCCAGTCTCACTGTAGAGACCGTATATTTAGGAAGTATAATGATTAATTTAATGTGTCAATTTAGCTGGGCCACAATGTCCACATATTTGGTCAAACCTGATTCTGGATGTTTCTATGGAGGTGTTTTTTTTGGATGAAATTGACATTTAAATTGGCGGACTTTGAGTAAAGCAGATTGCCTTCCATGATGTGTGTAGCCCTCATCCAGTCGGTTGAAGGCCTGAATAGAGCAATGACCTCTCCTTATCAAGTGGTTCTGCTGTCCTTGGACTCAAAATACAAATCTTTCTTTAGTCTCTAGCCTGCTTACCCATCCCATCAGATTTTGGACTTGCCAAGCCTCTACAATCATGTGAGCCAGTTTCCTAAAATAAATCTTTATGTACACATCCTATTGGTTTTATTCGTCTGGAGAACTCTAATACAACAAGGCCCTCTTGACTCTTCAAGTCTGTGTTAGGAGCTCTTCCTACACTTTCTCGTAGCATTGTGTGCAGTTCCTAGCATAGAGATCATCGTAGTGATCTACGTAAATGTATAGTAAGTACCTGTTTGCTTGTTGGTATCCCCTACTAAACTTTAAGTATCTTTAGTATAAGGGCCATCTCTATTTTTCTCACCATTATACCAGCTCCATAATTTTAAAATGTATGTTATTTACCTTAAATAGAAGCTTCTGTCTTCAGGAAAATTTTGAGGAAGTTTTATTGCATTTATCTACAATTTGGTTGTGTATCATTCTTTGAACATTAAATTCTAATCTGAGTTCCAGACATTCCCCAAGCTGGCCTTGGTAAAGCTGAGATCAAGGGGAAGCCAAGAGTAATAGAGATGTGGTATTGCCCAAGGTAATTTACCTTAATTCTATTTCTGAGTCTATAAATATCCACACTCAGAACCATGTGGACTTTGACTATTTCCATGCATACTTCTTTTGTTTATTAAATTCAAGAGTTGTATATAATTTCTGGATCATTCTGTCCCTTGATGGCCACAATGCTTTTTCATAAGAATCTGCCTCCTTCCATAGTCTTGGCTTGCAGAATCCTATTGCTAGGCCATCCCATCAGTGTCTACTCAGATCATTGCTTCTATGTTTGAGAAAATTTTCTTTTGAAAAATGGCAGATTTTCTTATTTTCCCTATTAATTACATCTATAACTGTATCACTGGCATGTCTATGTCAAGGCTGAGGCATAGAAAAGAGAAAGAGACTGTTCTCATGACAAGCCAGAAAACTACTTGTGAGTTTTGTGGTAACATTATTCTAAAGTAGAATTCAGTTATGCATTTTGTTGATTTTGCGGAATTCTCCCTTCTGATAATTACCATATCAGAAGGACTTTGTAATTAGGAGATTCATCCTGTAAGATCTTCTCCTGCCTCCTCAGGACAGCACTACACTCAGTTTCTAAAAGGCTGATGAGATATCTGACTGCCTGCTAGCTTTTTATGTAATTGTTCCTTTGCCATAGAAATGTTGACTTCCTGTTATCCACAATTTCGGTCTGTCTGAACTTAGGAAGTTAACCATTCAGGAAAGAAACATCAACATTCTTTTAGCTTCTTGCTGACTACAAATGATGTAAAGTAGTTTACAATGGAGAGAAGGCGGCTGGTGTAGCTATGAGTCATTCCTGCCCAGATCTCCTGTGACTCATTTTCCTTCATTAAACTGAGCAGAGTCAATAGCCCTTCAGTTTTCTGAACAGTAGATATAACTGCACTAATGACTGGCAGTTGAACAAGTTTATGTTCTAATTTATTTATTAAGCAACAGTAAAACAAGTATAAAGTACCCATCAATGAATAATGGGAGGACATTAGTGTTTCTGCCTATGAATTAGACCTAAAACAGAGCTTCTTTTTATAAAAAATGAAGAAGGCTGTGCTAGTCCCTGTCAACATAGCAAAAAAATTAATTTTTGAGGATCTCATTCCTCCCATTTTTAGACCTTGTTCCAAACTGGTAGCTGAGAAGTCCCATTGCTCAGGGCTGACTTTCTTTGACCCAACGTCCATAGGATTTCCTACCCCACTGTTTCCTGCCTTGGTTTCCCCTTTGCGTACCCCCTTTCTTTTGTCCCACTTCTTTCTCTCCATCTGAATACTTTGCCTATTCATTTCCTTACTCTTCATCCAACATTCCAATCAAACTTACTGATATACATCTGAAAACTTCAGGGCTCTAATGTGCTAGCATTTAACTCAATCTGCTTATCCCTAATAGGATTAAAATAAGTTTACATTTTTTTTTTTTTTTTTGCAGTGGCCCTACATTTGTCATCTACCACAAAAGGTAATCTAATGTTGGATTTGAGAAGAGAATTTAAGAGCAGAACTCTGGAATTAGATAGATCTTGGTTCGAATTCATTGCTTGCTAGATGAGTGACTTTGAGCACGTTATCTAACTTTTGTCGGCCACAAGAGTCCTTATTTGCAAAACAGGGATAATAATAAGGATTTGTAGATGAATGAGGTGATATACATATACAAGTATTTATCAAGATGAGTAATAAAAATGTTCTCCCATGATTATGTGAAGTCTAGGTATATTTGTTTTCTGTCAAAATGTATTTGGGAAATTTCTTAACCACTACATAATTTTTGGTGATTTTGAAATAAATGTCTAGGCAAATGCTGTGACATTTTTTTCTTTTTGCACAGAAGCCAGAAACAAGTTGGGAGAGAAATTGAACTGGTTGCTAGGAATATGATTGGTTTATATTCACTAGTGGGTCAAGTGATGGGGCACTTATGTAACATATAACCTGCTTCCTTCAATGTCTAGAACCTAGTAGGCATTCAATGTATGGTTATAGTTACTGTTATAATCATAGCAGGTCGGAAG
Organism: Homo sapiens; assembly: GCF_000001405.40. Classification (NCBI taxonomy): domain Eukaryota; kingdom Metazoa; phylum Chordata; class Mammalia; order Primates; family Hominidae; genus Homo; species Homo sapiens. The sequence goes on along the minus strand of NC_000001.11, from coordinate 88,326,633 downwards.
AAACCATTTGGGAAGTAATTCATTTTAATTTCTCTTCTAAGCCATCATTGTTTCAAAGATATTTATCCGTACTATTAATAGGTAGTTCCTTTCTATTTTTGTATAGTGCTTCATTACCTACACAGATGTTATTTTGTTTACTTCTGAAAACAATCCTGCTATATTTCTGCTTAACATTATTTCTGATTTATAAGAAGCTGAGACTCAGAGATAAAGTGACCATATAATTTCTTGTCTGAACCAGATATTTTGAGAGTGAAAGGGGCATTAAACTGGAATTGTCCTAGGCAAACTGGGAGGTTTGTTTACTTTATTCAGAGAGGTCATGAATGTTCCAAAAGCCATCTATCTTGAAAAGTGACAGATTTTGGACTAGAAGGCAAGTCTAATGACTATATTTAAGACTCTGCTAGAATTTCTAGGCGATGGTAGGATGTAGGAAATTAGTTTCTTGAGGTCTGTGTGATCATTACCATAAAGAAGTACAGACAAAGTTCCCACACCAAATAGGTGCTGACCTGTTCTGCTAATGTGCTGGACTAGCCACAATGATAAGGGATTGCAATCATATGATGAGATTCCCCATTCTTTTCTTACCTAATGAAGTCACTTATTTATTCATTGAACAAACCTGTATTGAACACTCACAGACTCATTTATCTATTGCTACATAACAAACCACCCCCAAAATTAGTGGCTTAAAACAACAATAATTTTATTTATTCATGATTCTATGGGTATGTAGTTTTGATTAGGCTCAGCTCTGTGGTTCGTCTGCAGGTCTCATGTGGAGTCATTCATGAGGCTGCAGTCAGACATAGCAACTCATTTGGGGCTGGATGGCTTCTGATGGCCTCACTCACATGTCTAGCAATTGGTTCTCACTGTCAAGTGGTTGGTGAAATAATTCTCAGCTGAAATAGCTCATTTTCACTCCACGTGGCCTCTTATCCTTAAAAACATTAGCCTAGGCTCTTTACAAGGTGATAGCATCACCTCAAGAGAGTGAAAACAGAAGCTTCATGGCCTCTGGAGGCCTTGGTTTAGAACTGGCACACTATTTTCTTGCCTCAGTCTATTGGTCAGGATAAGTTATAAGCTCAATCTTGATTCAAAGGTTAGGGAAAGGAACTTGACCTCTTAATGGTAGGAGCAGCAGAGAACCCTGCAAGCAAAGTGTGCTGCGAAGAAAAGGGTGGTGCACACAGTATGGGAGAAATTTATAGTTTTTTATTATCTATCATCTATCCTAGAATATCCAAAACATTACAAGTCTTTTTTTATAAAAACCAGATCTGGAGACAGCCAGTATACTGGCAATTTGGCACTTGACCTACACACCTTCAATTCAGCATAAAAAAAGAGAGGTTGAGTTAGAGATATTTGATTTGGTTAAGTGGCTTCAGCTCTAGCCAGGAAGCATTAGATTGAAAGAGAAAAAAAAACCTTGCCAGATAATAAAGCCAGTTAGATTTATTGTATTTATGACAGTAGGGAATTCCTTTAATCACATATTCTCAAGTGCCTTTGGGAACATGGACGATAATAAAGTGTATGCTGAGAGGAATCAGTGACAGTATTCTCCCCAAGGAGAAAAAATGTTACTGAAGCTCATCATTTCAATGTTTCTTGAGGGGCTCAGAAGAGCAAATCTTACAGCTGCCCGCAACCTGGATACGTGGAGTGCTGGACTGGAAACTCCTTAGGAAAACTATTAGGATACATAGCCAGCACTGTTCTGGAAAGCCAGTTTATTTAACTGTGTAAGGTAGTGCAAGGGACTTAGAGAAGAAGGCTGAATTGGATCTTTTCTCTTTAGTTAGGCAGGCATTACAAGCCATACCTTCATATCTCTAGGTGGCTTTGTGGTTTGTGTCACTGGTCCTAGCTAATGGGGACTAGGCTCCAGATGGTTGGGTGCAAACTATACCATGTAGTGGCCCAGATGGCTCTAGTAATCAAATTAAATGCTGGCTATCAATCAGTGTGCATATACTTAGCACCCATTATGTGCTGGACTTTGTGAGGTGACATAGAAATATAATACTAGTTTTTTTTATCTCATCTGAATCTGCAGTCTAATTATAGGATGTAAGAGCATGAAAGGACAAAAACAAAAGTCAACTTTTATTTCCATTTCTTTGAAGATGTGTAAAATCAAACACGTGGAGAAAATGATGCATGTGTTTATAAAAACATTTCTTAAAATTCTATTCTTTATGTGTGATGCATCAGAGAAACTGCTGAAATATGATCAAATGATTTCCATTGGTGTGGAGATGCAGTAGTGAGATGTGCAACATAAGCAGGATAACATTATTGCCACGAGGGCTCAGTCTCATTTGTTAGCTTTGCTTCACTTATAGCCAATGATAATAGGCAAACTATGTTGAGGACTATGCACTGTGAACTCTTTCAAGTACTTCATGTTTATTATCTAATTTAATCTTGTTTCAAAGCTCTGAGATAGTTGCCATCACTATTCATTTGTGTCCTCACCTGACATGGTTTGGCTGTGTCCCCACCTAAATCTTATCTTGAATTGTAGTTCCCATAATGCCCACCATCATGGGAGGGACCTGGTAGGAAATGATTGGGTCATGGGGGCTGCTTTCCCCATGCTGTTCTTGTGATAGTGAGTGAGTTCTCACAAGATCTGATGGTTTTATAAGCATCTGGTATTTTCCCTGCTTGCTCCCACTCTCTCTCCTGCTGCCCTGTGAAGAGGTACCTTCCCCTACGATTGTTAAGTTTCCTGAGGCCTTCTCAGCATTGCAGACCTGAGTCAATTAAACCTCTTTCCTTTACAAATTAACCAGTCTCAGGTATTTTTTCATAGCAGCATGAGAACAGACTAATACACCACCCAAATGTCATGTCAAATTGTAATCTCCAATGCTGGAGAAGGGGCATGGTGTGAGGCAATTGGCTGTTCTTGTGATTATGAGTGAGTTCTCATGAGAACTGGTTGTTTAAAAGTGTGTAGCATCTCCCTCTTCACTCTCTTCCTCCTGCTTTAGCTATATAAGTCCTGTCTCCTTCCCCTTCGGCCGTGACTGCAAGTTTTCTGAGGCATCCCCAGCCATGCTTTCTGTATAGCCCAAGGAACCATGAGCCAATTAAACCTCTTTTCTTTATAAATTGCCCAGTTTTTGGGCATTTCTTTATAGCAGTATGAGAATGAATTGATACACCTGGGAACATGTAGCATGCTCAAGGTCACATAGTCAGGAAGTATCACAGGATCCCAGACATGGGCAGTCAAGAGTTTGAGTGACAACTACATATTTCATTTGGCCCTGTTCTCGTACAAATCAGGGTTCTTGGTTGTAAACAGTGGAAATTGACTTTTTAACTGAAGCAAAAAAACAATGTATGGGGGAAATGTCAGGGATTTCTTAGACTAGCCAGGAAGTCTTGAGAACTGGGCTCACAAAATAGGCAGAAGCCAAAGCATATTTGGCAGCAAATTCTACAGAAAAATGCCACAGGAATAGTCAACTTGGGAAGCTACTATTGAAGCTGCTGCCAGTGGCCACTTGCCTCTGGTCTCTGGGCTTTTCACCCACCACCACTGCCCATAGCAGCTGTTGGCCCTTTCATCTCCATAGCAAACCCCAATATTATGCCTACAACCCAGTGTCTGGGAGGGTAGGAAAGGAATGTTGTTTCTCTCTTTGCCCCTGATTCCCACCTCTTTTGAAATTACTCTTGAACAGTGAAGATGTATGCATGCTGGGTAGGCTAACACACAACTGACAAATGTCCACTTCTGGTCTTCCCAACATGTTACTGCATGTTACTGGAATATGCAGGTCAATTTCTTTTCACAGTCCCAGATGTGGATATTTCCTATTCCTCAGTTACTGTTGCTGTTTTGTGTCTTGACATCACTCCTCACATAGCCATGCCTGTGTCCTTGCCCCAACTCCAACTTGTGTAAGTTCCCCCACTCTTGCTTTTGCTCCTGGAGCCATCTTTAGATGGAAAAAAGCTCCTTTTCCAGGGAATTATGTGTTTGTTCAGTCAACCCTAAATGGTCAGGATTGAAGACTCTGGTTCAGGAATTAGAAGGACATTTGAGTAATAACCCTCAAATTCAAAAGTTTTTCAGAAGTTTAATGAATTCAGTTTAGTTCAAGAAATAATTATTGAGTACCTACTAAGTACAAGCACTTTGCTAGTATCTGGGGCTATAGAGAAGAATATATATCATTCCTGGTGTCAGGGACTTCAGAGTTGAGTTAAAAACATCCAAATATACACTATAATTTTATACTTTACTTAGAACTGTTATTGTTTCTCGAATTCCTCTTGGTTAAAAGGATCTTACCATAAAGCAAATACATTCTGGATGAAAGTAGTACATATTAATGAGTACTTACTGTATGCCAGACAGTGTTCTAAATGCTTTGTATTTATTAACTCATTAAAACAACAGCAACAGTGATTTTTATTATAATTTCTGCCACCCAGTGATGCTTAGCAGAGTGCTGGATATAAAGTAGATGCTCAATCAAAGCTTTTTGAGCTGGTGATTACATATGCAGGAGTATGCAGCAAATAAATCCTACGAAGACCCTTTGGGGTTGAAACTTATGGAAGTTTCTAGGAAAGATAAAGTGGAAGAACTAGCTTGAATGTGACATTTGGCAGCTGGATGTCCCTGCTTTCCTATTGGGTGTCCCATCTTGGAAAAGTGAAGACCACCCACAAGGGGTCCCTGGGCAAATGCCCAAATTCACAGTTGGCTAGATTGACCTTGGGGGGAATTAATCTTATGTAAGCAGGACTGCACTCATTAATCATTCACAATAAGCTCTTTTTTATGTACTAATTTCAAATAGACATGTTGAATCCGTTTTCCCAAGCAAAAATGGAGTTGGATAAATCATAAACAACTAAATTATAGTTTTGGCACATCACATGGTTTTGTTTCATATTTACAGTTATTTGTCTCCTAGAGAAACCTAATACAATGGGAACACTCTGCAAAACACTATAGAGAGGGAGTGTTTTAGAGACTTACATCTGATTTACATTTATGGAGCATAAAACTAATTGCAGAGAGACTGTGCTACTAAAACGTTAAACCTAAGGGACAACTGTATACAGACGCTTATAGGAATGCTGATACGACTGCTTGAAATTAAGATCTTCAAAATTAATTTCTACAACTAAAAATAAGGGTATTTTTAAATGTGCTCAATTGACATAGATACATTATAAATGCTTCCTGGACAAAATAGCTGTTATAGAAGAACATCTTTCTCATATGAGATTACAATCTGAAATTGCAAGTAGTAATAAATATATTCATCTATATTAGTGTAAAAAAGTGACAATATTGTAAGAGCAATACACAGGTAGGCAACTAATGGTCGATTTCTGAAATTAATCGACTTGTCATTACTGCAATCACTTTTATTCTCACTAAATAGCCTAATTTTTCTTTTTCCTATAACCACATGTGTACATGAGGGGGAAATTTCCCTCCAAATATATTATTATTTTTAAACTGCTTAAAATAATGTACCTAAAAAATACCCTTCTAAACTTCTATTTTATAAGTTAGTACATCTGGAAGTCTTTTATGATGCAAAATTGTCAACTTGGAAATTATATATTGCTTTAATATTTTCATTTTCAAACATTTTGGGACCTTAGTAGTTACATATAGCAACAGTTACTCTGAAAAGTAATAAAAGTAATATTTTTATGCGTCAAGAGTGTTTTATTATTCATCAACTCCCATATACTGTATATAGTCCTTTAAAACTATTTGCATCGTGTGTGCGTCTGTGTATATGAACACACATATAGTAATGGTGCATTTCCTTTGAACACTCTTTGTAGCTTTCTGCTACATGTCTTTCCTGTGGTGTTGTCTGTGAAGGTTTAAGTGAAATTTATAGCATGCATCATGTATTGTAAGTTTGTCTGTCATATAATAATCAGCATGCAAAAAAAGCCACATATTTGGACTGTATATTTAAATCTAGTAAGTAATCATATACAAAACAATGCAAAAATGTGAACATTGTATGGCAATTAATAACATCTCTGCCAGTGTAAATACGTTTTTTTCCCCATAAATCATTTCCAGCTTGTCAAAATGGATCTGTGCTGGCAAAGAAACAAGGGTAATGTTTCAATTTTCTCCATCTGGCAAGAAATTTTCTGTTAGATTTCTTCCTTCCCTTTTTCAGTTACAGAATTTATATGAGCAACTACATACAGTATGATTAAGAAAGGGTGTGGTATGGTAGGCGCAGGAACAATGCCGAATATTAGGGACTTGACTCTGAATAACTGCCCCAAATTGTACATTCATGTCACAAATGCATAGAACAGAAAATATTTGGTTGTTGAAGCATAAAAACGATTCCCTTTGTAGCAAAACATTGCTCTCATTAAATAAAGCACAACTTTCTTTTAAAACATTTTTCCGTAAGGACTTGAATATATTTTAACTTGTTTGGAATAATTTCTTATACTGATTGAGGATGCATTTAAATTTGAAAAAAAAATTATGTCATTGTAGAAATTCTAGTGGCACACACACACACACACACACACACACACACACAGATTCCCAATATGGATCTGGGGGAGAATCTACCCTTTCATGATCCAATATTTAAAACAAAACTCAATACAGCAAGCATACTGTATACATAGAGTGCTTACAGATGTCTAGCAAAGCAAAGTATTAGTGTTTTTAACCACAAAAACATTTATAATTTACTGTGTTCATGAGGATATGAATCTATGCACAAGTACCAAAATCCACTTATTTTCATGTACATGGATGAATAATTTCCAACTTTCTTTCCCTGTTTATATTAAAATGTTCTCAGAGCTCATGCAGTATGCTATCCTGCTCAGCTACTCAGCTATCTACAGTATGCATAGGAGAAGGTTTGATAAAAGTGATGTATATAGGCTGGGCGCAGTGGCTCACGCCTGTAATCCCAGCACTTTGTGAGGCCAAGGCGGGTGGATCATGAGGTCAGGAGTTCAAGACCAGCCTGGCCAATATGGTGAAACCCCGTCTCTACTAAAAATACGAAAATTATCTGGGTGTGGTGGTGCATGCCTGTAGTCCCAGCTGCTGGGGAGGCTGAGGCAGGAGAATCGCTTGAACCCAGGAGGTGGAGTTCGCAGTGAGCCAATATTGCGCCACTGCACTGTAGCCTGGACGACAGAGCAAGACTCCATCTCAAAAAAAAAAAAAAGTGATGTATATTTCAGTATGTGTGTGTTTTATGGGAAACCAAGCACAGTAAAACTCTGATGAAAGCTGCCTGTGTAGCATCGTTTTCCCAATATCTCTGCACTTGGAAGGGCACAGAAAATCCAGAAACACGTAAAACTCATTTGTGTTTGATTTTGGACTATACTGCAAGCTGCTTTAGCAAGTTCATTTTTCTCTCCAATTAAAAAAAAAAAAGAAAGTTAGTTAGCACGATTAGATCACTAATTGTGCCTTGGTAAGGAGAGGGAGAGAGAGAGTGGGGATTTGCTAGATTCTGGTTTGGATAATTCATGGGCAGATAATCAACAACTGTGAGCACAAACCTCCAGATAAGGTTGTACAATGAGTGAACTGTGAGCGTTTCCCCGCCAGGAGGGTGGAGATCAACGCAGCCTCTTTAGGTCACACAATGAAACCAGCTGTGGGTTTTATTTTTGCGTGTGACTTTATCCATCATGTAGGTCGTTGAAAGGACGGCTCTAGTATGTTGATATGAATCACTTAGAGCCAGGGTGTTTCACTTGTCACTTACCCTTGTTGCGGATAGTTTTAGCTGCACATATGGAATATTATTTGTCATGCACTCTTCTGAGACCCCTAGAATGTCAGGACACAACAGATGATTAAAGGATTGAAAAGCAACCTTCACTCTGAATATCTTTGTCTTAAATTGTCAAACCAGAGCTTTATTGCAATTTGACAGTTTAGTTTTCTTTCACCTAAGTTTTACGGGCATATGCCAAAAATAATTCGTACAAAACTTTATTCACAGAAGTGGCTTGAAACACAAGTCTTGGAATATAAATGTAATCAAATAAATAGTTTCTTCCTCACCCAATCACCAACTTCCTCTCTCTTTTCACTTTCTTTTTCTCCCCATCTGTAGGAGAATCTATTATTCGATCTAAGGCTCTTACCTTCCATTTTTAAGTGATTAGCTCTTCACACTACGAGAATTAGCCTCGCCTCTCCTTGATCTTATTTTAAAAATGATTCTTGCCTCCACTGCTCTATCATCCTGTTATATCCAAACACTCTAAGTATTGAATTGTGCAGGATTCCTCAACCTATGCCCCAAGTGAATTACTAGAGCTATCCATAAATCAATTCCTTAAAATCAAAACATAATTTTTTATTGATACTGTAATAGAAAGCATATATCAAGATTCTTGATTCCAAAATTTTAATAAAATCATACTGAGCAATGGACTCAGTATTTTCAAATTATAAATTTTAAAAAGAAAAAGAATAATGTTGATACTATATTTAAATGACATTGCAGAACTATCTAAACTGAACATGCAGTGAGGCTGTGGTTACCGTGGTGTGAGGTAATGATGGAGCACATTGGGAAATGGAGAGGTTGACACCAGGGTCATCTACTTCACCCTGGGAAGGACCATTTTGATGTTTCAGGCTGTTACCCAGAGAGGAGCAGGGGAGAGAGAAGGGACCCTTAGTCTGCCTTTGAACATCTCAATAAAGTTTTCTCTGGTTCTTTCCTTTCCCCATGACTGGACAACAACCCTGTATAAGTGTTCCATTTTTAAAAGGTCAGATTTCCTCACTTGCCTTGAATGGTTTTGACACTCACTTGCTAGAAGGCAGTAGGTTGGACTGGATACGTTCTCACAGTTCTTTTAACTCATAAATGCTGTTTATTCTTCTCTTTTTTAGTTTGTCTTTATGACCTGTCAACTGAGTTGTATGGGTCTGTAAAGGCTCAAGGAAAGGTTCTTCTCCATTCAGGCCAATTGTCTGCTAATCTTTCCTTACCCTCTGATCTTTGATTACACTTGTGGAAAGTCAGGCCTGGATCTGGGCAGAGATGTACCAGCAGCTGATTTTCTTCTTGGTTTGGGGCTACTGACAAAAATTCATATGTGGAGCCTCTCTGGGGTTTCTAATTACTTTGTTACAACTTTCTTTTATCTGAACAGTCCAAAGGTTATCATAGACATTGAGTTAGCTATTCCAGATGTATAAATCCAAGGGAATTAAGATGCATTTTCCTATTAAAAAAGTAAAATCAAGTGAAAGATCAAGTTATGAACATGTAGAACATTTAATGAACTTGAGAATCAAGGCTTGCAGTGTCATTACCACACATAACTCTAGTATTTTATTAGAACTGACTTGTCTAGGCTTCTTTACAGATGATGGGGATCTGTATTGTAGTTTTATAAGTCACTAGTTAACATTCACCTGGAGCAATTTAAAAGACAGAAACTAGAAAATAACATGATCTAGTAAGGTTTTAGCAATATGACTCTCTTATATAAAGACATAATTTTATTTTTTGTCACTGCACTTAATCATATCCTAAAAATATGGTTTAGTCTTCCAAATCATCTAAGAGGTTAAGATAATCTAAGGAGGCACTATGAGATAGATCAATCTATTTTCACTTTCATTAGTAGGAAAACTGAGGGCATGGAGTGCCCATGTGATCTGCCTGAAGTCAGTCCCTGAGACAGTCCTCAAATATACCACCTAAAAGGCTATAAAGCATAATGTATATTAGCCCAGGCTTTAAAGTCAAACAGACCTAGATTCTGACTTCAGCACTTAGTTAACCTGGGCAAATAACACTTTTCTTGGAAGATTTTGTGTGTGTGTGTCTGTGTGTGTGTGTGTGCAAAAACAAAAGACATGTAAAGTTCTTAGTATAACAATTGATATATAATCACTAAGTATAACTACATATGGCATATAGCTATATTTATTAACATAGCTTTTCTGTTTAATGTTATTTCATTTAAGCTGTGCTTCCTAATTTACTAGACTTGATTGATCTATTGATAACATCTTTTCATTCTTAATAATATTAATTAGAGTAGAAGAAGAAAAAAGAATGAAACTTAATTTCCCCTAGAGTCCTGAGGGATTTGTGCGGGTCAATTTATTAATGAAATGTGAAGAACATTTGGCAAACCCACCAAATGAGACAAAGCATTGTAAAGAGCCTTTAGAAAGAATTGGTATCTAATGTTAATGTCGGTGGAATGGAACTGTCATGGGATAATGGCCTTTTGATGGTACAGAAAATGCCAAGGCAGAGATAAGACATTTATTTTGAAAGCATTAGACAATCACCTTTGGATAGTGTCCTTCCACCAGGTCTTTATTTCTAATAGACCAATAATTGATATGGATGTAATTATTTTTCTTGATGGATTTGATATATTAGGCAATGGCCTTGCTCACTCTGTACAATCATTAAGTTGCTGCATCTTCACTGGTCACCAGGACAAACCTTTTATCCTGTGTTCTCTCCAATCAGAATTCTGATTGTCTGTGGGCTTTTTTTTTTCCTCTAAATACCGAGTGCAGCAATAACATGAATGAGGGGATTTTGGGCAAGCTGAACTCCTGAGACTTGTGGTGATATAACCATAAGTTTAGATATTTTTTGTGTCTCCTGGAAGCAGAAATCTACTTTTTTATGTGTGCAAGTGGCAGTAAATATTTTCAACGTGGAGAATCAGATTTGGCAATGACTGATATTTTCTGTAAACCTAAAGTACAAAAACTCAAACTGCAAAAGTTTCATACAACTAATTCTGTTGCAGAAATATTTGCTGTAGGGTAATAAGCTCAACAATAGAGTTGATTCTGTAAACCTTGTGAAATTAAAGTCCTTATTATCTAGAGAAAACCATCACTTTGTATGTGCGTGTGTGCGTGTGTGCGCACATTAGTGCATGTGATAGTCAGATGTCCGGCACCATAACCGGGTAGCTGGTTATTGATGCTGTTTTACAGAGAGTAATGAAAGGCTAGTGGAATGTCTTTAATTTGTTATTATTAATCTTGTTTCAAGGAAACATGAGACAAGGTGGATGGTTTGGATTGACTTTTTATTTGCTATGAGTATGGTAATTTCCCGCACACATTATCTTGAATGTACACATTTTAGCTTAATGGATTTCTTGAGTCAAGTTATGGCATTGCTACACTGAAGTTTATTCCACAGTACTGAAGGATAATACAAAAAAAAAAAAGTCCCTTGACCTCTCTTTCCAGGCTTACCTATAAAGTCCAATGTAGCTCGAATGGCAAGAGGAAGATTTCATCTTTTGTCTCCTGTCCTGAACTTCTCTGATACATGTCTTGAATTTTTATTCAAATTACTTTGGGTTTTAATTTATTCAGTCAAATGTCAACCAAGTGTTGTTTATCCTGTGGATTACATTCATGCTCACTGCAGAATTCTCTAACATTTTGATTTCTAATTATTTTCTTGTTTATCCATGTGGTAGGATGTTTTGAATATTACCTTCTGACCACTGACCAGTTGGAATTATAATTTTCTCTCTTTTCTAAGCATCTGGTAAGTAAAATTTAGCAAGTGTGTAGTCTTAGCACATCTATCAACTGCATTGCAACAACTTTTATTCCATATAGCATTGTCTTCCTTAGTTATTTATTGTGCTTGAACAAGCCAATGTATTTTGGATATTGGAGCTGAGCCTTGTACACAACGTGCAACTGCAGCCTTTCTAAGATTCCTGTGCACAAGGCTATACAAAGAGATATTGAGGCGCATCTCCAAGGAATTCCAAACTAACAGAAAAAGTTAATTGAAGAAGCTGTGAAGCTGTTTCTATACCAGAGATCAACTCTAAACTCCTCTATTCCATTTTCTCCCACTCAGCTGTTTCCTTCTATTCTTCTCTGGATTCTATCCCTTTTCTCTCTCCTTGTGCATTATTTTTGGAGTTATGGACTAATGCTGAACTTCTCTGTTCCTGATAACCAGGCTGATTTAAACTTGGGATGGGAAGAGAAGCATGGTATTGGACAACGGTGGTGCAGCCATTTGGAAAAGGTATTAAATCAAAGAACAGGGAATCTGGGTTACAGCAGAGTGAAGGGGTCAGTCAGTACAGTTGGTGACATGTAAGGTCATAGTCTATTAAAAAAAGGAGTTTTGTGTGGTTAAAAGGTACAGATTATGGGTCCAGATTATGAAGACTTCGGGGTACCATGATCAGGAATCCAGCATTAGCATCTGGTGAGGTAGAGTCAATGGAGGTTTCCAGCCAGATAGGGATATAGTTAGACTTCTGTTTTAAGTAGAGATCTATGGAAACAGTATGGAAAGGGGATTGGAGAAAGAAGAAGCTGAAACCAGGAAGACCCACTTAGGAGACTATTATATATAAGGTGAGAGATGATACAGGCCTGAAATAAAGGGAGAGAAGAAACTAGAAGGGAGAGATGTTTTTAATATTAGATTGGACTGGATATAGTGACTTATTAAAAACTAAAAGAGAAGGACAAGGAGGAACCCAACATAGTTTTGGGTCAGTGGGTGTATTAGTTTGCTAGGGCTACCATGACAGAATACTACAGGTTGTGTGGCTTAAGCAATGGAAGTTTATTCTTTAACATTCTGGAAGCTAGAAGTCCAAGATCCAGACGTCAGCCGTGCTTTCTTTGAAGGTGTTAGAGAAAGATCTGTTTGAGATTTCTCTTCTAGCTTCTGGTAATTCCCTGGTTTGTGGCAGTGCAATTCCAATTTTTCACATTGCGTTCTCCCTGTATGCATGCCTATCTCTTTACGAGGTGTTCTTTTTATAAAGGTACTAGACATTGGGGTAAGGTCCCACCCAATACCAGTAGTATCTTATCTTAACTAATTACATCTGCACCAACTCTATTTCCAAACAAGGCCACATTCTGAGGTACTGGGGGTTAAGACTTCAGCATATGAACTTTTAGGTGACAAAAATTCAACTATAACAATCCACAATAAAGACTGAAGTACAGAAATCCTACTGCATTTCCAGCCTACTCTCCCTGCCCTGTGGAATTTAGATTTAAAACTGCAATATCAACTCTTACCTGAATTTCTAGCCTGCCATCTTTCTCTATGGATTTCAGGCTTATCAACCCCTATCATTGAGTGAGCCAATTCCTTAAAATATCCTTTTCTCTCTGTAGCTAGCTAGCTAGATAAAAATATAGATATATAGAATCAATACAGAACCAATATGATATGGATATAGATATAGATACAAATATAGAGATGGATGGATGGATAGATAGATAGATAGATAGATAGATAGATGAGTCCACTAATAAATGTCTGCAACCCTTGGAATAATGTGGGGTAGATAAATTTCAAGACATACAGAACATGCTTTTTAGTGAGGTAGGAAGCCAGGTAGCAGGTATGGTACAAAAAAGTAAGGCCAATCAGAGACATCTTGATGCAAACCTGTCAACTCATTCCCTTCCCAGGAGAAGCAGTGCCAGCCTGCTTGAGCCCCACTAATCAATCAATCTATCTATCTATCTATCTATCTATCTATCTATCTATCTATCTCTCTGTCATCCATCTATCTATCTATCTATCTATCTATCTATCTATCTATCTCCTACCTACCTACCTACCTACAAATCAATCTGTTTCTCTGGAGAACCCTGACATATAGTGAGGAAGGCTGAGTACTTACGGAGGGGTTGAGGGGAGCTAGAAAAGATAAAAAAAGAGACAGACAAACTTCTTGAGAGCAGGGCAGGATTCAAGCCCCAGAAAGGAGTGAAAAATAAAAGAGAAGAATATTTCATGTTTTCTGAGGTCTTAGGATGTAGCTCTGTAACTTCAATATTATTTCTACCTCAAATTGCAACTTCACAACTAGAACTAGACTCAACTAACGCTTGACACATTGAAAAATTGTGCTCTAATCAAAATGAAAACATTAGGTCAAACCATATGAAATTACTAACATTTGACATTCATTTTTTGCTAAAAAACCCAGTAATTTTATATAGTTCAATGGAATATAAATTAGATTATTTATAAATGTGGATTCCACTTATAAATACAAGCTGTTTTCTTGAATATCTCAGGACCAAGTCCATGTATGACAACTTGAGAGAGGTGGAGTCTATGTGATCAGGTATTAACCTTGTCCTGGTCAGGGGGAACATTGTGGGTAGGCCACCAGGTCAGCACATTTAAAGATATCCATTTAAAGGCAATAGTTAACAATTGCTAACAGTTATTAAATGCAAACACTGTTAAGACAGTCTAGTCACCACACTTATAATATTATTTGTTTCTCACAAAATACTATGAGATAGGTACTACGATCATTGCCATTTTACCATTGAGGAAACTGAGGACTAAAAAATGCAAATGACTTGCCCAAAGTGGTAGATCCAGGAATGGAGTCCAGGCATATCTGGCTCACAGGCCCACACCCTAACAACTCATGCTGTACTGCCCCAGATACAGCATATAGTTACCAAGAGTTGGATCTAATGGGAACTAGAAATCCAAAGTCCATGGATATGACTCATCCAGAAAACAAAAGCTACTATACATAGAGCAGAGGATCAGGTACCGAGAATATCAGACCAATTTTTCTAGATAGTTTTTTTCTAACTCCTACTATTATGTTCATTTCTTCTTTCATCCAAAATAAAATTTATTAATACTATATGTGCAGGCATTGATCTAGGTAAGTGGGAATCATCTTTGATTCCTGTCTTCCCATCTTCCCATCTTTGATCAAGGCAGACAAAAATCTCTGCACTTGAGGAGCTTAAATCCTAGATAGGGAAACAGAAAATAAGCATAATAAAAAGAAATTATACAGCATGTTATAGAGTGGTAAATACATTGTACAAAATAAAATATAGATTAGTACAGTGCTTCAGGGGGTACTGTGCTAAGGTAGGTGGGAGGCAAGATTCAGCATGAAATAGCATGGGCAGGATTACCTTTACTGAGAAGTATAATTGGAGGAAAGACTTGAAGGAAGTAAAGGAATGAATCAGGTAGATATCAAGAAAAGAGCGTTCTCAGCAGAGTAAAGGCACTAAGGCCAGAATGTGCCTGGTATGTTCTAAAACTGGTAACAAAGCTCAGTCTGTCTGAAGCAGAATGAGACTCACTCTCATGACAGATTGCTAGAGGAAGGCCAGACAGCATTGAGCCATATAGGCATTGAAATGACTCTGCCTTTTACTCTGAGTGAAATGGGAAATGAGAAACTATTGCAGGGTTTTGAGCAAGAGAGGGATGTGATCTAACTTATACTTTCAAAAGGATCATTCTGGCTGCTGTGTTAGGAAAGACTAAAGGGTCAAGAGTAGAATACAGGAAACCTGTTGGAGACCATTTCAATGATATAGACAAGAACTGCTGGTGGCCAGGACCAGGTTGTGGCAGTAGAAGAGGTAAGAAGTCATAACATTCTGGATATATTTTGAAGCTAGAGCAGCAGGAAGGTAAGAAAGAAAGGAATCCAGGATGACTGCAAAGATTTTGCCTGAGTAACTGGAAGAAAGTAGTTATCAACTGATATGGATAAGGCTGTAAGTGGAACAGATACTGGAGGAAGATCTTGAGCTCAGCTTTGAACTTGGTGTTGAATGTTTGTTATAATCTGGGCAAAGGTGTTAAACAGGCAGGTAGATATATATAAGTCTGGAGTTTGGAGAGGGAGATCCAAATAGAGATTAAGATTGGAGGTTTCAACATAAAGGTGTTATTTAAAGCCATGAGGTATTATGTTATGTTACCAAGAGGAGACCCTAGCTAGAGAAGAGAAGCGTCTCCAGCAAAGGACACCAAGCAGGAATGACCAGTGAAGTTAGAAAAAAAAATCTAGGGGGTGAGGTGCCCTGATACTGGTGTGAAAGTAGGATGAAAACCTTGCACACATTTTCACTTTCCCAACTTCTGGTTGAATGGAAAGGATTCAGAGGACCTATAAGAGGGGAATCATGCGATATAATGACCCTGGTCACTGGATGACAGCATGAAGCCAAGGAGCTTGCTGCCAACCTGTGATGAAGGCAAGAAGTAACATTTTATTGTACTAGGCCTCTGACATTTGGGAATATTTTTAAACAACTGTTAACCTATTGCTAACAATAGCCTACTGTCAACAATAAAATACTATTTTCAAAAATTTTCAAAAATTTATCCTCAGATTTATGCTCTTTTGAACTAGATCTGAAAAATTATTCCAAGTTAGAAGTTGTGACAACCCTAGGCTCTCAATATGTGTTGACCTGGCATTGGCAAAGCCTGGTTCCAATGTGGACATCTGTGAACTGGGATGGTTAATGGTTTGTTCCTGATGCTCACCTTTAATTGTCTCCTGAAAATAACTATTATTGATGGGAAGCTGTCAGTCAGTTTTTAAGGTTCATCATTAGGGTTGCTACATCTTTGATTGATTGCTGTAGTTAAATAACAATGTCTACCTTCCCTCAAGTACAGAGTTTGGAATTGCATTTGGAGACTTGATTGAAAAATTGTTGTGAACCTGAGGTTGATCTCATGAGCCTTTGTTGTGGTATATGTGTTGGGAGCAAGCCCCCAAAATCTGGCCATAAACTGGCCCCAAGACTGGCCATAAACAAAATCTCTGCAGCAGTGTAACATGTTCATAATGGCCCTAATGCCCAAGCTGGAAGGTTGTGGGTTTACGGGAATGAGGGCAAGGAATACCTGGCTGGCCCAGGGCGGAAAACCGCTTAAAGGCGTTCTTAAGCCGCAAACAATAGCATGAGCGATCTGTGTCTTAAGGGCATGTTCCTGCTGCAGTTAATTAGCCCAACCTATCCTTTTAATTCAGCCCATCCCTTTGTTTCCCATAAGGGATACTTTTAGTTAACTTAATATCTATAGAAACAATGCTAATGACTGGTTTGCTGTTAATAAATATGTGGGTAAATCTCTGTTCGGGGCTCTCAGCTCTGAAGGCTGTGAGACCCCTGATTTCTCACTTCACACCTCTATATTTCTGTGTGTGTGTCTTTAATTCCTCTAGTGCCGCTGGGTTAGGGTCTCCCTAACTGAGCTGGTCTTGGCAATATGTATCCCAGATTATTCATTCTCAAGTTTGTAAAGCCTAGCTTAAAAAAGGACGCGCGTCTGAGTATCTATTGCAATGGTTTCCCAACACACTTAGCATAAAATCCAAGTGTCTTACCACCTCTTTCTTGCCAGCCCCTTGCTGTTCCTGGAGCATGTCTCACATGCTTCCTGCACAGATCTTCTGCAGTCCTTTCTGCAGTTCACACAGATGCTCACAGGGCTTCTTCTCTCACTTCATTCTGACCATTGGTCTCCCTGGCCACTCTACCTAAAATAATAGCTTGCATTACTCTGCCCCCTTTCCCTGCTTCATTTTTATTCATAGCATTATGTCTAAGTTAGGGAGCTACTTGTTTCTTTATTGTCTGTTTCACCCAGGAGAATGTAAGTTCCCCAAGTGTGGCAGTTTTTTCTTATTCAGTGCTGTATTCCCAACACCTAGAACTGTGCCCAGGACATAGCAGGAGCTTGACAAACGTTTGTTGAATAAATGAATGAATGGATTAATAAATGCTTATGGTTATCTGATTTCTCAAAACAACCTTATCTAATTTTAGGAGAGACTGGTTGTTCTTTTCTCACGGTACAAAATACCGTGATGATAGCCAACCTAGATGCAGCCTGAGCATAAGAGATTTCAGAAAATCTGGCAAAAAATGCTTCGGCCCCAGTTTTCTCCACACTCTCCCATTGATCCCTGACTACTACTTTCATGTTTCATTTATTTATTCAATATACATTCAGCAAATGTATATTGAGCATGAATTCTTTTCCCAATTTAATAAAGAAAAAAATTCCACCTCTTTCCTGATGTTACATTTAGTAGAGATAGTGTCATGAGTGAGACAGGCTTCCTTCAAAGGAGAAAAACCCATTGGCTGTTGTTCAAAACTTTTCCGGGCCCAAAGGAAAAAAATCAAAAACACAAAAAACAAGCCCTATCTGCATTAGTAACTATCTAATTTGTAGCCATGGAATCTGTTGGTTTTCATGTTTCTATATATTTTTAGGCACATTAACAACCACAAGTAAAAATACTAAATGTGAAAATGGTTAGATATGTGTCAATAGAAAGTCAGCGTATGAAATGCTTCCTGCCACACTGATTCACGAGTGCTGATTTACATGATTTTATAAACATGGTTACCTGCTCGCAAAGTTATCTAGTGCTTAAAATGTAGTAAGAGTTAGAAGCTTTTTTTCTTTGTTTTTGCTGTGAAAAACTGTGTTTCCTTTAGAGGAGCTCACAATTTATATACTGAAAATATATAAAAGAATTATGTGTCAACAAAATGGTGTTTAAGGTTTTAAATCATCCTAACAGCCAGCCCTGAGACTTCCTCACTAGACATCTCAGAGACTTTATGAAAGTTTTATTCTACAATTCCCTGCTTGCCTTTACTCTTAGCTGCTTCTTCCAGCTATTCATATAGTTTGAAAAATAGAGTTTATATGCTTTAAGTTGCAAGGCATTTAGAATTTTCATAATCTCTTTATTGTGGCTGAAGCAGTCAAAAAAATGAAGCCTACTGTTGATAATATTTCACTGTGCCTTTACTAGATTAACTGGGGCAAGAAGCTAGAACTTCTGGCATTTTAAAAACTCAATTTTTAAAGAAGCCTTTATTATGAGGAAGGTGCAGGATAATTAGTTTCAAAATACTTGGTGAAGATCAAAGAGTGGGGGATAACGAAGCTTTATAAAGAATAGATGAAGATAAGGTTCTTGAGATTAAGAATTTCACACTTTTTGTTTTGTATCTTTGATAGCATGGAGCAATGTGCTAAGCACATAGTAGGGGATCATTAAGTCCTTGTAATATTAATTTGTAAAAATGTAATTGAGAATTACACCTAGCATCAAATTTCAGGTCTTATTTTTTATAAGATAGTAGTATGGAAAATTTTCCTTTGCATAATTATCAGTTAAGAATGAGATATGTTTCAGTAATTGATGAGACAAGTATATGTTCTCTTATTGTTTTGCATAAATTCTCTTAACATAAATTAACCTGTAGTATATCCCCATCACCTGTTCCCTTTGGCCCTCCTCCCATTTGGTTTCTCATTCATGGGTTTAGATATCCATTTTATTCAGTATTTACTGTCTTCTGGATACTTGTGTTCTTTACCCATTGGAAGCTCTTAGTCTAGTGGTAAAGACCAATGAGAAAAGAGGAAAATTCAATTCTGTTTTGATTAACCTCTTACATACTAGAGCTAAGACTCAGTTCATACTTCCTTGTGTGGTAGAAATATTTTTATAGAGATTATTATAAGAAGATGAGACCACAAAACCCCAGGGAATTATGAGCCTCTTGACTTCAAGAAGAGCAGAATTGCAGGATGGTTTTTGATTCAGGTGGCCCTGGGATGTCAGTAGTTTCAGAGCAGAGGTTCCTGAGTCTTCAGGATGTTCTCTTCATTTCTGTGTATCTTACCTTCTGCTTACTTGTGGTTTCTGTGCTATTAAAACTTGTTCTTGTGAGGGATGAATTGTAAGTTTTCTCTAATAATTGGCTTTTAAAATTTGCCCCTGATTCTAATTTTGTCTCTGCATTTCTTAGTTCAAAATACTTAGAAAGGTGAGTGAATTGGTCCAGCCCATGTTTTTTCAAAGAAACCATGGATGCCCTTAGACACTCCATGCCCATCCCTAACTCAATAAATTGTGAAAAGAGGGAAACATCACATAGTAAAAACAGGTCTAAATGCTGTCTGTTCATCAGAGGCTATCAAAGGAGGCATAGAGTAGGCACTGTGTTGATATGTCTAGTTCAAATTTACCCTGTAAGTGCTAGGATGGGATTGTGCACAGAATTCTTGAAGGACACAGAATTGGATCACTTGGTTGAGTCTGGGGATAGTCAGAGCAGACCTCTTGGGGAAGATTACACTTGAGGTTGAGTAGAGTTTGCTCCAGTGAAGAAGTGGAGAACTGTGTTAGGCAGAGAAAACACCACAGTAAGAAATAAGGACAGAAAGAAATATGTTTCGTCGACTGAACCATATATGGTTTAATAAATGTTTCTGAAACTTGAATTGCTAAGTACACAGTGGAGGGAGATAAGAATAGAGCAAGACAGGATCTATGTTAGAATGCATAGTGAAACTGATATGAAAACATTGCCTTATGCAGGGGAGCGACTAGATTGTGTTTATAATTGAGATGCACCATCCTGGTGGCAGATGGAAGCTGTATATAAACATGGTAAGACTGGAGGCAGAGACAACAGGTAGGAGGATAGTTCAGGTAAGAGATTGAAAGGATCCCAACTAGAAAGTTCAGGTAAGAGTAGAAAGAAAGTAATATGTTAAAGCAATATTTCTTGAGTAAAATTGATTCTACTTGGTGACTTGCTAAGATGTGGAAGGTGAAGAGGAGAGAAAAGTCTGGGTTTTAGTTTGACAAAGTTGGTGCAAGGTGGTATTGTTACTCGAGATGCTAAGGAAACACTGGAACGTGATCCTGCTAGAATGTGATTGGAGGAAATTTAACTAGAGAGATGTTATGTTGGGAGTGCCTGGGAACTAAGTATGAAAGAAGTCAATGACTGAGATGAAGAGGAAGAGAAAAAAATGACATTTTAATCCATGAACTGGTCTATCCAGCTTTTCTCTATATTACTGAGAAAAAGCACAGTTGGAAATGGAATAGGTGGGGGCAGGTACAAAAGGGGAAAACCAAAGGTTCATCCCAAAAGAGATTTAGCTTCAGTCATCCAATCACAGATGACTATGCTACCTGGTGTTCCAGCAGCCAGTTCCAGTCTAATGTTGGGAGCCCAATGTGTTCCCAACATAAGACTTGCTGCACCTTCAGTAAAATTTATTCCCATTGACCCTGATGATATAATAGGAGGGTATTCATTAAACTAACAGGAAAGGGTAGTTTGGAAAAAGATGAATAAACATAAACATGTTATCCATTCTTTGAAAAAATACCTACTATGTGGTAGACTTTGTTAAATAACTTAGAAAGCAAAATTTGCTTACTGCCTGTAAAGAACTTTGATGAATTGAAGATGCGTTTAGGAAAATAAAGTAAGTGGGGAAGCATTCATATTAGTAAACAAAGGAAGAAAAGAAGACAAAACCAATAGAATAGAATAAATGATTGATTTGCTTTAGGTAAGAATGACAGAAAAATATGAGTTAGCATGGACTATAGATTGAACAGATTCAACAATGTAAATATAAAAGCAAGGATGATATTGAAATATCTAAATAAAAGTATAGCATATAAGAACAGTAGTGGTTCATCTTCCTAGGATGTCAGATTCCCAATTGAATAGTGTATCTTTTAAAGTTCTTTGGTTTTTATCAACAGAAATAGACCCTGGATATTATTAAGGATTATTTCACTCATAAGTAATAGAAAATTCTATCAAAATGCCTTAAACAACAAAGGAAATCTACTGCCTCATATAACTAAAACTTTCAGGCTTCGGGCTAATTACAGTATCTCCAAGGATGTGGTTTCTTTCCTTCCCCTGTAGTTTTCACAATGTTGGCCTCATCCTAAGACTGGTTTCTCTTGTGATAATAAGGCAGATGCTGACACAACTAGGGCTTCATGTCCATGTCTAATTATTTTAAAATAATTCCCATTGAAGATAGAAGTAACCTCTTTCCTAGAATCCCCGACAAACATGCTCTATATTTGATGGGCCTAAATTCAGTTATATGTCCACTTCCAAACCATTTGCTGTGGCCAAGGGAAGAGGGCATGATAATTAGCTTGAGCCAATCAAGATCTGCTCCTAGAGACAGACATGAAGTCAATTCCACACCAATTGCATGACTAGATGTCTAGAGCCTTGTTAGGAAGAAAGCAAGGGAGGGAGGTGGTTTGTATGTGGGAGAGACAATCAGCTAATGTCTATCACATTAACTTAAAGCAGGAAATGAATGTCTTGGGAGGCCTAGAGGGTAGCTGTGCCTGATGTTTCAGTTTCCTGAAGAAAAGGCTGGAGAATTCATCACAGAAATAGGACATGAACTAGGTCAGCTACTGGGGTCTAGGGGTTGAGGTAACAGGAACCATTTGACAGGCATTTCAGATTATACTGCCAGAATGCCCTAACCTCATTGCTTTCCCATTCTTGTTTTACTCTGCACAGGAGTCAAAGTCACAGTGGAGAGAGTTGGCCAAATTTGGTTCAGGTGCTCACAATTCAACTAGGAGAGCTCGTAGAACATAGACTGATGGTCCCACTGAACTGTTCATAATGGAGAAGAGATACTTGCTCCCAAAGACATTGGGGGTAGTTTTCTAAATAAAGGTTAAAAGGGTCTGGTTTTCCAAACATAAATGTTCACTACAAGTATTATTAGATTCCAAATATAAAAGGGTATAAGGAACTCAGAATGGCTAGATTAAATAAAAAGGATAATTACCAACAAATAGTTTTGACTGAAAATATGTCTGTTCATCAGCTTTTTACTGAGTGTCTAATATATGCAATGTGCTATGTGGATGCTACAATGAATTGTAGAGGTAGGAGGAAAGGAACTTAACCCATTTAAAGAGCATGCAATCTGACACCTTATTTTTAAGGTGAGGAGAGGAGAGCTAGACAGAACAGGACAGTAGTGAGTATTACCAAAGATGGACTAGACCCCTAAACTGCATTATTCTAACCCATCTAGGGTCTTTCTGTTATGCTTTACGTACTCGCTTAGTTGCAAAAATGGTCATAAACCAAACAAACTTCAGAGAAAGGCAGAGAAAGGACCCTAGTACTATCCCATGTTGGAGGCAAGGCTAAGAAGTAATGGGAATGTCTTCCTCCTTATCATCAAAATGGGCAGCATCAAAACCCATTATTAAGACCCTAACCATCCAGTCACTTCAAAACAAGAGCCATCAACTAAAGGGACTAGAGAACTCACTTCAGCCAAAGGTCTGTCAGTAGAGAGGTGGTGGCCAGTGAAGGTAGTGCTTGGCACTTTTTTCCTGAGAACTAAGAAAATTAAAAATAAACTACTGTCTGCTCCAAATAACTTCCATACAGCTATGCAGCAGTACAGAAAAGGGTGAGAAGTGTTGGATCAGGGGCAGGTTCTCTAACTTCTAAAGGTGCCTTCTGCTGCTAAGATTCTGCAGCTTCAGGCTCTTTATTGTATTTTAGTTCAATAAGATTTTTTTTATTTTTTTTAAATCTGTTTGCTACTGTAGTACATTTAAACATCAGCAGATGGGGCCCTTGGTTCCTGTGAAGAATGCCAGGGCTTGAATTTTGTTCTCGTCTGTGCTCTGCGTGAATTTTTCTTGTTGCTTTTACAGCATGTTAAATTTGTACTCTTTATAGTTCACAAACCTTTATTTAATCAAGAAAAATAAAACTCACTAATGGCAAGAGAACCTTTTTTTCCTCTTCTACTGTTCTATAGAGATAAGTTAGATCTGTTTACAAATAGAAAAATGAGACTAACATAATACTCAGACAACATGATTCTGAAACAGCAACAGAAGTCAATGTTGTAATTAATCTGTTGTCCTTAACTCACGAAGCTATGTGGAAGGCTTTTGTTGCATGGACCACAGGTGACAGTTTGGTTGCATCCAAGGTTACTCTGATTCTGCATTATTTTCTCTCCTCTCTCCTGAATTTCGTTTTATGAAGACATTGTGTCAATTGGCTGGTTTTTAGCACTTGCCAATGATTATTATTTTTTTAAGTGATGTTTGTCGATAGTCCATAAAGGGAACAACTGGTCATCTGGTCCTTGCACCTGTTCAAGTGGGTAAGTTTCAGCTTCTTAAAGGTGAGATTCTTTCCCACCAGAAATGTAACAGTCCTTTGAGGAAGGAGTGTAGTTTACTGGGCAGGAGAGATGACAGCATTTGGTCCTCATGCAGTCCTCTCTTGATTTTCTCCCTGATTTTTAACGTGACCTTGCTCTTAAGGATTAATCACTGTTTTTCTTGTGCCTCCAAAATGGGATGACCCAGAATTTTATTTGGTGGAAAGTACTGTGAGGTAACCAGAACAAAATGGTTCCTATGTGCAAAGCTTGATTATATAGATACTTATTTCAATGTGCATGCTGCATCTGTGATTAGTATGATTTAATTGATAGTTTGAAAGAATCTTCCTTAGTTTAATATTTGTTGTAAATAAATGCTTATGCTTGGACAGGTCTTAATAGTGGACTTAAAATACAACAAGAAGAAGACTAAAGGTTTATTGGTGATGGAAGAGATAAAATTGGGCCTCTTTTTTTTGTCATTATTCTGAGTTTAAACAAATAGATCTGTTGTCCAACATCATTGTGCCCTCTTAAGAACTGACATTTCAGTTTGAAAGATGTCCTATGTATTTTAAGGTATATTGCAGATCATACTCATTTCCAAATTTAGGTCTTAAATAGCTAATAAATCTTTAAGAATGAAGCATCTTCATTGATAACATTCTGTGTGTGTGTGTGTGTGTGTGTGTGTGTGTGTGTGTATATATATAATTATATATATATAATTTTTTTTTTTTGAGACAGAGTCTCACTCTGTTGCCAGGCTGGAGTGCAGTGGCATGATCTTGGCTCACTGCAACCTTCGACTTCTGGGTTCAAGCAATTCTCCTGCCTCAGCCTCCCAAGTAGCTGGGACCACAGGTATGCACCACCACACTCAGCTAATTTTTGTATTTTTAGTAGAGATGGGGTTTCACCATGTTGGCCAGGATGGTCTCATTCTCTTGACCTCATGATTCACCTGCCTCGGCCTCCCAAATTACAGGTGTGAGCCACCACACCCAGCCTATACTTTTATAAATGTGTTACCTAATGTGGCAAATTGAGATGCAATTTGCAGATTTAGGATTTGCAGAGTTTACACTGATGAAACTAATGTATTACTTCTGGGTAGAAATGATGTTTGCCTGTGGTTAGCCTGAAGCAAATTTTAGGGAGGAATTGTTCATTTCTTTCCCCCTTTTGTGCTGACAAGCTAAGTGATATATACGGAAATTGTGTGCACTACTTGTGCCTTAGTCTGAGGAACTGCTTATGGGCAAATTTCATTAGTACTTGATTAGTACTTGTGCTAATTAAGCCAGGCACAATTTTGCCTCTGGTATGATGAGTTAAGGCTGGACTGAAAATGTGGCCCTAAATGCATATGTTGGAAGCCTGTAACACCCATATAATCCCGTAGAAAATTCTCACTTGACTCTCCCATCAAGGGTCTAAAAAAGTGGAACAGAGTACTCCATTTCCAGTGCAATTTGAGTTCACTCAGATATGTGATGTGCTAATGTTTAGATTAAGCAGATGGCAAGAAAGGCAGTTGTTAGCTGAGGATTGTTTTTCTCTTTCTGCATATTATTTTCAAACAGTTTAAGAGGTAGGTTACTCTACCTCCTCCCTTTGCTTCTCCCTGAATTAAGAAACATTTAGAAATCCATGGTTCTATTGTTATCATCCTATGCGCCCACGTGCACCCATTTTCTTTGGGTTGTGGTATAAGAATGGTCTCACTGTTTGGTGAGAAAGCTTTGCTGTTTTTGTGATTTCAAAGAAAAAGGAGATAGGTCCTGGCTGAGGCAAGGAATAAAGAGGTGAATTTGGAAACAAAACCTGCTTGGAACAGAACAGATGTTATGCCTCATTCTACATCTCTAATTTCTCCTCTGGGTTTGGCAGTACTGGCCCTGATTCTCCTACTTTTCTCTAGTCCTCTTCCTCCTCCTCTTGCCTTATCCAAAGCCTTTTCCCCCCACTCTACTTCCCTTGCAATTTTGGAGTTTTCCACCTTCATTTTTTACATACATTATGATGTGACATCTTAGTAACTATATAAAAAACAACAAACCCTGGTAACCTTCAGAATTCCTCCAAGCTTGTCTAGCCTCTTGTAAATGAAAAGGTGAAGTTTTAAATATCAGGTTTTATTTATACAGTCATAAAATTTTAGAGCTAACGCTAGACATCATTTCATCTCACTCCGTGTATTTTTTTAGTAAGAGATTTTCTTGGGATTTTGGAGTGGCAGGAAAAGGTAGACATGGGGACAGGAGAGAGAGATGCTGGAGGGAGAGAGGGAGAAGTTTGGGCAAGTTTGGTTTTTATTGTGTGTTTTCATGCAATTCCCTCTGAGGATTCTTCTAGAGATTGCAAAAAATATTTAATTGCTTTTCAATTATGTTGGATATAAGAGCAACATTTCTTTGAATGAAATTCCTAGCTATGGGCAGCTCCAGGGAAGCTTGGCTCAGTTGGGTTAAGTGAGCAAATCTGCAAAGCTACCCTCACCTGCAGCCATCTTCTTCTTCTTCCTTTACCTGGAAGAAATATCTTTCTTTTCAGCCAAGACCAGTCCTCTCACTGGTGTCTGGATCTTCTTGAGTTCTTAAGAATACCAGTTACCCACCCTCTGCTCCCTCCACTTTGCTGCCTTGTCCATTTTTTTCTTCTTCACTAGATTACTCCCCTTGGCTTACATATATGCAGTATACTAGATGCCTGCACCATGCATACTCCTTCTGATATCACCCTCATTTCTTTACCCTCATTTTCAGCAACGATTTTCAAGAGTATTGTCTATGCAGGTCATTGTTGTCTTCATTGCCTTAACTGCCCATTTACTCCTTAACTCATTCTAATCTGACTTCCAATCCCTCCACTGAAACTACTCTTGATAACACAATAAAATGTCTTTCGGTGATGACAGATCCAGATCGTGTTTTTCTGTTTTCATCTTCATTGTCATCTTAACATTCAACATATGGCTAGTGTAATTGAGGAACCAAAGAGCCATGACCCAGTTCCTTTTTGGAAACTTTCTCCTTTCTAGGTTTCTGTGATGATGCACTCTCCTTGTTTTCTCTAATGTCTCTGGCTCTTTAATTTTATTCTCTCTTTTGGTCAGAAATCAATGTCTATTTTGTCTGCTACTTTCCGTATAATGGCTGGTACTGAATCTGGTATATAGTAAGCTCTCAAAAATATTGATTAAATGAATAAATGAAATAGTTTCAGTACCATGAGCATCATGTTTTTCCCTCTAGAGATCCGTGCAGTATGGTAGCTACTAGCCATATGTGGTTATTTAAATTTAAATTAATTAAAATGAAAACTTCCTCAATTATACCCGCCATATTTCAAGCACTCAATAGCCACATGTTTGACTAGTGGCTAACATATTGGACAGTGCAGATTTTTAGAATGCTGCCATAATTGCTGACAGTTCTATTGGCTGGCGCTGTTCTAGTGAGTTTAAATTTAAGTGCAATTGCTGAAGTCTGGGCCATGTAAGTCATAAGGTCATGCAGAAATTTGGGGAAATTATTGTATCTCTCTACAGGCCTACAAAAACATACAGGGCAAATGGTTGACTAGAACAAACAGATATTTCTACTATTATAAAGGAGGACAGAGTAGTATCCTAGTTAAATGCATAGGATTGGTAATGGACAGAATTAAGACCTAGTCCTACTATAACATTTGACAATTATATGTCAAGGGCAAGGGTTTCATCCATTTTGCCTCTTTGTACCTCAATTTCCTTAACCGTAAAATGGAATTACTAGTGGTACCTTTCTTATAGGGTTGCAGAAATTAAAGAGGTTGATGCAAATAAAGTAGTTAGTATTGTTCTCAGCACAAAGTGAGAGCTCAGTAAATGGCAGCTAGTATTATTATTGTTGTTTTTACACATATCCCCAGGATGAAGGCAAACACCTACACATTTCTTCTTCCATTCCATCAGTGCTCTCTAACCCTGCTATAGTTTTTCCAGCCAACATACCAATAGTGAGTAAAGGGTTACACATTCTAGGCAGACATGACAGGAGAGCAGGATTGGAATGCGAGAGTCTTGAAGAAGTCCAGGATTTGACTGAAAATATTTGCTACAGGATGGATAGAATCTTCTAGGGCCCTGCATTTTCAGCTTGAATCTCTGCATGCATGCACTGGGAACAGACTTAGGAAGGTTGGCTTGAGCAGCTTCCACCAGGAGTCCACATGTTCCCCACAAATACTGCACTGTCAAATATCTGTTCTCTTTGTCCTGACAGCACAAAGAAATGCTGTTGTTTTTGCCTAACTGGGAGAATACCTAACTGAAAGATAGACAACCTGGGTTTCCAATGCTCCTCTATTAGATCCTATCAGTTACTTCATAAAGGTATTGTCCAGTTCCCTTTAACATGTGGATAACCACCCACAATTTTTCAGTTTCATCCCAATAATGCTGGTAAGTTAACTACCCCATCTTTGCAGGGACTGACAGAGTCTCTGAAGAAGCACTTCTGCAAGAGCTTGTCATTTGCAGTTTGACATTTCTGACTTACTGTGCCCCATAAGCATGAATTTGGAAATTCCTTTCGGAAGGATTTACATGTCACAAAATTTTAGGATAGGTCTGATTATCATTTGTTGTCTCAGCTTCAGATTTTCTTTCTTATTAGAGACTTACTCAGTTCAGGTCAGCAGCAGTTTCTATAAAAGGAATTGGTTTGCCAGATTTTAACATAGGAAGTGGTTCTGGCACACCTGTTTAGGGTCTTACTAATTTCTTGAGTGTAGTAATTTGAGCAAATCACATGTGAAATACTTTTTTGGGTAATATCCGTTAGTACAAGAGCCCTGATTGCCTCTCTTCCTATCCTCTGTAGCACCAGACCCAGCTACTATTAGTAGATTCCACAATGAGCTGCTTCATTTTCAAAAGTACTTATGGTCAGCTTTTAAAAAATTAGAGTGTTTTAATTCAATCTGACATCTACTAGAACAGAAGATTGATTCAACTTAACTTTTGTTTTGTTCAGATGTGATTGCCAATGACTAATTTCCATATTTCTAGCCTTCCCATCACCTTCCTGATCTCTGTGTCTGCCAAGTTCACTGGGTTAGAACTTGAAACTAGTGTGATCTTCCAGCCCCAGGGTCCCATAAAGCCCCTGTAACCTTGCCTAATGGTACTGTCACAAGAGGGACAACTAGACGTCTATATAGACCATGACAAATCTTTCTTGGAAAACAGTTTTGGTGCTTGCCCTTCTCAAGATGGCTGAGTGCATCATCTTCCTTTCTAAATAGCAGCATATTCTTTAGTCTTTAACTGCAAAAAATTGGATTTACAATTTAATTAAATGCAGAATTTTTAACTGGGCACCACAAAATATGGTTTTCTAAGTCAGTGAGAAGAAATATTAACTTTTAACCCTTTGGTTCTTTCTAGTAATAATGTTTCCATCAGTACTCACCCTGAAAAAAAAAAAAAGCAGGTAACTTTATGATTTGGAGCATATGGAATGGTCTTTATATAGACATAAAAGATTAAAAAGATGAAATGTTTTCCTCTCTATTGCTGAAACAGCCAAAGAAAGAGGAGGAGGACTGATAGACAGCAGCCTGTTTTCTATAGGGAATATATTAAATACCCTTGATAATGAGAATGTTAGCTCCAGGGACAAAGAGTTAGTTCATTTAAATGATTATTACTTTGTCTCATTTGCTTTTTTTTTTCTTTCATACTTTTTTTTTTTTTTGGTATTTTTCTTTGAGCCACGGTTTCTGTCCTTTACCAAGTATTTACAATTTCTTTCAAGTGAGATCAAATGGGATTGCACTTCCTGTTTCATGGGGGTTGGCTCCACCATTGAAAATTATGGGTGCCAGGCAGAAAGAAGCGGGTAACTAAAGGGAGATTTCTCCCTTTAGAAGGAAAAGCTTCATTTTAGTTGAAAAGGAAAGACAATGCAGCTGTTTTGAGTAGCTTACATCTTTAGAAATGCTAATGAATGTGATTGAATTTCACTGAAAGTGGGACTGAACAGTGCAAGTCAAAAAGAAAAAGGAGTTTTGAGGAACTAGTCTCATTTAGAGACAAAGATCTTATTTACAGTAACTTTATCCTAAGATCTCCATTTGCAGTGCTCCTAATTTAAAAATATAGAGCCAAAGCAAAAATGTTCACCTAAGCTTTTGGCTCATCTCGGGTTTTCTCTAAATTTCTTTTTTTGGGAGAAGCATTGTTCTCAAATAATAACCAGTTCAAGAAATTTGGTGTCAAATTCTGCTAGCCCATCCTTGTTTAATTGAATAGGGTATGCAAAATTGAGAAACAATGCAGGCAGGCAAAAGGAGCCCCTTGCCTCTATTGAAGGGCTCTGGTGGTAATGGTAAAGTGAAGAGAGCAGTGGAGCTGTGTAATTGCCAAGGATTACTGTTGTTATTCTTCATTATACATGGATTTTTAAGGATAACAATTGATCTATCCATGTCGGCAACCAGTTCTCAATTTTTGGGGGATTTGAAGGGAAGTCTTAGATAGCTACAAATGGTAAACTTGGCCTGTTTTGGATTCTTGGGCTTCCTGCGGAGATTCTGCTCATGGCTGGGTGTTAATGAAGCATCCAAAATAAAAGATGGCAGGGAAGGCAGAAAGTAGGAGGCCCTTGCAAAGAAAAAGAAAATAGCTTTCTCACCCATCGCTAGGTTCATGGGTAGGGCCCCATAATAAAAACTAGATTAACAAGAGAAAAGCACACACTTTATTTAATAAGCTTTACATAACACAGGAGCCTTCAGAAATGAGGATACAAAGAAACAGAGAAAACTATGTATTTTTATAAATCCTTTATAAATAATTTATAAATCCTTAGGTTTGATGAAGAAGTAAGTAGTCACGCAAAGGCATGATTGGACAGAGTGGGTATGATAGAGAAGTGGTAATAAATTGGGGTGAACTTAGCAAAGCCTGTTTGATTCTTCTCTGTATCCCCTTGTCTTCAGAAATAAGGATATTCCTTTCCTGCAGGTGTAGGGTGGGTACCTCTTGAATGAGGGTCTTATGTCCTGCGTCAGGGGAAAGGAGCAGGAGAAGTGACCTTCCTAGGTTTTATGATCTGCTTCAGGAAAGAAGGGCAAGGAGATTATGAGAATAGCTTCTGCTGTTTTCTCAAATGCCAGGGTGCTATATTTTGGGGGTAGTACCGTCCAAACTCCATCACTCTGAAGAAACCTCTGATCTTTACATAATTCAGGCCCATCTTCCTGACTTCCTGTTCCAGGGTTCCCTTTCAGTCATCCTTTCTTTATCTTCATCTTCCCATTATCTGAATCAGTTTAGAGTCAGGAAAATAAAATGTAGAAATAACGAATGTGGAGCAATTGCTTGCATCTATGTATCCCCCAAGATTTTTGCGTTGTTTTATATATATATATATTTTTTGACACTGATAGAACCCTCAACTTAGAAAAAGTGCATGGCCCTCAGTAAATACTTGTGGAGAAATGCAGAATAAATTTTACTGGTAACTTGCTATCTCACCTTCATCCTGCCATCAGAGCCTCACTGGAGTGCGATAGCTGGGAATATCTGGTTTTGAGCAGGATGACGTGGCCTCCTTGTACCTGCACATGATGAGCTCAGTGAATACTGAAGGAAAGAAGGAAGGAAGGGAGGGAGGAAGGTAGGTTACATTTCACTTCACACAGGATGACATGAATACATTTGTTTGGAATATAAACTCAGAAAAACAACTGAGATACTGAGGAAGAACATGTTACTACATCTCAACATTAAGTACGTAAAATATTCTGCACATTTTGGACAGATGCATTTCTTACAAATAAGTACAGCTTTGCTTTATCTGCTTTGAATGTTAGGGCTTTAATAGTCTCTGAATATACAAGCATTTTGACCTTTGGTAGCACTCTGGGACTAGGTATCTTTGTATTGAAAGAGGAGAATGCCGAGGAAGGCCTTTAGAAGAATTTCTTAGGGTAGATAGAGACATTTAAATCGAAATGAAGGTACAGAGAAAGCAAAGTGACCGAAATGCAGTGGGTTCAATAAGGCACCTGGGGAACAGGAAGGCCTAGGCACTGGTTGCCTGTGTCTGGGTGTGAACTGGCAGGAAAGATCTACTAGACAAAGATGCAAGAGCATGGGCAATTCAGCAAGCATGTCAAGGGGCAGAGCGGGAACAGAGGAATCTCAGAATAATCTTCCTTAGCAGAGACTGGCAAGGCATCTGTGAAGAGGAAGGCATTAGATGGAGCTTCTCTCTTCAAGGGCCAACTTAATAGAATAAATTGTGGGGAATGTAGAGCGCCATTCTCATCCAGTGCAGGAGAGCAAAATATAAAGCAAACAAAACCTTCTAATACATTGAGGGAATTGTGTTGGTGTATCAAATCATTTTTGGCTTTCATCTTTGCTTATGGCAATTTATTCATGCCATAAGCCATAATCATACTTTTTTGTCAGAGTGACTGAGTGGAGAGGTGAAGAGAGGATTGAAGAGAGCAGGAATGTTACATGTACTAAAAGAGTTTTGGAGACAGAATCTTGGTTACAGAAATAGATGTTATTTAACCAGAAGAAGCAGCATGTTGAATGTAGGGAGTAAAAATAGCCAAATTCCCTTTGCCTGTAGTGGTGCTAGGAGTCATCTTACTGTATGAAGGTAAAAAATTCAGCAGAGCTAGGAATGTCAGGTTAGGGATCCCTGAAGGGATTATGGCATCTCATCTCTGGCCATCTCTGAAAACACAACTTTTGCCTTAGGCATTGTTTTACCTGAGACATAAAAGCACACACCTAATGTCATGCTGACATTCTTTACAACCCCGTGATTTTTATGAATTGAACTTGTTGGGAAATGACATCAGAAACCAGAGATAACTGGGCTTGAAAAACAACATGTATGGAAAGTAAGATCAAGGACCAGGACACAGAATATGACAGCAGGGACCAAGGGTCTGCCTGATGTACCTACTATGGCACTATTGACCCAATAGACATAGTCACCTGCATGAGGTTTTGGTACCAGCAACACCTCATTGTGCCAAAAGCAAACAAGAGTGTGTTTACAACTACATCTGGATTTGATCTTTATGCCTCGGACAGTCCAGCTTTGTTTCCATCATTGGATGTGGGCAGGTCATGCTTAACCTCTGTGACCCAAACCTAAGAGATCACCCTGGCTTTGTTGTATTCAGAAGCTCTTGGAAAGCTACCTTGGTGTTTGGAGCTGCTGCCAACCTTTTTCCACATAAATTTAAAATTACGAGGCTTTGCCACTTCTCCCCATGTGTTAAAGAGTTGCAAAAAGCCACTCTGAGTTCACTTTCCTTTAAGAGCCCTTTTTTTTCTCACATCGAAGCTGTCAATTCAAAAAAGGCTTGTTATAAATGGATTAATTTATGGCAAGATTGTTGATTGACAGAAAAAAGTTTGTTTTGTATGGATTTGACATCGCAGCCATGCATAGCCAATTTTCCCACTAACAGCTTCTTTATGGAAGAATTCTTCCAGCCACATTGCATAAACAGCTGTTGGAAACATCTTTGCATCGATCATTTGTAATAGTTTATTAAAGTGGTACCTGGCAACATGTCTATATAGTTAAAGGCTTGCTCATTACCAAACCCCATTTTTCAGGAGTTTATTACTCAAGCTTTTCCAATCATATCACACTCAAACCTCAAAAGTGAACACTCACTCTAGGCACTGTCTCCTTCTTTACTGAGGGTTCTGAAGCAGGGGCTTCATTTCTTAGAGTGACATGTGCCATGATTGATTATGCATCAGCTTTTTGGGAAAAAAAGTTTTTTTTTTTTTGTAATCATTTCTCCCTCTGAAAATAAGGTTTTGAGTATTGGTAACTTTTCTTCTCCAGATATAAATATTTTCAGAAGGGATGTCCTAATTATCATAAGGATGCCCTTCTGATTTTTAAGTTTATATTTTTATACTCCTGTACCAGATTTGGACCCATCTCTTAATCCTTTGGATGCCTGCCATTTTCTCTCCTCTATTCTTTCTCTATTTTCCTTTCCTCATACAACAAAGCCCTCCTTGACTTGCTTTCCTCTTTGTCTTTGAATTGAATGTAGCTTTCCATTCTTAAAGTCTGTACTATAAAGCAGGTGAAAAGATGGACTTACTGAGACTAGGGTTAGAATGCCAGCACTTTCACATGCTTCGTGACTTCAGGCAAGATATTTTGCCTAAGTCCCTGTTTGTTTTCTCACCTAAAAAAGTGGGGGCTATAATAGTACCAATTTCTTAGGCTTGTTTTAAGGTCTAAATAAGCTGATACACGTAAAGGGCTTGGCATAGTGCAAGAGTTTAACTACCTAGTGGCTGCTGCCCTACAAATACAGGTCAAGGTAGGATTAGGAGATTACCCTCATTTTTCTGCCTGCTTGGATCTTCCTCTAGTCTTCTTCTGAGGTCAGGGCACATTTTGTTATAAATATTGATATTTCTTAGCTCCTCCATGGGATACTGGCAGCTTTTTTTGGCAGCTTCTGCGGCAATGATGCTTCTTGCCCCAAACTTGGTATTTATGGAGCTTCCTCACAGGGGGTAGAGGAGGAAGGTGCATAATGAACTGTGATACTCCATTAGCCTGGATAAGCCCCAGAGCATATGAAGAGCTGAAGGAGCCAGCTGGCTCCCCAGTAAGCCCTGGTGCTGCCAAGACTCACTGATTGCTGACGAGGAAGCAAAGAGGAAAGGCTGGTGCTCGGAGGAGTGAGGAGGGCATTCCTCCCACCAAGATTAGAAAGTGATTGCTTAGGCAAATCATGAGGATTGAATAAGCTAATGAATGCCTTGAAATCCATCGACAAAGATTCTATTAAAATCCATTGTATTAGTATGTCATTTCTAATCTCCAGGGCAGTGGGTCTTTGAACAGGATGGGAGCAAACTTTCTTGTGGATGAGTTGCAGTCCTTGAACTGACTTCTAGATCATATCCACACACTGCATGCAAAACATTGTGCTAGACTTCCTCCTCCAAAACGATCAGACTTCCACAGCTGGATTCTGAAAAAGAAAAAGAAAAGCTGATTCCACAAATGTTGCTGGTAGGAAAAAAACCCATGTAAACTTTCTTTCCTTTCTTTCCTTTTAAAAAAAAGTTTATTAAGAATGAAAAGTCCTCTGCAGTTGGACTTTACTTGTTATTTTCCACAGATTTAAGGGGAGATAGTCAAAGGCAAAGTAAGTAATGTTTTCCAGCAGAAATGGAGTATTTTTCCTTCTGTCCTCACAAAAATGTTGCTATGTGTGTCAGTTATGGAGGGTACATCACCCTCCTTTCTTCAGAAAATGTTCCTTTTGCTGCTGGTAAAAATAAAAATTATCCTCCTACTATGCATGCAAATTCTCATGGAAATATGGTTTTGCTCCTGAAAAACATCAGAAAGTAAAAATTGAAAATGTCGTGACATGTTTTCAAATCTACCGAAAATGCTCATATGAAACAGCAGTTTTTGGAGTTACCATGAAAACCATACTCAGTATGAATGTGCAAAATTATGACTTTGCACACTATTGCTTTAGTATACGCACCTGAGAATTTTTTTTTCTTATTTGATTTTCATGAGACTCAAACTTCAAACAAATAGAACTAATCAAACCAGACAGTTCTCATCCAATGCTTCAGTATAGGCAGTAATAACAGTTGAGGGATCTTATTTGAAAGTACTGGTAATTCATGAGCTCTGCTATGTTGATGCTATTTGGTGATCTGCACTCTTGTGATGCCATTCTCCACAGTGACAAAAGGCAGAAAAATCAATGTATTTTGACATTATTCCAAAAAGCACTCAGGGAATAGTAAATTTTTTGAAAAGAGGTAGACAGAAAAGATTGGCATTTTTCAAGGCAGAAGTGTAACTTTATGATTCTGGTAGCACCACCATCTTTGAATCTCATCTGAACACGTTGGGAGGAAAATCATGGCTAATGAAAATAGCCATCAATTTCTTCTCCTTAAATTGGGGGATGGTCCAATGCTTAAGCAATTGCTGATGGAATCCCCCAGTAAGAGGTCATCTCAAAGTTTTCTGCTGAGTGAAATCACCACATTTGCAATCTGGGGATACGTTCCATTTTCATGACTATTTGAAGATATCCCAAATGGCAGTACTGGAAAGTATTTGGACCAAGAATGATTGACAGTGTCTGTAAGTACTTATTACGTCAAGGCTTTAGTTCGTCGATTGATGGGAAATGATGTATAATAAATTAGAATGATCACACATCATTTCCCATCGATTGAAATGCCAAATCCTTGACGGAGTAATGAGTTATGGCCAATACCACTCACTGTCTTAGGAGGAGATTGATTGCATATCCTTTCATCGATGCGATCAAACAACACGAAATTCTAAGTACACATCTAGCTCCCAAATTTTACCATCATTCCAGTGCAGAGCATAAAGTTAGTGTTGCCTTGGTGAGTACAATGCCATGTGGATATTGGAGCGTGGATATTCTTCATCATCTGATGCAGTGAGAACCTCATTCCCCACAGAAATACAGATGCGTCCTATGTGCAGAGAGACTCAGTGAAGCACCATTAGCCATCCTAGCTACAACAGAATTCATTTCCTTTATAGAACAAAAAAGGAAGGCTCCCAGGTCTCTTCACAAAGAGAGCATGTTGACAGTAAGCTCAATGGGATGAGTGTTCAGTATGTTCTGGTAGCCAGTGGGTGGGTATTTTTTCCTGTTTCTCTTGTGTAACTTATTCTCAGTATCATATGCTTTCTAAATCCTTCCAGTGGGTAAGACCAATTCATGTTCCTCTCAGGTAGGAAAAGCAGTTCCTTCTCATCTCATGATTAAATAGCAAAAGTCACCAGCTGTGAAAAATTTTTGTTTATTTAGCTGGTCAACCTGTCTGTTTTTTCCCAGTGGAGGTGTGAAACCTGGCATGATGCATGAAATTCACATTCTTTGTTTCTCAGTCCACATTCGATGATAATTTCTAAGGCCTTTTTGGGCTTGTTATGTGTTCATAGGCAATTTAAGGCTAAAATGAATAGAAGCCCTTTTAAAACTTTATTCAAATCATTCAATAAATGTGTTTTTGAGTAGCCACTATGTGCAAGAGATTGTGATACCCTTTAAAAATGTGTTTTGGCAAACACCCCAACATAAGAACTCTGTCTCAGTTAGAAAATGTCAAAACAAACAAGAAAACGCCTTTCTTTCATGCTTAGATAATGTAAACTGTTTCCCAACTTTCTACACAATTAGAAGCACTTGATCTCTTCATAAATTGAAAGCTGCTAGACTGAAAGTCTGATGAGGGTAGAGAATATTGTCTGTCTTGTTAATTGCTGTGTACTCAAAGCCTAGGGAAGTGCCTGACACATGTCAGGGAATAGTCTTGAATGAATAAATAAAAGAATGAATGATGTATTTGGAATTATAAGGCTTTTCAAATACTGGTAACTTGATGAATTTTTTTTAGAAATCACCACTTCTATAGTCACTTTTTTCCACCTGGTAGAATTATAGTGGCCATTAAGATTATCTCCAACATGGTTATATAACATTTAGCTATTGAAGGAGGGTGGAGTGGAGAGAGAAAGCAGGCAGATGGAACTAACATTTAGTGATTCCCACCTCCAAGGTGTATTACACATATTTTCTTATGGCCACTCTGTGAAATATAAAATATGTATCATCCTCATTTTACACATGTGACACCTGGGATCCTAAGAGATTAACTTTCTCCAATTTACTCAGATAGTGAGGAGGACTACAGGTCAGCCAAACTCAAGTCTGCTGCTGACCTATTCTTGGGGAATCAGGCTTCCAAAGACTTTAAGGTAAGAACCCAGAGGACCAGAGCAGAAATCTGGCCTGAGGATTATAGTTAGAAACTCGAGATGTCACTGTTCCAAATAAGGCAGGTGGGCCAGACCTGGTGGCTCATGCCTGTCATTCCAGCTCTTTGGGAGGCTGAGGCAGGAGGATTGTTGAAGCCCAGGAGATAGAGGCTGCAGTGAGTTATGATTGCACCACTGCATTCCAGCCCTGGTAACAGAGTGAAAACCTCTCTCAAAACAAACAAACAAATAAAGAACAAATAAGGCAGAAGGATATGGATAATGCAAGGTCCATAGGTACATAGTACGTATCCCTGTCCTTGCAGTAGATACACAGTAACTGTGAGTACTTCTCAAATGATTAATTGAATGAAATAATAGATTGGATAAATGAATGACCTATGAGACTTTTAAACTGTCAGGGAGCTAAAACATCAAAAGCACAATGCTTGACTCTCAATACCACTTACTTGTGCAGTCAGAAGACAATTAGTGGGGCTGCGCATGGTGGCTCACGCCTGTGATCCCAGCACTTTGGCTGAGACGGGCGGATCACGAGGTCAGGAGATCGAGACCATCCTGGCTAACACGGTGAAACCCCGTCTGTACTAAAAATACAAAAAAATTAGCCGGGCGTAGTGGCGGGCGCCTGTAGTCCCAGCTACTTGGGAGGCTGACGCAGGAGAATGGCGTGAACCCGGGAGGCTGAGCTTGCCGTGAGCCGAGATCGCGCCACTGCACTTCAGCCTGGGCGACTGAGTGAGACTCTGTCTCAAAAAAGAAAAGAAAAAAGAAAACAATTAGTGGGCATTTACTTGATTTTTACTTTATCCTATAGCTACTATAGATTAATAATATTTTCCTTGCCCTCAGTGAATAGTCTGTGAACAAGTATTTATAAGGTGATAACATAAGTGCTAGTGGAGGTAAGTGCAAAACAATATAGGGGAGCGGGATATGGAATACATAAAATTATATTTGGGCTGGGAGAGGAGTGGAAGACTTAGGGAGACCATTTAGATTAGCTTGTGTTTGCACATCCTCTGAGAGGAAGATGGGGATTTCCTCTGAGAGGCAAGGAGGGAAGGGTTTCAGTCAGTGGGAACAGTGTGCAAACCAGCATGGCATATTTAGGAAACTACAAAATATACATTAAAATTTATTCTAGTCATACCTTTTTTCTAGAAAAACAGAATTAGGCTGGGTCTATAGGGCAAACAAGCAGACTCTAATATGACATAATAATATTGGTATTCATAAGAATTACTGCAAGTTTCCACACAGCTGATTTGGTCACAGTTATTAATTGACATAGAAATGGTTAGATGATCTCATTGCCTGGACCATAATTATTAATTTCTGAGTAATTTTTAAAAGTGATGGCTTTAGTAATATTTACATCAGGTTGCAAAGAGCACTGAGCTTTAAGAGTAGAGTTATTGGCAATGAAGGAGGAAAAGGTCAATTCTATTGGCCTCTCCTCTTATTCAGACAAGTGGAATATATCATCAAAAGACCATCTCCTGAGATAAGCACAATATACGGTAACAGGACAACACTCAAAGACCATCTACACCTATGCAGACTGAGATTCTTCCAAGTATACCAGAATTCCCAGTGGAGCATCCTGGGGCAGCATTTACTGTTGCAAATTCACTAGCAGGCAATTCCCTGATTCTATCTTCAGGAAACCCAATCCTGATAGAATTTGCAACACCGTTTATATTTCATTGATTATATTGGTAATCCCTACCTTTGAGCGAGTCAAAATCTAGCTGTCTATTTAATATTATTTTTTTCTATCCAAAATATACTTTCCTATGTAAAGAATATCATGTGGGATGGTTGGGTTCAGGAACTGTCCATAAAGCCCTGTCTAAACCATTGTGCACACATTTTGAAACCAGAAGAACTAACAGTTCAGGCAAATCATATTTCAGTTACACTTGTTGCATGTAACAAGGTTTCAACAAGAATGTCAGTCCGAGCCCAACTGAATACTGGGATCCACTTTTGCAACAGTGACCTCTCTCCTGGCAAGAGTCCCTTCTCATAGTGTGCCCATAGCTTATAAACTC
This sequence comes from Homo sapiens, assembly GCF_000001405.40. Taxonomy (NCBI): domain Eukaryota; kingdom Metazoa; phylum Chordata; class Mammalia; order Primates; family Hominidae; genus Homo; species Homo sapiens. Next base: position 88,286,853 of record NC_000001.11, on the reverse strand, counting down.
TCTTCCTTTCCACATCTGCATAAAAATAGAAGCTCATTAGATCATCTACTTGCTACATATTTTATATTAAGAGAAAAAAGGATGGTAACCTTTGTGGGTAGTGGGAAGTGGTTCTTCCTCCACAGTTTATGTATGTGGGTTGTTTGTAAACCAGGGAAAAGATGTGCTGTTATGATGTTAACATACAGGGTCACAATAATGCACGTTCTCCCACTTCTAACCTTGGATTAATTTGCTCAGCATATCTATTCAATTTATTCTTAAAGGCAGAAATTATAATATAAATGAAACTTGTATAGTGATTTGAAATTTACAAAGTACTTTCACAGCATTGTTCTATTTAATGCCAACAATAGCCCTTTGAGTTGGGTGTTTTATCTTTTGAGGGTAACTGAGATTGTGATGTGAAGTGAGGTACCCAAGGACCCACCTCTATTAAATGATGGAACTGTGATTCTAAGCCAGATTTCTGATTGACAAGTCCAGTCTGTGTATGACATCAGACTGCATAGCAAAATTTATGTTGTCAAAAGACTAAAGGTTGAACACTAAAATCAAGTTACAGCATTTGTACCAGTCTTTCTTTTAGGAAATGGAGAATCCTTCTCAGCATTAACTTGGGGTTTCCTTAAGTCCACCATTACAGAAACAATTGGATTTTCTGCCAAGAAACATTAAGGCTGATTTGACAAGAATGACGAGGCACTTTAAGAGTTGATTGACTGTTAGTATAAGGCCTTTAGAGCTTGCTAAAATTGCATCAACTATAAGTGAAAGAAATGGAAGTATCTACCCAGAGTTTCAAAGAAAACCTGTGATCTCAAGAACAAATGGTAGGATGGTCACATATCTCTACATTCATCCAACAACTCTCTGATTTCTATAATATACAAGTTTATTTGGTTCTTCTGCAATGTTCTATGACTCTCAACGCTCAGGGACCCACTGAGGTCTAAACTGATCAATGAGAAAAAACCATTTTGTGTTTATTGAAAGACTTTCAGAAGACCTATTTAGCTGAGACACTTGCTGAGATATGTTTGCAATTCTGTCTTAGAACTTCCAATCTGAGGTGAATTTGCCCTCCTGTCACCATATCTATAGGTTGTGGCAACACCCGAAAGCAATGAAGAACAAGATCTTTGAAGCTGAGAACTCTGCTGAAACCAAGATGAGTGATAGAATCTTCCATTATGAATCTATACTTCCTGTGGACTCTTAGTGACAATAATTATTTTAAAATTATTGTACTTGTAAAGAAAAAAGACTAGGCAGAGTTTTCTCTCCATCTCTTTTTCAAATAATATATCAAACTAGAGTGCAGTTTAGTGTAACTAACAGATTTTTCATTGTTTTCCAGTTAAAGAAATGAACACAGACAAATGAGCAAACATCTTTTACATATGGTTATCTTTAATCTCATAAAATTCTGGCTTTTAAAATTATTTTTAAAAGAAGATTCTTAACTGTGGATTTCCCCTAATCTTTGCATTTAATTAATGATCATTTATATTAGGATCTTCTCTGCCCCTTTTAGGAATGAAATTCCAACATGAATATGTTATCTAATCCTCACATTACTGCAATAATGTACTTGGCCACTGAGAAGCTTAGTGTTAGGAAAAATAACCAAGAAATAATCAGGCCCAGGGTTATTGGGAAAATAACCAAATAAATGGTCAACTATCTAAATAGACTCTGACCTGTAGATAAGCCCATGTTGATTTCTAAGTTGTGTCACCTGCCTGATGCTATCACATTTGGTAGTGTGAAAACAGATTTTTAAACTGCCTTTGCTGAGATAATAGGAAATGAGGCTGGTACTTAAGGTGTAGAAGACTAATTTTACGTGAATAAGCCCACATTAAATTAAGCACTAGTGCCAGCTGAAATCAGTGATGATGTTTTAGACTTTTCTAAATGTTTTCTCACATTTTAGAAGATAAATTTCACCAACCATCACCCGAGCAAGTCTAGAAGCCAACTATTACTGTTTGAAGTTCAATACCATTAAAACATGTTTAAAGTTCTGATCTTTTAGCTATTCCGAATTTCTCTCCTAAAAGATGGTGCAATTAGAACACATTTTCTCAAACCTATACTATTGACATTTTGGAAAACAATTCTTTGTTGTGGGGGGCTGCTTTGTGTGTTGTAGGATGCTCAGCAGCATACTGGCTTCTACCGTGTATGCCAGTAGCTCCTTCCCTTCAGTTGTGACAATGAAAAATATCTCCAGACATTGCCAAATTTTTCATGGTTGGTGGCAGGGGAAAGAGAGGGGATACACATATATGCAAAATTACCCTGATTGAGAACCATTGAGGTAGAAGCATAGACTTCTGGGTTCCACACCTTTGTAGTTTCTGTAGATATTAAAATTGAAGGTGAGTGGGCTTAATGACACATCCCAGATGACATAATTGTTTAGAAGCAGAGGTAGAAATCAAACCCAAATCTTGTGATTCCTATAGTGTTCTTCACATTGCAGCATATTATTTTTGAATATTGTTATGGAAGGAATATTTCATTGACTCACAAACACTAAGTCATTATCCAAGAACGTTTTGGCAGCATTGAGATGATGACCGTAAGAACTGAGTCAGAAAGAACACATTATTTATATGAATGAAATGAAAATACTAAAAAAAAGCTCTATTTGCTGTTACAGTCCAATCTTCCAGGTATTTGGGTAGTGATAAACAAATAATGTCTAAACTACTGACAAACATTCTCTCCTTACCCAAACTCTACTCAGGGTCCCCTAGACTGTTTTTCAACTAGGCTTTCCTTTTGGGCTTCCATGTTTGTGTCTCCATTGTCCAATTTTAGTGAGAATCCTGCTAAGTCATTTTAACTGGAACCCTCCCACCCACCCCCTACCCCTTACCCCCTACCCCATATCTGTTCTCTTTCAATAAATGAGTTCATCGTCCTCCACCATGCCCAGGTGAGGTCTGGTCATCCTTGCGTGCCTTCAGCAAGAATCATGTTAGGTTGTTATAGTCAGGATTTCCCACTGATCCCTGATCTTTCCTTGTAGTAATTTTTCATTCACTGATCACCCATTGCTGTTTAGGTATAAATTCCTACTTACCCATGCTGTATTTGGAGTTGAGCCTAATCTCTCTTCCTCATTGCACAATCCCATTGTGGTGGTCCCTAAGCCTATCACAGTAGTCCTCCCTGCACCTGATAAAGTTTGCCTTACCACCTCTAAGGAGTGTTATGAATATGTTTTTCTTTAACACTACTCATATAGCATATATAAAGTTGTAACCACAATGAGATCAATCTGCAAAAGTCTCTTGCCTGCTACCACTTCATTTGAGGTAGGAAATTGTTGCAAGTGTCATGCCACTTCCACATTTTGTAACTAAGGATAGAAAAAAATGTGCCTGGCAAGAACAAAAACGACAGACTGCATTAACAGCCTGGGGCACTCATTATGCCAGGATATATGTACTTAAGCTGTGATGGAGGCTGCCATCTTGGATTGACCCCATTAGCCATCTCTGGTCCGGTAACAAGAAGTAGTGGAAGCCATCTTCCTCCTCTAACGAAAATATTGCCAAGAAAGTACACTGCTGTTCAACCAGCTGTTTGAGGAATTGAAGAGGGTGAAAAGAAGGTAAAAACAAAAGGGGTATATTTTGCATTTTCTACTTACATATGAATATGTACATATGATGTATTGGGGCAACTCTCTCACATATGTCTCGCTCTCCATCACACACTATGCTAACCATTTGTCACATTCAAATATCAATTTATCCAAAAGTTTTCTATGTTTTCTTTCTTAGACTTATCTCCCTTCTTTATACCATTTTCACTGAGCTATTTGATTAAAAACGTTAATTTTTTATAAGACATTTTATATCTTACGCTGTATGGAAAGTGCTTTGTGTGAAGGGTATATTTATTTGAAACAAAGTTTATAGTTCATAGTTTGCTAATAGTCCTAATTGGCTTCAGTTTAGGGGAGATTCTAGATAGTTCAAGGTTTGTGGGGACAAGTGTTTTATAATAATTTAAAATATCTGAGGAATAAGGAATATACATCATATTGGAAAATATAAAAAGGAAGAATTATAATTGAACATAATTTTATCATCTGGAAATTATACTGTTAATGCTTTTCTTTCTCTCTCCTATACATATATGTATATGTGTGCATATATTTCAGATTCTATAGTAAATATGGTTTTTGCTACTTTTTTCATATTGTTATGGTTTTTCATGTCTTTGATTATTCATGTATATTCCAATTATATGGAGATACCCTAATTTATGTAACTATTTTTAATTTTTTTCATTGAATTTTATTTGGCTATAATAGTATAATAAAATACTATGTAATACAATAATAAATTAATGATATGATTAATCCGTATGTTTAGTTTTTTCTGATATAGTATTTCCTACAAGTCAAATACTGGATCAAAGACCATAAAGACTTACAGAACTCTTGAAACATATTGCCCTATTGCCTTCCACCAGATAGATTTGTAAAATTTCCATCATAAATGCATGACAGGATTTTAATTGAAATAACAACACACAATTGCTGAATAGGAGTCAACATTTAATAATTCAACAATATCTTTATATAGGTCCTTCCATTGCTTTGGGACTGTAGATGTTTTCTTTAAAGTTAACAGCTTTTAATGAGTAGGCAAAAATAAAAATTAAAAGAACCTGCCATGGGCTACCAAAAAATTTTCCATTAAAAATCAGAATCACTAAAGATATCTAATGTTCTTTTATATTTAATATATATCATCAAGCTCGACTTTTTTCTCGATTCAAAATTTAATGACATATTAAGCAACTATTGTATGCCACCTCTGTAATCTCAAATCTGGTTGGGGCGATAAGAAAAGTGCATAATTAACGGTAATACAGTGACATAGATATTAAAATAATAGACAAAATGCAATGGAAACGTGGTAGGGGAATGTTTAACTTTTCTCTGGAGGATGGAGCTGGGAAAAACTTTGCAGAAGAGGTAATTTCTAAAGAGTGATTAGTAATTTTTTAGGAAAGGGAGAAAAAAGCTTTGGAACAGAACAATATCAAAGAGACACAGGAACATGAATTTATACAGGTTGTCTAGACAACAGTGGTAATGAGGTATGGCTGGCACATAGGAGGTTGTGGTGTTAACATCGAATTTTGAATTCCCCGTTAAGATCTTGTTTTGACTTATTCTGTAGTCAAAGAGGAGCCATTGAAGAGTTTTGAGCAGGAACATGGGCATGATTTTTTCTGTATTTGGATTCAAGTTGGAAGAGATTGGAGACAAGATAACTGGCTTGTTAGTATTATCCAAGGAAGATGACAAAAGCTTGAATATCAGTGGTGGAAAGACTACACCTAAGGGGCAGAGTAAAATGTATATCAACTGGTCAATCAACAAATATTAATTTTGCTTGAGCAAGTTATCAGCATTTTCTGTGCTGGAAATTAAGAAGAAGATAGCAAGTCCTCCCACACAGAACTTCCATTCCTTTGGGAGAATTGGGCAATGAACAAGTAAATACATACATGTACATACATATACATATGTACATATCTATCTATAAAGCAACTGATAATGGTGAGCACCATGGAGGAAATGATCAGTCACCATGAAAGAGAATAAGGGGAAGGGGGTCTTCTAGTTAAGATGACATCCAAGTTGCCACATGAAGGATGAGAGAAGCCAGCCGTGTTAAGAGCCAGAGCCCACGTGAGAAGACTGCAGTGAGGAGCTTTCTGAGGTAGAATAGTTGACTAATAGGAAAGGCTGTGTAGTAGACGGGGTAATCATATTGCCTTTAGAGTCAGATGCCTTGAATATAAATTCAGGCCCTGCTGTTTATAAGCCTCAGCTTCCTCTATTAAATGAGAATAATAATGCACACATTACAAAGTTACTGTAAAGATTATATGAAGGGATGTTATATAAAATTTAGCACAGACTCTAGATAGTAAAAACTCAATGGAAAATAGTTGCTTTTATTGTCATCGTTATCAAGAAGAATAGGGAGAAATGAGGCACTTCAAATTTCTGTCTTAGGTGACTGAAGTGTAATAGGCAGCCCAAAATAGGAACACGTTAGGATGTTCAGATAGTGAATCTGCTTTGAAGAACCTATTGGAAATCCAGCTGGAATTTGAATCTAGAGGTCTGGAAAGAAGTCCACATGTAAGATATACGAGGGTCACTGGCTTTGCTTGAAGAAGGTATACAGAGATTAAGCTGAGAAAATGGGAAAACTCAGCACTTCATGAGGGTAATTGTCTCTTTTTTAGAAAGTTCTGATTATTTGAAAAAAATTACTTTGAATGATTAGAAATCTACTTATAATTTACATTCACTGCCCCTGGTCAAACTTTCTGGAAATATGCTGAATAAGAACAGTCACTCTTCCAAATCAGAGCCTTCGTAGTATGTAAAAAATGGTTGGTTTGACTCCTCAGTCTTTATCTGAGAAAAATAGTCTCAGATATTTCAGTCATTCCTCATATGCAGGGATCTTTATTATTATTATATTTCATCATTATAGTTTTTTGGATGTAATTTAACTTGTTCTTGCTCAGAACTAAACCCAATATTCCAGATTTGATTTGATCACCATGATAGTTTCAACGTATCATTTTCATCTGTCAGCTCCTTTAACAATCTTAATTCTATCATCTAACATATTAGTGATTCCTGCCAACTTTGTGTCATACACCAATTTGATGAATATGATTTCTAAATTTTCATCCAAGTCATTGATAAAGATGTTTAAAGGCTAAGCTAATGTAAATTGAACTATCCCTGCTGTGACTAATGGGTGGACGTGAAACCTTTGGCTTCATTGACGAAGGGCAAGCTGTGCTTAAAGTTTTGACTTGAATGGGTTGAGTGAGATGGAGCATGAATAGCAGGAAGGGCAAGTTGTACTTGAAAGTTTTGTCTTGAATGGGTTGAGTGAGAGGGAGCATGAATAGCAAAAAGGAATTGAAAAATGGAGATGGAATAGAAATTATTTGACATAGAGGATGGGAGCTGTAAAATCTTGGGATATCTTTGGTGGGAGTTATCTGGGGCTCCCAGAGGTACAGGTGGGAAACAAGTTGCAGAGACAGACTCTGGAAGTGTTGTAGGTTGACTAGGCAAATGACCAAGAGGGCTTAGTCATAATGATTCTGAAAAAGACTAGTAATAGACATTCCATATCTTGCAGACAAAGCAATAGAAATGTAGCAGCTGGAAAGAAATGGTAATTATCCAGAGATTTTGTACTGGAATCAGATAATGGGTCTAAGTATGGAACAACACTCCAGTCCTAGGAGGATGATATGATTTGCCTCTGCATCCCCACCCAAATCTCATCTTGAGTTGTACTCCCATAATTCCCAAATATTGTGAGAGGGACCTGGTGGGAGATAATTGAATCGTGGGGGGCAGTTTCCTCCATACTGTTCTCATAATAGTGAATAAGTCTCATGAGATCTGATGGTTTTATAAAGAGGAGTTCTCCTACACAAGCTCACTCTCTCTTTGTCTGCTGCCATCCATGTAAGACATGAGTTGCTCCTCCTTGCCTTCTGCCATGATTGTGAGGCTCCCTCAGCCATGTGGAACTGTAAGTCCAATTAAACCTCTTTCTTTTGTAAATTGCCCAGTCTAGGGTATGTCTTTATCAGCAGCCTGAAAACAGACTAATACAGAGGAGGATCATAAAAGCAAAGACAGAGAAGTAGGAGCTCTCTTTACTTCACCATAATTGGGCTGGGGTTCTGTTAGGATCCCTGTTAGATAGGGCAACAGATAAGGATGAGGGAGGAGAAGTGAATGTGGAAGTTGAATCCTGAGAACTAAGCCAGTAGAGGAAAGAAAGAAGAAGAGTTGCAGCTTTGAGGTGAACAGTGAATATGTATATAGAGTCATTATTCTTGAAGGCATTAAGTATTAGGTAGGATAGACCATGCAGAGGCCAAGGTCACAAGGGAGCCAAGAAGTCAAGAATGGATCAATACATTGCTGGGTGAATAACCTACTTTATATCTGTGAAAATTGAGGAACTGAGGCTGCTAGTGTAATTTTTATCTTCATCTACATTAGTTCAGTAACTAGATAAGCCAAAAATCAAACCAGAGTCTGTGGCACGATCTCGGCTTACTGCAACCTGTGCCTCCCGGGTTCAAGCAATTCTCCCGTCTCAGCCTCCTGAGTAGCTGGGATTACAGGTGCGCACCACCACGCCCAGATAATTTTTGTGTTTTTAGTAGAGATGGGGTTTCGCCATGTTGGACCAGGCTGGTGTCAAACTCCTGACCTCAGGTGATCCACCTGCCTCGGCCTCCCAAAGTGTTGGGATTACGGGCGTGAGCCACTGCACCCGTCCTATGTTTTTCATCTTTAGTAAAAGATTTTTAAGGTCAGAGATCATACGAACAAGACTACATGAACCATAACATCCTTTAATATATTTTCAATATACAATGAATACTTAATAACATAAATATTTGTTACATAAGTATAAAAGATTATCTTCAGATCCTCGAGTATTTCTAATTTTCATGTCTATAACTTGATGATGCTGGTGATGGTAATTACAATATTAACATTATACTGGACACTATGGCAGACACTCTGATAAGTGCTGAAGCTCATTTAATTCTCACAGAAACCTTATGAGGACATGTTCTTATTTTTTTCACTCTTTTTTCAGATGAGTAAATTGACCATTATTAGGGAAATTAAATAATCTGACCAGAGTCACACAAACTGAATGAATGAATCGGGGATTTGAACCCAGGCAGTATAATTTCAGAGACAAGAAACACTATATTATATTGCTCCTTTGTTTTATGACAAATAGTGATTCATTTTTAGTCTATGTTACTTTCAACACCAGTTACCTTTCTTTTAAGGGGCACAAAGAAAACAAAGATGTTATTACTGGTTTCAAAAACATGATTAGAAAACAGCTAAGTTAGGATGAGGATTCTGAGCATGTAGCTAGGCTTGCTCACTAAGTCATTCTTCCTACATACCAATTTCAGAATGAACATGAGCAAACATTTTATTATTTATTTTTTTGAGACAGGGTCCCATTCTGTCACCCAGGCTGGAGTGCTGAGGTGTGATCTTGGCTCACTGCAGACTCAACTTTCCAAGCTCCGGTGATCCTCTAACCTCAGCCCCCTAAGTAGCTGGGACCATAGACATGTGCCACCACGCTCAGCTACTTTTTTGTATTTTTGGTAGAGACGGGTTTCGCCATGTTGACCAGGCTGTTCTCTCGAACTTCTGTGCTCAAGCAATCTGCCCACCTTGGCCTCCCAAAATGCTGGGATTACAGGCGTGAGAGCCACCACACCCGGCCATGAGCAAACATTTTAAAATAAGAACTTCATGAACCTCCAGGATATATCCTAAATAGTCAAAAATCAATCTGTATATACCAAGGAATTAGGTCTCCATTTTGGGGGAAAGGGAAGAAATTTAAGTTACAATGACTTTTGCCTTAAAAATGTTTTCTTAGTCCTCATGTTTAAGTTAAGGTTTGGACTGCTGAGGCAAAATCATCCGTGTTTCCCATGGCCATCAGACTTGGACAGGACACATGACCAGCTAAAAATATTCTATTTGATTGTATTAATAGAATTCAAGAAACATTCAGTATGTACCTGAAGATTTAGTGTTCAAATGGATCTATTGACCTGTTTAAATGAGTTAACCCACAAAAGAATAGAAGCAATTTTTATAAAGATAAATCAGAGAAACCAGAAACTTCTATGAATATAGGTAATTCCATTTTTGCTACATAAATAATTAAGTGTATACACACCTTATAAATGTCAGAGCTTAAATTAGAATTTTCCAAGATCTTTTCAGAGGGATATCATATTTAGGTGAACAAAAGGAGAAGCAGGCGATGATCCAGTGCTCTTTTTTTTTTTTTTTTTTTTTTTTTTTCAAAAACTCTGGTGAACTGAAGAGGATATGGTATTCAAAATGCACATCTAAAAGCTTCTAGGTGGAATTTAAATAACTTCATTATTTTTACCTTTTTCTTCCAGCCACCCCAAATATTCTGATTCTACGTGGACCAATCACTTGACTGATTTTCTATGTAATTAAAATCATGTGCCTTCAGAACTATTTGTAGGGGGAATGCTTCTGAGACTCCTAGCTTTATCTTTTTATACTTGTGTTACTTAAAAATGACCAGGCAGAAGTTTTTTTCTTTTCTTTAAATTGCTTTGCCAAGTTTCAGCTTTGAGCACATTTTTATGACTGATTTATTAAACCTGGAAACTAGAAGTTTATAATGGAAATTCTCATAAAGCTTTAACTCTAGCCTTGCTAGCAGGTACCCTGAAGAATGGGGCACTGATGGGCCCTCTGTTGCTGCATTTCTAGAACACCACCTGAGGATTTGGTCACGTCTTCATTTATGGGTGAATAATCTTCAACCATTCTAGCAGAAATTCTTGTTCTGTTGACAAAAAGGAAGCATGCAGTAGTTTGGCTATGAATCATAACTTCTGCTGTCATGATTAATTTTAAGGACGCATTCAAAGACGTTTCCTCCATAACATTGCACTCTGGGAAAAGAGAAAAAAAAATGTGCTCATCGCTTAGGCTGACTGAGGAGATTTATTGCAAATAAAATGATTCCAAATTGACTAGGGAGATTTATTGGAAATGAAATTATTAGAAATCCCTATTCCTAGGCTGGGCTCAGTGGCTCACACCTGTAATCCCAGCACTTTGGGAGGCCAAAGTGGGCAGATCACCTGAGGTCAGGAGTTCGAAAACAGCCTGTCCAATATGGTGAAACCCCGTCTCTACTAAAAAAAATACGAAAGTTAGCCGGGCATGGTGGCGCATGCCTGTAGTCTCAGCTACTCGGGAGGCTGAGGCAGGAGAATCACTTGAACCTAGGAGGCAGAGGTTGCAGTAAGCCGAGATCACACCACTGCACTCCAGCCTGGGTGACAGAATGAGACTCTGTCTCAACAATAACAACAACAACAACAACAACAAAAAAAAAAAAAAAAAGAAAAAAGAAATCCCTGTTCCTTTTTAAGATATTTAGAAGTTATACCTAAGTGGAACATTTTTGCTTTAGTTTCAGAAATACAAACTTCTGGCATTGCTCATCATTTGAATTTTTCCCTGCAGGCTTTGGCTTTATTAGCAGCTTAAGAGTATATTTAGTACTGTCATATGTGAAATCTCTTCACTCTGTTAAACTAATATGGGATAAAATGTCTTTTTTTACAGTGTTACTCATTCATTATATAAAAATGAAAGCAACTACTTCAGTGTGGATCCAGAGCTACTAACTATTTTTATGACAAAAGAGAGGTGACAATACGTATCCCGTAGGCACATGAGAGTATTATATGAGTCATTAGTATAATTGATATCCATAGAAAGAGTGTTTTATCCAACATGATTAAAATGTGCAATACATTATGTAGGTTCCAGTGTTCCAGCTGCTGTGTGGTAATCTTTCCTTTGATAGATATCTAGTGAAAAATAAAATTATCCTCGTTAAAGGGATAATCTTCTACTACTTAAGGCTGTGAGAATGTGAGACAGTTGCATGCTACGTGCTTTATCCATTTACATGTGATGTTCGCCTGTGTGTTGTGTTTTGCTGTGGGTTCCACAACAGAAAGACAAGTAGAAAAGGCCTCCAAAATGGAGCTTCTTTCCTGGCAGACCAGGGAAAATCCTGGGTTATAATTCTGTGTCTACGTCTTAAATTCTCCTTGTTGGGTCCAGCTTTAAATGCCGACAGTGGTGTCCCAGGCGCGCGCGCGCGCGCGCGCGCGCGCACACACACACACACACACACACACACACACACACACACACAATCATAGATCCTAACATTTTAAATTGGCTTCAAGTTGAGAGTAACTTCTTAAATGCAGATGACTCAAGTAATTGTTTTAAAGGGTGTTTCTACACACGATAAATGCATCCTCCATTCATTGGTTGATTCATTTTACAATGAACTTATCAGTGGCTGATTATGTACTAAGTACTTAGGTGCTGGGGGCACAGAGAGCCACAAGTTGAAGGATTTCATTTTAAATAGTAAACCAAAGAAAGAAAAACAAGAGGGTAGAGAGCAAACCTCATTTTCCCTATTGAGTACTCAGAAGCAGGCGCTATTGAACCATATAACTAGAACAAAAGATAACACTGTGTCTACATAATGTTTATCTCAAAGAAGTCAAAGTGAGGTATGCATACTACTGGACTCAACACCTACAATAGTGACTGTTATTTTTTTTTTCCTTTTGTGTATATACATGATAATAGTAATGCTAAAAGCTGAGAGAAAGGTCACATGCTGGGGATAATGCAACATATCCAGGAAAGTAAAGTCAGTGACAAATGAAGAAATATGTCTAATTCTTAATTAAGTGGCATATCTGTTAGGGCAAAGAGGTCTGTTGGAAGGTTCCTTGGTAATCAAGGTTCTATTTTCTTTTCTACTGACCCATAATATTGTTGAGAAGATTAAATAAAAATAATACATGTGAAGCTGCTTTTTAAAGAAAACATAATGTGCTTCATAGATGTGATATCATTTTAAAGCTTTTGTTGACTACCTCCTGTACATTGCAGGCATTATATATCTACAAATAGAGGATAGCACTTGCTGCACATCTAAGTTACAAATGCACCTTATGTGGAATGAGATATCAGTTGCTTTTAAAGATCCTGAATATCAATAAATGTTGAAAATGATGAATATCTAAAAATTATGTAAGTAAATGAGTTGCTCAGCTATTTCACAGTCTTGTCTGTCTGTCATAGTACAGGATAGGTTACAGCAAGGCATCATGGTTTGGGAAGAATTATTCATTAGGACAGTGATAATAAGGCAATATTAGATTCACCACATATATAGGTAAAAACTTTATAGGAAGAAATAATGATGGACCAAAATGCCTACTAGGGAAACTTATTTATCTTTACCTGCCCTCATTTGTTCGAATGTGACTGAATGTTGCCATTTGTGAATAATCAACCAAATGTTATGATATATTTTCTTGCTTCTCAAAATGGTCAGATTCCATTATGTTGTTAGCTAACATTGTTAACTCCCTCCAGCAACATATTATTCTTCCACAATGCTAGAATAGTTTGCTAGTTCAACCCCCAGCCCCACCCCAGCATTATCTCTCCTTAACTTTCCATCTAGTAGCCTCTGTGTCATTTGCAGTCCTGGAATAGAGTGACTTTGTCTTCCCTACCAGTATTCTAAAAAGTAGCTTTACCCACCTATTATTTCTTCACCATCGTCCACTGTAATTTCATGTTATTGCTGTGGTGTGCTGGTCCACATGATGTCTTCTTGTACCTTGAGATGGTGAGATTTCCTGGGAGAAGATTTTAGAATTTTCTGTATGGCCTCCTGATTACAAAGATTCAGATATGCCTGTGGTCTTATAAAAGTTACAGTAATGAGATTGTGATTCTAATACTACATAAATATTGTTATTATTGGCATGAGTAATAATGATAGATGGGAATAATAATAAAGACTTGGCATGGCCTTTTCCTCAGAGTTTTCAGTGTTTCCACTGGTACAATTGGTGATACCTTTCAGTATACTAAGAAGATAACGTGATCGTGCAGGAGCCATTATCAGCCTCTGTTAGAGCCTTTTCAAATCCCGTGCTTATTGTGTATGTTATGAATAAGGGAGCACAAAAATTATGCATGCAGGGCCAAATTCTCATCTTGCTCAGGACCCCCATGGACCTCTCTTTGAAGTCAATAGGAGCTCAGCAGGGGGTGGAACAAGATGAGAATTTGGAAAAGGAACGTAAAGAAAAAGGGATAATTTTTCCCGACCATATCATCATTTGGTGTGCGTTAAATGCTCACACAGTGCCTAACCCCAATTCCTTTTTACTTCAGTCTCAATAAAATTGCACAACAGATTTTTTTTTCCTGCATCTCTGTGTGTATATACTGTAGGTCATTTTCAATGGGAAGAGAATTGGATAACTTCAATTACTCTCCTGTAAGCTGTTATTATTGAACTGAGCCTGAAGTGCTTTATTTTCAATAAAGAAATATTCATAGAATACAACTTTCATGCAAATTCAAGTGCCATAGGTTTTGAAAGATTTTCCAGAAAGGACATTTTTCACTGGCCCAAATAATTAACCACTCATCTTTGTGCCCTTGTTTTCATTCAACTAATTTTTGGAATTATTTTGTCCACTGTGGGATGGCTACACAAATGTGTGCTCTCCCAGGAAAACACTGTTTGAAATCAACAATGCAGTTTTTGTTTCTGCATTCTAATATACACCCCCCTCTTAGGATTTGAATTGTTTTGTACACACAATGGTAAATGAATGTCCAGAGGGGAACTTTGAAAAACAATCTGCCTATGAGCTAGAGGCCACACCTTCCGCATTCAAGGGAATGCCCACGCTTTGTCAAATTCGCACACGCCTTCTGAATAGGGCCTGCCCTGAGAAACTTGGCCTTCAAGGTAAAGCTCACTTAGATCGCACCATTTTCTTTTATGAGGAAGCCAAACTCCATCAGAATTTTACACCTGGATGTGTGTTGATGAAATATCTTGTAACTTAAGACCATTAATATTCATGGGACACCTAACATAATTCATGATGGTCTATGATATATGATAGTAAACAGTATCATTTACGCTGAACCTTAAAAATATTGACAAAGACAAGTTCCTAAACACTGATGAAACCTTGTATTTTGTGTTATGATTTCTTGGTTTTATACTTGGTGCGGTTTTTCAATTAACTGCTCTGTATGCAAAGCAATTATTCATTTATTATAGTCAGCTTAGATACGGTAAAGATTAGAGGAGTAAAACAAATCATCTTGGTGACACTGGCTAGTGATACATTGTTACTATTCTGATATTTATTTATTTATTTATTTGGCTCTTGCAGGATTTATAGCACCTACTTTTGAATTCTAAGTCTTATTCCTTTCTGGTCTCTATTTTTATGGTTTTAACTAAGCAAAAACAGTCATAAGATTTGAACTGGGGTTACCTATATGATTTATCAAATGATAGGCACATGTATAGAAATACTAATTTATATACACAAAAAAACATTTTTAAAATTATTTTTTTGGTCAGTGACAAGATTTTCTCGGTTATATAAAATAAGTATCTGGTCTTTTTAAAGTGTGAAGATTCTCAGAAGTGTTGAAGACAGAACTGAATTTATGTACTACATAAACTAGGCATCAATATATGAAGAATCTCATAAGAAATAGCATGCAATTTTGAATGCAAGTAAACCAAGGTAACTACACATATTAGATATTTGGAAGTTAATGACATGGAGCACAATGCTTTCCGTCGGCCTTGCAGTGTAGTTTTCCAAGTGTACTGCAACTACATACCCTGTAATGTGTCATTTTGCTTCTAAAGGGGTTTACATGCTTATAAGAGTGCCTCAGATTTTGGCAAAGTTTATTTTATGCATTATGCATAAAAGTTGTCATCAGGATTTAACAAAGCATTTTGCACAGAAAGATTAGAAATAAAATCTCTGCACACCAAAATGATTTGGATGGTTTTGCTAGAAGGTGTGAACTTCAAAAAATTAGCATGTATCTTACCCCTTTCCCAAATTTCACAGAGATGAAAATCTCCATAGTGAAGAGAATTATAATATACAGTAGTGCAGCAGAAGCTCACCAATTCTATTTTTTCCCCTTTTCAGCTAGTAAGCTCTTGTTTATTAATTATAACAGCAATTTGGAATCCAACTAAGCTACAATTATTAGACAAGAAATTGTCAGGTTCATTAACATATGTGAGGTATTCCTGTTTGAGACATGTGGGTATTAAAACAGGCACACTAGTCTGTATGTTTGGATTTTAAGACACGGGTCGCTCAGCAAACTAAGAGAAACTGTGGGTGAAGAGAAGAAATTGATGGGGTAAGCCGACAGAAAGGGGAAATTGTTTGGATGTTAAGCTTAAATTGACTATTTTACATGTTTCCTATATTTTAACACTTTTAAAAGCTAGACATGTGCTAGTTCCCTCTATGCTTTATAGGAAAGCATGAAGTTGCATGACAGTGAGCAGGACTCTGAGGAGCTGCTTGTGAAACTAAGCTTCTAGGAGATCGGTCCTGGAGAATTCTGGTTTTAAAGGCACATAGAGAAGGAGTGAATTTTTTTAAAAAATAAGGAATGGATTAATTGTGTCTTAAACCTTGAACCTTGAGAAGTCTCTTCTGCAGTTAAATTGAGTGTCCTGACTTCCAGCCTATCTCCCTACACTTTCAGGGTTATGTCCAGTTGTGGGTTTTCCCTTTATGTGTGTGTCTTTCTGAGAATAGTCATTCCACCAGTGGCATTGAGGCAATTTCTGGTAGCTGCTGCTATGTCAGCTTTATTAATTGATAGCTTCATACGATGAGTAGATTTAAGTCCCTTCTTTTTTGTTGCTATTTTTGGAGGTGACATTATTGCTGAATTTAGGGTGCAGCCCTTGGAAATCTGCTTTTTTTCTTGGTAACCACACAGCAGCACTCCTTCGGGTATCCTTGCAAATAGCATCTGGATGGGTAAACCATTAGTAATACCCACAGAAACGCAGGGACCTTGCTCTTTCCCAGTCACTGGTGTATCTTATGAGTGTTGTTTCAGGTAGCAATTAGCATTTTGTTAGTACTGTCACTGCATATATTTTTTTAACTATACAAATTTCTGTGGCTTTTTCAGCACTGAGAAGGTTTTAAAAAATACGCATATAACTTGCTCTTTTATTTTTGGTTCTTTACTTTCAGAAAAGTTAATTGGAACTGATTGGTTTTATTTGCTGACTTACCAAATACCACAAAGCTGGAAACCAATAAAGCAAGATTAGCTTTCCACTGTCTGCTTCAGTTTTCTTAAACACTGTTCCTCTCAGCTTGTCTTTTATCCACAAACCATTTTTTTAAAAGAACACCAGTATCTGGATAAGAGTGAAAAAATTGAATTGAAGGATAATAATCATAATAATAGTGCTTTACACTTGCATAGATCATCAACATTTTTTTCAAATATATTCATTTTTACTGCAATTGAATTCCTGTAACAGCCCTTTAAAATAGGAAGGAAAAAAAAAAACCCATGTATCGAATATCTTCTGTATAATGCCTTTACCACATTATCTCATTTAATTCTTGCTACAGCCCTGTTGAGATGAAAATTATTTCCCTGAATTTCAGGAGGAAATATCAGTTCTAATGTAGTGCGATTTGTCCAGGCTTCTACAGTCAGCAAGCAGAGGATCCAAGGTTTAAACTTTGTTCTATGTGGCTCCCAAATTTAGTTCTGTCAGCTTTGCAGATTATCTCCATTTTTTGGTTGTCAAAATTCGAGACACAGATAAGTGATTTTCTTGTAATTATGCAGCTGAATTAATGCCACTGACCAAAACTTCGACATATAGTGTATATACAAACATATTTGTTTTTGTTTGTTTCCTAGACCTGCATACTTTCCATTACTTCTACCTTCCTGTGACCACCTGGTCAAAAGTTTATGTTGCCTTCCTATCTGGATTGATTTCTCAGTTCCTCAGTTTACGCAGCACCCTCCCTCCCACCCTACATTGCCTATGGGCCCTTTAACAGACGACTACAGACATCGTGAAAGAGAGACAGAATCAGCAGAGGATGAGGTGAGAATCAGCCTAGATTATGCTTGTCTTTGCCTCTGTGGGTTTACGGATTGCATTATTGCAGGGTAGGTTTTATGTTCAATACCTATTTGAGTCAATGTTGCATTGCAGCATAGCATAGCTAATATTTTTTGTGAGTGCTGCCTCTAAAAATCAAATCAATACAATTAAACTTTAAGCCAGTGATTTTAATGTGAATATCTTAATACTTGGCGCCAGAGTTGATATTTTAAATCTGATATATTGGAAAGAATAAATATCTTAGGGGAGCACTAATGGGAAAAGAGTTGAAATCAGGTAAACCTGATTTGGATAATAATCAGCCAGTCAATTAGCTCATGCCATGGAGACTGGCACAGGACTATATTGTGTCTGTCTCACAGGCCTCAGAAACATCATTGGCCACTGTGTTATACCTGATAGTATTCAAAGCACTGTCACACAAATTATCTCATGCTTGAAGTGCAAGGATGACAGAACATTTGACTCCTAGTATACTTTTTTCCTTTGCTTTCTTCAGTGTGGATGAGACTGAGTTCTAGTACCAACTTTTAAGGATTCCTTACTTTCTGGTGCTGACACCAACTGGAAAAAAACTTCAAAGAGGCCAATTTACTAGAGAGATATCTTTTTCCCATTCCACTTATCTCAAAGGTGTCCATAGTGTCTGGCTCCTTAAGTTAGTTATTTACCTGTACTCTAGTCAGATCTATGTACTCATCATCCAACATATTTTGGTTATTAAATATGTGTTACATCCTTTAGATTCTGTATCTTACTTAACAATCACAATAATAAGAGAAGTGATTGTATTATGCCCATTATATACATAAAGAAACTTAGGTTTAAATAGGTTAAGCAACTTGCAAAAAGACACACTAGTTAGTGCCAGCATCAGAACTCAGTTCTCCCTGACTCCAGACCTTAATCCCTAAACCAGAGCACATTTCTCCTTATGCTTCTTAGCCTTTGCCCCATTCATGCCTATGAACATTTTTCATATGCTTCAAGACCCAGGTCAAATGAAACCTTTAAAAGAGCAGAGGAAGCAATAGAGCTAAAAAAGAAAGTCATTAAAGTAAACATGGAGAACAGACAGAAAGTGTCAAAACATTAATTGTTTATGATTATATTAATCTCATTTTAAATTAAAGTTGCCTCACAGGTATCTGTGTTCTTTGAAATTGGTAAACTCTTTGAGGACCCCAGTTTCTAATATATTGCTCTATATATTCTGATGCCTGATACACAGAGAATCAGCTGTTTTACAACCTATTACAGGAATCCCTTTTCCCAGGGACAGGCAACACGTTAGTCCAGAATGTCAAGATGTAGGTGGACATTGAGAAGGAGGTTGTTCCTTGAAGTGAAGCTAAGATTTATATTACAAGAGTCCTAGGTGTCAGTGGGAGAGGGTCTGCCAAGAAGAACCAGAGCTGGGAGACTGAGTATTGTGAGGGCTTGGGGGTTGAAAGAGATATGACAGGCAGAGCAAACTTGATTGGATATCAGATGGGTCTTCAAAGTTAGAAGGTAGGTACTAGAGGTTAGGTAGACAATAAATTCAGTGCAACCACAATCATTTTTGGTGCCCTTGAATTTTTAAATATTTGAAAGATATTGTCATATGAAAAATGTGGAGCTGTTGGTTGCAAAAAGAACACTAGACCTAGTTTCTAATCTCAGGGTACCATTAGCTTATCACTAAATATTTCTGTATCCCATTTCCCATATCTGTACAATGTGAATATTAAAAGACTGTACTGGCCTATCTTACAGGATTATTTTGAAACTCAAGTATAAATGAGCACATAAGGGATTTGAAATTCAAAAATTAGTTTTATGGTTTTTCAAAGTGTTTTTTTTTTTTACAGTTGCAAGGAATTGCTGTCTTTATTAATAAAGAATAGGCTAATACCCTGCCTTTGAGTAGCTTTCCATTGAGTTGTAGCCCTATGGCACCCACCCATTTAAGAAGGTAACCAATAGCACAAGGTACTACTGGCCAAATGAATGCAGGTGAGACCAGAGGGCTACTATAGGAATTCACAGGGAAGAGCAAGATTGTCAATTGTTAGAGAACCTTCAGACTGGAACGTGAGACTGGAACTAGGTTGAGGAATAATTATAACTATAAAGCTAGAAAGGAGTAATGATGGGCCCTAAGATGCAAGGGATGTTTGCAGGACAGATGTAGACTAGATTGTTTCAAGTAAAGGGTCTGTATCAGAGCTGCGGGAATGGAAGTAGTCTTGGGAGGCCTTGGGTGTCAGGTGCCGTATCTGTGATAAAGTACTGATGCACTAGGGGTACACGTTCTCTTCCATGAGCACAATCTAGAGGCTTCAGCATAGTCGCCAAAGAAACTTAATTTATTCTCTTCTCCTTTGTTATATTCTCTTGGAAATTTTTTTCAGGAGAAAATTAGTACTATGTATTTTCTAAAGCTAAAAGCTTAAGTTCTACCAACATGCTATTTGGTGCAAAGAAAAAGATGGTATGAATATTTGATGTGGGGCCAAAAAGAGGTCTTACACATTAAATATTGCAGAGGGCTTAAAGTCTTCTGAAAACTAATTTTTGAGGACCTTATTAAACTGTGGTAAGAGTCCTCATTGTTCTTATTCTGTTGTGAGTCTTGACTTGCAATTTGGAAAAGCACTGGGCAGAGCAATTACACAAATAATAATCATTGACTCAAGCTTTTTAATGGTAAAAAGATGACTTGATTCTCTGAAGAAGTGAACAGGCAACATTTTCTCATTGCTGTTAATTATAATTTAAGACAGACTCAATTTTGTATTAGTCACAGATGTTTCATTTCTCAGTTCATATATAATGCGGTACATGGAATATCTCCAAAGAGATTTTAGAAGTGTTTGCAGTCTTGTCCATCTCTTTACCACTTGGTGTGGTCTTTTCCAAAAATCATGACATTTGGAAAGAAACTTAGAGAAGTTTTGAAGACATTTTCAAGACATTTTGCTTTCAATGATCTCTAAAAATATTCCTATTGAAAGTGAAAATTGGGAACATGCTCTGAAAAACAAAATCAAAATGCATGTTGTGTCTTTAGAAAGCCTGGTTTTGGGAGTGGCTGGGCTGTGTTCCAGTTGTTGGGGGAAGGGGCACAAATTATGATTTCTGAATTGATCTTAATCATAAAAACCTTCAAGAAGCTCCAATGCTCCTATTGCTATTAAGCAAAAAATGTATTCCAAATAATTAGACCAAGCATCTAGTTCCCAAATTACTCCACTGTGGATTGTTCTAATCAGGGAGAACTTATCAGTAGGACAAATCACTCGTGAAATTGTGATAGGTTTGGGGATGCTCCAAGACATGGCAGGTTTGGAATGCAAACCCCTGATGAGGCTGGAAAGCTTGAGTTGTGTTTGAAGATTGTTAAGAATTAGAGCTTATCTTCCCAGCCTCTGGTAACCATCCTTCCACTCTGTATCTTCATGAGTTCAATTGTTTTAATTTTTAGCTCCCACAAACAAGTGAGAACATGTGAAGTTTGTCTTTCTGGCCTGGCTTATTTCACTCAACACAATAGATTGTTTGTAACACAAAAGATAAATGTTTGAGGGGATAGATATCCCATTTACTGTGATGTGATTATTACACATTGCATGCCTGTATCAAAATATCCATGTAATCCATAAATATATATACCCACTATGTACTCACAAAAATTAAAAATTAATAAAACGTATCTCTACATCAAATGAACCACAAAGAAAATTCAAAGCACAGTAGTACCTATGTTTTCCATTATAGTAGAAGAATGCTATTTGGAAAATAAAATACAATCACCATCAGCACGTGACAGGGAATTTTTCTTGGGATATATTGATAAAAGTTAGAGTTGCATGTTATATGTCAAATCTTTCCCCAAAAGAAG
Organism: Homo sapiens; assembly: GCF_000001405.40. Taxonomy (NCBI): domain Eukaryota; kingdom Metazoa; phylum Chordata; class Mammalia; order Primates; family Hominidae; genus Homo; species Homo sapiens. The sequence continues at coordinate 88,265,244 of NC_000001.11, read as the reverse complement.
ATGCCATATTGAAAGAGCATCTAAAACATAATCAAATGGTTTAATTTTAAAATGAGCATATATAAAACTTTTTTGGTAAGAACAGTAAAATCACAGCGCCTTACAAACATGTGATGAATTCATATGGGCATACATGAAAAGTTCCTTAAATATTGTTCTTCTTCACTTTTCATCTTTATTTTATGCGTTAACTTTTCCCAAAAAGAAAGCATGTTCATTTACATATTCAAAATTTGTGTATTATGTAATTCACATTATTCTTTAAAATGATTTGATTTATCCCTAAATCTCTAAATTATCTCAAAAATGATTTAAGATATCCAGAATCAGTGAAGTTTAGGCAGTTAATCTTTAGAGTAAAATTCTTACACAGTTTCTCCATAGTCTTTTGAGTATTTCTTTCCAAAGCTTGAAATGAAGTGGTGGGACCCATTTGAGTAGATTCTTCAGTAATTAATTTCCTTATCTAAAGTTCTGAATTACAGTTGGAACTCTTATTACTATCTGATACTTTTAGAGAAAGAGCTGGTTACAGGAGAAACAGGGAAAGAAGAGAGGAGCAGGAAAAAAATATGTTTTATTAAAAATTTAAAAATGTAGAAATAATCAACTGGGGGGCTGATCACAATTGTTTATCAGGTGTGTACCTCTAGTACAGAAATAATGCTTTCTTTCCATTTGAGAATGGCATATTGGTATTATTTATTGTACTGTTTTCTCATCAGTGAAGATCATGTTGTTCATGGCTGGGAGTTGCAAGGTCCAAATGTCTTTCTTGGTGTTGCTTTTACTTCATTTCAGGGGTAAGAAGTACTTTATAATTTTGGCCTTGGTTCCTCAGAATATAAAGTAAAGGTAGTAATACTGACTTCTTCACAGGGATAAGTAAGCTTATATCAGTGAATTGTTCAGAGGAGAATAAACTTTAATATATCAGTAGAGCCAGTGAGTAGAGGGGACTTTTGAGATTCTTGAGTGGGGGCTTCATTACCATGTGGATGAGAATGACAGAGCAATTACATAATTTATCTTACTTTCAAAAGAAATAAACTTCTATATCATTATACTCCTTGTTAGGAAGATATTTGAGACACCTAAATTTCCAAGGTAACAACTCAAGTTTAAAGACATTTACAGTTCAAAGTCTAAGAAAAGTTGGCTACTACCAAATTCAAGTCATTAATGTGGTTGGGCAGGATGCTAAACTTGTGTGGTAAGTTGCACTCCATGGATAACCATTGAATGTTTGGTAATTTGGTGTTGGAATGTTTTATTTAGAGCTTCTGATAGGCAATGATTCTGAGCACTGTGTGGAATCCTGTTGTGTAAGGAGCTCCAGTAAGAGATAGAGTATAGTCAACCATCTCTAAAATGGGCAGTGCATATGCTCTTCAGTCTCAGGAAGGCTGTGAGAAGTTTCCTAGGAACCACTTTACAGCCGTTCTCATTTCTGGCCAGATCCATGGTGCAGGTTCTCAGCTGAAGTACAATGGTTTGGAGGTATAGCTACCATCAGCATTTAATTTTGAACAATTTTGCCTTAAGATTCTTTCCATTCTTTCAAATTGTCTTCCTGGCTGCACATGTTTCTATTTGTTTAGGAGAAAAAAAAGAAGGGAGTTAAATGATTTCTGAAGCAATGTTTGTCTGCTCAATATGGTAAAATGTCATTTAAAGAACATTCTAAATTAATATTTTTTCCCCAGAAGTTTCATAATGTGTTACCATGTAACGGCACAGGAGAATTTTGTAATGACAGATTTCAAGACTAATTTGGGGCATTGTGAACTCTATTGTCTGGCATTCTGTTAACCTCAAATCTCTATTAAACAATACTTCAATGTATTAGATATCTATTGCAACAAAAATGCTGTGTAACAAACAACCTCAAAGCCTATGTGGCATACAATAGTAAATATTTATTTTTAGTCAAGTATCTGTGTGTTGACTGGTAGATCTGCTGATTTGAACTGGCATTGATAAGACTGTCTTCTGCCAGGTCAGCTAGGTGATACGTTCTCTAACATGTCTGAGGCCTTAGCTGGGAAAATTGATTTGACTCTGCTCTGCTCCACATGTCCCATCCCCCAGCAGGCTAACCTCGAAACATTCACATAGTGAAGGCAGAAGAGCAAGAGGAAGCAAAAACGTGCAAGTACTTTTTCAAGCCTCTGCTAGTGTCAAGTTCATTACTGTTTAATTGGTCAAGGTAACTCACATGGCTTTACCCAGAGCCAGAGTAGGAGGAGACTAGAAAATTACAAGAAAAACATATTGATATAGGAAATACATTAATTGGAGCCACTAACAAAATTGATCTGCCGTGTCCATCTATGATGTAGTGATAGCTTCATAAAGATAACCTTGAGATTCATTATAAAGTACATTTCAACGAAAAAAATTATATTATTAATTTTGACGTGAAAAACATTTGGTCATATTTTTAGTCTTTCTACATTGGTAACTCATTGTTAGATATTATATATTAATATTACGATGGATGATTGGTTAGCCACATACCATATTCCATAACCAAATCACATAATAAGAATTTCTATTATACTTGGTATCAGAAGGTTCAGAGTTTGAGTAATCCCATGAAATTGTAAAATTTTCCCTAATTTAATCTTAACAGCTTGAGGAAAAAATTACTTTTTAAACAAAAAAAGAATTGCAGTTGTGAATACATTGGTGTATGATTAATGAATAAGATCTTAATTAGATAGTTACTCCAGGCACTAAGGCAAGTGTGACAGAATGAAGCATTAAAAAAGGGACCAAGGAGAATACAGTGAGTGGGCGATCAAACTGAGGGATGAAAATTTAAGGTGAAGCCAGATGTGCATTGATACTCCTTATGAAGTTCTGTGGCACATCTCCCTTCTCTTGTCCCCTTTTGTTTGGAGTCCTATAAACACAGTCCAGTTGGCCTTGCAGACTATACGTGGCAATAAGTTATTGATGAGAATGAGTGTCATGTGAATAACTATTTCTTTGAAGATCTCTTCAGACTGATGTAACTGGAAGCAGCACAGAAGGAAAAATTGATGGCCCATATTCAGCTTTTGAATAGTAAAGCTTGAAGAGCTTTTAGGTACTGAACAGCTTGAGGAAAGACTGGATAATGGAACATAATTGTACTGATTATGCGGTTGAGGTATGTTAAGAAACAATCCGCTAATTCTGCTAAACTGGCATTTTGTAGCTCCTGTTAATATTTTTAGTAGAGGAACAAGAGATTAATTTATTGAGTCTTATTCGAAAAAATGATCTCTCATATTGGCTCTAACACTTGGTGTTTACGAGTTCAGGGCACTTCTCAAATGTTATCTCACTAACCCTTCCAGCATCCCTGCTGTATATGTGGGTGTCAAACATTTATGAATAGGAAAGCTTAGCAAGTAATAAGTGACTTGCCCAAGGTTATGCCTAAGCGAAGCACTAATTTCTCTTCTGTGCTAAGCCCATCTTCAATTTTTTTTCTTTAGCTTACATTATTTCAGGAGGCTATAGAGCCTGCTGAGATAGAATATTTGGAACTAATATAAGAAAAAGAAATACCTAAACTCAAAATCATTTCATCTGATAAACTTTTTCAGAGTAAACTCTCTCCTTTGGTAATTAGCAGATGTGAGAATGAAGAAAATATTTTTGTTAAAATAGAATATTGATTTGATTTACCTCCTTTGAGTGGAAGCTGTTTAGGAGGCTGTTCCTTTACATTTTCTTGGTTTTGTGTAATGCTTATAATCTAAGAACTCTCTGTGTATAAGTTAGTGATGATAGGAAAGAAATTTCTTTCTTTGATTTGCTGGGTTACTTTATCATTTATTAAGTGACTAAGTCTTTGTATTCAAATTATTTCCTGTGATTTCAGTGCTGTTTATTAAGTATATCCAGTTATCTTTCTGGGCATATGGTAAGGTTTCATTCTGAACCCTCTTGAAGTGAGGTGTGGTCATGTGGCTTGCAGTGGCCTATGTGATACATGTTACTTCTGAGTGGATGCTTTAAAAGCTGATATAAAATTGAGCCTGCTGTCTCTTTAAGCCTTTCATGGTAGCCAGCAACTTCTGAGATAGTGATTGTTTCATCTTCTTGGGACCCTGAATGACAGCAATGGATGGGCTATCCCTGACAATTTGCAATGGCCATGTAACATGCAAAGGAAAAAAGTCCCCTTTCTCTTTGTTTTAGCCACTGAGATCCGGGAGTATTTGTTACTGTAGCATAACCTATCCTACCCTGACTGACATAGAATTGGCACCTAGAATTTTGGGTGTTGTACTAACAAAACCTAAAATATGTGGAACTGACTAGCATGTATTTGTTGCTATTGGGTGTGTTTGGCAAGGCATTGAAAGAAAGACTATGTTTTTCTGAAAGGTGTGGTATATTTACAAGCAGGAACAAAGGGAATAAAACAGTGAAAAAAAAAAACCTCAGGGACTTGTATGATTGCTTCCCATTCAAACAGTAAAAGATAAAAATGGGAAATTAGTATAACTGTCGCAAGGGATACCTACGATTAAAACCATTAGATGGATCAACTTGACACCTAGAGAGTACTTTCAATCTTTCAATCAGACAAAAAGCCTAGGAGAAAAGAGATTTAAGTTGTGGATCTCCCGGAGACTGATATTCAAAAGGTGCCAGCAATAAAGACAAGAATTGCGGGGAGTGTCAAGAAACCAAAGCAAAATAGCAAATATAGAACTTCCGTCAGAAAAGAGCTATAGGTATAGTTTTTGGTATGTGAAAATTACTGAAATAAAACAGATAAGAAGCTTACTAAGTTTTTAAAAATTTTGCACTGCCAAATAAATCACAAGCCTACAAAAGTTTAAGACTTAACATGATCTTTGGAATTAGCAGCTTTTGCAGACAATAACAGTTATTGTCCATGGGGAAGAAGTAGGCTGAGAAAGCTGCTAAGCTCCCAAGGAGAACATATTTCCGGATACCCATTTTATATGTGGCCAAAAAGTATAATGGAAAAGAAACAATCTTCCAAAAGACAAAGCCAAGGACTACAGAGAACAATGTAAAAGGAGGAAATCAAGGCCTAATCAAGGAATATTCCTCACCTCTGGGATAGCAAGTCTCACAGTATCTGTCCAGAACTTTAGACTTGTCATGGACCAACATCTCTTCTGTGTTCTCCACTTTCTCCTTTCTGAGTGGAGTGATGATGAATGATGAAGAAACCACTGTGTAATATCTTGAGATCATAGGCTTTGAACTTGATGTTGTAATCTTGGAAGTTTTGGCTTTTTTCTCTTGGATAGGGTTAAATATGTTTTGCATGCAAGAATGAGAACAAACCAAATATTTGGTAATCAGAAGGGCAGATTATGGCAGACATCAGTTCTGTTTATCAGTGTTTTGCTGATTCTCTTTTTTGGACACATGGAACGTTTGTAGTTTCTTGCTTCCTTTGGCCAAAGACATGGAAACAGAAATTGACTTCTGGGAGGAAACTTAAAAGCCAGGGAGTGGTTAACTATCCTTTTTACACAGTTTCTTTCCTTTTTATATGGCTACCAGCACCTTTCAGAAGCCCCTCCATCAGCTCAAATCCTCGTGGACTACAGTAACTTGACGACTGCAGTGCAGACCTCCAATGGCTGGTAGTGTGTTTGAGAAATAAATTATTTGGGAGATATACCTAATGCTAGATGACGAGTTAGTGGGTGCAGCGCACCAGCATGGCACATGTGTACATATGTAACTAACCTGCACATTGTGCACATGTACCCTAAAACTTAAATAATAATAATAATAATAAAAGAGAAATAAATTATTGTTTTAAACTACCATATTTATTACTGCAACATAGACTACCCTAGCCTGACAGATGATACATTCTCCAGTTGGAAAACAGAATATTAAATGAATATTGATAAAGTGCATTTAAGTGTTCTATTGAACATAAGTATATGTTTTTTTTTCACAGAACAAAACAACAACCAAAAAAATTCTTCAAAAGCAATTTTACTCTCTATAAGAAAAGTATCTCCTTACCTGTGATTTTATAAAGTGCCATCTTGGTTGAATACTAGTAATATTAAGCAAACCTATGTAGCTCAGAATTTGACCAGCGGTTACACACAGGCAGAGTTTAGATGCATTAGTATTTGTAAATATACAAACCAATTTAGGGAGTTAATCGAATTTCATTATTTCTAATCCTAAAGCTGATTTCCTACTGGGACCAGAAAGAATTCTGTTCTAAGCAAGTTACTAGAAACGTAGTATGTATATGACAGTGGGGGTGGCTGCGTGTTGAGTTCTGCTGAATCACTGGGCATAGGCTATTCTTGGAGACAGGACACTAGATTTGAAAGAATAGTGTTCTCACCTGATACACAAATGCTATGTTCCTCAATAACTATTGATAGGTGAATGTTAATTTCTCTGACATGAACACGAGTCCATATTCCACCCTATCCCTCAAAGGTTATTAATAGTATGCGGTGTTCAGTGGTTGTACTTAACAATATAACAGTATTATGTTCTGTACTTATACTTACAAAGCAATTTTGTAATGCCTCTTATTTACTTTATGGTATTCTGCAATGCCTAGGGAACAGTAACTTAGACAGAATCAGCCAACCACAATAACAAAGTGAGGCATGTTTTATTATTGCTCTAATAGTAGACTTTTGATATTCAATTACCCAACAGTTGCCTGGTGCTTGGGTTTGAGGTTGTTTTGAGGAATCAATTTCTATCTCCCTGATGCCCACTCTACATAGTATAATCAGTAATCATTTGGTAAATGCTAAATTCCAGTATGATAAAATTTATTTTGGCCACTTCCTTGACCTCTCATTGACCAATACCAAATTCATTTGAACTGAAAAATTTAGGGTAGTGCACTGATTCTCAAATTTGGCTGCAAGTTGGTATTATCTATGGGATTTTAGGAGATGTTAACTGAGTCATACTCCCAGAAATTCTAATATTTGACTTGTATGGAGATTCTCGAAAATTCCTTGGGTAATTCTAACATCTAACAAAAATTTAAGAAAAAGAAATGTAGTATTTAAAAGTGCATGCTCTGGAGTCATACAAGTCTGGGTTTATACTCCTGCTTCCTTCTTACTAGCTGTGTAACCCTGGGCTAGTTTCAAAATTCTCTAAGCCTTAATTTCCTTATCTTTAAAGTTAGGATAAAATGTTATTGTAAGTTTTAAATGGGTTAATACATGTGAAGAGTTTTAAGAGTATCTGGCACATAGAAAGCACTCAATAAATATTTTAATACTAGACTAATTATTAATTCAAGGCTAGAGGGGTCTTGAAAGTAGGATAGAAATGAGTTGAGCAAGGCATGATGCATTCTAGGAATGATGTACAATTCATGGAGGCTGAAATATGGTGTGGATAAGATAGACTAGAGACAGTTAAGGCTGGAGACATAGTTTGACATGAAATATTGAGAGTTATGTATTTTAAGTTTTATGGCTGGGTTTTTACCTTTAAATAAACGGTGATTTTCAACACTTAATATTTGGACACACAGATGTTTGTAATTGCTTGTGAGTTATGTCTTGGGTAAAGTAAAAACTAGATTCATATTTATTCATACTGTAATATTGCCCTCTCTCGCTGGTATTCTTCTATCTTTCATTGAGTATGAGAGAATAGGGTAGAATGCAGCAGTTGTATTGGTGATTACTCACAACCCACCATCCAACTTATCTTAGGCCCAGCCCACACTTACTTGGAGTATTTTTAATTAGGATTAAGCATTATTTCTTGGTTGTGAGATATGATTTTAGAATTATATTTATTGTTTTCATCTATGCATGAACTTCTGCTTCAAGCCATGATGCAGCAACTAGTACTGGACCAGGCCTTCTGCCATAAACAATGAACAAAAAACTAGAAAAGTAGACACATGTAGAAGAAAACTGTTTTCAGTTATTAGAGAACAAGAAGTATACAAGATCCATAAGAAGTGGAAAACAAGCAAGGCGAGCCCTGTGATCACCTCGTTTTCTTCTTGGAAGCATTTACTAGACCCAAGTAAAGGAAAAGGAATCCAAGAGGAATCCAGTAGTCTTGCTGAACTGAAGAGACAGAGATTAGAGTTTGGGGAAGCTGAAGCTGCCAGAATTTGTAGGATGGAGTACCACCAAAGTGGGAACTACGCAGAGAAAGAGGTTAAAAACTCTGCTTGGGGTCCCCTTAAGTTTTGGGCTGAATAGTAAGTTGCAGGTGTGTAGGGTAGGACTATTCAACGCTTGGCAAAGAGCAACTACTGAGGAAGAACAACTGCTAAGGAACTGTAAACTGAACAACTAGTTCTCACGCAGGGCAGAGAGCCAAATGTTCTCTAGCCAGTGAAGAAAGACTTCATGGAACACCTAGGGTATTTTATAAAGATCCCAGACGGCCCATGCCCTAGGAGTAAGAAAAAATTGAGTAAAGACTTCTCTAGATCTGTTCTAACAACAAAAATAGCAAGAAAAAGCCTCCACAGGAACAAGCTGATCTGCCAGTAAATTATCTGCCTTCCAGATCAAAGATTTAACATTTTCAAAGGAAAACAACAAAATTCAGATATTGAACACCATAACTTTCACAATGTTTAGCTCCACCCAAAAATTATATGCTATATAAAAAAGCAGGAAAATGTGAACCATAATCGTAGAAACAGATTCAGAAATGAGAGCGATGATAGAATTAGCAGATAAGGAAATTAAAATATGTATTATAAATATGTCAAGAATTTAAAGAAAACATGAACACAATAAGAAGCGAAATGGAAACTATTAAAAAAAATTGATCTTCTAGAGATAAAAAAAACTTCTTTATCCAAAATGGAAAATTCACTTGATGGATCTAAGAGCAGATTGCTTAAGAAAACATCAGTGAAGTTGAATATAGGACAGTAGAAACTATCAAAACTGAAGCATAGAAAGAAGAAAAGCCTGAAAAAAAATTAATATTGCCTTTCAGACCTGTGGACAATGTCAAGGAATTTTGCATATCTTTAATTGGAGTCCCAGAAAAGGTAGACAGCACAGAAGAAATAATATTTAAGAAAATAATGGCTGGATTTTTTTCTGTGTTGATTTAAACAAAAACCACACATATCCAAGAAGTTCAACAAAATTCAAATAATATAAGCACAAAAATTATATTAAGGCATATCATAATAAACTCACGGAAAGTCAATTATAAAGAGAAAAATCTCAGAGCAGCCATATTGAGAAAAAGAAAAGATGTTGTACACAAGCAAACAAAGACATAAATGACCAGAAACAATGCAAACCAAAAGACAAAGGAACATCTTTAAAGTGCTGGGGGGAAACAACAACTCAGCAAAACAAAACAAAAAACAACAGCTTAGATTCTTTATCAAGCAAAAATACCTTTAAAAAATAAGGACTACATACATTTTGAGATAACCAAAAGCTGAAATAATTTATTGCTAGAATATATCTTGATAAGAAGTGTTAAATGAATTTTTAGAAGGAAAATGATACAAGATGAAAACTCAAATTTACATAAATAAATGAAAAGTATGAGAAATATAAATATACTGATACATATAAAAACTTTTTCCATTAAAATTTTAAATAAAATAATGTATTGGTCTAAATTTGTTAGTCTAAAACAAGAATAGAAGTAAAATGTGTAATAATAAAAATGGACAGAGTAAGTTGAAAAATAGAGCTGTATTATCTTAAATTATTCATAAAGTATAATATTATTTGAAGGTAGATTTTAATAAGTTAATAATATTGTGAAAATAGAGCAACAACTGAAGAAAGACATTTAGCTTAGCTATGTAGCTAATAAATTGAAAGAGGAGATAAAATACTAAAAAGAAAAGTTTTTCTTAAAAAAGAAAAGTTTTTTTCTTAAAGAAAAAAACGAAGAAAATACAGATGGGATAGAGAACAAACAGCAACATAGTAGAATTAGATCCAACTATATAAAACATTATATTACGTAAATAGACCAAACATATCTACTAGAAGGCAAAGATTGAATGAAAAATTAAGAAATGGGTAAATACTACTTATAAGTAATATACAGGAAACATAAAGGAAAATAATAAAAAGTTATACTATGCAAATCATGCAAATAGTATAAGAAATTTGGAGTGGCTTTATTTATATCAGACAACATAGACTTTGAAACAAATATTAGCAGAGCTTTAGAAGGATGTTTAAAAACATCAGCTCATTGAGAAGATATGACAATCTTATATGTGTATACCTTTAAATGACAGTTTCAAAATACAAATCTGATAAGACTGAAGACAGAAAATAGACTAAATCCACGATAATCATTGGTTATCTCAGCATTCTTCTCTCAGCAATTGATAGAACCAGTAGACAAAAAAGCAGTGCGTAGAAATCTTGAAAAATAATGTCAACCAACCTGACCTCATTGACATTTGTAGAATATTGCACCTAATAACAGTACCGTGTGGATGCTTTTAAAGTGCTAATCTTGCTGTATTTTGGGATATAAAACAAGTCTTTACATATTTAAAGTGATTAAAATCATGCAGAGTATGTTTGCTGACCGTAATGGAATTAAATTAGATAGTAATAACAAAAAGATATCTAGAAAATCTCCAAATACTTGGAAATTAAATAACATGCTTCTAAATTGTCTGTGGATCAAGTAAGCAATTAAAAGGGGAATTAGACTAAATGATTACAAAAATGCAGCATATCAATTTTTTTCATCTAAAGTGTACTTAAAAGGAAAGCTATAGTAGTTAAAACAGTGCTCTGAGGGAAATTTATATATTTAGATATGCATATTAGAATAAAAAGAAAGGTTAAAAATCAGTGATCTAAAATTCCACCTTAGGGAGTTAGAAATAAAAAAGAAAATTAAATACAAATTGGATAGAAGAAATAATAATGTAACTTGAAACATTATATATCTAAACATAAAAGTGGAAACTGTAGAAGTTCTAGAAGAAAATAAAGGAGAAAATTTTCACTGTCTTGAGATGAAAGATTTCATAGGGCACTAAAAGTATGAACTTAAAAAATTGATAAATTGGACTTTATCAAAACTAAAAACATCTCCTCAAAAGGAACAATTGAGAAAATGAAAAAGCAAGGTACTAAGAATATATTTCCAATTCATACAGCTGCTGAATAACTTACATACAGAATATATAAATAAAAAACCTCTTAAAACTCAATATTAAGAAGACACATAATCCAATTAAAATGATCAAATACTTCAAACAAAATAAGATACACAAAACATCAAGAAACACATGAAATAATGTTCTATTTCCTTAATAATCAGGAAAATGAACATTAAAATAATAGGATATACCACTATATACGTACTTGAATGGCAAGAATGCAGAACAACTGTAATTGTCATACATTGCTGATGGGAGTGTAAAGTGGTACAACTACTTTGAAATATAATTTGCCAAGTTCTTAAGCACGTTCATTTAACACAGCAATTCAATTTTAGGCATTTATCCAATAGAAATAGAAACATATATCCACACAAAACTTGTACACAAATGTTTATAGTAGCTTGTTATTATTATTAGCTCCAAACTAGAAACATGCAAATGTTCATTACCATGTGAATGGTTAAACCAATTAACCATATTACTTAGAAATAAAAAGGAATAAATTACCTACACATACAACAATATGGATGAAGTTAAAAAGCATAATGCTGAGCAAAAGAACTTATACCCACGCACATACACTGCCTGCACACAAATACACGGCATGATTTTATGTAAATGAAATTCTAGAATGGACAAATCTTATCTGTAGAGACAAAAGCACATTAGCAGTTGCCTGGGATGGTTGGGTTGGAAGGACTGACTGGGAAGGGGTACTAGGAAACTTTCTGTGGTGATGGAAGTGTTCTTGATTGGTTTGGTGTCACACAAGTGTGTACATCAAATTACACACTTATGTATATTAAATAAATAGCTTGCCAAAGTCAACTGAAGACATGAGTATGCATCTGCATGTACATTATAGACATAAGCAAGAGCATTGCTAAGAAGTGTTTCCATACTAATGACAAATTATTATAATCATGGCGCTGGCATACCATGTCAGTTTTTATAAATACCATGAAATTTATATAAATTTGGTTTTAACTTTGGCAGAAGACATTCTAAACTGTAGGCCATTGTCCTTTTAAAAATAAATACTTAGCTATAATGTTTGATGTTACTATGTAAAGCTTAAAGCTTAAAAATGCTCTCTCTCTGTCACATTATTTAACATTTTTTTTGTGATGTCATCAAAGTCAGCTGACACCCAGGGGAATGTACTTAGCCCTTGAATAACATCCAACATGTCAAGTAGCAGATAAAAACAAAAGATTGCAAATTGGGTAAACATTTGGACAGTTCACAGATTTGTAACTAGTGTATAATTTGATCACATTTGTTTTATTTAAAGAAAATCTGACAATAATATAAGCTCATGTAGGGATTGCCCTGGTGTTAGAGAAACCAGTGTAGAGATCAGTAGTCCAGGCAAGGTATAATGGGTGTTTGAATTAAAGTATAATAAGGTATAATCAGAGAACATGCTAAAGAGATATTTGTTATAGTTTGGTTAGTCATAAATTTAATGACCTACAATGGAACCTCTTAGGTATCCCATCATAACAAAAATAAAATGCAGTATTCTCCTCATGCCCTATGTAGTCCTGCATGGTATGGTCACTGCCTGCTTCCCAGCCTCATCTCTGAATAATGTCTCCTGCTCCCCTTTCTACTGAGCACCAACCACAGCGATCTTCTCACCTCTAAACACAAGGTCATTGCCTCCTCAGAGACTTTGTACTTGCTGTTCCTTTAGCCTAAATGCTCTTTAGGTGTATCTTCTCATCATTTAGGTTTAAGTTCAGATACCAACTCTTTGGCTCCTTCTCATCAGTTAGGTTTCAGTTCAGATACCAACTCTTTGGAGAGCTCTTTCCTAACAATGCTCCTGCCCAGCCTTGCTATCACATTATCGTTTCTGTTTAGCATGTATCACAATCTAAGGTTATCTGTTTACTATTTTATGTAATCCATTACTACCACTACAATGTAAATTTTATAAGAGTACCTTAACTGTAATATTCTCCAGTGAAATCCCAGGGCCTACAATAATGCATAGCACAGATATTTTTGAATGGAGACGTATTTAAATGTTTTGGTTGGTAAAGATTATGAATGAAAAGTCATAAAATATATTTTAAATTATATTTTTATAATTGATTATATTTATAAAATAAATATAAAAATATATTTTTAACATATATATTTTATTAACATATATATCTTGATTATATGTTGCATTGTTTTGTAGGACTCACTGTAAGTGTAACTCAAAGTAATAGCTGAGAGGGTACATATCATCTCTCCTTTGTTGTCATATTCTCACTACTTCTCACTACTCCATCTATTTTCTGGATCAATCATTCATTCAGCATTTATTGAGAACCTATGGGCATATGAAGATAAAGACATACACAACTGAAAAGGTGAAAAAGATGCATGAAAATGTACTGTGAAGTTCAGAAAAGGAGGAAATATTTATGCTTTAAAGAGGGGTTGAGGAAGTGGGAAAATCTTGGAAAAGGATTTGACATTTCAGCTTGGTCCTAAATGATAATAGAAGTATATGAAGAAGAGATAGAAAGAAAGGGCTTACCAGGCAGAGGGAACAACTTAAGCAAAGATAAAAGATATAGAAGTTGAGGAAGTCACTTGTGATGACCAAAATATAGTGTGCATTGGAGGTGGTCTGGTAGAAGGTGAGGTTGGAGAAATATGTTGAGGTCTGATAATGAAGGGCCTTGAATACCATGCAAAGAACTTTATCTAGTAGGTAACTGAGGAGCCATCAAAGGATTTTTATCCATGAATGTGACCAGGTTTGTGGTTTAAAAGAAATTCTTGCAATAGTTAGGGTAAGGGAGTGAGTCTAAAGGCATGAAGATTATAGTTGAAAAATCATTGAAAATTTCCAGCCAAGATATGACAAAAGCCTAAATTAAAGCTGGGACAGTATGAATAGGTAGATAAGAACTGATTTCAGGATTAGAATTGATGGGTCTTGGGACTCATAAGAGAGTGAGGGAAAAAAGGGAGATAGTGCTGACTCTGAGTTTCTGGTTGGAAGTCATAGATGGGCTGTAATTGATCCACTGTGACCTGCAATTGATTGGCCCTCTTGGTTCACCTCATTTCCTTCATTGACCTTTCTCCCCAACCTTAACTCCAGGACAGAGGTTTCCTTCTACTTTGGGCTCATTAATACCTCTTTTCATTCACCAGGTATGGAGCCTGCTAGCTAATCAATCTTCATGAGCAACCTTTCCTTTTCCTGTGTGTCAGCAGCTGAGTATCTTAAAGATTGATTCAATATGCTCTCGATTTTGTCAAAACTCTTACAGGATACCTGGAGAGCTATTTCACTGCCTTGTAGGTTTGTTCATCTGCTAACAAACTGCTATAATACTTTAATTCATTCAACTTTTTCTTATTATCTTCTTGTATTCACTTATATTGGTCCATAGATGATATTAGCTCCATCCTCAATGGTCTCCACAGGTTTGCTCTTAGTCATTATGTGAGATGTAGATTTCTGACTGTGGATTTAATATTGAGATGAGTTCTGAGATGAGTTTTAAAAATTTTGAAAGGCCAAGAGACAATGTATAGTGGGTGGTTTCTTACTTTTCAGTGCTTACAACCTAAATGAAAAGATGACTTTCATCCCTTCCCTTCCTCCCTCCCTTTCTCCTTTTCTCCCTTCTTCCTTTCCTTGTTCCTTCCTTCCTGCCTTCCTTTCCTCCTCAATTAAATAAAATTTAGTATAAGTACTGCAAAGGCATCCAGAATGAAAAGATAAATAAAATATAAAGGTCTCTGATCACACAACAATCAATAATTAAGTGACAAATTATATGATACAGAACTTAAGCCTAGATGTAACAGAGTAGGCCTCTTAAAGAAGCTAGTACTAGCAGGGCATGGTGCCTCATGTGGGTATTCCCAGCATTTTGGGAGGCCGAGGCATGCAGATCACTTGAGTGCAGGAGTTAGAGACTAGCCTGGGCAACATGGCAAAACTGTGTCTCCACCAAAAATACAAAAAATTCGCCCAGTGTGGTGGCATGCGCCTATAATCCCAGCTACTCAGGAGGCTGAGGTGGGAGGATTGCTTGAGCCACGGAGGTGGAGGCTGAAGTTAGCCAGTTAGCTGAGATCATGCCACTACACACCAGCTTGGGTGACAGAGTGAGACCTGGTCTCAAAAAAAAAAAAATGCTAAGCTAGTACTCATTTAGAGAATGATTATTATTAGTAGTAATAGGTTTAAGAGCTCTCATAAGTATGGGGAATCTTCATTTTAGGAAATTAGCACATAAAAATCAGTATATGTGGAGAAGTCGAAAAATGTGGGCTGGAAGTTGTACAGTTAGATGGACTCAAAGTTGGCTTTTGTAATTATGAGCAAACTGGAACTGTGTCAAGGTGAATAAAATTTTCTAGGAACAGGTGGTAGGGCCCTGGATGGCAGGACTAAGTAATGCAAAGCTGGCTTATCAAAGTTATAGTCAGTAAAACAGAGTTTTATTAGATAGCATGCTACATCAAAGTAAACATGAACATGGAAATATATAACTTCTGAGTCAAAACTGTCAAAACAAAACGAATGTAGGTTCACAAAACAAACTATGATGGCATTGGAGCAACTGGCCTTGGCTGGAGATCACTGGAAAGTTCTTGGAGAGTTGTAGTTGCCCATGAGATCTGTGTAACTGTCGGTGACATTGCTGCTAAAAAGCTAATCAAATGTTTTATTGTACATCAGTGCAAAGAGATCACAGGGGCAACACTTCCTGAAAACAGTCTTGCCTAACCACCTGTGAAGTTGAATGGAATATTCGGTTCTGTGTACCTTATGTGTAGAGGGTCGTCTACAAGCTAGAGCTTGCTCTGAGAATACCACTGACGATGTTGCAGAAACTGTGCTGCATCAGAGCTAGACAAGAGATGACTGTGAGAAAAATCTGAACAATTTTGAAATTTTGAAAGATCACAAAAGAGTAAATAGATTTGTTCTTTTTTGGTCCAGAGGGCAGAACAGCATCAATAGGCACAAATCCTGGTGAGGCAAATTTGGACCCAAAATCAGAGAAAGAATTTTTAATTGGTTATTCTATAAACAATTCAGGAAGTTTCCATCATCTCTACAATAAAGGCCTTTTTACTGAGAGTGTTCAAAGTCTACACAGATGGCCACTTGTCTGAGATGTCACTAAATGAAATCCCGTAAGGATGGTGAGTTAAATGAGATGATCTATAAGCTTGCTTTCAATACTGAGTCCAAATACAGCCTTACTTCTTGTATCTTTTCTTAGTAGAGGAAGTTGCATAAAATACTGGTTAAAGTAATAATAAAATTATGGGGAAGGTGGGGGGGGAAATATTAAATATTATTAATGTATTATAATGATTGTAAATTAGTCTAAGAACACAGGGCAATTTTGGTAGAGATTTTGGAAGTTGTTTTGAATTAATTTAAGTCAAGAATGGATTTATTTCATTTTCATACCAAAGTGAAATGGGAACCAGTAATATATTCCATACACCCTTCTGAAAGTTGTCCTATTCCCTAGTGTGGAAAGGATAAAAAATACCTAGTTGTTAGGCCTCAGGTTAGGCATTTTATTCCACAAATACTAATGTTGAACATACATGGGTCACTTTATATTTGCCAAGTATTTTTAAGAGTTATTAATTTGTCTTCATAATAACCATGGGAAAGCAATGAAGTTATATCTCTACTTACCAGATGAAAAAACTGAGGCCACATGCATGCAGAATCACCAAGTGTATCAGTTTTCAAAAGACTTGAAGTTTTTTTGGGGGGAGGAATTGCTTTTATACTATATTTTCAGACAGTGAATCTAAGAAACAAAGTAGTTGATATGATTCATTCATTAACATTGCCCTAAACATCAGGCTGATTCTTTTTTGGAGGGAGTCTCACTTTGTGAGCTTCTCTGATAATTTTATAGTTATTATAATAATAACACATTTTAAAAATTTGTAACTCATTTTTGCAGTCTACAAAGAAACTTAAATTATTAAATTTCATTTAACAGACAAAATTAAATGTGTTCTTAACTGCCCTACATGCTACAAACAGTTGTTTTTATAAATCCAAGGAAAAAATCTAAGCAAACTTGTTTACCATTGGTTAAATAAAGTTGAATTTCAAATGATATAGTTCTTATAATTTATTACTTGGCACACAGATTTATTCTAAATTACCACATTAGCACTGAATCATCCAGAATAGCATCTGCTGGAAGACCACCAACAGAATCCCAGGGATTGGATGCAGTCATTACAATGACAATAAACACCAAATTGGCAACCTTTGAGGCTGGCCCTTTTGTTAAAACACATTATATTTTTCAAAACTTCAGCTGATTCTACACCAGTGATCTCAACTTTCAAAAAAATTCTGTACATTCCTGTTGCTCACTTCATGTTACTATCTGTAATCTAGTGACCATGTCATATTTCAAATGATTTAAAGTTGATTTTAAGTTGCTTGAAAATAATTTGCTAATTTTGTCATATACATTATTATAAAATTGCACTTGGAAATTACTGGGATTAAAGCATTATTATTTCAAAAACATCAAGATTGCATTAGTTTGCTACAGCTGCTATAGCAAATTACTACAAACTGTATGGCTTAAAAGAACAGAAATTTATTGTCTGCAGTTCTGGAGGCTGAAAGTCCAAAATCAAGGTGTTTACAAGCTTGTGCTTCCTCTGAAACCTCTAGGAAAAAGATATGTTTGAGGCCTCTCTCCCAGGTTCCTGTAACTTCAGGCATTCTTTGTCTTACAAATGGGTGTCTTCTCCCTGTGTCTCTTTATGTTGTCTTCCCTCAGTGTGCTTCTGTCTTGTGTCCAAATTTCCCCTTTCCAATACAACACCAGTTGTATTGGATTAATGCCCACCCTAATAACTTCATTTTAATTTGATTACTTCTGGGTAGTCACAGTGACTCATGCCTGTAATCCCAGCACTTTGGGAGGCGAGGTGGGTGGATCGCTTGAGTCCCAGGAGTTCAAGACAAGCCTGAGCAACATGCCAAGACCCCATCTCTACAAAAAAATTAAAAAACAAAAATTTCCAAGTGCAGTGATGCACACTTGTAGTCCCAACTACTAGGGAGGCTGAGGCAGAAGGATCGCTTGAGCCCGGGAGGCAGAGGTTTCAGTAAGTCCAGATGGCACCACTACACTCTAGCCTGGGTGACAGAAGGAGACCCTGTCTCCAAAAACCAACAAGCAAAACCCAACAACAACAAAAAGAACAAAAAACAAAATTTGATTACTTCTATATGAACCCTGTTTCCAAATAAAGTCACATTTCGATGTATTGGGGGTTAGAACTTCAACATACCTTTTTGGGGATGTTGGGGGGAGGACAAAATTCAATCCATAACAATACTGTTACTTCTAGAAACTTGATCAATCAATTCAATGCAGTGAGGAAAATCATGCAATTATTTGAAGAAGTTTGGCAACCAAGTTAGCAAAAAAAAATTTAAGCTTTTACTTTTTTATTTTTGACATTTCTTTAAACTGAGTTACTATATGGTTGCATTTCTTCTTCTTTTCCTACCAATAATTCTTAAATAATATTATTATATGATATTTGATATACAAAATAATGTGACATATTTATGTATATCATAACCTATAAAAATAACTCATTGCATAAAGTGGTTGAATAGTATGGAAGTTGTCTTTGTCTCTCTTGAGTGAATTCTTTTTCCTTCTGGTTAGGTGTAAACAAAACTCTGAATTTGATATTCATCATTACTTTGTTTTTCTTTATATTATATACCTATATGATATACATATATACATACATATGAAATACATATAGGGTTGTATATGTAAAGCACATCTATCTGTGTATCAATCATCTTCAATGTGTTGTCTAACTCTGCAAGTTTTTGAACTTTATAAAAAATAGCATAATACTCTAGTTAGCCTTTCACAACTTGCTTTTCGTTCTTTCAAAATTAGAATCCTAAGATTCACTGACATATCTGTTATTTATTCGTTTTCACTTGCTTGTGGTGTTTCGTTGAACAAATCCCCTCCCCTTGAAAGTGTCTTCTTGGCTGTTCTTAGCACTTTAATCACATACATTTTAGAGTTAACTTGCTAAATTTTAAAAATATTTATTTAAATTTTAAGTGAAGTTTTATTGTCTAAGATTAATTTTGAGGAGAACTGCTATCTTAAGTATATTAAGCTATCTGATCCATGAACATGGTATTTTCTCAACTTACATAAGCATTTAAAAATATATTTCAATTCCATCTGGAATATTTTTTTCTGCCTGAAGAATACCTTTCATATTGCATTTAGTTCAGATTTGAGTTAATTTTTTTCTTGTCTGAACATTTTTTTTTAGTTTTTATTTTTGAGGACTCTTTTCCTTGAGTTTAAAATTTTATAACACTGGTTATTTTCTTTTGGCATTTTGAAAATTATTTCATTGTCTTCTAGATTTGACTTGTTCTGTGAGAAAGTCAGCCATCAGCTGCTCTGCTCATTTATGTCCTTTGAAGATTAGTATATATTTTTCCTCTAGCTGGCTATAGGACCTTTGGTATGCCTAGATGTGATGTCCTTAATATTTATCTTGCTTGAATTTTTTTTTCAAAATGCAAAAAGAAAAGCATCTTTTCTGCTTCTTTCTCATTCTTATCTCTTCTTGGACTTTATGTGTAGACTAAAAATTTTAATTGTATTATCTATTTTTCTTATACTCTTATTTTTTTTTCATCCTATTCTTTTTGCTGTCAGCTTTATCTGGGATATGTTCTATTGACATATTTTTGCCTATTGACATTATGTTGCCTATTGACAACATTTCTATTGACATATTGATATATCTTCTCATGTATCTTGGGTATATGTTTATATTCTAAGTCATCAATGGTCCCTTTAGTTCTGTGTATTTTGTAGTTAATCCCAGCCATTGAGTTCTTAAGTGCAGTTAGTATATTTATGTGTTCCAGAATTTCCAGTTTTTATAGTTTGAAGCTGTCAAAATTGCCAATCTTGTTTTTTATATTTTTGAAAATATTAAGCATATTTTTGAGTTCTTAGCTGATAACTGTATTATCTAAATTCCCTGTGGATCTGTTTCTATGTTCTATTATTTCTCTTGGGTTTTGATTACATTATATTGCTTGCTTATATTTCTAACTACTAATCACTGTGTTAAAAAAGTAAAGGTAATTTGAGACTTAGAGTATGTGTTAACTTCCACCAAAGAAAATTTATTTTTATTTTTGACAGGTGGCTAAGGGCACTAGCAATCAAGGTTTCCTTTAGTTTAAATAAGGATTTAGTTCATTTGAGGCTATTTTTGTTTTGTTCATCTTTATTTGAAAGTTTAGGAGATTTGCCAGTCCCTCTTGCTTGGCAGGCTCTGAACTTGAGTTTCTCTCCATCTATCATGAGTCTGCGAAGCTGCTCTGCTCAGCCTTTGTTTTAAAAACAGTAGAGGCCCATAGGGGAAAGTAGGCTCAAATGTAGGGTGATTTCTCTGGGTGTTTATCATTTTCTGAATTTTGACTTCATTTTATATTTTCAATGAATTGAAACATATTATTTAAAACATTTGCCCACATGTATTAGTTGCTTTAAGGGTTGATCTGAAATATCTAGTCTACCATTATTGTAAACAGAATTCCCTTCCACTAATTTTTAAAAATTCAGGGTGTGTGTGTGTGTGTGTGTGTGTGTGTGTATTATTTCAAAACATTTATTTTCCAAATCTAACTGGTCATATTTGATAGTCTCTTGGTCATTGCTCATGTATCTTGATTTTTTTTCTTTTTAAAATATTTTATTCATAATTATTTTATTTTATTTAATATTTTTAGAACTCCACAGGCTTAGGGGTTTAAACTTGTGGAGTTTTTCTTCACATACACTGTGGAGTCTTTCTTCATGTGCATAGTAATTTTATTGTATTATGAGCTCATACTTTGTTGAACTTCTTTGAGAATCTTGGGGGCCTAACTTGGGGGTACCTTCCTGCAGAAAGAACTTGTACTTGCTCCTGGTGGGTACTGTTGAATAGAAGTTGGTACCACTGTAATATAATATGTCAGCTTCAGGTTTCTCTGGCCACAGGAAGAATATATATCTGAAATTGTGACCTGAGTGACAGCAGGTCTATAGGCTAATTCTCAGGAGAAACGATGAAACTGTTTTTTTTGTTGTTGTTGTTAATTATACTTTAAGTTCTGGGGTACATGTGCAGAACATGCCGGTTTGTTACATAGGTATACACGTGCCATGGTGGTTTGCTGCACCCATCAACCCATCATCTACATTATGTATCTCTCCTAATGCTATCCCTCCCCGAGTCTCCTACCCCCTGATAGGGCCCACTGTGTGATGCTCCCCCACTCCATGTCCACGTGTTCTCATTGTTCAACTCCCACTTATGAGTGAGAACATGCAGTATTTGGTTTTCTGTTCTTGTGATAGTTTGGTGAGAATGATGGTTTCCAGCTTCATCCATGTGCCTGCAAAGGACGTGAACTCATCCTTTTTTATGGTTGCATAGTATTCCATGGTGTATATGTGCCACATTTTCTTTATCCAGTCTATCATTGATGGGCATTTGGGTTGGTTTCAAGTCTTTGCTATTGTGAACAGTGCCACAATAAACATGTGTGTGCATGTGTCTTTATAGTAGAATGATTTATAATCCTTTGGGTATATACTCAGTAATGGGATTGCTGGGTCAAATGGTATTTCTGGTTCTAGATCTTTGAGGAATTGCCACACTGTTTTCCACAATGTTTGCACTAACTTACATTCCCACCAACAGTGTAAAAGTGTTCCTATTTCTCCACATCCTCTCCAGCATCTGTTGTTTCCTGACTTTTTAATGATCGCCATTCTAATTGGCGTGAGATGGTATCTCATTGTGGTTTTGATTTGCATTTTCTAATGGCCAGTGATGATGAGTTTTTTTTCATATTTGTTGGCTGCATAAATGTCTTCTTTTGAGAAGTGTCTGTTCATATCCATTGCCCACTTTTTGATGGGGTTGTTTGTTTTTTTCTTGTAAATTTATTTAAGTTCTTTGCAGATTCTGGTTATTAGTTCTTTGTCAGATGGATAGATTTCAAAAATTTTCTCCCATTCTGTAGGTTGCCTCTTCACTCTGCTGATAGTTTCTTTTGCTGTGCAGAAGCTCTTTAGTTTAATTAGATCCCATTTGTCAATTTTGGCTTTGGTTGCCATTGCTTTTGGTGTTTTAGACATGAAGTCTTTGCCCATGCCTATATCCTGAATAATATTGCCTAGGTTTTCTTCTAGGTTTTTTATGGTTTTAGATCTTAGGTTTAAGTCTTTAATACATCTTGAGCTAATTTTTGTATAAGATGTAAGGAAGGGATCCAGTTTCAGCTTTTTGCATATGGCTAGCCAGTTTTTCCAACACCATTTATTAAATAGGGAATCCATTCCCCATTGCTTGTTTTTGTCAGGTTTGTCAATGATCAGATGATTGTAGATATGTGTTGTTATTTCTGAAGCCTCTGTTCTGTTCCATTGGTCTATATATCTGTTTTGGTACCAGTACCATGCTGTTTTGGTTACTGTAGCCTTGTAGTATAGCTTGAAGTCAGGTAGCGTGATGCCTCCAGCTTTGTTCTTTTTGCTTAGGATTGTCTTGGCTATGTGGGCTCTTTTTTGGTTCCATATGAAATTTAAAGTGTTTTTTTTTCCAATTATGTGAAGAAAGTCAATGGTAGCTTGATGGGGATAGCATTCAATCTATAAATTACTTTGGGCGGTATGGCCATTTTCACGATATTGATTCTTCCTATCCATGGGCATGGAATGTTTTTCCATTTGTGTCCTCTCTTATTTCATTGAGCAGTGGTTTGTAGTTCTCCTTGAAGAGGTCCTTCACATGCCTTGTAAGTTGGATTCCCAGGTATTTTATTCTCTTTGTAGCAATTATGAATGGGAATTCACTCATGATTTGGCTCTCTGTTTGTCTGTTATCTGTATATAGGAATGCTTGTGATTTTTGCATATTGATTTTGTATCCTGAGACTTTGCCGAGGTTACTTATCAGCTTAAGGAGATTTTGGGCTGAGACAATGGGGTTTTCTTTTTTTTCTTTTCTTTTCTCTTTTTTTTTTTTTTTTTTTTTTGAGACGGATCCTCACTCTGTCGCCCAGGCTGGAGTGCAGTGGCGTGATCTTGGCTCACTGCAAGCTCCATTCTTCTGGGTTCACACCATTCTCCTCCCTCAGCCTCCTGAGTAGCTGGGGCTACAAGCACCCGCCACCACACCTGGCTAATTTTTTTTTTTTGTATGTTTTTTTAGTAGAGACAGGGTTTCACCTTGTTAGCAGGATGGTCTTGATCTCCTGACCTTGAGATATGCCTGCCTCGGCCTCCCAGAGTACTGGGATTACAGGCGTGAGCCACCATGCCCAGCCAGACGATGGGGTTTTCTAAATATACAATTTATGTCATCTGTAAAGAGAGATAATTTGACTTCTTCTTTTCCTAATTGAATACCCTTTATTTCTTTCTCTTGCCTGATTGCCCTGGCCAGAACTTCCAATACTATATTGAATAGGAGTGGTGGGAGAGGGCATCCTTGTCTTGTGCCGGTTTTCAAAGAGAATGTTTCCAGTTTTTGCCATTCAGTATGATATTGGCTGTGGGTTTGTCATGAATAGCTCTTATTATTTTGAGATATGTTCCATCAATACTTAGTTTATTGTGAGTTTTTAGCATGAAGGGCTGTTGAATTTTGTCAAAGGCCTTTTCTATATCTATTAAGGTAATCATGTGGTTTTTGTCATTGGTTCTGTTTATGTGATGGATTATGTTTATTGATTTGCATGTGTTGAACCAGCCTTGCATTCCGGGGATGAAGCCAACTTGATCGTGGTGTATAAGCTTTTTGATATGCTGCTGGATTCGGTTTGCCAGTATTTTACTGAGGAGTTTTACATTAACGTTCATCAGGGATATTGGCCTGAAATTTTCTTTTTGTATTGTGTCTCTGCTAGGTTATGGTATTAGGATGATGGCAGCCTCTTAAAATGAGTTAGGGAGGATTCCTTCTTTTTCTGTTTTTTGGAGTAGTTTCAGAAGGAATGGTGCCAGCTCCTCTTTGTACCTTTGTTCAAATTCGGCTGTGAATTCGTCTGGTCCTGGACTTTTTTTTGGTTGTTTAAACCTAGAGTCCTGGTGAAGACAGACACTTTCCTGATAGGCTTCCATTGCTAGTACACAGATGCTTTTAACTCCTTTTGACTAATATTATAGCCCATTTGAGGTCCAAAATTAATGAAATTCATATCTCATGGATCATTTACTGGATTGTAAGCATGAATATATGTGCCGAATGTGTTGGCTGAAGGAAAATATATCTAAAAACAGATAAAGTAGCATATTAATAGATACGTAAAATAATTCTTTAAGCCAGGGATAATACTTAACAGGGGTTAGGTAGGTAACATAAAGGCATGAAGTTGCTAAGAATAAGACAATAACAACAAGTGGGCAACTGTCTAAAAGATTCAAATTCAAATGTAAAAATGAAGATAGCCACAAAAACATCTCCTGAAAGTACTTGACCCAGAGACTGCCAGTTTTCACGTCTGCCTAAACTCAACAAATACCTTGATAGTATACTTTACACATAGACTTGAATATGTGCTCTTTCCTGATGTTCCTTGACAACATCCAATTTTACATTTAAATGTGATCTATAACAATTTGACTTGCTTAGGCTAATGTATTTTAAACTGCATGCTTGGTATGGCCTTTGTTCTACATTTTTTTTTAAGGTGCAGAAACATCTTTAGCATATATTAAAAATAAATGGTCATGGAGCAAGGATTTGCTAATCACAGTAAATTGAGGAAGTTTGAATAAAAGATCAGTTTTGAAAATTAGTGATTCTAGAGGCTAAAATTAGCAGTTTTCATGATTTAGAGAACAAAAGTTACTATTAAAACATTGTGCATAAAATGTTTCCACCACTAATCCATATTATATGATGATGAGAGAAATGAGGTGAAATAGAAGATTAATGAGAAAATCAATGGTAATTTCTGTCTTACTAAATAAGAGTCGATTTGTATCATCACTATTAGCATGTAAGTATAAATGGGAATAAAATCAGGTCTAGAGGGAAAAGTTGTGTTGAGTTTTATGGCTCAATGTAGGCAAAGTATAGTGCTTAATTCCACAGCTTTCCACTTATTGTGTAATCACACACTTTTTTTTTCATATCCAGCCTAGATATTCAGCAAACTCTTACTATATATCAAGGAAAAAATGCTGCAGAAATATATTTCTTATTTAATTTCTACTATTCTTTTAAATGGCAGTTTGCAGAATGCATCTGGGTGTACAGCTAATGACCCATGAGCAATAAGCAACTGTTTAAGTAAAATGCACTATGAAAAAGCTTTTACCAAACAGCATTTTAATATTTTAAATAGATTTTCCATTGCAGGCTCTTTGTAACTGGATTAGTTCTCTGATGTGTTCTGACAGAGCTGTGGTTAGGGATACTCCATTAACTTTGTCTGTCATCTTATTTTCCCTAGTATCCAGCAGAACACCCTTATATTTCATAATTTGTATTGCTATCAGTGCTGATTTGTAAATGTGCAAATTATAATTAACAACGGCTACTACTTCTATTAAATATTAAATCATTCTTGCAGCTTATGTTTTCCACAGCAGATGGAGCCCTGTGGTATGCAAATGGACTTTCCTTACATTGTCAGCAATATTTAACCTATATTTTAGCTTAAAGAACACATTTTTCCCTGTTTGCTTTATGTTTTCTATAGCACTTAGGTTAATATTTATTTACTGCAGATTCCCTTTCTACCAATAAGAATTTCATGGACTATTACATCCCAGCACTGTGGTTTTGTTTCCCTTCATTAATAGCTCCTAATCATCTAGCTTGCTTGTAAGTACAAGAACTTGTTATTTGTACTGATGCTGCAGTATTGCATAAGAAGCATTTAGTTATATTTTAGTATGTACAGCAGAAGCAAAAATGTTGAGTACACCATCGTAGGTTTTAATTTGAAATCCAATCTATGTGCACATTTTTCGTCCGGAATAAGCAAAAGCATTTAAGGTTTTATATTGTGTTTTAAACATTCTATTAAATGTCATCAGATGATTCAGGAAAATGTATTGCAAAAATATTAGAGAAGTATAAAATGTGTAAGTGTAATAGATGTTTGGGACATGGAGAGGAATCTAAAAGTCCAACATTTATCAGGTAACCATAAACTACGAAGAAACATTGATAGAATGTAACATTCTTATGATATATAGTATCTTAAGCATGAACTCTTATTTCTGGTATTTATTACAGTGCTGTTGCATTAGAAAACACTAATCCAAAATTATTGCAACCTTTCCTAACTGTGGAGTACGAATATTTTGGTTGGGGAATAAGTTTTAACTTTCTTAACAATGAAAGGATATATACTCTTTAAACCCGGCTGGAATCAGAAGGTTGTGTTTTCTTGACAGGTTTTTAATGGCAATTAAGACAGCCGGGGAAACCGTAGAACTCAAAGGCATTAACTGACAAATTAAGCAAAGAGTAATGAAAACTTCGATGTGTTTGAATCATCATTCATTGAACTGTAATTGCCTTAGCAGCACAAAATTAAATTGTAACAAGTAAGGGTCTTGACACTTCCCGCAATTTCTAAAAAAAAGTTTATATATGCCACGGAGGATAAACAGCAGTCACATGAAATACTGGATGTGAGTCTTTTAAATTAATTAATTCTATTTATTTATTAATTGGAATCAGCCATTCAATAAGACACACAAGGTTATTGTAACAGTCTGCCTTTTGGATTCTTAAACATAGAAAACTTTTGGTCTGCCACAGATGATACAATTATAAGAGGGGTCACATTCAATGTGTTCAGCCTGTTGGTTTATGGAAACAATTAGAAATGACTTGCCAGCCCAGCGCGGTGGCTCACGCCTGTAATCCCAGCACTTTGGGAGGCTGAGGTGGGCGGACCACGAGGTCAGGAGATCGAGACCATCCTGGCTAATATGGTGAAACCCCATTTCTACTAAAAATACAAAAAAATTAGCTGGGCGTGGTGGCGGGCGCCTCTAATCCCAGCTACTTAGGAGGCTGAGGCAGGAGAATTGCATGAACCCAGGAGACGGAGTTTGCAGTGAGCCTAGATTGCACCACTGCACTCCAACCTGGGCAACAGAGCAAGACTCCGTCTCAAAAAAAAAAAAAAAAAGAAATGGCTTGCCACTTATGGATCTCCTACACCCAATCCCCCATCCTGGGGGAGGAAGAAAGATTAGGAATACACAGAGATAATTGTTCAGATTTTGACTTTATGGATGTCATTTGAGTATCTAGCTAAAAATACATTAGTTTATTTGTGACTGGCCAAAGAAAGTAAAATCTACGTAGCAGGTTTCTCTCCCCTCCAAGAAAAAGTTTAAAGTTTTAATGCTAGAATACCAAAAAGAGTATTAGAATACTCAGAAAGAAAAGTATATCTGTTTTGCTGAGGATGTCCTATAAGAGTCAAAACAGAGAAAATATAAAACAAATGTTGGATTAATTGAAAGTTACAGTTATGAAACTCACAAGAACAGCCCGACCAATTTTTCTGTGGGCTTTAGAGATGGTGACTTTTCTAATAGATTGTGCTTTAGTTTTGGGTGGGAAGCTGGGAT
Source organism: Homo sapiens (assembly GCF_000001405.40). Lineage (NCBI taxonomy): Eukaryota > Metazoa > Chordata > Mammalia > Primates > Hominidae > Homo > Homo sapiens. The sequence goes on along the minus strand of NC_000001.11, from coordinate 88,237,401 downwards.
GAACATTTGAGTGAGAAAATATGTGTCTGAGTTAGAGCATCTGCTTTCATTACTTAGTTTTCCAGAGGACATTGTGAGTCAAGGAAATGAGTGGGTTTTATCCTGGAAAAGATCCAGGGAAAACTAGATCTTCTTAAGAAGACAAAGGAAGAGCAGATTTCAGCAGCTTTGAGAAGGGAGCTGTGGGCGAGACTGAGTGGGGGGAGGACTCACCCTGTTGGTCTGTGGTGAGCTCTGCTCATCTGGAGTCAGTGAATCCTCTTTCAGCGGCACAGAGACTCGTTCAGGGTTCAGTATTAACCTGTTTAAAAATCTTCCCTTTAGCATATTCCAAATTGAGATGCCCTAAGAGAATAGAATGCCTTTGCATCCGAGGGCTGTGCTTAATGGGCATTGCCTGAAGATAAGGCCTCCACAGAACATTCACAGAAGCAGCACAGTGGGAATGTGAAGAACATAAAGGACTTGGGCTCTGGGTGTGGAATTTTGGATTTAAAATTCAGAGGAGTCTCCATAAGGAGGCTAAATCTTAGAGTCAAGTAATTTCATCAACAATTCCTAAACTATATGTTCGGGAAGAGAGGAGGGGATTTGTATAGCCTTCAAATAGTTTGCATATTTTTGTAGTCTGAAAAATAAAAGTTAGGAGCTAGTGCAAAACTGATGATTGGGGTATATGTGAACATACATACAAAAATCTGTCACAGCAACACAGACTATCAGGCTAATTTCTATCCTTTCTTCATTTGGGGCTGAGGTTAAGGATGAAAATGGGGTGGAGTAAAACAAAAGAAGAAATGGGATACTCCTGGATGAATGAGATAAAAGGCTTGTTTTGTTTTATTTTGACTTTGAATGCCTATCTCATGCTCTGGGGACCTTTCATCATCAGTAACTTCTCATATTTGCTAAATCCAGTGTCCTAAGACATTATTTACTTCCTTGTGTATCTTTGGATCTTTAGCCAGCAACATCTACACAATTAGGTTTAGGTCTTTTGAATTTCTGCTTACTATTTCCTGTGGAAACTCTAATAGTCAAGATCTGTCATCATGCCACCATGAGGCTAGCATATAAAGTGGACACAGTGGAATTCAGTCTTCCTTCATCCCCGTTATACTGCACCCTCTTTCCTGATATAACTGTCCTGTTACCTGCTTCAGGATGCCCAATTACAGCTGTCTTTCCCTGGCATACCTTACTCCCAAGCCATACTTCTCTTCTTGGCATCATCAAAATGTCTAAGTTTTGTGGCCTCTGCCCTCAGTACTAGTTGACCTTTATTTAACAGGCAAATGAAATTAAGTAAGATGCTATTGGCTGATAAGGTCTTTGGATAACATTTGCCTTTTGATAGTAGGTTTTCATTTACATGGACCCAAGGGGGACGTTATAGACCCTGTGCTAAGACCAGTGAGGCAAGAGCACTCTTTGCTTCCCTTCCCAGCAGCAGTTTAACTAATTTGCCAATGAAGGGCTTTGGCTTTCTAGTTAAAGTCCGTGCAATTGTGTAAGGTGCCAAACCAGTGCCTTCTTTAAAAAACAAACAAAACACATGAAAAAAAGCTCATCATCACTGGTCATTAGAGAAATGCAAATGAAAACCACAACGAGATACCATCCCATGCCAGTTAGAATGGCAGTCATTAAAAAGTCAGAAAACAACAGATGCTGGAGAGGATGTGGAGAAATAGGAACGCTTTTACACTGTTGGTGGGAGTGTAAATGAGTTCACCCATTGTGGAAGACAGTGTGGCAATTCCTCAAGGATCTAGAATCAGAAATACTATTTGACCCAGCAGTCCCATTACTAGGAATATACCCAAAGGATTATAAATCATTCTAATATAAAGACACATGCACGTGTATGTTTATTGTAGCATTATTCACAATAGCAAAGACTTGGAACCAACCCAAAGGCCCATCAATGATAGACTTGCTAAAGAAAATATGGCACATACACACCATGGAATACTATGCAGCCATAAAAAAGGATGAGTTCACGTCCTTTGCAGGGACATGGATGAAGCTGGAAATCATCATTCTCAGCAAACTAACACAGGAACAGAAAACCAAACACCACATGTTCTCATAAGTGGGAGTTGAACAATAAGAACACATGGACACAGGGAGGGTACCATCACATATCGGGGCCTGTCAGGGGGTGGGGGGCTAGGGGAGGAGGGATCGCATTAGGAGAAATACCTAATGTAGATGACAGGTTGATGGGTGCAGCAAACCACCATGGCACATGTATACCTATGTAACAAACCTGCACATTTTGCACACGTATCCCACAACTTAAAAAAATATATATATGTATATATATACACCAAAAATACAGTGAAATAAATATCAGTTTTTTAGCACATTGACCAAAATAATGCTTGCTCAAGGATCTGTAGTTTTATGCAAACCCAGTATTAGGCCTAATAGAAAGTAAATACTGAATCTAGGTAAAATTACTCTGCAAGGCATATAGCTTTCAAAAAAATTAAACTCTCCTTGCTTTCTTTATGTTCCTAGTGTTTTATTTTAATTTTTTGTATATTTTGCTTTTGAAGACCCTCAGTGTTTTTGTTATAGATAAGCAAGTTCCCTGGAAAACTTGACTTGAGAGAAAGAAGCTCCATGCAAAAAGCTTTTTTTTTGAGTGGGGTAGAGGGGAAAGCATAATTCAATAACTTTGCAAAATGCTGCAGATCCTATCTAAATTTTGAAGATTTGCAGTTCATCAGTGTATTAAAGGCCCTGAGAAGTCCTGTAGTAAAAAAGCCTGTTTAAATTTGTTTAATTCAGCATTTTCTAAATGTGTAATTCTTCTGTTCACAACATTCTGGGGAACTAGTTTCCCAATTAACACAATCGTAGAGGATGGGGAGGGGTGGTGGCATGCTGCTGTAGACATCTGCTTGTACTCTAATTACTTTAGTAGAAAAGAAAGGAGAAAATGTTGTGTTGCAAGCTGCTGTAGACAGCCAGTAAATACACCCATTTTTTTTTTCACTCATTCATTTACTTATCAAGAATTTCCTAAACAGCCATGTAAACAAGGCTGAATAAGGAGTAGAGCCCCCGACCGACAAAATCCAATCTTGGCCTTGAGGTGTTTAGAAGCATGTTGGGAAAAAATTACATAATAAGAGTAGTCTAGGCAGCATATACATGACTGAATCAATGGTCAGTTGTGAGACAATGTCTTCCAGTGCTTGAGTCCTAACTTCCTGGGATTTGCAGGGACTACTGGATGCTGATGACCGACTGCTGCTTGGACTCAGCCATGTCTATGCAGACATCCAGTCTCAATAAAGAAACAACCAACCAACCAACCAAACAAACAAAAAACACTACTTCAGAGACCTTTCAATCTGTTAGAGCCTTAAGCTGGAGGTAATATTTCCGTTCTCTGATATTGAGGAGAAAGCACAGGGCTTGGAATCATAGAACTTCAGTTTGAATCTTGCCCCCATCCTTCATAGCTTTGTGTTTGGATATATCCCCTGACATTGCAAGGTGCAGACGCTGAGGATACTGTTATTTCTTTTTTCTGGGGTATTGATCTAGAAGGAGCCTGGGAAGATCTAATGAAAACAATTGTATAAATTCATACAGAGTAAAATTCTATGTAAATTTTAGGTGTTATTTTTATTATCCTTGATTCTTTTCCTAAACGAATCAAAATAATGAATCAATATGTAAGACACTATCTTATGTGTTTTCCATTTGTTTTCTCTTTTAATCTTTACAACAGTCCTAAGTGTTAGACACTCTAATTATTCCATTTTACAGATGAGAAAATGGAGGATGGCAGAATTTAAATCAAGGGTTTAAGTTAAATATTTTTGTGTGTGGCTAGATCTTTGTGATGTTCAGCAAATTTGGAATTCATTCATTCATCCATCTGATGTTATTAAGCACCTACTATGTACCCTGTATCGTTCCAAGTCCTGGTTATACAGTAGTGAACAAAATGGATTAAAATTCACATCTTTGTGGAGTTTAAATTCTAGAGAGGAAAAAGGATAATAAGTGTAATAAACATGTAAGCTATGTAGAATGGTAGAAGGCAATAAGTGCTGCTATGGAGGAAAGGGCAAGGGGTGTTGGGAGTGTGGGAAGAAGCAGTGACATATCATTTTAAATGAGTTATACAGGGTTGGCCTGCTGAGATGGTGACTGTTGAGCAAAGATTTGAAGGAGGAGAGGGAATTGGTCTTGCAGACATTGGAAAGAAGTCAGTGGGGACAGCTAATGGTAAAGGTCCTGAGGAGTGAATATGTTGAGTGTGTTTGAGAACCAGTGTATTCCGTGGGGTTAAAGTGTGCCAGGGGAAGGAACGGCCACATCGGAGAGGCCGGATGGTGTGGGGCCTGTAGACCACTGCCAGGGCCCTGGCTTTCTGTCTTTCAGAGAATGGAAGACATGGGAGGGTTCTGAGCAGTGAAGTGATGTGATCTGATGTATGTTTCAAAAAGATCACATTGGCCATTTTGTTGAGAATACACCCTAGGGGTTAAGGGAAGAAGCAGGAAAATAAAAAACAGCCTCATTTCTGGTACAAAATAAAGTGAATTAGAATGTGCTTCCAAGTCTCATTTGGTGTACATTAAACTTGGTTAGTTCATTTTCCATATAGCAAAATGAGTATGCTGGGGAGGCCTTTTTGAACATCTATTTATCTTGACCAAATACTTTCTTCTAGCATCTTGAAGTCATTTATTTGGCTATGTTGGTGCTATAACCAAAATGAGTTTTTCTATAATAGTGACATAAATCCTGGAATTCCACTAGAAGATTAGATTAAATAGGCCTTTTTTTTTTTTGTGGGGTGGGTGGGTAGTATATTCCATCTACTTCTTATCAAAACCAGTATAAGTTCCAGTATAGACTGGGTGGTGATTTGAAAACACCACCTATCTAGGTTCCATCTGAAGGTAGAATATAGACAAATAGTAGAATATCATTAGAAACTATATCCTGCTATGGAAAATTAGGATCAGAATCATGATCTTTTAAAAGCAAGAAGCAGAAAACTGACACAATAGAAATTTGAATTCTTTTTGAAATCATTTTAATCATTGATATTATTATCCAATTCCTAGCTCTCAGTCCTACAAAACTCAACCTGGATGAAGAATTTGATGTTGTTTTTACTGAGCTGATAGAACTAGAAATCACATAACCTTGTAGTAAGCTCATTTATGGATATTCTAGTAACTTTATGGACCATGCTTAGGTTAATGATAGAGCAGAAATGCCATTAAAGTAGAACACTATTAGTTAATCCACTGGTGACAAGCATTAGTGATACTTGAAAAGGAATGAAGAGTTTTGTGGTTTTAGCTCATCCCCTTATTAAGATTTGTAGGTGTTTTATATGAACTTACTCTCCCATTCACCCTCGGCGAATGACTTAGATCCCTTTAGCCTACCAGGAGACATGCTCAAGAAGGCTTCCTGTTGATGGAACATGACTGCCTTGTTTTCTTTCAAAATGCAATACAATTACTTCGGAATTACAAGTATACTATGTGACCAAGAAGCAGCCTCAGTTGAAATACAGATTTCATGGTTTATTGGAAAAGTGAATCATATTTTCTTTATTTACTTAAGAGTTCATGTTTGGGAGTGGAAGTGTAGCAAAGAGAGGAGATTATTTTAAAAAATATTGAATTAATCTGAAGTTCTTCCTCTTCATATTTATTTATTTTATTTTTTCTGAGAATTGACCAATGCCTTCATGAGGGGTATGCTCAGGAAATGACAGTCAATTGCCTGAGAGAAATATCTGTGTTTGAAGATTGGAGGGAGGGCCAAGGGGACAAGTAAGGCAGTCTTATCCTTTGAGACTGTAGTCAGAGATTTAGCAAGAAATTAGAAATGCACAATGTATAGTTTAAGCACATGTATAGCTACCTGAAATCCAGAGTCATTTTAAAACAAAGTAGTTAAGAGGGTATAAATGTTAGTATTCCATTGCCATCCCTGCCACCACAAATCTACAGCCTACTATTTTCCTACCATACATTTCCTAATGATGCTTCTGTTGATAGAAAGCCCCAGTCATTTTTTATTAATGGATGCTGTGACTTCGTCCCACTCTCTTTCCATTGGCACAGCATTTACTGATTAAAGATGCTGGGTGAGTCAGAATATTCCTTGCATAATGATTGGTTACTTGGAATGGGTACCAGCTCTTCCTTTGTGATAAAGAACAGTGTATATAAATAAGGGTAAGAGATTTTCTTGATGTTCAAGGTCTTTGGTCGCTGAGTTACAGACTATAAATTTCCTGGGCCACATTCTAGATGCAGAACTTCCACGGAAGTCAACAAAAGTTTTGTAAAAAAAAATTAACAGCAGGAAAATGCACTATTATTATTTATTATTATTTCTTTTGGCTGCTCTGAAGATAATTTGATGCAGAAAGTATTGAAGAAGTTTTGAGTTTTTTCAGTGATTCATTTTCATGCAAATGTTTATCACATTTCTGGGTATTGTTTTCTTCTATCACATATATTTCCATCTTCCATGGGTAAATCAACATCTTCATCCATATTGCACATTCAGCGGCTGTAAATTCAGCCTGTATTCCCATTAAATGTTACGAATATGTGATTTTCATTTATGATTTTAGTGGGTGTTTCTGAAATTTCCACAGCAGCATCTGGCCAGGAAATAGTCTGTGAATCAGAATTACAACAACTAATTTTATTTTTCTTTTGTAGACTTACTTCTCTAATCCTTTCCTAGCAAACAGGAGGCGATTTGGATTTCTTTCTATTTTAATTCTCAGAGACCCTGCTCATCGACAGACTTTAGGTTTGATTTTGTTTTTCCTGGTATGTATGGTTCAGGGAACAGTGGAAGCAAATCTTGCATCCTCTCCTCTTCCACCCTGTCAACACTCACATCTAGGCCACCACCATGGTTTAATCAGACCAGCGGGAGCACCTCCTAAGAGGTTTTTCACTACATTCAGCTTTGGTCCCTTCTAATCTCTCACTGCTGCTGTTAGAATGATCTTTTAAAAATGCAGATATTATCCTACCTCTCCCTGCGTAAAACCCTTTGTATTGCCCTTGAGATAGAGATCAAATTTCTGAACATAGCTCATGGGGCTCTGCATATTTTGGTCTCTACTTGCTTCTCCAGACAACTATCCCACATTCTTCCTCACTCTTGATGTTCTAAATACAGGAACCTGCCGCCAGGTTCCCAAATCAGCACTTTCTTTCACCTCCAGGTCTTTATATATGCTGCTTCCTTTGCAAGGACAGTCATTCTCCTCTATATGCTCCTGCATATATCCTGCTCATCCTTCAAATCTCTGCTTGAATTCCTCTCTGCTGACAGGCCATTCTTAATGCCATCGATAGGCCCTATATTCCCAAGGTATCCTGCACTTGACCTTTCAAAATAGCCATCACGCATGTAACTTTTTGTTTAATGTCTATCTTCCCCACCAACTGAGCCAACCGCTATCTTTCTGAGGCCCGTGACTCTGTCTGTGTTATTTCTTGATCCCCAGCACCTTGCACAAAATAGTCATTTGCACACCTAATAGGTATGTAATAAATGTTTGCTGATATCACTTTAGTCCTAATTCAACTGCTGTCCTCTGTGACTCTGTTTCTCTCCTATGATTGGAGGCATGTTCATCTTATTTGTTTATTTATTCATTCATTCATTTATTGAGACGGAGTCTTGCTCTGTCGCCCAGGCTGGAGTGCACTGGCGCGATCTCAGCTCACTGCAAGCTCCGCCTCCCGGGTTCACGTCATTCTCCTGCCTTAGCCTCCCGAGTAGCTGGGACCACAGGCACCCGCCACCACACCGGGCTAATTTTTTGTATTTTTAGTAGAGACGGGGTTTCACCATGTTAGCCAGGATGGTCTCAATCTCCTGACCTCGTGATCCGCCCGCCTAGGCGTCCCAAAGTGCTGGGATTACAGGCGTAAGCCACCGTGCCCTGCCATGTTCATCTTTTTCTAAGGACAGGGTGGGGTATTCTTCATTTGAGACTGCACAGATATTCCTCATCCTTCATCCTTCCTCTCTGGAGCTGCTTTCTGATCTAATTTTCACCCTAAAAGCACACTCCATTTGGAATGAGGAAACATCCTCATGTGATTGGGATGGCCACTAGCCTAAGAGATGGGAGCCTTGAGTTTGGATTCTCGCATGACATTAGCTGGGCTTTTAACCCTGGGCAAATCATGTGATTTCTCTGGTCCTTGTTTCCCTGGGCCACAAAATGAAATGTGTGGACTGGATTGAAGCAATGGGCTCCTCTGTGATACTTCTTGTGCACTTTAGAGACAGGTTAGGTTAGTCTTCTCTCATGGGGTACAGAAGAGAAAAAGATGGAAATGTGAGCAAATGGAAATTCAGCATATCTCCCTAGAGTAAATACTAGATTTTGACCAAGAGAGGGCTGAGGATGGGCTGTTTCCTTCGATACGTGCCTTCCCTTTCCCCATAGCTCTGTGGTTCAGGACAATAGTCTGGGGCAGCTGCAGCTCAGAGAGGAAGCTGGTAGAGGCCACACATGAAACATTTTTCCTCACATGTATTAGTGGAAGCCAGAATAGTGTATGGCAACACTGTGAAGTTGTATGTGTGTGGGGCGGTGGGGGCGGGGGCGTAGAGGGGACCAGGGAGGGGTGGGTGAGGTATTATTGTCTGCCATCTAACCACAGTGTCTTTATTTACATAATAGCTATATTTCTGGATGTATAGTAAGTGAAAGAATAGGATTTAGAATTAGACTGAGCTGGGTTTAAATTCCAGCTATATCACTTTGGGTTGTGTGTGCGTGAGAGAGAGAGAGAGAGAGAGAGAGATCCATGGCAAATGATTTGATTTCTATTAGTCTCAGTTTCCTCCTCTATACATTTATGGTAATAACTACTTCGTGGAGTTAAAGACTTTAAAAATAATATTTGTGAGATGGGTCTTTTGTGTCTAGTTAGCATGCCTTTCCTCTTCTGATAATGCCATTCTCCTCTAGAGGAGCTGTTTCTCTCTACTTAGATCATGTCTGTGATTTATAGGGAATGCTAATCATGTAGTAACTGCTTACTCTATAGAAGCACACTGCCACTCTCCCCAAAGCAAGGGATCTGCACGTGAGCTAAGCCTGGACAATCAGGAAATAGCCCTGGATTTTTGAAATTGAGGCTGGGGCGAGCTTTTCTGGTGGTGAAAGTGAGAAAGTGCACACTCAGAAGCTGCTGGCAGGTGGGGCCCTGGTTTCTCAGAGAATCCTGATTTGCAGTAGGAGAAGACATGATAGAGGCAGAGGTAAGGAGAGGGTGTATCCTGCTGCCATCAAATCTTTGTTTTTAGTCATTTCCAATTATACCTTACTCCTTATATGAGTCGATAAATTTACCTTTTTCTTAGGATAGCTCAAATTATGTGCCTGCATTTACTTGTATAAGAGTAAGGATTAATAGAGTAACATGCTCTAGGTCCTCAGGAAACCTTAGTTTTCTTCCTCACACAAATATGATCGTTTTTTGTGTTAGCTTTTCGGATAGGCCTAGGCATCATGGGTTGAAAAAAATCAAGAGTTGCTATATTTGAAATTCCAAGTTTTTAATAAGTTAGTGTTTTTTTGTTTTCCCCACAGATTTGACTACTGACCTCAGTGATATTTTTATATTTTGAGGATTAAAAAATATAGCAGGTGTAGATACTTAAACATGCTAATGTATGCTATTGCCAGAGTGTAAAGGTGGCACAGTATTTCTAAGTGATTTCGTAATAAGTAACTAAAACTTTTGTTTATATTCTTTTTCTTTCAATTCCACCTCTAGTACTCTATCCTATGGAAACAAATCTGGATGTGAACAATGATATATGATATATATTCAAATGCATGTATGTATGTATGTATATATTCGTAAGGGTGGAAAGTAAAACAGTTTAATGAATGCCCAAATCTTAGGTGATATTTAAACTCCATGAAGCCCTTTAAATAATTTTTAAAATAATATTTGTTGGCATGAGAAAACTCTCATATTTTTCAGTGAAAAATAGGAAGGTCATAAAACAATATATACAATTTAATGGTGATTTGTAATAACATCACCCCCACCTCCCACCCCACAGCTTATATGTGCATATTCAGAGCTACGTAGTATAACAAAAACACCAACATACATCTTCCCTGGGCAGTGGGATTCCTGGTGTATGGAAGACACTGTGATTGACTCCCCAGTATCCATTCCATTATCCCTCCTACCTCTGCACCACATGCAACAGCTATGCAACTTGGTGAGACTGACCTCTACTTGAGTTTTGTGGGTGGAACTCAAATCAGTTTGGAGTGTCAATTGGATCAAATCAATTGGGAGGGTCTAATCCCTCTACTTATGGTTTTTAGGTTAGAGGTGGAACCACAGGCCCAAGCCATTTTGTGAATAGTATTATTAATATTTTGGCCTTTTAGAATTTGTTTAAAAATTGAAAGTGTATATATATTTAAGGTATACAATACGATGTTTCAATATGCATACAAAGTGAACTAATTACTGCAGTCAAACTGATTAATATATCATCTCTTCTCATAGTTACCTTTTGTGTGTGTGTGATGAGAACACAAAATCTACTCTCTAACCAAGTTCAAGTATACAATACAGCAATATTAACTGTAGGCCCCATGCTGTACCTTCAATCTCTAGAACTTATCCATCCTACAGAACTGAAATTGTGTATCCTTTGACCAACATTTCCCTACCTCCCCAATATCTTGGCCTGATTGCCTGGCTTGGAGACAGGCATATAACTTTATTTGGTCTAATGAGAGATAATTGAAAGTCTTTTATTCAGTTTTTGGATGAGGGATACCCATTCTTGCTCCCTGGACATGGATGAGGAAGCATGAAGTCCTGGGTAATATTGAAAGAGATTTTGTCTCCCAGGGGAAAGCAAGCCTTAGGGTGAACTGCCACACAGGAGGCAGAGTAGAGAGGTGGAATGAGACCTTGTAACTGGTAACACTGTTAAGTCTCTGAATCAAAATAACAGTAAAGTTTGCCCCAATTTTGGGATGAGCTAACATATTACCTAATCATTTAAGGTAGATGGCATTGAGGTTTTATATCAAAATGAAACTGATGAAACTTAAATAAAGTGGTTTTTATTTTATTATTTATGTTTTCCAGTATTTAAAAAAGATTTTCTCACTGAACGTATATTGCTTTCATAATCAGAAAATATTATTTATTTACAAAATTTTTATTAACTAAAAATTAGCAAAAACCCGTTAAGTGCATCTTCTTCTCTTCTTGTTCACTCTTCTCCTTCTCAGCCTCCTTCAATCCTTTTCCCCAAATTCCCACGAGAGCCAGAGAAGCCAACAAAATGTCAAAATTTTGTCACTTCATTAATTAGGAGATGAATTGGGTGAGGCACAACCTACATTCTGTGAAATTGATTGGCAAGTGACTGGCAGAACTACCCTGTAGCTAACAGGGCAATGACAGAGACGGGGTTGATTATCACTGTGTGTCTTATTTTAAAGGTATAGAAACATGGGAAGATTCACGGCGACACTGATTATCTTACACTGAGGGAAGAAGCTCCAAAGTCAGGATCTAGAACTCCTTTACCTCATTTGGCAGTGTGGTAAAAGGAAGAAAGTCCATTCACAATCTAGATCTCAAAAGCTAGAAGTAACTATAAACTAGACACTTGAGTACTCACATGGTATCAAATTGGTTAGATTGTAAGGCATGGTACAGTAGAGAGAGGCATGCATGAGCCCATTTAATCAAGGGGTCTGTGAGCAAATGGTGACTGGGAAGAGAGAAGTAGTCCAGAATTCGATTGAGAAGGTGTTTCAGAAATGGTACTAGAGGGATAAAGGGGCTGGTGGCCAAGCACCTTTAAGAAGTCCTGTGGATAGCTGTGATAAATACTGCCTTGGGGAGGGAAAATGCTCACTGGTAGAATCTGCCTAGTGATGGCACCTAAATCTCTGTTCCCCACACCCCATTGCTCTCTGGTTCTAGATTATATGCGCTATGAGGCTACTATTAAATAGATACGAAATCTTAGGTTAGTCACTTAACTTCTCTGTCCTTGAGGTGTCTCATCTGTGAAACAGCTGAGAGTCGGATCAGAAGACTTGCAAGGACCCTGCCAGTTGTGATATTCTACAGTTCTGCAATTGGCCCATCCATCTGCCCATTGCACAAGTCAACCAATGAAGAGAGCCTTGGAAGCTTGTGCCTTTGGGAGCACAGCAAGAGGAAGGCATCCTCCCAAAGCAGTGCTCTCGGGGAAACGGGGCTTTTGAAGTTGAAGCTGCTCTCCTTGCAGCTGCTCTGCAGAGGGAAAAAAACCTGGATTTTAAAGAAGCAAATGGTCTTTTTTTTTTTTTTTAACAAAATTAACTCACAGCTGCAAACAGCACAATGAAAGCACATTTTAAAATAATCAGATGCTTTTAGGGCCTCCTTCTGCTGCCAGAACAACTTCAGTCCGAGCTTCTGCGGGATTCCTTTCAAGGCTTCAGCCTCAAGCACCAACTGTCCAGTGGTGAAATGGGGCCTAAAGCTGCTGGTGTCAGAAAAGAGGCAGAAAGTTTTATGATCTCAGGGACCCTAAAGGCCTCAGATGTTTGTTTGTTTTTTCTGTTCTAATTAGGATGCATTACATATTTTTGAAAGGCATCTGACAGCTAATAGGTTGTTTTTAAAGGGTCATTTCATTAAATACTTTAAAAAAAAGTTAGCGATCTTTTAAATTTCATTTAATCAACTAATTTTTATTTTATCACAGTAATAAAACGTGAGCCCATGCATTTTCTAAAAGGTGCTTACAATGATCAAGGTCTAAATCATGCTAGGTTCTGAATGTCCACCTATATTCAGTACATTGATTTTTAGATGAGGATGCTATATATTTAGAAGGTTGTTTAAAATCCTCTACTTCACCATGATGCATTTGCATGTGAATTTCCACATGATGTTCAGGTTGCTGAATTGGCCTTAAAAGAGTAATACATAATGGGGTTGAATATCTTGAGAAAAACCTACTAAAACACTTAGGACATTGGAGAGGCCAACTTTGTCTAAGAGAATGAAGGTTCTTCATCGTGAGCTGTTGAAGGCCAAGAATCACTTTGATCACTGGGGCTGGGCACATGGATTTATAGGTAGGTGACCTCAGGGCAAATCCCTTCTGGGATACCTGTTAATGGGATAACCTTGAGCAAGGCCCTTTATCTTCCAGATTTCTTGCCTGTTCAGTATAGAGCATCCCTTAATGTATATAACACCTTTTTTGAACTTAGTGATATTTTCAGAATCAGAAATCTATGATTAAAAGACAATTCCTTTGTTTTTGTAATTAATGACTATGCTGCTTATATTGGATTTTGAAGATAGCCATACTATTGTTGTCATAACTAAGAGTATTGGGTAGAACCACATCATGTTATTAAGGCCTCAGCCTGTCTTTCTTTAATCTGACAATTATGATAGCAATAATAATAATAATAATGTCAAACACTATACCAAGCTCTGTCCATATAATGACTCAATACTTCAATACCTATGATGACCTCTGTGGTAGTTAACTGTTTCTAGTCCCCTCTTACAAATGAAGACCCTGAGACACAAAGAGGTTTAATGACTTGTTCAAGGTCACACAGCTTTATAATAGAGGGAACATTTGAAGTTGGGCATTTGGCTCCAGCGGGTCTGCACTCAACCCGCTTCCTATATGATCCTTTTCTTGACTATGAATTAAGTGTTGTCACAAGCTATCTTGACATACAATATGCCATCTTAAAGGCCTAAAGTATGGGCTATATATTATGGTTTGGAACACATATTTGCCTTGAGGTTTGCTGTATTGTTTGCAATTAGTATTGAGGAGAAGGTATATTTAGGAATTAAAAATATTCCCTATTAAGTATATGGGCTTTCAGGCACAATATTTTCAATTCTGATGTAGACGTCATTTTCTCTGTACGTTGGAGGAAAGTTCACCACGTCATAACATGTCAGCCGATCGTAAGTCAAAAATCATTTCCATGAATATACCTGTTACAATGTGAGCACTGCACAAGGTACAATTTCAAAAAAATAAGAATTTCCCTTTGACAAATATTTGTTCCTGCCCTATTGAAATTTAACGACTGATAAGGCATGTCACATAAAAACCAAAGGAACAAAGACAACCAGAGAGTGGGGGAAAACATACCTATACATACCACAAGTATATATGCCACAAGTGTAGTCCATTAGCGCATCCTGTCCTAAATATCTTTCAATCCATTTTCTTAGGCAGCCCTTGCCCTTTGCTTCCCCAGTCCTGACTCAGATCCTTAACACTTGCTTCTACAGCACTGCAGTAGCCTTCTACTTAGTTTCTCTTCCTCCAGTATTGTCCCTTCTTTTCCGTTTTATACACCTTCTCCAGATGACCTTGCTGAAGCAGAAAGCTGACACTATCACGGTTCTGCTTAGAACCCTGAACTGACCCTTTGCCAGCATACAATAAAGCTCAAACTCTTTAGGGTGACATGCAATGCCCTCCTCAAAATCCCCTGCCTACTTTTCTAGCCTCTGCTTCCCTGATGCACTGTGTCCTTCAAGCCTTGCTTTTTCGAGTATATGGAATGCCTTTTCTGGTCTTGTCTGCTGGGGAAAACCCAGTGAATTCTTTCAGACTGAATTTAACCATCGCCTCATTGGAGAATCCTCCTTTGACTTCTTGCCTTTAGTCAGAAACAATTCTCTCACCTCTGTGCCCCCATAACACTTTATTCAGACCTTATAGCTCTTCTCATGATGTTTGATAATTCCCTGGCTACATGTCAATCTTCCCCACCAGAGGGAGGGCTCTGTAAGGTAAAGCTTGTTGTCTTCATCTTTCTATGTGTAGCATCTAATGCAGTGCCTGGCACAGAAAAGGAGTTCAATAAATGATTATAGATTGACTAATGAATGGGTGAATGAATGATGGAACAAATCCTATTGCTTGAGTAAAGGGTAAACTTTGGAAGTTTTCTGTATTCTTTAATGAACTAACTGAAGTATTGGTTCAATTGGTGTAAAAACTATAACATGGACTAGATAGCAGCAAGTGTGGGTTCTCATCCCCAGTGTCACTAATTAGCCCTGTGGCCTGGGACAGATCACTTAACCTCTTGATGCCTCAGTATTGTCCTCCAGAAGATTAGGACATGGATATCTAAAAGCCCCAGAGTTGCTTTTAGGATCAAATAAAACCAATTTATGGTCAAAATGCTATTGAAAGCTACAAATGATAAAACATTTCAACAAAATTTCTTATGACTAGACCTCTTATATCCAATTTGATGCTAGGGAGGCATAACACATATATATCTCCCTGCTTCTTATTTTCTCAAGGTGTTCTGTGTGTTCTTCCTATAATTGCTCTGGGTCATTGAAGAGGCTCAAGAGGGTTATATTTAGTAGGTCAGTATATTCACAAGCAAGAACTAGAATTGTAAAGAGATTCTAAGAACACATTTAGTACAAAAAGAGTATTTCTGTATTAGACCATCAAAAGTCAAAGGCATAATTTGAAATGATGAACGTATCCATTTTAAGTTACACAATACTTTGCATAGTTAATATCACTGTAATTAGTCATGGTTCCTATAATTTATTGAAAAAGATGCTGATCCCCTCTAGTGTACTACAGTGATGAATGTTCGAGGACCAACTTTGGAAGCTGGAAGCTGGAATCAGGAAAATGAGTAACAGTTGGAGAATTCGTATGTAAATCAATAATACCCTTTCTTCTTCATTTTGAAACCAGGATTTTCATCACACACTGCAAAATCAGAGTGCTCCCACAAGTTAGAGCTGTCACCACATTCCACAGAACTAGGCAGGCCATTTCTACCACAGGAAATGTTAAAAATCCTCTCAAACATTTGAGTAAATCTCTAGTAAATATTTAAACTCTGTATAACTAGTCACAAATAAATTAAGCTGATTTTATGCAGTCTCTCTAATTAGAAGGGCACAGCATTTGTTGAAACGTGATTAGTATTATTCATTAAGCAAAAAATTCTCATTTGTATCTTATTATCACTATTCTGCATAAACCAACACAATTTGTCATGAACTCCCTCATTTGCTGTATCCTCAAAAAGCAGATTATGCTTATTTTTCATTTGGACAGTGGAAAATCAAGCCAGGTGTTTGGCAGCACCAGAGTGTTCAGGTGTAACTGTGCCAGTGATGGCACATTACGAGCAGCGTGGATGAAGGATGAGGCATGGAGAATCTTGAGACCGAGGTGCCTTGAGGCCCATCCCTTCCGAGTGCCCCTGCTGATGAGACAGGTGTTGTACTGGGCTGCTGGGAGGGGAGGGGGAGATAGGAAAGAAACTTTTTTGTTAAGTCAGATCTTTCCCCTTCCATCAGAACCTGAAAATTCTTCCTCGGATTCCTGCTGCATTTGAGCTAGGGGCATTTGCACTGTAAGACCTCCACAGCAGTACCTTTGTTTAAAATATTTCCAAAGCATAAAAATTCAGCTCCATGATTTGTCTAGAACTGTCTGTCTGTCTAGACACATAAGCACTGTACATATTTGGCTTTTCAGACTTATAGATATTGACAGATAAGACAAAGACTATGTTATATTATCTGGCCAAGTGGGAACTGCGGGCTGCTTTTCCTCCTCTGCAATCTATTCTTTTTGTCTTTAAAATCTTCTTTGTTCTCCAGCTCAGGTTAGAGACTCCATTAGGGCTTGTGACTGCAGCTGCTTTATGATTCTGGCAGAAATAGGGATGTAAATGCTGTAGGGTCTATAAAATAGTGGAGTGATGATAGGAAATTATTTTTTAAGGAAGCAATGCTCTTAAATATGCTACTTCAAATCCTGTCTATTCTCTTGGAACTTCAGAGCTATAAAGGACTGTGCACTCACTATTTGGCCTTGAAGTGTGTCAGTTTCTCTTTTTGTCTCTCTATTTCTCTTTGTTGCTTCATTATCATCTCTTGTTTTTGTAAATACTCTGCTTTCTGTAGGCTGTTCTCCATACTCCTCCTGATATGGTTGATTTTCTGAGAGACCAGGCATGTGGAATGGTGTGGGAATAATATCCAACAAGAAAATACTGGAGAGAATGGGGATATTTCCTTAAAAACTCACAAAGCATAGGAGTGGAGTATAATGGTGGTCTTTAAATGTTGGCATGGCTGCAGAAGTCTCCCTAAAGCAGGCAGGAGGAAGATACAGGGTGGCAGATTACAGCTCAGCCTGAAGAAGTGCTCTTTAAACAGAGCTCTTCAGACATGAGCAGGCTAAACTGTGATGTGGAGAGCTCCCTATCACTGAAAGTAGTTAAGCAGAGTTTGTAGTGAGAGCTTCAATTAGATGAGTTTCAAGTTCCTTTCCATCACTAATATTTGATGATTCTCTTTTTGTGGAAAGACTTTGTTCAACTGCCTCCATCAAGAAAGTTGAGAGAATTTCAATGATGATAGAAGTTCAAAATATTCAGGAATCTCAAGTCCTGCTCTTCACTGCCTCACTTTTCCTCAAGACTGCAAAGAAGGCTACCTTTTACTGCGGGTTATCTGGTAAATGTTCTGTTAACACCTGGAGTGGCTGGTCATGCAGAGAAACCAGTATAATGCGTGACTCTTATAACTCCAGTTTTATGGTATCCTTGTCAAGATTTCCTATTGAACCCTGACTCATAGACTCAAAGACTCCTGTGCACTCCTGTGTGGTCAAGGCACAACTACAAAGATATTAATGGCCCATCCAGAAAGCATCATTCTTGGACTCACAGCATTTTCTTTGTCTTCTCCATGTATGAGGACTTGTCCAAATACAGGCTTCAGGTATTACATTTCGGCTATAACTAGTTTATGTAACTAGTGGGGAGATTTATAAAGTAAAAAGACTTTGGAAAATCCTGAGACAGAGACTCTCAGTGTGGAGGTGGAATTAATTACAAATTAAAGGGACAAATACATTATCTTCCCAAGTAGAAAACTAGTTGTGAACCTAGATTATTGGACAGGAGAGCAAAAATTATAAAACTTTTAGATGAGGTTTCTTGAATTGTGGTTAGGGACTACCTACTTGTTGAAATACCGATTCTTGAGCCCAGCCCCAAACCTATTATGGTAGCTTTTTATTGCTGTGAAACAAATTACCACCAACTTAGTAGTGTAGAGCAACATCTGTTTATTATCTCACAGTTCTGAAGGTCAGAAGTCCAGGTGAGCTTGCCTGGGTTCTCTGCTTAGGATTTCACAAAATTAGAATGAGACAAAATTTCGAGTCTCGCAAGGCTGGATTCTTTTCTGAAGGCTCTGGTAGGAAAATCCAATTTCAAGCTCATTCATGTTATCAGCAAAAATCAGTTCTTTGCCGTCTGTCAGCGGGGGTTACATTCTGCTCCTGGAGGCCACCCACATTTTTTTCCATATGGCCCCTCCACCTTTAAACCAGCAAAGGCACATGAAGTCCTTCTCATCCTTGGAATCTCTCTGACTTCCTCTGTCATATGCCAGAGAAAACTCTGTGCTTTTAAAGGAGTTTTATGATTGCATTAGGCCCACCCAGATAATTTAAGACATTCTAAGGTGCACTGACTTGAGACTTTAATTATATCTGCAAAATCCCTTCTCAGCAGTATGTAGGTTAGTATTCGATTAAATAAACAGGGGACTGGAGTCTTTGGGGTCCCTCATTTGAATTATTCCTACCAACCTACTAAATCAGAGTCTCTTCAGTGGAATCAAAGAAATTTTTTTTTAACAACACTCTAAGAGATTTGAATGAATAATAAAGATTAAGAACTGATTTAGAAGGATAATAAGCAGTGAATGTTAGGTGTCAAGTGAGTGATGCAGAAAATAACTGTTATAGGAGTTCCAAATGAGGGACCAATGAAGACTGAAGATGCCAGTGATTGCAGGGATAGCCATAGAGAAACTGGAGCTTGAGCTGAGTCTTGAAGGAAGCAAGACATTCAGAAGGGAGCAGTGCAGGCTTTTCAGGAAGGAGAGACTCATGAGCAGAGATTTGGAAATTAGAAAACAGATAACTGGCCTTTCAGAATACAATGAAAATGAGTGTGGTTGGAGTGGAGGTGTGTAATTGTGGTTTGTGAAGAAATGTGAGGTTGTGGGTATATAATGGAGGACCTTGGTTGTCAGGTCAAGAAATTTAAAGAAAAGCCATTTTAAAGAAAAAGATGTTTAAAAAGCAATGCAATTTTATTCCCTTTGCCCCGTTTACTCACCAAATTTCTCTGTAATTGAAGATCATAGTTTGATTCTCTTTCAGCAATGTCAAGGTCTTGCTTATTATCCAAAGATAGACAAACATTTTTATTTTTATTCACAGGGATGAGGAAGGAAGGGGATTTTCAAGTTGTAAGAAATAAACTAGCATACAGGAAAGGTTTGAAAACTCAGGGTTCAGACTCTTTGGTTGAGGAAGAGTGATGGTGACATGATACTTTTTTAGAAGCACGTTTCTAAAAAAATAATCTTAGGGATTATGATCCCTAAGATGTTCTCCATTTACTATTCTCCAAGGTTTAAATGTACTCCAAAGACCCCCGATAATGGAAAGTAGTATATGGGCAGGACTGCTAGTCACTGCATAGTTGTTGGTGTTGAAAGCTGAGAGTTAATATTGTAGCTTGGAAGAGAAGGTGGACTACCTTGGAGCTGGATTCAACAGCTTTGAAAACCAGATGAAAGCTGCAGATACAGGAGGGTATCATTTGACAAGCAGATGGATGACAGGGTTGGTACACTGGTGAGTGTTGTTAATTTAATGACTCCAGATAACATGTGTTTAAAATTGAAAGCAAATTACCGGGAAATAGCCAGCAAAGCTATAACTTGTGGACTTCTGGCCTCCCAGTAGATCTAGATGGGGAAAAGGGAAGGGACGTATGTAGTTCTTTGTTCTGAAAAACTTAAATTACTTCTTAGAAAGAAGCAGTATAGGCTTCCCCCAGTGGAAATTATGAGGGTTCAAATCAAATTCTCTACCCAGGAAAGTAGAGGTTCACTCTATTTTAGTGATAATTCTAAATCTTGTATTTAAAAATGCTAAATATATATAGAAAAGATTATCTAGTCTCTTTCCTTCCCATCACTGATGTGGGGAAATTCTGAATTTCTGTGTCACCGAACCATACAATTACACTTTAGAATCACAGATTACAAAATGACAGGACTTTGAGCCCTTAAAGTTCATCTAACTTCATCGCCTTTTAAATCCATTATTTTACTTATCTATGTAACCATCAATAATATTTTTATTACTCCATGTGAGTTTATAGGTATATAAAAATGAACCAAACACATCTCTGCTTTCAAGGAGCTCACATTTTACTCTAGGAAACAAACAGGAAAGTGGAGTCCTGTGGAGAGCTTAGCCTCCAGAATCAACAGCAGCAGTGAGACTTAGATGGTCTTAGACCAATGACAGCAGGGCTTAGCAAGGACCTGAGGCTCCACACCTACCTGGAATCAATGAGGTTAAACAAGATGGTACAAGGTGGGTCTAGTCAGCCCTAAGCTTTCACCATCCCTGGTGCCAGTAGGGCACAGTGGGGAGTGTAGCTGAGCTTACACCCTGCTTGAAGGCAGTGAGGTGGTGTGAATTAACCAGGAAGGGATCCTTGGGGCTGAAAAGGAAGCTCAACTTCCACTCCAATAATTTTTAATGAGGCAGTGTGAGTCTGCGCTCTACGTTTACATAGATAATGTCAGCAAGGCCCAGCGGGAAGCTAGACATACACACCCATCTAGTGTTCACACTGGAGCTCAGCAGGGGGACTATCAACAAAAAAGAAAATTAAATAGGATCAGACTCCATTACTATAATGTCCAAAATGTCCAGATACGGGTTAAAAAATCATTCCTCCTACCAAGAACTAATAAAATCACCACTTGAGTAAGAAATAATAATCAATAGGCATAAGCATCAAGATGAACCAGATGTTGGAATAATCTGAGGAGAATTCCAAAGCAGCCATCATAAAAATGGTTCAACAAGCAATTACAAATTACCTTGGAACAAATGAAATAAATGAAAACCTCAGAAAAATAATAGAAGTTATAAAAAACCCAAATGGAAATCATAGAACTACAAAAATCATTAAAAGCAACATAAAATACTCACTGGATGGGCTCAGTATTAGAGTGGAGATGACAAATGGTAGAATCAGTGAACCTGAGGATAGAATAATATAATTTACATAATCTGAGCAATGGGGAGAAAATAGACTAGAAAGAGGTGAGAAGAGAGAGTGGAACTGAAAAAACAAATTGAATAAATCTAAAAAATTCCTAAATTTGTTGAAAGATGTAAATCTACATATTCAAGAATCTGAGCAAACCCTAAAAGGGATAAACCAAATAAATTCATACTAAGTTACTTTATAACAAAACTTTTGAAAATTAAATACAAAGAAAAAGTTTTGAAAGCAACCAGAGCAGAAATGACACACTACTTACAGGGAAACAATTCAAATGATGGCAGATTTCTCATTTGAAACCAGGAAGGCCAGAAGAAAGTGACACAGAATCTTTCAAGTGCTGAAAGAAAAAAAAAATTTTATATCCAGCAAAAATATTCTTTGTAAAAGGAATGAAAATCATTACTCTTTTTTTTTTTTTTTTTTTTTTTCTGAGACAGAGTCTTGCTCTGTCACCCAGGCTGGAGTGCAATCACTGCAACCTCTGTCTCCTTGGCTCAAGCAGTTCTTGTGCCTCAGCCACCCAAGTAGCTGGGATTATAGGCATGCCCCACCATGCCCAGCTAATTTTTGTATTTTTAGTAGATACAGTTTCGCCATGTTGCCAGGCTGGACTCAAGTGATCCATCTGCCTTGACCTCCCAAATACATTCTTAAACTAAGAAAAACAAAGAAACAAAAACAAAACAAAACAAAATTGTCGCTACCAAACCTACTCTTGAAGAATCACTAAATAAGATTATCTAAACAGAAAGGAAATGAAAATAGAAGACAGAATGGATAAAAAAAATTGAGGTAAACATAATAGACTGTTCTCATGAATTTCTTGAATTATATTTGATGGTTGAAACAAAAATCATTACACCTTCTGATGTGGTGTTTAATATGTGTAGAAGAAATACTTAAAAACATTACATTTTAAAAGTGGAACATATAAAGGGATGTAAGTAAAAATAAGATTCCTTTGACTTCATTTGAAGTTATAAAATATTGAGACTAGTAAACTGTGGTAAGTTATAGTTCGGAATGAAAAAAATATGTTTTTTCTAAAACTAGAAATCTACCCATCAATGAAAACATCCTCAGTGAATTGTACATTGATAAGAAATACTATTTTATTGTGTTAATGACAACACAAAGTTATTCTGGTGCTTATCGGATTTCACTGGATCAGAGAGGTCTCCCTGAAAAATTCAGGCTGAAGATGGGAGCAAAAGAAATGGGGCTTGAAAACAGTAGATGAGTTCCAATGCCTGAATACCCTAAGTTCCACAACAGACTTCCAGCTTAAGTTTGAAGTTATCTAAAAAAGACTGTCTCTGCCTTCCCCCAGGTATCCCTTAGCAATTGAAATCTAATCCCACCAGTGTGTTCAGTCCCATAGCTGGGAAAATCAGGAAATAATTGTGCTGCCATAGTCCTGGTGTCTGGTTTCCCAATTACGAGTCATAGGCAATACACCTCCAATAAACGGAAGCCTTCCATATTACTATGTCATGTTGTGTGATTTCATGAATATCCATGGCCAGGTAACCAAGATCCTAAATCCAGCCTAGGTACCCATGGTGACTCCAGGGCCTGAGTACAATGTCAAGCACAATGTCATTTTGGGCAAACAAGTATTAATTTATGCCTTAGCACTCATGTCCACGTTGTCATGTATTTGTGAACTGGACTAGACTACACATAGGCTTTTCAGAATGTTTTTACCTTTCTAACTTGAAGTCCTTTTGCTTAAGCCTCATATGATAATCATGGTCTTCAGGAACTTACCACTTTCAGAGTGATGTTTCCATTTCCCTGTGCCTCCCTGGCCCTAGTGAGCCTTGCCATTAAAGCCAACAAAGAAGCAACATTAGGTAAAGGTAGAGAAGAACAAAGTAATGTGAACCCAGACAAGCAGGGACTCTTGAGGTATGGCAGAAAAGCAAATAACTCTTCATCTTTTGGCAGCTTATCTCCAAAGCTCTTTCCCGTATTATCATGGCCCAGTTGTGCATCTGTGAGAACTTTATTAGGCCCTTGGATTTTCCTTCTTGGAAGGGCCTTGAGTTTTCCATCTCAAGATGTGAGGGGCTTAAAACTCCTTTACAGTTATGATTTTCAAATGTCAGCTATGTGTGGTCCTGGGGATTCTTCTTGGAGTCAAAGAGGGTGACAGTTCTTTGAAGCAATCTTGCATGTATAACTAAATAGCTGCTCTGTTTGAAATGAAGGGTGAGGATCCCAAATCCCTAATTTTTAAGCCTTTTCAGGACTCCTATGAGGTACTTTCTTGGAACACTAGGACTCCACATGATACAGCTAGAAACCCCTAAATTAGAGCTAAGACAGTGTGGTGAATGCACAGGCCTGGACTTCCACCTTCTGTCCTAATGAACATTTCTGGCTACCCTCTAGAGTAGTGTTCAGGATACTAGCCAATTATCCTCTAGCTCATATAAGGACTGATCCCATCTCATTTTCTGTCATTTGCTATTGACTGGAGTATTGCTCCCAGTGACTGATCATCACTTGAGGATATACAACTATTAACCTACCTAATTTAGGAGAATTGCCTGTTACACATTACTGCTGCAGTGATCAGCATCTTTGGATCTGAGTGGGAACTTTGTACCCTTTAATTCTCAGTCCTAAAGGCCACTAGTCAGTTTCTACAGGTCTTTTTTTTTTATTATACTTTAAGTTTTAGGGTACATGTGCACAATGTGCAGGTTAGTTACATATGTATACATGTGCCATGCTGGTGTGCTGCACCCATTAACTCGTCAATTAGCATTAGGTATATCTCCTAAAGCTATCCCTCCCCCCTCCCCCCACCCCACAACAGTCCCCAGAGTGTGATGTTCCCCTTCCTGTGTCCGTGTGTTCTCATTGTTCAATTCCCACCTATGAGTGAGAATATGCAGTGTTTGGTTTTTTGTTCTTGTGATAGTTTACTGAGAATGATGATTTCCAATTTCATCCATGTCCCTACAAAGGACATGAACTCATCATTTTTTATGGCTGCATAGTATTCCATGGTGTATATGTGCCAGATTTTCTTAATCCAGTCTATCATTGTTGGACATTTGGGTTGGTTCCAAGTCTTTGCTATTGTGAATAGTGCCGCAATAAACATACGTGTGCATGTGTCTTTATAGCAGCATGATTTATAGTCCTTTGGGTATATACCCAGTAATGGGATGGCTGGGTCAAATGGTATTTCTAGTTCTGGATCCCTGAGGAATCGCCACACTGACTTCCCCAATGGTTGAACTAGTTTACAGTCCCACCAACAGTGTAAAAGTGTTCCTATTTCTCCACATCCTCTCCAGCATCTGTTGTTTCCTGACTTTTTAATGATTGCCCTTCTAACTGGTGTGAGATGGTATCTCATTGTGGTTTTGATTTGCATTTCTCTGACGGCCAGTGATGGTGAGCATTTTTTCATGTGTTTTTTGGCTGCATAAATGTCTTCTTTTGAGAAGTGTCTGTTCATGTCCTTCACCCACTTTTTGATGGGGTTGTTTGTTTTTTTTCTTGTAAATTTGTTTGAGTTCATTGTAGATTCTGGATATTAGCCCTTTGTCAGATGAGTAGGTTGCGAAAATTTTCTCCCATTTTGTAGGTTGCCTGTTCACTCTGATGGTAGTTTCTTTTGCTGTGCAGAAGCTCTTTATTTTAATTAGATCCCATTTGTCAATTTTGTCTTTTGTTGCCATTGCTTTTGGTGTTTTAGACATGAAGTCCTTGCCCATGCCTATGTCCTGAATGGTAATGCCTAGGTTTTCTTCTAGGGTTTTTATGGTTTTAGGTCTAACGTTTCTACAGGTCTTGATGCAGCAGGTGCCTGTGTCATTCCTTGCTTGCAGCGGTCCATACATGCATTGTGTGTTTGAGCCAACCTATGATAGTACATTTCTTCTGTGGATAGAAGTTATGTTAATGGTTTATTTATTATATCAAGGCAGATATAGATACAGATATTAAGGCAAAACTTACATTCCAGTGGTCCTAACTCTGCTTCTTGAGGGCAACACAGAACAAGATTAGTTTCTCTCCCATATGACAATTCTTCAAGTATCTGAAGATAACAGACCTCATGTCTTCACCAAACCTTCTCTTTTTGAATGATGTATTCTTTTGTCAAGATGCATTTATTATTTTATTTTTAATACTAAGTAGTAAAACTTATCTGATCACCTACAGAAATGATGGTTTTCCTGTCTTTTAAAAAAATCTGCAAGAATCAGTACTTCCATGAGAAGTTCTCTGGGAATATCACAGTAAGATAAATCTTTGCACCATCATCTTCTGCTTCTTTATTTGGCTACTATTCTGGACCTGGAGCAGCAACTGAGCAGGAGGGACATTTCTGATTCATGAGGAACTGGTATGATGTGTGCATAAAAGGGGAGAGGTCAGTTGGTAGAAATCTGCATACCACCTGGGATGACACTTCTGCCCACCCCCCACCCTCCAATGGTCTGTGCTGTAGGCTACTGCCAGTGTGGGTGGGCTTCTTTCCCAGGCTCCACAAAGAACATATATCAATGTCTGTTCATTCATATTCTCCTTGTGAATGCATATCCTTCCAAATGAAATAGACTTTTTGTATCTCCAGTGCCCAGCACAGAACAGGTATTCTATAAATATGTAGTTGGTGATTGAGTAAATAGGTAAATAAAATAAGGAAAAGCTCCAAAGCCATTCTCTCTTCTCTTTCTCTTTCCTCTGTCTCTGTTACCAGCTTAGGGTCTTAGCATTGTGTCACTCTGGTGGCTAGTTTCCTCTGACAGTGGATCCTGGTTGCAGGATGCAAACTGTCCTGCTCTTCTTAGTAACTATTTCTGTTTATTCCACTTGCAGTAAAGGATTCCTGTCTTGTGCCTCTCTCCCCCTGCCTGTTCATCCGTCTCTTGCCGGTAGCAAATTCTTATTGGGAGTGCTTGTGGCCTGGATCCCTGCTACCTACAGTTGGATCTTCCTAGTTTTAACTATCTAAGCCTCTGCTCATTGCCTCATTTTCATTTATTTATTCAGTCATTTATAGGGCAGACATTTACTGTATGCCTACTCTATGGTTGTGAAAACAGCAACTAATAAAATGCTGGTCCTTTGTTAAGAAGCATAGACTCGAATGGAACTGCACTCTCCTGTGACAGCCTTCATCCATCTGCTGCTGAGACCTCCCTTATGAGTTTACCTGGTTTCCTGTGAGTCTGTATGTTCTCTGGGTCCTGGCCTCATCCTGTTTTCCCTTACCACTACCCCACTGTTGCTGCTTGGGTCCTGTACCTGACACCCTGCAAGTCCACTGTGGAAACCCTTGCTCCCTGAAGTCAGCAGCGTGCTTCCATGGCTGCCAGTGACCTATGGGGATAGCATTATACCTCATATAATGGACAGGTTCTGCACAAACATGCAAACATACACCCTGAACCACACAAACATACATACCCATATGGATAAGCTTGAACCATACACATATGCACACACATGGTTATAATGCTTGCTCTATTGTACTCTGCCAGGAAACAGAATTTGAGTCATATCAGTTACCTCTTTGATTCTAAGACTTCCTGTTACATGCCTGCAAATATTTATACTTGCATTGAACAAGGCGACTGGAGACTCTGATAGTATTTCCTGAACTATATCATGACAAATGCCTAAGATGCCAAGTTCAGCTCATTGGCTCTGGATCTGAATATGAATGGTTGGGTGGTAACAAGGGCATAATTTTTTTCTTATTTTCCCCCTAATTCCATATTATCACATTGATGTATCTGAGTACATATTCATTGCTTTAGCCTCCTGGGTTGCAATGCTGTGCACATGCATAATCAGATCAGGAGAAATGGGCCCTATCCTCATTTTGAAACTCAATGCACCTGGAGCAAAGAACCTCTGACTCTGCTTGCCATCTGCTGGGGGAAGAGAAGGCCTCCCTCTGCCCCATTTGCCACACTTAAAGGATGCACTCCTGGCAGGCAGTAGAACACTTGGATTTACAGCCCCGGTGTGGATTTCACCCTCAGATGCCCCAGATGAAGTTTTGTGGGAGTTCTTTGACTTCCCACATTGGGGAGTAGAGTAAAATTTAATTTCTGAGTAGGAAGACTAGTAAGAAAGGGTCAATGTTCTGTAAACCATAGAATAAAAGACAGAGACCAAAAGACAGATAATAAGTATATGTTTTATTTAATAATGTTCTCAGTAGTTTCAGTCATTTTTCTGTAATTTTCATGATGAATGCAAGTGATACTTTTCTGCATATCCTTAGTGTTGAGAAAACAGGCTGGGGAAATAATTTTTTAGTCAAATATGAAACTGTACATGATTCTAATACCTTGGAGGAGATTTCTTTCTACTTTCCATTGTTCTGTAAATGAAAAGTAAATTATGCTTTGTTAAAAAACTTTCCGTTGAATAGTTTTATAGCAAATGTTTCATTCACTTCAATAAATAAATGTACAATATTTTTTGAAAATTGAGAATCAGGCTTTGTAAAATTTAACAACCACACCAAATTAGTCTCTCCAGTTCTTATGCTGCAATAGAAAATTATACTTTTTAACTTTTAGTTAAGTAGCACTTAAATAAAATGTCTAATTCACTCTGAGCTTTCATGAAGCATTAGACCTGTGACGCACAATGGTAGTTAATGTGAGCAAGCTAAAGGATTTTTAATGATTATGCTTTATCTTAATGAGAGGTACCATCTTAATGAGCAGCAGCACGGTCATGTGGATAGAACACTGCTTCAGAAATTAGCCTTCTGGAGACCTCCACACAGGATTTCCATTGCATCACTCTGTGTCTCTTTGCAGACATCTTGACCTCTCTGGGCGTTTGATTTTTCTGCTGTAAAATAGAGATAATAAATACTGGTGTCACCAAGCTCTCAAGAATCCTTGAACAGGAGGAGCTTTTTACATATACATGATGTAGGAAATCATGGTGGATCTACCTAAGACTTACAAGGGATGTTCAGCAGTTTTCATTAGTGAGAACATTAATCCAAGTCAGAATTATTTTAGATCATGGGTTAATTTCTTTGTTTTATATTTGTGTGTGGTATTGTTATTTGGGTTAATTTTTGGAAATGAGTGCAAGGGAGGAAAGAACTGAATATACTGAAACAATTATTTTTGCTTCTAAATGTAGACTTGTATTTTAATCAAAACAGTGAGTAGAACACATGTATTGCTGTACATGTTATGCTACGAGAGGTCCAGAAACTTTACAAAACCTCAAGTCTGGCTTTATGCTTAGAAAAAAAATGTGTGTGGGAGATTATAGTTGCCCACTTTGTGTCCTTTTTTGCACTTTGTAAGCACAGAGCAGGCTACCCTCTGTACTATTGATTCTTCCAGCAAAACGAAGAAAGGAGGTTGGTGTTATCTTGAAAGCTGTGTCTCCTCAAAATTGTGTGATTATGGTTGTTCCACCACAGCTGGGTGGCCACTTGAGGTGGGGCTGGGATTTGGCACTGGATGTCCTCACTAGCAGGGACAGTGGCTGGGGAGCTGCTTTCTGGAAGGCCAAGTGCCACCCAGGGGCTTGGCCACATATGTATGCATAGTCTGTTATGCACATGCATAGCAGGAGATGGAGGAGATGGTTGACAGCCACTGGGAATCTGGAATACTGGTTCTTGGAAGGTGAGGCAGTAGGAAGGGAGAGGGTGAGCATCAGTGAGAACTGAGAGTAAGCTGCTGAACCCAGCTGGGGTTTAGAGACAGGCCTGGAATTCCTGGAAAAATAGGTTTTGAGGTCCCGTACACATCTAGGCTCAAATCCACCTCTGTCATTCACTTAACTGTGTGACTTGGAGAAAGATAATGTAACCTCTCAGACTCTCAGTTTCTGATTCTCTAAAATGGGCATAATAAAACTGTTGGTTTATAGTGAGGATTTAAGCAAACAATGTAAAGAGCTAAGTCTAGTCATTGGCATTTATGAGTACTTGGAAAGCAAGTGGTTGCTCTGGCCTAGGAGGATTGATTACCAACCAGGGAGTGTTCAGTCACTTTGGATCTGATCAGAATTGATCCTGAGAACAAAAGAGCTAGGAGTAGTAGCCTAGAGGGGGATTCGTGAGCCCAGCCTCTAGACAGAGCTACTGAGCCTGAAAAACAGACTGAAGCTGACCATATAAGCTTTGTTGTGTATCCATGGCCAGTTGTACCTTTATCTCAAAGATAGGCTCATGTCTTATTCATCATTATAACTCCTATACCTAGCAGAGGACCCGACACAATATATAAATAATTACAGAGTAAAACCAAAAGGAACAAAAATGTGGTATCTTAAATGGGTTGTGCACCTTCCAACAAAAGCAGAGTTGGACAGTTTGGAATTCCTCATGTCTGTCTTCAAAAGGAACTTAGTTTAATCACTTAGCTCTGCCCTTTGACACCTAGCTCTAATCTTGATTTTATATGTTACGAGTCTGTCAGATTAAGAAATAATTCCCTGAGTAGCATGCTAGTATATGAGCGCATATCGTGGGGTCCTATGGAATACACCTACCCAGGTCCAGAAACGTATTAGCTTGTAGACAATGAATTATTCCAGAGGAAGAATGGCTAATCTATTGTTCAGCTGTTTCTTCCTAGAAATGTAGTGTCTTTTATATTTCTCTATAAACGGTAGGACTAAATTATAAACAAAATTATTTAGGTAGTTATATTTCCCTGTTATCTTTTACATGCCATTTCATATGTGTGTAGCACTTGATTCATTGGGCTGAGTTTATCATAGAGATACAGGAGATACCAGAGTATGAGCATAGAACCAATTTGCAAGGAGTTTGTGAAATCTTTAGTTGGGCTAAAACAGAATGCATTTTCATCTCAAGTGTTTCTTTGAGTTTTAACCCGAATGTATCAAGTTGCTCGAGAAGATTTTTTTTTCCTGATTAAAGCCAAATCAAAAGAGACCATCAGATGTTGGGTGGTTTCTGAATGAAAGTATGCATCTCTTGCAAATTCCTAGTCATGAGGGGATGCATTTACTCAAGAATTATCCAAGGGGCACCCACAACTTGACTCAGATTTTTCTAAATTTATACAGAGTTCAACAAAACTACATTTCTTTTGAACAAAATTCCTAAGTGGGCAAATTTTGTCTGACGTATGAATAAAATGAAAAATTTTGTTAATTAACAACTATTTTTTTTGGTCTTAGATAACAATTAAAGAAAGCTCACAAGCCAAATATGTGTCTTCATTGTAGTACATCATCAACAATCAACAAACAGGGCCAACAGAAAAGACTGGGCTATCTTTGGTGCCTATCAGTTTTCATTTGTTCCTTTGAAATGATAAAGTCTTGGGCATAGAGCGTCTACACATGTACAGAATCATCTGAGGCAATTTACCAGTGTGGGTGGCCAGATGATATTGCTCTGGTTTTATGGAAGTACCCAGAGTAGTTTCAGTGTGTGTATTTATGACTGTTTTGTAATCATGTATTTTAACACATTTCAGAGACTATATGAGGACAGACATATATTGACTTTAGAAATCAAAACCATAGTACCTCCAAGAACCTAGTGCTTTGGAGTAAAAGGCTTATATCACATTTTATCCCCAATGCCTAGCTTTTACTGGGTACTTAGAAGATACCCAAAGATGTTTGTCAATGTCTTCCACTATGGTTTTTGTGTTGCCTTATGTCATGATTGCTGCTGCTTGAAAAGCTTGACACAGGTGCCCTCAGTCCTGGTTTTGATGTGAAAGACTATATGCATTACTCATTAAAGACTCAATATGTGACAGCTTCAATTCAATAACTATTCATTGTTCAGTTAACAGATGGCATAAAGAAATCTAAAAGATGAAATGCAAAGGATCATGCTAAGAAATAAACAGAAGTATGAAATACAGTCCATGTTTTAGAAAAGTGTACCATTCTATATAAAAGAATAAGGTAAATTCAAGGAAGCATTTAAATTGCAATATCGAATATTAAATAAGAATTTAATGTGGCACAGGGAGTGTTACTGGAAGCCAGAGAAGAAAGAGAAGGAGATAGTTTTACAGAGGAGTTGGGACTAGGACTGAACATTGGTGATTGCACAAAACTATGATGGAGAGAAAGGGGATAGTAATATTATAAAGA
Organism: Homo sapiens; assembly: GCF_000001405.40. NCBI lineage: Eukaryota > Metazoa > Chordata > Mammalia > Primates > Hominidae > Homo > Homo sapiens. The sequence continues at coordinate 88,206,041 of NC_000001.11, read as the reverse complement.
GGTACGTAGCTGATGTCCAAGGGCCATGGTGCAGGAAACTGTTTTCTCTGTGGAGTAGCTCTAATACAAAACATTCCAAAATTGATGGGCGCACCTGTGCAAGACTTTCCATTGAAGACTGGAAAGTGACTGGTCATTCACAGTCCTGCTGTCAGTGTGGTATGGAGAACACAGGTTCACCTGGCTTTTCTTGCACAGACCCAGAGCTCTTCCTTTCCCATCTCAGCTGTGTTATCAGCTGCCTCACCTCCCTGAGAATTTGGTGCACTGCCCCATCACTCCCCTTCAGGGGACCTTGGCAGTCACATTAATTGGCTGTTAAACTATTGATTCTAAAATTCTGATAGTTCCTCTAGGATACTGGGATTTCCAAAGGAATATCTTCCTCTTAGGTTATTTGGTGGTGTATGCATGAACCTAAAGAGACTCAAGCATTTCCTGCAGCAAATCTGCTGTGGCCTATTCAATTGGCTTGTCTGAGCAGCAGGGATCCTTGAAAGTTTGTCCACTACTTAGTGTATCACATCAGGATAACAGGACAAAGAGGCCGGTAGGTACAATGATGACCTTACATTGATCAGAATGCTTTACACAGGCAGCAAAACTTCCCGATGACCTGGATGTTAGTTTGAAAAAATAAATAAATCAAATGTCCTGACACACACTCAATTCAAGTATTTGTGTAGATATTCATATATGTAGATTGCTTTCTGGCCTCGATTACAGAGGTAACATTAAGCTAACTATTATTTTCTATATTATTTGCACCATTTTCCTATATCGTTTTGTGAGGGGTGTGTGTGTGTGTTATCTTTCTAGGCTAGCCTGTAAACACCTTGAGGGTGAAAATTACATCTTTTGGAATCATTCATAGTGCCTACTGCGTGAATTTAGGCTCCAGTAAGAACACAAATGTAGCCTAGTTTAATTCATGGAGAATTTGTTTCTGATTCCTCATTTTATTACATAAACCACTCAAACTCTAGTTTATCTCCTTCAAAAGCTTTATATTTCTTCCTCATGTTTCATTTCATGCTCAGTGTATATGTGTATAACCAGTCAACTTCATCTCAATTCTTTTTATTTCCTTGTGTGGGAGCCATTTTAATAGTATTTGTTTCAAGTGAAGGTCTGTTATTCAAAGTAAACACACAGAACTTGGCTAGAGAAAACTATTTGAATAATATTCACATAGCAATAAAACCCTGAAAATGTAAATATAAAATACAATATCCATGGTTAGTAATGTTATTCACACACTTTACTAAGTACTGTTAGAATAGGATATAGCTAATCATGGAAGAATCATAGCCTATCCTATAATATCCTATAAACATCTTTCATCTGAGGATCTCAAAGAATTTTTACTAAAGGTAATTATAATATTTATTCTTAGTAACCATTCTTTCCTCACCAATTTTTAATGCCAAAACAGAGATGGGACAAATATGCAAATAATTTCGCATCCGAGGGCTCCTATTTTTTTAATCCTAAAATATATGTTGAGTGCGTATGAAAGCACAACCCCATCGTAGGTAAATATGGAATTCAGCCCTCTCTTCATTCCTGCTAGCTAACTACTCAGGGACCTCAAAGAAAAGGTTTTTGCTATTCACCTTTACAATCCTGGTGGAGAAACCAAGAGGTTGTTTTTTACCTCCCAGGGCAGCTATTTTGAGTGCCAAGGCATTGTAAAACCATTAGATCATAGATGTTCATGATTGTGGACTTATGGTAGGGGAGAAGAGGGGACGCTGGAATTCAAAGAAAGTATTATTCATTTCATTAAAAATGAGAAACACGCTGCTTGGAGAGTGCTATTGAGTAACAGGATCTGGTGGGAAGAGCACGGAATGTAGAGTCCAAACACTGGAATTTGGTACCTGAGCTCTGAGCTGTGCCATGCTCTAGCTATGCAGCTTAGGCAATAATGGTTATAAATATAATAAAAGGTATATATTATTAAGTGGTTTCTGTTTACTAGGAACTTTGTATCTGTCATTTGAATCCTCACTATACCACCAAGTGATAGTTATTATTTTCCCTATTTTATAGGTAAGGAAATAAATAGATGCAGGGAGATTCAATAACGTTGCATAGGTCACAATACCAGTGAATTGGCAGAGCCAAGAGTCTATTCAAGGCGAAAGTTCAGGCTCTTTCTACTAGACCATGATGCCAACAAGGCATCGCTGAGCACTGTGTTTTAAGTACCTACTATAAGCTGGTCAACCTAAGTGCTTAGCATATCTTACTTCATTTGATTTATAGAAAAAAGTGCTGTGAGGACACTGTTATTTTACAGACTTATAAACTGCAAATGAGAAGAAAAGTGACTCGCTTCAATTCATAAATTTAGCACATGGCTGAGATGAGCTTAATTTTTTAAAAAAGTTATTCTCTGAATATGTTCCCTTTTCTTAAGTTACAGTCCCTTTCTTGAACCCACAGTGTGTCATGTGACCTTATAGTTCTCCCAGGGTGGTAGTTTTGGCTGGTATTTTTTCTCCTATTTTAAAGGTAAGAAAAATGACTATCAAGGGCATCACAACTGGTTTTCTCCTGTCCACTGATTGTATCTCTTCTGTCCCTTGGCTCTGTTTCTCAAAGTTGGCGCTCCCCAGGGCCTTATCCCTAATCTTCTCTATTTCAACTTTGTCTTTGGTATAGCCCTAAAGGAATTAATCTAGTCCTATGTTTCTGAATGCATTGATTCACCCAAATTTAAATCTCGACTTTTATGACTTCCAAATCTCTACATTGACAACTCCGAAATTTAAATCTGTAGCCCTTGGTGTCCCTCTGAATTCCAGGTATCTGTTCAGCATTGCCACTTCAATGTCTGAAAGGTATCTCAAAATCAATAGGATCAAAAATTATTGTTTTCCCAAACATCTATCCAAACCTGAGATTTTCTCACTCTTCTGTGACTTAACAAAAGGCACCATCTCCATCTAATTGCTCAGGGCAAAACCCAGGAGATTAGTTCCTCTTTTACCCTCACCTTCCACATCCAATCCATCCCCAACTTTTGACAGTTAGATTACTGGAGTCGGGCTACTTCTTATCCCCTCCCCATTACATCCTGAATCAAATCCTCATTCTCTCTTACTTTGGCTACAAGAGTCTCCTAATTGATTCCCTGTTATCCTGCTTGTCTACCTATGTAGTTCATTTCATACAGAGACCAGATGACGTTTTTATATTTAATGTCAGATCATATAAATCTTCTGCTTAAAACTTTCCAATAACTTTCCATTGTATTTAGAAAAATATCCAAATACTCTACTAGGACCTAAGACACCCTCACAATCTGTTCCTATCTTGCTTACCTCACCTTTTTCTACTCTTTCTTTTGCTCACATGTTATGACCACATGGCCTTCTTGCTTTTTCTCAAACATGCCAATGTTGTTCCTGCCCCATGACCTTTGAGCTTTTGAAATATTTTCTTCCAGATTTGTGCATGCCTGGCTCCTTATTTTCACTGAGCTCTCAATTGTCCTTTGCTGAACACCTTTGTGAAGTAGGCTTTGTGCCATGCCAGTCCCTTGGGATTTTATCATCTTATTTTGTTATGTTCACAGAACTTACCACTGTTTGAAATTATCTTTTTTGAAAGTATTTATTTTTCTGGTTTATTTTCTGTCTTCTCTGTTTAATGTAATATCTTGAAGGACAGAGACTTCGGCCTTATTCACTGAAGAGCCGTACCTGGTGCATAGTAGGCACACAATTAATATTTACTAATGACCAAATCACTGAATGGATAAGAAACAGGAGGCAGTATAGGGTAGGGTTTTTTGTTTGTTTGTTTGTTTTGTTTTTCTGAGGCGGAGTCTCCCTCCATCACCCAGGCTGGAGTGCAGTGGCGCGATCTCGGCTCACTGCAAGCTCCGCCTTCCAGATTCAGGCCATTCTCCTGCCTCAGCCTCCTAAGTAGCTGGGACTACAGGCACCCACCACCACGCCTGGCTATTTTTTTTGTATTTTTAGTAGAGACGGGGTTTCACCATGTTAGCCAGGATGGTCTCGATCTCCTGACCTCGTGATCCACCTGTCTCAACCTCCCAAAGTGCTGGGATTATGGGCGTGAGCCACCGTGCCCGGCCAGGGTAGGGGTTTTGAAGCCAGACTTTGAATCAGAGTGACTTGGTTTTGAGTTCAGGCTTTTCTCACTAGCTATGTCACCTTAGGTAAATCTCTGTTTTAAAATGGAGATATTAAAGTAATTACCTTACGGGGTTGTTTTGAGGATTAATAAAAATGAAGCACTTAGGAAAGTGTCTGGCACATAGCAGTGCTCCAACAGTGCTGGGATTTCTCATTAAAAGCATCTTGGTCCTATGATATAAGACAAGAGGAATAAGGATCCTTATATCCTACATCATACTGAGTGATATTGGGTAGTGATACTGGGATAGTGAGAAAAGCTTAATGAACATTAGATGTAGCAAGGAAAGGGTGTTGGCCCAAAGGTGGCTGATCTTTCATAATGTATTATTTGCATCTGTGCAGAGCTATCACAAAGAACCATACATGCTGTGCAGAGCACAACTTTGGAAGTGTCATTGATTTAGACTATGGTATGAACAGCATCCCTGGAGTTGTACAATGATAGGGACCTATTACATGTTTCCTAAGTTATTTAGTCCAACAGGCATAAAGGAGTTTATTTAATGTCATCTGAAATCTCATGACTCATAGTTGCCTTTGATCGCCAAGGCCTTTGAATTCCATGCCACCTTATCTTTAAAGGTACCAGGATTCCTCCCTACTTCAGTTTTCTATGTCCTGTACGCCACATGCTGAAATCTCAGCAGCTCCGAATTTACCAGTGCTTTAAGAATTATGTAGTGATGTTATTCTATGAATTAAAAGTCAGGACACGTTGTCTGACAATGGAACCGAATATTTGGAACAAGATCTGTCCTGGAATCCTGCATGTGGGATCATTGCAAACTACTGTGAGTGGAAGAAGAGCTGGATGGGTCTTTTATTCTGCTTCCTCAGTGCCCTGCACTACACCTGCCAATTGTAGGTGCTCAATGAATGTGCACCACATGATTGAATGTCTGACTCCAGTCTTCTACTTTGTATGAGCAAGATGGGACTCGCTCCTTCAGAGGCTTTCCTGACATGAGAAACCTAGGTGGAAAAGAAAAACAGCTGCACTGAGTTGGTTACACAGAAAATAAAGCACCATTGTGACATTGGTCCTGGCCTAATTTCAGACACTGACTGTGCTACCCAGCATTAGACAATATGGTCCAGAGGAGTTGCAATTTTCTGCCAGATGTTTTCAGGCCACACATGGAGTCTGAGAGTTGTTGAACTGTAAGTCCCAAATGGCACAATCATGTCTTGACACGTCATCCGAAGGTCACAAATAAGAAGGCTGAGCTCCATGCTGACCATCCTCATACTCTCAGCCCATGTGATTTTGAAAGAACTGCTGACATTGTATGGTCTTGATATTCACCTTCTTAAACTTCAATATCTAAATATTCTCCTATGAAGGGGTCAGCATAAATATCATTGTCCTTAATTACTTCTGTTACTCTTTGATTCCTACTAGACATAGGGCACTTAATATATTACAGATTGTGTGAAACATTGGATTGCTACTCCTAATGAATTTTAAATAAGCTAAAATGGAATTAAAAATACACATATTCCTCCTTTGACTTATGATGATTTTGTCTGTCTTCTTCCTGATATGGTTTCTATCTATAAATGAGAACAAAAAAGATGGGTGGAGGCCTTCATTATCAATGGGAGCTCTTAATTTCCCATCTCTACCTACAAACCCCTTTGCAGGGGTTCCATTGCAGGTAGAATACAGAATTATTCCAGATCCCATTAAAATGATGGGGTCTATTTCTGTAGAGTTTCTCTAGGTGACTTCTATGCATCCTCTTCATTCTATCCTTTCTGACTCAGGGAGAACTTCAGTATCCAAGGGGCTTCTCCTTAAACTAACTGCTCTATATTTAGAAAAAGAACTTCTCCAGGAGAGGTTAATCACACTACTTAAGGCAAATTCACAATAGTTAACATAGGTCATTAGGAATTCATTCAGGTGTGGCTCCTGTAAATTGACTTCTCAATTTACAATGGAAAAGAACACTGCTTAGGTCCAAGCACAAGATCTGTCCAAAAATAATGTTACACATCAGGAATTATTATAGACTGCTGAAAACTGTCAAATCTTAAAAAGAATCCATTTCTGTTTGAAAAACTTGCTAAAAAATGTAGATACTTATGTAGAATAAGCTTGGATATCTATTTTGCTCAAATAGGATCATACTGTTAGATTCCTGTTAGATTATATGTTCCTTGAGGGCAGAAGACAAATCTTTGTCAACTTTACAGCCCCTTGTTAGTGTCTTACAGAATATCTTGCACATAGAAAATGTTTAGTTGGTTTTGAGTGAAACTGGATGTTTGTATTTATATTAAAAGGGAATATACAAAAGGTAAAATTACAAAGAAAAAGCATAGCTCTTTTTTTTAGATGATTAGTAAAGCCATATAGTGTATGGGAAATAATGAGAAACTGAGATGCAAGAGACTTGGGTTCTAATTTGGCTTGGCCATTAACTAGCTATGTGACTTTGGTTGAGAACTTTCACCAACCTTAATTTATTTTAACTTTAAACCGAGGAAGCTGGAGCTTAGTGCCTGTTGGTTCTAAACTGATGATCTGAATGTTTATTTTATTCTAATCCTAATTTGTACTTGTGTTGTACTTTACCTAAATGAAGGTATCAGTTCATTCCTAGCTTTAGACACTAAATTTTATATCAAACAACCAAACTGCCTTCCAAGTTTATCTTACTCCAAGGAGGCTTTTCTGATTACATTAAGCAGTTTTCTTTTGTCTGAATATCTGGTTCTTAGAGTTTTGAAAACTTACTTTCCAGACTTGTAAAAATAGGGCAGAGTAAAGATAAAAATGACTGTCCTTGTTATACCCAGTTGAAGTTTATGGTGTTCTAATTACAGTGGACCTGAACCTTTGGTGAGCTGGAGTAATTAAACTATTCGGTGGGAGCAAATCATTACCCATAGGAGATGAATATGTTTTTCTAGGTTGCTGATTAGAGCACTGAAAGAGGAAATTTACTTAATAGTGCCTGGAAAAGTGAAGGGCATTTTATTTTCAGATAGTAGCTTATTCACACAAAATCAAGCCGGATGCTGTTATACTGTGATCATTTTTGTAATCACTTCAGTTTTACTGAATAAACCTGAGTCATGTTATCAGAGTGGAAGGGTGGTTTCAGGATAGGTGAGAACAAGTACAAATGCAACAGCGAAGACCTTCCCCTGAGAATGAGAGGTGATGGCTGCTTTTGTTCCATTAAGAATCTCATGACTGGGTGCAGTGGCTCACGTCTGTAATCCCAGCACTTTGGGAGGCCATGGCAGGTGGATCATGAGGTCAGGAGATGGAGACCATCCTGGCCATCATGGTGAAACCCCGTCTCCACTAACATACAAAAAAAAAAAAAAAAAAGAGCCAGGTGTGGTGGCGTGCGCCTGTAGTCCCAGCTACTTGGGAGGCTGAAGCAGGAGAATTGCTTGAACCTAGGAGGTGGAGGTTGCAGTGAGCTGAGATCATGCCACTGTACTCCATCCTGGTGACAGAGTGAGACTCTGTCTCAAAATAATAATAATAATCATCTCATGGGATTACTCAATAAGAGCACTCGTGGGCCATTCTGATGAAATTATAGAATCAGAGAGGGAGGAAACCTTATCCTATAGTTAAAAGACAAAGAACTTTATGGTTGAGGAGGGGATTTCCTCTTCTCTTTATTTAATATAGAAATTGCAGCTGACAACTCTTTCTCCCACCAATCTGAATGAGATGGGGATACAGTTCTCATTCTGCAAGAAGAAGCAATTCTAGATGTGATTTGCTACCCGTAGATATGAAGTCTTCTGGAGAAGCTATAATCTTATGTGAAATCAGAAGTTTAAAAAAAAAAAGAAAATAAAATTCCCAGGTTTCTTCTGGTAACATTGAAAATGTCCTGAGACAGTGGGTGCCATGGGGTTAGGAAAGGGCCATTTCCCCAGCAACACTTAATAAACATATGACAGATTATGGGAGCAGCCATTGAAGACAAAGCCTGCTGCTAACATGATTCCATTGATTACGGGCTACGGGATTTGAACTACTGCCATTTGGTCTTGCAGAATATATAATTTGGTGGATTTTTAAAATTCTATAGAATAATAGAGTGTGCTTCCAGGTTAAAAAGTTGATGTCAGCTAATTAAAAACTTCAGAGGAAAGAGCCCCTCAAGTTTAAGATTTGTCCTCAAATCAAATAAAATATGAATCAGTTGCAGGTCCAAGGGATTCCAGGCACTGGTCTGTAGGCCCATTGGGTGAGGCACGCATTGAAATCATGGGACAATTCTAAATAGATTGAGCTTAATTACCTACTTACCTACACATGTTGGTGAAGAACATGGACTTGGGAGTCACATAGAACTGGATTCAAGATTGACATCTAAATTTGGGGATAAAAGTGCCTTCCTCACAGTGTTGCTCTGAGGAATCAACACAAGTGAATACTGAATATGTAACAGCTGGAAGGCTCAGGCACTGATCAGTCATAGTGGGTGCCAGTCATGGGGCTGCATCAGGGTCATGGAGGTCCCTCTGGGCTGCATTAGTTGCTGTATTTTGAGCTAGTCCAGGGAGTACCTGGGAAAGAGTGAGGACTGCCAGAGGAGAGGAAGAGTCTTTGAGGAGTTGGAGTAACAACTGTTTACTAACCAAAGCAGAGGATTTCAATACATATAATAGCATACAAGCTAGATAAATAGTCATGGGATTGAAAGAGATTAAGTTAGATAAAGTATTTAGCACAAAGTATGGCACTTAGTAAGTACTCAGTTAATGACCGTTATTATCAGTACTGCTATTCCTCCTCCTCCTCCTTCTTCCTCTTATTCTTATCCCTTCTTCTCCTCCTCCTTGTCTCCTCCTCCTCCTCCTCCTATTATATAATACAAGAACAAATATATGCCATACAACATAGAACGTATGGCTTGTTTTCTATTCTGTTTTGGAACACATTAAGACTAAATCAGTGGTCCCCAAACATTCTCATGAATCTTGGTGTCTCTGTGATTTTTTTAATACCCAGGCCAAAGGAAATATCTAACTGTCCTGTTTATTAAGTAGGAGGGTCCAAACAACTTAGTGTTTATGTCCTTAACATAACATTTGGAAAAAAAATACAAAGAAGCTGAAAGGCAGAATCATATTTTTATTTTGAAATAGCCACAATTACTGCTGGGATGTGCATAACAATTCAGCATCTCACAACTTCTAAAACCTTAGAATCAGATTGGATAATGCCTCCTCCATTTCGTATTCCACAAATAATTTTTTGTGTTACTTGTTTTCTATCATTAAAAGCCTACCTTTACAGAGGTACAATGCTGTTGAAAAGGAATGTAGCAAGACCTGATGTTGAGACCAAGAACTACCTTGCTGTTAGTTCATGGGATATTTGAGAAATGTGGCTGTGTGCTACCCTTAAAAATGTAAAATATCCATGGGCTCTGTGAATTTGCTGCAGTATTCCATGGTGCCTTAGCACACAATTTGGAAACCATAGGATTAAATAGAGAGACTTTGGAAATAGTAAATACTAATAGCTGGGGTCAGCTAAAGACTAATGGAGTCACAACTCCAGGGATCTGGTGGGCATCAACTTCATATGATTATGTCTTGACTCTTGGACTTCTGGGACAAATGGTGGTTTGGGCTGACTGCCAGTGAGTTGCAGTCTGCCCAAGCTTATCTAATTTGTTGATTTTAAACTTTCAAGAGAAATGAGAACACCTTGAATGGAGAATAACAGCCTTTGCTTTCAGTCATTCTAATGGGCTTTATCTGCTTGCTGAAACTCAATTATGCACTCAGGGGAATCTAGTGTATTGTGCTAGTTTTTCGTGGAATTAATGTATGGATTATTGGATTAGCAAAGTTCATCCTTTTTTTCTTCTAAAACTGATTTTTCCATCTCAGATCCATCACTGGATTTTCTAGATTTTGTCTAGATTTGTGTTTGGGATGAGATGTTGGCTTATCTTCTGTTTTGGAGGGGAGAGCACTGCTTCTGGTAGAATTTTAGAATCTAGAACAAGAAGGAATTTTTAAGTCACCTACATGATCCTCTCATTTTGCTCATGAAGAGAGGCCAAGCAACTTGCCTAAGGACACTTCTCATTATGGGGCAAGAGAAGTCTGGAACCTAGTTTTCAGCCTCCTACAATAGTCTTCTGGTCTACAGTCCTTTTTTACACAATGCTTGCTTAAAGGCCACATCATAAGGACCCCCTCTTCCATTCACGCCACTTCAGAGGTCTCAGGGCATTTCATTATAAATTACCTCTCCTCGATCCTGTCACTGCCTATTATTGAGTGAGCACTGACCTCAGTCCTACACACAGAGCAACCTCTGGTCATGTCGTGTAACATAACACTGAAATGCTACAAGGTTTGGGAGAGGTTCTTTCTAGAATTTTTAGTTTCTTTTGGTCATTTTCTTAAGTCAGTGGTTTCTAATCTATTTAGAATTACAAACTTGTGTAATCATCTAAATTCAAGCGAATGACTTTGTCCTCCTGAAAATGCATACAGACACATACAATTGCACAGAGTTTAGGGGGTTCTGTGGACTCTCTGAACTCTTATCAACTTTGGATTAAACACCTCTGCCATTAAATGTGAAAGCTTTTAAAGTATTATTTACAACAAATAATTATTTTGCTCTGCTTTTATTGCTAATATATGTAAATCCCAAGACTTTTAGCCTGTGATTTGGTTTACTTTTTAGATCTTTTCCCAATAAAAGGAAGAGTAAAGATTATTAATAGTTTGTTTCCAGGATTATGAAAAATCACAGCCAAAGTTTCTTTTGAAATGAGAGCTAATCAGTCAGTGGTCTCCAAATCCAGGTATCTTTCTTGGTTGTGACAGGTGAGCTTTTAAAAATAGACAGCCGTGTCCAATTCTAATCTAGGCCTCGCCTGAATGTGACAATTATCCTGATGTAGCAGGTGTATGAACCACTGAAAATCCAAAATTATCATTTTCTAGAGGTGCTACTTGAAGGCTATAGAGGTAGCAAAATCAATGGCATAGCTGGAAATTTATTGTAAAACACCTGGCTTCCTTGATCAAATGTACTTTCTTTTGAAAAGTATTTGTATCAGGAAATGATACTACCATATAGAAAATTCTAGAGAGCAATAAAACAAGATAACAATCAGCTTGATCAAATGTTGACATGTCGCTATGTATATTTTATGATTCCAAAAAGTATAGATATACCAGCTTTATTTTGATTTCTAGTATCACTATTGTTCCTTAATTCCTGTGACTTCCTTCTGTGTTAACTTGTATTTTTCTGATAATATTTTTCAATTCCTTTATTTTTAATCATTCTGTTTGGGTTGGTTATACTGGGTTTAGATATATCTAGTAAGCAATGCAGTGCTATTGTTTTTTTCAGTCTACTGTGATATTCTCTTTCCATTTTTCATGTATTATGAATCCTGTAATGTTTTGGTTTATTTCTATAATCATATTTTAGATTTCTCTTTGTGTTTTCTGTTTCCCTTCCTTTATTACCTTTTGTGTTTATCTAATTCTCAAGTTATTCCACCCTTCTTTCTTTGTATTTTTTCCTATCTTTTCTCCTTTCTTTCTTTCTTTTTCTTTCTTTCTCTTTCTTCCTTTCTTTCTTTCTTTCTTTCTTTCTTTCTTTCTTTCTTTTTCTCTCTTTCTTTCTTTCATCCATTGATTAGTTAATTCATCCATTCCTTCAGCAGTTGTCCTTAATTTTTAAAATATATGTAACATTAAAAAGTATAAAATTATTTAGTATTTCTAGCTTTCTCTTAAAAAATGTATCAGCCTTAGCCACTGTTGTTCTGGTAAATGTTTAGCTACCAGCTTTCTAGAGAAGGAAAAAAGTCCTGATTTGTAGCATTTACTGATTTCCCTGGTGTAAATATTCCTACCATGACTGATTCCAAGCTATAAATGTGATGTCAATGTATGTAAAGTTGGGAAGTGATGCTCAATAGGGCATCATCCTAAGTGTTCCAGATATCACAGACAGAGATTAACCTCAAGAACATAGGAAATAGCTAAATGAAGCAAAATAACTGGAAAGTAATGGGTTTTGCTTATTTATTACTTTTGCTTCTAATATAATTTATTTAGTTCTAAATTGATATACTTGAATATTTAAATAATGGCTGTGTTTGATAACTGGTTTGCAAAATTTCTAAAAAGCTGCTTTTGTGAGCTCATTTAAGAACACCACTGATCTTAGACTGCTTTAACCAGCCATTCTGCATTCCTATCCCCACCCCAAATGGACACACAACAATCATTGTTATTTTGGCAGTTTTTGCCTTGCTTTATTTTAAATGTGTGCGCACAAAATATTGCTTTCACAGATAGTCATTAATTCATTTATTAACATATGTCAATTTCTGGCTTCATCCTTGTTCCTTAATTCCACGACTTCCTTTTATGTTAATTTGTTGTTTTCCTGAAATACATTCTTTAATAAATCTATTAGCAAAGGCATATGAGTGGTAAATTCCCTTTGTTTTTATATGTAAAAAAAATGCTTAAATTTTGCCCTCTTTCCTGAAAAATAGCTTAGTTGTATAAAACCTGCTAAACTGACAGTAATTTTCCCTCAGTACTTTCAAAATATTCGTTCATTCCTTTCTGGCATTTATTATTACTGCTGATGAGTCAGTTATCAGTATAATTGTCATGGTCATCTCTTTTTTTCTCTCTTCCTGTTAGCTTTAAATTTCCTTTTTCCCCCCCTCACTTCTTCAGTATTCTACAGTTTTGTTAAGATGCCTCTTGGCCTAGATTTATCCCTATTTATGCTACTGAATGCCCACAGTACTCAAGTCTATTTACTCATTTCTTCAGTTCTGGAAAACTCATTATTTCTTCAAGTAATACTTCATCTTTTCTTTTTTCATTTTTTTTCCACTTTCTGCAGCACTTAGTAGATGTAAATTGACTCTTGTCAATCTGTTCTTTATTTCTTGTATCTGATATTTTATGTAGAAAGACAAAACAAAACTGTTAAAAAATACCCTCTTTGCCTCTGTATGATTAATTCTGGGTAAAGTCCTCAGTTCTTTTTTCCAATTTTCTACTTCTTTCTTCAACCATTTTTAGTCTAGGATTTGTCATGCTATTAATATTTTTTAAAATCAAATATCTCCCACTTTCCAGAATCTTAACTGTTTTTTTCCGTAACCATCTATTTTTGTTTAGTATCTTTCAAAAAATAACTTATTGTTCACTTTAAATAGGTGTTATTTCTTCATTTATCTCACTGAATATTGAAGAGTCTCAATATATGAATATGAAAGTTTTTGTCACATGGCTCCATCAAATTAATTCCTTTAGCTTAATTAATATGCCAAATATTTATTTTGTTAGCAACCTTTAGTTGCACTGTATTTCTTAATGTGCTTTGTAATTTTGATTTTACAACTTATTGTGAGTGGGAATTCTTATTGCCTTATTGCTATTTTTTTGCTGTGTTTTAACTTTTTTCTTTTTCCTTCTATGTGCACCCCTTTATATGTGTGTGTGTGTGTGTGTGTGTGTGTGTGTGTGTGTTTGTGAGTGACTGCTGCCTGCCACCCATGTGAATTTAACCTCTATCCCCATTCTTACCCAAGTCTTCTCTTGTGGTTTCTGTGCTTCTGTTCTTCAGCAATATTAAGGATCTCACAGATGTATCCACTGAACCAATAACTGGCCTAATTCAGTTATTGGCCATGGTGGCTAGCAATATATTTGTGCTAGTTTTGTTTTGCTTTAAGCTATCTTTATAGGGAAGACTAGCTAGTTTCACTTCCTGACTTTAAGCAGTAAGCCAAGCTCTGGTTTCCTTTCTCACACCTTCTTCACCCCTACGCTTAGTCTCATTTGAACACTTTAATTCCCATTTACAGCCCCCTCCCACCCCAGGAGTAGGGCTCCTAAACTCCACTGCTGCTACCATACTTGAAACTTAGTAGGCGTACAGCTTCACCTCAGCACACAGCTTTGCATTTGTGTTCTTTCTGTGGTCCAAAGGATCCTCACCTTGGTTTTAAGTCTGATCTTTTTGCTTTTCTGTTTTCATATTATCTATTGTTTGTACAAGATGGCACTTGTAAGTAAACATTCCATTCTACCATGACATCTTCTGCTTTCAGAGGCTTAAAACCAAATGTAGGCAAGATTCAAACTGAGATTCCTAAGCATATTCTTAATGTCAAGAATCCTTTCTTTTATGTTTTTATAGAAATGTGGTCTTTGTGTTACTCAAAATAATATTTAAGCCTCATTACATGATCAGAGTAGTCTAGGCCTTTCTATTTTAAAGAAAGATTTAGATGAGAAACACTGCGGGTGGCTTGAAGATAATATGCCAGGCGTCTGATTGTCTCCTGGGGTGTTACTGTCTTCTCTGCTATCTTCCATGATTTCCAAAGTTTTATGAAAGATTCTGTACACATCCAACGTAGTATTGGCTGGAATACATTTTATTGGTTGCTTTTGCCCAAAGCTTGTATATTTCCTAAAGCTAGTAACTGAAGTCTTGTAACATAATGTCTAGTTATTTATGTTACCTTGACCACTTTTATCTGCTAGCATTCCTAATACAGGTAGCTTTTTTCACTTTTTTAAATGCCTTCTTTCTGCATATTTCCCCAAGTCCAAGTAATGGAACTGTATCATTCTGCTCATTATGTTCATCATCATTTTGACCCTCATCTTCTGGTCAAAAGAGCATGCATAAATGAAAAGTAGCATCTCCCATCCAAACAAAAAATAATTTAAAAATACCATCCCATTATAGTACAGCATGCATTGCACTTGTATTGATTAATCAGAGTATCTGAACATCACACACATGAGGCTCCAAGAATGATACAATATCTATATGTGATATTTGTGCAATATCTATATGTGATAATTGCACACAAATATTAGTCTGACTTTTAAGAGAATAGAAACTATGTGTTTAATATTCTCAGAAAACACAAAAAGATTTAGTTGTCATACAGCCAGACCATAAAGATGTTTCTTCCAAAACTGAAGACTAGAAAGACTTCCTCATCTTCGTCACTTTCAGGGAATTGGCCAAACTTGTCACATTCATGCAGAATCAAAATGATGCTTCTTTGGTCCTCTCTCTGTGTGTGTGTGTGTGTGTGTGTGTGTGTGTTGGAGTGTATCATCTGGGTGTGGGGGGAGGGAAGTGTGTGTAGGTTTTTTCTTCCTGCAGAGGGTTTATATGTTTAAATGGAGCAAAACAGATATTTCTGTCATGAAGCACACTGATGGAACCTGGGATTTGACTCCTGCTATGCTGTAATTTCACTAGACAGTAAATTCTTTGAAGATGAGTCTCTCACAGTATCACATAGAGCATAGCGTATTTTCAGGCACCTCCATTGTTGCTTGTGGCTCCATTTCTCATGTGCTTCCCCCTACACTAATCCTTCCATTGGAATTATTGCCACCATGTGGAGGAGCCCTCAATAAGCCATTCAGCCTGGGTTAAGTCTCTCGTATGTCCATGTCTAGTGCCCCATAGTTAAATATTTCTACCATTTTGTATTTTCATCTCAGGAACTTTATCCCCCTTACCATTGGACAATGAACATCCTGAGAGAAGAGCCTGAACCTTTTAACTCTGTGTGGTGCCTGGACTAGGTGCTAAATAAATGTTTTTAAATTAAAGTATTCACTACTTCTCTGAGGGGGTCTTAAAAAAAACTGGGCTTTCTATTATTATTGTGGTTTTCAGTTGAAACCTAACTTATAGGAGACACAACAATGTCCCTGCTTACATTAGTCAAAATCTCAGTAGTTTCACATAATAAAAACAGATTTCTCCCTAATGTCTTGGTTCCATGCAGTCAGTCAGGACTAGGATTACTCGGTCATGTGGCCCTATCATCTTCTGGAGCTTCATTCCCTTCTATATTCAGCCAGTGTGTGGGAAATGAAGGAGGATGTGAAAGTCTGAAGTTTCACATATAACTTCAACCATATTTTATCAGACAGAACTCAGTCCAATGACTTCAGCTTAGTTGGAAGGAGGCTTGAAAATATAGTCTAGTTATGAGCTAGGAGAAAATAAAATGAAGTTTAGTTAACCCAGGCTTGCACCTGCTACACTGACATCTAAGGAAGTCTAGAAACTGGTCAAGCCTGTCATACAATGGCTTATATGTTGCAAGCATTTTTTAAAAATCACAATAGATTGGCCAATAACTACTTGGAACTTAATTGTTATTACGTTCCTGGGATTTTAGCGTGTCATTTGCTATACTTTGTTGATGTGAATAGAAGCTGGTAGAAATATTTGATTGACAAAAGCATTTTTTAAATTTGAGAAGTAACTTTGTACCTTGGTGACAAAACAAGACATTTCTAGAAAGATTATGATGCAGAAAAAATATTTTTAAGGAGCAGATGAAATTACCTACCTGAGTCCACACCTTGCAAGTAAGACTTGTTTATCAAAGTTTGTTTTCTCTAGTTTTAGTCAAATGGATATTTATAAGTCTGTCATACTAGAAATCATTTGAGGGAAATGACATCATTTATTTTTCATTAAGTGCATCTTTTTTTGTAGGATCCATTTCTTCTCTATCACTAATCTTTCAACTACTAACTGGTCTGAGATGTGTTTTTTTAAATGAAACAAATCAAAGTAGGATCAATTAACTTACAATAACTAGAGCCAATTCAAACGTTTTTCTTTTTTTATTGTAAGCAAATCTGCTTTAGCAATTCCTAAGAAATGACCAATTTAGCACTTGCTTTGAAGTATGTTTACATATAAGTTTCAATATAAAGATGACTATTCCTTAAGTTTTGTATATAGTAAATAATGAAATTGAATTTTCTTTGGAATACTCTATTCTGTTCCAAAGAAAGGAGTCATTATTTTGTAAATAAGATATGTGCCTCCATTTTACAGGTTTTCCCTGATTTTGCAAGCCTGAGTAGTCAACTGAAAGGGTTCATTCAAATCAAAGATAAAAGACATACTATATAATGTGAGGTATAATTTTTTTTTAAGCTTACATCTATCACTGAGAACTTTATAAGTAGAGATTTAAGAGGGCAGGCTTGGGGACTGACTGGCCTCCTATAGTTCCTCCTAAACCTGAAAGATTATTATATCAAAAGTCAGCATTTCATTGCCCCCTATATCCATAAAGAAAATTAAAATCATATGCTGCACAGCAAGATTAAACCATTCAGAATGCTCGTAAACATATTTAAAGCCAAAATTACAGCTGTTTCTCAACTCTCGGTACCACGTATAGCTCTAGATGCGGTTCTTACGTTGCTGTGCACATACTGTAACAGTAATTACTGTATTTTAAGCACTATGCTATTCCACAAGAACATTATTTTGGTGGTGATACAGCAACCTGGTGACAAGGAGCCCCTCCTGTACCACATAACCACCTTCACAAGGAAAACACTATGTTCTTAATGTTCTAGAGCCTTGTCTTCTTTTGCTAGGGAAGGAGATAATGGGTTTTCTCAAATATGCAACCAGAGAAAGTATTTCATCAAACACACACTGTTCAGTGACCTACTGGCAGCTTTTTCTTTCTGTACTTTTAATACAATTTTACAGTTGGAATTTAATTGATTGCATACACATTTGACTGAAGGACTAACTGGTTCCACTGGTAGTTCCAGACTTGTGTGAGCACCTTTTCTTGTTACTGTCCTCTGAAATAAGGATGAATCAACAGTCAAACATGAACTTTAATTAACTTCCACTAGAACATACCATATGTTGTACAGAGATGTAGGAAGTGTGAAATCTTTGCAAAATGGAAATTTCTCAGTGTCTGACAAAGTGGGAGCAAATTTATTATTATTTTATCCTCATTGCTATTATTTGTGTTTTCATTGTCTTTTTCACCCTCACTCTCAGAGTTTAGTAAGTGATTAGGTTAACAAGTCTTCCATGAGGAACCAAAGTGTGCATTGAAGTGATGATGGATCATACACTATGAGATAACACTTGCAGTGAGAAAGAACTTACCATAAGTTTGTGGTACTCTGTTCACTTGACCCCAACTCTATTTATATGACCATCTATTGAGTAGGATGTCTAGTAGGAAAGGAGCCTGTAAGGTATGTTATGGTGTCCCCTGGCAGAGTGGTAAAGTGCATGTCTAATTCTGCTGGTGTGGGAAATTATGGTTAGAGTAACACTTCGTAGCTCCAGGTGTAATGATTTGGACTAAGGACAATCCTCTAGTGATATTTTTGCAAAGATTATTCTTAGCTTACATCCTAACTCACTGACTTATAACAAACAAAGCTTCCTGTCTGCTAAGTGGGCAAATTAGATGTTATCCACTAGGAATTCTGTTCCTTTGGGGAGCCAAATAATCATAAGTTATTCATTTATATATTTACTTGTATTGTCAAGAAAGGTTCTGAGGATGAGTCCTGTTGAAAACCTTTGCTGTTGTACAACCTCTATGTGTGCTTCTAAGGAGCCTAGAAAGAGACAAAGTCAGATTGGGCCTGGTGTTCAAAAGATCCCAGCAGAACCTTTAGCCAGGATAGAGAAACTTGCTAAAGACCTCAACTTTGGGGTTTTCCCTTTGGCTCACAGAGAAAAGTCTTTGTTCTCCCAGTACCATTCTTCCTAGAAAGAGGACAATACTGTGCTTTTAAGCAGAGGAAGCCTGTCTTCAGGCAAAATCATTCACAGACTCCTTTTACATAAAATCAATAAAAGTAGAGGTGCTTTGGCTGAAGAAGGAGGTCAGAAGGACAGAACCACCCTCTAATTCAAACTTTGTATGTTGTTTTCCCCAAGTTTCCTCTCCATGGAAACCTCAAAGGAAACTTGTAGCTCCTCTTAACATAGTATGAAAATTACTGGCTCAAGACAACTCAGACCACTTGAGACTCATTTTTCTTGACCTGAGGAAAAGTCACTCTTTATTATCTATTTTGTCTGATAGAACAAAGGAGAATATTGGAAACTCCAGGCTTGAATGTGCAGCTATTTTATTATATAGATTCCCCTAAAAACTGTAAAATTTCTGTTTATATACAATAATAACTAGCAACACACATATATTTCCAAATACGGGAAAGAAAACTATGAATACACATATGTGTATGTTTACAGGATCAGTTATGCTTATGCAGAACAAGTAGATGTTTATGCTATATGATTGGAAAAAACTTCCTCAGACAAAATATACTTCTCACTGGCCCAGTTATATGTGTAATCTCCCATTACCTATTCTTTTGGGTAATGAGAATTGTTGAAAAAGAAATAGCATCTGGGGGATGGCATATATTCTGCCATTATTGGCCATTAATAGTTTACTTCAAATCAATCCTCCGGAGAGCAAGATTGGGGGATGGATTGAAATATAGAATGGAGGAAATTCAAAGAAAATAGCAAGTATAGAGAATAAGTTGAATTGGGGGAAACATTATTTTGGCTGGATTTTGAAGTAAAAGGTTCTGACCAGCTGCAGTGTGGCACAGGTTTATCCAAGATGGATATTTAAAGATCAGAACTGTACAGAAAGGATAGGGTTGCTAAGAAAATCTTTGTTGCTTTTGCAATTTTTTTAACTACTTAAGAGTTTGTGTGAATATAATCTATATATAAAATTAGTAACCAATTGGCATTTGCATTTGAAAGTCAGTGAGAGGGAGATTGACTTGATGGCTTGAATCATACTCAAAATTTTCCAATGGTGTTGATGTGCTTCCCCATGAATCTTTTCACTTTTAACCTCTTTACTTCTTACTGGAATATCTAGGTTCTCTTTCTTAAAAATCAAGAAAGTGCCCCTAATATGCTATTGACTGATCCATGAACTATACTAGGAAATCATCTGCTTAATTGTATGTCTTATAATATTCCTCTGTTCAAAAAGCGCTTTTTTGCACCTAAGAAACATATAGAATAGATCAATGGGCTGGCTAATGAGACGTAGGGCGTGTGGTGGGGTTGAAGGCAGTGAGTCTTTCTGTAATACTAGAAGGCTGGATAACAAAAAGAGGGCTTAAAAGGGGTCTGCTCTGTAATCCCAGCCCTGTGGGAGGCCGAGGCGGGTGGATCACGAGGTCAGGAGATCGAGGCCATCCTGGCTAACACGGTGAAACCCCGTCTCTACTAAATATACAAAAAATTAGCCAGGCGTGGTGGTGGGCGCCTGCAGTCCCAGCTACTCAGGAGGCTGAGGCAGGAGAATGGCATGAACCCAGGAGGGGGAGCTTGCAGTGAGCACAGATGGTGCCACTGCACTCTAGCCTGGGTGACAGACCAAGACTCCATGTCAAAAAAAAAAAAAAGGGGGGGGTCTGCTCTGCATCCAGTGGGCAGTCAGTTAACTATTACAGTTTCAGCTATGGGGTTACTAAAACTGAAAGATAAACAACTGCTCCATGTCAGATAAATTTTATCTGCATACTTAAAATATGAGGCTTTGATAATGATTTAGAGATGAAGATAAAAATAAATAATAAATAAATAAATAAATAAATAAAAATAAAGCCAGATGAGAAAGAAGCCTAAAATGATATATTGCAAAGTTTTAAATGGCCATTAAAGCTGAGCTATCAAATGGCTACCAAATGAAGTTTCATTTCTCATGTTATTTATAAACATTCATATAAAATTGCAAGGAGAAAAAAGGGAAAATCCTTGAACTCGTGTGAAAGACATTTTGTGCCGCGTATGTTGAATTACTATTAAGTATTCACCTGTCTTAAATGGGCTCTTTCTCCAGCCTCTGCATCATACATCTTAATGTCAGTAACATCTGCAACTGAATGGTAATGTGGATCAGTGAAGATAATCACGAGTTAATAAGAGCTTCAAATTGTGCTTTGGCTAGTGTACACCCTTTAATGTATTTGGATAATTGACCAGTACAATTTTATTAAATGCTTCTGCTTGATCAAAAAGTGCTTGTGTATAAAATTAGCTGAGAATCTGAATTTAAAAAAATTACTAGCACAGTGGTTGTTTTGCTTTATGTAGTCCTTACCTTTTAGCTTTCTTTGGTGCTTAGATTTCAGCAGTCATCGTTTAAAGATCATTCTTGGCTTCTATTTGAGTACATTGATGGTGAGGATGTAACCTTCCTCTTTTTTACTGAGTGTATGTACCACAAAGATGAAAAGACAAAAGGTGAAAAATCTATGTTCTTTGCTCCATTGATAAATCTCAAGTGCATTGGGTCTTGTGGGGACACATTGACCTTTACTATTTCTGTTTTTGTTGCTCTTTATTTATTTTGCTGCAGAATGCGATTGGTCATGAAAAATAACCCAGGGGCGATGCGGTGGGTAGTGGAGAGAAGGAAGAGGAGTGACCTGGTTTTGATTAGTTAATTCAGATTAGGGAGTAAATTCTGATTTCACAGCTGCTGTTCAGGTTCAATGGCACTACCAATTTTTCCATTTCCAGTTCCCATATATAAAGCTGACAGTTTCCTCGGCTAGAACCCTTTTTTAATGCTCCTCTTTGGCAGAGGCTCTACCTTTCCCCCCATGATTTTCAGTAGCCTTCCTCCCCCATGCAGCTTTGCCAGAGCTACTCGGTCGTGAGCTTCAAATCTCCTGTAATTCCAGTCCTAGCAGGCCCTTAAAAATGTAGCAATGCACAGATGTGCAGTGAAAATTTTAAAATGTGCACTTTCTTTTAGGAATATGAACGCTGAATATCACATAAACCTCTGATGTTCCCCTTGCCGCCTTCTAGAGCTTAGCTAACCCTTCCTTCTGTGTTTATATTCATGGCTCTTAGGTACGTGGTCGGCCGGCTTTTAGTTCTCACGCTTTCCCATCTCTTTTCTTCTATGCCAAATAGCTTACTGGTTTTATGATGTGGGCAGGGGCCAGTGAGGGAATAGTTTTAGTCCACAAGCTCCATTTCCAGTCATGGCCTGGGCTGAGTTTTAATATAGACCTTAGTTAGAGACAAAGTCTTGTTCTTCACAAAGCTCCCTTTTACAGTTTATATAAAGAAATGATAAACCTCAAAAGATCAACAGTTCCCAAAGAAGCCAATATATAATAGTCGTGCCCAGGAGCACTGTTATAACTGAAAACCTTAAAATGAGCATTGAATTGTAGCTTTGTTCCATTTTGCTTTTCCTCCCTATAATAGGGTCCCTTAAAAAGAAAGAGGAATAAAAAGAGGGAGGGAAGTTTGAGAATTGAGACTGGAATGAGTCTGATCATTTAGATGTAATGAAGCAAAGAAACAATTTTCAGTTCTGGAGGCTTTTTGTTGTTGTTCTTCGGGGTGGGTATGGATATACTGAAAAATATCTTCTCGCAATCCAGTTGCAAAATAAGTCCTGCCATTGGAGTTGCTATTAACGTAACCAGGTGAAGTGAGTATTTTGTGCGTACGTGTGTGATGGGTCAATGAAAAACACCCTCTCAGGGGACTTCACATCCTTTGAAATTCCAAGAAGTAACGAGTCTAATATTTTTCTCTCGTTAAAGAAAAAACATTTGGTGTGTGCGTGCATCTTCCTCATTACAGAGTATTTATGAAATTAGGATTTCTCCTATTTTAAAGATGGGCAATCGTCCTTCCAATTGTGTGAAATCTTCATGTATTTCAGGGTTGTTGGGCCTTTAAAATGCCGTTTCTTTTAAGAGCCTCAGTAAAGTGAGGGATTCTGACAATGACACTGGTTTAAATAATGCACTGGTAGCAGACGAGTTAATAGGCACGACGCAGAGCTGAGTGCGTTTGCATTGTTCAGTGTCTGGCTTAGCTATGAACTATAGGTGAGGGTTTCTGCCTACAGGTTAGCTGGGTAGGCGGCATGTTATTGTCCAGAAGTGGTCATTGCTTCCACGTTGGCGGGTACATATGTGAGTTGTTTTACTGTTTATTACATAAAGTATTTGTGAATTAATAGATTGTCTATCTGAGGTTGTGGGTTAATCCATGATTAAACTGATCAGGGCTTGAAAATACTGGATAAAAGGCACTGTTATGTTGCAATAGTCAAAACAAAGAAGTAAGATGAGGACTATTCTGCAGAAAATTCAGGCTAATGTCTTTCTATATGTCTACAGAGCAAAGCCAAAAAGCTAATACAAACCCAAACAGACCAACCTGTTGTCATCATGGATGAAAAAAAGGGGCATCAGTTCAGTGTTTAAGACTGGACTGGAAAGCAGAAGAGGCAGTTCTAGTTCCAGTTTTAGTGCCTCCCTTTTTATAGGGGCCTTCCTCAAAGGGTCACAGGCCAGCAGGAAAGCAAGTCATTTTTGGGTTTTGTGCCTTCTGTTTGTCTGTTATCTGTGAAATAAGGATGAAAACACCCTTTGTCATTCTGCTTCTCATTGGGCATTTGGATAGATGGATGAGACAATGAGTGTGAATCAGCTTTGAGTTCTTCAGTGGAGAGGTGTTCTAGAAATCCAAACTTACATGTATTGTTTCAGAATCTCAGCTATCTGCCATGATGTGGATGGCTGTCAGCAAGCCACAGCACCTTCCCACACACCGAAACTGAGCATCCTCTAACCTGCCCGAAAGGCAACATTTAGCATCATTGTGGAGACCCACTTTAGGTATTGACACCTTGAAGTAAGATCCACTTAAGTGCAAGGTTAAAAATGGCTCTTTTTTCACGTATCCTAAGTCTTCCACTTGTACAAATGAAAATAAGGAGATTTATGAAATGGCAATGCAAATCTTCATGCTAATCAACAGAGTTTAGAAAAAAATCAGCCAGGAGCCCTGAACATGCCAGTGGCAAGTGTACTGTTTCAGCCTGCAAGAGATAAAGTACACTGGTGCATATCGGTTAGTCTAATTTATTCAGTCTTTGCCATATCACAACCTTGTGTTTGATTTTCTTATAAACTAATAATTTCTTGAATGAATTAATACTGCTACAGCCACTAGTACCTCTACCTTGTAGAAGTTTTTTATTGTTGTGTATGCAACTAAATTGAAATATCTTTCACTTGAAATATTGACTTTAATATCTCATTTGAAAAATTCATGAAGCCTTTGATGTTAAATCCATACTCAATTTAGCCAAATGCCATTAGAATATGCAATACGCCTGAATACAGAAAGCATTATTGTCTGTGTTTCTGCAGAAGAATTACATTTTATGACTGTAACGTCAGGATCTTTTTTGGATTTGTGCATGAGGAAAAGAAAGGGAAAGGCAGCACATTAGATGCAAAATGAAAAGTGGTATTGATTAGGCTCTCATTTACCCACTCTCTGCTTCATTCCCTAAATGCATGGAAATAAGGGTTGTGCCACTGCAACTAACAATGCTCTATAATGAATGGAACAATCTTTAGAAAATTAGTGTGAGCATGTATGATAGTGCACAGATGTTGCTCGGAGTAACTGTCATACATTTCTTTTACATCTCCATTTACATAAGTCTCTTTATTTCCTAATAGTATCATAATAGAAACATGACAATAGTTAATGATTTCATAAAACATGTAATGTAAAGACTGTCAGAAAGGTAGAACGTTAATTGAAACCTATAGCTATACTGCATTAGAATTACATTTCCTAAATGAGTCATGTTAAAAATATCCCTCTTGTACCATGAAAGACAAAGACAGGTATTTTAAAACAACAACAACAACAAAAACAAAAACAGAACTCACGCTTTCAGCAGATTAAAAATTTTCCCCCCAGTAAAACACAGACCAACGAACATTGCGAAACCCACTGCATGCTAATAGAATGTTTTTTGCCTTTAGTAATTTATGGGCACTTTCCCCCATCTATCGATCACATTTTAAAAAGTAAACTTCATTAACATTTTAGAGTATAATGGCTCCAGAAAATGTTTGATTTTTATCACTACTAAAACATCATCGTGGTGTGTGCTTTCGTGTTAGCTGGTGCAGGAAAGGTATACTTCTTTTTGAGTGAAAGGGCCTTCGTCACCATCCATGTTTATTCAGGTATCTCATGGTGCCCTGAAGGAAAGAGCTCAAGGGTCATGCTATGGACAGGCCACGCTGTTTTTAAGAGTACAAGAAATACATTTATGAAACGAGGGAGGAAAAAGAATGGAGCAGAGAAAAGACAGGAAATGGCAAGTTCCTTACTCGATGAGATAACTGACTAGCCAGAAGACTAAAGATCCTTTTGAGAGTCTTTGATGCAGTCCTTGAGCTCCAGGATGTTAGGCCCTGGGCTGCTGCCTGCTCTGTAGCACCATCTGCTGGTCAATCTGCAGTCTCTGTCAGCCTGGGTGGGGAAGTGAACTGCTCCGCTCAAGACAAAGGTCGCTACTGACTTCAGTGTTAACAATTTACTCCACATTGGTGGGGGGAGGAACTATAGTTATGTTACACAAGGCTAGTAGGAATGGGACTGGATATACAGAATTTAACAAAGTGGTTACTCAAAACATCTTTTTAAAGGAAAGAAAGCAAAGCCTTTTTTTTTTTTCATGGAGAGGAAAGTATAAGAATCCCATGGATTTTTAGAACAAGACTAAACCATCTGTGCAAGAAAATTTATTCTCACCTTGATCCTTCAACATCTTGTGTATCTCCCATTCTATTAAATTAAGGCATTACTGAAATATGTTTAAAATTGAGCGCCATCCATCATAGAGATTGAGTTAGAATATCTACATAATATTTACACATCTCAACAGGAAAAGTAATTTTTCTTTTCAGTAGTTATCATTTTTGAAAACCCGGGTTGACTTGTAAGCCACCGTCTGTCTCATCCCTTACAAAGCATTTCCTCAGCTGATGCATTTCACTGATTTGATCTCACTGATATGGTAATAAAATCATTGGTCACTCAGACACAGAGCTGGTAGCCATGTGTTGAATCACCTGCTGTTAATTCAGATAGAGGTATACAGATGGGACTCAGGGACCCAAATGTGTTAATCTGAGAAATCCCTCGGCAATATCCCATGGATTACAATATTGCTGAAATATCCGGTATATAACTGCAAGTTAAATACTTCTAGAATTAATTATTAAAAGTGTATTTACCAAGGTTTAGCAACTATTTAATACGTGTTGCTTCCCAATGGGAGATTAGCCTATCTAAGGGCTGTGGAATCCTGGGGCCTTTGGAATTTATTTAATAAATGATAAGCAGCTGATTAAAAATAAATTAAATGCTAGTTAAAAGTATTTAGGGAGCTCGTTTAAAGTGTTTCGTTAGTAAGGAGTTTCCCCATCCCCTCTTTATTGTTTTAGAATTATTGACCTTATATATTGGGGTAGAAAACAAGATGGCTACCAGAGAAGAACTGTGTGAATAACCACATTTCTTAACTACATTTTTTCTTTTCTGACAGTTTTGTTTTTTAAGGTGATTTGGACTTTTTTTCTTTTTCTGAGACAGAGTCTCACTCTGTCACCCAGGCTGGGGTGTAGTGGTGCCATCACGGCTCACTGCAGCCTGGACCTCATGGGCTCAGCAATCCTCCCATCTCAGCCTCCTGAGTGGCTGGGATTACAGGCATGTACCACTATGCCCGGCTAATTTTTTTTTTTTTTAAATTTTTAGTAGAGATGGGATTTTGGCATGTTGGCCAGGCTGGTCTCAAACTCCAGGCCTCAAGTTATCCATCCGCCTCGACCTCCTAAAGTGTTGAGGTTACAGGTGTGAACCACTGCGCCGGTCCCTTAATAATTTTTTTTTTTAACCTCATGAAAATAGGTATCTTAATGCAACAGAAACTTGGAAAAAATTTTGGATAATAGGTTTCCCAGTTACAGGCTGTTGTAGGATTCACCTATACTTTTTCTGTTTTTATCTTGAAATACGTATGTAAGTATCCCTGCCTATTTTCCAATTTTTTTTTTTTTTTTAGAGCTAGAGTTCCCATAGTTAGTACAGGGAAAAAACCTCATTCTCTCTTATATAGTCATTTATAGAAAAAAATGTAAATCATAATTTATGACAAAATGATTTGAATTGTTCTTTCAGAGGTATTGAGTGCTTATTATTGTTATTTGCTAGCCATTATACTAGGCTCATTCACATACTTTCTTTTTGAATTCAGTTTTTAAGGAATTGTCACACTTACAACTTTATATGCATAGTATACACAATGCCAGTCTGCTTAAGCTTGAATCAGAAGAGTTCAAGAGCTCAGACGAACACTAATCTTTCCTTGTATGGAGTTTTCGGAGAAAACAGAATTATTTTGAGGCAAGCTCAGAAAAGCAATGGGAATTTTATGTCAAAACCAACCTGAAGACATGTTTAAAGATGGAACTATATGTTTTGTTTTAATACTTACATTATGTTTCATGTGCTTGAAATCAACATCTTCATATCTAAGCTGGTTTTTTTTTTGTTGTTGTTATTGTTGTTTTTAAGTTTAAGTTCCTTGAGACTAAGTTCTCAGTCTTTATATGATTAAAAGACATCCTGACTCAGGGCATTATGCTTAATACAAACTAGTTACAAGTAAAGATGACTTTGAACATGGAGCTTATTCATGTTGATGTCTAAGTGCTATGAATTTGAAGGGAGGATTTGTTAGGCGGGGACTGAGTGGCAGTGGGGAGATGGGGCACAGTATAGAGATCAGGCTTTGATGAAGAGAAATGCTGGCTTTCAGAAGGAGACACTGACTCCTCCTTGTTATTCATCAGCATAGTCACAGCAGAGAAGGTTGCTGGGCTGAATGACAGAGGTATGTTTTTAGATGTCTAGTAGGACTAGATAACAAATTAGAACTATCCAGGTACACATCTTACGAAAAAATACAGCAGATACACCAGATTTATTCAAACAGGATTTTGTGCTATTGGCCAAATATAGACCAAACAGCAAATGGTGACCTGAAATAGGAACTAGCACTTTTGGTAACAGAAATCTCTCCAGAACCAAATCCTGGATAGATAAAGTGCCACTAAATAGGAGAACCTGATCACAATACAGAGTCTGAGATTGACTTGTGTGGCTTGTGGTTAAGAGCTGAAAGTCAATGATAATAATTGAGTCAGTTTATCTTAAGGATCAGGGATAATCAACCTAAAAGACAAAAGGAGTTGCCATCTTCATTTATCAGCCAGATCTTGGGACCGGGAGACACAGCCACTTATGGTTCCTGCATGAGGCAACTCCAAAGGAAAATGTAGCATTTACCCAAATCCTGAAGATAAATGTATGTAAAGTGAAGCTCCCACAGTTAATATGGGTAGATTTACCACTATTGGAGAAGTGAATAAAGTCAAGTGAAAAATAGAATGCGTCTTGGCTGTGCTTGTTGGCCATGGCCACTGATCAGGCAGCAGCTGTGGTCTTTATGTTACTAGCAAAGGCTTTGAAACCTCTCCTGGATCATCTCCCACCCTCATGGCTCCCTGAGCAATGCCGATAACAACTAGCCAAGTGACTGATGGTGCTGCTGAAATTACCTCTTTGGTCTCACACAGAGCCATCCTCAATCCATGGAGAACGGCCAGCATGTCTGGAGAGATGGCAAGTTATGGACTGAATGCATCCCATTGTACATTGGGGTTGCATTGGGGAAACAAAACATGTAGTTCGCAGGAGACCTTTCTGTAGGAAGAATGTCTGATCATATTTTATGCTGCCGGGCAATATTGGTAAATGCTGGAGTCTTGTCTGGAGGTGGGACTCTTAGAAGTTGTCTTTTATGCTACGGAAGTGTTTTGGTTTATGACAGCTAAAGACCCTGATACTGAGTACCTGGTTGTGGTAACTATAGATGTGTAAATATAATTATCATAATGTTCATGTCTAGAATTGTGAGAAAACCACACTTGCTGAGTATATATGTTCAGGGCATTTAACTCATAGTGAGACTATTCCTTATGAAAGCCTTTTCTAATAGTGGGAAAAAAAAAAATCTCTTTTTGGTGCATTGGCACCAGAGCCAATCCATTTCCAATTCCTGAAGCTAAGAAGAACAAAAAGATTATTTTCTGAAACAGAAGATGTTTATCTTAAACTGCTGGAGAATGTGGAATTTGGCTCAAAGGGTATGGCTTTCTCTAATCAAGACTCATATCTCTTAGTACTCTAAACTTAGCCTATTGCTTGGGAAAGTAAAGATGAAAAGGGATGTTCAGTGAATACAGTCCACAATATTGGAGTGTTGGAGTATTATATAGGCCATTGAGAAAACATAAAATAATTACTGATGATAGCTAACATTTATTGAGTACTTTCTATATGCTTGGCATAGTACTAAGTTTTTGCATACATGACCTAATTTATTTCTCCTAATTATCTATGAAGTAGATACTGTTATTTTTGCATATTTTTCAGATGAATAAACCCAATTCTTAGAGTGTTTAAGGAAATTGTCTAAGTTTGTTCAGCTGGTAAGTTACAGAACTGCTTCTGACTTTAGATTTATCTGATTCCAGGGCTCAGTTTCTTCACTTTGAGTGTTTATGTAGTGAGAAGATCATTATATGGAATGTTAATGCTATAGGGAATTGAAGGCAATAAGGTCAAAAAAGTGTTAACTTAAACTATATTTAAGAATTCCAAAGATATCAAGACTTGTGACAGTTATGTACTACCCACCTCCCCAATTTAAGATACAAAGCTTACCTACTGATAGAGGGTACTCCTCTCTGATGGCTTTGCCCTACCTACCCTCTGGGAGGTAACTGTGATAATGAATTTGGTTGGTGCATTTTCTTATACTCTCTCTCTCTCTTTCTGTGTGTGTGTACTTAAAGAATGTACCTTATTTTCTGCATTGCTTTTGATCAGGTTCTGATACGGGAATTTTTTCGGAAGTTAGAAAGAAGGAGCCTAGAGAGAAAATGGAAATCATGCAACTCGTCTCTTATGAGAGTGTGTTGTGCAACATAAAGCTTGTTTTAAAGAATTGGGGTACCTTCCTCAGGACTGTGTGAAAGATCTAAGCAACTTTGCCAGCATACTTTCAGGGAACGTGTTTCTGAACCACAAGTACACAAAACAGACCTTGAAACGCTTACCCTTTCCTGTAACCAGGGGCAGAATGGAATTTGCCCTCTTGTCTGCACTGTGTGACTGTCAGAATGACTCATTTTCTTTGATCCTGTGTTTTCTGGCATTTGGACAGTGTACCCCAAGAAGTTAAAATCATCATCCTTGCTTGGCGCTCTGTGGCAGCTGCCTGCCTGGTGGCTTCTGGTAGTTCCGTGAAACGTGTGGGCAGAAGAACAGAAGGGCTGAGGAAGGAATAGAGTGACTGGAATAGCATTCGCCGGCAGAATGTTTGTAGCTGAAGGTGGAGCATATCCAGAGGACACTGTTAGGAATATTTTAAAATCACAGGTGCACTTCTGCTCCATGCAATTTAAAGGCACACAGCAAATGCAATTTGTATAACTGTTTCACAAAGTGGCTAGATGGCTTCCTTATTTCTAAATTGGAGTTCTTGTGGGCCCTCTGTAGGCAAAGGGAAGGTAAGCTGGGTCTCATTCTTGCAAGAATGAGTGAGTCTAAAGCAACTCTGTTTCTCCAGCACCTGGAAAGAGCCTGTAGGAACTCAAGAAAGGTTTTTTGAAGAAATGAATAAATAGAAATGTCATGTTTTCCCACTTGAGGCTAACTCAATTGTGTAGAAATTTTTACTCATGCCTGTTAACCCCACCACAGTTACTTGGTTCAGCTGTGAGGCAGGACGTGATTGCTTCATGCATAGGTGGATTCTGAGCGACTTTCAGAGGCGAGAGGAAAGAACTTCCTGTGCCCATGCTTTTCATTGATTTTCTAAAATCTGAAATGCCACCTGAGGAATGTTTTTAAAAGAACAGAAGAAAGAAATAAAAAGAAACCTCCTAAAAAAAGTGGTCCAAAGTTTTAAAATTATGTATCATATCTGTAAACTTTTTTGAGTACTTATCCCCAAATATGCACATTTATTGATTTATATATTATCTATGTACTATTGCATAAGTATGTTAATACCTAATAGAACATATGCAAATATTTTAAGGAGACAAACCTGAAATAAAAATATTTTATTTATAAGGGTACAGAACCTTTTGCTTTCATAAGATTATTATTATGACTATGATTAGTTATAATTCAAACTGTTTTT
Organism: Homo sapiens; assembly: GCF_000001405.40. NCBI lineage: Eukaryota > Metazoa > Chordata > Mammalia > Primates > Hominidae > Homo > Homo sapiens. Next base: position 88,174,867 of record NC_000001.11, on the reverse strand, counting down.
TCATCTCGGTGTAATATTTTTGTGACATTACTTCTGGGTCTAAATTCAGTTTATTTTACAAGTTTGTTTTAAAGGCTATTACAGCTAAAAAATAATATTTTATCAAAGTATATGGGTATCATGTAAAAAGGCATTGTGGCTACATTTACGAATTTGTGATACCCAGATTTGGGTCTCCTCCATCACTATAAGGCATTTGTGTGGCTCCTTGGAAAGCTAATGCCCATCTTCCCTGGTGTCAATCAGTTGTCTTTGCAAACTAATTACAAGGTATACATTATGTATTTTTAACAAATGAATTTAAATCCCTCTGAGAATTTTGATCTGGAAGGTTTTTAAGCAGGTTATAATATTCTGTTTTCAAGTTGTTAGGAAGTATGAAGACGTGGTGACAGACACATCATCTTTAGTAGCAAAATCATTTTTACAATGGAAATGATTCTTAATACCAATTTAAAAATATTCTTTCTGTAATCCAAGTTTTAGTTTTAAATACACTGTTTCTCATCCATGATTAAAACATTAAGTTAAACCTTAAAGGCCAGATTAAGTACATAAGTCAGTTAATATATGCCCCTTGTCTTTTTGCAAAAGAAAATGCACACTTATATTGAAATGTCACAAGATTTTTCTACTTCTTGTTCATGAGATAAACACCTAACCACTGTGATACAAAAGATCTTTGTGGCCCTTCTCTATCTCATTAACAACAATGGTAAATATTTGACTATATTTTAAAGGCTTTGTGGTTGTCATGGTTGTCATTATTCCTAAAGGACTTTGACACTTCAGCTTCAATTTCTTTCTTTTTTTCTTTTGAGCCTGAGTCTTGCTCTGTTACCCAGGCTGGAGTGCAGTGGCAGATCTCAGCTCACTGCAACCTCTGCCTCCTGGGTTCAAGTGATTCTCCTGCCTCAGCCTCCTGAGTAGCTGGGACTACAGGCACCCACCACCACACCCGGCTAATTTTTTGTATTTTTAGTAGAGACGGGGTTTCACCATGTTAGCCAGGATGGTCTTAATCTCCTGACCTCGTGATCCACCTGCCTTGGCCTCCCAAAGTGCTGGGATTACAGGCGTGAGCCACTGCGCCTGGCCCAGCTTCAACTTCTTTGCCCATGAATGATGCCAATAAAGAGTTTTCGGACACAGATTTTGAAATCTTCTTACTCATTTTGTGTGGTATAGTTTAGTTATAACTTGGTAGCATAATACACAAATCCAGTCAACTGTGAGCAGCCTGGCGACCTGAAGGCACCCTGCCACTCTTCTACACTGTGGACTCCTGTTCTTTTTTCAGGTCACTTTCATGTAACTTATGTGACATATGACCACTTAAAAGGCAGGCTGGGTAACAGTGGCTGAGTAAATCTATATTAAATATCAGTGAACCTTCTAATTTTTGTGCAAGAAAAATACATATGAGTAAAAGAGCTAAGATTTTTCTTCTCTCTCTGAGTATATCACCGTTTGCATCCCAGATTAAAAACTGCCTTTACGGCCTTGATCCCCATTATAATGTGAATCTCCTTGGGTGATGGAAGTACTTGAAGTAATTATGTCACTCAGAGTGATTTAATTCAACTTTATTAAAAACAGATTTTGATTGGGTAAAAACACGCATGTAGTAAATAGCCTTGGCCCTTGGTGGTGGTTGATAATTACTGGGATTCAAGGGGTGATGGAGAAAATAATGTAAAAACCTTGAAAGCTAAGAGAATAAAACACAATTTCTCATGTTTTACAACATTCTTTCTTCCTACTTTTGTGAGAATGCAGAACTGTAGTCCAGGGCAATGCAGCCACCACTGCTGTTTTCTCCTTCTAATCCAGAGTACAGCTGTGTACTGGGTCCACCAGACAGAAAGATCTTGGCCAAGGCAAGGCCACACTTCAAGCTGGAGCCAGGACATGGCCCCTGGCAATGGCCAAGTTGTTGAGTCAAAGCACAGGTGGTTGGGATCCAAGGGTGGTGTCATCCCATGGATGGCTGGTTGCTACCCTGGATTATGAATATAGCCTGACATTCATTTGGATGTCTAAAATCTAAGTGTTCAAGTAGCTTTTCTGGGCTATGCCATTTTCCAGTGGGAGATATTGAGGTAGCTTTTTAGTTTAAACATATTACAGTAATGTTCTACACCAGGTTAGTGGGAAAACCGGTATTTTTAAAGACCTATAAATCTTTTCACTGAAAGCTGCTTGGAGTTGGTAGCTTTCTTCCTCTTATGCTATTTTAAGCCTGGCAGCAGAAGAGGTGGATTCTACTTTATCCCCATAATTATTTTAATTTCTGGGCTGATGGTGCCATCACTTTCTCCCTCAACTTTTTCCTATTTTCCTTCACATCATTCTCTGCTGAAATGCTACCACCAGACCCAGGGAGTCACTACCAGTGGCTGACATCTTTATGATCATTCACAAGTGATCACGATCACCAGTGATCAACATTGAATAATGCAATAAGATCATGTTTCTTTTATTTCATTTTGTTTTTAGAGACAGAGTCTTACTCTGTTGCCCAGGCTGGAGTGCTGTGGTGTAATCATGGCTCACTGCAGCCCCAACGTCCCGGGCTCAAGCCATCTTCCAGCCTCAGCCTCCAGAGTAGTGGGACTATAGGCATGTGTTACCATGCCCAGCTAACTTTTAAATTTTTTTTGTAGAAATGGGGTCTTACCGTGTTGCCCAGGCTGGTCTTGAACTGTTGGCCTCGAGCCATCCTCCCGCCTCAGCCTGCCAAAGTGCCAGGATTACAGACGTGAGCCACTGTCCCTGGCTTCATGGTTCCTTTATATCTGACATTTAGAGGAATAACATGGACATTGTATAATATGATGTTTCAGAGCACATGTGTCTTTCAACATCTATTTATTCTTCTCTGGAGAAAACATGTTCTGTCTTGCTAAGTAAAATACATCTATATTCTGTAAATCCTGAATGCCACATCAGCTTATGTTACACCCCATGAGATGAAAAACACCACAATGTGGCACATGTAAGATAAAGCCTGTACTCCATTTGTGCTTAGTTTGATGCTGATGGATGAAAACTTATTAGAGGAATTCACTCACCATGCTTGGAGACTTTGCTGTTAACGGTTTTCCGTATCTCATTTTTCTGATGTGATTCTTATTTTAGAGACTTCAGACTAGATGATGGAAGACTGGGGAAGAATTCTACCCCCAAATCTCCCCAAACTTGTACACTTTTTATATTGCTGTAACTCATAGGTGAAAGTGGGTGGTGGAGAGAAACAGTACATTATCACGTTACCATCTTTTACAGAATACAAATAAGCCACTTTGAGTACAATGGCCTTCTATCAATTTAAAGGTATCTGTGATTTAGAGAAATGAATTCTATAAAATGTTCTTAACTGGGGGATGGCCAGTCTCTGTGAAAATTATTGATTGTGGAACTCTAAATAAACATATATGCAGGACTTTTAAATATGATAACACTGTTTTTATGAAGAACTCAGAGGTTTAGCAAATTCGACCATTGACTATACTCTAGAATTCAGGAAAACATGGCAAAGATCTTCCCAGCTGTGTGGAAAACAGCTTCCCAAAAGCACATATAATATACTTGATAGGAGAACATGGCACTGCTCTCAGAACCTCATATTGTAGACCACTGGGTATACAATAAGGCATTTTATGAGAAACACCGGGGACATACCGATAACAGATAATGAACAGCAATGAAAAGAAGGAGATGAAGAACTATTAGAGATGAGTATGATAATTTGATGGGACCTAATAAAAGCAAAAGTGGTCCCCTAAAGCATAATAGAGTTATTTTCATGATGGTGATTTTGAATAAATAAGAATGGGTTAAATTATGCTCATTTCACTCTGTTGGAGAAAGCAGATGATTATGCAAAATATTTTTTCTAAGTTCTTTCAAAAAGGATTAAATAGTAGTAATTTGAACTTATTGAGCATTTACTATGAAACAAACATTTATCTAAGAGCTTTTTAATGCATTATCTCATAGAATCCTCAGAAAAAGATTATGAAGAGTTACCATTATTATTTCCATTTTACAGATGAAGAAACGGAGGCAAAAATACATTAAGTTGCCCAAGATGCAGCCAGAAGTAGACTCAGATCGTCCATGTTTCATCACTGGGTCATACCTGCCCAATTAAGATAAATTAGTATTGCTACTTAAAATAAAAATCCCAGTTGTCTGAAAATTTTACTTGTATGAATCCTGATGATGCAGTATAAAATGAGACACTTATGCATATATTAAAATAGCTTTAATTATAACTAGTCTCCAATTATGTTACCTAGTAAAGTCTTTACTGAGACCTTCTTCAGTGATAGATAAGAATGTTTTACAATTAAAGCTTTATTTTCTGTAGGTGGAGGTTTACATATAGCATGAAGATACCTTCAAGGTTGACAATTTGCTGTCAAGATACTTAGGAGAATATTGAATCTATCCTGGAACTTTAAATTTAGAAAATCATTGTCTTGTTTATGTTATTCCTTTGCTTTGCAGAAATATTTTTTTACAGACAGTAAAAAGGTAAACTTTAGCTTTGCTCCTGTCAGAATTATCTAATTTCTAATTAGGGGAGCCTGATTTAATGAGGTTTTCCTAAGTAGTTTGGATAAGCCTTGGATGACTGACTTTAAGTAAGTGATGTGGTTTTTTAAAAAAAGAAACTAGTTAATCATTTGTTGCTTTCATAATTGATCAATCCAGCATTTCTTGTACAGCCAGGTAGTTAGGCATTTGTAACAGACACTATGGGACTATGCAATGGGGGACAAGAAAGTAGAGCCCAAAAGGAAGTAAGCAAGCTATTGTGGTTCCTCACTCCTCTACAGGCTGGAAGGGGCAGGGGAGTCCCAGCAGCCACAGCCAGAGCCCACCTTTGCATGTTCATCATCCAGCCAGGATCCTGTTGACCACCTCTGCTAAATATTGGAGCTTGTTCCCAGATTAGTGTTATCAATTTGGTGAGGTTAGCGGTAATACTAGCTGCCAGTGCAGTTGCATTTCTGCATACCCTCTTTGTATGTACACGAGACCATCGAAGCCACTAAAAATCAGGGTGAAGATGGCCATTCAAAAATATATCAGTTACCACATTATTTCAAGATGATGAAGGAAACTGCAAAGTAGAATAACCTGGATGCTTGTAAGTTTATCAGAATTGGTTGAATTCAAGTAAATGCTTTGGAAGTTATAGAACAAGCAAACAAAATGACAATGGTGACAAATGAGTAGTTGATTTAACTTATTTCAATCCAAATATCTGTTAGTCATCTTCCTGAATTTCAATTAAAAGTATGTCTAGAAAGCAAATATGCTCTGGGCTTCTCAACTTTGTATACATCCATGGAATACACTAACTTCAAAAGGCAATGCCTTTAGGGGGATCCTGGTTTGGTAGCTTGGAGGGTTTATTTTGAACACGCAAAAGACAGTCCAACACAAACTGCAACTCAGCCGTCATACTTACAAACATGTGTTCCCATAACCCATTTCTTTTAATGAGTAATGAATTACCTCCTGTTTTCCTGAACTTCAGCGTTTTTCCAAAGGGCTATGCAGAAAAGTGCATTGATGTGGAACAACAAGGTAAGATGAGACAGTCTGTTCAACCCATGTTATTAAAAAAAATTAGTTCACCTTTTTGATTCTGTGTCATTGTAGTTTCAACCATTCATTTGTTCAATAAGCAGTTTGGTATGTTCTGAGAAATAATGAATATTGATCACAAAATCGATCACTTATTAAGAAACAGACGAAGGGAAATTGTTTATCCAATCAATTGTAATTTTTGATTTGTTATTTGTATTTTTCAATTTCTTCCACCCCTCCTCGAGGCTCTCCTTCTCTCAGGAACACTAAGGTAAAGGCATGGAGACACTTGCTGAAACTTCTGAAAGAGCACAAAACCCAATGTATTCATTATAGATCATGCTGGTTGAAATAGGCAATAATAAAAGAGAATGTGAGTGAGAACTTCAGACACACTGCCTCTTGCACCTGTGGCTATTCAGCTGAAACTTTATATAGTAATAGGATTTTCTAAAAAGGATGTGTGCTTACTTCTCATGACATGTAAGCTAGCTGGGTTTTGCTTTAAAAGACAAAAGAGTTGCACAGGATTTAAATGTCTACAAGCTAACAAAGATTTTGAGCACACCAGGAAAGAAAGTTTGATTACTTTGGATATATATGAGACTTGTTCTGATTTTTTTAAAGGCTTTTGGTACAATAGAAGGGAAATTTACTCTTTAGAATTTTTGGAAGCTGTAACAATAAAATGTGCTCCACTGAGGCAGGTTTGAGTTAACTAAGTGATGAAATGTGTTGATGGATCTAACATGGGATAGAAGAAGTGGGAAAAGTCACATATATCCTTCCTGATCCTGGGAAAAGGGATCACTGTCCTCTTGTGGAAAATATTGATGAGGACTTTGATAAGCCCTCTGGGGAAAGATTGAGTGAATCCTCCTATAAAGCAACAGGCCTGATCACCACTCTAGGTGTCTGACTTAAAACAAGGAATGAATCAGGTGCAACCTCAGAGCACATGTTTCTAGTTTCATTTTTCACATATGTGAAAAACTAGGGCTTGAAACCAGTGTATAAACTAATCTCATTCCTGGCAGAACTCTTTCCAACTTATTGCCCTTTTCCCAAAGTGCATCTACAGTAGAGAAACTGTAACTACATCCCCAAGTGGCTAGTTAACTTTCCTTGGGATTTGTGAGCACCAGGTGAATATATTGCTCATGCTCATACTTCATCTGAAATGCGATTTTGAATATCCCTCTAGCTGACTGCAGACACTAATGAAAATTGCCTCTTTCTTTCTCTCTTTTTTCCACCCTGTTTTCCAACCTTCTTAAGATCAGAGCCCTTCATTCACAGCATGGAGTAGTGGGTTTAATTTCCAGCTGAAGTTTCAAGTTTAGATGTTTAGTGGATATCTTGATAGCTGCAAAAGCTGGCAATCCCTTTTTGAAGAACTAAAAGGATTGCCTGTTTATTTTACTAGTTGGACATCTTCTTGCAGTTGTCTTAAGATGATTAAGCATTTGACTTTCATCTGCTTTTACCTCTTACCTTTGAACTTTTCCTTTTTAAACTGGTATTCAGTTTAGTTGGTTCAAATGCCTCCTTGCCGTAAATGGAAGTTCTTTCTGCTGTACCACAGGAGTGAGATCTAATATGTAAGGTGATTATAATTTTAGGAGCATTTTATCATTGTCCACTGGGCTGTTCTGACCATCTTTCCAAGTGACTCTTTTTATTAAACTGCTCCATGTCTTTTTTTTCTTCTTCCACCTTATTTGTTTTCTTCTTCTCTCTTTTACTTTTCCTCTCACAGAGCCAATTATTACTTGTTTCTTACATCTTCAGCAACTCAGTGCTCTCTGGAGCTGTACCTTTTGCCTGCAAACCGTGGGTCTCTCTCTCCTTATAAACCTTCATTGGCAGCCCATCCCACCATTTATCTGCCCCTGACCTACAAGCTAAGGTCTTATTTCTCAACTTTCCTTCCATGACAAACTCCAAGTAAAGGTAACTAATACCTGCCACCTTATTTTTTAAAACACTGCTGTATAATTTCTAGAAAGTGGCTCTCAGGTTTCCTGCTTTCACTTCATCATTTACACTGGTTTATGACCTTGCCTGTGCTTTTAGAAAGAAATAATGATCATCTTATTCCCGAATTTTTAAATACCTTTTAAATCTATGAGTTATATGACTTATCTGCAGCATTTGGTATTTGTGGGCACACCATCCTCATTTATTCATTCAAAAAACATTTATTGAGTGCCTAGTATATTCAGGCACTGTCCTAGGTACTTGAAATCTATGGATGAATAAAGCAAATAAAAATTTCTGCCCTTACACATTACAGGAAAAATATAGACCACAAGGAATTGACATATAAATAAAAACCATATTGTCTAATTAAAATCACCATCAATTGTAAGACTTATGGGGCTGGCGCTTATATGACCTTACCTCTTTTTGAACCCTAGATGTCTCACTTGAGAATTCAAGGAAAAGGAGATAGCGGATGTAAAGGTCCAAATGCAGGAATGTGCCTGATAGGTTCTAGGAGGAGAAGGAGGAGGCCATGATAGAGTGGAGCAAGTGAGCCGGGCAAGTGGTAGGAGACAAAATCAGAGTGGTTCCTGGCCAGATCACGGGGGACTTGTTGTTATCAATTGTAAGGACTTTGGCTTTGAAAGACTTGAGAGCATGTGAAGGGTTTTTGAGCAGAGAACTAATGTGATCTGCATGACGTTTTAAAAGCCTCACTCTGACTGCCATGCTGGGTTTCGAACATTAGAGGCAGAGCGGAAGCAGAGATTTTTGCAGCAATCTTAGGCAAGATGGCCTGGACTGAGCTGGTAGAAATGACAAGAGTGAAGGGTGGTCAGACTGAGCCATTTCGAAGGGTGAGTCAACCTGATTTGATGATGGATTGGATGTGGGGTGTGAGAGAAAAAGAAGAATCAAAGATGGCTTCTGTATTTTTGGCCTCTGCAGCTGAGCAACCTGGAAATCTCTCCTGCTCTGGCTTCCAGGACAGAATTTTTTTCTCATTTTCTTATTCTGTGCTTCTGGCTTTGCTGTCTTCTTCACACATTCCTTTTCCTGCACCTGCCTTATCATCATACATTTTCCCTATGCAGTTCCTTCAGGCTTCTCTTCTCTCTGTCTTTTCTTTCTCATTCCCTCTTCCTGTGTCAACTCAATCTTGAATGCACCCCAAATTCAAGTTTCCAGCCCTAACCTCTTTCAAGGATTTTGGTCCTGTTTCCAGCTCTTTATTTTCGGATTTCTGATGAAGCCACAGTGATCCTCCCAGTGATCCAGGCTTGAAGTCCTGTGTGCTCCTGTACTAGTAACTTTGCAACTATATAAATAAAATTTCTGTCAGCAGGATTCCCCTTGGGGACACCGAACTGACGCATGTTTGCGAGAAATGCTTAGAACAGTTAATTGAGATGGGTGGTGAGCACCTCAGGGTTGCTTGAGAAACAAAAGATGGCAGTTGAACTCCTTCATAGGGTGGAGAGTTCCTGTTAGAAGGAACCCTTTTGCTGTGCAGAAGCTCTTTAGTTTAATTAGATCCCATTTGTCAATTTTGGCTTTGGTTGCCATTGCTTTTGGTGTTTTAGTCATGAAGTCTTTGCCCATGCCTATGTCCTGAAAGGTATTGCCTAGGTTTTCTTCTAGGGTTTTTATGGTTTCATGGCCTTGAGAGATTTGGCTATGAAAAAGCTGGAGTAATATCCAGGACTATATTGCTTCACTTATAAAGGTCTGATAAATTTTAAATTCTCAGGGAAAAACTCTAGAAGTGAGAGAGGTACTATGTGAGAGAATAAAGAGAGAGAAAGGAAAAAGCAAAATGAGATTTGAGATAAATCTTGTGGTAGGTGTGGGTGAGAGAAGATTGGGAGAAGGTAAGTATCTTGTTGGGGATTTTGAAGCTATTGGCTACTGTGTAAATGTGAGGAAAATCCCCATTTCTGTTTTCTTCACAAAATCTTTGGTAAGGATCCCAATATGTGGTCATGGTGTTTATGAAACTGAATTTTTGGGAGACTTCTAACAGATGCTGAGTTCTGTAGGTAGGTTGAGAAGGGTTTAAAAGTGGGATATGACTTGAGGGTGTAAGGAATGGACACAAAGGAACAGCTACCTTCTGCCTTACCCACTCTGTGTATTCCCATGATTAAAAGCTGTTACCCTGACTCAGCAACAGTATGAATGTTACATGAGCCGTTTTCTTCCCTTTCCATGGTCACCAGATTTGTTTTCTGTCATCTGCAAACATGTGGTGACCTCCTAACTGGTCCCTCTGCCTCTTGCCTTTTTCCTGACCAATCCAATCTTCATAAGACTTTTGAATTTTTATGGTCATATTAGAGAGAGAAGGGTGGAGTTTAGCTTATTACCTGAGACTGGGTAATTTATAAAGAAAAGAGGTTTAATTGGCTCACAGTTCTGGAGGTGTACAAGAAGTATAGTAGCTTCTGCTTCCGGAGGGACCTCAGGAAACTTACAATCATGGCATAAGGCAAAGGGGAAGCAGGCGGGTCTTACATGGCCGGAGCAGGAGCAAGAGAGGCGGGAGGTGCCACATACTTTTAAACAATCGGATCTCACGAGAGCTCACTAGCGCAAGGAGAACAGCACTGAGGCCATGGTGCTAATCCATTCATGAGAACCCCACCCCCATGATCCAATCACCTCCTCCAAGACCCCACCTTCTACACTGGGGATTACAATTCAATACGAGATTTGGTGGGGACACAGAACAAAACCATATCACACTTTTAGCAGTTAATACCGTGAGTATTTAAGTTCAGTTGTCCTGATTGTGAATCCAGGTCAGCTACTTGCTCTGTGATCTTGGTCAAGCTCTCTGAGCTCCATAAGCCTTAGTTTTTTCCTAAGTACAATAGGAATAAAAATGATCTATTTTGTTGTTAAGTTGTGATTATTATATAAAATTATACTAGCACACAGTAAGCCCCTAAAATGGTAATTCTTATGTCATTCCTCTACACTGAAGCCTTTACAATTTCCTATTATCTTGTAAGTGAAGAAACCATATATCTTAGCATCCGGACCCTCATGCTCTGCCCCTGATGTGTCATTTCTGGCCTCATCTCCCTCCGTACTCAGTGCACTTTGTGCCCATCCACCTGTTCACTGTCTTCAGGGAGGCCTCATTTGTGCCTGTCTCTGTGGCTTGCTTTTCCCTTCTCCCTCCAGTTACATGCCCTCTGTACAGTTCCTCACCTGCCGCAAACTACTCACCTTTAGAGACCCAGTGAAAACATTCCTTCATGAAAAACTTTCCTCCTCCCCACTGGTAGGAGTAATCCTTACCCCTTACCAAGACTCATGGCTGACTTTTTAAAGGTGTAGATTATACCTGCTTGGCCCCTTGGGAACTTAGCATCTTGTTTCCTAGATTGTCAGCTCTTGGAAGTGTGGATTCTGTCTGTTTTGTCCTTGTAGCCATAATGGTGCCTGGAAGTCTATTCTCATCTCCCTCATTCCCCAACGAGTTCCTACTTTAGTATGTAATCTATGTAGGGACTCCAACCTTATGCCTAACTGAAACCTGGCAAAAAATATATATTAAATGAAAGATCAAGTAAGTGAAGAAATGTGTTAGTAAATGAATGGTAAGCCAGTGAAATCTGTGGTGTCCTAACTTTTCTATATACTTTAGCAATGGAGTCAGACCAGCCATCTAAAAATCTAAGATATTTTATTTCTTAGGGAACCACAAAAGGAGTTCTTTGGAATTTTGGGTTCTTTTAATCTATTTTGGCCTCTGATCATCTCAGTTTATTATGATTTTTGCTCCCAGCTGCTGTTCTTAGCTTATCTCTCTTGCAAGTTCCCAGAGAATAGAACTCTTATGAGTTCTTATGACACTTGCCCTTTATTACCTTTGTCCCACTTCTTTCACCTTTTGCTTTTTTAACTGGCTGTCACCTGGCTCAGTGCTGGCCATTTCTTCCCTTTCCTGCTGTTAAACGGCAATTTTATTTTCTGAGGTCCTTAAATAGGAGGGAAGCGATAGCTCTTTAAAGATTATGCGTTTGTTTACAATATACAAAATATAAAGGGACTCATGCACATAACTCTCTAAAGGTTTTGCTTATGTATTTGCTTTACACAAATGTACTACTCTTCCTTTGCTCATTTCTTTACATTTTAATTTCCTAATAGATACTCCAACACTGTGGAGCTGTGTTAGACTTCCTGGGAAATAAAGAAATAGACACACCTCTGTTGCCTTGGCTATCGTACAGAGGCATGGACGTGAGGAGAACAGGTACCCACTCTGACAATTGAACAGTCAGCTCATGGAGACCTGAAACCTTATGCACAACACCTTCCCGGCAGGCCAGTAGCAACTCCAGCACTATCCCATTTTTGTGTGGCAGTTTTCATTTGTCCTTGCTTCTGCCTCTATTTTTCACTTTGCTTTTCTTCCCACTGCATTTACTGATGCCTTTTCTCTCTGCTCTAGTTCTCTGCTATATCATGACTTCTCTTTAATAGTAGCTTCTACTACCTATGGCTTCTACTACTTCACAGCTTTGGTTTACTGCCTATGTGTCTTTCAAAGTGTGTGGCCCACTACTCTCTATAGACCTCTCTACGTGTCACATCAAATTCCCCAAGGTGAAGATCTGATTGACTAGTTCAGTGTTTGGTGTATAATAACCCTGTTGAATAGGATTCTTCCTCAGAGTCACTGCATGAGCTTCTCTGATAGCCATTTCACAAGTGGCTGACTTTGGGATAGGTGCTAGTTCTAGGTACAAAATTTAGAATAAATATTTCAGAAATAAAGATCACAAAATGCAGAGTAATTCAGGTATAACTAATTGTGTGTGGACTCTATTCAGAAGACTAGGAGTCTAATAGGTTCACTGTGTAGGCAATTACCAATTTTTGTTTAATTTTTAAAATATTATTATTTATTTATAGATTGTGTTTATACAGGCCAAGGTAAATTGAAGAGTTTAGCTATGCTATGAAGTTTCTCTCTATAGTGATAATATCTGATAATGTATAGGATATCAAAGAATTATATGCCGAGAAGGGTCAGAAATCACCTTGTCCAGCAGGTCTCAACTCCTTGGTCTCAATCAGTTTACAATCCTAAAAATTACTACGGACCCCAGTGAACTTTAGTTTAAGTGAGTTGTATCAATCAATGTTTATTGTATTAGTTATTGAAGAATAATTTTAAATATTCATTCCTTTAAAAATAATAGTAATAAATACCTTATAAATAAAATAACATATTTTATGAAAAATACGTTTGTATTAGTGAGAAGACTGGTGTCGTCTTGCCTTTTTTTGTCGATCTTTTTAATGGCTAGTTGAATGAAAGATAGCTGGATTCCCATATTTGCTTCTGCATTTAAGCTATTATAATATCATATGTCATGTAGCCACTAGAAAACTCCATGGTGTACTTGTGAGCAAACAAGAGTGAAAAAGGCAAATGACACCTTAGTGTTATTATGAAAGAGTTTTGATTTCAGAGACATCCTGAAAAGATTTCAGAGACCCCAGGGTCCCTGGACCACATTTTGAAAATCTTGAACATGGTGGCAGAAGTGGGGTTAGAACTCAGTATCCTGTTTATTCATTATGTCAGGATTCAAGCACCAACAAACCAACTGCCCACATTCTGGTCCAAAGAGTAGACAAAATGCCAGGTGTCCACCTGTCTCTTGCTGTGAAAACCTGGCCTCAGAGGAGTGAACCAGGCTCTGGGAGGTGAAGAGATTGGTGACATTTCACAGCCATCAAAAGGGACACAAAGATAAGAACACAGGATCCAAGAGATCTCATCCTTGTCCTTTCGTTGGTCTGTGTATGCTGCAGTTTCACTCTAAACCTGATGTACTGAAGGTTTGTTATAGAGAAATAAACCAATAAATCGGAAGAAAGAGGACATGATTTGTTCACACCAGTCCCTTTCAGCATTTCCCAGGTTAGATCAGAGGGGCAATTCTAGGAGCAGCAGTCTGTATTATTGCCTTTAATTTCCCCATGGCCCAGACTAACATTGTCTTTTCCCTTTGTTACGCTTTTGGCAGAAGGTCTTTCCCTCATGGTTAGACTTAATTGGAATCCAAGCCAAAGGGGGATGGGACAGGCTGCCATGTTGTAGCACTTTCCTGAGCCAATTCTTCAGGGAATATCTGTGTTCCGTTGATATAATGTGTAATACAAGGCTTATTGCACAGTACATGGGATTAAAAGAGGATTTTAATTTTAAATTTCTTTAAGGGGTAATTCTAATGAAACAAAAAGTATATTTTTATTCAAATTTTTAGTTGAATATATATATGTATACATGCAATAGTATAGTATATATAGTGTGCTGGTATATGTCTGTGCATATATTTATATATATATATGTATATTTTCATCCTGAAGTTAAATGGTTTCTAGATAATTATAGTATAAACACCCGCTTCTCCTCTTCTTGGAGCAGGTGCATGTGATTTTAAAGAAACATCTGAAAAATATTGAAACCACTGAGTGTTAAACTTGAAATTTAAACTGGAACTTTCTTTTTATTGACAGCCTCTAGGTACATATATTTTAACACTTATGATTATTTGAATAAATGATTAGTTTATAAAAGTTTTTGAGAATCAAAAATAAAATGCTATTTATGTATCAAGTGGACTTTTCCCCCTTTCAATAAAGAATTTCCATGTAATGTAATCTTTGGCCTTTATGCTTCATGACTTGAAATTTAAGTACTTACGTATATTTTCATCTTACAATATTTACTGCTGTTGGGAATTTAGCTCATTAATTCCTTTGCTACAAGGTGGGGCTATGCCCTCTTCCAAAGTAAGTTGGAAAAAATCACTGGCCAGCATTCCATTATTCTATTTTCAATTTTCTCTGATTTTGTGGAGTATTCTAATCTTCTCCAGATGAGTGGAATTGCAGCCCTTTTTGCTTGACAGCCAAAGACAAACACCAAGCTGTCCAGAAGATAGAGTGCCATTTTATTCCTCTGTCGAAATTCCTGATGATATGGGCAAAACATCAGGAAATTCTCTCGAGAAGACTTCTGAGCCTTCATAATATCAGGACTGACATTTCGAACTGAGCTATTATACCATAAACCCTTTTTGCCCTGCAAATATTAATAAACCTTTTTTACCAAAATAATTATAAAGGAACAAGCTTTTGCCCACTATCCACCAACCAACCTCAGATTTTTTTTCCTGATTTATGGGATTGGTTTTTTCAAAGTTTTCACAGGAATTCAGGAAGTCCCTTATGTGCCTCTTCAAATGTCATTCTCTATGCCTCCCATCTCCTGGGTAACCAATAACCTGAATTTTTAATTTTTAGTTAAACATTCCTTGCTTTTTTTTAACATGCCCATTTTTTAACTTTATATAAATAGAATTATGCTCTATGCATTCTTCTGTGATTTTTTTTCTGAAATATTATGCTTTTAAGATTCATCCATTGCGGTAAATTCTTTTTTTTTTAATGTAGGAGACTCATAACTATCAGACTAAGGTAAGGTAAGTGGTCACGTCTATGTCATCTGTTTTAGAAGATCTCATCAAGACTTTAGTCACTTGGTCACTTATTCCTGTCAAGTTGTACATACTATCATTTATTTTTCTTTTATAAAAGCCAGTACTGTTTACCCGTGATTAATTAAGAGGCATTAAGGGTCATCACTGTCAAGCACAAGCAAACAAATCTCTAAAATGCCATGTTTACTTATTATTCAAGTATGTTTCCTTTGATAGGTTAGCTTTAAAAGTGGATAGATATATTCTAAAGTATTTTACAAAAAGGGAAGAGTATGAAAGAATGGAACAATACTGTTTATAGTCTGATATATGCTAACAACTAAAAATAAGACATTTCTACAAGTTTGGAGGCCTAAGAAGTCCCAGTCGCGATGTATCAGTCCTTGACATTATGAATGGTGGACTGGTTGTATTGAAGCAATGAGGGAGCTAATGGCAGGTTTGAAACTGGGTTTGAATAAATCATCAACCAAACACATCAGGGTGCTGTGAGAGCAGGCCAGACCAGCCATGTGCTTCCTACTTGCCTGGAGGCCATGAATCTTGGGCGTTGTAGAAATATTGGAAATACATTTTTTGGTCATCTTAAGTTTCCTAAACCTTTTAAAATATATATTTAAATATTAAATATATTTAGTGTAAAGTTAAATACACATTTTTCTTAAACTAACACTGCCACTATTACGTGTAAAGTGTTCAAGAGTATATGTGAGATATTCGGCAGCTTTAAAATTAGAGTGTATATTTGAAATCTTAAATGGAATTGACCTTTCATATCACTTTTGAATAGGTGCAGTGTGACTACTGTGCTACCTTCTGGAATCTTTTCAGTGATTATATAATTCTTCCAATATGGTATCATTAAACTTGCAGGAGGTGGAAACCATTACAAAAAGCCCATTCAAATTTTGCTAAAACTCTTATGAAAACGATTTATTTAATTTATACATATAAATAGTATAACCAAAAAGCAGGAAAGGAGTTACTAAAACCTAATTCTGTACTAAATTAAAACAGAGAGTTTTCATTTTTTTCTCTTATTATGACAATTGAATAATATATGCTATACTAAATGGATGTCTGGTATAAAGAGCAAAGATCAAGAAATGAGTGTTTAGAACAGTAAATTATATGTTAAAATCTATAAATAGCTTAATAAATATATTCTTGCCTTGAAAAAGCAGAAAATTGCAGGCTACAAAGTCGATTATCCAAATGGTATGGGTTTGAAATCACCTTTGGAATATAGCCCATATTGTCCCATTGGGTTTTACAGCTTTTGCATATGAAGCTTCAGTTTTTAAAAAAGGAGTCCTTTTGAAAATGTATTTATTTTTATTTTATGTACCATCTCATTCCAGAAATGATTTGAAGTGACTTATAAATATCCTATTCAGTTTGGGATGGCAGAATTTATGCTTGAGGTAATCAGCAGAGAGAAAATATGAGGAAAGTAATGAAAGCCAGCGACCATGAATTCACAAACCATGCATCCGTGGTCCTATGTATTTGCTGGCATGTTCGCTAGTGTAGCACCACAGATATATCGCTGGGTTTCCTTGCAACCATGGCAGGGGGAAAAGGAGCTTGCTTATGTGACATATATTAAGAACAAGTTTTATATTTGGGACCAGTTCAGATTTTTCTGCTTCTGAGAGCTGGGGGAAACTTTATTTCAAACTTCTATGGTTAATCTGATTCCTCTAAGATCTACTGTATTTTTCTATATCTTGATGTCAGTTTATTGAGTAAATAGTTTAGAGAGCAACTGCACTCTCCTCATCCCTAGGGTCAGAAGTGACTCATTTTAAAGCTTATCATAAGAGCTCCAAACAAGTAGAACAGAGTTTTTGTGTAAGTTAAGTTATGCCATTTAAAAAAGACCCAATTATAATCCAGTAGCCTGAAACAATGGAAGTTTATTTTCTTCTGATATAATAATTCAAGGTGAGCATTCCAGGTTCATGGTTGGCCCCACATTCAGAGAGCCAGGTTTTTCCATCACATTGCTCCACTATCTCCCTGGAGCTTATTATCATCTTGACTGTGGGAACTGGCCAGCAGTAAGGGGGACAGCATTGGGAAAGGCACTCTGTCTCAAGACCTAGGCCTGGAGGTCTTGTCCACCAATCAGTTGAACACCTAATAGCATATTATATTTGATCTTGGTGATTTCACAGGAATGTAGAGAACTGTAACTTTAACAGGAATGTCGAGAAACTAAAACTAAACTCGTTTATTTTCCCCATTTTTATTTCTACTTTTCATTCCTTAATTTCTTTTAGTGTTATTTCCTATCTGTGCTTCACATTTCATAATTAGGTTGATTTCTCTTCCTTTCTTAACCTGCTATCTCCACTTCATTACAGTCTTTGATAACACCAACACTGTAATATCTCTGAAATCTACTTTCCCTGTCCATTTCCACCACCACTGGCCCAGGGTAGGCATTCACTTTCGGTCTTCATCATTGCCCTCTAAGCAGACGTCCTGGCTTGAATCTCCTCCCTATGCATTCTATGCTATACACAGCTACTTTCTATTCCTCTCGTTATTGACTGAAAATCTGTTAGTTCAGGAAACTGCTGGGGAACAAAGATGAAACAGAAAACTGCCCTCAAGAATCTTGTCATTTAAGAGAAAGATAAGGCATGCACTCACATAACTATGATATGATGTAAACAGCCAGTAATACAATTAGAGGTGTTCGAATCAAAAGGTTCCTAGTGGATTGCCCATCACAGGAGCTCTATGACATCAAAGTCTTATTTTTTGGACTTGATTGGAAATATGGAAAAAGAAATTTGGGGGGCCTGAGTCCTCCAAATTTCAAGAAAAGAACAGTGAAGAAAATGATCATGTTAGCATTTTAGGGTAATGCCCCAAGAAGCTCTCCGAGGCAGGGCTGTTATTGGTACTGCACTGTCCCTTGGCCTAGCCACTGAAGATTTGGTCTATGTTCCTTGACAGGGAAAGTAGAGAATTTAAAAAGGCTAAATTTTAGACAAGAAAGTAATTACCTATTCCCTCCAATGTTGGAACATATAAAGTTTTATGAAATGATTTTCATACCAGGAGAAAAAAAAATCTTTTGAATGGCCCAAGAACAGTAAGTGTGAGCCTGGAAATTATAGCAGGTATAGTCTGTGCCATGTACAGGAAAAGGAAGCCCATGGACTTCATAGAATACAGAGTATGGAGGTATGAATCCTCCGGGCAAATAAGCTTTATTTTCATGGGACATATACATAGTTGTTTCCAAGTTATTTCCTACTATGTTATGCTAAATCACATGCTCATTAAGTGGGTGGCCATATTATCATATATAATGCTTTCAACTATTATTAATTAAAAACAAAACAACCCAACTGGCTTAAACCACAAATAAATTTGTTAGCTCACTTAATAGGAAGTCCTGGAGTTGGGTGGCCCTAGGATTACTAAATTCAGTGGCCCAGTGTTGTCACCAAAGACCCAATTTGTTTTTAACTTGTCTTAATTTCTTTCTCAGCAAGTCAGCTTCCTTCAGAGTTGAATAAAATAGTGATAGAATCAAGAGATTCCAGGCAGGGAAATGGCATGAGCAAAGGCACAAAGTCAAGAGGCCACAGGGTATGTACAGGAAACAGATTGTTTTATTTGACTAAAACATAGGAAATTAATGGGGACTATATTGAAAAAGGTATTGTTGGGCCAGATATTATAGAGTCCTGAATGTGAAACTAAGAAACTTGGACTTAATTCTATAGACTATTCAGAACCATGGGTGTATTATTTTAGCCAGAGCAGTGATAGGACAAGCAAAGGATGATAAGAAGATAAATCCGGCCAGTCAGTAGTGTGAAGTGGAGGATGGAGGGCCTGGAGGTGGCCTGAACTAGGAGGAGCCCACAACAATAGCTCAAGCAAGTCTGAAGTAGGATAGAAGAAGACAGAAGGACAAGAAAAGTGTAAATACAAGAGCTAGTGCAGAGATAAAACTAACAGGATTTGTCCACTGGTTGGGCGGGTAGGTTGGGGAGGGGGTCCATGAGGCATCAGAATGAATCAGAGATGTCACGAATGCAGATTGGAAACGTAGGGAGGGATACGGGGAACAATATTTTTGAACATATTCTCTATGCCAGGCACAGTATAACAGTATAGCATTTCACTTCGTAACATATCAGTGAAAAAGAATTTATCATTCCATTCTAAGAAATGAGGAAACTAAGGCTGGGGAAAGAGTTTAAGAAATGTTTACATGATTAAACATTTAGCGAATGGAAAAGCCAGAATTTTAACTAGGTATTCCTAATTTCAAAGCTCATGCTTTATCCACTTTACCTTTAGGAGGCAAGGAGACTAATTTGTTTTTTTCTTCACTGATTTTCCTCCTCTGCTCAAAAGTACTCAGTGGTTCTATATTGCCCTAGAGAAGAGTCCAACCACTAATGCGTGGCATGCAAGGGCATCCAACCTCTGACTTCCACTTGCTTTTCCAGCCTTATCTTCCATTACAATCATTTGATGTCCTACTGCATCTTCCTAATGATAATTATTATTTGGAATTCCCTAAGCACACCAAATGCTTTCTTGTGTCTCTCTGTTTCTTGCGTATATGGCTTCTTTTCCTGAATGCATTTTCCCAATTCCTCTTTCTGTGGAAATTAAACCTATCCGATCCTCCGTCAGTCTTTTTCTGATTTTTCATTTTTATTCACTCTATACTCCCAAGTACTTTATTTGTGGTTAGTTTAGTAACATATCATTTACACTGTCTTCCTGACAGAGCTGTTAAGACCCTTATGGGCAAGGATTGGTTTTATTGGCCTTCATATTCTATGCAGAATGTCTTATAAGACCATATGCTTAGAGGAAATGAGAGACAGGCAAGAAAAATAAAGAGAAATAAAAGAAAAATGATACAGAAAAATAGAAAGTAATTTGAAGGTTGTACACTTAGCAAAGTATACTTTATACTTATTAATTATATTTATTAAGTTTGAGAAATAGCCTTTATGAAGGAAGTCTACTGTAACTTGAATGTTTTATTCTAGAGAAGAAAAGGCTAATGATTAACTTAATTATTGTCTTAAAATTAATTTAAAAAATTTAGATATGCAGTTAAGACTAGCTGTTTTTCATGGTCAAGAAAGAGAATTTTAATAATTGAAAATGGATATAGAGTAGAATGTATTCCAGTTTGACTTATGGAAAGCTTGGCCAACATTTTGGAACTGAAAAAATCCTCAGTGGTCTTCTAGAACAATATTACAGTAAGGAATAAAGCCACAACATGAAACAAAATACAAATTTCA
Source organism: Homo sapiens (assembly GCF_000001405.40). NCBI lineage: Eukaryota > Metazoa > Chordata > Mammalia > Primates > Hominidae > Homo > Homo sapiens. The sequence continues at coordinate 88,154,442 of NC_000001.11, read as the reverse complement.
CAAATATCCCTAGAGATCTTTTTGAGAATTGGTAACAGTCTATTCTAAGAGGTTCTTTTTCCCTCTGTGATTCACAACACATCATGTTTAATTTATTTGCTGGTGTGTCTTTCTACCTCACTAGGGGCAGGGGTGGGGTATCACTAATCTTTGTTTTCTCACAGCTTAGCACAATGCCTGGCACATGGTAAGCATGTAGTCAATGTTTGCTGAGTGAAACTGTATGTACAATGGACAGCCATGACGCAGACTAAGGGGATCCCCATGCTGATATTTACTCAGAGCTGCATTAAGCATCTTGGAAAGTCTGGTAAAATTTAAGCTTTCTTTAGCCAGTGCTACAAATAATACATCAATACTACCAAGTTTTTATTTACTGAGCACAGTACTTATCTCTAAAGAGGAGACAGGTGTATACAACATGAATCCAGCCTTTCTGGGGAGACATAACCCAGTCTGGGAAGATATGACCAAAATCCAAGGAATAAAAGCAAGACTATATATAATTGTAGTTATACCTTTATTTTTATTTATTTATTTTTATTATACCTTAAGTTCTGGGATACATGCACAGAACGTGCAGGTTTGTTACATAGGTATACATGTGCCAGGGTGGTTTGCTGCACCCATCAACCCGTCATCTACATTAGGTGTTTCTCCTAATGCTATCCCTCCCCTAGCCCCCCACTCCTCGACAGGCCCCACTGTGTGATGTTCCCCTCCCTGTGTCCATGTGTTCTCATTTTTCAACTCCCACTTATAAGTGAGAACATGCGGTGTTCGGTTTTCTGTTTCTGTGTTAGTTTGCTGAGAATGATTGTTTCCAGCTTCATCCATGTCCCTGCAAAGGACATGAACTCATCCTTTTTTATGGTTGCATAGTATTCCATGGTATATATGTTTTCTTTTATCCAGTCTATCATTGATGGGCCTTTGGGTTGGTTCCAAGTCTTTGCTATTGTGAATAGTGCTGCAATAAACATGTGTGTGCATGTGTCTTTATAGTGGAGTGATTTATAATCCTTTGGGTATATACCCAGTAATGAGATTGCTGGGTCAAATGGTATTTCTGGTTCTAGATCCTTGAGGAATCACCGCACTGTCTTCCACAATGGTTGAACTCATTTACACTCCCACCAACACTGTAAAAGTGTTCCTATTTCTCCACATCCTCCCCAGCATCTGTTGTTTCCTGACTTTTTAATGATCACCATTCTAACTGGCGTGAGACGGTATCTCATTGTGGTTTTGACTTGGATTTCTCTAATGATCAGTGATGATGAGCTTTTTTGCATATGTTTTTTGGCCTCATAAATGTCTCCTTTGAGAAAACCTGACAAAAGCAATGGGGAAAGGATTCCCTATTTAATAAATGGTGCTGGGAAAACTGGCTAGCCATATGCAGAAAACTGAAACTGGACCCCTTCCTTATAACTTATACAAAAAATAACTCAAGATGGATTAAAGACTTAAGTCTTTAATAAGACCAAAAACCAATGGCAACAAAAGCCAAAATTGACAAATGAGATCTAATTAAACTAAATAGCTTCTGCACAGCAAAAGAAACTATCATCAGAGTGAACAGGCAACATACAAAATGGGAGAAAATTTTTGCAATCTATCCATCTGAAAAAGGGCTAATAATATCCAGAATCTACAAGGAACTTAAACAAATTTACAAGAACAAAAAACATCAAAAAGTGGGCAAAAAATATTTTTATGTTTTAAAAACAGGGTCTCATTCTGACACCAAGGCTGGAGTTCAGTGGCATGTTCATAACTCACTCTAGCCTTGAACTCCCAGGTTCAAAGAATCCTCCCATTTCAGCCTCCTGAGTAGCTGGAAATACAGGTGTGCATTATCATATCTGACTTTTTCTTAAAAATTATTTTTTATAGGGATGGGAGTCTCACTATGTTGTCCAGGCTGATCTTGAACTGCTGGGCTCAAGCTAACCTCTCACCTCAGCCTCACAAAGCACTGGGATTATAGCCGTGAGCCATCACACCTGACAGTTCTACCTTTATTAATAAATCTGCTGGAAATGGAGTTTCTTTATGACAAACTATGCACCAGGCAGGAATAAAGGCATTCAGTTTCTGGACAACATCAAATTGTGTCAGCACATATCTTCTTTCTGTAGCCAACCTGCTGATATCACACAGGATTGTTATGTACACATGTTGACTGTTGCGTTCTGATGTGAATGAGTCTTACCTTCATAGACAATTCCCTTCTAACGATTTATATTTTAAGCTTTCATTAATGAAAAGCTTTGCCTTCTATTAAAAGAGCTTCATGAACTAGCAAAAAGGTATAGACATTTACATAAATGCATATCTATTTTTGTCTGGGTGTCTATTTATCTATCATCTATTTATATTTGTCTTGGTGGGTACTGGGGCTATTTGGGATTCCATCAATGGTCTTCTCCACTAGGGGTGGTCTTCCCCACCACCCTAGAACAGCACTCTTCTCTCTCATGGGGAACTTGGCTATTCCTGCTGAAGACATGACCAGTGAAGCTTCTTTGCTCTGTGTATTCATCACAACTCCATTCAGAGATTGCAATGATATTGTTTGAGCCCAAATATTCCAGCCTGCCCAAGCTTTCCTGCCTTTTCTGCTTTTCCCTTTCTCTTCCCTTTCTATTCTAAATGCATATCAGATATAACCAGTAACTCTCCAAATCCTAACCAAATTATTCCCTTCCTTTCTCTACTCTAAAATATACATTTTATATTGTCTAATACTCTTGACATTCTTTCAGTTCAGTGTACTTTTGCACCATAGCCCCACCTATTTGACACTGCACATTTATGTCTTTAGTATTAATTTCCATCTTGGACATTTACCCAATCACATGCAAATATTACCTAAAGGACATGGCTCTAACCCCCAGGTGTTGAAAATCTGGGAAATAAGTTTTAACAAAGAAGTGTGTTGTCAATTAAAAATGTCCTGCCTTAATGGAGGAATTAATGCATAGTGCTAAGAGCTAATTGTGTGGTACACATGTTCAGTGTTTCCAGGATGCAGGGAAGTGGAAGCTCAGTTAGGGTTAACATAATACCTGGAGGCTCTCCAGCTAAGCAATCTTCATGTGAGGTCTTTGAGGATGAGTATGAAGGAGTTCTATCAAATCATAGTCAACGTAGCATCATAGGTTTAATTGTTGTTGCCAATATTTCCTAAAACGTTGCTCCCGATTTGGAAATAATCTTCAGAGTAGGAATTAGTACACTTGGATTCAGTGAAGTTTTGTCACTGGGAATGTGGGTAGATTGTCTTCCCATCCAGGATTCAATCAGGCATAAATTCAGAGTACACTTGAATTATGTCTTAAGTAGATATAATGAACACACCAATTATATTCTTTTTGTAAACTACATTAATACATATTTAGTATTCTTTTATTAAAGGCGTTTTTTGGGAAAGGAAGTTCAGTCAACTGAGACTTTCTTTTTCAGAAAGCTCTGCTTTGCATAAAGCAGCTACATCATAAGGGAAAAAAAAGATGGGAAGAAAAGCACTAGCCATGGTTTCGGAGAGAAAACGAGTGAGTGAAACTAAGGGCATGTGAAGAACAGTCAATATCCAGCAACAGCAGCAAAACGGTTTCAATTTTCTGGATTATTAATTCAAATTCACACGCACATGCCAGTTAAAATTAAAGGCCTCTTTTTACTGCACTAGTTTAAATTAAAGATTATATTCTGCTCCACAAGTCTGAATTAAATAGCTTATTTTGCACACCAAGCTCTCATTTTAAAGCTAATAAAGAAAAGACATAGCATGTACGTGCAAGCTCGAGACAGGAAGGGTCTAAATTACTACACCTGTTTCACTTGGGAGCTACTTTATTAGTGTTACAAAACTTGGCTTTCAATTTGGCACTCAGAAGCACATTTAGAACAAGCATTTCTTTGTTTTGACAGAGAAGCCATGGTAAATGAATGACGTTTGAGCTAGGTGTGAAATGTGAAGGTACAAAATTAACTGGTAAGGTAATTACTGTTCTAATTCTGCATAAACAAGCGTTTTGAAAATCATTAATAGTTCAGGGAAATAATGTTAGTGATTAAGTAAGGTGGCTTGCATCACTGAGCACAACTAAGCTCCTTTAATTACATTTGAAAGCAAGGGAAAGCAGCTAATTAAAATTAGCACAGGGTTCCTGAATGACCAGCACTGCATTGTTGCTCTAACCTGTATAATTGTGTGTTTATTAATATGTCTTCATTTTCCCTCTCAAGCATTTAACAAAATTATTTAAAATAACTAATAACCTTTAAGGAGTAAATGTGACTGAATCCAGTTATCAAAATGAATACTTCAGGCCTTGCTCGGGCCTGCCATCAATTCCCTTTTCTAGTGTCCATTAACACTGGTGAGAGCACCATGGTTAAAACCCAGTAAGGTGATGCCCTACTCATGGTGCAGTTGGAAGGTTGGCAACAAGGCAACCTTAGATGCTTAGAAGTTGTTTCCTTTATGGGGTTGTGCCTTGGCCCTTGTTGTTCCTTTAAGAGAAAAAGAAATGCACTTGTTCACTGTTTTCAGTGTCATTCATTCATTCATGTATGTATTTAATTCATTCATTTGTTCATGTTTGGCAAGCTTTTAGCACTGTTCCTGAAGTTACAGAGATGAAAAAGACATGGTCCCAGACCGGACCAGCTAGTTATTTTGTGGGGCCAACTGCAAAGTAAAATGCAGGTTCTGTTGTGCAAAAGTTACTAAGAATTTCTTGACAGCCACAGCAGAGTGTTAAGCCAAGCATGGAAACCATTTGACTGTGGGACTCTGTGCAACTGCACAAGTTTTGCACTCGAAACTCAACTCAACAAGCTTATGAAGTTGTAAGGATAATGTGCATGGAAACAATAATGAGAAAGTGTGATTCCTGTTCACAGTGATAGGGATATAGGCAGAAAAATGATTGCCCAAGTACCAGTCAGTGTTGTCATCTGTGCTGGATTGTACTGATGAGGGCGTTATTAGAGAATGAGTCACTGCTTCTATTGAGTACCCAGACCACCATATGCAAGATCAGTAGTCAGTCCTCAAACATAAACTTCCCAAAGGTAGAAACCTCAGTTTCTGTATTTAGGCTTAGAAATTCAATAAAATAATTCCAAAATGGGTTCACTGTTGAATAAATGCAATATAATTATCTATTGTAATATCAGCTCACATTTTTGAGTGTTTGTTATGTTCCAGGGCACTGCTCTGAGTACTATATAAGAATGATTTCATTTAATGTTCCAGCAACTCTATGAGGTAGATAAAATCATTATCCACATTTTACAGATGGTCAATTTAGGGAAGAGAATTTAAATGGCTTGCCCAAGAAATTAAGTGACAGAGCTGGTATTTGAACTCAGATAGTCTGACTTGAGAACCTGTGTTTTTTTAAATCACTATGCTAAAAGATGACGGGGATGGCAAGGATGATTTATCTGGCTAAGTCCCCTTTTTCTGCATTTCAATTTGTGTGTATGGATAAACTTGAATCATTTGGGAATCTGAAATAGTTTTTACATCTCAATCAAATAATCTTGGACACATATGATGCAGGAGAAAAAATGTCAATTATTTTTCAATTTAAAAATAATTATTGTTCTAGTGTTTGACTGGGGATTGATACATCAAGTAGAAATTTTATGTTAATATCTGTGTCACAAGCCTCCTCCCTCTGAGGTGGCCCAATGGACATAGCAACTACTATCTGGTCCAACAATTCTTGGAGAGACCAATGCTCCTCAAATTTCTTTTCCTACTGACAAAAGCGCTAAGCTCAGGCAATACCACCTCTGAGAGGGAGGCTGCAAAACATTTGAAAGGTTTTTTTGTGTGTTTTGGTTGCTCGACCCACCCTCCCTCCCTCTCTTCCTTCCTCCTCCCTCCCCTCCCCTCCCTCCCTCTCCCTCTCTTCCTTCCTTCCTTCCTTCCTTCCTTCCTTCCTTCCTTCCTTCCTTCCTTCCTTCCTTCTTCTTTCTTCCTTTTGCTTTTTTTCCTTTAAAATTTTGTCAGATACAGGGGTTGAGCCAAATAATATAGCACTTAACAAATTTTATTTTGGAATAATTCCTCTTTTAACCACTCACACTTTGCTGCTTGTTTGTAGACTTGCCTGACAACTGGTCAGATGTATTGACTCAGTTGACCACACCAATTTTGATGCTTTTTGTCTGTGTGGTCACTGTTAACATGATGAATACTGATTTAATGGGGTAGATCAAAGGAGTTGAGGGTAACTGAGGCTGTTTAATCTATCGCGATGCTTTGTTCTATTGTGGCTGAATTTCATTTCTTACTGGCAATTAAGATGTGGCTGTTTTCTTATATTAAAGTTGTATCATTTAATATTAGTCGTTTTATAGGCCGATGGGATTGAAAAACCCTGAACCTATATCATGTGTAACTTTCATTTTTATTTCCTATATTGTCCAAACTCACAGCAGCAGACAATAAAAATTCTGCACCCAGCATATTTAGAGGTCTTTGGCTATTTGCTCAGGTAAAAATTAAACATCAAAAGTTTTAAAACTTTAAATAGGGGAGGGGCCATTAGGATGATAGATGTTTTTAAAATAAAATATTTGAAGGGTTCATTGATAATCTCAAAAATATAAGCCCTACTTTTGTTTCCTATCCTGTTTCTTAAATCTACTCCTCAGAGTCCCTTACTACTTTCATTCTTCATTTATTTTACTAATTTTGCTGACTTCTTTACCAATAGTTGATCTGAGCATTAAGCTTCCACATCATTTCCATCAACATTTTTTTAATCTCTTGGATGTTGATTGTTTCTCTATAGTTTTTCTGAAAATGTACTTTCAAAATACTCAGTACCTTCCTGATTGTTAATTTCAGTATCTTCACTTACTCTTCTTCTCTGCATCATTTGACGGTTGGACATTCTCCCTTTTCTTAAAATACCTTACACCGTGGCTTCCACAGTACTTCTGTACTCTGGTCTGTCTCCTACCTCTCTGACTTACTCACCTCTATCATGTTCATGGTCTTATGGACTGCATCATCTTTTCCAATTGCTCAAATACAAACCATATCTTAAAGCTTAGCTTCTGCACATCTTTTTTTTGCACTTTGTATTAACTATCTTAACCACGCTGACAGTTTCAAGTGTGATTTTTAGAGTGATAGCCTTTCCTTTATATCACTTATCACAGTTTGTCATTGTTAATGTGATTAGTGAGTTCTCAGTAGATTCTTTGCTACATGAGTACAACATTTTAGGCCAGATTTTCACCAGCATCTAGCACAGTGGATGGAATGGAGAAAGCACTCAATAAATATTTGTTAAATGAATGAAGGAATGAGTGAACATCTTCTGTACTTCTAACTTGTTATTTATCCTGTGCCCTTGTCCTGGGTCTTCAGCTGCCCTCAGATGCATATACTTTAAGGCTGCTGTCACCTGAAACTCAATATGTCCAAAAGCAAACTATCATTATCCCCCAAACCAGGTCTGTGTCCAGCTTCTGAGTTTGTCACTGACCCTATCTTTTACCCAGCTAGCTATAGAGATTTCGAATCATGAAGTCACTCTTAATCTCTTTCTGTCTGGCAATGCTTCATCTCATTTAATTCTCATAATATACTAGTGCCTTAAATGCTTCATCTCATTTAATTCTTCTAACGTACCTATTAATGTACCTATGCTGTAGTTGTAGATATATACATGTACACACAAATAGAAACACACACACAACAGTATTTCCCTCTTAGATTTAAAAAAACTGAGGCATAAATTAAATTCACATGACTACTAAGTAGTACAGCCAGCACTTAATGCAGGCTTGACACATGGTAGGTCTTTAGTAAATGGGTGTTTTTTTCTTTTTGCTGATTATAAACATTTTCTCTTATGAGTCAGTCAAGATTTTCTGAATACCTAAGTATTTTATTCTATTTGTCTTAAAACTACTCTATTTTATATGGAATAAGAGTATAATTTTCTTTCCTCTAATTAAGCTAACAAAAAATATTGAGCATTCCTTATGTGGCAAGCACCGTGTTAAGCCCTGAAAACACAAAGATAAATAAGACATGATTTCACAAAGCCTAAATATCTCTGAGGGGGAAATGAAGGGAACCAACCGACTATAACACAATGAGGGAAGTGCTCATGACATGGTAGTGTTTAGGGAAGACAAAGGGGAGCAATGTTATTCCTCTCTGGGAAGGTAGTGATCAGACGTCTTCATAGAGAAGGAAGCTTTTGATTTGTACATTTAAGAATAAGATTTTATTAGATAAAGAATAGAAGGAATAACATTCCAGGAAAAGGAAGCGTCATGAGCAAAGGCTCAGGAGTATGAAGAGGGTGTATGTTTAGGAATTAGCAAGTAGCATAGGATGAGTAGAGCTTGAGCGAGGCAGGGGTGAGAAACTCCCTCTTGTTCGTCTCAGGTTTCTCCCATAAAAACAAGCAAGGTTCTTATGTATAATAGAATGTTCAGTAAATGTTCCAGGGTCCAATAACTGTTTAAACTTTTAGTTTATTTTGACTCATAAAGGAAACTTGAGCTAAATGTCAGAGAATGATAATGAGCTTTTACCCATGTTCTCAGGACCTAAAATCAACAGAAGTAAGTCCAAGGAAATCAAGCAGAAAGGGCCTTCAGAAATCAAGCTGTTTATTGTGCCTTTTCCCTTCTCTCCCATGATATTCTGGAAAGTTGATAGATTTAAGGGAGTATCATAAAAGTGGTGAAGAGAGATGCTTGGTGCTCTTCTCCAGTCATTTTGGGAAGGACAGTGAAATGAGTTAGAGAATGAAAGTGAATGCAATCAGCAGCTACATTTTCTGAATTCAGCATCAGTCCTGCTCTCAAACAGGCTTCTAGAAGGAAAAAAAAAAAAAAAACATTTAGGAGGACTTGAAGGAAAACAGGTCTGGGACCAATGGAGATGGGAAAGTCCGTTAAGCACAGGAAAAGGACTACACATGATATCAAGATGCCTTTTTTAAAAAAAAGTCTCTTCGCTAGACTGTAAGTTTCCTGAAGACAGAGACTGTGGCTAATTTGTTATCATTATATCTACAATGCCTGTTATGGAAGCTGACATAAAGTAAATATTTGATAAAGAAATGAAAGTAGGGTAGTGATGAGAAATAAAATTGATGGGGTATTGCTGACCTTAAATGTCAGGTGAAGTGTTTCCGTACTCCAGTAAGCAATGATTTTCGATGGAGGTAGTGGGAGTGGTAAAGAGTAACAAGTGAAAAGCAGCATTTTGGAGAGATTATTACACCATCTGTGTGCAGGAGGAGTAGGAAGAGGGAAAGAATATACCTGTGGAATAATGTGAACCTGGAATAGAGTGGTAGCAATGGGATCAGAAGGGAAGTGACGGATACAAAAGGTGTAATAAAGGAAGAACTGTCTGAACTTGAAGATATATTTTATATGGAAAGAGAAAGAATGTAAGATAGTCCAAGATAAATAATAGGATTTGGAGTTACTTCAACTGGAAGACAATATGGCCAATGGGATCAAATGGGGGAAGACAGTTCTGAGCTCCTGTGGAGGCTGAATTCATCCACATCTTGAGCCAAGGAGCCCGTGGCCAAATGGCAAAGCAAAGGGAATAATGAGACAATCATGTAACCTTATCAAATCAGAATTAATGAAGCAAAAAAAAATAAAATAAAAGAGATTTAGCCAACAGAACCCATATCTAGGTTTTCAAAATCAGGAAGAAACCCAAGATGATATTAGAATAAAGAAGGAAGTGGGATTCAGGAGTGTACAGATAACAAATAGCTAACATTTTTTGAGAGTTACTATGTAGCAGGCACTACGCCATTTTGTCTTTACAGATATTATGTCTTTTAACCCCAATGGTATAATTTCAGTTTTACAGATGAGCAAACAAGGCAAAGAAAGGTTAAATTACTTGCCCAAGGTCACACAGTTAGTTCAATGCCAGAACCTGTATTCATAATCACTCTTCCACATTGCTGTGTAAGTGTATCAATCAGAGCAGTTCATACCTGGAAAGTCAGGTCATCAACAGAAAGGTGAAAACTCAAGTGACTCTCAAGTGACCCTTTCTCTAGCAGAGCCTGACTCACTGGCTACCTCTGCTAGATCAATCAACCCCCTTCCAGATGCTACCCTAACAGTAAAAGAAAAGAGATAAAAAGCTTTCAAGCCAGAATGGATTTTTTAAGTCCCTATGAAATTTGAAAAATATGAAGGTTACTGATAAAAGAACACAGGACATATGGAGTATACTAACAGAGACTCTCAAATACGGAGCTATAATTTACTTCTTAAATAGCATATCAATTTCCTAAGATTTTATATTTCACAATTGAACTGCTTTCTAGTGTTCTACTATCTTCTATGCAAGCCTATATATGATTCCATCTATTTTTACTGTTTAAAATGTATATATATGTAAATTATTACTCATTGGATTCTTTTGCATCTGAGATATAAACGCTGAATCAATGTGGGAAACATCAAGTGTCTGTTTTAACCTGACTTGATTATACCTAAATATAAAATATAAATTAGCATTTTATTCTTGGTTGTATTTATTGTTGTATTATATCATGCATTAATTAAAAATATATGTGTTTTAAAAACACCTAATTTACAATTCATCTGTCTACACCACCATAAGGTCAAAATTTGTAAAGATTGAAAGATTTACACTAAATTTTTTAACAGAATGTAATATATCCTTATTGATTATGTTTGAGATTTATTATAGATTTTAGCTCAGTATTAAAGGTTTACAAAATAGAAAATAACCAGACTCCAAGATGCCTGTGTTTTGTAATGTTGCCAAACATCATTTTTCTAGTCTATTGATGTGATTGACATGTAGGTATGATTCAGGGGCGAAACTATTATTAATAGGAAGAAAAGTTATGACTATTGAATCATGACACTTTGCTGTTTTAAGTAATGTGCTGGCTCTGTGTTCTCAAAGAGAACATCGCTGAAATGGAGAACAGGTTAAACACGCTGCACCTTTTAAAAAAATCAAAACACTAATGGAATGAGCCCTTGAGATTTAAAATAAAATAAGTACTCAGGGGTGGAAAGTGTCAGGATGGCTACCACACCAAATCAAACTGTTCCCAGATTCTCACTTCTACCCCTTCCTTACCACCCCCATCTCTGGTTCCCGGAATGTGAACCTTCCACAATTGTCATACAAATGAAAATTATGTTCACACGACTGACCATGAATTATCAACGAAATTTCACTTCCTGAAATATGACTTACCTACAAAATTTGAGACACAGAACTCTGAAATGCAATAAAAGACACTAGTGGGAGATATACTATAAATTATTATATTTGTTCATTTCATTTATTGCTCTTAGAAAAATATTCAAACTCCATATTCTGGCTTGCTAGGTCTCCAAAGTTTGCTACTCTTTTTAACATCGTCTTTTTATTTGTTCATTCAAAAAATATTTACTGATACTTAATAGGTATCAGAAAATATTCTAAGTTCTAAATATATAGTAAGATCTTATATTTGAGACCATCCTTTTTAAGGAAGAATTGAAACAATAACGTAATTAAACACTGAATTAAGACAGACTGGGTACAGTGGTTCACACCTGTAATCCCAGCACTTTGGGAGGCTGGGGAGGGAAGATCACCTGAGCCCAGGAGTTCAAGGCCAGCCTGGACAAATAGTGAGATCTTGTTTCTAAAAAAAAAAAATTTTAATTACCTGGATGTGGTAGTGCTCATCTATAGTCCCAGCTATTGGGGAGGCTGAGGGAGAAGGATTGCTTGAGCTCAGAAGTTTGAGGCTGCAGTGAGCCATGATTGCACCATTATACTCCAACCTGGGTGACAGAGCGAGACATGTCTCTGAAACAAATAAAATGCATTAAGATAATTTTATAATGAAGTGTTTCTGTAATAGATAATTTGAAAAACTTGAAAAGATTCAATTTAAGAAGTGCTAAAAATGAGTTGTAAAATCAGGTGTAAGCAAAAAAAAAAAAAAAAAATCAGGTGTAAGCAAGAAACCTAAAAAAATTTTTGGAAAAATACTGTAAAGATCTGCATTCAGATTACTCAAAATTATCTCTAAGTTCTTTCTCTACTCCAGAAAAAGCTAAACTGAAAGTTGCTGGTGGTGTATTACACAACAAAGAAAAAACAAAATCTAATGCAGGATTCGTTCTCAAAAAGTCTTATCTCCACATCAATTAACTGATAAAGGAATATATATTTAGAGAATAAGGTAAAATAAGAGTAAGTTGAAATAAAATGTTCAGGGTTTTAAAAAATCACATTTTATGTTTTCTTGCTTAAATGTCATTTAAAATTAACTGATCAAATACAGAACGCAAATTTATTTGATAATGAGCTTCTACTTATTATCTTCTACTTATTACAGGAAGCATGACAAAAATCAGACAAGTTAATGTCATGGAGGCGACATGGGGGTGGGTCAGGGAGCAGCATTCACTCTGGTGATCAATGAAAGCCTTTTCTGGTACTGCCCTCTGGAACATGAGTGGCTCTTTCAGTTGCTTTCAGTTTCACAGCACAGGTGGTGCTCTCTCTCCTGCCCCTGAATCTCCACACATGTTGTTTTCCCTGGATTACTTGAATGGCCTTCCACTCTTCTTCCTTTCCCTTGGCTGGTGCCTATGTCACAGTAGGTCAAACCGAGATGTCTTACTCTCCTCGAAGCCTTTGGGGTCCCTCGTGTGTAGTTCCTCTAATATGTCTTACACTGAGTTATAACTTCCTGCTTACTCATCTGGGTTCCCTGGCACACAATACTTTGTGAGGAGCAGGGTCCTGGTGTACTTTATTCCCTCTTGCATTCCCAGCACCTAACATACTGTTTGGCGTAAAATGCCCACCAAAGACGTATTTATTAAAAGAATGCATGTATCATAACAAATGAGGACATTTGAGATGAAAGGAGAAGACAGACCTAATTAAGTGAATAGCATGGGCAAGCACATTTTCTGAACTTGCAGTAGCATTTAGTAACCTCCACTTTTGTGTAACATAAAGGAAGAAACAACTAATGCTTTGGAAGGAACCACTGAGCAACATGTTTCAGCCTTATAGTGATGGAGGTACACTAAGTACATTATGTATGCATGATTTGGATTTTTTGCTAAAGTGAGGTCAACAGTGGCCAAGGGGCTGGTAGTAGAGATGTGGCAGTGGGGTAGATATTAGTTGTGATGAGGAGAAAAGCTCTTATCCCGAAGGTTTTTAACCATGGTTACTAGAAGAAAGCGTGGTGAGCTTGTTACTAACTTGTCCTTTTAAGGCAATATAAAAAATGTAAGATTCATTAAAGTTAAAAATCATGTAAGAAGAGAAAAATGTATATGCAGCAACAAGCCATTTTAGGCAAGGTAGGCTATTTAGTTATTCTACAATGCAGGTTATGAAGCGCCGAAATTTAAGGTTTTAATTTTTTAACTTGGACTAGCTCTAGTCAGCTGACCTACCTATGTAAACTGCAGACATAGTGAAAGAATGTCCAGGACTCAATAATAATTTGACTTGCTGGGAAGAGAGGTACAAAAAGTCGGAATATATATATATATATATATATATATGCTCATATGGGGAAAACATAAAATAGGAAGAAGAGGTTTTTAAAACCACACTGGAAAAGTATTCATTATACATTAGAATTTTGTTTAAAGTGGAGCCACTAGGAACTTCTATCTGAGGGGATTCATTTACTGAAGTACTAATGCAAACTCAGAAGAAGCCATCTCATCTCTAAGAGCACCTCTCAGCATGGGTCCCCAAGGGAAGCATTCTATCAAGCCTCCAATGTGTTATCTACAATTCACTTTCATGCCCCTTGCCTTGTGCCCCAGAAGCATCTGTAGAACACAAGTGAAAGCCAGTCTTCTCTTTCATCTGCTAGCACCACATAAAACTGGGTGTTTCGAAACCAGCAAGATGCCCTGTGATGTTATACATGTATGCTAAAAGTGGATGTTTTCTTGCTGTGATGTTCTTAATTTGGTTTACAGTTTATAAGGCTTTTTGTCAGTAGACATGACCACAAAAGCAGATATTTTTAAGGCTTCTGAAGTACTGTTCTTTTTTTTTTTTTAAAAAAAAGAAAACCCACAGGCTCATATTTTGTATTATTTGGAGCTACAATTTGGCAGGATTTGAGATATGTAAGTTTCTTTTCCCCAAGATTTAAGAAGAAAGGACTTAGAGAAAGTACTCTCAGCTGGAATAGGGAGGGATACAGGGAAGATCAGGTACCTTTTTAATGTGTCTCTTTTCCCACTAAAGCCCTGATGTTAGAGGACATTGACTAGTGACAAACAGCGCAATTTTCTTTGTATGTGAACTAGAGCATTTCAGCTAAAAGCTTAAAGGAGCTTACAGGTAAGATGTCTCGGCAAGAGTTTCTCCCCTGAAAGAATACAACTTAATAAATGTGCAGTGGCTCCATTTGGACCTCTGCCTGTCTGGAAATACAAAATCAGTCTGTCTGCTGCCTTAAACTCGTGTCTCATGCACACATGAGCTGTCCCCCTCTGAGGTTTACTGGAGTGTATTTCATTAGAAACTCTTCGTGGCATCGTGAACCTGATTGTAATGAATGGGCTGAACTCTGAAAGCACTGGGCACTGACCTCCCATCTGCTGATATCCTAAATCAGGCCATTAGAGGATTCCACAAGAAAGAGCATGCTGTTTATAGGTTAATTTATCTCTCATTTGGTTCAACTAGATGTGTGCTTATAAAGGTCCTCTAATTGAATCTTATAGATGCCACAGAGATCTTTCCATTTTAAGGAAGCCTTTGGAAATAAATACAGTCAGTTCTCAGTTATCTATGGTAATGGAGACTGGCTAGCATGGATGCACATAATATGGAGGTGGTCTCCTATCCTCATTTGTGTGATTAATTTTAAACCTACATCCCCATCCAATATTGAACCAGAACTGCTACAATGGCTAAACCTGGTGACTTTCTCATTTATTTTGGTTGATAACTTTCCTATCAAAATGCTATGAACAAGCAAAGGAGGCCCAGTGCCTGAATACTATATGTATCTCTTTAAAACACAAAGGCGTGTAGATACTGATGGAGTCAGATGTAGAAATTCACTTGATTAATGGCATAGTACCATTAGAAAAGTCAGGCATTACTAACTGTCCACAGCATATGTACACATTATAGTAGCCTGAGATCCAGTAATAATCACAAGGGCACTGTCTATTCATTTAGTGCTCACTCTGTGCCAAGTACTAGGCTAAATACTGGTATTTAATTGCTTAAAGGAGGTTTGGAGCAACTGTTACCTTTATTTTGTAGATGAGGAAACTGAGGCTTAACAGATTAAATGTTCACCTTGCATGCAGTACTAGTGAGAACCTGGTAGGATTGGAAGCCAGGCCTGTTCAACTTCCAGGCTCTTCTCCTGTGACCCCAGAATTGACTTCCCACCTTTTCTCTCCCCAGCATGTGAGGCTGTCAGGAGTCATCCACATGATGCCCCGTGGCACGTGTTAGTTTGATATCCTCTTGCTGCACAACATCTTCACTAGCCACACCTTGATTCAACATCTTATAAAAGTTGTTTAACCCTCATCTGCAAGTTCCTGGTACTGAAATATCATGAAAAAGTGTGGGTGCATGGGATGGCTCCTCTTCACTCAAAACTGATCATCTATCCCCTAGTACCTGGAAAATCATTTTTATTTTGATGCATTTTTGAATTCTTTATTTGCTTTTGCCCCTTTTGCCAGAGCTAATATACAAATGCTTCATTTTTTCCTATTTAAAGAAAATGTTTCAACTACATGGAACACTCATGCCAATGTTTTACTAAACTATTGTCATAAATGAAGAGCTTACTAATCACCTAGTGGAATGCCGACTCTTTGGCATGATGCTATACTTGTACACCTAGCAGCAGTCAAGTCCTAAATATTTGAAGGTGTATGCTTCTAGTACTTAGTTAATTCATTTATCACCTACCTTTAAGGGATAATTGTGGGTGCATAATTTTAGCAACATCATTATGCCTGTTGATATAATCCAGAGCTGCCACAGTGGTGCAACCCCTGATTATATGTTCAATTAACTGCCACATGTTGTCAGCATCTCTCATCCACCAGGTTTTCTTCTGTTGGATACTTGTAGTAATTTATAGCAAAAATAGTCCTGCTAGGAATTGTCACAACAACCCCATGGCCTCACAAGTTCAGAGGCACAAGTGACACATAGCTTCGTTTTCTGGTCTGCACTTTGGGTAAAGACGGTCCAGGCTTGCAGTCAAACTACCTGATTTCTGGTATGGTTTCTATGTGATTTTGAGCAAGTTGTTAACTTTTCCCAGGAACTGTTTCATTTGGACATGAAATGAACGTGAAAGTGTGTGGCTTGCCTAACCTCCCATGATTATTGTGAGTTTCAGTTGGAATAATATATTTGAGTGCACTCTAAAACTTGTAAGGCAGGGGCAAAATGTGACATGTATTTTCCTGATGTTATATTCATACACACTAAGAAACATTTTCACTTTCCATCTTATGTTTGTGCAGTTAAACAATTTTTATCCATATTTTAATGGTAGAAAATAGCTGTTATTTTCACTTTTTTTACTGTATGTAAATTCACTGAAGTCAGAGACAAAAATCTCAGACCTCTTTGTTTCCTCTCTGAAACCTAGACCTGGGGAAGTGCTTTAACTTAAAATGCCTTGACTCAATGGGTTTGAGGTTGTTTGGTTTGAGGAATATACGTTGTTGACATTAACTACACCCTTTCTATGGTCTTTATGAATTAGGCTTGTGAAATTAGAACTTTCTGGTGTTCTACAGTGTTTTGTCATGGAATGACCTTTAGTCTAAACAGGGTCATTTTAGAAGAATAAATTATAACTTGCACCCAAGACCCATGAAGGCCTCTGTTTTGATAGCATCATCCTCATCTCCAGAATAGATCTGACCCACATCTTACATTTTGCTAATGTATTCATTTGGTTTATATCTGTTTTTTTTTTTGAGTGAAAACATTAGTGCAAAATATGAAGCTAATATCCATGTATCCTACAGTCCAAGGGGTAGAGAACTATGAAGGAATAGGAATGCAGCTGGTTTATAAGGTGCCTTATGGGAATTAACAAAAGGCATCCTCTGTGGGTGAACAAATTAGGAAAAGATGCCTCCTCTGTGAGGTAACAATCCCATGCCAGGGCATTTAACTTGGAGAGTGGAATCTGGGCTTATTTCAGCTCCCATTCACTGCTTTTGATGGTGCCTTTGTGCAAGGTACAAATGCATGGTGACATGATAAGAGGGGACTATTTTTTTCCTAATGGGAAAACAAAACCCTCAAGCTCATGCAAACATATACTCATTACCCAAATCCCAGCACCAGATGGGTCTGTGGAATGGCTACAGGCAACACCTTGTCCTTTCTTTTCCACTTATCTCCTACCCCACCATGGATTTTCTCTTGCTTTTTTTTTTTTTTTTGATATATTTTTCTTTATCCCCAATTCACCTTAGTTAGGTTTTATCTGTGCAGGACTATGGATAAGAAAAGGAGGAGGCTGAGTGGACCTTGTCATGGGCCCATCATTCTCCAGGGGAGATGGCTCTTCCTATACAGAGTCAAGGACCTCTGGAAACACAATATTCAGAGTTAATATATTCCACAAATACTTATCATGTCCCTACAATGTACCAGGTTTCAGTGGTACAGTAGTGGCCAATTGCATAAGCTATTTGCTCTGCTTGGCTACTTCCCCTGACCTGTCCAACTCCCCCCTCCTTATCCTTCAGATCTCAGATCTCAGTTGAAATGTCCCTTTCTTATCCAGACTCCTGTAAGTTTCTGTGGTCTTCTACATTCTGTCTTTCAAAACATTCTCCACTTTTGTGATTACTAGTGTAATGGCATTCTTCCCTAGAGACTCCTGTCATATGAGGTTAGGGACCATGACTGCTATGGCTCTGGGGCCTAGTTGAGTACCTGGCATATAGTAGACCCTCAATAAGTACTGGATAAATGAATGGATGAATGAATGAAAGAATAATGACTACAAAACATAGAACCCAATTAATTCACCCTTTGATAAACCTTTGTGAAAATGCTATTATGCATTTGAATGGGAGGTACATATCCATTCTTGAAATCTAATGAGCTTTGAAATTACTAAAGTTTCCTGCCTAGAGTTTTCCCTATAATCTTTGCATAAAAGATCTTTTTAAACAAAAGTATGTTAAATCAGAATATCAGAAAAAAATGTCTTTTCATCAGTTTTAACAATAGCATGGCCATCTTATCTGACAAAAAGAGAACCTCAGAATTTAGTCCAGGTGATTTATATGATTAATTGTGGCCTGCTGCTGCAGTATGGCAATAGTGATAAATAACAATGTGTTGGGATATTTTAATTGTAAAACAGCCGTTTCTCTGGCCTTTGATTGATCATGGTCACCGTAATCATGACTGAAACCTTTCATTAACCTTTTTATATTTAATTTCTTCTTTTGAATTAACATCATTATAAATCCTATTCCCATGAACAAAACAACACGCATCCTTTCAAGAAGCACCTAAGCTTCCTGGCATTGTGTGGCTGCTGAACAAGAAGTAGAAACTAACCTTTTTCCCAAGCAAATTTGAAAAAGAAAGGGTTTCTAAAAGCCTGTGCTTCTTGCCTTCCCTCCTGGGGAGGTCTCATCATGATGCGGGGACACCCAGTGAGCATAATGTTCTAAAGACCCATAAAACGTTATTTGACATGAAAATTTTGCCTCGCCTATGAGCTGGTGCTAATGAATTACATATGATGCAAGAAGCAGCATGGCTGAAATATTTTTATTAATACTAATAATATTTTTTGCTTATACAGCAACTTTCATTGCAGAAAACTGAGTTGGAAAGGAAGCTTTAAAGACCTACTTGGGGTAAAATTACTGGCTTATAACTTTTTAGACTTGCGCTGCCCTTCCACCATGCTAGGGGCAGGGGGCTGGTCATGCAGATAATGTGGTTCACCTAGAGGAATTTCAGTAACCAAAGGTTCCTAGCCTTAGGGATTCCACAGGAAAACAAAGTGAAAATATTTTTTTAAAGGGGTATCATATGTAATCTCCACAACATCACCGTGAAATGGGTGTTATATTTGTTTTATAGACTAGGTGACTAAGGCACAGAGAGATTGAGCAACTTTCCCCACTGGCCCACATCCCTCTTTGGAATGGAACCCCCTGTGATTCCTTTGGGCTCTGGCCTGACGAGGACAGGATAGCTTGGACCACTGTTGAGGCATGCTGCTAATAGTCTGTGCTGTGTTTTGACACTTAATGTAAAATCCTCCACATTCTATTTCTTTGGTACATGTACTTCTTTCAGTTTCCCAACCAGATTGCAATCTCCATGAGGAGAAGAATTTGAGTTTAGGTTTATAAAGTGTGTCTTTTATTTTTAGAATTAAAACCCAGGACATATACTTCAATCAGGGCACAAGTTGTATCTTAGTTTTGGCTGCTATAACAGAATATCATAGGCTGGGTGGCTTAAACAACAGAAACTTATTTATCACAGTTCAGAAGGCCGGGAAGTCTGAGATCAGGGTAATAGCGTGGTTGCGTTCTGGTGAGATCCCTCTTCCTGGTTTGCGAATAGCTGCTCTCTCAATTTGTCCTTACCTGGCAGAGAGGGATAAAGATAATCTCTCTTGTGTCTCTTTTTGTAAAGGCATTAATCCCATTAACGAGGGCTTCACTCTCACGACCTAATTACCTTCTGAAGTTCCCACCTCCAAACAGTATGACACTGGGGATTAGGCGTTCAACATATGAATTTGGAGGAACACAAACATTCAGCCCATAGCAAGTTGATTTCTCATGGGGACAACGAGAAAGGATTTGGAAACCAGGGCCATTCTAGTAAACCCAGGACATAAGTGGTCATAACGATTGCATTTTCTTTTATAGAAAAGACCAAAAGGAGACTAGTCTGCTTTCATTTCTAAGTTAAGCTTATAAGGTATGTGCATTTTAGTAGCAAATTGACGTCTGGTACTCTGTATGACACATTCAAAATGTCAGTATTTTTACTCTTTATGGGCTAATCATGCTCTAGGGACTTCATTTAAACTAATACACAATCCAGAATGTAGAATTTATTTATTTTCACTAAAAATACACCTTTTAAGTTATATCTCTTTGAAGTGTTTATTTGCTTTTGAGACAAGGCATCCAGGAAACCAAATAAGCATTCTGGGAATTTTAGAGACCATGGAATGCAATGTCCATGAAGGCAAGGAATTAGTCTCAGCCCATTAACCTATAGAAAATATTTTCCTGGTAGATTGCATTCTTGGGCCCACTATACAGACCCTAACTCTCCAATGGATAGGTCTGAAGAGATATAAACTCTTTATTACCCAGTCTTCCCCTTATTATATTTTTATCACAAATTTACACAATATGACCTTGGTCATTTTACCATCTCATTTCTTACTTTCTCTTCTTAAACTGTTTCTCTGACAATATTATAAGTAGTTGCCGCGTGCTTTATATGGCCTGATAACATTTGGAATGCACTTTAATCTCATCAGCAGCACAACACAAATCGTCTTTTAGGTGGATTAATTCTGAGACAGGGACTTACAAATGGTAAGTCATCTCCATTTTCATTTTCAATTTTAAAAGGTAACATTCCAGGTGGGTCAACAGAATGGTGCCAAAGAGGAAAAGAACAGGTCTAGGATCCACACACTTGAATTTGGCAACTGGGTTCTGCTCATTTCTTTTTTCTTTCTTTCTTTCTGTTTCTGTTTTGTTGTTGTTGTTGTTGTTGTTGTTGTTTGTTTTTTGTTTTTTTTTTTGAGACAGAGTCTTGCTCTGTTGCCAGGCTGGAGTGCAGTGGCGTGATCTCAGCTCACTGCAACCTCCGCCTCCCAGTTCAAGCGATTCTCCTGCCTCAGCCTCCCGAGTAGCTGGGACTACAGTCTCCCACCACCACGCCCAGCTAATTTTTGTATTTTTAGTAGAGTTGAGGTTTCACCATGTTGGCCAGGATGGTCTCGATCTCTTGACCTCATGATCTGCCCGCCTCGGCCTCCCAAAGTGCTGGGATTACAGGCGTAAGCCACTGTGCCTGGCCTCTGCTCATTTCTTAGCTTGACCTTGGGCAGCTAACTTAATGGCTTTGAATCTCAGTTTTCTTATAACAATGATTATCTTATAAGACCAAAGAAAATAATGAATGTAAAAGTTCCCTGATAACTGTGCAGTAGTTCACATAAGGTAACTTATTGGGTTAAGTACAGTTAGTACTTGCTATAAGCTGACATATGTATTTCTAAAAACAAGCTGAAATGGGGAAGACTACGAATATAATTGCCTGACCAGAACTGTCCAGTAGAATTATAATGCTAACCACAAGTGTGAGCCACATATGTAATTTTAAATTTTATAGTAGTGATATTTTAAAAATTAAAAAAAGGAATTATTTTGAAAATATATCTGCTTTAATCATATCTTAAATATTATTTCAACATAGTGAACATTAAAAAATTAACTGGCTAGTTTGAATTATTTTTTCTTTTTTACCACAGAAAGAATATATGAGTGTGTATTTTACATTTATAGCACCTCTCAGTTCGAACCAGCCACATTTCAAATGCTAGTTCAGTAGCCACACGTAGCCACTGGCAACTGAAGTAGATAACAAAGGTCTAAGGCCCGGGTCATGTACCCTCCTTGGAACAGGAGTTCAGGTTCAATTTTCAAACTATACAGACTGAAAGTGGGAAAAAATGAATAGAAATTAAGATCTGTTTCTTGGAAGAGAGAAAATGAAATTTGTAGAGGCAAAATCATTTTTAATACTACCATCATCATCATCACTCCCACAAAGTCTCTTAACTTTCAAGGAATCAAAATCCCTGATCTCCAGGCCATTTAGGTTAAATTCCATTGAAATTAATTCTGTCGTTCAGTGTAAAGGTAGTTGTTGGGCCAGGCATTGTGGCTTACGCCAGTAATCCCAGCACTTTGGGAGGACGAGGCAGGCAGATCACGAGGTCAGGAATTTGAGACCATCCTGGCCATCATAGTGAAACCCTGTCTCTACTAAAAATACAAAACATTAGCCAGGCGTGGTGGCGGGCGCCTGTAATCCCAGCTACTTGGGAGGCTGAGGCAGGAGAATTGCTTGAATCTGGGAGGCAGAGGTTGCAGTGAGCTGAGATCGTGCCATTGCACTTCAGCCTGGGTGACAAAGCGAGACTCCAGCTCAAAAAAAAAAAAGTTTTTGTACAGAGAGAGTGTGCATCTAGGATTTAGGGAATAGGACTTTGGTCCTAGCTCTGTTATCAGCTAGCTGAGCTGGACACTAAAGGTCCCTGGTCTTCAAATTCTTCATCTGTAATATAAAAGGGTTAGCATAGGCATTTTCTATTCTAATACTACTAAAATTAAAGCTATTAGGTATAATTTATACATAACAAAATATACCCATTTTAATGTATATTTCAATGTTTTGACAAATTTACCACTCCTGTAACTCTCAGCATGATCAAGATACAGGAACATTTTCATCTCCCCAAAATGCTACCTTGTGCTTCTTCCCAGGCAATTTTCTGTTGATGGACACAGTGGTTTCTGGTTTTTGTATCAGGTAACTTCCAGACATGGCTGAAGTCAGAACTGAAATAGATTTAGATGGATTTTTCTAATTTATCCCCAGAGAGTGCACTTTTAAGTTTATAAGAAACTGTCAAACTGTGTTCCAGTCTTCGTACCACTTTATACTAGTAATAGATGAGAATTCCAGTTGCTTCATGTCCTTGCCAAGACTTGGTGTTGTCAGTCTTTTTAATTTCATCCATTGGAATGTGTGTGTAATGGTATCTCATTGTGGTTTTAATTTGCATTTGATACAAATAACAACAAACTTCTGATGACTTAATCATAATAAACTTCTTTCCATGTGCTGATTAGCCATTTGTATGTCATCTTTTATGAAGCATTTGTTCAAACATTTTGCCCATTTTCAAAACTAAGTTGTTTTACTGATTGTCATATACAGTCATAGCAATTTTTTTGTTTTTACTTGTCTTTTATTTTTTTAATGGCATTTTTAGAAGAACAAAGACTTTCAATTTAAAGTTATATTTATCAATCTTTTCTTTTATGATTCATTCATTGTGTGTTTTAATCTAATAAATCTTTGCCTATGCCAAGGCTATGGGTTTTATCCTATTTTTGTCTAGGAATTTTATAGTTCCACTTTTCAATTTAGATCTCTTATCCATTTTGAGTTAATTTGTGTATGAAGTGAGGTAAGGACTGAGATTAATTTTTTTCCAAATGGATATTCAATTGTTTCATTTTCTAATCTTTTCCCTATTAAATTATCTATGCAGTTTGTATATATGTGTGTGTGCATGTGTGTATTTCTATAAAATGTTTACATCATGGACTATTGTGTTTATTTTTGTGTCTCTTGCTTAAAGCAATTTAGGAATGAGAGTGTTGAGCATGAATCTCTTTTCTGAATCCAAAGCCTATTCTGAATGCAATAATGAGGAATTAGGATAGTCATATTCCTGGAGCCTCGACTACTGACTCCATCTCACATCTTTGCTCAGGATTCAACTATGGGAGGATGGAAGGTTCTGAGGGTCTTATATAGAAGTAACCTCCAAGCTTCTCAAGGATTTGTTTATCAGGTTTTTTTTCTCTTCTTTCTTCTGTATCCTCCCATCTAACACTTCCTATTCACATGGCCACCATGCCAATTTCAAATAACTTTTCCCCTGGGCTTAAATGGATCTGTATTGAAATGTATAGTGCTTTATACATAAGTAAACTAGATCTGTAGGACTAGAATACTCCAAACTATTCATATTAAACTTGTAAGAGATACAGTTTTTCTATCTTTAATAGTCTTTGAAAATAATTTATATGGTAACCATGGATAGCATATACTCTCTGAGTTAGGATACTTCTTGTTTTAGAATTTCCTTCAGAGAAAATGTTGAAACTGGCCCTCTCTGTCACAATTTTCATCATTGTTTGTATTTATTTTTCATTACATTGAGCTGTTACATTGCCCTAAGCTGTGGCAGATTTGATTTCTTGTAGTGCTGTGTTGTTCTGTTTTTGTTATCCTTCTCATTACTTCTTCTTAGCACCCTGTCCTTGACTTCATAATACTGTGAAGACCCAGCTTGTAAAGCTGCTTTTGGCAGAATAAGATATCTTCATCTTTGAGGTCACGTTTCAGGCTTTTGTTCAGTCACAAGTTCTGTTTGGATTTATCCTCGGTGTGTCTACTTGAATATTCAAAAAGTCATCAGCTAGTCTAATTTGTTTTTTTTTAGCCATGTAAAAGACTGATTTGCTTTGACAGGTGGATCAGAAACAGAATTGGAGCTATTTTATCTGGACCTAATTAAACAACCTTCATTACCGGCAGATATATGTTTGTGACTTAAAATTAGCATGATTGGAATTAAAACTCAAAATATAAGGCATTGAATTCAGATATGGCTGGTTTAAAAATAAATTCCATACATTTTAAATGCAGCAAGTCTGGATTTTAAATATCCTATAGTGACAAATTCCATTTAGGCGTGTGTGTGTGTGTGTGTGTGTATGCATGCACACATGGCTGTGGCCATAGATAATAGTAAAGATATGACCCATATTTTCAGAACGGTTACAGACGAGCATTCTGAACTATGAAACTTTAATAAAATATTTTTTAAATCTCATTTCTCCTCTCCCCAGCCCAAAGTACTGAATTCAGCTTTGAGGATTTTGTGTAGCTTTCTTTGATTTCAAAGGTTACATTCTCTAATCAAATTATTTCTATTCATCATTGTCGAATTTCTGAGATTTTGTGGTTGCCTTTTATTATACATATCCTGATTTTGTGTGTGTGTGTGTGTGTGTAGAGAGAGAGAGAGACAGTGGAACTTGCTTAAAGTGTCCTTCCACATGTAACATTTTAAGTCACATTAGATTTTTTATAGTATTTTATTTCCTTAACCTTTTGAGGAAGGTTTTAAAAGAGTTTGTGTGTGCATATAAATCTACATACACACATCAAGTAATACATTTAGTTGTAGTTGTGCATTCTGGGTAATAATAGAAATTTAGTAATTATCAAATAATTATAAAATACATATTTTTTGTCTTTCTTAGAATTTTTGAGGGTTATTATGTACTGAGATATATGAGCCAGATTTTACCTTATGAAGAAAAATAAAAGGTTGAATAAAACATATTGACATTTCTGTTCAACATTAAGGCTGCAGGAATTATGGTGGATTCCTTTTCCTAACAAACATTAATATGAGATTCCTGGTGTGATCAGAACTGGATATCAAGAATCTAATCCCTCCCCCTGCCTTTGTGCATCAGAAGCCTTCTCCAAATTATTAAAATTCCAGGTCTTTTGTGATACTTCTTGATGCATCGTTGCAATTTTAACTGCTTTAAAATGCAAGTAAGAGCACCTTCTTAGTATTTATAACCTCTTGTGTACCTAACATTTTTTTATAAAATATAAAATAAAGCATTTGTGTTTATCCATGTCCTTTTAAAAATTAGAATTTCCAGATGATCCCTCCTTTTATATATTTTTCCAGGAATCAAAACAACACTTTCTGCAAGTGTTTGTCACCTTTGTTTGGATTTACTTAGTTCCTCCTTGTTACTAATGAGGGATCTAGTTCAACCACTGCTCCTTCTTCTGATCTTTGTTCCATCACTTCCTTAATATAAAAGAGGTACTGACTTAACACTAGTTCACTAGTAGGCATTGCTTTCATTTGTGTTCCAGGTGGAACTGTTAATTTTTGCCATGTACATTGTCACCTTCTTTGAGTCTTGTTTGAATCCCAGGTTTGACGTGATCTAAACTGTAGGTAGTTGAATTTAATTTGGGAGCATCCAGATGAACTCGTTGGCCAAAATGAAATTTAAATCCTTGTTTTCTTTTTATCTTTCACAAGGGTGTTTACTATTCTTTCCTTTTTTCTCCTAATGCAGTGAGGATGATGACAATATCTTTATCCAGGCTTCTTGCTGTTGTCTGGCAACTCCCTTAGTGCTGGGAAAGCCTCTAGAGAGCTGGCCACATCAGATAGCAGGCTGGACAAGGGCTTTCTGAATGGTTGTCTTAAGCCTGTCAATGTGTAAAAGGCTGTGTTTTTGTAAAGTTGTATCAGTTTTCCTTTGTCAAAGCCCATCACATAGCATTCAAAAATTAGATTAATTTTTGGAGTTCATAAGCATAGGTTTGAATTCTAGCATCTCAATTTACAGACTGTATGACCTTCAAAAAGTTACTTAATATCATGGAGCTTCACTTTTCTCATCTGTAATACCAGGGTAATCAGTCCCGCACTCAAGGAGAAGTGAGGTTTAAATAAAGAGAATGTAGCATAGTAGTTGGGAGCAGAAAGGCTGGGGCTGGATGGCCTGCTTTCAAGGGCATGCAACTATTACTTGTCACATGATTTGGGGCAATTCATTAATCTTTCAATTCTTTGGTTTCCTCATTTGAGAATATGGGTTATAATAGCATCCATTTACAGGATTGTGAGTATTAAAACAAATAATACCTTTAAAGCACCTGTAACCTTACTTGGCACATGGGAAGCATCTCATAGATTCGTTCATTTAACAAATATTTATGAGATACCTACAATGTGGCAAGGATTATTTTAGGTTCTGGAGACATCAGTGAACAAAATTCCTACCCCCTTCAGCTTTTATTCTAGTGGGTGGAAGTAGACAAAATAGTAAATATAATAGCAACTATAAACAGCAAATATAAAAACAGCATATATAATAAGAGGTATGGAGTTAAAGCAGAAAAGGAGGATAAGAATGGTAATGGGTGGGGGTGCAACTTGAGATAGGATTGTAGGCTCACTGAGAAGACAGTATTTGAGCAAAAACCTGAAAGTGGGAAAGATCAAGCCATTATTAAATGAGGTCTACGAAAGAGTAAGTGCAAGACCCCTGAGGCAGGAGACTGAGTGAGCAGAGGGTAAAAGTAATAAAAGATAAGGCCAGAGAGGAGATCAGGGCCAGTTCAGAGGGTTTGACATCTACTATTAGGAATTTGATGTTTTACCCTGAGAGAGCAGAAGAGTGACATGATCTGACACATTTTATAAGGAATACCTGGCTGCTAAGTTGTGGGTGGACTGTAAGGGGCAAGGGTAGAAACGGGGAGATGAGTTAAGAACTATAACAGGATAAAGGTGCCCTGCTTCAGAATGGGTCTGGAGGAGGCAGAAAGGGAGCAGAATGGGGATATATTCTGAAAGTGTTGTTGTCGGCATTTGCCATCATCATTACTAAGTGAGATAATGCACAACTCATTTGGAACATTGATTGCTACAGAGTAAACATTTATAAAATGGTAGACAATTGTTTTTAATGAATAAACTGGTTTCAGTCCAAAATTTTTCTTGTGAATTTGGGAAGAAACTGAGACTTCCTAATTAATTGTCTCAAGAGGAGTTAAGTGTGATGTCAGGAAGGACTTCACTCGTATACACAATGCCCTGTGAAGCACTGGATTAAATAACTAGGGAGATTTGAATCTTACTTTTCTGAATCCCTTCATTTAGGAAACTACCTATGTAAATATTTCCTAGTTAAATAATCCATTAGATAAGGAACAGGCAAACTACCCCTCAGGGGCCAAATCTAGCTCATTTCCTGTTTTGTAAATAAAGCTTTATTGAAACACATCCATGTTCATTTATTATGTGTTATCTATAGCTGCTTTCACACTACACATCAGAATTAAATAGTTGTGAAGCCTAAAATACTTACTATCTGGCCCTTTACAGAAACTGCCTTAGATGAACATTTATGCGTGGCTCAAAATCATAAGCACATACTTATTTAGAATATATTTATGAAAACGTATGGCATCTAGCACTTAGTAAAGGCCCAAAGGTACCCATAAATATGTATATTTTGGAGGAACAGTGCAGGCATGCATCCTTGGGAAGGTCTCATCACCATCATAGTACTATTTATCAATGATTTACTACATTCCAGATGACTGTTCTAACCATTTTACATTTACTAGGTCATTTTAGCCTCACAGCAATCATTGGGGAGATAATATTGATATTCTTACCTTACCGATGAGAAAACTGAGGTACAGAGGGGATCAGTGGCTTGTTTAGAGTTGAACTGTATGTGTCTATCCGAGCCAAGGATGCAAACATAGTCAGTCTGGCTTCAGAGCCTACACTCTACACCTCTATGCTTTACTTCTATCCAGGCAGCTAGACTCTGTGTGTGTGTGTGTGTGTGTGTGTGTGTGTGTGTGTGTGTGTGTGTGTGTGTTTGGCTTCCCTATCAACAAATTCCTACATTTGGCTATTGAACCCCACCTTGTGAGATTGTTCAATGCATTGATCATTCACATCTCTGTTTGCTGTCTAAATGGCTACAACACAATGACACCATTCAGCAGCTGAGGGCTGGAAAAACTGCCCCATCCCCAATTGTTCTTTCCTTTTAAGTTGACAGAATAACAGAAAGCCAATTTTGATGCTTGTAAGTGTGAAGTTTCAAAGAATAATGCAAAATTAATTTTCATATGTTTATGAGTTTATCCAAGTTGAGGAGTTCTTAACTCTTGAAACTTCAATGTTCGGTTGTTAAAAGTGGATATCATCTTCCTTTAAATAACAGGTTATTTTAGAACAAGATTAGATCTGTCAGAATTGAAAATAGTATATTTATGCTTCATTGTAAACCTTTCATTTCTTTAAGGGCTCAAGGTTCCCAAGGGAGCATTAAAATCCAAATGATGTCCCCAAGAGCTGGATTTTGCATTTGGATCTCTGATTTAGCCTATATGTGAAAGCAGAAGTTGTCTGATAATCACCAATTGACACCACATTTGAAAAGAAGCAGCTCAACTTCTTTTAGCTACAATCTGCAGTAATGTTCCTCCTTTCCCTCATTCCAAGGCCTTTACTCGATGATAGCTGCAAATAAGTGTGTTTTCCTGGTAAGTTCACCCATTTTTGGTTAACTGCCATGCTAAAGATGCAGCTGCCACAGATCAGAAGCTACAAGGTACGAGGGTGTTGTAGCTGCTTACAAAGTGCCCCAATTCATGGTTTAGATGCCAGAGCCCCCAGTGCTTGTCCAAAGGCAGAGTTTCATCCAAAGCCCATGGATGTGGCTTCTTGGTGTTTCTCTTTTGTTGAAACCTGCCACTTTCTCTCTCACACAAAATCCACTCCCCAGGCAGGGGTCTACTTTTCAAGGATTTCCCCCAAAGACTCTGAGACTTCAATTTGCCTAAGAATCAAGTTGTCCTGATTTAGATGCATGCAGTAAATGACTTGACAATAAGGAACCCACCACACTTTCGTATTCTCATAGAACAGTAGAAATGCAAGAAAATAAAGATGTTGTTTACAAGAGAGTAGATTGTGCAGCATGGTAATGGAGGCCAAAGGTGCTGTTCATTCGTTCCCTCCCTCCCTCCCATCCTTCCTTCCTTCCTTCCTTCCTTCCTTCCTTCCTTCCTCTTCCTTCACTCCTTCCTTCCTTGCCTCCCTCCTTCCTTCCTTCCTTCCCTCCCACCTTCCTTCACTCCTTCCTTCCTTCCTTCCCTCCCTCCTTCCTTCCCTCCCTCCCTCCTTCCCTCCTTCCCTCCTTCCTTCCTTCCTTACTTCCACAAATAGTTACCAAGTATTTACTATGACAGACTGTGATGGACTCTGAAGATACAATTATAAACAAGACAAACAAAGGTCATTGCCTTTGTGGAATTTACTGGAAGAGACAGAAATATAACAAATAATTAACAATAAATTATGCACATAATTATGTGATTACACTAGGTAAATTCTGTGTAGAAAAAGTATAGAACATGATGGGCAAGACTAATGGGAAACTTAGACTGATAAGCAGGTGAGGCCCCTTTCTCCAGGGGGAAGTGTCACATCAACTGACACTTGATAGATAAGTAAGAGTCAGTCAACCCAGAGAAGGCAAGGGAGGAGGTGGGCAGAAACATCCTGGCAGATGAAGAAGGGCCTATGCTAGAAAGGACTGAAAGAAGACCAGAGTGGATTCTGTGCACCATGTGAATTTAACCTGGAGAGGTAGTCAAGGGCTGTGACTTGCTGCTTGGCAGGCCAGATTTTCAAATCTGACCTTTATCCTAAGAGCAATGAGAAGCAACTACAAAATTTAAGGAGGCCGGGCACGGTGGCTCACGCCTGTAATCCCAGCACTTTGGGAGGCCAAGGCAGGCGGATCACCTGAGGTTGGGAGTTCGAGACCAACATGGAGAAACCCCGTCTCTACTAAAAATACAGAATTAGCCGGGCGTGGTGGTGCATGCCTATAATCCCAGCTACTTGGGAGGCTGAGGCAGAAGAATCACTTGAACCTGGGAGGTGGAGGTTGTGGTGAGCCGAGATGGCGCCATTGCACTCCAACCTGGGCAACAAGAGTGAAACTCCATCTCAAAAAAGTAAAAATAAAAATTAAAAAATTAAAATAAAAATTTAAGGTCGTGTGTGTGTGTGGTCAGAAATGCAATATTTGATGGATCTTTCTTGTGTGTTTGAGAACCTCACAGAAGATTCCATGGAAATCTATGATTATTCTCATTTGAGACTTTAACCTTAAGTCCCTAACATGTTATGTGCCAATTTTAGTATGACAAAACTGAACATTGTCTCTCAAATCTTCAAAAGTCTTGTGAACCATCAGGAGTAAGTTTTTTTTGTTTTTTTTGTTTGTTTGTTTTTTTGAGACGGAGGCTCGCTCTGTCGTCCAGGCTGGAGTGCAGTGGCACGGTCTCCGCTCACTGCAAGCTCCGCCTCCCGGGTTCACGCCATTCTCCTGCCTCAGCCTCCCGCCAGCACGCCCAGGTGCCCGTCAGCACGCCCAGCTAATTTTTTGTAGTTTTAGTAGAGACGGGGTTTCACCATGTTAGCCAGGATGGTCTCGATCTCCTGACCTGGTGATCCGCCTGCCTCGGCCTCCCAAAGTGCTGGGATTACAGGCGTGAGCCACTGCGCCCAGCTAGGAGTAAGTTTTGAGACTGAGGTAGTTGGGGCTAGAGTCAGAAGACATAGTAGACAGAGCTTGGCTCACGGATTTTTGATACACCTGAATTGGGGCAACTTTTCAGAATTAGGAAAAGGTGCGGCAGAGCTCTCAAGTTCTTAGGAGGTAGTCCTCTGGTTTTTTATTTTGTTGTTTTGTTTCCCCAATGTGTTTGATAACTGTATATTTTACTATTGATGTCATTTAAATAAATATTTACCCAAGATTTTGACTTTCCTTGCCTAATGTGCCAAATTGTTGGCAGCTCTATACCATTCCCCATCTTCTCTGTGC
The DNA here is from genome assembly GCF_000001405.40 of Homo sapiens. Lineage (NCBI taxonomy): Eukaryota > Metazoa > Chordata > Mammalia > Primates > Hominidae > Homo > Homo sapiens. The sequence goes on along the minus strand of NC_000001.11, from coordinate 88,123,026 downwards.
TAACTTTATTGGAGGGGCTCAAAGCATAAGAATAAAATTCCTTAAAAATATCTGCTGGAAGATTTCCATTTTAAGTTCCACCAGTGAAAGATGCTTGTGCAAAAATTGGAAGGCAAAAGAGAATAAAAATCTGTGATTGCATCTGGCCAGCATTGGGTAGATAGGTGTTTGGGGTATGGAAGATGACAGACCTAAGAATTTTCCAGAAGCTTCTGGATGTTCTCCTACAATTTCTTAGCACTACTTAGGTGCTGAAGATAGCTAAGATCATCAGTAGCAAATTCCTTAATTTATGTATCTCCTGATTTCCTGAATGCTAGTGGTGGCATCCCCTTTTTCTCCCCCAGCCTTTCCAATGTATTTTAAGTTTCTAATTTCTTGTGTTGCAACCATTTCTGCATGAAATACCTAGAGTGTGTCTGTTTTCCTGACAGAGCTTTGACTGATATAAACCATTATTCATCAGTTCGTATTTGTAAAACCGAATTAAATTTGGTTAGTGAATTGACAACTGTCCTTTAAAATAATATTTAACCAGCCTTGATGATTTTATGAATCTTTACTTGAATATTCCATTATTAGTCATGACCTCAACACCCTTTTCTAAGCTCCCAACCCCCATTAAACTCTCTGATAGATAAACACACTCTATACGTTAAAAATCTCAAACTCCTTAACTAGAATATAAGGGCTCTGTTGTTGTTGTTGTTGTTGTTTTCAGATGGAGTCTCACTCTGTCACACAGGCTAGAGTGTAGTAGCACTATCATGGCTCACTGCAACCTCCGCCTCCCTGCCTCAGCCTCCTGGGTAGATGGGACTACAGGCATGCGCCACCACACCCCGCTAATTTTGTATTTTTAGTAGAGATGGGGTTTCACCATGTTGGCCAGGCTGGTCTTGAACTCCAGACCTCAAGTGATCTGCCCGCTTTGGTATAAGGGCTTTCAAAAGCTCCCCTCAACCATATTTTGCTTCTTCACCTCTGATCTTGCCCTCTTGAAGCTCTAGTATCGTAAGTCTCCTATAATTGATGTTTCTGGGTCCATGCTTATGTGATTCTGTCTGCCTAGATGCCTACTTTTTCTTGTTCTCCTATTAAATCCATACATATTCTTGAAGATCTAACTCAAATATCTTTTCTCCTTCTCCACTATTTTTCTCACAACCCTCTCCCAACAACCCCAGCTAAACCTCAAGAGCAATGTATTTGTAAGCCAGATAAAAAAAAATTATATTATTTTCTAAGTATTTGTTTTGTTTCCCATTTTCACTACATAATAAATTCTTTGAGAGATGAAACTCTTATTCATCTTTTGTGTCTCAGAAACTTAAAACTCAATAAATGGTCATGGACTTGAAATATTGTGTTGAAATAGACTGTCACCTATGTGCCATGTGTGCAAAAAAATAGCCAGAAGAACCACCAGAAGCTTTTTTAAAAAGCAAAAAACTTTTCAAATTGATCTAATGCTTCATAAAGTAGCCTAGGGAAAATTTTGACTACTCTTGTCTTGCAAAAAGAAGAAAACTACTGAAGGAATTTTCTTGTTTTTCAAAAACTGATATTTTGAATATGTATTTTTTTCAAGATATAAAAATGTAACTCCTGCTAAAGCCTTTGGGCATATGTACAGTTATAAATATAACATTAAAATACAAGTATACATCATAATTTAATTGTACCATACAACATAGGGAAGGAGAGGTAGTGAAGACTGGCATATGGCTTTCAGGAGAGGCTTCTCCTGGATGGCCGGTGGTGTTGGGTTAGAGGTGATGACACAGAGAATAAGAGGGCAGATGAGGAGTTTTATAGCATTAAATAGGATTACATGGAAGAACAGGCATGAGGAAGTTTTGGCATCCCATCTGGCTAAAGAACCATGCATAAATCTCCAATCACAGCCATCGATCAACCCAAAAGGCAGTTTTAGATCTTCAGTCCTCACTAGGGGAGCATATACACAAAAGGTGTGTTAAAGAACAAAAACTTTTGTCGTAACACTCTCAATGCCAAAGGGACTAAATTCTAAATTTGCATGTCTTACTGACTCAGTGTGGAATTATGAACAAGTTATTTAATATCCTTAGGCCTCAGATACTTCATCCATTTATGGGGATAATAATGTGTGACTTTTACTTACTTCACAAGGTTGTTTTGTACTTCCCTTCTAGACATTTACATATTCTGTTCCAAAGCTGACTCCTGGCAAGATTATGAAGTAGAGAAGATTTTTTTCTTGGTATCTTTCTGTCTCCAAAGTCAGAACTCCATCCTCCTTTCTGATTCCCCATTCTACCATGGTTACTTTTCCCAATAGGCCCTGGTGGATGGCGTGGTAACTGTCCTTTGCATAGCATTTTATAACATATGTGAAAACTTATTTTACTCTTATGGCAGCTTTGATAGGTAGTAATTATTATGATCCCCATTTTCTGGACCAGGAAACTGAGGCATGAGTATTAAAAATCTTGCTCAGAACCACATACCTAATAAATGGTATGTCAGGATTTGCAACCCAATAATTTTATTCCAAAAAACTAGCACTTCTGAGAAATACATGAATCTTAAGAAGACATTCTTGAAGATTTAAAAGTTTTGGAACACAAAACTTTTATGAACTTACTGAAGAGCTCCCTGGGGATAAGGCTCGTATTCATCTTGTTCATTGTTGGATCTCTAGCCGATGGCAAAGTGCCTCACATATAGTAGTTATTAGTTCAAAAATAGTAGGTGAGTAAATGAATAAAATAATAAATGAATAGTACAATGGCAATTATAGTATTGATCTATCCATGTATCTATGAATTTATGATCTATCTATATGTCTATGTATTTACATATTATATACACATTTATGTATAAAAATGTATGTGTGTCTAGTTTTATTTAGTTTTGTTCTTTTTTGTACAAATAGGTTATGCCTTCTCGTTTCATTCTTTTTCTTGACAAAAATGTAATTTTCTACATTTTTACTCCTTTCCTTTACACAATGAAAAAATTCTAGGCAGGTCATTATGGAAATATTTTTGAATTTTTTAAATAAACTTTTTACTTTGGAATAATTTTAGATTCACAGAAAAGTTGCAAAGAGAATACAGAGATCCTTGTATATTCCTCACAGAGCTTCCCCTAATGTTAACCCTTTACACTGCTAAGGTATATTTATCAAAGCTAAGAAAACAGCATTGGTACATTACTATTAATAAAACTCCAGACTGTATTCAGAGTTCACTAATTTTTCCACTAATGTCCTTTTTTCTCTTGCAAGATTAAATACAAGGTAGCACATTGCATTTACATATCACATCTCCTTAATCTTCTCTGGTTTGTGTCAGTTCCTTAGTCTTTCCTTGTTTTCATGACCTTGACAGTTTTGAAGAGTATTGGTCAGCTACTTTGTAAAATCTCCCTCAGGTTTGTCTGATGCTTTCCTCCTGATTAGACTGGGATTATAAGTTTTGGGGAAGAACACCACAGAAGTGAAGCGCCTTCTTCTCACATCCTATCAAGGTGTATGTGTTGTCAACATGACTTATCACTGGTGGTATTAATCTTGATCACTTGATCCAGGTAGTCTTTGACAGATTTCTCCACCATAAACTTAACCCTTCTTCTGTACACTCTATTCTTTGAAAGCAAGTCCATGTTCAAGGGAGAGAATGTGGGTTGGGGGAGGGCATTAAGGACCATCTTCCAGATGGCAGTGTGCACAAATTATTTAGAATCCTATGGGGAAGATTTTTCTCTTCTTATTCATTTATTTACTCCTCCATTTATTTGTAACAATAAGAGCTCATATATATTTACTTTATACTCTGGGTTATAATCCAATACTGTTATTTATTCTGTTGCTCAAAGACCTTTGACAGTCTTTTTTAATATGTGCATTTTTAGGGTCTCTCACTTATCAAAAAGGGTTCTGTCTTATTAGCCTAGTGCCATCATCATTGTTTGGCCAGGGACAGCGAAGGCTCCTGTCACATCCTCATGTTACAATTAGTTATAGATATTTGTCTCTGTGTGCTCAACAATTTACCAAAGTCAGTCCCATCTCCCTTGCTCAAGACCACTGGTGAAGGATCCAGACCATGATCTGGGTTCCTAAGGCTGCTTCTGAAAAGCAAAAATGTAGTGAAAGCTGTAAGGAGCCAGGGCCCTGACATTTCAGCACTTCAAACTGATCGTCGGGAATGCAGGGACGAATGGGGGAAATACATTCCCATGAGATTCCACTCACTGTTCCCTTGACTTCTTTGATTTCAGTACCAGTTGGAGGCTTAAGACAGGTGATGAATTTGGTCCAGAGTGAGGTTAGTTGAGAAGGAAATGAAAACAGAGGTTTAACAGGAAGATTAGTGGACTTTCTACCTCTGGGCAATAAATGTCTGCTTTGGTCCTCACTAATCAGTTTTCCACATGCCTCATGCCATTTGCTTTACTTAGGATGAGTTCTTAAAGCTCCATTAGGAAGTGTTCAAATCACTGTTTTGAACAGGCTGTTTTTGTCAATGCCCTCCTTTTAACCCACTTATTTTTTTCTAAATGTATGCACGTAGAGGGCTGGTCAAGGGGGAAATTATGCTGATTAGGAAGCATGGTGCGTGATGGAGAAATTGCCTTAGAGTCTGAATATATAACTCCAGGATAGAGAGGCCTCTTTAACACTTGCATAGAGCATACACGCATTTCATAGCTCATAGCTCAGGGCAAAGAGAATGGGCATCTGATAAATTTGCATGTAAAAAACTATTGAAGTCAGCTAAACAATAATATATCTCTTGACAGGAAGGAGAAATGGTGTGGTTTTCTTTAGCTCTGTAATATTTAGAAAACATCTACTATTTTTAAGAACATAGAATTGAGATTGAAGAAACGTAGAGCATAAATAGTTCTTAGTTGTCTCCCTTCACACCTGTAACCTCTTTTCTTCCTCTCTCTTCCACTCGCACCCAAACCTTAGTTTTCTCATCTCCTTCCCCTCAATTTCAAATGAGTATTTGCATTTTAAGGTCAGGACTCAGGCAGTGTTGCAAGTCTAAAATGATATCCGCTTTAGGAGGGAGGATAGCAGAGGGACAAGGGACATAAAAAAGTTATTGCTCATTGTGAAATGCCCTTTCAAATGCTCCCCGTACTCTGCTTAGTTTTGAGAGAGTTTCATATTGGTTGACAGATTATGTAATCTGCTCACCCACCAATGTTTTGGCATGGAGAGATTGTACAGGTATTTCTATTTGAGCCAGTCTCTAGTTAATAATCAATAGTCCTGTTGTCTAATGAAGTGATGGCCTTGACACCCTGGCCTTTGTGCAGTGTTAAAATAACATTGATCGCTATCATTATCATATGCCCTTGATATACTGCATAAGGACGTGGATATCAATCTTAGAGCAAAGTAACATTTCATCAATCTTATAGAAATAACCAGGATTGTCCAAACAGGCATATGCTTCTTGACAGCAATGTGACAGAAGAGTCTAAGACACAAATAATTTATAATTTATCTCTAAACCTTGATTGAAAAAAAAACCCTCAAAAGTAGCATTTAGTACAAAGTGTGTTTCTTTATGTGCCAAAAAGGACTAGGGAGCCTTCTGATTTTCTTTTTTAATAGTAGATTACATTGGGAGAAGTACTCCTGTGGCACTTGTGGAGTAGAGGGAGACAGAGCTGAAAATTTTCTCTTGGTTATTCCTTTCTGAACTTTATTTTAAATTTGTATTATGTTTCAACAACTTGCTAAATAGAAGTCACGGAATTTGTGTGGAGAGGACTTCAAGGCAGGGCAGGCTGTCACCCAACTAGGCTGAAGAACTAGGGAAGGAGGATTCGTTTTTCCAACAGACCCTCTTCATCAGAATCTCATATTTCAAACTTTTTCACTCTGTTTGACATTTTTATCTATTCAAAACCAGTTTCTTATTGAGAGAGACTAATTATTCTTGTGATTATTCAGATTATTCTAGTGTTAAGGGGTTAAATTATTCCTTTTTGCTAGATAACAAACGATATGATATCAAGAACATTGGATCAAAATTTCAAGAGAAAATTATTTCTTACTTTGGTAACATCACCCTTCTAAAATAATACACTAATGATTCATTGCCTTTGGTAGATACCTTTACCACAAATATAATGAAACATTTGTTCAGAGAAGTAGTCCTTAAGCTAAACATTTTTTCCCCTCCAGAATAGTTACTGAAAGTTGTGTGAAGATTCTGAGAATCAGGGTGTGAATAATTCACAGCAATTACTTTTAAGTTACAGAATTATCCCTGCACAGTCAATAGAATTCCAGAATGGGTAAACAAGAAGAAAGAGTGCAACAATTCCTTGAAATTTGCTGAATTCTCAAATGGATAAACACATTTAAAGGAGACAAAAGAAGACAGGAGCCTTGACCAGGATGCAGGCAGATGAAACCGGGATGTTTTTGTAATCATCGATTTATGAAGCTAAAGATGTTCTCATAAAAAAAAAATCACCAGTTTTGTTTTTTAAGGCAAAAAGAGGTCTTGCTCATGAAAGGCCAAACTACTGGGTATACTATTGTGTGTTGTGTTTTGTGTATGTGTCTGCGTATATGCACCTGTGTATTTTCAGTTTATCCATATGTGTAGCTCATATTAGTGTTACTGAGGACATGCCCACTGACAGAAAAATGTAGCTCCATGTAAATAGAATGTGAAATAGAAGTTCTGTGAAAATGAGTTTTAACTGTTACATGATATGTATAATATCAGCAGATATTTATTCTGGCTAGTAGTAATTGAAATTGAATGAGAAAAATCCAAGTATAAAGCAATTCTTGTCCCTTCTTAGAGTTCCTTCTTAAAAGACTGTTGTTTTAAGATTTTTATCTACAAGGTTTTTGGATGTTACATTTCAAAAATAGAAAAAATAAAAGGAGCACCACGTCTTTCTTAAAAACCTTGGGGTGGGAGTGAATGCCCATGAATAGATATTCAGTTGTTTGTAGCCTTGTTAGGCCCTTGTGCTTCATTAAAGACACCTAAGAAGAAAACAACTTATATTTGGGCTTCAATAGGTTGCAGGAAGACACACACATGACTAAAGCCAGAAGCCATTTTTAATCACTGATTTGCTCCCCTTAAAAAAAAAAAAAAAAAAAAAAGGAAGAGAGCCCTCGGCTGTGTAAAACCTTTACTCACTAGTCTGCCAAAAAGGTAAATATTTTTAAAAATATATTATTTACTAGGCAGGAAGCTTTCTGGGAGGTGGTGGGGTAGTGGGGGAACACAGATAAATGTGCCAGCCTCACGAGCTTTATGGCCACTCCAGGCCCAACTGTCATTCCTTCGGTACTTCCTGTCAGTCTGACTAAACTCTGTCATCCCTCAACCCGGTTTAAATTAACAGGTAATTTGTAAATGTCACTTCAGGTTAGGCCGCTCATTTTGTTTCTACTCTACCAATGCAAAGTCTAGGACTAATTTTTCTTGTCTTCTTTTAATAGGATTTTCATTTATAAATAGAATTATGTTCTGAAAATAAATTACAGTAAGTGATGCACAGAACGGGCGGCAGCGGCACTCTCATAGAATTTCAAGCACCTACATCAGAAGAGATTAATAAAAACACTTCAAAGGCTAAATTCTATTTAAGCAGAAGACAGCTTTGGTTAATATTTAATCTGAGTAACTGAGATCTTGGTGGAAAATATAATTTTTTAATATCTAAATTAATTTTCAAAACAAAACCATTAATTTTGTTTGGAGAGTTTGTGCAGTGAGAAAGTTCCAGTAATATATTTGTAGAGGAAAAAGTTAATCAATTAATTTTGTAGTGAAAAAATAGCTTTTAATATTGTATTTGTTCTAAATGAATTTCTATTATTTGTTCAGGTGTAGTGGTTTAGGATTCTTTCTCCTAAGCCTTTTCCGTTTCAGTAGGTAAAGGAGAAAGCTCTAGGGGAAAAATGTTGTTTTATAATAACTCTTCCATGGCTGCCATGCCCTTCACCTGGTTCTTTACACAAAAGGTCTCCTGCTAGAACCCTCTACCTGTCCACCCCTAGAGACTGCAAGGCTGGCTAATAGGGTTTATCATACGGAAAGTTTTTGGCATTGTCACTGTGGCAGGTCCCTTGCAATCATGGAATTTTTGCAGAGAGGAAAGTTTGGTGAGAGATGTAGTGGGAAATCATGTCAGTTTGAAAGGAAAAATGAGAGACCTTGCACTCTAAGTCGCATGAGAAATATTCACCAAATGTTAATTGATTGAGATAACGATATCCCTATCTATAGCATCTATATCTGCATCTGTATATGTACTTACATCTAGATTATTGGTGGAACAATCAAGTTGATCATTTGTGCCATCTCATCAGTTCTGTCATTTACTAGCTTTGTGACTTTAGACAGATTATTTCTAAGTTTATAATGACTTGGTAAATTTAATATCTACATCTGGTCTAATTTAACATGGGTTTATGCAGCTGATGTACATTGTCCATGTGATAATCCTATTTTGATAGCTATAGACATAACCAAAACCACAGCTTTTACTACTCTCCTAACCAGGAAGGAATATGGATGCACTGAGAAAGCTTTTGTCTTTTGTCTATCTTGCAGCCAGGGTAACACCATTTTAAGAAGAAGATAAAGGAAATATTTAATGCTTATGATCTGCTGTTAGTTAAAAAAGAAGCTCCAGGGTCAGACCAACTAGCTGTTCCAATAGTGTTTCTCCTACCTTCTCCCACTCTGTCCTATTTTGCTAATATTCTTGAACTGTTTTCTTTATGATGATATAGAGATAAGGAGACAAAGAAATTCAAATTGTGTTTGATCCAAGCCTTCACCAAATTTCTTCTGTACCTCTTCTCTAATGTGTTTTGATGAACAAACGCACTGTGGGATTTTTAATCCCCCAAAGTAATTAACTTCTTACTGGACATAGACTTTTAATAATTAAAGTCATATGATCATATTATAAAAATTTGGAAAATGGGAAAATTATTACCTGTACCTCTGCCACCCTAACACATTGCCATATTTCTTTCAAGCATTTTTTCTATATGTCAGTTTTTAAATTCAAATGTAATTTTAATCAGTGTGTATATGATTTATAGCATTGTCTCTTACTGTGCCATTTCCTTTTCACATGTTTTTATATAGCTTTTATGGCAATCATATTTCTAAAAGAAAAGATTATTAATTAAAGCAAGTATAATCAGAACTCATTTAACAAATGCTCATATTACACTCATTTTGGAATGGTGACTTGGAAGAATATTTGTCTGTTGCATTTTGCTATTGCCAACCAATTTTTCCCAATGACAACTAACATTTTATCTTTGAAAGAGTGCCTCAGTGACCATGGCTCTGTTAGCCCAGTCAGAGGCTTCTCTGCAAGGTGCCCATCTGATACAGGTGGGGCTCTGCATTCCCCATCAAATGCCTTTGCCTAATGTTTGAGCTTGTTCATGTACCTAAGGCCTTCTCTTTGGTAGGTGATGTATGTCATGAAATATTTGGCTATGAAGTAACTCAAAAAGCAAAGGAAGAGAAAGTGAGTGAGAGACAGTGACAGAGCATCTTTTTTCCTTGTTGCCTCAAATAGAGAAAAGAGTACTCTTTATGAGGGACTGTGTTAAATGCACAAAAGAGTGCTACCTTTACCCAGATTTTTTCTCCTTACTTTAAGAACATTTTTACTTAAGGTTTTTCCTCTTAAGCCCTATTTTGAGAAAAAAAATGATGTAGAATGTTAGGGTGGAGAGCTAGGAAAGGTGTGTTTTATTAATAAGTCTCTCAGTCATTATATTAGCTTCTAACAAATTACTCCCAATAAACAGTAGTGAATTGCTATTGATATAGAAAAATAGAGGATTACTTACTCCCTTCTTAGACACACACACACACACGAACACACATGCTTAATTGAATAATTACATTGTAAATTCTCATTAGGTTCAGAAGCATTATTAGAGGTGCTAAGTGACCCCCACACCTATGAATAACTTGTCGTTCTTTTTAAAAATTATAAATGATTTTCAAGTTTGCATTGAAATCATAAGTTAAAAAAACCAAAGCCCCAAAGGCAAAATGTAGGGCTGGTGAGAACCAATCCCACTCTGCCATTAGTTTACCATGCTAGCATGTGGCAAATCGTATTCTTCCCCTCTCCCCCACAGTATTCCTACTTATAACTAGAGCTTATAGCTTCAGGAAACAATTGGTAAGGTAGAGATGCAACATTACCAGTCAAGCTTCATAAAATTGACTTTAAAATCCTTTGAAAAATATGAAGGATATATTTAAGAATAATATTAATTAAGTCTCAGACAGTTTGCATATGGTTTTTTTTAAAAAAACATGCAATAAAAAAGACCTGCTTCTTATTTACACAGGCCAGTACTTTGAAATTTCTCATGGCAGAAAGCAGTCCTTCATGCACATAACCTATGAATTATCCTTGAAATAAAATGTTTAATTACAGTTGACATTTCTGAACCCAATGCAGGTGGTGCCCATCTGAAGAGTGACATTGTTTACTACACTACAAGGCTCCAGGCCTAGTGTCAGAGATTATAAACCAATTTCCATCCCTGCTTTAATGCTGGTTTAATATCAGAAGAAGAACTTTACTGTGTAAATATTAAACATTTTGTTTAAATATTAAGTACCAAAGGTCTTTTCCTTTTGATTATTAAAACAGGAAGAGCCCCAACTTTGAAAGAGGTGCCTTGTTGTATTAAGAAAATGACTGGTTCCTTACCTTCAGGTTAATTATCACTGGCCAGAGATGCATGCTAAGGCAAAATGTCAGTTGTCTGCTTGTGCCACTTTGAATCTTGGTCATTAAATGGCAATAGCTGACCAGGTGTCTGCATCACTAATAATGAACTTATTAAGAATTGTAGGTTTTTCTCTTATTCTTTCCCTAAGAAGTGATCTCATGATAACTGACCACAAGAAATGATGTTTTCTTGCTGGGCGCAGGTAGAGCAGGATGGGGAATCTCAAAGAGATGACTCACGAGTAACCCAAGAGTGGCATTCATTGGATTTGATCATCAGCAAACTACAAAGGAGCTAATCATTGAAGGGTTGACAAGAAGGGTCCATTGTAAAACATACGCTTGTTTGCCCAGCTAAGATTGAAATTAAACCAGGAAATTTATGAATACCTGACCTGCAGACAAATACACAAGATGGATAAGAACTCTCCTCTGAGAGATTGTATCTTCCAAGTAATTGCTATGGGAGCTACTATGAGAATATTCACAGTTCCTTTCAATCATGAAAAAATGAGCTTTGCTCTTTAATTTATAGCACATAGGGTTTGCTAGCTTTGTATCCTTTTTCTTATTTATTGTCTTAAAATTCTGGAGTAGAACACTCTGTGTCTATTAGGTAGGTGTAAGAGATCCAGATGTTGTTCTTAAATTGATAGCTATTGGGTCCGCCTTATTGAAGTACTTATAAGAAGACAAATAAACTTGAGTTTTAGGTTTTTGGTGTTCAAATAAATTCAACACCTCTAAGTACGGAAGTGTCTTTTGAATTCTGTCTGAGGCAGTTCTCATTAGAGGAATGTTTTAAAGCACAGTTGTTCTGATGAGAAAAGGGAAAGGGGCCTCGGTTGATTTCTTTTCTAGAACTCCTGAACCTATTAATATTTACATACAGAGGGATAGATGGAAACATTACAAAGCAGCTTGTAAGTGCTTCAATTTACCAGTACCTCAAAAGCACTTTTAAAATCTTTTCAATTATTCATTCAATTAACATGTGTATATTGAGCATCCATTTTGTGTCTGGCATTGTGGTGAGCCTTCACACATTTAAAATAGATCTGAAAAGTCAAGATTAATGTATTTGATACAATTAGAAAGGTGAATTACATATTAAACTGTTCAATGGTAGAAAAATAAGGTTGGCTAGTTAGGGTGTGATGAGATTTTATAAGACCTTAATAACTGGTGAAATGAGGTCAGGTGTGCTACCATCTTTGGGCTGCATGACTTTGAGAGACTTACATCACAGTTGTAAGAGGGTTATCTGGTAAGGGGAGAGGCTGAGATCAGAAAGTCCTGCTGGAGGCTATATTATTTTAAAAAGATTTAAGTTAGTACAGTGACAGTGGAAATGGACAGGAAGTGGATTCCAGAAAATTTCAAATTTGGTGGTTACTATTAGTTCTTTAAAAATTATTTCTCATTATATTTCCTCAGGAGAGATATAGAAAATGTAGCTCCAGAACAAGAGAATGAGTCAAGATTTGGAAGGCAGACATTGTTCTCTTGTTCAGATTACTGATACTCTGTGTGACTTCAGATTTTCTATAAATCCTGGTTTCTATGCCCCTAGATAACCATGGCAATAATAATGATCTAGCCATTAGGTACAATTTTTAACACTGAGTCATTTTTAACTTTGAACTTCCTATGTGAAAGACTGTTTGGAATTAAAGAAGTTGTTTTTAATGCCCAGGACTTACTTTTTTTCCATTTTAAGCCCCTGAAAGGGAGAAGGGCAGCTTGCATTTTGAATCAAAACTCATACATTATTAATCTTTAAAACATTAGTTTGCCTTTTCCTCATTTATATGTGTCATTTGTTAATATCCTTCAAATATTTCCTTTTTGAAAAATTTAAAGGCCTGCTTATTGAATGTCATAGTTTGATTTAAAATGATCTTATTTTCATTGTCAATACTTTGGTGAAATCTTTGAGATCTTGCCTTAGTTAAGATTACTTTAGTGTTCCAGTGCTGTTTTCCAATATACAAATATATTGTATATATTTGTATAATATACAAAATGCGAGAAACTTTTTATGCTAAGACTCTTCATATCTTCTACTAATAGTATCTCATGCCTACTTTTTATTCAAAAAACATCCATTGACTTCTTACAACAAGGATCTCTACCATGTGCACTGAAGATATACACCACAGTAAAAGAGATCTATTTTTCTAGGTGCTTACCAGCTAGTTGGGAAAATTGACATCTAAACACGGTGATGTAGTTAGGTGGCTTGTTAGTGGTACAAATAATTAGTGATATGGATTCATTCAGATGTATATCTATTACACAGGAAACATATGCCAAGCCTATAATGTACATGAAAATCAAAGGTGAACTCTGACTAAAGAAGTGTTTGAATTGGGCCCTGGGAGAAGGTATAGTTATAATACAGAAGAAAAACATTCCCAGCTCAGGGGACTCCTTTTGCAAACGTATCAAGGCACCAAAGCCCAAAGTGTGGCAAGGGAGAACAAAATGGGCAAGGAGGCTATTTTGAAGTCTGGGCTTAGTTCACTCTCAATACTCACAGCACATGGATAGAAATGTTTTAGAGTATTGCAACATGGAAAGAAAATATGGGGAACATTAATATATCAAGAAGGAAGCAGAAAAGGAATCTGATGAAACTGAACTGTTCCATTGCCTCTTGAAGAAATTTAACTCTTTAGAATTGTGCAATAGGATTTTCTTTCCATTCACCTCACAGGAGAAGATAGCTTTTAGCACTATGTGCTGGACATTTCTTGCCCTCTGGTTGGAGGTTACCTTTTCCAACTCATCAGAAGCAAATGGAGCACCTAACTTCCCTCACTGCTGATTTATGTATCAAGGAATCTGGGAAACATTCTATTTTCAAAAGTATCATTGATAGGAATGCTTCCACTTCACTCCAGGGCTCCTTACAGACCATGACACTTGTAGAAGTGTTAAAAATATTAAAACCCATTCAATGTGAAGGTTGAGGGATAAGTTCTCTGGAGATTCCTGAAACAAGAGTTACTTTAAGAGAGGTAGAACATCCTGGTCTTTTAATATTAGTCTGTGAATACAAATCACAATTATCAATGGACATTCCTTTTACAGAATGAAAATGCTTGTTTTTTAGCTCTTAAGAAAAAGACCTTCATAAATCCACCCATGATTTAGAATAAAACATTAAAAAACCTCACACTGATATGAATATAGAACAATGTTTTCCAATGAGGTCAAGCACATTAAAGAACAAATTAGGCTCTATCCAAAGTTGGCTTTGTTTATGTTATGTTTCTTTCTGCAGACCCCTTGATGATATGCACCACTTTTAAGTTTCTGAGAAATGATACAACATTGCCATTTTCAAGATATTTTTTTTACCTAACTTCCAGTGACCAGTATACATTGGTAAAATCACCTGCAGTTTTTGAATAGAAGAAATACATGTCTTCAAAGTGTATTTGTTTAAATATTGGTGGATTGGATTTGGATGGTTCTATGTTTCACCATGGAGATGTTTCTGAAACCTCTTACCAGCAGTTTTTAAAATTATGACAATTATAAATTAATAATCACAACTCTCCATTAAGTACATCAGTAAAACAGCACGAGATTTATTTTATTAACATATTTTGCTTCAAGTCCTTCCATTTTTAATTTTACTTAAAGCAAACTTTCAGAAAGAATTCTATATTCTAACTAAAGATATTCATATTATTTTAGGATGCCAAGTATTAAAAATCTAAGACTGACCCTCTGTCAAAAGAAATGTATAATATCAAAATGTTTCCTTGGCTATTTCATTGTTTTTCATGCACCATTGACAAAAATCAAATTTTGTTTTAGAAATGATTTCAAATAGATCCATTTTTGTTCTCCTGACATTTTAAACTTGCTTATGTAAAATTATTTCATCTTTTTTATTGAAAAGTACTGAGGATTTCAAAAGTCATGATACCTCCCCTGGTGTGGAATGATTATTGAATCAAGTTTAAAAATATGAAAGATACTAAGATAGGGAAGTGGAATAGCTGGGGCATTTTTTGAATGTGTGTGTGGCATCACTGCAGACAGCATCAGACTAATGAAAAGAATACACACGCAAAATGTGCTGCTCATTTCTTGCCTAAGCAGGTAGAATAAGGAAAGCCATGCTTGCCTTTTCTTATAATTTACCCACGTTTTAAAAAATGTATTAGTAGTTGTTTAACAGCAGTCTTTAAAAAAATTATCTCAAGGTAAGTAACAAATTATATCAGGTGAAAAGGAAAGAAGGCCAATTTATTCTATTTCACATCAGGAATAAAACCTAGCATGAGACATATTGATAAAAGTTGTGTGGGCTGGTAATTTTCGCAACCTACCTACAAGGGAATAATACATATTCCAGATATTCAAATAATATGTATTACAGAGATGTGAAGGCAAGGAAATGGCTCTGTCAGAAAGAAATACAACCGGAGGTACCCTTCATTTGAAGAAATGCACAGAAAAGATCCTCTATTAAAGAGTCCCTTATAAGAATGATTGCTTGTCCTATGTATTAATTCAATCCTATTAATTACAGCAAATTGATTACTACATTTTGAAGAAAATATGATTATTTATTATATATTTCTAATTCTAAGCAGTATAAACTAAGAAGTTTCCTTTCTATTATCCCAAACTTAACTCCCCATATCTGTTTTTCCTTTTTGAGAGGTCTATGAACCAGAAATTACACTTCAACACATTCCATTGATTACTGAAGCTTGATCTTAAGTGGTAAATTTTCAGCGCATAGCAGTGAGATTTGGCTGTGTAATTCCTATTAATACTAATAACAGTCAATTACTGGATCCTGGATTGTACCTGAAGATTTTCTCCTAAAGCCTAAACACATTAAAATGATTTCTTTTAGTCAAACTTAGTATCAGATATAGTGTAAACTTTCATGAACTGGAGAGAAAAGATCTGAATGAAAAAAAAAAAGAAAAGGAGTCACTATTACAAAAAAAAAAAAGACTACTTGACCTTGTTGAACAAATTCATATTGCTTTTGTATCTTAGCAAACATATACAGGGTTGATGGAGAACATTGCAAGAGCCATTTTGCAATGACATATCAACCTTCATGCAGCACCTATAAAAAAGTCATGCCATTCCCATATGCATGCATCAGCAATGTGCATGATGTTTTGCTGCCTCTGATTAGCAGGATTTTCCCAGATCTGTAATAATTTGGAGAGTGTGGCCAAAGCTTAATATATGGGCCTTCATTGAGTTTAGTTTGGTTTTCATTCTGCTTCATTTGACACTCCCATTTCCAATGAAATTGGTAGTCAATACAAATTAATTTCTCAAAAATGTTTCCTCCTACAAATCCAGCCTTGAGGAAACATTTCCTAGAGAAGCGTTGTCCTTAGGCAATATCGTACTTTGTCATAAGCTTGTGGTAGCTACTCTTGGAGTTGGCTATGACCCATTTGGGAGGCATTACACTCTCTACCCGTGAAACTCCAAATCCCCCACTACCAGCCCTAAAAGCCCACTTGAATACTTTGAACATTGATTCTTTCCTTTACCCAGGCATCCATCCACTCTAGTGGCTGAATTCCAGATCCTCAGCCAGACTAAAAACTATATGACTTTTGGACAAATTGATTATCTTATTTGAGCTTTCTTGACTTATCTATAAAATAGGGATAATAACAGTACCTATCTTGTAGGGTAGGTGATGAAATTAAAGAAGTTAAGGAATGTAAAGCCTTTGAAATAATGCCTAGCACATAGTAAGCACTACTAAATTTTAACTATCATAATCCAGTGGATCTTTGTATATCTTCCTCTTATTGTTTACCATAAATATTTACAGCCGTTCTTCTCTCCTTCACCTTATTAGGCAGATGTTGTTTCTGCTGCTCAGTCCTTAGGCACTTGTTTGGCTGTACAGGCCAATGGAAGACAGAATGGGAAGGAACTAAGAAAGACCAGACTGACAAGGATCAGAAAGGACATAGAGCAACACAGAGAACAGAATTTGTTTGGAAGACAGGAAGGAAGAGTGTGAGGAGAGGTATCAGGAAGC
The DNA here is from genome assembly GCF_000001405.40 of Homo sapiens. NCBI lineage: Eukaryota > Metazoa > Chordata > Mammalia > Primates > Hominidae > Homo > Homo sapiens. The sequence goes on along the minus strand of NC_000001.11, from coordinate 88,106,204 downwards.
CAGAAAATTCATCCATGGGCTAATTTAGGAAGAGAACTTGTGTGAGGAGTGGGAAAGAGAGAGGAAAAGGATAGTGGAGGTAAGGGGCAGGAGAGGAAGAGAGAACAGGAAGGGAGAGGAGGAGGATACACCAAGCTAAGGAAGAGCCTCAGCAGGTATGGGTGAAATCTTCAGCTGCAGGCAGTGCTGTTCACTCTCTAGCATCCTTCTGGAGACTTCGCTAATGGTTTAAATTATTTGCTTTCCTTCCTCCTTTACCTCCTTTCCTCCTTCTTCTCTTCCCACTCCTTTTCATCTTCTCTTTTTACTTTAATGTGAGCTTTATTTTATTGATTTGCGGGATGGTGCTGGTGCAGTGCCATTTTCCTTCTGGGCAGGAGGACTCTCTGGGTGCAGACCCCAACAGCGTCTTGCCCGCCATGTTTCATGGAGCTCTCCAAGGAGGCAGAGCCACTTGCCCCCAAATCACATGAATACTAAGGCTGAATCTGCTGTTTCAGATCTCTTTTTTCACAAACCAATCCAGCAGCCCAATAATACATAACAGTTACATTTATAGCACTTCTGATCTCTGTAGTGTTTACAATGTTTTTGTTCTCATGGTCTCATTTGTTTCCTCCACACAATTTTGTACATTTACAGGCCAGAAGCTATCATTCCTATTTTATAGAAGAGGAAATATATGTCTCAGAGATGTGCTGGCCCTAGCACTAGTAAGGTGCTGTGACTCTTGTTATACATTCATTCTACTCCAGCGCAACATCTTCCCAAATGTTTCCACAGAACTAGAGGGCTCACGTGATCTCTCCATTCTCTGAGCTTCTAGAATTCCCTCGGTGTCTTCGCCAGCATTTCATAGTTTTCCTTTATTTGTGTACTAATTGTTTTAGGTTTGTTTAGCCTCTGTAGCTCAATGATAAAAGCTCCTTTTGGCAAGGGGCTAAGTTTTTTCAGGATGTACAGAGTCTCTATTTGAGGCTGCCGGTCCCAAATCAGGGTTTTTTGTTTTGTTTTGTTTTTTGCTCTGGTGCAGAAGCCTGACACTGGACTGCATCTTTTTACTTTTCAGTTCTGGGAAGGCTTGCTGTGGGTCATGCTACTGATGTGGAGATTAGAACCCACAACCTCTGAGTGCCCTCTCTGTGGTTTAGCCCTTTGAGCCATACTGCATTTAGGTTTAGTAATTAGCACTTAGAAAGCCATTGAGGTCAATCCCCATTGCGCCTGTACAAAATTTGGATTCATTTAATTGTCAAAGCCTCTTAGAGAACATTTCTGTGTAATTTGGTGTATTGAAAAATAAATTAAACTAATGCTATTATCTATATTCCCTTAGAATGGGATGCAGCAATATTATATGGACAGAACAAAAATCTATAATAGTCACATGTGTGGTAAGGTGACATTCAGATGCATCTGTTTCTTCCCATAAAGTCACCTGCTGGAAGCCTACTGAGTAAATGTTAATGAATTTGGGTGTACCTTAGCTGCAAATGGATCAGACCTTCCTAATGTAACATTACAGCAACCTGGATTCACTTGGATTATTCTGCTGATTTAAATTAAATTGAACACCAAAGCCAGCAAAATGTATTAGAGAGGAATTAGATGTGCTACAGAAACATTTAAAGAGTGCTCTTAGAACTCAAAGAAGAGGAGGAAGAATAAGAATATCTTTTTGTTATCCTCTAGCTTAGAGGCTGAGACATGCATTTGGCAAGATGGACACGATGATTCTATTGTGTGAGCAGAATTTGCCATGTAACCTCCATTAATGTTTAAAGATTGCTCCATAGTTTAATCTTTAAAACATCATGCTGAAAGTATGCCATCAAGAGCCTGCCAAATTTGGTTTTAAAATGCAGCTGGTTTTTAGCTAGAGGTGAGGAAAAAACATTAATGAGTTGTTTTGTTGTTGTTTTTACTGTCTCAAAAAGTTAAAACTTAGATTCCTCTTTTGATCAGTTATATGAAAAATTGTATGCAATTGCCTCTCAAATACATTTGGAATTTGTAAGTGAAGGTTTTAAACCTCTCCTCCTATATTTACGTATTTCAGTCTTCTACAATGTCGGGGATCTCTACCATGTCTGGAATAATATGCTGTACTTAAGTCTAATGTATTTAATTAATTTCTACCCATGTCCATTCACATTTACAACCCATTACTTTGTGGCTTCTCATATATGTCATCTTCTCATTGTGAGAATGTAAATATTCAAGTATATAATTCTGGGCTCTGCTTTTCATGTAGCTTCTCACTGTGGTTTTTAAGATTTTCTTTCTAGTGCTTGCTGACTTATTAATCTTATTTGTAAGATACATTTGGTCAGTCAGCAACAAATACAGAAATTCATTTAATTTTGACTATTTTTTTTCTCATAGGGAAGCTTCCTTGTGAAAGTAACCTAAATATGTTCTGCTTGATAATATTGGTTTTCAGATTACTTGTACAATTGTGAATGAAATGAGTTGTTTTTTCAGACTTCATGAGGGATTCTCTTCTCTTCCTCCCTAATACTCACAATCTCACTGGTGATGTCTAGGCCAGAGTCACTGTTTACTATTATTATAGCCTCCAAGGGCTTTCCTTGTACAAAATGATACACACAAAACAATACATAATACATGATGCCTACTCTTAAAGATCTCAACACAGAGTGGGAATTGCATGATAGATGCTGATGTTTGGACAACAGCTGGACAAAAATTTCCAACGTTCAAAAAATTTCAACATGATTTGTTGTAAATTAGAAAAGTTCTATGGTAAACAGTATAAAACAGCCAACTCTGTTTTATAATTACTATTGAAGAGTCATTATTCTGAATCCTTCATCAGCTTATTAACATGAAGCACACATTCTATGGCCAATACTGAGAGCATTGCGCTTTTTTGGTCGGAGTTATGGTTTTCTACCTTTTTTCCATTCCAATGGGATTTTTACTACAAACGAAATATTCTCATGGTGGAAAATGTACAAAACAAATACAGTTGGAGCATGGTTCAATATAAACATTACAGATAGAGTATGTACATATACATTCATCATATGTGATATGTACATACTATGTATATAAATATAAACTTTCTAGTAGGCACATTAAAAAGTAAAAAGGAACAGGTGAAATAATTTTAATAATATATTTTAACTTCAAATATTTAAAACATTATTATTTTAACATGTAATCCATACAAGGTAACTACAATGAGATATTTTATATTCTCTTTTTCATACCAGGTCTTCAAAATCTTGTTTTACACTTACAGCACATCTGAATTCAGACTAGCTGCATTTCCACTGCTCAGTGGCTGCATAATGGCTACCATATTGGTCTGCAAATTTAGATGTAATGGTTGTAGGAGTTGAGAGCACTAAGACTCCCTGTGTTTGAATATTACTTCTGCCTCTGTCCTTCTGTGACCATGGGCAAGTTAATTAAACTTTCTGAGACTCAGTTTTCTAATATGTAAAACAGGAGGGTAAAAATTGCTTCTATCTCATCGAGTTATTATGAGGTTAAAGGAATTCAAAATACCCCAAAAATAGTAAATATACTGCATTAGAGGACGCAAAGGGACTGGTATTACTGAGGGAGTTGCCTGAGCCTTCCTCAGGTAACTAAAGGTTTTTAAAGAAATGCATGATATCATAGTTGTATTTCCATGTTCACCACATTTTGTTACCCTGGCCATCAAATCATGCCATTTTCAATGCTTAGTACCCTTGTCTTCTTTGGGGAGTATCCTTCTCCCACTTCAGGTATTCAGCTAAAATGCTTTATTATGCTTAGTTTTTAAAGCAGCCAAAGGTTGAAAGTAAGAAGTAAAGACTAAGCCTTGTTTGAGCTCTTTTGAGGGTCTATACTTTTTCTTTGGGATAAGTAAGTTGGATAGAAAACTGATTTTTCCATAGTGCTCACTGGCTGAAACTATACAAAAAAAAGTGGAATTGTTTACATTCCTAATTATACAAATATTCTGCTAGATCCAGAGGAAAATATGACCCATTTTTGTCAACACATATCATGACTGCAAAAAGTGGGATGGCAGTGCTTATATCCTTCCAAATTCATGGACACCATGACAGTGTTGTGGAAAAGCCTATTGTAAGTTACAGTATTCGCATAGCTGCCAACCACCTATAAGAAGTGCCAAACATCAATAACTGTCTACATTGTCCAAAGGAAGCAGTAAGGACAAGCATCAATGATACTGTAACCAACATTATAATTGCTTACCAAGGGGACAATGTTAATTCATGACTGCAGTATCCCTTGAAGCTAGCCAGAGACAAATAAAAACAACAGTAGGAATTCAATCAGACCATCCAGGCTGGCTAGGGCCCATAGAGCTATCAGAGGCCAGACAAGACTCAAAATTACCATTCAAGCCCTTAGAAAGAGGGAAATTGCAGAGTATGCTGTTCAAAGGTGGTGTTTCTGTCTGCCATAGAATTTCATGGCTCCTTTTAGTCCTCAGGGAGGTGTCTGAAAAAGATCATTCGTATATTTTCTCCTGGTAAGAAACAATTAGAAAGCCCTGTTGAGATATGAGGAACTTGAGAGTTCACTTTCTCCAGTTCCCTAAATTACATATGAAAAGAGCAAGGCCCAGAGAAGTTAACTGATTGCTCAAAGTCACACTGCCAGTTCCTAAGGATGTCCAGGACGGAAAGACAAATCTGCTATTCTGGCCTTCTGCACATTAGTCTTTCCAGGCTTCCTCATTATTCTCCTTTGATTTTGCTAGGGCAAGAATAATTTTCTCTTTCTCTTCTTATTGTAGCTGTCATCCTAAGAATGGGAGAAGAACTCAAGATGGCAGTGGCAAAAAAATCTTTCTTCTTTGTAGAAATCCCCAGACTGAAAAATCCATTCGGCCAGCCTCTCAGGGCTTACTTTAACAGTGGGCAGTCTTGTGATTCAGTAAACCTAGATCTGGTGACCTCACTGAAGGTGTAGCACATAAAAACCAAAAGAAAGTGTGACCAGGTTTTTGTTCTTGTTGTTGTTTTGGTACTTTTAGTTGTCATGGTACCTGCCTGTTTCATTCCTTTTGGTCACATAAGTTTTAGAATTTATGATGGATTTTTGGTTTAGCAATTATGCCATTTTCTGTGTAGGCATTGTGACTTTTTGAATTAAAGTAAGGAGAAGAACTTTGAGCATTTAGAAATGTCAATGCTGGTATTTTGAATTATCAAAGAAAGACGTTGCAGCATGTTTCTGCAATACCTTCTACACTGTCTCCAAGTTCCAGAGTCTGGATTGTTCTGTGTCAGCATACTGAATTCCATGCAAGCACTGTGAAAGTGCCTGTGAATGCCTAAAATACAATCAGAAAGTATCTTGGAGTTTGGTAAAATGTAAGTCATTAAAAACACTTATTTATCCTTAGAGTTAAATATAGAAAATTTCTCTTTGGTGTTTCCACCAAATCTAGGTAGCATCCTGTTTGCAGAGAGGTTAAGTCTCTAGAATGCTCATCTAATGTTAAAAATTAACTTGTCTTATAAATAATAGTTTATTCTCACAAATACTAGTTTTTTGGGCTGCTGTGGAACTGTGCTGAAAGCTCTGGACTTTGAGTTACAAGAAGTGAGATTTTTAAGGCTCTAATTGGCCACTTATTAGGAAACACTATGTACCTAAAATGTCTACAATTAGGATTCAATAACATGTGAAGCAACATGCAAATTATGGAGCTTTGTACAAATGTAAAGTCATATTATCTTGCTCAAAATCTAATACATATTTTCTTTTACATTTTGAAATCATTTGTACTTATATAAAGTATATTCTATATGATAGTGATTATGTCCATATTGGAGATGTTTATTGATAAGCTTCCTATCTAATTTTTGTTACCCATTTATTTTAACAAAGCTTACTTTATAGCCGACTTAAAATTTGCCTCAAATAGTCAACTGACGATGGCTACAGCTATCAGAGCCACTGTTTATGCTACAAAAATCAAACCGAACATTTTTAAAAATTTCCACAGAAGATTCCAGCTAATGAAAGCACCATTTGTGGTGTGCTAAAACATGCGCACACATAGGTATTGCCCCATTTATCAGACATGAGAGCTAATTACCTCATACACCACTATATCTCTTCCACTCTCTGCATTTCAATTCCCAATATTAACACATAGGTGGTCAAGCTGACCATCGAATAGCCTGCATGAGCATGAATGCATTAAATAATTTAATGTTGGAAGAGTTTATTAAACTGCCACATTCTAATCAGCATGCGTACCTGCTTTCATTAATTTTGCACTGGTCCATGGTGTGTCTCTACAGCCAACACAGAGAGCACTAATGTTAATAGGAGCTCTTAACAAACAGGACCAGTTAATCAAGGAAAATTTACTATTAACCACATGACCATGCATACTGCAATCTAATTACAATCAGATTTAACCCTCACCCTGCCACACCCATTTAGACATCTTTCTTATTATTTGTCAATAAAACTGCAGAAAATTGAGTATCATTATTTCATTAGAGTGAGAAAGATATTTGCATCTGCACATGATTATGAACATGAGAGGGTTTTCTGTTGATACAGTTCCATGTCTGAAAGATTTGATTTTGTTAAAGATCATTTGGGAGAAAGCCCTGGTGCCAGCTCCTAAATATTTTTAATTTTCTGAAAATAACTGATTATAAAGAAAGTTTCTCCAATTGAACTCAATATTCTGAGCTGGTTCAGGAGAAATTTAGCATTTGGCAAATTACAGTTATTGCTGTGTAAACGGTGTGAATATAATTTCAATCATTTAGTTTGACTGTTTAACAAAATAATCTAAAACATTTATGTGAAGTCTGATAAAATAGGTGCTCCATTATTTAACCATGTTTGGTTACCTCAGTGCTAATGTACTGGAGAAACACGTACCATGCTAACCGTTTTGCATATCTAGAAACAGCACATAAAAGCCAAAAGAAAATGTGACCGGATTTCTCTTTGTTGTTATTTTGGTACTTTAAGTTGTCATGGTACCTGCCTGTTTTATTCCTTTTGGTCACAAATTTCCACCATAAGTTTGTGTGTCATTATGATGGATTTTTGGTTTAGCAATTATGCCATTTGCTGTGTAGGGGTTGTGACTTTTTTAATCAAAGTAAGGAGAACTTTGAGAATTTAGAAGTGTCAATGCTGGTATTTACGAATTACCAAAGAAAGAAGTTGCAACACATTTTTTCCCCCAGTATTTTGTCTTATAATCATTTTGCTGCTTGGAATATTAGCCCACACTAAAGACTTAAAAAAAAAGAAATCCCAGGAACTCATGAAGAATTTCTGCTCGATGACTGTTTAAATACTTTCTTGACAGATGTTGATTATCCTGTTTCAGACATTACTTTCTATTGGGGCTGATAAAGACTATCTTCCTTTGGTATATTTTATTTTATTGTAAGTCAAACTACCTTGCTTTAATGATGTAGACAATTCTGTATATGTTGGCTATGGGATCAGATGAACTATAGAGTGGGTTTGGGTAATGGATAGAATTTTATTCTGTATCATACATAGTACAGTAGTTCTTTATCTGTATTATATTTTCTCCTGTAATTCATGGGTTTGTAAGTGACTTTTACAGTTTTACTTCTTAAAAAGCAGCAATCATACCTATCTTACCGCTGTACTATCTAGCAGCCTTACCTGTTGGAATATTAACACTTTCAAATGTACAGTTGGTTGGATAGCATTCTATTTACAGAGGAATGTTACACAAGGACCCTCCAACTAGAATGTAGTCTCGAAAGAACATTTAAAATGTGATGTGACATACAAAAATTCAATGCACATAATTTACCATGAGCCTGTGCATTATTTGAGGTGATGGTGAATTCTTCATTTCTCTAACTCCTCTCTCAGAAACAGGCAGAACAGGGTAGGGGCTGGCAGATACTGCTGCAGAAGTTGCAAGGCCACTGGGAAAAATAGGAGAAGGGTGCTGAAGAACCCACGTCACACTCTTCTGAGAGCTCTGACTTAAGAAAGGGAGACTGAAGAACCATACCTGTCTTTCTTTATTAGAAATCCTAAGAAATTATAGAGTAATAACATAGTTAAAGGGAGAAAATTGTTTTGAATTTAATAAAGAAAAAACATTTTCTGACTTGAGTGGTATAATGTTTTCCAAAATGGTTGATTAAATATGTATGTAAGTAAATCTTTTGGGAGCCAATATTTCACATTTAGAATATCTTTGATTTGCCTATCTGTTGTCATCTTGATTTTTGACTACATCTTATCTGTGTATATGGTTATCTAGGCAAGCCATAAGGTTAGGTGAAAACACTGTGCAAGGAGTAGGGAGATTTGAAATGTGTTTTTAGTTCTGCTTAGTTCCCTCATCTGTAAAGAGAGTGGTAAATTAGCTCATCTTCAAGGATTTCTGAACATGTTAATTTTAAGTATACAAAGTAATAGAATCCAAGACAATACTGCACATAAGATACTCTTCAGAAGTTCAGAAATCTTAGATAGGCAGTCAGGGAAATGTTAAATAAATGACTTTATTTTTTTATTTTTAAAATTTCATGTTCAAAATAAAGGGCATCCAAATTCAGATCCCTTTCTTTTCTTCCAATCCTTGTAAGATGTACAAATTTTACATGAGGGATGATAATGCAATAGTACCCTATATGACTCAAATATAATTTAGTTTGGAAATGTCATATGATAATCCCACATAAAGCCCTATTTATCAAAGGCCCGAGCTGTCAAGTCGTGATGGTGCTTTGATTATTTTACACATTATTTACACAGGGAAGAGCCAAAAGGTGCATTCCACACATGATTTAAGAAAGAAAAAGGGCTCCTTAAAATGGAGAGTTTATCCTTTACACAAATATTGTTAATTTTGAAAATGTGAAAGAATAGGAGCATTAAGTGGGCTAGACCATGGTAAACACACACACAAACTACAAACACACACATAGATGTGTACACATACATATATAGAAACATAAATCACCATTGAATAGGAGAAAAAATTCTGATGTAAGAAATGCATCAGTGCAAGGAATATGAACAAAATAAAATAAATAGCGTTTACCCTGGGTAGTGGTATTCATAGAAAGTATTCAGAAATTAAGATTTCTCAACTACAAGGTGATGCAAATTTGCTTTAATGACCCACAGAGGGTTGGGGCCAGGAGCCAGGAAAGGAGAGGGAGATGGGTAAAGAGGATTTTTGGTGAGTTTGATGCAAGGTTTACAGACTCACCTGCCATCCAGGGAGGATGAGTCCCAATAGGAAAACACTAAGAGTACTCATTTGTGAATGTACATGCATATAGCTCAGCATACATGCAGAGGTGTGCAAGCAAACATCTCAACTAAGTCAGTAATCCATGTTCTTCTGGGGGAAGGTAAGGCTAGGAGAGGGAAGGAACACAATGGAATAGGTCTTTCACCTGCTGCATCTATGTGTGTTTACTGTGTTAGCCCAATATGACACTGGCAATTCTTTTGAGACATAGGTAGGAAAAATGACACTGTGTGGGAAAGAAATTAAAATAGAAGAGGAAATCTTGAGTCCCAGAAATGAAAACTGAAAAGAACACTTTCCATTTCCTTTAGTTATTTTCTCTGCATCTTCTTTCCCTCCTCAGTAACTTCAATTTATTGTGATCCTTCTCTAGGGAGCACCTACATAGTTTCAGGTGGAGCCCCAAATTGAACTTGTCCTTGGGTCATACTTGCCTGGGGTAATATCACATCCTGTATGGTGTAACTACTCTGATAGTTGTCCAATTCAGGATATTTCTGGACCTTAATGGTAAATGAACCACAATATGAGATTTGCTTTGCAAGAAGGAAACCTCTAAAAATTCTACTACAAATCTACCATGAAGATCTAACAAACAATATTTTTCATGATACAGTTACCATTGAGAGTACCAAGACTGGATCAAATATTCACAGAAGATATGGTATAAGATTATCATGCTAAAAATGACTCCAAAATGCCAAAAAGAAAACCATAGAATGGATTTTAAGAAATCTATTAAATGCCTACATGATGTGCTATCATGCCAACTTAATTGTTACATTTAGTGTTCATTAAAACTTCACTGCATTTGAAAACAATTTGTAGGTTTAGATTTTCTCATTGCAAAATTTCCATCCATGCATGATTGCTGAGAGCTCATAACAAATTGTGAATCAAGTGAATCACTTATAGCCAAATAATTACCAAAAAAGTTTTACAAATATCCTTTCAAAAAATGACAACAATATTAGGCTGAATGGGGGTCATGGGTACACTTTTAGAAAGTGTTGACATGTTGCGGGGAAAGGTCTCCACGTGTAAGAAGGCCTAAGACCAACGGAGATCTGAAAAAGGACCTGAGTAAGGAGTCAACTGTCTTAAAGCAGTTTCCCTGAAGGTACTGGTGTTTTAAGGAACTATTACTGGAAGAATTTTCTCAAGGTGACAAAGCTGCATTCTTTATTCTCAAGTACTCTCAACAGAGGGCATCAAGTTAGTCTCGAATATCTGTAGTGATGGTAGATGATTATCTGAAGCCCTTGCAGCAGCTTGGCTCTCCCTGGGGCTTGAAACAGCTCTTGGATACCAAGCACTCCCTGAAACACAGTTGTTAACGATAATGATACACTAGACGTGGGCTCACTTTGACTTTCTACACTCTTCACATGAGCTATTGTAAGCCTGTTCTACTTTCACAGAAAGGCATTCAGCTGAAATTTTCTCTTATGCTGCTCAGCATGTCTTGATGGGAATGCTTCTCTCAGGACATCCCTGGGCTTGGTGTGTCAGTCATATTAGGAAAATGTTCCTCAAGTCAACCTTAGACAGTTTCCTGGAGGAACTCTTTTCCAGGCAGGAGTTTTTTCTTTTATTTTAGGTTCCATCTTCACCCCGATAATTTTTGATAAATTAGAGTTGGCAAATGTTTATTTACCTCAGACTAGTTAAGAAACAGTAAATGATGTTCCTGAGCCGCAAGATTAGGATCCACCTGGATCCTCAGACAGAACGTTAAATGAGGCTGGTAATTTTTTAAACATTTACTCTGAGAAGCCACACAGTTGGTGACTGTTAAAACTGTGTTTTGTTTTTGTTTTTGTTTTTGTTGTTGTTTTTGTTTTTCCTTGAATTGTGTTATGTGCTGGCCTGGAATTTATTTTCTGAATTGTACTAAGTGGATGATAGTAATTTACATTATTACATTTTGGGACACAGCACTATCTCTACTTTCTCTCTTCATCCTCTTCCTTCCTCTAGCTCCTCTCTCTCTCTAATCCTGCCTTCTACTTTGACTTGCTTTTGGGCAAAGTTCTATTAGCAATCTTTGTTATCTCTCTCAGGGTCTGCTTTCTTCTAGAAAAGACTCATTCTTATAAAAATCATGATAGTTTGACAAGCTGAGGGCAATTACCTGATCAATATCAGTCAGAATGAGAAGCCCATGATGGATGCCCCTTTGGATTGAAAGAAAAGCAGCAGAGACATATTAAATTAAGCTAGTCTCATTTGGCCCATCACCAGAAGATACTGAAGCAACGTAATTTGACCTTTAAAAAATCAAGAGACCGTCTGCATCATCCCAGCATGAAGAAAGGTCTCAGACGTGGTAATTAGAGAATTGCAATAATTGCTGGTTTTGCAACAAAGGATGTTTTTCAAGTCTTTGGGTCTCAAACTACAAATTTAAAAAAATTAGTGAGCTCATTTTCTCAGTTGCTATAGAGTATGTGGGGATAGTGCATGGGGCAAGGTGGACATAAGACAAAATTGGGAAGAAGGCATTGCCAACTCTTCAGAAACTGTAAGTCTTAACCTACTCTCTCTAACTTGGCAGGCTAATAAATGTTTTAATTATACTTTTAGCTTGATACTACTTCTAAAGCCAAACAGTAAATCTCTTTAGATTATGTTGTCATTGGCTGTTAACATAGCTAACAAGGCAATAGATCTCAGATATTTAACCATTATTACTTCTCATTGGCTCAAACCATCACAATAAACAACATGTACACTCAGAAAAATTAATATATCCTCAAATCCAAACATCACTATGAAAAGGTCACCTTCACCCAGTAACTATTCACAACATTTTTCATGTTTGTACAGTTATGGAAATGAGCAACACTGTAAAATTTTATTTAAATCATCTCCCTTTCCCTGTGACAATATCAAAAGGCATGTTTCTCAACTTTTTTCTCTTTATCTGATCCAAAGATCTATGGCCCTGACAGCAATAAACAAAAACACACAAAATTGAACATTCTGGGGACCTGGCATGGGAAACTGTTCATAGGAATCCAGAGTCAGAGGGAGCCTTAAAAAGCTGTCTTTCTGTTCCATATTCTCAAACTTTAGATGTGTAAAAATTACCTGGACAGCATTATCCACTATGCCTGGGTAGGGTCCAGGGACCTGTATTTTCACAAGTGTCCCCCGGTGATACTATGCTGGCGGTCCATGGACCACATAGTGAGGAGCACTACAGAAAGTACACAAGCTTAAGAAGGTACAGCAGCTTAAAGTGGTGAAAGTCAGTCACTTTTTGCAAAGGCTACCATGGAAGTGGACTGAGACTCATTCAGTCAAGTAACACATCCAACGCTTTGGCGTTCTGTCACTTGCCTATTAAGAACTGCCACTTTCCTTTTTCTAGCTAGAATCTCTTTGTTTCGTTTCAGTCCATTTTGCTTAAAGGTATTCCACTTGTAAAAGTGCTCCTAGGGACGATGATGTGTTTTATTTTCATCTTTTCCTATCAAATAAGTGCCACCCCCCCTGCTTTCCATATAGCTGACTTCAATATCCCAGACTTCCAGATACTTCCTAAGTGCAGGTCACTTTCTTGCCAGGAAGAAGAAACATTTGTTAACCTATTTTTTTCAGAGTAAAAGCCAGAGTCCTTGTGACATCAGCACCTCTATTCTGCCTCTCACCCTCTCACGCCAGTCGCAGTGACCTCCTTGTTCCTCAAAAATGCCAGACATTCTCCTACCTTAGGGCCTTTATTCCAGCTATTTCCTCTGTTTAAGACACTCTCCTCCTAGATATCCACTTCAAGTCTTTGCTTAAATCCCACCTTCTCCTCCTCACCACATTATTTAACAGTGAAATCCAACCTTTCTCTCTTTATTCTTGATCACCATTACATGATCCATACGTTTTGTCTTTTTTTCCCATAGCACTTCCTTATAGCATATGATATAATTTACTTTTAAAATATTGTTTATGTTTGTTACTCCCTATTGCTATTATAAACTCCACGAAAGTCAGCAGCTAGAACAGTGCCCAGCACATGGATGAAAGCATGAGTCTAATAGCCTGTGATAGTTGCCGTTTTACAAGCATTTGCATCAAAATCTATGACAGGCTGGAGGAGGCAACAGTCATGAAGGTGGAAACTCACATATTCTTCAGATTCACATAAATTCATATGTGATTCAGAAAATATATTTGATTAGTAGTCATTCTAGATGGGTCTTAAATTACACTACAAAAATTATTAACCTCTCAGCCTACTTCTCCAGTCAGCTGTTTCAAACTCTTTAACGTGAATACTGATTACCACTACAACAACTGAGGACAGAGTAATCAGAGAAAGTAGCCACCTATAAGGAAAAAGTTGCTTGATTGAGAGCCATAATTAGCATTATCCAAATTATATCAAATATATTGTTAGGGACTTGATGTTATCTTGGCGTTTTTGGACACATCCCTAATGGTACCTATTTTGCCAAATTTATGGGAATAGCTACCTTTATGGAGAACTTGGGATGTATTATACAAGATGCTAAGTGCTTCACAAATGTTATCTCCCTATTTCTTTAAAACAGCCCTATTAAATGTAGTGTCATAATTCATTGGCTTGCAAGTGAGAGAAAATCCAGCTCGCACTGTTTTAACTGAAAACAAACAAAAAAGAGAAAAAAGAGTGTATGTGGTTCATGTACCTAGAAAGTCAAGAGAAAAAAAAATGTATTGCTATCGATTACTCAAACACTAAAAATAACATAAGCGAAGTAAAAATAATGTCAACTAAACATTTAAAAATGAGAAGTCGAGTAATTATTCTAGAATTATATTCACATGCTTTAATTCGTTTTAAGCCATGTCTGTCTTAGCACCGTGTAACAAGTGTTTTTCAAAAGAATGCATTTTTTCAATATTGTCTTTTTTTGTTTTGTTTTGTTTTTGAGATAGAGTCTCACTGCTCTGTTGCCCAGGCTAGAATACAGTGGCACAATCTTGGCTCACTGCAGCCTTGATTTCCCTGGGCTCAGGTGATTCTCCGACCTCAGCCTCCCAAATGGGCAGGACTACAGGCATGTACCACCATGGCCAGCTAAGTTTTTTTTTTTTTTCGTAGAGATGGGGCTTTGCCATGTTGCCCAGGCTGGTCTCGAACTCCTGGGCTCAAGTGATCCACCTGCCTGGGCTTCCTAAAATGCTGGAATTACAGGTGTGAGCCACTGTGCCCCACCATAGTTTTGTTTTGTTTTTGTTTTGTTTTCCATAAATGCAATCTTCTTCCACGTTGCATTTTAGTGTTAATAAATTTGAAATTTTTGACATTTCCAATAAATTTTTCTCTATACATCATATTCTGAATTGAGAATAAAGTTTTCCACATAAGTGTTGAGGTACTGTGTAACTTCAGAGCATGTTCTACAAAATGGAGAATATTCTTAATTTTTTTGTACTGAAATATGTAAATATTTCAGACCAAATATTTTCACAGGTACCGTCTTTGAGGACCTTTCTATGATAAATATTTTCACACAGCAAAACTCATCAAATGAGTATTCTCTATGATTCTTATGAATGTTTTCCTAACTATAGATAATATAGACACTATAAGATCATAAACCTTCTCAATTTCATCGAATTCCAGTATATAATACAGACTAATCTGTATTATATATAGGAACTTTATCATACAATCTTCCCACAAATTGAACTATTCCAAAGCACAATTATAAAATTTCAGACTTAAATCTCGCATGATGTTTCAGCTTTCATTGTTTTATTTCTTCACTTCCTCCTTTGCTTTTGTAGAAATAAATTTCATCATTTTATGTCCACACTTCATGTTCATAATAACTTGTGTTCATTGTTCACAACAAAACAAAATTTGGAATCATTTATAAAAGTGCACAATATCTTATGAAGCAAGAAGGCTGATTTAAAAAGCAGTACTTCAAAGGTACAAATGTTTCTAAAACCCATTTTATAATGGATAGCAAAGGGAGGAAGCTTGTATTTTCATGTTGAAGTATTTTCTTTTCTGTATTCAACAGTGTTATCATATTTTGTTGTTCAGTTATAGTGTGTGTGTATTTACAGCTAAAAATTATATTTTCCTTGGTGGAATATCCCAATTTATTTGTGATTATGAATTATGTGTTTACCACTATAAATTCCAAGTAAATGTCTGCTCTATAAGCTTCTTAATTTAGTAAGAGCTGTGCTTTACCATGAGACAATGTTCTTCTGAATTTGGCTTTTTAAATTATCACAGCAAAGAAAATAACTGTGGCTTAATATTTTACTTTTAAACTGATATTACAATAGCACTCATAATAATTTCAAATGTTTCTTCTTTAACAAAATGAACTTCCAAAGCCTTCCTTTGATTCCATGAATTGCATGAAAAAATTGAACCATTAGAATTAGCTGACTTTCTATCTGACACTGATAAGAAACTAACGTCACTTCTGGTAATGAACCCAACATATTAAGAACTACTGCTTTACTTTTCATTCATGTTAAAAACAAAACAAAACAAAAGAAAACAAAAAACTTGGCATTGAAAATAAACACAATTAATTAAAAATAACAATCCTTCGATCTGAATGAAAAGTCATGGCTCACAAAGTGACTCATAAACATATATTCTGCAGCTGCATCAGTTAACTTATCTCTTGGGGGCTTAGTCTTTAAAATAAATACTGTTTAAAACAGATGATAATGTTTCTTCAGCAGATTTATGTCTATGGTTTTCACATGTCAGCAATATCATTTATGGCCCCCAAAGTAAGCAGTAAGTGTTGATAAGCATTAAAGATAAGTTCAGCATTCCCATCAACATAAGAAATGAAAAATCAGCACTTTTATTTTTATTTAGGATGCATTTTTAGCTCATTGCTGTTGAGATCCTTTATTTCAAAAATGTAAAATAAATTATAAATTTATATATTTAATATCAAAAAATTAAATATAGAAATAGTTGTAGATTCATACCAAGTGATAACCAAACTTCCATACTAAGTGTATTCAGTCTGTACTTTTTAATGCTCCACAGGATTCCTCAGTCTCATTTTCTGGATATATTTCACATAGACTTAAACCATAATTTCTTTCACTTGTCACTGACCCCTAATAGGCAAGTTGGAGACTTCATGCATCTCACAGGCTGGGGCTGGGGCTCCAGTACAGCAAGTGGTTGGCATAGGTGGCAGCCTCATATGTTTCCTCCACCACTACCTGAAACTAGAAGAAGTGAGCATTCCCTAGCCATGTGCTTGCAGGCCCACTGCATGCCCCTTTGAAATGAAGACCTTAGTTCCTCTGCATTGGGGAATGAGAGTGACACATGGTTCTCCATTTTTTATATGTTGTGGAAAGTGAAAACTCAATTCACTGTATGTGTGTCTCACACAGTACCAGACAAGAGTTGGAATTACAAAGTGGAGGCCTACCAAACATTCCAATTTATTTTAGTGAAACTTAAATCAGGGACTTATATCGTCAAACCAAATGAAACATCAGATCAGCCGATAAATATTGGCCTCTAGGCAAAACCAAATGTCTGATTGTCCTTGGCACAAGGAGCTACAAGTGCAGAGTGGAGAACAGAACTAGCCTATGTAGGGTTCAGTAAGCACCAGATAGAATGGAAATGAGAGAGTGACAGAAAGATACCCAGATGCCAGTTCATTTAGAGTCTTGCTGGCCATGACAAAGATTTTAGCTTTTAGTTTACATAATCTAATAAGCCTCTGGAAGATATTGATGTGATTAATATTTAAAAGGTCATTTGGAGGGTGGGCCAAGATGGCTGACTAGAAGCAGCACCCTTCAGAGGCTCCCACTGAAAAAAACCATAATAAGCATGTGAATCCTTCACCTGCAATCAAGGTATCCAGGTTCTCTCATCAAAATTGACTAGAAGGCTGGCGTGACCTATGGAGAGAAGGAAGAGCAGTGTGTTGCGGTGGCCCACCTGAGGAGCCACACAGGGAAGGGGAACCCCTTCCCCCCAGCCAAGGGAAGCAATGAGTGAGCTTGTTATCCAGCCAGGGAAACTGTGCTTTTTCCACGCAACTGTGCAACCCACAGATCGGAAGATCCCACTCACAAATCCGTGCCACTGGGGCCTAACATCCCAACCCCAGAACTTTCAGATTCTTAGAGCCTCTCAACTGGATTCTGATTAACCCTACTGAACTCCCAGTGGGAGGAGCGACCAACACCAGCTGCAGCTGCCTGCTATTGAAGCCATTTGAGCTCCTTCGGGGGAGGGGCAGCAGCCAGCACTGGGACTCACGACTGCCTAACACCCTAATCTCCCTGGGTGGGGGAAGGGCGGCACCCATTTCTATAGCTCCAGGCTGCGCTTTTCCCCTGCTGGAGCCAGGGAGACTGGACAGCCTGGTCCCAAGACTTGTCCCCACAGCCCAACACACCAGCTGTGGCCATCTGTGGCCAGAGTGCCTTTTCAGTTCTAAACCTGACCCACCCTTCCTCAGTGGGCAATGCTTCCCTGCAGGATCTCCAATAACTCCAGCCATAGGCTCAGGGACAGAATTCGGATCTCCCTGGGCCTGAGCCCCTAGCGGGAGGAGTGGCTGCAGTCTCTGCAGACCAGCAGACTTAGCCTCTCCTCCTGGTAGTTCTGAGGAATCCGGGCAGCCCAGAAGAATGGGTTTCCCCCCAGCAAAACACACCATCTCCACCAAGGGACAAAGTGCTTCGTTAAAATGGTCCTGCTCCTTGTGCCACCCAACTGGATGAGATCCTCCAACAGGGGTTGTCAGACACCCTATACAGGACCGATCCTACTGGCATCAGGTTGGTGCCCCTCAAGGTCAGGGGTCCCAGAAAAAGGAGTAGACACCCATCTTTGCTGCTCTCCAGCCTGCTTGAGTGACATCTCCAGGCATAGGAGCAAATCAGATGAATCCGGCCTGAAGTGAATCCCTAGCAAACTGCAGCAGCCCTATAGAAGAAGGACCTGACTATTAAAAGAAAAACAAACAAGCATTAAGCAGCAACAATGGCATCGACAACCACAAGGCCCCCACAAAAACCCCATCCAAGGGTCAGCAGCCTCAAAGACTGAAACTAGACAAACTCATGATTCTTTCTGAATTAACGAAAAAATGCCAAAACCCCAAAAGGCCAGAGTGCCTCTTCTTCTCCAAATTATCGCAACATTTCTCTATCAAGGGCACAGAACTGATGGAGGATCAGGTGGATGAACTGACAAAAGTAGGCTTCAGAAGATGGGTAATAAAAAACTACGATACACTAAAGGAGCATGTTCTAACCCAAAGACCTGTCTTACATGCAAAGACACATACAGACTCAAAATAAAGGGATGGAGGAAAATTTACCAAGCAAATGGAAAGCAAAAAAAAGCAGGGGTTGCAATCCTAGTCTCTGACAAAACAGACTTTAAACCAACAAAGATCAAAAGAGACAAAGAAGGGCACTACATAATGATAAAGGGACAATTCAATAAGAAGAGCTAACTATTCTGAATATATATGCACCCAATACAGGAGCACCCAGATTCATAAAACAAGTTCTTAGAGACCTACAAAGAGACTTAGACTCCCACACAATAACAGTGAAAGATTTTAACAGCCCACTGTCAGTATTAGACTGATCAACGAGACAGAAAATTAACAAGAACATTCAGGACTTGAACTCAGCTCTGGATCAAGTGGACCTAGTAGACGTCTACAGTACTCTCCACCCCAAGTCAACAGAATATACATTATTCTCCGGGCCACATGGCACTTATTCTAAAATCGACCACATAATTGAAAGTAAAACACTCCTCAGCAAATGCAAAAGAATTGAAATAATAACAAACAGTGTCTCAGACAATGGTGCGATCAAATTAGAACTCAGGATTAAGAAACTCACTCAAAACCACATAATTTCATGGAAATTGAACAACCTGCTCCTGAATGACTACTGTGTAAATAATGAAATTAAGGCAGAAATAGATAAGTTCTTTGAAACCAAGGAGAACAAAGAGATAACATACCAGAATCTCTGGGACACAGCTAAAGCAGTGTTAAGAGGGAAATTTGTAGCACTAAATGCCCACATCAGAAAGCTAGAAAGATCTTGAATCAACACCCTAACATCACAGTTAAAAGAACTAGAAAGGCAAGAGGAAACTAGTCCAAAAGCTAGCAGATGACAAGAAATAACTAAGATCAGAGAAGAATTGAAGGAGATAGAGACACAAAAAACCCTCCAAAAAATCAAATCCAGGAGCTGGTTGTTTGAAAAATTAACAAAACAGATAGACTGCTAGCTAGACAAATAAAGAAGAAGAGAAGAATCAAATAGGCACAATAAAAAAGTGATAAAGGGGATATCACCACTGACCCCACAGAAATACAAACTAACATCAAAGAATATTATAAACACCTCTATGAAAATAAACTAGAAAATCTAGAAGAAATGGATAAATTCCTGGATGCATACACCTTACCAAGACTAAACCAGGAAGAAGTTGAATCCCTGAATAGACCAATAACAAGCTCTGAAATTGAGGCAGTAATTAATAGCCTATCAACCGAAAAAAGCCCAGGACCAGATGAATTCACAGCTGAATTCTACCAGAAATACAAAGAGGAGCTGGAACCATTCATTCTGAAACTATTCCAAACAATTGAAAGGGAGGGACTCTTCCCTAAGTCATTTTATGAAGCCAGCATCATCCTGATACCAAAACCGGGAAGAGACACAACAAAAAATGAAAACTTCAGGCCAACATCCCTGATGAACATCGACGCGAAAATCCTCAATAAAATACTGGCAAACCGAATCCAGCAGCATGTCAAAAAATGTATCCACCACGATCAAGTCGGCTTCATCCCTGGGGTGAAAGGCTGGTTCAACATATGCAAATCAATGAATGTAATCCATCACATAAACAGAACCAAAGACAAAAACCACACAATTATCTCAATAGATGCAGAAAAGGCCTTTGATAAAATTCAACATCCCTTCATGTTAAAAACTCTCAATAAACTAGGTATTGATGGAACATATCTCAAAATAATAAGAGCAATTTATGACACACCCACAGCCAATATCATATTGAATGGGCAAAAAACTCAAGCATTCCCTTTGAAAACCATCACAAGACAAGGATGCCCTCTCTCACCACTCCTATTCAACATAGCATTGGAAGTTCTGGCCAGGGGAGTCAGGCAAGAGAAAGAAATAAAGGGTATTCAAATAGGAAGAGAGGAAGTTAAGTTGTCTCTGTTTAAAGACGAAATGATTTTATATTTAGAAAACCCCATCATCTCAGCCCCAAAAGTTCTTGAACTGATAATCAACTTCAGCAAAGTCTCAGGATACAAAATCAATGTACAAAAATCACAAGCATTCCTTTACACCAACAATAGGCAAACAGAGAGCCAAATCATGAATGAACTTCCATTCACAAGTTCTACAAAGAGAATAAAATACCTAGGAATAGAGCTAACAAGGGATGTGAAGGACCTCTTCAAGGAGAACTACAAACCACTGCTCAAGGAAAGAAGAGAGGACATAAACAAATGAAAAAAAATTCCATGCTTATGAATAGGAAGAATCAATATCGTGTAAATGGCCATACTGCCCAAAGTAATTTATAGATTCAATGCTATTCCCATCCAACTACCATTGACATTCTTTACAGAATTAGAAAAACTATTTTATGTGGAATCAAAGAAGACCCTGTATAGCCAAGACAATCCTAAGCAAAAAGAACAAAGCTGGAAGCATCACACTACCTGAATTTAAACTATATTACAAGGCTACAGTAACCAAAACAGCATGGTACTGGTACCAAAACAGACATATAGACCAATGGAGCAGAACAGAGACCTGAGAAATAACACCACACATTTACAACAATCTGATCTTTGACAAACGTGGCAAAAATAAGCAATGGGGAAAGGATCCCCTATTCAGTAAATGGTGCTGGGAAAACTAGCTAGCCATTTGCAGAAAACTGAAACTGGATCCCTACCTTACACCTTATACAAAAATTAACTCAAGTTGGATTAAAGACTTAAATGTAAAACCCAAAACCATAAAAACCCTAGAAGAAAACCTAGGCAATACCATTCAGGACATAGGCATGGGCAAAGACTTCATGATGAAAATGCCAAAAGTAATTGCAACAAAAGCCAAAATTGACAAATGGAATCTAATTAAACTAAAGAGCTCTGCGCAGCAAAAGAAACTATCATCAGAGTGAACAGGCAACCTACACAATGGGAGAAAATGTTTGCAATCTACCCATCTGACAAAGGTGTGATATCCAGAATTTACAAGGAACTGAAACATATTTACAAGAAAAAAACAACCCCATCAAAAAGTGGGCAAGGGACATGAACAGACACTTCTCAAAAGAAGACATTTATGTGGCCAACAAACATGAAAAAAAGCTCAACATCACTGATCATCAGAGAAATGCAAATCAAAACCACAATGAGACACCATATCACGCCAGTCAGAATGGCGATTATTAAAAAGTCAGGAAACAAAACATGATGGTGAGGCTGTGGAGAAATAGGAACTCTTTTACACGTTTGGTGGGAATGTAAATTAGTTCAACCATTGTGGAAGACAGTATGGTAATTCCTCAAGGATCTAGAACCAGAAATACCGTTTGACTCAGCAATCCCATTCCTGGGTATATACCCAAAGAAATATAAATCATTCTACTATAAAGACACATGCACATGTATGTTTATTGCAGCACTATTTACAATAGCAAAGACATGGGACCAACCCAAATGCCCATCAGTGATAGACTCAATAAAGAAAATGTGGTACACATACACCATGGAATATTATGCAGCCTTAAAAAGGAATGAAATCTTGTCCTATGCAGGGACATGGATGAAGCTGGAAGCCATCATCCTCAGCAAACTAACACAGGAACAGAAAACCAAACACTGCATGTTCTCACTCACAAGTGGGAGTTGAACATTGAGAAAACATGGACACAGAGAGGGGAACAATACATACCAGTGCCTGTTGGGGGATGGGAGGCAAGGGGAGGGAATTTAGAGGATGGGTCAATAGGTGCAGCCAACCACCATGGCACATGTATACCTATGTAACAAACCTGCATATTCTACACATGTATCCCTTTTTTTTTTAGAAGAAATAAAGAAAAATCCCCTGAATGACAACAAAAAAGGTCATTTAGCTGCTATGTGGAGAATAGACAGTATAGAGTAAGAATAGAGGCAGCAAACCTGCTAAGAAGCCATTGCTATTGTCAGATACAAGGTGATAGTGTTTGGATTGGGATGAAATGTGTAGATATGGTGAGAAATGGTCCACTTGGGAAATATTTTAAATGTGTATTTGACAAGATATGTTGATGAATTGAATGTGGGAAGTGAGAGAAAGAGAGGAATCAAGGATGAATCCAAGATTTTAATATTAGCCTCTAAATGAATGTTGGCACCCTGTACAGGTATGAGGAGCATTGTGAGAGGAGTACTTGGTGGGAAGAATGGGGAGTTCACTTTGTTTGTAAATGTTAAGTTTGAATTGACTATTACACATCCAGGTGTAAAGTGAAGTCAGTATTTGGACGTATGCATTGAGGTCTGGTTGGGACAAGAATACAAGTGGGAAATTAAGAGTATAGAGGTGGTACTTATAGCCACAAAAATAAATAGGATCACTGAGGGAGTGAGTGTAGATAGAGAAGAGAATTGCAGACTGAGTCCCAGAAATGATATTTTATGCAATTAATGCATTGCCATAAGCCATGTTAAAATTACCACATGCTTCTTTGGAAAAGCAACAACAAACCAAATTCTTTGTTTCATGGGTTATTTTAAAAATATAATGGTGTGTAGAATTAGGGTACTTGAGTTCTTCTTTAATTAGTCTTCTGAAATAATTTGTATTTTTCAATGCTTTTTATAGTACTTTGTGCAGTATTGCAACCTAATACAATAATAGATGACTCTCATTTTACTTAATTTTTAATCCCCTTATTAACTATAAAATATATAGAAGGTTAAATATTATAAAATTCATAGTTCTGGATGGCTAAAGAGATGTGAAAAATGCTTGGAGAAACATTCTCAATTTGATTCAGAGATCTACCTATCACAAAGGGTGTATTTCCTATCTATATTCATAAGCCTGATTTAATAAAAAATAGTTTTACCAGGCCATACCAATCAGTAATTGGCACTTCAAAATGCTTTGTTTGAAAGGGATTCTAATAAATTCTAGTAATTTATTAAGCATCTAATGATAGTTTACTAATGATGCAAGAGGATACGTAGGAGACAACGGACCACAGAAACTGGCAAATCAAAGAGATACAGAAATGTGTAAGCCATTGACTTTAGAGAGAGACACATAGAGAAGTAATATAAGATGAAGGACTTGAGAATGGAGGGTAATAAAAGGAACCACCAAATGTGTCTAATTATGGAAGTAGCCAGCCGCAAAAATTCCTAATTGGAACTCTGATGTTATGCTTTAGCAAGGAAACTTAAATTCCATTTCACTGGTGTGGTCAAGATGAAGAGCCTTTTTGATCTTGGAGAAGAAAAGCCAATGAGCTGGCATAACCATTTGAAATCTTATGCCATCGATATACTCAATGCTAGGCAAGAGCAAAAGAAAGAAAAATGAGCCAAGTGAAAGAGTTTTCTTAAAATCTATCCCATGATGATATGAATGGTAATAATAATAACAACAATATATTAAATTTATAAAGAACCATTAACAAATGATCTTATTCGAGTACCATTATAAATCAATGAGGTAGGTTGTATCTAATTGTCTTTAATATGTCCACTTTACAGATGAGCAAATGAGGCTTGGAGAGGCTTTGCAATTGTCAAGAGGCACACAGTTTTTAAGGGAAGCATGACCAGTCATCTTGTCTGTCTGGCCCCACATTGCATGCACATTGAGAAACATAGGGCAGCAGGTGTAAGCACAGCCCTGTGCAGCTCTAGCTCCTGGTGATACATGTCTAATGTGCTGTCTTGAGCATCTGAGCACAGTCTCTTTTTATGCTTTTCTTTGCAAAATATTCTTAAGAGAGAGGGTCCTAACAGCAGACTTGGATTTTCTTTAAAGTGGCATTTAAATTGTTCAGAGTGAGAGCTGAGTGCAGTGGCACACACCTGTAGTCCTATCTGTTTATAAGGCGGAAACAGGATGATCACTTGAACCCAAGAGTTGCCGGCTGTAGTGCACTGTGATTGTGCCTGTGAATAGCCACAGGACTTCAGCCTGGGTAGCATGGCAAGACTCTGCCTCTTAAAAAAAAGTCCAGAGTGGATCAAAATGGAATTTGATGGATGATTATCATTGATTACTTCAAATAAAATCTTTTCTCAAAATCGGATAAATGTGTTTGATTTAAAAAATGGAATAACTAGCAAAACTCAAGTCCCAAAAGCATGAGAAGGGTACCTAAACTTTGAAAGGTCTTTATAAGATTCTTCCTACTTTGCCATATCCAGAACACATTATCAGGAACCAAGACTAGGATATATGGTTTTCACAGTGCTTTGAATACTCCCCCAAGTAGCCCATTTTCCTTTGAAAATTCCTTGAGTCACCAGTTGTTTCTGCTTAAGGTGGCTCTGCTTTGCTCCTCATTGCATCTGAGCTGGACATTTTGTCAGTTTCTGCTTCTCATGGGAATTAAAGTCAGGCTACCACACACACACAAACCATAGACTGGGTGACAAAGCAAGACTATCTCCAAAAAAAAAAAAAAAAAAAAAAAAGGCAATCTTTTCCTCCTAGAGAAATTAGACTTGAAATTGAATGACAGTTATGAGTTCTTTTATCACATATTACTGAGAGCTATTTTCCTGAGTCATCTGCTATAAACAAACAATACAACAGGCTGTAATGAGAGTCAAGGTTCATCCACCATGAATTGCTACATAAATTCTAAATAATATATTTATATATCTGTTTCCCAATTTATCAACTTTAGACTGCATCTATTTATGCCAAACTATAAAACATTGGGATTTTAACACACTTATCTCTCAGTTTTATTAGTTATATTATTAGTACTTCTAGCCATTACATTTATAACTAAATAATATATCTAGGCTTTTATTTATTCTTTATTCATCAATTTAGAGAGCATCTATTGAGTCTTAACTAGATAAGTGAGGAAATTAATGAGCCTACTTTTTTTCATCTATTTTTCTCTCCCTTTCTTCAGATCCCAGTACAATTAATTATACTATTACTCTTATATGTCTTGTAATTATAATTGTCTTCTTTGGTTTGTCTCTGTAAGTTGATTTTATAAATTGAAAATCAACACCTATGTAATATCATTGTAATATAAATATTATTTCCAGCACAACGAAGTGAAGTGATTGGATTCACAGAGAAGTATATGTCCATCTTTGGACAATTTCAATTTCCACCACTTAAAGGAGACTGTTGAGTCTAAGCATCAAGAGCAAACAGAGTCTATTTTCCTGGCTATACTTGTTAACTTCCTTAGAATGAGCGCATTGTTTGGATGATGGCTTTCATTGCATCTATTTATTCGTAGAATTGCTAAATACCTTTATTTTTCATATTGAGATAGGGAAAACGCAAGTGATTTTATGTTATCATAGAGAACTTTCATTTTTGGATTATGCAATTTGTAAAAGAATCAAGTTGCTTATTAAAGATATTTTTTACATAGCACTCTCACTGATTTTACACATTGCTTATTAGGGCTGCTGCACAATTACTGTCTTTTTGTATTGCCCTGTGTTAGTACCATTGTGTTTCAATTCCATGTCATAATTTCAGGATTCCTGTTTTGTTTCATTGAAGTGCATCCTCTAGTAATTTCTTTTACTTTTTTTTTTTTTTTCTAAGAGAAGGCTTGTATGAGTTCTCCAACAGAAATGACAGTTTGGCTAAAACTTTAAAGTTGCCTGTTAACTAGCTTTTACTTCTGATTAAAAAGTGTAATGTTGGTATATTTTTTGTCCTTTGTTGATAATCTATTTTTTCTCTCTGGGACTTCTTAGGATTTCTCATTGCTCTTAAGTTCTGAAATTTTATAAAAATGCATCTAGGATTTCAATTTGCGTAATCAGTTGTGCCTTTAGCTCAGTCAAATTTTTTTCTATCATTTATTTGACTGTATTTCCCATGTGTGGGAAAGAATATTATTTCCCTCAAGAATTCTAGATACTTTGATCTGTTCTGAATTGGCATTTGATGAAGCATTGTCCCATAGTTTCCATTCCTTTGTTATTTAGTTCTGGAGTATTTTTCTCAACCCTATCTTCCAAATCACTCAAGTTCATTTTTCAGCCGTGTTCATTCATTATTGAGTTCTTTTATTCATTTCTTTACCTTTTAGAAATCTTATTTAATTTCTTAAAAGTCTGTCTTACTTCCTGATTACTTCTTTTTGGAGTGGTCTAATTGTGTTTTAGGGATATAATATCTTCTTGAATATATACTAGGATACCAATCAAATTTTTATGTTTTCTTCTGTTCTTAACACTAGCTCCACTTCCCTAGGGTCATTTGTTCTATTTGTTTATTTTTGATAACCTTATTTTATGCTATTGGTTAGGTAACTGTCAACATGGATAAATGAGGATCATGCAATTAGCATAAGTTAATGGTAAGATTTTTGTGGTCATTACTTGATTTACCAAAGGCCCCCTCCTCTTCCTGGTAAGGCCACCAGGGGGCTGTGCTTCTGACAGTCAAGCTTCCCTGTGGAATGTGTAGGAAGGAAATAGGCATGTAGCATCAGTTCTCCCAACATCACCATTGAAAGGGAGAGTTTACTCTGAGGACAGAATAAAGTAATTTATTTATTTCATTCCTGTGCCAGCCTGGAGCTGTCTTTTCTTCCCACCCCGCAACTCCACTCACACTTTGGACTGTTGTGTGGGTCTAGAGTTATCTCTAGCTCTGGTCTCTTTTCTCTATTCCCAGTTCTCCAGTAAGGACTCTTGGAAAGACAAGTTTAGAAATCAACTCCCAAGGACTTGATTAAAGTGGAGGCAAATGCTACTCTTTACCCTTGTAGGAGGTGGAGGAATCACCAGTCCCAGCTCTTTTATAGAAATATTTTTATTTAATTGTCCTGAACCTATGTACCAAAGCCCACTCCTGATCCTCATGCCTGTCAACTCCAAGATTGACTCTTTCTGTGCTTCCCTGCGAAGAATGTCTCTCCATCTCATTAAATTGTAATCACTATGAGAGCAGAAATAAACTCTAATTCCCATGGTGTACCCAGAGTCTATGAAAGTGTCTGACATATGAT
The DNA here is from genome assembly GCF_000001405.40 of Homo sapiens. Classification (NCBI taxonomy): domain Eukaryota; kingdom Metazoa; phylum Chordata; class Mammalia; order Primates; family Hominidae; genus Homo; species Homo sapiens. Next base: position 88,078,641 of record NC_000001.11, on the reverse strand, counting down.
TGGCATTCAATAAATATTTGTTGAATTAATGGATGAACAACATGTGAATTAATAGATATTGATGTCTTCCTCTTGATATATTTTCATTGTTATTTTAATGAATTTTTGAAATGCAGATAGGTGATTGGATCATTTTCAAATTGATGGACTTTTTAATGCATTAAAATCATGACTGAAAATTTTGTACAAGTTTATGATATAATATTACACAAAAGAAAATGCTTAATTGTATACATGCTATGATTACCTCAGATATTAGTTTGTGTGTGTGTGTGTGTGTGTGTGTGTGTGTGTGTGTTTGTGTGTTGTAGGCAGGGACTAGGGAAAAACTCACATAAATGGGAGTTTAATTTGATGTGTTCAATTGCTAGAGACTTGGATTTGTGTTTTCTTTTTGTTTCAATTTCTTGTAATATTATTTATACAATAATAAAATATCAAATTCAATTAAATTCCAAAGGAAAGTGATGCCACAATTTTCCTGGGCAATATAACATGAAAAAAAAATAGTTTACTCTGACTTTTAGAAGGCCTTCTAGGGCTGGGCGCGGTGGCTCATGCCTGTAATCTCAGCAATTTGGGAGGCTGAGGCGGGTGGATCACGAGGTCAGGAGATCGAGACCAGCCTGACCAACATGATGAAACCTCGTCTCTACTAAAAATACAAAAATTAGCCAGGTGTGGTGGTAAGTGCCTGTAATCCCAGCTACTTGGGAGGCTGAGGCAGGAGAATCACTTGAACCTGGGAGGCGGAGGTTGCAGTGAGCTGAGATCGTGCCACTGCACTCCAGCCTGGGCGACAAAGCGAGACTCCATCTCCAAAAAAAAAAAAAAAAAAAAAAAAGAAGAAGGCCTTCTAACACCTAATCTAAAACTTTCCCCTATCTCTTTCGTGTAAGTTGCCCTCCCACTGACTACCCTGACAAACTGTCTTTGCCAAATAGACCTCATCACTGTTCCCAAAGATTCAATTTTATTTGCTTAGACTATCATTATACCCATTCCCTCAAGAAATTTTAAATCAATTTTTCTAGGTATATGCTAAGATCTGAGGATACAAAGATAAATTAGTCTCTTTATTTTTAAAGAGATCATAGTGATACTTCATTGAGAATTCAGAATGATTATTACAGTCTTCTTTGTATATTAGCTGACTTTTGAGAAACTCTCTACAACCTTCACTGTGTCTTTTTTCATAGATCTAATTATAAATATTGAAAGTCTAATTTTCTAATTGCCAAGGAAAAAGAACGTAAAGATAAGAACGACAGGGAAAGAGAGAATAACTGAAAAGGACAAAAAACAAAGAAGGAAATAAAAGCAATAATAGAAATTATTCTAATGAATAAAAACATATAGGAAAATTCAGTGAAGGTGTATTTTTCTTGGGTAAATATGATCAACACAATGAAAACTTTCCATATCACACAAATATTTTTTTCACATTGCAAACTGCATACTCTCATGTTGTTTCCATGTTCTTATGTATGTTTCTACCTACTCTGTGGGGTCATTCATTTGTTTCTGTATTTTGCTTTATGTCATTATTTTATGGCCATGTAAGTGCTATGTAAGAAAGTTATGTTAAGAGGAAGAGTAAATAGATGGTTTTGATTGAGAGTTTAGGAACTTTTCTCCATCAAAGCTCATAGATTTTATGATGTGTATTTTGGCTTCCATGGAAGTATTATCTCTTACTTGACTCAGTTCTACATCAATGAGTCTCCCAGAAAAGTAAGCTATTGCAATAGACAAGGCATTGATGTACTGTCAGTGGAATTTCCTTATGGATTTATATCTCTGTAAGCTCAGGGGGCTAAATGGCATCTCTGTCCATCCAGTTCCTCATGCTGGAACTCTGGAAGTAGCTCTTGACATCTGCCTCTCTTTTCATCCCTCTTTCCTGTCCATCACAGGTCTCGTTGACCCCACTTTCAAAATGGATATTGAATCCTTTCAGTGTTCTTTATTTCCACCATTGGCATCTTGATCTTGATGCAAGCCTCGATCATCACACAGATGGATTACTGAAATAGCTCCCTAGTTACACTTCTAGCTGTTCCTCTTGATCCCATCAACACATTTTTCATATAACAGTAATAGTAGTGTTTTTAAAAACTCAAATTTAACCACATGGCTCCCCTGCTTAAATCTCTTCAGTGACCTCCGTTGCTCTTAGGACAAAACCCTAAGTCCTTGGCCTGATCTTCATGAAGTGTCCTCTGTTAGTCATAATCCACTTCTTTTGGTGAGCATAAGAGCTTTCTGCTTCAGAAATTTAAATATATATTTCTTCTTTACTTGAATAAATCGTATTCAGATTTCTGATTAACTGCCATTTCTCAGAGAATTCTTCTTCTCTCTGTCTTCCATAGGTCCCACATAGTAATTATATGTGTAATTAACAAGTTTTCGGCTGTTAAGTGCCTATCTCTCCCACAAAACCTCAAGCACCATGAGTGCACAAATCATGTCTATTTTGTTTGCTGTCATATTGACAGTGATTAGAACAACATTCAGGTTAGAGTAGTTGCTCAAAAAAAATGTTTGGTGAGTAAATGAATGATGGTCCTTGGCCTGGCAGATGTGGCAATGGAGAGTTAGGTCTGGCCTCAGATATTGGTCAGCTGAGTGCCACAGCAGCTGCCCTGGATGGCTTTCTCTCAAGCTATTCTGAATATTTGTCCCGTCATAGATGTGGTCATTCTGGTTACAAAAGGTTTTTATGTTTGTTTTCTGAAATTAGAAAGGGGTTCATGGCTCCTGAAACAACCTGGGGAAGTAAAACTCAGTATTTCATAATCAAGAATAAAGAAAAATTACCCAATACAACAAATGCCTGATGCTTGTGCTTGTCTTTTAATTCATAAGGCAGCATGCATGGGTAATATATAATAACCATTTATCAGTGTGCTAATAGTGTTTGAAATTCTATTAGGTGACATGATGAGGAAGCTCAGGATGGATGGAGTTTTTATATATTTGGTGTCTTGAATGTGCCTGCCAGAGCCTTTAAAGTCAGTTTAGTGGCCTATTAATGTGTCCATTATGAACCCAATTTCTTACCTTAGTCATTTTAAATCTCATCTGTCTATAACTTAGTATATGTTATTAGCCTAAATTCAAACGTTTTATACCAACTATAATTCTTAGTTGTTAAACTGGTTTTGACTTATTGGTGCTACATTAAAACCTAATAGGTGGAATAATTGACTCCCATAACAATTCGGAATAAGAGAAGTCCATGTTGAGCGCTGTTTCCAGATACATGAAAAACTATGAACAAGTCCCCTTTGCCCTCTACTGCATATCCCTACCCCTGCTGATTCCACACTCCCCCAGGTTCCTAAGCCAGTCATAACTGCATCTAAACAGGAGCCATTAAACCAGGCATGGCTCCAGGGAAACACTTTCAAGGGTTTCACAGGGGAGCCTTTCCCCAGGAGCAGCCAACATCCACCCCTGAAGGACCAAAACGGATAGGCTTTAGATGTTCTTGCTTCAGGAGGACGAGCTTGAGGCCATTCTCAGTGAGAAAAGTGATTTGCCAAGCCCTCTCAGCACTCAGTGGCCATATAGCATTCCAGTACTTCTTTATATTTTAACAAGATGTATGAGAATCTACCTTCCCATCAATTTGCATGCCTTTCTCCTCTCTGTCTCTTAGTAGCACTCTGAGTTTCACCCACCATATGAAAAGTTCAGCTTTCTCCCCACAGAGTGGACTCCTAGGTACAGGTCTCTTTGAGTGGTAATCTTGCAGCCAAGAATCGGGTAGGCCAATGCATGTCTAAGTGCTACAGGCTCAGATATCTGTGTTCCTGGCTCTTGAACCTGTTTATCTTTCTTGCCTACCTGCAAAGTCTCTGGTGCATGCTGTATGTCTTTGAGTGCTTCTCCCCTCTCTGAGAGAAGCAAAGCCTTCTGGGGCGCAATAAAATTGCTTTAGGAAGGCAAGAAACAGATGGAATATAAATGGGTTCAGGTGCTCCAGGGACCTCAATGCTGCTGCAGAAGGCAGGCAACAGAGCATCTAAACAGCAAAAGAATATTTGCTTTTTTTCTCTTAAATGTTGTGTTGGGGCAGAGGAAGTTTCAAGGTTAAGAATCAAAGGTTCTCCGCTTTGTACAAATGATATATACACTGGATTCTGTTTAAAGCCAGTTGCTTTCTAGATTTCAGGAGAAATTTACTGGTGGCTGTAACCTATGTGCAGGGTGAAAGGTAGGCCCTAAATTTAATTCATGGTAAAGTGATTCTTCTTCTACTTGAAGAACTATTTTATAAGAGTGTCTTTGCAAGACTAAAGGGTTTGGGGTTAGACAGAAGCCAATAATGGACTCAACACATGCTGTTTGTCTCACCTTGGACAAGTCACCTAAATTCCCGGAGTCTCCATATTCTAAATTCCAAAATGGAGATAATAAAAGTTGTAATGAGGATTTTTTGGAAGTATATAGGTATGTGCATGTCAAGTACTGGCAAACTGTTAAAACTGCAAGATCAACACATGCCTGAGGTTTACAGTTAACTGCTCTCCCCCTTCTCTCAGATAAATGATGGACAACCTCTATGGTATCACCACTGTCTTCATTGCTCCATTTTACACTTCTCATGAAATTTCTAAGGGTCACAACTTTTAGCCCCTCCTGTCTCACTCTTCTTTATTTCCTTGCAATTTTCATCAATAAGCAAGAAAAATCCAACCAGCAATAAGGCCTAGGATAAGTTTTTCAATTTTGGAGAATAACTTTTGCCATGGAATCAACAGCCTTAGTGAACAGTGTTCTTGCCAAAATGCGCTGCTTCCAAGAAACAATTAATGATAAACAGTGTGTATTAAGTGCTCACTGTGTGACAGGTAATGTTGTAAGTGCTTGACTTGAATTTACCAAATTAATCAACCCCAAAATGCTATGAGGAACATCCGATTTTTACTCCCATTTTACAGATGAGGAAAGTGATAGATCAAGAAGTTAAGTGACTTGTCCAAGGCCAAACAAGTGAAAAAGGGAACTGAGGTGCTGACCAAGGCAGACTGTCTCCAGCACTCATGTCTGTAACCACTAGGAAGGCTGTAATTTAAAAAAAAGAGAGGAGATTTGTCCTGCTTGCCTGGACTTTCGAGCTAAATATAAATCTAAACTCATGCAGAGCAACAGGTCCAATATAGTTTTACTGATACACTCTCTGTACTATAACTTGTATACAATGGCCCGGGGCAATGGGGGAACATATCCGCTGAGGTTTATTGCCTGGCAGCCTAAGATTTATAACCTACATATGGTGGTGGTGTGTTTTTAACATCCCCCTCATGTATATTTTCTTAGCAAGATAGTAAGTTTCTCAAAGGTTGGTGTACAGCTTTTTATTTATCTTGCATATCCCTTATTTACAACACTTTGGGGCTCAGTAAATGGTTTTGATTGGCTGCCTGAATTTCAGTGACTGGGTATGGTGATCACAATGACTACATCTGCAGAATGAACAAAGAGCTAGGGGCATGGTTCATCTGGGAATTAGGGATTTTATTTCAAGTTCTGGGACTTTATCCCTAACTTGGTCTTATAAGATAGCGTATCAGTAGACATTCAAGGTGTATTTCTTGAGTGTTCATCATTAGCAAAGGCCAAGGCTAGGTACTGTGAGGACAAAGGCACACCAGACAGGGCTGTTACCCTCTAAGACCTCACTATATAATGGAAATTAAGTCCAACAATATCCCCCTGGAGAAGTGGGAATCAAACTGGAAGAATCTGGAATGGCTCCTTGGAGGAGGTGGGATTTAGCTAAACTCTACAAAAAGCAATAAGATCGAGAAAAATATATGGATCAAGGAAATGCCAAGAATGCTCCACTTGCCATTAAACAGGGGTAGAAATTTAAGCCTGAGTTGATGCACCCACCTCAGAGCAGAGTTTGTCTTATTCCTACCCTGGAACTTTAATGAGGACAATTACTTCTTTCAAAAAAGTTCTGTAAGATTTAAGAGAGAGAGCTAATCATCTCATGATTTGCTTGGTTTGGGAATTGGGAGGACCAAATTGTTAGATGCCTCGTGTGTATAAAGCAACGTTAAGTGCTTAACAATTAAATAATACATTTTTTAAAAGCACAAAAAAGTATTATTTAATCCTCACATTGGTTACAAATGAAGAAACTGAGTTTTAGAAAAAAATAATTTGCTCATGATCGTGCAGGTAAGTGGCAGAGCAGAAATTCAAACCCAGGTCTGTCTGACTCCAGAGTTCATACATTTGAATAATATATACCTTATTCTGTCAAATTATCTGAGCCTTATCCTGGTGTGGGTTCTTGTTTATTCTTCTCTGCAAACACTGCATTTATAGAAAAGTAAAAAACACCTACAAATTCAAAGTTTACTTTTATTCATGTATCTTGTAGTTTCACATTAACTGCCTATTTTTCTTTTCTTTATCACCCCAAAGTTTTTCTTTTTTATTTTTTTAACTAGAACTTTTCAACCTTCTGTGATCTCTTTATAATTCCCTTTAGAATGCATAATTGTGCTCGATCAATTTGTTAGAGGCTTTTGAAGTGTTAAAAAAACTACATTAAAATTATTTTCTTTCAGGTTTTATGTTAATGAACATAGGTGCTATTCAGAGCAAAGTCAGAGTGTCAAGGGAACTTTAGTTAAAGTTATTCATACATAAACTAAAAAAGGAAACATCTTTAGTAGAGGAAAAATACATTTAATGAGTAAGTACGGCACACAATTCCTCCTTTCAAAAATGTCAGCTCGTATTGAACCTCCATTCTAGATATCGTACAATTACTTTGTCAACAGAAGGTAGAGTAGTGATGGATGACGCATTGGTTCTTGAAACCAAACTTTCTGTGAGTTACTTAGGCTGAAACTAAGTGCTTTTACATTCCAGTCTTATTGATGATAGTGGTTTTATATTTATCACCCTGTCATTTCAGTTGACTGTATCAACCTCTTCCCTGTAAGAATATGGACACTAATGGAGGTGTGTCCTTAGTGCTCTGAAGGGTCACAGATTCATTCTGTGAACACAGTCAGGGCACAGGCTGCTTTGCGTTGAAGCTCAGAGGCAGCTTTACCCATTTCAAAAAGGGATCAGCAAAGAGGGCCTTAAAAGGCCTTTGGAAATTGTGTTCTTATTGGCTCTCTTTTGACCATGACCCATCCTTGTGGTGCTGCACACAGAGGCTTTCGTCTCTCACTAATGGAGCATTACTATTTTGCAGCCTCCCCTATAATAGGAAGAATTCTACCAGGACCTTGGCAAGTCGGGGACCTGATTGCAACACTTTATTTATAAGAAATTCTGTCAAGAATCAATAATAGTCTTGGGTCTCAAGTTCTTTCTTTAATAATACTTTGATATGATTTGTCACAAGCTAGCCCAGAGTATCCTCGAGATTTTATTACTTAGCTTGCAGCACAGTGTCTTATCTTTGAGTCATGAGATCAGCCATGGGGAGACCTTTAAAAAGCTGTATGCTTTACTGTTTGGTTATTACAGAAAGTCTATATTACTCAATAATACCTTTTATTATAGGGTGTGCTGTCACATCTTCACAGAGATGTTTAACCCCAATGTAGATATACTGAATGCCTGGAGGCCATTTTAGTGACATGGACATTGTTTTTCATGACTGGATGCCTGATGTATCAATAGCAGTGAAAAACAGAAAACAAATGGAACTATACAAAAATAAAATCACCACCACAACAGAAAAACCCACTACCACCGTCACAAAAAATGTTGACTTATTTTCTTAGCCTGACATTTCTGACCAGATCTCAAACTAACTGTTCATTTTGACAAAGATTTTGTTTAGAGTCCAGAGTGTTAGATTTTTATTACCTGAAAGCAGCAGAAATTTGGAGAAGTCAATTTAGATTCCTTTCTTGTGTGCAAGCAGCTCCTTAGGTTTCACCGTACATCTCAATAAACACAATCCTACGACATCAGTAGCATGCTGTAGAGCAATGGCTCTAAATATGTTTTATGCTGCTCAGCCATGGAATTCATATTGTTACAGCTAATGCCTGTTGGTAAATGCTTGTATCGTTACATGTTGTATTTACAAAACTATATATTGTCAGCTTAGAGTTTCGTCTCTCCAATCTGTTTTTCTTCTTTGAAGGAAAATAGCAGAAAATGTACTAATACTCACTGTAGACAAAACACACACATACATACACATGGAAACACACACATACACACGCACACACAAACCAAGATTTTAAAATGGTAATCATTTTGAATTTTGAAATTAGAGAAAATGAGGGAGAAACACTCCTTGGAAAGTTATTATTTTAGATCTTTCATCTGTCTCCAAATTGGTACTAATCTTCCATGTAGATTTAAGAAAATTGTTGGTATGTGAGCAAACATTTTATTTAAAAGTTTTCTGTTTTGTTCTTGCGGCTGCTGCTGTTGCTGTTGCTGAAGGGGAATCTCCTTATGCGGCCAGCTGGCTTTCCCAGCAGCTCCCATCCTGGCTGACGTGTGCAGGGCACAAGGAATGAAGCTCTGCCCTGGGCTCAGCATAGACACACCGCCACTGCCCAGAAGACATCCTGGCTTTATTTCCTTGCCTTGTGCAGCATAAGCAGAGGCAGCAGTGGTCACAGCTTCTGGCTGTGACAGGCTGCTCTGAGAACTTTGTCTTTCTCCTCTCACAAGGCCAGGTGTGCCTTCCAGTCCAGAGACTGAAGGTACTTCTCGTCACCCGCTCATATTCTCTGCCCACACTGGGCTTCTGCTGTGGCTTAGGGCTAATGGGTGACAGGCTTCTCCTCCTGGCATTGCTCCATTATGCAGCTTCCCCAGCACTGAGCAGTGCTACGAATGTGTGATAACCTGCCTCGAGATTGACCTAAGAACCCTAGCTTTACCTGTAGGACTTTGTCTAAGGGCAGGAGAAAGGAATCTGTATTTGCTAAATATCTATCGTGAGCCAAAATCCGAGCTGGACCCTTGACATGCATTGGCTTGTTTAATATTCCTATCACTGTCAAGAAAGTATCATGCCCTCTGTGATGCAAGTGAGGAACCCTACATTCGGAGATTAGAGAGTTTGCTGCCATCATACAGAGGACAGTGTAGGAACTGGCCAACAGGGTGAGGGAGATTGAACTTCAAAATTCCTACTTTTGCTACTAAAAACCATGCCACCAAATTAACCATGCTGCCAGCTTCTTCCATATTCACATGGATGACTGTTCCTTTGAGATTCTTATAGCCTACTCTCTAGCCCATTCACCACACCATCCAAGCACTCTTCTCGCTTCCTATCCAAATCCTGCCATTTTTTCAAAGCCAAGTTCATTCCCACTTCTCCATGAACCCTTCTCCAGTAAACCAATTCAGATATTGTGTCTAAACTTTTATTTTGAAATAATTGTAGATTCATCTACAATTATAAGAAATAATGCAGAGAGAGCTTGTATATCCTTCACTGTATTAGTCTGTTCTCCCACTGCTAATAAAGACATACCCAAGACTGGGTAATTTATAAAGGAAAGAGGTTCAATTGACTCGCAGTTCAGCATGGCTGGGGAGGCCTCAGGAAACTTATAATCGTGGCGGAAGGGGAAGCTTCAAACACATCATTCTTCATATGGTGGCAGCAAGGAGAAGTGCTGAGCAAAAAGGGGAAAAGCCCCTTATAAAACCATCAGATCTCGTGAGAATTCATTCACTATCAGGAGAATAACATGAGGTTAGCTGCCTCCATGATTCAGTTACCTCCCACCGGGTCCCTCCCACGGCATGTGGGGATTATGTGAACTACAATTCAAGATGAGATTTGGTTGGGGACACAGCCAAACCATATTATTCACCCAGTGTCATTCAGTTTTAATATTTTATATAACTATGGCACAAAATCACAAAGAAAATATTGACGTTGACACACTCTATCAACATTACTCAGATTTCACCAGTTTTACATGCATTTGTGTATGCGTTTATTTAGTTCTATGGAATTTTATCACATGTATAAATCTGTGTGACTACCACCACAATCAAGATACAGAATAATTCCATCACAAGGATCTCTTGTAATACCCTCATATAGCCATAGTCATCTCCCTACTTCTCTTGTAATACCCTCATATAGCCACAGTCACCTTCCCTGCCTAATCCTGGCAATCAGTAATCCATTCACAATTTCTATAATTGTGTTATTTCAATAGTGTTATATGAACTGAATCATACAGTATGTAATCTTTTGAGAGCAAACCTATTCAGTTTGGGAACTTCTAATCTTGACTTAAATACATTTTGTGTGAAATCACTCATTCATTCATCCATTCAAATATATTTATAGGACAACTACAGTGTGATTGGTACTATCTGAGATACTAGGAATACAGTAATAAACCAAAGTGACAAACATCTCCTTGTAATATATTTTGTTCTTTTTTCATAGTGACATATATTGCTTTTGAGAAATTTCTTGTTTGCATTCTTATCCCAGCAATAGATTGTAAACTCCCTGAGAGCAGACAACTCATCAAACAAGTCTGTTGTTTCACATATAAGGCCTAGAGAGGCAAACCTTTACCAAGAATATAGAACTTGGACTTACCCTGTGGAGAGACACCTATAGAGGTCATCTGGTCCATTCTCCTACTAAAAGATCATTAAAAGAAGAGAAACTATTACTCTCTAACACACGTGAAGGGCTTTGCATTGAACAATAACATGTAAAGTAATCTAAATATATCAGCTCCTTTCACCACCCCATCAGCCTTCAGCACCTCTCACTCACAGACATCACACTATCAATCTTGATGCCTCCCACTCAGGGTAAGCTCAGTAGCTCCACTTTGATTTGTTACTGGCCTGTGCCACAGATGCCCGCATCCTCTGGATAAAGAACTGCACATCAGAAAAGAATAAGGCCTGCTATCGTGTATGTGGTACAATTGTCTCACGTATATATGCTCCTCTGCTACATCTGACACCAAGCTTCCCTTGTAGACCATTGTTCAGTCCTTCTCTTCTTGTACACAGGGCAAAAAAGCAAGTTCTTCCCTTCTTCTTAGCATAAAGATTCTGCTAGGGCCTGTTAATATTCTCTCAATCTGGTGCAAAGGAGGGAAAAATGAACTCAGTGAGTTTGGTAAAGGTTGATTGCCCTCTTGAAATAGGTCATCAGCAAATTTAGACCTATGGAAACATACAAATTTCCAATATGGAATGTGGCTGTTATCAGATTATCATAGATTTCTATTGAGTAATAAACCAAGCAGAGTGAATTCTTTTGTAGGATTCTTAGTCAAAAATTTTATGACAACAGAGTTGAATTTCGCAGACGCAATTATTTAAATTGAGTTATTTTCCTCCTGCATAATTACGGCTCTATTTTCTCTTTATTATACAATTGTTGACAAAGAATGGAAAGTTAAAACCTCAGTGGTGAATGTTGTATTCAGTTTTCTGCATAAGTGAACTTCTAGAAACTCCAGGATACACAGTAAATTTGTTTTAAAAAATAACCACTGTCCTGAGGGGACGTTTGGGGCAGTTTTTACTTCAGCACCTCCAGAATATCAGACTTGGTACAGTAATCATTTATTAACTCTAGAAGGATAGAATGAACCCTTGTATCAGATGATACATTAGAAAGATGAGAACTGAAGTATTCCGTAGATTTGAAAAGGTTCCTTTATTCAATATGTGATGTTCAGAGGATTGAGTTGTTGGCACCAGATGAAGCAGACAAGCTTATTGGCAAAATGAAACATGTAGACTTTTATGCCTGGCTATTGATGAACTGGCTGGCCTTGCTTGCTACCCAATGTGAGTTTTTCTTAGATTTTGTGCTTTAGAAATCATAATTTCATTGGAGGATAAAGTGGTCTAGATTTGGCAGTGAAACATTTTTATGACCTCTAGTGCACAAAGGAAATTTTAGTATAACAAAATGGGTTCAGTCCATGATTCATTTGGACATAATTTCTGAAGACACTCAATCCTGAGCTGGCCACTATCTTCCATCCATAACACGTATCACTCTTTGTCCATCATTCAGGAAAAAGGGTAGAGAATCCATCAGGAAATAGACTTCTGTATGGTAGAAATCTACTTGGATTTCACAGGCTGTTTGAAACTGCTCTCTTTGGTTGGAACTGGAAAGAAAGAAACCATCTCTGTCAAGATGGAATGGGGGAGATATGCCCTTTTGTTGATCAACACAATTGAGTGTAACAGGTGGAAAATCTTGCTTTTTGCAAGTTACATAGAGTATAATGAAAATTGGTGCACATTAATAAATTATTTGGATCCCATAGGTTCTGAAATGGTTTCAGGAAACAAAGTTTCCAGAACAATAAGCAAAACTAAAAAGTGGTCTGAGATATTTTTAGCAAATTCTTTCACTTACTATTTAGAAGAAAGTAATTATAGCATTCCAGAAAATTATTAAAAACCTTGTAGGAAAAGTAAAACATTTTTATTCTTCAAGTTATCATAATTTTTTCTTGGAAATAATTTAATATTTTTGCCAGGCCCTGGAGGGAAAATATCTAAAGAACAATGGCATGCTGACAAAAGTTAAATCTAAAATTTACTGAGGTTATTTCCAATTTTGACAGAAACCAAGTATCTTTTAAGAATGGGACAAAAGCCAGTCTTAACTGATGTTAATGTAGACGAGATGAATAAAGTTTTCAGAGCAGATACCCTCATGTAGAGTATGCAGAGAGATTATCATTATTGTTTTTCTTACCGTCTTCAATCCAATCAATAGATTGAGACTATGTGCCACGAGGGGGAAACAACATTAGGGGAGTAGCATTGCATGCCCTAAAGTGGAATAGTGGGGGATTTGTTGCTGGAGGTACAATTTGAACTGCCAAGTTGCTTGTTTTCACTCTAGACAATTGTAGATAAGTAAGAATTTGCTATCAGATTTTTGGTAGGTGCATTCTTCATGATAAACCAACTATATTTCCAGATTATCTGTCAGGTAATTGGTTATGACTAACCTGACTGATTGACTTTTTATCCTTTTAACAGTTATCATGCATTTTTGTGTTCATTATGCTAAGTTCTTCATACACATTTCATCCTTCTAATATTATTGTCACTTCCATTTGTTAAGTGTTAGAAAGCTAGAAAAAGCCTAAGTTCCAGCCATAAATAGAATTGACCCTCTAGATCTTGTTTCAGCCTCAGCTATTTTCCTTTTTAAAAAAATATATACAGCTAAAGTTAATCATTCCTGATACAATGACCTATTAAGATTCCAGGGAAAAGGGAATTAGGACAAATTTATGTGCTAGGCAATTTACATGTTATTAGTCAGGTAATTATTACACCTATAAAAGATATTATATCCCCATGCTACAGTTGAGAAAGAAGAGTCTCAGAAGTTAGCTTACTTTAATGATAAGAACATTGAAATCCAGAAATGTCATGTAACATCATACAGATAGTCAAACAGTGGCCAAGCACAGGTTTCTCTGGTCCCAAATCCTCAGGATATAAAAGCAAAACTTAAAAGGTCCATATATTTACTAAAATTGACTACTCAAGTTGGCTGGGAAATGAAGAGAGAAGAAACAGATGGACCTGTAGTTGCCTATGAAAAGTGATCCCGCACTCACTATTTGTTGAATGAAAGATTATATTGATGATATCTTCTTTTATACTAGTGCTACTTCAAGTGGATATATTTGACATAAAACAATAATGACAACAGAAAAAAACAATTTTTTAATTAAAAGCACCAAAATAAAACAACATGCTTAGAGAGGGCTCAGGGATACTAGCTACACATAAAAATTGGGATGGGTGGGAACTAAAAATTTTAGGATTAAGAGTAACTATTAATAGCAAAATAATGAATATTGAGACCACCTCCTCCACCCCCATGCCAGATGTTTTGCTCTTATGCCCAACTCCAGATGCTAGCAGCAGAGGGGAAATGGAGGAATCCTCCTGAGAAATTAAATCACTATAGAACTACAGATAACAATAGTCAGATGGTCCATTGAAAAACCTAACTGGTCACTCTTTTGTGCTACAGAGAAGCCCATTATTTTACAGTTGAATCAACATACATGGTTTTCCATAAACTCTTTAACGGTTAACTATGAACAGAGAACTAAGAATTATCAGACACTTAAATAAAGAGACATAAATAAACAAAAGAACAGAACTGACAGAAAATGTGGACAATGGAAAGAATGAATATCTTTGGAGAGATGGAGAAGATATTTCACCATAAATCAACAACAGAATGCTATTAAAAACTAGAATAATTTGAGAAAAATAAAGTATTCTTAATATATGGCAGCTAAAATTTTAATGAAAGTGTTATAAATTGCAGTCAAAAAATAATTCCAGAAAAATAAGCAATATTAAGAAATGAACACAGGAAAAGGCAAAAAAGAAAAGAAAATTTGAAGAACCACAAATGAAGCCTAACGTATAATAAAGAGGCATTCAAGAGATAATGATGGAGAAGTGATTTTTAAGAAAAATGCAAAAAAATCCTAAAATTGAAGAACATAACTTCAAAATATAAAGGCCCTCAATGTGCCTACAACAAGGATTGGAAAAATGATTACAACAAAGTGAATTATGATGAAATTTTAGAACACCAGAGATAAAGATGTGGCATTGGACTTCTATATTGCAATATTGCAAGCTAGAAAGGAGAAAAACAATAATTTTAAGTTTGAAGGGGAAAAAGATTTCTAAATTCACCTTTTCCCTAGAAGCGACTAGAGGATATGTTCCAACAAAACAGGGTTGTTAAAAAACAAATCTAACATTGGAGACAGGATAAAGTAATTCCCAGGATGACTCAACGGCAAATATAGGAAGCAATTACTATGTAGCAGGCTTAGAAGTTGCCAGTACAGATTGAAACCAGAAAATGTAGAATTCTGGGAGTTTTGATGAGAGCACAGATATATTACTTATTAGGTTTAACTGGATGGGAAGTTGTATTAAGGGGCACACTTTGGAATATGAGTGAATAATTAGAGATAAAAAGAAGCCAAGCAAAGGAAAAACAATTATTAATTTTAGAAAATAAGCAGTTGTACAAGAAAACAAAGTAGTGTCAACTATTTGGCTTATGAAGGAAATATATGTGTATAGTAACAACAATAGCATTATACATGTGGATTTAATTCCAAATTGATAAAGCTCTATTGCAAGGATTGAGGGAAGAGAGAAAGAGGTTGTGTGCATCTGTGTGGTGTGTGTGTGTGTGTGTGTGTGTGTGTGTGAGATAAAAGCTAAGCTCTTTATCTACCATTATAAGAGATCAATATATACTATTTAAAACTAATAAATCACAATATAATTGGTCAGGAGTAGACATAATAAAAATTATTGAAAAAGTGGCTGCTCTTGGATAGTAGGTAAGCTGGAGACCAGAGGAACTAGTAGTTCTTTTAAAAAAAAAAAATGCAGTGTTTTTATCGTGGTTAATTTCTTAAACTATGTACTCATGTTGCTTTGCTTTTTAAAAAGTTTGTAAAAATTTCCCATCAATGTCACTTGACCACCCCTGAGGCTATCAATTTTGCAATGCCTCCTCTTTCTGTCTCCAAATTTTCCCTTCAATTATCTGGAATTGGACTAATTCAGTATTAGGTACACTAACTGTTCCTAGAAAGCTAAGAATTTATTCCCACAGTGGTGCTTTTTTTCCATTCTGAGCACAGCAAACATGTTATGTAACTTGGAGTTTCAACAAACACCTGGAAATCAGGCTGTATGTATCGCTCAGATGAGACCAGACATGAGGAGATTGGTAGTGACAAGTGTTGTCACTTCTGTCTCTGACAGCAGGCAAGTGGCAAGCTGTATATACAAGGTCTGATACTATGCTCTCAAAATGAAAAAAAAAAAAATACAAGTGAAAAGTAACATTTCAGTAAGAGCTACCTGAGAAAATAATGGCAAATTACACGATTTAGCTATGCTCTTAGCTTTCATAAAGACCCAAAAACTACGAACTGAGCAGTAGAGCCCTAATTAAGTCTCCTCTTGATCTTCTGTGTTGCACACCCAATTCTCAGGCTGCATTTTATAAAAGCATCATATCATCCTCTAATTCAACTGTTCTTTTTCCTGCCTGGCTGTTGTTTTTTTAATTCCCTATTTTTTTCCTTTGAGTAAAAGGAGGTTAATGTGAGTCATTAAGAATTAAAAAACAATTACACAATGAAAGAATATTTCAGATGAATTTTAATTAGAGCCTAATTTAATGGGACTTGAACCCAGCACACTGGAAATATATAGCAGTAACTTTAGCCATTAAATTGCATGGCCTTTGATTAAACTCAGTGGGAATTTAGAGAGATTATTTTGGCTGCTTGAAGGCACCATGTTTTTTCCATTAATGCCAGAGAAATATATTGAGGGACTAAAATATTACTAATAAAAATAAATGTGAAAGTTGTAAATTTCAAACAATGTAAGACTCATAATTGATACCTGGATTTCCAAATGTGTATGTGACATTTCATTAAGCTTAAAGCTGAAGACACACTGCATTATATCTGATCTCTTTAAAAAAGGAACCTAAATATTTCTACAATTTGTCATCCTTTGGAATCTAACAATAATAAGTCAGAGAATGAGAAAGGGTCTGTTCTAAGCCAAGAGAAAGCCCCCATGCAAGCACTCTGGCCTGATGCTCACATGTGAGGCATTACCATGACCTCCCAGCATTCCCAGTTGTTCCACAACCTTCCAATGGGTTGTTTTTCATCCATAAAATGGGAACAGTGAAATAGGCCATTTGGATGGGAGACCATGGGGTAGATTAATTAAAATTAACACCTTTATCAAACATTTTCAGGAATAGTAATGCATGCTGAGAGTTGGAATTCACAAAGGGATCTGAACTCATTATCTTGGAAATAAGTGATTCCATGTGGAACCACTAGGCTGTATGGCCTTCAGAAATGCCCCTGTGTTTTCATCAGAGCTCAGTCAGCCACTGGAGGGAGCCAGTATGACTCTCAAGGCATAGTAGAATATGATGAACTGGTAGAGAAAGATAATTTTAAGATGGCATGTAAGAATGACAGAATTTGAACAAAATCCCTTTTATTTATTTATGCCAAAATCTGTGTGAATGTAAAATGCCATCTTGATCATGCTTTATTTATGGTGTGTGTTTTTCTTTTGAAAAACAGGAAGGAAGGAAGGAAGAAAGGAAGGAAGAAAGGGAGGGAGGGAGGGAGGGAGGGAGGAAGGGAGTGAGGGAGGGAGGGAGGGGAGGAGAGGGGAGGGGAGGAGAGGGGAGTGTTGGCTGGAAGCTCTTCTCAGCCTGAGCCTGGTTCCCAGTGGCAAGTGCATGAGGAAAGCTCAGAGGGTGGAGCAAACCTCAGCACTCTCCTGACCTGCTGTGGCACGTTCCCTGACTTGGCTTGCCTGTTCTAATCTGGACAAGTTTTAAAAGGCTTGTCATTTGGTGCAGCTAGAAATCATGCCTGTGCATCTCCCATGAAGAGAGGGATGTGCAATATGTAAAATTCCTAAAGACAATTTTATTTATAGCTGTTGCAAACAATGTTTATACAAAGTTTATTAAATATGTCACCCACATTGATTTATTCCAACCAATCTCTTCAATCACTAATATTTATGTGATGGGTTCAGTTGCAACAATTATTTTATATGCTGTAGAGTGTGTTATAACTAGGGATTCACCCTGGCAATTATATCAAAGATAAAAAGCTTCCTGAAGACCTCAGGGCAGGCCAGGAAGTATATTATTGGACACAAGGTAGTTTAAACTGAATGCCACAGCACTAAATTTAGAGTGAGAAATGTGGAGCATCTTATGCTTAAATATTAAAGCTAGTTTCGTGTCCTTTCTGCCGTACCCTTGCTGCTGGGAAGGTGGTAAGCTCTTCTGCACATTCCCTTTCCCACATTCAAATCGTGGGACTGGAAATGCTTTTCTTGTCATCTCCTTGAATTTCAGTCTGCTCTTGCTCCTCAACAGCATTTGTCTAGTACCCAAAGTGGGCAGAAGAGCCTACTTGGCATTTACAAACACCTACAAAGGAAAGTAGACACATGTTAGTTGCCCGCAAGGAATTGGCTTCTGATGTAAGTGACTGAAGCACTGTTAACAAAGAAACCAGAGTTTTGTAAAGAGCCTGAGGTAACCATTGAAACTATAAGATGACAAACTCAACAGAAAAAAACAAAGTTACTTAAAACCACAATTGAATGCAACTTCTGTTTCCTAGGAAAGACTAAATAGCTCTTTGTTTGGCAAAATTGTCTTGACAGACCCACTTTGGTTTAGAGAGTAAGGCCTCAGGGTATGGTATGAAAGTAGAACTAAAACAAAGAGGTAGCAAAACCATACTATAAAAGAAGTTATAGTACTTTGGGGCTGAAGTTCACTGTGGAAAGGAGAGGGAAAGAGGTTGGTATCTAGGAAGAGAAAGAGGGGTGAACAAGGAGGAGGAGAAGGTGATGGCCAACAAGGCTTTGTGTTAGTAAGGCTGGAACATGACCTTTAAGCACAGGTATGTGTAATATTCAGTTGAAATGCTTTGTTCTCTTGTAATATACGTTTCTCATCTTTTCCTCCAATCAATGTTTTGGGAAGTAGGAAGTCTGAACTTAATTGAACAGTTTCAGAAAATCACATTATAATAATCAGGAAACTGAGATACTTTGGTCAAATCAGGAATGCCCGGTCAGAGACTGGAAGGAATCTTCATTGAGAGATGAGGGCTCACCTTAAAATAATTTAAATCTCAGGGCACAGGAATGAACCCTTTTGACCTAAGCATAGTGCAACACTTTCCCAGAAGATGAATAGGCTCTTCTAGTATTTCAACAGCAACTCTGCTTCTATTCTTTTTTTCCTTATTATTATTTTTGTTTTATCTAAAAAACATTTATTTTTCTGCCAAGAGAGGTTTCTTCCCCCACAAACTAAATCTTCCTCGTTAGATGACATTGAATTAGAATTTTAGGCTGCTTCATTTTATTTCCCTTTCTAGTGATTAGCAGTACAGGTAATGGAAAAGTTTGGGAGCTTGGGTGCGGGAATACTGATCTTCTGTATAAACAATCACTTTCAAATAGACTCTATTGAACCTATAGAAGTTTTGTGGCCATCTCTTCTTAGGAAAGCAATTACTCATGAGCTACATGAATCAATCAATTTATTAACGATTTATTGAGTGAGCCTGGTATCAGGCTACATGCTGGACAAGAGACCCAAGAAAGACTTAGATCTGTGGGGAGTTTGCATCTTCATGAAAGAGGGAAGTGGTTTACATTCATCTAAGGAGAACTGTCAAAAACATTATGGAGTGATTCTGATTTTATCTGTCCAACTTATCATTCAATGTAAAGAGGAAAGATTTGACTTCAACTTGATTGTGGAATTTGGGCCTTGCCTTGTAGGTCCATAAAACAGTTATCTATGAGGAAAATTTCACAGAACCTGAAAAATAAGAGGCTCCCATTGTGGCTGTTAAAGGAAAAGTTGCAACCTTAATATTAAGTTGGTATCCAGAAAAAATATATATATAACCAATTTAAAGACTTCACAGTTGTATGTGGTACAGTGCTATAGTATCTCGTTATACTCTTCCTATGGGGATCTTGGTTTACAACCCTTGATAAAGAACGTTCATTCAGTAGAGCCCCACAGAGCCAAATATAGGATAATGTTGCTGACAGAATAACATTCCCCAAATTTCTGTGTCCTGTGGGACCATGATGACAGAGTGTCTAGAGCCTAATTTATATATTCCCTCTGAGTTCCACGTTCCATAGAATTGCCAACCCAAATTGCTATCTGATTGCCATGATTCCTTGATATATGAAATGATGATGGAATTTCCTTGGAATTATATATCTTAAGCCATGATAGCATTCAATAACTTCCAGATGCCTTGACAATGATGGTCCACTGTGTAAGGAATTACCGCAGATTATCTCCCTTTTGATTTGTCACAGTTTTGTATGGAGTTTATTACCAGTAGAAATATTAACCTAGCCATATACAGCTGCATATTTATGAGCTCTTTAGACCACATTACAAAAAGGATTCAGTGATTCTTTTTACTGACATGGAAATGGTCAGTGACATCTGCCAAGGTCCCAGAAAAATCAAGTAAAGAACCATAGTCCTACTGATGTGCATCCTGTCCTAACCACAGAACAAAAATCTAGTGCTCTAGAAACTACCCATTCTTCACATGCAGACAATGAAAAGGGAAAGAGAAGTGGTCATATGCTGTCAACAATATACCACACAGGACAGAGCAGGAGTTTTTCCTGTCTGCAATCTACCTCCGCCTTCATGCTCCTGCCACGAATGTGATCTCTGAGACTGCACCACAGTCCTATACAAAACTAATTGTTCATGTGATTTCCTTTCTCAGCCATTGCAGATGTCCCTTTTTGTAACAATTTAATTAACACTTTAAAATAATCATGCATTAATTAGTGCCAAATTACAACGAAAATCCTGGAGAATTACACTTTATATCAACATTAATGCAAAATGAGTTCCTCCTGGATAATTTTTCTTACAATGAATACAAAAAGAGATAATACTAATTAGGCCATCAATTTAAATTTACCATAATTTCAATCTATGTCATTTATCTGTTGTTTAGCACAAAACAATTGTGGTCTACCATACATTTGTACAGCAATAGAGATTTCTGTATAGCAACCGGACCAGGGTCATCTTTGGGGTATTGTGAGATAAGCCTGAATTTTGCATTTTGTGTCTTAGTTAATGAAAACAGGGTGTGTTTGGGGTGCTTTTTTGTGTGTGTGAGGTGGTGGTGGGGGTTGGGAGACAGAGAGTTTTTTAGTAAAATGAAATGCCCTGACTTGAATAAAGTAAAATACTCAATCTTATACTATGTGTGGTACAAGACATCAGGCTCCGTCTATCAAGTTGCATATAATTCACTTTATTTCCACTCTTAGGGTCATGACCCAGGATTTAGAAGAATTGTATCTGCAGGGTCATTTGTTCATGAACCGACCTAAATCACATCTTCCCATTTCCAGAAGTGACATGATCTGTATCTGTTATATTTTGTTTTTATTGCTTCTAATAAGGAGACATTCCTTTCAGTATCAACAAGAGACAGAGGCTCAAAAGGTTCATTTTACAATGTTAATTGAAGAAGGAAAATATGATGGTGACTCCTCTATTGCAACTATTTTCTTTCTGAAGTGGCCCTTCACACTTGCCTTTTAAGTTGGTATCTGGAACATTCAGGATCTGTAAAACATTTTCTTTTTAGGTCAAAACACTACTGACTAGATATATTTTCATAAAATTGTAAGTGTTTTGTTCTTACAGAAGTCTTTCCATGGTAAGAGAGCATGTTGGGGCACATTCCTTCAAGGCTTAATCTTAAATTATACCCTCTCTTTGAAAAGGATTTCCAACATAATGGGATTCTCACCTCTCATATTTAGGAATCCTGTCATATACATTGCTATCATGCCCTGAAAAACATATTTAATAAAATGGCCAATAATAGAACATAGTGGCTGTGGAAATTTGCTGACAAAACAAAAAATCTTCCAAGAACGAGAATGTTTAACTTCAGAAAGGATATAACATCAGTGTGGTCATGGCCCCCTGTACCTCTAGGGCATTTTCCTCAATGTGTTGCTCCTCTTAGCAATCCGAGTTACCAACATGCTCGTCTTAAGATCTCTTTCCCCTTGCATTAAATGACAAGAAAAATTTGGTTCTTTGCAATTTTCCCCATGTTCTAAATCAGCTATGGAAATTTCTGCTTGCCCAGGTATTCTCAAAGAAAGTAGACAATGGGCCTAAATGAAGTCTGGCAGAAATAAATTAATTTTTTAAAATCAATAAGCTCTGCCTTTGTTCTTATTCAGCTTTAGGGGAATATGTATCAGTGACATTTACCTTGGACTGTGTCTCCATGCCTGAAATAACAAGAGCATGGCAGAGCGAATCAGGTGGCATGGGTCATCCATTCCACCTCCTCAGCCAGTTGACTTCCGGCAGTAAGTGATGAAGATGGTTGAAAACTTGACCTTGTAGGGCTATTTGGTATCGTATAGTCATCCTTCAACCATATGTACCTACTAGAGGCATCAGGATTGTGTAATTCAACATGTGTTCTAAGGCTGCACCTATAGAGTATTTCATGAAGATGGTAAAAATCAATGAGCTAGGTCCTCATATTTGTCATTAATTATATGCTTGAAATTTCTTGAGGTAATACCAGAAATTAAAAAGCATATATTCACAGTTTAGCCTGCTACCTCAAATAGTATTTGTTGGGTTTTTTTGGTCCTTTTCAGCATCACCCTTACATCCCCTCCCTACTGTCTCTTCCCCTTACCAGGAAACAGTAATAAAGACTATGCAAGCTTAGGAGCATTTTAAGATAAAACTATTAAACAAGGATATGGATTATGTCACACTGCAGGCAGATGAATGTTTTTAGGTCTGTCCTTTTAATAGTATCTCAGCAAGGTTATTATAAAAAGAAAGTATTTAGGTTATTTCTCACAGGTGATATAATTCAATCCTTCTAGTTTCAGGTTTATTTTGAAATAACTGGATAGTGAAGTTGATGCCTCTCAAATATTGAATTATATTAGGTTCAAAATAGCAACTTCACAAAGAAACAAGCCTCTTTATTGAACAATCTTCGTGATTTTCTCTACCTGCATTCATCAAAACACAGAACCAGCAGGAACCATAAGATTCTAGTGGTGAAGTCTCAACTCTTGAATTAGATAGGAATTCAGATCCCAGCTCTACCTTGGGCAAGCTCCTTGGCCTCTCTAAGGCTTTCGTTTTCTCATCTAAAAAGTAGAGAAAATAATACAAATTGTTTGGAAGATTGAATGAAAGTACTTAAAAATGTTTTGCACACTTAGTTCAGATTCTGTTGGATATTTGAAAATTCATTTGTTGGTTCTGCCAACATTGATTGATCACCTAACATGGTGCTAGTCCCAGTCACAGGGCCCTGGCAATAAAAAGGTGATTAAGATAGAATCTCTATCTAAAAGAACTTCATAGCTTAGGGGCTTATATAGGTACAAAAGTAAATAATTAAAATATGCTGTGCTATAATAGATGCATGAACAAAATGCTACAAAATAACAATGATAACAAAAAAATTAGAGAGTAATTCTGGAGAATTTGGGGAAGGATTCACAAAATATGTGATATTGAGTTGTAACCCAGCAAAAAATATAAATAACACCATTCCAAGAAACAAGGACAGAATAACCAGCAAGATGGCTGAATAGAAGCCTCCACTGATCACTCTCCCCATAGAAACACTACATTGAACAAGTATCCACACAAAAAAACACCTTCATAAGAACAAAAAATCAGGTGAGCAATCACAGTACCTCGTTTTAACATATTATTAAAAGAGGTACTGGAGAGGATAGGAAAAACAGTCATAAACTACTGCCACCATCCCTTCCCCATCCGGCAGTAGCCACATGGTGGGAGAGAGAATCCGTGTACTTGGAGGAAGGAGAGCACCGTGATTGTGGGACTTCGTATTGCCAACTTGGGCTAAAGTGTGTTGGGGTTCTAAATAAACTTGAAAAGCAGTCTAGGCCACAAGGACTGCAATTCCTAGGCAAGTCCTAGTGCTGTGCTGGGCTCAGAGCTAGTAGACTTGAGGGGCATCCAACCTAGTGAGACACCAGCTGGGGTGACCTAGGGAGTGCTTGTGTCACCCCTCCCCTAATCCCAGGCAGCTCAGCTTGCAGATGTGGGAGAGACTCCTTTCCTATCCTTGAGGAAAGGGAAGAGTAAAGAGAACTTTTTGTCTTGTGACTTGAATATCAGTTCAGACACAGTAGGATAGGGTACCAGGTAGAGTCCTGAGGCCCCCATTCCAGACCCTAGCTCCCAGAGGACATTTCTACACACACCCTGGGCCAGAAGGGAACTAGCTGCCTTGAAGGCAAGGACTCAGTCCTGACAGAATTCATCACCTGCTGGCTAAAGAGCCGTTGGGGCCTGAATAATCAGCAGCAGTAGCCAGGCAGTACTTGCCATGGGCCTTGGGTGGAACTCAGAGCTGTGTTGGTTTCAGGTGTGACCTGATGCATTCCCAGCTGTGGTGGCTATGAGGAGAGACTCCTACTTGAGAATAGGAGAGGGAAAGGTAAAGGAGGCTTTTTCTTGCAGCTTAGATACCAGCTCAGCCACAATGGGGTAGAGCACTAAGTGGGCTCTTGGGATTCCCACTTCTAGGCGTTGACTCCTGGATGACATTTCTTGGTTTGCCTGGGGCCAGAAGGGAGCCCACTGCCCTGAAGGGAGATACGCAGGACTGGCAGCATTCACCACAAACTGACTGAAGAGTCCTTAGGCCTTTAGTGAACATCAGTGATACCCAGGCGGTACTTGCCACAGGCTGGAGCTGGGGAGGCAGGGAGGGGGTGGCCACAGGGAAAGACTCCTCTGCCTGTGGAAAAGAAAGGGAAATGTGGGAAAGACTTTATCTTGTGGTTTGGGTGCCAGCTTAGCCACTGTAGAATAGAGCACCAGGCAGATTCCTACGGTTTTCAACTGCAGGTCTTAGCTCCCAGACAGCATCTCGGGACCCACTTGAGGCTCACCACCCTGAAGGGATGGACACAAGTCTGGCTGGCTACTCCACTTGCTGACTGTAGTGCCTAGGGCCTTGAGAGAAGATAGGCAGTAGCCAGGCAGTGGTCACTGTGGGCCTTGGATGAGACCCAGTGATGTGCTGGCTTCAGATCTGACCCAGAGCAGTCCCAGTGGTGGTGGCTAGAGGGGTGTTTGTGTCATCCCTCCCCCAGCTCCAGACAGCTCAGCGGAGAGAAAGAATCTCTTTGTTTGGGAGAAAGTAAGGAAAGAGAACAAGAGTCTCTGCCTTGTAATTCAGAGATTTCTTCCAGATCTTATCCAAGACCACCATGGCGGTATCTCTATGAGTCTGCAAGGGCCGCAGTGTTGCTGGGCTTGGGGTGGCCCCTAATGCAGATTTGGCTGCAGTAACCAAAAACTTAGATCACAATACCCAAGCCCCTGTGAATACCTGGAAAGCCTTCCCAAGAAAGACAAGTATAAACAAGCACAGAATACAAAGATTACAGGAAATATCTAACTCTTCAATGCCCAGATACCTATGAACATCCATAAGCATTAAGACCATCTAGGAAAACATGACCTCACCAAATGAACTAAATAAGCCACCAGGGACCAATCCTAGAGATACTGAGATATGTGACCCTTCAAATAGAGAATTCAAAATAGTTGTTTTGAGGAAACACGATGAAATTCAAGATAACATAGAGAAGGTTTTAGGAAACAAGGACAGATGTAGGAAAGAGGTGGTATCATCACGTGACAACCTACCCTGTGTGGTTGAGTATGGTATACACAGGTTCATAACATCCTGTTTATGAAGACATCAGATTGTTCAAGCAAGATTAGATGTGAATTACCAAACCATATGTTTTTCCTATTTATAATTCTGGGCAGTTTGGTAAACATATAAAAAGCCTTAAATTTTTAAGTATGCTATGCCACAGCATTCCTGTTTCTAGAGATTTATTTTAAGGAAACTGGCATAGATGTGAACAAAGCTTTAGTTAGGAACTTCTGGTTCCTACCAAGATGGGAAACTAGAAGGGCTATTGGATATCCCTGCTCCAAATGCATCCTAGAGACATTAATAAAAAATGGGAAAAAGATTCTAGGAACAAACAGCACCACAAAACTTTGGGAAACCACTGGTAGAACACAAAGGACTTCTGACTTTTGGTTGTGTGCCAATGACTGGATGCAACAAGGGGTGAAGTGCTATAATTGGAGACACAGGGTAACTGGATATGGCTGTCAACATATGAACTGGAGATGAAAGGTTTAATTTTTGTTTCCTCCCATTGTCTGGGGATCTTTAATGCCTTCATTTTGCTGCTGGCCAGGGCATCTGGTTCTGGGGGTACAGGATCAAGGTAGCATAGCAAAAAATCCCTCAAGAGGTAAAAAAAAAAAATTAGGGTAAACAGATTCCTACCCATCAGCCTTTCTCAGGCACTCACTCATCCTCTCCTCTACTCTGAACTCCACGGCTGGTGGACTACAATGTTGGGAGTCTGTCTTGCCATTGCTGCTTGATTAAGCCTTTCCCAGAGGAGTTGCCTGGTGCTGTTGCAGCAAAAGGGAGTGGTCAATGGTGTGCTTAGCTCTCTGCTGTGGGCTCATGCTTCTTTTGCTTCTGAAACTTGCCTGGTCTGACTGAACTAGGACTTTGGTACTTTGGCTCTCACACTGTAAAGTCTACCAGACAGTGCAGCTGACACTCAGAAAAGAACATGGACTTGTGGTCAAAATAAGGAATATAATATGACAGGCAACTACTTAACAGAACACATATACTACATTAAAAAATGTACACCCTTTGTAAGTAAATTTTTTGTATAGATAGATGAATAACATAAAATAAATTGATAAAAATACTTATGTAATTAGGAGACAGGACCAGGAATAATAAAAATGAGTTAAAGAGTTAGATGAACACAGCTGAAAAAAAAATTAGTGAGTCAAAAAATTAGATTAAGAAGCTCTCCCAGAAGGCAGTAGGAAAGAATGAAGAGGTAAAACTCAAAGAAGGTGATAATTTTAAAGGATAGAAGTGCCATTATCTGGATGTAAGGAATCTCAGAAAGAAAAAGAAAAACAGGATGAAATATTCAAAGAAATAATGGCAAAAATGTCCCAGGATTTTTAAAAAGTGAAAGACCTTGGCATGAGGACTTAACACCAAACAAGAGAGATAAAACCTCACACAAGGAATAACAAAAACAAAAAGTAAATTCTACTACCTTTCAGAAAGGAAGAACAGTTCACCCACAGGAAAGAAAAGTAAGGATGATATCAGATTTCTCCATAGCAGCATTGGATGGGAGAAAACAATAAAGTAATATTTTAAACTATTAAAAGATAATTACAAAGATGTTTACTTTGGCATTGCCTGTAATACCAAAATATTGGAAATGACCTGCATGTTAATATAATGGCACATTATGCAACCAGTTAAAAATGCTGTTGCAGAGAAATGTGCAAAAACGTAACAAGGTGTTTGCAATACATATATTGCTTTGTGAATGAAAGAGATTATACACATATCCAGGGTGATCCCATTTTTATATAAGTGGAAAGACTGAAAGAATATATGCGGGAATTTTAGTTTTTATTTTTGAGGATTGGTGGTCTGGATACTATGATTTTATTTTTGTATTTCCTGTTATCCACATTTTCTCTGATAAGCTTTACCACTTTTCTTAGAGAAAAAAATGATACTTTATAACTGATAGAACTGAAAGGCTGGATACTAATTGAGAGCAATTTTAAACACTGGGAAGCTGCTGCAAAGGTCCTGGTGAGGTGTCACAAGGCTCAAGTTAAAGCTGTAACAAAGTGGGTAGATCTGGGAGGATCTATTGGATTGACACCCAAGAAAAATGAATGGGAATTGGTTAGCAATTGGATAGAGGACATGTCAAGGATGACTCTAAAGATTCTAGCTTCTCTGATATTTTACTTATCATCAATTCCTAAATTTAGACTTGAAAGAACTATTAGATATGCCCTTCTAAAAAAATGCTGTGATACACAAGGCAGATATTTATACTACGTTTCCAACAGCTCCTTCTATGAAAGCACTTTTGAAGCTGATTTGTACGTGCACCCACATTGCAAGCCACAGATATTTTATTTTCAAGAAAAACATTTTCTGCAAACTCTTTCCCCACCTGTGTCATTAAGTGAAAGCAATTGCTTTATTCACCACTAACCTCTGTCTGAGTTCTTTTGAATGCAGGTTCAAAGGCACATTCCATGAATATATCTTGTTCCCATGTGTGTTGAAACCTGCTGGCAAAATATGTGTTATTTCATATTCCTAAGGTAAAATGGGCCAAGTACATGAAGAGACAATTTACAATAGAAACAAACAAAGGACGAATATCCATAAGAAAAAAAATATTCAATTACCTTAAATTAAACCTACTTTTTAAATGGCATAATCGCCTTTTAAAAAGATAATATGCAGTGGTGGCAGCATATTGGGAAGATAAATATTTTCTCATATGGTTGTTAACTTTCTTGAAAACTTTATCACTACATACAAAAAGCATTAAAACTATCCTTTTCTTCCAACCCAGAAGTCCTATTTCTAGGAATCTATGCTAGGAAAATAATTAGGAATATAGCTAAGGATTAATTAATGTTTAAGATGAGCAATAAGATAATAAATTTTCTAAAAGCACGTTAAAAACATTTAATGATATGAAATAATGCTGATGCTAAAGAAGTGACAAAACTCAATATGCCATAGGATCTTGATTTTTAAATAGTTTATTTGGTTGTTTAAAAAAAAGGAATGAGAAGAAAGAACTTGAACTATCAGCAATGATTACCTCTGTATGATGGCATTATTAGTGGTTTTTTACTATCATTATTGTCCTGGTTTTATTCAAAGTTTCTAAAGTCAGAAATATGGGGATCTTTAAATCAAACTATTCAAAACAATTTATGTCCAATATAGCTTTATATTGGACATAAAGAATGATGTTGGACATTCTTTCATTCTTAATGAAGCATGTATATGCTGCATACACAAAGAAAAAAATTATATATTTATATAGATATATAAATAGATAACAAACAGATACAAAATTCAGTTCAGTAACTTAGGAAAATTACCACATGGCCATAGTCACATGTTTATTTAAGGACAATGTTGTCTAGGAATTGTCCATCATTTAGTCAACGTTTACTGAGAGGCTGCAGTTCATAACATGCCAGAGGTGAAGAGATTGACAACTAATACAGTCCAGACCCTAAGTTCACTTTCAGTGGGAGGCACTGAGAAGTCACTGAAAGCTCTCAAATGCAGAGTGAAATAATTAGACATTTCTGGTAATAATGTGGACAGTTGATTGGTGAGGTAATAGTTGAGGGACAGGACATCCAGATAGAAAAGTATTTTATTTTAACAATCCAGCGAGGAAGTAATAAAGCCTGAATTGGGAGTGCGGGGCTGGAGAGCAGATGAGGTTTGGGAAAGTATTTAGGAAAAAGAATTGATATAGTAGAGTCAGATTAATTAGGGTGAAAAGGTAAGAGGGAGTTAAACAGAACTGACTTTTCTAGGTTGGGTAACTGCAGAAGGCAGTGTCAGTGCCTGAGATACCCTATCAAACATTTGTCCACAATCTCACCACACTGTGGGCTTTTAATAAATATCAATTCATTAACTACTTAGGCTAATTTTTGGTCTTCTTTTGAGGAACCCAAGTTTGGAATAATAGCTGTTTACTTTTAGCTTCTTGTGAGTTTGAGAAATTTATGAGAAAATAAGGACATGTGAATTGCATTTTAAAGATGCATTAATAAAATTTAGCTAGGATATGCAATATGTTCTGTGCCATTTTTGTCTAGGCATCATTTTTACATCAACAATACCAAAAGCAACTCCTAGAGAAATAAGACAATTTTTAAATTTTCTACTTTATATTAATTAGTAACTAATTTGAAATGTCTTAATGTAAAGGTGGAAGATATTTCTGGTCCAGTCGCTAGCTTTAATTAGTTATTTCTAAACCAATATATTTTCTTCCTTTCTTTGGGCTCCATATGTTCTTCTCCACTGAGATCTAAATGTATGCCCTCACTGAGACACAGTAAACAGGCATATTCATAAAGAGTGCTTTCTTGCAGGAATGCCCTCTTGACATCATTATGCATATAAAAATAATCTTAGAAAATAAGAAATTACAAAAGCGAGGGATGTTTGAATGCATTCTTCTGTTTTACTAAAGTTGTTATAGATTCATCTACCTCAGCATTAGACTGATCTTAAAAGTATTAGATTCCAGCCATTCACCCAGTGCTTGTGCCACATCCCTACCAGGTGGTCAAGTCCTTGTTTAAACACCCCACAAAGGGGCTATTTGCTCTGCAAATATATTGTAAAATGTATTATTTAATTATTAATATATTTTAACTATTAAAATATATTTTAGTATTACCTTTCAGTACCTTGAAATTTATCTTCCTGCAGCTTATATTTATTGATCCTAGTTCTATCTCATAAATCCAGGTCTCCATTTTGTATATTAGTCTTTTAATTACTCACGTTTTTCTAAGTGTTTTCTTCTTCATTCCCTTCACTTACTTCTAATGTGCCTTCATCTCTTCATTATCTGAATTGCTTTATTCTGAGCGTATACTAGATTTGTTCATATCCTTATTTTTTTAAAAACAAACTTGCTTATGAATCTATAAAAACAATATCCTTCTTAACAGTTTCTAAATTTGATAGACAGCTATTTAAAACACATTTTTAAGAAAGGTCATAGGCTGGGCAGGGTGGCTCATGCCTGTGATTCCAGCACTTTGGGAGGCCGAGGTGGATGGATCACCTGAGGTCAGGAGTTGGACACCAGCCTGGCTAACGTGGTGAAATCCCGTCTCTACTAAAAATACAAAAATCAGCCAGGTGTGGTGGCACACTCCTGTAATCCCAGCTACTCGGGAGGCTGAGGCAGGAGAACAGGGTTGAAACCAGGCAGCAGAGGTTGCAGTGAGCCGAGATCGTGCCACTGCACTCCAGCCTGGGCGACAGAGACTCTGTCTTAAAAAAAAAGGAAAGTCATAACTGATCTCTCTCCCTCCAGATATGTTTCTGTTAAATTCAGTTTCCATTCAGAAACTAGACTAATCTATCCAAATTGCATTCCCTACTTTGCTGGTTCAGGTCGTTCTATAAGCAGATGCGAAAACAGAATTATAAGTGTGAAAGAATTATTGAGGACCTTGCCTGTGTGCCTGTGAAGAGGGAACTGCAGAAGGCAGCGTGAGCCCTCAGATTGAGATGCAGGTCTGACACTTGTGAAAAGAGAGGCTGAAAGTAAGGGGATTGAAAAGGAAATGTCTCAGACTTCAGCACTGCAAAAAAAAAAAAAAAAAAACCAAACGAACGGAATACATGCAATATAATAAAAGTCATACTAATTTCAGCTTTTTGCTCTCATGAAACAAAATGATAAAATATTCTGAAGTATTATGTACAGAATTCTGGGGCAAAAACAACAATAAAGTGAGAATTAGTCAAAGATATATGTATTAGGGTTCATTTGGGAAAACAAAAAGTCACTATAGGTATTTTCAACAGAGATAACTTTATACAAATAATTTTTATGTGTGTCTGAAGGGCTGGGATGGTGTCTTGGTTCATTTGGATTGCTGTAACAAATTACCATAAACTGGGTGGCTTATAAACAACAAAAGCTTATTTCCTATAGTTCTAGAGGCTGAGAAGTTCAACATCAAGGTTCCAGCAGATTCAGTGTCTGGTGAGGGCTCTCTCTTTTGGTTCACAGACAGAGCCTCTTCACTGCATACTCACAATGGTGGAAGGGGCAAGGTAGCTCTCTGGGGTCTTTGTTCTGTTCTTTTCTTTTCTTTTCTTTTCTTTTCTTTTCTTTTCTTTTCTTTTCCTTTCTTTTCTTTTTTCTTTTCTTTTCCTGTCCTTTCCTTTCCTTTCCTTTCTTCTCTTCTCTTTTTTCTTTTCTTTTCTTTTTCTTTTCTTTTCTTTTTTTTTTTTTTTTTTGAGATGGAGTCTGGCTCTTTCCCCCAGGCCGGACTGCAGTGGCACTATCTCTGCTCACTGTAAGCTCCGCCTCCCAGGTTCACGCCATTCTCCTGCCTCAGCCTCCCAAGTAGCTGGGACTACAGGCCCCCGCCACCGTGCCCGGCTAGTTTTTTGTGTTTTTAGTAGAGACGGGGTTTCACCGTGTTAGCCAGGATGGTCTTGATCTCCTGACCTCGTGATCCGCCCACCTCGGCCTCCCAAAGTGCTGGGATTACAGATGTGAGCCACCGCACCCGGCCTGGGGTCTTTTTTCTAAAAGTGCTAACCCCATTTATGAGAGCAGAGCCTTCATGATCTAATCACTTCCAAAATGCTCTACCTTCTAATACTATCACATGGGGGATTAGGTTTCAACATATGAATTTGGTGCGGGGGACGCAAACATTCAGACCATAGCTGATAGCAGAAAGGAGGGTTGGAAGAACAAAGATACAAAAGGGATTATACCAAGAGATCAGAAGCTGGTAAGACACCCAAGCTGGAGTCAATGAGTCTGCCCCTTCTGCTACCTGTTGGAGATGGTGTTTCAGTTGGTTCTGTATCTGCCAAAGGTGTATTGCCTGGACCAGAGCGAAACCAAGAAAAAGATGCTATCTGTGCCCTCGCTGCTAGAGTCCGCTATCAACACACCCCTGCTGCTAGTACAGCTACTAACAGTAATTGACAATGGCTGCCATACTGTCGGATCCAGAAGGAGAAAACTTTACTGTTCCTGATGTCTTTTTCTCTCTCACTAGTATCTTCTATTAGTAGAACTCATCAGGAAGATAGCTGGTAAAGAAGGTCAAGAAACAGCTTGTAGACTTCTAGTCTTTAATACACAGAAAAGCACAGAAGGGTGGGAATAGGAGCTGAGGGCAAAGAGTCAAATGGCTGGTATAGTATATATGCTAATCAACAATGAACTCAAGAATGTTGGAGTTATAGTATAAAATGAACATTGAGAATTTAAACTACATATAGAATTTCTAGTTTTATTGCATTGTAAGATTTTCCCCCATAGTTTTATTTTGAAAATAAGATGTTTCAGCTTTGGCTCAAATATTAGGCTTAAATATATGAATTCTTATATATTTTAAAAAGAACTAGTAACCTGTGCTTCTAGAGTATAAAAGATGCAGATAATACACACACACATGCATGTATTTATAATATTCTTAATTACTGTCATTAACAATTTTTTTCTTTGTCCAAATCCCCGCTTCAAATAAGCAGAAACATGGATCACAATTTTCAAAGGAGATTCTGGTTAATTGGGCTAGGCAGGGGGATCAAAAGGAATTAACCATGGGCTGTAAAGCATATAGTCTTGGAAGATCTGTGAAAGGAATATCAGACTCCTCTTGATGTCCTGAGTAGCAACCTCTTTGCCTCACCTCTAATTTCAGCCATGATAGCAGCAGACCGTTCCTTGAGCCTTCCACTCATTTTGTGCTGATAGTGCCCTGCTCAAACGATGACCTAATGTCTGCATGTCTTTCACTTTCTGCCTGGCTTCTCTCATTTTACAGAAACTAGAAGGAGCAACCAGCCTGTGAAAACAGGAGATTTCAAGGAGTTAATGCCCTTAGGAGCATCTCCCAATCCATGCTAGACAGAAGCTGAAATAGAAATAATGCTTCTCATTTACCCTCTGTAACACCATTGTGAGTTATTTTCTATGCTCCTTAGACAGTTCTGGGTGGGATTGAGCCACATGTGTCCTCCATGCGGTCCTTAAAAACACACCCTTATATTATCTTTTCTCTCTTCTTTTCTTCCCCATTCCTCATTCCTACTTCCTGAGGAGTAGGAACACATGTCCTTATTTTGGGCTTTGTTTACCAAGGAAACTAAAGCTAAATTATAAGGTAAATTAATAACTAAGATCCAACTAAGCCACATTTTGAGGAGTCTGAGCAAAAAGAAGAAATACCTTATGTGACCCTGAGGCTTTAGTGGCATTGAAGAAGGCCCTTGTTTTTATAGATTCACAAAAGGCATTAGTGGAATAGGACAGAGGAAGTGGGGCCTGACAGAGTGTTTCCAGATTTCCTGCCACCTTTCACACTGGAAGCAAGAGAGCAGCTAACATTATTCAGAAAACACTGTCATTCTCTTCCCTCCACATCCTCACTTCTTCTTCACTCACTGACGTTTTGACTGATTATTCTGAAAGTAAAACATAACACATACCTGCACATGTGCACATATGTGCACACAGAGCAACTATCTAGCATCTGTCTACTGCTTATCATTTATCCATATTTATATCTATAAACACATACTATATATAATACATTATATATGTATTGTATATGCATATAAGCATGTATATTCTTTATTCTTTGTCATGTTTACATTTAATATTCCATTTAGTAGACTTCAATACCTCATTTAGTCTAAGCTGCATTCACTTTTTTCCTCCATAGTGGTTGTCCTCTTATTCATGTAATTCTATGACTTCGGTTGACCTTTAAATTACCGGTTATTAAGCTGCCTTATTTTTCTTTCCTGAGTTTCCATTTTGATAAAATTTGTAAGTTATTCAAAGCACTCTTTTAAGTAAATTTATGAACTGTAATTTCTTAAATTTTGTGAAAACTTGAGGTTTGTTCCTGTTTTCTTTATGCACAAAAGGTAGCTTATTTAATAATGCAATTTTGGAGTCATAAACAGTTTTTTGAGCTAAATTGCTTTTTTTCTTAAAAAAAAAAAAAGCATTTGTTGCAGAAAAGAAATCTGGGGACAATGTGATTTTAATTGTTTTGCTGAAAATATACTTGACTTCCTACCTAGCCATATACCACCACAACCACTCCTGGATCACTTAGCCAAAGCTAACTTGCTCAGATGTTCTTTTAAACAAAATAGTTAAAAACTAGTTCATTTCTTCAATAAGCATTTACTGTATATTGCATAATGCCTCTTGCATAATGCCTATTGCAATAGTCATTTATTGTATATTTATGTATATCAGACAGTATTTTAGGTAGTGGGCAAATAATAGCAAACCAAGAGACAAAAATTCCAGTTTTCCTGGAGCTTAAATTCTAGTAGATAAAAAAGACATTATATAATATAGGTAAACATTTATAATATTTTACATGGTAGTAAGTGCTAAGGATTCACCTTTCAAATTTAAGTAACTTACCATGTTATTTGTGTCTCCTTTCATTACTCTGCTTCTTACACTTCTTTCCATTTTAATTCTAAAATCTTTTATAAACTTTAGAAACTCTAATCCATTATATTCTCTCCCTAACTTTACATTTATGTTTTCTTTTTCTTCATTTTACAAGTATTTTCCAAGAATGTCCTTTGAAATACTTATTTTCTGCAGTATCAATTAGCAACTTCCAGATTCCAACAGCGATTTATCTTCATTCTTCTATCATTTTTAAAGTCATCTTTTTAAATAATAGAAATTCGTTTGCTCACTCAAAAATATTTACATTTATTTTGTTCCAGGTGCTAGAGAATACAAAGATGAAAATACTGTGAGTAATATATGTATATGCTTATAGTGAGAATACAAAGCAAACATCTTTTAAAGCAATTTCCCTTTTCTGTGATCATCTAAATCTAATCATGGGAAGAATTTACACTTCTGTACTGCTGATTTCTTTTTCACAAGTTATATGTTGACATTTTCTGTTTACTTGTCTTTGAACAAAAAGATTTCTGTTTAGTCCATGGGTTTAAGGATAGCCAGGATATAAGGATTAGACTCCATTCTACACAATAGACAAAGATACTGGCAAGCTACCCAAATGCTCATTGAAACTGGAATACAACTTAAAGGGCTAAATTGTTAGCCTTGGCTAAATGATATTTATTCATTCCTTTGTTCATTTCTTTTGTTTGTTGGTTTATTTGTTCATCCAACCAATTTTTGTAATGGAGTCCAATCTAAAGAACAAGAAAAGCTACTAGTAGCTTATCAAATTTACTGTGGGACTTTGAAGCATATGGAATATGAAAACTGGTGGAAACTTTAGGCAGAGAATTTTGCTTGTATGTGTACCTTTAAAAATGAACATTTGCTCAGAGGAAATCTGTGGTGCTGGCATAGAAGTAGGAACATCCTGAATCTGTGGCTCAAATAATCTGCTTGATGCAAGAGTTAAGTGAGAAAAATGGAGAAGGCTTAGAACTAAGATTCTTAGTCCTAACCCATTAGAAGAAAGATTTGAAAAATTCCTTCCAGAACCTGGTTTCTCATTTCACAGCAGTATTACTGGTTTCTCATTTCAGAGCGGTATTACATTGAATATGGTGTCTTTTCCAGACAGTTTCATAATTATATTAAGATTCCATAGATTGCTGGTCCTTCAAATCCCTAAAGGATAAATTTTCCATAGTGTGAAGTATAGAACTCCAAACCAATTTTTGATCATTTTATCATTAAAAATGTCAAATATAAAGTATGATAGAGATTTTTTATAATAGACAGAGTAAACTTTGTTGTGTGCTTGAAATTAACATTATATTGGACTTGTTTTATCATAATATATACTCATATATCCATCAATCTGGCTATTCATTAATTCATTTTACTTTTTAGAAATATGTCAACATATTTCTCCTTAAATATTTCAGCATCCATTGCATTAGAGTTCAATCCTTTTTGCACATTTTAATGTAAAATTTGTACAGAATAAAATGCACAAATATTAAGTGTATGTTTGGTGAATTTTGACAGATTCTGTGTAACTCAAGTTCTTACAAAGATATAAACTATTACCATCAGAAAATCTTTAATAGAATTTTTAGTCAATTCCTTCCTTTATGCTCTCAAAGTCAAAAGTTGTCTTACGTTTTTCTACCACAAATTAGTTTTGTTTGTCTTAGAACTCCAAATAAATGAAACCACACAGTGTGTACTATTTTATGTAAGACTTCTCTTAGCACAGTTTTTGATATTCAGCCATGTTGTGTGTTTCAATAGTTTGTTCTTTGTATTGCTGAGTAACATTCCATTGTATAAATATACTACAGTTGATTTATTCTTCTATTTACATACATATGGTTGCTTTCAAAATTTAGCTATTTTGAATAAATCTGAAATTTTATTCAATATTTTGTTTCAGATGTTTGCATGTATGTCTATGAGGGATATTGATTGGTAATTTTTTTACAATTTTTGTCAGCTATTAGTATTAGGATTATACTGGCCTCATAAAATGAATTACTAAGTGTTCTGTCTTCCTCTAATGTCTGTAAACCTTTGTATAAGCTTTGTACTTTTTCTCCTTATATATTGCACATAATTCACAAATGAAACCCTAAAGACATGCAGTTTTCTTTGTAGAAAGGCTTTAATAATTGGTTTATTTATTAGACATAGGGATATTTAGACTTTCAATTTCTTCATATGTTGATTTTGGTAAGCTACCTCTCTCTGCTCTCTGCTTCCCCAGGATTTCTTTATTTCATCTAAGTTGTCAAACTTATTGGGTAAATGTTTTCAAAGATTGTCTCATTATCCAATGTCTCTAGGACCTGTTGTGATAACTACACTTTCATTCTTCTTGCTGGTTTATTTTATCTTATATTAGTGTAGCCACTCTGGCCTTGTTACGCTTACTGTTCCTTTGGCATATCTTTTCCATCACTTGCTTTCAATCTAATACATTCAGTCTATTAAATGTATCTTTAAATTTAATATGTATTTGAATGTATCAACTCATTTAAATTGAGCTTCTTGAAGATAGCAAACAGGTGAGTCTCGATTTTTATACGTTTTGATAATCTCTGACTTTTAATTGGAGAGTTTAGTCATTTATATTTAATATAATTGTTGATAGGATTGGGTTTACTTCCCCTATTTTATGATGTGTTTTTTGTTTGTCCTCTATGTGTTTTGATTCTCTGGCCCTATGTTTTTGTCCTCTTTTGGATTTTAAAATGGCATTTAAAAATGCCATTTTTTCTATTGGCATTTTAGATATACTTCTTTGAATTTTTTAGTGGTTGCAGTATAGATTAAACTACAGGTCTTTACTTTTTCACAGTAGAGTTAATCTTGTGCCATTTCACATAAATTCAGATAATTTGCAACTGTTAAGTTGCATATACTGGACCATATTTATAGGACTTTATGTTGTTCTCCACCCCCCATATTTTTCCTGTCATGGATTTATGCTTTGCTTATATGTACATTATAAACCATATGAGACAAGGTTATGATTTTTGCTTTAAATATTCATGCAAAGTTTTTTTTAAAAGAGGAAATTGAAATAGTAATTTAAGATGTTTTTGCCATTTTCAATGCTCTTAATTCCTTCTGAGGATATGAGAAAGAAGGATATTATTTCTCTTCAGCCTCAGAGTTTCCTTGGCAATTCTTTTAATTTATGTCTGCTGGCAGCAGATTGTCTTAAAGGTTTTTTTCACCTGAAAATGCATTTTCCTCCACATTCTGGAAGAATATTAGTGCTGGATATAGAACTCTTGGTCGACATTTTTGTTTGATTTTTTGCTTTTGCTTTCACCAGCTTAATACTTTCTCTGCTATCTTCCATGATCCAAGGTTTCTAATAAGTAAACAGTAAAATAATTCATTTTAATCTGATGTGTATAATGTTTAATTTTTTTTTTGCTTGCTTTGAAACATTTTTTCTTTTGGTTTTGTATATTTTTTTCTATTATACCTAGG
Source organism: Homo sapiens (assembly GCF_000001405.40). Taxonomy (NCBI): domain Eukaryota; kingdom Metazoa; phylum Chordata; class Mammalia; order Primates; family Hominidae; genus Homo; species Homo sapiens. Next base: position 88,040,304 of record NC_000001.11, on the reverse strand, counting down.
TATGATTTTCTTCATATTTTTCCTGTTTGTAGATTGCTGAGTTTCTTAAATATTTAAATTTATGTCTTTTACCGTTTTGAAAAAAATTAGCCATTATTTCTTCAAAATCAATTCTGCTCTCTTCTCTCTTTTTTTGTCTGACACTCCAATTACACATACAAATAGATCATTTAATATTATCCCATAGGCCAATAAAGCTTTCTTTCTTTATTTTTTGATCTTTATGTTTTCTAGTTCTTAGAGTGAATAATTCCTATTGATCTATCTTCAAGTTTACTGGATATTTCTTCTGTCTTCTCTTTTCTTCTGCTAAATGCATACACTGCATATTACATGTCAGACATTTATAAGTCAGATATTTTAAGTTCTATAGCTTTCTTTATTTGGTGTTGCATATATTTCTCTGCTGAGGTTTCCTATCTCTTCATTCATTGCAACTATCTTTGTATTTACAGCTTTAAAAGAGATATGGTAACTGCTTTAAAATCCCTATATGCTAATTCCATACCTAAATCATTTTGAGGTTGATCAATGTTGGTTATCTTTTCTAGACAATTGGTCACATATTCCTGTTTCTTTTCATGTTGTGCCTTTATGGATTCTAGACATTGGGATTGCCATGTTAAAAAGAGAAGTTAGGTCTTCTTGTTTAACTGAACCCTTTACCATTATGTAATGCCCTTCTTTGTCTTTTTTTTAAATCTTTGTTGGTTTAAAGTCTGTTTTGTCTGAAATTAGGATTGCAACCCTTGCTGTTTTCTGATTTCCACTTGCTTGGTAAGTTTTTCTCCGTGGATGTCATTGCATATTAGATGGGGCTCTTGAAGACAGCATACCATTGGGTCATGATTCTTTACCTAGCATGCCACTCTGTGCCTTTTAATTGGGGCATTTAGCCTGTTTACATTCAAGGTTATTAATATGTGCAGATTTGATCCTGTCATTGTGTTTTTAACTGGTTATTATGCAGAATTGTTTGGTTACTTTATAGCATCAAGAGTCTATGTACATGAGTGTTTTTCTAAGTACACTTATGTAACAGTCTTTCCTTTCCACATTTAGCATTCCTTTCAGGACCTCTTATAAGGCATGTCTGGTGGTAACAAATTCCCTCAGCATTTGCTTGTCTGAAAAGGAACTTACTTCTTCACTTATGAATCTGAGTTTGACTAGATACAAAATTCTTGGTTGGAAATGCTGAATATAGGCCCCAAATCTCTTCTAGCTTGTAGGGTTTTTACTGAAAGGTCTGCCGTTAGCCTGATGGGGTTCCCTTTGTAGGTGATCTCCCCTTTCTCTCTAGCTTCTTTCAACATTTTTTCTTTCATTTCAAGATTGGGAATTTGATGTTTATGTGTCTTGGGGACAGACTTCTTGTGTAATATCTCTTGTAGGGGTTCTCTGCATTTTTCAAATTTGAACATTGGCCTCTCTAATGAGGTTGGGGAAGTTTTCATGGATGATATCCTGAAATATGTTTTCCAAGTTACTTGCTTTCTCTTTCAGGGATGCCAATGAGTTGTAGATTTGGTCTCTTTATATAGTCCCATATTTCTTGGAGGTTGTATGTTCTTTTTTACTCTTTTTTCTTGATTTTTTCTGACTGAGTTATTTCAGAGATCCAGTCTTCAAGCTCTTAAGATTCTGTTCCTCAGCTTGGTCTATTCTGTTGTTAATACTTGTGATTGCATTAAGAATTTCTTGCAGTGTGTTTTCCAGCTACATCAGGTCAGTTAGTGTGTTTTCCAGCTACATCAGGTCAGTTTGCTTCTTTCTTATAATGGCTATTTTGTCTATCAGCTCCCATACTGTTTTATTGTAATCCTTAGATTCCTTGGATTGGGTTTCAACTTTCTCCTTATTCTTGGGGATCTCGGTTCCTATCCATATTCTGAGTTATATCTCTGTCATTTCAACCATTACAGCCTAGTTAATAACCCTTGCTTGGTGTATTAGTCTGTTCTCATGCTGTTATATATAAGGACATACCTGAGACTGGGTAATTTATAAAGGAAAGAGGTTTAATTGACTCAGTTTCACAGGGCTGGGGAAGCCTCAGGAAACTCATAATCATGGCAGAAGGGGAGGCAAACCCGTTCTTCACAAGGCAGCAGGAGAGAGAAGAATGAGCAGAAGGGGAAAAGCCCTTTATAAAACCATCAGATCTCATGAGAACTCACTCACTATCACGAGAACAGCATGAGGGTAATTTCTGGGCTATGATTCAGTAGATGGCACTTAAGCATAATGGCCAGTAGGTAGGCTCTTGCTCAGCCACGTGGCTCCTCTGTATTTCTTCATGATTGCATCCGTGCTCCCTCTCAGTGCTCTGAAAGTGTGGGCTCCTCTCCCACTGGAGTGCTAGCTGCAGATCATGGCTTGACATTCCCAAGCTGCACACTGCAGCTCTGAGCTGAGCTCAAGCTTTCCTTAGCAGTGGTTGTTGCAGAAGGTCTTTCACTTTTCTCTTGGGACTCCACTCCAGAGAGATGTGGAGCTGCTATCCATCACCTGAGGTGGGATGGCTGCACTGTGGGCCCAAGCTGTGGGGGCCCTGCCTGGTGATTGGAAGGGTTCAGGTGGCTCCCATGGGAGACAGACTGGCCTCTTCTTTTTACGACAACTGAAGCTTGCTGGAGGTATGATCAAGGCACTCAGGTTCTTTGCTCCTTCCCCAGTCTGAGAGCAGCATGGGAAATACCACTGCAGTGGCAGCAGCAGTGGCAGAAGGGCTTTTGGTTGCCTCTGGGAGCTCCACCTCAGAGAAATGTGGAGCTGCTGCTACTGGAAATGTTCAGCCAAGGGGTGTGGCTGCTGCACTGCTGGTGTGAGCTATGGATTCTACATGTTGAAGAGCTGGGGGTCCAGGGCTCATATGGAGGACAGACTGGTCCCCTCGCTGTATGGTGACTGTGGCATGCTAAAAGTGCGAGTGAAGGCCTTGGGCTCTTTGTTTCTTCCCCAGACCAAGGGCAACAGGAGCAGAACCACTTCTGTGGCAGTGGCAGAGGGACTGTCAGTTGTCTCTGGGAGCCCCTCTCTAGGTAAACTCTGAGCCACTACTAGTGGGTATGCTCAGCTGTGGGTGGGGCAGCTAATCTGCACTCCTGAGCTGGTGGCCCTGCCTGGTGAAGAGTTACGGGTGAAGGCTCACAGGGAAGAGAGACTGGGCTCCTCTCCATGTGGTTGCTTCTGTGTGCTGGAGATGCCAGTGTAGCGACTAGGTCCTTGATTCCTTCCCCAGAATGAGGAGAGTTAGGGTGGTACCACTGCAGCTGCAATGGCGAGGGGCTGTGAATTGTCTCTAGGATTTGCTCCTCAGAGAATTGCAGAGCTGCCTCTGACTGAAGTGTTCAGGCAGGGGCAGGGTTGTTGTGCTGGAGTCTCCGGTCAGGAGGCCCCACCCAGTAAGGAGAAGTCGGGATGGGGACCCACGTGGAGAACAGCCCAGCCACTATTCCACAGGGCAGCTGCACTGTGCCAGGGATCCACGCCAGTCCCTAATCACCGCACAACCTCCGGGGCCTGAGGGCTGCCAGACGGCAAATATGGTGGCCTGCCCCTCCCTCTGGGAGTGCTGCCCCAGGGAAGTACAGAACTGCCACCCAAGAGCCCCCACAAGGGGTGGCTGGGATCCCAGCTTGGGAGGTCCCGCCAGTGAGAAGCAGAATTGAGGACCTGCATAAAAAATAGTCTGGTTGCTTTTCTGTGGAGCAGCTGCACTGTACTGGGGCCCTGCACCATCCTCTAATCATTGCACACTCTCCAGAGCCTGAAGGCAACAGCAGCTAAGGCTGTGAAGTAGCAAAAATGGTGGCCTGCCCCTCCCTCTGGGAGCTCTGACCCACGGAAATGTAGAGCAGCTACCAGTGGAGGGCGGTTAGAGTCTCAGGTTGGGACGTCCTGCCCAGTGAGAAGAAGCGGGATTGAGGACCCACATGAAAAACAGTCTGGCTGCTTTTCTGTGAGGTGGCTGCACTGTGCTGGGGGTCTGCTCCAGTCCCAGGTCACCAGGCACTCTCCAGAGCCTGACGGCAACAGCGGCAAGGGCTGCCAGATAGCAAAGATGGCAGCCTGCCTCACCTGCTGCGCACTCTGTCCAAGAGAAGTGCAGAGCTGCTATGGGCCTGAGAGCCCCAGCTGGGGGTGCCTGTCGTCCTAGGCCAGTGAGCTTTATTTTGTGAGGTTCAGTGGAGGCAAAGGCCTGCAGTCCATCACTGCTCAGCCCCCTGGATTTGCCCTTTTCGTGGGGGCATGCAAGGGAGCCCGACTTACCCCATTGCTGGAGCTGGAGCTGCTAAGGCTGGGATGCCCAGGGATCCAATGCTCTGGGGACTCCACATGTGCCTTAGTGGCAGCTCTGCCCAGGCACTGATATAGGCAGAAGACAGCCAAATGCCTAGGCAGATAGGGAAAGGTCCCTGTAGAATCTCCAACCCACCCTACAAGTCTTTACACCAGATGCTTTGTGCAGATGGGGAACCCGCACAGGCAGCTTGTCTGGGCATGCCCCTCGAGCACTGCCGGGAATGGGGTGGAGCCACCAGGAATTCGCGCCTTTGGCCAGGGAGGAGCCTGGCCTCCTCAACTCCCGTGTAGTGGCCTGACATTCAATTCTGTGAGATGGAAGCTTGGGTGCAGGACCCCTCTCTTTGTTGAGAGCTTTCCTTTTGCTTAATAAATTCCGCTCTCCTCACTCTTCAATGTGTCCTTGAGACAAGAACCCGGATTTAGCTGAACTAAGGAGCAAAAAATCCTGCATAAGCACCACATAGGTCTTCATATCAGTCTGAAGGCCCTGGTGGGATGAGTTCATGAGGGGATCTCTTGAGCCCAGGGTTGCAAAGGTCTGTGTCAGAAATAGGAGTCGCCAGGGATGCTCACTCACTCACTGATTCCCTGCTGTGGTGGAGCCTCCCCTGGTTCTGTGCCACTCCCCATGGGCAGTTGTCCAGTCTCGCTCCTCTCCATTCTCCACCGGTAGAGCTGATTCCTTGATTAATCCCAAGGTGTCCATCTGCATATTTAAGTTGAAAATCTAGTATTTACGCCTCTCTTTTTCTTTTCTGTGTCAGAGCGGCACATGATAGCTGCTTCTAGTCAACCAACTTGAAGCCCTAACCGAGTACTGATATTTTCATTGTAACAGGCAATTAAACTGATTGTACTGAAATTACAAATGCTGTTCCTTGGGCAGCAGCTCAAATACCAGTTAAGAGTTCCTTTTCTTTTTAGTTTTGTTTGTTTATTTGTTTTAACCCTTATGTGTGCTGCTTTGTGTTTGTCTCAGGTACATGTGGTTCAGGACTCAGCAGGAAATTTAAGCTGAGTCTATCACAGAACTTGGTACCTCTCCAGCTTGAAGTATCTCTCATTTCTAATATTTCTCCCTTACTCTTCAACAGCTATGGTTTTCCTGAACTTAATCCTCTGGATCTTCAGAGCAGAGAAAGTGTGAGTTTCCTTTATTCAACTTCAGCTTTTCCTCAGGCTAAAATTCCTAAAACAGAAAATTCAATGCATGTAAGACGCGTTTTCCAAGTTTATGGTCCACTCCACCATCTGTCTTGTTTTGTTCACGTTTTTTGAAGTTGTTTGTTTTTGTAATTATCTAGAGTTGTGGTTGATGTATTTAAGAATGTCAGACTAGTAGGAGCTTGATCAGCCTTTTAGGAACCAGAACTCACTTCAAGCTATCTTGAGCTTATATGCCATCAATCTTAAAATATGATGAGCTGAGCATGTCCTTAAAGTCCCAACTGCTTGGGAGGCTGAGGCAGGAGAATTGCTTGAGTCAGGAATTTGAGGCTTGTACAGTGTGCTATGATCATGCCTGTGAATAGCCACTGTACTCTAGCCTGGGCCACGTAGTGAGACCCCTATCTCTTAAAAAATAAAATGATAGCATGCAATTCAATAATTTTTAGACAGTTTTATTTAGATAAAATCCACATACCATAACATTCATCCTTTTAAAGAATACAATTCATGTTTTTTACTATATTCACAGTTACACAGTAATCACCATTATCTAGTTTTAGTACATTTTCATCACCCTACACAGAAACTCTGTGACTATTAGCAGTCATTCCCCATTCACCCTCCTTGCAGCCGCTAGAAATCACTAAACTGCTTTCTGACTATATGGATTTTCCTATCCTGAATACGTCATAGAAATGGAATCATAGAATATATGCTTTTTTGACTGGCTTCTTTCCCTTAACGTAATGTTTTCAATGTTCATCTATGTTGTGCATGTATTAGTAATTCATTCACTTTTATTGCCAGATAACGTTCCATTGTACAGATATGCCACATTTTACCTATACAACAGTGGATGGACATTTGGGTTGTTTCCAGTGTTTTGCTATTATGAATACTATGAACATCCCAGTACAAATATTTATATGTACATATATTTTCATTTCTCTTGGAATATAATTATGTGGGGGGATGACTAGGTCATATGTTAAATCTTTGCTTAACTTTTGTAGGAACTGTCAAACATTCCAAAGAGGCTTCAGTATTTTACATTCTTAACAATGTATTACGGCTTCAGTTTCTTCACATTTTTGGCAACACTTCTTATTATTTGTCTTTTTTATTTTTGTTATCCACTATAGTGAGTGTGAAGTGTGTCACATTGTGGTTTTAACTTATATTTCTCTGTTGACTAGAAATGTTAACCATCTTTTTATGTGCTTGTTGACCATTAATGTATTTTCTTTGGAGAAATGTCTATTCTAATCTTTTGCCCATTTTAAAAAATTGGAGTATTTTTTATTTTTATTGTTGAGTTATAAGAGTGCTTTGTATGTCTTGAACAGAAGTTCTTAGGAGATAAATGATTTGCAAATATTTTCCCCCATTCCATGGGCTGTCTTTTCACTTTATTAATGGTGTCTTTTGAAAATGCAAGTTTTTACATTTTAATGATGTCCAATTTATCTATTTTTTTTTCTTTTCATAGTTGTACTTTTGGTGTCATATTTAAGAAGCCATTACCTAATCCAAGGTCAATGAATAATTATCATTATTGTTTTCTTCTAAGAGTTTTATAGTTTTAGCTCTTATATTGTAGACTATGATCCATTTCGAATTAATTTCTGAATGGAATGTGAGATAGGGGTTCATTTCCATTTTATTTTACATGAAAATATCCAGTAGTCTCAGTGCCAATTTTTGAAAAGATTTCTTTTCCCCTATTGAATTGACTTGAAACCCTTGTGAAAAATCAATTTACCATAAATATAAGAGTTTACTTCTGAACTTCCAGTTCTATTCTGTTGTTTTATCTATGTCTACTTAGGCCAATACCACGCTGTCTTGATTACTATAGATTTCTGGTAAGTTTTGAAACTGAGAAGTGTAAGTCCTCCAACCTTGTTCTTTATTTCAATATCATTTAAGTTATTCTGGGTCCCTTGCATGTCCAAGTAAATTTCAGGGTAAGCTTGTTAATTGTTGCAAAAAATGAAGCAGTAGGAATTTTAATAATAGTTGCATTGAATTTATAGATTAATTTAGGGAATATGGCTATATTAATATTATTGTCTTCCAATTCATGATCATAAGATGGTTTTCTGTGTATTTCCATCTTCTTTAATTTCTTTCAACATTATTTATAGTTTTGCCTACAAGTTTTGCACTTCTTTTGTTCTTTTAAGTATTTTATTCTTTTTGATGGTATTATAAATGGATTGTTTTCTTGATTTTATTTTCAGATTGTTCATTGCTGGTGCATAGAAACACAATTGATTTTTGCAGATTGATCTTTTAGTCTAAAACTGTGCTGAGACACTGATTAATTCTGATTTTTTTTTTCCTGAATTCCTCAGGATTTTCTGTATACAAGATGATTTGGTGGTATTCTTTGTGCAATCTAACTCAGATAACTGTCAACGCTGTGTTTTTTATAGATGTTCTTTACCAAGTTGAGCAAGCTTTTTTCCAATTCTAGTTTGTTTAATATTTTCATCATGAAAAAATACTGGAATTTGTCAAAATCTTTTTCATGTCTATTTAGATGATCATGTGGTTTATTCTATATTGATATGATGCATTTTGTTAATTGATTTGGGATGTTAAGTCAATCTTTTATTTCTGGAATAATTCAAATTGGTTATAGCAATTAATCATTTTTATATATTGTTATATATTGCTAGCATTTATACATTGTCAGAATTTTATTGAGAATTTTTGTATTTGTATACTTAAGGGAAATTAGTTTGTGGTTTTCTTATAATGTTTTTATCTGATTTAGAGATCAAAGTAAAACTAACTTCAAAAATGAGCTAAAAATATCCTTTTTATGGAAGCATTCATGGGGATTTGCTATTAAGTCTTCTTTAAAAGTTCAGTAGGATTGATTAACGTAGCCATCTATGCTTTTGCCTTTTGTTATGACAAGCTTAAAAATTATTAATTTTATCTCTTTCCTTGTTATAATAGCTCTATTCAGATTTTCTATTTCTTTTTGAGTCAGATTTAGTAAATTCCATCTTTGTAGGAATTTTGCCATTTCATCTACAGTATCTAATTTGTTGGCATATAATTGTGTATAATATTCCCTTATAATGCTCTTTATTTCTGTAAGGTCAGTAGTAATGTTCCTTCATTTATAACTGATTTTGGTAATTTGAGTCTTTCTTCTTTCTTTTCCTGCTCAACCTAATTACAGATTTGTCAACATTTTTGATTTTTTCAAAGATCAGCTTTTGATTTCATTGATTTTCTATATTGTTTTCCAATTTTCTGTTTCATTTATTTTAGTTCTAGTCTTTATCATTTTCTTCTGCTGCTTGCTTTGAGTTTAGTTTGTACTTCTTTTTATTTTTTTAAGGTGAAAGTTTAGGTTATGGCTTTCAGGTCTTTCTTATTTTTTAACGTAGGCAGTTATTATAGCTATAAATTTCCCTCTGAGCACTGACTTAGCTACATCCTATCAGTTTTATTACATGTTTTTGTTTCCATTTTCATGCATTCATCTAAAAAATTTTTTCCTTTTCTTTTTCTTTCTTTCTTTTTCTTTTCTTTTTTTTTGTTTTTGAGACAGAATCTCGCTGGAGTGCAGTGGTTCGATCTTGGCTCACTGCAACCTCTGCCTCCAGGGTTCAAGTGATTCTTGTGCCTCAGGCTGCTTAATAGCTGGGATTACAGGCGTGCGCCACCATGCCCGGCTAACTTTTGTATTTTTAGAGGAGACGGGGTCTTGCTATGTTGACCAGATTGGTCTTGAACTCCTGGACTCAATTGATCTGCCCGCCTTGGCAAGCAGATACTACCTTTTAGTTTAATTTTATTTTGTTCTTTGAATGGTATTTGACTTAAAATCTTTGTCTTGTAAGTCTAATATCTGTAGGGTTTTTTCAAGCCCCAGTTTCTATTGATTGTTTTCTTTCCTATGTATTGGACATGCTTTTCTATTTTTTCATGTGTCTTGTAATGTTTATTGAAACCTGTATATTTTAAATTAAATAGCATGTCAACTCTGGGAATTAGGTCTCTGCCCCTTTCCCAGAGTTTGTTGTTGTTTCTTTTGCTGTGTGTCTGTTTCTTTGTTTAGTGACTTTCCTGGATGAATTCTGTAAAGTCTGTGTTCTTTGTTGTGTGCAGCCACTGAAGTCTTGTCACCACTCAGTTATTTTGGTAGTCGGATAATGATTGCACAGAAATTTCCTGAAATGCCTTGAACCAATATGTCTCTCACCCTTTGCAGAGAGGCCTAGCGGTGTGGGTTGGGGTATGCTTTCAATGCTCTAGCAGTTTACAGCTATGCTTTATCTCTCATTTCTTGCTTGCAAAGAGCCTTAGTTCAGCCATGGATAAGCGATCTTCTCAAGTCTTTCCTTGGCATATTCCAGCCCTGCACATGTACTTCTAGATTCCCAGGAACATGTTAGAGCTTTTCAAAACTCCTTATGGAGGTCTCATTTTCCTTACTTCCTTTTTGTTTTTTGGCCTCTTGATTATCCCAACTGGTGTGGTGACCTTAGGTAGCTATGATGTGTAGCAGTTGCCTCTGATTTTTTTTTTTTAACAAGTGCCCTGAACACAAAATTTTTTCACTCAGTGTGCTCCAAGTCAGTTCAAATAAAAAGACAAACCTTGAGAATGGGATTTTTTTCAGTAGCTCCAAGACAGTTCAAATAATAACAATTCTCTGGGGATGAAGATTTTGGGGGAGCTCCAAATTCACTCTACTCCCTCCAGTGGCTGCTAGACTGCTGTGTTTCACAGGTACTATCATTGCAAACCTGCTGACTTTCAAGCCTCTTACAGAGCTCAGAGAAAGGAAATAGGAATTGGGCAAGTTAAATTGTCAAAAAGCTGAATATTCTTACCAAGACTCAACCAATTTCCTTGAATAAACTTTCCTTGTATTGCAAACCTTTAGTTAATTTCCAGAGCACTTAAAAAGATGATTTTAACAATTATTTATCAGTATTCTTATTGATTTTATGGAGGGGTGGAGTTTTAAAGGTTCTTACTTTGCCAAACTTGCATTCCGATAAATTGAATAATTTACTTAATGTGTAAATATTTGTATTTACTATAGTAATGATAATTTAAGTACATAATAAAGTATTTGTAAATAAAATTTAAAACAAATGTGATAAAAAATAAATACAAATAAAAGTTCTAATATTCCCTCTTATACCTCAATAGAACATCTTTCTGGGATATGAGCTTCCCATTTTGGAGACGTTTGTCAAATTTCACTTCTGGTGTGACTAATATGTATAATTATCTGTATTTTTTAAAGCTTTTAACTTAAATTTAATAAGAAGTATATGTTTAAACCTTCAAACATCAGAGCATATTCAGGAATTCTCTTTTTAAAGCAACGGTAGTAATGAACACAATACTCCATACTCCATGGAAACTTTGGCTCTCACAGAGTAGAGCATGAATCTGCAAATTACAGACTGTAAGTCAAATCCAGCCCACTGGGGGCAAAGTCTGGCCAAGCCTCTCTCTTTTTTTTTTTTTTTAAGTTGCTATTCAAAGGCAGACATGAGTAGTTGCGACAGAGACTGTATGGCCCACAAAGCCTAAAAGGTTTATCATCTGGCCTTTTACAAAAAAATGTTTTCTCATGCATGGAGTAGAACAAGACCCAGAGTTTATACTGGACTTCAGTGGAACAAGACTCACAGTTTTCTCTGAACTTTAGTTCTTCTTAAAACTTGGGATGCAACCAAATTATTAACTGTATTTCAAAGTAAGTACAGATTGTTAAGTCCTACCCCAGGAATCATAACAACAATGAAATATTTACTCTCTGATTTTCATTTCAGCTTGGTAGATGTTGAGCACTGTTAGGAGACTAGTGGTAGATAGCCAAACTAAGCTTCATAAATGAAGGAGAAATAAAAGCATTTGCAGACAAGCAAATGCTAAGAGAATTTATTACCGCCAAACTTGCCTTACAAGAGGTTCTTAAGAGAGTGCTAAACATGGAAATGAAAGAACGGTACCATCCACCACAAGAACACACTTGAGTCCATCAACCATTGGCATTATAAAACAACTACATGATCAAGTCTACATAACAACCAGCTAACAACACGATGACAGGATTAAATTTGCACATATCAATATTGACCTTGAATGTAAATTGTCTAAACATCACACTTAAAAGGCAAAGAGTGGCAAGTTGGATAAAGCAAGACCCAACTGAATGATGTCTTTGGGAGACCCATCTGACATGCAGTGACACCCACAGGCTCAAAGTAAAGGGATAGGGAAAATTCTATCAAGCAAATGGAAAACAAAAAAGATCGGGGATTGCTATTCTTATTTCAGACAAAACAGAATTTAAACCAATAACAATCAAAAAGAACAAAGAAGGACCTTACATAATGATAAAGGGTTCAATTCAACAAGAATTGAAGGACCTAACTATCCTAAATATAATATATATGAACCCAACACTGGAGACACCCAGATTCATAAAACGTTCTTAGAGACTTATGAAGAGACTTAGCCAATGCACAATAATCATGGGACACTTGAACACCCCACTGACAGTATTAGAGCATTGAGGCAGAGGATTATCAAAGATACTCAGGAGATAAACTTGATACTTTACCAAGTGGACCTGACAGACACCTGCAGAACACTTCACCCAGCAACACAATATACATTCTTCTTATCTGCGCATGAAACATATTCTAAAATCAACCTTGTGCTGGGTAACAAAGTGATGCTCGACAAATTATAAAAACCAAAATCATACCAACCACATTCCCAGACCACAGCACAATAAAAACAGAAATAAATACTAAGAAGATCTCTAAAACAATATGATTACATGGAAATCAAACAATCTACTCCTGGGTGACTTTTAGATAAACAGTGAAATTAAGGCAGAAATCAAGAACTTCTTTGAAACTAATGAAAATAAAGATACAACATACCAGAATCTCTGGAACACAGCTGAAGCAGTGTTAGGGGGAAAGTTTCTAGTGCTAAACACCTACATCAAAAAGTGAGAAAGATCTCAAATTAATAACCTAACATCACAACTAGAGGAACTAGAGAAGCAAGAACAAACCAATCCCAAAGCTAGCGTAAGAAAAAAAAGATGAAAATCAGAACTGAACTGAATAAAATTGAGACATGAAAAACCATACAAAAGATCAATGAAACCAAAAGTTGATTATTTGAAAGTATAACTAAAATTAAAAGACCACTGGCTAGACTAATAAAGAAACAGAGACGATCCAAATAAACACAATCAGAAATGAGAAAGGAGATATTATCACTGACTCCACAGGAATACAAACATCCCTCATAGACTACTATGAGCACCTCTATGCACACAAACTAGAAAACCTAGAAGAAATGGATAAATTCCTGGAAACATATGACCTCCCAGGATTGAACCAGGAAGCACAGTCCAATAAGGAGTTCTGAAATTGAAACCATGAGCAGACCAATAACAAGTTCTGAAATTGAATCAGTAACAAAAAACCCACCAACCAGAAAAAGTTCTGGACAAGAGAATTCACAACCAAATTCTACCAGACATATAAAGAAAAGGTCGTACCTCTTGAAACAAATTCTAAAAATTGAGAAATAGGGACTGCTCCCTAACTCATTCTATGAGGACACCATCATCCTGATACCAAGCCTGGCAGAAACACAAGAAAAGGAAACTTCAGGCCAATATCCTTAATGAACATAGATGCAAAACTCCTCAATAAAATACTAGCTGATATGGTTTGGCTCTGTGTCCCCACCCAAATCTCATCTTGTAGCTCCCATAATTCCCATGTGTTATGGGAGGGACCCAGTGGGAGATGATTGAGTCATGTCAGCAGGTCTTTCCCATGCTGTTCTCATGGTAGTGAATGGGTCTCACAAGATCTGGTGGTTTTAAAAATGGGAATTTCTCTGCACAAGCTCTCTCTATGCCTGCTGGCATCCACATAAGATGTGACTTGCTTCTCTTGCTTTTCCGCCATAATTAGGAGGTCTCCCCAGCCACGTGGAAGTGTAAGTCTAATAAACCTTTTTCTTTTGTAAATTGCCAAGTCTCACATATGTCTTTATCAGCAGCGTGAAAACTGACTAATGCAATAAATTGGTACCAGTAGAGTGGGGTGCTGCTGAAAAGATACCCAAAAATGTGGAAGCAACTTCGGAACTGGGTAACAGGCAGGGGTTGGAACAATTTGAAGGGCTCAGAAGACAGGAAATGTGGAAAGGTGGGAAAGTTTGGAACTTTCTAGAGACTTGTTGAATGGCTTTGCCCAAAATGCTGATAGTGATATGGACAATAAAGCCCAGGTTGAGGAGGTCTCAGATGGAAATAAGGAACTTGTTGGGAACTGAAGCAAAGGTGACTCTTGTTGTTTTGGCACAAAGACTGGTGGCATTTTTCCCCTGCCCTAGAGATTTGTGGAACTTTGAACTTGAGAAAGATGATTTAGGGTATTTGGTGGAAGAAATTTCTAAGTGGCAAAGCATTCAAGAGGTTACTTGAGTGCTGTTAAAAGCATTCAGTTTTAAAAGGGAAAGAGAGCATAAAAAAGTTTCGAAAATTTGCAGCCTGACAATGAGATAGAAAAGAAAATCCCATTTTTGACAAGAAATTCAAGCTGGCTGCAGAAATTTGCATAAGTAACAAGGAGCTGAATGTTAATCACCAAGACAATAGGGAAAATGTCTCTAGGGCATGTCAGAGACCTTTGCAGCTTCCGCTCCAATCACAGGCCTGGAGATTTAGGAGGAAAAAAATGGTTTCATGGATGGGCCCCAGGGTCCCTCTGCTGTGTGCAGTCTAGGGACTTGGTGCTCTGTGTTCCAGCTACTCCAGCTGTGACTAAAAGGGGCCAAGGTACAGCTTAGGCTGTTGCTTCAGAGGGTGGAAGCCCCAAGCCTTGGCAGCTTCCACATGGTGTTGGGCCTGTGGGTTCACAGAAGTCAAGAGTTGAGGTTTGGGAACCTCTGCCTAGATTTCAGAGGATATATGGAAACACCTGGATGACCAAGCAGAAGTTTGCTGTAGGGGTGGGGTCCTCATGGAGAACCTCTGCTAGGGCAGTGCAGAAGGGAAATGTGGGGTCAGAGCACCCCCATAGAGTCCCTACTGGGGTACCATCTAGTGGAGCTGTGAGAAGAGGGCCACTGTCCTCCAGACCCCAGAATGTTAGATCCATTGACAGCTTGCACCATGCACCTGGAAAAGTCATAGACACTCAATGTCAGCCCATGAAAGCAGCCAGGAGGGGGTCTATACCCTGCAAAGCCCCAGGGGCAGAGCTGCCCAAGGCCATGGGAGCCCACCTTTTGCATCAGTGTGACCTAGATGTGAGACATGGAGTCAAAGGACATCATTTTGGAGCTTTAAAATTTGACTGCCCTGCTGGATTTCGGACTTGCATGGGGCCCGTAGCCCCTTCGTTTTGGCCAATTTCTCCCATTTGGAATGGCTGTATTTACCCAATTCCTGTTCCTCCATTGTATCTAGGAAGTAACTAACTTGCTTATGATTTTACAGGCAGAAGGGAATTGCCGTGTCTCAGATGAGACTTTGGACTGTGGACTTTTGAGTTAATGCAGAAATGAGTTGAGACTTTGGGGGACTGTTGGGAAGGCATGATTGGTTTTGAAATGTGAAGATATGAGATTTGGGAGGTGCTGGGGTGGAATAATATGATTTGGCTCTGTGTCCCCACCCAAATCTCATCTTGTAGCTCCCATAATTCCCAGGTGTTGTGGGAGGGACCTGGTGGGAGATGATGGAATCATGAAGCAGGTCTTTCCCATGCTGTTCTCATGATAGTGAATGGATCTCATGAGATCTGATGGTTTTAAAAACAGGAGTCTCCCTGAACAAGCTCTCTCTTTGCCTGCTGCCATCCACATAAGACATGACATCCTCCTCCTTGCCTTCTGCCATGATTGTGAGGCCTCCCCAGCCACATGGAACAGTAAGTCCAATAAACCCTTTTGCCTGTATAAATTACCCAGTCTTGGATATGTCTTTATCAGCAACATGAAAATGGACTAATACACTGGCAAACTGAATCCAGTAGCACATCAAAAAGCTAATCCATCACTATCAAGTAGGCTTTATCCCTGAGACACCAATTTGGTTTAACATACACAAATCAATAATGTGATTCATGAGATAAACAAAACAAAAAACACAGGATCCCCCCATAGATGCAGAAAAGGCTTTTGATAAAATTCAACATTCCTTCTTGTCAAAAGCCATAAAAAAACTAGACATCAAAGTAACATGTCTCAAAATAATAAGTCATCTAAAGACAAACCCACAGCCAACGTTATACTGAATGGGGAAAATCTGGAAGCATTCTCCCTGAGAACCAGAACAGGGTTAGGATGCCACTTTTACCACTCCTTTTCAATATAGTACTGGAAGTCCTAGCCACAGCAATGAGGCAAGAGAAAGAAATAAAAGTTATCCAAATAGAAAAAAGGTAAAACTGTATCTCTCTGCCGATGATATGATTCTACACCTAGAAAACCCCATGGTCTCTGCCCAAAGGCTCCTAGATCTGATAGACAACTTCCGTAAAGTTTCAGGATGCAAAATCAATGTATAAAAATTAGTAACCTTTCTATAAACCCATAATGTCCAAGCTGAGAGCCAAATCAAGAGTTCAGTCCCATTCATGATGGCCATAAAAAGAATAAAATACCTGGGAATACAGTTAACCAGGGAGGTGAATGATCTCGACAATGAAAATTATAAAATGTTGCTGAAAGAAATAAGTGGTGACACAAATAAATGGAAAAACATTCCATAGTCATGGATAGGAAGAATCAATATCATTAAAATGGCCACACTGCCCAAAGCAATTTACAGATTCAATGCTATTCCTATCAAACTACCAACTTCATTTTTCACAGAATTAGAAAAAGACTATTATAAATCTCATATGGAACCAAAAAAGATCCTGAATAGTCAAAGCAGTCCTAAGCCAAAAGAACAAAGCCATAGGTATCACGCTACCCAACTTCAATCTATACTACAAGTGTAAAGTAACAAAAATAGCAGGGTACTCGTACAAAAATAGACACATAGACCAATGGAACAGAATAGAGGGCCCAAAATAAAGCCACACATCTGCAACCATCTGATCTTTGACAAAGTTGACAATAAGAATCGATGTGGAAAGGCTTCCCTGTTGAATAAATGGTGCCAGGATAACTGGCTGGCCATATGCAGAAGATTCAAACTGGATCCCTTCCATTTACCATGTACAAAAATCAACTGAAGGTGGATTAAGGATTTAAAGGTAAAAACCTAAAACTATAAAAACCCTAGAAGAAAACCTAGGAAAACCATTCTGGAATCTGGAAATGACTTCATGAATAAGACTCCAAAAGAAATTGCAACAAAAACAAAAATTGACAAGTGAGACTGATAAAGTTTGGATATTTGCCCCCGCCCAAATCTCATGCTGAAATGTAATCCCCAGTGTTGGAGATGCGGCCTGGTGGGAGGTGTTTGGATCATGGGGGCAGACCCCCCATGAATGGTTTGGGCCACCCCTTGGTGATAAGTGAGCTCTCCCTCTGAGTTTACATGCAATCTGGTCATTTAAAATTGTGTGGCACCCCCCCTTCCCCACCCTCTATTTCTCTCTTGCTCGTGCTTTTGCCATGTGAAGTGTTTTCTCCCTCTTTGCCTTCTGCCATGAGTAAAAGCTTCTTGAGGCCTCCCTAGAAGCAGATACTGGTGCAATGCTTCCTGTACAGCCTGCAGAACTATGAGCCAATTAAGCCTCTTTTCTTATAAATTACTCAGTCTCCTGTATTTCTTTATAGCAATGCAAGAATAGCCTAATCCAGAAAATTAATACAGAGGAGTGGGACATTGCTATAAAGATACTTGAAAATGTTGACATGGCTTTGGAACTGGGTAATAAGCAGAGGTAGGGAGAGTTTGCAGGGTTCAGAAGAAGACAGGAAGATGAGAGGAAGTTTGAAACTTCTGAGACTGATTAAATGATTGTGACCACAACGTTAATAGTAATATGGACATTGAAGTCCAAACCGCTGAGGACCTGCGTAGAAATGAGGAACTTACTGGGAACTGGTACAAAGGGCACACGTGCTATGCCTTAGCAAAGAACTTAGTTGTGTTGTGTCCATGACCTAGAGATATGTGGAAGTTTAAACTTGAGAGCAATGATTTAGCATATCTGGTGGAGGAAATTTCTAAGCAGCAAAGTGTTCAAGAGGTGGTGTGGCTGCTTTTAACAACCTACATTCAGATGTGGGTGCAAAAAAAATGGCTTAAAGTTGGAACTTATATATTTAAAAGGAAGCAGAGTGTAAAAGTTTGGAAAATTTGCAGCCTAGCCATGTGGCAGAAAAACAAAAAGCGTTTTGGGATGAGGAATTCAAGCAGGCTATGGAGCAACCACTTGCTAGAGAAATCTGCATAACTAAAAGAGAGCCAAGTATTGATAGCAAAGACAATGGGAAAAAGACTTTGAACACATTTTAGAGACTTTCACTGCAGCGTCTCCCATCATAGGCCCAGCAGCCTAGGAGGGAAGAATGGTTTCTTGAGCCAGGCCCAGGGCCCCACTGACCTGTGTAGCCTTGGGACACTGCTTCCTGCATCCTGGTTGCTCCACTTTGAGCATTGACTTAAAGGACCCCAGATACTATTCGTGCTACCACTCCAGAGAGCTCAAGCTGCCATAAGCCTTTGTGGCTTCCATGTGTCTTCCTTTGTGGCTTCCAAGCCTGCAGGTGCACAGTTGTGCAAGAGTGAATAAGGTTTGGTATCCTTTGCTTAGATTTCAGAGGATGTATGGAAAAGCATGAATCCCAGGCAGAAGCCTGCTACAGGGGTGGAGCCCCCACAGAGAACCTCTACTAGGGCAGTGCCAAGTAGAAATGTGAAGTTGGAGCCCTCACAGGGCACTTCCTAGTGGAGCTGTGGGAAGGGTGCCACCATCCACCAGACCACAGAATGGTAGATCCTCTAGCAGCTTGTGTGGGCCACCTGAAAAAGCTGCAGGCACTCAACAACTCATGAAAGCAGCTGTAGGGGCTGTACCCTGCAAAGCCACCAGGGTGGAGCTGTCCAAGGCCTTGGAAGCTCAGCCTTTGAACTGGTGTGCCCTGGATGTGGGACATGCAGTGAAGGGAGATAATTTTGGACCTTAAAATTTAATAGCTGCCCTGCTGGGTTTCAGACTTCATGGGGTCTATAGCTCCTTTCTTTTGTCCAATTTCTCCCTTTTGGAACAGGAATGTTTACCCGCTGCCTATATCCCCATTGTATCTTGAAAGTAAATAACTTGTTTTGATTTTACAGGCTCATAGGTGGAAGGAACTCATTTCCAGATAAAACTTCGGATTTGGGACTTGGGACTTTTGAGTTAATGCTGGAATGAGTTCAGAGTTTGCAGGGACTATTAAGAAAGGATTATTGTATTTTGAAATGTGAGAACATGAGATTTGGGAGGGGCCAGGAGCAGAATGATATAGTTTAGATATTTGTCCCTGCCCAAATCTCTTGTTGAAGTATAATCCCCATTGTTGGAGATGAGCCCTGGTTGAGAGGTGTTTGGATCATGGAGCAATCCCTCATGAATGGCTTTGGCTATTCCCTTGGTGATAACTCTCCTTCCCCACCCTCTCTCTCTCTCTTGCTCCTGCTTTCACCATGTGAAGTGCCTGCTCCTGCTTTATCTTCTGCCATGAATAAAAGCTTTTTGAGGCCTCCCTAGAAGCAGATGCTGGTACACTGCTTCCTGTACAGCCTGCAGAACCATGAGCCAATTAAACTTCTTTTCTTATAAATTACCCAGTCTCAGGTATTTCTTTATAACAATGCAAGAATGGCCTAATACAGGGATCTTATTAAACCAAAGAGCTTCTGCGCAGCAAAAGAAAATATCAACAGAGTAAATAGACAACCGGCAGAAAGGGAGAAAATATCTGCAAACTATCCATCCAAAAAAGGTCTAATATCCAGAATCTATAAGGAACTTAAACAAAATTAATAATCATAAAACAAACAACTCCATTAAAATTCGGCAAAGGATATGAACAGACACTTCTCAAAAGAAGACGTATGTACAGCCAATACGCATATAAAAAATGCTCAACATCACTAATCATTAGAGAAATGCAAACCAAAACTACAATGAGATCTCATTTCACACCTGTCAGAATGGGTATTATTATAAAGTAAAAAATCTGCAGATGCTGGTGAGGTTGTGGAGAAAAGGGAACGCCATACACCACTGGTGGGAATGTAATTAGTTCAGCCACTTTTAAAAGCAATTTGGAGATTTCTCAAATATCTTAGAACTACCGTTTGACCCAGAAATCTCATTACTGGGCATATTCCCAAAGAAATATAAATTATTCCACAAAGATACATGATGCATGCATATGCTCACTGCAGCGCTATTCACAATAGCAAAGACATGGAATCAACGTAAATGCATATCAACAGTGGACTGAATAAGGAAATGTAGTTCATATACACCATGGAATACTATGTAACCATAAAAAAGAATGAAATCCTGTCCTTTGCAGCAACATGGATGGAGCTGGAGGCCATTATCCTGAGCAAATTAGCGCAGGAAAATACTGCAAGTTCTCACTTATATGTGGGAACTAAACATTGAGTACACATAGACAAAAAGAAGCAAATAATAGATACTGGAGCCTACCTCCTAGTGGGTGGAGGGAGGGTGAGGATTAAAAAAAAAAAAAGACATCAAGTACTATGCTTATTACCTGGCTGATGAAATAATCTGTACATCAAATTCCCACAACACACAATTTGCCCATCTAACAAAACTACACATATGCCTCCTTGAACCTAAAATAAAAGTTGGAAATCAAACAAACAAACAATCCTTTGTGGTTTCCTTAAACCCTACCCACACTTTTATAAACAATTCCTGTATTTAACTCTCTTAAATTATATTAATTTGGGTGTTCCTTCCCATTCAGCTGGAAATCTAATACCTGAAGTCTTTCTACTCTTCGAAGTCCTAAACTTTCAGTCCATTCTTTCTCCATATTATACCTTTTGTCCTCAAAAATACTATCTTTCTCTCTCTGTTTTGTGCTATCCTGAAATTTAATAATTCTATCTCATATTTTTTAACGAAGTTGTTAATATAATTGTAAACAGTTTAGAGATGAGAATAATACCCGTAGAAAGTTACTACAACACTCTCTCCATCTCTCCTGATTGAGTGGATTTATTTATAACATCCTTTAGTGTAATTCAACCAGTTACTAATTTACTGAGAAGGTTTTTGATCTTTATGCCTGCATTTTGGCCATTCTTTAATTTCTATGCCCTTTGATTCCTCCAAAGGCCATATTCATAGAAAGTACAAGATTTCAATGGTTACACATATTTAGCCTCTCTTTATCCCTCAATCTTCAGCTTCTGCCAGGTAGCAGAGAGAAATTCGGATATACTTGCCAAATGGCAGTCTGATGGAAGATTTCAGCTTTTTCAATCTTGGCCTCCCTTTGAAGCATCATGTAGGAAGGCTCTGTGTTGATGCTCTTATGATACTTGCCTTTTTACACCTGATCACACCTGTTGACATTAAGGAGCATCAGCATACTAACAATAGACCTTTCTTAATTTCCCTCTTTAGCCAGACTGCATCACACTGAGCACCGTGAGCTAGAGAATTAAGATCAAGCTGAGGTATCTGTCATTTGACATGACAGCATGATACATTTTATTTAAATTACATATATCTTATGTTTGGAAGTTCTGTATATCTTGATTAGGGATGAGCATAAGCAAAGACAGGTTTTTCAAAATTCTTTGTAAGTTATTGGCTCATAATTGCTTTTATGGAATTGCTCATCAGTAATCTGTCATTAAATCTTCTTGAGAGAGCCTAACACAAATGATCAAAAATAAATTGCTGTTATTATTTTGTGTTTTGGAGGATACTGCTCTTATTTGTATAAGTATATAATATTTTCATGAATCAAAGTCAACTTTGTACTACTATCTCTTTATGAGGTAGGCATTGACAGTAGGAAGGAGGGAAACAAATATGTAGTGAGATTTCAAATTTCAATTTGGTTCTTAACTTCTTCTATAGAGAATAGCTAGGAAACATGTGCAAACTTATTTCACTGTTGTGTTTCCTTCAAGGATTGGGAGCATATTGATTAGTTAATGAAGAAAGAGGTCAATAGGGGACCACAAGTTAAAAGGGCTAAATCATTATTACTAACTAGTGATTCTTCTACCCTTACTTACTATTGTGAAAATGTGACTATTTCAAAAATGAAAAAAGTGGATCGTGTAACATCTTTTTCTTAAGTTTTTCCTTAAATAATAATAATGCTAATAGTAATAGCAAATATTTAATACACAGTTACTGTAGATGGCCCAAAGCCTGGAAGCATTAGCAAATATGCACTAAAATGGTTATTAGTATTACATTACAATACATGATTTGTTCAGAAGCCTTACCTGATACATTCAGTGCCTTGCCTCTCATCATGCTGGATAGGATCATCCTCAGATAAGCTTTGTAGAATTTGCATCTTGTATGGTTGAAAGGCATGTGTTTTAGGAATCACTGGGACAGTTCTGCAAGGCACCTCCAATTCCTTGGATGTCTGGCAAGATGATCTCTTTGGTTGGTTATGACCTTGGTTGGCGATGACTGTTTCCTCTATCTTGTTGGAAATAAATAATTGTTCACAGAAGAGTTTGTTGAACACACTATGATCTTGAATTTTTTAACTAGTTTTCTAATTGTACTGTGGGAAATGGTAGTTCTTCCAAGATGAAATGCAAAGAAGGGCTCTGCAATCATTGTGATCAGCCCTTTCATTTGCTTATGAGTATAAGCTCAATATGTTCATCTTTCATCAACCTTTCAAATGTATAAGAAGATTATATCTATGTTTCCAGATTTTACAGGATACCCTGTATATGCTAGGAAATCTTCTAAGGGAACCTTCTAAGAATTTTTCATTTAACCCTTTTAACAAATCTGAGTTGGCTTCTTTTATTATTTCCATTTCACAGAGGAAAATGTAAAGGCACAAGGAGATTAAGTAACATGCTCAAGATCACAGAGCTAGTAAATGTCAAATCATGGGTCTTGGGTTTTGGTAATGAGAATAAAAGGAGAAAAATAAGTGAAGTAATACTGTGTTAGGTAGTAGAACACAAATATTTTGCTGTATGTTTATACAATCTGATTAAATGTTAATATAACCTGCTTGCTGGCTTGGATATTGGATGTCAAACTTTTAAGACATGTCAGAATGGTTTTCAGAGAGCTTTTCTGATATCCATACTTTCCCATGAAAGTGCTATGTGGCCCTGGACAAATTTTTAGCATCTTCGTGCCTTCAAAAAATAGAGATGATTATTTTAGTCCTCTATCAGGTTAGTTGTTGTTTGGGAATTTGAATGAAAACTATTTTTTTTTTATTTCCTTGGAAGAAAGTCACACTATAAAAGCAAATTTGGGCTACTATAATGACAAGTGTGTGAGTGTACATTAATTTCTCCCTTATGTTCTTATTGCCAGCAGATGGAGGTCGAAATTGAATTGCTGCTGACTGTTGTCCCTTGTTATGGCCTGTGGAGATATGACAATTGAGGGAGAACTTAGAGGAATGCCAAGTAGCAGAGCGTGAAGCTGTGGGTGTGGCCCACTGCCTTGGACATTTTATGGCTGATAGCACTTGGCAAGGAAAAAATGCAGCCTTGAAAGTAGGCTTGCAAATAGATTTCAATATCAGCCATGCCCCCACAATCACCCCTATTTGATTTCTCCTGTAATATACGCTTTGCCAAAATCCAATCTTCTAATACTCACCTACCTCACTGGTCCCCTTGCAAACTACCTAAATAACTAAGTAAATAACACTTGGACAATTTCTTTGTTTCATTGCAAATTTGGGCACAGAAAGTACAGGCAAGGCACATTAAACTTCTTGTCCATCCACTTTTGATTCCTTTTGGGCTTGTCTTTTTTTTTTCCGTCTGTTTGTTCGTCTAACCAGAGATTTTTACCTAGGGAGTCCTCGGATGCTTTTCCAGGGGTGCCTGATCCGTGTGAACTGGAAACACCGTATCAGTGGTGCATGCCACAGAGTTCATTTTTTCCTTCAGAGAGAGAGTCTGTAGCTTTCACAAGATTCTCAAAGGAGCTTGGGACTTCAAAAAGCTTATGAATTCCTGCTTTGGATCTTTGGTTTAGAGGGCAATGAAACTGTATGTTTGCTTTAATGATTGAGACACAGCATTTTATGCGAATGAGAACAAGGGAGTGGTGGAGAAAAACAGCTTGAAGGGCATGATTACCTTTCCCAATCTTTATTTCTTGTCATGAATTATTAATCATGAGGTAACACTTCATCTGATGCTTTGAAAACTCTCCCTCTGGTAAGAACAGCCTAATTGAATTGGAGGAAGTGGAGCAGGAAGAACTAAACATGGACGTTGATGGTTTCACTAAAAACAATTATACACCCTACAGCCTTCTCCACCTGTTTGAAAACCCAAGGCCCACTAATTCTCATACCACAAGGGAATGAATGGAAGAGTAGAAGAAAAATTAAAATTGTTGAGCTTCAAACATACCTTCCTTGAGAGTACTCCACTTGGCAAAAGGGTGTATGTGGGGCTAAGAAGGAGAGTAAGGGATGTGGGAAAGGGTCTGATATACTGGAGATCAGAGTAGAAACCGGTCCAACTTCTCTGGAGGGCAACTTGGCAATGTAACAAAAACTCTATTGCAGGCATACTTCTACTCAGTAATGCCAGTTTTAGGAGGCTTAGTTCAGTAACATACATGGATCTAAAAATTTTAAATAATCCATACGTGTAATAGACTATGAAACAGTCATTAGAATCATGATAAAATCATTTTGACATGAAACTATATTTTTATATTTTGTCTTTAAAAAGGTAATAAACCAGTATGTATGTGTGCAGAGTATAGTATAGTATCCCATTGATAAGAAAAGTAATATGGGATTGGGGAATATGTCCCTTAAGGCACATTTATATATAAGCATAGAAAAGAATCTGAAGGGACATGTATTAAATGATAAATATGGTCCCTAATGGGTGATGCAATTGTGGTTAATTTAGTTTTGCTCAGCTTTATTTTCAACTTTTTTTCTACAATAAGCATGTACTACTTTTGTCATTACATGTACTAATAAAAGTCTAGATAATATCTTCTTTTTTGAAGTTATAAACTCTAGGTCTAACATCAACAATCTTATAGACAGAAACGGCTAACCCTTGCCAACCTTCAAAGTCTGGGTTCCACCCACCAGAAACTGCAACAGAGGATATGGAGAGTGCCCTCCTTCCTCTCTCCAACTGACAGGGAGAGACCAGTCCTGGGCCCTTTCCCTAGGTCTGAACAACTCCCTTCTATCCACAACCACAGATCAAACCAGATAAGTTTCAGCTAGGTTGAATAGTACATAAAAATGATTATAAAGATATTTTAAGATAAAACAAACAAATAAGCTCCGGCCCTAGCAGAATTTCCTACTTCATGCCACTTACATGCTACCTTTCCTTAACTCTCTGCACTTCTCTAGTTGTAGCATTTTCTAAACTATGCTAGAAATACCCTGTGTGTTTTCTTTATGGAATGCAAACTCTTTTCATCTTGATTTCCATTATATTCCTAGTGCCCAGCAAAGGACTCCAACAAGTGTTGAATGAATAAATGATTAAATGAATGCATAGATGAAGACCATCAAGGAAGGACCAACTTAGCTATCTTGGTTTTCCAAAACACAAACATAATAAAATCCAAGACCAGGAGACAGATATGTTTCCAAAGCTAATCAAAATAAGGCAGGCATCCCCTATGGGGTAAGAAATGATGACCCGAAATCATGTATGTGGGGATTTGGAAGGGCTAACAAGAAGGGAAGGAGTGCTGCAAAAACACAGCTGAAATGAAAAGGCAAAGATGAATTGCTGCAGTTATATTCCACCATTATAAATGACATTACCGTAAGGATGGAGGAACAAAGGTTGTTTAGTTTGCAGAGAAGTAGATTCTTGAATGGGTGAAAATTAAATCTGCTGGATGATTTGAAGTGGAGACAGCACACAGGATGATTTTAGCCACATAAACAAGAATGGCCTTGTGCAATGATTTCTATTCAACCCCCTGGCTTCCTGGCCCAAGCTGATTATTATTAAGCATTTATGTGGCATTTCATATGTACGGGTACTTTACAATCATTTATTATTTATTCCTCACAACGTGAGAAAGCCACAAATCAAGGGCAGGGATAAAGTTAATACAATTTTATTAAACAAGAGGAGTGTGCCTAGCAGCAGGCTCAGCTACAACCAAGGAGTGTGACCTCACTGGAGAGAAACAACGTGGCAATTACTTTTTTTTTCTTTTTGTGTTGCAATTTACACTTTTAATCAGTATAAAGTCAGGTGATTCTGCACACCTGGGAGAACTCTTGGGATTCTGGCAGCCTGGTGTGCCAACTCAAGGGAAAGCTTGCCTCTGAATCTGTCACGCCTCTGGACTTTCTCCCTCCCTCTGACCCTCCATTTCTCCCTTTCTTCCTTCTGCTTTTTAGCTTTTATTTCCTATATTTATTTATTCTCTTTCTCTTTTTTCCTTCATGACCACCTATCTCCTTTCCTTCCTTCGTATTTTTCTCTCTCATTTCTGTTTTTATTTCCTTCCTCCTTTTCATCTCTTTCTGTTTCTGATTCTCCTCACTCCTCACTCTGCTTCTTTGCTACTCTGTCTCTATGCGTCTCTGTCCCTCTCTCATACACATACACGCACACAGTCACTACACAAGGAAAAAAGAAGAATCTAAAATGTTGGGAGATGCAGAAGGTCATTTGTCTGTGAGGCAGCACTCCTTCACTGCCTTCTTCTGAGACCTGACACAGGGAAAATTTTAACTCAATTTGTACAGGGAGAATAATGCCACTGTTAATCCAAGTTGCTTGGAAGGTCATTTAAAAACCATTCCAGGTTGTTTTACTCCCACTGCTAGTGTTCTTCAGGCACTTCTCATAAATGCTAATGAATAATTCACCTTGGTAGTATAGACAAACACAGGCTGGTGGTGTTATTTGGAAATCACTCAAATTGACTAATTAGTCATTTCCTTTAGATCTTATTTAACAAAGGAAAAGGGATTTTGAGATATCTGGTGAATCATACATCATTACATTACTAAAATCTTAATAGTCCATATTAGTTTGAGGAAGGATTAACCTAATTTAGTGAAAAAGCCTGAATGGTTGCAAAGGTTAAAAATTATATATGAACTTACTGCAATCTAGGCACAATTTTATTAGTGAACAAAAATATCTTAGCTAGAGGTTTCATTGGCCCAATTTTGAGAAATGGATAATAATCATTTGTCATTAACACATGTATTGAAAACAAAGAACAGTAGATGAATGCTGTACATAAAATTTCTTTAAATGCTATTCATTCATAACCACCTACTATGTGTTGGATGTACTGTTCTACATGCTGGGGGTAGAGCAGGGAACTGCAGAAAAGGTCCTTACTTTTATGGAGCTCAGATTCTAGTGGGAATATTTTATAAAGATAGAGAAAAACAATTTATAGTTGATAGATAGATAATAGATGATAAATGATAAGGATAAAAAGAAAGATGCTAGATAATAGATAAAAAGACAGATAATAGATGCTCGATATGGATAAATAGATGATATATAGATAGGATGAATGGATTTCATATTATGACAAGTGATAGGCAGAAAATAGAATGAAAGTGACTATGTGTATGTTTTGAGATGTTTTGGGTGTTATTTTTAGAGATGGGTCAGGAAAAGCCTTCAGGGAAGATGATAGAGCAAGGATCAGAATATTGAGAAGAAGCCAGCTATAAAGACCTAAGAATTCCAAGGAAATGGATATGGATAAGCAAGGCTGGAAGCAAGTGTTGTGCTGAAATCCCAAGCAGCTATAGCCTAGTGAATAAAAGGATGGTAGGAGAAAGGTGCACCATTTGAACAGGCACCAAATGCTGTTGTTTCTACCTTTTGCTTATCAAGCTCTTGATAGTTAAGAAAAGGAAATTTTCACTTCAGTGACTGAGTCATCACAATTCTCGATTATTTATAGGAGCAAGGTGAGTTTGTTAAATTGTGACCAATGTATTTCTCTTCTGTACACATTCCCTTTAAACCTGTCATTCTCTCTTATTCAGGTCAATAGATGTGAGTCTCCAATGTACCAATAAAGGGAAACCTAGAGAACAAAGAAGTCACATTCTTTGCTTTTCAATTTAGTGAAAGACAGAAAATAACTGAAGTAATATATAACAAAGCACATTCTTGAATTTTGTTCTCCAAGGTGATTATAAGATCCTCCTAGTTAGGTAGATAGAAGATGTCTACACTCTACTTGCCTCATTCCAACCCAAGCCAAATCCGGGAAAGGGAAAATAGATGCCTGACCTGAATAGCTTCCCTCTTGGGGCTGCAGGTGCTTTGCAAAAGCTCTTCTCCATGCCTTACTCCTTTACTAGGAAGCAAGGGTCTGCCCAATTTAAATTAGCCCCCATCTCTGCCAGTCCCAGGGGTCATTAGCCAATAATCTGAGTTATAAGACATAGATGTAGTGGGAAATATGGCTTAAAAGACATTTTGGAGCCAGAAAGGGATGGAGCTTTAATATAATGTCTGATGACATATTGAGGCTTTGATTTAACAGAAGTTACCAAAATAGCAGAGACTAAATTAATTGTAGGGATTGGAGGAAAGCTCCTCTGCATTCTTTTTTTCTTTTTTTCTATTCTTTTCCCTCCACCTGCCTCCTCTTACTCTTCTTTCTCTTTCTTTTTTCTTCTATTGCATTCCAAATGTAGGTTTTAGTGAGCCATTTCTGGAACAACAAGAAATGTAATGCATGGATCAAATTGTAGAATGTCTCCAAGTGTCTGGTTTGCTGTGATCACCCTGCCTTTGTCCCATTGCTTATTAGAAACTGAGTCTCTCACCATCCCCAAACTCCTGAAGAATCTTAGGATCAAAAGCTCATCTTTCCCATAGGCACTGCAGCTTCTGCTAGATTCTCAGTCATTGCTTTGCTTGTAATCACCTGTATGCACTGTTTAGTTTTCATGTCATACCACATTGCTGGATATGATATAGTCTCCCCAAATATTACCTACTAAAGATTATGTATGTGGTAGATTTTACTGAGGATTTTGAATCAGCAGATGAGAGGTGGGATCATAGAGTGGTTGGAAGGTGGATATATCATAGTGGGCCACAGTCAACTTACAAAGAAAAAAATAGATGACTTTGTTCTTAAAAGCCTCAGTCATTACACACTAGGAAATTTCCATTTGTTTTCTCAATCCAGTTTTATCCCCTCATGATGTTGAAGATACGCTTTCTTCCTAGTTTCCCACTTTTTCCCCAGGTTCGCTTGTTACTCCCTTCGAAAGCCATTTGATTTCATAGGCAGAGTGGTTTCTCTCTCTCTTTCTTACTCCTAATCCAAACAGAACATCCTCTAAGAACTATCCAAGGCCAAAAGACAAATTAGAGTGTCTTTTCCCTAAAAAAGTTTCCATAACCAGCTCTTAAACTTACTGCATTTCTCCTTGGCGTGGAAAATTTTGCATTTGTCACCATTTCTTAGTTTCCTCTTTCATTTCTCAAGACAAATCAGGCTTCTGGAAGGTGCAAGCCTGTGTGTTTGTGTGTGTGTGTGTGTGTGTGTGTGTGAGAGAGAGAGGGAGAGTATGTGTGTTTCTGTGCATATAGCAAAAACATGACTCAATTTGGCAGGTTCAGTCTAACATAAATGGGAGAAAACTTTTTTTTCAATCTCAACAATTTTTATAATTGTGATGATACTTAACCCATTGATCACCTCTGCATTTCATATGAAGACCTTGCAGACAATGAATAAAGGAAATTTGTTCATCTCTTCCTCCTCTCACTCCACTGCTCCAAAGAGAATTTATACATGATAACTCCAAAGGAACTGTTTTACTCTTCTTCCTCAAAATATAAAAGGATTTTCATGGTAAATAAAAATGATTGAGCACAAGTAGATCTCAGAGTTTTAAAAAGTATTCTAAAGGCTAGTATAGAGCTCTGAATTTGTTTTTAAAAGTAATGTGCTGTGTTGAAGAATTCAGGAAAAAAGAGTAGATAAATCCGAGGCTGTAATTTCACAGAATCATTTCAAATGTGAAATGCTGCAGTCTTAGCAAGTCACTCTCTTAGTGTGAAGGAGAAGATGTGCCCCATTTACACTTGACCTCTTTGTTTTCATTATACACACATTCTCTAACTGAAGGTGGATTTGTAATACAAAAGTGTTTGTTGGAGATTCATTTATTTTCAAAGCCTGGACTTCTATTTGTTTGTATATAGGTCTATCTGTATGTCTATTACTAGTGGCGACTTAATTTTAAAATATATGTATATACTTACATACATATACGTATGTGTATATACACATACAACTATATATACACACACAACAGTCTGAATTTACAAAACAAATAAATGACAACAGCAATTTCTTTTTGCAGCACAATTACATATATATAATGCAGCTAAAAGCAGAGCTTTTCTTGCTGAAACGGGGGCAGGTGTTGAAGGAAGGTAGAGGGAGAAAATAGAACCTTGCTTGGCTTGCAGCTCACCCCTTGTGTCAGCCTTCTGTAAATACACCTTGCAAACTACTAAAGTAGGAGGAAATTGTACATATATCTGTACAGAATTAAACAATCTTCAAAGTGTTTTTTAAATAGCTATACACTGAGTTTATTAAAATATACCTCAATATCTACTAATTTGCAATTCTGCTTCTTCTGATAAACTACTACCTTTGTGACACCCTCCTGAGGGTTCCCTTGGTGGGAAGGAATCATTTGGTGCCCATAATGTTTCACCAGCATGTCATTACTACACGTTGTAGTGCTATCAATGTTGCATTTTATTATATTGGCACCTTAAAGCCAGAGTCTTCTTTATCTTTGTGTTCAAGAGCCTGATATGATGCCTAGATCAGAGTTATATGTGACCAATAAACACACCTATCTTGTAATTTGTAGAATGAAAGTGTTTTTAAATGAAAAATGCCAGGCTCATCTGTATAGCGAAGAGTAAGAAACTTCGATTTTGAGGTTGCAATGGTATACTATTTCTCTCTTTCAAATTCAGTTGGAATAGACTGGTATATTATCAAATTAAATATAATGTTCTTCACTTACAGAATAAATTAAAATTAATTTTTTCTTAATGCTTAAAATTATATGTGCTTCCTTGAAATAAGTAAGATGTTTGAGAGATTAGGATCTTAGACCTGTCAAATAATTAGTGTTAGAATAGTTGAATTTTTTTATTATTTTAATATGTTTCAAATTAGAAATTAAAGAGAAAAAGTGGCTATGAGGAAGTCATGAGATTACAACAATCCTGTAATCAAAATTGCAGCTTCTTTATTCTGCTGTCTATGTAAAGTAATGGAGAAAATGTGAAGATAATTATAAGAACAAGAGGCTTAATAGATTCTAAAATCATAAGACTGGAAATTGCTTCCCAAGATCCCTCTGTCATGAGCACTTTGAATGAAAGATGGCTTCGGTTTGCTTTTGAATCAAGAAGGTACAAAACATCTACATTTCTGAGTGACTGGGGAAAGGGGAATGGTTAATAGGATTGGGCCATACTCCCTTCTCTTGGGTGCCATCAGATCACCAGTTCTGATTTGCTTTGAAAATCCTCTTCTAATTTATTTTAAATTTTTCTAGTAGCATGAAAGTGTTTGCTAAGAGATCAGCCATGTTTGTGGGTAGGAATCTTTGCTAGTGTTTTGCTTAAGGAAAAAATATTCTATCATGTATTGTTATAACTTGCTAGGAGCTTCCAATTGGTGGATGGAAATGTACTCCACAGACGACAACATGCCATGCTATTCCCAGTTTTTATTTTCCTAGAAGAAAAGCTATGGAAAAGATATGCTTCATTCTTGCTTAATAATTAAACAGAAAAGTACTTCTTGCAGATTCTTTTGAAGTAATCACAAGGCATTTTTGAAATCTCAGCAAAGGGAATGCCCCATGTGTTTCTTTTCCTTTTTTTTTCTGATTCTCCGCCATGGAAAGGATGAAAGAAACGCCCTTAAGTAGAAGACTTAGCTTCTACTTAAACTACTGAAACTTTTAACTTTTTTCTTTTTAGCAAGTATGAAAGCTTAGTAGTCATAGGACTAGTTCCTTAAGAATGCATAGGTACAATTTAAAAAGCTAGAGAAGCTTTTGAGGGGAACCGATGTGAAACGTCAGGAGCACACAAAATTCTAGAAAAGTTCTAAACTGTATATAACATTTGGATTGGAATAGATGAAAAATAATACTGTATTTATTGAGAAAGATTCCAACCCATTTTTGTTTGTCTTATCATCTAAAAATCTTCTTTTAAAATTATGTGCTTAATTAAATGTTTATTATATACTTCATTTAGATATTCAAATTGAGTTATAATTTTTGTTAAAAGTAATAATAAATATTTGTTTTTATAACAGCCATAATGTACCTGTGCAACACACACACACAGTCTTCGGCTTATGTGCTGTTTGGCCTAGGATTTGCACCACTGCTAGTGTGAATCATCAAATACAATCACAGGAATATTTTCAAGAGAGTAAAAATGTTTTCTGAATGCCAGCACTGAAAACTCAAATCCCTGTGTGGGTATTTGGGCAGAAAGAAAAAGTACGCACAGAATACCAAATACTTCTGGCAAACACCTGCCCTGGCTCTGTGGTGCCTCCTTTCTGGTGGGCTGGTGCTCGTGCCTTCTGATTTTTGAATATTATTTAAATTTTTGTAAACTATGAAATTATAAAGTGACAGATGACCCTTCTAAAATTTTCACAAGCTTACATCCATATATATATCTATATTATCATATATAATATATGGATATATATTATATACATTAATATATCTATATTATATATTATATACAAATATATATCTATTATCATATATATATGATGATATCCTAGAAAAAGATAAACTAGTATATTTGCAAGAATGTTCACTGTGGCATTGTTTGTTCTGGGTAAAAAATACGAAAAAACCTACATGCCCATCATTAGGGGAATGTATAAACTCTGGTATACTCTTATTTTGGTACATTCTGCAACAATACAAATGCATGAGGTAAGCTGGGTGTGGTGGCATTCATCTTTAATCCCAGGAGGCCGAGGGAGGAGATCACCTAAGCCTAGGAGCTTAAGGCTGCAGTGAGCTGTGATTGTGCTACTGCACTTCAGCCTGGGCAACTGAGTGAGACCCTGTCACTAAAAAATAAAAATTTTTAAAAAATGCAGTAGATCTATTTCTATTGTCATGGAAAATCTGTAAGATATTTTCTTTGGTTAAAAAAAAGGTTACAAAAAGCAGCTACAGGAAAATACTATTTGTGGAAACAAAACTAGAGAAATTAGTATCACACACATATATATAAATTCAGAGAAAATGGTTCTGAAAAAAACATCACACCAATGACAGGGGTTAGCTTCATAGATGCCACAGGATATCCCTATAGGATATACAAGGATACACAGGATATATAAAGGTGGCTGTGAAACGCAACTTTAATCTTATTTCCTATGTTTTCATTCTCACAAGAGGAATGCATTTAGGCATTATTTGTTAAACTATTTTTTTTCCTTAATAAATTTGTTTACAGGCATTGCAAAAGAGCCCAAGATAGCTGTGGCAATACACTACATGGCTTTTCTCCTTCATACCCAGGTAACTCTTTCAGATATGGCCCAATCTCTAGGGGCAGAACAGGGCAACTGACCTATGTAAAACCCTCCACTCATGCCGGGGCAGAGTGTGCTGGGTAAGGAGGTATGTGGGTCCTTCCAAAATGTTAAACCTGTTTGAAGGTGTTTCACTATGGATACGTAACTGTCCATTTGAGTGTGTTTTCTGTTTTCCTGCCCCAGTAGTTTTTTAAATGTAGTTTTTACTGACTAACAAATGCAAAACATATATTTTTAGAAGACATAATATACAGGGTTTAACAAAACAAGGTATAAACTCATAGATTACAGTTAGTTCGGGTGATCAGAACAGAGGATCCATTGAATAAAAATTTCCTTATTCTGGTAAATCAGCATTCTAGATGTTAAAAAGATAAATTGAGCCATGTACATGGCAGAGAAGATATGTTAACAACAACCCTTGGCCATAACAGACCTTGTATGAAAACCTATCCTTGCCCTGACTGTAGGTAATAGACTTGCTGGTTATATGCTATAACCTTTCCTAGAACTGTCTTTTCTTCCTTCAGTTTGGATAACAAATTAATTGTTGGCTTCTAATAGACAATAAGCTTTAAGAGGGTAGAGACCATGCATGTTTTCACTCACTGTGTGTGTGTGTATATATATACATACATATACACACACACACACACACATATATATATGCACAAAAGTTCTGCTAAGTAATTGACAAATGAATTAATTAATGAATTAAATGAATACAATAGCTGAATTTACATGATGGGGAGGGCAAATGATTCAATGAAAATTAGCTTAAGTTTCCTATTACCTTAGAAAATAAAGATGAAACCACTTTGTAAACTGAAAAGCAATTTAAATGTCATTCTTGCTGTTTTAGTGAAAATAATGAAAGTATTTACTATATGTCACTCATTAGTCTTCAAATAAGGGTTATGATATGATGAATGGACCACAGCACAAATAACTGAAATTACTACAGGGAATTTCACCCTGGGGTCTTCCCAAAAATCTGACCAATTTCACCCTAAAGCCTAGGAGGGTGCTTGATTGTGATGCTATTGCTGATGTCTTGACTTTTGTGTATTGCTCAGATGGCACTAGCATAGCCACAGCAATGACTAGTACTATAAACCCTTAAGTAGAGCTTACTCTGTGTCAGGCACCCTTCTGAGGTCTTGACATGTATTACCTTATTCCATTTTCTCCCTAAAGAGGTAATATCTGCTTATTGTAGAAAACTTGAACTATAAAAAACTGAATTTCTGTTTATCCTTAATGAATCTTTCATTTTAATACTTATAAGGTTATTTTGTTCTTGGAAGATTATATGGAATTTTAAAAAACGTTATTCTGAAAGGCCTAATTTTTAATATGATGTCTAATGTATTTGCATATATTTTGTAACTAATATCATTGGCTGTGCGTTTGCAATGTTTTATGAATTTTAGTTTTTATTTGTTGGTTTTTATTTTTCCTACACTGCTATATCCTTAGTTTTCTGTGTTTCACTATGTAGACTATATCTTGATTTTTTTTCAAAGCTTCTATACGTTTTTGGAAGACATTTGATTTTTAATTCTGCCAATGATTGTCTTTTAGTTTATTGCATATGCAATTCAATCTGAATTTCCCTAATTACCAAAAATAATCACAAAGCGATAACATAAATTTTCCTTGATGTCTAATGGAGAATTTAGCAGGCTGACTAATGTCATGCCACATTCTAATCTTTGTGGATTGTGGTTGTAGATTCAACACACTATTATACAATTATTATTTTTATTGTGTAAGCCTTTTACATTAGTTATTTTTTATTTACCACTGAAATTAATAATCACTGCAGCAAAAGCAATTCATACCCTGATCTGTAGGCATATTTTATTATTCTTTAGCAATAATATTGTTTAATAATAACAGGAAGAAATAGACATTTGATACTTTGATATCCCAAACACAATGCCATATAAACTATTTCATTGTATATTCACCATAATTATATGATGAAATAACTATTTTTCTGTCCATTTTCATAGAAAAGGACCCGAAATTCCAGTTGATTAGGTAATTTACCCAAGGTCAGTAAATTAAGCAAAGAAGTGTCCAAGTTGTGATTTGAATCTAGCACTGTCAACGTAAGGAAGCCTGAACTCTCATAAACTGCACTCCACAACTACATAAATGTTTTATTTATTTACCTCCTTTAATGTCACACTTCAGTTTTTCAACACATAGTGTGAAGTATATAATGTGTGATAGACAATCTATTGGATAAAATGCCGAGTCCCTGCTCTCATTGCCCCAAATCTCATGTTGATGAGAGTCAAACGAAGAAGCCATGATGCTAACGTGTAATAAATGTTATGATGTGAGAATTACAAGTGCTAGAGAATCGCCCAACAGTGCCTGCAACTACTCTAGGCATCAGGGCAGCCACTGCAGAGACAGGGAATTTTTTGGTGGAGAACTGGGAATATGAGGAACTTGATGACTAAGAATGTGGAAGGTGGTGGATATGACTGGAGAGTCAGATCATTTATCATTTTTGATGGAAAAAAATAAAATGACAGACATAAATAAGAAGAACAGATGAGAGATGAGGCCAAAGAGTTGCCCATAGGTTAGTTAATAGAACTTGCTTCTGTCCTGAGTTTTTGCTTTTAACTCAGAATTTTTCTATTTTAGTTTATAGAACTGCTAATGGTTTATGTCTTTTTGTATTTGTCCATGGCTATTAGCATTGCTATTTAGAGCAGGCATATATGGCACTGGAAATTTGCTGTCATGTTCTTCTAAAATTTAACATGAAAATTTCACTTCTAAAAGTATTTTATATGTTGAAAAGGAAATTCTGAGACGACAGCTTCAAATTTACGTTTGTTGAGCTGTTGGAAATGATGAGAAGCTCAGCAGAGCTCATACCCCCATCAAGTTATTAACATGTTCTGTTGGTTTTTGAGGAATAGTCTCCGAAAAAGTCATTGGAATATTAATGAAAGTTTTATGATGAGATAAAAATTCTACAACTAGAACAAAAAATATGCATTAATCAAAAATAATGGTGGGGTACAATTTCCATGGCTACCAAAATATTATTCTGGTTTTCATTAAGCTGAGAAGTGAAATGAATATCTTATAAAGAGGCAAATGAAGTTTAGCTCAGTTACACTGGCTTAGAAGAAGCACAGATCTCACTTTTTTTTTTTACTTTCAAAAATGGTCAACTGAATCTCAAGCGTATAACATAAAAAACTGTAGTAAGAGTGTTTACACTATAAATGTGATATAGGTAAAAAGTGAGCAATATTGTCCAAATAGAACACAATATGCATAAATATTCTATAAATATAATAATTTAACAAGGGTAGAAATGACGAACCCTAACATTTTTAGAGACTCAAAACTACCAAATGTAATGGATGGAGATCAACCTTTCCCTTTCATATTATTTGCAAAATAAATATAATTTAGCCTTAAACCAAGCCTGTAGACAGAAGTAATTGAAAGCCTGAATTTGGAGAATATAAATAGTGACGTAATGCATGTCATATGTGTAAGGAAGACCACAGATGTGCTTTTTCTGCCATCTCTGGTCTCCACCAAAAACAAAACCAAAAACCCCTCATACTTTAATAGGCAATGAGAGGAATTCTTGGAGGTAGGGATAGAAATGGGGGTGGTGTGTAAAGTATGCTAACCTCTAAAGAGGGAGTCTAAAACTTCAGGAATTAGACAAAATATTGGTCTAAGGGATGGATGGAGTAAGGGTTTCTGGAAGATTTACAGCAACTTTTTCTCAGATTATTGGTAAGTGTCTTGGTATTTATTTTTCTTTAAATGAAATAAAATTTCTTTTGCTGAAAGTAAACCAAGCACATGAAAGTCACTAAACCAGAAGCAGGGGAACAATTTGGAGCATTGGACTCTGGGTTTAGACACCCCGGGGACCTAGCTCTGCCATTTACAACCAAGCGCTGTACCCACCTGTCTCAGTTTTTCTTATGCGTTAAAATAGAAACAAAAATACCTAACTCACAGATTGTTGCCAAGATTAAAACTGAGGGAGTATGTAAAGATCGTAGTTCAATGGCAAATATAGACCCTGTAAAAATGATTAGATAATGAAGACACCAACAATGACTATATGATAACAATGATGATGTAAGAAGAAAGCCTCAATTAAGTGAAGATGTATAATCATCAATTCTTTTTAAATGGTTGCTTGGTATTCCTCTTTAGTTGGAAATAATTGGAAACTATAAGGTGTCAACCTACGATAGCAGCAAGAGTTACTGCTTTCAGTAAGAGCAGGTGCAACGTCAGAGATGAGCCCCCAACACCAAGTAACTTTCAGTCGAACCCTGTGAGGCAGTCAGAACCCAGGGCAAGTAATTGAGTCATGGGCTGTAAAATCTGGAAAGTCTCCTCTGTTTAGATCTGCTCTTGGAGCCCTGGTTGCTGTCCACCTGCTTCTCAATCCTCCTTCTTTGCAGAAATAATTTATCCACTTGGTTTCCAGGACACTTTTCTCCCTTGGTTCTCCTCCTACATGCTGACTGCAATTTCTCAGTCTCTATTGCACGATTATTTTTTATACATCCTTCCTCTAGGTAATGGGATGGATGGCTTAGCACTACTTTCTCAGAATTCTTTATTTATTCTGCACTCACTCACTAGGTAAACTTACCTAGTCAGGGCTTTTAAACATGGACTATACCCTGATAACTTCCATATTTATATGTCAGCTCTGACTTCTTCCCTGAAATCCAGATTCCTGTGTCCAGCCATTCACTCATCTGCCCATCTTTCCACTTGGATATCAAAATAGCTTCTCAAACTTCACATGTGAAAAAGAGTTCCACCCCAAATATCCGACCCCCACCAACTTCCTCAGTTTATTAAATTCCAACTCCACTTTTCATTTACTCGGGTCCCCAAATTTGGATTCATCCTTGATTTGTTTTTTTTTCCTCATACCCTAAATACAAGTGACCAAAAAAGTTCCATCCAATTTATGTTCAAGTATATTCAGAAAATCACCCTTTCACCATTTATACCTCACTGTTACCCTGCCCCTTCCACCCCTGCCGAGGGGTCCAGGCCACTGTCTTCTCTTTCTTAAATTATCACCATAGCCTCCTAAGTGTTTCTCTGCTGTAACACTTGCCCCACTACTATTTATGCTCAGGCAGCAACTAGGACTAACTTTCATGAAATAATTTAGATAATATCCCTTCTCTATTCAAAACACTCTGAGGTTTTCAACATTACCCAAAATAAAATTGACCCACATTTACCCAGTTGCTCATTTTCTCTCTGATTCACCTCTCATGGCTTTCTCCTTAGTCACTGTTTGCCAGTCACATTTCCTTCTTTGTTGTTCTTCAAACATTCCAAGTCTACTCCTT
Organism: Homo sapiens; assembly: GCF_000001405.40. Classification (NCBI taxonomy): domain Eukaryota; kingdom Metazoa; phylum Chordata; class Mammalia; order Primates; family Hominidae; genus Homo; species Homo sapiens. The sequence goes on along the minus strand of NC_000001.11, from coordinate 88,001,591 downwards.
TCTAAGGCCCTTTGAACTTATTCTTAGCTCTGCCTAAAATGATATTCCCCCAAATATCCACAGGTCTTGCTGGCTCACTTCATTCAGGTCATTTCTTCTCAAATTTCATGCGATCCTAGAGGATTTCCCTGTCCAGTCCACACACACAAAAAAATCCGCCCCCCCACCCCCTCACCCATCATTTTGAGATACTTTGCTTCACAAAATGCAACATATTTTAGATTGTTTATTCCTCTGTCTTATTTGCTTTACTGCCGTATTCTTGATATACCTAGAAAAGTGCCTGGCTCATAGAAAAAAAAAATAAGTATTTATGAAAAGAGTGCATGAATGCCTAAAATACAATATAAGAGGGCAGTTTTATACCGTCAATGGGAAAAATATCTTCCAATCCTTGGTTGAGATTTTTGAAAGCAAAGTTTGGTTGCACAGTGAGTACTTAGAACAGAATCTACCCAAGGATCCAGTAAGTACCTGATTGAAACTGGACTGCCTTACAGTTTTAAAGTGTCAACTTGTGAGGCCTTTCCCCCTAAAGCTATAATCTTAGTCAGCAGGAGTTTTAATGATCATTTTCGTTAAAAAGAAAAAAAAAAGGACCTCCACACACCTCTTCTGAAGTGCTAGTACATTTTTCTTTAAAATGTATTTATATCATTTCTGGGATAGAAGGCAATTTGGCTACACATTAAAATAAGATTTTTGGAGCCAAGGAATTCTCTACCCTTCTCCCTGAGGTATCTACTCTACCTTCCAGTAAGATCTCTTGGTATAAGCCTGGATAAACAAAGTAAACTGCACATATATTAATAGGAAAACAGCTGTTGCAAGAGCAATATCACCAACTAATATTAGGGCAATATATTTCAGTCTCTGAAGACAAAGAGCTTTTCAGTTCACCTTTGCATTATAACATTTGCACATTCATAAAAAAGGGGGAGGGGGAAGGTATTTTAAATCAAGAATTGGACCCCTTCAGAGGAGACATTGAATTAGGATGCAGATCACTCACACTAGAAGGGAAAAGAACAGAGCCAACACCTTGTTAACCTGTGTTTGTGAAACATTTTTCTTTTTTTCTTGTTTGTTTTAGCCAACATTATTGGTCAGATAGTGTTCCATGGGACTTGCATGCATGGGGCCAACCCTGCTACCAGATTCCCTGGCTGAGCTCCCCCTTCTCCCACCTTGGGAGACCTCTGTCTTGTTTCCTTTCTCCCTGGATCCCACTGTCTCTCTTAATCTGCCCATTTCAAATCCTCCTGATTCCAAGAAGCTGTTCCACATATCTCCAGTATACATTCATTTTGGCTGTGTCTGAATTACAGACTGTTGGTACCCTCACCATCATCTTCAGCTTACATATTCCTTCTATGTGTGCATTGAGTGTGTACATGTGAGCATATGTGAGTGTTTTGTCTCCCCAACTAACTGGTAGCTCGTTGAGATTAGAGGTAGGTTTTATATATTAAGCCATCTCTTAAATAATATTGTAGTATATAGTCTGGGAAAGTGCGTGCGTGTGAGCGTGGGCACTGCATGGGGTTAGTGGGGAGGAGTCTGAGCTTTGCAATCTGGAACTACTGCCTACTCGTTGTGTGGACTTGCCAAGTTCACACATAGTGGGAAATAAAAAATGTCTTTTTCAAGGGTTGGTTGTAGGGATTGAAAGAAATAATGCACATTAATTTAGCTGGTTCAGAGCGCAGCAAATAGCAAGTTCTCACTAAATGTTGACTTGAAAATGAGTGACTAAGTAAGTATAAATTAGTGATGGATTATATGTAGTTATTGCAGAACAAAATGAAGCAGCTAGAGTCACAGAGGGCTCATTTCATCCATTGTGGTATAGGCTAAAAAAATGAAGAAACTTGGTTGTGGAATCAGACCAACCTGAGTTCAGCTCCGCCATTCCCTAGCTGTCTGACTTACAGATATTTTTAAAGACTTTCAGACCTACATTTTCCTCATGGAAACATTAATGCTTATCTCACAGAGATGTTACAAAGATTATGGGAATGTTATGAAAGAACCCCTGCAGAGTTAATAAATGCAAGTTTGTTAATTTGTTTCTGGAGTTGATCGTTTTTGGAGCTACAGTGAATGGATTCCATTACAGCTCAGGACCTTGACTTCAGTTTCTGTGGCAGACACTGTTCACTGAGTGCCCCATTCTGCTGCCTCCTTCTTTGAACACACAGCTAGACTACATTTCCAAGGATCCCTGCACTTAGTGTGGCCAAGTGACTGCCATCTCCCCAGTGGAAATATAAATAGACACATTCCATGCTACTTTCAGAAATGGCCTATAAAAACCTTTCAGTCATTTTTCTCCATGTTGTTTCCCTTCCACCAGCTGGACACAGATGATAACAGTGCACACAAGGATGATGGAACAAAAAGATGACAGACAGGAATCTGGCTTCCTAGATGAGCAGATACTAGCTGCTTCACTAACCTGAACACCTGACCAGGACTCCTACATGAGAAAATAAACAGACAAACTTCTTTTCATTAGCCATTAAAAGTCCTAGGTCTCTCTGTTATTGCAGATTAGTCTATCCTAATTTAATTTACTCCTCTTGTTCTATCCTCCAAATTCTAGCTTTTAAGACTATTTCTACCAGCAGTACATAAGCATATTATTTCTATACCAGTTGACTTTCAAGGTTAAAAATACTACATCTTTTATAAAATAAGATTAAAATTTTTATATATTATTATTATTATTATTATTATTATTATTATTATTGAGACAGAGTTTCACTCTTATCACCCAGGCTGGAGTGCAATGGTATAATCTCGGCTCACTGCAACCTCTGCATCCCAGGTCAAGCAATTCTCCTGTCTCAGCCTCCCGAGTAGCTGGGATTACAGGTGTGCACCACCAAGCCCAGCTAATTTTCATATTTTTAGTAGAGACGGTATTTCACCATGTTGGCCAGGCTAGTCTCAAACTTCTGACCTCAGGTGATCTACCTGACTCAGCCTCCCAAAGTGCTGGGATTACAGGCGTGAGCCACCATGCCCAGTCAATTTTATATATTATTAATGATTTACGTTCTGTTTTGTGGGTGCTGTTTGTCATGTAATTACTTCATTATCTATTGAGTTATTCATATTATTCTGCAGAGATTTATAAAACTTTATACAAATAATTATTATCCTTTTGTTGCGTTTTGTTGTTTTTTTACAACCAGTACTTAATGATACATAGTTATTACACTGACAAATCTTTTCTTTATGGATTATTCAATTGCCTTCATGTATTAAAAGTCCTTCCCTGCTCTAGGATTAGATATGCATTTTTCCTCTTTAAAAAAATTATCAGACTCAATGCACACTATTCTACCTATACTTGGATTTCTGGGCTTTTATGTAACCTTGCCTTTCAATGTACTTAATACTGATCCCTAGCATCTTTTTAAAATATGACAACTTTATCTTAGTTACTTTCTTTTTCTTTCTAATTAAGCATTTGGGATCTAACTGATGTGAGGAATATTTTCCTATCTAGTATCCTTTTATTTTGTCAGTATATCTCTCATATCTCTTTAAGTTCTTTGTCTAACTTATTAATATTCTTACCAGTGCTTTGAAGATTTCATTAACATGCTGTTTATCACTTCAGTTGCTATTAGTAAAGACGGTTCAATAAAACAGAGATAAACTGACCCCCCATTATCTGATTAGCCAGTCTGTACATTCCAACCTGACACCTACCTTTCTATATTATATTCATCTCATGTTTGCTATATTCAGATATTTAAGATCTACATATTCAACTAATTTAAATTAATTTAGCTATCAAGATTTCACAAGATGCTGCATCCAGCACTTTACTATGTGCACTATCAAGACACAAGATCAAATAATCATCTAACACATTCCCTTTGGCTAATCTAATCTCTGATCTCAGCCAAAAAGTTTCTAGTTAGTCTAATCTGTCTTATTCTTTGTGAATCTAGGCTATTTATTGCCAGTGGCCTTGGTTTCTCAGAGTTGGATTATCTCTTAGGAGGATTCTGGATATATTTTCTTCAATATAAGGCTCAGAATGAAATATTGAGAAGGCCAGGAGTCTAACAGGAAACAAACTGAGCAAAAGAATAATCTAATTCCAATATCAATCAATCAATAAATGAATCAAAGTTTTTATTGAATCAAACATGAGCTCTGCACAGTCCTGAGTGTTAAAGGAAATATAAACATATAAGACATATACTGTTTTAGTCAGGGTTCTTTTGGTTGCAAGTATCAGAAGCACAGCTCAAGCTAATTGGAACACCAGAGGAATTTACTGGAAGATTCTGGGTTACCTCACAGAATTGAAGGGAACAATTTACTATAGCCATTACCTAGGAACATCAGAAGTGAAATAAAAACTGGAGACTTGATGCCTTGAAGTTGTGTCTCTCATTCTCTCTTCCTCTTATCTCTAGATGTCAGCTTATTCCCTTTTATTTGTTTGTTTATTTATTTATTATAAGGAATTGTCTCACAAGAGTATGGAGGCTTGCAAGTCCCAAGATCCCCAGGGAGAGTGAGCACGCTAGGGACCAAGGAGGGGAGATGATTTAGTTTTAGTCTGAATCTGAAGGCCTGAGACCCAGGAAGAGCTGGTGTTTCCATTTGAGTCCAAACACAAGGGGAAAAAGCAACTTTCTAATTCAAAGGCAGTCAGAAAGGAAGAATTCTCTCTTACTTAGGGGATGGTCAGCCTTTTTGCTCTAGTCAGGACTTAGACTCATTGGATGAGGCCCACTTACATTTGGGAGGGCAATCTCTTTTACTCACTCTATCAATTTAAATGTTAAACTCATCCAAAAATACCCTCACGGAAATATCCAGAATAATGTTTTACCAAATGTCTTGTGCTCCATGGCCCAAGTGAAGTTGGCACAAAAAAATTAACCATCATAGAAAGCATCTGCCATTAGCTAGGAAGTCCCATCCTAACATCTTGAGAACCAAAGAGACAGGGTATCTTTCCTTCCCTTCCAGCTCCCATTTGGAAAATCCAAGAGAAGAATTCTCATTAGTTACCCTACAAACAAATCACCATGTCTACCAGGATGCAGTATTATAATTGGTCTAGGCTTGGTGATCTGGTTATTTCTGAGATTGGAGGGATGGGGTAGAATATTTAACTAGCACTTTTTATCTCCAACAAAAACATATATCTAAAATTGGCAAAAGGCAATTCTTCCAGAGAAATGGAGATGGAGCAGTAAAGTGAAGCCAAAACAGTAAGTAGCCACAATACCTATTATGCTCTCAAAGAGCTTGCAGCTATTTAGGAGAGCAAAGTCAACACAGTGATTCATGAGCAGCATATAATGATGTACCCCACACTGACATATCCAAAAAGTGCATAGTGGTTCATAAAATAGAAAAGTCCAAAAAGGTTGTTATACAGTCGGAGAATGCTTAGTAACAAAGGTAGAATTCAAACTGGTCATGTTAAGACTTAGATATACATAGGAATACTAATTGAAGCCTTTGACGTGAGGACAGTAAGGATAGAATGACAAGCTATTGAGGAGAATTTCTACAGCAGAAAGAAAGAAGGGCAGTGTCATGCAGTCAGTTATGGAGGAACTTGAAGAAGCACACATACAAACATACCCCAGAAAATCCCTTCATTAACCTTCTTTTTACATCATGGATCTAGGCATGAAATATTTTTCCCACCTTTTTTTGTTAGCTTGGGTGTTTTCTACAAATCCATTTTTTTCTTAGTTAGGGTGACTATATGCTTTATCATTCAGACTGAAACGCTTTTGGCTTACACTGGGAATGGACTCGATAGTCTTCTCACTCCTCATGTGACTTCTCAATCAATATTCCTTTATTTTCAAGTAAAAGTACCTAGTCACGTGAGATCATGATCATTGCTGTTTTTAACCAACTCATTTTTTCCTAGCTCTTGGTCACTAAAGACTTTGAAACAATCTTCATAGTCTACCCCAAGTTTAGTAACACCATGAATCCATGTGTAGTAACCATGCAAATACTCTAAACCCAAGGTTTCTTGGCTTGTTCTCCTCTAAAGTCTTTCTCTACTTTTCATTTCACTCTATCTTTGCTATAGACACTCTCTGAAGTTGTGTCTATCCAGAATGGACTGTGTCACTTTTATAATCTTAAATTCAGTAAGGCTGTATCTTAATTATTCCTATCATAACTTCCTATTTCTCTAATCATGTTAAGTCACTCACTAAATCACTGTTAAGTTATTAGAGACCTCAAAGTCCTTGAATCTTCTATTTTTTCCGTCTGTTAGCCCCCTTCTGACCTCTGACATTTCTTTTCTAAGTCCTACCAGCAGATTTTCTTTATCCACAATGTGACTCATCTCCCTTTTTCTAGTTCTATAGGACATGGCGTCTCTAATGTTCTAAGCCAACCTTCCACCTTTATTCTTGACTCTGATTCTTCATTTGCCCACGGAGGCTTTACTCCATTTCTCTTCATCTTTACCATAAATATCTTCTACTTTATTTTTAGGATTGCTTCTTTGAAGCTTAGAAACATGTTCAGTCTTCCATTGATCCCATATAGCTTTCCTATTATCATCCTTTAAAATATATATACAGACTATTTCCCATTTCTATTGATTTCTAATTCCTTCCCAAATCCTACTGCAATATTCCTTGTTGTCAAACCCAGTTGACCTTTTTTAGATTATAGCTTACCAAAACTGTGCTTTTGACACTTCTGTTATTATCACCATATTAGTTTGTTTTCATACTGCTATAAAGAACTGCCCACAACTGGGTAATTTATAAAGGAAAGAGGTTCAATTGACTCATAGTTCAGCATGGCTGGGGAGGCCTCAGGAAACTTACAATCATGGCAGAAGACGAAGAATAAGCAAGGCACTTTCATCACAAGGCAGCACGAAGAAGAAGTGCTGAGCAAAGGGGTGAAGAGCCCTTTACAAAACCATCAGATCTCGTGAGAACTCACTCACTATCATGAGAACAGCATGGGGGAAACTGCCCCCATGATTCAATTACCTCCACCAGTTCTTTCCCTTGACATGTGGAGATTATGGGGATTATGGGATTTACAATTCAAGATGAGATTTTGGTGGGGACACAGCCTAACATATCAATCACTTTATGCCACTATACTCCACTTTGTTCTCCTTGATCATCTCTGGTTTTTTTAATGTCTAATTTGTGAGTTCCAGTCTTAATTTTGATGCTCTCCCAGAAAACAACTCTTCCAAAATTTCCTTTGTGATCTCACTCCCTTCCATAGTTTCAGCTGCCACTTATAGACAAATGGTTTTGAAATCTACAAATCTATATTTTAAGTCTAGAATTCTGCTCTGAGTTTTAATCCCAGATATTCAATTTTTCCTGGATATATCTATCTGGATATGCCCATGATGCTTCAACATCAATAAATACAAATTGAATGAATTATCCAAATGTGCTCCTCCAGTAATATCCTCCTCAACTTCAGGGATCTCACTCACCCAGGCATTCAGTTTAGAAGCCTGAGAATCATGCCTCGATTCTTCTCTTTTTTCATGACCACACTGAATTGTTCAACAAGTATCATTAATTGAATACCCAGAATATCTTGTGGTTTGTTCCCTAGTCTGATCTCCTTTACTCTTTCTTTAGTTTCAGCCTTCATTAACTTTCTTCAGGAATACTATTTCTAAATGGCTTCCTAGCCTTCCCTTCTTTTACTAATACATCACCTGAATTTACCCTTTGTGCAGTAGACAGAGGGATTTACCTAAAATTCATGTATAATATCCTTCTGTCTTTCCCTTTTAATATCCATCAATGATTCTTTCCATTACCTTCATATAATGTGACTTCATACAGCTTAACATTGGACACAAGATCTTCCCCCTCTCATGGCCTTAACAGGAGTAAAAATTCTTATTTATCTCTCCAACCTCATTTTTCTTAACTTCAGTATATAGTATTGAATATAAATCCCCATGATGCTGTTCCCTACCTTTGTTCATAGTGTAAACTCTGGAATGTCTCTTCCCCTTCACTTCTCTTATTTTATTCATTCTTTTAGACATAGCTTAGGTGTCACTTTGTACAAGAGGTCCCTCCCCATCATCTCCTGATTGAGTTAAGCATTTGTATCAGTCATATTAGTGCAGAAACCAGAAGTTACTCCAGGCATTTCAAACGGGAAGGAATTTAAGACCAGAAATATATTATCATTACCAATTTCTGTACTTGTCAGGAAAATCTAGTTTATGTTGTAGAAACAAATTAACCTTACAACCTGTGGCTTAGCATAACAGAGTACTGCCTTTTTTTTCTCATGACAGTGTCTGGCTTAGCTCATCAGCAGGATATTTCCTCTGCTTTACACAGTCACTCAGAGACCCACGCTGACAGAAACTGTCCCCAGAGGAACTTCTGGTGGTCTCGTTGCTGCAGCCAGGAAAGACTGATTCTAGAGAATTTCACTGGGCTTTTCCTGAACAGAATGTATTCCTTCTGCTCAATTCACTGGCCAGGATTTGTCACATGGTCCCGTCCAACTATGAAGTGCTGGGATGTGCAGTTTTCCATGTGCCCAGAAAAAAAGCGGGGCTGGATTCTAGTGAGTACTGCTGTAAAGATGTGGAAACTGAAGCTCAGGGAGGTTAAGAAATTTGTTTTTCTTTTTCTTTTTTTTTTTTTTTTTTGAGATGGAGTCTTGCTCTGTCACCCATGCTGGAGTGCCGTGGTGGGATATCAGCTCACTGTAACCTCAGCCTCCCAAGTAGCTGGAATTACAGGCATGCACCACCGTACCCAGCCAATTTCTGTATTTTTAGTAGAGACGAGGTTTCACCATTTTGGCCAGGCTGGTCCCAAACTCCTGGCTTCAAGTGATCCACCTGCCTTGGCCTCCCAAAGTGCTGGGATTACAAGCATGAGCCACGGCGCCCAGCCAGGTTAAGAAATTTCTCCATAGTTACAGAGTTGATACTTGGCAGACTGGTGTTCAAACTGTATTATTATTCAAAGTGTCTGCTGCCCTTCTCTTTTGGCCTCTCTCTATTAGGTTCCTCCCTAGAAGAGAAGGACACTTCCATCCGCTCTGATGGTAGGCTTCCCTGGGCCAAGTGAAGGAAATAACACATGCTACTCCCAAGCAGAGGGTTTGGTAAGCTTCATATAATTGCCTCATTGCTCTTTTCTGCCTGCTACAAGAGTAGCAGTTTTCCAAACAGAAGTTACACCTTCATCCTGGAGTGAAAAGTATAAAAAGCCGAGCTTCCGGCAACCTACAGCCAACCTTGAACATGAGCAAGATAAATATTTCTGTTGTTGTAAACCATTAAGACTTTGGGGGTTTTCCTTTCCTTAGCATAACCTTGTGCAATCTAACAAATATAAATACTGAAGAACTCACAAAATCCAATGAAAAACTGAGCATCTTGGATTTAGAAAGGGCTAGAGTCTGAGGCTATAAGGAATCTTAGTTGGGGCCAATGAACAAACTCTACATGGCCTTGAACTTAGAATGATTTATATCAAGTTTCTGATTATGTGTTTCTCTGATGAAGATTCAAATTCCCAAGGAGCAGAGAGAGAGAGAGAGAGAGAGAGAGAGAGAGAGAGAGAGAGAGAGCCTCACTGGTCCAGAATGCTCACATTCCTGTCTACCACTTTGCCAAGGAGGGTGGGGTCTGGTTGAGGGCAGACCAAAATGGTTGATAGTTTCACATGAACCACATGGGATAGAAAAGTGGTGATTTCCCAAAGCAAAACAAGATGGTGACATCCAAAAGGGGAAGAGTTAGTATCCCTAAGAACAGTCCACTGGAATATCAGTAATTATAATTTGCTTACCCCCTTTATCATCCCTCTCTTTCTTTCTCCTTCATAATCACATAAAACCATCTTCCCACTCTCTGCTTCCCAGATTAAGCATCTTTAACAACCTTGCAGAAGCTTTTTATTTGGCGATGCCCAGCTTCCCATCCCCTCTGCTCAAATCAATAGGAAAAAATAAAGATGATCTACATTAATTTGGTTGCAGTTGTTTTAACATCCCCTGAAACCTTGAAGTTCAGCAGTACTGGGCCAGCTTGAAGAAAACCTTTCTGACAGGAAAGCAAGTTTCAGAAAAATGTTCCCCAGTTTGCTGGGCTTATAAGCCCAGGGCAAGTTTAATTAAACTCAATGGAGCATTTTAAAGTGAAGAAAAAATTAGGACAGCAAGAAAAACGTGTTGATTGTTTCCTAATTATGCTGTGGACTTTCTCTCTAATGCATCCCCCCTCCTTTCTCTCCCTAAATAAAACAACTGGCACGTTAAGTTTGCACATAGAAGATTGCATCTCAACCATGCATTCTGCACCAGCCAGGCACTGTTCTTCCCATTCCACTGCTGGGTTTGCTTTTTGGATATATTAGTGCTATTTTATTTCATAGAGACATTTAGCCACATACAAGAAAATGAGGAAAATGCAGGGAACACATTAGACTTCAGCAATTTGCAACCTTTTAGTCAATGAGGCTCCCTTTGATTAGCCCCTCCTTCAACATGGACTCATATTTTAAAAGATATAGTCCACTGAACAATCTGTATTTTTTAAAGACATGATTAATTTACTTTCCCATTTTTATTCATGAGACATGCATTAACACAAACTGATCTTCTTTCCAGAATAGGATAAGCACACTGCTGAAATAATTACATCCAAAAGGAAAGAAGCAAAACCAGCAGTTGTAATCCATTCATTTTATTAACAACAACCTACTATGTGCCAGGCACTCTACCGGTAGCCTAGTTACAAGTAAGTGAATGATTTATACTAGAATTTGAGAAATAATAAAGAAACTCATGATCTTGGGGGCTCTGGAGCCCCTGGTTGGGAACCTGTGTGCTGCAGCATGAAGTGACTGTTATAGCTGCCTAAAACCCCTAGAGGACCAGTGGGGAGAAGGTCATGGGTCTGGGTAGGAAAGGACCTTTCCAGGACTTCAGCTCAAACCCTTGAGCGAGGGAGGAATCCCCTGCACCATCAGCATGTAAAGAAAAACCAATACATGTCTTAAATGGTGCCACAAAATTATTTTAAAAGAAATAGTAATATATAACATTTAAATAGTAATTAAATAGTACTTACTATGTGCCAGCTACTGCTCTGAGCGATTTATATATATAAACTAATTTTATTATCTCAACATTTCTATCAAGCACAGAGAAGTTACATGATAGGACCAAGATTATCTGGCTAATTGGTGCCAGAACCAGGAGTCGAAGTGATGTAGTCTGACTCTTAACCTAGTGTTAAGTTTGCACATAGAAGACTGTTAACATGTCCTAGTAGAGGAAAACATGACAAGCACATTAATTCAGCAGTTTCCAATCTTTTGACCGCTAATAAACCATTTGTTTCTTTTTTGCTTACCTGAGCTCCTGCGTGTTGAAAGATTTTTAACTTGCTACATCAAAAAAGGTGGGCAGGGGGAAGTCAAAATGAAACTGATTTAATTGTATTTAAAAATAAATACATCATGTAGAATTTTGGAAGACTCTGGAAGACCAAGTGTCATGAGAGTACCTTAATAATAATACTACAGTGCTAAAACTATCCCTCAGTGTAGAAATCCAAGTAAGTTGAACTATAAAGTCACTTTGGAATGTAATAGGTTAGATTAGACTCCCTGTTAAAGTCCATATTACTGTCTCTCAATCTTTTTTTCTTCCCACTCAACAATGGTTCTGTAAAGCAGGGATTCTCAGAAGTTTGGGAATAGCTGCTTCGGGATATCTCTAGGTGGTATATTAGAATCCCAAAGAAATATGTTGAATTTGAAGAAAACCCGCAAGTGATTCTGAAATGCCCACAACTGAGTGTGGAGACATGGCTGCTCCCTACATCATTGTCCATAATACTCAGAGACCAGTGGAGAGGCACAGAGAGCTGTCAGTTATCCTTCCTCCAATCTAGCCTACATGGAGTCCTACATGTGAGCACTTGTTAAAGACAGGCAACCCAATGCAAATTAACACCTTAAGAATGCACATGGTAGCACCTCCTGGAGTCAGCAAAGAGTAATGGCGAAAGAATTAGGCTGAGCATGAATGGAAATCCCAGCTTTTGCACAACTGGCTCCGTGGGTGTGGTCAACTTGCAAGATGCTGGGCTTCAGCATCTTTACCTGTCAAACATGGACATGTGACCAAAGGATGTCTACAATCTATTTTCAACTCCAAATTTATTTGATTCTGAAATAAAAGAACAATATGTACACCAGGGCCTAAAATTATTAGTTCTTTTAACATTTACCAATTTGGTGTTTCAAATGAATAGTCTCTGACAGCTATAAAGCAAATTGTCTAGCCTGATATTTGAGGCCTTGATAAGTTTGTTTCCTTTTTCCCGCCTACGTCCTACTCTTCAAATGATTCTAGCTGTTTTGTTTACAATTGGAGCTCCCCTTAGACCTCAACATAGTTTTAAAATATGACTTTTTCTTCCTTTTGCTAGAAAGCTATTCTCCATTTCCTATAACTCTTTTAATTCCCAGCTTTCAAACTCTCATATGAGTTTTGTGGAACAGTCAAATGGTACGTTCTTCTTGAGACCTTTACAAATTAGATTTAACCCCTGAACAGAGGTGAATTTTACTTTTCCACCGTCTTTTCCTTTGCCTCCTCCTATTAAATATGGGCTATAGTGGCTTGAGTGGAAGTCAGGTTTTTTAGCCTTGGCACTGTGATATATGAAGCTAGATAATTCTTTGTTGTGAGGGCCGGTGCTCTGTATTGTGAGACATTTAGCAGCATTTATGGCCTCTACTATCTAGATGACAGTAAAACCACCCCACTGATTAAAACAACCAAAACTTTTTCCAAACTTTGCCAAATGTCTCCATGTCTCCTGGGGGCAAAATTCCACCTGGGTAAGAACCACTGGCCTAGATATTTGTGTCTCTATCTCAGCTTCTCTTCCCCACAGGACTTAGGACAGTACTTGTTAGCATAAGTATTTGTAGAAGGAATGAATTAATAAATTATTGTTGAAAAATTATTTGTATAATGACTAGATTTCTGTAAAATCACACAAATCAGCTATCTGTTCTATTAAGTTCTGAGTTAAAAGAACAGGCAAACATTTGTGATGGTCATCTGGAAAGACTGCATGCGGGACTGATATTTACCTAAAGTTCCTCTCAAACGTGCACTCTGCCTTAACTTCATGCTAAGGAATAAGCAGCTTGAACTTTTCCTTGATTCTAAGGAAGAAGCAGCTTGAACTTTTCCTTGATGCTAAGGAATAAGCAGCTTGAAGCTTATCTAAAGGTTTCACTTTAAATTCCCACTAACACTGGCCTCTTCTAGTTGCCCTTAGAGTGGAGGCTAGTCAAGGCTGAGAACATCGGCCAATAACAGCAACAGTAACGGTGGAGGGGAAGGGCAGGGGGGAAAAGGTTGGAGCTTGGAATCAGAGATTCAGAAGAAAGGCCAGATCTAAAGTGACTATGTTTGCTAAAGCAAATTCATTTGTCTGCATGGAGGTTAGACCTTTAGGATACGGTAAGGAATTTGAAAGCAGGGCTTGCTTTAGGATGAGTAGACTTCCTGGCCTTAAAATAATAAGTTTGGGAGCTGAATGGCGAGGGCACTTGGAGTGGAAGGTGGTTGAGGAATGCATGCCGGGTTGAGCCCCAGTGAAGCTCTTCCATGGTGTGGCCCATGGGGCTCTGTGAGAGTGGCAGTTACATCACCAGGAAGGTGAAGTTCTCTCTCAGAGGTACAGTCGAGTTTCAGGCACCTGCCAGCAACAGGACCAAGTACAAAGCTGGAATGCAGAGCAGAACCTGACAGGTTATATGTCTGTGTCTTTCATGGGATTTCAATTTTTTTTAAATGCCAGCTTGTCGAGTCAGCTCTTGTTTTAGATTATTCCTCTCCCTTCTATTAGCAAAGATCATTGAGAGCTGCTTTAGTATTCTTTGCGGCAAGGTTAATGCCTTTTCTAAATCCATTACCTCCTTTCCTTTCAGCCTCAAACTTAGTCCCTATCAGTTTCTTCCACTAGTTCTCTCAACCAAGAATTTTATGAATCAGCCCAGGTCATCATTTACTATTTACACATCCAGCCCTTTTCCATTAGTAACATAACAACAACAGCAACAATACAATAACAGTTATCACCACTACCAAAAGAGCAGGTAAAAATTTCAGAATATTTACTATGTGATGAGTATCATGCAAAACCTTTATATATATTATTAATAATCCCCATGGTAACCTTATAAGCCACTAGTCTCATTTTGAAAGTAAAGGAGCTAAGGCTTAAGTAATTTAATAAATGCTTGATATGACATAGCTAATAATTGGGTAGATCTAGCATTTGAATCCAGATCTGTCTGATTCAAGAAACTTTGCTCATGACCAGGAAATGATACTTTTCTCCATGGCTTCTCACTTTGCGCTTTTGATAGGCAATTATTCCAGTGAAGAATATAATAATAAAAGGAACACATCAATATGTCAGTATCATGTTACTCAGCCTTTGCTAATCCTTTCCTGTTCTTTCTGTAAGGCCAAATAGTACTCTGCATGCGGTACTAGATGTTCCACACATGCTTCTGGACTGATCTGTCATGAGACCTGGCATTCATGGGTTACAACTTTGAGATTTTGAAATGCAGGTGAGCTTGTAGAGATACCTTGTTGTGTTTGTTCTTTTGTTTCAGTTTCAGATATTGTTAATTTTGCAAAACAGAAAAATAAATGCCATCGGTGTTTTGAGATTGACTGACTTCTGAGAAGGAAAAGAGAGATGCTGAAAGAATCAAAGTCCCACTAGGTAAACGGTTAGGGGTAGTAGTCCTCATAAACTATGCTTGTCTCAGGCCTGACCTTTGTTCCAGTCTTGGAATCAAAGTCCGTGGAGCCCTTCTTTGGTTCCTACTTTGAATCTGGCCCAGGTCAATAGCCAGTAACAGGAAATTGTGCTGAATGATCACAATTTTTATTTGTGCTGACTTATTGGAAATAAGGCAAGACAGATGAGTTGCAGCATTTGCACACTTGATTACCCCCTTCCCCAATTTTTATGTGGCTTCATTTTGGATCTCTTTGCTACAGCATTTTAGCTCTAACTTTGGGCACTGAATCATGCTCCAATGTCCCATCAAGCATCTCGGTAATGTGATAAATCCATCCAAAGTCTCACAGTGCCATCCTGCACGTGACAAATGCAATAACATGTCAGGCTCAGAATGATACCCATATTAGGCAGATACTCCCTCTGCTGACAGCAGGTGTTTCTGCTTTATCTGAAAATAATTCACTGAATAGATAATTGATGAATCCCCAGTGGGAACAAAACTTGATTCTGTCTGAGCATAGGTTACCAAGTGTACCACCATAAAATAATTGATTTTGTGATATATTAAGTGGGGACGTACTCAAGACTACTGAACTTTTCACTTAGGGCCTCAGGCTGAAGTTGAACTAGGCTCCCAAAGGTGAAGAACCCATGCATGACACGGGCAGGGCTTCACACTCCAACAGCCAATTTAACTTGCATTTTCTTTATTAATCTAATATGTTCTACCTTTCACCAGGACGTGATGTGCAGGGAGTTTCATTAAAATGGTTGAGTTGTTATTGGAGATAATCACCGAAGGAATGTATCAGAAAAGTCAAGGAAGTCTGAATCATTTTTTATGCTGTTGTTTTAGGGAAGAGGTTTTGGATGCTGATAGGGAAGTTACTCTAGCTATAGGGCGAATTTAATTGCATTTTTAGAAACTTCTTTTAATCCTATAATAACAAAAAATTAAATCAGCTCTGACATTTTTTGTTGCCAGAAGAAGGTAGTAAAAGGGTAAAGAAATAATTGTTAGTTCTGAGAATATAATTAGCAACTTTAATGCTTTAATCTAAAAAATGCATATTTTGAGCCTGGGTGAATGATTAAAGAAAAGATATTGAAAGTCTTTGAAATTTCTAACTGTGTTTGTTTTTAATTGTGAGTTATGATCACTATAATTAGCTCATTTAGTGCATTTATAACATAAACAAATATGAATTTCCACAAGTTCAGGGATATTTCAGGGCAAATAAGATTGACATACTGACCTCCAGTTATTAAGCCTTTCTTACAATGTCAGGCAGAAGTATTCTTTGATTAGGAGGGAGGGAGGGAGGGAGGAAGGTTAAAGACACCAGGATCAATCACTGGGAGACAAGATTGGGATGTGTTTGGAGATTTGTACCAAAGGGATGATCAGGATCTTCCCATGAGTGGCCTGGGCTCCCCCTAGCCCAGCCAGAGAGGTGTGTGTTTCCAGACCCCCTTCCCCCTGGGACAGAGCCTGAGGCTGGGTCTGAGTTAGAAGCACAGGAAGAAGTAATAGGCTACAGATAAAGGAAAGCTGTCTGGTGCTGAATGTCTGTGAAGGCAGAACCCGACTTCTCCTGCTTTGCCTTGACAAAACCAGGAAACCTCATTACTATGCACTGGAAAAGGGAAAAGGGGAAAAAAAACCCAGAGGGATCTAGGGAATGAACTTTTTGGGGGTCTTATTTCTCTCAGAGGTGCACATTAAAATTCTCTCTTTCATTCATTAATGTGAATACAAGCTGCCTGAGAAAATAGCTGGTGGGACCTCCCTTAATGAATAGTGGGGCTTTTCTATGCTCTAGAGGCTTAAAATTGGGTTTCATCCCACAGAGGATTTCTCTGGGTTTTTTTTTTTTTCTTTCCTTCTCCTTCTCTGTTCTTAACACTACATGTTTGGTTATATTTCTAGGACTCACCTAGGTGGTGACCTGCCACATCAAGTTCTAATCGCTCATACGATTAGATTGGGCCACCCACAGGTAGGAAGGAGGGGCTGGTGTCAGAGACTCTCCCAGAAGTTCAGGAATTTTTCCAACATTATTTGAAAGTTTCTACCCTGTCAATCACATGCAATCAAACTTGTTCTTGTGAGGTTCCTCATACTGCTTGGTTTAGAATAGGTTAGGTATGAATATAAAAATCTTTACTCTTGCTTTCAGGGTTTTTACTTTGATTTCAAATGAAATTAAACCTTTTTGGCATTTTATGGTTTTTCTCCTTCAGGATTCTGGTCTCAACCTGCTTATTTTTCTCCTGTATCTTCTGGATGTTGTGCTCAATTGCTCCATTCTATGACATCCATGTCCACCTCCAGCAATTATTGTCTGTATCATCGATTCGGACTGTTTTTCATGAACTACCTTATGTTGTCAGTTATCTGCCAGTGTACATTTCTAAGTTTCCTAAGGAAACACAGTGCTTTCCACTTGTTTATGTCTCCAGCGCCCAGCAAATAGCAGGTGCTCAAATAGAGCATGAGAATAATGCTCTTGTATTCATGAGAATAACGATCATTGACATGAGGCCATGTCTTTACCAGTTATCTCCTCACTTCCACCAGTGGGAAGCTAGAATGACCATGAGCCCTGAGTCATAATTCCAAAACTTTAGCCCCATTTTTCTGGGACTGGTAGAGAAAGTGCCTCTGGAATGAGCTCTACTAATCTAGACAAGCTTGTGATAAGAAAAGAATGCCATGTGTGTTGGGCCATTCTTGTGTTGCTGTAAAGAAATATTTGAAACTGTGTAATTTACAAAGGAAAGAGGTTTAATTGGCTCATGGTTCTGCAGGCTGTACAAGCATGGCACTGGCATCTGCTCAGCTTCTTGGGAGGCCACAGGAAGCCTCCCTGGTGGATAGTGAGGTGGAGGCAGCCACATCACATAGTAAAGGCAGGAGCAAGAGAGAGAGCAGGAGGTATCACATACTTTTAAACAACTAGATCTTGTGTGAACTCACTCCTTACCAAGGGGATTGTGCTAAGCCATTCATGAGGGCTATGCCCCCATGATCTAATCCCTTGCCACCAGATCCCCACCTCCATTATTGGGATTATTATTCAACATGAGATTTGGTGAGGATATAAACTATATTATTGTGATACAGCTACTCAAGCAATTTGAGGGTGAGGTGACAATGTGACAGCAAGTTTCAGAGGGGCTTGTGATCGGCCCCAAAAGATGACACAAAGCCCCTGGCCGGAACACAGAGACACTCAGCAGTGGACAGTTATTCCGTTCCACACCAGTTGAGAAACAAGAAGCTGTTTTTCTGACAGGGAAGGCATTTGGAAGTCGAGTTTAAATTACGTTTTTCCTTTTGTTACTCCTTAAGAGTTCTTTTAACTTGTGGCATTTACTTTACTTTTATTGCACCCTATATATTTTAAACACAAACAAATAAAAATACAGTGTATCATGTTATTTAGGACAGGATTAATTAGCAAGGTATATATAGACAGAGGTAGAATGGTATTAAAGGTTTAAGAAAAGGCGGGGCAAGTAATAAACACTGAAGAGCAATGACGCAGTCACCTAAAGCTCCAGAAGCAGTCTTGGATCACACACTATTCATTTGTTTAATATTATTGAGTGTCTACTATGTCAGGTATTATGCTAGACACTGTTTTATCTGTTTATTGTTTAATATTGTAAAACCACTCTATATACTTTATAAATCAATGAAATTTATAGTCTCATAGTCTATCCAATATATTGGGCCATTTAAAAATTCTGTGGCATATTTATAATCATGATATTCTGGACGTCACACTATTGATAGAGAGCTACTTTGTCAGTAGTTGTCTACCAATTTGCCAGTAGGCTTTTAAAAGGGAGATAATTTTTCTCAGTGGGAACCAAGGAGAATTTGGCGGAAGGAATGCCAACATGCAACTTTTTTAAAAAATTAGCTATTAAAGGTCTACCTTTAGCACCATATGTTCCACTTTGTATCTTAAGGAAATTTTGCACAGCTTGAAATTTAGCACACATGGTGTAAGGAGTTAATATTGCACAGCCAAAGTGAGCAAACTAATAAAGGAAAGGTGGTGCTTCCTCTGTAGGATCAGATCTGTTACCTGTTATTTGGTTCTGCTGCTGAAGGAGAAAAATAAGTCTTGGATATTACAGCTGTCACTGTGACATCTGTTGTTTCAGGATCTGTGACTGCTTCAGTCACCACCTGACCCAGATTATCACCATAACATTCCGTCCACTATTAAACTGTGAAAGGCCCTCGCCCTCCAGGTGGTACTTCAAGGTTGACGTACCAAGGTGTTTGTCTCTGTCCCCCTGACTGCCTCTCAATTGAAAAATACAGCCTCACTTTGTGCAGAATTGATGGCAAACCAAGTCTCCCAGGGTTCAAGGGGAGCAGCTGAGAACAAGAGTTCCTGAGGCGTAGCCCCGCTCCGCTTTTAATCACTTGTCACAACTACTGGAGGGCCTAAGAGCCTTCAGAGGTGTCACTTTTGTTCTTTGTTGGTGGTAGCTATCTTTTCCCTTTGAACAGATGACTCCAGCAATTCAAACAACAATAAAAGCACATACATGTATCCACACTCACAAATCAGATATCTGAGGGGTTATTAGTCCTCCCCACCACATGAAGAATATTTTACTTTTAGAAGATCCTCTGAATTGAGCTCCATCTGTGGTTGTCTGTGTCTGGTTTAGATCATTGATGACTTAGACTGGCTATTGAAAATGTAGGTAAAAAGCTGATGCAATACTAAGTAAGAGTGTATCATGTGTGTTAACAAAATCAGGCCGGCCAATACATTTACAAAAATGGAATGAATATGTAAAGAAAGGCACATCTCTGCTGCAAAGAGACCTCATTCCAAGGACTCATTCCCTTATTGATTCATTTATCCATTCTTTCATTCAGAACCTGTTTATTGAGACTCTGTAATGTACCAGGCACTGTGCTGGAGACGGGACAGAATGAGAGAAGAGAGACACATTCTCTTTGCTCATGAAGTTGAATATGACAAGAAAAACCAAGATTCACAACCATATTTGTGGCACAGATTTTTCCCATTTAATTGAAAGACAGGAAATTTAACCATTCCTGGCCACCTAGCTATTTGATAGTCAGCAAGAAGCAGTTTGCTTTCACAATAACATGAACTCACCAAAGAAAACAAGAGCCACAAGCTGCTTCTTGCATGGTATGCCTCAATTTACTTCCATTACTTCCATTTCCCAACAAATTTCTGCAATACTGTAGTACTAACTCTGACACTGGTTAAATTTATGATCTTATACGACTCAATTATTCTCTCTAAACCTTGATTTCTTCGCATGTAAAATTCCTTTAGTTGATAGATAAGATATATACTTTTTTCAATTTAAGGAAAATTCTTTTTAGAGTAGTTTTATGTTCATGGCAAAATTGAAAGGAAGGTACAGAGATTTCCCATACACTCCTGCCTCCACACATGCCTAGCCTCCCTCATTTTCAACATTCTCCACCAGAATGGTATTTCATTACGATTGATGAACCTATATTGACACATTATAACCACCCAAAGTCCACAGTTTACATTAAGATTCACTCTTGCTGTTGTACATTCTGCAGATGTGGATAAATGTATAATGGCAGGTATCACTATTGGAGTATCACACAGAGTTGCTCTGAAAACCCTCTGTGCTCTATGTATTTATCCCTCCCTCCCCTAACCCCCAGTAGTCACTGATCTTTTTACTGTCTCCGTAGTTTTACTTTTTCCAGAGCGCCATATATTTGGATTCATACAATATGTAGCCTTTTCAGACTGGCTTCTTGCCTTTAGTAATAGACATTTACATTTCCTCCAGGTTTTTTTCACTGTGAGATCTTTTTTTTAACATGAAAACATAATATGATCTTCAGACAAGTATAATTCTTATTTAATTCACTGTCTTCAAAGTGCCTCAGGACATTTGCAGTTGCATGGCTTAGGCATTATGGCTCAGCAGGCAGGATGAACGAGGAGAAGACGAGGTCTGTGCCACCCAAGCAGTCTCAGAGTCATGAGTTCTCTACTCACCTGGAAACCCCCTGTAGTCTGTGCCTGAACAAAGACCTATTATCTGGGCCTGGCAGTATTTACCCAGCTCAGAACACAGCAGAAATCTTGGCCAGCAAGATAGTTTGAGGCTGCACTTTGTGGCATCCACAGTGGCTTTATGGCTTCGGGTTTGTAGTGCTAGGTCTTTTCTTTTTCTTTTCTTTTCTCTTCTTTCTTTTTCTGGTTGGCGCAGTGCCTGCGTATTTAGGTAGTTGCTGCCAGGTGAGTGTTGGCATCTTGTATAATGGCTCTACTGGTTATAATGGCATGTACCCAGACATGTGTAACTAAGAGGGAGGAAAGATGTACTAAAAATTAAACTTCATTTTTTATGTTTTCTTTATAACAAAAATGGGTCCAATTATTTAAGTACTAATTATCAATAGTTGTATAACAACTGAAAGGAAAATAGAATGCTGTATAAAATTGACAAACAATACAGGCATCTAGGAGCCTATGAATACTTTTCCCACTAAATCTGAATTTCCACCCACTGCTGTAGTTATTCTTGGCTCTTTTTTCGCATGAACTTTCTTTCACAGACAACTAATATGCTGAGATCTTTGCTAAGCAGATCGAGTATTTTGAGAAATATGATATCAAAAGGTCCTCTTTAGAAGAACAGGCTTCCGAAGTAGCAGGGCTATAAGCATAACTTGAGTCTAGTCGTGGGTTAGAATATTTTTATAGAATACCTTAGGAATTTTATTTTTCTAAGAGCAGAAATTTGGAAATGAGCTGCCCCAAAGTCCATTTGCTTACTGTCCCTCCACCTCATTGTTCATTCTCTAAAACTTTCCAGCACTTTAACCCTATAAAAGTGGGAAAACATATTTCTTTATACTGATAGAGATTTTAAAGATCACATTAGTGGTCTATGAAAAGTCTTTTCTAGGGAAACAATTACGGAAATATTTGTAATGCTTTTTTGGGGTGGGGCAGGGTGACTGAAAGGAAGAAACATATGTTTTTGGAACTTAATATACATTTTAAAGTTTGTACTTAAAAGCTACCCCCAGAGTTCTTGATTATCTCAAGGTGAAGACAGTGTTGAATTACCTACTTATGGTGACAGCCTGTCAGACTGAACATGTTGCAGAAGACTAGGGGAGTCTCCGCAAGCCCAAACTGCCCTGAAGGAATAAGATAGAGATGAGTGGAGGTGGAAACGGGTGCCGTGCCTTAATCAGAACCCCAATTACAGAATGTGGATGGTTCTTTTTGTCTCCTGTGGTAGGAGCCCCTCTTCTCTGTGGTAATTTCCATGTGTGGATTGGCACTTCTGTGAACACACATGAAGAAAACAGGCATCCTAAAAGATGAGGACTTTATGTGCTCGGAGTAAACACTGGAAAGTATCAGGTTCCTCTCACTGGAAACCACAAGGGTCTGTTGTTACAAGATAGACACCTGGGTTTACTCAGATCATATAGGACATGCGAGGTTCCAAAGCAGATGCAGTGGATAGGAAAATGGTAGTGCTGAGATACAGATACACCCAAGCTAATAAAGGGAATGATGGAGTCAGCTCAACTCCCTGAAGAATTAGAGATTTTGAGAGTTTCAGGCTACACTGCTTAACTTGGTAACCACAGTGACCAGTGAGCATTCGAAGTGTGGCTGGTCCAAATTAAGATGTGCTGGAAGTTTAAAATACAAAACGACTTCAAAGACTTTATATGACAAAAAATAAAAAAAAAATCTCAGTAAATTTTTGTGATATCTATATGTTAAATATTTTGGTGTGTTGGGTTACAGCACATATTAAAATTAATTTCACCTGTGTCTTTTTATGTTTTTTAATATGGCCACTAGAAAACTTAAAATTACTTGATGTGGTTTGCATTTGTGATGTGCATTATATTTCTACTGGGACCCTGGCCTAGGGTATGTTCGCGTAAGGAAGCCCTGTGTATCTGAATGTGGGATAATTCAATACAGTACTTGTGTTAAGTATATAAAAGCCTATGTTTCTGAAATAAATTCTATAGAGCTGTTATAATACAGCTTATTATTACACAGAGCTGGCTACCCCATAGGTCAAGTAGCAAATCCTAAACCTTGATAACACTCTTTAACAAAAGCCCACTTATCATATTGGCTTGGAATAGAGGCATCATATATCTACCAACATGAAAGAAGGAAAAGAAAGTGTATAAGGGAACAAGGTTAAGGTTGGGGAATAAAGACAATTCATTCAATATATAAAAGTACTTTTCAGCAACTCCCACATTTAGAGAAATTCAGAAACAAAGGATTTGGAAGTCCCTGAGGACTCACTGTAAGGAAGCCTATTGTCTTAAAGAAAGCCCCCAGAGAATCAAAGAAATACGTTGCATTAATGGGATTTTGCTGTGAAGAATGTGCTGTGTTCTAGGTAATTTCCAACATGATGAGCATTTTTCTGTATTTTATTTTCAAAGGGTTCTATATGAATTGGGCCTTTGAAGAAAAAAAAAAATTATTTCCATGTGAAGCCACCTCAAAGACTCCCCCATTTTAACCCTTCATGAAATGAAGGGCTCCTTCTCTGAAGACTGTTCTATCACCCAATCCTCATTGCTCATTGCTCCTGAGACGTTTTTCAATCCCAGTGTAATTAACTCCATCATGGAGGCGGCTCTAGATGCACGTATTTGCCCCTCTGTGATGGAAAATGTATGCCATTTTCAGTTACAGTCAGTAATTAAAATGGCCTAATCTACATTCACTTTGTAACCACAGACTCACCCTCCCTCAACCCCAGAGGTTGGAGGGCTGCCTCTCTTAAACCTATGGTGAAGATCTCTGACTGGCTGGCAAATAGTTAGAACAGGTAAAATAATCTAATCTGGAATATTGCTCTCCTCACCTTTTTTAATAAACATTTTACCTCACCACAGACCTTAATATAACGGCAGTAAAGGCAGGAGAGGAAATTGGAAACATGGCCAGGAGTGTGCCTTATGGTTCATAACAGCCCCAAATTGTGACTGTTTATTAAAACTAACACCCTTTTGTCAGGGTGTGGATCAAAATATCCAGTGGTTTCTCTTCTTTGATACTCCTTTCCCTTTTTTATGGCACTGAGTTTAAATTTCAATTTTAGGCTTTAATTAAGTTTCTAAAATTGTTTCAGACTAAAACATTGATATAAAGAAAGCACCTTGTCCATGATTTGGCCCCATCAAATATTTCCATCACTTATTTCAGTCAGTAGGAGATGTGTATGTGTGGATTGGCTCTTGGGCCACTGGGACAGGAAAGAGTTAAGGCAGGTGAAGGAAGGGAGGAGTGAGGTGGCCAGAGAACTGCCTCACAAAATACAATTAAGGGCCTTTCCCAGGCCTGGGGCGCTCTGGTGCTGCCAGGGGAAAGGAGGATGGAGTACAATGTTCTCCTTGTCCACACACCTCCCTTTTGTTTCAGCAGCACTTTGGCTCCCACGCATGCAAAAGTTTGAATTTCCTGTTGGCTCTGAGGTGAGATTTATAACATTTATTAAGGTTGCTATTCATTGTGAGTTTACTGGGCAATAAGCCTAAGAGCTTTTAGGGGCTTAATTGCATATGTTTATGGGGGTTTGCAAAGCTCCCCACAGCTTCACTGTCAGCCAGGTTGGCCAAATGTGGACTTCTTGGTGTGTCCAGGGAGGGTGTCCCAGTCCAACGGGAAGGTCAGGGGATGGCTGAAAGTCTAAGAAGGAGACAGTACTGTGAAGTATCAGGTTGGTTTTCTGCTTGGGCTATTTTGATTTACTTCCCTCCAGCTCACCTACCTCATTCTGGCCATGTTTGAAGACACATTTGGATTTTTTTGTTTTCTCCTGGAAGAAAGGAGAAATAATTTGAAATAATAGGTGTGTGTGGTGGGGGAAGGGGGGTAGCAGGTAGCATTGGCAGAAATGGAGGTAAACACATGTTACAAACATAATAAAGGTTAAATAAACATTTTCACATGCACTGTCACATTTAATCTTCACAATAGCCCCAGTAAAGCAGATATTACTATTCTCATTTTACAAATGAGGAAATTGAGGCTTAGAGAAATAGAATAACTTGTGAAATTAAAATAGCTAACAAATGGAAGAGCTGGGATTTAAATTTTATTTTTGTGGGGCTAGAGTTTGTTCTAGTTCATAGCTCCACACTACACTGACCCAGGCTTCACAGCTGATTGCTGCTTGCTCAACTAAGCACTTGGTTCAATTGTGTCATCAGGACATTGGAAAGTAAAGAGGTAAGCTTTTTTTTTTTTTTTTTTTTTTTTTTAAGATTGTGAGTTTTCTTTGTCACAAAAAGGTAGCTTTTCCACAATGATCTTATGCCTTGGACTTAGCCAACCAAGGAAGTCTTCCAGGATGGAGTGGGTAAGAGCAGAGAAAAGGCAAATGGGCAATGCTCTGAGCTGACGAGGTTCAGGATGTGCTTGCCTACAATATAACACCTTGACATATTGAATATTGTAAGAAGGAATTTGAGAAATGGTGGGTACAGGAAGGACTCTGTGACTGTATTAGTCTGTTTTCATAGTGCTATGAAGAAATACCCAAGGCTTGGTAATTTATAAAGAAAAAGAGGTTTAATGGACTCAAAGTTCCACATAGCTGAGGACACATCATGATCATGCTGGAAGGTGAAGGAGGAGCAAAGGTGTGTCTTACATGGAGGCAGTCAAGAGAGCATGTACAGGGGAACTGCCCTTTATAAAATCATCAGATCTCATGAGACTTATTCACTATTGTGAGGACAGCATGAGAAAACCTGCCCCCGTGATTCAATTACTTCACACCAGGTCCCTCCCATATGCGAGCTACTGTTCAAGATGAGATTTGGGTGGGGACACAGCCAAACGATATCAATGACCTTCCCCTGAAGCAGGTCAGAAGACCTTCATGTGAGAGGAACCCTTTCTATACTGGGATGAAAAGCACATCCTTATCTCTGAAGATGGAGGAAGGACAAGAGAAACCTGAAGGAATAAGCCTTGCTAAGTTTCCTTCAGTTTACTACTCATAGCTGATATCCTTTGTCCTATCACATTTTTCCACAACTCTCCACTCTTCATCAAACTTACTATAAAAACACTTGGGTTTAACTGTTTCTTCTGGTCTTCATTTCCTTATGAAGTCTCCTGTGTCACATAAAACTTATATTGAATAAATGTATATGATTTTCTTTTGTTAATCTGTTTTATAACTGAGAACCTAGAAGGGTAGAAGAAAAGATATTTTTTCTCCCCTACAGGGCCACTCAGGGGAAAGGGTCAGATATCTTGCAGTCCCTGAGAGTGGTAGCTACTGAATCAGCCCTATAAGTTGGTGACAGAGGTGGAGAGAGAGCGAGAAGAGTCCTATAGCCCATTTCATTATTTCATGCATACATTTATTTAACAGATATTTGGTAAGCACCTTCTATATACTAGGCACTGTGGTAGCATTGGGCATGCCAGACGCTTCAGCACTCTGCCTGCTCCCCCATGCTGTGTGGAGGTGGCCAAGAAGCTGCCCCGTGCCTTGCTTGTCTCTTAAAGGCTCTCTCAGGTCACCCCAAGTTCTGCCACAGTGGCTAATTTCCCAAACTGCTTTGTGGAGATAGTCTTACCATGGGGAAGAAAAAATAAAAAGACAGAAAGCAAAAAAGGCTGATGAACAGTGCACTCTTCATATGAAATAAATAAATATCTCTACATACATATATACATGTAAACATATATAAATATGCATACATAGTATACTCTTCATAAAAAATAGACAAATATATATACATATATGTGTGTGTGTATACACATTAGTCTGATATCAGTCTGATGGTCTAGTCCAAACTGTCATTACAAATTTATGGTTGGACTTCTAACAGGCAAAGAGCATACTGGCACAGAGGACTAAGCCGTTGAGCCATCATTGTTGGAAATGTATTGTTCAGGACATTTGCTAATTTATTGATGCAGCAGCAGAGTTAGAATCAGATTCACGCGAAGAATAAATTGGAATATTTTGGTGCATTTCTTTAAAAAAAAAAAGCCACTTTAAAGCCTATGTATTAAAATGACAAAGTCTTAAATAGGGGTCTCTTTTTCTAAACAAAAGATATGCAAATTGCAATTCAAGATTTATATTATGATAAAAACTGAAATACAAAAGAGTCATTATCCTGCAAAATGTAAAAGTACATTGCTTCATGAGTCTATAATGATATAATGGGATGTTGATGTAGTAAGAGGTGTCAGAAGGGAGACAATGACCTTAAAATTTTAAGTCAGAAACATTAGAATTGAAGAGTAAGTATCTACCTACCCACCTAACTACCCATCTATCTATTGAATACTGCACTTTTTGAAAATTTGAGATGAAGAATAGTCTATTTTTATCTTCTAATGTTGTAGCCATAATTGGATGGAGGAGGGGTTGGGAAATTACTTTTAACATAACCATTTCTACTCTGAAATTGGATAAAAATTTACCTTGAATTTTAGGTTTATAGGCCTGTTTCTCATAAAAATCAGTGGTGTGTTAGGAAGCTTGGAGACCATTTCTGGCCTAGCCATAGGGCCAGTGCCTTAACATCAAATGTCAGTGATTCCAATGCTCCCTGCATAAGAACGACTTGCAGTTAGTTTGCAGGGCCTCCCACTGTTTAGATGATCACAGTCATTTCCAATTGGTCATTGTGTTTCCCTGAAGGAAGGTGGGACAACTTAAAAAGACTGTATTAGAACAGCATAGATTTATTTTATCAAATCGCAGAGAAACTCCAGCAAACAGATATTTAGCTGTGGTTCCAACGGAGACACAGTTTAAGTAATCAAGTGATACACCACATGTGAAGCAGATTTACAGGATTGTTCTCTCTACTAAACAGAGCAGAATGTCTGCTTTAGCTTTATTTGGCAGAAATTTATATACTTGCTTCATGATTTGATCTTAACTTAAACAAAGGACGTTGGTCTCAGCCACCACTGATTTCAGGGCAATAGCTCTGTCTAATTTCTGAAAGGCATCAGAATTGTGACACTTTGAAAATCAGATGGTTGCACAGTGTAGAAGTATCTTAAATGTTTATTTATTGTTTTAGTGAGCCAAACCCTCATTTTTTTTTTTCTGAGGGCGCAATTGATTACACTGAAAGTTGTAGGCAGAAGGATCTGACTTTTATACAAATGTCAGAACCTTCGCAAAGCAATTCCAAGAACTTCAAGACACACCCCAAAAAGCCAGGGGCTCCAAATGAGGCCTAAGAAAATACTCTCAGACTGAACTCCTGATGATTTTCCAGTTCAGAACATGGCTGAGGGTCTTCTGTCACGGCGAGCTCATGGTTTATGATTTTGGAGGCTGTGCAATGCTCCTTTCTATTTCATCTTGACTTAATGTCATTAGTCTTCCTTCACAGAAACCTGAGCGTTCATTTTCTAATCTATCTAGATGATACGCTGACAGCATTTCCCCTGATCGAGACTTTACCATTTATGTCTCTGCCTCTGTTAATCATTTTCAGAAATGAGATTTATAGTAAAAAGGATTAAATCAATTCTGACTACCTCCAAATTTCTAGGATTTCAGGGATTCTTGATGAACACAGAAACCATGGCCCCTTGGAGAGGCTTTATTAAGAAGATCTTTTTTGCCTTTGTGAGCCGGCCTTTCAGAACTAGCCGTCTCTGTGGATCATAGCAAGTCAACTTCTCTATGTTTTGTTTGGCAACCACACCACAGAGGCTCCCCTCTGAGCAACTCAAGCTGTTTTTGATTGGAAATAGATTAGTGAGCTATCAATTTTCTTCTCCTTTATTCTCCATCTTTCCTTCTTTCTCTTCTTCCTAGTCCTAAGATGAGTACCCTTAGGAGACGTGTCAGCCTATTTCAATTAAGTGTTTATCTTTTAAGTTTCTCATCATGGGGTAAATTATGACATTTTTAGAAGCCAGGGTTGAAGAGAAAAATTATACCCATCCAAACTAAATCACAGCTTATAGCTTATTTTCTTCCTTTCTAATTTCTCTAATCTTCAGCTTACTTCAAATAACATCACTACTATGCATCAGGCTTTGTGCAAAGCAAGGAGCTTTCACAAATATAATCACTTTCCTTCTTTCTTCTTTCCATCATTCCTTCCCTTTTCTTTTTCCAGATACACTCGACTTTCCTTCACTGAACATATTTTTACATCCTCCCTGAAAAACTTTGGCTCTCCTCCTCTTATACTCACTGGGACGTAAGTACAGGCATAGCATTCCCTGACTTTCTCCCACCCTTTTTTTAAACACTGCCTATCTCATGAGGTGTGCTGTCTCAGCAAAATGACAGTGATCACACTGATTTATCTTTGATCATGTGTCTAGGTGATCAGATTCTGTGCCTTTAAGTTCAGCTGAACCACTACTTACTCACTGATAGTTGTCCTAAGCTATCTGCTCCTGTGTCATTCCATTTGCTATCTCCTCCAGTCTAGAGTAGGCCTGCATTTATATAACCTCCTTGGTTTGGTTTCCTATGTCTGTCCCTGTTCTCAGATCCTTGGTCTAGGTAGACATTTTGGCTTCCCTAGCTCTTATCCTTATTGCTACATAGATTCCAGGTCCTAGAATGAGAACTGCAAACCTTCTGGACTCTCCACTTTTGGGGGCCACTCTGGGCAACTATCAGAAATACAATCAACTTATACCCACAGAGTCTTTCCCCAGTACCATCCTACTCCATTACTGTAGGGCTTGCCACAGTCCCCAGGTTTGGAGAGGGGAGAGTAGGTAATGTGCTACACATTTTGCCTCACACATTTTTGCCTCAATTTAGAATGTCTTATTTTCACCACTGTGAGCTGGCCCATGTCTGTATGCTCTAAAGTCACTTTGCCATCTCTCTAATCTCCAGTGAAGACTAAGTGTTTGTATATATAGAATTTGCATACCATACACACAAAGATTTCAGTGTCCAGAATCCCTGGCTATGGATGCCTGTGCTGCTGCTCCATGGTAAGAATACTTGGAAATGGTAGATACATCCTTCAATTTTGACTGAGACAGTATGGTGACGTGCACACTCCCAGCTCTCCTGTCACCATGCCCTCTGCTAGTGTCTAGGGACTACTAGGCAAGAGCCAGAAGTTTTACTCATACAAAAAAAGTGGATTTTGGCAACACTTTAATATATGAAAGGTTAAAAAGGAATTTCACAAGTAATAGACAGGGTACTTTACCCCCTTGTTAGTTGATAAAGAGGGATTTAGCAAGTAGGAGGAGACTAACAAATATTACTAACTTATAGTTTCAGGGGTTCCATGACTCAGATCATGCCCCTGGGGTGCTCAGTATCATCCATAATCACAATAAGCACCTGCTGTATGCACAGGACCCTCTACAATCCACTGAAGATGCAAAGTGTTATAAAAGATGCAAAATGCTGTAAAAGACAGCTGTTCCTTTCCAGGGGATTTGGATGAGTCCAAAGAGAACACTATAGGCTTAAAAGATAGAAACTATCATAAAACAGTTGTTTGGACAATAAGTACTAAAAGTGTTTCAAAGAGAGTACAATGACTGCAACTGAGACAGTCAAAATGGAACTTTACTGGGGATCACAGCCAGCTTCATGAATATGAGACCTGTGTAGTCTCAAGGAAATTTAATCTTGTTTTAATTCTCTGCTCTTGTCATTTTGAGATTCTTAATAATTTAATCTTTGAATTTGTGTTTTATAAGCAAAGTCCAAAGGGGGCATGCGCATGAGCAGAGAAGATACGTACAACATGCGTGTCAATCTCTCCTTGCTGCCCTATTTGCATGTAGTATTCACAATGCCCTGTGAGCCTACAGTTCTGGTGGACCTACAAGATGTGGGAGTTAAGGGAGATTCAAAGCAAGTACAGAGTTAAGTGTGTTGTATCTATGACAGTAATTTGGGGAGGAAGGGGTGGGGTAGGGGGGCACTGACACCCTCTAGAGGCCATGCTTTTCATTCCAGGAGAATTCTGGTTAGCTTCAAAAACAGACCACAGAAAGAAGGCATGGAGTTCTAAGAAACACAAACAATTAAGGAACTCTATCGGATCCTTTCTACCCATGTCAATTCTGTGCATTAATCAATCACTTATGCTGGAAACGACGACGTGGAATGAAAGGAGATGATAGGCCAATCCATAGTTCCTTTTCCTTTTAGTCTATCCTTATTCACTAGTAAGCCAAAAGTAGAGTGTTAATAGAATATACATGTGAAATATTTTGCGTTTGTTTTGCATTTGTTTATTTTCTTATTTAGAATGACATTAAACAGAAAATAAAAAAGAAATCATGACAATTCAGAAGAGAGACCATAGAAGACGGGAAAGCATTTTATAATTTAGTACATTTAATAGCACTTGTTTCCTGCATTTCGAAAAAGGCCTCCAAATTTTCACTTTGTGCTGGGCCCCACAGATTATAAAGCACTACCTAATGGTCTTGATGGAAAGATGGAACCTTGAGAAGCCAAGATCCTCTGTAGGAAGTAATATCTTTGTGACCTGAAATGGGTTTCCCTGATTTGGTCTATGGGTATCAAAACGGAAATGTGAATACTCAAAAGTACTTGTTCAATGCCACCATGTATCAATTTTCTTCTATTGATTCTAATTTTAGAAAGTTAAACCTATCCCAAATGTTTGATGAATTCTCAATTTTCTTCTCTTCTTGTTACTCTATGTTCTCTAATTTTTAATATATTCAGCTCTTAGACCTTCATCTGTAATTGACTTTGGGGTAAAATGTAGAACCAGGAAAACTAAGTGTTTTCAATTTGCAAAATACTCCTTTAAGACCTTAGCTGTCTGCTGAACCATATTAAGACTCCTGATTTTTATTTGTAAACTCCTTATAAACATTTCTTTGGATTTCTATCCATTTCCATTCCCCTTGCTGTCCACAGCCCTGAACACTGCTTGTATTCTACTACTCTTCTACCTGGGTTCTCAATTCCAACCCAGCAACCACCTCAGTATCTCCTTTATGGAATTTCCCTCTTCTACTCTTGAGTTACATACATCACCCTTTCTACCTGGGATAATCTCATATAGTATGATTACTCCTATTTCTCGCTTACCTCGTTAAGAAAAATAGAGATTCTTCAGTCTTACTCCACTTCACCTTAACTACAGATTCACCAAAAAGAAGTGGAAGTGCTTTATAACTACAAAGCACAATACAAATATAGTCCATAACATTAATGTCATTTTCATTATATTAATTACAGTTAATCCTTGCTTAGGGCTCTCTCTATGCCGGACAGTGTTCTAAACTTTTATATATATTAATTCATTTATATTCTCACAACGACCCTTTTAAGGAGTTACTAGTATTTCTCACTTACAGATAACAAAACAGGCACAGAGAGGTTAAGTAACTTGTCAAACAGGTAATAAGTAGTGGAGGGGGAATTCCAACTCAGCAATACCCTTGTTATGCCTTCCTAAGGAGAGATGCTGAAAAGTGTCATAATGTCATTCATAGCTTAGTATGCAATAACACTGATAAATTAACATGCATTTACAAAGGCTCTACTTCCATATTCCCAAGAGGAACGGGGAAGCAGAACTGAATAATCTTTACATCAGGAATTGCCTGTCAGAAAAATCCACCCACTCTTTGACTCTATGATTTTGTCTTGTTCCATTTTATTTTTTAATTTTGGAGAACAGACTTCTCGGGGAAGTCAGATTTTACTTTGATTTTCCACCCGAGACTGGAGAGTGGAGAGCCTACATGCCTTTGCTGTCTCCCACAGATGCTTATTCTAGCTGTGTGACCACCAGCTACATGACTGCACTGCAATCCACTTGGAACTTCCTAGCAGGACCACCCAGAAGCTGCAGCTGGTGCAGAGTATGTGGCCGCCTGGCCTGTTTACATGAGAATGTGAGCCTAAGAAAGTGGACAGTACCTGCTTTCTGCTGTCAGCCAAAGCCTTCATTCCCCTGGAAAGACCCAGTGTGTAATCTAGAGACATTCATAGGTTTTAGCCCTAACTATTCTCCAGACTTGGAAGTGTTCCCTTCCCAATGTTGGACAGCTTCTCCCAGGATGCTTGTCACATGCCCCAGTCCAGTGGAGCCAGCTGTAGCTTTGGAAATGTGGGTCAGACAGACTCCAAATGTGCTGATCCTCAGATAGCCCACTTTGAAAGAGCCATTTTCTCATACAAAAACTTTCCGTTGAATCATATCCTATGCACTATCTCAGGCTTCTCAGAGAGCAACAACACTTAACTTGTAAGAAAAAAAAAAAAAAGAAAGAAAGAAAACATGTCCTTAAAACCCTTGCCTGTATCTTTTGTGGGCAGCCAAGTTCATGCCTGGCCACCACCCCAGGAGGGCCTTTGGCAATAGTCACAGCTGAAAGCCTTTCTAGCCAGATGAATAACAGTGTCCGGAAAAGCTGACCTGGGGGCTGAGTGGTGCCTCTGGAAGCAAGTTTTATAGAGCTGTTAGTAACGCCTTTATCACACTCTTTAGGTAACAGATTTATTGCTGAACAGGTTATCTTACGTCTATGTTTTTGTAAATCAAATCCTTTTTAAAACTTTGTTTTGGAACTCTTTAGAGAGCTCACAATTTAAAGAATTTTTGTAATGGAACATTTTATAAAATCACGGGAATAATCACTCCTTCAGACATCTGCTTCCAGAGTAAGTTCAGATTTTCAAAGATAAAGTTGCCTTAAGTTGAGGGGGACCGGTATTAACAGCTCTGTCCCGTCTACTTTGTCCTTTTAACTAGGCCACTCCACGCTCTCTGTTGCATGCTACAAACAGGCCCTGGGGAGTAGAGATGAGGAGTAAAGCCTAGAGATAAATGTCACAAGCGGTTGAGGCTTTTTCTCCAATGTTAGGCACAGAGCACAGATTCTTCTGAGGCTGAACCTTGAGAGGAAAGGCAAACTAAAATTTATTGAATTAGTACTATGTGACAGGCATTTAATCTCACAACAACCCAACAAGGGAAGAAGGAAATGATAATACTCAGTGAATCCTACTACCTACTGGGAATGAAGCTGGTAGCTTTACAGTATATTTTTTCATTTAGTCTTTATAATTAGGGTTGCCATACTTAGCAAATAAAAATATAGGGTGTCTAGTTAAATGTGAACTTCAGATAAACAATAAATAATTTTTTAGTGTAAATGTGTTCTGTACAATATTTGGGACATATTTGTATGAAAAATATCATTATTTATCTGCAATTCATATTGAACTAGGTATCTTGTATATTACCTGGCAATCCTACTTATACTAATCCTAAGAAATAGGAATTATTATTTCCATTTTATAATTGAGAAAACGAAAACTCAGAGTCATTAAGAAATTTGCCCAAGATGTTAACTAATGTCAGAGTTAGGATAACAGTCTCGTTCTGTTTGACTCTAAATCCTACATATTAGCAACTATACCAGAAAGTCCCCTCATCCTAGCTAATAAAGAGGATCAGTTTTTAGTCAGCTAAATAAACCACCTTAAGTAAAAGGGCTAAGTTCAATTTTAAATACTATTTATTAATGATCTACCTGGTCCAAAATCCTGTATTGGGGCTGGAGAGAAGAAAGAATATACTGCCAAGATTATTTAGGAACCAGGGCCAGCCCTCACATAAAAACATAATGAAGTGGATAAGATGGTTGAGAGAGAAAGAAAAGGAAAACAGAGGGAAGAAACGCTCAACATGTTACTCGATCTCACGTTTTTAAACAGGAACATTTGTGTTACAGTTGATTCTGCTCTAAAACTTTGAACTAATGGTGAGGTCCCCTGTACAGCATCTTATGCGAGAAGCGGTGTTAAGTGAGGGAAATTGATGGTCATCCTCAGTGTCTCTGAGGAAGAAGATCCCTTCTTGCAGGAGATCAGCATCTGCCTTTCTGGAGTGTCCCCAGCACCTTGAGTTTGTGGCTCCAGGTCACATAGTGACTTTTAGGGTCCTGCAGTGGTTTGGCTGTCACATGGCTTACCTCATGGATGGACCAGGGTGACCTTGGCACGGCTGTCTAGTGAGGAGATTGCCCCTTCCTTCCCTCACTGCCCATAGCTGCCAGCTTGTGTGATGAAATTGATCAGGAAAGCTTAAAAAGAAGGCAGAATCCAAGGCAGCAGGTATGAGAAGCTCAAAAAATAAAATAGTATCATCATAAAGTAATATTTGAGTAGCTCATTTGTGTTAAGCATTGTATCAGCTGTGATTCATGAGCATTATTCCCAAATATCACAAGAATACAAT
Source organism: Homo sapiens (assembly GCF_000001405.40). Lineage (NCBI taxonomy): Eukaryota > Metazoa > Chordata > Mammalia > Primates > Hominidae > Homo > Homo sapiens. The sequence continues at coordinate 87,966,465 of NC_000001.11, read as the reverse complement.
AAGGTAGGAATTATTATTTCCATCTCACGGATGGGAACACTGAGGCTCAAAGATGTTAAGGTACATGCTGAAGGTCACACTGTGCACATGAATGTCTGCTCTGAAACCCTGCTCTTGTACAGCACTGAGCTCTCTCCTTAAAAAGAAGGGGGCGGGTGGGTGCGAAGGAACTGGACTCCTTCCCTCCATACAGGCAGGGAAATTCACACTAAACAGCAAGGGGAAAGAGGAAATGCAGAACCTCAGTGCAAAGGAGCAGGCCTGAATGTAGTACCATTCTGTCTTATCTCTTAATTGAAGCCAGGGGTATACATGCCCACTTCTGTAGCTAACATCAAAAATAGAAATCAACACTGTGCAAATGTATATCTAATGGTATAGCTTACAGTATGATTCCCTTTCCCCATATCATTTTACAAAATAGAAAAGATTAGGGGAAAGAAACTTAGAAATGGACACAGAAACAAAAAAGCATATATATATATATATATTGCTATTATAGTAAGGGCCTTTTTAAAGTCGAAATTCTGTTTTCGATAAGAAAAGCTTTTAAGAACTTTTTTATGTAGCATTGTTTATCTGTATTTATAGTCAATTTATTCCTTCACTTTGCTTCTCCTATACTATAATGCTAAGTTTCCCTTCATATTTTCCCAATGGTTAACATTCTGCTTCTGAAAATTATCCATTAAAATTTTATCAATTTTGTATTTTGGTGAGACAGTATGAGGAAATGCCATTGTGAAATTAGATTTTTTCTTTGACATCAGGCGCCCAGTCAGCAATCCAATCCCATGTGTTTCTATTGAGACATTAGGGTTTGATATAATTTTGGGCAGAAAACATTTTAAAAATGAAACAATTGAATTTTCTAGATGGTCTTGGGGACCACTTAGCTTAAGAGAATACACTTCCAAATCAAAAGCCTTTCAATCATTTTAAATATTATTTGGATGATATTTGCTCTGTGTGTAGTAGCAGTTTGAATTTGTATTGAATGTTTGACCGGCTCATGCACACATAGATGATGTATGAAATTATTATTTCATATTTTTCTAGTGTTTGCATTGCAAGTGACATCTGGCTGACAGGAACTTGGAGAAATGGGATACGAAGTGAATGCTGCAGTTACCACAAGCATCATATTTATCAAAAGGTTTAAGGTTGGCCTGTCTTTGTTTAACATATGAAACTTGGAACAGTGATGGGGAAGCGCTATGTTTTGGTGTTGCGTGCATTTTTTAACTGAGCTTTTTAGTAAAAGAGTAGTCGGAGAATAAACACTAATTGTATTATTTGTTCTGCTCATGAAACTAAATATTATACATTCTAATTTTAAGAAAACAGACTTAAATTCTGTTTAATATAATTTCCATACATTTTGCCTTTATTCAGAGAATTTGCAGATTTCATATTAGAAGAACATACATATTGAGCACTATTCATCATTACTCAGAAAAGGCGATGTGGGAGGAAAAAAAGCTCAACCTAATTTTTAGTTTTATTTTCTAATTTGTAAATGTGCAAAACCGAAGTAAGACATGTGAAAACATAGTACAATATTTGCAAGCTCTGAATCTGCTGTAATACACACATACGAATATCAGCATTTTCCTATTCTCCCGTTCTTGGAAATCATGGGGCAAATTATTAATTAAGTCATGAAAAATATCATTCATTTAACAAAGATTTATGAGCCTGCTATGGCCTGTGGACTACCCAGGTGCTGGAGATATGCAGAGGAATTCGACAACCCCTGCTCTTAATAAACTCACAGTCAGGTGGGAGGGGAGGTCAATATGAAATAACTAAGTACAATATAAGGCTATAAATACCACAATATGGAAGCACTGATAAAGGGGAGTAGATGGTCCATCTGCCACAGACAGGTAGGGAACAGAAAATGCAACATAAAAGCCATTGTGAAATCCTCTTAGTGTATCCAAGTAAGACTCACTTATTTTTTGAAATAGGAAAATAGAAAGATGGTGAAAAATCATCCCAGCTCTTATCACCTAAAGACAAATACTGTGAACATTTCCATCTAGTGTTTTCTCAATCACTACTTTTTTTTAGTTTTGAAAGTATTGCGATAATACTGCAAATATGCCAAATGTATGAAAAAAATACTAAGCTGCTTTCAAAGAAAACATAAAATGTCATCATTTAATGGATGTCCATGTTATTTTAAACTGGATATTGTCCATATAACAATGTCCATATAAATCCAGTTGATTGTCAATACCATAAATTAGCCATTACTCTATTAGGATGTTTGCCTTGTTTTCCATCTCCCTCAACCAACAATAAATTAGTGACTTCTAAGAAAAAAGGCATTCAGGAGAAGAGCAAGAGATCTCCAATGGTGGGATTCCTGGCACCAAAGTAAGAGGTGAAAGGTGTAAGTAACATCTTACCCTTTTCAACATTTATTTCAACATTTATTCGGCATCTACTACTGTGCTATGTACTTTGCATGTGTTAATTTGTTTATTGCCACAGGAACCCTGATTCAAGTGTAGTATAGTGAAAATAACTGCGGTTTTACCTGGAGTGGAGTTCAAATTTAATTCCCAGCTTTGTCTAGATGCATGATTTCCAAATTTAGTTAATCTCTCTGACTCTCAGATTCCTCACTTATGAATTGGGCAATATTATTACTCATTTGTTTAATAATATTATGCCCATATTAGGTATATATGTATATTATGTGTATGGTATCTTGACAGGCAGGAAATGTAAGATGAGTATAACATGTCTCATGTCTTTGAGGAGCTTACAGCCTCATGGCAGAGTCATTCTTGGGAGTGGGTCTGACAGGTCCCAGGAGACATATTCTTCCTGGTGGAGTAGCATTTGGTCTGGATCTTAAGTAAGGAGGAGCAGGTTTTATCTCACGGTTCTTCAACCAAAATGTTCATTTTCTGATAATCAATCAATCATGTGCCCAGTGTTGTGCATATTTGTTCTGTTCCATGTTCTGAATAAGCTTACCAACTAGTTTCAGTCTTAATGCCTAGAAGAATGTGGCTTCCGATTTATAAATTAATACACTAACCTATTTAAGAAATGATTGTGTTGGTTCAGAGGTGATTGGTTTCTACCAGAGCCTTTCTTTCTAAAAGATGTGCTCAGCCTTGTAAACAGGGGGTCCTGTTGCTCTATCAGTAACCATCTTTGGACACTGTATTTTAAAAACCTCATTAATCTGAATACAACTGTTACTGTTGTATACCTAGAATACCTAGGTTTCACAAATGGACAATGGTATTGAGCAATGCACAGACATACTCTGTAATCAGATTTGGGACTGCAAATGTTAAGTCCCTCCCTGCTAAAAATTCCTAAATCTAAAATTAAAGCTAGAATACTCAGACCTAATGGCAAGTTTTCAAATGTTCATAATTTAGCAATTTAAAATGTTTCAGAAACCATGAAAAATGTCATTTGAACCAAAAAGATAATTTAGCAAATTTTTGTCTTCCTTCTTCTACCAAAATTTCATGCAAAAGTGTATCTGAAGATTCAACAAATATGGGAAAGTAAATATATTTTCAAATTTTACTAATTAACTACAATTTTAAAATAAAACTATCTACAACTCCTATCTTCTGTAATGAATCAATGGTGTATCAGTTAGCTATTGCCATAAAGCTGCTGCATAACAATTTGCTCCAAAATTCAGTGGCTTAAAACAATTCATCTATTTTGCTTTTGAGGGTTGACTTAACTGGGATTTGGCTGGCCTAGACTGATCATGGCTAGTGTTGGCTCTATCCCATGTGTCTCTTGTCCTCTTCTTGGGACTTTTGGATTAGTTAGACATATCCTTCTTTTAGTGATGGCAGAGTCACCAAAGATTGAGTCCAATCACCCAGTCATTTTTCAAACATCTGCTTGCATCACATTTGCTGACACTGTACTGACCAAAGTACATCATTTAGCCAAAGCCAGAGTCAGGCTGGATGGGGCACTGCAGAGTTACAGGGCAAACAGCATAAATGCGGGGAGTGGGGAAGAAGAGGGGCTCTTAGGGTAATCTACCCTAAATGGCTGTGGCATTTACTACAAAGAAGAATGGAGTCTAAATTCAGTGGGTTTTTATTTTTTAATTATCATGTATTTAAAGCCTTCTGTATTCCAGGCATTGAATTTTTACCTCATTATCTTCCTGCAAGCCTACAAAATATATTTCAACATCTCAATTATGCAGATGAAGAAATGGAGGCTCAGCAATGTTGAGTAACATGTTGAAGCTTTCATGGCTGATCAGTGGCTGAGTCTAGAGTTAAATCCTGTCTGGGGACTCTGGGCTTCAGCTTCTGTTCTTTCTACTATGTAATGATGACTCTTCAAAATTTCAATTGTAAAATTTAAGAACAAGGAGAAATTTTTAAAATCTCATCTAATGTCCTTATTTTGTAGATGAGACAACAGAGCCTCAGAGAGATGATTTTTCATATTTTTATCTTACTAATTAATAAAAAAAATCTAGTGACTAGAACCTGGATCTCCCAATTCCTCATTTTCCTCATTATTTTATACATATTTTTGTCATTGATCATACATTTACTGAGTACTTACTATATGCCAAGCACTGTGATGATCAAGTGTTCTATTGCTGAAATCGTATCCTGATTGTAGAAATGAAGAGAAATAGAAGGTCATATGCATGCCTACTATGTGTCACAGTGGGTGTCTTTGTTTTCTAAAATTTACCAAAAATAAAGTTCTGAAGTCCTGCATCAATCTATTTCTACCAAAATATAGGACAGGTTTTTCTCTTTGGCCCTGATCACATTCTACATTTCACAGAGGCCAAGTTGGTCTTGGAGGCTGCAGGAGTTGCGTAGGCAGCTGGAGTCTCACTGCTGCTCAAGGTGGGCATCTAGCTAGGTTTGGCAGCTATGTAACAACTCTGAAATCATACAGCTGCCAGGCCCCACCTGAATTAGAACTGACCTTAAGATGGATTTTGTAAACCATTTAAATAGATCTCTCCTTTTGGAAAGTTTTCAGAGTTAAAAAGAAGAAAACAATAAAATGCCTCCAATTTTCAGACCCTCCCTCTGAGATCTGCTTCATGCAGCCTTCATGCTCTCCCCAGCACTGAATCATTATCCCCAGTGGGTTCTAAAGGCTTAAGACTAATGGAAAGCAAGTAAAACGTGGCTTAGAGCTGCCTGCATGGAACGAGAACCGCCCTCTCCATGTTGCTGGGCTCATTGTATTAGCCCTGGGAGACAGAGGAGGGTGTGGAAGAAATTTGGAGGCAAACCTGGCTGGGTATGGAAGGTGTTGGGGCAAATCACTTAGTGTTTCCTTTTCGGGGAGAAAAAAAAAAAAAAAAGCACCATCCAGGCCAGGGCCTGGCACGTAGCAGGTGCTCAAGAAATAGTTGTTGAATGAATGATGATTGAATTAGACTGTCTCCCCTACTTCTATTGCTTATCTAGTTATGTTTCTCTTGATTTTGGAGAAAGCTTATTCAGAGACTTAGTACTGCATGGAGGATAATGCTTTAGGCTCTGTGTTTAATCATTCAAACAATATGTTTGAGTGTTTACTGTGTTCCAGGCATTGAGGGCATGATGGTTTGCAAAACCATATGTAATTGCTACTTTCATGGAACTTGCAGTCCAACGAGATAAATCAGACATGGATTTTGAATCCTTACTCTGTCATTCACTAGCTCTTTAACTATGGATGGCTTATTAATTTCTTTGTGCCTCAGTTTCCTTATATATAAAAAACTATAATAATAGTACTTAATTAAATTTATATACATAAATACAAAACAGAATATTGTCTGCTCTTTAATAAGCACTGTATAAACGTTTGTGAATATCTCATATATTACTGGGAGGATTAGATATGAAAATGCATGTAATGAGCTCAGCATGATGTGGGCACATATGAAGAACCTCTCAATAGATTATTATTAACCTATTATGGGTAGCCTTAAGCATTCTAGCAATTCTAAACTTGATGTAGAAGAGGTGGGATGTGGTGGGGAGTGGATCAGAGGGAGAGTGATGTTAGGTCTCGTGCAATTAAAAATCTACTTTCTTTTTTTTTTTTTTTTTTTTTTGAGACAGAGTCTCACTCTGTCACCCAGGCTGGAGTGCAGTGGTGTGATCTCTGCTCACTCCAATCTCTGCCTCCCGGGTTCAAGCGATTCTCCTACCTCAGCCTCCTGAGCAGCTGGGACAACAGGTGCATGCCACCACCCCTGGCTAATCTTTTGTATTTTTAGTAGAGACGGGGTTTCACAAAATCTATTTTCTTAATCTTAGACACTCAACAACACATGCACACACACATAGAAACTGCACATACACTGCATACCTGCACATCCTTTACAGTACCATTAAGGGCATATTTAGGAGGAGAGGTGCCTGTGTGTCCCTAAATTAAATCTTTCTAAAAGTTGAAGCCTGTTTTTGTGCATTCACCCCCATCTTATGGACACAGTTATTCTATCACACCCCGCTAAAACACAGATGAAGGGAATTTCCCAGAAAGACCAGGAAAAGATGCCGTACCAGCTAGGGGATCTCTGGGCAAGTGGGAGGGTCAGCTTCTACTCCAATTCAATCTTGAGGGACGCTTTCCCACCGTCAGAGTCCGTCAACATCTGTAGAATGATGTATTTTCCTTCGCACTCACGCTTTTTTCGTATATCAAGTGTTTCTTACTCAGTATTGCCCTGTTCCTTTGGATCCAGTGAAATCATTAGAGATCTGCCATTAATAATTCTTAATTGTATTCCCTTCCTTCTTTCCCACTGGACTCCTGCTAGAGCCTATCCTTCTGTACATAATCACTCCGACCTGTTATTTCTCCTTCTCCGTGGGTTTCTTCCTCCATTTGAATAGCTCACTCATAAACAGCATCATTGAGACTCAAGATAAGTAGATGTACAAGTGCCTCTGCACTTGAAGCTTCCCATCTGGGCAAATCCTCATCCTCTCACTGAAGCATGTCTATGACTTAAGTTTCCACAGCCCTCTTCAGCAGCAGAGGAACGCCTGCTCCCTCCTCCCTTCAGTTGCACACCAGCCGATGTGGCACACATTATATCAAACTTAGGCCCCCAAATGGCCCCACCCTAGCCTCTCAGCCAGCACATGTATGCGTTGGCAAAACAGGGGAGAAGAGACAATAAGAATATTAGAAGACACATTTAAGGGCCACAACATAAAAGAGCAACTTAAGTAACAGTACAAACAAGAAAAACTATTACTATAAGCAAATTCCAAAGGATTGTTCTCTGTTTTCACAAAAACCAGAGGAGGAAAAAAAAAAACAGCCTTACACCACAGTGGGACAGGGTTTTGCTAAACATACAGAAGAACCACTTGACAGTGGAGATGAACAAACCCAGAAGCAAGCCACCCCATAAGTTCTTGAAAGCTGCATTATAAAATGAAAAATAACAATTTATTTTGAATGGTAGAGAAAGACTTTCTGGGAGATGAGGTTGGGAGTGGGGTGGAGTTGGACTACACAAACACATATAATCTTGGAACTGGAAGGGACGTTCAGGGCCTGCACCATCTGTTTCACAGAAGAGGCACAGAATAAATTTGCCCAAGGTTACAAGGCTAGTTAGTGTTTGATATTCCAGACTTCCTAACTCCAAGTCTAGTGCTCTTTTCAGAGCCCCAATTTAACTTAGAAATTGTGTCCCACTTTAAGATGATTTTTTTAGAAGGAGGAGAAGAAAGAGGAAGAGGAGGATTGAAACAAACAAACAAAAATGATGGATGGTTGGTTTACCATTATGCATCCTGGTAAATCCAGGATGTGTAAAAGATAATCCTCTCTCCTGGGAAGAAGAAACAGTTAACAGGTGACCATTAACCCTGAAGCCTAACACTAAACCAGGGCCTGTGAAGACTTGCAGTTATCTTCATTTTGTTGTTTAAAAGACTGGGTTCCATAGGCAGAGACAGAGCTATGCTGAATAGCGACACTTACCATTTGCTCCTCCAAACACATTCTGTAGGAAGGCGTGGGATTTCACAGCAGTGAGAGCAAAACTATTCACAGCAGTACCATATGCTCCCCACCATCAGGAGCGGCGGTACTGGTCACTGGACTTGGCAGGCAAATCAGCTGAATGGAAATTCTGAAGACCACAGTAGGAGTTTTCTCTTTGTGGGTTTTGGATGGTAAAATCTTCAATCTGTTCCACAGGCAGAAATCAGAGTGAAAAATAATTCTACACAAATTGTGAGTGTATGTGTGTGTGTGTGAGGACGTGCATGTGTGTTACTTCTAGAAAAGTTAAGGGGAAGCAAAGGCTTGGTACTCATCTTGCACACTATCTTATAGAGGTAGGAGGTCACACACTGAATGCAAAGAGGTAAAGACTGAGAACGCAGAAGATAGAGGATTATTTTTAGTATAAATTCCATGTTTTCCATTTTTTACCTCTAAGAAAAAAAGCAAGATTGAGAAGAATTTCCCAAATGCCAAGACCATTTAATAGCAGAATTACAACCGACGATAAATGCAGCACTTTTTAAAGCTTGTCCTTTCTCTGTTATTAACTTTGTTCTTTCAGTTGTGCCAGAGAAAGCACAAGAGATAGAAATTGGCAGAAATATGGGTCTGAAGAACAGAAATTCAACTCAAATGAAAATACCGTGAAAACCTCTAGTATAAAAAAAGTCTTTTGTTTAATAGCAAAACTTTCATCAAGAAAAGGTTTGTTTGAATTAAATGTAAAATTTAGGACAGTCTGTTATCTAATCATTACTAGTTCTGTGCACACAGGGTATTTTCTATTTCCAAAGTGGTCTGCAATCATTAGTTAAGCCACCCAGCATGCTCAGTCTAAATTGTATATATGTATATAATAGATAGGGAGAGTTGCTGGGGAGAGGCAGCGTGGCCTAGCAGGCTGAGTAATGGACGGGTAACTCAGAGTTGGGAGTTCTCATTTTCATCACCTGGTTAGTCTACAGTGGGAGCCAAGCCTGTACCCACAAGACTCTAAGACAAGGAAGCAACTTGTTTCGAAAATACATACATGTATGATATAAAATATCTTTTCCAACAATTGAGGAGTTTTAATTTTCTATAAGTACCATTGGCATCATGTAGGTCCAGTCTCAATTTTCCCCATAGGCAAAATATATTTTTAAAGGCCAGTCTTTCTGTAAATAACTATATTGAGAGGCAGCACAATGCTTAATAAGATACCTGTAGATGCTCACCAATGTCCTTTTTAACATGTGGAAACTGTCCAGAAAGTTTAAATGTATTGGAATAAATCAGTGGTGTAATTTCCTTTCCTCTTATTTTTGGCCATCAATAATACTAGTATATATTGTTATCCGAGCTTTGCCAACTTCAATTTTTCTCTTGAAAAGGAGAATCCTCTAAGCAAGATGTTGCTTTTAAGTGTTCTAATGTAATTTTTTCAAACATGAACCAAATGCTGGTGCCCAGCAGAGCTTGTCCACATCATGCCTGGATTCCAATTGCATAGCTTTCCTTCATTTTCATTTGTTTGCTCCTACCCTATCCAAACACATTAATTTGTGGTTCAGATAATGTATTCCATATGTTTAATTAGCCATTACATGAAATGTGGGAAGGTGGGACTTTTAAAATGCATTCTCCATTTCTCCCAGTTTCCTGACTGTTAACTCACATTCTCTGATGGTGTTTGTTTGTTTGTTTAATTATTTTCACAATAAAGAATCTGTCTCCAACAAAAGTAATTACTTCAAGTTGTAGATTTTCTTTGGATAATACAAATTTAGTTTGTTCTATACAGTTAAATTAATTCTGCCCTATCTTGTATACAACATATGTGATGTAGTCATTGCTCAATAAATAAATACTCATAATAAAATATAACTTAAATAGACTAGTATTAAGGAGTTCTCCTTTATAAAGTTTCTGGATTTCTAAAGTGCATTTCAATGTCCGTAAATTTCCAATTTTTTTCTAAGTAGTTTGCTTGGTGAAATACTAATTTATTGACAGATGTCAAATTTATCTCAAGTATGTCCTACTGATGTCAAAAAAATGACCAGCACTGCATTTGGCATATATTCAGAAATTCTTAACTCTTCCTAATTGATTAACGGTAATAACGGCCCCTGGAATGCCCCCACCGAGTCTGTAGCTAGCCTCACAGTGATTCACTATGGCGTCACTGGGAGAGATGAAGCCCAGGGCTGCAGTGGTGCCAGTTCATGCCTTTTCAGTGAGAAGGCATTCAGGTTACACAGAGTGTTAATCTGGCCACAAAATGGGAGACGGCTAAGTCTGCCTGGAATGTCTGGCTGCTGGTTGGCAGACGCAGCCCTTTTTTCACCTTGGATCTGCTGGGCTAAGGATGCTTTCATAGTAATTTTCCAATGTCTTCCTTGATCAGTGGACTGCAGCATTTTGTCATTTTGCAGATTTTGTTTTCTTCATGGGTTATTACTTCCACTGAACTGCACTTAACATCTATTAGCTTAGGTCTCCAGAAGATCAAAGTCCCTCTGTATCTGATTATTCTGCTCTTTGCAATTTGTGTCTCCCCCTCACCCTATCCCCTCCCCACCAATGCAGAAGGCTTGCACGTTTACAGATTTGGTTTCAGTGCTTTCCCCAAATCGTTTATAGACATAAAAGCATCATAAATGGGACATCGTGTCTCCGGAAAGAAAATAAGAGAGAAAAAGTGAAGACAGCAATAGTTATTCTTGTATTATTTCCATCTCAAAATGAATCTTTTAAAACTCATGTTTAAATATTTCCCTTTTTGAAATGAGATGGGTGAGGGAGTGAGGAAGAAGTACTAATGTCACAGAATTATGCTAATGTTATAGAAACAAAATTCCTGTTGAGATTTATTCTCTTTACTAAATCACTCTACCCCACTCCCACTTTTCCAAAGCCCTGTCCCATCTCCTTACATTTTAGTTTAAAATATTTGCATTGTCTTTTTTAGGAACCGGTCCACAAGGCCAACATTCCATTCATTTTATGGTTTATTGTTAAGGTAACCTTAATAAGTAGGTTCTGATGGAAGATTTTATTCCCTTTCTGAACTTTTAGTAAATGATAATCATTCTCTAAATTTGGTCTCACCGCTGTGATGTACCAAAGATCCTCTATCAAACGTCGACCCTGTCTCATCAATAGGCCAAAGCTGGCCCCATCAAGGCATTTGCACCGGCCCTAGAAAGAATATTTTTAGACGCTACATAAGAGGCCCAGTGTACATCTATCAGCAGACTTGAAGTGGGTGCTTGTAAGTTGAGACAGGTATTAGAAACTCAAACTATGTTTGGCAGCTAAAAAAAAAAAAAAAAAAAAATTAAGGAAATTGGAATCTGAAGAGAAATAAAGACCCAGAGCCTTTTTTGCAAGGATATTTCCTCATCAGAAATACTCAACACTATTCTCTATGGTGAATAAAGAAGCCAAAGCAAGAAAGGAGAGAGAGAGAAAGAGAGAGAGAGAGAGAACGTGTGAGCTACAGCAGGACTTCCCAAACCTGAATCTGTGTGCAGATCACTTAGGGACCTTGTTGAAATGAAGACTATGATCCAGCAGGTCTGGAGTGGGATCTGAGAGTCTAAAATTAAATTGCTCACCAGTGATTCAGATGCTGCTGGGCCCAAGACCACATTTCAGTAAAGAGTTAGTGTTTCCTTGTGTCCCTCCACAAATCTGACACTGCAAAAGGTCACTTCACTCCACCTGGCACACCTCAACCCCTTGTGAAACACTGGTCTCTGAAGAAGGATGATGAGGAGCCCTAGAGCAATGGCCCTTTAACTTTGCTACATATTATGATTCCTTGGGAGATTTGAAAACTCTCCATACCCAGGCCACACCCCATATATCAATTAAATCAGAATCCTTCGGAATGGGACCCAGGAATGAGTATTTTTAAAAGATTCTCCATGTGATTCCAGTGTACAACCATGTTTGAGGACCAATAGCTTAAATAAAAATAGCACAAGGAGAAAAAAAACAGCCAACATGTGTTGGCTTCTTCTATACAAATACATGGCTTTGTGAGAAATATATACATTTTTTTTCTTTAAATCATTATACTAAATCCCATTTACAGACCAGGAAAACGAGGCAGAGTTTACGTAACTTGCCCCCAGTAAGAGCTGACAGAGCTGAGATATTCTAGGATAAGACATATGATGGAGGAGTGGAGAGCCTGCTGGTTAGTTACATTTGTGTGTGAATTCAAAATTTTCTTCTGTTTGTATATTTGATTTTAGCCAACAGTTTGGTAATACCATTTAAAAATGTCAATCCTCCTTTTTTGTACTCCCCCACCCTCAAAAACCTAACACTGCCTTCCTAAATCATTCATTGCCTTTTCTCACATTTGCCATCTCTTCTCCTGGGCATGCTTAGGGTCCTAGGCTCTAGAGCTAAGGTGAGTTGTCTTCAGTTGCTGGCTCCTGGAGCTGACTTGACTCCACCCAAGTCGGTTATACTTTGTCTCACTTCAGTTCCTTTGGCCTCTCTTGCCCCTAACTGGGCAGCAGGGGGAGCTATGACTACCAAAAAAGAGCCTGTGAACTGCCCCTAAATATGATTTTCATGTCCTTCCCTAAAGGAAGTTTATCCTCACAACTCTTCACCTCAAAGCTAACGCCTACTGCCTCAAACCCCAGAGAATGGGTAAATAGCCCATCTAGGCATGCAGATAGCAGCGAAATCAGAAATCAGCAAGCTCTCATGGGGCCCAAAGATGCAGAGACAACTGAGAGGGGCCACGGCCACTCAGTAGTCAGTGTGATCAAGGTATAGTTCAGCAAAAAGACATAAATAGTAAATTGCATCTTCCTGAAGGGTGTTTCTCATTCAAGAAGGACCGAACAACTATGATAAAATGTGTAAAATACAACCATGAGCTCCCCTTTTTAACTCTGGCCAATGACTTGAATAAAAATTTTTATATCAGTCCTCAGTTTTCCCAACTTTAAGTGGGTATATGTCAGGCCAATAAATATTCATTTAACTTAGGTTGTAACTGTATTAGAGGACATACGGTTTGGTTATGAGTCAGGAATCCCCCAAACAACGTTATCATGTTTGAGGAAAATTGGAAAAATCCTAGAAAGAGAACATTCTTTTAAAATTCACAACAGGGCAGGATGCCAGTTTGCCACTAACCATAAATCCAGAGAGGCTGTTTCCCAAGCCTGAGACAATTTTCAAAATTGCTGCAGCTCAAACCCTCAGACCATGATGTTTTCTGAGGAGATCAAGGTATGTTACTACAACCACATGAAGACGTTTAAGTAGGACTGAAAGTTAAATGTACCAACTCATTTCATAAGAAATCTGGCCAGGAGCAGTGGCTCATGCCTGTAATCCCAGCACTTTGAGAGGCTGAGACGGGAGGATCACCTGAGGTCAGGAGTTTGAGACCAGCCTGGCCAACCTGGTGAAACCCCGTCTCTACTAAAAATACAGAAAGTTAGCTGGGCGTGGTGGCAGACACCTGTAATCCCAGCTACTTGGGAGGCTAAGGCAGAAGAAGTGGTTGAACCTGGGAGACGGAGGTTGCAGTGAGCTGAGATGCTGAGATTGCGCCATTGCACACCAGCCTGGGCAATAAGAGCGAAACTCCGTCTCAAAAAAAAAAAAAAAAAAAAAAAAAAAAAAGAAGAAGAAGAAGAAAAAGAAACCCTCACTCTCTCCCAACCACTCTGAATCATGCACACAGTTCATCCTCCCTCCTCAACTCTGATCTGAGAAGTCACCAGGGGCAGGGTGACGAGTATTCGATGCTATTTTTTATCCGCAATTAGAATCTCTTTAGATTTTCTGCTCTACCCTTGCTTCTGGGGCTTCATCTCTAGGAGGAACTGAAGGATAAAACCCAGAACTATTCACCTTAAACAGATTTTGACAACCATGATGCTATGGGCTTCTAAAGTGTTGCCATGAGTTGATGAATCTCTTGGATAGTTGATATGTGAACTTTGTGAGGGGGCATCCTGGTGTCTCTCTGATGGATTTTCAGAGTATGAGATATATAGGTTTGAGTCACTAGAGCAAGTGCTAGCAGTGTGATGTGGAAATATATTCAGAGCTTATTAACCTTAATTTTACTTACTCTATTGTTCACAAATATGTCCTAATAGTGTGTGAGTTTGCTTCTCTTCTCCTGGTTGCACTCAATCTAATAGAAGAACTGGGCTATTGCAATGGAAGCAGACAGATTAGTAGTGGCACAGATGCATGCAAAAATACACAGACAAGGCTTCGCTCTGTAGTTGGAGCCTCCCTGGTGATTCTCCTGTGTCCTTGAAATTGAGTTGCCAGTTCGCTTACACCAGCTAAGAAGTCTGCTTCTCCTCAATGAGCTCTGCCGGAGTGCCCCTGCCTTACTCTCCTGTGTGAGAGTTACATGCTCCACCCCTTCTCTGCTGAATCTAGCTGGCATCCTGAGTCAGATTGGAACATTTGAAAACACACACACTCCCCTCTCTGGGAAAACAATTCATCTGAGACAAGGGGAAGTGACAATCTTACTAAGGAAGCCGAGTTTTTAAAACAGATTTTTTTCTTTGAGTCCTAGTGACTACAGAGGCTTACATAATGGTCCAGGCTCAAAGGAAAGGTAGCCTGGAGTTTGAGAGCCTTCCCAGTGCAGCCCAGTGTGGGGATCAGAGTCTAAGGGATGAGGCGGGTGGGTGGTCAGACCTGGGAGCCATTCCTCCTCTCCAAGAATAGAAACTACAGTTTTACATGTTTTGTTTTCAGGCTTAAACAAAAATAATAAATGGGCAGTTTTCCCTAGCATCCTAATAGGCTGCCTGAGGCACATAAGCATGAACAATAAACCTTGTTAAATGATAATCTGAAAAGGAAAATTGAGACCTTATTCAAATTTGATGGAGAAAACACACAGGCACACTCCCTACTGTTTTGTCTTAAGCAGTGGAAAGATCTCTCCAGGGAAGCTGTAGAAGAGCAAGATACCTTTGAGGGACCACCCAATATGGGAATTGGGAACACATTCCGTTGTATTGACCTTGTATTCCTGTTTCCCAAAATGCTGGGTCAGTAATTATTTCAAGGGTACCATACAAATATGTCATTCGATTTTTCTTTCCTGGCTTAGCATCTTTGCTTTACACCCCACAATAACTAAGTCTGAAGGGACACAGATAAACTAGACTTCTTTAAGAACTGGCTCTTCTTCCATTTTTGTAGATATATCTCTCTCTCTTGCCCCTTCAAGCATGGGCTTTTTTCTTTTTTTGAGACAGAGTCTCGCTCTGTGGCTCAGGCTGGAGTGCAGTGGTGCCATCTCGGCTCACTGTATCCTCTGCCTCCCGGGTTCAAGCGATTCTCCTGCCTCAGACTCCCAAGTAGCTGGGACTACAGGTGAGTGCCACCACGCCTGGCTAATTTTTGTATTTTTAGTAGAGACGAGGTTTAACCATGCTAGCCAGGCTGGTCTTGATCTCCCGACCTCCTGATCTGCCCCTCTTGGCCTCCCAAAGTGCTGGGATTATAGGTGTGAGCCACCGTGCTTGGCCAAACATGGGCTTTTTAATCAAAGTCAGGTCCACCTTCTAGATAAAGTAATCAAATTTCCTTCTAATTCATCTTTGGGCATGGTCCAAATTTTCACAAATTTGAATCAGAATAATTACCCAAAGATTCCACCAAAATTCAAGCAAACTCCCAAGTGAAGGCTGTCCTCCCAAAATTTCAGTTCCAGTGTAACCTTCAATACTTTGCTTCTAGAAAAGTGATTCACTCTCCCACTTCTGGATGGTGCTCTGTTTAGCAGGTGTGACAGCTGCTGTTGATTTTCTCACTTGGCACCCTCCCCAGCCCCTTTCTTTCTTGCCCCTTTCACCGTGGAGACAGGAAAAGTTCCACAATGTTTTTCTACTCCCGTTGCCAGCCTTCTTTGGCTCGACCAGTGGGGTGCAGTTCTGTCCATGAGGGACTCATGCAGACATGGTACTGCTTCTGGGAAAGTGGCTTTCTTTTTGACAAACAGGATACATGAGGCTGGCACCAACCCTTCTTACTTTCTTCCTGCTCAGTGTATATGATGCTTGAAGGTACAGCTGCTATCTGGCAATAAGCAAAGGCTAAGGATATTAGAGTGGAACTACAGAAGAATCTTGGGTTCTTGATAACTTGGTGGAGTTGCCAGAGCTCCATGCATCTTGTATGAATGTCCTGGATTGCCTATGTTACAATAAATAAATAAATAAGCCAATGTATATAGTCATGTGAATATAAATGTGTGTGTGTGTGTGTGCGTGCGTGTGCCAGAAATAGTAGGTATTCTGTTAACTTGCAGGCTAATGTCTCTAAGTAGAATTTAAAGAAAAAAGAAAACACTAAAAACCAACTCCTTTACTGAGTTCTAAGCACTGCGTAGGAGGACTTATTTTTATCACCAGTCATGTTGCCATCTTCTTATTTTTGCCATTTCACAGATAGGGCAACTAAAGGCTAGGGACCTAAAGCAACTCTACCAAGGTCACGCAGTAAGCTGCTAAAAGCTAGGGAATAGAGCCAACAGCTCTATAATCCCAGGCGAGGCCTCCTCTGCTCTATCTCTACCCCTCAGTTAGGAAAATGTCAAAGGATTTATTAAAAACAGCCTGAAGCTAGATTAGGTATTTTAATACCCAAAGCACTTAATTACTAATACAGTTTAAGGTACATTAACCTAATTGGAAACTTTCTGCATATGGCATAGGTTTCCTCCCCACCTCAGAAAAATTAATAGTATTCTTTTCAAACTTTTTTCCTGGTCTCTCTCATCTTTTTGTGCAATTATTAGTTTCCAAAGTTAGAAAGAATACCACAGCCAAGGGTTTAACCAGTCTGAAGAACTGGTTTGTTTTCATTTAAACAAAAAATTTAAAATTAATACAGTAATGAGAGGAAAAGGAAAGATAGAATTTTATCTGATAGTTACAGGTCTCCGTCTCTCAGCATACAAGGGAGCTGGCAGGAAGCCCTCATCAGAACCCAGGGGTCATCCTTTGTGGCTCTGCCTTGCATTGCACATCCAGTCAGCACCAGAGAGCCTGACGTATCTCACCATTTTTTGCCATCCCTCACTACCCCCTTGGGCCAGGCCCTCAACATTCTCCTCTGGATTACTGTGATGGCCATCTAGCCAGTCTCTTGTCTGGTTCCAATCTGCTCCCCACACTACAACTGGAGAGATTCTTATAAAATGCAAATCAGATTAATCAGTCCCCCCACTTAAAACCCTTTAATGGTTCCCTGTGGCCCTCAGGATAAAGTCCAGACTCCTTGATATGACTTCAAATGCTCTTCATTACTAGTTTATGTCTAGTACTCTATCTTACACGTGTCACTCCCGCCATATTCAACTACTTGCAATTCCCCAGATTACCTGTGCTTTTCTTCCATTCTAAGCTTTTGCAGAAGCTTTTGGGTATTCCCTCCTGCCTCCTCTTCCTTTTGCTTCTTCTTACCAATCCCCAAGCTTAATCTTAATCATCTTCCACTGCCCAAGCATCACTTCCCCTGGAATCCTTCCCTGACTACCTCCTCCCCAGACGAAAGGTTAAATGCCTCTTCTATGCATTCCCATAGTAACCTACTGAGATAATGCTAAAATTATTTACTTATGTCTTTGTCTTCCTGGGGCATCTTGAGAGTAGCAAATGCATTTTGTTTACTTTTGAGTCACCAGCACCTAATACAATGATGCTTACAAAATAGATGCTCAATAAAAACAATTGTTGAATAAATAAAAGAACAAGTGAACTAACCTTGTATCAAGAACTATGCAAAAGATTAATAGGCAAGTGAGCTACACAGTAAAAAACTTGGAGCTAGAAGGGGCAGAAGGATAGCTTTAAGGTTCATGAAGTCACAGAGAGCTTTGTTAACCCCTGCACTTGGTGAGAAAAGCACAGGTCTGGCATCTGGCACACTAGGTCTCAGGTTGTTCTCAACAAAATCCAAAGGAAGAAAACTGGCAGAACTAGAAGCCGATCCATGCTGCCTGAGAAGGAATGGATGTAGGATATTCTTAAAGATCCTTACAAGCCACATGAAGATTGTGTGTGTAGAAGAGAGTTTCTAGGATCCTAACTGTACATGCAGTTTTGAGCTCTTCTCTCTCCCTTCACCCTCTTCCTTTCCTCTCTGCCACCCTATTAATGTCATTATTCTGGTGATTTTAGCAACAAAACCAGGGTGGGGCTCCAGAACCTACTCCTTCTTTATAAACTGGATAACTTCATAAATTATCCACACACACAAAACCTGTAGAAGATAAAGCTGACATTTCATACTAGAACATTATGTATGAAGAAGTACTAAATGGGGAACAGATGACATTTCTCTGCACTATCTCCTAATTTACCTTGTTACCTGTAAGTAACAAAGTAGTTTGCACAGTCTATACTGATGTTCACCTTCAGCCAGCACTATCTTAAATACAGATGGCTGACTTGTGTGGAAATGTCACACCTCTTAGGACCATTATTCTTTTTCACACCTCTCAAGACCTCTTATTTTTTTCTGACTCCTTTTATATTTGGTTGTTTCACTTATGATTCTTTTTACTCACTATTTAAGTTTATTTGTTATCATTTTTTATCATCCTTGTTAGGGAGAAACTCCTTGAAGGCAGGGACTATATTATTTGCTTTGCAGGATCTGCAGCAGAGAATTAGGTCCTATACATAGTAAACCTTCAATAAATGTTTATTGTTCAGCTAAAATAAAAAACTTCAAAAGTTTCAGACAAGAAGACTTCATGTACCCATGGACCTACCACTACCATTGCTTTCTGGGATTTTATATTACTTTTAAAGCTTTCTGAGAATTTATTTGAATTTTATCTCAGTCTTTGGGGATATTGGTAGGAAACCACCATAGAATAAGATCTATGTCTTTATTCACTATCTAAGCATAGGAGCTGAGTAGACAACCTTTGTTTCCTACCATGCCTAGGAGTATGGCAACCTGTGGACCTGGTAGCCTCCGGTAATCACACCTCTGAGAGGTTGGCCTGAATGCCAGGAAAGTTGTGCATGGCACTTGCAAAGAAACAGGCAGACTGCCTTTGAGAGGCCCATCACCTCCACCTGTATTTTGAGTATAAAGGATGGTTCCATGTTAGAGTGAATTATGTGTTTGTGACAACCATTTTCCATATGTGTTTAAATTATCCATGGTAGCTCTTGATTGGAGTTGTAGGGAGGTGGTTTCCTACCAATACCCCCAAAGACTGAGATAAAATTCAAATAAATTCTCAGAAAGCTTTAAAAGTAATATAAAATCCCAGAAAGCAATGGAAGTGGTAGCTCCAGGGTTACACAAAGTCTTCTTGTCTGAAACTTTGTGAAGTTTTTTTATTTTAGCTGATCCATAAACATTTATTGAAGGTTTGATATGTATAGGACCTAATTCTCTGCTGCAGATACTGCAAAGCAAATAATATAGTCCCTGCCTTCAAGGAGCTTTCCCCCTAATAACGATGATAAAAAATGATAACAAATAAACTTAAATAGTGTGTAAAAAAATCACAAGTGAAACAAATTAATATAAAAGGAGTCAGAAAAAGAACAAATCACTGCCAGCCAGGGTTACTTAGAAAGCTTTCTTGAAATACAGCCAGTTGATCATACTATGCAGGAGTGATAAGTTATCACAGAGACTCAGCTCCTCACAGCCCTTCTCATACATAGGGTTGAGGTCTAACCTGTCATATTTTAAAATTCCATGATAGGCAGGAAAGAACATATGGAAACAATGACCAACTTTTACTAACTTATTTATTGGAATTTGGGGGCTCTGGGTATTCTCTTTTGTTTCCCCATAGGATCAAAATATCACTATAATCTACTCCAACCCAAGGAAAAATTTCAGTCCTTTTGCACCTGAGGTTTTTCTTCTTCTCTTGAAATGTATTTGCAAATGATGCCTAGGTACACTGGTGCCTTTTCTGAAAGACACGATGTAACACTTTCACATGAAAAAATAAATAGATAATATCCCTCTTATAAACACCGATCATTCTAATTGTCATTCTTTTTCCCAAATTTCTTCCTCCTCTTAGCCTAGGGTGCTTTTATCTTCTGTCTTCTTTGTTTTCTGATTGTGGAACATGCTTAAATGTCTTCACAAACCTTGGGAGCCCTTTGTGCCCAAATCATAAGGCTTTGTTCTTCCTCCCTTCCTTGTGACATGGCCTCATAAAAATCTAGTAAGCAGGCCAGGCACGGTGGCTTGTGCCTGTAATTCCAGCACTTTGGGAGGCCAAGGCAGGTGGATCGCTTGAGGTCAGGAGTTCGAGACCAGCCTGGCCAGCATGGTGAAACTCCATCTCTACTAAAAATACAAAAATTAGCCAGGTGTGGTGGCACATGCCTATAGTACCAGCTACTGAGTAGGCTGAGGCAGGAGAATTGCTAGAACCTGGGAGGCGGAGGTTGCCGTGAGCCGAGATAGCACCACTACACTCTAGCCTGGGTGACAGAGTGAAACTGTCTTAAGAAAAAAAAGAGAAAGAAAGAAATCCAGTAAATATATGAGCCCTCTCTCTCCAAATCACCTTTTCACTTTCCTTTCTACTCTCCAGCCCAATTATTTCAAACGTTTGCCCCATGGCAGAGGATTTCTTTCCAATCTTACCCTGATACTCGTGTATGCAAATGAGGGATTATGGCCCACTGTTTTATTGTTATTATTATAACTGGAATATACAAAAGGGGTACAAGTACCAGGGTAAGTGTAGGAAGCCACTGCTTTTTGGCATTCTGCTACAAATTGGCTTCCTTCTACGATTGTGTTGGCAGGATTCTTACAGGTAGTTTTTCCTACCACTCCCACCCATGAATGCATGTGTTGGACACATACTTTCTCCCTCTGTCTCTGTCTCTCTCTCTTTCTCTTACACACACACACACACACACACACACACACACACACAGAGCCTTGACCTGGGGATGGACATTGAACTAGAATTGATAATAAATCACCCATACTGTGATGGGAACTATGGAGAAACACCAAAGCAGCAGAACATATTGTTGAGAACATTCTCTTTGTTTTTCCAGCTACTCAATGTTTTAATTTCTTCCTCTTTGTAATGGTACTACCAATAGTACCTGCCTCATTGGATACATGAATGAATGCATGTAAAGCACTGAGAACAGGGCTTGGCACATTGTGAGTGCTATATAAGTGTTTAGTAAATAGATAAACATGTAAAGCAAGCGCCCAGCACGTGGTACATCCCCCATATGTGCTATAGAAGAAGTCCTATTCTTAGCTATTGCTCTGAAAATCCCTCAACCCTCTTAGAGGAGCCATCAGTTCAGGGTTCTTGTAGTGAATAGCTGCTGGGTAGTGCTGGTTCTACATTCACCCCTTCTCCATGCAATGTAGCTTTTAGAAACCTTTTAGGGAATACTTAAATTGAAGCAGGTACAACCTGCATCAAATCTGGGTAGCATCTCCTCATCCTGAAATCAAGCTAAGACTTGAATAAGTCCAGCTTATAAAAGAATAAAGACACTAGCTTTTTTTCTGAATTCAATAGACCAGTGTGTTTGAAACTTCTTTTTTTGATAGTGACCTACGTTAAGAAAAATATCTTCTTTTGTGACCCAGTAGACAAGCACATGTGTTTATGGCTGGGACAAAAGCTTCTTAAAGTAATACCTGTGCAATATACAACCCACTTGGATACTTTCTCTTTCTTCTATTTCATTTTTTAAAATACTGCCTATAACCATTAAATTGATTTCATAGGCTACCAACAGGTCATGATCTGCAGTTTGACAAATACCAAGTCAGACCGAAAGTAACTTTAGGAGTGGGCTAATAATAAGAAATGGAATCCTATGAAAGACTCTAAAAATTCTCTAATGGAAGAAAGATGACTATTGATTTGAGTCTGTGTACCCATGTTTCATTCTCCTTGAGAATTTAAATTGCAAAGATATATTCACAGCTTCAGAGCTTCAGATGTGTTTAAAAAAATGCCTTTGTCTCCTAAAATAGAAGTTTCTGATAATGCACATCAGTCAGCACCCTGGGACACACAGGTTTCCCTAGAACAAATAATTATATTGAAGGTTATCCAATTGAACTCCAAATAGGCATAACCATGAAATAAACAAGATATGGTAGAAACAGGGATATCAATTGCTCCTCCCTGGCCCTGTTCCTGATGTGCAACAATCTTTGAAAAACACTGGTACTTTATAATCTGTGAGATCTTTTACTAACTGATATCAACATTCAAGGTGGAGGTCCCATTCCTACTGGACAAGTTGTCATAGCATTCTGGTTTCCTATATAACAAACATCAGTAAAGCCTTACTTGGCTTTACTGTAAAGCATAGTACTTGGCACTTTATGAAGTGTTTTAATGCATATTATCTCAACCTTGTAACAATCCTGTGAGGTATACTGGGCAGGTATTTTTGTACATTATATTTATGATGGTAATGCCATTTAAGACTTCACTGTTTCCATTTTCAGGATAAAGAGGGATCATTTTGAAACATGTTGTTGGCTAATGGCAAAAGGCAGCATAATGTGGACAGAGTACTAGATCTGGCCTCAAAGACATGTGCTAAAATTTGTGGTGTGCTAATTACCAGGTGGGTGTTCTTAAGTAGGTCTCCTAAGCTCTAGCCTTATGTTAAATTTTATGAGTAGAGAAACATAAGTCATTCTCAAAAGTAGAAGATTGGTGCAGTGGAAAGTAACACTACCTTCAGTGTCAGACAGAACTGGATTCAAATCCTGGCTTTGGCACAAACTATATGAACTTAGGCTAGTGATGTAGCCTCTCTGAATTGTATATTCTTCTCATTTTGTAAGATAGGAATTACAATAAAATGTCACCGGCCAATTAAAATGTCTTTTTAATTGAAACACTGTATCTGCTTCCAACTGCCTTTAATTTATTCTTATAGTGCCAATTTTAAAAAGTAAATCTATGTCCCTTTCCTCCTTAAAACCTTTCATGATTTCTCATTGCATTTGAGATAGACCAAAATCTTTGTCTTCACCAAAATGGTCCCATACGGTGAAATCTCTACCCATCTCTCCAGTCTCAGTTCATACCACTGTTTCTCCTTCTGTT
Source organism: Homo sapiens (assembly GCF_000001405.40). Taxonomy (NCBI): domain Eukaryota; kingdom Metazoa; phylum Chordata; class Mammalia; order Primates; family Hominidae; genus Homo; species Homo sapiens. Next base: position 87,943,343 of record NC_000001.11, on the reverse strand, counting down.
GCAAACATTTAGCCAATACTGGTCTTCACTGAATTCTTTGTGGCTTCAGACACCTTACCTTTTGCAGCCTGTGCACACTGCTATTTCTTCTGTGGAAAAGATCTCATTACAATTCCAGTCCTACCACCCTCATCCTTTAGGTTTCACTGTAAATGTTACCACCTGAGGAAGAAAGATATTCCTAAACTCCTAGATCAGGTCAAGTTCTCATATTCTACACTATAATGGAAACCTATTCTTGGTCTTTAGATCCCTTATCACAGATGTAATTAAATAATTCTACAACTATTTGTTTAATGTGCACTCCTTCAGCTAAAGCTTAAAATCCAGGAGAACAGGAACAATGACTATTCATGGTTGTTACCTCAAAGCATGGTTGTTGCCTCAAAGCATGGTTGTTGGAGTTAGGCTCCCTTCACTTAAATTCCTCCAGCTGGGTAACCTTGGAAAAATTACTCCCCTTCTCTGTGCCTCACTTCCTCTCTGTAAAGTGGAGATATTAAGAGTGTCTACCCCTTAGGGCTACATGAAGATAAAACGAGAAAATAAATGATGAAGTGCTACAGTTCAGTGCTTGAAATGGAATAATAGATGCTAGTTGTTGTAGGTGATAAATATTGGTTAAGTTAATATACAAATTGTTAATTAAGTGTCATGAAGCTTGTACAAGGCCTGGAATAATAGTAGACAATAAATATTAGTACCATCCTTCCTTCAGTATTTAAAGAATCTTCTAAGTACTCCTTTCTAGTCACCAAAGAAGCTGAAGGCAATGTTGAGTGTACAGAGCCATAAGGAAGAGATATGGAGTTTGTTATTATCCAAGTAGCTGACTCCTAAGCTGCTAACTGAGGTCATTTCTAAGGGAGAAAATCTTAAGGATGCTTACCACTGAGTGGTAAGGGATTGGGCAATAGATTGGGAAGGGAAAAGAGCCTTGGCAAGCTGAAGGCTTGAGGGCCAGGTTCATGCCATGAGTAACACGTGAAAGTAGCACACTGTGTGTGAGGACAGCCAGGGCCACTGGAATTTGTTGACTGATGCAATGAGAACTTGGAACAGAAGTAATAAAAAGAGCTGGGGCCCAGCAGGCCTTGGAAGACTGGAAGTAGTAGGAAATCAGAAGAGAATAAACAAGTTTCTAGGGGAATTTGAAGAACAAGAAAGAGAGGTAGTAGGCTCTTAATACCTGGCACTTCTCAGAGAAAAGAAAGAAACTTCTCATGACAAAAAAGCACAGAATGAAGAATGAAACCAATTCTGCCTCGGCTACCTGAGGTATACCTTTGTAACGTAAACCATCAGTGAGTAGGGGCAGGAATTAAAAGACAATTGGGATGATTTTCACAGGTGCTAAGATGCTGACATGGATAAGGTTTGACATCAGGAGTCATTGGGGGTTTGAGCTGAAATTCATGAAAGATTATAGGTCATCAAGGCAAGATAGAGAAGTGGAGGTGGAGCTGAAGAATTGCCAGTAAGGATCAAGTACAGATAATATAAATTACAGCCTTAAGGAGGCAGCTGATACATACATATATAAATATGAATCAAGAATACATGGGAACAAGAAAAGAGATTTTTTTGATGCTGCTGTCCAAGGTTCAGTGTGAAAGTTGACATATTCCCCTCAACCTAAGAGACTGGAGTAGCAGTGTATACATGACAAAGTTTTAGATACAGTAAAATTCATATGTGCTTTCCTGAATCTTTCTACCTAGCCATCAACTCCTTACCTCTACCAAGAGTGCACAGGTGAGGACTTGACATCTTAAGCACAGGATACAAATTGGCAGCCAGAAAGGAAAGGGTTAAAGAAGTGAAGTTTGTGACACAGCTGGGAGCCATTAACAATTAAGTTCTTGGACAGAAACGCAGCAGGAAGCTGAAGAGGGGCTGAAGAGGCACTATGGCCTCTAAAAAGCAAAAACTTGATTCAGAAATGAATGAACTGCCTTTACTAGTGAGCATTCAGGAAAACTCAAATTTCTCAACTAAGAATGAAGAGCAGAAACTGGTTGAGTCTATATTATGCCTACCCATAAAACAGGCATCTTAATAAGGAAGACAATAGAAAGTTAATAATTCTTAGAAATTTATATTTTAACAATACATAAAATAGGGGAATGGTACTGGCCTAATTTAAAAATCCTAGTTGGTGAGCCAGCATTAGGTACCCTAGGATCTTCCACCACTTGCATCACAGTTTGGTTTATTTTTGATGGCAAGAGGTTTGATCTTAGTGATAGAGTAGTAAATACAGTACTTTAGTGTGATATATTATCTCAGAGTTCTGAGGTCCCATGCTTTTTGCCTTGCTTTCTCCCTGCTTCTGCTCCCTTTACATTAAGGATCTCATCTTCCTACTGATTTCTGTTGTTCCCTTTCTACCCCACCAGGATCCATACTGTGCATTCAAGGTTCCCTAATCTCCTATAATGGAACTCAATTCATGACAAATGTGTAAATACTTATGGGCTACTTTATGTAGTCTCTCATCAATATTCTGTGAGACTTTTTCTGAAAAATTCTAGCCAATCCTCATTTGTCCTACCACCTGGAGTTCTCACGTGTATGTTCCAGCTCTGCCATGCCTCCTGATCCAAACAAATAATATTCAGTTTGGCACTTTATGTTGTCTTTGAGTCATTCCATTGTCTAATGTATAAAGTATTAACTTCTACTGAAGACTACAAACCACTTGATGTCAGGGACATGCGTCATAATTCATTTTTGTCTTCTGTACTGCTTTGCACAGTGCTATTTACACAATAGGTGCTTAAAGGGCAGCAAGTCCTTGCAGAACTGAAATGAGCACCTCCACGAGAAAACTGCGCAGGCTGCTTTGGAAGGTAGTAAACAGAGAAGGAGCAAAAGCATACATATGTTTACATATAAAATAGTAGGCCTGCTCAAGCAAGTCTTCCCTGAACAGGACCCTTAAGGAACATAACATAAGTCAATTGGAAGAATATACAGCCAACATGATTTATATGGCTTTCATAAGATTTAACACAAAATGAACATGAGAATAAGAACTCTTTCCCCATTTCATCACCATCTCCACCGTCTAGCACAACATGTGACACAGTAGGTGTTGAATGAATGAAGGTATGAAAATGCTCAGTACAGGGTCAGGGATAATATTAATAGTTGGCTGGATTAACCTGGGAATATTTCCCAGACAAATTGAGAAAATATTAATTCAATGATGAAAAAGGACGTAGTTTGAGGCTTCTCAGAGTGAGACTGCTTTGGCAAAGTTATGGATTAAGAAATCATAGGGAAGAAGAGATAGGAAAAGTCTTTTTCTTTTTAAGAAGGAAGGTTAAAGAATGGTATGGGAAGGGTGATCATGAGCCCCAGAAAGTGTGAGCATTGTAGAGGTGAATAAAAAAAGAGCAAGGTAGAGAATAACTTAAGTCAGTGGAGTCAAAAGTTTGAGAGGCCATCAGGAAGTTACAGCAATTAGGTGAAAGAAACTCAGACGGATTATTTGGATAGTCCTCTAGGAGCAGACAGATATTTAAAAAAACAAAACAAAACAACAAAAAAACTTGCTTTGGCTAATGGCTAAATGTTGTTAGGAAGAATCATTTTCTGGGACCTAGTCATACAGATTTTTGTGATGTTAAGCTCAAGCTGATAAGTCCCCAGAGGACTTGGAAGACATTTTATTGCCCTCATTTGGAAGGTGAAGCCATTGACCTCAAACCCTAGGAATGTGTTACTTTGTTCTTTTAATAATCATAACGAACTTTTCCAGTGCAAGCCATGTACAAATGCAAGATGCTTGGACTGAGTTGAAAGTGCTCTATAAAAAAGATAGTCCAAACGATGATGGGCCTTGGAAACTGGTGCCAATGAGACCAACTTCTACCCAGCCAAACAAAGTCATGTGACCAGTTTTCGAGGCTAAATGAGAGCTGAAAAATTCAGATGAAGGGTCCCCTGCTGATTAGGTTGTGTCAGAAGCAAAGAACTAGATAAGGAGCCACATTTCACTAGCACCAGGAATCAACCTCACCCTTAACTTCTTTGAAATGTCAATTTTATAAGCAGACATAAAGGAAGAGGAAGCTATGCTAGGCAACCATCAACTCATGATCGATGGTCATGATATTCTGGAAGAGTTGTAAGTAGTGCATACACACCACTTCTGTAATAAGGTTTTTATTCTTTTTCTGTGAAATAGCCCCTAAGTTAGCACAATCTTAACTGTTAGGAAAATATGACCACATCTTTATCAATTTTGATTCATAATAATTTTTTCTGTAAATTTTACACACATTTTTCAAGAAAAAAATGCTTTCACAGAAGCATTTTTTAATGTTGTAGGTGGGAATTGCCTGTGCTTTCTAATTAGACCTATAAAAAGCCAGTTCCCACATGCATGAAAGTTCCCTTGGGTTACCAATAGCGGGCCTTGTACGAATGCTGGGAAATTCAGGCAGTATCTTTGGGGCCAATCTCATGCCATCTGCTCAGCATCCTCAAAAATCCTATTCCAGAAGGCAGTTCTTCAAGTTCTTAAGCATCTTTTTGACTTGACTCAGTGTGGCTGATAAAAATAAACTTCATATTTTGAATCACAATCCCTTGCACACTTTCCTGAAAAATTGGACAAAAATTTGTCAGTCTCTCTAGTCTCAGTTACTGTCTATTTCACAAACTGTACTTAGCCCTGACACCAGTCTCCTGTCTTAATGACTGTCTATTAAGAGACACTGTCATCTTGTTAAAGAGCATGCCAAGTGGATATCTCCCTTTGATTACTTGTCCTCTGTTTCTATGGACCTAGAGTCAAAGCAGTCTCTATTATTTGAGTGATAAGTCCACATCTGCTGAATAGAGTGCTTGGTATCAAAGTGAGAGTGATGTTTTTAACTATTTATTATCTGCTTTCTATAAACTCAACTCAAATATAGAAGGAGGAAAGCAGAGACCAAAATGATGTCTTGTTAAGATTCATAGTGTTTTCTCTGAAAAGAACATATTCTTTATCAAGGAATAAGAAAGTATCCTCTTCCCATTTCCTTCAGCATATGAAATATTTACTTGTTAGACCGCCTCTGAAATAACCATTTTCCATAGAGCTCTCATGGCCCAGCCCATTCGTGTGCTGGTTAATTAAGTGTGACCTAAACCAACTTGACTTGAGCTCTGCATTAAATGCACAAAACCCATTTGAGCTGACCAGCAGCAGAAGTGGTACTCAGAGAAATTGGAAAGGATTTCTCCCAAATGCTTTCTACTTACTTACAGCACTCAAGTAATGGTTGAAGATTAGCATATGACATGACAGATTACATTAAGTCATGTCTTTCCAGTGCTTTATGACAGCACTATCACATTAGCTTCTTAGCACTGGCACATTGAGGCATGCAAATGTTTTCAGACCCTCTTATTCAAATCTACAAGCTGACATGGCAGCCCTGATATGATTATTAGTCATTTGAGAGACTTTAATTCACGTCATCAGATAACAGGTTCTGCTAAAAGGTTAGAGAAACTGTCTGCTTTTAATGAAGCTCTCAAGACCCTCAAAAACGCTGTTACACACCAAGAGCCTGGGTTGACTTTATTGACAAGACCCCTCTAAGAATGAACTTAAGTGGAATAATTAAATAGGCATCTAGACATTGGAAATATTGTCTCTTTTGCTGAGAAAATCATATTGGATGGTTGTGTTTTTCTCCTTCCTCACTGCACTTCCCCCTGCCCCGTTCTAATTTGTGCCCTCCAGAACAGTGTGGGTGACTCTCAGACATTTTTACAATCTGATATCCAATATAAGTGTAACAAGCAAAAGGATAATTCTTTCTGGAACCATCATTACAGTTTGGGCATAAGGTTTGCCATAGTTCACAGCAATGTGTTAATGGTATCAGGCCTAAGTGGTGATGTGATTAAAGATCATGAGACTTTGCAATTCATAGTTTGTTTGCTGTAAATCAGTTTGGTAGTCAAATGTTTTGTTTCATATTGTGGTGATCTGCACTTAGACCCCAAGAGAAACCCTGTTTCCAAAATGCTTCCACATGTCTCAGTGGAGTTTGGCACAGATGAAGATCTTGTTGGAATGAATGAAGGAAGATGGCCCTAGGAGATATGCTGGCAGAATGAGCAGAGAGCCAGAGAGAGACCTCTGCAGGTGAAAAAAGCATTTGATGAAGGAGAAAAAAGAAGAGCCGTTTTCCTCAATCTGGGAAAGTGAAGGCAAGCGCACATTTTGTTTTCTTGTCTTTTCTTTTTGTTAGCATCCGAAACCATGAATACCAAAACACCACTTCTGGAAAACTTCTTAAGGAGCAAACAGTAGAACTATTGAGCTGTCTCTAAAGCCTGTTTTGTTAGTTTGTTTTTTAATTTTCGATGTCATCTTGTTCACTCAGATTTCTGGAGAAAAAAATATAGTTACAGTTTAAGGCAAAATAATTTTCTACTATCTGAGAAAATGTTCAAAAGCATTTGATTTGTGGTTGATGTTCTTTCTTTCTTGCATAGATGTTAGTATACATTGCCTTAAGTGAATTAAATATGAATTTAATACTATTCATATTTCCTTATTCTCTTCCTTGTTTCTCTGCAATTTGACAACTATTTTTGTCAATATATTCTTCCATCTATTCTATTTCTGGCCTTCCTTATAGCTTTTCTTCTAACCTGAATTATAATGGTTTCTAAAGTAATCTTGGCTGAAAAAGGAAATAAGCTACCAAATATGGAGGATATAAAGGGGCACTGATAAGCAGTAGTGTAAATAAGTTCTTATTTAACTAAGAGATGCTCTAAAAAAAAGGTCTGAAGAGAACAAAGAAACCCATCAAAAAAAATATTAGATTATAAAAATCAGACTATTCTCTTACCTCAACAAGACAAAGCATAGATGCATGCTGCGTGTGTGACAGAAGATGGCTCTCTGGAGAATTTTAGTGGCCATCAGGAAAATGCTGCCAATCCTCCCCTCTCCACCCATTGCTTCCTACTGCTCTGACCCAGCAAGAGTGGGATCTGGGTGGACATTTCAGTTGAACCAAAACAGAGCGAGTATCTGCCCTAAAAGAGGTACTCCATTCAGTGCTAGAACAAAAGGGAAATGGACAGCATTTGTCCCCTGTTGCCCTATCCCTCCAGGCTACAGAGCAAGGAAGGTGAAAAACTTTCCTTTTCTGCGAGCTGATTTCACTTTGTGAAAATCTGACCTTCTTCATATTTGAAAGCAGTAGCAGGCCTATCCTTGGCACCCCTACACTCATTTTCTATTGTGGTTGATGTCTCTTCCTGCATTTGAATGCTTCTGAACACATCTTCTTTTTCTTTTTTTTGAGGAGGGGGGACGGAGTCTTGCTCTGTCGCCCAGGCTGGAGTGCAGTGGCACGATCTCTGCTCACTGCAAGCTCCGCCTCCCGGGTTCACGCCATTCTACTGCCTCAGCCTCCCGAATAGCTGGGACTACAGGTGCCTGCCACCATGCCTGGCTAATATTTTATTTTGTATTTTTAGTAGAGACAGGGTTTCACCGTGTTAGCCAGGATGGTCTCGATCTCCTGACCTCGTGATCCGCCGGCCTCGGCCTCCCAGAGTGTTGGGATTACAGGCGTGAGCCACCGCGCCCGGCCCACATTTTATTTTTCTACTTTCCATTAGAGCTGACCTCCTTTTCACTTTCAATCACACCATTAAAAAAAAAAAACTTCCTTTCCTCTTTTCAGTGTTTTTTGCTTGAAAATAACTTCTCTAGATTCCAAGTAGCCCAAAGATGGTGTCAGTGCCTAATTCATCTTTGTATGCCGACTTTGTATGCACAGTGCCTGATATTTGGCTTATGTTCAATAAATGTGTAGTGATCGAATGAATGAGTAAATAGAAAAACAACTTTGGAAGCTATCAATCATAACTATGCAGAGGGCTGTATTCTCATTCCTGGTCTCCTTCTCCTTTCCGTCTTCTAGCAAGGCAGTGTTTCTCTATTGAAGGTCCCTTTTGCCTCCCTGTGATCCTCACTGTATGTATGTAGGTATGCATATTTGTGTTTATGTACATATGCATATATTGCATGTTGACTTCAGTTTTAATGTTTTTTCTACATCATACATTATGAGCATAATAGTGCTCCTAATTTTACTAAAATCCATAGACAAATGTATATGAATTAAAACTACAAAATTAGGAATTGTGTATTATGAGCACAACAATCATCTACTGTTGGTACTTAATCTGCTCTGCCTTCTTGGTGTAGCAGCCAGCACTGGAACCTGGATCTAGTTACCTATACAAACTCTTCTTTGGTACTGGTACTCCAGCCTCCTAATATTGTTGAAATAAAGGACTTAACAAATGTTCTTGGCTCACCTGCCTCATCTGTGGGCCTCAGAGACAAAATCCTGGATCTCTGGGTTCCAAAACATATAAAGAGCATACAAATACTGTTAAGAATATCATTTATTTGCATGCCAACATTTAACATCCCACAAAATTTGCCCTGGCTTAAGCAAATTTCCCAGCACAGTGTTCTCCCATTTCTATTCCTCAACAACTCAGGGTTTTAAAAGAAAACAAACATCTGCATGCATAGATTAGAGCCCTCCCATAAACACATGTTCCTATCAAAACCAATCAAAACGGAAAAAAGAAAGAACAGAGTATTATACATTTTTCTTTAGAGCTGATGTCTGATTTTCATTAGGTTTAACCTTATTTCTTTTAGATCCTAGGCAGTGACCCAATATTTATTTTCCTTGCGGGGCCCTGTTCTTGCCAATATTTCACTCTGGCTCCTGGAGACTTTACCGAAGGAGTTCAAGGCCCCTACACTCCCTTTTCTCTTCTGCTGCCCCTTGGAGACACACATTTGTCACTTGTATCCTTTATTTCATTTTACAGCTAATTCTGAGCCCTTTCTTTTCTCCTATTCACTACTTCTTAATTTCCCCCTTTTTATTGGATTTATGACTGAATACTTTAATTTATTCATCATATAATGTCTTTAGAACTCTTTTTTTTTTTTAGTAATTTACAGTGGACCATATGCTTTCTGCTGTTGCCTCCTATTATATTGATCTGTAAAGCTTCTGGGGGCAATGATTAGCATGAAAGAAGCTCTGTAAATGAAAGTTATATTGTATCTTATTTGCTTTCTTTTGAACAAAATATATTTCAGAGTTCTCCATGTGGTATCAGATGTTCTTTAATTTTGTGAGATTTCATATGTGTATGGGTATACATTTTATATATATATATATATATAAAATCTTCTAAAAATAAAAAAATTTTAAAAAATGGAACAATGACTTGAAGTTAACACAGTCCTCAGATTCAGTTTACTAGCTGTATTTCATAGACCATGCAGATTTACAAAGTCAAAACTTCACCCAAAATTCCTTATAAAAGGAGCTTGAGGCCAGGCATGGTGGCTCACGCCTGTAATCCCAGCAGTTTGGGAGGCCAAGGCAGCGGATCATGAGGTCAGGAGTTCGAGACCAGCCAGGCCAACGTGGTGAAATCCCATCTCTACTAAAAATAAAAAATTAGCTGGGCATGGTGGCATGCACCTGTAACCTCAATGTTAACCTTGAGCCATTTTCCTCTGAGATTCAATGAGATAATTAGACTAGATTACAGAACTGCAAATTCTTTATGAATGGAACCCTATATCCAAATGCAACTTAAAAAACAGACACAAACTGAACTGTTGGGGTTGAAATGGGGGTGGGTGTCTAAAGCCTTACTCAGGAGGCTGAGGCAGGAGAATTGATTGAACCCGGGAGTCAGAGGTTGCAGTGAGCCGAGATTGCGCCGCTGCACTCCAACTTGGGCGACAGAGCAAGATTTTGTCTCAAAAAGCAAAAAAAGGAGCTTGAACCACATAGCAATTAGTTGACTTTCAGAGGGCATTCTCTGTTAGACCTGCCTGATCTGTTTGCACAGATCACATGAGATAAAATATAGGCAAGTTCTTTGTTAACTGTGAGGATGATACAAATACCAATGTAAGAATTGTACTCAAGGGGTGGCACGTGCCTCTCTGGGTTCTGATTATCTTGTGCATAAAACAAAGATGACATTAATATCTATCCCTAGCAATGTTATGAGAATCACACGAGAAATGAATGTGAAAACACTTTATAAATAGAAAAGTAGTGTACAAAGTATAGATAAATATTGCTTAAAAAGCAAAATATAACATATTCATAGTCTTTATTTTTCAGGCTTCATAGGGACTAAAGTATGTTCACTTGAATTCCATAAACAAAGCTTTGGCTTGGATTATTTGTGTTAACAAATAACATGCTATATCAACTTAAAGATATCAATTAGCCAAAATTATCGAGTGCCACTATTTTTAAACAGATCTTAAAATCAGTGGTTTTGTGTATGCAACAAAATAATACAATCAATAAATATTCCAGCAGCTCCTTAGTGGTCCTTCATAGGTTCCAACATATTGAATGCTGAGAATTTTGCATCTCTTTGTCATTTTAGGAATAAACTCTAGGTCCAGTCCATAACACTGATTAACTTCCTCAACTCAGAGGGAAACTAGCAAAGGTAAGCCCCAGAGGGGAGATTATGACAACTGGGCCTCTACCATCAGCTCTCAATGTTTAACTGAGCCTCTACCATCAGCTCTCAATGTTAACCTTGAGTCATTTTCCTCTGAGATTCAATGAGATAATTGGACTGGATTACAGAACAGTAAATTGTTTATGAATGGAACTCTATGTCCAAATGCAACTTAAAAAACAGACACAAACTGAACTGTTGGGGTTGAAATGGGGGTGGGTGTTTAGAGCCTTACTCACATGAGCTCTGCCCATACCATGTCAGCTTCCCCACTTCAGCATCAATAGGCCACCTTAGAAAATCACTGGATGAAATGATTTGTCATATCCCTCTGGCTTCTTCCTAGAAGGCCTTTTTAACTCTGTGTTATGTCATCCAAGGCCGAACTCAAAGGTCTTTTCTATCTTTTTACCTCTAATTTAAAAGTTTCTTCTCAATTCTTATTATTTGGTAGAGATGTGGTCTCACTCAGTTGCCCAGGCTGGTCTCAAACTTCTGAGCTCAAGTGATCCTCCTGCCGTGGCTCCCAAAGTGTTGGGATTATAGGCATGAGCCACTGTGCATAGCCCTCAATTATTATTTTGAGAAATTTAAGAGATAAGAAAAAATTTTTAAATAACAAAACAAATACTCATATTCAAGCTATTTAATATCAGTAAAATTTTGTCTTATGTGGTATTTATAATTTTAAGAAATAAAACTTTATGTATATATTATACAAAAATATATATTGCTTATTTATTTAATTAAATGTTAAATAATATTTATTTGTCTTTCTCCAGAGGCAATCATCATCATGAATTTACCGTGTTTCTTTCCCATTCATATTTTAGTACAGACACAAAACAAAACTTATATATGCTTCCACAAAAAATAAGTAACTTTTTTGGTTATAAATTTATAACAGGTATAATGTTATGCTTCTTGTTTTTTCACCCACACTTAGGGAATGAGTAATTATGTAAATGAGATACTGCTGGGCTGATTATGTTTTTAAAACAATTGTAGTTTTTCTTCATCTGAATATTCCACATTTATTTATACATTTTCCTATCAATGAGCTTTTAGGTAGTTTTTTCTCTTCATTTAAGTAATTCTATATGTGTGCTTTTATCACTCTCTCTATAGCTGTAAGGGTCACTCTACATTGTGCACCTAAAAATGTATGGCTGAACCTAAAGGTATTTACTTTAGACAATTCCTGTGCATCAGTAATTATTTTAAAATAAAAATTTAAAAATATTAGATACTTTTTGGAGATTCTTAATCCATTTTTCAAATTTTTTGTCTTTTTGTTTCATTTCTCTATATCTGTGCTCTTTTAGGGAAGATTTTCTCTGTTCTATCTTCCAATTAATTAATTCTCTCTTTAGCTATATCTTTTAACCTATCTCTTTAGTTTCTTTTTTTTAACTAACCACATTTATTTTTGGTTATCTCCATTTATTCTTGGTTCTTTTTCATGTCTACATAGCTGCTTGTGTTTCATAACCTCACTTTTCTGATTTCTCTCTCTTATCTCTAATTCCCTTGATGTAGATTTTCCCCTTTGTTACACATTGCACCTCACTGACAGCAGAATTTCTCATACTGTATGATTGTTTTCTCCTATGTATGGCCTAGATTGTAGTGGCTTACTATAGGGTGGTTTTGTAATCAGGTCCTACAGTTTTTTAACTAATGTTTCTGATCTGTGTATTTCCACACCACATGATTCAAATTCAAGTGCCATTCTCAAATGTAGATTTGCATTTCACAGATTACTACTTATATTTGTGGACCCAAGTGGGCAGCTAGCTTTATGCTTCAACCTAGCCAGAGAACAGAGATATTCAAATTCCCCTTTATGGAACTTAGCTTCTTCTTGGCTTAGACTTTAGACTGTGATCTCTGTTTCGCCTCTTTCTACATACTGGTTGCAGTTTCAACTATTGTCACATGTGGATGTTAAAACCCCACCACCCCTAATATCTTCCTAAATAAGTCCCTTGACCTACTACAGTAGGTCTCTTTTTTCCTTTCTTTTTTTTTTTTTTTAAGACAGAGTCTTGCTCTGTCACCCAGGCTGGAGTGCAGTGGCACTATGTCAGCTTATTGCAACCTCTGCCTCCCAGATTGAAGCGATTCTCGTGCCTGAGCCTCCTGAGTAACTGGGATTGAAGATACATACCACCACACCAGCTAATTTTTTAATATTCTTAGTAGATAAGGGGCTTCGCCATGTTGGCCAAGTTGGTTTCAGACTCCTGAACTCAAATGATCCTCCCATCTCAGCCTCCCAAAGTGCTGGCATTACAGGCATGAGCCACCATGCCCAGCGTACAGTAGATTTCTTAAACTTACCTGGTACCATGAAGTTTTTTCCCTTTCTTAAGAGCATTCAAGTTCAGCTATATATTTTGAAGAGAAAAATTAACTATTTTCTTTGGCACTTCTAAGCCCTTGGATCAGAAGAGAAGGGTATTTTATATGCTCTTAACATTACCAGTTTGTCCCAGAATGCTGCTGCTGTATGTTACTGTCTACCACGTATTCCTGGGTTTTTATGAGGTCTCTTTTGACTTTTAAGGCATAGCTCATCAAACTTTGAATCCCTTATGACACCCATAATATTTCCTGGCCCAGAGTGGAATCTTGTTGAATAAAGGCATTAATTAAAGGATTAGATGACTGGACAGGATTTTTTCTGCCACACCCTACTTTTGGTGAATATTTCTCTCTATCTAGACAGATAGCTCATGCAAGATTTATTATCTCTAGATGTCTGAGATTCTGTTAATCAACTTGTCTAGTACCACAGATGGATAATGCTGAATAAAACACAACAAAGCATTCAGGAAGGTATTAATTCTATCTGCTTCCAAGTCTATACCATGGTTCATACTGGCTCCATACTTGCTTCCTGATGGCAGTCTAGGGAGAATTTTGCTTATCCACTAATAGCAGTGAAACATTATGTTTCACAGTTAGACAAAAAGAGGCCTACAAACTAAAAAAAAAAAAAAAAAAGCATTTTGTAAAAATAAAGGAGACATGGAAAGCAACAAAATGAAGAACTAATTCTGTTTATTTTTAATGGTTGTGAAATTTAACTTGAACAAATATCTGCCAGTGTGCTACATTCCCTGGAGCCTTTCCCCCTCTCAAATATTCATTTTCAGGAATTGTACTAAAAATAAACCCAAGAGTTTCGTTGTGACAGCATGCCGAAGTTCTCATCCTTTTTCAATAATTTCATTACGTATAATAAACCTTAGTTGGCTCAAGGTTATTCTGGCTCATACAAGCCCTTCTTCACCTTACTCAGGTAATATTTTCATCTGCCATTCATCAAAGCTACTCTGTTTTCTGAGAATTGTATAGACAAGTTAGGCATCCTGTATGTATCCATCCTTATGCATTTCACTCTGGAAAAAGTAGTGAAAATACTTGTCTTCCAGGAAAATATCTACCCAAATTTCAAAGTTGACTCTCAGTCTACCCATTGTTGCTCTCTCTTCCTAGGCAAAGAGAAAGGTTTCTTTGAAACTCTCCCATAGACTTTTGTTAAGGCCTCTAATTTAACAACTATAATAAAAAATAAATTTAACAATTAAAATGTAAAATAAATGTTATAGTTCTTTCTTGGATAATCTACTTGAAATTTTTGAAGGTAGACATTTTTAGGGTAATGTCAGGTGCCTAGTAGATACCAGAAAACATTTGATGAAATAAAACTATTTCCAGAAGTGTTTACACATAAGGACATTTTTCCATAGATTCTGACTCTCTAATGAGTAGATGACTGACCTAGGTGAAAGCTTAGCATCAGATCCACTTAATTTGCTAGGACCACTCAGCTTCCTTCACTGGGACTCTCTCTTTGTTGCCTGATGCCTGCATCTGCTCACTTCTGCCTTGTCTGACCTTTGAGTATTTGGCCTATTACCAAAGTGACCGTATCATCTATTGCAGAGTGAAAGAAGGCTCTGTTAATAATTATGCCAAGACAACAGGTATAAACTGGGGCTGTCCTGAGCAAACTGGGATATATGATGACTTGCCTATTGATTGCTTAACCTAGTATATTTTGCCTGATACTTATAGCCCAGTAGTTTTCTAAGTGAAAGTCATATTCTTTAATAATAATCACCACTTACAGTGCACCCCATATAGACTGAACTGTTTAATAAACTACTTCTTTTTTATGGATAGGGAAATTAAGGCTAGTAAGCTAAGTGATTTATCCAAGACCACCCAGCTTTGAATTAGTAGATATAAAATTTGAATGTGGGTCTTTCTGGCCACAAGATATATCTCCTTTTTGCCATGCAGTCCTTATCTATTACCACACCAAAAGGTCATATAAATTCCATTGCTATAGGCAATTTTTACAATATAGCATCTCCCTTAACACAAGTGAAACATTTGCTAGGACTTGGAAACATTTTAGGGGATTGAAAATTTTCTTTGATATGTAAGATTTAACTTGTACAGCTTGGATTTTCATTTCTCACCGTGCCTTTTCTACAGGCTTCACATCTGTCTATTCCTTCCTTTCTGTGTCATCCTTACCCCTTTTATCCTTCTTTATCCACTTTTTCCCCTTCACTATTAAAAGTCCTTTGCATGACTGAGATTCCATGAATTTCTTATTCAGAAAAATAAGCTTGGGTGTTGATTCAGCTCTTCAGCATGTTAATATATATGGTGCTCACTGCAATTCGACAGTCCACACCCAACGAATTCTGAGGTTCAGTGAATTGCAGTTGTTATGTTTCCCTAGGTTATTGTAAGGTTTAACACTTACAGACAGGGGTGCAGCTTCAGGGATAAGATGAGTTTTTCCAGAGGTTAGAGAACCCTGGGGCTTGGTCGAGATTAGTCCTTCCTGTTGGCAGCACTTATTACTCTTACAAACAGGGCAGCCTTCAATGCCAGAGCTTCCCACCAACAGGGAAAAGCTTGGGGGCCTGACTCAGTGACCACAAATTCCAGGTGTGATGTGGGAGAATATCTGAGATAAGAGACAATAAAAGTGGTAGGAACTGTGAAAAATCTATTGTACAGGAGGTGAAAGGGGAGAGATTAACTCAGTAAGTTGTCAGCTCATTTTCTTACTGTGCTATCATGAGCTTTAACTAAAAAAGAAAAAAAATCTGTTTGATCTCCTGCATTGCAGATGTATTTCAAGGCCTGTATCTGTTACTGAAATCTACAAAGTGTGCTTCAGCTATAAATCTCTATCCTTGAATGTACACATGCAATTATCTTAGAGAGATCTGGCTTCCATAAAAATGACAATTTTCATTCCTGATCTTGCTTTCTTTCATAAAAATATAATGTTTATGTTTAAAAAATAACCTTCAATTGATAAGTAACAGAGAAATTTATGCCATTATCATATTAGATGTCAAACCCTTAAATGTCTCTCACTAGTCAGGAAAAAGCAATCCTTTTACTTAAACTTTATTTCTTTCAGCACAGCAGCTCTGAAAAGTCATCAGTAAAATTACTTTCCCAATTAAATGTAGTTAAGATTCCATGGGTTAGAAACATTATGGATTTGTGTGCATCCTGACTGTGATGTTGCTTCTAGTTATAAGTATAATAATGGTTTGAGAGAATGAACTATTTCCTCCAAGTTTCCACGCTATTGTCCAGAAATTATGTATGTCTGCAATTGCTGGGTTGAGTTTGCCAAATCATCCCACATTCTTACTATTCAATGACTGTACTCTCTATCTGAGAACTGTTTTGTGCTTTTCAAATGTAAGAGCCTAAGCTAAAAATGAACTTAATCAATGTTGTAGGATCTACTAGTCATGGCAATCCCCCATGAGTTTTACATTCATGAAAGTCAGGCCATGGTTTGGTGGGAGCAGGAACTGTTCCTAGCATATTCTGTGGTACATTGTAGGTATTTAATAAACATTCGTCAAATAAATTTGTAATATTTATTAAGGGGATAATAATAATAGATAACATATATTGAGTGCTTATAAGGCACAAGACCCTGTTCTCAGTGCTACACATGCATCATCATTTTTTTTCTCATTAAACCTCTATGAGATAAATTTTACAGATGAAGAAATCCGGTGCACAGAGAAGTAACTAGCTCAAGATCTCTGCTGAAGCAGGTGATAGAGTGAACACGCCAATGGCCGTGGTCTAAGTCCAAAGCTTATTCTCTTAGTCACTACATTGTGCTGAATGTATGTTTTCATATTTGTATGTTACATAATTTCCAGCATAATAATTTTGGTTCCAGTGTTGAAGGTAATAGTCATAAGGGGTGGTTGTTATTTTTTTGAAATTGTTATTCTGCATGTCAAGCTTATATTATGTACTTGCCATATTATCCTTTCACTAGCTCAGAGGTTGTTGTTATTACTCTGATGATGTTGATTAGATAATGAACTGTCAGAGGAGTCAGAAACTAGCCCCAGGTCATATAACAAAGTAAGTGCCAAATAGAAGGTTTGAACTCAGGTCTAACACATTCCAAAGGCCATGACTTTCCCACCATGACAGTGAATACCTTACATGATTGGACTAGGCCTATGTGAATTCACTAAATCCTACAGGTATGATTTGTTGTTGTTTCTTATCTGTTGTTAAAACCAGTTTTATAAGAGCCAATCATCAAGAAGGCCTTCAGATATGTACATCAACAATGTGATTCAGACTAAATGTCTGAGGTGTATTTTCAGGATTCTGCAGAGAAAAGGAACCAATGGAAGATATATATGATTTATTTTAAGGAATTGCTTCATGCTATAGTGGGGGCTGGCAAGTATAACATCTATAGGGCAGGCTGGCAGGCTGAAAAGTTGACAGGAGTTGAAACATTGCAGCCTTGAGACATAGACAATGGGTTGATTATAAAGACCTGACTTAAGTATCCACGTACCCCATCAAAGTGCATTCACAAGAGACCCTCAAGGACTCACACAGATGGTTTTCAAACTCCATCTAGTCAGTACTGCTCTCAGACTTGGACAAGAGAGGCTTTGAGCCAGGGTTCTATACCTTAGAGCAGTTTGTCTTGGTGGCTATAACCCCTGCCATAGGCTTATAGCATGTAATCTGTGGGGCTGAGGGGATGTGTCCACCAGGAGCCTATGCCTGCTTTCTAGACCATGATCTGGGTACTTGGGACCCAGAATTTCTCTGAAAAAAAAAATGGCCTGAACCTGAATAGTCATTTCTCTTAAATTTTACCTCCCAAGGGTGTACTGCAAGGCTATTTTGCAGAGATTGTGGACAAGATCGTGGACGGTGTTTGTAATTATGGGTAGGGTGTCCAGAGATTACATATGAAGTCCCACTGTGGGCCATGGAACTTGGAATGGTAAGAAAAGTTGGGGAGACTGTGGGCTGGGTTCCAAGGGCAGAGAGCCAGGAGCTGGTCTTTCTCATTCCAGAATTTTCCATCACAAACTGAGGAGTACAAGAATTCTAGATCTAAACATAGTCTTCTCCATCATTATGAAGATATATTTGACAAAGTAGGGGATAGAATATGTTTTATTTAATGATTGCTTAGTTTTATTTATAACAATTTATCTTAAATATTTAGACATATGGTCTCCATTTGTCCTCTTGCCCTGGGCTCCGTAAATGTTAAGTAAGAGCCTTTCCTTCAGACCCCTTGAGGATTCCTCAGAGTTACCTGAGAAGAGGAGGAGGCTGAGAACAGAGTTTGAGCTTCCCAATTCCATCTTTAATTAGAATAGTACTTTTATTTATTAGTTTATCATGTCAGACTTTGTTGAACAAAATAATTCTGCTGGCTTAAAAATAAGTGTTTGAAAACCACAGGCTTCCAGGCACAGTGGTGCACACCTGCAGTCCCAAATACTACAGAGGCTGAGACAGGAGGATCCCTTGAGCCCAGGAGTTCAAGACCAGCCTGGACAACATAGTGAGATCTCACTGGTTAAACAAACAAAAAACACTATAAACCATAAGCAAGTATCATATTAAAATCTGAAGGGACCTTAAAAGTCTTCTAAAAAAATTTCATAATTTTACTAATGAGAAAATGGAGGCCCATGGAAGATAAGAGAGTCCTAGAGTCCTTGGCTAGTGCTCTCCGCGATATTGGCTATGATCATGGCTTGTCTTCGCCAGGCTCCTTGAAGAAGCAGTCTGAGATGAAAATGTAGAAGAGATAAGTTTTTCTTAAAGATATCCAGCATACTGGCCGGGTATGGTGGCTAACACCTGTTAGCGCAGCACTTTGAGAGGCCAAGGCAGGCAGATCACGAGGTCAGGAGATAGAGACCATCCTGGCCAACATGGTGAAACCCTGTTTCTACTAAAATAAAAAAAAATAGCTGGGCATGGTGGTGCATGCCTGTAGTCCCAGCTACTCCAGAGGCTGAGGCAGGAGAATCGTTTGAACCCAGGTGGCGGAGATTGTAGTGAGCCGAGATCGTGCCACTGCACTCCAGTCTGGGAGACAGACCGAGACTCTGTCTCAAAAAAAAAAAAGATATCCAGCATACCTTTTGGAGCCTCCTTGTGCCTATTACAGTGGCTCAGGTATCCAAATTTCTCTCCTTTTGCACTCATCTTTATTGAAGTTTTGGCAGAAGAAGGTGCAATTGTTTAGTAACATTATAAATTATCTGGTGCCACTTCTGGTGGCAATGGCATTTTAATCTTTTTCTCTCATTTTAAAATGAATTATTTCTTGGTGATTAAATAAGAGAGGCATTGCAATTTGTGTGTACATTGGAGTCAAGCAGGGAGAGCTTTAGAATTTTGTACACTACCTATATTTTCACTCATTAGGCTCTCTCTGAAGGTAAAGAGTTAATAATGTAAGCGATCTAGAAAGAGTATAAATTTTTATATCTTTCTATCCTTTTAGATTGCAGAGAGAATCAAAGAGCAATAACCCCATGTAACAATTAGCTTAGATTTGCATGCCCTTGCCCATGAAACAATAGGATCTCGTTTAAAGATTTCTGGGAGACTAGAAGAAAACCTGTTCTACAGTAGAAAAGTGTAATGGAATCTTCAGCTTCTTCCTTGGAAGATCAGAGACTTGGAGTCCATGCTCCCTGGACAGAGCACACCTTAACAACCACAACTATTTTCAATTGTCCCCGGCTCAGACCCCCTTCATGGACTTGATGCCAATCCTACTTTTCCCAATTCTCTTTTTCTTCTCTCTTTCAGAGCTTTCAGCATCTATTTTCTCTCTACCACCACTCTCACAGAAGGCTGACCTCCAATTTGTGCAAGGCTCCGTGTTGTTTATTCTCATGATGTTCTCTCCATTCTGCTTTTATCATTCCACATTCAATGGCTTAGTTTCATTTATTCAGGGAGGTGATGGAACTAATGTGGAGGTGATGCTGGCATTATTTAGAGCTTACATCTCTATATACTGATGGCCTAAAATCCCCATGGCCTGAGGCTTTGGAGACACAGAGCCGTTGGTAGATGACTTTTACAGTCTAGGCAGGAAGCTGTGCCATGTTTGACTCTAGGCAGCCTAGTGGATGTCCTAGAAGCATAGTGGAGGAATTCTGCACGGAGCAATGTCTCTCTGTTGCAGCAAACACTACACATAAAGACACCCTAGATACTAGTTTGTCAACTTTGGGACATTGTCTTCCAATGTGCATGTCAAATGTAAGTAGGCAAAGTGGGTCTAATTATGCATATTATTATATTAAGTTGGTGCAAAAGTAATTACGGTTTTTGCCATTATTTTCAATGGCATAACCCACAATTATCTTTTGTACCAACCTGATAGAAAAGTCTACTGATAATGATGATGCTTATAGATTCAGGAAACTAACAAAATGGGGGAAGAAATGGTAAAGCATGATTTTGCTGTGTAAGAGAAATAATCATTATAGCAATTAAAATGTGCTCTTTGGTTTTTATACCTTACTATCATACTATTAGGTTGGTGCAAAAGTATTTGTGGTTTTTGCCATTAAAAGCAAAAGAAAAACCGCAATTACTTTTGCACTGACCTAATATTATAATAAGTATGCATAGTTTTCTTATGCATAGTTTACATCAAACTTTTTATGTTTAATTTAACTATATACTATTTTCTCTTTGCTTATTTCAGTTTTCAGAAAGTATCACTCAACTTTTTTTAATATAGCATGATTACCCTCAACTCTCAAGAAACACTATTTATAAAACCTGAATAAATATATCTAAAGTTTAGTGGTAATATAAGATATCCTTGACAAAAACACATATGTACGTACATAGTTTGTATACACATTTTGAAACTCCATGATATTTTACCTACATGTATTATAAAATATATAATATGAATAATATATAATATTAAAATAACGCATAATTTATTAAATAGAGAATAAGCTTGCTCTCTGAATTTCAAGTAGGTTTAAGGATGAGTTAGGGAACCATAAAGACTGGTAAACAATTGGATTTTCCGACCACATTACAGATGGAAGAAAACAGGACTGACCCTCCTAGAGAGTCAGCTAGCTTATTAGAAACATTGTAGGTGTGGTGGTGAACAATGTGGGCTTTGGGGCCTAACATCTGGATTCAAATCTCAGTCTGTTACTTAGTGAACAATTACTTGCCCTTTCTGTGCCTCAATCTTCTTAACTACAAAATGTAAATAATAACAGAACCTACATCATAGGGTTATTGTAAGGACTAAACCTCTTTTTACATACATACATGTATATATATACACACACATATATACACATATATATTTATACATTATTTAACACACGTATACATATACATACAAATATATAAAAATATATGTATATATTAATCAAACCAGTGTTTCTCTTTCTCAAAATAAGATAGTGGAGCTGAAAACTTATGTAATAAGAAAGTTGTTGGATAGTTCTGGCAAGGAAGTGTCATACCATATTTGTGATGAGTTATAAACTGAGATCCGTAGAATCTCTCAGAAAGATTAAATATCTTTAACTGAAGGCTCCCAAATGCTAGACTCAATAGCTGTGTATTTACCCCAGCAGGCTCCAAGATTAAGTTCAAACTTATTGCAATGTTGTTTTCTATTTGAACAGAAGACCAAAGTTGGATTCATCTGGGATTATTAACGATTATATTTATTTGCACCTAAGTATTATATTTCTTTAAGTTGCACATTATATATATATTTATAAATTTGGTAAGCGTTAAAATAACCAAAGGTGGAAGTACCAAAAAGTGTCATATGTGTGAGTATATGTGTGCATAAATTGTACACACACACACACACATGCACACATAATGGAAGCAGGTATTAAAATCAGATGCTCAGTCTGTTTGGGAATCCTACACAGAGGACTACAGTCTAAGCACCATTATTCACCTGGTGACAGGTACTCAAGTTGTAGATGTGGTATCTGAAAGGAAATAAACAACCTTACACATGCAAACCTTGCAAACAAAACCTAAAAGTGATGGCTGTTGTCACTTCCCCAGCAACTTTAACAAAATTCTTTCATTCCACTGAATTAAACAGAAAGAGCACCAGGATCCTAGATTCTAAGCCCACCTTTGCCTCTGAACATCTCTGTGGCCTTGGGCTGGTTCCTTCACCTTTCTCAGCCTCAGTTTCCTCACAAGGACATTTGACCAGATGATTTATAGGGCATCTTCTAACTCTAAGATTATGTGATGTTGAATTCTGTCCATGTGAGGAGTTTGAAGAAGGATGGAGACAAGTCAATTTGGACAGGAAATAGAACTTGTATGATTCTAAAAATACTGAAATAAAAATATAAACTCCAGATTAAATTCCTTAGAAACTTGTAATTATTTAACATCTTTTTAGAATGGTATGTATTCCTGTTCAGTAATTTCAAATTTTATATACGTTTTTAGCAATATGTGTAAAATACATAGAGCTTTGCTAACCATGAGCAATTGTTATGTCTCATAATATTCACTGCTTCTCTGTTTTAAAATTTTAGCGTAAAAGGAAAAAGCCTTTCCTTTTCATGGGTACTATAGCTTGATAGCTGCAAGTCCAAAACTATGCCACAAAAGAAAACAAAATTTTAAGCTTTAGATAATCTTTAAATCTGTTCTTTGCTTTCTGAATCTTTAAAATTTCTGGGATTTTTGTGTTCTTCAGATGCTATTTCTTAATAACCACACAAGTTATTCAATTTTCATGTCCAAAAATGTTTTATGGCCTCCTAATTAAAAAGAAAAGATTCTCCATATTGCCGTGTGGTTACTTTATTGTGTTGGATACTGTGATAAACACTTTCTAGATATTGATTTATTTAGTCCGCACCACAAGCCTGTTGCATGAGGTAATATAAGAACCCATTTTACAGGTAATAGAAGTAGACAGTAGAAATCTTAATTATGTAGTTTGTAAATGTCACAGTTGGAATTCAAAACCTCTGTCAGTTTGCTGCAAACTTTATCCAAATTTTAAAAAATATTGTCAATGCCAAGGCTATAAATGCTCAGTTTCCAGTACTTTATTTCAATTTGAATATTTACCATGGTACTGAAATACGTTGTTGTTAAGTGAATTTATTGTTAATGGATTAATAACTAAATATATTAACTATGTGAATGTATGTATTCATTCCATCTATGCTGCTTTTGAATCTGACCAGGAAGTAATGCCCTCTAATAAATGACCACATCCTGAGAGTATTTTATTTAATAAATAGCCAAATGCACTTATTGTGTGCAAAGCACTAACCCTTTATAGACATGAACTCAATTGATTTTCATTCTAATGCAATGAGTAACTACTATTATTATCTCCAATTGTACTGATGAGAAAACTGAGTCACAGAAAGGTTAAGACACGTGCCCACCATTGTATAGCTAGTAAATAAATGGCTAAAACCAAAACACAAGTAGTCTGTATCCAGAGTCTGGGATTATAACTTAGTATATTTTACTTGATTTCTCATTTTAAAAAATGTTTTGATACTGTCTTCCCACTTTGCAGTTTTAAAGGTTTGAGTTTTAATTGACTGCTAAAGCTACCGACAATATTTGCCAGCTCTCACAGAACTAAACAGGGAGATCACAAAGAAATGCCCAGAAACAATCTCCAATACTTGAGAATCTCCTGCAAACTAGGCACTATATAAAGTTCCACAGACAATACAAGTTATAGAAACTTAAATATGGCTGTATCATTCTTTTTATTGCATTTGATCAACATCACAGATAGTTTTGCGTTGATCTTACATAGTTTTGTAATGACAAGAATTCTAGGAAAGAAAGCAGCAAGCACACAGTTCAACTTTGAAGTTTGCCCATGCTAGTGGTTAAGAGTTCATTTCTATCAGCATCTGAAAAGTTAACTTTTCCAAGCATGGCAGCTTTTCTCAAAGACGTGTACTTGATGCTTGAGCTCTTGACTTCAGTCCATAGACGAACTGCTTATTTTAGAAAGCTCAGCTAACCTGAAGGCCATCGGCTCACTGTTGGGTGGGGGGTCCTGAAAGGTGAGTAAATTTGGCAATATACCAACTATGTCAATTACACACCCCCACTTTTCCTACCCCCTACCTTCCTTACTCCCCACAGGGTGCATAAGAAAACAATCATGTTATATTAACTTAGCTTTATGGAAAAACTCAACAAATATATTTAACACACTGGTTATAGGTTCATTAAGATTGCCTTAAAAAGTTGGCCCTGATACTAAGCAATATGAAGAGGAAGAAGCAAATTGTATTGAAAATCAGGAATTTCCAGCTGCTAGAAGGGCTGCAAGGGCTGTGGAGATGTAATGTCTTAAGAGTGGAGAGAAGGTGCTGACGACATTGCATTTCTGATGGCACCCACGGTTAGTAGATACGCAGGTGATCCTGATGAGCTTCCTTCACAGTTGGAGGACAGATGCTGTAACGGTAGTAATAGTGGGTGCATAAAGAGACCCCAGCAAGAGTATAAGTGAAAGGGATGCAGCTTTCCTGAAAACATGAATATCAAAGGCGGATGCTGGTATAGGACACAGTCAATCAGCTTGGCTGGTGATGGCAAGCTCCTGCTGTGATAAAAAATATGAGGCAAAATATGAGGAAAATCTGATAAAAAGCATATTTTTGAACTGCTGTGCTTGAGACAGCATGGTTTAATGCTTGGGCTTTCTTCTTGGTTCAGCTTCAAACTGAGCTGGCTCTGAGTAGCTCTCCTTGCTTGGGAAGGCAGCTCCTCCAAGACAGGGCAGACATTTTTGGCATGGTGGTCTGGAGAAGTTTGCATTGGCACCCTCTGGGTTGAAACTGGACTCTGGATAAACAAAGTGCTGCAGTTCCCAGTGCTGCCAGACCCTTAAACTCCATAAATATCAGTATTCATCCCCCTCTTCCCTCCCCAGAGAAAATGAAAAGAAAACGAAACTGCATTGGAGATTGCTTCCCTTGAATAAACACCAAACACACTCTAAAAACCAAAGCTGCCCTCCTCTCTGATATTAAACCCGGTAATTACACTATGAAGCTTAAGCCTATAAATTCAAGCTTGGGAAGGTAAAATTGAGGAGAAGGAGAAACCTAGTAAATGTGCCCGTTCCGCACATGTATAGCCCGTTCTCTTTTGAATGCTCTTCAGTATGATATAAACTTCACTCTACTGTGGTGAAAATCATTCTACCCCACTGTTTCTATGATGTACCTCCCTTTCATGCTCAGAATGCTTTACTCAAAAGCATAAGCATTCCAGGTAGAAGGAAATCGATGCTCTTCAATGTGTTAAAGTTTATTTTGTGGGTCTGGGAATTTGTGCTTTCTCCTGTTTTTGAATTGATGAAATCTTTGAAAATAGATGCCAGAGCTGTGAGATTCTGTCTAATAAGCAGTTGGCTTACCAGGAGGCTAAGTGTCTGCAGAGAAGCTGTGCTGTTTCAAACCAGGCCCAATTTTTGGTTGTCTGTTTGCTCGGGTGGCCACTGTCATCCTAAATGAAATAATATCATTCAGGCCTCCCCGGAACTCTGGTTACAGTTACACTCTTCCTCTGACCACTCAGAATGAAATCCAGGCAACAGTGCTTTGGAATTTACAATTAGATGGAAACATGGGGAAGATCTGATTTTTGTCCTCACCTCTCTATCCTTACTTTCCCTCATTCTGAAAATGGCATTGGTTCACTAACAATGAGAGAAGAACCTTGAGTTTCAGTTCAGAATTCATTTATTTCATTTACCATTTTAATATAAAGAAAGAGTTAGAATAGTTTGGATCATTAAAAATACACTTTCTTCAGATAAAATTTTTCTTATGCTTTAAAAAAAATAAAGAGCCTCATCCTGTTTAATGGATTGTTTTATAGGTCAGAGAGGATAAAGCTAATATGGCAGCAAAGTAAATGAACTCTTAGCCCAGTTGGCCAAATTTATCCCATACGGCTAGATTTCTTAAGTTTATATTTAAAGGTAACTTGACTACTCTTCAGGATATTTCTTTGTGCTTTTGTCCTTTCTCCCCAATCTATTCTATTAACAATATCTTTCTCTCTCTTCCCAGAAAGATGCGATTAGGTTCTTATCTTCCTTTCGTAATGTGTCTTTCTGCTTCCTTAATTTAGTTCACAGCTCCATTTGTGCCAACCGTGGCCTTGTCCTGGACCATCTTGCCACATCTATGGGTGCAGTTGCTGGAATTTCAAGGTCAATGCCTCCTAGCTCTATGTGAGGCATTCCTTTCTGCTGACCCAAATTGGAAACAATTTAAACTTTGCTTTTGGCCTTTTCTTTCTCTTCTATGTTCTATTTCTATGTGTTCTCAAGCCTTCTTCTCCTCAGGCAAAGATAGATGAGAGTCACCTTTTTTTTTTTTACTGTTGTGGTGCCACAGGGTATTTTATTCTGCAGATGATAGTCTTTCACACACCTGTGAACACACAGATAAGCAGGATGATGCATAAAAACTCTTTTATTAAAGGCTAAGATATACCAGAGACACAGCTCTGTGGGGCTGTGGGCTCCCATCCCAGGATGGCTTCCTTCACTCCTGAAACTGCTTGTGTAGTAAAGTGTCATTTTAATGTTTAATTTGTATAATTGTTTATTAAATTCTAGGCTAAAATGATACACTACAGAATCCATCTTAAGAGCAAATGTAGCACAAAATAATAAGCTCAAGCATAAATAAACCAAGTTTCTGAGTTGAATGGCAAAAATAGAGCTTCAAGTTTTAGATGGGCCTCATTTATGAATTGATAGCAATCGTAACAAGAGCTCAAGTCATGTGAGGATGGAAGAGTAGTGAAGGTTGATGCAATTTTTAAGAACTATATTTGCCAAATGACAATTTTATATTTGAAAGAAGGAAGCAAAGGTGGGTTTTCATGGAGAATAGGAATTGGGTAGGACAGGAGGATAATAGAGATGGAAAAATAAGTGATTAGAAAGGTCCACAGATGAGTTCAGTTCAGGCTTTCAGGTCTCTATGTTACACTGTAGTCACTTAATACATTTCTACTTAAAAGTTAGGTCATTATGTGGTGAGGTTAACATGTATACATGGTCTCATACACAGATAAAGAAAACAACAGAATCAGTTCACTTATAAATTTGAGTTTGGTTGGCTGGAAAAAAGTCAAAATAAAGACTGATGTCAACCATATTCACAATGAGAGAAATATTTCAGAATGCCTATCTCTTAATTTAAAAGAGCAGATATATTTGATAAGATTGCCTTTTTAAGCTGTGTGGGATTGTCTTCCCCATAAAAAAAATCTATTTGGAAAATATATTCAATGAGTAATGAAGTTGAATTATGTTAAAGGTTATTGTCATCACGTAACGGTCATGTGACAAATGTGCTCCAATAGAATCATAAACATGTGAAGCCAGCCATAACAATGAATGACTAAATTTAGAGAGTCAGAGTGTGCTCACTCTCCCAGATACTGCTGGATCAAAATACAGCTACATTTCTAAGCCTTAGCAGGTTTGATATGACTGTATCACAGGTTATAGTTAATTACATTTTTAAAAGCATTTGACATCATTACTCTTTAGCTTCTTCAATAGGCTTAGCAGTCACTCTGGAATCATTAACAGCCAATTTAAAATAACATTGAGGAATATCTTCTAACAACTTCTTTCTAGAACTCTATTCTTGCATTTCGATTTGGTTAAGATGACCTTATAGGGTACGCACAAATTTTTAAACTATGAATTCTTGAAAAAGTAATTTTTAAGAATCAAGGGAGGAATTAGAGAAAAATTACAATAAGCTGCTTCTTCCCTTGATGGTTGGCAGTATCATTTGTTTGATACCTACTCTGGGTTAGACATGATTTTTAACTTCATATATGCACCTTTCTTTGATCCTTCTGAGTGTCTTACACTGTGCATCCTAGATGTCCCTCACTTGAATCCAATATTGAAATATCTCCTACTGGCTACATATTTGTACAGCTTTTACTTGTACCAGAAACTGGTATATTAGTAAATTCATTTAATAACTAAAAATCATGATTCAAGAAAAACTAGTCAATAGACAAATAGGAAGATGTATCCAGCAGGAACCAAGGTAAGCTTAAAATAATAAGGTGTCAGTATCTTTCTAAAGCTGTGGCTGATTGTGTGGAGTTTTCTTAATCAAAGAACTGAGGACAAATAAAAACTCCCATTTATATTTCTTAAAACAAGAATGCTCAAAGTAGCCATTACTGTGGTGAGAAAGGTTTTTAAATATTAGCTACTCTTATTGGTTAACTTTTGAGTGTATTAGTTTATATTGCTATTTATTTATATTCTCTCACCACCAGAAGTAGTATTGACATGACCAGTGATTTACTTATAATTTATTTAGAATTTAGAATTTTCAGATGTTTGTAAATTTACCTAAGCTGTTAATATGTATCAATAGAGAGAATACTGTCAGAATGTAAGAGTAAGGACCTCCAAAATTATTTTCCTCCATATAAAAATGAGAATATTGGCAACAATGCTCAAAATAAACTTTTCAAAAGTGTGGATACTAATCAAGGCTTGCAAAAACTCTAGCAGTCTTTATTGAAGAACAACTGTTAGATCACAGCAAGAACAGTAAGCTCTGTGGTATTATAACCTAAACTATTCCCATTGCCCTCTCCCTTGCTGCATGTTAGCCTTGAAAACCATCAGTCTTGTAACCATGATAACCATGAAAACCAGTAGCTGAGCAGCCACAGGAGGTGACCCACAAGCCCCATCTGCAGAGAATTTTGATTGTTAGACCTGTCTAGAAGTTCCTTGGAAATACCCACTCACAGGACTTGCTTTTATTTGTCCTGACTCAGCTTTTACTCACTGAGAACAGACTTTTTCTAAAGACATATGTGGAAAATAATCAATGGCAATTGTTTGAGATCACAGCTGCCTGAAATCATAACAGCTGGAGCAAATAAGAAACTGACCAAAAAACTTAAAACAAAAAGCTGGGAAATTAGAGGTCTATAGAGGGTTTGAAAAGCTCTGACATTTTCCTGGAAATCTAAAATGCATGCACATGTGTAGGGCTGTGCACCTGCTGCCAAAAAACTTGAAAAGGCTCTAATGTCTCATCTCTGGCTGACCTTGAGGCTCTGAACAAGGAGGACATGAAAGTTAAGATACAGTTGTAAACTCTTTGCCCAAGCATTGAAAATGTAACCCAACATACACACAAAGCCGTTTAGCAAAGGCTGGAAGACTTATTTGTTCAAGATATTTAAGGAAATTTTTGTCCAACCAAGCTAACTAAATGGAGACTCCAGTGGCCAAAAACAATAAAGAAAAGAGACTTAAGTAATTAATTCAGGAAAGGAAAGTCATTAAACAAACAAACAAGAATAACAAAAACAACAACAAATATTATCAACCACCAAATTTGGGGAGGAAAAAATCTGATTTCCTGAGTTACTACAATATACTTTAAAATATGTCAAGTTAAAAACAAACAAACAAACAAACAAACAAACAAAAAACACCTTACACCAAAAAGGGAAAATCATGGCCCTTACAGAGGAGAAAAAGAACAGTTAATAGTTAATAGAAATTGTCCTTTAGGAAACCCAGCCATTGGACTTACTAGACAGACTTTAAACCACCTATTAAAGGTATGTTTAAAAATCTAAAGGAAATCATATCTAAAAAATTAAAGAGAAGCATGAGAATGATGTCTAACTAAGAGGGTGAAATTGATAAAGACACAGATGCCATAAAATGCAACCAAATAGAAATTCTGGAGTTAAAAAGTACAATAACTGAAATAAAAATTCAGTAGAAACTTTCAGCACCAGATTTGAGCTGGCAGAAGAAAGAATCAGTGAACTCAAAGATGTCAATAGAGATTATTCAGTCTGTGTGGTAAGAAAAATAAAAGTGTTTTTGTAAAAGCTAACAAAATTGAAAAATCTGTAGCTAGATGGACCAAGAAAAGAAAAATTCAAATTTGTAAAATTAAGCGTGAAAGATCAGTCATTACTAATGATCTTACCAAGCAAAAGACTTTAACGAAATAATATGAAAAATTATATTCCAACAAATAAGATAACTTACAAAGACATAAAATATTGAAACTGATCAATTTTTAAAAGTCTGAGTAGATTTAGAACAAGTAAAGATATTGAATTAGTAATAAAAAAAATTATCCCACAACAAAGAAAATAAGCTTAGATGGTTTCATTGCTGAATTTTACCAAAAAAGAACTAGCTCCAATCCTGCACAAACTCTTCCAAAAGATAGAACAAAAGGAACAAAAGGAAAATGTTTCTAACTCATATTATTAGGCTTATATTACCCTGACACTAAAACCAGGGAGAGATTCTGAAAAAAAGAAAACTATAGACCACTAATCCTAAGGAACATAGTCATAAACATCTTCAATAAAATACTAGCAAAAAGAATCCAATTATGTTTGTTTTAAAAAGGATTGTACACATGACCAAGTTGATTTTACCCCAGGAATGCAAGGTAGTTGAAATAAGTAAAAATCAATCAATGCAATATACTATATTAATAGAATAAGCTTTTCACAAAATCCAACACCCTTTCATGATAAAAATAATCAAGATATTGAAGATGGAAGTGAACTTCCCCAACCTGTGAAAGTCATCTACAAAAAAAATACAGCTAATACTATACTTAATGACAAAAGACTGAAATATCAGGAGCCACACAGGGAAGTTCACTCTTTTCATTTATGTTCAACATTATACTAAAGTTTCCAGCCAGAGAAATTAGACACGGAAAAAAAACTAAAAGGCATCCAGTTTCAAAAAGAGGCTATGAAATACTCCCTTTCACATATATCAAAAACTTATGTATAGAAAATTCTAAGGAACTACAAAATCGTGATTAGAGCTAATGAGCACACTCAATAAAACTGTAGGATACAAGAAAATTAGACAAAATTCAATTGTATTTTATATGATAACAATGATCCATGCAAAAATCGAATTAAGAAAACAATTAATTTATAATGGCATCTAAAAGAATAACATATTCATGAATAAATTTAACAAAACACATATACAACTTGTACACTGAAAAGTAGAACATAATATTTAAATACATTAGATAAGACCTAAATAAATGGAAAGACATCTCATGTTCACTGATCGGAAGACTTAATATTGTTAAGATGACAAACAATTTCCAAATTGAGTTGCAGGTTCAATGCATTCCTCATTAAATCCCTATTGCCTTACTTGACAAGCTGATCCTAAAATTCATAAAGAAATGCAAGAAACCCAGAATAGGTAAAAGAACCTTTAGAAAGGAAGAAAACAAAGTTGGAGGACTCACACTTCCAATTTCAAAACTTACTACAAAGCTACAATAATCAAGACAGCATGATACTAGCAGATGAATGAGGCACATGGTTCAGTGGAACAGAATTGAAATTCCAGAAGGCAACCTTACATTTATGGCCAATTGATTTTCAACAAGAGTGCCAAGATAGTTCAGTGGGGGAAAAAGAACAGTCTTTACAACGAATGATCCTGCCACAACTGAATATTCACATGCAAAAGTTTGGAGATGGACCATTAGCTAACACTGCACACAAAAATTAACCCAAAAGGGATCATAGACCTAAATACAAGAGCAAAAACTATAAAATTCTTTGAAGAAAACAGGTATAAATCTTTCTGAAGTTGGAGTAGACCATGATCTCTTAAATGTGACACCAAAACCACAAGTGTCAAAAGTAAAAAATATTTATTAGGCTTCAAAATTAATTGAAATTTAAAGTCAAAATTAAAAACATTTGTGTTTCAAACAACGCTATCGAGAAAATGAAAAAGCCCACAGAATGGAAGAAAATATTTGCAAAAAGGATTTTTATCCAGAATATATAGAGAAATCTTATAAGTCAAGAATAAAAAGACAAACTACCCACTTGAAAAATGGGCAAAGGACTTATATAGACATTTCTCCAAAGAAGAGATACAAATTGCCAATAATCATGTGAAAAGATGCTCAAAATCACTAATCATTAGGTAAATGTAAATCAAACCCATAACAAGACACCAATTCCCATGCACTAAGATGGCAATAATAAAGAAGACAGATAATGACAAGTTTTGCCAAGAATGTGAAGAAATTAAAACCCTCATTTGCTACTAGTGGTGAATGTATAATGGTGCACACTCTTTGGAAAACAGTTTCACAGTTTTACGAAAAGTTAAACCTAGAGTTACAATATAACCTAGCTATCCCATTTCGAGGTATATACCAAGAGAAATTAAAATATATATCTGCACAAAAATGTGGAGAGGGGTGTTTACAGAAAAACTATTCAAAATAGTCAAGAACTGTACATAATTCAAATGCCCCTCAAATGATTAATGGAGCTGGGTACAGTGTCACATGTCCGTAATCTCAGTTACTGTAGAGGCTGAGGTGGGAGGACTGCTTGAGCCCAGGAGTTCGAGGCCAGCCTGGGCAACATAGGGAAACCTAGTCTCTAAAAAATATAATACATTTTTTAAAAAATGATGAATGGATAAACAAAATGTGGCATATCCACACAATGGAATATTATTCAGTTATAAAAAAAGAATGCCGTGCTGATACCTGCTACGATGTGAATGAACCTTCTTTGCCGAGATAATGTTGGACTAAATTGATAGGTGAAGAGTGAGAGGTTATAAAATATAATAAAACATTGTGAAGTATGCAGGGATTTCATTAGTGAAAGAAGTTGAACAGGTGGTAGAGCAAGAGGACCAGGTCTATGAGATTAGTTGTAGACAGTTCTCTTTATTATTTAATAAGCACTCACTATTGTCATTTAATTCTCATAATATTCCTATGAAGTAGATATTAGTATTAATTTCCATTTTCTAGATAAGGAAAGCTAGGCATAAACAAGTTAAGTAACTTGCCCAAGGTCACACAGTATGTGATATGGTTAGGATTTGAACCCAAACTCTCTAGCTCCAGGGTCTATGAGTTTTTGTTTTTGTTTTTGTTTTTGTTTTTTGAGACAAAGTCTCACTCTTGTCGCCCAGGCTGGAGTGCAATGGCACGATCACAGCTCACTGCAACCTCTGCCTCCCGAGTTCAAGCAATTCTCCTGCTTCAGCCTCCCGAGTAGCTGGGATTCGAGATGCCTGCCACCATGCCCAGCTAATTTTTGTATTTTTAGTAGAGGCAGGGTTTCACCATGTTGGCCAGGCTGGTCTTGAACTCAGGCGATCCGCCTGCCTCGGCCTCCCAAAGTGCTGGGATTACAGGTGTGAGCCACTGTGCCCAGCCCAGGGTTTGTGTTTTTAATCACTGCACTAAGATATCTACTGTATACTGTTAAAGAAATGAAAATTAGATTACAAAAACAACAGATTATTATGATTTCATATGCATCTGTGTATCTCAAAGTGGTGTTACTTAACACCTCTTTTATTGCCTTTGACATGTCTTTCAGTTTTTCTGAGAACTTTGTGGCTATATTCTGTCTGTACTGGAATAGATTCCTCACATTTTCCTCCTTTGACTTACTCATTCAAAGCAACAAGCAGTCAATCTTACTCGACTTCTTCAATTTACAAATATTTGTGGGGGGTACTTTCTATGTGCCCCAGTTCCAAGCTTGGTGTTTTTCAGATGAGACCATGTTTAAGAAATAGTTTCCTGCTGGTCATGAGCCTATAGGCTAGTGGGAGAGATGAAAACAAAATATGATAAACTGAACGCTATGCTTGCAACATAAGAAAGCGCTGTGGGAGCAGTGGTGGAGAGGCTGGGAATAAGCTTTAGAAGTGGAGACATGGGCTTCCTGGCCCTGTTCTGAAGCTGACCCATGCACCAGTCATGCTATAAACTAACACTGGGGACAATCTGTACATGGGGGGCTCTGAGGTCCCTTGGTCACTCTGGGGCCCCTGGTCATGGAGACTCTGCCTCTCCCCTCTCCAGAGACAATCCCCCAAGAATATCTCCTTTTAGATCAACATCCTCAGACAGGATCTAAAAATAAATAGGTCCACCACAGGGAGAATATATAGGGTGGTTTTCATCTAAGTTTATTAATCATTTGCTAGCTCCCAGTTAAGAATCAGACTTGCCCTTTTTAGAATCTTTTATTTTCAAGTTCTCTTTGGATACTAATCACGTTCTTCTTTTCTCCTACCCAACCCCGTTGTCCTTTACTTTACCAGATGCATATTCAGTCTTTCTAATCCATCCTTCCAAGTCAGTGCCTTCAGACTGATGATCAATTGTTTGCACTTCTTTGAACTCCCATTAATTTATCTTTATCAGGTGGGTATGAAGGTGTTGGGGAATAAAAGCAAAAGTAGAGGTGTGGTGTCACCAATGTCTCTTGTCTCACATATACCCTGCAATGACACCCATATGTATGATTAAAAGGGCTTTAAATGAATAGGGAGGAATGGAGGCTGTCTTTTGTACCAAGTTCATTCTGATTTACAAGCTATTATTAAAACTAGTGTTAAACATCTCTGTGCTGTCCAGTGCATTAGAACTAAACCAAGTTCTATCAATGAAAGATGCTCTTATTTCTCTAACCCTTTAGTTTATTTTTCAACTACAAACATAATCCATACCCACTGCAGTATAATTTAAATATACAGAAGGAGTAAAACAAATCCAGTCTTCCCCTCCTTCCTTCTCCTAAACTGAACAGTTTGGTGTATATCTTTCACACTTTCTTCCATGTATTTACAAGTTTTCAGAACCTGGAATTACACCAACCACAGCACTCTGCAACTAACTCTCTTCACCTAACATCAAATCATAGGCTTTCTTCTATGGCAGTACAGATAGGTACACCTTTTGCTTTCCAGCAGCTACATGTTTTTCCATTCTATCGGGCCTACTATAATTTATGGCATTATCTGATTCATATTTATTTGCAGATACATTGTGGTGAAAACTGAGGATTATAAGTAGAAAACTGTTTAAAATTTTTAAATCTTTTCTTTGTATTATTGCTGTTGTCACTAAGATGAATTTTTCTTTTTCTTTTTGTCAGCATTGATCCATCTCTTTCATGTGTTAGTTTTCCTCAACTTTCTAGTTTTCCTTGGTTGTGAGATTAGTCTCATAAGTGAGTTACCGCTAGTTAGTATAGGTAGCTGGTGTAAGTTTCCTTTTAGATTTGTAGAGATCCATTTCCCAGTAGCCTTCATCGTTAAGAGTGAGGGTTGGCCATGAGCCTTGGATTAGAAGGCAAGGAGTGTTAGACAAAGGAAGCCACTACAATTCCCTAAATAAGGAGGACTTACCATGTGGATGGAGAGTTCAATGTGCTTGTTTAATTGCTGGGCAGATGTGGCTCTCCTTCTGCCCACCCCACCCCCACCTTGCCATGTCTGTTATAAAGGTCAACTAAAGTGTCAAGCTTCACTGTACTTCTTACACCTCCCTACACACCTACTCTGTGCTCGCAAACCCTAAAGAGATCATACATTACATAGTGAGCTGTTCTCTTTCTTCCTGCAGTCAGAAAGCCACTGCCCTCTGTGCTCTCCATAGCAGAGAAAGTGGTATGAATGAGGCACAATTTGCTCAGTTATTCTAAATCTTTCCTTCAGTTAATTCCCCTGCTGTTTACCCTATTACAAATAAGGATTTTTAAGCCTGTTAATAAGAAGAAAATTCAATCAACAATATGTTGCCAGTTTTTACTTTTCAAGTTGACAAGAACAAAGATAAAATATGTAATGCTGACAAAAATGTAGGAAAATGAGCTTCTGCATCGAGTTTTTTGGAGAGTACACCGTGATGTGGAACATTTTTTTTCCTGGACAGTATGTTGGCATTATTTAATAATATTTTGTTGCATGAACTCTTTGGTTCTGAAACTTCACTTTTAGGAATTTCACTTACCAAAATATTTACACAAGTGCACAAATATAAATGTTCAATGATCATTATAGCTGCATTGTTTGTATTGAAAAATAGAAACAACTTAAACATCCACTATAGTAGGCCAAACAATGGCCCCCAGAGTTATTAGGTTCTAATTCCTGGAATCTGTGCATTTTACTTTCTATGGAGAAAAAAAAGGACGTTGTAGAAATAATTTCAGGATCTTGAGATGGGGAGATGACTTTGAATTATCTAAGTGGGACCTAAATGTAATCACAAGTATCCCTATAAGAAAAAGGCAAAGGGGGATTTGACACACGCAGTGGGAAGCTGGGACAGATAGATCTTTGAAGATGCTGACCTTGAAGACCGGACTGATGTAGCCACAAGCTGAGGAATGCTGACAGACATCAAAAGCTGGAAGAGGCAAGAAATGATTTCTTCCACAGAGCCTCTGGAGGAAGCATGGCTCTGCTGACACCTGGATTTCTGACCAGTAATACTGATTTGAGACTTCTGGCCTCCAGAACTGTGAAAGAATATATTTCTGTTGTTTTAAGGCATCTAATTTGTGCTAGTTTGTTATAGTCACCAAGCAAATACACTCATCAAAGGGAAATGGTTATGTAGATTATGTTGTGTTCACATATGGGAACTTAATAATGACAAAATATGGTATGTCTCTATATTTACATAGAAAATGTTCTCAGATACAATTTTCAGTTACATCATATTTATACCATAATCCCATTTATATAGAAGAGAAAAGTAAACCTATATGTGTGTACATATATGTAGGTAGGTACTTGTCTGGATATTATTTTCAAATGTGAGTGTAGTAGTTACCTACAGGAAAGGTGTAAGTTACAGGGAAAAGGAAGGAAAATTTTCACAGTATTGTATTATTTATGTATTTTGCAACATGCATATATTTCTATATTATATGTATCATATTTTTAAGGGAAAAATGTGGTAGGAGTTTTCCCCAAACTACATTTTTATAGACCCCAAATATCTACTTTCTTCGAATACTTACTCAATGTTTGTCTCCTTCACTAGACTTAAAGTTCCTTGAGAGTAAGAGCCTCACCTGTCTTGTTCCCTTTTGTCTACAGCACCTAATTCATTGCTGTCACATATTATACTCTCAAAAAATTTGTGTGAAATGAATGATGGGCTGTAACATCTATCAGCAGCAGCCAAAGGTGAGCATCCCCATGAACTGACAGCAAAGGCAGTCAGTACCTTAAGAAATGACAGCACCTGCCTTGTTTCTTCAGGGCTTCACCATCAAGAATATGACAGCAGCAGCAGCTTAAGCAGGAAAATACACCCAAATGTCTCACCTCTGTTTCCATCAGATAACTAGCTCACTGTCATAAGCGTGGAATATCCTGAGAGGGACCCAGCTGATGTGGCTCTGATTGCAACGTCGAGGATAGTCTTCTCCTTCAGAAGCAATATGGTGAATCAACGCTTGCAGACACAGGGCAAACCCAGAATGCTATTTGTACAAACAAGTATGGCTCCTCTCCTGCGGAAGTTTCCAGTGCAGATGCCAATGTCTTTGCCATCCATTTGCCCTTAAGGAAAAGGGCTTGCTGAACTCAGGCAAAGTAGGGAATTGAGCCTGTTGACTGCCTTGGATGCTTAGTGTCCCATATTCCCTGTGGCTAGCCTGGGCAGAGTCTGTGAGGGATTAGAGCATGAAGGCTATAGTGCATAATGAGTTTAAGGAAAAATTAGCCTGAAAAAAATCACTTAGCTCCAAATGTCTAGTGATATTTATAGACGTTGTGGGTTAAATTTCACTTCACTGACTTTGTCCTTTACATTGACAAGCTAGATAAGATGATATCGTTTTAAATAATCATTTGCGTTTAGGTATTTCTCTGGCAGTTTTGTATTACAGTTTAAAAATAGACTAGCCTATGTCTATGGCTCATGTTGGCTATGGTATTTTGAACTTGATTTCTGAGGCTGCTGACAGCTTTTGAAAGATTTAACAACTGGCAGCAAGAAAAACTTCCATAGAATCTCTTCTCTGAAATTTTTTCTGCTGGAAAAAAGGGCATCACTTAGCAGGTAATATATTGCAATGAAAATATGGTTATGAAATAATGGCTCATTAATATGATAAACCATAACATAACCTTTTCTATTAAATGTAAAAAGAAATTTCTTGAAATGAAGGCATTTTCCTTCCTGTGGCATATTTTTCCATAGTTGTTGATTTGGAAGAATTTTTTAAAATTATTATTCAAAACAGTCATTTTGATTTGCACAGGAGATAACAGTTGTTCATGACATTTTTATTTCTGCATAAACAGATTTCCATTCTGGCGAAGGTTAATACAGTAGGAATTTGTTTTTACTTTTGGATATACCGTGATACACTAGAGCACTTTGTTTTGTATGGAACCACTAATTTATCCTTTATGCCTTTACGATCTTGTCAGTGCCGCATGTCTCCCTTAGTTTTTCTAATCTAAAATAATCCCAGTGAAATCCTTTGATTGTCTGTTTGGACCTGCTCCATTCCTAAAGCAGGAATGTAATGGGCTTTATGGCACTTACTTGGGAGTAATTTATCCAGCAGAGTGACTATAGATACTTGTTTTAATAAGAATATGCTTTATGGTAAGTGGGTACTGCTATTTAATTAGCCAAAGGGAAAGTAGTTCATGATACAATCTGTCCCAATCATCTTGGACATTAAACAAAAAGTCAGGCTAAGTTATTTATGTGCATGCACTTTATTTGTAGTTGCTTTGAGCAAACCTCTTCTTTGAAACTTTATAGCATTTTCTGAGTGAGCTGAATTGTGGGAGGAGGAATAGGGGAAGAAAAGGACATGAGAGCATTCTATAAAATTTTTGAAAAAGAAACAGAAGCTTTACTTATTGCTATCAAGGTTGTGAATACAGGCATACCAAATGGAAAACAGGCAGGGAACTATGATTTATCCTCTGCTATTTGGTAGTTTGCATCTTTAGTGCATAGCTGATGGAAGAATGTTGCAGGATGTCAGTAAGACATTATGGGATTGTGTGTTCCTGTGTGTGTGTTTTCCTTGGATTTCCATTGCTTTCAGCAGCAACATGTTTCTGAAGATTCACAATTATAGTCCTATATTTTTATTATAAATAACTAAATTTAAGAAGTTCAATGCATATCCAATTATTTCAATACTTAAAGCAAAGTGTAAGCACGTGGATACATTTTAAGAAATCTTCCCTTCCTAATAATACTACAATGATGATATAATGGGGGTAAGTAATATGAATTTCTAATTGTCCAACAGTTTGGGCATGTAAGTAATATTAATATATTTATGGATGAACGGGGAAAAAAGAAAAAGTGAAAAAAAAATGAGACAATATCCCTAGGGTATTACAGCCCTGGTTATGGTCTGCTCAGTAATTACATATTTGTTCCCTTTCTTAGGCGTAAATGTCTCAGTCACTGACTATAAGTACAAAGGGCCCAGAAGCTGGAATCTGAAGACAAACATGGCTCCACTACATTTTACTCTCATTGCCTTGGGAAACATTACTTAAACCAGAAGAATCTATTGCCCTCTTTACTTCACAGTGCTACAGAGAGGATTACATGAGCCAATATTTGTGAGTGCCCTTTGTAAAGTGAATGTCTAGTGTAAGTCAGCACTTGCTTATAAAGCTCCTTAAGCATAAGATTTTGGTTATGACCATGTTTGCACATGCTTGCGCGGGACCTTCTATATGGTTGAGGCTTCCTAAGTGGAGTCTGGGTGAACCAGTCTTCTGTCCGTGCCCTTCTTGCATGGTGCACAGGCATTTTGCTCCTATTTCTTATACCTCTATTATTTTGTCTGTATTACATATCTTGCCTTTTTCAAAGTTACCATGAAAACTAAACTCAAACTAAAGGGCTTTAATTCATGCAGTTTGTGTCTGCCATCTAAGTAACAAAAGCACTATCTTTTCACAATTGACCTATCTCTCAGCAGTGGCACAAAAATGTGGTGCATGGACTAGAGTCCTAAGGAGTGCACTGTGGATGAAGGACTCTGAATGGCCATCCAGGTGGTCAGTGTTAAGTGCTACCCTCCCTACACTATTGTGTAATCTTTGTATAATTTCCATCTTACCCTCAGCTTTACTTTGCCATCAGTATGCTCTCTCTCCCTCTCCCTTCTGTTCACCTGGGAAATCTTTTAAGCTGCTAAACAAAAGCCCTAAGAATGGTTGCATATTAAGTTATTTTAGACAGCTTGGGGAGGTTATGAAAAGTTTTGGAGTCATTAGCATTTCAACAATTGACTGCCCCACTGTCCCCGTCTTTAGGAAACACAGGCAGTGCAGTCGGCCCATGAAGTGAAAGCCTGGGTGAGCCTGTGTTTAGTACTTTTAACGTAAGAAGACAGAAAAGGAAATACTAAAGACCGAACTTTCCTTCAACTCTGTGGTCTCACACATCCCTCAGTGACTTGGAAACTTTTCTGACATGAGACAGTGTGCAGAGCAAGATAACCACTCCCCTTCCTCCTCCTGAAGATGTGTAAACAGCTGGTGCATGCAATCCCTCTGGCTGGAGGGAAGTAAATGCAGACTGATGTTAAACAAATATAGGCCAGTATCAGGAACTCAGAAAATATTACATATACAATGTGACAAGGGGCCCTGCAGGGTTCATGATCATTGCAGGTATTAAGGGTCAAGAGTTGGGGTGTCAGAGCCAATAATTTTTTTTAAGGCTATGTATTTGTTTCTTGTTTGGAATTACGTTGGTTCTTTTGCTAGAGTTTTCTTAGCATGACATCACACAATTGTGAAGAATGTTCATCACTATAAAGCTATTATAATTCCTCATTTTTTTGTTGGCTTTAATTCTCAAATTTTATATACCTACAAGTCATGTTA
This sequence comes from Homo sapiens, assembly GCF_000001405.40. Lineage (NCBI taxonomy): Eukaryota > Metazoa > Chordata > Mammalia > Primates > Hominidae > Homo > Homo sapiens. Next base: position 87,902,620 of record NC_000001.11, on the reverse strand, counting down.
CTTTAATCACATCTTGAGAAATCAATGAGACGTCACTTTTTCCTTCAACCCATGACACTTACGTGAGCTCTGGATAGGAATAAAAGTGAGTGGGGATAAAAGCTTCTGTTAACTGTGCTTTTCTCCTAGCAGGCACATGGTGTTCCAAGTTCTTGGCTATTTCATAGGAATCTTGAATACACAATTATGAACTAATTATCAATGCCTGATTCATCAAGTAACACTCATGACATGAGTCTGAGTGGCACACATCTGACAGCAAGTGGAGTAAACTAAACACACTGTCCCTGTCCTCCAGAACTGTGTCAGCCTTGCTGATATTAAAGCTTGATAAGCCACAATCATCTTTGTCTTGTGACATGGTAGCTACTCAATCAATCAGTTGACAAAACTGAATGAGAAGTATAAAATAAAACAGAAAATCAAGCAAACATAAAGCATAATAGGAACAAAATAGAAGGGCCAATTTCTCTTTTATCATCAACTTTGTAATGCTGGAAGTTCTGCAGTCCTCAGGGTCTAAGAAAAGTGGAGTAGGCGTCTATCTCGGTATCAGGATTTATACTTATATTTACTATTATGGCATTGAATGGCTTACTTTTGTCTTTCTCACCAGACTCCAAGTTCCTGTGGGCAGATCTCACGTCTTATTTCTTCTTTTATCCCCACACATTCTACAACTTCTACAAGATAGATGCTCAATCATGGTTTCACAATGGATGAATATTAAATGAATGAACGAACACAGCTCAGTCAGGAGTAGAACTAATATGCAGTAAATCCTACTTGTATTTTTCACCTTAGTGAGGTCACTTCACACCCCAGATGGCAATCTTTCCTATATAAATAAGCTTAAAGAAAAGAAAACTGTGTTATAATCACTCTCAGAAGAAAGTTCAGCCAAAAATTGCCATATTAAGATGATTAGCTTGTATGTAACTGAGTATCTTAGGAATAATTCATGTCCTGTGCCAGTTGGTGAGCTTCTATTCTTCTTGCTTGCAGACCCTTATTAGAGATTTTCTAACATTTTTTAAAGGGAAAGGGTGAACTATAAATTATAGAGATTGAAAATGGTAATGATTCTATTTGTATTATTATTCATAATCATAACCCAATTCTTAAGGTTCTGTACCAAGGATTCACAATACATATGAATATATATGTACATATGCATATATACACACAATCTAAACTCTGTTCTAAATGACTTGGTAAAACATTTTGCTGTTTCTTTTTCTGGGAGGGCAAGCAAAATAAGTCATAAGTCTGTCTGAGAAGCTGTTAGGCACAATCTTTAAAAGCTTTAATTCTTTTCAAAGCATACTTGCATCAATTACTTCCTTCCTCTCATATCAGCATGGAAAGTAGACAGGACAGGTAGGGAGCATAACCTCCTTTTTTCTGAGAGAAAACTAAGGTTCATGAACCCATTCACTTGGTCCTCAGCAAATTCATATAGGGCACTAACTATGCATAAGCTACAGGAGTTGCTGGTTTTACAAAGTAAACATGGTTTCCCTTCGAGTAACTGACAGCCTATTTGAGATAGCATTGCCCTTGGAATCAGGTAACCAGGGTCTCTGCACTAGGCACTGAGCTTTAGAAGGCCCTACCTGCCCTCTCTGACTGCAATTCTCTCCATGGGGCAAGGAATCCATGGAGCCAAGGAGATATATATACCCAGACTTTGAGCAATCTATCTTCCCATCTCCCCCCACCTCTAGACCACACACTAGGTACCTGAGACTCAGAATTCCCCACCCAGTGGGGAAGCCCTACTTCCTGGGCTTGTGAAGCACCTCTTCCCCACTTCACCCTCCCAAGGACACACATTCACCATGCCAAGGGTTGAGAGAGAAGGTTGGAGAGAGCTCCAGGCAAATGTAGTAACAGGCCTGAGAAGAGGAGATAGAGAAGTCAGCAATTACAATGCTGCCTGTGGTGATATGGAAGTGAACAGGGAATGCTAGGGAAAGGCAGAAGGGACACCCAGCCCAAATGAGGCATGAAGAAGGAGAAAGAGATGGGAGCAAAGGCTGTTGAAAAAGAAGCTGAGCCTCGGAGGCTGGGTCAGAACTACCACATGAGGTTAGAAAAAGAAAGGAGGGCATTTTAGAAGAGTGAAAGAAAGGTGTACGCAAAGGAATGGTGGAGGATTAATGGAATTGCAAGTTCTTCTATGTGCTTGAAGAAATGAAAAAAGAGGGGTAGAAAATAAGTTGAAAGGGAGAGATGGACAATTAATGATATTTGTCACTATTCATTTTACTTTCTTATGGCGCTATGAACCTGATTTTATTTGGAAGTAGTGACTTCTCCCCATTTAATACCATTCGGTGGACTAATAATCAGGTGCCCTGCTTTCTCCTTGACTAGATTCAAGAGAAATGACAAAAAGACTGAGAATCTCTGAGGTCCTTGGGTTTCCAGAGGTATTCCTGCAAGGAACAGTCAAGCAGCATCAAACCTTCAGACCTTCTGAAACAGCCTGGTTCCTCCCAGCACTGGGTCTGGTTCTGCCGCCCTCCTTTCCAACATGTCACGTCAGTCATCCTCCCAACAAATTCAGTAGTTGGTTAAGCAAGCCATATACAGTGTTAGTTGACTGAAATCAAAGCTCTATAGCTAATACCAGAGGAAAGCAAAGTTCTGATTTTCATAAGGTTTTGAATGCTGTGCTATGGATTTTGGACTTTATTTTGAAGGCAATAAAGATTGTAATAAAGATAGTAGCATGAGTGAACTGGTTAAGAGATTTGCCAAAATGTCTAGCCATTCAACTTCGTAAGTATATGAAATTCTCCATAGAAGTATAATGTTAAATAAGTGGCCTTCAGTAAGGCAAAAACAAACAAACAAAAAAATAGATAGCTGCTCTTTCTATTTCTGTTACTATTAAAGAAAATGTAGCTTTCCAAATGACTTAATTTTACTCATGAATGAATGAATATTGAGTTAATAACACTCTCCATACTTTCCCTTTTTTATATATATATAACTTGAGATAATAATTGCTACTTAAAGTAGGATGTTTATAAATACATGGCAGTACTGTGTATGCTTTCTTCTTTGTGGTTTTTATATGCTTTTATACGTTCTGTGTATGAATGTTGAGGAGAACTTCTTTTAGAATTAGTTAGAATAAACTTGTTCATTCTGAAAGCATGTATTTAATGTGATTCATTTGGCCACCTTAACCAAAAAATTATTTTGTGTGTTTTAAAGGGGAAAAAGGATTGTCATATGTTTAGCGTCTGAATTAATGTAGTCTTTCATTGAGCAACTATTCATTAAGATCATCTAATGCAAGGTGCTACACCAGGCACATTATATGATGATTCATTCTATCAATAATTTCTTAAACATCCAGCGAGCAAGGAGACAATTGTACATGTGCATTGTTTTGCAATCACATTAACAATTCTAAAATTAGTCTTTTTGAATAAAATATCTTCAAACTTTTGAACAAACAAATATCCCAGTGATCTGGCAAATTCCCAGAGCTCATGTGTGACTGTGGGAGCTTTGTGTGTAACTGTGTGGTTTTTTTGTAAGTTGGAAGTCCACAAGATAAAAATAAGCCCTTGGTGCCCTCATGACTTTATTAGCTATTGTACTCTGAAGACAACAAGCCTACATGTTTTGAAATTTACAATTTCCTGGAGCATTTCTACAAACAGTTTTGACATAGTACAGAATACTTGATCAACTGTCACCCAAGGCAATTTGAAGAAAATACAGGAAATGGAGGGTCTATTCTGAACCCTGAAAATGCAAGGTCTTCTCTTTTGCCATGATGAAGAAAAATAAACCTTTCCCTTATAGAGAAGATCTATGGAACACTGATGTTGAAATTCCAAGCTCTGCATTACTAAGATTTCTGGACATCATCACAAAGCCTCTAAGCCATACTTGCAGCTCTTTGCAAAGCTTGCCAGAAGACGACTTTAGTGAGAACTGTAATTTTATGATCGTAGACATTACACCTGACACAATCTCTTGGTTAAAAATGAATTTAGAAAGATACAAGGACTCGATTAGCAAAGCAATGACGAGCTAGCAGCATTCCAGAAATCCTCACTTTATGATACTTTGACATTTATAGCTGTGTGACTTTAAAGAAGTTACCTAATCTTATTCAGTCTCAGCCATCTCATCTTTAAACAGAGCTAAGAATACATGCTTCTTAAGATTACTTGCACAATTTCATGTGATAAGGTATACAAAGTGCCAAATGAAATTCTAGGCATATACTAGGAGTTGAATAGATACTGTATTCTTTCTGCTCTTGTTAGTGCCTTATGTGATTTGCTCCCTGGAGAAGGTAAGACTGTTTGTCTAATAGCATTTATTTTACTAATAATAGAAATCCAAAGGTTGTCAATTATGGATGACCTACTTTGTCTCAATTTAATAACTGTATTATTTCTGTATTGCACATTTATGTGAAATAAATCTTACTATCTCCATTTTTGCAGGTGAAGACCCAGAGAGGACAGTTGACCTGACAAGGGACATATAGCTAGGAAATGAAGCTGCAAGTGATTCTAGGCCTGATTCCAATGTCCTTACTCTTTCTATTTATCCACACATATCAGTCAGGAGATTATGATTTAGACAAATGGCTGTTAAGAGTGGATACAACATCAAAAGTGCTTAAGACTTAAAGATGTTTTAATATCATCAGGGCATTCTTTCTTGCAGCTCTCACCTCTGTGAATGATAAACAACTTATTTCTTAATTTTCTTAAAATCCCTTGGTAAAAATAATCGACTTTAAATTGATATTTGCAAACACATGCATTTGAAATTTTTTCAGGAGTTAATTTTCCTATGACACCTCATTTGCTAATGCACAATACTGCCCCTATCAGCACAGAGTATTACAAGGCTTTCCAGTCAAATGGGAGCAAGCAGCTGGAGGGATTAAGGCTAGTATTTATACCTTAATTCCCTGGGCTGCAGTGTTAACCCAGAAATATCTCATATGAATATCACTTGGCTTCAGGGCACAGTCATACCAGGCATTCTCAGTTAATTTCACTATTTGATAAAGAGTCAAGAATGACTTAGCCCTGGTCCTTCCACAGGGATTTTTCTTCCAATTCATACTCATTGTTATGGGCTTGATAAGTTCTTCTCAATGATTATGATCCATTATACTTATATATTACTGTCAATAATTGTATATGATAATATATTCATGGATGCCCACCTGTGCCAAATGAGAAGGGTTGCAGGCTTATTTTCCCAGGTGATTTTTCTGAAAAGCTATTTTTTCTGCTTTAGAGTCAGCATGTGGATCAGTAAGCATGAAAGGCTCCTTTTTTCTCTTTTCTCTTCCTGTTCTGTTTCTACCTGCTTGGTGAGCGATGGTACCATAGTGTGAGTGGAGACCCTCTGCAATCTCAGCCCTGAGCAATTTGATACATTGTAACTCACCATTTTTCCATCTTAAAAGTCTTTCTGTACTAAATTATAAATGTCAATAGACTGTTAGGAGCAAAACACATCAATTTATGTTATTTTGTTTTCGAAGACTTTATAGGAGATTGCGATTGTTTTGGGGAGAGAAGGAAACAAAGAGGAGTATTGTTTTTCATTTTAATTTCATGTTAACCAATATTTTTCCTTTGGGTAAAATTAAAATATACTTTTTCCTGAATCTTGACCAAGATATATATTTTTTTTAACATCTGGCATTCTAGGGTATACATCCAACTTCTTCCAAGAGTCAGGCCAATCCCCACCATCATTCGTTAGCACTTGCTTATGATGAAAAATTCAAGCTCAGGAATAAATACTTTCTCCTTGCTTTTTCTCTCAAAGGAAGAAAAGTGAATTTTGTTCTATAAATCTGAGAAATGTATAAAGAAACCCAACCATTGGGTGAAATCCAATTGGTGATAATGTCATAAATCAACAGAAAGAAATGAAATAAATGATGAGGGTGTTAAATATTGGAGAGACTGACTAAATAAATTAATGAACGAAGTCTAGTAAGAACTGTGACAAGGTTCCATTAGTACATCAAAGAAACCAATGAGATCCCAGTCATGGCAAACAGTTATTCTGTTTCTGTTTCTGCTGAGCCATGATAATTATGCTAACCCTAAAATGAAAGGGCTATGAGAATGCAGTATTGGCTAAGAGTTGAAGCTTTGGAATGATTACTTCTTGAAAGCATAATCTCATTCTTTGAATATTCATGAAACAAAGAAATTGAACAACCAATTTTTTTAGTTGATTTTCATGCTCTTTTTGTCCAAATTGAGTTAGATAATTTTAAAAATACATGAACATATTGCACTTAAAATATTATAGAACATAATACAGTAAACTAAAGTCCCCTTTAATTTCAGAGGTAACCTTGTTCTGAGTTTGCGTGTATTCTTCCAATCCTTTTTTGTTCCCTAATCCCATGGATTTGCATTATGCCCTTTTGACTAAAAGTGTAAGTATAATTTTGGTAATATCATTGATTTTCAGGTGTGGCTTGTAGAATTGGTCTCATTACTTTAAAGTCACATCTTGTATAATTCATTTTTGTAATTCTGTTTAGTATTTCCTCAGGCCTTCCAATACTTAAAAAGAAACACACAACAGGGGAATAACTCCTGAGGCAGCACTCAGATGGCAGGAATTCTACAATCACTTATTAAATTGGCCTCCTAAATCCTGAGCGGGTTTAGTAAAATGGAATTTCAAAGAACTTCACGATATATTGAATACCATTTTACTTAAAAGAAAACTGGAGTTCAGAAAATGAGATCTACTGGGGCTTCTATGGGAAGTCTCCTTTTTCTTCTACCTTTCCTTACCTCCCTCTTCTCTTAACTCTCTTGAAAAAAAAAAAAAGGGGAAGAAGAGTCAATCATCGAACTAAAGAAATCATTCAGGCCTTTGTTCTTGCTTACTTGACTTTAGCCACTAGACTCCTTTGTGATGCAGCTTGGTCAGAGAGTTATTATTAGGATTTATAAGTAGTCCCATGATAGACTTAGATTTTTTAGGCGTTTATAACTGTCATAAAAATTTAGTGTGGCATGCAAGGTCTCAACCTGGCAGTAAATTTTGCAATAATACCTCTCCATATTGTAAGAAAGTTTTTTGCCCATCTTCAAGGGGTTGGGCAGAGGGTGGAACAGGACAAGAATTTTACCGTATTAAAAAAAATTTTGGGCCGGGCGCGGTGGCTCACGCCTGTAATCCCAGCACTTTGGGAGGCCGAGGCGGGTGGATCATGAGGTCAGGAGATCGAGACCATCCTGGCTAACAAGGTGAAACCCCGTCTCTACTAAAAATACAAAAAATTAGCCGGGCGCGGTGGCGGGCGCCTGTAGTCCCAGCTACTCGGGAGGCTGAGGCAGGAGAATGGCGTGAACCCGGGAAGCGGAGCTTGCAGTGAGCCGAGATTGCGCCACTGCAGTCCGCAGTCCGGCCTGGGCGACAGAGCGAGACTCCGTCTCAAAAAAAAAAAAAAAAATTTTGACACTGAGAGAAAGAAGGTCGCTTACTTTGCACAAAGTGTTGTAAGTACCACGAGAAATGGTACTATATACGAAAATCGATTAGAACACAGGACAGCTTCCGCATTTACCACCTATCTCACCTTTGGCAAATTATGTAACCTCCCTGGTCCAAAACTTTTTATTTGCACAATGGGAATAATAATAGTAACCACCTTATAAGTCGTTACCTTGTATTGGATCCTTTTTGGAATAGTGCCAGGCATATAAAAAAACTATGTTTGCTACTTAATATTTTCTTAGAGGGCTGGCTAAATCCTCTAAATTCTTGTCTAGACTTCATCACTGATAATGAAGTACTGTTCTGAAGTATCTAAAAAAAACATAAAATATAATTATTATAGTCACTGTGCATCACATGTAGTCAAACAGTGACTATGAGTCACTTACAGTTCTCTTCACAGTACCAGGACAAGAAGCAGAATTCTTTGGAATTACAGAAAGAGAAATGAAGAAAAATGTGAATCCCAGGTGAGATAGAGTATGCACACTGGAGGGAAAGGTGGCCTCTTTAAGAAAAATTATGGCTTTCTTCTTGGTTAACTTGAGTCTCAAGCAGATGTTAGCCTCAGATCTTATCTTCCAAAAGGTCTTATCATTTAGGATTAGGTATGTTTGACTCTGCAGAAAATCTAAAGATTCTTCTAAACAACTTTTCCTGAAGAAAAATCTGTTTAGTGGGTAGACAGAGCACTTTCCTTGTAGCCCCATAGCAGTCTGCTTCTTATAAGAAGCCGCCCTATGAGCTCTGTGACTGTTAACTGACATCCTCTTTTCTCAAGATCACATAAAATTTTTACCAATACATACAGGAAGAAAGAGGGTCAGAGCATAATGCTAATATTTTCCACATTTGAATGGTGCCTGTTTCCTTTTTTCTCTCTTCTAACCCAGTAATTTGCATTTGTATGCATGTGTGTGAATCTGTTTGTAGATGGTGCATTTATTTTTATAGTGAGATTACCAGGTGAGGGGAAAGAGAACTAAATATTGAGTACTTATTATGTTCTAGGCCTCCTAGGCCTGTTCTGGGGACATTACACATTATCTCTTTGATTCTCACAATAATTTTGAGAGATAAATATGATTATTCCAATTAAAAGAAGAGAAAACTGAGGTTCAGATACATTAAACTTGCAGAGCTAGCAATAAATGGAACCTACATTTGAGCATAGGCTTGACTTCAAAACTGATGATATTGCTCATCCTCAAGAACCAGTTTCTGAGGTGTGAATAGCTCCAGGAGTGCAGAAGTTGCTAAGTCATAGAAATAGCCATAGAAAATAGAAATAGGTAGAATTTGTTTCTAAGTCTCATGTTCATCTCCCTATTATCATCCTTCTCAGTTATCTACCCTGATCACCTCTTTTCTAATTCTGTTCTAAGCTCACCAAATCAAAATACAGTGTTTCTTCAAAACCTGATTGTCTAAGTCTCATACATCATGGCCATGCTTGGTCACTACAGCTAACCTGATGGATCCGTTTATACTAAATATATTGATCTCAAATAGCAGTGACATATTTTTGACCCATCCAGCCTACTCTGCTGCTTCCCAACACCATCAGAACATTTTAACAGTGAGCTTGCCAGAATGAATTTAAAACTGACATGAAGCAGAGGCAGAAAATTTTTTATGCATTTCCCCATAAACACGTTCAACAATAATCAGTGTGGTGCTATTTCCTCTTCATTTTTCCTGAGCCAATGACAAGTTTCTATTTGAAACTTTTTGAGGTTGAAGACTGACGACTTCTATGTTTAGCTCACATTTAGCACTTTTGTCCTTCTCCATTCTCTTCCCTTATTGTGAATTTGAGCACAGCCCTCAATCCCAGTAGATTATAAATATGTTAGTAGACTGGGTTTGGTTGTTTTATTGTCCTTTAGTCTTTACTTTCAGCATCAGTGTCCTGAATAAGTGAAGCACAGGGCAGACCTATGGTATTTCAAGGCTGAAATCCCTGAGTTCAAATTCTTGCTCTACTATTTATTAACAGTATAATCATAGGAAGATTATCAGCATCTTTGAGTTTCAATTTCCTGATCTGTAAAATAGAATGAATAATAACACATACCTCAAGAAGTTGTGAAGATTCAATGCAACAATTCATGTAAACACTTTAAACAGTATCTAGCACATAATCACCTATCGTTATTATTTCTGGAAAAACTTGAAATTGTTAAAGCTAGCAGCATCATACGAGTGGAACTGAGATTTGAGAAGTTTGAAGTAGAGTGTTGATCATCACATGAAATGTAGGTTAATTTTTCATCTCTAAATCTTAGCTCCAGCTTATTCAACTTGTAATCTAATTTCATTTCATGAAGAGAACTTATAAAAATCATATCAATTCTTGGCCTAAATTAATTAGTTACCATTCATGTAGTCACATTCACAAATAACTACTGCATACTTACTATTTACCCAAGTGTTTTATCAGAGAAATTAGTCTCAAAAGGTTAGTAAACATGATCAAAACTTGCATAAAATGCCTATCTTTCTATTTTTTAATTTTTAAAAATTGATGCCATGTAAATTGTGGTCAATAAGAGTTTTACATGATCTGATTACAAGAAATAAATTTATTCTTATAAGGCAGAGTGAATTTTCAGTCTATGATCAGCTTGGTGACACTGAAGTGTTTTTTACTATTTGGCAAAATTCAGCTCAAATCAATGTGATATAAACTATAGTATATTGTTGTATAGATTATAATATGGATAACATCCACTAAAACTTACAATATATTCTGTAAGAACTCAGAGATTTTTGTCTATTTTATTCATCCCGAATCCTCAGTACCTAGAACAGTTCCTAACAGACATTGTTAATGAAATGTCTTGTTGCTACATGCTAGATTTTGTGCTACATTCTATAAACATAAATAAGAAATAGATTCTGCTAAGTAGGTACTCACCATCAAGTGGAGGAGAAAATAAAGAAACTAATTAAAATGAAGTGACAGAGATATACTTGTGGTAGAATAAAGGCAATTCTGCTTGCAGCAGGAAATTATTTAGAGATGAAAAATTAAAGTGTTCAAATAAGTAGAAGTTTTCAGATGGGTATGGATTGAATCTGGAGGCCCTTGAGGCAGACAGAAAAGCCTAGAATAAATGAATTTATGAAAAACCATGGTGGTGCCTTCAGAATTCTAGTTTGGGATGATCAGAGTTCATGGTGCAAAAGGAGAGTGTCACATAGTAACAAAGGAGAGCAGGTCAGGAGTAAGATCTTGGAAAGCTTTGTGCCCTTGAGAAGCAGTCTCTTTTATCTTGTGGACAAAGGGGAACCATTAACATGGAGTTATTGAAATGTGGAGTAACATAGTTTTGACTCCTAAAAAGATCATCCAGCAATAGTATGAGAATTTGTTGGGTAAGACTGGAGGAAATCAGCAGGTAACTTCCCATCATTTAGGGTAGAAACAACAAAAGCAGGAACTAGTGGTAGTGGCTTGGAGGTGGAATAAAAGGAACCTATTGGCATGACTATGACAGGCAAAGAAGGAGAAGTTAAGGCTTTTTACCTGGGCAAAGGATGAATATTAGAACCATTAATCAAAATATAAGTTCAGTTTTGAAAATGTAGGATTTTCATATGGACATATCCAACAGATTATATATATACATATATATATATATATATGAGTTTGCAGCTCAGAAGTCTGGGATGGTGGTACATCTGGCATCTTCAGGGTGTGTAAAATCAGAGAGTACTAAAAATTAGAAGAGAAAAAGTGTGAGACCAAACTTCAGGTTTACCAGTTAGGACAGTAGTCTCTAAACTTGAATACATAGACATGACCGATTGTACAAGATGATCCGTTAGAGTATGAGAAGAAAACACTACAGTTTCTACATATTCTTTTTTTTTTTTTTTTTTTTTTTTGAGACAGAGTCTCGCTCTGTCGCCCAGGCTGGAGTGCAGTGGCGCGATCTCGGCTCACTGCAAGCTCCGCCTCCCGGGTTCACCCCATTCTCCTGCCTCAGCCTCCTGAGTAGCTGGGACTACAGGCGCCCGCCACCACGCCCGGCTAATCTTTTTTTTTTTTTTTTTTTTTTTTGTATTTTTAGTAGAGACAGGGTTTCACCATGTTAGCCAGGATGGTCTCGATCTCCTGACCTAGTGATCCGCCCGCCTCGGCCTCCCAAAGTGCTGGGATTACAGGCTTGAGCCACCGAGCCCAGCCAGCTTCTATATATTCTTCTTGTCCACATGTATAGTAAGAATGCAATTAACCTTTACTAAGATGTAATAAACAGATTTAAATGGTTCTCAGTCTATGTTTCAGAGGACCACATGTTATGTAACTGCCCCTGGGAGAAGGATCATAATTGTATAAGGCAAAATGGTTAATAGAGTTATCTTCAACTCATTTGTTCATTTTCAGTATATTGCAGTGTATACTAGTTTATATATGGCCAGTGACATAAATATAGGTTGTGTTATCAGGATTTTAGCTAAATTAACTCTCCCTAAATGGACAAGTGGCTCACAAATTTCCTAGCCAAGAAATAATGCTGATTGTAATGTAAGCCCAGATGAGTATGGGGAAAGTCTAAAGCTGACACTTCCACTTACAGAATAAACTATTTCCATGAGCTGAATGCAGTGAAGATCTATTTGGCTTTTCCAATAATTCTTCCAAACTGAATATTTAAAGTCAAGAAAAATCACTTGAAAATATGGACTTATCATGTACAATCATAACAATAAACCCCAAATGGAAAATATGCCTTGAGATATTAGCTAATGATCTTAAAAATAATATTGATTTCATTCTCTCATTTTTATAATTTTGTATTTTGTACATAGATTTTAATATATAATATAGTCAGAGAGTATGAGGTAATATAATTGCTACATAAAGCATATAGAGAAAGATGGTTGGTTTTCTGATATTTTGAGGTTTTCACAGATAAGAACGAGCCATCAACAGGATTTGAAGAGTGCTGAGTTAAGGGGTGGGGGGTTCTAAGCAGTCAGAATGGATTGCCATTGCTTACATCTCTTTTCCATACTAGCTGAGAAAGTTGTTCTTTGTATTTCTCTGTGTAATACATCCTTGAAAATAAAGCCACAATCTCCTCATCACACTATTGATTACATTATTGAAATTTAATCTCTGAGCCATAATAAGGTACAGAGGTGAAATAAGAAATTTTAGCAATGTGATGATTTTATTAAATGTTTGAGAGCCTTAGTGCTAGAAATTAAAAGTGCAATCATTGGTTCTAGTTTCACAGACCATTAAGCAAACAACTGTTTCTGTTTGGACTGTTTTATTTGATTCAGGTAACATAAAAGACTCATAACAAGAAATCCATGAAGAAAAGTTGACTTGTCCCATACTTGTCAATATGCCTCCATTTAATCATGCAAACTTTCATAGGAATAATATAGCAATATATTGCAAGCTGTGACATTTATGCCAGAATATTGGTCATCCTTAAGATTCATGAATCTTCCCTTTCTACTTTTTTGCCCTCTGTTTGTTCTGGGTGACTGGAGAGCACAGTCTTCACCAGCAATCTTAGAGTTAAAGGTTTATGGGGATAAATCCAAAATGGAAACTATAGTGCAAACTCCATTTACTTTCAGTTCTTGAATCGCTTTCAATGGATTGCAATTCCCAGCATGTTAAGGGCTGAGGGAAAATAGTGACAATACACTCAGTATAACCCAAAACTAAACCTTCAAAGACTGTGTTACTTAAGCATATATAACAATATCTAAGAATTAGATGACGATTGATAAATGAAATGACTACAGAATTTAAAGAGAAAGATTTAGAATATGGCAAATTTGGCTTTCATTTAAAAAATAAGTATTCTTGGCCGGGCGCGGTGGCTCACGCCTGTAATCCCAGCACTTTGGGAGACCGAGGCGGGCGGATCACGAGGTCAGGAGATCGAGACCATCCCGGCTAAAATGGTGAAACCCCGTCTCTACTAAAAATACAAAAAATTAGCCGGGCGTAGTGGCGGGCGCCTGTAGTCCCAGCTACTTGGGAGGCTGAGGCAGGAGAATGGCGTGAACCCGGGAGGCGGAGCTTGCAGTGAGCCGAGATCCCGCCACTGCACTCCAGCCTGGGCGACAGAGCGAGACTCCGTCTCAAAAAAAAAAAAAAAAAAAAAAAAGTATTCTTCATTTTTTTGGAAAAAAATAACTCTACAAAACTGGAGATAAAAATGAATAGCATTTGCCTGGTGGGTGACATATTATGGGAAATATTTTTGGCATTTAAAATTCTAGGTGGGTTTGGCAAAAGATAGGTAAATCCCAATGTGGAGAAGAAATATAGTACTGATGGGGCCTGTTTACTGTGGTAGATGAGGTTAAGAAGCTGGGCAATGCTTACAAAAAGCATAGATGTAAGAATGTTGAGAAGCCACCTTTATTGCCCCATTCTAATGATTAACTACCATCAGTGACACATGCAAGTAGTTACAGGAAAAGTTTTACAATCATCACAGGAATTCAGATGTTTATCTATCCATAAAACGTCTTAACGTGCTTCCCAGTTGGCTCAAGAAGTTGGGGGAAAGAATCTCTCTAAATAAATAATAAATAGTAAATCTACAATTTGTACTTAATTTTTTCTAAGACCCAAGCACACTTCTGGGCAGGCCCAACAGTAACAGATATAAAAATCTGGAGACACTATCATTCAGGAAGGACCTTAGCCACTGGACCAAATATGGGATCCACAATATACGCACTTATTCTTACCAAGGGGAAGAAAAATGCTTTGTTGAATTAACAATACCTTATGTCAACTAGTGAGATGAGAAGGGAGCAAAATAAGGAAGAAAGTCTACAGTCTTCTAATTTGAGGAGGACTTGGAAAGTGAAATAGAAGGGGTAATTATGTCTCATCCAAAGACTACCCATGAGAAGGCCTCAGATGGAACACTTTTGGAGTATCAAAGGGCCTCTAAGCAGGAAGTCATGTGGATCAGGGGGCAGTTTTGTGTGTCTACTGTAAACTTTGGATTATGTACAAATCAAATGTAGTCAAATAGCAATCAATTTCACCTTCAATCTATCTGAACAATTGTATCACGGCAATTGGCTGTGATTTACTTTGTGTTTAAATATGGACTATTTTCTTCTCTATCTTTGTCACTGTTTTCTACCCTTACCAACAATCCCTACACTGAATGAAATAAATTAAAATAAAACCACCTGCACTTGATCTTCTTTACTTCATGCTGAGTCACTGACTAGTTCTCCTTCTGCTGGCTTTTGATTCCAGGTGTAACACCAGCCTCCTAGTTCCCCTTAGCTACTTTTCTCTCTAAGTCTAGTCTTTCCACCTTCCTGACATTTATGCCTTCTCTTCGTCTGTCTTCTCCTCTCAGTATCATAAGGAATCTTCTGGAGAGTTTTCAATTTTTCTTGCACTTCTTGAACCCCTGGCATTTAGTATCTGTTTTAGATGACATAATTCTAGTTCAAGAAGTCTCCGACACCAAAATTTTGTGAGCCAGCTCTTGTGCCTTCACCTCAAATACTGGTATCATGCTTTTCTGTAAGACATTACCGAAGTCCTGTGTTTGAGCACATTCCAGAATTTATGTCTTAAGAAATTCAGGCATGGGATTTTTTAAAAACTAGACATATACAGAAGACAATATCTCTTAACTGGACACTTAAGAAACTGGCTTTAGTTTGCTAAAAATGGAACACATAGATGCAGTTGTGGAGAACTCAATTCAGGAAGCAGAAGGAGAAGAGGGTTATAAAGTGTTGTTTGTCTCTTGTGGATGACTAAGGGAACAAAAAAAAAAAAAAGAAAAACTGCCACCATTTTGGCATTCATGGCATATGAGTATAAAAATAACCAAGTGGGGTATATTCAGTTTCAGGCTCCTCCCACCTCTGGATATTTTATCTCTAAATCTGCCATCTTAGCTTGTGATATTGAAATGGTAGCAACAATGACAAAGGCTAGTGGGTGTAAATTCTCGTATAAAGCACACAGTATGTGTATTCTAGATGCAAACAGCAAAAAGAGCAAACGAAATTTTAAAGGTAGCAAAAGAAGGTTTAGTGTAAAATAATAATAACTGAATAAGAGGAGGGAGAGAGGACATGCTGCCTGTTTGTCCATGGACTGCTGTTGATGATATGCATAACAATTCCTGGATTTGGTAGTAGAAAATACACATCTCTGGGAATCAAAACAGAACCTAATTATGAGTGAAGCCCAGTGGATTTCCCCTAGTGACCTGGTCCCATTATTGGTGATGTCTGCCTCTATCCATTAAGACTTTTGAGAGCCAGCTGCATGATAAGGATTTTGTAAGCTCCAAAAATTGTAAGATATTTGGCATCTCTGCACTTACATCTTCCTGTAATGATATATTTCATCGTTTGGAGAAAGAAGGAGTAGATCCACTTGAAACAAAAGTGGAGAACGCTTTCAGTGATTTTTATGGTTATGTGTGAATATACATGTGGCAAATTCCGTGGATGAAAGCCTTTTCTGGTATGATAGTAGTGGTCATTCCCTGTTTTTCTCCTTCTCCAGCCCACTTTTCTATTCTTGCTCCTGTTGGCAGTGTTCCTTTTATCTTTCTAACCTCTTGGGTTTTTGTTTGTTTGTTTGTTTGTTGTTGTTTTTTTTGACAGAGTCTCTCGCTTTGTCGCACAAGCTGGAGTGCAGTGGCATGACCTTGGCTCACTGAGACCTCCACCTCCAGGGTTCAAGCGATTCTTGTGCCTCAACTTCCGAAGTAGCTGGGACTACAGGCTGTGCCACCACACTTAGCTGATTTTTGTATTTTATTTTTAGTATGGTATTTTTAGTAGAGATGAGGTTTCACCATGTTGGCCAGGCTGGTCTCAAATTCCTGGCCCCAAGTGATCCACCCACCTCGGCCTCCCAAAGTGCTGGGATTATAGGCATGAGCCACTGTGCCTGGTTCTTTCTAACCTCTTCATTCCTCCCTCTGAGGAACATAAGATAAACAGAGGTTGACCACTTTGTCCCTTGGGAAGGAAACTTTTTTTTCACATATAAGTGATTAACTAACAAATGGACAGGATGTTCGCTCATTTTCCATATCTCTGTATTTCAAAGGTGATCTTACAGGGAACCCAAAGAAGGCAATTGCCAATGTCAAGCAGCTAATATCTAATCTGGCCAGCCCTGAAAGCATTTTAGATTAGATTGTTAGTTACTTTCAGCATTCTTTCTGCCTCTAGTCAGATTGAAGTTGTCTGCACAATAAAACCTAGGATAGCAATATTGTTGAACAGAAACCAACATGCCTCAGTTTAGCTCAAAGCTTCAAGTCTAAGTGTGTGTTCTAGAATCAATCGAAAGCACCTGCTCCTTAGAGCTTGCTGAAGTGCCGGGTCATAATGGGTTTAAATGAAGGAGTTATTAGCCCATGTGTTTTCTGATATTTCTGGATTAAAAAGAAGTCCCTTGGCTCCATAATTCTGGTAGAAGTGATGGTGATGTTGGTGAAGGTGGTGGTGGTAGTGGAGTGTGTGTGTGTGTGTGTGTGTGTGTGTGTGTGCTTGTGTGTGTATTTATTGCAAACTTATTCTTCACCTAGGAAGTTCTTGGCAGGAATTTAAAATGTAAGGGTTATAAACTAATAAATGTTCTTTGAACAGCGCCAGGTTTACAGTCAAGAGAGGGCAGTACATGGCACTATTAAGGATAACAAGAAGAAGAATCCTCTGATGGGATCTAATAAATGTAGTAGCATGCTGTAATAAAGAGCACTAGAAAATGGATGAGGTATAACAAAATTATTCATAAAGAGAAATGGAAAAGGATGTCATGCTGAGTGGTTACATGCAGTTATATAGACACTAACAAGGTTATCACTACAAGCTGAGTGCTAGTACATTCACATATGTTTTCTAACTAGCACAAAGAGAGACTGTTTTTATCCTGGAGAACAGGAGAGCCTGGAGTTAGAGGTGTGCTAAATCTTGCTACTGATTTTTAATAATTCAGAGCCAAATAGCAATAATGGTTCATGTAGGTCAGTTTAATGAACAAAGCAACCTCACTTCCGGTTATTTGATGGAAGGTTCTCTGCCGAGTTGCTAACTGGTATACTTTACAGCTATCTCCAGGGTTCTTTTTGATATGATATTATCCTCCTCACATACTGCGCTTTCTATACACCAAAATATAATGTGATGCCACGAGCGAGGATGAAAACACTAAAAGAATTTTCAAATGAGCCCATGAGCTCTTGCTCTGAAGCCGCAGTAATGCTAGAAAAACAGAGGCAGTGCCCTGCTCACATGCCTCACCAATAAAGTTTTCTAAGAACCACAGTAATTCAAAGAGTTGGTGAGGAAGTCACCTGACAATCCTTGGAGCTAAGGAGAAACATTTACCCGCAGTATCTTCATTATCTGAGACTAATAACCATAAGACAGCAACAGATTTATGTGATGTTAAACGGATACACTGATTGTAACTAATTTAATAAATACGTTGATCAGCAATTATTTTATTGACATGCAGGACCCTCAATTTCTGTAAATTTTCCTTTCATGATAAATTTAAATAGTGCTTTTATTACCCCAATGTGTTTTAAGTTCAACCCATGGGAAGAAGTTTTAGCTTAGAGATTTGAGGCATTCAGACTTTTTTTTTTTAAGAGCAAAATCATATCAAGAGATGGCTAGAAGTATCGGTGGCAAAGTCTCAAGCCAATAAAAATCACTGAAAGTATTTTTTCTACTGAAATTGGCCTTTGGGGATTTTCCTTTTAGGTTCCATTTTAATTGAAACGCAGAGCCAATTCTATATGATGGGGATGCAAAAAGCCCACTCACATTGGAATTCCTTGCAGGATTCTACAGTTTTGACCGCACAACCTTGATTGACCTGACTGTCACGGTATGAAGACTTGTCTCAGTTTCTCACCTCTTCAGAGTCCTAACATGTTACGTGTTATACTATTTAGAGGTACAGATTATAAAGACTGAGTCATGTGTGGGTTGTTCAGTGTTTTTGCTTTTGGAATATTTCTTCTCTGCTCTTCTCTGACATCTCAAAATACACACTTACACATTCTGGCAGCACTTAGTAAGTAAAGGTCCAGACATGGGTGAGTGGACTCCCTCTGACCCCTTTACACAGAGAGGGCTGTCTTGACGACTACCTTCACCTAGATGTTCCATAGTGCCACACAATATTCAGTTACATTCGGCCTCTCTGACCAGAGTTTCCTAATGAGTTTGAGGCACGTTCCATCCCTCTCGAGTGCCACTTGCCCTGAATTTATTTAGTGAGTCTCTAGGCCTGGAACAGAGGAAGAGTTCATACTCCCTGGTTATAAATACTATCATTGTATGTGCACTGATTCTCTAAGGTAAGCCACCTACCCAGGGAGGGTTGGGTTTCTTGGAGAGTTTTCACACTGGAGGTATGCCGGAGCTAAAGCATTTATGAATGGAAATCCTGGGGGCAGAGAACTGGGTGTGAGATTCAAACAGAGAGACTGAGTACCTGTTTCTGAAATCATGAAAACAAACCATCCTCTACTCTCCAGGAAGAGCCCTGCACACTGCACACAGGTGAAGCAGGCCACAGCCTTTATGCTGACGGTAGAGAAAGGTTACATCTCTCTCCCAATGCCATTAATTAAAACAATATGGTACAGCTGCAAAATTTACAGTTTGCAAGAAAATTAACCCATTTCACCTAATTTGAGCCTCAAAATACCACAGAATATGTATTGTCAACCCCATTTAAAGGTGAGAAAACCAAGGCTTATAAACTACGAGATTTGTCACCCAGATTTGGTGTGGGAGAGTTGTAATATGAATTGAGACTTTCTCACTCTACATACTTTGATTTCTGCCTCTGAAAACATATATAGGTCCTTTGACAGATATTAACAACTTTCCTTAGTTCTTTTTATAGCTACTTTGGGACACAAGCAGCAAAATTCTTATGGATGAGGACACAGCCAGTTGAACTTTGAAAGAAGCTGGGCAGACTTGTGCCATGACATCAAGTCGCAGGGGAGGACTGGGTAGATTTTTAGGCCTGGGGAAGCCAGTGCATGGGGTCTCAGGGAAGGAGCTGTTAGTCAATGTTCCTAATAGAGGAGAGGAGAGAGGAGAGAGGAAGGGAGCTTGGATAAACTCTAAAGACCAACTTCTCCTTCCCAAGTTTGCCTTGGGGAGCAATACAGTGAGAACCGATTAGTGCAGGCCTTAATGCTTTGTATGTGAAAGTGAATAAGACTTACTGAGGGGAGACTAATGCAAGCAAAGCCTTCATTTCCAAGGAGTAAGTAAAATTCTGCTTGTAAAGATTCCTGATTCCCTATCTGTCTGGGTCACACAGGGCAGCAGTTAGCATGGTAGAACCATGGAACAAATTCCCCTGGAAAGAATGTGTTGAAGAAATGAGTATCACAGAAAGAAAGAAAAATGGGAAAAACCAGGAAATGTTTCAAAGACACTATATCATTGTTACTGGGAGGAAATGCCACAATTAACTTCAGAAGAACTGTATATATGGTGGAAAATCAACTTTGGAAAATGTAAGCAGTGGCCACAGTGGGGCCCTAGCTGGGATTTGAAATAAACCTTCCTTAAGTAGGACATAATTATTTTCTTTGGTTCCTTAAACATTGGCTTTTATAAGCCATAAAACTATTTATTTAATGCAACTGGCCCTACTCTGTTTATCAAGTATAGCTGTAGCCCTAGACATGAAACCCTGGCATTGGCACATAGGCACTCATGTGGGTGACATCAGCTGCAGGTGGAGGTCATCATTTAGTGAGAGACATTGGGGAGGGTAATCAAAAGATAAAATGCCAAAAGCACGTACCACTTCATTCTCCATGCTGAATACCCACTAACCTCGCCAGCCACATTTTATCTATGAAACAGATTTATATTCTGAAATGCAGAACACACTCATCAAATGAATTTATTTTGAATACTGAAGCCAAACTGGATTTTTTCATTGCATCTGTGACTTTTTACATTGAATCTGGATATAGTTTTGCACCCACTTCCAGTCTGGAAAAAGATCTGTCCCACTGAGACTAAGTATTTGGTCTACCCACCTTCCTCTGTGAACCACTATTAAGGTTTCAACTCCCTCACCTTAGTGAACCTCTCCAAAATCTACATTTCTGTATATATTCTCAAGGCTTGGGAAGTTAGATTGCTAGTCTAGATTTCTTCATATCACTTGGCCTCTGAAGAGTTGTCATCTAAAGAATTTTTTGCCGCTAAACTTAACTTTTACATAGTAAGATGTAAACAGAGTAGATACTAAATAAAGACTTTCAGATATAAGTGACAATCACTTTCCTACCTACGTTAAGCTTTGACAACACAAATGAAAATATTTCTTCAGGCAATGCATTTTGACATTGGCAATTAAGTACTAGGTGGTGTAGCCAACAAGTAAGTAATATAATGAGATTTCAATCTTTAAAAAAGTTTGGGATTTTTTTTAACCTGCATTATTTTGAAGTATAATATACACACAAAGAAACCCATAAATCAAAAATCTATAGCTCATTGATTTATCACAAAATAAACACCTCTGTGACTACCCACACCAGCCTCAAAGAATATAACTAATGCATGTTAAAGTTTCCCCTCTAACATTCATTAATTATTTCAACAGATAATTGTTGTGTCCCTACTCTGTGACAAGCACTGCCCTAGGCATACTTACAATATAGTAAGAAAAACAAACAATAAGCAAATAAATACATACATGTCAGCAGACGTATGATATGAAGACAAAGAGAACAGGCTAAGGGACATGAGGTAAGGGTGCAAGGACGGCAGCTATGTTACATGGAGGGTTACCAGGGGTGCCTATGGAGCACAGGAATCATGTCTAGGTTTTCCTTGTGTCTCTGGGTTTTTAGCCCACAGTATCAATTAATAGATGTCAAGCAAATTGAGCAATGATAGAATCACGTATTCATGACAGATCAAAGCAACCAAAAAAACAAACAAACGGAAAACAGCAAAACCAATTGAAAAAATTGTTGGCTTTGTGAACAGCATGGCTAACAAATGGCATTTTATCAGGGAAAAGAAAAAATGGCCATTAAACTTCAAACACTTTGTTAGAACAGGAAATGCCATTCATTTTTAGGCGCTTCCTCCTGAAACTATTGCACTGAATTAAGATTTTACAAGTTCAAAAAACTTTAAACATAGACACTGGACTATTAAATTTGGAACAAACAGTGTTTGCCCATCCATGGTTGGCCTCCAGCTTCTTAAATATTACCCAAATTGGTGATTAAGCATTTAGAAATGCCAGTGGAAGATTAAAAAAAAAAAAAAAGGAAAACCAAAATATCACAAAAGGTAAAACACTCGACACACTAAATGCCCTTCAATGTTAACACTGGCATTGTGGAATAACCTACCAGGTATTACCTTAGGCCTCTGAAATGGAAAGAAACTGACTGGAAAGGCAGAGACTTCCTTTAATCTGGAGGCTCAACTCAATCAAGAATACTACGGCCAAAGTTGTGAAACCCTCAAAGGAATTCCAGTGTGAGTGGGCTTTCTATTTCCTTTCATATAGAAATGACTCTGAGTTTCAATTGAAATGACGTCTAAAAGGAAAATCTCAAGAGCCAATTCAATAGAAAAATAAGCATTTCTTGGGTTTTTGTTTTGTTTTTTGCTGAAAACATTTGAATATATGGCCTTTAAGAAGGAAGGAAGGAAGGAGGAATGAAGGAAGGAAGGAAGGAAAGGAGGAAGGAAGGAAGAAAAAAAAGAAAAGAAAAGAAAGAGAAAAAGAGGGAGAGAGGAAGACAGGCAGGAAGGGAGGGAAGTAAGGAAAGGAGGGGGGAAAGAGAGAAAAAAGGGGGGAAAAGAGACAGAGAGAAGAGGCGGAGCGAAAAAGGGAAAGAGATGAAGGGAGAGAACCAGGGAGGAAGGGAAGAAGAGAGACTATTGACATTGATATCTTGAAAGCTATTAGAAATTTGCAAAAAGAAAAATAGAAGTGAAATGTCTGTAGAAGTCTCCCATGATCCTTTTATTATACCAGGCAGAAGATTATATTAGGCTGTCCTCTGTATTTTGGATTTTTAACATACACATTGGAAATTGATATTCGAAGCCCTATGCCCTACATATAGTAGTTCCTCAATAAACGTATCCTGAAGATACTGATTTTGCTAAATCCATTTCCCACTTCCTTTTTAGTGACTCCTAATAATCCTCAATATTAAGTTAAATCAATAGTAACACAGGTATGGAAATCAGCATTTAAAAACTCATGTAATCATTCATCCTATCAATCAATAAATATTAATTACATTTCAGGCAGTGTGCTTAGATGCTGGGGTTTTAGCCATAAGCAAGGCAGACATGGTTATTGCCCTACAGCTTATAAAATCTAGCTACAGCAACATTTAAAAACCACCATCATTATCATCATCATCATCATCCTTATCATCATCATCCCAGCTAACACGTATTGAGAACTTCCTCCGTACCAGCCACTATTCTAGCATTTTACACACATTAATTCATTCCATCATCATAGCAAAGTTGTAAATAGGTAATAATATTGGCCCCACTTCTCTGATGAAAAAACTGAGACCCTAAGAAATTGAGAAATGTTGAGTTAATTTCAATACAGTGCTAAAGTTGTTATGATCCATATGTGATGGTTAAAATAATTCTTAAAAGCAGCCATCAGAATTGATACAGAAAGAGGATTAAAATTCCTCTTCCCCCACACACCCTCCCTCTGCTTTAAAAAAAAAAAAAATTCTGGAAGTCTTTAAATATTTTCAATTTTAATTTTATATTTTACTTTTCTAACTTCTTAAGAACAGAATCATTGATGATAATGGTTACAGTTGTTTTATATATTTTATGTTTTAGAACTTGTTTGTTCAGTTAGAGAAGATAATACACACTATGTGATGTGATTCAGAGTCTTCCAAAATGAGGGGAAAGGGTGCAGCAATGGATACATAAGCAAAGGAGCTCCCCTTGGGAATTTAAAGCCCTGTTTCATTTTCTGACTTCACTACATAGACTTGCACACCATCCAGGCCTGCAATTGGATAATAACTGTGTCCAGCAACCCCTGGGACCCAATCAATTTATCAACTACTCTTCTGGAGAGATTTTTGGTTACCTCCATCCTGTCTTGTGCTGTGGGGTCTGGCAAAGTTGAAGGGTTGCTAATTGCCATGTTAAATTCTCCTGGCCTCAGCTATTCTCTCCCTTGTGTGTCTCAATCTTTCAGTCCAATTGGGGATGTCCGTAGGAATTTATCTGCACGCCGGGAGCTCAAAAAGCATTTACTGCTAGTTTGTCTGTATCAGCAGAGGAGAAAGGTGGTTTTAGTCAGGGTAGCTGTGCTCTGCATTTTATGATGCTGTTTCATAATGGGAGGTTGCAATCTTCTGCCTACAATAAGATAAAAGGGAAAAGAATTCACAACAACTTGTGTTTGGGGGAAACATTTTCTTGAATTTAAGGTTATCTATCAAGATAACAGTTATTACTAATGTTCTTACCTGATGTTGTCTAAATAAAGTCCATTAACTGACTTTACATTTTCAGGTCCGGTTGCTATAACTTTATTATAGCTGTCAATACCCTGTTCAGAATAATAATTCTAGCATTGATTTCTACTTCTTCTTTGCTTAAAGACCGTTTGGCATCTCAACTGAATTTCTTGAGTTTAAAAAATTCGTGACATTGGGTGGAGGATTTAAAAAGTCATCAGGTGAAAAAAGTCCCTAGGTGACCTTCCCTATGCAATATTTAGACAATTTTATTCCCTTCCACAAAATATAGAATCAGTGACTTGGAGTGATTATTTTTCTCCCTCTACCTTCAAATTTAAAAATATTTTTAGAAAGCATGGGATGCATTGACATCGTTTTTGAAAACTCATTATATAAACATGGAAATGCTTGTTGGTTAACCATGACGCCATCCCTGATCTGACTGATACATGTTTAAACTCATGTAAGAACATACACACACTCACACACACACACACACACACACACCCTCTTCCTATAAAAAAACTCAAATTGTGAAATAGTACAATTTCTTTCAGAGAGAATATATTTGACATATACATGTTAGAGAATGGGCTTTGTTTCTCAAAGATTAAAGAACAACGTTATTTGCATTACCAACCAAGGGCAAGATCCACAACATTTTTCTCTCTGGGCAGAAGTAAGAGAGGTGAACTGATGATGTCAGGTATATTTGAATATTATACGACTAACTAACGTGGTGGAAGATATGCTGCTGGCACTGTGATGCAGTCATAGTGAAGGTCTATTTCAAAGGAATATGGACTGAAGGACCCGTAGGTGCTCTCGACAGGTCCTTTTGGCCTCCTTCCTGCTTTGAATGCTGCTTACTCTCTCCAGACCTAGTGATGAGGGCTGATGCTCACACTTACTAACAAAGGGCATTTAGAGATCTGGATTTTATTTCTGAACCAGCCAAATCATGCTCATTTTCCTAATTATATTTCTTCTCTTTCAGTTAGGTCTTAAACTCATAGACTTCTCAAAGTCCACCTAACATGGTAGAAAGAGCACCAGCTTTGGACTCAGAAATACCTGAGTTATGATCCTGACTCTGGCAAGGATAAAGCGTGAGGCCCTGGGCAAATTATTTAATCTTTTGGAGATCCAGATTTCTTAAGTGGAAAATGGAAATTTGCCTGCCTTGCAGAGCTGTTTGTGAGAATTTAATAAAACTTCACAAATATAGTGTCTAGCATAGTATAACTTACATTGGAGGAACCGAATTATAATAATAAAGGAAAATAAACAGGTAAATAAAAACATAATGTATTGTGATCTGGTATTTTTGTTTTTCCTTTTTCAGGGACTGCAATGTCATTTCTGGGGAAATACTAGTTTTCTAATGAAACAGTAATTAAATTAAAACCAAAATGAAATATCATCTCACACATGTTAGCATAGCTATTTTCAAAAAGGCAAAGATAACAAGTGTTGATGAGGATGTGGAGAAAAGGGAATAGATATACATTGTTGGTGGAAATGCAAATTAGTACAGCCATTATGGAAAGTGGTATGGAGATACCTCAAAAAATTAAAAATACAACTATCATATGACCCAGCAATACCACTTCTGGGAATATAAACAAAGGAAATAAAATCCAGATCTCAAGGAGGTATCTGCGCCCTTATGTTAATGCAACATTATTCAAAATAACCAAGATATGGAAATAACCTAAATGTCTCTCAATAGATGAATGAGTAAAAAAAATTGTGGTATACACACACACACACACACACACACACACACACACAACAACAACAACATGGGTGAACCAGAGGATATTATACTATGTGAAGTAAGCCAGACCTAGAAAAAATAATAGTGCATGAGCTCACTTACATGTAGAATCCAACATAGGCAAACTCACAGAAGCAGAGAGTAGAGTTGTGGTTGCCAGGGATGGGGATGGAGTGGGATGGCAGGAAATGGGAAGTTGTTGATCAAAGAGTCCCAAGTTTCAGTTACACAAGATGAATGAGCTCTGGAGATCTAATACATAGTGCAGTGATTACCATTAACGATGCTGTATTATACACTTGAGAATTGCTAAGAGGATTGATCTTAAGTGTTCTCTGCAAAAGAAAGAAAGAGAAAAGAGGGAATGGAAGGGAAGGGAAGGGAAGAAGGGAGGGAGGGAGGGAGGGAGGAAGGAGGGAAGGAAGAAAGGAAGGAAGGAAGGAAGGAAGGGAAGGAAATGGTAACTATGTGAGGTGATAAATGTGTTTATTGGGTTTAGTGCAGTGATCATTTCACAATGTGTACATATATTAAAATGTCAAGTTGAACACCTTAAATATATACAACAGCTATGTGTCAATTATGCCTCAATAATACTGATTTTAAAAAAAAGAGAGAGATTAGTTTCCAGGTGCTTTCCCCCTTTACAAAATAACAATGAAGTTTAAATCTATTTCTCAGCTTCTTTGACACAAACATTGAGTGGGATAGTAAGAAATTGAATCGTTGTGTGAGTCTCACAGAAAGTCCTAAAAAATAAATGCTTTATGGGCAGTTTGGAAAATATAGTAAATGTAGTAATTTTATTTTAATTTTCTCATTTAAAGAACATTCTGAACACCAATTAGCTGTTTAGACTTGACTCTATCATTTCAAATATGAAGCCACACTCGAAGCTTCTACAAAATATGGTGTTAAGTCAGGGTGATGGTCAAAGTCCCTTTGGTTTCTGAAGGCATTATGATTCTGTTGCACACAGCTGGGGAAATATAATTCTGAACTCTCTGAACCCAGGAAAGGATCCTTCTTTCCATGTATCTAAGTCACTTCAGGATCACAGAAATCACCTTTATTGGAGTGTTCATAGATGCTGCCTCAGTCAGCCTCTAGAAAGAGGGCAACCTTAAGTTTACCTCAGACTAATTTGTATTTGAGGATTGGTGTGAAGCAAGCCAGGCACCTTGAATCTTTTGGTTAAAAAATTGTTTTATCATTTTACAATTTAACAACCAATGTTCAATATGAAAACAGGTGGCAAAATGACGTACTGAACTTAGAAGTTTTAGTGCTCTGGTTTGAATGTGCCACCTCCAAAATTCAGGTGTCTAAACTTAATGACCAGTGCGATAGTATTAAAAGGTGGGGCATTTAGGGTGATTAGGCCATAAGGGCTCCTTACAAAAAAGGCTTCACATAGAGTCCTACTGGTTTGCTCTTCTGCCTACCACCATGTAAGGACACAGCATTTCTCCCCTCTGGAGAAGACAGCAACAAGGCACCATCTCGGAAGTAGAGAAAAACCCTCACTAGACAACTGAACCTGCCAGTGCCTTGATCTTGGACTTCTCAGCATCCTGAACTCTGAGAAATAATTCCTTTTCTTTATAAATTACTCGGTCTTAGGTATTTTGTATGGCAGCATGAACAGACTAAAATATTTAGTCTCAGTTTTTTACTGGCTGTGCTTCTCCAAGTGTCTTAACTGCTCTGTCCTTTGATCCTTCACTTACTTGAAAAAAAAAGGAGGAAGGGCTTTAACTGGATGGTGCCAGATTTCCTTCAATAATAATAGTTATAATAATAATTATAAAAAGTGAGAGAAAAGTAGCTCCCTTGAACAAATCCAGTATTATGATTATAGGTGAGACCCTGAAGTAGGCCTGAGTTAAAAGAATTAGCTGTGTGACCTTGGGTGTTTTAACTTTCTCACACGTAGAGTGGGAACATGAGGAATACGGTCCTCAGAGGGCCATTATGAGAGTTAACTGAACAATATACATAAGGTGCTGGCCACAGCTCAAGAATGCATGTCAGCCAGTAGTAGTAGTGGCGGTAGTAGTGGTGACCAGGAACTAGCTTGTTAATTTAATTCTCACAGCTTGCAACCTTATAGATTAATATCCGTATTTTATAGAAGAGGCAACTGAAGTTCAGAGAAGTTAAGTAATTTTTAATATGTCATATGGCTAGGAAGTAACAGATTTTGAAACTAGTTCTAATTTTAACCAGTAGCATACTTTTAAGATCTGTAATACCATGAAAATCCTATTTTGATTAGAATTATAAAATTATGCTTACAAGTTAGTTGCGCTACCATTTTTGCTCCCAAAGCACTTTATGCGTATAACTAGCAAAGCATTCATCATATCTTATTACTTTAATTGTTGTTTTACTTGTCTCTGACCCACAACAGAGAGTGAGCTTTTTGAAGACGAAGATCATGGTTTACAAAGTCAAGAGATGCAAACACTGGCACACAGTAGATATCTAGGAGATGTCTTTTGAACAAAATATATTTTAAGAAAATAAAAAGTCTATAGCACAACAAAACAGAACAAGACAAAAACAATTTCATTAAGTTAATTTGACTTTATGGAAAAAAAGAAAAACAGAGACCAAGGAAATGTTTTTGTCAGGACAGTCAGGTAAAGGGACATTGAAAGTAAGATACTAAGTTTGCCTTGAGGCAGGAAACAGGCTTCATTTTCAGATACTTCCTCCTGCAACAATTGCTCTAAACTAAGATTTTACGGTTCTTGCAATATACATAATTAAAATTAATTTAAAATTTTTAATATCCAGAGAAGCTTCAAATTTAGTGACCTGACTATTAAATTTGGACCAAAGAGAGACTGTTTAGTTTCAAAGACATTCTAGGAGAAATTCAGTGCAGTTGATGTTTCATATTAAAATTTATACCATCCATCATCCTAATAGATTATCCATATGATTTGTCCATCACATTATGAGAACAAAATGCTATCTTGTCTCCTTGATACTGTGTCTTAAAAAAAAAAGAAAAGAAAAGAAAAGAAAAAACCACACTGTTCCTTTTCTAGTTTTTTTCTTTGAAGTTGTTCAGAGCACACAAGGTCTGGCATCGGGAGTAATTAGAGTAAACCATGCAGAAATCCCAACGGAAGAGGGCAGGTAGGATAATGTTTGCTGCATTAAAAACTTAAAAAGAAAGCTCAGTGTTTTAGAGGACAAGAAGGTGAATGAATCCTTACTAGAAAAATTAAATGAGTGAATCGGTTTTACCTGTCTAAATTGGACTTCCCCGGCCATATTTTGAGAAGCAATCATAATGACAGGAAAAGCCTGATAGGGAATTTGTAATAATTAACAATGCTTTACACATGATAGGCAGACAAATGTTTTTGAAGACTATGACCAACAAAACTGTGCATTAAAATCACCTGAGATGCTGTGTCTACCCCAGCCCTAAAAAAGAAAACTGAATCCCCAGTCTCTGGGGAATGACCCAGGCCTCTGCTCCTAACAGTTTCCTTGAGATATTGTAAGGTTCTTTCTACAATATGAGGATGCCTGGCAGACACAGTTCCCTTACAAAAAAAGTCTTTATTTTCTCCAACTAGAATTTTAGTATTTTCAGTTAATTTGGTCTGTATCAAACACATTACAGGCAAGATGTTTCTATATCTCCTTTCCTTATAAAGGGAGAATGATGAAAATTATTTAAAAACAAAAATAGTGTGAAAATAGGGTTCCTGGATTTAGAAAGCAAAAATATCCCAAACGTTACATGGGGCATACTTATACTAAAAAAGTATTTGTTGTTTATTTCAAATTCATATTTCACTGGGTGCCCTATATTTTATCTGGCTGCTCTATGCAAAAAAGGCGGAAGTCACAGCCTGAAGGTAGCTGGTACACCATTTGCAAATGACCTCACATGTGAATTGATGCAGAAAAACCTACATTTGTCACCTAAAATAATGTACCTAATCTAAATTTTAAAAATATTTCCTTAGTTTAGAAAATAGGAGTTCAAAGGAACCTTAATAATCTAACGGCCTGTATTGTAGACTTGTTACAACTTTTCTTAATTCACCTTTAATTTAATGCAGTCAGTTGCTGTATTTTAAAGAACTAAGTTTTTATTCAGTGAAAGTGGCCTGAAAGAAACCTAATTGTCCTCCAAACTAAATGTTGTATTTAATTTTGCACCTGAGCAAGGGGATTTTTAAAAAATTATCAACACTGAAATGGACATACTACCAAGACCCCCAGGAAGTCACACATAAAGTAGTCAATGTAGATAAGCCTCTCTCCTGAACTGAGACCTGCCTCTGGGCTCTACACAGGCCTACAGGTGTGGCCACAATTGGAACAGGTGTTTCCACATGTGGGAGTTGGGGTTTGAGTATGTATTTGCTGCCTTTGCCTTTTCCTTTGTGTCATTCATTGTGGCCATGCGTGTTCTCAAGCTGTCCGACTTCTCTGCCTCACTTTATGCCTCCATTTGGTAGAGCTGTGGGCTGTGGTGTGCTATTTCTTTCTTGCTTATTTTTAGATGATTGTTAAGTACTTTTTTTTTTGTCTTGCTGTTTTGAGACTTCTGAATCAGACTTTTTGGTCACAAACAGAGGGAGAAAAAGAGAGAGACAGAGAAAGAAGGATGAAGGGAAAGAGAGAGGATGGAAGAGGAAGAGAGAAGGAGAGAGCGATGGGGGTGGGGGAACAGTAGAAGCATTATTTTTAAGAGGGGAAAAAAAAGCCTTAGCCAAAGACAGATGACCTTGCCCTTGTTCTGCTTTGACATGGGAAGTTGAACTGCCCCAGGAAGTCATTAACAGACCAGTAGTGACTGTTTTGTCAGGTCTTATTGTTTAATTAGATCACAACTTAGATCCCAATTCTAAAATCCTTTTGGCACATGCCATAATTCCCAGTACTTAGTATCAAATACTTCCTAGCAGCTGCCTGTGTAAGGCAAAAAGTAAGTAAATTCAATATTTAATTTTTTAAATAACAGACTCTTAAAGTTTCTGGTTGTTGATCACACAAATCTTTTGTAAAAGTAATTGCACCCTGTGGTTCTCAAATGCTCAATTTGTCTTCAAGGCTTCTTTTGAATCATAGTAAGTGCTTTGCACCATACCTGGAGAATTGCAAGTCTTTAGTCTTCCCAATCATATCCTGGTTTGAAGATGCATCTTCTTTGTGTCCATTGACTATGACCTGAACTGCTTCTGAAGCAAAACAGAATCAAAGCTCTAAACCTATGGAAGGAGAAGATGTGTGGCAAACTATTTGTATTTGGTTCTAATATTTCTGGCCTATCAGAGCTGGGCTTTCTGGATATGAATCACAAAATTTAGTGGCATCCAAAAATTAGAGGAAAGATCTGTAGGATCCCAGAAATCCTTGGCCAACAGAACATTTTTCCCTTCACCCAGTTTGTTTCAGATACTAGATATTTTCAGCATAAAATGTCTCAAATGTTGGAACTTATCACTTTTCCTCCAATGGCTCCATCCATAGACCAATGGATCTGGTTATTAAGATTTTTCTTCTGGAAAACCAGCTTGCATTACATTTTGCTCAATTTCATTCCACTGCCCCCAGTGGTGCTACTATAAACACATCTTTCAGGCCCTTTTTTCCCTCTTCTTCCTATTTTTCTTCTTTCCTTCCTTCCTTCCTTCCTCTCTTCCTCCCACCCTCCTTCTTTTCTTTCTTTCTTTCTTCTTTCTTTCTCTATCTCTTCCTTCCTTCATTACTTTCTTTCTTTTCCTCTTTCTCTATTTCTCTCATTCTTTTTTCTTCCTTCCTTCTTTCTTTCCTTTTTAGTATTAAAATAGACAATTATTTATTTATTTATTTATTTATTTATTTTTTTATTTATTTATTTATTTTTTTTGAGACGGAGTCTCGCTCTGTCGCCCAGGCCGGACTGCGGACTGCAGTGGCGCAATCTCGGCTCACTGCAAGCTCCGCTTCCCGGGTTCACGCCATTCTCCTGCCTCAGCCTCCCGAGTAGCTGGGACTACAGGCGCCCGCCACCGCGCCCGGCTAATTTTTTGTATTTTTAGTAGAGACGGGGTTTCACCTTGTTAGCCAGGATGGTCTCGATCTCCTGACCTCATGATCCACCCGCCTCGGCCTCCCAAAGTGCTGGGATTACAGGCGTGAGCCACCGCGCCCGGCCGACAATTATTTTTATCTGTAGTGTCTTTCTCCATTTAACCAAGCTCTATATGTTGTGTTAACATTTTATTTTACATTTTTCTCTCCATTTCATAAATCTGTAGAGTTATGACTTTGCTTTTCCAAATATCATTGTTTGTTTTCAATATTTTTCCAAAGTGTAATAAGTATTATGTAAGTTTTATTTGTAGGGGGTATAAGAATACTTAGGAAAGATAACAGCTCAGGTTGGTGAGATGCAATGAGATTTCTGGAGGAAGTAATGCTTGGGCTTAGTTCTGAAGGACAAGAAGTAATGTGGAAAGGGGTTGAGGGAAAGCTTTCTCGTCTGAGACAGCACCAATGTATAGAGCTTGAGGGTAGTGGATAGGGAGAACAAATGAATAAAACTGCAAGTAATCACAATTAAAGGGCAAATTGTAAAGGCTGAGCAAGAGGTGATAGATAAGGTGAAAGAAAAGCAAGGATCAAACTGCAAAAGACATTGCACACTGCAATAGGGTTTGATCCTTATTCTAACTGTAAAGGTTAGTGATCAAGGGCTTTAAGAAGGAGAATAATCAGGTTCCTGTTTCTGAAAGATAATTCTTGCACATGTAGACAATGGAATAGAGTAGTGGGGAAAAAGGAAGTAAGAGAGAACAGTTTGAGGGATATACTAAGCAAGAAATAGCGACCTAAAGTTAAGTAGTAATAATGCAAACAGTAGGTAGGTAGGTGGAGTCTACACAACTTGATGACTAGCTGGATTATGAAACTGAGAGAGACAGGCAGTGAAAGATGACTCTAAACTTCCTGGCTTGGGAAAATAAGGAAATTGCAGAAATGACTCAGGCATTTATTGAGAAAGCAAAAGCAAAGATGAAAGTTCCAATATGGACAGCAAATGAAATCCATTTTGAAATGTTGAGTTCATGGTGCCTGTGATACACTCAGGTGCAGATATTTAATTGCCTGATTGAGTCACAAATATGGGATTTATCAGTCTACAGAGGATAATAAAGTCTTGAAAATAAATGAGATCACCCAGAGAGGTTTTTGAGTGAGAGTGGAGTCCAGGACAGACTTTGAGAGAAAGCCAACATGTGGACAAAGGAAAATTAAGCCATGGAAGATTATGATAAAGAATAACCATAGAGACAGGAACAAATCAAAGAAAGTATTATGTCACCAA
The DNA here is from genome assembly GCF_000001405.40 of Homo sapiens. Taxonomy (NCBI): domain Eukaryota; kingdom Metazoa; phylum Chordata; class Mammalia; order Primates; family Hominidae; genus Homo; species Homo sapiens. The sequence goes on along the minus strand of NC_000001.11, from coordinate 87,869,427 downwards.
AAAGAGAAAGAAAAATTTCAGGAAGTGCTCAATACCATCAAATAGAAAAATCGGTACTGAAAGATTATTGTATTCAGTAGCAGGGCAGTCATCAGTGACCTTGTCAAAATGGTTTCATGGTAATTGTTGTAGATACCGATTGCGTTAAAATAGTTGAGTCTGTTTTAGTAACTTGTGTCTTTCAAAGAATTTGTCCATTTCAATTGTTGTACTTGTTAGAAGGGAAGTTTTTGTGATATTATCATATTATTACTATAATCTCTATAGGATACATAGTGAGCTCCTCTGTTTCATCCTGAATGTTAGCAATTTATCTCTTCTTTCAATCTTGACCAGCCTAGCCAGAAGTTTATCAATTTTGTTCTGTTTTTCTTCAAAGGAGCAAGATTCGGTTTCATAGGCTCCCTCTATTCTTTTTCTATTTCATTACTTTCTTCTCACCTTTATTATTTCCTTTCTTCTGCTTATTTTGAGTTTAATTTGTTCCTATTTTTCATTTCTTAATGTGGGAGTTTAGATTATTGGTTTTAGAATCTTTGTCTGTTTCAATATAACCATTAAAGCTATAAAATTTTCTCCAGCCTTTAGCTGCAACCCATGATTTTAATATGTTGCGTTTTTAGTTTTCTTTTTTTTCAAAATATTTTATAATTTTCCTGTAATTTCTTCTTTGTTCCCGTGGGTATTTAAAAGCATGCTTTATTTCCACATACTGAAGATTTTCAGGTATTTTTCTATTATTACTTTCTAATTTAATTTCTTTATCATTAGGTAGCATATACTGTATTATTTTAATTATATTTCTAAACTTATTGAAAATTACTTTTTGATTTAGAATATGGTCTAGCTGAATGTTTCAAACAGTCCTGAAAAAAATGTGTATATTGCTGATGCTGGTTGCAGAGTTCTATAAATGTCAATTATATCAAGTTGTTTAGTATTGTCCAGGCATCTATACTCTTACTATCTGTCGATTTGCTCTATTAATATTTATTCTTTCAGTTTATTCAGATTTTGCTTCATATTCCTGAAGCCCTATTATCAAATGCATACATATTTAGGATTGTTTGTCTCCTTAGTGGTTTGATCCCTTTAAGATCATGAAATTCTAGGTAATATGCCATGTTCTGAAATCTGTTTTATCTGATATTAATTACATCCACTCCAACTTTTTGTAATGCTCTGGGTTTTCATGGTATAACTTTTTCATCTTTTTACTTTTAACCTATTTGTGTTTTATATTTTAAATGAGTTTCTTGTTAACAACATGAAATTAGGTCTTTGATGATCTATTCTGACAATTTCTGTCTTTTAATTGAAGTGTTCAGGCCATTTAAATTTAATATAATTATTGATATTTGTCAGTTTAAATTTTCAACTTGCTTTTTTTTCTATTTGTGTCATCTCCTTTTTGTTCCTTTTTTACTCTTTTCCTGCCTACTTTTGGATTAACTGAGTATTTTTAGTATTCCATTTTATCTCTACTATTTACTTATGAGCTATACTTTTTTTTGTTTTGTTTTTCAGTGGTTTTTCTAGGGCTTACAAAATGCACTTTTAATGTATTACAGCTGCTTTTCCACCTTGGATGACTAACCATTCCTGTTTGCCAAGGTCTGTGGGTAGAAGTAGGGAGTTCCCAGTTTTTAGGACTTTTAGTGACCAAACCAGGAAAGTCACAGGCACACGGGAATAAAATGGGTTACCCTGCTCTTCATATTTATTATAAGGTCCCTAAACAGCATACTATAAACCCCACAATATGTTACCATTGCTTCCAAATTAAACAAGTATATTTTAAAGAATTTTAAAACACACAAAAAAATCTGCTATGTTTGCCCACATATTTACAATTTTTTGCAATCTTGTTATTTTTTGAGATACATGTCTCCATTTGGTATCATTTTATTTCTGCTGTTGAGCTTCATTTTACATTTCTTATAGTTCATGTCTGCTGATGACACCCTCAGTTTTTGATTTCTGCAAAATCTCTTTTACCCACCCCCCCTTTGTATGGATATTTTCATTGAGTGTAAAATTATAGGCTGACAGCATTCTTAGTACTTTTAATATGCCACTCCATTTCCTCCTGACTTTGATAACGTCTCACAAGAAGTCTTTAGCTTCATATCTTTGTATTTCTATGTAATGTTTCTTTTTTCTCTATTTTTAAGATTGTATGATTATCACTGTTTCTCTCAATATTATTTCACCTTCCACTTCACTCTGTGTGTATGTCTGTTGCTGGCGGGGGGGCGGGGGGGGTGTTCATTCTTCATTAAGTTTACATTGAGCTTCTTGGAATTTGGCTTTATAGTTTTTAGCAAATGTGAAGATGTTTTGGCCACTATTTCATCAAATATTTTCCCCCTCTTACCCCCAGGACATAATTCGTACCTTTTAAATACTTTATAATGTTCCATAGATCACAGAAGCTTTGGGGTTTTTTTTGTTTGTTTGTTTCTTCTCTTTTGCTTTATTCTATTGTTATATGAAAGACTACTGATTATTTTATTTCATCTGCAGTGTCTATTATCTGTTGATATTAACCTCATTCAGTAAAGTTTTCATTACAGAGTTATATTTTTCATGTCTAGACTTTTTATTTTTCTCTGTATCTTTTTATTATGTACTTTTGTTCTAAGTAGTTTACATAGTATAACAGTTGTTGTAACATCTTTTCTGTCTGCTAGTTCTATCATCTCTGTCATGTCTTATTCTGTTTCCATTGACTGATTTTTCTCCTAATTGCATATTTTAGTTTTTTAGACTATCTAGTAATTTTGGATTGGGTGCTGAACATTGTCTGACTGTTTGGATTTTGTTATCTTCATATGTATTTCTGATTCTCTCTCTCTCTCTCTGTCTGTGTGTTTAAGTTACTTGCTGTGATAATTAATTTTATGTGTCAACATGACTAGGTTAAAGGATATTACGATAGCTGGTAAAACAATATTTTTGGTTGTGCCTGTGAGGACGTTTTTGGAAGAGATCGGTGTTTGAAAGAGTAGACCAAGCAAAGAAGATCTGCCCTCACCAGTGTGGGCAGGCGTCATCCAATCCATTGAGGGCCAACCTAGAAGAAAAAGGTGGAGAAAGGGAAAATTTACTCTCTCTTTTGGAGCTGGAATATCCATCTTCTGCCCTCAGACATCAGAACTCCAGGTTCCCTGGCCATCAGACTCTGGGACTTACACTAGCAGCCTCATAGTTTCTTAGGCCTTCAAACTGAGACTGAGAGTTAAACTACTGGCTTTTGTTTTTCTCCAGCTTGCAGATGGTGTATCATGGAACTTCTCAGCCTCTATAATTGCATGAACCAGTTCCCGTAATAAATCCTCTCTTCTACATTTATAACTGTCTGTCTGTCTGTCTGTCTGTGTATCTATCTGTCTGTCTGTCTGTCTGTCTGTCTATCTATCTATCTATTCTATTCTATTGCTTTTGTTTCTGTGGAGAACCTTGATAAATATACTCTATCAACTTTATCCTTCCAGAACGTGTTTTAAGCTTTGTTAGAACCTCTAGACAAGTCTTCGCTCTAGTAATTACTCAGTCCCATTTCTAAGGCATAACCCCTCTGGGGTCCCAGATGGTCACTAAGGATTCTCAACTCTAGCAGTTGGGAGGTAGAACACCTTTTTGTCCTTTGTGAACTCTGGAAGTTGTTTGTTTAACTCACCATACTCTACTTGTTCTTTATACAGATTTATACATGCATGGCCTAATAATCAGCAAGACTCAAAGGGAAATCTACACTAATTATTGAAAACTTTTTCTTAATGACTCCCTCCTTTTGGAGTCTGTCCTACAACTTACAGCTGTCTCTGCCCCCATTAAATTTCAAGTTCACGTCCTAATCCCAGGGGGCTCTGGGTTCTGTTTAGGTTTCCATCCCTGTACTCACAGGCTAGAAACTGACTCCAGGGAGAAATACAAGGGGATTATAGGGCTCATCTCTTTTGTTTCCCTTTTCTCAGGGATTATAGTTCTATGCTGCCTGTTGTTCAATGTCTAAAAACAACTACTTTATATATTTGTCAAACATTTTAATTATTATAATGGGAATTTAAGTCTGGTCCCATGATGCTTTTCTATGATGGCAAGCAGCAGATGTCCAACCACTAAAATTTGGGGTTGTTTGTTAAAAAGCATTAATGTATCAATCATTGACTAATACATATAATTTCTATGTGCCAGGCTTGTCACATTAAGGATATCAAAATGATCAAGAAGTAGTACCTGCCCTCAAGCAACTCAGGGGGTCAGGCATACATGATAAAGCAATGTATTCAGTGCAGTGATAATGCTATACACAGGATTTTATATAAACGTTTTTAACTTGACTTTAAGTACTATTGTTCACTTGTAGTATGAAACTCTAAGCTGGGTCTTAAGGTATTAATAAGGGTGATTTTAGGTCAAGTATAATATAGGGAATAGATGTTCTATGAAGAAAAGACAGCATGAGAAAAGGGAAAAAAAGAAATAGAAGGTTGTGGTTAGGAGACTACAGGAAGTTGGGCATTTGTGAAACAGAAAGTGAGAATCAAAGAGGCTGGAAATAAGGCCAATATCAAACAATGCAGGGCCTTGCCAGCCACGTTAACGAGTTCGGCATTATCCTAAGGTACAGAAAGCCACTTAAGTGTTTTAGGAAATGGATCCATGTGTAGACAATATATAGCGTGGATTAGGGAAGAGGTTACAAGACTAAAGGCAAGGCTACTTCAATGGTTGAAGAAAGACACTCACAGTTCTGAACAGGGGTTGTGATGCCTGTAATGAAGAGGAAAAGACAGATTTGATAAATAATAATTCCTCCTCATTTGTGAGTGTTTATTACATTCCAGACTCTAAGCATTTTGAATAACATTAACTCATTTATGACCCTCAGACTACCCCGTAAAGTAGATACTATTGCTATCACAATTTAATGAGTAGGAGCTAAGCATGGCATGATTAAGTAATCTAGGTTACACTGCCAATAAGTGGGAAAACTGAGACTTAATCCCAGACAACCTGACTGCAGAATTTATATTCTTAATAAGTATATTGTACATGGGCTGGGCGCGGTGGCTCACGACTGTAATCCCAGCACTTTGGGAGGCCAAGGCGGGCAGATCATGAGGTCAGGAGTTTGAGACCGGCCTGACCAACATGGTGAAACCCCGTCTCTACTAAAAAGACAAAAATTAGCCAGGCGTGGTGGCATACACCTGTAATCCCAGCTACTCAGGAGGCTGAGGCAGGAAAATCACTTGAACCTGGGAGGCAGAAGTTGTAGTGAGCTGAGATCATGCCACTGCACTCCAGCCTGGGCAACAGAGCGAGAATCCATCTCAAAGAAAAAAAAAAAAAGTATATTGTACTAATTCAGAAAGATTACTTAGAATATAATTTCCTTCTAATTTATCTGACTTTCCTTCTTAACTGGAAATTCCCAGAAGGCAAAGACTATATGTCTAGATCTTTGAAATATCCCCAGGACAGAAAACAACAAATTGGACAGATAAGAGGCCTGCTATCCCAGAGAGTCAATAAATAAATAAATAAATAAATAAAAAGACTATTTCAGAGAGTGCTATGAGCAAATAAGATAAAGTAAAATCAGATAAGGAGATTTTTCAGAGAGGGTATCAGAGAAGTTCTCTCTGAGAAGGACTTAATATCAAGAAAGAGGTAATATTGAGCTTAAGCCATGTAAGTGTCTGAGATTGCCTTGGTCTAGGAATAGAAAGAAGGCCTATGTTTTAGAAACCATGAGGGAGAGAGAAAGTGGGGTGTGATAATATCGGAGAGGAATATAAAGCCAGATCCATTCCTAGAGCAAGTCTTGTAAGAAATTTGCATTTCATTTCAAGTGCAATGAAAAGTGAATGGAGGGTTTTAAGAGGGTTGGGGGAGAATGATAAGATCTGATTTACATTTGAAAGGAGACATTAGAAAGTGGAAGGGAAGGAAGTGAAAATTAGAGAAAGGAAGCTTAGAATTTAAGGTATAGAGATGGACAATTCTGTAAGAATACAATCTAAGAAATGGCTGTGTTTGGGGATCATTGGAGTTTAGGAGAAGAAATTTGAGGTTAGGATATTAGTTTAGATGCTTAAATGTTTGAGAATAATAATTGCTGATGATGAAGTGACATGCTTATGTCATCCAGAAAAAGGAAAAAAAAATCTAGATAAAAACTTAATGATGGGAAAAATTTGGCATAGACTTATGACGTTAATGGGAAGAAGAAGAAGAAGAAGGAGAAAGAAATAGTTGGACAAACCCTTGAAGCACTAGTGTGCAATGAGTAGAATGACAGACTCTAATGAGTATCAGGAGGATAAAGTTTGGTTTCAGTTAAAGCAATAAAATAAATAAAGCATTTGAGAAAATGGTGACTATAGGTGAGCAGGTGATAAGAAAGCATGTGTGCCACAGTCGACAATATGGGATTATCACAGAAAGGATGAACAACTTACATAAGAAGTAGCCTCTACATTTGCCCACTCCAGGTCTGATCCCAGCTCTCATTTATAACTTCCAGAGTCACCGTGATTTGGAATGAACCCACTGGCAGTTATGGACAGAGAAAATATTCCCAACTCATTTATAAAAATATAGTAGAAGCTTGGTGTAAGTGTGCCAAAATGGCTAGGAGACAAGGGGAAGATAAAGCATCTTGATTAACTCAAAGCAAACAATGCTAACAAAGATTGAGTGGTAGAAGGTGAGAGACAGAGAAAGATACACAGGCAGACAAAGAAAGAATGAAATTAGAGAAGGATGCTGAAACTTGCAAGAAAAGAAGAGGCAGGGCACAGAAGCAAGCATAAGATGTTGGTTTTGATGTACTAAGATAGCATAATACAACTGGACTTCAGTGAAATAACTGAATACATTTCCTTGTCCATTAATTTTGGTAATCTGATCAAAAAGCATTTGGGTTTGTGAAAAGATAATAGATAATAGAACCAAAAGAATTCGGGTAATTTTCTTTTTTAAAAATATCATCTAACCTCTATATATATGAAAAGTAAATGCTCCCACGAGGGAATAAAACATTCAGCAAACATTGTTTGGCAACTATGAGCAGGTTTCTCATATGGTTACTAAAATGAGTTATATTCAATCTTCAATCTGTATGTTCATTCTGTGTATCTCTTAACACTGGCCTTAGGGACTCCATACATCTGCTATAAGTCACATATACTCCATGAAAATGAGAATTAAAAATTATAGCTGCTTCATCCAATAAGATAGTAGGGAATCTCAGCTGTTACAGTCTTGTAGGAAAATTTTTTCCAATAATGCTTTAATCACATTCCCTGGGAAGCGTATTGGGTGCTATTGTTTTAACGAATGTGTTGAATTGTTGCTTCACAATGGAGAGCATACTGCAACATTTCGGAGGTGGCATAGTCTCTTAGCCCCCTCAGAGGAGTATTAACCCTGAACTCCCAGCTAGACATCCATCAGCTGACCCTCCTGGAGCTGTCATAATTTCCCAACATGCCTCTTTGCTCCAATCAAACCACCCTGCTTACCATTCTCTGTATATGACTTGATAATTTTAGTACATCTTGCTCTGAATCATAGCATGTCAGAGCTGAAAAGGCTCTTAGAGATTTAGACCAGCCCTCCTCAATTTACACCTGAAGAAACACATTTCAGTAGTCCTTCAAAACCTATCTCAAAACTCACTTCCCACAGATTGCTTTCCCTGTTAAGTTGTAGCAGCTCTACACCACTCTTTTTCTTTTTTCTTTTCTTTTTTTTTTTTTTTACTTCTTTAGCTAGTATAATTTGTTTGTTCAGGAAGAAAGCCCTGGATACGTCAATGTGCCTCTGTTTCCTTTGCTATGATAAGAGGGCTATATTTGATGTTCTCTAAGATCATCTATATTTTACATATAGTATATTATAAATATTATATACGTGGTATACTATATTTTGATTCTACAAAATTCTTTGAAACCTCTTATTTTTTATAGTTGTTCTTGGTCATATATGCAGGCAGTCCTTGCTTTGCACGCTACTATGTTAACTGCAACTGGTGTGTACTGGTACCTATTCCTCACTTTGCAACATTCCGTGGGTCCAAGGTCAAATGTCAGTTACCACAAAACTGTGCAAAGTAAAGAATCAGTGCCAGCATGCATCTGTTTCAGCTAACACTGCACAGTGCAAAGTGAGAACTGCCTGTGTTTTTCTACTCCTTAGTGGTAAACATGGGCTGGGGACTTTTTTTTTTTTCCTTTTGGGGCTCATTGTCCAGTTTTCTTTGAAGAACTGGCTTTTCCTTAGTAGATAAACTGTAATTCAAGGACATTATCCTTCCCTGGTAAAGGGGGAGCATGTGACCGGAACTAGGCCAGTCAGACATTCTCCCTGGTATTTATGACTTGAACCACAACAACACAAAAACTGAAAAGAGCTGGAGGAGATTCACCTGACAGTATTGTCCTGAAGAGACCATTTGCTAGTTCCTATTTAATAGTTCCTGTTAGAAATGGTCCAGCTCTTGTACTTTCTAAGGTCTGATTCTTTAGTTTTTCTTTCAATTCTGAGAATTATCTTAGATCTTTGTACTAAATTCTCTTTTTACTTAAATTGTGCAGAATTAATTTCTGTAGTAAGTGACAGAAACACCTTCACTGATGTAGTGTTTCTTATTTTGTTTATCCAGCACCTTTTTTCCTCCTACAAACTTCACAAACCAATAACATTCGCTGATTGTCCCTCCAATTTCTGAGTACCTACGGATTTCTTACTGTTTTGTAATCAGACTCTCACCCCATTTAAACTCCACCTTTGAGAGTTACTTACTGCTAAATATAAAGGCTTTTTTGTTTTGGGTTTTTTTTTTTCTTTGCAATTTCTTAACCTTTTAGACATTTCCATGTAGCATTTGATAGTGTGGAAACTCTCACCCTGCTTTGTTCTCTGTTATGACAATTTGGCCTCACTTCTCTAACAATTCTTTCCTTCTTTGTACAAGTCCTTCTTCTTCCTTTCATTTCCCAAATACTGACATTTCAGTCCCTGTATTCATGCTCCTGTCCCTAGCCCTCTATGTTCTACTACGGCCTATGTTTTTCAGCCTGGGTCATTCTTTTCCCAAGCCCAGAGTGTAGGAGAGTCTGCTGAAAGTGAAGGCAGAGGTTACACAGGGCATATCTTCTTAGCTTATCAGGTTTACTTGATACTTGGGGAGGAGAAAACATTTTGTTTAAATTAATGGAATATTAGGATGAATTTTTAAGATGTGGACTTTTTTTCAGTGTGTTATTAATACTTGAGAGGTATCCATCAACTTCCTCCCATCTACCCTCCTCACTCAGGCACAGGCAGAATATGCTGGCAGTCTACTCTGCCATGAGGCACAATCTAGAAGCAACTTTCAAGAAGCACCACTCAGAATGACTGTACTTACTCTTATGACAGTATACAAAGTGATGAAGAGTATGGGCTCTGAGATCAGATGGGTATGGTTTGATGCTCCAGCACTCATGTACTTATGTGAACTTGGGCAAATTATTTAACCTCTCTAAGTCTCCTCATCTATGAAATGGGGCAATGATATCTACTTTATAGGGTTGATGCAAGAATTAAATTAGATAATGCATGTAAAATGAAATCTATTTAATGAAAGCTAATTGTTGCAGAGAACTACTATCTATATAAATTATCGCCAAACTTTTATGTGTAACCTAGGCATCTTCTCAAGTTCCAGTCCTTAACTACAATAATCTTTTAGATGTCTTGCTTATTCCTTAAATTTCATGATCAAAACTGAGGTTACATTGTCCACCTTAAAAAAAAGTATTGACTTCAGACTTCTCTATTTTTGCCAGTGACACCATCATTCTTCTAAAATTAAGGTGTAAACATCAGATTTTTCATGTAGATCTCTTGACTAGACTGAAACTCAGAATCTTGCTTCTTCAGTGTCTCACTTGATCTCTTTTTAAATTTTTTTTGTTATAATTGATAAACCTACATTGACACATCATTATCACCCAAAGTCCCTTAGTTTACATTAAGGTTCATTCTTAGTGTTGTATATTCTATAGGTTTTAATAACTATATAATGACATATATTCACCACAGTACCATACAGAAGTTTCACTGTCCTCAAAATCCTCTGTGCTGCACCTATTCATCCCTTCCCCCATTGATCTTTTTATAGTCTCCATAGTTTTGCCTTTTACAGAATGTCATATAGTTGATGTAATCTTTTCAGATTGGCTTCTTTCACTCAGTAATATACATTTAAGTTTATTCAATGTCTTTTCATGGCTTGATTGCTCATTTTTTTTTTAGCATTGAATAATATCTCATTTTCTGAATATACCAGAGTTTATGTATACATTCACCTACTGAAGTTCATCTTGGTTGCTTCCTAGTCTTAGCAATCATGAATAGTGCTGCTATAAACATCCACGAGCAGGCTTTTATGTGAGCATGTTTTCAACTAACGGGTATATAGCAAAGAGTGTGACTGTTGGATCTAGTGGTAAGAGTATATGTAGTTTTGTAAGAAAACTGCCGAACTGTCTTCAAAAGTGACTATACCATTTTACATTCCCACCAGCAATGAATGAGAGTTCCTGTTGCTCTACATACTCACCAGCATTTGGTGGTGTCAGTGTTTTGGAGTTTGATTATTTGCATAGGTGTGAAGTGATAGCTCATTGTTGATTTAATTTGCAATTCTTTAATGACCTATGCTGTCGAGAATCTTTTCATATGCATACTTTCCATTTGTATATTTTCTTTGGTGAGTTGTCTGTTCAGGTCTGTTGCCCATTTTTTATTGGGTTCTTTGTTTTCTCATTGTTGAGTTTTAAGAATTCCTTGTGTATTTAGAATAACAGTCCTTTATTAGATATGTCTTTTGCAAATATTTTCCCAGTCTGAGGCTTGTCTTCTCGTTCACTTGACAGGGTCTTTTGTAGAGCAGAAGTTTTTAATTGCAACAAAGTCCACTTTATCAATTCTTTCTTTCATGGATCATGTCTTTGGTGTGGTATCTAAAAAGTCATACCCATTGTCATTTAGATTTTCTCCTTTTTTTTTTTTTTTTTTTAAGACAGTCTCACTCTGTTGCCCAGGCTGGAGTACAGTTGCGCTATCTTGGCTCACTGCAAGCTCTGCCTCCCAGGTTCAAGCCATTCACCTGCCTCAGCCTCCCGAGTAGCTGAGACTACAGGCACCTGCCACCACATCTGGCTAATGTATTTTGTATTTTTAATAGAGATGGGGTTTCACCATATTAGCCAGGATGGTCTTGACCTCCTGACCCCGTGATCCACCTGCCTAGGCCTCCCAAAGTGCTGGGATTACAGGTGTGAGCCACTGCGCCCAGCCTCTCCTATGTTATTTTCTAAGAGTTTTATATTTTCACATTTTACATTTAGGTTTACAACCCATTTTGAGTTTTTTTTTTTGTAAAAGGTATAAGATCTGTGTCTAGATTCATGCTTTTGCATGTGGCTATTGAGTTTTTCCAGCACAATTTGTTGAAAAGACTATCTTTTCTCTGTTGTATTCCCTTCGCTCCTCTGTCAAAAATCAGTTGACTGTATTTATAATCCCTTTCTTTTTATCCTCACAGTGGCTGTTTCAAGCCCACTATTAACTATATTAAAATAATTTCCTACATGATTTCTCCCTAAACTTCTCTTTCTCTATTCACTTTCATGATGACCCTGTGCTAGATTAATCTTCCTAAAACACACTACCATTCATTTACCAATGGCTCCACATTGATGATAAGCCTTTGAAGTTATAAAATCCTAAAACCATAGCTTATAAAGCTGGAAGTAACTGAAATTATCAGTCTAACTTGTCTCTAATTCATCATCATCAGCTTCAATATGTCAGAGAAGCAGTGTCAATCCTTATATTATTCCCAGTGACAGAGACTTCTCTATCTCAAAAGGAAGCCCATTTCATTTTTGAACAGCTGCAATTGTTAATTGTTCTTCTAATATTGAAGTAAATATTTGTCTTCATCTACTTTTTTCCATTGGTTCAAGTTCTTTCTGCCAGAACTTATAGGATGAGATCAGTACATCTTAGGGAGACTTAGAGCACAGGCTCTGAAGCCAGACAACAAGTGTTCAAACATCAACTCCATCACTTACTAGCTATGACATTTTGAAAAATTAACTTAACCAGTAATAACGGAAATTATATTATGGAGTTGTAAATGTTAAATGAGTTAATACTTGTAAAGGGGCTTATGATACCTCTTGGCATATATAAGTCTTCAATATATATGAGATATTATGATTAGCTATTTTATCATATGATGGTTCTTTCAAATATTTGGGGGTAATCATGCCTGTTTTCGATTTTTTTTCTTTGAGCTTACTACATCCAGTTTCTTCATCATACATGAACATTAATTCTAGGATCAAAAAGACTTGAGTTTGAATATCAGTTTTGCTTCTTCCTGGATGTATAAACTTGGGCCTGCTACCTAACCCACTGAAACTTTATTGTCATATGTGAAAAGCGAGAACTATTGCACCAGGCTGAATAATAGATCCCAAAAGATAGCCAGGTCCTAATCTGTGGAACCTGTATTACTTTCTATGGTGAAAAAAATGCAATTAAATTAAGGATGCTGAGATGGGGAGATCATGTGGATTACCAAGGTGGGACCTAACTGTAATCCTTATAAGAGGAAAGCAGAGGGAGATTTCACTACAGAAGAGAAGAAGGCAGCATGACAATGGAAGCAGAGGTTGGACAGATGCAGTCACAAAACAAGGAACGCCAATACCCACGAAAAGCTGAAAGAAGCAATGAATAGATTATCCCCTGGAGCCTCTGGAAGGAGGCTATTGATACTTCCATATTAGCCCTGTAGACTCATTTTAGACTTCTAGCCTCCAGAACTCACTGGGAATAAATTTCTTATGCTTTAAGCCAGCAAGTTCTTCATATTTGTTACAGAAACAATAGGAAGTTGGTATAATTACATTTATCAAATTGAATTTTTTGAGAGTCTCGAATGAGAAAAAGAAACATGTATAAAGTCCCTATAACAGTGCCTTATATAAGTAAGTTGACTGTGTCCAGATACTTAAAAATATGACTCAGACCACAGAGAGGCAAACGGATTTAAGGAGGTTAAAGACATGTGAAGGTGGCAAATGACATGTTTATTGCATATTCCCCATAAGAAATGAAAGTGACAGCAGGCTGGTGAGAAGTGGGAATATTTCAAATATTTTTAGATGGTAGAGAAAACGTGGTCACATCACAGATTACATGTAGAATAATATAGATGAAACAAATTTAAAAGTCAAGATTGACTTCCAGTTTCCTGCACTGAAAAATCTAACCATCTACTCTTGCTTTTCCCTTTGGGGACCTATGATTCACATTTGCTGGAGGTGCAGTTGTTAGGCTGCAGCAATGGAACAAAATGACTGTCCCACTTTTCCGCTGGCTTAATATTAAACTTTTCCCAGATACCATCACAATCTGCAAATAATCAGAGCTGTTTTACGCTTGATTATTTTTTAAATTCAGCATTTATTTCCTTAACATAAATACTTATGGCATGTGCAACTTTGCATGTGCAACTTTGTTCTCTAACTTCAGAATGGACTAAAGTCTGGCACAGTAACAGTAATCTCAGGACCTTCCAAAGTACTGCGCTCCATAGGGCGATTCTCTGGAAAAGAACAGTTAGAAATGGAAGACCTGTTTCAGGAAATAAGGTACACCTTCCAGAAACATTGGCAACAGTGTTACAGTTCTTCCTTCCCCTCAATAATTTGACCAAGAGATGCGTGTGTCCCGTGGGTCTCCATTTAGTATGTGGGGTGGCCAAAAAAATAAGAAATTGAAAGAAAAATGCCATAGATCAGTTGCGTTTGTCTGGGTGCACAGTTTACGTGATGGATATTGGATATCGAATTCTTTTTCTTTATATACAATCAATTACACTGGCCAATTTTTTTTTTTCTAACCTGAAATCTATGCATACCTGCACATTGTAGTTTTCCAGAGGACATATTATAATCATCACTGAATATTTATTGAGAACCTACTGGGCACAGAGAACTGCACTAGGCATGTGATCAAGAGGGAGACTATTTCCAGCCAAGTCCTTTTGTTTCCATCCTGTTCTGGGAGTAATAACATACCTAAGGAAAGAGGAATTCTACACATAATCAAACTTATTATCTGATTTGATCGTTATTTTGATTGCTACTTATGATTTATAATAGAGGTCATTATTTTATTACATATTTTCTGTATATAATTAAGTTACTTTAAATGAAGACTTTCATTCAGCTCAAGTTAGTAAGAACAATGTATTTCTGATTTTCTCATCATCAACTGAAAAGAAATTGAGCCACAAAAGATATTATACTATTGAAAAGTTTTTTTTTCAAAAATTTAGTATGCATTGTATATATAAATGGGAAGATTGATGGCATTTAGTATGAGATAAATGTCACTGTTTCAAAAAATTGTCAGAAGTATGTCAAGGAAACTAAGTTCCTAGTATTCCATGTGGGGCTTGAATTCTCTGATCATATTACAAGTTTCAAGTTTTAAGATCATTTTATTATAGTTGCATGTATATTTTGCAAGACAAAAGGGCCAAATTGATAAAAGAAAAAAGAAAAATCAGTGGCTTTCAAAACAGAATTTCACATTTTTCATTGTTAGTGAGTTGGTTTATATGTCAGGCAAACTTTGATCTTAAAATATCTTTCAGAGGCATGATTTCCTTCAGAGACTATTTTCTGTCTTGATACCCTCAAAAGTGAAACAAGAATAAATATTTTGTTCCATAAAATATCCCTCCTGTGACTATTCGTATCTCTCAAACTTGTTTTTTTGTTTGTTTGTTTGTTTTTGTTTTGGTGTGTGTGTGTGTGTGTGTGTGTGTGTGTGTGAAGGAAGTTGTAGCCAATTTCTTGGGAGATGTTTTTAGCTTTTCAGAAAGCTTCTCTCTCCTTTAAACAGGAATCATTTTCTAACATCCTAAAAATTGGGGAGGGGAATATTCGCATAGCACATAATCTTAATTTAATATTCAATGTCCACAGCAAATTTCTCCTTAATTTCTATCCCTTTATCTCTCTTCTCAAATCTCTCCCGTCCTCTCTTCCTGTGCTTCCTCTCCTTCTTTCTCCTTAAAAACATATTGCGTCATGCATACGGTGAGAGAATGTCAGCAGTTGTTCACTGTTCCTTCCCACTCTGACCTGACAAGCGGAGGTGCCTCACCCTTCTGGCTGGGCCATTTAGCATTAAAGCCATTTGGGTACATTCTGTGCATCTCTCAGATAACAATTCTTCATTATTGCACCAGAATCTTCTTGGAAACCAAGCCAGAATTAGTCAAAAGCACACTCTCTGATGACAAAGAAAAGTCATCGGGACTATGTTTGGGCTATATTTAAACTGAATTTAAGATGAGGAGGTCTGATATGTGTTTCCTTCTCTGATAGGAGAGCTAATTTACTTTCCCACTGACTCCTATTTTTGTTAGCAGAATTTTTGAATTAGTTGTGTCCTAATTAATTCAGTCATCAATGTAAATTTGGATATTTTTGCATTCTTAGCTCTTCCTCAACTCTTTTGCAGTGTTTATGAAGACATCATGACTAATGGAGGCAAATGATCAAGTTTGGTAGAGTCACCCTGGTTTATTCACCACAGGGAGTCCAGCTCATCTTCCCATTACTGAGAATTCCACTGCCAAACTAGAATTCTGCCCCCATCTAAGACAAAACTTTTTTCATTTCTTTAAGGAATTCATTGCCTACAATTACCCCAAAAGAGATGCAGTCAACATCAATACTTTCATAAAGGATCCATTTCAAGAATAGGTCCACTACACAAAGGATAAGCTCGTGATTTCTTTTTTTAGGTTGTACATGCTAAACCTGGTGGGAATTTCCATTTTATGCAGCATTTAAACATAGGATGACTTTCCTCATAGAAAGTCCCTAACTTGTGAGAAATAAAACTAAAATCATGAGCTCCCTTCGGCTGATTGAATAGACCCTGTCTTGGCCAAGGGGACTCCAGAGAAATCTTAAAAACTGAATTTCCAGCTATGATTGACCAGAGATTGGACATACCTCAGTATAACCCCTCCCCAGCTGATCGCCATTAGGCTTTCTTTCCTAAGAGTTAAACAGAAATCAGTCCTTTTAAAAGACTTGTTCCACCACCAATATCAACCAACCACCTGATGCCGCCCCTCCCTTTTGTGGTTTTGGCATAACAAATGACCAGCATTTCTTCCTAACGAGGGACCACCAACCACCAGGTGGTTCTGACCAGTCTACAGAGGCTGTGTACAGAGGCCCTTCATGTCCTCAGCTTCACTTTTTTTTTTTATGTATTTGGGCCTAATTGTAATACATTTAGTTGTTAAGTCCACCCCAAAGTGACTGTGGGACACATGTTGCATGCCTATTAGCCTATTACGCATACCTGTGCCTCCCCTTTGTGAATATTCATAGCTCCTCCTATAAGTTGTTGAATATGTATATTTGGCCATCCCATTCAGCATAAATCCCTGTTTTATTCTTTCTACCCTTTAAGTGCCTTTTTCTGGCTCCTGACCGGAGGCTACACTTCTCCAGCCTGTTAGAATGGCTGCCTGCAGGCTGCAACCCTTTATGAGAAATAAAGCTCTCCTTTCCAAATTTATGAACTTGTGATTCTTCAGTTGACACTTATGACTTTAAGACTTAATAATAACCTGAGAATATGACTAAGCCATAGCCAACACAATTTTGCTTGCTCTTCACCTTCCTCTCACCCTCACCATCCACTCCACCCTTGCTGGGTAATAAACTGGGCTTTGTTTAACAAGTTCGAGTGCCAGGCCCAAAGTGCTACCTTATCTTATGAAAACATGTACAGAAAACTCATTACTGGCCTGGATTTACCTTCCCAACATCTGAGTCCTCACTCCACCTCCAAGAGCTTCCTGGGAATTTCTGCTCCTCTGATTGGAAAACAGATACAGATTATTTCTCATTTTTCAAGTTAAAATTCACTCACTAGAGAAATAAATAGCTTATTCTGTGTCCAGAAGAAAATCATCTACAGGCAGTATCTGACTGGCTAATAGTTTGTATCCATGCTTAAACTTTATTTCTCAGTCAAATGTTTGGAATTTCCCATATAAACCATATAATAAGTGGTAGTTGGTTTCCCACAAAAAGTTCTATTCTATTCATGATGCACTGGAATACTATATTAATAGTACCATTTATTCTACACCTAGGCACAATGCATCACATAGATTCCATGGGAAAACACACTCATACATACCTGGAACACATTTTCCTTTCTTTTCATATTAGAGCATGACTAGAAAAGTGAAGCACTTTTAGGGTACTAGAACCAGATGTTTATTGGCTCCTTAAATTACTCTTTCAATCAATCAACTCTTCATGTATTCAAAATAAAGAATTGTGGACAGAAATCCCCTGGGGTCAGAGACACCAGACTCAATCTCTACGTTAATCTACTGGATTGACCACAGCAGATAAGGGATACATTATAGGCTGTACAGCCAGAAAGAGCAAACTTTAGATCTGGGTTCTACTATTTATTGGCTATTATTCTCTTTAAATCTCAATTTTCTTTTAGGCGTATTGAGAGTAGTAATCTACTGCATTAGGCTTTGGGGGATTACTTGAGATGGTATGAGAAGTACTTAGCACTGTGCTTTGCACATTTTTCCATTACTGAGCTCTGACCTGACAGTGGGGGGGCTCATCTACAGAATGGTGGTTGCGGTTACAGAAAGCGTCTTTTGTCAACTACCTCACTGTGATTTTCCTTCCCTCAACTCCACTCACTCAATACCCGGGAGTGGACCTCAATGATGTCTGTAATACTTGAACCTGCCAACTTAACCACAGTTAGTCTGGACTGGACGTTGACTCAAGCTGGACTAAGTAGATTTGTTTTCCCAAATTTTGGATTGTAACTCAAGAGCCTTACACTGGAAGCTGGGAACTATTTCATTTTAGTGACAGCAATCAAGAGACAAGATTCAGAAACTTACAATTCAGGTTCCAAAGAGCCCCTGGCTCCTATTGCACTCAAAGCTTATTAATCTCTTCTTTAGATTCCATGAGATATATAGATCTTTCCAGCAGATCTGCTTACCACCTGTTTTCTTAGTTAAACTATCTGCAGTTGGTTTCTGAAGCTTGCAAAAAATGTTTTAAAATATAATTAGTAGTAGTCATTGTAACAGTAAGAATGATAGCAGTAGTAGTAATAGTGGTGGTATAATCCAAACTCTGTTTTCTCACTCAAAGTGTTACACAATCTGGCTTCCACATTACATTACATTTCATCTTTGTGTTTAATTTACATCCGTGATGATAGAGTTCAGATTTTATTCTTAAATATATGAATCCATAGAATATATATGATACTGCACAGAGAAATCACTCATTAAATATTTGTTGAATAAATGAAGTTGTGAAGGAAATACAATTAGGTTAGACATGTAAGAATCTAAAGTATGTATTGAAAAACAATGAGGCTTCTATAAAGTACTTTAAAGCAAGGTATTTTAATAGGCATGGTAAAATTCTGTACATCTGTTGATGCTGCTGAGTTGCTTAATAAATTATATCAGGATTGCTTAATAAATTATCTTTCTCTAAGCTAAATACTAGTTTATAGAGATTGAAAGAACAGAAACAGGTAGCCAAACGTTTTAAAATTCTAATGAGAAAAAAAAGAAAGAACCCCTAAAAGTAGATCATTAATATAAAGAGTGTCTTCATAAAAGTAGGTATTTCTCTACTTGCCAAAACACTGTCGCTCCCTTCAACCTACATAACACTTGCTGTTGTAATGGACATATATCATAGTGACTTCTGAAGGTGGTTTTTTTGCCTCAGGATTTGAGGTAAGTGACTGTTGAGTGCAGGTTTTGTAAACCGTATGGAATTGGGTTGGCTTTTGGAACTTGTAGGTTTATCTAGGAGGTACTGGTTGCTTGATGGAGGATTCTGACTTGCAATGCTAGTTACCGAAAAAGGCAAAAGATTATAAAAATGGGAAGTTGGAAAAACACCTGTAGAAACAACCTTTAAATCCTCCTTGCCAAAGAAATAGAAGCTCGTGAGATTATTTGGATATAAATACTCAGGCGACTCTACTGTCCTCCTGGACTTTCTACACGGGATTATGCTGGCAGAATCTTAACTTGGCCTTGCTTCTGCTCTATTGTTTGAAAGGATAGAGGGTTCCTTTGTGGAGAGATGAGAGGAGAACAAATATGTGTTTTAATTTATTTTTGTGATAAATATCACTGAATCAAAATTTAATGCTCTCTTTATATATTTTAGTTTGATACTCATAATGCAAGAAGCAGTCATTTAATAAGAGATTGAAATGAGCACTTGCTAACAATGAAGTCATTATTTTAATGAAACCTGATCAACTTTCCTGAATAATTTGGGATTTTTTTAAACAACATATTTCAAGGCAGAAAAAAAGGAAAAGACCATACGTTTGGCAGAAATGAAAAATGGTTACTATGGCAGCTTGATTTGGACATGGAAAACCTGTTTCAAGCTATTCATAAACCCAACTCTTGCAAACTATTTATTATGTACAATAAATTATATGAAACATGTAATGAAAAAACAAGAGTGATTTGTTTTAGAACTCAGAGAGTTAATGAAAACTATTTGAGGAGGAAGGACTGGGTAAAATGTGGATCGTGGTATTCCCTGCTGAACTAGCTTAATGAATTTTTATCCATTCCAAGAGGACGCCCCCCCACCCCCCCGCTGCACACCCACTCTTCATTGGTTCAATACAAATGTCACATTCTTTAAAGAAGAAAAAAACTTGGAATTTGCCCTAACCAATAAATGTGCCATTTTCAGAATTCAAATACAATTCATTTAGCCTCTGTTTTTCATGCCCGAGTGGACATCTCTCATTACACACCCAAGGCGAAACTTAGAAATAGCAGTGGAGGTAGGGATGGATGTATTGCCAGTCTTCATATTCCGAGCTATTTATTCTCTATGAGTGCTTAAAAAGGACAGTAGGAATGTGTTTTTAAGTGGGGCATGTGTGCTCCTGTGAGTCCAGAGAAGTTGGCAATTCTGTGTCAAAAACTTGTATTTTTGCATATGTATGGCAAAAGTAAAGACTTGATTTCTGATTTTGAAGACACATAATCTAATTGGCAACACAAAATTTACATTCACTATACAAGAATCAGTAGAAGCAATATGTAATCAGGTATTCTATAATTTTATTTGGATAATAAATGCCATGGAAACTTTACAATGGGGCAAACAAATTTGGATGGAAATAAGGGTAAGTGACGTGTTGCTGTATTTATTTAAAAACCTGAAGGCTTGTGCTTTGTAGAATGGAAACAATTTGGAAAAGAAGTGAAGAATCGGGAGACAGAGAGGTATTTAAGGCAGGGGCCTGGTGGGCAGGACAGTGTGTGCTAATCAAAGCAGTGCTTAGTATGTGTTAAAAGTATGATCCTATAAAAGGCAGTAAATAATTCAACCTGTGTGCAAAAATCTATTCAAAAAAATGTGGTGGCAACAGAATGAAAGTAAAATCCTATAGTACAGTCACTGAATCTGTGAAGTAGTCAAAATAAACTCTTTCTTTATAAGCAAGATTAAACAGAGCTCTATCCCTGGAGCCAGACTGCCTGGGTTGAAATCCCAGCTCTGCATTTACACACTATGCCATTCTCAGTGTCTCCATTTCTTCACATGTCTAAAGGGTATGGATAATGCCTTATTTATGTAATAGAATTATGATGAGGACTAAATGAGTTAAAAATTGTAAAGCACTTAGAATAGTACCTAGCACAAACTAAGCATTTTATCAGTAGATATTAAAAGAAAAAAAAATTAAATTGCTTGCCTAATTTTTAAATACTCTAAAATATCTGTCATCAAGAAAATTTTAGAATGAACTTTCTTATCACATGCCATCTTTTATTATAATTTTAGATTTTAAAATTTTTAATGTCTCTATTGAGGTATAACTGACATATAATAAACTGTACATATTTGATGTGCAAAATGTAAAGAATTTTGACAAATAAACAGCAGTGAAACCATAACCACAGTCAAGATAGTAAATATATCCAACACCCCAGAAAGTTTTCTCCTGCCCAGTGTAATCCCCACGTTCATCTCTGCTCCCTATATCCCTGTCCCCTACATACCTGTCCCCAGGTGACCATTTATATGTGTTATTTGTTACACATTGGCTTGCAATTTCTACAATTTTACACGAATGAAATTACATATGTATTCTTGGGAGGGGTGGTGCTTGACTTCTCTAATGCAGCATAATTAGGTTGAGGTTAATCCATGTTTTTTTACATGCTTATCCTTTCTAATTGCTGAGTGGTATTCTTCAGCAATACTACTTGTATAGATAAGACTACAATTTGTATTTCCACTTACCCATTGATGGATGTGTGGGTTGTTTCCAGTTTGGAACTATTAGAAATAAAACTACTACGAACATTTATATATAAGTTGTATATGGCCACATGCTTTAATTTTTCTTGGGTAAATACATAGAAGCAGAACAGCTGGGTCATATATTAGTATATTTAACTTTTAAAGAAGCTACTAAATTTCTCCAATGTGGTTGTAGCATTTTACATTCCCATCAGCAGTGGTCCATTCCTTTACATGCTCATGAACACTTGGTAGATCAATGTTGTAATTTTAGACATTCTATAAGGTATTTAGAAATATATCATTTTGGTGTTAAGTTGCATTACCCAAATGATTTAAAATGTTGAGCATAGCATGTGATTATTTGCCATTTATATCTTATTCAGTGAAGTATCTGTTTAAATCTTTCACAATATTTTACTGGGTTGTTTGCTTTCTTATTATTGAGTTTATATTTCTCCCAGTCTGTATCATATTTCACTTTCCTGTCTTTCAATTAACAGTTTTAAATTTCCACTAAGTCCAATTTATCAATTTTTTTCTTTTATGGGTTATGCATTTAATATACCTAAGAAATCTTTACCTAAGCCAAGAGATGATTTTCTCCTGGGTTATTTTTCTTGAACTTTTATAGTCTTGATGTATTAGGGTTCTCTAGAGGTACAGAACTAATAGGAGATATCATATATATCATACATATCATATATATCCTATATATATACATAAAATGAGTTTAAGTATTTATATATAAACTTATATATATTATATATAATATATTATATATATTATATATAATATATATAATATGAGTTTATTAAGTATTAACTCACACGAGCACAAGGTCCCACAATAGGCTGTCTGCAAGCTGAGGAGTAAGGCAAGCCGGTCTGAGTCCCAAAACTGAAGAATTTGGAGTCCGATGTTGGAGGGCAGGAAGCATACAGCACAAGAGTAAGATGTAGACTGGGAGGCTAGGCCAGTCTCATCGTTTCACATTTTTCTGCCTGCTTTTTGTATTCTAGCTGTGCTGGCAGCTGATCAGATGATGCCCAACCAAATTGAGGGTGGGACTGTCTTTCCCGGCCCACCGACTCAAATGTTAATCTCCTTTGGCAACACCCTCACAGACACACACAGGATCAATACTTTGTATCCTTCAATCCAATCAAGTGGACAGTATTAACTATCACACTTGGGTTCCATATAGGCTATTTAAGTCTATAGCCCATTTTTTAGTTTATTTTTCCATAGTGTGGCATATGAATTGAAGTTTATTTTTTGACATGTGGATATTCAATTATTTTAGTTCTATTCGTTGAAAGGACTATCTTTTCTCCATTGAATTACCTTTGTCCCTTTGTCAAAAATTGATTAACCATGTAAGTGTGGTTCTGTTTCTAAATGCTCTATTTTGTTCCATTGGCATATTTGTCTATCATTACACCAATACCACACTGTCTTGATATTTGTAATAATATCTTCAACTTTATAATGTCTTGAGATCAGGTAGTGTATGTTCTTCAACTTCATTCTTCTCCAAAGTTTGTTGGGCATTTCTAGTTCATTGCATTTTCATATGAATTTTAGAATCAGGTTCTTAATTTCAATATTAAAAGATTATTCTTAAATTCTTATTAGGATTATATTGTATATCTAGATATACAATGAAGATAATTAACATCTTAGCAAAATCAAGTATTTCTATCTATGAATCTATATTTCTCAATTTATTTATGTCTTCTTTAGCAATGTTTTCTAGGTTTTAATATCATTTACATCTTTTTGTATATATATCTTCATATTTCATTGTATGCTTTGTGACATAGATTTTTAATTTAATTTTAATTGCTTGGTGTTAATATGTAAAAACACACTGATTTTGTGTATTGATCCTGTATCCTGCAACCTTCCTAATTAATTCACGTTTCCATGGTATTTCCTACATAAACAATCATTTTATATGTGAGTAAGAAGTGTTTTACTGTTTCCTGTCCAATCTGGATGTCTTTTTCCTTTTTTGTCTTATTTTACTACCTAAAGCCCTCAGTACAATTTTAAATATAAGTAATTATAGTACATATTCTTTCCTTGTCCCTGATCTTATGGCAAAAGCATTCAGTCCTTCATTATTAAAAATGATTATGTTAGATGTAGATTTTCCACAAATGGAATTTAACAGTTTGAATAAGTTTTTATCTATTCTTAGTTTGCTGAGGTTTTTTTATTATTATTACAAGTGGATATTGAATCTGCCCAAAGCTTTTTTTGGTCTATTGAGATAATTACATGATTTTTCATTTTTAGTCTGCTAATATAATGAGTTCTATTCATTGATTTTCAAATGTCAAACCAAACTTGCATGCCTGACATCAATCCCACGTGGTCATGATGTATTTCCTTTTTCTATATTCTTGGATTAAATTTGTTAAAATTTGCAATAATAAAAATTGCACCTGTTTGTTACGTATATTGATCTGTAGGGTTTTTTTTTTTTTCTTTCTATTTGGTGTTGGTACTGGAATAATGCTGGCTTTACAAAATGCATTCAAAGTATTCCCTTCTCTTCTCCTATGTACTTTTGAAGAGTTTTGTTAAATTGGTATTATTTCTTCTAACAGTGGCCCAATTAAAACATCTGGGCTTGTAGTTTTCTTTGTGAGAAGATTTTTAAATGCATAACAATTCCTTAAATATATATAGGACTATGTGGGTTACCTATTTCTTAGAGTAAACTTTCATAGTTTGTTACTTTGAATAAATTTGTCTATTTTATCTAAGTTGTCAGGTTTACTAAGAGTAACCTTTCCTAATTTTCCTTTGTGATCCTCTTATTATCTGTGAAATCTGTAGTGATGTCACTTCTTTCATTCATGATATTAGTAATTTTATCATCTAAGATTTTCCTGATCATGTAGTTAGGGGTCTATCAATTTTAGTGATCTGCTCAAACAACTAGCTTTTGGTTTATTGATTTTTTTCTATTAAAATGTTTTAAATTGATTTTTACTCTGACAATCACCACTTTTCTTTATTCAGTTTACTTTGTTTTAATGCTTTTCTCCTACTTTCTTTAACTGAGGCTACTGATTTGAACCTTTAATTATTATTTCTAATTAAGTGTTTTAGGATATAAATTTTATTCTAAACATAACTTTTACTACATCCCACAAATTTTGATATACTATGTTTTCATGTTTATTGATTTCAAAATAGGTTCTAATTTCCATTTTGATTTCATATTTGATCCATGAGTTATGTAGTATTGTGTTAATTAGTTTCAACTATTTGAAGATTTTCCAGAGATCGTTCCATTATTTACTTTTATTTACATCGTAATCAGGAAATACACTTTGTATGCTTTTAATCCTTTTAAGTTTTTTAACACTTGTTTTATTGCCTCGTGAATGACTTATCTTGGTAAATACCCTGTGTGCAATAGGGGGGAAAGTACATTCTGCTGTCTTGTGGTAGGGTGTTGCTATGGTTTGAAAACTTAATCCCCAAATTCATATGTTGATTGGAGGGTAGAGCCCTTGGAAGGTAATTAGGATAGATAAGATCATCAGGGTGGGGGCCTCCATGATGGCACTGGTGACTTTCTAAGAGAGACATTTGATCTGACACACATGCATGCTCTTGCCCTCTCATCTAGTGATGCTTTCCACCACGTTATGACACAGCAAGAAGTCTCTCAAAAGAGGCCAGTGCCGTGCTCTTGAACTTCCTAGTCTCCAGAACCATGAGCTAAGCAAACTTTTTATTTCTTTATAAATTATTCAGTGTGGTAGTCTGTTATAGCAACAAATCAAACTAAGACAGCTGTATAATAAACATCAACTACATCTAGATTGTTGGTATGTTTTTCAAATCTTCTATATCTTCACTTATTTTCTGCTTACTTGTAATCTCTATCTATAATTACATATTTATCTATTTCTCCTTGAAATTATATAGATTTTGTGTTATGTATAGCTGTTATTAGATATATAAATATTTAGGATCATTATCTCCTCTTCATGATTTCACACTTATTATGAAATATCTCCTTTATCCATGGTAATAATCTTTGCTCTAAGATCTACTTTGATATTTATATGGTCACTCCAAACTTCTTTTGATCGATGCTAGCATGATGTGCATACCTTTTTTCCATCCTTTACTTTTAATTTGCTTGTGTCTTTATATTGAAAGTGTGTTCTTATAGGCATAAACAAGACCTTATACTTTTATCCAATCTGATAATAGTCTTTGTCTTATAATTGGAGCATTTAGACCAATCATCTTTAATGTAATTGTCTATTTAAAGTTGCACCTTAACTCCATGCTTTCCACCACAACTCCATCCTTTCCACCTCAGCCCAGATACTCCCAATGCCATTTTCTGCTTGATTTTGTCTTTTGCTCTTATCAACATCTGACATAATTATTTTGTTCCACCCTCTGGGACTCTTTGCCATTTCTTGAACACAAGTTTTTGCCTCCTTTTGTATTTACTGTTTCCTCTGCTTGAAAGAGTCTTCTGCCAAATATCTATGGTTTGCTTGTTTCAGTCTTTCTTCAAATGTCACCTTTCCCATGGGATCTTCATTGATTATTATATTAAAAATTAAATATTCACTTGATGTAAAACATTATCCGTATTATGTATGGACTTCAAAATACCTAAGTTTTATGTTTCCCTCTAGCACTCTATTTCGTGGAGGCAGAACATTTCTTAGGATTCAAGAAGTAACTATAGCAGCTGGGAGTGGTGGCTCACCCTTGTAACTCTAGCACTCTGGGAGGCCAAGGTGGGAGAATCCCTTCAGCTAAGGAGTTTGAAACCAGCCTAAGCAATATAGTGAGACCTCATCTCTATGAAAACTTTAAAAATTTGCAGAGTATGGTGGTACGTGCCTGTAGTTTCATTCACTTGGGAGGCTGAGGTGGGAGGATCACTTGAGCCCAAAAGGTCAAGGCTGCAGTGAGCCATGATTGTGCCACTATACTCTAGCATGAGTGACAGAGCAAGACCCTGTCTAAAACCACCCCCCCACAAAAAACAAAAAAGAAGAAGAAGAAGAAGAAACCGTATATCTAAGGTTTCGAAATTGATGTCACAAGTCTATATGGAACAAAACTGAGAGCTCTTGGTAACTTGCCCCCCAAAAACTTCATTAATCTTATTTTGCATACAATCCTATCAACTGCACTGCCCAGCTTTCAGTTCCACAGCAAAGTAGAAAATGCAATGTAGTCAGAAAATATGTTTTTATAAGTCAGCACCCGGACAGGGGACAGGGACTAACATATGTTTATTTTGCACTATGCATGAGACCCATCATTTAATCTTTATTATATTTCTGTTAAGTGGGTTATGGTGATCATTTTACAGATGAAGAGATTGAAATTAGAGAGTAATTGATCCCAAAATGCAACTTCCTCTTCCCCCTAAGCCTACCTTTTTGCACCCACACTGTGCTGCTTCACTGTCAGCTGAAGTGACAACTGATGGTCCACCAGTAAGGGAAGAATATAACTAGAGACAAATATTCAGAGAATCATAGGAATCCAGACCATCCTGCATACCACAATCAGTGTTGAGGACATCATCTCTGGATAGCACACACAGTCATTAATGTTCATAATGATAAAACCAAGTCATCAAAAAAGATTAATTACATTCCATCCACTCTGTTTAAGAAGGCAGGGAAGTGTGAAATCCATTTTAGAAAGATTTCCATCAAAAATGATTAAAATTTTCAGCTATCCAGAATGATTCATTCCCTCGGGTTTCCACATAGCCAAATATGTAAATGAAAAAGCAAAAATATTGCCCATTTCCCACAAAACAAAACAAATAAGCAAACCACACAAAAAAAGATACAGAAAGGACTCAACCAAATTGAGGACTGGATATTCCTACAGCGCATACTAGGATATATACTTAAGCTGATAAGCATTCATTTTTTCCTAGCTTCTATCCGTTCTCACTGCTCAGGTGTCCATTTGAATGATTGGTGCCCCGGCCAGAAAGATTTTAATTATTTTGATTATTTCTTCTGCTGTACAATATTTTAGGGATGGGTAAATATATTCCCCATAGTCCTGAGCACATAGTTGGAATGATTAAAACTGCTTCACTCACAGACCTTCAAAATCCCAACTTTGCTTCAAATATGAAAGAGAGGTTATTTTGGCACTATAGAAGTGAAGCTGAACATTATTTGAATTTTAGTTATAAAAACAAGAAAGAAATGTACTCATCTCAGTCTAGTGCCTGGCATGTGGTAAATATTCAATAAATGTTGGTCAAAATAATCTTTTCTGTCCATCAGTAGAAAAATAGTTAAGTAAATTGTGTTAAATCATGATGCTTCTAGGTAATGAAATGACATATTCTTATTTCAAATAATGATCTGACAAATGCTGACATGGTTTTTTTTTCACCTCTGTATCCTTGTCTCCTAGAAGAATTCTTGGCATCTAATAAGCACTCAGTAAATATTGATTGAAAGAATAAATGAATAAATGAAACATAAAATTAATGAACAAGTGGTAAAACTGTTTATTGATATAATTATATTGTAATATAATTTTTGGGGGGAAATGCATGTAACCGAATCAAGAAATATCTGAAATGTTACACAGCACTTTATTACTGGTAGTTATTCTGGTAAATGTAGGGGACTTATGAGAGATTCTCATGTTTTACTTTATTTATATAATATTTAAATGTTCACAACACACATATATTACTTTTATAATTAACAAAGTTTATGCCATAACTATCACAAAAAATGTCGTATTACATCAGATAATCTGGAAGTTAGGTGTTCATTATAGAAGTAAAAAAATAAGATGATACTAGGTGCCCACAATGTAGAACATTGCACAGAATGAATGCGGATGGAGCCAGAAACAATCTCTCAGTATTAAAAAGCCTTAACTCAGCAGGAGGTAAAGAGGTGTGAAAAATTAACTGAAAAAGAAACCATACAAAATATGGTTTCCTTTCCACAGAGAGGAGGATGGATGGCGAGTAACTGATTAATGGCTATGGGGTTTCCTTTTGGGGTTATGAAAATGTTTTGGAACTAGATAAAGGTGGTAGTTACACAACATTATGAATGCCACTTAATTGTTCACTTTAAAATGGTTAAATATATATATTTATATATTATATATGTAAATTTTTATTTTCATTTGGTAAATTATATATATGTGTATGTATGTGTATACACGTGTGTATGTATGTGTGTGTGTATGTGTATATTTCATTATATATATATGATGAAATAAAGATAAATAAAGGCCGTAAAAGACATCCAGGCTGAGGATGGGGATACTCTTAACTGGGATAATTTGCAAAATAAAGAAGGGGCAAAGCCTGATTGGAATCATCAGATTCAATTCTTAGCTAAATAAATTCTAGCATCTATGCTAACAGCAGGTACTTTTCAATTGATATTACCTTTTAGAGCAAGGTAACGAAGGAAAAAGCATCAAATTCTAATACCAGCTAGATAGAACACATGCTGCCATGCCAGGCAATGAGCTCCTCACCAGTAGACACCATATGTTCTTCATTTTGTATCCTCAGCTCTCAGGCATAGTGCCTGATGTCATGGATAATTAATGTTGAATGAATGATAGTTTAACAATGGATTAATGCTGGAATGAAATGGCCCTTAGATCTAAGAATGGCTTCCTTTCTAGCAGGGCCTTCTACCCATCCAGACATCCAAGAATTAATTAGAAAGCTTATGGAAAGGCATATTCCTGGGCTCTACCTCCAGATATTCTGGTTCAGTAGGTCTCAGATAGGGCCTGGAAATCTGTTTCACAAAAGGTTCTCAGGTGGTTTGATGTACGTGTTCTGTGGATCACAATTTTAGTAACCAGCTTTAACCTCCATCTCCTGATGCCAGCTATCTTCCCTAATTTTTGGCAGAAATTGAAGCTCAGGGCTAGAGATGGACAATGTCTTTTTCTACAAGGAAGTATGAAATAAGTAGCCAGTTGGCGTTTTTCCATATATGTGTATATATATTCAATATAAGAAGAACGTTATAATAACCGGAACTGTCCAGAAAGCAAAAATGACTTGTGGTGTTATGAGCTTTAGAAACATTCACATGGTTGAAGACAGAGTCTCTCGGGGTGTCATATAATACACTCTTTGGCACTAAGAGGGATTTCACTTGGTTGGCTCCTAGGGTTCCTTCCAACTCAGACTCTCTGATTCTCTGATGAAACAAGTTGGGGGCAGAAGAGGCAGATAATGCATGTACATTTAACCACTTTGAAAAATGTGGATTTCTATAAAAATGTGAAACATTGTTTTCATTATTCATGATTTGGGGCAGTATCTAACATCATTTTTGGAAGGTTTCTGATCTTCATTTCTATTTTCATGAGAATGTTTAATAAGAGAATATTATACACAAATAGGTGAGTTTGGGAAATTTGAATTTTATTTGTAAAATATACCAGGTATGATTTTTTTTCAGGACTTATTTTGTGTTTAATTTTAATAATCTTATTTTTTTCTGACTTTGAAATGAATAAAGTCTCATAGTAGAAATTTTGTAAAATTCAGAGAAGTTAAAGAAGACAACAAAAGCTGTATTATCTTACTACTGAGAGGTAATCTCTATTAGCATTTTGAACTATTTCTCTTTCCCTTCCACCCAAATACACACATATACAAACACAATATTTTATGGTTGGCATTTTACTGCTATTTTATATGCTCCTTATAACATGTTCTTAACCAATAGCAAACTATTTCATTAACAAATGTATTAATGACAGCATAAAATGGCCATTATGTCAAGTTTGATGTTGTCCAATAGAAAACTGAACTCAGGAGTCCATATTGCCATCTTCAAACTGAAGCAAGCCAAACAAAACAAAACAAAATAACTGTTTTTTTAATTTGATTCCTATCTTTGCAAATTTAGATTATTTCCACTTTTCTATTATAATAAATATGTAGTGAAAGTGCTTGTACATGGAACATTGACTTATCTGTATGTCTTTAAGATGGAGTCTCAGGTATGGCAATTGTGGTTTAAGCCCTGTGAACATTTGTAGACATTCAATGCACATTTTCTTTTTTTTCTTTTTTTTTATTATTATTATACTTTAAGTTTTAGGGTACATGTGCACAATGTGCAGGTTTGTTACGTATGTATACATGTGCCACATTGGTGTGCTGCACCCATTAACTCATCATTTAACATTAGGTATATCTCCTAATGTTATCCCTCCCCCCTCCCCCGACCCCACAACAGTCCCCGGAGTGTGATGTACCCCTTCCTGTGTCCATGTGTTCTCATTGTTCAATTCCCACCTATGAGTGAGAACATGCGGTGTTTGGTTTTTTGTCCTTGCGATAGTTTGCTGAGAATGATGGTTTCCAGTTTCATCCATGTCCCTACAAAGGACATGAACTCATCATTTTTTATGGCTGCATAGTATTCCATGGTGTATATGTGCCACGTTTTCTTAATCCAGTCTATCGTTGTTGGACATTTGGGTTGGTTCCAAGTCTTTGCTATTGTGAATAGTGCCGCAATAAACATACGTGTGCATGTGTCTTTATAGCAACATGATTTATAATCCTTTGGGTATATACCCAGTAAGGGGATGGCTGGGTCAAACAGTATTTCTAGTTCTAGATCCCTGAGGAATTGCCACACTGACTTCCACAATGGTTGAACTAGTTTACAGTCCCACCAACAGTGTAAAAGTGTTCCTATTTCTCCACATCCTCTCCAGCACCTGTTGTTTCCTGACTTTTTAATGATCGCCATTCTAACTGGTGTGAGATGATATCTCATTGTGGTTTTGATTTGCATTTCTCACATTTTCAAAGGGCTTTACAGGAAGGTTTCACCAAATTATGCTTCCACTAATTAATGATGAGATCTCTTTCGCTGCATGGTGGCAAGCGTTAAGTATTAATAAAAATAAAGCAGAAAACTTTCCCATCAAACAATGGACAGAAATTTGAAATCTTGTTTTCACTTGCTGATCAATAGTAAAGTGAATTGTTTGCAGATTCATACACCTCATGTGTCTTTCTTCCTTTAACGTTCTGGGTTTTAATTCTACAGTTTTCCATTTCTTCACCTAAGGCACAACTGTGGTGAAGTTTCAACTTCAAAATTCTTCTTAATGTTTTGTAGAGAAAAAAAAAGGAATTGAGAATGAAAATATTTTACAGAAGATACAATTACCAAGTTATTTTAATGTTTTTATTATTGAAATTTAAAAACATTTGTGGCATTATGTGGTTCTTGCAGAGCTATGAATGGTGACTTTTTTTCTTAAGGAAAATAATATGACAATAAATATGCATGACTCTTTCAACTGCATCGAAAGAACTGTGTAGTAATAAATATAAAATTTTCACTACCTGTTCCAAAATTTTGTTTTCAATAAACCAAAAGTTTTAGTGAGATAGAAGTAATTCCAGGTAACATTTTATTTCTATAATTTAAAAAACAACCACCTCAAATTTGACAAGTTTTCGTCAACTTCTACAATAATCAGAATGTCCTATAGAGATTACTTATAAAATCATGACTTTACTATGTGATATTTGTTGCCACCTGACAGCTTTGGGACTTGTCCTTGAAACTACATCTCTTGTCTGGGTAACTACCAACAGGTTATTGGAGATGTCCGGCTTATGAATATGAGCCCATTCTACGAGGCATCATACAGTCACAAAATTCTGAATTTCATATACAGTGGTCCCTCTTATCCATGGTTTCACTTTCTGAGGCTTTAGTTACTCAAAGCCAAATATGGCCCAAAAATATTAAACTGAAAGTCCCAGAAATAAACAATTCAGAGGTTCTAAATTGTGTACCATTCCTAAAACTGATGAAGTCTCATGCAGTCTGCCCCGCCCAGTTCTCCTTTTGTCCAGTGTCTCCATGCGAGACATGCTACCTACCCATTAGTCACTTAGTAGCCATCTAGATGATCAGACTGACTGTCACCATATCTCAGTGCTTGTGTTCACGTTCTCCTTATTTTACTAAATAGTGGTTTCAAAGTGCAAGAGTAGTGACGCTGGCAATTTGGATATGCTAAAAAGAAGCCATAAAGTGCTTCCTTGACTTTTCTAAAAGGTAAAAGTTCTCAACTTAATAAGGAAAGGAAAGAAATCATATGCTGAGGTTGCTAAGATCCACAGTAAGAATGAATACTCTATTTATGAAACTGTAGAAAGAAAAATAAATTTGTGTATAGTATATACAGGGCTGGGTACCGTCCTCAGTTTCAGGCATCCACTGGCGGTCTTGAAAAGTATCCCATGAAGATAAGGAGATAGTAGTTTTCCTCAATTAAGCTTTTTCTTATAAAATAAAACATTTGTTATAATAAGTAACATAAATACAATCATGTGCTACATAACAACGTCAAGACAGACTACCTATATGATGGTGGTCAGAACAATAGGCCATACCATATAGCCTACAGATATAGTACGCTCTACCATCTAGGTTTGTGTAAGTATGCTCTATGATGTTCACACAAAAATGAAATTGCCAAACGATGTATTTCTCTTAACTCACGCTCTAGTTGTTAAGCGATACACAATTACACATGGCTAAATTTTAACATTTCCAAGTCTATTAGAACAAAAATACAACTTTGGAGCAAGATTTAAATGAACACAACTTTCTAGACACTGCATTTTCAATAAATTTTACCCTAATTTATTATATTGAAGCTACTTTGTTTTAGAAAATAAACTTCTTTCTTTCCTTTGTAAATGCTTCAGGTGCTGAAAATTTTTTGGGTTATACTCAGTTTCCTAAAAGTAGCATTACAGTTTTAATTTAGCTTGAACCTTTTCATATGACATCGTGCCTTGTTTTACCACTGGTACTCAAATTTCACTGCTTTGTGTCTTTTACTGTCTTGCACAAGGCAAAAAAAAAACCAATACTTTCTTCTCAATTATTTTTTTCTCCACTTTTCATGGAAAGATGTAAAATGACAAAAACCATTATGGGAAGTAAAAAATGATATCTACTAAACAATATTTTCCAATTATTTTTTACTCTTCTGTTAGTTTTTATATCAAAATGTATAGACTATGATTCAAAATGTGCAAAAGAATTGCTGCCACTTATTTTTTATGACTAGTCTAAACTTTCAAATCCCACTATCCCATTTGGGTATTGGGGAGTACAAACTTAAACTTGGTAAGAAATCCCAGACTTGGGCATTTAAAACAAAGTATTTTGGATAAATATTCAGCTAATTTATAGTCTAGCTTCTTCTTAGTGATCTCCTCCCTTTCCATTATTCAAGATGGTACCTGGATCCATGGAAAAGCTTTTGTGTCCTGCTTGCCAAGAGGAAGAAGTGTTTCAAGCTGTCCTTCACATCTTTGCTGGTCTATGATCTGACAAAAGCAGTCTGGTCTCCTCCAGTCACTAGGCATCTGACACTAATGGCCACCAAATTGTTGCTGATAATGCTTTTTGCCAGGGAGTAGTGGAGAGGGATAGGCATTGTGCTGTGGCTGAAATTTACGTCTGGTGAACTTCAAGGAAATGTCTAGCTCAAGTTTCACTGGCCTACTCAGTTCTTCATTGTGCATAATCTCTGGTCAGCTTCCTTTCATCTGCTCCTAGCCTCACCACAGTGGTCCCGTTGAAGGTCGATTGTGTCTCAATTCTGCCTTCCCATGCCTCCTGGATCCATAACAGAACTTGTAGATCTCTTCCACACTGCCACTTTCTCTGCCTGAGCATGTCATGCTGCCCTTTCTCCTTCTTAAAGGTTGCCCTAAGGCCGATGTGAGTCACTCTGCGAAGACTTCTCACGTGCTCTCCGATTAATGACAGGCCAGAAATTTCTAAAAACACCCTAGGTGATATGGCGTGGTTATCATCATGCTGGCCTGAGGTATTTCTTTTCAGAGGTCTGTAATTTTTCTGAGCAACCCCCCGGAAAAATCAAGTACTGAGAATTTTTCAAACCTATCTAAGTTTCAGACCCCACTTTTCTTCCCTTTTGCCTTTTCCTGATGGGAAAGCCAGGACACTCCATTTGAATTCTTGCTTCATTTCCCTTGAATTCTCTCAGCACTGCTATCAGTACCATACCTTCTGTTTTCTTTTGGGCAAAGTTGATCTTTCCCTACATCAAGTTCTTTTTCTTCTTTACACTAAAAGCATATTTTCATACCTCGAAGGCTTAATCTGGATATGTAAGAAGTTCTTTGAATTTAGAAATCTTCTTTCTTTTTTTCTTTCCTTTTTTTTTTTTTTTTTTTGATGGAGTCTTCACTCTGCCCCCCAGGCTGGAGTGCAGTGCAGTGGCACTATCTCGGCTCACTGCAACCTCTGCCTCCCAGGTTCAACTGATCCTCTTGTCTCAGCCTCCCAAGTAGCTTGGATTACAAGCGTGCTCTTGCACCCCTGGCAATTTTTTTTTTTTTTGTATTTTCAGTAGAAATGGGATTTTGCCACGTTAGCCAGGCTGGTCTCAAACTCCTGACCTCAAGTTATCCCCCTGCCTTGGCCTCCCTAAGGCGTAAGCCACCACACCCAGCCAGAAGACTTCTTTCTGTTGCCACAAATCCTGATTCACAAGACTTTTGTCTTACTAAACACTGATTTAAAAAGAAAAAAAAAGACTTTCTTGAACAATGACTTTTTTCCTCTTTGTGTTCCTGCTTTAATAATGTAAATCCTGCCTGAGATAATGGATGCCTCTGGCTGAATAAGGGGGGAGTCAACTAATTTATTTCAAAAAATCTTATACTTGTTATAGTCGAAACTGCTGATACTGATAAATTACTTTTATCTTTCAGTTATTTCCAAATTCATTTATTAGAAGAACCATTCCTTTTCTTGAGAAGCTACTTTTTAAAACAAAGTGTTTTAAAAGATATTCTACAGTTTATCTTCAGTTACACAATAGCTTCCATGTATTATTATCCTTAAGATTTCAATAAAAATCTGTTCATTTGTTTTTATTTCAATCCAATTCAACAAGCATCAGTTAATACTTTTTAAACTAGCCTCTAATTCTGTGTACCATATAGGGAAGAGAGGTTTATAACAGGAATAAACAAGGTCATAGCTCTTCAAATGTAAGTAACAAAATGCATACATTAAATAGTCATAATAGAATGGAAGACTAAGAAATGTGTCCACATGTGTGCATTGCTTGAAATAGTTACTTGATAGATATTTATTGTTCTATATTATTTCTTGTACAGGTAAAAAGGTGTAGGTTATCTGAGGAACTTGAAAATAATATGTGTCAGGGAAGACTGTTCCAGGCAAGAAGAAAACAACATGGGGAATGACTTGGGAAATAAGCATTGTAGGTTCAGAGGACAACTCTCTTATGTAAAGCTTTAAATTGAATGAAGACCACAAGTCATTCTAGAAAAATGTATTTTCAGATATTTGTTCTTGGCATTGCCTTCCTTTTTCCCCCCACCCCCGTATTTTTCATAAAGCAAATGCTTCGTCATATTCTTCCTCTTCAGTGACTGATATTGGCTCATTCCACTGCTTCTGTTTGCTTGGTCACAGCTGTCCATGAGTCTTTCTTCTCCCCAGTGGTCTGACCAAGCGAGGCTCATAGCTCGTAACAGGCAGCCCAAGGGTCAGCCCTGATGGGGCCGCACATTTCTGACTTTGGAATAAAGCCATTCTTGCTACTAGTGAGGCTTACAAGGGTTTGTTTTTCTTCTAATATTGCAGCTACATTTCCATTGAAATAATAATAACTCAAAAAAAGAGATGCTATTCTTTCATCTTTTCTTATTCCTTTCACTGCCAAGTTTACTGGAAAAATGAGAATATGTATACATCGCTAAAACTCTCTCTCAATCCACAACTCTACTGAAACTGCTTCCTTCAGAGTTCCAGTGGCTTAAAAAGACACACTCAATGATTATTTCAATTTAATTCTCCTTGACCTCACAACCATCCTTGACACTTTAACCACATCCTCTTAAAATGTTTTTTTCCTTGGTTGATAAAATGTAGGACTCTTCTGATTTGCCTCCTATCCCTCCAGACTATTCTTTTTCTGCCTCCTCTTGCTTTCTAAATACAGCTATTTTCTAAGATTCTGTAATTATCGCCAGTGTTTCTCTCTTTGCATTCTCTCTGTAAGTAATTGTATGCACTTTGAGTATTATTTCTATGCAGACAACCCCTAAACATAAATACACACACACACACACACACACACACACACACACACACACACACACACACACATACCTTTCTGTCTCCAACTGACTTCTCCACTGGACTACAATCCAGAATTTCTGACTGTTTGCCGAATAATGCCATTTAGGAGCTCCCACCAATCACTTTAATTTTAACTTTAAATTCAAAGCTGAAGTCCCTGACATCCTTCTCAGATCTCCTCCTCTTCACGTCCTGAGAATGCTTCTAGGAGTGTTGTGCTGGAGCTGGCTCACACCAGTTTCTGAGGGCTTATGGTTTGCATGTCTCCCCAGCCCTGAAGTCAGCCATGTGGGGAGTATTTACACCACAGATAATGGCAAATGCTACAAATCAGGGGTTTCTTTTCTTTTCTAAAGGCTGATTTTTGAACATGTTTCTAGCACACTGCTGAATACTGTCATACCACCCTCCCAGTCACCCTGAGTCTGAAACTTTGGAAGTAATTTTTTTTCCCTCATGTCCTAAATCCATTCAATGTCAAATCCTTTAATTTTTAGATCAGTCCAAACCTTACCACCTCCATTACTCCTGGACTAATTCTTACCAGATTGCTCTCCAGTGCTTTCTTTATCACTAATCCACTGGGCAAATGCTGGTAAATTAATCTTCTT
The DNA here is from genome assembly GCF_000001405.40 of Homo sapiens. Lineage (NCBI taxonomy): Eukaryota > Metazoa > Chordata > Mammalia > Primates > Hominidae > Homo > Homo sapiens. The sequence continues at coordinate 87,832,101 of NC_000001.11, read as the reverse complement.
AAGGACCAGCTCAGACTATAATCAAAAGTTTTCAGTGATTCTCCTTGCTGACCAAGGTTAAGAGTCATTAATTTTCAGTAAAGATCACCCATAATCTGGCTCCCAATCCCACTGTAGCCTGTCTCTCAGTATTCCTGTCACAGACCTCAGAATCCTGAGCTCCTAGCTTGTACCTGAATCATAAATAGTACTTTGCAAAATTTGGAGGATGAAACTTTTCAACTGACTAAATAGAGGCCTTTTTGATCCTGTGTCTATTTTTTTTTTTCCTGGATGTCCCTGCTTTGTCACTTCCACACACTAAATCTTACCTCTATGTCAAATTTCAGCCCAAAGCCAACTTCTTCTGTCAAAATATCTTTTTTCATCTTCTGAGGACCCATCCTAGAGTGTTTTACTTTCATAGTAGGATTTATTATTCTCTGCCTTTTATTAAGATTTCCAGTGAATATGCTATATTCCATTTAAAATAAATGGGCTAGGGCATGATGAATTTCTTCTTGTGTCTAATGGTCGTGCAATGAAAACGTGTTGACTCATTTGATATGGAGAACACCCGAGATTTATACAGCATATTTCCTTTCAAAATTACCTAGTACCGTCTCATATTTTCACGTTATAACGAAGGAAGAAATTAGACATTTTCTCTGATTTGTAATATTACTCATTGAGAAATTGAGGACTACTGCTAAGATTAGGTTTATCTCTGAATCTTCAGATTTCCCACCTCTGCAACATTATTTCCGATGGTGCATGCTCTTGCTCTTTACATTCCAGGCAGAGTTTATATGGCTGGATGATTGTTTCCCTGGCTATTAAAGGGAAGATATGAAGGGAGATTTAGACTATAAACTCTATGAGTACAGAGCCCACGTCTGTCTTATTCTCCAAAAAAACCCCAACACCCTGCTTGGCTCAACATTATTTCATTAAATCAATGAACCACACTGGCTGTGTTTTTATCAACACCATAGATAGAAAGATGAACACTGTTCCTACTATTATTTTGCAAGTTTATAGTAGTCACCCCTTATCCATGGGGGACACATTCCAAGACCCCCAGTAGATGCCTGAAATTGCAGATAGTACTAAACTTTATATATACTATGCTTTTTCCTATACGTACATACCTAGGATAAAGTTTAATTTATAAATTAGGTACAGTAAGAGATTAACAACAATAACACAAATAAAATAGCACAATTATAACAATATATTGTAACAAAATTTATGTGACTGTGAATGTGACTATTCAAGATATCATATTGTATTGTACTCACCTATTTTCAGACCATGGTTGACCAAGGGTAACTGAAACCATAGGAAGTGAAACCGTGGATAAGGGGAGACTTCTGTATTTTCAAAAGTTTATTTTTCCAAGTTACAAGATCACTGTGTTGTAGGTTAATAACTTTTTCCCCAAGGGTTTTATTGGTTTATTTATTTACATTTACAGACTTTGACTATATCTTGGCAGATAGCATCAGCAACTGAACACAGAGAAAGAGTAATTGGGCACTGTTTTAAAATTTACTGATGACCTCTTAGAGCAGTAATACTTTAACATGGGCAGTTTGAGTAACTTCCTTAAATTTGTTTTATCCTTGTTTATCTGTTAAATGATGGCTGACATCCTTAAGTCCTTAAGTACATAAGGTTACAGCTAGTGACCGTTGAATATATTCACTTTGTTCTAAATAGACTTACTTTGTTCTAATTCTAGAGAGTTTTGGTTGTCGATGTGTTTGTTTGTTTGTTTGTTTGTTTTCCTATTTTTGTTTGTTTTTAAACATTGGTCTGAGAGATTTCTTTGTCGTTTTACTCTCTGATCTGGAAATAGCTCCACTAGCAAAAACTAAGAATCTCTTCAAAATGTATGTACACAGACTGGTTGACAATACCATTGGTAAACCATAGGACAGATACTGTAATTTAAAGAATATCACCATAGGACAAAATGCAAAATGAGAAAAAGGCATTTCTGAATCCCATGAAGGTTGTAGATAACACATCAGGGCTTAAACAGAATTGGTGAACTAACTATTAATATTTCCTTTATATCTACTAGTATATATTACTTTGCTTCTCTCAAAGCAGCATATTTTTATTAAATATTAGTATTTTGTCTGCAGTTGATTGCTTTAATTTTTGTTACACTACATTCCTCACCGCAATACTTATGATGAAATCCCTGGGTCTACTAAATATACCTCTCTCATGTTAGGCTTTAATGTGCTCTCTTCCTCTTGTGTAGCTAATAATTATTGGATTTGGGCTCACAAAAGCCTTTTAAAGTGCAGCTTCCACAAACTTTTTTTGGTATTGTGTTAAAATGAAATAGGCCCATTAACACATCTGATAATCTATTTCGAGATATATGATTCTAAAATATGAATGTTAAAAAAAACATTATTTTACCTTTATTCCTTTCATTTCTATGTGTAATATTTTCTAAGATTAGTGTGGTTGGCAGACTGTTGTTTAAACCAGTCAATGCAAATTAGCCTTGTAATTTCCTTGGTACTAAAAGTTTTGCTTTTGCTCACTAATCTGTAGTTGAGTAATTATTCTTCAGGCTGGTTGTTTTGTGTTCCTATTAACGAAAGAGGAGTCAGAAGAGTGGTAAATATAATCATTATCATATACTTCAGATATCGGTGTTAAACGATGCTTTTTTTTTAACATTAGTTTAACATAAAGTTTGTAGAATACTGAATGTTGTCTTTGAAAGTGCTAAACTTTATATATTTTAATAAACTTCTTGGAAATTAGTAAATAATTAAAACTTTCAACACATATAATAATAAATATTTTTAAAAATACTGCAGAAATTTATCTCCATGGCTAATGACCACACACCAGCTAAATTTCATAACAATGTAGAAGGAATGTATAAATCTATAAATGATATGAATTATATTTTAATTGCAGAAAAATGATTTGTAAATTCAATAAGTCCTTAGGCCTTCTTAATGATGATAATAATAATGACCAACAACAGACATTATTATTGAATGCTACCACCTGCCAAATTCTTAACACCCTAAATACATATGATTATTTACTTTATTCAGGTGAGGAAATCAAAGCTAAGAAAGGTTATATAACTTGCTCAATGCTTCACTTCAGACAATTATACAGTTGGAATATAAAACCATAGCTGGCTCTAATGATTTGGAAAATGTAAAGTTGTTACATTTTCCCTCATGATCCTTCATTGCCTTAATTAATTCATAACATTTTTCTATAAATATTTTTTCTTTACAGATATTTGTAAATAGGACCCTAGCTGACCTTTATGAATTTAATTTCAGTATTCCACATTGCATTCAAGTATACCTTGGCCGCTGACCTACCCCGCAAACCTCACAGTCAACATAAATGACCTCCTTTTGAGTTAGCCAGTTGTTTATACTTCTACCTATGCTCAGAGAGACAAATACTCCTCGAACTCCTCTAGCCTAGCAGGAAAGTTGTCTCACTCATTTCTTGTCTTCAGCATCACTCACAATGTCAGTATTAAGTGAATAGATGTTTTAGAGTTAATTGCTCCCCTACATAGACAAAAACATTCTTGAATGTTAGGACATCTAACTCTTCTAATGTGTCTGCATGTCGGTCAGAGCCCACATCCACATGGCAAAATATGAAGAAGGGATGAGTCTATCATTCAATCAAATGATCAACCTCTTGAACAGAAAGAGGCAAGACAGAATAGCAACCCCCCAAAATAAAATGAGAACAAAAACCAAAATGTCTTGCCACAAGCTGGTCGTTTATGAGAATATTTGGACAATAATATTAATACCAACAGTATCAATAATAATAATAATAATAATAATAGCAGCTATCACTCAATACTCCATTATGTTCCAGAAACTTTACCAGGTCCTTTGTATATATTATCTCATTTAATTCTTAGAAAATATAGGTACTATTATTTGCATCTTAGAGATGAGGAACATGAAACTCAAAGAAGTCACTGCTATAAAGTGCAAGGTCATGATTTGAACACATTGTGATGTTCCTTCAGGTTCCGTGCTTTTCCCTCAAAACCAAATCTGGAATTTATTCAGGAAAATAAGAAGTTCCTGTGTCTTTTAAAATGGCACTTATTGTTTCACATACTTTGTATAATTACAGATTTAGAGTACTGCAGTGAGTTTTTATAAACTATTTGTATACTTAAAATATACTCTACACCAAACAATGTTGTTATTTTCATGGAATTATTAAGTGTATATCCAATATTTGGAAGCCAAATAAGGTAAGCATTAGCCACATTGTTATTGCTAAGTCTGTTTTATGGAAGGGTGAGCGTGTGGGTGTTGCAGGGTGTGTTATACACAGTTTTAAAACAATGCAATTCTTGAGCTTGATGCTTATTTTTCATATAGCTCCATGTTTAAACTAAAGAAGAAAGTCCTCAAACATATCATTTATATTTTAAGCTAGCCTATTTCCTTTCTTATGAAAGACAAATTGGGAAATATCTGAAGTATTATATGTAGCAGCATCAATTTCAGGTGATACCTATTAGAAATGCATGTAACCTTATTATGCCATTATACCAATAAAAAATGGGTATAGAAAGAGTAAAACACTAAGCAAATAATCTGTTCTTTACCTAAGTTCACCCTGAAAGATGTATCCTTTCTGATTCTACATCTTACTACAACCTCCTAATGCAGTTTGTGTTTATTTATTTGTCCATTTCAGAAAAAAAATGACCAGTAAAATGACTAATTGTTAAAAACAAACCAAATATATTTCAGAGGCTCTGCCAATGTGTAATGCCTTCTAACACTGGCAAAAACTATCAGTAGAGTAAATTTGAAATAACTGTTTTCTCTGCAGAATGCTCAATGCTATTCTCACTTGCCCTCCTTTCTTGAATCCTCCGCCTCTATACTCCCACCCCGGAAAAAAAAAAGCAAAACAGATTACAGTAAATTTTGGCAAGGAATTCTATTTGCATCATTTTCTTAGAAGTCACGTGCTTTGGATTTCCTCTTGTTTATGATATATTAAAATGCCTCCCAGATGTTTTTAATTATAAAAAAAGTTTTCAAGAAAGCAGAGTAATTCATAATAAAATTTCCTCTTTTTTTAATGGCCAATAAATTAGTATAGTCCAGCTTATCAAACTGCTCCATAATTCTGAGGTGACCTGTTTAAAGAAGGTCAGGCATTGAGTTAGACAGCTCGATTTGGGCAGAGGGAGAGTTTTACCAAGAACACTTTCAGTTCCTGTTTCCAATTGAGGCTGCTCCCTGCCTGGGGCCTACCCTAACGCAAAAGCCCATTGGCTAGAATTGCTTAAATGTCCCATACAAATATAAACACCTCGATAGTGCTGGGAAGATTAAAGGAACAGCTTATTGATATTGTATATGCTCTTGTTTGGATGTGTGACGGGGAAGACAGCATTTAACTGCTGGTATGCAATGCTGAACCTGGACTGCATGAAGAGGTTTTCGTTCACTGATGTTGGATGTGTGCCCAGACTGCCATAGTAGAATTTAGGGAAAACACAGAAAGGAGGAGAGACACAGAATGGTTTTTGGGAACATCCATGTGGGGCAGAAGAATAAATACATGTGAAGACCATGTTTCCAGAAATGAAATGACTGGCCACTGGGCAACAGTTATGAGTCCCCCAAATCCCTTCCTGGTCCTCTCCATTTGCACTTGAAGGTAACTGTTCATCTTGATGTTGATTCGGGGTAGGAGTGAGATTGTAACTGGGGCTGGGGGCAGTGGCTCACGCCTGTAGTCCCAGCACTTTGGAAGGCCAAGGCGGGCGGATCACGAGGTCAGGAGATCAGACCATCGTGGCTAACACGGTGAAGCCCTGTCTCTACTAAAAAAAAATATAAAAAACATTATCCGGGAGCGATGGCGGGCGACTACTGTAGTCCCAGCTACTCGGGAGGCCGAGGCAGGAGAATGGCGTGAACCCGGGAGGTGGAGCTTGCAGTGAGCCGAGATTGCTCCACTGCACTCCGGCCTGGACGACAGAGCGAGACTCCGTCTCAAAAAAAAAAAAAAAAAGGATTATAACTGGGTTAAAAAAGAAAGAGGACAGGTCATGGCAAGAAGAAACCCGACATCATTTTGCCTGTTTTTCTAAGCTTAGCAAGGAGATGAATGTGGTGGGGTTTTTGTTTTTTGGCTTTTTAACTAGTGTTTCTGAAAGAGAAATCTTTGTGGATTGTGGACGTGGCGCCTCTTAAAATGTACCTGCTGATCATCTGTCATATGGGATAGACCAAGAACCTTTGGAAGTACTGATTTTATGGCTCACAATGTGTATTTAAGTTTAAATGGGACTTTCTTTGGTTTAACTCAATGGAGGGCTTTCTGGTTACTCTCTCATCACCCTAACCCACTTCATCCCTTTGTCTGTAACTTTAAGCATATTTGCCAAATATGAGCAAATGTATTCATGATGATAGCTTTATAGAGGCATTTTATCAAGTAGGTGTCTGTAGGAAGTGGTGCTTGAGGAAAAAGAAAGTGAGGCAGTGTAACAGATACAAACTAGTCAGTCAACCATTATTTATTGAGCAACCACAATATACACAGAAGAAAAAGTCCTATAGAAGAGGGAAATGGAAAGAAGCTTCTTTGGACAAGGGTAGAGGGGCAACAGAGGAAAGTCCTAGGGTATTCTAAAAGCCTGCCAGCTCAAAGGTGAGGACACTAGAACTTACGGGAAAGAAGATGGGGGTTCCCGAGAGAGAAGGAAAGATCACCAATGGCTCAAGGAGACTCATCTTGCTTCACGCATTTAGGACTTTGAATTTTACAAGCATGCATAACATAAATACCAGATGGAGACAAAATGTTATTATTTCTGTGGTCAGTATGTGCCTGTTGGTAATGAGCAGAAAATACTACAACAAATGAACACAGTGTGGAGTTATCTATTAACAGCGGCATCATCTGAAGTAAGAAAGGAACTGGGTTAAAGAAATTACCATTGTCATTTTTCTAGTGGTCACTCATGATAGCCAGTTGATGCAATTTGAATTAAAATTTTAAAAGAATCTTTGGAAAATGTCACATTTGGGAAAAAGATGGTAAACAAATGCATCATGTAAAAGAGGATGAGTTAGGAAACTTCCATCCTTAGTGAATTGATGAGACTTTTGAAGTTACCGAATAGCATCAACCTAATGAATGGAGGTGAAAAAAATGTGGATTGAGTGGCTCAACAACTCCTTTTAACAAACATTTATTTCCAATTTACTATGTGTTACGCAGAATTTTGGGTGCTGCTAAGAAAAAAAGATTACCAGTGTCATTAAAGCAAGAATTCCTTTGGCTGTTTCAGCCAGCAGATGCACCTGCTGATGTAGCTTCAGCCAAACGACATCTCCCTTAGATATAAGCAGCCCACTCTAATAGTTCAAGTTTTCATCTTTAGGAGGAAATTTCAGTGGAGCAAGGAGGGAAAGAAGGGCAACTCCTCAGCCCTTCTGACTTGCCACATCAAAGCTATAGTCCACGGAGAATAAATGCCCTAACCAGATTTGCATACAAACAATATGCCCACATTGCCCAGGACATAGTCCTGGCCCTACAGGAATGGATTGTTTTGCATTTCAGGCAATAGTCGCTCAGAAATAACCTGAATGTAGCTCAGGCTACATCTTTCTTCTCCTATCACTTCCTCCCTACACCCCCTGCTCTCTCCATTCTTGGCACGCTGGCTTTTTTGCCATTCGTGGAACTCACCAAACGTGCTGCTCAGGCTGGTGCCTCTGTGGTTCTTTGCCTACTAGATATCTGTGTGGTTCACATTCTCTCTTCCTCAGGTGTCTGCTCAAAGGCAGCTTTATCAACATGGCCCTCATCCCCTTTATCCTGCTTTATTTGTCTTCAGATTAGTTATTACTGCCAGATAAATTATATAATTTTAGGTTATTTCTTTTCTTCTGCCACATGAACATAAACTCAATGAAGGCAGTGCCTTGTCTATTTTTTTTTTTTTTTTTTTTTACCAGTCATTACTGGTCTCCCAAGCCTAGAACAGCGCCTGGCTGACAGTAGGTGCCCAATAAATATTTGTTGACTATGTGAATAACAAGAGAGAGCATTTGGACAACAGAGGAAGGATAGGATAATTTTAGCTTGAAGAATCACGAAGGGCCTAGAGAAAATATTGTGCATTTACTATGTGCCCAGCTCAGTGGTGGTGGAGGAGACAGAGAGAGACAGACAGACAGCAGACATTCTTATGCAACAGTGCACTTCAAAGGCTATGCAATGTCAATTATTACTAGAACTAGTAAAGGCTCTGGAAACTAAATTATTATGAGGGATCGTTTAAGAAAATAGTAACTTTCTCAGCCTAAAGAAAATAAAACAGTGGGGAGACAGGAACAGGGGTTAGACAGAGGATGAAATATCACACCTATCTTTACATATGATAAAGATATCCTCTGAAATAGTGAGTACACTTATATTCTATTGTGGAGAGGGCAGGAAGATTGGGAGATAATTTTGTTTTAAAATTGTAATCATTATAGCTGTCTTTTAGTGGAGTAAATTCCATCACTGTGTTAAATCAGAGATAATCTAAAAGAGCTGTTATAAACTGGACTCTGGTCTTAGGTAGAAGCTTATGCCAGATAACTTAGAATTAAAAATCTTCCAAACTAGGTTTTACACACACACACACACACACACGTGTGCACGTGCATAAGCACATGAGCACGTACATACTCGTTGGGTTTTAATTACTACAAATCATCCAACTAGTTCTAGAATAGAGGATGCCCAGTTAAAGTTGGATTTCAGATAAACAGTGAACAATTTTTCATTACAAGTAGGTCTCATGCAATATTTGGGGAAAACTTATACCAACAATTTCTTTGTTGTTTATCTGAAATTCAAATTTAACTGAAATTATCTGAAATTCTAAATTTAATTTAAACTTATCCTATATTCTATGTGACAACCTTATGCTATAGAAAACAACATAGCAAAAGAAAGGTGTGTGTGTTTCTCCAGAATTCCAAATTTACATAATTAATGTAATAAATACAAAGCAGGGGATGGCATGCCAGAATTCATTCATACATCTATGGCCATTATCGCCTTGGGCAGATTGGGGGTATTGATCTTATAGCCACAACACCAGGTGGGTTTATTTTTTTTTCCAATTTTAAATCATTTTTGGCTGGATTATTTTACAGTTTTTGAGAATTTTAAAATGTGTTTATTTTAATGTTGCTTTTTTTGTTCACCATGCTGTCTCTAGAATTTCACAGAGGACTTTGTCTTAAATGATTCACAGCATATCATGGTGACTATTTGGCTTTCTTAGTATCTTCGTATCAAATCTAACTTCCAATTCAAAGTTATTTATTTGGGGCACATTTCTTTGGAGCTGAAGTATTAATGCTGATACATGAATCCCCTTTTAATACATTATAATTTTAAAAGTATAATTATATTACAATTAAAATAACTTCAAAATAGTTACCAAAATGATTTGCAAACATTTTATTGCAGGTAAACAGATGTGTGGTTCACATGATCTTGACAAAAAAAAGATTTCTGCTTATCAGCTAAAGAGATACTACTGTAAGACTAAAGCATAAAACTTTGAAATTAGAGGTTCTTGATGACATTTTAAAATTATAAATTAATTTTAAATGATTATTTCAAATTTTGTGCATAAAGTGAAGAGCTATTAATATTTTAACTTGCACTATATCAAATTGCCTACTTTAAATATTCACATGACACGTAACCTTGCCTTGTATAATACTGACTCTGACCTCAAAAGGCTTAGGCCTACTTTGGAAGATAATATGAAGAGAAGTGAAACAATTACAAGAAAATTTATTCAGTGTGCTATCAAGTTCTAAAACCAAAAGTTTAAAGAATGGAGAAATCACCATGGGGTAGTACCCTGAGAAACGGGGGCCTAATGTGTGCCTTGCAGGATGGGCTGGGAATATATCCTTGGAGAGGAAGGTACGTGTAGGGCCAAGGAAGAAGCAATATGTGCAATGCTTGGGACAGGAGAATAAGAAGGATGGTTGAAGCCAGAGATTATGTGGAAGGTAAGAACAAAGTAAAAATACTTCTGTTTTGAAATGGTGGGATGTATTTATGAATGGGAAGCATAGTCATATTAATTGAAATGTTAAAGACCACACCACAGAATTTAGACTGGCTGACACAGGCCATAGAGCATTTGTATATGCCTGCCTAAGAAATGGACATCCCACGAGTGGTGTTTCTGATGGTGCACCCTACATATCTATCTCAATGAAACCAGATCAGAATTGCTTCTGCACTGTGTAATCAAAACTCACAGGACATAAACCGGCATTGTCATTCTTTGAGCACTTCTTTAACAAAAGTCTTCTGCCTTTACAGATTTTTGAGCTTGTAGGGTTACTTCTATTCACAGTGAAGACCCACAAACTTCTTTCTGTGGATACAAATCAATACTTAGGTCTCTGAGAATTTCATGTAGGTTGGTGGCTTTGTGACCAGAAGGTGAGAGAATAGCTTGATCCTGCATCCTCACCCCAGGCAGATCCCCCACTGACAGCCACAGGGTTATGGTCTATGTCAAGGCTCTCTGATCAGGCACTAAGATTACTTTTCAAGCATTAATCTCTGTGAAGCGAGGCGCGCTGTTCAAAGCGATGTCACTTCCGTGCCATTCTCTCCAACTAAAGAGGAAGACATTTTTGCAAGATATATTTTTGCCAGCTCATCCATCAGAGAATATTTATTTGTTCATTAATTTCTTTTATGAACATTGTACAAGTTACACAGTACAGTACCTCCTGATCATTTATTGCCCAGATTTATACGCCATGACTTGATAGAAAGTGCAGCTCCAGAATGGAGCTCTCTCATTCTCTGTGTAAGCAGTTGTGCTGCGATTTACAGGATAAAGACATTCTTTTTAGACACTGTAATTAGCACTTGCCTTATTTATACGTCTCCCTTAACATTGTGTCCCCTTTAAAAATATTTTTATTTAAGATGGCATGCAAGGAAACAGCTCGGCATGCGTTAGGAAAAAAAAGAAGAAGAAACAAACCACTGATAAATCCATCTGTTAAAAACCACAGTACACAAATTAAAAGAGTAAGTTAACATTACATGTCCTAATCTCCTAGCACCATTGTTCGTGCTTACTGTTTCTTGCAGAATATTCAAAAGCTATTTTTTCCAGCAGACCAACTCCTTTTAGTTACACCCCGGAAATGCTTTGCTTGTTTTAAATAGGTCCATTATGCTCTCAGACACCTACATATTTAGTATGTCCAGCCTTAGTCAAGTGAGTGGTCTATACGGTTTTCCTCCTCTATTATTTACTTTGTCTTCTCCAACTACCCTTTCAAACAATTCATGGTTATCAAAATTCCTCACCAAAGTTTCCCTGCTAAATGCAGACGGTGGTTCTGCCTCTAGCAGAGCAAGATGCAGTAACTCAACAGTCCAAAGATCTCTTTTCTTAATTTTTTAATGTTTCCCTTTCTCCCTCCCTTGTGAGACAGGTGAGAAAAGCAATTGCCCCCACTGCTTAATGCGTCCCAACTCAGAAACTCACTCCAGCCTTGTAATTTTGAATCCCAACCCAGCTGGCAGTTCCTGGATTTTAGACTCTGAATATGAGTTCAGCACTTTTAAATCAATCACTCTGAACAGTATTTCTGTCAAATGGAAACTTTTCTTCTTTGGCAGAAAGGCTTTCCTGATTTTCAGCTACAGCCTCAGAGAACTGAACAGTCTCATAAATGAAACCGGGATGTAGGAGAAAAATTAAACTAGATATAATTTTCTAACATTATCGTTGCAAGAGTCCTGTTTCCTTTAACTGTTCAGTAAGACGAGGCACCTTTTGTACCCTGTAAGATTTTTCAAACAGTTCCCCCAATTCAGGCTAATGGCTAGTTGAGGTTTGACTAGCAAGGGGTTACAGGGTTAGGTGGAAATAGGAGGAATGAAATACTCCTGGGATCCTATTCTCTCTAACTTAAAATTCTCTTTCAAATTATTAAACTTTTTCAAGAATTAGGTTACCTAATTAATGTTGCTTGCTATCACACCTAGCAGTCCTGTTATTGGTAGAATTCGTAGGTTAGTACAAAGGCTCTTGGCTTAGCCAGAGATGACACAGCAGCTTTGGAAATAATACTTCTTCTTACATTTCACAAGGTGATATGGTTTGGCTGTGTCCCCACTCAAATCTCATCTTGAATTGTAATGCCCATGTGTCTAGGGAGAGAGCTGGTGGGAGGTGATTGGATCATGGGGACGGTTCCCCCCATACTGTTCTCATGATAGTGAGTTCTCATGAGATCTGATGATTTTATAAAGGCCTCTTCCCTCTTCACTTCTCCCTCTTCTCTTTCCTGCACCATGTGAAGAAGGTCTTTGCTTCCCCTTTGCTTTGTGCCATGATTGTAAGTTTCCTGAGGCTTCCCTAGCCAAGCGGAACTATGAGTCAATTAAACCTCTTACCTTTATAAACTACCCAGTCTCAGGTATGTCTTTATAGCAATGTGAAAATGGACTAATACACTAGGACAAGTTTAAATTTCAAGCACTGAAAATAAAGAAATAATGTCAAATCCCTGAAAATAGTATTAGAGACCAATTTTCTTTGGGGCTTTAAATAATAATAACAAGAAAATGTTTATAATTCATAAAGTATTCTGCACTATTTTTATGCACCCTTCCTTGAGTACTGTACACGATCCATTGTATCCAAACATTGAGGTAACACAGAAATTGATGTTTTCTATAATCTCAGCTTTTTACTATGCTTTTTATTTCATGAGTGTCCCAATACATAGAACCATCTACATATCTACATAGAAATAGAAACTGTAAGATTTATTAAGAAAAGTCCATAGAGAGGTGCTAATTTTCTCCACCAGATTTCACTGGACATTTGTAGCTTCATACCATTTTTCATGCAGTGCTGTGTTTACTATATCTTGATTTCTTCACAATGCTCAAAATATTCCATATAATCCCCTAGGTAGCTTGAAAGGACTTTATAGACAACCATTGATCTATGGACATTGAACATGAAATTTTTGAATTCTAAGTTACATTGGGATTGATAGTTATAGCAAAATGTAAATACTGAGGAAAAAATATTTAAGTATATATAGAATGAACACATTTGAAAAACTTATGAAAATAATACTGAAATAAGTACATTCATTCATTCAATATTTATCCAACACAAATTTATTGAGCGTTTACTATTATTGAGTATTGAGTTCCAGGCAAGATGTAGCTACTGAAATGTCATGTAGGTGAAACAGACGTGGTCCCTGGACCTCATGAATTCAGAACATTGGCCTCTTTGAAGCAGGAGGGCCAAGCTCTTAAACTCTTTAAAGAAATATTGCTGGACTCAATTGCTGTAGAATTCTGAAAGTCTAATCTAAATGTGCAGCAACAGGCAAGGAACACTAAGAAAAACACATATAAGAAGTGTATTTCAGATGGATAGCTAAGAACATTATAGAACTTTTGAGCTAAAAAGTACCTTAAAGACCTTATATCCCAGCCCCCTTGTTAATCCAAATGAAATTCTTGTTTGTGTTCACACAGTTTTTAATAACTAAGCTGAGTCCAGAACCTGTATCTCTTGACATCCAGAAAAGTACCTAACAAATGAATGCCCTTTGAATATTTTTATAATCAATTTCAATTTCTTGGTTTTTTTTTTCTCTTTTCTTTTTTTTTTTTTTTTTTGAGACAGAGTTTTGCTCTTGTTGCCTAGGCTGAAGTGCAATGGCATGATCTCGGCTCACTGCAAACTTCACTCCTGGGTTCGAGCAATTCTCCTGCCTCGGCCTCCTGAGTAGCTGGGATTACAGGCATGTGCCACCATGCCCGGCCGATTTTGTATTTTTAGTAAAGACGGTTTCACCATGTTGGTCAGGCTGATCTTGAACTCCTGACCTCAGGTGATCCACTTGCCTTGGCCTCCCAAAGTGCTGGGATTACAGGTGTGAGCCACCGCATCCAGCCAGTTTAAACTTCTAACTGTATTCATAGTGCAGTCAAGAGGGTGTTAGGGGCTGAACTGTGTTCACCTAAAATTCATATGTTGAAGTCTTAACCTCCAGTTCCTGAGAATGTGACTTTATTTTGAAAGTAGAGTCATTGCATATGTAATTAGTTAAGATGAGGTCATGCTGGAATAAGGTGGGCCCCTAATCCAATGTGGCTGGTGCCGGTGGAGATTGGCATGCACACAAAGAGAACATCATGTGAAGATTAGTGTTAAACTGCTAGGAGAGTGTACTGGAACAAATCCCTCCCTAGCACCTTCAAGGGAATATGACCCTGCTGACACCTTGAGCTCAGATTTTCAGCCTCCAGAACCATGAGACAATACATTTCTGTTGTTTAAGACACACAATGTGTGCTACTTCATTATAGAAATCCTGGGAAACTAATATAGAGGACAATTCTATTTGAGGTTTACTCAGTTTGTCTTTTCATTCATTTATGTATTCATCAAACATAATGCATATTAGATGCATTTATTAAGCACCTAATATGTGCCAAGCACTGCACAAAACAGTAAGGATACAAAAATGAATAAGACCCAATCCCCATATTCAAACAAACGTGACTATTCCAAAGTGTTAATAATTATGTTCTTAGGTTCCTCCTATCCCAGTCTGGGATCTACGTTTATGTGTGTGGTTCTTTCCCAATAAATATTATTTATATCCCCCAACCAACCCCAAGAGACTAGATTTCACTTCTACCTTGGGCCCAGCCTCTTCCCTGAAATATGTGAAATTGTTGCTTCCCAGGAGTAGTTACTCTCTCCAATCAGTGAGTCATGAACTGGGGGTCTAATCCAGGCCAGTGACAGCCCCTTAGCGTGCCGTTAAAGCAGGCATCTCTAATCCACCCACTACAGGAGTGCAATGAGGACAGCAATGGGTATCTGTCATGCTTTATCAGGGCCATAAAGTGAGTATTTAAAATTTTAAAGTTTTCTAATGAAATATACAAAGGTTGATTATTTAGCAGTTTATCAACTTTACCCTGCTGTGGCAAAGGGAACAGACAATAACATTGCTCAAAGGAGGCTTCAAAACTACTTTCTACCATTTTATTACAACTTTAAAGAGGACTAAAAACAAGTCTCCCAGAAGGCTCCTGGCCAGCTTTGCTGCTTCAACCCCAGAGAGCATGTTTGCATTCCTACAGCTGATGCTGCTGGAATCAGTCCCTCTCCACTCTCCCTGGGACCCCACGGTCACCGCTTCCAAGGCTGTGCCTGTGACAACCAGAAGCCAGAGGAACTGGAGGATCTCTGGCCCACAGAACGAATAGTGGGACAAGTCAGGACTTAAACTGCCCCTACTTCATAATTACCTGCTGCTTTTCTTCATTTCCCAGCTGCCCCAAATCTTTCTGTCTCTACCACCACAGTGACCACTTTCTGCAAAGAACAGTAAGAATGAATTTAAGAGGAATAAAAAATTAGACGAAGGTTATATTTACCCTAAAGCAATTTTTATGAGGATAAGATTCTCACATATGTACTACAAGAGAGGCGAGAAACAAATTGTGCTTCTCTGAAAGATGAATGAACTTCCACCCTATTTATGTTTCTAGAAATGCCTGAAAGATGAACTTTTAAGTGAATTTATGAAGTCTTTATTTTCCATGATTTTTAGTGGTTTCTATTTTTACTTGAATCTACTTCCCTTTAAATCTCACCTTTTTATTAGAAAAGTAAAATAGAGGCTCACAATGTCCAGAGTACCTCCTTTTAAATGGCAGAGAATGAGCCAAGAGGTCTAGTACATACGAGGTCTCTTTAGGGCCTCTTGGCCCTTTTGCAATTTTTGTTTTATTATCTCTTCTCAGCGGCAAGAGAGCATGTTGGGAAGCTGAAATGTTTCCCCTAGTGAGTTTATACAGGACTTTCTAGAATTGAGCCTCTGTCTTAGTGGCTACCATTCTCCCACCTCCTATACTAGGTAAGGCGATAGGAGGATGTACAATTGCACCTAGAGAGTTTAGATAATTCAAAGTGAAATACAGACAAAAACACAATTTCCAGCAAATGATTATGAGACCACAGAGGGGGAAAAATTAAGAAACGTATTATTAGAGTTACATATTCATTCACTTCTTTATTCAAAAATGTTTATCAAGCACCTACTACGAGTCAGATCTTGTGCTAACCACTAGGGATATATGTTGCACAGAAACAGACATGCTTGCTCTTCCCACAGAGCTCACAGTTTGATGAGGGAGAGGCATCAATCAAATAATGATGTAAAATAATTAATTAAAAGTACAAGTATTAAGTGCTGTGAAGGATAATTATATAATGCCATGTGAGCATAAAATAAGTCAGTTTTACCCAGTCTGGGGTAGAGATTGGTGGCGGCATCTCAGAGGTGTGCCTGAGAAACGTATTTATTGAACTAAGATTTGTTTTTTAACTGTAGGAATCAACTAAGCAAAGTTGGAGGGGAGGATGAGAATGGGGTCAGAAGCATATCAGGGAGAGTGCAGAAAGAAGTCAAAATGTCCCTTGTCAAAGGAAGATGGGCACATTTAAGGATATTAAAGAAGTCCTGTGCACCTAAACCCCTGGGGAGAAGGTGCGAACTGAAGCTGGAGTGTGGGTAGGAGGCAGCCAGTCCACGCAGGGCTTGGCAGACCCTATTAAAGCTATTGGAAGTGATCCAAAGAGCAATGGAGAGCCACTGAAAGGCTTAAGGCACAGAGAGTAACGTAATAAGAAACCTGTTGTTCCTGCTAGTATCGAGGGAGTTACCTGCAACCCAAAAAACTTTGTGCTACCCCCTACACTACTCCAAGTCCAGATCCACATCTTCTAGAAACCAAAGTGATACCAGTTTACCAGGAGAATCCTAAAGGTTCACACTAATTTCATTTCCTTAAACACTGACTGGACAATTTCATATTCTTTGGCAAAGGAGGATGACAAATAGGTATTAAAAATCCAGCAATCTGGACCACACACCTAGCAAGATTAGCAACTAATAATAGATTTAGAAAACAAAATGTTCCATTTGGAATATCTTAGCAAAGCCACCTACTAACAGAGTAAGTGAAACTTTTTGAGTATTATTTTTGTACTACTTTTAATTTGCTTCTATGTCTATACCCAACTTCGAACACAGCACATACTATAGACTATCAAAGATTATCAAAAGTGATAGTAATGTAATTTAAGCTATTTACCTTCAGAAATAATGAGCTGATTCATAACAACAGAGCAATAACCACACTTCCATGCCACTGGCCAAGAAAGCCTGGCTATTACCCACATTTGAGTAAATCACACCACAAACACATGTTAATTTTGGCCACCCCTCCTTACTTAACTAAATGTTTATTTCAAATGATCTGAGCTTCCTGCATTCACTTTTGCTCTGTTCTTCAACACACTGTGGATGGAGGGCTTTTTTTCAAAACTCCAATCTGCTCTTGTCATTTTGCCTGCTTGAAAGCCTTCACCAGCTTTCCATTGCTGTGGGGCTGAAGGCCAAACTCTGCAGCAGGGCCACAGGTGAGGCCAGTGTGGTCCAGCCTCACCTACTCTCCAGTCTCATGCTGCTGCACACTCCTTATCACTTTCTGTGCCTGGCGTTCCATGGCAGTGGGTTGGTGCTGAGAACTAAAGTCAGTCTTTGTCCTCAAGATGCATATGGTCTAGTGAGAAATATTACATTACACGACATGAATCCCATTACAGCTACATAAAAATGAACAACTTTTTACAGAGTAAATGCAGGATGCCAGCAGAGCACCTATGACTGACACTTAACCCAGGTGCATGGCATCTAGGAAGTTTTTCTGGATTCAGTGTCATCTGACATGTTGCCCCAGGAGTAAAGACCACACAATCTAAAACATAATTATATGTATTCTAATACTGGTCACTTGGTACCTCTTTCTTTTTTTTTTTCTTTAGACAAACTCTCACTCTGTCGCCTAGGGTGGAGTGCAATTGGCGCGATCTCAGCTCACTGCAACCTCCGCCTCCCAGGTTCAAGCTTTCAAGCTATTCTCCTGCCTCAGCCTCCCGAGTAGCTGGGACTATAGGCATGCACCACCACACCTGGCTAATTTTTGTATTTTGAGTAGAGATAGGGTTTCACCATGTTGGTCAGGCTGGTCTCAAACTCCTGACCTCAAGTGGTCCACCCACCTCAACCTCCCAAAGTGCTGGGGTTACAGGCATGAGCTACCACACCTGGACTTTTTTTTTCTTCTATGCTGATCTTGTTACCCAAATTATATTGTAAACTCCTTGAAGACAAAGGCTATTACACTTATATATCCTGAACACTGTTCATATATGCTGACCACATGGTATGTGCTTCCAAATATATGTTGACCAATTAATAAGATAGTAAATTCTTACCTCAGGATGTGTGAGGCAAGCAAGGGAGCATAAAAAGTGCTGGATATACCAAATCAACTAGGAATGAAAGGCATGGCTATGTGAAAAAGGCTGGCACAAAGACAAAATTCTACTGGTACTTATTTTTTTTTAATTTAACAGTGATAATGATATAATGACTATATGATTTAACTGGCAGGTAGGAGCCGGAAAAAGACCTCACTAACTCACACTAATGAGAGGTAGGCCCATTGCTAAGAGCGACTGAGGTCGCTCTTAGTAATTGATTTTCTATTTTTAAAATATGTGCTCAGCTCACTCCAGCCAACATACACACAAGTTGACTGCAACACAGAATACACTTTGTTCTTTCATTTTGTCAAGTGTAGTTGCATTTTAATTATTTATGATAATACTTAATAGTATATTAGTAAGTGTCCTGTAGTGTGGCATGTAAAAGTAATGAAGTCTTAGTAATAGGAGAACACGATAGAGCTCTCAGCTATTAAATCTTTGCTGAGAAGTGAAGTGAGACTGCAGGGTTCTTTGTGAGAATTGGGGGTTTGCAGATTAGGGAAGTGAAAATTAGCAAAGTTTTTCTGAATTACATTTATAAAATACATGGTGATATTTTAAAATGCATTGAATATGACTAATATGTTTGAATATGACAGATACGTTAAGATACATGTTCCTTTTATGTGGGCTGCTTAGTAGATACTAAGACTTCTTAAGAAACAGGCCTCGGCTGGTTTCCCACTTGATGGCATTCTTTTATATACTTTTTTTTTATTTCTGACTCCCACAAAACACATTCTATCTCCATAGTATTAAGAATAATTTGAGCATGTGAAGGTTTTTTAACTTTCAAATTAATCACTCTTATGGTTATGGATGGAATTATAATCATTTCCTGAGGAAAAATAAGATTAATGTTTTAAAAATTATATAAGACTTGACTTCATATTTTTGCAATTGGTATATTTTACATAGTTTTTTTTTACTTAAATATTCTGTTACATCCAACTTTCCAATTCTAAATTCCAGAAATAAATTTTACAAGATCCAGTTGAATAAATGTCTGCCAGAAGAACTCCACCAAATTCTACCTCTGAACTCTCCCACCCCCAAAAAGGACCCTCATTCTCTGCTACTGGGACTTTGTTCTTTTCTACCGTTTTAGAAGCGTTCGCCCAGATCCTTTGTCTGGGTAATTGAAAATGTTTCCCAAACCTTTTTAGCCTTTCTTTGCAGGACCTGTCTTCCCCTTCTTTGAATAGCTCCTTCTTCCTTCCTACCAATTTTCTCCTCAGCCCCCTGCTCTCTCACGACGCATCCCTCATTCTCTTTAATACCCTTGTTGGCACCATGTTCTTATTCCAGTCTGTCCTATTCCCTCACCTACTAACTTCATGGGTTTTTTTTTTTTTTTTCCCTCACCTTTTACCATATTCATAGGAGACTGAAATAAGTATTTTGCCCTATTATTAAAATATTGAGAATATCTACTTTTTGAGGCTGTACATTTTAAGTGGTCAACTTTTATTATAGAGTTTCCATAGTTACTTTAAGTTATTGATGAGAAAATAGGAATTAAATGCTCATATTAAGAATAATCATGGAAAAACTGTTGTATTGAATTATTGTAAAAATAAAAATCTAAAGAGAATGAAAGTCTTATCTCTATTTTAAGAATGAATAGCTAAGTGAAGTTTGCAAATAAATATCAAAACTATTAGCCTGGCTGAATATTTTGACAACCCATCTTCTATTGGGTGTTTTGTTTGTAAAATGAAGAGCATATATATGAGTGTGTGTGTGTATGTGGGTGTGGGTGTGTATGTATATGTAATATATACATGTAAATATAAGCACATATTTGACCACTCCTAAAGATTAATATTTATATTCACCTTATACAAATAGTTGATAATTACTTACCTGGGAACTTGGTTGTAATCATTAATGGTAACTCTCATAAACACAGAAAAGCTATGCAAGGCATGGTGTCCAAAGAACTTGACTAGTACAAATTAGAAAATATTATGTACCAGGTTTTCCAAGAGGAAGTCTCAGGGCCCCAGGTCAATGGGCAACACATGTGCATGCAGAATCCAAGCAAGTTATACTTGGGAGATTTCTTTAAGAGGTTTGACCATGGTTGGAGTACCTCCATCATGTTATCACCAACTGGTGGCAGGTGCTCTGTCCCAGAAAGAGACACTGGCAAGAACAAAGTGGAACAGATTTCAGATTTAGGGCTAGGATCTCTCAGAATAGGGATTTCAAGACAGTGGGCAAACACAAAGAACTCAGTCTAGGAACTCGGGCACATGAAGAAAAGCAGTAACTCAGTAGCTCAATGGTCGTTTTAAGGGCAATGGTTCTTGGTCTGAAGAGTAGCACCCAAACCTTGGAGAACAATGGTTAGGGCAGGAGTGATCAGATTTCAGTGCACTGGGGCTGCGAGAGAAACACATATTGCCTGATCTGAATACAGGCTATTTGGGAACCATGGTGAGTGTCACCCCTCAGGAGAAGTAATTAAGAAACACAGCTGGGTAATACAGAAGTAGGCGCTGACAAGCAGTAATTTCCAAAGTGAAATATCAATGTCTATATATGTATCCATTTATGCACACAAATAAATATGCATTTATGAATAAGTATGCACATATAGCAACACAACACAACTACTCTCCAACTTGCATCAGAGAAATTTGTTTTGTAGCATAAAGGGTCTAAGTTAGTGTGTAAAGGTACCACTCCTTTATTTACTCCAAATGCATCCAAGAACTTGTAAAATTTGACTTGTTCCACATTCTAGTATTTTTCACTTTCAAAGCACACTAGATACATGCTATGGAACAAAAGGGAGGAAAAGCTTTTCTGAGGATTTCTGTTTCTACCAATGATGTACTAAGATAACTTGACATCTGTCCCAGCTATGAAATACCTAGAAATTAAAAAATATTATAATACCATACATCTTTTTAAATGCATGGCATGGGCCAGCTAACATGAAAGTCAGAAAAAAAAATTTCAAAAATGAACAGGAAACATTAGCAGGACAGTGGGCTGCAGCTGATGCTTTAGTGCTGGTAAGAAAGAGCCACAATTCTCAGCAGCCAAGGAGTAAGAGGCAAGGCCGAAGGAGGGAGCCCCAAGGAGGGAGAGAGGT
Source organism: Homo sapiens (assembly GCF_000001405.40). Classification (NCBI taxonomy): domain Eukaryota; kingdom Metazoa; phylum Chordata; class Mammalia; order Primates; family Hominidae; genus Homo; species Homo sapiens. The sequence goes on along the minus strand of NC_000001.11, from coordinate 87,810,499 downwards.
GTTACTCAGACCCCATTTATAAGTCTGGAGCTGGACAGCATAAATTCAAAACCCTTCCCACTTGTATGGGAAAACAATAAAGATGGTTTAAAAAAATAAACATAAGCTCTAAGAGGAAGGGGGAACTACATACTTAAGAGTTTATAACCTCTTACTTTCCCTTAGGCCAATGTGCTTTCAAAATTATACTATCAATGTAAGCAAGGATCCCTTTAAACATGGATACTTACATGTCTTTGTCCCAAACTGGAATGCTTTGTAGGAGCAAACACAAAACATTTATGAAGGGATATATCCTCAACAAGCTGAATATGATTCTCACAGATAAATCTCTATTCAAAATGAGCTAATAATTCAGAATTTACAGAACACACTAGAAAACAATTCTCTGTGCAGGGCGCGGTGGCTCACGCCTGTAATCCCAACACTTTGAGAGGCCGAGGCTGGCAGATCACCTGAGGTCAGGAGTTCGAGACCAGCCTGACCTACATGGAAAAACCCCGTCTCTACTAAAAATACAAAATTAGCCGGGCGTGGTGGTGCATGCCTGTAATCCCAGCTACTCGGGAGACTGAGGCAGGAGAATCACTTGAACCCAGGGGGCGGAGGTTGCGGTAAGCCAAGATCGCACCATTGCACTCCAGCCTGGGCAACAAGAGCAAAACTCTGTCTCAGAAAAAAAAGAAAAGAATTCTCTGTAAACAAGAGTCATCACACACAGGAAATGGGATTATGCGCATCCTACCCTCACATAAGAAGTCTAGATACTATAAAATAATTATGTTTTAAAGTATTAAATACCTTTAAAGGCAATGAGAGAATGATTTTTAAAGGTAGTATAAAAAGACTAGTCAGCTATTGAAATAGAGAAAATAAAAATTTTAAATAATCATTGAAAATATAAAACTAACAATCTTTTTTTTTTTTTTTTGAGATGGAGTCTCTCTCTGTCACCCAGGTTGGAGTCCAGTGGTTCAATCTCGGCTCACTGCAAGCTCTGCCTCCCAGGTTTACGCCATTCTCCTGCCACAGCCTCCCGAATAGCTGGGACTACAGGTGCATGACACAAGGCCTGACTAATTTTTTGTAATTTTAGTAGAGATGGGGTTTCACTGTGTTAGCCAGGATGGTCTGGATCTCCCAACCTCGTGATCCGCCCGCCTCAGCCTCCCAAAGTGCTGGGATTACAGGTGTGAGCCTGGCCAACAATCTTTTTAAAGTACATATGAAATCTAGCTAAAGGAAGAATTAGGAAACAGGAAGATGGATCTCTAAAAATTACCCCTATAATGTAGCACAGAATGATAAAGAAAAGGATAACATGTAAGAGAACTATTTCAAAGGAATCCAGAAGAAGAGAACAGAGAAAATGGAGAATACACAATTAAAATGGTAATTGAGAAATTGTTCCAAAACTGATATGAACATGAATCATCAGATTCAAATAGTAAAAGTAGCCTCAACATGATAAGTACAATTGAATCCACACCTAGACATATCATAATGAAACTTCAGAACACCAACATAAAAAACAAGTTTCTTTAAAGCGCCAGAAAGAAGGAAAAATCATTTGAAAGAATAATATTATACTGACTGCAGACAGCAGAATTATCGTAGCAACAATAAAAGTCAAGAGAGTGGAATAGTACCTTCAGTAAGTTGAAGCCACATAGCTGTCAACTAGAATTATATGTTGTTGTAATCACCCCACAGCAATGAATGGGCTCCCCACGTGAAACTTTGTTCAGATATCATGACTGATGGTACCATACACACATACCAAGAGAGTATGAACATTTTTATTAATCATGGATTGAAGATTCCTGGGGAGAACAGATTCCCAAGCAGGTCTGAAAATGGTTGGGAGAGCAGAGAATGGAGACTGTCTTGGGTTTATGATGGTTAGGTAGTTAGAGGTGAAAGTGAAGTTTCCCTTCATGATCCAGGGCTTGCATGGTTTAATCTTTCTGACACCAACAAAGGAGGGTACCTAAGAAACCAGGTAAAGGTATATTGCATTCCTTCCAAAGTGAAGGCAAATTGAAATTTGAGAGACTATTGAAATAGGCTCAGAACAGATGTAGACAAATATGTGACTGAAAAGTACATACCAGTTGCTGATTGTTTGGTGTTTATCTTCTCATGGAGAAAGGAAGGCTGTGTGCATACAAGTGACATCTGCTGCTTGTTTCAAGTCCTAGAATTGTATGACTACCTTAGCTTCATGTGGGCCTAGTGCCTCATTCTGTTGGTCCTGTTCTTTGATTATACAGGCTGTTCACCTCAGGTACAGGTACACATCTATTGCTCTATTGCTTCCTCCAAAGCAAAATGCCCTTGATATTAAGTTCACAGAGCCTGAGGCTTTTGTCCAGATTTTACTGATTTCTCCAATTTCTGCCTAGTAGTAAAGTCTTTGCCCTTAGACTAAGCCAGCTTTGTCCACTAGAGATATGATATGAGCCATATGCGTCATTTAAAATTTTCTAGTAGCTACATTTAAAAATAAATTAACAGAGCTAGGTGAAACTAATAATACAGTGTATTTACTCCAACACATCCAAAATAATATGAAATGTTATTAAGATATTTTGCATTCATATTTTCTAAGTCTTCAAAATTTAGAATGTACTTTATTTACACTTACAGAATATCTCAGTTAAGCGTTCATTAAAAGTGCTTGATCTGTGTTTAGATTTTATAAAATTTACAGTTGAAAAATTAGATGCACATACCTAAGTTATTTCAAATGTACAAAAACAGTTTCCAAAAGCTGAATTGAGGGTCAATTTTAAAATTTAAATTTAAAGTAATTTAAGTTAAATTAAAAAGTTAGTTTCTCAGTCTCCCTAGCCACATTTTAAGTGCTTGGTAGCTACAAGTGGGCTAGCAGCTACTGCACTGGGCAGCACAGACTATCGTGAAATGCAGGCCCTCATCTCAAAGCCTCCTTTCTGCTTGCATGTTACATCTTGAATTAGAAAGATGGGACTGCACCTCACTTCCTGAAAATAACACTCATATACCTTAAACTGACATTCAAAACTCTTAGTAACATCTTGAAGGCATTGAAACAGCCAAGGATCTACAACTTCCTAATTAAACTAGCTAAAATTAATTTTTCCTTATTTTGTTATCCCAAAGAACTTCTTCTTACCTCTGTTTTAGGCTTTATTCCAATAGGCTCATAGTATTTTTTACTGTATCCTTGGTGAATCGCCATGTCATAATCCTAAAGAACATGATTCCTAAGTTTAGAAAAATCTAGGTTTGATCCCCCGAATGCCCATCTATTGGCTTGGGCAGTTATGTCTTCTGAGCCTAACATTCCTTATTTACAAAGTGGGAATAATACTTACTTAATAATATGATGTAGTGAGGATTATAAGTGATACAGCCTATAAAGTGCTTTACTTTGTGTCAGAGTTTGTCACCAAAAAAATTACAAAAATAATGTTAGCAAATATTTATTGATCTGTTTCTCACTAAAATTTAAGTCTTTAAAGGTGAGGGTCATTGATCTGCTTGCTAAAGGGACATCACCTAGCACTGTGCTGTGCATATGGCCGTATATACAGCTCAGTCAATGGTTGAGTTTAAATTCAAACTGACTGCTACCACTGACTGGATTCAGACTTCACCCTGCTTCGCATGCCCTCCTTATCTCCATTTGTATATCTCTTCCAGTTGCTTTGCCTCTTTGTCTTCTTGGTCTCAATAGTCACTAAAGTTTCAAGCAACAGGTGAGAAAAATAAAATTAAAAAGCCCTTTTTCATAAGGCAAAACAGTCATGGAATATAAAGGAAATTTAATTTTAGAACTGCATTAGAATAAAGTTGGTTAGGTATAAACCCTTAACTCCTAGAAACGTATTCAGAGCAACAGGCATCTCCGCCAGCTCCCTGGGACCGGGCTACAGTGGAGTTGTGTCATAGTGCAAAAGTAGTGAACTGCTGATAAAAAGCATTAACCTCCATCAGAGTGGCTGCCATTAACTGATGAAATCAATTAAGCCAGCAGCACTACCTGCTGAAAACTGATCTAGCAGAGGAACGGATGGCAGGGTAGAACAGATGAAATGAAAAAATAGTGGGCTGGGTTTTCTTCTTGCTCTGTTTTTAGAAATGTTAAGTTCCGTCAGTGTGTTTTTTTGCACTGCTTTGAAGAACTCTTTCCCCGGCGACTCCCCCCCTGCTTGGCCTCATTCCTTAAACTCACTAAGTTATTACAGTTAATACCGTGGTTAATGGTTTCTGGAAAGACGATATCTATCAGCATCTGAGTGTACACATTTTGGCCTAAATACTGAGAAATCGTAGGTATGTAATACAAAGCCTGGGTGTGCCTGCCTGTAGAAAGTAGCTCATTAGGATTAATCTTTTATGGAGTGACTAATGCAAAGGGAACGAGGCCTTTTCCTCCCCAACTCGGCAGAGGTTTTGTCCAAACTTTCAAACAGGTTTCTTTGGAATACAGCTGGTCACTACTGAAGACTTTGCTCAAACATATGGAACTTTAAAACCTTGATTTTTTTTTTAACTTTTGTATACTGTAGCAATTCCCTGAAAATCAAATGGCAGAACCTAAACGGAAGACTCACTGCCAAAACGCATGCCCAGTTGGGGAAAAGTGTGTGGGGAATCATCCAGCACACTTCGAGAGCTTCGAGTACAGCCTGGTAGAACTCTGTATTACCTTCTGTTCTGATTCCTGAGCTCTGCCAGACTTTTGTTTGAAAAAGCATCTTTATGCAGCAGTACATTTGTTACGTTGTATCTGAGAATACTTTCCACCTTGGCTCCTGCTTTTAACGAGTAAAATGACTTCTTCTCTTGCTACAAAGACCAAAAGGACACAAGGTACAAGGCAGAGCTTCTCAGCAGAGATATATGTTTTTTTCTGCCAAAATTAGTATAAGACAATAAGTTGTCTGTAAAGGTCCGGTAGTCAGATAAAGGAGTCAAGTTCCTTTTCAGGGTAATGTAATTGTTAGTCCTCATAAAAAAAAGTGTTGTGTGGTGGGGGGAGTTGCGGCTTTATCAATAAAAGCATACAGAGCTGAATATCTACATAAAGAAATGTTCAGTATAATTTATGGCATTTCATCATGTCGAACTGCATTTCAAGTAATTCACCCTGGCAGTTTTATTCTCAAAATGGAAATCTTAGTATTTTCCTTGCCTTCATCAAATAAAGAGTTCGTGTTCAACTGTAGTCCGTATACTTGATAATTTGTCTGGCTGGGTAAGGTTATTAGCAATTTAAGAAGTAAACCCATTTGGATTTTCAGAGTTAACAGAAATAGGAGATTGCTATGATGATCTCTTAAAAATTACAATGTAACACACAAAAGTGAGATTTAAGTAACAAGATTTTCCATACACCAATAACACCAGGGAAATTCAAACTCAAACTCCCTCGTTTAATTTCCAGGGATTAAGGGGTTGGTATTGAAGTCAATGAAAGATACATTTTACAAAACTGTTAATTCAATTCAGAAAAGCAGACCAAAGGCCCACTATCTTTAGAGTTTCTTTGGTTGAAATGCAACTTGATCAACTGGGTGGAAGATATTTCTAATTCTCTAAACTGGTCAGAACAAAGTAGAGGACAGTGGTCCCAGCCAGAGGATCCTGAGGGTCTCCTATGATAAACTGTTAGACTTGCAAGGGCATTTAGAGATTATTTAGCCCAAACCTATAGCTTGGTAAATGAGGAAATTGAAGCCTAGAGAGTAAATGACTTAGCTAACATCATTCAACTGGTCGGTATAGGTGTTCACTCACTTGCCTTTCAAATAGAGATCTTTTTAACTCCCTCATCAAATTCTTTCAGGAATTATTGATTTTCTTAGTTGGTTTCTTTTGATTTTATATTTTATCATGGAGATGATATTAATTCCAGGATAAAATACTGATATAAGGAATTTTCAAAATTGTTGCTCATTATTTTCTAATTTTCATTTAGCCTCTTGCAACATTGCAAACAAAGTTGATAACATTTTACCTTTAGATTCACCTTTTCAATTTACAAAACACTTAATGTCTAAGACTTGCCAATGATATAAGCTATTTACTATTTAACACATTTATAGATAAGGTGTAGAGCATTGGCAAGGTTAAATGACTTTGCTAAGGTCACACAACCAGACATTAGCGAAGCCAGACCTTGAACCCAGCATTTTTTACTGTTTACACCATGTTAGTTGTGAATGTATAACTAAGGCAAAGGGATCACCTCATAAAGTTCTTACTGATGAGGGACTGAATTGTTTATTTGCTATTTCACTGTAAGAAGCTTCGCTTAATGGATAAAAGCATAAGATTTAGACTCAAACCAGAAATCCACCTCTACTTTATAGTAGTATGGGGACATTGGTTAAGTGATCTCTTTTATTCACAATCGTCTCATCTGCTTAATGGTGATAATAATAAATGTAGGTTTTTCTGGAACAATTAAATGGCTAATGCATTTGAGAAAAAGCATGTATTTCATTGTTTGGCATAAAATAAACACTATATATTTTTAGTAACTGTTACTATGCTATTATTCTAAGCTATACTATCAGCAAGATGTAAGTAATGCTCCTATTTCATCATAAATATATAAATACTTATGTTTTTATGTATAGATTGTTATGCTTACATAGGTTTCAGTGCACTTTGTTAGTAATTATTCTTCATATCTTTCAGAATGCAAACTTCTTAAGGTCAAAGACATGTGTTTTATCTTTGATATAGAATATTTTCAATGACAAGATATGTTCATCTTTATATCCCCAAAACCTATCATGTTTTTGAAAGACAGTAAGTGTTAATAAACAGTTATTAGTGTTGAAATAGAGTTTTGTATTGACTTTGAAAATAATCCTTACTCTGGGTTGGTTGGCTGATTGGCTTGTTTATTTATTTAGCTCATGAGATGAGAGGGGTAGACATTTACTCTTCTATCTAAAGGTCTTAGTTCCCTCTTGGCTGTCATTTGGTGAGTAACTTGCTTTGCTGTTGTTTCTGTGGTGTTTAGATATCTATATGTAAATCTTGTAACATGGTCTTAGCTCCTTTCCTGGCAAGCTAATTATCTGATGAGCAACCAAAGAAATGATCTATTCTAGTGGAAGAGAAAAAATTGACTGTGTTAAGCTTACCGAGAAATAATACTGTACATACTATTGCACTTTATGAGACTTAAAGAATTTGAATACACAGTTTTTATATGCATGCTAACCTTAGCTGCCTGGAAAGATGCAGCATAACTGCTTAAACTTATTTTTTTTGTTGTTGTATACTAACTTATTTTAAATGAGGATGAGTAGATATAGACATATATATATATATATTTATACACACACACACACACACACAAATATATACACCTTCCCCCAAGTGCATGTGCACGCGCGCACGCGCACACACACACACACACACGCAACTAGTTGACTGAGGAAGATAAAACTTGGGCCTGATTTACAGATGTTTCTGCACAATATTCAGGCACCATTCAAAAGTGGACAGCAACAGCAGTGCAGCCCCTTTCTGGACATCCTTGAAAGACGGCAGTGAAGGAAATTTCTCCCAGTGGGCAGAACTTCAAACACAGCACCTGGAGACACACTGGCAAAGGAAATAACCAGAGGTAAGAGTCTATACAGATATATGATCTGTGGCCAATGGTTTGGAAACAAAATGATTATAAAATTGGTAACAAAGAGGTTTGGGAAAGAGGTATGTGGAAAAACCTTTTTGATGGCAAAGAGTGTAAAGATATCTGTGTCCCATATGAATGCTAATCAAAGGGTGACCTCAGCATAGGAGGATTTTGATAATCAAGTGGACAGGACGGTCTGTTCTCTGGATACCAGTCAGCTTCTTTCCCCGGCCAGTACTGTCATTACGGAATGCGCTCATGGGCAAAGTGGCCATGGTGGCAGAGATGGAGGTTATGAAAGTGCTCAGTAACATGGACTTCCACTCACCAAGACTGGACTGACTACAGCCACTGCTGAGTGCCCAGTCTGCTGGAAAACAAACCAATACCGAGTCCCTGATACAGCACCATTCCCAGCAGTGATCAGCCAGCAATGTAGTGGTATGACAGCATTGGATTGCGTTTATCATGGAAGAGGCAATGCTTTGTTCTTACTGGAATGGACACTTACTCTGGGTGTGGATTTTCCTTCCCTGCATACAGTGTTTCTGCCAAAACTACCATCAGTGGACATACAGAATGCCTTTTTTGCCATCACAGTATTCCATCTAGCATTGCTTCTGATTAAGAAATTTACTTCATGCAAATAAAGTGCAGTAATGGGTCCACGTTCATGAAATTCACTGATCTTACCATGTTCCTCAGCATCCTGAAGTAGCTGCTTCATAGAATATTGGAATGGCCTTTTGGAAATTCAGAGACAGCACCAACTACATGGCGACACCTTCCAGGACTGAAGTACTTTCCTCCAGGAGGCTGTATGTGCTGTAAATCTGCATCTAGTGTATGGTGCTGCTTCTCCCATAGCCAGGATTCATGGGTCCAGGAATCAAGGGGTGAAAACGAGAAAATCAAGGGATGAAAATGACTCCACTCACTCTTACTCCTGGGAAGCCACTATCAGGAGTTTTGCTTGCCATCCCCCTGAACTTTTGCATTGTTGATCTAGAAGTCTTAGTTCCAAAGTTAGGAGTGCTTCTACCAGAAGACATCACAATGATTCCATTGATCTGGAAATTGAAGCTATTACCTGACCATTGTAAGCTCCTCATGTCTCTGAGTTCACAGGCAAAGAAGAGAGTTACTGTACTGGCTGGGATTATCAGTCCTAATCATCAAGGGGAAATTAAACTGCTACTCCACAATGGAGGTAACGGACACTATGTTTAGAATGCAGGAGGCCCTTAGGTTGGCATCTCCTAGTACTCCCATGTCCTGTGATTAAAGCCAATGGAAAACTATAACAAACCTGAGAGTGGCCCAGACTCTTCAGAAAGGAAGGTTTGGATCACTCCACCAGGCAAACAACCATGACCATCAGAGGTGCTGCTGAAGGAAAAGGGAATACGGAGTGCCTAGTGGGAGAAGGCAGTTACAAATATCAGCTACAAGTGTGTGACCAATTGCAGAAACAATGACTGTAAATGTTGTAAGTATTTCTTCCTTATTTTGTTATGAATATGTTTGTATGTGGGCATATGAGTGTGTGTATGTATTTGTGTGTGTGTGTGTGTATATATATATGTAAATGACATTTTGATTTCTTTTTTTCTTATCCCCCATCATTTAATATAAGATGTATTAATAATAGTTAACTTTATATCACATTATTTAAGTTACTGGATATAAAAAAAGAAGGAACAACTCCCAAAAAACTTTGCATCCTTTTCTGGTGAAAAGGTTACTGTGTTTTCAGTTATATGAAAGATAATTGTTTCAGGTTAGGTAGAAATATATGACTTTTTTTTCTGCTTGGAGATTAAATATGGTTTAGGAAAATGTGTATAACTGTCAAGTTTTCAAGGGATAGACAGTACGATTTTTGTTGTATTAACTTGACACATTAAACTGTGATGTTGCTGTGAAGATATTTTGAGAAGTGATTAAAGTCCATAATCAGTTGCCTTTAAGGAAGGGAGATTATTTGAGGTAATCTAGGTGGGCCTGATTCAATCATTAAGAGGACTTAAGAGCATAGCTGTTTCCTGAAGAGGAAACTTCACCTATGGACAGCTTCAGTCTACCTTTCCTGAGGACCCACGTGATGGATTTCAGACATACAATCATGTAAGCCAAGTCCCCACAGTCAATATCTTAATATGTATCTCATACTGGTTATTCTTCAGTGGTTAAACTCTGACTGACACAGAATATGTGTGTATTTATTTATTATTTGTAAATTGTTTTTCTATATTTTCCTGTTGGGAGGATTATATTGTCTTATTGATTTGTAAAGGCTCTTTGTATATTAAAGATATACATCAAATATGTTAAAAAAAATTTTCTCATCCTCCTATTGTTTTCTCTTTATTATGCTTTTAAATGTGGAGAACTTTTTAATTTTTATAAATTTATATTTATTAATGCTTTCTTTTATGACATTTGTGTTTATATTTAGAAATCCTTATATTTTATAGAAATGTAATCTGCTTAACCCATTTCTGTAAATGTGAGCAATAGATGTCATGGATAATCCTGGCAATTGCTAAGCAACATTCCATTACTCAATACTGAGACTGAGCCCTTTTATAAAACCCTGTGACATACTCCCTCAATTATTGAATTGTTCTCTCCAGTGTTTAAATTCCAGGCTTCTCTAAGATGCTTTAATTTGGCCTGGCTTCTGCCTCCAAGCATACTATGTTACTTCCAATAGACATTTCCTGTTCTAGCTGCAGCCCAATGTGACTAGACTCATGGCTCTCAGCTATTAGAGTAGTTCTTGGAACAATAAGGAGCATGAAAACAATATTTTTTCCCCTATGGTGTGGATTTTTTATTAGTGTTTTAAAAGAAAATCCCCAAGTCCTCCTCTTGAGTAGCAAGAAGGTGATATGGCATAAGCTCTGCTTTCAGAAAATTGATTAGGCAAACCATCATGATAATGTCAGGTAATACGTGAGATAATAGAGGTCTATATAAGGGGCTGTAAAACAGCAAGAGATACCACTTAATTGTGCCAGGGAGGGAGCTAAAGAAAGCTTCACCAAAAAGTCAACAAGTTCTTGAAGAGTGAGTAGGAAGCAACCAGTGGAGAATATGAGAAGGGAATGCTAGGCGGGGGAAAGAACGTATACAAAGACCAAGCACATATACGGAAGTACAGAAACAGGAAAGGCCATAGCTTGTTTATGCTTAGCAGATACCGAGGCCTGGTTGCAATGTAGATTCCTGTGGGGAGTGATGAAAATTGAGGCTAAATATGTAGTCAGGGGTGGCGCACAAAGGAATACACACTCCATGCTAAGGCGAATGGAATTTTCCAAGTGAGCACTGGAGATTCACTGAAGATTTTGAAGTCGGAGGATGAAAAGATCAATTTGCATTGAAAGAACTCAATTCTAGAAGAAGCAGGGATGGAGTGGGGTGTCGCCTGTGTTTTCCAGCCATAGCACTGTTATAAGGCAAAAGCATCATATAACACTCGTAAGGCATCATTTTCTTGATTGTTCATAGAAAACTCTGCCCTAAATTTGTTTCCTAATTAGATCTGGGAGTCTTTAAAGGTGTCTTGTCCCTTTAGTTATTCTGTAATATTCACTGTTTCCTTCCTCCCTGGTTAAGTGTGTAGAATTTTAAGACTGTCTGGAAAATCCTGCTTCCTCCACTTACTGAGTGAACATGGTTAAGTTATGAGGACTAAATAAGTTAATACATGTAATATACTTAGAACAGTGCCTAGCACTGTAGTAAATGCTTAATAAACATTGGATATAACAGCTTCAGTCCCTGTTAGAGAAGTGTTTTTCAAACCGTGGGTCACAGACCATTAATGATACATAAATCAATTTAGCAGGACTGACCATTGTATCTTTTTAAATAAAATATGGCATAATAGAAAATATCTGTAAATACAGAATACATCAGAGTATGCATGGCAAGGGTTAGCATTGTTTCAATATACATGGTGGTATATGTACACATATATGCATGTGTACTGGATTGGGATAGAAAATGTATTTTTTACTGTGGTTAATGGTCAAAAAGGCAGGTATTGTTGTTTTGCTATATTACTATATTCTTAATCCCTTATTCTTAGTTCGTAAGAACTCAGTATTGATTGGAATCAATAAATGGATGTATTAGGACACTGGCTTTCTATGGTCATGGATCCCATGACCATGGCTCTCAATATCCAAACAGGCTGTTTTGTTGCTAACCTACTGTCAAGGAGCCTAGGGGGATGCTGCTTCTGCGGACACCCACTGGCATATACATCAAGGTTTTGATGGAACTGAGGTGTCTGCTAAGGATACCTCTTCTGGCTAGAGAAAGTACTGAAGTCAATGCTGCCAAGGGCTACACTTCCAAAGTCCTGCCAAGATCGAGGTGAAATTAATTTTTGATTTTCACCTGCATTCACTTTGTCCTGAAACTCAGGCAAAAGGCTACAAGATTGGCTGGGAGACTTCCTGAGTAGACACACTGTCAACTTCAGAATCATCTCTCCTCTGACATTAGCCCATCTTTCTTGAACCAAAACTCCCTTCTTAGTTTCTGTCTTCTCTGAATCTTTCTGTGTGTGTGTATTTTGTTTTCCTTGAAGGTTCTAAATCTATCATGACAGCAGAGGCTTGGGCAGTCTTGCCTACCTAGACATATCTCATCCGGCCTATATCCTATGGCAAACGCTCCTGGCCTCATGGTGTATCAGGGCCTTTTGCAATAGCCTTGGCAAACTATCACAAGACCCTTAACTAAGTCAGTGACAGCATTAATTGAGAAGAAGTGACATTGACCTGAAGAATTTAGGATAGCAATCACTATGCATCCATTCAAGGATAATATTCAAAATATGTAAAAATCAATTTTTCATGAGCACTGAGTAACAAAGATGATGCCACCATCAGAAAAGACTCCAAACATAAGCACGGTGGCTGTAACCCATTGTGCACTGGCTGAATCTCAGCATTGACTTCCATGATCATTATGCGTTATGTTTTCAAAAGTTCAAGTTAACAGAGATTTCTGAGCACTAGTGTGCAGGTGAGGGGACAAGACAGAGAGCTTGATTACTAAAATGCCCCAGCAGAGAGCAGGTAGCTGATGGAATGATAAATGGCTGTGTTGCTATGGGCTGGGTCCAAATGAAAAGTAACTATGTTTGATGATTACAGTTTAAGAACCTCAGGAGGAGACCTAGCCTTGAGAACTCACTAGAAAGTAATTGCCTATATCATACACCGAGGTTAGACTTCCGCTTTCTTAATCATACAAAGCAGACATTTCACCTATTGATCTGACTTTCCTATGGACTTAAAGAAGGCAAGGCTTTTTTTTACAATTTATGAAATTAGAACATCATTCTTAAGCTGATGATAAGCCTGCTAAAATGTTCGTTCTGACTTGGCTCAGAAATGCCCTATAACATTTCACAGTGCTAGACTTTTCAAACTGACGGATTAATTTTGGTATAGAAAAAAATGAATTACATTCCTATTGCATTTGATCTTTGAAACAGTAAAATTCTTAATTATTTGAGGCTCTCAAACTTTTCTTTTTTTTTAATTCACTAACCTTGGAACATTTATCAGTAGTACACAGAACAAATAACTAACTTGATCAATTCCAGCATCTCTCCTTTTACATTCTCTTAAGTATTAAAATGTAACTTTAACATTTACATTAGTTAGAGTTGTATGTTTTTCATTTTTTCCTTTGAGTTAAACATTAGCTATTTTTACCCTACCCTATTTTGTTATCACATGCAGATACAAAATGTTATACTTGTTTGTTGACAGAGAGAGAAATGGAACAAAAAAGAAGTTAATGACGAAGTATTTATTTCATAGGTATTTTGAAGCCTGAAGAGGTAACAGGAACGTTGTTTGCAATTTTTCTGCACCTTATCTATGTCCTCCTTGACTCATGCTTTTTTTCTCCTAGATGCTTTAATACATGTTAAAATGTCCAGTTTCTCTTTGTTCCCCATAAAGGCCATATGGAATGGGGATTCCAACGTGGTTAGATGTGCTCTGACAAGAACACTCACAGCAACACATAAAGCACAAACCTGTTAAGAATTTCACCTCTTAAGAAATGACAGAGTAATTACAGGACAACATGTCCTTCATGAGTAAAAACAACCAAACTAAAGTGCTTTCAAGGCTGGCGTGGCCTACTTCTCTTCTGGCAAGCTGCATAAATCATCAGCTACGGAGGGACTGTCTCACGGCCGTGGGGCACACGTGTGCGCACGTCTGCATGCAAGCACACATATGGGAGTGCACATGGACGCATCATGGGTTAATGCACTCAGTCTGGGTAGTTGAAACTCTGATAATAAACCCCCAATACATTTTACCTCCATCTCTTTCCCCCTTAATCTTTAAACCTCAGGCTGCTTTAAGGGGAAATTTAATCCATATATGTCTGCCTCATTTTCATTTAAATCGTCAAAAAAAGTTGTTTTAAAAGAGTTCTTTGATGTCCTAGACTCCCTTGAGCCTTTTCTTAGCCTATTTTCTTAAAAACAGGAATTAGCATTTTCCCAGGTGCAGAGAAGCTCTAACTCTCTCCCCAAACACAACCTCCTCCCCCACTCAAGGTCTCAACTGAAAAAAAAAAAAAAGAAAAAGTTTTGGAGTTACCTAGGGAGTGCTGGTATATGAAACAGCTTAACTGAGGATCAAAAAACATTTACAAATATGAACTCTTAACACACGGGTTTGCATTGGAGTTAATGATTAACGTTTCTGCTCATTCTGCCTAGAAGACCTCCCTAGGGAAGTGCCAATCTCCCCACACTTGACTGTGCCTGGATTCTGGGAGAATTCAGAGACATGGATCTTAATGCAAGCAGCTTTTTCTGCCTTATCATATTTTTGATAGACCTACAGATATGCCCATGTCAAAACCCATATTTTTTGCTCTCCAGGTGGTACTTTACTTCTTTGCTTTGTGCCTAATGTGTATCATTTCATTCTGGCTTTCACATTCAGGACAGAACTTCTTAATCATTTTTAGATACACAAAAGTAGGCATATTCCATCTCACTGTGCACAGCATTATCCAAAGCGTAATCTATGTTTGTCTAAAACTCTAGGGTTCCCACAGTGAAGTCCTAACTTTAATCAATGGAGAAATCTCAGAAAATTGTTTAGAAGAAATGTACAGTTAGAGAAAGACAGTGAATATTGTAGTTCCTTGTCCAGAATTCTTACTTTCTTTGAAAACTTTTAAAATAAGAGAGTTATGTTTCAAACATGTTTTCTTTCTCGTTCCTCAACACTATTGGAGTTTCACAGTTCAGATTAAGTACAATTAATATCAGAGGGATGGGTCTGTGATAGCGGCTTCTATGAGTCATCTGGCAGACATCCACAGTTATATACCAAGTGACAAATCATTTTGGAATCTGGGTATAGGATTCCTGCTCTGGAGGCTCAGAACCAGCAAGGTGTTTTCTATATTAGCTTTGAAATGCAAGGCTGATCACATCTCCCCATTTAAAAGCGATGGTGGCTGCTGGTTGCATTCAGGATAGTCAACAAAGCTCTACAGTATCCCATTGCTGTGACACCTCTGCTCCACCTCCATGTGTGCTATGTTGGAGCCACAGAAGCCCCCTCTTGTCTTCACTGGCATGTGCTTGCACACCACTATGCCCTTGCTGATGCCAATTCCTATCCTAGGAGTGCTTCCCCACTTTATATGCCTGCTGGATGGTTCCCTCATTCTTCAAGACCTAGCTCAAAAGATATCCCCACTGTGTAACTTCTTTAGCTTCTTTAGGCGAAGTCATTACGGTTTGTCTCATTACCTCCTGGTCTTGCCCATGACAATGTGAGCTTTTGGAGGGAAGGCACTGTATAGTGTTAACTGTTATATCGCCAGCACATGGCCTAGGAAGTACCTGGCAGAGTGAGGTTGTGGGGATAGTGCCTGGCACACATGGCTCACACCTATCCACAGATGTAAGCTTCAAATGCTACCGGGAGGAAGTTAGCTAGGCCGGACTCCAGGTCCTCCAGCCCACTTCCACCAGAACAGCCCAGCTTTCATTTGTTCCCACTCTAGGCATCCATAGTGGCACAGATAGGCATTTAATTAATGTTTGTTAAATGGATGGATGGATGGATAAATGGGTGGATGGATGGATGGTTACCAGTGCAAAATCTCATAATTCAAATAAATTGAACAAATTCACAAATACTTAGTAAGGACTTCCAGTGTTTCAGTACTAGGTCCAATGAGAACTATAAGGAGATAGATAACTCAATGTCCACTTGAGGGAATTTTAGATTAGGTAGCAACTCAGGGCTTAAATATATGAAAGATAAAAAGGAATTCCAGAGCCAAACATCAATAGAAGTCCCACAGATGACCTTTGAGGCTGAACTGCTGTAGTAGATGCACTACCAAGCTGAAGTAGGGAGGGCTGGAGGGTTTGTAAATGATCCCTTAACTAGAATGAATTTTACCATGACAAGTATATTTCCACTGCTTAACGTTTTCTAAAACTCACCAATACCATTCATTGAAAATATGTAAGTTTAAAAGTTATGTAAGTTTAAAAGAAACATGAGGTAAAATAATAAATAAATATTGAAAGAAATAAGATTTTTAAAATAAAACAAAATGACCTGAAGATACTTAGTATAAATTATTGGAACATTTTGCAGAAAGTTTGTAAAATGTATCTCCTACAAGTTCACTGTGATTGTTTAGAACCTAGGAGTGTTTTGAGTGATGGTAACTTGTACAGTGGTCACAAGAGTGGAGGTGGATGAAGGAAAGGATATGAAATTGAGAGAGATATGGAAGTCAAAATCAAAAGAATCATACATTGGTTTGGCTTTGACAGGTTAAGGGACCAGACTGACTCCCAGATTTCTGGTTTCTGTTACTGGGAAAATATTTGGGGTTTTTGTTGACAGGAAATAAGAGGGAAAAATTTAAAATAAAGAAACAAGGATTTTTTCCCCTTTTAAAAAATGATAATAGTAACAACAACCATAAATAAATAAATAAATTTGCTGACCAACCCTAGTAGTCACAGCTAGATAACAGCAGAACATATAAAGAAGAATTCACATCTCTCCACCAAGGGCAAATTTAAGTTTTGTGGGGCCTAAAGCATATACAGCTGTGGACAGGGGAAGGAGCTTGTTTTAAGAAGGAACACAGAATTACAAATACAAAATAAGAAATTGAATATTCCACTAGAATGAGAAAAAATAATGGCATAATATTTTTACTATTTGTCTAACATACATTGATGATGCTTTTTTCTTGCATTTTTTGTTTTTGGCTTTATACTCTGAATATACTTGAAACCCTGCAGTTAGTCCTGTATCCATCTGTCAGGACCAAAGTTATGGTGACCAGCCAGCCTGAGGTAGTTTAGAAACAAAGCCACTAAGACTACGATAACAATTTGCATTCACTGAAGCTGTGTACGAGGTTAGAGCACCCTAGAATATTCATTTATAGCATCATCTACTCCCTCTCCTTGAGATAATCAGAAAGTCCATTGTGCAAAAGTGGAGACGTGGAGTCATCTTTTCCAGATCTGCCTCTAAACATGGCATGAGGTGTGCAGAGAGCACTTATAGCATATGTGATGAGCGAATGAAGGAATGAATAGAAAAACAATGTTTTCTATTAAGGAATATCATTTAGAGCAGTAATGCCTCAGTACCCACTTCTGTGGCCTAAGGAGAGAATTTTTGAAGATAGCTAATAGACAGCTGCTGGAAAGAGTTCCCCAAACATTATCTGATAAGTAGGACAATTTATGCAGAGGACAGGAGCAGAGGGGAGGTAACGAGGTCAGTCAGTAAATCACCGGGCGTTTCTAAGACTTTTAGGCAATTCTCCTAGCTATACCATAGAAAAATTATTTTCATAGCTTAGGAAAA
Organism: Homo sapiens; assembly: GCF_000001405.40. Taxonomy (NCBI): domain Eukaryota; kingdom Metazoa; phylum Chordata; class Mammalia; order Primates; family Hominidae; genus Homo; species Homo sapiens. The sequence goes on along the minus strand of NC_000001.11, from coordinate 87,792,928 downwards.
TAAGTCTTTGCTAAGTTACCAGGCATTTTCTGTTGGTTTCATGGTAAATTTCTTGTTGATCACTTTCTGTTCCCCCATTTTACTTGCCAGCTTTCTTAGTTGCCAAGTGGTGACATTTTTCATTTGCCGTGAAGAGTAGGTGACGTTAGTAACAGCCCTGTATGCATTCTCCACTTCACTGTCTGAGATGTTAAAAAGGCATTCTGGAGAAATCAAGACAGCTGAGCTCTCTCTTCCCATTCCCAACTTTGCTGCTTCTTGTACTCAGTCACTTCCTCTTCCCAATTCTCTGTTAGTATGTGCATATGTGGAGCATTTCCTGATGACTTTAGGAGCCTACTTCCCAAATTACTTTATGTGTAATGGCATTGCTTCAGATGTAGTTCATTGGAATTTTTGGTCTTGCATCTATCTTTTTTCCCAACCATGGAACTGCAGGTCTTCTGAGTCTCAGAATGAGGAACACCACTGTACGACCAGCTCTTCCTTCCACGGAGCTCAGTCACTAACCCTGTTGCATACCAAGACTTTCAGATCTTGGTTACCACCTTGTGCACCTTTTTAATTCTTCTCCAATGTGTATTTCCTGTAATATGATATTCATTTGGGAGCACAACCATAGGATTGATATGGTCTGACCTCTGGTGTTCAAATCATTTGTGAAATACGCTGCATGGCCTTTTCATTTTCAGCTTTTCATCATTACTTCCTTGTGTTATTTTGCTTCAATCACATCTGTGTTTGCTTATTGTGCACCCAAATATGTCAAACATCTCAATGGCAAAAGAAAAAAATATACAGACACACCATCTTCTTTTCCAAGTTGTCATAGAGCATGATCCCTAAACAGACTTCAGAGTACTCTGTACAAAATGGTCCAAAAACAGAGCAATGAAATATGGTGGAAACATGAACTTCCTACTGAACTAGGCTAGTCAAAACATAAGGAGATAAAGAACATTGTTAAGACTTTTCTTTGACATTTTTCATGCATTAGTTTTACTTCTTTATTCTACTAATCTTTTCCTAGACAAGTTGTGCTAGCCCTTCAGTTTTCAGCAACTAAAGTGCTTCGCAGAGCTTAAAAACACCCTAAACACTCTTCAAGCTTTACAGACAATTGGTCCATATCTATTTTTCCCAATAAACTATAGACTCCACAGGAGGACAAGGAGTTTGCCTCTCTTGTTTATTTCTATATTCCAGTTCTAGAAGACAGTAGGTGCTCAATGCAAATTTGTTGAAGGAATCTTACCTTGTTCTTTTCATTAGTTTTTGATCTTCAGTACGGACTTTTTCTGTTTTATATCTCTTTTGTTATGACTATTTTTCTCTTCCTCATTCCTACTTAAGAGAGTTTAGTACTTTTTGACCTCCACTTCATTCCTGTTTTGTCTTTTATGTTCCTTTTGTGGACCCTCAATTTCAGAGGCAGCATGATGTATTCTCCACCTGCCATTGTCTATCCCTCTATGACTTTTTGAGCAGTTGCTTTCCATAGTCAAGGTGCATCTGGCTCTTTGGAGGCCCAAAATAGAATTAAAGGTGCCACTTTGAGAACATAATTCAAAATTATAATGCAAAATTATAGACAAGCTCCTAGGGATAAAGAACTGGCCTCTGCTGACTGAACACTTTTCTGTCAGTTTCCCTAGAAGTGGCGGGAGATATTGCCCAAACAAAACATCAGGAATAATTCTGAAAGCAACCCAAATGTAATTTTTAAAAAGTCATATAAGAAGAAGATAAAAGTGATGTACAGGAGGTGTTATGAAGATAGATAAGCTGGAGTGGGAATGAAGGGATATGTTCTTCAGAAATTTGGCAATTGAAGCCAGTGTGGCTCGTAAAAATCAGTTACAGCATAGTGGTTAACACCTTTTGATTTATATGGGCTTGGGGTTTATTCATGAGCTGTGCAACCTCAGGCAAATTACTTAACCTGTCGATGCTACTGTTTGTTTGTTTTTTATTTATAAAATGCTTAACCACACAGGGCCTCTGCAATGATTAAGTCTGTGATGCATGTTGAAGCATTTAGTACCATGCTCAATTATGGTTTGTCTGAGCCATTAAAAAAGCTTTTTCAAGGAATTGCAGAAGAAAAGAGAAGAGGAAGGAGGAGAATAATGTTAACTAATCCAGCTACCAGTTTCCTTAGCATTAGTCTACTTCTACATTACCCAACCTGCACTACAAGCCAGTAAGCAATGAAACCAGTAGAATTTCTGGCTCTTGAGGGCCCTATTTCAGTGAATGAAGTGAGATGCTTGTATTTCAGGTGCTGGCTATTGTCCCTGGTCAGTTCAAATGGGTCACAGCAGATCAGTTGGAAATGAAACATAGGCAGCATAACAAATCTCTCTCAAAACGGCATCATCAAAATGATGAGGGTTCACATTACCCAGGCCACAGTGAGTTTGCTTTGGGGGCCCTTCACTGTTCTACACTCTATTATTGATGGTCTGTCTAGAAAACTGAAGAAAAAGCTTAGTTTGCTTCTGTGGTTCCTCTTGGGGAGCAGGAGAAGCTGGAGAAGCCCATTTTTCTAAGGCAGTTTGCCTACAAGCTATAGCCTATATCATGATGGTAAAATGATAAACACTGATGATCATCACACCACATTTGCATCTAAATTCGTAATGCAGAATGCATCCTATTTGAAAACCCAGCACCCTTGTTTATTATTTATTTGTGTAACATGAAACAGAGATCTGAATAAATAACCTTCTCCTAATGTTTAATGTTTAGGTTAGGCTCTTGTTTTTTGCTTTTAGACATGTTCAAAATGTTCAGAAGTCCTGCTAAACACTATTTCTTGTTCTTGAAATACAATATTTTGAACTCTATTATTCTGCCTTCATCTGCTCCCCATGTAATCTCATAGCATGGAGTAATTTAAAAGAAATATTGTTCCTATGTGGCTTTCTTGTTCTAACTTAAAACCAAATTCAGGGCTATTGTAAAGTTTAGAAAAGATACCTCAAATATCTGAAGACTTAGCGGTATTCACCATATAGATTTTGTAACATTTATTCAAGTACTAAACTCTAGGTAGCTCATCCCATCCATTTCTCTAAACCTTGGCTCAATAGTTCAGCAGCTGTTTTAGATGGCAAAGATGAGGTATGACTATATGAAACACTGCTCCCTATTTCTCACAAACCTTCAAAGCCAGTCTATGCCAGTCTTAGCTCTGGAAAGTCACTCTTGAGAAGGTCAGAGCAGGTGTGGGAAGATTTCTAGGCAAAGATCTCACCATCACATAGTCAGTGTGTATTCAGGCTGGCTGGGAATTCTCTGGCCTCTCCAAGAGCAGTTTTGGCTTACTGTTGAATTTCTCGTGTGTTCCTGGGACCCATTAGGAATGTAAATCTAGATTTTACAGGACTTCTACAAATTGAGTGGAATCCCACAGCCTACTAGTATTACTTTAGAACTAAACTCATTTCCACAACATGGCAGGTTATGGTAATAGAGCAATAATTACTCATCTTCCTTACTTATTGCTGTCATTTGAGGAGGAGGAGTTTCTTGCAGGTCCATTTAAAGTTCCCATCTCTTTGGCCTCTGCTATCTGTGTTACCTTCTATTAATCTTGAATTACAGCATGTCTTCAATATGTATCTGAGAAAACAATGCCCTTAATATACAACATTGAAAGTTATGCATAGGTGTAAGTGTCACTTACCTGATAATCAAAGAGTGAAAGGGATAAAAGGAACTGTAGCCCTGGCCAAACATGACACAGGATGAAGCATCGCTAAGTTGCTCTTGGGTTTTGGGGGTGGGACTCCTTATTCAAACAGGGTAGGAGAAACTGTCTTTAAAATGCATGGCCAGCCACCAAGGCAAAGCACGAAGGATGCCGTTTAAATGGAGATTGTATCTCTGCAACAGCCAGTAAACTTTTTTTGGAAAGAAGTGTTCATCGAGGACTTCAAATCAACTTTGTATGTAAATGTATACTAAAAATAAGCCATGCATTATGGATGATAGGTACATGGCTCTGTCTCAAGGATTTTGCAGACTAGTTGGAAAGCAAGCCTCTTACCTACAAAACATTTCATCCAAACGTCCATTTCCATTTCCAACCAATGTGTTGTGCTGTATTTTTTTTTTCCTACAAGAGCCTCCAGACTAGCTGTCGGGGTGACAGACACTCTGCCTTATCACTAGCTCCATGTAGACCAACATATGGAAAAGTAAAAAAAGGATCTGCAGCCTAAACAATGTGCTTCTGTTGCTTGTTTCTGAGTGTTCTGTTGGGCTGGTGCTCTAACTGTCCCACTGATATGTTTTCTTGTCTTAAAAAGTGATGAAACCAAACATAAGTTAGAAAAGTATCCAAGAGGAACAAAGAAAAATGTGGAAAATATCTGTGGTCTCAAATGATATGTTTTCATTTGATTTCATTGAAAATATTTGCAGACCTAGAATATTTGAAATGTATGGCTCTCCCTTGGAAAATTTAACTTGCAATATAGGCAAGTTCCTCAGTAAAGAACTATAGGGGTATGACAAGATAACAAAACAGCAGGTGACAAGATAACAAAAACTGACTGCTTTGGAGAATATACTCTGAGCATTTAAAGTATTGGCATTATAGAGTCTCTTCCGTTTTTAAAAATCTTTTTCTGCATATTTGGTCTCTGCCTCTGGATTCAATATGTAGTCCTTCTCTATAGCCCTGGACCCAAACTAGGAAACTCTAGTTCTGAGCTGAAAAAATGTTGACCTCCATCTCTCTGTTTGGCTTTCCATCTGAGGTTAGGTCCATGTCCTGTGGGTTTGGCAGAGGGGCTAGTACCCAGGCCAGGCTCCATTCTCTTCATAAAGCTGCAGAGGTTACCTGCTCCTATGAATATGCTAATTTGGTTTTTTAAGATTCCATCCCGCAAGTGCAGCTAACTGGCTGCTTCCTCCGTTGCACTTTTCTAAGCACTGATTAGATAAACTGAGATCCTTTCTCAGGGAAAGAAATTCTGACTCCATACTTTGCCCCATTGCCTCAGTACATTGGTGTAGGCAAGGGAGGCTCTGAGCACAGACGATCAGCTTGCGAGAAATCCAGGGGAGGCCAAGATGACAGCCTCTGACACAGACAGGCATGGCAGAAGGGTATTAATTATCCATAACTACAGGCATTTCCATGTGCATGCTTTCCACCTGCTGGGCTAACTCTGTAATGTTCTGACTTTACCCACTGTGGGAATCACTAAAAGTCATCATCCTTGTGAACATTCTTTGAGCATTTGCAATGTGAGAACACTGTGAAAGGTGCTGGGAACCAAAGAGAAAAAAGGCAGATCTCCCTGCCTCCAAAGACACACAACCTAGGTGAGAAAGAATGAATACAAAACGCTAAGATACAAAGAGCACTGCACTTAGTGCCACGTGAATGATTGAAATAATATGATTTTAGGAAAGGAAGTATTTCAATCTGGGAATGTGGCTCTACACAAATTTGAATGGCTTATTGGAATAGGTGATTAAGTCCTTGAGGACAAGGACTTTGGTCTTATGCAAAGGCCCCTGGGGTGCTCTGTGTCAATAAGCTAAAAACATGAGTTTTTTTTTTTTATTCATTCAGTCATTTATTCATGTTAATTGTTTTGTTACCATCCCCGTCCCTCCATCCTATAGTAAAACGTCAGGTTTTTATGTAGCAGATTCAGATTTGTGCAAATTGGAGTTGTATGCACTTTTTCATAGAAGAAACTAGAATTTTACAGGCGGTCACCCCATCTCAATGTGTGCTAAGTTGGGCTGTGCAGGAGCCATGTAGATGAAGCTGCTGAGGCCCTTGTTTGCACAGGGAAGCCTAGTAGATAAGAAAAAACACTGAGGCTGCAGACTTCTGCTTTGAACTGTGCAGATGCAAGATGTGCAAAGACTGTTACAAGCCCCCTGCTTTGACACAGATAAGAGAAACAGAGAGAAGATAGAGCCTTGAGTCAGAAGGCCGAGAGCCTTGGGAAAGGCAATGTTCATGCATTTCAACCAGCAAGGCTTCCAGCAACCAGGAAGTACAAAGAGCCAGAGAGAGAAGGAATACCAGTAAGAACTGTAGATTCAAAGAAGGGAGAGGGATATAAACTGGTGTAGAAAAAGCCAGAAACCTTAAGAATCAATTGGCCTCCTAGGAGAATCATTCTTGCCTGGAGACCTCATACCCAGAAAGAGAAAGAGAGCTATGAACTTTCTGAACCGCCTTCTATGTCTCCAGCCATTCCCACCCTGGCTGCAGCCTAATAAACTCATAAGCCCATGGTGCCTGGTTGACCTGTCAGTTCTTAATGAAATTTGATTGCAGTGAAATTGCATTGCTAATCCCCCAGAAATTGACCCAGGGTTGACTTCACTCCTTCAGATTGTATAAAAGGATTCAGTGTCCCCAGAATCACACACATTTCCAGGTGAATCAAGGGGCTTGGTGCTTTGTTCCATTTCGGGGAAGCTGATGCATTCTGGGAGACAGAAATTCTTTAAGCATTAAGTTTGTCTTGTTCTAGCCCAAGCATGATAGTGGAGCCTTTAGTAAATTTTTAACTTGTCATTAAAAATGCCTTTCATATCAGAATTTTCAAGGGCACTGACAGCTGAACAAAAAGAAAAGACAGGCATAGGAATTATAAAAATAAGCAATCATACATTTTGAATACAAAAGGGAAATGCACCTTCTTTCAGGGTGTTTCAAGAAATAAAGAAGTGCATTTTTCAGATAGACTGCTATTAAGGACACCTCTAAACATATCAGCCATAAGAGTATTGCTTTGCCATTCTTCTTGTAAAGAGGAAAAACAAATGAAGTTGGCAAATGTAAAACTTACAATGTGTTTTCAATTGCAGATCATGGCACTTTTATCCCGAAATTTGGGAAAGATAACTTTTAATTACAGTAATAAGAACCACATGGGCAATGATTGATGTGCGCCTGATGTGTTCTATTCCTTTATTAATCTTTTTAATTAGAAGCAAAAGAATGTTTTATCTGCCAGGAAGGAGATGAGATGGGCAGTGATGCTCTCCCATACTTACGAGACTACAAGGCCTGATTGCTCACCAAGAGTTCACTGTTCACCTGGGGCCACAAGGTGAGGGGCCCAAAGCTGGGAACATTTGTTTCCAGCTGGGAAGGGCTTTTCTTATATCTCTTGCTGCAAATCATATGCATGAAGAGCCATTTTTTCCCCCTTTCTATTAGATTAGTTTTTGCTGGCATTGTTAAAACTGAGGAGTTAGGGAGGGCATTTAAAATTGTTGCCACACCAGTGTTGGGAGTTCACATGTACAGTGAAACTAAGAATGAAGAACTGAAACGGCAATATCAGGGAAACTGGAAAGGGAGCCCAAAGTATGATGGAAGCATGTCAGAAAGTATAGTTAAGCTACAGAAACAAAAATAATGAGAACAGCATTAACTGGGGTTACAGGCTTATGACAAAGCCAGAACTGACAAAATAGGAAAACAGGATTGGGAAGAATGAGAAATGTAAGTAAATGAACAACAGTATGAAGTAACCCTCTTTTGAACTTTAAAGGTTGCTGGAGTCAGTACTTCGATCTTTATGCTACAGAATCATATATTCAGCCAACAAAGTCTTACTGAGATCCTACTATGCATCAGGCATTGTGCTGGGTCCTGGAGATGCTATCCGTAGGAAGAAAACCTGGAAGAGTCATAGCTCGCAAGTGGTATAGGCACATATGTGAATATGGAAACACAATGAAGAAATTATCTAACTGCCTGGTGGTGTAGAGGTCAGGGTAAACATGGCAGAATGAGTACATGAGCTGACTCTTGAAGAATAGGAATGATCTGGGTAGATACAGAGAAATGTTGTAAAGCTATGAAGCAGCACTTCCTGTTGAGAAAACGACACATAGTTGGGGGCATGGTTCTAAATTGGATAAATGGTGCACAATGAGGCTTGAGAGGCAGGCAGAAGCCAAATTAAGGAGGGACCTCATGGTGTGGGTGATGGGACTCCACCAAGGAAGCTTAAATAAGCAGCCATTAGAGTGCAGGGGTTAAGAGGAGAAGCTGTAGAGCCAGAGAGACTCTGGATAATAGATTCACCCCTTACTAGGCGCCCATATTGTGTAGCGTAAATAGCATAGACTTGTGTCTGAGTCCCAACTCTAAGCCATAGTTTACTTGTCCATGAAGTAGGGAACACACCTCCCTAAGAGTTTCGGTGAAGATAAGACGATGAGGTACGTAAAAGTGTCTGACATGAAGTAAGTAGAAGCTTAATAGGTGTCACTTCCAATTGCTTGTAGAATTCCTGGTTCAACAGAGATTTGTTGCAGGGAACTTCAATTTTAAAAGTGCACATCATTTTCTCACATCAGGATGCTAGCCGCATTTAGCAAGAGTTTGAAGAGAAAAATTGACAGAAGTTCAATTCCAGATTTTCTAATGAATTTAAGCAGTACCCACGCAGTTAAGTCATTCATAGATCACTTATTAAAAGTATTGCAGTCAAAACAGGTCAACCCAATAGATGCTTTAAAAGCAAAAGAAGGCTTTGGGAAAGGAGTAAATCACTAAGAGCTGTACCAAGAGAATAGTCTTCATAAAAGATCTTGCATGATGACAACATTTATTCAAATAAGTAAGATCCTGCTTCTTCCCCTTCAAACCTGGTTTGGAACCATCTAGATAAACGTTTCCTTCTTACACAGAAGACCTATGTAATACAAAGTGAAGATGGTAAGAAAAGCAGGGCATAGCAGGTTTGTTGAGGTTGAAGACAAGTCTAAGCCAGAGCAACGGAAGGTTGGACAATGCCAAGGACGGGGTAGAAGCTGCTCTTGTGCCGTGTGGAAAAGCTTGGGGTGAAGGGCCAACTCCCCAGTGAATGGAAGGAAGGGACCAGAGCTGGGAACTGCAAGATGGTTTTGTAGCCATATCAGTGCACGCATGTTTCCCGACAGTGTTTCTCCAGTCCTCTCATCCTCCCGTTCTGGGGTGTTTTACTTGTTTTATGACCCAGTTCATGTTCTTGGACTTTGATCAGATGGGACACTGAGCTAAAATAGATAAATTTTGGCTTTTTTTTTAAATTAAAAAGCTTTTAAATTAGTGCTTTTGAACATGACCCCCTCCCCCCCATTTTCTTTTCTTTTATTTTAGTATTTGGCATACCACTGTGTATGTGTCGGGGACAGGACCTACCATGGGTGTGTTCCAATCCCTTCAAGTACATTATCACCCAAAGCGAATGTCAAAGTGTCTTGGCTCTGTTCATGTATATAATGACCTGGAGGAGTCAAACTGTGGAGCACTGCGAGAGACAGAACATACAGGAAGAGAAAAACCAGCACAGGCCACCCCATAGACAAAGAGACCTATTATTAAATAATCTTTTTCCAGATAACACATGGTCAGTTTCTTCATGAGCCACTGTTGTCTTTACTGGGATTTGTTGTCAACACACCTCCCTCCTAGAACCAGGAAGTCTCCTTTATTTTTCTTTTGAGGAGACAAACCTGGTTTGTTCAAATTAAGATACACAGAATGAGGGCACAGTACTGGGGTCAGCATTCCAGGGTTGTCAGCAGTGTCATTTGTAAGAAGTGCCCTGTATAAAGACATAATGAAATCATGAAGTAACTAACATTCATGAGAGCAGCTGCCCTCTGGCTTGTGTTTTAGGGTGGCTGAGGCTCCTTCACTATCTTCTTTTGTCAACCTTCTTGGCCTACTCCTTCTTACTACTTCTGAGTTGAGCAGACCAACCTCTGTCTCTACACAGACACAAATGGCACTTGCTGATTCTCGAGGGTATGTTAACTTGCCCATTGGAGTAGTGAAGATTCTGAGATGGTATGCAATGAAAACTTTATTTAATCCAGTCCGTCATGTTAAATTGAGTAAGCTCCAGTTTTGTGGGACTTAGGATAGAAATCAGTGGTTAAGTATATTTCCATAATATTCTGATTCTTCATGCTTGAGCAAGAAAAGCTGGTGGAAGAGACGATGTAGGGTTTCTGAGGGGTTTTGACACCTAAATCCTACCATATCAGAAGCCATCTACTCCTTTGTGGTCAGGTCTGCCCTAGCCAGTTACATAGGATACCTGTGTGTACACCTGTGACAAATGCACTTCTTGGTTGCTCCCCTCTTCATCTTGTACTTTTAGTTCTGCATTTCCAACACAGACAGTTCTCCCCACTCTTCACCAGGTGTTGAATATTTTATTTGTCTGAAGTTTGGGCTTTAACTCTAGACCTTTTAGATTATTTTGAGTTTTAGCCAGCATAGAACTGCTCCAAGACTAACTTCATCTCTTAAAGATTACAGACTTGATGGAAATTTGGAAGCCTAAAGGGAACTATGGAAAATGTTTTGACTTGCATTTTTTCCAACTATGTCAGTCCTGCCAACTGAAGATCAGTGGGAAGGAGGATAAAAGCAAAGCCCTGGTTAATTTAATCCCAACCAACTCATCTATCTCAGGATCTTACTAATTAATAAGTCATGTTATTCAACAAACTTATTGAATACTTCTAGGCTAAGTAGCATGCTTGGAGTTAGGGATACAGAAATTGATAAGACATAGTCCCTGATAGATCAGTAGTTCTTGGTTGAGGATTTTGAATCTACATTTTTAACAAGCACATCAGGGGATCTTGATGTAGGTGGTCTGAGGACCAAATTTTACTAAACACTGGTTAGTGATGATTCAGTTTTCCCAAATCCAAATTTATTTTCAAAATAGACAGATGAAAGTAGAGAATGTCAAATATCTTTCAATTCTGATGTCTAGTCCTGTCTGCAACATAGATCTTGAGCCTAAGTGGTGAAGGTTTTGGTAAACAGAAAGCATATGTTGACAATATCTCAATTTATATTAATGGCCCCAAATGAATCATCTGTTAGTGACAAGAAGTGTACAATTTAGATCCCCTGATGCCAATCTCTTTCTCTATGTGTTGCCCATAAAAATCCTGTTGATTTTACAATTATTTAGAAATAATGATAACCCAAATGCTAAGGAGGGAGGAAGGAGGTTTGATTCTCTCATCTGCCTCTTGTGCCTCCACATTAGTGAGGGCAGCAGATCTGAGCAGTTTGTGTAACTCTTTTTGGTCATGAGAAGAAACAGCTTTCTCCAGTCTTGGCATTGGTTTCTAATGTTCTGCTCTTGCCTGTAATTAGAGTGTTGATTTAAATCCTAACAAAGTACTTAAAAAGGCACAGGACACACTGGACCTGCTGAGGGAAAATAGAAGGCTCTGCTCTTTTAAACAAGTGTCTCTTGGAGTGGACACGTAGAACTCCAGGATATAATTGTAAGTGTGCCCCAAGCAAAACATAGTCCACATTTTCAGATCTTGGAACAGCTGTTTGGTGAGGGCATCAGTTCAGCCCAAACAGATAAAAATATAATAATGGTAGTGTGTGCGTGGAGTATTATATTAAAAGTGTTACCATAGAACCCTATAATCACATAAGCATATCTGATTAAACAGGAGAGCTTTAACATTTGAGGATCTAACACTTAAGGTTATAGTTATTTATGAATAAATGATCCAAAGAGCCAGGCATCTGATCTGTAGGGCCAATATTCAGCCAGTACCCATCAGTTCATCTCTACTGGTTGCTCATGGCTGACATCTATTCTGATTGGCTGGGTGTCTGTTCTGATCAGTTGATGGGACTCATTGGGCTTCACAGATTTTTAGTGTCATCGCTGTGATTTGTGATTTAGTAGAGATGTGCTATTGAATCTCACTTATTATGAGTGAATGGAACCAGCTAGGTTACTTTTATCTGGCATCTAGAGGGGTCTCATATTTTTCAATGAAACTTCACAAAACAATGCTTTATTGATGTCTACAAAAACAGGAATTTTCAAAGTTTGAGATACATTTATCAGGAATGTGAAGAATCTGCTAAACTGTACTTTAAATCAGGCAAACATGGCTTGTTTCCATGTTTTAAAACCTGGGCACACTATGGTTATTATTTATAGTCTTCCTACCAAGTGTAGTTTATAAAGGGTCTCTGTAGAATCTCCCTTGATTTAAAAACTGATTTCAACAACTTGTTGAAATAGCACAGGGATAAAATGACAAATAAGACAGACACAGTCCCTGCTGTTATAAAGTTTATGTTCTAGTAGCTTGAATCATATTAAAGTACCAAATTTATAATATATTTCCATTACCTCCCCAATCATCATAGGACTACCACAGCTATTGCTATGGTTGCTGCTGATACTTTACGTTTATCACAACTGATTAATATTTATGAATCAATTACTATATATTTTAATCATTTAATATGTATTAATATAATCTACCCAATAACACTGTAAAAGAAGTATTATTACCAAACCCTTTTTGCATATTGGGAAATTTAGACTCCCAGAACTTAAGTTGTTGATTCAAGGTTACAAAGTTAATAATGATAAAGCCTCAATTGAAATTCAGGCAGTCTTACTCCAGAGCCCATGAAGATATTACCTAACACAAGTCAACATTGAGTAAATAAAACTTTAAATATGAAGGAACTAAACTTAGTTTAAGCTATGTGGTTTCCTTTGTTTAACTGCTGAGAGCCAGGCTAAAGTTACTGTCTTTTCTGGTTAGAAAGGATGGTAGAGCCCTCACACAGGAGCCAAGAAAAATTTCCTAAGCAAGATCTCTAACTGAAGACCATCCAGCTAGAGGCTGATCGTGGAGCACCTGTCGTATCATCAGCCAACCTGTTTTACTCACGGAGGTTTAACTTTGTAGGCTATTTTTCTCCCTGAGGCACTGAAATATTCTTTTTGGTAACTTTCATCCATGGGGCTACTTTTCTCATCTAGGGTGGTCCAGAAGAAGTCCACTCTATTTTGTTAGATCTTCTTTCCTGGCTGTGGCTCTGAATTTTCTCTTTTGTCAGCCATTTTCCAGAGATGTCATTGATGCCTATGGCCAGATTTTCCCTACAGATGTGATTCACAATATACGTACAATATTGGCCTTCACAAGGGTCTTTCCTTTTGGTTAAAATATAGCATATATATTTCTTTTTCTTTTTCTTCCTTTTTTTTTTTTTTTTTTTTTGGGCGATGGAGTCTTGCTCTGTCACCCAGGCTGGAGTGCAATGGCGCCATCTTGGCCACTGCAACTTCTGCCTCCCAGGTTCAAGCAATTCTCATGCCTCAGCCTCCTGAGTAGCTGGGATTGCAGGTGCGCACCACCATACCTGGCTAATTTTTGTATTTTTAGTAGAGACGGGGTTTCACCATGTTGGTCAGGCTGGTCTTGAGCTACTGACCTCACGATCCACCCGCCTTGGCCTCCCAAAGTCCTGGGATTACATGCGTGAGCCGCCATGCCTGGCCAAAACATAGCAAATATTTTTTAAGTTGGGAGATTTTTACATAAAATAATGAATCCCCATTTTCTCTTAATGATGATACTCTCTAGAAGCACTTTGACCATTTTGCTACATAGCATCAATTAGCTAAATAGCCACTGCTTCATTAGATGGGTCAGCCTCCCCTCCCTGGGCCCTCTCAGTGACTCATCATTTGCTTACACTTTTATTTTTCTTAAGATGAAACTTAATACTTCTTGGACTTATTTCTCTATCAAAGGATAGATGAGGGAAGAAGGACTGAGACGTCTGCATTTTCAAGAAAGATAGGAAAGAGAATAATTATTTAAGGCAGTGAAAACTATTCTTTATTGCTGCCCCGTTTTGCTCACCTTTATTACTTGCTTGGCTCCTATAAGGCTTTTGAGTCATAACCCAGCCTTTAGTTTTTTTTTTTTTTTTCCTATCCCATGTTTGCCAAACCCCTTTCCATTGTTCTTACCCTCCCCAAAGCACTTCAGTGTATTCATGTGCTTCTTCAGGTCTGCTTTCACCAGCATGGAATGCGTGGGTCTTTGAACTAGAATGCAAGTTTGCGATTTAAACTTCTTCTTGCATTCCCTTGCTATTCATCAACCCAAATCTTTTTGTCTACTTACCACATGTTAAGTGTCAAGACAAAAAAGTGAAATTCATCCAGATAATTTTTTGAGGCTTATAGAAAAATGATACAGAGACAAATCTTCAAGACGCGACATGGCAGGGTGAGGTCAGGGTCAGGTCTTAGAACACAAAATGCAGAATTTCCCTGAGATGAAGACCTGAGTTCCCAACAGAGGTGTCAAAATGTCATCAACCAAATTACAGTCTCAAAAGAGCATCTTCAGGCATCGCATTTTTAGGGGAAAAAAGTGGTATTTAATAACTATAACTGGGCAAGAGCTCATCTTTATAGCCCATTATATTGATAGAAAGAGCATATAATGACCCCTCATTGAAATCTAAAACCTCCAATTATTTTATTATTGTTATTTTATATCTATTGAGTTCCAGCTTTAATTTTACCCAGTTTGGTCCTATGAATGCAAATGTCTTTGTTGGTGTAGAATTTAATTTAGGCTTCTTTCTGACCTAATATTTAAAATGCCTTTTAAGTTTGGCATTTCCTTGCCTCTCCCAAACACACACACACACACACACACACACACACACACACACACACACACACCCCTCCCTACCAAAGACACAAAAATCTATTCCTTTCCTTGATACACCTTATTTTTTCTATTATTTCTGTAATAGAAAGAAAGGATTAAATTTGCTGGGAGAACCAAAAGGAGATATGGCTTTATTCTAATCAGCTATTAGAATAGGACTGTTAGTTTTTTTTTTTTTACATCTACTATAGAGAAATAATTTGTACGGTAAGTAGGATATTTTGTTCAAAAATAAGTCAAATTTTGTTCCTTCATTCCCTTAATTTCAACTCCAATTTGCCGGTAACTTAATAACATATTTCAGGGAAAAGAAACTAAGATAAGAGCATCATGTTTTCAAACGGAGCAGGCTGACCACAGAGTGCCCATAGTACACTCTCACTTTCTGGTAGTGTAGAAATGTCTGTTGCACCCTGAGAATTAACTTCAGAAGCAGCATCTACATTTCTATCCCCATAAGGTAAGAAAATAATGTCATGATTAACTATGACCATAATTATTTATGGCATAACAACGGTGGGTGGGGGGCTTTAAAGGCATCTCTACAATCACAACTGAGTTGCGTACCCACTTTCTCATGGAATATTCAAACTCCTTGGATGATTTGTTCAAATTGTTCATTAATTTATGGAGTGCAGGGCACTTTGGGAGGCCAAGGCGGGCAGATCACCTGAGGTCAGGAGTTTGAGACCAGCCTGGCCAACACGGCAAAACCCAGTCTCTGCTGAAAATACAAAAAATATTAGCCAGGCATGGTGGCAGGCCCCTGTAATCCAAGCTACCTGGGAGGCTGAGGCAGGAGAGAGGCAGGAACCGAGGAGGCGGAGGTTGCAGTGAGCCGAGATCGCACCACCACATTCTAGCCTGGGTGACAGAGTGAGACTCTGTCTCAAAATTAGATAGATAGATAGATAGATAGATAGATAGATAGATAGATAGATAGACAGACAGACAGACAGATAGATAGATTTGTGGAGTGCCAACTGTGTGTACTAAGTATTTCAGACAGAGCAAGAAGGCCATACCATTTGTCCTCATGAAGCGTCAAGACTAGAAGTTTCTGGGACATTCATATTCAGAAGTTATGTTCAAAATATTTAGCAATAGTGCAGGCCCTGCCTGGTCAGTACAGACACCTGACAAATCAGAAAGGACTCCAGATGGTATACCATATTGGTGCACAAAGGCTGAATTATCAGCTTCAGTCCTATCCTCCAATTTGTGACTTTTTTTTTCTAAAAAAGATTTTAATCTATTTTTTGAAAGGATATCCAAAATCCTTGAGAAAATAAAGGAAAATGTAACCTAAATTATGTGCAATGTTGTTCTCTCCTTTCCTCTTCTACCCAGCTGCAATGGGCTCTCTCCTCTTCCTGACAAAGCTTGATCATCTATTTTAAAGAAACATCCTAAACTATCACCAACCAATTTCACAGAATCCCTGTAGAGTGGCTTAGAATTACTATTCAGCAAAGTGAATTAGCTCAAGATCTGTCAATAGATTTTCTTCCAATGTCAAAGGCAATATTAAGTTTGAAAGAAACTTCCAAACACACACACGAACACAATCTTCTTTTCAAACATCTGTTTGTTCTTTGATCCTCTATCTATCACTGTCTCTCTTCTGCCTTCCTTCACTTTTTTATTATCAATAAAATATAAATCAAGATACTAAGAAGGAACTCTAGGAGAAGATGCAGGTGGAAGGGACAGAAAGTTGTAGCTTGTCCCTTGAGGTAAATGATCCTTTTGAAAGTTATCAAGAACTGATAGTGGGGAGAGAATGTAGCTAGAGATGAGGAAGGGGCCCTCAATATCTTCTTTAGATCCACATCTTTGTAGTTCTATTCTTTTTTAAAATTATATTATCTTTAAGTGGCAATGAATAGAAGTATTCTAGAATTGCTACAGTATGCATTATTTATAGTCATTTTAAAAATAATTGATAATGATTATTTATTATAATAGGAACACATAATTTCCAAGAGCATTTTAAAATTATTTTTTGAAATGACTCATAAGTCATCAAAATAATGTTGCACCATACTTAACAACATAACAGGCTAGAATAACAAGAAAAAAAATACCACAATGAACCAAAATGAAAAGTATTTTAAGAACTGTTAAATACTGTATGTTCTTCACAATGCTTTTGAAAAAACTTTAGTGAGGCATGTTTTACATATCATAAAATTCTCCTATTTCAAGAGTATAATATAAAGACTTTTGTTAAATTAACCTAGCTGTGTAATCATCACCAGAAGTTAGTTTCAGAATGTTTCCTTTATCCCAATAAGATCCTTCATGTCCATTTACTGTTCATCTTCTTTTCCACTCAATGTCTCAGGCAGCCATCATATACTTTCTATCTCTGCATAATTGCCTTTTCTGGACATTTGATATAAGTAGAATCATGTAATATGTGGTCTCTTATGTTGGCTTCTTTAACTTAGCATAATGCTTTTGAAGTTTGTTCCTGTTCGTGTATGTATCAGTAGTTTGTTTCTTTTTATTGCTGAGTAGTATTTCGTTGTATAGATATACTGCATTTTGTCTATTAATTCACCAGTTGATGGACATTTTGGTTATTTTCAATGTTTGGCTATTGTGAGTAATGTTTCTAAGATTGTGATTCATGTGGAAGTTTGGCTGAATGTGTATATCTTAATTTCTCTTAGGCAGTTACCTAGAAGTAGAATACCTGGGTCATATGAGACAGTGAATTACGGCAGAAGAAGAAAAGTAAAGTATTTGAATTCAGCCGTATCTCAGTTATACTGTGTATCTCTATGAAGAAAATTTTTTTACATGTAAAATGGAGATAGAATATCTATCACATTGAGTTATCCTATGATGCAAATAATGAACTATAAGTAGAATTTCAAGTCTAAAACAAGGCACTTAGCAATTACTTAGTATTTGGTAGTTATTAACATTAGAACACTGCATTTAGGAGGGAAGAATTTAAGATCATAATTCTTCTAAAATTATAAGAGCACAAAAGTGGCCATGTTTCAAACCAGGCTTGATCATTTATTCACTGTGGACATGAGCAGATAACTTCTGTGTGCCTTTAGTTTCCTAATCTGTATAATCAACCTTTCAAATTTGCTTGAAGGATTTGGTAGGATCATATGGGTGAAAGCAATTATTGTGGATCTGGCCCACTTTAAGGTCTCAGTAAATGGTCGCCATAAAATTATTTTGGGTAGCTTTCTTTTACATGTTTCCTTTTTCTACAACTCGATTCTTCAAATGTATAGGCATTTCTAGCAGGAGGGTGGCCAGTCATACAGTCTTCCTTTCATAGGTTAGGAAGACTGAGCTTCAGAATGACGAGCATTGTAATAAAAATGACAGCTAATATTTATTGAGCTTCCACTAATACGTGAGCCACTAAGATGATCGTTTTATGTGGTTATTACACAGAATTTTCCTAAGAACCATATTGGTAGAAACCCATATTGCTAGACTCTCCTTTCTACAGGTGAAGAAACTTTGGTCTATTGAGATTATGATCTATAGAGACTAAGTAAACAAGGGACAGAACCAGAACCAGGCTGTTTATCACCAAGACCAGAATCTAACCATTTGGCTCTAATGTCCTGTGTTCTACTGCAAGGAATGAGCTCAACCCACCTGACTCCCAGCCTGCTTGGGCTCTGTAAGACATATGCACTCTGTGAAATGTGATTTTAAAATCACATTAAATCTGACTCTTGCCCTTCTTTCCTCCCATCTTGCCTGCTCAATAGAGTTGGTGGGAAATCCAACCTCAGTTAATTTTCTGGGGTTCTTCTGTGCCTTTGAATTGGGTAGGAATCCTGGAGCTTACACAATTTAAGAAATCAAGAAATAAGGGAAGGATATTTTATCCTCTTGCTTTCAGTCCATCCCCATCACTGCTGAACTGTATGGCATCCACACTGGTCAGCGGCTAGCAAGTTCTTTGCTCACGCCATCCACCTCTTCTCTCACACCCCTTTACTGGAGACATTATGACTCTCATGGCCTATGTACTTAGGATTCCTTCCCATCTTCAGTTATCCATGCACCCACGCCCATCAGAGATCCCACCACCTCTGGGCAACACCACCTCTCCATACCTTGAGCATCGGAGGAATCTCTGTGGTTGGGCCACGCCACACCTCTTTCTTCTCTTTTCAGAGACCCTTGAAGAGTCCTGGTTTTACAAGCAAAAATCTCTCAACTCTCTTCTGAGAAAAGGGAGGCTAAAACCCAACAAAATCAGAAGCCTTGGCTACCCTCTTTAAAAACGGTTGTAAAAAGAATTCCTAATATTTCATGGTAAACCCATAAGACACCATTAATTTTGAATATGGTTATTCTACCACATTAAATTTTCAGTAAATCACTCTGCTACAGGTATGTCAGGTATTTGGAAAAGTAGATCAGAGAGGAAACTGTCACTGTGCTGATACTTTACAGTCTCTGAAGGGGCCTAGCATTTGACTAAATCTTTGATTCTTAATACACAAAACGATGACATTGTAACAGGAAGTATGTGTCTGAAGCCCTGGAGTTACTAATAGTAGGAATAGTTGCTGGCACAAGCATAAGTCTAAGTAGTGCAACTTTTTTCCTCTTGGATTCCTATTTTTCTTTTCCCAGGTGTATTTCTTTGTTTTTCCAATTATGTTTAGTGACATAATTAAAAAGTAGCAAAATGATTGCCAAAGTTGCTAATTATATAATTATGAGAATTTAAAGCAGCCATATAAAGAGTGGCTTTAAAAAGTAAAACGAACTCACTTGTTCTAGTTAGAAAATATTGAAAGGTCCTGCAACCAGACTCTGCACTGCTGGTCTCTGTCCTGCATTCACCTTTAGAGGACATTGTCATTCGGTCATTAGTATCTTAGGGGATGGCAGCAAGGTCATCATGCTCACTGCAAAAAGCTGTGTGCCTCACCTAAGGTCTTGAGTGGGTAGAAAGCTTGAGGTAGATTGTCCTGGGAAAGAGACTACGATTTCCATGAAAACTTGAAACCTTTTTGAGACTATTTATTCTGATCCTGCTAAACTGTGAAGCTCAATAAATTGTATATGGCACGGAGCCAATCCTAGAGAGAAATCGGCTCAGCATCACTTTCATCACTAATGTGTCTCTTTATCTGAAAGAGCTTTAAAATGGATGTTTTAACAGCATTTTAGGACATGTAGGGCTGAACAGGTGATATCTTTCCCCAAAAGGTTATCTTCCTTCAGCACAGAAAAGTTGGGTAACATTGGACAAAGTGCATTTAATAGATGTATTTAGCCCCCATTAAAGGTCAGGAAATATTTCTTTCTTTGCTTGCTCCTTCCTTCTCCCCTTTTTTCTCCCTTTCTTTTTCCTTCTCCTGTATTCAAATGCCTTTTTAAGATAAAAATGTTCTAAATTAAATATTATACACAAAAGAACGTTTGGAATACATAGTAAGGTTTAAAAACTAAAAATAGTTAATTATAATGTATTGTAAACTTGAAAATTGCTACGAGAGTAGATTTTAAGTGTTCTCATCACAAAAAATAACGCTAAAAATAAAACAAACACCCATGAAACCTACCACAGAGCTTAAGGAATAGAATACATTTTTGAAGCTCCTCCGTACGCCTTGTATTTCCCTGGAAGTAATTCCACCACTAAATTTTATGTTTTATATTTCTCTATTTTTATAGGCTTGCTACACATGTATTTCTCCTTAAACAATATATTATATAAGAATTGTATTGTATTCTTTAGATCTGGGAATTCTTTCTTGTGTGTAACATTTGCTTTTCTCATCTAACATTGTGTTTTTGAAGCCCATCTATATTAATGCCTGTAGGTAAAGTTCATGTATTCTCACAATATATAGTATATATATAGTGAGATATATAGATATATAGATGGAGACTATTCATAGTATAGAATATATATGTCAGAATATATAGTATTCCACTGAGTAAGTATACCATAATTTGTTTGTCCATTTGTCAATGAATATTAGGGATTTGTCTAGTGTTTTTCTTTGTTCATTTTTGCTCTGTTCTTTATTGCAAACAATTGGCTATGATTATTCTTGTTCATATATCCTAATTTATACTTGCAAAAGTTTTTAGTGCATCAATTCTCAAACTTTCTGACCTCACTATCCCTTTTCACTCTTGAGAATTGTTAAGGATAAGTAAGGGCTGCTGTTTACATCGACTGTATCTATAAAAATTCTTACAGTATTAGCAGTTAAAACTCAGAAATCTTTGAATGTTTATTAGTTTATTCAAAAATAATAACAATAATCCCATTAGATGTGTCTATAAACTGAATGTTTGTTTCCCACCAAAAATTCTTTGGTTGAAGCACTAATCCCTCATGTGATGCTATTTGGAGGTAGAGACCTTTGGGAGGTAATTAGGTCATGAAGGAGGAGACCTCATGAATGAGATTAGTGCTTTTATAAGAATGGATGGGAGAGAGAGATGATCTGTTCTCTGCCATGTGAGAATACAGCAATAAGCTGTCCTTCTGCAAGCCAGGAAGAGGGCCCCAGGAACCAGAGCTTCAAGCTTCTTGATCTTGGACTTACCAGCCTCCAGAACTCTGAGGAACAGATATCTGTTGTTTAAGCTGCATAGCACCCTGAACTGTGTAGACACGTGTTTAAATCAATAACATCTTTATTAAAGTTGACTATTTTTTCCAAAAAGAAAAAACATGAATTAAAGAATGACATTATCTTTGGTTTTGGTAAATCTTTTTAATGCCTGGCTTAAATAACGACAACTAAATTCTCATATCTGCTCTGTATTCTGTCTGTTGGGTTTGTTGTTTGGCTGAAGTATGTGAAAAACATCGGCCTTGCACAAATATGTAGTTGGAAATATGATCTCTCAGACCTGCTGGAAAGGTTCTCACAGCATTACTTTGAGGACCACTGCTGATGAGTTAAATTGCTTTTCAAGGTAATATCAAATTGTTTTAAAAAGTGATTGTGTCAGTTTATACCCCTACTCACAGTGTATAAATGTTCTTATCACCCTTGCCTTTGAAGCTGTTTAACATTGTCAGACTTTTACATCATTTAAAATCTGCTGAATAGGAAATGGCATGATACAGTGGATTTAATTTTATCTGATGAATAATGAGGTTGAACATCTCATATATGTTTTTCAAGGACTACGAATGTTTTCTCTTACATAAAATACTAACCTACTCTTTTGACCATTTGAATATTGAGTTATCATTTTTATTGATTTGTTCTTTTTATATTTTGGATATGTTCTGTCATCATTTATAGGTATTAATAAGTATCTTTCTCCAAAGAAATGTATAAACTTTTATCTTAATGATCTGCCCTTTTGAAGAAAGGTAGAGTTTAAGAAAACCTTTCCTATCCTAAGGTCATAAAAATGTTCTCCTATACGTTATTCCAAAAGGTTTTTCTTTCTTTCCACATTTATGCCTTTAATCCACCAAGAACAGTATATGTGAGGTTGGATTTTGGCATATCTATAACTATTAGTCTCATTCTAGTTTATTGAATTGCTCATGCTTTCCCTACTGGTTTGCATTGCCAGTTTTTTTATATATCGAATGTCATATATGTTTCAGTGTCTATCTGGGCTCTCTATTGAATCCATTGCTCTATGTGTCTATATCTCACCAATACCAAAAAATCTTTATTACTTTAACTCAAAGAAGTTTTGATATACGATAATGCTGATTGCTCCAATTTCTTCTTTAGGAACATCTTGACCACTATTGTTCTTTTATTTTGCCATATACATTTCAGGGTCACTATACAGCACCCATACATTTGAAAAACAAAACCCAAATCGAAACAAAACAAGAAAAGCCTTGGAAATTTGCTTGGCATTACATTCAATCTATAGATTAAATTGGGGAGAATTGACATCCTTATAAAATTAAGTCTTGCTATCCTCAAGTATAGTATACCTCCACGACTTTTTGGTCTTTATTATCTTTGAATAAATCCAAAACTAACATTTCCATAAAGTCTGTGCATGTCTTCTGTTAGATTTATTCATGCTCTGTTATATTTTGTATTGTTATTATAAATAATAGCCTTTTTAAATTCTAAATTTTTAATTATTACTGATATAGAGCAATATAACCAGCTTCTCATATCTGGCATTTTAGTAAACCCTGTTATTCTTTGTAGACCGTTATGCCCTTAGTCTATTATAAAAGTGTTCCTTCTTTTCCAATTTTCTACCGCACTGGATCCGTGAGCATCTGGACAGTGCAAGCATCTTGATGAGAGCTTTAACTGTAATGAGGAATAGAAGTGTTGACACCTGGCATCTTGTCAGTTTCCTGAATTTAAAGAAAATGCTTTTAAAATTTACCTTCAAGTATCATAATTGTTATAGGATTTTTGTAGATATTCTTTTCATGAGTAAAAGTTGAATCTTATCAAATCTATTGAGATTTTATGGCTTTTCCTTTTTAATCTGCTAAATATGATAAAGTTTGTGTTAATAAAATTTCTAATTGTAAACCACACTTGAGTTTTTGTGATAAGCCTACATGGGATTTGATCTGTTTTCCTTTTTATACATGGCAGGATTCCATTTTTTTGTTTTATTTTGTTTTGTTTGAGATTTTGCGTTGATTTTTACATATAAGACTGACTTGTGATTTGCCCATCTCATCCAGTCGTCATCTAGTGCTGGTTTTCAGTATACACTAATCACATAATGTGACTTGAGGCATGTTCTTTCCTCTTCTGTTCTCTGACATATTTTATGTGTAAAAATTATGTGTTCCTTGAATATTCAGTATAACAATTCTGTAAAACGACCTGATCTTTGTATTCTCTTGATGGGGAATTTTTAACCTCTGTTTTAATATTTTTTAACGGTTAATATGTACCCTCTTTATTTTTTTCCTCTTAGCCTGTTTGGTTGTGCTTTTTCTAGGAATTTATTCCTTTCAACAATGTTTTCAAATTTATTGCCACAAAGAGGTTGATATTATTCTTCTAAATTTCTATAGCTGTTGTTGTAATGACCTCCTTTACTTCCTCATATTGAAAAGTTTTACTAGTATCTGGTTAGTCTAGTCTGAGTTTTATGAATTTTGTCATCTTTTGAACAACCAACCTTAGGTTTTACTGATTTTTCTCTTCTCTGTATTTGTTCTCTATTTCATTAATCTTTGCTTTTATCCCTCTTATTTCCTTCATTTTATTTTCTTAAGGTTTATCTTGTACTTTTTTTCTAACTCTACAATTTAGATAAAGCTCATTAATTTTGAACTTTCCTATTTTTCTAGTGTTAACATTTAAGGCTATAATTTTTCCTCTAAAGACCACATTAGCTGCATTTCTCAAGTTTTAAACATCTATTACATTTAGTAATTTAATTATTTTTCTGTACTAAGTATTTTATAATCTCTATTATAATGGTTTCCTTGACTCGTTATTCATCTATAAATAGTTGAATTTTTTTGAAACTTGCTTTATGGTCTAGTGGGTGGTTGACTTTCATATTCAATAATTAGATACCATGTTTTATAGAAGTCTTTTAGATAAAGTTTGCTAAGTATGGCTTTCAAATCTATATTCTTATTCTTTTTTGTCTACTTGATCTAGCAATTGCTGAAAGAATTGTGTTAGAATACCCCCAATGAAAGCCGATTTATCAGGTTCTTCTTGTTCTAATATATATATATATATATATATATGTATATATACACGTTAGGCTGTATTAATAGAAATTAACACATCCAGAACTTTATATTTTTAAGGTACATTAAATCTTTTAACATTATATAATGATTTTTTAAATTTCCAGTAATAGTTTTAATATTAACATATATTTTGAATTATTTTATCATTACCATATACTAACCTTTTTATTGATTTCTATGTTGTTTCTTTTAATTTCAAGCATTTCTTAGTCATATATTTTAGACATTTTTCTTATAAATAACATATACGTGGATTTTTAAAAAATATTCTATCATCCAATATTCATCTTTTTCCCCCACTGTTTATCTTTTAAATGAAGTGTTTACTTCATTTCAATGTTTTGTAGTTACCAGTACACTCAGAATAATTAATCTATTTTATTTTGTACTATTTTTTCCAATTCTATGTTTGATAGAACTTCATCTGGGGAAATGCTTTGAGACCTACTTTCAAGGGGCTTTAATCTATACAGGATATTTATTACTTTCAGTTTAAAACTTTCAAATCAGGATATATTTTAAATAATTTATAGATTTGAATTAGTTTTGGCCAAAATGAAAGTGTAAATAGGTAAGGGCTACAAATTTGAGTGAGGGCTGGCTTATGAATTAACAGGAGAGAATTTTTCTTTCCACTTAAATGTAAATTTCTCTATTCCCCTGTAAGACAAGCTTTCTCCTAACTCACATATCCCCTGTGGATGACGACCCATGTGGTCTTGGCTTTATGTGAGGTGCTCCTGTCAGAATCTCCAAGTTAGGTCTCTAAGATTTGCGTACTATCTTTATCCCTCAAATTCACCAAAACTGAACTTTAGATCCCCAAGGAGTAGCAATTGCTTCTCACTTCTCTTGGTTTTGTTTGTTTTGGGGCTTCAGAAACCTTTCTACTCTAAATTCCTGCTTTCACTAATTTTTGGTTCTTGAAAAATTTATCTACCTTCTTGACAACTCGGTTAAATGTTTTTAAAATTTAACATATTTTTAATATATAATTTTTATGTTGGGATAATTGTTTAGGATATCTAGTTTTTCACACTACTAAACCTGAAAGTTCTTTCTTATTTTTTTCTTTTCTGTGTGTGTGTGTTTTTTTTTTTTTTGAGGCGGAGTCTCGCTCTGTCGCCCAGGCTGGAATGCAGTGGTGCGATCGCCACTCACTGCAAGCTCCGCCTCCCGGGCTCATGCCATTCTCCTGCCTCAGCCTCCCGCGTAGCTGGGACTACAGGTGCCCACCACCACACCCGGCTAATTTTTTGTATTTTTTTAGTAGAGACGGGGTTTCACCGTGTTAGCCAGGATGGTCTCGATCTCCTGACCTCATGATCCGCCCGCCTCGGCCTTCCAAAATGCTGGGATTAGAGGCATGAGCCACCGTGCCCGGCCTCTCATTTTTTTTCTTAAACATTTTTATTATATTTGAATATTGAAAGTCCATAAAGTTCATCAAACAATAAAATATTCATTCTTCATCATGACAAAGCTGTTTAAAGGGTAGTAGATGTGGAAAGGTCCAGGGATTAAAAGATTAAAAAGAATCTGTTGTAAATTTATTTATCTGCATATATACAGTGCTAAGAGAGAGAGGAAACAAAAGTGGAAGCCAGATATTCACCCATATCTGGCTATGATATTGTATGATATTCACCCATTCATCCAGTCAGTCAGTAGATAGGTATGCTGCACTTACTCAAGATCAGAAACTGGGCTGGGTGCTGGGGAGTATAGCTGGGAACAAGACAGACAGGATCCTTGCCCTCACAGACCTTACTGCCCATCTGAAAGTAGGCTGAAGATACAGAGGATTTGCTGAAGGAGACAGAATGGAGAAAAGCCAGAGCATAAACAAGAGCTGATGTGAGCAAACAGGAAGGCCATAGACTACAAAAGGCGTGGCTGTTCAAGTAGAAGCAGCCTGAGGAAATCAGTTAGAAAATGCCAATCTTGCACATGGCAGTGGCATTCCAAGCATGGACCTACATTCGTTGGGGGCAAATACGATCTCTTAAAGGACCATGATGTCTAGAGATGAGAGCATTTAGAGAAATTTCTAGACTGACACAGTTTTTAAATATCTGTAATAAGATTTTTGCATCTGTCGTATGTTCCAAATTATAGTGGATAAAGTATTATGAAATAGCAATAAATGAACTAGAACTAAAATCCCACGTCACTTTTGTTTCCGGAAGACAAGAAACCTTGTATTCAACTTGAATCTTATGAAGGTGTTACACATCCCTGACCATTGGTCACTCTTTGGATGTCAAAAATGTCCTTTATTTACACTTTATGCAGCTTAATTCAATAACAATTTTCCTGGTAAGTGCTTCTCATGTGCCACTGGGGAACAACTGCTTTGCTACACTGCACTTAAAAGGAGTTTAAACTAAAGAGACACAAATTTTACCCTCTTATCTACTGTGGCTGTTAATATGCTAAGAAAATAATATTTTAAATTATTGAATTTGCGCTCCTAGGAGACATCAACATAATTGCAGAGAGGCACCTTTAACTTTTTTATATACTTATTAATAAAGAAGAACTTTCTATTCATACACCAAAAAATTGGTCCAGTGGAACAAAACAGTAATGCAATAAAACTTCTAGTTCATTAAGTTGGAATGCTGGGATTGAATTACTAATTTATGTTGTTTTTAATTTCATATTATAAATTCTACTATTTTAAATTATAGGGAAAAACTGTTCCCTTGGAATCTGCCTACATCCAACACTGACTAGGAAAGTTTTATTTGTCCCTGGGGAGCTGGGAAGTAGGGGGATTCACTGAAAAATTGCTGTTTCACAAGAGCACACCATGAAACATTCATAGTCATGTTTCCTGCATTACAGGAAGCTTAATAAACATAGCCAGTCACTTATAAATACTCATGTCATTCTAAGGCATGTTAAAGGCATCTTTATAAAGAAAAAGGTGGATTTTGAAAATTCGACTTCAGAGGTATCAGACATATTTTCCCAGAGATTGCCCTCTGAGACAAGGACAAGTGCACAGTTTACAGGCGATCAGTGCTCTGGAAGTGAAGGGAAGGAAGTATGCAGAGTTGGGTGAAGGAACCACCCTTTCTTCTCTACAAGGACTGGAAATGGGCATGACCAGGGTGCAGTGAATCTTGGCAGCCCAGCCACTTGCAGTAGAGGGCTGTAGCTGAGGGCTGTCTGCTGGCAGTGCTGGCAACTCACAGCAGCAGTCCTGAAGGAGGGTCTGTGAGGGGCATCACGGCATCCACTATTAAGAAGAATTTCAATAAAATCAGATAAACATGTGTCCAAAAGTAACAAAGGAAAAATATCTGACTTGGAAGATTTTAGTCCATTAAACATTGTCTTCATTCACTTAGCAACCATTCCTTTGGTAATTATTTTGTGCAGCCCTTTCACTGGATGCCATGGAGATGAATTAATCACGGGAGGAAGGGGTCATGAGCACTGAGCACCCAGCGCAGGCCAAGCATTTTATATAGAGCTCTCCAACCAATCCTCACAAAAACTATATGAGATTGGTACTGATTCTGACGAGAAAACCGAGATTTTATGAGTGTTAAAAATTAGTCCAATGCCACATGGTAAGTAAGTGGTAGAACAGAGAGGCAGTCTGTTCTGCCTGAGCCAAGTCCACACTGTTCCCAGGGCAGACACAAGCAAAATAGAGCTGTGCCACATTTCAAGTACAGGCAAAGATCTGAGAGAAGTGAATAAATCTAACTAACTAGAAGAATGAAGATTAGGGGAGCCTGGAAGACCAAGTAGGATCCCCAGGGTCTGAATAAAAAGGACAAATTGAAAAAGGTGCATGATGATTAGGGACATAAAAGTAATTCATTCTCCACACAGGATTCAGTGTGATCCTTCTGAAACCAAACCACGCCATACTTAAAACTCTCACCCTATACCTCAATCCAGCAGGATTCAGCTCAAAATCCTTAACACAGCACACAAGGCCTAAAGCCATTGACATACTCTGGTCTTTGCTTCCCTTGCCAGCCCCAGCCCTTGACATTCTTCAGCTTAAAATCTGTACCCAGGTTAGGCTGAACTGCTTTCTGTTCACCCAGACTTGCTCTTGCGGTCTGCTTCTCTGTGTCTCTCTCTGTCACCCTGTCCATCTCTCTTTGTGCCTCTCCCAACTTTCTCACTCTCTTCTCTGGCTTTCTTTGTTTTTTCCCTGTCTCTCTGCTGTCTCTTTCTTTCCCTCTGTTTCTGTCTCTTTCCCTCTCTCCACCTTCCTATGCATCCGTCTACTCCCACACTAGGCCTCTGAATATATATTTTACTCTTGTTGGGACACTCTCCACTTTGCTGCCTCTCACCTCACAAATTCCCATTCATCTTTCAGGTCTCTGCTGCAGGGTCATTCTGGGAAGCCTTCTCTGGGTTTGATGTCTTCCTACATGCCTCTACAGCTTCCTGTGTCATCTACCCTATAGCAGTGTTCTCACACTTTATTAAAACATCCTTTCTTCCTAACACCATCTGCTCCTCACCGGACTGTTAGCTCTTTGAGAAATAGGACTTGTCACATTCACACTATACCACTTGACCCATGCATGGTAACTGGTGCACAGTAGGCATTTAATCATGTTTCAAAGAACAAAGGAAGGAAAGAAAGAAAGAAGGAAGGAAGGAAAGAAGGGAGGAAAGGGGAGAGGGAGGGGAGGGAGGAAGAAAGGAAGGAAGAGGAGCAAAGAGAGAATTGAGAATTATATTTGACAATTCAGATTTATAAAATATCAACTCTTACAAGAAGCTATTGTAAAGTTTACTAATAGATTTTGGATGAAAACAAGAAAAGGAAATGTAGGCCGTTCAATTTCAGAATGTTTTCCTGTGAATGCTAAAATGTGCCTCTTGAACTAGAGGATGTTTGGTAGTAACTGGGAGAGAAAAAGCTAAAAAGTTTTTCAGTTTTTCAATGCATTTGGAGCATCTTTATTGCTATGGTCTTGACATTTGCTACATTTGCTGTCTTGGTTCCTTTGGAGTTCCCCTACTGAAAAGTAGATTTTTCTTCTTTTGCTTTCTTTTTCATTCAGATCCACCCTCTTACTCATAGTTTTGTAACTCTTCAATTATAAAACTATTATATGCTTATTACAGACATTTTAGGAACTGCAGAAATATATAAAGAATAAAACTCACCCCCAAATGTTCCCACATAGAGATTGCAATTATATGTGTTTTCCCCCCTTCTCCTTCTTTTTCTCCTCCTCCTTTATTACAAAATTGCAATAGAGCTATATATTCAATTTCACATTCTGCTTTTTCCCCCACAAGACATAACATAAACTTTTCCCCAAGTCATTAAAAATTCCTCAGAAGAAAGATTTTAATTGGTATGATATATTTAATTATATGAGCACATCTTAGTTCATTTAACAATTCTCTCACTTGGGAACATTCAGGTTCTTTTTTTTTTTTTTTTTTTTTTTTTTTTTTTTTTTTTTTTTTTTTGAGAGAAGGTCTTGCTTTGTCGGCCAGACTGGAGTACAGTGGCAATCACAGCTCATTGCAGCCTTGACCTCTGGGGATCAAGTGATTCTCCCACTTCAGCCTTCTGAGTTGCTGGTACCATAGACACATAACACCACACCTGGCTAATTTCCATATTTTTTGTAGAGAAAACATCTTGCCATGTTGCCCAGGCTGGTTTTAAATTCCTGGCCTTGAGAGATCCTGTTGTCTCAGCCTCCCAAAGTACTGGGATTATAGGCATGAGCCACCAAGCCTAGCCTTCAGGTTACTTTTTATTTTTATTTTTTTATTGAGACGGAGTCTCACTCTATTGCCCAGGCTGGAGTCCAGTGGCGCGATCTCTGCTCACTGCAAGCTTCGCCTCCCAGGTTCATGCCATTCTCCTGCCTCAGCCTCCTGAGTAGCTGGGACTACAGGTACCTGCCACCATGCCCAGCTAATTTTTTTGTATTTTTAGTAGAGACGGGGTTTCACCGCATTAGCCAGGATGGTCTCGATCTCCTGACCTTATCATCCACCCGCCTCAGCCTCCCAAAGTGCTGGGATTACAGGCGTGAGCCACCATGCCCGGCCCAGATTCCATTTTTTGATAGAAACATAACTAAAAAATAAATTAGCAGTCAGTCTTGATATAGCTTAAAATTGCCTCATATTTGGAATGGTGCTTTTAGTTATACCAGACTTCTCCATTTTGGCTACAGCTTTTTTATCTACTATTCATTTTTAAAACTTCAGTTTGATATATAGAAACTAAATGCCATTAAGGAAAGTCTTAGATTAATCTGATAGCCCTTGGGAGAAAAAAGTTATCTACGTTAATTTATTCATTTATCACACATTATTAATTGCTGTTCTGTGGTTGAAGTCTAAAAACTGTGGAGATTTTAATAAAGAGGACTTCTGAGAGCTTATGGTTTTCTGTGGCAACCAGTCATCTACACGAATAACACTAATGGCAGACTGTGGGCTCAAAGTCATGAGAACTCAAACAATTAATATTGTAAATATATTTATAATATATAAAAGAGGGAGAGATCTTTTTCTTTTAGGGTGCATTAAATGGCCCTCAAATAATTATAATATTCTAGAATAATTTATTTGTTTAATGTGTTATACAATGTATTTATGTATGCATATATGCATGTATGTATGTGCAGATGTTGAGAAGGCAAAATAGAGTTATTTTGTTCAAAATTTTTAATTATGCGATTTAAACACAGAGGCTATCTAATCAAATAATTAGTAATATTCATACAAAAATACTTTTCATAAAGTAAAGTTCAGTTCTCAAAGATTATCAAACAAAAAACTGTAAAAGCAGTTGTGACTTCAAGATGTCCACAAGAAAAATGGGTGCTTTTCAAGATATACAGTGATTTGCAATATTAAAGTTTATCTCTTTAACATGTTTAATTTATGAAAAAAATGTTAGGTTCTATATGCACTTCAAAAAAATTGTGTGATGATTCATACTTCTGCATTGAGATTTAAAAAAAGCATATTTCCCCCAAGAAGAAAAATCATACCCTCCAACTATTGCAGATGTTTGCAGTTGAACTGCATTCATTTAAGTCTTCTGTATGTAGCTCACTCTTGAGGTTCCCTGTATCTATCTTCATCTCAGGTGGTAGCTCTCTTTTTCTATTTGCGGTAAGGTCCAACTCACTACAAGATTGTAGAGTTAGAAGGAAACGTCAGTTCCCGAACATTTCTCCTTCAAGTACACCTTGTCTTTATTTTTGGAGATCTTGTTCCTAGAATACACTAATTTGCCTCTTATTTCAGGATGATGGTGCAACATCATGAACCTTGAATATTTCTGAAGGTTCAAAGAGGATCCTAAGTCTGAGTGCCACTGTGAACACACTGTCCAGGGCCTTTTCAAGGATTGCTTTGTTGACTAGAAGACTCCTAAAGATTGTTTTCATAAAATGACAAATATAAATGAAAAGATGATGCCAATTATCAAATGGGAACCAGATTTTAAAATAGTACAGGATACACTTTTCATTCACCTTTTAACTGTCATTTTCATCTTCTGTGTGCATGGGGGAAAGCAGGAGGAATACTAATGTTTTTCTGGTCTACATAATTTTTAAAGTTGCTTTCCTACTAAAACCAAATTATTTTAATAGCATTCTGATCAGGATGAGAGAACAAGATGGAGAGTCATACTTCCGAGGTGAGAAACACAGCTATTCTTCTTGCCATGATTTGTTCAAAGATGAGCTCAATTAAAGGGAAACAAATGATTTATGACCCACAAGTTCACATGTGAAAGACATTGTATTCTGAGTAAGTAATTGGCTGGAGGTACAGTATAGCTAATGTACTGTATCTGTGAACATTGTTTATACACTGAATACAGGAGGTCATCATTAGCCAGAGAGCAGGGCTGGTCATAGTTACATACAGCCACTTCTGTCTCTTGACTGTTTTGGTGAAGAATATTCTTTGACATTTTCCTTTACCTCTAATTTTCACTAAAAGATACTGTTTCTTAACATTTTCTTATCTTTTTCTAATTGGGTGTTTTCCACAGCTGAGAGTAAATCGTTTAATTATTCTCGCTAGCTCCATGCAGCACTCAGAATAGAGCCCTCCTCATCCTCTAAGAGACTGTGATGTGTCTGAAGTCATTTATGGTGGATAACAGGGTATCAGCACAGCCTGAATGGGTGGCAGGAAAACAGGAGTCATCCTTCTACGGCAAAATCCTGGGTTCCTGCACAAGAAAATAACCCTGTGTTGGACTTTCAGAAGTAAAATAATTGCTCACAGATGAAATAACTGTAATAATTATTCCTAACCACAAGAATTTCCCAATTGGTGAATTAATCATATCTAACATTTATTAAAGCTGTGGAGAATTACATGAGATTTACAGAATACATGGTTGCCATTTGAGTCATTCACATGTAAGTCGCAGAAAACAGCCAAAATATTTGTAAGAAAGACATGTTTAAATCTGAGCAATGAGGATATTTTGTGGGACTGAAGAGAGGAAAGGGTGTTGGTTTAGTGTTTCCTGGGGTAAAAAGGCTTTTATCTGGTTTTGCTTTTAGACTTGCGTCTTGCCTCTGTTCACGCACCATTTTACTCAGAAAAGTAGAAATAGATTTTCTTGAAGAGGTTTTGAGGAGTGGGCTAAATAAAATAGCGGCTATTGCAGGTTGATAGAAAAAGATAGATAAGCCTCTAGCCTCCTACATTTGATTTGAACCTGGATTCTGTTCCCTCCCAATTAATCAACTCTGCGTTTGTACCAGGATAAAGTCATGCTGTTTATTCTGGTGTGAGCACTGCTCCACCCACATATGGAAAACTAATGGGCCACCCACTTTCCCAAAACACCAGAGAAGTTAGCAAGACACATACCATTGGAGGAAATTGGACATGAAATGTTATGGAAAACGCCACAATTCTCTTTCAGGGTGTAGTGGTAGGTTCCACAAAACTTATGGCTTGAAACTCTAAGGAGATACTCAATTATAATGATACAAAACATTATTTTTGATAGAACTCTGAAATGTGCAGTTCTCTTCCTTGGCACTCTCCCCTATGCTATGCTGTACAGAACATGTGCAGTACTATTCTGAGTTTTCCGGAAGTGAAACAACTTTATGGTAATCATATGCAAAATGTTTCTCAAGTTTTTTTGCAGTTTACTTTTTTATGAGTATGTTAAAAATTTAAGAGAAGCCTTGTTGACATTTTATATGCTTATTTTTCTTTCAAAGGAAAATTGGAGGATTTTAAAATTTTCATATCTGAGATGATAAAAGGTGAAATAACATCATAATTCTTATCTTGTTCAATTTGATATTTGGTTGTTTTATTTCCTTTTTATGAGTTTTATTCATCTTGTAACCAGTCTTGTATGTCTCATTTAAAAAAAAAAAAAGGTTTATTTCACTTTTTCTGTTTTGAGGAATTTGTCTAGAGTTGAAGTATCTACATAGAAGCCTGACGAAAAAAATCAAAATTCTTAAATACTGCCTCTTAAAAATGTTAATAAATACTGTAAATATTTTAAATGTTGTAATTTCAATATTTAAACTAACCCCTAAAATGATTTTAGTAAATACTTTGTCCTCTGAGAAAACTAAAAAAAGAGCATATTGTTATCTTTAATATATTTGAATATCACATTATATTGTTTTCCTCCCAATGTGTTTATAAAATGGAATATATTAATGTAAGGAAATGGCTACAGGCATTTATTACTTTATACAATGTTTTATTCATCCAACCGACACTAAGATTTTTATGGTTCTCCAAATACTTTACTGACCTGTGTACTTCTTTGGACCTCAAAGTCCCTCGGTGATCTCTTAAGAGAGAAACATTATGACATTTGTAGATATAACAATTCACTAGGTTTAACACAACTATTAGTCCTTTAATTAAATATTGACTTGCACCTCCAGGTTCTACTTCAGATTAAAGAGTGATCTTTTATCCACAAATGGTTGTGCTGATTTGTTGCATTTACTCAACCAACATTTATTGAGTGCCTGCCATCTGCAAGGCAATACTTAGGTATTGTGTGCATGTGTGGTGGTATGGTAGGAGATGGATATAAAGAGGAAAAGCACTCACATTTTATTCTGTAGATTTTTACTTATTATTTTATTAAAAAGTTAAGAATTCGAAAGCTACCCAAGAGGCTGATGCATCCTCTCTAAACTGGGAAGTTATGTAGCAGCCAGGGGAGGGAGAGATGGAGTGGTGGCATTTTTCAAAATGGTATTTTGTATCACAGATTGATGCATAAAAAATAAAAACAAGGATAAACTATGGAGTCAACAAATTATTATTATGATCACTATTTTTATGAGATGATCTTGCTCTGCTTTTGGATGAGGCCACAAATCTCAGTCACTCATTAGCATTCCTTCTTTGAAATGAATTTAATGTGGTTGTATATTAATTTGATTTCTCCAAGTTTCCTGAACTAGAAGATTGACTTGACCTGTGGCTAGTGCCAGAGAGATTGCATCCTGTGTCACATCAGCAAATTAGCACTGACTTTAACCTGTATATGGTAAAGCCTAGCACGGGCAAAACAACATCATCATTATTTTTCTAACTTCCAGCACTTCATTAACTATGGCACCACATAGGGGTTATATAACTGTGAGCATAACTTTGTAAAGTTTATAAACATAACAGAGAACGTTCTCACGGGTGTCCTAGGGCAGGCCGCATGCGTCGCTCCTTGAGGTCACCCAAAGTTCCTTCTCCCGACAGCTCACCCTTCAGTTGCAAGGGGAGGCGGACTGCCCACATTGGCTGTCCCAGCGCTAACCCCTCCGGTGATCATACTCAGCAGCCCTGTACTCCTGCCAGAATGTCACCAGAAGAAGATTGATTGCCTCTTAATAATGTTTCTCATAAGTTTCACCAATCTGGGTCTTTTTCCAGTCCCTAGGTTCTCAGCACTTGACCCTCACAATGTGGCATTCCTTCAGGCTCTGGCCTGACAAAACCATGGAGTCCCTGGGAGAACCAGATGTTTACTCACTGCTGTGAGTAAGAAAGTGAGACTGAGAGGTCTACAAACATTCACTGAATCTAGGCAACCACAAACACCCAATTCAGGGCACTGGTGTCTCTTCCCCAACCTCAGGTGAGGCTTGGAAAATTTCCCCAGTCCATCCTGCCTACCCATTAGGCAGAGTGGCGATAAGCTAAGGTTGATCCTTAATCACGAGCCACCTAGTTAACCTTCCTCACCATGCAAACAGACACATACAGAATTTAAGGCCATAGAAAATAGATGCCACCAGGGAATTCTCAGAGATTATTTATCCCAGAGACTTGTGTTAAAAAATTCTGTATCCTAGACAACAGTTTTGGCCACAATATTTTGGAATTGTGATCACCTGATTCTAAAATATCAAATATTACAGCTCAGTGGATCTGTGCACACATCTATGTGTGTGCTCCAATGGATATAAGACCCTGCACATACCCCTTTATAAGCATAGGCCTAGTGGACAGGATTGCTACCCACCTTATAGGATAATTTTGTTACATTAGGCTGTTACTCTTTGACATTATATTCCGGGATCATTACTTGAACCACAGATTTAAATGGCCACAACAATGACTTGTGGCTTATTGAACTTCACTAGGCTCCCTCCTTACCTGGTCTTCTTAATTTTTGGATCATTTGGAGTATTGTGTTTTGTTTTTAAAGACTTTTTTTTTTCTCAGAACACTTTTAGGTTTACAGCAAAATGAGAAAAAGGTATAGAGATTTCGCATATACCCCTTCCCCCCACAAATGCATAGTTTCCCCCATTATCAACATCCCCCACTAAACTGGTACACTTGTTACAGCTGATGAACTCACAGTGGCACATCATAATCACTCAAAGTCTACAGTTTACGTTAGGGTTCACTCTTGATGTTGTATGTGTTGTGGGTTTGGACAATGACCTGTTTCCGCCCCCCCTCAATTTTTGTGCTATTTTATGAAACAGATACAATTATATTTCTCGGCTGGACATAGTGGCTTATGCCTGTAATCCCAACACTTTGGGATGCCGAGGTAGGCAGATCACCTGAGGTCAGAAGTTCGAGAACAGCCTGGCCAACATGGCAAAACCTCATCTCTACTAAAAATACAAAAACTAGCTGGACGTGGTGGCACGTGCCTGTAATCCCAGTTACCCAGGAGGCTGAGGCAGGGTAATTGCTTGAACCTGGGAGGCGGAGGTTCCAGTGAGCCAAGATGGTGCTACTGCACTGTGGCCTGGGAGACAGAACGAGACTGCGTCTCAAAACAAATAAATAAATAAACAGATACATAACATTTTATTTATTTTTCAAATCTTTGTTTCCCCTATCAGCACGCTTTCATATACTTTTTTTTTTTTCTTTTTCTTCTTTTTTCTTTTGAGACGGAGTCTGGCTCTATCACCCAGGCTGGAGTGCAGTGGCGCAATCTTGGCTCACTGCAAGCTCCGCCTCCTGGGTTCACACCATTCTCATGCCTCAGCCTCCCGAGTAGCTGGGACTACAGGCGCCCACCACCACGCCCGGCAATTTTTTTTGTGTTTTTAGTAGAGACAGGGTTTCACTGTGTTAGCCAGGATGGTCTCCATCTCCTGACCTCGTGATCTGCCCACCTCGGCCTTCCAAAGTGCTGGGATTACAGGCGTGAGCCACTGCGCCTGGCCTCATATACCATTTTTAAACAAACAATCATACAACTCACATTCTCTCTACCTCTCTCTGTCAAAATCCAACTGGGTTGCAGGTAGCCATGTTTGATTGAAGGGAAATGGCTTCTTCCTCTGCCAGCCTCTACCTAGCTTTCAAATTGGGGACATTTCTTAACTAAGAACTCTGGCTAAAATTTGGTGGGGAAATAATTTCCAAGAAAGAGTGTAGGATCCTGGGAGGCAAGGATTTGAGTTGTAGTCAGACTGGATTTTGAATCCTAGATCTGGCATTTAATTGTTGAGTGCCCTGGGCAAGTTACTTAACTCCTTATGCCTCAATTTACTAATCCATAAAATGCAGGTAATGAGAACTACTAGACTTGAGGATTTAGTGAGTTAAGCTATGCCTAATATTTCGTAGTGGCTGGCATATAGTAAGTGCTTAATAAGCAGTAGTGAGTGTTGGGAGGGCCATTCCTGAGGGAAAAGTGCTCCCCAGTCTTTAATTCCTATGCCAAGATATCTAGATCACTGTCTGATTTCTTTCTTTCTTCCTCTCTCTCACTTTTTTTTTTGTTTGTTTGAATAGGCGAGGTACCTTTTTTTAACCTACCCCTATAGCCTACTTACCTTCTTCTTTCCTGTGCCCTCTATGCGATCCAAAAACTCTTAGTTCTGGTGTGATTTAAGGATGGACTTTCAGCCCCAGGAGTCTCATCTCCCTCTTCTTCCCTCTATCTGCCACTGCCCCAAACTAGAAGGAGCAACGACCACATTAAATAAATTTTCTTTTGGTATCACCTTCACACCTACCCAGACCCATATGGAAGCTGAAGTCACTTTCTCTCAATGTGGTACAGACACATGAACTCTAAAGAGAGAACTAGAACACAATTTGTAAGTGATAGAATATCTTATTGTCATAGAAATTAAGGAAAAGATGACAAATTGTTCAAATTCTTCTTTAGTGAATTTCTAAGAGATAGTTCCTCCTTCAAATGGTCAACCCTGCAATTCTAGCCCAAGCAGCACCTTGCTATTAGCTTATAGAAAAATGCAAGTTCCAATCAAAATGCAACTTTTAAAACTCCAAATGGTCAGAAAAAGCAGCCATTTTGGAACAAAAAAAGTCAACAAAAATACCTGTAAGAGTAGGGTGTAAAGTTATATCCTTTAGCATCTTTCTTCTCATAAAGCTTTTGATAACAGAACTTAAATAAAACCACAATGCTGGAGTGAAACCTGCTTAACCCTGAGGCAAACAGTATCTGTTTTTCTTAAAACACTGCCATGATCTAAAATACTCATCATCACCCAGCTGGTTCACATAGTGAACCAATTCTAGCTGTAGTTGTAAAGCAGAGGTTAGATTTATTCACTTATTCTTTCCCTCAGCAAGCACTTTTGAGCCTCCACTCTCTGTAGAGGATTAAGAGATGCCCTGATGTACATTGGTGAAGAAAATGGTCACAGTTCTTGCCTTCATGGAGCTTAGCACTGGGGAGTCAGACAATAAAATGTCAATAAACAAGTAAAGACATAGTAACACACATATATAGTAATAAATGTCACAAAGTTGGTGTGATGATGAATATCTGAGTGACATACTTAGGCATTCCAAGAAGACCTCACTGAGAAAGGGCCAGATCAGTCTGGGACTGCAAGATAAGGAGTCAGCCTCAGAGACAGGCAGGGGGACAGAACATGGGGTAGAGAAACAAACAAGAGCAAAGGCCTGAGGCAGAACAGAGCTTGGTGTTTAAACAAACAGAATGTAGTAGTCAGACAGACTTACCTCCAAATCTTAGCTTTGTTGTGTTTATCTAAGCAAGTAATTTGAGGTAGTGAGTATTACAGTTAGAAGCAGGAACTATAGAGTCAGGCTAACAGGGTTCACTTGACTTCACCACTTACCAGATGTGTGTCCTTTAGCTAATCACTTACTTTCCCTGTTCTTTAGTTTCCTCTTCTATTAAACGGGGGGGATAATAATCCTAGTTTATTGTGTTGTTGTAGATTACATAAATGTAAATGTAAACATGTAGAACAGGACTTATCATATAGGAGGCAAATGATCCATAAATATGAACTATTCTTATTCTTAGCATCATAATTATCTTTATTATTAATATTAATATTAAAATTATCTTATCCTCAGAGAGTTAAAATGAGGATAATACTAATAATAAAACCTGCCTCATAGTATTTAGTTGAGGATTATATGAGATAATGTCTGTAAAATTCTTAGCACATGTTGTCTAGCACATACTGCTCAATGCTCTGGTAGCTATTACTACTGTTGTTTTTTTTTTATTAATAGTAGTATAGGCTCTAAGTTAA
This sequence comes from Homo sapiens, assembly GCF_000001405.40. NCBI lineage: Eukaryota > Metazoa > Chordata > Mammalia > Primates > Hominidae > Homo > Homo sapiens. The sequence goes on along the minus strand of NC_000001.11, from coordinate 87,753,685 downwards.
AACCAGTATCAAATCTACATGTTTTCTAAATTGACTGAACCTAAAATATTCTTAGAGCATCAAAATATTCTTAGAACTGAACTTTAGCCAACATTTCATTTGGTGCAAGTCCATATTCTATACATAAAAAGCACATTTGTTACACTTGGGTTTTCATATCTGTCACAAGGCCTTCCTCACTTGTCTCCTGTAAATGCAGCAAAGTCCCTCATCAGAGCTGCCTTTACCACTCATGGGCATCAATGCATACCTAAATATGCTTGTTGGTATATGTTATGTTGTCTTATTAATGTTTTTCCCTTTTAGCCTCAGAAGGGAATGGAAAGAACCCAGAGTTAGACATGGCCCATCTCCAAACTTCTTACCATCTCCATCTCAGCAAGGTGTGCCCAAATAAGGCAGTAAAGAAGTCACTGGTGCAGGGTAATGAGCTAAAAGTCTTTACCATCACCAGTCTCCAGACTGGCCACTTTTATAGGATATTCAGTGTGATATACAGGGTTCTGAAAATAACTTCAAAGAAAGGAGAGGAAAGAAGGAAGCAAGGAAGGGAGGAAGGAAGAGAGGAGGGAAGAGAGGGAGGAAGGAAGGAAGGAAGGAAGGAAGGAAGGAAGGAAGGAAAGAAGGAAGGGAGGGAGGGAGGGAGGGAGGGAGGGGTCAAGGGTGAAGGGAATAGGAATAGACCCACAATAGTAAATCATAGCCATAATCAAAGAGAGCTGTGACAATTATAAAAGCACAAGACCTCTTGCGTATAAATTAAATAGAAACCAGTCTGTAGACTAAATGGCAATTATGTAGTGTATCTAACAGAAATGTAATACTCTCACCACGTAGTCTTCATGCTATTTCTGTTTGATTTGATTTTCACAAGAATCTGATTGTGAGCAACCTTCAGGCGTGGTCTCTGCTTGCACAAACACACACACATATAAATATAAATATAGATGTATACTGCATACATGTGAGTATGTGTGTGTGTGATTTAAGTCAATTTAATTGCAATTCATCTTTTCCATTGTGATAGACACAGTTAATAAATAACTAAACAGGATTTTCCCTTTTTCCAACTCTTTTGCTGTCACATCAACTCCCTGTGTGTATTTGATGAAGGAAGTTATTTAAGCCTCCTTAGAATGATATGGGGAGACACAGAAGTCGGGGTTGGAGTCTGGATTTCAAAGCATGGATTCCTTATGGCTGAAGTGCTTGCATACATTTCAGGGTTTATAGCATTTCAGGCTTAACCTTATTTAAAACATATTTCTAGGAGGCTTTAATGAAACTGCAAAAGTCCTTGGTTTTAAGATATACTTGTCAGTTATTTTTCCAATTAACAAAGCAAAGGGACACCTACAGTTTCTTTTCTGAGTGCTCATCCATTCACTCTGTCTGCAATGTAATAAAAGGAGCTCTGGAATTAAGGTCAGAAAAGCCAGAGACTTTAACTGACTAAACCTACTATGATACCTTAGACAAGTTGCTCAAATGCTCAAAAAAATAAAAATGTTTACTTCCCAACTGACAAAGTGACAGAGCTGGATTAGATGATGGCCAAGCTCACTTCTATCCATAAAAATTTAAGCTTCCAATTTTAATCAATCCTATGAATTGTCTCAGTCATGCCTTGAATTTTGATGCAATACATATTTGTAGGTACTGAATAGAGGCCAACATTTGTGAATTGGAGGATGCTGTAAACGCAATTTTTTTCATAATACATGTTTTATCAAGCATAAGTCAAATCCACACCTCAAGTCTCCAGTAATTGCTGACTCTTTTTTTTTTTTTTTTTTTTTTTTTTTTTGATATGGAGTCTCGCTCTGTCGCCCAGGCTGGAGTGCAGTGGCTCAATCTTGGCTCACTGCAAGCTCCACCTCCCGGGTTCACACCATTCTCCTGCCTCAGCCTCCCAAGTAGCTAGGACTACAGGTGCCCGCCACCACACCTGGCTAATTTTTGTATTTTTAGTAGAGACGGGGTTTCACCATGTTAGCCAGGATGGTCTCGATCTCCTGACCTCGTGATCCGCCTGCCTCGGCCTCCCAAAGTGCTGGGATTGCAGGTGTGAGCCACTGTGCCCGGCCAATTGCTGACTCTTCTGTGTGTGTGCATGGCACACTGGTGTCAAGCACTATCACAATTGAGCATGTGGTTATTTTAGGGCATAATTCTCTTAAAGTAGGTGTAGGGCAAGGATGTTAAAAACATCCACCACCACCTTTTACTACACATGTATGCTTGGGAAGATGTCTTTAGGTTACAGTTTGCCAAAGAAAATATAATGTAGTTTAGAGTCTTCTTTTTTTGCTTTATCTTCTTACTATCTCACTTGACTTAGAGTTATTCTTGGTCATTTAAAGTGAAAAGTACATAGAGAATAAAAGCAAAATCACCTCCTTATACATTAAGGAGGTGATTAAATCATTAAGTTCAGATAAGGATAGTTTCACGTTTTTCCCCTTTAAAGATAACATGTAGAAACTAAAACTGTTTACTCTCCTTTTTTTAACCCTCTTGCTGCTAGGGTAAGGGCCAGTATTTAATGAGCGTGCCATTGAGTTCATTTAATAAGAAATGTAGAAAAGTGACAACAGCTGCACAATATTCTTTATCAATGTGGTAGGGAAGAAGAGGCTGTCTTGGGAGCATTCTTTTCATACTTTGTAGCTCTAAAAGTAGACATTTAATTAGATTCCATGGTTACTGCTATTATAATATCTGCTTATTTGAAGTGCAAAGATAATCATCAATTGTACACTCTTGACTACACTATTAATGGCTTTAATAACCACATTGTGTTTACATTTTGCCTGGTAACGAACACTTAGCTATTGTGGTTTTTAACATGTAGTAATTCAGTGAACACTGTCTCCATGTAATGCCCTTGCCATGTCATTCTGCTGTACTAAGTGTTGTTTTTCTAGCGAGGTCTTGAAATGTGGGGCATTATGTATGAGTTATGCTAATTTGTTAGGGCAATGAATACATTAATTTCATTAGTAAATGGCCTCAAAGCAATAATTACCAGTGTAGGTGTGTCAGAAGCGATCATGTTCAGTTTTGCCAGTTAATTATTAAGATTTTGTTCTGAGGGGCCCAGATTTGACATCCAGCTTCAATTTAGCCATAAATAAACCCTGAAGTAGGTAAGGATGAGGAAATGAAGCCAGGAACTTCTTTTGCGCTTATACACTTCCACATTTTGTCCAATTGTGACTGCCAATTAAGATGCCAAAATAATTAGTGTCATTGACATAAAGTTTTAGTGTACCTCAAAAATCATATTTTATTAAAAATAGCAATTATGTTTTCTCAATACCCTACTTTGCCTTCCATAACTGGATTTCAAATTATCTACAAAACAGTATGTAACTTGCAAAGATGAATTCCACTTAGAATTGTTGTCTGCAGTTCCTTTTTAAGCTAAAACTCACTTTATTTTTTTAAATAAATGGAATTTTCCTCTAATGGATTAATTGGCTCCATAAGTCTGCTATATTATTATACTACTTGAACCATTTGCTGCTAAACAGTAATAGTAGAACCTATAATCCAGTATTAATTTCCACAAAAATTTGACATTCTTTTTTTAATCATACACCTGTTGGAGCCATCTAATGCATCTCCATTTGCTAAAATTATGTGTGAGGCCGTTTAAATCTGAGCAATCACTCAGACTGTTTATGGAATCTTGGAATATTAAACTGTTCTCAGTGTCCTGGTGTTCTGCTCTAATGGGAAAATAATACTCTCTAGAATTTCTGGAGAAAAGAAATACTGTGGAGCTTGAGAAGCAGATGACACATGTATGTAAAGAAAGGGCATGTGAGCTGTAAGAGGAAAGGGGACAAAGCGGATGCAGTATAAGAGGATGGAAGAAGTTGTTATAGAAGAAAATGCAGAAAAGTAGCAGGTAGAAAGCTTACTGTTATCAGAGTTGAATAATTCAAAAATAGCTTTGGTTGTTTCCGCAAGTGATTATGTTCATATCAAATACCAACTCACTTCTAGATTCTGCTGGTCTTGTAGGGAAATGGCTGGTGCTTCTGTTCTCTTGATCAATTCACTAGGCAGGGAATCTATCACTGTAGCCTCTAACATCCGTACCAGGCTCTTTTTTTTTTTTTTGACTGTGTAAAAAATATTTGCTTGTTGAACACTTCCAAACTTCAACCAGATTCCTGGGATCTGAAGCTTGGCTTCCAGGTGCAACAAACCATCCTACTCCCAGGATTTGGAAAGATAGATACTGTTTTACTCTAAAGCAAATTTTCATTTACCTGGATAGATAGTGAACATTGAATACTATTAGTTATAACAGATCAAAACCATTTAGACAAAGGTGATATGGTCTTTCGGTTTGGTAATGGTGGTCCTCAATGTTAAGGATTGGTTGAAAAAGATCTTTTCTTCCCTCTCTAAATTAACACAGGATTCCAACCTTAGAAGAGACTGGTTTAGATTGGCAGAGTCTAGACATTATTCAAAGACATTTGATTAACATCCGTTTATCTTAAGTGGGACCTTTGGTGGTGATCTTGTCTTGTTTAGCTATTGCCTACATCAGAAACATCTTTACAGACATGAGTTACTGTTTTTGTGAAATACACATAAAAAACATTAGAGGCTGAAGAGCCCTCTTCGAATTGAAGATACGAAGACATAAGGTTTATTTAAAGGAAGAAGTTGGGGGCACTAAATTTGAGTTAAAGAGCGAAGATTAAAAACTGGGGCCTCTACATTACACAGTGCCAAGGTTGCCACCTTCACATCATATTCTGAATGAAGCCAAGCTTATGAATTGTACAGTGCACAACTTGTGCAGCTATACATAGCAACCCTGTTTAGTAACTCTAGAGTGCAAAAGCTCTAATTTTGTCTGAGCTCTGCCATTTACTCTCTGTATTACCTCAGACAAGTTACATAATCTCCTTAAGCCATAGTCTTCTCATCTGTAAAAATGGCAGTAATACAATGTTACCTGCTTCATAGAGGTGTCATGAAGATTACATGGGCTAATGCATGTTTGCAAGCCTGTCACATAGCAAGAACCTAATTAGTATTAGTTATCAATATTATTACTCTTGGTAATGGTATTATTTTTATTAAGTGGTAATGCCAAAACTCTGGTGGGTGTAAAAAAAACTCTGTAAAAACTGGAGGCCTAAATATGAGGCATAACTGCATAAAAGACAAAAAGAAGAAAAAAATCTCTGCCCCAACTCCCAATGGCAGTGCAAATACTAGAGACTTCACTGATATCAACTCACTTGCAGATTCCTAGGCTTATGGGCTTTCTCAACTTAGTGTCCTGCCACAAGGATTTGAAATACTCAGCTCCCCCAGTGTCCTTCAATTGTATGCCAATTTTTGTTTCTGGATCACACTTCCTTCTTTTATTTTCTCTTACTTGTTTATTTCTTTTCTTTTCTTTTCCTCCCATATTTCTCCCAGTGTCTCCACCATCCTCCACTGTTCTCTCTGCTCCTTCAGTTACAGTGATGTTTTCCAGATTAATCATATCCCTGGCATGCTCCTGTTTGTCCCCATGTCACAGACAGTACATGTGAGTTCTTAGATCCAAACCTCACAGGGAATCTGCACAGTGTGGGTAGAGCCAACCAATTTTAAGGATTAATGCCCAAAAGCAATTAAACTCTAAGTAGTATTCCCCTAAATCTCTTTCTCATAACCTGCCACAAGGTACTTACAAGTGTTACTGCAAATTTTGAGTGCTACTATGCACCTTCAATTGTGTTAAGGCTTTACATAATTTTATTATTTAATAGTCACTAACTTATAGGTATAAATATTATTGCTCCTTTAGGGATGATAAAATCAAGACTTGGAGAGAGTCTGAATTATACCTACCCATGTTCATATAGCTGGTAAGCATTGAAATATTTAAGCCCAAATGTGACTTCAAACCCTATTCTCTTAACCACTACCCTTTCCATTAGATTTTATAGATTCTTGCCGTTTAAGTCAAATGCATCAACATAAGCCTTGGAGCATTCCATAGAAGAAAAAACAAGGAGAGCTTTACTACCATGTGTAAGCTATTTTTTGCCTTATTTCTTAGAATGTTGACTCTATTTCTCCTTTCCTGCAAGCTAACGATACAAAGATGGTAGTTATCCCTGTGGTTTGCAGGCATGCTTATCCATCACAGGTCTGTTTTCATCTGGGTTTATTTTATAATCTAAGCAGGCTCTGTTTTTAACACCAAGGGAATAGAAGGATGCTAATAAGCCAATCCCAGACAATAGCAAAAGACCCATTCAGTTAATATTAGTGCATTTAAGAGCAGAGCAAATGACTTCCAGCAGCCATCTTCATTCAAGTGCTTCAATGGTTAGCAATATATGGGCTCCAAAGCTCCTAGGAAATAGCAGAGTTAATACCAGAGGTGAGTAAAGATAAAGGCAAGGATTTCCTCAAATATTATTGTCTTTCATAAAGATGCATTTAATTATTTTTCTGTGTATTTGCAAAGATCTATAGATGTGGAAGTGACTAATAATGCAGATTTAAGAACACATATATGAAGGATCATGAGACTTTATAGCAAAGTGAAATGGGTTCTCCTAATAAAAAAGATGGAGAACAATTGAATACCATCTTCTGGACTCAAGAATCTCACTTTTGAAACTTAAGCAAGACAGAAATACAGGTACCAAAGGGCATCCTGTTTCTCTCTAATGAGAGAATGTGTACATTCATTCCTCCAAGCTCCAAAACAAATGATAGATTTCCACAGCTTTATGTAGGAACAACAGGTCCAGGTCTGTAGGGAAATGAAAAGAAAGGAAAGTAGGTGGTTTCTACCATTCAGTCTGCAATTTATGGTGATGTCACTGCCCTTCTCTTTAAGCCTTGAGTTTAGTAAAAGATAATGAGACAGGAGAGTTCCCTTGACTCCCTGTGGGTTTGCGACAGGGGTAGCTGGTTTATTTGGTCACCAAGCTTAAACACCTTGTGGGAGGGGGAGCACGCAGGTGAGCAGGTGCAGAAGCCAGGGCAAGTGCCTTTGGGCGCCAGCAGGAATGAACTCCATGCAGGCCCGCTCCAGCGTCTGGGGGTTGCTAGTGACCTCTGGAGCCCCAGAGGGCATGTGTTACAAACAGTGCTTTTTTAGCTTTGCTATCTGCAAATGGCTTCAGTTTTAAACAGCTCAGTGAAGAGTCAGGGTCCCACACCAAGTGCATCCGGAATTCTTGTCTGGCATCCAGGAAGAATCAGGTCACATGAATGGATTGAAGGGTGGTGTATGCAGAGGATCTTATTGACCAATGGAAGTGGCTTTCAGTGGGATGGGGAACTGGAAAGGAGATGGAGGGGGAATATAATCTTCCCCTGGCTGTCCCCGGCTGATCTCTTCTCCAACCATAGTCTCTGATGTCCAGCTACCTCTTCTCCTCTCAATGTTCAGAAGTTTCTTCTCTACTCTCCTTCTCTGCTTTGCCACTCTGCTCCTCTGCCAGTGGAACTTGGGGTTGTAATGGGTACAATGGGTACAGGGTAGGGGGGTGCGGCAGGCCAGGGTGGTTTTGGAAAAGACAACATTCGGGTGGGAAAACAGGAATGTATGTTCTAATTTAGGGCCGCGGATCCAGGCTTGAGGGTGGAGCCTCTGCCAGGGACCCCTCCCTAGTCGACCCAGTATTTCTCTGCCTCCTGTCTGTATCAATAAGATATTGCCAGAGTTAAAGCAAGTCATATGAAAAGGTAAATGCAACAGAAGTCTTTATCTTCATGCATTACCTACACGTAAGCTATTGCTTTTCAACCTATGGCACGTTGTGGAATGTTCTTCAAAGGATATAGCTGGAAATCAGTAGAAGAAATGCCTGGAGAGCCCAGGGAGGGTCTCTTGCCCACCAGATCCTAGAAACATCACGTAGTTTCATGAGAGATAACCCTTAATGCCCAGCCCAAAGAAACCATATTATCTCAGCTTTAACTACCTCCCATTATCCTCGTACTCTGGCACCTCCCAGGTCACTGCCTTGTTCCATCATATTTGAAAATTGTCCCAACTCCAGAAGATGTGGCTCGGCAGCCGGGTTCTGCCTCAGCACATATCATCTCCTCGATTCCAGAAGTAGAACTATCCTTCCAGGATTGCCTGGTTCTCTTTGCAGAGATCTCCAAGCCACCGTGTTAAAGCCAAGTCATAGATCTCTGCTGGTGGGGAACTCTGCCTATTGGGAAGACAGCACTATTGTCTTTTTTGCCTGCTGCATACAAAAGTGAGGCAATGTTTTGTTAGTGGAGCTAGAATGTGAATCTAGAACTTGTTAAACAGTGCGTATCTCTGCTTATTCACATGGATTTAGATGGAATCTGAACTTCTGAATTTTAAATTAATATTTATGGCACAATTTAATATACACTTAGTCATGTAAAGAATCTGATTGAAAGATGTGGTTTGCACATAAGCCCCACCAGAAACTCATTTACTAACAGAATCCAACCCTAAGTAAAATAAACAGCTTTACTTTCTACTGACATTTTATAACCACCTTAAGGGAAAGGTGGAGAGGGGCATTGGGTTTCCATGTGGATTTAATTCAAGAACTTCCCAAGAAAGTGCTTGAAGGCAATACAGTAGTGAGCCAACTTTCTTCTGTTAAGTCACAAAAAAAAATAGACTGTACCAAATAGAGGGGATCAACCCCAGCTGCAAAGAGGAAATTTAGAATTATCATCATACCAGTATCAGAAGGTCCTTTATGTTTATAGCTTCATAAAAGTTCACAGAGTATGTGCTGCCAACTAATAAAAAAGTAATGAAAAATTTTGCAGATTTTTTGTGTAGACAGCAGTTACCTAATCCCTAAATCCTGATGAATTCATATATTCAAAATATTTAAAAGGCCAAATACACCCAAGAATTTGTGATCCCTTTAAAGGCATAAGTCTCAACCTCATTAATAGATAAGAAACAACTCTATTGTTTGGCTGTACATCAATATGTGTTTGAAATGAATTCTGATTCCTTTATTGCCCAAATATTTGAAAAGCCATAATTAAGCAATGACACTCCAGGGTGAATGTTATTAGGTAGTACTGAAGGCCTTGTCCCTTTAATGCCCCTTGATGTGTGTGATTACCCAAAAACCCCTGGCTTCCATGTCTTTTTGTGATTACAAAGGAGGTCTCTTTCACATTTATTTTTTAAACGAATTTGAACAAGAGAGCTTTTGTATTTACTGTACTAAACACATCCACCCATTTAGGGAAAAATAGTTCCTATTTGAAGGGTGAAAGGAAGCACATGAAAAGCGATTGAAAATATTTTTTCCTCTATTTTTGGTGCTGAGCTCCCCGCCAAGGGTATTTTTAATACAAAAGTGCAGACACCTTCTGTGTGTTTCATAAGTTCCTCCCTGTCTCCCTTCCTGTTCACATCACTCTGAGCCCTGCACCATCACCTGGCCTGGTCTGTCTAGTAGGCTTTAGTTTAGCCTCAAACAGATTGCCCTTAACCTTTATTTTTCATTACAGAGTGCAAAGCAGGAGGCAGTGGGGGAGGAGGAGAATTAAAATTGGAGGTGTTTCAAGCGTCTGTACTACATTATGCCACTATATGAAAAAGTCATATAGTTTGAAATGAAAGGTGAAGTATGGTGCTTGTGATCTGGCATTGAAATTCATTGCTGTGTAGAGCTCATAAAAATCTGTATATAAATGTTGCTGCTATTATTTATGAATAATAATTGTATGATAATGCTTCCTCTTGAGTTAATTATTTGTGTGGAGGCCTAAAGAACGTTTAGCTATTATTATTATTTATAAAATCTGTACATTTATTGAGTGTAGGTAAAACATAGTTTACCTACATTATCTCAGTTAATCTTCACAATAACTATATATGTGTTCGTATGTATATATGTGTATATATCTGTGTGTGTATATATATACATATATGTATATAATGAGTTACATAGCTGGTAACTTATCCTAAGTCACATAACTAGTGAGTATTGAAGAGAGATCTTTGCCCAGGTCAGCCAGATCAAAAGCCCAATATCTTAACTAGTTCACTCCGTAAATCCTTGCCATCCCTCGACCCATGTTAAATAAGTAAATAAAGAGTAGCCTTTTACAGCTAAAGAAATCAAGACTGAAAGAAAACAATTAACTTATAAATGTCACATAGTTATCCAGCAGTGGGCCAGGGAATGGAAAGCAGACATTTCTGAATATGGCTCACTGCCTTGACCGCAAAACCACGTAGTCTGAACTCTTTTGATGATCCTTTCTTAGGGAGTGGTTATTAACATTGGAAAGCTTGAATGATCATGATGGAAGTCTAGATTAGCACCAATTGCATTTTTTATTAACAAAAATATAAGCTTCCCCATGAGAGCTACTGCCTGGGAGGTATGAAAGAAATATCCAGACAGAGGATCAAAATAAAACAAACCCAATTTAAAAGCCCTCCTTTTACCATAAATTCAGTGCACTAGAGGTCAAATCAGACCCTTGTGTGCAAATGAAGTAAAGTATATTTCTTGTTTAACACATATGTTTTACTCTCCTTTGACCACCACTTCTTTTTGGTAACAAGATTCTATTATATATAAAATGGAAATGCTACCAGCTTGGAGTTTTAGCAAATTTCCAGGGCTTTTGTACATTTTTTTTTCCAGTGAGCACATGAATCAAGTAGAAACAGAGAAAACCACACACACACACACACACACACACACACACACACACACACACACACATACACGCACTCCAAAAAAAGACAAAACATAAAAAGCTATCCGGGACACCCCTTCTGGTCCCCACCCTGCTGTTTGCATCCTGTCCTGCTGAGATAGATTTCAAGAGGGCAAACCACCTAAGTACCCTTCGACTTGCCCATTGTTCTGATTTTGCAGGCATATCATTTTTCACCCGAGCACAGTTGCCAAGCACCGGCAAGATGCCCTGGTAAAAAACCCACACCTCGCAGTCGGCAGCCGCCCTGCCTGTCCCCTTAGTCCCAGCCATTCGATCATCTCGCATGGAACTGCCTGGAGCTGTTTGTTGAACTGCTTCATGTTACTCTTTGACTGAGAGAGAGACAAATGTTCCATATTATCTTTAATTTCCATAAAATTGTTTTAATCTTTGCTTTATAATAAATGTATAACGGTGCCCCCGGGGGATCTCTGTTTTGTATTATAGGTGTCTCCATTGGAGTTATGCGCAAGATAGAACTGCTCAGCATTTGCCTTTCACCCAAAGGACTCGAAAGAGACTTGAAACAAAAGATTCCTCTGGGAATCATCCATAAGCATAAAATGGAAAATTTCCTTTCCCCCAATATGCCTCATCCAGTCTCCCCATGATTATTAGCCAGATCAGATCAGGAACGTAAGCAGCAGGAACTGAAAGGGATTTGCCTTCTTTCTGACCGCACCAGATTTGGGTATAATATTTATATATATGCGTCTCTATATATATCATTATAAATATATAATATATAAAAACATAGTCATAAAATATATTTAATTAAAGAAACAGAAAGCCTCCGCCAACCTGTAGGTTTTAAACTTTTTAGCTCTGATGGCTCCTTAATATACCAGCTTGATGAAAAAGGAGAAGGGGAGGGGGTGAGAATGGGGAAGGTCCCATGAATACATTTTTTGACATTTTTTTATTATCATTTTATCTAGGCTAGTGGTAAATGGATGGACTTGTCAGCAGAAATCTCTTGGTGAAGTAAATAAAGAATCTTAATAGGCAGGGAGGATAGAACTAACGGCAAATTGCTCACAAAGAGATCTAATTTATTGGTTTCTTTTTCACTGAGATTCTGTTCTGGATTCTGGCTTTGCCAGAAGAAACAGCTGAATGATGACATGGATCCATACGCAGAGAAAGTGCTCTATCTGGTAGAAAAGGAGAAAACGTGGAAAGATTCTCTCTGTGGCCTTACCCCAGCTTCTTTTGAAAGTTAGCTGCCTTATTACTGCCATGGTATCTCTATGTAAAGCTGGAGCTTGGAAGGTCGCCTCTATTTTTATTTTCTGGTCTCAGTTAATAAGCCCATGCTGTATTCATGGAAGAAAAATATTAAATGTGGCCACACCAGTTATAATATTATGGCAATTTGGGTTTAAGTATAATAAAGATACCAACAAGGGCTCCTCAGTTATTAATATGTTTTCAGGTTAAAAGGCAGCAATAAATCATAAAGAGCATTTCCAAGCAGTAGCACTTTTATAGAAAATTGCTTGCTATTTAAACAAAATATTTGCTCTTCATCTCAGGAAAATATGTGGATGCTTCTGAACAAGGAGCTATTTTACCTACCCTCTGCCTCCTATAATTAGCCCCATCCTACTTAAAATTTTTTTTTTTTACTTTGCTTGCCTGGATCACAGGAAAGTGGGGCTCAAGTTTGCTTTGGACAAATGAGCAGTTTCTTCATTAGTAGCCTATGTTTTTCTAGAAGGTAAGGTTCTGAATTTAAATGTTTGTTTTTCTGTATCCTTCCTTCTGAGAGGGCTGGAGACCTCTGTGTGGCTCTCTTGTGGGCACAAATGACTAAGATAAACAGACAGAAAGTTTTCATTCAGTAGACATGGGTAGACTTTTCTCTCCACCACATGTGAGTATAGAATTTATTTCGCTTATGCATTTAGGAAAATACCTCTCCAGCAAACCCTGGGCCCAGAGATCTGCTCAGGATGCGTGCCATTTATCTCCAAAAGTTGGATTATTTACATATTTGGGCAGAGGTTGAAGGGAGATAGTCACCCAGATATTAATCTACTTTTCTTGACTTTTGGATTACACTTCCATGTTTACAGGAAGTAAAGGATAGTTGGGGCTCTTGTGTAGTGCTCATTTGACCTTCTCCACTTCATTATAGTCTCTTAAAGAAGCCAACAAATATGACTGACTATACCTCACTGATCATATGGCTAATGATAGTTTATTGTTTATTCACTTACACTGGAAAGAAAACATATCGTGAATATCCGTTTAAATATTTCATTTGGCCAAAAATAACTGTGTCAATAGCATATGGGATCAATCCATAGGTGAAAAACAAACTAACCCACCATGTTCTAGGTGGATTGTAGTGCCAATTTCATATTCTAAGTTAAATATGTTTTTTTTCTTCTCTTGAAAATAAGTTCCTAAAAAGAGTTCCTAACATTCCAAAAAATGATTGTAAATCCACCAAGTTAATTTATGAACCAATAAAGTCCTGTCAAGTCTCCTTCTCATCTTCTGGAAAACAGGTCTGCAGTGAGGAAAAAAAGGCCAGCTAGTTACTAAGGAAATATATTCTTGCTTCTTGTATATTCCTCTTAAGCCTTGCTTCAGAGTCAGCTTCTGTGCACTGTGGAATATGGAAATCCTTCCAAACACAGAAAGTATTTGGGGCGATAATGGTCTACATTGTTAGACAGTAAGGCTTTAAGGAAATTAACAATAAATGCATCATTATTATATCCAAACTGCCATCAGATTAAATTCAAAATTCTAAATGAAAAGCTGAGGCATTCAGTTTCTTAGACACATAACATAAAATCAAGGCTGTTATGAGGAGACAGTATTTAAGATGTCCCCCTCCCTTTTCTCCTCAGTAAACACCTTGTAAATTTGTCTGAAAATTTCAAATTTTGCATTAATTGAGACTCCTTGCCTGTTCAGTTGAGTTTTGGTGTGAAAATATATCAAATCATAACACACAAAAAGCTGCTCTCTCAAGCCACATTTCATAACATGATTTCATCAGATGGTCTTAATTTTCTGCATGACATTATCTTTTCAAGCTGACATAAGACTGGGCTGTGATATTTGCATACTCAAGACAGAACCATGCAGCTTAACTATGTTTCTGCTTGTATGGGAATTTGGGGCATTTTTACTTTGAGGAATCAAACAAATAAACCTTCCAAAAAAAATTTCCTCTACTTTTTGAATGACTTTGTTCTTGCCTTTTAATGAAAGAGACACTCTGAGCTATTTTAAATGATGCTGTAGTATCCAAATCAGTTGTCTCAATATATGTGAGATGTACATATCCTTTCTCTTGAAGGTCTCTGAAGCCCAGACCAATTAGTCAAGAAATCTTGGCTATTTTAGTTGACTAGTATCCATATCATTGTAAATGTGCAAAAAAAAAAAAAGTAGCTGTTTTTATGGATGGAAAGGTTTAATATTTTAAATCTTGAAATCCAGACCAAATTTGTCACTGACTTGGGAGTTAGAAGACTTAGCCATTGGCTTCACTACTTGGCAGCTCTGACTGGACTAGGCAACCACCTACTATGTCAATGTCACTTAACTAGTCAATGCCAATATCTCTGTCACGTCATTGACAATAGCATTGTCATGACAATGACAGTGTCAATGTCAAAGTCTTCTAACGTGTATATTCACTTTTCATTATGCATGTATTTCTTGAGTGCTAGGCTCTATTTTAGGCACTATAAATTTGAAAATATTTATTAATTTGTCTGGAAATGCAGAAGTTTAGGATGAGAAGGGAACCTGAAAGAGAAATCCATTCTATTCTAGAATGAGGGAAATGAGACCATGTTGGTACAATGACCCATTTAGAATATGTTGCAGTTAGAGGTGACAGATGTGATGGTTAATCATAGGTGTTCATTGATTGGATCATGGGATGCCTAGATATCTGATTATATGTTATTTCTGGGTGTGTCTTGAGGGTGTTTCTGGAAAAGATTAACATTTGAAATGGTGGACTGGGTAAAGCAGATTGCCCTCCCCAGTATGTGTGGGTATTTGTTGAGGGCCTGAATAGAATAAAAAGGCTGGGGAAGGTTGTATTTGCTCTCTGCCTTATTGTTTGAGCTGAGAGATCAATCCTCTTCTGTGTTGGATAGTCCTGGTTCTCAGGCCTTCAGACTTGGACTGGAATATGCACCACTGGTTCTCTAGCTCCCAGGCCTTTGGACTACCACCAAAATAAAAACTTTGTCATCATCATTGACTTTTCCCTTTCTCATACCACACATCAAATTCATCAGCAACTCCTTTTAGATCTACCTTCAGGATGTATCCAGGCTCTGAGCATTTCACACCATTGCTTCCATTTCCCCTTTAGTCCAAGCCTCCATCATCTCTTGCTTGGATTATTACAAAACCCTCCTAACTGGTGTCCCTGCTTTCTTGCTTTCCTCCTGTAGGTTATTCTCAACTCAAAGACTAGGTGATCCTCTTAAAATTTCACATCACTTGTTATTCCCAAACCTCCCGTGACTTCCTCCTCACTCAGTACCAGATCCTAACTCCTCACCAGCTGCAATGACCTTTTATGGTTTTGCCCAGCTCCTTTCTGATCTCCTTCTACTACACCCACATTTGCCTCCCATGGTTGCTCCGGAACACCACTGCATGGTCCCTCCTTGGGGCCTTTGTGGTGTTCCTTCTGCCTGAAACACTCCTCCACTTCCTTTAGGTCACTGCTTAAATGACCAAAGAGGCCTTCCTCGAACTCCGCATGTAAAGTAGCAACCTTATCCAACTCCATCTCTTGATTTTTTGTTTTTTGTTTTTTGCTTTTTTTTTTTTTTTTGAGATGGAGTTTCACTCTTTCGCCCAGGGTGGAGTGCAGTGGTGTGATCTCGGATCACTGCAACCTCCACCTTTCCGGTTTAAGCACTTCTCTGCCCCAGCCTCCTGAGTAGCTGGGATTACAGGCATGTGCCACCACGCCTGGCTAATTTTTTTTTTTTTGTATTTTTAGTAGAGACGGGGTTTCACCATCTTGGCCAGGCTGGTCTTGAACTCCTGACCTTGTGATCCACCTGCCTAGGCCTCCCAAAGTCCTGGGATTATAGACGTCAGCCACGGCACCCAACCCAACTCCATCTCTTTCTGTTTCTTTACATTGCTTTAATTTTCTTTGTGACCACAAGAAATATGCTGCTTTTTTTGTGTAGGGAGTGCCTATTTTCTATTCCCTCAACTAGAACATGCTTCCAAGCTAATGGAGACTTGATATTATTCCTAGCCTGCACATAGCAGTCATGCAGTACACCAGCAGCAAATTAATATTCACAGGATGCCAAAACAATGCTAGGTCCATTCTCTGCATTATCTAACTAGTCCTCACAACCCTATAAGGTAGGTACTAGAGTATCCTCACCTTACAGCTGGAAAACAGAGGTTCAGAGATGCTTGCAACTTACCCAAGATCTCACAGTTAATAAATGGCAGAACCGGGATTCAACTCCAAGTGTATCTCACTCCAAAGCTCAAGCCCTTAACCCCACCTTTTTATTGCCTTTCAATAAATATTGTAAGAATAATTGATGTATTTATGGAAAAACAAAAGCATAATTAGATTCTTCTTGCTCCCCAGAGCTTTCACAGTTTAATTCCATTTGCATTGGATGCCCAATGTGAATCTCTTGTTTCTTCTTTTTTTCTAACGTTTAGAATGAAATTTCTCAAGCCTCAACAATCCTCTAAAAGCAGCCTTCTGAAATGAGTCTTCTCCCCTTCTCCAACCCTGTCCCCATTATACTTCTAGAGGGCTGGTTTTATAATAGTTTGTATATTCTCTCAGCACTTTTTAAAGAAGAATACAATATAGCTGATCTAATGGGCAAGGGTGGAGGTAACAGAGGTGTATTTGTAGGATTGCCTGTTTCCTTCAGATTCTCGCTCTGTAATTTAGATGGTTGCCTAGCATTTGTTGTGAGAAACTTGAGGGGAATTCGAAGCTAGGTTGAAGAATCTACTTCCCAGGAATGTTGAAGAATAGAACTGATAAACTATGCAAATTAGCATGCCATCTGGACTTCAAAGAAATTAGGTTGGATTTATTTAATAAATGTTTTCATGAAAATAGAAAGTTTTAATTCCTTTGAACTTATATATGTATTTTCTGTGACTGGTCCCTTTTGGAGAAAATTTGTGAAGAAATCTGGCATGCATGAACTTAAATCTACAGCATGGAATAGGAAATTTGATGCTCCAAATTGCTGTGTGTGTTTGTGTGTGTATACGCTTATACATGTAGACTGTATTTTAAGGGATGGCTTATCTGAGTCAGCCTAGCAGGGCTGCTCCCTGTCACACCTTTCATTCTTTAAGACTTTCTATTGTTTGGTAACAAATATAGGCTGCTTCTTATCAGAAAACAAGACTAGTGAATGTGGTTGGGTTCACCCAGTTTTGGCATCTTAACAATATCTAAATTAATTTTTAACTCAAGGCTTTAAAGCGGCAACAAAGAGTTAAGAGTTGACAAGTTCCATGAAAAAACTATAGATTTACTGAATCTTCAACTTAAGTAGAGCAAATCCTATAGAAGAGTAAGGATATAGCTCCTAGGTGCTTGTGACCTTATCTAACCAGCCCCTATAGTATCAGTTGGTCAGGTGGTCAGTGGGTGCAGATGCAGATTGTTTTCCCTGCCCCAGTCTCATTGCTCAGCCTCTGATTCCCCACTGTTGACTTCCTGAACTCATTAATGGTTCACATTGGAATGGTTGATAGGTTACTATGAGGAAGTCCATATTCTAAGTAGTTCACATAAATATCAGCTAACTGTAGACCCTTTGAGGTAGGGGTTTTCATTCTCCCTGGCATGGAACAGTCACTCAGAAAATACTGAAGCACAGAGAGGCTAGGTAGTTTGTCCAAGGTCACTCAGCTAGGAAGTGGCTGGGCCTCATTAAAACCCATGCAGTCTGGCTCCAGAGCCTAGGTTCATCATCACTATGCAATGCTACGCCTGTGAATTGCAGATGACTCTGCTCATTAGCCAGCAGCTAGCTGGTGCCTGTGAGGTCATTAAAGTATACAATTTCTGCTACAGCTAAGAGTTCATCAACTGCTCTTAATGCTGAAGTGTCATTTAGAAGGAGGTTCTGGAGTCCAGATCATGGTTTCAAGCAACAACTCTCCCACAAGCTGGTGGCATGACACAGCAGGTTATCCCCTTTTGACTCTTCAGTTTCCTCAACTATAAAATGAGGGGGGTGGGCACTAGAAGAGTTTAAGATCCCTTTCAGCTGTAACATTTTATAAGTCTGCTTCCTCTCTTATCTGTTCCTATTTCTCTCGCCTTTTAAAAGTTACAGCAATTGGTTTTTGCACCAATCTGTGCACTACAAAAGCTGTAGATATTATTTTGCACTGATACTGAAGTGACTGCCTGTATCACTGTCCATGACTACTTACTTCCAGGGACTCAATGGCTAGAGTGAGAGACGAGCAAAAACAATGATGCCCTAGTGCCATGAGACGAATAGCACATCCTTCCTGCCCAAAGATGATTTATACAGGGAGAAGTCATGTAAAGGAAATTCACTGAAGATGGAGACCAAATTTTCATAGGCAATAGTGACAAAAAACTATTATAATTTCATATAAAAATGAATCTAAAATATATGAAAATAAATGTGCTATTTTTTCTTATAACAACAGAGTTTTGATTATATTCCCAACTAGTTTTAATTCTTAAAATGAAGAATGAATCAAATATTGACTTTTGGGAACTTACTTTCTCTGACATATTATATGATGGCCTGATTGAACAACTTTTATTTCAAATTTTACCTACTATGTGATCATAAAAAATAATATTTTTTGCAAGATTCAGGACACTTCATCAATCCTACAGCCCTCTATTAATCCTTAAATACTAAAATCATTCTTATCTGAAGTTTAATTTACTCTTCTTATCCATTTTCTCTTGTTTGTTAACTGGTTTGAGTTTACAAGATTTTCATTTGTCATTGATTTTGCAGGTTATTCGGAAGTAACCAACATCATCATCGTCAACCTTGTTTTTTCAAGATTTTCTGTTTTACTCCATAGTGTATTTATAGTGTTTGCATTCTGTGGTACAGTGTTTGACCATCACTGAAATATTGAACATTGGAAGCTTTGGCTTTCCTGGAAGAGACAAATCCTGGGGCCAAGCTTGGTAAGGATATTTGCGTGAGGATTAATTTTAAGTGTTCACAGCATTTGAGAATATTTTCACGTTATGTCAACTTTTGCTTTCCTATGCAACATCAGAACTGCAAGTGCTCAAACATGAATACTTGCTTGTTATAATACAGAAATGGTGGCAACTGTACTTCATTAGATTACAGACACACACATTTCATTGATCGCATTACTTAAACACTTAACTATACTACACGTATTCGCAAGACTGGGTTCTCTGTTATCAATTAAGTAATGATTCAGTTTAATGGTTAAATGCCTGTATGTCCACCTTTTTTGAACTGAAGAAATATTTTAAGTCTTAGATGTCCCTTACTACAGAGAAAATTTCAGAGATCATCACCATCAGCCTAAAACTGTTTCAGCCGTACCTATTATATATTTGAATAAAGACTAATTATTTAAAATAAATTCTAATATTAGGTATATTTTATAAAATAATTATATGATGCACATTTCTTTCTTTTAAGGGATGAGTATTCCTTTAGCATCTTAGTGACAATGTAAATGCCAGATATGTATTTGCCTTCTGCTCATTCACCACTCTTCTCCTGCTCTGATTGTATCACAGCAACTACATTTTTAGATTTCCATGCCAACTAGTTGAAGAGTAGTTTCAGCCAATGGAAATGGATTGGAAGCAGCCTGGAGGGTGGAAAGAAGAGACAAGGGAAGACGTCAGGATATCTCTTTTGATACCTGTTAAGGTGGCATCTGTGGCTGTGGTTGTATTTCCTCCACTGCTCTAGCTTCTACCTGACAGACTTCCCTCCCTGACTCCAGCTTCTACTGGGCAGCATCCTTCATGGTTCTAACCCCAAATGGTTTTCACCAGCTTTTAGGCCTGGTAGCACCAGCTTCTCCTTTTTTCCCTGGCCCTCAGGATCGTCATGGCTTCCTGCTATTGCCAATTTCCGGGTGCCACACTGTCTCCTTTATGGGTTCTCAGCTCTCCCATCATCTATATAACCACTTTCTTGCATTAAATTTTCTCTATTCAAACTACCTACAGTAGTTTTGCTTTTCTTGAACTTAGTCCCTGACTAATATGATAGGCATGCAATTAGGAACTAGTGAACCATTAGTGTCTAATGGTTCTACTTCAAAATCACTTCCTGAAAATTTCCTATTTGAGTTGTGCTGAATTCTTTGAATAATGTGTATAGTTGCTCAAACATACATGTGTCATTGAAGAACTTTCAGTGAAATGGGAACTATCTTTGGCATGTATTGTTCAAGATCCAAATGTATTTATTAAGGCCAAGAGTCAGTTCCTAATTTCTCTAGGAAATACATTATGACTTCCTATTTTGTGCCATTCTTTCAATCCATTATTACAGCACCTATTGTATTGTTGTATTAGTCTATTCTTTTTTTATTATTTTTTATTTTTTTATTTTATTATTATTACACTTTAAGTTTTAGGGTACATGTGCACAATGTGCAGGTTAGTTACATATGTATACATGTGCCATGCTGGTGTGCTGCACCCATTAACTCATCATTTAGCATTAGGTATATCTCCTAATGCTATCCCTCCCCCCCTCCCCCCACCCCACAACAGTCCCCAGAGTGTGACGTTCCCCTTCCTGTGTCCATGTGTTCTCATTGTTCAATTCCCACCTATGAGTGAGAATATGTGGTGTTTGGTTTTCTGTTCTTGCGATAGTTTACTCTTACACTACTATAAAGATACTACCCGAGACTGGATAATTTATAAACAAAGGAGGTTTAATTGACTCACAGTTCTGCATGGCTGGGGAGGCCTCAGGAAACTCATAATCACAGTGGAAGGGGAAGGGAAGGAAGGACCTTCTTCACCAGGCAGCAGGAGAGAGAAGAGTGAGTGAAGGAGGAACTTGCCAAACACTTAGAAAACCATCAGATCTCAGGAGAACTCACTATCATGAGAACAGCATGGGGAAAACCATCCCCATGATCCAATCACCTCCCCCCAGTTTCCTCCCTCAACACCTGGGGATTACAATTCAAGATGAGATTTGGGTGGGGACACAAAGCCTAACCATATCATTTGTGCTATAGCAGCATCCTCTAACCTTAGCATTAGCAATATTTCGGGCTAGACAATTGTTTGTTAATGTAGGAGAGGGGACGGTACCCTGCATTGAGGGGTGTTTAGCAGTATCCTTGACCTCTACCCACTAGATACAAGTAGCATCGCTCCTACTCAGTTGTAATAGCCAAACATATCTCCAGATATGTCCTCTGGAGTAGAGGAGAAAAGCAAAGCAGCCCCCAGTTAAGAACAGCTGTACTATAGTTATTGTATACAGATAGACTTCCTGTCTAGATCAAAAGTTCCTTCATGAAGAAGTAGTAAGCTGAACATATTCTTGATTTGAATATAGTAAGCACTCAAAGCCTTAATCAATGCATGCATGAATTGATCATTTAGAATATTAATAGTCATATAGGCTGATTATATCATATTAGCTTTTCTCACAGAATTTAAAAGGAAGATAAAATGTGCACCATTATCTATATTCCTAAAGTAAAAATGAGGAACCTTAAAGGCAATTTTTATTAGTGTTTCAATTAAATCAGTTTCAGGTGGAATGGTGTAATAATGAACATGTCGTTCACATAATGAATGTTTTAAATCATATTCAGGATGGTCACAAAAATTATTCTGACATGAACCTTATAACAACCTCAGTGGTACATAAAAAATCATTATCACTGCTCTAAAATGAGTATTAAAAGGCTCAGAGAGGTTAGTGACCTTCCCAAGTTCACACAGTGTATGAGTAAAACAGCCAGGCTTGGGTCCAGTCTTCTACCTTCCACCTTACTCCCTTCAGCGTTCTTCTCGAAATGCAAAGCTGCCTGGACTCCTATCCTCCTGAAGCCCTCTCCTCCCTAAGCTTGCAGGACGCCACTGTGCTGTGGCTCTCTGTCATCTTTTCTGCCCTCTCAGGTGCCATCTTTGCTGCCATCTCTACCTGGGCCTGGCCACTAATCTCTCTACTCCTCAGTGCCCTGCCTTTGGCCTACTTCTCTTCTGACAACACGTGCTTCTTCTAGTACTCTTATGTCAACTGCTGCTATTATCTCCAGAGCACATGAACTCTGCAGCCAGACTGCCTGACTTCAAACCACCACTTAGTTTACTACCTTGGAGAGTTATGTATCTCTTTGTGCATCAGATCTTCACCTAAAAAAATGATGATTGAGGCTGGGTGCAGTGGCTCACGCCTGTAATCCCAACCCTTGTGGAGGCCAAGGTGGGAGGACCATTTGTGCCTGAGAGGTTGAGGCTGCAGTGAGGGGTGATTGTGCCACTGCACTCAGCCTAGGTGACAGAGAAAGACCTTGTCAAAAAAAAAAAAAAAAAGGATGATTGAAAATAGTCCCTACCTCATGGGGGTGGGGCGGCGGGGTTGACTGTAAAGAATAAAATCGCATAATTCATATATAGAACTTACAAAAGTGCCCAGTACATTGTAAGGTCTGAATAAATATTAAAATATACTAGCAAGGTATATACCCCTCATATCCCTTGACTGTTTCTCTCCTGGGCTCCAAGTTCTGAGTAGGAGAATGGGAGAGGTCCATGGACCAGTGAGAATGCTAATGGAGAAACAGATATCAGGAGACAGACAAGAAAATGAGAAACAAAAAACTCCAAAAGCTTTTCCACTGACTCACCAAGAGGCAGACAGCCTCCCTTTCTCTGTTTGCTTCTGTACCTAACATTGCTGCTATTGCTATACTTACCACCCTCTATTTGAATTCGTGTTTGGATGTCTGCCTTTCCTCACTAGACTAGGAGACCTCTAATTCAATTAATAGGTCATATTCATCCTTCTATCTTTGGCACCTAGCAAAGGGCCTGATGTGTTGTTAGTACTTAATAAATCTCTGTGAATGAAATAATGAATGACCTGGTGAATGTGTATGGACAGCTTTTAGAAATGCATTTCCTAGCTAAAGCAAGTAATGCACTGTCTGACCAGGCTTGGATCACTGCTTGTCATTGTCGGAATTCTGCAGAGATGCCTAGGAACACCACTCAACAACCAGCTCTCCCGTTTAGAAACACTCATACATTATCTACTGCTTTATAGCTTTCACAAAACTGTAGCCTGGGTCACCGCCTCTTGATCTCCAACTCTCAGAAACTTTTTTTTACATTTCAGTACTTCTGTTTTACACCAGTTTTCTTTCTCTGCTTCTAATGTTTCCTAGTATTTCACAACCATACTGTAATGTCTTGCCTCTGCGTGGCATGAAAGCGTTTGTAATGGTACCAGCTAAGCACAGTCATGCCCAGAGGCAGGAGGGTGGACGCAGATGCCCTCAGAGTTCCTTTTAGCAGTAGAGTCCCTGATGTGGAGCCTGACAGCAGGACAGCAGGAGCATGTACTCCACTTTTGTTGACCAAAATCTAGTCGTTAAGATCATTTCTAAACACGGATGGCAGAGAGAAAGGAGGACCCAGGTAATGTATTGGTGGATGACACACAAAGTGACAGAAAATTGAAGAAAAAAAAATCTGTTTGTGCCCTAGCAGGATGAGAAACAAGGAAAGAAGGAAAGAAAGGGGCCGAGCGAAGATATTTCAGTCAGTTTTCTCCACAAATAAACAATTCCACTTTTAATAGAAAGAGGTTTCTTTTTATGTTAGCCAGCTAAAGTACACATTCTCTGCTGTGAAGTCACTTTTAAAGCATGTTTAAGGGGTTAGAAGGGTCTAAAGGAGCATTTATAACTGGCTGTCTCATGCATTTATGTCCTGCTAACATCACCGTCCTCCAAATCCTTCTTTTTCCCAACCCAAGGAAAGAGCAAATTTTCACTGGTCCAGATTAGTGCTGAGTGATGACTTTTTTGGCATCCACACCAGAGTCAGCTCAGTCTACCAGTTCAATTTCAGGTTCACAGATCTGGGGGTGATGTTTTGGCTACTGACTTAAATGTGTTAATTTTTTAACACTCACCAGGTCGCCTTTTGAAGTTAACACCCTTTTAAGAAAAGTAAGGAAAATTCACACCTCTTCAGAGGCAACTGTTTCCAGAACACTTACAAGAGTGTAGTGTATGTTGATCCATGTTGAAGCTCATCTGTTGAAAAAGCATAAAAAGTTTGCTCTGGGAATTTTAGTTTTTAAAGATCACAAGTATAAAGAACGAGTTTGTTCATTTGTTAACAAATATTTATTAAAGGCACAGCATAAGATGTCCCTGTGCTGGAAATAGTAGGGATGTAATTACTTCTATCCTCAAAGAACCTGAAGTCTCAAGAGAGCCCTTGCATTTTTATATTCATGGCCTGTCTCCTCTGCCACATTCCTGTAGGCAGATTCCTCTTAAACTCATTTGTTTTATTTATTTAAATAATTTGTAGCCCTATCCTAGAGCCTTGTTTAAAGGACATCCTTAATAATATTTGCTGATTGTCACACCAAAGTCCTAGGAAGTCAAGGAAATTTGTTTCCCATCCTTACCATCTTGCTCATTCTAGTCAATAAGTCAGAAAATATCGTAAAGGCCAAAAAACACATGAAAAGATGCTCAACATCATGAATCACTAAGAAAATGCAAATCAAAATCACAATGAAATAATATTTTGCACCTAATAGAATGGCTACTGTCAAAAATAAATACAAAGAAAACAGAAAGTAAGTGTTGGTGAGGCTGTGGAGAAATTGGAACCCTTGTGTACTATTGGTGAGAATGTAAAATGGTGCAGCTTCTATGGAAAACAATATGGCAATTCCTCGGTAAATTAAAAATAGAATGACTATATGATTCAGCAACTCCACTTCTGGGTATATACCCAAAATAATTGAAAGCAAGGTCTCAAAGACACTTTTGTACACCCACATTAATCGCAGTGATAGGCTGGGCACAGTGGCTCGTACCTGCAATCCCAGCACTTTGGGACACTGAGATGGGCAGATCACTTGAGGTCAGGAGTTTGAGACTAGCCTGACCAACATGGTGAAACCCGTCTCTACTAAAAATATGAAAATTAGCAGAGCATGGTGGTGCACACCTGTAATCCCAGCTACTCAGAAGGCTGAGGTAGGAAAATCTCTTGAACCTGGGAGGCAGAGGTTACAGTACACAGGCGGAGATCATGCCACTGCACTCCAGCCTGGGTGACAGAGCAAGACTCTGTCTCAAAACAAAAAAGAAAAAAAATAGTAGCAGTATTCACAACAGCCAAAAGGTAGAAGCAAACCAGGTGTCCACTGACAGATGACTGAATAAACAAAATGTGATATATACCTACAATGGAATATTACTCAGTCTTAAAAAGGAAGGAAATTCTAAGACATGCTACAACATGGATGAAACTTGAGGGCATTGTGCCAAGGGAAATAAGCCAATGACAAAAAACACCAGGTATAACATGACTCATTATATAAGGTATCTAGAGTAGTCAAATTCATACAGACAGAAAGTAAAAAGGTGATTGTCAGGATCTGGGGAAAGGGAGAAATGGGGAGTTGTTTACTGAGTCTAGAGTTTCCATTTTGCAAGATGAAGAGTTTTGAAGATTGGTGCACAACAATGTGAACGTACTTAACATTTACTGAATCATACACTTAAATATGGTGAAGACAGCAAATGTTGTGATGTGTATTTTATCACAATTTTAACAAGATATCATTTAAAATAAGGAATGAAGCAGTTATGTAGGCAAAAGGCAGAAAGGTGTCCTAATTCCCTCTGGATTCTTAAATATGAATGATGTAGGTCACAAATAAAATATCTCTCTGGTATTTATGAGCCACAATATTGGAATTGTATCAATTTCAGGGTCCATTAACTTTTGATAACCAGGGTGGTTAGTGACATACAGTGAATTCTTTGTGTAGATATGTGTGCAGGTGTGAGCACATCCAGGTCCCGCCCTACCATGTGTACCTTAAAGATGGAGATGCTTAAAGGAAGCCAAGGCACATGTTAAATACTAAGGGGGCAATTTGCTCTTTCAGAGCAAAGAGCTGGGAATTAATGTGATTTAAATGCAACATGTCAAATACTTACTAGTAAAATGTTCTTTTTATCAGTAACACTTACATCTAAAATGAGGCCTTGAAAAATGCAGCTCTGTGTTTCTTTTATTTCACCTTCCATTGTGCAGTTCTCAATTTCTTCTCAATTAGTCATGTGAGTGCGGTTTTGTAATTCTGACATAAAAATTATGATTGTCAATAATATAGCTAGGAATTTGGAGAGTATATGCTGTTAGGAAAGAACTTTTTTCTCCTTTCTTTTCCTTTTCTAAAGGAAAAATATCCCTAAACACAATGATGAAATGTTTTGTGTCTGTACTGTCTGCAGTCGGAAGATGTGGAATTAAGGAGAGCTATAAAATATAAGGACTCTAGATCTGCATATGATTATCCATATTAAACTGAAGTAAATTTACTTTATGTTGCTCACTGCAGGTTTTTCACTTGCAAAAGAGGACTTTCCCCTCGTGGTCTAAATGCCTGGGAAGACTTGGTAACTCCTGGCTAGTTTTAGTTGCTTCTCTCCTCTCCAAATGTTTAATTTAGCTGTATTAATCTAATGAATCCAAAATGACCTAACTGGATTGGTTTTTCTAGTCATTATCTGTCAGCTGAAGAAGAAAGACAGAAATTCAAAATATCTGGATATTTTGGATAAAATCCTTTTTGATTGAAAGTTGAAAAGAACAGATTTTCATGAAAAACGTTGTGGTTTGGTTATTGAACAGAAAATATGATTGTGTTTGTGTATCTAGACACTCACCGATATATATGTATGTATGTATGTATGTATGTTTATATAAATATATATAATCATCTCTCCCGTCAATGGAAGTTGAGATTAAACATTGACACCTTATACCTCACAAGTTGCAGATGTTTTTCAGGAACAACTATCAGCCATCTGAGTATCTTTGTGTTTCTTCAAACCCATACCCAACCAATTCCCAAATAGTCACCATCCCATTTGGCCTTGCTTTGTTCATTACTATCTTCCTGGTTTACATTTTTAATTATTTTTCAACTCAGATAAGTGAACTCATATTTCTGACTCTAGGATTCTTCCAACCAACATACACATTTTACTGGAGAAAAATTTTCTTCAATCATCTGGCTTTGACCGTACCACTCTCTGGCTCATAAACTTCCAGTGGTCTACATACTCCTCTATATTTCATTCTGCTCCTTGGTTAGTGTTTGCAGTCCACCACAGTCTGAATCCAGACAGGCTTATCTCCCATTATCCCTCATAAACTCCAGTTCTAGACACACTTAGCTTTTGCAGTTCTCAGAACACTTTCTTCTGTGCTTTTGCTCATTCTTCCACCTGGAATCTGAGCACCAAATTTTTTGCCTATTCATTCTTTCTTCAGAACCCAAAACCAAATGTCATTTCTTTCATGAAGACTTCCCTTATCTTGTTGAATGAAAGTGATGTCTCTTTCCTCTGAATTCCTGAATCAATCTTCTTCTTCTCTGACGTGTAACTGATTCTTAAAAGTGTTTTGTACCTTAACTTTTTACATATAACCACTTAGCTCCCACATTTTTTTCCAGGAGCTGTACTCTATTCATTTTGACATTCTCATTGGATCTAGTGCTTTGTGTTTTACTAAGTAAATATTTATTGATGGAACGTGTTTGGCGTACTCAGTTTCCATAGTTTGAGTAAATTTGTTGTTAGTTTAATTAATCAAATTCTCAGTAAAGAAGAAATATCACAGATTATTAGACCAATACAACAAAATCAGGAAGCATTTTTTTTTTTGAACACCTGCTATGTTCCAGGCAACCTGTTAAGTGCTAGAAGAAGTGGTTCTGACAAAGAAACTCCTGGCCACTAGAGAAACTAAGTCAGCAAAACAATTCACAGGGAGTGCCGGAAGACAAGACCCCTGCTCAATGAAGAGGAGTAGAATGTAGCTTTCACGACTCTTTTGAAACTGACAATGCCCCATTAGATACAGAACATAAATCTTCTTTACAGTCCCTTATTTTCTTGACTTTTTTTCTCCTCAATGAACTCTAAAATCAATCAATTTTTCCTTCTTGTCTGTTGACCTGCTCTTCCTCTCTAGCAGCTTTAGAATTTACTTTTTGTCTTTGATGCTCTTAAACTTTACTATCAAATGTCTGTATATAGGAGTTTTTTTTAACCCTTGTGTATTTCTTGTTGGGCAATATGTATCTTTGAAATCAGAGGTGTTCTATCTCTAAATCTAATAAATTATCAGGTATTTTATGAAATATTTATTCTCTCATTTACTTTTACCTCTCCTTCCAGCTCTTCTGTTATCCATATCTTAATATTTCTTCTTCTATCCTCCATATCTTGTGACTTTTATATATTCCATCTTTTATGCCTCTCATTTGTCTTCTGAGAGAAACTGTTGACTTGATCTTTCAATTTACTAATTTATGATCGAGATTTATCTGTCATTGGACATATTTATGGAGCTCTTAATTTGCCATATTTCCTCAGATTTTAAATTGACTTCTTTTTATATCTTACAATTGTTTCATGTTATCAATATTCCAACTTACTTATCTGAGAATGTTTATTATGTGTATTTTAAATTTCTGTCCTTATTGGCCTATTAATTCTGCTTCATACACAGAAAATTTAGTTTCATCCTTTAGTCTTTCACAATGCTTGTAACACCTCAAATAGTTCATGATTTCTTTTTTTCTGAGCTTATCTTGCCCTGAGGATATCAACTATCATGTATTTTTTTTTTTTTTTTTGAGATGGAGTCTCACTCTGTTGCCCAGGCTGGAGTGTAGTGGCATAATTTCGGCTCACTGCAACCTCCGCCTCCTGGGTTCAAGCAATTCTCCTGCCTCAGCCTCCCGAGTAGCTGGGACTACAGGCACATGCCACCATACCCAGCTAATTTTTTGTATTTTTAGTAGAGACAGGGTTTCACCATGTTAGCCAGGATGGTCTGAATCTCCTGACCTTGTAATCCACCCGCCTTGGCTTCCCAAAGTGCTGGGATTACAGGCGTGAGCCACGGTGCCCGGCCTGGTCATGTATTCTTTTTTTTTTTTAGACGGAGTCTCGCTCTGTCGCCCAGGCTGGAGTGCAGTGGCGCGATCTCAGCTCACTGCAAGCTCTGCCTCCTGGGTTCACGCCATTCTCCTGCCTCAGCCTCCCGAGTAGCTGGGACTACAGGTGCCTGCCACCACGCCCAGCTAATTTTTTTGTATTTTTAGTAGAGACGGGGTTTCACTGTGTTAGCCAGGATGATCTCGATCTCCTGACCTCGTGATCCGCCCGCCTCGGCCTCCCAAAGTGCTGGGATTACAGAAGTGATGGACATGTATTCTTTAAAGAAGGAGTAAAAGTCTAGACCCTAGCCTGTGCCCTTCTGTGAGAATTTAGGAAGTAGGAGGTAGGGGGCCAACAAATCAGGATGAAAATCGTCTGATGTTACCCTCAGAGCTTGATCACTCCTTGTTCTATACAAAAACACATCTCACTAGGTTACAGTGACCCTCAGGGAATTCTCCTATATCGTTGATTCTGGATTCTGTTCTTATCCAAGGGCTTTATCTCTTGATTATAATCCACCTGGCCATTGGGCTGTAATGCAGGGAGGTAGAGAGGGAATGCTCAAGAACCCACAAGTCTGCCTGCACTTGTAGCCTTCCCCTCTCCAACCCATCCAGGCCTCTGCACTCCCTGGTATCATCCCCACTGGTAATGGCTGGAATGATACTGCCTCATGCTTTTCTGTCTCCTCATGATTTGGAAGTGGGTAATCAGCACATTTTAAAACCTTACTCCCAGCCTTTTGCTTTTCTACTACACACACTTTTGTCCACCCTGGGCTGCTCATCTTTTCCCTCTCCATACTCAGACCCCATGATCCAAACGCTGTCTCCCCAGGGATATTGCATCTATTTTTTTTTTCTGAGATCATCAACCTCCATTTTCCTTCTGTGATGTCTCCAGAGTTGACTCCAGAGGTGTGTTAGGGTTCACCAGAGAAACAAAAGCAATAGAGAAAAAATGTAAATACATGTTCTCAGCCTCCATAATCACATGAGCCAGTAGTGAGATTTATTATAAGGGATTGGCTCATGTGATTATGGAGGCTGAGAAGTCCCATAGTCTGCAGTCTGCAAGCTGGAGGCCCAAGAAAGCCAATGGTGTAATTCAATCTGAGTCTGAAGGCCTGAGAATCAGGGAAGCTAATGATGTAAATTACAGTCTCAGGGCAGGAGAACATTGGATGAGATGTCCTAGCTTAAGTAGTGAGGGAAGATAAAAAGGAGGGAATTTCTTCTTCCCCCACCTTTTGCTCTATTGAGGCCTTCAGTGGATTGAATGATGCCCAACCACATTAGAGAAGGCAAACTACCTTAGGAGTTCACTGATTCAAATGCTAATCTCAGACATACACATAACAATGTTTAACTTGGGCACCCTATGGCCTACTCAAGTTGACACATAAAATTATCACAAGGAATATCAAGCCAACAGATTATTAGATCATTAGCTTCTCTCAGAGATTTGTATATAATTGCCCAATTAAAAAATCTTACCCAGTTTTAATGTTCATTTGCCAATGAGCTATTTTAAGGAGAGTTTCTTTGCTTTTAATATGATATTCAAGATTTGGTCTTGGCTGATGTGTTCTTGGCTGGTGATACAAAGAGCATATCCAACTTAAAGGGGATATACCTGAAGCTCAGGCTTCCAAAA
Source organism: Homo sapiens (assembly GCF_000001405.40). Lineage (NCBI taxonomy): Eukaryota > Metazoa > Chordata > Mammalia > Primates > Hominidae > Homo > Homo sapiens. The sequence continues at coordinate 87,723,028 of NC_000001.11, read as the reverse complement.
AAGCCTTACACAGTCTATCAGTCAAGATTCAATCAGAGAAAGAAACAACCACCAGGATATGTGTGTGTGCCTATGTGTGCATCCGTGTGTGTGTGTGTGTGTGTGTGTAGATAGATGGTTAGAGATTTATAAATTATATTTTAGGTTATACATAAATATACATAGATGTGCTGGGAATGGATCCCAGCACACACACATCTATTCCCACCCACACACACACAGTATTGCAAGGATATAGATAGCAAGATAGATAAACAGATACACACACATATATCTCAATGAGACAGAGAGAAAGAAGTTACAAAGATTTGTTCTTACACAATTATAGGAGCAAGCTAAACAGTCTCTGTAAGGCTGTTTCCTTTACATTTTATACTAGAGCTTGAAATCCTCAAGGCAGGGAGTTGAGTGGGAAGATGGAGTTATGGACAGGAGAACAAAAACAAGCTGGAACCCACCAACACAAGTTGGAAGCCACAATCACAAACTGGAAACTGTCAGTTCTCCCTGCTGCTAACCTTGATGATAGTCAGGCCTTGCCAGAGAAATTAGTCCTCCTCATCACTGTGCTTAACATCTTTCCCAGAAGTTAAAGAAGCTAAAGGAGAATTCAGGGGAAGATAAAGCAGTTGCAGGCCCTGCTGCTGTCCCGACACCAATGAAGTAAGTCAGTGCATAAGCGCATGAGCTGCAGACATGCCTGGTGACCCTGCCTGGACTTTTGAGAATATAAAACAATATGGCTGCTATTTTGGTTCCACATTCCAACTGTAATGCAAAAAGAAAACAAAACTAGTCTCTCATGGCCCTCCTTACCCTGTAACATATAAGGAAAAGAATTCTGGGAAATGTAATTTGGCCTAGTCAAATCTCTATGATTCTTTGTTATCTCATCATATGCCATCTGCAAGTCCCATGAAATTAAGAATTGAAATCAGGATCTTGAAGAGATATATATTATCACTTCTATGTTCACTGCAGCACAGTTTACAATAACCAAGATGTGGAAACAATCTAAACCTCCATCTGTGCGTGAATGGATAAGAAAAGGTGATATACAATGGAATGTTATGCAGCCTTAAAAAAGAAGGAAATCCTGCAATATGTGACAACATGGATGAACCTTGAGGAAATTATGCTAAGTGAAATATATCAGTCCCAGAATTCTCCGTAATCCCACTTCTATGAGGTAGCAAAAGTTGTCAACCTCACAGAAGCAAAATGGAATGGTTGTTACCAGGAGCTGAATGGAGGGGGACAGAGGGAATTGCTAATCAATGGGCATAAAGTTTTAGTTATGTAAGATAAATAAATTCTAGAGATCTCCTGTACAACATTGTGCCTGTAGTCAACAACACTGTATTGTACACTTAAAAATCTGTTAAGAGAGTAGATCTCATGTTGTGTTCTTACCACAATAAAATAAAAAAATAAATTAAATGTTAGAAAATATCTTTCCTGGCCTGGTGCAGTCGCTCACGCCTGTAATCCCAGCACTTTGGGAGGCCGAGGCAGGCGGATCACAAGGTCGGGCGATAGAGACCATCCTGGCTAATGCGGTGAAACCCCGTCTCTACTAAAAATACAAAAAAATTAGCCGGGCGTGGTGGCGGGCACCTATAGTCCAGCTACTCGGGAGGCTGAGGCAGGAGAATGGCGTGAACCCGGAAGGCGGAGGTTGCAGTGAGCCGAGATCGCACCACTGCACTCCAACCTGGGTGACAGAGAGAGACTCTGTCTCAAAAATAAAAAATAAATAAAAAAAAATAAAAAAAAAAGAATATCTTTCCTATGGCAAGGAAAATGGTGAATCTGCTATAAGAATGAATATATCCCCCACCCCACCTTAGAATTTCTACCTTACTTTGACCTCTCCTCAAAACTTCAAAAATCACTTTCAACCAATTGACAAGACACATATAGTATATCAACCAGGGTCCTGGCAGGAAACAGATGGCACCCTCAAATTAGGAAGATTTGAAGACAATTTACAAAGGGACTATTTTAAAAGCAGTGGGCAGGATATAAGCAGGCCACAGGAACAGTCAGTGTTCTGTAGCTAAAACAGTGGTGCTTTTACCATACCTTTGCCCAAAGGGAGGAAAGAGGTCAGTTACCAACACCCTGAAGGAAAGAGTCACATAGGGCTACCTTGAGAAAACCAAGGACCTTCCATAGAGTGACACAGCCAGTGCAACTCATCCCTGCAAACGAATGAGCCAAATGAACACATAATCTGACCTCTCTTTCTTCTCTCCCTCTGATCTACCACAAGGGCTTCTCATTAACCAAACACAACCAAAGCCAAAGGGCAAGAGAGCTTGTTGTCATTCTTCCGGGGTAGAGAGTAAGTTCAAAAAGAATGGAAAATAGGTGAGAAGAAGCCAATGGATAAGATTCAGCAAAATAAGATAATAATAATAATAACCCACACAGAAATTAGAAACAGCTAAAAATTACTTGAGCTAATTCTGTTATTTTAAAGGTGAAAAAGGCAATGTGTTGAGTAGTTGTGATTTGTCAGAATAAAAGATCCATTAAGGACAGAAATATCTTGCTTATTTCATATCCCTAATACCTACTACAATGTCTGCCTCATAGTAGGTGCTCAATAAATGTTAATTTAACTGATTTGATTGAACCAAATTGGATTATATAAGACAGAAGCACAATTTAAACCCTAGTATCCTGACTGCCAATTGTATACCACCACCTCCGGATATCATTTTCATTTTCAAATATCAGACATGCTAGAAATTGAACAATATAACTTCCTTGTTTTACTCCCACCCTTACTATAAATGGTAAAAGTCAGAAAGCAGGAAAGAAGAAAATTAAAGGGCTTGCCTGATTTACCAAATGTGTAATTAGCCTCCAATTAGATCTGAATAGGTTGCAGCACTTTTTCTCCTGTTGAATCTTTTAGTATTGAGCATATTGAGTGTTTTATCATGCCTTCACAATTGCACAATAGCCAGCCAAGAGCTGAAGGCTTCTTATATTTGGAAAATGAATCCATATTTCTAATACTCGTTTTTCTTTTAACCTATTTGTAAATGATTTATTGTAGTAGCAAATCAGATCACGATAAGATAAAGCTTTTTAGAGGTCATTAAAGAGTTTTGGGGAAGTTCCTACAAAGATGCTAGTTTTACACTGTCTGGGTGATAAGGCAACTTAACAATTTATGTGAAAGTTTGCAAAATGTGTTTGTCTGATAAACAGTTTGCTCTACGGGCATCAATCATACTTGCTCTCAGTGGTGTGTTGTATTTTTCATGAAGTGAACTTTAGTGACTTTGCCCATCTACAGGTTTTTGAGATTGCAGCATGCTAAAGAGAGCTTCCCATCTCCCCTCTGCACAGTTGCATTTCAAATCTCTTAATGCAGCTGCCATAATGCAGGTTGCCAATGTAGGCAACCTCAACAAGATTGGTAAGAAAGGTAAGTGTGGAAGCTAGTGTCGTTGGGGAGGGAAGAGTCAGTCTTTGGATTGGGGAAAATAGAAACGCTAGAGTAAAAAATTATAAAGTATGCATGCGAAGGCACACTTATACAGGCACATTGTCTAGGTGGTATAAGGATCAAATGGATATGATAACATTTTGTAGCATTGTAAATGTTCACAAATGTGAGGGTTACCTTGATATGAGGTGGAGAGCTGATTCCCAATCTCAGCTCTGATCCTCACTATGTGTCCTCATTTATAAAATGAAGGTAATAATACACCTTGTAGGGTCATCCCAAGATCAGACACAGGAAAGCAGATGAGCCCACTTTGTAAACTAAATTACTATGCAAATATAAGCCATCACAAAAAAGGTTGGCTCAGGAGAGAGGATATACTTATTACTCTTTCATAATTTAAAAAATAAAATACCCAGGACCGCAGGACAACTCGGTTAACATACATTTGGCTTTCTCAAATCTTACCATTTTAGAAGCATTTGCAACTGCTTATAAATCACTTCTCAAAATTGCCCTGAGCTGAAATGATATTTCTAAGCGCATGTTAAAAGCCTATAAGTGCTTCTGTTCTTGAACAAAGTGAAATCAGTTTACGTTAATAGAAGTATTAATTAATTTGCTCTAATTTTATTCAGTAGTATTAGCATTATTGAAAAGTCTTTACCATCTTTGAGTACCCTAAAGTGTGAGGCGTTAGAGATGGGGGCTCCAGCTGCAGGACCTAGCAGTGAGTATGAAAGTGCAGAAGATTATTGTCTAATTTGGAAACCTGAGATGTTACTGGGAAATGCTGTGGGGTGTGTTATAATGAAAATACCAATCCACATTAGCCATGGTTGCCATAAGGAAAAATCTTAATATCTTGGCCAAACCTACTTAAGGTTCATGTAATAAACCCACATTCCTAATTTTATTAGTGATGTGCCAAGTTAAGCACTTTGCTGGCCTTTGGACAGATTTATAGCTTGACTGTGCTGAATTAGTGGTGACTGACAAGAGGACATTGTTTTATAGGATGCTATTTAGATAAAAACCTGCAGGGTGTTTCTGTAATGTTGTCACTTCAAGTCCAAACAGGAAAAAAGAAATGTGTATTAAGGAGGACTCTTCATTAGCTTTTATGAGTTTAATCTAGTGCAGTCAAACACTTCCTTATAAGGCAAGACATTTTAATGTACAGACAACCTTATCTCTGTTCCAGGTTTCAGAATAAAACAATCTCTTAGGCTTAGTATTGCATCAAAAGAGAAAGTTCAATGAGTTAATATTTGTTAAGCACTTAGAACAGTGCAAGGCACACAGCAAGCATGCTCTGTGTTTGTAAAATAAGTTAAATAAGTGACATTAAAATCCAGTTTTCTCATTCCACAGTGTATATCTATATGTTTACCTCCCCATAAAAAAATCACATATAGTCCATCTTCCCTTCCTTGCCAGTATTTTCTTGCTAGTGGAGTTTTCCACATTTGTTAGTCATTATTTCTTCTCATGGTTTTTAAAATTCAGATACTTCTTACAAGGAGGAAGATCAGAACCTTCTATTTATTCATAGACATCAGAACTAACATTCCTGCTGGGTTTCTTACTGAAAGCAATCTGCCTGTGAGATATGGGAGATCATATTAACTTCAGACAGTTTTGGTGAGGATGTGAGGTTTTGGGTCTCACTGTACCTCACTCTTAACAGCTGAATGATTTTGTGAACACAGACCCTGGCAGCCCCTTGGTTTGGTTTCTTGGAGGAACAAGTCTTCTTTAGAAACTAAAGCCAAGGGCTCTAAATGTGTTTTCCCTATGACCTAAACAGCTTATTGGTCTGAATGTCAAATTTATTAATCCAAATCCTGACCCATTTCTCTTTTCTCATTAGAAAAAAAAAAAAAGAAAGAAAGACTCTCTGAACTCACTCTTCCCTTCTGAGACCAAAGATAAAGATAACTATATAATTATACTCTATATTCTTACCACAAACCATGATTGTGAAACTCAAAACTCCAGATGAAGGATCTTAAAGGGTATCTTAGAATCACGTTAAACTCTTCCGAAACAAGCCAAACAAAAGAAATCAGCTGATAATGGTGATATTATTCTCACATTTAGCAAAAATAGGCTCCTTTTGCCAACATAGCATTAGCAGAAATACATAACAAGCAGATTCTAACACCCCCAAGAGGTAAATTCTGAAACTTGTGTTTGGTTTTACTTGAACATTCTTGTAGACACTTTGGGTCAAGATAGGAATTTACCAGAAGTACTGTAGTATCTTTCACCAACATTTTCATATCTCATCTGAGAAGCTTGAAATATCCAAAAAGTATTTATTTCTCTCAGCTCTTTTCTAGTTGTACATTATTATCTTAATTCACTCAAGCATGAACCCAGAGGTTAAATCACATGTACAAAGTCACTAGGGAACCAGAGGCCAACCTCTGCCTTTTATGGGGTTCATCTCCACAAAACAGAGCCTCTCCCCTTAAAGGCTTTTAGCTACTTTGATAATCCAGGTAATTAGGCATCATCTGTTTTAATTCTGGTTCCTGATGTTCCTAATATTTTTGGTCCAATGTCTGGTTTCAAAGTATAGATTGGCCAGACACCGTGCCCCATGCCTGTAATCCCCGCACTTTGTGAGGCCAAGGTGGGTGGATCACTTGAGGTCAGGAGTTCGAGACCACCCTGGCCAACATGGTGAAACCCCATCTCTACTAAAAAATACAAAAATTAGCTGGGTGTTGTGGCACGCACCCATAGTCGCAGCTACTCGGGAGGCTGAGGCATGAGAATCGCTTGAACCTGGGAGGCAGGGCTTACAGTGAGCCAAGATCACGCCATTGTACTCCAGGCTGGGAGACAGAGCAAGATTCCATCTCAAAATAATAAATAAATAAATAAATAAACTTTCGACTGCCTCTTCCATGAGCTAGTGGTGTGATCATTCTGAGGCTCAATTTCTGCATCTGTAAAATAAGATTGATAATAGTATCTTCCTAATTGGATTGTTTTGAAAATTACATAGGAAAACCAATATAAAGTCCGTAGAACAATGCCTGGCACACAGTCAATTTCTAACAAGTACTAACCTAAGTATGGTTTTATTGTTACTGTTTTTTTATTAGTCTCTTTCTTTGAAATGAAGAAACATTTAAGTTAGACCAGGCATGACTCCTGCTCTGTCTTATCTGCTTGGTTACATCCTAGTCATGCACAAGCCTAAGCTTACCATGCACAAATGCAGGTACTGGAGACAGAGTCCTGAAAACTCATTGTATGTGATATCCCATGTCTTGATCCATGCTTCTGTACTGCCTGACTGCTAGATTTAAAAGTGTGTGTGTTTATAAACACACTTATATATGTGTCTCCATGTAGGCACAAATGTATGTATGCATATATTGCATATGGTAGAAGTGATAAAAGCATATGAATGGTAAACTGGCACTAAAATATTGTTTTAGAGGTACTGTATTATAACCTTTATAAAACTGCTTCCACTTCATAACTTTTGTGTTTTGTGTGTGTACATATACTTTGACTCCCAGGAAGAGACTTACCTGTTTCAATTCAGGTTTGAAAAGCAGTTCCCATCACCATATATTGATCCTGTGGCTCCTCCTCTCCCGTCCCTTCCTCTCCTCTCCTTTCTCTTTTCCCTTTCCTTCTCTTGAGTCCTAGATAGAAGATGAGCCTTCTGTTCCCCTTGTCTGCCCCATTAAGTGTGTTCCTTGCTTTCTGGAGCCTGGATGAAGTCACATGACTAGAATGCCATCTCTAATCCCATTTTCCATTTGTATACTGGATTTTGTTAACCACTTTTTAAATAAAAATACAGCATGATGCTAATGTACTAAGGAGATCCAGGGATAACCATATAATTTCAAAATGATACTGATTTTGTTTATATGCAGCATAATCTTTTACAGTCCTTAGTCTTTATTTGAAGCATTGCAAAGTGGATTTTTATGAAAGGTATTATAAAGAACTCCTTGTTTCTTCATAACAGATCTGAACGTTAACCGATCAGAGTTCAGATAAATAGTCTTTACTCTCCATTAAAATATTTAAAAGCCTTTGGTAAGAAACTGGCATAGAGATCCTTCATTCTTGCTTAATGAACACTTGTTGGCAAGTATAACACTTTAATAGCTTTGCAGAATGAATTTTGTGTGTGCATCCTCCATTTCCCTGTCAGACACTTGTCCAGGTGCTGGAAATTTATTGGGGGAAGCATATTTTTACTCATTAGTTTTGTATTTGATTACAGAATAGTAAAATATGAACCACCAAGTCCCCGAGGCATAGCTGTGTACATTGAGATTAGTAATTGCGTGTCATCGTGTTCTCCATTGGAATTTATATGGACAGATAGGATAGGTGCTTCTTAAGTAGGTTTAAAAGCAAAGCAAATTTGTATTTAATCTTTTTTGCAGCTATAGTTTCCCTAATGGAGAAAAGGTTAGGCTATATCATATATTTTAAACATAGTTTTAATTTATTTTTTTCTCTTCTCTATTTTTTTCTTCACAGTTGAAGTGTATCAGATTTTCATGCTAACCACTACTAAAAAAAATCAGTGCCTATAAGAATGATATGATATAAAACCTGTCAACAGAGACCAGTTTTGCCCACATTCCAGCAAGCACAATGAGAAGGGATGATTATAGGTGCAGACAAGCCCCACCATTCAAACAGGGAGCTTAAATACAAAACAGAAATTACACATTGATCTTCAAGATACATCTTTTTTTTATCTAGAAAGTTGAGTATTTTTAATATGAAGATTGTAGTTTTACCCTTAAACAAGTTATGTGTTTGGAGGCTGAGGTTGTGAGGTTTTTTTAGTTATGCTTGCAAAGAGAAATTATCATTTTGTTGTTTTGTGATATAATAACAATAAAAGAGCTGTATTACATAGGTGATTTTGCCTTAGACTGTGCTGTGGTTAAGCAATGCCAATCATGTTGTGCTCTTTTCTATAAAGATGCTCATAAATGCAATTTCCGAAACAGAATCTAATGAGGTACTTAATGGTCACAAAACTGGCACATTTGATAATTAATGTTCCTTACTGATTTTTTGCTGATGCTGCATAGTGATAAACAGTGCTATATGTTAACTAAACATATTCTTGAACCATTAGTTAAAATAAAATAAGAGCACAAAAAGAACTTTAATAATGTTATTTACTATAGAGTGAATGAACACTTCATGGCGTCTTTCAAGGACCAGCAAGAAAACTATCCACAAAGTATTGTCCACCCTGAGAAGCAGAAACCCCTTCTTCACATGGAGGGTATAAGAGAGTTGTGGCAATTTATCTGCTTATATTGTCACTCTAATAAAAACTAAGGTACTTCATTTCACAGGTTCTCAGCTACCAAAAAAAATACAATTTATTGAGCACTTACTATGTGCCAGGCACTTAGCTATACATTTCTCATTACATCCCCTTAACAGTTCTATATGCAAATTCTCTTATACAAATAATTGCCCCCATTTTAAAGATTAGGTACTAAGGCTTAGCAAAGTTAAGGTCACATAGCTTGTTAGTGAGAGAAGTCATTTATAAGGAAGGCAGTGGCATGTAATGAAAGTGCTGTCATTTTATTGAGCATATAAAACCTGAGTTTGAATTCATGATCTACTATTTATTTTGCAGTTATGTGAAGCACTTAGCCTCCTTCAGCCTTGGTTTTCTCATCTATAAAATGAGAATAATAATACCTTATAGTGAGTAAGGTTAGAAATCATATCTGTAATGCAGCTTGGGATATGACTTGAAGATGTTTAATGATCACAAAATGGTCATTCTTTCCCCCCAAATACACACACACACACACACACACACACACACATGCACACACGTGCACAGAGAGAGACAGAGAGAAAGGAAAGAGAGAGAGAGAGAGAGAGAGAGGGACTCTCTCCATGCTTTCAAAGAATTCAGCAAGTGGAATTGAAAAACACGTATCTCTGCCTGCAAAGCTCAGGACCTTTCCAATATTCTATTCTGCCTTTTATAAACATGAGTTATCAGTGATTCTTTGTCTCACAGCACACAAAGCAAGTTTAAATCATAGCTGATAGATACCTGAGTCTTCAAATGTGACACATGACTTTATGAGTGTCTTTAATAAAAGTACATTAAAGGACTAGTCAACCTCACGACTCTAAACCTAACTTTGTGTGACCTTTTACAACCATTTATAATAATATTGCAGGAAATTCTGTTGTTCAAAAACGCATGCAGAAATCAATTTCTCCTTACCCCCAGTTACTAATCACAGAATCTGATTTTGGGTATGCGAATGTGTGTGTAATTCTTGACATTAGTTTGATTGGTTGACTTCAACACACTTTTAATGGAGAACATGCTAGATTAAAATAAAAATGTAGAAAGATTTGGGGAAAAAATGTGACCTAAAATCTTCACTAGACATTGCTTTTTCAAAAGAAGGAGAGATTAGATACTATAGTTTATAGACTACCAACTTCTAGTTTTTTCTTAAATTGCATCAATGTTTGAAGGCAGATGGATCATGTTTATTTTTTATTGTTGTTGTTTGTAAATTCCCATTGACTTCAAAAGGGGCATGCCTACTAAGAATAGTGTGCATTTCACAGCTGAGATTTAAGGGATTTGAGGGACTCAGAAAAGCTGAGAGATAATTGAAGGCTCACAAGGGAGGCATAGAAGGGATCAGAACAGCAAAGGGAGGCTCAAGGAGGATTGCAGGGGCTCCAAAGGAGTTGCAACTGGATCAGTGTAACAAACAGAGGTTAAAGGAGCTCCTAATGGCAGAGGAACAGTGAGAGAGAATTAGAATGTCATAGGGGACAAATAAGAAAGAGGATACAAGTATGGGCTAACTACACTCAGAATGCTACACTTATCTGGACATCTTCCCCTGTCCCTGTGGACTAGACCCAGCCTACCTGCTAACTCATCCCTAGTGGCAGACCATAAATCCAACTGCCTGCTGAATGTCTCTATTGGGTTGGCCATAGACACTTTACGCTTAGTATGCCTGAGCTTGAATTAATCATCTCTTCTTCCCTGCCTGTGACTTAGGTGTCAGACTATCTCAGAGAATTTCTGTGACTCATACCTTCCATTTAGAATCTCCTGGTTCTGAATGGTATTCTTGTACCTGGATTATCTGCCTGCTTAGCTATTTAAATTGACCCTTTGGCTCTAGTGTCTGTCTGGCCTTCAGTTTCACCTCTGTTCTATGTTCTGCAGTCCTGCAGGCCATCGCTGGGCTTGCCAAGCCCACATTCCTAGAGAAATTGTTTCTGGCTTTCTGTTAGTCTAAGAAAGAAATGTATTCCTTTATTTGATCTTAAAGTTGGGTGTTCTAAAGTTCTCCCTCATCCTTCCCTTCTCTATCTAATAAGCCACCAGGTTTCATCAATTTCACTTCCAAAATATTTCTCCTATTCTTTTATATTGCTCACCTTTTTCCTCAATGCCATTTCTTGTAAATTTATTATTTCTTCAACCCTTGACCGAAACATTGTCATCATCTCCTACCTGGTTGCCCTGTCTGTACTCTTAATCCCCACCTCCCACTCTATTTACCTAAATCATGTTTCTAGAATATAAATACAAGTACATCAAATTAGTTAATTCAATTAAAAATCTTTCAGTGTCTCTCTATTGCCTTTAGGACAAAGTCCAAACTCTTTAACACAACATATAAATGCCTTCTAAGTCCATCCCTTTCCTTACTTCTTCACATCACACTGTGCCATTCACTATCTCTTTTGGTACTCCCCAGCCATACTGAACTACTTGCAGTTTAATGACAGGCCATGCTTCCACATCTTTGCTATTCCCTCCATTTGAAATGCCTTTATCTCAGCCTCCTCCCCTCCCATTGTCATCCTGATGAACAGCTCTTATTCTACAACATTCAGCTCAGGTGCCATTTGGTAGAGACACTTTCCAAGGCACTCTTCCATTCAATCTCTATAGTCATGGCCAGACATACCCAAGTTATATTTCCATGGAAGCAAAGGGGCCAGCAGGTTCACACCATATAATGAGAATAGTTTAGGGGTGGGGGGCCATACCCAGGTGAAAATGCTGGGAGAAGTCTGGACCAGCACATTAAGCATGGAATGTTTGCAACAGGCTAATGGCTACAGATGATAGTTCAAATCGGAGGAGAGCCAAATGAAATGTGTGGGTGTCCTAATAAAGACATGGCACTCAAAAAAGGAAAATCCAATAGCAGTCAATTAACTTAAGTAGGTAGATGTTTGGTTGATATGGGAACTTTGTTAGAGAGGGCAGAACTACAGTTCGTATGCTTAGAGATAGCTGGATTGCTGAATAAAATGGGGTCTTGGGCTCAGGAAACAAGACAAAAATAACCAGTAACCAGGACAGGGGTAAAAGAGGAAAACAAATCTAGAAATAGGCAAAAGTCTGTTGTAAGAAATTGAGGCATACATTAAAGAGTCCATCCAGCAGCAAGTGACTTGATGCTGAGCCCCAGCATGCTGTAGGAGAGTGGCTCCAGATCGTGGCCTAAGGCCTCCACTTAGGGACTGAGTAGGGCTGGATCCCAGCAGAGAAAAGTGTGGTTGCAATCTTGCTATGAGGGGGCTGTCAAGACAGAGCCAGGGAGGGCCTAAAACCCTCCATACTCTAGCTAATATTAATTCTGTCAGGGTGGTGGTTTTTCTTGACATTTGGCCTAATATTTTTCCTTACTTAATTTTATTCAGTGTAATTATTATACCATTATACCTCACTTTTGTTACACCTTTTCATGATCTTTTTAAAGAAAATCTCTCCTTGATATTTGTAGACTTCCAGTGTTTGTAAATTGTTGACACATCCCTGTTAATTGTTGCTTAGTCAGCCCTCTTTCCAGTTTACATCCTTAACCTTTCTTTGTATTACAGGCTGTTTGTTACATGAGCATTTCTCTAAATCAGTTTTGCTCTCATCTTTCCGACATGGATATACCCTCATTCAAATGGGGAACTCAGGAGGTGGCTCCCTCAGTTCTGTAACCATCGCCATGATCAACAGGGCAAACTCACACAGAAACATAGTCCTTCTCCTGTCTGAAAGAGACCCGGTTCCACTCTGCTCCTCTAGAAAATATCTCAGCAAATTATAATGATCTTCTCACCTGAGATGGTAATGAGTACTGAATCTTCCACCTAAGGGATCCTGTTAGATTTTATGGCTTAGCGGTTACATGCCACAGCTTTAAAGACAGAAAGAAAGGTCTATTCTCGGTCTATTTTTGCTGAACAACTTTGGGCAAATTCAATTTTTATAGGCCTCAGTTTCCCTGCCTATAAGATGGCCATGATATCTAACTTAAAAGGCTGTTGTAAGGAGAAAATATATGTTAACACTTTGGTACAATGTCACATACGTAATAATTGTTCAATAAATGGGTTGGTAATTGTGATGCATGTGGAAAATCTCTCAGATCCGGTTTCTCAATTAGGGTATTTTTTTTTCTCTTCAGAGTTATCAAAGCTGACACTCCCTGAGACTGTAATCATTGACAGAACATGTTTTTCAGGCTTTGGGGATTTTAGTCCCCCAAATTCATTGTGTTCTCCTCTTTCTGTGCCAGCAAGGGAAGGTTTCTCTGCCGGTTTCACCTGCTCTTTAGAAAATTGCCTAATGTGAAATTCTAGGAAGTTTCTGTCACCTTTCATTTAAGATCTTTGTTGATATGCATCATCCCTGGCTGGAAATTCATGATTAAATATATTTCATAATTGCTGCCCATTTCCTTTCCTCCCTAAATCACAGCAAAAAAATGTTGAAAGGATGTTATAGATGAAATCGAAAAGAAATCAATTGCCCAGAAGGTCTTTCAGCATTCATTGACAACCTGCCTGGTTCATACACATCTAACATCTTGTTTCTTGTCATTTTCACACACACGAGTGTTATATAAGAGGAAACTGAGGCTCCCTAGTTTTAGGTACATTATAAGTAAATTAACGGTAAAATCTTTGTTTCTTCAGACATTTCCACAATAGGCTCTAAAATGAGTGGACTTCAAGACTTCCTTGGCCACCACATTGTCTCTCTTAGAAGGTTTAAATATGCAACCAGCATTTCTGGATTTGAATCCTGACTCTACCTCTTAATGAACTGTGTGATCCTGGGCAAATTACTTAGCTATTATAAGTCTCATTTCCATCTGTAAAATGGATATAATAATCCCTGCATGGGATAGCTGAGCAGGCTTTCTGGTGTGTAGTGTGAGTTGGAAAATGGTGGCCCCTTCCTGCTCTTCCCGCCTACTTCAGGTCCTTGTCAAACATTCTTAGCTCTCCCTTTTTTTTTCTTCTTGGACAAACCTCTTCTGTTCATGAAATTATTAATAATGTTCAGGTACATTCAGAGTAAAAACTAAATCCTTGGCTCTCTGTGAAGTGTCCAAATACCTTAAAATATCCTTTCTTAAATTCCACCCAAAATGCTTTGTGATTTTTAAGCATATTGCCTTATTTAAACAAGCTGCAATCTGATGTTTAGGAAGAAGTGAAAAATAATATGGTGTTAGTTGGTGTGGAAAGTCAGAAACTAGTATTTTTATTTTTATTTTAAATATTACAGAAAGTAGGACCACCTCCCTCTGCCCCCCTTCAGAACTTGTTACTATAGCATTTAAAATCTGTATTCAATGCCATCATTAAATAATTACATTAAATGATTTCTGAAACCTCAGAAACTGTTTGTCAGAATTGTTTGGGAAATAATCAAATGATTTCACTTCCTACCCAAGTTCAATGTTTTGTTTTGTTTTATATGCTCAGAACATTCAAACCAACTTCCTGAAGCCAGTAAATATCACCGACTTTTCTTTCTCAATTTGATCTACACCCAAACTTGATAAAGCTAGTATTTTTGGGTTTTTAAATGACCACATAATCTCTATTTTGAAGCTGATATGGTTCAGTACAAAGAGGACTGCAAAGTTCTCAGACTTAGGTTCAAAGGGCTGTTCCACCACTTAATGTTCTGTGTGACCTTGAGCAAGATTCTGAGTCTTAATCATCTCACCTCTGAATGAATGCTCCCACCTGAGCATCCATTCATTTTTTTCGTTAATAACCACAGCACAATGGGACTGCTCCATACACTCAGGACACAGCAGTGAACCCAACACAAAAATCCCTGCTTTCAAAAAGCTTGTATTCTGGGTGGGTAGGCAGACATTAACAAGTAAACAAACAAATAATACATAATTGGCACTATGTCCAGTGGTGAAAACTAACATGGAGAAAAATAAAGCAGGGTAAGGGGGACACGGAGTGCTGGGCCGCTGCCAACACTAGGAAGCCAGGGGTGAGCACGGCCTGCCTCCTGCAGTGTTGGGAAAATTACCTAAGATAATGTGGGTAAGAGCTCTTGCAAACTTTGGTTGATTATGAAAATGGAATCTGAAATGGTAAAAATGAAGGTAAAATAGGCAATAAAACAAATACTTATTAAAGACACATGTTCCGAGAGACCCTACAATTTCAAGTTTTTGTGTGAGATGAGTGTATTTGCATCCTGTCCGTGATATGGATCATGAATGCTTATGTCACTGCATCTCTCTGCACCTCAATTTCCTCCTCTGTAAAATGGGAGTAATATAGTATCTCCCTCAGACAAGGGCCCCTAGGATTATATATAATCCTTTCCTATGTAACTATGTGAAATAGTTATTACTTGTAAAAAAATAGCCAACATTCTAGAACTAGTGAGATAAAAATCTATCTAACCCAGCACAGGGCACTGCTCCCTCTCCCTCGACCCTTTGAAGCATCAAAGTAAGATTTCATTGTTTAAATTCTGATAGTCAAACTTCTTCACTAAATTTTCAAACCACTGACCCTCTTCACCAGTCTGCAGGCTCTTTTAAACTCAAGTGAATGGAAGTGTTTCTTGTGGCGTTTCAGTTGTGCTGTTGAATGAAATTGAAGTCACTCCAACAAATGATGCAAATAGATTGCTGTAGCCTGGGCGAGTTTCATCCAGCCAAACAGAAGAGAAATAACGTATAGAATTCTTAGGTATGTCCTTCCCTTTTCTGTGGCCTAGTCCCTCTGCCTGTTGTCATGGATGATATTCAGCTGGCAGGTGCTGTCACTTGCCGCTTACGATTACGGAGGTTTTTCAGCCCAGAACGCTTGAGAGAGCTCTCAGAAGAATATTGCCATTCTGAGATTCCATACTTACCTCTTGTGCGATTCATCTCCACTTGAAACTGAACGGAATCCCATTAATTATCACTTCAGGTAGTAAATCAGTTTCTCCTATGTGAAAGGAATGCTGTAACCAGAGTCCCTCTTTTTGTTTGGGATCGCCAGAGGGTTATTACAAAGGGTATTGAACTCATAAGAATAATTTTAGCATTACTGCAACAACAAAGCATTTTGTAAATGTATAACCTCGTTTTTCTTAAAAAGCCCTGAATAACTGTGAAGTCACGTTGCTGGCTTAAGTGTGATAGCTCTTCTCTCTCTCTCTCTGTTCCCTCCAACTTTAAAAGCATGTATTCAGTCTCTGGCTTTAAAGTCAAGGCAATCTGCTGATTGACTGTGCTGACATAATTGTGTTAATGACAAGACACGGAGGCTACATTGTTAGATAGGTCGCTTATCATCACTATTTATTTAGTTCACTCTGCCAAGTCTGAATTATACTTTTTATACATTGTGGTTAAAGCCAGTCATTTAAAGTGCTTCAGTGTTGAAACAACAGTTTTTTTACAAGTCTTTTTGCTGTAGTTCAAGAGGGAAAAAAAAGTCTTCTACAGCGTCATTAAACAGGGTTCAAAGTAAGTCCTTGCTGAAAGATGTGAAGTTTGAGCTCTTAGGAAATGAAATCTTTGATCTCCAAAATGATTAGCAAAAATATTTTTATACACAGGCTCATTTTTATTTCATGTTAAAGAAAATAATACAGTTTAATCTACATATTACTTTTTATTCTAATACCTCAAGTCAATCTCTAACTGCCTGAAAGCCCTCTGCTCACTGCTGAGGGAAGAAACTGGAGACAGGCCTATCTTTCAAGGCATCAGAGCTATTTGGCTGAGTGCAGAAGGACCTCACTTACATGGTGCCACTATCATATTTTCAAAGGATGGTATTTCAAAAATGCAAAATTCTTTTTTCAGATGACAGTTGTGGAGAATTAATATAAAAAATAAGTGAATAACCATGAGTCATTAGACTGAGCTGTTGAAGCAGCAGTCCATCCTCAAACCATTCTATGAAAATAGCAAGGATGGCCTTTGGGATGAGAAAGAACAACAAATGCTAGGATCATTAGTACATAGGCTGAGCCAACTCTAGATTGGCCTGCTGAAAAATGATACAAGAGTGGAATGATTATACTGAATGCTCAAATTATCCTCATGTACATAGAACTGACTTGCATTCTTGTCTTGTCTTTGATTTTGCTTGATTTAGGTGCATTTTAAAGCCATATTTATTTATTTACTAGGTGCCAGCCACTGTTCTGGGCTCTGGACTATGGTAATGAACTAACCCAAGCAAGCCCCTGTCCACACAAAGCTTCTGTTCTTTATAAGAGACACATGAGCATTCTTGTACATGAATCCCATGCACTTATACTAGAATTTTTCTGGGATATAATTCTGAGTCATACAATAAGCTCATCTTCTGTATTATGGATAATGCCAAATTTCTCCCCTGAGTGGTTATGTCAATTAACACAGCAGTCCCCAACCTTTTTAGCACCAGGGACTGGTTTTGTGGAAGACAATTTTGCCAGGGACCCATGGGTGAGGGGTGGTTTTGGTTTGATTCAGACACATTGTTTATTGTGCACTTTATTTCTGTTATTATTGCATTGTAACATATAATAAAATGATTGTGCAACTTGTAATAATTATACATCTCACCATAATGTAGAATCAGTGGGACCCCTCAGCTTGTTTTCCTGCAACTAGATGGTCCCATCTGGGGGTAATAGGAGACAGTGACAGATCATCAGGCATTTGAT
This sequence comes from Homo sapiens, assembly GCF_000001405.40. Lineage (NCBI taxonomy): Eukaryota > Metazoa > Chordata > Mammalia > Primates > Hominidae > Homo > Homo sapiens. The sequence goes on along the minus strand of NC_000001.11, from coordinate 87,705,551 downwards.
TCTCATAAGGAGCATGCAACCTAGATCCCTTGCATGCGCAATTGACAATAGAGTTCACATTCCTAAGAGAATCTAACGCTGCCGCTGATCTGACAAGAGGTGGAGCTCAGCTGGTAATGCGAACAATGGGGAGTGGCAGTAAATATTGAGGAAGCTTTGCTTCCTTACCTGCTCACCTCCTGCTGTGCAGCCCTGTTCCTAACAGGCCATGCTCAGGGGTTGGGGACCCCTGAATTGACATATATAAGAGTTCCCACAGATCTCACCTTGGTATTTTCAAACTCTGATTTTGCAAATCTAATGGGTGAGAAATTTTATATTATTATAAATTAAAATTGCATTTTGTGACTACTAGGGAGGTTGAGCATATTTGCTGTTCAACCTCTCAGTTTGTTGCTGGTGTTTGGCCACTCTGTTTCTTCTTTTCCCCATGGCACCTGCTCATTCTCTTTTTTTACTTGCTTATTTTTAAGTAGAGATTCTTATCTTTTTTTCATTGTTTTGTTAGAAGTTTTCATATATTCAGATAATGCTTTGTCAACTATGTGTTGCAAATAATTTCACCCTGTCTGTGTTTTTCTGTTCTTTTTTTCTTTATAGTATCATTTGCTGGACAGAAGTGTTTTTTGTTTTTGTTTCTGTTTTGTGAGACAGGGTCTCATTGTGTCACCCAAGCTAGTGGTGCAATCATGGCTCACTGTAACCTTGACCTCCCAGGCTCAAGTGATCCTCCCGCATCAGCCTCCTGAGTAGCTGGGACTACAGGTATATGCCACCATGCCCAGCTAATTTTTGTATTTTTTGTAGAGACAGGGTCTTACCATATTGCCCAGGCTGGTCTCAAACTCCTGAGCTCAAACGATCCTCCCGCTTTGGCCTCCCAAAATGCTGTGATTACAGGCCTGAGCAACCATGCCCCAATTAGGCAGAAGTCTTTAATGTCAAACTTTTCCATTTTTGTATGGCTTTACTATTGAATTGTCTTTTCCTACACTCAGATCAAATAAATATTCTCTAATTTCTTTGAAAAGTTTTTAAGTTTTGCTTTCACATTTAGGTCTCTGATTCACCAGGAATGGATTTGTTGTCTGTTAAGAGATAGGAATTCAAATTTTTTCCCCATATGGTTAATTGATGCTAGCATGTTGGATCATGGATTTGTAGTGCCACCTCAGTCATCCATTATAATTCTGTCTGTTCCTGGATCTCTTCTGGGCAACCAATCCAATCTCTTCTGTTCCACTGGTCCAACGTGTTTATTCCTAACTCTATATTACACTGTATTAGTTATTATAAGTACAATTACAATAATAATGTTTCTATGCAGTATAGTATGCCCCATCTTATTCTTCTAAATCATCTTGTCCCTTTGCATCTTCAAGTTAATTTTATAATCATTTGTCAGATTATATTTTTAAAGTCTTATTCAAATTTTAGTTAGACTTTATAGATTAATTTGGAAAGAAATTGTAGCATTATGACGTTTTCTTATACATGAACATGACAGATCTCTCCATTTATTTATTTATTTATTTATTTATTGTTTATTGAGACACGGTCTCACTCTGTCCCCAGAGTGGAGTACAGCTCACTGCAACCTCTGCCTCCCAGCCTCACGTGATCCTCCCACCTCAGCCTCTGAAATACATGGGACTACAGGCACATGTCACCACGACTGGCTAATTTTTGTATTTTTTTGTAGAGATGGGGTTTTGCCATGTTGCCCGGGCTGGTCTCAAACTCCTGGACTCAAGCCATCTGCCTGCATCGGCCTCCTAAGATCCTGGGATTACAGGCATGAGCAACCACACCCAGCCTTTCCATTTATTTAGACATTTTTAATCTTAAAAAATTTTCTCCTTTAAGATTTCGTACTCCTTAGCTGGGCATGGTGGCTTATTCCTGTAATCCCAGCACTCTGGGAGGCCAAGCAGCAGGATTGTGTGAGCCCAGGAGCTGAAGAGGAGCCTGGGCAAAAAAGCAAGACCCAATTGCCAAAAAAAAAAAAAAAAAAAAAAAGGATTTTGCACTCCTCAAAATTTTTGTTAGAATCTTTTTTCTAAATGAAATACCTTTTCTAAATATTTTTCCAATTGTTGAAATTTACAGGAATGCATTTCCTTTTGTATATGAATTATTTATCCAAAACTATTTTGAAGTCTTTAAAGTCCCAAACCTTCTCAGTATATGCTTTGTTTTTATTTTTTATTCATTTTTATTTATTTATTTATTTTGAGATGGAGTCTCACTGTGTCACCCAGGCTGGAGCGCAGTGGCACAATCTCAGCTCACTGCAACCTCCACCTCCCAGGTTCAAGCAATTCTCCTGCCTCAGCCTCCCGAGTAGCTGGGACTACAGGCACGTGCCACCATACCTGGCTAATTTTTTGTATTTTTAGTAGAGACAGGGTTTCACCGTGTTAGCCAGGATGGTTTTGATCTCCTGACCTCAGGATCCACCCGCCTCAGCCTCCCAAAGTGCTGGGATTAGAGGTGTGACCCACTGCACCCAGCCCACATTTTTATTTTTTTAACCATGTTATTAGTGAATTATAAATGTTGTTATCCTTACTTCTTTCTAATTAAAAAAAAATTCTTCATCATATATTGTAGACATAACTAGAGGCTCCAGCACAAAATGAATGCAAGTGGTATTAATGCTCAACCTATGTTCTCTCTTAAATTTGTAGGAGACTTTAGCATTAGGTATATTTGCTGTGGATTCAGCAAAAACCTTTTTTATTGTTGTTTGAGTGGTTTTCTTTCCATTTCTAGATTTCTATGAGTTTTTATCACAAAGAACTGTAAAATTTCATCAAATACATTTTCTGCATCTGATGAGTGGTCTCATATAGTTTTTCTTCTTTAATTTGTTCATGGGGTGAATTATCTCAGTAGGCTTCCTAATGTTAAACCAACCTTGCATTCCTGAGATATACTCAAGTTGGTTGTGGCATACTTCTTTTTTTTTTTTTTTTTTTTTTAGATGGACTGTCACTCTATCTCCCAGGCTGGAGTACAGTGGCATGATCTTGGCTCACTGCAACCTCCACCTCCCGGATTCAAGTGACTCTCCTGCCTCAGCCTCCCGAGTAGCTGGGACTACAGGCGCGTGCCACAATGCTTGGCTAATTTTTTGTATTTTTAGTAGAGATGGAGTTTCACCATGTTAGCCAGGATGGTCTCGATCTCCTGACCTCATTATCTGCCTGCCTCAGCCTCCCAAAGTGCTGGGATTACAGGCGTGAGCCACCATGGCCGGCCTACTTCTTTTAATATGTCATTGAATACATTATTTAAAATCTGTTTTATTTTGTGGGAAAATATACAAAACATAAAATTTACCATCTTAAGTATACAGCTTAAGTGTACATCTTAAGTATACAGTTAAGTATTTCTGTGCAACCTATCTCCAGAACATTTTTATGCTGCAAAACTGAAACTCTATGCCCATTAAACAACAAATCCCCATTTCTCCCACTCCAGTCCCCAGCAGCAACAATTATATTAATACTTTCTGTCCCTATGAATTTGATTACTGTAGATACTTCAAATAAATAGACTCTTACAGCATTTACCTTTTGGTGACTGGCTTGTTGCACTTAACATAGTGTCTTCAAGATTCATCCATGTTGTAGCATGTTTCACAATTTCCTTTGTCTTTAAGGCTGAACAATATCCCATGATATATAATGTGTGTGTGTGTGTGTGTGTGTATATATAATATATATTTTATATATTTTTATGTATATATATAAATATATATATTATATATATATATAAATTAAAATCTATATAGTCCCTTTTATTTTATTTATTTTTTTTGGAGACAGAGTTTTTGCTCTGTTGCCCAGGCTAGAGTGCAATGGGGCAATCTCAGCTCACTGCAACCTCTGCCTCCTGGGTTTAAGCAATTCTCCTGCCTCAGCCTCCTGAGTAGCTGGGATTACAGGTGCCCGCCACCACGCCTGGCTAATTTTTGTATTTTTAGTAGAGATGCGATTTGACCTTGTTGGCCAGGCTGGTCTCAAATGCTTGACCTCAGGTGATCCAACCACCTCAGCCTCCCAAAGCACAGGATTAGAGGTGTGGGCCATGGCACCCAGCCCCTTTTATATTTGCATATAAATACATATAATTATAAAATAGAATATATATATAAGTCCACTTATATATGAATATTTTTCAATAAAGTTACACCAGGTGTGCCTGCCTCTTTTGCCTCCTCCTCTTCCATCTCCTGCACCTCTTCCACTTCTGCCACCTCTGAGACAATAAAATCAATCCCTCCTCTTCCTCCTTCTCCTCAGCCTTCTCAACATGAAGATGATGAGGTTGAAGACCTTTATGATGATTCACTTCCACTTAATGAATAGTAAATATATTTTCTCCTCTTCATGATTTTCTTAATAACATGTTCTTTCCTCTAGCTTACTTTATTGTAAGAATACAATCTATAACACATACAATATGTGTTAATCTACTGTTTATGTTATCAGCAAGGCTTCCAGTCAACAGTGGGCTATTAGTGGTTAAGTTTTGGGGGGAGTCAAAAGTTATATGCAGATCTTCAACTGGGAAGGGTGTTGGAGCCCCCAACCCCTGGGTTGCTCAAGGATCAACTGCAGTTAGAATCCTACAGTAGGCAGTGTTTTCAGATTAGCTTCATTCACTTAATATGTCTTTAAGTTTTCTCCATATCTTTTCATGGCTTGATAGCTCATTCCTTTTAATGTCTATTAATACTGCATTATTTTGGTGTACTGTAGTTTATTTATCCATTCATCTGCTGATATGGTTTGGCTCTGTGTCCCCATCCAAATCTCATCTTGTAGCTCCCATAATTCCCAGGTGTTATGGGAGGGACTCGATGGGAGGTGATTTAATCATGGGGGTGAGTATTTCCTGTGCTGTTCTCCTGATAGTGAATAGGTCTCATAAGATCTGATGGTTTAAAAAACGGGAATCTCCTTGCACTAGGTCTCTCTTTGCCTTCTGCCATCCATGTAAGATGTGACTTGCTCCTCCTTGCCTTCCACCATGATTGTGAGGCTTCTCCAGCCACATGGAATGGTGAGTTCTCCATTAAACCTCCTTCCTTGGTAAATTGCCCAATCTCGGGTATGTTTTTATCAGCATCGTGAAAATGGACTAATACCCCTGCTAAAGGATATCTTGGTTTCTTGGTTGCTCCCATGTTTGGGCAATTGTTAATAAAGCTGTTATAAACACCCATACATCCACAAGAAGTTTTTTATGTTGTTTATTTTTTAGAGACAGGGTCTTGCTCTGTTACCTAGGCTGGAAAGCAGCTGTGCAACCATAGCTTACTGAAACCTTAAATTCCTGGGTTCAAGTAACCCTCTTGCCTCAGCTTCTGAAGTAGCCAGGCCTACAGGCATGTGCCACCATGTCCAGCTTTTTTTTTTTTTGGTTTGTTTGTTTGTTTGTTTGTAGAGATGGGGTCTCACTATCTTGCCCAGACTGACCTCAAACTCCTCACATGAAGTAATCCTCCTGCCTTGGCCTCCCAAAGTGCTGAGATAAGCATGAGCCACTGCACCTGACCCCATGAGCAGATTTTTCTGTGTAAAACATAACTCATCAACTCCTTCGGGTAAACACCAAAGAGCATGATTGCTGAATCATATGGTAATAATAGATTTAGTTTTGCCTATTCACTGCCTTCAGGGAGATTACAGTCTAGTTAAACTGATGCTCAAATAGCTAAGTGAAATACGTGTTGAAACGTAAAACTCTTGAGAACAAGGGGCTATTAGAGAATGTCATGGATTCATGCCAAATGGAGGAAATTATATCTAAGTCGAGAACTAAAAAGTGAATAGTAATTATTCAAGCAAAGAGAGTGGGAAAAGAGATCCAGGCAGAGCAAAAAGAATGTACAAAGACTCCTTGGCATGAAACAGATATAATTAAAAGGCTCATTGCAGACACTGTGAAGAGAATCAATGGGAAAAGGCATGGCAGTAAATGCTGGTGTAGCTCCACTCAAGAGATGTTGCCACAGTTGGACCCAACTAGACTAGAATTAGCTACACAAAGAAACAAAACAGATAAACTAAAAAGTCACAAAACTCAAGGGAAGTCATCCTCATAGTGGCCTAAATGCCCTGCGTAATAAGAAAAAAACAGTATGCAAAAGACAAAGATAGGAATTGCCTTTCTTGACTTCTGACAAGTTGCCAGACTGCAACATCTCAGACAGATAAATTATATTGTTCAATAATTTCTCACGTGTTTCTTCCTCATATTCTCTCTAGCAGATTCTACGTTCCTTGAGCACAAAAATTATGTCTAACTTATGTCTAAATTCCCTTTAAATATAACCCAGAAAACACATTGTAGATATGTTAACTTGCTTTTCACTGGTGAGCAGCAAGTCCCTACATGATTATTTACATCTCATATGCTTTGATAACATTTTTCAAGACCTTGGTGTCTTTGACCTCTAAGAAAGAAAATAATAAAACTTTCAAGACAGTTAGTATATTATCCTTGTTTGAAACAATATGTTGAAAGTGAATTTTATCCCGCAGAATATAATGTCTCCTTTACACTCATTATGGTGTAAATAAATATGGATTTCCATATGATTACTAAATTGACACTATTTTTCCTGTATTTTCCTACTGTTATAAGAATGAATGGGAAATATGTAATTTTTTTTAACACACGATTTTCCTTCTCCCTTCAGAAAAATTCTAAGCCCTTTGGGAAATCAGCATTTTTGGCACTTGTTAAAAACAATGTACAATTTTACCCTGTGAAGTAAAAAAAGATGGAGGTTTTCTCAAATGTGTTGAGTACTTTTGAGAACACAAGGTCACTCTGGTCATGTCACATAAGTTCAAAGATTGAAGTACTTTCTTAATTTTCTTTAATCTAATGGGGACATAGTGGGCAATAAAGTATCATGACCCCATTGTCCTTACTTAGCCCTGTTTTGAGGACACAGGGAAGGGACACAGGACACACAGTGAATGACTTTCCTAGAAACGATTGTAAAAAGTATTCACAAATTATGTGTATCAGTAAATACATACATGTATTTTCTCTCTCTCTTTCTCCCTGTATATAATATATGTGTGACACATATAAATTGATAAAAGGTCATCAAGAAAAAAAGACAGATAGTTTTCTAGATGGCTTTGTTTTAGATTGATACAAGTATCAAGAAAAGACTGATTCAACTATTTGCAAAACTCAGGTATAATTTATTCAAAGTATAGTCGACCTGTGAACAAGGCAAGAGTTAATGGCTCTGACTGCTGTGCAGACAAAAATCCACATATAACTTTTTTTTTTTGAGACGGAGTCTCGCTCTGTCTCCAGGCTGGAGTGCAGTGGCACGATCTCGGCTCACTGCAACTTCTGCCTCCCGGGTTCAAGCAGAGCCTCCTGCCTCAGCCTCCCGAGTAGCTGGGACTACAGGCGCACCACCACGTGCAGCTAATTTTTTGTATTTTTAGTAGAGATGGGGTTTCACCATGTTGTCCAGGATGGTCTCGATCTCTTGACCTCGTGATCCGCCCGCCTTGGCCTCCCAAAGTGCTGGGCTTACAGGCGTGAGCCACTGAGCCCAGCCAAAAATCCACATACAACTTTTGACTTTCCAAAAGCTTAACTACTAATAGACTACTGTTGACCAGAAGCCTTACCAAAAACATGAACAGTCAATTAATACATATTATATACTGTATTCTTATGATAAAGTAAGCTAGAGGAAAGAAAATGTTATTAAGAAAATCATACAGAAAAGAAAATATATTTACTATTCATTAAGTGGAAGTGGATCATTGTAAAGACCTTCGTTCTTGTCATCTTCACATCAAGCAGGCTGAGGAGGAGGAATAGAAGGGACTGGTCTTGCTGTCTCAAGGGTAGCAAAGTCCGAAGAAGTGAAAGAGGTGGAACGGGAGGCAGGAGTGGCAGGCACACTTGTGTAACTTTGAGAAAGAGCATATTAATTTCTCTCTAACACTTTGCTTTTCACTTCTTTAAAAATGTTTCTATACAGTACCAATCCTTCTTCCACCATTTGCTTTAGTTTCAGTGCCCATATCATAGCAGTGTCCATTATTATAAAAGAAGTCAAAAGCAGTCTCAAATAATCAGAACCCTTCTGCCAGGTTGTCTAATTTGTGTTCTAGCACTGCTTCTTCTGTCTTCTTGCTCATTGTCTGGCACGGGTGCAGAAGCACTCATCTCCATTAAGTTACCTCCTATTAATTCCTCTAGTGTAGTGTCTGTTAACTCTTAAATTTCTCCAAGATCCAAATCTTGAAACCCTCGCCACACCATACCATTTTTGCCATATCCAGAATCTCTTTCATGACTTTCTTGATTGATTCTGTCATAAATCCTGTGAAGTCATGCACAACATCTGGACAGTTTTCTCAAGCAGGGACTTATTATTTTGAGCTTAATGGCTTTCACAGCTTTTTCTGTAACAACAATGGCATCTGCAATAATGTAATCCTGCCAGACAGTCAAGATGTTCTCTCTAACACGGTTCTCTTTCGTGACATTGGAGATCCTTTCCATAGAGTACCATGTGTGATGAGCCTTAAAGGTCCTTATGATCTCCTGATCTAGAGGCTGGATTAAAGATGTTATGTTTGGGGGCAAGTAGACCACTTCGACACCTTTGGTGTCAAACTCATGAAGTCCTGGAGGCCCAGGGGCATTGTCTAATTTCAAAAGAACTTTAAAAGGTAGTCCTTTATTGGCAAGGTACTTCCTGACTTCAGGGACAAAGCATCAATAGAACCAACCCAGAAAAATGATTCCCATTGTCCAGGCCTCCTCGTTGTACAACCAAAAGATTGGCAGCTGGTATTTATTTACTTTTTTCCTCAAGGCTCCCAGGCTAGCAACTTTATAGATAAGGGTATTCCTGATCATAAGCCTGCATGTACTTGTACAAAATAGTAGAGTTAGACTATCCCTTCCTGCCTTAAATCTGGTGCTTCTTTCTCTTCCTTAGTAATAAATGTCCTTTATGGCTTTTATTTCCCCCCAGAATAGGGGACTTTCATCTGCGTTAAAACCCCATTCAGACAGATATCCTTTCTCCTCAATGATTTTCTTAACGACATCTAGGAACTTGTCTGTTGCCTTTTGGTTGGCAAAAGCTGATTCTTCTGTTACCTTGACATTTTTGAAGCCAAACCTCTTTCTAAAATTATCAAACCATCCTTTGCTAGCATTAAATACTCCAGCTTTAGATCTTTCACCCTCCTTTTGCTTTCAGTTGCTGTATAATGACTTCACTTTTTCTCTAATCATATTAAAGTCTGCAGGTATGCTGTCCATATAGCAATCCTGCACACACATAAAAGCTGCATTTTTCAATACAAGATAAAAAGATATTTTGCAAAAAGCAGAAGAATATTGTGCCTGCTGGCATATCTGCAGTGACTCCTTCAGGAATTTCCTTTTATTTTTTTCACAATGGTTCTTACACTTGGATTTATTTATTTTGAAATGGCAGTCAACTGCAGCTGCAGATCTCAGTTTATGTTACATTTTAAGCCATTCAAATTTTTCGTGTAATGTCATGACTTTTCTCTGCTTGTTGGGAGCACTTCCAGCACCACTAGCGGTGCTTCTTATGGGTACCCTGGTGTTATTCAAGGTTCTGGGTGTGGTGTTAAACACAATGAAAACCAAGTGAGAACCACAAGAGGTTACTTTTTACTGCAATAAGCAATTTACTATAGAGAGAAAGTACTAATGTGGAGGTGATTAGTAGCATCATAGGGCATTTTAAGCAGATACTCCAAACACTTGAGCTCACCACAATAGCAACAGGAGGTGGCTACAAAATTATTACAGTTGTACAGTATGTACTAGAGTTAATTTTATGTAGTTATGATTTAATACTGTCTTTATGTTCATTTACATTTCTCTCCACTGCAAATGGCACCATGTACAGTCTACCTGTGTTTGTGTGTGTGTGTGTTTCGATACATTTTAGCTTTTTATAATAGATTTATGTACACTTTATGATAGTGAATGATAAAACACACTAGTATCTACATATATCTTAATTTTTTCAACACTTCTAGGCTACACAGTTTGCAAATTCTTTTTCAAATTGTTGCAAATCTCCAGAACATTTTCTAATATATTTATTTTTAAAAATCCATGTATAAGTGGACCCATGCCTTTCAAACCCATGTTGTTCAAGGGTTAACTGTAGTTACTGAGCACAATGTGCCAGGCACTGTATTAGGTTCTTGGAATATATAGTAGTGCATAAAATAGACACATCTTATACTTAAAGTCAGGCCATATTGCAGTGCAAATAGCCTTTAAGATATATCTCGGAAAGGATTATGTACATGACAAATATGTGTCTTGTGGGAAACCAATTACTAATAAATATCTCCTGTCATTATTTTCATCTTTTTTTTTTTCGGGGCAGGGGGGCAGGGTTTCACTCCTTTGCCAGGCTGAAGTGCAGTGGCGTGATCTCAGCTCACTGCAACCTCCACTTCCTGGGCTCAAGTGATCCTCCCACCTCAGCTTCCTAAGTAGCTGAGACTACAGGTGTGCACCACCATGCCTGGCTAATTTTTTGTATTTTTTTTGTAGGGTTTCGCCATGTTGCCTAGGCTGCATTATTTTTGTCTTCAGCAGAGACTGAGAGTTAGAACAATTATTCTAATAAGTCCACTTTGTTCAATCCTGTCTACTGGTATTAACTCATTCACACAGGGCAAACAGCAAAAGAAATATCTTCCTACATGCAAATATTCAACCAGGGTTTGACAGTTATTTCCAAATTGTTCAACACTAATTTCCTTATGTGTCACCTTTCTTCTCATGTGGCCATCTCTGGGTGTCTCCAGCCAACCTGCATGCAGTATAGGAATTATCCTTTGTTTTTCACTAATTTATCTTCTACATTAGACCACATCTTTCAAACCACCCCAGATGGTGGATTTTTACAAGACTTCTTCTACACTCAAAAACATTCTTTCCTTATTGCATGTCAAGTTTGGTAACTTACTAAGTGAAAAATATATATATATGCCCATACTTCCAGAGAATGGCTCACTTCACACTTAGGTTTGGTTTCAAGGGAATTGAAAAAATGTAAGTCCTATATCCTGCTGTGAAGTTAAAGGGAAAGATCAGCCTAAGTGGGTATTGTAGCAGTTTTCCTTATTATAATTGTTCATTATCTAATTATAATTAAAAGAATACTGGTAGAACATCGCTTCCAGGTTTCTAAGAACAATTCTTTTATATAGCTCCTTTCTTGTTCTTAATATTTCTTTAAGCAATAGGTTTTTTGAAGTGTATTGTATGTCTCTCAAAATAGAAACTGTAAACCTTTAAGTCATTTATCTATTCTGAACTTAACCCACTCATGAGGTCACCATATGTCTCTTCTTTCCCGCCCATACTTTGAGTTACATTTCTTTTTGAGGGCCAGTGGTTTTGTTTTGTGTTTTAATCAATTATGAAAAAGTTTGCCTTTATGCCATTCTTAATAGCTTAAGTATAATTATAACACATAAATGTTCAAAGTAAATGGAATATGTCCTGTAAAATATTTTTACTAAAAAAAGAGCAAGAGAGGCAACTTCCTTAATGTGATTCAAAAAATTTTGTAGGTAAAAAACTGTAATCTGAAAATGATGAAAGTGCAGACTAATTCTGGCAGAGTAATAACCAACTTGGACAATTGTTAACCTGTTTAAAAACTCTTAGCTGGTAATCCCTGATGATCTATAATTTCCCAGAAACTGTTCTGGTCCATCAGCACTTTTATTAAAGAAGACTAGATTCTTTGGAAGTCATTGAAGTCATATGGTCAATAGTTTTACAATATATAATGTATACATTAGATTAAGTAAATTCTATTCTATTCTTAGTTTACCAAGAACTTTTTTACATTTGTGGATATTGAATTTTATTCAATTTTTTTCTTCATCCACTGAAATGATTATATGAGTTTTCTGCTTTATTCTATTAATGTTGGTGATTTATTGATTAGTTGTTTTTTTTTTTAAGTGAAAGCAAGTTTATTTAAAAAGTAAAGGAACAAAGAATGGCTACTCCATAGGCAGAGCAGCCTCACTGATTAATTTTTAAATGTTAAACCAACTTTTTATTCAAGAATAAACTTGATTCATTATGATGTATGTATTATTTTAATGTATTAATAGATTCTATTTTCCAATATTTTGTTCAGGATTTTTGCAGCTACGTTTGTATGAGAAATTGCCCTATTCTTATTTTTTTTAAAGTACTTGACAAGTTTTAGTATCAAGGGTATGCTGACCTTTTAAAATAAATTAGAAAGTGTTTTCAGTTCTATTCTCTGGAAATATCTGCATATGATTGTTGAAAATTGATGTAATTTTCCTTAAATATTTGGAAAATTCATTGGTGAAGCTATCTGGGATTAAAGACATTTTGTGGGAAGGTTTGTATTAAGGATTCAATTCATTTAATATATATAAGAATATTTAGATTTTTTGTTTCTTATTTTATTAGTTTAGAAAACCTGTGTTTTTCTAGAAATTTATCTATTTCACTTAAGTTTTCCAGTTTCTTAGCATAAAGTTGTTCACATTATGCTCTTAGTATTCTGTCAGTGTCTTGAATCTGTAGTGATGTCCCATTTGTCAGTTCTAATATTGGTAATCTGTATCACTCTCTTCTTGATCAATCTATCAGTTTAAAAGTCTTTTCAGGGAACAAACTTTTGACCTTGTTGATTTTATTTTCTTGTAAATTTGGTTTTTATATTATTATTCTCTACTTTTATCTTTAGTGGTTTCTTCTACTTTTGTTGGTTTTCATTTGTTGTGAGTTCTTCCCCATATTTCTTGATATCAATTCTCACATTCTTGATATTCAGCCTTTCTTCTTTTAGCGTGTATGCATTTAAGGCTATAGTTTCCCCTTAATCACAGCCTCAGCAAATTCCTAAAAATTTTGATATGTTATATTTTATTATCATTTGTTTAAAATTTTTTTCCAATTTTCCTAGTGACTGCTTATTTTCTGCATAAATTATTTATAAATGTGTTGCTTGATTTCCAAACATTTGGATTTTTTATATTTGTTTATTAATTTATAGCTTCATTCCACTGAGAACAGAGAACATACTCTGACTGATCTCAGTTTTCCAAAATTTGAGACTTAATCAATGATCCAGGATATGGTCAATTTTGGTAAATATCCCACATGCACTTGAAAATAATGTGTATTGTTAGGTTCAGATATTTTATGTATTTATTGACTTTTATCTGCTTTGTTTACAAGTTAGTAAGAGAAGTGTTATAGTTTCTCACTGTTATTACAGATATGTCTATTTCTACTTTTTTCTGTCTATTTTTGACTTGTGTATTTTGACACTATGTTGCTAGGTGGTACAAACTTAAAATTATTATCTGCATCTAGTTATTCAAAGCCTTTTATAGTTTTGAAATGTCACTGCTTATCTCTCAAAATGCTCCTTTATCTGATATTAGTATAAATATAGCAGCTTTTGGGGGGTTAGGATTTGCATTATTCCTGTGTCCATCCTTTTACTGTCAAATTTTCTGTGTACCTATCTTTAAGATGTATCTCATGTAAGCAACACATAGTTGGGTTTTGTTTTTTCATCCAATTTAACAATCATTGTTTTTCAATTGGAGTATGTGGTCTATTGACATTAAATGTAATTACTGATATTTGTAGTTTCATAGCTATAACGTTACTACTTGTTTTCTATTTGTTCCTTCTGCTTTGTATACGTTTTTCTTTTCTTTTTGCCTTCTTTTAAATTAATTAATTATTTTAAATCATTCCATTTTCTTTTTGTTGGTTTGTTAGTATTTTATTATTATTATTATTATTTATTTATTTATTTATTTATTTTTGAGATGGAGTCTCGCTTTGTTGCCCAGGCTGGAGTGAAATGGCGCGATCTTGGCTCACTGCACGCTCCACCTCCTGGGTTCACAACATTCTCCTGCCTCAGCCTCCCGAGTAGCTGGGACTACAGGTGCCCACCACCACGCCAGCTAATTTTTTGTATTTTTTTTTTTTTAAGTAGAGACAGGATTCCACCATGTTAGCCAGGATGGTCTCAATCTCCTGACCTCGTGATCCACCCAACTTGGCCTCCCAAAGTGCTGGGATTACAGGCATGATCCACCATGCCTGGCTGTATTTTATTATTTTTAATGATTACCCTAGAGATTAAAGTATGCATCGTTATTTTATTATGGTCCAACATATAAATAAATTCATGTTTTTACTCCTTCCCAAGTAATACTGACGTTACCAACATGTTGATTCCCTTTGCCCTTTCTACCTTTTGTGTATTTGCTGGGCATTCTAGTTCTATATATTTTTGGTACTACACAGGACATTAGTGCAATTAGTTTTCACAGTAAATATTCATTTTTATTTACCCTTATTATTTAACACTGGCCAATGACTGGCTGGCTTGCTTGTTCTTTCCTTCTTTGTTTATTTCTTTGCTTCTCTCTTTTCTTTGCTTATTTGTTTCTTTCTTTCTCTCTGACATTAAACTTTCTTATAGTTAGGTTGGTTTGCTACTAGAAAAGCTGGCAAATAAACCATTTATACAACTGATTGGAGTTTGAGAAAAATTTGGCTCATGTGGACTGAGACAAGGTGACCAAACAGAAAGTCTGAAAACTTCAGTTTGATAGTGAGCTTACTACTGGCTGGCTATAGAACATTGGACGAGTTTCTCAACTTGTCTATCTTTAAAGTGAGGGAATAGGATTTTATAGAAAGTTGATTCTTATTTTAGTTTTTTGTAATACTAAGACATTTTTTCTTTGCCAGGACTATTCTAAAAGACTGTTCTATTATGTCATACTGTTTCTTTTTTTAAAATTATTAATTTATTTAAATTATAAATTTATTTATATTAACCTGTAAATTTAATTTTATTGAATTGTTTTGAATCCAATTATAGACACAACTATAACAACAAGAGCTTTTTGTTACTGCCACTAAAATCTAAAAGTTAAACAAATTCCAATATTTCAATTTTTCTACAAATTGTCATATGAAAAGTATATTGTTAGTTAAATATAACATTTTCAAAGACTATTAAAAATTTTGCTGCTTTCTTGATTATCTGTGATTCTTATTTCTAATGCTGAACAAATACATATACACACACACATGGATATAAAGGCACATTTTCTGTGGTATGTTATTTTATGTTTCCAATTATCTCAAGGGATATAATGAAATTCTCAAGAATTTATTTTAATTCACTTTAATTTAAGAAATAAATATGCCCCATACCATTTTGGGTGCTGGGTGTAAAAATAACAGAAAATAATTGGTATTAAGTTAAACAATCTCTAAGAGGTTGGAAATAAAATTTAAAGGACAAATAAAACTTCTTATTTCTTGTAATATAATAGGAATTCAGCAAATGTTGAATAAATGAATGAATGCCAACTATGAATAAAAGGGAATTAAACTTTGTACAATCATTTGAACAGGAATATAATTGAGAGTGACTGACACTGCAACTTGGCAATATCTGGGGAAATCAGAATTATTTTATTTATTTCTTTAAACTGAAAAGAAGCATTAACAGAATGGGCCAGCATTTTTGTCATCACAAGCCAGTGGTATAATCGTAATTAGTAGCTGCCAGCAATATTGCATTGCAACCAATGCAGCCATGTAGAAATCAATACTTATCTAGAGAAACCCAAGGAAAGGCATGCCCTTGCCTGCTTTAAATACTGTTTCCTCTTATTTCCTTACTTTATCTTATCTTGAAAATTTTGTGCTCAAATCTATTCATAATGTTTGACTTGTTAAAGTTAGACATTATTACTTACAAAGTCAAAAGCAATCTATATTGTCTACAGTCCATAGTCCAAAACTAACTCACCCAGAGATTTGTTTAACTCAAGCAGGAGGAAAATTTTCTATTTTCCAACAAGTTCTCCAAAATAACATGCTTATTTTTTTCTTGAAAATATATTTCAAATGCTCATTCCTCTTCCTAGTTCTAAAGGCTGCTCTCTCATAACCTATTAAAAAGTTTTACCTCTCCTAGAATTTACAGTAGAAGGGTAAGGAAAAAGCAGCACTGATTTCAGCAATCAAGAGGGGACAGAGGGAACAAGCCTCGTCCTCACAGAGCAAGTCTGGAGTCCTTCTGGATGGATCCTCAGCACGTTCACAGCCTTCTAAATAGTGCTTCATATTTACTTAATCCTTGAAAAACAGAAACAATATATGTTCATGGTATAACATTTCAACAAATATATAGGGTGTACAAACAAGAAAAATTAAAGGTACCCATCATTTTGCTGCACAGTTATTTTATTCTGTAGAGCATTTTTTTCATGCTGAATCGAGGCAACATTTTATGTACAGCTTGTACTCTGCTTTTTTGTATTTTATTTTATAGATGTTCTAAAATTAGTAGTTTCCCTATTGATAAAAATTTAGGCTATTTCTAGTTTTTTAATATCTTAAATAATTTTAAATGTATATCCTTGTTTACGAATCTTTATGTTCATAACTGCTTCCTTATAATGAACTACTGGCCATGGAATTACGTGTACCTTTGGCATAGCATTTTATAGCTCTAAATAAAGTTTACAAATCACCAAGATCACAATTTTTTGCACTACATGTAAGTGATGTACAAGAATAGCAATTTTTCAATAACTTTAGCAAAATTGAACATTATAGTTTTCTTTGTTCCTTGCTAATTTTTACAAGGATAAATGTATCTGTCGGTTTCATATTTATTTTTCACAACTTCTTATTTGAAACAGGCAAGTTCAGCTGTATTGTGGAAAAAAGGATTTAAGCAAAGATTGAACCTGGTGAAATGCGGATAGCTGGTCCACTTGAGGACATTCCATTTCTTCGCTTCTCCAATGGAGCAGGTTTCTGCACGCAGCTCACATGCTTATATGTATGGTGGCATTGCCTACTCTCTACCCAGTTGTCCCATCAACTCCCTACACTCTACACCACTGAAATCTGTGCAAACAAGATCAAGCTACTGATCATCTTCTGAACAATGAATTCTTTTCTGACAGGGAAGGATTGTTCTGCAACTCATGCGGAGCACCAAGGGTGCTGGAGACTCAGGTCCATAGAACCCAGCTTTACCATACGGATGTGCATCATAACACTGTATCATGATAATGCAAGACTAAACACCTGACTTGATGCCCAGGGCAATGATGCTGTGTTTATCAAACAATAAAACTATTATCTTAAAAATCTGTTTAACTTGAAACCATCCTAGATGATTCAATACCTCAAGGCTTTCAAGAGAACAAACATTGTGAACAACGGCTTGACTTTCTTACGAAGAGAATTAATTAAATTGTAAACCAATTTTTACGCACCCTGATGATTTTTTATGTTGTTTCCTGAGCCGAGTATCCTTGAGAAATTCAACAGTGATAAGTAAAATTGCATTGTAACTGCTCAGGATTTGTTCAACATTCAGTGTTTATTGACCAGAAGCAGTTAAAGTGTTTGGGTAAGGAATATAGACTCAGAGCAGACTGCCCCAGCTCCAACCCAGCTTCTCCACTTAATAGCTATGAAGTTGAGCAATTTAGTGAACCTCTCAGTGCTTCAGTTTTCTCTATAAAATGGGGATAATTTGAATCTATCTGCAGATGCCACGTGGGTTAAATAAGAGCATATGGGCTTATAACAATGCCTGAAACATAGCAAGTGCTCTATAGATGGTATCCATTAATGTAAGGCCTCCATAGAACAGACATTTGACTCAATATAGCAATATATTAAATATATTCATATAAATTAAACATGGTGACTAACTTCAACTAATTTCCATCACAGTGGGGACAACAAAACATGTATTTAAAACCCACACATTATTTAAGGACCAGATTAAATGCATCAAAATCTTCATTAATTCCATGTTGTTCAATGTAATCTTTCCCACAGCAACTTAAATGTACTTCTCTTTAACATGTTCTACCAAGTTTTATAATTAATTATGTACATGTCTATTCTTTCCTACCAGATTCTGATATGCTTGAGACAGATTCACTTCATCCTCTTTCTGCATGCCTGGTTGAATGACTGGCACATAGTAAATGCTCAATAAATGTTTGATAAATGAATGAATAACAATATATAAGGCATTATATGGTGACGAAAGCATCACACAAAAGCATCACAACTGAAGCACAATTAAGTACCATAAACATTAGCCTTCATCTACTGCCATGACAGCTGAAGAGATCCAGAGAGATCCACTCCTGATGTGCATTCGTAGGGCGAGTTTTACAAAAAACATGGCACAGGAGGAGGTTCTTAAATGTTTAAACACAGCACTCAGTCTTATAGAGGCTCTGCTTCTTTAATCGGCCCTTTCTAATCTTCTCTCCTCATTGTGAAATTCGGGAAATATGTTTCTTTACATGCCTCCTCAAATTTACAGAACTGGCCCAAGCATTGATTTTCTAGACATAATTCACTCCCATTGCAGATGTCCTAGGAAATGGAGAGCTCTATGACAGAAGTACACATCATGTGTCCAAAGTAACTTCATAATGGTTTCTGGGTTGTTAAAACAGGAAGAAACCATTGCCTTTTAGAGGAAAGCTACAGTAAATGTCACCATATGAATAAACATTGCAGTGACATGCTTAAGCCTGGTTTTACTTGTTATGATTATGTTGTCTGACTCTTACCACCAGAAGTGTTTCCCTCATATTTTCCTTCACATTAACATTTACGATGGAGGGGCAGCATTCCCCTTTGCTCACATTGGCCAAAATTAGTCCCTTTACACCCAGCAATATTTCAACAGTCACAGACCAGTGAGAGACCAGCATAAACCCAGCTTGCTATGGGCCTCAGCATGTTCCACCAGCTTTACTCCAGCCAACAAAACTGCCATTTGGAATCCATCTGCTGCATTTCACGGACCTAAATTCTGACCTAGTAGGTAGTCACTGAACTCGAACTGAGCAGAAAGGGCCAGAGGTTCTAAAGGGAAACATTCTTCAGCGCCACTACATGTGCCCTAAGACATGAAACACCTAAGACAGCACCTTGAGGCATATTTTTCAGTGCAGAAGTAGCAGAAAACAGAACATGACTCCCCACCCCTTCTTTATATTCCAATGAGATTTGCTAGTTTAACCAGAGCTGCAGTACAAAAGCACTTGTGGTTCATGTTATATTAATAGTGTGGCCTGATTATCAAAAACCATTACTCTTGGTTATCTTGCAGCGGCTGTACAGAGCTGCTATAAGTCAGAGTGACTGCCCACACAGTGTTTGCTCCATGCTTATGATAACAGTATTCTTAATGCAAAAGTGCATTTGTAAAATTATTGCCTTTTAAAGATCAGATCTGTTATAAATGAGATATGATCACACAATTGCTTTTCTCTGTATAAAAAAATTAAATACATAAATTAAATGTCAGTGTCCTCCATTGTCGTGGCTTCCTACGGGTCAGTTTACTTGTGGTCAAACTCTGAGGTATGGCTTTCAAAGCAGATGCGTTGTTAGCTGAATCCTGGCCAGAGGCACAAGCAGTTGCTTTTCTTCTCCTTTCTTTGATGTTGTCTTCTGTAGTTCTGATTGCGGCCTTGTGGATCCAACCCTTTTTTATGCTTGTCGAGGGGGGCTTTGTTTGGTTTAGTTTTGTTTTTTAAACCAGTAATGATAATGGATCGGAAACCATGCCATTTCCCTATAGATTCAAATCATTGTTTCCGGTTCTTTGCAGAACTCCATGTGGCTCAGAGTGGCTGCATTCAGAGCGCCTTAATGCTAATGCCACCGTGGTTGACTTTTTAATGTAGCCCTCCCTCGCTGGGACACTTTTTCACAAGCTTGGGTTTTGTGTGGAGAAGAGACAAAGACAGGAAGGAAAGCAACACTAATAAAGTAAAAGAACTCAGCTTTAATACTCACTAATCTCCTCCTCTAGGTTATATGTCTCATTATACATGTTACACCGACCGGGAGTCTGAGAGCTATGGCTTTACTTGTGCAACGCAAGGGACTCTACTGCCGTGCATCTTCCAACACTCTCAAGTTCCTTTACAAACAAAAATATAAGGGGAAAATATACAGGACTCTCCCTTCTGCTTTTCCTGTTTGAACAGCATCGTAGAATCCGTGATTGTTATAGACAGTTAAGCTTTTCAGACCTAATTCATTAAAAAAAATATTCATGACAAGTTGTTTGAAATGTGGTCCCTTAAGCTTTTTCTGTCTTTTAGAAACTGTTTCATATCGCTATCTAAGAAGAAAAGCCAGCCAAGATTTACATTTTAATTTAGTTAACCAAATAGTTCAGACTGTGTTCTCCAAAGACAAAGACTGGTCTGTAAGTGGGCCGGATTTTCCTGTATTTTATTGCTGTAATTTGCATGAGAAACACCAGATCCTGTATAATTGTTGCTTTGTTGTTGTGATACGAGTAGCTGTTTCCAATGTCAATAATTATAACTTGAAATGAAATTTAGTAGCAGTTAGGGGGTGGGGAGTGGAGGCGACTGCCAGCCAGTCAGAATTTCACATCAAACTAACCACAGTCTAGCCTTCTAAATGTGATGCGTGCAGCGACCAGGCTTCCAACAAAACTCCACACAAAGTAAACAGAATGAGCAAGTCACTTGAGCCTCCCCACACTATACATCTCGTGTTATGCCATTTTGTTTGGTGTCTAATGAAGAACTAGCATGTTTTATATATGATGGCTGCTAATTGCTTCATTAGCCATGCAAATCATAAAGGCAAACTGTGTCTTATCATAAAATCAGTAACTAGGCCATTCAAAAGCGAGGCTCAGGGAAGCATTATTATGTCCGTGCTTCTTTTGCGCCTGCATTCTTTTTTTTTTTTTTATGACTTTGTATTAAGTTGTAGCATTTTCCGTGTGGTCATTTGTTCCTTTAGATTAGTCTTCAGTTAAGATAAGCATGTAATGGATGAAGCAGCGAGGGACCGTGTCGAGATTGCTGCTGCGGCGGCGGCTCTTGGCCCAGCGATGTGAGCTGATCCACCCACCACTTTCCCCGAATGCTCTCAACTTATCTGAGAGGGAGGACGTTGTGAAGAGGGACTGCAAAATCTTGGGTCTGCCCTTATAGCTATGTGCCTGCCTCGGCTCTTTGTCAACATGGGGGAGATTCAGTTGCTAAGACCCACTGCTGCACGGTCTTTTAAAGGTAACACGAAACCAGCAGAGTGGAAAAAGAAAATGAAAGTGGAAGCAGGATAGAGAACGGAACACCTTCTAAGACCCCCTGGCTGCATGGGGTGTCCTGACGGACAGTTATCTCTTCATTACTGGAAATTTGGGCCCTCCTGAGCTCCTTATTCCAGATAATTAACACCTTAGTGTTGACTAAGGCTATGTCCCACATTTTCCTGATAATCAACTCATAGCTAATAAGACATTTTGTTGTCCTTATTGTTTTTCTCATCAGAGGAAGGAGAAAAATTCAATGAAGGAATCTTTTTAAAAACCCATACATTCATAACAAAATTAAAATCTTATAGTTTTCATTAAATCACCCAACCCAAGTACTGCAGGCATATCACTGGAAGACCAAGGAATCTTTTACAGTGAATATAATTCCAGGCTAACTAGCAGAGGTAGTGTCAAGGCAACAAAGAAATTCTGCCTGTGCACTAATTCCTCACCGCAGCTGTTGGGGTGTTAGATTAGGAGGCTGTACACCTTTCCCAGGAATATTAAAGCAGACTGTCTAACCGCCTGTGTTTGTCCTCGTAGCCTCATTCTTGCTGCTAGCAGAGCATGTCCCAACTGTTGTCAATTTATCAATGTAACGTGCACTGGTGGGCACAGTGTGAGCAGCCATTAGGACAGGTGCCTCTATCCATCACAGCCAGTCACTTATTCCACCTTGTCAAGGAAACTAAATGGAGCTTTTGGAGAAATGTAAACAACTCTCTAATGGACAATCAAAGCACCACTTTCTGAAGCAAACAAGAGGAAGAAATCTGACAAGACATTTTTAAGGGGGGAGGTGATACTATTTAAGTGTTTTTTAAAAGAATTTTTAATGGTCATGGTTTTAAAACACTGGGGTGAAGTGGGCTTGAGGGGAAGTAAATAGGAGAAGTAAAACAGCTAAAGCAAAGCCCTTCTTGTGGCCAAAGATTGAGAAATGAGTATTATGACTTGGTGAGATAACTGAGTGGAGGGACCATTGACTATTCTGGGGAAGATGCACAAAATTGCCAACAAAGTTAACTTAATTAAGAAAAAGAAGAAGAAGAAGGAAAAGAAATCCTAATAGAAATGGAAGGCTTGTAGTTAATCATTTTTTTATTGATATGTTTTTAAAGTTCCAAATGTACATGAGGAGGACAGAAAAACACT
This sequence comes from Homo sapiens, assembly GCF_000001405.40. NCBI lineage: Eukaryota > Metazoa > Chordata > Mammalia > Primates > Hominidae > Homo > Homo sapiens. The sequence continues at coordinate 87,683,137 of NC_000001.11, read as the reverse complement.
ATTTAAATATTTGCTCCCCAAGACCACCCTTCATGGCACAAGCCTAACTTAACAGATGGCTTTTTCACTGTGTCCCAGAACACAGAAAAGTCAGCTTTGTCAAACCAGGAGGAGAAGCAAATTCTTCAGAAAATGGCCTGACTTTAACCCCCTGCTCGGGGCTATTCTTAGATGATGAGCATCGCACTGTTGGGATGCTGCTGAGGGGAGGAGAAAACCTCCAAAGTAGCAATTTCCAGCATGGGCATTCAGGACTGCACCTTGAATGTCACTGTGAAGTGACGAGGTAGCCAGGGCACACTGTGGAGCGCAGGTGTTCCTGGCATGGCAAGCCCGGTGCTTTTAAGCAGATGGACAGCGCCACACTGTGCCAGCTGAAGCTTCTGGGTGGTCTTCCAGGGACGCTTTGTGGTTATCCATTCTGGAGGCAACAAAGACTGGAGCTGCCAATAGCTGCATCATGGGGGAGGAGAGCTGGCCAATCTCAGAGCTGAACGCGAATAAAGAGAAAAGAGATGCTCTAGGAAGAGGTTGCCTTCTGGGAATCAGGTAGCAGCAAAGGGTCAAGAGGTCACTGCAACTTTGCCAGCTGTCATGTCTGGGAATAAATAAGGAGCATGAATTGAGACTGTTGAAATTGACCCTGACACTCTTTTATAAGAGAATACCTGCCTGAGTCAACTTGGACTCCCCTGTTGGGTGTCAGCTACTTTGTCCTCATCAGTGTCCCTAATTTAGGGTTACCCTGGGACATAGGGGTCAATATCTTATTCAGATAAGGTAAGAGCTTGATCTTATCAGCTTTCTAGAGCACTATGACCTCAGTTCTCTAATCAAGTCTTCCTAATAGTCAGGACCCATAGGTAACAAACACCCCATTGGGAAGAATTTGTATCTTTGTTTCCGGTCGGGTGAGCTATTCTTCAAACCCGTGCAGTCCATGACAACTTTCTGTGATAATGGAAATGTTCTCTGCAATGTTCAGTATGGTAGCCACTAGCCAAATCTGGCTTTTGAGTAAGCTGTAATGTGGCTAGCAGGACTGCAACACAAATATTTAAATTTTATTTAGTTTTAACTGATTCACATTTGAATTTAAACAGTCCCAAGTAGCTAGTGGCTACTAGTGAAAAACGTAGCTCTAGACCCATTTCCTGAAAAAAATGTAACACTGTATGAATCTGACCATATATAAATCTTACCAAATAAAGATCTTCTGGGAGTGTGCTGTCCAATATGGCTGTCTGCACTTGGTTATTTAAATTTAAATTAATTATAACTCAATGTAATTAAAGATTTAGTTTCTTGGTCTCACTAGCCACATTTCCAATGTTCAATGGCCACATGTGGCTAGTGGACACAGTATTAGAAAAGCACAGATACAGAATATTCTTATCACACCAAGTCCTATTGGATGCAGGTGCTCTCAAAGAAAAGACACCAATGCAAAGAGCAATCAAACCACTAGAAAAGTCACCTAATTCAACAAAATATGTACTGTGTATTGTTGAAATTAGAAGTGAGACACAAAAGTATTTATAGAGTTTATTTGAGCAAACAGCAATTCATGAATCAGAAAGCACCAAACCAAAAGAAGTCTTTACAGGTTCCTTGAGCTCCGTGAAAAGAGCACAAGGGTCAAGCTTTCAAAAGGCAAATGCAGAAGCAAGACAAAGACAATATCTGATTAGTTACACTGTACAGTTGTATTATTTGTTTTTTATTTTATTTTATTTTATTTTATTTTTTTGAGATGGAGTCTTGTTCTGTCGCCCAGGCTGGAGTGCAGTGGCACGATCTCGGCTCACTGCAAGCTCTACCTCCCGAGTTCACGCCATTCTCCTGCCTCAGCCTCTTGAGTAGCAGGGACTACAGGCGCCTGCCACCACGCCTGGCTAATTTTTTGTATTTTTTAGTAGAGACGGGGTTTCACTGTGTTAGCCAGGATGGTCTCCATCTCCTGACCTCATGATCCGCCCACCTCAGCCTCCCAAAGTGCTGGGATTACAGGTGTGAGCCACCGCACCCAGCCGTACGGTTGTATTATCACACTGAAGAGTCCCTAGTTAGATGACTGTAAGTTAGTGGGCGGCTTCTGCTGGTTGAGGTCAAGTTTTGTTTTTCTCTAATCCAAGTATTTATAAGAAATGGCCCAAGTTAAGTTTTGCTTATGTTTGCATTCCAAGCAAAGTTAAGGATACTTTCAAGGACTGCTCTGGAATTTTCCAGGTCTGGTCTCCATTCTAATTTGCTATAACGATATCTACTGTTTTCTAGGCACTGTGATAAGTGTTAGGGATATAGTGGTAAACAGGAAATGTACGGGCCTGCCTACATGGAACTTAGAAATGAGTGAAGATCCAAAAAAGTAAATAATTGTATTATTATTTAGTAGTGTAAGTAGTGTAATGGTGGTGGAGGAGACTACTAAGAGTCATGCTGGCACATGAAAAAATCAACTAACCCATAATTCAGAGATAAGAAAAAGTTTACCTGAAAAAGAAGGGGATAAGTAGGCATTAACCAGCTGTGTTAGAGGCTGTGGTACATTTTGCAAGGGGTGAAATGACTAGAAAAGGTAAGCAGAAGGTAGACCCCACAGGACCGTGTAAGCTCCAAGTGTTTAGCCTTAATCTAAGTGCACTGGGGAGCTATTGAGGGTTTTAAGCAGAGAAATAAACCAATCATGTGCCACCTTTCATTTTCTTTTTAGATTTTTAGTATTTTATTAATAAGATCATTTAAATGAATTCAAAACTTGAGCTAAAATATACAACTAGAAAAAGATAATTCTCCAATACAGGGTGGTGTTTGTAAGAAAAACTTGCTCTGTATTCCCAAAATTGGCCTCTAGAAAATTTAACCTTTAGGTCAGATGAGTTTATTTTTAGAGACATTCTAACTTCTGTGTATTAACAGCGATAATAGTCAAGTTCTGATTTTTAATAAAAGTTCATGTGCCTACTTTTGAAAATTAACTGACTCTGCTTGAGAGAATGATTTGCCATAAGGGGCAAGACTAGAGAAGAGTTAGAAGGGTGTTGCAGTAACTCAGACATGATGGTGGTCTACAGTATATAGCTGTGGAGAGACAAGTTGGTAAATTTGAAAAATGTATGAAATTAGTTTACTTAATCCTTCTTCATTGCTTAGAGAAGTCTGCTGACCTATCCAAGATAAAATTATTTATTCAAACTTAGCCATTTGAAAATGAAAACAAATAATTGGAAGCCCGCATGTTACTGACATTCAATTGCTATTTCCCCAAAGTGTAATATGATTTTTATCTGCATCAATGGTGTATGTTGTTGATGAAAATCTTCTTAAGGCCAGAGACCAAGTGTATGTCAATATACACAGCACCTGGTGTTGTATCATACACAGAATGGTAATTAACTAAAGCTTTCTGGTACTTTGGAAAGTTAGTTCCAGTATCTTAAGATAGATGACTGTGGGAGTGTCTATGTTTTAAGATGTATTTCTTTTAAATATAAGGCTTTAACATCAGTTTTTCAATAGAAATTGACACACTGGATCATTCCAGTGAGAAACCTTCAAATTTCTTGATTTTAGACTTCTAGATTTTAGATTTCTCAATGATTTGCTTATAATTTGTCACATTGTCTTAGTCCATCCAAGCTGCTGTAACAAAATACCATAAACTTGGTGGTTTCTAAACAGCAAACATTTATTTCTTATGGTTCTGGAGGCTGGGAAGTCCAAGATCAAGGTGCAGGCAGATTTGGTTTCTGATGAGAGCCTGCTCCTCACAGATAGCGCCTTCTAGCTGTTTCCTCATGTGGTAGAAGGGGCAAGGAAAATCTCCGAGACCTGTTTTGTAAGGGCACTAATTCCATTCATGAGAGCTCTGCCCTCATGATTTAATCACTCCCCAAAGGCCCTACCTCCTAATATGATCACATTGGTGATTAGGTTTCAACATATGAATTTGGGGGGACACAGATATCCAGACCATAGCACATATACATTGCTGGAAAAACGAATGTTTTCTTATATAGATTAGGCAATTACAGCCATTTATTGACTATAACTGAGATTTAATGGCGACTGTTTTACAGCTTTCATTAGGATATTAGTTTACTTCATCTAAATGTAGTGATTCTATTATCTCCAAAAGCAAAGTTAAAAAAAAAAAGGGAAGTAATAGTCTAATCTGGAGCAGAATCAAGTGCAAGTGGAAGATAGTCATGAACCACTTTGTGGCTTCCTTGGAGATTTGAATTCCGAGTCCAGCTACCTCATAGGTAAGATCTAACTAGGAAACCTAGGATTTAATTCCCACCTGCCTATCAGCAAATCTGATTCAGAGACCAATCCAGAATCATGAAAATGCTTGAAGCACAGACTACCTGATAGTGTTCTCTTATTGCTGTTGAATGCTAAAATTGCATTATGCATCTTAGCATTCATGGATTTAACGTTCATGATTTTCATTATTTGTGAGTGACCCTGAATGAAGTTAATCACAATGGCACCCCTTTGGGGGTACACTATAATAACCTTATGAGTATTATAGTGTAAACATTTTACACATGGTATCTATTGACAGAGCAGTTACATCACTTGCCCAAGGGCCTCCAGTTAGTAAATTTGCAAACCCAGGCTTGTCTAACTCCAAAGCAAGTGACTTTGACCACATTATCCTGCCTCTTAACAACATGCAGTGATTTAAATATTATTGAGGCATGAAATTCGATGGCCTGTTCTTGTGGCTGAGGCAGAGACTGAATCATTTTGCTGGTGGAGTGCCTGGCTGACCACCCAGGATTTCCTCTCCTTGGGGCTTTATTGCTGTCCACTCTAGACAACAAGCAAATAAACAAAACTGCTTGGTGTGAAACACTGCTGAAAAGTAAACTAATTATTTGGGACTGGTGATAAAACTGAAAAGAAAGTCATGCTTTTTGAGAACTTAAGGATTTACATAGGTCTCAGCCGATGATAATCTTATGGAGCTCAGGTGCAGTGCAGGTGGAGAAAGTAGAGAGTGTGGCCATGCAGTTTGGAAACAGCTCTGTATTATTTCTTTTCTGATGAACAGGGGCTGTTGTTCTGGCAACTTCCAAACTGTATAATCACTGCTCTATTTGGATAAGGATGGAGTACCTGCAATTTGTGTCTCACATGATGTGACTGGATAATATAAGTTTCAGTCACTTTATGAATGCTACATTAGTATTGCCAAGAATATGCATGTATGTTTTCATATATCAGGTGTCCCTCAATGTGGGAAAACTTATTGTAAAACTAAATTATCTAACTCACATCTTCTTTATTGAGTTATAATAAAAGGAAAAAGATAAAATCTAGGGGTGGCTCTTCTATGTGCTGATCATTTTAATCCTGATGGGAAAACTATTCAATAAAGGTGTGGAAATCAGAATACACTTCAAAAAGCATGTGTCATTTTTAGGGAACAAAAGCAAAATTACTATAGATATTTTCTTCCTCCTGAGGCATTCTTTCACATTCTGTTTTAACTACCTAGGTCCCAAATCAGTCTTCACTGCTGGGCTGTACTGCTCTGTTAAAATAAAAAAGAGAGACAGAGAGAGAGAGAGAGAGACAGAGACAGAGACAGAGACACACACAGAGAGAATGTAGAAAGCCACAGTGCTTTAAGGAGAATTCCTAAAATCAATTTTTCCCTCCTCCCTGACCCATCTCTCTACTTTCCACATTAAAAGGAACTGTGTTGTACATGAGATTCTTCATTTGCCAAATTATGTGTGTCTTTTTCTTCTTCTTTATTTGTTGTTTGTTTGTTTAAGCCTGCATTGTCATAGTATTAGAAGATAACATGGTTTTCTTCCTTGGATTTCTTTTCTTTGCTTCCTCTTCTTCTTCTTATTATTATTATTTTGAGACAGGGTCTCACTTTGTCACCAAGGCTGGAGTGCAGTGGCGCCATCTCAGCTCACTGCAACCTCTGCTTCCCAGGCTCAAACGATCCTCCTGCCTCAGTCCCCCAAGTAGCTGGGACTATAGGCACACGCCACCACACTCAGCTAATTTTTGTACTTTTTGTAGAAATGGGGTTTTACCATGTTGGCCAGGCTGGTCTCAAACTCCTGAGCTCAAGTGATCCACCTCCACGGCCTCCCAAACTGTTGGGATTACAGGCGTGAGCCACCGGGCCCAACTTTCTTTGCTTTTGATTCCTGCAGCATCTGCAACAATGTCCTCCATTTACTTTGAACCCATTTGTTTTCTCACTGAATAAACATATATTGAGCACCTATTATGATCCAGGCACAGTTCTAGGTACTGGGAATACAGATCCCAAAAAAAGAAAGAAAAAGCAAACCTGCTGCCATGGAGCTTGCATTCTGTATACATGAGCGATTCTTAACAGGAATGATTTTGTCCCTCCCCTTTCCCTGTGACATTGGACAATGTCTGGAAACACTTGACATTATTGTTTGTCACAACCCGGGCAGTGGTGCCACCTGCACTTGGTGGGTAGAAGTCAGGGATACTGTCAAACATCCTACAATGCACAGCTCTTCAGTCCAAAATGTCCACAGTGCCAAAGCTGAGAAATCCTGATGTACACATATAGTGTGCTGAACACTGAATGCCAGAATATATATATTGCTTGCAAGGCTGGGAAAGGTGCTGGATAGCTTTCGGAATTGGAGGAAGGGCTATAGCAGCAAAGACCCCAGGTACTGAAATCAGGAATTCTGTGCTCACGGGAATCTCCCACCCTACTCATCTCTCATTTTGCTTCTCTCTTCTCTTTGCACAGTGCTGCTTCATGTGCTACTACAGCAGAAAGGACCTCACCTTGTGGAGAATAGCCTTTTACTCTAGGCTTAGAAACCCCAGAGGAAAAATCACTTTTTAGGCATGGCATCTCTATATCAAACAATGTGTTTGGCCTTATTCTGGTCATGTGCCCGCCCCATGGACCAATCTTGGTTGCCTGAGGATGAGGTGGAATGACTGGTCACACCTATTCTTAAGGCTAGGCAGTTCAGAGGTAGTAATGAAGGCTGGAGTGTTGTTATTGACAATCTCACTACAGCAGAATGAATGGTCAAAGGTAGCTCTGCAAAGGAAAAAATGATGGACAGGAAAATCAAAATCTGTACATGTAATTATGCTACAATGAAGGATGCAAAACCATAGCCACACATTAAAGCAGTAATTCCAAACCATTCTAGCATCAAGATCCACTATATTGACACTCTTCTGTTTCCTAGCCTTTGGCCATCCAAAATATTTGAAATAATATTATTAAATTACAATGGATTTTTTTCTTTTAAAATATATTCTGAGAATGACTTTGAAAATTTTGAGGCCGGGCATGGTGGCTCACGCCTGTAATCCCAGCACTTTGGGAGGCCGAGGTGGGCAGATCACGAGGTCAGGAGATCGAGACCATCTTGGCCAACATGGTGAAACCCTGTCTCTACTAAAATACAAAAAATTAGCCAGGCTTGGTGGTGCACGCCTGTAATCCCAGCTACTTGGGAGGCTGAGGCAGGGGAATCACTTGAACCCGGGAGGCGGAGGTTGTGGTGAGCTGAGATCGCGCCACTGCACTCCAAACTGGTGACAGAACAAGACTCCATCTCAGAAAAAAAAAAGAAAAGAGAACATTTTGAAATAATTAGAGACACTCTAGGTTATTCAACAAGAAACTCATTTTACTGATCAATACATATTAATTGAACACCTACTATGCACAAAGCTTTGTACTAGACATGTGAGGGACACAACAAAGAAGAAGGTACGGTACCTGCCTTCTAGCTTGTATTCCACTTGCAATGTAAGGCAGATGTACTAGAGTGTTTCCCTAATAATATAAACTAGGCTAATCCTGGCATCTTCTGTCACTGCCTCAAAAGGCACATGCCACTATAACATCGCCTATGTGTTGCATAAATTCGGCTAGAGGGCAAACAGCCCCTACTTAAAATTTCCTACTTGCTTTTACTTGTTTCTCCTATACTTAACACCTTTCCAGTGATGCCTGCCAGAAACATTCTGACATGGTGGAGCTCTCCGTATTAGTCCTGTCTGGCCAATAACAACAACAGCCACCACTATTCACCGGACACTGTGCAAGGTATTTGCATTCTCATTACACTCTTTTGGACCATTATGTGAGGTCAGCATTTATGCCCATTTTCCAGAGTTAGAATCTGAGGCAACAAAGAATCCGGTAGATTTATCCACGATGACACAGCTTAAAAGTGGCAGGGCCTCAATTTGGCCTCAGGCCTATGTGACTCCAGAGATCCTGGTCTTAACCGTTATGGCAGTCTTGTTGTCATTTCTACCTCAGTAAAGCAACCAAGTATTTTAAGCAATAGAGATATTAAGAACTGGACCGGGTGCCATGGCTCACCCCTGTAATCTCAACACTTTAGAAGGCTAAGGCAGGAAGATCACTTGAAGCCAGGAGTTCAAGACCAGCCTGGGCAACATAGCAAGCAAGATTCCATCTCTACTGAAAATAAAAAAATTAGCCAGGCATGCACACCTGTAGGCTCAGCTACTAGGAAGGTTGAGGTGGGGGGAATTCGAGATTGCAGTGAGCTATGGCTGACCTGGGTGACAGAGTGAGACCCTGTCTCTAATTTAAAAGTTAAAAAAAAAAAAAGACTGCAGCAGTTCAAGGAAGAGAAAATATAAAGGCAATTTAGGACAGCTTTTTGGCAGAAGAGAATACGGGAAGTGTTCATTCATTCCCAGTGTTCTGCTTCCAGGCTGAGGTTAATTGCCTTGATTTTTAAGTACCTTGCCTTAGCTCAGCAAGGTAGTATGTTGTCCACACCATGACACCTGACTGTTCTAGTGGAGAGGAAGAGGAAAGAACCTACCTATGCCAGGTACTGTGCCAGACTCTTTCATTCACCTTTCATCTACTCCTCCCAAGGCCCCAGGAGGAGTCGTTGTACCCCCACTTTATAGGTGTGAAAAATAGTGCCCAGAATAATTAATTAACAGGAGCCAGACAGAAAATGAGCCGAGGTTCAAACACATAACCTGTGTTCTTTCAACTGTTCCTTCCCTCTATGGCCATCCTCATCCCCATCTTCATCCCTCACCATGCCTTCCCGAAAATATTGACCTATTCAACCATCCTTATCCCTAGCCATACCCTCCAGAATATTGACCTATTCTAAATAAGGAATTCAAAAGCACAGCTCTCTCTGCTGGCCTTTTCTGTGTTAGCACCATGAATTTCTTCCAAGCAAACATAGTAACCTGTACGGGCAATGAAGATTCTATCCATTTTGAGCTATGCCAGTGCCACCCTGCTTTCTATAAACTTGGTAATTAACTTTTGTCAAACTTCCTAAAAATGTTAACAGGGTCCTGCCACACTCCACATGTATAGCACCATTATTAATTTTTAAATACAAGACTGTGGTTTCTTCCAGTGGAAAATGCATTTTCCTTCGCAGTCTAAGGCACTCAGCTACCAAATTATCTTAGAGGAAAAGTGGAGAATGCAGACTGAAAGGTACGGTTTGCAGATCTCACTTATCTTTGAAATAAAGGATGACTTCCAAAAAATGATGTGAGTACAGAGCTTGTGTAATCTCCATTCCCAGTGATTTTTCTTTGATTGATGTGCCATTAATACTTTAATTGGCAACAGGTGCAGCTGATTGTTGGTTCCTATGCTGAGAAATGTGAAACTGAACATAAGGTTCTGATAAATTAATAAACTCCTCTGCTCCAAACAGTTGTCGCTTCAAACTAACTTTTCATGGAGTACTGCTCCGTCAAGCACACTGAATTCTTTATGTTAAAAAGCGAAGTGTTACTTAATGATAAATTAAAATTACACAAAAAGCCACAGATAAAACACAATAACATCCCCCTTCCAGGGAAAAGGGAAATTGCTGGAAGGAGCAGACGAATGTGATTTATGAAATGAATTGGTTCACTTTTGTAGACCAGTGTTTTGTCTCTAGATTCCATATCACAATTATTAAAATAATTTTGTATTATTTAATATGAATGGGTGAAGAGAGAATAAAGGGTTTTTACATAAGGTCCTTTTTCCCCCTGAGGTAAAATTAATATTGAGTGGAAACCTAGGGGAAAAATTGTGAAGGTTCTATAAAAGATCTTAAAGTTATGTTTTGTGTTATTTATTAATCCTGTAAGTATTGAGACCATATTAATAATTTTGCTGAAAGAATTTGTCTCTGATGGACACAGAGGTTTAGGCCTTAATTTTCTATTAAGGAGAAACAAATAATTTATTCACAGCTCTGGTTGTGATGGTAAATGAACATGGGTCATTGTCTCCATCCCCTAAATCAAACATGGAAGATGACTCAGAGAATATAAAGAAGTTGACAGATATCATAGTTGTAGCCTCCCACCCACCCAAGACACCCCAAAGCTGTGAGAAATCTGATGAAGGCAGAGGGTGGTCCTAGCATAGAGGGAGGGGAATGGTAGCTTGAGGACTACAGGGCTATGGACCTCTAGGATAGGCTAGACTGGGGAAAGATTTCTAGTTGTGCCCTTTCTTCCTCCCTCATGTAGATCTTTAGGGCACTGTAGCTATTATGGGCGAAAAAGGCAGCCCTGGAAGCCTAAAGCCATCTTGGGGAACCCAGGCTAAATTAGGGGAGTGGAGCCAGGGGAAGGTGGGGAGCCAAAGTCACTGAGTACAGGTAAGCTGGCTGACCCCATGAGCATTTCCTTCCTTCCCCTCTTCTCTCTACCCTGTAGGCTCTTACAGGGCCAAATTACTAAGAGGTTAAAAATGTCAAAAGAAAAATCCAGGGATGTGTTACACCCGGAAATATCATCTCTAGAGGTTCTTGTTCCCTACTATGTCCCATCTGAAAAAGAGCACAAGCTAGGAACTAGACTTCTGCCTTCCCTCCCTTACTGACAGGACTAGCAAAGGCAGCTAAAGATTCCAAGGGGATAAAGGGTGAGTTCATAGGCAAAAAATAAGATATCAGAGAAGCATTACCAAAATGAACAATTGGAGTGGCCTATACCAAAAAGAGTAAAACACATGAAACTGGTATGAGTTTGAAATGAGCATAATAAATATCTTTAGAGAGAGAGAACGAGTGGACAATGTAAGCACAAAATGGGAGCACATATTATAAAGGAAAATCAGTTAGAATTCCTAGGTATAAGAAATACAATAGTTGAATTAAAAAAAAAACAAATGAATGGATTGGTTAAAGAGCAGAATGAATACAGCTGAGCTGTAGCATAGAAGATACTGGATGAGATGAAGTGATGAAAAAAAAGAACACAGGGCATTGAAGCAAAATCTTCAATATACATCCAATAGGAATCCAAATAATTTTTTAAAAAGGAAAAGAAAAAGAGATTATGTAGGGGAAGAAAGAGTGAAGAAGTGATGACAGAGAACTTCTCAAAATTAAGGAAAGATTTACAAGTCTAATAGAGTGATATTTAAGATATCAAAGACCATGTCAAAATTCCAAAAGCATACACAGAGCATAAGCAGAAGCATAAAGCTAAAGGAATTAAGGGAGTGCTGAAATTCTGGTCATGTTCAGAGAGGAAAGATATGTCTATTGATAAGCTTTTGATGCTAATGGAAGGAAACTGCGGAAATGTGGGTATAAACAAGTTAGGAGTATTCATTAAAAGAATAAAAATAGAATGTGCAATCTTCAGAGAAACAAAATAAAATTTAATTTACCCAGTAGAAAACATGAAAAAATGATAAAATAAAAGAATAAAGAATAAATAGAAAATAGTAAATCAAACTTCAGAAAGAAACCTTAAGATTAAAAACACTGAAATGTTAAAAATAAATCATTGGAAAAATATTCTAGGCAAATATAAATCCAAGGAGAGCAAGGCTAAAAATTTTAATACCAGACAAAAGAGAATTAAAAATCACAAGAGAAAAAAATATTTATAAGAAAAAAACAATATTAAAAAAGCACAATTATTATGACCATATTTCCACCTAATAATATAGCCTGAAAACTTATAAAGCAATAGCTAATAGAACTACAGAAAATAGCTGGGCTTGGTGGCTTGCGCCTGTAATCCCAGCTACTTGGGAGACTAAGGCAGGCAGATCACTTGAGGACAGGAATTCAAGGCCAGGCTGGGCAACACAGTAAGACCCCATCAATAAAAAATAAAAAATTAGGCAGGCATGATGGCACACACCTGTAGTCCGGCTACTCAGGAGGCTGAAGTGGGAGAATTGCTTGAGCCCAGGAGTTCCAGCAAGACTTCAGTGAGCTATGATCACCTGGATGACAGAGTGAGACCAGGTATCTCAAAAACAAAACAAAACAAAACAAAACAAAAAACTACCCAGTAATAGTCATTGGAGATTTAATCTACCTCTCTCAGACTCTAGTAGATCAGGTTGATAAAACTTAAGCAATGACATGAAAGATTTGAATAATATGCCTAAAAATATCCTTTATTATCAACATATATGAAACCAATTACTATGGGGTATGAAGTGGTTTTGTCACTTTATGTCCCCACCCCAACCTCATCTTCAGTTGTAATCCCCATAATCTTCAAGTGTTGAGAGAAGAACCCAATGGGAGGAGACTGGATCACGAGGGCAGTTTCCCCCATGCTGTCCTCGTGTGAGTTCTCATGAGATCTGGTGCTTTTATAAGTGTTTGGCAAATTCCTCCTTCCCTCGTTCTTCTCTCTCCTGCTGTCTTGTGAAGAAGGTTCCTGCTTTCCCTTCCACCATGATTGTAACTTTTGTGAGGCCTCCCTTGACATGCAGAACTGTGAGTCAATTAAACCACTTTCTTTTATAAATTACCCAGTCTCAGGTATTTCTTTATAGCAGTGCAAAAACAGACTAATACACCACCTTAGGACTTCCACATTATATTATCAAATCTCCCTTTTGCGTTGTTTAATGATGACTTGAACAAATGCCCTGTCTGGTCACTGTTGGTTATTAGAGATTCGGTCTAATTAAGATTTCAAACTCAGTTTCAATATAAATCTCTTTTTCTCTCCTCTTCATCCCCCTCCCTTTCCCTCCCTTCTCCTCTCCTCTTTGAATACAGAACATGTGGATCTGCAAAGGGGAGAGGCCATGGTGTCCTCTTTCTATGCTCCTCTCCACTCTGCTAGCATACGAGGGAAGGGGAAGGGGTGAAGTTAGTCTGAGGAGGACTCTGCCTTTTCCTTCTTATAGGGCCTAACTCTTTTCCTGTCTGGAGTAAGAAATATTTAACTAGTCAGCTATTGGTGGTAAGGAAGTACTCTGATCTGTTTGTGGCTCAACCTGGTCTGTCAACTTACATTGCCTCAGCTTATATTGCTTCAAGAAGCCCCAGCCTACTTCACAGAGAGGAAAAAAAAACCTCTCACCAGGAGCTCCATTTCCTGCAAAGCTGAACATCTGGGGACCAAACTAGGATGAGGCCTTGAGGCACTCACCTCAGACACAAAATTTAAAGAGGCATCAAAAACCTCAGTAATCCAGATAGATAGTATTTTAATGCAATATGTTTTAAAAGTAAAAATTAAGACCAAAAAAATACAGTGATTCAAATATCAAAATTTTAAATAAAAAAAATATTATTGGGATTTTCCTTTGCCTCAGTCTCCATTATGCCACTGGAAGGTCTTAATTTTGACTGCATTTTTCCCTCCCTCAATAGCATTTTTAACGTCATCAAGAAAAAGGATTGGGTAGTGGCTTAGGATAACATGGTCAGTTCTGCTTCTTAATAGGAAGACATGAGAAAGATGTGGCACTTGTGGTACTGATGGATCCATCTAAATAGTAGAAAACTTTGGGCCCACTGTTAATAGCCGATGATTCTACCGGCCATTTCAAGCACAATACCTTGAAAGGCAGCCCAGTGAGAGGCAATCCCAGAGGGCAAGCCCAGAGAGAGTTTGCGTGTGTGTGTGTGTGTGTGTGTGTGTGTGTGTTTCATTTTTGTTTTTGTTTTGAAGGAGAAAGAATAGTCTTTTTATATATATATACTTTAAGTTATAGGGTACATGTGCACAATGTGCAGGTTTGTTACATATGTATACATGTGCCATGTTGGTGTGCTGCACCCATTAACTCGTCATTTACTCTAGGTATATCTCCTAATGCTATCCCTCCCCACTCCCCCCACCCCACGACGGACCCTGGTGTGTGATGTTCCCCATCCTGTGTCGAGGTATTCTCATTTTTTAATTCCCACCTATGAGTGAGAACATGCGGTGTTTGGTTTTCTGTCCTTGCGATACTTTGCTCAGAATGATGGTTCTGAGCAAATGTCCCTACAAAGGACATGAACTCATCCTTTTTTATGGCTGCATAGTATTCCATGGTGTATGTGTGCCACATTTTCTTAATCCAGTCTATCATTGATGGATATTTGGGTTGGTTCCAAGTCTTTGCTATTGTGAATAGTGCCACAATAAACATACATGTGCATGTGTCTTTATAGCAGCATGATTTATAATCCTTTGACTATATACCCAGTAATGGGATGGCTGGGTCAAATGGTATTTCTAGTTCTAGATCCTTGAGGAATCACCACACTATCTTCCACAATGGTTGAGAACTAGTTTACAGTCCCACCAACAGTGTAAAAGTGTTCCTATTTCTCCACATCCTCTCCAGCACCTGTTGTTTCCTGACTTTTTAATGATTGCCATTCTAGCTGGTGTGAGATGGTATCTCATTGTGGTTTTGATTTGCATTTCTCTGATGGCCAGTGATGGTGAGCATTTTTTCATGTGTCTGTTGGCTGCATAAATGTCTTCTTTTGAGAAGTGTCTGTTCATATCCTTTGCCCACTTTTTGATGGGATTGTTTGATTTTTTCTTGTAAATTTGTTTGAGTTCTTTGTAGATTCTGGATATTAGCCCTTTGTCAGATGTGTAGATTGCAAAAATTTTCTCCCATTCTGTAGTTTGCCTGTTCACTCAGATGGTAGTTTCTTTTGCTGTGCAGAAGCTCTTTAGTTTAATTAGATCCCATTTGTCAATTTTGGCTTTTGTTGCCATTGCTTTTTGTGTTTTAGACATGAAGTCCTTGCCCATGCCTATGTCCTGAATGGTATTGCCTAGGTTTTCTTCTAGGGTTTTTATGGTTTTAGGTCTGACGTTTAAGTCTTTAAGTCTTTGACGGAGTCTCACTCTGTTGCCAGGCTGGAGTGCAGTGGCGTGATCTTGGCTCACTGCAGCCTCCACATCCCACGTTCAAGCGATTCTCCTGCGTCACTCTCCTAAGTAGCTGGGACTACAGGCGCATGCCACCATACCCAGTTAATTTTTGTATTTTTAGTAGAGACGGGGTTTCACCATGTTGGCTAGGATGGTCTCGATCTCTTGACCTCATGATCTGCCCGCCTCAGCCTCCCAAAGTGCTGGGATTACAGGCATGAGCCACCACACCCGTCTGACAGTTTTAAGAGAAAGAAAAAACAAAGAATACCTCCAACAAATACAGGATACATGTTATTTTCTTTAAACAAAGAAAGATATGTTATAAAAAATCCATATTCCCTTACTAAAGCATCAATAAATTGCAAAGGAACTGCAGCTTGAAGTTCTTCAAGAGTACCAATATTCAGCTATATTTGATGTACAAAAATGACAATTTCATTTGGTCCAAACTGGTATATCACAGACTATATCTTCTCTGACTACGGTGCTATAGTATTAAAAATCAATGACAAAGCAAGAGCTTGAAAAATATTTCTGAAATATTTAACATAATCACTAAATAGAAAAGTTTTGCCTTTGTCAAGTTTGATTTGGACTAAGCACTTCTCCATTAAAATCTGCTATAAAACCTGCAGAAGGGAAAATAAAAAAACATTCAAAACCATGGCCAGTGACCAACACAGAACTTGAGAAGCTCTGATCCTTTAAGAGAAGGTAAACACTATGAATGAGATCTACATTCGCCTAGCTTTTTCTCCATGAGCATTTGCCAATATTTAGCACGAGAGAATAGAAAGTGGTAGTTCCAATGGCCGGAGAAGATACATGTTGGAGTTTTGAACAGCCAAACCAGCTGGGACTTGAGGGGTAAAATCTTGAAAGAAGGATACTACAGGGAAATCAGCCTGGAAATCTGTTCAAATGCCACTTGAGGCTTTGGCCAATTTCTAGGCTGTACACGAAAACTGTCAGAAACTAGCAGCTGGAAATATTGTGGTACTGAGGAGGCAAAGATAGGAATTTAAGGCCTGCCAATGTCAAATGGCCTTGGTAAACATCCCAGACTCTCAGCTGAGACATCAGAAGGTCTATAACCTAGAAGTAAAGACAAAATGAAATAAAACAGCTCCAAAATCAATCTTCAACAGGATTAAGGTGATCTGCAAGTACTCCTTGCTGCCAAAAGAGGTCTTAACCCTCTTAGAAAGAAGATAACACCATACAGACTCTCTATAATTTTAATGGAATCAATACACAAGGTCCAGCGTCCAACTACAATGTATGAAGTATGTTAAAAAAAAGAAAAAACTAGTGACCGAAGCCAAGCAGAAACAGAGCTACAGATGATTCAGATATTAGAATTATTAAACAGGGACATTAGAATAACTATATTCAAGAAAAGAGAGAAAAACAATTTCAGCAGGTACTAATAATCTATATTAAAAATCAAATGGAATGTATAGGTCTGAAAAATATAACAAGTGAAATTAGGAATTCAACAGAAAGATTTAATAGAAACTTAGACAGAGAGGAAATTAGAGTTTGTAAACTAGAATACAGGCCAGCTTAGAGTGTCTAGACCAGAGCACTGAGAGAAAAATATGGAAGTTAGGGAGAAGAGTAGAAGAGATATGTAGGACATAGTGAAAATGTCTAACATGTAATTGAAGTTCCACAAAGAAAGGAGAATAAACATGACACAGAAACAATATTTGAAGAAAAACTAGTTGAGAGTTTCTAAAACTGAAAGACATCAAACCACAGATTCATTAAACTTTAAAAACCAAACAGGATAAAGAAAATTATATCTAAGCACAAGATAGTAAAACATACTAAAAATCAAAGACAGAGAAACTCTTAAAAAGTCAGAGGTAAAAAGACACATTGACTTCAAAGAAGCAGTAATAATTCTTGGGGCTTATATATCAATATTGATTTTTTCAGTGGACACCAGAGAACAATGAAAAACAGCTTTTAAATACTGGAAGAAAATGACTAGTCACCTATAATTTTATAGCAGTCAAAATATTCCTCAAAAATTAGAGTGATAAAACATCTTATTATCCCAGAAATAAAGACATGCTCAAGAAATTGTAATAAGACATGGGAACCAGTCTGAATGGGCTCCCACTGGCCAAATCCAGGATAATTCAAACACCAAATAAATAATAACAGTAAGAGATTGTACTTCATTGAATAATAATTTGCGAATCCATACAAATAGTAAATACATTATTGAATTAATTAAAGTAGAATGTTAACTAAAAATGTAGAGGAAATTATGGAGTTAAAAAATACCATTTCACAACCATCATAGTAGTAATTTATCGAGCAGGAATCATCAATGGATGATGAAACTACTTGGTGAAAATTTGATGAGAAAATGGGATATTTACATAATCTCAAAATATCTTCCCACAAATTACTTATTAATTACAGAGACATAATGTGCCTTCTAATGTGATGCACTGATAAGGAAGGATACATTACTTCTGTGTTATTTCTGCTAAAAATGTATAACTTGAATCTAATCATAAGAAAAAGTGAGGATTAGTCTGAAAAACATCTGTCCTGTAGTCTTCTAAAATGTCAGTGTTGTGAGGGAGTTACGGAAGCTGCTGTTGTCAGTCAACATAGAGATGATGAAGACCTGAACTAAAGCATTACCATGTAGATTTTGAGGGGGGATCAAAAATGCGATATATAAATTCTACATTTTCAGCATTTAAAGACTACTTAGATGTAGCAGGAAAGATGAAGAAATCCAAGTGTTCCATCTGGGATATTTATCCAGAATAAGATTTAGAATGATATTTTTAGAATTATTAAACAGGCACATTAAAATAACTACATTCAAGAAAAGAGAGAAAAAAAATTTCAGCAGGTACTAATAATCTATATTAAAAATCTAATGGAATGTATAGGTCTGAAAAATATAATAATTGAATATAGTTGATAAAGACATACCCAAGACTGGGTAATTTATAAAGAAAAAGAGGTTTAATGGACTCGCAGTTCCATACAGCTGGGAAGACCTCGCAATCATGGCTGAAGGCAAAAGGCATGTCTTACATGGCAGCAGGCAAGAGAGATGAAAACCAATTGAAAGGGATTTCCGCTTATGAAACCATCAGATATCATGAGACTTACTCACTACCACAAGAACAGTATGTGGGGAACTGCACCCATGATTCAATTATCTCCCCCCAGGTCCCTCCCACAATACTGAGAATTACAGGAGCTACAATTCAAAATGAGATTTGGGTAAGGACACAGCCAAACCATATCACAAGGTCAAATGGGTTCTATTTTAGAAACAGACTTACTTTGAAGTACACATAAGCCATCTAAGTAAAGATACCTGGCCAGCAGTTGGGTTGAAGGGAGAGATCAGATAGATTCCAGAGTGTAGGACGACTCTGCTTGCAGGGAGTGACGAAAGCCTTGGGACCCATGTGAGCATGAGGGATAAGAAGAAAAGGAAGAAAAATGAACCTAGGAACCACCAAAGGACTGAGCAAAGAAAAAAAGCGTCAGCAAAGAAAAATTAATGGAAGATTCAGAGAATTTAGAAGAGAACTGGAAGGGTTTGATGTCCAGGAAACCAAGGAATAAGAGAGTTTTAAGACCATGTGCCAGACACTGTGCTAGATACACACAAAGCTCAAAACTTTGTCAGAGAGAAAAACAAAAACATAAAATATTTAAACCATTCAACATTGATCTACATGGCACACAATGGAAGAAAAATATAGACACTAGACACAGTGCAGTGGAAGCACAGAGCAGGAAGGCTTTCAACTCTCCTAGGGTGTTAGGGAACATGTCCCCAGGATCTGTGGAGCATCTCTGGGCACTCTCAAATGATAATGGGTGTGGTGATACTCACTTTGTGCTGGTCAGTACTAGTTCCAGGAAAACTACTGGTGTGCTTGAGTGAACCAAGTAAGTATCCACCCTCAGAGCGTCATACAAGCTAGTGAATGGAGTCTCACTGTTTTTATTGTGCAGCCAATTCAATACCCTTTGCACTTAGGCACCTCTTTTTTTAAAGAAAACCAAAAGAATCATTCCTTTTCTCTGCCCTTTTCATGTTTGGTCTTTTTCTTATCACATTATTGTTTGGCAGCTATGAAGGAAAGGAAACAAAGTCATGGACAAAGTCTTGTACAAAGTCATGGAAACTTCAGAAAAGTTGGAGAGAAACAAAAATAGTTTAGTGCCACTGGGAGAGTAGCATGAGATAAAATTGAAGAAACAAAAGGGAAGGACCAAATTAAGAAGACAATTGCCACATGGAATAGAGTGGCAAAGGAGATGGATAATGAACAAGTACACAAATAGTGCTCAATATGTGCCATGTGCCCGTCTAAGTGTCCTACTTATTTATCCTCCATCTGAGGTAGCTTTTATCATTATGCCATTTTACAGATTAGAAAACTGAGACATTAAGAGACTAAGTAACTTTCCCACACATTTCATAAATGAGGGAGCCAGGATTTGAACACAGGCAGTGTAGCCTCAAGTCTGTGCCCTTAACCACCACACCCTGGAGCAGGAATCAGATATTAGAAAATGACAACTGAAGTAAGTACTACGAAAGGAAGGAACGAGGGTGTATTAGTTGATTCTCACGCTGCTAATAAAGATATACCTGAGGCTGGTTTTAAAGGAAAGAGGTTTGGTTGACTCACAGTTCTGCAGGGCTGGGGAGGTCTCAGGAAACTTGCAATCATGGTGGAAGGGGAAGCAAACAAATCCTTCTTTGCCTAGTGGCAGCAAAAAGTGCCCAGCAAAAAGGGGGAAAAGCCCCTTATAAAGCACCAGATCTCATGAGGACCCACTCACTATCATGAGAACAGCATGAGGGTTACTTCCCCCAAGATTAAATTACTTCCCACCAGGTCCCTCCCACAACACGTGGGCCTTATAGGAATTACAATTCAAGATGAGATTTGGGTGGGGACACAGCCAAACCATACAAAACGGGCCATGAGAACTATTTCCCAGATGGGGAAACCTTCAACAAATTGAGGGTAACTGATCTTCTCAAGATCATACTTTATCAGGGGTTGAGCTGAGCTTTATATTTGGATCAAAACTCCCAGGACTGTTCTGTGCTCCTTTCTCTTCTCCAGTGTTGCAAGCTTGAAAAGGCCGAAATTGGAAGTCAAGAAAGGAATTAATCACATATCGACGATTAGTGCCTTATTTTGGGACAGAAAGAGCTGTCTTTGGAAAGGCAAGCACTGGGAATCTAGCCTTGCCTCCCTCATCAACAACTGTGATATTGTCAAGTGGGTATGTGGAATTCTGTACCTGAGTTCCTCCTCCTTTGTGGATACAGTACTAAGTAATTGCTGAGGCTTTGGCAGTGCTCACATTTTGTGACTTTAGCATCAGTTGGGCTTTTTGGTGGGGTTGTGGATACTTCCCAGTCACCCGGAGCTTTTAACACATTTATCAGAGGGCACAAAATTACATGGCCTGAAAGAATAATGTATTTTAAATGTATGTACTCAAAAAAAAAAAAAAAAAACACAATTATCTGGGGCCAGGCACAGTGACTCATGCCTGTAATCCCAGCAACTTGGGAGGCTGAAACAGGAGGATCACTTGAGCCCAGGAGTTGGAGGCTGCAGAGGGCTATGAAATAGTTGGTCTGACTGGAGCTAAGTAGAACAAATACCTATTGTGTGTGACTATTCTTAGTATGCGTGCCTCACCCATTGCAGGCACTCAAACAATATCCATTTTTTCCTTCTTTGCCATCCATTAGCTTGTGCTCTCTATATCTCTTAATTCCTGGTGGATGCATCCTAATGAATTTACTGTCCTATTTATTCTTGTTTTTAGGAGCTTGGGCGATTTTGCAATTCTTAGTTGTCTCCCTTCTAAATGTACTAGCCCCTTAGATATTTTTCCCCTCCCTTAATATAGTTGCCTACTTTTGGAAAACTACTCTTTACCAAGCACCATAGGCATACCCATCTGCAAATGGGCATAATTCTAAGCATTTGTCAAGAGAATTATCATTGTTTGATTGAAGATGCTGGGTTCAAAGGCTCTAGCCTTTGGGAAAGTAAAAATGTTCAGGATAGATATAGAAACTAAGCCTCCCAGGACTGATTGGTATGTCTTTAGACTTCTAACAGTCTTAGACATCAAATGCATCATCACTGTGACACTGGTGAATATAAATGGGCTGGCAAAATCTTTTAGATGAGGAAAATTGAGATTTGATGGATCAGCTCTCTCTGCAATATAGATGATCTCTAATCTAAATGTAAATTCCTATCTCTTGGAAAGTTATAAAGGAGTTCTAAGAGAATAGTAATGTCAAAAACAAACTACCATTTATTGAGCACTAACTATATGCTGGTGACATGTAAAACATACTGTACATTTTTTTAAAGTTAATTCTTAACAATCACTCTCTGAGGCGTGTGCTATAATCTTCACTTTACACATGAAGAAACTGAAATTTAAAGAAGTAAGACCCAATGAACCACTGAGAAGGGACAGATGATCTGAAAAATGTGACTGACATTGGAGAGCTTGAGTCCGGGGGGTGGGTGTTAAGATACCCCTTCTGGGGGCTGCTGCTGTAAAATTACTACAAACTTGGTGACTAAATCATCAGAAGTTAATATTATCACAAGTCTGGAGGCCAGAAGTCCAAAATCAGTCTCACTCTATGGAAACCAAGGTGTCAGTAGAGCCACACTCTTCCCAGAAGTAGAAACTGTTCCTTGCCAATGTCTGATGTTCAATAACATGTTCATTTTCTTCTGAGTCCTCAGCTGAAGTGCTTCTAACATTCCTACCAATATACTGTTTAAAGCAATGTAGGCTTTTTCTATCATGTACCTTAAAATTCATCCAGCCTCTACCTCTTATCAAATTCCAAAGCTACTTCCACATTTTTAGGTATTTATTACCACAGCACCCTACATCCCAGTACCAAAATCTATACTGGTTTTATATGACCATTATAATAAAATACCACAAAATGTCTCTTAAAATGACAAGAATTTATCCTGTCACAGTTCTGCAGGTGAGAAGTGTGAAATCAAGGCATTGCCAGGGCTTTGCTCCCTCCATTGGCTCTTGAGAGAACCCATGCTTCTCTCTGCCAGTGCCTGGTGGCTGCCAGCATTCCTTGGCTTGTGGCTGCATCACTCTGATCTCCAAGGTCAGCATCTTCAAATCTCTCCCTGCTTCATCTTTGTATTACCTTTTCCTCTTCCGTGTGGGTCAAGTTTCCCTCTTAAAAAGATACGTGTGATTGCATTTAGGGCCTACCTGATCATCCTTGATCATTGCCTTATCTTTTGCCATATAGTATAGTATTCACAGAGCCCAGGGAGAAGTCCCAATGTAATTTAGGGCTCATCATTCAGCCTACTATAAGAGGACATGCCATTCTCCTCCATTCGAGCCTTCCTGTTTGATATGGTTTGGATCTGTGTCACCACCCTCATGTTAAATTGTAGTCCCCAGTGCTAGAGGTGGGGTCTGGTGGGATGTGATTAGATCATGGTGGAGTTTCTCATGAATGGTTTAGCACCATCCTCTTGGTGCTGTTCTCGTGATAGTGAGTGAGTTCTCACGAAATCTTGTTGTTTTAAAGTGCATAGCACCTCCCCACTCCTCATTCTCTCTCTTGCTCCTGCTCCCATCAGTGAAATGCCTCGCTCCCCCTTTGCCTTCCATTATGACTGGAAGCTTCCCAAGCCTCCTCAGAAGCAGAAGCCACTATGCTTCTCATGTAGCCTACGGAACTGTGAGCTAATTAAACTATTTTCTTTATAAATTATCCAGCCTCAGGTATTTTTTTGTAGCAATGGAAGCATGGACCAATACATTGTTGTATCCATTACTCTTTCTCACCTTCATGATGTGTAACGATACTAGAATAGGCTCACAATTCCTTGTCCACAGTTCTGAGATCCAAAAAGCCCTGAAAACTGAAATACTTTTTCACAAACTTGGTACAAGTTCAGTGGCAACAAAAGCTGGTGTAGATTAATGTGAGGTTCCTTATGAACCTCATTTATTCCCTTAGTATGAATGTTTGTACATAGACTATGGAAATCTTATTTTTTTTTGTTACTGGGTGCATGTATTACGCTACTGGGGACATTAAGTAATTTATATTATTCTTCTAAAATCTGAGAATATCTAAACTCAAAAATACATTTAATTCTAAGAACTTCAGACAAAGCATTGTGAAACTGTAGTATGATAGGAGCTAGAAATAATCCCAAAGGATTTTGGTAGTGAAGAAACCTGTAAGACAAACTGAAAATTCCTTAAGGACCTTTGGGTGTAATATGAACCTTCAGGGACTCATGGAACCAACACATTTAGGAATCCCTATGAGGTGGTTAAAAAATGATTTCTTGGAAGGTAATAGGTGTCATAGATGAATGTGTACATTATAGGGGAAAAAAACCCCAAGGTATTCAGAAAGTATCCCTTTATCTCCTGGCAGCATTCTGCCCAAATTGTTTGGATCTGTCTGTCTCCCCAGAGTATCAGAGTTGGAGCTCCAGTTCTGAGTCACAGCAACATCTTCTACTATGACCATGAGACAGGGTGCTGACACGGGGATGGCAGCTGGCTTGCCTGGTTATGCCCTTAAACACCGGTGCAGCCAATGCCTTAGGCTCTGCACATAGTCCCTCAGAGCAGGTCTTCCCCCTCTTCACTTGCAGAGCCTCTTCCAAGCTCAAAGTCAAATTGTGGGTGTGTGAGCTAGGAGAATCTCAGGTTTTGACTGTTCTATGAGCTCATCCTCTCCCAGTTGCCACCACCACTACCACCATTTCTCCCGCTTAGCTATTGTCCAGCCTCCCTTACACCTTGCAAAAATAGATCTCATTATTCCAGTTTCTTCCTTTCTTCCAACACACACACACACACACATACACACACGCACACACACACACACCCCTTATAGAGAAGATGCCTTCACACACACCCCTTATAGAGAAGATGCCTTCAGCACCTTTGAGGCGATGGTCTTCTTACATATGTATATTCACACAAATACAAACATAATCACCCTTACCTTCTTTGGAAAGATCTAAATACAGACCTTTAGAGGTTTATGAGAAACTTTTATTTCATTTTTAATCTCTAGTGAGTATCCTAACATACTATTATTGGGTCAGACATTGTGAAAATACATAACCTTGGTCAAGGAGAATGTGGGTGGTTGAAGAAGGCAAATCCATTGCATAAACTAGAAAAGAATTACTCAAAAAGCATGCACTACTTTGAAAAGATTGAGAAAGCCTGGTAACATCATTTCCCCTTGGAAAAGATAATATATTGTTTGTGGAGATATCCAGAAGGAAATCATACTATCTCAGTTGGCGATTCACACAAGTTTGTCATAAACATTCTTCTCCTTCCATTTCTGTTTATCATCAATACAAATGACATCCCTTTATAGTCTGTACGCCATTTTAGGTCAGTCTCCAAACTCTTTATTGGTAGTATAAAGGAATGAGAAATTCCACATGAGGAAAATTCCCAGAGACATAAAACATACTTTTATAAAAACCAAAATGTGGACATAAAATTATAATCATTTTAATGAAAATATTTGGATTGCATTGCCCTGCTTCAATAAGGAAGGGATGCGGAGTGCTTGACTTCTGGAAGTTTGATGTGCAGCAATTCCCAATAGCAGAGCTAAGGCTCACTATGTCCATGAGAGTAACTATTAACAGAGGGCAGGAGAGTGACAAACAAACAAGTTTCCCCAGGCGATTCTGGCAGCAGCCTAGCAGGCTTCACAGGAGTTCCCTGACCCCTCTGGCTCACATCATCCATGCACAGACCTCTCTCAAATGCTTGCAACAGAAGGCACCTGTGCTGAGCCTCAGGGTCCATAGCAGATGATGACACTCTAAGTAGGGTGAGAAGGTGGATGGTGTTGAGACCAAGTTCTTAATGTCACTGAGAAAATAAACCTAAAAGCAAGTTTTCTGAAAATATTTTGAGTAATTATACCAACACTTGAATAAGTGCACAGCATCCCCAGGGATGTGGGGACCGTCCATTATAGAAGGGGCAATTTCTTAGGAAGAACATCATCTTGGGGTTAGAGAGCCTGGAATCCCACCCCTCATTCCATCCTTTATTAGTTGTGTTGCACAAGGAAGGATATTTAATCTCACTGATCCCCAACCTTCATCCATAACAATTCAATAATAATAATAACCCTACTATTATAGATAAGAGCACTTTGAAACTACCATGAATCAGTATATAGGAAGTTTTTTATAATTCCAAAGTATAACACAAATATTTTCAATTATAAAGTGAGATTTTTCAGTGCCAATTAAAATACCTATCTTTTTTTATAAACCACATAAAATATAACTTCTCAAAAATTTCCTTCCATCAAAAGGGTAAAACCTATGGTGATTGCTAAGATTCACTAAAACTTGCCACAGATCTGGATCAAACTTTTAATGGAGTTTTCTACCATTTAAGTAAAAGCTTTGGGCCTCTTTTGATATTATGTAAAGCAACAAAATGAGAGAATCAACATTTTAAAATGTATTTTACATTGGTTCAAAGTCTGTATTCCTTGAATAATCTCAGGATGTAAGAGAAGGGGGCTAATCCTGGTGAGATGGCAGGTTAGGAAAACAGAAATACTATATTCTTGATGGTAACAGAAAAGTTAACATCTAGGTCTCCAATGTTTACCTTGAAAATCATTAAAACAAAAAGAAGGAAGCAAAAATAGTCCATTAATTCCACATAAAGGCATTAAGCAGCCCCAATAGCCTCCAAGGTCTTCTCAGAGATGTCTATGAAAACTTTTCCAAAAGATTCCTTCTGATTCCATGATGGTGACGTTCTTGTCACCTGCCAATGAGAAAGAATGTCAGGGAGTAAAATAATAACTATGTTTAATATTTATGCCATTCCCTCATATTAAATATAATTTATGCGATTGGTTTTTGTATTACCCTGTTTAATTATGTATACTTGAAAAGCCTTTATATTATACATGGTTATCATTTATAATTAATTCAATATAGAGTTTGTGTTCCTGCCCATAAAAAGTTGGGCATACGGCCCTGTGTCAGGAGCATAATCCTTTTCTATATCACTCTCACTACAAGAAAATTGAGTTTAACCTACAGCATAGTTTCTGGGAATACCTTACCCTAAATGCAAATATACCTTCTTTCTTATAAACATAAGTTAATGTGTCTTTAATGGGTAGGAGTCATCACTGAGAGTTAGGAGAATGTAGACAAAAGGGTAAAAGAGGTGTCACCAGAGTTGATTTTTGTAAGTCAGACCACATAAGGTGAGTTTTTGTATCAAATTGCTCTTTTAAAGTTCACTAGTAAACTTCAAATTATGAAAATCAAGCTCTTCTTCTTTATGTTCATTCTACTTAATACTGCTATCACAAGCTCTTCTTTCTTGAAATGCTCCTTCTCTCTGTTCATGCTGCTTCTTGCCCACTCATTGTTTTACACGTGCTCCTCTGGCTGTAACCCCCACCCCCACCCCCAACTCTCACTCTCCCAGGGTGGCTTTTTTTCCCCATTGTCTGAAAAATCCCCTCCACTCTCATGGATTCAACTATTCCCTATGAGATGATGGTAGTCTAAACTACATCTCTAGCCCTAGCTGATCTCTTCATACATTTTATTTGGATGCCAGTAGGACATAACCCAAATGTTCCATAGACTCCCCAACTTCAATTTATCTAAAACACAATTAATTAATCTTTTGCCTCCTGTGGTTCCCTCCTCAGTTAACAGCTTCATTATCTCTTCCCTCCCAAGGGTCATCAACTTTGAAGTCTTCCTCATCCAGTCAAATTCTACCTCATAACATCTTCATAGCATCCTCTCCATTCCACCACCATGTCCTTTGTTCAGGCATGAGAGAAGTGAAGGAACTTAACATTTTCAAGTACTCACTAGACAGTTTCCAGACACTTTCCATCCATTTCTTCAAGAATCATACAAAACGGGTATTTTCATCACCATTTTCTCTTGGAAAAACTGAGTCTCAGGAAGATTATAGTATTAGCAAAAGATCACAGAGCTAAAATGGAGCTAGGTCTGACTAGAAATCCCAGTGTCTTCCCACCTCCAATCTCGGCATTTCTTCTTCATCCCAATAATCTCCCTGTCGCTGGTCTCCCAGCATTTTTGGTGGGACATCTCAGTGGTCTGTGGGCCAGGTTTTAATTTCATGACCTCACAGTATTGGCCAATATTTTAAATTTTAGAAGTTCTTCCCCATACCACCACACCCAAGAAAAAAGCAGTCTGTCTTTTCTTTAAAACACTGGAGAATTGGGAATGCTAGGCCCAGTTTCTTACACAGCAGTGATCAATGGACTCAGCCCACGTGATAGCTGTTCCCTTTGGGTCTGGCAGTCACTCGGCAGTTCACCAGCCTCCATTGTTCTCAGGTGTCCATCACATCTGCCCTGTGTCCATTGCCATTTATCACTGAGCTTATACTATTGCATTTCCAAGAACATGTTGCTCCATTTATTTATATTACTTTTGTCACCCCATGGTTGTTTGAGTTCACAATCCCTAGACTATAAGTGTAATTAGTCAGCTTGGGCTGCCAT
The DNA here is from genome assembly GCF_000001405.40 of Homo sapiens. NCBI lineage: Eukaryota > Metazoa > Chordata > Mammalia > Primates > Hominidae > Homo > Homo sapiens. The sequence continues at coordinate 87,655,335 of NC_000001.11, read as the reverse complement.
AACAAAATATCAAAGCCTGAGGGGCTTAAACAACAGAAATTTATTTTCTTACTCTTTTGGAGGCTGGGAAGTCCAAGGTCAGGGTGCCAGAGTGATGGGGGTCTGGTGAGGACTGTCTTCCTGGCTTGCAGATGGCTGCCTACTTCCTGTGTCCTTATGTGACCTTTCCTCAGTGCACACACACAGAGACATCTGTCTTCTTCTTATAAACCTACCAATTCTATCTGATTAGGACCTTACACTTAGGAACTCATTTAACCTTCATTACCTCCTAAAAGTCCTGTCTTCAAATGTGGTCACTTTGGATTAGGGCTTCACAATATTAATTTTGGGGAGGACACAATTCAGTCCACAGCAATAAGTTTAATAATTATTATTTTCAGTAACTACTGTGTACAAGACACTGTTCTAAGTACTTTACATGAACTATCTAATTTAAACCTCATGATAACTCTATGAGATAAGTACTTTATATAATTTTCTCCATTTTTCCAGATCAGGAGGCAGAGAGAGGTCATGGAACTTCTGCAAATCCCACAGCAGAGCCAGAATCTGAACCCAGATGTTCACGTTCTTAACCACTATTTAATGTTGCTTTTTAGACTCCCCAGAGTTTAAAAGCCCACCTCCACTTCCCAACCTGAGCATGAATTGCCCCCTCACATAAATGGATCACTGGTCATTTTCTGACTGCTCCTTAGGGTTGTCACTTCTTTCCTTTAGCTCAGCTCTTTCCTTTTCCAAAGATGCTCCAGACACCTACTCACCCTGCAAGATCCTGATCAAGTTCTGTCTCCCTTGCAGCCTCTTTCTGCTTTTATAACCCCTAACATAGCTGAGCTCTCTCTTCTGTACTCTCCCTGAATCCTTTATTCTGTAATCCTATATGTAAGTGTGTGTATGTGTGTGTGTGCGTGTTCCCCCTGAGAGCAGATCCCATGTCTTTTCAGTTTTGCATCCTCAAGCTTGACATGCAGAAGGTGCTCAAGACATGTTTGTTAGAGTAAATTGAATTGAATTAACCAGATACCTCCTGAACTCCCTTCCAGTCTAAAACCCTATAATTTTTCTTTTTCTTTCTTTCTTTTTTTCTTTTTTTTGAGACGGAGTCTCGCTCTGTCGCCCAGGCTGGAGTGCAGTGGCGTGATCTCGGCTCACTGCAAGCTCTGCCTCCTGGGTTCATGCCATTCTCCTGCCTCAGCCTCCTGAGTGGCTGGGACTACAGGCGCCCACCACCACACCTAGCTAATTTTTTGTATTTTTAGTACAGACGGGGTTTCATCACGTTAGCCAGGATGATCTCGATCTCCTGACCTCGTGATCCGCCTGCCTCGGCCTCTCAAAGTGCTGGGACTACAGGCATGAGCCACCGCGCCCAGCCTTCTTTTTCTTTTTATTTACTTATTTATTGTTTGAGACAGTCTCACTCTGTCACCCAAACTGGAGTGCAGCGGCATGATCTTGGCCCATTGCAACCTCTGCCTCACAGGTTCAAGTGATTCTCACGCCTCAGCCTCCCAAGTAGCTGGGATTACAGGCAGGTGACACTACACCCAGCTAACTTTTTTATATTTTTAGTAGAGATGGGGTTTCGTCATGTTGGCCAGGCTGGTCTCTGGCCTCAAGTGATCCACCCACCTCGGCCTTCCAAAGTGCTGGGATTACAGGCATGAGCCACCATGCCCAGCCTAAAACCCTATAATTTTTAGAAATACGTGTGTGTAAGGCATGCATGCCTGTGTTTGAAATATTCTTATTCTGTTGAACTTTTATAATTATTTTTATCAATTCCTTTTAGTTTTAAGTTTTTCTTTATCCGTGTTCATAATCAAGGAAATTATTTTTCTATCAGATGTGTTTTTTATTTTCAGGGGTTGAGGAGAAGCGAGGATGAGGTCGGCCTAAGAAGGGATGCTTTGTCTAGGTATTCTATCACAATCCAGATGCTTGAGGTATCTGGAATTCTTATTTTTCACCTGAGTAGGATATTACTTGTTCTTAATTTTTTCTCATATCACTTTGGTCACTTTTTTTTTTTTTTTAACAACCCATGATAAAAACAGAAATTCAGAGCTGGCCTAAGTGGATGCAATTTTCACAGAGGCCTGACTCAGTGAGCAGCATTATCTTGCAAAGCCCTACACTGAATGTCCCCTTTTATAAATGGAGTCTTCTTGGTTCAACAGCGTCAGTGTGCAAACCAGCCTGGGAAGGGTGCTGGGTTGAAAGGTATCATGTCCATACAGTCCTTTGCTGCCCTCATCACCATTTGATACATGTACCTCTCGGAAGGTGGGGTCGAGCATATAATGAAAGCACAGAATTCAATATCTGGGGAGGAGGTAGAATGACAGAGAAAGGGAAAAATAGAAGATTTTTGCAATGTTTTAGCCATCTGTTTCAGCTTGATGAGTCCCCCAAATGTCTCATCAGATAATAACTTATGTTGGGTAGCAATGTATTTTTCAGACTACTACCATATGCACTACCTGATTTCACCATCAGTGTAAGTTTTTATAAAGTATCACTATTCTTATTAGCATCTTCATTTATAGAATCTCAGAGGTTTGAAGACATGCCCAAGATCTGAGAGCCAATTGAAGAGTAGAGCCAGCATTTGAATTCGGATCCTCTGACCTCAAATCCCATACTAGTCCCATGAGAATACAATGTCTTAGATTTACAATGGTCAATTGATTGACATTTCATTGTCGGCTATTCCCCTTGGTCTCCTCTGACAGCAAGATGATCAAAAAGCAGGCCAACAGGAAGAGCAGCAAAAAGATTCAGATCATTCTGAAACCAAAAACCCAGTGTCTGAGGAATCCAGAGCTAACTGGGTAATAATTAGGTTATAATGGTGGTGACAACCAGAGAATGTTCCATTACTGTCATACTAATACTGATATCTCTACCCCTTTGAGAAGCCACCATTTGGATAATTCCTTTAATCCCACCGTGGTCACTGCACCTGGTGCTCTTGTAGGACTCACACTGCTCATGTCTGATCACGAATATGTGTAAAATCCAGTTGGAACATGGCATTGTGGAAAACGAAAGGTTGTGCTGAGTCAAATGATATGCCTGCAAGAAGAGTTAGCCTTTCAAGCTAGGCAAATGGGTTACTTAGTAGGCTCTGCCTGCACACCCCTCCACCTGCCCTTTATATCTTGTTACCTTTCACTACATTGTATTAAAACAAATATTTCAAGGCCTCTATGCTGCTTATGCAGCTTTTATATCAGGGACTCTGTTCTATTCATTCTTGTATTGCCATTGTCTGCTATTAGGAAGAACACTTATTCCTCCACTTCTCATGTTCCCACATAGCAATGTTTATGAATGCAATACTCCAAGCTTCTCTGTGGCCCTTTGTTCACTGCTCTTCCTCTCCCAGGCTTCCCTGGAAGAAGAGAAACTTCTCTAATTGACAGGTTTGGCAGAATGAACCCAGAACACATCGGAAGGAATCAGCCTGCCTTCAGGAACCTGTATTCTCTTTCCACTGTACTGAAAGCTTAGTCAGTTGGGAGATAAATTTAATTCAGAGAGTGCTGATTATCTTAGCGAGTCTATATGGCCATTTCTCGAATCAACTTTATTGGTAAAGTTGACATTTTGATCTGCATATCTCTGACTGTGCATTTATCTTTGAAATGGATGAGACAAGGAAGTGTGGTGTTATTTATTGAGACTTTAAAACCCTAATGAATGTGTTTAAGAAATGTTTGTGGAGGAAGAAATTAATGAATGTATAACAGAATGTCTGACCAACATCCTTTATAATGGTACAGCTTTCACAGGGAAGATGGTTTAGAGCTTTTCCATAAGAATTGAATCTAATGGTTAGGAACTGAATCTAATGGTCAGAAACTTGCACGCTTGAGCCTCACAAATGTATATGTGGAATGCTGGTCTTTAAACAAAAAAACCCTTAGCAGTATGAATAATTAGAGCAGCCTCTAATCTTTAATGGGTAAGTATTGTAGGCAATTCCATATGCATCCACATCTTTAAATTTCTGTATGCATCAACATTTGACTGACAGCTAATCTTAGTCTAATATGTAATTATAAAGTTTCCTTTGGAATGGCCAGCCTGAAATACTACCCATGCTTCTCTATGTCTGTGCTGTGGCTTAGTGGCCCTATTTTTTCTGTAGATGTGTTTATGTGCAGGGAGGGTGAAAAATGAGAGAAAGAAAGAAAGTGTATGTGCATGTGATTAGAAATATGTGAGAGTTTCCTTATTAATCGGTGGAAGGAGCTTGGTAATTTACCCTGAGGTACAATCACAGTAATTCCCCTTATCTGTCAGTTTCATTACAAAAAGAATTAGGACAGTGACCGACATGAGGTGACAAGAACCCACACACACACACACAAATTTCCAGAATATGAGAGCTAAAGGACATAATGCCCCCAAGAAGCCAGTGAGAGCAAGCCGCTGTAATAAGTTCTCTCTCGTTTACATTATCTGACCAGTAGGGAAAAGGAGAAAGGAAGGGAGAGAGGAAGGGAGGGGGAAAGAGGCTACACAAAACATCCAGGTTACATGTAAAATCACTTTGGGTTGTGAACACTTCACGCCCAGTTACTGAAATGAAATTTCAAGGGTGATCATTAATTATTATGACTCAAGAGCAAAACTTCTTTCCCTCCTTCCTTGTGCAGAAATCCAGTATTCTATCCAGCAAGTTGCCTACTCAGGGGCCTAGCCCCTAGCACTGCCACTGATGATAGCTTCCTCACCAGGAGAAGAGCTACAACTACAGCCGCTGCCAGAAATGTCTGGCACCAGACTCCTCTCCAACTCAGCGCCTAATGCCATTACATGTTCTACAACAGCTGCACAGATACCTCAGTGAGCCATTTGAGCATTTCAGAACGGATAAAGAACTGCCATTTACTTATGCCCAACACTAATCCAAACATGGTCTTTCACAAGATGATCTAAATAAAACGGCCAACTGGGCTGATCACAAAAAGTTTACAAGTGAAGCTTTCAAGCAGAACTTCTTCTCGCTCCCTTGTAAAACTAGGTGCTACAGATATCACACGTACAGAGAAGGACAGAGAGCAAAGACATCACTCTAGTTTCTCCCCCAGGCATAATACAGTGGGTTTGCTTTCTTTCTTGTCTATATGACCACTTTTAGTTGGCTTCTTTCTAGCAGATAATCTATTTAATCAAGTGGTCACACAGTCATAAACTATCATCCACAAGCAGTCATTATGCACCTGCTTAGCAAATACCTGGTGTACAGAAATAATCAATAACATACCCCCTCCTCCCCTTCAACAGCCTAGTCAGTGAGAGAGATATTTAACAGAGATGTGCAAACACGTTTTAGGTACTATACATGATGTCTGCTTGGAGCACAGTGGGGTTCAAAGGAGAAAGTGGCCAATAGTCTTTGGGAAAAGGCAAGGAAGGGAGTAGCTCAGAGAGGGTTCCACCTTAAAGATGATCTTGTCCAGTGGTTTCCATCAGGTTCCTCTGAGTGTTTAGGTGCCTCAGAAAGTGAGGTGTGCTTCTTCTGCAGTTCCAAAGAGAAGCATCACTCTTGATCCACTCTATATATTGAAGCATCAAATGACGTGTTGTTAAAAAAAAAAAAAATTAACACCTGGCACACAAATTCTTCAAGGTAGATATTTTGTTGGGAGGGAAAAAAAAAGAATAAATAGGAATCCATGATGTTCAGAGAGAAAAAGAAGGGAGAAGGGGGAGGGAATGAGGAGAGAAAGGGCAACAACCAGAGGCTAGAGTCCAAGTTTTTAAAACAGACAAAAAACATCTAGCAGCACCTGATAGAAATTTTATTTTATTTGCTTGTAAATTCCGCCGTCTTCTCAAAATATTTGGTAAATCCTTCTACACACAAGGCCTTGCATGAGTGTTGACCCATACTCCGTGGAAGTGGGCCCATACGATGACAGTCCTGGGAATTGCACTTTCACCCGGTAGAGGCTGATGAGGCTTCACTTGGCTTTCCTAGAACTTAAAGGTCGAGGAGTCCCTAACACCTGGGTCAGATGACTAAAATTCATTTGAAAAATAAAAGTGGGTTAGATCTGCAGCTAAAGCTGGTTTGAAAGCCATTTGTTTAATCCAAGGCCTTCATTTTATTGATGAAAAACCACAGGCTCCAGAAAAGTGAAGGGATCTATGTGAGGTCATCCCTCAGCTTTTAAAGGACAGAGTCAGGACTGGAACCCAATTCCCCTGACCCAGGAGAAGCCAGGTCTCTGCCCACTATGCAAAGTTCCATTCAGCAATCTGTTGTAACCGTGGTACTTAGGAGGAGGAGAGGAGTTACATGCCAAGTCCCGATCTCAATCCCACAGCATAGCACCGCACAGCAAGAAGAATATGGACTCTGGAATCAGAGAGAATCCATGGATTTTGCTGCATAACATTGCGCAAGGGATTTAATCTCACTGAGACTCAGGTTATCATCTATAAATGGAACAATAATACTTAATGCAAGATGTAAAAAACTCTAGTAAAGCAATGTATGTAAAGTATATGCCACAGATACTTTACATATATCCATATGCAATGGATAAACTGTAGCAATCATTATTGCTGTCAAATGGAGATCTTTTCATGTACCACAGATTTATTTTAAAATGCTTTTTATTTAATTATAAGACTAATACATTTTCATTAGCAATAATTGAGAAACTATAAAGAAAAAAACTTTTTAAAGATTTCCCACATTCCTACTACCCTGAAACAACCACTGTTAACATTTTGATGTATTTTAACAGGAATGATTTAGAATGTGCCATTTCTTATGCCTTGTAACCTTCCAATAGCACTCAATTTAGAGTAAAACAATGGCAGGAATGCAGTCTGTTCTAAAACCAATTTCTTGTTTGTTTTGTATTTTAGGGGGTAGTGGGAGGAGAGAAATTATATACAGATATAAACTATGTCAATACAAACATTATCACATTCTAAAATCATATTTTCATCCTTTTTTACAATTATATTTGCAGAGTGCTTTACGATCTATTAAAAACATTCCTATATACTATCTTTTTTTATTCTCTTAACAGCCCAGGGCACTAGGTACTATTATTATACACATTTTACAGATGAGGAAATTGAGGATCAGAAAAGTTAAATGCTTTACTGTAGGTCTTTCAGATAGTGAGAGTTTGGACTGAAGCCTAGGATTTCTGATTCAAAGCTGGTACCTCTCTGCTAATTATTCTTACCAAGGAGAACTCTCTCTAATTAGCCTAATAATTTGAACAGCCTCAAAGATATATTAGGAAAGAGCACATTGAGCTTCTGAAAGCACCAGAATACAAGTCGGGAGATCTAGGTTGAATGCGTGGTTTCGGTGTTGGCAAATCATTTACTCTCTCTGGGTTTAAGGGTTGTTCATTAAGGGTTCTTACATTCTAAGACTAAATTCTATCATTGTAAAGCAAATACAAAAATGTTTAACATGTGAAAACATTTCTGATATGATGCTTTTAAAAATAGCCTCTAAAATGCATTTTAAAACCTACTGTGAGATAACTTCCACCTAAAATGTCAAGAATCTCCAATCTAGCCTAGGCCTGGACCACCTGTCACCCCTAGGAGAATCTACTTTTGAGAATCTACTTTGCTGTAGGCCCCGATTTGGCAGACAGAACTTAGCCAAATGTGAGTATCTGAAGTGGAATTCCAAATATGGATATCTTTTTCTAAGAGTATGCTGTTCACTCAGTTGAATCCTGATGACTGTTTTATGATGCGCTACCTTGTTATCAGCTGGATGTCAATTTGGGATTTTCAGAACACATATACCTTTTAAATCAGATTTTATGAGAGATTCTAAGAGATTGTCTAAATATTCTTTTGCGAGAGAAGGGGAAAGAACCACTGAACTTAACTGAATTCCCTGAATCCAATATGGCAGACTGAGTTCTTAATCCAAGAAATGCATGTGTTATAGTCACCAGTATCTAGGACTACCAGCCAAGTCAACTTAGAGGCCGGCCCCTGCTAACTACAGATGAACTGCTGCTCATATTCTCCTGATCTTTAGACTTTGCAGACCTCAGACTGAAGTAGCTTCTCCACTTCAGGAAGTCTCAGGAAGGACATGGGACCAACAGTCGTGTTGCAAAGGGAGGGTGTGTACAGCTCTTTCCCATGCTAAAACAGCAAGGCCCTTCTTCTGAACACACTCCATTTCCTAGACTGTTGAACAAATTTGAAAAAGATGATTTTCCAAGCCATACACTTAACCAGATCATTATGATTTTTCTTTGAGTTCTATTTGTATTTCTCAGCCTGGCTTTCAAGGCCCCTGCCTCCCTAGACAACTTCTCCTACCATTCTTCTGCCCAGGTTCGACTATGCTGACAGGATGAGCACTGTCCTCCTTTCCTCTTTCCCCACAACAGAAATAACTCCCACTTCCTCGCCACTTATCCAAGGCCTTTACATTCTTCAAATCTCAAAAACAGTGACATCTCCAGGAAGTCTTCCCAGGTTAGCATGCTAACATACCTTGATAGCTGCTATTTTAGATGCTTCTAGCACCTGTTACCCTTGTCATACCTTTAGTTCTTAATCACATGTGGTCCTTTATTACACAGCTGTGTCACATGTGTACATAGAGCTTATCAGCTCAACTAGATTTTAATTTTTTTAAGAACAGGAACTCGGCTGGGCATGGTGGCTCACACCTTTAATCCCAGCACTTTGGGCGGCTGAGGGGGATGGATCATGAGGTCAGGAGTTCGAGACCAGCCTGGCCAGTATGGTGAAACCCCATCTCTACTAAAAATTCAAAAATTAGTCAGGCGTGGTGGTACGCGCCTGCCTGTAGTCCCAGCTACTCGGGAGGCTGAGGCAGAATAATCGCTTGAACCCAGGAGATGGAGGTTGCAGTGAGCTGAGATCGTGCCACTGCACTCCAGCCTGGGTAGCAAAGCAAGACTCTGTCTCAAAGAAGCAAACAAAAACAGGAACTCTGTCACAGAGTGACTTAGTGCACATTTAGAGAAACAGAAGAACATGAGGTTGAGAGGCTGGACTTTGTTGACAGATGCCTTCATGTGAATCCACCCATGTTCCTTACTAGTGCGTGACCTTAGCCAGGGGCCTAATATCTTTGTGTATCTCTGTTTTCTTATCGTAAAATGGGGAATATGATGGTACCTATCTTTTCAGGTTGTTGGGAAGATTTTAGTAGTGTTTTCAGGTAACAAGTTCAGAATAGGACCTGGCGTGTCTTATAGCACCCAATCGATATTGGCTACCACCATGTAGGAAGGGCTTAATCTCCCACATAGAGCATATGGGAGCGTGCTATGGGCTGCAGGATACACATATATGCAAATTCGCCTGCACCATCAAGGAACAGGGGTTGGGAAGTGGGGGACAGACCTGGACTCAAATATTTGATAAAACTACACTGTGGTTAGCGAGATCATAGAGGAAAGCACAGGAAACTGCAAATCCCCCTGACACCCAGCATTGCTAAATGAGAACTAGGTGCACAATCCATGAGGAATGATGATTTGATTTGAGTGGTGCTGGTTGAAATCTATTCAGTTAGTAATCACATACACAGTACCTCAAAAGAGTCCTTTAGTAGCTTTATAATGCAGAAACCACAGACGGGTTCAATTTGGCAGTGTTATTAAGCAAATAAATGGATTTTTAGATATTTAACTTCTAATCATATGTGAACTTCAGGAAGCTAAATGCTCCAATGACACCGCTAAATACCTCTTTGTTATAAAGCCATGGTTTGACTTTTGAGGCAAAGTCGAGAGCCTAAATTCAACCCCATTAGTTCATATTTTGTCCAAAATGCAGCTTATAACGAAACCAGCAAATTAGGTCCCTTGACCATAAACCTCACAGAAGGAAAGCAAACAGAGCATGAATCAAAAAGGCTTTAGACAGAAGTTAGCTATTAGTAACATATAAATTAAGTGTAAAATCAAAGTTGGGTGGGAGAGTAAGTTCAGTGGTTATGGTCTTAATGTAACCTAACAAAGGCAACCTCAGCACAAATAAAAGTAATTATAATCATAATGTAAACTCTTTCATTATGTTCTTACATAATTCAAGCTCCAAAGAGTAGGCCTCATTTTTAACTCACTGCGACTGTCCTTAACTTGTCACATTGTACCAAGTTGCTATAGTCCCTATGGTGTCAAAACATCACAAGCTTTTCCCAGACCTCATCTGTATTTTTGAACAATGGGGTGAGTCACTGTTAGCCACAAGTGTGACTCTGTGACCACTGGCACTTCGTATCACCAAATTTGCACAACTCTGGCTGAATCACATTAATTAAGTTTTGAGTGCTGCTATTTAAAGTTATTTAATTCTCCCCTAGAGTTACACAGAGTGGGATCTTAGCCCATTGTTTTCAAAGGAGTTTGAAAACTTACACACGGGCCCAATTGTTTTCCTACATATTTAGAGAATGTTAGAACACACTGCAGCTGCTCTAAGAACTATGGAAGCTTTTCCCAGTCTCTGCGGTCTATTGGCCAAATTTATATTGACGGATACTTCAGAGCGTGGATTATTGAGCTAATAGACCTCAACGACTCACTATTGTGTGCATCAGAACTGTCACACCCATTTATAAGGCAGATCTGTTCCATGTGACTGAAGACAAAGAGATATAACAGAGAATACTTTTTTGAAAAGTCACCTCACAAGCATTGATGACGTTAGTCTTATAAAACCATCTGTCTGGAAAACCTGTAGTACTCCAAGAACACTCATGCCCCATAATGGCCTATAAATGTTTTTGTAAGAGTTCCAAAAAAGTGCACAACCAGTACATTTCTGTTTTCTATTTTTGTGCCTTCAAAAAAGAAAAAAAAAAAGTAAAAATAGCCAAAGGACTGGGTTTTTTTCCTTTGACAATTTGTCAAAGGAAAAAAAAAAGGTCACTTTAAGGCTGAAACTTTGTATGCCAAGTTTTTGTTTGGAACTAATTTTTATGGCTGAGTTATAAAGCCCCTGAAAAAGGGGGTTTCTAGTGGAAATGCTGACACAGCTTTACCCATAGTGGCAAGAAGGGGGCTGCTGCACTGCCTGTTTGTACCATGTTTGCTTTGTTGTGGCTTTAGAAAGAGAAATCTTGACTCTTAGCCCTGGGCACTATACACTGCTTAAAAGTATGTGTGTGTTCATATATTCTGACTACTTGTGGTTTGCAAAGAAGCTAGCACTGAAGCCTTCTGTGAAATGAACCTAGTAACCCATTGTGAGAGGGGACAGACTTATTTCCTGACTTTTAATAGATTTCATTATCCCAGAGACTCACCTTCCCCTGGATTTAACAACAGTAACTACCTACAGAAAGCAGGGAACAGTCCCAGCTTCCTCGTTAATAGTTCTTTAAATCTTAATTTTCAACAATTGTCTGCTGATAAAACTAGAAAAGCTAATGATGAGCTGTTTGTGCAGATTAAACGATAATGTGAATTACTTGGACACAAGGATGTATGAGGATCTGAATTACTGTTAGTCTACATCACCATTATAGTTTTAAGGTGGATATCTAATGAACTTACTCTGATTTGAAGTAGAAAGACTGTAGTGGGGAAAGCTTTTGAGAGAAGCAGGATTCTTTTCATTTCTACCTCCTGAGGGATGCTGTTCAAAAAACACTCCATTACAGTTGTAAAAAGACTAACTTCAGAACCCTACAACCTGCCCATATTCTAAAACAACAGCAACAAATAATTATTCATTAATGTCAAAAAACCCATCAAACCTATGGAAACTATTCTCCAATGTTCCTGTGGATTCCACATTATCATTCAAAATTCCTAGGTGTGGACAGCATAGCTTTGCATTATAAGGATGTTGCTGAACTAAAGGAGCCCAGTGGGGTTCTTGGACCTGGGGTACACTCTGACTTTGGTAGTTATGTTAAAATTACTAAACTCCAGTTCACAAAAGCATCATATTTTTAAAAAGGGGACAAAACTTGCTTCATTTAATTTTTCCAGAGAGCCTTTATTCCGTTAAATAAAAGAAAAAAGGCTTTTCTGAACTTCAGTGTTTTGTAGCTTGGGCTTTATTTCCACCTTAAAATCTTTACCTGGCCATGATCTGTTGTTCCATTACTGGAGGGCAAAAATGGGAGGAATTTTCTGGGCTAAATTGCAATTAGGCAGCCCTGAGTGCGGCTGGCACCAGTTAACTTAGGATATTGGAGTGAAAAGGCCCGTAATCAGCCTTCGGTCATGTAGAACAATGCATAAAATTAAATTGACATTAATGAATAATTGTGTAATGAAAATGGAAGAGGAGAGTTAATTGCATGTTACAGTGAGTGTAATGCCTAGATAACCTTGCATTTAATGCTATTCTTAGCCCTGCTGCCAAGACTGCTACAGAACCTCTCTCAGCAGGAAGTCATTAAAGCTGTGAGTAGATAATGCAGGCTCAGTGAAACCTAAGTGGCAACAATATAACAAGAGTTTCTTTCAGACCTTAGTGTTTTCTGGAAAAAAGGGCATGTTGAGGTAATTTGTACACATCTGAATGAAAACAGGAAACTCCTAGCAATCTATTTGCAGTTTGTCCAGTCCCCCAGATTGCCCAACTCTTGTAGAGACCAAGGTCAGCTCCTATAATCAAAGAAGCCTAAACCACTGGGGCTTACAAGGCTATAAGCACCCAGCTGCCTACCAGCTACAACTTAGTTTTGTTAATCACTTAGTGTGGCAGAGTCTGTGAAATGTTTGACCTCAGACTTAAAAGACCAGGGGAGTATGTCCTCAGGACCAGTTCATGGACGCCACCTGCTCAAACAGATAATCATTTCAGGAGCCCCAACATTCTCAAATACCCACCCTGAAACTTTCATTTAAAGCTATGTGTCCTTTGACTGTGGCCAACAGTAAGATCATTCTAGACCTGCGTCTTAAGGTTTCTCAAAATTTCCAAGAAGAAAATCCACAATATTCTTCTCCCGACTATATTTCTTTTTATTATGGTTGTTTCTAACTTTTAGTCATTGCAAGGTTTTATTTTTAGTCATTTGGGGGTTTTATTTTTCTCTTTAATCTATGGACTGTCCAGAGGGAGTCTACTCTGACAAAAGGGCACCTTTTTCAGCCTGAAAGACAAGAGGTAAACAGCATGCTGCTCGATTGATCACTGTGGAATTGCCCCTGGCCAGTGGTCCTGGGTGGAATGTACATATGGCATGCATGTGGTTAAAAAGACCAGATAAAAACAGATTCTAGGGAAAGTGCTCGAAGGAAGTGGATGAGTTTAAATACCTGTCATTTTGCATTTTTACAAAATATAGTTTTAAACCTCATTTGGAAAACAAAACTCAGTGCTACCAACAGTAGCCAAGATTTATTAATTGAAAGGGAGCTCTAATTCTTTTTCAGTCTCATATTTTTTTTCTTGCAAATCCAGGTGTCAGTACGTATTTCCACCAAAGTGATTTTTGATTGAGGAATTATTTCATCCTGAGGGCTTCATTTTGTTAGCTTTTGATTTGCACAGAAATGTGTTTTTCTCACGTCATTCAGGATGGATCTTCAGTGTTGCTGTTTGGATGCCTTATGCTCCACAGACCTTCACTCATATTCCCTAGTTCTGCTGGGCATGGGGGGCACGTGGGGCCCGTGCTCACAGGTCCCAAACAATAAAAGATGCTTCTTCCATCAAGAAATTCTCGGAAATAACAAATCTCTGAGAAGAAGATAACCAGCCCAAAAGAGATAGGTCCTGGGTATTGGGAAATGTGTCTAGAATACAATGCATAGCATCACCTACTATTGGCCAGGTTAATACACAAACAATTGGAATTCTCAGATTAAAAATAATAATAACAAAGAGGAGAAGGAGGAAGAGGAGGGGACAAAGGAAAAGAGCCAGAACTTCATCTTAGAACAGAGTCAAGCCATTGGCATTTTTTGCTCCCAGAGCTTAATCTGTCAGAGGATTCTGTCCCTTACTTGCACTGTGATTTTGGCAAATTCTTGTCCTCTCTGAGCCCTCAGATCTTAGCTAGCAATGGCAGTGGTACTCACCTCTAGAAGTGTTGTGTAGGCTAAGTGTGATAATGCTTACAAGTGCTACATAAATATTGCTTTTATTGTTTATCGTTGCCTTCATCAATTCTGTGACCATTGCTCTGCCCAGGCCACCTTCCTTCTTGACCACCACAGAGACCACACCTATTTCTGTATACCTTTGATACCTGTAAACCTTAAACATCTTGTCCAAACAATTCTGCCCATCCTGGAATTTCCCTATATAATTCTAACTTGAAATGATCTTTCCCTGTCTAATTTCCACCGACTTGCATGTCTCACCCTGGAAACTTATTTTATTTCCTGATATGCAGGGTTAAGTCTTGTTTTATAACATTCAGCTTGTGTTCCTACGAGATTCAAGTAAATAGGAGGGCTTAATTTATGTCTTGTTTTCAATGTGCATTACCTCAAAAATCAAAGTGCAAGCGACAGGAAATATTCAAACATGACAAAAGAAACACAATAGTTCAAACCATACTTAACTAGAATTTTAAGGTTGAGTGCGGTGGCTCACACCTGTAATCCCAACACTTTGGAAGGCCAAGATGGGAGGATCACTTGAGGCCAGGAATTTGAGACCAGCCTGAGCAACATAGTAGGATCCCATCTCTATATTTAAAAACCAAAAGATGGCCAGGCGCGGTGGCTCACGCCTGTAATCTCAGCACTTTGGGAGGCCGAGTTGGGCAGATCACGAGGTCAGGAGATTGAGACCATCCTGGCTAACACGGTGAAACCCCATCTCTACTAAACGTACAAAAAATTTGCCGGGCGTGGCGGCAGGCGCCTGTAGTCCCAGCTACTCAGGAGGCTGAGGCAGGAGAATGTCTTGAACCCAGGAGGTGGAGCTTGCAGTGAGCTGAGATCGCGCCACTGCACTCCAGCCTGGGCAACAGTGCAAGAGTCCAGAAAAAAAAAAAAAAGCAAAAATAAAAAATAAATAAAAATAGAATTTGCATGGGCCAGACACAGTGGCTCATGCCTGTAATCCTAGCACTTTGGGAGGCCTAGGCGGGTGGATTGCCTGAGCTCAGGAGTTCGAGACCAGCCTGGGCAACACGGTGAAACCCCGTTTCTACTAAAGTACAAAAAATTAGCTGGGTGTGGTGGTGCACGCCTGTAATCCCAGCTACTCGGGAGGCTGAGGCAGAATTGCTTGAACCCAGGAAGTGGAGGTTGCAGTGAGCCAAGATCGTGCCACTGCACTCCAGCCTGGGTGACAGAGCAAGACTCCATCTCAAAAAAAAAAAAAAAATTGCAGAGAATATAGAATTTTGATTAATTGAATTTACAACTACATGGGAAAATTACTTCTATAAGTTTTCTATAAAGACATAAAGACTTTTAAAACGTACAAATTTCTCATCTTTAAGGACAATGTAGTGACTATATCAATGCTTATTTGATGAGTAGGGACTTTTTAATGCATATGGCCATAATGCTAAGCAATTATCGTTATTATTATTATTATTATTTTCAGATGGGGGTCTGGCTCTGTCTCATAGGCTGGAGTGCAGTAACACAATCTCAGCTCACTGCAGCCTCCACCTCCTAAGTTCATGCAATTCTCCCACCTCAGCCTCCCGAATAGCTGGGATTACAGAGGTGCACCACCACACCTGGCTAATTTTTGTATTTTTAGTAGGGATGGGGTTTCACCATGTTGGCCAGGCTGGTCTCAAACTCCTGACCTCAGGTGATCCACTCACCTTGGCTTCCCAAAGTGCTGGGATTACAGACATGTGCCATCGCACCTGGCCAATGCTAAACAATTATAAATACAGGATAGATTGAGACAGAAAGACTAGGTTAAGTATATTCTAACTTTTAAACAGATCAGCACTAGTATGAGCAATTTTTTTTTTGTATTTTCTTTTTTAGGGAGATAGAAGTGTTTTACTGGAAGAGAGAAGGAATGCTTAATCAGTTTTACTATTAGATACAATCACTCAGGAAAAAAAGAGGTTTTGCTACATGTAGATAAAGAGGCTTCAAAGTTTATTGTTAAAACTGATAAAAGACAATGATCAGAGGAATATTTCATTTGTTTTTTGTGAGTCCTTTTGAGAACATGGAAAGAATTCAAAGTTAAGAGGTAATATGGCTTGGAAAAAAGGAGCTCCACTTTTTCAGCACTGCCACTTCTAAGCCACAAAACCTAGGGGAGAAAACTGATCTCACTTCCCCTTACTTTCCTCACCTGTACAGTGAAGGGTTTTCAAGGTCTTCTCCAGAACAATATTCTAAGAATGCTTTGCAAAATTAAATATGCATTTATTGATAATTTACTATGTGGAAAGGCATCATGTTATCTCATAGGATACAGAAATGCAAAAACAGTAAGTACTTTCAAAAAACACTTATCATCAGGAGCCAGTGTATGAACCTTAAAAAAGTTTTAAGTCATAAACTGTTTCCCTTTACAAGTGGCCATTCTGATGCAGGGCAGGGGAGCCCCCAAACTGGGGCTTAGCCTGGCAGGGTTCTTGGCTTCACTCCAAAAAGAATTCAAGGGTGAGCTGGTGGTGTTAGACAGCAACTTTTATTGAAGCAGCAGTGTACAGCAGTGGCAGAGGTACTGCTCCTTGCAGAGCAGGCCTAACCCACAGGCAGTGTGCCCAGAGTAGCAGCTCAGAGGCAACTCTGCAGTCATATTTATACCCATTTTTAAGTATATGCAAATTAAGGGGCAAATTATGCACAAATTCTTAGACAAAATATGGTAACTTCCAGACTGATATGGTTTGTCTCTGTGTCCCCACACAAATCTCACCTTTATTTGTAATAATTCCTACATGTTGTGGGAGGGACCCCGTGGGAGGTAATTGAAACATGCATGGGGGCGGGTCTTTCCTGCACTGCTCTCATGATAGTGAATAAGTCTCATGAGATCTGATAGTTTTATAAAGGGGAGTTCCCCTGCACAAGCTCTCCTGCCTGCCACCATGTAAGATGTTAACTTTGCTCTTCCTTCATCTTCCACCATGATTGTGACGTCTCGCCAATCATGTGCAACTGTGAGTCCATTAAACCTCCTTTATAAATTACCTTGTCTCATGTATGTCTTCATTAGCACTGTGAGAACAGACTAATGCACAGATCATTGAGTCACTGCCATGGCAAGGGACAGTAACTTCCAGGTGTTGCCATGGCAATGGTAAACTGACTTAGCAAACTGGTGTCCAGGTCTTACAGAGAGGTGCTTTCTCCTCTTCCCTCTTTTAGCTAGTCCTCAATCTGGTCTGGTGCCCAAGCCCTGCCTCTGGAGTCGAGTCTCACCTTCTACCTCAATTCCATACGATGCTGGTCTGTTGAGGAGCAGTAGTAACATGCCTTTACCTTGGAGGAATGGACCACCAATAATCCCTGTACAGGTCTTCAAACAGTGAGCATTTCCTTCCCTTTCCTGTGCATTTGCTTTGGACTCCTCTAAGCAATTGGAAAGCAAAAAATTAATCTATATTTGGTTAAAAATAACAGTATAATTGCTGATAATAATCATGGTAATGAGAACAGTAACAAAAAAGGAATCCACCTGTGAGTTATTTGAATTCACGTATAAATTTAAACTAAAAATCACCTTTGAAACTAAGCATGGAATAATGTATTTTGGATATTCTTTAGAAAGGATGATGACCGGTTAACCATCTAGACACAGATCTGTGAAGATGTGTATAGGAAGTAAAAAATAAATACATAAAAATTGAGCTTAAGACTTTTTTTCTTTTAACTGATGTTTTGCCAGTATGTTATGGGCTTCATCAGAGAATGCAAACACAAACTTGTGTTTGGACTTCAAAGCATTTTTCAATTCCAGCTTAAGTAATGAAATAAATGTGTAAAGTCACAGATCCAGGGACTGCTTTGTATTGCTGGTTGTTTTATCACAACATTGTTTTTTAAAAAGATAGCTCTGTAGATTTAACTTTAATACCTGAAAAAAAAATTGGAAAGCCATTCAAGAGATTGATTTGCAAACAAGGAGAAGATACTAGCTAGTGCTTAGCATGGCTTATTCAGAATAAATTCCACTGGATTAATCTGATCTCATGAGACAGTGACATACTTGACAAATGTCGGGCTGTGGGTATATGAGAAGAGGAAACAAAGATACAATATGTAAACTTATGTCAATGATCAGGGTACATTTAAAACTAGCATCATGTTAGTTTATTCTAGACACATGAACATATACCACTTTTCAAAATCATTGTCTCTGTAACCCTGCTGGAGGCTCAGTTGCCTCATCTGTAAAATACGAGTGATAAATCAGTTCAGTGTTTTTCAAAGCATGGCATGGCCTTTCTGAGGGTCATGAGATTAATCTATTATAGTAGGTAACAACTATCAATTTAAAAAACATATAGTAGAATAAATTAGAATAGAAACCATCAGAGTTAATTGCATGTAGAAAGGGTGGGTTCTGTTTTGTATAACTTTTGTTTCAGTTATGTACTCTATGTGTGTGTGTGTTTAGTGGGGCATAATATTGAGAGATGACAGCGTGCTGGCAGCCCTTGCAGCCCTCGCTCACTCTCGGCACCTCCTTGGCCTTGGTACCCAATCTGGCCATGCTTGAGGAGCCCTCCAGCCCTCCGCTGCACTGTGGGAGCCCCTCTCTGGGCTGACCGAGGCCAGAGCCAGCTCCCTCTGCTTGTGAGGAGGTGTGGAGGGAGAGGCGCGGGCAGGAACCAAGGCTGCATGCAGCGCTCGTGGGCTGGTGCAAGTTCCGGGTGGGCATGGGCTCGGCGGGCCCCGCACTTGGACGGGCTGGCAATTGCACTGGCCCCAGGCAGTGAGGGGCTTAGCACCCAGGCCAGCAGCAGCGCAAGGTGCGCCGGATCCCACAGCATTGCCGGCCTGCTGGCGCTGTGCTCGAATTCTTGCCAGGCCTCAGCTGCCACCCCACAGGGCAGGGCTTGGGACCTGCAGCCCACCATGCCCAAGCTTCCCCCCAGCCATGGACTCCTGCACAGCCCGAGCCTCCTGGACGAGTACCACCCCCTGCTCCGCAGCGCCTGGTCTCATTGACCGCCCAAGGGCTGAGGCGTGTGGACGCATGGCACGGGACTGGCAGGCAGCTCCACCTGTGGCCCTGGTGCGGGATCCACTAGGTGAAGCCAGCTGGGGTCCTGCGTCTAGTGGGGACTTGGAGAACCTTTATGTCTAGCTAAGGGATTTTTAATACACCAATCAGCACCCTGTGTCTAGCTCAAGGTTTGTAAACACACCAATCAGCACAGTGTGTCTACCACAAGGTTTGTAAATGCACCAATCAGTGCTCTGTGTCTAGCTGATCTAGTGGGGACTTGCAGAATCTTTATGTCTAGCTAAAGGATTGTAAATACACCAATCAGCACTCTGTGTCTAGCTCAAGGTTTGTAAACACACCAATCAGCACCCTGTGTCTAGCTCAAGGTTTGTAAATGCACCAATCAGTGCTCTGTGTCTGGCTAATCTAGTGGAGACTTGGAGAACATTTGCCTCTAGCTCAGGGATTGTAAACACACCAATCAGCACCCTGTCAAAACAGACCAATCAGTTCTCTGTAAAACAGACCAATCAGCTCTCTGCAAAATGGACCAATCAGCAGGATGTGGGTGGGGCCAGATAAGGGAATAAAAGCAGGCTGCCCAAGCCAGCAGTGGCAACCTACTAGGGTCCCCTTCCACACTGTGGAGTCTTTGTTCTTTCACTCTTTGCAATAAATCTTGTTGCTGTTCACTCTTTGGGTCTGCAGTGCTTTTATGAGCTGTAACACTCACTGCAAAGGTCTGCAGCTTCACTCCTGAAGCCAGCAAGACCACAAATCCACCAGAAGAAAGAAACTCCGAACACGTCGGGACATCAGAAGGAACAAACTCCGGACACACCATGTTTAAGAACTGTAACGCTCACCGCGAGGGTCCATGACATCATTCTTGAAGTCAGTGAGATCAAGAACCCACCAATTCCGGACACAATATGAAATGTACTTCTTACTGTGACCTGAAATCAAAAACAGTCAAAAGCCGTGGACTTGATATTTATGGTCCCATCTTATCTTTTTCTTTTCTCAGCAAACATTTAGTGCATCTATCATATGTTTTAGTCCATTCTGGCTCTAACATTTTATTCTTTTTTTTTGTTTTTTTTTTTGAGATGGAGTCTCGCTCTGTCGCCCAGGCTGGAGTGCAGTGGCGCGATCTTGGCTCACTGCAAGCTCCACCTCCTGGATTCACACCATTCTCCTGCCTCAGCCTCCCGAATAGCTGGGACTACAGGCACCCACCACCACGCCCGGCTAATTTTTTTTTTTTTTTGCATTTTTAGTAGAGATGGGGTTTCACCGTGTTAGCCAGGTTGGTCTCAATCTCCTGACTCGTGATCCGCCCGCCTCAGCCTCCCAAAGTGCTGGGATTACAGGCGTGAGCCACTGCACCCGGCCAAACCATTCTTATGTAATATTAATGTATTTAAAAGATTCTATATTCACACACACACACACAAATATATATAAGTTTTAAAGCACAGTAATAAAGTAAACCCACCACCAACTTAAGAACAAGAAAGAATATTACTAACTGCATAGGTTCTGCCCCATCCAATCCTAGCCACCGCTTCTCTCTAGAGGTAACCAGGAGCCTAAATTTTACATTATGTCTTTATTTCTTCTTATCTCTTTTATTACATATACATATCCCTAAACAAAATTGTTCTTTGCTTTGATTTGTAATGACTTTTGTAAAAATGGTACTGGCGTGCATCTTTTTTGCAACTTGATTTTATCACTGAAGTACATTTGACAATTCATCAGTGTAGCTAGAATTCATCGATGTGATACAGAAGTGCTGGGTAGAGAAGGGCATGGTCTCTTTAAATGATACAGAAGTGGGACAGAGAAGTGCTGAGTAGAGGAGGGCGTGGTCCCTGGCGAGGGCTCCACCCCATGGACCTAGGTGAAGACAGGCATTTTTATTTTCCTGCCCAAGTGGTGGGTTTCCCAAGACCACCCTGGCCTGCCACACCCTCCATCCTGTGCCTATAAACACCCCTCCCCCCACCCATTCCCCAGACCCTAGCAGGCAGACACACAGGCAGCTGGATGTGGAGAGGAGCACATCAGCGGAAGAACACACGGCGGCTGGACATTTAGAGGAACCCACAGACAGGCACCCACACGCTGGCAGACCACCGACTGGCAGAAGTAGAATGACATGGAGTTTGGCTGGGGCAGTCTGAGGAAAGCCCAGGCCTCTGAGTGCCCAACTCCAGGGAAAAACCTTCTCCATCCTCTTCTCACTTCCCCGGAGCTACCACCACTCAATAAAACCTTACATTCATTCTCCAAGCCCATGTGTGATCTGATTCTTCCGACACACCAAGGCAAGAACCCAGGATACAGAAAGGCCTCTATCCTTGAGACAAGATAGAGGGTCTAATTGAGCTGGTTAATACAAGCCACCTATAGAGGGCAAACTAAAACAGCACCCTGTACCACATGCCCACAGGGGCCTCAGAAGCTGTAAACATTGACCCCTAGACACTGCCATGGGGTTGGAGCCCCACAGCCTGCCCATCTGTATGCTGCCCTAGAGGTTTCAGCAGGGCGGCACTGAAGAAGTGAGCCACACCCACATGGCATGCCCTGCAAGGGGGAAAAGGGAAATTTTCCCATTTCACATTTTCTGTGCTATATAATATTCCATTCTATGACTATACCACCATTTTTATTTAATCCTCCTTTTCCCAGTGAGCTGCTATGCATATCCTTTAAAGATCTCCTCCTGTACATATGCCAGGAATTCACTCAGGTGAAGCTTTCCAGTCTATTTCACATTATGGCACTGTCAGACCTGCATTAATCTGAACTGCAGCTGCTCCCAGCTCTACTCAGCAGACCAAACAGCACACTGTGGCTTCTCGACACATCATTTCACCACTGTTAAACTTCTGCTGTAAGGAATACCTTATCTAGGTGAAGAGTTGCCAGAGCCTCAGGTATAAGAATGTTTGATTTTACAATGTGGTTTCCTAAAGTGGTCATGCCAATTTTTAGTCTGGATAGCAAAATATGTCTATTTTCCCACATCCTTACTTTTAGTTGCTATTACCAGACTTCTTAGTTTTTGCCAATCTAGTGTATATGAATTCTATTTCATCATGGTCATAATTTGCATTTCCCTGATTACTAATGATTTTGAGCATTTTTCTTTCCTTTTTCTTTTTCTTTTTTTTTCCAGATGGAGTTTTGCTCTTGTTGCCCAGGCTGGAGTGCAATGGTGTGATCTTGACTCACTGCAACCTCTGCCTCCTGGGTTGCAATTCTCCTGCCTCAGCCTCCCAAGTAGCTGGGATTACAGATGCATGCCACCACACCCAGCTAATTTTTGTATTTTTAGTAGAGACGGGCTGGTCTCGAACTCCTAATCTCAAGTGATCCACCCGCCTCGGCCTCTCAAAGTGCTGGGATTACAGGCGTGAGCCACTGTGCCTGGCCTGAGCATTTTCTCTATATTTCTCAAATGTATTTCCTCTTCTGTGATATGCCTGTTCAAATACTTTATCCATTTTTCAGTTTGGAAGGGTTTTTTTTTTCTTGTTTACTTTGCAAGAGTTCTTTATGAATACAGGATATTAATACTTTGTTGGTTATATGTTGTCTTAGTCAGCTCAGGCTACCATAATAAAATGCCATAAACTGGGTGACTTAAACAACAGAAAATTTATTTCTCAAAGTTCTAGAAGCTCGAAGTCTAAGATCAGGATGCCAGCATGGTCGGTTTCCAGTGAGGGTTCTTTTCTTGACTTGCAAACAGCTGCCTCTGCTATGGTAGACAGAGCCATCTGTCTGCTGTCTCTTCTCATGAAGGCACTAATCCCATATGAGTGTCCCACCCTCATGACCTCAGCTAACCCTAATTACTTCCCAAAGGGCTCATCCCCAAATACCATCACATTGGAGGTTAAGCCTGCCACATATGAATTTGGGGGCGGACATAATTCAGCCCATAGTATATATATTACAAATATCTTCTAGTTTGTTATCCTTTTACTCTTGTTATGGTGCTTTTTGATGAGCAATTGTAAGCTCACAAATCTTGTTTTTGTAGCAACAAAATTTTTATATTTTCTTGAATATATATATACATTCTTCTAAAAGTTTTATAGTTATGTCTTTACTAGTTTCATTTTTATACATCTGGAATTTGTTTTTGTGAATAAAACAGATTCAATTTCATTTTTGTCCATGTGGATAATTAGTAATATAAATACCGTTTACTGTGTGATCCATACTTCCCAGTGAGCTGCTAGGAAACCTGGTCATCATCATAATTTATGGCAGGCCAACTGTCAGATTCCCCTGTAAGTTCCCTATTCTGTTGCATTGATCAACTTCATTATCCCCATGCCAATATATTATCTGAGAAACTATGTATTTATAATACATCTTGACATATGAACGAACAAAATCCTTTAGCTTATTATTCCTCAGAAGGGTCTGTTTTTTGTTTTGTTTTGTTTTTGAGATGGAGTCTTGCTCTGTCACCAGTCTGGAGTGCAGTGGTGCGATCTCGGCTCACTGCAACCTCCACCTCCTGGGTTCAAGTGATTCTCCTGCCTCAGACTCCCAAATAGCTGGGACCACAGGTGTGTGCCACCATGCCCTGATAATATTTGTATTTTTAGTAGAGACGGGGTTTTGTCATGTTGACCAGGCTGGTTTCAAACGTCTGACCTCAAGTGATCCACCTGCCTCATTCTCCCGAAGTGCTGGGATTAGAAGCATGAGCCACCACGCCCGGACAGAAGGGTCTTAAAAATTCTTGGGCCTTTGTTCTTACATGTAAATTTCACAATTTATACATTATCAAGTTCTTTTTGGAATTTTGTTCGATGTAATGTAATGGAATCAATCTATAGTTAAAATTGGAAATAATCGAAATTCTTACATTACTGAGATTTTCTGTCCAGGATCATGGTTTACTTCTCACTTATTAGATCTTTCAATAAAGTTTTTAAATTTTTCCCAAATAGGTCTTGAAATTTTTCTTTTTTCTTATTCTTATTCCTAGGCATCTTATATTTTCAGTTGAAATTATAAGGTATATAAATACATATATATACATATAGAGAGAGAGAGACAGAGAGAGAGAAAGTATGTTTTCTGTTTTGTTGTCAAGGTGTACATAGTAATTTATTTTTATGTATCGATTGTAATGCTATATTGCTTGTATATTCAGCAATCTTGCCAAACTCTGATATTAATTCCAAATATCTCCATAAGATTATTTTATATTTCCTATGTAGAAAATAATAAATTGAGAATAATGTCAGTTCTTAATTTTGCTAACTTTTGTAAGGGGAAGGGATTATTGCACTGGCTATGTGGAATGTGAAATAGAATGTGGAATAGAACTGGTAATAGTGGGCAACTTTTCCTTTTTCCTGATCGCTAAGGGTTTTGTTGGCATTTTAAATCATGAGTGTTGAATTTTACCAAGTGCTTTTTCTGCATCTATTAAAAAAATTAATATTGGTTGTTCACCTTTGATCTATTACTGGAGTAATTATATTGATCAAGTTTCTAAACTTTCTTTGAATTACTTGGATAAACTAAACTTGGTCATGCTGAATTATTCTTTCTTATATACTAGTATATGCAGTTTTCTAATACTTTGTTTAGGATAGTCAAACTCATAAGTGGAACTAGACTGTAATTTACCTTTGTTATTTTGTCCTTACCTATTTTTTAAATTAGATTAAATACTAGCATTATATATTCCTTTTATTCTGTTTTCTAGAAAAATTTATAAGATTGAAATAATCCATCCTTTGAATATTCTACAGAACTTGCCTGAAACCATTGGTCCCTAGTTTTTTCAAGGTAAGATTTTTAACTAAATGTGCAATGAATAATTGTTTATTTTTTTGTCCGATTTTGTAATTCAGATTTTTCTTGATATTTATCATTTCTGTGTTTAGTTTAAAAATAGCATAAAATTTTTTATATTTTTCTCTTATGTTGTAAATCTTTGACATGTTTTTAGCCCCCTTTTATGATTATAATTATTGCTTATAAGTATCCTTTAACTTTTTTTAGTCAATCTTGTCAGAGATTTTTGTATTTCATTAGTCTTCTTGAAGAACTAGCATTTGTCTTTATTCATCCTTTCTATCACATGCCATTTTCTTTTTACATTAACTTCTGATCTTCATTGTCTCCTTCAAGTACATTTGTTGGATTTATTCTGTTGATACAGCCTAATTCAGACATTGGCACACTTTTCTGTGAAGGACCAAGTAGTCAATATTTTAGGCTTTGTGGACCATACAGTGTCTGTTACAAGTAATAGGCTCATGCCATTGTAGCATGAAAGCAACCATAGACAAAATGTACATGAATGGGCATGGTGTGTTCCAATAAAACTTTATTTACAAAAACAGGAGCAAGATTTGACTCTTGGCTTGAGCCAGTTTACTGACTCTTGGATTCTCAATACGTGGTCTATAAACTTCTGAGGGGTCCCTAGGAACTTTTTAGGAAGTAAAATCAAAACTATTTTCATTACAATGCTAGGATGTTACTTTCTTACCATGTTACATTGAACTGCAGTGCAAAAACTAGGGTGGATAAAATCACTGGCACTTTAGCACAAATCAAGGCAGTGATGGTATTTCCATCACTGCACCCTCACTATAAAAATGTATGTCAGTTCACTTAGGAATTTCTTTAATGAAACAGTAAAAACTATTTAATTTTATTAAAACTTGATCCTTGATTACATATTTTCTTAGTATGCTGTCTAATGAACTGGAATTTACACATAAAGCAATTCTGCTGTATTTTAAAGTATGATGCCTTTCTCAAAAAAAAGAACTTACATGATTGTTGGAGTTGCAAGCTGAACTAGCCATTTTCATCACAGGACAGCATTTTTACTTGAAAGAACTAGGCAAACTACGAGTACCTAGCTTTGGGTATTTGTCAGGCATTTTCTCAAAAATGAATGAAATGAGACTGTCACTTCAAGGAAAACGTTGAAAATACTTATTACAAGTGTTAAAATTTGAGCTTTCACATAAAAATTAGAATATCTGTCACTGTGAGTTTAACAGCTTCCCAATGCTTAAACGCCATTTTGATGAAATCGGTGGTGAAATTAACAAGTGTTTTTCCATATAATACAATGAAATATGTAAACATTCAGGAGATCTGTGTTACTTGGTGTATGAATATTTTTAGATGATCAATAAATGATATTACAAAATTATGCATGGGTAAAAGATTCATTCAAAGTGCAAGACATACCCATAGATCTTAATGTAACAGATTATGAAACATTCATTGATGTGGTTTCAGATTCCACATTGCAATTAACCTTTAAGAGATTACCATTAGTGGAGATTTGATATAGTATCAAAGAATAATATTCACAATTATATGAAAAGGCTATGAAAATACTCTCCCTTTCCCAGTACATGTCTGTGTGAGGCCAGGTATTCTTCATATACTTCAACCAAACTAACATATTATACGACATTAGATGTAGAAGCAGATATGAGAATCCAATTCTCTTCTATTAAGGTAGACATTAAAGAAATTTGCAATAATGTAAAATAATTATATGCTTATCACTAAATTCGTTTGGGAGAATATTTTTATTAAAACATACGGTTAACATAAAATAGGTTTGTTATTATTTTTAAATGAATCAATAAATGTCTTAAATTTTAAAGTTCTACCTCTGTATGACAGTTATAACTCACATAAATAAAAGCTCTTTGGTGCCCTTGATAATTTTTTTTTTCCCCAAGACAGAGTCTTGCTTTGTCCCCCAGAGCTGGAGTGCAATGGTTTGATCTCGGCTTACTGCAACCTCCACCTCCCAGGTTCAAGCAATTCTCCTGCCTCAGCCTCTCAAGTAGCTAGGATTATAGGCACGCACCACCATGCCTGGCTAATTTTTGTATTTTTATTAGAGACTGGGTTTCACCATGTTGGCCAGGATGGTCTCGAACTCTTGACCTCATGATCTGCCCGTATCGGCCTCCCAAAGTCCTGGGATTACAGGCATGAACCACCATGTCCAGCTGGGGCCCTTGATAATTTTTAAGAGTATCACATGGTCTTCAGGCAAACATTTGAAAACAACTGGTCTAGATTATTCAGTATGATACTTAACTCATTCATTTTTTTTTAGCCTTTCTTCTTTTCTAATGTAACCATTTTAGGCTATAAATGGCCTTCACAGCCTGTTTTCAACCACATCACATAAGTTTTGATAGGTAATGTTATCATCACTTAGTTATAAGTTTTATATTTTCATTATGATGTTTGCTTTGATCCATGAGTAATTTAGAGGTGTTTTTAATTTTTAAAAATGTCGGAATTTTCATTTATCTTTATTATTGGCCTCTAATTTAATTGCACTCCAGTTAAACAATATGATCTATGTAATACCAATTCTTAGAAATTTGTTGTGACTCGCTGTATGTATTAATATGGTGGTAAATTTATAAGGATCACATATGTGTTTGAATATAATATGTATTGTCTATTTTGAGGTGATTCTACAGAAGTCCATTTTATTTTACTTGCTAAAAACAGAGCTAAATTCTTCTATATCTTTACTAATGTGTTGTCTATTGATTTATCAATAATTAAGGGAGTTAAATTGTTAAGCCTGTTACAATCTGCTGCTGCAACTGTGATTTTGTACTTTCCCCCTTATAACTCTATAATTATTCCTTTTCATGTTTTTAGGGCTATTTTACTAGTCAGCTCACACTTGGAATAGTTATATATTCCTGGTGAATTGAAATTATTATAATTATGTAAGTAATCCTCCCAGGAATGCTTCTTTTTTATCTTAAAGCCTATTTTGTTTGGTTTAATACAGTCACCCCATGTTTATTGTGGTTAGCATTTGCCTATTATTTTTTCATGCTTTTAATTTAAACCTTTCTATGTCTTTCAACTTTGGTTGTGTCTCTTGTAACAGTATATCACTGGATTGTATCTTTATCCAATATGACAAACTCTGATTTAATGTGCACATATTGTCTATTTTTATTTTTTATAAGTAATGATACTTTTATATTTGTTTCTACCATTCTGTCTCTTTCTTGCTTTTTTCCTTGTTTCTTGTAATTGAGAATTTGTTATAATATTACATTATACCTTTTACTGGTTTCAATGTTATGCATTCTATTTCTATAATTTAGAGGTCACTCTTGAAATTTTCACTATGTATGCTAACTTACCAAAAGTGTAAGTTTTAGTAATGTCTTATCCTGAATAATAGGAAGGTCTTAGAACTCTTTTACTATGACCCACCCCACTCCTAATTTATAGGCTAGTATTGCCCAGCATTTTAATCCCATCTTTTTTAAGCTCTGTAAATTAAACCTTATTTTAAAATTATTTTATATAGACAGCATAATTTTTTAAGTATCTCTGAGTTTAATAAGCCGTTCGTATATCTTTATACTTCACATTGCAACCATTCATTTTTAAGTCCCTTAGTCAGAAGTTCCTTTAATGAAGATTAGCTAAGTTATACATATGATTAAAAAACTTTTGTGTATCCTAAAAATTTTGTATGTGCTCCTCTTTTTTTTTTTTTTTTTAAGACAGAGTCTCACTCTGTTGCCCAGGCAGAAGTGCATCGGCTGGATCTCAGCTCACTGCAAACTCCGCCTCCCAGGTTCACGCCATTCTCCTGCCTCAGCCTCCAGAGTAGCTGTGACTACAGGTGCCTGCCACCATGGCCAGCTAATTTTTTTTTTGTATTTTTAGTAGAGATGGGGTTTCACCATGTTAGCCAGGATGGTCTTGATCTCCTGACCTTGTGATCTGCCCACCTCGGCCTCCCAAAGTGCTGGGATTACAGGCGTGAGCCACCGCGCCTGGCTTCTCCTCATTTTTTAAAAGATATTTTGTTAGGTACACAATTCTAGGTGGATTATCTTTCAACACACGGATTTTTTTTTTTCCTATTTTTTGTTGTGTCCATTATCACTGATGCAAAGTCTGTTGTGGGTAAAATTGTCATTGCTTTGCAAGTCACCTTTTCTGTCTGGCTGCTGCTAAGATGTTTTCTCTTTGTCTCCAGTGATCTGCAGATACACTGTAATGTGTCTAGTTGTGGATGTCTTAGTTATAGTGGCTTGGCAAAATTGTGTTTGTTTTGTCTGTGGATTCTTCTATTTTGTCAGTTTCAGGAAATTCTGAGCTGTAGACTCCGGTTATTACAACCCTCTTAATCGCCCTGTTTTTCTTTATAACTCTTACTAGATGTCTGTTAGAACTCCTCATTTTGTATTCAATGACTCTTACATTCTCCTTCCTATTTTCTATCTTCTTGTCTCTCTGGGTGACAAAGCTCTCTGGGTGGCATTCTTTATAATTTATTCAGATCTACCTTTCAGTTTATACATTTTATCTCCATTAGTATCTGTTTCTAATTGCAATATTTTTATCCATACATATTCAGTTTGGGCTTTCTCCCCCCTCCCAAAACTTTCAAGGATTTTTTTAAGGTTTCTTGGAAAGTTACTTACTTTTATGCCCTCTTATTTTCTTAAACATTATATGTGTATTTATTTTATATTTTATGTGTACCAAGTTAATATATGAAGTCTTTGTGAGTCTGGATCTTTGTTGTTTCAACTGATGTCCATTCATGGTGGTTTGTTTCCTTGTATGTTTGGAGGGTTTTTTTAGTAAATTATGGGCTCATATTTATGTGATTTCATCTATGGAAATAACAAAACTCCAAAGTGAAGGTGCCTTCCTCTAAAGAAATTTTTTATTTGCCTCTGCTAGAAAACTCCTAAGAGGAGAGCACTCACTCCCATGTGAGGATGCTAAGTTAATGTGAAAATACCAAGTTTAGCATTCTGTGTTGTAGCTACTGACATTTTTATATATATTTCTAAAAGCCAATGGGGGAACTACTAGAATATTTGAGCAAGGAATTGACTTTCCTCACTTAAGTTTTAAAAAAGGTCACTTTGACTATAGGAGAGATACTAGAGATGGGCAAGAGAGGTAGATCCATAAGCCAGGGAATGATTATAGGAACTGAAGTTGGAATTTAAGCTAGAAAGTGAAGGAAGTCAGGTCACCAAGAGTAAAGGGACACTAAAAAGATGGATCGATGGATCGGAGATCCCAGTAGGGTTAAAGCATTGGCCGAGATAGAGTACAGCAGGGAGTCAGCTTCATAGATAAGAAGACTTCCCAATTTCCATTTGGCAGAAAATAATTTCAAAATCTTCTGGGAGATGACAATTATTCACCTTTTCATGGGTTATTTTTCCATTTAATGTTATTTTACTCCTAAATGAGGTTCCCACTGTCAGAAAGGTCGTTTTTGTTCCCTATAATCCAGCCTAAGTGTTACATAGCCAAAGTTTAGTTCTTTTTTCTTAATAATGCTATTTTCTACCAGGTTAATTTTATTCCTGTCCTCAGTTAATTTTCTTTTTCCTCATCCCAGACACTTGAAGACCTTTGCCAAATACCAAACCGAGACCCCTGCCATCATTCAACACAATTGCACAGACGCTAATCTCTTCATGGTAAATTCTTTCCATTAACCATTTGGAATGGTTCTACTCTGAATCCAGTCTGTGTTTTCCTTTTCCTTATAGTGTTGAAGTGGATGCAAATATGGTAGCCCAGCCTTTTAAGATATACAGATTTCTGACTCCTACACTGAGTTCCAAGGACTATAGGTTTGTTTCGAATAGTTTCTGAGGCATTTTCTTCCACCTCATCAAATTTACCTATGATAGGCCTAAGAAAATGACCACCTATTTCAAGCATTTTATGTTCTTTTAAAACTATACCTTACAATTTATCCCACAATTTACTTCGCAATTTACTGTCACTTTTATCTGGTTTGCTTCATTTTCCAAATTACTAATGAAGGCAAATGAATAAACAAATAAGGATTTACTACTCACCTTGAAACCCATCTGTTAAAAAACTTCCTCTCCCACCCCCCGTCAGGTTTTAGTTTAGAAACACTGACTGGCCGGGCGCGGTGGCTCACGCCTATATTCCCAGCACTTTGGGAGGCCAAAGCGGGCAGATCTGAGATCAGGAGTTCAAGACCAGCCTGGCCAACATGGCGAAACCCTGTCTCTGATGAAAATACAAAAGTTAGCCGGGCGTGATGGCGCATGTCTGTAATCCCAGCTATTCAGGAGGCTGAGGCAGAAGAATCACTTGAGCCTGGGGGAGAGGCCGGGGGGTGGGGAGGGGGGGCGGGTAGAGGGTGCAGTGAGCCGAGATTGTGCCGCTGCACTCCAGCCTGGGCGACAGAGCAAGACTCTGTCTCAAAAAAAAAAAAAAAAATTACTCACTGACGTTTTCCTATTGGACTAGCTGTGTGCTAGATGCCTTCATAATGGTCTCACACCAACTTTTTGAAGATGTTTTACTTTTCATGTTTTAAAACAGGCTCAGAGAAATTAATAAACTAATAAGCTCACACAGCTAATAAATAGCAGAAACATGATTTGAACTCAGTTTTTCGAGTTCCAAGTCTCCTTTCATTTTTTATTTTTAAATTTATTTTATTTTATTTCTTTATATTTTTTTGGGGGGGGACGGAGTCTTGCTCTGTCGCCCAGGCTTGAGTGCAGTGGCCTGTCTCGGCTCACTGCAAGCTCTGCCTCCCGGATTCATGCCATTCTCCTGCTTCAGCCTCCCGAGTAGCTGGGATTACAGGCGCCTGCCACCACGCCTGGCTAATTTTTTTGTATTTTTAGTAGAGACACGGTTTCACTATGTTAGCCAGGATGGTCTGGATCTCCTGACCTTGTGATCCGCCCTCCTCGGCCTCCCAAAGTGCTGGGATTACAGGCATGAACAACCGCGCCCGGCCCCAAGTCTACTTTTTATCCCACTAAACCATCTACACATGTTAATTTAATTGCTTATTTCATTTTTATTTTAGCCCCTTTAAATAGTCATAAATTCTAGTTTAATTTTTCTTTATAGAAAATAGGCCGGCTATTGTTTTAGCATATGATGCATAAGAATTTTTAATCATCATATACTAAATAGATGCAAATGAACTTAGGTTGTTTGATTTTCCATTTTTTAAATTTTTTATCTTTTTTTTTTTAGCAAAGGCTATTTATATAATGCTCTACTTACCTGATAAGGTGTAATTTTAGAAATGATTTCAGCTGTTTCTCTGCCCACGAATGAAAACATCAAATAGCTTTGGGGCAGATTTTTTTTTTTTTCTTTTTGAGACGGAATTTCATTCTTGTTGCCCAGGCTGGAGTGCAATGGCACGATCTCGGCTCACCGCAACCTCCGCCTCCCAGGTTCAAGCGATTCTCCTGCCTTAGCCTCCTGAGTAGCTGGGATTACAGGCATGCGCCACCATGCCCAGCTAATTTTGTATTTTTAGTAGAGACAGGGTTTCTCCATGTTGGTCAGGCTGGTGTCAAACTCCCAACCTCAGGTGATCTGCCCGCTTTGGCCTCCCGAAGTGCTGGGATTACAGGCATAAGCCACCACACCCAGCCTTGGGGCCGATTTTTATCATTATGATAGGCTTCACCTGAATGGACCCCTCTTGTTAACAACGTGTGAGGAGGAAGGTGAAGATGTATTACCATAGGGAAAGGCCCATAGCAAAACTGTAGAGTGGCTTGAAAAAGATAGTGCAAAGATGGTACCATGTGAGGTCCTTAAGTATAGAAAGTTCTGGAAGCAGAGTTAAGCAATTTTTATAAGGAGATCAAAGCTCTCAGGTTCTCTAACATTCAAGTTGATAGGTAGCTGTCATGTCCAACTGCAGTTGCTCTGTCCAAGGTCTACTGACAGGAGAGGTCTCAAAAGCCCCTAAAGAAATACCTACCAGTGGGTACAGGGCCTGGTCCATGACTTGAACTCAACACAATCACCTAAGGGTTGGATTGGAGAACTGATTCCAGCACAACCTATGCCTGAGTCCGGAAGCGCATCTGGATCCAGCCACCATGGAACAGTGTTGAGGTTTGAAGAAAAAATGGCTTAACCAAATGAAACTGAATTAAAAATTTATTACTTTGCTTCCCCAGGGAAGGCATGCATGCCCCACTGCATCCCTGCAAGTGCAGAACCAGTCTTCAGCAGCGACGCTTAGCGGCTGAAGTGTGATACAGTTCTGCCGTCCTTTGAACAGTGCAATTCCTCAGAGTTCCTGGACAATTCAGAATCGGTGAACCTCAAAAGTGAAATACTACAATTCCTAAAAATACATGTAAATGGGATCTCAATTGATCTATTGAAAAATTAAAATTCATTTATTATTGTACCCTAAGCTGGGAAAACAGACTGTTTCCTGTACAGTGTACACATGATTGCACTCTTGCTGGATTTTCATAATGGCTTCTTTTTTTTTTTTTTCTTGAGACAGAGTCTTGCTCTGTTGCCCAGGCTGGAGTGCAGTAGTGTGATGTCGGCTCACTGCAACCTCTGCCTCCGGGGTTCAAGCGGTTCTTCTGCCTCAGCCTCCCAAGTAGCTGGACTTCAGGCGCACGCCATCACACCCGGCTAATTTTTGTGGGGTTTTTTGTTTGTTTGTTTGTTTGTTTTTTAGATGGAGTCTCACTCTGTCACCCAGGCTGGAATGCAGTGGCGTGATCTCAGCTCACTGCAAGCTCCGCCTCC
This sequence comes from Homo sapiens, assembly GCF_000001405.40. Lineage (NCBI taxonomy): Eukaryota > Metazoa > Chordata > Mammalia > Primates > Hominidae > Homo > Homo sapiens. The sequence continues at coordinate 87,621,615 of NC_000001.11, read as the reverse complement.
CGGGTTCATGCCATTCTCCTGCCTCAGCCTCCCGAGTAGCTGGGACTATAGGCACCCACCACCACGCTTGGTTAATTTTTTGTATTTTTAGCAGAGACAGGTTTCACCATATTGGCCAGGCTGGTCTCAAACTCCTGACCTCATGATCCACCCAAGGTGCTGGGATTACAGGTGTGAGCCACCACGCCCGGCCGATAACTGCTTCTTAATGACTTTCTTTGTTCCCTTTCATTCTCTCTCTTTTCCAATATTTTCTCCATATTTGTATATAAAGTTAATCTTCCTAAAATATCAACTTTGCCCAAAAAGTTTGCAACAGCTTATTATTGCCAACAAAACAGAATCAGCTTCCTCATCCTGTGATTAGATACTCTCCATAATCTGACTCCTAAATCCTGAAGGGAGGTAAGAAAGAATAAATATTTATATTTTTTCTCTTTTAATGTCCTCTTCAATTGTTTTTTCTGATACCTCCATTTAAATTGAGGTGTGAATTACATACAATTAAGGGGACAAATCTTAAGTGTAAAGATTAGTAAATGTTTTACATATGCAGTCACCCAAGAAACCATTACTGAATCCAAGTTACGCAACATTACCAATCCCCCAGAAAGCTCTCATTCCCCTTTCAGACTATACTCCCAAAGGTGACCACTATTCTAACCATAATCAACATGGATTGGTTTTTCCTGTTTTCAATTTCATATGAATGCAGTTATGCAACATGTACCCTTATGCCTGGCTTCCGTTATTCACTGGGCATAATAAGATACCATTATGTAGAGCTGTTCTTTTTCAATACTCACAGTGCTCTATCTTTTGTATATATCATAATTTACTTATATTTTTTAATTTATGAACAAATGGTTTCCTCTTTGGGGGGCACTATAAAAAAACTGCTATGAATATTTCTGTACACATTGTGTGTGTGTGTGTGTGTGAACATAAGCACTCATTTCTGTTGGGTGTATTCCTAGAAGTAGAATTTCTGGTAGAGTGTATAAATGTTTGGCTTTATAGAAGCTACCAAATAGTTTCCAAAGGAGTTTAAGAAATTTTTACTCCAACCAGCAAGTAATACATAGAATTCCATTTGTTCCACATCTTTGCCAACACTTGGTATTGTAAGTCCTTTCAATTTTCACCATTCTGGTAGTGAAACAGGAAAGGTTCCCTTGTCCCCCTTGCAGGGCATGTGATGGGGGTGTGGCTTGCTTCTTCAGTGCCCTGCTACTCAGACCTCTAGCGGAGCATACAGACAGGGAGGCTGTGGGGCTCCAACCTGGCAGCAATGTCTAGGGGTGAATGTTTACAGGTGAAGCCCAGTGGGCATGTGTTACAGGGTACTCTCTTAGTTTGCCATCTATAGGCAGCTTGTGTTAACCAGCTCAATTAGACCCATTACCTCGTCTCAAGGACAGAGGGCTTTCTATATCCTGGGTTCCTGCCTTGGTGTACTGGAAGAATCGTATCACACATGGGCTTGGAGAATGAGTGCAAAGTTTAATTGAGTGGAAATAATCCTTGCTGATGGGGGAGACAGAAGGGAGATGGTCTTTTCCCTGGAGTTGCACTGCTCAGTGCCCAGGCTCTCCTCCGATTGCTCAGGCCAAACTCCGCCTCCTCCCGTCAGTCGATGGCCTGCCTGCGCCTGGCACCTGTGGCGTGCTCTTCTGCCAGTGTGCTCCTACATCATCCTCTCGCCAACGAGCTGCTTGTGTCTTCTTCCACTGATGTACTCCTCTTGCCCTGTGGCTGCCTGTGTGTCTGCCTGCTAGGGGCTCAGGTTTTTTTTTGTTTGTTTGTTTGTTTTTTGATGGAGTCTCGCTCTGTCGCCAGGCTGGAGTGCAGTGGCAGGATCTCGGCTCACTGCAACCTCCGTCTCCCAGGTTCAAGCAATTCTCCCCCCTCAGCCTCCCAAGTAGCTGGGATCACAGGCCGCACCACCATGCCCCACTAATTTTTAGTAGAAACGGGGTTTCACCATGTTGGCCAGGATGGTCTCAATCTCTTGACCTCGTGATCCACCTGCCTTGGCCTCCCAAAGTGCTGGGATTACAGGCATGAGTCACCGCGCCCGGCCAGGTCTCGGGTTTTTATAGACATAGGATAGGGGTGTGGTAGGCCAGGATGGTCTTGGAAAATGCAACATTTGGGTGTGAAAGCAGGAGTGCCTGTCCTCACCTAGGTCCATGGGAGTGGAGCCCTAGCCAGGGAACTGCCTCTTTCTACCCAGCACTTCCCTGCCCACCTCCCATATCAGTAGGTGTGTAGTAACATCTCATTATGATTTTAATTTTCATTTTTCTGCTAATTGCATTGATCACCTTTTCCCATGCTTATTAGCCACTTGGATGTCATTTTTTATGAAGTACTTGTTCAAGTCTTTTGCCCATTTTTTTTTAATTTGGCAACTTTCTTTTTCTTTTTTTTAATGGAAGCTTTTTATATATTCTATATATAAGTTATTTGCCAGATATTTTACATACATTTCCAAATACATGTACATATATAAAAATACATGTGTATATATATGACATGTATATGTGTAGATATGTAGATATGTGTATATATATGACGTGTTAATACATGTGTATATATATGACATGTATATGTGTAGATATGTAGCTAGATAGCAAATACATTCTCTCAGTCTATGGCTTGCTTTTTTACTGTCTTAATGGCTGCTTTTGATTGAGAAGTTCTTAATTTTAATGTAGTTCAATTAATGTATGTTTTATGTTTAGTGCTTTATTGTATCTTGTTTAAAAAATCTTTCCCCAAGATCATGGCAATATGTCAATGTTTTCTTATGTTTTCTTCTAGATGTTTTATTATTTTGCATTTCACTTTCAGGTTTATAATCCATTCTCAATTAATTTCTTATTTTTGGTGAAATCTCAGTTCCCACTTTTGAATTCTTCTACTCCAAGTAGACTGATAAACTTAATTGCCCTCTCCTAACTCCACCTTTAAAAAAATAATGTTGGATAATTCTGCCTTTCTACTCTGGCCTAGAATTGTGTAGTCTTCTGTATCTGAATTCTAAACTCAGGTCCCAGCTGTGCTGCGTTCTCCTGAGCCTAATGTGCAGTAAGCCTATACTGCTTTATGCTAGTAACTATTTTTATACATGTGTTACTTTGTTTTCAAGTAGCCTCATACTTCTTGGAGGTAGAAATTGCCCATAAGGGTTAACTAATGCTCTGCACATCATGAATGTTCCATAAATATGAGATGCCAGCTGATTGACATATATACTTAATTCACAGGCCATCCGGTGGACCTGCCCAGGACTATCTGCTGTACAGCTATTTCTGTGAGTGGTGCTGCTGTCATGCTCACAGATGTGTCAAATAGAGTCGGACAATTTTTAATTTTATTAAAGTGGTATCGTCAGGCTTTTCAAGGGATATTTTCCAGGTTTATTTCTGTAGTCCTGTTAATAGCCACTACCTTCTTTTCACATATCACACTTCCGCTTGCTTGTTAACATTCCTCAGTTTTCATTTATGGCTCAATGAGTCTGTTTTGCTTTACTTTATTTTAATTACTATAGAATGTACTGGTAACTTTCTGATGTAGTTCCTTTAAAAAAAATAGAATTAAAAGGAAGGAAAAGTATCAAACAGATTCAACTCCACACTCCCTTTCCCACTCCGAAGGGAGAGAAAAAAATTGTTGGGTCTAAATTTGTCATCTGTCTTCTTTAACAGCTACCCTGTGTCTGTCATGTAGATCTGTTGATTTCCAAATATGTCAGTGTACCTGCTCAAAATTATTTTTTTCTGCTTTGTGACTTTAACAGAGGTGTCAGTATTTTTTTTCTAAGTTTCCTTTTTTTTCCCTGCCGCTCATTTTAAAAGAGTTTAAAAACAGATTATTGCTGCAAATATTCTGATTTGTATTAGTGGCCTTGCTTGCTTTGCTCCCCCATATGAGACACAAATGCCTCTCCTTTCACGTAGCTACTTTATTCAGCTTTTCCATTCTGGTTTTTGTCATAATTATCATTTCCTCTTTAAAAAAAAAAAAGAATAGGTATTATGAAAAATTTCTGTAGGGTTCCCTCCCAATTTCCTCACTGCCATTACAGAGCCTCCGTCCCATCAGTCTCGACGGGCGCACTGGATATTCTAACTCTTTGCGTCCCTCTTTTCTCAGAGCAATTGTAATCTGCTTTAATTATGGTGGATATTCCAGCAGCCTGCCCTTCTCCTGGGCTTTAGTATTCCCTACTTCAATACCATACTCACTAGATTTTTTTTTTTAATTCCCCCAAATTAGCTCTCTTGAATTCTAATGCCCTGGTAGGACTGCTCCCATACTGGTTATGAACTCGATCCCACCAGGTTTCAGAGACGTCGACGAAGGCATTGCGTTCTGCATTTCTGCATCCCTAGGAATGCTCCCCGTCATTTCTCAGGCTCCTCTCAGGCCACAGGTCCCTGCTTTCTCTCTGCTTAAATCACCATGGCAGACCCTTCCCTCAGAAAAGGGGAGAAGACATTGTTTTAGATACCTGACACAGGCCGTGACGTTTTAACCCTTGTCTTTTTAAAAACCTCTCCAGTCAGAGAGTTTTTAAGATAACTATTTATCTTTAAATATAACTTTTAAACATTTTTATTCCACACACTAATTTCTACTCAACTCTGCAGTGTAATTCAGATCCCCGAGTGGTTGACCTGAAACCTCTGGCCAAGGCAGTTGCCTTCTATACTTCTTCTCTGCTGCCCGTTGAGATTTCACGCATTCATGCTGTGAGGAAGGAGGCCAATGGCATATATTTTCGCCAGCTAACCATGCCTTCTCCATCAGCACTTGTGCAGACATACCACACCAGTGAACTGAGGTATCTCTCTTTCCCACAAAAATATTAGATTTAATCATCTCAATATAACAAAAACAAAGAAATATTTACCCTCATTTTTATGAGGGTAAAGATTTCAGAGACTCCGTGTTGATCTCTGAGAGTAAGGGTTTAGGATATCTGCCCCCGGGTGGAGGAGATATGCCCGGTTACTCTCAGGTTCATGTTAAATCGACAGTTGGCTCCCAGGCCCCACCTTTATCCTATAATCACTCTGCTCTCCCATTATTCCTCTCTCAGTTGGAATTCATTCAACTGCACTTAAAGAAAACACAATTCCAAATGATTTAAACAATAAAAAGGGATATAAGGCCTTCTGTAGGTGAAAAATCCAGAAGTATCAAATGAGGCTTGATCCAGCCACCCAACATTGTCACCAAGTGTCTAGTTCTTTCTTTTTCTTTGCTCTGCCTTCCGGGCTATCACTTCATCCTAAAGATGACTCCTACCGTGGTGCTCAAATGACAGCACCAACTTCCTGGAGCTATGTGCTTCTCACAGCCAAGAAGGAAAAAAGCATTATTTCAGTATTGCTAATGAGTCCTGATATTCCTCTGATGGGAGCAGCTTTGGTCACAGGGCCCCTCTGGATTCACTGAGGTTGGTAGAGAAAATGCATTCATTGGCCTGACGTGGGTTGCATGCTCTAACTCTTAAATCAGGAAAGGAGTCTGTTGCCAAGAAACACATGCTTTACAAAATGGAAAAGTTAGCTACTAGGGAGGGAGGAAAGGAGGATGTATCTGGGGACAACACAAAGAGTTGAACTATACAAAAATCCTGGCCTTCACTTCTTTCCCTAGGTGCAAAAAAAAAAAAACTCTGCCAAAAACCATGTTGAGTTTACCTGATTTATACTGCAGCCCTGATGTAATACTGGCTTGAGGAAAGACTTCCTAATGGCTGCTCTCACCTTAAAAAGAGCAAACACACACGCAAACAGGGCAAAAGATGCCCCTGGCTTCTGACAGGAAGCAGCTTGGGTGCTTAAGCAAGTGACTTAAAATCTTTCTGCTCTTATTTTTCTAAGACTGAATGTTATTTGGGACAAGTCCAGATGACTGAAAGTTGTTCAACTGTGAGCCCTGTTTAGTCAGATTTTTTTTTTTTAATAACTTCTGGCCAGATGCAGTGGTTTATGCTTGTAATCCCAATGCTTTGGGAGGCCAAGGCAGGAGAACCACTTGAGGCTAGGAGTTTGAGACAAGCTTGGGCAACATAGCGAGACCCTATCTTTTCAAAAAATAAAATAAAACAATTAGCAGGGTATGGTGGCACCCGCCTGTAGCACTAGCTATTAGGAAAGCTGAGGCAGGAGGATCACTTGAGCCGAGGAGTTCGAGGTTACAATGAGCTATGATCATCCCACTGCACTTCAGGCAGGGCAACAGAGCAAGACCCTGTCTCTTAAATAAATAAAATTAAAACTTAAAATACTTCTAAATGGGGTGTGTTGGCTCATGCCTGTAATCCCAACATTTTAGGAGGCTTTGGTGGGTGGATCATGTAAGCTGGGAAGTTCAAGATCAGCCTGGGCAACAATGGTGAAATCCTGTCTCTACAAAAAAAATTACAAAATTAGTTGGGCATGGTTGCGCACACCTGTAGTCCCAGCTACTCGGGAGGATGAGGCAGGAGGATAGCTTCAGGCCGGGAGGCAGAGGTTGCAGTGAGCCAAGATGGCGCCTCTACACTCCAGTGTGGGTGACAGGGTGAGACCCTGTCTCAAAAAACAAACAAAAAACTTCTACATCACAAAAAGATAAAAGAATAATTTCTAAAGATTTTAGTCATATTAAAACACTATCTATACACAACAGTGGAGGTGAATGTTTCTCTGCTACAGTGAACAAACATTCTTCTTTGAGAAAATACATGTATTTAAATGCATAGTATTCAAAGGGTTAAGAAGCAGAACTTGGCCTGTCTGACTTTGCCTTGGATTGTTAGGGGATTTTTTTTGTTTTTGTTTTCTTCAGTAATTCTTGTTCTGAGGACTGTTAGTTTTTTGAAGTCCAGTTATGGGAGATGGATCCTCAGGGTTCCCTGCCAAATAAGAATGAGAGAGCTCAGGTGAGAGGCAGGGTAGGCGAGCTCAGCTGCCCCTAGTGTCTCTTTGCTCTTTCCTTGCTAGGATCATTGCTGGGAAAATAGGTACCCTGTGTAGCTCCAGGGAGTCTATAAATTAGCAACCCACCTTTCTTTCTTTCCTTCCTTCCTTCCCGCCTTCCTTCCTTCCTTCCTTCCTTCCCTCCCTCCCTCCCTCCCTCCCTTCCTTTCTTCTTCAACTGGCAAAGAGTTAAACTTTTTATTTCTTTCTATGTCTTACCTCAGATGTTTTTAATCTAGGCAGAGAGTATGACAATCCAAGGTCTATATTAAGCTGAACTGGGGCATTGAAGACACTTTCTAGACTCAACTGAGGTTCAGAGAAGTGAAGCAACTTGCCTGGGCCACTCCAATAGGAACCGAGCTCTCTAAACTCCTTCCTTCAGATCCCAGTCCTGTCCAAGGAGCAGCACTTGTAAGTTCTCATTGACATCATAATGTTTGCTGAAACTGAAGAAATAGATGACAGAAAAAAAAATTGACCAGCGCTTAGCACATAGTTTCTCTATGAATGACATTACTTTTTCTGAGTGCTTCTCAGAATTGTTCAAGTGTCACCTGTGTCTCACTGCTTTTTTTTTTTTTTCCAGTTTGGTATCCATAATTGACTGTAAAATTGACAAGAAGCTTTGTATATTTGCCCAGCAAACAGAAAGAAACCAGGGAAATGGTTTCTTTGGTTTTGTGACTTCTCTGAAATCTCTTGTTGGAAAGCATGATTGCCAACATCTGTCCCTCCCCAAAAGCTTATTATGGAGTTTTCCTGTCTAGGGTTCTAAGCTAGGACAAAATAAAGGTAACTAATGGTTTTGAGAAGTTAACTATGTTTTCTGCGTGCATTATAAATCATTCACAGTCACTTTTTGATGTCAACCTGAAGAGAGCTCACATTCTCCTGCTTCTTTCAAATGTATACAAATATGGAAAGATTTACTTTGGCTTCTCATCTTGTTTCCTAAGGCATGCTAGTCAAAAGCCTGCCACCCTCTTTTCTATCTTGAAACTAAAAATAAAATGTATTTTCTTCATGGTTTGTTAACCATAACTGGGTTAACTTATAAATATGTCTTCTAAATATATTGTAATTTACTATTCAGAGTGCAATGTGTACAATTTTCATGTGTCCCAAGGCCAGTTGTGATCTACCTGTTGCTAACAATCACTAGCAAATTCTTTGTCAAACAGTCTAGTTTCCAAAGAGTTAAGTGTGGCTTGGACATTTTTTGAAGAATTTTGGGCAAAGTCTTGTAACAGAGGTTTTGTCAATACAAAACTTTGTGGTTAAAAAAAAAATCAAATACTTCTGAAAAAATAATCTGGTAGAATTCCTAAGGCTTGACTTGAAAGGAGTGGGTTAGTCATGTGATCTTGCTGCCAATTAACCTTGGCTCTAAGGCCAGAGGTCAGAACTATTCCCATACCTTAGTCCGCCAGGTGTAGGTTAGGGGGAAAAGGTGGCAATTTGGAGGACAATTTACAAGCCAGATATAATCATCTGAATTGTTGATTCTGTGTCATCCTAAGAATTTATGGCAGCCGGAAGGAAGGCAAATACGTTGTGCTAATTCAAGAAGTTATAGCTTCCTTCCCTGTTAGTCTGTACAGGAAAACTTCTACAGAAGTTGTAAATCTCACCTTTCTGCAAAACTAATGAGATGGTGTCACTGAGTAGGAGGCATAACCTGAGGTCCCTACAAACAGAAGGCAGCATGAAAACGGGCCTCTGAGAGTTTCACCTGGAAACAGAAGAACTAAACAGGAAGCTAGAACCAATCCCATGTAAAGGAGATCATCCTTCATCAGTGGAGGTGACGAAAAGTTGGTTGATTTTCACACTACTGGTCTGTCTAATAATCATGTCTTGAAGCAGGAATAGCTTTTTTTGTTGTTCTCTTTTGATTTTTATTAATTTATTCATTCAGTAAACATTTATTGATCATCTAAACACTGTACTAGGCTCTAGAAAAACGAGTACTACACATATGCAAGAAGTTAATAGGTTGGTAAATAAAGGAGCCAGGAAAACAAATGAAACCAAGGCAATGAGACAAGTACTATAAAAGAGAAAGGATAGCCATGTGACCAGTGACAGGATTTACAAAATGGCTAATAGGGGTTCAGAATTGAAACTATGGCCATGAATCTAAATGATATCATGGACCCCAAAAGTGATTGAACTACAGATCATGATCTCATGTCTACAATAATTAACTGATGGTAGAGGAAACAGTTTAGGTGGTAAAAGAAAAGTCTTCAGACACTCACCTCTGGCCTAGGCCATGCTTTTCAAGGTTGCCTTGACTGTAGTTGAACTACGTTGTTAAAACCACTTGACAAGATGTAAGCTACTTATTTTACATTAAAATGGAACCCCAGGGCTTCCTTGCACATATACTTAATTAATTAATTTCTTCTTTCATTAAGCAATAGATCATAGAGAATGACTTCAGGATAGGTGTAGAATGAGACTCCTGGATCAATTATAAACTATCAACTTGGGATGCCAAGTTATTCAGTCTCAATGTCCTGTAGCTACCTCCTTCCCCTGCTCGTAACAACATATACAACTCCAATGACAACTATGTTCCTTCTAGACTCAAGCTCATCCTTATAGAAAGTTTAACTGCTGAGAAAAGCCACTACAATATTTTCATACAGGTAAAAGCAGGTGGAAATTAATATTAGGGATAATGTTGAAGTGTAAAAATTGATGTAGGTGAAATTGGAGTGGGTTGTAAAAGCATATTATCTGCCACTACCTTGACAAAGATAACAGAGTTTCTGACAAAGAGAAGGACCTAAACAAATATTGATGAATGAAGACAACAAACTTCCACAGGGGCCTAAGGTGGGGTGAAAGAGCTGCCTTTTTTTTATTACTTATGTTTTACCTGGAAAGCTAAAAGGTAAACTTTAAGAGTGCTTTGCATGTGTTATCTCATTTAATATTGCCTATTTTGTACAGATGAGGAAACCGAAGTTGAAAGAAGTTAAAAACTTTCCAAGGGCTTTCCTCAAGCAACAACGAGTAGGCACCAGGGCCAGAATTCAAATTCCAGTCTGAATTTATCTTTTTCCTCATATTATGCTAATACCTCATCACTTACATGTGTCCTGTAGATAAAATGACATTACATTTGAGCCTCCTTTTCTGCTTGATATTAATGCATGAAGAATGAAAAGGCATACATGAGGGAGTGGATATTGGTGTGTGAGGAAGAAAGAAGGCCTCATTCTAGATAATTGTGGCAAATAACCAGTTCTTCCCTATATCGCCCACCAGAAGTAAAACACCTTCATTCCCTGAGGAGAAGTTCCCTGAGGATCACGCTACACTTTCCACACCCTTGGGTTTTGGTAGGAAGAAATCAGCAGAGTGGACATTGCTTGATTGCTTATTGGTGAATGCTATGCTGTTTAAATGGTTCTCAACTGTCTATAACTCTTTATTTTAATTTTTTTTTTTTGAGACGGAGTCTCACTCTGTCGCCCAGGCTGGAGTGCAGTGGCACGATCCCGGCTCACTGCAACCTCTGCCTCCTGGGTTCTAGCGATTCTCCTGCCTCAGCCTCCTGGGCTTAGGACTACAGGCTGGGACTACAGGCGCACTCCATCACACCCAGCTAATTTTTGTGTTTTTAGTAGAGACAGGGTTTCACCATGTTGGCCAGGATGGTCTCGATCTCCTGACCTTGTGATCTACCCTCCTCAGCCTCCCAAAGTGCTGTGATTATAGGCGTGAGCCACCACACCCGGCCAACTGTCTGTACCTCTTAATGGAAATGTTGAGAAATCCAAGGTCTTCTGGAAGTATGTTGATTATAACAATATTAGGGGCTACAGAACAGACACAACAGGGAGCTGGAGTCCCCCTTTGTACTCCTTTGCTGGATTGATCATGATCTTACCTTTGCCTTTGAGTTTTCCTGTGGTATTTATGTTTCCTACAGAGTAGTCCCTCAGTTCCGCCTTTTATCAATGGAAGTCAGTGTGATGGTAGAAGCCCTAATCAAAGGTAATACTAAAAATACTTATCAACCAATATACATTGGTTTCAATAAGAATGGATCACAGGTATGAAAATCCAGTACCACTGTACCAGGCCTACCTACTGAATATCAGCTCTTCCTGAACTTAGATTCAGATCAGTGTTTCTCTCATTTCTATAGAATGAAGATTTATCATGATGTAATAGGACACACACACACACAGACACACACACATACATGCTCATCAGCCTGAACAAACACCTGAATTTTGTCCTTCAAATGAAGCAATCACCTCAGGAGGATAATACATTTATTTAATGTGCTGTCATTGCTCAAAACACTTTTAAAACTCCTCCTGGAATTGCCTTCGGGGTCAGTTTATGAACCAGAAAAGATAATTTGTCTCTCTTTTTTATGGTCACACCTCATTTTTGACAAATTTATAATACGTATCTTCATTATCCTTAATCAGAAATGTCTGTAAATTACTTCAAGCTATTTCCTAAAATCAACCCTACTTTCAAAAGACAAAGATTTTTTTCCTAATTAAATATATGCAAACAAATATGATACAGGCTATGGAAGAAACTTGAAGAGTAAAATTATACTTTTTATGTAAAATTTGGTTGCTTTTTAAATAGACATATACCTGTAGAGCAAGAGGTGAGAAGGAGCATCGTTTGATTGCTCAACCTTTGATTTGGTGTGCCTCATCAATGTTCCTGTCCACAGGGAATGCCCTGCCTCATAGATGCTTGATGTAGTTTGAATGTTTATGTTCCTCCAAAATTCATGTTGAAACTAAATCCTAATACAATAGTACTGACAGGCGCGACCTTTAGGAAGTGATTAGGTCATGAAGACTCCTCCCTCATGAATGGATTAGTGCCTTATAAAAGGGCTGGAGGGTGCTGGCTAGGCCTTTTTGCCCTTCTGCCCTTCAGCCATGTGATGACACAGTGTTTGTCCCCTCAAGAGGATGCTACAGTAAGGTGCCATCTTGAAAGCAGAGAGCAACCACTGAATCTGCTGGCACCATGACTGGACTTCCAGCTTCCAGAACTGTGAGAAATAAATTTTTGCTCTTTATAAATTACCAATCTCAGGTATTTTGTTATAGTGGCACTAATGGACTAAGACACTCATCCAGGCTGCCATGCTTTGGATCATGTGACTAGACTCTCCTAAACCTCACCCCTCTTTTAAAGATTACAGGAACAGTAAAGGCTGGGCTCGGTGGCTCACACCTGTCATCCCAGCACTTTGGGAGGCCAAGGCAGATGGATCACGAGGTCCAGAGATCGAGACCATCCTGGCTAACACGGTGAAACCCCGTCTCTACTAAAAATACAAAAAATTAGCCAGGCGTGGTGGCAGGCGCCTGTAGTTCCAGCTACTTTGGAGGCTGAGGCAGGAGAATGGCGTGAACCTGGGAGGTGGAGCTTGTAGTGAGCTGAGATCACACCACTGCACTCCAGCTTGGGCGACAAGAGAAAGACTCTGTCTCAAAAAAAAGAAAAAAAAAAAAAAGATTATGTGAACAGGAGTGGATGACTAATTCAAGACAACTGATCCTCAAGTTGGCCAATACATGGGGCCTGTTCAAAAAGATGAGCTGGACCTATCAGAATCTCAGTTTTCAGATATGAATTAAGAGATAAAAATAATTTTCCATCCCTCTATAGGACTTTCTGTTTTAGTCCGACAGAGTTTAAAGGACAAAAATAATTTTTCATCCCTATGAGAGCTTAAACTGAAAAGTCATAGTTTGATAAGTGGAAGTGGGATGTGAGCAGAGAGAGGCCATGATTGCCAAGTATAAATTGAAGTTATAAAGGAATGGAAATTATTATAAACAGGAGAAACAGGCCAGTGGAGACAGGGAAATGGAGCAGATGGCTGAGGAAAAGCAGAGATGTTTTGGGAGACCTCAGTGAACACTCCTAGTCTGCCTCCCCTGCATTAGTTCTCTCCTCAGAAACTCCAGTTTTTGTCTGGGCAGCCGTGTGATTTTGAGTATGTGATTCCACCCACACCACCATGTTTTACCAGGGCAAAACAGTGACCCAGGCTAAGCCAAAAAACTCATATGTCAACCGGCCACAGGATTGGCTCAAGGTTGTTAATGTTATTCAAGCAATCGTACTGCATATCAAGACTTCCATCAGGAATGCTAGAAAAGATACTCTCTCTCTTCCCAGCTCACATAGGGAAGTATATTTCTGAGAGCTACTGGTAACCATTTTGGCATCACGAAATTAGCTAACCTTAGAATGAAGCTGATACCATGGAAGGAATAGCAGAGACACAGAAAAAAAAAAAAACTGGGTTTTGGTGGTATTTTGGACCTGCTGGATCAAGTCTCATGAAATTGTAGATTTGCCTCTTATATTTTTTCTTTTTTATTTTAAGTTAAACCTCTCAGTCTCCTTTATTGTTTAAGCCAGTTTCATTGGTTTTTTCTTACTTCCAAACAAACGCACGCTGACACAGCAGAGGACAAAAGCCTGTCTCCAGAAACTCAATTTCTATAATCCCAGTTTAAATTCCAGTTTGTTTAGCCCCCGCAAATAAACCCTCTTTATAAAGGTAACCTAAGTGAATTTCTGCTTGTTTAACCCCAGGAGCTAATCTACATGCATAAATTGATTGTGATTTGATAAATCATTGATAAAAATATGATTGTTTTTATCAATAAAGATTGATAAATCATTATTAAAAACATTACTTTTATGTTTTCTAGATGGACTGTGTTCTGATATTCAAATGTCTTATATTTCTCATTTTAATCTGGAATCCAATCATCAAAATGTCCTTTATTTTAATTATTAGCTGATTTCTTTATTACTTAAAATGGAATGTCCTATGGCAAATTATTTTAGAGAGTTTAAAACTATAGCTTCCCAATAAATTTATTCATTAAATTCTAAAAACATTTTTGAAAATAAACAAAACTACTTAATATAAAGTAATTCAAGGTTATAAATTCAAAAGTGAAATTTACTCCTCAGACTTTCCATACCCACTTCACAGGTGTCATTGGAAAGGTAAGCTTATGTCCTTCCAGGCTTTTGTCAATACACATATGTATATTTCAAACTAACAATGGAAACAAAGTACATGCTGTTCTTTAAGTTACTTTTCTTTCTTTATTCATGAGTACATTGTGTGCATCTTCCCACATCATTCTTATTCATTTTTATGGCTGCATTATATGCCATGGCTGCACCATGATATATTTTAACTATTCTCCTATTGATAAAATTTGGGTTGCCTTCATGTTTTTATAATACAAATAATGTTACAATGAGCATTCTTTTATACATTTTCTTATATGTTTGTACAGTTTCTTTTGCAAAATAATTTTTAGAGAGTGAAATGTTGGTTCAATATAGATGCTTATTTTAAATTTTGATAGATTCTGCCTAATCACCCTCCAAAAAAAGTTGTACCAATTTACACTCTCATCAATAGGATATGAGAGTGTCCACTTTGTTACTCTCTTATCAACACCATCATCCAGGTATTCTTTTTTTTTTTAAGACAGTCTTACTCTGTTGCCCAGGCTGGAGTACAGTGGCATGATCTCGGCTCACTGAAACTTCTGCCTTCTAGGTTCAAGCAATTCTTCTGCCTCAGCCTCCCGAGTAGCTGGGATTACAGGTGCGCACCACCATGCCCAGCTAATTTTTGTATTTTTAGTAGAGGCAGGGCTTCACTGTGTTAGCCAGGCCGGTCTCAAACTCCTGACCTTGTGATCCACCCACCTCAGCCACCCAAAGGGCTGGGATTACAGGCGTGAGCCACCGCACCCAGCCTATCCAGGTACTCTTTCAGTCTTCATCATTAGATCTCAGTCTTAAGCTGTAATAGTAACAGTAACATCTTGAAGTGTAGGAAGATTCCCATAACAAATACAGTACTAACCAAATAATTTTTTTCAGTAAAGTAGGAGTAATGTAATAGTTATTTTTAGGAATTCTAGACAAAACTTTTAAGAAAAAGTCAGTTCTGGATACTTAACAATGCCATGATAAAAATTACATAATGTTAAAACAAAGTGTGACTTTATAACAGACATTTGTCATTCCCTCTATAGATTGTTGAGGCCTGGACTCTACTGTCAGTCCAAAACGAAAGGGAACATAGTACTAGAAGGCCTAGGCAAGGCAAGTAGGTGAGATAAAGAAATAAAAGACACCCAAATCAGAAAGGAAGAAATTAAATTGTCTCTTTTCAGAAGACATGATGTTACGTATTAAAAACCCTAAAGACTCCACCAAAAAACTGTGAAAACTAGTAAGAGAACTCAATAAAACTTCAAGATTTAAAATCAGCATACAGAAATCAGTGGTGTTTCTATATGCTAACAACAAACTATCTGAAAAAGAAATCAATAAAACAATCCGATTTACAAAGCATCAGAAAGACAAAAAAAAATGTTTAGGAATAACTTAAACCAAGGAAGTAAAAGAAGTGTACACTGAAAACTATGAAACATTGACCAAAGAAATTGAAGAAGACACAAATAAATGGAAGAATAGCCCTGTGTTCAAGGATCAGAAGAATTAATATTGTTAAAATGTCCATATTACCCAAAGTGATCTATAGATTTAAGTCAATCCCTACAAAATTTCCAAATTTGTTTTTCACAGAACTAGAAAAAACAGTTGTAAAATTCATGTGGAATCATAAAAGACTCCAAATAGCCAAAGCAATCCTGAGCAAAAAGAACAAAGCAGGAGGCATCACACTACCTGATTTTAAAATCTACTGCAAGGCCATAGTAATCAAAACAGCATGGCATTGTCATAAAAATAGACAGCTAGACCAATGGAACAAAATAGAAAGTCCATAAATAAATTCACACTGGTCAATGGATTTTTGACAATGTGACCAAGAACATACAATGGTGAAAGGACAGTCTCTTCAATAATGGTGTTGGGAAAACTGGATATCCACATGCAGAAGAATAAAATCAAATCATTATCTCACACTATATAGAAAAATAAACTCAAAATGGATTAAAGGCTTAAATATAAGATCTGAAACTGTAAAACTACTCAAAGAAAACATGGGAGAAAAGCTCCATGCTGTTGGTCTGGGCAATACTTTCTGGCTATGACCCCAAAAGCACGGGCAACAAAAGCAAAAATAGAGAAATGGGATTATGTCAAACTAAAAATATTTTCACAGCAAAGGGAACAATCAACAGAGTGAAAAGACAGCATACAGAATAGGAGAAAACATTTGTAAACCATACATCAGAGAAGGAGTTAATATCCAAAGCATATAAGGAACTCAAACAACTCAATAGCAAGAAAACAAATAATCCAATTTAAAAATGGGGAAAGGACCTGAAAAGACACTTCTCAAAAGAAGACATACATGGCCAATAGCTATATTTTTAAATGCTATACTGAAATCATTAGGGTAATGCAAATTAAAACTACAATGAGATATTACCTCACACCTGTTAGAATGGCTATTAATAAAAAGACAAATGATAAGTGTTGGCAAGGATGTGGAGAAAAGAGAACCCTTGCATGCTGTTGGTGGGAATGTAAATTAGTATAGCCATTATGAAAAACAGTATGGAGGTTTCTCAAAAAATTAAAAGGAATTTTTTGAGATCTATTGCACAGCATGATGAATATAGTTAATAATAGAGTATTGTACATTTCAAAATTGTTAAGAGTAATTTCAAATGTTCTCACTAAAAAAAGTTAATTATTTGAGATGATGGATACGTTAACCAGCTTGATTTAATTATTCCACATTGCATTAATAAAACATAACATCACTTTGTACACCATAAATATACACAATTTTAAATTGCCAATTTACAATTTAAAACATTTTTAAAAATAGAACTACCATACAATCCAGCAATCCCACTTACTGGATCTATACAAAAAGGAAATAAAATCAGTATGTTGGAGAGATAATCTGCACTCCCATGTTCATTGAAGCGTTATTCACAATAGCCTAGCTACAAAATCAATGGATGAAAAGATAAAGAAAATGTGGTAAATATACACAGTGGAATACTCTTCAGCCTTAAAAAAGGAAAGAAACCCTGTCATTTGTGACAACATAGATGCATGTGGAGGACGTTACATTAAGTGAAATAAGCTAGGCACAAAAAGACAAATATCACATGATCTCACTTGTATGTGGAATCTAAAGGTGAATTCATAGAAGCAGAGAGTAGAAGGGTGGTTACCAGATGAGTAGTGGTGGTGGGGCAGGAAGGGGTGGAGCAGATTAGAGAGATACTCGTCAGAGGATACAAAGTTTCTGTAAGACAGGAAAAATCAGTTTAAGGGATCTGTTGTACAAGAAGGTGACTCTAGTTAATAACACTGTATTGTATAGTTGAACATTGCTAAGAGAGTAGATTTTAAGTGTTCTCACCACATACGCACACAAAATGGTAAGTATGTGAGGTAATGGATATGTTGATTAGCTCGATTTAGCCATTCCACAATGTATACATATTCAAGACACCATATTGTACCCAAATGCAGCAAATATTTATCAGAAGCATTTTAGAAGCACAAAGCACTGCGATAGGAGCTCCAAACTGGGAGCATCTGTAAGTCACCAATTCTCAAGGCAGTAATAAGGATCAGAGAGATATCAAAAAGATATTATTTTACCTCTAAGCAAGGATTATGCTATTTACTCTGGTGCCTTCAGTTTGCAAATAAAATGACTAATCGTGAATAGATTCCCTCTTGAAATCTTTGAAGAGTTTCTTCCCCACTCCTGGCTTCCAACAACTGTGGAATCCTGGTAATGTGGGGGAGTGGGCAACTGGGAGGCAGAAGCTTATCTAATGCTGTAATTTGATAAGGTAGCCAGAAGCTACAGCACTAATATACCACTTTCTCTTAGTACCTGCAGAGCCTGTCTTTCTTAATCATTTCTTCCTGCTAAAAGGTTTAAAGCCAATCTTCATGTCTTAAGAATAAAAATGTCAGAACATTACCAATTTACTTGTCTTCTTTGATACCTTGGCTTAAAAGACCTGAATCTCATCAATGTTGGTCATTTATTATACATACCTGAGTGGTACTATTTCACTTAAATAAAGGAGGCCAGAGGCACTGGAGTTTAGAAACCAGGAGAAACAAACTAGAAACCACAGGATCCAACCCATGGTATAAAAATCTTAGTGGAAGAACCACTCTGGCAAATCTCTGCTTACTTTTGGCTTCAAGGGCTCATCTTTTTTTCTCTCACTCAGAGAATATAAAAATCTGCAGAATACAACATGCTAACCTTAACCTCCAAGGTAGAAACCTAGTGGCAACCCTTGCAATTTTTCAGTGGAAACTTGCTGTTTTAAATGGAAAGCTAGAGAAGATAAAACCACTCAAATCTTCCTCAATGACCCTGATATCGTATATTTCTTTTCTTTTCTTTTTTTTTTTTTTGAGACAGAGTCTTGCTCTGTCACCCAGGCTGGAGTGCAGTGGCGCGATCTTGGCTCACTGCAACCTCTGCCTCCTGGGTTCAAGCAATTCTCCTGCCTTAGCCTCCAGAGTAGCTGGGATTATAGGCGCGTGCCACCATGCTCGGCTAATTTTTGTATTTTTAGTAGAGACGGGGTTCCACACCATGTTGGCCAGGTTGGTCTCGAACTCCTGACCTCGTGATCCACCCACCTTGGCCTCCCAAAGTGCTGGGATTACAGGCGTGAGCCACCGCACCTGGCCAATTATCTTATATTTCACATGTTGTACATTTTACAGAGGGGCTAATCAAAAATCTAAGTTCTTTATGTTTAAATTGTAACTTTACATAGATAAGTGCAAATAAAAATAGTCATAAAGCTCTAGTAATACTAGTTAGATTCTTGTTTCTCAAAAATTTTAAGTATCTGAAAAAGGACTGTCCCATTTTGATTTGAATCCCAAATATGTAGCTTTGTCTTTTTCTTTTCATAGATGAATAGAAAAATATCTACTGCAATAGAACCATCCAAATTAGAATGAGACAATCATGGGCTGGCAATATGGAAGGAAATAAAGAAAGGATTAGCATGACAAACTTGGGTTTGGAGTCTCATATCCTTTCTAATGGCAGAGACCCAAGAGTCCTATTGAAACAATTTCCTTAAACTACCAATGGGAAAAAAATCTCTCTGGCTACTCCACTCCCCTCACCCTGGGTGCCAGGCCCCAGCTTGTTCACAGTTACCACCTCATCCCATCCCTAGCATCTACGTATAGCCAGACATCAGTGAGGAGGGCAACAGCAACAGAACCATGAGCACTGATAATGATACCTGGTCCTATGGAGGACACTACACCCTGAATCAAAACCAGAAGTGGGTGCAATGTGAAAATAAAGGGAGGTGTGCCATTCAGAAAGACACAGTTTAGATGAAAACCCATTTCAAATGTCCCAGTAGAACAACTATGGAGGAAAATTAATGAAAACATGTTTCCTTGCTCTATTAAATCAGTAAATCCCAGAAATATGGAATCTTTTTCATGTATCAGATATGGATACGTACTACTGAGGAATGTTTATTTCCTAGACAAGCTATCCTCTTGCTATGTGCTGTATATCACAATGCAGTGAAATTTTAATACAGGTGAAATTTGACCCTTTAAAGAAAATGTTAAGTAAAATCAAAATTGATAGTATTATTACTATTAATAAAACACATTTATTTTATTAAGGAAGTTTAATTATACAGCCATGCGTCTTTTAAAGATGGTGATAGATTCTGAGAAATTCATCCTTAGATGATTCTGTCATTGTTCAAACATCATAGAATGTACTTACACAAACCTAGATGGTATAGCCTAGTACAGACCTAGCCTATGTTTATCCTATTGTTCCTAGCTTACAAACCTGTACAGTATGTTACTGTGCTGAATATAGTAGGCACACAATGGTAACGCATGGGTATGTATATTGTTATAGTAACACAATGGTAAGTATTTATGTATCTAAACAGAGAAAAAGTATAATAAAAATACAATATTATAACTTTATGAGACCACCATCATAAATATGCTCTGTTGTTGGCCAAAACCTCATTCTGCAACACATAACTGTATTTTCATGTCACAGTGTTCAAAGTGTTAGTGGACTTTTCTCACTAATCATTTAGCCATTTGAGAAAAATAAAACACAATAACATGTAGTATTTTCATTTTCTCTAAGCAAACTTTAAAGGCACCAGAATTTAAATTTGATATGTTTTGAATGTTATGTGTTGTGGAGAAAAAAAAAGTTTTGATTTAGTATGAAACTGCAAGCAAATTTTGAAGATTTTCCAACTTATCTGAACTTTGAAGGCAAGGAAATATAATAGGATCCAACTTTCTTGTACGATTTTTGGTATTTTCTTTCTGGGGTGTTGGTTTTGGGAAGAAGGAAGGGAGATTAGGTTTATTGGATGGTAACTGAGCTCAAAGAATTTTTGTACATTAGTAGTCTTGCTGTCTGTCTTTGATGAAAACAAGGTCTCTACCGTTGTTTGTTTAATATTATGTTTATGCATCTTGTTTGTGTCTCAGAAATGCTGAAAGTGAGAGTGGTGAGTCATGTATGACTCATGTTCTAGTGGGTCTTAACCATTTCTCTACCTACCTAATCACACTTTGCTCAGAGCCCCCAAAACTTGACTACCTGAATGACTGATGTTGCTGGGCTTATGATAATCTCTTATTTTGCTTCATCTCCTCCAAAGAAGCCATTTAGAGCAAATATTTTAAGGACTTAAAACAAATTTTATTCTCCCAAACTTGCCCTCTCTTAAAAAAATAAATAATCAAATGCATCCAAAGCAAGAGGGAAGGGGAAAGTGTAGGAGAGCAAACGAAACACTCCATGCAGGGGTTTTATTGAAAGATCTTTGTGGTATTTTGCTTTTGAAATGTGTTCAGCACAGACTTTAAGGATTGGCAATTTGTTTAAAGAAATGGGTAAAATATTTAAAACCACCACTTTATTTAAACTATTGTGCCTCCTTCAGTAAACATTCAGCACATGATTGAACCCTGTATGAACTTGTGCTTTTGCTGGTTAAATAGAATCTAAGCTTAAAATGAAAGGGGCCCTGCTATTGAGAAGGGGACAAAAAACTTACATGTGCATTTTTTTTTTTTTTTTGCCCACACACAAGGGTTTACCCCCAAAAAATACCATGTGAGTGGGATCCTTTATTAAAATGCCCCAAGTTTTTTTTGTTGTTTTTTTCCCCTTGGCCTCAAAGTGCTAAATGAAAGCAAGCTGTTAACAGAAATGAGTAATTATTGAAGCTCTAACAGGCAGCTTTCATTGAAGTTGATTACAGCAGCCATATAATCACTTTTACGGATGCTGTAATCACAGTAGCAGGGAATGCTTCACTTGGTTCTTATTGTTTTCGCTCAGGGTGGAGGTAGGGGGCCTGCAAGAAGCCCGTTTTGCCACCTCGGTACAATTTCTGCTGCAAAAGAAATCTACACAGCCCTGAATGGAGTCGAGAATCATTTATTCTTTCTTTATTAGCATTTTTTCCTTCCTCACATAGAGTCTGTTGGAGTCAGGAAATTGCTGTTATTCAATATGCAAGCCAGAGGTTGTAATGACCGCTTGGAAGGGTATGACCAACAATTACAGCCCTTAATGAATTGGGGTAATCTAGTTGAGACTAAACACTAGTAGCAACTCTGGGCCGTCTCTGGTTAAATTAAAAGAACAGCAATGCAAAGGAAGTTAACAAGAATTAATTAGTTAGATCGAACTGAAAACCTACTCATTAGAGATGTTATAGGCAAAGTAAAAGCCTATCTTCAGTGCAATTAGGTAGACAAATGAATTGTACAACTGACTGACTCACACCTGCTAACAGCTAAGGGCTATAGCACTATGTATGGGATCCACTTTTTCCAGTTCATGCATACTTGCATAGTTTAATGGATCTTACATTCTTGAATTAGCCTCCATTCCTTCAAATTTTTACTTGGATGTTTGATCTAAATATGGGCAGTTTCAATGCTGCAGGATGTTAACAAGCACTGGCTGAAGAGGGCAAAGGATGTGTTTAAAACCCCCTAGAGAGGGGTTGTCTCGTTTAAAAACAGCCCAGAGCAGTTTCCCCTGACCATTTCCTCAAAGAAAGAAACTGCATCTTATCTGTTTTCAGATATGTGTATTACCTAATTATTCAATCTTAAATCATTAGAAGACAGTCTAGGATGTCTGCATTTTAGAGGTAAATAAGTATTAAAAATAGAAAGGTAGTTTTAGGAAGATTATAAAGCAGCTGGGAGTGATGCATGGTTGTGGGGAGGTGCCAGGGCAAGGAGGTCTGCTTTGCTTTTGAGGGCATGTGCACAATAGATAAGGAAAAGAGAATCCCTAGAAATCTTAAACTGGGAACTTTCTGGGAGCTGTTATCATAATAATGCGCTCTGGTATTTTTTTTCCAGATGTTTCTCTGTTTTTTTTCTACCTATTACGTTTTGTCTTCTTTGCCTTCTTGCACAGAGTCTCTGAAAGCTCTCACTGTGTAACATATTTGCTCCTGCTGTCTAGTTTGGGATGGACGGTTTCATTAAAGGGGGAGGAGCAGGCAAAGGAGTCCTGGAGGTGGATTTTTCTGCTTATATTTATGAATGGAATGACAGGCAAGGGGTAACGTGGTTCTCCCAGAGTGGTATCGTCAAGCAGGAATCAGGAGTCAGAAGTTTATTTTCCAGCACTGCCCTGGTGTCTCAGAATGAACTTGGAATAACCTCTCTGTGGCCCATATTTTTGCCTTTTTAATAGGGGTGATCACCAGTGTTTCCAAAATTTATGGGTCAGTCACAGGAGGAAAATTTCTACTAGTCCCCCTTTCACCACCTCTTAATCACTTCCCCACTACCAGTCAGACTGCTCTTTGCAGTGGCACCAAGAAGTTGTTTTGGCACCAGCCTTCCTTTCCATTTTCTTTCTTGTCAGTAGGGGCAGAGGACAGACCAGACAAGCAGGAGTCCAGCACTGATCCTCAACGCTGCTTCCTTCACCACTTTTGTTCCCACCAGGACGCCTCCTACTGGTGTGAGAGAAGGAAGGGGCCTCTAGGCTCTTACGAGGCAAGTGTTCAGCAACTGCTAAAAGCAATTGAATGAGTGGGTTTCTGAGCTATGGTTTCCTGGCATAGCTTCTAATCACCTTCTGAGAAGGGTAGGACCAGTTGAATCCACTAGTTTTGAGTCTCCAGAAGGGGAGGGTGATGAGTGCATAAGCTGTAGCCTTCCGCTCACATGATATTGTGCTAAAAGCAGTTACAAAATCCAGTCTAACTCAAGTGCCCTCCCAGGCTGCCATACCTCTAACCCCCAAAGTGAAAGCCATGGAGGGAAAGCATTTTTGAAATTGTAGCCACTTCTGCTAATACACAGTAAGCATGCAAGTAATTAGAGAACTAGTTTACTTTAGTCAACACAACTTCTCCTTGCTCTGAGCCAAAGAAAGCCCTTATGATGCTGCCCAATAGGTCGGAAATAAAAGACTAAGGCAACAATATAGGGGAAAGGCTATGGAGAAACAAACAAAGGAAATGCCCTCTTGAACTAAGAGCAAAGAGGACAAATCATGAACATGCTTAGAGGGGCCAGAATACAAAACAAGCATGGAAATGTTCTCAGTCTTATTTGAGAGCCAGGCAGCAGGGGTGAGACAATCAAGAACATTCAGGGTTATCGCCCACAGGCCACTTGGCGACCCATGGGAGAATCCCCACAGGACAGGAGTAGCATTGAGAGGGGCCCCGCCAATATCTCTGCCCCATCATGTCTTTTCCCTTTATATAGCCTTTGTACTGCTGATGGTCCTGGCCCTTTCTATGGGGTTCATTCACTGTAGTTTATCTAGGCCTTAAACCTCTTGTGAACCACCTCCCATTTCCCAAGAGCAGTCCCAACAAGGATGGCCACATTTCCATGGGCCCCAGATGGAGGCACTTGGTTCTTGGAGTCTTGGTTCTGGTTTACTGATTGGACTTGCATTCGTTTCCTAGGACTGTGGTAACAAGTTACCACAACCTTGCTGCCTTCAAAGAACAAAAATTTATTCTCACGCCTCTGGAACCTAGAAGTCCAAAAAGATGCCTCAGATTAAAGAACCACTTCTGGGGGCCGAAGTCCAGAGGTGCTAGTGGCGGATGTTTTCTTGCCTCTCCCAGCTTCTGTTGGCTCCTGGCCTTCCTTGGCTTGTGGCAACATGTCTCCAATCTCTGCTTCTATCATTACATGGCCTTCTTATCTATGTGTCTCTGTGTCTCAAATCTCTCCCTCCTTTCTCTTATAAGGGCATTGGCCAATGAATTTAAGGCTCACTCTAAAGTTTTTAAATCCAGGATAGTCTCGTCTTGAGCTCCTTACATAAATGACATCTACATTTGGATCCTTATTCCAAATACAATCACGTTCTGAGGTTCTGAAGACATATCTTTTGAGGGTCACAATTCAACTCACTACAGGACTGTAATCAATGATGTTGGTTCTTCAATCCAAGGCATCATTTTTCAAAGCATGTTCCGTGGAGCACTAGCCCCTTGAGATTCTTCAGAGGAAAAAAAAAGGTTAGATGGTTCTGTGGTCAAGTAAGTTTAGAAAGCTATACACCCCTTTGGGGAATCACAAATCACAGAGCTGATTAAAGGTTTGAGATGTCCCAAAGTTGTTTAACTTTATCAAAGTCATTGTTTCCCCAAACTTAATTGACCAAAAAGAGCTGTTGCTTCTTTTTTAAAGTAACACATTATTAACAACCCTTGGAATGCACTGAGAAATGCAGGACCCATAGTATTATTTCAGTGAGCAAATATGAGCCTCAAACCTCAAGTCTATTATCTAGTCTTTCCTGAAGTTTTGCTTTGTACTGAATAGCAGTCCATGGCTAGCCCTTTCCACTTCTTTGGTCTATCAAGTTGTAAACAAGCCCAATTATAGCACAATCTCATATCACACAGATTCAGCCAGACTATAGGAGTGGTCTTCTGAAGCAAAACGAGTTTTATAAAAATGATCTTTTAAAGTTTTTGCAGAGACTGTTAGTTTGGCCCAATCCTAGAATTATGAAAAAAGGAAAAAAAAAAGCCTCATTTCATTATAGTTCCTTTATTTCTTGGTCCAAGGTTTCCTCCCTTTTCCTAATTAAACTTTGTGATATGTGACATCCTTTTACTCAAAACAGGATTAAGTATCAAGAGAATGAAATTGTGATCCTAGCTCTACCAGTGAAGACCTATAAAGCTTTATGAAAATCAGTTAACCATTCAGTGGAGCCTTAACGTAATTCCTTAATCTGAAAAATGGGCTTATTTTAGCCTAACAACCCCATCAAATTATTATTATTATTATTATTATTATTATTATTATTATTGAGATGGAGTCTCTCTCTGTCGCCCAGGCTGGAGTGCAGTGGCGCGATCTTGGCTCACTGCAAGCTCCGTCTCCCGGTTTCACGCCATTCTCCTGCCTCAACCTCCCAAGTAGCTGGGACTACAGGTGCCTGCCACCACGCCCAGCTAATTTTTTTGTATTTTTAGTAGAGACGGGGTTTCACTGTGTTAGCCAGGATGATCTCGATCTCCTGACCTCGTGATCCGCCCGCCTCGGCCTCCCAAAGTGCTGGGATTACAGGCGTGAGCCACCGCGCCCAGCCGAAAATCATCTCTTAAGTGTTTCATTTGTTGTTATTAAACAGTATTTTTAAATCAATAATGCTTAATAACAATGCTTTATAAACAGCAACAAACATTCTTATCATACCTTGAGAATACTAGAAAGAGAAAGAAAGAAAGAAAGAAGAAAGGGAGGGAGGGAGGAAGGAAGGAAAGAAGGAAGGAAGGAAGGAAGGAAGGCAGGCAGGCAGGGACGGAGGGAGGGAGGGAGGGGAAAGAAGGGGGAGACCGGGAGGGAGGAGGAGAGGAAGGGGAAGGGAGAGGAGGGGAGGGAAATAGGAGGGGAAGAAAAAGAAAGAGAAAGAGGAGGGAAGGGAGGGAAGAGGGGAGAGGAAAAAAGAGGAAGGGAGAGAGGGAGGGAGGTGGGGGAAAGGCCCCGTTAGGGCCAGCTTCATGGGCATGCAACCCCTGCAGTCTCTTGGGGCCCCACACTTAGGCCTTGCACTCAATTTAATTCTCTGCTGTCACTGTCTTGAATTTTTTTTTTTAACAAGGAGTCCCACATTTTAACTTTGCACTGGGGACCCCAGATTATGTAGCCTGGCCTAGGCCCAGCCATTCTTCCCTCATAACCCTGTGAGGAAGTTATTGAGGGACCCCTTTGCAGTGGAAGCTAGACAGCATTCTGACTAATTTGATCCTACAATTTCATTTCTGCAAGAAAAGCTTACCATTAAGGAACTTCATTCCAGTTCAACAAACACTAAAAACCAATCTTTGGAACTGCTCCAAGTCCTAAGTCCCTTCGTATTTTCAGTTTACACATTTTGAAAAAGCCCAGGCCACAAAGCCAGCTAGAACATTTTAAATTATGGGTGTGGCCCAAGTGTTATTTTTAAGCCATTAAATGAGTTCTTTCAAAGTTTGAACTCTTGCAAAGTTACTTCTGTGCCGAAAGCTTTTTAATGACCAGAAAATGGGAATTTGCAATAAAAATGTTGACACAAGCCCACTCCAGGGCCAGAGTTTCTCTGCTCTAAGCGTAGTACACGGGCAATATGGTAATAAGGGCAACACCACGTAACTGACAAGAAGCAGAGTCTCTGAGCAGGCAAGAAGGTCAGAGTTTGTCAGTTTATAAAGCTGGGTGGATTAGTCACTGGATCTCACTGAATATTCTCGTCAATTCTGTTGGCCGGTATTGCCTCATATTTATAATAACCAGGTATCTTCAGATTTTACTTGTCTTATTATAGTTGCTTCAACGTGGAAAAGACAATGGTGTTGGGCTCTGTAACTTCTGCTTGCTCAGAGAAAAAGTTTCAAAAAGGATGCTGACTGGATAGGCTCTGATCTTCAGAAATTGTCATTATCATGGTGATAGCGTTTGTTGAGTTAATTTTAGAAACTGTTGAGGTCTCTTTCTCTCTCTTACAGATTTCTTACTTTTTAAAAATATCTTGGAAATTTGGAACTACTTTAGTATTTTTTCATGATTTTGTTCTTTAAGATTCAGAAAGCAAGTGCTGGGTACTTTCCTTCCATCTTCAGTTGTGCAGAGCTTAAATGGCATTGGTGCTTTTCCTTAACAGCAATGACAATGGCTTAATTTATGTGGTGCTGCATGTTGCCAAGCCATCTCAGTTTGTACCCCCTCCACATCACCAATGATGGCACATCTCACAAACAATACTTGTTAGCGGCTGGGACCGATTCAACAGATGGAGTCCAAAACAGTGTTTACACAAGTTCTATAAAAATAGTGGTTTTAAAAACACATTGGCAATTTTATGGTAGATTGAAGAAGAAAAAAGAAACTACTTATCATTTAGATTAGTTTTTCCCATAAGATTGTGAAAATGTTATGGGAGATTAATCTCAGATAAAAAAAAAAGAAAGAAAGAAATACCTGGTAGGGATTGGAAAAATGGGTATTCAAATGGAGGACAACCTTTGAGATAGATACAGAAGGTTGAATGTGAGACTTTGGTTTAACCAAACTGCTTAACATTTACAATAAAATCAACACTTCTTAGGCAACAATTGGTATCCATGCCATCCATTGGAGTTAAACGATTATCATCACCATATAGATTTAACAGACAGTTGAGGGACTGTTTTATAACCTCACTATTTTGAAGCCACCCCATGACTCAGACGCTAAGCAGGACTGTATGTAACCAAAACCTCCTAGAATTTTAAAATTTAAAAAAACTTTAGAAATCATCTAGTCCAGCATTATGTAACAGAACTTTCTGCAGTGCTGGATATGGTCTAAATATGTGTGGTCCAGTATGATTATCATTAGTCATATGTGGCTATTAGGCATTTGAAATGTGGCAAGTGTAACTAAGATATTAAATTTTATATTTTATTTAATTGAATTCATTTAAATTTCAGTGACTGCATGTGGCTAGAGCCCATGGTGTTAGGCTGCACAGGTTCTAGTCCAATCCCTATTTTGCAAAAGAGGAAATAGAGCCTACAGTGTTTCAGGGCCTTGCACAGTGTCTCACACCGACTTTGTGAAAACCAAATAGTAGGCCGGGTGCAGTGGCTAACGCCTGTAATCCTAGCACTTTGGGAGGCCGAGGTGGGTGGATCATGAGGTCAGGAGATCGAGACCATCCTGGCTAACACGGTGAAACCCCGTCTCTACTAAAAATACAAAAAAATTAGCCAGGCGTGGTAATGGGCACCTGTAGTCCCAGCTACTCGGGAGGCTGAGGCAGGAGAATGGCGTGAACCTGGGAGGCGAAGCTTGCAGTGAGCCTGGGCAACAGGCTGGGCAACAGAGCAAGAAAGACTCTGTCTCAAAAAAAAAAAAAAAAGAAAACCAAATAGTATCAGAGCGAGGGAGCCAACTCCCAGTCAGGTGTTCTGTGTGCTCACGTAGTAGTACCCACCTCCTGGTCCACAAACTTGCAGAGTGGCTCAAAGTAAAGTGAGAGAGATGAGGGCGGTAGCTTATATTTTTCGTAAAGTTCCCATGAGTCAAGTTTTAAGTTTTTATAGATTTCTATTGGTGTTATAGTTCTCTATGCTGTTATATACAAATTCCAAATATAAGTTTCAAACTGTTGAATAGATGAGAAAAGTTAAAACTTGGCAAGTCAATGTTGGTCTCCCATTTTTTTTTCTTTTTTAATTTTACTGGCCTAAGAAAACTAGTTCCAAAGTCTTGGAAACATGTATTAAATCCCACGTGGGCAGCTCACTATAGTCTGGTATAGCCCCTTCTAATTATGTCACAATTTCTTAGAAAGCAACCATTTCTTCTACCTGTCTCAAAACCTCCACAATGTATATAAAATTGCAAGACACATAATAGACATTTAATAATTTCTCACTGAATAGAATTAGATTTTTAAAATGATGTCCTCATAATACAAGCATGCAAGTTATCTGAGAAGACGAATATTTTAAGCTATTGTCAGTCATTAACTCAAACTGGTTATACCATAAGAAGTAATCTAAATGTATATCTCTTGCTATCATAAAGCTCTTTTGCCCATATGCTGCCATTTAATCTTAACAATATTATGAGACGTAAAACAGAAAACTGCTTTAATTCTTGCGTTGCAGTCAGAAACTGAATTCAGAAAGGTTAAGCAACTTGCCCAAGGACTCACAGGTAGTAAAGATGGAACCAGGACCACTGCAGCTGCAGTATTCTAATTCTGTGGCCAGTTCTCTTTCTAGTATCTATCAGAAAGAAGAAGTGAGATGATAACAGCAATGCAATTTCAGTAACCTTGAAATTAACAAACACATGTATTGAGTACCTTCAGTTTTCCTGGTACTGGGTAGTGTAGGGAACACAAAGACAAAGATTCAGAGCCCAATCCTCACAGTAATTCACCTGAAAGAGCAGGCACTATGGAAAGAGGACACAGACTGATGAGTTTGAATGACAGAGGGAAGGGGAGAGGTGATGATGAATGCATTCAAGGCATGAGGTACTGTCCCAAGAGGAAAAGCCAAAGTGATGGGGAGGGAAGTGGGCCTGATGCGCCCAAGGAAGCAGGAAGGCACTGGATTCTTGTGAGTAGAGTGACAGCAGAAGGACCCAGGGGCACTAATGGAAGAATGAACAAACACTGAAAACCAGCATCTCCTGTTGCCCAGGTGCTCCCTCCATTCCCATTGCTCAACTCTGCTTGCAAACAATGGAAGCAATCTATTTTGCCTCTGGTGGGTGGACCCATTGACTCGATTGTCTGAGTTGGTAGAAGTCCCTTTCTGGGAAGTGACCCAGAGCCACTCCCTACTGGTTGGCGTAGGCTGCCTTCTGCTTTGCCAGCCCCCTCTGGGCTGCACCTGCCAAAGCCCAACCTAGTGTTGTTCTCCAGCCCCAGGGTGAGCAGGCTCTTTGAAGCGTATTTCACAAGCTCCATCACCAGCGGCTGCTGTCGGGGCATAGCTAGACCAGTTGCCACATTCCCCAAAACAGCTACCATAGAGAAAGAAGTCTGGGAACACTTAAGGGTCGTAGTGAGAAAGAAGCAGAAGGTCAGAGACACAGCTATTATTGAGAAGGAAAGGAGGAGAAAGAGCAGGAAATAAAGGTGAGGCTGAGAGGAAGGAGGCAAGGGACAAGAAACCATACGATGAATGAGAGTGATCCCAGAGGTCTGGAAAAATGTCTCAATTCCAGATGGAGTGCACCAGAGTCCTGCCTCCAGGCTGAAAACACAACAAACTCTTCAGAATCAATGAAGTCTTTTATCCTCTTCGATATATTTGTAGACAGTGAGCAGCAGCTCTCTCGGTAGCCAATTGCTATGTTTTATCAGACTCATGGCAAAGAGTGCTTCCTGGTACTAGTCAAAAGTTTCCTGCTTTACTGTTTTGTTTTCTCTGACTTAGTCACCTGGGGCATTTAGGGCCCCTGACTGATAGGTGATAAAACCCACTACCACCCTGAGATTATTGGGCTCGTCTTAGTAGACACATACAATCTTTGCCATGATTCATATATTCTTTCAACAAACATTCAATAATTGACTATGATATTCAAGTCACTCCTACTCAAAGTTGATGAATACTTCTCTATTAGGTCAGTTGTTTATAATATAACAAAGTATATTACAAACAGGATGATTTCTAAGAGAACCAGTGTTATATAGATAAATGACTAACAGGTGTCTAGTGCACAAACAGACTCTTTCTATCTTCAATTGAGTGTTATTTTTAAAGACACTATGTTCTAAATTATTTGTGACTGTCCCCCATGAGTCTAGCTTGTCCCTGGCCCAAACATGTCTTTCCTCAAGCTTCTTTGTGACTCCACTACACTATTCCCTACTCAAACCCAGCTTTCTTGTGAACTCTACAAGGCACCTAAGCAAAAAAGAGGCATGGATATTTTTTTTCTGCCTACCACTCTGCTACCTCCCACAAGTCTGTTTCAACTCAACCCCACTCCTTTCTGAAGTGTCCTGACACCCCAAACATGATGCCATTTCTGGTCCCAGCTCCTACAGAACTAATTCTCTTTGTTTCTGTAACTGGCCTCTGTATCCCACAGAAACTCCAGGGAATCTGTTTTGTTTTCTCTATGGTGTCATCCAGAACCTAGACTCAGCCAGTCTTGTGATGGAATGAGAGGCCTCTCTTGTTTATCTGTTGCCTATCAGCTCTTAGCATCCACCGCTAGTCATTTCGCAATTGTTCATTCATTTATTCATTCATTCAAAAATATTTATTGATTACCTACCAATACCATACACTCTAGATGCCAGGACAATGTAAGAAGAAAGGAAGGAAAGGAGAGAGAAATAGTGAGCTCTTGTGCTCTGGAAGGTTACAGTCCAATGGAGGACCAAGACAAATAAACAAATACCTACAATACAATGTAATTATTGTTGTGGTAAGAGAAAACAGCTTGCCAAACAAAGGCAAAGACCATCTAGGCTACACTCAGACCCCATCAAAGAAATAGCACACAGAGACCTGTGGGGTTGAAATGTCAATACTGATAGTCTTTTAATCCTATGGTACTTTTAAAAAAATAGTGCCAATTTTCTTTCTCTTGTGTAAGGGCTGTCACGAAGCACGTAGGCACCAAATCATCACACCCATTGACAAATCACCACCTCCCTGATTCCCCAAGGCTTCTCCTGCCCAGACTACACTGTCCCTTTCCTAAGGCATCACCGATCCTTTGCTCCATAAGCCAATGCCTGTCACGGTGCAGACTCCAGCCTCTCTCCTATACTGGTTGTTCAACAGCACCCTTGTGCTGTCATAGTTAGGGCTCTTTTCTGCATTTTTCTGCAGCAGTGACAAAGATAACACTGAAAAAATTCCAATGAAGAGAGATGCAAAAATGGCTTATTAATATTAGGGTAATTTTAAATTTATAGCACAGACTCTTTCTATAAGACAGAGATTTCACATTGGATGTGATATTCTAATATTTGAAGGATCGGTAATCTCCAAACAGTGTATAAAATGTGACTTGCTAAACCTCCCTTTGTCTAACCCAGACATACTTAGTCCATTTCACATGTGTAATTGTGGCTTCAGTAGCAGCTAGAAAGGAAATTGAGAGGTGTTCTTGTTGGGACATGGTTGCCTTGCCAAGAAAAAAGTTGCCAAAGACCCTGCTTGTTGTCTTTCCACTGGGTACTCTGGGAAGTTGGTTTGGGCTGCTCCTGGCTCACCACCACTTAACCCCTGAGTGTACCTCAGGAAAATGGTCAAGGAGGGATAATTAATGCAAATTTGCATTTGATTTAAAGACCTTTCAAAATTAGTGTAGCTGGTCCTTAGACCATGCCCGTATCTACAAATAAAGAACCTTTATCCCAGCCTTTATCCCAAGACTTAAACCTAAAGAAGATCCCATTTGGTTTGGCTCTCCATGAGTCCTGCTTGATTCTTATAACAGTGCTTCCCAAACTTTAACGTGGGTCAGAATCACCTGCAAGTTTTGCTAAAATGAAAATCGCTGGGCCTCATTCCCAGAGTTCCTGATTCAGTAGGTCTGGGTTGGGGCCCAGGAAACTGCATTCCTAACACATCCTCAGGTGCTGATACTCTTGGTTCAGGGACCACACTTTGAGAAACACTGCTTTACAAAAACTACAATATAACTCACTGTCAATTTGCAAGTCCCATCATTTTTATCATTGTTACATATTGAGCTTCTCTGGACTGTGTAGAACTTTACTGAGTAAAGCCAGAAGAAAATACAGTTTGGCAATGACACAATTACTAAAACGTTTACAATTCTATGCATCATTCCAACAGCTGTGTTCTGTATCCTCTTTCTTCCCGATGGATTTGAAAAGTCCCATAAACATTCGTCAGGTCTTACTGGTCCCCACTCTTTGTATGGACCTCACCACCCCATGCTTCTCATGGTCACCCAGGCCTAAGCTATCACTTCCTCTAACTGCTTTCACAATCAAAGGGCACAAGTATCAGCCTTTCAAGAGACTAACTCAGAACTTCTCAGTTAATACACGTTTTCTAATGAAAAGAAAACTAAGATAAACAAGGCATAATATGTATTTTGGGTAGATTGCCTAATTCTCTTGAAGCTCAGAATATTTTTTTTCAGCCAGGGGTCCATGAAAATCTGCCTACTTGCATGATTTTGTTGGACAAGTTTTTTAAAGTACATTCTTCTGACAAAGCCACTCTTTTGTCTCTCATTTCTCATCTTATAAGTGATTGCTCTCAGTAAAATTAAAAATACTTACCAAACTTTATACTTCCACTGGCTCTAAGGGCTACAGGCACATTTGCATTTTGCATGTGCTTGTTTATTAATTATAGGGTAATTTTTATTTGGATCACGATCTATCTGCCTACACAACAACGAACATGTACATTCATTGTTATCATTGTTTGCATCAGAGAGCTATTAATCAATCATTAAAAGTTGCTTCATATCATGCACAGAAGATTATTAATGTCTTATTGTTGAGAAAGCTTACCTAAGCTAATGTTTTCAAAACTGAAATGGTTCATCACATTTGGCATATTTTGGTTTTTGTTTAGTACACAGCCTAGCTTGTCCATATGAAAGTATCAAATGCCAAAGGTCACACTGGGAATATCCTGATGGAGAGATAGATGCAGAGAGCGTGTCTAGTTGAAAGCATCCAAATATGTTTTTATTGGTGAGAATCAGTAATGAAGATGTATTTAAAAGAAGCTGGGATGGTTTCATTTTCAAATTTAGCATTTAGACCAAGATACTTCTATTTTTAAAAATCCCCATGAATATTTTTCATTTCCTATTTTGTTGTTGGTTAATAGTTTCACAGCTTTTCAGCGTCTTGAATTGTTACAGGTGGGGGATATTTTCAAGTTCTAACAACATGCATCATTCAACGTTCTAAGTAAGACTTCTTATTAAATTTTTTTCATCCCCTTGTCTCTTCAGCAGTCTCTCTGTGCCTTAAAAGTAAAATAAACCGTCATTTTAAAAAACGTCAGCCCTATCCACAGCCTCAGAGGAAGTCTTATCTAGTTGTTAGAGCAGGAGTCTGGTTCTCTAGAGCCCTGGGTACAATTCTGTGCTTCAACACACGCTCTGAATTTGTCACTTATATTCTCTGTGCCCCAGTTTTCCCATTAGCAAAATGAGGACAATATTACTTCTTATAAGTGTGATGGGAATGAATTGGCATTGGCAAAGTGTTTTGAAGTTCTTCGATAAAAGCAGACAACATGGAACCAGGTATTTGGCCAGATCTACATTCCCTTGAGCCAAGTGGGAATTAAAGAAATATCTACTCTCGGGAAATTTTGAAGGGAAAGGCCCTGGCCTCTTATTATGATACTTATCCTGCAAAAGGAAACAGGCCCTTAAGTCTTTGTTGTGATGTGTTGATTTTGGTGTTTCCCCACTAACAAAAATGAAAATGTTTTAAAGTGGATAAACCTTGATCGTATAATCTCTGATCAAGAAAATGAAGCATGCCAGCATGTCATCTTCTGCCACTCTATGGGAGAACTTCCAGGTCTGGTCCTACGTAAATTTTTTAACATGGGAACATAGGCTCTTGTAAAGAATTAGGCAGAATAAAAAAAGTCTGGAGGAATTCAGTTGGAAAAAATATCCTATCCATTCCCCTATTGAGAATATCAGAGCTTCAAAAATATGCTCAAGGGAGAAGGAAATTGGAGAGCATGTAGGTTATTTTAAATATATATATACACACATATTTATACCCATGTAAGAGGAAATAAATTAGAGAAAAAGGAAGAACTCTCACTGTGAAAATCTGTTTTCTATGATGTTTTTGGATATAGAGAAGGCAAGGACCTTCAGGAAACATTTTAATGTTAAGCAATATCCCATCTATTGTCTACAGGCAATTTGACAGCAGGGAGTTGAAAAGACCCAAGTTCAATTCCTCACTCACTGTCCTCACGGATGACAGCCAGTAAGCTTCATGACCCAGTTTATCCTGCAAACCTAAGATTGTAACGATTTAATGAGTAGATATCGGCAAAAGTGGTATGCTTGTTAACCTTTGTGCCACAAAGAATAGGCAGTGAGGAACTTTGGAAAGAGAGTAAATCTTTAAAAGCCCTGGTGTACAGTGAAAATAAAAGGCAATAACTTTTATCAAACACTCACAAAAGCCTTATAATCTGAAAGAAATAATAGCTCTATCACAGAATATAATTAACATACTAAATATTCATTTAGTCTTCTTGTAATTGTAGATATATTATAAAAACAGGGAAACAAAAAAAAAAGTCAGTGAATAACAGAATGTCCTTTGGATGAAACCCTAGCAATCAACTAATCGAATGTTCCCATTTTACTGATGAGAAAAAAGCAAAGCCCAGAGAGTGACTTGTCCAAGGTCACTCAAGCAATTTGTAGCAGAGGGGGATAAACAATCCAGATCTTATGAATCTGGGTCCCTTTTTATTTTTGACCATACCATGCCACCTATAAAGGAGCATTTCTTCAAAGAATGTCAGAAAACATAACTAAATAGGCTTAGCTTTGAAAGTCTAGTGAAACCAGAGATAGAGAGATGTTCACCCTCCTGCTTTCTATTGAAGTTGTTTTTATTAAAGAGTTCCACTTAAGCTTTTAAATTTGATATAACAAGAAATTAACACAACTATCTTTAATGATAAGCATGTCCCTGTTCTCCTGGACACAAGCTGGATGACATTTCCCACCCCCTTGCAGTTACATGTGCCCACGTGATGATTCCAGCCAATGAGATGTGAGCAAAAGTGATACATGCCAGCTCCCAGCCAGGCCTGTAAAAATTTTACATGTAGTATTCATCATATTATTTCCACATTCACCAGCTTGATGCAAATTAGCACAGCGACTTTAATAAGCACAAGTTGAAGATAGTAGAGCTACAAGATGAAAGGAGTCCTCCAACTTAGAGGAGAGCTGCCCCACTCGACATAAGCACTCAGTTTAGACCTCATGTAGGAGAGAAATAAACTCCCTTTATGACCAACCCACTGTGATATGGGGGCTTATGCATTATGTCAACTGATGGTACCTTCACTAATGCACAAGCTCAAGCACAACATATTTACCCAGTTTTGCAAATGCTCTTGTGGCTTTCTTCCATCAGCAGTGGACATGTGACATTCTTCATAAAAACCTTGATAAAAACTATAAAGATGTGACATTTTTAAAGAGAGCTCAGCACAACACAAGAATGAGTCTATTGTTGATGGCAATGAAATACATATTTAAATATAAGACATGGATGATTCAAATGAAAAGGAGTAAAAGTTTTAGGATGTGTAGATAGTTTTAACTCAGCTAGAGCTGCCGTATGGTTGCCTCATGCCTTGTATTTCTAATTACATTTACAAGGAAATTTGGTCATCAAATTAGGCTTTAATTTGACAATTCCAAAATCACATACATTTGTGTACTGAGGGCTCATATTATCTGGACGATTTGAAGTGACGTATATTACAAATGAAAACATATCGTTTGCAAATGCCCATTTGAATAAAAAGCTCTATAGCTTCTACAATCAAAGATATTGCAAAGATAAGCCTAAATATAGAAATACAGAGACATATGTGTGACTTCAGACACAGGAGGGTGGATTTTTGTGACATGTGTGAATTGTCTGTTGGAAGCTTTTTTGTTTTCTTTTTCTTACTTTTATCTTCTGCCTTCCCTGTGGCAGCTCTGCTGTTGGGATATGAGCAGTAGCCACGTTTCTCACTCTATGGGCAGGTTTTCTCTGGGTCCAAGGTGCATTCTTCAGTCTTAATAACTGGGAAGAGCATTCTTAACCTAGACCATAAAATTGTATTATTACCCTATGAGGCCAAAAGCCTTTTGTAACTATGCACACTTAACTTCTGACCTTAAAGAGATTTTACATATGTAAAACTCTCAACAGGGGAGTCTGAAATCATCCTCAAACTAATCTATGCTGTATTGGCAAATTGGAATGGCTATTTAGAAAGTACAATGGCAAAATTTCAACTCTATGTTTATTAAACCTAATTTGCTCTAAATCCCTGCTGATGAAATTATGTCTGCTGTCTCTTAGGAATCAAAAGATTCTCTAGAGGATAAACTAAAAGAAGCTAAATAAACATCACCAGACTGAATGGATGGCTTATTGCAATTCTGCCTTTACTGAGGTATCTAGTAACAATACAACCTCTGAGAATGAAAAGTGAATCACTGAATATTACTTCATAGAATAGTATAATAAATTCTCTGTGGTGTTTTCATGTAGATATTTTATGATGGGAAGAAGCAAATTATACAATTATACTGTAAAGAATGAAAGTCTTCTTTAGTATTTAGTGGGACACTTTATTTGAGGATATAAGGTCAGTTCACCCAAACACAGAGTATGTCAAATGGATGAGAATCTCAAGGATTGAATTTTCAGTGATTCTGTTCAATATCTCCAAGGAAGGTGTAGGAGTTTATTTACGAAAGCCCTGATGGCTCCTAACTTTGGTATTTTGCAGTATAAGTACACGATTACACTTCAGAGGAGAATGTGGCAACAAATTCAAACTTATTTGGAATTGACAATTTCACTTTCTCACCCAGAGATTATATTCCAAAAGAAAGAAGACTTTTGAAAGTCCAGGTGTCTTTGAGGCATACACAACCTATAAACAATATGTTTTCTTCTAGAAGGGAGTTCCAAAGTTGTACAAGCTGAGATTATCATAAATACCGTGACCACAGAGTTAAATATTTCATAAAGTGTTTTGGGGCTTTTTTTAAAAAGAATTTCCTCTTTATTGCTGTTCATTTGTTATCAATTCTGCATTTAATCTGTTTAAGAAATTAAAAAGCATAGCTGCATACTCTAGCTTCCCAGAAACTTTATATCCACGGATGTGTGCCAGAATAGTTTCAGATGATTATTTGCAGTGTGCTTCCCAGTGCTTAAAAATTAAATCTGTCACAAATCATGCAGTACCACAGTGGCATCTTTGGTTAAGGAATTAGACCACTGAACTGCACGGTCACCCACATGGACAGTTACATGTGACTAATGAAAATACAGCCTTCTTTTTGTCCTACATGTATATGAGAAACAGAAACTCGAACAGGAGGCTCCTGAAAGTAGATGTCAGAGATGACACTGGCTGCTGTGGAGGAAGTGGAGGATGCTGGATACACCTAAAAAAAGTCATCTCCATTCCTTGTGTTTAGGATTTATAATGTTAAGAATCATGTTGCTATTTCAGCCTACTTTTAGGTTATGAAATCAAATGGATTTTTTTCTCATTTGCTAGATAACACCAAGTTCTTCTAAGTCAAATTTTCACAAGCAAGTCTGCTTTCAAAAATGCCCCTTAAGAGAAGAAATAACAAATAAGTATCTATATGTACTAGAAGCAAAAAACTAGAAAATCATATTTTAAAGTTACTTTTAAAATAACATTAAAACTTATATATGTATGAATAAGTTTAACAAAAGGTGTGTAAGACCACTATATTGCTAATTACAAAATATTTCTCAGGGAAACTAAAGAAGACAAATGAAGATGTATCACACAATCTTGTATTTAAAAATTCAATATTATTATCACTACTATCAATGTTATTATTTTTAGACAAGGTCTTGCTCTGTTGCCCAGGCTGGGTCGAGGATCGCTTGAGCCAGAAAGGTCAAGGTTGCAGTGAGCTGTGGTCACTCCTTTGCGCCCTCGACCACCCTGGCTCAAGTGATCCTACACACATGCCCTGCCCAGCTAATTTAATTGTATGTAGAGACCGGGTCTTCTTATGTTGCTCTGGCTGGTCTAGAACTGCTGGGCTCAAGCAATCCTCCCGTCTGGGCCTTCCAAAGTGCTGGGATTAAAGGCATGAGCCATCGTGCCTGACCAATACTATCAATATTACTATATTGAATATTAATATTATTCAGATATTAATTCTCCCTCAAACTGATCTAGAGATTCAATAAAATCACAGTCAAATATGCCTTCATTGGCAAGAAAAAGCCTTTTTTTTTCAGAAGTTGACATGTTGATTCTAAAATGTATATGATAATAGAACCTAAAAGAGACAAAACAATCTTGAAAAAGAAAATAAAGGATTTGACTTGTCTGCTGATTTGAAGATTTACTCTAAAGCTACAGTAATCAAGACTGTGTGATAATGATGAAAGGACAGACAAATAGGTCAATGCAACAGAATGAAGAGTTCCAAAAAGAGACCCACACAAACCCGCTCAATTGTTTTTTAGCAAAGATGCCAAGGCAAGTCAATGGGAAAAGGAAAGTCTTTTCAAAAACTGGTGTTGAAACACCTAAATATCTGTATGAAAAAGTAAAATGAACATTGATCACAACCTTACACAATGCACAAATAATAGTCATTTGAGATGGATCATAAACATAACCATGAAAGCTGAAACTATAAATTTTCTAAATTAAAATGTGGAAGAATATCTTCATGACTTTCATGTCCAGAAAATAATATTTTAGGGAGGATACAAAAAGCACTAATCATAAAAGAAAAATGATACATTCAACTTTATAAAAAGTAAAAACGGCCGGACACAGTGGCTCACGCCTGTAATCCCAACACTTCGGGAGGCCAAGGCGGGCAGATCACGAGGTCAGGAGATCGAGAGCATCCTGGCCAACATGGTGAAACCCCGTCTCTACTAAAAATACAAAAATTAGCTGGGTGTGGTGGTGCGTGCCTGTAATCCCAGCTACTTGGGAGGCTGAGGCAGGAGAATGACGTGAATCCTGGAGGCAGAGATTGCAGTGAGCCAAGATCGTGCCGCCACACTCTAGCCTGGTGACAGAGCAAGACTCCATCTCAAAAACAAAACAAAACAAAACAAAAAAAGTAAAAACATCTGCTCATCAAAAGGCACTGGTAAAGTGATTGTCTCAATATTCTATCCTTCCACCACTCTGTGTGTGTGTGTGTATGTGTGCATGTGCGTGCATCTGGAAAAAGACTTGTATCCAGCATATATAAAATAGTCTTACAATTTAATAATAAGACAAATCATGCATTAAAAATAGCAGAAAGATTTGAACAGACACTACAAAAGTTCAGTGAGTACCAGAAAAGGTGTTTAACATCACTAGTCATCAAGGACATAAAAGTTTAACCTCAGTGAGATGCCCCTTTACACCCACTAAAATGACTAAAATTAAAAATACTGATGATACTATATGTTGGCAAGAATATGGTATAACTGGAATTCTTGTATATTGCTGATGAGAAGGTAAAATGGTACAATCATTTTGGGAAAATGTTTGGAGTTCTTACAACGTTAAACATACACCTACCCAGCAATATCCTTTCTAGAGATTTACCAAAGAAAATGAAAGCATGTGTATGCAAAAAGACTTATACATGAATGTTTATAGCTACTTTACTCATAATAACCCAAAACTGTAAACAACCCACATGCCATTAAATAGGAGAATGGATAAACAAATTGTGGTATATTCATGCAATGTAATATTACTCAGCAATTAAAAGGAACAAACTACAGATACACACAATATGGGTGCATCTCCTAGTCATTACATTGAGTCACAAGCTAGACGCAGATGAATACATACTATATGAAGTTCAAGAACAGACAAAACAAATCTATGGTATTAGAAATCAGAACAGTGACTGCCTGTGTAGGATGGGATTAATTGCAAGAGAGCACAGGGGAAATTGCGGGGGTGTGGGAAATGTTCTATTTCTTAATAAGGATGTTTGCTATATGTGTGTATGTAGTTATCAAAATTCATTGACTTGTACACTTAAGATCTGTGAATTCCGATGCATGTACACTTTATCTTAAAAGAAATATAAAAGTAAAAATACTGAAGGAAAAGTACACTAAAGAAGACCTGAGCTGCTATAGACTTTGTAAAATACCTCACTTTTGCCCTCCAAACATTCTCCAGGCTCACTAAATGTTTCTTGTTTCCCACTCCTCCCCCTCCCCACCCTCTTCCACCATTTCAGGAGTCTGCCTGGCTTCCAAAATGTGAACTTTTGAAACATGAAGTCTACGAAAAGTTAAGATTGCAGAGGAAAAGCCACAAACGCCAGGAAAGGTCAGAATATTTTATTCTAATATTGGTCCACCCTCATTGCAAATATTTAACATTTTTTCAGAATTTAGTTAACTGTATCTCTTACCAGGTGATAATGACTATGATGAAGATAAGTCACTAATATTTGTATACTAATTTATAGTTGGCGAATGTATCTAATACATGAGAAGAGGTATGCCTTGGTGCTTTATTAAAATCTCCACCCTCTATTTGTTGATTTTCTTCTCTAGGTGTTTTAGTCTTGTACTATTTTTATTTTCAAGAAATAAATGAACCTTAAAGAATGACTTGATTGGCTGGGTGTGGTGGCTCACACCTGTAATCCTAGCACTTTGGGAGGCTAAGGTGGGCAGATCACGAGGTCAAGAGATTGAAACCAACCTAGCCAACATGGTGAAACCCTGTCTCTACTAAACATACAAAAATTAGCTGGGCATGGTGACACGTGCCTGTGGTCCCAGCTACTCGGGAGGCTGAGGCAGGAGAATCACTTGAACCCAGGAGGCGGAGGTTGCAGTGAGCTGAGATGGTGCCACTGCACTCCAGCCTGGGTGACAGAGAGAGACTCCGTCTAAAAAAAAAATGCTTGTACCTAAGAATCAGAAGAATCGCTTCCACTCAGCTTTTACAATCATGAAAATGAATTCTCCTTTATTTCTTGGATTCTAAAGCTTTAGAATCCATTGAGTGGGAGTCCTACTGGACGGTTAGGTATTTTAGCCTCCTTTTTGTCATTCATTTGTTCATTAAACAATTATATGTTCACCAAGTACTATGTACTTGGCATTGTCTAGATGTTGGAGTTTCATAGTAAATAAGTCCAGAGTCCTTGACCTCAAACACAATCTTGTATCAGAAATTTAAAATAATACAATACAAGGAGGACAATGTGAATAAAGGCATTTCAAAGCGTTATGAGAGTCTAAATGAACTAGATGTTAACTCTGTAGGATCCCTACCTTGAATCTCTTTGGAATAAAGTAAGACCTAAACAAAGACGATAAAACAGACTGGAATAAGGTGTCATAGAAAGCATCAGATATGTTATATGCAAGTAATTCTGGAAAAAAAGCAGAATTTTTAGCCAAGAGAAGGAAGATGAAAAGAAGATTCGGGTAAACATATTATAGGCAAAAGAAAGAGCGTGAGCAAAGGCATGGCAGCACAAAGGACTGAAGTGGGTCTTTTTTTCCAAAGCACTGGGCAGGCAAGGGCAGAGTGCTCAGGGCAAGAGGGAGTAAGCCTGGAAAAGGAGTGGGGTCCAATCATGATTCCCTTAGTGGGCCAGGCTAATGAGCCCAAAAGTTATTCTGCATCTAAGAAGAGCTGCTGCCAGGGTAAGCAGGACACTGATGAAACAGTGCTCAGCCACAGTGTATACGCATTGGGTGGAAGTTTCATATAAAGCAATTTTTTAATAATAGTTAAATGGATGCAGTTTTGAGTGACATGCTATTTTTACGCGTATTAGAATAGACTTAAGATGATCACTCGTACCTTGTCTTTCATTCATTCACCTACAACACAGACGCCAAAATATTCCACGTGCCTCCCCACATCTGTTTCCATCCTTCTCCAAGCTGCCGTGTCCCCGCCAAGGCAATCTTCATGGACTGTAGACCAAATTCATGTGCTCCCTTGCTGTCTTGGCTTCCAGCTAGGTTAGGGCAATGAGGGGAGGGCAGGAAATTGGAAGGCAAGATGACAGTGAGGTCAGGACATTTTCCTCTCACTTTCTCTGCTGGATTGGCTCCCACTGCAGGTTGGTTTTTTCCTCTACTGCAGGCCACAGCTCCAGTCATGTGTTTCTCTTATCAGCTTTTCCTCCCAGTTCCGGCCTTCTCCATGATTTCCTCCCTCACCCCTTCACCAAGGGGTGGAAGTGCTTCTGGCTGTTACCAGCCTACAGGACCACCTGACCTTTTGTCGCTTTGCCTAAACTCTGTCCACACCTTGGAAAATGGCCCCGTATTAAATCTTCTTTAATTGTCCAGTTTAAGTGTCCTTTCTGTTTCTGAAGGGATGTCAACTGATACACATTTCTCTCACACTTCCTATGAGCCAGGAACTCTTCTCAGCCCTGAGAAATAGTACTGAAGACGACAGGATCCCTCAGGTCTTGAAGGTTAATGTAGAGGAGACATCCAATAAAGAACATAAATAACATAATGCTTAGAGGTGTTGTGTGCTAAAAAGCAAGGTAAAAAATGATAAGCACTTATGGACCACAGTAGTTGGGTTTAGGGGATGGCTTGGGGTCATGCTTTGGATAAAAAAGTCTCTCTGCATAGAGACTTAGTCAAGATGATGATGTCTTTCCCACTCATGTTAGGCTTCTCCATGCTCCTGATACCCTTTCTTCATTGGGGGTAGAAAATCAAAATGTAGCTAGTGCTTGAGGACTCAGGCATAACCTGTGGCTTCTTTTTTCTGTGCGTCAATTAGATTGACTGAATGGACATATTGCAGGGTAACTGATTAAATGACTATTGCAATAATTCAGGCAGAAGCAACGAGGACCTGAACTAAAGGAACTTTAGCAGGGATGAAGAAGGGACAAACACCAGATATATTTAGAATATAGATCCAATAGAGCTCGGTGATTCACCTTTGTTGAAGGTTGATTTCGGGCTGAGTATTGCTGGATGGTGGCACTGTTAACTAAGGTAAGAAGCAGATGGAAAAGTGGAATTGGTGGGGAGGATGACAAGTTTAGTTTGGGATATAACTGAGTTTGAGTTGCTTGTTTGATATTCAAATGAATATATCCATTTAGTAGTTGAAACTGTAGACATGAAGCTAAGGGGAGAAATCTGGACTAGAAGAATGAATATACATTCGCCTTCAGTAAATAAGCATTAGTTGACTCTTTAGGAGGAGAGAAGATTTTACAGGAAGTGTGCATAAATGAGAAATGGCCAAAATACATTAACATTTAAATGTATAAAGAAGAAAGATAAACCAGTAAAAGAGAGTGAGAAAGAATGATCTGAGATGTAGGAGGAGAAAAAGGACAGAAAAGAGTCTCTAGAAACACAGAAGAAATTTCAGGTGTAGTCCTAGACGCTAAAGTCTAGACATCAGGTAAGGTAAAGATTAAACAGTGTCCATTGGATTGAATAATTGGGAGGGTTATGATTGCATTAATCAGATAAATTTCAACAGAAATATGGGGAAAGAAGCTGGGTTAATTTTTAACCTAATAGGACAAGAATCTCAAAGAAGCAGTGTGTGCCTATAATTGAACAAACCAGCCGCAGCTGTGGAGTCAGAGGAC
Organism: Homo sapiens; assembly: GCF_000001405.40. Taxonomy (NCBI): domain Eukaryota; kingdom Metazoa; phylum Chordata; class Mammalia; order Primates; family Hominidae; genus Homo; species Homo sapiens. Next base: position 87,577,210 of record NC_000001.11, on the reverse strand, counting down.
CTGGGTTTGAGTTCCTTTCCTACCTCTCCTCTCTGTGTGTGGCGTAAGCAAGTCACTTAATCTCTTAGAGTCTAAATTCTTTCCTCAAGTGAAAAATCGAAATAAGGCCTTTTTTCTACCCACCCCATGCAGTTGTTTTGCGAGTCAAATAAGTTAGATAGGTAAATATATTGTTAGCTATAAGTCGTATTCTATAAGGTAAGGTGTTACCGAACAAATAACAGAGGTGGCTCGGCCGGGGGCAGTGGCTCACGCCTGTAATCCCAGCACTTAGAGAGGCCGAGGTGGGCGGATGCCGAGGTGGGCGGGTCACGAGGTCAGGATATCGAGACCATCCTGGCTAACACGGTGAAACCCCGTCTCTACTAAAAATACAGAAAATTAGCCGGGCATGTTGGCGGGCACCTGTAAGTCCCAGCCACTCGGGAGGCTGAGGCAGGAGAATGGCGTGATCCCGGGAGGCGGAGCTTGCAGTGAGCCGAGATCACGCCACTGCACTCCAGCCTGGGAGGCAGAGGAGACTCGTCTCAAAAAAAAAAAAAAAAAAAAAAAGAAGAAAAATCTATGGTAAATCTTTTAGAAAGTGACCAACCTTTTTTAATGTGAGGGGGTCATTCTACAATTTTTTTCTTTCTTGCTTTCTTTCTTCCTCTTTACTGTTCTTTTCTTTCTTCCTTCTTTTCTCTGTTTTCTTCTTCATTTTTACTTGCATGATGTCTTTAATCCATAAAGACAGAGCCTACCTTAGGATATGTAATACACAAATAAAGCAAAGACTTGATGCCTTCTTATAGTGAAAATTGTAATAAAGTGGGATGCGACGGGGCAAGTACAGACTGAGACAGGCTTGGAAAAAGAGAGAACACCTAAAACTAAAAAGGAAAAGAAGTTGTTCCTGAAATCATCACGTCTACCAATGCCATAATTGCACAAAACGTCTGCAGTCTTTTGAGCCTAAGGGCCATTAATTGGCTACAAAATGCTCATGGGCGTGGTAGGAGACCTCAGACATGAAAAGGCAAAAGCATGAAGATTAAGGAAAGAATCTGAACAAGAAAGTAATAAAACAGACACATAAAAGGTAGAGGAAAAGAGAAGGAGAGAGGAAGGGTAAGGAAAAAACACAAAGAGCTTAGAGAAGGAAGCCATAAACTTTGGGCGCTCAGTTGGGTTTGGAATTGGGACTCTACCATCTCCCAGCTTTTTGACTTTCACAAATTGCTTAACCATTCTAAGCCTATTTCCTCATATATTAATATAGATAATTATACATACTTAATGTTGTGAGAATTAAATTTAAAAATAAGTGCCTAGGAGATTGTCTGATATACCATTGGTATTCACAAATGAATGGATGTTAACTATTTTTTACTAGGGGCCTTTGACTTTGCACACTAAACAGACAGATCAGAATAAAAGAAGTCTTCTGGAAGCAATTCTGCAAGGAGCATGCCTTGTATTATGATTCTCGGGATATTTGCCAAGCCATGAGGGTAGACTCATTCAAACATCCCCGTGTTCATTTTCTTCTAGTGGCTTCTCTGCCTTTTCTAGAAATTAGCAATTGTTTCCACTGCATTTGGGTTAGAGGTTCTGAATACTGTATGCACTAAAAGCTACATTCATAAACCACTAAAAATTACCACATTATTTATTCAGAATCGTCAGCTTTCCTGCCTCTGATGACCCCATATTATCACACTCTGAAATTAGAAACCCTGCATTTGCAATTTGACTATGTTGGATCTGGGTTTTCACAACATGTAGTTTGCACAGTAATAATACTTATAGATCTTTCATTTTTCTACAGAAATCAATTGCCTAAACCACAATGATTTATAGTCATACTGAACATGATTATTAATTTTCCTGATGATTATACCTGTGGGCGGCAACAAATCTACTTGTGATAGACCTGGCTTTGAATTGCTGCTAAAACTAAAATGTCCATAAGGTAATAACAACTAATTTTTACCTTAATCAACTTATACTTAAAAGAATTTAATATAGGGCACTTGTGCCTTGTGGGAAAACTTGTTTGAAATATAAGGTGCTGAGTTATTTATGAGAATAATTATATATTTGCTACTCTAGTTTGTACTGGGAAATCAGGATCTGAAATGAGTCTGAGATACATTAAAAAATATAATGAACTCAGTGGAGTTGTGCATGATAAAGAACTTTTGCACTAAAGTAAATATAAAACAGCATAGGTACTCTAGTTATGGGTGGGGGGAAATATTAAAGCCCACTAAACCATGCTTTCTTTTCCCTTCCCTTATCCTGCTATTGCCTCAAAGTGCTATCATGATTAACAAGAAAGGTAAGGCATTGATACCTAAGAGAACAGCCTTGTCCTTCCTTCCTTATTACTCACCCTGAAATTATTTTCAAAAGGCCTTGCTCTGCTCTTGTATTCTACTAACCAGGTCCCTATTAGTTGCTCGTTATGCAGGAAAGAACGGTGGTTTGGAGAAACTGAACCCAGATTATGTCGTTTTATGTCTTCCAAGCATGCCCAGCTTCACTTCTTGCTGCTGGGGTGGTTCATTCACTTCTGTAGAAGATTTGTTTCTCCCTATTGGGATACAAGTTACAAAAAAGAGAAGGCTCTGATTATTGGTTGATATGCATACCTTCTATAATTCTGTATGTTCATATCCCAGAAATATTTAAGGCTTTTTCCCTGATTAGTGACATTATGCAGTTATGCAAATAATCTGTTATATCTAGGCACATTATGCCGTTATGTAAATGATCTATTTCATTTATATTTCCCACAGAGTAATGGGGTAGGGAAGAAATACTCTTCTGCATTTCCCCTGGTTTTTAATGAGTTGTTCAGATATATTCAGCTGGTGATCAGTCTGCATTTCTGGGCCTGGTGTGAATTAGCCTTTCTGTTCCATGGCCACTACCTATATAGAACTTTCCCATTCAATTCAGCAAATATTTATTGAGTGTTAACTGTGTGCAAGGTGTTTGTGTAGGTGAAGATCACCCAATTGGGCTAAGATCCTGCTCAGGTAGACTCTGGGAGAGATGTTATTTACCTTGGATTCTTCCCTCTCTGACTACCTGGACACAGCTCCATCCATTTTAGAACTTATAAGCCATACTAGAAACAATCTTTACAATTCAGATGCTTTTTTCTAAAAAGGGAAAACAATTTAGAATGGCTAATAGCATGTTGTGTAATGAAATATACTGAGTAAGCTAAATAATTTAAATATAGATATGGCCATAGACAATAGGCTACAATTAATATACAAATCTAAGTACAATATGGGATCTGGGATAAACTAAAATTTCTTTGCACTTGGAAGCTGAGTTAAATCTATGCTCATTCTCCTGGTACTTGACTTCTGATCCCTTGCAGTATTGCACATGCTAGTGTACAGTCCATAAGCATTTAGACCAGGTTGGTCATTTCCTTTATTAAGATTGATACGCCAACATAGAGAATTCTCAGCCTCCATGTCAGCAACTGCTCAGCATTTATTGAGTCACTTAACAAATATTTATTGAGCATCTACCCTGTGTCAGGACATCAGTCCTCATGGAGTGTGGTGGAGGAGAAAGATCAATTCAAGAACACATGGGTAAACTGCTCAGTGCTGGGAAAGACAGGCACTTGAGCTAGAAAGTGTCCTTGTCAGGAAAAGAGAAGGTCCAAACTTTCAGCTCCTCAGTCTTTTTCAGCTGCCACACGTATCTTTGCAAAAGCTGGTGCATGTTCCTTGGAAAGACAATGTGTAAAATCATGTTATCTTCCCTCTGTGGCAATTGCAGTGAATAGGATTCCAAAAGACTCCTCAGAATTTAGAGTAGAGCAATATCTAGCCTGAGGCCTCCACCAAAAATCTTTCTGATTCTAAAAAAAAAAAAAAAAAAAAGCACCACTCTATAATTTAACCATGTCATATTATCTTTGTTCTTTAACTATTTCATGATCACTGATCTATTCGTGGAATTAGTGCTAAGTACTCAGTCAGATAATATTACTAAACTCTTCCTGAAAATGGAGGATGATATGGTGTGGTTTTGTGTTCCAACCCAAATCTCATCTTGAATTGTAATCCCCACAATCCCCATGTGTCATGGGAGGGAACAGGTGGAGGTAATTGGATCATGGGGGCGGTTTCCTCTTTGCTGTTCTTGTGATGATAGTGAGTGAGTTCTCATGAGACCTGATGATTTTATAAGCATCTGGCATTTCCTTGCTGGCACTCATTCTCTTTCTTGCTGCCCTGTGAAGAGGTGCCTTCCACCATGATTGGAAGTTTCCTGAGGGGCCTCCCCAGCCATGCAGAACTGTGAGTCAATTAAACCTCTTTTCTTTTTTCTTTTTCTTTTTCTTTTTTTTTTTTTTTTTGAGATGGAGTTTCACTCTTGTTGCCCAGGCTGGAGTGCAATGGAGCAATCTCGTCTCACCGCAACTTCTGCCTCCTGGGTTCAAGCGATTCTCCTGCCTCAGCTCCCCGAGTAGCTGGGATTACAGGCATGCGCCACCACGCCCGGCTAGTTTTGTATTTTTTAGTAGAGATGGGGTTTCTCCATGTTGGTCAGACTGGTCTCGAACTCCCGACCTCAGGTGATCTGCCAGCCTCAGCTTCCCAAAGTGCTGGGATTATAGGCGTGAGCCCCTGCGCCTGGCCAAACCTCTTTTCTTTATAAATTACCCAGTCTCAGGTATTTCTGCATAGCAGTATGAAAACAGACTAATACACAGAATCTCGCTGAAGACGATAAATTTTTCTTTAAAAAATTGATCCTAACGCTCATGTGTCTAACAAGCTATCAATAGAATATACTGGTCATTTAACTGCTTCTGATTATAATTCAATTCAATAGCATTTATTGTATATGGAAATCATATTATTGTTCCCAGTAATGCACTCCCTTTCCCTTAAGAATATCCATGTCCAGCCTGTTGCCGTGTGATGTATAGTGCTTCTGTTGGGAGAAGTATACCCTGCCCGTCCAGGCTCAGGTTTGGTCATGTGACTTGCTTTGGCCAATGAAATAAAAGCAGATGTCAGGTATACCTGACCTGAGTAAAAGCTTTAAGGGTCGACACGTGTGTTTTCACATCTTTCTATTGTTCTTTTTTTCTCCATCAGAAGAATGCAATATCCCAGATGGGGGCTGCTACTTCTGACTCTGGATGCTGAGATGAGGAAGTCTTATGGAGCAGTCATGTGTCTTAAAGCCAGAGCAGAGTGAGAAACAAGCTTCTGTGGCGAGAACCTCCTCTGATAAAAGCTGACTGACATGCCAACTACCAAAGGGATACACCCGCCTCCAAACTAAGAACTAGGAGAGGGACTATGACCCATGCCCCCAAAGCATCCACAGTCTAGACCTCTCATTAGTTCTTGCATAAGGGTTTATAAACCAAGGGAGTGTTAGAGGCCACAGTGAGTTTGAATAAACTTCACAGCCCGATGCAGTAGTTCATGCCCATAATTCCAGCACTTTGAGAAACTGAGGCGGGAGGATTGCTTGAACCCAGGCCACATGATGAAATAACATCTCTACAAAAATTTTAAAAATTATCCAGGCGTGGCCGGGCACGGTGGCTCACACCTGTAATCCCAGCACTTTGGGAGGCTGAGGCGGGAGGATCACGAGGTCAGGAGATCGAGACAACGGTGAAACCCTGTCTCTACTAAAAATACAAAAAATTAGCTGGGCGCAGTGGCGGGCGCCTGCAGTCCCAGCTACTCGGGAGGCTGAGGCAGGAGAATGGCATGAACCCGGGAGACGGAGCTTGCAGTGAGCCGAGATCGCACCACTGCACTCCAGCCTGGGTGGCAGAGCGAGACTCCATCTCAAAAAAAAAAAAAAAAAAAAAAAAAAAAAAAAAAAAATTAGCCAGGTGTGGTGGTGAGTGCTTGTAGTCCCATCTCCTCAGGAGGCTGAGGTGGGAGGATCGTTTGAACCCAGTAGTTCAAGGTTACCGTGAGCTATGACTGCGCCACTGCACTCCAGCCTGAGTGACAGAGCAAGACTCTGACTCTGCAAAGAAAAAATAATACTAATAAAAGTAAACTTCATACACACACACACACACACACACATTCTACATGCTAAGACACACTTCCCAACTTCTTTTTCCCTGAAATAAAGTATAAAAAGAGTCAACACAGTAGATCTACCAACCCAACTTTAGGAAAAAGAGACAAAAGAAATCCAGTAGTCTGTCCTTGATTTTGCTATCTCTGTTCCCCCAACTACATTATTTTAATGCTAAAATTTAGCAATTAGGAGTAGTGGCTTCTTGGTTGCCCTCATCTCTGCACCACAAATTAAAAAAAAAGAAAAACAATTTGCTCAATTCCTCTGCTAATGCCTTGAGTGGGTCCGATTTTAGACTCCAGGGTTGACATCAAGTATTCCCGATGTCCACTCTACATCTGAGCTAACTTCACAGCTCTAACATATATAGCTGCCTTTGATATGTGCCTATGGTGTCTGAAGACCAGTAGGCCATCAGCAACCCAAGTAGAAAACCTTCAAATTCAGACAGCACAACATTTTGTGAATGTAAGTAAATTTATTAAATTTATAATAGCTGGCAGATTCTAATAGCATTCTTAGATATTTATAGGTTGAGACAAAATGACATGTTTACAAACTAAGGGTTCCTGGAAGAAGTACAGTTTCGTGGTCCAGTATCTATGCATTTTTAGAAGATGCCGATCACTGCAATTCAAAGCTTTGTTCTAATATTGCATAATATACTTCTTGCAGGGATAATATTATTTTCATTTCCGTTATAACCACCTTGTACTTTTCTCATTCTCATTATTCAAAGAAAAAACATGTTATGCTAGTAGCATTTCCAGGTTAATCTCTACAATAGAGTACATTTTAAGGAAAATAAATAGAAAAGGAAGTAGTAGAAATAAACTGGTAGAAAGAAGGGAAAAAAAGGAAGAAGGAAAGGAAGAAGAGAGTCAGGGAGGGAGAAAGGGGGGAAATGAATAGGAAGCTGACGAAAGAAGTCGAGAGGAAAAGGCATAACGAACTGCGAGCTTCGGAGGCATTCAGCAAATGTGGAGAGCAAAACTAAAGGTAATAGCAAAAAATATGAAAAATTGAGGATTTAACAATGAAAAAGTAATAATTTTAAAGCTTATCATAAATATGAAAACAAAAGGAAATGTTTGAGGAGTTAGGGACCTAATGGTCCCAATGAGAAGAAAGAAAAAATAGAAGCAAAGGCAAAAAGAGAAAGGATTTAAAACAATCAACTGTTATCCACTAGAAGAACTGTTACAGAATGAAAAGTTAGAAATAAACAGCTTTTAGAAAAGCATTGATTTTTTTTTGTTTACTATTATCATCACATTTTGTCTTTCTAAGTTTTTATTATTGTAAATGGATAGTGCCAACAATCCCAGTATTGCATACTGTACATCATTCTCTAGGTTATATTACATATATAAATCTGGAACAGTATTGGATGAAAATGCACCCAAAAGGGAAAGCACGCATAAAAGTCAGAGATAAACTATAACTTGACAGTGTGCACAAAAAAATCATCTATTCCAAATTATATACCCTTAGCTTTCTAATGCCAACTTTAAATTATGTTTGTCTTTCTTGTGCATTTTCAGACTTTTTAAGCAGAATTACAATCTGATATTTGTTTGGCTATTTATTTGGTGGAAAATCATCTCTCATTGTGGTTAAGTCAGTGAAGGTGGTACAACCATACAACCGCACACTTGGACAGATGGAGATGACGTCTGCACATACAGATTAGAGCCTTCGGACATCTCCATGTGGACTTTCCCCACATCATCTGAAGAGGTGCTCATCTTGCTTGCACATTATTTCCTTTGGTAGGTTTTTCACACTCTTGTCTCAGGAAATTAAGTTCTTTCCTTTGGGACTGCATCCTATTTTAGCGAAGACAAGGACTGAGGCATCAGTATCCTTCATGCAAGAAAGAAAAATAAAATAAAATATTCCTTTGCAGTATTTTTGCTTGTTCTTTGCCTGGCCAGGCTGAAGTTTGCTGTCTTCAAAAGTAGGAAGTCTGTTGCAGAATAGGCTGCTTGCCAGATTTAGTCTGGGCCTCATGGGCCTGAGATTTACTGTTTTTAATCTTTTTTTCTGATGGGCATTCTAAATACCTGTTTCATGCGATGTTTAATTTCAGCACAGCAGGTATTAGTGTATCCAAAAATGGGAATAAGCTGCCTGTTTCCTCGTATGATGAAATGCCTAAAACACAGCTAGGTTTTTACTGTGCCTAGTCCTTTATCCCCTTAATAGTCAGTGTCTGTTCCTTAAAAAATGGTACTTTTTATCAATTCCCCTGACCATTTCTAAGATAATTTTCTGTAGCCCATCTTCCCCACTAAGAATGTGAAACTCCACATCTGTATTCATTTGGACAGCTTTTGGACTGAGACTAACACACAAAAGAAAGATTTGGGGCTGCTTCCCTTTAACAAAATGGCAGCCTAAAGGCATCAAAGAAAAACAATCTCTTTAAATTTTCCTGCACAGATGTTGATGACACAAAGAGAAATTATCTTCAAAACAATCAGCAACACCATTAACAATACCTTTGTTAATATTTACATAATCTAATGAAATGTTTGATCCTCAGTGCTCAATGAAGAATTTACCTCAATGGGATATAACTTATGAAGCTAATGCAATAATAGTCTAATATGCTCCACACAAATTTTAAAAGAGAAGGTAATTATTTTTAATTGCTCCAGGAAGGCAGGCCAAGGGAACTGACCATGCAATTGTATAAACTTACCGAACACACACACACACACATACACACACACACACACACCACATGCCGCAAAGGAGAGGGGGATGAAACAGGGATTTTCATATAATAAAAAAGTCAGTCATCCATGTTTGAAACCTAAGTCATTCAAGAGTGAGAAGGTCCCTCAAGTTAAAAGAAAAACTATGTCAGTTAACAAGTATTTATTAAGTATGTGTATCTAACCGGCCCAGTGTGAAATGCTTTCCACGTGAAATATGTGGTTCTCTGCAAGGAAAGCTCTTCAATAACACTTCTGCAACTCACTCATTTCTATTTCCCCCAGGGTTCCCTCTTGCCACTTCCCACTTAATCCACTTCAAGAATAAATAAATACATTAAAAAATGTAAAATTACGGACAGTCCCCAACTTACAATGATTCAGTTTAGGATTTTTCAGCTTTACCATCGTGCAAAAGCAATACTCATTCAGGTCACTCCTTGACTTACAATGGGGTTGTTACATCAGGGGTTACATCCTGATAAACCTGTCATAAGTTGAAAACAATACTTTTAACTTTTGATATTTTCAACTTACAATGAGTTTATTAGGACGTAACACCACCTAAGTCAAGGAGCATGGGTGTATAAAAGTCTTTAAAAGAGAAAGCATAGAACGAAATAGACTGGACAAATCTCAGGAAGAGAAGAAATTTTTAAGAACAAAGGGCTCAGATAAAATGTCTTGTCCCTTCAATCTGTTTGCCAAATTGCAACTAAAAGGATCATTCCACAAATCAAATCTGATAATAATAGGGATAACAAATCAAATTTGATAATGATATTGATATTGATAAGAATGCTAATCAGAACTTACACTTATTGAGTGCTCAGCATATGCCAGGCATCATCATAAATACTACCTCTACTGGACTTTTTCTAATCATATCTGCCCTGTGTTGACATGTCTTCATTGGCTTTCCATTGCCCTCAGGATAAAGTTCCCACTTTAACAGATCGTATAAGACTTTGCTTAATCTAACCTCTCTTTTAACCTTTTCAGTCTAATTTCCCACTCTCTACATTCCAAACATCAGCCATCAAGGGCACTTTTGCTCCTTCTTGTCTTAGGACCAATCTTACTTATTTTGAAGGTTTCAACTCCAATATCACTTTCTCTAAGGAACCTTTCCTGTTCCTACACATCCTGGTGAGTTGTCCCTGCTGTGCCAGAGCACCTGTGCTTGCTGCCATCAGTGCACTTATTCCAACATGTAATTCTCTGCTTACATATTCTCCATTAGGCCATAAATTCCATATGGACAGAGACACTGGATGCCATGCTTACAGATTGTTCCCAGTAAATATTTATGGAATTAATAAATGGATAAATAAATTCTTATTCCTATGTATTACATAAAGGGAGAGGAAGCAGAGGTGATTCTTTTTGTCTGTTTGAAGCCTACCTTCCCCTAGTTGGGAGTATAGAATTCAGTCTCAATGGTGTTCATGTCAGGTGAAATCACCCTAGAGAACAGTTGGATGTTCTCTCTATAGTCTAGCACAGTGGTCTCCAAAATAGGCTATATAGGATAACCTTTAGTTATGCAGGAAGAAATATTTGAATGCTCATTTATAGTTACATTTCTATAAAAAGAAGTCCTACAAGCATTTGCTGTATGGACTGATGCTCGTGCCCACCTCGATGTGTGTGTCAGGTAGCCTTGAGTGGTGTGGTAAGCACTGGATCCTGGACAGGAAGTGATAACACACACAGCACACAGTTAACACAGGTTACATGGATGAATATAACGGATTTGTAGAGCCTGTTACATAACTTGAGTGATACTAACTTCATAATGTCTATATCCTGTACAATAATTTAATGTTTTTAAATTGCTGCAAAAACTACAGATTGAAATTAATGCAGATTGTAAAAATATCACAGATCCGTGATGATACCAGTAATGTATAAGCTGGTTACTCTTCCTAGCAGAGCTCTTCAATAGCCACATTTCTAACCAAATTAAGGACAATATAATTTTATGTGACAATAAGTCGGCCAAAAGTAATCAAAATCATTTTTTAAGTACTACATTTATTATCATCAATGATAAATTTTGTGTGGGTGTTGCACCTTGGTTTGTCAACTGATGATAGCATCACATGTATATAATTTGTAAACAAACGTGTATAGGTGTAGCTTGAAGGATTTTTTTTTAATTGAGGGGTGCTCAGTCAAAAGAGCTTTAAAGAACACTGATGGAGAAGGAACAAGTATCTTCCTTCTTCCCCATTCCACTTTCCACCCTGTCCCTGCCAACGCTCTCAAAGCCTGAAGCTTGCTACTGCTTTCAACGCTGCTTTACGGTTCATCCGACTCTGTGATGCCTGCCAGTTTTATGCATCTCATCCAGGCCAACCCTCTGCTCCCTGCAACCCTGTTGCAGAAGTCAAGCCGAATTAATGGAAAGCAGCTTTTAAGTAAAACCTTTAAGACACTGGAGAAATATCTCCACTGGTTATTCCCTTAATATCTTTGTTAGTGGAAAAAATACACTAGCAATTCCTGAATACAATAAAATATAAGCTCTAATCCTGCTCTCTAGGAACTGGTTTAAAAAGATAGTGTGTAAACCAATGTGAATTGTAAAAGATTAACTCAGGTCAGTAGTGTCAAAATCTTCCTTCTTTTTCCTGACTTCAAGACAAGTAAGCAAGGCCCCTTCAATGGTCTGGTGACTGGAGGTGAGGGTGGGCTCAGGAATATCACCCCATATTTTTCACTCTGATATTCATTAGTGCCATTTCAAGGGCTTTCACTTCATCATAGAAAAGTTGTCATCAAATTTCACAAAAGCCAAAACTGTCATTAATTAATGCATTACATTTTATTGGATCCGGATGGAAACTGCCGGAGCTATCAATATACAAAGTTTTGATGATTTTACTGGAAATCTTAGAAATGGAACAGTTGTCAAAGAATAGAGGCATTCTTTGAGAGTTGTCTTCCAAGAGATTTTTAAGAGCTCCCCCTAAAATTTGACATATTAATGATCTACTGTTCAACCCAACATTCCTTGCTATGAAAATGTTTAAAGGAATTCACTCACCATTGTCCTTGTTACTTGGAAATGAATGCTTATTGATCACAGGTATTGATCTACTACTTTAGATAAAAACAATACTTTTCAAAGTACACTCGAAAGAGTTTAAGGACTAAAGCAAAAATGTAACTCACACTGGTTACTATGTGATTGATCACAACTGATTCTGCTGCCATAGAACATAACTTACTGTGACACTGCTTATCTGGGCTCCAGAGCCGGCCTTCATTGAACTGTGCGCTATGTATGAATCATTGATGTGGGTTTGCATATTTTGTTAGATTCACCTTTCAATCTATTTTACATAGCTGACTTACATAAAAGATGAGTGCTACTCAAAATTCTTCAGGAGAAATGTAACAATTATGAATGTAAGTGATCTCTGGTGATTTTGTTCACCTGGTAAAGCTAATTCCTGCTTTGTTCAGCCTAGCTCATTTAGGGAGTATTTTTCCAAATGAAATATCTTTGTTTTCCATGTCAGAAATTTTTTAAAAAGAAAAAAAACACTGGTTAAAATCTTGCAAAGTTCAGGAAATGGGAACAGCCAGGTGTATGTGAGCAGAGAGAAACTGTAAAAGATTTGTCCCTTGAGAACTGTAACATTTGAACTTTATATCCTGACCTGCCTTAATTCGACCTCATTTATTCATTTCATTGTAACTAACTAAAATATATATTTTTAACATTTGCAGGGGATTAGATGAAAGTGCATAGAAATGGCAGTGGACATACAGTGATATAATACCTCTCCATCACATTATGGGACATGAATTCATGATCTCTCTTTGTCCATGTGAGAACAGGGTTTGGCGATATAAAATGACAGCTGTTTTCATCTAGCTTTTCTTCCCAGTCAGTCTATTTCATACAACAGTCCATCATTAAAGATCATTACTGTATTACCATTGTTAACAAGGAAGAATAAAGCCTACGCCTTTGTCTTTCTTAGATATAATAAGTCTTATGGAACAAGAGTACCCTAAAGGCCCTTCGCTTCTAAAAATGATTAAACTTCATTCAAATCACAGCCTGTAACCCACTTCTGGGCATAGTATCAAAGTCAGCTCCATAGGTGTGATCTAAGGCAGTATACTATTCCTGCCTCAGGTTTTGCACAAGAGTAGTTTGCATGCATTATCCTCAAAGAACAGATTGCCTTTTACCAAAATCCTATGCATTTTGGCACTTGGTGAGTGTCTTAGATGGCATTAACTGTAAAACATTTCTTTTTACATAATTATGGCTTTGTTTTGAGTGTGTGCTAAGATGGTTGTAAAAGTTTTAAATGTGAAGGGCTTCGGGAATAAGAGAAAATCTTTGAGCAAAAATGAAAGCCTGTTGTTAACAATTAAAGTTAAAAAATTTTCTGACAGTCTTTCAAAACTTAAAAAAAGCTCTAAGTGATTATTTTAATAATTGTTCCCCAAATTATGCCATTATTGGAAATGTATAGGAAATACAAGTTGTGATGATTGCAAAACACCTGGAGAATTAGAGCTATTGTTTTCTGGGCATATTTATGTAGCAATAAGACAATCTTTGTCAATAACTGATAAAAATAAGTGCAGAGAGACCTGGTGTTCATTCTAATAATGAGAAATCCTTCCCAGTACTCAGAAAAGGTCTTTGCCTCAAGGCATTTACTCAGATTCCTGAATCCACCATCCTTGCCATGAATGTGTTAATTGACATGCTTGTATAAATTTTAGTAAAGCCATAATATTTTTGCATGGCAACTATTAAAAATATTTTTTCTCTTAATTTCACCAGGGAGGCTGAGACTCTGAATTTTTCCCCCTTGCAGGAGGGAATAATTTAGATTTTCTTCCATCCCTGTCAGAAGTTGAACAGACGAACAAAACAGATTCTTCAGAGACAATTTTACACAGAGTTACATCCATCCAATTCAATTATAAATTAAATTGACTAACGAACCATAGCTCATTATGGGAATCAATTACTCAGAACTGTCTTTGGACCAAAAATGTGGAAAATAAAAAATAATGGTCATACTTCAATATACCAGATTGTCAACGTTTGAAAGCTCTGTTTTTCTCTAGCTTGGCATAGTCCAACGCCAAAAAGAAATGATAATCATTTGTTTTACTGCTCCTAGAGATGTTCTCATTTTATGAAGACTAGTTAATTCTTAAGTTTTGATCTCTTTGGGACGAGTACCTCAGGCTTTTCTGAGATGACAGGCCAACCCTGGAGTCATGTAATCGCATGGGGATCTTTCAGATCAACTTATGCAAATGTGTTATTAAAAGGAGCCCCATTTTAGCCTCTAGTGCCACCCAAGCAATAAGTCAAAAAATCTTGGGAGGTCATGTTAGAAGCATTTTATTAATACAATGATTCTAGTAACAGGGTAAGGGAGGCCATAACTCTCTGGAGTATTTTCAGTCCAATTGTTTGGTAAAAGTAAACCCATTGATAACCCAATGGCTGCCTTATTTACCAAGCAGTAGGGGCTAATGAAGGAACAGTATTAAAGCAGTAACACTTCAAAGTCTTTCTCCTTTTGAAGTCCACAGCCCAGAAATTTTCCATCTGCTACAATGAACAAAAAACTGTTGTGTTTTGAACATGTGTAAGTAAAGGTGATATGCATGAACGCATACATATACCAATATAGGGGACATGTCCTGCATAGTGCAGAAGCTGTTGCCCACTTAACGTGTCATAATAAGGTGGCCAAAGAACTGTGCTAAGACATTTTTTCGGGGAATTGAACTACCAAAGATGCCTTAATTTTACTTTTCCACTTATACTTTGTATTCACTTGTATTTGGAGAGTAGTAAGAATAAATATTTCCAACTCAAGTGCTCACCTAAAGAAGTGAGATCTCTAAAAAAAATACTGCTACGTATATTTTTGTCATCCAAAGGAGCCAAAAGGAAATTGTTTACTCAGGAAAGTTGTACTATACACGAAAACAAGTTAATCCCCATAAATATATAATTCAGCATCATTTTGCTTAGAACCTCATACTTTAAAAACATCAGTTTCTCAAAATGGGTTAAATTTGACTTTGTTTTCACTAAAACTTTTATTTTTTGAAATATCAGACATAAAAGAAAGTGGCTGGAAATTTTCAAATGTGTTTTTTGGCTGATAATGAAGAGGGGGACAGAGCTTTCCTCATTTATTTACTTTTTTACCATTAGAACAAGGGAAAAGAATAATTGCATTTCCCATTATGTTCAACAGAAAGGGAAGAAGGAGGAATGGATCTGTAATTAGAAATATAAGCATTTAAGAAAAGGTATCTTGAAAAAATAATTTCAATAAGTTGGACCATAGTTCAGGAACTCAGTTTCAGGATTCATAACTAAGAGTTCAAAGATTACATAATATGTTTTAGTTTGAATGATTTAAAAGGGAGTTTGGTTATTTTCTATAATAAATAACACAACTCAACTCGTTTTTTAATGGCCTTCTCTTTTGTTAACAGCTCAAGACTTGGGTCAGGCCTGGATTCAAATCCTGATTCTGTTCCTTAACATCTGGAAGACAATGGGCAAGTCAGCTTCTCTAATCCCAGTTTCTTAACCTTTAAAGCTGGAATAATAATAGTACTTACTTTCTAAAGTCATTATGAAAATCAAATAACATAACGCATGCAAAGTACTCAGCACAATGCCTGGCACACAGTAAGATTCAATACATTTTAGCTATTATTCCTGCTATGGTTATTTTTATTTTATAATTCCAGAATATGGAACAGCACAATTCACAACCCAAATGGAAAAGAGTATTCTTTCTTTTCACTCTATTCTCAGGCACTTTGTTAAAACTGCGCCATGCCCTGTTTCTCAAATGGCTAGCCAGTGCAGGCCATGAGTGGTGTTTAAGCCTGCAGCTGGGCATCGGCAGACTCCTGTGTAGCACACGGTGCAGTGCCTTCTTTCAGGCCCCTCACCCTACAAGAAGCTCCCTCACTCCCCAGTCCTTGGCCACATCCCCAAACTAAACAGTGCTCAGGAGGTCACCCCTCAAGCATAGGACCATCACATAGAATCACTACCAAGTGTGTGATATCTTCTCTGTAGGCTATAAACACCCATGACTGGGAAATCAGATAAACATTTCTGATAATTTGTCAGAATTTTGAAGACATGCTTCTTAAAGGTCTCAGGCATCATCTAACAGTGCATTACATGAATATTTTGCTGGTGAGCCTACATTTGACAGAATATTAGTGTTATCAGAAGTAAATACCTTTCTCTTTACTCCTTCATGTAGCGATAGGCAAAGAATCTAAGTTTGAGAGGCTGAAATCAGACTTGCATTATTTTGCAGTCCTTCTTGGCAAAGGCTTCTGCTGTTTTAATTTTAACCAATTAGAAGAGCCAATCTTCTTTTATTTCAGCAATGTATTAAAAGATATCACATTCAAAGGCTGGACATGCCTGCAATTAATTACTGGTGTCCGGCTAAAGGTCTACCATTAGCTATTGCCATGACAACCTTTAGAAGGCCTTGGCCCACCTGTTGCAAGATAGAAACAGCATTAGGCAGTTGGTTCCTGCACTTGGCCTCCCTCTGGCCTATGGGGAATTCGTACTAATTAGAATTAGTTGTCCTTCTGTAGTCCAGCTCCTGACACAAATTGCATTCTGTAGCTTTTTGTTCCACTTGAGTTCACAGACAAAATAGCCCATGCCATGTTTGAAATGAAGCAAGGCAATATAAAAGGATTTTATGTAATTGGCTAATATACTTTAACATTCTAACTAATATCTTCAGTGTTGATTTCTTGGAAGGAGTTTGTTTGCTTTCTTCTCCTTTGACTCAATAGTTGTTTATGATCATATAGGATATAATTTTAATACAGCTTATTAGGGTGTCATTAACCCATTGTCAGGCTCAACTGCATATGGAACAAAACAAGTGACCTTTAAAAATGATAGTTTGAAATGGCCCCATGGTGATGGTGAAGAGAAGTACAAACAACAGAGAAAACGAAAGGACACTTTCTCACGTCTCACTGAAGAAAAACTTTATTGAAAACAAGAGCCTGTGGAGGAAGAGCCTTAATGAAATAAAAAAGCCTGACCATGAAAGAAATTATTAGGATGTTAGCAAGTGCAGCTTTGCTGGGAAGAGGGGTCCACAGGCGCTGTGAGATCCAACAGGATTCAGCCACAGGACACACAAAGGGAGACCTGAGAAACACTCATGGACACTTCCTTGGTAGGACTAACTTTTAAGACATGCTCTCAGGTTAACATTAGGCATGAAGTGAGGAAACGCCACAAGCCCTTTCTTTACCTTACTACCTCTTACTGCAGAGGAAGACACGAGCTGCGGCGGTCAAACAACGTGGTCTAAGAATAAGAAGTATAATCTTTTTTTTTTTTTTTTTTCCTGAGATGGAGTCTCGCTGTGTTGCCCAGGCTGGAGTGCAGTGGCTCATTCTCGGCTCACTGCAAGCTCCGCCTCCCGCGTTCAAGCAATTCTCCTGCCTCAGCCTCACGAGTAGCTGGAACTACAGGCACCTGCCACCACCCCAGGCTAATTTTTTGTATTTTTAGTAGCGGCGGGGTTTCACCGTGTTACCCAGGAGGGTCTGGATCTCCTGACCTCGTGATCCGCCCCCCTCGGCCTTCCAAAGTGCTGGGATTACAGGCGTGAGCCACCAAGCCCAGCCCCCAGAAGTATAATCTTTCCGTAGAATCATTTTAGTTATTTCTAGAAATGGTAAAACTCCAAAATAGAGAGCCAAATTGGTAATTTTAAGGATTCCTGTTAGATTTTTCAGAGACGAAGGAGCCTGGCAGCTTTAATGTGCCCAGCGCATTTTAGTTCTGACCTGGAAACAGGACTTGATGCTGTGCTTCGCTTCTCCAGGTACCCAACTTTCCAAGTAGTCATGAGACAAATGGCTTCATGTGTTTTACTGTCTCTCCATACAAGAAAACTTCTAAGCAAGGTATCTTAATCTTCCCACAAACAAGCAAGACACAGTTTTATTTTATTAAAAGAGACCACTAAGAGCTAAGAGAGTGTTTTTTTCACGATAGATGTGTTCTTAGTTGAGGACTGTTGCAAAACCACCATTTGCTTGTTCATGAAAAAGGAAATGTAAGTAAATGTAAGTCGTTTTAAAATAAAATCTATACACATCCCAAATTCGTTCTCTAAGCTTCCATATCAACCTCATATTGTTCAGAATGGGACTGAAGCCAAGAACAAATATCTCTCTTCCCTTCTCTGACTTTGAATCTGAATTCTGAAATGATAAGAGGTACTTTAAAATTCTTAAAATAGATGGATTTAGGAATGTCTGAGCCAAGGTAGAGCCTAGTTACTCATAGATAAGCCAGAACTGCCTTCGTGAGTATATTAAATGTAAAATGTATAAAATGTGCAAAATCTGCAAGAAAAATCACTAAAAAGTCCAAGGAAATTTTAAAGTCTCATTTTAACTGAGAAAATTACCTATCTTTTCAGTCTTTTGTGTGATATTGTAAAGTACTGTAGAACTACTTGGGAACAACAAGAAAGCCATTCTTTAGAAAACAAGAATCTTCCAGATGAAAATGCCAATGTGTTTATCAGGGAACAGGCCTTTCTACATTTTCTGTGGGTTGGGCAATTTAAAGTTTTTTTATTTGTTTGTAAAATTCTCTTTTGTCTTGAGCCATTAGGGAGGAAACAAAAAAAATTTTTCACTCAAGCATCTGTAAGAGAGAACACTAATAATAATAATAATAATAATAGAAATGAAAACTAACCACAAAACACAATATAAACCACTTTATACTCCCATTTGAATAGGCCAGATTAGTTCATTGACTTGCCAGCATGAACAAGTTGAACAGTCTACAGAAAATTCTCCATGGACTTGCCAGAGTATAAAATGGACAACCCTGAAACATGTTTCAGTTGACCCTGATGCTCTTATATGTAGAGTTGCTTAATAAGGACAGAGGTTCCATGAAGACGCAACATTAGTCTCTCTCTAATATTCTCTGTGTTAGTGGTACTGCTTTGGAAATCAATTCACATTTATATTAAGATTTATTCCAGGAGTCATCTCTTTCAGCCAGCCTTTTCTGCTCTTACCTCCTGCTACTCCCAAATATGGATGAGGTGCATCTTGATGTTCTCTTGTGGCAACATGGGCTTGCCTCCTGCTTATCTCTTTATGTTTTTGTGGGCATTCCCTCCAACCTATAGGTTTCCTAAGCAAACTTTATCCATCTTCCCATGAATACCAAGTAAGTCACAGAAATTAGTTTTACTAAAAGGGAGCCAATAAGAGCTGAAAAAAATGTTCTTGCCAATGTTCTGTAATCTTCTGTTTATGTGCCTGCTTCCCCTAATGGTCTGAGAGTCTCACAAGGCAAAATGTGGATCCCCCTAATACCTGCCATCATGCCCAGCACATAGTAGGTGCCTAATAACTGTTTGATAAGTGAATAAATGCATGCATGAATACGTTTCATTATATTCTGACCATCACGATAAAAATAACAGCTAGCTTGACATTTACCTTTACTCTACCTGCTTCACAAGCTGGATGAAACAAGCCCATTTCAGAGGATTAGCATTTTAGTGAAGAATTTGTTCTTTGGCAAAATGCTGCCAGCATGACCCTCAGAGAAGTCATGCCTACCTGGATAATAAAGTGTTTACATTAACAAACAGTATCTTTCCTTTTGGTCCTGACAGAGTTCATGGCTCTTTCTCTTATCCAAGCTCTTTGCCTTCTGAAGGTACCAGAAGAGGGAAGTGAAGGATGGTCTGTAAAGCCCAAGAGAGGAACAACCGTAGAGTCAGGGAGGTCTGAGGTCCCTATGAAAACTGGTGGAGATTTGCCTGAACAATGTACCAAGATTTATTCCTAGGTTTGACTGTTCATGGTGACCTGAAAATTTTCTTCTACTTACTTAAGAATGGGTCTTAACTATCACGTATCATCAAGAAAATTTAAGCCTTAGCTAAAAGTCACATTTACAGTAATCCTGGGTGGAAAAATCCTTAACCAATCACAACGATCTCTTAATTTTTGCTTCCAGCATTCCTGAGTTCTGGAACACCCTTAGAGTGAAAAGGCAAGGAAAAATGAGACTTCTTGTCATTGGCAGGCAGTTCCAAGGCCTCTCCATGTAGTAGTCTTTTTGATATGACCTTTCTTTGAATTTCTTTACTTTTTAATCACCAAGGCATTTCTCTGAAAAATCATGTATTGCAAAAGGCCCCAAAGCAAGTGTAAAGGAGAGAATGAAATCATTTATCAAAATTGTAAGAATTTGTAATTCATAATAGGCAAGAGGCAATATAAGGAGATAGTTTTCTATCCCTGACACTGCTGTCAAAATAAATGTGGGAAAGATAATTATAGTAATTAACAAAATAGTTAATTTTACCTTGTCATGAGATAAAATTCATTCTGATTTCTGATTAAGAGAAGATCAATACCAAATGCTTTTCCTTCATAGCTGCCGTCGATTATAAATGTTGACTAAGTATACATACTAGCTTCCTCACCATTGACTTGCATTGGGAAAAAAATGTATCGACATTAACATGCTTCGCCTACAACTCTCAGCTCTTTCCTGCCAACCTCCAGCCCATCACTCTTTTACCTACTCAGCAAAGGTTGTTTCCATTATATTCAACTAAGTCGTATACAAAAGTGTTAGGTCCCAGAATATCTTTCGGATGAAGGTCTTAGCTTCTTACTAAGAAAAATAACTATCCTTGAAGAGGTCTTGGGCTTGAGTTCTGTTTGATTTTGGTCACCCAAGAATCACATGATCCAGCAGCAAATGAAATTCCTCTGGCAAACAAAACAGGAGAGTGATCATGACCTCTGAGTCAGAATTTAATCATCATTCGGCCAATTGAGGAATTGATGTTTTGTTACACTAATAAGTTTGGAGATGAGGAGGCATACATGTGCACATATCTGTCTGTTGGGGAAGTCTTGGCATCAGAGTAGTCTGCAGTGAGGATCCAAAAACACCATAAATGAGGCAGAAGAAAATATACATACTGCATTTCTTTAGTAATGGAGTAATTTGGTAACCTCATTCTTGGATACTTATAGCATCTAGGACTATGTTTATGAACAGTTTGTGCCACCTGCACCTTTAAAAAAAAGAGGATAAATGAAAGACTTTAGTGATCAAAGCTTGGTAGGGAAGTGAGAAATGTGCCATAGCTATGGAGGCCAGTGGTTCTTCTCTGGTACCTCATCAAAATAAACTGTGATAGAGTCTGCACTACTTAATTGGCTGGGCAACCTTGAGTAACTTACACCAATTCTTTTGACTCAGTTTCCTTTTCAAGAATTGTCATGTTAAGATGACAAATAGCTCATTGGCAGCTCTAATATTCAGTAGGTTCATGATTTTTATAAGGGCCAAGATCAGCAGTGGCTAGCCTAAGACAAACACTTGAATGCTTTTCCCCATATGAAATGCTAAGCTTTCTAGTCAAGAGTATACACAATCTTTTTTTCTTTTTTAAGTAGGAGGAAGAAAAAAAATTAGAAGAAGAAAAAGCACCGTACTAGTTAGACGTTGCTGCATAACAAATCACACCAAAACTGGCTTCAAACAATAAGCATTTATTACTTTTCATGAGTTTACAGATCAAACAGATAGTTGGCTAATCTGTGCCTGGCTCAGCATATCTTAGTGGTGCATTCTTATTTGTTTGTGTCCAGCTGTTGAGTTGACTGAGGGCTGCTAGCTTAGAATAGCCTTACTCATGTATGGCATTTGGCTGGCTGTTAACTGGGGAAGCAAAGGTAACCAAGCCATGGATCTCTCATCAATCACCAGGCTAGATCAGACTTGCTCCTTCTTGAGGTGTAGGCTCAGAATTGGCACACTATCATTGTTGCGATCTTCTATTGGCCAGAACATGTCACAATACCAACCCAGATGCCAGAAGTGGGAAAATAAAGCTCTACTCTTGTAGGAAGGACCTACCAGGTTATATGACAAGGTCATGGCTGCAGGGAGAGGTGAAGAATCATGGTCATTTTTCATGGAATCAACCTAAATGTCCATCAGTGGTGGACTGGATAAAGAAAATGTGGTACATATACACCATGAAATACTACACAGCCACAAGAAAGAATGAAATCATGTTCTTTGCAGCAACATAGATGGAGCTGGAGGCCATTATCCTAAGCAAATTAACACAGGAACAGAAAACCAAATACTACATGTTCTCACTTATAAGTGGGAGCTAAACATTGAGTGCATATGGACACAAAGAAGGGAACAATAGACACCATGGCCTGCTTGAGGATGAAGGGTAAAAGGAGAATAAAGATAGAAAAAACAACCTATTGGGTATTATGCTGATTACCTGGGTGACAAACTTATCTTTACATCAAACCCCTATGACATGCATTTTATGCATGTAACAAATCTGCACATGTACCCCTTGAACCTAAAATAAAAGTTGGAAAGAAGAAAAAAAAGAATCTTGGTCATTTTTGCAATCAACGTACCACAATCACCAGTAATGTTTTGATGGGTTGCTATATGTACACTCATTTTCAGCTATGAGGATACAGTGATAATCAAGATCCACTCTTCACCTTCAAGAAAACCACAGTTTAGAGTTGGGGAAAGAACCAGACACCACGAATTAAAATGGAATGTAATAAGTATTATAACAAATTATCATGGGGCAACTCCTGCCCAAGAAACTCAGGGAAAGCTTCCCAGAGGTGGTGATATTTGAGCCAGGTCTAGTTCAGAGCACTATCCCAGTTCCTTACACAGTTCCTGGCTTACACTAAGCACTCAATAAATATTTGATGAATAAATAATGAAGAAGAAGAAGGAGTTGGCATAAAGGGAATGAGAAAAAGATCATCTCAAGAAGTAGAAACAGCATGCAGTACGAAAAAAAGACTTAACATTTCATCTCCAAGAATACTTATGTTTTCAACAAATGTTGAATGTTTGCTGTGGGCTAGACAATGGGAATAAGGAATATGGACCCTTGAGGGAGAAGGAAAGATGGTATCCTTATATTTATACTCTCCCTAGTGGGAAAAAATATCCTTACCTCTTCCTAACTTACTGTGTCCTACCCACACCACAGCTATCACCTTCCATGTGACCAAATCAGTGTGGATGAACTCAGTGAAGGTGTGAGCCAGCTGCATCTCCTGGGCTGCACGGAGACACATCCTCAGACTTCAGGATGCACTGATTCAGTAGTGGCCAGGTTGATCCATGGTTACCTCATCAGAAGTTCTTATTTGTATTCCTCTTTCAATACAAAATGTTCACAAAGTACATAATCTGTAAGTACAGTTACTGATTGGGATCCTAGACTGTCCTGGAATACTGTCTAGATTTTATGGAAACCCTACTTATGTTCTGGGACATGTACAAGCCTGACGTAGATTTTTTTCAGATCTTGTAAGTACATCAATGCTCTTCTAAATGGTGTGGACAGGTTCAACCTTAATTCTTTTGGATCTACTGCATATTTTTAAGGTTAGTTGTCAAAGCCATAATACCATAAAAAAGGGCTGCAGGATATTTGGCTTATTAAAGGATCTTTGTCAGTGGGTGCAAAAATCCTATGATTATGGTTTTCTCCATGTGTATAATACCCATTCAAGTGGTAAGCTTCTGAATCCTTATCAAACATACCCAGAGTAGCCCATAAAATACACAGACTGAAAGTATTAAATGTCCCTAAGTTTGCCTTTGTGGATTCTATTAGGCTTATCTCGACTTCTTTTAAAGGCAACAGACAAAAGTTCATTTCTGTAGGCCGAAATATAGATGTCTGTTCTTTGCACTTGACTTTGTAGTACTAAATAGATATCCATGATGTTTATATAATTAATAACAAGTAGGAAACAGGTAATGACCAATCAGAATGGACACATGGAGACCCCAGGTGTGCCCATCATTAACCTTTAGTTGTTGGGTGGCAGGGAGCTCTGGAGGAGGCATGGGGTTCTACAGTGGCCAGGATGGTGTGGGTAGGGGGAGTCCTTTGGGGGCTCCTGGTTTCTGCTCTTGACAAAGCACCACAATTGGCATTGTGCCATAGGGGCACACCTGTGCCCCTCTAATGAATACCTACCTCTTTGGTTACCTGTGTCCCTCTGATGAATACCTACCTCTCTCATTGTGACCAATCATAGTCAAATTATACTTTAAGATTGCTGATTTCTCAAATTTGAGGATAAGGCTAGTGGTAGTTATGTACAAATTGACAAAAAAATCTTTGCCTTTATTTCAAGTAACACCAACAACCAATCTTTTTTATTGCAGGGAAGAAATTATACATTCAAGACACCAGGATGGGTAACAAATAGTTTTATGAAGTCAGCTTTCTAAATGTGTTCTTAAAATGAAACAACTGCCAAGCAAATGTAAAACCAGACTTTGCATTGGGGTTAACAATGTCAATATTTCCTTTTCTCATCCTTCCATTTCTCCCCTATATCCTCTGATTCTCTCAGCCTAGCTCTCATTAACTTGCATAACTTGAGGTCTAGAAGTTTGAGCTCTAGAATTGCAGGCATGTAGTAAAGAACTAGCGAAAAACAATCAAGGATCCAGTCTGGTGCAGGCACTGGGCTGCATTTCCATGTTGTTGTTTTCCTGGTCTTCAAAGGCAAATTCTTTGCTGATGCAGTAAGACTGGAGACTGATAAACAGAACAAATGTTATTTCAAACACCATAATGATAATAATTTAATCAAATGTGATTTGCTTTAAATAAATTCTTTATTGGCCCTTTCATTTTGAAAAGTGACCATGGGCATGGTTTTCTTTTTCTGTTTTTAATGAGAGAAAACGTAAATGATCTTACTTGTAGGAGCAGAAGACTAATGATACTTATTCCCACTCTCTTTGTTTCATGGAACTGTCAGCCCACCCTGCCATTACAACTGACTGGCCTGAAACTCCAACTTTCTTGATAAAGCCAATGGCAACATTGGAACTGGTCTTTCCTTTATACCTCGAGATGTGGCATTTGCTATGGTTTGTAAATGGTTTGTTTGTCCCCACCAAAACTCAGGTTGAATTTGATCCCCAATGTGGCATTTTTGGGAGGTGAGATTTGTGGGAGGTATTTGGGTCACAGGGGTGGATCCCTCATGAATGGTTTGTGCCCTTCTCCAGGTAGTGAGTGAGTTCTCACCCTGGCGAGACTGGATTAGTTCCCTCAGTAATGGATTAGCTTCCTTGAGAGTGGGTTGTTAGAAAGCCAGAACCCCTTGGGTTTTCTTTCTTTGCACAGGTCCACAACCCCTTTGACCTTCTCCACCATGTTTTGACCTAGCACATGGCCCTTACCAGAAGCTGAGCAGATGCTGGCACCATGTTTCTTGCACTTTCCAGCCTGCAGAATGGTGAGCTAAATAAACCTCTTTTCTTTATAAATGACCCAGCCTCAGGTATTCTTTTATAGCAACATAAAACAAACTAAGACAGTATTCACCAGCCGGATAAATACTAACATTTGAACAGTACTTAATTGTTTAGAATACACTGTCACTACCATACTTTCCTTCAAAGTGTATTAGTCCCATTTCACAGATGAGACACTTAGAGTAAAACTCAGTTCCCACAAGTAAGTGGTAGCATTGAGACTTGAACACTGCCCTTCCACCTCCATATTCAAGCTCCCTCCTCCACACCATGGTGGATAGTGTGTTAATATAACTAGCTTAGGCAGTCCAGGTTGTAATTGAGAAAAGAACTGAATCCTATTCATTCCTAAACCCAGCCCTCTCATGATGCCACAGACCATCTGAAAAAGAAAATATAAATAAATAAACAAGTCACCATTAAACCTGCAAACTTGCTGGGTGAACAGACTTTGCCAGGATATTGAGTTGGAATTATTTGAATTGGAAAACTTCATTTACTCATATATATGGGTCTCTGTAATTTAAGAGGTTTATGATGATAGAAGTGGCTATTGCTACCTTCTCCGACAAGGGGAATATTATTTCCAAACTATGTGCAAATACAGGACTGGGCCATCATGAAAGCATTTGTAGGCTGTTAAACAACTTTCTTTCTGCTGGAACCCAAGGCTCATGGAAATAAGTGTCCATATTTTATACTTACCTTTATTTGAAAGACTTGCTTTCCCAAAAACAAACTTTTTACACTAACTTAATGTTGTGAATTCCAGACACTCAAGCCACATACCCAATTAAGAGGGCCATAGATTGGTGAAATGTGTTAATAATGCCAGGATACATTCTTGATTCCTTAAAATTGATTACTAAACAAAGAATAGTGTCAGAGAAGGGGCTATGATAAGGGTAGGAAATAGGCATAAGTTGTAATAGATTCTGCCCACCCACCCACCTCCAACAGCCCCTTAAAAACTGCTTTGAAAAAGAAAAAGGTGACCAGTAAATTTATTTATGCTTTTTAAAAAGCACTGCCAATCCCAATTTATCAGTTACTGTCTTGTGACAATTTATTCATTGTTCACCGTTAGAAGCCAGAAGTTACATAGAAATGCATGATTGGTGATAGCTTCTCTATTTCAATATGGAATAATAGAGATAACACAGTGCCCAAAAGCTCTGCAGCCGACTTTTTGTCTGCTTTGTCTCTTTTCATTACTCTATCAGAATCTTCATTTAATATAATCCAAAAAAGCAAGGTAATTGCTTCACTTATCGGTTATCATCGCTCTCGCATACTTATCATGTCAAAATTATTTATGTGGATAGGCCAGGTTGATCTTGCTGCATTCAGAAGCTTAAAATTTGAATAACTGTTCTGCCAGTTAGGTTATCAAAATTGCAGCATAAGCAATGAGCTTCTCTTTTCTGGATATTGGAGTAAGAAAAAGACACAGCCTCCTAGATGTGCTGGTGGGAAAGGGAGGCCTGGGCTAGGGTAGCACTCAGAACCAGCTATCCTGGTAAAAAGAGAGAAGAAATGCACACAGAATGAAGAGAGCAACTGGAAGATTAATTGCGCAGGTCTTTAAAGAATTTAATGAGAAATGAAGCCAACTGGACTCTGCCTTTCAGTGTTTTCCCTCAAGTGTTCCCAAAATAATTAATACAATTATTCTGAAAGGCAAGACAAACAGTTCAACCTGGGTCTTTATCTATCCATTCCTCCCCTTTTAAAATCTCCACAGATGAGTGTTTCAGTACACTTTTTTCTTCTTGTTAATCATTTGTCAATTGTCAAGTAGTTTGTCACTTTGAAGACATATTAGGCTAACATGAAATGTGGCAGGTTTTCAGTCTAGAAGCAAACATTTATTCTACAAAATAATTTTTGTTAGATAAGCATTGTTTTGAGGCATTTGAGTCTCTCTCTCTTTTACAAATGTTGATGGTAAAAAGAAATTACTTTAGAGTGTTTATTTCCAACATCAACAGCAGAGACTACAGCTCTATTGGCAGAGAACGGTTAAGTAAATGTAAATTATGATTCTTGCCAAATTTTGCAAGAGCTCTTGGTGAGAGTTTCAGAACCTGTGGGAACTTTCTATCCCATCCAGGTTTTCTATTTTGAAACAGTGTTTGAGAAAGTCATCTTGGTACACAGAATGGGACCTTCTCATATTCAGCCAGTCATTCTCATATCCAGTCAGGGAATGCCTAGAGTTGATGAATGCTATGGTCGTGATTATTTTAACACTGTCTTGGGCTACCTAGTAGGTAGTTTGTAACATTTTTCAAATTCTCTCAATATGATCATTCTTTTTAAATTATTTACCAAATCCTGACATGTGAGTAGCTAAGATCTAATATCAAGAACAAAAATTTCTCTGAACTAATTGTCAATTTATTTCTTACTATACAGCTGTTCAATCATTTGTTACAGCTTTAATTCCTCAGTTACGGTGGTTTGTCAGGAGCTGGAACCATGAAAGCACCTAGGTTACATATGTGTTTTCCTTTTATTGCTGTTTTGGTAAATTTTCTAAAAACAAAGTGAAGAATATATGCTTAAAATCTAACATTTATATTAAACCTCTGGTAGTTACCACTATTACAGACATTAGAACTGAAGACTAGGTAGTTCTTAAGACCTTTAAAATTCCTTCCCAACTCTGAGATTTTATTCTTCTTTAAGAATACCATCTCGCACCAGTTAGAATGGCGATCATTAAAAAGTCAGGAAACAACAGGTGCCGGAGAGGATGTGGAGAAATAGGAACACTTTTACACTGTTGGTGGGACTATAAACTAGTTCAACCATTGTGGATGTCAGTGTGGCGATTCCTCAGGGATCTAGAACTAGAAATACCATTTGACCCAGCCATCCCATTACTGGGTATATACCCAAAGGATTATAAATCATGCTGCTATAAAGACACATGCACACGTATGTTTATTGTGGCACTATTCACAATAGCAAAGACTTGGAACCAACCCAAATGTCCAATAACGATAGACTGGATTAAGAAAATGTGGCACATATACACCATGGAATACTATGCAGCCGTAAAAAATGATGAGTTCATATCCTTTATAGAGACATGGATGAATCTGGAAACCATCATTCTCAGCAAACTATCACAAGGACAAAAAACCAAACACCGCATGTTCTCACTCATAGGTGGGAACTGAACAATGAGAACACATGGACACAGGAAGGGGAACATCACACTCCAGGGACTGTTGTGGGGTGGGGGGAGGGGGGAGGAATAGTATTTGGAGATATACCTAATGCTAAATGACGAGTTAATGGGTGCAGCACACCAACATGGCACATGTATACATATGTAACAAATCTGCACATTGTGCACATGTACCCTAAAACATAAAGTATAATAATAATAATAAAAAATAAAAAAATTTAAAAAAAGAAAAAGAAAAAAATACATAAATAACAAGAAAAAGAAAAAAAAAAGAATATAATGCAGCCAGCTGGGCACAGTGCCTCACGCCTGTAATCCCAGCACTTTGGGAGGTCGAGGGCGGTGGATCACCTGAGGTCAGAAGTTCAAGACCAGCCTGGTCAACATGGTGAAACCCTGTCTCTACTAAATATACAAAAAATTAGCCAGGAGTGGTGGTGGGCACCTATAATCCCAGCTACTTGAGGGGCTGAGGCAGGAGAATTGCTTGAACCTGGGAGGTGAAGGTTGCAGTGAGCCGAGATTGCGCCATTGCACTACAGTCTGGGCAACAAGAGTGAAACTTCGTCTCAAAAAAAAAAAAAAAAGAAAGAAAACAAACAAAATATATAATGCAGCCATACATGGTGGCTCATGCCTGTAATCTCAGCATGTTGGGAGGCCAAGGTAAGAGCATTGTTTGAGGCTAGGAGTTCGAGATCAGCCTGGGCAATATAGCAAGATCCTTTCTCTACAAAAAATTTAAAAATTAGGGAAGAGGATGCAGCGAAAGATGGCCAAATAGAAGCCTCCACCAATCATCCTCCCTACAGAAACACCAAATTGAACACAAATTGAACAACTATCCACTCTCAGCTGAGTGATCATAGTACCTGGTTTTAACTTCCTATCACTGAAAGAGGTACTGAAGAGAGTAGGAAAGAGTCTTGAATTGCTGATCCCACGCTTCCCCCATCCCCCAGCAGCAGTTGTGTGGCATGGAGAGAGAATCTGTGTGCTTGGAAGAGGGAGAGGACAGTGACTGTGGGACTTTGCATTGGAACCCAGTGCTGCCTGTCACAGCAGAAAGCAACACCAGGCAGAACTCAGCCAGTGACCATGGAGGGAGCATTTACAGCCATCCTAGCCAGAGGATAATCACTTATCCCAGTAGTTGGAGTCTGAGTTGTGGCAAGCCTCGTCACTGAGGGCTAAAGTGCTCTGGGACCCTATAAAAACTTGAAAGGAAGTCTAGGCCACAAAGATTGCAATTCTGGGGCAATTCCTGGTGCTGGGCTAAGCTCAGAGCCAGTTTACTTGATAGACACACAAGCTAGTGAGACACCAGCCAGGGTGGCCAAGAGAGTGTTTGCACGATCCCTCTCCAAAGCCCAGACAGCACAGCTTGCAGCTGTGGGTGAGACGCCTTCCCTCCATTTGAGGAGAGGAGATGGGGAAGCAAAGAGAATTTTGTCTTGCAAGTTGGATACCAGCTCAGCTATAGCAAGAAAGGGCACCATTCCAGACCCTAGCTCCCAGATGACATTACTAGACACCCTGGCCCAGAAAAGAACCAGCTGTCTTGAAGGGAAGGACCCAGTCCTGGCAGGATTCATCATCTATTGACTAAATAACCCTTGGGCCCTGAATAATCAGCAGTGGTATCCAGGCAGTACTTGCCATGGGCCTTGGGTGAGATACAAGACCATGCTGGCTTCAGGTGTGGCCAGGTGCATTCCCAGCTGTGGTGACTATGGAGAGAGACTCTTGCTTGAGGAAAGGGGAAGGAAGAATACAGGGAACTTTGTCTTGCAGATTAGGTATTAATTTGGACACAGTTGTGTAGAGCACTGTGCTGATTCTTGGGGTCCCTGAGTCCAGGCCTTGGCTTGTAGATATCATTTCTGGACTAGCCCAGAGCAAGAAGGGAGCCCACTGACCTGAAGGGAGAGTCCCAGGCCTGGCAGCATTCACAACAAGCTGAATGAAGAGCCCTTGGGCCTAGAATGAACATTGGAGGTAGTCAGGAAGTACTCGTCACAGGTCTAGAGCAGTGGTGGCTATGGGAAGAGACTCCTCTGATTGTGGAAAGGGTAGAGAAGAGTGGAAAAGACTTTGTCTTGTGACTTGGGTGTCAGCCCAGCCATAGTAGAATAGAGCACCAGATGGAATCCTAAGGTTTTCAACTGTAAGCCCTGGCTCCCAGATGGCATCTCTGGACCTTCCCAGGACTGGAGGTAACCTACCTCCCTAAAGAGAAGGACAAAAGCCTGGCTGGCTTTACCACCTGATGATTGTAGAGTGTTAGGGCCTTGAGCAAAGTTAGACAGTAACTAGGCAGTGATTACAACAGGCCTTGGGCAAGACCCAGTGCTGTGCTGACTTCAAGTCTGACCCAGCATAGCCTCATGGTACTGGCCACAGGGGTGCCTGTGTCACCCCTCCCCCAGCTCCAGGAAGCTCAGCACAGAGAGAGAGACTCCATTTGCCTGGGAGAAAGGGAAAAGAACAAGACTGTCTGCCTGGTAACCCAGAGAATTCTTCCAAATCTTATCCAAGACCACCAAGGTGATAACTCTACAAATCTGCAAGAGCCACAGTGTTACTGGGCTTGGAGTGCTCCCTAATGCAGATACAGCTGCAGTGACTAAAAACTCAGATCACAACACCCAAGTCATTTTGAATACCTGGAAAGCCTTCCTAAGAACAGGTACACACAAGCCCAAACAATGAAGACTATAATAAATATTTAACTCTTCAATTCCCAGACACCAAGGAACATCCACAAGCATCAAGACCATCCAGAAAAACATGACCTTACTAAATGAAATAAATAAGACACCAGGGACCAATCCTGAAGAGACAGAATTATGTGACCCTTCAGACAAAGAATTCAAAATAGCTGTCTGGGGGAAACTCAACAAAATTCAAGATAACAAAATTCAAGAAAAGAAATTCAGAATCCTATCAGATAACTCTAACAAGGATATTGAAATAATTAAAAGGAATCAAGCAGAAATTCTGGAGTTGAAAAATGCAATTGACATAGTAAAGAATGCATCAGAGTCTTTTAAGAGCAGAATTGATCATGAAGAAGAAAGAGTTTTGTGAGACAGGGTATTTGAAAACACACAGTCAGAGGAGACAAAGGAAAAAAGAATAAAAAAGAATGATGCCTGCCTACAAGACCTCAAAAACAGCCTCCAAAGGGCAAACCTAAGATTTATTGTCCTTAAAGAGGAAGTAGAGAGAGCTCAGGGTAGAAAGTTTATTCAAAGGGATAATAACAGAGAACTTCCCAAGCCTAGAGAAAGATATCAATATTCAAATACAAGAAGGTTATTAAATGTCAAGGAGATTTAACCCAAATAAGGCTACCTCAAGATATTTAGTAATCAAACTCCCACAGATAAAGGATAAAGAAAGAATTCTAAAAACAGCAAGAGAAAAGAAACAAATAACATACAAAGAGGCTCCAATATGTCTGGCAGCAGACATCTCCGTGGAAACCTTACAGGCAAGGAGAGAGTGACATAACATATTTAAAGTGCTGAAGGGAAAAAACTTTTAACCTAGAATAGCATATCCAGTGAAAATACCCATCAAACATAGGAGAAATAAAGACTTTCCCAGATAAACAAAAGCTGAGGGATTTCATCAACACCAGACCTATACTACAAGAAATGGTAAAGGCATTTCTTCAATCTGAAAGAAAAGGAGATTAATGAGCAATAAAAATCATCTGAAGGTACGAAGCTCACTGGTAAGAGTAACTACACAGAAAACCACAGAATGTTATGGTGCTATAACTGTGGTGTGTAAACTACTCTTATTCTAAGTAGAAAGACTAAATGATGAGCCAATCAAAAATAACAACAACAACTACTACTTTTCAAGACATAGTACAATAAGATATAAATAGAAAAAACCAAAAAGTTAAAAAGCAGGGGGACAAAGTTAAAGTGTAAAGGTTTTATTAGTTTTCTCTTTGTTTATTTGTTTGTTTATGCAATCATTGTTATCATCAGTTTAAAATAATGGGCTATAAGATATTATTTGCAAGCCTCCTGTTCACCTCAAATTAAAAAAATACAAGAGATGCACAAAAAATAAAAAGCAAGAAACTAAAACATGCCACCAGAAAAAAAAAATCATCTTCACTAAAAGGAAGACAGGAAGGAAGGAAAGAAGGAAGAGAAGACTACAAAACAACCAGAAAACAAATAACAAAATGGCAGGAGTAAGTCCTAACTTACCAATAATAACATTGAATGTAAGTGGTGGATTAAACTCACCAATTAAACGATGGAATGGCTGAAAGGATTAAAAACAAACAAGACCCAATGATCTATTGCCTACAAGAAACACCACTTTACCTCTAAAGACACACATCGACTGAAAATAATAGGATGGAAAAATATTACATGCAAATGGAAACCAAAAAGAGCAAGAGTAGCTGTACTTATAACAGACAAAGTAGATTTCAAGACAAAAACTATGAAAACAGATGAAGAAGGTCATTACATAATGAAAAAGGTGTCGATTCAGCAAGAGGCTGTAACGATTGTAAATATATATGCACCCAACACGGAAGCACTCAGATATAAAAAGTAAATACTATTAGAGCAGAAGAGAAAGACTGAGCCTGATGCAGTAATAACTGTATACTTCAACACCCCACTTTCAGCATTGGAAAGATCATCTAGACAGAAAACCAACAAAGAAACGCTGGCCTTTGTCTGAACTATAGATCAAATGGACCTGATAGATATTTACAGAACATTTTATCCAATGGCTGCAGAATACATATTTTTCTCAGCACATGGATCATTCTCAAGGATAGACCCTACGTTAGGCCACAAAACAAGTCCTAAAAAATTTGACAAAATTGAAATTGTATCAAATATCTTCTCTGACCACAATGGAATAAAACTAGAAATTGATAACATGAGGAATTTTGGAAACCATACAAATACATGAAAATTAAACAATATGCTCTTGAATGACCAATGGGTCAATGAAGAAATTAAGAAGGAAATTGAAAAATTTCTAGAAACAAATGATACTGGAAACACAACATACCAAGACTTATGGGATACAGCAAAAGCAGTACTAAAAGGAAAGTTTTTAGCTACAATGGCCTATATCAAAAAAGTACAAAAAATTCAAATAACCTAACAACACATCTTAAAGAACTAGAAAAGCAAGAGCCAACCAAACCCAAAATTAGTAGAAGAATGAAGATCAGAGCAGAAATAAGTGAAATTGAAATTTAAAAAATGCAAAAGATCAAGGAAATGAAAGGGTGGTTTTTTTGAAAAGATAAACAAAGTTGACAAACCTTTAGCCAGACTAAGAAAAAAAGAGAGAAGACCCAAATAAATAATATCAGACACAAAAAAAGAGACATTACAACTGATATCACAGAAATTCAAAGGATCATTAGTGGCTACTATGAGTAACTATGTGCCAATAAATTAGAAAACCTAGAAGAAATGGATCAATTGCTAGACACATACAGCCTACCAAGATTGAAACATGAAGAAATCCAAAACTTGAACAGACTAACAACACGTAATGAGATTGAAGCAGTAATAAAAAAAATCTCCCAGCAAAGAAAACCCAGGACCTGATGGTTTCAATGCTGAATTTGACCAAACATTTGAAGAACTAATACCAATCCCACTCAAACTACTTCAACAAATAGAGGAGGGAATACTTCCAAACTCATTCTGCAGGACCATTACCCTGATATTAAAACCAGAAAAAGACACATCAAAAAAAGAAAACTACAGGCCAATATCTCTGAAAAATATTGATGCAAACATCCTGAACAAAATACTAGCAAACCAAATTCAGCAATATATTAGAAAGATCATTCATCATGGCCAAGTGCGATTTATCCCAGGAATGCAAGGATGGTTCAACATATGCAAATCTGTCAATGTGATACATCGTATCAATAGAATGAAGGACAAAAACCATATGAACATTTCAATTGCAGCTGAAAATGCATTTGATAAAATTCAACATCCCTTCATGATTTAAAAAACCTCAAAAAACAGTATAGAAGGAACATACTTCAACACAATAAAAGCCATATATGACAGACACATGACTAGTATTGTACTGGATGGGAAATAACTGAAAGTCTTTCCTCTAAAATATGGACCAAGAGAGGGATGCCCACTTTCACCACTTTTAATTCAACATAGCACTGGAAGTCCTAGCTAGAGCAATTAGACAAGAGAACGAAATAAAGGGCACCCAAATTGGAAAGGAATAAGTCAAATTATCTTTGTTTGCAGATGATATGATCTTATATTTGGAAAAACCTAAAGACTCCACCAAAAAAAAACTATTAAAAATTATAAATGAATTCAGTAAAGTTTCAGGATACAAAATCAACATGCAAAAATCAGTAATATTTCTATATGCCAACAGTGAACAATCTGAAAAAGAAATCAAGAAAGTAATTATATTTACAATAGCGATGAATAAAATAGAATATGTGATAATTAACCAAAGAAATTAAAGATATCTACAATGGAAGCTATAAAACATTGATGAAAGAAATTGAAGAGGACACAAAAAATGGAAAGATATTTCATGTTCATGGATTGAAAGACTCAATATCATTAAAATGTCCATACTACCCAAAGCAATCTACAGATTCAATGCATTCCCTATCAAAATACCAATGACATTCTTCACAAAACTACAAAAAAAAAAAAAATCCTAAGACTTATACAGAACCACAAAAGATCCAGAATACTCAAAACTATCCTGAACAGAGAGAACAAAACTGGAGAAATCACATTACTTGACTTCAGGTATACTACAGAGCTATAGTAACTGAAACAGCATGGTCCTGACATAAAAACAGACACAAAGACCAATGGAACAGGATAGAGAACCCAGAAACAAATCCATACATCTACAGTGAACTCATTTTTGACAAAGGTGTCAAGAACATACATTGGGGAAAGGACAGTTTCTTCAATAAATGGTACTGGAAAAAACTGGATAACCATATGCAAAGGAATGAAACTAGGTCCCTATCTCTCACTACATACAAAAATGAAAACAAATGGATTAAAAACTTAAGTCTAACACCTGAAGCTATGAAACTACTAAAAGAAAACTTTAAGAAAACTCTCCAGGACATTGGTCTGGGCAGAAATCTCTCAGGTAATACCCTACAAGCACAAATAACCAAAGCAAAAATTGACAAACAGGGCCACATCAAGTTAAATAGCTTCTGCACAGCAACAGAAACAATCAACAAAATGAAGAGACAACCCATAGATTAGGAGAAAATATTTGTAAACTACCCATCTGACAGGGGATTAATAATCAGAATATATAAGTAGCTGAAACAATAGGAAAAAAATCTACTCATCTGATTAAAAACTGAGCAAAGGATCTGAATAGATATTTCTTAAAAGAAGGTATACAAGTGGCAAACAAGTATATGAAAAAGTGCTAAACATCAGTGATAATCAGACAATGCAAATCAAAACCACAATGAAGTATCATCTCACCCCAGTAAAATGGCTTTTATCAGGGAATAAGAAATGCTGGTGAGGATGAAAAGGGAACCCTTGCAAGCCATTGATGGGAATGTAAATAAGTACATTAGTGGTTGTACTAATTTACAACCACTATAGAGAGCAGTTTGGAGGTTCCTCAAAAAACTGAAAATAGAGCTACCATGTGATTCAGCAATGCCACTGCTAGTCATATACCCCAAAGAAAGAAAATCGATACATTAAAGAGATATCTGCACTCCCATGTTTATTGCATTATTATTCACAATAGCCAAGATTTAGAAGCAACCTAAGCATCCATCAACAGACAAATGGATAAAGAAAATGTGGTATATGTATACAATAGAGTACTATTCAGACATAAAAAAAGAATGAGATCCTGTTATTTGCAACAACATGGATGAAACTTGAAGACATTACATTAAATGAAATAAGCCAGGAATAGAAAGACAAACTTTGCATGTTCTCACTTAGGGGGGCCTAAAAATTAAAACAATTGAACTCGTGCAGATAGAGGATAAAATGATGGATACCAGAGGCTGGGAAGTAGTAGTGGGAATATTATAACAAAATACCTGAGGTTGGCTAATTTATTTCAAAAACAATTAAAAAATATTTTTTATAATTCTGGAGTTTGAGAAGTCCAAGGTTGAGGGGTCACATCTGGTGAGGGCATTTTTACTGCATCATAACATGGTGAAGGGCATCACCTGGCAAGAGTGCAACAGCATGAAAGTTCAGGTTTCTCTTACCTTTCTTATAAAGCCACCAGTCCTCTCATAAGGGCCCCATCCTGTTGACCTTATCTAATCCTAATTACTTCCCAAAAGCCCCACCTCCAAATGCCATCAACATATGAATTTGATGATTAAGATTCCAACACATGAAATTAGGGGGACACATTCAAATGGTAGCATTCTAACCCTAGCCCCCAAAATTCATGTCTTTCTCACATGCAAAATACATTTATTCTATCCCAACAGCCCTGAAGTTTTAACTCATTCCAGCACCAACTCCAGAGTTCAAAGTCTTATCTAAATTAGTTAAGAATGAGATTTGGCTGGGCGCGGTGGCTGACGCCTGTAAACCTAGCACTTTGGGAGGCCGAGGTGGGTGGATCATGAGGTCAAGACATCGAGACGAACCTAGCTAACGTGGTGAAACCCCGTCTCTACTAAAAATACAAAAAAATTAGCCGGGCATGGTAGCAGATGCCTGTAGTCCCAGCTACTCGGGAGGCTGAGGCAGGAGAATGGCATGAACCCGGGAGGTGGAGCTTGCAGTGAGCCGAGATAGCGCCACTGTACTCCAGCCTGGGCAACAGAGCAAGACTCCGTCTCAAAACAAAAAAAAAAAGAATGAAATTCAAGGCATGCTTCATCCTGAGGCAAATTCCTTCCAGGTGTAAATCTGTAAAATCAACCAGTCATCTACTTCAAAAATACAATGTTGGGACAGGCATAAGACAGACTTCTCATTCCAAAAAGGGAGAAATAGGCAAGAATTTAGCAAAAATATGTCCCCAAGCAAGTCCAAAACCCAATAGTGCAGACATTAAATCTTAAGACTCCAGAATAATCTTTTATCCCCTGGACACACTGCTGTTGGCATTGGGACCACAAAGCTTCAGGCAGCCTTGCCTGTATAGCTTTGCTGGGCTTAGCCTATGCTTCAGTTCTTTCAGGCTGGTGTTGCATTTTGGTAGCTCTACAGCTTTGGAGTCTCAGTGGTGGTCCTATTCCCATGGCTTGAATAGGCCTTGCCCTGGTGGGGACTTTCTGTGGCAGCTTCAACCTCATATTTCATTTGACATTGCCCTAAATAGGGGCTCTCAGCAGTGGCTCCACCCCTATGACAAAGCTCTACCTAGGCCTCCAGGCTATCTGATACATCCTTTGAAAACTAGGTGAAAGTTGCCATGTCTCCACAGCTCTTGCTTTCTGTGAACCTACAGAACTGGCACCACATGGATGCCACGAAGGCTTATGGCTTGTGTCTCCTGGAGCAGCAGGTTGAGCCACACCTAGAGCCATTGAGCCACAACTGGGGCAGCTAAAAGTACTGTGCCCAAATGTGTGTGGGGAGCATAGTCCTGATGTGGCCCTGGGAAGCAGCCTGTTCTCCAAAATCATTCTCCCTTCCTAGGGCTCTGGGCATGTGATGGAAGGGGCAGTCTCAAGGATCTCTGAAATGCCTTCAGGGTTTTTCTCCCATTGTCTTGATTATCCTTTCTATCTAATCTCCTTAGCAAATGGTCACTGGAGCACACCTTTGGTTTCGTCTCCTGAAAATGCCCTTTCATTCTCTGCCACACAGCAAGGCTGATAATTTTCCAAGTCTTTCCACTTTGTTTCCCTTTTAATTATATATTCTATCTTTCAGTCATCTCTTTGCTCTCTTATTTCACTGTAAGCAGTTAGAAGTAGCCATGCAGAAGCCTGAATGCTTTGCTACTTAGAAATTTTTTCCAGCAGATATTCTAGTTCATTGCTCTTAAATTCTGCATTCCACAAAATCCTAGGGCATGCACACAATGTAGCAATGTTTTGCAACTTTACAACAAAGGTGGTCTTTATTTCATTTTCTGGTATCTTGTGCCTCAGTTCCATTTGAGACATTATCAGAATGGTCTTTACTGTTTACATTTCTATTAAGATACTGGTCATGACCACTTAGGTAATCTCTGAAAAGCTCCAGACTTTTCCTTAGTCTTCTTCTAAGCCCTCCACCGGAATTGCCCTTAATTCTCCATTTATGGCAATAAAGGCTTTTTTTATTTTCCAGCATTCAACAAACCTGTTCCAGTTTGTATCCATTATCCAGTTCTAAAGCTCATATATTCATTATTAGCCATAGACCTACCTCTTAGTACCAATGTACTATTTTAGTCTGTTTTCTGTTACTATCCAAGAATACCTGAGACTAGGTAATTTATAAAGAATAGAAGTTTATTTCTCCCATGATTCCGGAGGCTGGGAAGTCCATGATCACAGCACTGGTATCTGCTGACAGCCTTCTTGCTGAACTGTAACATAGAAGAAGGCATCATTTGGTGAGAGCAAGAGTGTACCAGCTCAGGTCTCTCTTCTTCTTCTTATAAAGTCACTGGTCTCATTATAGGGTCCCCATCCTGATGACCTTATCTAATCCTAAATATCTCTGAAAGGCCCCACTTCCAAATGCCAACACATGAATTTGAGGATTAAATTTCCAGCACATAAAATTTGGGGGATGCTTTCAAACCACAGCATTCCCTAAACTTCAACATTCAAAATGCCATTAAACATTTAACAAACATTATGCACCTACTACTTAATAGGCTCTGTCTAAGGCTTATCTTATGTCTAAACACTTTATAGAAACTTTCCTCAGTTTCCAGTTGCACTGGAGTCATGAAACAGTGTAACTTATCTTGTCATTATGAACACATATCTCTTATATGCTGTCTTATACAGAAGTTAGGAACTTGAAGTAAGGGGCTGTGTGTATACACTTTACTACTCCCATGATGACTGATGAAGTGCCTTATACACATTAAATATAAACACATCTCTAATAAAAAATGAACTGATTATTTTTCAACATTGTTTGGGGCTTGAACCAAACCATCAGCATGGTGCTTCTACCTTAAGCATACCTAGTTCTTTTAACTGTTTTTATTGTCCATATTTTCATCACCACTCATTATGCTTCTACCAAAATCAAAATCTGGTAAAGCATAGAGATGGGAATGTTAATGAATATCTACTGAATGCCAACTTTTTAAGAAATGAGAAAAGTAAATTATTTACACTTTACTGGAGTGCAGCTTGCCTTTAATGCAAGTTCACTACATTGTTTATTCATTAATTTATTTGTTCAGCAAATATGTTTCGACCATGTGCCAGGCACTGTGCAGCTACTAGGATCAAGGGATGAATAAGATATTTTTCTCCCTTTGAAGGATTTAAAGACCAGTGATGGAGAAAGAACTATAAATAATTATGTAATGTAAATCTGTATCTGTATTTGCTACTTGCTAGTTGTGTAACTTTGGGCAATTCATGTACTTTCTTGGGACTTGGGCTTCCTCAACTGGTTAAATAAGGGTCATCACAGTGAGGTTGTGCCCCTACCATATAGTTATCATTTCTTGGTGCAGTACCTGGTAAGTAATAGGTGTACAATAAATGTGGGTTGCACCTGAGTGTATAAAATACCAAAGAAACAAGAACACAGAGAAATTAACTCAAAATATGAGGCAAGGAAGTTTTCACAGGGTTCAGACTTGAAGGATGAGTAGATAATTTTCAAGATAAGGATGGAAAAAGAAGTGGATCCTGACCAGGCATGGTGGCTCATGCCTATAATCCCAGCACTTTGGGAGGCCGAGGTAGGTGGATCACGAGGTCAGGAGTTCGAGACCAGCCTGGCCAAGATGGTGAAACCCCGTCTCTACTAAAAATCCAAAAATTAGCCCGGCGTGGTGGCAGACACCTGTAATCCCAGCTACTCAGGAGGCTGAGGCAGGAGAATCTCTTGAATCCGGGAGGCAGAGGTTGTGGTGAGTCAAGATTACACCACTACACTCTAGTCTGGGCAACAGAGGAAGACTCTGTTTCAAAAAAAAAAAAAACAAAAGTAGATCCCAGAAGTGAAAGCTTTATATATAAAGATCAGCATAGGTGTGAAAGATCCCATCAAAAATTATTGAGTCAGTGGATAATAATGCTTAGGGACTCTGAGAGACTTCTGATTACCTAATAGTTCTTCCCAACTTCTAATTTATGGACATACTTTTTTCCTTCTTAATTAAAACATCTTATATCAGCACGTGTTCCATTTTATTTGATTTGATTTTAGAACAATTACTTAGTCTATTGAATTTATTTTAAATTTAATTTTAAATTCTAGAGTAAGACAGCCACCACCAGGTTTCAGTCATATATGCAAATTTTTAACGTATATCCTGCATACATATCAAGAAAGAAATTGGCATCTGAACAATGACTCAAAATTTTCAATTTAACATCACATTTCTGTGTTATTAGAAGCATCTAAATGACAACATATAATTTGGACAAAAATGAAGAAATGTGGCCGAAATCCAGATGTCTTAAATTATCTATATGCTTAACAAGATACAAATTAAAATCCTAATAAAATGGTGATAATAAATAAATATTTTTTCATTTAAAAACTTTTATTCAGTTTTGGATATTTAATGTTATGTTGATACAATATATGAATATATTTTTCCTCTACTCATTACTGCCATTACTCTATAAGACTGTCTAAAGCTTATTTGAGTTAATCAGTATGCACTGCTTTTTGTCTATGTAAAAGGTCATTTATTCTCAAGCAACTTTTTATTGCCTTTTAAAAATAGGTACTCCTTTGGCTTTTTCCCAGTGATCTGGGGTCCTGCCAATCCTCCACAGATCTTCACGTTATCATTCTTGGCTCCATGATCACATCAATTATTTTCTTGGCAAATCCAAGATAGAGTTGGTCAAGCCCAACTAGCATAAAAATATGTAACACCCCAAAGTAAATTCCAAGTTGCTTCAAATTCTGCTTTAACTTTAGTTTTTGTTTTAGCCTTCTTCTTTTATGTACATCTCTATAGTTACTTTGTTTTGTTATCACACTCTTCTATACACATATGAAACTGCCAAGAGGCTCAGGGAACAATTTAGAATTATCCAAAGCCCTTAACACTATTAAATCCTACTTGATCCGTGAAGAATAATTATCAAGGTCTGGGGGAAATTATATGGGAATTTACCTATTTACAGTTAGGTCTATTTGTGAGCAGCCAGAAGAGTTTTACCCAAGTTCGGATAACAATGTAGAGCAATTCTAAGATAGCTATATAGTTTCCTAGTTTGAGATGGTGGACAGACCTGCAGTTGCCTCTTCTTCATTTCTAAACACTCATCGAAATGACAATATCTGTATGAAAATGAATAAATAAATCCTTAGCAGGACTTGAAACAAAACCAAAAAAAGGGAGGGGAAAGAAGGTGATATTAGCAGGCCAGAAAGTTTGATGAAGTCTTGGAAGACAGGAGACAGATTGGATTATATTGCTAAATAAACTCTAGTAGAGTAAATTACAACCCAAAAAAGATATAGTGGAGTTAGGAATCATTTTCCTTAAAAGATCTCTGGTGAGTCTCCAAGCACATACAGACAGGAGTGGCTAAGGGGCAGCCATAAGGGTTTGTAACTGGAAGATCATCTTCAGAAATCTGGACTTAGGTAGCTTGTCTTCTTCCTTCATGTATGAAGCATTTTACTTATTTGACACTTGTTGTGCCCCAGGCCTGTTCATATACTAAAAATAAAAAGCCACTTATTGGCCGGGTGTGGTGGCTTATGCCTGTAATCCCAGCACTTTGGGAGGCCAAGGCGGGTGGATCATGAGGTCAGGAGGTCAAGACCATCCTGGCTAACATGGTGAAACCCTGTCTCTACTAAAAATACAAAAAAAAATTAGCCAGGTGTGGTGGCAGGCACTTGTAGTCCCAGCTACTTGGGAGGCTGAGGCAGGAGAATGGTGTGAACCTGGAAGGCAGAGCTTGCAGTGAGCCGAGATCGTGCCACTGCACTCCAGCCTGGGCGACAGAATGAGACTCCATCTCAAAATAAATAAATAAAATAAAATAAAAAAGCCACTTATCAATAAGTTTCACCCTTTGACACAGGGCTTGGCAGTCCTTCCATTCAGGGCAGTGGCCTTTTGGGTGAAATGGTCTGTTTAACTTCAAAAATTACCCATGCCAGCCCTCTACATTGATGAATGTAGTCCTTTATGCACAAAAATTAGTAGTCAGCCAAGACCAGATGTTTAAGGGGAACCAAGTAGAAGAAAAAGAAAGACAAAAGTGAATAAATAGAAAAACTGACCCCAGAAGAATCAGTAATAATGCAAGGAATAAAATAAAACATTAAAAATCCTAATTAGTGTCCTCAGAAATTCAAGAATATATTGTATTTATAATTTAAAAAGAGGCTGCTATGAGTTCTTAGAAATAAAAAAGAGTTTCTATTTTTTAATGCATTAAAATTTGAAAAGCAATGATCTAGAGCGCAGATCCAGAATATCCTATACCTATCTGTAGAGGTGTTTTAGAATGAGACAATGTAAACAATAAAAGAGTTGAAATAATCAAAGAAATAATAAAAGAAAATAGCTTAAATTTTCCATCAGCTGGAAAAAATATAAATTCAGTTATTGACAAATCCCACCAAATGTTCAGTGGAAAATATATGCACTAAATACATCATTGTAAAATTTCAGAACAGCAAGCATGAAGAGAAAAATTGTAAAAACTTTCAGATGGGGGCCGGGTGCGGTGGCTCACACCTGTAATCCCAGCACTTTGGGAGGCTGAGGCGGGCAGATCGTGAGGTCAGGAGATCAAGACCATCCTGGCTAACATGGTGAAACCCCGTCTTTACTAAAAATACAAAAAAATTAGCCAAGCGTGGTGGCGGGCACCTGTAGTCCCAGGTACTCGGGAGGCTGACGCAGGAGAATGGCATGAACCTGGGAGGTGGAGCTTGCAGTGAGCCGAGATTGTGCCACCGCACTCCAGCCTGGGGGTGACAGAGTGAGATTCCGTCTCAAAAAAAAAAAAAAAAAGTTCAGAGAGGGAAAAAAAGTGATTAACCAAAAAGAAATGAGCATCAGATTAACACAAATGTCCTATGAACAACACACAACACGATATACAAAAAGACTATAAAGCAATGTTAAACATATAATTCTATATGAAGTGCAGTTGTAGACAAAATTTAAGCGAAAAAATAAAGGCATTTTCAGACATGAAAGAACTTAGAAAGTTTACTTCTCATCCCTTTTCTAAAGAAAATATTTTGAAGATATACTCCAGCAATATGAAAAAATAACCAAGAAGAAGAAAAGGAATACAAAGACAGTGTAACCTGACCCAGAGGTACAATGAAAGAAATCTCAGAATGAACAGTACATCAAGAAAGTAATGAGGACAAATTAGAAGGAGACTAGAGGACTTTATAAAAAAAAATCTTTTTATATTAATTGGAGGTGAGTTAAGGATATTGAGGATGGTAATGTACATGAGAAAATGGATGTAAAATAAATTCATGGTGAAATATAAAGGAAAGTAAAATATGACATTTTGAGCAATTGTTGTAATATACATAAATATTATAAAGACAGCATATTATGTAAACATATATATATAAATCCTTTTTAGTTGGTGTTTGGAATGATATGAAATTATACTGCTTTCTCCATGTGC
This sequence comes from Homo sapiens, assembly GCF_000001405.40. Lineage (NCBI taxonomy): Eukaryota > Metazoa > Chordata > Mammalia > Primates > Hominidae > Homo > Homo sapiens. The sequence goes on along the minus strand of NC_000001.11, from coordinate 87,532,973 downwards.
CTAATCATACGACATGGTTTTACAGAGAGTAATATTTATATCATTATAATTTTTACATATTTCAGATTTTTATGTTTTTAAATCAACCTATAGACAATATGTGAAAGACTTTTTTATACTTTCAAACCAAACTATAAGTGACACAAATATAAAAATATCAATATGTAAGTGTAAATTATTATAATTCTGTTTACATGTAAGTTGCTTTAAACTTAAAAAAATGTAAAAATATAACGATTCCACTGACAAAAGTCAGCAGGGGGAAAGAAGAAAAGAAAGAAAGGTTAGGTGAGCTGATTTTCTCAGCTCACCTAGTATGGCGAAAATAGAGGCAGTCTAAAACTGGTGATTGAAAAACATAGGTTAAGGATAATATTAAGTGATAAAGAGAGCCAATATAAAAACTAACACACTACCTCCAAAAATAACCAACAAAAAAATCAGAACTTGGAAGGGAAATGAGAAGAAAGGCAAGAGTATAAGTACATAAAACTTACCTTTTGTTTGGAAATCAACAGATATGATCTCAAATCTTAAGAAAATCAAGAATACAACATACGATTTAGAGATAGGATGGTAAATGTCAGAATGCTAAAAAAAGAAGCAGTTAAAATCATTATCTTTGGAAATCTTTACAGATCAGTAGGAGGCAGTAAAGATAAATTTTACTTTTCATTCATTCCCCTTCTATACACGTTTGAATATTTTAACGGATACATATTGGTTAGAGGTTGGGAACAGTAGGGGACAGAGGGGGATGAAGAGAGGTTGATTAATGGGTACAAATATACACTTAGATAAAAGAAATGAGATGTAATGTTCAATAAATTGGTAGGGTGACTACAGTTAACATTAATCAATTGTACATTCCAAAATACCTAGAAGAAAATAATTTGAATGTACCTAGCTTAAAGAAAAGATAAATGTTTAAGGTGATGGGTATCCCAGTTACCCTAATTTGATTTTTGAATGGATCAAGTTATCACATGTACCCTAAAAATATATACATATAATATGTAGCAATACAAAATAAATAAAATTGAAAAAAAGTTAAAATTTTTAAATAAAAAAGAATTTCAGTGGGACTTACATGATGTAGATACTTAATTAACATGAAGTGGAATAAGCACAAAATATTTACTAGTGTCTGTTTTTTATTAAATAAATTTTATGAGCACCTACTATTTGTGTGATCCTTGGTCTATATTGAATCAGACAGACATGCTCCTATCATGAGAGAGCTTATTGTCTATCTATAAAGACAAACATTAAACAAATAATTATGTAAATAAATTGTTCAGTTATACTTGTGTCAAGTGTTGGGAAGGTTAAATGTATCATGAGAAAATATAACAGGGGAACATAAGCCTGACAGATTGCTTTGGGAGATTTGTATGCAAGTGTAACAAAATCTGCTTTTTTGGTACTAACATATAACAGCCATTGGACAAAAAGGGAATACACAGTAAGAAAGTGGTCCCTGACCTTTTTGGCACCAGGGACCGGTTTCATGGAAGACAATTTTTCCTCAGACCCAGGGGCAGGGAGGATGGTTTTGGGATGATTCAAGCACATTACATTGATTGTGCACTTTATTTCTATTATTATTACATTGTAATATATAATGAAATAATTATACAACTCATCATAAAGTAGAATCAGTGGGAGCCCTGAGCTTGTTTTCGTGCAACTAAACAGTCCCTTCTGAGGGTGATGGGAGACAGTGGCAGATCATCAGGCATTAGATTCTCATAAGGAGCACACAACCTAGAACCCTCACCTGTGCAGTTCACAATAGGGTTTGTGCTCCTTTGAGAATGTAATGCTGTGGCTGGTCTGACAGGAGGCGGAGCTCAGGCAGTAATGTGAGTGATGGGCAGTGGCTGTAACTACACATGAAGCATCGCTGGCTTGCTGGCCACTCATCTCCTGCTCTGCAGCCTGGTTTCTGATAGGTACCCATCCATGGCCTGGGGTTGGGGACCATTGCAGTAAGAGACAGTTGTTTAACTAAAGGCAACTAAATTAGCTCCCACTTAAACGAAGTTCTGTCCCTTATTCTATATAACTCAAGTCAGAAATAAAAGCATTTATAGAATTTCATGGTTTTAAGTTTTCTGAACTTGAGAAATTTTCCCTCAAAATGAATCAAATCACTTAATTTTTTTTCAAAAAAATAATACACTGAAAGCTGACAATTTGGCAATCTGCTGTGAGAGTAGGTAAAGATCACCCCACTTTAACATTTGAAAAAAGCATAGTATTGCCAGAGCTGTCAAGAACTTCAAGTTGTGAAGGAGGTAATTTGATCTCCTGCACTTAAAAACTATTTACTTACGCATTTCTATCAGCTTTCACTCACATAAACTAAGTGTGAGAAGCAGAAAGCATATTTTCATTTAACCTGTATCCAACCAAGATATGGGCTAGCGTGTGCCATAGTTGAGGGTCTTATGACACAAGAAGAGGGCTGGCCAGATAAGGAAACTTGTTCTGAGTGGAAGAGGAGTTTCAGGGAACACAAAGGAAGAATCCATTGAGTAATTAGGAGACCGTTTATAATCTTTAAAAAGTGTCATTTCTGGCCCTTACAACAGTCTGGGCCTTCTCGTGTGCCATGTCAGGACTGAACATGATATAGCCAACTGTGGACTGCAGGATCCCAGAGCGGGCTCCCTCAGCCACAGCAAGCCTGTGAGCTTCCTCCTGTTCACCCAGCTCAGCTTCCTAGTGCCATACTCGCTGCACACACACCCCTACCTTCATGCCCATTTTTGATATTTCTGGTTTGGCAACCTGTTTTATGCAACCATTTCATCAGACTAAGAGAGCAAATGTGGACACCTTGTAACCGGTTGTTCCTTTGGAAAACATCAATTAATGTCCTTTCAAGCTGAAAGCTACATATAAGTAGTGACATTGAGTAGAATACAAAGAACGTGTCCATTCTTGTGTGAACCAAGTAAAATTAACCAAGCAAAAGGTTTTCTTTCCCACAAATAAGAATGTTTTATTTCAACCCGTGCACTATTGTTCTTAAGATGACAAATGTAATAATAGGTGAATCGAAGCCTTTTAACATAGAAAAATTAACAGATACTAGATTGCTGACTGCCTCTATGTACTTCTCAAACTTAAAAATTTTGTCAAACTCCTAGAAAACTGAAGTTAGAACAATAATTTTAAAGAAAGTTAAACTTCAGATTGACTTCCTTAGAAACTCAATGAGAAAGCAGAATTTATTTCTCAGTGTTTTTGGTTTGTTTTTTCTTTTGGGGCTAGAAATTATTTTGATGTTGTGAAATTATATCCAGTCTCATGATTGTGCTAATAAGCTCTACTTTGGTAAAGAACAGATATTTTGTAATAGCTTGTCCAGAATCACCTTAGAAACGTGTGTAGCAATTACTATGTGCCAGACCACTGTTCAAATGTTTTATATATATTGACTCATGTAATCCTTATACAACCTAGAAGTGGGAGGTGACAACGTGCTAGCAGCCCTCACTCGCTCTCGGCGCCTTCTCGGCCTCAGAGTCCAATGGCTCTGGACGCGCTTGAGGAGCCCTTCAACCCGCTGCTGCGCTGTGGGGGCCCCTCTCTGGGGCTGGCCGAGGCAGGAGCCGGCTCCCTCTGCTCACGGGGAGGTGTGGAGGGAGAGGAACGTCTGGGAGCCAGGGCCGCAAGCGGCACTCAGGGGCCTGCGCGGGTTCGGGTGGGCCGGGCTCAGAAGGCCCCGCGCTCAGCGCAGCCAGCCGGTGCCTGCTGGGCTTGATCAGGAGATGAGTTCCCTCTGGGCTGCCAGAGTGCCTGGGCTAGGTGCTGCAAAGTCCTATAGCGACTGCCATTGAGAAGTGAAGCCGGCTAGGCTTCTGGGTCAGGTGAGGACCTGAAGAACGTTTCTGTCTAGCTGAAGGTTTGTAAACGCACCAATCAGTGCTTTGTCAAAACGGACCCATCAGCTCTCTGTAAAACGGACCAATCAGCTCTCTGTAAAATGGACCAATCAGCTCTCTATAAAATGGACCAAGCAGTAGGATGTGGGTGGGGCCAGATAAGGGAACGAAAGCAGGCCTCCCAAGCCAGGAGCGGCAAACTGCTGGGATCCATTTCCATGCTGTGGACTCTTTGTGCTTTGCTCTTTGCAGTAAATCTTGCTGCTGCTCACTTTTTGGGTCTGCACCACCTTTATGAGCTGTAACACTCACCGCGAAGGTCTGCAGCTTTACACCTGAAGCCAGGGAGACCACGAACTCATCAGGAGGAACGAACAACTCCAGACGCGCGGCCTTTAAGAGCTGTAACACTCAACGCGAAGGTCTGCAGCTTCACTCTTGAAGTCAGCGAAACCGCAAACCCACCAGAAGGAAGAAACTCCGGACACATCTGAACACCTGAAGGAACAAACCCCGGACACACCATCTCTAAGAACTGTAACACTCACCGCCAGGGTCCGCGGCTTCATTCTTGAATCAGTGAGACCAAGAACCCACCAATTCCAGACACAGAAGGTTGGTATTCAGAGAGCTTGTGTAACCTATCCAAGGTCATACAGCTAAACAGGTGGCAGTGCTAGCATTTGAACCCAAATAGTGTGCCTCCAACAGCTCTAGTATATAAAGCATGTCTTGTAAGTAAATATCCTATTTTTTGCTTTGACTTTCATGATTGTTTTATCAATGTTTATTTAGAGATTTGATGATCCTCAGGTGTCAGTTATTCCTCTGCCACTTGAACTCCCTTCCCCCTTGGTTCTCGCTACCTGCATTTCCAGTCTGCCTGTCAAATAGTTAATGATCTGCATACAAACACTTTCATGAACTAGTGGAACTCAGCCTTTAAAAGAATCCTAGGGGAATTCTTTAAAGACTCTTTTACAGTATGAATAATCATCCCTTAGTTTATTCATCTGTAAATTTTTGGTTTCACATAGTACATTTTCTTCAGGCAGGGCCAACCACATTGCTTTTTAAACTCTTAGATAGATCAGCTTTGCTTTGTCATTTTGTGATCCAAGAAAGCCAATTATTTTAATGTCCACATCAACTATTCTCCTTTTAGAATTTATGAAAGTGAAAAATATGTAGCCCAAAAACTCTTTGTTAGAGAATATTTCTCATGAAATGGGAATTTTAGCCCTTCTTCTTACTTAGAGTACTTATTTGTTCAGTCGCAAGACAATGAAAATAAAATTTAAGTCTCCAAAATATTATTTCTATCCATTTAATTTTATCAGGCCAGACCAACTTTTCTCAGCAGATCAAATTAAATTTTTATATCGACTTTTCACTTTTATGTTGAGAAAATTTGTTATTCTATATCCATAGACTTTTGAGCAAATATCACCTAACTCTGATTGCTGTAATCTCCTCTGGCTGGTCTACCAGCTCTAAGAGACCTGCTTTCTAGCAGGTTCAGTTTTTTGAGATCAGGACAAAAGCCAGACTAAAGCACACTTTTAAGTACTTTGAGCAAAAATTAAAGACGCCCCATAAGGACAGACATTCCATAGTTTCCACCAAGTCAATCAATGATACAAATGTAACTTCATATTGAAAGCATGTAATGGTTTTTGTCTCAGTTACTGAACCCCAACATTTTGGTTTGGAGTACTCTCTTCAGAAGTGTTCAAGGTTCAAATTGAGGTCTTCTGTTGTCATGGAATAACTTTCTCAACAATGGTAAGTAGTGGAGATAAGAGTTAATGGGGAATATCCTATTCACTTTTCTCTGAGCCCTCTGAAACAGATTTTCTAAACCCTTCCATGTGATCCCGACCATGTTATGGGTTTGCTAACTTTGCAGTACATTGGATTGAAACATCGTAATTCTTTCCATGACAACAGTGTCTGATGTTACAGATGTACAACCAGTGAGGTCAATAGTTGACAGATGGACGTTGAAGCCATGCAATTACACCTCCCAAACCATTATAAAGAATGTAACAGAAGAAAGGTGGAACCCAGTCTAAAACACACCAAACAATAAAAGGCACTAAAATAATTGCTTCACATTTAATGAATCTTTCTTTAATATGACAACCAATCCAAGAATCTTTGAATTCCCTTTCCCTGGTAAAAGTCAAAACATTTTTGAGGCGGTGGCAGTTTATCTAAATTACTGTTTTTTCTCCATCAGTCTTTAGGCTTAATCTCATTTGCTTTTATGGATATGGTAACCCTTTTGAATAGCTTTTAACCTTTTAAAAGTCGCCTTGACCCGAAGAGCCTAAAAATTTTTAATATAATATTGAATGATAAAAATTGAACAATTGAGTGCTTTTCTGACTCTCAGTCTGCATGCAGTGCTCTGGGTCGTACAGCAGAATTTCTGGCTGAATGAAAAAAAATTAAAATACCTGTATATAGCTTGCTTGTAGCAGAAACCTTCAGCTCTGACCTCCGTTTCATTGGCTCCATTGTTCCTTGTGCCCCCACAGTATCTTGGCTTTCTCTTTTCCAGAGAAAGAGTGTGTTTTATCCTGCAGCACGTCAGCTTCAAAGGGCTCTTACTTCAAGTGTCCAGCGCATCATTCTGGTAAATTAAGAAATCCTCGGCTTAAGATCGTCTCTTTCAATCACATATAATGTGGGTAACTTCATGACTAAACATTATAAACCAAGCCGTTTGTTTGCTTTGCTTTTTTTCTCACCATAGTCTCTATTTTGTGTTTAGTAAGATGTATAACAAGAAGATGCTCTGCAGATACAACTCATGTTTTTTTTTTTTTAACCTTAGTGTTTGTGGAATTTAATTACAAAAACTGAAAGGAGAGAAAACAAGATGGCATTGTTGCTAACCTGTGAGAAGTGATGGGGGCCTGCCAGCTGAATGCTAGCCCCTGGTGGGCTCATGGTAACAACAGAGAGGGGAGCCTTCTCTGGGAAGAGCTACCTCCTACTCCAGCCCAGCCGACCAGGCTGGGATCCACAGATCCACACTCCAGCATGCTGAGCGGAGAAAGACTTATTGTTGAGAATGTCAGTCAACTGACATTTTGCCTCCTACTCTCTCTATCTGAGAGGGGAATCTGCATTTTCTAAGCCAGTTGGCAGCATGCACCACAAACAGCAATGCACTGCAGGCCCCTGGTATAGACTGTCACCCTGTGATAAGTGTGCCAGCTCAGTGGTGCAAAGGTTTTCAGATACCCTCCCTTGGGCTATCATTCCAGTAGGCAGCTCCTCCTCCTCCTCCCCTCTCCCTCACATACACTGAGCATCAGGCTCTCCAAGCTCAGTTCTCAACATAGTTACAATAACCCATCCTAGTCAGTGATGCTTAAAATTGAACCATGGTTCAGGGGAGCAGTAGGCTCTCCCTGCAAGCACCCTAATGTGTTAAACAGCCATGCCAGGTAGCTGTCTCCTTTCTTGGAATCAGCTACTTACAGAGACCCTCTGTCAATGGAAGTTTTTATGCAAGTCCTCTAACCCAGCATTTGAAGGATAAACAAACTTGCACTTACACAATTTTCTTTAAGAGCAGTTCCCTCTAAATGTTGGTTCTCACTGCCTGCTTCAACTGCGGGCCTAGAAATGGAAAAGGAGTCCAGGTTTGGAGCCCCTCTGGTGACTGAGTGTGTACCTCCAACATGACTACGTTTGTACAGCTGAGACTCAACATGTAAGGCTCTTTAGGTGGTTGGAATTATTTCATTTGGCACCATGATTGCCTCAAATAATACATACTTTGAGAGAGAGAAACGCTGCAGAAGTAAACTCGAACCAATAGGGACATTTATTCTTCAGGTTTAAAATTAATTTCCTGTACTTCTCTGGCTTAAGAAAAAAATTGTATTGGAACTGCAACCTTATGAGAAGAAAAATTCGAAACTATTTCTTTTACACTGAGCCCAGTATCAGATGAAATGGAAATGTGAGGGCTTCCTTAGCGTTAACCCGCTGGAACTTTCCAGCTGAGAACTGAGATCTGCAGACTGCTTTAGGTTAAGACCCTGCTCCACTCCATGTTAGGTAATCAGATGTCATTTAGGCAGAATAAATGGGAAGTACTCAAGGAATCAGAAGAGGTGAAAGAGCAGAGTCTGGTTTGGATAAAAGTTTAATTCTTCAGTTCCAAGAGGCATAGCCCTTCGAAGATGCTGAGCAAAGTCAGACAGGAGTGGCCGAGTAATGAAGATGGATGCATCTTGTTATCAGCAAGCCGTTTACTAGGGCTTGATGTAACCTTAAACATTGCAGATAGCTCAATGGCACTTGCCACTAAACCCCTAATTAATGAAGAGCAGGCCCTAAATTAACAATGTGCATTTACAGATGAATTCTAGGCACTCATTAAATGATGTTCAAATACCAAGCAGCAACTGTTGGCTTATTCCTGCTGGATTACTCTATCCACTGTGTGTGAGGGAGGACTTTCCACTAGGGCTTTCCTGTCTTGCAGGGCGGGGGACTAGCTGTGGAGCAGAAAGGGACACCGTTCTCAGGGGATAGGTTATGGCGTAAAGAGATGTGAACTCAGTTTTGACATGTGACACCTGTGCCACCATTTAAAGGCGATCAGAAACAATCCCAGATTTAGCTGATGCTGCCAATAAAGATAAAAACCAAAAAGTTTGAATCCCAACCAACTCTGTCAAGGATGGAATAAGACGTTTCAAAGTGCAGCCCCACGCTGCGCTTTCGTGGGTGGGCTGGAATGCACCCTGGGGATGGAAGGTTTAGACAACGTGTAGATTTGTTTGGCAAAAGCTTAATTCATAAACAATTACGGGCTGTGGTGAGGTAGCTGGATCTGGCTGCAGCAGGCTGCCGTCATTCTGACTGCCCCCTCCACTGAGGCCTGAAGGCCAAAGCCAACCAAAAATGTGTTCTGCAGCAAACAGTAGTCAAGCTAATTATCTAGCACGCTCTGTTGGGGGTTTTCCTCTTGATTTCGAGGAATAAAATGAGGAGCTGCGGGCTTGTAATATAACAAGGATGTAGCCCCTGTGTGGGAAGGTGTATATATGGCTATTAAATAATATTAGTACCTTCAACTCTCAAAGAAGTAAAATAAAGACAGAAGCCAAGTATGAGTAAGACATTGGAAAGTAAATTAAGTGGAAAAGAAAATGTTTTAAACTTCTGCAGGAGGCTGTCGTAAAAGAAGTTCTTGCAAAGCTATGGTGAGGAATAGAAATGGATTTCAAGGAAGAGAATGTTCAGAAACATCTCCCTTTGGGTCATTTCTGTGCTGGCTGAAATCCCGGGGCAGGCCCCTTCTGTTGTGAGGGGAAAGTATCTGAGGTTTTTGAGCGGTCACCCTCTAAAAGCACCCATGCTAAAGAAAGCACAGCCGCCTCCCCACCAAGGGCACAGGGCAGAGGCTGTGTAACAGCCCAGGAAAATTCCCCACACACAGTGCCAAGATCCATGTATGGTCAAAAGCAAAGGCATTCTCTTGTTTGTATGGATCATTTCCACATCAGGTTTTCCAAATGGGTTTGTGTACATTCAGGGACAGGGTACTCCCATGGCCCCATGGAGGCAGTATAAAGGCAAACTGGTCTGCTAAAGAAGAAAAAATAACTCTTAATTTAAAATGCCAAAGGGACTTGTGTTGGGGAGGGGCTAGGGAAGGCAGGGTGCTGTATTGTTGATGTCTGCCACCTAAATATTCCTGAGGAATTAACTGGTAGGAATTGAACAGAGTGCGGGAAAAACAGGTGTTTCCCTTTTCCCAAGGGCATTTCTCATTTATTATATATCTAGTCAAAATTTTCTTTTTGAGCAAATTTTATCACATACAGATAGAGGCTATGAGAAAAAAGCACCCTAAGCAATCATTTTAAGAGCTGCCCTCATTCCACATTGTGTGACTGAATACAAATCCTTTATTCTTCCCAGTTTGATGATGAGATGGGGATTTAACCTCTGCTTGCCATCATTATCAGTTCACTGAGTTTCTGAGTATAAGCCACAAAGCTCTTGGAAATGTAAGTTCCTGGATGTTTGCCCTCACCCCACTCCCCCCCACATCCAAAGCAATCCAAATACAGAGCTTACTGGGAGGGGGAGATCAATAGGAAGCAGCTTCTTATTACAGCATTCCCCTAGATTGCTCAGAACTCCGTCCATGGGGTCTCTAGTCCCAGTGGTCATACAATTAGGGAAAAAGTGGACTTCAGACAATGAAAGAGAATGAGCAAAGAATAGACGCAAATCACAGCATCTTTTTCTGCCTCCACTATAAGCTGCATAACCCAGCTCATCATAGCATATGTATAGGCCACATTTCCTCAGGTTTCAAAAGCCTGACGGTTCAATCAGAAATGTATGTCACAATAAAGCAACAAAAGAGGTGCCCCTTACGTAACCCTCACTGGAAAAATCTCGAGACTCCCTAGCCCATATCTCTCTGATTCAAGGGGTCCCTGGTGTGTCTCACATGTGTCCCAAATCACTGCAAGTGTCCTCTGCTCCCACCTCATAGCATTTTCTCAACTTTCTCTGACATTCCTGACTCCCAGAATGACTCTCCAGATGTGAAAACTGACATCAATCCTCTAGCCAGATATTTCCATCTTAACATAGTCTCTTTTAAGAGTCTGACCTTGGCCTAGAGAAGCTTTCCTGGACCTACATAAAAGGAATCCATTGTTCCTCAGTCTAACGTATTAGCTAGGAAGTTAAAGCCTAGCCATTTGTTCTTGGGAGGGTCTTCTCCTCGGGAAGCAAGTCATCAGCCCCAACCTGACAGCTGTGAATTCTCCCTGCTATCCAAAAGAGTTTTACCAGATCATTATACCAGCCCAGATAGACAGGTCCATGTATGCCCAGATTGTCTGACTATACAGTAGAGATCCTACTCTGAGATCCTCAAATACACATGATTCAGGGAAATAATTTTACCAAAAGTGTCACTACCACATAGAGGATCATGTATTGAGCAGATGTTAGTCTTATCCTGTAGTACCAGTGCTTTCATCAGACCATCTTTTGTATTAGGGTGATCCTATCTGCTCTAACAAAATGCCTTAATGGATAAAATACAACAAAAATTTACTTCTCACTCAAAAACACCAAAGTAGATGTTCTTCCAAGTATCATCCAGGCTCCCAGACTCCTTCCATCTTGTACCTTCACTATGTTCAAACACATGGCTCCCAAAATCAATGTGCTCTTTTGCATCAAACTGAGAAATGAAGAAAGAGAAGCACACTTATTTCTTAACCTCTTTGACTCAGCATCAACACAGTGCTTACAATACATTGGTGAAAACCAATTAGATGATCCCTTAGATATAAGAGAGATGAAGCTGAAGATACAGTCTCTGCTGAAAAATAACTTCCTTTCAACAACTCTATACTCTAGAAGAGGAAGCACAAATGTTGAGGAGAGCCAGGCTTCTACGTCAGTACACTAGGCTGATACATATCTTAACAAAAGTACTATAATGACAACTATATACTGTCTACAAGTGACATATTTAGATTCAAAGATGAAGATAGATTGAAAGTAAAACCATAGAAAAAATACAATATGCAAATAGTAAACGGGAGAGAGTTGGAGTGGCTTATACCAATATCAGTCAAAATTGACTTTAAGTTAGAAGTGGTTACTATAGACAAAGGACATTTTAGAATAATGAAAGTGTCAATCTATCAAGAGGATATAATACAAACATATATGTACCTAACAACCAAAAGATGAAATCCATAAATCAAAAGGTACTTCATTCCTTTTTATGGCTAAATAATATTCCTAGAATAGGTATAACATATTTTGTTTATTATATAATAAATGAAACTTGAAAACATTAGGCCAAATTAAAGAAGCAGACCAAAAAAAAACCCCACATATTCTATGATTCCATTTATATTAACTATCCAGAATAGGCAAATCATAGAGATAGAAAGTAGATACGTGGTTGCAAGGGTTAGGAAGAAGGAGAAATGGAGAATGATTGCTAAGGGGTTGAGAGCTTCCTTTGGGGGAATTAAAATATTCTGGAGCTAGATAGTGATGATAGATACACAGCCTTGTGAATATACTAAAAATTAGTTGACTGTACATTTTAAAGGAATGAATTTAGTGATATGTAAATTGTGTTTTTTAATAAAATATTGCTTATCCATATTTCATACACACACACACACACACACACACACACGTGGGTTAGAAGTGAGTGAAGATTTGGATGCAAGTATGTCTAACCTTCAGACTTTTTTTACCATGTGGTTCTTTTTTGCCTAGAATTTTGACGTTTTTTTAAAAAGCACTGAAATAGTTCCAAGATGTTTGCAATTTATTAGCCATTGTCCTAGAAGATCTTTATTTTGATTTTGGTAATGTATTTGGATTTTTTTTTAACTGCTGTGTAACAAATTACTACAAACTTTGAGACCAGAAAAAACACAACTTTATTATCTCACAGTTCCCATGGGTCAGGAGTCCAGGCACTGGCTATTCGGGTTCTCTGCTCAGTGTCTCACAGGCTGAAATCAAGACGTCATCTGTTCTCATCTGGGTCTCAGAGTCTTTTTCCAAGTTCACTGATTCTGTAAAATTCTATTTCTTGAGGTTGTAGGACTGAAGACTTCAGCTCCCAGAGGCCACCTGCCCTTCCTAACTGTGTGACTCTATCCACAACATAGTAGTTTGTTTATTCACAGCTAACAGGCCAACATCTCTGTTGCTTCTTCTGACTCTGACTTGTAGATCCTCTTTTAAATGGCCCATTTAGCTAGGTCAGACCCACTCACAATAATTTTCCTTTTGATTAAATTGAAGTCAACTGATTGGAGGCTTTAGTTGAGTCTGCAAAATTCACTGATCTTTTGTTATTCATGTAAACCAATCAAGAGATTATATCACCATCATATTCACAGATCTAAAGGGGAGAGGAATATACAGGACATGGGTCATTGAGGGTCATTACAAAATTCTGCCTACTAGAGGTAGGTTGTTCTATGTATGCCAACCAAATACGGGCCTTGGTAAGCTAAGAGCCTGATCACTGTTGGGACACCATTTGGGGAGACCTGGTCAAGCCATACATTAAAGCTAAACTCTGCTTAAGCACCAAACCTGATAGTAGTTTCCAAACCTGGTTACCCATTGCAACCTCCTACACACACCCACCCACACACACACACACACAAAAGCACATGCACATGTACATGGACGCACATACGCACACATCCATGTTTTTGAGAAGTTCCAGATGTGCAGCAAGGTTGAAAACTGTTACCCTAAGACTTGGAGAACTACAATTAGTTGAGAAGAACAAAAATAATACTGTGAGTAAACTTCATGCTGGCTTCCAAATAATTGAATTTACACATGTATATAACTAGTTACCAAGTTTAATTTAACCATCAATTCCTCTTCACTTTTTATTCATGGGGGAAAAACTGTAGCATAGAAAAAGAAACCTGTGGCTTAAATGTCAAGACACTTGAATTCAAATCTCCACTTTACTTGTAACTCATTTGTAATCTCTGCAGACTCTTTTAAGATCTCGGTTTTAGTTTTCTTGTCTATAAAGTGGGGCTAGCAGTACCTCACCCTATCCCCGACTCTCAGGATGATGGTAAGGATAAAAAGGACTGACAAACTTCTAAACGCATATTGCTGGGGAAAACCTGTCTTTGTTCAGCAGTCTTCCTGATTTTGGACTGCAGTGATTTCTTGCATCTGTCCTGAGAGCATCCGAGGAGAACTAGTCCTCCTGCCCCCGCATTTTGGGAAAGGAGAAAGAACTTCCCAAAAGAGGACTGCAAAGAAACCTGCCCTCTTTCTTTCTGGCTGCCTTCCATTTTCACTGTTCAGCCTTCCTTTGGTAGGATCTGCTTGACAGGAAAAAGCCATACATCTGTGCACATTAAAGGTTGTCCGTAGGTGGAGGGGAAAAAAATGTTCACTAGAAATGTTTAATATCTTATAACACTCCTCCCCACATTGCATTACACATAAATTGGGCATGCATGGCCAATTACAGCACAAAATGCCTCTCCAGCACCCACCACACCATACTTCCCTTTGCACCCACTTGGTTAGCCATGATTAGTAACCTCTCAGAGCCAGCTCACTGCCACTGGCTTACCTAGTCTCTTACACTCAATAGTTTAGTCTCCCAATGGCGAGGAGAGGTTAGGAAAGTCAGGGCATGTGGTCTGACATGAAATGGAAAGGGAAATACAGAATTCTGCATTTTTTTTAAAAGTACCATTCACATTTGAGCATTTATATTCTCAAATTTGCAAACAATAATGCCTGTTTTATCTAAGATAAGTAATTGTTCAGGGAATGCAGTCAGATAATAGATGTCAAATGCAGTTTGTGATCTGTTAGGCATTATATAATTATATGGTTTAAGGGCAAGAGCTCAAAGTAGGGGGTCAAACAAAATTAGGAGGGAGTAATTCTCATTCTTTCAAATCTTTTCCCATGTGCTATATTGTCCTTTTATCACTAATTGTGCATGCATAAATCACTTTATTGGATGATGAGCTTTTTCAGAGAAGGGATTGTCTTGTTGGTTCAGAATTTTGGCTTTTAACAGAGTAGTAGCCATGATCCGAAGAATGAGCATAGATGCTTATTTGTCTGTGATGGGTAGCCCAGAGCCATGACATATCATAGGAATGGAAGCCCCAGTGGGGCAGGGAACTTTGCCTGTTTGGTTTACTGCTATACGCCCAGCACAATGGAACATTACCTGACGTATAGTAAGCACTCAATAAACATTTGTTGAGTAAATGGATGAGCAAATGCTTTTGGCTTGAGTTCAAAAAAAGTAAAATTTGATTTGGCAGAGTGAAATAGTAGCTGTTTTAATCTCTAGAAGGAGAGCAAGCAGAGCTCACTCCACACAAAATTCAGTCTTGAGATGCTCTTTCGGCACACCCTTCTCTTATCCTCCCAGGACAGCTCTCCCTTGCTCCCTGTTCCTCTTTGCATTGCTCTTGTTCCCTTACTCCAGTACATTTCATATGTTCTATGACTGCTTAAAACCCTTGCCTTGGAATCTGGCCTGGGCCTCCTTATTCATGCTCCCAAATTGCCTTTACTCTCCAGCTCCTTCCATTTACAACCTCTTTATCAACACTTCCTGCCCAATAGGTCATGTCAAAGTTGACAAACAACACCCATACACTGTATTGACAGTATAGGAGTTTTTTGCATTTTTATGTTGTTTTTTGAATATCTCCTCTGCCAGGACCCCTACGCCCCTCCCCCAAACTACCACACCATAGCAGGGCAGAGATACCGTACTTGAAGAAAGGCCTTCATTTATCATAAAAATGATACCGGGTATCATGCAGACGAGCAGTGAGGCTCTCCAAGGGTGAAAGAGACAGGACAAATTGTGTCCAAGTATCGAAGGAGAGAGGGTCACAACTCTTCCACTGCAGCAGCATAGCCCACTGGGCAGCAACAAAACGGCCCCAACTCAAATGCCAGCAAAGCAAAGGTGGGTCATGTCAGACGGTATATCCAGGGAAAATTCATATCTCTGCTTTATAATGGATGTTCTCTTGTACTCAAAAGGCTTCAGTGAATTATGAAAGACATTTATCAGGCATTAGAAAAATTCCAGTGTTGGAAAAAATTGACCATCATTCATCAAAGGCTTGGAGTTACAATGTATTTTTCATTATGTGATATGGAAACACATGTGCAATGAGTGGATGGGTTTCTGGTTCAACACCAAAACACCCACACTATCTTACTAGTAATTGGATTCAGCCAAATATGGGATAGTGCATTCTGGGTCATACAGCATCTTAAACTAGAAGCAAAAATCATTCCAAGGAGTACTTAAACCCAACAATGACAATTGAGACAGCCATATTATATAACTTAACTTTTGGTATCACATTGTGATGAAGACAGTAGGCTTGAACATGACCAAGTCAAATGCACCTAATGTCCAACCTTAAGCATGATAGACTCCATCTTATACCTGTTCTCTCAATCTAAATGCACTGAGGCTTTCCACTCTTAATCACTCTGCTTCTCCTTGGGCCTCATCGGTCTTTAATTGTATCTAATTGATCTCAATTTGTACCTTTAAGTTGGTAAATCGCAATCTAATTTAGAAATGCAATGGTGCTCTACATATCACTGTCTCCTTTGATCCTTCCAACAGTCTCATGTGGGTATCAAGAGAAATGCTTTTATTCTCATCTTACATATGAAAAAGAAAACCAAGTCAAAGAACAGTTACTCCGAGGTTTAACCACTACTAAATATCTGAATTGATGGGGAGCCCAGGTTTCATGACTCCCTGGTCCAATGCTCCTCAAATATGGAAAAGAACTTCTTGGCGCTTAAGGCTGTGAGACCCTCACAATGTGCCCCTCTGGGACATCTTGTAATTTCCTCTTCAGGAGCTCCTTAAGAATAGCATAAAGGCACATCCAGCTGGAACCATTTACACAAACTGTACAGCCTGGAGGCAGGGGATGGACTTAATGACCCTGGGCTAATCAATTCCTGCTTCCTAACACAAGGAGTGATTGCAAAGTAATGATCCACCAGCCCCAGACAAACATCACAGTTATACATTAAATGAAGTTTCTGATTCCTTATTCCATGATAAATGTATGGTTAATCCTGATTCCTGATCCATCATAAATTGTTCTTCTCTTCGGGGTCACTAAGTGACATTTGACTGTGAGTCGTGGAGGAAGTTGAGCTGGAGAGCTTCAGCTGGAGTGGGCGCAATATTGTAGGTATTGTAAGTGTTCACATTAATCTGTTGCCATCTGTCTTTATTTTGCTAACCCACTCAATCGGACACCATAAATGTTAACAGACATAAAAATGCTTTTCTTCAACATTAGGCACAGATATCTCCTTGCTTCATCTCCTGAATCTCAGACAGCCCTTGATTGTGGCATTGTAGGCAATGCCACAATGATACCCTAACTCCTTGAAGTGGCTCTGAACAATGATGCCATATAAGGCACTGTTCCAAATCCACAACCAGTATTTGGATTCCATTTTAAGGCTCCAGTGCTCCCATACTTGGCAGCGGATTTCTCCACTTCTTACACAGAAAGATCCAGAATGCAGCCTTTAGCTCATCCCCTAAGAATGTGGACTCAAGCTGGAGTAGTGAAGCCTAAGCCAACCACTTTCATTCTTCCAAGCAAATTGTGATGGAGCCACTACACCCCTACCCCTGTCCCACACCATCCTGCAGATCAAAACCCAGAAGAGCCCCTGTATTCTTACTACTATCTATTTTATGGAAAAGCTATTCATTTGATGTGTAGAAAGGTTCCAAACAAAAGCCTTTCCTTATATTTTCTAAGAAATATGCCATCTCTCTGGGCCACTGAGGTTTTCTTTAAAGATGCAATGGAGTGCTACATATCAATTTGCTTTATCTTCAAAGATAAAGAAAACTTCAATGGCTCAGAGATTACACTGGCAATTTGGCACCCTGGGCTTACTTTGGCAATTTTTGAAAAGACTGAAAAATCTTAGAGTTTTTAATAATCTTAGATAATTTTGAATAATCCCAGAATTTTGCTGAGACCCTTTATCTTCATTGTAGTGGATGCTGTGGTGTGCTGCCCATATCCACCCTACTGAGACTAAGACTCATTCCCTCGGCCACCAAAAGGGTTGACCATACATAGTGCTCAGCTGAGTCGCTCTCTAGGAGTTGCCTTAGATAGCCACCTTACCTAGGATGATACCCCATCCCCTAGGGCCACCCACATCTCATGATGAGTCAATGTGATCCCCTAGCCCCAATACAGGGCAACTCTGCAGAGCTATCCCAGCTCCAGAGGTCCCCAAAGGAGCAGGGCCACAAGATGCCTAGGCTTTTTGTAACTGCATCACTATTTGACTTCTCGCTCTCCTGAGTCCTGTTCCCTTCCTTCCCTGCAAAGCGAGGGCACTCACTACCCAGTGCTCTCCCAGAAACTTCTTCCTGAGGAACCTGACTGACAACATGGGTATATTTTAAAGATAATGGATTTCTAAACCAGAATCAAATACACAGCAGTGTGAGGACTTGTTTTCATTCTTCTTTTCAATATGACTGATAATTTTAAGCTTTGGGCTAGAGGGAGCCTGCATTCTAGAAAATGGTTTTCAGAGGTGACAAGGGAATTTTGTTGAGCCAGGTAAAGAATATATAAACTTTGCTCTTTCAAACACACTTAATTTTACAGTATTAAACACGGTATCATCCTGAGCCCCCTGCCAATTCTGCATCAGTTGACGTGTGAGGCCCTGTATCAGAAAAGGTAAAGAAACTGCTAATACT
This sequence comes from Homo sapiens, assembly GCF_000001405.40. Lineage (NCBI taxonomy): Eukaryota > Metazoa > Chordata > Mammalia > Primates > Hominidae > Homo > Homo sapiens. The sequence goes on along the minus strand of NC_000001.11, from coordinate 87,514,733 downwards.
CCCCAACCACTCTAATTTTTCTACCCTTTCATACTCACTCTTTGAGTTTCTCATCTCCTCTGAAGGTCAGCCCTGGGGGTTTCACTCTCCCACTCTCCTCTTGATATCTTTGAAGACAAAATCCTGACTGGTGGTGTCAAGTCTTATCATCTTTTGTGTAGTAATGAAGCCAGGAGGGAGAGTAAGCACATGTTTGACAAATCCAAGATGCAGCTCCTTCCTCCCTTCTGTCCTGGCTGGCACAGTTATATCTAAGCATCCAGCCCTCCCGCAAACAGGTGTGAGCTCAGAATGCCCATGTTCTCCTCCCTGTGTTCTTCCATCCTGTACAATTCTTCATGCCTCTAAACCTGTGATTCTTGTTCTGGTTTTGCAATACCTGGGGTTGTCTCCATTTATCTCCAGGGATGTTATAAAAACCAAAAATGATTGAAATAGAGAGGATTTTTAATTTATTAACTGAGAAATGGATATTTCCGATAACACTCTTAAAAGGGAGGGAAAGTGATATGAACTCAAGATAACAGCCCTAAGTTTCACAACTCCAAAGCTATTATGAGTCATTTTATCAGTCTGACCCACAATTACTGTCTGTGTCTCTCTGATTCCATTTATGCATCCAGTGAAAAGACAGGAAGACTGCAGGACGATTCCGGAGTGGTATACTTTTGAAATCATTAACTATATCAACACTCTTTCCTCAATAAAGTGTGAAATACCCAAATAAAATTGTCACCCTTTAGCCAAAACACTTACATGTCTCTTTGGTGGCCATGGTATGTTACTTCATTTTTTGCAAATGGTTGCTTAGTTATAAGCCTGTAATTTTAATATCCATCCATAATGACCAGGTAAAACACATAATCTGACAAAAATGTTGAACCAGAGGGTAGGAGTGTAACTATAAGAGAAAGAGGACTGGGGTGTAGGAAACGTAATCATATAATGGCTTGACGTTCTCTATTTTCCAAAGGCTTTATTGAAGCATTTCTCTCAGTAATGCTGCTTTTGCAATTACATAGCAACAAAGCATTTGAAATAACTTTTTTGACATACTAAGTATAAAAACTTAAACTGAGGTGGGGGGTTTATAGAAAGCAACTTTCTTCACATGCGTTCTGCTCAAATGCTAAATGCTGCTGCAAATAACAGGAAAGATACATTCTCAAAGTTAGGACAGGCTATGTCTTGGCTGGGAAAGGGTTAAATAAAGGGAACCCGATTCCAGCCAGTCAGGGACTGAACATCCAATGAGAATTTATTTAGATGATGTAATGCTTGAATCCTGATATCCTTTTGAAAAGAGCTTGTGGTTGAAGTTTCTATAAACCAGACTGAACTGGAATTTCCTCCCAATCCAAGAGTCTTCTCTGCCTTCTGCACCATTTTCTTAGTAGTGTCGTACATTTTCTTTCCTAATGTTTGACAAAAAGCACATTTGTAACTATGGTTTGCATTTGGATCCTTTAAACGATGCTAGTCTGTGGCTTTTCATAGGCCTCTTTAATCCTTACTTGGTAATGACACAGGACTAACTGCTTAATAGAAAATTCTGAAAGACACCATCTCATCTCTGCCACCTTACTGACTAAATGCTGGCTCTTTCCATTTATGGCCTTTCCACTGATCTCCAGAGTTGGGAGGCTCATGACAAATGAAGACAGAGACCAACACTTTCAGCTACATAGCAAGATGGAAAGTTCCTGAGGGCTGTGTGGCAGCTATGGTTGCATTATCCTCTTTTCCACTAGGATGCTGTTGACAACCAAATAAGTAGAACAGTTCCAGATGACAGCAAGTCTGGTGAACTCAGGACACCTACTCAAGAAAGCTCTGAAACTCTGTTCACTCTCTAAGAACCTTCACAACTATCGTTCACTGACCTAGGGACAGACAGTTGTACACATGAAAAGACAAGGGCAATGTGCTCGGGGCTTTGTTTTAAGCTGCCTTTAAGACTTAAATCCTGGAGCTATCAAAAGAGTTAAGTTCATGAAATGGCAGGAAAGTTAAAGATTCTTAGAGCATAGCATAAATTGGCACATCTTCCAACTTAGTTGAGAAACAATGACCTTATAAGAACTATTTTTAGACTTAAAGAAACCTTTTTCTTAAAGAATTAATTCATCATTTACTACCCCGTGAAATCAAACCTCAAAATCTTGTGGTTAACCAATAATCTCTTCCAACTTGTTCCATTTGGAATAAACTAAAAAATAGCCACTAGTTTTCAAAAGTAAATGTATGCCAAACATCATAGCAATAAATGGGCTAATATATGTTTAGAAACAAAAACCTATAAAAATTGAAGACACTGCTATTTTTAAGATGGCTGGCTCTCATCATCATTATTGTCCACCTGTAGCATAGTGTCCAAGAGGACAGGAACTACCTCCTTATTGTAACCCTAACCATTAGCACAGTGCCTAGAACGTTATAAATACTTGATACAGATTTGATAAACTGAATTTAAATTTGTATTCACAAATATTTAGTAAGCATCTATTATAGAAAGCACAGTGCTAATAGGTGATGGCAAAAAGAAGTACAAAGACAAGTTTCTACCTTCTTTAGGAGAGGACTCAGTGTAATTAATCTCGAAGAGCTTGTCAGTCCAAATCACAGGGATGATTGTTGCAACCACAGATGCCTTCTGAATTGGGCTAGACAGTGTTAATAAGTGCAAGCAGGCTACTAATTTTAAGACAATAGGGTATCATAGGGATAGTAGAAAACTAGAGTGCAATCCTTGCTTAAAATTATAGTTATTCAACTTCAAATATTTTGTAATCACTGAACTGACAAAAATAGTTTTTTCAAATTTCTAGCAGATTACTGAACCATGAAGAGGAATGAAGTTCTGATACAAGCAACAACGTGAATAAACCTTGAAAACATTATGCTAAGTGAAATAAACCAGACAGAAAAGAACAAATATTGTATGATTCCACTTAAAATATCTAGAATAGGCAAATTCATAAAGACAAAAAGTAGATTAGAGTTTACCAAGGGTTAGGGGGAGGAGGTTTTGCTTAATGGTTACAGAGTTTTTGTTTGGGGTGATGCAAAAGTTTTGGAAATAGATGATGGTGATGATTGCACAACATTGTAAATGTAATTAATGCCACTTAATCACTCACTTAAAAATTGTTAAAATGGCAAATGTTACGGTATGTATATTTTACTAAATTTTTTTTTAAATTCTGGCAGATTCTATGCAATCTGACTGCCCAGTTGATACTTTTGATTCCTAGCACAAGGCTTTGTCCAATAATTGTTTGTCAAACACAGTCGACCCTCCCTATCCCTATGAGTTCCACATAGGGGATTCACCCAACCTCAGATAAAAAATATTTGGGAAATAATAAAAACTAGCATTACAACAATAAAAATAATACAAATAAAAAATACAATATAGCAACTATTTACATAGCATTTCCACTGTATTAGGTATTACAAGTAATGTAGAGATGATTTAAAGTATCCAGGAGGAGGTACATAGGTAGTACACAAATTTTTTTTTTTTTTTGAGACGGAGTCTCGCTCTGTAGCCCAGGCTGGAGTGCAGTGGCGCGATCTCCGCTCACTGCAAGCTCCGCCTCCCGGGTTCACGCCATTCTCCTGCCTCAGCCTCCCTAGTACCTGAGACTACAGGCGCTAGCCATCATGCCGGGCTAATTTTTTTTATTTTTAGTGAAGACGGGGTTTCACTGTGTTAGCCAGGATGGTCTCGATCTCCTGACCTCGTGATCCCCCCGCCTCGGCCTCCCAAAGTGCTGGGATTACAGGAGTGAGCCACTGTGCCCGGCTGGTATTACATAAATCTTAAGTCATTTTATACAAAGGACTTGAGCATCCTGAGGATTTTGGTATCCGTGGGCATCCTGGAATCAATTTATCAAGGAGCAACTGTAAATAAAAAGTTTTCCCCACCCCCATGACATCACAGAGTTTAGTGGGAATAACACAATATGTTGATTCACACAGCTATTGTCTGGCTATTTACTAGCTATGTAACCCTGGGTAAATCACCTGATCTCCCCATACCTCAGCTTCCCTGTCACTAACATGGGGATAATAATCAGGCTTACTTCCCAGGATTATAGTCAAGATTGTATGAGATAATGCTTGTAAATCTCTTTTCACTGTGGCGGGCTTATTACTATTATTAGCCTGTTATTAACATTAGAAGACTAATAAGAATTATTATTATTATTAGGAAAACTAGAAAATGAGTTGCATTTTGCTCTTAACATAATGATTTATTTATCTGACAATGGTTTTCTTAGAAACTACAGACACATCAGTCGGGCGTGGTGGCTCACGCCTGTAATCTCAGCACTTTGGGAAGCCAAAGCAGGTGGATCACCTGAGGTCAGGAGTTCGAGACTAGCCTGGCCAACATGGTGAAACTCCGTCTCTGCTAAAAAATACAAAAATTAGCCAGGCGTGGTGGCGGGCCAGCTACTCGGGAGGCCGAGGCAGGAGAATCACTTGAACCAGGGAGGCAGAGGTTGCAGTGAGCCAAGATCTTGCCACTGCGCTCCAGCCTGGGTGACAGAGTGAAACTCCGTTTCAAAAAAAAAAAAAAAAAAAGAAACTACAGACACATCAAGGTAGAGTTCACAATGATGTTTTTGAATAACCAAAGACATTACTGACCTACTGAAAATCCTTTAATGACTTCCTGTCATTTTAAGAAGTCCCAAATCCTATAGCACAGGCCTGTCTTCACCTTTTCAACCTTGCAGTGATCACTGTGGCCCCACCATCATCCATTCTGCACTTCCTAGCAGCCCTGATTTCTGTTTTGTAATCTCTGTGATTCCAGGGAAGCTGACTCTTCCCGAAGCTCCTGAGATAGACCATCTGGCCCAGGCCAGGCTAAGCAGGCCATTCCTGCCTCCTCAACACGGTGCATGGTTCAAGACAGGGCATGTGACCTCCACTGCTCCAATCAGGGTGATTCTCAGGCCTCGTACTAGGAATACCATAACAAGTTTCTTTCTCTTCTGGATGGTATGGAAGGCAGGTATGAAAGCTGGAGCTGCTGCAGTTACTTCGCTACCTTAGGAGACACAAGTCAATATGTGGGGGAGATAGGGCCAAGAAAACTAGAGAGCAATAAAGAGCTCTTGTTAAAGTTATGAGTAGAGCCAAGCTACCTCTGAAGCATTCTGTTTATTGAGCCAATAAATTCCTTTATGTTTGCAACCAAAAAGTCTTAACTGTTTTTTTAAGTCTCATCTTGCTGCATGGTTCTCCACCCTGCATTTCAGCCACACTAATCTGATTTGTATTTTAGAACCCTACTAAGCTCCTTCTGATGAAGCATTCTCACCAATGCGCTCTCTCTCCTTGCATTGTTTGTTTACCACCCTCCCTCCTGCCATTTCCCTACTCCACTTGCCCTGATTAATTCTTGTTCATCCTTAATAAATAGTTCAGCTCAAACGTCATTTCTCCAAGAAGGCCTTCACAGATCTCTTAATTTAGGTCAAGTTCTCCTAAACACCCATAACAATCTATACTTTTTCATAAGATTTATCACCATGGTAATCAGATAATTGTCTGATAAGTTGACTGATGTCTACCTTCCATGCTTGACCATCTTGTTCATTGCTGCTTTTTTTTTTTTTTTTTTTTTGAGATGGAGTTTCACGCTCTTGTCGCCCAGGCTGGAGTGCAGTAACATGATCTTGGTTCACTGCACCCTCCACCTCCTAGGTTTGAGCAATTCTTAAGCCTCAGCCTCTGAGTAGCTGGGATTACAGGTGCCCACCACCACGTCCAGCAATTTTTGTATTTTTAGTAGAGACGGGGGTTTCACCATGTTGGCCAGGCTGGTCTTGAACTCCTGACCTCAAGTGATCTGCCCGCCTCGGCCTTCCAAAGTGCTGGGATTACAGGCGTGAGCCACTGTACCCGGCCCCACTGCTGCTTTATCCCTAGTGCCTAACACAGAGCCTTGTCCATAAAAATAACATTACATAAATATTATGTTAAAAAATGACTACCTTTTTGTCCTCAAGGCTAATTCTTAAGTCTTCAGGAAAAGCAAAAACATTTTATAAGCAAACCAATAGCCAAGAAAAGAGGAGTTAAGATAAGAACAAGCTGCTGATTCTTGGCTATGGATGAAAAACTACATTCAACAAATCCTGGTTGGGCACCCGTTCTGTACAAAACAGGGACTACAGTATAGAAGACATCAGCCCTGCCCACCAGGAGCTCTTTACTGGCCTTTAATTAGCTGGGCATAGAGAATGCTGCTGCTATCAGATTCCAAGTCTCATCTATTACTCATTGCTTTGGTGCTTACTTCAAGCAGGGTCAAACCTACATTTAGCCTTTAAAAAAAAATTTGGCTTTGCCTGTGTCCTAAATAGCAGAAAAACACATGCTCTCAAGTCCTCCTTTCTTACAATTTCTTTTGAATCTGCCTTTAATCTCTAATGCTTAGAGACAAAGAGAAGAGCATTAGTTGCCTTCAAGCCTACCCTCTCCAGGCGTACAAAAGCATGTTGTAACAACCCACTGTCCACATGCAAGTCCTACTCCAATACCATCCAGCAGTAGGAGGTGACCAGGACTTAGGACTAAGGCACGATTCTGGGCGGAAAGTGGGATCCAGAAGTCAGAATCCATTTTCGTTCCAAACCATACAGAATAGTGATGGCTTTGGTATCCGAGAACAGAGCCAGGCATGGAATCACACAGACTCTCATTCAAACCTGGGTTTTGCTATGTAAAAGTACCTCACCTCTTAAAGGAGACGAGATAAAATATGTGGAACACTTTGCACAAGTCTGGCACACAGCACTCACACATTTTTAGTGCTCTTATTATTGTTAAATCCTTTGGGAGAAAAGATAACAGATTAGAGTGTAGACTTCTTTCCCTCAGCTTTTGTTTTGAGCTCAGGCTGCTTTATTCAGTGATGACCTGTATTGACTTCATAAGCAGATACTTCCTTGGAGATTTTAGCTATATTTTCCCCCTGGGCCCACTTTATGCTGAAACAGTAGCACGGATGGTGAGACAGTTTAATGCCATTGCCTTACCTCCTGATAACAGTGTGGTTGACATGTCAGCCCTCCATGTCAAAATATTATGACAACCATAATAAGTAAAATAAATTAAAAACACTTATTGATTTTAAGTGTTATCATTTCCTTCTACTATCAATGACATAAGATGTCAAATGTGATATATTTGAAGTATATTTTAAGCAAGATAATTAATGAATTGGATTTTGGAGTTGATTATTTAACATACTTTATGCAATTTGATGAAAAATCCCCATATGTAGACACAAATCAACAGAAGCTCCTGGCCATGAATATTGTAATACACAATCCCAATGATACCCTTCCTACCAAGGCATCATGCCCATACACATGAGCTGAGAGAAGAGAGAGAAGTATGCTGTTGACCTTGCTCACACCATTCTGGTAGAAATCAGCAGCCAACCCAGCATTCATACAAAACTTAGGAGAATTGGAGTAGTGGTAATTTGCTCTTCATTTTATCCCAACCCCATCAAGATCTGCCTTCTCTGGACTGAAGGTTTCCTATGCAAGGATAGAGATTGGGCTGGGGCAGAGGTACACCCAACCAACCACCACCTTCTGGACCCCGTCAGGGGTGACATCACGTTTTCATGAGGGAAGGCTTTAATAAGGACAAAATCCAAGTGCTACAGAAGATGAAAAGCCCCGTGCTCTTCTGCACTGGAGAGTGAAGCTTTTGATACAACAATGTGGTTAAAAAGAAGGAGGAGAAAAGGAAGCAGAGGCGTCAATTACAATTAGAGATTTCCTGACAGGGCCTATGCTAAACGAGTTATAGAGGCAATTACCCTAAAAATTTTGAAGCGGCCATTTGCTCAGTAACCTACACCGACCTGACACCCAAGCAGAGATTGCCATAAGCAGGGAATCTATGGTGTTAGAATGCTGCTTTAGCATAAATTACCTCAGGGAACAGATTTAAACCAGTTGCGTTTTTAAAAATTATGCAACAACAACAACAACAAAATGAGTTTATGCAAACTCAATACCAATTGCAGAATGGGGCCCTCTAAGTCTTTATCTTCAAAGATGCTGCATTCTTTCCCTGTTTGTTTTCTCTCTCTGGATGAAGATTCACAGCATTAATACATAATAACTGTATCTCACTCCATTACAGGTAGTTCAAGGCCGCTCTGCATAAACTATATGCACGGCTTTGTGTCTTCATCTTTAAAACAACCAAGTATCTTGGTCGCAGACATACGTTAGGTTTAATGCATCCCCTGCCGTAAAAGTCTTGCTTAAGACTAATGAACAAACAAATGTTTGTTTAAACCTCTTTGTGAAAATCAAACAAGCTTTCAACAGCTATTCATGTTTTTATTGTCAGATGTGAATCATCACTTAGGTGCTTTGCCCTGAACTATTACCAGTTAATGCTCATAGTTTCATGGTACTAATTCACTTGCTATGGTTTTCGTTTTTTGTAGCGTTGTTCCCCCCCACCGCCCCCCCACCTTCTTCCTTTCTGTCAGTACCATCTCCAGAAGGGCACTGTATGAAAAGTCCCTTATTGTTTCTGGCAGAACTGACACATTTGTGCCTAGCATAGTGATGCTGTTGTCCGCAGAAGGGTCACAGCCTTCAGGGACTCTCCTGCCAGTGCTGTATTTCGCCTGCACCCCTCTGGCTTGGCTTCTGCACTGAGACCCTCCTAGGCAAGTGAGCACAAGCAAGACACTCTCCCTGCCTCTTCCCCCACCCCTCCTCACAAAGTAGCTGTTTTTTCAGACTCAGCAGCACCTGAAAAGCTCCCACAAGATTTACCCATTATATTAAATAACAGGTTTTAGAAGCTGGGAACTGTTATTCTAGTGTTGCTCGGTGTCATTAAGGTTGCACGTCTATGCTTGTTTAATTTTTCTTCTGCCATTAAGCAAACTAAATGCTTGGAGGTTTCTTTCTGTCTCAGTGGGGTCCACCCAGAATAGAAAAGAGAATAAGTGTTCCAGGGTTGTGTAACTGGGTTTTTTTGCTGCTTTCATTATGAGGAAGGAATTAAAAATCCCTCCTAGTCAGTACTTAAAATATCAAAGTCATTGTTTAATGCCTTTGAGTCACTGTACAACTAATTCAATTGCACAGTGTAGCGCCGTTTCACGGTGTGTGAAACACAGATAGTACATAGAAGTGATTGCAAAGTTGAATAAACACCAAATTAGTTTTAAAAGTCTGCAACTTCCCGGTGGAGTCTTTCAAACTGAACGGCACTATTGTCTGACAAAGTCGATGGTCGCCAAAAGGTTGCATTACCTTCTGCTTGTCCTAATGTGAGAGAGTGTCCCCTGACACTGTGGCACCTGGAGGAGAAGGCCGTCCTCTGGGAGGCCTGTGTGCTGACAACTCCACATAACCAGCCTGCTTGTCACTCAGGGAGACATGGCCACACAACACAGCCTGGAGTGGACAAAGAAGAGAGGTGGTGTAGGTGAAAGAAAGGCCATGGCCAAACAAGAGACCCCAGGACAATTTTTAAAGCAGTTTGATATAGATGAAATATTGTAATTTGAGAATTAAAAAGACAAAGTTAAGCCCCATGCTTTGTTTATTCCTGGCTGTGAGACCATTTTCAACTCATTTAACATTTCCGAGCCTCAGTCTCCTTATCTGTGCCCGTTTGGTCAATAACAATTATTGACTAACTATTATGTATTTTCTAGGCACTGTTCTAAGTGCTGCGGTGCTGGGGCCACAATATCAAACAAAGCAAGTGAGTCGGTGTCCTCAGTGAAGTTTATTGTATATTATAAACAATCAGAATTCAAAGACAATCATATAACCAACACTTTTTGATGGCTTAGGATGTGCCAGGTACTGTGCCAAGGACAAGAGATATAACCAGACACAAACCAATCCCCATCCTCAATCATTACCCATTCACCCAACAAATATTTTTGAGCACCTACCCTGCACCAGGCACTAGGGATATAACAGGTAAAAATTAAGTCTCTGGCTTCATGAAGCTTTCGTTCTGATGGAGTGAGACAGTCAATAAGCAAATAAATGGCCTATTCTCCCACCCCTTCAAGTCTTCACTCAAATATTCCTTTTTCAATGACACTATATGACCACCCTATTTAAAATTTCAACCACCATGCTGCATTCATTGCTTTTCATCTTGCTAAGATAGTTAATATGTGTTAATTTGACTGAACCACAAGGTGCCCAGATACTTGGTCAAACATTATGCTGGGTGTGTGTGAGCATGGTTTTGGATGAGATTAACATTTGAATCAGTACACTGAATAAAGCTTATTTCTTTCCCCAGTAGATGATCCTCAATCAATCACTTAAAGGCCTGAATAGAACCAAAAGTCTGACCTGCCCATGAGTAACAGAGAGCTCCTTCTGCCTGATTGCTTCAGCTGAGATATCGGCCTTTCCCTGCCTTTGGAATTGAACTGCAACACTGGCTCTTCTTGGGCCTCAAGACTGCCAGCTTTTGAACTGTAACCACACTATCATCTCTCCTGGTTCTCAGGCCTTTGGACTCAAATCAGAAGCATACCAGGGGCTCTCCTACATCTCCAACTTGCTAACTGTGATCTTGAGACTTCTTAGCCTCCATAATCACATGAGTCAATTGTTGGTTCTGCTTCTCTGGAGAACCCTAATCCATCACTCTACATCTTTGTTCCATTATACATATTGCTTCCCAGCATATTAAATAATTTATCGATTATATTTTTGGTTTATTATTTATTTCTCCTACTGGAATGTAAGTTTCACAGAGCTCTTGTTCATTGCTAGATCTCAAGCCTGGCATCTAGTAGGTATTCAGCAAATAGCTGTTGAAAGATGAAAAAATAAATCTAATCTGCCAAGTGGAGGTAGGTACTGCGAAGAAGAATAAAACCAAATAAAGGAACTTGAGGGGAACAACAGCACTTCTTTTTATAGAAGGTAGTTAGGTCCTGGTGGGACAATGGACATTACTACTGGGATATAATGTTTATCTTCCAAACTAGGCTATCTTTCTTAATCCTGAGATCCTTGCAGATTCACATGGAGTTATAAGAAATAATACAGAGAAATCTCATGTATCCTCTACCCAGTTTCCTTGAATAGTACCATCTTGCAAAACAATAGTACAATATCATAATCAAGATATACCTATTGATACAATGTACAAATCTTATTTGGATTTTCCAAACTTAACTTGTACTCATTTGTGTGTGTGTTTGGTTTTATGCAATTTTTCTCATGTTTAGGTTCAGGTATCCACCACCACAGTGGAGATATTAAACAGTTCCTTCACTACAAGGATCTCTCATGTTGCCTTTTAAAACCACATCCACCTCTGCACCCTTTACCCTTACCCTTTTCCAATCTTGGGCAACCACTAATCTGTCCTCCATTTCTATACTTTTTGCAAACTAGGATACTTTTGAAAGCAATTGGAATACTATTAATAATTATGGCAGGACAACTGGTTAATTAGCACTGTCCCTGATGAAACACATGTGGCCATCTCTTTATTATAGAACAATCATGATATGGTTTGACTCTGTGTCCCCACCCAAATCTCATCTTGAATTGTAATCCCTATGTGTCAGGGGAGGGGTCTAGTGGGAGGTGATTGAATGTTGGGGGCGGACTCCCTCCTTGCTGTTCTCGTGATAGTGAGTGCATATTTTTTTATATACAAGGCACACCAATGAGTACTTTTTAATTAATCACAAGATATGGTTGTTTGGAAGTGTGTGGCACTTCCCCATTCACTCTCTCTCTTTCTCTCCTGCCGCCATGTAAGAAGTGCCTTGCTTCCCCTTCTGCCATGATTGTAAGTTTCCTGAGGCCTCCCCAGCCATGCGGAACTGTGAGTCAATTAAATCCCTTTTCTTTATAAATTACCCAGTCTCAGGTAGTTCCTTATAGCAGTGTAAAAATGGATTAATACAAATCATAACAACTACATCTAACAGTCATGGAATGGGTTCAGCATGCCAGGCACTGCACTGATCTTTGTCCACATTATTACTTTTAAAACTCAGAAAAAAGCATGAGGCCAATACTGTTATCGTTCACATTTTACAGAGGAAGAAACAGAGGCAGCGAGGCATGAAAACACCTGTCTAGGGTTACAGGGTATACAGCTTTCAGAGCCAGGAATCATAACCAGGTCTGTCTTGTTCTAAAGCTCGCCTTTTGTAACTCCTGCACATTAAACAAATAATTACAACTAATTTATTAAATAATTACAAGTGAGCAAAGTGTTTTGAAGGAGAAGTACAAAGGGCTACTGAAGCATAAAATGGGAATTGGAAAAATACCTACCTCGCCCAGAATTATTGTAAGAATTAAAAAGTACTCATTGGTGCACTTTGTATATCAAAAAGAACCTTTAAAAATGTTCTGCATTGTCAACATTTATACCAGGAGAGATAGTCTTATATGGACCTTCATCACCTTGAATTTCCAAAATGTTAAGTGCCATCTCCTTAACAGTGCAATAGCTTTCTGTATATACTTTGGAATACTGACATAGAATAATGAAATTTAAATTTTTAAAAATCTACAGTTTCTGACAGCAACCCAAAGGAAGTATTCACCCTGACATCATAAACTGTATAGTAGAGTTAGCCCTACAGAAGAAATTGTCTATGATTTCCCCCAGAAGTGAGGATCCATCACTGAGGGAAGGAGTCTTACAGACTCAGAATCAAGTGGGATGTCCTGGAAGAAAAGCAAACGAACAAAAGGCCCACTAGGTGGAGTGAAATGGATCAGGAGCAATTATGTTCAATTTTACCTTAAGTTTTCTCAAAAGGAGGAGCATTAAGAATCAGCCACTTTAGTACATACTTAAAGTTCAATATTACATTTAAGAAAATCCTTGTTATCTTAACGTGGCACTGAGAAAATACTATCAAGTACAGCACTTGGACTAAGTTAGAACATTAAATACATAAGATCTCATGATAGAATTATCCTCAGACTTTCCAGTTCTAATCTTCTAGTTTTACTGAGATCTGATCCTGTGCCCACTGATGAAATATCAGAGGAATGGGATCCTGTAGGTGAAGATCATCAGCTTATAAAATCCTGTTGCCATCAATGGGGGTGGCAGGGAAAGGATGAAGATTGGTTAAGGGGCCAGTGGACTCAGCATTGAAATGAATCATGGACTTGAAGCCAAGAGACTCAGTTTGTGTCCCAGCTCTCTCAAGCAAAGCCCCCAAGTCCCAGTTTCCTCATCTATAAAAAAGAATAAAAATACTTAATGGACAAAGTTGTGTGGGAATCAAATGGGATAAAGTCTTATATAAATAAAGTCTTATATAAATAAAGGCATTCTTTTCATCTGAGAAACTGAAGAAAAAGATGCCGTGAACAAGAAAGACAGGAGAAAAGTTTTTTTTTTAATGAAGGATAAAATGATGAAATCCCCCCAGGTATTCCTACAGAAAGGCCTTACCAAGAGCTGTAGGCATATGTCTGGTCCTAAGGTCCATTTTGGAGTAGCCCAGCACTCAGCCTGGAAAAATGGACACTGAGAAATATGTGCATCCCATTTTTCTAACTAGCAGCATTTTGATCCTGTCTTATTATCCATACCCAGGCTAGCACACATGATTTTTTCTGCTTGCACTTCAGGAGAAGGTAGGCAGTGGACAAAAGGTGGGTCATTCTCATGTTGACCAGGTTTCTGTTCCAGTATCACCCTCCCAGATAGGCCTTTATTCACTCTAAATAGATTACACTGTCTTAAATAGCTACCTTTCCTGCACACAGTCTCTTACTATGCCATTTGCTGTCAAAGCTCTTCTCACTCCCTGATATGATTTTGCATGTTGATTTGCTTGTTCATTGCATGTTCCCTCACTACAATATAAATGCCTTGCCAGTTTTGATCACTACCATATCCGTAAGGCCTAAGAATGTTCAGTACATACTAGGTGCTCAGTAAGTACCTTTTTTTTATAAGTGAATGAATGAATTCTATTCTTGTCCTATTCCATTGACATTTTCCTGTCTTAGCTGCCTTGGACAGCTCTGAAAGTTCTTCTGCTATTTTGCACACTATTGTCTTTCTCTGTCATTTGAATCTTTTCCTTACTTAGTTTGGGTTCCTCCAATAGTAGAGCTTGAGACAAGGGTTTGGATACCTGTAGTCTATTTGGAAGGTGATCCCAGGATTGGAGAGAATAGGGAGAGTAAGAAGAGAAACAAAGAAGACCCAACAAAAAAGTGCCTTACCTGGGTTGCTGATGTGGGCAGCAGGCACTCAGTTCCATCTGGATTTCCTGAGAGATATGCAGAATACCTCCCAAAATACAGAGGATGGAACATTAATTCACACAAACTGAAAAGTTTGAAAAAAAAAATTAGTCCTTGCCCTTGAGAAAACTTTACTCTGAGTAAAAATGAAAACAAGAAATGCTTGTGATGTATTCATTGTATCAAAGGGAATTAAATTTTATTGAGTGCCAAACATGGGCCAGGCCCTGTACCTGGCAACTTATATATATCATCTTATTTCGTTATGGCAACAGGACCTGCCATATATCAGGCTGCTACCATTTAACCAGGTTCTTCACACGCATGTTCTCACCAGTTCTTACAACTAGTCAATACAAGTTTTTATTTCCATTTAAGAGATGAGAAAAGTTGAGACTTGGGGAAAAGAAATAGCTTGGCCTAGGTAACACCATCAATTCATAGCAGATCTTTCTGACTCTACAGCTTGTCCTATAGAGAAACAATTACATGTGAGGAAAATACAGGGCAATATAAATTTAAGTGAGTGACTACATAACACTTTCTTGTGAAGAGTTATAGGAATTCAGAGAAGGCAATGTGCAACATGAGGGCCATAGTTAATAATACTATATTGTATACTGGAAATTTGCTAAGACGGTAGATTTTAGGTACTTGTACTGTAAAAAAAGAAAGGTAACTATGTGAGATGGTGAATATGTTAACTTGCTTGACCTTAGTAATCATTTCACTATATGTATATATATCAAAATGTCATGTTGTATTCCTTAAATTTATATGATATAATAATATAAATAAACAAAAAATTAAATAAATAGAATTCATAGAAGTGAATGACTCTTGTGAGCTACACTTAAATTTAACAAGATTTTATTAAGAAGGTTAGGTTTTTAAAAAATTTTAAGAGAAAAGCGGGAAGGAGAAAATGGATTCCTCTAGGCCAAGGAAACAGCTGAAGAGAAAAGCATAAAGATGAGGTAACTGGCTTCATGGAACCTGAATTATTTTTCATCAAAAAGCTCAACCCCCCCCCATATTATCTTTCATAAATAAGTAGTGTGCCATTATGGAACATGAAAGGTATGGATTTAGAACATGATCTAGGTTAAACAAAAAAGAGGAAGAAAACTAAAACAAAGAACAAAATCCAGATTGTTGGGATGATTCTGAGGCCCTAGAACCTTAGGAACTCTAAACTCTTTCAAAGTGTATTTGAAAAGACATATATTCAGTGTGTGTAGTCTGACAACAGTGGAATGCCAATAACATTTAATTTCCTTGACTTCTAACCTTCTTAACCTGTTGTGCTGCTGGAATGGGACTGTAAATCAAAATATGCTGAACTGTATGGGGAACATGTGTATTTAGTCTTTCCAAACTGCCTGGTGATTTTTTAAAACACTCCTCACAATAGTATTTATGCTGGTCTTGTTTTTCATAAGTCTTTCTTCTCAACCATGCTTCAACTGGTTAATATAGGCATCAAACACAGCACGCAAGAAGGAGAACGCAGAAAAGAGATTCAGAAATTGGTGAGAAAGGCCAAAGTATCCCGGACATCCCTCCCATCCCAACTGTTATCAATGTTCTTCCATTTTCAACCACAACCACCACAACAAAAACAATGGAATATTGCCTTGGGTCTAGTAAATCATTAGCAAATTAAGAACCTGTTTTTAATAACATTTAACTTGTAAATAATGCATTAATTGACTAGCCTGAATGTTAGTTTGAGCATTTGAAACTCTGCTACTAAATTTGTAATGAAAGAAATGTGCTGCAACAGTAGGCTATATGGTGAATACAGCAGATTAAATATGACAGTTGATATTTGTGAAAATGGGGTTATAATTAGAGGACACCTGCAGCTGTTTTCCAACCAAAACAACAGAAATTAAACTTGCATAAACTGTGTGTGTGTGTATCATATTTTCTATTGGCGTGTTTCTTTTGTTCTCCTTGAGTCTTGTGTTAGATTTTATCCCCCGTTTTTCAGGTCGTATGTCAAGCAAGCAACAAGTGGCCTTTTTCTTTATACACTTTATTGGACCTCAAAGTGACACGTTTTGGGGAGGAAAAGAAAAAAAGAGACACAGAGATCTTTTTTCCTAGGAGTTAGGAGTTACTAAAATTCATGAGTGTTGGCCCAGCGTATTATAAGTGCTCATAATTAGAGGAAGCCATGTGAAAAGGAACCAGTAGGGATTTCAGTCTTACCTACCTTGTCTCCAACTATCAAGTAGGATTTCTGAGATGAAAACATGAAGATTGTGGCACCCTGCCAGCTATACATTATTAAAAATATGTATGGCAGAAAGTCAGGTAGAGAAGTTGCTAGAAATAGGGATTAAACCAAAGAGAAACTAAATATTTGCAATGACTAATAATCAACAAAGTGCTGTCATTTCACTAATTCATTGTTTCTCATTCATTCGACAAATATAGATAAGCACCTTGCAGAGGCTATACTAAACTAGGCCCTGGGATACACAGCTAAATAAGACACAAATCCTATGACCTCAAAAGGCTGAAAATCTGGTTTGAGGAAAATATCTGTAAATCAAAATAAAGGGAGATCATGCAAGACAGAGAAAGAGATGAAATACTAAGAAGCAAATCTTGGCACATCTGTTAAATGCAACAAGGAAGTTAAGAAAGATAAAGACAGAAGCATTTCTATTGAATTTGTCAATCAAAGTTCATTAGTGACCTTGGCAGAAACTGTTTTAGTGGAGTGTTGGGAACAGAAACCAGATTACAGTGAGCTACAGGATGAATAAGAAAGAGAATGTAGAAAAGTGAGTGTAGACTGCTCTTTTCAGAAGTCTGACCATGAGAGACTAGAGACAGAGAAAGAGAGTGGGGAAGTTGGGGGTGGTGGAGGAGAGAAAGTATGTAAAGAGTTGGTTTTCAAAGACCTGAGGAAGTTGCATATGCTGAGTAGTGGCCACAGCCATTGCACACAGAGAATCTTGGCATATTAACATACCTGAGTGCACATCAGTTATACATTTTTTCCCTATCAGAAGTTGAAATTCCCTTTTAATATTCCAAATATTAAATTCTCATTTAACAAGCTAATTAGCCTGCATTTTACAATAGATTGTATTAGAGCTTGGATACACATCCAACTCGATTCCATATGATGGAGCCGTAGTTGACTTGGTCAATAACTTGCATTGTTCTGCATGAGAATTTTCACAATTTGCTACCTCATTCTAATAGGGTTTGTTTGAATTATATGAAATCACCATCTTTATTGGTCAAAACCAGCTGAATATTGGCAATTTCATGTGGTTCAACCTAATAGTCGACAGGGGACTGGGGAGATCATAGCATGTGAATATAATGTTGAATGAGACATAGGAAGAAAGAAACAAACAAGATAGCTGGGACAAAGTGTATTGAATGAGTAGAAAAAAAAGTAGTAATCTTTTTGTCTGGGTTAGGTGTGTGTTCCCAAGGGAAATAATTTTTGAGCATGTAGCTTGAAAGTAATAATAACACTTTTAGGGAGTACAGATGGCTCAGGGGATCAATTGGGATTTAGGGAGCGGGGCTTTTACCTGCAATCTGTCCAATTTAGTCAGACTAACTTGCAATTTTTACACTGTTAAACATCTTACAAATCTGAGACCAACAGACCAAAGAAAAGCTCTTTCAATTGGTTGTCTGGGTAACTCGTGGTAAATTTTGTATCCCCGTTGTAATGTGATTCCTCCATTTCTAAAGTGAAGGCATGGATTACCCACTCATTCTCAATCCAATGTGAGAGGTCCAGAATTCTGTGTCAGAGTTAAGACAGTCCTGGTGCAGTCAGCAAGGGAAAGTAATTTTTCCAAACTGCCTGTGCTAAAAATAAACCCAGGGTAGTCTCAGGGGAGAGCTACCCAGTCCCCTTCACGGACACTAAAGGCACTGTGGTGGGAGGTGAAGATGGACCGAAAACAAATACCTGAAGAAAGAAAAACACCTTAATGAGGGCACCGGTGGTGAGTTGATGGGAACTGAGCTACCACTGGGAATGCATCACCTGAGCATTTTCTCCAGAGCAGAGTTGTCGGACAAATCTGTGAGGAGAAATTCCCACAACAGTGCACAATTTGAGCTCTGGCTAAGTTCTTGGAATGTCATTTGTCAGCTGTCAGAATCCTATATTCATAAACAGAGAGGAAAAGTCTCACTAAAATGAAACTAAAGAACATACAGCAGCAGAACCTGGTCTCTTCTGTGTTAACAGAAGAAACATGAAAATACTTAAGCCAACATACTTGGTATTTGTGTCAATCATGATACTTTCATTGCTCGTCTTGAGTTTCTCATGTCTATCACGCCACGGCGAGGCAATCACTCAGAACAACCCATGGCATTTTGCAGGGCACCGTACTTGGTATGGAAAGTGGTGAATCATGGGCCCGAGATTTGGTTACACAGTGTCTTAGAGAAATATCCCAGTTCCTTCTCAAGCTATAAAATTCCTCCTGCTAGACCAAGAATAAATATGGAATTTCCTATCATCTCTGAATTTTTATTTTACTTAGTTGCAAGCAGAGCTCTTTCTCCTATTATATTTATATTATTATAAAATTGATCTTGAGTATGTAGAACTTAAGAAAGTCTCCAAAGACAGATCTGGATGGGCCTCTCTCTTCCAGCTTATAAGATGTACTTTGTAAAATTTAGCATAGCTGCTTTTATTATTATACTATAATACTAAAATGTATGTGATTAAATACATGACCTGCCTCCCTGAAGGTAAGATAGTTTCTAAATTCTAAAGCTAAATAATCTAGCCCACAGGGCCAGACATAAAATTGCACCCAGAAATTCATACCAAGTGTCAAGTCACTTGGGGTTACTCCTGTGGGCTCAGTGCTGATCATGGTTGGCAAGAGATAATTTGCCCCACTGTCTTGCTTGAGGATGATTTTTTACTGCCACACATGGAAAAAGTTGCAGTTAATTATATGATTGTTCCAAATTATAAGTTCTCCTCCCTAAAAGAAGCTTATACTTTCCCATCCCATTGACATCAAGCTCAGTCACATGACTTGCTTTGGCCAATGAAATGTGAGCAAAAGTGACAATTACCACTTCCCAATAGAAACTGAGCGCCATCGCGTGGCTCCACAATTGCTCTTCTCCCTCTGCCCAAAGAATAGCATGACCTAAATAGAGACTCAATTTCAGAATGAAGATATGTAGAGCTGCAACTAACCTACAGCCATCAGGTAACAAGGGAGAGAAATAAATCCAGATGGTTGTAAGCCACTGAGAACTTGTGATTGTTTGTTACCAGAGTATGACATAGAAAAAGCTATCCAATACAACAGTAAAACAAACCCATCAGGTACAGGAAGTGGATCTGCTCCCTGAAACCCATACACAATCACTCTAGCTGTATCTTAGCACAAATAAGGCAGGGGACCAGAAAAGAAAGGAAGAAAGAGGTTAGGGAAAGAAATCTCAATATTTCCCAAGGAAATATTGGTGGTGTTCTAGAAGAAGTGGCTATGTTACAACAGTTGCATCTTAGGATATTTATTCACTTCCAAGCTTTCCTCTCTTCTCAGTTGGTGCTGCAAGGAATACCCTGCTCTAAGAACACCAGTTTGAAAAGGGCTGGCCACAGATGACTTCAGAAGACCAAAGAGTTCTGTATTGACCTCAGTTATGTCCTTAATACTCTCCAGCAAACGTACAATATTTCCCTAGTCCATTAACTCTCCTACTCCTCTGAAAACTGTTTCATGCCTACTCCTCCCTTCTCAAATCTCTAAATGCCTCTGTCATCCTCACTCCAAGCTGATTATGTTGCTTCCTAGTTCACGAAGAAAATAACAGCAATCAAAAGCAAACTCCAATCAGCCTCCAGCAACATCTCCTCTTCTCCTGCATCTGTGCCCATCTGCTCAACTTTTCCTCCTAGCCATGTTCCTAGTCAAAACTAACTCCTTAGCTTGCCACTAGATCTTATTTCACTCATCTATTGAAGGACACCGTTCCAGTGATTTTCTTTTATTTCTTCTACTTTACCTATTTTTTCTCTATTTCATCACTCTCACCAACATTTAAACACCTTGTTTTCTCATCTTTTTTTAAAAGACTCTCTTTACTCAAATTCCCACTAGCGATTCCCCTTTCTCACATTTCCTTAATAGCAACACTCTTTGAAAGAGTGTCCATACCCCGTCTCCAATTTCTTTCCTCTTGCTCTTTGTGGACCTCACTCTAAACAGGCTTTCACCTGCACCTCTCTGCAGACACTGCTCTGATCAAGGTACCAAAACCCCTACTTTGCTAAGCCAGTGGTCATTTCTCAGCCAGTCCTCATCTTATGCAACCAATCAGTAGCATTGGACACGACCACTCTCTCCTCTTTGAAACACTTTTTTTCCTCCACTGGGCTTCCAGACTCTCTGCTTGTTCAGTTTTATTACTACTTGTCTAGTCACTCCTTTTTGTTTCCCTCGATGCTTCTTCTCATCTCTGCAGTTTGACTCCCCAGGCTCAGTCCTTGAACCTGTCTTTTTTTTTTTAATCTATGCTTACTCCATTGGGAAGCTCATCCAATCTCAGAGCTGTAATAAATTTGTACTTCCAGCCTGGCTCTCTCCCCTGAAACCCACACTCATGTCTTTATAAGACATGATACATGCATGGATTGGATACCTAACAGGCATCTAATATTTGACATGTCTAAACTAAACTCCTAATAGCCTACAGCAGCATCACAAAAACTGCATCTCCCACAGTCTTCCCCATCTCTTAGTTCAAGTCAAAACTCCTTGCAGTTTCCTTGAGTCTTCTTTCTTCATACCCCCATTCTAACCATCCAACAAATCCTATTGGTTTTACATTCAAAATATATCCAGAATCCCATCACTTCTCATTGTTTCTACTGCTGCTGTTATAGTCTGAGCCACCATCATCTTTTGCCTGGATTAGTGCAGTAGCCTCCTAACTGTCCTCCACTTTCCATCCTTGACTTTTCTAGTCTATTCTCTATATAGCAATAAAGTTATTTCATTAAAAAATGCCAAATGGCACTCTCTGCTCAACATCTTCCCAGAATATTTTCTCTGATGCCTCCGGGTACCCTGCTCCTCATTTATTCCATCCACTCCAGTTATACTGGCTTCCTTGTTATTTTTTGAGAATATCAGACATGCTTCGATGTCAGCACCTTTACATTGGCTGTTTCCTCTCCCTGAAAATGCTTTCATTTTCTCCATGAACTAGTCAGCAAAGTCATTATGGCTCATTACTTCCTTCAGATCTTTTCTCAGTGAAGTCTTCCCAGACTAGCCTACCTGATGTTGCAAACCCCACCCAGCATGCTGTACCCACCTTCCCCTCTTTATCTTCTGCTAAGCACTTATGATTTTCTGGCATATCACATGTTTGACTTACTGAGATTATTTATTGTCTGTATCCCCCAACCTGGAATGTAAGCTCCATGAGGGAAAGGAGTTTTTATTAACTACTGTACCCCTAAATACCTAGAATAAAGCCTGGCACATAGGAGACTCAACAAAGACTTGTTGAAAGAATAAATGAAATGTTTTTGCAAATCACCTTCTTAATGCCTGGAAATGTTGATTTAGTGTTTCATCCCCTTTACTTGGAATAATAAGAGAATGTTAAAGATGTGATGGCTTTAGAGTTAATGTACTTTAATACTCTCATATGACACGAAACCTTTGGCCTAGAGGAGGAAATAAGCTTTCTGAGGTTGCACACCTAGCTCCAAGCTAATGGCACAGCAGGGCCAGATGCCCTGGCTCCCAGCCCGTCTCTCCTCCCACGGTACCAACCACCCCATCCTCCTTCTGGCTTCCATGAGTAAAACTAGCTTCTGCTAATGCCTCTGCTTTTATTTTGTATCTCATCTTAGTTATGTCATCTTGATGTCTTCATAAATGTGCTTTTATCTCATTTTGCAAGAATATTTGTATAAAAATAAAAAGGGATGATTTCCACAGAATTTAAACAAAACCCCTACAGACTCTACTAAAGGTTTCATTAGATTCTTTTAAGATGTATTAAGTATAAATATGCAAAAGATGTGTTAGAATTTAAACTCCAGGAAAAAAAAAGTTTCAGAAAACTTGATTAACATGTTAATAATGGCACCTAACTCTCCAAAAAGTGTGGCAAAGATTCAGTGAGAAAACATACATTGCCTGGCATACAGGAAAGACAGAGGAAGCGTATGCTATGGCACAGGTTGGTGTGTGTGGGGTGTGAGACTTCTGTAAGTACTAGAGTTCCTACGTATCCCTGTTGATGTTACACAATATTAAGACCCAATTTTCTCTCTTAATAAAAACATACGTGGTGAATTTGTAATGGTCCAATTTGTCATGGCAATTTATTATTCTACTTCCTAGAGCACTTTAGAGAATACTTTTTGAATACTGATTTAAAAAAAAATAAAAAGAGGCACAACATCTCCCTGAACCAGTAGGTGCCAACAGTTATCATCATCTCCATTTTGCCTATGATATAAACTAAAGCCTAAAGGTTATTTACCTCCATTTAAGCACAGCCAAGCAATGGGAGACATGGAACCAGAAGCTCAAATGTCTAATTCCTAAACATGAGTTAGTTCATTGAGTCAGTCAGCCTTGTAAGCACTAGTAAGCAATTCAAGATGAAAAACTAAACATTATTTTTCTTTCATATTAAAAGGTTTTGACTCTGTTCCCACAGATAAATAGGGTCTATATCCCATGGCCTTGAATCTGGGTGGCCTCTGTGACTGTTTGGCCAGTAAAGCCATAGCAAAAGTGAAGCCAGCCCAGATTCCAAGTCTAGGCCTTATGAAACTGGTAGCTTTCACTTTCTATCTCTTGGAACACTCTCTCTGGAAACCCTTAATCAGTATGTAAGAAGTTCTACTACCTTAAAGCCACCCTACTAGAGAGGCCATGTGTAGACACTCCAGTCAACAAGCCCAGCTGAGCCCCACCTTCTGGGCCAGTGGCAGTCATGTGAGGAAAGCCATCCTGACCCTCCTGACAAGCCCAACAACCAGCTGAAAACTACTGAGTGTCCTCAGTCAATTTGAAATGGAGTGGAAGAATCACCCAGCTGAGCCATGCCCAAATGCCCCAGCAACAAGGTCCTGATATAATCAAATGATTGTTATTTTTAGCCACTAAGTTTTAGAGTAATTTGCTATGCTGCAGTAGGTAATAAGAACACAATTTGATACCTGGAAATGGAGTCCTGCCATAACTATCTAAAACATGTGGCCATGGTTTTGGAACCAGATGACAAGCAAACACTGCAAATACCTTGAGGACACTGTTAATGAGAACAGAAAAACCTGAAGGAGACTTCTAGTGAATACTTAGAGGAAGTTAGTATAGGAATTACTATTGGAGGCTGGAGAAAAAGTGACCCTGGTTATGAAGTGGCAGAAATTTTGACAATACTGTTGCCTGTTGTGATCTAGACCATAGAATATATATACCTAATGAGCTGACGGATTTGGCTGGGTTTGGGTCTCTGATAGGAATGCCAAAAGTGCCAAATGATTTGTTTTATGCATGTATGATATTGTACAGAAAAAGGTGAGCTTAGAAATGAAATGTGAAATTATTGTAGTTAAATAATTAGTTATATTACTTTGTCATATTACTGCATAATTCCTAGGAAGCAGGACTGAGATGTAATCAAAGAATGTGGACATGTGACCAGTAAGATTTCAGAAATACTACAGACTAGGGGCTGCTTTTTGCTTTTCATTCTATTTTTGAATGAGAATGCCAACTGCATTTTTCTTACCTTCATCTCAACATTGTGTATTGGGGATGGAGGAGCAAATAACGTTGTTTCTTTAGTTCACAGGTCGAGAGGAAACATACTTGAAGAAACATACCTGAAGGGTCTCATCCATGTGTGGACCTGATTTGGATGACAAGATCCTGCATCTTGAGCCTGATCCTGATGCTGCTTGGGTCCTGATGCCATCATGAGTTGAGAGTCTGGGAGTTCTTAGAAAGGGTGAATGTATTTTTGCATAGGCAAGAAACATAATCAATGGCCAAAATGTGCACTGTGACAGATTAAAGGTTGCTACAAATTCTCTGATACCCTTCCATTAAGAGGTAGGGCAGATATTCCCTCCCCTCAAATCTGGGTGGGCTCCATGATTTGCTTTGCTCAACAGAAAATGGCAGCAGTGATGCTGGGCCAGTTGTTGGATCCAGGCCTTAAGAACCAACAACTTCCACTTAAGTTCTCTTGGAACACTGAGCCCCTGACTATCTTAATATCATGTTGGAAAGACTACATGTAGGCACTCTAGTTGCCAGTCCCAGCCAAGACCAGCTTTTCAGCCTTCCCCATCACTAAATTTGTAAACGAAGCCATCTTGGAATCTCCAGACCAGCTCATTTGGCAGCTGGGTACTATGAAGTTATCTCTGCTGACTCCACGTGGAACAAAGGAATCACCCAGCTGAGCCCTATTCAAACTATTGACCAAAAAAATAGTGAGACATAATAAAATGATGTTTTAAGCCACTAAGTTTTAGGATAATCTGTTACATAGCAAGAGATAACCAGGACACTAACCATACATGCATATGAGTAAACAGAGGTAGGCATACTTTCCACATTAAATTGTGCTTTCTAAAGAGGTGATGATGAGTTACCTTTTTGTAAAGGTAATACATTTCAAATGTGCTAAGGATGCTTTCTCTTTTTCTTATCCATAAAACATGCAGACAATAGCCACTCTCCCCTTATTTCATAAGAATTTTGAGAGGAACAAATGAGATAACATATGTCAAAGGCATCTGCAAAGCACTTCTCATTAAGCAAATGTAACACGTTATTACTTTTATAGAAATTTAAGTAAAATACGGGGTTTTGTGCAATTTAAATAATCACCTAGTTTCTATCAACTTTGTAAGTTTAGCTAATCACATATCTGATTCTTCTACATACTCAGGTATTCATACGCAGGTATAAAATTGCTGTCCAATAAACGTAGACTTTCTTCAGTACTAAATTAAAGCAATGCTTGTTAATAAAATTTCAATAATACATTTTAGCGCAATGTTGACATGTAACACATGTATGTTAACTCAAATATGTAAAGCACAACTGGTATTAGTTAATTCAATCAAGCCCGCAACTCTTGAGGGAGGTGGGAGGATGTAGAAAACAGCTAGCTTGAAATGGGAACTACCCCTGGGCTGTGGTTCTGCCTCATCTTGGTTCATGATGAGAAACACACTGCGCATAAAGGAGAGAGATAAAGGGGTGTTAAAATACTTTATTCTGTAGCACAGAACAAAGTATTATGAAAGCACAGAAATAGACACGTGCATTGTTTCTTGTTAGGAAAGCTGAGACTGGAAAACTTGCTGAACTTCAGCTTACTGAACTCAGATATAATGTGATGTTTTATGTTTTTAATGACAGCTCTTCCCTGTCAGAAAGTTAGCATGTATAGTCTTTGAAAGGTCTTTTCCTATATTTACTATCAAAAAGAAAGCTAAAAGCATATAAACACACGAGCACACGTGCATACAAAAAATGATCGCTTGTAGCACTAGCAGTGTCTGCTCTTAATTCTAACCTTGCATTTGAATGAACAGTACACAGTGAATGGTTGAGTATCTCGGCTATCACACCACACAGTCATCTGTGCATCAGCTCCGAATATCAATGCCTCTTTGGAGTTGGGCTCCATTCTGCAGAGCAGATAGAACTCCAAAAATCCTGAGCCCCTGTCTCTGTGAGCATGTTTGCCAAGCACATCACAAGAGGGGTGGTGAGATGCTGTTCAGATATTGGCCCATTTTCCCTTCAATATATGGAGCTTCAAGGATTTTTAGGGCCATATAACTGAAGAGGGTTTACCACCTACTAGAGGAAAGACCAAACTCTGACTGGAGAAATCTTGAAGGGGTAACTAATGTTTGTTTCCATCCGCCTTCAGCCAACACTTTTACTGCACTCACACCTGAAATTCAGGGAAAGTGCTAAAAAATAAAAACCTTTAGTAGAAGCTTCAAAAACATGGGCAAGACAAGACCCAGAATTCACTCTCATTTAGCATGTTAGACTGACTGGTATGTAAAAAGCAACATCAGTATTGAGAGCTTACTGGATATCCTCACAACAACCCTATAACCTAGATTATCATCCTCATCCTACAAATGAGGAAACCAAGAAATAGGGAAATTGAGGAGCCCACTCAAGGTCACATGGCTGTCATTTACTGAAAGGAAAGAAACATCCAGCTCCTTGGACTTCAAACCTGAGCCATGTGCCTGGCCACTGAATTATACTGGCTTCTGGGTGAGGATGAGGGCAATAATGACAGCTGTCATTTGTTGAAAGACAGCATAAGAGCGGAGAATCTGAGAAATTTAAGACGGGCAGAGCTCCGTCTCAATTTCTAAATACCTCCATGACCCCAGACAGGTTACTGAACATAGCTGAGTCTCAAGTTTTCATTTTAAGATGGGAATAATTACAATACTCACTTGTGGGGTTGGTGTGAATTTTAATAATCTGTCAAGCGGCTGGCATTTAATAAGCATAAGAGATTAATTATTAGTAGTGACTAAGTGCCAGGCACCATTCATGTATTCATGTTTCATTTAACCTAACATTAACCATAAAAGGAAAATATTACACCTATTTTACAGATGCACAAACTGAGGCCTAGGATTTTCTAGAATCACATAGTTAAGTTGGGATTTGATCTAAGGCCTATGATTCCAAAACCTGTGATAGTTACACACCGTTCTCCTGCCTCTCTCAATACAACAGCTTATGTCAACCTGTGCCACAAATGACTTTTTCAACAATCAGTTAACATGTGTCAGCTACTAATGGGGTGAGGCTGTATTGTTGAGTTAACTCATTGCTTTTCAAATTCCATTTTATGCTCTAATGCTCAGGAGAAAAAGACATTTAACTTATATTTAACTTATCTCTCTTGGGAAAATTATTGAACTTATAAATGGTAGCACTTTATGAAAATATCAAAGATAGCTTAATTTAGAGAAAATGAGTCTGGACTAAGAATCAGGACACTTGGCTTTTGTTTTCCTTTGCTTTTCACAGTTCTCCACTGACTAGCTATGTGCGCTTAGACATGTCCCTTAACCTACAAATACCTCTACATCATTTCCATGAAGTGAGACATGAGCTTGAAGGGTACCTTCTGATTCTAAGGTGTTACTATTTAATGCCTCCAACACTTATGCACATATACACATGTAGAATTCAAGAGCCTCTAGAGCAGTAGTTTTTCTCACTATCCAACAACGTTGTTATTGCTTAAAGAGCTGTTTCAAAGCTTAGATTTTGGGAACATTGAGAATTAATCAGGTTTAAGCTGGAGGATCTATATTTTGTGAACACTTCCCAGCTTTTTCAGGAGAGAAGTTAGGCTTGGGAATCACTGCTTCAGACCACTTTGCAGGGTTGGCAAAATAACCATGCCCTGAAACCAAGAGGATGACCGAAGCCTGCCTCACGACCTCTGTTCCAAGGAGTAAGTTCATGGATAAGGCAGAGCTGTAACACACCAAGTTTGCCTTTCTTGGCCATATATTATTACATGGTGTGTAGGTGGAAAAAAAATATTTACAGATTATTTTCCTGTAGAAAAGGGAATGCTGTCGCCATGGCATCAATTTTAAAACTGTAGTAAAAGTCTAGAAAGCAGTAGAATTAACCTACTTAGTAGTGGCATCCCTGGTAGGGATAATCACATTCAACTTGAGAATCACCCCAAAGTCAAGAAGAAGCATGATCAATAAGACCCAAATACATGATCAGTACATGAACACCAAACTTGTATCCTAGTAGATAGATTTACTGAGCTGGGATCATGACATGATTCCTAAACAGGTAATAAAATTGAACTTGAGGGGCTAAATGTATTGAAGAGAGTCCAAAGACAAAAACAGTAATATATCTATATGAAGAAATGAGTTATAGCTATTCACCACTGTCAAACCCCCCTGAAGTCAGTGTAGAAGAGATGCCACCAGTCAGAAAGGAATGGGTCATATTTTAAAGCATTAAAGCATGAATATCACCCAGACCATCATAGTAAATATATATGTATCAAAGGACCAATGATACCATCTGTAAAGGGCTGAAGGTTATGTAGGCACAGTCCAGTGTCACCATTTCTAAAACTTAAGGATTATGCAAGCCAGCAGGTAAATGCACACAAATCATTTGCCAATTTAGAGAAAAATTCTGTGTGTGAACCTCAGTAGTTATTTTTCAAGTGTTATTTTCAAAATGGAGCTAACAACTTTGTCTACAGAATGTTTGACAATTATTAAATTATAATCTACAACCACACTCAACTTGTTGGCAGAAAAAGACGTGAGGAAAGGGGTGAAATGTAAAAGCAATATAGTCCTTAAAAACACATGGACGCCCTCCCATATAAGCTTTAGAAATCACAAAGATCAGGCATTCTTCGAGATCTAATCTCAAAACTTCATCAAGTGTTTATTATATACTGTTAAGACAAAAGTTTAATGATAAACTGAATCCTACATAGATGACTAGCTGTCTGATTGCTCTGCCCAGAGGGTCGTAGGAAACATAGGGATCAAAGGGTGTATCCATGTTCATGGAAGATGAACTCCAGTTTCACTGTCTTCTACTTCCCTTAGGGACATTTTATTAAGTTTTCTGGGCTGAATTTGGAAATCCTTCATGTTGGAAGAAAAGCTGACCTATTTCCTTATGCCAGAGATTTTCTGAGCTGATGTTCCTCCAAAATTACATTTTTAGACTAAAAGATAACTCACCAGCATCTTAATGTCAATCAGGAAACATTAAAATATGATGCTGTTTGGGTTATTTTCTTATCTTATTATTTGGTGGCTGGGTATTCACTTAAACCAGCCTGCTCTACATGTTAAATATCATCCTAAGTCTAAAATATTTTACCAGATGGCTTCTTATTAAAACTCAATAAAAGTGAACAGAAGGAAAATCCAGAGCATAGGACCAGCCAAATAACCCAAATAGACTCAACCTAAGTCCTCTTCTTAGACTCATGATCACATTACAATATTTCTTCACCAACTCCAAACCCCTTCTGAGGTGACAGAGGGAGGCAAGAAAAGCTTGTGTTTTGTTTTATATTTATTTCCTTTGAAGTCATAAGCCACATCTTATCTCCTTTTCAAAATCAAATACTCCTGACTTCCTCCATCATTCCTTTCTCTAATGTTCAGAGCTCTATTCGTCTATCCATGTCTTCACTAACCCCAGATAAATTTAAGCTAGTTCACTGCCTCAATTGCCGCTCATAAAATATATAATACAGTAGAAAGAGTACTAGTTTGGGCAGGAGATCTGAGTTCTAGGTCTAATCCTGCCACTAGCTAGTTTGGGGACCTACAACAAGTCTTAAACTATTCAAGGCTTCAGTGGCTTTATTACTGTAATACTGCATTTGGAAGAGATGATATTGAGGATCTAAAATTTTCTAGCTACATTTTCTATAATTTTAGCAATATTGGCTAGCTCCTGAAATTAAGCAAAGATCTCAGAGTTGTCCTATGGCAAATACCTGAAAATGAAATTATTTTTTATGAGCACAGATAATTTTAAAAAAAAATGATATATGCTAATTTTATTATTTAACAAAATAAGAAGTTAAGAGATTGTTTCATTCTTGGCATGATTCCAGAAATGTGGGATTATGTATGTTAATTAAAATTTTAGGTATATAAAAACACTCCAATCATCATAAGAGGAAAAAGAACAAAGAAAACCTAGTTCATATACCAAAAGAAAGAAAAAAGGCAGCCTCAAAGAAGCAGAATGAGAGAAAGCATAAAACAAGATTAAAAAGGGTGATATAAGTTAAAAAGCTTCTGCACAGCAAAGGATACAATCAACACAGTGAAGAGACAACTCATAGAATGGGAGTAAATACTTGCAAACCACCTCCTCTAACAAGGGATTAATCACCAGGATATATAAGGAGCTCAAACAACTCTATGGGAAAAAATCCGATAATCCAATCAAAAAACAGGCAAAAGATTTTAATAGACATTTCTCAAAAGAATACATACAAATAAATGGCAAACAGGCATATGAAAAGGTGCTCAACATCATTGACAATCAGAGAAGTGCAAATCAAAACTGCAATGAGATATCATCCCACCTCAGTTAAAATGGCTTGTATCCAAAAGACAGGCAATAACAAATGCTGGCAATGATGTGGAGAAAAGGGAACCCTCATACACTGTTGGTGGGAATGTAAATTAGTACAACCACTATGTAGAACAGTTTGGAGGTTTCTCAAAAAACTAAAAATTGAGTTATCATAAGATCCAGCAATTCCATTGCTGGTTATATAACCAAAAGAAAGGAAATCAGTACATTGAAGAGATATCTGCATTCCTGTTTGTTATAGCACTGTTTACAATAGCTAGAATTTGGAAGCCACCTAAGTGTCCATCAACAGATGAATGGGTAAAGAAAATGTGGTACTTATACAAGATGGAGTACTATTCAGCCATAAAAAAGAATGAGATCCAGTCATTTCCAACAATATGGATGGAACTTGAAGTCATTATGCTAAGTGAAATAAGCCAGGCACAGAAAGACAAACAGTGCAACTTCTCACTTATTTGTGAGATCTAAAAATCAAATCAGTTGAACTCATGGACATAGAAAGTAGAAGAATGCTTACTAGAGGTTGGAAAATATAGTTGGGGGTTGAGAGGCTGGTGGAGATGGTTAATGGGTACAAAAAAAATAAAAAGAATAAATAAGATCTATTATTTGATAGCACAATAGGGTAACCATAGTCAATAATAATTTAGTTGTATATTTTTTAATAACTTAAAGAATGTAATTGGCACACCAACATGGCACATGTATACATATGTAACAAACCTGCACATTGTGCACAAGTACCCTAAAACTTAAAGTATAATAATAATAAAATAAAAAAAAGGAATGTAATTGGATTGCTTGAAACGCAAAGGATCAGTGCCTGAGGGGATGGATACCCCATTCCCCTTGATGTGTTTATTTCACATTGCATGCCTGTATCAAAACACCTCATGTACCCCATAAATATATATACCTACTATGTACCCACAAAAATTTGTTTTAATAATTTTAAAAAACTTTTTTAAGATTAAAAAATAAAAGCAAAAATATTAGTTATGAAAATAAATATAAATATATTAAAGTTATTTATTAAAAGATCAAGGTTCTTAAATTGGGTTGGAAAAAATTCCAGCTATATAATGGATTAAAAATTATATGTATAAATTTAAAGTAAAAAGATTAGCAAAGATCTATCAGGTTTATATAAATAAAAATATAATAAAAAGGTTTAGGTAAATAAAAAGGCAAAGTGTAGGCAAAATTCACTAGATAAAACAAAGAATGTAAATTTAGAATGCCAAAAAAGTTAGACTTCACAATAGACATATAATAGGTAGAAACCATTATGTACTTAGAAACTAGTATTAAAGTACACAGCTCTTCAATGTACTGAGAGAAATAGGTATATACACAATTGGAATCTTCAGACAGTGTTTTCATGCCTTGGTAAATCAAGTAGGCCTAAAATAAAGCAGATTTAGCTAATAGGTTTTAGTTATTCTAATTGTCATAATTTAATTTTTACACTTACATGAGTACATATACTTTTCAAACATCTCTGGAATATTTTTGGAAGTTAATGGTATAATAGAACAAAATTATAATTTTCATAAAATCCCATAAAGAAAAAGCACACAGCCCACATTCTAAATGTTTATTCTAAAATAAACCAGAAAATAGTAACAAGAATTTAAAATAGGAAAGAGTTTATTTGTAAATTAGAAAACATGCACATAAATAACTATTGGACTAAAGAAAAGAACAATTATGATTACAGATTATTCAAAAAATAATAATGATTAGAAGATTACATATCAAATCTTACAAGATGGAACTAAAACTATTCAGTAGAAAAAGCAGATTTATGTGCTTGCTTTATTAGAGCAGGAGTAACACAAAATAATTAAGCTGAATTAAATTTAAGAAGTCAAAAGATGAAGTTAGCTTTTGAAGGCAAAAAAATCCAGCAAAAATAAAAGCAAAGATTCATGAAAGCAGACACTAAAAATTATAACATTCTGGCAAATTCTGGAAAGTCCAGGAAAAAGAGAGAGAGAGGCAGAAAGAGAGAGAGAGAGTTCACAACAACAAATAAATGAGAAATGAGATATAACTATAGATATGAGAGACTTTTAAAATGATAAAACAATATTATATACAGTTAAATTTTTTAAATTCACTTATGTTCTGAGAAAATATAAATAGCTAAAATTAACTTGATAAGTAGTAAATCTGGATAGGCTTTTGTGAATAGAAAAAAGTTGAAAAAATAATTAATTCCAATAAAGTTTCTAAGCCAAAACCATTTTACTAGTCTTTGCAATTTTTTTTTTTTTTTTTTTGAGACAGGGTCTCACTTTGTTACGCAGGCTGGAGTACAGTGGCATGATCTCTCAGCTCACTGCAACCTCTGCCTCCCAGGTTCAAGTGATTCTCCTGCCTCAGTCTCCCAGGTAGCTGAGATTACAGGCACACACCAGCATGCTCAGCTAATTTTTGTATTTTTAGTAGACACAGGGTTTCACCATGTGGCCCGGGCTGGTCTTGAACTCCTGGACTCAAGCCATTGGCCCTCAAGTGATCCTCCCACCTCCACCTCCCAAAGTGCTGGGATTACAAGTGTGAGCCACCACGCTCAGTCTTAGTCTTTGCAAATTTTAAAGGAATAGTTTGCACATCATATATACTGTTTCAGTACAGGAAAAGATGGAAAACTTACAAATTTCTTGTAGCATTAGCATAACCATAATAACCTAATAAAGATAGTGTGGAAGAAAAAAATTACAAACCAATACTACTTATGAAGGTAGATGTAAATCCATAAGTAAATTTGTAGAAAACTGAATGTGTTACTTAAACAATAAGAACTGGCTGGATGTGGTGGCTCATGCCCATAATCCCAGCATTTTGGGAGGCAGAGGTAGGAGGATCACTTGAGGCCAGGAGTTCAAAACCAACCTGGCCAACACAGCAAGACCCTATCTCTACAAAAATAATTTTTTTTTAATTAGCCAGGCATGGTGGCGCATGCCTGTAGTCCTGGCTACTCTGGAGGCTGAGGCAGGAGGATCACTTAAGCCCAGGAGTTTGAGACTGCAGTAAGCCGTGACTGTGCCACTGCACTCCAGTCTGGCCAACAGAATGAGACCCTGTCTCCAAAAAACAAACAAACAACTGTAAAGGGTCTGACATCTTACCCTACTTGCAAGCTAACAAGTTAGCCTGCCACAGTTTCATGTGGCAGAAGAAATGAGACTTTAGGGTCAGAGACAAAGGATTTTGTTGCTCTTGGCATACACAGGAAACAACATGAGCATCAGTATGTTCATCACTGCTCCTGACCCCTCGCCCACACATTCTCAGGCGGGCCATGTGATATAGGACCAGGTGGACACCCGCACGTTCAGTGGATTGCATTACAGGAGAGGAAGCCTGAGCTCAGGAAACTCAAATCTTTTTTTTTTTTTTTTTTTTTTGAGATGGAGTCTCGCTCTGTTGCCCAGGCTGGAGTGCAATGGCGTGATCTCAGCTCACTGCAAGCTCCGCCTCCCGGGTTCACACCATTCTCCTGCCCCAGCCTCCCGAGTAGCTGGGACTACAGGCGCCCGCCACCATGCCAGGCTAATTTTTTGTATTTTTAGTAGAGATGGGGTTTCACCGTGTTAGCCAGGATGGTCTCGATCTCCTGACAGGAAACTCAAATCTTTTAAAATGGGCAATAAACATCTGCCCACTGCCCACTGCTCCAGAGGGAGACTTTATTACACTGGACCAGTAAGAATGTCTGTTTGTTGCACCAGGGAGAGGCACTATATTTTTAAGTCTGTAAGCAAACCTACCCTTTTTATGGAGGAAAAGCCTCTACCCTTGAAAACATACTCTCAAACAAAGAGCAGTCAGTGCCTCTGCTCACAAGGAGTACAGAAATGTGAGAGACCCATGGAGAATTGTCTCCGGACACATCATTAAATATTATTCTTAAAATGCAAGGATGGTTTAATGTTTGAAAATATAATAAGACAAAGAAAAATAATATAATAAAATTCAACATCTAGTCCTGGTTGTTAAAGAGGAAACATTTTTTTACAAATAGAAATATTATTTATTTAAATATCTATTCTAAAGCAACAAGAGCTGTCATGTTTTACAGTGAAACCCTGTAGGCATTTCCATTAAAATTTAAACAAAACAAGGATGTTCATTATAATTGTTATTTAACATTATTCTGGGAGTTCCGGTCAATAAAATAAAAATGAAACATATATAAAAATTGCAAGCAATGAAAATCATTATTTTCAATGGTATATTTATGCACAGACAGCTCAGGAGGATCAAAGGAAAAACTTTAAAATTAATGAAGTCAATAAAGAAACTACAAACTAAACAAAAATACTATTAAAAAATTGTCCACATTGTCCATATGCCAACAATAACCAGTTGTTTTAAACAATGTGAAATCATAATAACTATTTATATAAGAATCTATTCCCAATAGCCTCCAAAAATATAAAATAATAGAAATAACCTGAACAAGAAAGAATGCCACATTCATGAGGACAAATTCAGTACCTGAGACATGCAAAAGAAAATATTTAAGAATAAATAAATTACATGTTCCTAGATGGAAAAAAGGAATTCTGTAAAGATATTAAATATTTCCAAACTGAGTTGCAGATGAAACTAGATTCTAACTATATTCCCATTAAGATTTTAGGGCAAAGACTTGATAAAATAATTTTTAAATGTATGTGGAAGAATATCACATGATGACAACAAGTTTCTAAAAATAAAGAGTAACAAGGTGGGACTCATCCTTCTAAATATTAAAATATGCCATAAAGCTACAGTAAAAAGTTCAACAAACAAATAAAAACAGAGTGAGATTACAGAAAAATTAGCAGGTAGTGCAATGGAGAAAAACAGAAACCAGAAACAGGTTTGGAAACCAGTGGAGAAAGGATGGTGTTGAGTCAACTGTTTGTTTGTTTGTTTTTCTTCAAAACAAAACAAAAAACTTAGAACGGTTCTCTTATACCAAATAATTTCTGGATGGTAAAAGTTATACTTTTAAAATAAAACCATAGAATCTAAAGTAAAATATAGGTGAAAGTCTATTTATCGGGTTGGCAAAGACTTCCTAAACACAAAATCAAGATGGAATAAGTCATGAAGGAAAATAAGAATAGATTTAACTGCATAAAAATAAAAATCTGTATATCCCAAGTCATTATAAATGATATTAAAAGACATTCAATAACTACAATAAAATATTATTTAAAAAATAACGGACATATTCAACTATAGAAGACAGCATCAGGTAGAGTTTACAAGTCAAGCTACAATTAATGTGCAAAAAAGTTAATGTGTTATTTATGATGTAGAATAGATGAAGGATGATACAGTGAAGTGGCTAGGAGCAAGGGAGCAAATCCCAGCTCCCTCACTTGCGAGAGGCTTTCATCATGCCTCAATTCCATCATCTGTAAAATGATAACAATAATACCATGACCTCACAGGGTTGTTGGGGGAATTATATGAGAAAATGCAGCTTGATCCAGAATAAATACTAAATAAATGTTAGCTATAGTAACATTAGTTGAGGTATAGGGCTATAACTATTAATCATTACATTTTTTTCTCTTGACTCACTATCTCCCCTCATCTAAGTTAGGAGCAAGTTGAGAGACAAATACAGGAATCCAGCTGATGAACATCTATCTATAATCCTAAAGGTTGACTAAACTGCATTAGAGAAGCAGCTCAACCTGTGGCTACAAGCCTACCACTTTTCCTTCAGAATTAAACACTTCCATCCCCAACTGCAGGCCTGCCCTCTGCAGGAGCAAGAACATGCCAGAATAAGTGAGTCTTGACAGAGAAGCTGGCCACATGGTGGGGCCCAACTAGCCATTCCAAGGAGACGAAACACAAGCCTCAGGGTGTCGCAGGATTGCTGTGGAGAGTGACTGAACTGACACCTCTTTCCATCTCAGCAGCCAGAGGAGTCACTCTGCCTTTGGAAGGAAGGAGGGAGGGGATTCAGAGAGGTGACAAATGACGGTTCCATTTATATGTCTCCTTCCTGGTCATTGAAGAAGGGCCCCTCCCTCACAAGGAAAACACGAGGTGAGAGGGCTAAATATTCCCTCTCATTGTCTGGAAAAAGTTTAATACGAAGCATTTGCAAAGGAATATTTTGCAGCCATTCAAAATTATGTTTTTTTGAAAGAATGTTTATTTTTTGCCTCAGGCTCCCAAGTAGCTGGTATTACAGCTGCGTGCCACCATGCGCAACTAAGTTTTGTATTTCGAATAGATACGAGGTTTCGCCATGTTGGCCAGGTTGGTCTCGAACACCTGACCTCAAGTGATCCTCCTGCCTTGGCCTCCCAAAGTGCTGGGATTACAGGCATGAGCCATTGCGCCCAATGACAAAATGTCTCTTAACATTAGAAAATTGTCACAATATAATATGGAGGGATTGAAGGGACCATTGTACCATCTCTACCATATTGGCAGAGAAAAATATTGAAAGAAGTACACTAAAATGTTACAACTTGATTACCTTTTGGCAGTAGTCTTATGGATGATTATAATTTTGTATAGTTTTCTGTATTTTTGAAATCTTTCACAGTTTTTTTACTTCAATATTTAGAAATAAAGAAATATGACTAGTTAGTAGCTTCTTAAGACAATTTCAATCCCTCAAACTAACAAGGCCCTAATTTAAAAGGACTTAAAGTGCATGATTTACCCTTGGCAACAGGATTTTAGACATGTGTCTGGAAGAAGAGGTTTTTTTCCCTTCGTTTCTATATCCATATCAGTGTATTTTTACAAGCATGCATTACTTTTGAAAATAAAATATAAGCTATTAAAATTTGCATTTTAAAAAGTATTTAAAATATAAACTTTTGCATCAAGAAATGAGAGAAACAAAGCAAAGTCAAATATATATATATATACATAAAAACTTCAAAGTTAATGGCTGAGTTTAGGTATACCACAATCCACCTAGAAGATAGGTATTTATATCAGGGCTCTATTTCTGTGTGGTTCAAGGGCACCAAAAGGGCATTATAAATATTAATAAAAACTTCAAAAGCTAAACCACATTTTTATGGAGTTAGGAGCATAAACTGAAAGAATTAATTTGAGAAGGAGACGGTGGTATTTTTCTATGGTTGTTTTGTTTTGCTTTTACTGAGAAATCCAGTAGTTCCAATTCTGTCACAAAAAGGAAAATTGTATAGCTTGTTGTTTTGAAAATGGGTGATGCTTGGGCCAGGTGCGGTGGCTCACGCCTGTAATCCCAGCACTTTGGGAGGCCAAGGCAGGCAGATCACGAGGTCAGGAGTTCGAGACCAGCCTGGCCAACATAGTGAAACCCCGTCTCTACTAAAAATACAAAAAATTAGCCAGGCGTGGTGGTGGGTGCCTGTAATCCCAGCTACTCAGGAGGCTGAGGCAGGAGAATCGCCTAAATCCAGGAGGCAGAGGTTGCAGTGAGCCAAGATGGCGACATTGCACTCCAACCCGGGCAACAGTGCGAGACTGTCTCAAAAAAAAAAAAAGAAAAGAAAAGAAAAGAAAATGGCCGATGCATGATTGTGTTTCAGGCCACACACAAACATGCAGAGGTTCAAGGATATTCTTTTCAGTGCAGAATTTATATCTGAATGTCTAGTTGCTGATCTAGTCCTCAGGCCCTCCAGGAGTTGGGTCATAAATTAGGTGGCAATGTACGTTTGTACATATGTGTTTTCTAAAACCTGACCCCCATAGCTGAAGAATGTGAAGGGCAAAACGTAACTGTGTAACTGGTCTCTTGAAAATAAAAACCAAATTGAATGAACGGAATGGATGGGCATTTCTAAGATGAGGCTGCTGGATGGTGAATCCATGGGGACAATGATTAGAGGGGACAACTCAGCAATCCTATCTTCCAGCCAGACTGCATTCCCTGTATAGGCCTGAGAGCTGCTGCATTAAACTTTAATCATAACAGGGCTGTGCTCCATTTACATAGCGCCTTTCATCCCAAGAATTCGGAGGACTTTGTAGACGTTATCACATTTATCTTCACATCACCCGCTGAAAAGCATGTTGGAACAAGGGTTATCTTCCTTTCACAGGCTAGGAAACCAAGGCACGTAAACAGTTCCTCCATGTCCCCTGATGAGCCAGAGAGGTAAAGAAGAGACAGTTGCATGTTTTTGTCACTGAGAAGGAACCAGGCCAGCACACATTCAGGGTTGAACTTTGCCTTCCAATTCAAGAGGAATCCCACTGATGATTAGATAAAGCATCAGTGTCAGCAGGTAGAGTTAGCAAATGGAAAGATGTATAAGGGGCTCAGGAAAAGTCCATTGGAGAGCATGGAGAGGGGGTTTCCTTGACTACTTAGATGCCTGAAATTCTACTAACAGTTCTTCCTTTAAGTTAAGGCACTGCAATTGGAAAAGTCTAGTGTAAAGTATGAATACATCTAGAGGCATACTACATTTCATCACTTTCAGCTATAGCATTGCAATATTAATTAATTTATTATATTTGTATATAATTATATTGCTGGTTAAATCCTGAGTCTCAATGGAATGAGATACAGGACAAATAGATTTGATAGAAGAAGGAAGTATTAGGATATGTTCTAAAGGCTTAAATCATTTTCAAAAAAGCTACACACTAATTAATTTGATTAACTAACTAGAAAAATACGCCCAGACTGATTCTGATGGAAACATAAGTGATGGTCCTGATTCAAGTCCTGCTGGCCACTCACCAGCTACATGTCCTCATGCACGTCAGCATCCCAAAGCTCTCTTTCTCTCCTGTTCTGGGAGGACAATCATGCAGTATCTTGGTGAAGATTCCTTCAAGGACAAATCATGACACAAGGATTGAGAACAAGTTTGGGCAGAAATCCCAGAGAGCAATGAGAGGGAATTGGTAAGTGAGACAGAAGGGACAGGGGACAAACCAATGAAAGTGGTTGCCATGAGGTTACCATGAGGCCACTGCTGTCAATCTTTTTGAAGACCCTCTGGGAGACCTGGGAACCTACCCCAGAATTGTCCCACCGTGGGGAATAGGAAGTCAATAAATTTTCCCAGAAATTCCTACCCCTCAAAGGCTGAGGATCACTCCTGGATTGAGCACCTCTAGCTTAGCCCTCAATTTACCATCTTCTCAGGAGGCGAGGGCACCCCCTCAGGCAAAGGGACGCAGCTGTCATGCCAACTGGCCTGCACGAGACCTCCTGGAGTAGGCAAGGAGACAGAGAGGAAACCAAAGGTATTCACTGCATGTATAGCCACTTCTTATAGCTGTTGAGCTCACACAGTCACGGAGAAAAATATGAATACAATGTGCGACATAATGTCAGGCACATAACGAAGGGCCAGTAAATGGTAATTGTGGTGATGATTGTTGCTATATTTTTAAAAATCAAGGCGGGCTAGGTTTAGTGCCATAGCGAAGGAGCCAGGCACCATAGCCAGAAGCCCCTGGGTAGGTCTGGGAAGGCCTAGGGATTGAGAAAGGTGAAAATAGTACAGGTATGGGGCTGTAAAAGGCAAACTTCATGTCCTGCAGCATTCTGCCTGTGGCTGGTCCTGCGGAGCGTTGGTGGGTCAGCTTGTCCCGACCTCCAAAGAGAGCCACAGGAAAAGAAGAAGGCTAGAGGTCCTCACGACCTACCTCCCAAGATATAAGCAGACACTTTCAGTGGAAAATCCCAGCCGCTCTGTAGGACAAGAACTACGTGGCCAAAAAGGGAAGCTGCAATAAATAGTTCTGGTTTAACCTGGGATGCATCACAGCTTCTCCAAAGTTTTGCTTTGACTTTAGGCCCAATTCAACCAACATGAAACGCCCACAAATTAACTCCCAGGAAAAACATGGCTCTTTGAGAAGAGAACTGACATTTGCCAAGCAGCTGAGCCTGTCAGTCCAGGTTGCAGGGTGACTTTCTCTTGCCGCAGTGGAATATAATGGAGCGAGTGAACTGTCGGCAGGCACAGTGGCTCCCACTAGCTGAATTCATCACTATTCCCTTTGTGCAGCCTTTTGCTTTGACCACCCTCGTATATGGAATAGGACTTACAAAAGAAAACTGTTTTGTTTGGCAGGTGGGAAATCATTTCAATTGCACTATTTTTTCTGTTTACTCAAGTAAATATAAAGATGCTTTTATTTTCCACAAAGAATTGTTATCCCTATTTGAATCTATGTTGCTTCAAAAACAAACATCTTACTTTTAGTATCAGAAGCAGACCATTCTGTTCCTCAGAGAAGTGATATTCTTTAGCAGACTGGTGGGAGACTTGTAGAATATTGAAAGGATAAGACAAATTCCAGAATAAATAACAGGGAAACTTTATTTTCTGAACTCTAATAACTATGATCAGTTCCTGCAGTAGAATGGGCGTTCAATAACTGGAACATGAAGGATTGGCCTACAGGGAAAGTCCAGGGTGGTCTGGGACCTCCCTGAACCTCCAGCGGATCTCATGAGACTGTCTTAACTGTCCTCTCTCTCTCTCTCAGGCCTACAATGAGCCCTGTCTTCCCCTACATGCCCATTTCTGCTTCTAGCCAAGTGCTATGGAAGCCTCACTCCCTCTCTGGCGAGCAGGTGCTTACTGAGACCTGAACCAAATCTGAAGTTACACTGAAGGTCATGCAAAATGGCTGGATTCACTTGTGGTTTCCTTCTACCTCCCCACTATTCAAGTCCCAACTCCGCAGGGAGCCTTATCTACCTGATCTCTGAGTCACTGCCTAGCCAAATCTCTCTAGGATTCCTTCTGAGTTTGTTTTTATCCTTCCAATCCATAAAACTGATGCTAACTTATATAATAAAAGCATGTAAGTAACTATATGTTTTTATTATTGACTCACTTGTTTCCTTGTTTTTCATGTGAGTCAACATCACCATCCTTAAAACAAGTAACCTTTCACAGATGCGTATTATCATGTGTCATTCTCAAAACACAATGAGGAAGATAACATTATCTGCATTTGACAAAGAAGGAATCTGGAGCTTAGAAAGTTTAGGTAACTTGACCAAACTGTTGCAGAGCTAGTAAAGGCAGCACCAAAATGTTAAGCCCAGACTCTGCCTCCATAGCCTATGTTCTAAGCTACCACTTACTTCTACTTTGCCACATCCTATCACAATGCAGTTTCTGCATTAATTTTAATGGCAAAAACCATGATTACTTTTGCACCATCCTAATAATAAAGGCTATAATCATAGTATCTTTCATGTGTGGTGCACCACTGTCTTACGAAGCCCCTTCTACATGCATTCTCTTGTTGAATTCCAATGACAGCAATAATGATAGCGATCAGTTAGGCAAAATTCTGCATTCTCTGCTTAAAAAAGAAAACTTGAAATTCAACATTCCCTATCCACAACAACAACAACAAATAAACTATATGTACTTAGCTTCATTCTTTCTTTTCCCTCGCCCTTCAGGGTGCTTGTTTTTGCCACACGTCATGTCCACCTTTTTCCTTGTTTTGCCTCTATAGAAACTAAGTATTTTTTCCTCTAAGAAAAGTGTTCCCCTGATGGGAGTTACACACATGTATCAATGGAGGAGTAAATGTTTCACAGTTGAAACCTAGGTATAACTTCCTCATCTGCAGAATGTATAACTCAGCAGTAAGAATTTTATCCTTGCAGAAAACTGGGGCATAATCAAGGCTTTCAATGGAGGGCAGAAAAGGGAAATCACAGAAAATCAATTCCATATTTTTTAGGTGTGGAATGGAGATAAAGAAAACGTTCTCTCAACTATTTTGTGAGCAGAGAGATATGATAATTTTTTCCTCTAAAGGCCAGGACTTTTCCTCAGTTCATGGCGTGATCTTGTCGTGTCGCTCCATGGTCTCATCCTGTTTTCCCTGAGTAACCATAAGAATAGAATCGCACACTGGTAAGGAGCTCAGTGTGAACGCGATTGGCTGGATCACTATCGCAGTGCCATCACTCATTAGCAGTCTGGCTGAAGCAAGTTCTTCAATAAACTTTC
This sequence comes from Homo sapiens, assembly GCF_000001405.40. Lineage (NCBI taxonomy): Eukaryota > Metazoa > Chordata > Mammalia > Primates > Hominidae > Homo > Homo sapiens. Next base: position 87,472,259 of record NC_000001.11, on the reverse strand, counting down.
TAAGTCTATTTCCTCATCTGTAAAATGGGGATAGTAAATCTACCCCCAAAGATTGTTATGGAGATTAAATAAGAATGCAAAGCACTTAAAGTGTCTGATAGAAAGTCCTTAGCAAACTGAAGCTACTGATATATATATCCTATTCTTTCTTTAAAAATCATTTTAAAGACCTCTTTTGCACAAAAGATTTAAGTATCCTGCAATAGAATGATGACAAACACCAATATAGTAAGTTGCAGTAGTAAAGGTAAATAATACTGCATGACACGATAAAAGACCCCTAGATCTCAATGGCTTAGCCCAATCAAGTTCTGTTTTTCACAAATGCCAAGTCCAAGGTGGGTGTTCCTGGCTAGCCACTACTAGGGTCTGAATGTGTCCCCCAAAAGTCATATGCTGAAATTTAATTGCCCACGGGATAGCATGAAGAGGTGGGCCCTTTAAGAGGTGATTAAGGCCAGTTATGGTGGCTCACACCTATAATCCCAACACTTTGGGATGCCAAGGCAGGAGGATCACTTGAGGCCAGAAGTTCAAGACCAACCTGGCCAACATGGTGAAACTCTGTTTCTACTAAAAATACAAAAATTAGCCAGGCGTAGTGGTGGGCACCTGTAATCCCAGCTACTCAGGAGGCTAAGGCAGGAGGATTGCATGAACCCAGGAGGCAGAGTTTGCAGTGAGCCAAGATCATACCACTGCACTCTAGCCTGAGTGACAGAGTAAGAGACTCTGTCTCAAGAAAAAAAAAAACAGAAACGTGATTAAGTCATGAGGGCAGGGCTTCATGGATGGGATTAGGGCCCTTTTAAAGGGCTTGAGGGAGTGGGTTCATTCCCTTTCCCTTTCATCTCTTCTGTCAAGTGAGGACATAGTATTCTATCCCTTCTTAAGATGCAGCAACAAGGCAGCTGACAGCAGCCCTCACCAGATACTGATCCTGCCAGCACCTTGATCTTGGACTTCCCAACCTCCAGAACTGTAAGAAATAAATTTCTCTTCCTTGTAAATTATCCAGGCTGTGGTATTTTGTTATAGCAGCACAAATGGACTAAGACAAACCAATCCTGGGTGGCCCTTCTCCAAGTGGTAACACAGGGACCCAGGCTTCCACTGGCAAGGGCTTCCTTCATCTTTCTTGTGTCTTGCAGTCCTTGGTTTCTGGGCATTCAGGGGAGGAAAGAGGGAAGATAGAAGTCAGTGTGGAGTGTTATATGGCCACACTCTGGTGTCCAGCCCTCAGTTGCTTGCCCCCACTTAGGCACAGAGAGCTGGGAAATTCTGCTCAGCTGTGTGCCCAGAGAAAAGAACAAGATACCGATGAACATTCCTGAAAGGAATGGGCAGGGGAGTCATTTCACTTTTAATTTTGGTACAAGTAACTTATTTTTTGGAGGTATGGGCCAAAAAAAGAGACCATATTGGTCATTTGTATATTAAAACATTTAAACAAGACTAGGGTGACATGAGGCAAAATTGTGAAGAGACTAGAAGTTGGATTTTACTGTTCCCCTCACTTCTCGCTCCTCTGCTTCTTCTTTTTATTCAGTGACTTTTGGTCTTCCAGCCTGCCAGACCCCCAGCACAGGCCCCCCAAGCAAGCCAGCCAGTCTCATAGAACTGCTTCATATTTAAGACAATGATGTCCATTAAAATATGTCTTATTTCCTCAGAGCCATATTGTCTGATAGGTGACAGCTTATTAATCTGATAAAGTAATTCATGCAGCTAGAATAATGATTATTGTGGGAATTGTGTTACTAGGCCCACATAACCTGTATTTTTAATAAATTCCTTCTAGAGACAATGCCTTATTCCAAATAAATTGCTCTAATGGTCAGAATTGCTCAAATAGTTAGAATCTCCCTTTGCGACCAGTTCAAAGAAGACTATATGCATGGTCAGCTCTGACAGAAAGATTGAACATCTTCACTTTGTTTCCTTTTCCTTAACATTTGTTTTAATTGGGGGGATGAATATATATCTGTAAAACATTTTGACATTAGGTTGAATCACTTAGTCAAAAAGGATCCTTAGAAAAGCACTACATATTTAGGAAAGAATTTTATGTAGCTACACAAGACTGCTGATATTATTTGCTTTCCTTCCTAAATATGGAAATCCAGTTCATGCAATGAGCAATAAAATGCAATGACTCCATAGGGGTCACAGTAATCATGTTAATTGTGTTCATGAATTAAAATCCCTCATTGACTATTGATTGAGAGAAGAATTACATTAGGTCCACTTCTTCCTGAAGCCAGAATATCATAGTTTTGGAGGGTTTTGTTCTGTTTTTTGATTTATGAAAAAGCAAAAATTTTTGCGGTGGGCGTCAAGGAAGTAACCCAGACCCCTTTAGTGTGAGTTTTCTCAAGAGTAGTTTCATAAAGGAGCAATTTCCAGCTTCTGCGCTTTGAGGGTGAGGAATAAAGCTGCCCTTTCTGATGTCATAAGGTGGGAGATGGACCTCTGTGGTGTGCTCCTCCAGGTATGAGAGCCAGCCTAGAGGAGCCTCTATTCCTTTTAGAAATAAATAAATAAAAGCACAGCCCTGCAGTGGGTTGGTTATAAACAAAACCTCCCCCACGGGAGCATCTAAGGACCCCAACTCCCAGAACTGCCCCCGAGGTCAGAATTTACAGGTAGTGCCCTTTTCCTTCCTTGATGCTTCCTGAACCCTACTAGTCTGTTGAGTTTTTTTTGGATCTCCAGTGACTTAGGGATAACCACTCCCATTTCAGAGATTGGGAAGCTGGGATGCAGAGAAATAAACCACTTTCCTGATATGATATATGCAATGCTTTCTCATTGGGACCTAGTCCTCTGCCCCTCTCCCAAACCAGACTTTTCCTCCTAGCACCCTTATTTGAGGTGTTCTCACCAGGCAGCAAAGGGAACATTAATTCCCATAATATTATAGACACTGCCGATCATCTGAGTTCAAATCTGGCCTGGCCCTACCCTAGCCCTGTGACTTTGCCAAATCCCCTGTGGTCCCTGGGCCTTGATCTCCTCCTCTCAGGATGGGGATGACAGGAACTGCACAGGTTAATTGTGAAGATCATGTGAGCTGACATGTGGGAAATGCCCAGCACCTGGAAAACACCAGCACACAGAACCATTAACAACTGATGATGATACTATTAATATATACTTTTAAAAGTTTATTGGGGCCTGGAACAATGGTTCATGCCTATAATCCCAGCACTTTGGGAGGCCAAGGCAGGTGGATCACTTGAGGTCAGGAGTTCGAGACCAGCCTGGCCAACATGGCAAAATCCTATCTCTACTAAAAATACAAAATTAACCAGGCATGGTGGCGCCCCCCCTGTAATTCCAGCTACTTAGGAGGCTGTGGCACAAGAATCGCTTGAACCCGGGAGGACCCGGGAGGTGGAGGTTGCAGTGAGCCAAGATTGTGCCACTGCACTCCAGCCTGGGTGACAGAGTGAGACTCTCTGTGTCAAAAAAAAAAAAAAGTTTATTGGACCCCATTCTAGATACAGTGCCCTGAGATGAAGGCTAGGATACAACAAATAGGATAGGCCTCTGCCCTCAATGGACTTGAAAATTTAATTAGAAAGATAGCCTATATGAAATACAGTTATCCCTCAGTATCTGAGGGGGACTGGTTTCAGGACACTACGCCTCCATAACAAAATCCGCAGATGCTCAAGTCCCTTATATAAAATGGAGTAGTAGAGTTGGCCTTTTGTGCCTGCAGGTTCAACCAACCACAGATCAAAAATAGTATTTTCCGCAGATGCAGAACCCTTGCATAAAGAGGGCCGACTATAATAAAACAGAGGATTTCTTTGAGCTGGAGCTGCAAAGAAAAAAATAAAAGAAGAAGAAGACAAGAGTATCTTTTCAGAGCCAAATGAATGTAATATAAAATTAGTATAATCAGAAACAAGACTAAGCAGTAATCGGAGGAAGTGTCAGGGTAACTGAGCTGGCTCTGGAAGAGAGTTTGGGAGAGACACCAGAAGAGAGAGATGAGAAAGCACTTCACCCACGCGAGGGGAAGCAGTTTGAGCAGCAACAGTAGACTCAATATTTAACAAAACATCCGAAGCTAACCCAAATGACCAATTCTGATGGTGGAGTTCAGACTCAATAAGTCACTCAGATAGCACTTTCAGAATCACTTCCTGATGCCCTGCAAGTTATGTTTTGCAAAGGCCTAGCCCACCTACCTCTGGGTCAAGCCCTGCCACATAAGATCAGTGAGTGTCACAAGGAATATTTTGGAGAGAGGTGACCTAATGGGTCAAATGACTTGATTTGCTCTTCAGAGAACCTACATTGTCCAGGTAAATGTGGATGGTTGTCTCACTAGGGTAACTACCCACATTTGCTCTTGCTTCCTTTCATAGGTGTTGGCAAGACAAATTAGAATCCTCTATGATGATACTTTCCATCCTTCTCTTCTGAAGGCTATGACCGACTCTCATCATTCAGCAGCGATTTCCAGTGGGAGAGTTGGCCCCTGTGTGTGCCCACACACATGCATGCACTTTTGGATGCAGAAGAGATCTTGAGCAAGTGGTGCTCCTTAGACTTTGAATGGAAATACGTATCTCCAGGACAGGGTCAGTAAGTCTAGGACAAGGCCCGAGGTTCTGTGTTTCTTATTTTTTTTTTTTTTGAGATGGAGTCTTGCTCTGTCCCCCAGGCTAGAGTGCAGTGGCCCCATCTTGGCTCACTGCAAGCTCTGCCTCCCAGGTTCAAGTGATTCTCCTGACTCGGTCTCCCAAGTAGTTGGGACTACAGGCGCGTGCCACCACGCCCGGCTAATTTTTTATATTTTCAGTAGAGATGGGGTTTCACCATATTAACCAGGATGGTCTCGATCGCCTGACCTCATGATCCGCCCACCTCGGCTTCCCAAAGTGCTGGTATTACAGGCATGAGCCACCGCGCCCAGCCGGTTCTGCGTTTCTAACAGGCTCCTGGGTGATGCTGAAGCTGCTGCTCCATAGACCACACTGAGAGATACAAGTGGATAACTTCCAGGTGATCTGAGTATCATGTCCATGGGGACTGGTTGAGAATCACTGCTACCTAGTGATCAGGAGACTCCCCAAGCCCCATAAGGTGAAGTCCTGCTCAGATGCACTGGTGTGTAGGCACTCTACTCTGTATTCCCTGGGAAGAATTGCCTTGACCAAGATACTGTTCCTTAGGGGCCTGATAGGCGCTTTCGACTAGAACACCTGAGACCAAGTGGACATCTTTTCCCAGAACACTTAGGTGTGGAGTCATGGAAACCTCTGCAATGTCTCCAGAACACTTTATATGTGGAAGTCAGGAGATTCTCCCATCCCCCATAAATCTGTTGAAACTTCTGCTGAAGAATTGAGTGGCTCAGGGCACAGTGAGAGAAGGCAAGAGAAATAGCAGGCGCTCAGAATTCCCTCACCTGGGTGATTTTAAGTGCTGTGTTGAGTGCCGCTCTTGGCAGCAGGAGACACCTTGCCGTTTGGGATTATGAGGGGCAGATAATCTTAAGGCCTGCGGGTAGTCAGAACAGAGCTCTGGAAGTGACATGTTCCCATTTCTTTAAAGGCTCTGAGAGAGCAGTGCGTGGCTTCTCCCACTGACATGGTGACACGCTGTGATCCGCCAGCTGCCCCTGCCCACTGTCAGCGTGGGTCACAGTCACCAAGGGCCCCGAGGTGGTGCTCTTTTTGTGCTGGACCCCCCCCATGCCCATAACTCTGAAACTACATGACATCTTAACCTTTATAAGAATTTCTTCAAGACAGCCTTTAAAAACACCCAAATCTTTCTTGACCTTTACATTTTAGCAGAGTTTTTTTTTTTTTCTTAAATTGATGTTACAATAATTTTTTTAAGCTGTGGCATTTTTAAAGCTACTTGAAGAGGAACTTCACTTTCCCTTACCCATCCTATTTGAGACCAATCATTAATCATGAAGGGAAGGCACCAAGGACTCAAACCCAGCTTTATTATGTTTTTTGTGTTTGTGACATTTTCTATCAACCAGGGGGATGTACTTACCCTTTTTTTTTTTTTTAATTATCTACAGGTTGTAGAATTTGTTTTCCAGGTTCCAGCCCTCTTCCATCACCTTCCATACTCTGCTCCGTCATGGCCCAGGCCTCTGAGAGCTTCTTCAGACTAGTGTTTGAGGAGAATGGCTTACAGGTATTACCTTTAACTTTACAAAATGCAAATCCATTTTGTCCTGGGCAAAATAGACTTTTCTACCTGTCAAGGGACAACTCAACTCTCACATTCTGGTCTTTTATTTTGTTTTTTCATAAGGGTAACCCTTAAAGAGAGAATGTAACATGATGGACCTCAGGGCTTAGGTCTGAGGTCACAAAAATCTGAGGACTCACAGGCCTCTGAGCTCCCAGCTCTAGATGGCTGTAATCAGAGCATTGAGCAGCAGCTGCACCTTCTAACCAGCGATTGTTAACCTGGAGTTTAAGGATGAATGGAAATGAATGGATAGAATTTAGATGGCTATGAACTTGAATGGGAAAAAATATATCGCATCTTTATTTTTACCAATGTCTAATTGGAATTTAGCATTTTATTCAATTATGAATATAGGCAAGAAACTACTATGGTATTAGCAGTGCCTTAACTGTATCACCAACAGAAATCACAAATATTTTTGTATCATATTACAGTGCTTTCAGCTGTCTTGAAAAATTGCTTATATTCATGGCTACTTGAAAATATGGTAGTTATTAGTCTGCTATATCTTGTTATTTAATGCATTAATAAGGAAGCACATATACTACTACATCACCAATTTTCGTGTTTTTTAATGCTTTGATAACTATATTTCAGTGTAATTGGTTTCCTTTGTAATTACATGTATTTTGTGTTATGCATTTTAAAGCATTATTTTGAGGAGGGTCCACAGGCTTCACCAGGTGCATGCATGAAAAATGAGTAGGAAGCCCCCTTTAGATCTCCCGGTTTACCCAAGTTCCTGAGTGGCCACATCATTCACTTTCGTAGCATTCTTAATGCTTATAGGATTTTGAGTTGCTTTGCTTCCGTTCAGTGACCTTTCTGATCACTTTTTTCTTTTTCTTTTTCACAGGTGATAGTCATTCATTCATTTTATCATTGATTTAGTTAAAATATCCTTACTGACCTTTATTAGGCTTTCTGTCACTTGTGAAAGATTATCAAGTGAATAAGATATAGTACCTGCCTCCAAGATCTTAGACTCTAATAAGAAGTTTATCGTTCCTATAAATGCCTTTTTAAATTATAAGCATTCTGTGCTGTTACTTCCATCACTAGCAAGATTTACATCTGAGTAGCAAAGAACACCTCATCCAACCTTAGGCCAGGTGATGTCAAGGGAGAGAAATTTGTTTCTTTTTCATCTTCTTCCAGAAATTATAAGGACGTTTATCCAATACCATTTATTAAGTACCAATTAGATGTATGGGTGAGAGAGATAGATGACTATAGATGACTCCCAAATTCCTGACTTGTGTCCCTGAGTGGTACATGCAACTTATCAGCAAGAAACAGAATGTGTGAGAGGGGAAAGGGCAGATCAGGCTTCTGGGGAAAGAAAAATGTTGAATTCTGAACATGGTGAGCTTGAGATTGTGTGATTATAGTTGGATATACGGATCTGAGGGTCACAAAAAAGTTTGGGTTTAAAATCCATAGATGAAAACCATCAGTCATATAATTGATAAGTAAAGCCATTGCAATGGATGAGATTGCTCTTTTAACATATGAACATGCATTCTTTGGAGACTTTCAAGTAGCTGAAGACAGTAACAGGTGTGTAGTAAGTAACCTCCCAACCCGCAGCCCCCCTCCCCAGTCCCACTGCACCCTACCAAACGATACAAAATTGCGTCAGAACTATGAAAGTACTATGCAAAACCACACTCTCAATATTGCTTGGAGAGAATGCCAAGTGTATTTTTTTAAGTGAGTAAAAAGGAAAAAGAAACAAATCCTCCCTTTCTCCACTTATAGAGCTTTGCTGCAAGCAGAGGCCCACCAATAAAAATTGCTAGGAAGACAGAGGAGGTACACAGGCAAGAGGACTTTAGAGAGAGTTGGAGAGGGCACCAGAAAGCTTACATAGAGCAGGACTTCAGGAATAGAATTTCAAAGTGTGTGCTTTTTAAAGGGCAGGCAGCTACTTAAAGGGCCAGGCACACAATTAAAAGGGACAGACAGTACCCTTTTGAATTGAGTAAGCATGATTTAAAGGGACAGTTCTCCAAACACATAGCTTCTGTGACATGGAGAAAGGAAAAAAAGAAAAAGGAGAAAGAGGTATCCTTTAAAAAAAAAAAAAGTAAGTTTTATTGTTTATGTTTGAGATTTACCCACATGATGTTACAGGATACATATAGACGTACAATGGTTACTATAGTGAAGCAGATTAACACATCCATCACCTTACATAGTTACTTTTTTGCGCATTATAGGAGCAGCTAAAATATATTTAACAAAAATCCCTAATATGGCACAATTTTATTAACTTTAGACCTTATGTTGCGCATTAGAACTCTAGACTGGTTCATCCTGCATATCTGCTACTTTGTGTCCTTTGACCTACATCTCCCCATTTCCTCTCCCCCTCCACGAGTAGTGACCACCATTTTATCCTCTATCTTTGTGTGTGCTTTTTAATATATATTCCACATTTAAGTGAGATCATGCAACATTTTTCTTTCTGTGTCTGCCTTATTTCACTTAGCATAGTGTCCTTCAATTCCATCCATGTTTTGGCAAATGGCAATAGCTCCTCTTTTAAAGCAATATAATATTTTATCACATATATATCACATTTTCTTTATCCATTCATCCTTTGATGGGCATTTAGGTTGTTTCCATATCTTGGCTATTGTGAATAATGCTGCAATAAACATGGGAGTGAAGATATCTTTATGAGGCAATGATTTCATCTCTTTTGGGTATATACCCAGAAAAGTGATTGCTGTGTCATATGGCAGTTCTATATTTAACTTCTCTAGAAACCTCCATACTGAAATGGCTGTACCAATCTACATTCCCACCAACAGTGTACTGGGGTTTTCTTTTCTCCACATGCTCACCAACATTTGTTATCTGTTCTCTTTGTGATAGTAGCCACCATCCTTATGGATGTGAGGTGATTATCTCATAGTGGTTTTAATTTGCATTTCCCTTCTGATTAGTCATTTTGAGCACCTGTTCATATACATTTTGGCCCTTTAGAAATTGGTTAGTAAAGCAGAACAAAATGAAAAATGTAGATTCCTGTAAGAAAAAAATAGATCAACAAAATTGGAGGACTCACAATTCCTCCACTACCACCAAAACAAACGAAAACCTGCTAAAGTACCAGAATTTCACTAGACTAACAGAAAAGGGTGCCATTTAACCAAGATCATGTAAAATACTCCAATATGACAATGTGTTTTTGAATAACAGAAAAGTAAAATCCAAAAAGGACAATTGCAAAATGAATTTTCACACAAATCACCTGAGGAAAATTTAACATGAAGTAGAAGAAAATTTTAAGTTTATACTCCAAACTGAATTATATATATCCTAACAAGCATTTGTGGATATGAAAAACCACCTCAAATTAGAAATTCAAATACTAAGAACAGAAATGGACAAAAAGCAGGGAGGAATGAAAAAAAAAAAACAACTCAGGAAAGAAGGCAAAGGAAAAGACAATACTACCTCAGAAATAAAGGATAAATTACAACATACCCAAGGGAAAACTGACTCAAAAGGAAATCTAATAAGGAACGTTGAAGAAAGGCCAGGAAACAACCAAGAAAATGAAAATAACATAAAGGAAGATATAAAGAGGACCAGAGAAAAAATGGTGGAAATAGAAGACAAGCAAAGCAGAAAAATTCGTATTATTGCATTCCTTAAAGAAGGAAAAAAAAAAACAAACCAGCTACTCTTTAAAATTGTAATCCAAGCAATTGAAAAGGCCTGAGTCTATATTTGAAAAGCCTCAGTTGATACCTGGAAATATTAACCTAGAATGATCAAATATTAACCTAGAATGATCAAAACTGATACATATCCTGGTAAAACTACTAAATTTCAAAAACAAAGATAAAATCCTCAATACCTCCAGGCAAAAAGAACAAATAATTTGTGTTGGCAAACAAATTCAATTAGCAACAGAGTTTTTAAAACAAACATACAAAGAAGGCAACAATAGAATAACATTTTTAAAAAACTCAATGAAAGAAGTTGTGAGCAAAGGAGTTTACATGCAGCCAAGCTATGCTTCGAGTATCAAATAACAATTTTCAATATATAGGAATTTATGGAATTATATACCAATAAACTGTTCTTGAAGAATCTACTAAAAATGAGTTTCACTCAACTAAATGATACCTGGCAAAACATCAACTAAAGGACTGATAGTGAGCACTTAAATATATATACATGTATGTATAATACTAAAAGATTGGAACTGAGGTGAAAGACTAAAATACAGCTATTGTGTATTGTGATAAAGTACAAATACTGTAGGAGAAGGGAAAAAAGTCGATATGCCTATATTGCTGTATAGGTATTAAGTAGATTTTAAAAGATCAAAATCCTGATTTTGTGAAAAAGTTAACAAAATAAGTAAACCATTAGCTAACTTGACCCAAAAAGGGGAAAATGTACACATATATAAAATAAGATATGAAAAGAGGAAAACATCATTGAAAGAGAACAAATTCTTAAAATCATAAGAGTCTAATTTGCAGACTTCCATGCAAATACATTCAAAAACCTAGTTAAAGTAGATAATTTTCTAGAAAAATACATATTGATCTCATTAGGGTTACAAATCAGATAAATTTCCATCTAAGAAATAGAAAAAGTTATTAAGAAACTCCCCCTACAAAAACATCACTAGGCACAGATGATTTCACAAGAGAATTCTACCAAACCTTTAAATACCAGCTAGTTCCAATGCTATATAAATTGCTCCAAAGCATTCAGAATAAAGGAAAACTTCCTAATCCTTTTTATGAAACAACTATAATGCTCACACCTAAACAGATAAAGAAAATATCAAGAAATAATACTACAGAACATCACTCATAAATATCAATGCAAAAATTATAAACAAAATGTTAGCAAATATAATCCAACACACATTAAGATAAAAATACACATGATACAGTGAGAATTATGCCAGGAATGCAAGTGTGATTAGGTGATCTATTATTAGGTGACCCATTAATAGGTGATCCATTAATATCATATATCATTATATATTAGTTTCTTATGGCCAATAATAAATTACCACAAACTTGGTGGCTTAAAATAACAGAAATGTGTTCTCTCACAGTTTTGGAGGCCAGAAATACAAAATCAAGGTGCCAGCAAGGCCATGCTCCCTCTGGAAGCGATAGGACATAATCTGTTTATTACCTCTTCTAGTTTCTGGTGCCTATCATATTCTTTCACCTTCTTCTTTGGTTTGGATGTGTTTTGTGTCCACCAAAATTCAAGTTAGAGTTTAATTGCCAGTGAGACAGTATTGGGAAGTAGAGCCTAGTGGGAGATGTTTGGGTCAAGGGGGCAGATCTCTCATGAATGAATTAATACCATCTTGCAGAAATGAGTTATCACTCTCATGGGAATGGATTCATTCCCCAGAGAGTGGGTTGTTATAAAGTGAGAGTCTTCTTTCTGTTTGGTCTTTCCTTGATGTGCCTGCTTACTTTCTGTTTCTCCACCATGTCTTGATGAAGCTCACTGCCCTCACCAGAAGCTGAGCAGATACAGGTGCCATGCTCTTGGACTTTCTAGCCACCAGAATCATGAGCTAAAGACACCTCTTTTCTTTATAGATGATCCAGTCTCAAATATTCTGTAATAGCAATGCAAGATAGACCAAGACACATTGCTCAGCTCATGGCCATTTCACTCCAATCTCTGACCCCATCTTCATATTACCTTCTCCTCTATGTATGTGTCCAGTCTTTTTCTGCCATCTCTTAGAAATACATTTGTGATGGCACTCAGGTCCCACCCAGATAATTCAGGATAATCCATCTCAAAATCCATAACTTAATCACATCTTCAAGGACCCTTTTTGTCCAAAGAAAGCAATGCTTGTGGGTTTCAAAGAGTAACAAGGTAGACCTATCTTTGGGGCCATTATCAGCCTACCACATTCCATTCTCTGGAAAATACACAAATATTTTCACATGCAAAATACAATTATCCCCATCCTAAAGTCCACAAAGCTCTCAACCCATCACCACCTCAACTTGAGTCCAAAATGTCATCTAAATGTCATCAGCTCCAAAATTACAAATCTCATTGTCTAAATCAGGTATATGTGAGACTCTGGGTATAATCTATCTGGGACAAAATTCCTCTCTATCATGAAACTATAAAACAACTTATCTGCTTTCGAATACAATGGTGGAGTAGGCATAAGATAATATAGACATTCTTATTCAAAAAGAGAGAAAATAGAAGAAAGAAAGTGGTCACAACTCCAAAGCAATTTTGAAGTACAGCAGGAAGAAATCTCTTAGGTTTTAAGGATTGAGGATAATCATCCTTTGTGGCCCAAGGACATACCCTTTGCACCCACTGCTCTGCCCTCTACACCCATGGATGCAGCCACTGTGCCTGTAGATCCAGCTTCAGAGTCATCCTTTTTCTTGAGAGTTAGCATATGCTTGCACCTCGGTAGTTTTATCAGCTTGTTTCCTGCCCATATAATATTTTGAGTCCAACAACCTTCTTTAATTTTCTTCTGTCCTTGTCATTTGTAGTCCAAGCTGGGAGTGCTTCTACTGCTATAATATTCTCAAAAACCATGTGGGTTTCCTGCGTGCATTATAGACATTCCCACCATGAAACAAGAGGGTCCTCCACAGAACTTTCCTGAATAATACCATCTCTATTCCTGGATTCTGCTGAGATGTTTGAGTGAATCCACAACTCATACACCTAAATCTCTTCAACACTAGCAAGAGGTTGTCCAGCCACACCTTTGGCCTTCTCTCCAGATCACACTTCCTAACAGTGAACTTCTCCCTTTTAGCATCATTTGCAATCTTGATTGCAATTCAGAGAATTTCCCAAATCATCAGGTGCTGGTACCTTTTTGTTTAACAGTTCTTTCCTCAATTTTTCTCTTTCCTCTGGCATTTTACCATAAACGACAAGAAGAAACCAGGCTACACCTTCAATACCTTGTTTGGAAATCTCCTCGGGTAAATATCCAAGTTCATTTCTTTCAAATTCTCTTTTGCACACAACCATGGGTAACAATTCAGCTAACTTTTCTGCTACTGTATGACAAAGATCATCTGTCCTCCAGTATCCTATAATGTGCTCTTCATTTTCTTCTGAGTCCTCAGCTGGTGTGCTTTATCATTCCTATTTCTAACAACAGTCTCTTTAAGACAATTTAGGCTTTTTCTATCATGCACCTGAAAACTTTCAGCCTCTTTCTATTAAACAATTTCAAAGCCATTTCCACGTTTTAGGTATTTGTTACAGCAGCATCCCACTTCCTAGTACCAAAACCTGTATTAGTTTTCTATGGCCACTGTAATGAATTACCACCAAGTGTGGTTTAAAACAACAAAATTTTATTTTGTCACAGTTCTGGAGGCGAAAAGTCTGAAATCAAGGTGTTGACAGGGCCTGGGCATGGTGGCTCATGCCTTTAATCCCAGCACTTTTGCAGGCTGAGGCAGGAGGAACACTTGAGTTCAAGAGTTCAAGACAAGCCTCAGCAACATAGTGAGACCCCATCTCTACAAAAAATTTTAAAAATTATCCAGGAATGGTGACATGCCTCTGCAGTCCCAGCTATTCAGGGGGCTGAGGTAGGAGGATTGCTTAAACCCAGGAGGTTGAGGCTGCAAAGAGTGTGATTCCACCAGTGTTCCCCAGCCTGGGTAACAGAGGGAGACTCTGTCAAATTAAATAAATAAATAAAGTGTTGACAGGACCATGCTCTCTCCATAGGCTCGGGACGATAGCCTCTTCTAGCTTCTGGTGGCTTCTAGCATTCCTTGGCTTGAGTCTACATCACTACAATCTCTGTCTCCATCTTCATGCCACTTTCTCCTCTATGTGTCTGTCAAATCTCACTCTATCATCCTCCTACATGGCCCACATAGATAATCCAGGACAATTTTCTCATTTCAAGATCCTTAATTGGCCGGGCGCGGTGGCTCACGCCTGTAATCCCAGCACTTTGGGAGGCCGAGGCGGGCGGATCACGAGGTCAGGAGATCGAGACCATCCCGGCTAAAACGGTGAAACCCCGTCTCTACTAAAAATACAAAAAATTAGCCGGGCGTAGTGGCGGGCGCCTGTAGTCCCAGCTACTTGGGAGGCTGAGGCAGGAGAATGGCGTGAACCCGGGAGGCAGAGCTTGCAGTGAGCGGAGATCACGCCACTGCACTCCAGCCTGGGCGACAGAGCGAGACTCCGTCTCAAAAAAAAAAAAAAAAAAAAAAAAAAGATCCTTAATTTAATTACATCTGCCAAAATTTTATCATATAAGGTAACATTTACAAGTTCCCAGGATTAGAACCCAATGTCTATGGGTAGCCATTATTCATCCCACTACACATAATAATGTCTAAAGGAAAAAATACATATAATCATCTCCATAGACCAAGAAAATGCTGAGAAAGCATTTGACAAAATTTAACACATACTTATCATAAAACGACTCCTATATGTAGGAAATGATGGATACTTGCTCAACATGATAATTGGTCCTATAAAAGGAAAATATCTTGGACCCCCAGAATCACTAAGCTAAAGGGAAAATTCAACCTGGGAACTGCTCAGGGCAAATGTGCCTCCCATTCTTTATTTAAAGTTATCCCTCTACTCACTGAGATAGATGCATATTCTGATTGCCTCCTTTGGAAAGGCTTATCAGAAACTAAAAAGAATTCAATCATTTGTCTCACATCTACCTGTGACCTGGAAGCCTATTCCCTGCTTTGAGTTGTCCCCTTCTTTCTGGACAGAACCAATGTACTTCTTACATATATTGATTGATGTCACATGTCTCCTTAAAATGTATAAAACCAAGCTGGGCCCCGACCACCTTGGGCACATGTCATCAGGACTTCCTGAGGCTGTGTCACAGGTGCACATCCTCAATCTTGGCAAAATAAACTTTCTAAATTAACTGATACCTGTCTCAAATTTTGGGGTTTCATAGTCCTGAAGTCATTATCTTATTTAATGGAGAAACAATAGAGATGTTTCTATCAACATCAGAAGCAATACATAAATTTCTACTATCTCTGATACTGTTAGAGATATTAGCCAGTGCAATTAGATATGAGAAATCAATGAAAGGCAGAAGAGTGACTAAATGAGTGGTAAAATTCTATATTTGCAGATGATATAATATATGTGGAAAATCCCAGAGAATCAATAATAAAGCCAATTCAAAAAATAAAATAATTTACTGAAGAAGGATGTAAAATCAACATAAAAATCAATAACTTCATATAAGCAAACAATAAACAGGACATAATGGTAAAAAAAACACCATTTAAATAGCATCAAAATATAGTAAGTACTTATGAATAAATTTAACTTGAGGTATGAAAACCTATACATGGAAAATATCAAAACACTCCTAACAGACAGTAATAAAAACTTGAATAAAAGGAAAGACATCCCCCTGTTCTTGGATAGAATTATAACATTATGAAAATACCACTTCCCCCAAGTTAATTTATAAATGTAATACAATTCCATCAAAATATGAATAGACTATTTTCTGGAGTTAGAGATTTTGATACTAAAGTTCATATGAAAACAAATGACATGTAAGAACGAGGTAGAAAAACACTGAAAAAGAAAAGCTGTGGTGATTAGGCTTATCAGAAATTAAAACATTTGCTAAAGCCTGGATAATTAAAACAGTGTGGTACTGGAGCATAAACAGAGAAATAGACAAGCCAGTGGAAGAGAATAGTCCAGAATTAGACCAAAATACATATGGAAATTTAGTATATGACAAAAGTGGCATCTCAAACCACTAGGGTAAAACATACCATATAGCAGCAGAATAAACTCCAAGTGGATTAGCGATGTAAATATAAAAACTAAAACCACATAGTATAGAAAATAAATGGCTATATTATTATTTAGACTTGGTAAGGAAAGGCTTTCTAACTATGATTTAAAATCCAGGGGCAATTTTTTAAAAGATTAATAAATTTGACTGCATTTTTTGTGTGACAAAAACCACCATAAACAAAATCAAAGAACAACTAACATATTGGGAGAAAATATTTGTAACATAAACTAGAGAAAAAAGGCTAATATTCCTTACACATAAAAAAATCTTTAAAATTGAAGGACAAAATCCTGAGGTAAAAATGAGGAAAAGGCATAAACAGATAATTTCATTTTAAAAAAAAAGACAAAGATTCAAAATGGCTTTTAAACATGCAGAAAATGGTTAAACTCACTGATAATTAAGGAAATCCCTTTCTCATTTATTGAATTGGCAAAAATAAAACAAATATGAGAATACATTCTGTTGTTAAGGCTTGTTGGTGAAGCTATGGGGAAATGGGCACTTTCCCTGTTAGAAATGCAAATTGGTACAATCCTTTTGGAGGGATATTAGGCAATATCTAACCGAAGTACACATGCATTTCCCTTTTCACCTAGCAATCCCACTTCTAGGGTATGTATCTCTGACAATACAAAAATGCATACGCATAAACTTACTCATTATGTATTGTTTATAATTGCAAAACACTGGAAACAACTTAAATGCCCATCATGGAAGAGTGCTTGAATAAGCTGGTACAATAACATGGAGTACTATGCAAATGTATAAAACAATGGGGAAAGTCTCTAGAGTGGATATGGGGTGCTTTCCATGACATATTAAGTAACGGAAAAAAAACAACAACAAAACCCAAAACCCAAAAGATGTGATTTTGGGTTATGTGATTCTTTGTGTAAGAAATCAGATATAAGAAAACACACAGGTATCTGATCCTTTATGGAAAAAAAAAATCAAGAACAATAAACAGGATTTGAATAAACTCGAAGTATCTCCCTCAAAACACTTATCAGCTACAAAGAGAAATACAGTAACTGTATAGTTGTAACCACCCAATGGGTTCTTCCTGCCTGCTCTCCAGAGAGAGCCAATTTATCAAGACAGGGGAATTTCAATAAAGAAAGTTTTACACATATAGAACTGGATAAACAGGAGACTAGAGTTTTATTATTATGCAAATCAGCCACCCTGAAAATTTGGAGACTATGGTTTTTCAAAGATAGTTTAGGAGAGGGGGGTGGCTAGGGAATGGGTGCTGCTGATTGGTTGGGGGTGCAATCATAGGGGTGTGGAAAATGGTCCTCATGAGAAGCTAAGTCCACTTCTGGGTGGAGCCAGGACCAGTTGGTGGGTCTGGGTGGAGCCATCCATTTTCAGAAACACAAAAATCTGAAAAGTCATCTCAAAAGGCCAATCTTAGGTTCTACAATAGTGATGTTATCTGCAGGAGTAATTGGGAAGTTGCAAATCTTGTGACCTCTGGAATAATGGCTGGTAATCATTTATATCTACATGTTAACAGAATTCAGGTTCCTTTCATCCTCCTAATCTGGTGGTCTTTCATCAGCTTTACACAAAGGTGGTTTAGTTTTGAGGAAGGGATATAATCTGTTAAACTATAAACTAAACTTCTCCCAAAGTTAACTTGGCCTAAGCCCAGAAATGAGTAAGGCATTTTGGAGGTTAAAAGCAAGATGGGGGTTGGTTAGATCAGATCTCTTTCACTGTCATAATTTTCTCACTGTTATAATTTTTGCAAAGGTGGTTTTATAATGGAGAAACCAGCAGACACTAACCTAATGGAGTGCTCAAAGTAAATATCACCATTAATAAGGCATATCAACATCATGAATCCCTTGGCATGATGTGCTGAAAAGGGATATAGTATCATTTCTGTGGTATTCTTGCCAAAATGGCATAACCTCACTCTAATCATGACAAAACGTTAGACAAACCTAAAATGAAGGACATTCTACCAAATTACTCATCAGTGTATTTATAGGTAGACAGGCATAAGCAGGGCAGGAGAGGGCTCTTCCCCCACCCACTAAAAATGTCAGGTGATGGTTTGGCAATTATCACATTGCCTCTCTAAAAGTGATAAATTGGCAGCCAGCGCCAGGGAGAGGCCATTTCCTGATTGTCTGCACCTGTTGCACTAAAGTGTGAACTTAATGTAGGTACCAGGGAAACACAACTTCCCAGACATGTGCATTAGGAGATAAAATGGCAGAGTATGGCCTTCCAGGGTCATGCCATGAGAAAAGGGAAGAAAGCCTCCAATGGGCATGCATACAACTTCCTAAACACAGTGCACATGCTCAACTCCCAAGGGTAAGGAGGGCACTGTGCATGAGGGCAGCCCCCTTTAAAGGAAGAATCATGGGAAAGAGGCCAGCCTATAAAGTCCTAGGATCAAGGTTAAACACTACAATTGACCTTCACATGCCCACTTGGGTCTCTTCCAAGCGTACTTTCTTTTCTTTCCTTTTCTAAAGTCTTTTTAAATAAACTCCCACTCCTACTCTGAAAGTTGCCTTGATCTCTTTTTCTGCTTTATGCCCCTCAGTCAAATTATTTCTTTTGAGGGGGCAAGAATTGAGGTTGCTGCAGACCCGTATGGATTTGCCGCTGGTAACTCGGATACCTTCCACTGGTAACAATCAGTATCCTTCGAAAAGTGCCAAAGTTATGAAGGACAAGGAAAGACCAGGGAACTGTCACAGATTGGAGTCAACTAGGGAGAAATACAACTCAATACAATGTGGGGTCCTGGATAGGCTCCTGAGACAGAAAAATGATATTTGGGTCTCTAGCCATACCACCCTGAACACACCCAATCTTGTCTGATCTTGGAAGCTAAGCAGGGTCGGGTCTGGTTAGTACTCGGATGGCAGAAAAATGATATCTGCAGGAAAACTGGTGAATATCAGATGCAGTCTGTAGCTTAGTTAAAAATATTGTACCAACATCAATTTCCTATTCTTGATAATCATATTAAGATGATGAGAGACAGTCAACATAAGCAGAAGCAGGGTGAGGGATTAAAGTAACACTTTCTAGTATTTTTGCAATTTCTTAAAGTCTAAAATTAATTCAAAATAAAATAATGTTTTAAAACTAAAAATAAATAAATAATTAAGTAAAATGGATCTCTTCTATTAAGGGTTTTCTAGAAATCTCCATCTTTCCACCACTCTCCTATAAAAGTTTCAATAACATTTTCCAAAACCACTTATCACTATTCTAAACTGCCAGTGATCAAAAGGGCAGCCTTGCAGGTTGCCAAATTAGTGAAGAAGAGGAGAAAGCTAGAAGGAAGAGGAAGTGGAGCATCTGAGGGAAAGATTTTTAAATGACCTCCTTTGTGTTGCTAAATTTATTCATATCCTGGAATGGGCTACAACCATCACAAGGACACAAAAATCATCAGGTAAATTCAAGGACTTTTTAAAAATGCATCTAACCACCTCCTGTCCAAAACATTCAAGCTTAACCTTTCTCCTGAAAATGCAATCTGCTCTCTACACCCTGCCTGCATACCAGATTCTGAGACCTAGATTGCCACAGGAGCAGAACCATCACCTTGTCCTGATTCAATAGGTTCTTGTTGTTACATTATCAGCTTAAGATCCTGGGGTATGTGGAGATGTGCCTATTCATTGCTGAAAGACTTCATGCACAATTTATGTCCTTCACATAACTTTGTCCTTAAAAGCTATTTTCTGAATCCATTTCAGTTGTGTTTTCCCAACAGCCATATTAGGAGGTGACTGTTGTTTTTGCATATTCAAAGTAAAAGAAATGAGACAAATATCTCAAAATGATTGAGGTGCTCACAATAAAAAGGTAGTGATAAAGATAGTACCAGATCTCGTATCTGTAGCTTCTGTGCCCTTTTTCGTAGTCCAGAGGACTCAGCTACTCTAGCAAATGGATATATGAGAACTAGTGACCACAGTTAATCCAGCTGACATGACACCAGCCATTACATTCAAGTGCAGCGACGCATTTTGCATTGCTTAGCTCTTTCTAGTTTTCAAAGCCCTCTTCACATATTTTATTGAATTTGATCCTCAAACCACATTGTAATGTAAGTAGAATAGCTATTTCCTTTTGGTAATCCTAACATCATGCCATTCAATATATAAATAAAGCCCCTTTATTTATATTACCTTATCTAGGTCCCACTAAAAAAAAATATATAAAGTAGCAGTGTCCCCATTTTCTAGATAACTGAGGCTCAAAGATTAACTGGTCCAAAGACACCCAGGCAATGAGGGGGAAGATGGAATATAAGAGCAAGTCTTTTGACTCATATTTCCCCCACTGTGCAATAGCTGCATACCAAAATGAGGAAAAATTACAAGTTTCTGACTATGAGTCCAAAAATGAGTTAACATGTGACTTTATACTAGAGGAGAATCTAATGAGGTCACTCTGCTTAGCTGTTTAGCTACCACTGCTATCCCAGTGGGACTGGGCAAGAATAGAACCAAGTCATGCAAGTAAGAGCAGCATCTGATCGGGCGATGGGCTTGTATTCAGGTTGTTATCTCTATGGATAGCTGTGGTTCCCTGAGGAACCATTCCAAAGACGTTAGAAGAGCCAGGTAGAACCCACATTAATTCATTGGTTAAAGCTCAGAAATAATCATGAGGTCTCTGAGACAGGTGACAATTAGTCATAGGACGGCTCCTATTATACACAAAATTTCGTTGAGCCAGCTCTCCATACTTTACTTCTTGCCCTAGTGTATCTTAAAGATGTGGTTTTCCCCTTGCCTAATCCAGGAGAGCTGGATTTCATAACTAACAGGACTTTAGACTTGTGCTTCACCTTTCAGCAGGCTGCTGGGTTCCATGATGTCCCAGAGCCTGACTATGTGCTTATGATAAAAAAATAAAAAAATAAAAAAATAAACTGAAGAGGGACCCCAGGCTGCAGGAGTGAGATGGGCATGCGAAGAATTGCATTTTCTCTGGTTCCTAGGTATGCTGAAGATGGCATCCAGGAGAAACCTTCTGGCCATCCCTCAAACTGTCCCATAGCTCAGCTGGCAGCTGCGACTTAACTTACAGTGACATCAGCAACATGATGAATTCCATTGCCAGCAGCCTGGACTCCAGGAGGCGCCCCAGGCGTGGCTGATGTGCACAGGTAGGAGCCTGTCCTCTGCGTGGCCTCTGCACTGGAAGAGCTTCAGGGCCTTTTCCTCCAGGGCTGATGGGATTTGTGTTTCGCCTCTGTTTGTTTTTATGTACCTCTGTTTGGGGAAACTTTCAAGCATGCAGAGCAACATTCTGATAAATAGTGCAGTGAGGAGCTGTGCTGCATCCTGGAGCCGAAGGTCACAAGGAAGAAACCAAAACCGGTAAACTCAGGGGTGTTGTGGCCCGAATCTGTAAATCCAAACAATCTCACAGTTATGAAATGGAAAGTTTGTGGGGAAAAACAAATGCTTTGGTTATTACAGTGTTACTACATTCATAAAATATATTTCATTGGGGGGGAGTTTACACAGGGGGTAATGAGATTTTTGCTTTATACATTATTTATAACTGCTTAATCCAGGTACTGTGGGTTATTTTTTTATTCCTTCATTTTCACAGCTACAAAACACTTCAGTATTTCTAATGTATTTCTGCTTACAATACAGATGTTCTCAATTGTGTTTCTAACTACATTTCAACCGTTATGATCACGTTTATTTGTTTGTGTCAGCACACAAGCTGGGGTTGAATGTGCAACACACAATAGTAAGGCTTCAAGAAGCCTGTAAAAAGGCCTCTTGTGCTTTCATTATCAACAAATTAAAATATGCTGTGTGGCACTATCTTTATCATCAGTGGTTTTAATCTTTGGATAATTCCCCTACAGTTGGGTAGGCAGAGCGACAGCCCTCTCTCGGTGCAGAAAGGTTGCATGCCTTAAAACAGCACTTTTCAAGATGACCATTTGGAAGCAACATTTGGAGAACATTTGGGTTATGTCCTCTAACTGAATTTCCAAGCTGTTGGTAACGGACTAAAGAAAATGCAGTCTGTACTGAATACTAAGAAAGCAAGAGTGGAAGAGCCTTGAAGGTCATGTGTAAATATTGACATTTTAATTTTATTTAGTATACCAAGTTGGGGCCCTTGCATTGCTTATCTTGCCATAAAAACTCTTCACCCACTTGCACTGCCCTGCAGATTGTCAGGGAAAGATCTGATCTGAGCAGCCGTGGCTACTCTTCCTGCCATTGCTAACAAGACTGAATTTTGTTTGTGCAAAATCTGAGTCAAAGGGGTGTTCCTCCCCTCTCATCTCCATCACGGACTGATGCGCCTGATTAGATAACAGAAATTTGTGGGCTGAATGTTCATGTAGAGACATGAAAGCCAAGATGCAAAACCAGTCAGAGAAAACAGCCTCCCACTCACTCACAGAGTCAAGTCAGGTGTCTAAAACCAAAGTTATTTGGGGAACCAATAACTGGCTAATTTGGCCAGAACACCCTTCTCTGTGTCCTCAGCAGCAGCATGAGGAAGAAATACCAGCATGTCCTCAGGCCTTGTACCCTTCTTAGAAACCAGAACTCTACCTGCGGAGCTTAATCAGGGCCACATTCTGAAAGTGAGATGCAGGCGACAGCCAGGTCTCTCCACCAGCAGCAGTGGTTAGAATGCCCCACGCACTTAACAACTTCCGGGACACATTTGACTGTTGACCTAAAACAGCACTGCTTTCCTCTGCCAAAGCAAAGAGCCTGGCTCATGTAGAATAGGCCAGCAGTTTGGTAACTTGCCAGAGGCTCCTGTCTCCCTACAGTGAGGTCACCAGAATCACTTACCTCCTGAAACACAGTCGACTGAAATGAAGGTCCAGCAGAAATTAGGGGCCAGTGAGTTAAACATGGAGGAACCAGGGCCACTTCAGATGGTCTTTGGCCTAAAAGGTTTTCCCTAAGTGCAAAGAAGAAAATTGAATGTGGGAAAAAAATGATCTTTTAATGCTTCATAACTCAACTCTCTGACTTACCTCAAAAAGAGAGAAATAGTGTAAAAAGCCAACACCATTTTCTGCCCTCTACATTTGGGTTTCAAAAGGTGTTCCTCAAACAATGATCTGGCTTCCATGCCAAAATAAATGTCATGATTTACACCTCATGCTTATGTTTGCAATCCTAATCACCCTTCCCTATGCCAGCTTTATAAGTCTTGCTCAGTTCCACTATTGAAATAGTACACTTGGATTCAAACAACACTCAAAACCCTTGTTTTTTGTTTTGTTTCATTTTTAACTATTACTGAGTGGTAGGGTCAATCCCATTCAAAATTCCCAAGTAGACAAAATCTGTGTCTGTGGCCCTTCCCCTTCCCCTCACCTTCTTGGCAGCCTCCCTCCATTCCCACTGATGAACTTCCAAGCTTCCTGCAGCTCCACTAGTCCTTTTCAACCAAAGGAAAACAAAGCAGTTTCCTACATTAGCGTATCTGCCTTTGTAAAGTAGTTTAGTGTTTTGCACAAACCAAGAGAATGTTCATTTTAAAAGCAGGAAAGAAAGCCAAAGGAATGAACCATTACAGATGGAGTGTCAGACACCATGGCACCTGGATAAAATATAATTTGGGGCAGGGGAGTATATTCTCATCGTCCCTAAAGTAGATGAACCAGTCAAGTCAGTACCCATAAGGCAGGCTTGATAAATCTCAGGACCAGGCCCCTCCACCCGCAACAAACACACATACACCTCTCCATTGTGATGTTTTAGGCGCAGTGTATAGTAGCTCTGCCTATCTACCCAGAACCTAATGTATTCACCTGAAAGTAAACTAACAGAGTCTGGCTGTCCTGGTGATTCTCAAGACCCTATTGCCTCCTCACTTACCCAAAGGAAAGGAGCAGTAGTTTTTTTAAAAATTCAAGAAATCAGTTAAAAAAAATATGTTAGTGTTTCTCTGAAACATCTAAGTTAGCGTGGCACAATTCATTTTATTTATAAAGAATTTGATTAACTCTGGTTAGCCCAGATTTGCTTCAGCCTGAAGCCCAACATCTCCTTTGCAGTGTGGTATCCTTCAGTTGCTCATTACTTGAGCCAACAGAGGCGGGAGGGGAGATGGAGAAAACTGGTTTTATTTGAGCTTGTGAAAATGCCTTTTTGTCAAGTTCAATGTCATAAGTTTTCTTCCACAAGAAAGTAGAATATACTTTCTGGTGAGCAATAGTTCTTTATTGTATAGAAATGGTTCCTAATTCTCAGCAGATAGAGATTTGAGAAAACAGGGGAGTTCTCCCAAGTCACAAAGAATAATGTGATGGTCAACGTGATAGACGGTTGTACGCTTTGATAGCTAGTTTCACACTGATTTTCTGACACATGAGAGAGGAGCAGTGCCTGTTGCCCAAGGAAGGCAATCTGCTGGGAGGAGGAACACAAACATCCCCAAAGGCTACCAGGTCAACTGTCATTTTCAAAATTACCATTAAAAGTAGGCTGGTGGGCCGGGCATGGTGGCTTAAGCCTGTAATCCCAGCACTTTGGGAAGCCAAGGCGGTTGTATCACAAGGTCAGGAGTTCAAGACCAGCCTGGCCAACATGGTGAAACCCCATCTCTACTCAAAATACAAAAGTTAGCCAGGTGTGGTGGCTGGTGCCTGTGGTCCCAGCTACTCAGGAGGCTGAGGCAAGAGAATTGCTTGAGCCCGGGAAGTGGAGGAAGCAGAGAGCCAAGACTGAACCATTGCACTCCAGCCTGGGTGACACAGTGAGACTTCGACTCAAAAACAAAAACAAACAAACAAAAAATTAGCTGGGTGGTGGTAGGTGCCTGTAGACCCAGTTACCTGGGGGTTGAAGCAGGAGAATCGCTTGAACCCGGGAGGCTGCAGTGAGCCGAGATGACACCACCGTGTTCCAGCCTAGGCTGCAGAACAAGACTCCATCTCAAAAAAAAAAAAAAAAAAAAAAAAAGGAGACTGGGCAAAGTGGCTCATGCCTGTAATCCTAACACTTTGGGAGGCTAAGGTGGGAGAATCACTCGAGGTCAGGAATTTGAGACCAGCCTGGGCAACATAGTAAGACCCTGTCACTACAAAAAATAAGAAACAATTAGCCAAGCATGGTGGTGTATGCCAGTAGCCCAGAAATTCAAGGTTACAGTGAGCTATGGCACCACTACGTTCCATCCTGAGCAACAAAGACCTTGCCTGTGAAAAAAAAGAAAAGAAAAAAATTTTATTAAAAATAATAAGAATAGAAAACGTAGGCTGTGTATGCTAGATTAACAAAACATTCCCCCTACAAAAGGGTGAAATTTCAATTTTTCATGAAGTTTGAAATCTATAATCATCTGACATTATTTCCAGGCATGTAGAAAAAAATTCATTTGTCTTTTCATCTGGATTAGTTTATCTCCGTCAATGTGTATATCAGAAGCACCTGGGGATTCTGTGAGTTTGGGGAACATTTTTTTGTTTGCTTGTTTGTTTGTTTTCAAAATATATGGTAGTATCCCACCACAAATCTATACTAAAATGAAATTTCATAGTGTATGTCACATAAATGTGCACTTTGAAAAATCCCCAAGTAAATTTTGAGATTGGCCCTTGATTCAGTGACACTAATATAAACCCTTTCACTTACCTTTGAGTTTTGTGGTGACCAATCTTCAGATTGGAAGCCTACACCTTCTTAACTTGGTCCATGGGGGCACAAAAGGAGAGAGAGTGTAAATTCTGAGGATGACCTTGACAAAAGTGAACACAAGATTAAGAGATGTGAACCCAAAATAAAAGAAGCAAGGAACTCTCTCTTCCCTTGTCATCTTTAACTCTGCTCTCTCTTGATTGTTCTCTGTGTTGTTCACAGGCCCTTCTTCCTATACCCACTCTGTAAAGTGATTTACCCCAAAGCTCTCCACCCCTTTCACCTTGGATCTCTGGCCAGATAATCTCACCTTCCTCTGTGGCTTCAAAGCCATATACATTTGACTTCTGAATTCATCAGCTAGGGCAGCCATAACAAAGTACCACAGACTGACTGGGTGGCTTAAACAACAGAAATGTATTTTCTCACAGCTTTGGAGGCTGAAAGTCCAAGAGAAGGCATTTATGGCTTTGGTTTCTTCTGAGGCCTCTCTCCCTGGCTCGTAGATGGCTGTCTTTACCCCATGTCCTTACATGACCTTTCCTCTGTGCTGGCACTTCTGGTGTCTCTTCCCCTTCTTACAAGGACATCAGTTCTGTAGAATTATGGGCCACCCAAATAACTTCATTTTAACTTATTACCTCCTAAAGACCCTAATATGGTTTGGCTCTGTTTCTCCATCCAAATCTCATGTTGAATTGTAATTCCCAGTGTTGAAGGAGGAGCCTGGTGGGAGGTGATTGAATCATGGGGGCGGACTTCCCCCTTCCTGTTCTCGTGATAGAGTTCTCACCAGATCTGGTTGTCAGAAAGTGTGTAGCACCTCCCACTTTGCTCTCTCTCTCTCCTGTTGGCCATGTGAAAATGTAACTGCTTCCCCTTTGCCTTCTGCCATGATTGTAAGTTACTTAAGGCCTCCTCAGCCATGCTTCTGGTACAACCTGCAGAATGGTGAGTCAATTAAACATCTTTTCTTCATAAATTACCCAGTCTCAGGTATGACTTTATAGCAGTGTGAGAAGGGACTAATACAGAAAATTTGTACCAAATAGTGGGGCATTACTATAATGAAACCTGAAAATGTGGAAGCTGCTTTGGAACTGAGTAATGGACAAAGGTTGGAGCAGTTTGGAGGGCTCAGAAGAAGACAGGAAGATGAGGGAAGGTTTGAAACTTCCTAGAAACTTGTTGAATGGTTTTGACAAAATTGCTGATAGTAATATGGACAGAGATAGCCAAGCTGGTCTCAGATGGAGATGAGGAACTTACTGGGAACTGAAGTAAAGGTCATTCTTGCTATGCTTTAGCAAAGGGACTAGTGGCATTGTGCCCCTGTGCTAGAGATCTGTGGAACTTTGAACTTGAAAGACATGATTTAGGGTATCTGGCAAAAGAAATTTCTAAGCAGCAAAGCATTCAAGATGTGGCCTGGCTGCATCTAACAGCATACACTCATATGCATGCACAAAGAGATAATTTGATACTGGAACTTACATTTAAAAGGGAAGCAGAGCATAAAAGTTTGGAAAATTTACACCCTGGCCATGTGGTAGAAAAGAAAAACCCATTTTATGGGGAGAAATTCAAGCCAGCTGCAGAAATTTGCATAAGTAAAGAGGAGCCAAAGGCTAATAGCCAAGACAATGGGGAAATGCCTCCAAGGCATTTCAGAGACCTTTGCAGCTGCCCCTCCTATCACAGGTCTGGAAGCATAGGGGGGTTATATGGTTTCATGGGTCAGGCCCAGGGCCCTGCTACTCTGTGCAGCCTCAGGACATGGCTCCCTGCATCCCAGCTGCTCCAGCTCCAGCCATGGTTCAAAGGGCCCCAGATATGTCTTAGGCCACTGCTCCAGAGTGTGAAAGTTGCAAGCCTCACGGCTTCCATGTGGTATTAAGCCTGTGAGTACACAGAGGGCAAGAGTTGAGGCTTGGGAGCCTCCACCTAGATTTCAGAAGATGTATGGAAATGCCTGAATGTCCAAGCAGAAGACTGCTGCAGGGGCGGAGCCTTTATGGAGAACCTCTACTGGTGCAGTATGGAGGGGAAATATGGTCTTGGAACCTCCACACGAAGTTCCCACTAGGGAATTGCCTAATGGAGCTTTGAGGAGAGGGCCACCATCCTCCAGATTCAGAATGGTAAATCCACCAACAGCTTTAAGCTCCATTATTTTGGAGCTTTAAGATTTAATGACTGACTTGCGGGGTTTCAGACTTGCATAGGGCCTGTATCCTTTATGTTTTGGCTGATTTCTCCCTTTCAGAATGGGAGCATCTACCCAATGCCTGTACCCTCCATTGTATCTAGGAAGTAACTAACTTGTTTTTGATTTTGCAGGCTTATATTTGGAAGGGACTTAACCTTGTCTCAGATGAATATTTGGACATGGAGTTTTGAGTTAATGACAGAATGAATTAAGACTTTGGGGGACTGTTGGGAAGGCATGATTGTGTTTTGAAATGTAAGAAGGACATGAGATTTGGGAGGTGTCAGGGGCAGAATAAAATAGTTTGGTTCTGTGTCCCCACCCAAATCTCATGTCTAATTATAATTCCCAGTGTTGGAGGAGGGGCCTGGTGGGAAGTGACTGAATCATGGGGGTTGACTTTCCCCTTGCTGTTCTCATGATAGAGTTCTCACAAGATCCGGTTGTTTGAAAGTGTGTAGCACCTCCCCCTTTGCTCTCTCTCTTTCCTGCCAGCCACACAAAGATGTGTCTGCTTCTTCACCTTCCACCACGATTGTAAGTTTTCTAAAGCCTCCCCAGCCATGTTTCCTGTACAGCCTGCAGAACTGTGAATGAATTAAACCTCTTTTCTTCATAAATTATCCAGTCTCAGATATTCTTTATAGCAGTGTGAAAACGAACTAATGCAAACCCGTTTCTAAATACAGTCACATTCTGAGGCACTGGGGGTTGGGAATTCAACATATGAATCTGGGGAGACATGGTTCAGAACACAACAACTTCCAGTTATACAACTTTAATGCTACATGATGACTGGCTCATATATTTGGAAAACTTTCACACGAAGAAGGGACAAGGCAAGGACCAATGTGTGGAAGGTAAAAGCTGAAAATTTTAGCTGAACAAAAGGGAGACCTATGTGACAATGAGGGGGGTCTAGTTATTGCAGGCTGCATTCCCTGATAGTGTGTCCCTGCCACAGGAAGGGCACAGCAGATCCTGAGTGGACCACTATTGTGCCTGTCTTTGGGAAATCCAGCATAAGCCTCCAAAATCCCTTTTCCTCTTTTAATTTGATGACATTAATGAAGGAATATGAGCTCACAGGGATTAAATCAAGACGATTGAAACAAAGAAGTAGAAAGACAACATGTCTACAGAGTGTCTATAGACACGGCATAATCAGATATGAGAAAAAGGATTTTTGTGAAATTTTAGAGTTACACCCTCCCTGATATGAGCAATACAGTGGCAAGCAAGGTAGGAGAGGATGTGCTCTGTATCAAGAATGTTGAGGCCTAGGGTAAAGCTGGCAGGTAAGGGCGGAGCAAGACCAACTAAGAAGCATCTTCCCTTGGAGAAAACTGTCACTCATCAAGTGGATGTCCATGGCAATCTAAATGGAGATTTTCCCAAAGGGACTACAAATGTCAGAACTCAGGTGATTTGACATCAACAAATCTCCCTGAAAGCCACTCGGGAGAATATCTGATGGCATGAGTTAGCATCTGTGGACTAGGGTTGGAAGATCTGACTTGAGCGCCAATTCCTCTGTGTACACTAGTCAGCTGACCTAAGATACATCATTGCCTTCTCTGAGTCTCAAACTCCTCATCTGTAAAATAGAAATAATATGGCCTTATCCTGACAGCACATTGTAAAAATTGATGAGATATGATTTAACTATGAATTTGCTATGAATTTAACCATGCAATTTAATTTATGTAACTGTGAATGGTAGACTATTATTCAGATATATGGTATTAATATTGTTGTCATGTTTTTATTTTGCCCAAGGACTGCCAATACCGTGTGCTATAAATGTAATTAGATGCAGCATGAAAGGCTTTGAGGGATGCCCTTTGATAATTTGATTCACTCAAAAAGATACAGACTTCATAGTCACAATGGGGAAAGTAATCCAGTGGAGGTGTTCATATTCCAAAACACCACTGGGAGATACAAAGGAATAAAAAATTAAGAAATTCCATACATCAGAAGGATAAGAGCTCTTGAGGTTCTTTCAAAGGATAGTGGTTTCAGATTTTACTATGCATTAGTTCTGTCCAAGATGCTTATTACAGGTGAAGGCTCTCCTTCACTAGAAGTCCTCCCCATCCTGACTCTTGATTGCATGGTTCAGTAGGACAACGCTTTGAAAAACATTTCCCTGGAGGGTGAATTCAGACCCTCAAAAGAGGGATTCCATGCTTCATACAACACTATGGAGGCTTTGAAGTGTTTACCACACTTGGGTTCTATTGGCAATACCCAGGGGTGACTTGGAGTTTCCTTAGGGTTCCTCTCCAAAATTTCCATGTACTTAACTCCAAGATATGTCAAAATAAGCATTAAAGCTAAGTTTAAAAATGGTGCTTGTTAGGCAAAGCAGCTTCAAGACAATGCCCTTGATCCTTCTTCCTCTCCAGAATGCCACCCTAAACCCCTCTACCTAGAAATTTTGGATTTGCCAATTGCCCAGAAGGATGAAAGCCACACAGTGCAATCATTGTCAAGTCCTGCTGAGCTGTGCGGAAGCTGACATATGTGGAACTGCCTGAGCTTCTCAGGGGCCTCCTCCTGGCACATCTAGCTCAGATGAAATGGAAGGCCTCAGAGCCCCACCCACCCCACCCAACCCACCTTCATTTATACCAGTTCACAGAAGAATAAGGAAAACAGACAAAGACCATATCTGGAAGATATCTCCAAAGACCTGAAGCCCTAAATAGGAAACTGAGAAATTTGTGGGAACTTTTAGAATTTTGATCTCTTCATACACACTGCTAGTCACTGTTACTGAGAAAGTAGCAAGACCAGGTTTTTCCATTCATTGTCATCTGCCCTTGACATGCTGGACTCACCTACTGTGTCTCCAGATCATGCCCATGGCCCCATGCAGTCTAGGGATCTCCACCAACAGCCAGATCCACCTGAATAATGGAAATTACTTGAATCAGTGAGGGACAACTAACATCAGGTGACATTTTAAGGTAAACTCTTTTATGCCTATACTATTTCTGTCTTTACTAAGTATACTTGTAATCTGATCAGTAGAGTATAAGTAGCCTACTCTCTCATAATATTTTTGTAGGAATCAATACAGTGTAACCAAATTGGTGTCAATAGGTTACATTCCTTATTTGTAATTATTGAGGGTTTTCATTTCTTCATTGAAAAACTATTGGTTTACATCATGCCATTTGACTTCTGGTTCAAGTGCTTTCAAAGAAACTGATTTCTTAAAATGCATCCTTGAAAGCCTGACAGTCTAACAGTTGAAAATCTATGTCAAGACCATATGGCAGACTAAAGATGGGTGAGAAGGCAAGGGATGGGGGTAAGCAAGGACAGTGATACTAAGCATACAAGCAGATGTTTTCGAGCCAAAGCTGGAAGAGCAAATGGAGCAACTACTAATAAAAAGTGGGCATGTACATTTTGATTTCAAT
Organism: Homo sapiens; assembly: GCF_000001405.40. Lineage (NCBI taxonomy): Eukaryota > Metazoa > Chordata > Mammalia > Primates > Hominidae > Homo > Homo sapiens. Next base: position 87,440,903 of record NC_000001.11, on the reverse strand, counting down.
GTTTAAAAGTAGCCCAGTGTTCCATTAAAAACAATGCAGCCACTATTCAAAGAGAAAATGTGTGTAATGTGTATGTGTGTGTTACATTAAGAAAAGAGTTCCACTTCAATTTCTGAGCTTCGTAAGCAATCATCCTTGTGATCTTTCATTTGTGCAAAGTTTCACAGTCTACAAAACACTTTCACAAATATTACTTATTCATCCAACAAACATTTATTGGGTTCCTCCTCACTGCCAAGCATTGTGCCAGACACTGGAGATACAAATATCAAGAGATAATACTTACCTTCAATAAGTCCACAGAAGCAATCTGCAATCTCTTAACCTGAACAAATTTAAGGAACAGAAAAATCTTTGCAAAGATCAGAATGGGAAGATGATTTTTTAACATACAATGCCCCACTACAATCCAGATTTCCAAAACCCTAGGAATGATAAAGGAGAGAAAAAGATCACGAATTTCCCAATATTTTGAGAAAGGCATTGTACTGCCTCTCATTCATCAGACTCCATTGCTAATCACTGGAGTTTCATACAGTTTGAGGAGGCATTCCTCCAATGCTTTTCTAAAAGTTTCTAGGTATGTCCTAATACCTATAGACATCTCCATTTGCCATACTCCTGGACTGAAAGGGGGTAGTATTCTCTCTCCTTAATTGTAATAGCTTAGGCATTTGATTGAAAAATAAACCTTGAGTACATTAACTTAAAAAATAATCGAGGATCAGTTATGATGTGTCATGCACTGATTGGAATTACAAGAGATGAGTAAGTCCACGCCCCTAGATCACAAGTAACCCAGGGAGAAATATTTACAAAAAGCTAGGTAAAATAAAATGTAAAGCAACTGCTCTCTAGTAGTGGGAAGGGCATGCCCTAGGGCAGACTTTTTCACCTAGCTAAACTTCCCAATCTCTGACTCCTGTCTTTGCCATGCTACACGTGGTAGGACGAGCATCCGAAACAGACAGCTGACATGCTTTAGGCACTGTGCTGTTTGCACTTAAATTCTTCAAAGTTCTGGAATGGGAATATGTCCTCTGAGCCCATTAGGAAACAAGCCAGCCTAATTTCACTTTTTTAAAAAAATCATATCAAATTAATCTTGTTTTGATAGGAATACTGAGTTAGGTGACTAGAAAGATATAGTGAATCTTGACTTGAACAAGAATTCTGAGAAAGTCTCAAGATTTTTTGCTGGTCATGTTGGAAAATAATTTGTACCAAATGATACCACACAAGATGAATTCATAATATTTAAATGACAGTGACCTAAGGGTGCTGGTGAGCCTAGAGGAAAGTTTCTAAAGATATTTCTTAGCCTGTGCCCTTAGCTCTGTATTATCCAAACATGTTACACAACAATTCAGATGAAGGTATAGAAATCATGCACAATTTAAATGTCAATGAATGTTTAAAATCTTAGAATATGGCAAATAACTGGCACTGTGCTGGCTCATGATAAATATATGTTTGACTTTCTAAAATGAATGAATGAATGGCTTATACAGGTTTGAAAAGGAACTAACACTAAAGAAATCACATGTAATGGGATAAATTTAAGATCCTGCACTAGTATCCAAAACTAAATACTAAAGCACAACACACAAGAGGAGAGATTTTACTGAGCAGTTTAATTGAAGACAGTCATTCCCCATCCCTGCAAAAAAAAAAAAAAAAATACATAAACAAAAACAACTCATATCCTACCTTTAGACTGCATTAATAGAAACATAAAACCTAGAATGAAGGAGATGATAGTTTACTTTGCACTATCAGGTCACAACTGGTGTGTTTTATTCAATTCTGGATGCTACACACTGAACTGACTTCAGGAAAAATAGAACAGTGAATAGGCTAAACAGCATGTGATGTGGGAAATAATTTATTATGTGTGATTATCATCATAATCATAAAAAGACCTAAGTGCCAAGAGCTTTACATGTATTTTCTCATTTAGTTCTCACAACATTTTGCCTATGAGGAAAGTACTATTATTATCCCCATTTCACAAAAAGAAAATAAAGGCTGAGAGAGACCAGGCAACTTGCCCAAAGTCAGAGAGGTGATGGGGCGCAAGGGGCAGCCATGAATCTCAACAAGGCTTCTCTTGTTCTAGAGCCAACACACATAGGAAGGGGAGACAGAGCCAGGTGCAGTGGCTCATGTCTGTAATCCCAGAGCTTTGAGAGAGCGAGGCCGGAGGATCACTTGAGGCCAGGTGTTCAAGACCAGCCTGGGTGACATAGCAAGACCCCCATCTCTACAAAAAATTTAAAACTTAAAAATTAGCTGGGCTTGGTGGCACATGCCTGTAGTCCCAACTACTCAGGAGGCAGAGGTGGGAAGACTGCCTGAGCCCAGGCGTTTGAGGCTGCAGTGAGCTATAATAGTGCCACTGCACTCCAGCCTGGCTGACAGAATGAGACCCTGTCTGAAAAAAAAAAAAAAAGAGGAGAAGACAAATATTAGAAAGACTACCACTTGGAAATAGTATTGGTGCATGGTCATACTGACTATAAAAGGGAGCACTAAAACCAAAGAATGGGAAAATTGGCCCACTATGTGGAAAAATGTACACTAATTCTTTTAGGTGTCTCACACAGATCCCTTCCCAGGCTTTTCCACCCCATTTCAAATCAAATTGACTATTTCCTTGAGCAAGGGCAATTATATTAATTGCAAAAAGTTTTCTGTTTTCCATCTACCAAAGTTTACAGCTCAAACATTTAAGGTAGTGTCTTTCTGTTGGCCACATTTCTATGTCTCTTTCTATTTCTGTTCCTATTAACTACTGCACGGATCTGAGTAATGCAAATACTAAAGATGTTAGCTTTCACTTTACTAAATATATCAGCTATAGCTGCCCTTGAAAGCCAGGACTTGCTCCTTCCCTTGGTGCCACCTTGAAACCAGGATGGGAAATTTACAGGTCACCCTAGGTTTTGAAAAGAAGCCATCCATTTCCAAGTTGCAATCTACTTGAAATAATCTCCCCAATTATGTGGAAGTAATTTACTCTATATTTACTTTCTGCTTTGGACTATCAAATATCTCTTCCTCTTACCCCCGGAGGCAGCAGCTGGGATTAAAAAACTTCTACTACCTGCCTTGCTGGGGCTGCATTATTTAACTCTTTCATGCCTATTTAAGAGCAGGCAAAATTTGCACCAAATGATAACTGAAGTCCCGACTAGCCCTAAGATGTATTATTCTACATTAAACTTATTTGTTTTAGATATAATCTATTTCCAAAACTGTTTATTATTTTTAGCAAAAATTATTTGCAGCAACACTGAGGCTGACCTATATAAAGTTAAGCAGTTGAAGGTAAAATATTTAAGTAACAAGTTGACGCATGCAATGCCAAACTAAAGAGTAGATGTATTGTTTATTTCAGGGTCAGACAAAAGCTCAAGTGGTGCTAAACCTAGAGGTCCCATCAGTTGGGTCATGTCTCACTTTCCACATGAATGGAATGCCACCAATGAAGGCAGCCAGGGGACTGTTTTCTTTCTAATTCCCTATGGTGGGTGTAGCCCTCCAAATCTCAGTGCTTCCTGGTGTTCAACTTCTTACGGAGAAGAAGAAAAGTCTTTTAAAAATAAATCTTGGCCCCTCACATCTCAGAGCCATGGGTGAGCCTGACTTGCTTTTGTTTTTAATAATAGACTACCTTTTAGAGTTGTTTTAGGTTTACAGGAAACTTAGGCGGAAAGTACGAAGAGTTCCCATATACCCTCTCCCTACCCTACCCCTACTCCCACAGTTTCCTCTATTATTAACATCTTCCATTGAACATGACTTTTTTTTTTTTTTTTTTTTTTTTTTTGAGACAAGGTCTTGCTATGTTGCACAACCTGGACTTGAACTCCTGGGCTCCACCGATTCACCCACCACAGCCTGCAGAGTAGCTGGGACTACAGGAGCACCCCATCAGGCCCGACTGAGCATGACTTTTTGACAGGGTAGTCCAGGTTTGCTATTCTTAAGTTCCCGGACCTTAAGATGGCAAAGAATACTGTTAGGCCCATCCCTGTTCCAAATAGGACTCACTCAATCTGTAGCCCTTAACCAGCTTCTAGGGCCAAGCCATTCCTCCTACTAAGAAGCCTTTGTCACAGCAAAGGAAACTGACCCAGAGGCAACCTCCCCTAAAAACAAGCCAGACAAGGGAGGGGGCAGGGAGCAGACAGCAGGAATGGGCTCTGGCGAGGGCCTGAGGACAGCAAGTTTCAACACGGTACTTTTGAAGAGATTGTTGGCTACATTATCCTATCTAATTACAGTGGCATAATCCTTACATGGCTAAACTATTTATTAAAAACAAAGCTGTGCAACAATTCAGCAAATGTCACGGTGCTGTTATCAGTGAAAGTTGCTCCCACAAACCGCTCTTTCGGGGTGTGCTGTGCTAGGAAGAGTCTTTTCCGGGTGCCTGGCCCTTCTTCTGCACCAGTTTTTAATTGCTAATGAATTAAACTTTCCAAGGAGATAAGAATAATGTTGTTTTGTTTGCACACAGATTGCATGACTAACAAGGACGATATAAATAAAACCATTCCAAGTTTTATCTGCGGGTGGACAACAGTGCCTGTGTTCAAGTGAAGCCTGGGATGGCTCCCACACAAGATTAGGTTGTTATTGCGGAAGCTGAGGCTTGCACACTGTTAAAAGCCCGAGCTAATATGTTCGCTTAAGACATTATGCCTAATTATGCTATTTGTCAGTAAGGGAACTTGTTCCCCAAACCTTAAACTATCCTGATGCACCAGTGTGGGTCTGAGTTCTATAAATAAGCCAAGTGGACTCTGTAGGATTCTGAGCTAACTATGCTCCATGGTGTTTATGAAAATGGGCAAGATCCGATCCTGGTGCATTCTCTACCTTCGGGATGATATGTATTCCTACTTGGACCAGTAGCTATCATAACAAATATATGTGAGTAGAAATGTTTGTGCTTTTATTTTTGGAAACTTACCATAAAAATCTACAAGCATTTCCTATAAAATACAGAGTTCTCTGTCCATCAAGTTGTTTGGGAGAACTGAGGAAGGAGATGTTTATTTATGAGTTTGTTTTCAGTTCAAAAAAGGAATGCCTTCATGAGCAGAAGAAATGACTGAGATCTGGAGTTCTGAGTCATGATTTGGGCTTGGCTGGTGGCTTTAGGAGAGTTGAGCGTCCTGTGGTTAATGTTTCTTGTCTCTATGCGGGTGTGGTGTGCTATGATAAGAACGCTAGCCTTGTTTTGGCTGAATGTTGAGTGCAAGGATCCTTTGCTGACGTAAGACCATCTCGAATGGCTAGAAATTCAGAATGGCTAGAAATGTCCCTAAGTGTTGTGTGTGCCTTTCTCTTTGTCCCAACCCTAACCTTAATTGCGTGTGTGTATGTGTGTGTGTGCATGCACGCACACGTGGTCAAGTCAAGCAGTGTAGAAATCTGAGGCACTGGTAGCCCATTGGGATGCCTTTGTCTGGGCTTCACTCATCATCAGTCAAGAGGCTTCAAAAATCAATTTAGTTTGATTAACGGGAGATTGAAATCCCACATCAAGGCCTTAGGAAATCTCATGGTGAATTAAGTCACGTGGATCATTTCATACCTCAAACTTCCTGTGGCTTCCAGGGAGAATCCATAATCTCCAGGAGTTGGTGAGGCAATCATTCACCCCCAGACACATCTGGACTCTGACTGCAACAGGTAGAATCTTAACTCTCTCCAGCCATCCACATCTCTACTTCCAGCCTCTTTCCATTTATTTTCCAAAATACTTAATTGCTAATGAATTAAACTTTCCAAGAGTGCCCCTCTTAGAACTTAACGCTCAGTATCATCATTTAAGCTTATTTTATGATTTTTCAACGTGTCTAGAAGTGTGCTCATTATTTCCTAAAACTATATCCTTTTCCCTGCACCCCACATTTCTTCCTAGAGGACGCCCATTCTCTCTTTTCCCTTCCATCAGAGCTCTAACCAAAGCCCATGGTTGCTCCCTACTCTCTGACTTCAATTCCTCATTCTTCCTCATTCTCGCTTTCACTGATGCATGCTCTTATCACCTCAGTTCTCCTAGTCTTTCATCATTCTAACCCACTCATAAATACTATTTGTATTTGTTTACACACTCAATCAAGAACTTTTTACTGTCATATCTGGCTTAACATTTTTCCTGCCTCTGTGTCAATTTGGCTCCCTTTTTTTTTCTAAGTGTATCATCCACTATTCATCCTTTCATCTATACCCATCTTTCCATCCATCTACTTCACAATTATTTATGGAGCACCTAATGGGCGCCATGGACTGCTTTAAGCACTGAGAATAAAAAGGTGAATAGGTGGCAGCCCGGATTCCCAAGGAGTTCACAGGGGGAGATGGATATGCATGCATCACCTGTGGTTAATTACCTGGGTGTGGTAAAGGCAATGAGAGAGGAGCAGAGAGGACCAGTCCAGACCAGGACAGGGGAAGGCAATCAGAGCAGTCAGCTCCTCCTCCCCAGCCAGGCTGGTCTTTCTGCAAAACCATCATGCCTCAGTTCATGGCTTCCCATGCTGTGTGCCCTTTCTATCCAAATCCTGGCTATTTTACAAGATCATAGTCTCTAAGCTTTCAGTAGTCATCTCCATACCATGCTTACCTCTACCTCTGGGAACTTTTAGACTTATCATTCATAGCACCCAATTTAGGAATTGTTTGATACATGATGCTTTGCCTTCTCAAATAGGTTATGGCTTCTAATTTAAGGAGAGATCATTGTGTCTCAATACTTCTTTTGTGTTCCTTACAATGTGCTACCAAAAACACTGAATTAAAAAACAGCACATGGATAATTCATTCCTAGATTTTCCTGACCATCTTACCTTTTCTGCCAACATGAGTAACACCTTATGTATACGTAGTAGGCACTTAATAAAATAAAGACATTGTCAGACATTGAAAAGAATAAGCACTTCGAACTCAAGTTCAAATTCTAATTCAACTACCCTGGCTGTTTGGATTTAGGCAACTTTATCTTTTCTGAGCCTCAGGTTCCTTAAATGCAAAATGAGGACTAATAACACAAACTTTATTTCTATTTAGGGGACGATTAAATGAATCTGTATATGTAAAATGCCTAGCACTGTGCTTTGCACACATTAAGGAATCAAAACATGCTAGATCCTGTCCCTCCCTCTATTCTTCCTCCCCTCTCCGTCCCCACCCCTTCATGCAAGGCAAAATCTGGCAAGAAGCAATAGAGACATTTAAAACTTTAACACCTGCATGCTTTTGGTTGCAAAACAGTGCTTAAGCTTTTCTCAAACACCCAACATAAATCCTAGGAAGGACCTAGATTGTGTTCATCACACCCAGCTTGTCACAGGGAAAATCTTGGTGTATTACTCAGTCTTATTATGTGGGCATAAATGTGATAAAAGTTCTGTGATCTTTGAATTCTATGGCTCTCAAAAACATGTGACACTCTACATTTTTTACTGTCCTTCATCAGTCAGCTGATTTTGAGACCTAGGGAAACCCCTGTACATTCTTCGACCCACAGAAAGGGTTAAAGATTCCTACTACAGAAGGACTCAGTGTTCTAACTCTAAATGTCATGGGAACATGGCCTGGAAAGGCTGAGCGCCATTGCATTACACAATTACCTATTTACTGGAGACAGTATATTTAATAACTAATCATCTAATCTAATAATACTGAAGAATATCAGACTCAAAGGTCAAGTGTTTAAGATTAGGGAGAAAGCAGCCTTAAAAGTACATTGTAAAGAGCCTCACAGATCAACAAGTCAGCCTTAGAGCCTGCCATGCAACCACCACTTCCAGGCCGTTAGGGGAATCAGAAATGTCACTATCTTTCAAACTTAGAATATTGATTATATCCACTCTACTCATAGGGGCTTTATTCCATGACAACTCTGAGTTAGCAATTTAGGAAAATGATTTCATCCTGTATAATGCCAGATTAGCTCGATGACGAAAAATGTTACACTAGGAGCTCTTTGATACACACTGGAGAGCTCTTACCCAAAATGTTATTTTCCCTTTGGACTTTCCTGTGTTGATAAGTTCTGTTTGCTTCCAACTGTGGTTCACTCTTCTGGATCTTTTTCTCAGAGACCTAAGTGATCATCATTTCCAGAGATATTTGTGGTACAAATTCTTTATTTTCAAGTTCTGAAAACCTCATGCTAAAAAGTTACCCTTTATTTCTCACTTTTAAAAGCCTGAATGGGCACCCTTCCTCATTTTTCATGAAGTTAAAGTATTGTCACAATTCAAATTCCCTAGATGAATCCCTTAAAGAATCACCACGCAGTGTTGACTCTCCAATGTGCACACCTGACCAGCAGGACATGTATGTTTATTCCAAATATTTGAGTTCTTTTCCTTGATCTTTTCATAAGTTGCTCTCACTGCAGTCCCCTGATGGCTTTAAATCTTCGTACTTTGCTCACAATTTCTCAGAGTAGAATATTTTTAGAGAAAGATCTAGACATCTCTGCTTTTTCTAGGAAAAACAAAAACATAAAAACTAAAAACCCTGCAACTCTCAGGATAGACTGGATTATGCTGAGGTAATAAATTAACCCTAAAACCCCAGTGGATCATCAAAACAGAGGCTTCTATTTTGTTTCACTACATGCTCATCACAAGTTAGTGAAATATTCTACTCTTAGGGCTACTCAAGCACCAGGAGCAACTCCAGGTAGTTCCTCAGGGACCCAGGTTGAAGGTGACTACACCATCTGGTCATGTCCCTACTGTACAAAACAAAGAGGATCTCATAGCATTCTTCTATGCCTAGGCCCAGAATGAACATCACCCCACTTCAGTTTATAGCCCATTAACTAGTGAAAGTCACAAGTCCGCTAAGTACCAGGAAATGTGGTCTTTTCTGTGTGCAGAAATAAGAACAAAAAAAGTATGCAAACACATGCACATCACCATTGACTACACTAAGATTTGATGCTTCAAGAAGAGTGAAGCCAAGAGAAAAGGCTGAACATAAAGGAAATCTCTAAGCCTGGACACCCAGTGGATCCAGAATAACCAAAGCAGAATTAAAATACTGAGTACTTACTGAGTACTTTTGTCAAGATTAATGCAAATTTCTATTCTGCCTTTGATTCCTTGATTTTAAAAATTATTTTAAGATTTTTGCCAAGCATTTACATTTCAGGTGATAAAAGAATTTCCAAGGCTAGGTACGGTGGCTTATGCCTGTAATCCCAACACTTTGGGAGGCCAAGACGAGAGGATCATTTGAGCCCAAGAGCTCAAGACCAGCTTGGGCAACATAGAGAGATCTCATCTTTACAGAAGATAATAAAATTTAAAAATTAGGAGGGCATAGTGCCATGTGCCTGTAGTCCCAGCTACTCAGGAGGCTGAGGTGGAAAGATCACTTGAGCCCAGGAGGCTGAGGCTGCAGTGAGCTTTTGTGTCTGGAATTGGTTCCTTCCCGTGGGTTCTTGGTCTTACTGACTTCAAGAATGAAGCCATGGACCCTTGCAGTGTTACAGTTCTTAAAGATGGTGTGTCCAGAGTTTGTTCCTTCAGATGTTCAGATGTGTCCAAAGTTTCTTCCTTCTGGTGAGTTCATGGTCTCACAGACTTCAGGAATGAAGCCGCAGACCCTTGCAGTGAGTGCTACAGCTCATAAAGGTAGTGTGGACCCAAAGAGTGAGCAGCAGCAAGATTTATTGTGAAGAGCAAAAGAACAAAACTCTCACACCATGGAAGGGGACCCTCGCAGGTTGCCACTGCTGGCTCTGGTGGCCAGCTTTTATTCCCTTATTTGGCCCCGCCCACTTCCTGCTGATTGGTCCATTTTACAGAGCACTGATTGATCCATTTTACAGAGTGCTGATTGGTCCATTTTACAGAGTGCTGATTGGTGTGTTTACAATCCTTTAGCTAGACACAGACTGCTGACTGGTGTGTTTAGGATCCTTTAGCTAGACAGAAAAGTTCTCCAAGTCCCCACTGGACCCAGGAAGTCCAGCTGCCACCTCTCACTCTGGTGGCACCACTGCACTCCCGCTTGGGCATTAGGGCAAGACCCTGTCTCAAAAAAAAAAGAAGAAAAGAAAAGAAAAGAAAAAAGAAATGATCTTCCAAGAAGAAAGGTTGATACTAATTTTTAAATGTGAGGTTAATCACCACTTGGTTCACATTAAATTTTCTAGCAAATCCAGGGTTCCTGATTTGCAAGATTTTCTTCTGATTTGCTAGATTTGCTTCCTGATTTCCCTTGGTTTGCTTCTCTTTGTTCAGAAGATAAATTCACACTCAAAGTAGCACAGTGTCTGACATAGACGTAAGTGCTAAGCATATATACCAATGCTTAGGAAGAACAAATAAATGAGTGTGAAATTAGAAGTATCTCTACCAAGAATATTTACACAAATATCTAGACTTATATTCTATGCTACAACAATAAAATCCAAAATCAATGTGTCTTACCTTTTGCATATGATCGTTAATGCCAAAGGGCAGTACTGATTTCATTAAAAGAACAATTAGAAAAAAAGAACAGAGATTTTTCTGTTTTCTTCCAATTTTGAATCTGTCCTCATTTACCCATTTTCCCCATTTTCACAGATTCTTATGATGAAGTTTTCATTTCTCAAGGAGCCAACGTCACCCCAGACCTACACAAGGGAACACAACGATGTTATCATCATTGCTTGTCTGAAGGAAGGGAAGTCACCAATCCTCCTTCGAATAGGAAACCTTGTGGAAAATAATTGTGAATGTACAGCATACCTGAGCAGAAAAAAAAAATGCTGACCAGAACTGTGCAATGAGTTTCTTCCATGTTGGAAGAGTTTGACTTACAACTCAGCCATTCTCTGCTACTTATATAAGAGCAAAGTCATGTCAAAAAAGAAGCCAAAATGAAACGGAATGTTCTTTATCGCAAGAATGACTGAAGTTTCGCCAATTAAACTTTTCCTTAGGCATGAACATAAGTAATAACCTAACACATCCTGAGTACTACTTGGTACTATGCAGTCTGCTAAACACACTACATGCATTATGGTTCTCAAAAGTGGAAGTAATAATGCTCCCAGTATTTGTGCAGGATACAATGAAAATATTAAATTATTTGTTTTTGTTTATTTTGTAACCTTACTATTTAATTTACATTTTTTGCATTTTATTATTTACATCATACTGCATATAGTATATCAGTACCTATATAAAACAAATATATACTCGCACACACATATATGTTGAGAGCGTACAAATAGCAGTTTCAGCTCAGTTTATTTTTAACTGATAAGAAAGTATTATTATTATTATTGTTAGTTATCATTATTCCTGTTTACAGAAAAGGAAACTGAGGCTTAAAGAGGTTAAAATGGCTTGCCCAAAGTGTCAAAGTTGGTAAATGGCAGAGCTGGAATTCAAAGAGTCTGATTCCAAAGTCTATCTAGCCCGTGATCATTAAAGGAATTCCTTGTGCTCAAAGACTGGTGCTTGAAAACCAAGCTCATTTGTGCCTGCAGAAATGCCAACCTCTGGGGTAGAAGAAACGTCATACTTTGATCATCTTCCACATTGAATAAGGAGGAAAAGCAGAAGAAAAGAAACTGAGGGTACCAATGCCAGACAGTCGCTAGGTAGTAAATGCAGAAGAATTTAAAGAAAGTGAAAATCAAAGGAAAATACCACGTTTTGTTGACACCCTATTCCTCACCCAGCCCCTTAATGTCTTTCTACAGAAATCAGATTCCTGGCGCAGGCAGTTCATTGTTTGAAAATGCAGTAATGGACACATCCAGATTCCTAACACCGGGGAGTTCAGAGGCAATCAACATGGATTGAGACACTTAGAGCTTCATCTTGTGCTGATTGAGCACTGAGGGGTACGTATCCCCATGCGGTCCCTAAGAGCTACACCCACGGGAGAAACATTTTATGTTGTTCAAAATACTTGGCGCTATGGTTGTTATCTTCAATTTTCTTAACTAGTAATGAGTGATCCTAGTAAGTGTTAAACCAATATGCACTAGGTTCTCTGTAGGATATTCATTATAGAAGGCTTTGAAGCTGAGGAAGAAGTTTGGAGTTTAGGGAAAATTTTTAAAACAACTCTATATTATAGACATTTAAAAAATAAGTGCAATGGAATTCTTTAGAGGTAACTAAGTTTTTCAGGATATCTTTGAGGCAGTGATAAAGATTTCAGTTTTTAAAATCACTGTCAAACTCCTTTGTGCAACATTTGCATAAATTCTCAAACAATGCGACTGTTTTCATGTAAATTTCTTTTCAGAGAGATTCCTGCTTTCTGAAAGCAGTGTAACTGTAGCTGAGTTATATAAAGTGACATTTTATTGCCTCCTGTGGAAGATGCTTTGCACTAATGATCTGAAATCTGATGTCTTAAGCTTGGAATTAGATAATCTGTGGCTCAAAATGTGAAAAGAGAAAGTGGAGCCTTTATGTTTTAGTTAATTACTTCTGGCTAAAATGTGGGGAGTGCTCCCCGGACCTTCTGGGACTCCTGGAATCCGGAAACCCCTCTACAAAACCTAAAGGATTGAAGCAGTTGACCTCATCACAGGAGTGACCACAGGGAAAAAAACAAGTGATTCACAAATCCAAGCCTGATTTCAGTGAGAAATTTTTCTGTGTTTCATAAATCTGCCTTTTTTTCCTCTAACTGCCCTTGCCACCTAGCAAGCTACGAACAGAGAGACCAAAAATCAACATAAATATGGAATATGCAGTCGGAAATGTGGAAATACAACTTGCTACCCAGAGGAACAAAGCTTTCACCCCTCTGAGGCTTCACTGTGAAAAACAACTCTGCTTGTTTTGTCTTATTTTCCCACATACTTCCATTTGAAAATTATAGTAAATCAATTAATCAATTTTTCTCTCCCTCCTATCCATGCCCCTCATTTCTCCAGTTCTCTAATTCTCTAATTCCTGAGTACTCCTAGGGCAGTTCAGCTTACTACAAGAGAATTTTTTTGTGGCTGTTCTCAAACTCCGTATTCCATTTGCAGAGAATACTGTTCCTTAATTCTGTTTGAGTTTCAAAGAGAAAAAGCTCATACCAGTTTAGATTACCCACAATCCTCAATGCACATCGAACAAAAATGTCAGTCCTAATGGCAAAGTTCAGGATATAACTGTGTTAGCTAATTTAATCATTTACCATGAAATACCAGTTGTCTTAATCTTATATACAGTTCTTAAGTTGGCTGCCTATTTTTGTGTAATTGAATACTGACCCTACATGAAGAATACAAGAATTTTGTTTTTAAGTAAATGTTGTTAGAAATAAAATGTTTTTACTGGAAAAAATATATATATGTTATTAGAAGCGCTGTGAATTCTTCTCCAATGCTTGAAGAGCGACTGCTCCAGCAGGCCTGGCTTATGTTTGTGGCATTCCGCCCTGCCGCTACCTCCAGCATATCCACAGACCTTTATTTTTATTATTTTATGACCACATGCAGGATTCTGGCTCCAAGGACTCCATTTGGACTTAGGAAAAGTAGAAGAGCACTCTGAAAACTGGACAGCGGAAAGTGATGAACTGGCATCGTACCCCAACACACTCTGCTTGTGGGCCTTCCTCTCCAGATACCTGATGTATTACTGGAGAAGCAAATGCAACAAGGCAAAGATGTCTTCATTTTCTGTCAAAGCACGGCCTCAACTACAGTGTGATTGAGGCCCTGAATCTCCGCAGCCAGCCGGTCAGACCCCATCAACAGCTGCAGCAAGCAGGGCTGAGGAGGGGAATGGGAGGCGATGGGCGCCAACGAGGGCTGAGCCTGCAGCTCTGTGAGTGACTGGAGCAGAGAGAGAGAGGCCAGGGCCGGAGGAAACCCCAGCAGCAAGGGAAAAACAGATTGACTCTCAGTGACTCATTTAGCTCCTGGATTGGACAGATCTCTCCCCTGCTGGCAATTTGGCTCTGCATCAATAGTTCGAATACCAGGCTGAATAGCTTAAAATAATTAGGGGGAAAAAATCTGCAAAACTGCTAGCCATCCAATTCTTTACTCTGTGCTGAAAGACACAGGACAAATGACATCTAGGTTATTAAATATGAAGTCACTGGATTTGCTGCCCATTTGGTCCAAAAGCAGAAAACTGGATAAAACTCAAATTTATAATTCAGTGTAGATGGCCTGTTTGTCCTTGAGGCAATCCATGAATTTTGGCTGGGCAGGCGCTGTGACATGTGGAAGTAATGTGGGGGGGAAGGGGGATGAACAATGTTTGATTTCCCCCCAACTCAGCTTCCACCCCCTGGGAAAAAAAAATGAAAATGTCAATAAAGAGTGTGAATGTGAAGAGAAATGGAATCTGAGCCCGGAGTTTAGTAGCTGGCAGTTTAAACTTTATATACTTTAGGCCGACAGGCGGCTGGATTTCCTGTACTTTATATCCAATGTACAAAAACAGAAGCAACAGGCTCATTTGGTATCAGTAAAGGTCAGTTAAAATTATAGAGACATCCTTTGGAGCAAATCCCCAGTCTTGTATTTGCATATTTATGAACTAGAGATTATGACAGGCCATTCCATTTATTAGAGCAGTGCTGCTATAGTTAATAGTCTGTCAGCATTTCCATTATAAACCCCGTTTTTCAGTGTTTTAATATCTCAGCTGTTAGAAATCACATCAGGCTGAAAAGTGGTCTTCAGCCTCTCAGGCCTTGGCAGGGTGAGCTGGTGGTGGTGGTGGTGATGGGGCTTGGGAAACCAACAAGATATTTAAATCAAGCCAATGGTTTTTACAATGGATATTAACAGTAAATATAAAATCAAAGATTTTGAGGGGAGTTGGTGAATTCTTCTCCTCCCTCACCCCCGCCCCCCAAATTATCTTTCCCCTGTCTTATCCTTGTCAGTATCAGGGCTTTCACTCTGTTTAAAGGGAAGACTCTGGGATTTTAGGGCAAGGATCCAAAGTTTTGACTTGGCAAAATAGTTTTCCTCACTTCATTGGAATTGTGAGGGTAGGGGAGAGCATCAGAGTAAAGCAAAGATGTTGAAGACATTCATTCATTCATTCATAAGGAATTGGCTCATGCAATCATGGAGGCTGGTAAGTCCAAAATCTGCAGGGTAGGTGGGCAGGCTGGAGACTCAGGGAAGAGATGATGTTGCTGTTTGAGTCCAAAGGCAGTCTGCTGGCAGAATTTCCTCTTCCTCAGTGGAGGTCAGCCTTTTCCTTATGACCTTCAACTGATTGGATGAGGTCCATTCACATTATGGCACATAATATTAACCATCACAGAGGCTAAGCTGCTTTACTCAGTCTATGATTTAAATGTTAATCTCTTCTAAAAAATACCTTCACAGCAATACTCAGACATCTTTGACCAAATATCTGGTCAAAGGGCCCCATACAGGGCCTAGCCAAGTCGCACATAAAATTAACCATTGCAGGGACCATATTTTAAAGATCTCCCATATATCAAATCGTGGGTTTGGCCTTGGTGACACAAAATTAATGACACACTCCTTGTCCTCAAGAAACTTATGATCTACCATCACACTGGTACCAAGTTTTCACAATAAAATTACAGACTCAATAGCTGGTTCCATGCTTTGCTTTCTCTTTTCGGTGACTTGGGATATCCCCTGCACAGAGGCACAATTGTGGGTATCTAGGGACTCCTTATCACATAGGAAGACAGCCTGCTGTTTCCAAACCAAATTCTTGTAATTTTCACCTGATGCTAACCTGCCAAGTAACTCAGTGATATTCAAAGCTCCCTTGGGATTTGAGGAGAAATTGGAAAAAGAGGAAAGAAGCAGCAGCTTGCTTTCTCAAGTCATTCATTAAAAAAAAAAAAAAAAAAATGAGTATTGGCTCCTGTTGTATGGCTCCTTGATATGTTTTAGGAGAAGCCACACAAATGCATCCTCAACTGGACAACTTCCACAGAGCAGGTTGAAAAATTCCTACCTGGCAGAGTTTCCAGCCCCTCTAGAGAAGTGCACACCTATGCAAAAACCTTCAACAGAAGAGAACCTTAAGGGATAGTCTGACACTAGGGAATCCCAATGTGTATAACCAGTGGTCCTTGCTATCTGACTCTGAGAGCTGCACTGAGTAATAGAAGCAACTCTCCTTGCCCTGTCCTTTAGGTTTCTATTATACTTGGAGTAGGTAAGCTTTATTTTATTTACTCTAGATGTGTCACACCCCTGGACACATAGAATAAGAATTCAAAGTCCTCCTAGAGAGGCAGAGAATATCATCACTGTATCACTCCATTTTACTTTATTGAAAACCTTAAAAGTAAATATAAAACGACAAATTACAGGTGCTGCTACTGCTGCTTGCTGTCTGGGAAAAAAAGAAATGTTGGATAAGAAGGTCAAAATGTGACAATTCAATCCCCTGAGAATGGTCACCTAATCTTCTATCAAGAGATGCAACATGCCATCTAAAGAACGGCTGCCCAGCCGGGCGCAGTGGGTCACACCTGTAATCCCAGGACTTTGGAAGGCCGAGGCAGGCAGATTCCTTGAACTCAGGAGTTCAAGACCAGACTGGGCCACCCATGGTAAAACCCCGTGTTTACCAAAAATACAAAAAAATAGCTGGGTGTGGTGGTGCACGCCTGTGGTCCCAGCTACTTGGGAGGCTGAGGTGGGAGGATTGCCTGAGCCCCAGGGGCAGAGGTTGCAGTGACCTGAGATTGCACCATTGTACTTCAGCCTGGGTGACAGAGTGAGACTCTGTCTCAAAAATAAATAAAGAATGGCTGCCCTCAATGCCTAGGAGCTTGGCTCTGCTTTACTTCTGCCCTTTCGATTCCCTGTGAAATGAATAGGACTTATGTAATTGCTTTCAGCAGCATCTTTGAATTACAATTACGTAATAAGACACACACCAGGATGTGTGTAATTGTGTAATAACAGCATGCCTTACTGTGCTAGGCTGGTGGCCAATAACCACCTAGTCATGCTATTATATTATAAGAACATATGCCCTCAAGGTATGTTGAAATTATTCTGGGGATCTCTAAAGGAAAGCTGACTGATCAAAAGGGAACACCAACTTAAAAAGCAATAAAATAAATAATTTTTTAAAGTCTGATAGTAATCCCAAAAAGAAACAAAAAAATTACGCCTACCCTAAAAAAAAAAACCTATAGTGTAAAATCAAAGTGTTGTGTAATGATTCACTCATGTCACCACAGGATTTAAGATGACAGAGTATTAATAAGGAAAAAACAAGAAGCTGGCCTGAAGTCAGGTGTCGTGATGCCCTCTTCATAGATGGTCAGAGTGAAGACTACAGTGGGGTTATGTCTCAACCCAGAAAGTTCTAGATTCTTTGGAGCCTACTCCTTCCCAAGAAAATGACACCCCAAAGGCTCTATAAGCTTTCCACACTTTGAACTTCTCTGTTGTTCTTATAGTCATCAGATCAAAAAAAATCTCAGAAATGTGAGAAGATCAGACTTTTGCAATTGAACCTCCCCAGTGATATTTTCCTTAAAGTGAAAGTATGTGCTAGGATAAAGTTCCCACACTTTATTCTTACAGCACAACATACATATATGTTATATATATAGTATGTGTACACACATTTCAATATCTAATTGCATAATACCTATATGCAAACTACATTTCCATCTCTTCCACTCTTCTAACTCATTTGGCAGGATAAAAACCTCATGCATCAAAAATAAGGCACTATGAGATGAGGAGAGAGGTGGGAGAGACACTTTTGCAATCTATAAAATATTAGTTTGTCACTTCTTAGATAAGGTTGTATCAATGCTAGTTATCATATCAAGGTAAACATAAATGTACATGTGTAATATACTTCTAATACACAATTGATGTTTTGTTTTTTCCTTATGCTATTAGATCCTCAAAATATAGAAGTTTTGATCATTACTATAATGGGCTGAATTATGTCTCCCCTCTCCCCCAGATTCATATGTTGAAGTCCTAACCCTCCAGTGCCTGAGAATATAACTGTATGAGGAGATAAAGTCTTTAAAGAAGTAATATATTAAGATGAGGTTATTCGGGTGGGCCCTAATCCGATATGACTGGTCATACAGTTTGGCTGTATCTCCACCCAAATCTCATCTTGAATTGTAGCTCCCATAATTCCCACATGTTGTGGGAGGGACCTGGTGAGAGATAATTGAATCATGGGGGCGGTTTACCTCATACCGTTCTTATTTATTTATTTTTTTTGAGATGGAGTCTTGCTCTGCCACCCAGGCTGGAGTGCAGTGGTGTGATCTTAGCTGGCTGCAACCTTTGCCTCCCGGGTTCAAGCAATTCTCCTGCCTCAGCCTCTCGAGTAACTGGGATTACACACACATGCCACAACACCCAGGTAATTTTTGTATTTTCTTAGAGATGGGGTTCCACTATGTTGGCCAGGCTGGTCTTGAACTCCTGACCTCAAGTGATCCACATGTCTCTATCTCCCAAACTGTTGGGATTACAGGCGTGAACCACCATGCCTGGCCTTCATACAGTTCTTGTGGTAGTGAATAAGTCTCACAAGATCTGATAGTTGTATAAGGGGAAACCGCTTGGCTCTTATTTTCTTCTCTTGCCTGCCGCCATCCATGTAAGACATAACTTTGCTCCTCCTTGCCCTCTGCCGTGATGTGAGGCCTCCCCAGCCATGTGGAACTGTGAGTCCATTAAACCTCTTTCCTTTATAAATTACCCAGTCTCTGGTATGTCCTTATTAGCAGCATGAGAACAGACTAATACAACTGATGTCCTTAAAGAAGAGGAAATTTGGACACAAACATGTACAAAGGGAAGACTGTGAAGACCCAGGTGGAAGATGGCCATCCACAAGCCAAGGGGAAAGTCCCCAGAGGAAACCAAACCTGCAGACACCTTGATCTTGGACTTCTAGCCTCCAAAGTTATGAGGAAATAAATGTTGCTTAAGCCACCTAGTCTGTAGTAGTTTGTTATGGCAGTACACATTTATTACATTATTACCTCAACTACACATTTATTACATCAATAAACTTTTTTTTAAACAATGCTGAATATAAGTAATGAGAATAGAATGGAGAGCAAAACAAGGTCCATGTTGTTTTAGGGCTTACAGTCCACCAAAAATAATTTTGACAGGGCATGCATAGGAAAGGCAGCAAATATAGTTGTGGGTTTTAATCTATTACGTTTGTGGCATTTCCAAAATGCCATATGTAAGCTGATTTTAAATATTTTCAGTGATCTTAAAGGACATCAACCGAGTATTTCAGTCACCTTAACAACCAAAAGTACTCAATGATTCAACAAATGACCTGCAACTAATGACTCAATGTAAACCCAATCTAAACCCCCATTGAGTTAAATTTGAGCAAATACCTACAGAATTATTGGTACCTCTCCACAGGGTGCTGGACTGGCTCTCACCCACTTCAATTATGCACATCTCTTCCCAACTTCATGTTCAGTAATACCAGATGAGTTGTTTGAAATCAGCACCCCTCACACTGCCCCCTGAAGGCTCCACTTCAAGTCCGCCCTCCTCTGGAGCCTGTTGTTAAACCTTTGCCAACACGCCATTAGTCAGGGTGCGCCCCCATCAACAAGACAGCTCAAAGACATTTAGAAAGCAAAACCATGACAGAAAATGTCAAAGGGGAAGAGAGGGATATACAAATATGGAAATAAAACAATAAAGTGGAAGATTCTCATGTATTAAGCTAGCGCAGCAGTTCTCAAATGTTGTGGCCTACACCCAAATCACCCAGAGATGTAGGGTGGAGCCAGGGAATTGCATTTCTAACAAGTTCCCTGGT
Source organism: Homo sapiens (assembly GCF_000001405.40). NCBI lineage: Eukaryota > Metazoa > Chordata > Mammalia > Primates > Hominidae > Homo > Homo sapiens. The sequence continues at coordinate 87,421,104 of NC_000001.11, read as the reverse complement.
GATCCCACTGCACTAGACCATCAGTATGGCTTTTTCTCCTAACACCAGTTCATCTCCTGTGCTTACCACCTGGTTGAGGAGGGGTGCGAGTGCATGGCAGATATGGCTAATTCCATTGGAATGGCAGCTCTTGGTAAAGGAAATCGATGGCCATGTATAAACAATGTTTAAGCTGAAGTCCAGTGAAACGGTCCCTGAGGACCCACAAGCTGCTCACAGCCAGGGAGGCAGCACTGCCCAATGTTGCCCCCACCATGGAAGAAAAAGCATGCCAAACACCTTCATCTAGCCCTGAAGGTATTTTTATTAGGCCTATGCAGAAGGTGGTTTGGCTAAAACAGCTTAAGTTGGCATATGCAGAAAGACACAATCTTAGAGCCACAGTGAATTATTTGTTTGGGAGGCAGGACCCTATTAAGACACAGGGTGTTGCCTTATCCATATCTGGATCACCACAATGCAAACCATGCCCCTGGAGACAGAAATCTACAAGCCACAAAGACAGGGAGAAAGCTAATGTGACATGACTGGGAAGGTGAGTATACAGTAATTAGATCTCACAAAATAAGGATGATAGAAGAATTCCATTGGGTTCACATTTCTTACCTTCTGTAATGTTGAAGATCTGAAATTTTGTTGTAAATATATTGGTAACTTTTTTTCCAAATTACATTCCCAAGAAACAGATAAAAACTGAATACAGGTTGGAGTTTGGCTGTTGTATAAATATGCAGTTACTGAAAGCACTGGTGATAACAATGTCAGAAGTGAAAAATTATAGATGATTAATAAGAAATTGTTCAAAGAAATCTTGCCAAACAAAACATCAATGAGATTGAAAATAATTTTCATTGACAAAACATGTGCCTGTTGGGCATTCCAGAGGAAAGTGATGGGAACAAACTTGACTGAACCTTTAAAAGAGTTTTTACTTGTTGCATCAGATCTTTCTGCTAAATCCCTCAGTGTCAAAATGCTGTTTTGCCTTTCCTGCCTGCTCTGGGCATACCCTCTCACACAAACTATGTTGTGTGAATCCGAGGACTGCTTTAGAAATGAGTTCCCAAACTGCTCAAGAAATAGTTCAGGCTGTTCTGAAAAGCCTTCTGCTCACTCAGGTCCTGGGGGGGAGTTTAGCCAATAAAGGAAAGAAAGAAAGAAAGAAAGAAATTAAACTCAAAAGCAAACTTTGGAACCACGACAAACATGGAAGCCATGTGTATACCATGTTGTCAGCATTTCCTGAAGAAGCTGTGTGTGGGCTTCAGGGCTCTGGGATGATAATCTGGAAATGATGAAGAATTCTTTTATGTATTTTATTGTAGTACAGGTCTAATAAAAGTTAAGTATTACAAATGTTAATAGCGCATTAATTGTCAGTTAAAACAATAATTTGATACTATTTTTCCAACCACAAATTGGCAAAAAAATTTAAAAGTGAGGACATAGGGTTTGGTAATGAAACAGGAAAATGGGTGAACACTCAAATGCAGTTTGTGGAAATATAAATTGATAGAACCTTTTTCAGGGACAACTTGGCAGTATCTATCAAGATTCCAAATATACCTATCCTATGAGGCAGCAGAATGCATATGAGCTAAGAACAGACTCTGGATTCGGAGATCCTGGATTCCAATCCTGGCTCTACCAGTTAGAACCATGAGATCTCAAACAAGTTGCTTAACCTCTCTGACCCTAAGTTTATCATCTGCAAAACTGAGATAATAATAGTATCTATAACTCATGGGGTTGTCATGGGAATTTTAAAAGTTGATATTTGTAAAGTGTTTACACTGGTGCCTGGCATATATATAGGAAGTGCCATGTAACCTAGAACCCTAATTCAAGGAAAACATTCTATAAAACTTCTAGCCAAATGTCTAAGTTCAATACAACACGGCTTCTCACAACATACAAATGGAAACTAACTCTAGATGTCCAACACTGAGAAAATATGCAAATAAATGATGGCACAGCAGTGTGATTGAATAGTTTATAGCCCTTTAAAGAGTGAGGTAGAGCTATGTGTACCCCAAGAACAACATATTGCTGAGTACAAAAACAAACTGTAAAACAGCATGTTCAGTAGAATCCCATTATTATAAAAGCGAAGTTTGTGTGTGTGTGTGTGTGTGTGTGTGTGTGTGTGTGTGTGTATTTGTACCTGAAAAGATGTATGCCATACTTAACAGTGATCACCTCTGAGGAGTGAGATTAAAGCAGCGAAGAGACTTTCAATTCTACTTTATACACTTCTGTATTGTTTGAACCTTTAAAAATGAACTTAAATTACTTTCATAATTAAAAAAGCTTTCAAATCACTAGTCTGAGCATAGTTTAGATTTAAATAATTTTTCTCTCTCTCTTTTTTTTTTAAGATTCAGATTCATAGCCATGGGATAAATGCTACTGTTATCATTGACATAGATGACCAGCCAGGAAATAAGATTGTATGAATAGTCCATTTAATTAAATATTTTGGCCACTTAGATCTATGTGAGCGTAAAATGTGGAAACACTTAGGAAATAAGCTTTCGTTGTATAGTAAATAGGGGGTAATGAGATTCGGTCAATCTGTCAGAGATTTAAACCTACCCGATCCTAAAGAAAAACAGGCCTAAAATATTTCAAATGTGAGGTTATATTAAAAACCACAGTTTCAAACTGTGAAGCTAAACAAATCAGTTATTTCAGTTTATTGTCTCAGGGAAAGCACAGTGTAATACTTGAAGGAGAACCAAAAGGAGGGGTAGCATTCCCAGCAGCTAGCACTTTCATCCAATACCAGGGCTTTCATTTGCCAAATTATCTTCAAAGACACTGCCTGACCGAAGCACTTCTGCAATAAAAGTATCTCTGTGTTAGTCAGTGGAATGGGGGAATGTTAAAATTGAAAGAGGCCTTGGAGACCGGCTAGGTCAGTGTCCACATTTCTCAGAAGAGGACACTGAGTTCTGGAAAGATCATGGGACTTCGTAACAAAAACAAACTACAGCTCAGGTCAACTGACCACCAGTATAGTATGCCTTCTAATACACTACTGTCCTCACACTTTTTGTATTTTAAGGTAATGGTTTTAAAATGCACATGGGAAAAATAAATATAAACTATAATATAGAACACAAAAGCTCCCAGAAAAGAGTTTACTTCCTATTCTCGTACTCCAAGTCCCAGTTCCTCTCCTCAGATATGACCACTGTGCTCCTCAGGTATGACCACTGTGTTTTTTTGTTTTGGTTTGGTTTTGGTTTTTGAGACAAGGTCTCACTCTGTTGCCTAGGCTGGAGTGCAGTGGTGTAATCGTGGCTCACTGCAGCCTCAACCTCCTGGACTCAAGCGATCTTCCCACGTTTGCCTCCTGCGTAGTTGGGACTACAGGTGTGCACCACCATGCCCAGCTAATTTTTTGTACATTTTTGTAGAGACAGGATTTCACCATGTTGCCCAGGCTGGTCTTGAACTCCTGGGCTCAACTGATCTACCCACTTCGGCCTCCCGAAGTGCTGGGATTACACCTGTGAGCCACTGTGCCCAGCCTATAACTACTGTCAGCAGTTCCTCTGATAGTCTTTCAGAGATACTCTATGAACTTCTAAGGAAGTGTATATATGTGTGCATGCATGTGTGCAGCATATTATATACACAGTTGACCCTTGAACAACATGGGTTTGAACTGTATGGGTCCACCTATACATGGATTCTTTTCCACCTCTGCCACCCCCAAGACAACGAGACTAACCCCTCCTCTTCCTCCTCCTCCTCAGCCTATTCAATGTAAAGATGATGAGGATGAAGACCTTTATGATGATCCACTTCCACTTAATGAATAGTAAATGTATTTTCTCTTCCTTATGGTTTCTTAATAACATTTTAACTTACTTTAAGAATACAGTATATAATACATATAACACACAAAATATGTATGTGTTAATTGACTGTGTATGTTATCAGTAAGGCTTCCAATCCATAGTAGGCTATTAATTTTTAAGTTCTGGGGGATCAAAAGTCGTATGAAATTTTCAACTGTGTTGAGGGGGTAGGTGCCCCTAACGACCAGTTGTTCAAGGGTCAACTGTCCTATCAAGCTTCTTGTTTATTTCTTTGTTTTCACTTAAATATATCTTTCAAATTATTCCTTATCAATATATGTTAATCTTCTCTCATTCTTTTTAATGGCTGCACATTATTTCATTATATTATAATATATCATAATTTATTTCATCAGTCCCATCTCAATAGATATTTAGATCATTTTGTCTTTTGTATTACAAACATGCTGTTATCAATAAAAACTACTCATATATACATCTTTAAGCACCTGTCCAACTCTGTGTGGAGTATACATCAGATAAATTCTTAGATGTGGAATTTAGCCAAAGGGTATATTTAATTTTGATAAGCATTGCCAAATTTTTCTCCAGAAAGGTATATTAATTTACACTTCTACTAAGAAAGTATAGTCATTATTTAAGTTTTATTTGTGATTTTTTCTTCACTTATTAAATGATAAGTTCCTTGAAGAAAGAAACCATAGCTTCTACAACTTGATTCCAATGCCCATGGCCATTCATATCGTCATTCTTTAACAAATATTGAATGACCAGAGCTGTGCCAAAGACTGAAATATAATAATAGATATATATTATTTCCTATAGTGGTAGACTAGTTATCTCAGAGTAACCCCTCTGCTGAGAAAAAGTAAAATGAAATTGGGGAAACATATTTTTAAAAAACTCACACCTTCCAAAAGCACCAAAAAGTTAATCAAATAAGAAATTGCCCAGTCAAAATCTAGAAAAAATGTAACCCCTATATTAAAATCTGTTTGGCCCTAATGACATTTGCTTGTGTCGAAGAAATAACTGCGAAACTGCATTTGCTTAGGGCGGGTGGGGGTCTTTCAGGGCAGAGGAAACAAGGCCTAAAGCTCAGGGTCCACCGAAGTTTAAGACTCAGATAAACCACCTGCCACTGTAAGGTAGAGCCTAGCAAGGTTATCACTTAAGGGTAAGGGTAAACCAGAATTAAACCAGTCTTTCAAAAGACTTGCAGCCTAGCTTCTCATCATTTGGCTCTTTTAGGGAACCTGAAGCCTTGAACTTGGATTAAGATAGTCCTGCATTAGTAGCATCTCTAGAATCCTGACAGAAACAAATTAAATTACTCTCTTGTAAGAGGCACTATCATCTCATGTCTCAAAGTATTCCTAAAATACATTGTATAGCACACAAAGAAAACAAAACGCATAGGAAACAAGATACCATGAGCAAGAACCAGTTAAAACAAGAAGATAGTAGAAACAGACCAACAAAGACTTCATATATTGGGATTATTAGATATCAACTATAAAAGAACTATGCCTACCAAGCCTAAAAAAAAAAAAAAAAAAAAAAAGGGAAAAGAAAGAAAAGAAAATCTTCAAAATTTCAGAAAGAAACTGAGGGGGAAAAGTGACATAATTTTGAAAAGGGGAAATATACTAACAAATTATGAATTAATTGAGTGAGTTTAAGGGCATATTAGACATAGCTGAAGAAAGAATTATTGAACAGAAAAATAAGTCAGAATAAACTTTCCTTATTATAGCACAAAGAGACAAAAACATAGAAAATATAGCAGAGAGGATAAGAGAGAGGGAGGACAACCTGAAAAAGTCTAACATATATTTAATTGCAGTTTTAAAAGAGAGAGAAATGGAGCAAAGGCAATATTTAAATTTTTATGACTAAAATGGCCGACAATTTTGGAGGACTGACTCACAGAACTTAAGAATCCCATGCAGGATAAAGAAGAAAGAAATCTACACCAACATTCATCCTGAGATATTGCAGAAAACAAAAGAAAAAGTGAAAAAATCTTTAAAGCAGCTAGAAAAAAAAGATTTAAATTTAAATTTCTTTATTTTTATTTTTATTTTTTTGAGACAGAGTCTCATTCTGTCTCCCAGGCTGGAGTGCAGTGGCGCAATCTCGGCTCACTGCAAGCTCCGACTCCCAGGTTCACGCCATTCTCCTGCCTCAGCCTCCCGAGGAGCTGGGACTACAGGCGCCTGCCACCACGCCCGGCTAATTTTTTGTATTTTTAGTAGAGACGGGGTTTCACCGTGTTAGCCAGAACGGTCTCGATCTCCTGACTTCGTGATCCATCCACCTTCGCCTCTCAAAGTGCTGGGATTACAGGTGTGAGCCACCACACCCGGCCTTAGATTTAAATTTCTAAAGCACAAAAATGAAAACCAAAGGAAAAATGGGAATATATTCTCCATGTTCTTATAGAAAATAAAAACTATTAAAGAACTTTATAGCCAGCAAAATATCCTTCAAGCATGAAAGCAAAATACAGACATTTTCAGACAAACAAGAATTGAGAGAGTTCACAACCTACTGACTTAGGCTAAAGGATCAGAGACACAGAAAGGATTAAGAACTTTAAAAATGGTAAATACATGAGTAAACATAAATATTGGCCTTAAAAGCTGTAATATACATGTCTTACAGCGTGTTAAAATATACAGAATTAAAATTTATAGCAACTACATGTTGCCAGCTAGAAACTAGGGAGAAAGGGAAGTTTTGTTAAATTATTCTAAGGTCCTGAACTCCTAGCTTCAGGTAATCCACCTGCCTCACCCCATCTCTACTAAAAATATGAAAATTAGCTGGGTGTGGTGGTGCACGCCTGTAATCCCAGCTACTTGGGAAGCTGAGGCAGGAGAATCACTTGAATCTAGTAGGTGGAGGTTGCCATGAGCCGAGATTGCACCATTGCACTCCAGCCTGGGGGACAAGAGTGAATCTCCATCTTAAAAAAAAAAAAAAAAGTTATTCTGAGGTCCTTATACTCATTCCAGAAGGACAGTGAAAGTACTGATTAACATTAGACTTTAAGCAAGGCATGGTAGCTCACACCTGTAAACCCAGCACTTTGGGAGGCCAGGGTGGGAGGATTGCTTGAGCCTAGAAGTCTGAGACCAGCCTGGGGAACATAGCAAGACCTCGTTGCTACAAAAAATAAACAAACAAAACTAGCCAGGTGTGGTGGTGTGTGCCTGTTATCCCAGCTACTGGTGAGGGTGAGGTGGGAAGATTGCTTAAGCCGGGGAAGTTGAGGATGTAGTGAGCTGTGATTGCATCACTGCACTCCAGCCTGGGCCACAAAGTGAGACCCTGTCTTTAAATTAAAAAAAAAAAAAAAAACTTTGCTAAGGAAAGGAATGTTGTGATTTCTAGAGCCAGAGAGCCACTGCTCAAAGAATAGAAAAAGAGTACATTATTTTCATACCAACAGAAAAGGAAAAAATAGATGGTAAGAAAAAATAATCAGTTCAAAAGAAAGGCAAGAAAGGTGAGAAAAAGAAACACAGATCTGGTGGACCAAACTAAAAGCACAAAATAAGACGGTTGTTTTTTGGCCAGGTGCGGTGGCTCACGCCTGTAATCCCAGCACTCTGGCAGGCCCAAGTAAGCAGATCACTTGAGGCCAGGAGTTCAAGACCATCCTGGCCAACACAGGGAAACCATGTCTCTACTAAAAATACAAAAAATTAGCTGCGGCTGGGCATGGTGGAAGGCCAAGGCAGGCAGATCACTTGAGGTCAGGTGTTCAAGACCAACCTGGCCAACATGGTGAAACCCCATCTCTACTAAAAATACAAAAAAAAATTAGCCAGGCATGGTGGCAGGTGCCTGTAATCCCAGCTACTCAGGAGGCTGAGGCATGAAAATCACTTGAACCCAAGAGGCAGAGGTTGTAGTGCGCCACTGCACTTCCACCTGGGTGACAGAGCGAGACTCTGTCTAAAAAAAAAAAAAAAAGGTTGTTTTTTAAACCTAAACACATCACTAATTCAACTGAGAATAAATGGGATAAGTGCTACAGTTTAAATACAAAGATTGTCAGAATAGATAATAATACATTTAAGTTGAATTAAATGTCATTTGTAGGAGACATGTCTAAAATATAAAAATATAGAAAAATTTAAAGTGAAAGGATGAAAAAAATAAATTATGCAAATACCAAAAGAAAGACGGTATCAACTATGCTCATATCAGACAAAACTGACTTTAAATAATGACTTGGTCACCAAAGTTTTGTGTTGGAGGAAAAGAGAAAAAGATATAAGTATAAATAAAATAGAGTCTTCTGTGAACAGTAATTTTAATACAGTGAGATAAATCCTAGGAGGAATTTGTATGAAATGCTTTGATGACACAGACATAAGGAAGACAGAGTCTTAATTGTGCCTTATAGTTAAAGGTGACTCCTTAGAGGACCTGGCATTTTATCAGAATTGTGATATATTAACTTCTTGGGTAGTTCTGTATGAAGGGAAGACATTCCATGCTAAGGAAACAATACGCTCACAGTAGGTATCCACAGGTACTGGTTGAAAGGACTGTTCGATTTTAGGATAGTGAGGACCAAAGGAGTGAGGTGCCTCACCCATCTGGGAGCAATAGTGGATGCTATGATGCACTGCCCAGACCCCTCCTCCCTTCAGGACCAAGGCACTCATTTTCCCAGCTGTGAGAAGTGCTGCCAGCCGATGGTTCACAGCTGAGACCCTCTGCAGGAAGTGCCTCAGAGGAAGGAACCGGTCTCAGCTAGGATTATGGTGCCTCCCCAGGAGCAGCCTACATGGAGTGACTGATCAATGCAACGTTCAAAGTCCCGGACCCCTGCCTCCATTCCAGACATTATAAAGGCCACCCAGCTCCAGAGCTCCCTTTGGGATCTGCTGAGGCTTTGTTATAGCAACATCACAGCTCATCTTCTCCCTCTCTCCAAGCCTGCTTCTCTTAACACCTCATAGGTGTTACTGAGAGCACTTCCCAGTAAACCTCCTGCAAGAAAACCTCCGTAACAGAGTCTGTTTCTCAGGAAATCTACCCTACCATAGAGGCCTAGGTGGGAAGAAGACCAAGGATCCTGACTCCTGGCCCAGTGTTTTCCCCTCACACCAGCTGATGGTGGGTAGAATTTACTGTGAAAATCTCTAGGACCAACCAAGAGGCCAAACAGATAATGGCTGGTATTTTTCAGCTGTTTTCCACCCCCCTCCCTCATTCTTTCTCAAACCAAAGTGCCACTTCTGCTGAGGATAAAATTATCCTCATTTATACTGTTCTGTAAGTAGTAAAGAAACTACTAGAAAAGTTCTACTAAAAAGTAGAACTAGAAAGAAAAAAAACTCTGCTCATTGAGTATCTGTGACCTGCCAGGTGCTTTTTTCCATGAGATCTGTCCTTGAAAAGGGGCTAAATGGGGCCGGGCGCGATGGCTCACACCTGTAATCCCAGCACTTTGGGAGGCCAAGGGCCATCCTGGCTAACACGGTGAAACCCTGTCTCTACTAAAATAAAAAAAAATTAGCCGGGCATGGTAGCGGGTGTCTGTAGTCCCAGCTACTCAAGAGGGTGAGGCAGGAGAATGGCGTGAACTCGGGAGGCGGAGCTTGCAGTGAGTCGAGATAGCTCCACTGCACTCCAGCCTGGGCGACAGAGCAAGACTCCGTCTCAAAAAAAAAAAAAAAAAAAAAATTTTGAAAGAGCCTAAACCAAACAGCAGACAATATAAAGGGAGAGAAATTAAGATTGCTTCCTAACATTGACCAGGCCTTGCTCAGGCTGGCCTGCCTGCTTGGGCGTCTGGGTTAGGAAGTGTTTTCTCAGCCCATCCTGCTCTCAGTCCTGAAACTGAACTACGTTTAAGTCTTTCCATTAGTCTTTGATTGTATTTCTTGGTACACACAAAAATAAGAAATATGCCCTTGCTCTTATTTTGTGGTAAACACAAGTTCCATGTGGTTTATGTCACTGACAACCTTTTATCTAAAGATCCTTGTTAATATTTGAGTCTATGGATGGATTTGACAAGACCTTTAACAGTTTAGAGAAAAGTTAGTTCTTCATACCAAGATACTGGTGTCACCAATTCTTTTTCTTTCTACAACCCTTCCCCCAACCCCCAAAGGAAGTGAGGCAGGGTGGGGACTTTGAGGCCAGCCCCAGGCCCACTTGTTGTGTGTGGCAAGGTTTGGAAAATGAAAACCAGAGGCATCTCAAAGAGCATTCTGTTTGGGCTCTGGGGCAAGCCTGGGCACTCTGCCAGAGCAGCTGGGAACTCTGGTGAGGCACTTTGATGCAAATGCCCAGCTGGGCCCAGTTCATTCTTTATTTACCCCACAGGGCTATCCATAGGGTATTTGTTCTCTGTACCACTAGAACACATGGAGACCATCATCCTCCTGCAATATACACTGAACACTGACAACATGCCAGATGACGGAACCAGGATGGCAGGACACAATCCAGGTAAAGCAAGGTCCTTGTAGTGAGAGAGCCCTAAGGCTGAATCCTGGCTCCCAGACTAATAGCTGTGGGCAAGCTACTTAACCTGTAAGCCTCAGTAAACTCATCTATACAACACAGGTAATGCTCACTTTATTGATGGGAAGCTTAATGAAATAAGGAATATGAAGATATTGACACAGTGCTTGGCTCCTAGTAAGTAGCTCAATAAAAGAAAGTTATGATAGTCAAATAATACTTTCCACCTGCTAGCACTGGCAAAGATAATGCTCTGGAAAGGCTCTTCATTGTGTTCTTTTCTCTTTAACATTTGTCCATCTAAGCACAGTGGCTTGGTTGGCAGTACCCTAATGTGGGGTTAACAGCATCATTAATTCTGAAAATTTTAAGGTTATCTTATACCCAAGCAGAAGGACAACAAAGGCCCTTTTTAGTTGATCATTTGCCATTTGTCCTTAACTGACCATGTCCCTACTGATGAAGTTCACATATTCAGATAACACAGATGTTTTTGAAAGTCTATTCTCTTGAGAATAATAAAACAGGTATTGTAAGAAATGTTAACATCATTCTTGTCCTAAGAAGATCTTCCTGAATTATCCAATTATGTGCCTGGATTCTCTGTGGAGGTTTGACAGGCGCAGTCCCAGTCCCAAACTTGGTGTGGAATCAACTTCTCCCTGACCTTCTGTACTGAGTAGGGGTATATAGCGGTAACCTCCAAGAAAACTGCTCAGAAATGCCCCAGTGTGAGGCTGAGCATGAGTGCAGAGTGCTCACAATTGCTGCATTTGATGAGTTAAGTTTATACCCCTGACTGTCTCAGGACACTCTCCATCTTCCAAATGTACCTCAGTAATAATGCTAATGATTGCAAGTAGCACCTTTCTTGTATCTCATTTATTTTTACCCCAAATTGTGAAAGCTTGAAAGAATTTACTGACTGCTTGGATTTTCTGACTAATTGGGGTAACTCTGTGTTATAGCCATTAGGAGATTTAAATATAGCTCTTCTTGAGCAATACTCTTTATTGGATCCCCTGTTATCCTTTAAATATCTTGGTGTGCAAGTGGATAAAATTAGAAAGAATTTGTTTGCTTTAAATTACCAACCTCTGCTTGATAAAACTATTAGCGATTTAGCTAATTGGACGGCTCTTCCATTATCATTAATTGGCAGAGTTAATACTATTAAAATGGTTGTTTTATCTAAACGTTTGTATTTATTTCAATGCTTTCCCATCAAGCCACCTAAGAATGCTCTAAAGCTTTGAATTCTGCAATTAGTTTTGTTTTATGGGCTACAAATAAGTTAAGATTAATCTTAAAACAACAACCACTCTAGCAGGCCAAAGGATTATTTCTTCTTTATGAAAAGTTGGATACATATTGGACTTTTTTGATCAGGCTTTGTCCATTGTTTTTAGATATCCTCAATAAGAAGTGTCACAGTCCAAAAGAAATTGAAAAGTGATTCTTGTTAATATTCTTTATCTTGTAAAAACGTTACAAGGGAACTTTATTTCCCACTTATATATGTATTCAATCACCCATTCATTCAGCAAATATTTATTGTGAATTTCTTATATGCACCAATCACTACACTATGTTGCAGAAGATTTCAAAGGTGAATAAAATGCAGTTTTTGCCCTCAGAAGTTGAAATATTAGGGGTGAAAAGGAAGCAAATAACAGCAGATAATGTGGGAAGTGCTAGGTCAGCATGAGTATCATGCTGGGACAGAGCAATGAGTGTTGCTAAATCTGCCTAGGGGATCGAAAAAGGCTTCCCAGAGAGGGTGACATCTGAGCTGGATCTTAAAGGATGGTTGCACTCACAAGGCTTTTCCAAGACGTAAAAGAACACCTTGAGTTGTTTTATTTTGAATGATGAGGTAACTTGATTTGTGGGACAGTTAAAATTGTCCACTCAGCTAAAAGGTGACCATTTTCTCTTTGGTGGATCAGGAGAATTCTGTAGACATAATGCATCTTCAGCAGACCCTTGACTAAGGCTTTCATGATTTCTTTGAATGTCAAGATTGGGACATGTGAGCAGAATGATGGCACAGGTATATAAAATCCTAGCTGGTTGAAAAATGGTCCCCAGTGTGTTCATTATTGTGTTAATGTTAACCCAGAGAAAGGTTGCAGCGATATGCCAATGGGTTCTCTCTTTGGCTGTGTCCTGCTCAAAGTTTGTAATAACCTGGATAAGGACATAGAGACTACATGATACCAATTGAAGACAAGGACAGCCAATATACTAATAGGTCAACCATGAATTTATAAAGATTTCAAGAGGCTAGAATAAAGGGTCAAAGTTAATCATATATAATTAAATGAGAAAAAGTAATGTTTCACCCAAATTTGTCCCACTTGCTGAAGTACAAGCAGGGAATCCCTGGCTTATTACGGCATTGTGAGGCAATAGAAAATGCTTCAGATTTGGAGTCAAAGGTCTAGGTTCAAGTCCTAGCTTGGCTGACATCGGTATGTAATTTCAAGCATCACTCTAAACTTATTTGAGCCTCGGTTTCTCTGTCTTTATGGGCTGAATATTTGTGTAGTCTCTCCCACAAAAATGTGTATGTTGACATCTAATCCCCAATATGATTGTATTGGGAGGTGGAGCCTTTGGGAGGTAATTAGGTCATAAGGCTAGAACCCTCATAAATGGGATTAGTGTCCTTATGAGAAAAGACCAGAGAGCTAACTCACTCTCTTTCTGCCATGGAGAATACAATGAGAAGTTGGCAGCCTGCAATATGGAAGAGGGCCTTCACCAGAACTCATCCATGCTGGTATCTGGGACTTCCAGCGTCCAGAACTGTGAGAAATCAATTTCTGTTGTTTATAAGCCATCCAGTCTATGGTACTTTGTTATAGCATCCCAAACTGACTATAACACCATCCATAACCTGGAAATAATAATACAAGTTCACAGAGATGTTGTGAGAATTAGGTATGTAGAAACAACTTTACAAACTATATGTCATTGGACAAAAGTTATTGTCTATAGTACTTATGATAGTAATGGTAATAATAATAGTAACTTATATGAAGTCCTGAAATTTTAGTTAGTTAAATTCTAACCCAGAGTTAACTAACAGTTTGACGTGGCTTTCAAAATAGCCACTGTAGTCATGGGCTGCATTACTGGAACAATGGAGTCAGAACTGTATTCCCACTAGATTCACCTAGAACCCATCTGGCATCCTGGGTTCAGTTCTGGTCCTTGTGGTAACCCTTGTGTCTAAAGCAGAGTTTGACATATAGTGGGTGCTCAGTACCATTTGTGGAATAAATTAATTTTAATACAGATGTTGCAGCATGTCTGCTGTCAGGTAATGAGGATTCTATGAATATAGACACCATAAAAAGTGCTTTTGAAAGTGGAGATGTTTTGTATGAAAAGAGACAATTTATGGAGTAATCACATGTGAAGGAATAGGTCAAGTATAGGGTCTGTTGTACTTGGAGGACAATTATGTAGAAACAGGGGAACAGATTTGACATTTACTAGCACCATCTGCAAGCTACACATTTGAAATAATTATTTTGTTGCTCTGGAAGATAAGCTGAGACTTGAGGGTAGAGGTTACAGGAAGTCATACTTTGGCCCAACAAACAGAGGTAATATCTAAAATTAGGCATCCCCCCAACGAGGAAATAGCTTGGCTTTTGAGTTACTTGTTTAAGCAGAATGTTTTGGGAGAGATTACTCACGTGTAAGAAATCAAAGTACATCACTGATTCCCAAACTTGCTTTGGCATTGCCTGTGGAGCTCGTTAAAAATGTAGATGCATAGATGGAATTAGAATCTAAGGACATGATGTCCACTACCCAGCCTCCTGTATTTTTAACAACTCTGCAGATAATTCTGATATATAAGACACATAAGGCTGAGAATCAGTGACTCACGCCTGTAATCTCAACCCTTTGGGAGGCTGAGGCAGTTGGATCGCTTGAGCCCAGGAGTTCAAGATGAGCCTGGGCAACATAGTAAGGCCACATCTCTATTTGCATCTCTATTTGCAACAAAAATTTTAAAAATCTATTTAAAACTGCCCTGATGATAAAAATATCATGTTGTGTAAACAGTTTCCCAGTCCCCATCCCTGGAGATTCAAATTCAACAGGAATGGAATAAGAACAAGGAATTAGCATCATCAGGAGCATGTGAAAAACACTGGACTAGACAATCTTTAATATTCTTTCCAACTTCAAAGATTCTAAAGATCTGATCCAACTATAGCTTCTTGTTGGTTCTGAATAACAGTTTTGAACAATGCAAGGATTAGGGGTGCTGACCCCTCCCTATGCAGTTGAAAATTGAGTATGAATTTTTTTTTTTTTTTGAGACATAGTCTTGCTCTGTCACTCAGGCTGGAGTGCAGTGGCACGATCTTGGCTCACTGCAACCTCCGCCTCCCAAGTTCAAGAAATTCTCCTGACTCAGCCTCCCAAGTAGCTGGGATTACAGGCATGCACCACCACACCTGGCTAATTTTTATATTTTTAATAGAGACAGGGCTTCACCATTTTGGCCAGGCTGGTCTCAAACTCCTGACCTCAGGTGATCTGCCCAACTCGGCCTCCCAAAGTGCTAGGATTACAGGCATATGCCACCGTGCCTGGCCTAAAATTGAGTTTAACTTCCAACACTCCAAACAAAAACTGAACTACTAATAGCCTACCACTGACCAGATAGATGCCTTACCAGTAACATAAACAGTTGATTAACACAATTTTGTATGTTGTATGTATTATATATGCATTCTTACAATAAAGTAAGCTAGAGAAAAGAAAATGTTAAAAAGAAAATAATAAAGAATAGAAAATATATTTAGTATTTGTATTCATCTGTTCTCATGCTGCTAATAAAGACATACCCGAGACTGGGTAATTTACAGAGGAAAGAGGTTTAATTGACTCACAGTTCCACATGGCTGGGGAGGCCTCACAATCATGGTGGGAGATGAAGGAAGAGCAAAGGGATGTCTTACATGGCAGCAGGCAAGAGAGGTCATGTGCAGGGGAACTCCACCAAACCTAGTGAGATTTATTCACTAACACAAGAACAGCACAGGAAAAACCTGCCTCCATGATTTGACCACCTCCCACTGGGTCCCTCCCATGACATGTGGGGATTATTACAGTAAAAGGTGGGATTTGGGTCAGGACAGAGACAAACAATATCACTATTCATTAAGTGGAAGTAGATCATCATAAAGGTCTTCATCCTCATCATCTTCACATTGAGTCAGCTGAGGAGCAGGAGGAAGAGAATATAGTCTTGCTGTCTCAGGGATGGCAGAGGTGGAAGAGATAGAGGCAGTGGAAGAGGAAGCAGGAGAGGCAATCACACTCAGTGTAACTTTTATTGAAAAAAATCTACATTTAAGTGGACTCCCACAGTTCAACTCCATGTTATTCAAGGGTCAACTGTACTTGAATTACAGTAATGAAGCCACAAGCAAAAATATGTATGCCTTTAGCTTGCCATGATATTCTTCATATGGTGTCTCTAAAGAACCAAACACATTCTTTAATAAACTAAATTGCAATGAACATTTTGACTTTCCAATTGGCTGCAGTTTACTATTTTGGCTAATGTCAGTAAATATATGTTCAGATGTATGCAAATGACAAGTGACTTGTTTTAAAGAGTTATTCAGTATAAACAGACTTTAGGGCTTTGATGAGTCAAGGGTTGAATGTGATATATTCGAATAAATGTTTTATAAATGCTTTCATTTAAATGTACTCCATTCTCTGAAAATGTGCACTTGTAAGTCACTAGAGTTTCATTCTAGCCACATTCTCTGTCTTCATCTAATATTTTACCCTAAAACAGAGGTGGGAAAGTGTACAAGTGTTTGACTTCTGAGCTGCCATCACATTCAGCAACTTTCACTAATTTTTGATAGTCTCACCTGAATCAGCTAAAGAATAATGCTCTACCTCAATGACCCCAGATCTAGATCTTCTGCCATTCCTCTCTTCTTTCTTTGATTCCTTACAGCTTAGAACCAAAAGCAAAGCTTTCTATGTGTTTTTGAGAAAGTGGCTGGGAAAAGGATGAAAAGGAAATTATTAAAGAGCAGGTAAAATGTGATTTTTGCATGTAGGCTTTTCTTGCAGAATACAGTTCCCTTAGTCCGGAAGGAGAAGACTCAGGCAACAGCTGCAGCCCCAGATCTGTTTGTGTCTCTACCCAGGGTAGATGATGCTTTGAGGGACTGAAAATCTTGCATACTCAGCTTATGAGATGTAGGTTACAGATAAAGATGAAGATGAAAGAAAGATAAGTAGCCAGGAACAGAAAAGACAATGATGAGTATATGTATACGCTCCATGACTCAGAGGATAGAAAGTAAACCACACCTTTAGCTTAACCCTTTGTTCTGGTAACAGAAAAGCGTGTTCTGAGATTCTTTAGCTGATAACAGTAGTTTTTATTTCAAAGGTGGTGAGGGCAGGAAGGAAGGTAATCAAATGGATTAGGGAGAATCAAGAATCAAGTCATGTTATTTGGGAACACATTGACAAAGCAAGTAAAATTATTGGAGGATACATTTTTCTTGATTATTTCTCAAAATGTGGTCTAGGAGCATATATAGGTCAAAATGAACGAATAGGGCATTTTTTTTAATCATCCAAGATGTTTTACTTTAATGACCAAAACAGATGCTTTGGTTTAAAGACAAATTGAGTAAGCAAATCTTCCTCCCAAAACTGTGTGCTGACGTATTTCCCCAAAATGCCATCCTTTCTCCTTTCTTCCCTACCCTCACCATGTGACATAATCTGGAGATCGCCTTTTCTAGCTCCTGTGCATTCCCTAAAGAAGAGAGCTAGGGAATCCATGCTATTTCCCCAAAGAATCTAAGCTTTCTCAGAGTAAGAAAAAGCCTATAAGCAACAAATAAGTAAAGGCTCAGCATTTCTCCTTCCTCCAAGTGGTAAAAGATGGAAGGGAAGGTGAGAGAAAGCATCAGAAGGAAAGCTACCCAGGAGAACAACTTCTCCCCTCGGCGGACAGGAGAGAAAAGGGGACAGATTGCAACAACCCACCCATCACAATTGCTCTGAGCACTCTGCCCTGCTATAGAGAATGGCTGGGTCCTTTCCCTAGTCCTCAAGTGACCTGTCTCAAGGCAGTGTCCTGGAACACCGCCTCCCTGGAGAGGGTCAACCAAGCTAGTGGCTGATCTTGCATTCAGTTGTTTTGTTCACTCCAAGTCCTCACACCCTCTGCACAATTCAGTTCAATTCAGCACGCATTTGTTGAGCCCCTACTACGTGCCAGACTCCCCAAGAGGGCAGTAGCACAAAGGTAAGTACTGTAATCTGGTTTCTGCCTCACAGCCTGTCTGCACAGGACAACACAGTTAGCTAATAATGAAGACTTTACAAATTACACAAAGCTGTGACATTTGCCAAGGAAGGACGAATGTGGAAATGAAATTGGATTTCAGTGCACCAGTTATCACTTGGGGCTGGGGCCTCTTTCTGCAACATGTGCCTTTCTACATTTGTATAAAGCTTTAGAGTTTACAAAGTCTTCCCATATACATGATCTCATTGTGAAATATTGAGAGTCAGCTTGTCTTTTGCAATTCACAGATGACAAAACTGAGGCTAAGAAAAATTAAGGACACATTGCGCTAAGATGTTTTATAAAATAATATTATTCAATGGCCAATATACAAAAAAAGGGGGGGCTGGCTCCCTATTATAATATTACGCCCTTTTAGGAGGAACTGTAAGTACTTCCAAAATATATCTTCAATTACTCCAAAGAATAAGGTTTAGAGGGAAGAAGATGCCAAGTATTATAAGCGTATTTTACTAATGGAGAAGAGGAATTAAGTCACAGCCTTCACACGGTGCCCAGGAGATAAGACAATACAGCTTCTCAGTGTCTCGTCTGGAACATTATTCTCTGGACTGCTAGAATAAGAGTCCTGTAGACGGAGTCAAACATGGGTTCAAGTGACCTCAGCATCAGAACACAAGTCAAAGACCACAGGAAATTTCCCCAATTGCACAGTTTACTGGGCAAATGACTTAATCAACTTGGACTTAAAATAACATCTCTGGGTGGGGGCAGAAATTAAAAAGACTGTCTTTCAGGAAGATGTGGGAGCTGAGGAGTTATTACCTCATAAGGACCCATCTAAAAAACTGTGCTGTAGATGCTGGATATGCCAAGCTTTGATGAGGCCTTCAGGGCTAGAAAATAGTCTACGCACATTGAAATGGGTTGGAGCTCCTCAGATGAAAGACATCTCTATAAGACATGTGGATGTGTATTAGATAATCTTTGACATATGTTTAATATTTAGATTTCCAAGATTACTCATGTTAATATCCGCTGCACATCTTACTTTTTTGCCTTTTGTGCACACTGGGAGATGTGGGTTTGGACACATTTCAAGCCAGATTTGTTCCTGTTGCTTTATTGCTGCTAACCACAGGGTCACTAAAATGAGAAAATCATCTGCTTCTTCCTCTACTGAACTTTGAATTCAAAACTTACATACTTTTTTTTAAAGGGAGGAAAGAAACATGCAAATGAATAATGAATGCAGTAAAAATAAATGTGTGGTTCTGGGCCCCATTTAATTTTTCTTAAATGACAGCGTTGTTAATGCTATGAAATATTTTCTCTGATAAATGTGAGTTAGCTAATTTGCATGAATGGCTAGTCTGTCATTTTTCTAGTCTGTTGAGTTATGGGTTTTAAAAAATAGGTTCTTTTCTGTATGGCTTTTAATATATTGTTATTATATGTGATCACTGAGCTTTCCTAATGGCACATTGAAAACATGGGTTTCATCTCTTTAAAAAAATAGAAATTAATTTTGAAGAAGTAATTTATGCAATAATGAAGTTCTTCGGATAAATGTATTTATAAGGAAAAACCATTTACACGTTATTCAGTATTTCTTTTTAACACATACACAAAAAAGAATCTATTTTCTGCCAAAGTCTTAATCGCAGAAAATTTGGGAAGTTTAAAATTAAGGCTGCTAGGGTCCCCCTTCATGCGTAAGCTTCGGTAATTTCCCAGACTGAAGAAAAAAGGGCGCTTACAAAACCTCCTTTGTGCACCTGTGCCACAATAAGTTGAGAAGCTAAAGAAAGGTCATTTGATTCTGAACCTTGAATTTTGCTACATTCATGCAAGTTAAATAATAATGTTAACAGTCCTACAGAGAGGTGTCTGTCAGTGGCCTCACTTTGAATAGAGCAAGTAAAAAGAGAATGAGCGTAGCAAAGGAAGGGAAGAATTTCAACCAGCACATCACTCCCATCTTCTTTCTTTTCTAACAGTTTTAAATTAAACTCAGTGTCCCCTGAAACCTTAAGGTCGATGCCTATGCCTCAAAATTGCCAACGACACGTCAATGGCAGTGTTTCCCCCAGTAAACCTATGACAAAAGGAACATGGATGAAATTGTAATCCATGAGGCAATTACTTCAGAGTTATAAGCTTTAGAAAATAGCATTATATGACTCCGGAAGTGCCATCTCAGCAATCATCACTGTGTAAAGCACTAATGAATAAGTGCTCTCTGGCTGCCTTAGCTCATAAATGACAGACTACTAAAATGAAGGAACACTACATCTGATTGAAATCCACTAGGCATGGACAAGTAGAAGTGAGTTGATGCAGTCAAATGGCCATGGCCTAGGGTTTTGCTTCAGCACCAAGTAGGGAGGCCTTAGACTCTAGGGTGTATAAACCTGAGTTCAAATCCCCCTTGGCTACCCGCCTGCTCCCTTATCTCCTCTGCACAGCTCCTTCCAAGTATGGAGTAAGTTCCACATGTTAGCTGTTGTTATTAATGTATTTGTAAAATGAGGAGAATAAGACCCACTTTATAGCACTATTTTGAGGATTACTGATAAGACATTTATAACTCCAAACACAATACATGGCTTTTAAGTAGCTGCTACTTGTCCTACTGTTGTGTCATTATCATTAGAATTATTTTCATTAGAAAGCAAACTATTAATAAAAGCAGGGATTGTGTCTATTCAATTTAGTGATGTGTTCCCAGCATTTAGGCCAGTGCCTGGATATAGAATAGTCTACTCAATCCTTCTCTCTTAATAGCACTGACAATAATTCAGACCATATCCACTATTTGTTTGTTTTTTAAGTGTAAGCCTCGAATTTCACACTCAAAACTAAAGCGTCCTGTGAAAGTTGCGACTATTTGGCTGGATGGCCAGTTCAAAGTAGCTGTAGATCAAGGACATGCTCTGGAATCACTGGATCTGAGACCCAGTGGTTTTTGTGGCCCTGTAACTTAATGTGACAAGGGAACTTTTCTGAGCTTCAAACTATCTCTGAAATGAGGAATAAAGACATTATATGGCTTACCTTCTCCAATTCTATTGTTTCAGGAGCCAGGTGGGATATATGTAAATATATATATTTATAAATATGAAAAACATTGGACAATGTTTCATGTTCTACAAATGTTACTTATAATAAATAGTGCTTATTATTATCCACCAATGCACTTGAACACCTTGTTGGTCTATGAACAAAAGTAACTGTATTGACCTAGACCAGGGTCAGCAAACTGCAGCCTGCAGGCCAAATCTGGCCTGTAAGCTAAACATGAGTTTTACATTTTTAGATGCTTGAAAACAATCAAAACAAGAATAGTATTTCATGACACACCTGCAAAGCCTACAATGTTTAATATCCGGGCCTTTACAGAAAGTGTTTGCCACCCCCTAGCTCAAAGAGTTTATATTAATAACATTTTTAGTTTTCTTTAGGATCAAGCCTTAAAGCAGGTAGAAAGTATGCACAATTAGTGCTGGGCCTGGCAGCAGCCCAGGTTAGCAGAAAGAACACTTCCTTAGAAGCTGGCTCTAGGTGTGCCTCACCGGCCTTATGTACTTCCTCCAGTCCCGGCTGAAATTGCATCTTCCCTGCTTGCTTGTTTGCTTCTCTCAAACCTACATGAGCCTGCAATTTCTATGCAGCCAACGTCAGTGTCCCTATTGTTCACCTCTTTATTCTTGGCACCTATCTCACTGCAGGGATTTCTAAGTATTTTTTTGAGTGAATGAGTGACTGAATTAATTCAGTTATCCATTCATCCACTCTTCAAGGGTCAGCTTAACCCTTTGCCCTTCCATGAAACCTTCAGAAACCACTCCAACGCAGAGGACTCTTTTGTATCCTAGAGTCACATGCCCTCCTTGGCCCAAGCCAGACAATGCATAATATAGGGCTTTCAGGTACTCTTGAAATATTGCCCCATGTTCAGTTAACAACAGCTCAGGTGACTCATTTGTTATGTATTCATACTTTGGTTCTTCCAATTAGATGACAAACTGCCTGAGTGTCAGATCCAGCGTGGCTCCCAGACTCCACACCTGGCTTCCTCTTTAAAACCTGGCACAGAAATCCATCTGTCCTTTCAGCAAAACATATTAAGCCACTCTAACCCCTAGGCCATGACCCAACATGGTCTGCTGCTGGTCTGCCCTGGACGTCAGCCCCTCTGAGTTCCTGCCTGCTAGGTTGAGCCCAGGGTCCCTGCTTTACCCATGTTTTGGGTACTGACTTTCAGCTTTCTTCCTTTGTTTCTGGGCCCCAATCTTGGTGATTTGAGTCCAGGCTTGGCTTCTACTTTGCCCCTCCACAGGGGGTGGAGTCCCATCTCTCATCCCAGCCTGGTGCTCGAGGCTACATAATGTGCACCCACCTGCTCTTGCTACTGACAGTCTCCTGCCTTCCTGACCTTCCAGCCATTTGCTCTCAGGCTCCCATTGTTAGGTGCAGTCTGGACACCCACCGCCTCATTTTGTGCCATATTCACAATTACGTGCCAGGACTGTAACTCCCAGAACATCATGCCTTAGTCATTCTCTTCTGGTCTACTCCAGCCTCTGGGAAGCTGCCACAGGTCTGAAATTTGGAAGAGACTCTGTGACTCACACTTCTTTCTGTCTTCAGTCTGCCTGTACGGTGCTTGAACCACTGTAGGCTTATCAGAGGAGTTCCACAAAGATCCATCGGTTGACCCAGCTTTAAAAATAAGATAAAAGATGGTCACAATTCATAGTAGGTCATATCTAAGTTTCTTGTGTTTCTAACTTTGTGGTTCCCACCCATCAGACCCAACATCTCCTTTTTATAACATTTATAATCCTCCCTTTACTATCCTGAACATATATATTATAATAGCATATTACCCACACGTATATTTTTTAAATATCAATATAATGACCAAAATGTAATATAAAAGAGAAACAAAAGGAAACTAATTCATAACAAAGTGTATATTTAAATATGTACATATGAAAGGCATGATGAAGTGGTCAAATGCTTGTATCTATTTGTGAAATCACAGCCACAAATGCCACTCAAATATCAGAGTAGCATTGCTGCCAGTGATGTTATTTTCTCAGTGTCTAATTCTTGGCAAAGTTCTGAACCAAACAAAATAGAATATTCCCCTAACTTACAAGTTAGATGTAAATTCATGGAAATTTTAGTGTGTATTAAAATTGGGCAACAAAATATGTCAACTGGAGTTAGGTCATAGGTATAGATCATTATAAACAGTTTCACCTACATGAAAGCCTGGCAGTGCATTCAAAAGCTATGTGGGATGCTGCACGATTCTACAATTCTTCACTGAGTAGGACTGTCCTGAGAATAGCAGAAGTCTAGCATCTCTGGCTCCCACATAGTTTTGTGGCATCTGAAAAACGCTGTCAGAAATTCCCAAAACACCCTGTAGTGGGCAAGAGCACCTCCATGGAGAACTACTGATCTAACCTACCTATTAAAAACTGTCCTACATTCAGAACCTATTGAAGGCGGAGCATCTCTTCTGACCTTGACACCCTGAGTAAAGGGTTTGAGTGAGTGCCTGTTGTGAAGGTGCTGGCACAACCCAGATCATAACCCAAGGTCAAGGTTGGATGAGCCAAAGATCTCAGCACTACCCAATCTTGAGGCTGTTATGCCCTGAGGTTACAAGAGGAGTCTTAGTAGCACAGTGGAAATATGGAAGTTTCCCTCTAGCCAATTAATTAGATTAAAAAGCAAAACCATCAGCATTTCCTTACTCCACTTACTCTCTGCATCATATACTCATTTTGCTCTTTAAACTCATCGAATTTAAGGGTTGACAGTAAATCTATCCCTCTGCATGCAGCATTCAGATTCATCTCTTACATTTCATTTCCTGTCTCTCAAACTCACCCTTTCCATTCCATCCCTTAAAACACCCCTACTCCAGACTCTCTTTCCCCAGTCTTTGGATTCCTCTTTCTCCCTCTCCACTTGCCTTCCCACCTCGGTCTCTCTCAGCCCCAGGATGGCTGCATGTCTACATGGTGTAAGTAGGCCAGACTTTTTCCATCACGCTTATTCTGGTTCTCTCTGGGAAGGAACTCTGAGGGGTCTCCAAGATGTATGGCATGTAAGTTCAGTTGCAACCTGACATTTCTGAAGGCACTCCTGTACTCTTTGCTCTGCTGCACCCATGTTCTGTTTCTGTAAGGTGAGATATCTGTTCGCATGGCATCCACTCCATTTTTGGAATCTTTTCTCTTGCTTTCCACCTAGGATGACTTTTTGCCATCCTTTTGCCTATTCAAGTCTTAACAGCCCTTCAGAAACAGCTTAAATATGGCCTCCTCCAGGAAGCCTTCCTAAATGCTCTCCCTTTGAGTTTTTGTGCCATTTTCATATTGAGTCTCTTTTGCTTTAACCTTGAATACTAAGGTCTCTTTTGGATTCGTTTGTGTTCACAAGAGCACCTAGGAACTTGTCACAGTAATATGAGTGTCCAACACATTCTTGTAGTTTTTATGAACTCAAAAAAGGCGGTGGGTGGGTAAGACTGATCCCATATTTGAAATATTTGGGGTGGAGATTCCCTCACCTTCCTTCAAAATCACTTTATTTCCCCTCAGCTAACATAGAATTCCCTCAGGAGACCCGCTGACCCAGAGGAACATGTGCCCCTCTTTTCGCCATGATATTAGTGCATTGAAAGTAGAGGTATAACTTCAGGGTGGCTCTGAAAACATTAACTAAGACAATAATAAATTAACACAATAGTCAACTAATAGCACCGTGATGCTTTCATGTATGAATTGGAATGTGAGCACTGAGATTTTCATTTCATGGTTGAAAAATACATGAGTTGACCCAAATACTAATTTCTGCATTTCCATCATTTACATATCATGGGTCAGTAATCATTTCTTGCCTAAATGGCTTTCCAAATGAAAAGCTATAATATTGTAATGGTTTATCATATTTACAAACATCGCATTGTGCTACCCACTTGGTACTCTGGATTTGCAAACAAGCAGACCCCATTCTCTGGAAAGGCAGGAGCGGTGCCGGAGAAGAGTGAGAAAGTTCCCCAAGGAGAGAGCCATTTGTTTCTTCCTCCCTAAGGTTCATGAGTCTAGGAACCTCTATTCCACGGAGACATCTTCCAGCCACCTCATTTCTCCTGCATGCCATTTGGTCAGCAGGGGCTAGGGATGGACGCTGCCTGTGTTATGGTGATCATTCTCTGCTCTGGGGCCGAAAACTCTGGTTACTTTGAAAATATCTCCTTGCAAGGCTAGACCTGCTGAGAGAGCGGATGTGATATTTGGGAAGGATAATGCAACCTGATTTTTTTTTATTATAGTTCAGAACAACATCAAGTGAAATGTCTAAGGTGATTTTATTCCTCATTTTAATGCTATGATAATACAAATCAGAACATGACTTTACCAGTCTTTCATTGAAGCCCCATGCTTGTTGCTCGACTTCTTCACAGTGTCCATAGTCATCTGTTACTTTAGGGGTCTCACTCTTGTCGTTGGGTACTACATGTTTTAGAAATCTGTGTTTTTTAAAAATAATAGAGTTGGCCGGGTGCGGTGGCTCACGCCTGTAATCCCAGCACTTTGGGAGGCCGAGATGGGTGGGTCACCTGGTCGGAAGTTCGACACCAACCTGACCAACATGGTGAAACCCTGTCTCTACTAAAAATAGAAAAAATTAGCCAAGTGTGGTGGCACATGCCTGTAATCCCAGCTACTTGGGAGGCCGAGGCAGGAGAATTGCTTGAACCCGGGAGGTGGAGGTTGTGGTGAGCCGAGATCGCGCCATTGCACTCCAGCCTGGGCAACAAGAGCAAAAACTCCGTCTAAAAAAATAAATAAATAATAATAATAATAATAATAGAGTTAGAGCCATAGAGTAATGGGGATCTGATATAACAATTACACCCTGCCCCAGCAGGCTTAGTTTACACATCTGCCTTGCTCCTTAATTATAACTTGGGGTTGAATGTCAGTTGCAAGCATTTGTAGGGACGGTCACCCTTCTGCATTCACACATGAACACACTCATCCCGAGGTGTTCTCTGAACAACACCCCCTTGGTTGGGCTTCTGTTACTCCTACTTTGGCTCAAATACACAAAAGGAAGCTAAAGAAGAAGTGTTGAGGTCCTTTATTAGGCTCTCCTGTGAATCTGGTTTCAGGACTAGAAAGCAATGCAGCAGTGCGTGATTTATGTAATCCCTCCCACTGCTGCTTTTCCTGATTTTTAGGGTGATGTACAAGGAGTGAGTTAGCTAATAGTTGACTGGTCACATTTCACATCATTGCCTGTGCATCCTAGGATGGAGGGCATAAAAACAGTAACACAGGCTGGAGAGGTGGTGGGGAGGGATTTAGCTGTTAATGGAAATTTCTCCTTCAGACCCTCTGAAAAAAAATGTTACCTTTTTGAGGATGGCTCTCTATTTTTTTCTCCCTAGCCCCTATGTTTTAAAAAAGCTAAGGCTGTGTGTGTGTGTGTGTGTGTGTGTGTGTGTGTGTGTGTGTGTTTTGAAGGGAGCAGGCACAAAAGGGAGGGGAGTGGAAAGTGATTATTATCATCCCAACGTCTTTCTTTAGCAGGCTGCAGCTCTGTTTATGAAATGCCACAGCAAAAGTGAGCTCACGCCTGTGTGCTTCTATCTCACAAGCATTCTGGGTGCCAGATGGGCACTTTGTGACTGTCTGAGCGTGGATTATTTCATTTCTTACATCTGGGACTCCAAACGGCAGCTCAGAAGGCCACAGGAGAGAGGCGCTGCTTTTCAGCTGGGGGAACCCTACCTTCACGAGGGAGCCTAGTGGCACAGTGGTGACAAGGCCAGGAGTTTCCACAGAGAGCGAAATCTGAAAGTTCACGCACATCCAGGCCGTAGGAAACCTTTAGAACTCAGGACAAGATAGAAATTAACAATGACCCATAAGTTATATTAACTGTAGTTTTTGTTGTTGTTGCTGTTAAAGGACAAAGAAAAGAACAAATGCGAACAAACCGTAAGCACTGGCCTTGGAAGATGTTTTCAGAATAATGCTCTGTATTTCAGTTTTGAAATTCTATTGTGGCTTCTTAGTCAAACACCTATAGATAATTACTAGTGGTACAGATAAGTCAACCAAAATGGTCTCCAGCATGTTGACTATACCACAGCCTCTTGGCGTCTTAATCACTTTATTTCAATGAATGGGATAAGGTGTACTGGTGTGAAATTGTAGCAAGGACATTTACTTTTCGCAAGTACTATACCAAAATTGAGTGTACCTAGAGGCAGCACACAATGCCATTCAGATGAAACCAATGGACAGACCAGCAATTCAAAAAGGAGGTTCTTTCTGCTTTTAGGTTTATTGTTGAAAAACCTTACCATCACTGCCATTTCTTCCCCCTCACAAATACTTATCTAAATCACTCCACTTGTCCTGCAGGGGAAACAAATTTTACAAGAATATGTGGCTTAATGTTAAAAAAAAAAAATCTGACAGTTGACTTAACTGTTTTGCATAAGATATTTACAAACCACAGCAGATTAGGGGGGGTTTATGCATTTTCATATCCTGCTTGGTTTAAAGCAGCAATTTTCTGCAAGGACAACAGAGAAAAAAAAACATGCTTTACGCTGCTTATATTAATTACATTTTTTCATTACCCGTCATGTTTTCTGGAGGCTTGTGTATTATTACTGCAAAATGTAATGAAATAGAAAAGGAAGAAAGAATGGACTTCTGGGAAATTTTCCAATTCTTGAAATGCAATGTTAATTGAGAGCTATTTTTAGGGCTGCACAGATAGTGCAGGACCCAGTGCCATCAGTACAAACGGGTCCAGCCCAGGTGCAGCCTCCCCAGTGACAGCCCCAGGTCTTTGCCACTGGAGAGCTGGAAAACCTCAGTCTTCCTTGATGCCAAGTCTACTGAAGGGCACAGAAGGATTTCTGCAGATGATCTCCCAACAGAGGTAAGAGAAGAAAAACGAGGGGAGATGAACATAGAGCCCTTCTGAAACCAGGCCACTGTGATGATTGGTAGCAGTTCCCAGCCTGTCTTCAACTGCCACCCCTTGGACCCAGAATGAAGGAAAACTATTCAGTACTTAGGAAACATTATATATTCATATGGTGAGGCATGATGAAATGGTTTCCAAGGCCCTTCAAATGAAGAATTCAAAAAAGTGCCCACAGGGTGGTGACAAACAGGATCCTTTTTAAGGAACCATCTTCCCCAGCTAGAAAATGACAAGTTTGTAGTCTTAAGTATGTCCTACCAAGGATTTGAGAGAAATTTTTAAAGAACTAGGAACTTTATCGATTGGAGAAATATACTTCCTTTTATTACCAAACCAAACAGACCATAGAACTAATTTCCCACTGATTCGTCTGGATAGGTGACCTTCTAATCCAATGACTCACTTCTCTATTATTACTGTGCCCAAGAATTCCATTTCCTGATGTAGCGTTAGAACCAGCCCTGCAACGATGGAACAGACACACAGCAAACATGTTTACAGGGGCAAGTTTTCTTTCAAAGAAATTATCAGAATGGCTTCAAGGAATTCAGAAACTCTGGGCTCATTTGAAAACTCCCCATCTCAACACACCCTAAAAGCACTTTATGCTCTCTGAATGTCCTAGCCACTCATAAACATTAATCTCTTGCAAATGCATTCTTTTTAAAAAGATTTAAACAACTACTAACCTCCCACTCCCCCATATTACTATAACTTATTGTTTCTTACACTTTTACAAAGTAAACATAAATGCCCATAAAAGTCATCAAGCCAAAACTTGCTTTAGGCTAGGAGACTCAGAAATCCATTTCACCCACTTGTGAATAAACAGAAAGAACAAAGGGGAAGCACTTTCCACTCAATGGTCTCCGAACTATGAGGCGGGTAGCTTGCATATCCCAGCTTCTCTGGGGCCATCCTTCCAGGGTAGTGCCACGGGCTTGCTCAGAAGTCAGCATATTGTGACTACTGTACTGCAATGTTGTCATCAGATGTAGGTTGGCTGTCTGCCCTGAGACTATTGCTTTAGTCCTGACTGACACATTCTTTGAGGCAAAGTGTGTAATAGAGAAATTCCAACATTCTAAGAGTTTCTTCCAGTAGCAAAGTCAATTATGAGAGTAATTGGTAAAATCAGTGGTACTTGGAGTGAGAAGGCAAAATGAAAATGGTGCATGAGAACCAAAAGTTTATAGTTGGGTACAGAGACATATGAAAGTATCCATTTTCCCCGCTGCCTGGATTTAAATTGAGTAGATTAACCCAGATTGTTTCTGTCTAGCCTGGCCCACAGTCAGTAGCCTTTAAGGCTAAACTAACCAGCTGGTGAATATTTCTGGCTTACATCTCTTGCTCATCACTGTGATGACCACAAGCCATCTTCTAGGTACCCCCTGGTTTGCTCCAAGCCGTGCCTCTTCTTGCTCACCTGCTGCTCCAGATTTTGCCTCTTTGGACTTCTGTGGTTGTGTTAATTGATGGAGAAGCTAATTTGCATATCCTTAATATGTGGAACACGACCCTGAAAAATGTAGTTCATTCTGATTTCTGGCTGAGACGGTCTTTCCGACAAGCACCCAACCTCACCTTTATTCTGATCTGCATCTGCCTGCTGGCAAACAGTTTTCTTTGATTACAATCTACTCTGCTATCATCACCAGGACAGACTGAAATGCTTAAATAGCCAACATACTAAAATGGGCTGTTTAATACAATAAAACATATATACAGATGATCCTAGACTTATGATGGGACTACTTCCCAATACAACTCATTGTGGGTCTAAAATGCATTTGCTGTCTCAATAAACCCACTGTAAAGGCAAAAAATTGTGAACTGAACCACCATAATTTGGGGACTGTCTATATATTGTGTATACACAAGTTGAGTATCCCTTATCTGAAATGTGTGGGACTAGAAGTATTTCAGATCTCAAATTTTTTCAAATTTTGGAATATCTGCATATACATAATGATCTATTTTGGGGATGGGACCCAAATCTAAACATGAAATTCATTTATGTTTCATACACATCTTCTGCACATAGCCTGAAGATAACTTTATTTTTCTCTTGGGGTTACTGAATAAACTGCGTGTTGTGCACTTGCATTTTGACTACAATCCACCACCTAAACCCGGGTGTAGGGTTTTCCACATGTGGTGTCATGTCAGTGCTCAAAAATTTCAAATTTGGGGCTGGGTACACTGTCTAATGCCTGTAATCCCAGAACTTTGTGAGGCAGAAGCAGAAAGATAGCCCGAGCCCAGGAGTTTGAGATCAGTTTGGGCAATATACTGAAACCCCCATCTCCACAAAAACTCAACTAAAATAAAAATTAGTCAGACATTTTTGGCGTGCACATGTAGTCTCTGCTACTTGGAAGGCTGAGGTGTGGAGGTGGCTTGAGCCCAGGAAATCCAGGCTGCAGTGAGCCGTGACTGTGCCACTGCACTCTGCCTGGGCAACAAAGCAAAACTCGATCTCAAAAAACAAAAAAAAGTTTTAGATTTTTGGAGTATTTCAGATTTTGAATAAGAGTTTATAGGCTGGGCATGGTGGTACACCTGTAATCCCAGCTACTAGGGAGGTTAAGATGGAAGGATCACTTGAGCCCAGGAGTTCAGACTGGGCACCGTAGCAAGACACAGTCTCTTAAAAAATATTGAATAAGGACTTACAATAAAATGCCACAGTCTCCTACCTGTTTCCTCCCCATGCCCAGCCCCTCTCCCACAGTTAATCATTTTTAAGAATTTTTGTTTATCTGTTTTGTGATTTTCTGGCACTTACCTTTTTAACTCTAACAGGGTTATATCACTATTTCTCTTTCTACCAACTTTAAACAATCACTATTCACTCCCTGCTCTGAATAATATTTAATTACCTTACATTTCCTCCTTCCTCTTTATCTATTTTCCTCTTCCCAATTGCTAAGACTTATAGCTTAGGCTGTCTTACCGGTTACATTTGTAATGTCAAATAATATATCCAATGCCTTTTTCCTGTTTCAGCACATTTATATACGTTAGATAAGAATATTGTTATCCTTATCTTTCACTCTTCCTCCATGCCCCCGTTTCACATCCCAGTATCTGTCAACCCTGTTTATACATGTACATTGTCAAAATGGATAGCATTTATGGTCTTTTCTGTAATCCTAATTAAGCCTTCTGTGGATCTGTCTAAAGATTAATGCTAAAAATAATATATAAGCCTAAAAATAGAGGTTATATGATTACATAAATATTTTCACTCATAGACCAATCTCCTGCCTGATACATCCACCCAGGTGTCTCCTAAATGCTGCTCCCATCTAGACAGTGTGCTCTTCAGCTGCTGCCCAGCTGTCATCCAGAAACTTCTCTCTCTGCCCTTCTAAGTTAGACCGACTCTTCCTGATATCCCTTGCCTTCCTCTTTCATGGTGTTTCTCTTTTGCTGGAGTTCATCCTCAATTAATTTTTTTCAGAATTATAAACTATAATTTATGCCATGTTTGATGTGCTTTTTCCTCTTTACTTGACTAGTGGTTTGGCTGGGAATAGAGTTCTATGGTCAAAATTATTTTCCCTCAGAACTTTGAAGGCATTATTCCATTGTCTTCTAGCATCCAATGTTGCTAATAAGAAGTCAAAAGCTATTCTGATTCTGATTCCCTAGGAGGTTACCTTTTTTTTTTTTCTTTTTTTTTCGGAGTTTTGCTCTTCTTGCCCAGGCTGGAGTGTTATGGCACGATCTTGGCTCACCACAACCTCTGCCTCACGGGTTCAAGTGATTCTCCTGTCTCAGCCTCCTGAGTAGCTGGGATTACAGGCACAAGCCACCATGCCCTGCTAATTTTGTATTTTTAGTAAAGATGGGTTTAGGAGGTAACCATTTTTTTCCTCTATAGGATCTTTTAGAAGTTTCTGTTTTTCCTTAGTGCTCCCAGTTTCATAGGTATGTGCCTAAGTATGGATAAAACCTGGTTTTAAGGAATTTTAACAAAAAGACCCACTTCTTTCTGTCTTCCCTGTTAGGAGTTAGAAAATAAAAGCCATATTTTAGTTTCTGAAACTCACATCGATATTAGGGAAGTAATAAATCATAAATGCATGTAAACATAATATTCTCTTATCTGACAAATTAAATTTAGAGTGTGGAGTTCAAGTATTTATAACCAAGTTAATAAACACATCCTCTTGGGGCCATGCCAAAGTCACTAATTTTATAGTTTTAAAAAAAGCCTTCAAAGGCTATAAAAGTAGAGGTTACCCTTTCCTTATTTATGAGGTAGAAAAAAGAGGCTATATCAGGAGCAAAGAGAATGCCTTCATTTTTTAATATTTTCTTAGATTTACCAAAAACTCAAAAATATTTGACCATATTTTAAGAGACTGATTAATATTACCAAGAAAGTTTAAAGATGAAAGTGTGTAAGGAAGTGTTTCCATGGATAGGTTTTGCATGAGTGCTTTGTCATATAGCAAATGACCCTGGGTTTTAGAACATCAGACCAAGAGAGCAATTTTGGCTCTGCCGTTTTTAGTGAAAAGAAATAAACAAATTACTTAAACTCAATAAAGGTTAGTTTCCTTCCTCACCTACCCCTAACTCTATTGGCTCAACACTGAGGCTTGGAGAGTTATAAATGTTCTGTATCCAGTGTACCATGATGAGATACAAAGGATGCATTTCTAAATGTAACAGGATGTTAAATTGGAAGTTTTGACTGATGTACCAAGATACAATTGATGCTGAATTCCAAAGGAAGTGCTAGACCATATGCAGAATTTCCAAAAAGAGAAACAGAGAAGAACCAGTTGCATAATCCTTGAAATCTGTCACTCACAATGAAGATATAAAAGGGCCCAGAAAGAGAAAATTAAGGAAGCATTTTGTGAGAAGAATTTTAGAAAACAGTGTTTGAGATTCTGGGACTCCCACCCTCCTGAGGAAAGTCAGGGGAGTTTTTGGGACCTTAATGTGTAACTCCTGCAGTTAGAAAACAAGTCATCAGTGTCTAAATTATATCTGAAGAGTTAAAATGGCCCTTGGAAGCAAGGTAATAAACTACATTCAGAAAGTAACTACTCACCAAGGTTAGTGTAAGCTAAGAGCAGAAGAAGAAATAGAAGCCTCAAGATCATTTTTAAGGGCTCTAAGATGGTAGCTTGATAGACCAAGGAAATACATGAGAATTGTCTTCTAATTAAAACACAACTATCTTGAGCTATCCCCCATTTATTCGCACAATTCCCTTTTTAAGTACGTATTTCTATACTGCCCAGAGTAACTTCGTGATTCTACATTCACAAGACATCTGCAACAGTTCTAAGTTATAAGCTAATTAAAAATAGTAGCTGTTATGGACTGAATTGTGTCTTTCTAAAATTCATATGTTAAAATCTAACCCCCAGTATAACTATATTTGGAGATAGGGCTTTTAGGATTTAATTAAGGTTAAATGAGGTCATCCTAAGGCAGAGGAAGTCTTAATCTTACAGGGTTGGTGGCCTTATGAGAAGAAGAGAGAAAGATCTCTCTGCCATGAGAGGACACAGGAAGAAAGTGGCCATCTGCAAGCTGAGAAGAGAGCCCTCACCAGAACCTAACTATGTTGGCACCCTGATTTCACAGTTTCAGCCTCCAGAACTGTGAGAAAATAAATTTCTGTTGTTTAGGCCACTCAGTCTATGGTATTTTGTTATAAGCGCAAGCTGACTAATAGAGTAGCTAATGTTCATTGAGGACCTTCTACATGCCAGACCCCATTCTAATTGCTTTATACCTATTAACTCACAACAGCCCAAAGAAGTGGGTATCATGGCTCCCATCTCTGTTTTGCAGATGATGAAACTGAGGCACACAGAGGGTAACTTGCCCACAGATTCATAGGTAGGAAGTGGCAGAGTTGGGGTTCAACCCAGATGGTCCAGCTCTAAAGCCTGAGCTCTTAGCCATTATGACATCTGCTCTCTAAAGGCTTGGTCAGAACAGTTCCAGAGAAATAAGTCCTCTGTCTTCTATTTTCAGCAAATATGGCCATTTTTACTATTTCACCTAGTTTTTCAAACCTTCAGAAGAGTTTGTGCTGACTTGGAGAGCCCCTGCAAAAGAAATAAAAAGCGAATTTTAAAACTCAGTATTACTTTTCAAAATTAAGGTTGAGTAGGAATGGAACAAAGGAGGAAATAAACAAGTAAATACGGTAGTTGTTGTCCAAAACTGGCCATTCATCAAGATGTGTCAACAACACCGAACTTAAGTTTGATGAGTTCAATATTTTTAAGACTAGCAGAACTTCCTGTGACCTGTATAATTGAGCAGAACTTCTTGGTTAAGATGGGCCTGGGGCTGAACCTCAGCTCTCAAGGCTAAATTTCTTCATTCCATAGTTCTTCCAGGTCACTGTCAAAATCACTGGTAATTTTACACTGCAGTGATCTGTGCCTTTTCCTGGCCTGAGGATAAATAGAAAACTTAACAGTTCTGAGAGCTGTTGACACCATGTACTCAGAAACACAATCAGAAAATGTGAAAGGAAACCCTTGAAGGACATGAATGAAGGATGTGGACATTTGCACATGGAAACTCCCCACATGTCACTAGCTTTGCTTCCCAGCTCTGTAGCCATAAAAATGAGCAGGTCAGAGAGGGTGCAAGGATGCATGTTGAGGCTTTCACAGAATGCAATGCAAGACAGGCACTCCTGGCAAAGCTCTGAATGACCATTCTCTGGTAACCACGGAAGTCTAAGATGCTCTAGAAAGAAGTTACTGTGATACTGAGAGGACTGGGGAAAATCCAGCTCCTCCCCAACCACTATCAAATGTAGTTGTTTGCTCTACTGTTTGACAAACACACCTTGGTGCAATTTTTTTAAAAAGTCGTTTTCTCTTTTAGGCATGTAGCCTAGCCAATCTAAGTTCACACACTTAAAGAAAAACTAAGGAAGTGGAGGTGCTTTTTCTGAACCCTACAATTGGGCCCTTGATCTGATAACAGGACAGATTATTTGAACTGAGGTCAGTTAGAGTGCCTTATGATCTCTGTCCATATGAGCAATAAGGAAAAGTCAGTAAAGGCAATGGGAGATAGAAAGCGAGATATGAACCTTTACTTTCAAACATGCACTACGCAGACACACAGATCTTAGATCTTAATACCTCTCCAGCCCTGGATCCCACTCGAGTACCCTGAGCAATACCCCCCAGAGTCTTTTCCTCTTTAAGCACAATGAAAGATGTTGTTTTTTGTTTCTCCTCTGACAAATACAAGAGTCTCATAATGTTTCCCTTCTTATTTGCCAGGGATAGATGTACACAGCTTCACTCTGCATTTAATTACTATTTGCTCAATATAAATGACATTCTTTCCTTTATTCAGTCACTTACTCACTCAATATATAAATACCAAGCACCGATCTAGGTCCAAGAGATTCACAGATAATTAAGCTATTGTTCTAGTCCACGGAAAAATGAGGGTTGTATAATGTGTTATACATGAAGGTAATAACAGAAGTATGCACGTGATGTAGTGACTGCTGAGAGGACAGGGTGACTAAACAGAGGGGACAGGAATCAGGACCCAAAGTATTCTGTTAAGTAAGGTCCCTGAAAGAAGAACAGAGAGGGTCTAAGGCTTTTTCCTTGTTAACGTAAGGATCTAAGGATTTGTGCATCCCTGTCTGAGCCCTCACCCTGCTGTCAATAGCGTTTTTATAGGTCTTCCTCCAAACCCTGGGATTCAGATGCAATGTGAGTCCCAGGAACAGGAAAAGAAGCTGTTTAAGGTTTTTGCAGAGTTGACTAAATCCACAATGGGACTATGCGCAACAGCCTTTGACAAGTCCTCCTGTTCTGCTCAAGTGCAAGAGAACACACTGCTCAAGTACAAAACGATACACCTGCCTAGGTGGAGATGCTGTTAGGGAGTACGGTGAGCTTGGCAATGGGCATGCTGAACTCTGCTCCACCACAAGCAGAGCCATGGAGAGGATTTTTCTGCAGCAGTTGAAAGGAATGATTAAGAGGCAGCATAAGTCATATGGATCCTGTCCTAGCATTATGCTTTCTGAAGATAATGATGATGAAGGAAATGATGAATGAGCTATGATATTCCTATAAAAACCCTCCTGTCCTCTCTCTCCTGCTTTTCTTCTCCTATTCTCTTTCCTGTCTCCAAACCCATTTCTCTAACTCTGATGATACAAACCCCTTTGCTTGTAAAGACAACCTGAATATGTCCTCCCCGGCGCTTCTGAGCCACCTGAAGCACGCCTCCCTTGCTAATGACGAGACAGATCTCAGCTGACACAAGCCATTTTAACATGGAGTATTTGATGGTTCTGTGTTTTGTTCTGATGATTGTTAGCTCTCTTGGTTCATTGGTGTTGGAAATAAATCACATCTAACCTCTTTTGTACTAAAATTAACTGTCTCCTTGGACTGATTATCTTGCCCTTGGTCTCTGAGGATTTGCACCCACAGGATCTCCAACGTGCCTGGCAGCCCAGGCAGTTTGCTGTAGTTACATGTCCAGAGGGTGAGGCTGACTTTCCCAGGCCCCAGTCAAGAGGGACTGGCTACTCCTAAAAACAACAGAAATGCTTTAGAAAAGTTCAGAAACCAAGGTAGAAAATAGAATCGCTTTCACATGTATGCGTAGCAAAGACTGGTGGAACAGAAAACTAGAGCATCTTCATTTGAATATGTCAATTCTGTTTACTAAATGGGTTTAATTTATTTCAACACTATATTGCAGTTCCTTTTCAGAACCTATCAGTAATAATTTTTTCCAGTAAAATTGTTTTCCTTGAAGAAGGAGGAGTTAGCACAATTCAAGAAAATAGATAAAAAATCAATCTTAACCATTTTAAATCCTGGTAAACAGGTACAAGACTTTGCCACAATTTAAGGCATAAGCAAATGTTCTTTTTCAAAGAGTAGCGAAGATGGTCCTCAAAGAGAGCGAAAAAAATAGCATGATGAGCTCAACAGGGGAGGAGGTGGTACATGTAAGAAAATGGAACAGGAATGGTGTCAACTGACAAGCAGCTGGTCCATCCCTAATTTCAAGTGCTGACTCTAACTAAATTACTGCCTACTTCTAAAGTTGCCACCCACCCTTGCAGAGGCAAGGATGACTGCATGTTGACCTGAAATTGTTCCCTCTCCATTTTTCCACACCATTTGGATGCTCTTCCAATCTCTTGGACTTCTCTCCAGCTCATTGTTTGTTTCTTCTTGCAATTTCCTGCTTCTAAATGTAGACCCTGAAATTGAATTCAGTATAATAAAATCTGAGAATCTTTAAAAACGTCTTTAAAAAACTTGTTTCCCTTGCTGATTTCCTGATTCCTATTCAGTCTACTACACATATATGCAGAAGACCTGGGCACAACAAACATCACACTACTCACCCTACACAGTATTATGATTTGGCATTATCTCATCATGACCCTCTCCTACTGAAAAAGCCACGAATGTCTCCTCTTCAGCTCTTACAGGATTACAGGACAATGTCCCAATTGCTTCTTTGTAATTCCACCATTTAGCCTGATGTTAAGTCGCCACTATCCACGGGATAGCCTCAAATTCCCATAGGAAGCCTCAGCTCCAGCCATGCCTGTCTTGCAAAGACATCTAGCTCATCTCTATCTCTAAGTCTTTGTTTATGCTGTGCCCTTCACCTTGAATGTCTCCTCCCCCTTTTCATGTATTTAAGCCTTTCTCATTTATCATTATTTAGCTCAAGACCCACCTTATCAATGCAGTCTTTGTAGCCACCCAAGTTCATGGTAGCGTCTCCCTCCCCTGAGCCTGTATGGCAGTTAGAGTTTGTATTGGTCATTTGACACTTATCATTTACTATCCTGTATTACTCTTAATCCAGTAGATAATTCTGAGCACCAGTTTCTCCCCTATGTCCGGCTCTGTGATATCACTAATCATAAAGGGAGAAATAAGAGATAAGAATGCTGGAGGAGAAGGAAAAATTGGTAGAAGCTTGATAAACCAGTAGGTCCAAGAGAATATATATTTTTTTTTAAAAAAGAGAGATGTAAATTTGTCCTACATCATAGGAAGAAGGACCAGTTATTAAGTTGTTATCCCTTAGCTTCAAGCTTGCCCTTTTATTCTCCACTTTTGATGCTAGAACTTTGCAAACATCATTTTTGCTTTGCCAGCTGGTTTCCAATAGGTCTCTGTTAATAGGAAACGTCAGAGGAAGACTGAAAGGCTGGAGGAGGAAGAGACTTGCTTCTTTCTATCTGCTACCTATTTGCTTCCTGTGGACTTCCCATCTGTTAGTAGTTCCTATGAGATTCACCTCAGCAATACTTCACTCCATCAGTGGCAGTTCCTTCTAATATCAGCAGCTGAATCCAGTTTTCAGTTTTGCCAGTTTGCAGAACCAGCTTCACTTCACTCTCTTCCCATCCCAAGACCTCATTATATGCTGGCGGCTAGCACCTCCTGCACAGAGTCTGGGTCCCAGCCTTTTTCTGACTTAGAGATATCAGCACCTTCTCCTCAGAGGTCTGACTTTTATCTCCATGAGACTCCTCATTTAAGCTTCTAAGTTTTAAAAATTATTATCTCTTCTCTTTGTTCTCTCAACCCTAAAGAGGATAGGTGCTTCCCACTTTCATGATATCCTCGTCCCTTTTTTACCCTTTCAGTTACTTAGGTAACACTTTTTATATTAAAGTCTCGCTGTTCAATAACTGCTATGGTTTCTCTCTCCAGACCGCACTCTGATTGACACAGAAGAAACCAGTTTAGGAGCATATATTAAAGCAATGTAAAGTAGTATCACTAAGAAGCCAATAGATAAATTAAATATTCAAACAATCCAAAAGAAAAAAGGAAACGGGAATGAGAGGAACAAAATTCAGAAGGGACAAACTAAATAAAACCATATCACTAATTACATCAAATGTTAATGGACTAAATGGACCAATAAAAACACAGAAATTATAAGAATAGATTTTTTAAATGCAAGATTCTACAATATCCTGTCTAGAAGAGACATGTCTTAAATATGATGACACACATAGGTCAAAAGTATATGGATGAAAAAAGATATATAATGCAAACGGTAAGCTATAGAAAGGCTGAAGTAGCTATAATAACAAATAAAACAGACCTCAAGGCAAAGAGTATTACCAAAGATGGACATACATGTTTTATAATGATTAAAGAGTAAATTTATCAAGAAGACATAACAATGGTAAATATGTGCAAAATAACAGAGCCTTAAAATACATGAAGCAAAAATTGACAGAATTAAAGGGAGAAATATACAAAAATTCTACAATCATAGTGGGAAATTTGAATACTTCACTCTCAACAATTCGTAGAACTAGATTTTTTAAAACACTGAATACATAGAGAATCTGAACAACTGAACCTAATTGATATTTAGAGATATTTATAGAATCCCATGTCCAACAACTTCAAGTGCAATAGTATGTTCACTATGATAAAACACATGCTAGGCCATAAAACAAATTCAAAAATTTTGAAAGAAC
Organism: Homo sapiens; assembly: GCF_000001405.40. NCBI lineage: Eukaryota > Metazoa > Chordata > Mammalia > Primates > Hominidae > Homo > Homo sapiens. The sequence continues at coordinate 87,381,890 of NC_000001.11, read as the reverse complement.
TGAAAATCCTGATAACGGATGATGACTAAACAACTAACATGAAATTTGAATGCAGCCCCAGGAAGCAAAACAATAATCACACCAGCACTAATATTCCCAAGCCACCCTTCCCTCCACTCCTGTGTCCATCTTGCCAAAAAAAAAATTCACACCAAAATGCATTACTGTAAAAGTTCAGAACACCAGGGATAAAAGATTAAGGTGCAGATGTTAAAAACTTCCAGGTGGGGAAAATTAGATTTCTTACAAAGAAATCAACCCAGTTAGCCTCAGATCCATTTACAAAGTAGAGTAATGTCATCAAAACTTTAAGTGAAAATGATTTTCAATCTACAATTCTATTCCCAGCTTATCAGACCATGCAAGAACTAAAACATCACAATGTTTTAAAGAGTTATTAGAATGTATGCCTCAAAAAAACAAGAAATACACCAAGAAAAATGAAGACATAAAATCCAGAAAACAGACTAAGAGAGAGGCAAAAGTAATATATAATGATATCTGTTCAATTTCCCAGGAAAAAAAAAGTCCCTATTGGAGCAGGAGAGGAACATTTTTTGGAGAAGTTCTCTAGAAAAGTCAGAGCTGCTCCATATGAATCCATGGACAAATTTTTAAAATTGGGATATAGTAGAAATATTAGAACATTTGGAAAATTAATCATAAGTATATTTTTTAAAGAGACATAAAAAATGAGGCAGGCACTGGGCATGGTGGCATGCACCTATAGTCCTGGCTACTTGGGAGGCTGAGGCAGGAAGATCTCTTGAGCCTAGGATTTCAAGTCTAGCCTGAGCAACAGAATAAGACCCCATCTTAAAAAAAAAAAAAAAAAAAGTTAAAAAAAATTTACAGATCAAAAATAAACGAGGCAATTTTCAGTTCCAGGAGAAATAAAACGCCCTACAAGGAAGAAAACACAGTTGTGACAAACTATTTGACATAACTCTGAATGTGCATAGCAAAGAAACTGAAATTGTTTTATTTAAACAGATAGGTGGAAGGAGAAGGAGAGAATAAGGAGGAGTTAAATTTTTATCTGTTAGAGCAAAAATGCAATAAAATATTACTAAAATGTATCGATTAATAAATAATCACATTATTTATATCACATCAATTAGAGTACTTAGAACAATGACTTACACAGTAAGTAGTGTCAGCTATTATTCAAACTATGAAGTTAAACATAAGGAGAAAGAGAAGAATTTTGTGTGGTTGTCACTAGGGTAGAGGATTCAGGGTGAGAAGGAAAACTCTTCTGGTTCATTATAAGCTTTTTAGTATTACATGACTTTTGAAATAATATACATGTATTGTTTTGTGAAAGTAAAAGTCAAATTAACAATAAAACAGCTATATTATAGAATAAAATATAAACATAAAAATATTAGGATATTATAAATAAGGAAGTAAAAAGTAATGTATAAGTATAGTGAATGTAAATTTTCAAGAGCAAAGTATGAATTGTAAAAAAACTCATGATGAGATCCTTCATACACTATTAGTAAAGTTAAAAAATGAAAGAATTCTTAAAACATTGTACTCATGCTCAAAAACAAGAACATACTCCATAAACAAACAAAAGCCAGTGGAATCTTCCTAAAAAGAAATATTTAAAAAGAAAAAAATAGATGGAAAACCAGGTAAACGTAAACTAAAGCTGAATATCTAATACACAACATGGGGTCAAACCACCCACATGAAGCTAGAAGTCAGTATAGTGCTTTATAGCCATTAATGGCTGCCAAAATATTTCCATTACAGCAAGAAAGAAGTCACCTACCCATAAACAGGAGTAAGCACTGAGTTCCCACACTAGACTAGCACTTGAGTCCACACTACATTCAGGGCAAGGGCCTAGAACTGGATCATTTCTGTAGGGTGATAGACCCAACAAAGCCATGACTGTACAGCTTCAGCAGGAGCAACCATAAAACCATTCCCATAAGGAGGATATCAAGGAGAAAGTATCAATAAAGCAGAAAACTGAAGTTAAACCCAAGAAAATAGAGATACTTGGGCAATATAAAAAGAACATTAAAAAGAATAGATTTTTACATCTTCAAAGCAATGAAAAAAGAAATAATACCCATAAAAGACCAGGAAAGAAGAAAATGAAAACGTCTTTAAAATGCAAAACATTTATGAAATTAAAAAATTTAATAGATAGATTTAAAAGGCTAGACATCAATGAACTGGCAGAAAGAAATGAAAAAAATCACTGAAAAAGCTATCAAAAAAGATAAAAAGCTGAAGAAAAAAAGAAGGAAAAGTTCAAAGATAAGTTCCAACATATATTTGACAATAGTTTCTTAAGCATAGACTAGAGAGAGTGTTGAAGGTGTGGGTGTGTAAGACAGTAGTTGGGAATTTTCCAAAACTGAAGAGAGTCATGAGTTCTGAGACTGAGAGAGCTCATCAAGTGACAAGAAGGGCAAATCTTTAAAAATCTATACCTAGATATACTGTAGTGAAAGAGCACAATATCAAAATAAAAGAGTCAGAAAAAAAGAGAAAAAAGTCAATCTTTAAGAGAATGACAATCATATTGACAGCAGACTTCTCATTAGCAACAATAGCAATAAGAAGTCTATGTACAGGGAGAAAGCAAACAACTTGAAAAACATATTTTGGGATATTATCCATGAAAACTTTCCCCAGCCTTGCTAGACAGACCAACAGTCAGATTTAGGAAATACAGAGAAACCCTGCAAGATTCTACACAAGAAGATCATCCCCGAGATATGTAATCGTCTGATTTTCCAAAGTCAAAATGAAAGACAGATGTTAAAGGCAGCTAGAGAGAAAGGGCAGGTCAGCTACAAAGGGAACCCCCTCAGGCTAACAGCAGACTTCTCAACAGAAACCCTACAAGCCAGAAGAGATTGGGGGCCTATATTCAACATTTCAACATTCTTAAAGAGAAAACTCTTCAACCAAGAATTTCATATCAAGCCAAACTAAGCTTCCTAAGTGAAGGAAAAATAAGATCCTTTTCAGATAAGCAAATGTTGAGGGAGGTTGTTACCACCAGACCTGCCTTATAAGAGATCATGAAAGGAGCACTAAACATAGAAAGACTGTTACCAGCCAATACAAAAACACACTTAAGTACACAGACCAGTGACACTATAAAACAATCACACAAGCTAGTTGGCATAATAACCAGCTAACAGCACAATGACAGGATCCAATCCACACATCTCAATACTAACCTTAAATATGCATGGGCTAAATGCCCCACTTAAAAGGCACAGAGAGGCAAGCTAGATAAAAAAGCAAGACCCAATGGTATGCTGTCTTCAGGAGAACCATTTCACACATAATGATACCCACAGGCTTCAAATAAAGGGATAGAGGAAAATCTACCTAGCAAATGGAAATCAGAAAAAAAAAAGCAGGAATTGCAATCTTAATTTCAGACAAAATAAACTTTAAACCAGCCAAAATAAAAAAAGACAAAGAAGGGCATCACATAATGGTAGAGTTCAATTCAACAAGAAGATCTAAGTATCCTAAATATATATGCACCGAATACAAGAGCATCCAGATTTATAAAGCAAGCTCTTAGAGACCTACAAAGAGACTTAGACTCCCACAAAATAATAATGGGAGACCAAAACTCCATAGACAGTATTAAACAGATCATCAAGGCAAAAAGTTAACAAAGATATTCAGAACCTGAATTCAACATTGGACCAAATGGATTTTTTACACCTCTACGGAAATCTCCACCCCAAAACAACAGAATATACATTCTTGTTGCCACATGGCACACACTCTAAAATCAACTACATAATTGGACATAAAACAATCTTTAGCAAATACAAAAGGACCAAAATCATACCAAACACATTCTGAGAACACAGTGCAACAAAAACAGAAGATGAAAAAATCACTCAAAAACATGCAATTACATAGAAATTAAACAACATGCTCCTGAATGACTTTCGGGTAAATAATGAAATTAAGGCAGAAATCAAGAAGTTCGTTGAAACTAATGATAACAAAGATACAATATACCAGAATCTCTGGGACACAGATAAGGCAGTGTAAAGAGGAAAATTCATAGCACTAAATGCCAACATAAAAAATTTAGAAAGATCTCAAATTAACAACCTAACATCACAACTGAAAGAATTAGAGAAGCAAGTGGAAACCAGCCCCAAAGCTAGCAGAAGAGAAGAAATAACAAAAATCAGAATTGAAGCGAAGGAAATCAAGACACAAAAAATTATTCAAAAGATCAACAAATTCAGGAGTTTGTTTTTTGAAAAAATTAATAAGATTATCCTAGACACTAGCAAGGCTAATAAAGAAGAAAAGAGAGAAGATCCAAATAAACACAATTAAAAATGGCACAGGGGATGTTACCACTGACCCCACAGAAACAAAAGCCATCAGAAACTGCTATGAACACCTCCATGAACACAAACTAGAAAGCCCAGAAGAGATTAATACATTCTGGACACATACACATTCCCAAGACTTAACCAGGAAGAAACTGATTCCCTGAACAGACCAATAACAATAACAAACTCCAAAATCGAATCAGTAATAAATAGCCTACCAACCAAAAAAAAGCCCAGAACCAGATGGATTCATAGCCAAATTCTACCAGATGTACAAAGAAGACCTGATACCATTCCTATTGAAACCATTCCAAAAATTTGAGGCGGAGGGACTCCTTCCCAACTCATTCTATAAGGCCAGCATCATCCTGATACCAAAACCTGGCAGAGACACAACAAAAAAAGAAAACTTCAGGCAATATCCTTGATGAATATTGATGCAAAAATCCTCAACAAAATACTTGCAAACTGAATCCAGCAGCACATCAAAAAGCTAATTCACCACGATCAAGTAGGCTTCATCATACACAAATCAATAAATGTGATTCATCACATAAACAGAACTAAAGACAAAAACCACATGATTATCTCAATAGATGCAGAAAAGGCTTTCAATAAAATTCAACACCCTTTATGTTAAAAACTCTCAATAAACTGGGTATTGAAGGAACATACCTCAAAATAATAACAGCCATCTATGACAAACCCACAGCTAACATCATACTGAATGGGCAAAACCTGGAAGCATTCCCCTTGAAAACGGGCACAAGAAAAGGATGCCCTCTCTCACCACTCCTATTCAACGTAGTACTAGAAGTCCTGGCCAGAGTAATCAGGCAGGAGAAAGAAATAAAGAGCATCCAAATAGGAAGAGAGGAAGTCAAACCATCCCTGTTTGCAGGTGACATGACTCTATACCTAGAAAACCCAATAGTCTTGGCCCAAAAGCTCCTTCAGTTGATAAACAACTTCAGCAAAATTTCAGGATACAAAAATCAACGTACAAAACTTACTAGCATTCTTATACACCAACAAAACACAAGCTGAGAGTCAAATCAGGAACACAATCTCATTCACAATTACCGCAAAAAGAATAAAATAACCAGGAATACAGCTAACCAGGTGATAGATCTCTACAATGAGAATTACAAAACACTGCTCAAAGAAATTAGAGATGACACAAATGGAAAAACATTCCATGCTCATGGATAGGAAGAATCAATATTATTAAAATGGCCATACTACCCAAACCAATTTAGAAATTCAATGCTATTCCTATCAAACTACCAATGACATTTTTCACAGAACTAGAAAAAACTATTTTAAAATTCATATGGAACCAAAAAAGAGTGTGAATAGCCAAGGCAATCCTAAGCAGAAAGAACAAAACTGGAGGCATCATGTTACCTGACTTCAAACTATACTACAAGGATACAGTAATTAAAACAGCTTGGTACTGGTACAAAAACAGATACATAGCCCAATGGAACATAAAAGAGGTCCCAGAAATAAGGCCACATACCTACAACCATCTAATCTTTGGCAAAGCTGACAAAAAACAAGCAATGGGGAAAGAACTCCCTATTCAATAAATGGTGCTGGGGTAACTGACTAGTCATATGCAAAAGATTGAAATTGGACCCCTTCCTTACACCATGTACAAAAATCAACTCAAGATGGATTAAAGACTTAAAGGTAAAACCCAAAATCATAAAAACCCTGGAAGACAACCTAAGCAATGCCATTCTGGACACAGGAATGGGCAAAGATTTCATGACGAAGATGCCAAAAGCAATCATAACAAAAGCAAAAATTTACAAATGGGATCTGATTAAACTTAAGAGCTTCTGCATTGTAAAAGAAACTATCAACAGAGTTAATAGAAAACCTACAAAATGGGAGGAAATATTTGCAAACTATGCATCTGGCAAAGGTCTAATATCCAGCATTTATAAGGAACTTAAACAAATGTACAAGAAAAAAACAAACAGCCCCATTAAAAGGTGGGCAAAGAACATGAACAGACACTTTTCAAAAGAAGACATACATGCGGCCAACAAGCATATGTAAAAAAGCTCAATATCATTGATAATTGGAGAAATGCAAATCAAAACCACAATGAGATACCACCTCATACCAGTCAGAACGGCTATTACTAAAAAGTCAAAAAACAGCAGATGCGCCTGGCACAGCGGCTCATGCCTGTAATCCCAGCACTTTGGGAGGTGGAGGCAGGCAGATCCCTTGAGGTCAGGAGTTCGAGACCAGCCTGACCAACATGGTGAGACCCCATCTTTACTAAAAATACAAAAATTAGCTGGGCGTGGTGGTGTGTGCCTGTAATCCCAGCTACTTGGGAGGCTGAGGTAGGAGAATTGCTTGAACCCAGGAGGCGGAGTTGCAGTGAGCCGAGATCATGCCCATACTGCAGCCTGGGCAACAGAGTGAGACCCTGTTAAAAGAAAAAAAAAAGAAGAAGAAGATGCTAGTGAGGTTGCAGAGAAAAAGGAACACTTATACACCATTTAGTGGGAGTGTAAATTAGTTCAATCATTGTGGAAAGTAACGTGGTGATTCCTCAAAGAGCTAAAAACAGAGCTACCATTAGACCTAGCAATGTCATTACTGGATATATACCCAGAGGAATATAAATCATTCTGCCATAAAGACACAAGCACACAAATGTTCACTGCAGCACTATTCACAATAGCAAAGACATGGAATCAACCTAAATGCCCATCAATGACAGAGTGAATAAAGAAAATGTGGTACATGTCTACCATGGAATACTACTATACAGCCATTGAAAAGAATGAGATCATGTCTTTCGTTGGAACATGGATGGAGCTAGAGACCATCATCCTTAACAAACTCACGCAGGAGCAGAAAACCACATACTGCATGTTCTCTGTTGTAAGTAGGACCTAAATGATGAGAACTCATGGACACAAAGAAGGGAACAACAGACACTGGTGGAGGGTGGGAGGAGAGAGAGGAATAGAAAAAATAACTATTGGGCACTAGGCTTAGTACCTGGGTGACAAAATAATCTGTACAACAAACCCCCATGACACACTTTTACTGACATAATAAACCTGCACATGAATCCCTGAACCTACAATAAACATTTTAAAAATAAAAAGAAATTTATTAAGTCTGTGGAATAATAGTGCCAAGAAAAAACACTGACTTTGAAATTCTCTACAAACTACCATTCAACAGGTTGGATTCAGAAAATTATTTAATTATTTACCATAAATTATTTCTTTCTTTTTTTTTTTTTTTTGAGCAGAGTCTCGCTGCTCTGTGGTCCAGGCTAGAGTGCAGCGGCGCGATCTCAGCTCACTGCAAGCTCCTCCTTCCGGTTCACGCCGTTCTCCTGCCTCAGCCTCCCGAATAGCTGGGACTACAGGCACCCACCACCGCGCCAGGCTAATTTTTTGTATTTTTAGTAGAGATGGGGTTTCACCGTGTTAGCCAGGATGGTCTCTATCTCCTGACCTCGTGATCCACCTGCATGGGCCTCCTAAAGTGCTGGGATTACAGACGTGAGCCACCGCGCCCGGCCACAATAAACCCTTTCTTTAAAAACAGAACCAAAAAATAAAATAAAAATAAAAAACCCTACTTAATATGTATTTAGTAAGGAAAACAATATAACCTTAAAGAAAGAAGCAAATGTATGGGGAAAATTTTGTAAAACATGTTAGTAAATCTAAATAAGTATTAATTATAAAAAATAATACAAGTAATTTCTATACTTAGAAACAGGGTAGAAGTCTAATACTAGATAATTCTAGTATAGGAGTGATGGAAGTTCATTCAGATGAAAGTTAATGCTTCTGGCAACAGAATGATAGAGGTACTTTTAAGCTTTGAGAGAAAAATGTAAATTTAAATGTGTCTGTTAAAAGTCTAAGAAAAATTACTAAAAGAATAGAAATCCTAAGTATATATTCCAAACAAATGGGAGAAGACAAAGGAATAAACCAAATTCAATCAAGGCTGGGCTAGATGGCTCACGCCTGTGATCCCAGCACTTTGGGACACCGATGGGGGTGGATCACCTGAGGTCAGGAGTTCAAGACCAGCCTGGCCAACATGGTGAAATTCTGTCTCTACTAAAAAATTTGCCGGGTGTGGTGGCAGGCACCTGTAATCTCAGCTACTTGGGAGGCCGAGACAAGAAAATCATCTGAACCCAGGAGGCAGAGGTTGCAGTGAGCCGAGATCGTGCCACTGCACTCCAGCCTGGGTGACAAGATCAAGACCCCATCTCAAACAAACAAACGAACAAAAAACTCAACCCCAAAATAGCAAGAAAGGAGAAAAACAAAATAAAAGAAAAACATAATAAATAGAAAGCATAAAATGAAATATCAATAATAAGTCAATACATGTAGATAAATTCTCATTGTATTTTGAGAAAGAAACCAGGTACAAGTCTCTGAGACAAGGTCAACTATCAAGAAATATAATTGAAAAGAGCCAGGGGAAACCTGAGGGGCTTCTGGTTAGAGATCCTCCATTTTCTTCCTAAAATGTAATAGAGAGAGTGAGGCGGGCAAGAGTAGGGTTGAGACTTCAGGGATGGGGTGATCTTGCCAACCGTTTTGAGTCAAAAGTAATAGACCCATTGAAGGTAACTCAAGTAACAGGCAGTCTATGTAAATAACAGAGGAACAAATTGTCAAAAGAAAATCTGATTGCCTCACTGGGATTTGGGCATCAAGTGTCTATCTTTTGTCCAAATACCTGTGTCAGGGTTGGGGCAGGGGATGGGTTACACACTGAAGAATGTAGCTACCTAGAGGACAGTTCCCAGAGCACATTAGGCATGCCCACCAAACCTGTCTTGTACAAACGGTAATAGCCTAAAACAGTGTGTCAGTAAGGAATAGAAATGGAAGTCTACTAGAGTCAAGGAAAAGGGCCATACTGAGAACTCAACTTAAAACTGGATACCATAAATGATAAGTGGAATTAACAGCCAAGGTTATTCCATTTTCTCCAGCCAATGACAGGAACGGATGAAGTTAAAGATTGGGGGTGGGAGGGAATTAACAAGGTAGTAGGAGAAACCACCATAGGATCCTGCCCAGGTAGGATGGGAAATAAAGCCCAGAAAGGGCAGGAGGACTGGGAGAGTAGACAGGGTCAAAGGAATGACTGTGACTCTGAGGCTTGGTGGGAGCAGCCTTTGCAGGAGAGAAGGAAAGGACAAGGTGGAGAGTAAGAGATGGTGACTAGGGACGGGAATGCTGCTGCTGGAGTTTTCAAAGCAGAAGCAGCTCTGGGTGTAGCAGAACAGACAGGAGACCAGGAAGAGAGGGACTGGCTGAGAGCCGGATGGAAGATAATGTAATCAGAGGTCATGAAAGTGGTGAACAGCCAGCACTTTGGGAGGCCGAGGCAGGTGGATCACGAGGTCAGGAGATCGAGACCATCCTGGCTAACACAGTAAAACCCCGTCTCTACTAAAAATACAAAAAATTAGCCGGGCGAGGTAGCGGGCGCCTGTAGTCCCAGCTACTCGGGAGGCTGAGGCAGGAGAATGGCGTGAACCCCGGGGGGCGGAGCCTGCAGTGAGCCGAGATCGCGCCACTGCACTCCAGCCTGGGAGACAGAGCGAGACTCCGTCTCAAAAAAAAAAAAAAAAGAAAAGAAAATGGTGAACAGAAACCCCAAAACACAGACATAAACTGCTTTCTGGGCCCAAGACCCACGTTAATGAAAATTAACAGCCTTAAAATTTATCAATGGGTCCTGTTGCTTGCAGGATGGAATTCTAACTCCTCATCACATAAGACCTTTATGATCTTTCAGTGTCACCTCATCTCCCAGCACACCGCCACCCAGGCCCTTCACTCTTCTACTGAACCACTTTCTTCCATGTGCACACGCTGATTTCTCAACCTGGAATCATTTCCCTACACCTTTCCTCAAAGGACTGTTAATGAGTTTTCAGAGGTAAGCCCTATTCCTCTCCTCTGGAGAACCTTCCCTGAGTGCCCAGTCTGAGTTGAATGTCCCCCTTCCCACTACCCAATATCTCCCCCTGAACTCCAGGCATCTCTGTCACAGCATGTACCTCACACTGCCAAGTTCCCAAAGGGCAGGGTCTGCATCTTACATATTTAGGTATCTGAATACCTAGTGGGATTCCTAGTATAGCCTCTCAGTGCATACTTTTTTTTGTTTTGTTTTCTGAGATGGAGTAGCAGTCTGTTGCCCAGGCTGGAGTGCAGTGTTGCGATCTCAGCTCACTGCAACCTCTGCCCCCCGGGTTCAAGCGATTCTCCTGCCTCAGCCTCGCGAGTAGCTGGGACTACAGGTGTGTGCCACTTTTTAAGTACATGCATGAATTTCAAGAGGTTGGAAAGAAATTGTATCACCATATTCCATTACAATGAGAAATCAAAGAAACAATGATCAACAAGTATCTTCAAGTGCCATGCAATAAAACAGCATCAGTAGGGTGCAGTTCGAGTCATCAGGAGGGGATTGAGCAGAGAGGGTATGGACTGCTGCAAGGAACATTACATTGTCTGACAATACTAGGATGAAACAAGACAGGAGAACTCACTAGATATATTTGCACCATAAGTACCATGCGTGTGATTGTGGGTCACAGGGATGAGAGAGACAAGGAACTGAGAGGCCACCAACATCTGGCTGTCCCCCATATATTATCTCATGCCATGTGCACAATAGACTTTGGAGATGGAAATTTACATCCCCATTTTACTGAAAAGCCAGCCACAGGGTTCACAATGGAGTTTAGGTGGAAAGTCCCGATAAATCTGTGGCAATCCTATCCCAGGCATAGTGAGATCAGCTCGTTATGTCAGGCTTGGGCTTCCTCAAACAGGAAGTTTATTCAAAGTCTTACAAAGGCAAAGGGCCTCGCCTTTTGGTTCTTCTTATGTCCTATAACGCCTAGCATGTGTTACAGCCTTTTTAGTACTCAGTATGTATTTGTTGGTTGAATGAACTAATGAGTTAATGAATGAATAACTGTTTAAGTATAAGGCTCAGGCACTCTAAATTCTTAACATGGATTATATTATCTAACCCTCACAATATCTATGATTATCCCCCATTTCACAGATAATTAAATTGAGGTTAGGAAAGTTTAGAAAGTTTACTCAAAGTCACACAGCTTGCAAATGACAGAGCAAAAATTTCCCCAGGCCTTTCTCTCTCAGAGTCCGTACTCGTAACCACTCTGCTACACAGCCTCTCAGTTAAAGGATTCCTCTGAATTAATGGATTTCTCTGGAAAGCTCAGCTTTCTCAAAAGAAGATAGATGGTCCCTGATGATCCAATACTATGAGAAAAAAAAATCACAAAACACGGGGATTTGAGGGTTAGTTCAAAATGTGGCAAATCTAAAAATACACTGGCTTCACTTTTAGATATTTGTCCAAGAGGGGTAGAACAACTTTAATTAGTGTAACAGGACAATAGGAATTAAATTGGCTTGGTCACAAGATTTTTTACAGGATGACACTGATGTTATTACTATCCAACTTCAAAGATTTGGGAAGATGTTCCTGCTAACACTGGAGAATAGAAACCTGTTTTTCATCAACTAGGCTGGCCTGACAAATTAAGTCTGTGGAGTCATTAGATTAAGATAAGAGCTTATCTCCTAGGCTGACATTTATTCAGAGGCTTTTATACTGCTCAGCTAGTAATTAGTGCTGTTGAATTTTTGACTCTGCTTTGTCCAGTCATTCAAAAATTCTAGAGGTATATTTACATCTCTTATGTATGTTTTTGGTTATTAAAAATAGAAGAGGAATGCAAGTGAATTACTGTAGAAGGTTTAAATAATTCTTCCAAAAGTTATTCTGTGGTGAAACATGCAGCTTAATGACTTTTTTGCAGAAGAAGGGAGCAGTTCTCCCAATTGATAAATGTTGAATAAAAAGTTGCTTTTTACTATGAGATCTATAATTTTTTTCGAGGCAGACATATAGGTTTATTATGTTATAGTAGAATCATTACAACTATGATCACATGCAGTAATGGTTTCCTGCTATTTCACACCCCCAATTCAGCAAACATACTATAGATTGAGGGTATAGCTCAAAGTTTTGTTCTTTGGGTTTTTTTTTTTAATAGTTTCTTTCCGATGGATGATTTGACTGTGAAAAGTCTTATTTTTCCAGTTTTCTTGTAGTTATAATAACAACTTGATTGCTATAGAATAAACTAATACCTTAAGCCTGCACACGTGTCTTGACAGTCTGTCAAACAAATAATACTCACATTTTTTAAGATGCTTGGTTTGCAAATTCCAATTTCTATGCTGAAATACTAATCAGTCATCAGATGGGTAAGAACCCCTGTTTTAAGAAAGTTCATCACATGGTTAAAGTTGCATCCTGTTAACATTACTATCACATCATCTATTCTGTCCTAAGTGTGAACATCTCTCATCACTCAACATACTGCATTCGCCACTTTCAGAAAAATGTGGCCAAGAGAATTCAGGAGGGACAAGTAAAAGATTTGACTCTACTAGCTCACCTTAACATCACCCAACAGGAAGCCTCAGAAAACAAACAAACAAACAAACAAACAAACAACACACACTTAAGATATCCAGTCTGGAAGACAAGTTCTTTTTCATTAAAATGTGACCCTCGTGGTTTTGTAGTTAACAGGCTTAAGTTAAAGTCACTTGCTAATCAATCTCCATGCGTGATGGGTATAGAACCTCTTGTCATGTGCACACACTACCCAAGGGGAACTTGAAAGTATTTGAAATTATTCATGTTTGTTATGATACACAATCATCCTTTCTCTGTACCCCAAGTAAATTCAACTCTGCTCTTGGCATCCTCATTACGTAGTCTAGCAAAAAGTACAGGCCCTAGTTTACCACTTCAACAAGTCATTGAACTTGTTTTCTTAATGGAAAAATAAGAAGTTAGCTCAGTGTAATCTTTAAATATAACCCTCAGGGTCCTGCATCTCAGATCTGTGATCTGATCTTCAAGGCAGAAGTATAAGAAACGTAAATGGACAGAGAAAATCACAAGGGAAGAATATACCACTACGAGTTTAGATTCATCTGAGGAATTTGTAGAATTAATTCTGAAATAGTAGTACAGAAACTGAGATTATATTTAGTCATAGAAGAGAGATCAGAGTATATTTGTTGGATGAATGCATGAATGAATGGAGAGGCAGCATGGAATATTGAGATTTGGAATCAGACACACCTGGGTTCAATTCCCAATGCTCCCACATACTTGTTTTGTCACCTTGGAAAATACTTAAGCCTCTCTGACCCTACTTCTTCATTACTGCTAGCATAATAACTAGCCCATAGGGTTGTTGGCAGGATAAACAAAAACCTACATGAGCACATGGTAGGTGCTCAGAAAAACATTTGTTTTCATTTCTTTCTCCTCTACGTTGTTTTTGTTTTCTGTTTTTTTGTTTTTGTTTTTGTTTTTTTCATTCTCTGGTTCCACATAAATTAAGTTATAAAAATATCACCATCCAGCTTTCAAATTCATGTATTACCAATTACTACCAACACATTTGGTATGTGTTATTATTATGTTTTGATGTGTACTGAAAAAGGAAGAGAAGAGGAAAAGCATAGCACTTCCCTCCAACTCCCCACGGGTAATCAGGCCAGGGGAAGGTAGGTGTCATTCAATGTGTTTACAATGTACTCCATCTCAGTACTCAGCCTTTCTTAACTCATCCACCACCCCCAACTTTCTGAAGAGCAACATGTAATTAGAGCACTAACGAGGTCATTTAGCAGAAACCATGGGCAGGGAGTAATGAATGTGCTATCAGGCTCAGAGAACAGCTTGGGCAAAAATCCAAACAGTCCATGTTCAACTCTGATGAGCCAACCTAAACTTGGAAAATAGAGCTTGGAAAAAGGTTAATAATAGGACACCGAAAATGAAAGGCCCTTCTCCAGAGAGGCCCAAAGCAATGTTTTGAGCACAACTCTTGGAGAGCTGGGTGGTGCAGGCAGTGGTTGGGCATCATGAGAAGCTTGGTAGCACCTTCCACCTTCAAACTACCAGGGATCTGAAGAATGCAAAGCCTGGAAAGCGTTGAGAGGTCATCTCATTCAATTTCCCCATTTTACAGATGTGTTCAGAGTGCTCCAGAGACCTGAATCAGCTTAACTGGCCAATTAGAAACAAATCCAGACTTAGTACCAAGTCCTACAGATAACCAGGGCAGTGCTGGACTCACTAGCCTATGCTGTCTCCTTGCCTCTAAAGGTGACATTTAGGAGACCATTTAGACAGTGTACCAAGAGACTTTAAATGAGGCCAGCTTTACTTGCACCACTTCTGGAGTAATTAAGTCCCAGAAAAATAAACCTATCTATCCACCAGTTTGCATTTGGAATTAGCACTCTTAATTGAGTTACAACTGCTAAGATTATGAGGCCAACATCATCCTGATACCAAACCTGGCAGAGACACAACAAAAAAAGAAAATTTCAGGTCAATATCCCTGATGGACATCTATGCGAAGATCATCAATAAAATATTGGCAAACCGAATCCAGCAGCACATTAACAAGCTTATCCGCCACGATCAAGTCGGCTTCATCCCTGGGATGCAAGGCTGGTTCAACATACACAAATCAATAAATGTAATCCATCACATAAACAGAACCAATGACAAAAACCACATGATTATCTCAATAGATGCAGAAAAGGCCTTGGATAAAATTAAACACCCCATCATGCTAAAAACTCTCAATAAACTAGGTATTGATGGAACATATCTCAAAATAATAAGAGCCATTTATGACAAACCCATAGCCAATATCATACTGAATGGGCAAAAGCTGGAAGCATTCCCTTTGAAAACTGACACAAGACAAGGATGCCCTCTCTCACCACTCCCATTCAACATAGTATTGGAAGTTCTGGCCAGGGCAATCAGGCAAGAAAAAGAAATAAAGGGCATTCAAATAGGAAGAGAGGAAGTCAAATTGTCCCTGTTTGCAGATGACATGATTGTATATTTAGAAAACTCAGCCCAAAATCTCCTTAAGCTGGTAAGCAACTTCAGCAAAGTCTGAGGATACAAAATCAATGTGCAAAAATCACAAGCATACCTATACACCAATAATAGACAAACAGAGAGCCAAATAATGAGTGAATTCCCATTCACAATGGCTACAAAGAGAATAAAATACCCAGGAATACAATTTACAAATGATGTGAAGGACCTCTTCAAGGAGAGCTACAAACCACTGCTCAAGGAAATAAGAGAGGACACAAACAAATGGAAAAACATTCCATGCTCATGGATAGGAAGAACGAGTATCGTGAAAATGGCCATACTGCCCAAAGTAATTTATAGAATCAATGCTATCCCCATCATCTACCATTGACTTTCTTCACAGAATTAGAAAAAACTACTTTAAATTTCATATGGAACCAAAAAAGAGTCCATATAGCCAAGACAATCCTAAGCCAAAAGAACAAAGCTGGAGGCATCACGCTACCTGACTTCAAACTATACTACAAGGCTACAGTAACCAAAACAGCATGGTACTGGTACCAAAAGAGATATATAGACCAATGGAACAGAACAGAGGCCTCAGAAATAACGCCACACATCTACAACCATCTGATCTTTGACAAACCTGACAAAAACAAGCAACGGGGAAAGGATTCCTTATTTAATAAATGGTGTTGAGAAAACTGGTTAGCCATATGCAGAAAACTGAAACTGGACCCCTTCCTTAGGCCTTATAAGAAAATTAATTTAAGACGCATTAAAGACTTAAATGTAAGACCTAAAACCATAAAAACCCTAGAAGAAAACCTAGCCAATAAAATGCAGGACATAGGCATGGGAAAGGACTTCATGACTAAAACACCAAAAGCAATGGCAACAAAAGCCGAAATTGACAAATGGGATCTAATTAAACTAAAGAGCTTCTGCACAACAAAAGAAACTATCAGAGTGAACAGGCAACCTACAGAATGGGAGAAAATTTTTACAATCTATCCATCTGACAAAGGGCTAATATCCAGAATCCACAAGGAACTTAAAAAAATTTACAAGAAAAAAACAAACAACTCAACCCCGTCAAAAAGTGAGCAAATGATATTAGCAGACACTTCTCAAAAGAAGACATTTATGTGGCCAATAAACATATGAAAAGAAGCTCATCATCACTGGTCATTAGAGAAATGCAAATCAAAACCACAATGAGATACCGTCTCATGCCAGTTAGAATGGCAATCATTAACAAGTCAAAAAAACAACCGATGCTGGAGAGGATGTGGAGAAATAGGAACGCTTTTACACTGTTGGTGGGAGTGTAAATTAGTTCAACCATTGTGGAAGACAGTATGGAGATTCCTCAAGGATCTAGAACCAGAAATACCATTTGACCCAGCAATCCCATTACTGGGAATATACCCAAAGGATTATAAATCATTCTGCTATAAAGACACATGCACACATATTTTTATTGCGGCACTATTCACAATAGCAAAGACTTGGAACCAACCCAAATGTCCATCAGTGATAGACTGGATAAAGAAAATGTGGCACATACACACAATGGAGTACTATGCAGCCATTGCAAAGGATGAGTTCATGTCCTTTGCAGGGACATGGATGAAGCTGGAAACCATCATTCTCGGCAAACTAACACAGGAACAGAAAACCAAACGCGGAATGTTCTCACTCAGAAGTGGGAGTTGAACAATGAGAACACATGGACACAGGGAGGGGAACATCACATACTGGGGCCTGTCAGGGGGTGCGGGGCTAGGGGAGAGATAGCATTAGGAGAGATACCTAATGTAGATGACAGGTTGATGGGTGCAGCAAACCACCATGGCATGTGTATACCTATGTAACAAACCTGCACATTCTGCACAATATTCCTAAGTAGGAAAGAAATAACTTAGTCACTATTATTACTTAAAGTACTAACAAATTAAAATTCATTGGATGGATTTGTTCCAGGGTCGCTTTCATTTCAACAAGTAGTTATTAAGCACTTACCACATACACAACACTACAAGGCAGTTTGGGGTGAACACAAGGTATAGAGCATTCAATTTCTGTCTTGAGAAACCGACCCTCATTTGGGCAGACCTGACATACCTACAAAGATAGTGGAGAACAATGAAAGGAACAAATTAAAAATCCTAGGAGTCTCTTACCTCTTGCGAAATATATATTTTTCTTTCATTTAAAATGGCAAGTGAAGAGTATGGCTTTGGAACAAGGAGGCATTTATTTGCGCTTTTGATGTGTGGTTCCTCTCTAAGAGCCCTCTGCTTGGGATGGCTCTTCCACACAACTGGGTTCCCCAGAGAGCCACCCCTAGGAACCAGAGTTTTCCCAAGAGCCCTTTTCCTGTTATAGGGCATCCTATATTCCTCACACCCAGATCCTATGCATATGCCCCTTGGTTCTCCCATAACCTATATGAAGCCGGGAGAAAATCTGCCTCACAGGGTATGGTAAGCCTCAGTAAGATGGTACAATGCCAAAAATAATGCAAAAGTGATAATGGTGCCTCGAGGATGGGGGCCTGGGTGGGCAGTTCTTGTTCCCCTAACACAGTCTTCATTGTTTGTCTTAGAAAATAATGTCACAGTAAGAGAAAGCTCTTCAAAGCACTAGGTTACCAACAAATTCAGGTCTCGGTATAAAACAATGTAGAACAAGTATTAATATTTATGGCCAGAGTTGCTGCCCAGTTGTTTAAAACTAAGGCTTACCAAGACATTTTTCTCTCCTCCATCCCTCCTAATTATGGGAGTACCCAATCAGAATCTGATGATGCTCTCTGGTAGTGTGAGAGACAGGCTGCTGGATTGGAATCCAGACTTTGGAGATTTGAACCCAGATTCAAATTCTAGCTTAGGAATTTCAGAGCTGTGTAGTATTAAGCAAGTTGCTTAACCTCTCTGAATCGCAGACTCCTCACTGGAAAAATAGAGATGCTAATGGTATGTACCTCACAGGATGATTGTGAATATTAAATGACACAAGACACCTGACACATAGTAGGTGCTCGATGAATTTTTGTTATGTTTTCAGAGCAAAATTCCAGCACTGTCTCCTTCAAGGAGGGAAAAACAAAACAAGAAACATTTTCAGGATGCAACAGCTGGTGCTAGGAACGGATGTAACCACATCAGGGGAGAGTGCCACCCATCCTCAGAGTCAAATGTACTTTATGGATACAGCAATTTGCATCCTGTCAAATGTTCCCTAACATTTTGCAAAAATTCCCCAAATGTCAAATTAGTGAGTAATCTGTATAGTACTGCAGATCTTGTTATCCTCTGACTGATTCATAACATATTTTGGGTGTCCCAGACACCAATCCAAGTAAATGTTAGTAAATAAGGAAAATCACATCTCCCTCACAAGCTCTGAAATCAGTACCAGCTTACACTTGCAAAGAAAGAACATAAACCTGGAGGCCCAGAGGTATTTGGAGTTGATTAGAGTGTCACCAATCAATACTTGCCTAACACTGACCATGTGCCCAGTCCTGAGACTGTACTCTGAAGTTGGGGTCAGAGTACAGACTGGGGTTGCAAATCTCAATCACTGATTCTATGCTAGCCATTTGGCTTTATACCTTTTCTTATTTAGTCTTCTCAAATGTCCTTTTTATTTATTTAGCAAATACTGGAAAAGTACGTGCTATGTGAATAGTGCTTCCCTAGGGGCCCACTTCTTGGGAGAACCCCTTCATACAAGTGGGTTATAAATGCTTTACCATCCCCATAACAACCCAATGAGGCAGGCATCATGCTTATGTCCATTCTGCAGATGAGGAAACAGAAGGTCAGAGAGGTGAAGTGGTTGCATAAGGCCACGTGGTAAGTGGCCGAGGTAAGGTAGGAACTGAGACAGTCTGGCTCCCAGAGTCTATACTCTTAACCATTAAATACTCCCTTATGAGGTAGGTACCATAGTTATCCCCATTTTACAGATGAGGAAACTGAGGCTAAGAGGGGTTAAGTAACACTACCCAAGATGTCATACAGCTATTGGGTGGTAGCAGATTTGGGATTTTAAATGAGGTCTGTTCCTATAACCCTGCCCTAGAAGACAAGGTTATAGCTTATACAAAGGCAAAAAAAAAAAAAAAAAAAAAAAAAAATCTTGCCTTAAGTAGTTTCTAGTTTTGCCGGCCATGCAGTGAAAAAGATAGAGATCTTAAGAATACCATAAGCAATGAACGTCAAAGAGCTCCACTCTTGTACGTTCATTACTAGTCTCTGAACTCCAGAATCAGAGAGACTTTTCTCAAAACAAGACTGAGGGCTGGCCTGAGAAATGCTTCTCTGTTTTGCTTTTGTTTTTTGTTTCCCTGACTTGAAGAAAATTGAGATGAACTCAAGTTGCTGAAGCTGCAAGATATATATTTATATGCTTTCTTTATTATGTGTGCCTAAACCTTGTTTTTTTCACTCTGTTAACTTTTCAAAAACTATTAAGAAGAAGAGTGACAAAATGCTGTGGGGGCACAGGAGAGGGAGGACAGGAAGGAGGTGGCGGGTAGATTATCTGCAAAACAGAGTGCTTTTCCGAGATTCTCTTTTTCCCTTTTCTTTTTCACGTTACTTTTTATTTTATTTTAAATTCCAGAGTACATGTGCAGGATGTGCAGGTTTGTTACACAGGTAAACATGTGCCATGGTGGCTTGCTGCACCTATCAACCCATCATCTGGGTATTAAGCTTAGCATGCATTATCTATTATCTCCCCCAGCCCCACCCACCCCAACAGGCCCCAGGATGTGTTGTTCCCCTCCCTATGTCCATGTGTTCTCATTGTTCAGCTCCCACTTACATGTGAGAACATGCGGTGTTTGGTTTTCTGTTCCTGCATTAGTTTGCTGAGGATAATGGCTTCCAGCTTCATCCATATTCCTGCAAAGGACATGATCTCATTCCTTTTTATGGCTGCATAGAATTCCACAGTATACATGTACCACATTTTCTTTATCCAGTCTACCATTGACGGGCATTTGGGTTGGTTCCATGTCTTTGCAATTGTGAATAGTGCTGCAATGAACATATGTGTGAAGGTATTTTTATAACAGAATGATTTATATTCCTGTGGGCATATACCCAGTAATGGGATTGCTGGGTCAAATGGTATTTCTTTTCTAAGAGATTTTCTATCCAGCTCCTGGCTCCTCTTTGTCTCTTCAGGGCTTGACAGAGAGCAGGTGCTCAGTGATGTTGGACTGGAAGTTTTGAAGACAACAAAAGCAAAAGTCTTGCTTTTACACATTGCTGTTAGATTAGGGCTATTAATGATGATTATTGGAAAAGAACTGGATTTAGTAGCTGGAAAACATTAGCAGCTACATAGACTTAACTAAATTCTTACACTGCAAACACAAATACTGGAAAATCGTCTTGCTCTATCTCCTTCAGGAAAGGGCCACTACTTTCTTTTCTCATCTCTTTCCTCAGTGTCCAGTAACACTGGCGACAGCCTGGGAGTATTTACCTGAGACAGAGGGACCAAAAGAGATTGCTTCACTTGAGGCCCCAGAAGCCCCCTCCACCTCTGGTGTTCAAAGCATGAGAGTCAGAGAAGTCTGCACCTCCCAAACCCCACTCTCCTTTGCTTCCCCACATACAGTTACTCTCCAAGTCCTATTGCTCATAACGTCATCCACTCTCAGACCCAACTAAATTTCCTCATTCGCACTGCTCCCACCCTGCCCCAAGCCACCACCATCTCCTCCCTGATTCCTGTCACAATCCTAGCTTGTCTTTCTGCTCCTAGCTTGCCCGCTTTAATCATCATCCACATAACAGCTAAAGCAGAAATCTGATTGTGTCATCAGAAACCTATTGCCTTTAGGATTAAGTCCAATCTCCTCAGCTTGGTTGACAAGGCTGTTTTTCTGATCTGACCCTTGTCTTCTCTCCAGTCTCATTTCTCCCACCCTTGCCCCTGTGTTTCATTCAGAGTCAGTGTTTGCAGGTCCTTACACATTAGCCACGCTTCCTCATCATCCTCCTAATTCCTGAGCATTCTTCTTGCTTAGCTGTTGCCTCCTCGTCCAGGCCCACACTCCTCTCTCTGCAGCTCAGCAACCTGATCTAGTGCCATTAGCCAGCACGGCCAAGATATGCTGAAACCCCCTCTGGGAAACCATCAAACTGATGGCTGGCATGGACTGCAGAGTGATATTTTAAAAGCACAAATCAGGCTGGGCACAGTGGCTCATGCCTGTAATCCCAGCACTTTGGGAGGCCGAGGCGGGCGGATCACGAGGTCAGGAGATCGAGACCATCCTGGCTAACAGAGTGAAAACCCGTCTCCACTAAAAAAAAAAAAAGAAATTACAAAAAATTAGCCGGGCGTGGTGGCAGGCACCTGTAGTCCCAGCTACTCGGGAGGCTGAGGCAGAAGAATGGTGTGAACCCGGAAGGCAGAGGTTCCAGTGAGCCGAGATCACATCACTGCACTCCAGCCTGGGTGACAGAGTGAGACTCCGTCAAAAAAAAAAACAAAAACAAAACAAAACAAAACAAAAAAACCCACAAATCAGATCATATCATTTTGCTTCTACAAACTCTCCAATTCACACTTAGAGTAAAATTCAAAGGGCTTTTCCCCTAGAAAACCTTACTAAATCTGGCCCCTGCCCATCCCTCCAACTTCCTCCTATATAATGCTCTGCCTTGTTCATTTTGCTCCAGTCACAATGGCCTTCTATCTCTTCCCCAAAACTCAACCACACTGTTCCAGCCTAAGGGCCTTTGCCCAAGTTGTGCCCTCTGCCTGGAGCTCTGTTGTGTCAGCTCTTCATATTGTCCAAGTTTCAGCTCAAAGTAACTTCGTCAGAGAATTCTTCCCTGATCATTAACCAAAGTAACACCCTCAAAGAAATTCCAGTGCCTTCACAGAATGTATTGCTATCTAAAATTATTTGGTTCTTTTCTTTACTGAGATGTTTATTGTACCTCCTCAACTCACATGTAAGCTCCATAAGAAAAGAACGATTTCTATCTTACTCACAGCTGCTCTCCTGTGCTCAGAACAGTTCTTGATGCTAGCAAGTGCCTAGCAAATATTTATTGAAGGAATGCATAAGTAAAAAGAGATAAAGAGGAAAGTTAGAGGATTAAAAGAACAGGTGAAGGACTTTGCAAATATATTCCCATTATTGCTTCGTAGCATGAGTTTCTTGCAGAAATTATGAGATCCTTTTGGCAATACCACTAAGAGAAAAGGCCACTGTGACTCCCATGCCAAGATATCTCAAACACAGACGTGGTGATTCTTAATAGATAGAAGCAGAGAGGTGAGAACCGCAAAATCTTTAAAACTGGAAGAAGCCTCCAATATCTTTATAACCCAATCCATTCATGTGGTGATAGAGTGAAAGCCTGGAAGAGATCAAGTGACTTACCAAAGACTTTGCCACTAGCCAGGGGCAGGCCAGGAGACAACTGAGGTATCCAGTCTAGTTGATGGTTCCATATTTTGCTGCCCTTTCTCATATTCATTTAGCAGCCATACATGAAAGGGCTGGAACAACGATATCTGTTTGGCTCCTGGGTCTGCTGGAAACTCTTCCCTAAGCAGTTATTACTTTTTCTTTCCACGTCTGGTTACTACTGCTGCATAACAAATCACCCCCAAGATTTAGTGGTTTCAAACATCAACAACAGGTGCAGTGATGGATTCATGCCTGTAATCCCAACATTTGGGGAAACAGAGGCAGGAGGAACACTTGAGGCCAGGAGTTTGAGACCAGCCTGGGCAAATATAGCAAGACCCCATCTCTGCAAAAATAAAAATAATTAAAAAAAAAAAAATTTAAATTTAAACATTAAAAAATCAACAACATTTTATTATCTCTTATTGTTTCTGTGGGCCAGGAATCTGGGAATGTTTTGGCTAGGCTTGGGATCTTTCATGCAGGTACAGACAGAGAGTGGCTGGAGCTGGCCAGGCATCTCTCTCTCTCTTTTCATGTAGTCTCAAGACCTCTCCTTGAGGTTTAGTTTGGGCTTCCTCACAACATGGAGGCCTCAGGGCAGTTGGATTGCTTACATCAAGACTCAAGAGTTCAAGAGGCAGTATTTCAAAGTCAAAAGTTGCATCATCTTTTATAGTCTAGCTTCAGAGGTCAAACAGTATCACTTCTGCCACATCCTATTGGTTACAAGTGAGTCATTAGCCCACCCAGATTCACGAGGAGGGTAATTAGACTCCATCTCTTGATGGGGAGTAGCAGGGTTCTGGAAAGGATGTGGGCTAGGAAATACTGCTGCAGCCATCTTTGGAAATACAATCTGCCACATCACAGAATGCAGAGGTTATTTTAGACAATCAGAAATGCCGTCTACAGTACCTAAAATGCCATCTACAGTACCTAAAATCAAATTCATCGTCTGATGCAGATCATCTAAAATGAAAGAGTGGCACCCAGGAAACTCCAAAGCACAGCAGCATAAGGCAGCAATGAGCTCCGGTTCTGTGCTCCCATAAAAATGACCCAAATATTTGTCCCTGTTTATTGCAAGTTTGAGAGCCTCTGTCCCTGCATGAGCCTACATGTATGTCCATTAAGAGTGCAGCTATGGGTATAGATGATTATATAGAAATATGCAAAATGTGACTCCCAGGTCAGGCCTTTATGGGCCCAGATTCAATGTGGGATGCAGTTTTACAGCCCAGTTGTAAACCCCTGGAAACAGAGGTTTATAACAGAAGCACTGACACAACTTTTATCTATGGCGGCAAGAACAGTGCTACGGTAATAGGCCTGTTCCTCTGTGGCTAATGTCGGCTTGAAGTATCTTTAAATCTCAACGTTCCTTCCAGCAGGTACTTCACTGAAATGTAACTACCACAATGCATCCTTTCCATGTGACTAACTTCGCTCATGGACCAGAATCACTGTGGCTCTGCCCTGGAGTGGTGCAAAGTAAGCTGCCTTCAATTACAGGATGGAGGGGGAGTGAGGGGTGGACGTGGGCATCTTACCCTTGGTCAGGATCAAACAGTCTTTCCAGTTTCACAGAATGTCATCAGATAATTTTAGTGTTAGAAGGGACCTTGGAGAGCCCATAGTCTCCCTCTTTTTAAGATATAGAGAAACAGGCCCAGAGAGGTGACATGATTTGCCCTGAGTCACACAGCTGGTTAGAGGAAGATCAAGTTGACTCCTGAGTCTTGGTGTTACACTTTCCCCATTATACCAAATCTTTGATATGATACTTTCTCTCTACACACATAAGAGAGTGTATACACACACACACACACACACACACACACACTCACACCACGACCTCAGTGGAGAGAACTAAAACTGATTAATCTGCAGTCCGGTAGCAGTATGCTTTACAGGTAATATTATTTGCAACCTACTTTTTAACTATCTGTGAGACCAACTTGTTTAAACAGGAGAGGAAGCCCATGGCACAAAGGGATCTTCATGTTCCTTTGGTATATTAGGAGAGGCACCCAGTTAAAGAGTGTTCATTACTATTGTAAATTCTTGCCCCAGGGCTTGTATCCTTGCGCTAGATTACATGAGGTCTGTGTTCATGGACAGCGTTTGGCGTCTGATTGAAGGTCCAGCGCAGCTAATTAATTTCATTAGGAAGTGAAGTCATCTTCTAGCAGGAATTAATATTTGGAGCTTCGTGTTGCTAATTCATTTCCAGATTTAATTAGCTCAGAGAAGAAATGTTGCTTGGGCAAGAGGACTTTTTAATTATCAGCTTGGATAAATTTGAAAATGTTGATGCCTAGGGGTTGAGTTAATTAAAACCTGCATTATTTTAACTTTAATTAGCTCCCATCTTTGTTTTGCTTCACCATATGGCCATGTCCTGTAGTCAAATTTAGTTAATTAAGCTAATTAAGCTAATCATTTTAATTACTCAAGACAATATGATTGGATAGAGGATGACTACAAGTTTATGGCCAAGTACTTCTTTTTCATTAAGTTGAAGGGACAGAGTTATTTCTGATTGCGGCTGGCAAGCAGTGCTGCGGAGTTCAGGGATGTGACAGCCTCAGAGATATTAAGGCTGAAGTCTAATTGCATTACTTGATAAAAACAAAATGTCACTAACACAACTCTTTAAAAGAGGAGAATAATTTAGTGCTACATCTATTAGCATTCTGGACAGGCTGACTTGGTCAGGGTGCGCTGGCTTGCTCTTTTTACCTAATAAGATAATGAAGCAAACTTACTGAGCTGTGGAATTTACTAATGGAGATCTAGGTATTAGATGGTGAAATCTCCATCTTATTATAGTGGTGCCCAGTAGTGCTGCTATACTTATGGGCCTGCCATCGTTTGTGGCACAAACCTGTATTTTTAGGGGTTCATAACTCTGCTGTAAAACATTAGCTCCAGGCTGAGAGTTGGCCTAAGAGGGCCCATGTTAGGAATGCTTATTTATAGAATGTGGAACTTTGCGGGGAGGAAGGCAAGAGTCAGGCTGTTTTTATGGCACTGCTTGGAAGATGGAGTTCGCTGCATTTGTCCTGAGCCTTTATCTCTGTTGCAGCTCCATAAAGGATTTGAAAATTCAGCCCAACAAAGGAAATCTTCTTAATCTGGCTTTTCTCTGCTTCCCCACCACCATCTCAGGGCCCCCCAATCCAAGTACCTGATGACAGTGACGGCCTTTTCCAGATAGTCACACGCCAGATAGCGACTTTTAAAAATAAGGTTCCATGAGCACAGAACAAAAAGGCTTTTCCCAAAGCCTTCATGAGACTACTTGGTTCTCCACGTACATGGGAAGTGATTCTCTGTATGGTTCAGAAGGAAAGATTTAAAATAACCTCTAGAGTAGTCTTTTGAGAAAATAATACGAATTGTAAAAGTAGTTCAAATATATGTTTTGGGAGGCTCTGCTGCCTCCAGTATGTGGTTTCTAGAAAGCCGGTTTTTGACCTCTAACATACGGGCACATTTTCTATGATGAGCATATAGCTCCCAGGATGGAGAGATGCTAACATTCTTAGGAATAAAGGATGATCCACCCAGGGATCACTGGGGTAAAAATCATTTTAAGGCCATGGCTGTAATCAACAGAAGTCAAAGATGTCTAAGAGCAGACTGTAATTCCACACCTTCACATAAGGCAGGAGTACTGCAGCACTGCCTAGAAAGAGATAACAGCAGCTCAGAATTAAGTCAACCTAGAATCCTGCAGGTAATATGTATTTTTATTCATTTGTTCATTCACTTGTTCAGACATTCGACAAAGATTCACTGATGCCAGGCACTCTTCTGGAGAACAGGGATATGGAAATAAATGAGACATATTCTTGCCTTCCAGGAGCTCGCATTCTGTTTGGAAAGCAAATTATTTAAATCCAGTAGAGGACTCTCAAATGTGGTTGGAAAATCTAAGAAGACTTCCCAGAGGCAGCAGCACTAGTGTTAGGGAAAGAGCTCACAAATTCCATTGCTGTAGAATCCATGTGTTGAAGACCGCTACACTGGAATCTAGTTTTCTATCCTAAAATCTACCTCCTGAGTTTGAGTAAGACTTGAACTAGTTTGCAAATATCTGTGATCTTCACCTTGCCTGCCTGCAAAGCCCATAAGCAAGTTCAGAAGAGACTTCTACTTGTCCAAAGCAACATGGAGTAAAGTGGGTCAACTAGAATTAAAATATGCTCCAGCCAAAGGTTTGTCTCATAGAAAATGGAAAAAAATAAATGCTACAGATATAGTGAAGTTCCTTTGATAAATGAGAGTGACTCACAATTGGGGCCATTTTTAGAAAATGTAAAGAAAAATTATGCTAACCAACCCAGAGCTCCACTCGCATTATTTTAAAAGTAGCTAATGAGATTTGATAAATCTCTAGATGGTGATAGGAAAAAAAAAGTGCTCTAAAGATCTCTAAGATTGAAGACACAAATGGCCCAAGTTTTAGACACTTCCTCCCAGTTTATTCTATAACCAAACAGAAGTTCGACAGGGTTGAGCTACACACTGCACAGGTGACACAGTTCTGGTTCGCACATGGGCTTCCAAGTGGGGCAAATCTGTGTGGCCTCAGCACATTATGCAAACATGCAGAACCTCCATTTCCTTACCTGTTAAGTGGCAGTGATGACACCTTACTTGAGGGGCTATCACAAAAGTTAAATGAGGTACAGTACCTGACACATAACAGCATAGTTCATACTCACCTAGATTTAAGCATGAGCTCTACCATGTACTGAACATATGGGGCAAATTACCCAACTTTTCTAAATCTCAGTTTCCATATGTGTAAAATGGATCCATAAAACTTTATAGGTATTATGAGAATTAAACGAGTAATTGCATACAAAGTGCTGAGCTCAATAGTTGTTAGCTCTCATTGAATTACTAGATAAACAACAAATGATAATTCCTTCTTCTTTCCCAAATAGCTATGAAATGGGAAATAAGTGTCATTATCCTTTTGAAGGAAAGTGTCATCAAAAAGCCGTTACAACTATTAATATTTTCACATGTAAACAATGATAGCTGGCTCAATGTCTCCTTCCCAAGGCAATCAGATATTTTTAATATTCACTAGTTTGCTATGGTTTTAAATGTATAGCATCAACTCTATGCTCTGATGGGGATTGATATGGCAAAGCTTTAATCCTAATATGCTTTTCTTTATAGGTGACCATGGAAACCTATTGATAAGGCTCTGGGGTCAGATTCATCTCTGTTCAGACAACTCTAGCGGTGTGACTCTGAGCAAGTGTTTTTTAACCTAAGTTCCTGCTTCCTCAACTGCAAATGTAGGAATGGTAACATCTTCCTCAAAGTTGTATGCTGGGGATAACACATGAAGGAGATGCCTGGGCCATATAATTATTTAAGAAATGTTCATTTCTTTCTTGAACTACCTTCTACCAACTATTTGGTCTGAGTTTATGAAACTGTAAATTTTGTCTAACATTTGCCTAACAAAGCATTATTACCTTGCTTAAAGAAACACACAATACATTCTAAACCAAAAATAATTTGAATGTAATCCATTATTTTGGATTAATCTATATCATCACTCCCCTCCCTTAGAGAAGACAGGCCAAGAGTTGGTTGCAATAATTTTTGAAGTAAATTGAAGACCTTATAATTAACACTTAAGTCGGAGAAGTTATTATATTTTCCAGTGTTTCAGTATTTACAGTCCAAAATAGTGTTCATCCTCAGAATATAAAGCCCTTTTACCTTTAATGATATATCAAATGCATTGGCAAATACAGCTGTTGTTAGTAAATTCCTATTTAACAGATGGGCAAGATGAGGTAGTGAGATTAAATGACTAGCCCATGGCTAATATGTGATTAGAAAGACAAATTTAATCATAGTTGCCATTTGACTTCCTTTCAAAACTAGAATTAAATTTCAAGTGTCTCCTGACTCCCAGTTTGGTGCTTATTTCACTACAGTGCAATATGTGCTTTATTACATGCTTTAAAATAAGAGGAGAGAGTGGGGAGGCATAAGCACCTTCCTCCTAAAAGGCACAAAGCACAAAATACGAGGGAAATAGTCCATCATTAATTTTCATAACATTCCCCGTAAGACAACAATGAGTACCGACTCTCCCTTAGTCAGGAGGATGGTGTAGAAACCTAAGTTTAAAAAAAGATGCACAAGATGCCCACAGATACTCAAGAAATCAAAAAGACAGCCCAGAATTACCTAGTGTTAGAATGAAATTGATCACACACCTTCTGGAAAGCACACAGTTCTACAAGTCTCTATGTACGCAGGGAAATCCAAGTACCTTTTTAGCAGGGAAGGATTGTTTCATAGAACATCTAGCAGCAACCCTGGGTAAGTGGATACTGTTTTGAGAATGTTTTAAACTTAGTCACCCAATTCTCATCAGGCCCAATCAACCAACTGCCTAACCTCATTTTGTTTTGAAAAATAATGTCACAAATGTGTCCAGAGTGGGATAAAATGCACAGTAGCGAGTTCATTAACATGCCATCTGCATGCAAAACAAGGGGATTCCAGAGGCAGAATGCTTTGGTAGGCCTGCTAGAAATCAAATTCCAGGCTAAAAAAATATAGAACACAACTTAGGGAGAAAAATATTACAGCTACACCTTTACTTGACCCACAGCAAAGACTGTCTGGTTTTCAAGAGCTCCAAAGCCAGCCTGAATTCTCTTTCCCTCTTTCTTAAAACTTTAAAACATGTTTTACTACTTAAAGAGGGTAAAAAAACAATTGCTTACAGCATGAGGTGGTTGATGGAGTTTTGTGAATTATATCCATCCCCACGAAGAAAGAAAGGCCTAGCTAGACCTCAGTGTCAGAAATCCATTTAGGATGGCCCGTCTTTTCAAAATCAAGCCTGTTTATCTTCCTGATTCACTCAGTAACAAATCAGAAAACTCAAACCTGCCCCCTTCATTTCTTCTGACTCCTACTGCCTCCCTCTACTCTCAGAGAAAGAAAGGATTCGATTTCCAGAGGCTGTAGCTTTAACGAACCAGAGGCCTTTTTTTCCACAGTGGTACCTCAAACTTCATCAAGAGCATTGGAGTCTGCGTTTTTTCTGTTGCAATTTTCATTCCGCCTTAGCTCTCCCTGACACACCTGTGAAGTGTCACCAAATGCTGTATCACATCAACTTTTAAAAACTGCCAACTCTGCTAATGTCTGAGACCTCCTGATGTCACAGCCTTACATGAGCTTGAAGTACACAAAATCATAGCTTGAGTTTTACCACGCACAGCAAAAGCACCTGTGTGGGTGGGTAGGGCAGAGGGTCTTGTTGAAAGTCGTGAAATCAGACAGACAAAACCACTGAAATGAGATGTACGGCGGGGGTGTTTGTGGAGCTTGTAACATCCTTCTTCCTGAACTGCAGTGAGAGACCCCAGCCCCTTAAACTCCCTCACAGAGCTATTTATCTAGGCAATTGTTCCTTCCATTCTCCCTACCCTCCTTTTTATCACGATAGAAATTTCCTCATAGCCTAGAATTCTAAGAGAAAATATTTCATCTATTATCAATTTCATAAACATCTACTCCCACCCACTGCCAAAAAAACAAAAAACAAAAAACAAAACCACTGGTAAATATTATTCAGGGTATGGTTTGTACTGGCTATTCAGCTCTGGGTACAGATGGCATTTATTGAAAAACTGGAATGTATCATGGTTTTTGGTCATACTATATAGTATAACCAAGTAATTGAGTATATGGGTCCTGCAGCCTCCATACCTGGTGCAAATCTTGCCTACCCCCCGTGTTGTTACCAGACTTAACTTACTAATTTTATGACCTTAGGCCATAATGTACACATATCTACAAAGCACCTTGCCCTTTTCTATTGATATTCTGTATTTTGAATCTATAGGTGTGTTGATCTATACATATTTTTCCAGGTCCTTATAACCTAAGGTGATATTTGTGAGATACCCCATGATTTAACATATAGAAATTATGGGCTTTAAGAACTGGTACTTTGGCACCCAAATCCACTGCAGTCAAGAATCTACGCAAAAATACACACAAAAAAAGAAGTCTTTTTTGCTTTGTTTCACCATTTTCTATCAACATCAAAGAATGTTTCATTAAATTGGAGTAGATATTTTTCTTTAACCATTTTTCCCTTTGTAATAAAAGCAGCTTGGATTTAATGGTATGTTCAAGTAATTTATTTACAATTTTATGTATCTTTTTAGACCCTAGCAATTAATGGGAAAAAAGAAAGTATAGCCAACAAAAATTTTAAAATAATCTGATAATTGTTGGTGTATAAGTAAAGGTATAATTTGTTCTCTTTGAATGTCTCAGAGCTTTCCCATCTTAAAACAACAAATATAAACATCAGTTCTTTTGAGGGATGTCTGCTTTTCACATCATACTAGAATATGTAAAAAGTTTTCCTAAAAATGTTCATGTGTGTGTATTATGACTTTTAGATAATCTAATTTATTGTAAGGTCTTTTATGTGGCTCAAGCCACAGCTCATTCAAAGATTCTAAACACATCCTTTACTACTTTGTGTGGAGTATGTTGATCCATTTTGCTTTCTGAACTAACATGATTACGAAAGTCTTGTTCTTGTTCCTCAGCAACAACGATCTGTGGGCAGAGTTATTATCAATTATACCTAATTATTCATCATGAAGGAGTTAAGATTTCTCAAAATTCAAAAGAAATACCTCTTAGAGCAAGGCTGAAATGTGGGCAATCTAAATGAGCTGGCATTTCAGGTTGGATAAAGACAAAATGCAATGTTTTTTTAAGAGGAAAGAAACTAGTTATACCTAACAGGATAAAGCACATCATCAGTGCAGGTAATTTTACCAAAATGCCCCAAATGCCAGCGTTCGATAGCAATTCTGGGATTCTGGGCCTTAATAACAATACCCCGACATGTTAGAGGCTGCAGCAAAAACAAAGTAAGTAATATTGACCCCACCTTTACTTAAACTTGTGACATTTTGCTCATCATGTATGTTTTTTGCATTGATTTAATTTTTTTAAATGCTGCATTAAAAGATTATCTTAATTACTGATTTTTTGACACCTCCTTAAATTCTACACCCAAAATAAGTGCCCACTAACCTCGACTCTACTCTTAGCCCTGCTAAATAAGTAATCTCCCTGAACTTTGGTTACCTCATCTGTAAAACTGAGGGAATAATAATTAAAAGGATTATGAGGACTGAATGATATTGCATGCCTAAGTACTTGTTCATTGTAAAAGTTAATGTATAAACACATTTACAAAGCTTTATGCAACTCCAAGATAAAGTTATTATATTAAACATTATATTTAAAGATGTAAGGTTTATGGCAAGTTTAAGTCCCATGATTGATGACAGAAACTGAATCAGAGGCCTTAGAGAAATAGAATTTAAGACACACCTATTCCTACCAAACCTTATTTAAATAAAGAAAACGGTACAGTAACAACCCAAGAAATCAATTTCCTTTCCAGGTTTCATAATTAATCTTCATTTGTAAATCCTGTTTGTCCTCAGATTTTCTCTTTACAGTTCCTAAAAACATTCAATTCACCAAAAATGAAAAATTAATTTAGGAAGAAACTCTAACTTAAGAAAAAACTTGCAGCTCAAACAACAGGTGAAAGCACACAAATATAGAAACTGTTTTTGAAGAAGTTGGGGATGTTAACCTTTTAGTTCAAGATGGGGGGTTGTTCCAGAGTGAAGGAAGGTGAGATGCCTCCCGTTCTCATGAGCTAATGATTGTTTCCAAACTGGTTAGAATTCAGTGCTAATTGCATTTTAAAACACCACCTCTGAAATCCTTTTCTCTCTCAGGATCTTGCATCAATGTTTCACATTTTCAATGCAACCTTTGCACTTCACCTTTCTCACTCAACAAATTCTGAATGTCAGATCTACGGGAAGAACTCAGTTCAGATCCTTCCTCTCCCCAGCAGGTTTTGATCTGGTGATGGTGATGTCAATTCCTAGGAAAGGCTGTCCTGCCCTGGTTCTGAGGGGAGAGAGACAATTAAAATCGGTACTTTGGTGACTCTACTCAGGCTTGTCCATTCTAACAGGGAGTCATTAAACAACTTTCCAGTGTCATTCAAAGAACTTATAACAGAATCAATTGATTTTCATCCTCTGCTTTATTAGTTGTGATTTAGGAAATAGAATGGCCCTGTTTACACAGCTGTAACATGTCAGGGCCTGTAGTACATTATTGGCTTGAGGCCTCCGAGTTGCCGTCCATTCTCAGCAGAATCAATCTGAACTTGAAAACATTCCCTCTAGGAAACATGCACATATCTACTAGCATAAAGCACTTCTTGCACAACTGAAAACAGTATTCACTTGAGGTAAGTTGCAAGTTCACCTTCCAAAAATCAGCCCTGACTTGTCATTGCTCTCAGCATGTTCACGATGGGAGCAGAGGGCTACAAATGCCTCTTTAACTAGGTACCCAGCATCGGCGAATGTGCTACACTTTGCTGCTAGTCAGATCTCAGACTCTGCAAGTGGGAGTAGCTGGCTGTTTAACATGCGTTCAGAGCACTGCCAATCTAAAATGGCTGCTCAGTAATACTTTAATTGCAGTTTCATGGAAACAAATTGCTATTTAACTGCAATAAGCACTTCTGTGACTTGGCTGCACTAACAATAGGTGAGTCTTAGTAACAAAGCTATAAGTAACATTAACTTGTAAATGGCCTTTTTCCAATGGCCTCTTGAAGGGGTCATAGGTGGGACAGCACCCAGGATAGAATTCCCTGGTGAAGGGTGAAGGGGTCTTTGGGGTGAAGGGTGATGGGGTTTTTGGATCTCCTCAATTTAAATACAATTAGTTAGGCTACATGGGAACTCTTCACTAGACTCCATATGTAGCTCTTGGGTTCACTGTTTATTATATGATTTATGGGCCCTAAGAAATATTTTATATAAATAGTAGTGCACATTAGAATCTTACTATATTGACATTTAAAGCCCTTTAAGAGCTTCCTTTTAGATGATTAGTTGTTTCAAATATCAGTGTTAATAAGGGCAAAAGAAAGAATTTAAATACAGGTAATATTAAGAGGATGACAATTTCACAGACTTCATTTTGGTGTGTCAGTTTTCTCGTTTTGTATTTTATAAGACACTACAGTCCGGGTTAAACTATTTCCTAATAAATCATGAAGAGCTGAAAATAGTTTCTAGTGGCAAACGATTTGGTTTGGAAAAGCTTCAGGCTCCCCTGCCTTGCGGGATGTGTAAATCTAATTAGACAGTTAGATAGGTAAAAAACATTAAACCCTTTTAGAGGACTATCTTTTTACAAAATTGTTTCATTAACAAGAGTGACAATTTGCATGATTGAGACATTTATATGTACCATAAACATAATTTTTTTTATCAGGAGTTCAGCAGGGCTCAGTAACATTTGCTTTTATTTTTAATTGCACTTGCTTGTAGGGACTGGGGGCCATCTTGCTCTATGACGTGGTTAATATTAAATAAGTCCTTTCTAAAGAACAGTGTCCATCTTGCTAACTAATAACATCACAAATGCAATGGATGAAAGGTGGAATAAACTCATAGATTTTTTTTTTTCCTAAGCAATGTTGAGATTGGGGGAGGAACTGCACACAATCGCTGCTCACATCAGAATAAACCTGAGTGTTTTTAGTAGCTTTCTATCCACACAGAGCATCCCCATTAGAGCCGGGTTTTATTGTTTGAAATGCCTCTGGTTTCAAGAAAGTGTTTTACCTAAAGCAAGACTACTACTTAAATATGTTCTATTGTATATTCATAGCTCCATTAGTCCTTCTCCAATTTAGCACATCAAAGAGAAGGCTTCATCACTTGCATGTGGATTATACTAACATGAGTGACATTTGTAATCTTATAGGTCTGCAACTTAAGAAATGCTTTTAGAAGCTCATTATTAAATACGCAGCAGTGCTTGAGGAACCAGCCATATAATAGTTTATTTAAAGTCCGTAATGACCTTAGCCCTCCACATCATTAAATGCGACAATATATTATTTACTAAAGTTATTAACCACCTCCTTTGAATTTGTACATATCAGGGACATAAGTGCTTATGCCAAAAAGAATATAGAAAATGCCTGCAATCTCATTAACCCATTTCCCCCTTTACCATCGCAGTCTAACTTCCTTCAGAAAGTTCCTTAAAGGAAAAAAAACAAATATAAGAACCAGAACTAGTTTGAAGAAATTCCCCAAGGATCTAATTCAAACAGACATCTAATTCAAACATATATATGTGATTTCTTCATATTATTTTCTTGCATTTTATTTTTATAAGGTTCTAACAAAACTATTCACCTCAACTCTATGCCTTTACAATCTCCTCTAGGAGGTTTGAAGTTCAACTGATTTTTTTTTTCCCCTGCCCTGGAATCTCTGAAAACAGGAAGTGAGCACAGAAGTTCTCAAAGGGAAGCTGACTGGTAGTTGAGATGTGCTGAGCTACACCTCTCTACATGGCTCCACGGCTATTCTCAGAGGGAGGGTCTACATCAGGCGCTTTTCTGGAACAAAATAAAATGCCATCTTAAAAAAGAAAATTTAAAATAGTAGCGTTCACACACCTGGTTTTATTAGCCTGTGATGGAAGTTGTAGTTGAAATTTGCTCACATCTAAGGAAGCTGGCAGTACAACCTCAGCCTCCAGGCCTATTTGGTTTTCCTCCTTCCAGCACTAGCTGTTATACTGCATGCTTTCCGGAGGGCAGCTCTGCGGGCAGTGCAGGCACTGTGGTGGACACTCTGCTGCCTGCAACCAGCAACTCAGTATCTCAAGACTAAGACTAAATGAAGTCAGAATCTTCCCCCAAAATACATACGGAAACGCAGTCAGTAAAGAAGTGTAGGAGCAAAACAAAATAAACACCTTACAGCCAACCACACGAGCCTAAGGGTCACCAGGAAATGGCTACTTCACCAATCAAAGATCACCATAAAAAAAGAGCTCTGGGTCCCTACAACTAAGTGAGCTTCAAAATATGTACAGGTATGACTTAGAAATTGTGACTTCCTTCAAAAGCTATAAACTCAATAAGAGAACAGGATGGTTGTGCCGTATTTTTTTTTATACATACTTTTCATCAATACCCAAGGCTTTGTTTGCTATTGAGAAAAAGAATAAACAAAATAGTGGACACTCAAGTATTTATAAACACAAAAGACTTACTGTGATATAGAAGTGTAACGAAATGCTGTTAACAGAATATTCTTGACTTATAGAAAGGACCCTGTTAGAAACTACTTTGTACCCCTGCCAATAATGGCGTGGTTAAGTAATTTGAAGAATACCTTACTGGCCCAGAGCTAAATAAATATACACTCCACCTCCCTCAACTCCTTCAAATTTAAAGTGAGCTTGTTATTCAACAACAATAAAAACTAAATTTCTTCAAAATACAGAAGAGAAAAAGCAGTGTTTAAACCCAAACACCATTAAATATTTTTTCTTTTAAGTTTTTATTATTTAAATACACCATACTAGAGCAAATGTCTCTGAAAATATCACAAATAAAAGATTTTTTTTTTTCTTCATTCAGCAAATTAGAAGTAGGGGGAATTTTCTACACAGTAGCTGCTATGAGCCTGATTTTTTTTTCCAAATTTTTTTCTTTTTTTCATTCTTTTTTTTTTCTTTGCCATGGGAGTAGCAACATTAGGACAAAAACACTTACATGCATACATACATTGTATTTTACAGAGATACAATAAGTGTTTGTGATAGAATATCACAAAAGCCACATCTCTTTCCTTTATCTCATGGTCAGTTTTGATTGAAACACGTTTCCTTACAACACTTAAATATACAAAGAGCAAATAGAATGTTGTTAAGGTAAAACACAGGGTACAAACTCTGGCCAGTGCCCTGCTAATTGTTAATGAGGGTAGAAAGCAGATTTGAATGCTTCTTTTAATTAGCTTCATTAGTCATTTCCCTCCCCCCCAGCTCCCTCCCCCTCCCCAAGATGTCCTCTGGTGGATCTTTTTTCATTTTCTCTACAGTCTCCCATTAGCCCAGGTTCATGGAGTCCTTAATGTTCATATTCAGTCATTTTAATACACCAATAAATGCGGGAAGGGCAATCAAGACTAAAGAAGGTGCAATGGCATGGAGCTGGCACTGGTGCTAGCTACAAAGGTGACTTGTCTACTGAAGACACATGGGATCCACCTGTGATGAACAAATCTGAGATGAAGGCACGCATTCTGCATTACTCTGACCTTTTAGCAGACCTGCAAGAAATAAAAACGGGCATCTTAGCTAAAATGCTAAATTTGAGAGATATTAAACTCAAACATGACTGCTTTTGTCTTCCCCACATTCACTAATCTTCTTTTATTAGATTACTTTCCAACTGTGACTTGATAGAGGCTTTCTATGCTACTTACTCTGGCAGTGAAGAACTAAAGCATAACATTTTCTGCAGTTTTACTAGCAAAGAAAATGAGACAGTAAATGGACGCTCAGAAAGTTTCTGGTGTAAAGTACTACAATTAATTGCTTAACTCTGTTAAGAGCAAGTGTCTTTCCAAAAGGAATGTAACATCTTGCCCAGCAGTGGGATCTTGAATTTTTTAAATAGCGGGGACATTCCAAGACAAGTTCCTACCTAGGAAGTTTTGGGTTCATATGCTTAACCGTGTAACCTTTTGGAATGTTGCTTAAACTGCTTGTGTCTCAGTTTCCTCATCTTTAAAGAAGGGATAATGACACTGTTATGATAATTACATAATACATATGGGAGCACTTTCAACAGTGCTTGGCCCTTAATAAAAGTTCAACAAATACTGGCAGTTATCATTATTATTCCGATATCCCCATGTGAAAAATATTCACCCATATTGGTACTACCTATAGGTGTGTGTCTATATGAAAATTTCTATGTACAAATATTCACATATTTTTCACTATTTCTTATCTGCTATGTCACTTAATAGCTACACAAATATGTGATTCAATACATGCAATGTGTTAATGACCTGTGATAGATAAAAGAACATAGTTCAATGCAAGGGTGGCTTCAATGTCTAAGTCAGAAATGGAAATCCACACACTTGTCAA
The DNA here is from genome assembly GCF_000001405.40 of Homo sapiens. Classification (NCBI taxonomy): domain Eukaryota; kingdom Metazoa; phylum Chordata; class Mammalia; order Primates; family Hominidae; genus Homo; species Homo sapiens. The sequence continues at coordinate 87,343,958 of NC_000001.11, read as the reverse complement.
ATACAATCTGTTTGCAATTACCAAAATGAAATAATACATATTAGGTTGTTATGGTTTTTAAATGACATTTTGAGCCTCCCAGGAAGTTCTCGTTTCACCCTTTCCCTAACTTACAAAAAGCCTGTAGTCTATTAGGAACTGCAACCCCCTACTTCCAAGCTAATTAAAGTGGTGAAGGCTTAATTCCCCAGAGTGGAAGCTCAGTGTGAGAAAGGTAATTTGTCTGTCCAGAACAAAGATGCAGCAGCAGCCAGCAAGCATATTTAATAAATGAGCATCAAATGTCTTCTACGATGGACACACACAACACCAATTATGTAACTATGGGGGAACTGCGAAGTGACATGTAGACTAGAACACTCACTAAATTTTCCTCCAACTAAAGAGATGTGATCTAACTCCTGTTCCACTGAAAACTGAAAAGCACAGGTAATTCTAGATGGCACCATCACACTTTTGAGTGGAAGAAAAAAATTCCAGAACAGGCAGCAATCTACAAAAGAAAAAATTAGCCACAATTCCTGATTTACATAACCCTCTAGAAGGCAGCATTCTCCCAAAGCTAGCCAAGCCTCCTTTAAGTGATATAGGTTATAAAATGTTGTAGATCCTTGAACACTAGTGGCCTGAGATTTCAGTCCATCTGAAATGCAAGATTTCAATCACTGTATGATTTAAAAGCTTAAAATTATTTTTCTTGGAATATACAACAGCCAATGATGCAGAACAACAACTACACTACACAGCCCAGACCCTGGGAACAAATCTCAGAATAAAAGTTTAAAGGGACCAGACAATGGGGGCCTATGTTTTCCATGCAATTAACTGCCTTTAAAGAAGGGATGTTCGAATAATCAACTCATTGCTTTTAAGCCAGAGGATCCTTGAGTATATTTACCACGCATAATACACCAAAAATGTAATTGATTCTGCGAATAGAAGGAAAATGGCCAAAATAAATGTCCAATTTTCCCTACCAAAAATATGGAGAACGAGAGAGGAGAAAATAATAAAACGAAGCCATTTGTCATTTCTCCCCATCTCATTGCCTCCAGAAAAGAAACGCCACAGGGTTTTGGGAAAATAATTTTAAAGCCTCTCCAGTTCCAAAAAGCAGTTTATGTTCCACCAGGAAGTATGTTTTCATTAACTCTTCCCCCTTGCCCTCTCATTAATATCTCTCTGGACCACGTTCAGCTTGCCCAAAACCTTTATTTATAAAAACTACCTTGTGAATTGACCGTGCTCATGGTGAGCTGGGCACCAAGGGCAAAAATGTGAGACACTTACGCCAACAGGGAAATGTTCTTAATTAACAGCACCCCCAAAACACAGCTTCTCACCAATGTCTGACAAGAACATTTCCATAAGTTGTATTTCCTTATGCCTTTTAAGAGCTATTAATTTTTGAAGGCCACCTGTCTCTTTTTTGGCCTCCAACATTAAGAAAACATACACTAATAGGTTCTTATTCATTGCCTAAAATATAGTGTTCCAAAATGAATACCCTACCACTGCCATCCTGGAAAAGGTGTGGAAAACAGATTTCAATGAAAGGCATAAGACATGTAATCTCATCAACAGGTAAACCTGGTTTTTCTGCAGTTCTCCTCCCTAACACCTCTAAATTTATGCCATCTTATACTATAAAAGATGGTATGAAATCCTGCTCATATTTCTTAGGTGTGCTTTATACTTGGTCCCTACCTAACACTGCTATTGCCTGTATTCAGTGCTTCACAATCTAGCAACATTTTCCATCTCATCTCTACATCCTTTCATTCTCACCATGCATGCTGGTGAACTGCAACAATCATTTTTTTGTATAGTACTTTGCTAAGTCAGAGAAAGAAATGGTATAAAACCAGCAACAAAGTGAAGCTCTAACTCGGGGAAAAATTAAGCTTTTACATCAGAAGGAGTGGAGAGAAGGTCTACCATTTTATTTCTAGCATATTTTTTCTTTTTTGCTACCAAGTGTAACTACAAACAGCTTTACCTCTATTCTGAATAGGTATCTCCAAATATTTATGTTGCTCATTCATTGTTCTCAACTCTGCCCTGCAGATTCACTTCATTAGAATCCAAATCACAAAAATCTTTAAGCATTTATATGTCTTGGCACTCCTTGAAGAAGCTTGAAATACCTCATCAGCAGTGACTGGTTAGTTTGCAATTAAAAAGTTCAACTTTTATTCTTAAAATGGTTATTCTATGTAGCTCCCCATATTAGTAAATTAAAGTGCACATAATGTCATGTAATTAACACTAAGAAACAGAACATACATTTAAAATTACCTCATAAACTTGAGCAAGGGAAAAGGGCAAATATAAGCATCAAAATATGGCAGCATAATTTTAATGGTTAAAAGTTTTCAAATATTTGTCAAACCCCCACCTCCACCACCGCACTAAGAAAATGCATTACAGAAGACAAAAAAGTCTATTTTTTTCCCCGAGATTTTTGAAGCTTGCTAAATTCCTATTTGCAGATAAATGTTGTTTTTTTTGTGATCCTTACAACAGACATTAATGAAGTTCCTATTGTAAATCCATAAAGAATTACCAAGTGAAGTGTGCACTTTTTGTTTCAATGCAATAACTCAGTGCTGTGTGATTGCCTGGGTTAATGATGAAAAAGTCAAACATACTATCAGAGCTGATGGAAAAATCTATCACCAATCTGAAATTAAAATTCATCTGTGGTCAATAAGATTTAATATCCATGCAAGTGGCGCTGTAAAGAGTAAATGAATCAATGTCATCAATACATAATCAGTATGAAATATGATGTGAATAAAATTATGCACACGAGTCATACATTTCACTCTTTTCTGGGCCGGTGTGGAATGAACAGTCTCTTAACTGAAGGTTGACAGTAATTGTTACAAATTAGGCACAGCAGTTATCAAAATGCACTCACTTGCATAGCTATAGGACTTATTAAGGAGATTAAAATAGATCTAAAACTATCCAGTACTGGGGGTGCTGGACAACTGTTGATCACCAATTTTCCCTCTGGAATATCTTCTAATACTACATGATTTGTATACTTGTATAATTTCCTAATTTTTAATTCTGGTACAAGGATTTTCAAGTTGTGGATCAAGAATCAAGATACATAATTTCTAATGGCACTATTAATGGCACTAAGCGGGTTAGCAAGAACAAGAACTTGGTTTTAAAAGCCATAACTTATTCAAATGTTATGGTACCGCCAATGAACAAAAATGCCCTCTTATGAAGTTACAGAATGTTTTGTAAAATTACTCTTCTAAAAAGTAAATGAATTGTAAATTGGGTTTGGAAGGCAGGTGTCCAGATTGCTATTCCTAACGCAGAAATCATTCTTTCATAACAAAGATCTTTATTCTCTTTTCCTACCATAAATGTTCTAATTTTTCTTCCACAATAACCTATCACATCATGTTTCTGAATTTCAAAATTGTCAAATGGAATAAATAACCAGTTATATGGAAGCTTTACATTTTGTTTGCTTTTGCATGTGATAATCTTATGTTCAACGTGAGTGAAGCTACAGATATAACAAAGTCAGGATTTTTTTTTTAACTAGAAAGGATTCACAATTTAATCAGCTATCCTACTTCTGAACACTCTATGTACAACTAGTAATCTACATTTCTTTAAAAGGGCATGCAAAAATACAACCACCCAAGAAAACTCTCTTGCTAGGTTAAGAGGTTGAACCTTCCAACTTGCTCTAATAAAGCTTATTAGTAATTGCTGGGTATTCACCTTCTGGTCTGGCAGTAGTGGATTGCTCTGAAGTGAATTCAAATGGCCATTGATGAGAGCTGTAGGTCTATCATGTTCACAAAATAAACTGCCATTGATGTAGTGAAACCGATCTCCCGGGACCAGGCGATTCCGGCAGGTAGAGCATGTAAAACACTGAAAGGGAAAAACAAACCCACTGAAAACAAGGTAAAAATTAAGTCTTTTTTTGGTCACAAGTTTATAACCTGTTATTAAGCAGGTATCTGTCAAGTACAGAGACACTTAGGGTTTAGCGTTTTTTCTTCCTTTGACAGATCTCCAGAAAACAGTAAGCCAAATTGCTATCAACTGGACCAGGCTAAATGGGGACAAATCCAAATACATGTGTACTTCTGTCTGTGGCATAGGGGAAGCGTGGTCTGTGCATGTGGATGTGTAACCATCACTGCCATGCTACAATTTCAATCATTCCTTCAAGTGTCTGCAGCTTGAGAAAACAGTTCATACCAAGGAGAAATGCTTTGCCCCCATGTAGGTAGGAAAGGTATGATTTTTTTTTTAAAAAAAAAAGAGAGATGCAAATACTACCTTAAGATGATACACATTGCCTTGCGCCCTCATGACGAGTTCACTCGCAGGAATCGACTGTCCGCAAGCGCTGCAAGCACCGCTATTTCCAAATAACCTGAAACAAAGAATAACGGTTGACACCAGTGAATAATCCTAAACCAAAGAAAAAGAAAGAAAAACACCCCCAGACTCTGGGCATCCCTTTGGAATGCATTTGACAGGCTGAATTCTTAGGCTCAAGCCTCAGATTTTCTGAGTGATTTACATAATCTGGGAAAAATCCTTTTTGTGGGACAACAAACTTCTGCCTACCGCAGAGGATGCCCCAGATTTAATCAAAATATTGACTTACACCTCTAGCAAATACAATTCTGTTCTACACACATTTTATCAGATTACTAGGTTCATCATAAAAAAAAAAAAGATACAATTCATGACTGGAGTTTAAATGCATTGTGTCCTTGAAATTATATGAAGAACTCTTTTGTACTTTAATCATATCTTCAGATATGAGTCATCAAAAGGGTTAAGAGGATTTGATTGTATATCTAAGAAGACATCATGCTCAGTGTATTGAAACTCCCGTAAACCTCCATCAGTGCAGACTTTCCATTAGAAACTCTCTGCTATCCAGGTTGATATATAATGTGTATGGGTTAACCTTTTCAATCATGGTGTCAACACTTAAGATTTGCCTCTGCTCATCTCTTTCATCCTAACCTTCTCTCTCTCTTGATAATGAAATGCTTGCTCCAACTTCCCTCTATCTGCTCCTGAGTCCACAATTTAGATTACTTCATCTCTGCTAGCAACAAACTGAATGAAATTTCGATTTGAGCAGAAAGTAATTTACCGGGATCTGGACCCATTTGTCATCATATCTCTCTGGGTGTTTGCTGTATCACTGCAGTTTTCCTATGCAATCAAATGAGACCACAACATCTGCCATGGGGGGAGGAGGGGGAGAAGGAAAAGGCTGCAGAGGAGGGGAAAGCTCAAGGAATTGTGGTGTACTGAAGAAAAACATATACATAATTCCTTACATCCTTCTGCAAGCACAACAAAATATTTTAATAACCACCGAACTTGGGCTTTTATGCAATCTGTAGACTCAACCTGGGAAGCTTTATTTGCTTTTGGGCTTCCCTCTTTAATATCCACAAATATTTATTAAACAGACCAAAATGATTTCACATTGAAAGGTGGTGTCGGAACAAGTAAGCAGAATCAGAGAGGTAGTTTTCAAAAACGAAAAACAAAGTAAGAGGACTTACAAATTAACATATTGGTGTCATAATAAATATTAACATTTGCATTTCCTCCTTGTCCAAATAAAGTCATAAAATGCAGTCTGTGTCAAACCAGGAGACATATTCCTATAGAACACCCCATAATCTGAATGATTGCAGCATGCCTCTATATAAAAATAATTGCTTTGAGTTTTCAGAATCTGGTCTTGCAGAAGAGGCTTGTCATGTTCAAACTACTAATTTGCTGTCGCCACTTTATTGAAAATAGCCTGTAAGTTGTTATTAAATGTATTGACTGAACGACAGGGAGAGTAGTAAAACTGCCCCTTAAGATGGCTTTTAATAGGAAGCCCGAGAAACAAATTTTGCAGCAGCATCGATTTGAAGAGTTCAATCAAAACTCCATTTCAAAACTAATTAGTCTGAGATCCACGACACATTGACACGTTCTTGCAGAATCAGAACAGTTACAGAAAGAAAGCTGAAATAATACACTGTCAGGACCTCTAGCTGCAGGACCACACCATGTGGGAGCTTGGGGGGCCTCTGGGCTGCTGTCTCCTAATGCTGGACACTTCAGGAACACTGATGAGGACCTCCCGGTGTCTCACCTGCAGTACCACTGCCGCAGGGGAGTTCTCAGAAGGGGAAGGTAGCCAGAGAATGGGCATGGCCCTGAGGAAAGCATTTATGGACGGCAGTAGTGCTATTCCAACCCCCAAAAGGGATACCAAATTCAAACAATTTGGGTAAAAATAAAGTTAAAAACCAGTCCATGTGGCCAAATACATGCTGAGGATAAGAGAAGACAGGTAATGGGGGTAGAAGGGGGTGACAGAATCCTAACAAGGCTAAAGAACAAATATCCTCTTACAGCAACCCTGAAGTATTTTAATGGATAAGAATCTATAATTATGGTTGCCACTACCAACAGGTACACAGTGACACTCCATCTCAAAAATACCCTTTTCACAGTACCCATCTGATTACTCAGCCTAAGTGTTCATTTATTTAACAATTCACCCTGAGTAAAGTCAGTTGTAAGTCTTCAACATCGAAGTGTATTTTAATAATCAGGGCAGTTCATATGTAATCCAAAAGCCTTTCATAGATCTTATTTTTTTCCAGGGCTGCTATCATAACCTTTCAGAGAACAATCAGCCACAAAATGGTGGGATTCCTGAAGTGCCAAAAATTACAGTTACAAAGTTTGAAATGACCAAGATCTACCCAGGACTGATGTGCTATTGAACAACGTATCAATGGAGTTTAAGATCTTTCCATGCCTACAGCTTTAAGGCTGCCTCAGAGCAGAATAACTTACGTGTCTATACACATTCTAATCCCCTTTTACCAGAGAGGAAGGCTACCATTAGAATTCCACCCTTTTTCTGAAAAGTTGTGTGTGCGTGTGTGTGTGTGTTTTTTCACAACGTTTCTGTGCGCTGGAGAGTTAATTATCTAACCAGGGGGACTGTCCGGACAGTGTTTGATTTAAAAGGCTCGAGGCTTTAGGTGCTCAATTAAGTAGCTATCGGTCTCAGACTGGACTATAATGGGCTCTTTTCTCTTTAACTCAAGCAACGGGGAGATATACCCCAGGTCAGGCTAATTAAAGCCAGGGGAGTCTTTAATTGTGATGACAGAATCGGTTTCAGTTTCCTTTCTTTGGGTCCTCAGTCCAAGAAGGTCGTTAATATTTCAGCATTTGGGCAATGCAATCAATCACAAACATCAAGAGGTTCCTTATACAGGGAAAACGGAAAAGATGGGAAGAAATCCCACCAAACCACTGCACTTTAAAGGTGCTTTGCTCCTGTTTGAACAACACCATGTAGTTTTATTCCTGTTTGCCCGCTGAGCTCCAGCTCTCCTTGCTGGCATTAAGAGATGGAGGGCAAATCGTATTTTTAGTTTACTATCAATGCTTAGCATCTTTCAGTAACTTCAATGACCAATAGGTGGGCTTATTTTCAACTGCATTATTACTTCAAGCAAAATACATGCAATATGAAACGCTACCTGGCTGTGTTTTCTAAACTGCTTTTGGGCAAGGAGAGGTACGTTTCTGAGAGTGTGGCTGAAAGGTATATACATTTGTACCTGCAAGTAAATATCAGCAACCTATCTGAGGAGAAAAAAGCACATCCACAGCTACTGATCCAGAAGCAATTGGTTTTCCAGCAGGTTCCTATATTTAATCTAAATTCTGCACCAGCTATATTAAATGTAACAAAGAAATGCAACCCAGAAATTATGCCTGGAGCCAAGTCCATTAAAGGTACTTCGGAAAAACTAGAGACCAGGCACCTTAAAAGCACCAGAAGCTATTGATACTTAAGAGGGGGGCTGTGCATAATAGGAAAAAAAAAATCAGCCAAATTACGCTTGGTTAATTCAGAGTAACAGATCTGCCCCCAAGTGAATTGGAGGCCTTGAATTAATTCTGTTATGACAAATCAAGATAAACGTTCCCCCTAAATTGCATGCGATTTAATTAATTTTTGAGATCCTGTTTTTTTTTTTTTTCTAGCTAATAGTTCACATGCTCCTGTGCTGTCATTGTGCTTGAGTGGGCAGACTTCAAAGTGATATTAAATAACCAACTATTAGATTTACCTAGCACGTCCTATTGGAAAAGTGCCATTTAATTACCTAGCCTGTTCAATTAAAGGGACAGCATTCTCTGAATATAGCAGCTTGCTGTTGATTACCAGGGAAATGAACTCGCTGTCTGGCGGCGCCTCCATTCCTAACGCCACCCCCTACCCAAACACACCCTCCACCACCAACTACCAATTCTCCCCACCCTCGCCCCAGGCCCCCACCCCCGGCCGCGCCGGGCTCACTGCGGCTGCGGGCGCCACGTGAACCGCCCGAGTGGAGCCCGGGGAAAGAAAGCGCGACCCGCTCGCCCGGCTCCCGCCCTGCGCTCGCCCCCTCGTGGGCCCGAGACCGCCCGCCGGCTGGGCGCTCTGGCTGCGGCCTCGGGCGGCGCCGGCCCGGGTGCTGGCCGCCTAGGGAGCGAGGGCCAGCCGACGACCGCCACCCTGGCTTCCGGCGCGTTTCCTCGCCCTCCCCGGACCTGGAGCCCCACCCGCCGGTCTCCGAACTTCCTCCTCTCGCTGCACTTTCCGCGCCAGTCTTCGGGCCCGAGGTGGGGGTGGAGGAAAGACGGTTCGAGGAAGAGAAACGGAGTTTCCGAAGCTACTTGGGGCGCTTGGGTGGAGCTGAGGGGTCGGGAGCCGGGGGTGGGGGAAGGGGCAGTCCCAAGGTTCCCCTATTTTTGTAAGATGGGGGGGCCAGGCAGGCGTTGGTCCCTTTAAGATCCACCCTCCCCCTCCGCTCTACAACCCCCCCCCCTTCATTCTTTCCCTCCCTCTCTTAGAGGCCAATTTTGTTAATTAAATGTTTTGTTTGCGACGCAGCTCTCATTCATTGCGGACACGTCATTCGGAGCAGATCTAAGCCAGAGACCAGATCTCATTAGATAAAGCCCATCAGAACTAAGAAAATGGAGGAGCCACTAATTAAAGCTTTTAATTGTGCGGATTCGCTGCAGCAAGGCAGCCGCTTTATCTGAAATCTTGGAGGGAGAGGAGGCAGAAGCCCAGCTCTGCCCATCGACACTTGGCCGCGGAGGGGGAGGGGACTGGTGAAAGCGCCCCCTCATCTTGCAGCCCCCTCCCCCGCGCTCAGGCCGGCCTTTCCCAGCTCTCCCGCAGCTTTTTAGCAAGACCTTGGTTGTTTTCAAAAAACCACAACTCAAAGTCAAGACAGTTTAAAAGCCCCTCAGTAAATCGCTATGTGGTCTCAGTCGGACCAAGGGGTCCCCTTCACCTGGCGGCGGGCGAGCAGATTACTCCACTCTTCTGCAGCGGTCCCTGCGGCATTGAAAGCTCCTCCAACAAGTGGACTTGAGGGACATTGGAGAGGGGGTAGCTGAGAGGAACAGCAACGTCTGCACCTTCCCACCCTTTGGACATCCTGATGGGCTGAGAGAGGAACACTGAAGGAAGACTTCAGTAATCTCTTAAATTGGAGGGGAAGGGGCGCTCAGCTGCTGGTGAGCCCTGAGCTAAGTGTGAGGCCATCAATTTCGTACTGAGCTAGAACTCATCTCTCCTAGAAAGATCTAAGGTCCTCGGGGTAGCATGTAGTTCAAGAGCGAGCCTGGCTCCAGTTTCCAGATTCAGAGGGAAAAAAGGAAGTAAGAACGTAGATGCCATTAATTAAGGCTCAGGGCTGGGCACACATCCTCCATTGCTCCATTAGGGCACAGGAAAACACCAAAAGGCCATTTACATTTGGCCCCAAGAATAGAGAAAAGAATGGACACAATTCCCAGGAAGCCACTTGCCTAAACTTGTCCTGGGGGAATACAAGCGGACCCATCTTCTTTTTAATTAGTTGTAATCAGAAGCGAGGGTTTTTTTTGTTTTTTGTTTTTTTTTTTTTGAAGGCACTCGGAGAAGAGATGAATCTGTACCATTCACGGAATCTTAACAGCACTGTCAATTTTTCCACTTCAAACCACACTCCTTTCTTACCACAGTTTTGCTTTCTATTTAATTACAGCACCGTCAAAGCTCATGGCATTACTTGGAAGGAGGACCAGAAAGCATTACACCCATGTTCCTGCTGATTTTCCAACATTTACTTCTAAAAGAACACTTAGTGAAATTAATGCTGCCATCTTAATTTAAAAATAAAAGCCCTCTCCCTTCCTGTATTTCTTTTACTTGGACTGATTGAGGATGCCAGCAGAATCGACACAGGTTGCATTATCAAAATAACTAAATGTCATTTTACTCCATCATCTTACACTAATGATATCACTGGGGTAAACATATCCACACTCAGCTCGGAACTGCACTGGGATCTTTTACAATGTTAGTCGCAGGATAAGGCGAATCACAATGGAGCTAAACTTTGAACAAAATAGTTCATCCACTGATTTACCCACACTGAAGAAAGAAAAAAATTTTCTACTAATCACTTTAAAGAAAAAGGTTTAGGACAAATTTACATAGGATGAAATTCTTAAAAGTGTGCGGTTTTCTAGTATCAACTGTGTGCGTGTGGGTTTTTTTTTTAATTACTGGATGTTGAAACAGAACACCTCCTAGAAGCATTCATGTGCATCAGTCTATCAAACCATTTACTCAAATTAAATGTGTAATCCTTCAAATGCCTCCTTTCAAATTAATGAGTTTAAGTAGCTTGAGTTCACCTGAAAAGATCCTATAGGCACCTGACCTCCTGAATTCTTTCCATTAATTGCACTGCAACTTGTTGGAAAAGACTGCTTACATGGACATATGAATGTTCCTATACATTGCTTTAAAATGCAAGATTAGTATAATTCTATAGCCTTTTTCTAAATCTCTTTTGGGGATCAAGGGCAGTGATACAAACGACAACAAAAAACCCAAAACCTGAACATGCTTCAATTGAAAAAAACTGCAAATTCTACATCGCAAACCACACACTAACTGAATTATTGCAAGCCTCCGAGTAACAGTATGAAGAGAAACATTACCACCAGGTTTTATTTCTTGGGACTTTTTTTTTCTCTATAAGAAGAATTACAAGTCTTTAAACTGATGGATAATTAGCATTTTTCTCAAGGAGCACAAAGAACGAATCACAGCCTTCCGCTCAAAAAAGTTTCAAGATGCTTATGTAAATATCGTTAATAAGCCATCGCCATAGACAAATCATTTCTCACTAACTACACTTGTATTTTTAAGTCAACCTTTGTTTCTGGGTTCCTCTGTGAGTTCCTACCTTGTTTTAAGAACGCAGCTTAACTCCCGCTTGGGATGTTTGCTTTTAGCCTGAAGTCCAGTAGAGGCTGACCACTTACTTAAACTCTAGGACCAGAGGGTGCTCAACCTTTGCACATCTAATGACCCAGTCCCACCAGATGGTCTTTACTTAGTATGGCATTTGCCATGAATTTGCCATCAGATATTGGAAGACTAACACATGCTTCCTGAACCCCTTAAATTCCGCCAACTAGAAGATTTTTGAGGTGAAGGCTGCATACTCCCCGTAGACGCCTACTCCTTTCCTCACAACCCTGTTAACCTTTGGCCTTGCCATTGCTCTTCCCCCCATCTCCAGGAAAGACAGCAAAGTCTTACCTAATGTAGTCATTTCTGCAAAGGATCATGCCACTTTTGGTGTAACAGGACGTGCCGATGTCGCCCAGCTGCGCCTGGCAGCAGGAGCACTTGAGGCACCGGCTGTGCCAATAGCTGTCCATGGCATAGAGCAGAAAGCGGTCCGCAATCTTGCCCCCGCAGCCTGCGCACCGCTTCCAGGAGAGGGAGCCGGCCGTCACCGGGGGCGGCTGCGAGCTGCTGCCCGGATTCACCATGGTCTGCAGAGGGCGGGAAGGGGACAGGGAGAGAAAGACAAAACAGGGGCGATGCAAAAGTTAGTAATCGCCGGAGAGAGAGCAAGCCCATTCCCCTCCTCCCCGCGGAGCTGCTGGAAGGAAACAGCAGGGCAAGGGCGGGAAGGAGGCTGAGGGGGAGAGGGAAGAAGGGAGGCTCGCCGGCAGCAGCCGCCTGTTTACTTTTCTCAAGCTTTGTTCTGGGGCCACGAGCTCCTCTCAACTTTCCTGCGCTTGCCGCCGCTGACAATTTCAGCTCCGGTACTGTCAAAACTCCGAGAGCAGGCTCCGCTGCGCGCTCCACCCCTCGCGGCACCTCCTCCCAGCCCCCGCCTCCGCCCACTGCCCCCTCCTCCCCTCCTCCGCCGCCCGCCTCCAGCAAATGAGGGTCAAACCCACCCACCGCCGCGCCCGGCCCCTCCCCAGCCCCCGCCGGGCCCCGGGACAGAGCCGAGAGGAGTGGGGAGGCGGCGGCCCCGCCGGAGCCTCGTTCCCTCCCGGGTTCTGCCCCGGGAAGTGCAGCTGCAGTTCACAAGTTGGAAATAGTTCGGTTTTCCGAAAGGGAACGAGGGAGGGACCGGCAGACGGGAGACGGAGAGCGTGGTGATGGGAGGGAAGGCAAGGTGACGGGAGGGGTGGGTGCAGTGTGTAAAGTTGCGAAACTGGTTTTTCGTATTTTAAGCAGCACCTTTCACATGCCATTGTGGTGACCGCCATCTCCCATTATTGTTCCAAATCTCATTTCATTTTGAAGATCAATGAGTGTTTTCTCTGGGTTTTCAGGACACAGGCAAGAATAATAGATCATTGAACTTTAGGATGCCTGTTAACTTCCTATACAAACACTCTCCACTTTGGTCTCACTAATCTGCCCTTGATCAGCAATTTAAATGCTAAAGCTTTGTTCCTCCAAAGGGCGGGGGGGGGGGGGGGGCGGGCGGCGTTACAGATAATGTGCGAGAAGGCACCATTAAGGGATGCACAAGTTAAATTCGAGCCCGTCCTGCTGTCACCAAAAACTGCTTTAAAAAAGAATTCCCCACTCTAATGAATGCCACAAGAGATGCAACTGGGATATAATATAGGAATCAATTTATAAAGCTTAGCCTAAACCGATTAATTTGTTGCCTTCAATCCCGAGTCCAATAAAGTCCTAGTGTTCCTCTAGTCACTTATTCTGTAAAAAGATCAAGTTATTTACTGCCAATTAAGCAGCCTGTATTGTCTTTGTCCTCTGTAAGCTGAGAGTGTGGGCTCCCCCTGAGGCTCCCGGCTATCTGCTCAAGACATTCAGCTGATACCTCAGAAGAAGGCGAACTTTGCCTGTACCCGGCCCAACTTGGCTGCTGCAAAAAAAACGAGGAAGGAACGAAACAAGGACTCGGGTTCCTTAAATAGGCCGATTTTAAACACATTTCCTCCGAAAGAGTCCCGGAACGTGTGTCCAGTGACCGCACAATAAACCAGAATAAGAACTGCACCAATTAAGCTGTAACAAAACCCTGAGACTTTGGAAACAGGACCACTCTAAAACCCATTAGCATTGCATTTATCCGAATGCATCATACCTTTATGTAAATTGATTTATCTGATGCATTTACTCGAGGAATTGCTTTTTGTTACAATTTCAGCCCTAACCCAAATGAATCTGCATTTCCTGCCCTAGATCTTTAAACTGTTTCCCCCAACGTTTTAATCGCTCCGAATTCCTTTTTAAAAGGAGAGTGAGGGAGGAGATTCCAAGCTCTTCCCCGCCCCCATCTTTAGTGAGAGGTAAATATATATGTATTTTTTTTTTGAAAAGGAAACATTACACTGAGAAAAGCATCCAGTAACCCCATTAGCTAAAGCTCTTAAGGACAAGCAATACCTTAATGCTGATTAAATCTAAAAGAGATGAATCAAGAAGACTGACCAGAAACTGACTCCCCTGATAACTAAGGACGGGCCCTCATCAAGTTTCATTTAGAGTTGGAAAAAAAAAAAAAAAAAAGAAAGCTTTTAAGTTAAATAGGCTTATACTCTAGTAATTACATAGCCAAGCAATTTAGGTCCTGGGATAGTCAGTGAAATAGAAAGCAGAACTGGCAGCTAGAGGCAAAATCTGCCCCCCTTTAACAACGTCTCTGGTGTTTTTTAATGGAGACCAAGGGAGGGACAAACGTAACGCTGGCAATTTGTAGTACAAAAATGGATGCTTAATTCATGTCTTGATTTTAATTAGGTGATTCACCGTATTTCTCCTGGATTGGAACAAAAGACTTATAAGCCAAGAAGAATTTTTTTAAAAGAACCAGCAATACCGAATCCTGCTCACTTAGATCCTTCCTGCCACTGTTTCAAAAATAGTGTTTACTAGAAGGGAGGGGGGGTATCGTGACTATCCCCACCCCCACCCCCCCAAACACACTACTTCTCATACTTAAAATCCTCATCTAAGCACCCCTTGCCTTTCCCTTATGAACTAGAAATATCCCCACCCCCTCTACGGTCCCCACCAGCCCCGTTTCCAAGAAGAGCCCTTTTGTAAGCAGGAACCGCTACAAAGCTGGCGGCCCGGGGCTGCCCTCCGCGCTAGCTCGCAGGCCGGCCTCGGTAGTTTCAGACTCGCGCTTTATCTAAGCCGACGTATTGTTTACTTGCAATTTGGGACGGTCAGGGGAAGGAAGCCAAAGAAAACAGCCCTGGCCCGAATCGACCCCCTCCCTCCCTCTCCCACCTCCCGGCCCGCGGCTCTCCACCCGCCCCCTTACCTGCTTTTCCCCTATATTGCAATATTGCGAGAGGCGGCGGCGGTGAAATGCGAGCGAAGCCGCTCGGCTTCCAGGGAAGGGGCGCCTGGGCTGGCGGAGCTGGAGGGAGGGAGGGAGTTCTCGCAGAAGCAGGAAAGGGGAGGAGGGGGCTAAGGGCGGCTTTTTTTTTTTTTTTAAATCGCGTTGCTCTGGGGCGGGTTGGGGGGCCCCCGCGTAAGTGCCGGGCGGCCGGGAGCAGAAGTGTCAGTCTCAGTCTTCGTCCTTCTCCGCCTCCGACTGCGCGCGAGCAGCTGCAGGAGCCCTCGGCCCGCGCGGCGCGGCTTCAGGCGCGGCGCAGCGGCAGCAACTGCTGCAATCGCTGCTGCAAGTTTGGCAATGTGGCTTCACTTTGTATATTCCCCCGCCCGGGGGCCCCCGCCCCCGCCCGCGCTCCTCCCGCTCCTCCTCCTCCTCCGCCGCCGCCTTCCTCCCTCCCGCGCGCTCGCTCGCTTGCTCGCTCCGGGATGGCAGCGGCGGCTCGGCTGAGCTCCCTGCACCTCCGGCCGGGAGCAGTCGCAGACACAACAGCCCCGGGAGCGGCGGCGGACGGTGCGGAGGCCGGCAGGCAGGCGCACCCAGGCGTCGGGGGCTGCGGCCGGCCGGGCCCGGCGCGCTGGAGCCTGCGCCGCTGCCGGGGCTGTTGCTGCCCGGCTCGGAGGCGGCGGCGGCGGCGGCGCTGGCCTCTAGCCGGCTCGCTCGCTCCCTCCGCGGCTCTTACACATGTGTTACTGACAGAGCAAAATCCCAACTACTCCCCGGCTCTGCCTCCGACGTCAGCGACCCTCAGCCACTGGGCGGCCGGATTGTTCAGGCGGAATAATAAAACCTGCCAATCCGGGGAAGGACAAAGGGATGACTGAAACGAGACTCGGGGGGCGGGAGAGAGAGCGAGGCGGCAGAGCTGGCCGACAGAGGAGAAGGGAAGGGCCCGAATCAGGTGGGGTGAAGTGACCCGGGCGCCTGGGGCCGGGGACCCGCTTGGGCTGCCCTTCGCGACCCGGGATCCGGAGTCGAGACGCAGGGCGGGGCCTCACCTGCCTTCTCAGCGCACGGGGACCCTGAGGACCCGCGCCCGCTCGCCCCTCGGGGACTGCCATCCCCTCTATCTGAGAGGAGACCCTTAGGAAACTTACCATCTTTCTCAGAAATGGGTCTCTTCCTGTTTGGGAAGATAAGTCCTGCATCTTAGGGCAGTGGACTTCTATCCCCTCACGCACAAGCACACAGAAGAGGATTTTTGTTGTTGTTTCTTTAATTCACGATATTGGAGATTTATGAACCGTAGTGGAAGCTTAGTTAACAAGGTAGAAACATAAAGGAAATAATAGTTGCTAGCTAAATACTGCCTACTTAGCCTCCCTCATACTCCCATTTTTCCGAGTTTGAAAGTGCCTAGCAGGCATTTCCTGGATCCTTGTCAATTGCTGGTGATGTAGGGAGCACAGTCCTTATTTTCAAAGTTGACGAAAACTTAAGGGAGAAAGCCTTTCCCGACTACCCTCCTCACTGTGGAGGATGAGAGGCGGAAATTCTCACAGCCCCCAAAAGCAATGGAAGTAATTGCAAGATTTGCAATCTCACAGCCTCTAGAGAGTAAGAAATGTCACTTCTAGTATAAATCAAGTTTTGAGGAATGCTTTTAGGGTGCTAGCCTGAGAGTCTTTTTCCAAGGCCGAAGCACAGCCTAGATGCTTGAATACCTAGGCATTCGACTTTATCTACTCTGCCAAATAGGTTAAATAAATCTCCAGACTGAGGCTAATATTAGGCCTGATTATTGTTAGTAAGTTCCAGAGAGATTTTTCTGGTGGAAATTATCATGAAAGTGCAAAGCCCTTCTGCTAAGTATCATTAAGTAAAACCAGCCTTGTGGGGCAAGTTTTCATATTGTGTTACACACAGTACTGCTAGATTGAGGAAAGGAACCTGAAGGAGAATCTGGCGAGACAATGCAGATGTTGAACATTTAGGGTTTTAGTGTCTATTTGGGGGATTTCTGTCTTTCAAACCATCAAAATTAATAAGGCTGCATAAGAAAGAATAATTATTGCCCATACAGTCAGGTAGAGGGCATTTTAAATATCAATTCAAATACTCATTTTTTAATTCTAGCACCTTAAAATTAAATGAATTAATTTTATTGATTTGTATTTAAAGTTGCACTGCTATGATGAATTCACCTTGTGCACATATAAAAAACTTTTTTTAAAAAAAAGTCATTAAAACTATAATAGTAATTAAAATGTCCTACACAGAAAACAGCTACAGATGGGCATGATTAAAGAGGACCAACTTAGAAAAGATGTAATGCTGCTTGAAGGTTAGTCAAGAAAACTCAATTAAACCAGATGAGGAGAGGAACACCATAAACAAATAATACATTTGAATCCCCTGGTTCATTTTCACTTTTTAAATAATTTATAATAAAAGGAGATGACACAAGATCTTAGTGGGCTACAATTAAGTTATGATTTGTCATGTGCAAGTAAATTTCCGTCTCTGGGCCTTAATTTTCTCATCCACAAATGAGAGAATTAAGCCAAATGGTCTTTATTTTTTCTTTTTAAAAATGATTTTCTTAGATAGAGCACATAATGCATAGATGTATAACGAATTGTGGTACTTTTCAGGATTTTTCCTGAAGAATATGCACTAAAACGAAATCTTAATTCCTGAAGGAAATGTTAGAAATTTAACCAGACACATGTTCAGCTATCATTGAGTGATTATCCAGAGGATCCCGGTGGTGTTTGTGGAAGGAAGGAGAGTGAGATGGATAAAACTTTGAATAACAGAGCTCTAGGCTACAGGGCCTACATTTTAGGAGGTGGTTTTAGTGCTTCAGCTCTAATTCTGTGCGGAGTGAGGTCTTTAAACATGTCCTGGTAGATTGGAGTGGATGGGAGTGTATTACCAGAGAGCTTTATTTGCTGATGTGTGTTTATAGAAATACAAAAGCGATAATGGCTAACAGTCTCTCTTCTGAGAGGTAGGGAGTAAATACATTCACTGTAATCAAAATTCAGGTGTACTTTTACCACAGCGCCACCTCTGGGTAATCTTTATTTCTGCATTCTTTGCGTTTAGCAGTCCTTTCTCATCCTGATTTGTGGTCTGAAAATGCCTGGTTGAGTGGGTAGCAACGTCAATCTTTTATTTCCACTGATGCGAAACACAAAAACCTTGTAAACACACACAAATTCAGTATGGGTAAAGAAATTCTGTATTCGGATATTCTTCAAACAAATATTAAAAACAGTGCATAAAGTAATATTCCTGGTATGAAGTAAAATTGCCTAACTCGAAATAATGTTATATTGTGCCCCACAGTTGACGAAACCTCTGCTGATATCACACATTCATCATTCATCCTACTCATCTGCAATGAGATATAAGATTAGGGGGCTTTGGAAAAGAAAGATAAATGTAAATCGTTTCTTTCTTGAATCCTAATTAAATGTGGGAACCATACTGCTCCTAGATCAAGCCGTCATTTTCTCCAC
This sequence comes from Homo sapiens, assembly GCF_000001405.40. Taxonomy (NCBI): domain Eukaryota; kingdom Metazoa; phylum Chordata; class Mammalia; order Primates; family Hominidae; genus Homo; species Homo sapiens. The sequence goes on along the minus strand of NC_000001.11, from coordinate 87,325,702 downwards.
TTGCCCCAAAATTATTTGTTCATAGCTTCCTTTCTCGTTTATGTCCTTCAATCATAATCATTCTTTTCTCCAAGTGACAGTTCGCTAAGAATCTCCCATGGACAGCCAGAGGTTCTACACAGACCTATGCAGCCTTTAATGTCTGGAGAAAGTCTAGGCTATTTGATGCTGATATGACCTCCAAGACAACATGCCCCAGCTCTTTCTCAGGAAAAAATATTCTGTCCTTTTAAAGTCAATGCAAAACCGTTTTTGAAGAAAGTCTTTTTAGGAAGGAAAATTTTTAAAAATCTGCTCAACTTTATTGCTGCCATCACAGAGATCCCTTGATATTCAGTTTCCTCCAACGTGAATACAAAAAGCTTGAGTCTAGGACAACAATTCCAGAGTGTAAAAGGTGTGGAGAGAAAAGGGAACAGTAGTTACCAACAGAAAAAACCCAAGGAAGAGGAAGGGCAGGTTAGGTCCTGGGCCAGTTTTCTGTGGTGGCGTTGTCGTCTGAGCAGCAGGGTGTATGGCACAGTAAGTATAGTCGGACCTGCTGCTTCATTTAAGAATAGGAGTTTACAGGCCCAGTGGCCCACGCCTATAATCCCTGCACTTTGGGAGGCCGAGGCAGGTGAATCCCTTGAGTTCAAGACCATCCTGGGCACCATGGCAAAACTCCATCTCTACTAAAAATACAAAACTTTAGCTGGGTGTGGTGACATGTGCCTGTAGTCCCAGCTGCTGGGGATGCTGAGGTGGGAGGATCACCTGAGCCCTGGAAGTTGAGGCTGCAGTGAGCCATGATTGTGCCACAGCACTCTAACCTGGGAAATGGGAGTGAGGCCCTGTCGCAAAATAATAATAATAATAAGAGTTTACCTAGAACTCAACATCTCGAAAAGCCTATATTTCACGGAACCATATCTTGGCTTTAAAATATTGATAATATTTAATAATACTTTGAATTTACTGACTGCCTTTTTAGTCTTTCTCAAAATTCTTTATAAATATCTCACTAAATGTTTCATGTGATAAATGTTTCTAATAATTGCCTTATTAGAATATTATTGTTTGTTTTTTGTTAAAGCAATCCAGATGACTACGTTGGGTAAGTATCCCACCAAATTATGTTAATCAATATTTAGGAAGTTCTACCCTAACTACTCTTTTTAAGGTAATAAACAAGCATAGTGAAGAAGTTGATTTTATGGCAAGAAAATAACAGATCACTGAGGAAAAGGAAACAGCATTGACATTGTTGTGACTGGAAATATAATTTAAGATGTAGATTTTGATTTTAATTATTCTATTTGATTAAGGTATTTGAAACTCCTAGAGTTGATAGAAAGGTGAAAAAGATAATAGGAAAGAAGAAAACACCTCTGTGACCCAGCATTTTGCCTGATGTAGCAAGGCTACTTTAAAATAGTGTCGTGAAATTACTCATTGTCTTCGTAAAAGTTTATTAGCATAGCAACAGAACAGTACAAATCCCCCAAATTTGCCTCAGAACTATCAGCAAATCTTTTTTTTTTCTTTTTTTTTTGAGACAAGGTCTTGGATGGGTCACAGGCTAAAGGCTCACTGCAGCCTCAAACTTTGAGCTCAAGCCATCCTCCCACCTCCTTAGCCCCCTCACCCCTACCCCAGTAGCTGGGACTGCAGGTGCATACCACCACGCCCAGCTAATTTTTTTTGGTAGAGACAGGGGTCTCACTGGTTGCCCAGGCTAGTCTTGAACTCCTGGCCTCTGGGGATCCTCCCACCTCAGCCTCTCAAAGTGCTGGGATGACAGATGTGAGCCATTGTGCTCAGCCCAGCAAATCTTGATATGTGAATCTGTTTCATGGCAATGATACCATAGAAAAAATTGTTTGGCTTACTCATACTACCTATTTCTAAGCCTGAATTCTGTCAACAATATTCAATCACAGTGATATTCTGCATCTATCATTGCAAATAAATTATCAGACTATATGTGTGAGTGTATTATATGTTCATTAAGGTCTTTTAAATGGTCTAGTGGGTCAATAGCTACTGCTTATTAAAGTCAAGTCTTTGCATGGATAGATTTAATTTCATAATAGTTACAAAAGAGGGTATATAGATGACTGGGCCACTTGTATATATGTGAGGTGGTTATTACTAAGAATATATGTTGAAGTTATAAATCCAGCAGAAAATAGCAATTCTGTTTAAAATTAATTACTGTTTCTCTCCAAGACGATGGAAATGAGCACTTACTGATAGAGAAACTAAGGCATTAAGATGTAATTCGTTCTCCCTTATGTTCCCACTAACTCTTCTTGGTAAAAGAAAGGCTACTAATTCAGAAATTTTAAGGGCCCAAAACCATAATTTCTTTTGTTAGTGTCAGTTTTAATTCTAGTGTTGATATAATTAAGCTTTTTCTCTGTGTGGATTTGTAATAAGATGTATTTTAAAGTATAACATTGGTTTCTATTTGTTCACTAAAAAAGTTGATGAAAATATGATAATATTTATTCATCCAATTGTAATGAATGACTCTGTTGGAATTATGGAAGTACAATCCATAGCTGTCCTTGGACTTGGAAAGCACGCATTTCTTCTCTATACAGCACCATAAATTTTTTAGAATAAAAAGAACAACCAGATATGGATTTTTTTAAATAATAAAATTGAATAACTCAATTGACTAAAATGTGTTCCCACCACACAGAGGTACACATTATAACATCATCATTTATATTTCTCAACATAAATCAAATTTCATAATAAAATTGTTTTTGATGAATCACCACTTCTTTTCTAGCTTCAAAACATTCTGACAGAGAAAGCAAATTTGTCAATTTCTCTGTGTGATAAGAAATCACTGAAAATATATTTAAGACCTTTAGTCTAAGATAATAATTTTTTTGAAAGTTTCATTTAAAAGGAAAACATTCAAGGGAAGCCATTTTCAAATTTGGAGAAATAACTGAAGAATAAAATAGACTTTCTTTTCAGCATTTTTTTTCAATGCCATCTGCTATACTCTCTGACAATAAGGCCAGGAGAAGTCATTACAGAACAATACTCTGGAAACAATTTGCCTCAAAAAAGAATGAAAACTTAAACAACACTACCTTCATACATGTTTGCTCTAATTACAGCATTAAAACACCCAAGCATTGTCCCCAGATGCCTCTCTCTGTCCTCTTTTTATTGCTTTTCTCCACTGAGATAACATTTAACACTGCATTGAAATTCCTACTTACTGCTTGTGTCCAGTAGTAAATCCTAGCACATTATTAGAATATCTGCCTGTTATCAGCTCCGTCAGGGAATGAATTATTGACTATAACTCATTGCTGGGAAGACTACGCATGACACTCCAGTGAAGTTTTGATAATTTCTAGAAGTCATGGTAATTTATGGAAGGGGGTTTTGATTGATCTCCCACCACCTATTTTGCACCTATCAGTAAATAGGACACATATTGATGGCCTACTTGAACTCCATTAACAATATGGGGGAATTCACAACTTAAGCATTTCTCTTTTTTCTAGTGTGATTTCTATTAAGACGGTCACTCAGTTTCTATTAATTTTCATCTGTGTGGTTTACTCCTGAGAGGGAGGAATCACAGATCTCAACTATTGAATGCATAACATCACTATTCTACTAATGATTTAGATATAGTTTTCATTTGTAGTTATACCAGCGTCTGCCTTTTGGAAAGAAAGCCCTAAGATCATTGGAACAGATAGAGGTGGAGCAGAACAAATACTGAAAGATTTTAAAAGGTCTCTTCAAGTGTTGTAATACAGCTGATAGAATAAAAGAGAATTTTTTTGAATTAATGGATAGTAGGCAAGTTCATTATTATTTGGGAAAAAGTTTATAATATATTTGATATAAAATGTACAGATACCATTTAATGTGTTATGACTATCACTTTAAAGTTCATTTGCCAGAACGTTAAATAACAATCATCACCAATCACAACTCTCTTTCAGTTTTAGGTTTATTTTCCTCCTGTCTCATTTTTGCTGGGTTTCTCCAAATTCAATTATTTCTCAGGGTAAACTCTACTAGACAAATGTTCCTTTTATTTCCTTACTGAGTTTTCATCATTGTGATTTCATTATTGTTTTATTTACTACAACAATTGCTTTCTAGAAAAACAACCAGTATTTTCAACTCTTAATATGTACTATGTAATATCGCAAACAATATAAATAATAATTTAAAATTTAATGGTTATTTCCTAGATGACATTTAAAACATGCCTTGATTTCTAGAAATTTTATCTTATACCCAATAATATTTAATAATCTGATGCAAAAATAATGGTGTCTCTTTTGCCAGAGCAGTCAAGATTGGAGGCGGGTAACTTGACTGAACACTTGGCTTAAAGAAAATAATTCTTTTTTCATTTTATCTTAATTTAGTAGCTTCTAGCAGTCATCTAAACAATCTTAAAATTAAAAGATAATGTTAATGGGAGAGACTGTTGTCATAGGATAATGGTTTCCTGCTGCTAGATTAATGCAGTGGCAATAATACTGGAGCATTTATTGAAAATAAAGGGAAAGACAAAGCCAGAATATTTATTTTTAAAGCAGGTGTCATGGATCCTATGACACTGTTGTGTTATAATTACTATGTTTTAATTTTACCAAATGGCTGATGCAGAATGACCCCTTTCCCTGATGGTTGTGGGATGGCAATGACCCTGGCTGTATCCCCATTAATGGAGAGCAATACTTTGTGTCTGGAGGAGACTGTTGTGTGATTCTTCCAATCAGAAGACAGCTTCTAAAGGTTGTGTAATTTAAAGAAACAAATACCAAAAACGCACAAATAAATTTGTCCTTGACCAAACAAACAAAAGGCAAGAGCCTACTTAACAGTGTCATCAATTGTTCTAGAAACACCAATAAACCCCCACATTGGCACCCAAATACATTTCTGTCCAGGAAGCCCCAGGAATTGCCTACACGACAAAAGCTCCATCCATGGATGTTAGCCACTGTAGCCAACTATCCTGGATTTACCTTCTTTGAATACATAATGATAATCTGGGGCTAAGTAATAGACTTCTCCAAATGGCATTCTCCCAGGAATGCTGTGGTAGTCAAAATTCTAAGATATACCCCCAAGATTCCCCTCCTCGGGTGTGTGTGCCCTTCATAACACCTCGTCCTTGAGTGCAGGTGGGCCTGCGTTAATTAGGCGAGCCCTTGTGAGAGAGGTCTAAAGATAGAAGACATGAAAGAGATTCAGAGCTGCAGAAGATGCTCTCCTGTTGTTCTGCAAGGGGCAGACTGCCATATGTGAGAGGCTCTATGGAGAGGCCACACAGGAAGCAAGGACCTGCATGCAGCCTCCAGGAGCTGAGAGCGGTCCCTGGCCAAAAGCTGGCAAGGAATTGGAGACCTCAGTCCTACTGCCATAAGGACATGCATCCTGCCAACAACCAGGGATCTTGGAATGAGAACATAAGCCTCAGATGAGATGGCAGTCCCAGGTGACACCTTGATTTCAGCCTGGTGAGACCCTGAACAGAGAACCCATCTGCACCATACATGAACACCAGCCTACAGAGGCTCTGAGATAACAAATGGGTGTTGTTTTAAGCCACTGCATTTATGATCATTTATTATGCAGCAGTAGAAAGCTAACAAATGCTGTGAGAAAAAGCCAAATGAGATATTTTGTTGCCACCTATTTCTCTCTACTATGAATTCTTCCATTTGCTCCCTATTGTCCAATCTCCCTCTCTAGCAGAGCCTAGGACAAAAAGCTGGAGTGTCCTCACTATAATCAGGGTGTGGACCAGTTAGGATCTGGGTTATAAGCACGAAATACCAATAACTAACTCATACATGAGGGAATGTATTAAAAGATATCAGGGGTTCTTAGAATCAACACGAGGCCTGAGGACCAGTCTGAGAAAAAGCAAGAACCAGAAGTGCTCTAAAAAGTTACGAAGTAGGAATATCAACAGTGGTCTCCTAGCAGAAATAGGGTGGTTAGTATGGTGTTGCCTAGACAAATGACCTTTAACTGTTCCTATTCTTCCCTGGGCCACCTAGTCAAGTTGCAAAATCCCTAAAAAGAGCCTCCTATTGGGCACTCTGTCATGTACCTGACTCTTAAGAAGAGGAGCAGCCCTCTTAGGGCGTCTGCAGTTGGAGCAAACCCTGGAAGTCCCCTCCCTCCCAGAATCTATAGAGTGAAAGAGATAATTCCCCACAGGAAAATAGATAGTGGACTTTTTTTTTTTTAAGTGATGAATGTCAGCCAAATTGTATGTGGTCAGAGGGTGAATGCTAGAATCAGGTATGAGGAGGAGCAGAGAGCCCATCAGGCAATCACATCCAAAGCAGGTCATCAAAAAAATAGGAGTTTTAGGCCACAAGAGACCTCATAATAAGTATGAGAAACAGATACCTGCAGCACATAGGGCCATCTGAGCAAATTCTAGACCCAAGAATCCAACTGGCTTCCTACACGCCCCACACTTGGGTGGTTTAGACCTATGTAGACCAGCCAGAATAAGACTGAGATCTACCTCTTTTGTGTTTAACACTCATCAATTTCTTACTTGTCACCATATCATAAGCACCATATTTCCTATCTCTTAGGATTATAAGTGTCCATGACTATTTGCAGGAGGAAAGAAGGTGGGGAAGATGTTACACATTTCACAGTTGTTATATGCATGTTGAGGAGGGCAGTGGGAAAACCAGTCTGGTAGGTTCAGGGCATTTGTGTAGGATTTGTGTCAGTTGCCATACACAAATGGACTCCTGGTTTTCTTCGTTATTTTTACCTCAATTAAAATTGTGCTATCCTCAGTTCATTCATACATTCAAAAAACATTTATTGAGCACCCATTATGTGCCAACCAATGTTCAAGGTGGTAGAGATACAGCAGCAAAGAAAGCAAAGCCCCTGCCCTTATGGCATTTATAAATTGTTGCATGTTAGAAGGTGGAACATGCTAGGAAGAAAAGGAAGCGGGGTAAAAATGATAGGGAGTGGTGGGGCCAAGTGGAAAGGCTCTTGGTGGTCGAGCACAATTTTGTGTAGGTGAGCCAGGGGAGGCTTCAATGACAAGATAATATTTGCCCAAAGACATAAGGAAGTAAAGGAGCCGTGCTCCTAAGGGAAAGAGAATTCCAGGTAGGAGCACCAATGTTGCAAATGCCCTAAGGAAGATGTGTTTGGTGTGTTTTAGAAGCAGGTAGGAGACCAGGTTGCCTGGGGTGTAGTAGATGAGATCAGAGTTTAGATTGGGACAGATGTGGGACTTGGGCTTTTACCTGGATGTTACTGGAGGATTCTGAGCAGAAAAGAGATATGATCTGATCTACACGTTAAACACTTCATCCTGGCTGCTGGGTGAGAACAAACAACAAAGCAGTCAGGAAGAAGCAGAAAGATCACCATGACGAGGTTCTTGCAGAAATCAAGCAAGAGGTGATGGTGGCTGGAACCACAGTGATAGCAGAAGCGAAAGTAAGAAGTGATCAGATTTTGGATATATTTTGAATATCTGGGGCAGATAGAACCATGGTTTCTATTTCACAATTTACATTTGAGTTCATGCGCCTTTGACAATCTTTGGTGTTTCCATGTTTCATGGCAGCTATACCTTCCCTTCTGTTTCTGAGAAGCTGGGCAGGCACCTCCCCCCATCTCTCACCTCACAAAATTCCTCTCCTCACATTCTGAGTTTATGTCAGAAATAGCCACAATATTGTTTTTCACTCAGATATTTCTATTTTAACTCAGAAGGGAGAAATAACAAATATTGGACCTCCCAAGGAATACAGACACTAAACTAGGTTCTTTCCATAGTGCAATTCATTTAATCATAATAACTACCTAATACAATAGGCATCATTGCCATTGCCTCCATTTTAACACTGAAGAAACTCAAATCATAAATGTTAAGTGATTGCCCAAGAATAGCATCAAAGCTGAGGTGCAAAACTTGGAATTCAGCAAAGCTTAATAGATTGAAGAAACCTTCCACGGTCCACTCCTACATGCTAATAAATTAGTCTGTGCAACTTTAGCTTCTAAACCCGTGGTTCTCAACTGGGGATGGTTTTTGCCCCCCAGTGGACATTTGGCAATGTCTAGAGACACTTTTGGTTGTCACACTGGGGAAACAGGGAGTTGCTACTAGCATCAGTGGGTGGAGGCCAAGGATGCTGCTAAACATCCTGCAAGGCACAAGAAAGCCCCCAACGACAAAGAATTATTCTGTCCTAATTTTTTTTTTTTTGAGATGAAGTCTCACTCTGTTGCCCAGGCTGGAGTGCAGTGGCATGATCTTGCCTCACTGCAGCCTTCATCTCCCGGGTTCAAGCAATTTTCCTGCCTCAGCCTCCTGAGTAGCTGGGATTACAGGCACCTGCCACCAAGTCCGGCTAATTACTTTGTATTTTTAGTAGAGATGGGGTTTCACCATGTTGGCCAGGCTGGTCTCAAACTCCTGACCTCAGGTGATCCACCCGCCTCAGCCTCCCAGAGTGCTGGGATTACAGGCGTGAGCCACTGCACCCGACCTTCTGTGTCCAAATGTTAAAAGTGCCTAGATTGAGACCACTGCTCTAAACCATTGTTCCATCATTGGACTGTCATAGTAGAAGTAACATAAGCTATGACACACTTATTAATAATCTTTCATTAAGATCTAAAACTAAGGAACTTTCTATAGTCAGAACAATTTCAGTGTGTTGGTTGGGGTTAAATTTATAGTCATCAAGGGAAGTTGCACCCAGTATGCCCATGGCACAATGCTGTGTGCTTATATAAGCTCAAGAATACAAAAGCAAAACTCTAAAATGGAAGTTAATAAATATCCAACTAAATGTCTACAAATGGTAGTGAATTTACTGGACAATTGCAATATATTTCGCTTCTTATATAGGCACGCTCAAATTATATTACTGTGGGATGTGTTTGATATGATTTGGGCAGATACTCCAAAAGTAAGATTTTTCTAGGCTCCACAGCATTCTGATAATAGCTCTACAGTCATTGTTTTAAAGAGTGAAATCAGGAACAGGGCAAGGCTGTACCTGAATGAAGTGAGATGCTAAATTGTGCCAAGATTTGACAGAAATGCATTCAGGCAACAAAAACAGCAAATGCAAAGACTCTGGGGTGGAAATAAGTATGGCATGCTTAGTGTTAGCTCATGCTGCTAGAATGGAGTGAGAGGGACAGAGTGTAACAGAAAATACTGGAGAGAGAAACAGAGCCTTTAGATTTTAATCTGAGCATATTGGGAGGCCATTGGAGGGTGTTAAGTGGGGTTGTGCCATAATCTGATTTAATTTTTAAGAAGTTAACTGGCCTTTGGGGAAGAATTGATTAGAGGGATATGTGGCAGAAATTACTACAAGCTTACCACAGGATTCGTTTTTCCTTAGAAATAGAACCCCAATTTAAACTGTGTATATTGGCACCTGGAATAAAGGGCTGCATTTCCTAAACTTCCCTTGCAGCTCAATAGACCTTGTGACTACATTTTGGCCAATAAATTCTATGTAAGAGGAAGGGTGGATAGGACTTCTAGGAATGTGTTTAAAGAGAGCTCATTCAGCTCTCTTCTTCTCTTCTGTTTCTTCCTTCTTTGGGCCTGAAATGTGGACCTAATCACTAAAGCTTCACCATGAGATGGCCTTGAGGATAGAAGTTGCGTACTAAGATGATGGAGCAGACAGATGAAACCTTGTACTAAGATGATGGAGCAGACAGATGAAAGATGGAGGCCTTGGTGAAAGGCAGGTCCCTGGCAATACTATGAAGTTGTCAAACCAGCACTGCAATAGTTACTTCCAAACATATGAGAGAGAAATAAACATATCTTGCTTACAACTTTTTAAATTTTTTGCAGAGAGTTGAAATTAATTCTGACACAGGAAGCAAAAGTGGAAGTGAGAAACTAATAAAGAGATGACTGCAGTATTCCATGTGAGAGATGAAGTTGATGTGGACCAGGGCAAATGGTGGAAGTGCTGGGAGGTGTAAGATACCAAATATACTTTGAAGGTAATGTTAAGAGCACATGCCAGTGTCCTTTGTGGGGAACTAAAGGGAAAGAACAAAATCAAGGATGACTTCATTTTCTGGGATAAGCAGATGAAAGAGAGCTGTCCTTTTCTGAATGGGAGGCCTGGGAAAGGATTATGGGGTAAATCGAGATTCTGTTTTGGACCTAAGCGTAATAAGATTGAGATCCCCATTTAACCTCCATGTAGTGAAGTTGAGAAGTCAATTAGATATGTAGGTCTGGAGCTCATGGGATAAGTCTATGCTATAGAAATAGATCTGGAAATTGTTAATATATAAAAGGTTTCACAACCATGAATAAGACTATAAGGGGCCAATAATTGAGCCCTGGGTTGATCCAACTTTAAAGGTCATGAAGAGGAGGAAGAGAAGTCCAGTACTTGAAAAAGAGGAGGTAATAAAATTGGAGGAAAACCAGAGGATACATGAAGAAAATGTTGTAAGAAGAACACTAGTCAAATCTGCAAATGCTGCTAAGAGGCTAAGGTGATGATTGAAAATAGGTCATTGATTTGGGAGGATGGCTTTATTTGGAAGGGAAGTACCCATTGGACTTCCCTTCCCCTTTATGTCTCACTGGCTAGAACAAGATCATATGCTCAGCCCTAAGCCAATCCTGATTAAATCCCTGAGCCAGCCAAGGAGAAAAACACCTTCTCTTGAATCAACTGATCTCTGCCTTGAAAAAAATCAGGAATTGATTAGCAGAGAAGTGGGGGCAGGGAAATGGCTGATGGTTAGGCAATAAACAGTATCTGCCACAGTGCTTTTTATTGTGACATAAAAATTCCAAGCCTCATCACAGTTAGGGCTGGTACTACATTGGGCACATGTAGTAAAGTGATCTGGTGCTCTTTTCGCTGTTGCCATTGATCTTGTGATGAACTGCTTGTCAGGCATTTGTATACTATTAATTGCAAAATAATCACTCCCATCTTCAAGAAAGTCAACACACCAAAGACTTCTAAAACTAAATAAAGATGCTGTCAAGTGAAAAAAAAGAAAGGAATCAACAGCATGGATTTTTTTTCCCTCTAAAATTCTAGAGCCACCTGCTTGTCAGCTTGGAAGAGTAAAAACATGTTTACTTTTTGGTCACATGCATGAAAACTACAAAGTTATTACTGACCAAGTGTTTAAAAAATGATGCTAGAGATTATTTTTTAAAAAGCATCCAAGAGAATCCTCCATGTTTACCTTAAAATTTGGATCTCTTACTGTCTACTTCTCCATTCTCTGGTAAAATCACCCTTACTTGCCTTGATAAAGTTCCTTAAAGTTAGCATTACATTGTCATTTGTCTCAAAGACTAAACCAGGTTATGGGAACTAGTCTCTCTTACTTCCTCTAACTCTGCTACCGGATATGGAAATTGTGCTTATGAAATGAGGGGGTAGCGCTGGGAAGCAGGGAGTGCTGCCTTATTCACAGCAAATGTGATCCTGTGAGACTGGGCCGGGCCTCATCCTCATAATAATAATAAGCTACACACGTATTACCTGCACCTTAGGAATGCTACGTTGCCTCTCGTAAGAAAATCTGAAGACACCAAAAGCTGCTGGAGCAAAATGAATAAGGAAATAATGACAGAGGGCCCACTATGTCTGAGCAAAGCCCTTCACACAGTGTACAGCACCGAGTAGGCCCTCAATCAATGATAGCTCAATGAACACAAGATACGGCAAAACACACAGAGGGGTCATGTCCTCTGGGCTTTTAAAATCTAGTCTAAGAAGAAAGAGTTAAAGGATAAAGAAACAACTAAAGGCAAGTAGAGAATTTTGGCATGCTGTTTTTATCAGCTGCAAAGAGACAAAGGAGACTACCAGATGGCAGTGAGTAAAGTGGAAAATCTATCAGATTCCAAGGTGAGAAGAGACATTAAGGTTTCTCTGACCCAACTCCTTCATTTCACAATGAAGTCAGGGAAGTGCAGAGGTCCAGGATTCAGTAGCAATCACCTAGCAAGCTAGAGGCAGAGCCTACCCTGGGCCCCAGGTTGCACTCTTCCCACCTCATCAATTGCTGGCTACACCCCCTTCCAATCCCAGGACACGATTCCCTTTATTGACGGGTGATTTATCAAGAGAACAGGTATGAGAGCCACAAAAGATCGAACCCTATGCTCAACTTTGTCTTCTGACTTCATACTTTAAATTGACCCTTCACTTTTGACTGGAGGTCATTGAGATAGGTTACTTAGAATAGTAATCTCAAGTGTGTGACAGGCATTGTTGTTTATCTTTCCAGCAAATCATTCACAACCATCCCCTTTCTCCTCTCTAGTGGAAGCTTGGTTTTGTTCAGTTACCAAGCCAAGTGGTTTACCAGAACCTAAAACTTCACAGACTACAGAGGTGAATCATGATTGGTTGAAACCTGGAGCACTCCTTGCCAGTGATTGGTTTAGGAGTAGGCATGTGCTTCCTTTTGACCAGTAAGATGTGAAAAGGTATTTCCAGGAAAGGTATCCTTGCTCTTTATCAGAACAAACCCAGAAAAGTGGGAAAGAAATGGTCCCATATCTTATACCTTTAGATGGTGTTATGTGAGGACCACATACCTGGACCTCCTGTTATCTGGTGACCATGAAGGGAGTCACCAACGCCATGAGGCAAAGGGAGTAAAAAGATAGTAAGAACTGTGTCTTTAATAATGTTGGTGGGGGCCTGAATTAATCCAACTGGAAACTTGGGATTTCTAACTTCTCGTTACTGAGTAAATAAATACCCCTATTGTTCTAACCACTTTAATTTTTTATTTTAATTTATTTTTGAAGACTAAGTCTCACTCTGTCGCCCAGGCTGGAGTGCAGTGGTGCAATCTCAGCTCGCTGCAACTTCCGCCTCCCAAGTTCAAGTGATTCTCCTGCCTCAGTGTCGCGAGTAGCTAGGATTACAGGTACATGTCACCACGCCTGCCTAATTTTTGTATTTTTAATAGAGATGGGGTTTCACCGTGTTGGCCAGGCTGGTCTCGAACTCCTAATCTAAGGTGCTCCGCCCACCTCGGCCTCCCAAAGTGCTGGAATTACAGTCTAGACACTTTTAACTGAGTTTTCTGATCATTGCAGCCGAAAGCATCCTAATTATTATAAAGTAAGAACCAATCTTCAGAATTTCTGATAATCCTGAAGAGGTTTATTTTGTTTTCTGAAAACAACAACAATGACAACAAAGAGGGCTGCCTTCAGGATGATGTTTCTGCAAGTAGGCTTTCCCAGTAGCAAGGCCTCCCTGGCGTCCTGATTCCACCACATGCTATCTCCTAACACTCTTGTTTCCAGAATGCCTATTATTTTTAATGTGGGATTTTGGCCTCGGCCAAATCTTGTTTATACCATTAGGATTTAACATGCCTCATGCCTCATGCCTCTGTTGGGTTTCTCTTGTTCCTTACCGCCTGTTTCAGAAGGCTAGGGAGACCTTGAAAAAAACATAGACATTGGGAGAGGAAACAAATTCTCCGTATCAGTCTTATGGGTACTAATATCTGTTTCCCACCAGATGGATGAGGTTTCAGGATCTGCTAAACTCATGATGTGTACATTTGAAATGTATAAAACGTTCCCTTTGTTTCATCTGTTTGAATGGGGGCAGTAATGATATTCCTTCACGGTATATAGTTATTAAGAGTCCTTTGCTTATGTTAAGGGGGCTTATGGAAGGTTTCAGCCAAACACAAAACCACTTATTAGGACAAACAGGGCTTTTAAAAGAATACTATACTCTCATGAATAAACTAGTTTCTGATTGGCTAGAGTTGCAATTTAGCTTTTATCAGTAATTAAGGGCAAGCCATGGAGCAAACTCGTTAGTTGACACCAATTACAATTGGTAGACGAACTAATGAGTCCAAGAAAAAAGTTATTTATTTCTAAACTTTTGAAGCATAATTGTTGTGTAAATCGGATAGCGAGCAAATCTTTTCCATACGTTTAGGTTGGTAATTGAGAAATAAAATGGTTACCAAATGTACTCTTTGTCCAGTTTTGTTCTGCAGCCGGTCTCTCTTGGGACTCTTTAAAGTGTAAGGAAAAGGTGATGTCAACAGCAACGTACTCTGGGCAAACGGAGCCAGGATTAATTAATAGAGATGAAAGGGAAACACTAGACCTTTCTAAACCATCGCCTTACAGTCCCCACAGTTAGATGCTTGCTGTTCTGCAGATGACCAAACACAGTGCCGAGGATGAGGGCCAGGGCCCAGAGACTGCCTTGTATTTAAAAACAAAACAAAACAAGAGAATGGAGAATGAGCCTTGTCTCCATCTCATTTCTAGCATGTAGTCTTAAAAATGAGGAACTCTCAAGAGCTTTTCCCTTTGAAGTTTAATATGTGGGACTTTACATCAGTATAACATTTTAAATGTGTTAAACAAATTAGTCTCTGGTTACAAAAGTTTTGAGACATTTGCAAGTTGCTGTTTAACTAAATTTAATATGTGCCAGCAAAGTTGATCGTGCAGTTGTTCATTTAGAAGAATGCACATTCGGAATGATTAATAAATAAACCAGCCTCCCATTGCTTCAACCTCTGTGTTTATTTGAAGGCAATCTACTTTAAAAAGACATTAATATTCTTAGAATTATTATTAGAATAATTGCTTTTACTCTGCTCAGAACACACATTTTTTCTCATTTCCCTTCAGCACAGACAGCTTTTCACTCAGATATAAACTTCCCATTATTATTCCCCACCCCCCAAAAATGAAGAATAGGAATTATACATTTTTCACTAAGGAATAATTAATTTGTCTCAAGTATTAGAACAGAGAATTGTAGAGTGACTTTGAATGGTAGTCTCTGAGGAGTAGCATTGTTTGTTCTCTCCAGTGTTTAATGAGCTTTAGTAAATGGCCAGGAAAAATTACCTTCTTTCTGTAATATGAGAGAGGCGAAGAATGAAGGAAGCTATAGAATCCCTAGGAGAAAAAAGAACACACACACACACACACACACACACACGCATATGCACACACATATACACCTCCTTCACAACAGCACTCTGGTTGGTTAGGAGAACACAGTTCTCCTTTAGACTTATTTGAGGACAAGAGATCTGGTTACTAAGTGCATTAAAACAGAAGCATGTCCCTAATTTGTATTGATTATTGTTATCGTTACCACTGTTGAATCTGCTGGGGAAACCATCCATTCTACAATTCCATGGGGCTGGATATTTGTTACACCCGCCATGTTAAATTTCTTTCCCCTTTAATGACTGAAAGAAAATTAGAACTAGAGCTTTAACATAAATTAGCTTTAAAGAAGCTGCCCCTCCCCCACAGGTCACTGAACTCCATAAAAAGATCCCCCACATTGTAAAGGTCCTACCCTAAAGGAGACTCAGTACAGCCAAAAGACATTTACAAAGAGCTAGATCATTTTTCCCAGGTTGCCATAGACCCCTGGGCTGGCACTCAAGAAATGGAAATATTTTTAGTCCTAAAATTCCTCAAATAAAGGGGAAGTTTTACACTCATTTAAAGGTGGCCTGGAAAGTGGCTACGCAGGAGACTCTGAAGTTCATCCCCTCAAGCTCGTGCTGGGATCTAAGGAGACCATGAGACAACACCCCTCTTCTTGCCCGACTGCTGAACCAACTAAGATATAACCCGAAGGGACAAGGCAGGAGGGGCCCAAATATCACCACCAGACTGAAGGAGCAAGTATCTGCAAAAATGACTTTTATCTGGAGTCCAGTAAGCTTTTTTTTTTGGTTGGGGGAGACAGGGTCTTGCTCTGTCACCCAGGCTGGAGTGCAGTGGTGCAATCTTGGTTCACTGAAACCTCCTCCTCCCAGGTTCAAGCGATTCTCCTGCCTCAGTCTCCTGAGTAGCTGGGATTACAGGCCTGTGCCACCACACCTGGCTAATTGTATTTTTGGTAGAGATGGGGTTTTGCCATGTTGCCCAGGCTGGTCTAAAACTCCTGAGCTCAGGCAATCTGCCCACCTCGGCCTTCCAAAGTGCTGGGATAATAGGCGTGAGCCACCATGCCCAGCCCCAAGTAAGCTTTATAGTAGCAAATGGCACAATTAGACTGACTTCCCAACATGGTCTCAGCAGCGCAGGCCTCTCCAGAGCAGCTGAATGCACAGCAGCAGGCAGGACACAGTTTGGCCCCCCCAGGTGACTTGCTCTTGAGAGTAAAGGGAGAGGAATGCCGGGACTCTCTCCTTTCTCTTTTTAGGCATCTAACATCCCCAAGCCCGGCATGAAGGAGCGTCCACGCCAGTCCAGCTCTGTACTTGCCTCTGTTCCCTGGATTGTGTGTGTCTTCCTTTCCTCATCCCTAGTTACTGATCTCAAGCTTTATTCTAGCAGGATCCTAAGCTGACCCTTTGACAAGTCTTATAAACTGGTTCCCACTAAAATTGTAATGACTGATAGAAGCTTAATATATTAGGTGCTGTCAAGGAGTTGGGATAGAGAGACCCATGGGTTTTGGAATTAAACAAACCTCTGTGAATTTCAGCTTCACTTCTTACTAGTTTTGCACCCTTTGGAAATGTCCTTAATCTCTCTGAGCCACAGAATCCTCATCTATAAAAGGGTTAAAGTCACTGTTGGTGAACTTTGCAGGTCAATGGGCTGGCCCAATGCCTCACATTCAGTAAATGTGCATGTCTTTCCGTTCATACTCAGATTTAAGGAGATGGTAATAACAACCATAGTTTCTAATTGTAACAAGCTCAGAGTTTACAAAATGCTTTAATGGAAATATTATGTAAGAACTGTCAGAACTGTATGAATCCTACAATACCTCCCGTAAGGCAGGAATTATCTTTGTTTTGCAGATGAGGAAACTAAAACTCAGAGAATAGAAGTTACTTGTTCAAGGTCATTTAATTAGGAATTGGTAGAGTTCATATGTGAATATAACTTATCTGCCTCCAAATCCTACTTTCTGTCTACTCATTGAACTAGGTCTTAATAGTAGGTTTTTGTAACACTGAAAAATTGGAGACAGTATCCCCTAAATCAGAGGAGGCAAACTGGCAACCCAGGAATTTAATCCAGGCACCAAATGTGCTTTGTTCAGCAGACAGAGTTTCTTAGAAGTTTAAATTTTTTGCTAACATTTAAAAATCGGGATAACGTTTGTGAATATTTAGATTTACAGATTCTTTAAAACACCAAGAGGTCTGAGACTTGCATGTCCATTAGGCCCCATCACCTACTGGTGCTGTGACCTTGAGGAAACTACCTCTTTGTACCTCCTCACGTGTAACATGAGGATAGCAAGAGTCCCCCTCTCAGAGGGTGGTTGAGAATTAAATGAGATAAAACATTCAAAATGTTTAGAATAGTCCCTGGCTCATAGGTAGTTCTCAATCAACTTTAGATGTTATTTTTATTCTTTTTACGACTATTTGCCAGCAAAGTGGAGCCTGGGAATTTTCCTGGAGACCTGCAAACTGTACTTATATTTGAAGAAATGCAAGATGGAAGCGTTGTTTCAGTCTGACATACAAAGCCAAAGTTGGTTCTTACGCAGAAAGTGCAGCTTAACCCGGCATTAATGCTTGAGCTGTTCCAGCTGAGGTTCTGAGAAAAAGATTTGTCATGTCTCACATTTATGATATTTAAAGCAAACAAGAAAAAAAAAAAGCCTAACTCTTGAGCTGGCATTTTGCATGACTTTGCTAGGAAGGAAAAAAAGAAGAAAGACAAGGAGGAAAAGTGGAGGGGGAAGGAAGAGCTTTTCTTAGTTTTTCTTAAACAAAAGAAAGAAGGGAGGAAGAGAGGAAAGGAAAGAAAAGCAAGGGAAGGGAAGAAGAAAAAAGAGAAGAGAAAGGCAAAGAAGATTGTTCTGAATATCAGGGAAGGTGACTCTTACTGGTGCTGCTAGAATACTTTAGACATGCTATGCCCTCTGGTAGCAACTTGCATTATGCTTCGTTTTGTTTTCAAAAACTTCAAAGTTTCTCCAGGCTTCATCCCCAATTAGAACAAATGTCAGTAACATGCTTGAAGAAAATTTGTTTAGAGATGTGTGTATGGTTGAAAATTGCACATTACACATGCCCCATGCATGATTTTCCACTAAATTTTAACGATGAGCGGAGGTACATGGTTCCAGATAGATGAGTGAATCTGAATGTATATATCTGGTGCTTTGCACGCTGACATAAACACAGCTGCTTTTATACATTTGAGAACATTTGTGTTTATTTGAATGTGTGATGGGGAGGTCATCAAAATGAACACACTCGTTGTGTTTATTTGAATCTCACATCGCTCATAAGAATACACGCTGTGTTTGAACATGCAGTCAAACACCAGCGTCTCTAAAAGGCGAATCAAACCCCAAAAGGCAGTTCAATGCAAAACCCCATTAATGCTGCGTTAGAGGTGAAATTCCTTTCACAGAAAGCCAGGGAATTTAGTTAAAGATTTTCAACAGCAAGTTTGTTTCTAATAGCTCCAGAGAAGTACACTGGAGAAAAGTACATGGTTTCTTTCCATTCCTTTATCACAGTACATAGAATTTGTATTTAGTAAGATGAAAAGAAAGATAGACAGAAAGAAACCAAATCCAAGCACTAAAGTACCAAAAATGTTTGCAGGGCACTAAGAAATGACACACAATTGCAATATCAATAACATAGAGAGCACATAAGCTTTGTATTTGGAGGATGCTGCTGGTGGTGTCAGTGAAATGAACAGGACTTAGGTGATGGTTATGGTTATGGTGATAGGGAAGGTTTGTATACATGTCTGAGTATCACTTTGACAAGTACAAGGGTGTTCTGAGCCATTAAAAAAAAAAGGGAGTGGGGCAGGTAGGTACAGATACGGTCCATGAGTAGAGGTACTTGTATGTAAGTATGCTTGCTTCAGCCTTTAAACAGAGGCTTTTGCCAAACTTAGTAGTCCGTGACTTGCAATTTTTTGCACACTTCAAGAACAACAACAGCATTATAATACAATCCTGATAAGAATTCCCGGGCTCAAGCAATCCTTCTGCCTCAGCCTCCCAAGTAGTTGGAGCTACAGGGGCACACTACCATGCCTGGCTAATTTTTTAAAAATTTTGTTAGTGACAGGGTCCTGCTACGTTGCCCAGGTTGGTCTCCAACTCCTGGCTTCAAGTGATCCTCCCACCTCAGCCTACCAAAGTGCTGGAATTACAGGTGTGAGCCACTGGGCCCAGCCCAACCTTAATACTTTGAAGCAATGCAACCTGCTACATATGACTGAGAATGCTTGAGAATGTGCTGGTTCTCAACTCTTGCTCTAGTTAAAATTAAAGCCCCTCTCTGTTATGCTAGGTTAGCTTTTTAAATTCTTCATCTTTCTTGTGCTGTAATTTAGAAAGAGCAGATAGCCAGGAACTGAGGCATCTGCCATTAAAACCTTCAGGATTAGATTCACAAAACTTGTTACCTATGGTTTTCTTTGGAAAAAAACTTAAAAAGCAAATAAATAAACAGAAAGGAGGAAGGGGAACACAAAACAGCAAGATGAGGTTCCTCTGGAAATTAAATAGCTGATGCAGACGATTAAACAATAACAAGAAAATGCGTGTGTTTCTCTTCGGCTTATAAGAACTGACAAGATTACAGCCGATGGTGGTTTGGCTGGAGAGTAGGAATTTTATTGTATGGTATTAATTAAAACCAGAGGGAGTGGGATACCAGGAGCAGGAGGTGATCCCGTTTCCACAGAGCCACAGAACACTAGGGTTTGGCCACCAGGCAAGACTTCAAATATGTGAAAAACGTTCAAAATAAAAGACATAAAAAATCTTTAAAGGCCCGTGTTATCATAACAAAACATGCTTAGAATAACATAATGTCTCCACTGGTTCCCCATTAGAACAATTACAAAATTCAAAATTGCTTAATTGGTTAAATTAGATAAGATCAGATTGATTGAGACCAGAAGCAACATCTACCCCTTTCTTCCATTTCCATTGATGGTAACTACGTCTTTGTTTCTCTATCAAGATGCATTTTCATCTACCTAAAATATTATTACTGCATGGCAGTTTGTTACTCCATTAGTTTTAACACTTTTTAAAAATGTTTTAGAAATGACAAATGAAAAGAGGAGACAGAAGTTGCATTTTAAATCAAGCAATTTTCTGAGTTTTATGTGGAAAGCAAGACTATCTCAAAACTCCCCTTTGATGAGGCCCCAAATATACGAAGGGATCAAACTCCATATAGACAAAAGGATTTTCCCCCTGACTTTGGAGTGATATCTTGTTACACTAATGGCTCTTGACAGCTGTCATAAGACCCTTCATTTACAATCTTCAGAAAAAGGGAAGCTAGAGTCTGCCATTGAAACCTCAGTGTTTCCCAATCAGAAACAAGCAAGCTTGCCTCTTAGAAAGAGACAGGGACTAAGGTAAGGGAAAGTAGAGTAGATTTAAGTGAAATAGGAAGTTTCAAAATCCTATGTTTGGCTGAGCATGGTGGTGGACGCATGTCATCCCAGCACTTTGGGAGGCCGAGGCGGGAGAATCGCTTGAATCCAGGAGTTTAAGACCAGCCTGAGCAACAGAGTGAGACCTTGTCTTTACAGAAAATTAAAAAAATTAGCCAGGTGTGGTGATGAGCACCTGTAGTCTCAGCTACTCGAGAGCCTGAGGCAAGAGGATCGCTTGAGCTTAGGAGGTTGAGGCTGCACTGAGCTGAGATTGAGCCACTGCACTCCAGCCTGAGCAACAGAATGAGACGCTGTCTCCTTAAAACAAACAAAACCAAAAATAACCCCATATATTTGATATGATCTCATTTTCATTTTTGAAAATAAAATATTTGCACATATGTGTATATATGTGTATGTTGAGCATTTTAAATTTGAAAATCCGAAATCTGAAATGCTCCAAAATCCAAAACTTTTTGAGTGCCAGCATGATGCTCAAAGGAAATGCCCATGAGAGTATTTTGGACTTTGGATTTTCAAATTTGGGATGCTGAACTAATAGGTATATATAATGAAAATATTCCAAAATCCAAAAAAATTGGAAATCTGAAACACTTTTTGTTCCAAGCGTTTCAGATAAGGGATATTCAAACTGTATATATAAAAAAGCTTAGAAAGCTTATAGACCAAGGTGTTAATGATGATCCTTCTTTTTCATTAACTATATTTAGTGCTTTTCTCTAATAAAATATGCATCATATTTATAATATGGAAACTTTTAAAAAATATTTTTCAAAAACGGAGATGTTAAAAATTACTGACAGCTTCTGCATCTGTAAAATAGGAGTAATAATAGACCTATCTTATAGGGTTGTGTTGGGGACTAAAGGGGTTAATATACATTAAACACATAGTTCCTGGTCCCTGGTAAGTATACATAGCTTTTGGCTATTATTATTAACTAGGAGGACAATTATCTTACCTGTTTCACTTAAATTAATGAAATTTATTTAAAAATAAAAATAAAAACATGTTTTTAAATTATTGCTACATATTGCAGCTGCTTGAGAGCTCTGAGGATGAGGCCTATCCTCTGTTAAGAAAAAGAACTAAATTATTTTAAAAGTGTTAAAGATACATAGCACCAACTGAGATAGTCTCCTAGAATTAATATGAAGGATTGAAAGTGCTTTAAATGGAATAACTTTCTTATTAAACAAAGCAATATATTTTAATAACTGTGTCCATGGAACACCCCAAATCACCTTAACTATAGTGTCCCACCCTTAGGACACATTGATAAACTGTTGGTGCCTAATGTGGAAACTGGACTATGGGACAACATGTGGATTCAAAGACAGGGGTATCAGGTTGGTTAGTCAGATATAGGATACAGGATCTCATTCTTCTGGTTTCAAGCAGCTAAAAATTCAGTCATTTTGGTAAAATCTTGCTCTCTTCGTTGCTGTGGCAAGGTGTGGTGTCCATGTGAGGCAGCTACCCTTTCCCTTTTCCTCAACTTTTTCCTCTCCTTAAATGCCCTCCCTACTTCCCACTGGGCTTCCCACAGGAAAAGGTGAGCCAGATCCCTGCTAGGCACTGCGAGCAAAGTTGCTCTGTCTCTCTGGTTCCTTGTTCTTGTCTGCTGTACAGTGGATCAGCCTTTTCTAGCATCCTAACGGTAAACTCCAAAACTGGTGCGTGGGTGCGGAGAAAGAAAAGAGAGCAAACATTCAAGCCTGCTGCCATCTAAGGCTACCCAGAGAGAGAGAGACACATCAGAGGGAGTCCACCTTCCATGCGGTCCAGCCCAGCCTTCCAGATTTCTCTGCATTGGGATTGAAGGCCAAAACTCTGGCTAATAATTAAGTATAATGTCCATTCATTTCTTGTTCCCCCTCATTTTCCCTCCCTCAGAGTGACAGTGCCTCATCAGAAAGGATTTCAGGATTCCTGGGTCCCTGAACATAATATCATACAATATCATCCCACGGTTACCCCAGCATTAAATCGTGACCTACTGGCTCTCTCAGGGGACCTTCCAGAGCCAGTGTGGCTCTGACTGTGGGACCATCAGGCTCAGTGGCAGGTTGTGGGAGGAGACTCTTGAGCACAGGTGGTTAGCCACGATTCGATGGGGTGGCTTCATTCCAGAGTGTGAGCTTGCCGTGCAATTTTGGAGGAAAACTTCCGGAGGAGGCATTTATGGTGGAGTTTTTGCTTTGTTGCCCATTCTGTGACTCAGATGGGAGGACAATCAAAACTAGGACAGACAACAGTCTGACAGAAGTACCCCAGGCACATGCCTGGCCAGCACCTGTCAGGATTAGAGCAGCCTCTCTGGAAGTCTTTTTCAGTGATGTGAAGCCAATGCCATTTTTTGTTTGCTTGTTTTTTTTGTTTGCTTGTTTTTTTTGTTTGTTTGTTTGTTTCTTTTGAGATGGAGTGTTGAGATGGAGTTTGGAGTTGTTGCCCAGGCTGGAGTGCAATGGCGCAATCTCAGCTCACTGCAACCTCCACCTCCTGGGTTCCAGCGATTCTCCTGCCTCAGCCTCCCAAGTAGCTGAGATTACAGGTGCCTGCCACCATGTCCAGCTAATTTTTGTATTTTAGTAGAGATGGGGTTTCACCATGTTGGTCAAAGTGGTCTTGAACTCCTGACGTCAGGTAATCCACCCACCTCAGCATCCCAAAGTGCTGGAATTACACGTGTGAGCCACTGCGCCTGGCTAACCAATGTGGTGGTTTTTTTTTTAAGTTTTCAAATTGTTTTTTTCTATTCAAAATGAAAATAGCTTTATTGAGTTCTACAAAAATGATACATAGTTTTTCTATATATTATTTATGTATATCAATCTAGGTTATGTTCTTAGAATGTCAATAAAAATATTCGCACTGCTTTTATCAGACACATTTAGAATGACGTGTCTCTGTTGGTTTAAGACATTTTCATGATTTCCAGTTGTTCTTCGGGTGAAGACTAGTATTCATGCTTCGCCTTCCTTTTCATCTTTATCCCTCCCATGCCCCTTCCCTCTGTGTTGCTGCCACAACTGAAGCCAGGGTTAGTACATTCCCCTCAGGACAACATCCAGCAAGGCCCCTTTCATCTCCCGGTGTACACTGGTCCAGGTCTCCTTCATGGGCCTCCTCATCCAAGGTTGAAGATACCCACTCTGCTTGGCAAGGCAGGCAGCGGAGTCCTATAGCCCAAAGCAGCCCAACTGAGGCCAGCTTTCTGGAAGAATCCACAGCCGGGGCAGCACTGCATTCAGATAGCTCTTCTATCAGACTCATTACCAGTGATTCTGGAAAGCTCCTTCCCTGAGTTTTCTCTTCAAATGTCTTTGCCATACCTGAGCTGAAGCTCATCATTAGAAAGACAGGAAGGCTGAAGAAGCTCAAGAGGTGGCTTTTTGCCACTCCAGGCACTTCACAGCCAGCATTGTCCCTCTACCTCTCCTTGACCTCCAGGCCAACAAAAGGATGAAGACAGGAGCTGCCGACTTCCACTTGGTCCATACTTTTTTTTTTTTTTGAGATGGAGTCTTGCTCTGTCGCCAGGCTGGAGTGCTGTGGCGCAATCTCAGGTCACTGCAACCTCTGCCTTGGTCCATAATTTCACAACAAACCTATCTCTTGGGCAAACTGAGAACCTCAAACCCCCACTACCCAGAAATGGAACCCAATCAGTGTCCCCAGTTTACCACAGGATTGCCTTTTAAAAATCACTCCTTGGGCCACCTGCCCAGCATCTATCTCCTCTCAACCTTCTATGATCTGACTGGTAGACTCAGGGGTCCTGAGAAACTGCATCTCTGAAAGTTTGAAAATCTAATTCGTGCTACTGTTGTTCAATGATGGTAACTCATAACCACTGAATTGGAACTCATTAGCAGGGCAGCATTAAGGAGTTGCTGCCGCATTTGAAATCCATTTCTTGGGGGAGTCTGATTGCCTTCAGGGACTTTCTCATGGGGTGATTGAAGTCACTCCCTTTAGAAAACAAAGTATTCTATATAACCACCTCAAGGCCCCAGCCTGCTTTCTTTTAGGAATTTAACAGAGGCTTATATAAGGTCCAATAACTGAATTAATTAAGAGTAAAATGAAGATGGTGACTTCATATTTCTTTGGTCAGTGAAAATTTTAACATTCTCATAACCCTTTTTATTCTCTCTTCTCTTTGTGAATGCTAATAGAAAAATCCTTTTTAAATGGTATTTTGTTAGCAGGGGCTATGCCGACAACTCCACAGTATCTTCCCACAGATCACTGCTCACATCATTCAGATGTTGAAAATTTTAAATGAAATCAATACTGGCCTATTCATGTCAACAGCACTATCCCTGGTGATGTAAAAATATAGAGAGAAACTGCAACCCAGGCTACTTACCCAGCGCTCTTTTCATTACAGGTCGTCAATTAAATTATTTCTACAATATTGTATCCGTCCACAAAATGTTACGCAATATTCATGCACATTACTTCAGCTACACAGAATCCCTGTAAAATAAATGAGGGCGGGCAAGGAAACTGAAGAGACCTAGTAAAATAGGAAGGCATTTATAGTAAGTCCAGTCACTTGGCCGCCAAAATTGCCCCCACGATGATGCTTTTATTATCACTTGAGAAACAGCAATGTCTTCATTCTTGTGATTCCAAATTATTCCATGCTATAGGAAAGAATATCCTCAGAGAGATTTCTTGTAACAGTGAGTGGGAACTGTAACTAGGAACTTGAAAGTCAGCCTCGTTTGCAATGGACCAAGCTGGTGGGCTTTCAGAGAAGCTGGACGTGTCTCTGTTTCCCCGGATTCAGTTGCAGCGCCAGATTCAGAACCAGGAGCCCATTACCAGTCAAATCCTCCAGGCTTCATTGATGATACCCCAGGAGGTTCTGCAGCTCCAATTGCCCCTGGCGCTGAGCAGGGGAAGCCAGTGGACTGTGCTAAGGCTTGGCCCCGGAATTAGTGATCCAGCCAAGATGCATCTCGGCAGGAGGATGAACTGATTGAATCAATAATTTCAATCACTGCCTATTCCTGGTAGAAACCAGGGAGGGCAGAGGAGGACGGGGGAAGGGAAAACCCACAAGCCTGGAGAGGCCAGGGCTAAGCCCAGCCTGAAAAGAAAACAATGAAAACATCCCCATAAGGAGAAGAGGATTGGAAAGAAGAAAAATGGACCAGGTTCACTGAGTAAGTGCCTAGGAATTATCCTCACCTAAAAGAGCCAACCTGCAAGCAATCTGCCATCTGAAAGCCACCTCCTTCTATGGGGCATAGAATTTTGAGGCTTTTATTCTGAGGATGATGATTACTATGGGTTTGGAAATGGCCCACAAAGCCTGCTGCTCCCAGTGCCTTGCCTGTGACTTCCTCAGCTATGTGGCCATCTCTATATGGCTATGTCAAGCCACATGATCTGCCTAGGCCTATTTCCTCCTGTTAGCTATATGACCTTTTTAGGCCTATTTTCTGCTCTTGAAAGGGAAGCCTGAATCAGATAACACTTTGAATCCAATCCTTCTGGGACTAACATTGGAGAATTCTGTAGGCCCGAGTTTTAGCTTGCCTGCTGCCATCACTGCCTCTCTGGCTGGTCTGGTCCTGTCTGCAGTGGAACACAGGCACAGATGGTGAGAGTAGCAGGAGCTGCCTCCTTTAGTAAGACTAGCTGCCTTTTATTGAGTGCTTACCATGGAAGATCTCAGCCAAGTTTAATCCTCCTTGGAACCTCCTGAGGCATTATGTATGTCCCCATTTTATAGATGAGGAAAGTGAGGAACAGAGGAGTTAAGTAACTGTCCTAAGTCACCGAGCTAGTTCCTAGCAGATCCAGAATGAAAACCTGAGTCTGTGAGGCCCCAGAGTCAGAGCTTTTAATGGCCAGAGTATACTGCCTCTCTCCCTCTTTGCTCCTTAATGGAGCAACTTGGGAATTAAGTGCCTTCTTTTGCAGGGTGACCTTCAGCCACCAGCTGGAAATCCAGGAGGGGCCTCAGCCAAGTTTACTCTCGGCACAATAAGGAAGCAGAGGGCTCCCAGGGACGTTCTTCCTCACCACCCATCTTCTCTGTCTTCCATTCCCTATGCCCTGCCTAGGAGTCTCAGCTTCATCCGCCTTATCCATGTCCCGGCCATCTTTGCTGACACAATCCTCTCTTCACTCACCCCCAACACCTAGACCCCAGGTCAGAGGATGCTAGCTCCAGGTCCCCATCCTTCTGGGCCTTGTTCTCTGCTATGAAGCTGCCAACAAGTTATGCCACGGGTGTAAGCATCAGGTATAGAGCCTTTGATAGCGTATCCCATGCCCCCATTTGTTTAGAACACTTTGGAAAACAATGCTTTTAATTCAAAATTGCAGGTCAGAATTTTTGGCCTCAGGAAAGGTCATTTGAAGGAGACTTGGGAGAGGAGCAAGTCTGCTACATCTGCCACCAATCCAATCAATGACAGAGGGTGTCTTAGTCTCATTGAGTTGCTGTAACAAAATACCATACATTAGTGTCTTATAAACAACAGGAATTTATTTCTCACTGTTCTGGAGACTGGGAAGTCCAAGATCAATGCACCTACAGATTCAGTGTCTGGTGAGGGCCTGGCTCTAGATGTGTCCTCGTGTGGTAGAAGCATCAGGGGAGTTCTCTAGAGCCTCTTTTATAAGGGCACTGATCCCATTCACAAGGCTCTGTCCTCATGACCCAATCATCCCCCAAAGCCCCAACTCCTAATACCATCACATTGAGAATTATGTTTCAATGTATGAATTTTGGGGAGACCCAAACACTCAGATCATAGCAGAAGGCTACTCCAATCACTCACGAAACTCACATGACCCACCCCAGGGACTTCTCAGGTCACGTTGCAGCAATTGAAACACACCGAGAAAAGAAAGCTTCAGTCAGGAAGGCTGTTGGTGGCTTGAGCAGTAGGAAATAGAGAATAGGAACAGATGACATAGGAGGTGGCCTGGCTCTGTTTCTAAATGCCAGAGTGGGAGTGACCCCCAGACTTCCTGAGAGATCTACTTGGAGCGTGTAGCACATAATTAATGGAGCCCACAATTCCAACACACTGTTTTTCAATTCAATTCACCAAAAAATTTTTAAGAGCTTGAATGCGTAAGGTCCTGGTCTTGCATCTGGAGATGTGGACATGAATAAGACATGGTCTCTGACCCTAAAAACCTTAGAGTCTAGTGGGAGAGACAGACACACACAGAAGTAACCATGATACAAAGCAAGCGGTGATTAGTGCTAAATAGAGATATACACAGAGGACTGTGGGGGCTCAGAGGTTGGCTGATTATACTGTCCACAGAAGGAATTTGCAGAGGAAGGGACCTGAACTGGGCTTTCAAAATAAAAAATGCAGAAGCCTTGTGATATGGTTTGGCTGTGTCCCCATCCAAATCTCATCTTGAATTATAGCTCCCATAACTCCCACATGTCATGGGATGGACCCAGTGGGAGGTAATTGAATCATGGGGGCAGGTCTTTCCCATGCTGTTCTCATGATAGTGAATAAGTCTTACAAGATCTGATTATTTTATTTTATTTTATTTTTTTGAGATAGAGTCTCACTCTGTCGCCCAGAGTGGAGTGCAGTGGCATGATCTTGGCTCACTGCAACCTCCACTTCCTGAGTTCTAGTGATTCTTGTGCCTCAGACTCCCAAGTAGCTGGGACTACAGGCATCCACCACCATGCCCAGATAATTTTTGTGTTTTTAGTAGAGGCAGGGTTTTGCCATGTTGGCCAGGCTGTTCTCAAACTCCTGACCTCAAGCAATCCACCCACCTCAGTCTCCGAAAGTGCTGGGATTACAGCCACCGTCTCAGCCAAGATCTGATGGTTTTATAAACAGGAGTTCCCCTGCACATGCTCTGTCTTGCCTGCTGCCATGTAAGACATCCCTTTGCTCTTCCTTCATCTTCCACCAAGATTGTGAGGCCTCCCCAGTCATGTGGAACTATGAGTCCATTAAAACTCTTTCCTTTATAAATTACCCATTCTCGGGTATGTCTTTTTAGCAGCATGAGAACAGACTAATACACCTTGCCACTCTCTGAGTACTTAATACGTAACCAGCTTTTGATGTGTATCACACCAGAAAACCAACATAGCACTGTGAAGAGGGAATTTGCCCCACTTTGCAAATGGGGATAGCTGAGGACCAGCCTGGGCAAGAGCCAAACCCAAGTCTATCTGCCTTCAGAACCCAAGAGACCTACACAGCCCAAGAGAACAGAGGTAGCCAAGGGCCCATGGTGGGAAAGTACAGGGTGGGTTTAGAGAAGAGAAGGGGTGCAAATCTTCTGTGGCTGAAGTTCTCACGGTGGGGCACGGGATGGGGCGGGGAGATGGAAACATGGAGAGGATGAGACAGTGTCAGGTGGGGCTATGAGCAGGGACTCTGCATCCCGCTGGGCACACGCCTCGCTTCTGCCCCTTACCAACTGTGGAACAGTGAGTAAGCTGTGTCATCTTCCTATACCTCAGTTTGCTCATCTATAAAAGGGGAATAATAAATAGCAACCCCCTCAGCCCCTCCTAGCATTGCTGTGAGAATAAATGAGCTAAATAGAGAGTAATAAATATATATTTTCATAGGGCAGCGCTAGGAGCATGGTAAGTGCTGTATGTGTTTATTATCAAAAGATCTGGATGGCCTGGTTCAAACCTTGGCTCTGTCCCTCAGTAGCTACGTGACCTTAGTCGGCTTACATCAAGGTTTGCACCTCAGTTTCCTCATCTATAAAATAGAAATAACATGCCCGTCTCACAGAGCTGTCATAAGGCCTCAGTGAGACACTGCAAAAATGGGAAGTCTGGTTCCACATGGGAAGTGATTTTCTAAATCGTATTCTCACTTCTACCATGTCGGCTTGCTAGTTACGGGCTAAAAACTTTCTTCACAATCAGTTGTGCAAGTGTCCTCATGGGAAATTCAATAAAAAGTTCAGCAAAAGAACTGTAAATTCTTAATTGTAGGGGATTAGTAAGGCTGTATTATGGTAAATTTACCTCACACATAATTTATTAAGTCAAAACTACATTTTCTAATTAAAAACCTAAGAAATCATGCATGCTGAGTCTTATAACACACAAATTTTAGTCTGAAACAACCAACTCAGGAAACCGTAAAAGACAGGGCAGTGTATATAAATCATGCCTTGGGAAGAGGCGAGTTTTAGGAGGCAGGTAGATCTGTTTGGGGATTTATAGCAGGCCCCTCAATGTAGCATCTCAACCCTTTGACATCTGTACTATTCAGCCAACCCTAATATACAGACAACCGATCCGAGGCAGAAGGAAAACAAATGTGCAAATAGTGGCCCGCCCATGTTGACGCCCAGGCTCAGTTTTCAGTTCGGTGCCAGCCTCCCGCCCGCCCACAGCCCCTTGAGCAAAGCCTTCCACACAGATGCTAATTACGTGCCTTCATTTGAACCCACAGATCTGGCATTAATTTGTATTGGAGCTATGAGTCCTTTTTGTTTAAGTGGTAAAAAAGTCAAAACGGTGGTGAACTTCTAGAATATTCTCAAGGTAACACAGAGTATATTTTGATCAGAAGACTGTGTTCCATAGAGGTTAGGCAGACAGATGGATGGACCCAGAGTGGAAGCTGACTCTACTGCTTACCGGCTGGGTGGGACAAACTCCCTCTGCTCTCTGAACTAGAGTGCAAAATTAATTTATTCTGCAAAATGAAAGAAATAGTCATAGCTCCTACCTCTTAGGGTTGTTGTGAGAATTACATAACTGTAAAAGCATCTGCCTGGTACATGGTAAGCATTTAGTATTTATTATTATTATTACTTATTTTAGGGAAAAGGGTCAGGAGGAAGGGGGGATAGAGAAGGGGAGACCCCAAAACCCTCAGCACCCTTTGCCTTGTCCTGAATCACAGAGGCATTTCCTTCGCTGAATAAGGGATGCCTTTTTGAGTTAGAAGACAAAGACAATAAGAATTGTAAAATTCAACAAGTTATCCAGTAGTTTTGGTCTTTGGCATAAAAGTTGAGCTTTCACTTAATGTTGTGCCTGACATTTCTCTTCAAAGGAAAGTAAATTGGAAGTTTGTTTCAAAGTTATTTCCAGAAAGAAAAACAAAGCAGAGGGTTAACTGATTTGAAAGCTTTAGTGGTAAGACACCTACGAATTGAATTTCTAATTGTTTTAGTTGTAAATCACATTTAGAAACATATTTATGTGTGTGTGTACATTATGTATATACACACACACACATTTTTATATATCTGTATATCTGGTTTGATGTCACAGAGATTGAAGTTCTTTGTTCATACTAATGCCAGTATGTGAACAAGAAGGGAAATCTCTCACTGTAATTGCCCGGAGGTCAGGGTCACGAAACCCCCGTGAGACCTTGTGGCATCCCCCTTGATTTCAGCCCTGGGAACAGCCGTCTCTGGTGGTAGGGGGGTAAATAACTCTCCATTTGTTTGACAAGACTTCCAGCTGGGGTGTCATCAAGTGTCACTTGCTGGGGCATTGCTGTCTCTCTGCACCCCCACCCCCACCACAGTCCCTGCCTGGTCCCCAGAGGAAGGGACTGAAACCAGCCAGGCTCACAGTGGCCCTTCATTCGCTCATTCATTCATTCCTGTCCTCAGAGAGGGGGTCCTGCCTGCCGGCTCCTGCTTCCGTGTCCAGTTGTCCTCAGAAAGGTGTCTAGGTGTGTCCTCCTCTTCAGCTCTGGGTCCTGGACGGTGAGGAGCAGAATGTCCGGTTCGTCTTGGGAAGATATTATTCCTCTGCGTTGCCAGCAGCATGCATTCTAACAATTAAAATTTCTGTTTTAAGATAAACAGATTTTTTTTTTTACCTTTAGGGCATTCTGCAAGTGATTACGTGACACTGATTACATGAACGGTTTCCAATCATGGCCCCAGTTTTGGAGTCTGCCACCGGGAGTTAATGAAATCAGATTAATTTGTAAGTCTGGAGTCTCAGAGAGCTAAAACTTATGAGCAGAAAAAAAGAATTGGGAGCTGACTGTGGTTTCCCGCAGTAGTGTCCTTGCTAAATAAATGCTAGCCTCGTCCATTTTTCTTCATGAAGAGTAGGGAAGTGTTTTCAATAAGAGGGTGGGAAGCCAGTCATTGTCATTAGAGCCATCCGTGAGTGCTGAATGCTTTAAAATTCAGGCATAAATACCACACAGGTATCTCTTGCAGAGTTGACACAGAGTGTCCTGTCCACCCTCCCCACCTCACACGCCCACCCCCACTCATAAATGTGCGCCCCTTCTGGCCTTGAACATTTGTTGGGGTTTGGATAGGAATCCGGCTACTCTTTCCCATTGCCATAATTATGTTGGTCAAGGCCTGTGTTCTTGACAAAGAAAACATTCCTCTAACTCAACCTGAGTAATCCTTAATGAGTCCTTGTATCTTGTGATAAATTTCATAATTATTCAGCCCCTACCACTAACACCGAAATTCATCAGTCAAAGCAAATTAGCCGAGATTCATTAGAATAAGACATCTAGTAGGCACATGTACTTTATTAGCCTCTTACACCAATAGTTTTAATTAGGTACATATTTCACAGCTCTCGAGCTACTCCAGTGAAGGGCTGCCTTTATCTCTTTTATTTACAGTAACAAGCTATCAAACACACACCACCATAATTAAACTTGGATATAAAAAACTTGTTTTATTAATGGCAGCCTATTCTGGCCTTGGATTTCTGAAACCTGCACTAGGCAGATATTTTTATTAATTAAATAAATATTATTCAATTAAACTGAAAAGATGGGGTGACGTGAGAGGGGCGAAGAGCTCGGTTTAAAAGTGAGATTCTCTTTTTTCTTCCTTGCTGATGGTTTCCTCTGTCTCACCTTCAGCAGGGGAACAAACATCTCTTCATCAGATATTTTAGTGATGAGAAAAGTGATTAAAATCCAGAACATTTTTAAATTATTAATAAGGAATTTAAATGATGTTATAAAAAAGGAAATACAAGAGAAAATGTTACACATTCATAGAATTTTGGCTCATGCATAATAAACAGTAGAAAACACTTTACTTATAATACTATCCAAATTAAAGAGGCAAGAAGCCCCCTGCTTTAGCCGTGGGTAGTAGCGTCAATAAATGACAAATGGCGCCATCTGCTGGTACTCCGATTAAACACTTAATTCAGAGCACAATTGTCAGAGCAATCAGTTCTTGGGTTGTCAAAACAAAAAAGTGATAAAACTCTGTGCCTCCTGATATTTTCATATGGTTAGACAAGGTATAACTCTGTAAGAAAGACAAAGTTAGACCTTAACATCCAGAGGCTTCAGGCAAGACACTGCAGGGAGATCTCTAGCCTTCCTGGTCTCTTGAGCTCTCTTTGAGCTCTCCTTGAGGTATATGCAGAAGGATCACAGCCAGGTCCTTAAAAGACAACATGCGTGCAAAAAAAAAATAATAATAATAATAAATTTTAAAAACCCTGCAAATCACACACTCATTTGAGGGGCTGCCCTTGAGCCCTGAATTCCTGGGTTGCCGTACCACAGAGCACACAGGACTCTAGGAAGCTACCTTGTGCTGTTTCTCGCAGATTCTGTGACACCATAACCGCCATTCCCTAGTCCTTCTCTGGAATGGCTTTTCTTCACTTCCCCTCCCACCTTTCTCTTAGTTGTTTGTGTCTCTGGTGCATGAATAAGAGATTCCTCACTCTTTAGACCTCTCGGGGGCTGGTGTGAAACCAATGAAATAACATTATTTTAATATAAATGATCATATTGATTGACTGAACCCATTTACACAACTCATTGAACAAAAATATATGTGCAATAACTTTAAATAACATCTTTTAAAATTCAAATCCTCAAAAAGAAAAAAACTTTATCCATTATCCCACCTTCTTCAAAGAGTCTCTTTAAGCCTGACCAACGAAGTCAGTCCTTCTGAGGCCACCAGCGCTCACAAATTGAAAATCTGCACTTTCAGACACCACAGTCACTGGGACCTTTCTTCCTGGCCACATTTTGGCATAAAATATGAAATTAGATCATTTTTAAGATTCCTTTATTGTTGTTATAATATTTTTCATAAGTAACAGATGACAGAAAAAATAATTTACATTTTTATAGGATATTATTTGGAGGTTATTGGAATAAAAATATTAACAAAATCTGAGTAAACTTGTATTGCTTCTGCCCTTTCTGTGAGGTAGGACTGAGCTAGGCTTTTCCAATGGGACCTCCATGAGCACACAAGGAGGGGTAACTCCAGCTATAGGCTGCATGATATGTGGATGATAATGTGGGTTACTCACATTGTGTGTGTGTGTGTGTGTGTGTGTGTGTGTGTGTGTGTGTGTATGAATTACTCCAAGTCCCAAGTCCACCTGTTCAGGCTTATATCTCCTATGAAAATAGAAAACAGCATAGGAAAAACTTCCTGCTAGGGAGAATCTCCTACCCTTGAAATCCTCCTTATTGTGGGCAAATAGTCCCTTTCAGTTCCACAGTTTTCCTGCCAGGGTACTGCCTTCCTGAATGGCCCTCTGCCTTGAATAGGGGTCCATACCTACAGGCCACTGGTGGCCCACTGTTTGGCAGCACAGGCTCCATCCCCAGCCCTCAGGTCTCTGCTTTTCTCAGCCCACCCTTTCAGAGTCACAGATCATTCACCGACCCCGGGACTCCAATCCTCAATCAGCAAGATTCCTATACCCATTTTCTGTCTCCCCTATGCCTCCTTGCTGCTTACTGACCCCTCATGCCGCCCTTAATTTTAACTTTTATAGGAGCAAGAGGCTGACTTAAGATCTAGCCCCTGCCCAGACACTTCAAGGTGGCCCTCCCTCTTCTCAAACTCAAAAGAATGAACAGAAATGTGGTCACTGGACATCCCTGATATGAAAGGAATGGAAAAGAAAGAGGCTGGGATGCATTGAATGCCTGTGGTGTGTCAGGCTCTGGATTAGAGCTTTATTAATGACTCAGTGAAGCCTCACAACAATCTTACATAAATGGGATACCATCTGCATTTTATAGATTTGGAGACTGAGACTCAGAGAGGTGGAGAGACTTGCCAAACATCTCCCAAGCACTACAGGGCAGAGGTGGAGTCTGACTTCATGGCACTGCACTACCTCCCCAAGGCAAGGTTGAGCAAAAACTGCTTCTCACCTGGCACCTGCTTAGAGACCTCTGAGGTGCCCTGTCCAGCCTCACTTGAATGGCCTCACCATTGCTTTTGACAGGGTTGAACACTGCCTCCTTGTAACATTCCGTGCCTCCTTCCTAACTCTCTGCCTCTTCCTTCTTTATCTCTTGGGTGGACTCCTCTTTCATCAAAAAACAGTTTCGTTGAACACCGATGTCGTAGAGTTCCCTTCTGTCCCTGCTCTTCTCTACAGACTCACTCAGAGTTGTCTAATTTACCCCCATGGCTCTAAAGGCCAGACAACACCTCTCAGACCTTCATCTCTAGCTCTGATCTTTCATCTGATCTTCTAACTCATTTACGCAAATTTCTGCTAAGCATCTCGATTTGAGCATCCCCCAGGCACCTCAAACTTAACGTGTTCAGAATAGTTCATTTTTCCATCAAACTACACCTCCCTACATATTGCTTATCTTAGCCAATGTCATCACCAACCCCAGACCTCCAGGCCAGAAAGATGGGATCATTTTGCTATTTCTTGAGTGCCCAGCCCAATCAGCCACACAGTTCTGGGCCTCCCATTTCCTAAATATGCATTAAACCCCATCCCCTTCTCCCTGTCCCTGCTGGCACTGTCCCACTTGATATCACAGCCATCTCTGCCTCTGTCTATTGTAATAGCTTCCTAACTGTATCTCTGCTTCCAGATTTGCTTTCTCAAATCTTCTCTTCCCAGAATCATCAATATATCTTTTAAAAATGCAAATCTTTATGTATCAATCTGTGTTTTTCAGGACTCTTGACTGCTAGTGTCAGAAACTAATTTCAAACTGACATATGCAAAAGAGAAAATGTATTGGTTCTTGTAACTTGGAAAGTAGACCCAGGTGTTCAGATGAAGACAGTAGTCCATCTATCTTCAACTCTCACTCTGCTGTCCTCTGGGTTTAAAGTTGGTTTATTCTCAGGAAGGCTCTCCTTGTAGTGACAAGATGGTGATTAGCAGCTCCAGGTGTAAATTCTAGCTGCTTAGCAACCTCAGCAGAGAGAATGCTGTTCTCAAGCGTTCCAATATAGTACCAAAGTGGTTCTAATACGGTCCATCTTGGCTCACATGTTAGCCTCTGAGCCAATCACTGTGGCCCAGAGGATGAAATATTGATGGTTCAGGTGCATAGTACATGTCCACCACCCCTGTACTTCACTGATCCACAATATCACAATATCCAAAAGGTGGGAGCAACGCAAATGTTCATCAATGGATGAATGGAGAAACAAAATGTGGTGTATACATTATTCAGCCTTAAAAAGGAAGAAAATTCTGATCCATGCTACAACATGAATGACCCTTGAAACATTACGCTAAGTGAAATAAGCCAGGACAAGTATTGTATGATTTCCCTTTTATATGGTCCATAGAATAGTCAAATTCATTGAGAAAGAAAGTAGAAGAGTGGTTACCAGGAGCTGGGGGAGAGGTGAATGGAAAGTTATCGTTTGAGGTCTACAGAGTTTCAGTTTGTGATGATGGAAGTGTTCTGGAGATGGATAGTGGCAATGTTGCACAACAATATGGATGTATTTAATGCCACTGAATTTACACTTAATAAAGGTTAAAATGGTAAATTTTATGAATGTATTTTATTATAATTTTAAAAACCTTTCAATAGCTCCCCATCAATTTCTGGATCAAGTCTGAGCTCCCAAGCATGCTGCACAAAGTCCTTTTTCATCCAACCCCACTCACTTTTCCAGCTTGTGCTGCCCTTCGTACCTCACCCTGAAAGCGCACTGTCCAGCAGATCTTTCTGTAATGATGGGGAAAATGTGCTGCATCCGTTCTGTCCTATTTAGAAGCCACTAGCTCTATGTGGCCACTGGTCACTTGAAATGTGGCTAGTATGACTAAGGAACTGAATTTTAAATCTTAGTTAATTTAAATGTCAATACCCACGTGTGATTAGTGGTTACTCTATTAGACAGCAGAGTTCTAAAACATAGCGTTGTATCAGGTTACTTTATAATCATGTGCCTTTGCTAATTCTCTTCTTTTGTCTTTGGTGTCCTCCCCTCCCCTTTTTATTCCCAAACTCTCAACTATTCAAGAAAACCTCAGGAAGATGAGGCTGGGAAGGACTCCCGGACACTTCGCGTCGTGATAATCTCTCTCATCCTGGTTTTCTTTCAAGCATTCATTTATTCATTCCTACAGCTCCTTGCTAGGCACTGGAGATGGAAAGATAAATCCAGCTGTTACTATAGAGCTCACAGCCAATTCCTCTTCCAACAATCCAATCACTCCTATGCTACCCATTAGCCAGGTCCTAACTTCCTTTTCTTATAAGGACACTAGTAATATTGGTTTAGGGCCCAGCCTAATGACCTCAATTTCTCTTAACTACCTCGTTAAATACCCTGTTTCTAAATACAATTACATTCTGAAGTATTAGAAGTTAGGATTTCAACATCGGAATTTTTTTTTTTTTTTTGAGACGGGGTCTGTGTCGCCCAGACTAGAGTGCAATAGCATGATCTCTCTCCTCACTGCAACCTCTGCCTCCTGGGTTCAAGCAATTCTCCTGCCTCAGCCTCTCTAGTAGCTGGGATTACAGGTGCATACCACCACACCTGGCTGTTTTGTATTTTAGTAAAGACATAGTTTCACCATGTTGGCCAGGCTGGTCTGGACCTCTTGACCTCAGATGATCCACCCACCTCGGCCTCCCAAAGTGTCGGGATTACAGGCGTGAGCCACCGTGCCTGGCCAACATATGAATTTTAAGGGAGACACAATTTAGCCCATAGCAGCACTCTGCTTTAAG
This sequence comes from Homo sapiens, assembly GCF_000001405.40. Classification (NCBI taxonomy): domain Eukaryota; kingdom Metazoa; phylum Chordata; class Mammalia; order Primates; family Hominidae; genus Homo; species Homo sapiens. Next base: position 87,288,298 of record NC_000001.11, on the reverse strand, counting down.
GACTAATACAATTCTTCCTTGCCCAAAGTCCATAGCGACCTTACATGCACAAATTTAACCTCACGTCAGGGAATACCAGCACACTATTCTAACTAAATCTTTCTCAAAAAATCTCTTCTGCTCTTCCTTCAAAAGCACAGCAAAAGACTCATTCAATTTAAATAACTAAGTAGAACATCGCATTATCTGCCAAGAGATTTCAAATGTCCTCAGGGCTTACTGAAAGGATAATGGGTGGAACTTGCCTTACATTTGTACAAAAGAACCAATCTTAGAAGAAGTCAGAGAATCAAACAGCTAGCAAACAACATCCAACTACCCATGGCTGCATCTTTACAAACATTTTAATGATAATAATATAACACACACAAAAAAAACCCCTTCTCTAAAACTAGCCAGAAGATTCTGGTGTATTTTCTTTCTTTCTTTCTTTCTTTTTTTTTTTTTTTTTTGAGATGGAGTCTTGCTCTTGTCACCCAGGCTGGAGTGTGGTGGCGCGATCTTGGCTCACTTCAACCTCCGCCTCCCGGGTTCAAGTGATTCTCCTGCCACAGCCTCCCAAGTAGCTGGGATTACAGGCGCCTGCCACCACGCCCAGCTAATTTTTTGTGTATTTTTAGTAGAGACGGGGTTTCACCATGTTGGCCAGGCTGGTCTCAAACTCCTGACCTCAGGTGATCCACCCACCTCGGCCTCCCAAAGTGCTGGGATTACAGGCGTGAGCCACCGCGCCCGGCTTATTTTCTTTTTAAAAATCAATGTCATTCCTTGGAGTCATCCCTTACTCATATGTACACACTTGCAAGAATACACATGCCCTATGCATACTGTGTTAGGACAAAGTTCTTCAGGGAGTAGCAGAAAACTCAAGACTGTGAAGCTTACACAAGGTAGAAATTTTTTTCTATCTCAAGTAAAATACAGTCACAACATTCAGGGTTTCAATGGAGGGCCACAGGGTCAGGGACCAAGTCCTTATCTTAGTGCACCACTATGTGGCTTCCATTCCTAAGGTCATCTTCTTTTCCACCATGACTACTCCAGTTCTAGCTTCAATCCTACATTTCAGCAAACAAGTGAGAAGAAAAGAAAGAATTTGTACGTGTGACCCTTGCTCACATCCCATTGGCTAGAACTTAATCACATGGTCACACCTAGCTGCAAGGGACTTTGGGAAATGTAGTCTTATTTATGACAGCTATATAGTCTGCTAAAAACTAGAGAGTGGTCATAAAAGGAAGGAGCATCAAAATAAATTGAAGTAGTATTGGATTATAACCCAAAGTATAAAACAAATATCTATGAGACCGGCTGATATAAATAAATGATTGCATAAGTAAATAGAGGGGAATAGACAAATCTCCTATGCAGAAAAATTCCAAACACTGTAATTTATTTACATATTCTACCCTTAAGGAGAGGAAGCATAATTCTCCACTTTTTTTTTTTTAAGATGAAGTCTCACTCTGTCGCCCAGCCTGGAGTGCAGTGGTGCGATCTAGGCTTACTGCAAGCTCTGCCTCCTGGGTTTACTTATGCCATTCTCCTGCCTCAGCCTCCCGAGTAGCTGGGACTACAGGCAACAGCCACCACGCCCGGCTAATTTTTTGGATTTTTAGTAGAAACGGGGTTTCACCGTGTTAGCCAGGATGATCTCAATCTCCTGACCTCGTGATATGCCCGCCTCGGCCTCCCAAAGTGCTGGGATTACAGGCATGAGCCACCACACCCGGCCAATTCTCCACTTTTAAGTGTGGGCTACATGTAGTGACTTTCTTCCAAAAGTACAGTTTGGAAAAGGAGGAAAAAAAATAAGAAACTTTACAGTGGAGAAACCTGACAAATACTACCTGAAGCCAGGTAATCAAGGTTAACATCAACAGTGATAAATCATGTTGATAGTATGTACCCTTGATATAATATGGTTAGAATGGCATTTTACCTCTGTGGTCCTCTTCCCCAAAACATATTACTTCAGTCTTATTATAAAAAAACATCAAACAAATCCCAGTTGAGGGTCATTTTACAAAATACCTGACCAGTCGGTATTCCTCACAACTGTCAAGGTCATCAAAAACAAGGAAAGTCTGAGAAACTGTCACAGCCAAGAGTAGTCTAAGGAGACCTGACTAATAAATGTCATGTGGCATGTTGGATGCGATCCTGGAACAACAGCAGCAACAACAAAGGACATTAGGGAAAAACTGAGGAAAACAGAACAAAGCATGGACTTCAGTTAATAAGAATGTATCAATACTGGATACTGGTTTATTAACATTATTATTATTATATTATTTTGAGACAGAGTTTCGCTGTTGTTGCCCAGACTGGAGGGCAATGGTGCCATCTCGGATCACTGCAAATTCTGCCTCCCGAGTTCAAGCGATTCTCCTGCCTCAGCCTCCCAAGTAGCTGGGATTACAGGCATGCACCACCAAGCCCAGCTAATTTTGTATTTTTAGTAGAGACAGGGTTTTCCCATGTTGGTCAGCCTGGTCTCGAACTCCTGACCTCAGGTGATCCACCTGCCTCGGCCTCCCAAAGTGCTGGGATTACAGGCGTGAGCCACTGCACCCGGCCCTGGATACTGGTTTATTAATAGCGACAAATGTGCTGTACCAATATAAGGTATTCATATGGGAAGCTTGGCATGGGATATATGGGAACCTTTTGTACTATCCTTTCAATAATTCTGTAAATCTAAAACCATCCCAAGACTAAGTTTATTTTTAAAAATAAAGGGAGATTCAAAATTGGAGGGCAACTAGCAATTAATTAGTTGTCCCACCCCACCTAGAAGCCATATCTTTCTCTTTGCACCTACAAATCCAAGAGATGTTCATGCTAGAGAGGACTTTCAAGGCCATTTGACTTATCTCTCAAGATGAAGAACAGAAAGCCTAAAGGTCCCATAGAAAGAGCTTGCGTCTTGCTGCCCAGCCAGCTGATGGGTAGAACCAGAAGCTAGATGGCTTGACAAGGGGCCAAGTGTTCTCTCCACCCCTCCACATTGCCTCCCAGTTTTCCAAATTCCATAGAAGATAGAAGTGGACTGGGGGGATATCTGTTAACTGTCTGGTGAAGGAGAAACCTCCACATAGTGGAAAGTGCTCTACCATTAACTGTCCTTTTAACAATAACGAGTCACTCCATCTCTCTGAGCAATAATTTCTTCACCTTGAAATGGAGATAGCGCTAACTGCCCTGCTTATCTTCACGGGACTGCTGTGAGACACGAACCCTATGTAAACGTCTGGCATTCCTATGTTGTAACAGACCAGCAGGGGCCTTTTGACATACTGAAGTTTTGTGACACAGTCCATCAGAATGGACCCAAATGCCATGTGTAGGCAGTATTATCTGTCTTTCAAAAATGGAATACAGAATCTGGTCATGGCACTTTTACTGTTTCTAATTCATTGCCGGAGGCTCTTTATTAGTAGGATGCTCCAGCGTCTCTCGGACACTGTCCTGCTCCCTGACCAACTGTTCAGGAGGTCCTTGCAGCCTCGTGTATCAGATCAGGAAAAATACAGAAGCCTGTTCAGTCCTCCATTGTTGCTTGGCTCCTTGTACCATACAGTGTTTCGACTGAGTGGCAGTGCTGCGTCATCTGTCACGTGAAAGTGATTCCCTAGGGAAAACTGCCTCACTGGTCCAGATCTCTGCACAGGCCTGGCAGGCTTCTCCATGAAAGGATGGTGCCATTTCCTCAGTGCTGGCTGCAGCCAAGAATATCCCACTTCTCTGCTCCCACCATGCAGCTCCCAACGCCCAGCTCTTCCCACTGGCATCCCTGGGTACTCATTAGCTGCAGAGGCACTGAGCTGGTGTTGGTTCCACTGTGTACTACCTCTGGGATCCAGAGCCACCTTCTCCCTTCCTTCCCAGGGCTCTACGTTTGCAGTTCAGTTGCTTTGTTTTTTTTTTTTTTCTCTTAAAGCTTAAACATCCAAAGTACTCTGCCCCCTTTTCTAAATGTTGAAGCTATTCACTTTCCCTATGATAGGCTGAGTTCCGTACCTCTAGGGCACCTTATACCCACTCTTTGGAGAGAAACCACCTTCAGCGACTCAAAGACATTTTAGCCATCTAAGACAGACTCCCCTACCCTTTGAGGGAGGTGGTGCTACTCTCAGTGATTTCCAGTGATTGAGGGTGTAACCCCTCAATGAAGAAAAGTGAGGAGAAGCTGATTGTACTATCTGGCAAGACATTTTGCTATAAACAAATAAAAAATAAAATTGAGTGCCTACAATGTCCCAGGTATTGTGTTTGGCATAGGTAATCAATCAGAAATCAATGAAATTTCTAGAAATTGTTCATAGAGATTGATAAGACACTGTCCCTGTCCTCAGAGAAGTTCAGAAACAGCTTAGGAGAGAAAGCAGACAGATGAGCACCATGCTGTTCACAAATATTATAAGAGGCAACTAGAGGACATGATGCCAACACAAAGGAGAAGCTCCAACCTGTCTTGCAGAAAACAGTCACCCACAACTAGTTTAGGTCTTCAAGGACCTCCTCGTGCCATGCCTTGGCATGGATAACCATCTGAGTATCAAGTAGAGGCACAGAAAGTGTGCACATCTCAATACTAACATCATGGAGAATAAACTTAATATGAAATCAGATAAGAAACACAAAGAAGGCAAGACTCTTATATTAGTCTGGATTCTTTTGGTTGTAAGTGACAGAAACTTGATTCAAACTAGTTTAGGCCACACTGGGATTCAGAATGATACTGGACCATAATCAGGAATAAGAGCAGGGACCCAGAAGCAACTTGAAAGTGAAGCTTAAACACCACCATGACTCTCTGTCATTCTTCTCAGAGGAAGGCTTCGCTGTCTTCCACAGACTGACTGCCTTCATGTGGTGGGGATCACAGCTCAGAAAGCCCCTGAATCCGGCATGCAGGGGCTGCTGCCATCAGAGGGAGAGAGGCAATCTTCTCTTGGTTCCAATTCAGAAAACCCCAGGGAAAGATTCTGATTGGCCTGTTTTCGATGGGTGTCCATCCCTAGACAAATAAACCATAGGCAGGGTTTGGGGAGAAGATAGGGTTGCGCTGCTTGGAAAAAGCCATGGCAACTCTTGTTGGTGTCAGTCCCAGAGATGGGGGAACTCTGAACCAAGAGCCACCCCAGCAGATATCTACTAATTCAATGCTCAGAACACTCGGGAGTGAAAGGTATCATTACTAAGAAATTGCACCCAGTTTTTTTTTTTAATCATTTCACAATTAAAACCTTAAACTAGCCCTAAAATACTGGCATAAATAGGCTAAATCTGTGTAACTACAAGCATATAGTAATACTTTCCTAATTATTTTCTAATCACCAGGAAGTTGACTAGGATAAATAAATATGAACTGCTTATGTGTGTCCAATATTTCGCTGAGCATTAAGGGGATCGTGTGGGAACAGGAGTTGGAAAAAGTAAGTTTCAATGCCTGCCTCAAGGAGCTTACCCACTACGGAAGTTACCTGGGACCAGAAATAGATCATGGAGATCATCTAGTCCACAGATATTTCCCTGAAAGTTCCTGAGAAGCCACCAAAGAGTTGGGGGAGGGGAGCTGGAGTGGTGGGGAGGGCGGATCATAATAGGTTGAGCTGATGAGTTCTGAGCTCCCGGTTCTTCTTCAGAATGTCTCCTGCTACATCTGCTCTGTATAGAGGCATATCACAAAAAATAGTGTTTGTAAAAAAGGTTTTTACTCCTTTAAAAGTGTTTGAACACTACAGATATAGTCCAGCTTCCTTATGTTGCTCCTGCAGATTTCAATGCCCAGATCTGCCTCTTACATGCATTTAATTGCCACATTTAAATAAGAACTGGCTGGCTAAGGCAGGCGTGGGTCTAGAGCCCTCTCCTCCTGACACCAGGCCACCACCGTTCTACCACCAAGCCTCACTTCACTTACATGAACAGCCAGATAAAACCATTGTCAAGAGGTCTCATGCAGAAATTCAAAGAAGAAAGATCCTTCTCTTGAGTCATTCACTATTCTACAGGGTAGTGAGTAGTATTGTATTAGGGTTCTCTAGAGGGACAGAACTAATAAGATAGGTGTATATATGAAGGGGAGTTTATTAAGGAGAATTGACTCAAAATCACAAGGTGAAATCCCACGATAGGCCTTCTGCAAGCTGAGGAGCAAGAATGGCAGTCGTGGCTCAGTCCCAATTCCAAAACCTTGAAAGTAGGGAAGCTGACAGTACAGCCTTCAGTCTGTGGCCGAAGGCCCAAGAGCCATTGCTGTAAGTCCAAAAGTCCAAGAGCCACAATTTTGGAGTCTGATGTTCGAGGGCAGGAAGCATCCAGCATGGGAGAAAGATGAAGGCCAGAAGACTCAGCAAGTTGGCATCTCCCACCTTCTGCCTGCTTTATCCTAGCCACACTGGCAGCTGATTGGATGGTTCGCACCCACATTAAGGGTGGGTCTGCCTCTCCCAGTCCACTGACTCAAATGTTCATCTCTTTTGGCAACACCCTCACAGACACACCCAGAAACAATACTTTGCATCCTTCAACCCAATCAAGTTGACGCTTAATATTAACCATCACTGTTATACTTTGTGGAAGGTGGGATAGGGGGAGAAGAGGAGAATAGAAGGGAGAAGAAAGCTGGCACGTCTGAGGCCTGCACCATGCAAGGTGTCAGGTGCTTGGCCTGTGTAGAAGAGCATGAAGTGAGACAGGAGCTGACAAGGAAGAATATAAAGGAGAAAGGAGTAGAGGAAAGAAGGATGGGAGAGGCAGGGGCCACACCAGCCAAGAAGTTCCAAGAATCACACTTAAAACAGATGTTTCTTCCTTTGTTTTTGTGTCACAGGTTTGAAATCCTCAAGTCACCTACTCAACATTTTCTCAGGAAATCATAATCAGACCCTTTAAAATTTGCTGTAACTGCAAATGCTTATATTCTAATAGCAAATGCTTATTGACAGTCATTGTGTGGCAGGCACTGCGCTCAGGGCCAGACAGAATATGGGCAGCTTGGGTTGGCTCACCGTTTGGTGTCACTACAAACCAATATCCTATTGACCAACAGTCGTTTTCTGAGGGTGAGAGAAACTGATTTTCTGTTAATATAATTCATATTCATCGATCTTGATGTTCAAAATAAGAGACTTATTTCATGTACTGAAACATTTTGACTTAATTAAAATTGCCTTCCATTTCACTTATTTCACTCTCACAACTGAATAGTGTTCTTTTCAAAGCATTAAGATAACATACTGATAGAGTTGTAAAATCTTGTTCAAATTTTGCTTAAAAATCTAATTTCTCTGACTTTCATGTTGACAGAATGTTTCCCGTGTTTTTGTTCTTGTTTTCTGTTATGATTCTTTAAAAGCAGACAACCCCGTTTGGGAAGCCTAGTATCAGGATTCTAATTTAGATAATAGCATAATTCTCCAGAATACAGCCATAAGCCCGGCATCATTTGGTTTTAGATTTTCAGCTGGCTATGACTTCCAGCTTCAGGCTGGGTGGTGGCAGAACCTGCATGTGTCCCATGCAACTCAGCCACACTGGCCAATCAGGATAGTTTTTTTCTCTATTCCAAGGGGCTGTCTATTCCGGCAGGACAGAGCCAATTCCATTTCGCCAGGATGACGTGTAGACACCTGAGTTACTGGCACCATGTTTATAATTTATTCCTGGGGTATTTGGTCTCCCTTCAGCATGGACCCATAGACCCTCAGGCAGCTGCCCTGATGGCCAGCTCTTAATCTGGCTTTGACTGTGCCAGCTGTTCACATGCATTTAATCCTCACAACAATGGTAAGAAAATAAGTATTATTATACCCATTTTACAGATTAATAAATTGAAGCTGAGAGTGATTAAGTAACAAACTAACTGGAAAACAGTAGAGTCAGGGTTTGAACCAGAATATGTCATTTCAAAGCTCATGCTCTTACAGTATACACGACTCTATACTGACACCTCTTGGTAAGTTAAGTACATCTTTCACTTATATTCCTATTTTAGAGTTTCTGCCAAAATTGCTGTTTTTAACTTGAGACCTACAAAGTCAACAGCATTGACTTTGGGTCACTAGCTCTGTCAGTTCTACCAAGACAGCAGTGTGTGGCGTAGTAGTAGTAAGAGCCCAGGACTAGGAGGCCTAGTCTATGGGTCACAAGGCCTAACACATAGTAGGTGCTTTGTGTAGAATTATGAAGCACAAGTCACCTGTGTACATTTGATTATGACTTTCTTCTGAGTATTTAAGAGACCACTTTAATTAAAGATCCTGCAGTTTATACCTGCATCACAAGGGTTGTAAAACACTGTAGTGTAGCATCAAAAACTACCACCATTTACTGAAAACGTATTAAACTTCCTACATAGTACAGGAACTGAGGAGCAAGGAGAGTGTAGGAGACTTTTGCTCAAAGTAGCCTCTGCCTCTAACTGCTATTTTATTCAACTTGTCTTCCCTTCTAACTTTGTCCCAGAAAAATCTCTAGGGAAATGAAATTAAGCTGTTTCCCAGATTTACTTTTCAAAATTAGTCCTGGGCTGGCCTTCAACACTGCAAACACATTCTGTGTAGTCACAAGGGAGGACTGCATTGAATTCTTGGACCAACTATGAAGCTCTGGGGGCCAGACAAGCTGAACAGGCTCAAGAAAAACACAGAGTGGGTGTTTTGTGCTAATTACTGCCCACCACGCTGGTCTGTCCAGGGGCGGAAGCCTCTTTCCTGTGCCCTTTTGTTTGTCCTTGCCCTTTCCTGCTATTAGAAATAATATCTGTTTTCTGCCTGTGCTTGGGTTTTGGGCTGGGTAACTGTTACCCACAGTAACTAAATCAGGCCATAGTTTTGCACAAATACCCAGGGACCATCATCAGAATTAGGGCAGTTTCCCAATCTAAATGGTCCTCCTTCACAGAGGTGGGAGGTGGCGTGGTTTTTCTTGACACATGGGCTGCCTGCTGTGGTTAGTCACCCTGTCTGAGGGCCCATCTGTAAAAGCTAGACATCGTCAAGGACTTGGCTTCATCATTTTCTTGGGACGAAGAAATTCAATTTTAAATCTGCATATTCATCATTCTGGAGAAATAAACACAGTGTGAAACTAACTAAAATATTTAATAGTCAACATTTAATAATTCCCCAATCATATGTGGAATGAGATTTCATTCTCAGGAATTGTAACACTCATACATATGTAATTATACAGGCAGTATTCAAGAAAGCTATCTTTCTTTCCCATAATAGATTTTCTTTCATTCTATGTGAGTTTTCAACAGATTGGCCCCAAGAGGAAAATACCGCCTACTCTGTCCTTTCCTTACAGTGCTGAGGTCATGGTGTTTTAAGCATTACTGGAATTTCCTTTGTATCCAAGTCTTTCTTATCTTCTCATCCTTAAAGTCATCTTTTCACTGACATTCTCTCTCAACACAAACAAAGCAACAACAACAATTTTTTAGCAGAAAATATCTACATAAATTCGGATTTTGTTCAGGTAAGAATTACTCCAGAGGGAAGTCCTCATCTGACACCAGTCCTCTGCTTTTTCTTAGCCATAGAAAGATGCTCAGCTCTGGGCAAATGTAATCTCCTGGTGCCCATGGTGAGGAGGTGTTGAGGGAGCAAATTTTAGGAGTCTGATATCAGTGACCGTTTTGCCAGTAAAATTGTGGATTTCAACACATCTTCTTTTATAAATGTTTAACACAGGGGAGATTTAGAGGGACTGTTTGTGGTCAACTTTTGTAGAGTCTATCCATAAATGCCATTTATTTTTCATCACACAAGAAATTAACAAAATCTAAACCAATCCCTCCTGCAAAGACATTATTCAGTGGTAACAAGTCCCGATATGAAGAATTTGGGTTTCCTTCTGTCTAATCATATGGCCATTTTCCCAACTGTTTCACACATGCTAATGGAGTGTGACAAGTAAAACACATTTGGCTCAGTGTAGGGTCCAACATGAGATGGCTTCACAATGACAAAGCTTCTGATCATTTTTCCCCTAATCTACCACTGCTTTGGGGAGTTGGTGTCTTCCCTGTCATGAGTGATTTCAGTGCACTGATCAGGGTAGACTTGACAGATTCTTTATCAATGTCAAATGCCTTTTGTGGTTAAGTCCAGTAACGCTAAAACAAAACGCCTCATAGATATTAGATATATGGTGGCATTACGGAATTCTCTTGCAGGCAATATTTTTTGGTCAACCTATGAAAAGAAAAATGGAGCGCAAGCTAAAAAGCAAAGGAAGATGCAGTAGAAGTCCTGACAGTTATTTCCATGGAAAACAGACAATGTGAATGACGTGGGGCCAATCGCCCTTCCCCTCTTTTATTCATGTTAAAATAGAACAAAGAGAAATTGCCAACAAAGAAAGCAATGATCTAGGAGGAGGGGACTGAATCTCATCCACTCTCCCAATATTTAACTTTAGTGCAAACTGCCTTAGAAAAAGTAGAATCCAAGAATCTCTGAGCAAAATTGTCTGGGAGATATTGAGTGGTGTTTTCTTTTGGCAAGAAGGGTTTGCAATGCCATCCCTGTGCCTTTCTAGCAGTACAGCCATGACAATTGTATTATGGAGAATACTCTCTTCTTCAGTTCATAACAATGGTTATTCCACGGGCAGATTATTAAGGAATCCCTCACAGGTGCACACTGTGAGGCCTACATGTATATGTGAGAAAGATACCAACCACCCCTGCACTCCCCATCCAAAATAAATAAAATATCCCAACCACTTGCTGAATCTGAATTGTGCTAATCTAAAATTTCAGATTGCCACTCTCAGAATAACATGGACTCCAGGAAGCTTCATTTGCCTTTTTAGAAACCCCAAAGCCAAGGACAACAAAATTCTCATCAAAGCCACAAACGAACAGTGGAAAGAATTACTCCAAGTGCTGGGTGCTAACCTGAAATTGTTATGTGTTACACTATCAAACTGGTAAATTAATATGAACAAACAAGCCATACGACACACCCTGAGTCCTCGCCTTCAGATGCTCTTCTTCTGTTTTATACAGTTAAAGGCTGAAGCTATTTCAATATTTTATATGATTTTTTCTTTTTTTTGTACTAATTTAGAAAGTTGGTACTTTAATGTAATTGAACTCACTGAAGCTAAAAATGTCCAGACCTTCTTAATAAGGTAGCTTCCAATATTAAACTTTGGGGTCTGTTTTCCTCCCAAGCAGGCACTTAATTCCCATTAGCACTAATGGCAAGTGTGCACAAACATTGAGTAGGAAATATATATCTCTTTGTCTCTTTGTACTGAGGTCCAAGAAGGGAAAAAAAGAAAGCAAGAAAAAAAAACAACAACTTTGAGATTGGATAAAAGAAGTAGAGCTGTAGATTCATTTACAAAGATGAAATTAATGCCTAGCACCCCCAAATTTCAGGGAGAACACATCTTTAATAAGCAAGATGAGGAGAAAATTTCTAAATCATTTCAAATAATACCCAAGCCATGCTTTTCTGAGAAGCCTGTTTCCCCTCCATCCCCAGCATATACATTAAACCCATTTTGCCCTTGTTATGTACATAATGATTCTAGACAACATAAGAAGATTTCATGATTTTTTCTTATCATTTTTACTTATCTACCAGTGAGCCAATTTATGCAGCTTAAACCATTGCTAAACAAGATGCATCAAAAATTGTCTGTAATCATTACAAATAATAGCACAGAATGTTCACAAGAAGCTGTTTTCTTATCATATTTTCATTAAAACATCTTTTCACCTGCTTTGCTTTTCCCATGTCTGGAACCTGTGTTGTAATCAGTCTTATTAACTGGGAACATAAATATGATTTATTATGGTCTGATAATGGAAGCTACGTGGACCCAGAGAAGGGCTATATTGTCCTTTGATAAAATGGCTCTTTTCTCTCAAATGGAGAACTCTATCATGAGAACATGCAGAATGTAGTGAGTGATTATTTCCTCAGGGTGAGTGATGGAAAAGCCCAACAGAAAATCTTCTTGTTGACCACGACAGCCTCAGAGGGTCCCCAAACCTCTCTGAGTTTGACAACCTGCAGACACTTTTGATGAACTGTATTCTTCTGTCAGAGACAGCCTGTCTGGGAGGAGAAAAGAGACCTTTATCGTCTGATCGGCTATTATTGTCTTGATCTTTTATAAGCAATCTCTAATGCACATGAATATAATATCCTTTCACACAAGTGCCAAGCATAATAGAAATGTAGTTAAAGGACCCTCTCCCTGGTTATGTAAATGTCCTTACACCAAAATTAAGAGAGATGGTTTGTGACTGATAGAAGAAGGAAAGAGTAATCAAGCTGTTTTAGCATTCTCTTCCTATATTAAAGACTTCAACCCAGGATAAACAGCATTTACGGTAGATATAAGGAACCAGGTTATTTTGAAGGCTTTGCCCAAAAGGAAAAAATAGTTTTGAATATGATATTAGTGTTATATTTTTATTAAACATGCAAATGGAAGCTGGTTTTTAGCCAAGAGAGATTACTATGCTGATATAACTTAGAAGAAAATGAGTATGTTTCTCAAAATCCCTGTCTGTGGCTTACAGCGAAAACAAAGACCTATTAATAAGGAATGGACTTGCACAAATAGGTCCTCAAGTCCAAATAAAGTTCTCCAATAAATTTCCCTCTTATCCATTTCCAGGAGCCTAAATATAGCAAAAATATATATATTTTTTCAATTAACAAATATATTTACAGGCAAAATGCCTACAATTATTGGGCAATTAAATTCACTTTTTACATGACCCCTGGGAACCATCTCCATTTCTGAACTGTGAAGGATAGTTCTAGATGGTATTTGTTTGGATCTGGTGGCAAAACTTTTCTGACCTTCCAGATAAAGCCCAACCAGCTCATGGAGGACAATAGCTTGATGTTCAATCTCAGTTGCTGGCAGAAAGAAGAAAAAGACATCATCACCCCTCCTAAAATTTTTAATCCCCTCCAGCAAAATACAATACTTAATTTTTCATTAGCCTTCTGACATCTGGACTCGGAATATCCCCACAATAATCACTAATGGGTTTTGCATTACCAATTAGTGGAGAAAACCCTCCAGTGCTGGTGCCAAAGGGTTAATCATTAGTTTCACACCACTGGGTGGTCAGAATTGGAAGAGCAGCCCTTGAACCCAAAGGGGCGGAGAGCAGGGGCCCCAGGCTGGGGAGAGCTCTCATTATTAAGAAACGTGCAACTCACAGGCACTGACCTCCATACCCGCTCCTGGCATCTTGCCTTGAGGTGGATTTGAATATTACACACGGGCACGTGCACATGCGCACTCACACGTTTATGTACATGTCTGGGCCTAGAACAAATCACCCACTTAGCCAAACTTTATTGAACCTGTCCCATCAAAGGTAGCTCAGACCAGAGGAATTCCCTTTCTCTCAGCACCTCTGTCTACTTGCTTCTCTAAGCAATGACTTTCCCATGGGAATGAAAAAATTTGCCATTTCAGAGGGAGTTGGGTTTTGAGAAGTGTTTGATCTCCCTTAAGAGATACTTCTCTGAAGTTCTGCCAACCCTCGATTATCTGTACAAATGAGGCTTAAAGAAAATATGGGTAGATTTGATTCACAGATAATCTTCAAGCTCCAGTTTGGTCTATATTTTCGTTTCTTTCTGAATAAATTGTACTAGTGCAATTAACAAGCAAAACTGATTGGATGTTTCCTTCCTTTTATGGTCAATTCTGTGGATGTCAGCAGAGTAAGCAAACTGTCAAAAAAGCTGGCAAACAAAAGAGAGGAAAGGGAAGAAACAAAATACCCAGATAATCTGCAAACTGATCATCTGCTCCTGAATAATTGAAAAGAATCTAATTTCAAAGATAATGCAAAAAAGGGGCCTGGTGAGCAATTCCATCTTGAAAATGCACAACCCCTTCCCCTAACCCCCAAACAGCTAGTAGAAAAACAAATCATCAACAACAACAACAAAAAAAAAACCCACAAGAAAAATTCCAACCTACTGTCCTCATCCACATTTTCCTTGATCTGATCTATATGTGTTCTAAGTAAAATTTTATTCTAAGGAGGATCAGAGCATGGAAGAGGAGAAGAAAGCGTCATAAACATTTCTTATTTGTGATCTGCCTAGCCTGTGCTGATAGCAACAGGGTTGCTTTCAAAACCATGCTGGCCTAAAACTTCAGCAATCAATCCACCTCATTTCTAATTTTTTTTAAAAGGAAAACCAATATCCAAGAAAGGGACAACAATGTCTCAGTACTTTATTTTCTTTTTTTCCTTTTTTTGGTCCCAAATGTGTGATTCCTTATTAAAAATAAAAAAAATGCTCAAGTACATTTGAGACCGAAATGTGAAACTGTTATGCTTGATTCTCCATGGTGCTTCCACTCAAGGTCAACACTTAGAGCTTTTCAGTTAAGAGAAGAAACGCTCCTAATGAGCCTATGCATGCACAGATTTTGGCCAGTCATTGACTGACTGCACTTATTTAGTTTTGCTTTAGAAATTAAAATCTAATAAAGTAACTGGCAGTTTAAATGTCACCGAAATTTTCTCCAACTTCCCAACTGGAATTGTGAAAACAGTCTCGAATTCCTCTAATCTCCCCGTCTTTCACCTTCAAATGCCACACTTCTGAGGTGAATCATTTCCTAAGAAATAGCAGAACTAGGCTGGGTTCAGAGGTCAGGGGCACAAGGTGGGGAGAGGAAGACTCTTTCTTCGAGTTGGAGGGGATTTGCTTTTTTCCCCACACCAAGGCAAGAAGGACAGGAATCTTGAGGCTGGGAATGTTCTGCCTCTTGCAAAGGAATTCAAAAGAGCCATTGTGTTTGATACTTTGCTTCCCAATTGGCCTCTGACAGCAACATCAGAAGCAACAGATACTTCAGTTCTACATCTAGAAAGAGGCTTTTTTTGTTTTTTTTTCTGGGTAAAAAAAAAAAAAAAAAACCCACACACACTCCTGAAAACATTGAAGCCTAATTACTCTACATCCCATAGTCTTAAAGATTGGGATCTCTCTGATAGTTGGTGATAACCCCTTGAGGAACAGGAGCGGGTCCATTAGAAACTCAGATAACATTTCTTTTTTTTTTTTTTTTTTTTTGAGACGGAGTCTCGCTCTGTCGCCCAGGCCGGACTGCGGACTGCAGTGGCGCAATCTCGGCTCACTGCAAGCTCCGCTTCCCGGGTTCACGCCATTCTCCTGCCTCAGCCTCCCGAGTAGCTGGGACTACAGGCGCCCGCCACCGCGCCCGGCTAATTTTTTGTATTTTTAGTAGAGACGGGGTTTCACCTTGTTAGCCAGGATGGTCTCGATCTCCTGACCTCGTGATCCACCCGCCTCGGCCTCCCGAAGTGCTGGGATTACAGGCGTGAGCCACCGCGCCCGGCCCAGATAACATTTCTATACTTTACCCTCAATAAAACTGAGAGCCAAAATAGGTATATTGGCTGGGTGCTTTTATTCCCCTGGCCATTGAATTGTAATGATCATTATGCAAGACACAACAATATCATTCATTAAGCTATCAAATGGAAAATACATTCTTCACTAAAATGTAAAAGGTATTTAGGATGTCCAGGGCTAAATGACCAAGGAATTGGTTTAGGTTAACTATTGTCTTCCTTGCTTTTCTAGAAGATATATAAATCAAGTCCTCATATACATGGTAGGAACTTTAAAGTTCTGAATGGTCTGAATCTTAGCATTATGAATACATTATAAGAGAATAGAAAGTATTCTATGCAGCGCAGTAATTATATTCATGGAAGTTGGAACTGCTATACAATATCTCCTGGGAGAAGTTTACCCCATTTCTACTGCTACTGGGACACAAACGGAGATGAACCACAAGCAGGAAAAGAGAAGAGAGAAAGAATAGGAGTAGCAATCCAGGAAGCATTGAGGGAGACTGAGGGTAGAGGCTGAAGCAGGAGAGAAGCCATTACTTAGTGGAGAGGGGTTTATGAAACCATTAGCAAGCATGGTAAGGAGGCAAAGAAAGCCAGCCACCAAGACAGAATGCATTCCTCACATTGTAGCCAAAGATAAAGAATCTTAGGCCATTTTAGTTGTTCTGCCAGCTAAGTCAAATCTCGAGCCTCTCTGAAGCCATTGAAAATGTCTCAGGTTTTCTCATTCTGCTATTTTGATAGAAATTAAGCTTTGTAAGTCAAGAAGAACAGAATCAACTCTATATACATGCACTCCTTCTTTATACCCTATTCCTACCTACCTGATTTCATGCCCAAATGATTTAAGACTCCCAAATGCAAGTGAAAATTTTAAAGTTGGAGATATGCTTGTAAAACCACCTAAATGTAGGTCTAAGTTTCCTACTAAAAGAATATTTTAAAAAGATATGGAGAATAATTGTACAGTACTCTTGCACAAAAAAGAAAAATGGAGGCATACCCGTGAAAGGCTCATGAAATAGTCCTTGAAAGTGCTTGAAGTGATGGACAAGTGCGTCCTATGGGAATCTGCTGAGTCTTGTATAGACATAAACAACATTAGTGAACTTTTCTTGTCCAACTTGCCCTTGCGCATCTTTGGCTGGTTCCTCTCCCCATCTACCTTCCCTCTGGGCATCTTTTATTTAAAAAATTGTTTCTTTACTCATGTCATCTGCTATCCTCTCCTCTAGATTTTGACCATCCATTACTTGGACACAACATTAAAGAAGTTCTCCAACTGAAGAAAGATGTTGATTCCCCTTATAGAAACAGCCACTCTCAGCTACCTTGTCACTCCACCAATTAAGATTTTCAACATCTGGAGCAAGATTAAGAGATGTATATCCATTGTTGACCTGTTCCAGATGCAGAAATGATGGTAGTTGCTGAGAAACCATAAAACAAATACTAAACAAAATGAAAGGATAACATTCTGAGCAAAGCTCAGAACCAACAATTAGATACTTGAACCCTAACTCTGAGACCCCAGGGGCACCCAGGGCAACCATATTTCTGAAAAGACTCCAGTCTAGTTCTTGAATTTTTAACTCTATGCCTTTAGCTACTGAAAAACTAGGCCAAATTTGGTGCAATTTCAGTTCCTAGAGACTTTGCAGTCACTTATTCTTTTGAACACTTCTTTGGGGCTTTGTCAACATCCTGCATTTTCATTCATTCCATCATAAAAGCTTCTTTTTAGCTATAAAGAAGACTTATGCCAATTAACATTGTATTTTGTCATCCTCTTAGAGGCTTAGCCTTTGCAGAGAGGATTGACAATGACTTCACCCTGAGTGGTGAGTGGTCTCTCTCAGTCATAATCACAGGCTCAACAGTGCATCATTCCCAATGCCACCTTTTCTTTTTTATAAGTGTTAAAATATTAAATATGTAAGGAAAATGTTCTATAATGCAGCATCATCTCATGCTAGTCATCAGGTTTAAAGTTAAGAAGATAGAAACTTCATATATTTGACAAAGATAAAACAAAAGAATGAAAGGGGGAAAGTATGAGCAGGGGTATTTCTTTCCTGGGATTGTTATTCAGATACAGTTAGACAACTCCTGCTGATTCTGCCGATGGAGGAGGCATTAGACTGATAAAGCCAACCCTTTAGTTTCAACTTCTCTATAATTCTAACATTACTGGGACTATTGAGAGATGTCAAGCAGCTGGGGTCATGTCCCAATACAGAGATCAATGTCTCCTAATATACTCACAGAATACATACAGACATACTCATGGAATTCTCACAAATTAGGTAGGCACTAGAGAGAAGAAAATAAAAATCACAAATAAGGTACTCCACACTGGAGAGTCCAACAGTGACGGCAACATAAAACCCAATTCGAAGCACATAAATACAGAACAGAAATCTACTGGCCCTGTAACTGAGAAGTTCAAGGCATGGTCTAGCTTCAGGCATGGCTCACTCAGGTGCTCAAACAATGTGGTCAGAAATCTATTTCTTTCCCACCATCTCTTTTCTCTATTTTACTCTGTGTTGGTTTTAGCTTTAGGCAAGATTTTTCTATTGGGTGGTAAAGAAAGGTACAGCAGCTCCAAGCTTACACTTTTACCAAGGACATTTTACCAGGGATCCTACAAAAAAATTATGTCTATTTCCCAGAAATTATATCAAATCCCCAAAAGGACTCTTAAGAGTGCTGCTTGGAACTCTTGCTGATTGGGCAGCCTGACCATTTGATTGACAGCCCTACCTGAGTCACAGAGAATTTAGGAAGGGTGAATCCAAAAGGAAGGAAAAGAACCTTTCATCAGAAGGAAGGATAATGGAGGCTGGAAGGTCAAAGGCAGATGTCCTCCAGGCAGTGCCATTCCAGTCACTTTGAACCTAAATCATTTGCAGGGACCTTTGGAACTCATTAGCATCCCCTGGCTCAACGGCAAGATGGTACCTCACCTTTGCTCCAAGTTGCTACAATGTTTTTTCATATCTGAGTAGAGAACAGACCTCAGTGCCTTACGTACCTTACTACATGGATGAATAAGATCTACTCAGTAGCTTGCAATGGTTCTTTGACTGCCATTACTGACTATGATGTAAATAAGTAGTTACTGACTTAAGAACTCACTATTTACTCAATAACTCTTGATGGGAACTGTGATCCCCTTACACACTATTACAGAAGTACATAATTATAGACCTTTCAAAACGGTTATTTCTTTCAGGCATTTGCCTGTAATAGCTCCTTCAAAGCTGTTAAGCTTTTATCATGTGAAGACCCAAGTAGAAAATATTTGGTTCACTCCTCATTGACCTAATAGAGAAAAAATTCATCTTTAAGATGGTGTTAGCTTCCTGGCAAGAACACATGGTCAGCCTTGTCTGGCTTGGGCTATATGAGAAGGAAATCAAATTGCTATTAGATCATGCTCACCTCATTTAGTAATTAAATACTGACACCAAATGATCATTGGTCACTATTTCTTCAGTCTCCTCCGAAGGAAATCTTGTCACAGCCATTTGTCCTGACTCTATTACAATCTATCTAGCAAGGGTTCTATAAAAGTAAAATGCCAGGTAGGTCTGCTGGCTTCAACATATCTCATTGCTGAAGCATGGGGCACAATTCTTACTTTAATGAGAAAAAGTTTTTATGCATAGTAAATACATTGGTCTCAAAGAGGAAACCACAGCTAGGATCAGGAGATTGTTAGATGCCTGGCTCTGCCTTGAGCTCAAGAAAATCATGTAATATATGATGCAATGAACTGTATACATTTTAGTCTGTTTGGGCTGCTATAAAAAAATACCTTAGATTGGGTAATTTATAAACAACAGAAATTTATTGCTCACAGTTCCAGAGGCTGGGAAGTCCAAGATCAAGGTGCCAACAGATCTGGTGTCTGGTGACAGCCCATTACTCATAGATGGCCCCTTCTTTGTGTCCTTACAAGGCAGAAGGTGAAAAGGGCTTTCCCAAGCCTCTTTCATAAATGCACTAATCCTATTGATGGGGGCAGAGCCCTGATAATCTAATCACATCCTGAGTACCCCACCTCTTAATATTATCATATTGGGTTTTAAGTGCCAATATATGAATCATAAGGGGACCCAAACATTCAGACTATAGCAGTATATATCTGACACAATCATTATATGTGATGTGTATCACATTACAAAAATTATTGCTCTACCATGTTTGAAAGGTTGTCAAGATATATAGAAAAATGTGTTTAATTTGCTCAGTTCAAGTCAAGAAACTGGTGAGTATTTATAACCCTGTTAAAGGGACTAGGTTAAGTGAGGAAGATGCAAATATAAAAATAAAGTTTGCTTTCTTGCTTGCTCACCCACATCAGGACTCTATTTTTACTGCCCCATTTCCTACCATTCCCACTGACTCCCTCTCTAGGCTTCACTACTTACAACTTTCTCCCCAAGTCTCAGGTAAGCACGACTCCTTTTCAGCTTCCTGCTGTTACACGTGCTGCTTTTTCTCTTTTCTTCTGCCTAGACCTTACTAAAACATCACCTCTCCAATAAAGCACCTGCTGATTCATGTGGGCAGAGCTAGCCACACACTATCTCTGTTTCTGAGGCACATATAAGCATCTGTATTGTACCATCAGCGTTTCTTCATGTGTTTTCTCCCCCATTATACTGTGAGCTCCCTAAAGGTCAAGATTATGTCTGATTCATGGCTATCTCCTCAGGGCCCTTGCACAGTACTTGGCACAAACAAGTCCCTAGTAAGATGTCAAGTAACTGTAATTTACTTGACCTCATTCCTTCTGCACAGAAAACTACTTTGCTCTCCTTGCATTTCTACTGTCAGGCCTCATAGGTGACTAGAAGAGAGACACAGGTGCATGAGCCAGGATCACAGAAACTGAAGTCAATGTTGTAATGGAAATTCAAACAAGCAATGAGTGGGAGGGGACTTAGAGGTACGGAGAATAGAAGGAGGAAGAGAGGAAGAAAAGGAGAGACAGAGCAAAAGAGATGGAGGTGAGAGCATCTCAGGAGGAGGAGGCGGTATGAGCAGTGGCTCTGGTTGGGGAGGGGAAGGTGAATGGAACATGAAGAAAGGAGAAACACAGGCTCTTGATATGGGAGGAACAGGGGATAGCATGGGAGAATTGCAGGGTAACAAACCAGGATGTCATGTTAGAAGGGTCAGTTGAGGTAGGACTGACCATCCAAGATTTGCATTGCCAGGCTGAGGAATTTGCATTTTTGGACTCTGCAATGGTGGAGATTTGTGGAGGGGAAAGAGTAACAATGGAGGCATTTGATCCCATATGGAAGTTGGTAACCCAATGGGGAAATTATGAAGATTGGGGTTCTAATGCTCAGAACCAAAACACTCAGACTGTACTTTTCAAGAATTCAACCTCTCAGCCAACTTTAGTGAAACACAGGCCTTCCTGCACATATCAAATGAGAGAACAAATTGCAGGTGATTGGCCCTGATATTTCTTAGCCTTTAGATTCTCAAGCATGCCAGCAATTTGCAGATTCCTCTGCCTGGGACTCATGACCCCCAGGCATTCTCATGGCTGCCTCTCCTTTATCATTTTTACAGAGGTCCCTGCTCAAATATCATTTTTACAGAGAGACCCTTTCCTAACCACTGTGTCGAAAAAAAGCACCCCCAGTATTTTATCCTTTTATCCTGTCTTACTTTTCTTCAAAGCACTTATGTCTAATTGACATCATATTATATGTCTATATATTTACTTTCTTAATATTCATACCCTCCAATATGAGGATCATCAAGCTTTTACTATGAACACCATAAAGACCCAGATGGTAAATATTTTAGGATTTGCAGACCATAAAGTCTGTTGTAACTACTAAACTCTGCCATTGTGGCACCTAAGCAGCTATAAACAATGCATAAATAAATGGACACAGTTGTGCCACAATAAATCTTTGTTGACAAAAATAAGCTGTGGGCCAGATATGGCATGGGCCATAATTTGCCAACCCCTGCTCCTGTAGAAAGCTCCATGAGGTCAGCAATACTGTCTTGCTCACTCTTGGGTCTCTAAGGGTTGACACGAAGTAGGCACTCAATTAGGAATTTTTAAAGAATAAATGAAGTCCTATGGGAAGCAGACAGGTGTAGGAATACTACACCCATGTGAATATATATATTTCCTTTGTGATGGCTAACCTTATGTGTCAACTTGACTGGTCATGATGCCCAGATATGTGTAAAACATTCTTCTGGATGTTTTTGGTGGAGATTATCATTTAAACTGGTAGACTTTGAGTAAAGCAGATTGTCCTCCATGCTGTAGGTGCTCCTTATTCAATCACTTGAGGGCCGGAATAGAACAGAAGGTTGGCACACACACTGCCCCCAAGTCATCCCTCAGCAAGCAGAATGCTGCCAGTAGATGGCCTCTGGGTGTGAACTGCAGCACTGGCTCCTCTCCTGACTTCAGTCTGCCAGCCCACCCTGCAGATTTTGGATTTGCTAGCCTCCATAATCTTGTTAGCCAATTGCTAAAATCAATCAGTCAATAAATAGACAAATAAATAAATCTCCTGTTGGTTCTGTTTCTCTGGAGAGCCTTGACTAATAAACACATAAATACACCACAGATTTATTCCATTAGCAAAGCAGGAAACCAGTTGGCTCTGTAGAATTGGAAGCCTTACTTTCGGGCATGTGCAAATCCCCATCACAGCAGCTTTCAAAGATGCCCTGTGGTCTTCAGGGAAACATTCAAATGTTTCTTAGCACTAAAGTGACTTCTAAGCCTGGCTTCCACCCACCTTGACCTCTACATCCAGTCAGCGTCAGTGTACGGTGTGCACAAGAGCTGTGCAGTACTTCTCACTGCTCACTGCTTCCCGGAGGGCAAGATCTTGCAAGTTTCCATACCTTTGCACACACTGTAGCCTCTGCCTAGAGTGACACACCACCCCCTGGTCACCTGGCTAATTCCTAGTCATTCTTCAAAACTTCCCCTGAGAACTCCCAGAGGACAGGGTTAGCTAGGTGCCCCTGTTACCAATCATTACCTAGTTACAAGTGACCCTGCATGATAGATGTTGGTTTCCTTCTGTCTCCCCCATAAAACTTCTATCTCCTTGAGGGCAGGGACTCCCTGTTTATCTCCCTACTTACCTCCTTCCACCTTCTCAGTCCCCATGTCTCTACCTAACATGCAACGAAGACATTAGTGGGCAGTTATATTAATAAACAAAATATTTCAAGAAATTAAACCATGTGTAAAATGGTGTCACTTATTTGCAATCTGTGAGAATAGAGCTTAGAATCACCCAAGGAAGATGCAAAGCCAAATCCCGGGGGTATTAAGAATCTGCTCTGGGGGCCTCCAACTGGACAGAACCCCTCCTGACCTTAAGAAATATTGTCCAGAGTGAGCACCAAAAGTGAGAAAGCACTGCCCATGCCCTCTCCACTCTGCATCATGTTTTTTCCCCAACTTCTCAAAACACTACCGGGATGGGAGTAAGGTGGGAAGTGGAGAGGTCAAAAAACAACCAGAGCCTGGGCAACCACATTCGGTTCTCCCATGTCAAAAACATTCAGCTCTATGTATGGGAAGAATCTGGGGGTCCATATCGCCGATTTTTCAATAGAAATTAATAGGAAAATGGGATTTACTTTACAGGAATAAACAGACAGCTGAGCTGAAACATCTGGTGGATAAAGGCAGGCTCTCCTGGGTGAGGGGAACTCAGTAGTAGCAGTGTTTTCAGTGGATGGCTCCTAACCAGATTTTCCTTAGTGGATAGCAGCTAACCAGACTACAAGGCTCTAGGCTTCCTGTTTCTATCACTGACTTGCTCTGGAACTTTTATGCCTCATGCTTTTATTTCTCAGTGCCTCAGTTTCTTCATCTGTAAAACAGGAAGAATAATGTTTGCCACCTGCCACACAGGAGGGTAATGCTGATGAATGAGCTAGCATCTGTAAAGCGCTTCATGTTCCCATTCCTTCCTCTCTATGGATCTGAAGTTGTATTATTATTACTTCTGAAAATGTTAGCTATCATCCAAATGGGTTATTTCAATCAAAAGGCTTTCTTCAGGAAGACTTCATAAAGAAAAAGTGAAAGCATGCACATTCTCCTTGGAACCATCATAATTAGTCCCAGTAACAGTTGGGCCATTTATTTTCAGTTCATTTATAGTCAGATTCGGCAAAATTGAAAACATCCAACATCTGGGCTGAAAAACTTATACAAAGACAGAAAGCCCCCCAAATGGGCACGTGTGGGCTTCAGTGGCAGAGGAGCCAGATGTACTTTTTGCCTCAACTACTCTTTTCAACCTTAAGAAAGACTAAAATAATAATTAAATTTTCATGTTTACAAAAACCTTTGGTTTTCATCCCTAATTTTTTAAAAGTATCTTTTTGGACTAGTTGTAAATTTAAGATTCTCTCAAATAATCAGAAATTTCTACAAAAGGAAATCTTATAATAACATACAAAAGCATTCTGGGGTTCAGTTGTAACCATGTAAAATTTTACAGGGACAAATAATAGTTAACACGTATTGTCCCTAAACTATGGGCAAGCTGTCTTTTAAGCACCTTACAGGTATTATTTCACTTAATCTTTGCATTCAATTCATGAAATTGGTACTACTATTTTTTCTATTTTATAGGTAAGGAATCCAAGGAATAGATCAATTAAGTAACTTGCCCGAAGCACCATTAAGACAGAAAAAAGAAAAATGTTTTGGTTGATGTTTAAAGAAAAATTTCACTTAATTCAACCTTAATACAGCAAGAATCCAAGACAATCTTTGGTATAATAAGGTTATCCCAACCAGATTAAGCCACACCCTCTCCTGGGAAGAGCTGCAGAGCCTTTAATACAGCTTCCTGAGATCATAGTGTTTGGGCTTCAGGAAACAAGCCCAACTAGAGAGTATGTCCCAGTTCCTGCCATCTTCTTTAATGCTCTGGGGGAAGAAAAAACCCCACACATTCACAGTAACTTATTTCAGCTATTTGCTGAAGAAAAGCTGTCTTCAATTCCTGTTGTTTTCAGCATGCCACCCAACAGCATCTAGAAGCTTCCTCAGGGAAAGAGGGGAATTTGCTAGGTTGCCAAACATCCTTAGAAAATCTGCTGGGGAACTCCACAGAAGGGCTTTGTGAACAAGGATAAAGAGGGCACATTAGCGTTGACTTGTTTCATAAAAAAAGGGAACACACACAACAAAACTTGATTACAAAATCTCATTTTAGGAACTCTAGGTAAGATGCACCACCCTGGGACAATGGCATAGCCCCCACAGGTTGCTCTGCTGTGTGCTTTCTGAGTGAAGACCTGATTCGACTCCAAGGGCTGGGTTAGATAAAACCAGAAGGGTTTATGTGCACAGCATTTGACTTTAAACATTTCTTCATGGAAATTTACAATGCACATAATTTACATATTCAATACCAGTGACAATTTACTTCTCCCATCTGAACAGGGCTTTCAACTATGCCACTTGAACTAAATTAATAAACAGTAATTACAGAATGTTGTGTGAGCTAGCTGTTGATGTTGAGCAGATTCTAATCAACACCTTCTTTTAAGGGCCAATTAGAGCCGAATGTATGCAATATAAACATCTTTGAGTATTTAGACATGAACCACAGAACAAGGTAAAAAAAAAATTAAAATCTGAACAATTAGACTGGGGATGAGCCAGTCAAAGCTGGAGCCATAGACCCTTTTCAGCCAGTCTCTAAAGTCAAGTTAATTCCTTTAAATCAAGAGATTTTTTGTGAAATGGGGAGGGGCTCCAAGGATTTGTTAGGCCAAACCCCATCCGTTTAGAGATTTCTCCAACATCTTGTATTATTTTCCATATGCTTTAAGTTTCATGGCATTTCTTTTTAAATTGCCTCAAACACTTTTCTCCTTAATTCATGTGCATCTCAGCGAAAACTTAATCTCCATATTTCTGACTCATTTATGTATAAATCATCTACATGTTATTTGGTGTCTAAGAAACCTTTCCCTAGGCCCTATCTTTGGCTATCCAGGCGCTACACAAAGCTGGGAGTGCATCCCAGGCCCTACTATGAGGGTTTGCATCCCAAATAAGTAGAGGACACAAATCACTGAGGAACCAGATTAGAAGCTATAGGAAGGAGAAATCAAACAGCCTCTCAATCATTGGTTGTCCTCAGAACCTTGCCTCAGTTTCTTACCATGGCAGCATCCTGGCAGGCTTCATGACCTTGGGAAAGGGAGTGAAGAGGAGGCATTCCAGTAATAGTAAAAGTTCTGGGAAATGGACAGAACTGTGCTAGTCACCAATATGCATGCAGTGAATGGTTTTTTCCAATGCCTGAGAGATGTTGGTAACCACGTTTCTTTCAAAATACACATCTCAAGAGGATGGCTTGGGACTGAGTTGCCTGTAAAATCCACTTTGTAAGGGACAGATGATGGCCTCCCCAGGATGACCATGAGAAGTCTAGGATGAGCCTGGTCCAAGTGAATGTGTGAAGACACATTTATAGTCCGTGACCTGTAACCCTCCCTTCCTCTTTCTACCTTAGGCCCCAAGGATGTACCTGGACAGTTCCCTGCTAACCTCAGGCTAATTGGCTCCCCTTCTTACAACACACCTGGACTATCTTTGCCTTCTCTTTTCCACTCAGACCTTCTCTCCCTCCTGGAATTGGCCTCATCTCTGACTGTTCAAATCCTACCCAATCTCAAGGCCAGCTTCAAGCTCATTCCTTTCTCTCATTCCTTCTCATTCTTCTCTTTCTTGCTCTCACTCTCAATGTCTGTCTGTCTGTCTCTCTCACCTCTATCCTTCTGTAATCTATATTTTCCAAGACTTAGCCATAAATCGCTTTGAAATAACTCTCAAAAAAGTTGATTTTGATCAAGTACCTCCTCCATTGATATTTACCTCTACATGTATGCTCACCTCCTCCTTATCTAGATTACAGACAGCCTGGGGACAGAGATTTTGTACTTACCTGGCTTCACCATTGTACCTAGCAGAGGGCTGTTTATGTGAGCAAGTGATAAATGAATATTTGTTGGATGAATATGAATAATGCTTCTTTTAAAGTCAACAAATTGAAAATCTCTCTTTGGCTTCAAATATTTTCTCAATAAAATTTGGAAGTATAATGATAGACTCTGGGCCAGAAATCAAAATTTCAAGATAGTTCTTAATTACTAGTCACATATTAAAGTGGGAGAATTATGGAGCCAAGGGGCTGGGAGGGACCACTAGAAATAATTTTATTCCACAGTTCTGCCTCTGGAGAAGTCTACACCAAATAGACTCTTGAAAAATAGTCACTTATTTTTGCTCTGTCCATGATCATAATAGCCACATTATTATGTGACAATGGCAGTGATCATTTATCGAGTACTCACTGTAGGAAGGCAAGGGCCCTCACTGTTCTCACTCAAGCATGGCTGGAAGCCAACTTTCTGTGGGTACAAGCCAGGTGTCCCGTGGACAAGAGCCACTGGGGAAGATGTCCCGGGCCCATCCATCTCTTATCTTCGATCCGTTTGACGAGTTCCTTTCTTGCCTTCCCTCTGTTCGTACTCCACATGGTTCCCTGGACAAACTCATCTGTTTCCCATAGCATCATCCAACATTTCAGGAGTAAGAAGAAGGGAGTTCTAGAGCAGAAGCCTTTGTGCCTGTTAAAGAAAAAGGGCACAGAGGTTCACTTCTCTTCCTTTTCTTTCTAAGTGGTATCAGTACTCACTCTCTTGCCTTTACCAAAGCTAAGCTTTGTCTTTGACAACATGCTGTGGAGCAAAGAGCAGGGGATTTGGAGTCTGACAAGACTGGATTTGAAATTTGTTTCAACCATCAACTAGCAGTTCTGTGATTTTGAATAATTTTCTTAGCTTCTCTGAGTATGTTTTCTCATCTGAAAATATAAATATGCTAACAGAGCTATCACATATTAGGCCTTCAGGAAATGTTCATTTCCTTTCTTTCCTTCTCTCTTCTCTTCTCTCCCTTCCCATTCCCTCCCTGTCACCAGCAGCAGCCACTGCTGCATCCTCCTCACCCTCCTATTCCTCCTGCTCCTCTTCCTCTGCTCTCTCTCTCTTTCTCTATCTCTTTCCCTGTCGCTCTCCCTCCCCTTCCCACAACAAATCAGTCATCAAGTCTTATCAATCATGCTTCCTAAAGAACTGCCTTTTCCTCTCCATCCCTACTCTCCTCATCATCTCTCCTGCAATAGCTCCCAACCCAGTTTTACTGCCTCTGTTTCCTCCTCTAGTCTATCCTGTTCTCTGCTACCAGTTGTCTGAAGACATAACTCCCTTATATAAACTCTACAATTGTTCCCAGTTGATTACAAGAGAAAAACCAAACTCTTTGACAATATATTCAAGGACCTTCATAGTCTACCGTCAGATTACTTTTCCAGTCTCATCTCCAACTAGTTCCTGAAGCTCCTCCTGGTTTTCAGCTGGGTTCTTGCCATTGCCTGGCTATGCTATATTCTTCAGTACCATTAGTTTGTCATGCATGCTATTTCTTCTACCCAGAATCTCTTCTATCTCACCCAACACTCACACACCCTGTAAACCTCTGCAGAACTTCCCTGACATCGTCAAAATGTGAGATCCTCTTGAAAACCTTCCCTGGCTTCCTCTGAGCTTTCAAGGGCACTAATTAATTATGGTGTCTTGGCCTCCTTCCACTCCCATTGTCCCCTGGGTCTTGGCTTTGCCTTGTGTATTCTTATATCCCCACAGGTGACATCTTCCCTGAATCCAAATTTCTTCCATCCTGTCATTCTCTGTCTAATAATAAGCCCATGCCACAGTAATTCCCTCCTGTGACTGCAGAGTATTAACTTTCTAATCTGGGCTCTGGCAATAGAAAATCCAAATTTCTAGTCTCAGCTTTACTGTATACTAATTATATGATCTTGAAGAACATGCTCAAACTTCCTGAGCCTTTAAATTACTAGATACTAACCTTCCTCACATAGTTCCTATAAAGACTAAGGCACTGGCATTGGATAGACATACAGGTCAAAGGACTAGAATTGAGAGTCCAGAAATAAAACCTTGCCTTTTTTATGGTCAATTGGTTTTCTATAAGGATGCTGAGACAATTCAACAAAGCATGCTGAGTTAACTAAATATCAACCTGCTTTGAAAAGAAATAACTTAGACCCGTACTTCACATTATATACAAAAATTAACTCAAAGTGAGTCGTAGGCCTAAATATAAGAGCTAAACTATAAAACTTTTAAAAGAAGACATAGGAGTAAACAGTGACAACCTTGGATTGGACAATGATTTCTTAGACATGACATAAAAAGCACTAGTGACAAAATAAGAAATAGTTAAATTGGATTTCATCAAAATTAAAGAATTTTGTGCTTCAAAAGACACCACCAAGGTGAAAAACAAAATGTAAGAAAATATTTGCAAAGTATTCATCTAATAAGGGATTTGTATCCAGCATATACAAAGAACACTTACAATTTAAAAATTTAAAAAACCAATTACGAAATAGGCAAAGGCTTAGAATAGACAATTGTCCAAAAAGAAAACCCACAGATGGCCAATAGCACATGAAAGGATGTTCAACATTATTGGTATTAGGAAAATGCAAGTCAAAACCACGGTGAAATACCACTTCACACCCACTAAGGGAAAGGATGCCCTATTCAATAAATGGTACTGGCAGCAAAAGAAATAATCAGCAGAGTAAACAGAAAACCCACAGAGTGGGAGAAAATATTCATAAACTATGCATCTGACAAAGGACTAATATCCAAAATCTACAAGGAATTCAAACAAATCAGCAAGAAAAAAACAAATAGTTCTATCAAAAAGTGGGCAAAGGACATGAATAAATAATTCTCAAAAGAAGATACACAAATGGCCAATGAACATACGCAAAAATGTTCAACATCACTAATTATCAGGGCAATGCAAATTATAATCACAATGAGATACCACTTTTTCTTGCAAGAATGGCCATAATTAAAAAGCCAAAAATTAGCCGGGCATGGTGGCAGGTGCCTGTAATCCCAGCTACCAGGGAGGCTGAGGTAAAAGAATTGCTTGAACCCAAGAGGCAGAAGTTGCAGTGAGTCAAGAATGCACCAGTGCACTCCAGCCTGGGCAACAAGAGTGAAACTCCATCTCAAAAAAAAAAAATCAAAAAACAACCTGTGTTGGCATAAATATACTGAAAAGGGAACACTTTTACACTGCTGGTGGGAATGTAAACTAGTAGAACCACTATGGAAAACAGTATGGAGAGTCTTTAAGGAACTAAAAGTAGAACTACCATTCAATCCAGCAATCCCACTACTGGATATTTACCCACAGGAACACAAGTCATTATATGAAAAAGGCACATGCACAGCCATGTTTATAGCAGCACAATTCGCAATTGCAAAAATATGGAACCAACCTAAGTGCCCATTAACCAATGAGTGGAAAAAGAAAATGTGGTATGTATCTACCATGGAATACTACTCAGCCATAAAAAGGAAGGAAATAATGCCTTTTGCAGCAACTTGGGTGGAGCTGGAGGCTATTATTCTAAGTGAAGTAACTCAGGAATGGAAAACCAAATATCACATGTTCTCACTTCTAAGTTGAAGCTAAGGTATGAGGATGAAAAGGCATAAGAATGATATAATGGAGTTTGGGGTCTCAGGAGGGAAGGTTGGGTGGTGGGTGAGGGATAAAAGACTACTTATTGGGTATAGCATACACCTGCCCCAGTGATGGGTGCACTAAAATCTCAGAAAGCACTACTAAAGAACTTATTCATGTAACCAAAAACCACTAAAATGCCCATCAATGGACAAAGAAACAAAACATGGCATATCCATACAATGGAATATTATAAGTACCAATACATACTACAACATGGATGAATCTTGAAAACATGCTAAGTAAAATAAATCAGACACAGACATAAATGATTCCATTTACATGAAATGTTTCAAACAGGCAAATCCATAAAGACAGAAAGTAGACTGGTGATTGTCAAGTACAGGAAGACAGGAGAAATAGGGAGTGACTGCTGATAGATAGGTGATGAAAATGTTCTGGAATTAAATAGTGGTGATGGTTGCCCAACTCTGTGAGTACACTAAAAACACTGAATTATACACATTAAAGGGGTGAATTTTATGGTATGTGAATTATATTTCAATAAAGCTGTCATAAAAATAATTAAAACTAATTTAAAATGTTAAAAGATTTAGATAAGTACACAATAAATGCCAGTTACTCTTATAACGCGTACCTCTGTTGTTGCTGTATTGATCTTATCCTGTCATAATTCCAGATTGGTTTAGTTTTCTGTTTCCCACACTAGAACATGAGCTTCCTGAAGATAGGGACGATGCTTTGCTTAGAACCTATGCCATGTTTATTTCTCTTTCCCCAGTCCTTAGAGAGATATTTGGCACAGAGAATACTGTACATAACATAACTGTACATAAATTAAAATGAATGAGTGAGTGAGTAGGCAAGTGGGGTTTTCACAGACATACTTAGCACCTCTATATTACAATTTGCAGGGTTTGGGTTTAGACATCTGCAGGAAAATGTAGACTAGTCTACGGGGATGCTTACTGTTCCAGGGACCCTCCATAACTGTTTGCAGCCCTGAGTTTGGAAGGAAAGAGAGAAGGGAGAAAACAGCAATGGATGAATCCTAGTAGTTATCTTTGAGGTCTCACTTGGTCTAACTTTCATGGAGTTTCTGTCTGTTCTCCTGGGTTAAAGTTCTTCAGAAATTAACAAATTCAAACGTTGGAAAATAGAAGCGTTTAGTGCTAATCAAAAGCCAGGATCTTTAATTATTTTGATTCTAAATCACAACTTTCTTACAAAAAACTGCCAACAGCTACTCCTGAGCTCTACTGAGATAGCATAAATTGTAATTTTGTCATTCTGTTACCATTTTATATAGGACTATACTCTCCCTTCTTGCCTCTATAAAGAGATTGGTAATCAGTCATAGCACATTTCCCACTAATCTTGGGTATTGCCTAAAAGTCTTTCTCAATACAGTGTTCCAAGAAGCCACCACCAACCTGTTTGACTTATCCTTGTGGCATAACAAACCATCCCAAAAATCTAGTGACTTAAACTAACCATTTTATATTTTTATTTTTATTTTTTATTATACTTTAAGTTCTAGGGTATATGTGCACATCGTGCAGGTTTGTTACATATGTATACATGTGCCATAGCAACCATTTTATTATCTCTCACAATCCAAGGGGTTGACTGGAATCAGCTAGATGGTTTTTCTACACCATGTAATGACACCTGGGCTGCAGATATCTGGGGGGTCAGCTAGGCTACAGTGTCCAAGATGGTTCACTCACATGGCTGATAGTTGATGCTGGCTTTTGGTTGGGAGCTTAATCTGAGCTGTCCACTGGAGAGCCTCAGTTCTTCTCCACCTGGTCTCCCTGTTTCACTTGGGCTTATCACAGCATGATGGCTAGACTTCAAGGGAGAGAAAGTGGAAGCTGCCAGTCCCAGACTTCACTTCCACCACATTCTTCTGATGAAAGTGAGTCACAACTGCAGTCCAGATTCAAGAGGAAGAGAAATAATCTCCACCTCTCGATGTGAAGAGCAGCTTGTGCATACTGAGAAGAGGAATTGTTAAGAGACAACTTTTGAGAGCTACCACAATCTGCTCTCTGACCAGAGAAATTCACATTCTTCTCAAGTGCAAAATATACTCTCTCTCCTACGCGAGATCCCCTAAAAGCCCCATCCTTTTAGCACTAGCTCAAAGTCTAAAATCTTATTAGCTAAATCTCAGGCATAATTATAGATGGTACTCTTAATGTGTGGCCCCATTTACGCAGCTACTCAGGTATGGTTTCTCAAGTACAAGGACTGTGAACTAAAAAGATAAGTTCTGTGCTCCCCACACATGCAATGCACAACAGTGAGAAAGAGATAGAATAACTGCAATAGACATTTCCATTCATAAATGGAAGAGGGGTATAAAAGATATATAAAAGCACTGGTCCATTGCAATTTTGAAATCCTCCAATTCCAAAGTCAGGGAGTGTTCCTGGAGTAAGGTTCAGTTTTGCCCGCTGAGAGCAGAATGGCTTTTGTTACAACAATGGCTATTGTGTCTGCCCCCTGAGCTCTTGGCTTCATCCTCTCTGAGTCATTCTTTTTCATTAGAAATGCTTTATGATTACAACTAAGTAGCTTTTTCAACCTTCTTGACCATAGGAAGTTAGGTCCTCAGAGACTTCTTTTCATTTTATCTGTCCCTTTTAATCCAAGCTGAAATAATTCATTTAATTTTTTAGGCTTACTATATATAAAAGTATCCTGCAATCCATTAAAAACATTTCACACTCATAAATCTTTCAAAAATAAGACCCTTTCTACCTTTGGCTGAAAATAAGGGTGCTGTGAAAACAAATGCTATTATACTCTTAGAAATTATGTTTTTCTAGCAGAGGGAGTATAGGAAACAGTCCTCCAAGAGTCTTAAAATCCTACTGTCTATCTCGGAGGATTGATAAGACTCAAACTTAAATCTTATTGAGGTTTCCACAACAGGTCTTACAGCCAAAACCTTGATCTGATCTAGACCTCCAAGGCCATGTTTTCCTAGCAGTGACATGGAATTAATCTCTTCCCCCAGGTTTTTATTTACTTTGAGAATATTTTGTAGGCTGGGGAGGCTGAGAATGAGAACTGTTTTATTTTGTAACGCAGCAAATCCTGGATTAGGAATGTTGCTTCTTTCTTCTTGAAAACTGAACAGTCCCTTCTTTCATTCATCTCTTTTTTTTATCTCTGTACTTTATCAGGCACAATTAAAAGCTATCACATGCCCTTTCAACATTCTGCCTGATAATCTCAGGAAAATCCACAAGTTCATTAGACATACATTTTATATTATTGCATTGCCACTAACCACCATTTCATAATTAGAATCAACTTTTTCTCCAGCCTCCAACACAGTTCTCCTACAGTCATTTTAGTTTCTGTGAGCAATCTCCTCAAAAACCTTCTGAATTTCACTCATTGCCTGGTCCCAAAACCAGTGCCACAGATTTAGGTTTTTATTACAGCAGTGACCCACTTCTAGGTAAAAGTTACTGTTTTAGTAGTCCATTACCATTAAAAACTTAGTAGCTTAAGGAGGCATCATGCTACTGGACTCCAAACTATACTACAAGGCTATGATAACCAAAACATCATGGTACTGGTACAAAAACAGACACATAGACCCATGGAACAGAATAGAGAACTCAGAAACAAGACCACACATCTACAACCATCTGATCCTCGACAAACCTGACAAAAAACAAGCAACGGAGAAAGGATTCCTTATTTAATAAATGATGCTGGAAGAACTGGCTAGCTATATGCAGAAAATTGAAATGGGACTCCTTCCTTACACCTTATACAAAAATTAACTCAAGATAGATTAAAGACTTAAATGTAAAACTATAAAAACCCTAGAAGAAAATCTAGGCAATACCATTCAGGACATAGACATGGGAAAAGATTTTATGACAAAATTGCCAAAAGCAATTGTAACAAAGCTAAAATTGACAAATGAGATCTAATTAAACTAAAGAGCTTCTGCACAGCAAAAGAAACTATCACCAGAGCAAACAGGCAACCTACAGAGTGGGAGAAAATTCTTGCAATCTATCTATCTGACAAAGGTCTAATATCCAGAATCTACAAAGAACTTAAACAAATTTACAAAAAAAAAACCCATTAAAAAGTGGGCAAAGGACATGAATGGCACTTCTCAAAAGAAGACATTCATGTAGCCAACAAACATATAAAAAAAGCTTAACATCACTGATCATTAGAGAAATGCTAATCAAACCCACAATGAGATACCATCTCACATCAGTCAGAATGTCGATTATTACAAAGTCAAGAAACAACAGATGCTGGTGAGGTTACACTGTTGGTGGGAATGTAAATTAATTCAACCATTGTGGAAGACAGTATGGCGATTCCTCAAAGATCTAGAACCGGAAATACTACGTAACCCAGCAATCCCGTTACTGGGTATATACCCAAAGGAATATAAATCATTCTACTACAAAGATGCATGCACGCATATGTTTATTGCAGCACTATTCACAATAGCAAAGACATGCAATCAACCCAAATGTCCATCAATGATAGATTAGATAAAGAAAATGTAGTGTATACATACCATGGAATACTATGCAGCCATAAAAAGGAATGAGATCATGTCCTTTGCAAGGACATGGATGGAGCTGGAAGCCATTATCCTCAGCAAACTAACACAGGAATAGAAAACCAAACACAGCATGTTCTTACTTATAAGTGGGAGCTAAACTATGAGAATGCATGGACATGGACATAGGGAGGACAATAATACACACTGGGGCCTGTCAGGAGGGAGAGGGAGGGAGAGCATCAGGATAAATAGGTAATGCATGCTGGGCTTAATTCCTAGGTGATGCGTTGATAGGCGCAACAAACCACCATGGCACACATTTACCTATGTAACAAACTTGCACATCCTGCACATGAACTCTGGAACTTAAATATAAAAATTAAACTATGAGCTTAAAACAACAACCACGGTCGGGAATTCGATAGAGCGCAGCAGAGATTGCTCATCTCTTCTTCTCATGTCTTCTGCTGGGACTAGATCATCCAAAATGGCTTCTTCACTTACATGTCTGATGGTGCTTCAGGTGAGATGGCTCAAAGGGCTAGGCAGTGGCTGGAATGACTTGCCTGTGGTCCTGTGTCTGGATCCTCAGTTCTCATTGGTGGCTGGATCTTCAGTTCTCCTTCATGGAGTCGCAGGTTCCCTCCCTCTCCACATGGCCTCTCCACATGGTCGCTGTAGCACAGCAAACAGATTTCTTCTGTGGCAGCTCAGGGCTCCCAAGAGCAGAAAGCAGACTTCCAGGACCTCTTAAGGTTTAGGCCAGAACTGGCACAACTCCACTTCTTCCACCTTCTACTGGTTAAAGCAAATCAGAGGAACAGCCCAGCTTCAAGGGGAGGTGGTTACACAATGGTGTCAATACCAGGAGAGTTGATCCACTGGGGGAAATTGATATAGCAGACTGCAATACAGACTACTGGAATTGGTAAGGAAGATGGATTCTATTTGCTGTTCTTGACCTTTTGCTACACCTATTTGCTCAATTCTGAAGCATACACAGCTTGCAAACAGATGTGCCACATCATCCAGTAACATTGCCACATGTTGGCTCTGAGGCATCATGCACTCATGCGTGTCCTCTTCATCCCCTTCCTTTACCACTAACCCCCTTGTTGCCCTTGACAGACTTACGTAAACCATTTGTGTCTGGTTTGGTTCCCTCATTCATGTTGCCCACAGAGCATTTGGAGAAAACTGCTTCAGATTGTCTCAGCCAAACATTTGCTATTTATAGCTATTCCCATTTCTGGAAGGCCAACTGCTTGCACCAAAAATGTAGAACATAGACACCAGATAACCCCTACCCACAGATGGGAGCACTTGTATCTTGTCTTCTCTGGGGTAAACGGCAACTGAAAGCTCAATTCCAATATAAGATGTAAGGGACACAGAAAACTTAGCTACCAGAAGTAGTCTTGCACAGAATTAATTGAGGGGCTGCAGGAGTCTGTGAACCTTCAAAATAAAATCACAGGCCAAATTTTAGATGTTTGTGCACTTTGTGGGGGAAAGATTCATTAGCTTTCATCAGATTATTAAAGTGATTCTATGGACTCAGAAAAAAACTAAGAACTGGTCTCACACAGAATTATGTGATATACTTTTCCCATTACTCAAAGGCCAACTTGCAACTTTTATTGTCTTAAGTCACATCTTCCTTCCTCAGTATGAAGAAATGTAGGCTTGATCGATCATAAATATCAAAGGAAATAGAAATGAAGCTGTATTATTCTCCACTGAAGGATCCTTTTTGGCTCCTATTTTTTTCTGTCCTCCATGTGTCCTTATTTTATTTCTCTTTCCATATCCTCCCATTCCAGCTCACCTCCTGTGTATTCTATTTTTCCAATGTTCCAGCCATATTCCTGGACATGACTTGACCTATTTCTAACATTCAATGACTTGTAATAGATTAGACTTTATAGCTGGAAGAAAGTAGATTACCCAACTCCATGGAGTGACTTAACTGAGATGAGAACTAGTAGATTATAATAAAACACCACTGCATATTTCCAAATGCACTTTGTCTCACTTGGAGATAAACTTTTCCTTTAACAACCACAGAAGTTGAGTTGACATATGTTGTAGTATATTATTTTGATTAAATTCCAGTGAATTCCAGCAACATCATGTGTAGAACTGTAAAAAAATTCCCTATAATTTTCAATTTTCTGTTTCTTGTGTATATCTCATGAGACAGAGAGAGGAGAAAGAATTGATTGTCCCACTGTCATGGAAAAGTGGAGTTTCTTTATATAGATACATCCATTGACAAGTATCATCTGTTCTTGCCAATTTAATTCATTAAGCATCAAATGAACCAGGCACCCACTTAGGTCCAGTGGTGGATATAAAAGGAGTAAAACTGATTGTCTGCCCTCAAGTTGCTTATGGTTTAATGGGAGAGAATAATAAAAACAGATACAAAGAGCAGGAAGCAGTGGAGAATTAGATCAGAGGTCTAACATTCTCAGAGAGAAAAGAGAAACAAAGAATTAATTCTTATCTCCCACATTTGCCTTCACTTCCTTTTAGCACTCTCTTGACATTTCTCCCTTGTTGCTTTTCTTCCTTTCTTCTTCTTTTTTTTTTTTTTTGTTTTTTTTTGTTTGTTTGTTTTTTTGGAGTCTTGCTCTGTTGCCCTGGATGGAGTACAGTGGCGCGATCTTGGTGCACTGCAACCTCCACCTCCTGGGTTCAAGCGATTCTCTTGCCTCAGCCTCCTGAGTAGCTGGAACTACAGGTGTGCACCACCATGCCTGGCTAACCTTTGTATTTTTCATACTGATGGGGTTTCACCATGTTGGCCAGGCTAGTCTCGAACTCCTAGCCTCAGG
Organism: Homo sapiens; assembly: GCF_000001405.40. Classification (NCBI taxonomy): domain Eukaryota; kingdom Metazoa; phylum Chordata; class Mammalia; order Primates; family Hominidae; genus Homo; species Homo sapiens. The sequence goes on along the minus strand of NC_000001.11, from coordinate 87,250,838 downwards.
TGTTCCACCCACCTCAGTCTCCCAAAGTGCTGGGATTACAGGCGTGAGCCACTGTGCCTGGCCCCCTTGTTGCTTTTCTTAAATAAAGGAACAAAAACAACAAAAAGTGAAAGTAGAACTTCTCAGTCCAGCTTTTTGTCCTTCCCTCTTTCCTTCCAAGCATTTGTCTTCCTTTTTCTGCTCTTTGGCCAGGCAATGGACTCCGGCAAGTTAGCTTCTCTCGCTCTGGTTTCTTCCACTCCAGCACATTTTCCTTCTCTGCCACGCCATCTCCTAGGCACCTTTCACCCAACGAATATGGGTGGAGCAGCTCACACGTCCAAGCTCTGTGCTGGGCCCTGGAGACAGAAAGGCATATCCAACCTCTGTGTAGAGAAAGCTTGTTTACAAAACTCTCCATCTCCTAGGGGTCTATCTTTCCTCCATATTATGTTCCTTTTTTATTTCTTCCACTGTCTCTCCTCAGACTATTTTTATTTCCATCTTGACTGCTGTTAGAGGTCTCCTATGAGAAGGAAATTATCTATAATGGAACAGGAACATTAAAAGCCTCAGTTTCCTTGGTAATTATTGAACTCATGAGGGGTTCACATTGGGTTTTGAATTTTAAGAACTAAGTTAGAAGAAACTTTGTTTTTCTAACCAGATTATTGTAACACTTGCCCTTTCTAGTTCTTCAGATATTGGTTTATAAACTTCAGACTGAGAATTTTCTGTAAGCTCCAGTCAATGCCAGATTATGAAGAAATGCCTTTCCAAATTCCTAAACCTGAACTAAATATGTCAAAGGTAGGAAGCCTGGAAGCAACTGGTACCTGCATCTCTGTATGAGCAAGCTTGAATGCGTTTAGGCAACCAGGTATTGCTGAGATGACTCAGCTAGTCTGAGTCATCTGCTGGTGTGCCACTCAAGTTAAGGGGAACACTAGTAATAATTATCAATTTTTGATCATTTATTTATTTGTTAATTCACAAAAATATAAACACCTGTGATACAGTAAGCATTAAACTGAGAGTTGGGATTACACCGAGACAGACATAGTTTCTGCTCTGATTGAGTTTTCAGTGTGGCTGGGATTATGAACATGTACAGTAATTCTAATACAGTGTCCTGCATGTTATGACAACACCTACTATGTGCCAGGCATGTGCTAGCTGTGCCATATTCTTATCTCATTTAACGTATGCAACATCTATATCTGGTAAGCACTATTAATCTCTCCACTTTACCTGTGAGGAAACTCAGACTTAAAGATGTTAAGTAACTTGCCTCAAATCACAGATTCTGAACTGAGGTCTGCTCAACTCCATCACTAGAGTCCTTCCCCACCACACTACAGCATTTCTCACAAAGCTGAAATGTGGTGCCATGCTTGACATCGTAAACTGACTGTCAGGACTGAGAAACGGTAACATGAAGCAGCAGTGGCAGTGTCTCAAGCTACTCATCTGCAGGAAGCTCGCTTATGAGAATTAGGAATAAAATAACAACATGCTTTTAAAAGGTCATTCTCTATGACCCAAACCATTTTCTAATTCCAGGGGTAGAAAAATCTCTGCAAAATGATAGAAGAATTTTTTTTTAATCTCACCAATTTCCACAAAGATCATATTCATATTTCAAGTGCTTTGTCTTGAAAGGCCAGAAAGGGGAAAAAGTAAAGACTAACTCCCCTTCTTAAGAGAGAAAAAAGGAATACAGAGAAGAAGTGATGATACATAAAAGCACAGTTAAAAGGTCTGTCTCCAACCAAGGTCAGCAGGCTGCCCAGATTCAGACAATTCCAAATGCAACCCAAAGTTTGTAAATGCCCCATACCTCACTCCCTGGGGCCTGATGGGACATATTCCTAACAGCTGTTATTACCTTTTAGCAGGTCAGAGGAAAGATGATATTCTTTGGTTTTACCTGGAAAGATTTTCTTTTATCAGCAGAAAAGGATAAAAACTTAATTCTTGCAAAGGAAGAGGTTTCAATAAAGTGAATCTAAAAAATAATCCACTCTGGCAAAGCGTGCCTCATTAAAGAATTTTCTGCTACATATCGATTTGCAGTTTGTACATGATATCTTAAGATAACTGGTGCACGGTCTGTGAATTGGAATGTTCAGATTTTTGTTCCAGCTTTGGAATAACCAACATGGTGACTTTTTGCAAGTCATTTTACCTCCCTGGGCCTTGATTTCCTTTTCTATAAAATGATAGCATTTGGACTTTATAGCTCTCCTTTCAGTTCTAATAATCTGTGACTGTATTCCATGGACCCTAACTAGATAGTTACTTATCAGGATCAGCATCCCCATGGGAAACCAGACTCCCCAAGCATTTATAGCAAGCCCTATTTATGTCTCTAAGGAGGTGGGCCACCCAGCCCTAATGGCCTTTCCTATGCCAGGAGAAGTTTGAAATAGGGAAAAACTAAAGAGAAAATTAGAGTTAAAAACGGTTTGTTAACTTCCTGATCTGGGAAAACAATGAGGCTCAACCAATTGAATCTAAAGGGAAGGAAACTGATATGATTTGGCTCTGTGTCCCCACCCAAATCTCATCTCAAACTGTAATCCCCACAAGTCGAAGGAGCAACCTGGTGTGAGGTGATTGGGTCATGGAGGTGGTTTTCCCCATGCTGTTGTCGTGATAATGAGTGAGTTCTCATGAGATCTCATGGTTTAAAAGTGTTTGACAGTTCCCCGCCTCATTCTCTCTCTCTCTCCTGCTGCCATGTAAGATATGCCTTGCTTTCCCTTCACCTTCTGCCATGATTATAAGTTTCCTGAGGCCTCCCCAGCCATGTGGAACTGTAAGTCAATTAAATCTCTTTTGCTTATAAATTACCCAGTCTCAGGTAGTTCTGTATAGCACTGTGAAAACAGACTAATACAGAAACTAAATATAATGATCTTTGTAACGGGGATAATATTCTTAAAATATTAATTCTTTGTGTATTTATTACCTCTTCTTCTAAATTATGTCTCACAGCAGCCACTCCACATTTTGAGCCCAAAGAAACAGAGTGAGTAAATGCCACTTTGGGCATCAGGAGTAAGTGATGATGTGTGTGTGACTGGGGACAGCAGGAGGGGTCCTCCCATCAGACTGAAGGAGGAAAATGCAAGTGTGCTCTTCTACCCCCCAGCAGGTTGTGAGAAGTGTAAAAGAGCTGGAGGAGGAGAAATAATGGACATGCATGCCTCCGACTCTCTCTCAGCCAAAGTTCATTGCTGCATAACAAGTTAGCAGCTTGTTATTTAAACCACAAATTTAGCAGCTTAAAACAATGGACATTTATTATCTTACAGTTTCTGTGGATCAGGATTAGCTGGATCCTCTGCTTAGGGTCACACAAGACTACAACCAAGATGGCAGCTGGGCTGCATTCTCATCTGGAGGCATGACTGGAGAAGAATCCATATCCAAGTTCACTCAGGTTATTGGTAGTTTTCATTTCCTTGTGGTTGTAAAACTGGGGATCCTGGCTTCCTACTGGCTGGTGGCTGTCTTCAGGTCCTAGAGGCCACCCACAGTTCCTAGGGGTAACCGAAACCTACAGTTCCTCACCACATTGGCTTTCCCTAAACGGCCACTCCATCAAGTCAGCAAGCAAAGTCTCTTGCAAGTCAGCTAGCAAGATGAAATTTTTTATATAATGTAACATAATCACCAGAGTGATGCTGTATCCATTTTTTATATTTTATTGATTAGAAGCAATCACAGGTCCCACCCCCACAACTCAAGAGGAGGGGATTATACAAAGGTATGTGCACCAGGATGTGAGGATCATAAGGAATCACCTTAGAGCCTGTCTGCCACAAAACCAAAAGAAAAGAGGCCCTTGTCCTTCTCTGAATCTCTGAGAAGAAACCTTGCAGAGTACTGTCCCCACCCCCACACCCAACACGTGGTGGCCGTATCAGAGCAAAGTCATGATTAGGCTGAAAGCAGGCCTGAGTTGGTTTGCTGGAGTCTCCATCCTTGTATGGAAAATACTCAGAAATTCCTGGATGCTCTTTAGGAGGAACGAGAAAGTAACTGACTTGCTGAACAGTCAGCTCGCCAGAGTGGTCACCATGGGGGAGCAAAATGACCCTGTGGCCAAGGGCAGCCAAGGCCAGAGAGCAAGTGGTAGTCACAGCCAAGCCTCAGAAGGATACACAGCACCAGCTGGCTCAAAAGAGAAGCCCACCAAGCCATTTCCAAGCTGAGAAAAGAAGAGCTCTCAAGTTTCCAGCAGCAGCTGCCACATGGGCAAGCACTAACAGTACAGGGAAAGGACACAACCCAGCAGGACCAGTGAGGACTCCGAGAGCAGCCAGAGGCCTGCACAAAGACTTGTGGGGCCACCTCTGGGCTACAGAGTAAACTCACCCATCGACCCTCTTGAGCGTGAGGATTCTGAAAGCCTGAGCAGTTACCTGAAAGGAACTATTTTAAACCAAAAGGAGACTGACATATTGTTAATTGGCTCATTTAAAGTTCACATTTGTTTCCCTGCTACCCCAGGGCTGGAGGATCTTGAAGAAAATTCAATCAGTTATAGAGAAATAAAGGAGTACATTTTCTTTGCACAATTGGATTGTGTGAGTGAATTTGTAATCTTGCTACACCTGCTATGTAACAGACATTATATACATATGTTTTCATAGAGTTCTCCCACCATCCTATGAGGTAAGTGTTATCATATTCCCATTTTACAAATGAAGTTGAAACTCTGAGAGGGTAAGTAATTTGTGCAAGGTCACCCAGCTGGTAAGTGGAAAAGTTTGTATAGAACCCAGAATTGTCTAATACTTAGGCTCTTATTCACTGTGCCTCTGTATTAGTAAGGTAGGCTAAATTCTGTAATTAGCATTCCTCAAATCTCAACAGCTTAACACAAAAAAATTGGTTATTGCTTATTTCACTGCCAAGTGCAGGTCTTACTCTACAAACTCTTTGCTCATTTAGAGATCTACACTCTTTCTCTCCTCTGGGTCCACTATACTCCAAATCTACAGAGTCCTCTCCATTCAACCAGTGAATATAGGAGGAGAGACCATGGAGGGTTGCATAGGGTGATTTTGTGGGCCAGGCCTGGAAATGGTACACATTGCTTCTGGCAACATCTATTGGCCAGAACTCATTGACATGATGCCACCTAGTCACAAAAAACGCTTGGAGGTATAGTCTGGGTATGAGCCTAAAAGGCAAAGCGATAGGACTTGGCGGACACATAGTATTCTTTGCCACCATTCCATACTCATAACCTAAAAGACGTACACATATGTCATCTTTTTCACCTTTTTTACTCCAGAGGAATCAGATTTTCCTTCCACTAAATATGAAGATCAAAATTCAAAACATTGGTCTGATAATACAGTGGTAAAGATAACAGACACATCCAGAAAACTTTTTAGATTTGGCTTCATGGTACTCTACATCTTGCTATGAGTTGTCTATCATTCATTTTAGTTTCATACCTGGGTGTCAGCAGCTAAAGTCCATGGCTAGCATGTGCCCTGGACTGTCTATAGGAAGAAAGTAAGCCATGGCTTACTCTAGTTGCTTAGGTGAAATCATAATGTGACCTGCCTTAGTGTTGTGTCTATGGTTTGGATGTTGGAGTTCCTGTGGGAAGAGAAATCCAACACATGATTGTTTTGCTATAGTCTTAGAGAGGACCTAATTGCCTGGGCTTAAGCCATTCAGAAAACTGAGAATAATAATAATCATGATCATCATCTCATAACTTAGAAGTTACCATGTCATACTGAGATTTGTTTCCCCAGGGCTGGCAGGCACTAGACAAGTGTTTATGGATTTGATCTGACCAATATGTTTCTTTTAATGGTAATTATAGGAAGATGGGCTTAGAAAATATATTTTTGGCTGGAATGAGGACTTAACGTTGCTGTTGTTGTTGTTGTTGTTGTTTTAACCATAGATGTCTTGGAATAATGTTATACTTGATAAATGCAAAAATGGAATAAACAACTATCCACCTAGTGAAGGTTGGTATGTGTTCCTGACTTAAGATGAGGTTAACTGACATTACAGCTGTGCTTTCAGGTGTCCTTCAGGGTTTGATGGAGGAACTGCAGAAACCATGGCTCATGGGAGGTAGAGCAGGGGCACAAGAGGGCACAGGTCCCCTATTGTGAATTCAACGAGAGTAGCTCGGTCTCGATCTCTTGTACCATGTAAAATGTGAAGAAAGGATGATAAAGACATTGGGAAGCCACTGGAGTAAACCAATGGATTTGTTTGGATATCATATGTGATGTAGTTAATCCTACATCATTCTCTCCATGCCTAAGAAAGGAAAAACTGGTGAGGTGATAGCAGGCAACTCAGAGTCTATCTTCCTCAAAGGCAATTTGGAGAGTGGAAAAAGCTTGGGCTTTGGAGGCAGACAAGCCTGAGGTCAAAGCATGGATCTTATTAGGTCTGCACAGCAAAACACTGCCCTTGCGGGATACCTGTGAACAATAGGAAAGGCCACAGGCTTAAAAGAAGGACAACATATTGTAGTGATTAAGAGTAGGGCTTGGGAGTTGGACTGCCTGATTCAAGACTGCCATTTACTAGCTTAGTAACCTTGGGCAAGTTAATTAATTTCACTAATCCTCAATCTCCACATCTGTAAAATGGGTTTATTAATAGTATTCATGTCATAAGCTTGTTATAAGACTTAAATGAATCTATGTCTGCAAAGCACTTAGCACTGCTGGACACATAGTAAGTGTACAGTGACGACAATTGTTACAAATAATTATTAGTTCTAAGCACAGACCCAGACACACAGAAGACATTTAATAAATTATGGCTATAATAACTTTCATCCAAGATCTCCTCTCAGAAAAAGAAAATACTAAAGTGAAGAAGGAACAGGAAGGGGTGATGTGTTAGTAAAACAGAATGAAAGAGTGAGTTTCTTAAAGTATTGAATATGAGTAGAAAAACTGCATGAGTAGCAAAGAAAAAGATTAGGGGATGTATATGGGCTTGGGAACCATGGTAGTGACCAGATAGACAAACATGGGGCCAATTTCATGCTCAGAGATAAGGCATTACCGTGAAAGAAGAAAAGCTAAACAGTCTGGCATGACTCAGTAGGCCTCATTCCAAAAGCAAGGCACTATCTTCAGACAGGCTCCAATAAAATGTACATGGAACACAGAAGCCAGCTAACACAGATCATTTTCTCAACTTTCCAAACCCATACCTTATGTCCTGTGGGGTGGCCATCTTGCTCAGGGCCAGATTCAGGCAGGCAGTGGGACAAAGAAAGCCAAGAGAGATGTTTAGAATGAAGAATGGGGGTAACTCTCCAGCTCCCACATATCATTAGCAGGCAAATGTGTGGTGCCCAGTCGTGCAAGGCTTTGCATTAAATAAAAGACAAAGGGAATTGTCTATATGTAGCTCCTGCCCTCATGCACCTCAGGATCCAATATCCATCAGAGACTCCTTTTCCTAGGTGGCCCACCAGGCAATAAGATCAGATGGCAACTTTGCAAACTCATGTTTTATCTTCTTAATATAAAAGCTGATTCCCTCAAATTATCCATTAGAGGCAAAAGAAGAAGAAAAACATCACCCAACAGTAACTCTTAAAATCCAAACTGATTAATTTCTCAAATGAATAATTTAGATCTGAGACATGAAATCATTTGGAAAACAGCTTCTACTTTAAGTGATTTCATTCTACACCTTTCAACACCAATGGACGCCACTATTTCACAAAACTTAATGCTGGTCTTATCTGCAAAATGACTTCCAGTATAACCAGTCAAAGGGAGAAAGCAGTGCCTAACGGCAGGGCAGGATTCCCTTCCAATTCTGAAGAGGAAAGGGCAGGACAAGGGTGAGCTGTAGCCAGGTCAGTCCCGTCCACTTAAGCAAATAGCTCCTTCCGGATGAATGGCCAGGAATTGAGATAATAATCTGCAAATGTTATCTGGAAACTAGATGGATGACCGATCCCCAAAATACTTGAATACAATAGAATAAATCTCCCAACAAAGACACAGTGTTATGTTTAATCTGTCTTTAATGATCAAGGGCATCATATTACACATAAATTGTCATTATATGGTAGTTGTGTGGAAGTACATGTCAATAATAGGCACGTTAGATATACATATAGCACAGAGGTTCAAATCCTACTCCATAGGTTTAAATCCTGTTTCCACCATTTACCAACTGTGTGACCTTGACTCATCTTTGTGCCTCAGTTTACAAATCTATAAAATGGGAATAATATTGCTTATCTCATAGAGTTTGACAAAGACTCTCTCCTTTGACTGAAACTTTAGTCAGGCTCCTCTGAGTCCTCAGCTTGACTGGGCCTGAACTTGGGCTTCCCTCTCTGTGTTTGTAGAATCCATTTTGAACAAGAATCCTACTAACAAAAATCCTCGGCCAGCCGCTGTGGCTCATTCCTGTAATCCCAGCACTTTGGGAGGCTGAGGCGGGCAGATCACCTGAGGTCAGGAGTTTGAGACCAGCCTGGTCAATATGGTGAACTGTCTCTACTAAAATTACGAAAATTAGCCGGGCATGGTGGTGGGCGCCTGTAATCCCAGCTACTCAGGAAGCTGAGGCAGGAGAATCGCTTAAACCCAGGAAGTGGAGGTTGCAGTGAGCCCAGATCGCGCTGTTGCATTCCAGCCCGGGCAACAAGAGCAAAACCCTGTCAAAAAAAAAAAAAAGGAAAAATCCTCTGCCCTTGGTATCCGATCACCCTGGCCTGCCTTCAACAATAATCCCATCAAGTTGGTTTAGCCAGAAACCCCCTTGTTCTCAAGGTTCACTCTTAGTAATTTTCTATCCACTGACCCCCACCCTACTCCATGGTTGTAAACCCCTTGTCCTTGTTTTTGTTTTTGTTTTCCAGACAGAGTCTTGTTCTGTCACCCAGGCTGGAGTGCAGTGGTGCAATCTCAGCTCACTGCAACTTCTGCCTCCCATGCTCAAGCAATTCTTCTGCCTCAGCCTCCCGAGTAGCTGGGATTACAGATGTGCGCCACCATGCTTGGCTAATTTTTTTTGTATTTTTAGTAGAGACAGGGTTTCACCGTGTTGGCCAGGCTGGTCTCAAACTCCGGACTTCAAGTGATCTGCCTGCCTCGGCCTCCTAAAGTGAAGAAAAGTTTTTATATGAGCTGCTGTGAGTTACTTCTCTAAGACTCAGAATCTAGAATCCAGCAGACTTGGTCTCAAGTTCCAGTTATGCCCATTATGAGCTGTGTGGCCTTGGGCAAGACGCACAACCTTATTAAGTCTCAGTTTTCTCATCTGTAAAGTAGGGATAATAGTAATAACTATTCAGAAAGAATTTGTGAGGATTAAATGAATTTATGTACTACAGACACTCAGCATAGTCAACACCATTATTAATATTAATACCATTAGAGTAACAAATCTCTCTGGCTTCAGGATCCTTTTCTCTAAAATAAAAAGAGTTAAATTATCTCTAAGATCCCTCTCAGGACTAACATTTTAAAAATTTCTGAATCTATTGCCACTTTACAGATGTAAAAACTGAGTCACATTTCACAAATAACAAAAGCCATGGTTTCCCAGACCATTACCCTCCTAAGTAGACCCTAAATACTTTATTCTGTTTTAATTTACAGGCCTACCAAAAGCCCGGGCCTTTTGAATATTCAGCTGGAATGTTAATTATGGGAAATTCCAGAATCCGTGGCTTAGAGACAAGTTCTCATTTACTCTGTTCCCTGGCACTGGGATCCCTCCTGCCTTGCCTTCAGAACACCAACTTACTTTCCAAAGCCCACGCAACCAAAGCCAGATGGCAGTGCCACTCGGTCCCTGCTGCCCCAGGCCTCCATCCCTGCCAGCCCTCAGAGCTCCATCCACTGGCCTGGGTCTCCCGTTCTTACCCCTCCTCTACTTGCCCAGGTCTCAAAGGTGGCCCTAAAGAAAGGCTTCCTTTATACCACTTCCAGAAACACATTCTAAGCCTTTTTCTGGGCCTGAGTCACAACGAACCAGGAAGAACCACAGGTTCACTTGTTCCTTATCAGATTTAAACACCATCCACTTATTGGAAAGAAATCATTTCTTTAGTTACGGAGCTTTTGCTTTTCCTTTGCTTGTTTTACTGGTGATGGTGGCATTTTGCACACCGTAAAGGGCCATTTCACCAGCTGACTCAATGATAAGCTTGTTGGACTCCTTGTCCCATAACAGAGAAGCACAGGAAGGTTCCAGGAGATCTCAAAGCCTGGGGTTCCTGGAGGGAGCTTTGCACTGGCTGACCTGGGTCCCCATTTTGCCTGTTCTGCTGTCTGACTTCATGACAGTTTAACATGATGTGCAGAAAGGCCAGGCTTATTCCCTGGCAGGAGGCTCTAAACATCTGCTCTGCGGTAGGAGGTTTTAGGAAGACTGGGGTGGTGGGTATTCACAGAAGATTGAGGGAGTTTGGTGAAAAGAATCTAAAATCCTCAGTGTAGTCACAAGATAGGGGGGAAAAAAATCTCAGTTATTTCAACTCCCTGACTCACCATATTCTTCCAGGCAATGATCTTCATGTCCCAAGGCTAATCTTGAGGGGTGGGATCATCTTCAAGGGCAGAGACACTAATTAGCCATGGTGGGTGGATGGATGGTGTGACAGGCATCAGGCAGATCATCCTCAGTTCCTTCAAGTGAAGGGAGGCTGAGGAGACAGATGGGGCACATCTCTTGCCCCTGAATGAACTGAGTGATTTATGTCTTAAGAAACCCCATGGCCTTGTAGTGTCTTGAACAGTGCATGACTCTTAGCTTTTGACTTTCACAAATGCTTTCAGTTGACCCTCAATTTACGGAAAAAGAAGAAAAAGTAGCCTTTCAGGGATCAAGGAATTTTCTTTAGGTTATGTGGCCAGCTAAGCATAAGAAAGGACAACACCGCTGGCTCCTGACCCCTACCCAAGTCTTCTCCCCACGAGGTCACTCTGCATGCTTGGTGCAGGGTCAGGGCTCTGGGCATTGGCCTGAGATGCTCAGATGGGCCTGGCTTCCCTCCCTTCCCACAGGGAACCAGCCACCTCGACAACGGAAGATGAGTCTTGCTAGGACAACAGCCAGAGTCTTGGAAACCTTCATTTTTCTCCTCCAAGTACTCAACTCCCAGAGAGTCAAGCGATCTGCCTACTGTAGCAGAAAACCATGTCCATTTTTATTTGGAGCTATTTAATACATATTAGCCACATGCCAAGCACTGTTCCATGATCCCCAAGAGCCTTCCTCCCCACTTTGAATTGATTTATGCTAAAACAATTACACACCCTGGAGCTTCATTCCTGAAGTCGGCTGGAGGGGACCCCCATGGGACCCCATGATAGTAAAAGTGTTACAGCACCCATCCCCTTGGCATTTCTAAGGCAAGACACCCCAGATGTACTCTAGGGCAGACCAGCTCTATGTCCGGTTTGCATGACATGCCTCTGTGTTGGCCAAGGTTTCAGTGCATTGTGATAAAAGGTGCTAGTGGAATGCTAGAAGCTCTCTGAACTCAGGATTAACCAGCTCTCTGGAGGACACACAACTGAGGCCCTCGGCACATGCAACCGTCTAAAAGAAGAGGTCTCTCTACTTAGCCTGTGTGTTTGTGCTCCCACAGCCTCAATTATGTTCTGATCAAGAGGTAGTTGTGATGGTTCTCAGATTCCTCATTCCAAATGTCCTTGTTATCATAATTACATAATTTTGATCAATATATGTAACCTGATGAAATATGAGTTCAGGGAAAAAAAGGACTGTTTGCATGAAAACTAAGTAGAATGATTTGAAAAGAATTGGTAAAGGCTATTGCTAAAAAAAATATATTGCCTAATGGTGTATGAGAAAGACAACTGTACAGGACTGGGGCAAAACATAAAAGCCCGAAATGGTTCTGCATTCAGATTGCTTCACAGGTTTATTTATGTTTGCCTTCTGCATTAAAAGAACCTAAGCTATTCTTTTAATCATAAAATCATAGCTATTGAGTTACAGGTGTGGTTTATTCAAAACGAGGTAGGGGAGCTTCCTTCAGTGGGTGCTTACTCAAAGGAAAAGTCTTAGCCCTAGGTAATAATAAAAATAATAGAGATGTTGAATTAAAGTATATTTATTTAAGATAAATTAAAAACATTTAAGGTGTAAACCCATACTTTTCCATGGCTTACCTCTTCAACTAAATTTTTTCCACATAACCAACCCTAGACTGAAGAGGGGGCTTCTACTGTACTAAGAGGTAAATATACCAATGCACCCAGACAGTGAATTAGACAAAAGAATGTGCTGCCACCAACATGAAGGCTTTTGCTCCTTGATTGCTCACTGGGTCTTGTTCTTTCATTTGTTCATTTATGGAGTTCATCAATATCCTTGAGCCTCCTGAGAAAGGCATTGTGCCAAGGACTAGCAGTGTGGCAAGGAGCAAAGTTGATGGCAGCACCAGTGCTCACTTTCCTGGTGCTCCCATTCTCCCGTCCACCTACCAGCCAACTAGATGCCACTCTTATCCAGCTTCCCTGCCCCCATGCTGTGGCAACCCCATGACTTGGCCTCTGCTGTGTCCTTTGTCTGGAATCCTCTACCCACTCCCAGCCTGCCCAAAGCCTTCCATCCCATATGCCGCCTCCTCCATGGAGTCTGCCATGATCTCTCCAGGCAGAAATGATCTCTTCCCACCCTATCTCCCATGGAACTTTGTTTGTTTCTCTTTTATAAAATTTGTCATGTATTAACATTTATTACAAGTTTCTTGCCTTAGATTTAACCCCTTTCCTAAATTGGAAGGCCACCTACGTCAATGACCAAGACTTGTTCATTCTGGCATCTCCATGCTGCCTGGTCCAGGGTCTTGTTCATAAATTCCAAATGTTGCTTTGAGTATTAAAATACTGCATATAGAGTTCGAGACCAGCCTGACCAACATGGAGAAACCCCATCTCTACTAAAAACACAAAATTAGCTGGAAGTGGTGGCACATGCCTGTAATCCCAGCTACTTGAGAGGCTGAGGCAGGAGAATCGCTTGAACCTGGGAGGCGGAGGTTGCGGTGAGCCGAGATCGTGCCATTGCACTCCAGCCTGGGCAACAAGAGCGAAACTCCGTCTCAAAAAAAAAAATACTATATATAAAGATTAACTAACATAGAAGATACCAAGAAAAAAATACTTGTTGATGGATTATGTGTCTTTTTATCTCTAAGAAACATTTTTGATTGACTATGCAAACTTCAAAGCTTCTCTTATTCACCAGCTAGTTTGCAAGTAATACCATGTGATCTGCTAAAAGGAGGATTCTTTTGGAAGTTTTATTTGTTTGGGAACCTCGCATTCTATGGAGATTTTCTTTCCTGCTGGAAAACATCTGGACGTAAAATGAAAGAAATTAAGTTTTTCCTCATATTTCTAGAAATATTATTCTGCCAGGGATTATGTTTATTCTCACATGCCCAAAATGGAGAGCAAAGGGACGATGAAGAACATAATACCTCTAGAAATTTCAGAATGCTAAAAGTTTCATTCTCCCAACTTGCACTTTAAGAGTTGTGAATCTGCCTCATCATAATGTAAGCAACGGTAAATGAGGATGACTTAAGCAATTACCCAAGATGGCCATGATTCCACTTTCCAGGAGCCCAGAATTGCATGTTTCTGAAAAATAATCATTTCCAAAGAAAATAATTACTACTCAATAATGCTCTTTATGTTGCTAATGAGACTTGGTTGGTCACCACACTGATCCAGGCTATGTCTGCACAGCTTTGGCAAATGTCTATTACTGGGTGCACAACTGAAGTAGATTATGCCTGGGAGGAAGTAAATTCATCTGCCTTTTAAAGGACTTGGAGGGAAGCAGGATGCCACAGTGGAAAGATGGTGGGACAGGAGGTCAGCCATTCCAGGCTAGCATCCGGTTCTGTTCCTCATAAGCTGTGTGGCTTAAACTGGCAGAGCCTTATTCTCCTCCCCTGCTAAATGGGGAAAAGAATATGTGGTGAGAAATAAGTGAGATATTGAAAGTAAAATGTCTGTGCCTAGATCACTATGGAGGAAATAGTGATCCTCACTTTGACTCATTCTTGTTGTTTATAAAGCATTTGCACACTCAGCTCATTTGAGTCTCTTAAACTCCCTGTGAGAGAAGTAAGATAAGTACAGGTTGAACTTTCTAAAAAGGCTAATGTTTGGCTACTTAGACCTATTAGAATAGACTATGGATCCACCTGACATTATCCCCATTTTATAGATAAGGAAACTGCGGAACCCAGTAATTTTGACTCTCAGGCCAGTATGTCTGTCACCAAAAGTTTGTTCAAAATGAAAAAGGTGAACATACCAAAAAAACATAAGCACAGTCCTTTATGAGTAGACATCTAGCAGAAGAAACACAAATGGCTAATAAATGCAAAAAAATGGGCAAACCCACCAGAAATCAACGTATATAAATTAAAACAAAAGCCAGGTACTTTTTTTCCATTATCAAACTACCAATTTTTAAATGTTACTACTGTGGGAAAAGGTGAGGGAAATGTATATGCTCATTCATACTTGCGAGAAGTGTAAAGCAGTATAAATTCTCTGACATGAACTTAACTATGTATAAAAATCCTAGAACAGTTCAGGAGTCAATGTCCAGGAATTTATCTAAAATCACAATCAAAGATTTGAAAAATGAAAGATGCATATTACAGTATTATTTATAATACAAAATCGTAAACAACCTAAATGTCCAAAAGAGAATTAAATACATTTAGCAACACTTATATATTATGAACTCTGCACCCATTAAAAATTATGCTTTAGAAGATTATTTAATGAATGAAAATATTTCATGCTAAATCAAGAACAGGTTTAAATGAGATATATATATATATATATATCTTATGGTTTTAATTTTATAATTAGTTACACATACATATACACACAGCACACATTTAAAAATCAAACACAATTTTAATATTATTCTCACTGGGATGAGAAATTGTAGTTTTTTTCTTCTTGTATTCTTTTGTATTTTCTGGATTTTCTTTAAGAAACATGTATTTATCATCAGAAAAAAATGTTGCGCAAAATATTAATATTTTTACATTGAAGGCTTAATTCAAGCAAAAGAAATCATATTCCTAAACAACAAAAAAGTACTCATAATCCTCATACATCATCTTAGATGAAACACTGATGTGCTAACATATTCAAAAATCAAACTCACCCTTACACCAAAAACAGAGGTACCAACCCTGGTTTTGTGCACATTCAGGACACAATTAAACCTGACCTACAATCAGCAATGGGATGTGGCAGATGGAGAAAGCTCAGGATGTGGAATTTAACTCAGCCACCGAACCAACAATCAGTGTTATCATGGCATTGAACACAGGCACCTGAGTTCCACAAGGAACCCTAGAGGCAGTGAAGATGAGAAGACCAGGCGGTTGGGAAGCTTCAAGTACAGGATTTAAAAATGACCATCTATTGAGCATATTTGTGTAACAAAAAGGGCAAAAGCTCTCTATTCCACACAGTCTGGTTCAGATTGCTTCTATTGTGGACATTTATTTTTTATTTTCCCTTCTTTTCATCTGTTACCCATTCTATAACAACATGGCTCAATCTGTTCAGTTCAGGTAGGGCTGACATACCCACAAGTTGTGCCCCGCTAAATACACAGAAGGACTTTTGCGTTGCCTTACACCTAGTTGATAGACTCCTCCGCCCTTCTAGCCATGGTGACAGGTGCAGAAGTGGGTTTACAACTCAATCAGACTAATCAGCCTTTCCTGGTATTTTACCAGAGTTCTTGAGACATATAATTATTTGGGGCTGCCAGCAGTCATCTTACCTATTCGTGAAGAGAAACTACTTGAAGATTAAGCCAAGCAGAGGCATAGAGATGAGAGAGTTTAGAGATAGAGATAGAGATGGAAAGAGGGAGAAACCTTATTTGAAGCACTAGATCCAACTGTTCCTAAAGTTGGCTGTCTCTCATGAACTTCCCAGGTACCTGAGCAAATTAATATCCTTTTTTAAAATAAAGTTATGACCTAACCCTCTATCACCTGTAACTGCAATATTCCTAATTAATACAGCTTTTTCTCCTCTCCTCTGTCTTTTCAGTATTATGGCAGCTGCAATTAGACAGGATTTGGTCCCCTCCCACTTGAAAGTAGCCCCTATCCCTGAAAGAACTAGCAGGTATAGGAAAGAGGTCTTATGATTCATTTCTCCTTTAGCCATTAGCATAGTATTACCTGGAAGACTAAACAGGCATGCATAGGAGTAGAGGAAAAGGGCTTGGGTTTAAGCTTATAGGTCAAAACTAGTCTTTGTTCTTCCACGAGCTCCATCCCAGTTCACCAAGTGAACAAACCAGATAGTAATTAAAGCCATACCCTAGCTATTAATGAAATATCTATTCCTTGGGAAAATATTCATAGTTACAAAAAAAGGGTGTGGAGGGGACCCTAGTACCCCCACTATCCCCTTTCTCCTCTTATTCCCGGACATACAGCTAAACTACATTTTACAATCTCTCCTGCAATCAGATGGAGTGTTATGACTAGATCCAGCCAATACAATGTGAACAGAAATGCACTGTATTGATTTACTCTACAGTTGTTTCTGAGCAGGTAAAATAGAGCTCAAGGTGAAAACTAGGTCTTTCTTTTTTTTAAAAAAAAAAAAAGGCAAATGACCAATTTTCAGGATACAAGGGATAGAGCTGGCATTATTTTGACTCAAAGCTGATGGAAAGAAGTTTCTTCTATCGCTTCTGCCATGGTCAACAATGTTCCTCAACCCTGATGGTGGAAGTACAGGTACAAGTCAGCAGATGCTGCTGGAGGGGCCTCAGGAGAGGGAGAAAAGGGTTGCAAATGTCAGGAGCCAGACATGGTCTGACAAACGTGAGCAGGAGCTGTGCCTACAATCTTTGCTGGTTAGTAGCCACCGCCTGTATCATTAGTCAGTTCTACTGATGAACCAAGCATGCACTCATTCACATAGTACCAAGCACTGAGGAGCTGCTGGCACCACAGAGAGGAGGAAGACAGTCTCTTCCCCTGTAATAAAGTTACACACAAGCTCTTCTAATACCCCAGGGTAGGGCCTGAAACATCCAGAAAGTGTTCACAAAAGAAAAGTTATTTGGGCCGACTCCGCAGTAGAAGTCCACATCAGAAAAAGGAGTGGAGAGCACTCCAGGGAAAGGGAAAAAGGGCAGAAGTCTGGAGTGCAAAAGAGCATGGCACGTGCAGGAAATGGCCAGAACGTCTGTGTGACTGGAACCTAAGTTAACTCCATAGGGTGATGGGGAGGAAGGGCTGTATGATATGTGAGAAATGACATGCTATCCATTATATGAGCAGATATTGTAGGAAATCAGGCCAGAAGGATTAGAAGAGGAGAGAACTAAAAAAGCATCCACATGGATAGGACCAGCAGATATTCACTCACTCAACAAAGGTTTCTCAAGCTCCTGCTCTATGCCAAGGACTGTTTTAGATGTCTGGAATACATCAGTGAGCAAATCAAAGATACCTGCCCTTAAGGAGCCTACATGCTAATGCAGAGAGGCAAGCAGCAATAAACATAATAAATAAGCAAACTATATAATAAGGCTGACGATAAACTAAAAAACAGTACAGGAGGTAAGGGGGTCAGGAGTTGGGGGAGGGAGTGTTGCAGTTCTAACTAGGGTGGCCAAGGCAGGCCGCAATGAGAAGTGAGATTTGAACAAAGACTCAAAGGAGGTAAGGGAGTCAGCCAAGCAGATACCTCGGAGAAGAGCATCTTAGATAGAAAAAAAAAAAAGTCCTAAGGTTGGAAGACCAACAAAGAGACCAGGGAGCCTGAAGGGAAAGGAGCAAGGAGAGAGAATCAGGAGGTGAGGTCAGAGAGAGCCTATGGGGCAGTTGGATTGCGAAGGGCCATATAGGCCACTGTGAGGACTTTGGCTTTTACTCTGAGGGCAAGGGAGCTGAGGTGACAGGAATGCTGCAGTAGAGAGTAAGACATTGCAAATGTCAGAAGGGAGAGGTGCTTGTGATGGTTAATACTGAGTGTCAATGTGATTGCATTGAATGATACAAAGTATGGATCCTGGGTGTGTCTGTGAGGGTGTTGCCAAAAGAGATTTAACATTTGAGTCAGTGGGCTGGGGAAGGCAGATCCACCCTTAATCTGGTGGGCAAAATCTAATAAGCTGCCAGTGAATATAAAGCAGGCAGAAACATGTGAAAAGGAGAGACAGGCCTAGCCTCCCAGCCTACATCTTTCTCCTGTGCTGGATGCTTCCTGCCGTAG
Organism: Homo sapiens; assembly: GCF_000001405.40. Classification (NCBI taxonomy): domain Eukaryota; kingdom Metazoa; phylum Chordata; class Mammalia; order Primates; family Hominidae; genus Homo; species Homo sapiens. Next base: position 87,232,548 of record NC_000001.11, on the reverse strand, counting down.
AACATCGGACTCCAAGTTCTTCAGTTTTGGGACTCGAATTGGCTCTCCTTGCTCTTCAGCTTGCAGAAAATATATTGTGGGACATTGTGATCGTGTAAGTTACTACTTAATAAATTCCCATATATATACATATATATGTGTGTCTGTATATATGTGTGTGTGTGTGTATATATATATACACACATATATGCTATTAGTTCTGTCCCTCTAGAGAACCCTGACTAATACAGTGCTGTAGCAATATCCTTGAGTAGAAGAGGGAGGCATGGCATACTGCACAGGCAGACGGACTGGCTTTAGAAGGGAGCACAGACAGATCATCTGTAAAAACAGGCTGCAAGGTGGAGTCTGTGGGTACAGATGGTAGTAGGTAGGGGGAAGTAGGGCAGGAGTCTGTGGACTTTCTCTTCTGCCTGCTTCAGTTTTCTCAGTGAAGTACGAAGCAGGGTCATTAGCTGAGAGTGGGTATGGGGAGAGGAAATTAGTTAACTGGGAGAATGAAAGGACCAGAAACTAACAGAATGATTGCCTGGCAGCATTAAGGACCCACTTAGGGTTCATGGTCATGAATTTAAAGTGAGACCAGTCCGTGTGGCTGTGTTTTTCTCTAGTCATATTCAGCTGCACGGATGCGGGAAGAAGCGAGTTGGATTTAACCAAGATTGTGGTTTCACTAAATAAGTTTGAGGAAATGAGAAAGGGGCAAGGGGGGTCAACAAGATATAGCAGGATGTGATTATGAGGATTGAGCCTGAGATTTAAGCTCAGTAAGAAGAATGGGGACAGCAAAGGGGTGAGGGACAGGGAAAAAGTGGAAATACCAATCGAGTATGGTCCTCGTGGCCAAGGGCATCATTCAGCATGGGTACTAAAGAGAATGAGCTGGAGGCCAGGCGCAGTGGCTCATGCTTGTAATCCCCACACTTTGGGAGGCCGAGGCAGGTGGATCATGAGGTCAGGAGATCGAGACCATCCTGGCCAACATGGTGATACCCTGTCTCTACTAAAATACAAAAAAATTAGCCAGGCATGGTGGCACATGTCCATAGTCCCAGCTACTCAGGAGGCTGAAGCAGGGGAAGCACTCGAACCCGGGAGGCGGAGGTTGCAGTGAGCCAAGATCAGGCCATTGCACTCCAGCCTGGCAACAGAGCAAGATTCCATCTCAAGAAAAAAAAAAAAAAAAAAAAAGAATGAGCTGGAAAGATAGGAGCTGGGGGCCAAGAGTGGGGCAGTAATTTGAGAGTATAGAACAGCTGCCAGGGTTGGTAATGGAAGGGCACAGGAGTAAGTGGCTGGGGTAGGGTCAGACAGTTGAGAAACCCATCTGGGCGAGCCATGCTAGAGGTAAAGATTCACAGGTCCCGGGTGTTTGAAACCTTGTTGTGCTTGTGAGTTGCAGAGAGAGAGTACAGAGGGAGGAGAGAGAAGGGTTGAGCTCAGAGCCCTGGGAGGACAATGTTGGACAGAGAGGAGGCCCAGCAGGGAGGAGGTAAATAGGCAAAAATGCACACCACTGTCCTGGTAGTCAACAGAGAAACAGTCTGAAAAAGGAAATGCATGGCGGGCAGAGTCAGAGTCCTCAGAAAGGTCAGATCAGGTAAGGACCAAACATTGTCTATCAGATTTGGCAATTAATCCACTTCATTAGTGGATTCAGGAGCAGCTGGTGGAGTGAGGCGTGAAGGAGAGGTGAAGAAATGGAGCCAGCAAGTGTGGACCTCATTCTCTCTGAAGCAGCTCAGAAGCAAGTCCAGACAGTAGTGAAACTACATCTGATAGTTAGTCCCCTATGGCTATAAGCTGAGCCTACTGACAGAACCTTTCCTGGAAATGCAGAATGAAAAGAGAAAATACAAAAATGACTTCATTGCTTTAAATCATGCAGATCTGTATGCACACATCTGTAAAACACTGTTGTCAAGACAACTGACAAACCCTGGAAAACCAATCCCTCACTTCATTCATCCATCACCTAGTTCTGTGCCGGTGGTGCCTGCCTTTTTCTCTGTTGCCATAGATAACCTTAATTTAGATGAGAACCTGCTCATTTAAGACACAGTGAAACCATGATCATTTTTGGATTGGATTATTGCCCATTTGAGAAAGTGGTTACTGAAGAGGACCTGTGATTGTGCATGAAATGCAGGGATGACAATGACCCTACATATCAGACAGCCAAGTCGCAGTGCTAACTGGGACACAGAGGACCTGAAGATCTCAGCCATTCATTAAAGCAAACATCCTATAAAGCCCTACTAGTCACTTATTAGAGAAAACGGGAGTGAAAGTTATGAACCACCTACTTCACAGGATTGTTGGAGAATATATTGTGAAGAGCTACAAAGTATCCTAAGGGAAATCAAGGCCTTATACATGATATTTGAGTTATTCTAGCTGTTATGAAACCTTCCTGGGTACTGGCTGGGTTTAAACTATAAATAAAGAAAACATCATATTTCACTTAAGTTACTGACAAGGCATATAGTAATAGGGTGACTTCAAGATATCCAGTGGAATAACCCTCTGAGTTTATGTTATAATAAACACAATCATTAATGTTAGGCCTAAGTCTTGGATAGACAAGGACCCCTAAAAACTGAAGTAGTTAAAAACTAACACAGGAATAGAAAGCCAAACACTGCATGCTCTCACGCTTAAGTGGGAGCTGAATAATGAAAACACATGGACACAGGGAGGGGAACAACACACACCAGGGCCTATCAGGGGGCGGGGGAGGGAGAGCATCAGGGTAAATAGCTAATGCATGCTGGGCTTAATACCTAGGTGATGGCTTGATAGATGCAGCAAACCACCATGGCACACGTTTACCTATGTAACAAACCTGCATGTCCTGCACATATATCCTGAAACTTTAAATTAAATAAAAAAAAAAAAAGAAAGAAAGAAACTACCTCAGTATCCCAGGTCAGCTCTGCAAGGTCTTCAAATGTGCTCTAGCAGCAATTCCTTTTTTTGGTGGGGGGGGTGGGTGGAGAACAAAGTCATTATCTGACCATTCTGGGGGCCAGAAGTTCAAGATGCCTCTTTTAATCAAGGAAGCTTTGCCTGTCCCTGCCCCCAATTAAGAAAATACCTCCCTGATCACTGATTCCTTTTTACCCCCTTTTTTTTTTTCCAAGCAACACAGAATCTTGGGCTCCTGAGGACTGGTGAACTCCTCTGGAGACATCTGAAGCCATAGCCTGGCTGCTGTGCCAGGTTAAACCTTGGGAAACCTTCCCCTCAGCCAGGCTTGGGCCCTGGGCATCCTGTGGCAAGGCTGTACCTCAGCCCCAGTGTCTACCCTCTTCCCATCTCTTTCTCCTCTCCCTCTACCATCACTGTCATCTGCCCTATCCTGGAGCACCTCTAACTTTCACTGATCCCCTCATTGCTCAGGATTCATATTGTTAAAAAGAGCGACCATCATGAGTGTCCTTCAAGAACATTGTTAACTCACATGTATATAGTGCATTATAATTAATAGCAAGCACTCCCATAAATTGTTTCATTTGAACCTCAGAGCAAACCCATGAGAGGGAAAGGATTAGTAGTAATACCTCCATGCTACAGTTGGGGGGACCGAGGCTTAGTGAGGCCAAAGTCACACATTATTCTATATTAGTTTCCCCTGGCTGTTGTAACAAATTACCACCAACTTGGTGGCTTAAAACAACACAAACTTATTCTTGTATAGTGAGGGGTTACCTTTTTTCCCTGTATCATCATCACACGGCCTTCTTCCTCTTCTGTAGTCAAATCTCTGCCACACTCGTGATTTCATTTAGAACCTACCTGATCACTCAAGACAATCTCCCCCATCTCAAGATCCCTGACTTAAACACATCTGCAAAGCCTCTTTTACCATATAAGATTCCAGAGATTAGAAGTTAATGTGTCTGGGGACCATTACTCAGGTTACCACACGCGTCAAATTTGTAGCAAGAGTTCTACGTTCCCTGTTGAAGCATTTCCACTCATTTTCTTTCTCTTTGGAATTTGCAGTCATCACAAAGTTGCTACTTTTTCAGTTAAGTTCCTGGTCAAGGGCTGAGCAAGTGACCCCTCCAAGCATGCTTCTGCAGTCAGATCACCAAATCATGCGGACAAAGTGAGCCTCATGGTGACGGGCATCACCCTGAAGTGGCCCCATAGGCTGCACAGTGCTTTCACGGTTCTACATCTTAGCCTTCAGTCCCCTCTGCCCAGGCACATCTTTCTCTTTTGTCTTTTCTCCCATTGAGTCTCATGCCCTTTTCTACCCCCAATCCTCCTCAACTGGACCCTATGGGCTGCTTCTCCATTTCACCAGGGCGGACACATTTAGTATCCTCTGCAGTTGTCACTGACATTCTGTTTACTCCCTGGAAGGCCTAGTTATTAATGGCACTTTCACCCTTTCATTGCAAATTGCAAAGACCTTCCCCAGGCCCCCAGATGGCCCCTCAGAGAAGACGCTCTGATTCACAACAACAAAATAAAGCAAGACCCAGCTCTTCTTTGGGAAGCTAATTTAAAATCCCCTTGTTCCTCTTTAGCCCCTATCAGTTTTTCTTTCATATAACCACCAAGATTAAAATATAAAGTATATTTTGCTGAGAATCCAACTGTCTCAGGTGGGGGCAGGACCATGCCTGCTGGCTGAAAGGGGCTGCTCCAGGAGCTCTGTGAGACAGCTGGCAGAGGTGGCCTCAGACTGCCGAGCTGTTCCCACAAGGGTCCTCCAGCAGGCAACCTACTCAGCACCCTCCATATCCTTCCAGGGCCACCCATCACCTAGTACCGGGCCCATCCATGGGGAGGGGACATTGTCTCTATTGGATAGATGAGAAGATAGTAGAAACGGTCCAATATCACACCCCTGTAAGTGCCAGAACCAGGGCCAGAAGCTAAATCCATTTAACTCCAGTGACAACAGTGAGTAAAATCTGGAGGCAAATTCCATGAATATGTGTCTTCTCCAACCACCATTGCAGAGATCTACTTTTGGGATTTGATGCATTCCCAAACAGAGACATGAGTTAACCAGAATAGGTGAGCAAGAAATAAAACTAGACATGAAGAAGATATTCACAGTCTGCCTCCTCTTATCTCAAGTGTTCATTTTATACAATTACACTTGTTACCTGATAAATTTAGGTTATACACATTTTAAAAATCCTCCTCTTTCCCTTCATCCTGAACCTGCACCTCCCAACCCTTCAAAAATTTGTCTTAGGTTGAAAATATGGATTTCTTTTTTTTTTTTTAATTTGTTTTCCACTCAGGTCTTGGGCCACAAGATTGGAACCTAGTCATAGAAGGCTTCCCAGCTGTGTGTACACATTGCTTCCATCTTTTTTTTCCTTTTTACCTTTGGACACGTGCTTCAGAAAGCCCATCTGGGTCTTTGTGCTCACCTGGGTTCATATTTGTGGACCGTTTCCACGGCTTTGTCAATTTTCTGTGAATAACAGAGTGTTGTGCATAACAGCAATGGGTCATTAGTCCAATTAAGTCTGCAGCCATTTCAATGGCTTCTGTAGGAGGAGATGGAACACAATATGTAATTTCAGCTTTTCTTGTGATGGTTTTCAATCCTTCCATGAACTAAATCATTATATCAGTTTTTTATTTTTTTTTATATGTCCCATTAAACTACAGAACTGGAACATACTTGTGAATGGTTTCTTTCTGCTTTAACTCAAGGAGTTCCTGACATAACAAAAACTGGTAATTAACTGGCTCAGAGACTTTTACAATAGCCTCTTTAAATAAGTTCCAGCATGCAGCCTCGCCATCCCACTCCACACTGCTGATAGCGCCGCAACGCACCCTCTATTAAACCAGCTATCACTCCTGCCGTCAGCTCCCTCACTCTCCGCCACGCTGTTGTTCTGCCTGGAAATGCCCACCTCTCTCCAGTTTCCCTCCTTAGTGAAGTCATCCCTTGATGTGGGACTCCTCCCTCTCTGTTCTCAGCCAAGCCCTTTCTTCACTCCCTGAGAATTCAACCTCAATAGCATCAGCATCACAGGGCCAGGGCTTCTGAGGTTCATTTTAAATGTAGATGATGCAAGGATTCAGTCCAGAAGAATGTCCAGAGGAATGTCACCCTGGCTCTCAGCCACACGCTGTGAACCCTGATCTGCTACTCCACTTCCGCTTTCTACTACCAGCCTCAGCAAGGAAAGCCCCAGTTTCTTTCTGGAAATAATCCAGTCAGTTCAACAGATTACCACAAAAGCCCCTTCCTGATCTTCCTGCTCCCAAACTTGCCCACCCCACCTACAGCTCCTTTTCCACAAAGCAGCCGTAGTGCTCTTTGAAAATGCAGCATTTCTCCCTAAGGTTTTCATTGCCCTTGGAATAAACCTAATTCCTTACCAGGGCCAGGGTCATCTCTGAACACTCTCCTCATGCTCACTGTGTTCCTACCTCCCTTCTGCTCCTCAAAGCCAAGCCAGCGTAGCTCTGGGGCCTTTGCATCAGCTGCACCCTGGGCCTGCAGTGCCAATTTGCATATGTCTGGTTCCCTCTTGCCTCAGGTCTCCACTCAGCAGTCATCTCCTCTGGGAGCCCTTCCTTCACCACCACCACCACACACACACACACACACACACACACACACACACACACACACACCACAAACCACTGTATCCCTGTATTCTATTATTTACTTTTATTTTTAATAACAATCTCACTCTACAATTATTGCTACAATCCTTTGCCTATCTGTACCTGTGTTTCACCCATAGAATGTAAGCCCCTTGAGAGCAGAGACCATTTGTCTTGCTTGTGTCACATCTGCATCTGCATTTGGCACACAATAGATGCTCAGGAAATATTTCTCGAATGAAGGGTTTTGTAACAGGAGCTGTACGATGCGCAGAAACTCCACCAATGACCAAGACCCCCCCACCTTGGGCTCCACAGCCTAGAGGGGTAAGCAGATAAGAAAATATTATCTGAACTCAAGTACACTTTAGAAGTGCAATGGGGATGCACTGTGGTGGTGAGCTGTACAGGGCCTTGGGGGAGCAGAGCTCTGCCCTTATGTTAAACCACCAAGGTGTGTGTAGATCAAGGATAGGTGATCTTTGGCAGAGGTTTGGTACTGAAACAAAGTGACTGAAGTTAAACAACAAACACCAAACACCAAACTGAAATGAAGGCAGTTCCTGGTTAAATACACCAACTCTGTTAATAACTCACCCTGCTGTGCAAATTTATTAAAGCAGTCTCCAAATAAACAAGTCCTAAAACTAATCAGGAAGTGGAAAAACATAAAAATAATCCCCAGCCCACAACACACAACCATGAAAACAAGAAATAAAGAAAAATCTTCTATATAAAACCCGCGGGGCCAAACTCTGTCCTCAATTAGTGGTGCCGGCTGCCAGCTGAAGTCAATGGAGGTTTTCAGTCCAATAATAGAGGCAAGATTCGGGGCCCACGATGCATTTCATTTACTTTTGGGTAATAAACCAGGAATGTCAAGTAGATGTGCGTGGGCTTCGATGACATGAAACTTAAACCTAACAGCACTATCCTCCATGTTGAGATCCACTGGAGCTCAGGGCAGCCAAGGAGGTTCTACAGTGTTTGTGAAGAGACAACTTGCGTGGGTTGTGCTAGGCATCACTAGGAGGAGGGAACTCGTCTGGCCAGGCCTACACCCTGCCCAGGACTGGCTGCATAATTTGTGGGCCCCAGTGCAAAATGAAAATAACTCCTTGTTCAAAAATAATTAAGAAGTTCAAGATGTTAACAACAGAACATTAAACCAAGTCCAAGGCCCTTCTGAGCACAGAGTCCTATACAGTTGCATAGTTTGGACACTTATGGAGCCAGCCCTGAGTAGGAAAAATTCTGGAACACAAGCTTGGGCTCAGATTTAGAGCTCTGCATCAGTGTCACAGCTGACAATTTTTAAGCACTTCCTATGTTACCAGGAACTGTTCTAAGTGCTTTACCCATATTAACTCACTGATGCCTCACAGCAAGCCCATGCAAAAAGAAGTCCAAGTAGCCCCATTATATATTGAACAAATTGAGCTGCCCAAGGTCATACAGCTTGTAAGTGGCTGAGCCAAGATTCAAACCCACATGATCTAGCTGTTAGCCACCTTCTACTGCTTGTTAGCAGTAGTCATGTTAACTGTGTTAGTCACTCGACACGTCATTGTGTTTCTCTCATTCTAACAAGCCTCTTACTCATATCTCATGAGATTCATTTCCATCACAACCAAGGACTGTCTGAATTAAATTATCCACTTTGTGGCTTGCTACTTGTGTGACTTTGAATCAGTTCTTTGGCCACTCTAAGTTCAAATTTCCTCATCTGAATAAAAGAGATTAAAATAGTACTGATCTCATGATTGAGTTTGTTGAAGGAAAATGCCAGGTGAATAGGCAGTACTCAATAAAATGTTAGCTCCTGCTATTGCTATTATTGTTTGCAAACCTTAAATAGATCTTAAGCTGACTGTAATAAAATAATAGTTACCATGTATTGAAACTTATCATATACCAGGAAATTTACATAGATCATATCATATATTACTACAAACCTAATGAAGGACACCAAGATAACTAAATAGGGAAAGAATATTCTTTTTAACAAATGATGCCAGGACAATGACATATCCATATATGTACAAAATAATAAAGGTAGACCCCTTCCTCACACCATATACAAAAATTCAAAATGGATTATAGACCTAAATGTAAGAATCAAACTATGAAACTCTTAGAGAAAAACATAGGACTGAATCTTTATAATCTTGGGCTAGGCAATGGTTTCTTATACAGGGCACAAAAAGTACAAGCTACAAAAGGAAAAAACAGAAAAATTGAACTTCAACAAAATTTTGAAATTTTGGGCAACAGAGGACACCATTAGGAAAGTGAAGAGAACCCATAAAATAGGAGGAAATACTTGCAAATCATATATTTGATGAGGAAATTGTATCCAGAATATAAATAATTCTTATAACTCAACAATAGAAAGACAACCCAATTAAAAATTAGCAAAGAATTTTAATAGACATTTCTCCAAAGAAAATATACAAATGGCCAATAAGCACGCAAAAGATCTTCAATATCATTTGTTGTTAAAGAAATGCAAATAAAAATCATAATGTGATACCACTTCACACCAAGATGGCTAAAATCAAAAGGACAGAATACAACAAATTTTGTCAAGGATGTGAAGAAATGGAAACTCTTATTTATTGTTGGCGGGACTATAAATGGTACAACTGCTTTGGAAAATAATTAGATAGGTTCTCAAAAAGTTAAACATACAATTACCTTCAGTTCCAGCAATTCCACTTTTAGGCATATACCCAAGAGATTTGAAGATAGATAATTCAATACAAAAGCTTGTATACAAATGTTCATGGCAGCATTATCCATAATTGCCAAAGAAAACCCAAATGTCCATACACTGATGAATAGATAAACAAAATATGGTATATTCATACAATGAAATATTACTCAGCAATAAAAAGGAATGAAGTACTGATACATGTAAAAGATTGGATGAATCTTAAAAACATTATGTTAAGTAAAAGAAGCCAGTCACAAAAACCACATACTGTATGGTTTCTTTTACATGAAATGTCTAGCATAGACAAATCCAGAGAAACTGAAATAAGTGGTTGCTGGGAGGGATAGGGGAAAGGAGGAATGGAGAGTGACTATTAATGGGTATGAGTTTCTTATGGGGGTGATGAAAATATTCTGGAATTAGATAGTGGCAATTGTTGCATGACTCTAAATATACTAAAAAATCACTGACTGAAATCACTTTAAAAGGGTGAAATGTTATATAGTATGTAAATTATATCTTGAAGAAGCTGTTATGAACAACAAAACCCCCAAATCCTAATAAGGTAGGTTTCATTTTCCCTGTTTGGTAGACAACGAACTGAGATTCAAAGTGGGTAAGAAACTTTCTTAAGGTCAAAGAGCAAGGCAATAGGAGCTACTATTGAAACCTACATGCATCTCATTTCCACATCTACGCCCTTCATTAAACTGCTTCCAAAGCTCTGATAACAACAACAACAACAACAAAAAATCCTTCTCAAAACAAGAAAGAGGTTCCAGCCACATTTGGTTTAGATCTGAGGTCACTTAATTCAAGCCTCATTTTCTCAAGTCCTTTACCGCCAGCTTGATCCTAGGCCCCGGGCAGATGGGTGTGTGGTGAGACACATGGGAAGCCTATGAAAGGTCATAAACTTATGTCAGTCTGGCCACTGACCCAGACTGTGGCCTACTGGCTCTGATGGAGAAGTCTATCCCAAAAATCAATAGTAATGGCAGTGGCTCAATTCAATTGCTCACGAATCCCCATCCATCATTAGGACAGCAGAATGGCAATGCTGGCCTTGCTAGGACCTAGTCTTTCACATTTACAGGCTTCATGCAAGTAGATGGCCCTTTCACCCTTAATGATTCCCTATGTCAGAGCACTGACACGTCTCCTAAAGCAATACTCAATATTTACTCCTATTATTATACATTGTATTTACTATGACCTGTATATCATAATTATCCACTGACCTGTCTTCTTCTACTCCCTCTTCAGTGAGATTCTTAAAGAAAGGACTGTGTTTCATTCATTTAAAAATTTTCCACACCATAGAAACTTCCCATCACGTATTAACAAAAGTTCTAGTACCATTTCCTATGTGTATACTGTATACTTGCTGAGTGTCAGGCTCTAGCCTAAAGTTTTATGACAGTGATCATATTTGATTCTCCCAACAACTCTATGAGGTAGAGACTATCACAATCCTGATTTTACAGCTAGTAAATGGCAGCCCAATAAATCTCCTTAAACTTCTGTGAACCGTATTCTTGGTCAGTATAAACGCTATTCTTTCTGGGTCACTCCATAAAGACATGGGATATGTTTTCATTGATTCAGATCTTGCTGTATATGTACACCCTTAGCAAACATAGATGCTGGGCAGGGTGGTACCGACTGGGACATGACAGGCAGACAGCCCTGTCTTGGATCTGATCATAAACATCACGCCAGGGGTCAGCTGCCTAAATTCCAATCTTTCCATTCAGAAGGCAAGTTTATACAATTGCATACTTGAGAATTACCTCCATTAGAATTTGTTACTACACTAACGCAAAGTGAGAAATGGTATTGTGTTTTTAAAGTCCGAGTAATTTTGTTGAATGCCTTTATTCCCATTTTGGAGAGAGATTGGAATGTTTTCCCACCATGTGGGGCTATTTTACTGACTAAGGGCTGTGGCACCCACAGTCTGATGGTTTGTAACAATTTTCTGGGGTTTAGGAAATCACCTTCAGTGACTAAGTCAAGCCATTAAAAAATGGGACTATTCCTCTATTCACAACTGGCTGAAGAATTTCAGGTGTTTTACTCACATCCCAAGCATTCATAATGTCAGTGTTTAAAACCAGCTTTTCCAGTCAAAACCCTCAGCCAGGACTTGAAAGGGGATCTCAAGTTCTCTCTTTGTGATGTCAGCCATTGCAGGATTCTCACACCTTTATCAACTCTCCACAGCACTCCTAAAGGCCCTTTTTAATGGGCCTTCTGCTTCAACTTCACACTCAGGGACAGAATTTAAGACATGGGTTCTCACTAGGTGTACCTGTGAACACTGAATAAGGCATGAAATATCCCTGTGGCCACCTTCTGCTGTCTTGGCCTAAAACTCCATCTTAGCTCATCGTTTGTGCCACGTGCAACGAGGTCACCCACACTTTGCTGTTGTTGCCTGTTCTCCCTTTACCTTACCACCGGAAAGTGGGGTTTTCTTGTTGTGGTGATGGTTTTTTTGGCAGGGGGGATCAGTTTTTGTGTCAGTTTTGGCTTGGGACATGTATTTGTTTTGCTTTCTTTCATATGGTAGAGGGAGGGCTATGAAATGGAGCTTCTGCTTTCTTTACTGATTCTCTCTTTTCTTGGACCCTGTCTCTCTTCCACTGTCTGGTGCTCCATCTTTCCTAACCAGCATCCTCATACTACCAGCTGGTTCTCTTACGCCTACACACACTGGCCAGGTAGACATGTGGGGAGAAGAAGCAAGAGAATATTTGAGCCAGTCAAGACCAGAGCAGGCTGGTAGTTAGTTTGGAGAAGCTGTAGCTGTTGAGGGTAACACAGATGCCAGCCAGAGGCTCCCCAGCTCTTTGTGGGTATGAAGAAAATTGACCAGAACTTACCTCCCACCCATTCTGTGGCCTTTGGAAACCCAAAGCTCTCCTCCAGATTGCTGCCACTTCCAAGGGACCTCTTCTCAAGGTTTTCAGCTCCAATTTCTGAACCAGCTACCTTTGTCCCACACATATCAATCCCAGTGTGGAATCCGGTACTTTCTTCCTTTTCTGCAATCAAATGAAAATATCCTTCACCCAGCTCTTGCTCAGTTTTATAAACTTTACTGAACCACCCCAGGCAGGTTTCTGCTCTCTCCCTCCACTTCCTGTCTTCACTTCTAGATTCCATTCATCCACTTATCATGCCCAGCAGCTGCCTTTGCCCCAGGGGCCTGGGTGCCAGTCCAGGCTCCTCTCCCCAAGCACCCATCAGTCATCTCTTGGAACCAAAGACTCTTTTCCCTTAAAGAAACTCTGTTGTCAATTATTATAAAATTTTCTCTATCTTGTTACCCTGGAAAACCTTGGGACTGTTCAGAACACGGGAAGAGGGAGTGTTCTGCTGAGACGTCACTGGGAGCAAACGAAGTTACGTAAGAGAGAGTGAGGGCAAGCAGGAACTGAACAGGCAGATTAAGACATGGGCTGCACAGATGGCCAAATAAGAAAGGGAAAAGGAAGAGAGAGAGTTCAAGGAGAGGAAAAACCAGTCTTTGGGGGTCTGCAGGAAAACCCCTCTGAAAAAGACATCAAGGCAAGGGCAGCAAGAAAATCTTTCACCAGAGCTAAGCCAGCAGAACTATTTCTCAGCACTGTGGAAACTCACAAGCACTCACTACCAGTGTAGCTGGGAATCTAGGCCTCCTAGGATGCTGGCATCTTATCTGACACTCTTCACAGGAAGGCCCTGCTGCAGAAATGAGGCGAAGCTCAGCCTCCAAACTTTGAGATCCTTGAGTCTTGCAAGAAGCATTGATGGTTTTTAGTTTCCCTGAGCATCATCCCCTCCCTGCAACCTCATGAGCTGATCTCAGCAACATTGTTTTCACTCAATGCAGGTGGGGAGTGTTGGGTTCTAGTTCTGATTGAACAATTAGCTAGCTGTGTGGCCACAGGCAATTTTTTGACTTTCAGTTTGAGTCTCTGTTTCTTTACCTGTCAAATGTAGACAATAACACTGGCCTCTTAGGGCTGCCTTGAGGACTACAGACAATCTATAACAGGTATAACAGGTACAGGGTCTGACACACAGTAGGGGCTCAGTAAAGGGCAGCTGGTTCTGCATACAAATGGATATGAATCATTCATGTTTAATTATTATTGCAAACAATAACAAATGTAGTATGTCCCATTAATTTTATTGTAAGTTTTATTTCACTGTGATCAGTGATGTGTTGATAAATATATACTAACAATTATAGTTAAATCACAACTAGATCCCTGATTTGTATCATTTGCTGATTTCCATGATGTCAATACTACCACCCTGGCCGATTTCTAACTACCAATGTGATGGTAGTTAGAACTCTGGGCACAGAGTTGGGAAGAGAATGGAGCAATCAAGAGTCATGTGACAGGCCCAGGGCGCCTCTGACAGTAGTCTCAAATCTGCTCAGATGTATTCAGATGTCACATATTGGTGCTTACAAATTAAGTCATGCACTTACAACTAAAAAAAAAGGAAATATTGTACAGCATTCTCACTAAATCAAGAAGAGCCTCCTTAGAGGAAACAGAGATTGCTCCTTTAGTTCCCCATATGCCCCTAATTCCACATTCTGCCACTCCTTGGTCACCATTTGAGTGTTCGTAATTTTTAAATTAACAAACCCCTGAGGGGTGTGTGTGTGTGTGTACACGTGTGTGCACGGGAACTGAGCTTTTCCCACCTCTTCTCTGACTATCCACATAAGTATGGATTATATTTGCAAATCAGCCTTGACTAAACTCTTATAATAGCTTGTAATATCAATTTAATGATAGATAAAATAAAGGAAAATTACATTCTCCTTCATTTAAACACTAAGCCCTTTTAATTGTTTTATTAAAAAACCTCATTTCCCCCCGTAATTGTCAATATATTTCCATCACCCCAGGAAATAAAAAGGCTCCTTTCAGGGGCAATTTTAACACCTGTAAATCCCCCAGATGGTAGAATGAGTCTGTAAGAGCTAGAGAGGAAAAGCGTTTGTTTTATAGTCTGGCAGTTTCTCAGTTTGCTCTTTATTTTTTTAAATCCTTTCATTGCATTTTTGACTAGTGTTGGATAAATAATGTTTGGATTAAAAAATCCTACTGTATGATTGTACTCAGCATTCTTGCTACCAGTTTCCCAGATTCCACATTGAATAATATATCTCTGTCTCCATGTAACACTTTGGATGGTCACATACAGAACTGGAGCGACCCAGAAGATCATCTCACTCCAACTTTTACTTTGCAAATGAGAAAATCGAGGTCCAGAATGATACCATGGTTTGCCCATGTAAGGGCCTGGCCTTTTACAATTCTCCAGGCAGCCACAGCCACCCTTGCCCTCCATGCTTCCACCTCACCCCACCACACACTCACAGTGGGATGTACAGTCACAAAATTCAGCAGAAACTAAAACATCAGCTATGCCCCAGCCAAAAACAAAAAAAAAATCATTTATCTATTCAATAAATGCTTACTGGGATGGGCGTGGTGGCTCACGCCTGTAATCCCAGCACTTTGGGAGGCCGAGGCAGGTGGTTCGCTTGAGGTCAAGAGTTCGAGATCAGCCTGGCCAACATGGCAAAACCTTGTCTCTACTAGAAATACAAAAATTAGCCGGGCATGGTGGTGTGTGCCTGTAGTCCCAGCTACTTGGTAGGCTGAGGTGGGAGAATCGCTTGAACCTGGGAGGTCGAGGCTGCAATGAACCGAGATCGCACCACGGCACTCCATTTGGGTGACGGAGTGAGACTCTGTCTCAAAAAAAAAAATATATATATATATATATATATGTATATATGTATGTATTGGACACTTATTACTGGTTACTGCCATTTTGATGCTACACTTTTTAAGCTTATGATAGATACTCACTTCCTTAAGCTCCTGCATCATCAGTGTAACCCACAGCTCTCTCACATGGAAATAAACCTTGTTAAAGAAAGCTTTTAGATATTTGCCTGTTATGTTCACCAGAAACTTGACAAAACCTCGATATTGTGCTCTGTGTTGTTTGTTTAACTCTAGACTTTATACAGACAACAAAGGATTTATTGAACTGATCAAATCCTTAGTGTGGAAGAACACTCTATGGTTTACTAAACCGTTCATTTAAACATAACTATGTGCTGTAAATGAGGTTCTCCTCCAAACCCCAAGTCATGCCACCAATGGAAAGAGGGTGGTTTTTTAAATAGACAGTTCTAGAAACATACCCAGCTCCAGCATGTGCTGGGTGAACTTCAGCAAGTTACTTCATTCCTCTGGGACTCAGTTTCCTCATCTGAAAAAATAGGAATACTACTACTTAGCTCAAAGGTTTGTCAGGCGCTAAAACCTGATCACATCTATAAAGCTTCTAGCACAGCACCCCGCAGGACGATCGCCTTGCACACATGAGCTCCCTTTCCTGTGTCTCCCCTACTCAGGAGATGGAAGGGGAGTTGACAGGAAAAAGAAAAATTAGGCGGATGCACAGGAGAAGGGGATGGATGCAAAAGGAAAGGTGTGGTGGGGGAGAAGGGGAGAGAGAATGGAAAAAGAATGGCTTAGACATGGGGCCCAAAGAACAGGAAAGGAAGAGGCTGCTGCTGAAGAGCAAGTGGGACTCTGCCTAAGAGCCCTTCTTATGCAATGTTAATCACAGTTTCAGAGAAGGCAGCCTTGGCACAGAGAGAGAAGGTAAAAAGGCCTTCTTCTCAGTCAGAAAAGAACTATCATCCCCCACAGATTCCGCATTGGAAAAACAAATGCTAATCCACTCACAAAAATATTTCTACTAAAATGCTCTGCATTCTGAAGGAGTCATTTCCATATGGGCTCCCTCATAGTTGGCACCCTTATTTGCAAAGCCTGCTGTCCTTCAGTGGTCATCCAAATTTGGTGAAACTCCAAACAGTCCTGAACTCAGAAAATAATTCTCTAATCCAACTGTTTTCTAACAATTGAATCTTTAGGCTCTGAGCCTGGTATTTTTACCTATGCCATTTAAAAAATCTGATTAATTCATATAGACCGTACTATGGGGCATAAAGAACTTTCATGAGTGTTGTCATGGATCATGTAAAAATATTGGTTCCACACCAAGCCAGTTCTACTGACTAGAAAGCAAGATAGGAAATCATGCATGAAATGAACCCAATTCCTTACTAAAGGGCTTGTTAATAAGGGGGCAATGGTGATGCAGGCCGAAGTCAGCTTATTTCCTAATACAGGATAAAATGTCTATTTTTGGTTTTATTTTTGTGTTTTAAGTGATGTACAGGATTTGAATGGAATTAAATATGAGTAGTAAGAAACATTCCAGTCTCCATCCTGTGTAACAAACTACCTTAGAACTTACTGACTTAAAACAATGACCATTTTATTGTATTTCATGAATTGTCAGGTCAGGAATCAAACAGGGCTCAGCTGGGTGATTCATCTGCTCCTCATGAAGTCAACTGAGGTTACTGAGTGGTACTTAGTTGGCATAAGGGTAGGTAGTTTCAAGATGACTTTACTCACATGTCTGGTACCTTAAGGATAGCTAGAAGGCTGGGCTCCATTGTGGTTGCTGACCAGAACACCTACACCTGGCCTCTCCTGCATGGTGGTCTCAGGGCAGCCGGACCAGTTACATGACATTGACTTCTCCTAGAAAAAGTGTCTCGAGAGAATCTATGAGGAGCTTTATGGCCTTCTCTGACCAAATCTTGGAAGTCATGTGGTGTCACTTCCACTTCATTCTATTGAGTCTAAGCAAGTCGTAAGGTCAACCCAGATTCAAAGGAGGGATATTAGGTTCCTCTCAAATAGCAAAGTGCAAAGTCACACTTTAGAAGATATGTAGGATGGGGATATTACTGCAAAATAAAATCTGTAACTGGGGACTGGGGACAAAAATCTCTGATTGCCTTCCCATGGCATGGTATCTAAAATATCCAATATCAGCTTTAAGGCCAAAAGTGGCTTTGTCTTCATTGACAGATTCTTTGCCCTGATCTGAAGTTGTTTGTTCACACAGTGCAATCCTATAATACCTACTTCCTGCCATCCCACTCAAAGACTTAGTGGATGTGGCTCTGGCAGGGCCAGCAAGGTAGTGACTTGGGGCATCAATCTATAAAGGGTGCTAAATTAACACTTAGACCTAAAATAAAATTACCGGAAGTAAAATAATATGGAGAACATTGAACACATCAGAAGTCCTCTAAGGCAGCATGCAGTGTATCATTGGAACGAATGGCTTGATAGACTCTCAGAGGTAGGAAGTGAGACTCAAAAGGAGGCATGCTTAAGTAACATCAGAGGGTCACTGAAGTACATTCTCAGGAGAGTAGATCCAGGCAACTCAGAACTTTTGCCTTCCTAGATAGATTATGCAAGTCTGGGACCAGAGATGAATTGTTTGTAAGAGTAGAAAGCAGGCAGAGCGCTACCACCATCCCATCATCTCTGCACATCCCTCAAGTCAACCTCAACTTCTCTAAAGAAACATTAAACAAATAATTAAAGAGTGGCATTTCACTGTCTGGCCCTGGACTCTAGACCCATTATTCTAGGCATCAAATCTCCCACCCAAGTAACCTTGGTTCAAGGTTGAGTGATGGACACAATGCTGAAGCAATGGGCTTGAGACTCAGGCTTCGATCTCTGACATTTACACTGCACTCTGGAAGCTTTTGTCTCAATTATGATCAATTTTTTGATTTGTAAAATAGGAACAATGATAATACTTACCTCCATAGCATTGTTGTATGAACAGTTTAGATAATGCCTGATAGCAACCAGTGAATGCTGGAAATCACATTATTGTTGTGTTATTGTTTTTGGTGCCATGGTGGGGGTAGTGTCTTTATCCTTCTTCCTAAACACTTGCTTGGCCACAGTACAATTTCAAAATGACATAAGTTTGGCCGGTGTCACCTTCCCCATTACTGACTTCTCCTTGTTTATACAGAGTTTGGCGAATGGCTCTCAAATTAAATAAAATACAAAAGATAATCTACCATCTTGGAACACACAGTACTTGATATTGCAGAGCAAGGAGCCTGCATTCTCCTGGAGCTATTCTTTTTACCTTGGCAGCAGAGTAATTTTCAAATAAATATAAGTTCCAATAGGGACAGTGCCAAGATCCAGTTGTGACAAAGCAACCAGCCAAACGAATAGAGTTATTAGGGATGATCTCCTAAGAAGAGAACTAAATGTTGATTGAATGTGAAAACTATATAATGCTCGACCTTCACTTCAACAGCATGGTATTTTTTAGGATTTGGGGTCAGCCACCTAATTTCCAAATGCCTGGATGTATTCAGAAATCAAACCATCCTGATTTCTCTGAGAAAGATGAGCTAGACCAACAGACTCCCCTAACGATGATTCAGAGGAGATGCCTCCACTTCCCTATCTCTCTTGCTTCTTCTCCCTTTTGCAGATGTAAACATGCCACAAAACAGGGCAAGACATTTGCGAACCAGCTTTGCAGCTGCTTCATTACTCTACTAATATCAATATTAATTTTTGCAGGCTTCCTTTCTCAGCACATCAGGCTAGAGGTGCAACTTGTACACATCCTGGTGTTTGGCAAGGGGATTTGTGAGCCTGCTCTAAAGGGCACCTCCTCTGCCACTTCTCCTGTGGCACCATGCAAAAATCTCGTTCAAGCCCAAGACAGCAGGGAGAGAGCAGGGGAGGCAAAGTCAAGTCTCACAGGCCAGATCACAAAAGCTGAAAAACAAGCACCTGGGTATTATGTGCCTGCCTCTCTGGTGTTTTCGCCGCCAATTTCCTACTTGGCCACATGTGCATGTTTAATTAATGTTCTGCTCATCACCTCCTGCAAGTCATTAATAATGATGCTCTGTAGACGCCGGCCCATCTCAGAGCCTGCCAGAAGCATGCCGCTGGCCACCAGCTCCCAGTCACTCCACGGCCGCCCACCGGCTGCTCACGTGGCCTTCCAGCCAGCTTTCAATACAGGAGACAGCTCAGAACCAGCCCCGTTGAATTCATCTTTCAAGTGAGATTTCTGGATGCATCCATTTCATTTCCTTCACCCACTAATGTTGTGGATTTTTTTTAATTCTATTAAAAAATGCAATTAAATTTGTCTCATGGAATTTGCTCTTTAAAAACCCAGACAGCTGCTTGCTCATGGTGGCATTATGCTCTTGATTCTTACACATGTTTTTCCTCATCTCCATTCCATTACTTTACTGAGGATTAAAGACAGGCTTACCAGATGGCAAATGCCAGGATCTCTTCCCACCCCCACCTCCCGTTCGGAAGACTAGTATCATATCAGCCATAATACACAGCCCAGGTTCCTCTATGCAGCTTTTGGAAGACATGAGTAATTGCTTCATTTAAATTCATTAGTCAATGCCTAAAACACAATTAAAGGGCAGGAGGTTAGGAAGAAGAAAACCTGAGTACTGCTGGGAATGCCACGTCCGGGTCTCTCTCTGTGTGCCTCAGTTTCTTCATCTCTTCAGTCTCACTCGCTTCCTCCATCATTTCTCAGCCATAAAGCATTCATTAGGCTGTGAAGCAAATGAGGTAATGTCTGTGGTGAGATGGTTTGTGCGTTTCCAAAGAAAGACACCATATAAAAAGCATTCTGATTGCTAACAGTCAGGGATGCTGAGGATTGGGCCTGGCTGGCTTTATAAACTATTTAACTGCCTGCTTCTTGCAAAAACTATTTTTATCAGTTAATTACACATTTTTCTTATTAAATAACAATGTGAAAGCATTTCTTGCTCATTTTCCTGTCATGATTAATTTAATCTGCCTCCCTTTATTGAAAGTCCAGTATTCTTCCCCTCATCTTATCCACCCTGACAGGCTAGTAAAAGCCCCACAACTCTTCAGCCCCTTTGATTAACATTAACCCATTCTACTTCCTTCTTTTTCTTATCCAGAGTCCCTGAAAGAGTTTCTTTTTCTCCCCAAACTGTGTGCCTGGTGCCTAAGGAAGCACCGGACGTTAAAGAATGGACCTTGCCCTCACAGATGACTTCCTTCCTCCTTTCCTTTCTTGTGCCCTCTCTCAGGCAAATTCCCAGAGGCAGAAAAGATTGAAACTCAGCCTCCAGCCATGTCCTGCAAGGGAAGGAGGCCAGAGAGTCAGCGAAGGGACCACTGGTCATGTTCGATTTCAGAACAGACACACATGTGATGTGAAAGGGATTGGACAGGAGTGAGAGGGAACGTGCCAACACCACAGGCACTCACTGCCCTGTGGCACTCTTTTCTAAATTATTGGTTATTATTAACTAAAATTACTAATTATAATAAGCAATAATACCATTATTCCATGCTTAAGCCCCTGACATGGAAAGGGGACACGAGGCAGGCCCTCATACTATTGCTGAATGCACAGAAAGAGACTGAGCTTCAAGAAGATAAATCACAATTTTTGAAGCAAAATAGCCAACAATGACAATGACAGAAATGGTAACAGAAGAAGTAACTGCATGTTTTTTTCATCTGTTGCTTGTTGGGGGTAGAATACCGTACAAGTGATGGGATGGCCCTTCTGAGGTTGGGCTGCAGAAAGGCTGTGGCTTCTCTTCTGGATGCCTTCTCTGACCTGCTGGCTCACATCAAGGAAAGCAGCTGCCACGGGGTAAGTTGTCCCATGATGAGGCCCAGGTGGCAAGAACCTAAGGAACAGCCAATGAAACACGGAGGCCCTTTGTCCTAGAGGAACAGAACCCTCTGTCCATGAGGAACAGAATCCCACCAATAACCACACAAGTGGGCATGGAAGCAGATCCTTCCCCCAGCTGAGGATACAGAAAAGGACGCAGCCCCAGCCCCAAATTGATTGCCACCACATAACCAATTTTGAGACAGAAGCACTCAGCTAATCCATGTCTCTATTTCCACATCCCACAGAGACTGTGAGATAGTAAATACCTGTTTTTCTTAAGCTGCTAAATTTGTTACTCAGTAGTAGATAACTATTACACCATCCCTCCCACAGTCAAGATAATCCAGAAAGACCTGCCTCATGGCATACTACAGTCATGAGGAAAAGTACACTGCTGCCCTCCCTCACGCCCACGAACTTGTTAATCAACCAAAACCCTCTTTCTTTTTGGATGTGGTCTTACAACCCTTCCCAACACAACTCTCCAAGCAGGCACCCCCAGTCAGTTGTTCGGAGATGAAAGAAAACTCTTGCTGTCCCTAGAACAATTCAAAGAGAAGAAAACTCCAAGTTAGAAGACCTGATTTCTACTTACAAGCCAACAGGCTTTGGGCAGGTCATTTATACTCTCTCAACTTCATTTTCCTCATTGATAAAGTAGAGATAATCTATTTGGATGCTCTGAGGTAAAAGGAACAGAATACTCAACTTAAAAAATCTAAAGAGAATTTTGTCTTTTCCTAGTCTGCCACCTTCTATGTGTTGGCATCTCCCCTTATGGCCACAGGACGGTTGTAGCAGCTCCAAGCCTCATGTCTTCCCAAAATAATGCCCCTGGGCACGAAAAGGAAGCATTCTTGTCTCCTGGTCTATGGGTATGAAAAAATTTCCCCAAAAGGTCCCCCAGCAGAATTCCCCAGGTGTCATCTTGGCCAGAACCAGCTTACACGCCTACCCCTAAAATCATCACTGGCTGAGTGGATCGAGATTATCCTGATTGTCTGAGACAACCCACATTTCACCCCTGAGGCTGGGAGAGGCCTGGCTTCCCCTGGAGCCAATGGCCATCCAGAGAAGAGCTGGCAAAATTTGAAGTTCTGTGCATGTGAAATGAAGAGGGGCAAGTTGCCGTTGGGTAAGTGTGTTAGTTTGCACAGGCTAGGCCATGCTGGAGTATAACATACATGATGATTAACCCAATAGAAACTTATCTCTTGCCCGCACTACATGCCCAGCACAAGTCAGTGAAGGGCTCTTTCTTTTTGCACAGAGTGACTCAAGATCAGACTCACAGAGGCTCCATCCTATCAGCACAAGGCCTCAGGTTTACTCCAGCAGCAGAGGGAGAAGCTGGAGACGTCACTTTCCCTTATATTTCTTTGGACAGAACCAGTGAGTGACCCTACCCAACTGAAAGTGTAGTCTCCCATGTACTGGAAAGAGGAGAATGAAGCAGGAATTGTTCTGACCCTATTAGGCAAACAACAATGTCTGCAATAAAGTCTTATTTCCTCAGCAGGTTTTTGTGACATTCAAATAAGATAATGTATTAATTCATTTTTCAAACAATCATTAAGCACATAAGATCTACCAAGCACTGGACTGGATACAAGGATATAGATACAAGGATCAATAAGCCACAGTTGCCACCCTCCTGGCAGATATAACCACTCAGAAGACACCAAACTTATCAGAATATCATTCAAAGTTTGTTTGCCCTTTTCTTCCCCTTCCAGGCCCTGAGTGCTCACCTCACAAATTTTATCTCCCTATTGTTGGCTTAAAAGCTTTTGCAATGGTTTCAAGAGGGGTCACTGCCAGAAAAGACAGAGGACTAATCGAGAGTGGCACAGCATCCAGGGACTGTAGTAGAAGATGGTGAGATACTTACAGATGTCATCTTTTCCTTAATCTCTCTTGTCTCACAGAGTGTTAAAACAAATGAGTTTTTACATGGTTTCTTTCCAAAACCCTTTTTGTGTGGTGCATGAGAGAGAAGAGATTCCTGCCTGAGTCAGTTCTAACAGTCCACTCCCCTCCTTCCCCAAGCTTGTCTCCTTTAGCCAGCATTATCAGCAACTTGGTGTTTGATGGCTTCACTCCTTTCATGAGTGTGATCTTCCTCAAGAAGAGGTCATGATGCTGTTAGGATTGACTAACCTGCACTTAGAGATAGACCCTGAAATTGCAGTGGCTTAATATAAAGTGCTCAGCAGGATCACCTGGTCAGTTCAGGGCTGAAGGGAGGGTTTTCTCCATATCGTCTTCAGACACCCAGGCTGATGGTGGTTTTCCATTTTCAACCATGGTTTCTAAGGTTGCCCTAGGCATTGAGAGCCCCACCAACTGGAGAGAAAAGATCACGGGCAGTGCGTGTGGGAGGTTTTCAGTGGGCTGGGCCTGAAAATAGTACCCAGCACCTCTGCCCACAAACCACTGGAGAGAACTCAGTCATGTGACCACACTTAACTGCTAGGGGGGCTGGGATATATCATTTCATCGTGTGCCCAGGAAGAAAGAACAGATTTTAGTGGACAGCTAGCAGTCTCCCCCACACTCACCCACACAACTTCCTATTTTTCAACTTGGCAAAAGCTGAGTCCAGGGAGTATTTCTATACAGCAATGTACTCTTTGGCCTGCCAAGAGGCCACATTTTTTATGTGAGAAGTTTCACAAATATCTTGGTGCGATTAATGGGCAAAGACCTGACTCCACCCATTCTTCCTGTGGTATCACTACACCTAGATTCTTGGTTAAGTCCTCCAATACTAGACATAAAACCTTAAGGATGTGAAGTGATCCAGACATTTCCAACCTAAGGAGAAATCAAAGGATGCTTCCCATGTAAAATTCATCTTTTTCCAAATAGTAACCAAAAAGATAAAGGCTTATGTGACAATAAATTCAGCAGCCATGAGACTTGAGGAAGGGGGCTTCCTAGACACCTTCCATGCATTCACCCCCTGAACACATGTTTACTGAACATCCGGTGTGTGCCAGGCACTGTATTAGGCACAAGAGATACACTGATGAACCAGAATGATGTGTCTTGTGGACCTCAGAGACTAGATCAAAGGA
Organism: Homo sapiens; assembly: GCF_000001405.40. NCBI lineage: Eukaryota > Metazoa > Chordata > Mammalia > Primates > Hominidae > Homo > Homo sapiens. Next base: position 87,208,494 of record NC_000001.11, on the reverse strand, counting down.
AGAAAGTACACGAGAATATAAAGGAAACACATATCATGATAATTATAAGAAAAAAATCAGGCCAAGGCAGAGCATAACAGCAGGAATGGGGAAGGGTGATGTGTAAATGAAGACCCTAAGGATAAGGTGTTAGCCACGCAAAGGGAGTGAGGGAGGAGGTGGGCACTGCAAGTAGAGGACACAGCGTGTGCAGGGGCTGGGAAAGGGAGAGTGCAGTGTGACTGAGGAACAGAGAGTTGCCAGTGTGGCTGAAGATGAGGAAAGAAGCATGAGTGGGAGATGAAACTGGAGAAGCCAGCCAGAACCAGATCATGAAGAGTTTTATAGGTCATGATGGCAGGCATTTGAATTTGAATCTGAATGAAACAAGAAGCCATCAGGGCCTTTAAGATGTGAAGGGACATGATTCCAACTGTATTAGTTAGCTAGGGCGGCCATAACAAAGTACCACAGGCTGAGTGACTTAAACAGCAGAAATTTACTAACCAGATCATGAAGAGTTTTATAGGTCATGATGGGAGGCATTTGAATTTGAATCTGAATGAAACAAGAAGCCATCAGGGCCTTTAAGATGTGAAGGGACATGATTCCAACTGTATTAGTTAGCTAGGGCGGCCATAACAAAGTACCACAGGCTGAGTGACTTAAACAGCAGAAATTTACTGTCTCATCGTTCTGGAGGCTAGAAGTCCAAGAGCCAGGTGTTGGCTGTGTCATTTCCTCCTGTAGGCTCTGAGGGAAGATCAGTTGCAGGTCCCTCTCCTAGCTTTCGGTGGTTGGCTGGCAATCTTTGGCACTACTTGTAGACGGTGCTTAACTGTGCCTTCTCAACATCTTTTCTCTGTACAAGGCTCTTTCTCTCCAAGTGGCATTCTTTTTATAAGGACAACAGTCATATTGGGTAGGAGCCCAAATTCCGCATGACTTCATCTTAACTAACTATATCTGCAATGACCCTATTTCCAAATATGGTCACATTCTAAGGTACTGGGGTTACAACTTCGTATAATTTTGGGGTGGGGACACAAGTCAACCCATAAAACCCACATTTTAAGATTAGTCTCTGCTAAGTATGAATGGGAAGAAGGGGTGATTGGAGTGGAGGTGCAGAGGCAAGATCTGGGAGACTAGGGTCACTGCTGCCTAGGTGAGAGTTGATGTGGGCCTGGGCTAGGTGTCCCAGGAGATATTTTGTTGCTAAAACCAGCATGACTGCTGATAGACTGTATTTCACTGGTGACAGAAAGGGGTGAAGCAAAAATAACACTTCAGTTTCTGGCTTGAGCAAGGAGGAAGATGTTGATGTAATTGAGGAGATGAAAAGCAACTGGGGGATAGAGACATGTTTTGGGGTAGACTACCATGGTTTTATTTGGGTAATGTTAAGTTTGAGATATGTATGAACCAGCCAAGTAGTTATACCAAGTAGACAGTTGCATATAAGGATCTGGAACTCCAAGGAGAGGTGTGCTCTAGAGATTTAAATGTGCAGTCATGAGTGTAGAGAGGAATTAAAGTCACCAAGAACAACTGAGGTGCAGAGCCATTGTTGCTCCTTCTCAGGGTTGGTCATTCTTCTCAGAGGGCTGAGATCCTGACTGTCAAACAAGCCAACCCCTGACTGTTCCATCTCAGGCTTCACACAGATTCTCTGGGTCCTTGGTTTCTAGAGAACATGAAGACAGTGCTCCAAATTCTCTCCCAGGTTTATACAAACTATTCATCATCTGCGTCCAAGAACACCCACACAGCCCAAGGTACACAGCTACCTACATCGTATGAACATTGGTGAACACACAGACGCACGCCCCGTCCCTTCAACAGAAATGACCTAAACTTTGTGAGGTTCACATGTCCCTAGAGATGATCTCATTTGCCTGCTTCAAAAGCGCTTTGGTCTGCACAGCCTGTAGCAGCAAATTTACACTTCAAAAAGCAGACAGCTTTTTCCACATCTTATTCACTTAATGGGTGAGAATGTAAAATTAGTTCCGTTGCTGATGAGGACCTTGAGCCAAATGAAAAGTGTTCATTTGTCAGCACAGACTTACAGCCTGAGACATGATTATATAGCTAATCCAATAATGGGTTTTGATGCTGAGCATTTATTTATATACAGTATGTCTTGTTATCTGTTGATAATCAGGACCTACAATTTACTCTTTCTTGTGCGTGTAGTGTGAAATAGCAACATCTTCCAGACATATTGCATTTAAGTACCAACATGCAAACACATACAAAAAGCGCCATCATCAGCAAAATATTTTATTTGCTTTCTTTAAGAAAGAGAGAGAGAGCCAATGCATGTATTCAGGCTTTTATATTTTTGGATATAATAGTAAATAACATATGAAGTCTCTTTCAAGGCTATATAAGGGTTAAAAAAGAACACTGAAAACAAAATTTCCTTTATGATTTTGATCCACCCAAATCAAGTGATTTCTTCCTCTTGCTCTCTAAAAATTCTATCTGCAGGTCAAATCCTACACATATTTTTACATATAGTGGTATAAACCAAAAAGATACCTGGCAAAAATCTTCACAGTGCCACCAACTGACTCTCTGACTACCTGAATCTTTCAGATACTCTGCTTGTTGCAAAGGTGCGCATTATCACCATGTGAGCATGGGAACTGTAATAATTATCTCAGGCAAAATCTTTCTTTAAAAAATAGTAACTTAAAATTAAATATAAAACCACCACATTTCTATAAACTCTTGCAGAGACTACATACTGCTACATTATATTGTTTCTTACCCTGTGGATGAGCGTAAATGTCTGTCACTAAAATATAGGGACACTCTCATCCTAATATAAATATAAAATGCATAAAATCCAACATTTAAAACAAGCAGGCATTTTTATAGGTATGATGCCTTGTCACATATTCCAGCTATAATAAAGCCTACGGGAAGGGAAAAGCACGTCAGGATTAAGTATTCTGTTCATTGCAAATGTGTAGCACACCTGTAAAATCTGTGAAAAATCCCACATTTTGGAAAAGTCACTGCAAGTTCCTTTCCATGCTACCATCTCTTGGACAGGCCTAGAAAAATCCAGAACAAATGCAGCGGAGCATCAGAGAGCTGTTATCTCCAGCTGCCACTTTTCCCCACTTAGTGATCCCCAGCACAAAGGAAGCTGAGAGGACTGGTCACTCTATGATATATGAGAAGGAAGAGGGGCAAGCACGCTTTTTTAAACTGAAATTTATTCCACAATAAATACTTCAATGTTGGTGGGACATGATGTTTTATTGGATTACACTCGTTTGCTAGAGAAATCACACTGGGAATAGCAAAGCTTGCGGTTTTGTGGGTAATGCATTTGTAGATGTGAGGGTTTTACACTGGAAGTGTGTTGAAGAAGGATAACAAGCCAAATTAGGAAATAGCCAAATACATGCAAATCTCTATTAGGGCAATACTTGGCCGCGTTAAGTCCAAGAGCTTTCTGCGGCAGTTGCTTTACCTAGGCCAGATAATTCATTAGGTTTTGACTCTGGTAAAGATTAAATGAATATAGCATACATTACATTCTTACTTTCGTCGCAGAAACAAATCTTCCTTGTACCAGCCAGTGTAATCTTCAGAGTTTTCGTTATATAAAACACCTCAAGAAAAATGCACCTCAGTAAGATTTACACTTTATTACTCTAATGATTCTACAAACACTACCACAATGTGATGAAAGACAGAGTAGTCCCGGACTGATTGAGAGCTAATAAAAATCAGTACTGAAAACTGAAAAGAGCACCCTTATCATCTTTCTTTCATTTAGAGCTGATTACTAGGGGATTATAATGCAATCACAGCTATGTGTGAGAGGTAGCTATGGGAACCAGTTTTAACTGTTTATCTAGCCAAAGATCTTAATTTAAGTTTGAACACTCTGATTCATTTATATGTAAGACACCAAGGAGACAAAATGCAGAAGAAACAGATGCGCACTTGTTCTTTCCATTTAACTTCGTAAGCTACCAGCCAATTTGTCTTTCAGGGACAAAATTAATTTCTGATGACAATGTGAGCAAGTAATAAACTAGAAGTTCCTGTCCTGGGAAACTTGTTAATGCCATGTAATGTTCTGGAGTTATTTAGGAGGGGAAGAAAGAGATTTGCTCCTGGAGTTACGGGGACATCTGTAACAGACTTGCCTTTGTCCCAGCTCTTAGTCACCCCTGCAGAGGTTTATGACACCTTTTCTAGAAGTTGAATTGGGAAAGTTTAAAAGAAACCATGTTACTTACCATTTCTTTCCTATGGAGTATTTTTAAACTTCTCATTTTCCTTCATATTCTCCACATGATTCAGAATTGCTCAGAGCACAAACCTCTGGCCCATTGCTTCCCAGCCTTGGCATACAGGCAAGGCGAGTAATGATGAGATGAAAAATGAATCATAAGGCTTCCTTCGTGGGTCCCACGTTGCTGTAGAACACAGCCCTTTGCAGACAAGTGCACTCAACCTGAGGGGCTCGAGGCCATGGCAAACACTTCACAGAGGGGCCCAGGATGTGTGCCAGGACATCTCAGGGATGGGATTCAGTGTGCTAATCCGCTGCCAGCCAGAGAGAAGGGTGCCAGTCAGCTAAATGAAAGGCATGCACATATTTACTTGGATGGGAATTGAGACTGGCCACCTCCTTGAAAGCTATCTATGATGCTACCTATTTCCTCATGTCAGTGAGAATAACCATAATGATAATAACAAAAGCTAGCACTTACTGAACATTTACTGTATACCAGAGAATAAGATGGACACTCTACATACATTACTTCGTTTAATTAGCTCAAAACCCTATGAAGAAGTCATTTTTATGGCCATTTTTTTGGGCAAGGAAACTGAGTCACACAAAACCTAACTTGTCCAATGTCATGGCTAGCAAATGCAAAAGTCAGCGTCTGAACTCCATCTGTCAGACTACAAAACTGATGTTTTCTAGCGCTCTGAAAGGGAAACCTTGACAGCGTTCTTTATCTTGGCCATTAATGTTTTCCCATCTTATTACAGTAGTCACCTCTTATCTGCAGAGGTTGCGCTTCAAGATCCCCAGTGGATACCTGAAACTGAGAGTAGTACTGAACCCCATGCAGACTATGTTCCCGCCTATACATACACACCTATGATAAATTTTGATTTCTAAATTAGGCACAGTGAAAAATTAACAACAATAACTAATAAAATAGAACAATTATGACAATATGCTGTTAAGTCATGTGAATGTTCATTCTCTCTCTCTCTCTGCCTCTCTCTCTCTTTCTCTCTCTCTCCCCTCCTTCTCTCTCTCAAAATATCTTACTGTACTGTACTCACCTATTTTCAGACTCAGTTGACCACGGGTAACCGAAACTGTGAAAAGCGAAACCACAGATAAGGGGACTAACGTACATACCCAGTTTTTTCTGTCTCTAAATTGTGTTCGTCTGTTAACCCATAGGCTCTGTGCTCCGCTCCCCACTCACTCCCACCCCCGACTTCCCCAGCTCGTATTTTTCTGCTCTCCGGGGGAACTCCCCACGGCATAATGGCTATCCATTAGTGTGTTTTTAAAACCTCGCTTTCTCCTATCCTCTGACAGTTTTCATATGCTCCACATGAAGGATCCTTTTCCAGAAATACTTTTGAAGAAAGTCTAAAGTAAGCTGAAAAGTATTACATTTTTCATCTCAACGGGGAAATGGATTTACGAAAAGGAGAGAAGAGCCTGCAGGTCTTTCAGATTTTAAAAAGAATTCAACACACTGCTGCACTGGCACTGGGAACACATCTATCACAGAAACCAAGAGAGCATCTGCATTTACACGCGGAAACGATTCCTTCGTCCTTGATCACGATAATGACTTAGAGTTCCGCTGAGCCTTTCATCCAGAGGGACGCCATGGCCCCTGCAAAAGCCAGCCCAGTGAGAGGCTCCTTCCACCACCAAGGCGCTGCTTCCTCCAAGGTGAAAGGAGGAAACGGCTCTATTAGGGGAAAATTGAAAATGACAAGCAAGCACTGTAAATTCTGTTTCCAAAGGCAACTAAAATAACCCGACTGTCCGTCTTTAATTGTCCCATCTAGAACTTGGGCATAACAATGTGGTCCCGAAGAAACCATCTACAGAGCATTAATAGCAAGACATACATAAAAGAAGGGAGTTGCTTTCTGGGCCTAGAGAAAGCCATGATCTGTGAGCACTAGGACATTTTACTAATTGCCTTATTTCCGGTTTTTAAACCTAGGTCAGGCAACTGGAGGACATTCCCTAAACAATTTCTGCATGCTTCCCCTTGACCTCAGGAGTCCAGTGGGATGAGTGCAATGACAGACACAGGCTAGTTTACTGTTTGGGGCAGCGCAGAGCTGCTTCCCTGGCTGATTGTAAACGATTGGATGAAACATAACCAGCGTCACCGGCTATTGTTCTGCAGGTCCTGGAACCCAGGGTGAAAGTCAGACTCACACTCAGCAAGGCACAACTCAGAAGTTGCCGTTCCAGCCAGGTGGCGGGTGGGCCCTGGGCTAGCCACACAGCCTTAACTAATCAGCAGGTGGCAACTTGCCTCTGTCAGGAGGCGCCGCTTGTCCTCTGCCTGGAATTCCTCTCTCCTATTTCCATCCTTATCCACCGCCAATACTCCACTCAGGTGTCATCTTCTCCAGGTAGCCTTTCTAGAACCCCTTAAAGTTGGGCTAACTGTGCCCCCTCTGTGTTTCCATAGCATCATGCACATACCTCAGGAACGCCATCGCCCACATTGTATGATAAATAGGCATCATTTTATTGAAGACACACGTGCCACTCACCATGCTAAGCACTTCACACATAAATATCTCTTTTCACCCGAGGTACTATCATCCCCATTTTACAGGTGAGGAAGTTGAAGGTCAACAAGATTGAAGTCCTGCAACTAGTAAATGGCAGAATTGGGATTTGAAATTAGGACTTTCTGCCCCCACGAGGCACACTTGCCCCCAATGATTTCAGCACCCTGAGGCTGGAATCCTATTGTATCCATTTCAGTAGCCCCAGCACTAGCACTTGCCAGGCACTTATAGGCCCTCAGTGCACACTTATTGTACTGACACACAGGGGGAAGTCTATGGGGAGCTAACTGACCTATGTTAAGATAGCAAGTGAGCTGGCCTCGGTAGCCTGGCATGCTACCAAACTATTCTTATTTGTCTGGGTAACAATAGAGCTGTTTTTTGTTTGTTTGTTTTTGTTTTGTTTTTAAAAAAAAAAGAAAGGAAGAAAGTTGAAACGTTTAGGCAGGGTCCTTGGTGTCATGCTGACACTTCAGAAAATGTGTTGTCTTCCTGAATTCAGGTGTTCTTTTCACTGAATTCAGTCAAACCGGTTCTGCAGATTGACACAGGAGGTGTAACCTATAGCAATTCAATTGTTATGCATCACTGCATAATCACTTCTGTCATCCATCCCTGTCCTTCGGCAAGGCTGCTGCCGCCACTGTGGGAGCAGCTGCATATTTCCCCAGAGACTGAGTGTGGTGGAGCACCCCGCGTGGCGTGCAGGGATCATTGTGGCAGAGCCCATCTCCATGGGATAGCAAGAGGCTATGCTGTCTGACAGGTGCGCAGCCCTGCTCATCCTTCTCCTTTCTTTTCCACATCCCAGAACTCAAGTCCATCCCTTCTTTTGTCTTCATAAGGGTCTCCCTTCCATCCTTTCTTACTGTCCCTGCTACTGCCCTGGCACAGGCCATAAGCAAGTTGCCACTGGCCTCCTGACTACAGTTGGCCCAGGTCACTCTGCATGCTGCTGTCATGTCATCCCTACCCTGACCCACTGAATACCTCATCCTGCCTGATCTTCAAAAGCTAGTTTTGATTGCCTTCAGCATAAAGTCCACAGTCTCTTGATGCCCAAGCCCTCCACCAGCTACCATTCCAAGCTTATTTTCTACTATTCCCCAACTTAACCCTGCTGAGCTTTTAGCTGCTGTCCTCACTGGTCCCCAAACCAGCTCTGCTCTGCACTGGACCCCACATCCATACACACCCTGCGCTTTACTCAGGCCAGCCCAGTGCTTGCTCCTCTCTGGAATCATCAGTGATGGTTGTCTTCTTTGAATTCTCGTAGCTCCTGTCCACTTTACAGTCAGTGATCTGGTATATCATCTTAGGTAAATGTATGTTGTTGTTTAACTTCGTAGATATTTGTGTACAATATTCCTAGGGAAATCATAGGTTCCTTGTGGGTGGAGACCATCTTTCTCACCTATCTCTGCCCCATGAGGACCTAGAACAGGCAGTGTTTTAGTGATTGTTCAATGCCATTTAGCTAGACTGTGCACAATCCATTCCAGGCATCCCAGAGTCCCTGTAATACCACAAATGTACCATTTTATCTCTTATTTCCAGGTATTTGCATGAGATGTTCCTTTTACCTGGAACTCTTCAACTTTCACACTCCCCACTCCTCCAGCTCTGGTTTTCCTGGAAAGCTACTTGGCCTCAGCTTAGATATCACTGCTTTCAGTGAGTCCTCCCTTACCTCCATGAGACCAGATGAGGGTTGGATCCCCCAGCAGCTATGTTAACTCCAATCAGTGATAGTTATACTATGTGTTCGTTAAGACCCTTTTGATTATGTGTGATGGAGAAGCAACTCAAGCTAAGAAAAGTAGGTAATCTATTGGCTCAGGTATCTGCAATGGCCAGGGCAAAGCTGGACTCAAAGTATGTGGCCGGTTTACATTCTCTCTTGGTTTCTCCTCATTCTCTTTCACTTTTTCTCTACCTAGTGGTTCTGCTTCTTATCCTCTATGCAGCAGAAACTAGAAGGGGGAAGAGAGTGCTAGAGGACAGTCTGACTTTGAGGATACTGGGTTTAATCATCACAACAGCCTCCAAGGAAATGGAGCTGCCTTCTCCCAGCAGCCACACAGTAAACCCCAGGGAACTACTCTCATTGAGCTTGCTTCAGTTTGCAGGTTTATTCCTGGGCTAATCACTGTGGCCGCAGGTATGGAGATGAAGTCTGTAACCTGTCCCCCACCACAGTGTCATGGGGAGTAGAGGTGAACTACTATGATTGCCACCCTTCCCAAAGCCACTTGGAATTGAAAAAGAGAAGTTCTCCATAGGAAAGAGAATCTTATTACCAAAAAAAAAAGATAGTAGATAAACAAAAACAATATATATTCACTACACAACATGTCTGCCTCTTGCATCTGCTGAAAGTTACTTGTGGATATAACTGAGCTTTGGTCATTATCTGTCCTTGGTACCTGGCACATGGGAATGCCCAGTGAATATTTGTTAAATATATGAATGAATGGATTCTCTGAGTGCCAATCAAATACCCTAAGTTCTAGACAAGGGAACACAATGTCCTGTTTTAAAAAGCCTAAGAGTTCATACAGTGTCCACTGGCCACTGCCGTTTTGCTTTCCCAGCCAATGCAGTAGTGGCTACCAGTGGGTTTTTGGAGAACCCACCTTGACTGCTCAACAAATCCATAAAGTGTCCAAACAAGGAACCTAAATTTACCTTAGATCTGGCAAGATGTGAGCCTAAGGTCACTCACCTACCTCCTTAGGCCTGAATCAATCCAATGCTGTGATTGCAAAAATATACAAAGCAGGACTCTATCAAGGCAGAGGACAACAGGAGAGATGCTTCAGAAAATCAACAAGATGCCTGTGTTTCTCACCAGATGGAAGTAAAGAAATATGGTAAGTGAGTTGCTTTATTTGACCATTCTGTTAGTATATGCTAACAACCTAAGAATATTCCACTCTGAGATTATAACAAAATTTGGCTTCTATGCCCCTACTCAATGGCAAGCTCTTAGAGCACAAGGACCCTATCTTTAACTACTTTGTTATTCCCAAAGTGATTGGCACAACAAAGATGCACAGAGAGGCTGGAACTAAAGTACCTCAATCTATCTGGAGTTTTTATAAATCTAATTCTGCAAACCCAAATCTGATATGCTACTGAATTTCAGAGACAGTGCCATCACCTTCATTGTCTCGTTGCTTCCAGAAGAACTTTATTTATAATGATGGAGTTCTTGTATTTCTTCTTAGGCCCTATCATTAACATAAACAAAAATGCTTTTAAAATCTATTTTAAAATGTGGGTCTTACCCATTTTCTTGTCATCTGCCAAATGCCTGTAGTTTTTCTAATGAATTAGGCACCACAACATACAATAAATGTGGTGCTCATACCCACTGGTCCATCTTTACAGAATTTTGGCCAAATGCATGCGTGTGCGCACACACACACACATACACACACACACACATCTTTAAATAATAAGTTCCTTTGGAATCCCTATGGGGTATGATATGAGAAAGCTATATTCCTTAGTCTCAGGATGCCCAGGCATTACAAAAAATTTTGGAACAAACTTTAAGAAGGCTTATTTTAAACCTTAAATTCATTAAAATTTTTGGTTTATTACTGTATTAGTGTGTTTTTACACTGCTGATAAAGACATACTCAAGACTGGGCAATTTACAAAAGAAAGAGGTTTAGTGGGCTTACAGTTCCACATGGCTGGGGAGGCCTCATAATCACGGCAGAAGGCAAGGAGGAGCAAGTCACATTTTATGGGGATGGTGTCAGGCAAAAAGAGAGAGAGCTTGTGCATGGAAACTCCTGTTTTTAAAACCATCAGATCTTGTGAGACTTATTCACTATCATGAGAACAGCATGGGAAAGGCCCATCCCCATGATTCAGTTATCGCCCACCAGGTCCCTCCCACAACATGTGGGAATTATAGAAGCTACAAGATAAGATTTGGGTGGAGACACATAGCCAAACCCTATCAATTAATAAGTACACCTTGGTGTAAAACAATTGGTGATATTGTCATCTAATTTATTTTCCAAAGACTTCTGTTAACTTTATAACAAAAAATGGTAACTTTTTAATAAATACCAAAGATATAATTAACTAATAATCTTCTATCTGGTCTTTGCACCATCATTCTTTCTTCCTCCTTCACAACTTGGATTCACAAACGCTTCTTAAACACATTGTAGCCTCTTAAGGAGAACTCTGATTATGTATTTATTCTCCTAATCTCCTGGCAAGTCTATAATTCAACTATCTTGGCTGGTATTCCAGAACTTCCCTAAGCTCCCAGCTCTCTTGCTAACTGACCACTTCCTGCACTGTTACCACATGGACACTCTGCACTTGGCTTTCCGACTCACCCACCAAACACTGAATACAGCAGGCTCTGCCTCTTGGCCATAATATACTCTTGGCCATAATATATTCTTTGCCTCAATTATTTGGCCTCTCTTATTCACCAGTCAAAATTCTACTTTTTCTTCAAAGGACAAATTATGTCCTACAGACATAAGAAGGCTTCCCTGAGCCCCTAATCCTAGAGTTCCCAACCTGTGAATTCATGACTCTGAAGGTCTGGCCTCTGACCTGGCACTTAGGTACTGACATCTACCTTATCTCTGTTTTCCCCTAATTTTCCCTGCATATATTTGCAACTCCATTGGGTAATTAACATAATGAGCACAGAAATTAGTTTGTTATACTTCCCTTTGTTACTCAGCCCAACATTGTAATAGTTTCTCAACAAATGTTTAATTAAAAAAAAAATTCTGGCTGTTTTCTGATATACCCAAAGAACATTAGAAGAAAAAAGTCTTCTATTTTAAACCACTTAACTATTCCTTCTTTAATACAGGATAAGTATGAGCTAAAAAGATAGTTAACTAAAAAGTGAGTGGAGTTCTAATTAAGAAAGTTGTCTCCTGAGAATTGACTTCCTCATAGAGTATAGGGTTAGGAATTTATTTAGGAAAGGGGAGGACAGACTATAAGGCGGGAGTCTCCTGCATGGGTCTTTCCTACTGTTTACTTCGAGGTAGTGCATACACCCAGGAGAGCAGATACATCCATATTCAGAGACAAATTCAAAATTATAGAACAAAGAGCTCTGGTTCATGATGATGTTCTGAGCACAGATATCTGCCTTCCCTTCCTCCAAAGATCCTATAGAAATTATAGAAAAGATGTCTTTGAAAATAATGAAACGAAAACTGTTCCAGAAAAGTAGAATGCAACGTAGCCTAGAAATGGAGGAATTCCTGGACAACACAAAGCACATGACACTAGAATGACAGTGAAATGAGAACTGAGGAAGCTGCAAGGAAGTCCTGGACAAGTTCCAAGCTCAACAAATGCAAAGCTGGAGGGGTAGGGAGAGGTAGCAGGGTGGGGAGTGAGAAACCATGGAGCAATTAATTAAAAGAACTGCATTTGGAACAGCTGAACCAATGAGGCAAATGTTCCCCACACCCCTCGCCCGTGCCTGCAGATCAGTTAACAATTTAGTGGCTTTTGCCTTCCGGTTAAAGCCAGAAGAATTTCTCCCTAGAGAAGGGGAGTATTCTGCCTAGATGGGGGTCCTGTACTGGGGCTGGGCACTGAGGTAGAAGCAGAGTAGAGCTGGAGAGAATTCTGGACTTCTGCAACAGCTGCCAAGAAGAAAACTGTAAAATGTAAGGTGGCTCAGCCTTAAATATTAGATAACCAGTTATCCTGGGTGACTCAGATTGCTCCAGTTTATGTTATAATCTCCACACAATTAACATTTTTCCTTTCACTCTCAAATATATCCTAGCTTGAGTTATAAGTTATGTAGTCACTTTATCCATGAGTGAAAAACAATGAAGCCACATTTTTCAAACCCAAGCCCAGGCACTGTATAAGGATTCGATCCTCCCCAGACTTGTCTGTCTGTTCAAATCATCATCCATACATTGGGTTCTCACGTCATTTGTCCAACACAAGACTTGGATGCCATAGTAAACACAAATGCAAATGTGGGTTCTTACATGTTTGTCATATTAGGTACTTCAGAATGTGCAACTGATATTTTAAAAGATTGTCACTAAAATGAAAACCAAATTTTAAATTCTCTTAAATTTTAGGACTCGTCAGCTCCTAAGAATATATAGTAGAGACACATTCCAAGAATTACTAAACATTTAAGGAAATGATGAAAGCAAAGAAGGAGGAACAATTTACCTTATAGGGAACAGAGATTATTCAAAAAATAAAATAACATTGTTTAAAAATTCAATTAATTTCAGAAGAGATTCAAGAAGACAACATATTCAATAACCAAAAACAAGGTGCTGTTTTTCTTAAATTGTTCAGAGAACAAAAAGGAATTATTGGAAATAGAAAAACATAATATCTAAATAAGAAATTTAATGGACAATCTGAATGAATACACTATGGATGACAAATGGAGATCTGGAAAACTCCAAGAAATCTGTCAAAATATGGCACAAACTGACAAGATAGTAAATGTGATAAAAAATAGAGATTATGAGTCAGTAACTGGCTAATCAGAGTTCTAGAAACATAGGACAAAATCTACAGAAGAAAAGAAATAACCAAAGACATAATACAAGAGAAGTTTTTGCTCTGGTGGAAGACACAAGTCTTCAGATTTAAAAGCCAGACCAGATGATGAGCAGTGTGAATTTAAAAAAAAAAAGAAAGAAAGAAAAAGAAAGATCCATTTCAAGATATATCCTGATGAAATTTCAGGAAGCCAAGGATAAAGAGAAAATCTTACACTACCATAGAGAAAAAATAGACTATTCACAATAAAGGGTAGATTGACAGATTTCTTAACAATACTTGATGCTAAAAAGTAAGTAGAGTAGTGCATTCAAAGTCCTAAGAAAAAGTATTTCAAAATTAGAATTCTGTATTCAACTGTAGGAGGGAAAGGTAATATTTTTCTTCACCCATCGCAAGGATCATGGCAGACACTCCTATAACAAAAGACAGGTTAGCAGGAGGAAAACATAACAAATTTATTCAATAAAGTTTTATGTGGTATAGGAGCCTCCAGATTTTCCCTGAATCTTCCCTGAAAATTCAGGGAAAACTGTATTTTTTTTATGCTGAGTCTGATAAAAGAAGTGGCTAGTTGTGGAGAAACATGACTGGACAAAAAGGGTATGATCAAATGGTAACAAACTGAGAGAGGAACCCCACAAGGCCTGTTTGTTCAGATTCTTCTTGGCCTGCCTGTGTAGCATTTCTTACCTCCAGGTATGGAGTAGGACATGTGTCACATGAAGACCTTATGACCTACTTTCAGAAGAGGTACTTTGGAGAGTGATTTTTCTAGGTTTTATGGCTTGCTTTGGGGAAGAGGAATTCTAGTTTCTTATGACCCATCTCTGGGGAGAATGAGAGAAGGAGAAAAGGGAGTGGGGAGATCAGGAAGGCCTTGCTTCTGAAGTTCTCCTTTCTCTTTCAGTTCAAAGTACTCAGCATGCCACAGCGCCACATTTTGAGATATTGTGTTCTGAGCCCTGAAACAACTAAATGGTGTGTGTGTGCATGTGTGTGTGTGTGAGAGAGAGAGAGAGAGAGAAATGGGATAAAATAAAGATATCTGAAAAACTGCAAAGGCTAAAAAGTTTGCCATTATCAATTCTATGTGAAAAATTACTCAGAAAAGCAAACAAACAAAGAAGTCAAAGATAGACAACATGAGAGATTTTTTAAAAAGAGTCCAGTTTAGCCAGAAGACATGAATACAGCTAAAAAGGCACTTTAAAAGAATCCCTTTGACCTTAACACTCAGAATTCTCACTTGAGGGAAATACGATGGTGACCCAGGATTCATTTTTTATTCTTTAGACCCAAACACAGACTCATGGGTTGTGTAGTGAATAATATTTCATAACCATAGGACTGTTTTTTAATTTTTTAAGTCAAACTATGAACTCAGTACAGAAAACATATAATCACCAAAAATGTAAATGTAAACTTTAACAATGTGAAAATGACATAATTAATCAAAATTGGGAGAAAAAGAGAAGAATTACAAGGAAGTGTAAGTAAATTAATCTAACTTCATGTTGCATAGCAAGGAGTCAATAGATCTAAAGTTGATAAATTAGTGGGTAGAAGTACACTACTTGAAGTTGTAACAGTAACTATGACAAGAACTAAAGAGTTAAACACTTTTAACAGTTATTACCTATGAGTGGCTTGTTATCTTATAGCACTCCCCACTTTACCATTCTTTACATGCATTTGTATTATTTTTCTAATTTAAAATTAATATCTTTCAAGCTTTGGATTATGTGCCTTCACAATCTCCAAAGGCCAAAAGAAATGATTTATTTTGAAATATCTCTTTTTGACAAAAATTGAGCCATCCACCCAATTAGAATTAATCACTGTAGTTCTAAGGAAAACTCATCGTTGACTGGGCAGGCTGTTCTAACTAGGCCATGTGGCAGAATGAAAGCTCTTAGAAGGCCCAGTTGAAAGTAGAAAGGCTACTTTATGTGGCCAGCTTCCACCTAGCATCTTTCCATATTAATTGGTGACAGGGACAGCCACCAGCCACAGGATGGTTCTTATGGCAAGACTCACCCCTTTCAAGTGTGTTGCGTTTTTATGCAGACATTATCTCCCTGGGGTAGGTGTGGACAGAATTATTATTATTTCCACATCATAGATGATCAAATGGGCACACCAAAAAATTAAGTGGAAAAGTCCCAGGACTTAAACCCAGTTACCCTAACTCCCTTATCACACTCAGATAACAGGACAGGATTTTTACATTGCTGAAGGCAAGGAAATGAAAAGGCTGCAGCTTCTATTTACTCAATGACCATAAGGTTAATGAGAAAGCCATCAACCTTCACCACACACATATCCCCAAACCATTATAAATTCGATTAATCAAAGTTTGGAAGAAACCAATAAAATATCCCTTTTTCTTAGCCTGATAGCTTGATCTGAACTATGAGTTCAAAAACAAAAATACTCTTCTGTAATCTGAAGAGATCTTAAACAATTACCTTTTGTACTCCTTTCTCTACTATGAACAGTTATAAAAACATGCTTTTAGAAATAACCAGTTTACTATTATTTAGTGACCAATTATGTAGTTGGTGCATTATCCAGACCTTTTACAATCTGTTCTTTTACGTAATGATTTTAATGTTTCCTTTTGTTTTCCACTCTTTTACTATTCCCAATTTCCTCGATCATCATTACTATACGTCCTGTTAAGAGTTTTGACTGAAAAAAAAAAGTACACTAAGTTTGTGGTATTTGCTGGGAATTTCATCTCTCCATGTTATGCATCCCTCCCACTAGCAGAAGAAAGAATCAACGTTGGAAACAACCTGTTTCATATCAGATTTGAATACCATTGACTTAACTTGAAAATAAATCTTGATCCTTATCAAGGGAATTATTTTTCTTTTGGGGGTATGGGAAAGTTTTCTTTAATATTTTTCTATCAGTTTTATAAAAATGGGGGTGGGAATTGAAAAAATATTATGTATATTCTCCGAAGCAGAAACAGTATCCCTGAACAATTAAAAAAAAAAAAAAGTCAGTGGTTACCAAGTAGATATGTCCCTGTGCATGCTCTCCCAAAGTCCTCCTCAGCCATACATCAGAGAAAATCTGCCTGGGGAAAAAAATAAGCAAATCAGTTGTGGCTTGGTGGGTCATTTTCAACCCCAAGCCTCTTCCATTTCTTCCTCCGTTTCACTCTGGAAAAAAAAAAAAAATTCTTGGCTTCACAACTGAAGACTTGAGGGCTAGTTGTAAAATGAAGTTTGTCTTCCTTTCCGGTTCTGCAACACTTTGCAAAAATGCACAGATTGTGGAGGGTTTAAAGCTAAGGAAAGAGCAAGAGCAGTTGAGATGACTGATAGTAAATTGATGTGGTTACTGGGTAGAAGGAAGGATAAGCTTTCCTTAGCTTGAGTCTTAAACTGGGCTATCTCTTCCTAAGGCTAATGAGGGGCTACAAGAAGGTATATTCTTTCCCCCAAACCTCTCCTCTCACATCCCAGCCCTCCTCCCTGTCACTGTGCCTGGAATCTGCTGAAAGTTTCAATCCTTGGGAAAAAGATCTGTGCTTTACCAGGCTTTCTCCTAAGTACAGATTGCCCTGAAGCACTAACAAATGAAGCTGTTGTCCGTTATCCTCTGGGATGAGTTTTTCAAGTTGTCTTCCTCAGAACAAATTGTAAAAGGAAATGGGCTGGGCAGGGAGAGGGAAGTTTTTGATGAGTAGTAAAATTGGGAGGATAAGCCCGGAGCTTACAGCCCTGCGCAGGGAAGGGAAAAGGAAGGAAACTGATATTTACTAATGATTATGTTTTCCAGGTGCTGTCTTAGGTGCCTTACCTACAGCCTCATAGCAGCCCCTCAAAGTAGAGATAACTGTTTTCATTTTCTAGAGAAGAACATAAAGGCTCAAAGAGGTTGTATAACTTGCCTATTTCAGTTGTCTGTTACTGTATAACAAACTTCCCCAGAACTTAGTGGATTAAAACAATAATTGATTATTTCTTACAATTTTGTGGATTGACTAGGACTCAGCTAGACATTTCTTCCCAACGGTCTCACTTGAATCTCTTAAATGTCACTCACATGACTGGTGCAAGGGACAGCCACTAGGCTGGGTGCAGCTGGGATGCTGAAGTCCAGGACTTAACTCTCTTTTTATGTAGTTGTAAGGCCCCTCCCTCTCCAGCAGAAAAGCCAGACTTCTTACATGGGGGATCAGGGCTGTGAAGAGAAGGAAGCAGAAGCTGCCAGTCATCTTAAAGCCTAGTCTGGAACTGGCATGACAGCATGTCCACCATATTCTACTGGTCAAAGCCAGTCACAAAACCAGCCTAAATGCAACAGCACCTCTGAAAAAAAGAGAGTAACTAGAAATTTGCAACCATCTCTAATCTACCCTGTTGCTTAAGGTCACACAAAGGCAACAGACTCAGAATTTTTGACAGGACTTAATGCTTCCAGATCTGTGGGTGTGGGACAAGGATAATGCTGCAATGAGGACTCAAGGCTATAAGGGAGTTACGGGTGTGGGGAGGGTCACAAGACAAGGGCAGGGACAATAAACAGCTAGAGGAGGAGGCTAGTGAATGAAGTCCCCAGGAAGGCTCCATACTGTCCTGAATAGATGAATTAAGTGTTATTCATCTGGGCCAAGGCTTCAGTGCAGACTCAGATCTCCAGAGGAGATCATAGAGTCGATGGAACATTGCACAAGCATTTTGAGTAAATAAAAATGCCCATCTCCACTTGAGGAGCCATTTGGCAGGTGAGGCAGAAAGCTATGCAAGTGTGCCTCATCTATTCTGTGAACCCCAAATCACTAAACATAGGCTACAGTCACATTTATTCAACTTATACCTTCAAGGCAATGCCCTTTTCCCCACCTTCAAATCACTCATTTATTTATTTGTTCCCACAACAAAGTACTATTGAACATCTACTAAATCAAACACTGTGCTGAGGGCTGGGGATACAGCAGCAAACAGACTGCGGAGGGTTGAAAGCTGAAGAAAGCAAGAGCAGTTGAGATGACTGATAGTAAACTGATGCGGTTGCTGGGCAGAAGGAAAGATAAGCTTTCCCTTAGCTTGAGAATGGAGTCTTCAGTTGGGCTATGTCTTCCCAAGTCTAACGAGGGGGCTACAAGAAGGCACATTCTTTCCCCAGAACCTCTCCTCTCACATCCTGGCCCTCCTCTCCTTTACCTCCATGGAACTTACATTTTTTAGTGAGAGTGATAGGTAATATACAAAACCAGCAAGTAAATAACAAGTATCTTCTGTAGTAATTCCACTGGAGCTTGAGAGTATGTGGTGGGGGGGAATGGGTGGGGGCTCAATTTTATTTACAATAGAATAGTCAGAGAAAGCCTCATGGAGAAGGTGGCATTTGAACAAAGACTGCAGGAGGTAAGAGAAAAGAGCTTTCCAGACAGAGGGAAGAGCAAGAGGCAAATACCTGGAGCTGAAGGGCACAAACATTCACCCTTGGATTCATTAATTTAGCAATATTTATTAAGCACCTACTACTCACCAGCATTGTACTCAGCAATGAGTATACAAAGATACATAGAGGTCTCTACCCTCAAGGAGCTGACTATTTAGAAAGCGAGACAGGCAAACAAAAATTCCCCCATGGCATTAAAAAACGTGATAATGGGTGAAAACAATGTCTCAGCAGGCAAGCTGCTCAGCTTAGCTGAAAATTGTTCTCAGTCCATCTGTTGGTGGATCAGAGAGACAAGGGTGGTGTTTTGTACTTGACATATAATCTGCCCATATCCTCAAATATTACAGAATCATAATTTTTATTAAATGCAAGTTTTATTATTGCACTTTAAAGCAAAAGTGCTGGGTAAACTGCATAATATAATCACCATATGACTATCACTTTGAATTAGTATTGCAGATACTTCTAACTACTTAATTATTTATTTTTAAAATATATTCCAATATTTTAATTATGTTCAGTTAAGTGTATTTGAATATTTGCGGCACTCTGCATTATTTATATTAGAGAAAAAACAGCCTAAATCAACTTGCCCTGGCATTCCATAATTTGTGCTTGCACATCTCTAAAATAGATTTATATATAGCTATCAAATGGTTATTCTGGATATGCTATGATTTAAAATTTTTATCTGAATTTTATTTTAATGTACCACAAAACTAAAATTTATTGGTTTCTTTATACTATTACATGTCTTATCTGATTATTCATATTCAATATTTGCAGAATACTAACTAGAGCTGCACACTCTTCAATTAGATACAAATATGTAAATTTCGTGACACTCATCCTAACCCCCACTCCACCCTACCCCTGCCTCATTCCTGGAAATAGTCTAAATTTGGATGAATCAAATTCTCTGGCAGCCCAGGGGTAAAGAGTAAGGGAAACTCTGTCAGCTTCGAACAACACCATTGCGACAGGGAGAAGGGAGATATCAGAGACCCCAAGGGCAGTTACTGTCCTGCACCAAGGAGCATAGCATAAGACTGCTTGAAAGGAAGAATCTGGATGGAGAAGCTTACACAGATGTGGTCTCTACTATAACTAGTCTGAAAAATAATGCAGGCTGCTCTGTTCTTTGTCTTTCCTAGTTTCTAAATTCATTTAGAACTCATTTCTATCTACAGGATAAAAAATATTAAAGTTACAGTATTTCAATAACCCTCTTTATATCATACAAATCCAGTAGACAGACGCCCACTAAAGAGATTACAGCTTGAATACTTAATCCCAATTTGGATGTTTTTAAACAAGGCAAACCTGGCCTTAAATGCAATGCACGCAATTTAGCTAAGTATAAAATATTAATGCACAAACATGGCTTTAAATATAGCCAGAGAATCTGGCAGGAGGAAGCCACCCAACAGCCCCCTCTACACATCACTCTCTCAAATCAAAGGCTGGGTGAATAATGAACATACCCATTTCCAGGTCGAAAGTACAGGTGGATCGTGACAGGCCATCTCAAATCCTGGGAAGGGAGGGCTGCTAAGAATGACAGCCATTTCAGAAAACAGGCCTGGGTTAGCAGTTTTATTCAGACAGGGTTTGGCCTCCTAACCTCTCCTGCTTTCCCTGGACTCTCTTTGAAAAAGGGTGACTATATTCTTTTTTTTTTTTTTTTTTTGAAACAGAGTCTCACTCTGTCCCCCAGGCTGGAGTGCAGTGGCGCAATATTGGCCCACTGCAACCTCCACCTCCCAGATTCAAGCGATTCCCCTGCCTCAGCCTCCCGAGTAGCTGCGATTACAGGCACGTGCCACCACAACCAGCTATTTTTTTGTATTTTTAGTAGAGACGGCGTTTTGCCATGTTGGCCAGGCTGGTCTCAAACTCCTGGCCTCAAGTGATCTGCCCACCTGGGCCTCCCAAAGTTCTGGGATTACAGGCGTGAGCCATGGTGCCTGGCCAGGACCAGTATATTCTTGATGCTCAGGGATGTGGTTTGTACCCAGGGCAACATAGAACAGGGTTACAAGCATGGGCTCAGGTGTCAGATTACCTAGGTTCAAATCTCTCCCTGCAACACTTGTTAGTTGGGCCAACTGGGCTTAAACTCTCTGTGCCTCCATTTCCTCATGTGTTCATTTGACACATTAGAGTAGTAAATCAGACCCATGATATAAAGTCATTATGATAATTAAAATGCACATGGTACAATGCCTGGCCCATGGGAGTAAGATTTAGCTATTGTTATAGAGGTTACTACTAGAAAACCAGAGAGCAGGGCTTCTTGCACTGCGCTGTACAGTGGTAGTTTGCAGGGCGGAAAAGGTTATCATCCATTTCCCATTCCACCCCTTCATCTGCCCTCATCTCCTTTATTTACCTTGTGCTTTGCCTTCCTCTTTAATCACTGTACAGAATATTTGAGTCCAGTAAATATCTGTTGCGTGAGTGAACTCCCAGGCTACTAACCCCCAGCAACACTTCCTGCTGTGAAACACCCACCATATCCCCGAAAGGCAACATGAGTGAAATGCTCATAGCTACTCCTAGCACCAGCCTGGCACATTTTGGGTGAAGAAAATCATACTGGATAAGATACATAAAGAAGAAATAGAAGAAAAAAGAAAGGAGAGAGGGAGAAAGGAACGAGAAAAAGGGAGAGAGCAGGAACATAGGGTCCTATCATTGAGGAAGCTAGAAACTATACTTGCAGTATTGTGATAAAAAGGTGGTACTTTTTAAAATAACATACTATCCTTTCCTTCACTCACAATCAAGATTTACTTGCATTTTATACTGAATATGGCAATACAATTATAAATTTCATATTGTAAAATGTCTTGTTACAGGAACCTCACAATAATAAACACTTCTATTCTTCTCATCCACAAGTGGAAGTAAAACCCACACAAGAACTAGAAATGCCAGTTAAATAACTCCCAAGGGTTGTCTTTCTTTCTCTGAAAACTTCAATAATTTCATCAAAAATTAGTTCTATTAAAATATCACAGTTTTATCTTCACAAAGATAAAACTGATTCTTCCCACCTTGAGTTCCTCAGCTAACTCCGACAGTGGCCAATCCAAGCTTGGAAACTTGAAGGCGTGCCTGGTTCTTCCCTCTCCCCGCAGTGAGGGAATTGAACAGTCTGTCACAAAACAGGAAGCCAGAACAGCTAAGCTCTGGTCCCAACTCTATTCTTCCCTGAGCTCCTTAACAAGTTTCCTTAATTATAAAATAGAAATAATTTCTGCTTCATCAATTGATGCAAAAATTAGGTAAGGTAGGAACATATTGGTGAAGCAACTGGTATATAATAAGTGTTCACAAATGTTAATATCATTATCATTATTCGTATTTTTATTAAGCAGGGAGGTGAGTTTGGACAAGTCATTTAATTTCACTTAGTCTCGTCTTCTTGATCCATAAAGCCAGAGTTCTGACAAAATTCTCTCTAATATCATTTCTGGCTATAAAATGATACATTTTTAAAGAGCTTTATATTTTTAAAAAGCACTTCCGTGTACATTCATTCATTTTCACTGCTTTTGGGGGTAGGTATTGTTTCCATTTAAAAGTTAGGATATGGAGACTAAAAATAGCTAAGGAAATGATTCAAAATAATTTATGTCAACTGGTAGAAAAGTGAGGACTCAAATCCTGGTTTTCTGACACCAAAACCACGTTCCTTCCTGTGCACAGCACTGATCATCTTCCCAAAGCTGCATGCAACCATCTCATCCTTCACGTTCCTAGTGTCACCGTCACTGATCCAACCCTCAGTCAGCCATCCATTCATTTGCTCATTCAGCAGATATGTATTGATTGGGAGGCTGAAGCAGGTGGATCACTTGAGGTCAGGAGTTTGAGACCAGCCTGACCAACATGGTGAAACCCCATCTGTACTAAAAATACAAAAATTAGCCAGGCATGGTGGCACACACCTGTAGTCCCAGCTACTCCAGAGTCTGAGGCAGGAGAATCACTTGAACCTGGGAGGTAGAGGTTGCAGTAAACTGAGATCACACCACAGCACTCCAGCCTTGGCGACACAGCAAGACTTCGTCTAAAAAAAAAAAGGGTATGTATTGAGTGCCAGGCAGAGATATATACTGAGAATACAATGGTAAGCTAAAAAGATTTATTTCTTCCCTCATAGAGTTTATAGTCCAGTAGAGGAGGCAGATGTTAATTAGATAATCATGGAAATAAATATTAGATTTAAAGAATGGTAATAAGATACATGTAGGATTCTGAACACACATAACAGAAATCAGGCTAAACTGGAGAAGTCAGTGAATGTTTCCCTGAGGAAATGACTGTTAGGAAAGTTTCAAAGAATGAGGTGGAGGGAGAGTCTGCCACGCAGAATGAACAGTGTGTGCAAAGGCCCTGAGGTGGGTGGAAGCGTGGCACATTTAGAAGACTCAGAGACGGTCATTACAATTGAAACTACAAAAGCAAGGGGTAACGTGATTCAACATCAAGCTGCTTTGTTTTTATCATAAGAACAATGAGAAGCAGAAGGGTGACATGATCAGATGTTAATTTTGCAAATGATATTCCAACTGCAGTGTCTGAAAGATGGATGGGGGAAGGGCAAGGGTGGATGCCAATGGTCTGGTTAGGAAATGTTTGCAGTTTGCGGGTGAGAGAAGACTAACAAAGCTAGGTTGGGAGTAGTGACGGAGAGATGTTGGTGCAACCTGGAGGTATATGAGAGGATAAACTAAAAGGATATACTAGTCGATTCGATGTGGGATTATTTTGACAGGCTCCCAACTGTTCTTCCACTGTCTGCTGTTTCCAGTCTATGAGCCATTCCATGCGTCACTGCAAAACAATTGCTCCTTCAATACTGATTTTCCTCCAGATATTATTCATTGCCCATTTTTCCTTTTTTTTTTTTTTTAACAGTCTCACTCTATTACCTAGGCTAGCACCATCTCAGCTCACTGCAACCTCTGCCTCCAAGGCTCAAGTGATCCTCCCATCTCAGCTTCCCAAGCAGCTGGAACCGTAGGCATGTGCCACAACACCTGGCTAATTTTTCTTCTTCTTCTTTTTTTTTTTTTTTTAGATATGGGTTTTTACCATGTTGCCCAGGCTGGTCTTGAACTACTGAGATCTAGTGATCCACTCACCCCAGCCTCCCAAAGTGCTGGGATTACTATTTTTCTATATATGGTTTTCTCTTACTACTTAGATTCCCTCCCCTCTATTCTCCACATATACAAAGTATATCCATCTTTCAATGCTTAAGTGTTTCCTCATTCATTAAACAATCATCAAATGTTTATTGAGCACCTATTTTACTCCACAAATTGTTTTAGGTGACAAGGATATGGGAGTGAGTAAAAAAATTCCCTGACCTCATGGAACTTATATTCTAGATCTCTCCTGATCCCTCATCTCTTCTGAACACACGCCAAACATATAGATTATATCTCACAAGTTCATGATGTTTTTATATTTTTTCTATTTTTCCTACATCCTTAGGTAAAATTGAACTTCCTTGAAAGCAGAGACCAATGTTTTCGTTGCCTTCCAAATTTCCTACAACATCATCTGTAACATACAAATGACCTAAATGAAGCAAAAGATCATTGATAGTAATACAGAAGACTAGGATTTGTAGAATTACAGAGTGCTTTCATGTTCATGATATCATTAGGACGATCTCCAAAGTATAAAGCACTGTTGGAAATGCATTGTTGTCATTGTTAACGTTGTTGTTGTTGTTGTTGTTGTTGTACCATTCTTTGCATTGTGAACCAATAACAGAAACATCAACAACACTTACGTACTAGGTCTATTCCCAGTCCTGTTTCTGGCGAGTTGTAAATAATAATTATGCTTATAATGGAGAATTACATGTAAGACAATATGACTTTGAAAATCCAGTATCCATCATTGAAGAACAATGGACATCCACTGGTAGTATTCAAAAATAACAGAGGTTGAAGGTATATAATTGTTTATTTACTGCTCCATTCAGCTACATACAGCAAGGCTAAGTTCCAAAAGAAAACCTCTCAATAGATGATCCCATCTCACCTTTTATTACAGCCCTTCTATTTGTGAAAGTATCATTTTCGCTAGTTGGGAGATTGTCCAAACATCTCCAAGCACACTGCGATTCGAGGCCACAGACCCAGAAGGCTTTGTGATATCCTATCAGCAATTGTTAATATACACTCAGTCCCCCAACCTCCAGAGAACAAAGATTAAAACGGCCATCTTTTAGACAGGGATTACACTTTGTGGGAATCCATAGAATAAAAGATTTGGAAAGAAAATGAAAACATAATTTGTGGACAAAGACATACTGTTTTCCTTTAAAAATTAGCTGAAAGTCAGTGTGTCAATAAAGTCCTTGTGTTGTCTTCTATCACAACCAATATCGCGCAGTGACCTGGCTTGAAGGTTTTCCGTGAATTTTTAAGTGAGAACTTTAACAAACAGTTCTAAGAATACCAGACACCCACAGTTACCACACTTCTATAAAATAAGTAATATAGGCCTTAGGTGGCGTATTACTTCATATTTTTCTAGAAAAATGTTAAGAAGTGATTATCAAGGACTTAAAGATCAACACAAAGAACCACATTAAAAATTATAAGAACCCCCAAATGCCTGTGAAAATTAACTTTAGAGGCACATGTTTTAATAAAATTTATTGTTATATGTGGTTACAAAAATCATTGTTTAATATATATAGCTTAGCCATTTGAACTCATCTCCAATTTGGCATTTAAATTACTCTCCAATTAGGTAATCATCCTGGTCACATTTGGGAGGTGCCAGTTCTTGCCCTGTTCTCTGGGAATTTCTGTTACTCCCCCAGGCTACAGATGATTAATCCAGAGCAGGACACTTGACCCCAGCTGGGCCAACCAAATTCTCTACTGGGTATTTAGAGTGGGAATCAAGGGAGCATTTATCAGACTCTGTAGAAGCCAAGACATGTAACATATAGTCTCTTCCTGTTATCTGAGAAGCAGAGAAACCCATAAGGAGAGAGAGGAGAGGAGAGAGAGGAGAGGAAAGAAAGGAGAGAAAAAATAAAGAGGAGGAGGAGGAAAAGGCAGATGAATAAATCAGAGCAGAAATGAGAAATCAGATCCCTGCTTTTTAGGGAGTTTTCAGGTCCATTCTCATCCTACATCCTGGCTAAATTCCTAACCTTGGGCTCCATGAGATGTCCTGGAATTCTTATAATAAACTTCCTCCTTTTTGCATAATCAAGTTTGTTTCTGTTGCTTGCAACCCAAGAGCCTTATCCAAAATACTTTTTAGAAATGTAGCTTGGTCTCAAAGGCCATGCATTCATTTATTTCACAATCATTTGCCAAACCAGGCACTAAAAACACAGACGTGACTTAGTCAAAATCTTTAACTCCAAAAACCTTATGTTTAATGGGGCAGACAGAAATACATTTGAAAAACACACACAACGTAAGTAAATACCCCAAGTAGGCAGCAGATGCAATGATAAAGGAATGTATAGTGAACAGAGGAGTTACAAAGCCAGGGTGGTGAGCCTCACCTGGGGAAATCAAGGAAGGCTGCTGAAAGGAGATCTCAGAAGATGGCTAGCACAGCCAAGGGGGAAGCTTATCCCACAGAAGGA
This sequence comes from Homo sapiens, assembly GCF_000001405.40. NCBI lineage: Eukaryota > Metazoa > Chordata > Mammalia > Primates > Hominidae > Homo > Homo sapiens. The sequence goes on along the minus strand of NC_000001.11, from coordinate 87,182,054 downwards.
CAAGCACACACAGACATGAGCAGGATGGAACAATCTGGCATGCTTAGGGAGCTATAAAGATTCCATGTGCTGAAGCACCTGGTTCAGCAAGGGCACAAGGAGATGAGACAGGAGTAGGGAGGAGCAGAAGGGCAGTGTGGCATTCAACGTGATTTTAGGCTCAGGGCATTCATCCCCATGGAGAAAAAGCTCAGAGCCTTTGTTGCCCCCTCGTTAGCCCTCTTATTTCCATGAGGATGTGGAGGTGGCACATACCTCCCTTTTCAGACAAGAAAAATGAGCCACTTGACAGACTTGTGGGACTTGTTCCTGTGATCATCTGGGAACTCTGGACCAAGAGCTCCAAAGCACAGTGAACGATGTTGATTCTTGCTCAGTCACAGAAAGATTCAAATGAGGATATAACCTGCGAAAGTAGCCCCAAAGCTCTGGAGTCTGGGGAAGTAACAGGATAGAAATTACAAATTGGGTTTCTTGGATATAGGCACACAATTATAAAAAATTACATCAGGATATAGATCTCAATAGAAGTGCCTTTTTGGACATTTTAATAAATGCTTTTCAGATATATCTGTGGGTCTGAGACTAATGGGAAAGAAAAACAGGGAAAGATTTTGGGAGGAGTATTAAATATGATGAAGAGAACCCCAAAGTATCACAGGCTGAAACAGGAAGAAAGAAATAAAGGAGAAATCCAGAGACAGGAGAAATGTAGACAAAATAGTGAAAACAAAGTTCAGGGGAAGAAAGCAGTAAATTTTGAAGGAAGCACTACATTAGGATGAAATGAGGTAGAATCAGATACCCAAAGCAAGATGTAGAAATAAAACTAATTTCCCTAGTTGAATTCTCCACTCAAAGTTGTTGGGAAAAAAATACTTTCAGGAGGGAAACAGAACAGGTGGGACCAAGAGTTTCCATTCTTAACTATTCTAAAACAGTGATTGACAATTGCTTCCTCTGAATTAAATTATTTCATCTTAGTGAACCAGATGGTCTAAGCTAGTCTTTTATTTGGAGGATTTAGTGAAGTTCAAACAAACTTTGCCACCACACAAAAGTTTAATAAAGTCAGAAGGAACAACTAGTACTTTCTCTTAGGCTGTGTTAGGAGCTCTAATCCAACAGCTCTGGCAGGCTGGCCTTCGTGCCTGGCCTGCTGTCTTTTTATGTTGGTCCTTGATTGCAAAATAGCTCCAGCTGTTGAAGGACTTATTAACTGTGTTCCGTTAGAACCATGCAAGAGAAGCAAAGGGTTTCTCTGGGCCTGCTCAGTAACTGGATCAACTAAATCCAATAGTAGGTGTTCTGCACCCAGGAACACTCAATCTGATTCCTGAAACCCATCGGCCAATGCAGTTTCCTCCTTCCAAAGTTGTTCTCGAACTTTACTGTGCATGTTAATAACCTGGAGATGGTGCCTGGAGGGGCCTGAGACTCTGCATTTCTAACAAGAGCTACTGTGATCTTGGTGCTGTGGACAAGGCTTTGCATAGTGAAGTCTCAGGGGATTCCCAAGGACGAGCATCTGAGCACTCATTTAACAGACTTCAAACATGCATCTGGTTAGGACAGGTGAGTCCAAAGCAGACATAGCCATAAGATGAAAGCAGACATAGCCATAAGATGCAGGAACTTCTGTAAAGCTTTCATATCAGCTGCTGCAACAGTATCCCCAAAACAGTGACTTTCACAACGTGCCAGCTGGAGGTTGAGATAATCACAGGACTTCAGACATGGACTTTATTGCCAGGACAGATAATCATACCAAAAAGGGGAAGAGAGCCAGAAGGCATTCAAATCTCCGGGCAAATATGACTTGCAATTTATTATCATGTGAAAAGCCTAAGTGGCAGAAGCATTGTGATTTTTTTTCAGGATATTTGATAGCATCGGAGCTGAGCTATCTCCTGCCAGTCCCCCTCCCGATGCAGTCCCATTCTCTGAAGACCTGGAGGGCCTTCCTCATCTTCGTCTATCAAGGGGGTCATGTGTGGTTACCCAAGTTAGACAGAAAGATTGCAAAAGAAGCGTGACAAGGAATGCACTCTTTGCACCACAAATAGAACGTTTGGAACAACAGACAGTTATCCCAGAGGTAGTGCTGCATCTGGGGTTCCTCCATTCCTGTTTAGGGAAGGAAAAGTCACAGTAATGATGACATAGAAACAGATTCCAGGGGAGAGGCTGGGATCGTGAGGCCTGGGTCTTCCTGCCTTCACATTGATTGCCCCTATCCCTTCAGCATCCTGGAGAGCTCTCCTTTACCAAGAAAGGTGTCCTGGCTCATATCATTAAGAGGCCTTGGCTGTCTTTAGGCAATCGCTCAGAATTTTTTTTTTTAACCCTATTACCAATCTGCCTTTCTTAGCAAAGGTCATGATATGGGCAGGGGACGTCTCATCTTCCTTATAATCCACTGTTAGAAACATTTCAATTAAGCTTCAGATCAGGCCCCAGAACTGAGGCTGTTTTAACGAGGGGAAGTAATGACCTTCTGTTGCAAGTGGTTTCTGGCACACCATCAGTTTTAATTCTTCTTGATCTTTCTGCACCCTTTGATAGCCAGGATCAAGGGTTCTCTTTATATGCTTCAAGCACATTGGAGGACTTTTAGGGACTGTACTGACAAGGTTTTCATCCCTGCAGTCTCAGCCGAGCTGGTTGTCACCTGCAAGTTCTCCACGCTTGTTCAATTTACCAAAGATTAAAAGACAGCTGAAAAGACAGGGCCCATGTGCTAAACTGTGAGTATCTGCATGTGTTCCCAAAGCAAGTGAACATCAGGAGGATTCCGCTGAGATAGTGCGATAACCCCTTTGATGCGTGCTCCCCGGGAGGAAGGAAGCCTCGCGGGAGGACGCAAGAGCAGCAGTGTAGGCTTGGTGGGTTTAATGGGACGCACACGGGGGTGTGCATGCGTGTGCATCTGGAGGCAAGACTTCTGAAAGTTGCACTGGTTTCATATTGGAAGGTCCTGGCTCTTGTGGAATTTCCTTTTCTTAACCGAGACATGGATATTTTAAGGAAAGTAATCCTTTTGAAGAAGATTTATCTCTTTTCTCATCCTGGATAAAGGGCAGGAAAGATAGATAAAATACCTTCTTTTCCTTTCAGTATGGAAGAATTTCATTCATTTTACTTTTCTTTAACAATTCTTGAATCCTACTGTGTGCCAGGCTCATTATTGGGCTGTCACTGGAGGGATAGCAATGAATAAGACAAATGATCTCTGTCCCCAGCAGTTTATAGTCTATTTTGAAGGACTTCTATTTTTAAAAAATTATGCAAATGATTGTTTAGGGTAAAACTTGAACGCACTGTGCAGCTTCCTATGTGAATGTGTGCTGGGAAAACCAGCCGGGTTGGCACAGTCTTGTTTTGGTGCCTGCTCCTGGGGGAAGGGCGGAGTTGTCAGCTGGCACCATGGGGGTAAGGCAGGGCTTGGAAGCAACTAAAGGCATCCTCAAGAAAAGGGTGTCAGCAACAAACAGCCTTATGAGCTGCCAACATTTACTCCAACAGTTAAGTACCCATATGTTTCTGTTGCCCACAAGGTAGACTAGCTTACCAACTGTAAGCTCAGACTTCGGACTCACTCTTAGCTTGATCACTCACTAACCGTGCAATTTCGGGTGAGTTACTTAGCCTCTGTGTGTCTCCATTTCCTCAACTGTAAAGTAGGACTAATAGGAATACTGACCTCGTGAGGTTTATCTGTGGATTAAATGAATTAACAAGCATAAGGTGCTTACAACTGTGCATGTGAGTGTTTGCTATCATCATGAAGGTCACACACACTCTGTTCCTGTTGGGAGCCAGGATTGTTCTCGCCCTTCACGCTGCTTCTCACGCCTCTCCTTACCAGCAGTGCTCAGCCTTGTCCGACCTGCACCTGACTAGAGTTTAGAATAGAGCCTTTCCCTGGCCAGAGGCATGTCCTGCCACAGATCTGCTTCCTGCTTTCCAGCATCTGCAGCATCAGAAGTTCCCATCTTCTGCAGTGACGACTGTCCTCCCGCCAGGACACTGGAAATGGATCATTTGAAAGAAATGGCTCCCGGTGCCTTTTCATTCCTTAAGCTGTTCTCACTTGCAACCAGATGGTTTATCAGGAAGGGTATCAGCAAATACTGTGTGCTTTACTGCCATTAGACGGCACTGGCATTGAATTGAAAAAGCCTTAAAAATGGCCATCAATCATTTGATATACGTAGGCAGTGATCTATATTGATATGGCTCCAGCTACCATCTGAAATGGTTTGTCTTTCATCTTACCCTTTATGTGAGGGTTATTACAGTGCACACCACTTACAACAGACATGGTTATTATGGACAATTGGTTATAGTGGACAAAAACTGATTTCCCAAACCAAACATATTAAATCCAATACATTTTTCATAGCTTATAACCAACAGAAACCTTGGTTTCAGCTGACATTTTCCAGAGGCTTTAATGACATTACTATAGGACTCCAAAGAGGGAAAGGAGGGATGGCAGGTAGCGAAATGAGCCCAGGGAACACCAGAGGTTTCATTTCCAACAAAATAATTATCCAAAGGTGGGAAACTGTTTTGGAGTTAACCCCCAGAGTGCTCCTGCTCAGGTGGCAAGATGTCTGTTAGCAGTTTCTCTGCACACACACACCCTCCTAGCCATGGGCCCCACAATGTGTGTTGCAGTGGTAAATCAATGGAATGGGATGCCTAAACAACACAGGCCTCCTTTCCAGAAGACAAGTGGGCTACAATTGGTCATGTCTTATCCATGAAGGTCATTGAACCAATGAGCCTTTTTTGTTCTTAATACACTCAGGCCAACAGATCTCTTAAAAGAGTATTTAAAAAGTTGAACAAGGGCAGGAGGACAGATTAAATGACTTTGGGAATCCATGCCTTATTCTCTGCTTCTTCCTAAACCTAACATCACAGGAAATGCATGGAAACCACCATCAGATTGTTTAATACAACCCAGCATGCAGTTAGTTCTCTTTTCTAGGACTCTGCCTGCCCCTCAGAGATTTGGGCTCAAGGATCTGCAGAGTTTACTAGTTCTTTGTCAGAGTTCAAGGTGAATTCCATTCTGCAATGTATCTGCTCAGCATTTGCCTGAAGCTCACTCCTATTCTCCCCTTTTTACTCCCTACACCCACCATCACATTTGCATGGACAAGGGAGAAAACAGGGCATAGTCTTGGTCTTAGCCCATTTTGTGTAGCTATAACAGAATACCAGAGACTGGGTAATTAACAAAGAAAGGTTTATTTGGCTCACAATTCTGGAGGCTGGGAAATTCAAGAAGCACGACATTGGCACCTGGTCAGTTTCTGATAAGAGCCTCGTGCTGCATCCTACATGGCGGAGAAGCAGAAGAGGAAGCAGGTGCACATGAAACAGGGAAGTAGGAGACGCAGCCTCACTTTGTAATAACACATTCTCTCAGGAACTAATCCAGTCCCTGGAAAACTAACCTAGTGTCGTGAGAAAGACATTAATCTATCTTAACCTAATCACCTCTTTAAGGTCCTACTTCCCAACACCATTATATGGGCAATTAACTTTCAATCTGAGTTTTGGTAGAAACAAGCCACATCCAAACTGTAAGTACTCATAGGTAGAACAGATGAAAATGACATGGCCCTTTGATCACTCAAAATGTGGACATCTCAAACAATGTGAGCTTCAACATCAGTCAAATGTGTGTTTGAATCTTTCCTCTACCCCTTAAACCATGTCGCCTTGAGCAAGTTTCTCAACCTTGTTGAGCCTCAGTTTCACTTCTGAAAAATTGCACGATGACGTGAGACTCCTCTGAGGTACCACAGACAATGGCGTCTAGAAAGTTCTGGCTAAGCGTTGGCCACATAGGAATTTGCTGCCCCTCCCCTGTGCTCCCACTGCACTCCCAGAGTGTTTCTCTAGGTGAGCCCTCATTAGTCTTTGTCAGAACTTATTTACATGTCTGTCTACCCACCCACTCTTACCAGGAGTTCCTTAAGGACAAGATGTATCTAATTCATCTCAGTGTCCCTGTTGCCAGGGGCACAGTGGTTGCTTATTAAAGGTTTGTCAAATGAATGTATGAGTGTTCGTTTCTTTTCCCACTTATGTTCCTTGCTTTGCTGGTGGTTAAAAATCTCGGCTTTAGGGAATCTATCTTGAGGATTTTATATGCAGGGCTTTCTACATAGTGTTTCCCAATAAAAAATGAAGTTACTACCTCTCTGTTTTTTTTTTTTTTGAGACGGAGTCTCGCTCTGTCTCCCAGGCTGGAGTGCAGTGGCGCAATCTCGGCTCACTGCAAGCTCCGCCTCCCGGGTTCACGCCATTCTCCTGCCTCAGCCTCCCGAGTAGCTGGGACTACAGGCGCCCGCCATCACGCCCGACTAATTTTTTTTGTATTTTTAGTAGAGACAGGGTTTCACCGTGTTAGCCAGGATGGTCTCGATCTCCTGACCTCGTGATCCGCCCGCCTCGGCCTCCCAAAGTGCTGGGATTACAAGCGTGAGCCACCGCGCCCGGCCCTCTCTGTTTTGAATTCTTTCTTCATTGGTCCTATTCTCCCTCCCCAGGTCCACTCGGAAAAGGCTGGTCATATTTATCCTCTGGAGTTTCAGCCCTCATCAAGTTTGAACTCCCCATTTACGCACCTCCAGGCCCTTCTTGTCAGCAGTGAGAAAAGGACCTCTGTAAGCAAGGTGCAATGTCTCTGCAAGGGCAGGCACCAGGAGGCAGAGTGCCAGACCTGAACCCAACAGTGAGACCTTAGCCCGTTGACTTAAACTCACCAACTTCAGTTTCCTTATCTGTAAAATGCCCGGATCTCCCTGCTGAATCTGCAGATCTAGTGATAGAGTACATGGGAAACTGCATTGAAAACTATAAAATACTCCACAAAGGTTTGAAGACAAAATTACACTTGCCCTTTAAGAATGCTATTTGAATCCTTCACTGCTCAAGTGACTCTTAGAGCAAATGATTTATCAAGATCATGCTTCTATGATTGAACACTGAGCAGCAGAGTGCCAGTCGCTCATTACCAGAACCTGGCACTCTTATGAGCCCCATTGGCTAGTACCATCCATCCAAATCACTGTAGACATCACAAGCTACATCCTGGAGAAGACATGCTCAGACATGCTCAGCTGTACATCCAGGTCCACCCCTTCTGCATCAACAAATTCCACAAAATGCCTTGCCTAAATAATTCACTCCCACCCTCCATGCCTGAAAGAGGCTTCCACTGTGGGCAAAGAAAATTAGTTCACCATTGCTAGAAAAGTGCCCCACTAGCACCTCCTCCACAGAGATTTCTTCCTCCTCCTCTCCTTGTCCCTCTACCTGCTTCTCCAGACCTCCCCACCCACCCTCCGCAGCTCTGTTAAGTCAGCAGAAGCAAGAAGTCATGAGTTGAAAATGATCTTTTCACCTCCAGAGCCATACCTGTAGCAATTTAAATATTTTCCAAGGTTGGTCACTATTAAACATGTTTTGATTTGTGTGAGTTTTGCAAACCCATTCCAAAGAAATTTAAGCACTGCGTTCTTAGACATTTTCCTGGCTTTTCCTGCTTCTGTGTCATTTCCCATGAGAAGCAGTAGACTAAAATTAAAAGTGAAGGGGGACTCAGGAGCAAGAGTCCGGGTTCTAGTCCCAGCTCTGCCACACACTGGCAGGGTGAACTTGGGCAAGCTACATACCTCCCTGTGACTTGGTTTCTTCATCTGGAAAATGGGAATAATAAAAATAGTAGGAGTAGTACACTCTTCATCGAGTTGTGACTATTAAAATATTTAATCCATTAAAGCACTTAGAACAGTGCCTGACACACAGTAAATTCTTAATAAAGTTAGGATTTGCTTTTAGGGAAAAATAATCATTCCTCCCTTATTGGGTCCTGGTGAAAGCTAAATGAGCTAGATACATATAAAGTACTTAGCATAATTTTGGCTAAAAGTAGGTGTCTGGCAAATGTAAGCTCTTTCCCCTGTCTGAAATGCCCTACCCTCAATGCTCTCTATCAGATTGCTCCAAGTCCCAACTTGAATCCCACCTTCCCCTTCCATGAAGCTTTCCCAGATCACTCCAGCTGAAAGAGAGCTTTCTCTCTCCCGACTTCTCAAAAGCCTCATATCACAGGTTGCTCACACGTGGAATTTATTATCCTCTTTCATGTAATAGAATTTGTGCACATAGCAGCTTTCCAATTTAACTAGAAACTCATAGAGGACAGTCGGGATTAAAATTACATGACCCTTACTCATCACAAACCCTGGATAGATATTTGTAAATGTATTAATAAATAAAAGTTCTGATGAAATGTAAATTCAATAATTTAATGAAAAAATAATCTTTAAGGGTGGAACTTTTAAAAATTCATTTCTTTCAAGCTTCTGTCTGTTTTCAAGTAGCTATTTTGGCGGGGGGAGCCGGGTTGCTAACAGCTGGTCTGTGATCCAGCCTTAGCTTTGTGTATGTGCATCTTCCCAGCCAGGCCCACTGAAGCCTTTCTTGGCCATGCTATGCAGCAGAAAGAAACCAGCAAATCTCAAGTCCATTCAGCTCACAGATGGTAATTATGGTCCAAGTTTTGGGGGAGAATGGGTTTGAGTGAAGCTACTGGCTGAAATCAAGTTTAGGGATTTTCTGTGGATTTCACTTAGTCCAGTTATCTCTCTTCTTCTCTTTCTGTCTCCCTCACACCATCCCCCTGCAGTCACCGTGACGTGAGAAATTTTAGTTTACCAAATGTATCCTTTGAACCTGATTACCTTGAGCATTTTCCATTACAAACTGCTGGCCTTTCTGGGATCCCATTTTTTCAGATGAGATCTTCCCAGAAAGAGGCCCAGAAGATTGGGTTCTTATCTAGCTTTTTTCCAGGCACTTGTGGAAATCGGCCCTCTAGGTAATTCCTTGTATTTTCTACTCAGAGACAATTTTACATTCAATGTTTTTGTGTTTTTAATGTGCATCTTGGATATAGTAGCCCTTCACATGAATACTGCGAAATGTTTGATGAAAGAACAAATGATTGTCCTCCTAAAATCACAACTCTTCCCAAATTACAGAGGCTATGTTCTGGTTGGATTATTAGTTTCCCCACTGCTCCCAGGTTAAGCTCATTCCCCAGAGGGCCCTCATCTCACAGGTCCCCCATTTGCAGGGGACGGATTTTCTCACGTAGCTTCAGCCCTCTCATCCAGAGGACTCAAGGCCCAAAGGGCCACCCGGCATGTGTCAAAGCCACCCCTGCCGGAGTCCATCTTCAACCACCTCCAAATGCTTCTCTGTTGTCCTGGGGTATAGGTGTCTGCTGAAATGGGCATAGGTGGAGAGAAACTGAGGCAGAGAGAGGGCTGGGCTAGCTGATGCATATAAGTACTTTATATGCATCTAGCTCATTTAGCTTTCACCAGGACCCAATAAGTGAGCGGCAGAGTCTAATAACAGAAATCCTCTTTGCTCTAAGTATTGGACTGTATTTCCTCCCAAACAACTTTCAGCTGCTCCACCTTCTGCCCCAGCTCTGGTCCAGGAATTCCAGCCCCGGAGTTTAGCACATAAATTCCCTGGGGCCTCAGCATAGACCCCCGCAGTATGCTGGAAAAGCAGAGTGATAATTACTTAGTGGAATAGATCAGACTCGCATTAAAAATTTTGTCAATTGACAAGCATGTGAATGATCTACCTTCATGGAGTTGTACTTACTAACTTATTAATCCATTATTTAAGTGTTCCATAATTTAAAAACTTTCTTGCTTTGTAAGTGGTAAGACTTTCCAGTTAAAGACAATTACTGTAGTCCCAACACCCACTATGTTCCTGATTAGCTCTGTAATTAAATTACCAATTAAAGGGAACTGAAAAAACTCTTCATTGGATAAAGTAAAATGTCCTTAATTATGATGTTGTATTCTCCATGAACAGAAGTAGAAATATATATACATACACACTCACATACAAGAAATTAAATATATATGTACCCATCTATAAATGTCATCTTTCATAAACTTTTCCCTACCCGCACTTCACACTCAAGTTTCACGTCAAAGTTGTGACTCTCCTTAGTTTTTTTTTTTTTGTTTTTTTTTAAGAGGGTGGGTGGGAGGGAAGAGGGACAAAGCAAGACAACTTTATTGGTTTAAACTTGCCTCATGAAAATAATGATATTGATCAAATTTATAGAGCTTGATTCAAAATGGAATTGTTCAAGCTACTTCCAAATGAGAGCAATATGATTTTTAAAAAGCACATAAAATGCACCGTTGTCATCTAAAGGGCTAACTTTTGCTACCTATGAACCCTGCTTTTTCTCACACAAAAGCAGTTAGGATAGTCTATAAGATAGAACAGTGATCTAGAGGAATCCTGGGGTATTGTGCCTTATGAGTCTGAGGGTTGGACTCTCTGAAGCTTCATGTGGCTTTCACGTTTTTCGAATGCATAATACAAGAGAGGGAATAAAAACAGCTACGATCAGGACGGAAAGGACTTCCCTTTTGTTTCTGTAGTTACACTTTACAAAATTTACCATTTTTCCCTGAGGGTGCAGAATCACTAGTGTGTTAATTAAGTTCACAACAGCACACAGCAAATCAGGAAATAACAACAACAACAAAGCCAAAACTTCTTGCAGCAAAACTGAGTCTCTGAAGTTGCCCATGGCATATGAGGAAGTCATACCCTACCCTCCCATACAAGCATTCCAAATACTTAATGTGCCAAGTAAATCATTTCTTAATTATTGGGAGGTTTTAATTCATTTCCCCAAATCTCCTCTGCTTTCCCCCTCTCCAGTCTCCTCCCAAGTTACTCTATAAATCTGTGCCTTTCAGTGTATTCAAGTCTTTAAGCTAGATTTTGTGTTGTATACTTCAATCAGGGAGAAAGGAATTTAACACAAACATTCCAAAGGAAATTCTAGTAGGGCGATGAAATTTAGTGTGGAAATTTTTATCTCAAAGGAGACATGGATTGGGGAAAGTTCTTATTAAGCAGCAATTTTCCATGGACAAAAACTGAACTCTCATCACTGCTACTATAAGCATAATCACAGGCACATTTGTAAATGGCCTTTGTATACCCGTTTATAGCTTTTAATGAAACCTAGAAACAGAATCCTGAGGTCTATCATTGGGCACTTGCTACTTTAACGCTGGTACATAACAGATGACGAAGTGCAAATGGATTGCCCTTCTTTTCTATTCAAAGAAAAAAAAACTTAGCAGGTATGTCTTGGCTTTTTCCTGGTAAAACTGAAAAAAAAAAATCTCAAAAGAGAATATAGAACAGTACACCCATAGTTTGTAGCTGAAGCTCTGACCCACAATTTCTAGTGGCCAGCACTTTCCTCCTTTCAGTTCTTCCATTTTATAAATGCGGAAATTTAGACCATCAGCAGCTTCCACAGACAGTCACAGAAAATGCTGTGCTGTCAGGCCAAACCCAAAAATCAGAGCAAAACTAAGGTCTAAATGCCCAAACCTGATCATCTTGACTCTGAGAAACTTGTTAAAGCCATTCAGGCAACCGTTTGCTCAAATTTCTTTAGAAAGTCAGCCTCTCATCACATAGGAGGGATGATTCGTCTTCCCATAGCATGTGATGTTCTGTTTTTGGCTGAGGAAGCTGTACCCTGCGTCACACAGCTCTGCAGCAGGACCTCTCTCTACTAAACACGCTCGCTTCCCACACGAGCTGCCATATGTCTTACCCTTCAGAAGAAGTTGGGTGTGAATCCATTTTTATTTTAGCAAGGACTCTGATTCTGTTCGTCATTAATCTTCCCCCTTTGTCTCATCCCTCATCTCTTGCCAAATGACTTTTCAAGTACTCACTGAACTTATTTTAAAGGACAAAGCATTTCTATACTCCCTCTGTTAAGAGATACCATGAGAAATGAAGAAAATGGCTGGAGGACCTTTTTTTATTTAATGAGGGATTAATAGACATTTTTGTAAATGCCTTTCAATAAAGGAAACCCATTAAAGAAACTTAGTGAAAGTTACTCTCGTGATCTCTAAGTAGACACGGGGGCAGTGATTCTCAAACTTTCACATCCTCACAGAATCCTAGGAGATTTGTTGAAAATGCACACTCCTGGGCCCCACTGCTATCTGACCCAGTAATTCCTGGGGCCCAGAAACCTATATTTTTGAAAGCTCAGCAAGCAATTCTGATGCAGGTGGTCCCAGGACCACACCTTGAAAAACACTGACCCAGTGAATGTTTATCCACATGGCAGAGATAATTTGCAGCCCTGGTTTGGGGAGAGCCTGGCTTCAGGATATTGGAATGTTAAGAGGTCAGGAACGAAGGGCTTGGGTTGAGACATGGGGGCCTGAGATGTCAAAGGTCACCTGCCCACTTCTTTTCTGAGTCTGACACATAACTTAGGTTGTCTTGTTTTCATGAGTTCCAAACTCAACCATTAGGAAATAAAGAATGGCCTGTTCAAATTCTTTCTGTGAATCTTTCCCAGGTTCCTTTGGAGCAAAAGGCCTGTGTTCCCTCCCAGGAGTTGGCTGTGCTCTTTGTATAGCTGTGTGTTTTCTTCTTCCACTCAACTGTCAGTACTCAGCCAATACAAAGCAGTTTCCTTGTTCTGAATCACATTTTCAATGTAGACCATAACTAATCTGGACTTTGAAAATCAAAATGGGGAGCACAACATGTGACCTGAATGTGATTTTTTTTCCATAACCGGAGCTCTTAATATTTAGTTTTGCTTAATGACCTAAGACATGGATCCACACGGATTACTCTTTCTGCCCCATTCAATTCACACACAGAGTAGAATTCACATAACCAGGCATTAATTTTTCTCATATAAATAATTAATTCTACATTTAAAAACATGTTAAGATGTTTTATTTCTTAATCAGCTAATTTGACTGGGAAACAAAGATGCCTTTTATTCACATTTTCTTTGAGTCGTGTTACTGTAGTAAAAGTTCCCCACAAGATTTGGCCTTTGCTCACAAGTTTTGCGGCTGCCAATTAGTTTCCAGAGTCGCTATTTTACAAAAATGCTTCTCACTTTTAAAAAATGTAATTGAATGTCTGTTCATCACAGAGTTTCTTGTGTTCAAGCCCAGGGTGTTAAACATTTTTCAGGTTGACTTGGGTCAGCTTTGAAAAATTTCAGACAGTGAAACTTGAGAAGGGACCGTATGCTATAGTGTGTTCCTCACATCCTGTTAAGTATTAAGTGGATATTTAAAATGGAGTTGTTATACCTCTTGACTGACTTAAAGTGAGCCATATAGTTTACAAGACTATTAATTAAATGAGAAGATTGCATGGGATGCACATGTATTTTCATAATCATTCACATTGGCCCGGAGTTGCCCTTTAATTTTCAGACTAATTAAAGTAACACATTCAACTGCAAAGGGTGGATGGCTGCGTTTCTGCATAGATGCTAACACTGATGAAAGTGAAATGGGGAATTTTTCTTTTTTAAAGGAAAAGGAGTGGGAGAAGAAAGAATCCGCCTGAGTGGACCTGACTCCATTCCATTCATGGCTCCCTATTTGTTCCACTCCTGGATCAAGTTTTTAATTTAACAAGACTGCATTTTGAGGGGAGTTTTCAACCCCATCTGTTTGGGGCCAGAGTGTGCCCCACCTGGTGGTGCAATTGATTTCTGAATTAACCGGGCTTTATTTCAGTACAATAGAGCGATTGTTTAGTTGCTTTTAAGCACTAGGATTCTTGGAATCTGATGGGCAAAAAAATAAATCAGACTGCAACGTGTGGTTCTCTGGGCTGCTAATTGCATCTGACCCATTATCCTCCACAGTTCTGGTTCAAACTTTGACACGGCTGACTTGGAGTTTGAAATGTAAATGGAAGGGCTGCTTTTGCAGGTCATCATACTGCAGAAAGTCCATTCCTGGAACACTTTCCAAGGCCTGGAAAGGAGAAGAAACAGATATTAGCAATTATAGCAGGACTGTGCAGCTGCTGGCGTTTGGGACTGGCAGACACAGCCACAGGTCCCTCTCCCTCCAGCACCACCCAGTGTGAGGAGCAGAGATGGAGGGGGTCAGGCTGTCCCATGGAGCGGTGGCAGAGGTGTCAAAGGACCATGAGTTCATTGCATCCAGGGAAAGAGCGGCTGAGGGGAAGCTCCCCACCTCCTCCCACACCCCACCCTTAAAAAGTATGCTGTACTGGCATATAGTTAGCAACTCTTTTTCCTGCCTCTATAGCTTTATCCTTGCCACCCATAAAGCCTCCTTGAAAAAAGTCCGAGGTTTATAAAGATCCTCTCTTTCTTTACAAAGAAAAGTTCCTCCACTCCTAGGAGGCGCATCCAAAAGAAATAGCTTGTGCTGCTCCCCAGCCTGGGTCTAATACAAGGATACAAGTGTTTGCCTTCAGCTCTGCTCCCCTGTAACCACGGCTCTCTCTCTGAGGGGGTGGGTCCTAAGTTTATTTAACAGTGACTTTTAAAATGTAGCCCAGACAGTGCTTTTAAGGGATGGAGCTGGGCCCTGAGAGGAAAGGAGAGGGCTGGAGAGCGCTGCTGGGGGAAAGGGCGATTCCAATTCAGGAGGGGTTCTGGGGGCTCAGAGGCAAATTGCAGCTGGGAAAGGGAATTGGATCCAATTCCTCAATCTGGAGAGAAAACAGGTCCTGGAAAGAGAGAGGAAGGAAGACGCCCAGGGAGCAGGGCTGCCGACAGCACAGAGCCACCTGTGCAGGGACAGGCCTCCATTGCTGGAGTCTGCAGTCACACTGGGAGCTGCACCCAAGGCGGTGGGCTAGACAGGGGCTTCATTCAGGGTGACCAGGCAGTTCAAACCCCAGCTTTGCTACTCACCAGCTGTATGACCTTGGCCAAGTTACATTATCCTTCTGTCTCAGCTTACAAAATGCTCAAATGGAACAGTGATAAATAATAACTACAAAATAGCACTGTTTTGGGAATTTGATGCTAAGTTGGTACATAGTAAGTGGTACATCATACGTGTTTGATAAACTCCAGGTAATATGATCACTAGAACCAAGGTCTGGCCTCATCTCCTTGTTTGCTGAAGAAAGTTCAAGGTCTCCCAAAGAAGACCACAAGTCCACACATCCATCAGCAATATCAATATGGCACATGTGTAGGGAGGCTTGGCTCCTGACAGACTGAGCTCCTGGCTTTCCAGAGATTACCAGCCATTGGAGGAGACAGACGCAGCTACACCCATAAGAGAGCAAAGGCACTGGCATCCAGTGCCCCTTAAAGCCCCACAGACCTTCTTTAGTCCAACCTTGCAGAGCATTCCATACTGCCCCTATGGGATTCCTGTCCCACTCTGTAGCAAGGAGACAATGCCTTGATATGCTCCAGATCAGGCTGGGGTGAGTTCACTGACTTGGAGCATTCCATTCTCAAGATCGGGAGTCCAACCTAATCTTGCCATTTGCTGGTGTGATGGTTAACCAAATGTGTCAACTTGATTGGCCTAAGGGATGCCCAGATGGCTGGGAAAACATTATCTCTGGGCTTATCTGTGTGTTTCTGGAAGAGCATAGCATTTAAATTGGTAGGCTGAGTAAAGAAGTGCTCCCAGGTTGAGGGTGGTGGCTCATGCCTATAATCCCAGCATTTTAGGAGGCCAAGGGGGGAAGATTGCTTGAGGCCAGAAGTTTAAGACGAGCCTGAGCAATATACAAAGACCCCATGTCTACAGAAAATAAAATAAATTTGCTTGAGCGTAGTGGCAGACGTTGGTAGTCCCAACTACTTGGGAAGCTGTGGTGGGACGATTCTTTGAGCCCAGGGGTTCAGGGCTGCAGTGAGCTGAGACTGCACTACTGCACTCCAGCCTGGGCAACAGAGCCAGACCCTGTCTGAAAAAAACAAAACAAAACAAAACAAAAATCTCCCTCACTCCCTCACCACCTTACCAACACAGGTGGGCACATCATTCAATCTGTTGGGTGATCAGATCGAACAAAAAGGCAGAATGGTGAATTCCCTTGTTCTGCATGAGCTGTGACATCCACATTCTCCTGAGCTTGGACATTGGAACTCCTGGTGTTTAGGCCTTCAGACTTGAACCAGGACTTACATCATTGGCTCCCCCGGTTTTCAGGCTTTTGGGTTTGGAATGGAACTGCACCACCAGCTTTCTTGTGCCTCCAGCTTGCAGACAGCAGATTGCGGGACTTCTCAGCCTCATAACAAATCTCATTCTATAGAGCTATATATATATATCCTATTGGTTCTGTTTCTCTGGAGAACCCTGACTAATACAGCTGGACTTGACCCTGGTTTCTTATCTAAGTGGGTAATAAGAAGATGATGCTGTTGTGAGAGTTTAAGTGTAGCTCCTGGGTGTATTTTTTAAGTGTGTATGGCACTGACTTCGGCAGTATTGGAACAGAGTCATCCCAGACATGCTACTTGGCTCAGAGATGAAGAAATGTACTGTATTTGGGGACAGGTCTATACTGCACCTGGATTCCTATATTTGCTAGTAAATAGCAGCACATGGAGTTATTAATTAGCACTTATGAGTTCATTAGCATTTATAAATAATGTCAACAGAAGCTGATGAACTAAGCTAGGTTGTTTGGGAAGGGGACATGAAGGAGAAAACTTCTCCCTCCACTTGGATTTATATCAATGTTACTTCCCTAGAATCGACCGTCACCAAGGAGTCTGTAAAAATAAACACAAACACAAAGCGCAAGACAGTAAATTCCCTGTATATGAGGGTGGCCTCTCCCGAGTTTCTGGTTCCCATTACTAATCTACCTCATATTGAATGGATTTGAGACTTGGTTTAAAGAAAACATAACAGTAGCAATATAACCAGCCGGGGGGCCATATGTGATTCTTTTTCATAAAATTTTCAAGTTGAAAGGAAACTTGGAGATCATTGTATCATCCCTCCATGCTTCAGGTAGGGAAACCCAGGTCCTAAAGTTAATAACAATTGGGTCTAGAAACTTCACATCTTTATCTCGGTTTCAATGACTCAAAAATGGATGAAACTGACACATCAAATTTAGGGCTAGAAAGTCCATTTGGATCCAATGTTATCACTTCCTTGAAACAGTCCTTCTCTCCACCAAGAAAGCTTGCTTCTTTTACTCTCTCTATTGTCTTTTGGGAACCAAGCATCACTCACTTCCCTTTCAGTCAATCTTTCAGCCCAGCTCAACAAGAATCAATGGCAGTTGATGTCTATACTTCAGTCTCTTCTAGGCAGAGCAACCAAGTGAAACACTGTGGGAACCTCTGGGCTTCTAATGGAAACAGGATGAAAACTATACTGGGCTTAAAGAATTCAACTTACTAGCGACTGAAAGGAGCTTTAGCGACAGGAGAAGGAAGGAGAGGAGCAATTGATTGAAGGAGGGGAAAGAGACATGGTTAGAAAACTAGAAACTCCTAGAGAACTATCAATCCTCAGTTCTTCCATCCATTTGGAAATATGACCATTTTATGCAGATCTAAAACATTTAAATTAAATTTAACAGTTGCTTTAATAGGTTTAAAAAAAACTTTTAAAAGCTTTTCCCACATTCAATCTATACCAGGTGTTTTGCTCACAAAAACTACTCACAAAAGGCTGGCCCCACAATTTTGGTTGTAGCATTCACCTTTCGTTGTTGTCTTATACAGTCTTTGCTACATTAAGCTTTTATCAAATTTCTAAAGGGCACTCTGTATCATCAATTATGATGTCTGGTTTCAAACTTGATTTTCAGTAGCAAAGCCTCACTCTGAGTCTCTGTGTGCAGTATGTAGGTTGACACCTTGGGCTATGCTGGAACAACATCTGGCATTTATGTCTATGTGGACTAGATGGGAAATGAGGGAAGACCAAGTACTAACCCAGGATACAAATGGTTCCGTTTTTAGAGATTTTTATGGATCTCTAATTTAGAACAGTTGCCCAAGTAGGACATCCTGCTGACATTATAATTTTTCAAAAATATCACATTTCTGCAAACAAACATGGTTTCTATCCCAGTAGACTGGCTGTAGTTCTCAAATTCATTGTCGATTATTCTAACCAACCAATATGTGTTCTGTATGGTTATTAGCAAAGAAAACAACCAAGAAACCAAAGGTTTCTACCTCATATTTAAGTTCATCTACAGGGAATACTGGATTCACCCTGCGATTCAATGTTGACCTTTAACTTGGTCAGGAGCTTATTGCGGAAATAGCTACCAAGTCTCCTTGTCTCCTAATACATAATGGTCTTTCCTGACTGTTTTTCCTTCCATGCCCCTCAGGTCATCACTAGATAACATATTGTCTGATCATCAGAGTTCATTGCCTGCTTTAAGCTCCCTTGGGATGCTGACATCTCAGGTTTTGTGGCTAGGATGATGTGACGATCTTGTATGGAGTCTCTGTCTTCAGAACTATCATCAGTGAATGTTAATGACTTAGCAAAGTAGCTCACGCCAACATGAGGCCTTTCAGAGCACTATCAAAGTGCAGGAACTTCTGGATGACGATGTCAAAAAACCAGTGTTCTTTGGGAGCTCTGGGCCCATAATCAATCACCAACTTCCCCTGCTGTGCCTTTGAGCACTGCCATTTTAAATAACTTGCGGGAAAAGGGGCAATTTTCAGCAATATAGAAAAGCTGAAAAGGCATCAGCAACTCTGATGCTGAAGACCCTACCAATAGGTAGTGACCTTAAGGATGTCTTTTCAGCAGCCAGATTTGCTTGCTATCTGCCAGAACTGAGATTTGCTGTTAGTGTAAACACGTCATCCCCACATGCTTCAGGTAGGGCTTTTGTAAGATGCCACAGACAATGACTAAAAGACACTCAAGCAGAGGTGACTGCAAGCAGGAAGCTGAAGAAAATAGACTGAAGGACACTCGAGAACCACACTCCCCACTGAACATCTGTCAATGGCTCCACATCATCCACACAGTGAAGTTTATGCTCATTAGCATGGGCTATAAGAGCCTTCATTATCTGACCCTTCAGTATCTCTGACCTTGTCCTCTATGCTACAGAAACACTCATCCATGCCATTTTTCATCGTGTACCTTTGCTCTGCCTAGAATATTCTCCTGCCATATCTTGAGCTCTTTTTTTATTCCGCAAGGCTAAGCTCAGGTATCAACTCCTCCTAGAAACTTGCCTTTACCATCCTTCTCCAACTACATAAGGCATCACTCCTCTATGCTCAGCTCTACCACTGCATTCACCATAATGTTTACAGTAGTTAATTATCTTTTGCTCCACTTGACCGCAAGGCCCTTAAGGGCAAGGGCTATTTCTTATTTCTCTCTGTCATTTTCATATTCCCTGTACCAAGCACAAAGCCTGTCACACAGTAGATGCTTAATAAATGTTCACTGGATGAAAAATCGTCTTCAAACAATATGAAAAGGCTGTGGAAAAATGGTAACTACCATCCAACACATCTAATGTGGTATATCAGAAATGGGAGGCCTATTTTTGAACCAAATCATTGTGTAGACTGGAAGGTAAGGAACTTGAGTCACTAAGAGTAGCAATATGTATCCCCACCAGCTCCAGCTGTGCAGACACAGCCCCTACTACTGTGGCTGGGGCAGACTACATCTGCTGGTCTCAATATTGCAATAGATATCATTGTCTCTCTCTTCTAATAAAAATTTTAGATTCTCTTCACCCTCAGCTGGCATCTCTTTTGTCTGTGTGCCTTAACTGGTGGAGTGACCCAGACCCTCATCCTTGAGGGATCTGAGCCTCTCAGCCTCTTCTCAGGCCATGGTTGCAGCATTTGTCCATTTACCTTCAAAACTGGGCAAGGGACCATCCAAAGAGAACATCCAAATGGCTCACCTGGGTGGTAAAAATAGGTCTTCCTGCTTCCATTGTGTAAGAGTAGCCCTCCTCTTCTTGATCAGGATCAAATAGTGCTGCTAAGAGGGTGGTTCCTCAGCACATGGAATCTGAAGTGCCCCACCAGTAACCATAGCTTAGAGTTCAATGGGACCCTTCTGTGTCCCCTGGTGGAAGCTTTCTCCCTTTGGAAGCCAAGACCTCTAAGCCTGCAAAACCTAGAATTGTAGGAAAGGAAAGTATAAATTCCCCAAGTGTGTTACCAGGAGTGATGGTAAGCAGAGCCACAGTGACTTTCACTCCTTGGTTCCTGAACTCATGTGTTCCGCCTATTGGCGAACAGCTCCAGGTAATGGTCATTGATTTAAAGTGTACACTGCATCCTGGAGAATAGTGCCTGATCCTCGCAGATACCATCTTCAAGCTGGTCCCTCCACTGTGCCTTCAACAGGCCATTCACTCCAGCAGACCAGATTCTTCTATGTGGTGCTATATGAGATAGGACCATTGGCTGTATTTCTTCCGGTGCACCCCCTTTGCCATAAAGTGAGTCCTGTGGTATGATACAATGTGATGTGGGATCCCTATTGACATATCAAATACTCTAAGCTCTTAGATGGTGGCGCAGGCTGAGGCTCTGCAGCAGGGAAAGGCAATCCCATTGTGAAATATCATTTTTTCAAGTTAAAATGAATCGGTGCTCCTTCTAGCCGTGTAGCTAATTTGCCACCAAGTGGCTTCTTTTTGACCTCAAAAGATAGTATCATGTTGGTAATTGTTCTCTGCTGCTGACAATCAGAGATTGAGCAGCAGCAAGAGCTATATTAATTTGGTGAGTATGAGCCATGCCGTGGACCCATATATCACCTCCAACCCTACCACTCTGGCTACTCCGCTTATGCACCCATTGTGCCAGCACTGCTGTGACCCATGGCAGAGGCTGGCTTACGTCAACTGGCCTGGTCATTCTATCTTTGTGTTGAATACTTTCTGGTGGGTGTTAGTTAACATGTGATACAAAACTCTTCACACTTCATGCCCACTCCTGTATGTGTACCCGTTCCCCAAATCCCCTTGTCTTTTTCCTTCCAGTCCTCTGACCATTTGACTAAGCCATTTTCCACTGCCCATGAGCTTAGACATATTCTCTTTCCACACAAAGTGGATGAGCAGGTACACCACTTAAAGCTATGCCCATTGGGATGATTTCTACTAATTAGTGACTTCAAGGTCACCCTGAGTAGGGCTAAAGTGCAGCAGCAGTTCATTTTCAGCTTGTACCCACATACCAAGCCAACCTTCTCATGAACCAAGCTCAACCTTTCACATGTTCCATCAGCTGGCCATAAGGGACCCCCATGTGGCCACAGGTGTGCACTGAGGCAGAGGTAACATGATGGTGGTGGATGAAAACTTGGCAGTCTGAGCCACTGGATCCTGCAACTTACTGCTGACCTCTGGCCCTGCTCGTGTCCAGTCCCAAATGTACCCTTTTCATCTTATAAGAATTACTTCTGGTCACCCACCAACCTTATAATGTATTTGGTCTGACAGTAAGAAGTTCATGATGGGCAGTTCTGGCTTCATCACCATTGGATGACTAACAGGTACAGTCACAAAGCATGCCAAGAGTTGCTTTTCAAAATGTGTGTAACCTCTGCTTTGAACCCTCTCACTGAACATAGTCATTTGGTGGGTTTTCTGGCCCATCCTGCCATGCCCATTTCTCTGAGCTTTTTTGTCCTTTCTCCCACCAACTGTCACAGTAATTCATTTCTACTTCCTTTTATGTGAGCTCTTACTTTCTCCAAGCTTCTGAGAGCCATCCTAGCAGTACATTAGCAGGATCCCAGGATCTTTGCCAGATGCTAAATCCTGTAGCCCAAGAGAGTGATCCCATATTGATAAATTTTCCCTTATATAACTTTACATTCCATCTACCTTGATCCAGTACTCTCAGAACCCAGTCCTTAAATAATGTTTGATATTCTGCCAGTGCCTGTTAGCTACATCCTGCAGTTCCTGCAGTACCTTTCCTTTGCTAGTGGGCCCAGCACTTCCCCAGCCAGGCAATGCTGTGATTTAACCCTATTTATTAGTCTGGCTGCCAAGAAAGGGACCGTGGGGGCAGATCTTAAAGTGGGAAGGACACATTTGTCTTCTAAGGCAGAGGCCCCTGCATATTCTTCAAGCAAGAGAGGAGTAATGCTAGCCTTTAGCAGACAGGAGTAGGCCACTTCTGCAGGCCCAGAGAGTTTAAGGGAATCTGGAGACTCAAGATATTTAAGTGCATCAAGTCAGATGTCACCATCTAATATCTCAAGGGCTTGTTCTTTCCCAATCAGAACCTTGCCTGGCACAGCGCACATGCCTAGGTTGAGAATTCAACCTTCCCAGGAATTCTCTCAATCTTATGTTTAAGTCCTAGCCCTGATATCAACTTTTTCTGGCTTCTAACTACAGGATATGAGACTTACTTGATATCCAGTAGTGACGCCCTGTGGTTTACATACTAATTGCTTATGAATTGCCTTCTTATCCAATGCATTAATTGCCTCCAGTAATATCCAACCGTTGTCATTGCTCTTATCATTACTATTTCCCCGTATTTCTCCAGTGCCTGGTACATTCACCTACTAGTGCATCCCCTTTCACCAGCATACCATTCCACATCATCACTGCAACCCTGTGCCAGGATCTACTCTGCTCCACCCACTCCCGCTCCCAGAGATGAGGTCCTCACTATCAGTAGCCAGCAGGTGATCTAGCTCCAGAATCCCATCTTAGCATTGCCTTTCTCGGACCACTCCTTGTACCAACTGTTTAGGCTGGGTTCCTTGAGAAGCAGACTTTGAATCAGGGATTTGCATAGAAAGTTTATCAGTGCCTGCCCTTGGAAATCACCATTCATAGAAGTGAAAGCACAGGGAAAGAAACAGGACTGGGTCAAGGGAGAAGTTGGGCTGTGATACAGTCACAAAGAAGGCATCAGTTAACCTCACAGAGAGCTCAGAAGCTGATTTGCACTTAGGAGTTTTCTGAAGTTGTGGTGAAGTGGAGAGACCTTTATAGCCCTGCAATATAAGATTTTGGACACAGGCTAACCCAGGAAAGGGGTTGTTACCTTGAGTGAAGAGGCTCACTTACATAGAGGGCAATGAGCAGAGAGGGAGACAGCTGAGGGCTGTCAGCCAATGGTACTCTCAGCAGCTGGAGGAGTAAGGCTTCAATCCTGAAGGGGGATCTGGGTGGTAGCAAATAGTGACTTCCATAGAACCTAGCTCTAGCTCTTACTAACTTTATGACCTTGGGCAAGTCAGTCATATTCTCTGGGCCTTAGTTTCCTGATCTGTAAAATGGAAATGACAAAAATGTCTACCTCATAGGGTTGTCATGGAGATTAAATGAAATAATAATGCAATGCACCTTAATCAGAGCCTGGCACATAATAAGGAACACTGTAGCTTCTAGATAGAAGAAGCCTGGGGCCTATATGAGAAGCTACTAAATTATGAGATGCAACAAAAGGGGTTGCTAAACTGTGGGCACTGGGAGCTTAGAAGAGGTAAAGATCAAGGAAGTAAATAAGAGCAATTTCAAAGAGCAGACAGTCAATTGATACATGGACTTTAGAAAGGTGTAACAGAAGAAGACAGCTTCCAGATGAGATATTAACAAGAGCAAAGGCCCAACAAACATGGTATTTGCAGAGCAATGATGAAGTCGGCCTGGCCGCTGCAGTGTTTCTTGCCCAGAAGTAGACTAGGAGGTGGGTGGATTATGGAAAGCTTAGACATCCAAGCAGAAACAGCAGCTCTGGACTTCCCAACAGACCATAGTTTAGTTGGACTCGAAAGTGGCTTGAGGGGCATTCCAGAGAAATGGAATGTCTTGGCAGGAGAGGGAAAGGAAGGAAGATGGAGGGAGACAGCGAAGAGAGAGGAATGAGGAGCAGAGAGACATGTGGAGGAGAGAGAAGGCTGGAAACAAATTGGGTATTAAAAGCCAATCCAGAGAGTGCAAAAGAAAATCAGAAGTGAAGAAAGTGAAGAGAAAATGTAGAGTAAATAGAGTTTTAAGAAATAATGGTCTTCCAATTTCAGAAGTTCCAATTCAAAGAGTCGGACTGTTCAGCTATGTTACCTCCTTGAGAAACAATACAAATACATTTATTAAGAAGCCAGAGCTTTGCTATATTATAAATAGTTCTGAATTAAGGTCCCTTCCCAAAATGCCTACTCTTCCAACAGGTGCAATATTACACCATCTGCCCAACAAAAGAATCTAAATGTCACTAACTTCAGAAGAAAATGTAATTGACTGCCTAGGACCCTAGTTTATTATGATATTTAATAACTTGTACTTATATAGCATGTAGGGGCATAAAAGGTGTTATAAATGTTAACCCTCTAATTCACACAATAACTCCTTAGAAAGAGAGAAAGCGTGACACTCCCTTTTTAACAGATCCATTCATTCAACAAACATTTATTGGGTTCCTACATGCTAAGCATTGTAATGATGTAGAAATTTGGCTACATGGAGTTTGATTCAGGCTGTTGGGTGCCTGCCTGCTCCCCCAGACACAATGAGAGCCTCCCAAGAGCAGGAACCATGACTTTTTCTCTCTGAAGTCTTAGAGCCCAAAACTGCACCTGGAAAGAAGTTTTATTCCATAA
This sequence comes from Homo sapiens, assembly GCF_000001405.40. Lineage (NCBI taxonomy): Eukaryota > Metazoa > Chordata > Mammalia > Primates > Hominidae > Homo > Homo sapiens. Next base: position 87,157,560 of record NC_000001.11, on the reverse strand, counting down.
ATATTTATAGATTTTTTAAATTAAATACCCAGCATTACCTATAAGTCTTTGCTACCATTATTAAAAAACATAAACCCCAAAACTCTTGACTTCTGAGGCATTGCTAGCCACTGGACCTTATTTCCTGTGGAACCCCATAATCTCCTCTTTGAGATGGTAAAACATTCACTCATCCTCTGAACACTGTGAATTGTGTGCAATTTCCACAGCCCTTTGCATTTACTGGGTACAAGGTAGAGGCTGAGACGGGCCCCACACTAAGAGCTGCTCTTTTCTTAAAGATTTTTGGCTTCTATGAAGATTTTTATGTTGGAAGGAAAAATAGAACTCTGGATCTAGAAATCACTCCAAGTCAATATCCTCTTGGTAGTCTGGGTTGGGTGTGGGAAAGTTCCACTTGGCGGCTCTGAGGTCCCAACTACTATCAAATGGCTAGCACAAAAGAGAAACAAATTGGATATTGAGCATCTCTCTGACTCAGGTCTTGGGGTCTCACTGTGTTGGTGAGATCATGCTCTAGTGAGATGCTTCACAGGTATCTGGTAATTTAACCAACTTGTACAGGGTCCAAAACAAAGCCATCTTGTGCCATAGCAAAGTCCCGGTGAACTGGAGAAGGAGACACTTACGAGTGTGTGCCTAAATTGTTCACCTTCTACCCCGCCCACATCCCAATGTGGATGCCATTAAAAATCTCAATTGCTAATATCTGGAAGGTATCCTGCGCTCTCAGAACTAAGGCCAGGGTGTCATCTGTCTCTAATCATGAAAGCAGACTCTCTCCAAGCCTGAAGACTGAAGTGGCACCAAAAGTCTCAGGTGCTCCAGCCCAAGCCTGGTGCTATCACCCTTGGGACAGTCACAGCAGATGGTCCATTTTCACAAATGTCAAAAATCAGGCTCCAGACACTCACGAGGCCAGAGCACACCCTAAATTAGCTGTCGGCCACTTAAATCATACAGGTTACACTTTCTCTTTACCTTTTGCTCCCTAACGTTGCTCAGTGAATGACTGTATGAACTGTCGCTCTCCAAAGAGCTTCAAACGAACTCCATGTAAACAGTGCATCTGAAGAGGCCCACAGAACTTGAAAGAAGAGGACTTGGCTTCCCTCGTTCTTTGAAAAATATATCCTGTATCCCTTGGCTGGATCATACAGAAAAAGAAATCTGAGTTTCTTTCTTCTGCTCTTCCGGGGAGGAGGGTGGCACAGTCTGTCTATGGCTGAGCCCACAGTTGTACATGAAAGTTAATATTTCCAGGGCCCTGCGTGGGATACCTTTCCCAGAATTCATGTTCTCCATGGGAAACTGAAATAGCGCGTGACAGTTGCCCTAAGTAGATTTAAATAATTAAATTCAAAAATTCTCAAACCACTTGCTGTTTCAAATTTATTTCTTTAATAACAGCTCAGACTCAGCAACAGACTGGATTAAGGTTTCATTTATTGGAAATTTAAGGTATATCCAGCTCTGGGTGTTGTTTTTAAGTATTTAAGGGGAAATTTGTGCTGGGTGAAAATGAAGAGACTGCAGCATTATAAATTCATTTCCTCTATTAGAAGCAGGGCTGCGCCTGCACGCTGCAGCTGTTCCAGGAGGCAGTCCCGACAGGCTGGAGGGCGAGCCGGGAGCAGACAACCCTTTGTTTCCCCAGTAGGGGAGATTTGGCCAGTCCAACACCCTCGGCAAGAACGATTTCCTCAGTGGCGCCAGGCAGTTGGGCAGGATCATCTGGGGTGGTTTTCATGTGGCAAAGTAAAGCATCCTTTGGGATTCCAGGGCAACTTCTAAGGGATCCATTTGCATCTGTGACCTCAAACCATGCCGTGCCCCAGGCCCCAAAGATGGGAGGCTGCCATGGCCTGAGCCTAGTTTGCTGACCTCTGAAATAACCCATCCTGAGACATTCAGCAAAGCCTCAGAAAACAGGTGTTACATTGCAGGTAACAGCCCCACGGTACTTACTATTCATGCTAACAATTTTACAAACAAGTGAGTTTCTTATACATTCATCGCCACCCCCAGGCATTCATATTCTTTTTAAGTACAGAAACCTTAATTAGATTTTGACCACAGACCCGGATTTGACTTACCCTGACAGGGTTTCCATTAGTGTAATCTGTGGGGGAATTCGCTGTTTTAACATCTGTGTGCCTGAGGCCTATCTCACATTTACTGCAAAACTCTGAAAAGCCTCCCTTGTATGGCTGTATGTTTCCTCATGCTCCCAATTTCACAGAAGTCATTTCAGCACCAAACGGTAATTAGCAAAGGGATGGGCCTCAGCTGACATGAATGCAATTTATTGTTTTCCACGAGGCCCTGAACCAAGCAAACAAAGAACACAGTCTAGCTGTCTGGCATTTTATTAACTTGTATTGTGCGGTGCACCTTACTGAAGGGAGATCTTCAAGAGAAATTCAGCAGTTTGTGTGTGGCAACACACAGACTTTGGAAGAATATTAATTTCAGTTCAATTAGGCAAGTTTTGTGGTACCTCAGCCTGTAATAGAGGACAGCCACTTTTATAATTATCTTCCATATTAACTTTATCATCACCAGACTTCTGCATAAATTCAACCTTTCATCTTTAAAATGCCAACACTTCTTCAATTTTGGCAACCGTACAGCACTGCTAATTATTTGCTCATTATGTGTGGTTAACTGATGAATCATTAATAAATGAATGAATGGCTAATATATTTTTATGGTAATTGGAGATATAACTGATTGCGGACTTCCTTAGCTTCTCAAAACGGCACTGAATGAGCAGTGGCTGCCTAATTGTTTACAGATGATATTTATGCCCCCACCCAGCATTTCCCACAGTTGTGGTTTATCCCTGGCATATTCTCATCAGTCCAGGGTGGCGGCTTGAACCAGTCTGGGCAGAGGGGAGTGGGCGGCAGCATAACCGAGCTTCCCTTATTGTGTTTCTGTCACCTCGTTTGTTTCAGCTCAGCTGACACGTAACCACGTACGAGCCGCATGACCATTTGCTAGCAATTCAAACAGTGCTTGTGGACTCTATTTGACTAGCCATTGGCAGGGCCACAGCTATGACACTGCTGTGGTTACCCCTAGTCACAAACACATAAAGACTCAGATGCTGACACACAAAGACTCGGGCCATCCAACTGCCACCTGTCTTGCCTGGCACACCCAAAGGAGCAGTGGCCAGTGGCCACCCAGCGTGGTGTCTCTGTGGTTGAAGAGTTAAAGGGGACCCTTTGCAAAGTTTGACTGGGAGACTGGAGTCCAATTTGCACCACTGACTGAAGTCCAGAAAATAAAATCAACCAGAGATCCTTTAACTCCATTCACTGACTCACCATTCCACAGCTGGTTAACGTGTTTGGAGATTAACTGCTGAATTACAAAAATTATATTTATCATGCTGCAAATCAGTCAGCACCTATAGGTTAAAAACAAAGAGTACGTATTTGTTGACAATTCTTGTGAAAATGAAAGATAGAATACTTGCCAAATAAGGCTTGTTTAGCTTCACACAAACAGACGGAAGATCAAGTTAAAAATGCAAAGGAGATTACCAATTCTTAATTATAATTATTTAACCAGGTGGGTAGTTTCTCCTAATGAACATTTCCATGAAAACAGAATAACTAATGACAGTCTTAAAGAAGCCTTTGTCTTTCCATGTACTAATGATCACATTTATAAATATGCAGCAAGGCCCCCGTGTACATTGCTAATGATAAGTAATTAAGTACCAGGCGTGGGAAGCCAGTGAAAAGGGTCATGTTAATGCAAGAGAGGAAATTAAAAATGCAATAAAATAAGTTGCCTAGAAAAGATTAAATAAACTTCTGGCTTCTCCTTCTTCCAGACGTAAAAGAACAGTTTCCCCATTCTTGTAGTGAAGCCATGGCAGGCCATTCAACAGCTGGTTATCAAGTCAGACAGTACCAAGTGATCCACTTGCTTTCTACCTCCATCCCCATTTTATCCTGCAGGATTTCAGGCAGAGGGTGTGGCTCAAAGTAAAAGGCATTTTGGGTCACCAAAGGAGAAGATGAGCCCCTTGGAAAAAGGAAACAGTTGGCCATCACAGATGGATACCTTCCACTGGCTAATTAAATAGGACTTTGGTTGCTGTTGCTAAAGTACCACTTGTTTATAAAACTGTGTTGACCAATCTGGGTTTTTTTCTTGCTTCTGGAAGAAAAAGAGAGGACAAGATCAGTGCCTTTTCCAGTAGAGCAGAATAACCTTCTCATGTTGTTGGCTTCCCCAGCAGACTGCAGACTCCTGGAGGGTAAGACCACGACTCTGTGTTATTAGACACTGTAGCCCTCACACCTAGCCCTGCACAGAGGCCGTGAATGTTTAATAAACACTGGTTGAATAAGTGAATGAATGAATGTTCAAAATAAACCATCCCTAAGCCAAGGAGCAGTTTGTCCAAGAGCCCTGTCACATCGCTCCCCATCCAAGCAGCCCTGCCACCCAAACGCTGGCCCACTCAAAAGATGTAAGGGCTTTCTGTCATTCACTTACTGAGAAAGGCACTGATTCCTTCTTCAACATATCATCATCAAAAGGAACAGAAATTTGAAGCTTTAAGGAAAAAAAAAGGTCTTTGCAAAAAAAATCATATAGTTGGTTGTCAGACTCCTGTTTAGGAATTGACTAGGAATCCCAGCATCTCTTTTGAGCATTAAAGACACACAAAATGAATAAGGGCCTTCTTGGCAAAAGAAAAGGGACTTATATTTGGATCTCCAAAGCTCTTAAATAAGAGCAATTTTGATTTTTTTTTAAAGTATCTTAGTGAAGCTCTCAAACCACTGAAGATTTTTTTCTTTCAAACGTTTCGAACTCGTTGATCTCAAGTCTCTCCAGACCTCCACATTCCCTAACTGTTCTATGTGGTTAATCCCTGAGTGGGGGGAATCTAATTTTCTGCGGCTGCAGTCTCGGGTTAACAAGAAGGCAACCTTGATCTGAAGAAAATAGCAACCCACGAAAATCTAAACCTTGGCTGGCGATTTGGGGTAGCTTTTCTTGTTTAAGTTTTCTCCCCTTTTTTCTTTAACAAGTTTAAGAAACAAGTCATAAGGCAGAAAATCTAGGGTTTGGCTGTCTCTGCCCTGTTTTAAGGCTCCTTCTGAATTCAAATGAATCATTTCCTTTTACATAAAATCTTCAACGAGGCCACACTTCTTTTGTTATCAGAGTGTTGTCATCGGCAAGCCTGCTCGACTCTCATAAAGGCAATTTAGTACCTGACATTCGAGCAACGTGTGCGCGGGCCTGGATTTGCCTTACAAATAAGGGCTGCCAAGGAAACCTCTGGGGAGGCCGGCGGCCCTGCTCGGGGACACCTAAGGTGCATCTTTCATCAACTTCTCCGACAGGCCTTTGCTTCCCAGGGCGTGCTGTTCTGTACACAGCCGCCTTCCCCTCCCGAGAAAGTTCAGGACGGCGGCGGGGCCACTCTGCAAGCTTATCCTGACCCCCAGCGGTCGACCCTGTCATCGGGCCCGCACCGGGTCCCTCTCTCGCTGCCGGGCAGAGGCGAGCACCGCCCTGAGGTTCCCTGGATCCCAGGGACCCAAGCACCATTCGCTTTAATTGACAATTAAAACAAACTTCGGTTCTCACAAGAATCAACCGAGTGAAATTTCACAACTGCAAGTTTCACAATTCAATTCCCTTGAAGCAAAACCAACAGTTTCCCTGAGGTTTCACTCCACACCTCTCCATTTGTTGTTTAACTTCCCCCTCAAGTTTCTCTTCCCACACACAATTTTATTTTCAAGTCAGTCATGGAAACAGTTTAATTATGTTTCTGGGGGTCCCCGCATCCTCCCTGCCCCGGTGCTGAGTCAGCGCTTCCGCGAGCCCCAGGATGAGGACTCCAGCGAGCGCATGTTTATTAACAGAGCAGCGTGGCGCTCCCAGCGACCAGGGGGGCCCCCCCGAGGTGGCTATTTATGGCTTCTGCCCACCGGCCTGCCTGTTCAAGCTGTTTCATATTGTCAGCCACCGGAATCAAACAACCTGAAATAAGGCCTCCGCGGCCACGAATAGAATGCAGTCAGCAAACAACGTCCGACCCCGGCGGTAGAGTCGCCGGATTTAGCAAGTAAAAATACAAGATGCCCAGTTAAGATTGAATTCAGATAAACCACAAATACATTTTTAGTATAAGTATGTCCCAAATATTGCAAGGGATATGTTTGTACTAAAACATATTTGTGGTCTATCTGAAATTCACATTTAACTCGGGGCCTTCTATTTTATCTGGCAATCCTACCCAGTAGAGAAAGGAGAGGTTCTGTTTTATGGTTTTACAGCTCAGCTTCTGAGCAGATCGGGATAGTTCAGGGGGCCTGGGCCTCTCCTAAGAGTTAGGTGAGACTTATTTTTAAACGGTAGGAAAATAGTCCGAATGTGGATTCTCGGAGCCTCTCTGGAGGCTCAGACCTCCCTGGACATTGCCCCCCTTCTCAGTCCTACCCTCTTCTCTCCCTCCCTGTCTCTCTCCACTGTGGAGGCAGGACCCTGTCCTGAAGGGTCCCGTTCCCACGGTCAACCTTCCCAGTCAGCCTCAGGTGTCCTAGCTCGCAGATGTTGAAGCAAAAGTCAAAACCAAGGTAACTCTTTTTAGGGGGTAATAGATTTAACTGCAGCTGGGTCTTCAAGGGACAGGAGTAGCCATATTCTGAACTGCTATTTGTATCTACTGAAATGTAAACATTAAAAAAATTTAAAAAAAAACAAGTTTGAATTACTATCTTCCTTTAAAAAAAAAAAAGGCTACGGCCTTGGGAATACTGTACATATCTGTTACCGACAATTCTGAAAACCACCTCTGCAAGCCTGTCAGTTAAACCAAATGTTAAATGGAAAATATTTGGCGGGATTTAAAATTAGACCCGCACACATTACTTACAGATGTTTCCATGCAAAACACTTGAAACTGAACCACACCAAGTCATAAACCCCACAATGGTGTATTTTTTATACCCCAAGTTAATTTTTATTATATAAGTAGCCATATGAAGAAGGTATTGCATACAGCTTAAATTAAATACGGAGGAATGAAATCAGCAGTATCCCTTTACAGCATATGGCCCAGCAAATCAAATTACAAAGCTTTCCACATCTCATTAACTGCAATGAGTACAGTGAGTTTTCTAATAAGTCACATCTTTTTCATGTGAGTGGTGAGCAGTGACTTATTGTAAGAATTCACAGGATGACCCTTGTGCTGAAATTAAGAACTAATCTAAAATGGGCAGGGTCATCTGGTCAAGACTGATCATAACATTTCCTCATTATTGTTTTAGTTGGCATTGAAGCATATGTTTTCCTGGTGCCCCAGCTGAAAAATGCCTTTGATAATTTCACTGACAGCAAATAACCCACACACTGCCATTTAATGAGTTTGGGCAGGATTAGCTGACAATAAAGAATATAGTATAAATGTTTTTATTAGAACAGATTTATTTTTTAGCTGGGAAAAAAAAAAGAAGTCACATGGAAATGCTGAGCTGATTTCTACCCTTGTGATAGCGATCGCCCTGTTAGTGATGCAGGTGAAGAGGCAGAAGCTGCACGAAGCCCAGGGCTGGCCAAGACAGTGCCTTTAGGCTACAAATGGTGAAAGGCAAATTCCAGCTGGAACCTATACTCAGATGTCTGGTTCCTCCTTTGCACAACAAGAAAAAAAATACTTCTACAATTGCTCATCATGTGGCCTTTGGTTGAGATGAATTACCAATTTACAACCTCTTGTGTTTGGAGAGAAGCAAACTGTGCTCTTTTGAGGCAAGAATCAGGAACCTAAAATCATTTAAGCTTTCTTGTTTATAAGGCCAGAGTGAGGCCAAAAATCCATTTTCCTCTGTGCTCTAAGCCCTTTCAATGACGAGTTTCTCACCATCTGCACTAATAAATATGGACTGGTGTGTGTATAACCATACACTGAGGAGAAGGGAAGAGTGAAAGGATTTTAAATGATTGCAAATTGCTCTCCTGCTGAGATAACAGCAGTTTGCATGTGAGCCTCAGTTGTCACACATTAAGAATGGGCATTTGGCTTCTTTTCACACAGCTGCGAGAGAGAAGGGGTAAGTTTCAGAACAACTAGAGAGAAAAGCGGTCTGTTGTTCTTAGGGAGACAGGCTTTCTAGTGGCATCTTGCCCAGAAGCTCTTGCTTCGCAGCTCCAACCATGGGGACTGGAGACAGGATAAGCAGACCAGTCCCCAGAGCTGGGAGCAAGGGGAATCACTGAAGCCCTGAAACAGGATCATAAGCCTCAAGGCTCAGCAGAGATCAAAGGGATCAAGAATGGAAACAAGGCCAGAGGATTGAAGTAGCCTGGTGTGTAACAAAGTGATCCTTGAGTTAAGGTCAGTTTCTTGGGAAGACTTGGAGGCTTAAGACTCATCCGTAGGCACAAGTGGTCACAGGGAAAACTCTGTCTTGGGAAGATGCAAACAGCAGTCTAAGAAGGTGGTGTAGGTTAGTAGAGGCGGACAGTGAGTGTGCCATAGGAAGAGTAAGGCCACTGAGGCAAAAGCCAGTCATCCAGGGACCCTGGAGCCTGACTAGACTCAGAGGTCTCCTCCCAGCCAGAGAGAAGTGACTCCCTGTTCCTAGCAAAATGTAATGGGCAACTGTGGAAGCTTCAAAGAGACTGTCCGGTGAAATAGGGAAGTGTCTCAACAGTAGAACAGCAGCCACAGTGAAAGTGGAGTGCCCACGCCATCAGAAAGTGCACTTTAGGAAATGCTGAGGAGCGTGAGAAGACCCCTTGGTCAGAACACTTCCAAATACATCCTCCAACAGAAGGACCTCCAACCTGCCCCAAGGTGGGGCTGTGAAACCCAGTCACCTACCTCTCCTCTCAAGTGATCAACATGGGAGGGGAAGGGACCCTGGGAAGCAAGGGGGAGTAGGAAGTATCAAGTCAAGGGAGGAGAAGGAAAGTGGGAACTGAAATGGAGCAAAGCATCAGCCGTTGAGCCCAGACAAGGCAGTGGGATGAGCCAGGAAGACAGGCTGGAAAAGTCACCCGAGGAGGTGAGACTCCTAAGAAATACCTGTGGCTGAGCCCATGGGAGGAGAAGGCACTGTTAAGGGTGCCAAGCCTTTAGGACACCCAGGGGAAAACGTGGGGAAGCAGGGAAGGTAGGGGAAGGGAGAGTCTGCCATTAAATACATGACCAATCCCTGGTGAGAAGGAACGGCTAGCTACCACCCAAAGCAACTGTTCAGGATTGTGGACTCATACAGGGTTCACTCTTAGTGTTGTCTTAGGTCCTCAACACAAAACCTATATTAAAGCCTTTATCACCTAATTTCACCCTTCAGTTGTAATTGAAGCTTCCAAGCCTAACACAGGCCCTGGTTACTTAAACTGGAACCAAACAAGGAAAATCCCCGAGTATTGCTAGGTAACAATAACAAGTAATATTTGCACCACTTTACAGTTTACAAAGTGTTGTCATCATTTTTCTCATTTGCTCTTCATTACCAGGCTGTGAAGAAGGCAACTTACCCGTAGCTAGGAAGTAAAAATGGCCAGATCGCAGACCAAAGTCTTCAGATTCCAAGCCCAGTGTAACTTTTATTACAGCAAATATCTCTTATATACTGGTCAAATAACACTCTAAAATGCTCTGGCAGTCTGAGGAAATATCCATGTTGTACTCCTGGGGGAAGGTATTCAGGGATTAAACCAAAGTTCTCCAGAAGAGACCATCCTTCCCTTACACCTTAGAATATCTCCAGATCTAAAGTGTGTGTTGGAGGCATTCTGCCTCCATTCCTCCCTGACTGGTGCAGATGGAACAACGTTGCCGAGATGACATTCTTCAGAAACATGCTTTCTAGGACCCTCTTGGTAACTGCTCATTGACTATACTTGGAATAAGAGCCATAGTTGTTTTTTTGGCAAAGGAAGAAAATGAGGAAAGAAATCACATACAGACTTGAGCGACATCAACATGGCTTTCGAAGCAGCATCAGCCAGGGGAGCATCTAGCTCAAAGGAACTGGAGCTACCAAGTGCTATGTACCTTCCCCTTCCCCTCAAACCTTCTCTCTCTCTCTCTCCTATTTCTTCCTCTTTTTCCTCTCTCCATTACTAGATGATGCCCATGATATAGTCACTGTCTAAGAGGAAATAGGAAACTCTTTTATGTCTGCATTCTTCCTCCCCCACCTCCCCCCCACCCCCAACCCCACCCCCGCCAACTCTAGCAGGTGAATGGGGCCAAACTAAAGAGTGGTCTTGTTGAAGATATAAAGGCTTCAGGTGAATCTGAAAGGCTGGTTGTGCAAGTAGATTATACAAATTCTGGGCTGGACCCAGTGGCTCATGCTTGTAATTCTAGCACTTTGGGAGGCAGTGGCAGGAAGATCGCTTGAGGCCAGTAGTTTGAAACTAGCCTGGGCAACAGAGCAAGACCCTATCTCTACAAAAAAAAAAATTTTTTTTAATTAGCCAGGTGTGGTGGCATGTGCCTGTAGTCTCAGCTATTAGGGAGGCTGAGGTGGAAGGATTGCTTGAGCCCAGGAGTTCAGTGTTGCAGTGAGCTATGAGTGGGTCACCACACTCTAGCCTGGGTGACCAAGCAAGATCTTGTCTCTAAGAAGAAGAGGAAGAAGAAAAGGAAGAGGAAGAAGGAGGAGAAGGAGAAGAAGAAGGAGAAGGAGGATGAGGAGGAAGAGGAAGAATTATCCTGCTCCCATGTGGGAGGCTTTGAAGGCCTCATCCTCTACCACCTGAACTTGTAATTAAACACTTCCCTTCCATTTTCCCAAAGCAACCGAAACCAGCACAGAAACCTCTTGTCAATTACTTGCGCAAGTGTCCCTTGGGTATGTTGATAAACAAGACAAAGTTTTCAACCTAGGGAAACATTCTTTCTGTCCTTATCTCCTCTGCTTTCCCAAACCTCCCCAATACTACCACTGGCCCTACAGCATTTCTTGCAGCCCTCCTTCATTCCAGCCAAGTCTAGCTTTGTGTGGCCCCACAATTCTCCTTCATGTTACTTCCAAGCTCCCACCCAAGATACCCCCAAATGCTGGGAGCATCTCCTTCTTGTTTCCTGTGCTGCTTTCCTCTCTTCCTTGGAAGTTCCTCTCATTGACTCTAGGAAGGCTTCCTTTAGTACTGAATTCCCAAATATACAGCTTGTTAAAGCCTCTAATGTGTACATTGAGTATCGGAAAACTCAACAATCACTTACAAGTTAAGATTTCTATGTCTCGGGGCTGAAAGGGACTTTTGAATCAGAATTGGTCCATTTTCAAATATTCCTCTAGCTTATGACAACTTTCTAAGCTTCAGTTTTTTCATCTGTAAAATGAGGGTCTTCATTCTAAGGTTCTAGAAGTCCAAGGCTTGGTCAAGGTTACACAGCTAGAGGTATGACAATGCAGGCTAGAAGTGGAGCCTGCTCCCATCTGAAGGCCACACTCTCCACTCCATCAAGCTCTGTGTGCACCTACAAGCACAAGCCAATTCATCTGCCTGAACTCCTCTGTTAAATATGTACCAAAACTAACAATGGAACTACCACGTGATCCAGCAATCTCACTTCTGGGTATATCCAAAGGAATTAAAATCAGTATGTTGGAGAGATGTCTGCACTGCCATGTTAATTGCAGTACTATTCACAACAGCCAAAAGGTGGAATTAACCTAAGTGTCTATCAATGAATGAATGGATTTTTTAAAATGTGGTATATATACACAATGGAATACTATTCAGCCTTAAAAAAGAATGAAATTCTGTCATTTGTGACAAAGTGGATAAATCTAGAGAATATTAAATTGAGAAGTAAAATAAACCAGGCACAGAGAGGCAAATACTGCATGATTTCATTTATATGTGGAATCTGAACTCCGAAAAGTAGAGAGTAAACTGGTGGTTACCAGAGGCTGGGGAGGAGGGAGTGGGTAATGGAGAGATGTTGGCCAAAGAGTCCAAAGTTTTAGTCAGACAAGAGAAACAAGTTCTGGTGTTCCATTGCACAGCAAGGTGGCTATAGTTAATAAGAACGTATTGTATATTTCTAAATTACTAAAAGTTTGAATTTTAAATGTTCTTACCACAAAGAAATGATAAGTATGTGAGGTGATGAATATATTTGCATAATTTTATCATTTTATAATTTTATATATATATTTAAAATATATCAATTTGAGACTAAGGAGCAATTCTTTATTTTTATACCCTTAAATACTTAATACAGTATTGCCTACTGAATTATGTCTCAAATGTAAACACCCTATGTTACCCAACTCTATAGCCATCTACCACCAACCACCACCCACTCCCTTGATCTTTGCACATCAAAGATGCCTACTAATAAATGCTTTTGAATGAACAAAGGCACCAACTGAATGAAGGACCTCCCATTTTTCATTGTCTCCATGAGTACTGCTCACCAATTGATTGAAACTGGACTCCCAAACTCCCAGGCAAAGCTAACCCTCCCCGATGTGTTCTGCTGGCTCCACCGTTAAATAGCTGTGTCACTCAGCATTTCTATAACCCTGATGTGCCTCCATTTCTTCATCTGTAAAATGGGAATAAAATAGTACCTACCTCATGGGGTAGCTATCAGGATTAAATGAATGAGTCCACTAAAAGCACTGAGAATAGTGCCTAGCAATATGTGTTAGGGTTCTCCAGAGGGACACAACTAATAGGATACATGTATATATGAAAGGGAGCTTATTGAGGAGAATTAGCTCACACGGTCACAAGGCAAAGTCCCATGATAGGCTGCCTGCAAGCAGAGGAAGAAGAAGCCAGTAATGGCTCAGTCTGAGACCAAAAGCCTCAAAAGTGGGGAAGCCGACAGTGCAGACGTCAGTCTGTGGTCGAAGGCCCGAGAACCCTCGAAAAACCACTAGTGTATGTCCAAGAGTCCAAAGGCTGAAGAACCTGGAGTCTGATGTCCAAGGGCAGGAGGAACAGACAGATGCATCCAGCACAAGAGGAAGAGGAATGCCAGAAGCCTCAGCAAGCCAGCTTATCCTTCTTCCTCCTGCTTTGTTCCAGCTGGGCTGGCAGCCGATTGCATGGTGCCCACCCACGAGGGTGGGTCTTCCTCTCCCAGTCCACTGACTCAACTGTCAATCTCCTCTGGCAACACCCTCACAGACACACCCAGAACCAAGACTTTACCAGCTATCTAGGCATCCCTCAATCCAGTAAAGTTGACACCTAATATTAACCATCACACAATACATAGCAAAATGCTCAGTAAATATTAGCTGTTGTTATTCTATACTTTCATCTAGCATAATCCTCATCACACATCACCGTGATGCCTATTTAATTTGTTAACTTTCCAGAATGAGTGGAAGCTCTATGAGGTCAGGGAGCATGTCTGCCTTGGTCTTACTCCCAGCATGGTGGTCTGGCAGGTGGTAAGTAATCAATAAATTTCTGAATGCACCCATGCAAGAATGCAAAAATGCAAAGCTAATTCCCTGGGCTATGTGGATTGGTTGCTGATACTTTGTAACTAACAGAAAATTTTCTAACCTTTGAATACTGTAGGTAATTGTTCTGAGTTGCTCTCCTCTTTACTTAAGAATAGAGGAAATGAGAGGCACCATTGCAAAGTGGTTAAGAGCACAGAGAGCAAAGCCAGAGTGCGTGGATTTGAAACCTGGTTCTACCACTTACCAAAATGTGACCTTATGTTACTTCAATAGAAATAATAAAGTACCTACCTCAGGTGGGTCTTATGGAGATTAAATGAGTTAACAGATGAAATGTGCGTAGTGCCTAATATTACATAGTGTTAGCTACTATTATTATCATCACCATCACCATCATCGTCATCATCATCCTGAATTGTGAATAAGGATATGATACAAAGACCTGAGAGTGAAAACAGATGTGTGGTTGTAGGAAAATATTTTGTCACCAATACAGAGACATCATGGATGGCTAAAAGGCAGCATTCAATATAACCATGTTGTTGTGTTATGACAGTTTAGCTGTCATCAATATACTGTTGGAATGTTTTAGGTTCATGCAGTTTAGGCCACACTTGAGGGCAGGGAGTTATGGGAGGAAGGTTTGCAGAAGAGTGTCTACTTTGTACAGTGTAAATGCTGCTATGCCCACCAGCTCCCACCACAAGCCCTGCACTCCAATGAGGTGGGCACACATCTGTGGCCCAGCACCACCCCGAGTCCTGCTGTGGCCAGAAGACCACTCTTCCCTCCTTGCCATCTTCTCCTGACACAGATTTTCTCATCACATTTTAGTTCAAGGACCCTCCAGAAACCTAAGGCACCATTCTGTTCTCTGATGCTGTGTCTTCAAAGTCATGGGCAGTGCAGAAGCCCAGCTGCCAGGACACCAGCTGTCCCCTCCCTGGGCCTCGCTGTGGCTGAACTGCAGGTCCCCTAGGATGTCCAGAAAGGTAGCAAACTGGGCTTCCCCCAAGTTGCTGAGCCACCAGCAGCTGGAAGCAGGGGAGCAGCTTCACCCGCTGTGTGAGGAGGGCGGCAGGACCCAGCTCTGAGAAGATGTAGAACACACTGTAGCTTCAGGAAAAGGAATCTTAAGTCCCAGAGCAATTAAAGAACAGGGATCGAATTGAAGCAAGAAATGAGGAAAGCTTTACATCTCCTGTTTCTTACTCTATTTCACCACAATGGCTTTTCCCCTCCACAGCCCAAAGCTGTGAAGCGATTTGAAATCACTACATTTAGCCACAGATGATTGATTTTAAAATTATTCATGAGTAGCCATCTCACCACTATCTACCTACCTCAAGATTAGATGCTGCCACTATCTTACAATTCTCTTATAAGGGGTTGAAATCAAAATCTCCTCATGAATGGAATTTATCTCACCAGCGGTGAATATACACTGTGATTTGTTATCATGGAGTTCTTTATCCTATTTGCTGAAGCTACCTTAAGTTTATAACATGCATTAATTTTTATATTGCAAATTCTGCATAATGCAGAAAAAAGAATTACAACAGCACCTGCCATAGTTCTATTGAATCAGTACTTTATATATTGCATGTATTACATAGCATGACCTTTTGATGTTTAATACCCAACCCTACCCCTGCCCCACCTTACACACACATACCAGCTAAAATGGTTCTCTGAAGTTACCTCATGAGTCAAATTTGCTCAAGATTCATGGCGCTTACCTGAAGCACTGGGGTGCCTATTTAAATAATTTTAAGAAGAGGTCAATATTATGAATACTATCTCCTTGAAGTAGCCACACTATGGCATCAGGATTGCAACATGAATGCTGACACTTGTGCCTGGCAGCCCACAGAAGTTAGGGAACTTGACACCAGGAAGTGTCCCAGAAAGGACCCAGGACATGGTCCACCGGGATCCTCACTCAACAGAGGAACATGGAAAGCACCACTCCCTCATTTGTCTAATCATATACTCATTGCCTGACCCTGGGTGGGTGGAGTCCTTCCATGTAACATACAATTTTTAATTTTAAGGGCCGATATCCATCTTTAAATTAGCTAAGTAATGATACAACGACTGAAATCAAAATTCATCGTGGCCTTCCCATGAATGGCCTCACACCATTTGGTGAGAGAGGTAAAGAAAGGGTGGAAAGCTGGGTGCTGGGTTTGCAATGACGCTTCCCTGGAATACAAGACAGGCTCAAACCTCTTGAAGCCAGTCGGAGTCCAAGGTAAACTGCTTCACAAACACTCAGCCAATAATAAAATGTTTTGAAAAGCACTTAAGCTTAATAGGTTGAGGTGTTAACTCAGTGGAAGCTTCTGTTACTATGGAGAGAGACTGCGAGAGCAGAGCAATGCCACGGGGTGGGAAAAGGAACGCCATTCGAAGGAGTCATGCCACACACAGCAGACATACAATTAGGCCTCCTGTATGCGATGGGCAGCCACATGGGGCCCAGGATGATGACGCTGGTCCAGGGGAGTACTGATTGGTATGGGTATGGTCTTCAGATCCCTCAATGCACTTGGTTTGAATCTTCCTCTTGATCCACCACTCTCCCCAGGCCTACTGTAGAGCAGACCTTCTAAGACCAACTCCTCCACTTATTCTTCCACCCTCTCTTGGCCATCAGCTCAGAAGCCAAGGGCCATCCCCAGGCATTCCAGAGTGAATAGACTGGAGTGTGCTCTACACCTCTGGTATTACAGGTTTTCATGTTACATTCCTGCAGACTCTCTGACACATGACAGGCCACAGAGGTATCATCAGGTCCAGGAATTTGTGCTGCAAGAATAATGATTTTAGTTCTCCATGACTACTAACTCAGTGGTCTTGATTAGTCTTATTGTAATGTTGTTTCCTATCAAGTGAAACATTGTCTTTAAAAGGATTTCAGTCTCCACACTTCCTTCACACAATGAATGCTCATGCCCTAGCACCCGGAGCCATCTGGCAGCCATTCTAGTTCCCTGGGGCTGTGCACCAAGGAAGAAAACTGGTTCATCCTAACACCATTCAACACATGCATTACTGATGGTCTTCTATGGTGTAAGCCATTGGGAGGGGCTGAGTTGCCAGTGAATGCCTTTCTGACCTGTACAGTTGAGTCATCTGATCAGCATTCAGAACCATTGCTGTTGGCACGACAACAATGTAACACCTAGAAATTTATTCTTTATCAGGGGTATCCAGTCTCCTAGCCTGAGATTTATAAGATTCATTGAAAGAGATAATATATTTTTTAAATGAAAGAGCAAAACAACATAATTACATATCTACAGAATAAACTGACCTCTGCCAACCCAGGTGGAGATGAAGAGTACAGGGTTTGATTCCTCTAATTACACACAGCTTTTGGATAGGGGTGGATGAAAGGACACTTTATTATTCTCCCTCTAGTCATAGCGCTCTGTTGAAGCTAATCAAACTCTAATTCATTAGAAACTGGGACAAGAAACAGAAAATATAAATAAATAATTGCTTCCACTGGCCCTTAAAGCCCGAGCGAAACTTCTGATTAAATCTGGCACCTGGGCCCTGCTAGAATGTGCACTCCATGAGAGCGGAAGGCTTGCCTGGCTTGTTCAGCACCTAGACGAATGCCCAGCACCTTGTGCTCCCCTCATAAGTACTTGCTGAGTGAAGCAATGAATAAATAAATGAATGAACAAACAAACAAGGCAGACTCATCCAGAGCAGCAGAGGAGTCATGGTAGATTGAATGTGCCATCAAAATCAAATGCCTTGGGCTGATCCCAAGTCTTCTGACCAGAGGAGTTTGAGTGAATTACCTCACTTATTTCAGCTATTTCCCCCCAATAAGATGGAAGTAACAATAATATGTTTTGCAGATTAAGTGATAAAATTTATGTAAAAGTGATAAAATTATGTAAAAGTATTTCATAAAGTACCAGTTACCCATATGAGAACCCTGTAAGTGACCCTGTATCCCACGGCCTCACTCACCCCTGCTACGTCCTGTTTGCCTCTTAATCCTACAGCTTCTACCTCCTAATATCTCCCTCCATTGCTTCCTCTCCATTCTCACCACCAGTATCTTCACTGTGGTTCTCAGCACTCATTACCAGATAGCTCCAGCCCCTTCCTGGTGAGTTCCCTGCCTTAAGCCTAGCTCTGCTACAGTTGCCTTGCTGCCAATGGGCTTCATGAAGGGTGAGTGATTCCTGTAGTCACAAAGCACAGGGATCCATGCTCAGAAGGGCCCATGCTTGAGGGCACATGCTCTCTGGTTGCCATCTTGAAATTCTTAATGATTTACCATTTTGGAAGTGAAGTCCATGGCACATGAACATGGGCCGGGGGCTTAGGGTCTTGGCTCTCATGTGCAGCATCTCTTACCACCTCCCTGCCTCCCAGGACAGGTACTCGGCTACCCATTTCACTGCCCCTGGCACCTTGGGCCCTGCCCAACCTCCCCCACAACCTGTCCCAGTGACACTGTCCACTCCACTTCAGTGGAGGGTTGGGCGCAGGGTGGAGAGGGGCAGGGTTGGTGAGCGTGCTTCACAGTATCTTGCAAGGGGTGTGGCAGTGGCCATCCTCACCCCAGGCTGTCAGCGCTACCATGCACTTAGCAGGCAACTTGGTACAGGAAGCCTCAGGCTCAACCTTAACCAAGATGCCCAGTACATCTTGACAGGGAAGTTGCAATACCCTTGAGGGTTACCTGCTTGCCAAGGGTGACAGCACCAGGCCTCCGGGAAGGAGAGACACCTGGCTGCATCTTCCTACCCCTAGCTGAAGCATGACACATCAGTCCCATGGCTATGGAGAGGAGGAGCCAGCTGCCAGTGGACCACATGTGTCCCAAGTGTTAGGGAGGGCTCCAGCTCCCGTGAAAGTCTGTACTTGTCCCACAAGTGTCCTGCCATGAGGACCAGAGGGATGTGACATTAAAGAGGATACAAAAATGCCACGACAGATTGAGAGGCTGCAGAATGAAGGGAAACGCTCTGTATTCTAATGCCTTTAACAGCACCTTTTTTCCTGGTTTTTGAATAAATGGCCCCACATTTTCATTTTGCACAGGGACCCCAGGATCCAGTCCTAGCTGTAAACATGACCCTTCTAAATTCTGACCCTGACACACTGCTTACCTGTGACACTCCTTCAGTGCTTTCCCCTTTCCTCTAACTCAGAGCAGAAAGTTCGAGCCTCCTGGCTAGGCCCCCATGTCTGGCACTTGCTGATTTCCTCAGCCCCATCCCCTTCTGCTCACCCACACTCACCCTCCGCCTTGGCCATCTTGAAGCATTAGCAGCTTTTTGAACATGTCTTGCTGCTTTACGTCACTGCTCGTCACGTATTCTTCCCTCTGTTACCATTGTCTACCCCTACCTTTATCTGACTGTGTCTACTCAAGCCTCACTTCCTTCCATGGCCTTCCCTGACTACCTCAGCCCCCACCAGGCTCCCTCCCAGGAGAACTGTGTCATGGCCCCGATCACTGTGTCCTAGAATCACAGATGTTCCTACCTGGCTTCACGGTCATATGTATGCAACATGATCCTGATGACAGGGACCATATGACCTATTCCTAGCTCCAGCAGAGGGTCTGACACTTTCAGGGAGCACTGAATTCAACTCTAAGCTGGACATGCTAGTTCTCTGCAATTCCCTTCATTGCCTGCTTAGTGAGATGATCTGAATCAAACAAATCAGTCCCACTGGCCACTTTCTCCTGAGAGAGGAGGCTTTTCAATCACCAAGATGGCCAAGGCACCATTTTAAACCTACTTTATGGGCCTACCACTTTCTGATCATGTCACCTGCAATGATCCCATGGGTTTCCATTCTTGCTTATCACCAAACCTCAGCCACAGAAATTAGAGATCAAAAGCACTGGACTCATTTTTCTTATGAGAAAAAATCATTTTTCCCCTTCAACACATTCATAAAGCTTTAACAATGCAATCCTAGTACATGGACCTTGCCTCCCCCACTTTCCTATGGTGATCAATGCCCCATACAATGGGTTTCATGACCTTAGACCCGGAATCTAAAGATAGGCTATTCAATCATCTGGTCCAGATCCCTCATCTTACCACTGCAGACACTGAATGCAGGGGCCAGGGGTTGTCTCCATCCCAACCCAAGCCCATGCTCATCCCGCTGTTCCATGCAGTCTCTGTGAACTGGGAGTTATCGCCAGGCTCCTGATTCACCCTTCACTTCTCTGAGAGGATCCAAGGTCATCCTTCTTGTAGGTTTCCTTTCTTCAAGATCTCTAGACTATAATATTATCCCATCAATTGTCCAGTAACTCAAAACCTACCAGCCATACTAAACTAACCCATGATTATGGCATTCTCTGTTGCCACTTTTCACTGGTGCTTTATTTTCCTCCTGAATGTTCATCAGGGAGTTTGTTAAAAATTGGGAAGGGGCAGGAATGAGGTTATTGAGCTGTCAGTGATCAGACAATACAATTTACCTCACAGCAACAGTTTACTTCACTAAATTGTGGGGGAGCCAATGAGAAAGGAATGATCCTGGTTGATGCGCAGTATTGACACAGTAG
The DNA here is from genome assembly GCF_000001405.40 of Homo sapiens. Lineage (NCBI taxonomy): Eukaryota > Metazoa > Chordata > Mammalia > Primates > Hominidae > Homo > Homo sapiens. Next base: position 87,137,544 of record NC_000001.11, on the reverse strand, counting down.
CCACACAAACCACATTCAGTATCTCTGTAAGCCAGCTGCTGGCTTGTTTTGGGAGCAGTGTAATTGCTGCTGCCATCATTTCATGAACGGTCCCCTCTTCATCCCACCACCATTCATGGATTAGTTAGTAAACTAGCAGGACTGTTTCAGACAGAGAGCAATCTGCAAATCAGAAGCTTTCCAACTAGACTGGAATGGGTGGCTTTATTAGACACATTCCCAGTCACCTTGCTAACAGCCCTCAGGTTTCAGAAATGTCATTAAATATTCCATTCAAGAAACACAGGAAACCCTAAATGCGATCTACCTCATCCCCATCCCCACCGCCTCCCCCACACCATCTCCACCCTTCAGGCACATTCTAAACTTACAGAAATGTGGCCAGGAGAGAGTTAGACTATTTTGTGTGATGCAATACAGCCTGTTCAACTTTTGCATAGCAATTCAGCAAACACAGTTTTAAGCATTCAATTCTACTTCTACAGCTTCTTAAAATTCCCTGCAATATAATTATACTGATGGGAATGCAGAAAGATAATTGCTTTTAGAGGAAAGTTTCTCCTTTGTTCCATGTTCATCTGGCTTCCAGAAATGGAACAAGAGCCCTTGAACAGCAGAAATACGCATCCATGTGTCTCTAGTTATCATTTATTTACAAAGATAGACCTTGACAAATGTAATTTGTTCAATAAAATTAAAAGGATGCACGATAATTCACTTAGACAAAGAGACTTGAAAGGGGACGTCATCGGCAGCAGCGCCGTCCATCATTCCAAATGATCAGCTGACTTTGAAGAAGTGGCAGGTGTTCCCCTTTTGGAATGCAGCATTGAAATAGTATTTAGAAGGGGGAAAGAAAGAAAGAGAGCTAGGAATTGGAGCAATTTTTTATTCAGGCAATAATTATACAAATTAGATCTATGAAAGCCAGAGAATGACTGTGCCTTGAACCCTGTCTGTGTGCATAGAACAATGGGGAAATTAATAATTAAATCTATTACATATGCTCATAATTCAATACAAAAGATACCTCAGTAGTTCAAACACTCCTGTATTTTCATTTGAATAAGGCTTTCACACATGCTCATTATATATGTATTATATTTTAAATTTAAAAGCTTATTTTGTTGCCTTTATGTTTGAATTAATAAGGGCGCACTTTAATGCACTAATGGGGAATTGCATTAGCTGGCTTTGCAGACATAACTTTGAAAATCTCCCTGGTTTCCCAAGGGTGAAATCAATTTGCCCCATAACGTGTTGTCTCACAGACACATCTGGAATCTTGGAAGAATAGCTCCCCTCTACAAGCTTCTGATTTGGGCCTCCATATTTAAAAGAGGATCCCCTAGTAGATACCCTTGCTAAATTGAACAGACACATCGAGATCATCTTCTGGATTTTGCAATCTTTTAGCCAGCTGACATGCTTTTTATGCCTGGCCCATGTTATTTTCCCAGAGAGCAAAAATAATTTTTCTGCAAAAAAGTAAAAGTTTATTTTTAATCCAATAATTCATTTCCTCCCTTTTTAAAATTTTTCTTTCTCACTCCCTCTGTCCCTCTGGCTTTCTTTATATTCCTATTTTTAACTCTTCATACTACCTCTGGCTCCATGGAGAGTGAAGAAGACAAGGAAATTAGAAAAAAGAGAGAGAAAGAAAAAGTATATACTATGGTGGGCAATGATGGAAAAGGCCACAATTGTTGAGGAACCAATTAATAGCATCAGAAGTACTGGAGTTCAGGACAGGGGGATTGGTGGTTGAACTACAGCACTGAAATCCCAGAGAGCACAGTGAATTCACAAAGTGAGAGTCTCAGTTTTCTAAAAAAAAAACAGGGTGACTCCACTGGAGGGTCAAATGCTAAAGTAATAATCAATGGAAAATACCCATCCCTCTGCAACCCAGAAAAGAGACAAAGAAGTCAGTATCTGTGAGAAAGAAAGAGAGGAAGCCTAACCAACTGCTCACATCTCAGTGCAAAGCGGCTGCCAGCATACCCGGACAGCCCGGCACATGCGGAGGCACTTGCCGCTGCTGCCACTGCGCTATGACAAGGAGTTTTGTGCCTTCGGAGGAGCGCCAAATCCAATGACGCTAATTGCATTGCAGATTTCTAGCATCATTAGCAATTCTTAAAATTACATTTGCCCTGCTTAAGTTCTCTATTTCCAGCCTGGTATACGACGGGGGCAAGTCTCTAAAGGGGATATGGGTTACAGAGAAATTTGATTGGACATGCTGGCTTCAGGTGTGCAGGTGGAGGCTGGCCGGGGGGATTCACAGCCCAGGAAAAAATGCTTGTTTGTCTTATTTTAAATGCTGATTGCCGGGAGAATAAACAAAACCCGCAGCTAAATGGGCCTTAAAGGAACACTGGGAATTTTGGAAAGAAAAAAGCCTTACCGAATAACAGTTGGAACTAGCCCTGTGGGTCCTATGGTGACAAGCACCATCCAACCACCCCGAGCGATGGAGTAACTTGCATTTGAAATAGTTGGTGCAGAAATAACCACTCTCCTTTTGTTTGTTTGTATTTAAAACAAATGAATAAAATCCAGATGAATTGGTGTTTTTGCTTTGTTTGTTTGTTTCCTTAAAGAGAACATATTTGCTCATTAGGAAAGCTAGACAGCCAGCTCAAGAAACAAAAGCCCCAAGTCTGTGTCTCTCCTGAGCTTTGGCAAACACTTTGCCACAACATTTCCCGGCCCAAGTATCTCAACCCTGCTGGGAAGGGAAAGGCTATCCCAAGAGCAGAGCAGAGGTCAGGATCCGCCTCTCCGAGGCTGCTGGCTCCTGAAACTGGGGCAGGGCTCTGTGCAGTTGGGACTTCCATTGCAGAGTCATTGAGAGATCACCAACACCAGCCTCTCCCAGAGTGGAGGGGTGGCCTCTACTCTGAATCTAGCAACAGAAAGGGGACCAGCTCCTGGGTATTTTTTCCAACAATTTATCCCATGTAATGAAATTGCTAAGCCTATATATTTATAGACACATACATACACACATATATATATACACACTTACAAATATGTATTATATATACAGCTCTATGTATAAACACTCACATAGAGGGAGTGTATAGCTTTTAATTGGGCCGTCTTCTCAAAATAATTAAGCCAGTTTTAATGAAATACTGTTTAAGGCTGCTGGCAAGCAAAGAAGCCATCTTTAGCAGAGCATTAATAAACTGAGTCATTCGCACAAGGGAATGGCTAGCTGTATCAGTCACATTCATGGTGCTAATAAAAGAGCTCAGTTCTCTGTGGCAGGCCAAGGATTGGAGGGCCGGGAGGGAGCACAGAGCCCAGTCATCTCGGGCTCACTGTCACAGACAGTCCTTACGGCTGCAGTGGAGTTCACAGTCCGAGCTGGAAGAAGGGTCTGCTTGCCCTCAAAGGATCCCAGCAGGAATCTCTGTCCATAGAAGAGTGAGGTGACCAATCCCAGGGGCTGGTGAGGTCTCTAGAGCTCCTTACCATCTGTGGGTGACACTGGACCAGGATTGGGAACAGGGTGCAAGCGTGGCCAGAGTTTCTCCTTTTGGTGTCCCAGTTCCTCGTCTACAGTGACCTGCCAACCCCGTGATATTAATGAGATAAACATGTTGGGAGGGTTTTTCAGAGGTGTTAATTGGGGGTAATGTTTAACTCATAAAATGAGGATAGTCATTCTCTAAACCAGGAATTTAGATAGGACTTCCCTTATCAATACCTCCTGCTGCTTTTTAGCTGCTGCTTTTTAGCAGCAGGAGGTATTGATAGGTAAAGGAGTATCTGGTTTGGTTTTTAGTCAAAGGGATGGTTTAGCCATACTCACAATGAGAATCTTTACAAACTGGACTGACTTTCACCAAAAGCGATGAGATGGACTTGCTGCCACATATAGGTCCATGCCGATGAGATGGTGTAGCAGTATCTGGTGCTGGAAAGGAAGGGGCCTGTGTAAGAGTCCCATCGTACCAACAAGGAAACTGACCTGCCCCAGTGTTACACCGTTTATCCCCAGCGGCACAGCCACATCCTGAATCCTTCTTCAAGAGTCCTGGGAGAAGAAAATAAGCCCCGTTACCCTCTCCTCCTTTCTGTCTTGGAGAGAAGAGGCCTATAAAACACTAATAGTGCAGGGGAAGTTTTTTCTAATTCCAAACAAGGTGGGAAAAGCAGGAACCTTTTGATTTCTGTAAGATCAATTTGGTGAAGGGCTAGCACGGAAGTTTAGACTGGACCATGATAACAGTTACCCTTTACTGAGCCTTTTCACTTGCCAGGAGGACACTGTAGATGCATAATAGTTCATAATCCTCACCACAACTCTGTGAGCTAGGAAGTTGTATTCCCACTTGACAGAACAGGAAACTGAGGCTCAAAAAGTTAACCAACTTACCCATAGTGCTAGAGCTCACAAACAGCAAAGGCAGGATTCAGACACCTCAAGGCAGTGAACAGGCGGCCCCTGGTTCTGGTCCTCCCTCTCCCGTTCTCCTCTACCCAGGCTTGATGCTGGGTCCATCCTCCCTTTGGCCTCACCATTAAAGCTAATGCTGACATTTCCATCAGCTTCCCAGTCTCACACTCCCAGGAGTAGCAACATGTATCAAGCCCTGGCGCAGACATAGTCCTTACAAAAGGCAACTTCTGGGGAAGAAAAAGAAACTCCTTGTTCTCCGCTCACTTTCAGAACTGATGCCCTGGCAGACATGAAGCGTGCTTTCGGCACGAAGGAGGAAGAAGAGGAACGCGCAGGGCTTGATTCCCGGTTCTCCAGAATTCGGAAGTGGAAGAAGCCTGGGAGTGACAAGGGACCCCAGATCCGGCCTAAACCAGCGCCCTGGGGTCAAGCCCCTGCGTAGTCCTGGACAAAGGAGCCGCGACCTGGAGGGGGGACCGGGAGAAGGGAACGGAGACCCCAGTGGAGCCAAGGAGCCTGGATGGGCAAAGGAAATGGGCGACGGGTAAATGGAGATGCAGCCGGGGATGGGAGAGGACGACCATCGACTGGGAAGCGGAAACCCCCTTGCGGTTTGAGGGCCCTGAGGAGGGGAAGCGCCCCGCACCCGCCCCCCAGCCCGCCTCCAGGGGTGAAGGACGGCAGGGCCTCCCGAGGCCGCCGCGCCGGGACAGCCTGACCGAGCAGCACCGAGACGAGGCCGGCGCCCACCGCCCCTGCCCGGCCCCCGTCCGCTCCTCGGGCTAGCACTAGGCCCCACCGTGCAAGCGCACTGTGCATCGCGCCTGCAGCCTTTCGAAAATAGAAAAATAGGGAGTATATGTAGTACCCCACACCCTTGTAATGATGCCGCTCCAAGCAAATGAGTCCTTAATAACAACAGGGTGCTGGGGGCAGCGACCGATGGGGAGCAAACAGCCTGGCCCTGTGGTGTAGAACTCGCGGCAATGGAGACTCCCGACACTCCATGTGGCACAAGTCCCAGGTCCCGGCGGGCCAGCATCCGGCCTTCCCCGGCGAGGAGCCGGGCTTCTGACGGGAGGGCAGGGTGGCGAGAGGGCGCCAGCAGGACGCCTGACCTTGCGTGAAAAACCAGAGAATTCCACAGCACCGTGGCGAGTGCTCCCCGGCTGCGACCGCGCCTCGGGCCGCGAGGATGTTCCTATGGCGCCACCTAGTGTCGGAGGTGCAGACAACGCTCTGGCGAGGGCTGCAAGGACGGCCTGCGACCAGCCCTGGAACCTCAGACTTAGGCTGGGACCTTGGGATGGGTCATCCCAGGGGCTCCAGCTGTGGACGAGTGATGCCCTTCCAACAGGCAAAAAGCCCCCCAGACGTCTCTCTCTTCCTGCTGCAACCAAAGCTAAAAAGAAAATTTGCCAGAATGAATGGAATAACTGACGGTCCCCTTCAATGAGACGTCCATGAGGTGATGTCTGGTTTTTCCTAAATACAATGGCCAGTCGATTATTAGTTCATCCAGAAAAAATATAGATGCTGTCATCGTATAAACATGAGTCTCCACATAGAACTGAGCCTCAGACCCGCTGGAGGTGCTCTGTCTGGGAAACACTGAACTAGAATTTTGGGTGGAACGAAGTAGAAGCTTTACTTTTTATTTAACAGTAGCCTGAAGACCTCCTGCAGAATAATGGAAAGGATAAAGACCTGGGAGCCAGGATACTAAGGTTCTGGCATTAGCTCTGCCCCCCAGTTGTCTGTTTGACCTCGACCAGAGGGAAACAGTTTTACTACCTCTCACAATACTGTGCAGTCTGGATTGGTATCTCCATGTAATCAATAAGGAAATAGGGGCTCCAGGAGTTTACCCAAGGCCGGGCAGCAGATCAGTGGCCAGACCAAGCTTCAGCTGCACGTCTGCCCGACTCTGAAGAGCACGTTGCCTTCACAAGCCATCAAATCCCTTCGTGCTTTGGCCTCTTCATCTACCGCTTGAAGGGTCTGTACCAAGTGGTCATGGTTCCTTCCAGATACAGCAAACCGTGATTCTAAGGTTTCACTGATCCCTTAAAATCCAGTTTTAGTGCTCACAAACCCCATGGTGATAACAAAAGAGCCTTTAAAAAGGATTTATCCACCTATAAAAACCATTAGATTTTATTTGGGGCTGTGGGCAAAGAACACCAAAGCAAACGTGTTGGAACATCAAACCTCCTTTAAAATTTAGGGCAGCAGGGACAGAGGAGAAAATCTGCACAGGGCAAGGAGGGACAACTTACAGATTCCATGGCTGGAACCAGACTGCGGGACACTATTTATCTGCCATTGGCTTCCTGGGGGATAATTGCCTCCTGACAATTGTTTAGACTTGATAAATACATGAAATGGGACCGCCAACAGTTTATCTGGCTACCAGTTCAGATCCGGACAGAACCAGATGAAGAAGTCAGGCATATTTGCAATAACCTCAAAGATAAAACCTTCCTATCAGAGGCAGCTTATCTCCTCCTCTGGGTCATGCTGCCTAGTAACTGCCACCTCCAAAAGAAGGAAGGGGAGAGCACTTCTAGCAGGGGGTTCACAGTGGGCCTTGCTTGCCTTGAACTCCCCTTCCTGCCCACACGACAGGCCACCTGTCTGGCAGCAAGGGAGTGGTACTGTGCCCTGATCTGGAAGGCTTAGGAAAGATGTTGGCAAGGAAAGTGGAAGTAATGAGCAACTAGATCCCAAAGCCAAGGTCACCTAACTCTGAGATGAATGCGTTCCTTGTGGGCTCTTCCTCTGTTTCACATGGACAAGCTAAAGGAACTTCAGGCCTCCCCAGCAAAGATAACACCATGAATCGCAGCTCACAGGAGCTGGGACCCTGCTGGGCTACATACTCACCCCATGACCAAAGGCAAGTGGGACCTCTGGGCCTCAGTTTCCTCACCTCTCAGGGGTTTGAGCTAAATAATCCCTAAGATCCTACTGAGCCATTTTATGGACTGGAATCAAACCAGCCAGACCTCTTTATGGTTTAAAAGAGGCCAGAGGTTTCATCGAAGAACCATCTCCCTCCCTTACATTTTTCCTCAGCCCGCTTGCTTTTCTCTTCTCCCTCCCCGACACCTCTCATTTGCCGGCCACAAACCTCCATCCTCCAACTCCTTTCCAACGTCAGTAGCTGGCTCCACCAGGCTGGCTAAGGAGCGAGGAGACCATCACCTCAGAAAGCAGCCCCGCTGGGAGGTCCACGGAGCAGTTCGCCGAGCTGTGCACAGGCCCTTTATTTTCCATCTGTCAAGAAAGGAAGCTGCCTGTTGCTTATTTCCTCCTCCCACTCTTCTCCCTTCCCGCCAGCAGACTCTTCCACTTTCAAAATATTCTGATGGGGGATCACAGGAGTTTTCCTCAAACAAGATCACTTGGGGTCAACTACTGAGCAACTCCCAGCCTCAGCCCCACCCATTCCCTCACCCTCCAGCTTGAGCAATAGCTCCAGTTAGTAAAGCAGTTGGATCAACAGGACAACAACCAAAAGTGACCTTCTACGTCCTAAAGCCCTTGCCTGACACCACCTCTTTTTTTTTTTAAATTATTCAGGGGCCTTTTGGGGACCCCCAGTTGAGCTGTATTCTGCAGAAAGAACTTCCAAACGAAAGGAATAAGGCATTGTTTTACCAAGAGCCTTTTCTCCCTCAAGAAACACAATGTAAACTAGGAAACTTGCACTTTCTTTTACCTTTGGGTAGATGAGCAGAAGGGAAGAGTTACTACCCAGGGTGAGGTCATTCCTCCATGGTGGTAGAATATCTGGTTCTTTCAGTTTCCCCATGGTGCTGGCCTCACAATAGGTGTTCATGAGGTGCAGGCTAATTGGGTGAGTGGATGCAGTGCTCTGATGGATTTATTCAGTGTACAAGATTGCAAAGCCATGTGCCAGCAAAGGCTTAACCACCCCACCCTACCCTTCAGACCAGCCCCATAGCTTTCCATGTCCCTGTCTGCCCAGCCTCAGGCCAAAGCAAAGGCAGGGATCTGAGCTGTACCCACTGTGAATGCCCATCTCCTGACCCCTGTGCTAGTGTCTTGTCCCTGCATGCCTCGGCTGTCTTCTCTCTGGACTATGATTCATGGCAGATATTAAAAAGGAAACAGCATCCTTCAATTCTTTCTACCATTTCTCTTATCTTTAAAGGGTTCTTATTAAGCAGTATCTTCAAACTTATTTATGTGATGTCATGCTAGGAAGCAGCGTTGTCAATGTGCCACTTTCCATGAGCACTGAATTCAGTAAAAATAAAAGCCAAATAAATGATATATTGTCTCCATGCAGAATCTTCTCTAGTCATGACTAGCTATCCAGATAGTAGGGAATCCCTAAAGATAATCAGATAATGGTGACTTTTGCTTACTGAGGCAAGCTCCCCTTTCCTCTGCGCTTCTGGAGTGATTGATCCAGAGAGGCCAGCTTCTTGCTGGGGCACAGCTGCAATCCGCTGTAAGAAGCCAGCCCAGAAGCGGGGACACAAAATCATGGGGAGCCGACCATGGCCAAAGCATCATGCTATTACCCTTCACTTCACATTTTTTAGCTCTTTTTTGAATGTTATGAAAGATACACAGATGTATATATTTTATGTTTTCATATTAAAATGTTTTCATATTAAAAATCAAAGGGCAGGAGGAAGTGAGGAAGGGGAAGAAAGTAGCATTCAAACGCCAAGCATCATGCTGGGAACTTGGAGTTCTCAAGCCCTCCAGTCTTGGTCACTGGGGAAGGGAATGGGTATCACCCGCTTAGTTCATATTTGAATAACTGCTCATACTTGAAAATGTCTTCAACTGCAACAACATGAAGTGGGGAGCCCCCACAGGATCTCCACGTCTTCCCTGAGAGCTCTTGGACCATGCTCCTTCATCCTCCATGATTTTGATCTTGCAGTTCTGTTTACCTTCAGTGCCTTCTCACTCTTTACACCCTCATCCCAACCCCTTCCACTTTTCAAGACTCATTTAGACATCATCCCCAAGAAAGCTTCTGATTCCCCACTGTCCAGTCCCATCTGGGTGGGTACCCATAGAGATGTCCTGTACACCTTGTCCCCACGTGTTAGAATACTCTGTATATCTGTCTGCTTCCTCAAGGTACTGTGAGCTCTTTGAATGAGAGTCTTGTTCAGGTTTGCATCCCCAGTATCTACTGGTTCAGTTCTAGGCTACCACTTGCCCAAACAACACCTCTGTGTTCTAAGAAAAAGAAGAATGCAGCCCCATCCCTCCCACTCACGCCATACGCACACTGTCAGCCTCCAAGCAAGGCCATGTGACTCCCTTGTTCAAGTCAGAAAAAGGTTCTCCCTCCTCATAGTGGGTGCAGCTCTACAGCAAGGAGCAAGGCGTGGTGAGTAGGAGATGAGCTGGATGTCAGCACCCACTGGGCCCAGGCTCCAGGTAACCTGCACAACTGTATTGGTTGGCTCTGGTTGGATCAATCACTCCATCCAGAGAGCAGTGACCCACTTCTCCTGACCTCTGGCTCAGCTTCCAAGACACCAGGCTGCTTTTCTGCTCTACTACCAGCTACTCCCTCTAACTACAGCTGCTCCATGAGGTAGATAAGCCCCTGTGTCTCTAATGGCACAGTGCCCCATGCAACCCAAACACAGACCCCCAGGAGAGAGAAGCCAGGGAGGTCCTGTTTCTTCCAGGCCCATTGCCAGCCTCTGTCCGGGTCTGGGCACATGGGCTCATTTACATGGCTGGTTTGGAGCCTTTGGCAGATGAAAGCGTGCGGATGGTTTTATATGTGTTGCTCATCATTAAACCTCCCCTTCAGGGTTTCTTGCCGCCTTTGGTTTGTGTCTCAATCTGGAGCAAATTTAAGCAACGGTTTAGGCCTCTGCATTTCCTTGGTTTAATTAATAATTCATAATAAAAATTTAATCAAGGCATAAGCTTTTGTGGAAGGTTATAAAACACTTTTATTTGCCCTGGAGATCAGAATGACCACTTTCTAAATCTGTGAAATGATGGGTTTTTTTCCCAAATGAGGAAATTTTACTCTCAACTGTAAATTTCAGCTGTTTGCCATATGTAACCACAGAGAATCTGTTTATTGACTTAGTATATTAGGAATAGTTAGGCAGGAAGAAAAATAAACCCAAACTCCAGACAGGAGAAAGTGTGGGGAAGGAATGAAGAGTTGAAGTTAGAGTCTAGCAAACCTCTAGCCTCAGAGAATAACGAGAAGAGATAAATGGTAGAACCCATCTCCCAAAGGAGATGATCATGATAGTAACCAGATTGAGAGACAAAGAAACTGGCAGGACAGTCATCACAAGCCATTCAAGATCTTTGGAGACATAAGCAGAGAATGCAAAGGGAAGAGTAGAGCCGTGAGAGGATATTAGACACTATATGAACTCTGCAGCAAGGTGTGGAGTCCTGCTTAGTGAAAACTGTAAACACAGGATGGGTTTTTACCTGCCTGAAATAGCAGAAAAGAGTTCTTGGCAAATAGCAGAGAGAGGGTCTAGACCAGGGGTAGCTCAAACGTACGTCTATAGACAAAGCCAAACCACCAGGAAAGCCACCTAAAAATACGGAGTCCTCGGCCTCCACTTTAAATGCCTTTTAAAGCTCTGCAGGTGACTTTGATGTCAGCCAGCTTTGGGAACCGTGGTCCAGATGACCTTTTAAAGTCCTTCAGCATTAATTCTCTGAGATTTGTAAAAATTAAGTCAAGGGAGGAAGCACAAAGTTGCTGCAAAGAGCTGGATTCAGGGGATAATGTCTAATAATCAGTTTTCTCCATAATAATTATTGTAAAAACAACATGTTATTAACTTTGTGGTTACTCCCTTACTCTGACAACAACTCTTAAAGAAGGGTATTATCATCCCTCTTTTAGAGCAGGAAATGGAGTTTCAGAGACGTGAATCAGTTAGCTCAAAGCCATGCTGCTAGTGAATGGCAGGGACAGGTTTTGAGTCTCCTGACTGCAAACACGGTACTCAACCCTCATGGCCTGCACGGACCAGTCCTCCTTAAAGTTAGCTAAGTGGGCTGGGCATGGTGGCTCATGCCTGTAATCCCAGCACTTTGGGAGGCCGAGGTAGGTGGATCATGAGGTCAGGAGTTCGAGAGCAGCCTGGCCAACATGGTGAAATGCTGTCTCTACTGAAAATACAAAAATTAGCAGGGTGTGGTGGTGGGCACCTGTAATCCCAGCTACTCGGGAGGCTGAGGCAGGAGAATCGCTTGAACCTGGGGGGCAGAGGTTGCAGTGAGCTGAGATTATGCCACTGCACTCCAGCCTGGGCAACAAGAGCAAAACTCTGTCTCAAAATAATAATAATAATAAAATAAAGTTAGCTAAGTGTAACAACAGGGTTTGCCAGGTGGTAAAGGTTATGAAGGAGAAGCCCCTGGAAGGCCCAGTGGCAGACCCCACCCAGCACTAGTTCAGGCTTAAGTGGTCACTCAAGGATGAGCAAAAAGAAACTGACTCCTCAGGGCCTAATGGTCACAAACAATTCTCCAGTGTGGAAAAATAACTCCAAGGAAAAGCACTCAGATCCTGGCTTGGTAGTATTGGCTTTAAATAAGAAGTCCTCATCTTTCAAGCCAGATCCCTCACCTCCAAGCCCAGCCTCAGGCCCAATCTCACCCGTGAAAGCCCACTGGTCAGAGTGGCTAACCCATTCCTGGATGCCAGGAACTTCCAAGAGAAAGTGTTTACTGGGGTCCCTAAAAGACTAAGGTGTTGGCGGCAAGACACAGAATACTTTTAGAAACCCACTAGCTTAGACCAGTACATTTAGTTATAAGAAAAGTTCCTGGGCTTCTAATTTGCAATCTGAATTCATTGACTTTGGAGCGGAGGGGGTCAGCATGGAAGAAGAGATTAGTGAGAGCAGCCCCACTGCCTGCACCTGCAACAGGAGGTGCCGTCCAGGGGCAAGGATGGGTGCAATTGTTTGGATGAGCCTCACATCGGCTGTGAGAACCCACTTCACTACGTGCTTGACCCAATCCCCTAAATCCCTCCATCAACTACTTGTTAATACAGACTGAGTATCCCAAATTCAGGTATCCCAAATCCAAACTGCTCCAAAGTCCAAAACTTTTTGAGTGCCATCAAAATGCTCAAAGGAAATGCTCACTGGAGCATTTCAGAGTCAGATTTTATAATGCAAACATTCCAAAATCCCCAACAATTTTCTAAATCTGAAATATTCCTGGTCCCAAGCATTTTGGATAGGGGCTACTCAACCTGTATTTTTAAATATATATTCTTCCTCATTATAAAGAGGATTAGAGATGCCTTCTATAAGAACTGTTTGATAAATCACAGGTGGGTCAGCAACTTTTAGTCCCAAGCATTTTGGATAAGGGCTACTCAACCTGTATTTTTAAATGTACGTTCTTCTTCATTACAAAGAAGATTAAAGATGCCTTGTATAAAGAACTATTTAATAAATCACAGGTGGGTCAGCAATTTTTAAAAAAACACAAGACTATAAATAAAAAATGGAATAAAGGATGAAGCTACATCAAAAATTTCTAGCACATATGCTTATTTTGGATCAGGCAGAGATTTGGCTTTGTTTTCTAGCTGCCATGGCAAAGCAAAAAATGGGGGAGGAGAGACATCTGATTTGTTAGAGAATTCAGTGATCATAACAAACCAGAACCATGAAATAAGCCAGTCACAAAAAGACAAATACTGTCTGATTCCTCTTAGAGGAGGTACCCAGAGGAGTCAAATTCACAGAGAGAGAAAGTAGAACGCTGGCTGCCAGGAAGTGTAGAGAAGGGGAATGGGGAGTTATTGTATAACGGGTACAAGGTTTCCATTTGGGAAGACGAAAAGAGTTCAGGAAATAGATGGTGGTGATGGTGGCACAGCAGTGTAGGCACTGACTGCTACTGAACTACACACATAAAAACGGTTAAGATGGTAAATTTTATGTCGTGTGCATTTTACCGCAATTCTAAAAAGTTATGACTTAAAAAAGAAAAGAAAAGAAAAAAAAAAAAAGCCAGGCCCTGAGGAGCTGAACTACTTCTCCTTCTGATACGAAGATGAGGAAGAAGTTCTCTAATTAGAGTTCCACCAAAAGGAGACGTTTAAGGTTGCAAATGGCAGCTTCAACAACATGCTTACAGGAGACGCATTTCTCAGCCTTCAGTGGAGGTTGATGGCTTCACGCTAAAATGCAGTTCAGAGAAAGCACTATGGTGGGGCAGGGGGATATAATGGCGTCCAGGTAACCAAACGGGATGGTTCATGGAGGCAGGAGAGGACATCTGCTCACGTGACTGTGGGAGAGCAGCCTGCCTGGCCTTCTGCAGAGGCTCCAGCAGGAGGGAACTTGTGATAGCACCACTGCTGCCCAGTTTGAAAGTGAGACATGCAAATATGGCCACTTGGCCACCCACCAGAGTTAACACTGATGTGATACTCATGTCCCCAAGTTCTTCAGCCTTCAAGACTCGACTCTTCCCTTAACATGCAAACAGCTACAACCTTAGCTCCTATCCCAGGAGGCTGCAGGAAAGCCAGTCTTTAGTGAGCTTCTCCTACCCCAGTTGTTTCTAAGAATCACCCAGGAATGCATCCACGTTCCAAAGATCAGGCCTGTTTGCCACATCAGGTTGCCCTGGATGGACAAGTTTTCCACTGCCTCTAAGTCACCCTTGGCTTCTCCAGGTCGCTGGCTCCCCCACTGCATACAACCATACCCCTCCTTTAGTCTCCCAGAACATAAGACCAAACTATAATATTGATCGAAATTTTCTGAAAGCTCAAAGATAGCAGAAGGGAATTACAAAATAGAAACAGAAAGGTTAAACCTCAGAGATAGGAAGTCCTAACTATCTTCGTCCTTAACTCCTAATTTGTCCCTCATTTCAGGGGCCAGCCTGCTTTTCCCCAAATGCTTTGACCATGTTCCTTCTACCTAGAATCTGGCTTCCCTGATACATTTTGGGGTCCAAAAAAGAGAGAAATCTCCCAGAGGGTCCTCCAAGTCCAATGAAATAATTATCTCTGAGATGCAACTCTGCATATAGAGAAGACAACCCGTCATAGTATTTTACAGAGTTACTTGGCTCCTCTTTGTCTCAAATACCTCCATTCCAAATAGAGTTTGCTTGAACACGACCAAATACACATTAAAGTGCTGCTTTATTTTATTTTATTTTTTTTTTTGAGACGGAGTCTGGCTCTTTTGCCAGGCTGGAGTGCAGTGGAATGATCTCGGCTCATGGCAACCTCCTACTCCCTGGTTCAAGTGATTCTCCTGCCTCAGCCCCGACAGTAGCTAGGATTACAGGTATGCGCCACCACACCCAGCTAATTTTTGTATTTTTAGTAGAGACGGGGTTTCACCATGTTGGCCAGGATGGTCTCCATCTCCTGACCTCATGATCTGCCCTCCTGGGCCTCTCAAAGTGGTGGGATTACAGGCGTGAGCCACTGCGCTTCTTTCAAAACAAAGCGCCATTTCCCTCAATGTTGAATCATAAAGTTGCAGTTTGTCCCCATCCCTAGTTACCATGTTTCCAAAATTGTGGGATGCCATCTCAGTTCAAGCATCACTCCTATAACTCACTTTTACTGTGGTGGAGCAGTAGGGGGCCAGCCTCATTGGTTCTGCCAGGCATACTCCTTCTGGCAGTGGGCAGGATGGTTTTAAATGCTTGTGGCTTGGTAATTTGTGGACTCATTTGCAAGGCAAATGCAAGCTATCTAAAATTAAGGTTCAGTGAAATGGGGCACTAGCTAAGGATTTCTTTTGTTTCATTTTAAAACCACACTCTTGCTTTATGAGATTGTTACCACAGATCTAGCAAGAGGCCTGATTGCTTTCATTCACTGTATAAAATCTATTCCACCCTTCCCACTGAAGCTTGGATGAAAGAGTTGTAAGGGACGGGCCTATTGAGGTCGGTGGTGGCTAGTTGCAGCCAAATGTCAGTGCCATAAGGAAAAGGGCCAGGCTGGGAAGTTGGCCTGGCCTAGGATCTGGTCTCTGTATTCGTGTTATTGGTCACAGTCCCCAAGGGGGAGGCTTTGCGCTCTGATTCCTCTTGGTGAAATGTAGGGTAGAGTGTTTGGTCAACTTCAAAGCCCAGTGCAACTTCCTCAGCTCTTTGTCAGATTCTACCCAAGTCTGATCCAATCCTAGGGGGTGGAGGCGGGGAGGGGCGGTGCAGTATTCGACTTAGTTTACTCTTGGCAAAACAGATCTTCCTGAGTCTCAGGGAGGAAAACGAGCAGCTTAGACAGATGTAAACAGGCTCTGAGGCCCTTTGGACATCAAATAACACTAACAAAACAACGTTTAGATGAGTTAAGTGTAAATCAATCAGAAACATATGGACTACATTTAACTGAAAATACACAGGGGTTTACAAATTACAGGCACAGGGGCTTGGCAAAATGCAATTCAAGTTTTGCCAAACCTAAAATGTTTGGAGAAGATTAAAAGAAAGTAGTCTGACCCCAAATTCCTTCAACCCTGCCCATCTCTGACACTGATAATATCCCACATGACCATAAACATTTAAGGGCATGGATTTTAAGAGATTTATATGCTGAATAAATTTAACTACACAACGAGCTGAGGTTCTTTTCCAGAAGAATGTTCATAGAAAGCTGAAACTGCCAAGTGACTGTATTAAAAGGGAGAAAACATCTACCTTTTGAGTTGGGCCAAAGAGATACACCTACATGTTTTCACTTGCAACAGAGTGGGATATTCTAAGCTTAGATGCCCGTGATTGCAGATTCATGGAGCACAGGCTCTGCTTTTTCCTGGTGTGGGTAGTCTTTGCACAGTGAGTGGCAGGCAGCATCTTGCACCCATTTGCCGCATATGGGGACAACGCAGAGATATATTCACTAGTGTCACTGTTGTGTTGTGACCCTCCCACATGTGGCATTTCTAGGTCAAAGAAAAGTTGTCCCAGTGGAACTAAAGCACCCAAGATCCAACTGTTTGAGTTTTGAGATTCAAAAGTGAAGTCTGACTAAGATATAAAAGATTTGGTGTATCCACCCCACTTGCCACCCAAGATGAGATGGAGTCTCCAAAGGAGAGCAGAAGGAAAGAGAGGACTCCTCAGTGGGGTCCCTGAGAAAGAGCTGCATTACTGCTGCCCCCTGGAGGATGGAGGGGAATAAGAGAACAACAAAAGAGGTTGTGGGATGGAAGAGCAAAGACACCACTGTCTGTTTCCTGGGTGCCCAGCATGGACAGGAGCAGCAGAGTAGAAAGTGATTCCGGGTGTGCCCAGATCGAGAGGCCTGTGACAGCCCCATAGAATTCCCACAGCCCTAGAGTAGTTGTGTGGGGTATGGGGCAGAGGCATAGCAGAATTCCCTACAGGCCCTCAAAAGGGGGCACAGGAGTAGTTAAGAAAGAGTCAAATCTGCACAGACCTTGCAGTGGGGGGTGAGAGAGGGCAGCCACAAACCTGTGGGTATCAGTGATCAAGGGTGGGATGGGGTGATACAG
Source organism: Homo sapiens (assembly GCF_000001405.40). NCBI lineage: Eukaryota > Metazoa > Chordata > Mammalia > Primates > Hominidae > Homo > Homo sapiens. Next base: position 87,120,615 of record NC_000001.11, on the reverse strand, counting down.
ACCTGGGAGGCTGGTGTGGATGGACAACCTGGGTCAGAGGGCCCCTCTGTGCATGCATGGACACACACACACACAGGCTGTTGTGATAGTAATAAGCCACCTACAATGGAGACACAACCCCCAGCGAGAGAAAGACTATCCAGCAGTAACTGAAATTGCCAATCAGCAAGCCAAATGGGGACTTGTAACGGATTCACTAAAACAAAACATAATGTTTCTGGCACACTTCAGCTGTTGAGATTCTTGCCTTCTCCTCATGTGGATAAGGTCACAAAGTTGGTCAGGTGGTGTGACTGTTAGATTGTTTTGGGTATTCCCTGAACTCTAAGAAGCAGACAAAGCTTCACCCCACTTCATTTCACCCTAAGGAAACTTGATCTGAGTCATCAGGGATGAGCTGAGGCTGTGAGAGGAGGTGGGAGTGGGTGCAGACTTCAGTTGAAGGTGCAAAGGGGTCATCAATGGAAGTGGCAAGAGGGCAACCCACCAGGGGCAGGTGAGGGAGACAAGTGTGTTGAACCCTCAGGGGTCAGGAGGCTGTCAAAGGCAGAGCAGTGTTCCATTGCTCCTCCAACACAAACCGTTTTCTAGGATATGCTCAGGCAGGCCAGCCAGCTTACCACATCCTCTTGCTCTGGAGGGACTAAGGGAAGGGCTGGGAGGCATAGAGGAGCTCCAAGATGGTTGGTCGGCTAGAACCAGGGCTCTGCATGGAGAGGGAGCTGCTGAAGCCAGAGGAGGGGCCTAGAGACACAGTAATTTTGAGGAAGGGAGGAACTTGGAATTGTTCATACTTGTGCCATTGGCTTTGTGGGGTAACCTACAAGTGGGAAGTTAACCAGAAGAAAGCAGTCATTGTCATTAGAGGAAATTCTACGTCTTCTCCTGTGTGGCACACAGGATGATTCAAGGGCCAGCCCACAATATTTCTGTTTTCCCCTGCATCTCGCCTGTTGGTTAGAATGTGGTTCTAGACACATGGGGCCTGTAGCAATTGAATATGAATTTGCATCCATGTTTACAAAAACAATCAGAGATTTTACACGGGCCTCCTCAGCATGAAATATGCAGTGAAGCTGCAATAACCCCTGCTACCACCCACCTCCCTACTACCAGATTTGTTTTCTATGGCTGCTATAACAAATTACCAGAAATTTAGTGCCTCACAGCAAAACGAATGTATAACCTTACAGTTCTTGAGATCAGAAGTCCAAATGGGTCTCACTAGGCTGGTGTCACTTCCATCTTCAAAGCCAGTACTGAACAGGCCAGTCTTTTTCACATGGCATCACTTGACACTGATTTTTCTTCCTCTTCCATCTTTTAAGGACCTTTGTGATTACACTAGATAATCCAGGCCCACCTGGATAATCTAGGAAAATCTTCCTGTTTTAAAGTCAGGTGATTAGCAAACTTAATTCCATCTGCAACCTTAATTTCCCCTTGCCATGTAACATAGCATATGTGAAGGTTCTGGGAATTAGGAATGTGGACATCTTTGGGAGATTGTTCCAAGCACTGGCTGTTATGCATACATGCATGTACACACACACACACACACACACACACACACACACACACCCCTGAGAGACTCCCAAAGAGGAAAGTTGAACAATGAGCTCACTCATTTCTAGAAGCTCCTGCATCTGCCAAATATCGTCCCGCTTCTAAATAAGGCTGGGCTTTACTTTTTCAGATGTCAGCGGTCTACCACTTGCTTTCAATCTTACATTAAGTTAATGCTTTAGCCGGCAGGGCGCAGTGGCCCATGCCTGTAATACCAGCACTTTGGGAGGCCAAGGCAGGTGGATCACCTGAGGTCAGGAGTTCAAGACCAGGCTGGCCAACATGGCAAAACCCCGTCTCTACTAAAAAAATACAAAAACATTAGCTGGGCTTGGTGGCACGTACCTGTAATCCCAGTTACTTGGGAGGCTGAGGCAGGAGAATCGCTTGAACCCAGTTGGTGGAGGTTGCAATGAGCTGAGCTTGCGCCACTGCACTCTAGCCTGGGTGACACAGTGAGACTCCACCTCAAAAAAATTAAAAAAAATAAATGGGCCAGGCACGGTGGCTTACACCTATAAACCCAGCACTTTGGGAGGCTGAGGTGGGCAGATCATGAGGTCAAGAAATCGAGACCATCCTGGCCAATATGGTGAAACCCCATCTCTGTTAAAAATACAAAAATTAGCTGGGCGTGGTGGCACGCGCCTGTAGTCCCAGCTACTTGGGAGGCTGAGGCAGAAGAATCGCTTGAACCCGGGAGGCAGAAGTTGCAGTAAGCTGAGATCATTCCACTGCACTCCAGCCTGGTGACAGAGCATGACTCTGTCTCAAAAAAAAAAAAAAAGCTTTAGCCCAATTAGGAACAGCAAGTTGCATTTAGATGTGATGGGCATCAGCTGAACAGCCATTTTCTACCTGCACACTCCTGGAGCTGTGCTCGTGAGGGCCCGGCCTCTGCAGAACATGCAGTTGTTTTTTAGGCGACTTCCTAGCAGTGGAAGTGTTAACTGCAGGATTAAAGATGATGAGAAGAAAGAAATATTTTATATTTTTAAAACCCCAGAGTTATCGATTTTTATTATAAAAAACATATGTGCTTCCTCCTCTGTAGTAGAAGTGTTCCTGACTGGTTATATGTAAATCAAATTCTTTATAGATTGAGTCATATTTTAGATGCACCAGGGGAGCTGGCTATTTAAAGGGACCCTGCTGTGAATCTTTCTGTCAAACCAAGAGGCTGTTTGCGATGCTAATTTTCACCCCTTAATTTGTCTGTTTTGTAGGTTCAGATTTTTATAAAATCTCCAAAATTCACCTACCAAAGCAAGGCACACCTGTATCCTACATTTCAAGGGTATCTTTTTCATAAGAGCTCAAAGAGCTGTCAGGTGGATTATCTCATTTATCTTCCCAACATTCTTCCACAGGAGTTTGGGGCAGTCATTATTATCCTCAAAGTAGCTGTAACTGTCTCCCAAACAGCATCGCAGGGGGCCCCATGAAAGGCAAAGACATGCTCAGCTGAGAACTATTTATTTTCCAATTAACAATAGGCTCCGTCCTGGGAGGGGCATATGGGGAGTTTTTCTTCAGAGCCCAAAATGTTCTTTTTTGCTATTCTTTTTCACTACTGTCCAGATAGAGAAACTGAGGAACTGAGAAATTAAGTGCTTTCAATGTTGTAAATGTTTAGTGAGTGTCCCTATACAAGACATGGTGTTGGAGTTGGATGGGGCCAACATCAAGAGCCAGAAAAGGCCCTCACCTGGAGTTTGCCACCTAAGGGGAAGAAGTGCAGGTGGACAATACCAAGAACAAAATGTTAGGGAACGCTGACGCCTTCAGCTCACCCACAATGTTCTTCTCCCAAGGATTTTAGAGCTATGACCTCATTCAATTCTTACAACACATAAGGTGAAGTTGGCTTTGGTTTTACTTTTGGTAGAACAAGGAAACTTAGAGATTAGTGATTTTCCAAAAGGCACATGACAGGTGAGCGAGCCAGGACTTAAATTCACGTCTGTCTTATTCAAAAAGCATGTGCTTCCCATGTCACTATTATTGAACATAGGAACAAGCAATGGGCTTTGTGAGTGTAGTGACAAACAGTAAATTCTGACTTTCAGGATCAAAGAAACTGTCCCAGAGAGATGCTGTTTGAGCTAGGTCTTGAACGGTGAGAAAGATTTCCATAGAGAACTGGGAGAAGAACAGGGAGAAAGGTATGAAAGCAGGCATAAGTGACCTGGTTGGTCCAGGCTACCAGAGAGCTGTGGTGATAAACAAGGCTGAAAGGGAAGTTAGGGACCTAGCATAGAAGGTCTTGAATGCTACCTTAAAGGAGCCGCACCTCTTCCCACAGTGGGTGGGAAGCCACTGAGACTTTCTGAGGGAAGAAGCAACATGAACTTTCTCTCTGGAAGACAGAAACTTTCTTTCTGGCATCAGTGTGAAGAATGAGTTTGAATCAGGAGATCAGATCTTAATACTTAAAGTTAGATAGCATTTTCTCCTCCAACAGAAAGAAAGCAACCTGGTGGACATTGAGGGAATGCCAGGTGAGAAAAGGTGCAGTCAGAACGGGAAGCTATGTTGCTTGGCATCAAGATGAATTCTCTTTCCCTTACATTAAACAAGGTGGCTGGACCCTTGAAAGGAGGGCACGTCCTGGCCAAGCCCACCCCTGGTGCTTCTTCCCTTCCTCTGCACCCAGCAGTGCCAGGCATAGAGGAGTGGGCCATGATCTGTATTTCTCTTTGCACTCTGAGATCTTCACAGGTGCTAAGGATAGGGGTGTGTAGCCAAACCTAATGCTTGCCTTTTAAGCTGACTCCATCCTTCAAGGTTCCTTGTTGTCTGTCCTAAACCACGCAATGACAAGCTGAGCTCAGTGAGCATCTGTTGGGCCCATAACCTCTGGGGGTATGAGAGCCAAACATCTTCGTATTGAACCTTATCTCTTCTTCTAAGATACCAGTTTATTAGACTCATCCAGATGTAGTTTCAAGGTCTTTGAGCTGCAAAACCAACGAAAGATAAGATGGTGAAACTGGTGGGGCCTCAGGCAATAAGAAAGCCTATCTCCTTTGTCCACCCCACTCACCCACCAAAGCTTATGAATCTTTAAAGATCCATCCTTCAAAGCAACTATGTAAGGCCATGAAGGAGTAGACTTGGAATAAGGAATGTATTTTCCTTCAGTTTCTATTTTTTGGAGAGTAGTGTAATTCTTGCATTTGTTAAAGACCTTGGGGCTCCTGGAAGAAAGGAGATTTAAGTATAAAAGCCATTATAATAGCATTACTATTAGCAGTAGTGAGTTTGGCATGACGCCTAGGCCACCCGGACTCCAGAGTCCTAAGTTACTAAATGGGAGGCTCAGTGTGACTCAGATGGATCTGATCTGTTAGCCAGGGAGGTGCTAGGAAATCTCCCTAAACACAAAAGGAATGTTGTGGTGAGGGACTGAGCAGGAGGAGGGAGACAGGAAGAGGCAAGAACAGAGGGTAAAACCAAATTCAGGGATATCTGGAGAGCTCAGAGCAGGTGCCACTTATGAAGTGAGATTTCTGGAGTCAAGAGGCTGTCCTACCCACCTGCCACCCCTCCTGCCTAAGCATGCCTGGACTCCCATGAGGCAGAGGTTTTACTCCTTTGGCTTCAGGCCTCGTATCCACTGTAAAACTTCTGCTCTGCCCTCCCACCCTGAAAAGGTTAGACTGGCTGGTCATGGATATCTCTGAACCCCTCTTTGCAGAAAGGCCCTCAGGCATGTGGAGGGAGAGAGCTGTAAGCAGCATGCCACAGTGGGAAGTGAGGGGATGGCTGGGAGGGCTGCAGGGACACCAGGAGACAACCAGTCTTTGCTGGGTGCCCATGTTGGATCTGGGCCAAGCCTGCTCCATACAGCACTTAGGAGGAAGCATCAACTTCTCAGCACCTTTCACCTCCCCAGAACAGCTTGGTCAACCTCCTGCCATGGTGGCTCTTGTGCAAAGGCAAGGTTTGCACATGGAGACCCTGCTAAAACCAGAGAGCCCTGGGAGAATTCACAAGACACGCTGGCTGAACCGCTGGGAACTGATGACTTGAACTTGGCCTGTACTCACTCCCCAGCACATTGAAAAGTGGACTCAAGGTGATTTTCCCAACATTGAATCTGGGAATCCTGTCAGTCTTTAGACATCACCACGACCACCGAGAATAACTAACTGCCATTTATTGACCTGGGACTGAATTTAGGGACTAGGAGGAAGCATTTCAAGAAAACAAAATGGCCTAAATTTGCCCCTCCAAACTCCCAGTCCTCGTCGTTGGAGGCCGCACTGAGTTGCAGCCATAGCTATAGCCCACATGGGTGACTGCCATAGCCCTAGGTCATGCTTTTCCTGTTGCCAAGCCCTGTGGGGCTGTGTAAAAGAGGCAGAAAAGACATGGCAAGACTTTTTTTTTAGACGGAGTCTCACTCTGTCACCCATGTTGGAGTGCAGTGGCGTGATCTCGGCTCACAACAGCCTCCATCTCCTGGGTTCAAGCAATTATCCTGCCTCAGCCTCCTGAGTAGCTGGGATTACAGGCGCACACCACCACACCTGGCTAATTTTTGTATTTTTAGTAGAGACAGGGTTTCACCATGTTGGCCAGGCTGGTCTCGAACTCCTGACCTCAGGTTTCACCATGTTGGCCAGACTGGTCTCGAACTCCTGATCTCAGGTGATCCCCCCACCTGGGCCTCCCAAAGTGCTGGGATTACGGGTGTGAGCCACTGCATCCAGCCTATGGCAAGACTTTCAAAACAACCCCCCACTACTGCCTGTCACAGCTGTCAGAGCCTATGCAACAGGATGGTTAAGAGCAGAAAATTTGTAGCTAGACTTGGATTTGAATCCTGCTCCACCACTTTCTAGCTGTGTGACTGTAAGAAAGCATCTGAACTTCTAATTCATTCTCATCTGTAAAATGGGGCTGCTAGTAGTACCTTCCTCAGAGGATTAAGAGGATGAAATGAGGCCAGCCATGGGGGCTCAAGCGTGTAATCTTAGCACTTTGGGAGGCTGAGTCTTGAGCCCATGAGTTCGAGGCTGCAGTGAGCCATGGTTGTGCCACTGCACTCCAGCATGGGTGACAGAGTGAGATCCTCTTTCTCTTAAAAAAAAAGGGGGGATGAAATGAGTGTTAACAAATGCATAGCACTTGGTACAGTGCCGGCACATAAGAAGTACACTATACATGGGCAACAATCTTCCTCTTTCAAAAAGAATGTGTTGAGGAAATGCATTGCACCCGAAGGCTCAGTCCACTGCCCTGCTGATCTCTCAGTGTGTGTGGAAGGAAGCCTATAAGCATTGCTATGCACGAAGATCAGTTCTGATTTCCCTGGAAGTCCCTTGAGCTATCGACTAACCCTTGGTCTGGGCTCTTGCTTCTAGGAGAAAAAAAAATGCAGATATAATTTGTGAGAAACAAGTGGGCACTTCTGTTTAAGCTGCATGACTGGAAGAGTTCACACGTGACCACAGACTAAGAATCTCGGCTGGGAAGCACTGCCAATGATGACAGCAACAGGGATTTCCAAGTAGCCACAAGTATTCCCACACTACGTCAACCCATGGCTCCACAGATATTGCCAAGCCAGGGCAAGGAGCCCTCTTGCCATTAAATCCATCACAGTAAACTATTAAGTATGACCAAAGAACACTGGGACCAGAAAGTCCAGATGAAATGCACTTAGTTTGGGTAGCCATTTTGGATTCTCGGCTCTGTCCCTGAATTTCCTGAGCACACTAGTAGCCACGCTGAGGTTTAGCCCCCACATTCACCTCACACAGAAAACAGAAACTCATTAGAAGGGGTGGCATTGTTTGCCTTACTCCAGAAGAGCACATTGGGACTTTTTTCTTCTTATTGACCTGCTCTGTGGTCCCCCAAAACGATATTTCAGAGAGGAATTTACCAATAATGAAATATATAAGATACACTATAGTTTATAACGCAGTCCAATGTAGAAAACAGATGGTGTTGGAGCCAGACTGACCTGGGTTCACATCCTAGTTCACAACTTTTGTTATGAGAAGCCTTAGGTTACTTAACCAGCTAGGTTAAGCTCAACTAGAGCTTCAGTCGTCTCATCTGTAAACTGGTGCTCTAGACCAGTGGTTCTTAACTTTAGTCTTGGTCAGAACCACCTGAAAGCTTATTAATAAACATAGTGCTAGGTCCTACTCAGAAGGCTAGGGCCTAAGAATCTGCCTTTCAACAAGTTCCTAGGGGATGCTGACACTATTGGTCCAGAGATGGGATTATAGCCTAAGAACCACTGCAATTGTTTAATCTGTATTACAGCCCTTGCTGACTTTGAGAGACAGGCACATATCAGGAAGGGCATCAGGGTTTGATGGACTAGGAATCTTGAGGGCTGGGGAGCCCATCTTCCACCTCCTAGCTGTGTCAGTTTCAACTGTAAAACGAGGATAATGGTATCTACCCTTCCACGTGAGAATCTAATGAGAGGATAAATGTGAAATGAAAGCGCCTTGTAAATTATAAAGTTCTAAACAGTTGTAAAGGATTGAATATGAGGATTACTGAAAGGTTAAGCTCATGGTGCAGAGAGAGCCTGTAGTGCAGTGCCTGGCAAACAGTGGGGGCTCAATAAATACTAAATGTAGAAAAAAAAACCCACAAAAGTAAAATTTGCCACTGACTCCATGCCAGAGATTTCAGTCTTTGTCATATATTAAAATAAGAAAAGGTAATAAAGTTGTAACACATGAAGTTCACATTTCAATCGTGGGTGGCAAGGACCTCCTTCCTGGATTCTGATCCAATATTATTCAAATCTCCACTACTTAATGTGGAACTACTGTGGATCTTGATAAGAGGAAAAGGCTGGGCTCTGTTTCCACTTTGCTCTTGGCAGTCCTCAGGCCTCCAGTATAACTTTCTTAGAAAATGAATAGGGCTGGCTCCCAGAGAGACTAATCTAATCTCATCTTGTCCACTCAGAAGATCCGTATCAAACATTACAGACTGTCTGACTGCAGGACTACAGCAGGAAGGAGCATCTAATTCCATCTGGATTTGGATCAGTGATTAAACGATCAAGTAGAGAGCCATTAGCATGGTAGAAATAGAAAAGCAAAATATAACTGGCCTATTTCTTAAACATTGTTCTCATCTAAGGTGTTATTCAAAGAGCCCCCACATGAAACAAAGAGCAAGCCTGCGAGAGAGGAGTTTAAAGTCCACAGCCTCCTTTAAAAACAGACATGAATGGATCAACATGCTGCATTTTTACTGTTTATGGGCATGACAGTCTGATCAGATAACCATGCTATGCCAAGAGACCTAATTAGTAATCCTCTGGCGAATTTTAAATTACTTTTAAAGGAAAAAAAATATGTCTCTGGTAACTCTTGGTTGAATAAAATGTCACTCATTTCTGATCATCCATTTTCAGAAAGGCTCTGCCCGCTTCAAATGGAATTACTGGTGAATTCAGTTACGCAGAAAAGGTATATTTCAGCTAATCAATTTTGAGAGATCCAACAGTTTCAAACACCTAAGACTGAAACCTCTACATTGTTTTTTTTTACAGCACAACCTGGCTGCCTTATCAAGAGGGCACCCAGAATCATCAAAATGGGTACAAATGAAATGTTATTGCCACAGGCACTTTAAATACATCTCTCAAGATGCTACATGAAATACCCAGATTTAGGGCAAATTGGCTCACATTTGTGAAAGCAAAACAAAGTTCAGAAACCAGATCACTTGGGGACTGTAGGTCTACTCTTTGCCAGATTTTAACATTTAATTAGATACAGGTTAAAGCTTTGATAGTTTAAGGCGGCACATGCTTAAAAAATCACAAATTAGCAAGTTTGACAGTTCTTTGATGTTAAATTTCTACTAAGAGACTGAGTGATTTTAAACTGGAAAGAAAGGAGAGCGGAGGGAGAGGGAGAAAGAAAAGAATGAACTGATTCTAGAATCCCAGAATAATCACTCTTCGATCTGCTGCTCAGGGACAGAAATTTCTTAACATTCTTACAGTTCAAAATACTTATGTTGTCTGTTTCATGGAGGGCGTATTTAGCAAGAAAACCTAGACAGGGGTCAGTTACTGCACTTACAGCTCATCCTCTTCCTTTTCCAGCATCACCGATAGACAGGCTGAAGGCTCTAGAAATCTAGTTGCCCACACCCTTGATCTAAAAGAAAATTAATCCATATACGTTTTCTCTATTTCCCTGTAAACGCTGTCAGTGCTAATGATGTGAAACATTTCCAGGCATGACTTTCATTTCTAAACTTCAGGTTTAGAGAAGTAGAGGTAGAGGCTTAGAGTTGATGTGTTTTATTAGACGCCTTCATCATCAAACCAGAGAACATCAGAAAAGTTTCTAGGGGGTTCTTTCTAAACTCTAACCCAGGTCACAAAATCTGGAAGAGCAAAAGAGGCAAGGAAGCCAAACATCTGATAGGGAGACAGTGAATTCTTTCTTTGTGATCCTATGTTCTTTGGGAAAACACTAGTCTGTTTTATAAGCTTTGACACAGGAAGTAATCATCATTGCCTAATTGAGGCAAAAGCAAGGGGTGCTGAAAATTTGCACAGATGCATTGTGTTACAAACCCAAGTTAATGCCTTCATTCCCCATTTATTGATTATATCCCACCTGTCACCAAATGTTGGCGTTTCTGGCCCTGAGATCTGTCTGCTTCTCCCCAACCTTATCTCTACTTTTCTTGACAACTGCAGTCAGGTCCTCAGAGGTTTTCATGTTCTCAGTTTTTAGCTTGAGAGCCTATTCCTTACACTGCTGCTGTCCTTTCTGTTCAAAGAGTGCAAATCATTTCATTCCTGTGATCCTGAATTTTATGTGTGTACTATTTAGCAGTCCTTACTGTTCAAATATACTAAGATATGAACTCAGTCATTTCTGGAATAAGCAAGTCCTATCTTCTTTAGAACAGTCAGCGTTTCCCCCCTTTAATCTGTACAAATGAGTGATTTGTATGTGGAAAGAACAGCAAGAATCAGAACCAGGAATATTTATGCTACAGGTACATAAGTGAGGCGGTATTAAGATAATCAGTAAAAAGTACAGTCATTCAAAAATATTTATAAAAATATCATTTATGAAATGACAAAACCAGTATTCTGCAGGGTGAGAACGGCACATCAGCTTGGTAACAATATTCCAGCACAGCATATAAATGCCATCAGTTATTAGTCTACCCTGGCCAGTACTTTGCATACATCATGCCCAACCTTTACAACAATCCTGTTATGTCCATTTACTGACATCACATTGCTAAATGCAGATCCCTTTGATTCTCAAGCCATGCTCTTTGTTCAGCCACTGCAAGTACAAACCAAATTCTGTTAAGAAAACTCATCATTGAACTGGTATTTTATCAACCCAATATCATATAATATAAATAGAATCAATCAAGCATTGCTCAAAGCAATGAGCCAGTGGCTAAGAATTGAAAATCAATGGAATTGAGACTTTCTTCTTTAAGGGGGAAAAAAAAAATCAGAAATGTGTGTTCCCAAAAAAAATTATGGATATGTCCAAACTGTGCCATAAATGTTAGATTAAGTTACTTTCAAATTTTTTTAATTCTAATAGCCCTTTCTCTATTTTTTTCTTCTAATTAAGTATATATTTTGTAAGTTTTCCATCTGAAATTTTATTACCAGCAATGAAGTACAAAGCAAAAGCAGCAGAGGCATGTCAGTCCAGATAAAATATTGTCACAAGCCATAAAATCATTAGAAACCAATGATGTTGCATGCTTTCTTGATGGCAACACTATCTGAGAGTTAAGTTGACACTGAACACTGAGTCAGCTTGGAAAATGTCCATCAGTGTCAAGGCTACAAAAGAAAATATTAAAACAGGACACCAATTTTTCCCCTTCCCACTGTTTATTTTATAGCTTTTGCATCAGGTAGTCAACTGAAACACTTCAACATCAGAAAGCTGGCAGAATGTTAAGGAAAAGGAGTGATTATCTCTCCAACAGATGTGACAAAATGGTTTCAAGTTGGAAACAGAATTTGCATAAATGAATCAACTGAATGGAGTGGGGGAGGGCAGGGAGAGAGAAGAGAGAAAGTAGTGAGCATCTTCCAACAGGACTATGAGGGAAAAAAAAGGCACTGTTGAGCTGTGTATTTATAAAATAAAAGTCAAAATACACAATCCATGTTTCCGAAAATTACATTCAACACTGCTTCAGAGATGCTCACATACCTGACTCTCAATAGAAAGCTACAAAAACTGTCTAAAAAATGAGATAGACAGCATCAATGTCTCAACACAGGCTTAACAGTAATGCGTTCTAAAGAGTTCATCACCATCAGGGTCCATTTTATAAATAGTACTGCAAAGGCCACAAAGCTGCATGAAATTACAGGATAAATCTGACTAAATGATCATTCATTTCAATCTCTAAAATTCCTGCTCCAAGAAATCAGAAAGCTCCACTCCAGAGGAGCTGAATTGGCAGTGGATTTGAAACAGGGTTGCTTTTCTCCTCAGAAGGCTGCCTAAAGAGTAGTTTAGTTGGCATCATACAGCAACTTTGCATAGGGTAAACGGATGCAAAAACATAACAGCAACTTCTCTGCTTCCTCTGAAAGTAAACAGCACTAATTTATGAAGAGGCCAACTCAAATCATAAAGGAGAAGCACCTGGGCCTCTTAAAGGCAAACCACATAAAAGGTTACAGGGTGCTTCTCTTAAGGATTCTAGGACCATAGGTGTGTTTGGGAATGACCAATGGAAAAATCCAGTTAGATGATTTACACAGATGTTCTCTATGTAGATTTGAATTTAAATTAAAATGCCAGCTATGCATTTGGGAACCAGCTTTTAGTTAAATTCTCTAGCACTTTTAGAATTATTTGATTTTATTAAAAAAGAATCATTGTCTACAAACTGTTTTCTAACAATGCAAATACAGTAAGCAAGTCATCTGCAATATCAAAATATTGTTTGTAAATCACTGATGGCACCAACGATTTGAGGAATTTCCAATAGGACACATATTGAGAAAAAGCAACAGATTATAGGCATTAACCAAATTTTAAGATCAGAAAATTATAAAAATCATTAAGTTTAAATTATCCAATTTTCAATAGCTTAAATCCAATCATCAGGAATTCAGAAGCACCCAATATGTTTGAAGTTGCACAAATGCATATGGATGATAGGAAAGTAATCCCCATGCAATATCTTAAGTGTTGCTATCAGATATATTTAAGTGCTACTTTACAGATTAAGCTGGGTAAAATCAAAATATATTTTACTTCCCATTAGATTTTAAAACAATCACAATAATTTATCAACAGTTGCCATTTCACAGCAATTAGAAAAGAGGAGTTGATACAAGTTGAACAGAAAGGTATCTTTTCTTCTTTTAGGAAATAAACATATATATATATATGTATATATATTTCACATACACACATAACATTATCTTTAAAATTCCAAGTGGTTACTTTTGTATTATAAAAAAATTATCTCCCTATGGTCAAAATACTGAAAAAGCGCAAAGGCTGAAAAAAGAAAACCACATTTGCCACTTTAAAAAAATACATTATTGTCTCAGTGGTTCTATTTATTTAATTGATTATAAAGTATTATGACTCCTAGTACTGTACTGGACCTGATGGAATTAAATACACCCCTTTCTCAGTCTCCAGAAAGGATACTCCTAACCCACCCTAAAATATGATAAAATAAATGCCCCTATTCTGAACTGTTAAACTGGGAAATAAACCATGCCCACCTGGAAACAATATAAGTCATAAAAGTTTATGAATCTGTGGGAGAGACTACACGAATCAGAAAGCAATTCTTTGGATATAAGTTAGGAGCTTTTAGAAGTATATAAACTCTTTTAGGCATCTAGAGTAGAGACACAAAGAGGATTTCTCCATAAATAATGATTTGGCCAGTGCAATGGTTGGTTGCCCATGGTCTGCATCTGGGATGTCATCTGTTTTTGTAAATAAAGTTTTATTGGAACATAACTGTGCTCATTTGTTTACATAATGTCTATTGCTGCTTTTGTGGTAAAATGGCAGGGTTGACTAGCTGTGACAGAGACCGTATGGGCTGCAAAGCCTAAAATATTTACTCTCTGGCCCTTCCACAGAAAGTTTACTGACCTCCTGATCTAGTTCACCAAGTACTGCTCTAGTTACCTAAAAGAGTTAATGCACCTCAAGAAGATTTGAGCATGTGGTGCAAGAATAACTTGCATACTGGGTTTGTTCATTAGCATGTAATGTCAAACCACACCTTGAAGTGGTGCTTTATTTTGGGCGAGGAAATAATTTGTATACACTTTCAGGAAATACCTATAAAAGTCAATTTGAAAAAAGGAAAGAAAAAAGCCAAATTTAAAAAAAGCCTGCCTATGTTCTTTTAATATTTTTATATTATTGTGAGGAAAGGGTGCTAAGATGATTGTTCTGTCATTCTTTTAGTTTTTCTTTAGTTTATAAATGTTTCTTTTGTTTATAAATGTTTTCTCATAAGAAGTGTTCCCTCATGCCCTCCCATAACCTTTAAGGCAATCTACCTAAAATGCTTACAGTATGGTGAAGCCTTATTCAGAAATATTTACTTAAACCATAGGTATAGAATAGCTACCATTTCTGAATAATAATGTAAAATGAAAACAGAAACAGCTTTCAAATTTGAAGAGAAAAGTTTCCCTGACCCTAGTCAGCTAACAAAGCCTATTTCTAACAGTGAACTTCCTGAACTCAAGCAGCTGCTCATGAAGCTTTAAGAGTTCACAGGCATTTCATATTTCAATAGTTGTTGAAACATGGAAGATAAAACACTGAGAGGATATTTATCAAACACAAATTTATATCAAGATTAACTTTTTCAACCAGCTTACAAGCAGACTTTTCCCTTTCTTTGTTAAAAAATGAATGGTATGAAACTATATGTTAAAGATGTTTCTATAATACCTTACATTTACATAGCGCTTTACAATTTTCAAAGTGCTTTCACATGCCATCTCATTTAATCCTCACAACAGCCCTGTGAGGTAGGTACAGCAGGTATTATTATCCTCATTTCAAGATGAGGAAATTGAGGCAAAGAGAGGTTAAGTGACTTGCCCAAGATCACACAGCTGTAAGTGCTAGAGCTAGGACCTGAAATCAAGTTTTTTGACTCCTTGTCCAGTACTCATTCCACTGTAATTACTGCCTCAAGTTATGAATAATGAACTGTGTATCAAAATTGAAAGCTTACTGAAGTTCATTTCAGTGATGTCTTAACAGTAAAGTTAAATGAGAAATACAAGAACAGTAGGTCTGATGGTTTTACTTGACATAAAATTGGTGCAAAACCACTTTTGTCTAATTACTTGTAACCTTTTGGTCCAAATACATAAAATATGCAATATTTACAGCATTTTCCTTGTTTTGTAAATGCAATGCTTTAAAACACATTATAAAGCACCTTAGTAAAAATAGTCTACAGGTAAAAGTACAGAAGAAGTAGGAAAATCCTACCCATACCACAGCTCACTAATGGAGTCATAATACGGAGTCACCGATATCTCAGTTTACAGCTTTACAAATAACCCATGGAGAAACAAATACTAAACTTACTTTTTTGATATTAATGTGTGAAAATCTTAACTAAAACTTCAGACAATCTCAATATTCTTTGAAGTATCTTCCCAGTATTAGATATTGAGGAGGCAGGAATGAGAAATACTGCTTTGATGCTTTATCTTTTTACCATATTAGTCATGATTTAAATTGATTTTTAACACTAATCACCATTTAAAAAATTAAAACCACCTACATAAATATGGGCAAATCCAACTACAGCAGAAACATTTCTTAGCAAATATGATTAAACATTCCAATAAATTTCATGAGACATGACTCACAAAAACAAAGTACACACTGCCAAACAGTTATTAACACAATTCAGTAGAGGTGTATAACCCAAACCCTCAGTGAAGGCAGAAGAGGCAAATGGACTCATCTTAATTCATGGTTAGTTGAAAAAATGCTTTATCAAAAACAAGAGTATCAGAACCTTTTCTGAAATTGTATTTAGCCTTTTGATTAGACCTGCCATAAGTTCATTTTAGGTGATGTATATTTTCTCCCAGGCAGGAGGTTATAACTTTCACCAACGTTTAGCCAGGAAAAATAAAAATGCCTGAAACTTAGAACACTGACAATGCCAGCCAGTATCTACTTCCTTGACGTTACTGTCTGTTTCCTAATTTGGCTCAATACAAATTGTCATATACACCTACTGTCAGCAATCCAGACTGTGGAGCTGAGAACAAAGGTGAAGACAGGGTCAAATTTTAGTTCAAGAATCCAATAGTCACACCTTATACTCAGTTCGACTTAGGGTAAATCTTTTCATAGAAAAAGTTTTGTGCGAGGATGTAGAGGTCTCCATCTTTTTCTCGAACGGCATGGGCTCTGATGAATTGGAACTGCTCTAGTGCAAATTCATAGAACTCATTCTCCATTTTCCAAATATCAGATTGCTGTAGTTTTGCAATGGTTTGTTTAGTGGGGAGTTTCTTCTCTGTGGTTTTCCTAAGATGAGATTTCTTTCCTACTTACAAAGGGGGAAAAAAAGGAAAGGTAAATAATTCTTGGAGAACACACAAAAGATCAATGCCTCTTTATTTGAAGAGGTGGTTAATATGACACATTAAGAACAGGTAACATAATTGTCTTATATAATTCAGGTAAAAACGGAGCCTTGATCAAACTAGAGCCATGATTCAGTCCTTTAGAATGTTAATCCTTAACCTAGTAAAGACTTAATGAAATGTCAAATAGTCAATGTAAGGATTGGCACACAGTAAAGTGTAGGCTGTCACCTCACACACTATATTCTCAAGTGCTTGGTGCTCTGAGACTAGTTTATTTTTGATAAAATACCTATTGTCAAACTGTATTCTATTTTCTCATAATCTGTATTCTCTAAAATTATGTGTTAGAAGCTAGGGCATATGCATCCTCAAGGAGAAGAGTTCCTATGACTGCATCTTATCAAGCAATAGCAAAAAACGAAACAAAAC
This sequence comes from Homo sapiens, assembly GCF_000001405.40. NCBI lineage: Eukaryota > Metazoa > Chordata > Mammalia > Primates > Hominidae > Homo > Homo sapiens. The sequence continues at coordinate 87,103,997 of NC_000001.11, read as the reverse complement.
AAAAACACAATTAGCTTATCACTTTCAGACACATGATAATACGGCTGAGGCTGCTAAAACATGGCTTAGGCATACTTCAGTTCCCCTATCACACCTCTACTTCAAAATGGTAGTAGGCAGGACTTATACACAGGCCTAATGTTTGATATCTGGCATTATTGAATACCATACATTTCTATGGCTGGTTCTGTACTTTGTATCATTCCACTATTTCTACAGTGCCTTCTAATTTTCACCTAATTCACAGTTACTCAATTGAAAATAGTGAGCAGAAACCGACAAGATACCTGCCTTTCTGGAGCTATCTGTTGTGTTTCACTGAAGAAACTTCAAATCACATATTTACAAGTTGCAAACCAAAAAACCAAACCAAAGAAAGCTTTAAAAAGAAACCCTTCCTTTATATACCTGTGCGATAGAGTTCAGTAGCACCCCTGAAAAACCGGGGCAATGCTGCCTCCAATAACATGATAAAATCTTCAAGTTCTTCAGTAACTCCCACCAGAAAATATTCATTAATTAGGTTATACTTGGCTTGATCCATAGCCCACCTGCTTCCCACATTCCTGAAACCAAAGAAAAGGAATTAAAACCTGGTTGTGAAATCTGCTGAGTGTTTCTGGTGCCTTTGACACCATATATTACAGAGAAAATAGATAAACACATGTATATCCAAAGCCTCAATGCCTCTTTATTACCATCCTGTGGGAGGCACACCTGTTTCCAATTTCATTTGCTTCCATCTCCAGTTTCTGCTCAACTATGAGTGCTAATTCAGAGTTTACCAGAGGACTCTTAACATGAGCAATTTAGTTTAAGGGCACTTTAAAAATGTATATGGATATAAGAAACATACACCCCTCCCATATGATTTAGTGTGTGTTTTAACTTTTTTAAACTACTCTAAATTCTGTTAAGAGCTCTCTAGCAAAGTGTAAACAATTTGTGTTTACTGCTTATTGTGTGAGTTTCGGGTTTTTGTGAGCTAAGTGTTTTCTGAAATTTCTGAGGAACAGAAAATAGATAATGGCTCTGCTAAGAATCTTTTATTTTTATTTTAATTTACATTGTCAGCTAATGCTATTAACAGAGATTTGATCCAAAATAAACTATACTTTTGGGTTCTTTTTAGCACAAATATTCCTTAATCCAAATTCTAGCTCTGCATTTAAGTAGCAGTATGATCTTGAGCTGGTGGCTTCACCTTTCTCAATTTTGTTTTCTCAAACTATTAAAAAAAACAAAGAGGGGGAGGGGAACAGTGATTAATTGGTTTCTAAGAACCCTCCCAGTTCTGTGAATCTATGAAACATACTAAAGAAATACAATTAACTTCTCAAAAATGCCCAATAGAGCAAGTCTTTATTGTTCTAAGGCAGGGATTGGCAAACTTTTTATATAAAAGGCCAGAGGATAAATATTTTAGGTTTTGCAGACTACATAGTGATATGGTTTGGATATTTGTTCCCTCTAACTCTCATTCTGAAATGTGATTCCCAGTGTTGGAGGCTGGGCTTGGTGGGAGGTAACTGGATCATGGGAGCAGGTCCCTTGTGAATGGTTTAGCACCATCCCCTTGGTGATGACTGAGTTCTTGGCTCAGTTAGTTCATTAGAGATCTAGTTATTTAAAAGACTGGGGGCCTGGTGCGGTGGCTCACACCTGTAATCCCAGCACTTTGGGAGGCCAAGGTGGGCGGGTCACCTCAGGTTGGGAGTTCAAGACCAGCCCGACCAACATGGAGAAACCCCATCTCTACTAAAAATACAAAATCAGCTGGGCATGGTGGTGCATGCCTATATTCCCAGCTACTCAGGAGGCTGAGGCAGGAGAATTGCTTGAACCTGGGAGGTGGAGGTTTGCGGTGAGCCGAGATCACACCATTGCACTCCAGCCTGGGCGACAAGAGCAAAACTTTGTCTCAAAAATAATAATAATAATAATAATAAACGACTGGGTCCTCCCCCTTCACTCTCTTTCTCCCACTCTTGCCATATGATGTGCCTGCTCGCACTTCACTTTCTGCCATGATTGTAAGCTTCCTGAGGCCTGCATCATAAGCCAAACAGATGTTGGTGCCATGCTTGCACAGCCTGCAGAACCATGAGCCAAGTAAACCTTTTTTCATTATAAATTACCATCTCAGGTATTCCTTCACAGTAATGTAAGAATGGCCTAATAGAGAAAATTGGTACTAAGGAGTTGGGTGTTGCTATAAAGATACCTGAAAATGGGAAAGTGGCTTTGGAACTGGGTAATGGGCAGCGGTTGGAAGAATTTGAAGGGCTCAGAAGAAGACAGGAAGAAGAGGGAAACTTTGAAATTTCTTAAGTCGAGACTGGTTTAATGATTGTGATAAAAATGCTGACAGAAATATGGACAGAAGTCCAGGCTGATGAGGTCTCAGAGGGAAATGAAGAAGTTACTGAGAACTGGAGTAAAGGTCACCTGTGTTATGCCTTAGCAAAGAACTTGGCTATGTGGTGTCCAAGTTCTAGAGATCTATGGAAGTTTGAACTTAGAGTGATGACTGGTCGGGTGCGGTGGCTCACACCTGTAATCCCAGCACTTTGGGAGGCCGAGACAGGCGGATTACCTGAGGTCTGGAGTTCGAGACCAGCCTGGCCAACATAGCGAAACCCCATCTTTACTAAAAATACAAAAATTAGCTGGGCATGGTGGCACACGCCTGTAATCCCAGCTACTCAGGAGGCTGAGGCAGGAGAATTGCCTGAGCCCGGGAGGCGGAGGTTGCAGTGAACCGAGATCGTGCCACTGCACTCCAGCCTGGCTGACAGAGTGAGACTGCCTCAAAAAAAAAAAAAAAAAAAAAAAAAAAAACAAAAAACACACACACACACACAAAAGTGATGACTTAGGACATCTGGCAGAATAAATTTCTAAGCAGCAAAGCATTTAAGATGTGGCCTGGCTGTGTCTAAGAGGCTACAATCAAATGCAAGAGCAAAGGAATGACTTAAAGTTGGAACTTACATTTTAAAGGGAGGCAGAGCATAAACATTTGGAAAATTCACAGCCTGGCCATGTGGTAGAGAAGGAAAGCCCCCTCTTTTTGTTGTTTTTTGTTTTAAAGACAGGGTCTTGCTCTGTTACCCAGGCTGGATCTTGGCTCACTGCAGCCTTAACCTCCTGGACTCATGTGTTCTTCCTACCTTAGCCTCCCAAGTAGCTGGGACTATGGGCATATGCCACCACACCTGGCTAACTTTATGTTTTGTAGAGATGAGGTTGCCCAGGCTAGTCTCAAATTTCTGGGCTCAAGTGATCCTCCCACTTTGGTCTTCCAAAGTGCTGGAATTACAGGCATGAGCAACCACTCCCACTGGAAAGCCTATTTTCCAGGGAATAGGGCAGGGAATAGGGAAGGAATTTAATAACACTGTGGAGCAATCACTTATTAAGGAGGTTAGCATGACTAAAAGGGAGCCAACTGCTAATATCCAAGACAATGGGAAAAAGGCCTCAAAGGCATTTCAGAGATCTTCCAGGCTGCCCCTCCCATCACAGGCCCAGAAGCCTTGGGGGGAAGAATGATTTAAGGGGGCAGGCCCAGGGTCCTGCTGCCCTGAGAAGCCTTGGGACATTGCTCCCCACATCCCGGCCACTCCAGTTCCAGCCTCAGCTCAAAGGAGTCCAGGTATAGCTTGGGCCACCACTCTGGGGGAGCATAAACTGTAAACATTGGTGGTTTCCAGGTGGTGTTAAGTCTGCAGATGCTCAGAATGCAAGCATGAAGGAGCTTGCATTCCACCTAGATTGCAGATTCCACCTAGATTTCAGAACTGGGTTGCACTGCAGCCCTCACCCCACACAAAGACTCAAACAGGGAACTGCCTAGTGGAGCTGTGGGAAGGTGATTATGCCCTCCAGACCCCAGAATGGTTGGCTCACCATCGGCTTGCACGCTTTGCCTGGAAAAACTACAGGTACACTCAATTCCAACCCATGAGAGCAGCCATGTGGGCTGTACCCTGCAAAGCCATGGGGGCAGGGCTGCTCAAGGCCTTGGGAGCCCACCCCTTGCACCAGGATGCAGGAGATGAAGTCAAGGATTATGTTGGAGCTTTAAGATTTAATGACTGCCCTGCTGGGTTTTAGACTTGTGTGGGGCCTACTGCGCCTTTCTTTTGGCCAATTTCTCCCTTTTGGAAGGGAAATGTTTATCCAATGCCTATACCACCATTGTTACTGGGAATAAATAACTTGTTTTTTATCTCACAGGCTCATAGGTAGAAGGAACTCATCTCCAGATGAGATTTTGGACTTGGGACTTTTGAGTTAATGCTGGAATAAGACTTTGGGACTACTGTGAAGGGATGAATATATTTTGAAATATAAGAAAGACATGAGATTTGGTGAGCCAGGGGCAGAATAATATGGTTTGGATGTTTGTTCCCTCCAAATCTCATGTTGAAATGTGATTCCCAATGCTGGAGGTAGGGCCTGGTGGGAGGTGATTGGCTCATGGGAGCAGATCTGTCATGAATGGTTTAGTGCCATCCCCTTGGTGATAACTGAGCTCTCGCTCAGTTCACGTAAGATCTGGTTGTTTGAAAGTCTGGGAACCATACCCCCACCCCTACTGCCCACTTTCTTGCTCCCACCATGTGATATGCCTGTTCCTGCGTCACCTTCTGCCACGAGTGTAAGCTTCCTGAGGCCCTTGTTGGTGCCATGCTTGTACATCCTGCAGAACAGTGAGCCAATTAAACCTCTTTTCTTTATAAATTACCCAGTCTCAGGTAGTACTTTACAGTAATGCAAGAACAGCTAATACACATGGTTTAGGTTACAATTACTCAACTCTGCTGCTGCAGTGTGAAAACAGCCACAAGCAATAAGTAAAAAAATGTATGTGGCTGTGTTTCAATAAAACTTTATTTATAAAACAGGTGACACAGCTGGGCACGGTGGCTCATGCCTGTAATCCCAGCACTTTGGGAGGCCGAGGCAGGTGGATCCCTTGAGGTCAGGAGTTCGAGACCAGCCTGGCCAACATGGTGAAACCCCATCTCTACTAAAAATACAAAAATTAGCCAGGGTAGTGCAGGCACCTGTAGTCCCAGCTATTCGGGAGGCTGAGACAGAAGAATTGTGAACCCAGGAGGCGGAGGTTGCAGTGAGCCAAGATTGTGCCCCTGCACTCCAGCTTGTGTGATAGAGTGAGATTCTGTCTCAAAAAAATAAAAAATAAAACAGGTGAAAGGCCAAACTGGGTCTGCAGGATACAACCTGTAGTTTGCCAATCCCTGTTCTAAAGAAATGGTTAAAAATTGAGAAGGCATTCTTTATAGGCTTCCAATTCTTATACTATTATGAGGCTTTGATGTAATCTAATGAGTAGGACCTTAAACTCCACAGCAATCTAATAATATTATCTCAAATAATGAAGACATTCCTTGTATTTCTCATTATGGTTTATGGAAGAAACTTTGAATATGTTCCTTTTTTCTCCTACTTCTCCTATTAAAATGATTGAATAGAACAAATAAATACGTAAAATTATTTTTAAAAACTGAAAACTCAACACATTCTGAGGAAATACAGTTCTTATTAAAGTATCTTTATTTTCCACTTGATATTTACTAGCAAACTAAACCACAGCCATAACCTTGGCTTCTCTTAAAGTCAAAATCAGTTTAACAGTAAAACCAGGTGAATTTTAACCCACTAAGCCTTTTCTTAATTTAACATGAATAGCTAAAACAGTAAGCTTTGGACAAAATAAGATTTATGACACCCACCCCCACCCCCAGTCTCTAAGAGCTCTGCTGGAATACAGCAAAACATAACACCAAAAATAAGAAATACTAAAAACCGGCATCTCAGAAAACAATGCAAGGATATTAGGATATCACTCTACATGAGGAATCTTTTAAATGCATTTAAAAGTAACTGCAAAACTAGATATTACTGAATTACATGTTATTTTTAGTCTAGTCTTTCACCGATTTCCCTATATCTAGCCCTTGTGAAATGAAACACAGATTACAGAGATAATAAGGATGATAATCAATCTGAGCCAACTTTATCTCCCCTACCAGCATTCGGAGCTATGGCCACAGAAGAACGGGATTTGAAGCCAGAGCTTCTCTGGAGCACAGTCTGAGCCACCTTCTGCTACACATTCATCAAAGGTCTAGAACAAAGACAAAGCAGCACGGGTAAGCCATAAATCCAAGTCTCACCTATCAAATATCTAATGTGGTAAATTATTAAATAAATGGGCCAGAGTAGGTGGGATGAGACACTCTTATTTTTTTTGGAGTCATGTAAATTAATCACAGTTGGGCACGGTGGCTCACACCTTTAATCCCAGCACTTTGGGAGGCCGAGGCGGGCAGATCGCGAGGTCAAGAAATCGAGACCGTCCTAGTTAACATGGTGAAACCCCATCTCTCCTAAAAATAGAAAAATTAGCTGGGCGTGGTAGCACGCGCCTGTAGTCCCAGCTACTCAGGAGGCTGAGGCGGGAGAATCGCTTGAACCCAGGAGGTGGAAGCTGCAGTGAGCCGAGATGGAGACACTGCACTCCAGCCTGGCGACAGAGCAAGACTCCGTCTCAAAAAAAACAAAAACAAAACAAAACAAAACAAAATCACATACTGCCTTGTAACAGGCAGCTCTTAGGATCTGGTTTAGAATCTTAGGATAGGTTGATCTGTCTGTCTATATCTTTATCTACATAACTTGTTTCATATGCTTTTTAAATGTGTTATGTGTTATGTTCTGTCTTTCCAACTACAGTGAAAACTTCCTGAAGTAGCATTTGTGGATCAAGCAGTAGCATTTGTGTCCTCCAGAGCATATAGAATAGTGCTATATAAACCACTTGCACTATTAATATTTGTAAATGACTACTGAAAAGACTGCACCTTGGGGATTTACATGGGTATTAAAGGCATAGCTCTAGTGGAGGTGAAGACAGAGGAAATAAAATATTTTCATGAGGCATTTGATATTATTTCTGAATTTTTCTAGATGGTCTTAGATTTGCCAGCCTAGGCCATTTTCTAAAAAGTGGTTTTATTATCATTTGTGCCAGATTTTGTAGCTCATAAGAAGAAATAAGAAATAAAACCTTATATATCCATGCACCTACCATATCCCAAACTATAGCTATTTGAATTTGAGTATTTGGTGATATTTTCTCAAAATGAATAAATTATGCCTGTCACTTGAAGGAAAAACTGACAGTGTTGATATCCCACGGGTTCTCAGCTGGAAGCTATTCTGACCCTCAGGTGATATTTGGCAATGTTTGAAGGCAATTCTCGTTCTCACAGCTGAGGTATGGGGGATGCTACCAGGTAGAAGTAAGAGATGCTGGTAAACATCCTACAATGTATAAGAAGCCCCCCACAACAAAGAATTATCTGGCCCAAAACAACAATAATGTTGAGGTTGAGAAATCCTGTGATAGGCCAATGATAAAAATTAAGCTTTCAAGCAAAAAATAAAATTTTGGAAAACTTGTATCTGCCACCATAAGCTTGACAGTCTCCCAATACTTAAAGACTTTTCTGATGAGATTAGTGGTGATATTAATGTATATGAGTTTTTAACGCTGTATAACAAAATATGTTAACATTTGAAAAGTCCACATAACTCAGTGAACCAGTATGTTCCAAATGACCAATGTATGATGTTTCAAAATTATGCTTGGTTAAAAGATTCATTCAAAGTGTAAAACATATCAATAGATTTTAATGTAGCAAAGTATAAAAAGTTCACTGCTATGGTTTCAGATTCTACATTGCAACTAACTTTTGAAACTACCACTTGTCAAGTTTTAGTGTTTATTAAAGAATAGCCGCAATTTTTTGAAAAGCTATTAAAATCCTCTCTTTTCTAATTATATATCTGTGTGAAGCTGGATTTCCTCAATTCAACCAAAAGAACATTTCGAACAAATTGAATTCAGGAGCAAATATGAAAATCAGCTGTCTAGCTTCTCAGGGTTCAAAACAAAACAAAACAAAAAAACAGAAAATGAAAAAAAAAAAAAAAGAAAACCGGCTGTCTATAGTAAGCCAGATGATAAAAAGATTTGCAAAAATGTAAACCGATGCCACTCTTTTCATTTTTTTGTCGGAGGAGAAATAGTTATGTGCATTAAAATATAATTTATGTTAACATGATGGCTTTACTATTGTTTTAATATTTTAAAATTTTTTCAGTAAATGGCAAATTTACTGATATTGGTAAATATCAATAGATATAACCCAAAACAAAACAAAACAAAACAAAAGCTCTTTGGGCAATCCTTAATAATTTTTAAGAGTATAAAAGGAGTTCCTATATCAAAAAGTTTGAGAACCACTGATTTGATTGATATAGTTATTCAATGCTCATCTTTGGATTACTTAATATCCCTATTTTCCCAGGTACTGGGCAAAGGTTAAATTAAATAAAACTCTAGTTCTAAAATATGCAAATTTGAAATCTCCCAAATCAAAAGCCTTCCATTCTTTACAAGATCAAGTGAAAGCTATCCTAGGTGCAGGTGCACATATATCTAAAATGTGTTTGAAGTGTAACCACGGAGCAGTTCAGATTACTAGAGTACGTCAGTTTAAAACATAATAGTTGCCATAAGTGCTGAACTGAATACTGTTTAATACACCTCAAAATATCACTTGAGGTGCAAAGAATCTAGAATTTTATAGAAATAAAGCTATCTACACATTTTTGAGAATAAGCGCCATTACAAGGTATTTCCAACATAATCATGGCCACCCTTTAACACCCAATATCTTTCTAAAACCTGTCCAGCTTTAGAAATGTTATATGTATGCAGTCTTATCAACTTTACAGATGAGTTTAATGAAAACTCCTGCTAGTTAAAGATATTAAGGAGTTATTTGCAATAAACACCACTTAACTCATTAGGGTATCAGCATTAGGTTACCAACATGTGTATCATAAGAAACAAGCCAAATTACTAAAAATGTCTAATCACCAATATGTTTCAAGACTGAAAAGGTACATTCTGTCTAGCACAAAACAAAGTAATTTCTTATTTTTATAAATCAATTATTTACAGACAGCCCTGTCCTCATAAGAAGTAAGACAATGCAATAGTATTTTGCTGATGTTATCAACACTACATCTAGATAAGCAGGCATATTAATGTGTATTTTATAACGAAGTTAAAAAATAAAAAAACAAAACCCCAGGCCTTATTATAGTCAGGGTGAAGAACAGATAAAGCTCCAGGATGGCCTATCTACCTAAAACTTTCAAACATGAAAGGGAGATGATGTTAAAATGCTGCCTGGATTTTTTTGTGAATATTGAATATGCAACTTTGGATCACGTTTCACAGAAAAATGTCGAGTGACATGTTGCATTTCTTCTCTTCTTTTCAAAGGATGTAAGATGTATGGGCTCTGGAATTAGAGTGCTTGGTTTTAAATTCCAGCTCTACCATTTACTAGCTGAATGACACCGTGCAAAATACTTAGCCTTTCTGTGCCCCACAGTTTCCTTTTCTGTAAAATGAGGACAATAACAGCAACTACCCCATAAAATTGTTGCGCAAGCTACCTGAAAAAATACATATAAAATAACTTAAAACACTGCTTGGTATGGTGCACAGTAAATGTGAGCTATTATTACTGTTAATAATTATTATTAGTTATTATTACCCAATCCCCCAAACTACACAGGCTAGGAACCACAAAACCATGCTATCCAGGGCTGACAATGATAAATGATGGATATAGGGGCCTACATGACTGCAATCTTTTCCTTTCCAACACCGACGCTAATATTACTTTGGTCAAAGGAGGGAGACAGATACTAACATTTACTGAGTCAAGAGTTAGTGTAAGTAGGGCTAAAATAAAAAATAAAAAGAAAGCGCACAAGTGAATTTAGAAATAAATATCAATAAATTCTAAAGTAGTAAGTCATAAGAGTTATACTAATAGATTTTATAAAACTTCGCAGAATCTCCACAATAAATATTTCTAGAAGATTAAATAATGCTGAGAGATAGCATTATTTAAGAAAACAGATTTGGTTAGTTATCTGTGTTTGGATCAGTATCTTCTGCCTAAAGCTTTGAGACTAAAGAAACAGCAATTTCTAGAAATCATTAAAAAGGAAAACAAAACAAAAAACCACTGCCCCCATCATGTGACACAGAGGGTATAACTAACTTAGAAAAAAATACTGTTGGATGTTAATTATCATTAACATACCAAGTATCTGGCATCACTACTGTGTAATAGTTTAGGTTTAAAATGTGCAGAATTCACACATTCAACCATTTGTTAAGCACTTACGGGTAACCTAGGTATGATGCTAAATTCTGAGGAAACGAAGATGAATTAAATATATGCTTCAGGAAATTCACCACATTTTGGAAAAGACAGTAGGTAAACTGGTAATCCAAATATCACAAAATAAATGCTTAAAAGAGAGCTTTGAATGAAGTGCTCTGGGAGCCCTGAAAGAGATATGACTCACTGCCTGGAGGCATCAGAAAAGACTTTACGGAAGTGGTCATGTTTGAGCTAGATCTTAAAGGTGGATAAAGAGTTTTCCAGAGTAAAGGAAAGGCATTCTCAATATAGGGAATAATACATGTGTAAAAAAGTATGAAGCATTAATAACTTAAGCAATAAGTTCAGAGGATGGTGACATTTCATGTGGCCGAAGCACTGGACACCTAAAGGAAAATCAGACAGGAGAGCTAGGTCTGAGATCGTGTCCAGTTGTGTCTCCTATGTCTTAATCCATGAGCATGAAGTCCCAGTAAAGGTTTTCCACCAGAGAAGTGACAAATCAGTTTGATTTCTTAGAAATGTAACTCTGGTGATACTCTAGAAAATGCAGTGAAATGGAAGACAACCCAAATTTGAGCCTGTTAAGAACTTTGTTGAGCCATTATTCTCTTCTTGCCAGAAAAAAATAGCTGCTTCAGCAAAATAGTGTCCTTAAACTGATGATCACAAATATAAACTGCCATCAATACTTAGAGAACCAAAAAATACACAAAAATATATCATATTAGTGAATAATTACAATAATCGCACAGAAAATTGTTAATAGAACCATAAAGAAAACACGATTCCGCCCTGGAAAAGAAATATTTTTAAAAATCACAAAAAAATGTATATTACAATATATCAGCTATATAATTTTCTTCATTTTGCTTCTTTATATTTTGGGTTCTCTTCAAAATTTCCACAATAAGCAAGTAATAAATTTATAATTAACAACAAATTTTAAAAGCACATTGCTCACTGCAGTTCATAAACAATTATCTTTATAAAAATCTTAAAACTAAAATATTACCTTTTTGTCTCCTTGTTTTCGTCTCCGTAACCCTGGTCTATAATCATCTCCAAATCTCAGAAAGTAATAATAAGAAACTAGCCTCTCAATAGGATCCCTTATGACATTAATGTAAATTGGTTTCTTCTTCACACCAAATCTGAAATACAACAAAATTTCAAAGGTGAAATCAACATTTTCAATCTGTTTAGGAGTGCCCTGAAATTACATGTTTAAGTCTGAAGTACTGGTCCTATAAGGAAAAAAGAACATGAATTAATTTAAATAATTTGTGTATGTGTATGTGGCGATTGGGAACTATTTCATGATTATTCATGTCAGAATAAAGTAAACAAGAAATATGAATTTAAAAACTATGTCTGAAGATAAAGGAGATAAAAATGAATGAAAAATAATTTTAAACTTTACCAGCAAGAATTATATAAAACATTTTATTTCTATGCCTTCATTATACTTTAAGTCCAAGTAGAAAATCCCCTCTCAAATTAGTACCCACATATTACTAGGAAAGAATTTAATATTTATAATTTTTAAGCAAACTTATTTTAAAAATTGCTTTATTACATTCCTGAATAAATCATCTGCTGCTACAGAAAGTTTCAAATCTGCATTAACTATGTAGCAATGATTTCTCACTTCTGGCTCATCACACTAGCCAGATTTGATAGTGTTTTTTGAACACCATCAATGGATACAGCATTAGTGAACACAAGTGTGAACATGTCAATCTACCTTCTGTTGCTGATTTTAAAGACAAGATAGAGGTGAAAGACACTAGGTTTTCAGCATTATTTCCTTAGGGAATGATAAAGAGTTGATGGAACACTGAAGAATTTTACTTTAGCAACCCTTGCAAACCCTAGAACTGTACAACTGGCTCCCTGTTTTATTATACACCCTTGTCCCAGTCTTAAAATGTTACAGCTATCTTGATTCTTACTTTTCCATTATTCTTCATTTAATAAAATTTCAAAGTCATTTTGATTTGTTTTGTAAGCTTTCTCGCAGATGTGACCTGTCTTCATCATTCTTTCTCTTTACCACTTCCCTTTTTCTCAGTGCTTGCTTAGATTACTGCAAGAATATAGTTTTCTAACATTCAGTTTCTCTCCCTTTCAATCTATCTTCCATACCAATTCTCAAAGGATGTTCCTAAACATCATTTGTTAAATCACTCTTCTTAGGAATCTGAAATAACTCTACTGATTTATCGATATGAAACCCAAACTCCTTTGCTGGTTGTCTTAGGATTCTTTTACCTTATGTCTTAGGTACCACCTTATTGATCTAACTTTTTCTTTAACTCTCCTCAAACAAGAAACCATTTATCTGTTATAGTTAGGTTGGCCTCTTTTATCTCCTCCCATATCAATACTTATTCTATTTCTCTTTATATATCTTTGCTTATTCTGTCTTCCTTGAGTGCCGCTCTCATTTTTCTTTTTTCTACATTAATTCCTTCAAAAATACTTTTTGTATGAACCCAATATTGCCAGATATAATACTATTCTAGGTACTAGGAATACAGCAATGAACAAAAAGACTAAATTTCTTGTCCTTCTAGAGCTAACATTCTACTTGGGACAGATAGGCAATAAACAAATAAGCATATATAACAGATGGTAAAAAGTGCAAAGGAGAAAAATAATTCAGTGAAAGGGAATAAGGAGTGCTAGGGAGGTGAGGGAGAATACAATTCAAAATTGTGTTTTTTGGGAAGACATCACTAGTCTTATGTAATGAGGAAGGTACCATGCAAACATCTGTGAGAAAGTGTTCTGGAAAGATGGGATTTCCAACTAAGAGGTCCTTGAGGCAGCTAAGTGCCAGGTGTTTTGAGGAACAGCAAGGAGATCAAGCTGCCTGTAGAATCAAAAAGGGAATACCATGGAAGATAAGAGAGGTGGGGGTGAGGTGGAGTGAGTGCAGACTGTGTGGGTCTTCTATACTGTTACAAGCATTACTTTATACAGAGTCAGGAGGGAGGCCACTGAAAGATTTAAAAAGAGAATTACCATGACACAACTCATATTAAAAGGTCATTGGCTGCTGTTTTGGAATAAACAGAGGGGCTACAACAAAATCTTGTGACCTCTCTTCCTGATGACTCTAGCATACAGTTCTATGTGCTTTCATTTGACACATCCTGCACCTAAGAGCTATCAAGCAACTTAACTCTTAGCTTATCCTACTAGTGTTTCTCCTGTAAGTCTTTCTCCCCAACAGCATTATAAGTCACCTGAGGGTAGGCATAGTACCAATAGTGCAGTAAAATTTTCTTTCACAGTTTTTTTTAAAAGAAGGACAGTACTGTTGCAAATACATAGCACTGTCACATTCGGTATTAGAGTAGAAGTTCCACCGGGGCAGGGACCATTTCTCTCTTGTTCATGGCTTTATCACTAATGCTCAGCACTGTGCCCAACACACAGGTGCTGAATATTAATAGAATTAGGTTGAGGAGACCGTTGTGAATTAGCCACTAACAAAAGCCTTCCTGCCAGAGAGTACACTGAGTAGTAAGAAAGTAAGGAGGCAACAGCAATATATTGCTGCTCCCTTAGCTCACAGAGCTGAGAGGTTTTTAATAGGAAACTACAAGGAGAGATTACAGGACAATGGGTTAGTGATTCCATTCTTAAGACTGAGATTCCTGGGAATCCTCTCTATCCTCTCCATTATTAGCCACTGCTCCATCCTGAGCCATTCCTTTGAGAATAATCTCCTCGCAGAAGAACATCTCCTACCAATGTTTCCTCCTTTCCCCTAGTCCCTGACATGTGGAGCAGACAGCAATTACCAGGCAGCAGTAAAAGGGAATATGGCATTTTACAAAACTCTTTTTGCTGTCCAGGAAAATGACTATCTATGTGTGGAATGGCTTTGGGTGGCATTTATTAGGAAGTATGATTTTAATGAGATATAATCTGTGAACTCATTTTGAAAATGGATATGAACTATGATATGTAACTTAGGGAACAGTTATATAGACACGAAGGGCTGGAGGCAAGGGATTATAACAGATAATGGGCATGATTAAAAATAGCAACTGGACCACACAGCTCAGCCAGTTAGAAAACAAGAGCTAACGAGGTTTGCTGGTTTTACTCTTTTGCCAACCAGCTAGTTTCTATAGGAGCTAGTTTATATAGGAAGTCTGTGGTCAGACCTCACCTTTAACTCTGGTCAATCATTTCAGCTATTTCTCAACAAAGCTCAGGTAGAAGAATAAAAACCCATTTCTACTAGCAGAAAATAAACTACTGTTGACCTGTTAGAACACGATCTTCCTGGGAAAAGAAGAGCATATTTGGTAGGAATCTGCAGATGAAAATCAGAAACGAAAAGATATAATCTGAGCAGCAGGTTGGTAAAAAGATATTTTAGGAATTTCATTCTTGCCATGTCAGCATACGAAGTGTGACAAAGCAAGAACATAAACTAGGCTCATTTTTTTACAATTACATTCTATCAATAGCCTATCAAGTGAACAGTATCAATATGCAAATGAACAACAATAATGGTTAAAAGATCAACTGCACACTCAGAACATTTGTAAGGAACCTTGTCAACTGGCTGGAAAAAGTCAAAAAAGGAGGTGATGAACCTGAAAGAGGGCTGAATGGCCTTTGGGAATCATTATGTTTTGAAATCTTTCTGCTTCATACTAAATTTAACTTCTCTACTTAGGCAACAATCTTGCTGGAGACATTGTACATAGTTATTCTGGACTCTCTCAGACCTAAAGCTTCATAGAAACTTTCTAATCCTAGTGGCAAGGTCCCACTGTCCTGTATCCAAAAAAGTGAATGACCTGTTGGTATTTGTTGGTCTCACTGATGATAGTGTAAATAAATATTTTTAAAGTAATTTATGTCTTAAAAAGGGGCATTCATCAACTGTGCACCTATTAGAATGGCTCACATTTTGTAATAAAGAGCAAGTCTAACAATTTCAAATGCTAGTGAGGATACACAACAGCTGGAACTCTTAAAACACTGTTGGTTTGGTGGCAAAATGATACAATCACTTGGGAAAACAGTTTGGCAGTTTCTTATTGAGTTACCATACAATCCAGCCATCCCACTTTGAGGTTTTTATCCAAGAGAAGTTAAGACATAAGTCCGCACAAAACCTGTATGCAAATGTTTTGACAGCTTTATTCATAATCACCAAAAGCCATAAACAACCTCAATATCCAGAAACTGGTGAATGGATCAATCGAAGTACACCCATACATGAAGTACTACTTAGCAAGGAACTAACTACTGATATGTGCATCAAATTAGATGAATGTCAAAAGCATCATGTTAAATGAAAGAAGACACTCAAAAGACTTGATGACTGATAAGATATAGGTGGTGATAAAAAAAAGTTGTCCAAGATTACTTGAAAGTTTCTTGTTTGGGTGTCATGACAGACAAAAATGTGTAAACCTTCCAAAAGAGAATAATGGAGGCTAAGAGTCTTATACAATGCCCAATTAAGAGTTGGAAATAAGGACCAGCAGAGATTCAGACAAGGAGAAGAAGAAAACACCAGTTAAGACAATATGGTAACTGAAAGAAGACAGAATTTTAAAAAGAATCACCATACTGCTCTGCGTGAGGCACAGAACTAAGTGCTCCATCTACATTATCACATTTAATCCTCACCACCACCCCATGAAGTAATTACTTTAATTATTCTCAAATTAAAAACAGGACACTGAAGCTCAAAGATCTGAAACAATGTGGGTGAGATCACACAGCTAGCAAGGAGTCTAAGTGGATTTAATGGCAGATCTGTCTGACTTTAGAGACAGACTTCAGAGATTGCTTCTTAGCAGTCTACAGGATCAATGCTGTAGAAAGAGCTAGTAGTACAAGGTTAATAAAAACGCAACTCCCACATATTGTCTGGAATGATTAAAATAATTTTCTAAAGTATCTACAATGTTGTGACATATTTGTTAAAAGTTGTAGAAAATGGGGCAAACGTCAACTGGTTTAGCAGAGAAGTATTAGGTAGAAAGGACAATCTCACATGACTCTATATATTAACTAATTCTATTTAGGCCTAAAATGTTGTCACTTGATTACTGTTTAGAATTTCAGACCTAATGAAGCATTTAGTTGTTTCTTGTCGTGACATAGCTGCTTCTTTACTGATTCACCTCACTTGTTCTGAAAATGATACTAGCGGCAATATGGAGGAACCAAAATGGCAGCAATGAAAACTCATTCTCATTTCTAGGGACAACTACAAAGGTACATACCTGATACGTGCCTGAATAAAACTGTTATATCAAAAATAATTTTCAAATACCTCTCAAGACAGATGCTGACATGTGACACTGAGGTAGCTAGATCATAAAAAACTTAGCAGAGTCTGACAGAAAGTACAGCATTAAAAGTGTTCTTTTAGCTATTATTCATTATAAATGAAAATGTTTATTGCTGAAGAAGTGTTTTTGAAAGAGACTTCTAACATTTTAATTTTCTAAAGTTTGAAGAAAATCAAAATGGGCTAATAGATGCTATTAAAAAATAAATAGTGCACATTTAAAAGGGGAGGAATATTTAATATTTTTACTGTTTATAATAAAACTTCATGAACTGGTAATTACAGAAAAAAAGATTTCAGTGAACTCATTAAGGTCAAGAACTGCAACTTACTCAACTTTATATTTCCTGCATACTATGACATTTTGAAAATGTCCAACCTATATACAATTTTAAACTGGAAAATTTTCAAATTTATAATAATTTATATCTACATTATCTTAAAATTGTATCATTCACCAATTAAAAAGAAAACAAAACATAACCTAACATTAAAGGGAAAAATGGAAAGGAAGAAGAACTAGGAAATATACTTTAAAAAAATCAAAGAATAAGATTCAGACAAAAAGGAGCAAGATGGGATAGGAATGCAAAAATGTAAAAAAGATATTTTTGTTATTATTCTAAAGTTCAGTAAAAAACAAATGTATGTAATCAAAACATGGCTTGAGTAGACAAGCTTGCAAATATAATGTGTATTTCTTCGTGGTCGGGCTAAACTAGAAAGGAGCGTTCATTTTTTATTTCTCTATCTTATTTCCTAGGTTTCTTGGGGCTTACATTCGTTTTAATGTCTCTGATAAGGTAAGTTTAAAAAAACTATGTGTTAAATAAGTATTTTGCCAAATTCACCACTTTCTCCTGAAAGCAAGTATTTTACTGGACTCCACAAAGTACTATGCCAGTCAAGAATATTGTTTTGAAGAGTAAAGCACAATTGACCCTTGAACAACACGAGTCTGAACTGTGCAGGCCCATGCATACATAGATTTTTTTCAACCACACACAGATACAGTACTTGAGAGATGTGAAACCCGTGTACAAGGGGTGACTTTCAAATTCGTGGGTTTCACAGGGCCAACGGAGGGACTTGAGTATGCGATTTTTATATACTCAGGCAGTCCGAGAACCAATACCCTGGACATACCCCAGGAACGACTGTAATCTAAAAAATTGGTAAGGCGATGTTTCTTTCCTTTTCCTTCCCCATTTATGGAGCATATGGCTATTAAGCTAAAAGATATTTGAGGATACTAGTTACATCTACAACAGTTCTTGATTACATAGATACATCAAAATACATTTCACCTAGGCTGATTTTGTTTAGGTATTTAAAATCTTGGAAAAATCTATGAAAAATTTTCACAATACTTTTCCCTTCAAATAACATAAGACTCACTATGAAAATATTCAAACGCTTAAAAATTCATGTCAGCATTTAATAAATGAGATTAATCTCTTCAAAAAGCCTTATTTTTTCAACTACAAGAACCTCAGCATATATCAGAGCTTTGTTCTAAGTATAAGACTTTGCCAAAAGCAAAAGCACTCAATTTATAATTTTAATAATGAAAACCTAGACTATTAGAAACCAAGCTGTGTGTGGAAAGAATAAATCATTTAGGTGAAAGGGTAACAAACATTCAATTCAAGGATAATGCAGCCCTGAGGGAAAATATGCACATGAACGAAGCTTATGAAATTGGTTCAATGCCTATGCAAAGAAAAAAATAATTAGTTTATTTTAAAGCTGCCTATAAAATATTTTCAATATTGCAGTATGAATTATTTATAGAAAAACATACATCTAACTTTAGAGCTACAATTTGATTGAAAGATCTTGAGTACTATGAGAGGAACTAGAAATAGGAACATATCACTTTATGTATGTAATATTTGGGTGATTCTTTTTTAATTACATGATTTCCCAAAAAGTTAAGATTATCAGTTTGAATCAGTAATACTTCATTCTACTTTTTCTTTTCAAAATTAAGTAAAACTGAGAGTGGGATATCACTTTTATTTTAAATTTTATAAAAAATGCCTTTTAAAGTTGACCAATATATCAAGGTGTGTTACTCTGAAATCATAATAGCTAATTTAAAAACTGAATAAACATGTCTAAGCTAAATAATAAAAAAAATTTTTTTAGTGTTTTTGAAGTTAATGCAGAATCTTAGGGAAAACATTTGGATTTGAGGTTTACTACAATGGTACTATGTGTACTACCAAAAAAGTTCAAATGTATCCATAAGACTGTTATGTTTGGAATATTAAGTTTAATTAATTTTCTGATTAATAATGTGGCACAGACTGTACAGAAAGCCACATAGTACTTGAATACTGTGAGTAGGCATATAGTTTTCTGAACCCTTCTTGAGAGAACTATTAATATGACAGAGGCCGGGCACAGTGGCTCATGCCTATAATCCCAGCACTTTGGGAGGCTGAGGCAGGAGGATCACCTGAGTCCAGGAGTGAGTGAGTGAGTGAGTGAGTGAGTGAGTGACAGGGAGGGAGAGAGAGCAAGAGAGAAGGAGAGAGGGAGAGAGGGAGAAGGAGAGGGGGGGTGAGAGAGGAAATCATGAATTTTTTTTAAAAAAGCCTCGTAATACATCATAATTTTAAAGCTAAAATAAGGTAGCCCAAGGGAAAGTGTACACTTCAGTATGTCTTGGGTGAGAAGCAGACACACTGGAGCACCAATAACTTAGTGAGAGCTTTTTTGCTTTCTCAATGATGTGGTAAGTCATAATCTGGCCTCTAGGTTATAACTTGAGCTCTCCTGAAGTAGTGTCATTCTGGTTGTACAAGGCATATACACACAATAATAATAAACTTTAAAGAGTAATAACTAATATGTAATTAATATAAGAATTGCCAATTTATGAACACTAGAGGGCAGTAAAACACTAAGAAGGTATATTTAAATTACAGATCTAAAACTGGCAAAGGCAAGACAGTACATTCTTTTATTAGAAAATCATAACAATTTAATGAATTTATTCCTTTTTAGGTTACTAGAGTACAAAGCATTCTTTAGCGTGTCATTTCAGTGTAACTTACTTTGCAAAATCCAAGTAAGAAACGTGTCCATGATAAAATCCTGGTTTCATCTCTTTCCAGGAAGTTATATTCTTTACAAAGCGCACCTAAAAAGGGAGAACACATTCATTATATACAATTTAAAGAAAATGAAATTTGATGATAGCAAAATATTTCCAAGATAGGAATTTAAAAACCTAAAACCACTTTTACAGAGCTTGAAACACAGGTTTGGACTAAGGAAAGTATACTGTAATCTGTAACTATTAAAATTCATCATAGAGACAGCTACTATCATTATACTCACAAAAGAGTGAAAGATGATTCTGAAAACAAAATGGCACAATGAAATCCTTTACAATGCTGTAGAGTGAGTACATTTACATAGGGTGGGAGGAGGGTCGTTGTGGGGGTGTATGTATCTACACCCTGCCAACACACATGCTAAAGCAGGCAATACAGGAACATTCCAGCATATCAAATGTTTTCTTCTCAGAGGCTTGCTGTTCATAAAAGTTTATTTTTATTAATGACTCAACAAATAAAAAGTAATATTTAAAACCAAAATGATTTTTAAAAAGGTGATGGTTATCAGAAGATATTTAAGAGTTAAGAGCAGATATCACAAGCTTGTTGATAAAAAGATTAATAAAATTAGAGATGTAATACAGGTCAAAATATTTAAAATTTCTAAATATTTAACTTATTGGAATTAACGTACACAAAAATTAATATGAAAAATTATATAAGTATATTTTAATATGTCTAAAACTGGTTAATATAGAATTTGATAAACCTAAGTATCACTAGCTGCAAAGCAGTGATATACAATTTCTCAATGGAAAATGGTATACATTTTTGATAAGCAAATCTCTGCATGATAAATAGCAAGTGGTTAAGAATCTCTTTTAGAACCTAGATAGAGTGCAGAAAGTGGGGGCAGTGAGGTCCACCAACCTGTACCGCACCGAAACCATCTGCAAGCTATGACTTCAGCCTCTCAAACACAGAACTGTCAATTGCATAATTCTGACAACTTATCAATCTTTCACTTACATCATAGAATAGGGGTAGTCACATGGAGATATTCTGGAACACTTCATACTACACTACACTCAATAATATCAATGAATGATGATAGCTGCCTCCTGTTAAAGGCCTATTGGTAGGTGAGGGAGGGGAAACAGTGCAGATATAGCTATATGTCAGAGAATGTGAACTAGAGAAAAATGGAAGAGTTCTGGGATAATTTATCTTTAGGGGAAGCATTAATAACTCACATACTAAGAGAAATTATGAAGCTTTTAGAATGGAAATGGTTATATGCCTTACTTGGCCTCTCAATACACATATACATCCTTAAATTAAAATCTGAAAAATGAATTGCAGATAAAAATTAGTTTGCATTAGAAAGTATACAATGTCATTTTAGCAGATATTTTCAATTTTTTTCCCCACTGAAACTGAAAGAGCCAAATAAATGTGATTTGAGGTTTTCATGTTCTTTCCAATTCTTCAACTAAGGCATCAAACAGAATGAAAATACCAAATTGCAAATGAAACAGAAACAAAATATAAAATTAAATAATCCAGAGCCTGCATCTTTAACATACTTTACATGCTGAATATGAAAAGTCTTTATAACTGCCACTTAATGGTAGATTATTTCCTATAAACCTTTGGTTCTATGAAAATCAGTTCTAGTATTTCAGCCAAAAATGAGAGGAAAAAAGAAGGCAAAGAGAATAAGGCATTGAAGATGGTGGCTAAAGTGAGCTTAAGATATATTTAGCAACTCACCTCTGTTTTCCAGAAGCTGAGATTTAATGTGGACATGGTGATGTAGGAGGGAAATGAAAGATGCTACATTGAGGTCTGAAAAAACAGTGTTATATAAACTAAACAGCAGGGAAGATCATATAGTACAAGCTTGGAGTATACTGTAGTGAAAGACGTGGGCAGAAGTAAGAGTCAGGTACAAATTCAAGTATTCTTTTTCCTCCAACAAAGCTTCCTAAGGATGGTCAATATTAAACTAAACCCTCTCCTGAGGATGAATGATATCTCATCCAATGTGTACCCTTCAACACAAAGTGAAAAAAGCCCAGGAAGCTGGATAATGTCTACACTACTGCAAGACTTCTCATTTCTTCTGGGTTTTCCAATTTATTGGCATATAGTTGCTCATAGTAGCCTCTAATGATCCTTTGAATTTCTGTGGTATTAGTTGTAAGGTCTCCCTTTTTATCCTGGGCTAAAAGTTTCTTGATTTTGTTTATCTCTTCAAAAAAACCTTCTTTTTTTTTCTTTTTTTTCTTTTTTTTTTTTTTGAGACGGAGTCTTGCTGTCGCCAGGCTGGAATGTAGTGACACGATCTCAGCTCACTGCAACCTCCGCCTTCCAGGTTCAAGTGATTCTCCTGCCTCAGCCTCCTGAGTAGCTGGGACTAGAGCACCCAGATAATTTTTGTATTTTTAAGTAGAGACGGGGTTTCACCATGTTGGCCAGGACGGTCTCGATCTCTTGACCTCGTGATCTGCCCGCCTCGGCCTCCCAAAATGCTGAGATTACTCATCTTTTTGTATTTTTTTGTTTCAATTTCATTTATTTCTGTTCTGATCATCATTATTTCTTCTATTCATTTTGGATTTGGTTTGCTCTTGCTTTTCTAGCTCTTTAAGATGCAACACTAGGTTGTTTATTTGAAGTTTGTCTACTTTTTTGATATAGGCACTGATTGCAATAAACTTTCCTGTTAGCACAGATTTTGCTGTATCCCATACATTTTGGAAGGCTGTATTTCCATTTTCATTTCTTTCAAGAAATTGTTAAATTTCCTTCTTAATTTATTGACCCACTGGTCACTCAGGAGCACGTTGTTTAATTTCCATGTGTCTTGCTATTGGTTTCTAGTTTTATTCCACTGTGATCAGAGAAGATATTTGATATAATTTCAATTTTTTTTTGAACTTTTAAAGACTTGTTTTGTGACTTAACATATGGTCTATCCTTGACAATGACCCATATGCTGAGGAGAAGAATGTGTATTCTGCAGTCACTGCATGAAATGTTCTGTAAATATCTATTAGGTCCATTTGGTGTAAGCTGCAGATTAAGTATGATATTTCTTTGTGGTTTTTCTGTCTGGGTGTTCTGTCCAGTGCTGAAAGAAGGGTCTTCAAGTCTCTAGCTATTATTGTATTGGGGTCTATCTATCTCTTTAGCTCTAGTAATATTTGCTTTATATATCTGGATGCTCCAGTGTTGGACAGACGTATGTTTAAAAATTTTATATTCTCTTGCTGAATTGACTCCTTTATCATTATTTAGGACCCCCAAGCACTTTAGCCCATGGTGGCAGGGGCTGCTGGAACTGAAATACCAACTGCTGAGATGGAAGATTAACCTCTGGCTAGAGCTGTCTAAACGTTCCTTCTGTGGGCACCAGCTGAGCTCTGCCCCTTGTTACTTTCTGATGTGACAGGGCAGCACCATATTCAAACGCAAAGTCCCGCAATCACTGTGCTCTCCCCCTACCCAGGGTGCAGATTCTCTTTCTGCGCCATGTGGCAGCTACCAGGGGGAATGGAGGAGGGGTGGTATAGGAGATATAAGACTGTGTTTCCTATCCTCTTCAGTGCCTCTTTCCTTAATATGTTAAAACTAGGTACTATGATTGCTCACCTGATTTTTGGTTCTTATGGGGGTGCTTTTTTGTGTGGATAGTTTTTCAATTTGATGTTCCTGCTGGGGGACAATTGCTGAAGGCTTCTATTTGGCCATATTGCTCTGTCTTCCTCCCCCATATCATGATTCTGCTTTAACAAATTGGACACTGAAAATCTCAACTTCTATCCACTACTAAGGCAATCCCTCAGATCCAGTCGTTCAAAACTACTCCATCTCTCCAACATCTCAAAGCTCTGTTGATATAACTCTCTCAATTGTTTATTTCCTTATGAATTCATTCATCAACTTTATTGTCATATCAACTTCCCATTCACCCTGATCACTACTCTCTTTACCGGACAACCATTTTAACAATAACCCTTGACGTTTGTTCCCTTGTCTTTTTATTATCTTGGGTAACCACTGGGATTGCTGAGTACTCCTGGTTGAAACCAAGAGACTACATCTAAATATCTATGTAGGATTTTGAATTTTACTTCCTAAATCCATGCTATCTGAGGTAAATTCAGGTGATTATTATTGCTTTAAAATTCTCTAGAATCTATTTGTTTTTTCTTTCTTGAGACAGAATCTCATTCTGTCACTCATGCCGGACAGCACAGTGGCATGATCATAACTCACTGTAACCTCTAACTCCTGGGCTCAAGTGGTCCTCCCACCTCAGCCTCCCAAGTAGCCAGCACTGCAGGAGTACACCACCATGCCAAGCCAAGATTTAAAGAAAAAAAAAATTTTTTTTTTTTTTTGTAGAGTTGTTACCAGGGCTGTTCTTAAACTCCTGGGCTCAAGTGATCCTCCCACCTCAGCCTCCCAGAATCCCAAAGTGCTCACAGGCCTGAGCCACTGTGCCTGGCCTCTACTATTGTTAAAGTCCTCAAAACACACAGAATCTCTTTCTAAGCTCAAACTAAAAGCATACTAAAGGCTAGACATGTAATATATCTGGCATACGTATTTTTCTTTCATCTCATCAGCATTTAACTAAGGCAATATGTTAAAGTTTCATTAACATAGCTGTGGCCGATTTAAAATTTACAATGAATCAAAAGATGCTGAACTGAGGTTTACCTTCTCTTTATGACGAAGAAAAAAGTGTGAAGCAAATAAATGATGTCAGTATGGCTAACATGGTTCACACTAATCTAGAAAACAGTCTGAGCATTTGAAAGTGTTGGCCAGGTGCAGTGGCTCACGCCTATAATCCTAGCACTTTGGAAAGCCGAGGCGGGTGGACTTCCTGAGCTCAGGGGTTTGAGACCAGCCAAGGCAACATGGTAAAACCCCGTCCCTACTAAAATACAAAAAATTAGCCAGGCGTGGTGGCTCATGCCTGTAATCCTAGCTACACGGGAGGCTGAGACAGGAGAATCGCTTGGACCCGGGAGGTGGAGGTTGCAGTGAGCCTAGATCGCACCACTGCACTCCAGCCTGGTCCAGCCTGGGCGACCGAGCAAGGCTGTGTCTCAAAAAAAAAAAAAGTATCATTTACATACTGCTGAAATTCCATATTATCTTTATCTCCTCTTCAAAACTGTTCTCCAAGGAAATAATATGAGTAACTCCCTTTGAAAAACAGTACTTTTAAAAGTTTTATTTTTAAAGTATTAATTCGGCCACTTCTCCTTTTACAGTTTAATATTTATCCTTAGTTCTCCAGAACTTTCCTGGTCTCTACTCTTTCACCTTCATCTTTTCTCTCTCATCAGTCTAGTCCCAGTTCTGCTCTATCATGATCTGCCTTCTCACCTCCCTGCACCACTTGCTTTGTCTTTCAGTTTGTTTTCTTCTGGTATTTCTCTTGGGCATGCTGCCTAAGACCTTGAGACAAGGTTTGAAAATACAGAGGAGTAAGAAGAGGACACTGAGATTAGGTAAGCAAACTTCTACTCAGTTCACTTTATGGATTCTTACTGACTATACTTGGCACAAATGAAAGGTAAAGTGATAGGCCAAAAAAGGAGCAAAACTTAATAGTATCAATTGAAGTTAAGGAGACTGAAGACACTGAAAACTCTGGCTTGGGGAGAAGAAATAAGGCCACTACAGTGACTTTAGTCATAGAAAATTTTCATACTCTGACTGAAATATGCTACCAAGAAGAATGTTTCAGATGTAGTAGTCAGATATAGTACATGAAACGCAGCTAGCCTGAAGCAGAGTGTAAACCGTGATTTTTGTTGGATTTGATGACTCAAGTCAGGCTAGCAAGTAATAAGAAGAGACCTTAAGGAAAAACACAAACAATATAGGTAATGGTGTTGGGGTTTTTTGTTAGTTGAATCAGACCTAAACTGATGTTACAGGAAAAAGCTAAGAAGCACCCTTCTCACTAACAGTAGTGTCTTGACCTATATTCTTAATAGATCAACCTCAATATTATGATTATCTGTGATAACAAAAGCATTTGTTTTCACTATCTAAAAGAGCAGGAATGTCATCCTGAACATTCTGGCCAAATTCCAACTCTGTAATTACTATCTGTTGAATGAATGCTACTATTAACTTGAGTAATTACTATCTACCAAACTCCCACTCATGCATTTACTTAAACATTTCTTGTATGGCTGTGGGTACTTTTATGAGACTAAGCCAGGGAGAAAGTTTTCTACACTCACAGGAAAACAAAGTAGTGGTTGGATAAAAATATAAGAAAAGTTTGCAGTAATTGAACATATCTTCACTGAAGTTCAGAGCTGTGCTGTTCAACCTGTTTTAGGAGTGTAGGGCAGGGGGCTGGTTCCCAATCCACCTGAGAGATAAGAATAGATCATACTGCTGTCAATCAGAGGTGCTCACTCTGCCAGTAATTATTATCATCTACCGCTATCAAAATCTATGTTGGTCCATTTGTTCATTCATTCATCATTTATTTAACAAAAAATGTATAGTTTCTACTATGTCTCAGGCACTATTCTAAACATAAGGGATATAGTAGTGAACAAGACAGACAAGGTTCCTATCCTTAAAGATCTTATAATAGAGGAAAAGACAGGCAGTAAACAAACCAATATATAAGATAAGTTAGTAAGCTGATTAGTACCAGAGAAGACACAACAAGAGTGATACAGTACACAGTAACTTAGAAGAGGTAATTAATATGTAGGATGGCCAGGCATGGTTTTTCTAAGAGGATGTCATTAAACCTTAAATGGATAACATGAAGCCAACTCTGGAAGAAGCCAGGAGAAGTGCATTCTAAGAGGAAAGGATAAGTGCGGAGGCCTTAAAATGGGAAAGGCTTGGCGTATTCAATGAAACACAAGGCCAGTGTGGCTAGTGGGTAAGAAGTTGGTGCACACAAGGGCTAGATTAAAAAGGGCCTCTTGGTCTATGTAAGAAATGTGGATTTTGTAGGGGAGGTAGGAATAACAATTTAAAGATAAGTACCCTACCATCCTGGGAAGACTAAAGTATTCATCTTCCCATATCCCTACTGAGAATCATCATCTGTATCTTTGTTACTCAAACTGCAGTTTAAAGACCAGCGGCATTAATTTTGGCATCCAGTGGGAGTTGTTTAAAAATTGAAAACTGGGCTCCATCTTGGTCCTTCTGAATCTGAATCTGCATTTTAACCAGTGATTAGCATACACATTATAGGTGGAGAAAATTCATCTAAAGTGCTGCTCTGAAAAGTATCTGCAACTCCTGGTGAACTGTGGGCTCTAACGCAGATAACCTAAAGTTGGCTTGAGAGTGAATTTCAAAAAGAAAAAAATTCATGTTGTTCTTCAGAGAATACAAATTCTAGGTATTTCCAATGTTTTAACAAAAGGGGTTATATATAATCATAGACCTAAACATATGAGAGCAAAAAAGAATTCTTTTTTTGAAAAATCATAAAAGATGTGGCTAATCACATATATGGTATGGCTAAACACATGACAGCAAAGCAAACTCCATTTTTCAACTAGAAGAGTTGATTGATTACCTATCTCTTGCCAATTCCTCTCTATTAACTAAGTAAAGCCCATCGCAAAAATGTATCTTTAATGACTGAGTCCACACCTTATTCTAATTGCTTAGTTTCTCATACCTTATATTCTCAAATGTTTATCTTTTAATATCCTTCTTTTAACTTTTCAACTTTTTTATTTAAAAAAATTTCTAAACTACAGAAAAGATGAAAAAATAGGACAGTGAACATCTCTATACTCTTCACCTAGATTCACTAATTATTAACATTTTGTCACTTTTATCTTTTTTCTCTATGTATGCACATACATACTCAATTTTTTCTGACCTATTTGAAAGCAAATAGTTGTCATTCATATTTAACCCCTAATTACCTCAGCATGTACTATGTCTATGAACAAAGATATCATTTTTGATCAAGGATCTGATCACAGACCATACATTACATTTGGTTTCCATGTCTCTCTAGTCTAGAGAAGCCTCCCTCCAACTTTTTTGGTTGTTATGATACTGACACTTTAGAAGTCAGTTGTTCTGTAGAATATTCTACATTAATTTGTTTTCTCGGGATTAGGTCCAAATCAAACATTTTGGTAGGGAACACTTTTGGTTAAATATTTCAGTGAGATCACCACAAATTGATGTTTTATTTTAACTGTTTTCATAGCCCCTGTGTTTATGTTTTATGTTCCCAAGTAAATTTTAAATAAGCTCCTTCAAGGATGTGGCCATGCTTTCTATTTCTTTGTTATTTCCCCAAAGAATGTAGTACAACCTTTGTGTATATTACATACACAACAAATAAATGAAAAACTCAAAAGCAGAGTTGACAACTATTTCTAAGGATAGCAGAATATATATAACTATTATACATTGAGTGGTTTTATACCAGACTAAAAATATTTGGGCTTTGCCTCTAAAATTTTTGAGACAAATAATTAAGCAGGTAAACAGTTTAGAACAATACCTAATATAGTATGTACAAAAAATGTCTAGGAAAGCTGGGGCTAAAGGCAGATATCAAGCAGACTGAACTAAGATTGGAAGGTGAGGGAATAAAGAGGATGGTCAGGTAACATATCTCAAAATATTTTTATGAGTAAACTGAGCTTTACACGGAAGCTGGAGACAACAGATTTAAGAAAGATCTCATCTTTTAAGTTGTACTTGATTAGAAACTATTTCTTAGAGAAGAAAAAAGAGCAAAATAGTTCATTTAATTCTTATTTAAGCAGCTGAGAGGCCAGGCGCCTGTAATCCCAGCACTTTGGGAGGCCTAGGTGGGCGGATCACCTGAGGTCAGGAGTTTGTGACCAGCCTGACTAACACGGTGAGACTCTGTCTCTACTAAAAATACAAAAATTAGCTGGGCGTGGTGGCGCATGCCTATAATCCTCGCTACTTGGGAGGCTGAGGCAGAATTGCTTGAACGTGGGAGGCAGAGGTTGCAATGAGCCGAGATCGCACCATTGCACTCCAGCCTGGGAAGCAAGAGCAAAACCCTGTCTCCAAAAAAAAAAAAAAAAAAAAAAAAGGTAGCTGAGAACAGTACACAGAGACAACAAAATATGATATTATTAAAATAAAAGTGTGTTATATCAGATGGGGTTCAGGGAATATTTAAAAATTATTTTTAAGAAATACAGTGCAATTTTTAGTTTACATTTAGATGAAGCTTACTAGATTAAAAGTGAAGTAAACATGAAAACATGTCACACAAAAGAAGGGGAAGCAGTAAATATAACTTGTTTGAAGAACTGCGTCTACATAGAACAAGAGATCACAAAACTGGAGATAGGGTATATAAAGAACATTTGTTAAGTAAGTTACTCTTAATTAAGATCAGGTTTTGGACTACCAGCTGATAATTTTGAAGTATGTCAGCTAATGATTAAGACTATTCTTCTGCGCTGCCCCACACAAACATTTTTTAAGTGTTGGTCATTATGCAATCCAATTGCTTTTAAGATAGCATTTATGCTTCTCTCCTGCTGTTTTTTTTTTCCTATACATAACCAACAAGTTATTAAAAGAAAAACAGAAGCTTTATCTCATCCAAATGCAACTGGGAAAATATACTACTACATGATGCCTATAAATGTCATATGTGGTGAGCTCCTCCAGATTTATATTTCATGAAAATAATGGTTGATGTCATTGCCAGACATCTTGCAGTTACCAGGACTTTGTAATGCTGAACAAACAAATTAACATTATTTTTCTAAAAAGTACTACTGAATAAATCTGAAATTATTATCTAAGCATGAATACATATTCCTTTTAAACCAAAGCATATTTTGAAAAGCAGTAATGCAAAAAGATTTAAAACCTACTACACACTGTATAAAAACAGAATATTTAGGATACTTGTCCTTGAGATACACAATATTACATAATGAATAGTTTTTATGACACACATAGCTAAAAACAACTCATGTTTCTTCTCATTCATAGAAGAGTTATTTGGTTTGGCCGACAGATGTGGAATTTTGGTTCTACAAAAAAGAGTACTCCAGGATTCTGCAAAGAGCCAAAAATTACATGGGCAGATGACATACCATATACTACTAGCCTTTACAAACAGCTCTCTAGCAAGAAAGCCAACCTTAGTCTTGTGTCTCAATGTAATTCTCTTGTTTAAGTGTAAGGATTATAGTTATGCTAAATAGTGAGATGACAGTCAATTCTGTAACAAGTTCACTGCTTTCAAACAGATAAATATCATTGTAACTACAGGACCATCACAAATATCTTTCTAATAAGCCTACTCCAATTTGGTATTTGATCCTAAGTAGTATTTGCAAACATTATCTTTCCTTCTCATGGGGTGGAATTCCCATGCCCTTCCATATTTATAGAGAGAACTTTATTTATAATTGCAGTCAAAATTCCAGGTGTGGGAGAAATGTATGCTACTACTATTAAAGAGATGAGCAAATTTTATTTCATAAGATAATTTCCTCTACTTTTCTTAAAACCATTTCACAAAATTATTTATTCATCTGTTTATCTAAAACTTCGTGAGAATTTAAAAGGTAAGATTATGTTGAAGAAGCCACAACTAAACTATATATACATTTATAAGCAATGTATATATAAACTCTCTCTGTATCTATCTCTATCTCTATCTAGTAAAGAGGGGCTGGTCACAAAATTGAATACAAGTATCCATCAAATATTTCTCCATCATAAGTTGAGACAATAATTTTTATTGCAGGGTATCATGCCAAAATTATATTTTTAAAAGGATACTATGCTCAGGAACATCAGTTTTCTCAAAAATTCAAGCTATTCATTAATTCATTTACTTCACAAATATTTGAGTACATACTATATGCAAGGAAATGTGTCAAATACTGTCAAGTAAAATTATACAAAAGTTAGCTGGCCCTCTCCCCTAAAAGGCTTATGATCCACTGAGATCAGCACTCACATCCCTTTAAAATACTTTATCCCCTTGAGCTAGAAAATTTGAGTGAGGAAGTATTAGAAAATATTTGGGCATTCCTTAAGTGGTAATTACCTGATCTTGCAATGACATCACTGGATTATTTTTGGTAGTGTTGATATGAAGGACATGGTATTTATTCTTTGCACACAGGTCATAGGCGATATTGGTAAATGAAGTGCTTGCCGTTTTGGGAACTCTGTTATAAATGATCACCATGTCCTCTTCCTCATCTAAAGTGGCATCTTGCCGAGGGCCATCCATTGTATGTCGCTGCTCAATTTCTCGGACTTCGTGTCTTGCAATAGCCCTTTCTGGAAAGAAAAACAGATACGAACTAAGTTTTTAAGGACACTATAAGGAAGTTATGAACACTGAACTTTGGACCATGATTAGAAAAGATACAAAAAAGAAAACAAAAAACAAAAGCAAAGAACCAAGGGATATGGAAAACATGGGTAAATTGCTTGGGTTTCTAAGAGGATCTAGTTGATTCTAAAACAGCTGTACAGCCTGGAACATAATCTTCCTATTCAAGAACTAGGTAAGAGCTGTTGAAGAAATGTTTTGAGGACCAAAGCTTCAGAATTCCTTATGAAGGATAATACATATGTATATCAAGAACAAAAAGGAATAAAGAGTCAACAAATGCAGAATAGCACAGACCACAGAGTACTTCAGTGCAGTTCAAAAGTCACTTTACATTCTAATAGAATTCCTACAGCCTGAACTAATTCTCAAACACACAAAGATTGCATGGAATACTAAACTTCACAGTATAAAAATGCACTTAAAAGAGAAATTACTTATAATTTAAGAAAAGGTTTTGAAATTTATTACCCGATTTAGTTATTCTCTGGTTTATAAAAATGTAGCAGGACAGTGATTATAAAGTGATTATAAATTATAAATTAAAAAACTGTAACAGGACAGTGATTATAAAGTGATTATAAATGCTAATATGACTTAACAAGAGTAGAAACAATATGACTTAGAAGGGTAGAAACAATACTACCATAAATCCTTTTTCTTTTTGGTGTTGCATTAGAAACTATGTTTAGCACATGGCTATGCTTTTCACTTAAATTTCATGGTTCCTCTAAAATTACCTATCTGCTATGTGGTTTCAAAAGCAGTTACATTTTGCTTTCTAGTATTCTCTATTTAATGCAAACTTCAGCTTCAAATATATATATTCAAATATCTATACATTCTAATATACATTCAAATATATATTTTTTCTTTTATAAATATATATGAATAAGGATGCAAGAAAAGGAGAGGAAAGAAGGAAATGAGGAGCGTGAAATCTCTAGCAAGATTGCAAATACTTTGCACGGGGATAGTTACACATATAGCACGTACTCTCTTAACCCCCAAGTCTTTGTGCAAGCTATCTCACCTATCTTGAACAATCTTCCATTTCCCCACCCAACCTTTACATTTCAACTCAATTGCTTCCCAGGGAAGCATCTGATAGCTCTGACTAGGTCAAATCATCTTTTTTTTTTTTTTTTTCGGAGACAGAGTCTCGCTTTGTCACCCAGGCTGGAGTACAGTGGTTCGAACTTGGCTCACTGCAACCTCTGCCTCCTGGGTTCAAGCAATTCTCTGCCTCAGCCTACTGAGTAGCTGGGATTACAGGCACCCGCCACCACACCCAGCTAATTTTTGTATTTTTAGTAGAGACACGGTTTCACCATCTTGGCCAGGCTGGTCTTGAACTCCTGACCTCGTGATCCACCCGCCTCGGCCTCCCAAAGTGCTGGGATTACAGGCATGAGCCCCTACGCCCGGCTATCTTTTAAAAAATATACATTCATCTATCTTATACTACATGTCTCACTATATTTATCATAATTGCAGTTTTACATTGTATGTGTGGTTATTAGTGTCCCCTATGATGCTGACAACTTAATAAAGTAAGATGAAAAGCAATGTGGTATAATTACAGCAACAAGTGCAGACTTCAAATATTGTCAGAGCATGCATCTTTGATTTTGGTTGAAAAGATATGGACACCATGTTATATAGAATACACTCTGAGCTGAGGATTTGCATTCAAAAAACCAGAATTAAAAATTCCAGGCCTGCTGCTTACTAGCAGTGGGCCTTCCAAAACAGAAGTACATATATGAGAGATATACGTATGTGTTATATATTTATATGCAAATATACATACTCTTTTATTCTGGGGGAAGGTATGAACTGAAAATGGAGAGAGAAAGACATAATGAGCTTAATATTGAATACACTGTTGGATAGCCTGGGTCATCCAGGAGATATAAGATAATTGGGTTTATAGGTGTACAGTTGAGAATAAAGGTTCAAGTAGCAGATAGACAGCTGCCTAGACAATATACAGTATGTAGCACAGACAGAGACCCTAGGATAGAATCTTAGATGATACCAATATTTAAAAGGCAAGTAGGAAAAGATAATCCATAAAATAAACTAAGAATAAGAAAGAAAAAAGAGCCAGGAGAGACTTTAAAGAAGCACATACCATACTATTTTTTAAATCAATAGTGCTTTATAAATAAACCTACAAATCAAGGTAACATACGATAAGCATCCATACAAGATTTGGAAGTTGTCTTAGATTAAATTCAACTAATTTGTATTGAGAACCTATGAACATTATTATTATTTTTTTGAGACAGGGTCTCACTCTGTCACCCAGGCTGGAGTGCAGTGGTGTGACCATGGCTCACTGCAGCCTCGACCTCCCCAGGCTTAGGTTATCCTCCCACATCAGCCTCCCAAGTAGCTGGGACTACAGGTGCACATGATCACATCTGGCTAATTTTTGTATTTTTTGTAGAGACGGCGTTTCACCATGTTGCCCAGGCTGGTCTTGAACTCCCAGGCTCAAGTGATCCTCCCTCCTCAGCCTCCCAAGGTGTTGGGATTGTAGGTGTGAGCCACTGTACCTGGCCTGAACATTATTATATTCAACAATTTTAAAGGAACATTATCTTCTAAACAGTTCAAAACTATTATGGTAATGTTACGTCCAAACACCCTCCCCTTTTCTACTAAGGGAAATACAACAGTGGTGTTGGCATTTAAGCGCTGACAGAAGCGTGAGAGGTTTCCTCTAGCAACACAGACATATGTGAAATTGCCTTTAAAAGATTCACCCACTCACACAAGTAGGAGTTTGCGCTAAAGAAAAAAAAAGATTCACTTACAATCAACAATGCTGAATTTACTCACACTAGTTTTTTCTTCAAATCAAATACTTGGAAAAAAAGATTTTTTGTGTTATTTCATAAGCAGGTATCTATTTTATCTATAAAAAACATGAGACAAACTGCAAAATTGTTTTAAAATTACCTCATCAACTTTGCTACACCTCCGGCAGGGCCATGAAACAAATATGTTTTTAAAAAGTAATTATTATTCTTGGTTCATTATATGTATTAAATCATATAAACTGTGTATTTCATACAATTTTAGAAATGTCTTAAATTATGAAAAGGTAGAAATATTGGCATCACTACTTTCCTCATTCAAATAGTATTTACATGCATTTTCTATTTTTCAAGTGTTTTTACTTTGCTTAAATATATAGGACAATTATTAATATAATGTTAGGCCTAAAACTACATAAAAAGATAAAAAATGTATGGAAAATTAAGAACAATTTTGTTAGTAATATTAAATCACATCTCAGTTGAACAGCAGTAACTATTATTGATGATAAATTACTATCTTTCTTCTGTGGCAATACTTAAAATCAATCAGTGTTTTCAATATGGTCATTTTCTTTATTTACTAAGTAAGTATTAGATAGTTATAATTCTTTTTTTTAGCAAAGATGCTCTACATCTAGTTAGTGCAGCCTCTTGTGAGGCTTTCTTAAATCACTGAAGAAAGTTAACTAGTTATGCCACATTTGCAGTGCACTTAGAATGTAGGCAGTATATTCAAAATACTTAGGATACATTTTGTCGTAATGTTTTCTTCATCTTTGAGTAATAAATTGCAGTTCACCCTTGAACAACATGGATTTGAACTGCATGAGTCCAATACGTGGATTCTTTTTCAATAAAATTTACACTGAGTGTGCCTGCTTCTCCTGCCTCCTACCTCCTTTATCTCTTCTGCCTCTGGCATCCATGAGACAGCAAGACTAGGCCCACCTCTTCCTCCTCAGCCTGCTCAGTGTGAAGATGATGAGGATGAAGATGTTTGTGATAATCTATTTCCCCTTAACAAATAGAAAACTTAACATATTTTCTCAGAGCCTGGCCTGGTGGCGTGCACCTGTAGTCCCAGCTACTGCTACTCAGGAGTTGAGGGAGGAGGATTGCTTAAGCCGAGGAGTTTGAGACAAGCCTGGGCAACCCAGCTAGACCCCCATCTCTTAAAAAAAAATTTTAAATAAAAAAATAAAAAATACATATTTTCTATTTCTTGTATGTTAAATAACATTTTCTTTTCTCTAGTTTACTTTATTGTAAGAATATAGTATATAGCGTTACAAGAATACAGCATGCAATATACAATATGTGTTAATCAACTGTTTATTGATTGGCCAGGCTTCTGGCCAACAGTAAGCTATTAATAGTTAAGTTTAAAGGTGTTGGGAAGTCCTTTGACAACCGGTGCAAGACAAAGATGCCCTCTCTCACCACTCCTATTCAACATAGTATTGGAAGTTCTGGCCAGGGCAATCAGGCAGGAGAAAGAAATAAAGGGTATTCAATTAGGAAAAGAGGAAGTCATATTGTCTCTGTTTGCAGATGACATGATTGTATATTTAGAAAACCCCATCGTCTCAGCCCAAAATCTCCTTAAGCTGATAAGCAACTTCAGCAAAGTCTCAGGATACAAAATCAATGTGCAAAAATCACAAGCATTCCTATACACCAATAATAGAGAGCCAAATCATGAGTGAACTCCCATTCACAATTGCTACAAAGAGAATAAAATACCTAGGAATCCAGCTTACAAGGGATGTGAAGGACCTCGTCAAGGAGAACTATAAACTTTGCTCAAGGTAATAAGAGAGGACACAAATAAATGGAAAAACACTCCATGCTCATGGATAGGAAGAATCAGTATCATGAAAATGGCCATACTGCCCAAGGTAATTTATAGATTCAATGCTATCCCCATCAAGCTACCACTGACTTTCTTCACAGAATTGGAAAAAACTACCTTAAATTTCATATGGAACCAAAAAAGACCCCGCATAGCCAAGACAATCCTAAACAAAAAGAACAAAGCTGGAGGCATCACGCTACCGACTTCAAACTATATTACAAGGCTACACTACCAAAACAGCATGGTACTGGTATCAAAACATAAATACAGACCAATGGAGCAGAACAGAGGCCTCAGAAATAACACCACACATCTAGAACCATCTGATCTTTGACAAACCTGACAAAAACAAGCAATGGGGAAAGGATTCCCTATTTAATAAGCGGTGTTGGGAAAACTGGCTAGCCATATACAGAGAACTGAAACTGGACCCCTTCCTTACACCTTACACAAAAATTAACTCAAGATGGATTAGAGACTTAAACTAAGACTTAAAACCATAAAAACCCTACAAGAAAACCTAGGCAACACCATTCAGGACATAGGCATGGGCAAAGACTTCATGACTAAAACACCAAAAGCAATGGCAACAAAAGCCAAAATTGACAAATGGGATCTAATTAAACTAAAGAGCTTCTGCACAGCCAAAGAAACTATCATCAGAGTGAACAGGCAACCTACAGAATGGGAGAAAATTTTTGCAATCTACCCATCTGACAAAGGGCTAATACCCAGAATCTACAAAGAACTTAAACAAATTTACAAGAAAAAAACAACCCCATCAAAAAGTGGGTGAAGGACATGAACAGACACTTCTCAAAAGAAGACATTTATGCAGCCAA
Source organism: Homo sapiens (assembly GCF_000001405.40). Classification (NCBI taxonomy): domain Eukaryota; kingdom Metazoa; phylum Chordata; class Mammalia; order Primates; family Hominidae; genus Homo; species Homo sapiens. The sequence goes on along the minus strand of NC_000001.11, from coordinate 87,067,350 downwards.
CAAATATATGAAAAAAAGCTCATCATCACTGGTAATTAGAGAAATGCAAATCAAAACCACAACAAGATACCATCTTACGCCAGTTAGAATGGCAATCATTAAAAAGTCAGGAAACAAGAGATGCTGGAGAGGACGTGGAGAAATAGGAACACTTTTACACTGTTGATGGGAGTGTAAATTAGTTCAACCATTGTGGAAAACAATGTGGCGATTCCTCAAGGATCTAGAACCAGAAATACCATTTGACCCAGCAATCCCATTACTGGGTATATACCCAAAGGATTATAAATTATTCTACTATAAAGACACATGCACACGTATGTTTTACTGTGGCACTGTTTACAATAGTAAAGATGTGGAACCAACCCAAATCCCCATCAATGATAGACTGGATAAAGAAAATGTGGCACATATACACCATGGAATACTATGCAGCCATAAAAAGGATGAGTCCATGTCCTTTGCAGGGACATGGATAAAGCTGAAAACCATCATTCTCAGCAAACTAACAAGAACAGAAAACCAAACACCACATGTTCTCACTCATAAGTGGGAGCTGAACAATGAGAACACATGGACACAGGTAGGGGAACATCACACACTGGGGCCTGTTGGGGGATGGGGGCTAGGGGAGGGATAGCATTAAGAGAAATACCTAATGCAGATGATGGGTTGATGGGTGCAGCAAACCACCATGGCACAGGTATACCTATGTAACAAACCTGCATGTTCTGCACATGTACCCCAGAACTTAAAGTATAATAATAAAAAAAAATTTTTTAAGATAAAAATTTTTTAAAAAAGTTGTTGGGAAGTCAAAAGTTATATACAGATTTGATGGCACAGGGGTGGGGAGTGGTGCCCTAGCTCCCACATTGTTCAAGATCCAAATGTATAGAAAATCTGCTATGCAAGCTATCTCAGGTTCACCATGAAATGTATAGCCTACAGATCACACGGGGTGCAATGTAGGAGTCATGAAATTGCAGGCAGGCCAGGCACCAATGGCACTATTATTTCCAACTGAAGATGGACACTTAGCTCCATGGCAATTCTAGTTTTTCCAGGCTCCTGATGAAGGCAGCACATATCTGAGCTTGATGCTTTTCCACGTGTCAGATTAGCAACAAACTCAATTCTTTTAAAAGGTAACAGTAATATTTACCTATTTCCATACTGACAGGCCCTTAAAGACTTTATTTATTAACAGAATAAAATGATTAGTTAAGTATAAAACATTACATTAAACTAAAATCTACACAGCATTAAAATGACAAGGATGTATTCTGTATCAGACTGCAGGATAACTGAAGAAAAGAGAACTGAAAACGTGCAATAGTTCTATATTATGGGTAACATTTTAGGACGAGAGGGATATAAGAAACAGCAAAGAGAAAGAGCAATAAATTGTCTTGCCCTCAAATACTGAAACTTCTAGTGTTAAAATAAAAAAGAAATACATTGATAACAACTAGATAAGTAATAAATCCAAAGCAAAAAATATTAACAAAAAAGACCAAATTTTCATATCTTTAACTATAGTAAGAAAACACAGAAATCAGCAATAATAACACTTCAGTAATGACAAGCTAAGGTGATTTATAAGAGACTGAACTATATATGCATAACAGAGCAGAGCAACACTACACATTAGTGGCTCATAATGATTTTGGGATCATGGACTCCTTTGAGAATATGATGAGAAAATTATGCTCTCTTACAAGGTTGGCTTGTGCATTTCAGGGCTTCCTCTTAGAGCCCAACCACAGGCAAGGGGGTCTATGACCCTAGATTAACTACCCTTAAAAACAAAACAGCTCCTAGGACAATGAGGCCTGATGATAACCTAACAAAAGACACTGGTAAGTATGCAGAAAAAATAGGTTACTCGTAAGTAAAGATCAAAGGCAAGTAGAAATCAAAGGGGAAACCAGCAGGGTCTACCCAAGAATTGTCTATGGGTGGAGGAGCCTTGGCATATCAATTTGTCTAGTCAGATCCTCCTGGCAAGTATGCCTATTGTAGAGCTAGATAAGCTAGGCTCTAAAAGCTCAGTGCCATTAAATGTCTGAATTAAATTGGATCCTTTGCATTTTCTAGGAATGAATCTTGAGCTGTGTGCATCTCCAATAACTGCTCTGACGTGTAACTCATTCCCCATAAAATGAATACACAATGAGGAATAGTGAGCAATACAGATGCACCAAAAGAAAGCTGTTGTGAGGCTATTTAACTGATTCTTGCTTCAGCATCACTTACTGTGAGTTGACTGCCCAGCCAAACACCATCTGATCCTCATGGAAGTAATGTTTTGTAATCACTGAGAATTAAGTAAATTGACTGTCTGACTGTATACACTATTTTCTTAAGAGTATTGTTAGCCTGGCCAGGTGCGGTAGCTCATGTCTGTAATCCCAGCACTTTGGGAAGCCAAGGCAGGAAGATCACTTACTTGAGCTGAGGAGTTCAAGACCAGCCTGAGCAACACGGCAACACCTTGTCTCTACTAAAAATTTTTAAAAATTAGCTGAGTGTGGTGGTGCATGCCTGTAGTCCCAGCTACTCGGGAAGCTGAGGTGGGTAGATTGCCTGAGCCCAGGAGTTTGAGGCTGCAGTGAGCCATGTTCACACCACTGCGCTCCAGCCTGGATGACAGAGCAAGCCCCTGTCTCAAAAAGAGTATTATTAGCTTGAATCAGTCTCCCTGAGCACAATCACCATGGGGGACTAACAAAATAAATTTCTATATGCAAGGTAGAGAGATTCTGAACACTGACAAATGCTTTCTTGTGTGGTTTCCAGATAGTCAACAGGGATGCATATGGTACCATTAAAACTTACAAGTTATGGTTATATGAATCATCCTATAAAAAAGAGCTAACAGTGACTTCCACTTTAAGGGAAGATGGAGTAGACTTATGTTTCACTATTGCCCCTTCTGAGTACACCTAAAATACTGGCACACAATACATGAAACAAATGTAAGACTCTAAAAGAGAAGACAGTAGACTACTGGAACCCCTGGGACCTAAGGACAATAAAGTGCTGAGTTGCCCTAAGTTTTATTTATGCCTCATACATTCCAGACTTGGAGCTATAGAAGCTGGCAATCTAGAAACAGGTACAGACAAAAGAATCCCTACAAAAACCTATTCTCTGTAGCCAAAGGACCAGGAAAGGAACAGCATAGCAAGATAGAAAGCTTAGATAATAACCACTCTACAGTAGCCAATTTCATAGGAAAAACCGGCCCCCCCACCAACTGTACAGGACAAGTAGGGAGCCTAGACTTCCACCCTCACAATGCCCAATATCCCTGATGGGGTGATGTCAGAGAAGGCCAAGTACAGGGTCAGGACTTTCATCTCAGACAGCAGGTAACAAGGCACCTCTGCAGTATCAGTGGAGTCCAAGCAAGGAAACAGAAGATTATAATTAGACCCAGAGTCTTATAATACAAAAATGCTCAGGTTTCTATAAAATACTTATTCATCATACCAAGAACCAGCAGGATCTCAAACTCAATGAATAAAGACAATCAAGAAATGACCAACACCAAAATAACAGGAATGTTAAAATTTATCAAAGACTTAAAGCAGCCACGATAAAAATTCTTTAATGAGCAATTATGAACATGCTTGAACCAAACGAAAAAAATGGAAAGCCCCAGCAAATACAATCTCAGTAGAGAAAATGAAGATACAAAAAAAGAACCAGGCCGGGCATGGTAGCTCACGCTTGTAATCCCAGCATTTAGGGAAGCCGAGGCGGGTGGATCATGAGGTCAGGAGTTCAAGACCAGCCTGGCCAACAGAGTGAAACCTTGTCTCTACCAAAAATACAAAAATTAGCCAGGCGTGGTGGTGCATGCCTGTAGTCTCAGCTACTCAGGAGGATGAGGCAGGAGAATCACTTGAACCTGGGAAGCAGAGGCTGCGGTGAGCGGAAGTCACGCCATTGCACTCCAGCCTGGGCAACAGAGCGAGACTTTGTCTCAAAAAAGAACCAAATGGAAATACACGAACTAAAATAAAAAGCTCAGTGAATGGGTTCAACAGCAGAATGGAAGAGATGAAGAAAAGTTTAATGAACTGAAAGAAAAAACAAAAGAAATTACTGAACCTAACAGCAGTGGGAAAACAGACCAAGAAAAGGAGAAACAAAAACAAACAAGAGCTCAAGAAACTGTGGTCTAGAACAAAAGATCTAACATTGGTGTCACAGAGTCTTAAAAGAATAGGAGAAAGAAAGCAGGGTTGAAAAGTGCTCAAAGAAATTATGGCTGACAACTTTACACACTTAAAAAGAGACATAAACATTTAGATAGAGAAGCTGAACAAACTCCAAATAAGGTAAACCCAAAGATATCCATGTCAAGACATATCATAATCAAACTTCTGAAAACAAAAGACAAAAAAAGTCTTGAATGCACCTGTATGAAGCCTACAAGAGAAAACTGGATTAACAGCAGATTTCTTATCACGAACCATGGAGCCAATAGGAAGTGGCACAATGTTTTTCAAGTGCTGAAATAAAATAATCGTATACCTAGAGAAAATAATTTTCAGGAATGAAAGGGAAAGTAACTCACATGAAAGAAAATTAGCATTTATTGCCAGTAGACCTACCCTAAAAGACTGGCTAAAAAAACTCTATAAATAAACAAAAAGGAAAAGATAAAAGAAGAAATCTTAAAACATCAGAAAGAACAAACAAAAAAATGGAGAGTAAAAATATGTGTAAATACAATAAACTTTCCCTTTCCTCTTGAGTTTTCAAAAGCAAGTTTGACAGAGAAAGCAAAATTATTACGGCATTCTGTGATGTGGCTCTAAATGAAGGCAGAGCAAATATTTAAGACAATTACATTGTAAGTGAGGGAGAATAAAAAGACAAAAGTGGAGGTAAGGTTTCTATACTTCACCTGAATTGGTAAAATGATACCAGTGAACTGACAGGTGACATTTATATAATAAAATATGTAAAACAAGCATGAAAAAGACTATATAAAGACATTAAACTCAAATCAAAATGCAATTCTAAAAAAAAATATAAGTAACCCACAGGAATGCAGAAAGAGAAAACAGAAGTGAAAAAAACAGAACAGAAGACAAATAAATAGAAATGTCAAGGGAAATTTTAAAAATACATTGACATGAATGAAAATGAAAATAAGCAAATCAAAATTTGTGGGACACAGTTAAGGCAGGACTGAGAGGGAAATTTACAGCACTGTATGCAGACTTTAGAAAAGAACAGTCTCTAATCAATAATCAAAGAAGATATACAAATGACTAACAAACATGAACAGATGTTCAACATCATTAGTCACTGGGACATGCAAATCAAAACCACAACAAAGTACCACTTCATACACACTAGGATGGCTATAATTAAAAACAGATAAACCAAAAACTTAAAAAAAAAAAAAGAGAAAAGAATAGGAAAATAACAAATGTTAGTGAGGAAGTGACAAATTGTAACCCTCATACATTGCTGGAGGGGATGTAACATGGTGAAGTCATGATGAAAAACAGTTTGGCAGTTTCTCAAAAAAGTTAAACAGAATTACCAAATACCTCAGTAATTCTACTCCAAGGTATATACCACCCCAGAGAACTGAAAACAGGTACTCAAATACTTATAAATGTTTAAAGCACTAACTCACTATAGCCAAAAGGTAGAAACAATCCAAATGTCCATCAACAGATGAATGAACAAATAAATTGTGGTACTATATACAGAGCAATAGAATATTATGCAACTATAGAAAGGAATGAAGTACTCATATATGTTAGTAATACAATATAGATGAACATCAAAAATATGCTAAGAAGCCAGATACCGAAGGTCATATATAATTAGATTAATATGAAATATCCAGAATAGGTAAAAATGAAACAGTATATATTAATATATTGGTGGTTGCCAGGGAATGGGGGGAGGGAGAAATGGAAAGCACCCGATTAACGGTGATGGGGTTTCCTTTGGAGTAATGTTTTGGAACTAGATAGAGATGGTGCTTGTACAATATTGTGAATGTTCCAAATGCCAGTGAATTGTTCCCTGTAAAATGGCTAACTTATGTTTGTTTCACTTCAAAAAAATTACCAAATATTGAGATCTTATAATACAGGTTCATTTTAATAATAACATTAAAAACAAATTATAAAATATTTAACTGTTTATAAATTAGTCATTTATTCTCAATTTAACAATATTTATTGAGTATCTTCATGTACAATAAATTTTTGTAGGCCCTTATTAGACACATCTTTTAAACAAACATAATGCTTCCACATTAAATATATGTTAATCCTTAACATTCTGAAAATACATTACAAAATAAATATCAAATTTTCTTTCACAACTTCATCTGTGATAAGGTTCTCACTAAAAATATATTGGAGTTAATGCTCCTGAGATGATCTATTAGATAAAAACATTAAAGTAATTATTAAATACCCCATCAATCCAAAAAACACCAATTCTTTTCTTTTTGTGTTATTGCTAAGGTTACTACGTTAAAGGAATATGAGTTATATTTTACTAAATGTACTTGCCAAGCTTGGCTATGGCTATACTTTTCTACAGTTATTACATTAATTTAACAATGTGAAATCCTTATAAGTTATAACCTTCTTTTATTATCAATCTGAGAAATACACTAATCACCTACATGAAAAAATAGTATTGGTAATAGCTAACATTGAATTCTCACTATGCTTTAAGTGTTTTATGTATATCATCTGTTACACCCATGCTGTGTTGTGGTTTATATACATCATATCATGAGAGGCAGAATTATTATCCCCATTTAAATAAGAAAACTGAGTCTCTTTAAGTGATCACCAGCTGTTTACTGATGTCAGGATACCATTACAGGTCAATGTGACTCTAGAGCTCATGTTCCACATTATACTGATTGTCTGAGATTTTGTCTATTTCTATTATAGGAAGAGGTAGAGCCTTATAGTTAAATACAGCACTACAATATTATAGAACTACCTTTTTTTTGCAAATGCCTTTTAAAATTATTTGATATATTTTATTTTGGGATTGCAAAAGCATTTTGCAATTGTTTCCTGCAACATTCCTTTGAAATAGGCATGGTAAATAAGTGAAACAGAGGGACAGAAGATGGTTGTCTTCCAGGTGCTTAAAAGAAAAACATGCTGTACTATCTTTGCAACTTCCTGTGAATATATAATTATCTCAAAATTTAAAGTTATAAAAAACCACAACCAAAGCCAAAAACAACATAATTCTTGATATCATTCCCCAAATTAGTAATTGTATAATATTCTAGGTATCATTCTTGAATAGGGAAAAAAAATCACAACATACAAAGGTTTTACTTATTTATGGGTTACTATATGGATTGTAAGGTCTGAAGTAGGTCCAATATAGGGCCTAAGTTTTTCTTTAAATGTACCAGAATAAGTATAGAGATGAGACCTATTATTCAAATTGTAAGTAGAATCCTCTCCCAATTCACAGTTTAGAAAAACACCAATTTGCCTTGATTGTACTGACCAGAGTCAGATTTACCTGCATCCATCTTTTGGGAATGAAACTCCCAGAGCATTTTTGGGAAAAAAATTCTTTTACCAGACGCCCATAGCCTGTTCACCCTAGCCTCTTACTTCTGTCTGCCAATAACACCTGCACCAAGTATCTATTTTTAAAATACAAAATATCATAGTTAAAAATCATAGGTGAGCTGACTTCAAGGCTTCTTTCTTTACTCATTTCAGTCACTTGAAATAAGTACGCTGATACAAAATGGGGAGTCCAACTATACATGCTTTTCCTTTTTCTTGAGCTTTATTAAGACATTAATCTCATCATCCCTCATCTCTTTATAAATTTCTCAAGTGAACTGTTCCTATTTTCATAGTCTATCTTGTACAAAATTGAACAAATGCCACTGTAACAAATGCCATAAGTAAGAACAAAATACTTCTGGATCCAAGAATTGGAGAAAAACCTTCTGGAAAATACACTGAGTAAGTTCAGCCTTAAAAGGACAGAGCTGGCTTTCAAGATGTGGGGATGGCTAATTGGAGAAGGCATAAAAGCCTGAGTAGTAGCACAAGCTGATAAACAACAAATATACTAGCATAATGATTATAATATTAACAGTAATGTGAAGCAGCTGCAAAAAAACGTATGGCAATTTTAGGCTGTGCCAATAGGTATATAATTATCAGTGTAACAAGTGCTTCTACTTTGAGCCTTTACTGTGAGCCAGGAACAATGCTTCATATTTTATTCATTTTTTATTTTTTTGAGACGGAGTCTCACTCTGTTGCCCAGGTTGGAGTGCAGTGGTGTGATCTCGGCTCACTGCAAGCTCTGCCTCCTGGGTTCACGCCATTCTCCTGCCTCAACCTCCCGAGTAGCTGGGACTACAGGCACCTGCTACCACGCCTGGCTAATTTTTTGTATTTTTAGTAGAGATGGAGTTTCACCATGTTAGCCAGGATGGTTTGATCTCCTGACCTCATGATTCCCCGCCTCGGCCTCCCAAAGTGCCAGGATTACAGTCGTGAGCCACCGCACCCAGCCAACGGTTCATGTTTAAATGTACATTACTTCACCTAATTCTTGCAATAATCCTATATGGTAACATTACGGAATTTAGACTCAGAGATATGAATTACAGGGGAAAAAAGTCAGAATTCACACCCTCATCTGTCTGATACCAAAGCTTATACTCCTAACCAAAACACAGTAATTAATGTTTCAAGTCACAGGAAGGAACAGTTCCTAAGAAATTTGTATTTAGTCACACAGGGCTATTATGTGTCATTTCAGGCACACGTTAAAAGCTAGAGTACTCCAGAATGGGAATGAGCTGGATGGATCATGCCACATAAAAAACTTAAAAAAAAACAAAACAAAACAGTGCACTTAGCTAAGAGAAAATCCATAAAAATGACTAACAGTCTCTTGAAATACTTGAAAAGTTATTGTGAAAAAGAGGCAGAATCCTTTTTGTAGCATTACTCCAGAAAAAAAGATATGACTGTGGCTCAAGAGAGAACGGGCTTTCAAATAATTAGTAGTGCAAAGTAAAGACACAGGCAGTTTAGGGGGTGGTAAGTTATTAGTCTCTGGAGATACTCATATAGAGGTTGCATGAGGACCTGTCAAAGAATGATGGAAAAAGGATTCCTGCACTGATGAGAGCTGAAATCAGGGGACCTCTGGATTGCATAACCCTGAGATAAGTTCCATAAAGCTATGCTATCAATTTCTCCTCTACAGTACAGATGTGTTTTTGGACTCCCTCCACCCACTCACCCCGAGGCTAAAACAAAATCGAAAGAAGCAGAAATAGAGAGAGAAGCAGGCCAGTAACAACTGGGTGGGAGGAAGGGAGTAGGATGCCTACTTATTCTCCCACAATCCTATTTTATTCAGTTTCACCCAGATGTATTTGTTTAGCTTAAGACAAAAAATACAGTTTTTTTTCTCTCTCTTTTTCTTTTTTTGAGACAGAGTCTCGCTCTGTCGCCCAGGCTGGAGTGCAGTGGCATGATCTCAGCTCACTGCAAGCTCCGCCTCCCGGGTTCACGCCATTCTCCTGCCTCAGCCTCCTGAGTAGCTGGGACTACAGGCACCTGCCACCACGCCTGGCTAATTTTTTGTATTTTTAGTAGAGATGGGGTTTCACCGTGTTAGCCAGGATGGTTTCGATCTCCTGACCTCGTGATCCACCTGCCTCGGCCTCCCAGAGTGCTGGGAGTGAGACTTTGTCTTTAAAAAAAAAAAAAAAAGTGCCTTCTGGGTGACAAAGAAACCTTCCAGGCAAAGGGAAGAAGCATGAGCAAAGTCCTTGGAGGCACAACACTGTAGAGTGCATATAGGCCCTAAAAGTGGTTCTTAATAAGCTTAGAAGATAGGAGAAAAATTAAGGGCAAGGTAAAACATAAGGCAGAAAAGTGGGCAGAAGCCAGATCACAGTGTCTTAATCACCATATTAGGAATATGAACCATATCCTATAAGCCAGCATTCTGAAACTTGCTGGTCTCAGAACCTTTTATACACTTAAAGATTGTTAAGGACACCAAAGAGCTTTGGTTTATGTGGGTTACATCTAGCAACAGCACATTAGTAATTAAAATTGAGAAACATTTATTAACTCACTTTAAAATAACAATATGACATGTCAGCATAAATGACATGATTTTGTGAAAAAATTTTCCAAAAGCAAAAAAATTTAGTGTAACATATTTTTGCAAATCTTATAAAGTGTCTGGCTTAATAGAAGACAACTGGATTTTCATATCTGCTTCTCCATTCAAAATATTACCATATATTATTTGGGTTGGAGTCAATGAAGAAAATCAGACTCATATAGATACAGTTGGAAAAGGAGTACTTTAGTAGCCTTTTCAAATAATTGGAAATATTCTTTTTCAATTCTACACTAAAACCTAGTGTTAATTTCTTAAAAGTTAACTGCAATGTGATAGAAAACCATATTAATGAATATACACTATTCAAGTTCATATCAGTGAATATATACTGTTATATTGATATACTTTGCACTGTCATTTGAAAAATATTGGTATACGGAGTTATGCAGATCCTCCAAATATTAATACATTAGAATTGTATAATAAAAATTATACAATTTAAAAAATCACATTCATTATAACACCACCAATCTCAGAGAAGTCTAAGTATTGGGAAACTGTTATGTTCATAGCGGCAGATACAAGTTTTTTTGAATTTTATAATTGGCAACTAATACTGTCAACTATTTTCCTTACAGCGACAAGTTCACTTCATTCATTTTTGAGAAAATATCTCCCAACTACACAAGTCTGAATAAACATAGTTTGTGTGTTGATCATTCTTTCAAGTAAAAACAGTGTTCTATGAAAAAAATTGCCTTGTTGAGCTTGCAACTTGTCTTAATCTATTTTCTCTTGCTATGACAGAGACCAGGTAGTTTATAAAGAAGTTTCTTTAGCTTCTGGTTCTTTAGGCTGGCAAGTTCAAGACTGGGCAGCCACATCTGTTGTCTTCTGGTAAGGGCTTCATGCTGTATCAAAAAATGATGGAGGAATAGAAGAGAAACTGACATATGCAGAAAATAGCGCAAACACGAGAGGCAATCTTGCTTCATAACAACCTGATCTCATTGTAACTAATGTAGTCCTCAGAGAGTGAGGACTCACTAACTCCCTCAAGACTGTACTGATTCTTTCATGAGAGCAGATTCCTCATGATCCAAATGCCTCTTAAAGGTCCCACCACCTCTCAACACCATTACAATGGGGACCAAGCCTCAACATGAGTTTTGGTAGAGACAAACCATATTCAAACCACAGCACAACTCAATCACACAAGTGCTTTACCTCAAGACAACCTCTGTACTCTGGTATGCAGAAGTGCTTGATGTACTTTATATATTGTGACAGAATATTAAGGACATACACAAAATAGTCAATATTTAATAAAGTTATTGCTTTCTGACGGACATTCTTATGTGAAAATGGCTTTTGAGGGTTTGGGCTGTTAGAGAAAGGCAGCAAAAAACACAATGCCTACTAGTACAGTTTGGTACCACCAATGCTTTTTACCATAAGGACAAATGTCAACTAGTGAAAAAGGCAACTAACATCTTAGAATTATTATGAAAATGATTGTGAACTATTTTGTGAAAGCCCTAAAGGAGTCTTAAGCATCCCTATGGTACATGGACTGCACTTTCAGAACAACTTCTATAAGCGATAAAGAGCCATTTTTTTAAAGAGTTTTAAGTAACCCACGCGGGACTTCTACAATGCAAGATTTTATAGAGTGATAACGCTTACAGTTGAGTATCAATGGCCTGAAGACATAGTGAGGATTAAGACTTGAAGGAAAGCAACTGCAGTAAGGAAGAAGCATGGGGACTGGAAGGAGATAGGTTAATGGGTTAGAGGCTTAGGTGACAAGAGTAGAAGACGGAATTGGAAGTGGCTAAGGTACTGTCTCTAGGCTTCTTTACTGAGGAGGAAGATGGTACCATTCAGTGAATTTGAGAATTGGGGAAGGAAGAATAAATGGGGATGAAGAAAGGAATTCAGGATAGTTTGTAGTCTACACTGAAGTTCAAACTGAGAAATCAAGTATGTAGCTGGTCTGTGGAAGAGCCCATTTTCATAAGGCTTTATTTCAAGCTTGTGTAAGAACAATATCCAAGCCTAACAGGTCTAGGGAATAGGATGGGGAGGGCACAATGGCAGAAAAGTTCTGGATTAGAATGTAATGTGGCATCTGTTCCCTCCCAGCCCCATGAATTTCCAGATATTTATGTGTTTGAGTTTTTAGAGAAAGGGAATGCAGGGAAATGATTAAGGAGCTGTTTCAAAGAAGGGCTTTGTAATATAAAGGGGGCACTGTATTAATTAGGGAAACATCAGCTGTTGTAACGAAATCTCGATTGTTTACTACACAAGAAGTTTAGTTCTTGCTCAAGTACCAACATGAGTGTTTCTGGTTGGCAGACAGCCTTTTATGCAGTAATTCAAGGAATTATGCTCCTTTCCTCTTCTGACTTTGCCATTCTCCACAGTACCTTGAAGTCTTTTGATCCAGCTGGCCGATAGAGTGCAGAAAGCACAACCATTTCTTAATTATCTTGGCAAACACTAGTCATATGGCCCTACCTAGATGCAGGGGTTGTGGTGAGAAATTTAATCCTTGGTGGGCAGTTGCTTCCTAGCAATAAAAACATACTAGAGGAAGAAATGCATGAATAGCTGGTATATAGTTTGCCATTTCTTCACACAGGCACATAAAGCAGGTTCACAAGTGATAAAGTATGACATTACTGAGGACATAAGAGAACTTTCTCCATTTCTACATGAAATGTGACATCAATCTTAGCACCATGAAGGCTCCCATACTTTCTGGCATTTCCTCTTGGGGAAGCAGCAGAGATGATGATGCTTGATTAGAGATAGTTGTTCTATGGACAAGGAAGTAACCAAGCAGATTCTTATGGGTAGAGGGGAGTCTGCTTTTTAAAAAACAAACAAAAAAACCCACATGAGATATCTCTAGAAGAGTTTCAGAAATATTAGAAAGGAATTTCAATGGAGAATGAAGCCCTGTGCAAACATCTAGGGTAATGGCCAAAATAGGCTATTTGACCTATTATAATAATGAAAAATAGGCTATTAATGTAACTCTGATTCCATATGTATTTACAGGGTTAGTATGAGGGAGAGATTTGGATTATCAGTTTCAGACACAGTGAGTTTCATGTGCCCATGGAACATCCAGGTAGTAATATGTAGGTTACAGAAGATATACATCTCAGGAGAAAGTTCTGAACTAAAGATAGAAATTAAGAGTCACAACACAAAGGCATCAGCTGATGTAAAAGGAGTAAATGAGATCATGAAGGTACACAGTTAAAAAAAAGAGAATTTTATTTTTATTTTTAAACATCAAAAGAGAATTTTGAATTCATCAGCTTTTGGTTCTAAATATCTGTATTACCAACATTACCTATAACATATGTGCAATACAACCAAAAACAAATCTGCACTATCACTGCAAGATCATGTACTAATCTATTAAACATTTTAAGTGCTTTTGACCATGTTGTCCACTTGTAGATACTCAAAGTATACTGCAGCAGATAAATGCTAGTTTCATGTCTTACTGACATGCCTTTAAAATGTTTTTTGAAGGACTCATGAGTTTTGCAACTCACAAAGCACGCAGCTGGACCTTACTACTAAGAATGCATTTAACTAAAATCTCTGCTAGCATTTTTTTCCAAAGTAAAACTAAACATAATATTGTAGAAGATGTGAAAAAGGTTGAAAGTAAATTATTCAGGAAGACATTAAAAAATTTTTAATGCACATACTGGTGGAAAAATAAAATAGGAGTAAATTATATATAAGCTTTGTAATTCAGCTAAAATATTAATTTTGATATTAAACTGGTAGGAATAATTCAGAGATTTCCTTAAATTCTTAGCACAAGTCCATACTGCCATTAAAATAGATGTGCTTTGATTGTTGAAATATCATACCAAGAAGATTAAAGCATTTTCAAAATCAAGAAATGCCAGAACTGTCTACAAAGCTAAATTATTTTCACACTTCAACAACTGCACCTGGTGCTCCACTCACTAGTAAGTAAAAAGAATAAGAAGTAACTAGGATTCAACTCCAGCTGGGTTTGGGTATCATTAACGAAAACCTAATGCAGCAGCTGTTGAAAATTAGAATTAGCAATGCTGAAAACTTGCTATTATTTTACTGGAGTTTGATATGCATCATATTCTAAAGCAGTGGTTCTCAAACTGAGCATGCATCAGAATTACTTGGAGCATTTGTTAAAATACAAATTCCTGCCTTCCCACATTCCCTAGCTACTAATTCCAAGGACTAAGAATTTGCCAGTCCAGTTCCCAATGCTGATATGATGGTCCAGGAACACTTTGAGAATCGGTGTTCTAGAGGGCATTTCTGTTGGCTTATTAAGAAGACAGATATAGAATATTATCTTTTCCATGTAACTAATTAATTGTACCCCATTAATTGGAATTTTAGATGTACCTTAGATCTGTGAAAAACAACGTAATGGTATAAACTAGTTGTGAGGGTATTCTGGTCATCACATCCATTACCCTTTAACTCATGGCACTGATTCTATTGGACTAACTGGATTTCCCATCTTCCTCACTGCTCGCCACCAACCACTACGTCTCCTAAGGCTAGTCAGTTCCTCTTTAAAGCATGCTGTACCATCATTATGGAAAGCACAAGTGAAATGTTTACATTGTTCTTGAGCATAAACTGTTACAAAACCCTGTGAAAATGCAACATTAATTAATTCTGAATCATGGTCATTGCCCCACACCCTTTTAAACTGAAACCATTTTTGGGGTACAACCAAGAATTCAAGAACCATGTTAAAGATATTCATCTAGGAACATTCACGTATATATGAAGAAATTCTGATTAAACTACAAGTTCCAGTCCTGGCTTACTAGTTAAAAACTGAAGTTCAAGTAGATTGTACACTACCCATTGTTAAGACTAAAAAAGTGAGTTAAAAAAAAATTTTTTTTGAGACAGGGTCTCGCTCTGTCACCTAGCCTGCAGTGCAGTGGCATGATTAGGGCTCACTGCAGCCTCGACCTCCCAGGCTCAAGTGATCCTCTCACCTCAGCTTCCGGAGTAGCTGGGACTACAGGTGTGCGCTATCATGCCTGGCTAATTTTTGTATTTTTTGTAGATACAGGGTTTCAGCATGTTGCCCAGGCTGGTCTCAAACTCCTAGGCTCAAGCGATTAGCCCACCTCAGCCTCCCAAGATGCTGGGATTACAGGTGTAAACCATTGCACCTGGCCTAAAACTTTTTATATTTTACAGCTTTGTATCTTCTGAGAAACTGTTATAGCTTTTCAGTTGAATTTGTATTTTTCATGAATCTTTAAAAATTAGTCACAGGTATTAATATTCTAAAGATGTTCTTTTTTAAACATCGATTTCCAAAAACTGTCTTCCTTTGCATTTGTCTTGTGTAACAAAAAAGAACCATTATTCAGGATCCTGTAAACTACAATTCTTTACTAGTGACACTTCAACATGCCCACAATGCAATGATAATTGATATTCTCAATAATGACCAGTAAAATGCTGGACAGTTGTTATCAATCGACAAAAACTAATGCTTGACCATAATTTGAGTTTTAATTGTGTTTTACTGAATTTTAATCATATGAAACAAGTGTAAGAAAAAAATTCTCAAGTAGAATATTCTTTATTTTGCAGACTACTGAACATTTACTATACAATAGACATTTTAATATCTACTTTAAAATAATTTGTTGATCTTTACATACCCTATATATTAGCTTTTTAAATCCATTAATATTTTTGGCTTATTTTCCTATGCCAGAAATAAAATTATGATCATTATGAAAAGGTATGGGTTGATAAAATTAATGGGGATAAGGCAAAGTAACTCAAAACTGTTTGTTCTATTGTGAGTTACTCTGCCTCATCCCCATTAATCTATTTGAATTAGGCAACATAAATTTAAGTACATTCTAATTGAACACTGGAACCAATCAAACCACGAAAACTGAAAAAAAAAAATCATGTAGAATTAACGTGACTTTTTGGGGGAGGAGAGCATAACTTGTTTAAAAGCTACTTCTTTCTCTGAAAGAAAGGTGATGACCATTATTACCCAGTATACAGCAGACACACAAATTTGCTTAATAAAAATAATATAGCATACTAAATTAAACCATATGGGAGACAGAGTTCTTCACTCCACAATCTAAGAAATATTAAAAGGAAGTGAAGGATAATGTTAAAAGTGAAGGTTTGAGGTGATTTGATCTCTACTAACCTAATGTTACATATAGCACAGTCAAAGCTAAAGCTCCATACATGTCAAGACTGTTTAGTATAATATTCTAGGTATATCACACCTGACTAATCCTCAGAGGTTTTTTCCTGTAATGGTGCCAAGACTCTGTAGGAGAAAGTGATAGTGGCAGAAAAGTCAGAGATTAAAGTGGTCAGATAAGTAGGGCAGGACCATGATTTCTGACCCTAGAGTAATCTAAGAATCACATGGAAAGTTACATTACCTTAAAATAGATTACAGGGTATAACAAATTCCATGGGACTGGGGAATCTGTATTTCTTAAAAGCTCCCAAGGTGATATAAGAGCAAGTAGTCTAAAATCAATAACAAACAGAAGATATTAGAAAGCAACACTGGAGTCAACATTTGTTGACTCTGGTTTGTGACCCTGTGGGTACCATTCTCCATTTTACCCTTTTATAGCTAAAATTTTACAGGAGTCTCTGTAGCATAATCTCTCATATTTGGAGGCCATTTTATTTCTAATGTAGTCCCAGTTTACTTCCCAATTTTGGCTTTTTCTTGGTGGCCTAAGATAACCTAGAAATAATAAGTCTAAATAAAACAAAGTTCGAAAAATAAAGAAAATAGAAATTTTAGGAATAAGATTACTTGATGGGATCTATCAAATTATTCAAATTCTTAAATCTTAATTTATAATTACTAACATTTATATTTGCACATTAAAAGATAATGTACTAATTATCAGGATCCATACACACCATAGAAAAGGCTGAGATTGTCAGACTAGATAAAAAAGCAAGATTCAACTATATTCTGACCACAAGAAAACCACTTTAAATGAGAGAAACATTAAATAACTTAAAAGCAAAAGGATGAGAAAAGATATATCACATTATCACAAATCAAAAAAAGCTGGTGTAGCCATATTCATGACAAATGGATTTCAGAGTAAAGAATACTGGCAAAGATAAAAAGGATCATTTCATAATGATAAAGGGGTCAATTTATCAAAAAGACATAACAATCCTAAACAATTTTGTACCTTTATAAGAGAGTTTTAAAAACATATGAATTAAAAGCTCACAGGAAAAACAGACAAATCTGCAAGTATAATTAAAGATTTCACCATCATGCTCACAACAATTGATAGTAAACAGAAAATCACTAAGATACAGCAAATTTGAACAATATCATCAACTAATTAGCCAATTGGCATTTAGAGACCACTCCATCCAGAATGCAGATACACATTCTTTTCAAGTGTACATGGAACATTTGATAAGACAGACCATATTCTCAGTCATAAAACAAGGTTCAAAATATTTGAAAGTACTCAAATCATACAAAATATATTCTCTGACTAAAACAGAATTAAATTTAAAATAACAGAAAAGACATTTGAAATGTCCACAAATACTTGGACTAAATAACACACTTCAAGTAACCCACAGGACAAAGAAAAAAACAAAAAGGAAAGTAGAAAAGCATTTTGAACCTAATAAAACAAAAACATCAAAATTGTAAGATGTAACTGAAGCAGTGCTTTTAGGGAAACATACAGCACTACACGATCATATTAGAAAAGAAGGCAGTTCTAACACCAGTGACCTAAACCACAGCTAGTTCTTTGTGCCAAAAATAAATAAATAAATAAAAATAAAACTGATAAACTTCTAGCCAGACTAATAAGAAAAAAAAAGGGAAGATACAAATTATTAATATCAGAAATGACAAAGGAGAGAATACTACAGACAATAAAAGAATATTATAAGCAACTGTAGCCAATAAACTTGATAAATTGCTAAATTCCTTGAAACACAAAAATTAACGAAGCTCACAGATAGCTAAACAGAATAACCTTTTAAATCTATTAAATGTATAGATAAAAAACCTTCGCACAAAAAATGAAAACAAATCTTTCTCACAGATAAACAAAAGGCCCAAATGGCTTTAGAAAATTCTACCAAACAAAAAAAATACCAATACCAAAAATACCAACATAAGAAAACATCAACACAAACTCTTGAAGAAAACGCTTTCCAGTTGAGTCTCTGAAGCCAGCCTTTGATACCAAAATCAGACATGAAATCCCTTATAGAGGCAAAAATTAACAACATTTAGTGAAATGAAAGGACAATTATCATACCTATGTAGTTTATCCCAAGGATACAGATTGGTTTAACATGCAAAAGTCAATGTAACTTACCTTATTAAATAAGCTAAAGACCACGTATTCATCTTAATACATGCACATAAACAAAATCCAACATCAATTCATGATAAAAATCTCAGCAAACTGGGACTAGAAGCATGATAAAAATCTCAGCAAACTGGGACTAGAAGCATGATAAAAATCTCAGCAAACTGGGACTAGAAGCATGATAAAAATCTCGGCAAACTGGGAATAGAAGGGAACTTCCTCAAACTAATAAAAGGATATCTGTAAAAATGTTCAGCTGGTATCATACTTTACTGAAAGACAGACTGGATACTTTCACCCTAAAACCATGAATGAGGCAAGGATGTCCACCCTCATCAGTTTTACACAACACTGTCTTGGAGGCTCTAGCCTGTGCAATAAGGCAAGAAAAAGAAAGGCACACAGATTAGAGAGCAAGAAGTAAAACTGTCTTTTGTCACAGACAGCATGACTGAATGCGTAGAAATTCCAAAAGAATCTAATAAAAAAGCTACGAGAATTAATGAGTTTAGCAAGGTTGCAGGATATAAAAATCAATATACCTAAATCAATTGTATATTACTAATAACAGATAATCAGAAATTCACATAAAAAATACCATGTAAAATAGCACAAAAATATAAATAAATTTGCAATAAGATGTACAAGACCATACAGTAAAAATTATAAAACTCTGCTGAGAAAAATTAAATAAGATCTAAATAGATATGCCACATTCATGATTGAAAGACTACTGTTAAGATGTCAATTCTCCAAAAATTTATATACAGATGCCATGCAATCCCAATCAAAATCCCAGGACACTTTTTGGTATGAATTGACCAACTAATATGGAAATGTAAATAATTTGGAATAGGCAAAACAAATTGAAAAATAAGAAAATTGAAGGATTTACACCACTTTATCTCAAGACTTGTTATCAAGTTACAGTAATCCAGACAGTATAGTACTGGCATGAAGACAGACATCCAGATCAATGGAACAGAATAGTGAATCCAGAAATATAACTATACAAATATGATCAATTGATTTTAGAAAAACTTGGATACAAATATGATCAATTGATTTTAGAAAAACTTGGTAGGATAGTTCAATGAAGAAAATGATCACCTCTTCAACAAATAGTATGGGAACAACTGGATAGCCATTTTTTTAAGGGAATCTTCATTCTTTCTTCATTCTTCACATCATATACAAAAATGAATTTAAAATGAATCACAGACCTAAATATAAGAGCTAAAATTATAAAACTTATAGAAGAAACAATCCTAGTAATTTTAGGTTTGGCAAAGATTTCTTAAATATGACACAGTAAACAAGAACTACAAAAACAAACATCAATATAGTGGACTTCACTGAAATTAAAAGATACAGAAATGAAAAGGAAAGCCACATAAAGGAAAAAAATTTGTGAAATGTATAGCCAACAAAAGATTTGTATCATATCAACAAAAAATGTGTATCTTACAACCTAATGAGAAAATAGCCAGTCCATTTTTTTAAATGAACTAAGGATTTGGACACTTCCCCAAAAAAGAGATATGCAGATAAGAAGATGAAAGACGTTTGTCATTAGAGAAAATAAAAGGAAAACTACAATGAGATAACACAAAAATTTGTAAGAATGGCTAAAACTGAAGACCGGTCATACCGAGACTTGTCAAGAATGTGGAGTAACTGGAATTCTCATGAACTGCTGGTGGGAATATAAAATGAGACAACCATTATGGAAAACAGTTGGACAATTTCTTAAAAAGTTAAACATATAGGCTGGGCGCAGTGGCTTGTGCCTGTAATCCCAGCACTTTGGGAGGCCAAGGCAGGTGGATCACCTGCGGTCAGGAGTTCGAGACCAGCCTGGACAATATGGTGAAAGCCCGTCTCTACTAAAAATACAAAAATCAGCTGGGCGTGGTGGGTGCCTATAATCCCAGCTACTTGGGAGGCGGAGTCAGGAGAATTGCTTGAACCCAGGAGGCGGAGGTTGCAGTGAGCCAAGATCGCACCATTGCACTCTAGCCTGGGCAACAGAGCTACACTCCATCTCAAAAATAAATAAAATCGACATGCACAGCTTTTTACATCTAGAACCTGCCGGTCTTTCAGGCCTAACTGGGGTTCATTCTGTTGATCTGATGCATTCGTTTCTTCTCCTTGACTTTGTACTTCAGCCCAGTCCAACAGAACTGGAGGTTTCCTTTTCCGCCATAGTTTGTCCATTATCAACAGATACCTGATGTCATCTTTAAAAAGCTTGGTAAAAAGTTTAACTGGATTATATCCAGTTGATTTAGCCCATTCCTTAGTGGAAATACGTTTAATGTCACCTTCTTTATTAGAATGTTCTAGCTCTGGCTTTGGCTTCTGTTGGTTCCCAGGCAGCTTCAGGGTCAGCTCTGTCAGGAGATACTTCTTAAGTACTTTGCCCAAAAGATGCAATGTATAGGTTCTGAAGGTGTGTTACAAATTGTACAGTCAGGAGAGGTTCTCTGGGTTGGCTTAGGATGACATTCGTAACACTTGGTCACACCCTCTTTGATAGTAGTTACTTGTCCAAGATACCCAGCAGTTCCACTTTCAATAAGAGGAACAACAGCTGCCAGGCACACTCTATTAACACGGTTTTGGGCAGCTCTGTTATCTAAAGCATTCATAACCAATATAAACTGTCAAAAATATGCCACATTATAGTCAGGGTTCATGATGCTGTCATGGTAGGCAACCATATTAGCTTTCAGGTAAAACTGCAGTGCACTTTCCCTGGCAACCTGTGCCTTTGATCTTCCAACATGTTTCTTTTGAAACAAAAACTGTTGAGGTTGCTGACATCAATAGTAACCAGATCAATCAGGTCGACGTGGGAGAAGCCGGTGAGCACAAGGTTCTTAAGGAGCTCACAGCACTGAGACTCTGAGAGTTCATTTAGCAGAAAAGGGGGATGGAGCTGAGCTCACATGGGATAAGGATGACCCATATGCAATGGATTTTGTTACCTCTGCTACAAACCTCAGGATGCATATTTTCAGTATGAATATGAAGAGTAGATTTGATATCAAATCAGTGGCAGGGAATATTATTCCTGCTATTGCTACTACTAATGCAGTGATTGCTGGGTTGACAGTATTGGAAAGATTGAAGATCTTATCAGGAAAAATAGACCACTGCAGAACAATTGTTTTGAATAAACAAGCAAATCCAAGAAAGAAGTTTCTTGTGCCTTGTGCACTGGATCCTCCCAACCCCAATTGTTACATATGTGCCAGCAAGCCAGGTGACTGTACGGCTGAATGTCCATAAAGTGACTGTTCTCACCTTACGAGACAAGGTAGTGAAACAAAAATTTGCTATGGTAGCACCAGATGTCCAAATTGAAGATGGGAAAGGAACAATCCTAATATCTTCTGAAAAGGGAGAGACAGAAGCTAATAATCACAAGAAGTTGTCAGAATTTGGAATGAGAAATTGCAGCTGGCTTCAAGCAGATTACTTCCTCCAGGACTATACTTTATTGATCAACATCCTTCATAGTGAAGACCTAGGAAAGGATGTTGAATTTGAAGTGTTGGTGATGCCCCAGAAAAAGTGGGGCCAAAACAAGCTGAAGATGCTGCCAAAAGCATAACCAATGGCAGTAATGATGGAGGTCAGCCTTCCACCTCCACAGCTCAAGAGCAAGATGATGTTCTCACAGTTGATTCGGATGAAGAAGATTCTTCAAAGAATGCTGACGTCAGTGAAGAAGAGAGAAGCCGCAAGAGGAAATCAGACGAGAAAGAGAATCTCAGTGCAAAGAGGTCACGTATAGAACAGAAGGAAGAGCTGGATGATGTCATAGCATTAGATTGAACAGAAATGCCTCTAAACAGAGCCCTCTTACTACTTAGTTTATCTAGGCAGAACCAGATTATTTGTTATGTCCTTTGTTCCAAAGGGGAAAAAATGGACACCAGTGACTTGAAAATGATTCTGCTCCCTCTGAAAGCATTCATTTTGCTAGAACTGTTAGACACACTGCAGTATGCTATACTGAAAGTAGGAATATAGCTTTAAAAACCCTTTGAACAAAGTATGTGCATAACCAGTCATGAGATAAAACAACACAATGCATGTTGCCTTTTTAATGTAAATACCCTTAGGTATCATTAACAGTTTCAAAATATTGTGGTTAAGTTGATACCTGGTTATAAATATCATGCCTTTATTTTTGGCTAGAAAAATTAATTTTAGCCTAGCTCTAACCATTTTCATACTCTGACTGAAACAGATTCAAAGAAGTATCAAATGCTATGTATTGAAACTTGTTTTTAAATGTTAAATGGCACTATGTATATTAATGTAAAACAATGTTAATTTACTCACGTTTTCAGTTTGTACTGCCTGGTATGTCTGTGTATGAAGCCAATTTTTGTGTATTGTTATAGTTTCAGGTTATTTATAGTTGATGTTTTGTAAAACTCAATGGCTATACTTATGGACCAAATAAATGGCATCTGCATTCTTGTTACAAAATTAAATAAATAAATAAATAGTAATGGTGTCAACTAGAAAGCTAAGAACTGGTAGAGCTGTAATGTCCAAAAATGTCGGTACTGTTACTGCTATTTATTTAATGATTTTTATTTTCCTATTTTCTAGATCTACATAACAAAAATAATGCCGCATTTCAAAATTATGTGACTAAATAGTGCTAGTATTTACTACCACAGACCCTTTCTCCTCCCCAGTGTCTTGGCCTGCTGAACTGAATATAGATTATCAAAGATTTGTTGTGAGCCTAACATTTCAATGGTTATATAAATTTTACAGCATTTTACCTTACTTGCTCTGAGACTTCAAATACAAAAGCATTTTTCTAAATTTTCTAAAATAAACATTACTATTATAATCCAAAGAAAATTTATTCTCACAAAATATGGTACAAATATAGTCACCCAACTAAATATTAAATATTTATTTCTATACATATATTTCATAGCTTCCTGTATATATTTATTGATAAATACTAAAGCTGATATATGGAAAGGCTTGATATATTTAGTAAGGTCATGTTTCAGAAGCATTGTTAATGCACATAAGACATATACATCCATATTTTCCAACAAGAAAGATGTTATTTCGGTTCCAAACAACCACACTTAAGGCAGGGTGCAGACATACATAGAATATAAGACAGGACTGTAACAATAAAGTCTTCAGTTACTTTTCACTTCTGGCTACATGAATATAGTAAACAAGATACCTCCAGCAGTTGATTCTTGGGGATAAAAAATCCAATTACTATCTTGCTTTACAATAAATTTAGAATAAAATGTTTTGTTGATTATTAAATCAGGTAAAGCATAAGGTACTTTAAACTGATTATTTGGTCTCATAAAATGATTCAATCTAAAGGCTTAATTTAGAGCCACCTACAAAATGATCCTGTATTCTACATTGTTAATCTTAAAAGTTTAATAGTTCTTAAACTTACATAATTTATTATTTTTTACCCAGAATAATCAATGTAGGACTAATTCTGATGAAATAAATCTAGATTATTTCCCCTCTCCATCAGCCCATCTCCCAATCAAACAGTACTTAAAATTATCACAAAGAACCTTTCTAATCACATTTATTTAACTTTGTAGTATATTTTGAATTAGAAGGCACAATTAATAAAACGGTTCTCTACATAGAAAGATTTGTTATAAGTGTCTCCTATACCAGATGTGTCTGTTATTTCTCTGGCAAAATCTAATCTTGAAACGGCTGGGGGAAAGGAAGAATAATAGCATGGCTCCTCTTCAGCTTCACTTTAAATGGCTACCATGATTAGAGAGGGCTGGGTTTCAGACATGCTTTATAGGAAGCATGTAGTCATTTAACTTAATTTTATGTGGTGTAAAGCTCGTAAACAAAAAGTCAGAAAAGTAAATTCCTATGAGTCTTATACTTTTTACAAAGTATTTCAGTTAACATATTCCCAGACATACAGAATTACAAAATATCGCCAATTATAATCTATCCAATGATGACTGTGGAAATGTATAATTTCCAGTGATAATTTATCATCTTGATATTCTGGAAACACTAAATAATACAGGATCTTTTCATCAGGAAGTCAATTTTTTCTGAAAGAAAAGGGCCTTTATGTTTAGTTATGCCTCGCAGGCATTGCAAAAGAGTACTTCCTCTCTCTAGTTAGCACAGTGAAGGTATATCTATCCAAAAAATATCAAGAGGAGGTATATATAAAAAGGAGATGGGTTTTTCATTTTTATTTTTAAAATAATGGCTTCCTTAAAAAGCAATACCAACTAAAAATGGATTAAGGACTGAAACAAAGGACCCAGAACTGTAAAATTCCTAGAACATAGGGGGAAATTTTTATTACATGGGTCTTGGCAACGATTTGTTGGCTATGACATCAAAAGCACAGTCAAAAGAAGAAAAAACAGACAAGGAGCATGACTGTATCAAACTAAAAAGTTTCTGCATAGCAAAGGAAACAATGAAATGGCAACCTACAAGATCGGAGAATATATTTGCTAACCACATATCTGATAAGGGGTTAACAGCTGTAACATATAAGAAACTGCTATAACTCAATAGCAAAAAACTCCAAATATCTCAATTAAAAAATGGGCAAAGGACTTGAATTGACACTTCTCCAAAGAAGACACACAAATGACTAACAGGTATAGGAAGATGCTGGACATCACTAACCATCAGGGAAATGCATATCCAAACAATAATAAGGAAAATGCTTTTAAAAAAAATTAAACACAAAACTAACATATGATCTACCAATCCCACTTCTGGGATATGGTAGTTCTGTGTTTAATTTTTTAAAAGAACTGAAGTCAGAATCTTTAAGAGATAGTGGCACTCCCATATGTACAATGAAGCATTGTACACAACAGCCAATATGTAAAAACAACTTTAATGTCCATCAACAGATGAATGGATAAAATGGATTTACTGTGTGATATACACACAGTAAAATATTATTCAGCCTTTTAAAAGAATGAAATTCCATCGTATGCAACAACACAGATTAACCTTGAGAACATTATGCCAAGTGAAATAAGCCAGTCACAGAAGGACAAATACTGCATGCCTCCACTGATGAAGTGTCTAAAGTAGTCAAACTCATAGATGCAGAAAGTAGAATGATGGTTGCCAGGAACTGAGGTGGGGAAGCAGTTGCTGTTAATGTGTATAAAGTGTCAGTTATGCAAGATGAAGTTCCAGAGGTCTGCTGTACAACACTGTGCTTAAAGTTGTGTTAACAATAATGTCCTATACACTTAAAATTTTGTTAAGGGCGGGGGAAGGTTCATAACATTTTACATTTAATTTTTAAAATTTAATTTATTTCTTCTTTTTTTAAATTTATATATACTTTTTGAGACAGGATCTCATTCTGTAACCCACACTGGAGTGCAGTGGCATGATCAGAGCTCACTGCAGCATCAAAAACCTGGCTCAAGCAATCCTCCCACCTCATCCTCTGGAGTAGCTAGGAGTACAGGTGCACACTTTTTTTTTTTTTGTTTTTTTTTTTTTTTAGTAGAGACAAGGTCTCGCTATTTTTCCCAGATTGTATTGCTTCTTTTATTTGGGAATTTAATGTGGTCTTCCTTTCCTCTCCCCTTTTCTCCTTCTCCCCTTTAAAAAGTAAACAACAATCAGAATGATGCTAAATAAAACACTGATGTAAAAACTGTCCAATGGATAAAAGGTAAAAAATGAATCTAATTTGAAAAATTATTTAATCTTTAAGACAGAGGAGAGCTTAGTGGTTATTGACATCAAAATGAATCTGATGGGTAAATTCCTTCAATAACCCTGAAAAGTGGTTGCCCTTCTTTTTCCTTCAGTAACACCAATGGTGGGGAACTCACTCTCCTTGAAGAGCTAACTAATTCTTGGAAATTGTACTACTTTCCACCTTTTACAGTTTTTTGAGGTGTCACAGAACATGCCTACTGGCTTTTTTCCCCCTGAGACACAGATATTCTGTGCTACCAAGTCTTCCTTTTTAAGGTTAATATTCCGGACTTTTTACTTAACTCTTGCCTATGTGCCTAATTACAGAAATAATGCTCTACTACTGCTAACATTCTATAAGCAGAACGCTTGGATCTGCCAAGGTATTCTTGAGGTTCTGAAAGGGCCACAGAACATTATTCTTCTCACTTCCTTCTAGTACCTGTCCTCACCTGGATAAGTTATGCCTAGCCTGCAAAGCACCTTGGCGGAGTCAATGCCCCATGCCCCATGCACCACAAGCTCCCTGCAAAACCCAGTCAGAAGAGTCTTCAGACTGGTGAATACAGGCATCATTTAAAGATATAGGTACTTCAAAGACGGGCAGAATGGGCATATTAGAAGGAAAATGGATACTTCTAAAAATATCACAGTAACAGAATGAGAAAAGAATACAGGTCCTATATCAAGCAAAAATCCTCAGACTGAGACCTTGAAAGGCAAAATCTCTCTGTTCAGGGAGCGGGGAGGGGGAGACAGAGATGGAAATTCAGTCCTCAATTCTTGCTCAATTATATCAGAATAAGGAGGTATTATTTCTAATTTTCCACAAACATGAGACTCTTATTTCTTAAAATCTCTAAACTGTCCTCTGTGGGGAAAAATGCTTTTCAAGCATTTGCCTATGAACTTTCCATTATTTTTCATTCCAAAGAAATCTGCTTGTTTTCCATTAATGGATCTATTAAAAGGAAACTACTTTTGTTCCTTCTTAATCTTCTTTTCTAATATAGTAAGAAGAACAACATTCAATCCCTCAGATTTTTTTAAAGCCTACAATGGGATTTTAAAATGCCACTAATTAGACTACACAAATTAGACACTACTTGCATTGAATACTGTCACTCCATACACCATCAAAAACTGTAAGAAACTTCCTTTTTCAGCTACCATCTCTTGAGCGACTCCTATGCTTTGGCACCTAGTCTAGAAACTTTACGTATGGTATCTTCCACCTACCTGTTTAATTAGTTACTATTGGTCAAACTTTAAAGATGAAGCAACTGAAGCTCTGTGAGGATAAAACCATAGCCAGTGCCACAGAGCCAGTAAGTGGTAAAATCAGGATGTCACCCAGTTCTGATATTCACTGAATAGATTACTGAACTGATATAAGGATAAATGGATGACACCTGTCCTGGATATTTAATGACAGATAATAAAAATCCAGAAATTCATTAAGCAAGTAATAATAATGAATAAGGTTGTTATACTTCAACCTCTTCTGCATTCAGAGATGGATGTGTTAGATGCTCATTCCTATTCTTTTGCAGTGGGGCTGGAATGCACCAGGACAGAACTCAATAGCTGAGGATCCCAATGAAACTGAGAGGAAGAAAAGATAAGCAGAGGCACATCAGGAAGCAAACTAACAGTCCAGAATAGCAAAGATACCTATGGTCCACACCGCGCCCTGACCGGTTCTTAGTGAACAACTGGTTATTGGTAATATTGCTGAGGTAGCATTGGCTGGTGGTTTAGATGGTCTCTTTCCAGAACTGCCAAGATACTTTAACTTTTAGCAAGCCCTGTATTTCTGTCATCCAACTGGCCAGAAATTCACCACAGGAAGAGGCTGTGGAAAGTCATGAACTGCCATTTTGAAAACTAGAACCCTTACAATTACCAAAGGAGAGGTGCTTTATTACTAACCCACGTATCATTATTACCTTCCATATCAGTACAGGGTTCAGCCAAAGTTGTCATTTGGCTCATGATTGTTTTTACTAATTTATTTTTTCCATATACATGGGAAATTTAAAAATACTTTTCAATTGTATACAATAGAAATATTAAAATTATAGATTACTTTTTTAAAAAAACGGCAATATACTCAAAGCTTCAAATGTGAAAAGGTATTTTTAAAAAGGTATGTAAAAAGTTTCTCTGTCAGAATCCATTTTTTTTTTAGTTTCTCTCTTGTTCTGTATCTATCTGCCCAATTCCCAACCTTCACAACACATAATCACTATTATTAGTTTTTGGTTCAGAGATCACTTCACGTATATGTAAGTTAAAACAAATACTTCATTTTTACACAAATATTAGGACAATATGTACTTTGCTTTGTCTTGCCTTTATGTAACTTAAATAGATCTTCAAGATCTTTCTACATCAAAACATAAATACCTTCCTTGTTCCTTTTTAAAGCAGTACAGTAATTCACAATATGAATGCAAATTCTAATTTTTGCAGGACTTTCCAGAATAACTTCTGTTACATACAACATGCTTAGCTTTAGTTTTATAATCCTTAATTTTATTGAATTTGAATTTCCATTTGACATTTAATTTTGAAAATGTTTTACAACAGTACCCTAAATGTACTTGTTGGAATAATATACAACAGTTTAATTATTTACATGTATATTCAGTTTCTAGGATGGCATCCCCAAACTCAAAATAAAATGTATTGACACAGTTAAATATGGCATGTACTTAAAATAATTATTTCAGTGGTAGTGATAGACTTTGCCCATCTGTGCATCCATCCATTTATTTCACTGCTTTCCTCAGTAGTTATAAGATTATGAGATAACTGCTGATTGTTAAGAACACAGCATATTGTCATAGAACAGACCAAATCCACCTTGATAAAACAGATGGTTGTGACCTAACTAAATAAAATTTGACAAGTTTTAAAAACTATAATATTAAGTAAGAGTCTACAGTCATTTATGACTAAAAAACTATTGGTTAAAGTACATTAATCATTAACAATATAAAGATTTTCACTGTCATATGCCATGCAATTTTATTTCTAGGCACCTACTAGAAAAACATTTGCTTGAATGTATAAGAAAATATGAAGAAAAATGTTCACAGATGAACTGCTCATAACTGCAGACAATCTAAAATCTGTTAGAGATATATTATAGATATATGCTACATAGCAGTTAAAAGAATGAACTACGTCTGGAAGTATCAAGATGGCTAGATATCAGAATTATTGAGTGAAAAAATGCAAGTTGTAGAATACATTCACTATGATAACCATCTCTTCAAATAAAAAATTTAAAAATGTATGGTTACACAAATGAGTAAAAATACCAAAAAAGTACTAGGAACATACATACCCAATTTATAATAGGTTACTTTATACAAGACAGAGGATCAGAATTGGAGATGGTGGTAAAAAAAAAAAAAATTCAACTTTATTTGAAATATTCTATTTTTAAAGACATATTATTGATGTAATTTTAGAAGGATAGCTAAATATGCAAAAATATTAATGTTTGATAATTCTGACATAACCTTTGGACTTTTCTGTAATCTTTTAATTTCTAAAAATTAAAATATATATATTAAAAGGCCATTTATTGTACAGATTTATTGGGCCATATAATTTTATAACTACAACCAAGTAGAATAAATGAAAACATTTTAACTTATGCTTTTCAACAGCAAGATACACTGAGTAATTATAATAGTTATCCAACTCATAAACTCACCAAACTTCAATGGCTGTTTCACATCACAGGGAAATATTTTTTCACTTTTTTAGCAAAACAGAACAAGATATGCAGAATTCACAGTATTATAGAATTACATATTAAACATTCACATACTACTTTCACCACCAGAAGAAAAGCATATTTCAATGACGATAAAGCAAAAGTTGGGAGCAGATTAAAAAAAAAAGTCAGCACCCATGAATGTGATAAATCAGCAAAACAAATGAATTGATTTATGATATTCACTTCGTTAGAACAGGAAAAAGAACCCTAGCACTTTATTACCTAAGGTTTAATTTAACAAATACTATTGGGAAATGTAGTGATATATGCAAGTGAATGTTCCAGATATTTGGAGCTTATCCTTTTAAGCATCAAAACCTTTCAGTTATCCATGTTGATGACAATCTCTCAGAAAGGACATACTTCCCTCAGTTTTAAAATACATGTATTGAACATAACCAAGGTTTTCCTTGAAAATGTGTGGGTCAGCATTCATTCATTCATTCAGCAAATGAGAACTGTCTTCAAAGAGTGTGCAATGTTGACATTGTCATCCTGATATCAGTTTGGTCAAGGTAATTTTACAATTAGTACACCAACTGAATTAAAAATAAAATTCTACAAAATTGGAAATATCTAAACACCTTTTCACTTCATTCCAGCATATCTTTTATTTTTTCCCTACACAAATATACTAGCCAAACTGTTACATTCCTATAACCTAGTCCATGTTTTCTCATCTTTGAGTCTTTGCTCAGTATTCATTTCACTTGGAATATCCTCCCTCCAATTGCTGTCAAAAAACCTATTCATCCTTCAAAGCCCATCTCAAATCTCAACTATAATATGAATAGTATTTCTTATCTTCCCAATTAAATTAACAGTGCTTTAAAGTCTTTTGGTCTCCCAGTGTGGCAATTCCTCAAGGATCTAGACCCAGAAATACCATTTGACCCAGCAATCCCATTACTGGGTATATACCCAACGGATTATAAATCATGTGCTATAAAGACACATGCACATGTATGTTTACTGCAGCACTGCTCACAATAGCAAAGACTTGGAACCAACCCAAATGCCCATCAATGATAGACTGGATAAAGAAACTGTGGCACATATACACCATGATGTGGCCATAAAACAGGATGAATTCATGTCTTTTGCAGGGACATGGATGAAGCTGGAAACCATTCTCAGCAAACTAACAAGAACAGAAAACCAATGTTTTCACTCATAAGTGGGAGTTGAACAATGAGAACACATGGACACAGGGAGGGGAACATCACACATCGGGGCCTGTCAGGGGGTGGAAGACTAGAAAAGGGATAGCATTAGGAGAAATACCTATTGTAGATGATGGGTTGATGGATGCAGCAAACCACCATGGCACGTGTATACTTAACGTAACAAACCTGCAGGTTTTGCACATGTATCCCAGAACTTAGAGTATAGTAATAATTAAAAAAAAAAAAAAGTCTTTCGTCTTCTCTGAACAACCTGTTTTAATTCTTAAACAACAATACTGGGAGGTAAAGATTTACACAACAAATACTAATTTATTTCAAACTAATGGGTCATACTTAGGATACTTTCTTATAAAATAAAAATAATACCAAACTTGCAAGGTTATTGTGGAATGTATTATGTACAGAAGATGTCTATATCAATGCTGGATACACAGTAGATGCATAAGAAATTGACAAATATTATGGTCTACACTATAAGTGAAAAATCAAGTCAAGAGGCTGCATACTAAAAATTATTATGATAACACATTCTCCCATGGGCATGTACAAACATCAGAAAATCTTCTAGGCCATGAACTCAACTATGTGATATCTCCAAGAGAAAAAAGTAACTTAGAACAGGACTCATTTATTCTCCCTGAGTACATGAAAAGTCTGAATCCTAAAGAAGAATAAGTTTTTCAAAGAAAGATATATTTAAAAGAATAATTAGAAGTACTACTTACAATACCGATAGGTTAAAAATTGTTCATAGGTTAATTAGTTCCTACTGCTGCTGTAACAAATGACGACAAAATGACTAGCTGATAGGAAAACAAATTTATTATCTTAAGAGTTCTAAAGGTCAGAAGTCCTAAAATCAAGGTGTCAGCTAGGTTATGTTCCTTCTGGAGGATCTAGAAGAAAATACATTCCCTAAAATCCTTTTCTAGCTCCTGGGAGCCACCTGCATTCATTCCTTGGCTCATGGACTGAGCCTCCATCCTCCAGCTGCACAGCATCTTAAAATCTCTCTCTCACTGACTAAGACTCCTGCTTCTGTCATTACATTTCTTTAGGACTCTGATTCTCTTGCCTCCCTCTTATAAGGATACTTGAAATTACATTGAGACTACCTACATAATCCAGGATAATCGCCCCATCTCAAGATCCTTAATTTAATCACACCTACAAAGTCCTTTTTGCCATATAAAGTGACATAATCACAGGTTCTGGGGATTAAGATATGGACATATTTAAGGAACCATTATTTAGCTGAAAACAATGGGCATATCTGGCTCTTTAATTTTATAAAGATTACTAATCCTATTACTCTTCAATTCAAAACTATTTTTTATTGTCTTTTAAAAGGGAAAGCTTCGTACATATACTTTACACTGTAACAGTTTCTCAACTGAGAGAATTTGAAAGGCTTTGAAACCTCAAGATTCTTTCAAAATGTGATTCTGATTTCCTAGAGCTCATTGTACTAGCTAGAGTACAATATTTGCATTTTCAAAAGTAGTTCGTTGAATGGTTCCATATTTACAAAACAAGGGTAATTTTAGTGAATTATGTAAAATCTCACAGTGAAAAGAATTACTATAGCTTGAACAATAAAGTTATCAATCCATTGTTAATTTATTTTCTCCCCTCCAGAATCTGGGAAAACCACTTATAATAGTTACTCTGGAGACCACAGATCACAAAAAATTGAAGTGTGGTGTTGGGGAGACTTCAACTGCTTTAGAATGATTCTCCAAGTGTATACTGTAAATTTGCTATTCTCTTGTAATATTATATTTGCAATGTAAAAGAATTTACATTTTTGTTTGTCATGAAATAATAATTTACTGTGACCTTCCTCACTGGTATTTCATCAAAGCCATTCTCACCATTGATTCTATTTTTGTTTTGACACTTTGAAACAAATAAAAGGGTAGATGGTCTACTTATTTTTTAGACTTACCAAAGAACTATTACTACATCTTTATATTTAAAAATTAATAATCCTCAATATTTGCAAAATATTACTCATTAGACAATATGTTAGCTACTGTGTCTGAACTTCTAAACCAGTAAAACTGTAATTTTTCCATTCCTGTCCCTCATTAAGCTCATCATTGCTCACTGTGGTGGTATACTGTTATTCACTATAAGGAATTTTAAGTCAACAAAAGTCAAAGTATTATGCAAACTAAAAAATTTACCACTTTAAGGCCGGGGGCGGTGGCTCACGCCTGTAATCCCAGCACTCTGGGAGGCCGAGGCTGGTGGATCACCTGAGGTCAGGAGTTTGAGACCAGTCTGGCCAACATAGTGAAAACCCTGTCTCTACTAAAAATACAAAAATCAGCTGGACGTGGTGGCAGGCGCCTGTAATCCAACTACTGGGGAGGCTGAAGCAGGAGAATTGCTTGAACCCGGAAGGCGGAGGTTGCAGTGAGCTAAGATCTTGCCATTGCACTCCAGCCTGGGTGACAAGAGTGAAACTCAGTTTAAAAAACAAACAAACAAACAAAAAAACAAAAAAACACTACTTTAAAAATTTATATAGAAGAATTAGAGAAAGAAGATAATTTCAGGTTCTTACTATGGAGCTGCTGTGAAGGCATTTCATACACTGCACAGAATCTAAGTAATGTAGTTATTATGTGACATGGTCTTTGAACTCTAACAGAAATTCCGTATTTCTTTCTAGCAAAGATTCCTCATTACCTAATGGGGTTCTTGGAGCTCATCCATTCTAGTTCACCAACTATGTTTTGATAATTCCCTTGAGGAATATTTATGAATTAATGGAATCATGTCTAAAATATACTGCAGTGGGGAAAGGTACAGATGGAAAAAGATTAGACATGGGTCAGTAATTTCTGTAGCCTGGTGATAAATACGTAGGGATATATTTTACTATTCTACTTATGTATATTTTGAAAATATCCATAACAATTCATAAATATATATAATCTCAGGTTCTACAATTTATTAAAACATTTAAACAATGGCATTTATCATTATTATTTTTTAATCTGGAGGTTCATCATGATTGGAAGATGGGGTTTACAACACACTAAATGAATTAGGAAAAACCAAAGACTAAGAATGAGTCAGATGAAAGGGAAGAAAACTATTTTTTGCAAAGGACAGTAATCACACATGGTCTAACTGAGTCAGCTGTTTACCCAGAAAATCTGTGGAGTCAACCCATCATATAGCCTATTCAAAACTTTTAATTATACTGGGGTTCCATATATACATTTCATAGTTTTTTTAGGCCAACAATATCTGTTATTAGGCTTACCTTCACTGTCCAAATAATTGAAAAAAGAACAATGCATTTTTACTAAGAACAAGAACTCAAGGTAGATAATAAGCAGGACTATGAATAAGGAGAATCCTGATTACATTGTAAATTAATCTCTGATAGTAAAGAGCTGTAACTGCTGATCTGGAACAATCTGTGAATACTTGTCCTGAGGTACTTTTTAAAGCAAATAATTTCCTATAATATTCTATAAATGAAATCATAATAATAAAAAAGGGAGTTTCAAACGTATTGAGAGAAATCAAAATTGACCTTAATTTATTTTGACAGTGGGGGTTCAGAATGAACTTTGTATTAAATCAGCAGTATAATATTCAGGTCTCTTTTTCGTCCTTTAACAAATAAAGTTATACAAGGCTGGGAAAGAGACCTGACACAAACACATATCCAAAATAGATTAATTCTCACCCAACACTGTTTTTAATACTACTGTCTTCAAAAATAAAGGTTACAAGTTAAAAGTTTCACATCATACCATGAATTTTAAATGTTTTTCTATAATAGTCAAAACTTTCTCGTGAGCCTGGTATTATCAGTCTACTCATAAACAATCCTTTCCATATGAATTATTTGCAGAACAGTGTTTACTGATTAACTGATATATTTAAGAGCAATTATTTTCTTAATTTTCTTCAGCTACCACTATTGAAGTCCTATTAAATATCACATGGAATTTTTTACATTTTAAAACTGCCCTGCAATCATTTTTAATAATTAGCCATGTGTAATTCAATTATCTCTTGCAACAATAAAGAAAGAATGGTGCACTGAACCAGTAAATTATGCCATAAAATATTAGTCATAATATGGTGGTTGAATGAAACATTTTTCCATTTTAGAAGACTGGCACCTAAACATTTCATTTTTTCTTTAAAAAATTGTCACCAACATTTTTAACCTTCCAAATTCTTCCATTTCCATTATCTAAATAACAACCTTCTGTTTATTATAATGTTCAGTAGTATTGCAATAACATTGTAGATCAGCAGATTTTAAACAACCATATATTATATATTCAGTCGCAGAATTTAAGAACTAGGAAAGAACTCAAAGAAGTGCTACTCCAACTGCTGGTCTGAAACCAAATAAGGAGCTTGTACCAAAGTGTAAATTAAATTTACTATTTCCTTAATCAATAGTCTTGCTACCAAAAAAAGAATGCAACCAAACTAAATAGCACACTAGTGCTTTAGCTGATTTACATTTTGGCACAAGCTAGCTGCACATGTACTTGAGGACTGGCAATAAACAGTTGGTATATTGGCAGCCAGTCCGTGGACCACACTCTGAGTAGAATGAATCTTATAAATAATCTAGTTCAGTGGTTCTCAACGATGACTCCCAACATGAGAATCATCCAGAAAACTTTAGAAAACATGTATATCTGAGTTTTGCCTCTAGAGACTCTGATTTAGTTGGTCTGGAATAGGGCTGCAGCAGCAGTATTTCCACGGATATAGGCCTATCCCATTTTGGAGATAAGAACACTGAGACTTAGCCAGGTGACGTGGCACATGCCTGAAATCCCAGCACTTTGGGAGGCTGAGGCGGGCAGATTGCTTGAGGCCAGGAGCTCAAGACTAGCCTGGGAAACATGGCAAAACCCTGTCACCACAAAAAAATACAAAAATTAGCTGGGTGTGGGGGCGTGAGTCTATGGCCCCAGCTACTCAGGAGGCTGAGGTGAAAGGATCGCTTAACCTCAGGAGATCAAGGCTTCAGTGAGCTGAGATCAGGCCACTGTACTCCAGCCTGGGCAACAGAGCAAGACTCCATCTCAAAACGAAACACAAAACAATACTGAGACTTAAAGAACCAAACAACTTAGTCTCAGTTTACAGAACCTGAGAATAAAACAACTGACTCTCAGTATAGTTTTGCTTTGCATAATACCCCATAATAAGAATTAGTTAAAATTCTTACAGTCCTACTCTGTATTCAGGACACTGGAAGAACAGAAATATTTGTCTGTGAAATTTTTTCTTTCTTATTATTCGAGTAAGAGACAAAGTAGAAAGAAAGCATTATATGGCTAAACTTAGATTAACTGAAGGATTAATCATATCACAATATACAAATAAATTTCTTTGTTACTTAGAAAAAATCTGGAAAGAAATATTACTAAGTCAAATACTCTGATTTCTTCAAAATACTGAATTAACTTATTTTTATTTCAAGTGGAGAGGCATGTGTGTGTGCGTGTGTGCGTGTGCATGCATGTCTGTGTATATGAATGAATGAGACAGGGTCTCACTCTGTCACCCAGGTTGGAGTGCAGAGGCATGATCATATCTCACTGTAACCTTGAACTCTTGGGCTCAAGCGATCCTCCTGCTTCAGCCTCCCAAGTATCTAGGACTACAAGCACACACCACCACACCTGACTAATTTTTACACTTTTTGTAGAGATAGGGTCTCCTATGTTGCCCAGGCTGGTCTTGAACTCCTGGCCCAAGATATCCTCCAGTGGATAGGTAATTTTATTTTTACAATTTGAAAAGATTCTGTGCACATAAAAGCCAAATGAACTTGTATATCTTTTTCTCCTAATTTAACGCACATGGTAAAACAGTCAACCAGCATATCCTGGTCAGTAACAAGAATGTGTTGGTTAGCTAAGGACCCCAGGGCTGTGTAATTTTTTTTAGCAAGTCCTACAAACTGGCAAAAACACAGATAAGAGCAAGCTGAAATTAATATTTGTAAGTGCTAGCGTGTTTTGCTTCTTCTGCATTTGAAAGGAAAACTGTATACAAATTTGCTTTCCTTTTTACCGAAATACCTTTCTTCTGGGCAAGAAACCAAAATAAGTAGTAAGCATACTATAGAGTCATACTCAATTCTACTCCTAAGACCAACACACTTAAACTTCGACTTTATCCATTTGTAAGTGTCCTTGAATATGTTTATTCACCTTCTGAAGCTTTGACTTCCTCATCTGGATAAATTTTTCTAGTCATTTTCCCTACCATCATCCTCCTGTCCTGCTCTAGCTAAATTAGGTACCTCTTCTTTTTGTTCTTGTATGAAAAGTATTTATTCCTGTAGATTTCACATAAGTCAAAACTCAGTATTGAGTATTAATTTTCCCATAGGAAAAAGAAACTGTACATGACATGGTGTGAGAGCACAAAAATCTATAATCGCTGCAACATTTTTGTTTTACTGTTGCCTTTTCTCAGCTTTATCACTAATATTTTGTACAATTTTGTCTCTCATTTAACATCAATTTGTTTGGTTTTCTTCACTACATTTTACCATAATTAACTTTTTCCCCAAAGTTACTGATTTCTGGGACAATATTTTTCAGAATTACTATTGACGCCCTGCTGAATGACATTAAGAAAAGATATAAAGACTTAAAATCAAACAAATGTTTAGAATAACAGTACAATAGTAACAGAAACCATGTGTAGAAATTCTAATGCAAAAAAAGAATAATTCACATGACACTATTAAAAGAAGGTGGTTATTTTTGACTGTTAAAACATTGCACCTATGTGGCAAAAGTGCCCATACATGGTTTATGACTCACATAATATTTTCTTTAGTCTGCTAATCTACTAAATTATATTAGGTATAATTCCTAATACTAAACCATCCCTGCATTCCAGGGATAAATGCTACTTGGTCCAGATTTATTATTTTAAAACACTGCTGGATTAGATTTGCTAATATTTATATAACTATTTATTAAAATATTAAGATAAAAAGATAACACTTGGGAAAGTTTGTTCCTCATGTCTAAAACTAAGTGCATCTGGTTATTTCAACCAGGAATAGAACACTAGGGCAAACTTTGTTTCACTACCTTTGTATAAAGTAGGCTCTGATTTCAGTAGAGATTAAAAACAAAAATCAGAAACTATACTTTTTAGAAGAAACTTATTTTTAGTACAAATATAATAACAGAACAGTGGCAGTAAATTTCAAAAATATCAGCTTTTCCGTTTTTACACTAGTCATTTCCTGTAATTCTTTTCAACTATCCAGTACCTGCTCTTTAGAAATTCCTTTAGGAATATGTTGCTATTCTCCCAAAATTTAGAGTTTGCAAAAACGTGTGTGTATACATGTATCTAACATATGGTATATACCCACTGTTAAAATATCCAAAATAAGGTTTTAATCCACTTTCTAATTTTCTACAGTTTATTCACAGCCTGGTAAATAAAACAATGTTGTCAGTCTCATGTGGGAAAACAGTGAGAAACGCTCTTTTAAAAAAACAGAATGTCCTCAACTGGCTATGCCAGCCACAAGAAAGAAAATGGTGCTATTTGTTGGGATACTCTTCAATGGGTACCCAAATTATTTTTTTTAAGACAGTAAAACTATTTTCTTCTCCCAGTAAAGTCTTTTGAAAACTAAGTAAAAAACATAAATTATTTGAAGGGCGATTGGAAGACCAGCAGGCTTCTCCCCTGGCTCTGAGTTGGCCTTGAGTCACCTTTGTGAGGATTTGAGTTTCTTGGCACACAGTTTAGAAATTGTGGCCCAGATGTACCTTAGATGGGAGTCTCAGTTTGGAGTTCTCCTGACATGAAAATCACTTGTCTAGTAGTGTACGTGAAATTGTCTACTTAAAGTAGTTACCCTCTATTGTTAGGCTAGAACTTGGTTTAAACTTTAAAATAAATCTTATGACAGACCTGTGAGACAGGAAAGGGAGGCAACAATTAATACCAGAAGATATCCAGATACAATCTAAGGTAGCATTTCTTAACATTTTAAAACTCTATGTCCCAGCCGGGCGTGGTGGCTCATGCCTGTAATCCCAGCACTTCGGGAGGCCGAGGCGGGCAGATCACTTGAGGTCAGGAGTTTAAGACCAGCCTGGCCAACATGGTGAAACCCCATCTCTATTAAAAAATACAAAAATCAGCCAGGTGTGGTGGCCCATTCCTGTTGTCCCAGCTACTAGGGAGGCTGAGGCAAAAGAATCTCTTGAACTTAGGAGGCAGAGGTTGGCAGTAAGCCAAGATCGTGCCACTGCATTCCAGTCTGGGTGACAGTGAGACCCTGTCTCAAAAAAAGAAAAAACATCTATGTCCCATTCTGATAAATATAAAAGCCTTTTTTTTGCCACCCT
Organism: Homo sapiens; assembly: GCF_000001405.40. NCBI lineage: Eukaryota > Metazoa > Chordata > Mammalia > Primates > Hominidae > Homo > Homo sapiens. Next base: position 87,027,644 of record NC_000001.11, on the reverse strand, counting down.
TCTCAGTTGAGAATCTGTAACTACTCACTCCCACCAGTTATCAAACCTTACTCATGTGGACTGTATTACAAAACATCATCTTTTTTATTTTCATTTTCCCAGTATAAAATTATGTGATAATGTTAAATATGCTTTTTCAAACTATACCACCACCTATTTTGATCTGCTGCTAGTTGAGGAAGAATAATTTGAGCTCTACATGCTATGAGTTCTCATTCAGATTTCTAAAATCATGCATTCCTCCTTTCTATGATTTTAAAACATGTTGTCCACTGTATGCTTCCTTCCCACTAATTGTTGGTAAAATGACTTTAATTATAGTGCTTATCTTATGAAACTCAAAGACAGTGAATAAGTTAGGGCATGAAATCACAGTAGTTTCATTATGCAATTATCTTTATTTGATAAAAAGAAAGTGGATACCAAATAGGGTGTGGAAGCCTCTCATAAGAAAAAGTAACAGTTGGACAAAGAAGGGAATAACACAGGAAGCTGCACAGTGCTTAAAAAGTGACACTGCTATTCTAATGGTATTTCAAAACCAAAAATCTGTACTACTCTCAACTACTGTTAACTTACTCATATTTTCAGGTAGTTAAAAATATGAAGAAATTGTTTCTATACATACAACAGTCTGCTTCAGACTATTACCAACATGTATTACAATGTTATGGAGGGTTAATTATGATTAACATAAATTAGAAAAACCAGTTGACTTTAAATTTCACTATTATAATCAATATCTTAATGAATGGGTCCCCTTACAATTCAGGATATTTTAATCAAGTTTTTTTTTCTTCCCATCAATAGTGTTTATAATCAAGTTTTCTGATATTTATATTTAATATCTTCTTTTTTTAAGCTGGTAATTGAAGACCCTAGTTTTATGTTGCCATTCATCCAGAGGCTGTAGTACAGGCTTCACACATCTAAAGTTGGAAAATAGCAGCAAAAAGTCTACCTGTGAAATGCCAATGAACTTAGGGCATAGAATTTAAACCTTGTAACTAATGAGATGAAAGGAAACATCAAAAAGAACTCCTATTAAGAAACTCTGCCAATATATCCCGTTTTTTATATAATTAGATATTTCCTATTTAACAAAAACTATAACCAAAGTATAAATGTTGAATAATTTTATAAAATGCTCAGAATATTTTCATAATGTAAAACCTTACCTCCCAAAATATTTTAAAGGTATTAAGATTACTTACGAACATTTATTTAACTTCTATAAATCACTGCAGTGCTGTGTGTGACATAATTTACCTAATGCCTGCACTCAGACAAAAGAAAAGATGTTTTAAGAGTATGATCCTACCATATTTTTACCAAGGTTGCATGCTAAAGCATGCTCTTAGAATAATTACAAGTATTTCTCATCAGAACCCATGAACGTATCTCAGTGAAGGAAGGGGCCAATAAACATTGGTGACTTCACTGGGAACTGTATAACTACCAAAATCGAATGAACATATCTAGTTGTAACAGAGGTGTGGGGATGTCTTAGTTACGTCTGCACATTTGCTGTGAATACTAGTATCTTTTAAAAAAATAATTTGCAAAAATATCAAACTATATTTAATCAAAAATACAGTTGCAATCTATTGGCTCACTTTAGCAAAGAAGAATAAGAATATATTTTTTTAACACAGTATCTTTTAAATCATAGAAACAGCCTCAGCTCTACAAGTCCACCCTGCTTTAACTGCAAGAAACTGAAGCCACACTAGCAATTTTACTCAGTAACAATAAACATATGACTGCAAATATTTCAAATTTAATTTTTAATTCATGTTACATTCTGCAAATCTTAATTCCTGGAAGAATCACATGCAATAAAGAAGGAAAAGGTTTCCTAGAGATTCATGAGGGTTTATATCAAATTTTCAGCAAGAGTTGGGGGTTGTGGGGAGAAAAGCAAATTATGTGGAATTCTTAGTGAACTCAGTCATCCTTTCTGAAAGGAACACATCTTAAATTATTGATGGAAAGTATATGTACACGCAAATTCCTTCTAGACAAAAACATTTTAAAATGCAAATTTTCTATATGAAAAATACATAAATTTGGTGTTAAAATATGAGATATTCTACACAGATGTCTCTGTGCATTTGTCAAGCTATTGTGTCTTAATTCCAAATTTACCCTTTTATACTCTGCTTTGTGATCCTAGGGCTGAGGATCTGAAAACTGTATTTCCCATTTGCCATCTGGCTTCCTGCTAGGTTCTGCCAATAAGGAACACTAGAGGGAGACTAGAAAGCATGACAAATGTGTTCCCTGTTTACTTGATATTGCTGTAGGTGTCCTACAAGCAACAATACTTTGCCCTTGGCCACAACTGTTGGGTTCCAGGTTCAAGTTTCATACTAATTCTTTACAGGTAGCAACAGCCGCCAGGCAGGACCATCTCCTCAGGTCTTTGAGTCCCAGTCTGCAGGTCCCCTGTTCTTCACTTCTCCAGTTCCAGAAGTGTTAGCTGCTTTCAGCAGTTATTATCACTCAGTTACCTCAGAGCTCTCACTTTTGCTCATTCAATCCTCTGACACCTATGTAACCAATTCTCTATGTTATAGTCCCTCACTGAAATGCATAGTGAATTTCTGTTTTACTGAAGGAATCATGGCTGTTACAGTCTCTACTGTGGTAGTCGACCTTAGATAATTAAATGCAAATCATCTCTTAATAATTAAAACATACATTAAGCATGATTGTTATATAGGCATTTAATAAACAATTTCTCACAATTCAGAAATTATATTTTTGGTATAATACAATTGAAACACAGATGTATAAATGTTTCTTACTTAAAATAGGTAAAATAAAACTTAGGAAATATCAGGTTGAAAAAGGACCTTAGAAACCAAATACCATATACCTTCTACCTAAAAAAGTATTCCTATTTCAATGGCAATTGTCACCATTTATTGAGGGCTTAACATAACATGAAGTAGGGTACTTTACCTTTTCTCAATCCTTACAGCAATCCCATGAGATACATTTAATTATCCCTATTTCATAGTTAAGGAAATTTAAAAGGTTATGTTTCTTGCTCAAGGTCACAATAGTCCCTAAGTGGCAGAGCACTCAAACCTAATCTGCCTGATTCTTTCTTTTCCTGTTTTTTTTTTTTTTTTCTTTGAGACGGAGTCTCACTCTGTCGCCCAGGCTGAAGTGCAATGGCACAATCTCGGCTCACGGAAGCCTCCACCTCCTGGGTTCAAGAGATTCTCCTGCCTCAGCCTCCTGATTAGCTGGGATTACAGTCGTGCACCACCACGCCATCTAATTTTTGTATTTTTAGTAGAGACGGGGGTTTCACCATATTTATCAGGCTGGTCTTGAACTCCTGACCTCATGATCTGCCTGCCTTGGCCTCCCAAAGTGCCTGGGATTATAGGTGTGAGCCACTGCGCCCAGCCAGATCTGCCTGATTCTTAAAAATGACTACTGATCTCTCAATTTCACCATGCTTCCTCCTTCCATTAATCCTGATAGCAATCTCTGCATAACCACCACCAAAAGTCTTTAAGACACTGCTCTTTAAATTGTTAATACCTATTGGTATGCTCTTATATTAAGCTGAAATCTGTCTCCCTATATCTTCTACATCCATTAGTTCTATTTTTGTCCTTTGGAGAAACACAGAACTTAAATAATGCCTCCTAATGCCAACTCTGCTCTTTGTCCTGTTAGCCCTTTCTCCAATGGCTCTTCATCAGTTGTTTTCTACTATGGATATGTCCCAGTGGCGGCATGACCTCAATAGATATATTTAAATCAAAATCTGAAAATGCAGTAATGTTCTAAGCATAAGTCATTGCTTGAAAAAAAATAGTAACACAAACGATACCTTAGAATAATCCTCAATTTTACATTTAGAATTGTGTTTATCATATTTTCTGAGACATGAATGTTAAGACACATTCATCTATCCCATTCAATATATCCTTATCATGCACCTAATATGAGCTAGGCACTATGCTACCTGTTGAAGACAGAGTGATAAATAAAATACAGTTCTTGTCCTTAAGGAACTCAGAGTCTGGCATATCAAGATACTAGCATATGCCTCAGTGTTAATCTGTTCATAGAGATACACAAGGATATATTATATTTTTGTGCCAGTGATAGCATGTTATACATACTATTCTAAACCCTACTTTTTTTTTTTTTAACATATCTTGAAGAACATTACACATCAGTTTGTATAAGTGGTTTTCTTTAACAGCAGCACGGTAATTCTCAGAATGCATGAACCAGAACTTATTTTACCACTCATCTATGAATAGACATTTAGGATGCTTATGATCTTTTTTTATGACAAAAAAAACTGCTGCAATGAATATCCTTGTAAATACATCATTTTGCATAAGTCGTTATTTATCTTTAGGATAACTAGAGTTTGCAGATTTTTAAAAGGGCATGTACATTTAAAATTTTGTATATTTTTTCCAAATTATTCTCCATAAAAGTTATACCAACTCATTAGTTCTGCTATTACACTAACTTTGAAATTTGAATTTGTTACAACACAATTGACATATTGGGAACAATTTGGACATAACACAAATTTTGTATTTGTTTATGCTTGATTTTATCCTCAAGAAAGCAGATAAATGTAGAAAACTGTACCTAGCTAAACAGAGCAGGGTAGGCATATACAAATCATACGTACCTCCTACATCCACCTCAGCTTACAGAGGTATGAGCTCACATGTGTCACAAGCCACAACCATTCACATTCATTGTTACAAGTTTCCAACCCATTTTGAATAACCTTTCTCTACCACTTTCCAATATGGAAGATTTTGAGTTGCATATGCCTGACTTTGAGTTCCTGGAGGACAAGAACTATCTCTTCTTTATTATAGCACAACTGACTATTCCTTTATAATGGTATATGAATATGTCTGTTTTCCCATAACTATGAAAACACTGTGTTGGCAGCTTTTTAAATCTTATTAATATGATAGGTAAGAAAGGTACCTTATTAACTCACAAGGTGCAACCCTTCTAGGGCCCACTTCCACAAGCAAAGTTCAGGTCTTTTTCAAGGTAAAGTACCATGTTTATTTTATTTAGCCATTCATGTACTTAGCCATTTAACATGTATTTTAAAAACTGTGCCACAATTTTTATTAGGGTCTTAAATTTTGTGTCACTGATGAAGTTTTTGAGTGTTGTGCTCCTAATCTCATTTTTCTCACAAGCTCTGTGTTTTTTATGGTGCAATTTTGCCTAACACAGCCAAGGAACATATATGTTGAACTATGGCAGAACTGACTGTATTCGCTCATAACAATATATGAGTATGTCTGTTTCCCATAACTGTGAAAATGGTGTGTTGGCAGCTTTGTAAATCTTACTAATATGACAGGTAAGAAAGCTACCTTATTAAGGGTCACCTTGCATTTTACTTGAATTTTTTAATGTAATGAAAAATTATCTTTAAAAAATGAAAGGATCCACATTTTTTCCACTTAATAATACCAGCCGACTGTTTTTTTCAAATTAAAATAATCTCTGTCAACACAGACCTGCTGACTTCACCCATTCTACTAATTTTCCTTTCTAATCTCTCAAAAGAATTTTGGGAATTCTGGGTCAAAACAGTATACCTGATACCTCCATACATAGAAATTAACTCAAAGTACAATACTGTGTTACTTTCAGATTCTTCTGTGATCTTGCAAACTACATAAGAAGTAGGAAATAATTTTCTAATTTGGCATAAAATAAATGAGAACAAAACTTTTGGTTGAAATGTATAGTCAGAGTTGATGGGTCTCTGAAGTATCATCGGTGGTATGAAATAACACTGTCAGCTTGGCTTGGTGGCTCATGCCTATAATCTCAGCACTTTGGGAGGCCAAGGCAGAAGGATCACTTGAGGCCAGGAGTTTGAGACCAGACTATGCAACAAAGTGAGACTGTGTCTCCATAAAAAATTAAACAATTAGCTGGGTGTGGTGGTATGCACCTTGTAGTTCCGACTACTCAGGAGACTGAGGTGGGAGGATCCCTTGAGCCCGGAAACTCAAGGTTGTAGTGAGTAGTGATTGTGCCATTGTACTCCACCCTGGATGACAGAGTGAAATCTTGTCTCAAAATAAATAAATAACACCACCACCACCAATAATATTGTCAACTACCAACTATCAGATAAGCCTTATTTAATTTTTGTTTGGAAAATATGAATTTGACAAGCAAGCTGAGTAGCTGGTTTAAAAGGCTATACTTCTTTATTATCTCAAGAAGGGATTTATGGAAGAACATGGAATGTTTGTAGGGCCTACAAATATTGACTAGAGGGGGGAACTAATGAATACTGTATGGATTCTGAACAAGGTCTAAACTGCGTACTTCTTACAAATTCAAAATATATTCTGGGAGTGAGAAACACACCTGAAGGACAAGTGGAGTCAACATGTATTCTGGGAGTGAGAAACACACCTGAAGGACAAGGCCTGCTGGTAATTTTTTTTATATGTAATGGAAGAACATGATTTAAGGCAAATCAGTGAAAATCTTAAGGTAGACACCCTGCACTAAATTCCTTAAGTTACCTCTTGACTAACTTCCCAGCCAATGTCTGGAATAGGAGAAAGGTCATCTTAAATGGGAAAAGAGGAGTAGCTGGGGTACTAAGGAATTTGATAACCAAAGGTAGAGAAGAAAACTGATGTACCTATAGAATGAGGCTCAGAACTGTTTATGGTCATGGTTCATTTAGATGAGGGCTAAAGATCTTGTTATGTCCTGAATTGTTTCCCTGACCCCCAATTCATATGTTGAAGTCTTAACCCCCAGTACCTCTGAATGTAACTGTATTTAAAGACAAGGTCTTTAAAGAGGTAATTATGTCCTCACAGGAGAGGAGATTAAAACACAGACATGCACAGAGACTATGTGAAGACACAGTGAGAAGATGATCTACAAGCCAAGGGAAGGGGCCTCAAATAAATCAACCCTGCCAACACCTTGATCTCCTTGATCTCAAACTCCTAGCCTCCAAAACTGTCAGATGTTTAAGCCATCCAGTCTGTCATACTTTGTTATGGCAGCCCTCACAAACTAATACAGACCTAAAGAGAAAGGGCCATAAAATAATTAAATTAAGAATGGTATCTAAAATCCTTTGGAAACTCAAGAAATACAATGCTCCTTTTGAGATAAAAGTGCAGTAGAGCATTCATGTGGGAAAGTGGTTTTTCCCATTCATTTCAGCACTGCATGTACTAGAATAGGAAGCATAAAAGTGAATGACCAAATAGTAGCTGATCAGACATGAAAGATGCATTTGCATCAGTGTAATAGAGGCAAATATACACTGTGAGAACTAAAAACCTTGGAATTACTAACACCTGACACTCCAGGAGCCATCATTTTAATCTGCTTTCTTGTATCCCTCAACTTTAGAGCCAACAAGATTTGAAATGGCCAGAGTTCCTTGTGATAAAGGGGTTTGTTTTTATTTAGTAAATGTTAATACTCTCAAAATATAATTTAGCAAAAATTTTACTGTCACGTAATAAAAAGGCCAAAATAACATCTCCAGCTCTACTCCCAAAGTCATTTCACAGAAAATAATGAGAGATACTCTCCATGCTAATAGAAACAAAAAATTTTAAGGTTATTCAAATTGACTTATACAATAATCTCCCTGCCCACTTGGCTTCCATTATTAGTACAGATTTGAGCAAACTGATAGATTTCTATGGGAGTCAGAAAAAGTTTTTATTGTTGACAGCACAAACACACTCTGTAGAACAGATGCTGTCATCAAATTGTAGTATTATTCAGTTACTCTGCTTTGAAATTAAGTGAAGTACTTGTTTAAAAATGTTTTCTCATTAGAATGTACAATGATCATTTAAAATTCTATCTGCTATAATAGGATATTTCTATCACATTGCAATCTGGACTGTGCCATAAACACTATTGTACTTGAACAGATGGAAATCATAAAGTGATATTTAGCTACAGATTTCCTGTCATATAGTTTTGCAAACTGAAAGAGGAAAAATCAACACTTGCAACCAACTAAAAACAAAATACTATCCAGTAAGCTAAAGTGATGCTAATGTGACATAAGAATATAAATGCATTCAATTTAATGTACTGTGACTTTTGGGGAAAAAAGTAAATATTAAAAAGATATTTCACAAATTTATTCAAGTTTATGATGGGGGCAGGGCCCAGAGAAGGAGTGACATGAAAGACATCTACAACATACAAACTCTGACATTGCATGTAATAGTTTTAACGGATCAAGTGCTATATGTCCTAGTAAACTCAGTATATGATGGTTAAGAAATATCCAAGGATATTAAGGAATACCGTTTGAACTTTAAAGACTTAATTCCTTCTTACAGAAATGTGATACCTGCAACCTGCTTCATAAAATTACTAAGGAAATTAATAAATGTATGCAAAGTACTATACAGTGATAAGCAATTTTAATTCCAGGGAGAGCTTTTTAACTCATCAACAGATGAATGTCTAATCTATTAGCCACATAACACCACATTGCTGATTGATAAATCTAAAATTCTAGTTTCTAAACTGACAGTTTTGAAAATCAATACAGTCATCAAAACTAACATTATAGTGAAATATATTCCAGACACATGTGCTCAAGAATGCCTATCTAAAGAAACATCATAATTAGCCATTTATATTCCATGCATTTTACAAACATACAATATATCAGTCAAGGTCCAATTAGAAATTAGAAATCACACAGGAGTTTGAACAGGGAAAATTCAACATAAAGAATCATTATTATAACTAAACAGAGTACTGGAATAACCAGAGATTGGCTACTAAGAAGTAAGGAGAACTCTAGAACATGATAAGGCGCAACCACCACCCTTAGAACTAAAACGGAATGGCCAAGAAAGAATACCTACTATATCCCCAGACTAAGATCCAGATTTTGTTGGAAAGGTCACAGCTATGGCTCACTGGATGGCACAGAAGATGCTGTGGTGCTACATAAGCAGAACTTGCTGGAAATCTGTCCTTTAGAGCGTCATGAAAAGCTATTCATGGGTGGTGTCTCACTGGAAGCACTCCACTATAAAACCACCCAGAAGATGTTGGCTGCTAGGTGCTGCTGGTTTCCATGCACTGCAGGAGCCAAACGCTATTGCTACAAGCAGCAAAAGCAGCAGAGTTACTCTGCTACAAAACTGCCTCGTGGGTGGATAGGGTATAGGGTTCTGCAAGAAGCTACAGGCCATTGAGTGCAGATGACCATTTTGCACTTTAGGAGCCAGGGAAGCTGCAAGCACTCAAAAACTAGTAAAGAAGCTCCCTTCCTCCTTTAATGGCATTGTGTCAGTACCCTTAACTGACAAAAGTTAATACTGTGCCAGCTGGCAAAGGAAAAATATTTAAAGGATTCATCTCCATTTTCCCAGGGCAGTAAACGAAGGGTAAATATGTTTTTTCTTTGTGTGTGTGTGTGTCTGTGTGTGTGTGTGTGTGTGTGTGTGTGTGTGGCTTTTATTTATCTTTGAAGGGTAAATAAAGAGGTGAGAGTTACATTGATGAGTAGGACACTCAGCTAGAATTCCAAACTGCTATGTTTTACCTTGGGAAATGGAAAATAAAGATGTAAGCCAATGAGTCAAGGATGAGAAAACCTTAGGTAAAATCAATTCCTTAAACCTGTTTTCCTAATTTTAAAAAAGGGGAACAACCATTCATATTCAAGACACTTTTGTGGGGGATAGATGGATAAAATACAAAATTTGAATATTCTGATTTGGGGCCTGTTTTCCCTCGGAAACATAGGCTAAGCCAGAAGAAAGGACACATATATCAAAAATCAAAAATAAAAAAGCAAACATAGGCTAAGCCAGAAGAAAGGACACATATATCAAAAATCAAAAATAAAAAAGCAAACATAGGCCTAAACCAGAAGAAAGGACACATATATCAAAAATCAAAAATAAAAAAGCATCAAATATGTAAATAACTGGGGGGTTTTCAGCCAATTGTTTTTAACAAGTTTACTCTTGTTGAAACAAAAGACGAATGACTGTGCCCGCTGTCTTCTCTTACTATGCCTATCAAGCATGATTAGCTAATACTTAGAACATTTCTCCTTGCTATGTATATATAACATATGGTTATAATGGCTAGACTATGGCATATGATAAATATGAAGAAAATGGTAATTTTAAAAAGAGAGAGGCCGGGTGTGGTGGCTTATGCCTGTAATCCCAGCACTTTGGGAGGCCGAGGCAGGCAGATCACCTGAGGTCAGGAGTTCAAGACCAGCCTGGTCAACACGGTGAAACCCCCTCTCTACTAAAAATACAAAAATTAGCTGGACATGGTGGTGAATCCCTGTAGTCCCAGCTACTCGGGAGGTTGAGACAGGAGAATCGCTTGAACCTGGGAGGCGGAGGTTGCAGTGAGCCGAGATGGCACCACTGCACTACAGCCTGGGTGACAGAGTGAGATTCCGTCGCAAAAAAGAAAGGAGAGAGAGAGAGAGAAAGGCTGCTACACTAGACACAAATTTTGTTCTTCATTCCCTGCACTCTTAATTTTACAGCCTCAGCCTAGAAACCTCATTCAGTCCCATGTTAACACCTAAATCTTCATTTCCAAGCTAATCTTGGAAATTAGCTTGGAATTTTCAAGCTTTAAGGTGCCTAAGGCACCCTAAAGATAACATATCATATGTAACAACCAAGTTCCTTTTAAAATGTCATAAAAATTGACCCCAAAAAGAAAGTGAAAACCTGAAAAAAAAAAACCCAATAACCATTAAAGAAACTGACGGTCAAAAATCTCCACCATCCTATAGCAACTCTCTGTTCCAACAGGTATCAGGTCCAGAGGATACGGCTGAACAGAGCCAAAAGGTAGAATGGGGGCACGGGTGAATGGGACACAGGCACTTGGTTGCTACATTCAATTTAGTGTGTTTTATGTATAGCTGCTGCAACTTGGAAGTCCTGGGAATTATTATTATAAACCAACTTCACTTCTATATTATATTGATGCTATTCCCTTATTTACCAGTTACATATAACCCAAATTATTTTCTGAAATAAACAATGTAATAAAATAGATTGTGTTATTTCTGTGTAATTTTATTAGAGAAAGAATTCTACTGAAAGGAGGGAAGCCAGGAGAGAGAGAGAAAGGAATGGAGGAAGAGAGAAAAGAAAGAAAGCAAGAAAGGGTAAAGAATTAATTAATTCACTGACTGATTGATTAACCTGGAAAAAAACTGCATTAGACTATCTTCTCCAAAACTGATGTCTCCCATCCAGGTTTCTAATGGGAGGTGAAGAGGTAATGAGCTCAAGGTTAAATATCCTGATGATAAACCAAGATTCATGGAAGATAAGTCACTCTGCTTTTAACTGGGTCTATCCAGGGTGGATTAGCACCTTTGACTTTAAATTCTGAGTTAAATAAAGATATAATAACCAAAACCAAACAAGCAAACACACAACAACACGAAAACCCCTTCATTCTCATTAAGAAAAAGAGCTAAGGCCGGGCACAGCGGCTCACACCTGTAATCCCAGCACTTTGGGAGGCCGAGGTTGGCGGATCATGAGGTCAGGAGATCGGGATCATCCTGGCCAACATGGTGAAACCCCGTCTCTACTAAAAATATAAAAATTATCAGGGCGTGGTGGTGCATGCCTGTAATCCCAGCTACCCAGGAGGCTGAGGCAGGAGAATCGATTAAACCCAGGAGTTGGAGGTTGCAGTGAGCCTAGATGGCACCACTGTACTCTAGCCTGGTGACAGAGATAGACTCCATCTCAAAAAATAAAAATAAAAAAAAAGAAAGAAAAAGAGCTACATTGCTTTTCATTGGCTATAATTTTCAATTCTATGGTAGAAATTCAAAATAATATCACTCTAAACCAGAAATGTAAAGTAAGATGGGCCACCTTATGGCATTTTCTTCCACATGCCCTTCAAGGAAACACTCAACATAAAAAATAACAGGGCTTGCTGGGCACAGTGGCTCATGCCTGTAATCCCAGCACTTTGGGAGGCTGAGGCGGGCAGATCACGAGGTCAGGAAATCAAGACGATCTTGGCTAACACGGTGAAACCCTGTCTCCACTAAAAATACGAAAAATTAGCTGGGCGTGGTGGGGCACCTGTAGTCCCAGCTACTAGGAGGCTGAGGCAGGATAATGGTGTGAACCTGGGAAGCAGAGCTTGCAGTGAGCCGAGATTGCGCCACCGCATTCCAGCCTGGGCCACGGAACGAGACTCTGTCTCAAAAAAAAAAAAAAAAACAGGGCCAGGCACGTTGGTTCACGCCTGTAATCCCAGCACTTTGGGAGGCCAAGGCGAGCAGATCATGAGGTCAAGAGATCGAGACCATCCTGGCTGACATGGTGAAACCCGTCTCTATTAAAAATATAAACAATAGCTGAGCTTAGTGGGGCGTGTCTGTAGTCCCAGCTACTCGGGAGGCTGAAGCAGGAGAATCACTTGAACTCAGAAGTCGGAGGTTGCAGTGAGCTGAGATCACGCCACTGCACTCCAGCTTGGTGACAGAGCGACACTCTGTCTCAAACAAACAAACAAACAAAAAACTAAAAAACCCCACAAAGTTACTGCTAAGTAAAGGCATGTTACTGTCAACCTTAATAACAAACTGAGAAAGGTTCTCTAAAAGAAAGATATTTATTTGGAAAGAGCATTTTCATGAGAATACCTGTGTCATAGTAAACAATGTGTGTATTTATAGAAGTTAGGAAGACAATAGTTTTTAAAGGAAAAGTGAGGAGGATAAGATAAATGTTTTAAAATGATTATCCTTGGCTATAAAGATCAATAACAAGAGTGACACGAGTCAAAGGTTGGACAGCCAGTTGCTGGGCAGATGTGTTGGGTAGAAGTATTTATTGAGTAAAGTTGTGATGGCCTTTGTACATGGTTGTGGTTTTTGTGGAGTCTTTTATGATAGTTTTTATCAAGCGTGCAAGCATGAGAACCCTCTCTTCACAGCCTCCTCCAGCTCTATTTGTCAGGGTTTTTTGTTTGTTTGTTTAACATTAGTGATTCCATTTTGACTTTGACAACTTTTACACTATATAGCTGTTCTAAAATTTCATTTTGCAAAATGAATACTGATATGGTTTGGCTGTGTGCCAATCACATCTCAAATTGCAGCTCCCATAATTCCCATGTGTCATGGGAGGGAACCAGTGGGAGGTAACTGAATCATGGGGGCAGGTCTTTCCCATGCTGTTCTTGTACTATTAAATAAGTCCCACAAGATCTAATGGTTTTATAAAGGGGAGTTCCCCTGCACTAGCTGTCTTGTTTGCCGCCAAGTAATACATGTCTTGCTTCACCTTCACCTTCCACCATGATTGTGAGGCCTCCCCAGCCATGTGGAACTGTGGGTCCATTAAACCTCTTTCCTTTATAAATGACCAGTCTCGGGTATGTCTTTATTAGCAGCATGAGAACAGACTAATACAGTAAATTGTTACTGAGGTAGTGGGGTGCTGTTGTAAAGATACCCACAAATGTGGAAGCTACTTTGAAAGTGGGTAATAGGCAGAGGTTGGAACAGTTTGGAGGGCTCAGAAGACAGAAAGATGTGGGAAAGTTTGGAACTTCCTGGAGACTTGTTGAATGGCTTTGTTCAAATGCTGCTCATCTCAGATAGAGATGAGAAACTTCTGGGAACTAAAATAAAGGTGACTCTTACTATGTTTTAGCAAAGAAACTGGTGGCATTGTGCCCCTGCCCTGGAGACCTGTGGAACTTTGAACTTGAGAGAAATAACTTAGGGTATCTGGTGGAAGAAATTTCCAAGCAGCAAAGTGTTCAAGAGGTGACTTGGGTGCTGTTAAATGCATTCAGCTTTATGTACTTACAAAAATATGGTTTGGAATCAGAACTTAAGTTTAAAAAAGCAGCAGAGCATAAAAGTTCAGAAAATCAGCAGCCTGACAATGCAATAGAAAAGAAAAACCCATTTCCTGAGGAGAAATTCAAGCCAGCTGTAGAAATTTGCATAAGTAACAAGGAGCCAAATGTTAATCACCAAGACAATGAGGAAAATGTCTCCAGGGCATGACATGTCTTCATGGCAGCCCCTCCCATCACAGGCCCAGAGGCCTAGGAGGAAAAAATGGTTTCCTGGGCCAGGCCCAGAGCCTTGCTGTTTTATGTAGTCTCAGGACTTGGTGCCCTGCTTCCTAGCCATGGCTAAAAGGGGCCAAGGTACAGCTCATGCAGTGGCTTCAAAGGGTGCAAGCACCAAGCCTTGGTGGCTTACAAGTGATGTTGGGCCTGTGGGTGCACAGAAGTCAGAAACTGAGGTTTGGGAACCTCCACCTAGATTTCAGAGGTTGTATGGAAATGCCTGGATATCTCCAGGCAGAGGTGTGCTACAGTCGTGGGGCCCTCATAGAGAACCTCTGCTAGGGCACTGTGGAAGGGAAATGCTCTGTGGGAGCCCCTATACAGAGTCCCCACTGGGGAACTACCTACTGGAGCTGTGAGAAGAGGGGCACTGTACTCCAGACCCTAGAATGGTAGACAGCTTGCATTGTGCACCTGGAAAAGCTGCAGATGCTCAAAGCTAGCCCATGAACACAGTCACAAGGGAGGCTGTACCCTGCGAAGCCACAGAGGCAGAGCTGTCCAAGACCATGGGGAAGCCCACCTCCTGCATCAGCGTGACCTGGATGTAAGATAGGGAGTCAAAAAAGATCATTTTGGAGCTTTAAGATTTGACTGCCCCACTGGATTTCGGACTTGCATGGGGCCTGTAGCCCCTTTGTTTTGGCCTATTTCTCCCATTTGGAATGGCTGTATTTGCCCAATGCCTATACTGCCACTGTATCTAGGAAGTAACTAACTTGCTTTTGATTTTTCAGGCTCATAGGCAGAGGGGACTTGCCTTGTCCCAGATGAGACATTGAACTGTAGACTTCTGAGTTAATGCTGAATGAGTTAAGACTTTGGGAAGGCATGATTCATTTTGGAATGTGAGGACATGAGATTTGGGAGGGGCCAGGGGCAGAATGATATGGTTTGGCTGTGTCCTCACCCAAATCTCATCTTGAATTGTAGCTCCCATAATTCCCATGTGTTGTGAAAGGGACACAGTGGGAGGCAACTGAATCATGGGGGTGGATCTTTCCTCTGCTGTTCTCATGATAGTGTATAAGTCTCACGAGATCTGATTGTTTTATTCATGATAGTGAATAAGTCTCATGAGAGCTTGTCCCCTGCACAAGCTCTCTTGCTTGCTACCATGTAAGACGTGTCTTGCTTCCCCTTCACCTTCCCCCATAATTGTCAGGCCTCCCCAGCTACGTGTAACTGTGGGTTCATTAAACCTCTTTCCTTTATAAATTACCAGTCTCGGGTATGTCTTTATTAGCAGTGTGAGAACAGACTAATACAAATATTGACAGTGATAGAAAATCTATGATTTGGATAAAAGTGCTAGAAAAAGGTGAAATGCTGATGGGGAAGTAACCGTAAAATGAAGGAAAAAAAAGTAGAACACCTTAAGCATTAGTGGACATTTCTATCCTCTGAAAGCACTGGAAGATGATATTGTGGAAAGGGGAATCAATTAATTATGAATCAATGCATTGCATGCATACTGAAGGAGAATTGATAATTACGTTACTATGCAAATACAAAAAATAAATTGAACAAGATTTCATGTTAACCTTCCTTAGCCACTAAACAATATAAATAAAACCGTATGTCCTAGCTATGCTACTTCCATCTCCAAAATCATGCATAAAGAAGAAAGTTACAATATCAATTCCTCAAGGTACATATCTTAGACCTAAATCTGTCACTTTGACAAAGTACTTTTGGCTTTGGACTGTAGTGCTACCAAATAAGAAAAATTCTTGCCTACCCTAATAGAGGTGCTCAATATGAAATTAAGATTTAAATTATGCTGATTTTGTTAGGTAAGACAGATGGCTGTCCTATAAAATAACAATATACAATGCCCTAATTCTATTATTGATGAGTTAATTAAAGAATGAAAAGAAAAGTGAACCCATTTATAAAATCAATCATTCAAGTGGCATTAAGAATACTGGGGAACAGCTGGGCACAGTGGCTCATGCCTGTAATCTCAGCACTTTGGGAGGCTGAGGCT
The DNA here is from genome assembly GCF_000001405.40 of Homo sapiens. NCBI lineage: Eukaryota > Metazoa > Chordata > Mammalia > Primates > Hominidae > Homo > Homo sapiens. The sequence continues at coordinate 87,011,488 of NC_000001.11, read as the reverse complement.
CAAGATCACTTGAGCCCAGGAGTTCCAGACCACCTTGGAAAACATAGTGAGACCCTGTCACTACAAAAAAATTAAAAAATTAGCTGGGTGTGGTGGTGTGCACCTGTGGTCCCAGCTGTTGGGAGGCAGAGGCAGAATTGCTTGAGCCCAAGAGTTCAAGGCTGCAGTGAGCTATGATCATGCCACTGCACTCCACCCTGGGCAAAATTTAAAAAATAATAATAAAAAGAATGCCAGAGGAAAAAATTTTGGTAAAAAGTAAAAGGAATTATAACTGAACAAAAACATAATGGAACTGACGGCTTTTTGATTTGACAGGAAGGAAATTCAGAATCTCAATTTTTATGTTCAGAATTATTTGCTACTCATTCATAGGAATATTTTTCTATAAGAAATGTGAAGAGGCCAGGCACAGTGGCTCATGCCTATAATCCCAGCACTTTGGGAGGCTGAGGTAGGCCGATCACCTGAGGCCAGTAGTTCAAGACCAGCCTGGCCAACATGGTGAAACCCCATCTCTACTAAAAATACAAAAGTTAGCTGGGCATGGCAGCACACACCTGTAGTCCCAGCTACTCAGGAGGCTGAGGCAGGAGAATCGCTTGAACCCGGGAAGTGGAAGCTGCAGTGAGCCGAGATCATGCCACTGCACTCCAGCCTGAACAACAGAGACTCTGTCTCAAAACAAAACAAAACAAAACAAAACAAAACAAAACAAAACAAAACAAAACAGTAAAATCTATTTGTGTCTTTATATGCTTTTATTGTGTTTTAAATAAATAAGAAATATTACTTTAAAACCTTTGGTACTTCAAAATATTTCAAATTTATAGCCAAATGAATATAAGAGCAGAACATCTAGTATTAGTCTACATATGAAAATATCTAACATGAAAAATAAAAATGTTTAATTTGTTACTCCAAATTTCTCTACTGGCTCCTTTACCAGAATGGTACTCTATACAAAAAAAACAAGGAGGGAATAATATTTTTTTCCTACATTATTGCCAATTTATTTTTGCAGTAAGAAGTTACCAGTATGGATATAAATGACATAATACGTTTTGTAAACTAATCTCTCTACATTCACCAGTGTCACTGATTTTACTGTTATTTCCTAATTACATTCTATAATATGTAAATAGTAATTAAGAAGAAAATCAAGAATCATGTAAAAGCTAAAAAAAAAAAAATTGTGCTTCTCTGCCATAAACAGTAGGGATGGAGCAGTGGTTGGTGCAGTTGGGAGATATAAATATTAACTCCTATGTGACAAACAGTATTACAGTCCTAATATGAGCTGCCTTTCCCTTACTGAGCCTGTTCCTATAGAAGGCTTACATTTCTTGCTTTCATTTGACCTGCTTTACTAATGAAATGTGAAAGTGCTATGTGCCAGTTTCTAGCAGAAGTTTGTTTTTGTTTTTTTTTTTGTTTTGTTTTGTTTTGTTTTTGAGACAGAGTCTCCCTTTGTCGCCCAGGCTGGAGTGCAGTGGCGTGATCTTGGCTCACTGCAAGCTCTGCCTCCCTGGTTCACGCCATTCTCCTGCCTCAGCCTCCCGAGTAGCTGGGACTACAGGTGCCCGCCACCAGGCCCAGCTAATTTTTTTGTATTTTTAGTAGAGACGGGGTTTCACCGTGTTAGCCAGGATGGTCTCGATCTCCTGACCTCGTGATCCACCCGCCTCGGCCTCCCAAAGTGCTGAGATTACAGGCATAAGCCACCGCACCTGGCCTCAAGCAGAAGTTTTAAGAGCCATGACACAGGTCCTGCTATCACACCTTCCTCTCTCCTTTAGCCTAGGTTATCAGAATAAGCGGGTACAGAGCAGAACACAGCAGATTCACACAGTAAACGAGAACAAATAAGCCACTAAAATTTTGGAGTTGTTTGCTATCACGGTTTACCAAAAGCTGACTAATAAACCATGATATGTGGGGAGTGAGAGAGATGTCCAATATCGTAAGCAATACAGATGTTAAAAACAGTCAAATGGTATATACCTATGGCAACTACTCAACATGAAGTCCATTTCTGTGTTTGTTAGTACTGGCTAACTGGCTAGTTGTATGTCAGGGAACTACCATAAATAACAAGACCAGTTGCTCCCATTTTCTTGGAAATCTCTTCAATGTCTGAGATTGCATTTAATTTGAGCCTGTTCACCTTTCCTACTTCTTTCCAAAGATTACTGGAAAGAAGGTTAATTATCACACTTACTGTTTTATACACAGTTTAAAGGGATGGAGAAAGGTAAACACATAATACACATTGTACATAACAGAGGTAATAGTGACAAGCTAGGAATTCGCAATATTGTCCACAGTAATTTTCTAATTTCAAACTCCTTCTGGGCCAGTATGGGGTGGCTCATGCCTACAATCTGGGAGGCCGAGGTGGGCGATCGCTTGAGCTCAGGAGTTTGAGACCAGCTTGGACAACATGGTAAAATCTCATCTCTAGAGAAACTACAAAAATCAGCAGGGTGTGGTGGCATGCACCTGTGGTCCCAGCTACTTGGGAGGCTGAGGCAGGCGGATCACTTGAGTCCAGGAGGTCGAGGCTGCAGTGAGCCATGATTGCACCACTGCACTCTAGCCTGGGTGACAGACTGAGACCCTGTCTCGAATAAATAAATAAAACAAAACAACACAACACAACTCCTTCTGAATTTCGTAGCTTGGTAGCTAGAGAATTAGCAAGTAGATTTTAATATTTTAAAATACTGCTTATGAGGAATTTTTACTGTAATGGGGCTTGTGAAACCTTCTTGAGCCAGTCAAACACAAACAGTTGTACCCACTCCAAGTCTTTTCAATTTTATCCTGCATTGTTTCCTAATAAATTTACCTACTTGCCATTTTAAATGGCTGTCAAAACATTAATTTATGAGCTGGACTAAAAGGTTACTTGCTACTGAATTTAGAAAGTTCGCTTAAGAACTGCCTTGGAGTTTCTGGATAACTGATACTGAAGCAAATGCAATTAAGTAAAACATTCATGTCATTGTTGCTCAGTAATTATGTTTCAAAATATTACAGTGTATAAATGTTTTGTCAATACATGACACAAGCAATCAGTCTTCATTTCTGCTTCAGTGTTAGATATAATTTAATTATCAAACTCTAAATATGAGTCATTAACTGATGGTATATGTTATACATTATTTTGCCCTAAGAACGAGTTGTGAAAAGTAATGAGACTAATTTCTGTATAACCTACTGGACTTTTCTTATTTTTAAGTCACTCTACATATTGATTATATCTCAATATAATTTCAGGTAAATTGACTTTGCTTCTCTTGAGATTTAATACAGGAAACATTCTACTTAAATTATTTGTCAGGAAGACTAGACCAAAAGCAGTGTCCAAGATGCCCAATGTAAGTAATTTTCTATTAAAATATTATTTCTTTCCTCACAATTCCGAAATCTGAGTACCTTTCTTAGTTATATGCTACAATTTAAAATTATTTTATACCCACTATATACCCACAAAAATTACAAATAAAATTTTTTAAAAAAATAACTTTTACTTTAATTTGCAAATAAGAAGATAGATTTTTACCATTTTATTTTACTGAAAACTAAGATTACACAGTTGAGACTGTTGACAGATTTAAAAATAGATGCACAGGAATATACAGAAAATAATAAACACAGCACTTCAAGGAGAATTTGATGCTATTATTTTTAATGAAAGACAGACAAGGACACAAGCATTGAAATGGTATTCTGCATTAGCATTGTGCATAAATGATAAACTATGTCACACTGCAAATACTGTAAAGTCAAGTGTCATGAAGTAGCCTTAGAATGAAAAAAATACCGTAAAGATGTGAATTACTGGAGAAATGTCAGAGGAGTGCAAAGTATTTTGAGAGGAAAAAAAATGAGTAGAAAGTAACAGGTATGAAGTGAAACAGGAGGTGGTTTCTCCTATCACATTTTAACCAGCCTTGCTATGCTGGGAGTGTATAATTACCAATATAATGCTCTCACAGTGCTTGAGTGTATGTCCTTCTATGCATCCTCTATAATAACTTAGGGGCCATGCCTCTAGGTATTCCCACCATTGTAGAAATGGTGGCAGGAGCTACAAATTAAATATTTGGTAGATATTTTTAATCATATGTTAGGAAGCCAAGCATCACAAAATATAAAGATAAATAGAAAATGCATGTACACATATACATGGATCTCTTAGGATGTTATATGAATATGTGTGTGTGAAAGTACGTGTATGAACTATATTCTTGAATATAAACTTTTTAAAAAAAACTAGAACAAGTAGTATCATAAACTGATAAATCTGAGTTTCTAAATGATTTTCATTTGCTTCTGGTATGACTGCAGGGCTTAAGAAAAGAAATTAAGAGGTTATTTAGGTATAATCTATACAGAACTTGTTGACCAAAAAATCTTTATGCTATTGTAAGAAAAAAAATTGACCCTTCTTCCTACTGCAATGGACAGCATTACTCACTTAGTCTAAAATATCTTCTCTTTTATAAGACTGCTATTTCACTCACTCCATTCTGTAGAGAAAAAAAGTACTAGCAGCCGTATAATGAAAGGACTAGAAGAATTCTACAACAGAAAGTTAACAGTGACTTGTCCTTATCGCTCTAACTCAGCAGCTGCTAGTGAACAAAAATTATTGCTAATAAAGGGATTAAGCTATTATCTTATGTTAGCAAATATTTAGAAATAAATTTTAGATTAATCATAGCATGTTTATATTATGAGAAGAAATGACTAAAATGATTCAAACTTTAGTTAGAATACTCATAGCATGATTTACCTTTACATGGCAATCTTAAGCTTTAATAATTTCATGTATAATGGATCAATATAAAGAAATGATTCAATTTATTTCATTCAGAATTTTCATCTTAACCATTCTAATTAACTAAAATCTATAACCATTTGGCTATTAATCATCTGTGCACAGAATTACTAAGTGTTGCCTTTAATAAAAATACAATCTCATGATAATAGGCTTCATCAATCAGTAGACAGGCATTGCCTATATATGCAAACCAAGTCCTGTTGACTAGTAAGTGCTCTGTGTGCATTATCTACCTCAATGCCCTTTATTTAAGGATATCTTGCATGTCTGGGTTGTGCTGTAATAATAAACTAGCACAGCAACTCCCATGGCTCACAGCATTACTAAATGTCTTCTTTTGAACCTTTTGGCAACAAAAAATAAGCTGAGTGGGTCATGTCAATGCTAAATTGTTTCATTAATTCACTACTATCCTTGGGCAATACTACTGCATTTTAAGGTAATGGAAAACATTACAAGGAAAACAGTAAGCATTTCCCCAAATTGCACTGGAATGCTAAACAGCCTATACAAAACTTACCAGTGTATTTCAAGATTTTCACAAAAATTTTTTAATTAAAGTTTTGTTTTCATAACAGATTAGACAAGAATTTCTCTTATTCTACCTAATATTTAGAAAGTTATGAAAACCCTAATTTTATACAAAAATATGGCTCTAGAAATAAATCTTTCTTTTCACTCAAAAATGTAATGAGGATATTTTCTTTACATGGAAGAAGTAGAGACAACAGTAACGTAATCTTCCATTTCTCACAAAATACTAACAGAAATCCACTGTTTTCTTCCATCACACTGATTCTTAAAAAAATTCTAAAAAGTTATTTTATCATAGGCGAATCCTTCAAAGTACACCAAATTTTGGTAATATGACTGAGGAGAACAAGGATTGGCATGTGAGGTCTTTCACTATGTAATTATAATTTAGGAGCATCTCAGTTCACCTAGTAAAAGAGAATCTCTTAAACATGCCACGAAGGCCAACTGAATACTTAGGTATCCAACAAGTGATGATATATAAAGGAAGAGCATTCAAAATGTATACATTCATTTAATCATTAATTATTGAATCCACAATTGCTACAGAGATGTTTACAGTGTTATTATTTTGCCAACAATGTAAATCACTGATGTTTATTTATACACTAAATGTTTAATGTCACTCAATTTTGTCTTTTATTGTAGTTAATTTTTTCACTGGCTATACCTTTATTTACTTTATAATTTAATATAATGATTTAAGAGTCAATTAGTTAAAATAACAAAAATAGATTAAATATTTTATTTGCTTAAAAAGGTACCAGGATTGATTTATTTGAAAATTTAGGAAAATTGGAGGATAAGGTACACCAACCTTGAGCTAACAAGACAAAATATTGAAAGCTCAAGAAAAATAACAAAACCAACATGTACAGAAGAGGATTCTGCCTCTGCGTGGGCAAAAGGGTATTCACACTATGATAAGCAACCCTTCTCAATTTGAGATTCATAGCAAAAGATATCAACTTTAAAAGATATTGATACAAAGAAAAAAAAATCTTACCAGAGGGACATGATAACTATCTTTAAACATGCAACTGCCATCCTGTGGAAAGCTGATTAGGCTTAAACTTTTAACTGCAGAGGTCAAAACTGGGACCATGGAATGGAAAATAACAGGCACTTTTTGTTCAATTAATTATTCAAACTATTATTTCCAAGGATGACCTAATTAAAAATGAAATAGATTGTCCTTTACTAATGTTACCATTTGTAGAAATTTTAAGCAGGGGACTGATATCAAAAACGATATGGCCTGGATTTCTATATTGGTTGAGAATATGCACTATATGACTCCTAAGCCTCCTTGTCACTCTTAATATTCTTCAAAAAACTTGAAGCTCTATAGCACCTTTAGTGTTAGTGTTCACCATGAGTGCACTGTGAATATTTCTAGAAAGGATATTTTGTCTTTTATATTCTCGTATCAAACTATGGATGGAATTAGTTCAGGGAATACACTCAAACTGGCACAAAAAATTTTACTTTGTCATTCTTCAGATGACAGTGACTCTAATACAGAGTAAATATTTCTCTGCTTATAAACAGTACTTGCTGTATGATGCATTCCTCTAACAGCCCCTTAACAATGTTATATATAAATATATATGTCAAAAGGGTAAGGAAAAAAATAGACTTTTGTGTAAAAAAACCAAACTACATAGTGATTGAGATACGCAGGCTTATATATATATTTGTTCATTTGTTTTGAGACAGAGTCTCCCTCCATCGCCCAGGCTGGAGCACAGTGGCGTGATCTCGGCTCGCTGCAACCTCCACCTCCCAGGTTCAAACACTTCTACTGCCTCAGCCTCCCAAGTAGCTGGGATTACAGGTGCCTGCCACCATGCCCACCTAATTTTTCTACTTGTAGTAGAGATGGGGTTTCACCACGTTGGCCAGGCTGGTCTCGAACTTCTGACCTCAGGTGATCCGCCCATCTCAGCCTCCCAAAGTGGTGGGATTACAGGTGTCAGCCACCACGCCCGGCCAGTATTCAGTAAATATTTTTTGAATCAATAAATGAACAACAAAAAAGATTCAGAAGCTGTTTGGTGGCATAAACATTTTCCTTAGCCACATATTGAGAATCCTATTGTTAAAAAATGTAACAAGTTAGCTGAGGACTAAAAAACAAACAATTACATAGAGTTGTCTGTCCCTCAGTATCCACAGAAGATTGGTTTTAGGAACTCTGGCAAATACCAAACTTCAGAGGAGATGCTCAAGTCCCTTATATTAAATTGTATAATATCTGCATATAACCTACACACATCCTCCTGTATACTTATATCATCTCTAGGTTGCTTATTACACCTAATACAATGAAAATTTTATGTAAATGGTTGTTATACTGTATTGTTCAGGGAATAATGACAAGAAAAAAAAAAGTCTGTACATCTTCAGTACAGAAGCAACCATCCTTTCTCTGAATATTTTTTATTGTGATTAGTTGAATCCAGGTACGGAACCAATGGGTACAGGGAGCTGACTGTATTTGACAGGGTCTATAAAGAGCATCAAACAAAATTCAAGAGAGAAGCATAAAAGAAATTACAAAAATTGACGCTTTTTGTTCTAACACAAACCCAGAATATGCAACTCTAAGTGCATCTGATTAAATAGGTTAATGGTAACGTAAGCACTGAACTTTACAATGCTATTCATAAAAACAAAAACTAACTGGTTTTTGTTCATGAATACTGTATACATTCAAAAATTATTTTTTAGCTTTAGTTAACTGCACATAAAATCCCATTTAGTATGAATACTAATGTTTAACAATGTGTAAACATTATTCTATTTTTTTCTCCTGAATCTTAGCCTAAACTAATTTCATACCTAACACAAAACAGATAAAATGCATCTTAAAGAGCTTTTGACTTAATCTTATGTTCTACTTTAATCACAGCCAGTCAAGGGTTTCTTCAAAACTTATGAGGCACCAATACTTTGCTTTCCCTGTTCAAAGATCCTTCTTCACCTGATTCATCACTTATTACAGACGCCATCTTCTAGTCTGGACTGGGATCTGTGGAGCCATCAGGGCGTGGGCCACACGCACCCCTTGCTTATACAAGTAGATAGGGCCCAAATCCAACCTCTGCACCTATTGCTTCGAGAGAAGAGTAGTTCACTTATGTGTTGTACATTTATACATCCTAAGTTTCTATGACAGATTTTAATTAAATAGTTCCACTGCTAAAAAGTTGCAAGAGCCATTGTTCCATATCTACATTCTAGACTAATCAATGATTCCCAAATGGCTTTAGATGACTCCCAAAACGTCCGATCAGGAGTCAAGGATTTTCAGGGTTGTAGGTGACCAAAAAGGGGACCTATACAAGGTAGTCAGCGGGGGGGAAAATTTTTAACTTTTTGGTCAAAAGGGCAATGAAAAAAATAGACTTTTGTGTAAAAAAAACAAACTACATAGTGAATGAGACACAGAGGTTTAACTCTTTTTTTTCTTTTTCTTTTTTTTTTTTTTGAGACAAAGTCTCCAGGGTCTCACTCTTGTCACCTAGGCTTGAGTACAGTGGTGCAATCACAGCACAGCTCACTGCAGCCTCAACCTCCCAGGCTTGGGTGATCCTCCCACCTCAGCCTCCCAAGTAACAGGGACTACAGGCATACACCACCATGCCCTGCTAATTTTTTTGTAATTTTTGTAAAGACAGGGTGTCACCATATTGCCCAGGCTGGTCTGGAACTCCTGGACTCAAGCAATCTGCAAGCCTTGGCCTCCCAAAGTGATGGGACTACAAGCGTGAGCCATGGCGCCTGGCTAGGTTTAACATTTAACAGTCTAAATAGTAGCTACATACAAAGTTATCTCACCTACCAAAAAATTTAGAGGCAGTTGTTATTTTAAAAATACAATAGTCCGGCCGGGCACGGTGGCTCACGCCTGTAATCCCAGCACTTTGGGAGGCTGAAGCGGGTGGATCACGAGGTCAGGAGATTGAGACCATCCTGGCTAACACGGTGAAACCCCATCTCTACTAAACATACAAAACATTAGCCAGGCTTGGTGGCGGGCACCTGCAGTCCCAGCTACTCGGGTGGCTGAGGTAGGAGAATGGCGTGAACCCTGGAGGCGGATCTTGCAGTGAGCCGAGATCGCGCCACTGCACTACAGCCTGGGCAACACAGCAAGATTCCATCTCAAAAAAAAAAAAATACTCCTGGCATGGGGGTGGCTCACACCTGTAATCCCAGCACTTTGGGAGGCCGATGTGGACGGATCACATGAGTTCAGGAGTTTGAGACCAGCCTGATCAACATGGAGAAACCTGGTCTCTACTAAATATACAAAATTAGCCAGGTGTGGTGGCACATGCCTGTAATCCCAGCTACTCGGGAGGCTGAGGGAGGAGAATCACTTGAACCCGAGAGGCGGAGATTGTGGTGAGCCAAGATCGTGCCATTGCACTCCCGACTCGGCAAAAAGAGTGAAACTTCGTCTCAAAAAAAACTACAATAGTAATACCACAATAACAACTTTTCATAAACAGTCTTTTTAAAAGTAATACTTTATTTTTAAAGTTCTTTAATTCTGAGCTCTAAAGTTCTAGAAGGCTCTTTTAATTTTCAGAGGAAAACTGTCTTGGACTTTTAGAAACCATTTAAATATTTGAAGTTTTATTAAATTTAGATTACAAATTTTCTCCTTCGCAGATAGCCCACATAAAAAATGACAGGGCAAGGAAAATTTGGAAAACAACCACTACAACAGACTTTTTTATCCCCCAAAAGTAAATAAAGATTTGAAACTTATAATATTAACAAAATTTAACCCGAAGATTACATGGTATTTTGGGGAGATAGGAACTTGGTTCAAAAAGATAAGCAATGGATTATGAGGAGTAGCCTGTGTACAGTAAATCCAAAGGTATTCACATACAGCACCTCTCTTCTCCTGATTATCTCCACACAACATTTTGGCATTTTGGAAAAATAAAGATTTTAAAATATTTTTGCTCTCATTTTTCAGCTATTTTTCCTATTTCTCAAAGTGATATACAACATTATCAGGGTTATATCCACTTGTATAAAAACAAAAGCTTTCTTCCATTATACTTAAGATGAAGCTTCTGGATACCTGACCACTACAAAGCAACAAACCCTGGAAACCAATATACTGCAGGCATTAATTTTGATTCTGAGGGACTGGTATCTTAAATATCTCTAGAACAGTAGGCATGTTTGGCTACTCCTCAACAGAAACTGAGGGTAGAACTGGTAAAATTGTTTCAGTAGTTATAACCCAGAAAACAGGGTAGTACTTTCCCAAGTGCAAAATTGTGTATGTTCCCACTGTGCTACATAGCTGAAGCATACAAAAGCTATAAAAGGTAAATGACTGTCATGCCCTATAAAGAAAACAATAGTAGAAAACATGCATAGAGTGAAACTGGGCAAAGTCTTACAAGCTTTCAAATGCACAACTCTAGATGTCCCCAACAATTGATTAGGGCAAACTACCAACTACATTCTACTCTTTGGATCATTTTTTTGGAACAGGAAGTCTTTTGCGTTAAAACTATTCACATGCAGTCTGATGCCAGACGCCACTTAGTCCAAGTTTTATTCCCTATTTGAAGTGGGCATAATTTGGAAATTTATCATCTTGGAGCTTCTGGACTTTAGACTAAAACTCAAAAGCTGAGAGATATGTTCTACATACTTTTTGGTAAGAAATACTAGAAACAGGCATTTAATTGCTGTGTCAGTTTCCATTACATTAAAATAAGGGGATGATAATCTTCAATGTTCCTTAGTCTTAAAATTGTGTTTTTTAAGTTAGTATTCCATTAGTTTACATTTGTATAATCCAATACAGCTTTAAGAAATGATTACCTGTACATTTGATAAGGTCTCAAGCATCAATTTTAAGTCCACTTCTTATGTACTTAAAGGTAAGACTACTCATTATTTGCTTTATAAGAACTGTACTACTTTTGGGATTTTCATTTAGTTTTTTTTTTTTTAATGAGTCAAGATTTGCTAGGAGTTGGTTACTACATAACCAACCCTGTTAACTGAAAACACAGAAACAAAAAAATTAATGTTTACATTCAACCAACAGGCAAGGTGTACTTGCTGGCATAACTATTTTCTCCCTTTTTTTGGCATAACTAATCATTTGGAATATTACTGCCATTTACAAAGAGGCATTCCAAGAACATATTTTATTGTCAGAAACTTTATTATCAGAAGTACAAATAACGTGGAAATAGAAAGTTGGGTTAATGACGTGAATTCCATACCTACTCTAGGGTTACAGGAACAAAGAAAGGAAAAATCACTGTGTATTAGAAAAGCTGTGAAAAGACTCTTGCAGAATATTTGACTTTACTAGGCCTAAAACAGATGTATGATTAACAAAAGTAAGTTGGGGGGGAAAGCATAATTTGAAAAGAATGACGATATATTCTTTTTGGATATGGAAAATGTCAGAAATATAAATTGAGTCAAATGGGAGAGAGAACAGACATTGGTTTTAAAAGTCTACAGAAAAGAGCTGAAACTGAAGATGTGTACCTAGATTATTAATAGATAAACAAAAAGAAAGGGATATAACAAATGACATGGTAAAACCACTAAGAAGAAAATAAAAGGCCAGGTGTGGTGGCTCACGCCTGTAATCCCAGCACTTTGGGAGGCTGAGGTGGGTGGATCATCTGAAGTCGGGAGTTCGAGACCAGCCTGACCAACATGGAGAAACCCTGCCTCTACTGAAAATACAAAATTAGCTGGGCATGGCGGTGCATGCCTGTAATCCCAGCTACTTGGGAGGCTGAGGCAGGAGAATCGCTTGAACCCAGAAGGCAGAGACCGCGGTGAGCCGAGATCGCACCATTGCACTCTGGCCTGGGCAACAACAGTGAAACTCCATCTCAAAAAAAAAAGAAAAAGAAAATAAAAATTATTGTTTCCAAAAAGAACAGATTATATCAGCCTCTAAGATATTCCTAGAAACCTTTTAAAATACCTTGATCTTTCATGCTGTGGTATACATTTTCTAAAACACAGGGCTCTTTCCCTTTGAGGGTTAACTAGATGAAGTATAAGCACTAGTAAATAAGCTTTTAGATCTGTAGATCTACACTTCTCAAACTTAAATGTGTATATGAATCACCTGAGCTTATTAAAATGCAGATTATGAGTCAGTAAGTGACAGCATGGGGGAGGAGGAGGATTCTGCATTTCTAATAAGCTCCCATGTGATGGCCAAAGAGTGCTAGTCCATGAACCACAGTTTGAGTAGCAAAGTTTTAGATGAATTTCTATAAATCAGCCTTAATATTAAATTTTTGGGAAAGTTGAAAAATATTACATTTATTGAATTTCATTGAAAAGTTCAATAGAAAATGCTTTAAACACAGCAAAAGTAAGATAAATTCTGATTTAAAGGTACTTCAGAAAGCCATATTAAATGTGTACGTGTGTGTATGGAAACAGAAGCCTAAAAAAATTCAAGATCTTGAAACATAATAAAATCTACCTTATTAAAAGCCATGAATAATTCCACTAAGAGAACAGGAATGACTGTTGTGCTTCTGTAGTAAAACCACTGTGAACTGTAAGAAAACTAGAGACATTATGTCACTCGAGACAATAAAAATTCGCTCAGTGTATTGCTTTATTTACTGCCTGGAAACTTTCTAGTGAAATGGACTTATTGACTTAGACAAGCATATTTGAGACAAGCATATTACTTTAAAAAATAATTCTCAGCAGTAGCTCTGTAGAAAATTCAATGACCTATAAAAAACAAGCTCCTGAATGCTGTATGTTCCTGTGGATGTTGAATGTATTTGGTCATGCATTAAATGTACTGGTCAATCCTGAGGACATTTTAGTACTTACATCAAATTTTCCTAAGCATTTAAAAGCTGTTTATATATAAGAACAAAGATATATTGGAAACCCTTAGCAAGATAAAAACAAAGATGACTTAAAGAATTATGTATGGACCAACACAAGGATATCCTTGACCTCTAAGTAGGTCTTACCTTCTGTAGCAATCTGGTACAGCAAGTGAAAAGTTAGTAAGAATCATATATTGCTTCATTCAGATAGTGGACAATTATGATCAAAGGTGTAATACAGTAGGCCTCCTTCATCTGCAGTTTCACGACCCATGGTTTTAATTATTCACAGTCAACCACAGTCTGAAAATATTAAGTGAAAAATTCCAGAAATAAAGAATTCAAAAGTTTTAAATTGCACACTATTTTGAGTAGTGTGATGAAATCGTACACCACCCTGTCCCACTCAGGACATTATTGTTCCTTTGCCAGTGCATTCATGCTGTATGTGCTACCCTTCCCTCCCCACCCACACAGTCACTTTTATCAGATTAACTGACACTGCACATAGAGTTCAGTACTAGCTGTGGTTTCAGGCATCTACTGGGGGGTCTTAGAACATATTCCCCATGGATAAGGAGGGGACTACTGTATTTTCTTAATTTAATCTCAAATACCTGAAGCTGTATTTGCATTTGGGACACAGCCTTACTCCTCCATATAAGATAAAGATCACAGAACTTAGCCTATTACTGTATTTCTTTAAACAAATTCTCTCATCTTTAGCTTTTAAGAACACAATTTACACAGGTGAATATATCATAAAGGATATACTTTTTAGATAATGGCTTCAGTGTACCAATTACTAGTTATCTTATGCATTCGAACTCAATCTGTATTTCAAAGTTGCTGAAATTTCTGCTCAGCTCTTAAGCCTCAAAGTCACTGTTATCAGATGGGTTTCCAGAAATCCTGCCCTGGGCCTGGGTAGTGATTAAACTACCATACTTGAAGGAGAACTTATATGCAGATATTATGTGCAGAATATTCAGTTCTCTGCAGTTCTCCTCTCACCCCCAACCCCCACGATTAGGCCTCCGTTACCAGCCTCTCTGGGCTCCTTAGCCATGTAAAACTCCTTCTTTTTGCTTGATCTCCATCTGGCACTGAGAATTAGAAAATTCCCTCAAGGAAAAGACCAGAATAAATATGGAGATCACTTCATGAGCTTCTCTTTTCTCAAGAATCACAGACCCTCAAGTCGAACCTACACCGGCTGCTCTCCAAGGCTTTCAAATAGCTGTTGTATATATATATATGGCCTAACGTTTATAAGGTTTCAGTAGGAGAATTCATTTGATACAAAGTACTCAACACAAAACCAGGCTTATTAAATTTCAGTTACTGGGATTTTCATTTCCAAAAGTTTTGTCTGGTTCCTTTTCAAATCTGCTATGCTGCTTTTTGTGATTTCCTTGGAGATATCTTCATATGTATTATAATTCATAAGCATAGTTATTTTAAATATGTGTCTAATATTTTTAATATCCCAAGTCTATGGAATTCCAATTCTGCTGTCTCTTTTTGCTGGTTCTCCTTCAGTTGTCTGTTTCTCCATATGCTTTGTTATCTTTGACTACTTGCTGGAAAATGTAATTGTAGGGGTTCACTGAGGTCTAGGATAATATGTCTCATCTGTAGAGGCTTACATTTGCTTTGGGGGACAGTATGAGACTGGACCATCTCCAGCCAAGATGGGCTACATGTACCTGCAACACAAATACTTATGAAAGGCAGTCTATGGCCATACTTCTGTTACTTTTTTTTTTTTTTTTTTTTTGAGACAGAGTTTCACTCTTGTTGCCCAGGCTGGAGTGCAATGGCACGATCTCAATTCACCACAACCTCTGCCTCCCGGGTTCAAGCGATTCTCCTGCCTCAGCCTCCCGAGTAGCTGGGATTACCGGGATGTGCCACCATGACCAGCTAATTTTGTATTTTTAGTAGAGACGGGGTTTTTCCATGTTGATCAGGCTGGTCTCGAACTCCCAATCTCAAGTGATCCGCCCGCCTCGGCCTCCCAAAGTGCTGGGATTACAGGCATGAGCCACTGTACCTGGCCTTTGGTACTTCTTTTAAAAATCTCTTTCCATTTCGTTTTCCTTTTCTGCACAGCATTAAACCATCCTTATCTACTGTCCCTACCTAGTTACAGGCTATCATTAAAAAAATGGCTATCTTTTTAGAGCTTAAGAGTTTAAAGCATTTAAATATTATATATTTTATCCAATATGTTGATCTAGGTAATTTAATACCTCATTTTAAGAAACCAGCCACCACTTGGTGCTTTCTCATCATCTTAATTATCACCTTTTCAGAGACCTTACCAGAGCACTGAATCTAAAATCACTCCACCAATCATTCTTTATCACTCTACCCTCTGTTATTTCTGGCATAGCACTTACTAGTCAATGAAATTGTCTTATTTACTTATTTTTTTTTGCTATCCCTAAAGAGAATATAAGCTCCAATGAAGGCAGAAGCTTGTCTCTCCTGTTTGGTATGTAATGCCAGAATTTATCTACCAGTTACTGACATAACTTCCTATAGATATTGAAAGAATGCATTAAGTCAATAAAGAAGATCACAAACCAGAGATCTCCTCACCTACCCCACAAAATTTCATTTCTTATGCATAGAAAAAAGAAAAAAAATTTCATTTCCTCTCTTTAGACAAACATACTATTTCTAACAGCTCAATCCCAAGTGTCGACATCTAATCCCCTTTCTCTCTTACTCTTCATGTCACCTCTATGTTGCCCAGGAATTGCTATGTAGTGACAGAAATAAAACATAATGTTGGTGTTTTTAAGAGTTTTCTAATATCACAGAGTGAAAATAATTCCAGATCAAATCCTGGTAAATTATTAATATTCATCAGAGCTCTTAAACACCAAGGTAATTAAACATGCAATATGGGTAACCATTTTTACACAGATATGTTAATGCTTAGGGTAAATAGCTTACATTAGACTTAAATTTTGACATTTATGTGCATACTTTTGAAAACAAATAGGTCAATTATAAAATCAAGTGTAGATTTTTGCTTTCATTTCCTAATTGAGAAACAAGAAATCCAACAGTTAAATAAACATACAGGTTTAGACTCTTTCATCTCAAAGAGCAATGACAAAACAGTAGAGGTGGGAAAGGAAGAAAAAAATCCTATAATTTTATGAAGTTCCAACTTTTTATTTTTGACACATACAGTACCCCTTATGTTTTTTTAAGCAAGCATTAATGAACTTTATTCTAAAGCAGTGTAATGCCACAAAAAGAGTTTTGTCATAAGAAAAGGATGATTTGAAATTTGAAATATTCACATTCCTACTCTAAGTACCCTTAGTTAACAGATTTCCAGAAAACTTCATTATTTAACAAAAGTATGTACTTTCTGTTAAATGAAGATACTTGGTCGATGTACTACAAATCAAGAGTGTTAAGCAAAAATGTTTTTTAGTTCATTAAATTCCTTAAGAAACAATATAGTTTTCATTCTGTAATAAGACCCTAAAACATTTTTACTTGTCCCAGAATTGGACTTAACCACTGAGACCCCACTACAAAGCCTCTCTCACTGTTAAAGATTAAATTGTACTTTATACTATCCTGAAACAATCACTATTAATTTGTTTTAAAGAAACAAATTGTTTAATTATCCTCAAAAAAAGGATAGTAACCTCTTTGTGTAACAAATTTCAATCTCATATTACAGCTCTGATCACAAGTAATTTTGTATTCTAGAATTGGCCTACACTCAGAGGTGTTTTCACTATGGGGCCTAGTAAACTGTAACAAAGCCAAGGAATTTTGTTGCCCATAATGAAGTTAAGAGAAACTTCATCTAATTTCTCTACATAGCATACACATACACCCACTAAAAAGCATTGAAAATAAAATGTATAAAACTGCATTATCTGTGGAACATTATCTTGCAGCTATACAAACACAAGTTTATCAAATTGCATCAGGAGGAAATGCAATCATACTGAATGGATTATATAATGATGAAATGATTATATTAAGCTTTCCCTCAGTGTGATTTAGCAAATGTGAATTTACATAAATGTACAATGATGCTTCATAGGTAATATAATTCACATGGAAGCAGGAATAAGGTGTTTTTTTTAACATACTTCTTAGAACACTAGATTTATAAACTGTTAAGTATCTGGAGGAAAACAAAATTTTCCTCTCTAAAATACTGGGGATTTTAGTTTAAGTTAAAAGCTTAACAAAACGGGCACACTTTGCCCACCCCTTCTCGCTGCCTTTCTCACCTAAAGCTAGGCCCCTTTTGCAACACTGCTTATCAGCTCAGAGACAGCAGTAGTAAATATGTGTTCCCATATTACCCCACCTTTTGGAAGCCTGAAGATAAATCTTTTTTGTCTTGTCACTATATAGAATTTCTGGCTTTTTGTTAAGATACTATTTAAGCAAGTCCCCCATGCCACTGCCTTGAAAGAGATACACTTTTGAACTGAGGCCTCTCCCAAGTGATAGGTACAGCACACTTTAATAAACTTCTTTTTCTTTTGTTAATCTGACTTTTGTTTTCAAGAGAATGTCTCAACTAAAAATCTAAAAATGGAAAGAAAATAAATTATGTTTTCAACCCTATATATCCATATAGTATTTTTATATGGTACTGGTAATGATACAAGGACACTATCTATATAGAATCTAGCTGAGTCATATAGTAAACATGTATCTTACTGATAAGAATGCACTTACAAAGCCTCTAAGGAGAGGGTAACTAGTCAGCTTTTAAATTATCTATAAATAAAGAAAACAAAACCTTAAAATACTATGCTTCAGCAGACATGTAAGCAGGAACAACCCCCCGCCCACCGCCCCACCAAAGTCAACACTGCTGTATTTTTCAAAGGGAAACAATTTTGATCAAAGCACTAGATAAACATATGTAATCAATATGGGGTACCCCCCTGCCAAATCCTATTATCAGTTTTTAGATTTCTAAGTATGGTTGCATACATTACAAACTGTACCTTTTATCACAGGGGATTTAAAAGCTTTTGAAATGAAAGTCAGTTGATGAGGGTTTAGGACATGCTACCCCAAAATACAGTACCTGGCATACTGAATACTTCGAGATGAATGAATTTGATAAACAGCATGTACAGGAAAGACTTGGTGACCTTCCCCTGATGCCAGTCATAAGACTCTTCTGTGAGAGGTACCCTCCCCACACTGGGAGGAAAGGAACATAGACACAGACGCCAAGAAGAATGTGAACAAACAGGCCTTGCTAAGTTTCCCCCAGTTTATTACAGTTAGCTCATACTTTTTATCTTATTAAATTCTTCTACAATCTTCCCCTTCATCAAAACTAGAATAAAAACACTCAGGTTCAGCTACTTCAGGTCTTCATTTCCTTATGAAGGCTCCTGTGTCAAATAAAACTTACGTTAACTAAATTTGTACGGTTTTGTCTTGTGCATCTGTCTTGTAAAGGGCCCCAGCCAATGAATCCAAGACTGGTAAAAGAAAAAGATATTTTTCTTCCCCTATACGGTGCATAAAAGAAACAAAAAATTTGCCAGGTGCGGTGGCTCATGCCTGTAATCCCAGCAATTTGGGAGGCCGAGGCGTGCAGATCACCAGAGGTCAGGAGTTAGAGACCAGCCTGATCAACATGGAGAAACCCCGTCTCTAAAATACAAAATTAGCCAGGCGTGGTGGCGCATGCCTGTAATCCCAGCTACTCGGGAGGCTGAGGCAGGAGAATCTCTTGGACCCGGGAGGTGGAGGCTGCGGTGAGCCGAGATCATGCCATTGCACTCCAGGCCTGGGCAGCAAGAGCGAAACTCCATCTCACACACACAAAAAAAAAAAAGAAAGAGAAAATTAAAGTGTTACAAACTCCAAGTAACCCAAATTTTCAGCGCATGAGTTATTCAAGATGAGAATGTTAAAACCTACTCTTTTTAAGGCTTAAATCAGCAGGACCAGTTTTGAGGAAGACAATTTTTTCACAGAACAGGGGTGGAGGAGTGGGGGAATTTGGGGGTGGGGGTAGTGGTGGAATGGGGAGTGGGAGGAGTGGTTTTGGGATGAAACTGTTCTACCTCAGATTAGATTTTCTTAAAGAGTGGAACCTAGATCCCTTAGATGCGCAGTTCACAATAGGGTTAACAGCTCCTGTGAGAATCTAGTGCTGCCACTGATCTGACGGGAGGCAGAGCTCAGGCGATAATGCCACTCACCTCCTGCTGTGCAGCCCGGTTCCTAACAGACCACAAACCAGTACCAGTCCGTGGCGCTGGGGTTGGGGACCCTTGGCTTAAAGTATATTTAAGCCATTCTGATTACTAAAATGTGTCTTCTTTCTTAGAAAGAGCATTTTGTACATACTTTATCCTCTTCTATTAATATGTTAATGTGAGTAGTAAAGAGCCAAACTACACTAAGCATACATTTTCTCACTTAATCCACACAGCAACTCTGTGAGGTACAAGTCTTATCTCCATTTTGCAGATGAGAAAACAGAGCCTTGGAAAGTTTAAGCTTCTTACCAAAGGAAGTGGCATACTTGAGATATAAGCTTAGTATGTTTAACTCAAATATAAGCTCTTTATGTTGTTAAATTAAGCATAGCCTGAAGCTGCCTCCTCACCTATTTTAGGTTCAGCCTAAAGGTTTCTGGATATAGTGAACTATAACCTAAGTAGATGTGTAAATACATTATAACCTACTATTGTACCAATTACAAGGCTTGGCCAATCACAGGAGGCTACCTATTCAATCCCTGTTCACATAAGGCAAACACCAACCTGTAACCAATACAGCACTTTCTGTACCTCACTTCTGTTTTCTGTACGCATTTTCCTTTTTCTGTCCTTAAATATTATCTGACCATGTGGGAACCCTAGAGTCACCCTGAACCTATCATGTTTCATGTTCAGGGGGGCTACCAGATTTGCAAATCATTCCTTGCTCAATTAAACTCTGTTAAATTCGTCTAAAGTCTTTTTTTGTAACAGATGGCATCAGAGTGGGACATGAAGTGGAGCATCTAGCAAGCCCCAAGAGCAGCCAGTGACCAAGAGAAATACCCACTGGGCCCATTCTGTCCATTCCTCTCTCACAACAACCAGAGACTGTGGGTAAGTTCTCTCAGTGGAGCTTCAGAATCCAAGATTTTGCGGTTTTGAGCTATACAGGTTTGAGTAAATTTTTTATCTGAACTTGGTTCAGAAGTCACAACAGAAACTGGACAGGGTCCAGCTGGGCACTCAGGCCTATAATCCCAGCACTTTGGGAGGCCCAGGCAGGCGGATCCCCTGAGGTCAGGAGTTTGAGATCAGCCTGACCAACATGGAGAAACCCCATCTCTACTAAAAAAAAAAAAAAAAAAAAAAATATATATATATATATATATATATAAAATTAGCCAGGCATGGTGGCATATGCCTGTAATCCCAGTTACTCGGGAGGTGAGGCAGGAGAATCGCTTGAACCTGGGAGGTGGAGGTTGCGATGAACCAAGATCATGCCATTGCACTCTAGCCTTGGCAACAAGAGCAAAACTCCGTTTCAAAAAAAAAGAAACTGGACAGGATCCAATAATTATCTGGATTGAATCTGGCTAGAGGCCTTAAATATCTGACTGGGTCAAACAAAAACTGGCGATAAATGGCAATACTACAGGGGTTACAAACTCTAGCTTTTGAAAATTCACAGGGATTTATTTATTCTATCCCCTTTGATCCTTTTTCTTGCATGCTTAGGTAGGAAAAATCACTGGCTAAGCTGATCAAAGAAATCTGAGAGGCAAAACCAAGATTCAACGTAAAAATGTGATGCTTAATTTCTGAAGAACTGAGTACTCTACCTTCTAGCTACATCTACATTTACACATAGAACGTTTAGGCCCCAGAAGCAGCAAATGTTCACAAAAAATGGCAAAGTCATACAAACAACAATCTTAAATTACTGTGGAATGTTCCAAATAAACAACATTGCATTTTAAGAACTGCATTTAAAAATAAGTTCTCCGAATGCTTTTACACTGTTTATGGGAGTGTAAATTAGTTCAACCATTGTGGAAGACAGTGTGGCAATTCCTGAAGGATCTAGAACCAGAAATATCATTTGACCCAGCAATCCCATTACTGGGTATATACTCAAAGGATTATAATTCATTCTACTATAAAGACACATGCACACACATGTTTACTGCGGCACTGTTCACAATAGCAAAGACTTGGAACCCACCCAAATGCCCATCAACGACAGACTAGATAAAGAAAATGTGGCACATACACCATGGAATATTATGCAGCCATAAAAAGGATGAGTTCACGTCCTTTGCAGGGACATGGATGAAGCTGGAAACCATCATTCTCAGCAAACTAACACAAAAACAGAAAACCAAACATCACATGTTCTCACTCATAGGTGGAAGCTGAACAATGAGAACACATGGACACAGGGAGGGGAATATCACACACTGGGGCCTGCTGGGGGCTAGGGGGCTAGGCAAGGGATAGCATTAGGAGAAATACCTAATGTAGATGACAGGTTGATGGGTGCTGCAAACCACCATGGCACGTGTATACCTATGTAACGAACCTGTATGTTCTGCACATGTATCCCAGAACTTAAAGTATAATAATAAATAAATAAGTTCTCCTGAATTTGGCTGACCCAAGGATGCCTATTGATGTGCAGAAGCTTCTAAAAATGTTGCAATATTTTTATTGCTTCTTTTGAAAGCCTCTTTATAAAAAGCAAATAAAAAGCTTAAGGAACTAGTTGATTTAAAAAAATTGAATCTGCAAATCTTTTGGCTAAATTACTATACTGTCCTGAATGTGAAAATAAAGGTGGATAAAGTGTTTGCTAATAGAAGGTAAGCCCTCAGGTAAAATAGGCTTGCTTCTTTATAAGAGCTATCCTTGTGGAGTCCAGGTAGAGAGAATACTTTCTTTGCCCTATTAGTTAATGGGCTTAGCCCTAAGCTCAGTCATTTTAGTTAAAAAACCATAGCTAAGTTATAAAGACTGTCTACTGAACTAAATTGGTCTCTAAAATACACCTTTCTGTCTTTTAGCTGGCTATTTTGAAACATGTTTATAAAAGAAATCTACATCTATAAAGGAAATCTCCATTTTTAAGGGTGTCTGCCTCCGCACCAGAAAGAAAGGGAGGACTGAGTAGTGAAACTCTTACCATTAAGATCACATGCCCAGAAGGTGTCTTTGACCGTTTCCCATGAATGATCAGTCTCGTTATAGGAATACGGGGTGATACAGAAATCCGAAGTATTCCAATCGCACTGCATTTGCATGTAATGTTCGAGACTCACTACCCAATCTCCAAGCCAAATAACAGACTGTCTTAAATCATTAATTTGATTAGCCAATTTTTGATCAATGCCTTGTTGAGAATTCCACATTTGGGTGGAATTGGCTTGCCAATCATTAACAAAATGACCCGTTTGAATAGATTGATGTAACGCCATTCCGGCAGTAGTGGCCAGTGCAGTGACTGTAATTAGGCCAATGATCACAGCGATTAAAGTGAAAACAAATCTCTTAGCTCTTTTTAGAATTCGCTGTAACATTTCATTAATTAAATGTATTGAGGAGGAGGATTCCCAAGGTCTGGGCAAAGCTACCAGAATCCAGATTCCTTCTCGAGCTCGAACCAACATTACACTTTTTGTGGAGTCAAAATGAGAGTTAATACAAGTGTATAAATGACAATTAATGCACTGGACAGTTTGTCAAAATTTTGGTATTTCCCACTAACAGCATGTAAGGAGGCTTAACACAACTCTGTATGGGAACAGTCAGGTTGGAGGTAAGCAAAGCAGAATGTCTGGATCTACGTTGATACTGAGAGAGAGGGACGGTAGCGGGGACAACAGACAGAACAGTGTCCCCTTCCCATACTCGCAGTCCAGACATGGCAATAGCCAATTTCCAAAGTTCTGGGTGTTCTGGGCTCAGTGGTGGCTTAAATTTACATAACAAGTCTTCCCTTTGCTACATCTTTCCTTGTTTGAGCAAATGATGGCTCCATCAGTCATCAGAAAGTTTAGAAAAGGCTATTTTTAAAAAAACTTACTTTCCATCTTCTTGATGTAACTGAAAAAGAAAACCCTTTCATTTTCCCACAGATCTTCATCCCCACTGCAAATGGAGCTGAGGTGAGAGAGACCAGCAACCTTTATTTGGATCAGCATGGACGAGGAGTCTCTCTCATCCTGGACATATGAATTGTAATTGAAAAAATGAATGGTGATTCAGTGGCCACAGACAAAAAAGGTAAAAAGGGAAGATTTTCCAAAACAGCCCCAATTTCTTACAATATCTGGTGTCAGTTCTTACCTTCTAGTTGAATAGAAATGGTTGGTTTCTTTGAATGGTTGCTGTAGATTAAAATTTTAAGTGTCATGAATTACAGGCATGTTCCTGCTACAGGGCCATTTGACTTGTAAACAGCAAGACAATGATGTTCCTAGAACAAAGTGAATAGAGACAGACTAACAGGAGATAAGATCAGAAAGGTAATGGCAGAGTCAGACAGTCTATTGCAGTGTGGACCACTGAAGATTTAGGTCAAGGAAGAGGCAAGATAATCTGCAGCCAGATCTCCAAAATGATCTGGAACCTGGGGTAGGAGCTACCTGACTCTGTGGCTTTCAGAACAAAGCATTATTATCACCTCCTTAGGCTGATTCTGCAGTATGGTTTTGAGAACCTTTCCTGGAAGCTCAACCTGCTCCTTTAGCCCTCCTAACAATTCTCTATGCTTTAAAATCTTGCTGAAACTAGCTACAGTAAATTCTTTTGCCTGCAAATAAGAACCCTAGTTGGGCCAGGCATGGTGGCTCACACCTGTAATCCCAGCACTTTGGGGGGCCGAGGCATACGGATCACGAAGTCGGGAGTTCGAGACCAGCCTGGATGACATGGTAAAACCCTGTCTCTACTAAAATACAAAAATTAGCCCGGCGTGGCGGCAGGCAGTGGGCACCTGTAATTCCAGCTACTTGGAGGGCTGAGGCAGGAGAATCACTTTAACCTGGGAGGTGGAGGTTGCAGTGAGTCAAGATCATGCCACTGCACTCCAGCCTGGGCAATAGAGTGAGACTCTATCTCAAAAAAAAAAAAAAAAAAACCTGGCTATCACAACCTTAATAGTGGTGGAAAGCGTGTAACAGTAGCTCTGAAATCAGGGAGGGAAAAAAGCAGTCCCAGGCAGAACAGGGAGTATCTACCCAGGCCTATGGTGAGTGACAAAATGCAAAGGTCATGACAGTTAGGTGGTGTTATTATTTTTCTATGACTGTCATAACAAATTACCATAATTTGGTGGCTTAAAGGAAAACAAATTTATTATGTTACTGTTCTGGGGATGAGAAAACTAAAACGAGTCCCACTAGGCAAAAATCAAGATGTCAGCAGGGCTGTTTCATTCTGGAATCTCTAGAGGGAGAATCCATTTTCTTGCCTTAACCAGCTTTTAAATGTTGCCCTAATTCCTTTGTTCATGCTTCCCACTCCTCCATCCTCAACACCAGCAATGGCTAATAAAGTCTTTCTCAAATAGCACTTTTGGGTCCCTCTTCCACAATTTAAGGATGCTAGTGATTACCACTGGGCAATGTAGATAATCCAAAATAATCTTATTTTAAAGATACCTAATTAACAACCTTAATGTCATTTGTTATTTTAATTCTCCTTTGGCACGTAAATTAATATATCCACAAATTCCAGGTATTAGGACACAGACATCTTGCAGGGAGGCGGATTATTCTGCCTACTACAAGTGAGAGAATCGGAAGACTGGCTGGTTAATAGCACGTTTCGATAGAACAATTTTCAAGCAATAAGATACCAACCTAGTGGAACTTAATGCAGCCCTGAAGCTGACAAAGTATAACTAAGAAAACTGTAACAAAACACAGTCCAGAAAAGGCCTTTTCTGTTATAAATTTACATAGATAAATATTTATATAAGAAGTTACTTGAAAATAAAACCCACTGATAAACCTTAAATCACATACTTAAGAAAATCACTTTTAATAAAATAAATTAAGAAGGAGAGTAAAATAATACTTAGCAAATACAGCAGATAAAATAATCCTGATTGTAACAAATTGGGGCTGTTCTGGAAAATGTGGGAGATTAAAAAAAAAAAAAAAAAGAGGCCAAGCTCATTAGTGTATTACTAACAGGTAATGATCACATTAACATGTCAAGCAAAGCTCACACAATTTAGGTGATTTTATAAAAGAAGAATAATTTGTGTTTTTTCAAAAAACAAAAACACAGGTGTCAATTCCTACCTTCTAGTTGAACAGAAATTGTTGGTTTCTTTGGCTGGTTGCTGTAGATTAAAATTTTAAGTACCATGAATTAAGGTACAGTAAGGGGGAACAAGCATGTAGTAAAAATATCATAAAAGGTTTAGAAGTTTTGGCCTTTGAAAATTTTTTCTTACAGATGAAATCTCTCTAAACTAAGGAGAGTAAGATTGCCATTTATGCTCCTGCCAGGTATTTTTCAAGCAAACAACATAGGTTGTTGTTATTTTTTAAGGAAATTTAACCTCAAATGTATTCCAAAAATCTATTTTAAATGTATACCAAGATTGAAATTGGGATTCTGTTAGAAATGTGTGTGTGTGTGTATATATATGTGTGTATATATATGTATATATATGTGTATATATATGTGTATATATGTGTATATATATGTGTATATATGTGTATATATGTGTATATATGTGTGTATATATGTGTATATATGTGTGTATATATGTGTATATATATGTGTATATATATGTGTGTGTGTGTGTGTATATATATATATATACTTTTTTTTTTTTTTTTGATACAAGTCTCGCTGTCTCCCAGGCTGGAGTGCAGTGGCACGATCTCGGCTCACTGCAAGCTCCACCTCCTGGGTTCACGCCATTCTCCTGCCTCAGCCTCCCGAGTAGCTGGGACTACAGGCGCCTGCCACCACGCCCAGCTAATTTTTTGTATTTTTAGTAGAGACGGGGTTTCACCGTGTTAGCCAGGATGGTGTCGATCTCCTGACCTCGTGATCCGCCCACCTCAGCCTCCCAAAGTGTTGGGATTACAGGCATGAGCCACCGCGCCTGGCCAAAACAGAATAAATGGATATAAACGTTTAGGGTACTATGGGAGTCTGATATATCTTTTTAATTTCCTATAAATGCTAACAGGATACTTTTTAATGAATAATTCTTCTATTCAATTAGACTCAACTCCTATCTGTAAGAAACGGCATAACTTTTTTTTTTTTTTTTTTGAGACGGAGATTTCTTCTTGTCACCCAGGCTGGAGTGCAGTGGCGTGATCTGAACTCACTGCAACCTCTGCCTCCCAGGTTCTCCCGCCTCAGCCTCCCTAGTACCTGGGATTACAGGTGCATGCCACCACACCCAGCTAATTTTTTATTTTAGTATTTTAGTTTTTTATTTAGTATTTTATTAGTAGAGATGGGGTTTCACTGTGTTGGCCAAGCTGGTCTCCAACTCCTGACCTCAGGTGATCTGCCCACCTCTGGCCTCCCAAAGTGCTGGGATTACAGGCGCGAACCACTGCATCCAGCCTTACATTTCTTTTAAACATTTAAATCACAAGAAGCTACTTAAATCCCATAAGAAAACACGATTAAGCTCAGCATATCTTAAATAATATCTACTTTTCCTTCCTTTTATTGAATTCTTATACATCCAAAC
Organism: Homo sapiens; assembly: GCF_000001405.40. NCBI lineage: Eukaryota > Metazoa > Chordata > Mammalia > Primates > Hominidae > Homo > Homo sapiens. The sequence goes on along the minus strand of NC_000001.11, from coordinate 86,984,473 downwards.
TCTAATTAGTCACCTGACCTCCATTTTCTCTCACTTCAATGCAGGGATTGCTTCTTGAGAAAAGCTTCCTGCTAGAAAGCGTCGAGGAAACCAAATGAATTCCAAGCTAGTTATCTTGTAAACTGGGCAGGTCAGATTACTATGTAGCTAGTAATTCTGAATCAGACATCAGAATCCTACGGAAACATCCATTTCTAGGGCTTATTGGAAATCACCTTCAGCTTCTCTCTTAATAACTGTTTTTCACTCCAAATATACATATTAATTTGTGACTTTGGAAAAATTAACTGACTCTCCTGGGCTTCAATTTTCTCATCTATACTACCTACTTTTACAAGGTTAGAAATACTGCATGCTAATGCCTCATGCAATGTATGATAAATATCAGGCATCTAATAAATGGTTATTACTAAGTTGAAATTTTTTTTTTTTTTGAGATGGAGCCTTGCTCTGTCACCCAGGCTAGAGTTCAATGGCGCGATCTCAGCTCACCACAACCTTTGCCTCCTGGGTTCAAGCAATTCTCCTGCCTCAGCATCCCAAGTAGCTGGGATTAGAGGCGCCCGCCACCGCGCCCAGCTAATTTTTGTATTTTTAGTAGAGTCGGAGTTTCACCACCTTGGCCAGCTGGTCTTGAACTCCTGACCTTGTGATCCACCCGCCTCGGCCTCCCAAAGGGCTGGGATTACAGGCGTGAGCCACCGTGCCTTGCCTTGCCAAATTTTTTTTTTTTTTAAATAAGCACCCCGTCCCCTCTCCAGAGCTCCTTCTTGAAGCATTATTCTATTACTAGGCAATATACCGTATTGTTGTGCTAAGATGTACTCTTTCAATCAGATTTTAACATCAATTCACAATTACAGTTATTCAAAATTCAGTACTATTTTAATATGGTTTGGCTTTGTGTCCCCACCCAAATCTCATCTCAAATTGTAATCCCATGTGTCGAGGGAGGGAGGTGATTGGATCATAAGGGTGGTTTACCCCATGCTGTTCTCGTGATAGTGAGTGAGTTCTCGCAAGATCTGATAGTTAAAAAGTGGCAGTTTCCCCTGCACTCTCTCTCCTACCACCATGTAAGACATGCCTTGTTTTCCCTTCACCTTCTGCCATGATTTTAATTTTCCTGAGATCTCCCCCGCCATGTGGAACTGAGAGACAATTAACCCTCTTTCTTTTATAAATTACCCAGTCTCAGGTATTCTTTACAGCAGTGTAAAAACAGACTGATACAGAAAATTGTTACCAGGAGTAGGGCACTGCTATAGAGATCATGTGAAAGTGAAATCATTTTTGCTTCCTGAAAATGTGGAAGTGATGTTGGAACTGGGTAACAGACAGAGGCCGGGACAGTTTGGAGGGCTCAGGAAAAGACAGAAAGAGGGAAAGTTTGGAACCTCCTAGAGACTTGTTGAATGGCTGTGACCAAAAGGCTGATTGTGATATGGACAATGGGGTCCAGGCTGAGGTGGTCTCAGATGCAGACGAGTAATTTATTGGATATTGAAGCAAAGGTCCCTCTTGCTATGCTTTAGCAAAGAGACTGGTGGCATTTTCCTCTGCCCTAGAGATCTGCAGAACTTTGAACTTGAGAGAGACGATTTAGGTTATCTGACAGAATAAATTTCTAAGCAGCAAAGCATTCAAGAGGTGACATGGCGGCCAGGCGCAGTGGCTCAAGCCTGTAATCCCAGCACTTTGGGAGGCCGAGGTGGGAGGATCACGAGGTCAGGAGATTGAGACCATCCTGGCTAACACGGTGAAATCCCATCTCTAACAAAAATACAAAAAATTAGCCGGGCGTGGTGGTGGGCGCTTGTAGTCCCAGCTACTCGGGAGGCTGAGGCAGGAGAATGGCGTGAACCTGGGAGGCAGAGCTTGCAGTGAGCTGAGATGGCGCCACTGCACTCCAGCCTGGGCGACACAGCAAGACTCCATCTCAAAAAAAACAAAAATGGGGTGACATGGCTTTTTCTGAAAGCGTTCAGTCATATTGTTCACAAAGAAATTGAAATTGCAACTTTTGTTTAAAAGGGAAGCAGAGTCTAAAGGTTTGGAAAATCTGCAGCCTGACTTGTGGTAGAAAAGAAAAAGTCATTTTCTGGGGAGGAATTCAAGCCAGCTGCAGAAACGTGTGTAAGTAATAAGGAGCCAAATTTAATGGCCAAGACAATGGAGAAAATGTCTCTAGAGCATGTCAGAGAACTTCATGGCAGCCCCTCCCATCATAGGCCCAGAGGCCTAAGAAGGAACAGTGGTATCATCAGCTGGGCCTCTGCTGCTCTGTGCAGCCCCAGGAGAGCACCCTGCATTCCAGCTGCTCCAGCTCCAGCTGTGGCTAAAAGGGGCCAAGGTACAGCTTAGGCCGTTGCTTCAGAGGGTGCACGCCCCCAAGCACTGGCAGCTTCCATGTGGTGTTGGGCCTGTGGGTGCACAGAAGACAAGAACTGATGTTTGGGAACCTCTGCCTAGATTTCACAGCATGTATGGAAACACTTGGATGGCCAGGCAGAAGTGTGCTGCAGGGGCAGAGCTCTCATGGAGAACCTCTGCTAGGACGGTGTGGAAAGGAAATGTGGGGTTGGAGCCCCAACAGAGAGTCCCCACTGGGGCACTGCCTAGTTGAGCTGTGAGAAAAGGGCCACCGTCCTCCAGACCCCAGAAAGGTAGGTCCACCAATAGCTTGCACTGGGTACCTGGAAACGCTGCAGGCACTCAATGCCAGCCCAGGAAAGCAGCCACAAGGGCTATACCCTGCAGAGCCACAAGGGCAGAGTGCCCAAGGCCGTGGGAGCCTATCCCTTGCATCAGTGTGTCCTGGATGTGAGACATGGAATCAAATGAGATTTTGGAGCTTTAAGATTTAATGACTGCCTGGCCGGGTTTCTGACTTGCATGGAGCCTATGGCCCCTTTGTTTTGGCCAATTTCTCCAAGTTGCAATGGGAACATTTACCCAATGCCTGTACCCCCACTGTATCTTGGAAATAACTAACTTGTTTGTCATTTTACAGGCTCACAGGTAGAAGGGACTTGTCTTGTGTCAGATGAGACTTTGGACTTGGACTTTTGGGTTAATGTTAGAATGAGTTAAGACTTTGGGGTACTGTTGGGAAGGTATGATTGTGTTTTGAAATGTGAGAAGGACATGAGATTTGGGAGGGGTCTGGGGTGGAATATGGTTTGGCTTTGCATCCCAACCCAAATCTCATCTCAAATTGTAATTCCCATGTATTGAGGGAGGGACCTGTAATCCCCACATGTTGAGGGAGCAAGGGAGGTGATTGAATCATGGAGGCAGGTTCCCCCATGCTGTTCTCGTGATAGTGAGTTCTCACATGATCTGATGGTTAAAAAGTGGTAGTTCCCCACCCCTCTCCTGCTGCCTTGTAAGACCATACCTTGCTTTCCTCCCCTTCGCCTTCCACCATGATTGTAAGTTTCCTGAGGCCTCCCTAGCCATGTGGAACTGTATGTCAATTAAACCTCTTTCTTTTATAAATTATCCAGTCTCAGGTGTTTTTTATAGCAGTGTGAAAACAGACTAATTCATATTTTATATACTCATATATTACACACTTTTTAGCCAGAAAGAACTATAGTGAATTTTCCACTATTTCTTTCTTATAAAAATGACAATTTTCCGTTAATAAATACTGAGCAGTTTTTAAAATCATACTTTCCATTTTGTCCCCGATATCCTAATAGTATTGCAAACTGACCAAAAATAAGAACTACCTTCCTAGAGCTAAAATTAACATTCAATCATAAAAAACCTTGGATTTACTTGGTATAAATCACAATAAGCCCTGGATTTACTTGGCATAATTAAGGTAGATAAAATGTTCAATAATACTTAGCACTTTTTGGTCACCACTGGCAACAGGAAAGTCAAATTAAACATCATCCCTAAATTATTAATTTATTGTTTATGTAATTATTTGCAATTTCTAAATTAACAATATATGCACACTGAAGAAATTTTAGTTAAGAAAAAAAAAATCAATGAATTGGATCATCCTAGAACCATTGTTAGCATTTTGTTGACATTGTTTTCTTTCACAAGCATTTTTAAAAATGAGGTTATAGTTGGTATAAATACAATCTTGCAATATATATTCTTTATTTAATATTACTATTTTCACTGAATATTGTATACATTGTCTTTGAAGGCACAATGTCATATAAATTTCATGACAGTTATATTTTAATTTTGTATTCATTAATTTGTCATATGTCTCTCCCACTACAATGCAAGTTCCCTCAAAGCAGGGGCCATGATTTTCTCATTTATCACTGTATACTCAATGCTTAGCACATTGCCCAACATAGAGTGAGCAGGCATTCAATACACATTTTTGAATGAATGAATGAACTTATTTAGCAATTCTCTTTTTAGAGATAATTCCTCCTTAATGTAACAAATACATTGAGCTTTTTCTCGCCATACCTTATCTAAGTAATTTGTCTTTTATATTGAGCAAGATTTTCCAAAGAAGAAATAGCATATCCAGTGAAGACAGGGTAATCTTATGCAGAAGTAAAAACAAATAAGAATATACTTCATGACCTTTAGGATGGCTACTAAAAAAAGAAAGAAAATAACAAGTGTTAGCAAGGATGTGAATTAACTGGAATCCTTGTGCATTACTGGTGGAAATGTAAAACTATGCAGCTGCCATGGAAAATGGTATGATGATTCCTCAAAAAGTGAAAGATAGAATTACCGTATGACTGAGCAATTCCACTTCTGGGTCTACAGTCAAAAGAAGTAAAGGCAGGCACTCAAACAGATATTTGTACACCCAGGTTCATGGCAGCACTAGTCACAAAAAGCCAAAAGGTAGAAGCAATCCAAGTGTCCGTGAATAGATGAATGGATTAACAAAATGTGTATACATTCAATGTAATAGTACTCAGCCTTAAAAATGAAATTCCACACATGCTATATAACATGAATAAACATTGAAGACATTATGTTGAGTGAAAAAAGACACAACAATACGAACACAAAATCCAGTGCTATATGACTATTTACATGAGATATCTGGAATAGTCAAATTCACATACAGAGATAGAACAGTGGTTACCCAGGGGCTGGGGGAAGGAGAAAATGGAAAGTTATTGTTTAATGGGTACAGAGTTTGAGTTTGACATGATGATAAAGTTCTGTAAATAGATAGTGATAATGGTTGCACAACTCTATGAACGTAATGTTAATGAACTATATACGCTTAAAAATTGTTTTAAATGACAAGTTTTACGTATATTTTATTACAATGAAAAATAATTGAAAAGCAAATAAGAATAAAGATTCACAGCCAGCGGCAGTGGCTCACGCCTATAATCCTAGCATTTTAGGGGGCTGAGGCAGGCGGATTGCTTAAGCTCAGGAGTTCAAGACTAGCCTGGGCAACATGGCAAAACCCCATCTCTACAAAAAAGATTAACCAGGTGTGGTGGCGCGTGCCTGTAATCCCAGCTACTTGGGGTGCTGAGGTGGGAGGATCGCTTGAGTCCTGGTAGAGGCTGCAGTGAGCCAAGATCATGCCACTGCACTCCAGCCTGGGTGACAAAGTGAGGGCCTGTCTCAAAAAAAAAAAAAAAAAAAAAGATTCACAAGTAAAAACCCTTAGGAATCAGGAATCAGTATTTTTCAAATAAAATATTTCTCCTTTTAGACAAAAGGGACTGAGATACAGTCCTGCATCTATTTTACCACTATCAATATATTATATTCTTAATTTTTAAAATTCCATTTCTATTATTATATGTAATTATTCAGTTGGAATGTAATTATGAACTATATATTCTCAATGTTCAGATCTTCTGCAACATGCCAAATTATACAACCACAAACTTACTAAATGTTTAACCACAGTATCATCTGATAATTTAGATGCTAGTCTATTCAAATACAGAGAGTCTAATTTGTGGCCATATATGGATATGAGGATTCAAGAAAAAGGACATTTATTAAGGATTTCAAAACTGGTATTCCAGACTTACTAAATAGAAAACTGCCTCTTTAAAAATTTCTCATGAGTATTCCCTTTTTGAGTAAAACTTACCTAGCAGAGATATATCTGAATTTGTCTCTGAGACACTGCCCAATATTTAAGTGATTAAAACATGCATAATACATGATAAATTCTTAAAATTCACTTAAAACTTACAAATATTTAGGGTTCTGTAAGATTTTTATTAGCTTTTATATGTGTACAGTTATGCATCTCCTAATGACAGATAGATGTTCTGAAAACCGCCTTTATTCAGTGATTTCATCATTGTGCGAACATCAGAGTGCATTTACACAAACCTGTTAATAGATGCTATAGCCTATTGCTTATAGGCTACAAACCTATACAGCATGTTACTGTACTAAATTTAGGCAATTGTAACACAATGGTACTTGTGTATCTAGGCATAGAAAAGATCATGTGTTGCAATACAAGTTATGACAGGTATAATGTCATTAGGAGATAGGAATTTTTCAGCTTTACTATAATTTTATGGGACCACCATTGTATATGCAGTTGTTTGTTGATTAAAACATCCTTATGTGGTACATGACTGTACTGAAACCACAAAATCAATGACCCAAACTTTCCTTTAGTTGCTTTTTAACTTCTCATGTTCTCCGTATCTTTATATTTCTGCATCTCTGAAAAACAAAATAAGTGTTACCTTCAGCTAATGTACTCATTTCTCTCAAGTAGTTAGCCATAAAAGCATTACCAAATAGCCAGTAGAATAGAAAGAAGACCTGATAAATTTGACACTGCCTTGCTTTCTCTTGGGCTTGAGGTTAAAAGTCCTTTCCTATTTGAAAAGCTGCTTAGGTATTAAGTGAGTATCTTCCTTTTAAGTACAAGACTTGATATTTTATTAGATGGTCTTCCATATGCTCAGATGACCAAGAAATCATAATTTTGTCTCAGTAAATGTCACAATAGTCACATTATTTTAGCATATGACATTACAAATATGCAGTATGCCTTAAAGCTGCCAAGCCAATATAATACAAAATATCTCAAGTTAATCAAAGACATGTCAGCCTTACAATATACAACTACTGGTGCAAATCTTCTCACTCCCTTGTGCGTGCCTCTGAAAGTCAAATTCTTTTATTCGGGAGGACTTTGTTGGCAAATGACAATTTGCCACTTGCCAATCACCCTCAATTTGTGTGGCTTTGACTACTAGTGTATACATTGTCTGATGACATAAACAAATAAAAAAATTAAGCTTTAGTATGGAGTTAATATCCATCATGTAGGTAATTATTAGCCTGAAAAGAACTGCACTAATATTCTTCCTTTTAAGAAATTTAATGTAATCAAAGTAAATATGAAACACAAAATCATTTATACCAAATCAGATTATGATGCCATGGTTTTTGTTGTTGTTGTTGTTTTGTTTTTTGAGACAAGGTTTCTCTCTGTTGCCCAGGCTGGAACACAGTGGTGTGAACATAGCTCATGTATCCTTGAAAAACCAGGCTCAAAGATCCTCCCACCTCAGCCTCTCAAGTAGCTAGGACTACAAGGCACATTTTTTATTTCTGGTAGAGACAGAGTCTCACTATGCTGCCCAGGCTGGACTGGAACTTCTGGCCTCAAGGGGTCCTCTGGCCTTGGCCTCCCATAGTGCTGGTATTACAAGTATGAGCCATCACACCCAGCCCACTGCCATGGTTTTCAAGAGAACAAGTAAAAAAAAAATGGGCAGCAGGAGACACTGGGCATTTAAAATATATATATATATATACAATTTTATAAAGAAAAGATGGATTTACAAAGTGTTTCATGCTACAGAAATAATAGACTCATTCAAAGAAATTCTTTTTCATAGCATTTAATTTGAATATGTTATTCATTGAATTTGTCAAAAGTGGTGTTAAATTAAGCTCATATTTTTCTTCTTAAAAAATGTTTTAGCTTTATCTTGCCTGTTTTTAATTGAGAAAAAAATCAATTCTAATTATACCTAACCAAAGCCATGGTTTCTGAAAGCTTTAGTCTTTCTAACTTATATCCCATTAGGAAGCATTCAGCATTGTCCTAATATAAGCTTTCCAACAGAACAGTTCATCCCCCCTACTCCTGGGAATAAGCAGCCAGACAGATCACTTCGATGGCAGATAAAAAGATGAAATAGCAAGTTACTTTGCCATGGCAACAACTTTAAAAATTCTAAACAGATCACTTTCTCCTATTTAAATATAAATGTGGTCTAAAGCAGCTGCTACAATGACTGACAAGTTCTCAATCAAAATCTATTACCATGAGGGTTTCCAACTTAGAATGTGTTAACATCTGCCACTGAATAGAAACAGAAACTTTAAATCTATTATTCCAAACTATGTTTCTGCTATAGATACGTAAATTGCAGCAATTCAGTCTAATAATCATAATGCATTTAATAAATGTACACTTTGGTTTTATGCTAGATAATTAGGACAAAAAATACCAAAGATACATTTGCCATGGCACTTTAAATTTGGATTTGTAAAGCTGAATCTCATGAGAACTATTTAAATCCTCCAAAGTATTTGGCCAAAATTTACAGCCTGTAGAAATAGCCAGTAGAAAGGTCGTGATTTTTAGTTACTAGCCCCTGTACTTCACCCTTAAAATAGGCTCTCACAGTTGTATAACCAGAGAACAAAATTTATAAACTTTTCCATTGATAATGCTTTTAAATACATATAAAGATTTACTAAATGCCATCAGTTACATTTAAAAGCATATCATAGCATTTGGTAAAAGGTATAAAATAAACAATGCCTTAAACTGTAAAAATTACCTCAGATTTAAATTGAACACATATTTAGAATTTATCCAACAGTTTAATGCCATCTTGATATCAACAAAATTTTATTAACTACACTAACTACATGTGAGTCAAAAGCTCTGCCATTCCCTTTAAGCAGTCTCATTTAGATTATCTACAGATTCAGAATTTCTATTTACATATATTAGTAGCTACATAGCTATATGTCATCATTTCAGCTTCCTCCCCTCAGCCTTTGGTCTTTCTAAGAGCTACCAAATAATTTTATCTCAATCAGAGAAAAGAAAAATTAAGGTGCCTTTTTTTATGCAGCCAATTAGCATTTTGAGCACTATAAATTACAACAGTACTTCTTCCTTTGCCTACCACCAAAATAGGAAAAGCTTAAAAAAAAAAAAAGAAAAAGCTATAATTTTAAAACACTGATCTCTTTTCCACAGAAAATGACTTTTAGATCACATGGAAAGTAACATGATTTTAAAATATGCGTATAAAACTTTTTTCTCTACCAAAGTCTTTGAGTACTTTGGAAGAGAATAAATTAAATTTAAGGTTCATGTAGATACATAAGGGTATGCCAACCGAACAAATCTTAAAAACTACAGATTACCAAATAATAACTTTCAGGAGCTCACCAGAATCCAGCCAGTTCTGTGGTTGCAAAGGGAAGAATAAAATTCTGTACTCAAAGGAGTCCCAAGAAGTTGACTTCAGTCAATTTGAACCTCTAGGTAATCAAACTCCATAGATAATCAATTTAAAAGATTCTAAAGAGACCAAAAGAGATCAGAAAGATCCTGAGTTTGGAATCTACTTAAGAAAAAGAATAACTTGAGAGTCTCAGACCTAAAGACATGCCAAAATGCGATGACTACTAAATGAAAACATTGTTTTTCTCCTATACTCACACAGAAACACCAGTGGGTCTTAATGTGTGGGTTTTCCATACCAAGCAATGCTCCAATTCTCTGCAGTCACCAACTGACTGTCCTACAATTTAACCCAATTCTGCTCAGAGTTAGTGCAGAACCCACAGCTTAAAGGTTCAGTCCCACAAGACTGTTCCCACTTCAGATGCCAGTTCCAAGTAAGGGTCCTCAGGTTATTCACAAACTTCTGTTTGGATTGGTTATAAATCAGAGGTTTCCATGACATCCTCCATTTGGTTTGATAATTTACTATGACAATTCACAAAACTCAGGAAAGCACTTTAGTTACATTTACCAGTTTATTATAATGAATGCAACTCAGAAACAGCCAAATGGAAGAGATGTGTAAGGCAAGGTAGAGGAGGTGCACAGAACTCCCATGGCCTCTCTGGACTCATTTCAATGCAACCTAGAAGCTCTCCAAATCCCACAGTTTAATAATTTTTAGCATTCATCATGTAGGTATAATCGATTATTAATTCAATCTCCAGTCCCTCTCCCCTTTCCAGAAGATGGGAGTGGGGCTGAAATTTCCAAGGTTCTAATTATGGTGTGGACTTTCTGGTGACCAGCCCCCATTCTGAAGCTATGCAGGAGCCCAAGTGTCACCCCATTAGAACAAAAGACTCTACTATCACCCCAAAAATTTAAAGGGATTTAGGAGTTCTGAGACAGGAACCAGGGTCAATGACCAAATATTAAAACAGAATATAGGACAGTACTCCTACAACTCAGGAAATTATAAGGGCTTTCATGTTCTCTGTGTCAGGAACTGGGGGTAGGACCAAAAATATATTTCTTACTCTGTCACAACTATAGACTTAAACTCTTAAATTGCTCTGCAAATGCTAAATTGTCACAAGACTCCTCTGGATAAGGGAGAGCTAGACGACTGATTTCTAAAACCTTAAGACTTATGAATTCTACATATCATATTTTATCCCATTAAATGGAAAACTGGGTTCAAGGAGAACCACCTTGGTTTTCAAATCAATTTCATTAAAATATAATTTGCCTACAATAAAATATACTCACTTCAAATGTACACTATAAGGTTTTGGGAAAAAAATTAAGATAGAAGATATTTCCTTCATCCCAAAAGGTTCCTCAGCTCCCTTTGGGTCAACTTCCCACTCTTAGCCCAAGGCAATCAACAATGTACTGGCATTGTAGACTAGTTTTGCCTTTCTAGAATTTCATATTTATCCCTTACTAATAATTCTGTGAGGTAATTTGAGGCCCAACAAAGGTAAGCAACTTGCACAACTTCACAGGACTCCAAGATTAGAATTTAGGGTTTGAAATCAGATCTGTCTAATGCCAAGGCCTACTATTAGGTGATACTACAAGATTTACATCTTGTTCATTTTCGCATCCCTAGCGTTTTTCATTTTAGCATACTTGATCATTGAATGATAAAATGAATTTAAGGAAACTGATCTAAACTTGATCCAAAAAAAAGGAAAGATTGATTTTGAATGATAAATCCATAGATCTTGGTAATTAGTTAGATTTAAAAAAAAAAAAGACCATAAATTTACACAAATTAAAAAAAAAATTTAAGAACAAAGAAAGATCCTTAGATTTTATCTGCATAGTCTCAAAGTGTCTCCCAAGAAATGTATTAACTGCAAATGGAAAGATAGCTTTACAGTGGAGAAACCCAGCAGAAACCACCTTAACAAGTGATCAAGGTTGCTATCACCAGTAAAGAAGACATACATCGTGAACCCCATGACAAAAGACATATTGTTTCTGTGATATTGTTGTCAAATATGCATAACTCTGGCCCAATCATGAGAGCACATTGTACAAACTCAAAGTGTAGCCATAGAAGACAAAAAGTCTGCAGAACTATTATAGACTGCAGAATAAAGACAACTAAATCTAATGTGCAATCCTGGATTATATCCTGATCAGAAGAAAGGCATTAGAAGAAAAACACGTGGAATTCAAATAAGGCCTGCAGTTAATAACATATATGTCAACCTCCTAGTTTGAATAACTGTCCCATGGTTATGCAAAATGTTAACATTAGATGAAACTGTGTAAGGAACACAGTAGTCCCAGCACCCTATCCCCAGGGGATGCGCCCCAAGACCCCCAGTGGATGCTTGAAACTGCAAACAATATTGAACACTACATATGTACTAAGTTTTATCCTATACATACCTATGATTAAGTTTAATTTACAAATTAGGCACAATAAGAGATTAACAGCAACAATAATAAAATAGCCAGGTGTGGTGGTTCTTGGCTGTAATCCCAGCTACTTGGGGCTGAGCCAGGAGGATGGCTTGAGCCCTAGAGTTCAAGGCTACAGTGAGCTATGATTACACCACTGCACTCCAGCCTGGGCGATAGAATGAGACCTCCATCTCTTAAAAAAAAATAATTATTAAATAGATTATAATAACATTGTAATACAAGCCATGTGAATGTTCTCTCTCTCCCTCTCAAAATATTTTATTATACTGTACTCATCAATTTTCAGACCAAGGTTGACCTTGGCTAACTGAAACTAGAGAAAGTGAAACCTAGGATGAAGGAGGTATGTATATATGTAAACACAAAACGTTTTTTAAAAGGGGTCCTTAAAAATTTTTCTGAAACATTAACAACTCATAACCTTGCAACTGCAATAATGAATGCACTTAAACCAATCTTATGATGAAACTCTATGGTTAATTGTTGTAAAATTTAAATCATGCCAACTTTTACTGAACATCTTCTCTATGTAAATCAGTATAGAATGTGGTGACATAGTGATTCATTTAATAAACAAGTTATGACAAGTATAAAAAGTTGAAGGTTAAACTATTGAAAGAGCTAGTTCAAAACACAAAGCCAGTAATTCTGAAGAGTGATAGTTTTCATATCTTCTGAGATCAGAATACTTTTGCATTTTTTTTTTCTTTCAAGAATGAAGACTTCAACCTCGGTCAGAATATTAATACGTATTAACATTATAACCTCTTGTTGCACAAAATTCCTACAAATTCTTGATCAAAAACATGATGCAATGAAATAAAATTTTCAAGTCCTAACCAAACATAATGCAGTATATATGATAGATATACACTACAAGGGACTCTGTTTTGTTCAGAACAAAACTTTCTGCTGTGAAATGCTCATTTCCCTACTCTAAGATTGGACGTGTAAAGAAGCTATCACTTTTATTCAAATTCCACATCTTCATAGCCAATCTGTTAGATATAAGACTAGACATCTAACCATCTGACCTAAGCTGAGTACATAATAAAACCCCACCCTAGGTCCAATTTATATATTGGTTAGGGTTTTTTGGCTTAAAACAAATTTAAGAAATTAAAAATAAGAGTAAGAAGGAGGTGGTCCGTTTTATTGGAAAGACTGGAAGGATGCTTGGGTAGCTCACAGAACTGAAGAAATAACTAAACCGCCAAGGTTTTTTTTTGTTTTGTTTTGTTTTGTTTTGTTTTTTAAATAATGACAGGAATCAGAGGAGTTCTATAGGCCTTAACAGCACTAATGTATAGACCTTCCCTCTTGGATGCCACTATTTCCATGTCTAGCCAATTTAATTTCTTTGTTTGAGCAGAAACTTTATCTGAATTTTCCATCATTGTATCTCTAGCAACCAAACATGTAACAGGCCTTCAATAAATACTTGCTGACTGAATGAACTAATAAAATTAGTCAATAAAGTAATTCCTGAGTGAGAAAATCAAATTGGCCTAGCTTATTTCAGATATCTATCCCTAGATAATCAACTGATCTGGCATCAGTAGAAGACATTTTGGGGCCTTTTCCGTAAAAGAGAACTTGTCAATTGTGCTAACTGGCATCTATTATATATATAAATATTAAAATATTTGACCTGTAAATTATTTGTCATATCAAATGGAGTTTTCATGTACATTTTAAGTCCTCTAGATTTGCATTTCTGTACCACCCTTAAATTATTTCTATAATTTTTTCTCATAAATAATAAACAAAGGCCATGTGTGAACCAAAATAACTTTAAATGTGGACATTCACTCATGCCATCACCGGAAAAATTAAATAAAAATTACAGGCAGGGCACAGTGGCTCATGCCTGCAATCCCAGCACTTTGGGAGGCCAAGGAGGGTGGATCACTTGAGGTCAGGTGTTCGAGACCAGCCTGGCCAACATGGTGAAACCCCATTTCAAAACAAAAATTTGCCAAGCATGGTGGTGCACGCCTGTAGTCCCAGCAACTTGGGAGGCTGAGGCACAACAATCACTTGAACCCGGGAGGTGGAGGCTGCAGTGATCTGAGATCATGCCACTGCACTCCAGCCTGGGCAACTGAGCAAGACTCTGTCTCAAAAAAAAAATTATAAATTAAAATTATGCTTAAAATCTTTTAATTTATATTTCATTAAGCAGATTTTTCATTCAGTTTTTTTATTCACAACTGACCTATACTTCTTGTGGATTCTTCCCAGCACTGTTATGGCTTACAGAGGAAACTATTTTAATCATGTTTATTTGCATTAATACATTATTACTTGTAAAATGTGCATTGTTAGGATGAATAACCAAAACAAAATAAAATCATTCTGTTATAAAATGTTAAAGTTGTCTCTTTAACTAAATACTCATTTTTTTTTTTTTTTTGAGATGGAGTTTCACTCTTGTTGCCCAGGCTGGAGTGCAATGGCGCGATCTTGACTCACCGCGATCTCTGCCTCCCAGGTTCAAGTGATTCTCCTGCCTCAGCCCCCCGAGTAGCTGGGATTACAGGCATGTGCCACCACGCCTGGCTAATTTTGTATATTTAGTAGAGACGAGGTTTCTCCACGTTGGTCAGGCTGGTCTCGAACTCCTGACTTCAGGTGAACCACCTGCCTCGGCCTCCCAAAGTGCTGGGATTACAGGCGTGAGCCACCGCACCCGGCCCCAACTAAATACTCTTAATTAAAATATTTTATATAACTCAGTCTTATCAGTAAACAAGTTACTGCTAAAAGTAAAAAGCCAACTCTTAATTAAGATATTTTATATAACTTAATTAAAATATTTAAATTATTTTATACTTAATTAAAATATTTTATATAACTCAGTCTTGTCAGTAAACAAGTTACAGCTAGAAGTAAAAAGCCAACTCCAAATTGTTTTTATAAATTTGTAAAATTAACTCTTCTACTTCATATGATCATAATTCTAAGTTTCAGTAACATCTATACAACTGTGTTTATGTGTTTTAATGTGTAACATTATTATGAAAGTCTAGCTCTTAGAAAACCATTAGATCATTCCAACCTTCACGCTGAAATGAATTACATGAAATTAGCTGAGAAGGAATGACTTCTGCTGCAATTCCACACAGGCACGTGCGCACACACACACACACGTTTATAAAGCTACTTCCATAAGTCACAAGTAGAGAAAAAGGCTCAATAAACAAGTTAAAAATGTGTGCTTCAGAAAGAAAAGGGCATAGAAAGAAAATGTATCCTTAAATCCAAATTGAGGTTTCAGAAGAACCCTAACCAGGGACTTATAACTGAGGTTAGAACTAAGAAGTAAAATTTTAAACCTGAAAGGCAATTTTAAGCCTGAAAGATTAATGTAATTTTAAGAACAGGCTTTTAAATGAAAACCTCTGTAGGTAAAGTATTAAGATAAAGTATTAAGTATGAAAAGTAACACTTTATATTTAGTACATACTTTGACATGCATATATGTCAAGAAATCATATATTTGTAGCAACCTTACTTACATGGAATTGGTACAAAGAATAACTTCATGAAAATATTTTTATTCAATTCTTTCAGCAAAGAAAAACAATTCCGTTTTCTACACTACTCAGCTGAATGGTACTAATGATTCATCTTATGTCTCCACACAAATATGAGAGAATAAAATTAGTTTACAACATTCATTTTTAACAGAGTTAAATTCCCAAAAATATGATTTCTTGGCATCTTAAATCTAGCAGCATGAAGCTTTTTTTTTTAAACAAATGATTAAAGTAAAGACGTTTAAACCGTCTACAATAATAGAGAAAGTTAGAAGAACCACTTATGAGGACTGGAGGCTGGGTGTGCTGGCTCATGCCTGTAATCCACCACTTAGGAAGGCGGAGGTAGGAGGAATGCTTGAGGCCAGGAGTCCCGAGACCAGCCTGGGCAATATAGTGAGACCTCATTTCTACAAAAAGTCAAAAAAACAGCTGGGCCTGGTGGCATACACCTGTAGTCCCAGCTACTCGGGAGGCTGAGGTGGGAGAATCACTTGAGCCTGGAGGGTTCAACTGTGCCACTGCACTCTAGCCTGGGTAACAGAGTGAGACCTCGCTCAAAAAAAAAAGGATTGGAGAAATAAGTAATCCAAAGATTACCTAAGCCAAAACCACACAAAACTCAAGACTTCAAAAACTGTGTTACCAAATACATATATATGCTTTGGATATCATGCAAAGCCTACATCTAAATAAATAAATCCCACATCAAAGGAAATATAGTGCAAATCAGCAAAACAAATAATCATCAGAATGTACAGACAACCCACAGAATGGGAGAAAATAATTGCCAACTATGCATCTGACAAAGTACTAGTATCCACAATCTCCAAGGAACTCAAAGAAATCAGTAAGAAGAAAACAAATAATCCCATCAATAAGTGGGCAAACGACATTTTTGAAAAGAAGATATACAAATGGCCAAAAAACATATGAAACGCTGCTCAACATCACTAATCATCAGGGAAATGCAAATTAACACCGCAATGAGATATCACCTTATTCCTGAAGGAATGGCCATTAAAAAGTCATAAAACAATACATGTTGGCATGGATGTGGTGAAAACAGAAACTTACACCCTGCTGGTGCAGATGTTAATTAGTGCAGCCTCTATGGAAAACAGTACGGAGATTCCTTAAAGAACTAAAAGTAGGTCTACCATTCAATCCAGCAATCCCACTACTGGATATCTACCTAAAGGAAAAGAAGTCATTATATGAAAAAGACGCAGGCACATAAATGTTTGTTGCAGCACAATTCACAACTGCAAAGGTATGGAACCAACCTAAGTGCCCAATGACCAATGAGTGGATAAACAAAATGTGGTATATATACACCATGGAATGCTACTCAGACATAAAATGGAACAGAATAATGTCTTCTGCAGCAACTTGGATGGAACTGGAAGCCATTATTCTAAGTGAAGTAACTCAGGAATGGACAACCAAATACCCTATGTTCTCACTTATAAGTAGGAGCTACATTATGAGTATGCAAAACCAATCAGGGTGATGTAATGGACTTTGGAGACTCAGTAGGGGGAGAAGGGGAGGGGAATGTGGAATAAAAGACTACATATTGGGTACAATGTACACTACTTTGGTGAGAGGCAAACTAAAATCTCAGAATTCACCACGATATAATCCACCCATGTAACCAAAAACCACCTGTACCCCAAAAGCTCTTGAAATTTTTAAAAATTAAAAAATAAGAAATATAGTACAAATGGTTACATAATAAAGAGCTAGTTAATACGCCACTTTTAGAAACTAAAGATCCTAATACTCCTTCAAAGACTAAATAAGCCGGGCATGGTGGCTGTAATCCCACCTGTAATCCCAGCACTTTGGGAGGCCAAGGTGGGCAGATCACCTGAGGTCAGGAGTTCGAGACCAGCCTGACCAACATGGAGAAACCCCATCTCTACTAAAAATGCAAAACCGGCTGGGCATGGTGGCATATGCCTGTAATCCCAGCTACTCAGGAGGCTGATGCAGGAGAATCGCTTAAACCTGGGAGGCAGAGGTTGCAGTGAGCTGAGATCGCACCATTGCACTCCAGCCTGGGCAACAAGAGCGAAATTCCGCCTCAAAAAAAAAAAAGGAATGCACTCTATTATTTTTTTAAATGACCCAAACTAAAGTTTAGTAAGAGAGATTTGTATCATGGGTCAAAATGTTAAAAACAAAGTAGCTGCAACAGTATTCTTAACAAAATAATTAACAAACAAAAAGCATTATTAAAAAGATGATAAATTGGGCATGGTAGCATGTGCTGGTAATCTACCAGCTACTCAAGAGGTTTCAATGGTTAGGATCATTTGAGCCCAAGAGTTCAAGATCAGCCTGGGCTGTAAGACCTCTACCTCAAACAAACAAACAAAACAGGATGATTACAAATTGTATCTACTAACAAACTGTATTCAACAAGTTCATATTAAAGTTTTATTTCCCATCACGTTTCTAATCCAACTAAGAAATAATATCGTATGAATGCTTTACAAGTTTCAGAAAGTAAAAAAGTAAAACTTAGAAAGAACATTCCATAAAATTAGAGACTCCAATTTAAGAGCAATGCCCCCTAACCCTAACTGTTATAAATATTGTTCAGAATTCAGGTGGCTATCACCGGAGTAGGAAAAGTACCAAAGAACAGATAGGAGGAAAGGTAGAAACACAGAAGAGAGGAAAGAGAAGCATATTGTAGTATTTACAGGGTACATCAAATAGGAGTCCAATCAAAAAAACAGAAACCTCTCCATATATTTAATAGAAGACATAGCTACTAATACAGGAAATTTTCCAGCACACATTTGGACCATGGAAGGAGGAGCTCTCTGATAAGAGCTAAAGTCACAAAGGACAAGAAGCCCCTACCAGAGAAATAGCCTTTACCAGACATGACAACCAAAAAATACCCTGGCTTCTCCCTTCTACCTGTCCTCCAATCTTCCGCTAGTATCTGTCAATGGCCAAACTCATGCAGAAGCCTGTGGCTTGGCCCTTAAAACAGAAACAGAGGAAATGAAAATTGAGAAACAGAAAACCAAACAGGCAAATGATAACACAAAGTATCTTCCCAAAATCTCTTCTGGTATTAGTAGACACTACAAAGACCTTAGATCCTATTGCTTATTCATATCATTCCTTGTATAAACTATTCTTTTCCTGAGAGGGTAGAAATACTCCTGTATTTCTAACTTTAATGCTATTTTTTAAAAATCCATTATGATATCTAAAAATGTGAGGACTATATCTAAGTAGCACAAGCCCTTCAGGATTCCAAGGGTCATTTATCCTAGTGGTTAGATCTTAATCACTGGCTAGAGATTTTAATCCCCTAAAAAAAAACCAGCCTCCCACCTCCACCCCAAGACCAATTAAATCAGAACCTCCAAAAGTGGGGCCCACACAGTGGTAGTTTTCTTAAAACTCCCCAGAGTGATTCTAATACGCAGCCAGGCTTGAGAACCACTGGTTTATCCAAAATATTGCTGGAATTTAAAGGATTAAAAACCAAAATTTGCTCAACAACACCCTAAGGTCTCAGCCAGAAGAGGGCAGCAAGGAACTATTCTGGAAGGCCACAAAAGAAAAAATAAGATGCCCTAGTACCTTAGTCCCTTAGGAGCTGTGCAGAGGGGGGAAAAGCCCACCGAGGTTCAAGAATTTTGGGATAAATGCCATGCCTCAAGTGGGAACTAATGAATGAATGGTAAGGAACCAAGCAGAGATAAGCCCCCAAGCAGGGTAAGGTGAAGGAACAAGAGAGAGCCAGTAGATGGTCAGAAAAGTACCAGGCACAAAATGCCACTCAATTGTGCTCATTTTCCAGTCATCCTGATTTCCTTAGCTAATTACTTTGTCTTACTCTATTACTGAAAGATGCATAAAATCCTTTTTGAAACAAGTCTGAAATTAAGGGGATCACTTAAAATATGACCCAGACACACCTAATCTTGGCTAGCAGATCAGTCATTTACACACATTATCAGTAATACTACAAATGTATAATGTTTAAAGGAGATCTAGAATGAGTAAACTAGTGCAAATCTACCATGACTACTAGAAAAATAGCTCTAAGCACACGGGACATCATCAGTCTTCACATATGAAGAGAGTGTATCTACTATTACTAACATTATTGCTGCTAATCACAAAACAATAAAAACAAATAAATTGAACTGTGTAACCTTTAGGAACTCAGATTGGCACTGAATCACCTGTCACTTACTCATGATAAATAAATATACATGTGTGTCTGTGTGTAGAAAGGAAGCAATTACTAAAGAATATTCTTAAAGATATTTAGCTTTAAGATTTAATAAACACAGCTCTCCCTCTCCCTCTCCCCACGGTCTCCCTCTCTTTCCAAGGTCTCCCTCTGATGCCGAGCCGAAGCTGGACTGTACTGCTGCCATCTCGGCTCACTGCAACCTCCCTGCCTGATTCTCCTGCCTCAGCCTGCCCAGTGCCTGCGATTGCAGGCGCGTGCCGCCACGCCTGACTGGTTTTCGTATTTTTTTGGTGGAGACGGGGTTTCGCTGTGTTGGCCGGGCTGGTCTCCAGCTCCTAACCGTGAGTGATCTGCCAGCCTCGGCCTCCCGAGGTGCCGGGATTGCAGACAGAGTCTCGTTCATTCAGTGCTCAATGTTGCCCAGGCTGGAGTGCGGTGGCGTGATCTCGGCTAGCTACAACCTCCACCTCCCAGCCGCCTGCCTTGGCCTCCCAAAGTGCCGAGATTGCAGCCTCTGCCTGGCCGCCACCCCGTCTGGGAAGTGAGGAGTGTCTTTGCCTGGCCGCCCATCGTCTGGGAAGTGAGGAGCGCCTCTTCCCGGCCGCCATCCCGTCTAGGAAGTGAGGAGCGTCTCTGCCCGGCTGCCCATCGTCTGAGATGTGGGGAATGCCTCTGCCCCGCCACCCCGTGTGGGATGTGAGGAGCGCCTCTGCCCGGCCGCGACCCCGTCTGGGAGGTGAGGAGCGTCTCTGCCCGGCCGCCCTGTCTGAGAAGTGAGGAGCCCCTCCGCCCGGCAGCCGACCCATTTGGGAAGTGAGGAGCGTCTCCGCCCAGCAGCCGCCCCGTCCGGGAGGTGGGGGGCAGCCCCCGCCAGGCCAGCCGCCCCGCCCGGCCAGCCACCCCGTCCGGGCGGGAGGTGGGGGGCAGCCCCCGCCCGGCCAGCCGCCCCGTCCAGGGGGGGAGGTGGGGGCCAGCCCCCACCCGGCCAGCTGCCCCGTCCGGGAGGTGGGGGGGGGGGCGCCTCTGCCTGGCCGCCCCTTCTGGGAAGTGAGAAGCCCCTCTGCCCGGCTGTCACCCCCGTCTGGGAGGTGTACCCAACAGCTCACTGAGAACGGGCCATGATGACGATGGCGGTTTTGTTGAATAGAAAAGGGGGAAACGTGGGGAAAAGATAGAGAAATCAGATTATTGCTGTGTCTGTGTAGAAAGAAGTAGACATAGGAGACTCCATTTTGTTCTGTACTAAGAAAAATTCTGCCTTGGGATGCTGTTGATCTATGACCTTACCCACAACCCGGTGCTCTCTGAAACATGTGCTGTGTCCACTCAGGGTTAAATGGATTAAGGGCAGTGCAAGATGTGCTTTGTTAAACAGATGCTTGAAGGCGGCATGCTCCTTAGGAGTCATCACCACTCCCTAATCTCAAGTACCCACGGACACAAACACTGCGGTAGGCCGCAGGATCCTCTGCCTAGGAAAACCAGAGACCTTTGTTCACTTGTTTATCTGCTGACCTTCCCTCCACTATTGTCCTATGACCCTGCCAAATCCCCCTATGCGAGAAACACCCAAGAATGATCAATTAAAAAAAAAAAATACAAAAAAAAAGATTTAATAAACACAATTTTTCTGTACCTTCTGACAGAAAAATATGAAAAAAAATTCGAACTTTCTCAGGACTTTTTGTTTTTAGCTACTAATAGAGAATTAGCCCCCTGCTTTTAGCTTATCCAAAAATAAATACAGCAATACCACCTCTTTCTATACTACCACCTTTTTCTAGGGGTTGAAGACTAGAGGAGAATCACTACCTTGGAAGAGAAGAAATCAATTATCAATTGAAGAAATCAATTATTTTCACTTATGGAACTTACTGACTTTAGGCAATGGATATATGACTTCATATCTTTTAGAGAATGCTTGGGAAAAAAATAAAACTGTATGTTCCAATCCAAAAACTTATCTACAACTACCTATAACCTATATTTACTTTGAAAAAAAAATCTTATTGTACAGACTAGCCTCTCTTTTCAATGATCATTAGGAATCTCAGAGCTGTAGTTTTGTTTTGTTGTTGTTGTTGGTTTTTGTAATTCACCTGTAAATCACAGCTGTCTAGCTGAACACAGCATCCAGGCAAGCCACGTATCTTACCCAATCATGTGTCCAAACTTCATATTTTATAATTATCTGCATTATCTCAATTTGTATTACCTTAAAACTACTTCAAGGGGAGGCTCGATTCTACAATGAAGCTCTAAAATGTGCAATGTTAGGTTACTGTTTTTGTAATTCCACAGTAAAATTCCATATATACCCTTGAGGGTAAGGATTATGCTTAATCATGATCATGCTTAAGGATCCAAGTATCTTAATCATCCGTGTACAAACTTCATATTTTATAATTATCTGTGTTATCTCAATTTGTATTACCTTAAAACTACTTCAAGGGGGAGCCTCAATTCTACAATGATGCTCTAAAATATGCAATGTTAGATTACTGTTTTTGTAATTCCACAACAAAATTCCGTACATACCCTTGAGGGTAAGGATCATGCTTAATTTATCTTTGTGTCTGTCAATATTTAGCAACATGCCACTATTGGTAATGCACACGGTCCCAACAAGATGTTTTTCCTTCTTATTTTTTTCACAATATGTATCTTACATATATTGCAATACATTAAACTAGATGTATAGAACATTTATGGCAGCATTACTTACAATACTCGAAATATGAAAATAAACCAGATGTCCATCAGTGATAAGTGGGTGAACAGTTACATACATATAATGAAATATTAGTCATAAAAAAAACTCAAATATATATACTATAACTTGGATGAATCTTGAGACCATTATGTTAAACGAAAGAAGCCACACAAAAAAGGTCACAAATTGTATGATTCCTTTTTATGATACATTCAGGACAGGCACATCCATATAGAGAAAAAGCAGATTAAAAGTTATGAGGGGACCTGCTTAGGGGGAGGTTAGGGAATGATTACCTAATGGAGTATAGGGTGTTTCTGGAGTGTGATGAAAAAATTTTGAAACTAGAAAGAGCTGTTAGTTTTGGTTGCACATTATGAATACACTAAATAACACAGAAAAGTACATTTGACAATGATTATTTGACTGTGAAGTGATTTTCACCTCAATTAAAAGAATGTATTTGAAGAAAAATATGTACAATTTAAAGACTTAGAAAATGAGTACTTAAATAACACACCACCATGATGATGGGAAATAAAACTCTTCCACCACCCTCAGAAATCTCTCAAGTGTTCCTTCTTGATTCTCCCTTCCACAGAGATAAAAACTATCCTTCCGGTAATCATTTCTTAGCTTTTCTTGTTTTATCAACAATATATTCTTATTCAAACAATATTAAACAATATAGTAAAATTTCATCATAGTATATGTTTTCCCTTGATTTCTTGTACTCACCACTGTATTTGTAATATTCATCACATCTGTAGTTCATTTTATTGCTTGTATAGTTCAAGGAATTTTTTTTTTTAATGGACAGAGTCTCACTCTGTTCACCCAGGCTGGGGTACAGTGGTGTGGTCATAGCTCACTGTAACCTCAATCTCCAAGTAGATTTTTTTTTTTTTATTAAATAGACTCTGTGCATGTCTTTTCATGGCCTGATAACTCATTTCTTTTTATGGCTAGATAATATTGCATCGTCTGGATGTACCACAGTTTGTTTATCCATTAACCTACTGAAGGACATCTTGGTTGCTTCCAAGTTTGGGCAATTACAAATAAAGTTGCTACAAACATGTATCGGCAGATTTTTATGTGGACTTAAAGTTTTCAGTTCATTTGGATAAACACCAAGGAACATGACTGCTGGATCATATGGTAAGAATATGTTTAGCTTTTAAAGAAACTGCCCAAGTGTCTTTTGAAGGTTATTATTTTGCATTCCCACCAGCAATGAATGAGAATTCCCATTACTCCACATACTCACCAGCATGTGGTATTGTCAGTGTCTGGAATTTTCATCACTCTAATAGGTGTATAGTATCTCACTGTGGTTTAAATTTGCATGTTCTCTAATGATATGTGGAAACATCTTTTGAAATGCTT
Source organism: Homo sapiens (assembly GCF_000001405.40). Lineage (NCBI taxonomy): Eukaryota > Metazoa > Chordata > Mammalia > Primates > Hominidae > Homo > Homo sapiens. The sequence goes on along the minus strand of NC_000001.11, from coordinate 86,960,660 downwards.
GCTTGCCATCTGTATATCTTCTCCAAGGAGGTTCAGATTTTTTTGTCCATTTAATTGTGTTGTTCATTTATTATTGAGTTATAAGGGTTCTCTGAATATTTTTGGATGCCAGTTCTTTTTCAGGTATGTATTTTCCAAAGATTTTCTCCCAGTCTGTGACTTATCTCTTTAGTCCCTAAACAGTAACTTTCACAAAACGTACATATTTTATTTTAACGAAGTCCAACTTAACAACGTCTTTCTTTCATGGAGTATGCTTTTGGTGTTTTGTCTAAAAAGTTATCACCAAACCTAAGGTCACCAGATTTTCTCCTTTATTATCTTCTAGGAGTTTTACATTTTTGTGCTTAACATTAAAGGCTACAATTCACTCTGAGGTAGTTTTTGTGAAAAGTATAAAGTCTGTGTCAAGATTCTTTTTTTTTTTTTTTTTGGTGGCGTGGAGGGGAATGAGATATCCTGTTATTCCAGTGCCACTTGTGGAAAAAATTACCGTTTTTCCTTGTCTCTGCTCCTTTGTCAAGGATCAATTTACTATATTCGTGGTCTACCTATGCGCTATTTTGCTTCAATGATCTATTTATTCTTTCAACAATACCACAATGTCTTGATTACTGTGGCTTCATAAGTCTTTAAGTACAATAGTGTCAGTCTGACTTTGTTCTCCTATAATATTGTGTTGCCTAGTCTAGGTCTCTGACCAATATAAACTTTAGAATAACTTTGCTGATAGCCACAAAATAACCTGCTGCGATTCTGAATTAAATTACACTGAATCTATAGATCACGTTGGGAAGAACTTGACATCTTAACAATATTGAGTCTGCCTAAGCATGAACATGGAATATCTGTTTATTTAGATCTTCGATTTTTTATTTTTGTCATTTTCCTCATATAGATCTTGTACTGTACTTATGTTGCAAGATTTATATCTAAGGACTTTAATTTTTTTGTGCTAATATAAATGGTATTGCAACACTGCTATAGTCTTTTATTTTTTTTGGAGACAAAGTCTTGCTCTGTCACCCAGGCTGGAGAGCAGTGGCGTGATCTCAGCTCTCTGCAACATCCACCTCCCAGGTTCAAGCGATTCTCCTGCCTCAGCCTCCCGAGTAGCTGGGACTACAGACGTGCACCACCACGCCCAGCTGATTTTTGTATTTTTAGTAGAGACGGGGTTTCACCATGTTAGCCAGGCTGGTCTTAAACTCCTGACCTCAGGCAATCCGCCCACCTCTGCCTCCCAAAGTGCTGGGATTACAGGCGTGAGCCACTGCACCCAACCTGCTATAATCACTTATTAGTTCCAGAGCACTTGTGATTTGTTGGGACTTTCTACATATACCAACATGTCATTTGTGAATTAAGTTTTATTTCTTCCTTCTCAATCGGTATACCTTTTATTTTCTTTTCCTGTCTTATTGCATTAACCAGGACTTCCAGGATGATGCTGAAGAGTAGTGAGAGGGGACATATTTGCCTTTTCCCTAATCATAATAGAAAAGGATCTATGTTCTCATTAGTAAATATGATGTTAGCTGTAAGTTTTTTGTAGATTTTCTTTATCAAGTTGAGGAATTTTCCCCCATTCCTAGTTTCCTGAGAGATTTTAATCAAGAATGGATGTTGGATTTTATCAAATGCTTTTTCTGCATCTACTGATATGACCATATGATTTTTCTTATTTAGACTGTGGATGTGATCGATTACATGAATTGATTTCCACATGTTGAACCAGCCTTGCATACCTGGAATAAATCCCACTTAGCTATAGTATGTAATTCTTTTTATACATTTTTGGATTTGATTTGCTAATATTCGGTTGAGGATTTTTACATTTATATTCACAAAAGATTTTGGTCTGTAGTTTAGTTTTCCTTTCTTGTATGGTCTTCGGTATTAGGTACTCTTTGGTATTAAGAGTAATGCTGAGTTAAGAAGTATTCCCCCTGTTTCTATTTTCTGGAAGAGACTGTAGAGAACTGGTATAATTTCTTCCTTAAATGCATAGTAGAATCAGGGAGATTTTTTAAAATAAAACATTTAGCTTTTAAAGTAGAAATGTAGGTAATAATATGCATAATGTTAATTACAAAATAACACTGTAGTTGACCCTTGAACAACATGGGTTTGAACTGCACAGGTCCACTTACACAAGAATTTTCTTCCACCTTTGCCACTCCTGAGACAGCAAGACCAACTCCTCCTCTTCCTCCTCAACCTATTCAATGTGAACACAGCAAGGATGAAGACCTTTATGATGATTCACTCCCATTTAATAAACAGGAATACATTTTCTATTCCTTGTGATTTTCTTAATAACCTTTTCTCTAGCTACTTTATTGTAACAATACAGTACAGAATACACATAACATACACACAAAATTTGTGTTAAGTGGCTGTTAATGTTATCGGTGAGTCTTCCAGTCAACAGTAGGCTATCAGTAGTTAAGTTTTTTAGAAAGTCAAAAGTTACATGTGGATTTCCCACTGTGCAGCAGAGGCGCTGATGCCCCTGATCCTCTCATTGTTGAAGGGTCAACTGTAGCTACCTATATATAAACCCCTTAGCTGGGTGTGATGGCTCATGCCTGTAATCCCAGCACTTTGGGAGGCCGAGGCGGGTGGATCACCGTGGTCAGGAGTTCGAGAACAGCCTGGCCAACATGGTGAAACCCCGTCTTTACTAAAAATACAAAAATCAGCTGGATGTGGTGATGCATGCCTGTAATCCCAGCTACTCAGGAGGCTAGGCAGGAGAAACGTTGAACCCGGGAGGCAGAGTTTGCAGTGAGCTGAGAGCACACCATTGCACTCCAGCCTGGATGACTAGAATGAAACTCCATCTCAAAAAAAAAAAAAAAAAATCTAAAAAAACCTCTAATATCTTCCAGGTAATGATTTCAATACTTTAAAAATTATACCTGTGTACTATTCACAACAAAACATTATGTTTTTAACTCCCTTATTAGTACATTATTACATTTTTTTTTAAGTGAGCTCAAATGAAGTAACTTGTCATGTAGCTATGAATAAATAAAAGATCTGGTCTTTCAATCCAAGTATATTTAACTGTAGCAGTTCTATTTCCTCTAGATTTTATTATTAAAACAAGCAAAAACTGGGGATTAGGAAGTAAAAAGAGAAGTAAAATAAAAGAGCAGAGACCTTAGCAATTCAGTCTTAGGAGAGAGCTGAGACATCACATGTTGCAATTGTGTTTATTCTACACATTTTGAGAATCACAGCAAAGTGGTTAAGCATAAGACTGCTGGAGTTTAAATCTGGTTTCCATCACTTGCTAAACATGTGATGGGCCATTTGTCCTATGAGAGTCATGTTTCTTCCTCTGTAAAATGGGATGATTAACATTACTTACCCATGTAAGAATTAAATTGTCAAATTAAATAATTCATGTAAAAATTTAAATTCAGAAATTCTTTTTCAATCATTTATCCTTGCTCTTTAAAATGACAAAATTTATTCAAGAAACTTAGACTATAAATGTCCTGAAACTTAGACTATAAATGTCTAGAAACTTGTTCATTACCTAAAAATTCACTTGACAACTTGAAGCCCACAACTCACTTGCTAATTGTGATTAATATAACCCTCTTCATAATATAAGGTACAAAATATGACAGGTCTTTTCATGGCATTACCATCTGGAATTTCAAACCACTAAATTGTGAATGATTTCAATGTTATATAATGTATTTTTACTGTCCAAAGATTCAGGGGTGAGGAAAGAAGGTCTGTTTTGCAATTACTGAATATATGCTACTAACTCCTTAAATTCAACTAGCAAGAACATGTTACTCAAAGTGTAAAGAGAAAACCATGTAGAAGTATAAACCTCTCTAAATGCAGGGTAAGTTACAACAGAGATGCATCGAGCACCATAGGGTAATATATTTTTTCTGGTGAAAAGTATTCTTGGTGGCAACCTATAAAGAAGTCAATCCTCCCCTAACTAAGCTACAGGTTTTCTAATAACATAAAATCAAGGTAGGAGAGCCAAAAAAGTCAGATCACAGAAAGTGATTTAGGGTAGGCATCACAAAGAATTTATAGAAGAAAAAAAGTACCTCTCACCATCAGTTCCTTCTGGGCAGGTTCACACTGCTGAAAATCAGATTTTCATGGGAGCAGTACTGTTATTTTTCTACAGCCATAGTGACCAAGTGGAAACATTTGTTTTAAGCTATCTTTCCAGCTAAAAGGATCTAGGCCATGCTCTGTTTTAAAGAACTTTGAGGACTTAACTGATTCCTTTTCAGGCACTGAATCAAACACAGAATTGTTCCTTCAGAAAAATCCTGGCTTTGCCTGCAGGTTCTCTATTACTCTTTCCTCTGAATGTGGGACAATCTTGGAATCAAAAGGAAATCTTTTTTTAATCTGGAATTTTCAGAAAAGGAGTCAATATTATCACTTGCTTACTTATTCCTTAAAGCAGCAGATCCACCCCAGTAAATAACCCCAAAAAATTGTTGCTGAAGTCCTTTCCATGCCTAATTCTTAACAAATATGTTCAAAGAAATTACACATGTGTGCATATATTCACTTATGTATATATACACACATATATGTATGAAGAGACAGCTATTTAGCTATTTTATTTACAGAATATGCAGATCAACTATTTCTCCTTTTTTTATTTTATCTTTTTTGAAACAGGTCTCACTCTGCAACCCAGGCTGGAGTACAGTGGCAGGATCACAGCTCAGTTCAACCTCCACCCCTCCAGGACTCCAGTGATCCTCCCACCTCAGCTTCCTGAGTTGCTGGGGCCACAGGCGTGCACCACCCATGCACGTATAATTTATTGTATTTTTGGTAGAGAGGGGGTTTTGCTATGTTGCCTAGGCTGGTCCCAAACTCCTGGACTCAGGCAATCCGCCCACCTTGGCCTCCCAAAGTGCTGGGACTACAGGTGTAAGCCACTGCACTGGCCATTTTTTTGTTTTTGTTTTTATTTCAATTACAAGAAAACCAAAAGAAGCCAAAAAGTGTCCAATTTCTTTATATACTCTAGGTTTTATTTTTGGATGAAGATTATTTATTTAGCTCCCCACCCTTCACTCCCATTAAAAATTGCACCTCAGCTTCATGACCTGAGATTTCACTTGGTATACTGTAAAAACCTTTTTGGCAAGAGGGACGGGTTTTGTGGAAGACAATTTTTCCACAGGGGGTGGGCGGGAATGGTTTCGGGATAAAAACTGTTCCACCTGGGATTAGATTTTCTTAAGGAGCACCACCTAGATCCCTCCTCGCAAGCGCAATTCACAATAGAGTTCACGTTCCCATGAGAATCTAATGCCACTGCCAGGTGCTAATGCTGGCCTGCACCTCACGTGCGGCCCAGTCAGTGGCCCCAGGGTTGGGGACTCCTACACTACATGACTCAATATTCCCTATATTGAGGTCTCATTCAAAAATTTTATTTCAGAAATAAGCACTAAGAAAAGTTTAATCTCCTCTAAGAAATTATTTTTGTCTTTAGACACAGAAATGCAGAACCAAATTCATAGCTCAAATTTATCAAGCTGTACACTTAAGATTTGTACATTTCACTCTAGATAAATAAAAAATTTCACCTCACGATCACGGCTCACTGCAGCCTCGATCTCCCCAGTTCAAGTGATTCGCCCACCTCAGCCTCCTGAGTAGCTGGGACTACAGGGATGAGCCACCACACCTGGCTAATTTTTTCTATTTTTTGTAGAGATGATGTCTCACTATGTTGCATAGGCTGGTCTCAAACTCCTGGGCTCAAGTGGATTTCAGACTCTTGAGATAGCATATGTACTCTAATGTTCCTATCATCTGGCCTTTCTATTCTGATATATATTTTGTCCTGATGCTAAAAAACTTGACTCTTTTCTCATTGAATATATATTTTATACTGATCCTATTTTTCCCCACTGAGATTCAGAAGAAACCTGAAAATGCCCTGTAACATACATGAGAAGAAAGTGGAACAAAACAGACTGGTGCTTTGACTTAGCCAATTCTAACCAATGAATCATTATCAACAATTTCCCAGAGGAAAGGCATTAATGGTTCAAATAAAATTCACACTGGTTACTGATCCTATACAGGATATTTATAATTAGTTGAACAATGTATAATTAAACAATTTGGTAAGCCTATTACAATGTGTTCATATTGAGCATGGATAAGTTATTCTCAAATCAACGTCTTTTTTTATCATAAATCTTAATTCAAGAACCTAAACCAAATATTACAGACAGATTTTATTGCACTTCACGTCAATGCACTTCACAGATACTGCCTTTTTTTTTGGAGACAGAGTCTTGCTCTGTCACCCAGGCTGGAGTGCAATGGCACGATCTTGGCTCACTGCAACCTCTGCCTCCCGGGTTCAAGTGATTCTCCTGCCTCAGCCTCCCAAGTAGCTAGGACTACAGGTGTGTGCCACCACGCCAGGCTGATTTTTGTATTTTTAGAGAGACTGGGTTTTACCATGTTGGCCAGGCTGGTCTCAAACTCCTGACCTCGTGACCTGCCCGCCTCGACCTCCCAAAGTGCTGGGATTAGAGGCGTGAGCCACCAAGCCCGGCCTTTTTTTTTTTTTTTTTTTTTTTTTTTTTAAAAAAAACAGTGATGTTTGTTATTACTATTGCAATTGTTTTGGGGCGTCACAAACCATGCCCACATAAAACAGTGAACTTAATACAAGTTGTGTGTTTTCTGACTGTTCCGCAGACCAGCCATTCCCCATTTTCCCCCCTCTGCTCAGGCTTCCCTATTCCTGGGTATACAACAATATTGAAATTAGGCCTAATAATAACCCTTATAATGGCCTCTAAGTGCTCAAGTGAAAGGAAGAGTCCCATGTCATTCACTTTATTTTTAAATTTTTTTATTTTTTGAGACGGGAGTCTCACTCTGTCACCCAGGATGGAGTGCAGTGGTGCAATCTCAGCTCACTGCAACCTCCATCTCCCAGGTTCAAGCGATTCTCCTGCCTCAGCCACCTGAGTAGCTGGATTACAGGCACCCACCACCATGCCCAGCTAATTTTTGTATTTTTAGTAGAGACAGGGTTTCACCATGTTGGCCAGGCTGGTCACAAACTCCTGACCTCAAGTGATCCGCTGCCTGCCTTGGCTTCCCAAAGTGCTGGGATTACAGGCATGAGCCATTACTCCCTCATCACTCACTTTAAATCAAAGGCATGCTGAAAGCCAAGACAGGCTGAAAGCTAGGACTCTTGTGCCAAAGAGTCAAGTTGAGAATGCAAAGGAAGAGTTCTTGAAGGAAATTAAAAGTGCCACTCCAGTGAACACACCATGATAAGAAAACGAAACTGCCTTATCGCTGAAATGGAGAAAGTTTAAGTGACCTTGATAGATCAAACTGGCCACAACATTCCCTTAAGTCAAAGCCTACCCCAGAGCAAATGCTTAACTCTCTTCAATTCCAAGAAGGCTGAGAGAAGTGAGGAAGCTGCAGAAGTAAAGTATGAAGCTAGTACAGGTTTAAAGAATCATGCCATCTTCATAATATAAAAGTGCAAGGTAAAGCAACAAGTGCAGATGCAGAAGCTGTAGGAAGTTATCCCCGTCTAGCTAGGATACCTGATGAAGGTGGCTACAATAAACTATAGATTTTCCATGTAGATGAAACAGCATTGTACTGGAAGAAGATGGCATCTAGGACTTTCATAGCTATAGAGAAGTCAATGCCTGCCTTCGAAGAACAAGCTGACTCTACCAGGAACTAAAGAAAGCTAGTGACTTTAAGTTGAAGCCAATGCTCATTTACCATATGAAAATTCCTAGGGCCTTTAAGAATTATGCTAAATCGACTCTGCCTGTGATCTATAAATGGGACAACAAAGACTAGCTAGCTGATAGCACCTCAGTTTACCACCCGGTTTACTGAATATTTTAAGCCCACTGTTGAGACCTATTGCTCAGGAAAAAAGATTCCTCTCAAAATGTTACTGCTCATTGACAACACACCTAGTTACCCAATAACTCTGATGGAGAATACAATGAGATTAAAGTTGTTTTCATAACTGCTAACACAACATTTATTCTGCAACCCATGCATCAGAGAGTAATTTTGACTTTCAAGTTTTATTATTTGGCTGGGCATGCTGGCTCATGCCTGTTATCCCAGCAGTTTGGGAGACCAGGGCAGGCAGATCACTTGAGACCAGGAGTTCAAGACCAGCCTGGCCAACATGGTGAAACCCCATCTCTACTAAAAACATAAAAATTTGCCGGGCGTGGTGGTACGTGCCTGTAATCCCAGCTACTCAGGAGACTGAGGCAGGAGAATCACTTGAGCCCAGGAGGCAAAGGCTGCAGTGAGCCGAGATCACACCACAGGACTCCAGCCTGGGCAACACAGCGAGATTCTATCTCAAAAAAAGTATTTATTATTTAAGAAAAACATTTTGTAAGGCTATAGCTGCCACGGACAGTGATTCCTCTATCTGGGCAAAGTAAACTGAAAACGTTCTAGAAAGGATTCATCATTCTAGATGCCATTCAGAACATTCATGATTCATGGAAGGATTTCAAAATATCAATATTAAGTTTGGAAGAATTCTAACTCTCATGAATGACTTTGTGGGGTTCAAGACTCCAATGGAGGAAGTCACTACACGTGCTGGGATTAGCAACAGAACTAGAGTTAGAAGCGGGGACTGAAAATGTGACTGAATTCCTGCAATTTCATGACAAAACTTGAACAAATGAGGAGTTGCTTCTTAGGGACGAGCAAAGAAAATGGTTTGAGATGAAATCTATGCCTGGTGAAGATGCTGTGAACATGCTGAAATGACAACAAAGGACATAGAATATCCCATAAACATAGTTGATAAAGCAGCATCAGGGTTTGAGATTGACTCCAATTTTGAAGGAATTTCTACTGTGGGTAAAATGCTATCAAACAGCACTCCGTGCTACAGAGAAATCTAAACCTCACTGTTGTCTTATTTGAAGAAATTGCCACAGTCACCCCCACCTCCAGCCACCACTCTGATTAGTCAGCAGTCATTTAAATCAACACAAGGTCCTCCTATCAGCAAAAAATTTATAACTCACTAAAGACTCAGATGATTGTTAGCATTTTTTTTAGCAATAAAGTACATTTTAATTTAGATATGTGCATTGTTTCTTTAGACATAATGCTACTGCACACTTAATAGACTACAGCATAGTGTAAACATAACTTTTACATGCACTGAGAAGTCAAAATATTCGTGTCACTTGCTTTATTGCACTATTTGCCTTATTTCGGTGCTCTGGAATTGAACCCATAATATTTCTGAGATACGCCTGTTTTTATAACAAATATCTGAATCCAGGTGGTCACCAGAATGTTAAGAAGGCAGAAACAGGCAGTCTCCAATTGAGTCTACCTACAGTTGCCTAGCTTTAAGACATTGAGACTATGCATGGTGGGGGATGAGGGAGAGTGCTCCTAGAGAACTGATATGTAAATGTTTTTCATATGCATTCCCAATTTGCCATTAAAAGGAAAGAATAAATCTGAAGCATGTACTGCTAATAAATTCTGGCTGAAACAAATATTGAAACTTACAAACTACTAAGATGTATTACTTATGTGTTTCCTTGCCTTAAATGCCTGCTTTCCTACTAATCCAACTGAACACTCTATCAGAGGTTCAGCTCCACATCAATTTCTCTGGAAAGGACTGTAGAAACTTGACAGATCCATTCTATTGCAATCATGTAGCCGGAAAGAGGGAGGGGCTTTTCCTGGAACTGTCTGCTAAGCAGACAGCATAAAGAGGTCATTTCTTTTACCCACTTTTTATGCTGAAAACTTCAAACCTACTAAAAGGCCGTAAAAAAATACAATGAAGTACATTCTTCCTTCTTCATCTAAATTATTCAGTCTCTGACCAATTGTTAACATTTTGCCACATTTCCTTTCTCTCTTTACACATACTTGCACAGACACAATTTTTCTTTGGTTAACAATTTGAATGTTACTTGCAGCATCATGACATTTCACTCCTAAATATGTCAACATGTACCCCATTAAGAAGAAGAGTATTTTCCTATGTAATCAGAATAAATTATCACTCAGAAAATTTAATATTCATATTACACCATTCAAATCCATTCTACAATTTCTCCAGTCACCCTAATAATGTCCTTTAGATCTGTTTTGTCCTCCAGTCCAAGACCCAATGCAGGATCCACTGCACAACACAGTTAATTTCCATGTCTCGCCTTTAACTTTCTGTCTGTCTGTCTGTCTATCTACCTACCTACCTACCTACCTATCTATCTACCCATGTATCTATCTAGTCTTTCATGATACCAACTACTAGCATTTTTGAAGGGTCCAAGACATGAAGATTTCCTATTTAGAACTGCCTTATTATTTCTTCAACAAGTTCTGGCAAAAAGAAAAAAATGGCATTAAGTACCAAACAGGTGAAGTTGTACTCTTCTCAGCGCACCATATCAAGGAATACGTAACGTCAGTTTGTCCCATAATGTTGATGTTAAGTTAGAGCATTAAGTTAAACTGGTCAGATTTCTCCGAATCCAATCCCAACAATCTTTCACCAAATGGTTTCAGCATCTTATCTTAATCAAATGTTTCTATAGTGCTTTTTCTATTTATGGATTTTCTATAATTCCTTCTACATTTATTAGTTGTTTAAAACAAAGAACAAATGGCCAACTAGGGTCCTAAAAGCCCTGTGTTCTGAAGGCCATGGGGAGGTTAAATGAAGTAGATTTTGCATCTCCTGAAAAGCACAACTGCATCTCACTACCTTTTTATATGGTATTCTATTTAAAATGTTATGATAATAGGAGTCTAATTATTGGGGGTAAAACTGAAAACATAGCTTAGAACAACAGTGTCCAATGTAAGTTTCTGGAAAGATGAAAATGTTCTGCACCATCGACAGGAACCACTAGCCACACATGGCTATTTGAGCACTTGAAACGTGGTTAATAGAACCAAAGAGCAGAATTTTTAATTTACTTTAAACAACCACATACAGCTAGTAGCTACTGTATCGGACAGGGTAAGCTTAGAGAATCTTTTTTTCTCTTTTCTGAGATGCAGTCTCGCTCTGTCACCCAGGGTGGAGTGCAGTGGCTCTATCTCAGCTCACTGCAACCTCTGCCTTTTGGGCTCAAGTGATTCTCCTGCTTAAGCCTCTATTTCTGTAGAGATGTATGGCCAAAAAATATAAAAAATTTAAAGTGAAGATTCTTGGGTGAGCATGGTGGCTCACACCTGTAATCTCAGCACTTTGGGACGCCAAGGCCGGCAGATCACTTGAGGTCAGGAGTTTGAGACCAGCCTGGCCAACATGGCGAAACCCTGCCTCTACTAAAAATACAAAAATTAGACGGACATGGTGGTATGTGCCTGTAATCCCATCTATTCGGGAGGCTGAGGTGAGAGAATCACTTGAACCCAGGAGGCAGAGGTTGTAGTGAGCTGAGATCACAGCATTGCACTCCGGCCTGAGCGAAAGAGCAAGACTCCATCTTAAAATAAATAAACAAAATAAAATAAATTTTTTATCATTTTTTAAGGAAAGTTTCCTACCTAAATGCAAATACATGTAACAGAAACTTAATCAGCTTTTTAAAATAATAATACGGTAAAAGAAGTAGTAACTATTACTTTGAGAACTTTCTGTAGGCCAAATTTTATAACAGGTACCTTACACAGACTCTCATTTAAGCCTTGCTATGACTCTAAACAAACCTTTTTAAGAAATTTTTCATAATGAAATCACCCTTGTAATTAATTATAGCAGAGCTCTCTTGAACAAAGTACATTTAGAAAAACAAGGGCCACTTAAAATGTTAATGTAATCTACATTTTTATGTGCTAAAAATTTTAATAACAGATCCTAAAACCGTTAAGTTAGAGGGAACCAATAGTTAATGGAAACTTCTAATTGTTAGACTATTTTTTGAATGTAGCAACACCTTTACTATTCTAATTAAAAATAAATGGCACATTAATTTCTAATGTCACTGGACAGCTTAAGAATATAGACCATATTGTGACTGGAAGAAGTGATCAATTTTTCAGGTGAAAAACAAACCACAATTCTGGTCATTAAGTAAAAGAGGCCTGGTTAAATAAATCTACTTTGAAAATTTCATTACTAACAACTACACATGAATGAACGCTATGCTTTAAACAGCAAACTTGGCAGGCGCAGTGGTACAGGCGTGTAGGCCCAGCTAGACTCAGGCCGAAGTGGGAGGTTTACTAGAGCCCAGAAATTCCAGCCTGCTGTACACTATGATTATGCCCATGAACAGCCACTGCAGTCCTGCTTCAGCAACATAGCAAGACCTAGTCTCTATACAAATAAACGTAACTAATGAAAAAAGCCCCAGCAAACTCATATGCAGTCTCCTCAAAAAATATACTTCTTATACTGTAGCATTCTAAACCTAAAAGATATATAGTGAGATGTTTCTCCCCCTGCACTCCCAAAGAAGAGTTGAGAAGTCTTTTTTGTTTTTTTTTTGTTTCTGGAGCTTTGAGAAGTCTTCATGGAAAGCTTCATATATGGTAAGCACAACCAGAGATCCATGAAATCCAAACTTCACTCCCTGATACAGTATACTTTGCAAGAACCCCAACAGTTTAAATTTGGAAGTTCAGTTTTAAAAATAGGTTAATATCAGTATCATGAAGTACTCACAACCTACATTGTTTCTCTCTTCTGAATGTTCCATATATATTGCTCTTCTTCTTGGGATGTGCTTTTCTGCCTATACCATCTTCTCCAAACCCTTTGCACATACTATTTGCTCTCCCAGGAACATCATTCTAATATTTAGCCTACCTTGTGTCTCCTTCCCTCAAACGGCACACATTTGGTGAGAGGATTAAATAAATATAAACACACCCAGCATATAATAACTCTGAATAAATGAATGCACAATCTTTCTTATCTATACACCTGGCTAGCATTCAGAATTTGGCCTATGATAGGCACACTGTTAAGTATTTGCTGAAATTAAAACATGGAGGATAAATGTTTTCACTTTAAAAAAAAAAAAAAAGGAGAAGGGACAAAGGAACAGGGTATGTCCATTTGGCATAAAGGAATTTAAATATTTAAAAATAAAATCCAATTAACCAGAACACCCTTCATCAAAACTAAAGCAAGTTAACTTTCATGTTACTATACTAAACAAGGGCAAGTAATACGCAAACAACAGATATTTTTCTGGAATTAAAAACAAAGTGCACAGAGGTCACATTCCTAACACACTAAGAATTTCTGAACATATTTCATTTACATTGAGAATAAATAATGGTCTCATTGGTCTAATATAATATAATGCCTATTAGGAGACAATTCTCCATTGCTCTCTCACATTTCTGCCTGTCCTGCAAGCTGCAAACATGCTCTTTGCTTCAGACTATCTTTTCAAGGGTGGTCACTTAGCAAAAACCTTGGAAGATAAAGAAAGTATGTCTCCCTCTGGAGCAAAAATGTGGGCTCCCTCAACTTAAGGTTCCTGTCTGCATCCCATGCATGTGCAGATATCATCCAGCCCACTTCATGTCATTCTATGGTAGCTAGAGCTCAGGAAACTGGTGCAAAACATGCTGATACTCATGTCTTTTTACCTTCAGTTATCCATAATTACTATCCTGTAGTAGGCTAATTTATTAGCCTGCAATAAAATCTCAGACCCTTCACAATTCTTGACAAGGAGAATTTGTACATCCATAAAAATAATAATATGAAAAAATAAGAGGTCTCACAAGTCTAAGTTTTTTACTAATAGTTTTTCAGAACATATATGGTAACTGAGTCAAATGTCTTTTGTTAGTGAACAGTGGAAAGGATAGCTTTATGGTACACATCTGCAATGCTATGTGCATTAATTAGGTTACTAAGCTACATATTTTCTAGACACCTATTTCCAAAGCACAAGAATATTTTGCCTATTTTTGTTGCCAGGGGGGCCTATGCTTACTGATTAAAGATGCTCTTAAACTGACAGTCTCTTCAGCCAAGCGGATTTCAAAGAGGGGTTGGTATATGTATTTTGTAAAAAGAATCCTAAGAGATTCTGTTATGCGACCATCTATATCTTACCCAGCTAAGACCATTACTTCAGGCAAGCCAGCCTCATAACCAGTAACATAATCATGTACTGTTATGGTGGTGATCTACATATACCCTCTTATAAACACTGGAAGTAGTGTAGTTTGGTAAAAAGAGTTCTAATCCTAGAATAGCATTAATTGAGTAACTGGAGCCACATTCATCTAATTCAAAAGTGCTTCATTTGCCTTATCTGTACAGCAAGAAGACTTCACTGGACAATCACTAAGATCCTTTCAACTCTAAAATTCTTTAATTTACATGCTACCAGTTGCAGTAAATGTTGCAGTTCAATGGAAAACATTATTGTCCTACCAAACTAAACAATAATAACAAAAATACGTCAGTCTGGCATTCTTTTAAGGTATAAACAATGCTACGTTTGGATTAAAAAAAATTTTAACACATAAAAATCAACTTCTAAATTTAAGGTGCCAAAATAGGCAACCATATTATTAGTAAAACCCAATGTTTATTTCGCCCAGACCTAAACTGTCAAATACTTAAGACTTAGAAAGAGCGATGAAAACCTCTTTGAACATACAGCTTTCAGTATTTGTTTTGGAGACTTGAATTTTGTTTTAAAGAGCCTCGGATAAAGGTTATTTTATTTTTATTTTTATAGAGACCAGGTTTTGCCATGCTGCCCAGGGTGGTCTCAAACTCCTGGGCTCAATCCATCCACCTGCCTCGCCCTTCCAAAGTGCTGAGATTACAGGCATGAGCCACTGCACCTGGCCAAGAAATTATTTTGTTATCCAAAATAAATGCAGTCTTTTTCAGGCCATCAGTTCATATTCCTGTAGTAGATTTATATTTGAAGTTCTTCCGATGCCTGGCATATTCATAATCATGGTTCTTCCCTGTTAAAGTAATCACCTAGTCTATAAGTACAAGTTCAAGATTGTCGCAAATTTCTTCTTGAATAGAATCTAGAGATCACTGCAAAGCAGATTAATTAAAGAGGCTTATGATGGCAGCATATTTTAAAAGAGATGCGGAATCAAATCTAATTTATTAGCTCCATGAGTCTTATAACCTATTTAGTCTGTCTAAATCCCAATTTCTTCAGAGAATAATATCTGCCACACAAAACTGTTGTCATAATTAAATTAGATTTTTCATAAAGAGCCTAACACAGTTGGATATGCAGTAAGCATTCAATAAATGACAGACATTACTAAACGACCAGAAACTCATTTCGATGATCTTTTCTCCATCTTCCCAATGATATCCCCTACTATATCCCAATAATATTCTATATTTCTACCATATCACATCTCTTATGTTGAGCACTCCATTTTCACACCTTAGATCATGCCATCCTCTCTGCATGAATTTTCCTCATCAAATTCCTATCCATTCTTAAAATCCTTAATAAAATCCCATGTTCCTTCAAGAGAACTTCAAATATCTGCTACTTTCAGAGTCAGTCTGACCCCCGAAGCTTGCTGGTGGTGATCAAAGGGAAACATACTATTAACCGTCAAGAAAATTTAGAGGGATATAAGAGATAATACACACTAGTTTCATAGAAAGTAGAATACAGCAGGTTGCAAATTAGAAATAGGCCAAAGGAATGAATCTTATGTTTGAAGCTAAACGTACAATGGAAGTGGGGTAAAAACAGCGGAGTATCTAGTATACCCAGGAGTTGCTTCATGACAATTTGAGTTGACTTAATGAACATAAGCAAAAAGGCCTAGGAAGTTAAAAATAATATTTTTCATGGTTCTATGCAGATTTAGGAACGGGGATAGTTTAGTAGAGAAAAAGGCACACCACAGCATTTTCTTCAAGCAAATATGCTTTTACCATTAAAAATAAAATTTCCTAAATAGCAAGACACCATTCAGAAAAGCATGTCAATTTTGGCAGGGCACAGTGGCTCACGCCTGTAATCCCAGCACTATGGGAGACCAAGGTGGTGGATCACTTGAGGTCAGGAGTTCGAGACCAGCCTGGTCAACATGGTGAAACCCCATCTCTACTAAAAATACAAAAATGAGCCGGGCATGGTGGTGCACACCTATAATTCCAGCTACTCGGGAGGCTGAGGTATGAGAACTCCTAGAACCCAGAAGGGGGAGGTTGCAGTAAGTCAAGATCACGCCACTGCACTCCAGCCTGGGCAACAGTATGAGACTGTCTCAAAAAAATAAAAAAGAAAAACATGTCAATTTTTAAAAATCACTAGGCCAAAAAACGTTTATGTCATTCTGGCATTTAACATTTTCTAAGTTATCTACTCAAATTTATCACCCACTCTACCTCAAAAGTTATACCCTCAGAAGTTCCCTGTCTTCAAAACTGTTTATGCTTCCTATTAATTCTCCTGGACAACTTCCACTATCGAATAATTTTTTTCTTAATTTTAGGGTATTTGCATAAGACCAACCTATACATTATCTCTTTTTGCAATTTATCACCCCCTACCCACCATGAAGGAAATAAACAACATTAAATGTTTCAAGGTGACTTCTAAAAGAATTTTTTTTTTTTGAGACAGAGTTTCACTCGTTACCCAGGGAGAGTGCAATGGCGCAGTCTTGGCTCACTGCAAACCTCCACCTCCTGGGTTCAAGCGATTCTCCTGCCTCAGCCTCCCAAGTAGCTGAGATTACAGGCACCCGCCACCATGCCCAGCTAATTTTTGCATTTTTAGTAGAGATGGGGTTTCACCATGTTGGCCAGGCTGGTCTCAAACTCCTGATCTCAGGTAATCCACCTGCCTCAGCCACCCAAAGTGCTGGGATTACAGGTGTGAGCTACCCTGCCTGGCCAGAATTTTTTTTTTCTTTTTTTTTTCTGAGATAGGGTCTAGTTCTGCCTAGGCTGGAGTGCAGTGGTGTAATCAGTGCTCACTGTACTCTCAATCTCCCAGGGCTCAGATCCTCCCACTTCAGCTTCACAAATAGCTGGAACCACAGGTGCCTGCCACCATACCTGGCTAATTTTTGTACTTTTTGTAGAGACAACGTTTTGCCATGTTGCCCAGGCTGGTCTCAAACTTCTAGGCTCAAGTGATCCACCAGCCTCAACCTCAGCCTCCAAAGTGCTGGGATTAAAGGCGTGGGGCACTGCACCCGGACTAAAAAGAATGTTAATTCAAAATTTTTATTTATTTTGGGATTAAGTTCTCTCAGTGTCAGTATCTGAAGGGTCCAAGTTGCCTAGACGCTGGTTAAGATATAACAATAATTTCTTCTCGTTTCAATTGGAATCCAAAGTTTTTCTCCATAATAAGATGCAAAGCTCAGTATCAGACATTTAAATAATAATAAATACCCAATGATTTATTTGTAATACTAAGACTTTACACTTAGTACAAAGTTCTAAATATCTTACTCTTAATTTTTAGGATCCTTTTAGTTAGGAGAATCTAATCTTAAACCAATACTTTTTTTAAAAGTTATTAACATTCTTTCAATAAGCCTTTAAATTTTACATTTCAACATTTAATTTTAGATCTTAAAGGTCATAATATTTTAAAGCTGAAAGAAACTACTAACATATCATGTTTGTTATGAAGGGTAAAGCTTAAAGCAAGCCCCAAGGAGACAGAGCCAGAAAGTCTGATGATTGTAGATAAGGGGGGAAAAAAAATCAAGGATGACTCCTAGTTTTCAAGCCTAAGAGATATAAAAATATAAAGGAATCATTGACTAAAGTAGAGTTCAGACACAAAGCTAATTTGGGGGAAGAGTTGAGATGCTGGTGGTGGTGGTGTTTTAAATAAACAGTATAAAACTAACTTTACCTTATCAATGAAGAAAAGCTTATTTCTTCTTAAGGAGATTGGAGTAGGGGAAAGGAGTTATTCATTGCCTCAACTTCAAATAGGAAATCTCTGTCTCTACCCCAATACCTTTTTCATTTGCCAAAAATAGCTAAACAGTGCTGCAGAAAAAGTACCCCCCAAAAAGCTGATTTTCCTCAGAAATAATACAAAATATTTTCATTATTTCTGAAATAATTTTATTTAGATTTAGAACTCCAAAAATGTTTATGTTCTCTATTCCACCCTCTCAAAAATGTTTATGCTGTTGTTCCACCCTCTTCAGCATTCCTTTAGCACTTTTAATCTAAACCAAATAGAACAGAAGAACAAAGATAATCTAAGATAGCCTATTTTAACTGCACTGTTAACTAACATCTAAATGAATTCTATTCATTATCTAAATTTTAAAGAGACTGATAACTTATTTGACAAAGTATTTACTAAAGATGAAAGAGTTGGCTGGTTTGAGTGATGCTGGCAGTAGTTAAGTGTGCCTGCCAACAATCTAGTTCTATAAACACTGAATTCTGTTCATCCAATGGTTCCTTGTCGACAAGCCATAATCACATTTCAACACACATTAGTAGATTTTAACAAAGTAGAATTAATCCTTTGTGTCTCCTTATAGCCTAGGTTTGCAAGCATTTTCAAATTTTTATTAGGAAAGTCTTTAAACAATTAGCTCTGAATAGTCAAACACAGAAGGATGAAAACAATCCAGATGCAGAACTGGTTTTATCAACTATTTATAACCTCTAAGTACAGTATTAAGCTTCTGCTCATAAACATTTCCCTCCTAAATTTCACTCATTTTGATTTATTACTTAAAAGATTGACTTGGTTTCTGAAAATGTTTCTGAAAAAGATAAACTCTACTTGGCAGTTACCTGTGAGCAGAACAGAGGAAAACAGGTTCAGTAGCAGGTACCAGGGGCTTTGATATAGCTGTAGTTTTTTTGTTTTGTTTTTTTGAGATGGATTCTTGCTCTGTTGCCCAGGCTGGAGTGCAGTGGTGCAATCTCGGCTCACTGCAACCTCCGTCTCCCGGGTTCAAGCCCACTCTCCTGCCTTAGCCTCCTGAGTAGCTGGGATTACAGACACCCGCCACAATGCCCGGCTAATTTTTTTGTATTTTCAGTAGAGACAGGGTTTCACCATGTTGGCCAGGCTGGTCTTCAACTCCTGACCTCAACTGATCCACCCGCCTCAGCCTCCCAAAGTGCTGGGATTACAGGTGTGAGCCACGGTGCCCGGCTGTAATTTTTTTTTTATAAATGTAGATGTACATTAATATTTAATAAAGCCAAGTAGTAGGTACACAGATTTATGGTTAAGTAAATAATTGGGGAGAAAATGGTATAATTGCTTTGTCTCTCAACCTGGCAGCCCCTCCCCAAGAATAAAAACTCCATGGCTAAGAAAAGATTTTGGTCAAAGGAGGAGAAAAAATGAGGAATATTATATAATTTATAGGAAGACAAATCCAGATACTTCAGAGAAGAATGAAAGGGAAAGTGTCACAGCACTAGGGACAGAGTAGGAGGGTCTCCAGAAAACAGGCAAGGACCAAATACAAACCAATGACATAATTTTGCCAAGAACTGGCCTACATCAGTAACTATTCACGAAGATGCTTCTAAAATTATCCTTAATATCATTTTGTTCCAGTTCTACAGCATATTACAGATGTTTGGACTACATGTCACTTAGATGGCTCATGAGTAGCTTTTCTACTTCCCAATGTGTTTTTTCTTTTTTTGAGACAGGGTCTTGTTCTGTCACCCATGCTGGAGTGCAGTGGCACCATCTCACCCGACTGCACCTCCCAGGCTCAAGTGATCCTGACACCTCAGCCCCTCAAGTAGCTGGGACCACAAGCACATGCCACCACACATGGTAAATTTTTGTATATTTTGTAGAGATGGGGTCTTGCTATGTTGCCCAGGCTGGTCTTGAACTCCTTGCCTAAGCAATCCTACTGCCCCAGCCTCCCAAAGGGCTAGCTAGGATTACAGGTGTAAGCCACTGTGCCCAGTCGCCAGTGTGTTTTCAATAGTCATTTCCAAAGTCATATGAGAATTTTAGTTTAATTAATTTTCCCATATCCAAATATGCTGAAATAAGAATATAGCCATCAGCCTCTCTTCAGGTGACATAAATTATTCTGAGTAGAACAAGTATCAGTTTAAATCTAACTGGACTTCCTACCATAGCCTAATGAATATGACAATAATATATGTGAAGTCACCTAAAGAAACTCTTAAACATGCAGCTTTAGTAAATAGTAACTAAATATTCAAATGATGAATCTTTTTTAATAACGTTTATACATGCAACTTTGATCATCTGTTTCAGGTTTCTGTTTTTCTTTTTTAATAGGGACTTGCTCTGTTGCCCAGGCTGGAATGCAGTGGCGAGACCATAGCTCACTGCAGACTTTACCTCCTGGACTCAAATTATCTTCTCACCTCAGTCTCCTGAGTAACTGGGTCTATAGGCACACACCACCATGCCTGGCTAATTTTTTAATTTTTTGTAGAGACGGGGAATCTCACTTTGTTGTCCAGGCTGGTCTTGAACTTTTGAACTCCTGACCTCACACAGTCCTCCCACCTTGGCCTCCCAAAATGCTGGCATTATAGGCATGAGCCACTGTACCAAGCCTATTTCAGTTTTGAGAGTAAGAGAAAAAAAACCTAGAAGGCACACTGTGGATTTACAAAAATAGCTTACAAAAAAATATTGCTAACAGTAAATAGTTTAACTGGAATCTTATCCATCCCCTTGAAAGATACATTATTAGGCTAACTAAGAAAACATTATTTCTCTACCTGCTTTGTTACTTTAGGCAGTTAATTGCTGAGCTTTTTGGTCTTTTGGCCAAATGTGGTAAACTCCTCTCAAAATATGTGTAGTATTATTAACACTGCTCATTTTAGAAGACCATGGCAAACTCAAGAATATCATTTTACACATTCATGATATATTAATCTTATGACTATATGACAATTTTTAGGAGCCAATTTTAACACGTGTTATTGTGCATGAGTCTCTAGAGGCTCTTAACCTTAGTGCACATAGGAACTGAGGCGCAGGCCACACCCTAAGGCAATCAATCAATCTTCCAAGGGTGGGACACATGCACCAGCATTTTTTAAATCTTCCAACATGATTCCTACATGTAGCCAAGAGCGAAAACCACTATTCTAAGATCCTAAGAGTGTAAACTTGATTCAGTATTCCACAAGGTGAAAACATAAGTACATCCATGACATGGAGTAAAAAAGGTTAAGTAGTATCTACTTTTTTTGTGGGACAACAAACAGTAATTTTTTGCTAAGTAATCCTGACACACTTCAGCTCAAATTAATTTTCCCACTACAAAAACAAATCCACAGCAAATTGAATAAGACAAGAGAAATAAGCCAAAAGGACAATGGAAGAATGGAAACACCTTTTTACAACTGATTATTGTACACAGCTACAACTAAGCTTTACTCTAAAGTAAGTGTGATATGAAACATTTGTTTTTCTTCAGGACTTATATTTAACTCCTGTCCTTAAATATAATAAAAGTCCAAACAATAATGATGAAAATGGTTCATCGCTATCTGAGAAAAAAACAAGACTGAAAGTAACCTCAGTAAGTCCTTCTACACATTTTACATGACAAGAAATTTAAATTGAATTTATTTGCATAACCACTTCACAACTGTATTTCTAAAAAAAACAACACTTGAGCTTTATATATGTTCAAGTACTAATTAGTATTCAGAATGAAAGACCATATAGAAAACCAAATCTAGTCTGTCCCTTAAAGTTTCTTCTACCAGTTGAATTACTTATTTTTCAAGGTAACTTTTACTTTGTCGTAATAGCAGTTTGAATGTATACTGTTCTGACATTTCCTAGACTCTCTAAGAATCAATTAATCCATCCAACACCACTACTAGTTGGATACTAATCAGTTACCCACATTATTATTTGAAACTCCTTATTTTCTGAGACTGTGAAAAACTTAATCATAAGCAGTTACTTAACTGTGCCACGGTGAATGACACACAGAAAAAATCTCTGAACACCTGCCAACATTCACTGACTTATTGATTTTTTCTTTTTACTCATCCACCCCATCCCAGCCAAAAAAGAGAAGTTATAACATCTGAACATCTATCCCACTGTTTTCCATAACTATCAAAAAAGTTATGTAGAGAGTCCTAGCCAAAAAGAAAAAAAGGCTGTCAAAAGAGATCAAAAATTCAAAACTCAACTTGGAAAAATTAAAAAGCTGAAGAAAAAATGGGCAGGAGGAATTATTCACAGCAACTTAATTGAAAGTACTGACATTGTAAGTATTGGGAAAGAAGGTTCTCATTAAAAAATTAAACAACAGTACTTTAATCAAGTCTAGAAAATTCCACCATTCCCATATAGAAAAGACTATGTATACTTTACTTCCAAAACTTCAAGCTGTGTACCTCAGCAAGAAAATAAGTTCACCCAATTTCTCATTAATTTAAAACAGAACTTCTGGGGGAAAAAGAGATGTCTCTAAATACAGTCCATCTCCAAACACAAAACATAAAACCATGTTCAACCAATGAATCTTTCCTTAAATAAGAAGAAATCAACATATAATCTTACTGTTTCCTTCCAGAGGATTTCAGAATATGAATGTTACAGTAATAGAACAGTGCTAGGTATTCATGCTAAACACATGCTCTAGTTAAATATCAGACAATGATTATTGTCTGAGTACACATGTAATAAAGGGCAATGACAAAAATATAATGCATTTTTAAAGTTTTATTATATAGTTAAGATCTGTAAGCGCAAGTGTGATTTTTACAAATTTTACCTCATCTAAATTACTGAAATAAGAGTAGGACAGGTGGAAGAGAAGGTACCAACGAATGCCAATGCAGAAGATAAAGGTACCTAAAGAAATCAATATAGCTACCAGAAAAAAAAGAAAAAAAAAGACTGATTAGCTCAGATTAGAAAGGGATTTTATATATATATAAGGTAGAAGGAAAGGCAATCTGAAAAGAATAAATATTTTAAGAAAACTGTTAAAGACTGCAGCTAGGAATAAAAAATTAAACCTTTTCTCCCAAATAAGATGCTGAAAAAATGTAGGAGAGGAAGGCATTCCCACAATGGGAAGGAAGCTGAGTAAAACCAAGGCCTCTTTCAAATAAATGATTCTACTGTTTTATAATTTACTCACTCTTAAGTCACAGTGAAACTTTGACATCATCTTAAAGTTATCACAAATAAGAAAGAATGCATACAACTTGCATGATAGAAAAGTTAATATTTGATGTTCTTCAAAAAGCTAACTATACATTGTCCTTCATATTTAAATATAAAATATTAATTTCCTTGTATTCCCACACTTAATTCCATATCCACCTAGGTAAATTTTGACATATTTAGGTTCTCAATAGGGGCTATACTTAATTAATACCTCTGGAAGGAAGGAGGGAGGAAGGTGCAGGCTCAGTATTTTGATCCTTTAAAATATAAACATACAATTTTGATAAGTCTATTTAAATTCGGGAATATCAGTTTGCAAATAGTGTTTAACCTGAATTTTCTTTATGAAATTAATTCACTCCATTCTTTTTGTTTTTTTTTGGAGACAGAGTCTTGCTCTGTTGCCCAGGCTGGAGTGCAGTAGCGTGATCTCAGCTTACTGCAACCTCCACCTCCCGGGTTCAAGCGATTGTCCTGCCTCAGCCTACCAAGTAGCTGGGACTACAGGCATGCAACACCATGCCCGGCTAATTTTTTTTTTTTTTTTTTTTTTAGTAGAGACGGGGTTTCACCATGTTGGCCAGGCTGGTCTCAAGCTCCTGACCTCACGTGATCCGCCCACCTCAGCCTCCCAAAGTGCTGGGATTACAGGCCTGAGCCACCATGCCCTAATTCACTCCATTCTGGAATGCCAGTTCCATGGAATAAACGTATGCTGTAGAATGAAATTCATCTGAATAGTTTACAATTGATCTTTTCTATTGCAATAGAAGAGAATATAAAAGAACGGTTAAATGCAAAATGAGTAAGAAACCTAAAACTCAGGTTTGAGCTTCTTACCTAAACTATGTGACCTTGAACAAATAAATCATTTAACCCAACTGAATTTACTCACCTGTAAACAGGAATAATATTGACACCTATCTTAGGAGGTTGTAAGGGTTAAATTACATGATTTATTTGAAATGATTATAACTCCTGAAACTTGGTAAAGCATTCATTGCATATCAATGATTAATTTTAATGTCAGATATTAGAGAAATCAACTAATAATGTACACAGTAGCTAATTTTTCTCTTAAAGGGAAACTCGAGGACTATTATACAAAAATTAGGCACAAAAAGTATAATTTGGAAATCTAGCCTAGCCAATGCAATGACATGTTATAGAAACAAAAATAACATTTTTAGCAAATGAGAAAATTACATCCCTAAAAATTCAATGATCAGTACCTTTGAAAAGAAGAGAAAAAATTTAAAAATAATTTAAAAATTTAAAAAACATTCAATGAAAGCAACTAAAAACTCAGAATTTAAAATCTATTAGCAAAGCAGCTTCTGAAAATTAACACCATTTTTACTCTTCAGAAGGCAGGGAAGGAGGCAAAGAGACAGAGAGAAATGTAGTAGAAAGCCATTGCAATAATAATAGCAAAACTATACATATGACAAAAAAAGTACAGGTAAAAACTGGTAAAATCTAAATAAGGTCTATAGTTTAATTAATAGTATCATACCACCATCGATTTCCTGTGTTTGATAATTGTATTACGGTTTCATAAGCTGTCATGATGGGGAAAACTGGGTGAAGGATACACATGAATTCTGTACTATCTGCGCAACTTTCATGTGAATTAAAGATTATTTCAAAATAAAAAGGCTTTAAAAATGCAGAAAATACACCTCACAAGAAACTTCTGTAAATGAGACAAAGAAAATTATGAGGCCATGTGTGGTGGCTCACGCCTGTAATTCCAGCACTTTAGGAGGCCGAGGTGCGCAGATCACTTGAGGCCAGGAGTTTGAGACTAGCCTGGTCAACACGGCAAAACCCCATCTCTACTAAACATATAAAAAATAAGCTGGGAGTGGTGGTGCACGCCTGGAATCTCAGCTACTCAAGAGGCTGAGACACGAGAATCACTTACACCCTGGAGACAGTGGTTGCAGTGAGCCGAGATTGTGCCACTGCACACTAGCCTGGGCAACAGAGCAAGCCTCTATCTCAAAAAAAAAAAAAAAAAAAAAAAAAGGAGAAAAAGAAAATTACAAAACCTCCAAAACATAAAAGAAGATCTGAGTCAACAAAGAGAAATAAATTTCCAGAGAAGTCCAAACATCATAACACTATCATTCTAATTATATTACTAATTTTAAGCAGTTCTATTTATAATTCTACTTCTTTTTTTTAATGACTTAACAATTCTGAGGTTCATATGCAACAATAAATAGGAAAGTAAAGCAAGATTAGCCCTACCAGATACTAAAGAATTTAATGCTATAAAAATTTAAAATAGTATAATCCTAACACAAGAACTATTAGACAAAGTAGCATAATCAGAAGGTCTAGACACATATCCTATTCCCTGCATCCCTACACAGCTAAATTCCAGATAGACTAAAGAACGAAACAGTCAAAAAGGTACAGAAAAGGAAATATCATTAAGGATTTCTGGTCTGATGTGGACAGAGCTTGGAAGTCATCACTCCCATCCTCACAACCAGAAAGCCGAACAAACTGAAAATCAGTAACTCTTTTTTTTTTTTTTTTTTTTTTTTTGGGATGGAGTCTGGCTTTGTCGCCCAGGCAGGAATGCAGTGGCAGGATCTCGGCTCACTGCAAGCTCCGCCTCCCAGGTTCACGCCATTCTCCTGGCTCTGTCTCCCAAGTAGCTGGGAATACAGGTGCCCGCCACCACGCCCAGCTAATTTTTTTGTATTTTTAGTAGAGACAGTGTTTCACCATGTTAGCCAGGATATTCTGGATCTCCTGACCTGGTGATCCGCCCACCTCGGCCTCCCAAAGTGCTGGGATTACTGGCGTGAGCCACCGTGCCCGGCCGAAAATCAGTTAACTCTTCTTAGACCCAATAGAGAATTGAGGTTCAGGGCAAACTGCTGCTCCCAAAACTGGAGAGAGATGTGACTACAGAAAACCACAGCTACGGGTATCACAAACCCCAGCAAGAGAAACAAACAGCTGGAGCCAGTATCCATAGGAACACTGTAATGTAAATTGCTGGAGGTTCAACGTGGACTAGCTTGAGAATTAAAAGCTCAGGGGATGGGCAGTCTGGCTGGGGGAGAGACAGAGGAAACTTTCCTGAGTTTTACCTCCAGGTGCCCCATCAGAGATTCACAAGTGAAGATCAAAGAAAAATTCCCTCTAGCTTCCAATAGGAGAGAAAAAATAACCATTCTGAAATTGCCCAGCGATCTCTGTTCTCAATAACAAAGACCTGTCCTCAAAAGAAACTACAGTAGCCTCCCCTCATCCGAGGTTTCACATTCCAGTTTGTTATCCACCAACTAACCAACTTGTGGGAAGAGAAATACAAAACTCCAGCCGCCTCCCAGCCTTCCTACTTTCTCACTTAAGTATTGGGAGGTAAAGGTTGCAGGAGCTAAAAAGCACTCATGAAGGTCACAGTCCAAAGACACAGGCTCACTAAGAGCTAATCATAAGATTATAGAACACTTTTACACACACACACACCACATCAATAGGGCTCCTGTGTAATAACAGGGACTTACAGCTTAAATAACTACAAGCCTCGGAACCTACTTATGAAGGAGTTATTAGGGAAACCCAAAGACAACAAAGGAGACAAAAGCAGTTACACGAGAGGAAATTTTAATCTCTGACACCAAAGCTACATCAAACAGTAAACACAGCCTAACTCCTAGCCAGATAGGCCTCTAGGCCACACTAAAGGCCTGTTTATCTCAGTTCTTTTTACCCCTTATGTCACATCCAGCTTATCAAAAAAAAAAAAAAAAATTACAAGGCATGCTAAAGGCAAAAAACAGAGTCTGAAAAGACAACGCGGGCATCAAAACCAGACTCATATATGGCAGAGATTTTGGAATCATCACTGTGAGAATTTAGTAACTATAATTAATGTGCTAAGGGCTTTAATGGAAAAAACTACACGACATTCAAAAACTGATGCCCACTGTAGGCAGAGACATGGAAACTCTAAGACAAACTGAAATGGAAATAACAAAAATCAGTAACAGAAATGAAGAATGCTTTGACGGATTCAACAGCAGACTAGACACAGCAGAGAAAACAATCAGTGAACTTGAAGATACGTTGATAGAAACTTCCCAAACTGAAAGGCAAAAAGAATTTTTTTAAAAAGTAACAGAATATTTAAGAACTGTTGGACAATTACAAAAGGTGTAACTATGGATAATGAGAATATCAGGAGAAAAGAAACAGAAGAAATATGTGAATAATGGTGGTTAATTCTCCAAAACTGACAGACACCAAACTACAGATCCATGAAGCTCAAAGAACTCAAGAGGGATAAACACCAAAAAATCTACACCTGAGTAGATTAAAATAAGTTTTATCTAAAGAATCCATATGAAAAAACTTTGCAAAGAACAATGGTTTTATTAGTATGTGAAAAAAGCGTTACTTTTCATGTTCTCTAAATATTCTATAATTACTTTTACAATTTAAAAATTTTAATTATAATTTTAATCTATGGCTACAAAAATGATCTTGCAGTTTTAAAAGGTTCTGAAACCAATTTCATAAAGAATTTCAAAATATTTTAGCAATTATATTTTCTAATGTATAACTTCCTCAAGGTAACTACTTTGAAGAATATTTTTTTGCCCCATTATTTTACGAGCACATTATAATTATGTTACCTTCTTCAGAATTGTGCTCAGAAGCTTCTGAGAAAGACAGGTTTACCACAATAACCTAACCTGGATTGCTGTACTTCTCCTGCCTTCTTCTGTCTCCTCCCCTTGAAAAGAGATCCCACTTCTTATTTCTGACACTGCATGTGCTTTTAGTGACTATCCTGCTTGCTTCCTATTACTAATGCTGTTCTAATACAGACAGAGAAAAAGACAGGTACCACTATTTATTAAATCAGTAATTTTAATTTTACAAATAACAAATCAATGTATTTGATCATGACCCTAGCCTAAAATCAAAGTTATATGATTTATGTATCACTTTATTTATTCAGAAATATTTTTATCCCCCAGCAAGACTTAGGCTGCTGTTGCTTTGCCTATAAAATAAGAGGGTATATTACATGAATTATATGAAATGGTACATGGTATATCATGAACAACCAGGAGAATTATAACATTAAATTTATTCCGTCTGTCTGCATGTTTGTACCCTTTAACCCACTTCTCTTCATTCTCCCCAACACTCACCTTTCCCAGTCTCTTATCTTTTTACTCTCTACTCTCATGTGATCAAATTTTTTTAGCTCTCACATATGTGAGAACATGTGATATCGCCCCAAATTTGTCTTTAATACGTGCTTTGGTAATTTCACTTTAGCCCTTAATGTTAGTCTAACAATATTTATTTTAAATCATATTTGAAAACCATAACTTATAATACTCAACTTAATCCATATTTCTCTTAGCTATCTAGCTGTGCACAGTGGCTCATGCTTGTAATCCCAACACTTTGGGAGGCTAAGATGGGAGGATCATTAAAGGGCAGGAGTTCAAGACCAGCTTAGGCAAGAAAGCAAGACCTTGTCTCTACAAAAAGAAGAAAGAAAAGTTATAAACTACTTTATCAGATTTTCTTAAATTAAAAACCACCAAGAAATATCACTTCAATGCACCGTGTTATTTTTAATCCTCTCAGAAACAAAATATACTTGATAGAAGAAATAAAAAGATTACTGGTATTAAGCATTTTTTTCTAAATAAGCAATAACATGATGTTAAATTATGTCAAAATGTGCTCAACAATCATTATATAAGGTTCCACACTGATGGATTCTGCATTGAAAACTACTTGAACTTACAATCAAAGCCTTTAGTATCATAGTAAGAAAAGCTTTATCATAAATCATGTACGGCACAAAATCCTAACTCAATTCTTATCACTAGATGCCTCATCTTCCCAAACTATCCTTGTTATTATTTAATAAAACTTTCACTTTTATTCTGTGACCAAAATGCAAGTATGAAATCTGCTTTCCTGGCTCCTTAAATAAAAGGCTGCAAAAATGCTATCACTCCAAATTACCTCAGAATCTGAAGTAAGGGTTACATATAGAGATCTTTTTGGTACTTTAATACCTCACTACCCACAAAAACAAAACAAAAAAAATGGGCTACAAAATTAAAATAAGTTATTTAATATCCATACAAATACTTTACTTTGACTTATTTTCCTACCTCATTTGCCTTTTTACCCATTCCGCATTACACAAACACATCTGTGTATCTCTTCAACTCTTTTTCAGGACAAGGTAGAATTAAACTGAATAATAAATGTGAAATAATGTATAATACAATTCAATTTAAAAATTACATTGCCAACTTTTGACTACATTCAACGTCATGTACATAGTCAAAACTCTCAAAACCTACTATATTTCACGTCACATACTACAACATCATTTTTGTGAGATTGTAACTAAAATAACCTACCATTCTTATTTAAGTAACTTTTAAAACTACTTCTCATTTCAAAGAACATTCTTTTTAAAGGTAGAAATGTTACTTTCCCCCACTAACTAGTCATTTTCAAAAAGTACTCACACAACATACTATAAATGCCCAAAATTTAATCACTTATTTTAAAGACTCCTTTCTTCACCTCTCTGCCTCATCTCTTAATTTCTCCTGTAAGTGCCAACATTACTACAAGCACCTAGATGAAGAGCACATAAAACAAATACTCAACTTTTCGTGCTTTGAAGATTTGTTCATTTATGTGAGGACAATGCAAAATCTTGCATACTTGGATATGTGGGAAATTCAAAGTTTTCAAATTAAACTGGTAACTCAGGGTGGGAGGAATAGGGGAGGATGGTGTCATATGACATTGGTTAAATTTTTTTAAAAAGCCCACTTTTCCAATGCAATTATAAATTTAGGATAAAATCTACTTAGAAAATGGTAAGGTCCTTTAATAATCTTATTCTACAAGATAACTCCCAAAAGCCCAGACTAACGTATGCTTAAGTTTTTGGAAACAAAATAAAATTTAAGACAGTTTCCACCTATGGGGTATTACGCTTCATGTGGGGATAGAGGAAGGTTAGGTGAAATGTAAAAGGTTCATGTTGTTTCTCCATTCTGTCTTTCTCAATTCTAGATTGGTAAAGTCATTAAGAAATGAATTTTTTAAAGTTTTAAAGGTATAGCTAAAATGCAAGCTGAGCTTCCAACAAATCCAGCATTTCTTTCAAAATGTTTTCACTGCTAATTAGGAAAAATTTTAAAGATATCCATAAACATAAAACATTATAATACGCAAATGAAATCACTGCTCTACTCTTCAAATTGTACACAACAGCTACATGTTAAATTCAACAGTAAGGCTGACCTGTACTTAAGAATAATGCTATAATTCCTGAAAAAAAGTAGCAGCAATATATATGATAAAAGAGGTGATCACAACACAGTTTACCTCTCATAGTCCACCATTTCAGTCTACCAAAATTTCTGATTGTAGAATGGCAAGTAACTATTTACCTGAGTTAATAGTGTTTGAAGCTGTGTAAGATTCAAGAATTTTGTCTTTTCTAAAGTCATCCTCAAAATCTTGGCAATAAATATTAATGTACAGCCTATACTGTTCTGTATTTGAGTGAAAAAGGTAAGAAAAACTGAACTTTCCTAATTTAAATAAAGGATACAGAACATATTCCTCTATTTGAGATATGACAATGAATCACCATGGGAAAACTGACAATATAATAAAGCAACTATCACACAAAACTTTTTCTAAAATGGAGAAATAGGCTTAGGTTCTTTCTTCTTTCATTAATTTGACTATCATTAATCCTTTAAAAATTTAGAGGCCAAAGAGTTATTTTATATATGTATACGCACATAAACACATACATATACACATGCAAAAACTCCATCACAATTTAAATTTAATTTGCATTTTATAAATCTATCTTTAAATTGTCAATTTCACAGGTATTAATAGGAAAGAGTGAAGAGAGTCCAGTAACATCAAAAAGCCATAGCTTTTCTAGAATTTATATGAAAACAAATAGATTTCTACTTTAAGGAGGCAAATAACAATATGAATTGCCAGTGATTATTACTTCTTCCTAGGGAAGGAAAGAATAAAAAGCTAATCTGAATGTCAAATCTATAACTCATGTAACATCATGTGATTTATCTGAGGACTTATCAGACAAGTGTCATCCTATGAGATGAGGCACTGGGAAAAACTACAGCACCAAAAAATGTAGGCTGTAGACTATATTAAACCTTAAAGACAACAATGGCAAAGAGAAAGTAGTTAGATATTATTGTCATTATTAATAACAATTTATAACTACAGTGTTTGTACAAACATTCATTATCTCATTTGAACATCATTTAACTTCACAGCAATTCTCTGAAGAAAGCAAAAACAAGTATCATTTACATTAAATGAAACTATACACATAAAACACTTATAAACACACAGTAAGTACTCCATAACTGTTAGTTATTGTCTAAATGAAGGTTCAGAGGTCATGATGGCTTACTAATTAAACACAAAGTTCCAACCTAGGGTAAAAGAAAAAGGGCACACGATGGCATCTTATCTATAAGACAAACCTGAAAAGGTACATATCAAGTCAGAGAGTATCACTGACAAATCCCAGGTGAGGTGCAAAAGTCATACATATCCCTTATTTTAATGGCTGAGAAATCCATTTCAAGACACTAAAATATCATCACACAACTTTGTTTGCTTTTTTGTTTTAACCTTCAAAGTAGGAAGGAAAATAAGAAATTTATGTCCTAGAAGACAATGATGAATGTTTTCTTCTATTTTATTTTTAAAAATGCAGAAACTATCTATTAAAATACATTAAAATCATGTTAAGCCAGTCTTTCTAATCAGCCTTTCTATAGAGGAAACAACTGAGTTTTTCTGCCAGAGGTGTATAACATTCTGGGAACATCCAACAGTTAATAAGAGGTGGGTGTGTTGAAAAGCAATAAGACTGTGTTGAAATAAAAATACTGGCAATTGGAGGCACTTTCTTAACACCCAAATACAGAATATAAATCAAGAATCTTAAATACAGATCAAATCTAAATATAGTTCAAGAATCTTAGTGTCAAACCTCACTCCTGAGCCAGTTTCAGTTTGTCATGGACAAAATTTGAACAAGTTAATCAAATGCAAGGTTGAAGAAGGATTTTATTGATTTTAATCCAGTAATTCAATTTCACTCAAAGCTCTAATATTCCTGCCTATATTTAAAATAGTATATTTTTTATCACTGAAAACTTACGATAATGTCCTTTTACATCACACCTTAGAAACTGAAAGACGCAGATAGCCCTAATCATCAAAGTCTTAGAACAAAAATAGGGCAGAATTTACAACTCTACTGAATACACTATAAAAATTCAGGTTTGCAGCAAGATTTTAGTTTGAATGTTTATGCTGCGCAGTTAGTTTCTTCTAAAGATTTCAATTTTTAAGTTACTATTAACAAAGACATACTGTAATAAAGCATTATTTTGAAAGCATGATAGTAACAGAGTATTTGATGTACAATTCATTGTCTGAAGACAAGCTATGGAGACTCAGACTACCAACTTAAGCAGCAGAAAAAAATAAAACTAGTTTGATTAGCCCATTTCCTATAGTGTTTTGCTTCACAGCATACAGGGACTACATAGCAGAAGCTTATCAATGAACCAATAACATCTCTAAATTACATTCATTAAGCCCAACTCAAAAGTAGTTTGTAATTAGAAATAAATATGCCAAGAGTTAGTCTGCACTTGCATAGCCACTTAACCTCAAATCCTTAACCATACCAAGCAAAAATCGAAGGGTTTTCAACACAACTCTCCTTTCCCAACTGACATCATCTGATCACTCTTTATAGTCATTTCTGAGTGCTTACCTGTACAAATCACTTATTTCTAGCTATGTCACGAATTTAAAAATAAATAATGGAAAAACATAAGGTGATACTAATGGATTATTCCTAACTTGTGCTGGAATTTAGGAAAGTGGACATTACTTTCCCTCTAAATCCAGTTTTAAGTTGCTATATAAGCAGCAAATCAATTCACCATTTTCAAATCACTACCTTCCCACAGGAGAAGCCAAGAGTTACAATTTAAAAGACTTCTCCTTGACACTTTAGAGTACTCACAGGTTCAGCACAACCTAACTACCTTTAGCAAGAATTGTGCCATGCCACGTTGAAGATCTGAGGACTATAATGATAATATTCACCATAGGGCAAACTATATGCATTTTCTATACATGCAACATATTGAATATAACTACTATTAGCACTACCATCCCTCTGATTCTCTTCCCCATTACTTAGCTTGGTATAAAGGTATTCTGGAAGGAATACAGGAAAGAAGCCTCTGAACAGAACTATTTATCCAGCCACACCCAGCAAGAATGTGACCAGTTAGCTCAAGAACCATACTAACAGGAAAAGCAAAAACCTCTTCTGGAGCCAGATGGTTCATCAGCCAGTCTGAAAGAGTCTTCCTCTTAGACTCAGCTGTATCTAAAGGGATACAAAAGGCCTGGTTTCTTAAAATCAGAATAAAATTGATAACACTTCAAAGAATTAACTAACATACGCTTGAAACTTCTATAAGGAAGGAGGAAGGTGGGACTATCATGGATAAGTCTCGCCTAACTTTCAGTTAACAACTTGCTAAGGCCTGTGCTCAATACCATGCTAGAGATTATGAAGAAATCAAGAGACATAATAAAACCATGATTCTTTCCCTGAATTTACAATATTAGTTTTAATTACTAAGTATAATTCAAATGATCCAACTTCACTACTTTCCCCTCAGTCAACTTGGGGACACACAATCAAAGATTCACCCAGTTTCTACCCCTAGCCAAGATGAAGTAAAAGAGACTGAATTTACCCTCTTACCTGAAACAACAAAACAAAATGATAAAATAGAGAACAGCAATTTTCAGACTTTGGACATTAAACAGGAAATCAGCATAGTATGAGGATTCCTGAGAAAAAGGAAATGAAGTGAGTCTTATGACTGCCTGAGAGAGTTTCTAGGCTATAGCACAGGGAGAGAGAACTCAGTCTAATTCAGGGATCCAACATTCTCCTTGAATTAAGGAGCGAGAATCAAGGTTTTAGGAAAGACAAGGCGGCTGAAGTTTGCCGGGCAGTGCACTGAAGAGGACAGAGCTAAAAACAGAATTTTCAGCAGAGTACCTCTCAGTGTATATGTGTTAAGAAACTGAGGCCAAAAAAGAACCATTCAAAATGGGCAGGTGGAACAATTTTGGGAATTCACTCAACCAGTGTTCCCTTCAGCCAAAGTGGCAAAACCTTGTAATACACAGGGCACTGGGTGGAATACTCTGAAGGGCACTACAAGGGACTGCCAGTAATGGAGCAAAATTAGTCCTAGGCTAAAGGCTTTGTGGTGCCATCAAACAAACTTAAAAGCAAGCCTCAAAAAGACAAAACTGTCTCTGGATAACTTAAGTATGTCCCAAAACAAAGTTTGAAAGTATTTATAGGAATATGGAAATATCCAGGACCTAGCAAGGTAAAATAATGTCTGCCATCCAGTTAAAAATTACCAGACACGTAAAGAAGAAAATATGGCCCATAATGTAGAGAAAAGCAAATCAATAGAAAGCAACCAAGAAATGACCCAGATGATAGAATTAGTAGACAACAGCACCAGAAAGAGTTATTATAACAATATTCCACTTGTTCAAAAAAAATTAGGAAAAGCATGTGATATGGTTTGGCTGTGTCCCCACCCAAATCTCATGTTGAATTCACATGTGTTGCAGGAGGGAACTGGTAGGAGGTAATTGAATCATGGGGGCAAGTCTTTCCCATTCTGTTCTCATGATAGTGAATAAGTCTCATGAGATCTGATGGTTTTAAAAAGAGGCGTTCCCCTGAACAAGCTTTCTCATTTTTTGCCTGCCACCATCACATAAGATGTGACTTACCCCTCCTTGCTTTCCACCATGATTGTGAGGTTTCCCCAGCCATGTAGAACTATTAAACGTCTTTTAGTTAATTGTTGTCTTGGGCATGTCTTTATCAGCAGCATGAAAACGGACTAAAACAGTAAACTGGTATCATAGAGTGGGGCATTGCTGAAAAGATACCCAAAAATGTGGAAGCTACTTTGGGACTGGGTAATAGGCAGAGGTTAGAACAGTTTTGAGGGCTCAGAACAAGACAGGAAAATGTGGGAAAGTTTGGGAACTTCCTAGAGACTTGCTGAATTGCTGATAGTGATATGAACAATAAGGTCCAGTCTAAGGTGGTCTCAGATGGAGACAAGGAATTTGTTGGGAACTGGAGCAAAGGTGGCTCTTGTTATGTTTTAGAAAAGAGACTGGCAGCATTTTGCCCCTGCCCTAGAGATCTGTGGAACTTTGAACTTGAGAGAGATGATTTAGGGTTTCTGGTGAAAGAAATTTCTAAGCAGCAAAGCATTCAAGAGATGACTTGGGTGCCATTAAAGGCATTCAATTTTAAAAGGGAAACAGAGCATCAAAGTTAGGAAAATTTTAAGACTGACAATGCAATAGAAAAGAAAATTTCATTTTCTCAGGAGAAATCCAAGCCCACTGAAGAAATTGCATAAGTAACAAGGAGCTGAATGTTAATCCCCTAGACAATGGGGAAAATGTCTCCAAGGCATGTCAGAGGTCTCCATGTCAGTGCCCCCCCATCACAGGCCCAGAGGTTTAGAAGGAAAAAATGGTTTCGTGGGCCAGGCCCAGGGTCCCCGTGCTATGTGCAACCTAGGGACTTGGCACCCTTTGTCCCAGACCTCCTGCCATGGCTGAAAAGGGCCAACGTAGAGCTCGGGCCATGCCTTCAGAGGGTGCAATCCCCAAGCCTTGGCAGCTTCCACATGGTGTTGAGCCTGCGAGTGCACAGAAGTCAAGAACTGAGGTTTGAGAACCTCAGCCTAGATTTCAGAAGATGTATGGAAACACCTGGATACCCAAGCAGAAGTTTGCTGTGGGGCGGGGCCCTCATGGAGAACCTCTGCTAGGGCAGTGTGGAAGGGAAATGTGGGGTTGCAGCCCCCACACAGATTCCCTACTGGGGCACCACCTAGTGGCGCTGTGAGAAGAGGGCCACTGTTCTCTAGACCTCAGAATGGTAGATCCACTGACAGTTTGCACCGTGCACCTGGAAAAGCCACAGACACTCAATGCCAGCCTGTGAAAGTAGCCAGGAGTGGGGGGCTATATCATGCAAAGCCAAAGGGGTGGAGCTGCCCAAGGCCATGGGAGCCCAACTCTTGCATCAGTGTGACCTGGATGTGAGACATGGAGTCAAAGGATATCATTTTGAAGGTTTAAGATTTCACTGCCCCGCTGGATTTCAGACTTGCATGGGGCCTGTAACACCTTTGTTTTGGCCAATTTCTCCCACTTGGAATGGCTGTATTTACCCAATGTATCTAGGAAGTAACTAACTTGCTTTTGATTTTACAGGCTCATAGGCAGAAGGGACTTGCCTTGTCTCAGATGAGACTTTGGACTGTGGACTTTTGAGTTAATGTTGAAATGAGTTAAGACTTTGGGGGACTGTGGGAAGGCATGATTGGTTTTGAAATGTGAGGACATGAGATTTGGGAGGGGCCAGGGGTGGAATGATATGGATTGGCTGTGTCCCCACACAAATCCCATCTTGAATTCCCCTGTGTTGTGGGAGGGACCTGGTGGGAGGTAACTGAATCATGGGGGCAAGTCTTTCCCATGCTGTTCCCATGATAGTGAATAAGTCTCAAAATATCTGATGGTTTTAAAAAGAGGCATTCCCGCCAGGCGAAGTGGCTCACACCTGTAATCCCAGCACTTTGGGAGGCCAAGGTGGGTGGATCATGAGGTCAGGAGATCAAGACCAGCCTGGCTAACACAGTGAAACCCCATCTCTACTAAAAATACAAAATATTGGCCAGGCGTGGTGGCAGGCACCTGTAGTCCCAGCTACTCGGGAGGCTGAGGCAGGAGAATGGCGTGAACCCAAGAGGCGGAGCTTGCAGTGAGCCGAGATTGCGCCACTGCACTCCAGCCTGGGTGACAGAGTAAGACTCTGTCTCAAAAAAAAAAAAAAAAGGCGTTCCCCTGCATAAGCTTTCTCATTTTTTGCCTGCCACCATAAGATGTGACTTGCTTCTCCTTGCCTTCTGCCACAGTTGTGAGGCTTCCCCAGCCATGTGAACTGTAAGTCCAATTAAGCCTCTTTCTTTTGTAAGTTACTCAGTCTCAGGGCGTCAAAACGGGCTAATACAGGATGTTAAGGAAAGAAATGATACATAATTTTTTAAAGACCTATATTAAACTTCTAGAAGGGCAGGGGGAGGAGTGGGAGGCAACGCCTGAGATAAAAAATAAACTGGGTAATATTAAAAGTGGATTACATACTGCAGAAGGATTGGTGAATTAAAGACCTAGCAGTAAAAACTATCTAAAACAACACACACACACACAAAAAGACTGAGAATGATGAATAGAACATCACTGAACTGTAGAACAATTTCATGTGGTCTAATGTAAGTGTATTTTGAGTTCCTGAGAGGAGAAGCAGCATAGAAAAACTAACGTGAAGAAATAATAGCCAAAAATGTTTAAATGTAATAAAAACTGTAAACTCACAGATCCAAGAAGCTCAACAAACCCCAGGCACAAGAAACATAATACAAGGGCACAAGAAACATAATTTAATAATTAAATAATTAAAAACCTAGTGAAACTCTTAAAAGTAGGCAAAAGAGGAAAAATAAAAGACACGCTACATATAGTTGAACAAAGAATGATGGCAACCTTCTCATCAGAAACAATGCAAGCCAGAAGACAATGAAGCAATATCTTTAAAGTACTGAAACAACAAAAATGTCAGCTTAGAATTCTATACCCAACAAAAATATCCTTCAAACACTATAGCAAATAAAGACTTTTTCAGACACACAAAATGAAAAGAATTCATCACCAGTATATTTTTAAGTGTAAGTAATGTTAAAAGAAATTCTTCAGAGTGAAAAAAATGGTACCACATGAAAATCTGCATACACACACACACACACACACACACACAAAATGAAGAACACTGGGAATGGTAAATATGTCAGCAAATTTTTAAAAAATTTTTAAACATTTTATATATTTTTAAAATATAAGTTAAAGCAAAAATAATAATGTATTGTAGGACTCATGTATAGAAGTAAAATGTATAATGACGATAGCAAGAACCCAGAAAAAAGTGGTAATATATTAAGGTTCTTATACTACACATGAAATTCTATCATGTATACCATAAACCCTTAAGCAACCACTTAAAAAAAAAACAACAACAAAGAGCACTGCTAGTAAGTCATCAAATTAAAAAATGGAATTTAAAAATACCCCTTTAATCCTAAAGACAACAGAAAAAAAGGAATCACAGAACAGTTAAGATAAACAGAAAACAAATAGCAACTCACGAATTTAAACCCAACCACATCAATAATCACATTAAGTGTTCTAAACATTCCATTAACAAAAGAGATTGTGAAATTAGATGAAAGATTAGATGCTGTCTACCAAAAATCCACTTTAAATATAAATACACAAGTAGGTTAATATTAACAGGATGGGAAAAGATATACCACCTGACACTAATCAAAAGAAAACTGAAGTGTCTGTATTAGTATTAGACAAAGTAAGTATC
Organism: Homo sapiens; assembly: GCF_000001405.40. Classification (NCBI taxonomy): domain Eukaryota; kingdom Metazoa; phylum Chordata; class Mammalia; order Primates; family Hominidae; genus Homo; species Homo sapiens. The sequence continues at coordinate 86,921,807 of NC_000001.11, read as the reverse complement.
ATAGTCCATTGTGTGGTACTATAACAAAATACCTGAGACTGGGTAATTTATAGAAAACAGAAATGTATTTCTTCACAGTTCTGGAAACTGAGAAGTCCAAAATCAAGACACCAGCATCTGTTGAGGGACTTCTTGTGGCATCCTCACATGGTTGGGGGTAGAAATGGCAAAAGGGGGACAAATGCTGTCTTCTTACGTAGAAAAAAGAGAACACACTGCCACAAGCTCTTTTATAACAGTATTAATACAGTTATGAGGGGAGAGCCCTCATCACCTAAACACCCTCCACCTCCCGCCCCAATACTGTTGCATCGGAGATTAAGTTTCCAACATGTGAATTTTGGGGGAGACATTAACACCACAGCAGTAGGTTTCAGAGCAAAGAATATTACCAAGGATAAAGATGGTATCTTGTATAAAAAAAAGGGTTGGTCCATCAAGAAGACATGACAGCCTAAATGTGCATATACTTAATCACAGCACTTCAAAATACATGAAGCAAAAAGTGACATAACTACAAGAAAAACAGACAAATCCACAATTATCAAAGATTTCAAAACCCCTCTCCATAACTGATGAAGAGGCAGAAAAAAATCAAGAATACAAAACACCATAACAATACTACCAACCGACATCTACAGCATACTTCAGCCAATAACAACAGAATACATATTTTTCACGTTCACCTGGAACATTTACCAAGATAGTTTTTTTTTATTTGTAATTGACAAAACTGTATATATTTATCATGTACAACATGTTTTAAAACATGTATATATCATGGATGGCTAAATCAAGCTAATTAAGACAACATGCATTACCTCACATACTTTTTTTTTTGGTATGGTGAAAACACTTAAAATCCACTCTCTTAGCAATTTTCAAGAATACATTGTGACAGGAGAATGAGGGAAAGCTTCGGGAACCATGTCTTTAGGTAAGTGAGGCAACAGAATCAGGTGCACAAATGACCGAACAGGAGCACTGACAGTTACCATCTATTGTTAACAGGCAGAAAGGCAGAATACGTAAGTACAGGTACTGGTAGGTGGGTAGATCTTAAAAATAACTAGGCTATAGTGAACCATGATTATGAAGTTCATCTATAAGTACATCCTTCAAAAATGGTCTTCTGGAGAGCAATCTTTGAACATTCATTATTATTTCAATTTCTCTAAGTGCCAAAAAGCTATTAGAAGGCCTACCAGAGTGGTGGACAGACATCCTGGAATTATCTTAATTGAGATCAACTATTTCAGGTGACTACTCCATGGCACTAGACATCCTATTCAAGACTAAGTGAGGCACCAATTACCAATTCTAGAATAACTGTATTCCTATTAACCCAAAGTCCTCAAAACAGTAGCTACTATGAGGTTTTCCAAATGATTTCAGAAGTGAGGAAATCTAGCATTCTCTGGAACATCTTACAGGTATTGCTGCATGGTTTCAGGAACTTACTTGTAAAAACTACCAAATTCCAAAAAGCAGTCTCAACCTTGGCCCTGGAATTAGTTGTTTAGTCTAGTAGAGTTTTAAGAACATAATGACTAACATTAATTCTCACCAATGGATGATTACATAATCCATTCTCAATTATTTTCCCCATGTAAAAGATTATTCCTAATGTGCTCATAAATCCATATAGAGATGTAAGAATACAGTCAACAAATATTATTTACAATGCTAAAACCCTATAGAAAATAAAGTTACCAAGCACATAGTTCTATCACTTATGTGAGAAAATATTTCACTGCACTGTTCGACCAGTCAATATTAGCAACAAGTGCGCTCTTGAAATTCGGGAAGAACTACTTTTTACCAGCCACAAATTCTGACATTTTATAGTAACGAGTCACAGTTAAATAGTTTTCATTTGGATTCCCTGTCCTTTTCCATTTCTCACTAGAAAATTAAGTCTACATTTTAATACAATGAAGTATTAACTTCATTTGAAGTTGAAAAACTTCTCTTTTTCACAGGTAATAAGCTTATCTCCTAAATTTAACTCACAATCTGCACGTTATGTTACTAAAAACAAAAAAAAGTCCACTAAATATGAAACATCTACTATAAATCTGTGATCCTTGCCATTAAAGGAATCACATACTCCTTTGCAAATCTGATGAAAGTTATGTATATAATTTCAGGGAATTCACTGATACCTTGAAGCCTATTTATGGGTCCCCGAGGTTTAAAGAATCTCTGATTAATGGAAAATAGCATCCAAAATTGATCCAAGAACATATGAAAACTTAGTATGTGATTAAAAGAAGGAATGTTAACATACAGTTGGAAAAAATGATTTACTGAGAAAATCATGATAAATCTCTGTAAACATACAAATGGTTTAAAGAGCCAAATGTAATAAACTATAAAATACTATAATAAAATACAGAAAATGTACACAATCCTGGCTCTGGGTAAGTCTTCCTAAGCAAAATATGAAAACGACTTCCCTAAATTGATAGATTTAACTGTGTGTATTTTAAAACTTCTATATGAGCAAAACACACCATAAAGTCAAGAAACAAATGGCAAACTTGGACAAAAACAAATAAGAGGCCGGGTGCAGTGGCTCATGCCTGTAATCCCAGCATTTTGGAAGGCAGAGGGGGGCAGATCACTTGAGGTCAGGAGTTCAAGACCAGCCTGGCCAACATGGTGAAACCCTGTCTCTACTAAAAATACAAAAATTACCTGGGCGTGGTGGCACGTACCTGCAATCCCCGCTACTTGGGAGGCTGAGGCAGGAGTGAGCCGAAATCGTGCCACTGCACTCCAGCCTGGGTGACAGCAAGGCTCATCTCAAAAAAATAAATAAATAAATAAATAAATAAAAATAAAAAAAATTTAAAAAAGACATAGGATAGATAAAGGATTACTAATTCTAATATTTAAAAAAAAAAGTAAACCACCCAATAGAAAAATAGAAAAAAGTAACAAATAAAAGGGCAATAAACATGTAAAGATGTTCAACCTACCTAGAAATTAGAAGGTAAATTAATTGAATATATCATTTCACAGCTTCACACTGGCAAAAATTAAAAGCTGATTATCTTCTAGTGCTAATGAATGTGTGCTGGCAGTGTAGATTACTACATCTTTTGAAAAACAAAAAAATGTTGAAAAGTAGATTTTTAAATCTGTTAAATTATAAAATATGTATATTCTTTGTCCCAGCAATCTCACATACAGAATTCATCCTAGCACAAAATGACATCAACATGAGTTAAACGGACACATAAGGATGTTTCCTATAATTGTTTATAATACCAAGAAAGAAAAGAAACACTCAAAAAAATTATATATATATGTATATATACACACGCACACACACGACAGATGGGGGACAAACTGAATGTCCGTTACTAGAATAATGGCTTAATAATTTATGATACATGCATACTTTGGAATATTATACAGCTATTATTAATAGAATGAGTAAGTCACATCTATATGTACTGACCTGGAAAGATGTGTATAACATTCAAGGCAAAAAAAGCAAGCCGCATTGTAATATGTGGACTACAATGCCATATTTGTTTTTTAAAAAATAAAAATAAAAAGCTGTATTACTGAATTTTTTTTTTTAGGAATTCCTAATTAGTGAATTTCCCAAGTAGTCAATGAGTACACCTCAGTTTTGAATACATCTATTGCTCTATTAGAAGTCTCACCATCAAAATACTGTACTCTCAAATCAAGGTATATTAAAGCCACTATCAGACAATACTATCCTTTGGAATCTTCTACAATGAAAATGATAATAACTACTTTTAAGGACAAAATGTTTAATAGGTTTTTTATGCCAAAATAAAAATGCTTTTTTAACATTGTGATTTTGCACGTATGGAAAACAGCTAGATTTTTCTTTCCTATAGTAAAAATAAGCTATCTAATTCAGTTGTTTCATTGGGTAACATAATTATGTTCATTACATGAATCTAAACAAGGGGCAGACGTTACATTAAACCAATTCCTTTGTATCAGAAATTCAATTTTCTCTGAATGATATTCATTCTTAGCAATAAATGCAATTAAACACTGATATTACAATTTTAAAACTCTATTCAAATACCTAAATCTCAGCGTAATGTCAATATAAAGTCTTAAGCAGCCGGACATAATTAAAGGAGCACTTGATTTGGAATCATACATACCTGGGTTGCAATCCTGGCTCTGCCACTTAAATGCGATGTGGTCTTGGGCAAGTTATATAACCTCTCTAAGCCTGTTCCTGCATCTGCAAAAATGGCTTTCTGTTGTTCTTTGGTTTTTTTTTTTTTGAGACTGAGTCTCACTCTATTGCCCAGGCTGGAGTGCAGTGGTGTGATCTTGGCTTACTGCAATCTCTGCCTCCCAGGTTCAAGCGGTTCTCATGCCTTAGCCTCCTGAGTAGGTGGGATTACAGGCGCCCGCCACCCCGCCCGACTAATTTTTGTATTTTTAGTAGAGATAGGGTTTCACCATGTTGGCGAGGCTGGTCTCGAACTCCTGACCTCAAATGATCCGCCGGCCTCGGCCTCCCAAAGTGCTGGGATTACAGGCGTGAGCCACCGTGTCTGGTCAAAAATGGCTTTAAATGGTGTTCTTACTTTAAACACGAGTATCTACGATGAAAAGTGCCTAGTACAGAATATGGTTGTCAAAATATGGTTTCCTCTGCTAGGCATGGTAACACCCACCTGTACTCCCAGGTATACCCATCTGTAGTCCCAGGAGGATTTTGATGCATATTTACTACTTTTTATGAAATTTTCTTTCTTGTATCACAAGAAAGCACTTTATATTTTAACTGTGGCATTATACATCTTCAGATAACTTTCTTTTAAAAATCATTCAGATTGTGTCTATGGAAGCAATTTTCAAGTATATGGGGAAAGAAATGTTAGGAAAGGAGGAAAATCAAAAATTTAAGTCATTCTAACCCACTGTAACGTGTCTAAGAAATCAACTCCAGACAATTCCAAATAGTAACAAAACAAAAAATAAGTACAAATTTTAATTTTAATATAACTTTCCACTTCAAGAGGAGTCTTTTTTTCTGTAGAGCTGGATCATTAATAACGCCAGAATATGACCCTGAATGTCGCTAAATGGATCCAAAAGAAAAGAAAAACCAGACTGGATAACCTTCAATATTTAAAGTGGACATTTTTTTCCACCACACAAGATACATATTAATAAAGGAATTCGTAAATAAACTGAGTATCTCTTCAAATTTTACTCTAGAATTGAGGGCTGGAAGTAACTCTAGTTTTCCTCCAACTTTAGTTGCACTTCACTCAGATTTACTTGATGGTTTTTCTTTCAAGGCTCTTTAAAATGTCAAGGCTTTTGCAAAGCCTTGTACCAAAATAGCTACTATACATAATATTACAATTATTTTCTGGTACATTTTTCCTAAAAATTAATCATCCACTCACAGTAACATCTATTTCTTAGTCTAAATTACACTGCTGAGGGTTTTTTGTTTTTGTTTTTGCTGGCTTCTCAAAAGGTATTTAAAATGATTTTGAGGTGAGAGTATGCAAAAAACACTTCACATTACTTTTCCATATTCAAATTACATCCTCTTGAGCTGATTTTTAAGTGCCATGTACATTTTTAAATCAAAATTTATCACTGTCATTCTTTTAACTCTCGCTCTCCATGCTGAGCTCTTCCAAATGCCAAAGTGCCCTATTAATCCGAAAGTACCTATTATCTGTGCTTTTTTCTGGCCTGTCTTTCACAACTTCACACCAACTTTTTGTACTTTAGACCCCCTCATCCATTAAAGCACCTGTTAACCCTTTAAGGTATTTAACCATATGGTTAGCTTTCCGCATAATCCTACTTTTCCTTTAACAAACACAAACTTCACTACATAATTCCCCTTCAGCGTTCCCTCCTCTTCGAAATTCACATCAACACTGCCGTGAAGCAACATACATAGGCATCCCTATTCTCAAGCCCCAATTCATCAGTTTAGCGCCACTAAAGAAGAATTTAAATCTCCGGACCCTCATTTCCGTACTCCGATGAAGCTTTGCACTCGCGTTCCCGCACTACCCGGCCAGCCTCCCTCAGCTGGCAATTACAAGGTCCTTTGCTGCCCGGAGCACAAGAGTGCAACTCGCTACAGTGTTCACATGTTGCTCTCCGTCATCCCAGCATCTCCTCCCATTTCTGCGCACCTATCCCTTCATGAGCCCCCAAAAGAATTCGTATCCAGATGCCCATAGCTCAAATTAGAATACCCCTCATCTGACATTGCCAGGGCTTCCTGTACGACTTCCAAGAGAACACGCGATGCTAAGCGCTTCTGTCTCCGGAGACCAGCAACACACGCTCCCCACTGAGTTCGGTCTTCTCTCTCGCTCTCTCTCCGCGGAATGCCTACTTCGGGGCTACCCTTTGGCTAGGGAAGCCCAACCTTGCAACCTCTGCCCCGTGACCTCGCGAGCCCAGCACGCCGCTCAAGCTTAATTCAACCCATTCTTGGAGCTCGTGCTCTCGCTGCCCCTTGTTCCCGGTTCTCTTTGAAACCGCTTTCAGCCCCCGAGCCAGACCCCAGGTTAGATGAACGCCCACTTGCTCCGGCGGCAGCGCCTCCTCGGCCCCTTCCACAGCACTCAGCCCGGGGCAGTTCAGTTCCTCACCTAGCTTCGAGCGGGACTCCTCCAGTTTCTGGATCTGGTTTTCCAAGAAGAGCATCGCCACCGCGAAGGCCACCACCGCCAGCAGCTGCAACTTGGGCGGCATCATAATCCTGAGGAGCCCCATGAAACCCGCTGCTCGGGATCAAGACATACCGCGGGGGGCGGGGAGCGGGACCCCGGAGGCGAGAGAGACGCCGGGAGGAGCCCGCCGAGCCGGGAGCGAGGCAAAGAGAGAGCGACAGCGAGAGAACCACCGCAGCGACCCCCCTTCTCGCCTCTCCAGTCCCCCTCCCCCAGGCGCTATCACCAACGCCGCTGGTGTCCGCTTCTCCTCAGCCGACTAAACGGCCGCCCCCTCCAAAAGCCCGCGCAGCAAACAGCGCGAAGCGGCTGCCGGGCTCTCGCCTCCCTCTACTGCCTCAGTCCCCGACCCCCGCGCCCGCCTGCTTGCCCGCCTCCCTCTCTTCCTTCCTTCCCTCCCTCCTTTGCTCGCGGCCGCGCGCCCCTCCACCGGCGCTGCGGCTGCGCCGCCCTCATCCCCGCCCCCGCCCATCCCCCTCCGCCACCACGCGCACGCATCCGCGTACGCTGCTCGGCAACCAGAAGCCCCGCCCCTCCCCCCGTTCGGGTCCGCTTATTGGACGGAAGAGCCCCTGCGCTTCGCTCTTGGTTCGGTTTACGGTTGGTTTCCTCTGCCACAGAGCTCAATCAAGACGACATTCAATTGGGTAAACTTGGAGAAGAAGGCGGGGCTAAAACTGGCGAAGGCGTGGCTTCTTGGCTGCTTGACGAAGTGTCGTGAATAAAAGAAAGGAGACCGCAGAAGTAAAGAAGTGGGGAGTTTAGGCAAGTGCCTGATTTGGGTAATCGAAAGCACCCAGTGATTGTATTTGATGACTTTTAAGCTTTCATATGCCGTTATTTAATACCTGTCACTTCCAAATGAGAGATGTAAGGGCAACGGCCGTTAGCGTTCTGTTTTGGATCAGGCTCTGGAGTGGACGCCCCTAGCTTAGGGGTCCTTCTAGGCAGCCAGAAACCTGCGGAAAATGGTAGCGATGGCGGCTGGGCCGAGTGGGTGTCTGGTGCCGGCGTTTGGGCTACGGTTGTTGTTGGCGACTGTGCTTCAAGCGGTGAGTGTAGATCACCTTCGCAGCTGCCACAGGGAGAGTAGGAGTGATTGCAGCTGAGAAAGACGCAACATTCGGTCCTGGTTGAAAAGGGTGGGGAGGACTGCGCTTCCTTAATGACTGCTGCGGCCAGAATGCAACGTGGCTTAATTTCTCGGTTGATCCTTCTCCTTCCCCGCCTTGGGTTTCTAGCAGCAGTTTTCTCTTGATTTCAGATTGTCTTGGGTACGTAGCTTCTCTTATACGGCTCTTGCTAAAAACAATCTGTAAACCACACCAGGTGGGAGGGGGGAATAATAAAGCTTGGCAAGAAGTGGAGGTTGTTTTTAAATGGACAGAAATGCAAGAGACTCATGACGAGACTTCCAACTCTTAGAGGCAAGTCTTCAAGTCGTTGGTCCAGGCGAACAGTTTGTGTTTACCTCTCTCGCGCGCGTGCTCTCTCATTTTCACTACTTCTGTTAGTCTCTTAACTTCCGTTCTCCTCTGCTATTCATATACGGCTGGCTGCGCTTGAGTGCGATTTGTGCTTTTAAACAATGTTGTTGGAGTAAAAGGAGTTATCTATACCAAAGTATAATTCATTTTTGAAGTTAGTTTTTTAAATGATGTTCGTTGTCTTCTTTAAGGCAGCGTTTTTTATTTCATTTTTCTCTATTGGCAGAATAGATGGGTGACCTTTGAATGGGAAAAGTGTACTTTTAACTTATTTCTTCTCATATCCATGTTCTGCTGTGTGAATAGTAAAATTTTAGGCACAGTGCTGAAAGCTTTTACGTTTTTTTATCCTAGCTTAATTCTTCGGGTAGTCTCTAATAAGGAGACCTGGTTTAATTTACTTATCCAAGGTTGAGGGTGTTAAGGGACTACACCGGAGTCCTCTATGAACACCTGTACTTACCTTTCTCAAAGAGCTTGAAAGCATCCTGGCTGTTTGCTTTGGCTACTTTAACCAAAAGGTAGATTCTTAACTTCTGTAATTAACATTCCAATTATCTTGTTATTCAGGCATTTGGTGCTAGGAATTACTGGATCACCTCTCCCTAAACTTTCTACTGTTTAAGGGTTTTTGCACATCTTTAGGTCATTCGAGATAACATTTCAGGTTGTCTTTTTTTGATCTCCCTCTGTCTTTGACTGTCAGTTGTCTATAGCTGTGTAACCGCCCTAAAACCTAGTAGCTTAAAACAGCAATGATTTCTCATAATTCTGGGTCAGTGGAGTAGAACTACTCCACCTATGTTGGTTTTCCCCTGGCCTCATTTATGCTTTTTGTTGACCTAGTAGGTCAGCTAAACCGAAAGGTTCCAGGATTACCACTGTTTATAGTTGGTGCTGTCAGCTCGAGGACTTGGTTCTGTTCCGTGTGACCTCTCATCCTCCAGTCGGCTAGACCAACTTCTTTTCATGGCACTCTCAGGGCAGCACTCCAAAAGAGCAAAAGCTACAATGCCTTCTAAAGCCTTGCCTTGGAAATCACATATATTACTTCCATCACATATTTCTCAAAGCAAGTCACAAGACTAGTTCACATTCAGGGATGGAGAAATAGATTTCATCTCTACATGGGAGGAATGACAGAGTCACTTTGCAAAGTGTGCATACCAGGATAGGAGGTATTTATGGAATTAACTAATTCCATATGTAATAATGATAGGAATTAATTAAACAGCGTACCACAGTGACTGTGCACAGAATCCAAACTAGAAATTTGGATGTCATGTTTGACTCCTTTCCTTACATATATCATATCCAGGGAATTACTGAAACTTACTGATTTTAATTCCTAAGTATCTCAAATCCATCCACTTATTGTTAATCACTCAGGCCATAAACATCTCTCTCCTCAGAAATAACAGCGTCTTGGTTCACCGTTTGAATTATCCCTGGCTGTATTCAGAATCTAAATGGTTGGCTTTGCCTTTGTCAGCTTCCCAATTGCCCAAGCCAAAAATTAGTCATTTTTGGCCAGTTGTGGTGGCTCATTCCAGTGCACTTTGGGAGGCTGAGGTGGGCAAATCACCTGAGGTCAGGAGTTCAAGACTAGTCTGGCCAACACGGTGAAACCCCGTCTCTAGTAAAAATATAAAAATTAGCTGGGCGTGGTGGCGCATGCCTACTCGGGAGGCTGAGGCAGGAGAATCACTTGAACCCAGGAGGCGGAGGTTGCACTGAGCCGAGATTGCACCATTGCACTCCAGTCTGGGTAACAGAGCAGGACTCTGTCTCAAAAAAAAAAAAAAAAATAGTCATTTTAAATCCTCTTTCCTTTCACTGTCTGAATTCAATTAGTCGTTAAAGCCTTAAAAATCTCTAAGCCAGTCCACTTAATAATTTTGTTTCCACAGTTAGTATTTATATTCAGGCTACTATCTTTGCCTAGAATTACAACAGCTTCCTTAACTAGTCTCCCATCTCATTATTTCATTTCCAATCTCTACAGTGCATCAAGTGATCTGCCTAAAATTTAAATCTGTCATGATTAAAACTCTTCAGTGGCTGCTTATTGTTTTTTAAGGTGAAGTCTGTCTTCCTCAATGTTCCTTAAGGAGGCACTTGTTTGTCTATCCAGGCTTATTCCCCAACATTTACTTCTATTAGGAGAGCAGAAAGGTACAAGTGGAGAATTGGCATCACTTGTTTAGCTTATTTCACATACTGTATTCTCCCTCACCAGACCTTTGAGCATGGTGTTTTCATTACCTACAAGCCGCTTCCCAGCGTCTCATCCTTTCCTCCCTTTCTCCTACCCTACAACAAAAATGGCTGTCTTCTACTTACTCTCTTTCTGTTCTTAGTAGAGAAATCACTTCCTCCAACAAAGCTTCGCTATCCCTCAAGTTTGGATTAAGAGTCTTTCTGTGTGCTCCAGTGGTGATCAATATTTATTCTCTGAGATACGTTCCATAGTTTTCTTTAATAATTTCTTGTTCTTTGGCATTCTCCTACCCACTCCCAAAGGGAAGTACCCTGTCTTTCCTGTTGACTGTTTTATCTCTAGTGACACATATACAGAGTAGTACTATACTTGATGTATAAGTGAAATGTTTGATGAATGAATTAGAGAATCCACAAGCAAAGGTCTGAAAACCTGGAAGTATGAAATCTGTTTGGAAACTATTAAAATCAGCTTCAGTTACCTTCATAGAGCTCTATTATCAGTGATCCCAACTGGAGGTGTGTAGATGAAAATTGTTGGGAGGAGGAGAGATTAAAAAATACATGTGCTTGGACTCTGCCTTAGATATGATTCAAAAATTTGTGGTAGCTGTGCAACTCTAGCTGGTAAGTACATGTTAGACTGAAACCTTTTTTTTTTTTTTTTTTTGATATGGAGTCTTGCTCTGTTGCCAGGCTGGAGTGCGGTGGCATCATCTCGGCTCACTGCAACCTCTGCCTCCCGGGATCAAGCCAGTCTCCTGCCTCAGCCTCCCAAGTAGCTGGGATTACAGGTGCACGCCACCACGCACAGCTAATTTTTGTATTTTTAGTAGAGACGGGGTTTCACCATGTTGGCCAGGATGGTCTTGATCTCTTGACCTCATGATCTGCCTGCCTCAGCCTCCCAAAGTGCTGGGATTACAGGCGTGAGCCACCGCGCCCAGCCAGACTGAAACCTTTTGAGGCAGGAATCAACTTACTCATTTTTTTGTGAATGTGACCCCCACAGGATGGAACATCCTAACTTACCATCAAATAAAACTACTGGGTGATCAGCCACAGCCACACCATTCCACCAAATATTCCCAAAGACAGCCATCATACACAGCCTTTTTCTCTCAAACTCTGCCTATTGAATTCATACTCATGACGTATAATTTAGTGGGAAGTACACTACTTTAACGAAATGTATTTTTTAGTTTTAACTTCTAATAACTGACTAAGGCAAATTAATTTACTCTTGGCCTTTGTTTCTTTATCTCTTTCTCCCTGAACTAAGATGTTTCAATAGAATGCAAAGCTTAACTCACATTCCACTTCCAGACTTGCAAAGTTAGATGTAATTTCTCCCTTGCATATTGTATCATCATACTTTTTTTTTGAGACGAAGTCTCGCATTGTCACCCGGGATGAAGTGCAGTGGTGCAATCTCCGCCTCTCGGGTTCAAGCGACTCTCCTGCATCAGCCTCCCGAGTAGCTATGATTACAGGCACGCGCCCCCACGCCCAGCTAATTTTTTGTATCTTTAGTGGAGACGGGGTTTCACCATGTTGGCCAGGCTGGTCTCGAACTCCTGACCCTGTGATCCACCCGCCTCAGCCTCCCAAGGTGCTGGGATTACAGACTTGAGCCACCACCCCTGGCCTTGTATCATCATACTTTATACTGTATTACACAAATCCACATGGTCTTAACCAAATCATAGCTCTGTGTGTGTGTGTGTTAGTATCCCTCCACTCCTCCTGTCCCCGTGCCAATTAGAATGTAGCCAAAGAGAATACAGGGACCATTTTTATTTTATATTCCCTTCGTTGTGTCTCATATGTATTTGTACATTTAAATCCCTCTGAAGCGTAAATGGCCCCAGTTCATTTGTGTTGTTGCTCCATGCCATCAAAGTCATCAGGATATTTGCAATTTGTGTAGAGCAGTGAGGAAGCCCAACCACTCTCAAAAATACAAAAATGACTCAGAAAAGAGAGAGTGCTGGACAATTCACCCTTATTGAACTGTTATAACTTCCCTAAGGTTTATTCATGTCTCTTCTGTAGTAACTAGTGCTTTTAAGAAAAGAAAGCAAGAAAAACCTTGAAAATGAAAAGGAGTATAGATAATTGTTGAAAAAACAGTAAGAAGTTGGAAACTGCATATGTCACAGTTAGCCCAAGGGGAAAAAAAGATCAGGTGGCATAAGTAGTTGGCAGTAGTGAAATCTTTGGAAACTTCCATAGGAATTAAAGGGGGATGAGGGAACAATTTCTTGACACTTTGAGATTGAGATACTGCTATGGATAAAACTGTCATTGGGACTGCACTCGTGTTTTGTTAATTGATACCTCTGAGTTTCTTATACTTGACAAGTTGAGTTTTTATCACTGTCTACTCCTCTGAATAGCTTTAATTTCAAGTTAATAACTGCATATTTGTCAATATTTCAGTGAGGTAACAACTGGATATAAAGTGATTTAATCTGAAAATACATCGAGTATGCTTAAATAAGCAATAGAAAAGTGATATTTTAGTACAGTCTTAGGGAGCTGTTTATTAACGCTCCCCAGAACTAAGTGATGATATTCAATCCTTCATTCAGATCATGTGTAATATTTTCTCATTCAAAAAGGCACTACACTAAAAAGCAGTATAGAATGATAATTGTGTATCATTCTTTCTGAGATGCCCCCCACTCCATTTCTTCACAGGTTAATATCTCGCTGGGCCTTACGGATCACACAGTTAAAATCGTTGGTGCTTTTGTTATTAGTGGTACATACGATAATGGTGTATCATGGATTCTGTGAAATATGGTAGTCAGTAACAGTGGTTAGGGGCATAGAGAGCAGGCCAGAATTAGAATCTTGTTGCTGTCATCTCTTGTTTCCTGTGTGGTCTTAGACAAATTACCTTAACTATCCTAAACCTGTTTCTTTCTTTATAAAATGGTGATAACAATACCTTTTTCACAAGATGGTTTAGATTAGATGGAATAATAATGTAAAGTACTTAACAAAATATCTGCTGGTTTATAAAAGCTTGCTGTAATGGCCATGTTTCTGGTATTCATTTTCATGGAGTTCATTCTGTAATCCCATCTATTTGCTTTTGTCTCAGATTTGGAGTTTGCTCAGAATTACATGAGAAACCTCTGAGTTTCCTGAAAGTTATAAAGACCAGTGAAGAGACAACGAATATGTAGGTGTAAGTGTAACAAAATATATAGCTAGATCAGATTTTTAAGGTAATGGTATAGTACAGTTAACCCAGTTTCTCTGCTGCCAACTCTCTCATCTAGAAGGAACTCATTAATACTGGAAAAATAAAACAGTGAGTAATGCATGGAGAAGGAGGGAATAGAGCCTTGGTTTTTTTTTTTGTTTTTTTTTTTGAGATGGCGATTCACACTTACCGCCCAGGCTGGAGTGCAATGGTGCAATCTCAGCTTACTGCAATCTCCGCCTCCCGGGTTCAAGCGATTCTCCTGCCTCAGCCTCCTGAGTAACTCAGATTACAGGTGTGCGCCACCACCCCAGCTAATTTTTTTTGTATTATTAGTAGAGACGGGGTTTCACCATGTTGGCCAGGCTGGTCTCAAACTCCTGACCTTAGGTGATCCACCCACCTTGGCCTACCAAAGCACTGAGATTATAGATGTGAGCCACCGCATCCAGCTGAACCTCTTAATTTGTCAATTCTGCTTTGAAATAGAGAAAGCTAAATGGTTATCCTAGCCAGGAACCCTGTCCTTAGAATCTTTGTCTTTCTTACAAGTGTGGCTAATTAATCTAAAATTTAATATTTGATCTTAATGTGCAAATTTAAATGCCAATCAGTTACTTTTGGCAATAAAAGGATGGCAGGAATAATATCAAACTCTCATATATTAGCATTTATCTGTCAGGTACTTAAAAATACTTTCTGATGTCCTTAAATTCAAAGCCTTAAGTCTGCAAAACCAGTGATAGAACAGCTAGAAAAAAGTAGTTTACCTAAGAAACTCGATACTTTGTATCTCCCCTATACTTATCTTTTATCCCATGTCTAGTATAGTGATAAAAACATTTATATAGTGTTTTGTAATTTTTAAGTGTGCTTTCACAGTGGAAGGTGAGCCTAATACCAACATGTATTCAGTACCTACTGTGTACTGGGCGGGATGCTAGATGCTTTCTGTGCACTTGCTTCTTTAATCCTCAGAATTCCACGAGATAAATGATAATACTCCCTGTTTAGAAATAAGGTAGCTCTGTGATGGCATTTGAATCTAGATGTGTGTTAAGACTTTGAAATACATGATGTTTTGCATAGTCATGCTACCTGTCAGTAGGTGCTCCATAAATGCCAGAATAAAACCAAATAGTATAATTGCATGATTATTCATTTGAGGTTCTTATTTTGTTGTTTAAAAGGTTTTGGTAACAGTTTTATACGTTTGTTAACGAGTTCACAGTTTCCAAAGTGATTTCACTCTTATTGCCTCTTTCAGTAACTATGGCTGCAAAACAGAATTACCCTAAAATTTAGTGACGTAAAACAATTGATTATTTTGCTTTCAAATCTTGTGAGTTAGCAATTCTGACAGGGCACAGCAGGGATGGCTTGTCTGTTCTATGATGTCTCAGACCTCAGTTGAAACACTAGGGCCTGAAATCTGAAGGTGGTTTACTCACATGTCTAGTAGCTGATACTGGTTGTCAGCTGGAGTTTTCAGTTGCTCTCTACATGGGCCCTTCCATGTTGTCTCTCTTGTATAGACTTCTTTACAGCAGGTTGGCTAAGTTCCAAAGTTGATGTTCCTAGAAAGAAAGAATACTAGCCAGGCAGAGGCTGTTTGCTCTTTTACGACCTACCCTCAGAATCACATAACTTCCTTTAAACTCTGTTGTTCAGAACAGTCATGGCCCGTGCCCAGATTCAAGGGGAGGGAACATAGACCCCACTTCTCAGTGGAGGACTAACATTGTAAGAACATGTGAAATGATATGTACACATTGATGCAGCCTTTGATACATATTGATTGTCTTGTCTTTGGAAAACACAATCTGCTCATTGTTACATTTGATTTTCAAATTATCCTGTGAAATAAATGAGGCAGATCACTTTACTGATGGAGAAATTACCCAAAGTACTAGTATGGTAGCAAGTGTCTTATAGTTAAACTAGAGAGATCAAACACACAAATTAACCAATAAAGTCACAGTTCCCTCCCACTAGGCTGGGATGTCTCATCTGTTTTGAAAAATTATACATATGACATTATTACAGAGATAAGATTAAAGATGTATAAAATATCACGTCAGCATTTTGGGTGAATATGCCAACAAGTACTTAAATTTTCTTTTCATTGGGAAATGCCACTGGATATTAATCTACCTGGTGAGTTTAGAAAAGGATTGACACACTGCAGCTGGTGGGCCAAATTCAGTCAACCCAGTTTTTGTAGAACAAATTAACATAACAAAATGAAGCAAAGTTTCATTGGAACACAGACACATTCATTCATTCATGTGTTATCTGTGACTAGTTTTTGCACTGCCATGGCTGAGTTAGATAGTTGTACAGAAACCATATGGCCACAAAAGCCTAACAAAATTATCTGGCCCTTCACATAAAGTTTGCATACCCTTAGTCTAGAAGATCAGTCAGTTGCAGTCAATCTGAAATTTCCCCTACCTGACGCTATGGCTTTGTGCGATTTATTTATCCAACAGATATATGAAAACTGTCACAAGTGAGGGAAAGACAGAGAAACAACTTAATGCTTGCCTTCAGAAGAGTTCATAGTATTGTTGAGGAGTCAGATTTACATAGTACAGTGTCACGAACGGTACTGTTTTACAACTGTGCACAAGTTTCTCGGAGAAGAAAAGTACTCTGGCTAATGATTGAGATCTGATTTTTTTGGTCAGTGAAAGCTTCCTAAAAGACTAATACTGATTAGATTCTTGAAAATAAGTAAGATGTTACAAGGTGAAGAAGTGGAAACAGAACCTTAAATATAGGGGAGACTGTGAGCAAAAGTGTGTTTGAGTAGGGCTTTTATACTTCAAGATACTATAGGAATTCCTTATAGCAGGAGGAATTGAGGAAGTAATGAGAAGTAGCCTTGGCAGTGAGCATTTAAGCCACTGAGGCAGGAAAAGACTTGAGAGCTTTTTAAGAGAATTATAAAAATATATTAATTGGTTGTGAGAATGGTGAAGAATATGGAGTGTAGGTCAGTAGGATGACTGATCTGGGCAACTAGCTTGTCAGAGAAATGATGCCATTTTACTAAGATACTGAATACCTTAGGAAGAATAGATTTAAGAAAAATATAAGTTTCAGTGTTGCAGATTTTGAACTTGCAATGCATATTCAACACCTAAATGTGATATTGAGTGGACTGTTGGCTTTGGAAGCCTGACATTCAAGAAAAATACTTGAGAGTTTTCAATAAATGCATATCTGAAGCCATGGATAAATATGCAGTAATAAATAGAAGGCATGTAAAGCTAAGAGAGAGCCAAAAACAGAACTGTGGGAAACAATAGCATTTAAGAGATGCATAGAAGAGAAAAGTAAAGGAGGACAGGCCTTTGGACGGGGTAGTTGAAGCAGAACAGTTTTGAATGCCTTTGCATTTGGTAATTTTGGGCAAATTTTGTGGAGTAGTAGGAGCAGAAACCAGGCTATATTAATGAGTTTGGGGTGTTAGGAAAAAATAAAGATAATAGAAACCAAGTTATAGTAACAATTCAGAAATGACAGAACGTGGGAAGAGCAGTTAGGACCATAGGGCTTAAATATAGCTAAAGGTTGAAGTATTGATGAAATGAAGTATCTGTTAAGATAGAATCCAAAGAGGAAGTAGAGGGATTGGCCTTAGACAAATGGAGGTATACCACATTCACTGATAGGTAAAAAAGAATGGATGAGGGAAGGGAATATTGTTGAAAGCCTGCTTTTGTCAGCCATTCTGATTGATTAAATCATCTCTGATTTAATGTAACGATTTATGTAAGGTAACCATAGCAATCTGTTTTATGTAGGAAGTATTGCCCCTTAATTTATGAGTGAGGAAATTAAAGCTTAGGGAGGATAGTTTGCCCAGGGTCACGAATCTTGTAACTGGTGGCACTATTACCTAAAACCAAAAGTTTGAATTCTGGCGTGCTCTTGCCTGCACCATCCCCTTTCCCGTCCTTCTTCTGCTGGATGTGACTGTAGATAAACCCTACAGCTAATCTTACTCCATAGACCCATATGAACAGATGTTGAGTTCTTAAAATGAAACAAAAATTATTTTTTCTTATAAGAAAATTCCTTTTTAAAACAATAAATCTTTAAGAAAATATTTATGTGATAAACATCATGAACAATGATATGCCTTTTCTTCTTAATCCATATTTTAGCTAAGCTGAAAGATGATGGATGTTTAAGAAAAAAAGCTTGTAGGGGAGGTGGGAGAAACCAGACTATTACATAAGGTTACAGAGTTTAAGAAAGAATTTATTGCTGGGCGAGGTGGCTCATGCCTGTAATCCCAACACTTTGGGAAGCCAAGGTGGGCGGATCACGAGGTCAGGAGATCAAGACCATCGTGGCCCCCGTCTCTATTAAAAATACAAAAATTAGCTGGGCGTGGTGGCATGCGCCTGTAATCCCAGCTACTAGGGAGGCTGAGGCAGGAGAATCACTTGAACCCAGGTGGCAGAGGTTGCAGTGAGCCGAGGTTGCACCACTGCCCTCCAGCCTGGCGACAGCAAGACTCCGTCTCAAAAAAAAATAAAATTAAATTAAAATTTAAAAGAATTTATCTCCAAATGAAACATTTCAGTAACTTGTCTTCAATGTGTTAGTTTTTGACAACCCCGTGTTCTCTTTTTGGAAAGCTTTGTAGTATAAATATGGAATTGTGTTTTATTTCCCATTTTTTATTTTCAGGTGTCTGCTTTTGGGGCAGAGTTTTCATCGGAGGCATGCAGAGAGTTAGGCTTTTCTAGCAACTTGCTTTGCAGCTCTTGTGATCTTCTCGGACAGTTCAACCTGCTTCAGCTGGATCCTGATTGCAGAGGATGCTGTCAGGAGGAAGCACAATTTGAAACCAAAAAGGTACTGTTTTCTAGTATATTCCTTCCATTGGATGGTTTAGTTGAGATAAGGTAAAAATGTAAGTTGCTTAATCAATTTAAGTGTAAAAAAGCCTCTAAGCTTTTACATTTTTTAGTAAAACTCAACTGATTTCTTGTCTGGCCTATTAGTTCAATCAAAGCAAATATGAAGGAGAAGTATGGTTGCATACCAGGATCCCATTCCACCATGATTGTCAAGCAAAGGGGAAGTAGAATCCCTATAACATGCTTTGATCCTGTAGTTCTCCAGTCTTCCTAACTTCTGGCCAAATGAAGCCAAAAAATAATAGGTGCTTTTGTTCATTTATAGTAAGAACCCAGTGTTGGATGAAACTTGAAATGAAAGTAAAGCACATAATACCTGGCACTTAATTGTCTACAATAAATTGTAACATGAAATCTGGTTAAAAAGAATATGGACTGTTAGTTTACACACCTATTGCTAGTAATTTGAGACACCTAACCTCACCTTTAACATCTGAAAACAGAGCCAAGGATAGGTAGTTCAGTCTCTCCAGGTAAACCTACTATGTTTTAAAACCTGCTGTTCAAACAAATTAATAGTGAACTTGCTCATCTTTTAAATATTTTCATCAAAACTCTTAGATTTATTTAAATTATAAAGTAGACTGGAAAGATCATTTGAGTTGTCCAGTTAAAACTAAATTGGTAAGATACCTGTGTTTGTAGTGAGAAAAAAATGTTAGCATATTTCTGTTGTTTCCTTCCAGTACTGTCTTTGACTTGTACATGCTGAATTCTGTTTGAAGTATTATGGTTTGTAAAGCTTTCAGGCATAATGATGTGTTATTATTATTGGTAGTAAAGGTTTGTTTTTAACAGTAAGTGCATTTTCGGAGTTCTAAAAGAAAAACAAGCAGGCAAGCTTTGAAATGTTAGTATTCAGCCAAAATTTAACCCTTGATTTCTCTGTATCTGAACCTGAAATTCCAAGTATCTCAAAAATGGCTTGCAAAGCCTTACATGTTTTTCACTTTACTGGTTCACATATACCAGTAAAACATTTTAATGTTTAGAAGATTTCTTTACATATAAGTTATTCTTTTTCTTGCATGTAAATAAAATCTAAACAAGTTTTTAAAACTTGATTTTAAATAGATTTAAGACATACAACTTAACTAGTTTAGTAGACCTTTTGCTGCCCCTCTGTTCTTTTTGCTGAGGTATTCACATGGGACAAATTGCTGAATAAATCTGTATGAGCCATCCTCTCCTTATCTTTAAGCTGTTCTATGGGCTGTACTACTACTCAACCAACATCCTTTTTCACTGAAACACCAAACTCAGAAGGACTGAAGAACAAGGGGCATTTTATAATAAACAGTGTTTACCACACACACCCCCTTGTGATTAGGGTAAATTGAGAGGTCTGCTATTTGACAACAGATATGCCAAAACTGTAAACCAAATGCATGTAAAAGCTATTTTTACTTACTGCCTTTTCTTAGTAGTTCTTCATAATACCCCAGTTTTTTGGTATAATTTTAGTAGAACCAAACTTGCACCACAAACCTCTAAAATTAATTATATTCCTATTCAATTTTCATTATTAATGGAGCTATATGTTGTATCTTGACACATTTCAGCAGTTGCAGCTCAGCAATAAAAGTAGATCTGCCAATTAATATATGCCCAGCTAATTACAAGCTGGAGTGATTATCGTATCTAAGTACAAGTAAACCTGTCTTAATGCATCTTTTACACTGAATCCAGTGTTTTTAACTTTGCTCCTAGCCCCTAATCTCTAAGATGTACTTTTTATTAGCATTGACTAGCACTCTTTGCACAAAACTGGTGAATTTTTTTTTTTTTTTTAGTAAGACTAGTGAAACCAAAACATAGCAAAAAACACTTAAAAAATATTACTGGAAATATAAAAGTATGGTATGTTGGGCAATCCTCCCATTTAGATGCAAACCACATGCAAGTATAGAAATAGTGCTAGATTTAATCTATGCAATATTGTTCTCTGGATTTTTGGTACATGATCATGGATAACACAATATATATAATATACTTTTCTGTGTCACTCAACTCTGGCTTAAGGCTTAATTTAAAATCACAGTTTAATTTAGTTGTCAATAAAAGTAAAAGTCTAATATGTAGACTAGTGCCTTACATTAAAAATATTTAAGTCTGGGCAACGTGGTGAAACCCCGTCTCTACAAAAAATACAAAAATTAGCCAAGTGTGGTGGTTTACGCCTATAGTACCAGCTACTCAGGAGCCTGAGGTGGAAGGATAGCTTGAGCCTGGGAGGCAGAGGTTGCAGTGAGCTGAGATCATGCCACTGCACTCCAGCCTGAGCAGCAGAGAGAGACCCTGACTCAAAAAAGATACATATATTTAAACATAGCTCTGTGTGTGTGGAATCATCGTGAGCATAAATTCTTTAAAAGTCAACTCGGGTGTGATGGCTCACCCCTGTAATCCCAGCACTTTGGGAGGCCGAGGCGGGCAGATCACAAGGTCAGGAGATCGAGACCATCCTGGCTAATATGGTGAAACCCCATCTCTACTAAAAATACAAAAAATTGCTCTCCCCACGGTCTCCGTCTCCGTCTCTGTCTCCGTCTCCCTCTCCCTCTCCCTTTCCCCACGGTCTCCCTCTCCCCCTCCCCACGGTCTCCCTCTCCCCACGGTCTCCCTCTCCCTCTCTTTCCACGGTCTCCCTCTGATGCCGAGCCGAAGCTGGACTGTACTGCTGCCATCTCGGCTCACTGCAACCTCCCTGCCTGATTTTCCTGCCTCAGCCTGCCGAGTGCCTGCGATTGCAGGCGCGTGCCGCCACGCCTGACTGGTTTTCGTATTTTTTTGGTGGAGACGGGGTTTCGCTGTGTTGGCCGGGCTGGTCTCCAGCTCCTAACCGCGAGTGATCCGCCAGCCTCGGCCTCCAGAGGTGCCGGGATTGCAGACGGTGTCTGGTTCACTCAGTGCTCAATGGTGCCCAGGCTGGAGTGCAGTGGCGTGATCTCGGCTCGCTACAACCTCCACCTCCCAGCCGCCTGCCTTGGCCTCCCAAAGTGCCCAGAGTGCAGCCTCTGCCCAGCCGCCACCCCGTCTAGGAAGTGAGGAGCGTCTCCGCCTGGCCGCCCATCGTCTGGGATGTGAGGAGCCCCTCTGCCTGGCTGCCCAGTCTGGAAAGTGAGGAGCGTCTCTGCCCGGCCGCCATCCCATCTAGGAAGTGAGGAGCGCCTCTTCCCGGCCGCCATCCCATCTAGGAAGTGAGGAGTGTCTCTGCCCGGCCGCCCATCGTCTGAGATGTGGGGAGCACCTTTGCCCCGCCGCCCCGTGTGGGATGTGAGGAGCGCCTCTGCCCGGCCGCGACCCCGTCTGGGAGGTGAGGAGCGTCTCTGCCCAGCCGCCCCATCTGAGAAGGGAGGAGACCCTCCGCCTGGCAACCGCCCCGTCTGAGAAGTGAGGAGCCCCTCCGCCCGGCAGCCGCCCCGTCTGAGAAGTGAGGAGCCCCTCCGCCCGGCAGCCACCCCGTCTGGGAAGTGAGGAGCGTCTCCGCCCAGCAGCCGCCCTGTCCGGGAGGGAGGTGGGGGTCAGCCCCCGCCAGGCCAGCCGCCCCATCCGGGAGGGAGATGGGGGGGTCAGCCCCCCGCCAGGCCAGCCGCCCCGTCTGGGAGGGAGGTTGGGGGGTCAGCCCCCTGCCCGGCCAGCCGCCCCGTCCGGGAGGGAGGTGGGGGGTCAGCCCCCCGCCCGGCCAGCCGCCCCGTCCGGGAGGTGAGGGACGCCTCTGCCCGGCCGCCCCTACTGGGAAGTGAGGAGCCCCTCTGCCCGGCCAGCCGCCCCGTCCGGGAGGGAGGTGGGGGGGGTCGGCCCCCTGCCCGGCCAGCCGTCCCGTCCGGGAGGTGAGGGGCGCCTCTGCCCGGCCGCCCCTACTGGGAAGTGAGGAGCCCCTCTGCCCGGCCACCACCCCATCTGGGAGGTATGCCCAACAGCTCATTGAGAACGGGCCATGATGACAATGGTGGTTTTGTGGAATAGAAAGCGGGGAAAGGTGGGGAAAAGATTGAGAAATCGGATGGTTGCCGTGTCTGTGTGGAAAGAAGTAGACATGGGAGACTTTTCATTTTGTTCTGTACTAAGAAAAATTCTTCTGCCTTGGGATCCTGTTGATCTGTGACCTTACCCCACAACCTTGTGCTCTCTGAAACATGTGCTGTGTCCACTCAGGGTTAAATGGATTAAGGGCGGTGCAAGATGTGCTTTGTTAAACAGATGCTTGAAGGCGGCATGCTCCTTAAGAGTCATCACCACTCCCTAATCTCAAGTACCCAGGGACACAAACACTGCGGAAGGCCTCAGGGTCCTCTGCCTAGGAAAACCAGAGACCTTTGTTCACTTGTTTATCTGCTGACCTTCCCTCCACTATTGTCCTATGACCCTGCCAAATCCCCCTCTGTGAGAAACACCCAAGAATGATCAATAAAAATAAAAATGAAAATTAAAAAAAACAAACAAACAAAAAAAAAATACAAAAAATTAGCTGGGTGTGGTGGCACACACCTGTAGTCCCAGCTACTTGGGAGGCTGAGGCAGGAGAATCGCTTGAACCCGTGAAGCAGAGGTTGCTGTGAGCCGAGATCGCACCACTGCACTCCAACCTGGGCGACAGAGCAAGATTCTGTCTCAAAAAAAAAAAAAAAAAAAGAAGAAGAGAAAGTCAGAGTTTATATAGAATGCTTTAGCTATTTGTACATAATAAAAAAATGTTACCAGGACATTCATTTTTGGTTCTTAATTAGTTGGATGCTTTATATAGGTCTATCTAAGGATGAGACTCATTTTTAGTAATGGTCACTTTTTCAACAAACTGAATTTAGACTTTGATAGCCAGAGGCATAAAATTTTTGTTAGAAATTATTCCCAAAGAAGCAGAAAATGTCTTTGAAACCCCTTGTCATTCTGCTGATTGATATTCCACTATTTTTATTTGGTCTCCCTCCCTTCCAGTTTTGATCATAAAAGACCTACTCAGCGTCTCAAATACAAGCTAGAATGAGATTTTTGATCAGTTATTTTACTACTGTTTTAAATGGCTTTGCTCACAACCCGGGTATAATTTACAGACATTATTGGTAAGGATGTTGACTTATTGTAAAAATCATAACTAATTTGTAGCTTGAAGAAAATGTAAACTAATGAAACAAAACGTACTTAAATTTTAGTACTGTTTTTGTACAGTTAGTATTTACTAAGGAATATAAGTGACTTCAGCTTTATATATTGAATCTTTAGAAGGGTAAAGATACCCAGTCCAGTTGAGTATAACTCTTCCCATTGATCTTGTTTATGAACTTCCTTGTCCAACCATTTTAGCTGGTTTAAGGAAAGTAGTTAATCTTTTGACTCATGGACTCCACAGTTGAGCAGCAACCTGGGAGGAAGGAGCAGCTAAAAATTGGAGACTGACAGGCTCTTGCAGCCTCTTTTTTGCTTTGGCATATTCTTTGTCTCACTACTGACTGGCTTTCAAAAAATTTTTTTGAAATTTTTGACAAGGATTGTTGTTTGTCCTAGTTGGATCACTAACCACTTATTAGCTAGGGTTGTGGAATAATGCAAGAACCTGTTAGCTGCATAGTAGCTATGTAGAATGGTGTATTGGAAAGCAGACAGATGAAGCAGTTCTCAGGTAAAGAGCAGAGCTAGGTACTAGGTAAGCAGTCCCCTAGATATTTTATATCTTTATTCCTCAATTACTAGAGTAAACCACTTCTACTTTAGATGATTTAGAAGATTTAGCTCAGCTTCCCATCTTCTTAGACTTCTCCCCAACCTTACACACCACCAGTATCACTCCCAGGTTATGTTAGCTACACTTTTGTATTCCCAAAACACTTAGGGATACTTTGATTTACACTATATTATATCTATTGTTTTGCTTTTCTTTCTCTCCCAAAAAATAATGCTGTTGGATTTTTTTCCACCCCTCCCTGCACCAAGACGGAGTTTCACTCTTGTTGCCCAGGCTGGAGTGCAATGGTGCCATCTCGGCTCACCGCAACCTCCACCTTCTGGGTTCAAGAGATTCTCCTGCCTCAGCCTCCCACCCGCCACCACGCCCAGCTAATTTTTTGTATTTTTAGTAGAGACAGGGTTCCATCATGTTGGCCAGGCTGGTCTCAAACTCCTGACCTCAGGTGATCCACCCAACTCGGCCTCCCAAAGTGCTAGAATTACAGGCGTGAGCCACCGTGCCCGGCCTGCTCTTTGATTTTTTTTTTAAATGTTTATGAATCTCCAGCCTTTAGCACACAGTATTTCATAAGTTCTTGCCCTTGAATAAGGCTGTTTTTACTAAGAACAAGTTGGAAAAGGTGATTTTTTTAAAAGCTATGTTGAAAATATACATAACTTCATAGCTACTTGATAAATATCTTTTTCATATATTTCACTTATATCCTGAAATATATTTTTAAAAACTGAAAGAATAAGGAAACTTGTCTCCATGTTGGCAGTTAGCCATTGGTAACACTCTTTGGTTATAATTATCTAACTACAAATATAGATCTCCCGTTTCTACATTTTACTTACAAGGATGCCATAAGCATCCCAAATCTATCTAAAAAGAGATAATGTTAATTATTTAGCACAACTTTTTAGTGATTCCAATTTGACCACTCACCTTAATAGGTATTTTTTCAAAGTATACATGACCATCAGATTAAAATTGTTTCCTGGGATTTTCTTGGGATACATATAAATATTTTTTCTGTTAGAATTTTTGAACTATTCACTATTTTCTAAGATCTGTAAGATTAAGTGTAGTATTTTAGTGGGTTAAATAAGTGGGTTATTTTTCTCATCTTTTTATAATCTTGCAAATTCTGTGCACTTGAACTTGCTTATGGCTGCTGGATGCTTTTTTTCATTATTTCCTTAATCAAGGTTCTTAATAATGATTTCAGCTGCTTTGAGATGTTATTTTAGAACTTTTTTTTCCCTAACTATATCCGCCCCTCCCCCTCCCCCCCTCTTTGTTTTGAGACAAAGTTTTGCTCTTGTTGCCCAGGCTGGAGTGCAATGGCAGGATCTCAGCTCACTGCAACCTCCCAGGTTCAAGCAATTCTCCTGCAGGTTCAAGCGATTCTCCTGCCTCAGCCTCGCAAGCAGCTGGGATTCCAGGCACCTGCCAACACACCCGGCTAGTTTTTGTATTTTTAGTAGAGATGGGGTTTCACCATGTTGGACAGGCTGGTCTCAAACTACTGACCTCAGGTGTTCCACTCCCCTCGGCCTCCCAAAGTGCTGGGATTACAGGCGTGAGCCACCGCGCCTGGCCTATATCCCACTATTTCTTTAGTTAGTACCTTTTCTTTTTTAGATCTTGGTTTCCCAAGGTCCTTGTAGTTTCTTTCTTCCTCCTTCAAAATATTTTGATATAATTGGTTTTAGCATTTTTAGTCTTTTGCATTTACACTTGCCTTATTTCTGAACTACTATTCTGAAGGTCAAGCTGGTACCAAACCAGAGCACCTCTGGAGATAAGAATTCACTTAGCTGAATTGCTTATCTGTGTGAAATAATAAACAAATTATTTCAGCCTAATTTATTGTTCAGTTTTGATTAAAAACAAAGAAGTTTAGACTAATGGTTAAGATAGACTATAGAACCAGACTGTCTAGATTCAGATATTCTCTGCTACTCAGCGAGTGTTCTTGGACAAATTACCTGATTACTGTGTGTCTGTTTTTATAACTATAAATTGGGGATAATTATAGTTCCTGTCTCATAGGGTGATTATGAGGATTAAATAAGTTAATATGCATGCACTGCTTAAAATTGTGTCTAGCATATAACAAGTAGTAGGTAAATACTTGCTGCAGGTGGCGATGACAGCAGCAGCAGTAATAGTAGTAGTAGTAATCTGGTTTGCTGATGATAAAAGCCAGAAAGAACAGAAAATTTGGAGAACTCAGAATAGCATGATAATAATTGCTATTGACAAAGTAGGGTAAAAGAAAATAGATATGAAATATAAACTATCAGATTTGCCAGTGTTAAAATTTGGAGCAGTATCTTTTATTCCACTTTCAAGTTCCTGGATTAGTCGAATCAAGAGGAAATATATTCTTACAGAATTAGTATGAAAATTTTTACTATTTATAACTACTTGTATGAAACCTAATACAGAAATAAATTATGTCAAACACAATCCTACTTTCAAATTTTTAAGTCCTTTCAACTGACACATTTTAAAAAGGAAAATACTACAAATTTTCCACTTTATAAATGTGTGCCGTTTTGATCACTTGAAAATGTATGAAAGATTGCATTTGGAGGAAAAAAGGTTGTGCTAATAAAAAATGTCTCAAGACCAATGTTAAAGTGGAGCTTAATTTTCTTTGGTTTTTTTGTTTGTTTGTTGTTGTTGTTGTTGTTGTTGTTTTAGAGATAGGGTTTCCCTCTGTCACCCAAGCTAGAATGTAGTGGTGCAGTCATAGCTCACAGCAGCCTCCAACTCCAGGGCTCAGGTGATGCTTCTGCCTCAGCCTCCCAGGTAGCTGGGATTATTGACATGCGTCATCACCCCCAGCTAATTTTCTATTTTTGTAGAGACAAGGTCTCACCATGTTGCCCAAACTGGTCTTGAACTCCTGGCCTCAAGCTATCCTCTCCCTGGGACTCCCAAGTCACTGGGATTACAAGCATAAACCAACACACCCAGTTGTCCAGGTAGAGCTCAATTTTCTATGACAAACCTAGTCAGAAAATTGAAGGAGACTCATATTTTAAAGTCAGTTTAGAATAAAATATATTATTTATTGGTTTTTACTATTCAGATGACAGATCAGGAGGAAACCATGATATTTTTAAAATTAGAAGTAACATTATAGCAGAAAATAAATTGAGCTATATGTTTGTAATATAAAAATAATTATTTCATAAAAAAACAAAGCAAGCTATCAAACAAATCGCAATTATTTCAAATTTTTCTACTAATATTCTTCTCTTATTTATATGTGTAACCTATCACCTGGTAACAGATTTCAAAGGCTTAAGAAAAATTGGGAAGAGAAAAGCTTAAAAGTAATACTTAAAAAAAAAAAAAAAAAACCTCCAGGTTGAGAAGAGATTTATCTGAGTTTTAGAACATCTTGGTCCCCTTCACAAAATACCAGTAGAAGCATAGGCTGCAGATCACCAAATCATGCCATTACTTTTTCTGGCAAATAATTCAGCAGGTCAGGGATTTGATAAAAGCCTTTTGTTTTCACTTAAAGATCTACTTTCCAGATAATAGGAAAATAATAAAAACACTTATCTTCAATATTAATCTTATTATACTAGAATTGAATAAGTGGACCTAAGCAGTGTATAACATAAATTTATGAATATAATTGGATGCCCTCCACTTCCCACTCCCATTTCCTAGTTGGAACTAGACTAATTTAAGTCACCTGCTTTATATAGTAGCATTATCATTTTTTTATATGTATTACACTCTGCCTTGATATTTGCATGCACTCCAACAGGCCAGAGACAGTACAGAAGTAATATTAATTAACATGTATACCTCATTAGAAGCTTACCTCTTTCTCTCTTTTTATAAGAATTGTTGAGAGAGTTTAATTTTCTATTTATTTGTTTGTTTATTTATTTATTTATTTATGAGACAGTCTTGCTCTGTCACCAGGCTGGAGTACAGTGGTGCAATCTTGGCTTACTGCAACCTCTGCCTCCCGGTTTCAAGCAATTCCCCAGCCTCAGCCTCCTGAGTAGCTGGGACTACCGGTGTGCACCACCACGCCCGGCTATTTTTTTTTTTTTTTTTTTGTATTTTAGTAGAGATGGGGTTTCACCATGTTGGCCAGGATGGTCTAGACGATCTCCTGACTTCGTGATCCACCCACCTTGGCCTCCCAAAGTGCTGGGATTACAGGCGTGAGCCACCATACCCTAGCCGAGAGTTTAATTTTCATCTCAGCTTCTTACTGACTTTGTGATTGAGCTAGCACATTACTCCAGGATCTTCAATTTTGTCATAATTACATTACCTTACATTAGTGTTTATTTTACACTGGTTATACGCTAAGTGTTTTACCTACATTATCTATTTAATCCTCACAACAACCCTATAATGTAAATACTATTATCCCTATTTAATAGAAGAGGAAACTAGGGTATAATCTGCCTACCGTTAACTGGCGATTAGATGCCAAAACCTGGTTTTATCTCAGGTCTATTTGATTCTAGAGCCCCCAGGTTTTTAAACCTCTGTGCTATTTTACCTTTTATTTTGAAAATGTTAATAGTAAGACCTGCTTCGGAGTTACTTTAAGAAGTTGAATGAGTTCAATATAAAACACTGGGCTGTCTTTCTGAAGGCCCCTTTTGCCATTTGTACTTAACAATATTAATAATAGAATTTCGTTACTAGTTTTTATTTAAAATTACCAAATCCTTATTTCTCAGTTTACCACAGACTTTAATGGCTCCTGTCACTTGGTGTTTTTCAAGAATATGTTCCCAAATTGGGCTTTATTTAAGGCCCAGCCAGATAATATTTTATATAAATCATGTAATTTTTCTTAATTCGGTAAAAGAGCATCAAAACATTTAGTTGTTTTCAATTTGCGTGGCTATTGTGTAGCCAGTTGCAGTTACTCATAAGTCAGCTTAAACAGCATTATTTAAGACAATGGCAAATTTTAGGCTTCAGGCTGTCAGAAAGAGAATGCTACTGATGTGTAAAACATAGAAGGATGAAATGGAGGTTAAGCTAACTGCGTGAAATTGTAGTCACTAAAGAAATTTCACAGTTGCTTAAAATAGCTTCACTTTTGTCGTGTGTCTGTAAGCATCAGTACATGGACTGGTATCTTCAAAGCAAAAATCTAAATGTCTTTAACATATTCTAATTATAATATAAAAGCATTATTCACAAAGAAGGTTTTTTAAAACATATGAATAATGTTTGGCAACAGTTCACATTCAATGTAAGAATCACTAAGACTCCTGAGTAGCAGTAATACTAAATAATAACATAGGCCGGGGGTGGTGGCTCACACCTGTAATCCCAGCACTTTGGGAGGCAACGTGCCGGGGGGGTGGATCATGCGGTCAGGAGATCGAGACCATCCTGGCTAACATGGTGAAACCCCGTCTCTACTAAAAATACAAAAGAAATTAACTGGGCATGGTGGCGGGCTCCTGTAATCTCAGCTACTCCAGAGGCTGAGGCAGGAGAATCGCTTGAACCTGGGAGGCAGAGGTTGCATTGAACCGAGATCACGCCACTGCACTCCATCCTGGGCAACAGAGCGAGACTTCATCTCTAGAAAAAAAAAAAAACTAAATAATAACATAAATGTTTATTTAATAATAACCACTAACATTCATTAAGTTGTTATCTGAAGGTACTGTTCCAACCACTTTAAATGAATTTATAGAACCTCACAACAACTCGGTAAATTCCATTATTATCTTTATTTCGTAGTTGAGTCTTAGGCATAGAGATCTTACCTAAGATCATAGAGTGAATTAAGTATCAATATATGTTTCATGTATTTGTATAACAGAATTTTAAGTTTATTTTATGAAGTTATTTAATTGAACCCAAAATATTATTTAAAATTTTTTTATATCTGCTTTTAATATGAAATATAAATGCAGTCAGTTCTTTTACATAATTACAAATTAGGATCAGATTCTATCTAAACATATTACAACTTTCTGCCACATTTGCAGACTGCAATGCTCAAAACGAAAATAAACCCTTAAAGTAATTCAAACTGCCTTACAACTGCATTTCCTAGACATACCCACCTCAGAATCAAAATAAACTTTCCATTTATACACTAAATATTTCTTCCTGGGTTAAGATCAAAGAAAAATAAGACTCCTTGTCTTCAAGGAGTAGAAAAAATAGGCATGGAAGCCAGGTGTGGTGACTCACACCTGTAATCCCACCACTTTGGGAGGCTGAGGTAGGCAGATCACCTGAGGTCGGGAGTTTGAGACCAGCCTGACCAACATGGAGAAACCCCATCTCTACTAAAAATACAAAATTAGCCAGGCGTGGTGGCACATGCCTGTAACCTCAGCTACTCGGGAGGCTGAAGCAGGAGAATCGCTTGAACCCAGGGGGTAGAGGTTGCAGTGAGCTGAGATCTTGCCATTGCACTCCAGCCTGGGCAACAAGAATGAAACTCCATCTAAAAAAAAAAAAAAGAAAAAATAGGCATGGAAGCTGGACTGCCAGAATACTGTTGATATGATATTCTGTTTGTTGGACGAAAACATAATATCTAATGTTACGAAGGTAACCACTAAAAGAATTAAATTAAATAAAAGTTGGAAGGAAAGGGGAACTAAGAGCTCTTAAAGCTGGTATCTCATGAGCTATAGATACAACCATATTAATCTTTATGGAAGTGACCAACAGAACTAAAAACAGTTTAAATATTAATGCGTAGGCCAGGCATGATGGCTCACGCCTGTAATCCCATCCAACACTTTGGAAGACGAAGGCGAGAGGATCACTTGAGGCCAGGAGTTTGAGACCAGCCTGGGCAAAATGGCAAGACCAAGACCTCCATCTCTACAAAAAATTAAAAAAAAAAAAAAAGCTGGGTGTGATGACACACACCTGTGGTCCTAGCTATTTGGGAGGCTGAGGCTACCGGAGGATCACTCGAGCCTAGGAGGTCGAGGCTACAGTGATCCATGGTCACACCACTTCACTCCAGCTTGGGTAACAGAGCGAGCTCTGTCTCCAAATTAAAAAAGAAAAAAAGAGTTATTAAGTAGAGGGTAGAAGGTAGAGGAAATGTTTACTTCTTATTTTATAACCCTTTTATACTTTTTTTATTATGTCCACATGCATTGATTTTTTTAAAAGAATTCAATGAGATATGTGCTATAAACAAAACATACATGTATGCAATGAAAGCTCTTAGAAGGAGGGCATAACCACTTGGCAGGTCAGGTAAATATCACCACTTGCTTATGTAGGAGTTAATGCTTATAGTAAGTAGGCAAATGGTTGAGAGAAGGCCTTTTCTCTCGCAAAAGGAAAAGTTAGTGGAAAGGCACAGAGGCATGAGAGTATGGCCATCTAAGATAAATCAGATAGCTGGGTTATGATGAGAGAAGATGATGATTAGGTAAGCAGGGGCCAAATAATAGAGGGCCTTATATACCTTCATAAGAAGTTGAACTTTATTCTGTATGCAGGGGACAAAATTAAAGGATTATAAAGAGTAAACTGGTATCAGATTTGTATTTTAATAACTTTTGTTGGTGTGAACAATAGTTGATAAGGCGGAGGGGAATACTTATGCCAGAAAAATAGTTTGCCGTTTTCCAGAGGCAAGATACAAGGGCTTAAACCAACACATTGGCTGTGAAAATGAAAAAGGACAGATTTGAAATCAATTTAGGCAATAAATTTATTTATTTGGATTTATTAGACTGAATTGGAGAGAAAAGGGGTAAGTGGGGATGCTTCCCAGTGTTCTTGCTGGAGAAACTGGTAACCCTAACACAGGAGAGAGACCAGCTAGTTACAAGATGGCCCATTAAGGCAATAATGGATGGGAGAAGGGGCAGCAACAGAATAACTTTTAATAAAGCATACCCCTTAGCTGTAAATAGTTTTTTTGTTGTTGTTGTTTTGTTTGTTTGTTTTTGAGATGGAGTCTTGCTCTGTCGCCCAGACTGGAGTGCAGTGACGCGATCTCAGCTCACTACTACCTCCACCTCCTAGGTTCAAGTGATTCTCCTGTCTCAGCCTCCCCAGTGGCTGGGATTACAGGCATGTGCCACCACACCCAGCTGATTTTCATATTTTTAGTAGAAACAGGGTTTCACCATCTTGGCCAGGCTTGTCTTGAACTCCTGACCTCATGATCCACCCAGCTCCGCCTCCCAAAATGCTGGGATTACAGACCTGAGCCACCGCGCCCAGCCAACAGTTTTATTTTTGAAGAAAAATTTATTTTGAAGAAAACCTTTTTTCTTCAAAAAAGTTTTAATTTAAAAGGCCATGAATTTTATTTGGCTGCCATAATGAATTCTAAAATAGTATATTGACAGAGTAAAGCAAAAATTTTAAATGTGTGGAATGGCCTCGTTTCTTTTTTTTCTAGTTTTATATTGCTGCTCTTAAATTTTGTATAATATTGAAACTCTTGGATTATTATAGCTTTATTTTTGTATCTTTTTAAAGTTCAAATGTATTAGGTGATTACTATCTATAGGGAGATACCACAATTTAATTTGTTTTAGTAGCTTTGTTTCTTATTGTTTTCAGATATTTATAATCTTTCTTAAAGATGATCATAACTGGCCAGGCACGCCTGTAATCCTAGCACTTTGGGAGGCCAAGGCGGGTGGATCACCTGAGGTCAGGATTTCAAGACTAGCCTGGCCAACATGGCAAAAATACAAAAATTAGCCAGGCGTGGTGGCGCACGCCTGTAATCCCAGCTACTTGGGAGGCTAAGGAAGGAGAATCGCTTGAACCTGGGAGGTGGGGGTTGCAGTGAGCCGAGATCGCACCACTGCACTCTAGCTTGCGCAATGGGAGCGAGACTCCGTCTCAAAAAAATATATATATGTTGATCATAACTATTCTTTTTATGACAAATAGTGGTTGTTCAGTATTGGAGGGATAATATCAGCAGTGATGCAAAGAAATTATTTCTTCTGCCAGGGCACGGTGGCTCACACCTGTAATCCTAACACTTCGGGAGAACAAGGCAGGAAGATCACTTTGTCCAGGAGTTTGAGACCAACCTGGGCAACATAGCAAGACCCCATCTCTACAAAAATTTTTAAAAAAAAGATTTCTTCTGAAAGGCATCCTTGCTTCCATATATTATTAGGACCTTCATTTTCAGTTTTCCATTTTCTAAAATACTTTTAGTATTACCAAGGGGCTAGTTGGTTTCATTTAAAAACACTTACTATGGTATTCAAGCTTTGAGTCTGTTTTGGTTTTGTTGTTTTTTTTTTTTTTGAGATGGAGTCTCACTCTGTTGCCCAGGCTGGAGGAATGTAGTGGGGTGATCTCAGCTCACTGCAACCTCCACCTCCCAGGTCCAAGTGATTCTCCCACCTCAGCCTGCCCAGTAGCTGGGATTACAGGCACCCGCCATCATGCCTGGCTAATTTTTGTATTTTTATGGAGACAGGGTTTCACCATGTTGGCCAGGCTGGTCTGGAACTCCTGACCTCAGGTGATCAGCCCACCTCGGCCTCCCAAAGTGCTGGGATTACAAGTGTGAGCCACCGCGCCTGGCCGCTTTGAGTCATTTTTACCAATTCTTTGGATATTGGATCTCAGAAAATATAGTGGTCACATTCTCACTTCCTCAAGTTACTTTTTTTTTCATCATGTGATATTTCCTAAGTATTGGCAGAACTGAATGCACTGTTCCCAAGTGATGACCCTGGATCATTCATACTTGTAGCTAAAGTATACATAGGGGTGGGGACTGGGGATGTATTTTTTTTCCTAATGAGAGTCTCATCATTACAGTCTTACCCCTTATTTTAGGTGTATATGTAAATTCTATAGGTGTATATAGAACTCCTGTTTGTCATCACAGTATTGAAAGAAACCTAATCCTTTTTTCTTTCAGGTTTCATAGTTAGAATGGTCTAACCTAGAATGCACTGATATCATTTTCATTTTTAGGGGTTTTTTTGTATATTTTCATTGAGCTTTTTAGTTCAACATTGTATCTTTATGGAAAGATTCCTCCAATGTATTCTTAGCATCTGTAGAGCCTAGTTTAAATCAAGGTAGATGTTACTTGCTTGTTTTATAACTTTTCTTCTCAGTTTCAAGGCAGAAACTAAAGATACAAAAAGGAATAACACTTTAATGGTATAGTAAAATAAGTTTTAAACTTAGTGAGTTTCCTTAGGCATAAACTCATTGCTTTGTATTTTTTCAGAATTTAGTAAAAAGCACTCCAAGATGAGTAGTAATTTAATCTCAGATATAGTATTGGAGAATTATATTTGCCAGCTTTGTTTGTTAAAATTATAACGCTGATTTTTTTTCCCCTAATCCTCAGTATTCATCCATTGTTTCTAAGCAAGAATGCCATCACTCAAAGTGAGTATGAAAGTGTCATTAATCAGAAAGTATGGGGAAGACTTGAAGATGAACAGCAAATTTAAAACACCAGTAGATCACTAAACATGGTTTAGGTGATAATATTTTCCCTGAGAATTCGCTGACCAAATTTTGCTAAAAATAGTTTCTGTGTGATGTATTTTTCTGCTGTATGAAAGGAATAAAGTTGATTTTTTAAAATTATACTGGATATTATTAGTGTTTGGAAAAGTGACTCATTTATATTTGAGTGTATCATAATTGATTTTTCATTGGAATATCTAAATAATACAGTGCTCAGCTTTTATCATACTATAGCCATGCTTCCTTATTTTAAAATCCCTTCATTTTATTTAAAGGCAAACCTTCAATAGACCTATAAAATACAGTTATTCCTCAGATATGAATTCTCTTCAGCAGTAAAAATTTTTGCTTTTGTTCACCTAACAGCATTTTCTTCATATTGCTACATAGCATTTATAATTATTATGCTAATGGTTATATTAACTTGGTTTGAAAAACTTCTTTTAATATAAACAAAACTAGCACTTTAGGAGGATAAAAACCAAGTTTAATTACAGGTTTTAAAATATCTTAGTTTTTTTCTGTTGGTACTGTGGAATTGCTTTAATACTAACCTTTCGATTTTAAATAAAATAGTTTCCAAAATGAGAATCTATAGCTACAAGCAGTACCTCATAAGGAAAGGGAAAAAAAAAAAAGTACTGTAACATTTGTCTTGCTTCAGTCGATGTTTATGGTTTACCTTTTCAGATTAATGCAGTTAATCTGTTGAACAAAGAGCCTACTGTTTTACCATTTTGCAATTTTTGCCCTATTAATATAACATAGTATAAGGCAGTATTCCTCATCCCTGCCTGCCCATTACAATCATTTGAGTAGTAATTAAAAATACTGATGCATGGATCTCACCCCTAGATATCCTAATTTAGTTTATCTGGGGTAGGTTTTAGGGATCAGTAATGTTCAAAATATTTCCAGGTGATTCTAGTGTACTGTCAGGGTTGAGAACTCCGCTCTAAGGTAGTTTGAATTTGAAAGCTTGAGAAAATTTGGAGTGGCCATTTTCATTACAGACGAACAATGAGTAATATCCCTGAATAGTCCCTGAACTGAAAATTCTATTAAGTAGACATGATAATGGCCTCACGTACACAACTTGAACTTAACCAATACTGTGGAAGTATTAATCTTATAATAAAAGATGTTATATATTGAGCATCTAAAAAATCCAGGCTTTTCACTTTTTTTGGTGACTTCTTATAGCAATTCTGGAAGTAAATAACCCTTTTGTTGAGACAGTAAACTGAAGCTCAGTGAATGACTTACCCAAGGGGGCATACTGCTTGTAAGTGGCAGAGCCAGAACTGGACCACATACAACTTTGATTTGACAGCTTGGACTCTTTTCACTATACCATGCCGTATGAAAATTTGATATTTAGTTTGACTCAACTTAAATAATTAGTTTATCAAGGTTTTCTTAAGGTCATGTTTCTTTAGAGCCGTGGTTATTGTTACCAACAAAAATACTTTAAGTGCTTCGTATTGGAAAGTAGAGTATTTCTGACTTGGACAGGTTTATAAATGTGTAATGGTGCTGGTGGTGGTGGTAGTGGTATGATGATGGCACAAGAGTTAACAAATACTGCACTTTTTAAAAAATTCAGAAAATGTGTGTAATTCTCAAGTGTCACCTTTGTTCAGTGTTATAAATGAACTTATTTTGGAATCTAGCTATCTGGTGAGAAACAGCATAGACCAGCTTTTTGAACATTTTTGTGGCAACTAGTTGGACCTTAATTATAACAAAGATAGCTACAAAAATAGTGTGGCCTTTTTCTACATGTGAAACCTCACTTAACCCCTTACTAATCTCAGTACAGTTTGAGTAGCTGTTATCTGGAATTATTGGGACTAGAAGTGTTTTGGATTTCAGATTTTTTTCAGATTTGAGATGCTCAACCTGTAGTACCTGTAGTAGTTAAAATATTTAAACTGGGAAAACATCAACTAACCACAAAGCTGGAATTTATCCGAAGACTAATGAATAAAAATCACCTTTTTAAATGGGAAATTCGCATATTTTAAAATCCTGTTACAACTAAGGCACATTAGTGATAGAGCTGAGGTAGTTAGATATTTCTACTTCCCCCACCCAGAGAACCATATCAGAAGTTTAGAAAAATCTGACGGTCATAAGTTACATGGAAATAGAGACTCCAAAGGGAAAAGATGCAGTTTGTGTATCGTTCTCATATTTTCCTAATGATTTCTTACATTTCCCTAGTCCTAATACAATAATGGGCTAGAGTTAGATTGTCTGTACAAGTAAGACTCCTCTAATTCGTATTTTTAAAAAGGCCTACCAACTTGCTGTTAGAAGTTATATGACTTTCTTCTTTGATTTTTCTCTTGTAATGGTATTTTTCCCTAAATGTTTGAAGATTAAAAATTTTGTATGCTAGTCACTTTAAAAAGTAAAAATACTGAGGTTGGAACTTGGTTAAATCAGGGAATTAACTTTATTTGTCATTTCTTTATGCACTAGAGAATTTCTACTATTTATAAGTAGCATATATTTCATTGTGTGTGAATTTGTATGTAGTGCCAAAGATACTTAGGATTATATGGCATTTTAAATTTACTACAATCTGTAGTTAAGTTATTTATTCGCCATGAAAAACAAATATTTTCCAGTGAACACCACAAATCATATATATATATGTGTGTGCGTGTATATATATGTGTGTGTATATGTGTGTGTGTGTGTGTGTGTGTGTGTGTGTATGTATGTGCGCCCGCTAACAACACAGATTAATGCTTTTAGAGTTTGACTTTTAATAATGCTCTGCAACTTTGAGTTCCATCCATTTTCTTTTGTTTACCCTGGACTGGAACTACTCTACAAACTTTGTCAAAGGAACTTGAAATATTTTTGAAGTTTTGTCATGAAAAAAGAGGCATTTAATTTTGTTATATGAATAGTTCTCTCCCTTCGGCACACCTATATTGAGAAGCTTTGTGTCTGATTCTGGGGGAAATTAAGACATTTCCTGTCTGCTGTCAAGTTACAGGCTATTTGATGCACATTATGATGAGAACAAAGTTCTGTGAAAGTTTACTAGGAAAATCCTTACCTGAGACGAGGAAATCAAC
The DNA here is from genome assembly GCF_000001405.40 of Homo sapiens. NCBI lineage: Eukaryota > Metazoa > Chordata > Mammalia > Primates > Hominidae > Homo > Homo sapiens. The sequence continues at coordinate 86,883,976 of NC_000001.11, read as the reverse complement.
AAAAGTTTTTTTGAAAAAGGTCACATCTGAGCTGCCTGCTCATTAAAGGATATGTTTCTAATATTTTTGGTTAATCAGTTGATATTTTGTGGTGCAGAGACAAGCTTCCCATGAGTGGGTTATGGGTGTGGTAAGATACTGAGTCCTTGAGCCCTTGAGACAACCAAGTGGGGCCTGAGGTAAGCAGGGCTCCCAGGCTAGTCTTGCCCATTTAAAAGCTGCTTCATCCTTTTACTGCAGTGCTCCGTACAATCATTATCATTTCCCACATGTATCATGATATAAAGAAACAGTGGTATAGAGAAATATTATTAGGTAAGGTAGTGGAATCTCCACCAAGAGTTTCTAAAGGCTTATAAACAAAAGATAAATCTAATAACCAAATCTAAATATGGCCTTATATGCTTTTAATTATAGTAAAATGTACACTATTCACTATTTTAACTATACACTATGTATGTACACTATACACTATTTAGTGTACGTACACTATACACTAGTGTACATACACTATACACTATTTAGTGTAAAATATACACTAAAATTCACTATTTTAACCATTTTTAAGTGTAGAGTGCTATGGCATTAAGTACATTCGCATTGTTGTACAACTGTGTTAACCATCTTTCTCCGGAGTCTTCCCAAACTGAAACTTACACCCATGAAACAATAACTCCCTATTCCTTGCCCCCACTGACAACTACCATTGTGAATTTTTGGCTACTCTAGTTACCTCATTTAAACATTTGTCCTTTTGTGACTGCCTTATTTCACTTAGCAAGATGTCATTAATGTTGTAATAAGATTCGTTTATATTGTAATATGTGTCCGAATTTTTTTTTTTTTTTTTTGAGACAAGTCTCGCTCTTGTCCCCCAGGTTTGAGTGCAGTAGCTTTATCTCAGCTCACTGCAACCTCTGCTTCCTGGGTTCAAACAATTCTCCTGCCTCTGCCTCCCAAGCAGCTGGGATTAAGGCGCCTGCCACCACACCCAGCCAATTTTTGTATTTTTTAGTAGAGACAGGGTTTCACCATGTTGGCCAGGCTGGTCTCGAACTCCTGACCTCAGATGATCCGCCCACCTCGGCGTCCCAAAGTGCTGGAATTACAGGCGTGAGCCACTGCACCCAGTCAGAATCTGCTTCCTTTTAAAAGCTGGATAATGCTCTGTTGTATGTATATACCATATTTTGTTTTTCCATTCATCTGTTAATGAACACATGAGTTTTTTCCCACCTTTTGGCTATTGTGAATAATGTTGCTGTGAACATGGGTGTATAAATATCTGTTTGAGGCCTTGCTTTCACTTCTTTTGAGTATATACCCAGAAGTAGAATTGCAGATCATATGGTAATTCTATTTTTAATTTTTTGCAAAACTGCAATTCCATTTTCTGTAGCCACTGGACCACTTCTCATTCCCAACAGCAGTGTACAAGGGTTCCAATTTCTCCACATCCTCATCTCTTTTTTTTTTTTTTTTAATAATAGCTATCCCAGTGATGTGAAGTGGGATCTCATTGTGGTTTTGATATGCATTTCCCTAATCTCTAGTAATATTGACCATCCCTTCATTAGCTTATTGGTAATATGGCCTTATATTTTTCAAGATTTTTTTTCTGGAGTTGTCTAACCAAGATTAGCCATATCTTTTTGAAAAGCAACTTATTGCATAAAATTAAGTTAACCTATTCTTTCTTTCTTTCTTTTTTTTTTTTTTTTTTTTTTTTGAGACAGAGTCTTGCTCTGCTGCCAGGCTGGAGTGCAGTGGCGTGATCTCGGCTCACTGCAACCTTCGGCTCACTGCAACCTCCGCCTCCTGGGTTCAAGCAATTCTTCTGCCTCAGCCCCACGAGTAGCTGGGATTACAGGCATGCGCCACCACGCCCAGCTAATTTTTGTATTTTTAGTAGTGACGGGGTTTCACCATGTTGGCCAGGATGGTCTCTATCTCTTGACCTCGTGATCCGCCCACCTCAGCCTCCCTAAGAGCGGCAATTACAGGCATGAGCCACCATGCCTGGCCAAATTAACCTATTCTTAAAGTTTTATTGCTGCAGTGACCCTTAGAGATCATCAGAATTCTTAATCTGAAATCCATCATTGGTTTCAGAGTCCATGAACAGCCTGCATTAAAGCGAAATTCTATCAGATTCTCAGAAGGGTCAGTGACTCCCCAAAAACGTAAGAATTGATCCAGCCCAAAGTCATCAAACTGTTAAGAATCATTGTCTTTTTAGGTCACATTAAGGTAGTTTTTTAATCACTACTTTATGCCTTTCTGTATTTTCCAAACTATTTTAAATAAACATGCATAGGGCATGTGTTGTTGTTGTTGTTGTTGTTTTTAATTAAGTAAATGCTGTTTTAGAACCTGAAAAAATAAAGTCCATCTTTCTTGAACCTCCATAAAAAACAAATCTAAAAACCAAGAAGAAATGAAATGGATATGATACGTTCTTAAAATTGCCAGCCTTCTCTTATGGTCACAGCATTTCCAAGTATATTCCTGCCCTATAAAAAGAATAGTCAGGCTCTGCAACTACAAAAAAAGTGGTGTTTACCATTGAATCCATTTCAGCTGAATTCATTGCAATAAAATATTTGCATTTGAGTTTTTTATAATGAGCTTTTACTATAAAGAGAATGTGCAGGTTCTATAGCTAGAAAAGAGATACTTACCATTGAATCCATTTCAGCTAAATTTCATTAAAGGAAAATATTTGCATTTGAGTTCTTTATAATGAGATTTTACTGCTTTTCTTATAATATCTCCACATAGTACTTTCTATAACGATTGTTTTAATTTTAAAACTTTGATCACTTAATATTAAAAGCCACCAGAAAGAATTTTTATTAAGTAACTATCTTGGATAGATGATATATACCTATATTCAGTTTATCACCCTAAAAAAAAGGTAGGAAACCTTTAATATTTTGTAGCGCTTCCTAGGACATCTTACCTATTTAAAGTTTATTGTCAAATCTCCTTATCTCCTTCGGTCTTTTTGGCTAGGTTTAAGAATAATTGAAGTAGGTTGGAAGTTTCTCTACCATTTATTATACTTGGGCCTCCATCTTCTCTTCCATTAGACTGGAACTACATGGTCCTGTCTGGCTAACCAGCTTTGACATTTCTTTGATCTATATATCTGCTAACTGTAATGTTTATACTGTGAAAATTTATATTTATTTTATAAGTACATTTTTAATTTATACCAGTTTTTTAAATTCCTGTTTTTCCTTTTGTAGCTGTATGCAGGAGCTATTCTTGAAGTTTGTGGATGAAAATTGGGAAGGTTCCCTCAAGTCCAAGGTATATAAAATTTACTCCAGTAAACTGTTCAGTCATTTAAAATCAACATTTTATGTGAATCGTTTTCACTATATATTCCCAGGAATAAGAATTTTTAGGATTATACTTTCTTAACAATATATGCTTTTTTTTCAATTTGTTTTCATGGAAGTGGTTTGTTAAAGTAATTGGTGAATGCTATGTTACTTTAAAAAAAACACAATATATGAAATTTAGAGGCCAGGCGTGGTGGGTCACACTCAGCTCATGCCTGTAATCCCAGCACTTTGGGAGGCCAAGGTGGGTGGATCACGAGGTCAGGAGTTCGAGACCAGCCTGGCCAAGATGGTGAAACCCCATCTCTACTAAAAATACAAAAATTAGCTGGGCGCGGTGGCGGGTGCCTATAATCCCAGCTACTCGGGAGGCGGAGGCGGGAGAATCACTTGAACCCGGGAGGCAGAGGTTGCAGTGAGCCGAGATCACGCCACTGCACTCCAGCCTGGGCGACAGAACGAGACTCTGTCTCAAAAAAAAAAAAAAGAAATTCAGATTTAAAATACAACACATGAAGGGGTTATTTTCTTAAAAGAAGAGCCTTTCCTTTGCCGGGTGGGAATTTTGCAGGAGCCTTTCCAAGATGTAAGTGTAATTTCTTTAAGTAGCACACCGCTGTAGTTTATTTTAAATGTGAATTGATTTATGTGGAACAATTGCATTAAGAGTAGACCTGTACAAAATAACAAATCACCAAGGAAAGAAGTAATTGCCAAAGAATTTGAAATACAAAAGAGAGAAAGTCATATGTATATATCTTCACAGGGAATTTTGGGTAAACATGTTAAAGGATAATTGTGAAGGTATATTCTTTGGGTTGACATCCAATAGTAATGAGGAGCTTTGCATTGCCAAGAAAGGCTTGAACTAAGGCTTTTGTCTTGCATGTCACTTTGAAAATCAGTTTTATGAAACTGAACTTGTCTGAAGGTAATAACGCTTTCTCTCTTTTTTTTAACTGAAATACATAAGTATTCAATTTACATACCTCATTCTACCTCGATTTTTGCTGACATTCCCGTGATTTCTTGCCTTATTTAGTTAATGGCAAGAGAATTTTTTGGATTTAATATTTTATAACATTGCCTGTATTAGCACATGCTTTTTATTGCTGACCTAGAATTGTTTATAATAAAATATTGATCATTTGGCACAGAAATGTAATATAGTAGTTTGACTTGGGATACTTAATGAGGCCCAAAGCAGATACATATCTAATCAAAAACAGTCTTTGTTAGAATAACACATTCTGATGTAGCAAAGAAGATATTTACTTTTGCTTGGGAAAAAAATTTCTTACTCTGATTTATTTATTTATTTATTTTGCCTCAAACACTTAAACTCAGAATTGTACCACAGTTGTTTTGGCTTTTTTATATCCATTCTCTGAATGATAGTGTGAGCATTCTTATTTCTAGAAAGTTTTAGCAATTGATTTTTAGCTGCATTGATTATTTATACTTACTTGTTTTATTAAAAACAACATTTTATAACTTAGATTTTCATGAGAATCAAGAGTAGCTTAGATACTGTGATTGGCCTTCCTAGTTATGATATCAGATTTTATTATCTACCGTAATATATATTTCTTATGTAAATTATCAAACCTTGGGTATATATATCATACTGTCTTTTCCTTTTGAAAACAATTGAATTTTAATGCTTTGTGTAAATATTTAATTATCTACTTGCTTAAAATAAAAATTATTAATTCCATAATGTGTAACTGTATTTAATATTGTTATGTATAATACCAGTATTTTCTGAGCCCGTGAAAAGTTGTTATAATTGTGATAAAACCATTATTAAATTCCCACCCTCAGAATTTCCATCTTAAAGATATTCTGAAATAGAACATGGAGAGTTGTTGATTTATACAGTAATTACAAATACCAAACTAACTTTCATGTCTTCACTGCTTCATATTCTTTTCTCTCTTTTTTTTTGAGACAGAGTCTCACTGTCGCCCACACTGGAGTGCAGTGGCGCAATTTCAGCTCACCGCAACCTCTGCCTCCCAGGTTCAAGTGATTCTCCTGCCTCAGTCTCCTGAGTAGCTGGGACTACAGGCGCACGCCACCACACCCAGCTAATTTATTTTTATTTTTAGTAGAGGCGGGGTTTTGCCATGTTGGCCAGGCTGGTCTCGAACTCCTGACATCAGGTGATCCGCCTGCCTTGGCCTCCCAATGCTGGGATTACAGGCATGAGCCACCACACCCAGCCACTGCTTCATATTCTTTATCTTCAACATCAAGTAGCTTCTGGGATTATCATGATAACCTACATTATACTCTAGCTTATAATACATTGTCAGTTTTTAAGGTCACTTAATTTAAATTAACCATTTCATGAAACAAGAGTAAATTAATGTTAAATTATTTCAGGAGGAAGGATTTAAATTTTGGTATGTTTTACCTATATTAAACCACTCACAGTTGTGTAAAAAAAAATCTCAGATCATATTTCTTAGTCAATTCCAAATATGCCTTCTAAAATACCTTTTTTTCCTTATTCTAGTTGTTTAAATATAGAAGGCTGTCTATAATAATTTCTCATAGTAGATTTTGTCTAGTATTCTGTCACTTCACTTGTGACATCCTAAGTAATCATGTTTTTTTTCTCTCGCTTGAGTCTTCTGTGTTAAGAATGTGGCTGTCTCTCAGAAAGTAATGTGGTTTGTCCCTAATTTTGTATGGGCTTGGCAAACTTTCTATAAAGGACTAGATAGTAAAAGTTTTCAGCTTTATAGGCACCATGGGCTCTGTCATAACTATCGAACTCTGCTATTATAGCATGGAAGCAGCCATAGACAGTTCTTAAACGAATGCACGTCACTGTGTTCCTGTAGAACTTTATTAAAAAAAGCAAGCAGGACAGATTTGGCCCGTGGGCCTCCGTTTGGCAACCTCTGTATTAGAATCATAAACGTTCAGACGCAAAAAGGAGTTTTGAAATAATGTAGTACAAATTGAGCATCCTCATAATTCAAAAATCTTAAATCTAGAATGCTCCGAAGTCTGAAACTTTAAAAATACTGCATAAAATTACCTTCAGGCTTTATGTATAAGGTATATATGAAACATAAGTGAATTTCAGGTTTATATTTGGGTCCTATCCCCAAGATATGTCATTCTATGTATGCAAGTATTTCCAAATCCAAAAAATAAAACATTTATGGTCCCATGCATTTCAGTTAAGGATACTCAACCTGCTGCTCATGCCAACTATGATTGATTGGTAGACATGCTTAAGGTTACAGTGCTTCATTGGAGTTTTGTTGGAAAGAATACTGATCCATTAGCATTATCTTCATTGATTTTCTTGTTTATAAAATGGGTTACAGATGAGGTATAATAGGTTAAATATCTACCTTATAGGGCTGTTCTGAGGATTAATGAGATAACATGTAAGTCACTTAGTATGTGTCTGGCACCACCAAAAACAGAGTAAATCATTCCATAATTCTATAAATATTTATTGATGCTTACTGTATGACAATCACTATTCCAGTAATGAAGATGTTAAATGGTAAGTATTGTTATTGTATCTTATATTTGCTCCTTGGTTAATAATAAGTTTCAATTATGAACCATCAAACATTTATATACTCATATATTGGCCATCTTTAAAAAACATTCAAGTCAATATGTATTATAACTGCAGCCTTTCTCATATGCAATATTCTGAATATTGACCTCTAGCCATTTTTCAAAGTACCCTAATAGGGCTTCTCTTTCTACTGTTTTACCTCCTGACTACTAAATCTTACTTGGCCCTAGCCTTTGAAACTGTCTTCACTTGTGTGACTTCATTATCTCCTAGCTTTCTGCTACTTCTAACATTTCTTTCTCTTCTGTTCTGGCATCTCTTCTACTGCCTGCACTTCAAACGTTGTTGTTAGTCAGGGTCTATTATCTTGAGATTTTCTTCTCTTCTGACTCTACCGAATGGTGTCCCACTCCCTCAGTTTCAATTACAGTACTTATCTGATGACTACCAATCTATATCTTTACATAAAGTTTTGTTAGAAATTGTATTTCTTATATTTTTTTACTTCCATGGGACATTTCCATTTAGATGATTTCATAGGTACCTTAAACCAATATACATATAAGAATCACCTGGAGATCTTCTTAAAATACAGAGTACAATTCTATAAATTTGGGATGGGTCCTGAGAGTCTATATTTCTTACAGTCCTACAGACTGTGGTCCACATTTTTAATACAAAGGCTTTAAACACAGCATGTCCAAAAACTGTATTAATCCTCTTCTCTGTTAAAAGTATACCATCTTCCCTGTTTCTATAAATGGCATTATGATCAGGCAAAGGCATAAGCATGAAACACAAGAATCATGATTGATCTTTCACACGTTATATCCAGTTAGTCACCATGTTGTGTCTCTTCTCCCTCAGTAATAACCTTCATAGTCCCTTTCTCTTTTCTGTATTTTCAATCAGGACCTTAACATCTTTATCCAAAAGGATTAGGTACTTGTTATCTAGTCTGCCTCTTTTCCCTTTTCTTACTTCATTACCTCTTCAACACAACAACCAAAAGAGACCCTTCTCATAAAACAAATCTGATTGTGTCTCTCTCTTGCTTAAAATCCTTTATAGTTCTCTGTCACATACAAAATCAAATACAAGACCCGCCATGACATGGTTTCTCTTCTAGATTCACATCTCTAGTTTATGCAAAACTATGTGCAACTCTCTGAGCTCTGACTTCTGTGTGTTTGCACACACTGAATATTCTTGCTAACTTGTGCTGCTTCCTAATTCTTGTGGCAAATTCCAGTTCATTCAAAATTTAGCTCCAGCATTGTTTTTGGGTGGTGTTTAAACAGTGTTTTACTTTTCTCTTTATGTTCCATAACACCTCCTACATAAGATTATATTTGGCGTACTGGTCTTTTGCCTCTATCAAACTAGAAGTCTTTAGAACTCAAAGTTTGTGTTCTGTTTTTTGTTTTTTAATCATTGATATACCCAAAATCTATGTAACATTGCACCTGGTATTAAGAGGAATTGAAATATTTATGGAATGAATGCACTGATTTATTAAATTTATCTAATTCAAGGGATGCCCCCACTTTTGACAAGTGAGAATCTGGTGAAAAGCCTGTGTTTCCATTTGTTATATGCCCTTGATGAATTTACAGGATTCAAACGTTTATAAAAAGTTCTCATCTTTTCCTAAAAGTCATAATTTTTTAGTTTGTCTTGTCTTCATTTTGTACCTCCAGTCTTCCTACATTCTCTTAAGTTGCCCTTCTCTGTTTTCAAGTGCTTCTAAATTGTCCTAATGGGATGACACAATTTTGCAGTCCAGATGTATATAATAGTAAATTTTCTTTTCTTTTTTGTTTTTTTTTTTTCGAGACGGAGTCTCACTTTGTCTCCCAGGCTGGAGTGCAGTGGCGTGATCTCGGCTCACTGCAACCTCCACCTCCCAGGTTCCAGCAATTCTCCTGCCTCAGCCTCCCAAGTAGCTGGGATTACAGGCATGCGCCACCACACCCAGCTAACTTTTTTGTGTGTGTATTTTGGTAGAGATGGAGTTTCACCATGTTGGCCATGCTGGTCTGGAACTCCTGACCTCGGGTGATCTGCCCATCTTGGCCTCCCAGAGTGCTGGCATTACAGGCATGAGCCACCATGCCCAGCCAATTTTCTGTTTTAGAAATACTTTTTTGATTACTGAATAGCTTTTGTTGAACACAGTTGAGAATTAGGTTGTCTATTGTTGCCATTCTCTATATTGATGTTTCTGGATATGGTATGACATTGTTATTTAGAGTATGTTCTAATTCAAATATACTTATTTCTAATCAACAGGATTATATTTTGTCCGAGTATATTTTGTCTCTTTTTTCATTTATATTTTCACGTGTTTGTGATTTTGAAAATAACATAATTCAAACATTTTTCTTTAACCTCAGAACATATACTTCTTTGTTATCCCCCCATTTCCACATATACCCTCTTTCTAGAACAAGGAGGAGGACAGATGTGGGTTTGGGTTTTGGGGTTTTTTTTTTAATACTCCTTAATACTTTTTTAAAAAATACTCCTTTTTAATACTCCTTAAAGTTAGCTCTAAATCCCTTGACATTCTGAGCAGTGTGTATAGCAAAACTTAGCTCTTCTAGGGGGCAGCATGAATGACTTGCTAAGTCCTAAGGGAAAAACTGAAACATTTAATCTGTCTTTAAATCACTTCTGTTTGTTTGATCACTCTGAGTGTTATTTACAAAATTGCCTTTATTAGTGACAAATAATTAAATTGACATAGGAACATTTTCTGGAAATTAGAGTGATTGGATTTTCTTTAGAAATCTCCAAATTGGTGGCTGGGCAAGGTGGCTTACGCCTGTATTCCCACCACTTTGGGAGGCCGAGGCAGGCAGATCACGAGGTCAGGCGTTCGAGACCAGCCTGACTAGCATGGTGAAACCCCGTCTCTACTAAATATACAAAAAAAAAAAATTAGCAGGGAATCATTATTTGATTTTTTTATTGTGTGACCCACATAGTATGACACCATTTCTTTAGTCTTTTTTTTTTTAAGCTTTCATTGAACACATTTGAGAATTTGGAATTTTTTGCTTTCTGCCCATAATGGTAGAGAAGAAAATTGAGAGAAACGCTTCTAATGATTAAATGGATCAGAAAATGAATGCAAAGAGATAAAATAACACTTTAGACCTGGAGTGACCAACTAGCCAAACATGGCTGTTTTAAATAATTTTTTTTTTTTTTTTTTTGAGACGGAGTTTCACTCCTGTTGTTCAGGCTGGAGTGCGACAGCGCAATCTTGGCTCACCACAACTTCCACCTTCTGGGTTCAAGTGATTTTCCTACCTCAGCCTCCCAAGTAGCTGGGATTACAGGCATGCACCACCACGCCCAGCTAATTTTTTGTATTTTTTGTAGAGATGGGGTTTCTCCATGGTGGTCAGGCTGGTCTCGAACTCTCGACCTCAGGTGATCTGCCTGCCTCAGCCTCCCAAAGTGCTGGAATTATAGGCATGAGCCACCGTGCCCAGCCTAATTTTTTAAAATTATATAAAACTAAACATTCAGTTCCTTAGACACACTAGCTACATTTCAGATGGTCAGTAACCACCATACCAAAAAGAACAGATGAAGAATATTTCCTTTATCTCAGAAAGTTCTATTAGAAAGTCCTATTCTAGACTCTAATGATGGTAAAATTGATCATATGAGCAGAAGCTCAGACTCTGAAACCTCATTTGACAATATCCTGAATGAATTTTCTCAGAAATCAAGAGTGAGTAAACAATATATTACCAAGGTCAGAAAGGAAATAATAGTATTGTTTGTTTTGTTTTGTTTCTTTGAGACGGAGTCTCGCTGTGTTGTCCAGGCTGGAGTGCAGTGGCGGGATCTCGGCTCACTGCAACCTCTGCCTCCCAGGTTCAAACAATCCTCCTACCTTAGTCTCCCAAGTAGCTGGGAATACAGGCATGCACCACCGTGCCTGGATAATTTATTTTTTATTTTATTTATTTATTTATTTATTTATTTATTTATTTATTTATTTATTTATTTTAGACGGAGTCACACTGTCGCCCAGGCTGGAGTGCAGTGGCGCTTGCAGTGATTTTGGCTCACTGCAAGCTCCGCCTCCCAGGTTCACGCCATTCTCCTGCCTCAGCCTCCGGAGTAGCCGCGCTACAGGCGCCTGCCACCACGCCAGCTAATTTTTTGTATTTTTAGTAGAGACGGGGTTTCACCGTGTTAGCCAGGATGGTCTCAATCTCCTGACCTCGTGATCCTCCCACCTCGGCCTCCCAAAGTGCTGGGATTACAGGCGTGAGCTACCACGCCGGGCCCGTGCCTGGCTAATTTTTGTATTGAGACGGGGTTTCCACCATGTTGGCCAGGCTGGTCTGTAACTCGACCTCAGGTGATCTGCCCGCATTCGTGGCTCACGGCTATAATCCCAGCACTTTGGAAGGCCGAGGCGGGTGGATCACCTGAGGTTGGGAATTCGACACCAGCCTGACCAACATGGAGAAACCTCGTCTTTACTAAAAATACAAAAAAAAAAAAAAACATTAGCTGGGCGTTGTGGCGCATGCCTGTAATCCCAGCTGCTCGGGAGGCTGAGGCAGGAGAATCGCCTGAACCCGAGAGGCGGAGGTTGCGGTGAGCCAAGATCGTGCAATTGCATTCCAGCCTGGGCAACAAGAGCGAAACTATGCCTCAAATAAAAAACAAAACAAAACAAAAAAAGAGCCAGAGTAAAAAGTTACAGCCTATTAGAAATGTATTTGGAATCTGGAATCAGTATTTACAGCTTGGCTGTGTTCCCATTTCATGCATGATAGTCAATGAGCAGTTAGTTGCATTCAAAGCACATTGCTCATTTTGGTTATATTTACCTTCAAAATCAGGAAAATACGGAATAAATATTTGCGTTTATGTGGTTAATACTCACTAAACTTTTGAATAGATTTGTTTTTCACTATCCCTTTCTTTTGTAAAATTATTCATAAAATCATTTAAAAATACAAAAATAAACAGAGTTCACTGAACCCAGATGGTAAATGGTGGTGATGACTATTTTTTCTTGTATACCGAAAGTTATTAATAGAATATTCCAGCTGCCCTCCTCCAGAATCTTTTAAAAGAAAAAAAAAAGTCTCTTTAAGGTTGCCATAAGCTCCATTATTTCTTTTCTTGGACTTTATTTGCTATTTGCATATTTAATGACTCATGCAGCTATAGAGCACATGAGGTGATTACAATGTGATCAAGTCAGAAGAATACAACAAATAATATTATGTATTCAAATACCAATCTTTTTATACAATTTTAAAATTCACCATCGTTATTTTGCTTATAATTTGTAAAACATCTTGAGTTTTTTTCTCATTCATAAATGAGCCATGATGTATGTTTACATTGAGAAATTAAATACAGTGGTAGGTTTAGTAATAAAATAGAGGCCAAAATCTTTGAACTTGAGGAACTGTAGTTTTTCCTGACTGGCTGAAGATCCACCAGCACAGTTGCCTTTCTTAGCATACATTTTTATTATACTTTTTCAGTTTACTTTCTTCAGTAAAACATTTGAAGTTGACTTTGGGGCTATTTTGACTATTAAGAAATATCAAATTTTAGGAGTATTTTGAAGTAGTAAGAGAAAATTCTTTTGAATCCTTTAGTATTATGTCAAAAGAAGGACTGTTTTATGTTCAAGTGAACATAAATTCTCAGTTCTTATTTTGTTTCTTGTTTCTTTATGACTCTAACATACTAAGATCTCCTTGCTCTGAACTTAGAGTACTTATTGTCAATTGTTAAATTAACGACATTGTTTTTATTATCACCTTATCTTTTTATTTGTTGCAGATCTGTTTAAGCAGACTGTAGATGTATTGACATTAAAGAACTCAGTTTCCTCATATTCTCATGTAGCTTATCGAATGCCATGTGTATATAATGAGTACTCAAATATTTGTTAAAAGATTTATTTACTGCCTGTAAAATGTGATTTGCTGCTACAAGGTATTTAACAGATATTCAAAATTAGGAAGCTATGGATCTACGTTTAGCAGAGAGAGAAAAGGAAAGAACTGATGAAAAATAGTAATTAGTGACTCATCTTAGTATTCCTTTTAAATTTGTTCACTTATTGCAGTCTGTTAAAAAAAAAAAATCTTTTTACTGGCCGGGCACAGTGGCTCACGCCTGTAATCCCAGCACTTTGGGAGGCCGAGGTGGGCAGATCACGAGGTCAGGAGATTGAGACCATCCTGGCTAACGCGGTGAAACCCCGTCTCTACTAAAAATAAAAAAAAATTAGCTGTGCGTGGTGGCGGGTGCCTGTAGTCCCAGCTGCTGGGTAGGCTGAGGCAGGAGAATGGCGTGAACCCAGGAAGGCGGAGCTTGCAGTGCGCCGAGATCGCGCCACTGCACTCCAGCCTGGGCGACAGAGCAAGACTCCGTCTCAAAAAAAAAAAATATTTTAATAAGTGAACTATTTATTAAGTATGCTAAGCTCTGTTATGGATCCAAAAATATATGTATAAAAATAGTCCTTTTACCAGAAGGTTTCGTATGTAGTAGAGAAGGCATGTAGACACAGTTACTGCGTGTTACATAGTATTTTGCACAGACATGCAAATAGCATTTGCCAGAGGAACAGCATAAAAGGCAATAAAAATCATAAGATCATTTTTGTTTGGGGATTCAGGAGTTTGCAGAATATCTGGAAAAATCCTAAAGGATAAAGTTAATAGAAATGATGTTTTAATAAGCCAGAATAGCATAATTGGTTTCATTTTGAAATAAATTTTGTAGGGGAGGATTAGGTGAGATATTTGAGTCAAATGTGTGAAGACGTTCACAATGAAGCAAATCTATAGTGCTATTGCTATCTAATTCTAAAGTAAAAATAAGTTCTCAAAAGCATGTGTGTCACTATAAAATCTAAGATGAGAATTATGCAAATGATCAATAACTGGTATTAACGATCAAGTATCTAAATGAAACAATTGTTTTTATTTTAGAAAAATGTATTACAGTGGCTCACGCCTATAATCCCAGCACTTTGGGAGGCCAAGGCAGGCGGATCACAAGGTCAGGAGATCGAGACCATCCTGGCTAACATGGTGAAACCCCATCTCTACTAAAAATAAAAAAATTAGCCAGGTGTGGTGGCACGTGTCTGTAGTCACTGCTGCTTGGGAGGCTGAGGCAGGAGAATCACTTGAACCCGGGAAGCAGAGGTTGCAGTGAGCCGAGATTGCGCCACTGCACTCCAGCCTGGGCAAGACCGAGGCTGACCCCGCGCTCAGCCGAGTGAGACCCCGTCTCAAAAAAAGAAAGAAAGAAAGAAAGAAAAGAAAAGAAAGAAAGAAGGAAGGAAGGAAGGAAAGAAGAAAGAAAGATGTATTACACACCTTTTAATTTGAATTAATTAGGCATGATCATTATTGAAAATTGGTAAAGTATAGATTGATAACAACCAAAACGGGAAAATATTCATTTAAAACTTTCCCAAATAAATGCCCCATGTATAGGCCTCTATTAAAATAATAACAGTAAACATTTTTTGAACCACTTTATATATTTTAAGATTTGTTTAGAGCTTTTTCATTTGCACGGGAAAATATTCGCCTTTTTAAAACAACAGTAGGAAACAAATTGAAAAAGAAAGGAAAAATCCTTGCTTTTTACACATAAAAGTTTTCTTTGTCACTAAATATAGATCATAATTTTTCAATGATTATGTGGTACATATTAATTTGTTTAACCAATATCGTTTTACACATTTAGATTATTTCCAAATTTTCAGACTTGGTTTAGCGAGACTTTTTATAAGTTATTTCCTCAGAATAAAGTCCTAGAAGTGTACTTGCAGGTTTACAAAGTACGTACATTTTAAGACTCTTGGTTGATTTTGCTAAATACCCTTCAGGAAGGATGTGCCTATTTATATTCCTCCCATAGCTCATTCCCAGCAAAATCCCTGTCCCTGTTCCCTCTCTAACCTTTAGTATTCTTTGTAATCTTTGTAATTCCGAATGTGAGTACCTCATTGTTATGGCATTTCTTCAATTATATGTGAAGTTGAACATTTATTTCAAATGTTTATTGACCATTTGTATATTTGTACATATTGCTATACATAGTGTTTTTTCTTAATTATTTGTAAGAGCCCTTTTATATATTAGATGTTAGAGATAATTTTCTTCAGTTTATCATTTTTATTTTTAATTTGCTTATGGTGGTGTTTTGCTGTCCTGATGTTTCCATTTTTACATAGGCGTATCTATAAAACATTTCCTTTTGGGTCATGCTTAGGAGTAGATTTTTGTGTTCCATATTTATGTAAGTTCTCTGTGCTGTAGGCTTTGGTAGTATTTTTAACCTCTCCTTTTTAGCAGTTATCATGACTCATTAGTTCTGTGATTTTTTTTTTCTATAAACAGTTTGGCACCTTTCTCAGAAGTGTTTATTGAGTAACTCATACACACTGCCAGACAAACATATATCTCTTTTTCCCTCTCCCCTTCCCCTCTCCCTCTCTCTGATTTGATAGCTTTAGCACATTAAAAAATTCTTACAGACATTTTTATCTCTTTTAATTTCCTATTCTATTCTTTTATCTGTTCTGGTATCAGTATCACATAGTATATTAATAACAATGGAACAAATTCTCTCTCCATATCTTTTTAAAAACTGCCCTGACTATTCTTACACATTACTCTTAAAATTGAGCTGTACTGTCTATCACTTTTGTCAAACCTTAAAATCCTATTGGAATTTGGGATTTCTATTAATTTGAAACAATTAGTGTCTTAAAATATTGGAGAATATGGTATGTCTCTCCATTTATCCACAGATGTTTAAATTTTCTTAGTTTTTTCATATAGGATATAATGTTTGATTTGTTGTTTATTTCCACTTTTATATTAATCTTTTTAGCTAGCTTGGATTTGGAAGTGAACTACTGAATCTTTTTTTCTTTTTTTATAAGCTTTTGTTAGGAGTGATAAACCCAAACTGTTCAGAGGACTGCAAATCAAGGTAAGGTGATTGTAGTGGAGATCTCTTTTTTCCAGCCTTAATTTCTTTATTTTATAATTAAAGTAAATATTTGAATAAATGGTTTCCCCCATAAACATGTGCAAATATTATGTATCAATTTAAATTTTTAATTTCACTGAAAAATAATTTTTTTAAATTAATAGACTTTATTTTTTTAGAGCACTTTTAGGTTTATGAAAATTTGAATGCAAAGG
Organism: Homo sapiens; assembly: GCF_000001405.40. Classification (NCBI taxonomy): domain Eukaryota; kingdom Metazoa; phylum Chordata; class Mammalia; order Primates; family Hominidae; genus Homo; species Homo sapiens. The sequence continues at coordinate 86,867,837 of NC_000001.11, read as the reverse complement.
AAAGAGTATTCCCATATACTCCCTGGCCCCCACCCCCACCCTCAGTTTTCCTGTTGTAACATCTTGCATTGGTGTGGTACATTTGTTACAATTGATGAATCAATATTGATATATTAATTAAATTTAATAGTTCGCATTAGCATTCATTCTTTGTGTTGTATAATTATAGGAGTTTTGCCAAATGCATAATATTACATATCTACCATTACAGTATCATACAGAATAGTTTCACTGCCCTAAGAAATCTCCAATCCTCACACGTTCAGGTCATTTCTCTCCCTCTTCCCCACCCCCTGGCAACCACTGATTTGTTGTTGTTGTTGTTGTTGTTGTTGTTGTTGTTGTTGAGACGGAGTCTTGCTCTGTTGCCCAGGCTGGAGTGCAGTGGCACCATCTTGGTTCACTGCAACCTCTGCCTCCTGGGTTCAAGCAATTCTCATGTCTCAGCTTCCTGAGCAGCTTTATTACAGGAGCACGCCACCATGCCCAGCTAGTTTTTTTGTATTTTTAGTAGAGATGGGGTTTCGCCACATTGGTCAGGCTGGTCTCAAACTCCTGACCTCAAGTGATCCACCTGCCCCAGCCTCCCAAAGTGCTGGGTAATATTACAGGTGTGAGCCACTGCGCCTGGCCACCACTGATTTTTTTATTATCTCTATAATTTTGCCTTTTCCAGAATGTTATATATTTGGAACCATACAATATGTAGCCTTTTCAGATTGGCTTCTTATTACTGAATATTACTCGTTATTACCAGTTTTGTCATTCACCTGTGGAAGGACATCTTGATTGCTTCCAATTTGGGGCAATTTTGAGTAAAGCTAATATAAATATTTTTGTGTAATTTCTGTGTACACATAAGTTTTCAACTCATTGAGGTAAATAACTGAGTGCAATTGCTGGGTCATACAGTTAAGATTGTTTAACTTTGTAAGAAACTGCAAAACTGTCTTCCAAAGTGATGACATCATGTTGCATTTGCCCTAGCAGTGATTAAGAGGTCCTATTGCTCCACATCCTCACCAGCTTTAGGTATTGTTACTGTTTTGGATTTTAGTTGTTCTAATAAGTATGTGATGATATTTCATTGTTATTTTAATTTGCAATTCCCTAATGATACATGATTTGAATATCTTTTCATTTGTTTATTTGCCATCTGTGTGTCTTTGGTGAGATGTCTGTTCAGATCTTTTGCCCTCTTTTTTTAAATTGTGGTAAAAAATATTAAATGTACAATCTTAACCAATTTTAAGTGTACTACAGTCCAGTATTAAGTATTTTCACATTGTTCTGTAACAGTTCTCTATAACTTTTTCATCTTGTGAAACTGAAACTCTACGCCCATTAAACACTTAATTTTATCTTTCTGTGCCCACCACCACCCCCGCCCTCCTGCCAGCCCGTGACAACTACCTGTTTTCTGTTTCTATAGTTTTGACTACTTCAGATACTTACTATGAGTGGAATCATATAGTATTTGTCCTTGTGACTGATTTACTTGGATCAGGGTTCATCCATGTTGTATTGTGTGACAGGATTTCCTTCCTTTTTAAGAATGCATAGTATTCCACTACACACACACACACACACACACACACACACACACAGAGACACACACTTTTTTTTTTTTTTTTTTTTTTTTGGACATGGTCTTACTCTGTCACCCAGGCTGGAAGGCAGTGATGTGATCACAGCTCACTGCATCCTCACCCTCTAAGGCTCAAGCAATCCCGCCACCTCAGCCTCCCAAGATTCTGAGACCACAGGTACACACCAACATGACCAGCTAATTTTTTTTATTTTTTTATAGAGATAGGGTCTTGCTATGTTGCCTAAGCTGGTCTTGTATTCCTGGGCTCGGGCGATCCTCCTGCCTCAGCCTTCCAAAGAACGGGGATTTACAGGCATGAGCCACTGTGCCCAGCTCCCATTTTCTTTACCCATGCATCCATCAGTGGACATTTGAGTTGCTTCCATCCCTTGGCTATTGTAAATAATGCTTTTATGACATTTGGGTGTGCAAATACCTCTTCAAGGCCCTTTTCTTAGTTCTTTTGAGTCTATATTCCAAGAAGTGGAATTGCTGGATCATATGGTAATTCTATTTTTAATTTTTTGAGGAACCTCTATACTGTTTTCCGTAATGACTTCACCATTTTACAGTCCCACCAACAGGGCACAAGTGTTCCAATATCTCTATATCCTTGTCAACACTTGTTATTTTCTGTTTTTTGGTAGTAGCCATCCTAATAGGTATGAGGTACTGTCTCACTGTGGCTTTGATTTGCATTTCTCTTAAAATAAATGGTGTTGAACATTTTGTTGACCATTTGTTTATCTTCTTTAGAACATTGTTTATTCAAGTCCTTTGCCCATTTTATAATTGGGATTTTTGGTTGTTGTTGTTAAGTTGTGGAGGTTCCATCTATTCTGGATATTAAACCTTTATCAGATATATATGATTTGCAAATATTTTCTCCCCTTCTCTGGGTTGTCTTTTCATTCTGTTCATTGTTTCATTTGATGCACTGAAGTTTATAAGTTTGAGTGGTCCTGTTACTGTTTTTGTTTTTTTGCCTACTTTTAAATTGAGGTTTTTTGTTTGTTTGTTTGTTTGTTTGTTTGGTAAGCTGAGCTTTAAGAGTTCTTTGTATATTTTGAATACAAGTTCTTTATCAGATAGGTGTTTTGCAACTGATTGTGGCATATAATTCCTTATACACATTGCTGGATTTGACTGCTAATATTTTGTTGAGGATTTTTACAACTATATTATATCTAATTTCTTATTTCCTTTTGGGATTATAATAAGTTTTTTAATAAATAAACATTTTTAAATATTGGGATCTCAAATCCAAGCAAAAAAGAAAAAAAAATCCTTAACTTAAGAAGTAACCTGACCGGCTGGGTGCGGTGGCTCCCACCTATGTAATCCCAGCACTTTGGGAGGCGGAGGTGGGCAGATAACCTGAGGTCAGGAGTTCGAGACCAACCTGGCCAACATGGTGAAACCCCATCTCTACTAAAAATACAAAATGCCGGGTGTGGTAGCAGGGGCCTGTAATCCCAGCTACTCGGGAGGCTGAGGCAGGAGAATTGCTTGAACCCAGGAGGCAGAGGTGGCAGTGAACCGAGATCACGCCATTGCACTCTAGCCTGGACAACAAGCGAAACTCCATCCCAAAAAAAAAAAAAAAGTAACCTGACCAAAAATGGTTAAGTAGTAATGTTATTATTGATTCATTAGCCTGGATGGCCTATTTTCTAAACTCCACAAATGGGTTGGGAATATACCAAGTGTTAATAATCACATCTGAGCTAGTCTCCATCTTTGGAGTTCACAACCCCAGAATACCCTAGATAAACTGAAGCATAATTCTGGAAGAAGTTCTAAGAACTCTGTCATCACTGCCGAACTACATAACTACATTGTTAGTTATCCAATGCTACTTAATTTAAAATTGGATATTTGATCTCTTAATGAATGGCTGTTGTCACATTTACCCAGAATTAGAATTTCTCAGAGCTCTCTGGAGAAATATTGGACCCAACTAATGGATTTGAAGTTTCAGGAACCCAGCCTAATTCTAAACTGATTACAAATAAAATCATTAGATTTGTTAAGCCAAGAAAAATGTATGATCCAGTATGTGATTGATTCTGTGTCTGCAAATTTATATGCACAGCGTATTTTAAAACATTGCTCTTATACCATCATTTTCTCAACTATTTTGAACTTGTCTGCCTCCATTCAATTTTAAGTTCATTTGAGAGTATCATGTGGGCATTACATACTTGTTAATTTCAATAATAAGCTCAAATCCCCAATAAACTGTCTTGCTACTAATAGATATTTTTCTCTTTAAAAGTAAAGTAATTTCACTTGCTTCTAGTCCCAGGGAGGCTGAGGTGGGAGGATCACTTGAAATCGGGAGGTGGAGGTTGCAGTGAGCTGAGATTGTGCCACTACACTGCAGCCTGGGTGACAGAGCAAGACCCTTTCTCATGAATGAATGAATGAATGAATGAGTGATTTTTTTAATTCTCCTTTTTTTCCGAAATCCTGTAAAACTCTTCTCCTTAAAGATTTCCTTTAAGACTTGTTTATTGTCATGTCTAAAAGCCTTTTTTTAATTACTAAATTTAAACTGGATTGAATTGCTTTGTCTTAGATGAGGCTGAGAAGGTTGTTTCTGAACAGAAAGTAATGATGACGTCCCTCTTTTTTGTAGTATGTCCGTGGTTCAGACCCTGTATTAAAGCTTTTGGACGACAATGGGAACATTGCTGAAGAACTGAGCATTCTCAAATGGAACACAGACAGTGTAGAAGAATTCCTGAGTGAAAAGTTGGAACGCATATAAATCTTGCTTAAATTTTGTCCTATCCTTTTGTTACCTTATCAAATGAAATATTACAGCACCTAGAAAATAATTTAGTTTTGCTTGCTTCCATTGATCAGTCTTTTACTTGAGGCATTAAATATCTAATTAAATCGTGAAATGGCAGTATAGTCCATGATATCTAAGGAGTTGGCAAGCTTAACAAAACCCATTTTTTATAAATGTCCATCCTCCTGCATTTGTTGATACCACTAACAAAATGCTTTGTAACAGACTTGCGGTTAATTATGCAAATGATAGTTTGTGATAATTGGTCCAGTTTTACGAACAACAGATTTCTAAATTAGAGAGGTTAACAAGACAGATGATTACTATGCCTCATGTGCTGTGTGCTCTTTGAAAGGAATGACAGCAGACTACAAAGCAAATAAGATATACTGAGCCTCAACAGATTGCCTGCTCCTCAGAGTCTCTCCTATTTTTGTATTACCCAGCTTTCTTTTTAATACAAATGTTATTTATAGTTTACAATGAATGCACTGCATAAAAACTTTGTAGCTTCATTATTGTAAAACATATTCAAGATCCTACAGTAAGAGTGAAACATTCACAAAGATTTGCGTTAATGAAGACTACACAGAAAACCTTTCTAGGGATTTGTGTGGATCAGATACATACTTGGCAAATTTTTGAGTTTTACATTCTTACAGAAAAGTCCATTTAAAAGTGATCATTTGTAAGACCAAAATATAAATAAAAAGTTTCAAAAATCTATCTGAATTTGGAATTCTTCTGGTTTGTTCTTTCATGTTTAAAAATGATGTTTTTCAATGCATTTTTTTCATGTAAGCCCTTTTTTTAGCCAAAATGTAAAAATGGCTGTAATATTTAAAACTTATAACATCTTATTGTTGGTAATAGTGCTTTATATTTGTCTGATTTTATTTTTCAAAGTTTTTTCATTTATGAACACATTTTCATTGGTATATTATTTAAGGAATATCTCTTGATATAGAATTTTTATATTAAAAATGATTTTTCTTTGCTTAACCTTCTGTGTGGTTCAAAGTGACTTCTTCATAAGATCAAATTGGTCTAATATTCTATTATGTCGGCTTTACCTCAGGATAAATTCTTCATAATCTAGAAACTTCGCTGTTGATTTTGAATTAAATTATTTTAATGAAGGATAGTTGGAAATCTATAAAGGCAGCTCTATCAGAGAATGTTTATAAAGTATGTACGTATGTATGTATGTATTTATTTATTGAGACGGAGTTTTGTTCTTGTTTCCCAGGCCTGGAGTGCAATGGCGTGATCTCAGCTCACGGCAACCTCTGCCTCCCGGGTTCAAGCGATTCTCCTGCCTTAGCCTCAGAGTAGCTGGGATTACAGGCATGCGCCACCACGCCCAGCTAATTTTGTATTTTTAGTATAGACGGGGTTTCTCCAGGTTGGTCAGGCGAGTCTTGAACTCCCGACTTCAGGTGATCTGCCCACCTCAACCTCCCAAAGTGCTGGGATTACAGGCGTGAGCCACCACGCCTGGCCTATAAAGCATTTATTTTGAATAGAGATGAGTTACTAATATTTACTAGCAGTTTGTGTTATGTAATATTTAAAATTAAGAAATATATTTTTAAAGCCAGCAAGATAATGAATATAAGCCCTGAGTAATTTGGCTAATCAAAATAAAATAAGAAATCCTGGCAGACTGTGGTCTACTTTTGATCACCCATAGCAGTGGAGAGGGCCATCATTTTGATAGTACAAGGCCCTGGTTAAATGTGCCACTAATCCCCACTGGTTATTACTAGTTTAGAACAAGAGGAAGAATAAGCTAGTTACAGACAGTGGAAAAAACAACAAGAGAGGAGTTGCCACCACATACAAAAGAATAGTGGGACTGAAGAATGAAACTTCAAAACTTCTGCGATTAGCATAGAGAACTAATTGGACTGGTTTCTAGGCAGGAAGAGCTAGTTGAATGAGTATCTGGCATTGAGTTTGTATTTTTTTTTTTTTTAAGTGAAGAGATGCCTAAAAAGTCTATTGTATTCAAGTTATTATGAGAGATCAAAGAGGCTGAAGAGCCCCACAGTATCTTAGTGCTTCCAAGTTCTCAAGCTGATGAATAAAAGTGTCTACCAAAGCCCCACTGTTTTAATTGGGAAGTTCAAGTTAACCAGCCAATTCCAATTGTATTTCACCAATTATAATCAAAGAACATCTTTTTAAAGAAACAAAACTGCTGATTACCAATAAAGGGGTATAAATACTGATCCAAAAAGTACCATTTTGTAGCCAAAGTCAGACATTTGATTAAGCTTATTCATAATCACAAACATGATGTGTAATAGTCATTTGATATTTATGACTGCTCCCCCTGCCAAAATTATGTTACTTATAACCTAATGCAGTTAATTTATCTCTAAATTTCTGAATTTGGCAAAAACCTCTTACAAGGAGCTATGAGCAAGAACTGACATTTTCTGTTTTAAGAGGAGTTGAGGCTTGAAAGCCATTCTAAAATTAATAAAAATTTTGAAACCAAATACTGCAAATAACTTTAGACATTAAAATTGGTAGTAGCTAGTATATGAAAATATGTACAAATACATGGGAAGTAAGAGTACAGATTCCAGATATGAGCAACTTATTACAGATATATATAGTCCAGATACAAGTATACTTACATATCAGATGTAAGTATTTCTTTTATTTGAAAATTAAAGTGCCTTTTAATTAAATCCTGTTGTGGCAGAGGACTCTTTATGGGGAGGATAGGTCCTGCATTTGTGATCAAAAATTCAAAATAGACTTTTGCTGATGAAATACAAACAACACTTTAACCTTTGAACTGTCCCTTGACTCAGGAATCAGCCTGAAACATGGTTATGAAGAAATACTGAAAGAATAAAACTAAGGATTAAAGTCTCTAAAACAGACTTTTCCTTTTAACCAGTCCTGAACATGTATCTCAAATACTGTATTTTATCTATCCAGCCGTATGAAGAGGTTGAAGTTTAGACCTTGAAATTCAGAACTTAAAAAAAAAATTTTTTTTGATAGAAATGGTTTTTATCATATATTTTTTCGTCATTTTTCACAGATTCCCTTTTTGAATTCACCAGTTTGCTAAAATGTCTTTGTAACCCCATAATACAGCACTTCCATAGTCATTCACAGTATGCACAGAGCATCCAAATATTTGAGTGCCCAACCTACATGTTCCCAGCTGAGGTCGAACAAGGTGACACCATTGTTTCAACTCTCATACTACAAATGAGTGTCCTTTTAACAGTATTTAGTGCCACATATTTCACATTTTTCTCCTTTTTGTTGGGGTTTTACTGTTTAAAATGACCCCAAGCTTAGTAATAAAGTGCTATCTGGCATTCTGAGTACAAGAAGACCTCCCAGAAAAAATAAGTGTTTCAGATAGCTTTATTCAGGCATGAGTTACAGTGCTATTGGCCATTCAATTTTAATATATTAATATAAAATAATATATCTTTAAACAGAAACAACGTAAAAACAATGTTACATGTTGGTTGACTGACGGAAGTCAGTGATGAGAGTCTCCCAGGAACCTCTCTATTTTTCCTGGAAGCAGTGGTTCAGCATTCACTACTTCAATGGCTCCAAGGACTTTACCATAGGTAACAAGAGTCATCTGTCACTTTGTTAATTTTTTTTTTTTTTTTTTTTTGAGACGAAGTCTCGCTCTTGTTCCCCAGGCTGGAGTGCGATGGCGCAATCTCAGCTCACTGTAACCTCCGCCTCCTGGGTTCAAACGATTCCCCTGCCTCAGCCTCCCGAATAGCTGGGATTACAGATGCCTGCCACCGTGCCTGGCTAATTTTTGTATTTTTAGTAGAGACGGGGTTTCACCATGTTGGCCAGGCTGGTCTCCAACTCCTGACCTCAGGTGATCTGCCTGCCTTGGCCTCCCATAATGCTGGAATTACAGGCGTGAGCCACCGCACCTGGCCATCTTTTTAAACATTTTTATTGAGATATAATTCACATAAAAAGTTGACCCATTTGGAGTGTACAAGTCAATGACTTTTTAAGACAGGTTGAGTATCCCTGATCCAAAATGCTTGGGACAGAAGTGTTTTGAATTTCAGATTTGGAGGTACGTGTATTATCAGTTGAACATTCCTAATCCAAAAATCTGAAATGCTGTAGTGAGCATTTCCCTTGAGTGTCATGTCGATGCCCAAAAAGTTTCAGATTTAGGAGCTTTTTGGATTTCAAATTTTCAGATTAGGAATGCTCAACCTGATATTCAGAATTGTGGAACTATCACCACAATTTAAATTTAGAACATTTTATCACCCCCAAAAAACCCTATATCTATTAATGGTCACCCTCACACCTACTTCCCCAGCACTGGGCAACCACTAATCTACTTTCTGTCTCTAGATGTCCCTATTATGCACAGTTTGTATAAATGAATTATCACTTAGGCCTTTTGTCTGGCATCTTTCACTTAGCATGTCTTCACAGCTTATCCTTAGTATAGCGTATACTTCATTCCTTTTTATAGTTGAACAACATTCCCTTGTATGGATATACCACATTTTATTTATTATTTGGTAGACATTTGGGGATTTTTTTGTTTTTGTTTTTGCTATTATGAATGCAGCTGTACTCTTTCATGTACAACTTTTGTGTGCAAATGTTTTCATTTCTGTTAGATACCTAGGAGTGGAATTATTGAGTCATGCTGGTTAGCTTTTTGAGGAACTACCAAACTTGCAAAGCGGCTACACCATTTTGCATTCCCACCAGCAAGGTATGAGGGCTCCAACTTCTGCACATCCTAGAGCTTCTTGATCGCTCATGAAGAGAAGACTCAATCTGGGACCATTTAGATGTAATAAAGCACTTTGCCCTCCCCCAAAAAGTTGTGAGACTGCAATTCTTTGAAAGGTGTTTTTAATTCTCTCAATTTGCCTCTTCTGCCTTCTCTCACTTTATTGGATTTTAACTCATTTTCCTGTGCCCGAGCTTCAGTCATGAAAAAATCCATAATGTCCTCCCATCTGGTAGAGGTCACATTGTAATGGGAGTGGCCACCACTGAACACCTAAAGTGCAAATACACAATTACAGTTACATGAAAAGCAATGAAGAAAAGTTACTAGGAGAGAATTACAAAGGGGGCATAAATGCGTTTAGGGATGTCTAAGGGTGTAACATTTAAACAGGCCTAAAAGATGAACAGAAGCCATCCAGGGAAAGAGTAAACTGAAATGCCTTCCATTCAGGGAAAAGCCTGTGCAATGACCTGACTTAGGAGAAAGTCTAGCAGTTCCACATACCTGAAAGAAGGGCAACATGTCTGGAACCTAGTGAGCCAGGGGCAAGAGTGGTAGGGAAATGAGATTGAAAAGGTAAGCAAAGAGGATACAGTTCAACCCATCTTGAGAATTTAGCTGTATTCTAAGTTACTTTTAGAATAAAACCAGAATGGAAAAAACCTTAAACAATGGAATGACAGAATCTAATAAGATCAACTCTAAAGGTTTTGAACAATCAGCAGATATTCAGTTATGCCTATGTAAACACAAAGTGCTTTATCTAGTGCTTTCATTAATGACCACTAACCTCTTTAGGAGCTTCTAGTATACAATTTGCTTTTCATTTTTGTAGGTACACAGTAGGTGTATATATTTATGGATTACATGAGCTATTTTGATACAGGCATGCAATTACATCAGGGTAAATAGGGTATCCATCACCTTAAGCATTTATCCTTTGTGATGCAAACAACCCAATTATGCTCTTAGTTATTTCTAAATGTACAATAATTATTTTTGGCTAGGTGCAGTGGCTCCCGCCTGTAATCCCAGCACTTTGGGAGGCCGAGGCAGGCGGATCACGAGGTCAGGAGATCGAGATCACCCTGGCTAACACGGTGAAACCCCGTCTCTACTAAAATACAAAAAATTAGCCAGGCGTGGTGGGGGGTGCCTGTAGTCCCAGCTACTCGGGAGGCTGAGGCAGGAAAATGGTGTGAACCTGGGAGGTGGAGATTGCAGTGAGCCGAGACTGGCCACTGCACTCCAGCCTGGGCGACAGAGCGAGACTGTCTCAAAAAAAAAAATTATTTTTTACTATAGTCACCCTGCTGCGCTAGCAAATACTAGGTCTTATTCTATTTTTTTCATACCCGTTAACTCTCCCCAATTCCCCAACGACCACTTCCCCGCTACCCTTTCCAGCTATGACTTGCCTTTTTATTTTATTTTTTTATTTTTTTTGAGATGGAGTCTTGCTCTGTCGCCCATGCTGGAGTGCAATGGCGTATCTCGGCTCACTGCAACCTCCACCTCCCGGGTTCAAGCAATTCTCCTGCCTCAGCCGCTTGAGTAGCTGGGACTACAGGGGCGTGCCACCATGCCTGGCTAGTTTTTGTATTTTTAGTAGAGACGGGGTTTCACCATGTTGGTCAGGCTGGTCTCGAACTCAGCATCTTGTGCCTCGGCCTCCCAAAGTGCTGGGATTACAGGCATGAGCCACCGTGCCCGGCCTACAATTTTCTTTTTAAAACTACACATCAGTTTACTTTGAGAACAAAAAAAGACAAACCTAAGTATAAATGTTAAATTTTTTGAGATCCCAATGTTCATTTTAATATTCTCAAATATGCTTAAAGGATCTTTATTCCCTAGTTATGTTAACTAATGGTAAGTGCCTATTAGTTCACACCATACTTGGTCATTGATTCTACCACTATCCCCCACCCCCATCTTTGAGCTAAATACTAATCTCAATTCTAGGCCCAATGAAAGACCATGGAGCTCCATTCTTGGAATAATTTGATCCTTATCTAAGATCTTCACTTTATGTCCCCATCCCCACTGTAACTAATACAAAGGGTTCTTGGGGCTGGTTTTACCTCCTCCTGCATTCAGACTTTCCACCTAAGTCCCTGATTCCTGTTGCCTGATCTCCCAGATCATGAATCCTCATGTGCCCATGTAGACTACCCTATTTGCCATAACAGATTTTTAAAATCTATTCTCCTGGCCTGAATTGTGTTTCTACTTTTAACATGAACATCTGGATACTGACCTATAGCTCAAACTGATGTGATTTCTACATTTTCCTGCCTAACCTTCTCCTATGAACAATGAGTAACTCGTCTTTTTTTTTTTTTTTTTAAGACAGAGTCTTGCTCTGTCGTTGCCAGGCTGGAGTGCAACGACGCGATCTCGGCTTACTGCAATCTCCACCTCCTGGGTTCAAGCAATTCTTCTGCCTCAGCCTCCCAAGTAGCTGGAATTACAGGCGCCTGCCACCATGCCTGGCTAATTTTTTGTATTTTTAGTAGAAACGGGGTTTTGCCATGCTGGCCAAGCCGGTCTCAAACTCCCGACCTCAGGTGATCCACCCACCTCAGCAAACCAAAGTGTTGGGATTGTTACAGGCGTGAGCCACCACACCCATCCTAACTTGTCTTCTTTAAGTCCATATCTCTTCATTTCAGCCCAACAATATAGGATTCAGTTCTTCTCCATGTGGAATGAAATCTTGTCCAGCTCTATCCCTTGCCTATCCACTCTATCAACCTTTTACCCTGCACAGGCACAGCCCAGAGCCCAGTTAAGCCTCTTCTGGTCTAGTTTCTATTGCTGCATTAAAAAACACCCTTAAACCTAATGGTTTAAAACAAGCTTGTGGCCGGGCACAGTGGCTCATACCTATAATCCTAGCACTTTGGGAGGCTGAGGTGGGCGGATCACCTGAGGTCGGGAGTTCGAGACCAGCCTGGCCAACATGGTGAAACCCCGTCTCAACTAAAAATACAAAAATTAGCCAGGCATGGTGGTGCCTGCCTGTAATCCCAGCTACTTGGGAGGCTGAGGCAGGAGAATCACTGGAACCCGGGAGGTGGAGGTTGCAGTGAGCCAAGATCATGCCATTGCACTTCAGCCTTGGTGACAAGAGTGAAACTCCATCTCAAATAAATAAATAAACAAATAAATAAAACAAGTTTGTCCAAACTGTGGCCCAAGATGACTTTGAATGCAACCTAACATAAATTCATAGTTTCTTAAAACATTATGAGTTTTTTTGCAATTTTTTTTTTTAAAGAATTTTTTTTTTTTTTGAGAGTCTTGCTCTGTCACCCAGACTGGAGTGCAGTGGCGTGATCTTGGCTCACTGCAAGCTCCATCTCCTGGGTTCACACCATTCTCCTGCCTCAGCCTCCCAAGTAGCCGGGACTACAGGTGCCCGCCACCACACCCAGCTAGTTTTTTGTATTTTTTAGTAGAGATGGGGTTTCACCGTGTTAGCCAGGATGGTCTCGATCTCCTGACCTCGTGATCCACCCACCTTGGCCTCCCAAAGTGCTGGGATTACAGGCGTGAGTCACCACGCCCAGCCTTTGCAATTTTTTTTTTTAGCTCATTAACTATTTTTAGACTATTTTATGTATTAGACATATTTTATGTGTGGTCCGAGACAGTTCTTCAAATGTGGCCCAGAGAAGCCGAAAGGTTGGACATCCCTGGTTTAAAACATCAGGTGGGCATTGGCTCATACCTGTAATCCCAGCACTTTGGGAGAGGCCAAGGTGAGAGGATTGCTTGAGCCCAGGAATTCAAGACTAGCCTGGGCAACATAGTGAGACCCCCTCCTCTACAAAAAATAAAAAATTAGCTGGTTGTGTTGTTGCATGCCTGTAGTCCCAGCTACTCAGGAGGCTCAGGTGGGAGGATCACTTGAACCCAGAAGGTTGAGGCTGCAGTGAGCCATGAGCACACAACTGCACTCCAGACTGTGCGACACAACGAGACTCTGTCTCAAAAATTTAAAAAGCAATTATCTATTTGCGTTACAAATCTAATTTGGGCAGGGCTCAGTGAGGAGCCCTTATCTGTGATCTACAAGGTATTGGCTGGAGTAGCTCAGCTGGGGCTAGCATATGCCTGTCCAAGATGGATTACTCACACAGCTGACACTGACACTGACACTGGCAGTCAGTTCCTTTTCATTAAGCAGCTTGGGCTTCCTCACAGCATGGTGATTGGGTTCCAAAAGTAAGAAAGTAAGCATCCTAAGAGGCAGAAAGTGAAAACTGCCAATTTCTTGAGGCCTAGGCCCAGAAATGGCACAGTGTCATTTCTACCATCTTCTATGGGTCAAGCAGTCCCAAAGGCCAGATTCAGGAGAAGGGGACATAGACCGAATGTAGGGATGTCAAAAAAATCTTAGAGCCGTGTTTGAAAACTTCAACACCTACTCACCTACGGCTCAATGCATTTGGGTGATTTTTATATATATTTAATATATGTTTATTTTGCCTTAAGGGGTATTTTTCTCACTTCAGACTTGTTTTTAGGACTGTTTGAGAAATTCTGAGTGACATCCATTGGTCAGGCACATCAATGATTTAACTGGAAACGAGAATTTGCCTCCTAGATTTCTTTTTTTTTTTTGCCTCCTAGATTTCTAATTAGAGCAAAGCAACTTCATCAGCTTTGTAAGGTACTTTCCAGGCCAGGCGCGGTGGCTCACTCCTGTAATCCCAGCACTTTGGGAGGCCGAGGCGGGCGGATCACCTGAAGTCAGGAGTTCGAGACCAACCTGCCCAACATGGTGAAACCGTGTCTCTACTAAAAATACAAAGAAATTAGCCGGGCATGGTGGCAGGTGCTTGAAATCCCAGCTACTGGGGAGGCTGAGGCAGGAGAATCGCTTGAACCCAGGAAGCAGAGGTTGCAGTGAGCCGAGATCATGCCATGCACTCCATCCTGGGAGACGAGCAAAACTTTGTCTCGAAAAAAAAAAAAATGCCAATGCTATATAAACATCTCTAAGTTATCTTCACACAAGACCCTCTCAACCTTAAAGTAGAACTAGTATAGGACACCTGCCCACTACCCCCCTACACAAGTCAGTAATTCTGTATATCTGGTCTCCTTATCTGTAGGTGGTGTACATGAGCATCATATTCATGAGTCCAGTAATTTGTTTTAAATAGTTTGACATTCCCTCTTGTGATGTGTTACCATGGCTAGGCTATGGTACCCAACTGTTGGTCAAACACTAGTGTAGATGTTGCTGTGAAGGTAATTTTTAGACATGATTAACATTTATAAAAGCAGATTACCACTATAATGTAGGTGGCCTCACCCAATCAGTTGAAGACCTTAAGAATAAAGACTGAGCTTTCCCAAAGTAGAAAGAATTCTGCCTCAAGACTACAACATAGAAACCCTGCTTGAGCTTCCTGCTTGCTGGCCCTCCCTAGAGGTTTCAGACTCAAAGCTGCTGCATCAGCTCCTAACTGCATTTCCGGCCTGCTGGACTATAGTACAGATTTCAGACTTCCCAGTCCCCACAATTGCATAAACCAATTATTTAAAATAGAAAAAAAATCTTAAAATATATTTAGATACAGAAAGAAATGACAGATTCTATTGGCTCTGTTTCTCTAGAGAGCACGAACTCACCTTTCGTAATATTCTGTGCGTTAATGATTAACTTGAACTTATAAAGATTTGCAAGGAAAAAAATCAACGTAAATCTAGACTGTCAGAGGCTCTGTGTACAACCTATGTTCAGAGGCTATCAGTGATAGGGTTTGGGACTTTGTCCCCACCCAAATCTCATGTTCCATTGTAATCCCCAATGTTGGAGATGGGGCGTGATGGGAGGTGATTAGATCATGGGGACGAATTCTCATGAATGGTTTAGCACCATCCCCTTGGTGCTATTATCACGATACTGAGTGAGTTATCATGAGATCTGGTTGTTTAAAAGTACACAGCAGCCGGGCATGGTGGCACACGCCCGTAATCCCAGCATTTTGGGAGGCAGCAGCAGGTGGATTGCCTGAGTCCAGGAGTTCGAGACCAGCCTGGACAACACGGCAAAGCCTCATCTCTACCAAAAATACAAAAAAATAGCCGGATGTTGTGGTGCAAGACTGTGGTCCCAGCTACTCTGGAGGCTCAGATAAAAGGATCACTTGAGCCCAGATGTCAAGGCTGCAGTGAACCGAGACTGCACCACTTCCACTCCAGCCTGGGCAACAGAGCAAAGACCCTGGCTCAAGAAAAAAAAAAAATGCATGTAGCATCTCCCCCGTCTCTCCTTTCCTCCTGCTCCTGGCCATTCGAAGTGCCCCCTCCTGCTTCATCTTCCACCATGATTATAAGTTTCTGAAAGCCTGCCCGGAAGCCAAGCAGATGCCAGAATCATGCTTCCTGTACAGCCTGCAGAACCATGAGCCAATTAAACTTCTTTATAAATTACCCAGTCTCAGGTACTTCTTTGTAGCAACTCGAGAATGGACTAACACAATCAGTCTGTGATACTGGACAAAATTTTGACAGTCTCCTCCTCCACCTAGCCAAAGTGCCATTGCCAACATGGTGATGGTTTCCTCATTTGCAGTAATGTATGGGATTATGTTTACATTTAGCTGTACATAGTATATACCCTCAAAGCTGATTAAATGAGTCACTCAACATTGTTTACAAGAAAAGACTTAACAGATGAAAAAAAACCTGTATCTTTTGAGTATAAACAGTGATGTTGACTGGTTCAGAAGTTTCTGAAAGGCAGAACAAGAGTGGGGAAAATATGTTTTGTAATTGATTTGCAAACAGAAGTGGAAAAGTTATCAAGTAATAAACCAGCATAGCTCTGGAAGAAATATCTCTTGTCAAATTAATGTAATTTTTTTCAACAGAGTTATTTGTCTGTTGGAACGGGAGGAAGTGATGGATGTCATTTGTCCTCAATGTAGCCAGGTATTTTATCCTGTCTGACATTACTTAGTTACTTGTAAACTAGGAAAAAAAAACATAATCTAACACCTCAGTTCTTAAGTGGGTGTATTTGAGAATGCTAAAGGATTTGTTCTCAGTTGTTTGTTTGTTTTTGTTTTTGTTTTTTTGTTTTGAGACGGAGTTTTGCTCTTGTTGCCCAGGCTGGAGTGCAATGGTGAGTTCTCGGCTCACTACAACCTCCGCCTCCTGGGTTCATTTTCAATAGATCACTACCAAGAGCAAAGCAAGTGGCATCTTCAGGTTTCCATTGTGATATGACTGTGCCTAGAACTATGGTACTTGGCGGTAAGTAGCCATGAGTAGGAGAAAAGAGTACCAACATTTGGGGATTCTTTTAATTCCGTGTCGTTTTTTCCATTGGCGATTGACTTTTATTTCTTCCCTCCCTGTGCCTTGTCCTGGAATAGGATATAAATTTGCCTCTACATCTTACACTTCATAGTGCCAGTCATCTGTAAAGGTTGACCCTCTGTGCTTTCTTTTTAATATTTGGCATTTTGTTGATTTTTCTCATGGAGCACATTGGAGCTGTGAGCTCTTGTCCAGGGGAAGCCCTCTAAGATTTCTACAAGTATGAGTTAAAAATTTATTCGGATTTTGACCTTCTCAATGTACCCTTCTTCCACTGCTATGAATTATCAGCTGTTGGTATTAGAGTCTGTCCCACATAAAGATCATATCACTTGCACTTTCTAAAAAATGTTAAAAGAACTACATTTTTAAGGGATTCTTTATAGAGTAACACATCACATATTTTCTTTACAAGACAAAATTTAATATGTTTAAACTATGGCTTAAATTTAACAAGGAATTCTCAGGAACTCATCAATGCATATTAAGAAGCTTGGGCTTTACTCTATAGATCAGTGGGTCTCAAAGTTTAGAGTATATCAGTATTCCCTACGAAAATTACTAAAAAGTACAGAATCTAAGGCCCTGATCCCAGAGCTTCTAGTTCAGTAAGTCTGGGTTGGACACAGTAATCTGCATTTGTCCAAGCACCATAGGTAATTGCGATATAGAAAGTCCTTAGACCGGCCGGGCGCGGCGGCTTACGCCTGTAATCCCAGCACTTTGGGAGGCCAAGACAGGCGGATCACGAGGTCAGAAGATCGAGACCATTCCTGGCTGACACAGTGAAACCCCGTCTCTACTAAAAATACAAAAAAATTAGCCGGGCGTGATGGCGGGCGCCTGTAGTCCCAGCTACTCTGGGGACTGAGGCAGGAAAATGGCGTGAAACCGGGAGGCGGAGCTTGCCGTGAGCCGAGATCGCTCCACTGCACTCCAGCCTGGGCGACAGAGCGAGGCTCCGTCTCAAAAAAAAAAAAAAAAAAAAAAAAAGTCCTTAGACGGTACTTTGAAAAACACCACTGTAGGAAGAGAGATACTAAAGGCTCCCAAGCAAGTGTGTGGTGTTGTGGCATGATCAGACATGTATTTTAAATGGATTTTGCTGCAGATGAACTGGAAGAAGGACCAGTTTGGAGGCTATTTCAGTAGCCCAAGAAAGCAATGATGGAGATGGGGCAGGATATTAGTAAGGACTGAAAGGAGAAGATAAATATGAAAGTATATTGGGAGTTCTAAATTAAAATGCCTATAGGAGCTAGTCAGGTAACATAAACAAGTGCAGAGACTCAAGAAAAGACTGTAAGTAGTGACAGATGTACAGGGCATGCCCCCATCTAAAGAAGACAGCTGCAGCTGGGTGTGGTGGCTCACGCCTTTAATCCTAGCAGTTTGGAAGCCAAGGCAGGTGGACCACTTGAGGTCAGGAGTTTGAGACCAACTGGCCAACATGGTGAAACCCCATCTCTACTAAAACATACAAAAATTAGCCGGGTATGGTGGCACACACCTATAGTCCCAGCAACTTGGGAGGCTGAGGTGGGAGAATAGCTTGAACCCGGGAGGTGGAGTTTGCAGTGAGCCGAGATTGCACCACTGCACTCCAGCCTGGGTGACAAAGCGAAACTCCATCTCAAAAAAAAAAAAAAAAAAACAAAACAAAAAAACAAAAAACAGCTGCCTTTCTCTTCTGGCTGATCTTGGCTATACTGGAGTATGGCTCCAACGTTGCCAAAGACTCTAGTTTTTCAAAAGAATCTAGAATTTGGCATTTAAAATGCAAAACATCCTCATTTTTAAATAGTGGCAACAAATTTAAATTCTTTCAATGGAAGCCAAACACGATGGCCCACAGATCCATTTGCAACCTCTTTTTTTCGATGAAGAGGAAAAGGGAAACATCATGGATGACTTAACTGACTCATGGATGCTCACACTGAGAATTCAGAACAAAGGGCCATTAAGGGAAAAATGAAGGCATCTTTTTTGAGTTTGAGCTTAAGAAGTCTGAGATTTCCAAGGGGAGACGTTCAGGTAGAAGTTGCTGTATGTGTCTGAAGCTCAGAAGAAAGATCTGAGAGAGAGAGGTTTAGGATAAGCAAGTATGCCAGTACAATGTACATCATCACATGTACATTTAACCTGTGCAAATTCAATCAAACACAGACGGCAAAATGGAGAGAGAGAAAAACAAACTAAACAGAATAATTTCCCCACTCAGCATATGCACCAAAGTGAGTTTGCAATGGAAAATGAGAGTCTCTTCCCTCATTTCATCTCAGTTCCTCACATCACTAACAGGTAAGCCACTTTGTTGTACTATGTCTAATTCTAAGTACTTTGCTAAGGAATTTTCAAGGGTAAATTTACATGCAATATTTTTGCCTTACACACTAATTTTAGAGCCTCCCTTCCAATTTCTGAGTCTGCTATATTAAAACCATAAGAAAGGATGAGATCATCCTAGAGAAGAATGTAATGAAAAGAGCAGTGGTGTAGCACTGGATCCAGGAGAACGTCAATGTCTGAGAAGGAAAGAAGAACCCGTGGAAAAGAAAGGAAACAAATAAAAGGCTATGAAGAAGCCCAAAAGAGTATCAGGGACACCAATACATTGGTCTTTTATGTCATATACAGAAGAAAATTCCAGTAGAATAAGGACTGAAAATATGTTCATTAGATTTTTACAATTGGAAGGTCATTGGTGACCTTAGTAAGAACTCTTTCAAACTGCCTGGATAAATTTGCCAGTGCTGCCGTAACAAAGTATCACAGACTGGGTGGCTTAAACAACAGGAATTTACATTCTCGCAGTTCTGGAGGCTAGACATCAGAGATTAAGGTGTCAGCAGGGTTGGTTTCTTCTGAGGCCTCTCTCCTTGACATGCAGGTAACTGTCTTCTCTCAGCGTCTTCACATGGCCTTACACAGTTGTCCATCTGTGCATGTATCTGTGTCCTAATCGCTTCTTATAAGGACACCAGTCATATTGGATTAGGGCCTACCCTTGTGAACTCATTTTGACTTCATTACCTCTTTAAAGACCCTATCTCAGTGGGGCGCAGTGGCTTATGCCTGTAATCCCAACACTTTGGGAGCCCAAGGAGGGTAGATCACAAGGTCAAGAGATCAAGACCAGCCTGGCCAACATGGTGAAACCCTGTCTCTACTAAAAATACAAAAATTAGCTGGGCGTGGAGGCACACGCTTGTAGTCCCAGCTACTTGCAAGGCTGACGCAGGAGAATCGCTTGAACCCCGGGGGCGGAGGTTGCAGTGAGCTGAGATTGTGCCACTGCACTCCACTCTGGTGACAGAGCGAGACTCTGTCTCAAAATAAAATAAAATAAAATAAAAAAGACCCTATCTCCAAATACAGTCACATTCTGAGGTGTTGGAAATTAGGACTTCAACATATAATTTTGGGATGGGGGTGGAGGGACACACTTCAGAAGAAACCAGATTTCAGGGTAGTGGGGAGATAAGTGAATTGAAGAGAAATGGGGAGGTGGGAAGTAGAAACAACTGGAGAAATTTGAATAAGACAGGGAACAGCTAGATTGGCTTTGACAATCAAAGGAAGAGCTTTTTAACCTGGGAAAAACTCAAGATATTGATAAGCTGAGGGGAAGATACCAGTTAAGAAGGGGAAATAAAAGTGTGTAGGAGGCCAGGCACGGTGGGTCCCACCTGTAATCCCAGCACTTTGGGAGGCTGAGGTGAGCAGATCACGAGGTCAGGAGTTCAAGACCAGCCTGGCCAACATGGTGAAACCCTGTCTCAACTAAAAATACAAAAATTAGCCAGGTGCAGTGGTGTGCGCCTGTAGTTCCAGCTACTTGGGAGGCTGAGGCAGGAGAATTGCTTGAACCTGGGAGGCGGAGGTTGCAGTGAGCCGAGATTGCGCCACTGCACTCTAGCCTGGGTGACAGGGAGAGACTACATCTCAAAAAAAAAAAGGTGTGTGGGAGAGGCAATGGGTCAAACACATGGGTGCTTGGCTTCACATGGAAGGAAGAGAGCCTAGGGGAAAAGAGATGAGGATGGGTAGGAATGCACACAATCAGATAACACAGAAAGGAAAGGATCTCAGCTTTCTCAGCCAAGTGGGACACAAGGCCATTCATCAGGATTTGAGAGAGCAGCTAAGTGTTGCGTGATGGGCTTGTAAGGAAGGTTTGGAATTGTTGCTGAGGAAGGTAGGAGAGGGAGTAGATGGAGGACAAATCTGGAGTGACACTGATCCTATTTGAATTCTAACCCTGGATCTTCACTGGTTTACCGTGTGACTTTAGCTAAATTGTCTAATTATTCCTTTTCATGTTATTCGCCTATATGAAGTAGGGTTAATAATAACTACTATGAACGCATTATCAGGAACATTAAATAATAAAATGGGTGCATTTTCAGTGACATTATGAGTATCATTCTGCTTCTTTCATTACCCAATGCTAGCAAGCTAGTTCTAACTTTCGTCTTATTTTTCTTTATTCAAGCTTCACCTGGACCATTTTTCAATGGCTCAGTGGTCTGACTGTAGATATGATGACGCCACTCCATGTCCATTCAAAAGTTAAGTGAGGAGGTGTTACCTTACCTATTTAGTCACAATGGTTTTCAGAACATTCCAAATGAAGCCTGCTTTTTCTCAAAGAAAATAGAATATACATATACCAAAACATTTTCAAATTAAAATAGGCACTGAGCAGACATATTGATGCCAGGAATAATCTAAGCTCTACTCAAAGCTGGTTTGTAGGATTGTAAATTGAGACCAGCCTTTGCTTCTTACCCTATAGAGGCAGTGAGTCAGGATTTCCTGAAATTAAGCAATCATGTAAAATGCATTAGTGGCTTCCAGAACACCTCGGGCTTCCTTGTGCCAAGAAATTAACATGTTTTCTACTTGGCATCTCATTTATATTCCCCAGTGACCCCATTAAGATCCTTCTATCAACCTGAGTCAGTATGATAATGTAGCTAAGATTCATCACTGAAAGTTTATTTTTTCTGGAAATGCATTAGCTTGGTGATGATTGCTACATATCAGTGGGAGGGCTGGATTCCAAGTCTGAATCATGACTTTATAGTCAAAGTTACACTAGTTATTAGTCGTATTTGAACCTCTCACATTGCTTAACATGATTTCAATCTGGTTTTTGTCCCAACTGTACCACTGAAACTTTCCTTCACTACCAGTAATCTCCTAATTGCCAACGCTTTGTTCTTATTCTATTTGAACTTTCTTTTAGTTGTTGTTGTTTTTTGTTTTGTTTTGTTTTCATTTAAGACGGAGTCTCGCTCTTGTTGCCCAGGATGGAGTGCAATGACGTGATCTCGGCTCACCGCAACCTCCACCTCCCAGATTGAAGCGATTTTCCTGCCTCAGCCTCCCGAGTAGCTGGGATTACAGGCACGTGCCACCACACCCGGCTAATTTTTTGTATTTTTAGTAGAGATGGGGCTTCACCATGTTGGCCAGGCTGGCCTCAACCTCCTGACCTCAGGTGATCCACCCACCTCAGCCTCCTGAAGTGCTGGGATTACAGGAATGAGCCACTGTGCCTGGCCTCTATTTGAAGTTTCTGTACCAATATCACCTCTGTATTGAAAGACCTTTTGTTTCCAAAACAGCATTTTTTTCCTAGTGACCTTCTATCTTTCTTCACTGATTACTTCTTACTCCTGTACCTACCCCCGGAATGCTGCAGTTGTCCCAGGGTTAATGTCATTGTCCCTCCTCCTGTCAAGTGTCAGAAATTCAAATGGTAGCAGGGACTAGGCCAGGTAGGTAAAATGAAAGTCAGATATAATTAATAGGTAGTGTGGGGACTCTGGCAAAGAGAAGATGCATACCCCATATGAAGGCACCTACAACTGAAAGCTTTTTAAATACCATCGTGGCCAAAAAACTTTATAGACTAAGCCGTATGTCTTTTTAATAACAGAGCTGTTCTCAGAAACCAGGTCTTCTTGTCCAAGACTCTAAGGACAGGACCCATTTATAGGGTGTTTTGTGTACCACTTAACCTCTGCAGAATACATCAGTAATCCTTCCTGAATTCGAGTTCAGGGTCCTAAGTCACCCAACATGATATCCTTTTTTTTTTTTTTTTTTGAGAAGGAGTCTCGCTCTGTTGCCCAAGCTGGAGTGCAGTGACACCATCTTGGCTCACTGCAACCTCCGCCTCCAGGGTTCAAGTGATTCTCCCACTTCAGCCTCCCAAGTAGCTGGGACTACAGGCACCCACCATCATGCCCAGCTAATTTTTGTGTTTTTGTAGAGAGGGAGTTTCACCATGTTGGCCAAGCTGGTTTCAAACTCCTGACCTCAGGTGATCTGCCCACCTCAGCCTCCAAAGTACTGGGATTACAGGCGTGAGCCACTGTACCCGGCCGCATGACTTACTTTTAATATGTAAAACAGGCTACCCCAGAAGTTCACTTATACATTTGTTTCTAAATACGATGCAAACATTTTACTCTTAGTGATATCATTTTTATCTTAAAAGTTTTCCAAAGGGCCTTCTGTTTTTCTAACTTAGAAGTGTCACCTTCCTGCATTCTGAGGTTCTTTCCCATCTGTGATACCCACCAAGAGTTTACTTACACTGTTATATCTGACATTTATGCAGAGTTCATAAGTGATCACCATGGCTTATAAGAAGGGAAGAACTCACCTTCTTCATCCAGAAATCTTATTTCTTTATGCTCTGCTGGTGCAATGCTGAAAGATTATTTTCTTAGGTTTAGCAACCAGCAATATGTATTTATTTAACATCTTTTCTCACTAAAGTTCAACTTTCCTATGAGAAAATTTGATTTAATAAAGAATCTGCATGAAAACACAACATCTGAAGGTGCTTTTTCTTGCACAGAGTAAACAACATAAAAAAAATCAGAAAGTATTTGCTTGAGAACGTTCTCGAAATGATGCACAACCTCACACAGTACTTTTCATGTTTGCAAAAGCTGTTATGAAGACACCAGAGGAATTTCTCTTGGAGCAAAGACTAATGAGGACTAAGCTCTGATTTTTAAAATCTTGCCCAAATTCCTATCTAAGGGGTCTGGGGAGTCATGCCGTGCAAACCATAAATTCTCATGAGATGGGTTTTATTTAACCCTATATGTCATGACTTACTTTCCAGTCTGACTCTGGTATAACATTATGGGACAAAGAAGAAAATCAAAATACTTTACCTGAAAACATGTTTATTTGCCAGATTTTGAAATGGCTCTGCAAAGCCATCCTTTGAGGGGAAAAATTGCATCTGTAAAGAATCTCTGTTAACATAGCTAGATCTTTTTCTTCCAGGCCCTCCAATCCTGAAGAGATTAACTGAGAGTCTATCACCTTTTAAAAGTTCTGAATAGGAAATATTTGTCATCTATTGTCTCTAAGGGCAGCCACAATGAGACTTCAAAAAAACCTTGGTCTCCACAATTTTTTGTTTTAACCTGAACATTTCCTTTCTATTGATCCCAGGTCTTTAGACAAACTCAACCAATTGTCAACCAGAAAATGTTTAAATCTACCTATAGCCTGGAAACCTCCCCACTAACAACCCACCCATACACCCCACCCCCACCACCCCTGCCACACCGCTTTGAATTGTCCTGCCTTTCTGGATCAAACCAATGTACTTCTCAAATGTATTTGATTGATGTCTCATGCCTTCCTAAAATGTGTAAAACCAAGCTGAACACTGACTGCCTTGGGCACATGTTCTCAGGACCTCCTGAGGGCTGTGTCACGGGCCATGGTTACTCATATTTGCCTCAGAATAAATCTCTTTAAATATTTTACAGAGTTTGACTCTTTTCATTGACACTAAAAAGGTATCACTCTTCTTCTTCCTCATGATGTGTAATCGCCAGCTCAGCAGAGGCAGTTCAGCTTGGCTCAAGAACCAATGTCCCTCATTTTGCAGGGTTCTAAACATGTGAAACAGTCTTGCCTTAAGCTGACTAAATAAAAGAGGACTCGGCTGGGCGCAGTGGCTCACGCCTTTAATCCCAGCACTTTGGGAGGCCGAGGAGGGCCGATCACCTGAGGTCGGGAGTTCGAGAACAGCCTGACCAACATGGAGAAACCCTCTCTCTACTAAAAATACAAAATTAGCCAGGTATGGTGGCACATGCCTGTAATCCCAGCTACTCGGGAGGCTGAGGCAGGAGAATAGCTTGAATCTGGGAGGCGGAGGTTGCAGTGAGCCAAGATTGGGCCATTGCACTCCAGCCTGGGCAACAAGAGCGAAACTCCATCTCAAAAATTAATTAATTAATTAATTAATTAATAAAAGAGGACTCAGGTTGTAGGAGTACCAGATGAAAACAGACACAGAAGGAAGCACAAGGCCTGAGTTCAGGCTTTCCTGCCACACTCCCACACTCATGTTGGTCTCCATTCCTCCACTTGCCCCTACCTCAAGCTCCCCTGTATACCACAGATAAAAATACCATGCATTCCCATCAAGTGCTCCCTGGAAGCAGTCGCGTCATATCCATCCTCCCCCAATTCACTGGCCTGCCCTTTCCCTCCAACTAGCCTTTAACACTTAACACAAATATATTCCATCTCCTCCTCTGATGTTCCGTGTATACCCCACTAACCTGTAAGTGCTGCAGGGGCAGAGATCATATTTCTCTTATTACCATTGTATTCACGGGGCTAAGTCCAGTGTCTGGCACAAAGGAGCTGCTTCATAAATACTTGTTAAATTATTTATTTATTTATTTATTTTTTGAGACGGAGTCTCGCTTTGTCGCCCAGGCTGGAGTGCAGTGGCATGATCTCGGCTCACTGCAAGCTCTGCCTCCCGGGTTCACACCATTCTCCTGCCTCAGCCTCCCGAGTAGCTGGGACTACAGGCGCCTGCCGCCACACCCAGCTAACTTTTTTTTTTTTTTTTGAGACGGAGCCTCGCTCTGTCACCCAGGCTGGAGTGTAGTGGCATGATCTCGGCTCACTGCAAGCTCTGCCTCCCGGGTTCACACCATTCTCCTGCCTCAGCCTCCCGAGTAGCTGGGACTACAGGCACCCGCCATCACGCCGGGCTATTTTTTTTGTATTTTTAGTAGAGATGGGCTTTCACCGTGTTAGCCAGGATGGTCTCAATCTCCTGACCTCGTGATCCACCCGCCTTGGCCTCCCAAAGTGCTGAGATTACAGGCGTGAGCCACCTCACCTGGCCCAACTTTTTGTATTTTTAGTAGAGACGGGGTTTCACCGTGTTAGCCAGGATGATCTCGATCTCCTGACCTCGTGATCCACCCGCCTTGGCCTCCCAGAGTGCTGAGATTACAGGCGTGAGCCACCGTGCCTGGTCAATACTTGTTAAATTTTTTTTAAATTTAAAACTTGTTTATACAATTTTTATTTTTTAAATTCCTAATTATTTTTCTTTTAAATATTAGAGACAGGGTCTCGCTATTTGCCCAGGCTGGTTTTGAACTTCTGGGCTCAAGCAATCCTGCCTCGGCCTCCCAAAGTGCTGGAATTACAGGCATGAGCTACCGTGGCTGGCCAATATTTGTTAAATTAAATGAAATCCTCATTCACAGTTCTGGGTCTTTGTCCTAATAATTCTCTCTACCTGGAATGTCCTTCTGAGGCCCTCCTCAAATTCTCTAACCCACACTAATCTACTCTTTTAATGGGGATGGCATTTCAAGTTTGTGTTATAGAATTTAGCCTATGATTATATCCCACATTGGCGATATTCTTTCAATATTCAGGTAAAGATGCTGTTGACTGTTAGGATCTTTGCTGCTCCTAGCACCTATGGTTGCTCAGTGGATACCGAAATTCCTTATAATTAGACACTTAGATATAATATCTAACACCTTTCCAGCAGAAGCTCCACACATGTTTTAAAGATCAGGATTGCAGTGTTCAGCTTTCAAATAAATCAGCTTTATTCCAGGAAAGTCTGAGTAACTGCAAGAAATTAGTCAGAAAGAATAGAACAAGCAGCCCTGATCCAAGGAACATGAGATCTCCCATATAGCAAAGTCATTTCCTAATAAGGGTGATAAATTCCCTTGACAGGAACATTTGGGCCTGTCTTTCCTAAAGAGCCCATCCTTCCCTTCCACACAACACACCCTTGCCCTGTTTTTACATGAATTAAATAAGAACTCTTCTACGGGGTTCTTAAATATTTGAGGATGACAGCCTCTGGGATCATTTTGTCCTGCAGAGATTCAAATGAGTATTTTGGTCTCTTATTGAACTGCTTGCTCTAAGGCAAAGACTTACGGAGGTACTTGTTTTTCCTTTGTTGCAAGAAGGAGATAAATGCCAGTTAAACTTCAACTTTTGTGGCAGCAACGTATGACCCCAAATAACTAGCAATTGCAGAATGGACTTAGGGGAAAAGGGGGGGCTTCCCCCTCCACCAGGATTTTTTTTTTATTTTTTGAGACAGAGTTTCGCTCTTGTTGCCCGGGCTGGAGTGCAATGGTTCAATCTCAGCTCACTGCAACCTCTAACTCCTGGGTTCAAGTGATTCTCCTGACTCAGCCTCCCGAGTAGCTGGGACTACAGGCATGCGCCACCATACCCGGGTAATTTTTATATTTTTAGTAGAGACAGGGTTTCACCATGTTGGCCAGACTGGTCTTGAACTCCTGACCTGAAGTTATCCACCCACCTCAGCCTCCCAAAGTGCTGGGATTACAGGCGACAGCCACCGCGCCCAGCCCAGAATTTTTATTTGATGACAGGAATTACTAATTTCTCAACCATTAGTCAATCTATGACATACTGGACTAGTTAAGGCCATATTTTATCAAATGGAGGCTTGCATCAGTACTCTTTCCAATGTAATGATATAAATCTAACTCAAACCAACCCAAGCTAAAAATGAAATTTAATAGCAAACCTAACTGAAAAGTCCCAGAGTTTTCTGGCTTTGGGCATGGCCTGGGACAGGAATTGGCAAACAACAGCCCATTGCCTGATTTTGTAAATAAAGTGCTGTTGGCACACAGCCATGCTCATTTTTTTTAAAAAACATATTATCTAAGGCTGCTTTGAAGCTACAAAGGTAGGGCTGAGTCCTTGCAAGAGAGCCCTCATAGCTGACAAAACCTAAAATATTTACTGGCTGGCTCTTTTCAGAAAAAGTTTGCCAGCTGCTGGTCAAGGGGCTCAGATGATGTCATCAGTATTCTCTGGCCATCTCTTGGCTGTGATCTTTCTTTGAGATGGCTTCACTTTCAGGCTTTACATGGTCCACAGCAGCCCCATGTTGATATTCCTTTCTGCGAACAATCCCAGGTGAAAAAGACCAGTTCTTTTCTGGTAACTCTTGCAAAAGTCCTTGCATTTACTCTAAACTGACAACTTCAGTGAGGTACCTATCTTTGATTTGATGTCTTGTGGCAAGGAGAATGGAGTCACACTGATTGGCTTGGCCTACGTCACAATGCCTTCCCTGGTGCTAGGGTTGGGTCAGCCAAGCCAAGTCACATGGACTGAGTATCAGGGAGAGGTTCTCCAAGGGGAAGGATGTTAGCAAGCCAAAACAACAAATGCCCATTATAAAAACTTTCCCTCCACTTCTTGGTTGGTCACATTCTGATCTTGGACATTTCTTAAAGCATATCAGTGAGATCTTTGTGTGATTTCAGACCCTTAAATCAGTTACTATTAATAACAATGACCAGTTTTTGATGATGTTCAGTGCCAGACACTATGCTAAGCACTTAATAAACATTATCTTGTTTATCCTCCCAACAACTCTAAAAACTGGGCATTTTTATTTCCATTTTACTAATGAGGTAACTAAGAATGAGTTTAATAAAAACTTGCCCTAAAGGTCCCAGAGTCAGGATTGGAAGCTAGTTCTGCCTAACTCCAAACTTGAGCAATGCTGTCTTGCCTCTCCAACCTAGTAGAGCCTCACATTTCTGAGAATGTCCCGCCACACTCTCACCATCTGAATAATGCATGAGCACGGAACTGGGGACCAGGAGGCCTGAGTTCCAGTGAACAGCTCTGTCACTAACTTATTGGATGACTTTTAACAAGTTATTTACTCAATTTATGCAGTATCAGTTTCCTCATCTGTAAAATGAACAGATTAATCTGGAGTGATTTTCAAACTATGCTCTATAGAGTGTAGCAACTGCTGTAGCAGTGCCTTAGAGTCTGCCATAGGGAGCAAGGGAACACCCCAAAATTGCTCCCTCACATTTATTTTATTTATTTATTTATTTTTGAGATGGAGTCTTGCTATGTTGCCAGGCTGGAGTGCAGTGGCATGATCTTGGCTCACTGCAACCTCCGCCTCCCGGGTTCAAGCAATTCTCCCGCCTCAGCCTCCCCAGTAGCTGGGACTACAGGTGCACACCACCACGCCCAGCTAATTTTTGTATTTTTAGTAGAGACGGGGTTTCACCGTGTTGGCCAGGATGATCTCAATCTCTTGATCTCGTGATCTGCATGCATCAGCCTCCCAAAGTGCTGGGATTACAGGCGTGAGCCCCCGCACCTGGCTTTCACATTTATTTTATCATATCATTGCTATTGCTTTCTACTGGGCTTCTTCTCTTTTTTTTGAGACGGAGTCTTGCTCAGTTGTGCAGTGGTGCAATCTCGGCTCACTGCAAGCTCCTCCTCCCGGGTTCATGACATTCTCCTGCCTCAGCCTCCCGAGTAGCTGAGACTACAGGTGCCCGCCACTATGCCCAGCTAATAATTTTTGTATTTTTAGTAGAGACGGGGTTTCACCATGTTAGCCAGGATGGTCTCGATCTCCTGACCTCATGATCCACCCGCCTCGGCCTCCCAAAGTGCTGGGATTACTGGTGTGAGCCACCATGCTTGGCTTCTACTGGGCTTCTTCTTATGTCTAATATATAAAAAATAAAGGTGCCTGCAAAAAAAAAATTTTTTTAACCATGAGACTAGAAGATCTTCAAGATCTCTGTCAATATTCTTTGCTTGCTCTTGCAAAACCCATCCTCCCTTTTCTCCATCCTGTTCTGTGCCTTGGGTGGCTGACCTGTATGGACTCCGCATCAACAGCTTCCCTGTACTATGGCTTCCCATCGTAGGCTAGAGCAGCAGCAAAACAAAGGGCAAAAGGAGAGAAATGTTAGGTATTAATTTCCCTGGCTGTGTGGCTGAGTTCAAAGACCCCAACTCATGTTCACTGGCCCTCCTTTTCAGCTCTTTCTGAGTTTGGGGAACTGCTCCATTCTCTGGTCCCACCTGATTTGGGGATGACAATGGCTCACTACTGTTGGTAGCCCTTGGGTGCATCACCATCCTTTGCTTTGTTGTTGCAATGAAAATGTGCCCCATTGGCCGGGC
This sequence comes from Homo sapiens, assembly GCF_000001405.40. Taxonomy (NCBI): domain Eukaryota; kingdom Metazoa; phylum Chordata; class Mammalia; order Primates; family Hominidae; genus Homo; species Homo sapiens. Next base: position 86,837,996 of record NC_000001.11, on the reverse strand, counting down.
GCGGTGGCTCACACCTGTAATCCCAGCACTTTGGGAGGCCGAGGCAGGCGGATCACCTGAGGTCAGGAGTTTGAGACCAGCCTGGCCAACTTGATGAAACCCTGTCTCTACTAAAAATACAAAAATTAGCCAGGCGTGGTGGCAGGTGCCTGTAATCCCAGCTACTCGGGAGGCTGAGGCAGGAGAATCGCATGAATTCGGGAGGCAGAAGTTGTAGTGAGCCGAGATTGCACCATTGCACTCCAGCCTGGGGGACAAAAGCAAGACTTTGTCTCAAAAAAAAAAAAAAAAAAAAAGAAAAAGAAAAAGAAAATGTGCTCAATTTCTGTCTATACCCTTGTAAATAGTTTCTTCCTTAAATACTCCTCATCCACCCATTTTAAGTGGACCATCAGAACCTTGACTGTATAATCTGTTAGGACTTCAGGATTTATGGTTTTATGCATAGTAAAAGTCACCTATCCTTCTTTTATATCCATTCTCACACCACTTTAGTGTCTGCTAACTGCCAGGAACAGTAGGCAGTGGATATTTCCTTTAGCACTAGCATTCTTTCAACCTATGACCTAAAACCCTTCATTGGAAATTATTTTAGTGCTCCCTTTTCAGCAGGAGCGGGCAAAAGACAGCAAAATAAACTGACATCTGGAGATTGTTTTTCAAAACATCTAAAAGGATAAACACATAAACACATACTTTTCTCAATCATTGTTGCTTTTATTCCTTCATTCCTTCATTTAACAAACATTTATGGAGTGCCTGAAATATTCTAAGCACTGTGTTTGGCTGTAGTGATATAAGTCCAGCATATGTGTGAAGGATTTTACAGTCCCATGAGGGAAAGACAAATAACTGAGGAATTTACCTATTGCACTCACTCAAGGAGGAATACCCATTTCCAGAATGATTCACTTTTAGACACTGAGATATCTTACAGCATTAAAGATCGCCCAGTGTCAAATATTTCATTAAGGGTTGCAATGGAAATGTGGTGCTTAACTTCAGTTAATCTGAAAATAAATTTTACTGTTAAAATGTAATCTGTCTCTAGTTATAGTAAATTCTCATTCATTTGGAGTCTACTGATGTAGATTTTAAGGAACTCACTAAGGTATTCATCTTTGCCATTGATTAAAATTTCTAAATATAATTCTTTCCTCTGTAGATTATAAGCATCTTCTTCATTAACATAAGGAATCTAACTCAAAATTTAAGATTATTTATATTTATATAAATAACTAAAATATAATGGGAAGATAAGAGAACTGTGAGAGGTGTTCATACTCAGAGAAAGAAGGGATTATATCCATTGGAAATAAGGAGATAGTATTTAAATTGTGAAGGCCAGAGAGGATTGTTTGGGAAATATTGGAAGGGGGAGATCAAGTGTTCCAAGAGAACAATGTGTACTAATCAAGAGAAGAATGTGACCAACAGCCTGCCAGAAGGAAAGTAGAGAATGTGCCTCAGACGCTACAAAATAGTTCAGTTTGATTAGAATGTAGGTGTGGGAGACATCTGCTGTTTTTGTCATCCAACCACCACAATCATTCATTCTTTGAGTAGAAAGATGCCCCAAATTGTATTTGGAGAATAACCCCTCCCTGCTGTTAAATCTCATCAGGTGTGAGAGAGGTTGACAATCTTCAGCTTCAAGGGTAGGCCCTAATTGGCCAAAGTGATTGGTTCAGTGATGAGCAGGTGACCCAATTTAGACCAATGAGAATCAGACCCAAGACTTGTGTTTGAATGTGGCAAAGATTGAGTTAGAACTCAGCTGCGAGAATTCTCTTTCTAATGGACTGCGAATGGAGCCAGCACAGAAGAAAGACATCCAATGATAGAGTGAGAAATTCGTTCCTAATGAAGACATTTCTGAAGCTGAAGTATTCCTTGAGTATTTCATCAATCAACCAATTATTACTTTAACCAATACATTCCCTTTGTTTGCTGTGCCAGTTTTGATAGGGATTTCTGTGTCTACTTTAAAATACGTTGCTCAGGACAGGCGCGGCAGCTCACGTGGGTAATCCCAGCAGTTTGGGAGGCCAAGGCAGGCAGATCACCTGAGGTTGGGAGTTCGAGACCAGCCTGACCAACATGGAGAAACCCCGTCTCTATTAAAAATACAAAATTAGCCGGGTGAGGTGGCACATGCCTGTAATCCTAGCTAACTCAGGAGGCTGAGGCAGGAGAATCACTTGAACCCAGGAGGCGGAGGTTGCGGTGAGCCGAGATTGCACAATTGTACTCCAGTCTGGGCAATAAGAGCAAAGCTCTGTCTCAAAAAAAAAAAAAAAAAAAGTTGCTCAAAGAGTTGAATCTGAAGATCTCAGAGGATCCTTACTACCAAGATATCTTTTTGATTGCATGACCCGCCTGGGTTGGACTTTGATGTAACTTGTGGACAGAATGAGGATGATGCTGGTGCAGATCCCTTCTAACCCTAGGAAGCATCTAGAGTGTGTTGCCATGGAAAGAGCATGGACTTCAAATACATAACGTATTTGTGCTTGCTCCTTAGTGGCATGGTCTTTGGGCAAGTCACTGAATATCCCCTCATATGTATAATGGTGGTGACAATAATTCTTATTTCATTGGTTGGGGAATATGTAAACTACATAGTATGTAAAGTTCCTGGCACACAATGGGTATTCCGTAAAAGTTCACTTTTTTTTGAGACAGAGTCTCGCTCTGTCGCCAGGCTGGAGTGCAATGGCGCAATCTTGGCTCACCGCAACCTCCAACTCCTTGGTTCAAGTGATTCTCCTGCCTCAGCCTCCTGAGTAACTGAGATTAGAGGCACACGCCACCATGCTCAGCTAATTTTTGTATTTTTAGTGGAGACAGGGTTTCACCATGTTGGCCAGGATGGTCTCAATCTTCTGACCTCGTTATCTGCCCACCTCGGCCTCCCAAAGTGCTGGGATTACAGGCGTGAGCCACTGCGCCCGGCCAATTCACTCTTTTTATTATGGAAGGCAGCCAAAGAGGAGCAAGGCTTTTGAATTAGAGAGACCGGGGTTCAAATTCTGACTGTACTCTGGCTAGCTATATGACCCTCAACTAGACAGATGGTTGTTACAGGAGGACAGGGACCATGTCTGTCCTTATTCCTACTGAATGCACAGTGTCCCTAATAGGCATTCGGTACATGTGTAAATTATTTAAATTTTCTGAGTCTGAAATTTTTAAATTGAGTTAATAAAATATATAGTAAAAGACTGTTGTAAGGAATAAATAATATAACATACATAAAACACTTAACTGAATGCCTGGGCCACAGTAAGTGTTCAGTAAATAATAATAATTGCAGGTAATTTTTATTAAGTACTGACCACATGCCAGTCACTATTCTAAACTCTCTAAAGCCTGGATGACAGAGTGAGACCCTGTTTCAAAAAAAAAATTATAAAAAACTCTGCATATATTGACTCATCTGATTTGCAAAATACTCTGTTCCCATTTTACAGGTAAATAAACTGAGGCTCTATTTTTATTATCATTGTCAGAAATACTTTTTTTTTTTTTTTTTTGAGATGGAGTCTTGCTCTGTCTCCCAGGCTGGAGTGCAGTGGCGTGACCTCGGCTCACTGCAAGCTCCGCCTCCCGGGTTCACGCCATTCTCCTGTCTCAGCCTCCCGAGTAGCTGGGACTACAGGCACTCGCCACCACGCCCAGTTAATTTTTTTTGTATTTTTAGTAGAGACGAGGTTTCACCGTGTTAGCCAGGATGGTCTCGATCTCCTGACCTTGTGATCCGCCCACCTCGGCCTCCCAAAGTGCTGGGATTACAGGCGTGAGCCACTGCGCCCGGCCTCAGAAATACTTGATGCCATTTTGGGCCCCATGACTCGTGAATCCAGCTCTTTCTGTTCTTAATGTTTGGGTCTCTCGACGCATCTAATTCAGGTTCCATTAAATGATGTCTTATCTTTTTCTTTTTTATATTACTAGGAAAAAGTAAGCGTTTCTTTCTTTAAAACACAATGAAGACATTTCTCTCAGTCCTCCTCTTTCCGCCATGATGTCCAGGGGGTGAGGTTGGGCCGTCAGAGGTTCTGTTGCCTGGCAGGAACCCTTTAATTCAAAGATGGCCAACAACTCAATGAGCCAGCCGGCCTTTGCTCTCTCCTGGCTGAGCTGAAGCAGCAACCAAGGGCCTCCCATCTCCAGGTCTCTCGCTCTTGTTCTTTCCCTGAGTTGCCTGCTGCCATCTGCTGGCCATATTAAGTTAAAATAATCATCACGTTGATGTTTTCCAAGTTTCTAAATGAGGCTCTGACTGCGCAGGGACTCAGGCAAAGCTGGCTCCAGCCTAATTTCCATTCAGGAACAAGGGCCTCACCGGTCAAATCAGAAACACTCTCAGGCCATTATCTCCATCCTACAAATGTGCTATCTTGTCCAGCCTCACGTTTCATACTCCCTGCCCATCTCCCACCAATCCTCTGACATCCTTTATCCATTAGGCTTGCGCAAGACTCGTATTACCATGACAATCATCCACTTAAAATTTTTTTTTGGAAACAGTTCTACACAGAAAAATTATAAGAATAGTACAAAGAATTCCCCTTGATCCGTCTCCCAGTATCAATTTAAATTTTTTCAGTTGCCTCAGCAGCTCCTTTGTAGCAAAGAATCAGTCCAGGGTCATACATTGCTCCAGTTGTCATTTTTTTTGTTTGTTTTTAGTATCTTTCAATCTGTAAATTGCCACCCTATCCTTGACCTTCATAACTTTGACATTTTAAAAAGTTACATGCCAGGCATTTTGTAAAATGTCTCTCAATTTGGGCTTGTCTGATGTTGTCTTATGCCTCAGTTTAGGCATTTTTTGGTTAAAATATAACAGATGCTGTGTCTTTTCATTACGCATTTTTTGGTTAAAATATAACAGATGCTGTGTCTTTTCATTGCATACAATAAGATTGTACTATCTTATCTGGTAGTACACCCTTATTGGACTGTTTCTGATGGTGTTAATTTTGGTTACTTTCACTAAGATAGTATCTGTCAAGATTTCTCCACTGTAAACTTACTTTTTTTCTTTTGTAATGGTGTTAGTCTCCTATTGTTTTTGCAACAAATTACCACAAACTTAGTGACTTAAAACAACACAATTTTAATAATCTTACAGTTCTGAAGGTCATAAGTCTGAAAGGAGTCCCACTGGGCTACAAGCAAGGTGTCAGCAGGGCTGCGTTCCTTCTGGAGGCTCTAGAAGAGAATCTGTTTCCTTGTTTCCTCCAGCTTCTATTCCTTGGCCCCTTCCTCCATCCTCAAAGCCAGCAGTGTTGCATCTTCAAATCTTTCTCAGACTCTGACTCCTGTTTTCATCATCTCATCTCCTTCTCTGATTCTGTTGCTACTGTCTTTCACTCACAAGGACCCCTGTGATTACATCAGACCCACCTGAACAACTTCCCCATCTCCAGATCATTAATTTACTCACACCTGCAAAGTCTCTCTTGTCCTGTTCACAGGTTCTGGGGATTTGAATGGAGACATCTTTGAGGGGCTATGATTCTGCTCCTCAGCAACTTTGAGACTGTGGAAATTCCTGTTACTTACCCCACTTTCACACGTAAGTTTTAGCATCCTTTGATGCTTCCTGCCTAATTGTTGCTATAATTATTACTGATGCCAAATGGTGATTTTCTAACTCTATAACTCCTTTTACATTTATTAGTAGGCTTTCTAATACACAAAGGAAGTTTCTCTCCTCCCCCTTTATGGAATAATTCATTTATTTATACCAATGTGGACTCATGGGTTTCTTATTTAGTTCAATAGATTATGCTTTATTACTACTGGCATTTTTTGATGTATGAATTGTTGCAGATTTGACCAGTGGGAGCCCCTTCAAGCTGCCTTTTGTGTCCTTTTAACATGTCCTCATCTTGCTTGAACACCTCCTTATTTTTGGCCATAAAAAGATAGATAGTCTAGACTCATCTTGTAATTTCCCTGCCCCAATCCTGGAATCAGCCATTTCTCCAAGGAGGCCTGGTTCCTTTTGGTGGAGAGAGGGGTTTGCAAACCAACATCTGGGTAGTAGGTGTACTCATTGCTCCCAGTTCCTTTCAGTTGACAGAGCTGGAAAATACATGCATGTATATGCACACACATTTACATCTCTATTTCTCTATTTGTACATATTGAAAACCAAGAACTTCAATACCTCCAATTTCAATTCAACACCCAAGGGTTTGTTCAAGTTTTCTTCTTTCCATATTTATGCTTCCCTTGTGAGAAATCTGGTTTAGATTAACCTTTGATATATTTACGTATGTGTCCAATCTTCCTGTGTGTAGCCTATCTTCTCTGTCTCTCTCTTTCTCTTTTTTTTTTTTTTTTTTTTTTTGAGACAGAGTCTCACTCTGTTGCTCAGGCTGGAGTGCAGTGGCATGATCTCAACTCACTGCAACCTCTGCCTCCTGGGTTCTAGCGATTCTCCTGCCTCAGCCTCCCAAGTAGCTGGGGACTACAGGTGCACACCACCATGCCTGGCTAATTTTTGTACTTTTTGGTGGAGACAGGTTTTCACCATGTTGGCCAGGCTGGTCTCAAACTCCTGATTTCAAGTGATCTGCCCGCCTCGACCTCCCGTGTTGGAATTATAGGCATGAACCACTGCGCCTGGCCTCTAGCTGATCTCTTTGGCCCTGCTGGACTACTGTTCCTTCTTATATAGGCTATCCCGGCTCAGGCCTGTCTCCTCCACTCTGCCTGCCTTGTTTGGGCCTACCTAATGGCTTTTTGAGGAATGAAGGAAGGGAGGAAGGGAGAGAGGGAGGGAGAAGGAGAAAGGGAGGCAATAGTTTTTTTCTAAGGGAAGGAAAGGAAAGAGATGATCATGTACTTCTGTAGTTTTTACTTTCTTTCTTTTTTTTTTCTTGAGACGGAGTCTTGCTCTGTCACTCAGCCTGGAGTGCAGTGGCATGATCTCGGCTCACTGCAACCTCCGCCTCCCAGGTTCAAGCAATTCTCCTGCCTCAGCCTCCTGAGAAGCTGGGACTACAAGCGCCCGCCACCATGTCCGGCTAATTTTTGTACTTTTAGTAGAGACGGGGCTTCACCATGTTGGCCAGGCTGGTCTCGAACTCTTGACCTCATGACCCGCCCACCTCGGCCTAGAATTCAAAGTGCTGGGATTCCAGGCATGAGCCACCACACCTGGCCTAGTTTTTACTTTCTTAGAGTTTTAGAGATGGGGTCTTGCTCTGTCACCCAGGCTGGGGTACCGTGGTGTGATCATAGCTCATTGCAGCCTCAAACTCCTGAGCTCAAGTGGTCCTTCCACCTCAGCCTCCCAAGCAGCTGGGATTACAGGAATGAGCCATTGCACTTGGCCAATCACATAGGTTTTTTTTGTTTTTTTTTTTTTTTTTTGAGATGGAGTCTTGCCCTGCCGCCCAGGCTGGAGTGCAATGGCACAATCTTGGCTCACTGCAACCTCCATCTCCCGTGTTCAAGCGATTCTCCTGCCTCAGCCTCCTGAGTAGCTGGGATTACAGGTGCGCACCACAATGCCCAGCTAATTTTTGTATTTTTGGTAGAGACAGCATTTCACGATGTTTGCCAGGATGGTCTCAATCTCCTGACCTCATGATCCGTCCACCTCGGCCTCCCAAAGCATTGGGATTACAGGCGTGAGGCATCACACCCAGCCCAGTCACGTATATTTTTAATGGACCTCTTACCACTATCGTAATAAATTCTTTGTTTGATGGTTATTTTCTCCACTAAAAGAAAAACTCCATGAAGGTAACAACCATGCCTGCTTTGCTCATTTATGGATTGAAACCCAGGGCCTAACACAATTGCTCTTTACGCCTAGCACATTGTAAGTACTTGAGGTTTTGGATAAATGATTAGGTTGTGTAAAACAGCAATAGCAAAATTACAACTATTGAACAGTTTATAACACAACAGACATAAACAATTACTAGTATTTACATAGTCCAAATAGTCTGTGAGCTTTCCAGACTAGAAACCAAACTATGACACCTTTTTATGTTCTCTAAGGCTGAGTGCCCTGGGGTAAAGAGATCTTACTTACTGAGCTTTTGTTGTTATTAAATATTTCTTTGGTTTTGGAGTTTCATATTGTTTAAAATAGATTTTTTTGAACTAAGAATTTCAATACCAAGCTGTATTTCAAGACAATTTCAAATATTACTGTCCTGTAGCATTTGGTAAAATTGATGTTGGCTAATGTCTTAGTCCACTCATGTTGCTATAACAAAAGATGCCCTAGACTGAGCCGTTTATAAACAGTAAAATGTATTGCTTACAGTTCTAGAGGCTAAGTCCACAATCAAGTTTCTAGCAGATATGCTGTCTGGTGAGGTTTCTCTGCTCCACAGTTTGTGCTTTCTATTAATAGTTGTGTCCTTACATGGCAGGAAGGACACACAAGCTCCCTCAGGCCTCTTTCACAAGGCACCAATCCCACTGGTGAGGACTCGCCCTCATGACCTAATCACCTCCCACATACCCCACCTCTTAATACTACCACACTGGGGACTAGGTTTCAACATACAAATTTGGGGAGGTCACAAGCATTCAGACCATAACAGTCACATAGGCAAGACAATGGTATGTTCCAGAGTTTCGTTGTGAGAAATCACTGTTATCATACTTAGCAGCGTGGCAACAAAATGGGCATATTCAGTTGCTTCCAGGCCTGTCCCATCACTCTCCTACAAATTTTTGTTAAATAGCTGTAATCATTTGCCCCCAACTTCTACCAGCAAATGTCAGAGCCAGTCTTTACACTACATGTGTTTCCCCTTTCCTCTCTCTTTTTCTCTCTTAGACACAAAGTCCTAATGCATTTGTGCTTTCCCCAAGTAAAAGGCGTCCGTTTCAGTGACTGATGGAAATAAACAGCTAGACTCTTTCAGAGGACACATTAGGAAGTAATGGAACGTGCCGAAACACAGCTTTCACAAGGGCTGAAAGTGATTGCTCAGCACAAAGGCTACAACTTCAGGCATAAAGAGCCATGCCTTTTTGCTTCTTGTCAAGGTTTTTTTTTTTTTTTTTTTTTTTTTGAGATGGAGTCTCGCTCTGTCGCCCAGGCTGGAGTGCAGTGGTGCAATCTTGGCTCACTGCAACCTCCACCTGCCAGGTTCAAGCAATTCTTCTGCCTCAGCCACCTGAGGAGCTGGGACTACAGGCACGCGCCACCACACCTGGCTAATTTTTGTATTTTTAGTAGAGATGGAGTTTCACCCTGTTGGCCAGGCTGGTCTCGAACTCCTGACTTTGTGATCTACCTGCCTCAGCCTCCCAAAGTGCTGGGATTACAAGTGTGAACCACCTCACCCGGCCTGTCAAGGTTTTTTTTAAAAAAATTAGTGACTCCATTTTTATTGTGATTACTTTCACACTGTCCCATCTGCAACTAGACTTCCTAATCCAATCGTTCTCAACCCTGACTGCCTTAGGAATGATCTAGAATCATTTCTTTAAAATACCAGTGCCCAGAAACTATGAGCAAAGATTCTGATCTCATTGGTTTAGGAGGGGCCCAGGCCTAAGTCCATTTTAAAGAGTCCTGATGATTCCTCTGTGCAGCCAGGGCCCACCCCACACCTCCCAACTCCCCCTTGATCCTTGTCCAGGTGTGTGAGAGTACAACCAAGAATACCCTGGAACCTGAGCTTTCCCTTGAGCCACACTGATTCTCAACCTGGGTACACATTAGAATCGTCTAGGGATCTTTCCAAATCCCAGTGCCAGGCTGCTTCCCAGATGAATTACGTCATACTCTCCAGGGGTGGAACCCAGGATCTGTATAAGTTCCTCAGGATATGAAAACAGGTAGCCAAGTTTGAGAGCTACTGAGCTAGCATGTTTCCATAGGGTCTTCTGAGACACTCAAACTACCAGTGGTAAAGGATGAGCTTTGGTTTTTTGTGTGTGTGTGTGTGTGTGTGTGTGTGTGTGGTCGTTATTGCTTTTAACTTTCAATCCTTTGTATTTTACAAAAATGTCAGTTAGCAAAGAAATAACTCACTAGAAAGATAAGATGAAAAAGCAGACACAACATACAAACCTAGATTTTTTATTAGATTCAAAGACACAAAATTGCTATTAAAATTTTCTAAACAGTCTCAATTTCTGTACTTACCTTGTCATAGACTATAATAGTTTGCACACTGAAGCTGGTCTTTGGGCTACACTTTAAGTAACACCATTCTGAGAAATACATTTACAAGGGATATAAATAGGTGTTGTGTGGTGGTGTGGGGGGATGGGGCTAAAATAGATTTGATAAATACAGCAAGTGATATCCTGTTTAGGACATCAAAGGCCCTAGGCTATTAATGACTCTGAGAAGTTCTGAGATAACAAAAACTGTTTAGCTTCATTTAATTCAGTGTTTCCCAATCTTATAGGATGGGGACACTTGCCTGACCCCAGCCCAGCAATACCATTAACACATTTATGAAGTATCTTAGTATGTTTGGGCTACTATGACAAAAATACTATAAACTAGGTGGCTTATAAACAACAGAAGTTTATTTCTCACAGTTCTGGAGGCTGGGAAGTCCAAAATCAAGGCTCTAGCAGATTTGGTGTCTGATGAGGGCCCACCTCTTTATCGATGGCACCTTCTCATTGTATTCTTACATGGTGGAAGGGGCCAGCAAGCTCCCTTGGGCCTCTTTTTATAAGGGCACTAATCCCATTCATGAAGACTCCACTCTCATGATCTAAACTCCTCCTAAAGATCCCACCTCTTAATAATGTCAGTCATTTTTGCATGGGGGATTACATTTCAACATATGAATTTTGGGGTAATACAAACTTTCAGAATATAGCATGAAGTGTAATCTGTTTAATGATTTATTCTCAGTCATATAAAGCATGCTGACTCACTAAAAAGAGAGATACATCTTTATCAAACTGTCCCCACATTGCCCTCTACCCAGCTGTGCCTCATTCATCTGTGGCTTGACTCTCAGTGACTGGCATTAGCAGCAACCCAGTGACCAAACTAGAGTTCTCCCTCTTTCTCATCCTGATATCCTGACAGTCACCTAGCCTGGCCAGTTCTTCCACTAAATGTGTCTGAGTCTGTTCACTCATGTCCACTGGTGCTACCTGGTTCAGGGACACCTAAACATCATGGTTTCTCTCTCAGGTAGTTGAAACATCTTTTTTACTGGTCTCCCTGTCTTTTGTGCCCAGCCTTCCTTTCTCTGCCCTTCACACCGGAACCAGAATGATTTTTCTAAAATTCAAATCTGATCATGTCACTCCCCTGTCCTTTGACTTCAGTGTCTTCACCCTGACAAAGAATGCTTATTAGGATCTGCCTCTGCCTACCCCTCCAGCCTCAACTTTCATCACTTCCCACTTAACTTTACTGAACTGTTAGCAGTCCCCTAAATACATGGGAGCTTCCTCCAGCTGTTCCCACCTCCCTCTCTGACCCTGTCCTCTCTGGCTAATTCAGCATTCAGGGTCAGTATAGAGGTCCCTTCCTTGAGAAGCTCTCCTTACCCACCCAGACTAGTGTTGTGTCCCTCTTCTGTGATCCCTCAGGACCACTCATCATACATACTGTGTTGTGATTGGCTGTTGACCCTATTTGAGGAATCATCTAGTTGAGCTCCTTCAGGACAGGGTTTGTGTTTTTTTGATTGTTCTAGCCTTAGCACCTGGCCCCCTGCCTAGCACAGACAAGATAATTCAGTACATGCTTGTTGGAGCCAGGCATGGTGGTACACACTTAAAAATCCCAGCTTCTCAGGACGCTGAGGTGGGAGGATTGCTTGGAGCCTAGGAGTTCAAGTCCAGCCTGGGCAACATAGTGAGACCCCAACCCCCATCTCAATTTAAAAAATTACATACTTGTTGAATTAAGTAATTAATTAATGAGCAAATGAATTGCATACCATTCTATTCCTGAACCACAGAGGCCCTGGAAGAGCTCTGACGAATGCACTTTAGTGTCTCAGAAAGTCCCCAGTCCCAGCCCCATACTTGTATTCCAAACGTCATCATCAATCACTAGTTACTTGAGGGTTCTGCATTATCCTTTTCCCAGAATTCTATCTCTACGCAGCTCCTTCAGCCTGACACCTCTTTTGGATCATCTGCCTGGTTTGTAATTTAGGTTTTGCTTTTTTGAAGCTGCCTCTCAGATCATTCTTAGAGCCATAGTTCACATCCCAAGGTATATCTGAGCTCTCCATTTCCCAACCTAAGATCAGCAATTTGGGTTCTCACTTTTCCTGGGAGGAGTTAGGGCATCTATTGCTGAGCCATTGCACCTATTTAACACATTCCTCCAGGCCAGGATGACCAGGCCAGTGTAGCAGACTCTCTGAGACTTTCAGAATCATAAATCTGCCAGGCTGGTTACTCTCTGTGCCTACTCTCCCTCCCTTCTCTGCCCTGCCCTGTGCAGCACGCTGACTTCCACATACTATGGTTTTCTGATGGATTTAACTAGCGAGATACCAGCAGTGATTAGTGGTCAGAGGAGAGACAAATCTGGAATATATTCCTTTGCTTTTGCCTGCTGGGCTAGGATTTTTGTAGTGCCTGAATTCCTCCATAACTACAGCTCTTGTGGGCTGGCTCTCTTCCAGGGCTCCAACTCTCACCAGCTTCTAGTAACACCATTCCCTACCCTTGTTCCTTTCAGGTGGGGATCAAGGGTGGCAATGGCTCCTTGCTGATGTGAATCCCTGGATGCTTCATGGTCTCCCTTAACCCTGTCCACACCTCTGTACATAATCTCTTGATTACACTCCTTTTAATTCACCCATTAAGTTCACCATCTGTGTCTTACTGCGACCCTGTCTGGTGAGATCCTCACCTAGTACAGTAGCTTCACTTCACAGCACAGAGGTTGAGCAAGTAGAACTGAGGTCTCCTGGACAAGTCCATGATCTTTTCCTCCCCACCATCATCACCTCACTTGTTCCAGAATCTAGAATAGAAATATTAAGCATATAATAATAATAATAATTAATAGCTATCATTTGAATTCTTAAAAAATATGCCACAAGTTGTGACAAGTGTTCTACATAAATGATTTCATTTAATTCTCACAGCAAGCCTGTGACACAATGCTGTGAGGCAGGTTTTATTTATTATTTTTATTTTTTAAATGAAAAACTTGAGTCTTAGAGAGATTAAGTAATTTGGCACAAGTCATGCAGCATAGAAATGGCAGAGCAGGGATTTTTGTCTGACTGCTTGACTCCAAAGCAGGTACTTTTATAACTAGTAGGTTATTTGCTCTTGGGATCACCCCATCACACTGACTTTTTTTTCTTTTCCCCCAAGACAGAGTCTCACTCTGTCACCCAGACTGGAGTGCGGTGGCATGATCTCAGCTCACTGCAACCTCCACCTCCCAGGTTCAAGTGATTCTTCTGCCTCAGCCTCCCGAGTAGCTGGGACTACAGGTGTGCACCACCATGTCTGGCTAATTTTTGTATTTTTAGTAGAGACAGGGTTTCACTATGTTGGCCAGGCTGGTCTTGAACTCCTGACCTCGTGATCTGCCCACCTCAGCCCCCCAAAGTGCTGGGATTACAGGCATGGGCCACTGCGCCCAGCCTTACACTGACTTTGAACTCACTGTCAGTGTAAACTCCATCAAATGATAGATGTGGTCTGGCTGTAGCCTGCTGGGAAATCAGGAAGACTGGAAAGCCAGCCTAGGAAACAGCACTGGAATAAGAAGCACTTGAACAAAGGAGCTGGCAGAGATTCAGAGTTTAAAAGGAGATGATGGCATGTTAGAAAAAGAAAGGGTGGAACAGGTTTCAGGTAGAAATGCTGCAGGTAATTTACATCATTCTCTCAAAAGTGACCACCCTCAGTGCCCATTAGGTTAAGTAACAAGAGCCCCCCGAGTTCCCAAAATGAAGTCAGTCTTGTTCTTCAATCTTAAACAGTGGGAGAGCAGATTTGGCCACTGTATCTGCTGGGAGCTATTGCAGGGTGTCTAGGGCAGAGTTAAAATAAACATCTGTTAATCCCTGCTATCTCCAGGTGAAGGAAAAGTAAACATGAGCCTTTGAATTAGGAAAGACCAAATATCTCTCTCCTACAATCCTCTGTTCTCACATAACCCAAAATGGATCACTTTATTTTGTCACTTATTTGTTCCCCAGTAAGAGTCAGAAAGCTGAGTTCTATACTTTTTTCGGCTTCCTTATATATGTCACTTGAAAACAATTGTTATTTTCTGCTATTTATAAAAATACATTTTTGTGGAAATTTAAAAAAATACAGAGAGAAAAAAATGAAAGAAAGATTAATTTCATCATCTACAGAAAACCATTGATTACATGTTGACATATAATATGGTTTTTAAACTGTGCTCCAGAGAACTTGGGATATGGAAGTGTCTGGCCCACACCCAAGAGAACACATGGACAGCGTTTCAGGTCCCCCTCTTGGATTACAGCAAAGCCGTTCTCTTTACTTTCCTCTGTGATTTTGGGTTCTGCAGAAGATTTTTAGCTGGTTTAAAAAGGCTTGAAAACTGCTTATCTGCATCTTCCTTTTGAATGGCTTCCTACTATGTAGCTAGTTGATAATTTGTTAAACCATCCATCCAAAATTGGACAAGCTCTATCTTCAGAGAGGTATCTGGGAGAGGACAACAAGAGGTAATCAGTGTGAGAAGGTTTTAAACACTCTCCCAATCAACCACCATGGCATTTATTTCACTAGAGTTGAATTCAAACCCTCCAGTTCCCAGACTCCTTCAAACTGTCAGCCTGAAATACCGCAATTTCCTTTTCCATCAAATATTTGAGTAAATTCACGTCCATGAAGAATAACCATTTGAGGAAAGAAAAATTATGACATTAACAAATATCTGTAATTTTTGCCCCTCACAATGAGTTCAGAACTGTGAATAAACCCTATGTTCCTTCCTAAAATGCTTTCCTAAGAAATACGGATAGTCGGGATTTTTTTTCTATTCTAAATTACAGAATGAAGTTCTTGGTGTCAGCAGTATTTCCACCATAGAATTAGCTGCAGATGAAGAAAATGGACACCGTGTGTTATAACCATGCTCTCAAGCCCACTTTATAATATGTTCCCTGGTGGGTGAAGTTATTATCAAGTACGGACCATCATGAGTACTTTTCAGTGGAGAACTATGACTTCAAAAGCACTATGTTGAAGAGGTATTGATTTTGGAAAACTATTAAATGTATGATGATGGAGCCATCACACCTGTGAGAAGCGGTGAATGTGCTCAACAGAAATTGCATGTCTAGAAGGAAGAGCACAGCTGGAGTCAGGGGAGGAGAAAGAGAAAGAGGAAGCCATGGTACCAGTCACGATGCTGTTGCCTTCCCTCTGCCGGACCACAGTGCCTGTTAGGAGGCTCGGGCTGCACATCCTATCAATGCCTACCCTTAAGGCTTAGACCCCTGCCTTCTGGGCCCATCCCCATTAAGAGCATTTTGTTTGCAGAAGGATAACTTTCAGATTTTTCCTTTTCTTTTTGGAAGTGACAATTTCCCAATTTATCACTCCAGTTTTAACAGTTTTGCCTCTACCCATAATTGCGCGGAGACATTTTAGAGATTTAATTCATTTTGCAATACTAAATAGTTCCCCTTTAATCATTCATGTCAGACACTATTCACATTTCTTAAAAATTTATAAGATGATTCTGATCTGTCAGAAAAAAAGCCTCTTTAAAATTCAGATTAACTTGCTGCTTGTTCTCCATGTTAATGTGTTTTCCATCAGTCACTGCTGTCACAAAACTATTTGTACAAGGCTTAATATGCAGAAAGTCGTTTTATAGTTTTACATGTGGGAAATGTTTTTCTACACTCCCCCAATCTTAAAAATGCTGTCTGTCAACCTCTTCTATTTGTTATGCTATCCTTTATCTTTGATCCTCCTTAGTCTCTTTCTTCTTAAGAGGCTGCTGACCACTGCTGTGGGAAATGAGGCAGCAGTATATCCAGTGGTTAAGAGCATGACTTTGGAATCAGACCTGGTCTGTGCCTCAGTGTGACCTCTTCCTAGCTATGTGACCTTGAGCAAGTCAAAATCATCTGAGCTTCAGTTTCCCCAACTACTAAATGGAGCAACAGTACTTACCCCTGAGGCAACATCAAGGTGAAGCCCCTAGGATGGCTGATACTAACTGCTTTTTAAGTTCTAGCTACACACACATACACATGCACACACACATACACACAGAGAATATATGTCATTGACATAGTGGCAAAACTACTGTTTGTCCATTATTTTCAGGGAAGAATGAGTTAAGAGCCATTTCTATTACTCCCAGGTACAACTGAAATAAAAGCTTAAAAGAAGATGGAGATTGGAGATGGAAGTTTATCTTCATCTATGGAACTGGAAATACACTAGCTTTGTAGAAATTATGGGTATTGAATAAAAATTTATCAAGACAACTAAATAATATGACATGAGTTACAAGATATCATTAGACATTTTTATGGACTGAGTGTTTGTATCCTCCCCAAATTTATATCTTAAAACCTAATCACTGGCTGGGCGTGGTGGCTCACGCCTGTAATCCCAGCACTTTGGGAGGCCAAAGTGGGTGGATCATGAGGTCAGGAGATCAAGACCATCCTGGCTAACATGGTGAAACCCCATCTCTACTAAAAATACAAAAAATTAGCTGGGCATGGTGGCACATGCCTGTAGTCCCAGCTACCCGGGAGGCTGAGGAGGGAGAATCGTTTGAACTTGGGAGGTGGAGGTTGCAGTGAGCCAAGATCGCACCACTGCACTCCAGCCTGGGCAACAGAGCAAGACTCCATCTTAAAAAACCAAAACATGGCCAGGTGCGGTGGCTCATGCCTGTAATCCCAGCACTTTGGGAGGCTGAGGCGGGTGGATCAAGAGTTCAGGAGTTCAAGACTAGCATGACCAACATGGGGAAACCCTGTCTCTACTAAAAAATACAAAAATTAGCCAGGTGTGGTGTCACGCGCCTGTAGTCCCAGCTACTCAGGAGGCTGAGGCAGGAGAATCTCTTGAACCCGGGAGGTGGAGGTTTCAGTGAGCTGAGATTGCACCATTGCATTCCAGCCTGGGCAACAGAGTGAGACTCTGTCTCAAAAAACAAAAACAAAACAAAACAAAACAAAACAAAAAAACCAAACCTAATCACCAGTGTGATAATATTAGGAGGCAGGGCTTTGGGAGGTAATTAGGTCATGAGGGTGAAACCCTCATGAGTGGGATCAGTGCCTTTCTAAGCAGAGATGCAAGAGCTTGGCTCCCACCTACTTCTGCCATGTGAGGATATGATGAGAAGGTGGCCATCTGCAAACCAGGAAGAGAGCCCCTTGATGCCAGTGACTTGATCTTAGACTTCCCAGCCTCCAGAACTGTGAGAAAAAAAGTTTGTTGTTTAAGCCACCCAGTGTATTCTGTTATAGTAGCCTGAACTGTCTAAAATAGACATTTTAAAAATTATTTATCATGCTCTTCCACTTATAAATACTCTTAGTTAATTTCTTTTTTTTTTATTATACTTTAAGTTTTAGGGTACATGTGCAGAACGTGCGGGTTTGTTACATATGTATACATGTGCCATGCTGGTGTGCTACACCCATTAACTGGTCATTTAACATTAGGTATATCTCCTAATGCTATCCCTCCCCCGCTCCACCCCATAACAAGCCCTGGTGTGTGATGTTCCCCTTCTTGTGTCCATGTGTTCTCATTGTTCAATTCCCACCTATGAGTAAGAATCTGCGGTGTTTGGTTTTTTGTCCTTGCGATAGTTTGCTGAGAATGATGGTTTCCAGGTTCATCCATGTCCCTACAAAGGACATGAACTCATCATTTTTTATGGCTGCATAGTATTCCATGGTGTATATGTGCCACATTTTCTTAATCCAGTCTATCATTGTTGGATGTTTGGGTTGGTTCCTAGTCTTTGCTCTTGTGAATAGTACCGCAATAAACATACGTGTGCATGTGTCTTTATAGCAGCATGATTTATAATCCTTTGGGTATATACCCAGTAATGGGATGGCTGCGTCAAATGGTACTTCTAGTTCTAGATCCCTGAGGAATCACCACACTGACTTCCACAATGGTCGAACTAGTTTACAGTCCCACCAACAGTGTAAAAGTGTTCCTATTTCTCCACATCCTCTCCAGCAGCTGTTGTTTCCTGACTTTTTAATGACCACCAGTCTAACTGGTGTGAGATGGTATCTCATTGTGGTTTTGATTTGCATTTCTGTGATGGCCAGTGATGATGAGCATTTTTCCATGTGTCTTTTGGCTGCATAAATGTCTTTTTTTGAGCAGTGTCTGTCCATATCCTTCACCCACTTATTGATGGGGTTGTTTGTTTTTTTCTTGTAAATTTGTTTGAGTTCTTTGTAGATTCTGGATATTAGCCCTTTGTCAGATGCGTAGATTGCAAAAATTTTCTCCCATTCTGTAGGTTGCCTGTTCACTCTGATGGTAGTTTCTTTTGCTATGCAGAAGCTCTTTAGTTTAATTAGATCCCATTTGTCAATTTTGGCTTTTGTTGCCATTGCTTTTGGTGTTTTAGACATGAAGTCCTTGCCCATGCCTATGTCCTGAATGGTATTGCCTAGGTTTTCTTCTAGGGTTTTTATGGTTTTAGGTCTAACATTTAAGTCTTTAACCCATTCTGAATTAATTTTTGTATAAAGTGTAAGGAAGGGATCCAGTTTCAGCTTTCTACATGTGGCTAGCCAGTTTTCCCAGCACCATTTATTAAATAGGGAATCCTTTCCCCATTGCTTGTTTTTCTCAGGTTTGTCAAAGATCAGATAGTTGTAGATATGTGGCTTTATCTCTGAGGACTCCGTTCTGTTCTGTTGGTCTATATCTCTGTTTTGGTACCAGTACCATGCTGTTTTGGTTACTGTAGCCTTGTAGTATAGTTTGAAGTCAGGTTGTGTGATGCCTCCAGCTTTGTTCTTTTGGCTTAGGATTGACTTAGCAATGTGGGCTCTTTTTTGGTTCCATATGAACTTTAAAGTAGTTTTTTCCAATTCTGTGAAGAAAGTCATTGGTAGCTTGATGGGGATGGCATTGAATCTATAAATTACCTTGGGCAGTATGGCCATTTTCACGATATTGATTCTTCCTACCCATGAGCATGGAATGTTCTTCCATTTGTTTGTATCCTCTTTTATTTTGTTGAGCAGTGGTTTGTAGTTCTCCTTGAAGAGGTCCTTCACATCCCTTGTAAGTTGGATTCCTAGGTATTTTATTCTCTTTGAAGCAATTGTGAATGGGAGTTCACTCATGATTTGGCTCTCTGTTTGTCTGTTATTGGTGTATAAGAATGCTTGTGATTTTTGCACATTGATTTTGTATCCTGAGACTTTGCTGAACTTGCTTATCAGCTTAAGGAGATTTTGGGCTGAGATGATGGGGTTTTCTAGATATACAATCATGTCATCTGCAAACAGGGACAATTTGACTTCCTCTTTTCCTAATTGAATACCCTTTATTTCCTTCTCCTGCCTGATTGCCCTGGCCAGAACTTCCAACACTGTGTTGAATAGGAGTGGTGAGAGAGGGCATCCCTGTCTTGTGCCAGTTTTCAAAGAGAGTGCTTCCAGTTTTTGCCCATTCAGTATGATATTGGCTGTGGGTTTGTCATAGATAGCTCTTATTATTTTGAGATACGTCCCATCAATACCTAATTTATTGAGAGTTTTTAGCATGAAAGGCTGTTGAATTTTGTCAAAGGCCTTTTCTGCATCTATTGAGATAATCATGTGATTGTTGTCGTTGGTTCTGTTCATATGCTGGATTACATTTATTGATTTGCATATGTTGAACCAGCCTTGCATCCCAGGGATGAAGCCTACTTGATCATGGTGGATAAGCTTTTTGATGTGCTGCTGGATTCGGTTTGCCAGTATTTTATTGAGGATTTTTGCATCGATGTTCATCAGGGATATTGGTCTAAAATTCTATTTTTTTATTGTGTCTCTGCCAGGCTTTGGTATCAGGATGATACTGGCCTCATCAAATGAGTTAGGGAGGATTCCCTGTTTTTCTATTGATTGGAATAGTTTCAGAAGGAATGGTACCAGCTCCTCCTTGTACCTCTGGTAGAATTCAGCTGTGAATCCATCTGGTATTTTTTTCGTTGGTAAGCTATTAATTATTGCCTCAATTTTTTTCGTTGAGACATCGCCTCACCCGGGAAGTGCAAGGGGTCAGGGAATTCCCTTTCCTAGTCAAGGAAAGGGGTGACAGATGGCACCTGGAAAATCAGGTCACTCCCACCCTAATACTGCGCTTTCCAATGGTCTTAGCAAATAGCATACCAGGAGATTACCCTCCAGCACCTGGCTCAGAGGGTCCTAAGCCCACAGAGCCTTGCTCATTGCTAGCACAGCAGTCTGAGATCAAACTGCAAGGCAGCAGTGAGGCTGGGGGAGGGGTGCCCGCCATTGCTGAGGCTTGAGTAGGTAAACAGAGCAATTAGGAAGCTCAAACTGGGTGGAGCCCACCACAGCTCAAGGAGGCCTGCCTGCCTGCCTCTGTAGACTCCACTCTGGGGGCAGGGCATAGCAAACAAAAGGCAGCAGAAACCTCTGCAGACTTTTTTAGCATGAAGGGCTGTTGAATTTTGTCAAAGGCCTTTTCTGCATCTGTTGAGATAATCATGTGGTTTTTGTCATTGGTAAGCTATTAATTATTGGACTTGTTTTCATTGGTAAGCTATTAATTATTGCCTGAATTTCAGAGCCTGTTATTGGTGTATTCAGAGATTCAACTTCTTCCTCGTTTAGTCTTCAGAGGCTGTATGTGCCCAGGAATTTATCCATTTCTTCTTGATTTTCTAGTTTATTTGCATAGAGGTGTTTATAGTATTCTCTAATGGTAATTTGTATTTCTGTGGGATCGGTGTTGATATCCCCTTTATCATTTTTTATTGCGTCTATTTGATTCTTCTCTCTTTTCTTCTTTATTAGTCTTGCTAGCAGTCTATCAATTTTGTTGATCCTTTCAAAAAACCAGTACCTGGATTCATTGATTTTTTGAAGAGTTTTTTGTGTCTCTATTTCCTTCAGTTCTGCTCTGATCTTAGTTATTTCTTGCCTTCTGCTAGCTTTTGAATGTGTTTGCTCTTGCTTCTCTAGTTCTTTTAGTTATGATGTTAGGGTGCCAATTTTAGATCTTTCCTGCTTCCTCTTGTGGGCATTTAGTGCTATAAATTTCCCTCTACACACTGCTTTGAATGTGTCCCAGAGATTCTGGTATGTTGTGTCTTTGTTCTCATTGGTTTCAAAGAACATCTTTATTTCTGCCTTCATTTTGTTATGTACCCAGTAGTCATTCAGGAGCAGGTTGTTCAGTTTCCATGTAGTTGAGCAGTTTTGAGTGAGTTTCTTAATCCTGAGTTCTAGTTTGATTGCACTGTGGTCTGAGAGACAGTTTGTTATAATTTCTGTTCTTTTACATTTGCTGAGGAGTGCTTTACTTCCAACTATGTGGTCAATTTTGGAATAGGTGTGGTGTGGTGCTGAAAAGAATGTATATTCTGTTGATTTGGGGTGGAGAGTTCTGTAGATGTCTATTAGGTCTGCTTGGTGCAGAGCTGAGTTCAATTCCTGGATATCCTTGTTAACTTTCTGTCTCGTTGATTTGTCTAATGTTGACAGTGGGGTGTTAAAGTCTCCCATTATTATTGTGTGGGAATCTAACTCTCTTTGTAGGTCTCTAAGGACTTGCTTTATGAATCTGGGTGTTCCTGTATTTGGTGCATATATATTTAGGATAGTTAGCTCTTCTTGCTGAATTGATCCCTTTACCATTATGTAATGGCCTTCTTTGTCTCTTTTGATCTTTGTTGGTTTAAAGTCTGTTTTATCAGAGACTAGGATTGCAACCCCTGCCTTTTTTTGTTTTCCATTTGCTTGGTAGATCTTCCTCCATCCCTTTATTTTGAGCCTATGTATGTCTCTGCACATGAGATGGGTTTCCTGAATACAGCACACTGATGGGTCTTGACTCTTCATCCAATTTTCCAGTCTGTGTCTTTTAATGGGAGCATTTAGCCCATTTACATTTAAGGTTAATATTGTTATGTGTGAATTTGATCCTGTCATTATGATGTTAGCTGGTTATTTTGCTCATTAGTTGATGCAGTTTCTTCCTAGCCTCGATGGTCTTTACAATTTGGCATGTTTTTGCAGTGGCTGGTACCGGTTGTTCCTTTCCATGTTTAGTGCTTCCTTCAGGAGCTCTTGTAGGGCAGGCCTGGTGGTGAAAAAATCTCTCAGCATTTGCTTGTCTGTAAAGTATTTTATTTCTCCTTCACTTATGAAGCTTAGTTTGGCTAGATATGACATTCTGGGTTGAAAATTCTTTTCTTTAAGAATGTTGAATATTGACCCCCACTCTCTTCTGGCTTGTAGAGTTTCTGCTGAGAGATCCGCTGTTAGTCTGATGGGCTTCCGTTTGTAGGTAACCTGACCTTTCTCTCTGGCTGCCCTTAACACTTTTTCCTTCATTTCAACTTTGGTGAATCTGACAATTATGTGTCTTGGAGTTGCTCTTCTAGAGGAGTATCTTTGTGGCGTTCTCTGTATTTCCTGAATTTGAATGTTGGCCTGCCTTGCTAGATTGGGGAAGTTCTCCTGGATAATATCCTGCAGAGTGTTTTCCAACTTAGTTCCATTCTCCCCGTCACTTTCAGGTACACCAATCAGATGTAGATTTGGTCTTTTCACATAGTCCCATATTTCTTGGAGGCTTTGTTCATTTCTTTTTATTCTTTTTTCTCTAAATTTCTCTTCTCACTTCATTTCATTCATTTGATCTTCCATCACTGATACTCTTTCTTCCAGTTGATCAAATCGGCTACTAAGGCTTGTGCATGTGTCACGTAGATCTCGTGCTGTGGTTTTCAGCTCCATCAGGTGCTTTAAGGACTTCTCAGCATTGGTTATTCTAGTTATCCATTTGTCTAATCTTTTTTCAAGGTTTTTAACTTCTTTGCCATGGGTTCGAAACTCCTCCTTTAGCTCGGAGAAGTGTGATCATCTGAAGCCTCCTTCTCTCAACTCATCAAAGTCATTCTCCATCCAGCTTTGTTCCATTGCTTGTGAGGAGCTGCATTCCTTTGGAGGAGGAGAGATGCTCTGATTTTTAGAATTTTCAGTTTTTCTGCTCTGTTTTTTCCCCCATCTTTGTTGTTTTGTCTACCTTTGGTCTTTGATGATGGTGACGTACAGACCGGGTTTTGGTGTGGATGTCCTTTTCTTTTGTTAGTTTTCCTTCTGACAGTCAGGACCCTCAGCTGCAAGTCTGTTGGAGTTTTCTGGAGGTCCACTCCAGACCCTGTTTGCCTGGGTATCAGCAGCGGAGGCTGCAGAACAGCGAATATTGGTGAACAGCAAATGTAGCTGCCTGATCATTCCTCTGGGGAGTACCCAGCTGTGTGAGGTGTCAGTCTGCCCCTACTGGGGGGTGCCTCCCAATTAGGCTACTTGGGGGTCAGGGACCCACTTGAGGAGGCAGTCTGTCCGTTCTCAGATCTCAAGCTGTGTGCTGGGAGAACCACTACTCTCTTCAAAGCTGTCAGGGACACTTAAGTCTGCAGAGGTTTCTGCTGCCTTTTGTTTGCTATGCCCTGCCCCCAGAGGTGGAGTCTACAGAGGCAGGCGGGCCTCCTTGAGCTGTGGTGGGCTCCACCCAGTTTGAGCTTCCTAATTGCTCTGTTTACCTACTCAAGCCTCAGCAATGGCGGGCACCCCTCCCCCAGCCTCACTGCTGCCTTGCAGTTTGATCTCAGACTGCTGTGCTAGCAATGAGCAAGGCTCTGTGGGCGTAGGACCCTCTGAGTCAGGTGCGCTGGAGGGTAATCTCCTAGTATGCCATTTGCTAAGACCATTGGAAAGCGCAGTATTAGGGTGGGAGTGACCTGATTTTCCAGGTGCCATCTGTTACCCCTTTCCTTGACTAGGAAAGGGAATTCCCTGACCCCTTGTGCTTCCCAGGTGAGGCAATGCCTCGCCCTGCTTCGGCTCATGCTCGGTGCACTGCCCCCACTGTCCTGCACCCGCTGTCTGACACTCCCCAGTGAGATGAACCTGGTACCTCAGTTGGAAATGCAGAAGTCATTCTTCTTCTGCGTCACTCACGCTGGTAGCTGTAGACTGGAGCTGTTCCTATTTGGCCATCTTGGCTAGAGTCCCCTCTACTCTTAGTTAATTTCAAATCAGATTTCAGATAGACATGGAAAACATGAAGTTAATAAGCAGTGAGCTGGTAAGGTGGTTTGTGCCTGTAATCCCAGCTAATTGGAAGGCTGAGGCAGGAGGACTGCTTGAAGCCAGGAGTTGGAGACCAGCCTGGGCAACAGAGAGACTTGTTTTTTTGTTTGTTTGTTTTTAAATTTTTAAATGGTTCTTTATTCATAAACCTGATGCAGGTTTACAAAATTAACTATAACATATCCAAATAAATCTGTGATGAAAAATAAAATCCAAAAAACAAAGCATGCCAAATGTGCAGCTATCAATCTCTTTGCCATCAGGATATTAAAGAATTCAATAATGTATTCAAGATTTAGCTTTAGGTTTAAGGAACTTTAATGCTTTAAAGAATTCTGCCTTGTTACTTGTTATGTGAGCAACCGGCAATCAGAACTTTATACAAATGTAACCAAGTGAACAAGAATACCAGAAATTAAAAAAATAAATAAATTAGCTGGGTGTGGTGGCGTGCACATGCAATCTTAGCTATTTGGGAGGCTGAGGTGGAAGGACTGCTTGAGCCCCGGGGAGTTTGAGGTTGCAGTGAGCTATGATCCCACCACTGCACTCCAGCCTGCACCGCAGAGTGTGACCCCGTCTCTAAAAAAAATTAAAAACTAAAAAGTACTGTTAAAAAATCAGTGACTATTACTCCAAACCTAACACATGCTGACAGGAATGTAACAAATACAAGATAATGCCTGCTGGTGTAGCAGAGAGGGGGCCCTGGAGGTTGGGTAAGGATCCTGGCTCTACACCTATTTGCTGTGGGGTCTTGGGTGAACAACTTGAACTTTCCTCATCTGTAAAATATGGGTAGGTGTAAGTATCTCACAGAAGTGGATGTAAAAGTACCTGCCCCCAGGCCTGGCCCATGGAGTGCTCAAAAATGTTAGCCCCTCCCTTCCAAGAGCGTACAGGTTTTGTGACGAGAAATATTAAAAGTAATTGCAAAAACTGCATTACTTTTTTTACCAACCTAATAATTAGAAAATGTAGTTCAGCTGCTAGGATGCTAAATGCAATGGAGGGCAAAGAGGGAGAAATGGGCACTTCCAGAACAATGAGTGAAGGCTCTGGGAGGGGGCGTCAAACACAGTAAAGTGGTGGTGATGGGAACAGTATCACCAATCCCCCCCCCAACCCCGACACACACACACAAAATCCAATTTTCTACCTTAAGTGAAGGAGGGCCTACGTTTGGGCACTAGGACTTCCTAAAGAGCATGACGTCATCCAGAACCCTGTCATTGTTTGCTTTAAGATGGAATGCTTTGGCTTGTGAATCCTAAGCAGCAGACTGACTGGTGCAAAATGCCTCAGTTTCCCCTTCCAAAAAGCCAATGAGCTGAATATGCTGAGGACCAAGAAGGAAGGCCCCATCTCGTTGCTTTCCACACTGTGAAAAGGGATGAGCCCTGCCTTCTGTTGCTCGGTGTTAGAACTGGCACCTCATTGGTTGGATGCAGTGGCTCACACCTGTAATCCCAGCATTTTGGGAGGCCGAGGCAGGTGGATCATGAGGTCAGGAGTTCGAGACCAGCCTGGCCAAGGTGGCGAAACCCCGTCTCTACTAAAAATACAAAAATTAGCTGGGCACCTGTAATCCCAGCTACTCGGGTGGCTGAGGCAGGAGAATCACTTGAATCTGGGAGGCGGAGGTTGCAGTGAGCTGAGGTCACACCACTGCACTCTAGCCTGGGCGACAGAGCAAGATTCCATCTCAAAAACAGACAAAAAGAACTAGCACCTCGTTCTTGCCTTCAACAGTTGTATTTCAGTTTTTAAAAAGCAAAAGATTGAGGGTGCTTCAAACAAAACACAACTCCTCTGCTGTCTCCTTTAGTCTGATAACTCCCATTCTCTCCTCTTCTTACCTGCTTTGGAACCCAAAATAAGTTCAGCTTCCAGCAACGGAATCTCATTGGCAAATCAATAGTGGCCCTGAGGCACCGCACACAGCTGCCCCCTCTCCTGGTGAACTTTGCTTTCCCTGCACTGCATGGCACTCTGAGGCTATGCTTTTACTTTTTCTCTTCTCTCCAACTGCAGCCAAGGAAACGCTCATGGGAGGAGAAACAATCCTGAGAAGCTAACTAGGGGCCAAATTGGGCTTTTGAATCTAAGCGGTGTGTGTTAACACTTATGCCCTCTGCAAATGGCTTCTGAAGCCACAAAAGGCTTTCTTTCCTTAGATTACTCTCTGTAGCAGCTAGACATTTTCTATCTGTTCCAGGGTGTCAACAAAATAAAGAACTGTGGTCGCATCTTCCCTTTTCTCCAGAGAGCAAGAAACCGAGTTAGAGGGAAAAATACTTACAGATATACTTCTGAAAGCTCGACACTTGCCAGCCCTGGTGTGTTGCAGTAGGAAGATCAGCAGCCTCAGACAGGGCCTCATGGGCCACCGCAGTGAGAAACAACTGTCCCTGCTCCCTACAAGAACTGGGCCCAGAGCAGTGGGAGTAGGCAGGGTCATCAAGGAAGCTCATTCTATTGGGAGCTCCCAATTTTCCCAACATTAGGGCTTCCTGGGGGCTTCTGTGCAATAAACAGGTGGTAAAAGAGTGTGAACCCTGCCACTTGGAACCACTGAAGGAAAGCAGGATAGCCATGCTCCAATGCAAAAAGCATCCTCATGGAGAAGAGATTAGGCTTATTCTAAGTGAACTTGGACCTACCACTAGGGTCTAGATTCAGATATTAGTATTCTAAAAGACTGAATTGTTCAAAGAAAAGGATTATTCTAGGAGGTAGAAGCACTATAAGAGAGGCTGTACTGACCAACTTTCAAGGCCTCTGCCAATCCTGAGGTTCTATGTCCCGCTTCTCAACCACTTCCATTTTGGTTTGAACACCACACATTATTCTAGGAGCACATTCTATGTGGCCCACCAGGTGTCTTGGGCTAAACCGATGAACTCATCTCTCTCTCTCTCTCTCTCTCTTTCTCTCTCTCTCTGACACACACACACACACACACACACACACACACAGAGTTATGGTGATTGATTCAGTAATTACTGGGCATATCCTTTAAAGTAAATCATAATAATTTGCTAGGAATACTGAAACTGGTGTCCTCTTTCTTTTTTTTTTTTTTTTGAGATGGAGTCTCGCTCTTCTTGCCCAGGCTGGAGTGCAATGGTGCAATATTGGCTCACCGCAACCTCTGCCTCCCAGGTTCAAGTGATTCTCCTGCCTCAGCCTCCCGAGTAGCTAGGATTACAGGCATGCGCCACCACACCCAGCTAATTTTGTATTTTTAGTTGAGACAGGGTTTCTCCATGTTGGTCAGGCTGGTCTTGAACTCTCGATGTCAGGTGATCCACCCGCCTCAGCCTCCCAAAGTGCTGGGATTACAGGAGTGAGCCACAGTGCCCGGCCAGTTCTCTTTCATTTATGCTAAATAAGAGTAAGGAAGAAAAGGGTCTTTATTGCTGTTGGCAGATATTTTTGGAGGACCACTCCAAAAGCCATCTTTCGGAGGAAGGCAGAAATAGGGGGAGAAAGGAAACAAGGTCCTTGGTGATATGAAGTCATGAATCAATCCTTACCTTAGGCTAGATCTACCTTTGGACCTTTTAGTGCAAACATCTATAAAATCTCTTGATTATCTGAATCAGTCTTAGTTGGTGTTTTTGTTATTTGCAAATAAAAGTACCTTAACCAATGTAAGGGCAATAGTGAGACATGTACATCTCAGCCTCTGACCTCAAAGAAAGAGCTTCCAATATAGCTAGGAAGATGAGACATTTTTATAGGATAAGTAGAGCAGCACAGAAGAAGAATATAGATATTAGACATTGAGAGGTGAAGCTAGCTGGGCTTCTGGGTCAGGTGGGGACTTGGAGAATTTTTCTGTCTAGCTAAAGGATTGTAAATGCACCAGTCAGCACTCTGTGTCTAGCTAATCGGGTGGGGACTTGGAGAACTTTTGTGTCTAGCTAAAAGATTGTAAATGCACCAATCAGCCCTCTGTGTCTAGCTAAAGATTTGTAAATGCATCAGTCAGCACTCTGTCAAAACAGACCAATCAGCTCTCTGTAAAATGGACCAATCTGCTCTGTAAAATGGACCAATCAGCAGGATGTAGGTGGGGCCAAATAAGAGAATAAAAGCAGGCCACTTGAGCCAGCAGTGGCAACCCACTCAAGTCCCCTTCCATGCTGTGGAAGCTTTGTTCTTTCGCTCTTTGCAATAAATCTTGCTGCTGCTCACTCTTTGGGTCCACACTACCTTTATGAGCTGTAACATTCACTGTGAAGGTCTGCAGCTTCACTCCTGAAGCCAGCGAGACCACGAACCCACCAGAAGGAAGAAACTCTGGACACATCTGAACATCAGAAGGAACAAACTCCGGACACACCATCTATAAGAACTGTATCACTCACCATGAGGGTCCGCGGCTTCATTCTTGAAGTCAGTGAGACCAAGAACCCACCAATTCTCCAATTCTGGACACATTTTGGTGACCATGAAGAGAACATCGCTTATCGCCAAGCGGTGAGACTATCACCTATTGCCAAGCGGTGAGTACCATTGAACCCCTTTCACTTGCTATTCTGTCCTATTTTTCCTTAGAATCTGGGGGCTAAATACCAGGCACCTGTTGGCCAGTTAAAGGCGACTAGTGCAGCTGCCGGACTAAAGTCATGGTTGTCAGGCTTTCTGGCAAAGGGCTCTCTAACAATCCCCGACTCTTCGGAGTTGGGAGTGTTGGTTTGCCTGGAACCAGCTTCTGCTTTTCCTGTACTTCTGGGCTGAGCTGAGGGTTGACAGAGAGGAAAGCCATTCAGCTCCGGGGTCCCAACAAGTTGGTTGGCCCTGTGGCCATGAGTGGAACTCTCAAAGGCATGTTGCCCAAGCGAGACTCACCCATCTCTCCTATCTATCCTGACCCTTGCTGCCTGGGTCCTAACGCCTGCCAGACAAACTTCGTCTCACCTCTCTTCTCCGAAGCTAGTCCCGCTTCTAAAAAACCACTCCCTGTCTCTTGGGCTTTTCTAGTTTCTCCTATAAGAATGATTTCTAGTATAAACTCCAGGATTCTGTTACCTTCTTTGGGCACCCGGGCTCACCAATCAGAAAGACATAATTTTTGCCCAAAGCCCCATCATAGGGGGGACTATCTGGAATTTTAGGATCCCTCCTCAGACTAGCAGGCCTAACAAAAGCTATTCCTGAAGCTAGGATATGGGGAGCCTCAGAAATTGTATCCTTCCTATTCATACAAGTGGGGACAAAAGGCATCACTCTTCCAACTCTGGAGAGCCCTTCCTTCCCTCAGGGTATGGCCCTGCATTTCATTTTTGGGGCATAACATCTTTATAGGACATGGGTAAGGTCCCAATACTAACAGGAGAATGCTTAGGACTCTAACAGGTTTTCAAGAATGCATCAGTAAGGGCCACTAAATCTGATTTTTCTCAGTCCTCTTTGTGATCTAGGAGGACAGGAAAGGGTGCAGGTTTTTGAGAATGCATTGGTAAGAGCCACAAAATCTGACCTTCCTCAGTCTTCCTTGTGGTCTGGGAGGAAAATTAATGTTTCTGTTGCTGCATCAGTGAGCACAACTATTCTGATCAGCAGGGTCCAGGGACCGTTGTGGGTTCTTGGGCAGGGGTTGTTTCTGCTACTGCATCGGTGAGTGCAACTATTCTAATCAGCAGGGTCCAGGGACCCGTTGTGGGTTCTTGGGCAGGGGGAGAAACAAAACAAACCAAAACCGTGGGTGGTTTTGTCTTTCAGGTGGGAAACACTCAGGCATCAACGGGCTCCCCCTTGAAATGCATTGTAAGACATTGGGACCAATTTGACCCACAAACCCTGAAAAAGAGGCAGCTCACTTTTTTCTGCACTATGGCCTGGCCCCAATATTCTCTCTTTGATGGGGAAAAATGGCCACCTGAGGGAAGTAGTTGGGGGTTGTTTGAGAGCCCTTTGCCAGAGAGCCTGACACCTGTGTCTTTAGTCTGGCAGCCATGCTAGTTGCTTTTAACTGGCTGACAGGTGCCCGGTATTTAGCCCCCAAATTCTACGGAAAAATAGGACAGAATAGCAAGCGAAAGGGGTTCAATGGTACTCACCGCTTGGTGATAGGTGATAGGTGATAGTCTCACCACTTGGTGATAAGCGATGGTCCCTTTGTGGTCGCCAAAATGTGTCCAGAATTGGTGGGTTCTTGGTCTCACTGACTTCAAGAATGAAGCCGCGGACTCTTGTGGTGAGTGTTACAGTTCTTAAAGATGGTGTGTCCAGAGTTTGTTCCTTCTGATGTACGGATGTGTCCAGAGTTTCTTCCTTCTGTTGGGTTCGTGGTCTCGCTGACTTCAGGAGTGAAGCTGCAGACCTTCACGGTGAGTGTTACAGCTCATAAAGGTGGCACTTCCAGAGTTGTTCGTTCCTCCCAGTGGGTTCATGGTCTTGCTGGCTTCAGGAGTGAAGCTGCAGACCTTCACGGTGAATGTTACAGCTCATAAAGGTAGTGTGGACCCAAAGAGTGAGCAGCAGCAAGATTTATTGTGAAGAGCGAAAGAACAAAGCTTCCACAGCATGGAACAGGACCCGAGTGGGTTGCCACTGCTGGCTCAGGTGGCCTGCTTTTATTCCCTTATTTGGCCCCACCTACATCCTGCTGATTGGTCCATTTTACAGAGAGCTGATTGGCCCATTTTACAGAGAGCTGATTGGGGGGGTCCCTTTTACAGAGAGCTGATTGGTCCATTTTGACAGAGTGCTAATTGGTGCATTTACAATCCTTTAGCTAGACACAAAAGTTCTCCATGTCCCCTTCTCCCTCTCTGATTTAAAGCAGATCAAGGCAGACCTGGGGAAGTTTTCAGATGATCCTGATAGGTACAAAGATGTCCTACAGGGTCTAGGGCAAACATTCGATCTCGCTTGGAGAGATGTCATGCTATTGTTAGATCAAACCCTAGCCTTTATTGAAAAGAATGCAGCTTTAGCTGCAGCCCGAGAGTTTGGAGATACCTGGTATCTTAGTCAAGTAAATGATAGAATGACAGCCAAAGAAAGGGACAAATTCCTTACTGGTCAGCAAGCCATCCCCACTATGGATCCCCACTGGGACTTTGACTCAGATCATGGGGACTGGAGTCATAAACATCTGTTGACCTGTGTTCTTGAAGGACTAAAGGGAATTAGGAAAAAGCCCATGAATTATTCAATGATGTCCACTATAACTCAGGGACAAGAAGAAAAGCCTTCTGCCTTCCTCGAGCGGCTAAGAGAGGCCTTAAGAAAATATACTCCCCTGTCACCCGAATCACTCGAGGGTCAATTGATTCTAAAAGATAAGTTTATTACCCAGTCAGCTGCAGATATCAGGAGACAGCTCCAAAAGCAAGCCCTGGGCCCTGAACAAAATCTGCAGGAATTATTAAACCTGGCAACCTTGGTGTTCTATAACAGGGACCAAGAGGAACAGGCCCAAAAGGAAAAGCGAGATCAGAGAAAGGCTGCAGCCTTAGTCAGGGCCCTCAGACAAACAAACCTTGGTGGTTCAGAGAGGACAGAATATGGAGCAGGCCAATCACCCAGTAGGGCTTGTTATCAGTGTGGTTTACAAGGACACTTTAAAAAAGATTGTGCAATGAGAAACAAGCTGCCCCCTCGTCCATGTCCACTATGCTGATGCAATCACTGGAAGGCACACTGCCCCAGAGTGCAAAGGTTCTCTGGGTCAGAAGCCCCCAACCAGATGATCCAACAACAGGACTGAGTGTGTGCGGGGCAAGCACCAGCCCATATCATCACCCTCGCTGAGCCCTGGGTACGTTTAACCACTGAGGACCAAGAAATTGACTTCCTCCTGGACACTGGCATAGCCTTCTCAGTATTAATCTCCTGTCCTGGATGACTGTCTTCAAGGTCCATTACCATCCGAGGAATCCTGGGACAGCCTGTAACCAGGTATTTCTTCCACCTCCTCAGTTGTAATTGGGAGACTTTGCTCTTTTCACATGCCTTTCTTGTTATGCCTCAAAGTCCCACACCCTTATTAGGGAGGGATATATTAGCCAAAGCTGGAGCTATTATCTACATGAATATGGGGAACAAGTTACCCATTTGTTGTCCCCTACTTGAGGAGGGAATCAACCCTGAAGTGTGGGCATTGGAAAGACAATTTGGAAGGGCAAAAAATGCCCGCCCAGTCCAAATCAGGCTAAAAGACCCCACCACTTTTCCTTATCAAAGGCAATATCCCTTAAGGCTTGAAGCTCATAAAGCATTACAGGATATTGTAAAACATTTAAAACCTCAAGGCTTAGTAAGGAAATGCAGCAGTCCCTGCAACACCCCAGTTCTAGGAGTACAAAAACCAAATGGTCAGTGGAGATTAGTGCAAGATCTTAGACTCATCAATGAGGCAGTAATTCCTGTATATCTAGTTGTAGCAAACCCCTATACCCTGCTCTCTCAAATACCAGAGGAAGCAGAATGGTTTATGGTTCTGGACCTCAAGGATGCCTTCTTCTGTATTCCCCTGCACTCTGGCTCCCAGTTTCTCTTTGCCTTTGAGGATCCCACAGACCACATGTCCCAACTTATGTGGATGGTCTTGCCCCAAGGGTTTAGGGATAGCCCTCATCTGTTTGGTGAGGCACTGGCCCAAGATCTAGGCCACTTCTCAAGTCCAGGCACTCTGGTCCTTCAGTATATGGATGATTTACTTTTGGCTACCAGTTGGGAAGCCTCATGCCAGCAGGCTACTCTTGAACTTTCTAGCTAATCAAGGGTAAAAGGCATCTAGGTTGAAGGCCCAGCTTTGCCCACAGCAGGTCAAATTTCTAGGCCTAATCTTAGCCAGAGGAACCAGGGCCCTTAGCAAGGAACAAATACAGCCTATACTGGCTTATCCTCACCCTAAGACATTAAAACAGTTGTGGGGGTTCCTTGGAATCACTGGCTTTTGCTGACTATGGATCCCTGGATACAGCGAGATAGCCAGGCCCCTCTATACTCTAATCAAGGAGACCCAGAGAGCAAATACTCATCTAGTAGAATGGGAACCAGTGGCAGAAACAGCCTTCAAAACCTTAAAGCAGGCCCTAGTACAAGCTCCAGCTTTAAGTCTTCCCACAGGAAAAAACTCTTTATATGTCACAGAGAGAGGAGGAATAGCTCTTGGGGTCCTTACTCAGACTCGTGGGACAACCCCACAACCAGTGGCATACCTAAGTAAGGAAACTGATGTAGTAGTAAAAGGCTAACCTCACTGTTTAAGGGTAGTTGCAGCGGTGGCTGTCTTAGTGTCAGAGGCTATCAAAATAATACAAGGAAAGGATCACACTGTCTGGACTACTCATGATGTAAATGGCATACTAGGTGCCAAAGGAAGTTTATGCCTATCAGACAACTGCCTACTTAGATACCAGGCACTACTCCTTGAGGGACCAGTGCTTCAAATACATACATGCATGGCCCTCAACCCTGCCACTTTTCTCCCAGAGGATGGGGAACCAGTCGAGCATGACTGCCAACAAATTATAGTGCAGATTTATGCCACCTGAGATGATCTCTTAGAAGTCCCCTTAGCTAATCCTGACCTTAACCTATATACTGATGGAAGTTCATTTGTGGAGAATGGGATACGAAGGGCAGGTTATGCCATAGTTAGTGATGTAAACATACTTGAAAGTAAGCCTCTTCCCCCAGGGACCAGCATCCAGTTAGCAGAACTAGTGGCACTTACCTGAGCCTTAGAACTGGGAAATGGAAGAAGAATAAATGTGTATACAGATAGCAAGTATGCTTATCTAATCCTAGATGCCCATGCTGCAATATGGAAAGAAAGGGAGTTCCTAACCTCTGGAGGACCCCCATTAAATACCACAAGGAAATCACAGAGTTATTGCACACAGTGCAAAAACCCAAGGATTTGGCAGTCTTACACTGCCAAAGCCATCAAAAAGGGGAAGGAGAAGGGAGAACAGCAGCATAAGCAGCTAGCAGAGTCAGGGAAAGACCAGCAGAAAGGAAAGAGAGAAAGAGACAGAGAAAAAAGAGAGGAAGAAACAGAGAGACAAAGAGAAGGAGTCAAAGAGAGAGACAGAGAACGCGAGAGAAAGACATAGAAAGTCAAAGAAAGAGAGGAAAAGACAGACAAAGAGGGAGTGAGAAAGTGAAAGATGAATAAGTCAAAGAGAAAGAAAGGGAGATGGAAGTAGTAAAGAAAAAACAGTATACCGTATTCCTTTAAAAGCCAGGGTAAATTTAAAACCTATAATTGATAATTGAAGGTCTTCTCTGTGACCCTATAACACTCCAATACCACCTTGTTAGTGTAAACAAGGGGGTAGCCCGAAAGCACTGAGGCCACTGACAACCCGTAGCCTTCCTATCAAAAATCCTTAACCCAGCAGGTTTCCTAACAGGGGATCTAAATCTGAAGGTCCGACCAGACAGAGGAGGAACTCCCTTTAGGACAGGAGGATAGATGGTTCCTCCTGGGCGATTAAGGAAAAAAGACACAATGGGTATTCAGTAAATGTTAAGGAAACTCTTGTAGAAGCAGAGTTAGGAAAATTGCCTAATAATTGGTCTGCTCAAATGTGTGAGTTGTTTGCACTAAACCAAATCTTAAAGTACTTACAGAATCAGGAAGGAGACATCTATACCAATTCTAAGTT
Source organism: Homo sapiens (assembly GCF_000001405.40). Taxonomy (NCBI): domain Eukaryota; kingdom Metazoa; phylum Chordata; class Mammalia; order Primates; family Hominidae; genus Homo; species Homo sapiens. Next base: position 86,803,069 of record NC_000001.11, on the reverse strand, counting down.
AATATGGACTGAATGAGGTTTTATTAATAGCAAAGAAAAATTAAAATTCCAAACTTACAAGGTTTTCTACTAAAGTAGAGTTTGCTAAAAGTTAACAGTGTAACATGCATTATCTTACTACCACACACTCTCAAAGGCTTTCTCAGACAGTTTGCAAGAAATAATGAAATCTATCCTTACTCTACAATCCCAAATAGATTCTTTGGCAGCAGTGACTCTCCAAAACCATTGAGGCCTAGACCTCCTCACTGCTGAGAAAGGAGGACTCTGAACCTTCTTAGGGGAAGAGTGTTCTTTTTACATTAACCAGTCAGGGATAGTATGAGATGCTGCCCAGCAATTACAGGAAAAGGCTTCTGAAATCAGAAAACACCTTTCACAATTCTTATACCAACCTCTGGAGTTGGGCAACATGGCTTCTCCCCTTTCTAGGTCCCGTGGTAGCCATCTTGCTATTACTTGCCTTCAGGCCCTGTGTTTTTAACCTCCTTGTCAAATTTGTTTCCCCTAGAATTAAGGCCATCAAGCTACAGATGGTCTTACAAATGGAACCCCAAATGAGTTCAACTAACAACTTCTACTGAGGACCCCTGGACCAACCCACTGGCCCTTCCACTGGCTTAAAGAGTTCCCCTCTGGAGGACACTACAACTGCAGGGCCCCTTCTTCACCCCTATCCAGCAGGAAGTAGCTAGAGCGGTCATCAGCCAAATTCCCAACAGCAGTTGGGGTGTCCTGTTTAGGGGGGGATTAAGAGGTGAAGCTGGCTGGGCTTCTGGGTCAAGTGGGGACTTGGAGAACTTTTCTGTCTAGCTAAAGGATTGTAAACACACCAATCAGCACTCTGTGTCTAGCTAGTTGGGTGGGGACTTGGAGAACTTTTGTGTCTAGCTAAAGGTTTGTAAATGCACCAATCAGCACTCTGTGTCTAGCTAAAGGTTTGTAAATGCACCAATCAGCACTCTGTCAAAACAGACCAATCAGCTCTCTGTAAAATGGACCAATCAGCAGGGTGTAGGGATGTAGGTGGGGCCAAATAAAGGAGCAGGCCACCCTAGCCAGCAGCGGCAACCCACTCGGGTCCCCTTCCACGCTGTGTAAGTTTTGTTCTTTCACTCTTTGCAATAAATCTTGCTGCTGCTCACTCTTTGGGTCCACACTAACTTTATGAGCTGTAACACTCACTGTGAAGGTCTGCAGCTTCACTCCTGAAGCCAGCAAGACCATGAACCCACCAGGAGGAACAAACAACTCCAGACGGGCCACCTTTAAGGGCTGTAACACTCACCGTGAAGATCTGCAGATTCAGTCCTGAAGTCAGTGAGACCACAAACCCACCAGAATGAAAAAACTCCGGACACACCATCTTTAAGAACTGTAACACTCACTGTGAGGATCCACGGCTTCATTCTTGAAGTCAGCGAGACCAAGAACCCACCAATTCTAGACACAACATGACTGCATAAGATACAGTACCAAATGGGTGTCACGAAACCATGAAAACCATAGGAAAGATAGAAAAGAATGCTATAAGCTACTCTGGGAAAGGCACTGTGTCCTGCATCCCTTCTCTCTTATTTCTGTTAAGCAGGGCGAGGCCTCCTTAAGAGCATGGTCTCTGGAGTCAGATTGCATAGACTTAATTCCCAGCTTGTCTTAAATCCCACTTAAATTGCATAGACTTAAATTCCATTTGCTAGTTTTGTGGTCTTGGGCTAGTAACTTTTCTGCACCTTAATTTTCTGATCTGTAAAGTAGGTATAAAAAGACAGTAATTAGCGCTGGGCACTGCGGCTCATGCCTGTAATCCTAGCACTTTGGGAGGCCGAGGCAGGTGGATCACGAGGTCAGGAGTTCAAGACAAGCCTGGCCAGGATGGTGAAACCTTGTCTCTACTAAAAATACAAAAATTAGCTGGGCGTGGTGGCACATGCCTGTAATCCCAGCTACTCAGGAGGCTGAGGCAGAGAATTGCTTGAACCCGGGAGGCGGAGGTTTCAGTGAGCCAAGATGGCGCCACTGCACTCCAGCCTGGGTGATAGAGCGAGAGTCCATCAGCAAAACAAAACAAAACAGTAATTACTTTTTCTTCTTGTGAGAATTGAATGAGTGAATACAATAGTGCCTGGTACATAATCAGTATGCAATAAGTATTCACTATGACCTTGATTCAATAAACAATTTTTGAATACCTATGATGTATCAAACACTGTGTTTGAGATACAACAATAACGAATAAAACATAATCTTTGTCCTTAAGGAGGTTACAACTTTCAATGAAAGATACAAACTAGTGAACAGGCCATTGAAGCATGTGGTAAATGAGCACAAGAAGGATGTATTAGTTAAGACTTTGGCTTAGAGAAACAAAAAACAACTGAGCTCTCTTAAACAAAAGAGAGGAGTTAAAAAAATAAAAATGTAGCAGTATGTCAAATAGGACTATTATAGAACCAGGAACTGGAGAGCCACTGGGAGCCCCAGAAGTAGTCTTTCTCTGCTGGTGGGCTGCATTTTTCTCTGCAGCCTGGCCTCATGCTTCTTTGTCCCCACAGAGGGATATGACCATCCCACAGCTCATTCCTGGGTTTACATGTTGAAGCCTGACCAGGAGGCTGGATGGCCTGCCCCTATGCCAAATTCTTGGGGAGGGGAATCTAATTTGTCCCCCTTCAATGAAGGGTTTAACCCTTGTCTAATTGGCAAGGTCATAGTAAAAACATGGCTCTGGGGCCAGTGACTGTAAATTGGGGGAGTGGGCAAGTGAGGCTCAGTTCTTAAAGAAGGAGGTGTGGCTCATGGGCTAATTAGATACTTCCAAAGGTGTCAACTCCAGGAGGGACTCTAACCCAGCCTTGAGTCAGAGGACGCTTCCTACAGGAATTCATGCCTAGGCTAAGACTTTGAAGACTAATGAGAATTAACAGATGAAGGGATGAGAAGAGCATATTCCTGTAATTGTGAGAAGCATGAGTAGAGAGAAGGGGGCATCTCTGGACATCTCCAGGGAGGCCAGGGACAAGAGATGAGCCTGGAAAAATGAGCAGAAGGTAGATCACAAAGGGTCTTTTAAGCTTTACCATGTTAGGACTTTGCTGTGAGTTCTGAGGGAATGTATTAAAGATTTTAAAAGATAACTCGCTTTTCTTTACAACATTGACACCATCAAATGTTTTGTTGGACAAATTATTCTGGGAACCATATGAGAATATGTTGGGGTTGGGGAAAATGGAGGCATCGAGGTAATTTAGGTGAGAGGGGGTGTTGGTGGTCTGAACTAAGGTAGTAATAATAATAAGAAGAAAAAAGTTATGTTGATCTTAGGACACCCACATTACACAGTGCCTGATTTATATTAGGATTTTTGTTGAGTGATAGCAACTTAGAAATCAGATAAACTGGAGTGGCTCCCTCTAGTTCAGATATTTCTTGTTGCTTTGGTGATCAATGGCACTAGAACAGAGGAAGGGCTGGTAAATTCTGGCTGCAGGTCAGCACCGCTGAAAGATGTATTAAAGGCTCTTTCTCCCACTGCCATTTGTAACTCTTTGCATCCCTCGATGTGCCAGGAAACTTCAGCTCTGTAACTCAGGAAGGAGAGAAGAGTTATGGTTGAGGGCCAGGTTGAGAGGAGCAGGAGAAAGAAAGAGAGGAGGTGGGGGAGAAAAAAAAGGAGCAGAAGGAGAAGAAGCGGGAGGAGGAGTGCTGAATGGTATAGATGGTATAGATCTCCTTCCCATCTTGGTCTCTTTGGTTAGAAGAAACTAAAGGAATTATTTTCTAGTGATTCTCTGTGAAACTTGGGAGGGGGTGAGGCTGATGACAGCTACTCACAGAAAATGGTGTGGGAGCCAGGCAGAAGAACAGGGTAGCTGCTGTGGGCACCTGCAGCTGACAGTGTTGCATGGGCCTACATGGAGTTCCCATTTCAGAAATACCTGGGGAGAGAGGAAGGGGACTTAAGGGGAAATCCTGAGTTCTGGTTGCAGTGTATGTGTTTGCATATGTGCATGTAGCAATGCAAAGAAGGTGGCGTGGGAGATCATGCCCTTGTGATTTGGGTAGAACTCTGAGGAACCCTCATTTTCTAGTTATAGGCTGGAGGCTTGGTTTTTGACCCAGATAATCTGGTGTTCAGGAAACAAATAGAGAACATCCTGAGCAAGAATTTGAGTTGAAGTAGTTTTAATTTTGTGCCCATGTCACTTGAGGGGAGGTATTTTTGCTCACTCTCTGAGTGCACAGGACATAGTACCATGCCGGTGTGGCCTCAGTGTGGATCTTCAGAGGCCTCAGAGCAGCACAGCTGAGCTGGACCATTCATAAAGTTCCCCCAGGCTCACAATGGGGCTTTTTAGCAACCCAGGAACATGGAAGTTTCTCTTTTATAAATCTGATGGTGTGGTCCATAGTCTTCCTTCTTTTTTGGTATCTAGAAGTCCTCCTTTTTTTTTTTTTTTTTTGAGATGGAATCTTGCTCTGTTGCCCAGGCTGGAGTGCAGTGGCACAATCTCGAGTCACTGAGTTCAAGCAATTCTCCTGCCTCATAGTCTTCCTTCCTTTTTTTTTTTTGGGTATCTAGAAGTCCTCCTTTTTTTTTTTTAGATGAAATCTCGCTCTGTTGCCCAGGCTGGAGTGCAGTGGCACGATCTCCGCCTCCTGGGTTCAAGCAATTCTCCTGCCTCAGCCTCTCGAGTAGCTGAGATTACAGGCATCCGCCACCATGCCTAGCTAATTTTTGTTTTTTGTTTTTTTGGGACAGAGTCTTGCTCTGTCGCCAGGCCGGAGTGCAGTGGCGCGATCTTGGCTCATTGCAACCTCCGCCTCCCAGGTTCAAGCAATTCTCCTGCCTCAGCATCCCGAGTAGCTGGGATTACAGGCGCCCACCACCACGCCCAGCTAATTTTTGTATTTTTAGTAGAGACGGGTTTTCACCATGTTGGCCAAGATGGTCTCAATCTCTTGACCTCGTGATCTGCCCGCCTCGGCCTCCCAAAGTGCTGGGATTATAGGTGTGAGCCATGGTACCAGGCCAAGAAATCCTCTTGTAAGGTGAAAAAAAATATATATATATTTTATTATATATATTATATATTTATTATACATATCATATATTATATATATTTTATTATATATTATATATATTATATATTATATATTTTTTATTATATATTATATATTTTTTAGTATATATATTATATATTATATTATATATTATATATTTTATTATATATATTATATATCATATATTTTATTATATATATTATATATCATATATATTTTATTATATATATTATATATTATATATTTTATTATATATATTATATATTATATATATTTTATTATATATATTATATATTATATATATTATTATATATTATATATTATATATTTTATTATATATAATATATTATATATTTTATTATATATAATATATTATATATTTTATTATATATAATATATTATATATTTTATTATATATAATATATTATATATTTTATTATATATAATATATTATATATTTTATTATATATAATATATTATATATTTTATTATATATTATATATTATATATTTTATTATATATTATATATTATATATTTATTATATATTATATATTATGTATATTTTATTATACATTATATATTATGTATATTTTATTATATATATTATATATTATATATTTTATATATAATATATTATATATATTATATATTATATATATTATATTTTATATATATTATATATATATTTTATATATATATAATATATATATATTTTTGAGATGAAGTCTCGCTCTTGTCCCCCAGGCTAGAGTGCGATGGTGTGATCTAGGCTCACTGCAACCTCCGCCTCCTGGGTTCAAGCAATTCTCCTGCCTCTGCCCTCTGAGTAGCTGGGATTACAGGAGCCTGCCACCACGCCTGGCTAGTTTTTTGTATTTTTAGTAGAGATGGGGTTTTACCATGTTGGCCAGGCTGGTCTCGAATTCCTGACCTCAGGTGGTCCACCTGCCTCGGCCTCCCAAGGTGCTGGGATTAGAGGTGTGAGTCACCGTGCCAGGCCATTTTTTTTTTTTAAACCATGTTAAATCAATACTTTTGAAAATAATTTAGGATTTAGGCCAATACTTTGTAAAGGCTTCTATTTAATTATAAAAAGTTCTAAATGTACCTTAAAGAAGACACAATGAAATATTTGACCAATAATTTCCATTCATGTTGCAAAAAGATCATTTACCATCTTATATAGTTAATACATTTACTTCTGATGGCAAATGTACTACTCAAGACCCCTCAAGTGTCTGGAAATAGAGATTTCTTTTAGAAAAGCAGCTGCCTTGTGCTCTGAGTACTTTGCAGTTGACTAATTGTGAGGAAAGGTCCTTTGATGAAGAATCAAATCTGGATATTTTATCATAGAAAAAAGAGTTAAAAAAGAGTTCCTAGGCTGGGCGTGGTGACTCATGCCTGTAATCCCAGCACTTTGGGAGGCTGAGGCAGATGGATCACCTGAGGTCGGGAGTTTGAGACCAGCCTGACCAACTTGGAGAAACCCTGTCTATATTAAAAATACAAAAATTAGCCGGGCGTGGTAGTGCATGCCTGTAATCCCAGCTACTCGGGAGGTTGAGGCAGGAGAATCGCTTGCAACTGGGAGGTGAAGGTTGCAGTGAGCCGAGATTATGCCATTGCACTCCAGCCTGGGCAACAAGAGCGAAATTCCATCAAAAAAAAAAAAGAGTTATTTTGTTTCATGAGGAAGTTGATGCATTGAACTTGGGTTCTGTGACCTTGAGTATAACATTATTTCCCACTAAATGCAAATGTTTTATTTTGTTTGTTTTTTTAAAAAGGTCTTGAGTATCCTGTCTATATCCCTTGGATGCTACCATTTCAGAAAATGCCAAGATTTCCCGTGGCTTATGTCTGTCTCTTCATGCACAAGAACTTTCTCCAGCACTGAGAAAAGTTGCCATGTAGGTGGCAGGAAGTGCTGGGGAATTGATACTACCCAGGAGCAGTCTTCAATTAATACTTATAGGAATTGGTGTATAAATATCCCAGCTCCCCCAGTTTTGAGTGGGATAATTCTGACACACATATTTTCTACTCTGTCTTGCAGTTTCCCTGTGGATTGAGCTGCATCGCTGCCCAGGATGGTAGCAGGCTTAATGACCACCCTTTGGTGGCTGCCTGCTATTCCCTCTGTCATTTCCTTACTTCCCTTCTAGTAGTCCCTGCACCTCTAAAATAAGCTATTCTACTCAAATCTATGTCCTAGGGTTTACTTCTTGGGAAACCAAACTAAGACAGACTCATTTGTTTAAAATGGGATCATTCTGCTATTTCATATTCTGTTACATGCTGATAGAGTATCAAGGCATAATTTCCAAACTGCTATAAAGATAATTCTCATACAAATAGATGCATGTGTCAAGGCTTTATTCAATTCATTTATGAGGGAACTGGCAGGATAAGAAAGCTGATTCAATGTGTATAGTCAGTGAAAAAAGGAATGCTGAAATAAGACTGCTATATTAGATGTAAAACTGCTTAATGTCCTACAGGGGAATTACATCATAACCTTTGAGTTATGTTATTACTTAGAGGAACAAATATCATTATAACTTACAGAGATGAACTCTACAGAGATGAACTCTAATTTTATAGACTAGAATGGGTCTGGGTCACTGATTAATTAGTACTAGTAAGTCAAACAATGTTAGACCCTACTCACATTAGATGGGGCTTAGCATGATCAAAGGTCACCCAGTTATCTTTTTTACTTATTTCCAAGTTTGGAATCATTTTTGGAGCAACAGGAGACTTTTTTTTTGGAGACTGAGTCTCACTCTTTTGCCCAGGCTGGAGTGCAGTGGCACGATCCCCGCTCACCGTAATCTCTGCCTTCCCGGTTCAAGTGATTCTCCTGCCTCAGTCTCTGAGGCTGGGATTACAGGCGCGCACCACCACGCCTAGCTAATTTTGTATATTTAGTAGAGATGGGGTTTCACCATGTTAGCCAGGCCGATCTTAAATTCGCGACCTCTGGTGATCCGCCCGCCTCGGCCTCCCAAAATGCTGGGTTTACAGGCGTGAGCCACCGTGCCCGGCCAACAGGATACTTTTATGGTGGCTTATAAGTAATCTGTGGGCTAATGAATGTGACGTTCTTAGTGGCAGATCAGTAAGTTGTGAAATGTGTGTGTGTTTGTATATGTTTTGAAACATTTCACTTGTTTGGAACAACAAAATACGTTTTAAAGACACTTTAAAAATTATAAATGCAGCACATTTTGATATTGAATAAAACATGTAACATAAATTATCAAAACAAAGTTTCTCTATCATGTAGGAGTTTTGTTTTCTGTTTTAGTTTTTATTAAGTGTATCTAGTATTTTGATGAAATTATTTGGAAATTCTGGATCTGGAAACTGGTTACAGATGTCCAGATTTTCCTTACTGGGAAAGAATCTTTAGGAAAACATCTGTTACACTAGAATCTTTTTTTTGGCGGGGTGGGGGTGGGGGAGATGGGACAGAGCCTTGATCTTTTGCCCAGGCTGGAGTTAAGTGGTGTGATCTTGGCTCACTGCAACCTCCGCCCCCCGGTTACGAGTGATTCTCCTGTCTCAGCCTCCCGAGAGCTGGGATTACAGGCGCCCACCACCATATCCAGTTAATTATTGTATTTTTAATAGAGATGGGGTTTCACCATGTTGGCCAGGCTGGTCTCGAACTCCTGATCTCAGGTGATCCACCTGCCTCGGCTTTCCAAAGTGCTAGGATTACAGGCGTGAGCCACCGTGCCCGGCCGATTCATTTGTTTTTTTTTGTTTGTTTGTTTGTTTGTTTTTTTGAGGCAGAGTTTCATTCTTGTTGCCCAGGCTGGAGTGCAGTGGCGTGATCTCCGCCGGCTCACTGCAAACTCCGCTTCCCGGGTTCAAATGATTGTCCTGCCTCAGCCTCCGGAGTAGCTGCGTTTACAAGCGCCTATCACCACGCCGGGCTAATTTTTTTATTTTCAGTAGAGGCAGGTTTCGCCATGTTGGCCAGACTTGTCTCAAACTCCTGACCTCAAGTGATCCACTCGCCCTGGCCTCCCAAAGTGCTGGGATTATAGGTGTGAGCCACCGTGCCCGGCCTCATTTGGATATTTAAAAAATTGCTGATTATTGGTTGTTTTAACTAGCCCTACAGTGGTCTTAAAAAGGAAAGAAAAAGAAAGAAGAGAAAGAAAGAAAGAAAGAAAAAGAAAGACAGACACAGGACATAGATCACTGTCCTCTGAAAAATGTACTTTTTTTTTTTTCTGAAAAGAATCTCAATGGACATCTTTAAGACCACAATACTTTTTTCTTCCCCACTTCAAATTTTGATCAATGGTGTCAAAAGATGAAGATAATCCATTTCTTCCATCCTCTTGTATTTAGAGGGCCTGAAAGACTATTCCATTATCAGCTAATAAGACCTACCTCCTCACTGCCACATCTGGTTAAACACTCAGTTTGAAAAATCAGCAAAGATAAGCTGCTCTCTGACGTGAGGACATTTGGGGTGGAATTTCTTTGCATATTATGAGGAATTAAGTGGAGGTAGTTTCAGAGACCATCTCAAAGCCTGGGTTCAAATAGGCTCTTCTTGCCCTTGATCTCTTTGAAAGCCAGCAGCCCCTGAATGCTGGCAGCAGAAGGGAGCATTCTCTCTTTGTAAATTGAATGACCTGATTTTTATCTCTAGTTGGATTCCAGGAGGAAGCATGATGTCATTTCAACCACTGGCCAGAAAACTTCTTGCTTAATGAACACTTTGAGCTTACTGGCAGCCAAGAAGGCCTTTGTTTACTGTGCTTAGAAATCAGGGTCAAAGATTCTTTCTCTGCCTCTTAGGAACAAAGGGACAGGCTTGCTAACCAGCCCTTGTCTATGAGCAAGTCTCAGCCATGGCAGACAGATAAATACAACTGGCTCCTGAAAGATTACAAAGTCTAAGAGGTCAATAGGACAGGAGAGAGAAGGAGCTGAACTGCCATCAAAGATGAGTTTTTGTGTGTGTTAAGTCCTCCCTTCCTGTACCCAGGGCTGTGTGTCAGCCAGGTGTCCTGTGGCAGGTGCGTGCCACTCTACCTGCCTGCGGCTCTCACTGGCTCTGGCCTGGCGCCACTCTCCACCCTAAAGCTTCCCTCAGCTGTTTGAACAGTTGCCATGGGGCTTGGGTAGCCTCCATCCACTGGCAGCTGCTGAGATGTATTATGAGGGTGGAAACAGATTTCTAGAACTGTAGTTACTAACTGCTGAGGGCAATACCAGAAATATAAAGAAGAGAAAAATATGCAATGAGTTTATTTCTATTTGTGGTGCATAGTAAATTAGACATTAGGTAAAAGAGGCTGAATACTAAGGAAAACACAGTGAAGCCCATTCTCCAATTGAAATAGTGTAAGCCCTCTGATAATTTTTCTTCTTAAAACCAGCTTTATTGAGGCGTAATTGCCATATAATGAATTGCACATGGTTAAAGTATACAATTGGAGAAGCTTTGACATATGTATACACTTGTAAAAAGTCCATCACCATAATGACGTGTCCACGTAGGGTTATCAGTTGTAAGCAACGCACCGCTCTGGTGGGGGGAGATTAATAGTCCGGCAGGATATGCATGTGTGTGTGCTGGTGGTGTGGGAAATCTCTCTACCTTCCTCTCAATTTTGCTGTGAACACAAAATTGTTCTAAAAAGAAAGTCTATTTAAAAAAAGATTTACAAAAAAAAGTGCATCACCACAATCAGAATTATCAACCCCAAAAGTTTCCTTCTGACCCTTTGTAATCATTTCTCTCCAGGGCCAGTCCTTCCCACACTCACTTTTCCCCATCCCCAGGGGACTACTGATTGGCTTTCTGTTACTAAAGATTAGTGATGTTTTCTAGAGTTTTATATAAATGAAATATACATTCTGTACTCTTTTTTTGTCTGACTTCTTTTAGAAAATGTTGTTGTACTTATCAATAGTTTATTCTTTTTATTGCTGAATAATATTCCATTTGTGGAATACAAATGCCATATAATGAATTGCACGTGGTTAAAGTATACAATTTGAAAAGTTTTGACATATGTATACACTTCTACACCATAATGATGTGTCAATGTAGGGTTATGGCTATACCACAATTTGTCTGTTCATCTGTTAATAGGCATTGTGTTGTTTGGGTTTTTGATTATTGTAAGTAAAGTTAATATAAACATTCATGTACAAGTCTCTGTATGGACATACACTTTCAGATCTCTGGAGTAAATACCCAGGAATGAGTGGCTGGATCATGTGGTAGGAATATATAATAATTATTATTTTTTTCCAGAGACAGGGTCTCACTCTGTCACCTAGGCTGAAGTGTAGTGGCACAATCTTGGCTGACTGCAACGTCCGCCTCCCAGGTTCAAGCCATTCTTGTGTTTCAGCCTCCCAAGTAGCTGGGACTACAGGCATGCACCACCACGCCCGGCTAATTTTTGTAATTTTTGTAGAGATGGGGTTTTGCCGTGTTGGCCAGGCTGGTCTCAAACTCCTGGCCTCAAGTGATTCACCTGCCTCTGCCTCCAAAAGTGCTGGGACTATGGGCATAAGCCACTGCACCTGGCCCAGAATATATTAAATTTTTAAAGAAATGGCCAAACTGCTTTCCAAAGGGGTTGTACTATTTTATATTCTCACCGGCAGTGTATGAGGCTTCCAATTTACCTCCTCATCAACAGTTGATATTGTTACTCTTTTTAATTTTGGACATTCTAATAGATGTGTAGTAGTAGCACATTGGGTTTTAATTTGAATTTTTCTAATGATTACAGATGATGACCATATTTTCCTATGCTTATTTGCCATTTGTGTGTGTGTGTATATTTGTATACATTTGTGTATATTTTGTGTGTGTGTGTGTATATATATGTGTGTGTATATATATATGTGTGTGTATATATATATATGAAGTGCCTGTTCAAATCTTTTGCCCATTTTAAAAACTGGGTTGTTTATTTTTACAAGTGTTTTGTATATTCTGAATACAAGTCCTCTATCAGATACAGTATGCTATGCAAATATTTCAGGCTGTGTCTTATTTTTTCATTCTCTTCATAGTCTTTTGAAGAGCAGAAATTCTTAGTTTTGATGAAGTCCAACTTGTTAGTTTTTCTGATAAAGTTTCTAAAAGATGAGAGCACCATTTAGGCAATGTGATGGACCTGACATAATTTTAAGTGCCTTCTCGGATCTGTGATTGTTAAAATCCTTTTTTTTTTTTTTTTTTTTTTTTTTTTTTGAGATGAAGTCTAGCTCTTGTCACCTAGGCTGGAGTGCAATAGCTCGATCTCAGCTCACTGCAACCTCCGCCTCTCGGGATTCTCCTGCCTCAGCCTCCCGAGTAGCTGGGATTACAGGTTTGCACCACCACGCCCAGTTAATTTTTGTAATTTTAGTAGAGACGGGGTTTCACCATGTTGGCCAGGCTGGTCACCAACTCCGGAACTCAGGCGATCTGCCCACCTCAGCCTCCCAAAGTGCTGGGATTACAGGCATGAGCCACTGATCCCGGCCTAAAATTCTTTTAGAAAATAGTTTATTTGCTTTCTTTTCTCCACACCATGATTCCGTAACATCTGTGATTTTTAAATATGGCCTAGTGAGTTCTTTTCTGGTCAAACCTCATTACCAGAACAATCAAATAGCTAAAAGATATCCAGGTTCTGGTGCATGTCTACGTATTTCAAGCAAAATTTGATAAAACAAAATTACAGTACCACAAGGAAATCTGGACTAAATTAGAATACTATGGTGGTGAGATTTTCGTAAATGCCACTCCAGGGGAGAATAAAGCCACTGAATTGGGTTTCTGGGGTGTATGGGGAAAGTAATTTTGTCTTCAACCACAGGGGATAATAAAGACCAGCAAATTAGGCCCAAATCATCCATGAATCAAGGATAAAATGACTCGAATTCTGCCATTGGGGAATTCTGCCATGGCTCTCTACACAGGCGTTGGCTGCCTCTGCATTTTAGCAGGAGAAATTCTCCAGCTGCCCCCATAGGAAGCCAGATCCTTACTACTATATTTTAAATTACATATAAATTAAAGATTATGTCTAGATTGGGCTCACACCTATACTCCCAGCATTTTGGGAGGCCAAGGTGGGAGGATCACTTGAGCCCAGGAGTTCGAGACCAGCCTGGGCAACATAGTAAGACCTCAACTCTACAAAAATAGAATAAAATTAGCCAGTCATGGTGGTGTGGTCCTGTAGTCCCAGCTAATTGAGAGGCTGAGGTGGGAGCATTGCTTGGGCACAGAAGGATGAGGCTGCAGTGAGCCAGGGTTGCACCACTGTACTCCAGCCTGGTTGACAAGAAAAAAAAAAAGACTATGTCTATACCCAAATAATGAAAAGATCAACTAACATTGCTAGTGCTCATGCTTGCTGGGGGAAAGTGTTTTATCATAAAACCTCATGTAACCCCCACAACAACTGTGAGTGGGTACCATTATTGTCTCATTTTACGGATGAGGAAACTGAAGCACAGAAAGGTTGAGAGAGCAGTAAAGTCGGACAGTTCAGTTGACTTCAGGTTCTGTGCTCTTCCTTCCCATTCTCTATTGCCAATTTTCATGGCACCTACATAATTCAACTCTTTCACTTCTGTGAGTGGTCTTTTAGCTAACTGGATATTATTTATTTTAGTCTATTTCCTACTTGAGTCTATTTACTTAAATAGGGGATAGAAAGAAGTCACACAAGGACCAAATCTTAGCACAGTGGTGTGAATGATGCTTTTTGACTTGGGCACAAACCTTTCCTGTGTCCCCCGCCCCGGTACCACAGCTCCATGCCGTGCACACGGAACTGCCCTCAGCATTGCACTCCTCTATGAGGGCCGGCTTGGAAGCCTGTCTCCCTCATGAGACTGCAAGCTTCTGGAGTAAAGACCATGTCTTAGTGCCAGCGCCTGGTCAGTTCTTGTAATGTTGGCTGATTGAGGGAATGAAGAAATCTCCTTTTCTAGCCCTGATGAAGTCTTTGATTCTAAATTTAGATGGCTAAGAAAGACTGATTGCTTCATGTTAAAAAAATTACTCAGCATTCAGATAAATGAGGACATTACTAGATCAATTATTCCCATAGGGAAGTGGTCAGACTAACTCCAAAGATAGTTCAGAGATCTTTATTCTGGGAACATGCTGTTATCTTGTTACCGGAATGATTCAGAGCCTCTATGCACAGACTAAAAACTAGGGACTTTGACAGATCCAACCACAAGATTGTGGGCAGTTCTCCTGAGAAGACTGTACCACAGTGACAGAAGAAAAGAAATAAGGAGTTTTGCACAGGGAAGGCCGTTCAAAAAAAATAATCATCACTATAACAGCTGTCTCTTATTGCATGGTTGACTGCCACTGTACTGTTCTTTCCCTTTATTAACTCACTGAATCCTAAAAATAAGCTAAATAAACAATGAATCACCAATAACAGGGTAAACTGGCATCATGTGATTTCTGATGTGGTTCAAAGGGAAGTACACATCACCCATGCAGTATTTCTTTTTCATAATGGTAAGCAACACATGACACAAATTTACCATCTCAACCACTCCCAAGTGTACAGTACAATAGCATTAACTATATGTACATTGTTGTGCAACAGATCTGTAGAACTTTTTTATCTTGCAAAACCAACCTGTATATTTACAAACAACTTCCCTCTTTTCCCTCTCCTCAACCTTTAGCAATCGCTATTCTACTTTTTGTTTGTAAGAGCTTGACTGCTCTAGATACCCCACCTAAGTGGAACCATCAGTATCTATCCTGAAATTGGCCTACTTCACCCAGCATAATGTCCCAAGGTTCATCCATGCTGCAGCATATGATAAAATCACCTTCCTTTTTAAGGTTGAATAATTTTCCATTCTATGTATATACCACATTTTTTTTATTCATTAATCTGTCAGTGATGGGCGTTTAGATTGCTCCCACCTCTTGGCTATTATGAATAATGCTGTCATGAACACATATGTGCAAATAACTCTTTGACATCCCATTTTTAATTCTTTTTGATATATACTCAGAAGTGGAATTACCAGATCATATAGTAATTCTATTTTCAACTTTGTGATGAACCTCCATACTGTTTCCCATAACAGTTGCACATTTTCAATTCCCACCAGCAGTGCACAAGTGCTCCAATTTCTCCACATCCTTGCCAACACATTATTTCCTGTTTTTGTAATGGTGACAATTCTAATGGGTGTGAGATATCTCACTGTAATTTTGATTTGCATTTTCCTGATGATTAGTAATACTGAGCATCTCTTCATATGCTTCTTGGCCATTTGTGTATCTTTTTGGAAAAATATCTATTCAAGTCCTTTGTCCATCTTAAGATTGAATTATTTGTTTTGGTTGCTGTTGCTGAGTTGAAGGAGTGCTTTATATATTCTAGCTACTAACACCTGTCCAATATATGGTTTGAAAATATTTTCTTCCATTCTGTTGGTTGCCTTTTCACTTTGTTGATTGTTTTCTTTGCTCCCAGAAGTTTTAAAGTTTGATGTAGTTCCATTTATCTATTCTTACTTTTGTTGCTTATGCTTTTGGTGTCACATCCAAGAAATTTTTATCAAATCCAATGTCATAAATCTTTTTCCTTATTTTTTTTTCTTCCTGGAGTTTTATAGTTTCAGATCTTACATGTAGGTCTCTAATACATTTTGAGTTAATTTTTATATATAGTATAAATTGTATTAGTTCATTTTGTGTTACTATAAAGGAATACCTAAGGCTGGGTAATTTATAAAGAAAAGAAATTTATTGGCTCATGGTTCTGCTGACCATACAGGAAGAAGTGTGGTGCTGGCATCTGCTTCTGGTTAGGGCCTCAGAAAGCTTATAATCATGGTGGAAGGCAAAGGAGGAGCAGGCAGTGTCACATGGCAAAAGCAGGAGTGACAGAGTGGGGAGGTGCCACATGCATTTTTTTTTTTTTTTTTGAGATGGAGTCTCACTCTGTCACCCGGGCTGGAGTGCAGTGGTGTGATCTCAGCTCACTGCAAGCTCTGCATCCCAGGTTCACACCATTCTCCTGCCTCAGCCTCCCGAGTAGCTGGGACTACAAGGCCACATGCTTTTAAACAACCATATCTCGTGTGAGGTCAGAGAACTCATTCATCACCAAGGGGATGGTGCTAAGCCATTCATGAAGGATCTGCCTTCATTATCCAAACACCTCCCACCAGGCCCTACCTCCAACACTGGGGATTACATTTCAACATGAGATTTGGAGGGGACAAACATCCAAAACATATCATAAGGTAAGAGTACAAATTCATCCTTTTGCAATTGGATATCCAGTTTTCCCAGCATCATTTGCTAAAGAGACTATCCTTTCCTAATTATGTATACTTGGCACCCTTGTCAAAGATCATTTGACCATATATGTTAGGGTTTATTTCTGGGTTCTCAATTCTGTTCCATTGTTCATCATGTCTGTCTTTATGTCAGTATCATACTGTTTTGATTTTTGTAGCTTAATAATATGTTTTGAAATCAGAAACTGTGAGGCCTCCAGCTTTGTTTTTCTTTTTCAGTATTGTTTTGGCTGTGGAGTCCTTTGAGATTCCATATGAGTTTGAGAACTCTTCTTTATTTCTGGAAAAAAAATGCCATGGGGATTTTGATAGAGATTACATTGAATCTGTAGAATGCTCTAGGTAGCATGGACATTTTAATATTGTTAACATTATTGTTTTAGCAATATTAAAATGTCCATGCTACCCAGAACAATCTACAGATTCAGTGTATTCTTCTATCCCATGTAGACAGCATGTCTTTCAATTTATATGTGTCTTTAATTTCTTTCAGTAATGTTTTGTAGTTTTCAGTGTACAAATCTTTCACCTCCCTGGTTAAGTTCATTCCTAAGCATTTTATTGCTGTTGATGCTATCATAGATGAAATTCGTTTCTTAATTTACTTTTCAGATTGTTCATCGGTAGTATATAGAAACACAATTTATTTTGGTGTGTTGATTTTGTATCCTATAACTTTACTGAATTAGTTTAATAGTTTTAGCAGTTTTTTCTTGGTGAAATCTTGGTGAAATTAGGGTTTTCTGCAGACAAAATCTGTCTCCTGTGAACAGAAATAATTTCACTTCTTTTTTTTCCAATTCATGTGCTTCATAATTCTTTTTCTTGCCTGATTTCTCTGGCTAGGACTTGTACTACTATGTTGGCTAGAAGTGACAAGAGTGGGCATCCTTGCCTTAATCCTGATCTTAGTGAGAAAGATTTCATTTATTCACCTTTGAATGCAATGTTAATTGTGGGCTTTTCATATATGGTTTTTATTATGTTGAGCTAATTTCCTTCAATTCCTAGTTTTTGAGTACTTTTTAATCATGAAAGGTATTGAATTTTGTCAAATGCTTTTCCTGCATCAATTGAGACGATCGTGTGGTTTTTGCTCTTCATTCTGTTAATATGGTGTATTATACTGATGATTTTCATATGTTGAACCATCTTTTTTTTTTCCTTTTAATTACATTTATTTTAATGCTGAATTTACTTCCGGGCCATAAGTTTTTGTTTCTTCAGTTTCTTCTGGGATATCTTTTTCTTCTGGGCAACCTCCTTTTCTGGTTTAGGAACAATCTGTTCCTTTTCAGTAAGGATCATCTCAATGTGCCAGGGAGAGCTCATGTATGAGTTAATCCGACCATGAGCTCTGTAGGTCCGGCGGAGCATCTTAGGTGCTTTGTTCACTTGGATATACTCAATGACCAGAGAATCTACATCTAAACCCTTAAGTTCAGTATTACCCTCTGCGTTTTTAAACATGTGCAGCAAAAATTCAGCACTCTTTTTGGGCCACCGACCTTGTGTCCAGCCCCACTGCTTGGCCTGCGCACACTTGCCAACTCCACCATTGTAACGTCGGAATGGTATGCACTGTTTCTGTAAAGTGACATCTTTAAGATACTTCGTGGCTTTTCGTATATGCATACCCTTGATGGCCTGAGCAGTTTCACGAGTGTCCTTAAAGTGAACACGAAGATTGGAACCTCTTGATTTGCATGATTTCATGGGGTTCTCCGGGTCAAGTGAATAGCGAACCATTTTCACAGATTACTTCAGGCTGCTTAGGGAAAGAGCTGAACCATCTTTATATTCCACAAATCACTCTTGGTCATGATGTGTAATAGTTTTAATGTGTTACTGGATTTAGTTTGCAAGTATTTTGTTGATGATTTTTGCATTAATATTCATTGTGCATATTTGTAGTTTTCCTTTCTTTTAGTATCTTTGTCTGATTTTGGTATCAGGTAATATTGGCCTGATAAAATGAATTTGAAAATGTTCCTTTCTCTTCCGAGATCACGCCACTGCACTCCAGGCTGGTGGAAGAGCAAGATTCTGTCTCAAAAAAAAAAAAAATTAATAAAATAAAAAGACAAAATGAAAAAGAAAATGTTCCCTCCTCTTTAATTTGTCGGAAGAGTTTGGAAAGAATTGATGTTAACTTTCCCTTAAATGTTTGTTGCTTCTCCAGTAAAGCCATCTATCTGATCCTGGGCTTTTCTTTGTTTAGAGGTTTTTGACTGCTAAGTCAACCTTATTAATAGTGACAGGTCTGTTCAGCTTTTTATTTCTTTATCATTCAATCTTGGTAGATCATATGTTCCTAGAAATTCATCTATTTTTTCTAGGTTATTCCATTTGTTGGCATACAATTGTTCATAGTAGTGTCTTATGATCTGTTTTATTTCTGTGGCATTAGATGCAACATCTCATTTTTCATTTCTGATTTTTGTTATTTGAGTCTTCTGTATTTTTTTGTAGTTATTCTAGTTAAGGGTTTGTCAATTTTGTATTTTTTCCAAAAAACCAACTCTTAGTTTTATTGACTTTTTTCTGATGTTTCCTATTTCCTGTTTTGTTATTTATGCTCTAATCTTTATTTATTTCCTTCCTTTGGGTAACTTTGTGTTTAGTTTGCTCTTTTCTTAGTCCCTTGAGTTGTAAAGTTAGGTTGTTGATTTGTGATCTTTCTTTTTTAAATGTAGGCATTTACCACTATAAACCTCCCTCTTGGTACTATTTTTGCTGCATCCCTTAAGTTGTGGCATGTTGTGTTTTCATTTTTATTTATCTCAAGGTATTTTCTAATTTCCCTTGGGAGGTATTCTTTGATTCATTGGTTGTTCAAGTGTGTGTTGCTTAATTTCCATATATTTATATAATTTCCAGTTTTCCTTCTGCTATTAATTTCTAGTTTCATTTCATTGTGGTTAGAAAAAATATTTGGTTGAAAAAAAATTTGGTATTAAATTTCTTTATACTTGTTTTGTGGCCTAATACGCAATCTATCCTAAAAAATGTTATATATGTTTCTGAGAAGACTGTGTATTCTGCTGTTGTTGGTTAGAGCATTTGGTATATGTCTGTCACATCCCATTGGTCTTTAGCGTTGGTCAAGTCATCCGTTTTCTTTCTTTTTTTTTTTTGAGAAGGAGTTTCGCTCTGTCGCCCAGGCTGGAGTACAGTGGCACAATCTCGGCTCACTGCAAGCTCCGCCTCCCAGGTTCACGCCATTCTGCTGCCTCAGCCTCCCGAGTAACTGGGACTACAGGCGCCCATGTCCAGCTAATTTTTTGTATTTTTAGTAGAGATGGTATTTCACCGTGTTAGCCAGGATGGTCTCAAACTCCTGATCTCGTGATCCGCCCGCCTCGGCCTCCTAAAGTGCTGGGATTACAGGCGTGAAGGTCATCTGTTTTCCTACCGATCGTCTGTCTGGTTGATTTAATCCATTATTGAAAGTGGGATATTGAAATATACTGATATTGTTTTACTTTGTATATCTCTCTTCAATTCTGTCAATGTTTGCTTTATATATTTGTGTGCTCTGTGGTTAGGTGCATTTATAATTGTTATATCTTTCTGGTGAAATCACCCTTTTATCCTTACATAATATTTTTTTGTTTATGAAATTATATTTTGCCTGATAAAAGTATGTCCACTTCTGCTCTCTTTTCATCAACACTTGACCAAAAGGATTATCATCTTTATATTTTCCTATTCTTATGTTGCTGTCTAGTGCTCTTTCATTTTAACTTGAGGGATTCCCTTTAGCAATTTTTGTAAGGCATATCTAATGGTGATGAACTCCTTCAGCTTTTGTTTATCTGGGAAAAAACTTATTTCTCCTTAATTTTTGAAGGACAGTTTCTTGGGAATATAGTATCCTTGGCTGGTAGTTTTTTTTTTCTTTCAGCACTTTTTTTTTGAGACAAGGTCTTGCTTGCTCTGTTGCTCACTTGCTGGATTGCAGTGGTGTAAACATGGCTCACTGCAGCCTTGACCTCTGGGCTCAAATGATCCTCCCACCTTAGCTTCTTCAGTAGCTAGGACCACAAGCATGACCAACATGCCCAGCAATTTTTAAAAATTTTTTGTAGAGATGGGATCTCACCATGTTGTCTAGGTTGGTCTCAGACTCCTGGGCTCAAGCAATTCTGCCTTGGCCTCCCAAAGTGCTGGGATTATAGGCATGAGACACCATGCCCAGCCTGTTTCAGCACTTTGAATATATTATTTCACTCACTTCTGGCTTGTAATGTTTTTGCTGATAAAGTTGCTGAAAATTTTATGAGCGGTAACTTGTATTTGACCAGTGGTTTTTCTCTTGCTGCTTTGAAGAGTCTCTCTTTGACTCTGATTTTTGACAGTTTGATTACAATGTCACTTAGTGTGGGCCTCTTTATATTCTTCTTATTTGAAATTCTATGAGCTGCTTGAATTTGCATGTCTATTTCCTTCCTCAGATTTGGGAAGTTTTTGGCAATTATTTCTTCAAATAAGCTCTCCACCTTTTTCTCTCTTTTTCTGAGACTCTCATAATATGTATATTAGTCCACTTAATGGTGTTATATAAGCTATTTAGGCTTTCTTCACTTTTTTCCATTCATTTTTCTTTTTGTTCCTCTGGCTTGATAGTTTCAAGTGATCTGTGAGTTCATTGATTCTTTTTCTGCTCGATCGAGTCATCTATTGATTGAATTTTCAACTCTATTATTTTATTTTTCAGCACCAGAATTTTTGTTTGGTTCTTGTTTATAGTTTCTCTTTGTTGATTTTCTCATTTTGTTCACGTGTAGTTTTCCTGATTTTATTTAGTTGTCTATCTGTGTTCTCTTGAGCACTGAGCTTCTTAAAGATTATTTTGAATTATTTGTCAGGTAACTTGTAAATCTCCATTTCTTTAGGTTCAGTTTCTGGAGATTTTCGTGTGTGTGTGTGTGTGTGTGTGTGTGTGTGTGTATTGCACCATGTTCCCTGTTTCTTTGTGTGCCTTTTTTTGGAGTGGGGGCTGGCAGGGGTGCAGGGAATTGCGACTCGGGCAATTGAAAACTCAGCCACCTCTCCTGGTCTTATAGACTGGTTTCACGCAAGGGAAGAACCTTAGCAATCATCCTGGCTAGCAATTCTGGGGTCTCTGAAACCTTTTGTGGGGTTATATCTTCTCTCAGTTTGTGTGTATAATTTTACAATTAGAGACATTTGCTCCCTTTTTTTTTTTAGATGGTGTTTTGCTCATGTTGCCCAGGCTGGAGTGCAATGGCATGATCTCGGCTCACAGCAAGCTCCACCTCCCAGGTTCAAGGGATTCTCCTGCCTCAGCCTCCTGAGTAGCTGGGATCACAGGCGCTCACCACTGTGCCCGGCTAATCTTTTTTTTTTTTTTTTTTGGTACTTTTGGTAGAGACGGGGTTTCACCATATTGGCCAGGCTGGTCTCAAGCTCCTGACCTAGTGATCTGCATGCCTCGGCCTCCCAAAGTGCTGGGATTACAGGCGTGAGTCACTGCTCCCTGCCTGCTCACTTTTTAAGAAGGAGTTTGTAATATCTTGTTCCCTCTGGTGTTTGTCTGGAATATTGCAGACTGTCTGGCATTGTATCAAGCTGATGATCTCTCCTTTGTTCTCTGTGGCCCTCAGGTATCCAACACATGCTTATTTGGTTAGTACTCTGGGTCAGGTAGATAGATAGAAATCAGATCGTAGGCCAGCCATCTAGATAGCCAGAATGTTGGACACATGTTCCAATCTTCTCTTTCTCTCCCAAGGGAGAAGGTGTAAGCTGGATACTTTTTCCCAGTTACAATACGCTGTGCCAACCTGGGGGAAAGGCTGATGCAACTGAAATGAAATGGTTCTTCTTAACCATTTGGATGTGGTGTTTTTGGTTTTGAGCTTGCCTGGGATATTGCAACTTCTGAACTGTTTTTGAAGTTTTCATAAAGGCTTTGGACAGTATGTTGTTGTTAAATCAATGTCTCCATGGAGGAATAAAGTTTGGGGCTTCCCATTCTACCGTCTTGCTGCTGTAACTCCATCACCTACGCAGTCTTTTTGCCAAGAACATTTTACCTAAATCTAATAATGAGGGAATAATCATATAAATCTGGGGACAATTTAAAGACAACTAGCATAAATCCTTAAAAAATATCAATGTCATGAACCTCCACCTCCCACCCAAAAAAAAAAAAAAAAAAAAAAAAAAAAAGGGAGAGTGTTAAAAGAGACAAAAGAGATATAATAGGTAATAGGTCCATGAAGCTTGATTAGATTCTGAGTTTTTAAAAATGCCATAAAAGTCATTTTGAAGATAATTGAGTAACTTTGGATATATGCCGCTTATTAGATGGTATTTTTAAATAATGGTAAATGTTTTAGGTGTGATAATGGTATGGTAGATATGTAGAAGAATTTCCTTGTTCTTAGGAAATTTATCTTGGAATGTTTACAGTGGAAATGTCACAATGTCACAACACACACATACATGTACAGGGGATGAACAAATATATGACAAAATGTCAACAGTTGGTGAATCTATATGAAGGTTATACAGGTATTCTTTAAACTTTTTATAAAATTATTTTTCAAAATAAAAAGTTGGGGAGATAAGCCCTAGGAGACATTATTCTTATCATTCCCATTTTACAGATGAGAAAAATGAGGTTCAGAATGGTTAAGTAGCTTACTCTAGGTCACACAATAACAAAGTTGAGAATTCAACCTGAGTAGGTTTGTGCAACTTTCATATTTTATGAGCACTTGAAGGAAGAATTGTTGTTACCACTTTTTACAGAGAAGGAATCTGAGACCTAGAGAAGACATGGAATGCCCAGGGTCATGGGTATAGGAAATGGAGCCAGAGCATCAGTCCAGTGTTACCTTTGGAATTTGGGGCTTTTCCCATTGTATGTTGCTGAGAAAGCGAGAGGGAGAAGGAGCAGGAGACGTTGAGATAAGACAGAGGCTAAAAGCCTTAAGTTTTCTCTTTCTGATAAACTTCCCACCTTTACCCTGACAAGTGTTTTAGTAAGATCTGGGAATGGAGCCAGCCCTGAGATGTAGCAACTATGGGCTCAGTTTACAGTCTGATGGATCCTATGCACGCGCTGTTCTCTGCCAGCTCTTTCTTCCACCCTGCACTTGCCTCCACACCTCTCAACATTCTCTCTCTCACATGCACTCAGCCTCTGCAGACCTTACTCCTCCTCATCCTTCAGGCCTCAGATTAGACTGCATTGATTTCAGGAAAACTTTCTTAAACCTCAGCAATCCCTACCCCATCCGCATTCCCGTAGGGTAAGAGACCCCATTTCTTTCAGAGCTTCCTGTTATCACGGCTACTGTTGGGCACCAATTATGAGCGCTAACACGTATTAACTCATTTGGTCCTCAAAACCTGTAAGATTGATAGTAATATTATATCCCCATGAAGAAGTTAAGACATAGAAAACCTAATTAACTTCCTTAAGATAAAATAAAATAGTATAAATTCAAACACAGGCATCTTGTTCAGAACCTAAACTTTTAACCACTATGTGATAATTGCTCTTCTCAGCATGTGTTTATTTACTCTCTGTTTTCCCTGTGTAAGTGAAAGTTCTATTACTTGTTCACTAGTATATCCTGGAACTTGGCCTGGGGCCTGGCATCATCAGGGCCCAATAAATACTTGTTTAATAGATAGCAATGTGGGTAGTGCAACGGGAAGAACAAGGCATCAGGAGTCAAACATACCAGAGTTTGTTACATGGCCACTTACCAATTAGGTGATTTTGGGTAAGTCAATTGACTTTGTAGTGCAGCCATTTTTGTAACTGAAAAATGGAAGTTATTGTGGGAATTCATTGCAAAAGTGTGTTATAAACTGCACTTGGTATAAATGTGAGTCATGATGGTTTCTTATCTCTGGAAGGTAACCAGAACATGATTCTTTCTACTTCCAAAAGAAAAATAAGGTAGAGGCTGTGATCAGAAAAAAGTCACTTCCTGCCTATGCTGACTAGGCCTCCAGGATAGGCCTGAAATTCTGTTAGGTCACGAGACTCTTTGGCTGCCCAAAGAGGCCTGACTTAAGTGCCTAAGTCTGTGCCTGCCTTTGGGAGCTCTGCTTAGGGTGTGAGACTCAGTGTGTCCATGGGGAGCTAATGGGCTGAATCCAGGGATGAAGCCAAGCACTGGGATAGCTCTGCAGCAAAATCAGAAAATGGAAGTGAGAGAATTGTGAAACCACTGTCTGCACTCATCCCTACGGCCACCTAACCCCAGGAGAGGTCTCTGCAGAACAAGGTGCTGTGGGTTCTCTTCTCTCCATCCATCATATTTTAACTGCCTGTGTGCCACTGCCTCCTGCTCAGACATGGGGGCAAGCCCAGGATGAGCATGTAACTGTAAGGAATGACGGGATTAGGTCCACCCTGAATCACGTTAGGAAAAGCAAGAAAACAAATCCCAGAAAAACATGGTTTCAATCTTGTAAAGCCTAGAAGTAAGGCTAGTTCTTCAAACTATTTCTTGACTATGTCTACAGGTATTAAGCTACTTATAAGCTTGGCGAGATTAAAAAATAGATGTTTTGTGAAAATTAAGAAAAGAAAGTGGCACCTCTCTGAGCCAGAAAGAACATGGTAGGAATTAGTAATGCTTTTACTAAAAATGTTGGTTGCCCAGTTAGAGACCATGGGAAGTTGCAGACCCAGGAGGTCTGGCTTTCAGAGAGTTAGACGGCACTTCCTGAGGGACATGGAGAGAGAAATGTAGCTGGATACAACTGTCTGCCAGGCCTTGGGTTGATCGAAATATTAAGCTACATAAGCCCAGTTCTTGCCCTCAAGGAGCCCTTAATTTAGTGGATTTTTATTTAGATTAATTCTAAGAAGTAAAAAAAACAAAACAAAACAGAAGTGTATGGATTAAGGAATAGTTAACTGGGGTCCTGTTTCTAGTAAAATGCTATTCAATCTTAAAAAACAATCAATGGTAAGGAAACACAGCGAAGGCATGACAGTCAAATTTTTAGGTGACAAAAATCTTGGAGGACTAACTCAAATTTGAATGTCTGAATCAATACTTTAAATATGTTTTGACAGAATCAATTAAGTCCAAGTTGAACCTAACTTAAGTTCAAAATAATTAATTAGGTGAGTAGACTGTTAAGCAAATTTGGGCTTAAATTACACTTTAAAAAAGTAATGTCGGCCGGGGTTAGTGGCTCACACCTATAATCCCAGCACTTAGGGAGGCCAAGGTGGGCAGATCACCTGAGGTCAGGAGTTCAAGACCAGCCTGGCCAACATGATAAAACTCTGTTTCTACTAAAAATGTAAAAATTAGCTGGGTGTGGTGGCACGTGCCTGTAATCCCAGCTACTCAAGAGGTTGAGGCACGAGAATCGCTTGAACCTAGGAGGTGGAGGTGTGAGTTGAGGTCATACCAGTGCACTCCAGCCTGGGTGACAAAGCGAGACTCTGTCTCAAAAAAAAAAAAAAAAAAAAAAGCAGTAATGTTGCTTTAGTCAGCCACAGACTTAATATGAGCCAGAATGAGTTTGCCACAAACATGAGTGCAACCCAAGGATGGAATAATAGAATAATAGAAGTAGCGTGTCCAGGACAAGTGGTGTACCACCACTATTGTCTGTTTTGGTCCATTCTTGGTCTAGAGTCTTTTTTTTTTTTTTTGAGACAGAGTCTCACTCTGTCACCCAGGCTGGAGTGTAGTGATGCGATCTTGGCTTACTGCAACCTCCACCTCCTGGGTTCAAGTGATTCTCTTGCCTCAGCCTCCTGAGTAGCTGGAATTACAGGCACGCACCACCATGCCTGGGCCTAAAAAGTCTTCATATGACTCATTTTAAAAAGGATGTTTGGCCAGTCGTGGTGGCTTACGCCTGTAATCCCAACACTTTGGGAAGTGATGTGGGTGGGTTGCTTGAGCTTAGGAGTTCGAGACCAGCCTGGACAACATGGTGTAACCCCGTCTCTACAAAAACTAGTGGTGCCTGGTGGTTCATGCTTGTAGTCCCAGCTCTGTGGGGGCCTAAGGTGAAAGGAATGCTTGAGTCTCAGAGGTTGAAACTGCAGTGAGCCATGAACATGCCACCACCCTCCAGCCTAGATGACAGAGTGAGACCCTGTCTCAAAAAACAAAAAAAAAAAAGAAAGAAGAAAGGGAAAAGGATATATTCATAAGTTCTCTTTCCCTTCACAAAATTTGTCTTCCATTTTTGTAAGACTGTTGAAAATGCATTGAGAATTTTTATGGTCATCCAACTAGAAGAGCTTTAAACCATGACCAAAATTTAAGGTCTAGAAGCCAAAATAATCATGCATAATGAATTAGTCTTTTATTTCCTGGACCTTGTTATGACATTCCGTAGATTTCACCATACTGTTCTTGAATTAGATGCATGATACAATGTCGTCTTTCTTCAGTCTTTTCTTTAGCTCATGATCTCTGCAGCCCTGTAATTGTGTATATTCCTTTGGATATTGTTATCAGCCTCTTTCTCTTCATTTTCTCCTTGAGAATTCATCTACTCCTGTGGTTTACAACTTCTTCCTTCTTGGATAACCTAGAAACCTGTAGTTGCACCTCGGGTTGCAACTTGGACTCCAGTGTTGTATTCCAACTATTTAGGGAAAAGGAATACAAGATAAGGGAGCTAAATTTTGTTTAGAGCATTTTACCTAATTCCCACAATAACCCTGTTTGGTTTGGGCATTAGCACTTTTCAGATGTGGACACTGGGTCACAGAGAGCCCAAAGTCAGAGTTTCATGGAATAATAAGTTGATGATTTGCACCCTGATCTTCTGGCTCCTATTTCAGGGCTCTGTCCACCATGGCTGCCTCTCTTTTGTATCTTATGGTCTGTATTTGGCATTTATTATTCACTCCATCCATTTACTTATGTAGAAATATTGCATGCCTACCATATTTCAGGAACTATGCTAGGGATGGGGGAATAAGGAAATGAGCAGGACACTGTCCTTTCTTTTAGAAGATAACAGGCTGTCAGAGGAGGTTGAAAAGACAGATGACTGCACGAGGTGATAAAGGCCCTGATCTTCTATGGAATGCACTGTTTGCCAAGATAGCTGGGGAGGCAGTCAGGGAGAGATATTTCATGAGGTTTTGAATGAGGAGTAGAAATTTGGCTTCCCATTCCAACAGGGCTGTGCCTTTTATTTCACTTTGCAGGTTTATATGTCTTGTCTTCCTCCCTACCACAAGTACAGGCATAGTAGGCCCTCATACTGTTGAATGACAGCTACAAACAGGACTGAGGCTATAATGCAACAAAATATCCATACTTAATTCTTAGGTAAAAATCACAATATATCAAAACAGATTTCCTATCAGAACAGTTATCAGCATGAGATAGTTCCTCCCTACTTTGTAAGGGAAGAAATTATATAGTGGTGAGATTTAATGGCTCATTTAAGGTCACACAGCATTTAGTGTCAAAATCTTGAGCAGGGTCTGCTCCTCGGACTCCCTATCTTGTACCTTTCAACATCTGAATGTGACCGACTCTTCCAGAATAGCTGGAGACAGAGCCTGAGCAAGAACAGAACAGTGTTTCATCGCTGCTGGTCAGAGGAAGAGTCCACTAAAGTGCATCCAGTATAGAGATGCTAATGGCCTATTAGGATCTTACAATTCTGGCAATTTCTTACCACCCGGACATTAATGACTACAATTAATTATTCACCTCGATCAGACTCTGGGAAAACCTGCCAGGTGCTGTCCTACCCTATGAGAAACCACCTTACTGCCAAAGAGGAAAAGGTTGTTTTTTTTGTCCCTGAATTCACAGAGGGGGAAGCGGTTCTTTTTAATAGGTCTGGAATCTGAACTTTCATAAAAGGCACCTTATCTCCTGACTTTCTCATATGTCTTCATCTGTTCTATTGACTCTCTTTGATGGAATATACCAGCCGGCGCTACAAAGTGCTTTTTAATACTTTGGTAAACAGTTGAGAGAGAAACCTCATTACAGATAAAGTGAGAAGTGAAGTTGGACAGCCCATTTATCTTACTCAAGATGAAGTAAGGGCTGTTGCTCAATTAGGCTAAAATAAAATCTCTCATGTTTCCTTCCTAATGTCTTGTTTGGGGGCAGGGGTATGGGGGCGGGGGAAGTGAGTGGCAGGATGAGTAAGCTTCTGAAATATTGCCCAAGAATGTGACAGGCATCGGGGGAGGGAAATGAGCTTCAGCAGCTGCTCCTACAGCAGTCACTTTGCATTGCTTTCTGCCAGCAGGAAGCGGGGGCATGAGATAGCTAGGAGTCAATCAGAGACAGCCAGCTCAAGTCCTTCTTCAGTCCTGGCCACCCCACTTTCATTAGCAGCCTCAGAAAGGAAAGGGGAGGAGGGGCAGATGGCAAAGGATTATTGGTGGGGCTTTAGGAAGAGGAATTGAGAAGAGTGAATTTGATCCAAATCTAAAATGTATAAAGATTGTACACCTGCTCTTATTCTTTAGTCATTAATCATAGCGGTTTGTTGCTGTTTTTTAATGGGGATGGAGGGGGACAGAGGGAGTGCAGGGGTTGGGAAAGGATGGTGGCAGTGAAGGAGAATGAGAAAACGTGTCTTGTTGCCCTGAGCTTGCACCTGGCTCTTCCTCAGTGTGCTGTGCTGGTTGATAGAATGTTTTCATTTTCTTTTCCCCTCAGAGACACATGTTTATTCTCTTAAAATGGGGAAGATCCCATTTTTCCTTTCAGACTGTTTAATCTGAAAGGAGAAGATCTCGGCCAGGAGATACCTTGTTTCCAGTTTGAATCAGATCAAGTTTACCCTGAGAAGTCTGAGATATGTTTTACAAAGGCAGATAGAATGAAGGCCAAAGTTCTGACTCATTAATTTGATATTTTAGATGTTGTAAGTACAAATACTCCCTCCTAAGCTCAGGTACTAATCTTGTTTTGTATATGATATCCATGGTCATTAGGACTTGTAGTCTACTCTTTGTACTGTGACTTCAGAAAATGTTTATTTAGATAGAAAGTACAAACTACCCTTTCCTTCAAAACTTTTTTGTGAGCCTTAGAGAATCATGTACTGAGGTATTGCCAAATGGTGTTTTGATTCAGCTCCTCTGATTAGGTCATTAAAATAAGAAGATTTCACTTCCTCTCCTTCAAGGATAACCAAGAGCCCCAGGTTGGAAGGAGAGCAACATCCTTGTCAGCTGGCCTGTAGCGCAGTGAAGACCACAGCTATCACCACTACATCAAAACCAAAGTCTGAGAGCACCTGCCTGCCCCAGAAGATTCAGAATCGTGCCCCAAATCTGCCTCTCTCAAGAAAAAGATAAAATGCTCAAAGATCACCTAGAATACTTTACCCATCGTATATAGTAGAGCAGGATGAAAAATCTGGGTTGATTTATGGAGTGGTAAATAGTCCCTTGTTGACAGGATAAATTTGTTTAGAATTTTGATTTACCAGGAATGTGCCATGAAGCAAAGCTAAGAGGCAACTGGGAAGTTCTTCAAGCAGGTATTAGATTTGGAAGTGAGAATTTAACTTGGATGCTTGTCGTTGTGGCTAGAGTTGGGCAAGACCCAGAGAGGGGAGCCAAGTGATCAACTCCTAATACCTCTTTTAGCCACTTTTTATGTTAGGAGATTTTACAGTCCTTTTCTAAGACTTTCAGCAGCCTAAATCACTAGGAAGGTGGTTAGCCTGGCAGCCATCATAACTGAGATTGTATGTGTATATACCCTGGATTTACCTGTAATCTGTGAGCTCTTCGAAGGCAGAAATACTGTGTTTTTCTTTTGTTTAGTAGGTGCACAAAGTGTAATAACTGTGGCTGAACTGAACTCAATGGACTGCTTGGTGTCCTACTGCTGTAGACTAGAGCAGATACAGCATTTTCCAAGTTTCCAGCAAGTCTAGTAGGACTTCATAAAATGGCAGGCTGAAAATCAACCTGCAACTAGTAGCATATTTTACTAAAAATACTCCTGTCTCTATAGAGGGGTGTGTGGTCTTTGTGGGGGCAGGAAAAGTTACTAAGATGTTTCCACAGGTTTATGTAAGACTATCCAACTCCAAATCCAGTTTCTGTGTTCACCAACCCACCTGAAACTACCAAGGTGGTTATCTAGACACCTTTCAACCAGGAAAAAGATGCCCAGGCCAGGAATTTTTTTGAGAGAGAAAGAGGAGAGAAGCTAAAATAAGTTTTCACAGCCTCTTCATTCAAGAAATTGAGGTTAAATAGAAGGCATAAGTTCTAGTATTTGATAGCCATTCACAGTAGTGTTCACAGTAGGGTGATTATAGTTAATGATAATTTATTGTATATTTCAAAATAGCTAGAAGAGACTTAAATGTTCCCAACACAAAGAAAGGATAAATGTTTGAGGTGGTGGATATCCTAAATACCCTAATTTAATCATTATACATTGTATGCATGTATCAAAATATCACATGCACCTCATAAATATATACAATCATGTATCAATAAGAAATTTTAACTAAAAATGATTACATAAACTAAACTACAATTACATAACCACAGAAAACTAGCATGAAAGTGGTTATTTACTTTGAAAAAAAAAGAGAGAAATTTAGAACTTTATAAAGGAAATAAAATGAAAATAGGCCACAATGAACAGTTGACACAAAGCTGAGAGGAATTGAGTACATGACCTCGAAGGAGTCTCCTAAAACTAAGAGGTGGGTCAGAAAGCTGGCAAGCTCTAATGCTTAGACTCACACAAGTCCATGTGTGAAATTAGACTTTTGACCTCCAGGCAGTGGTCTTCAACCCAACGGGAATGCCCACCCTTGGGAGGAGAGCAAATGACTTTCCATGAGGCCCTTACATTTCTTGTAAGGAAATTAATTTTTATATTCTCAATTTCCAACTGTACTTTTTCCTAAGATTGATCTGCCAAGTCTGTGATTGGTTGGCTCTTCCCACCTCCTTTTAAAATTCCCTTTTTTATTAATGACAAACAAACCTCTCATCCATTCTAAATCCTATTAATGTGGATTTCCCAGGGCACAAAGCGAAGGGACAATTCCAGGATGCCTTGCTCCTGAGGGGAGTCCCATGGGTGCCAGAAGGAAATGTTGAAGGGAACTTTTTATTCTTATCCAAGAGGGAAACTCTTGGCAAGGCTCTGAGGGCTCATTCATCCATTCTTCCATCCATCCATCCATCCATCCATCCATCCATCCATCCATCTATCCACTCATCCATCTTTCAATTAGAATTTGAAAGTGAGATGTTTGTCCCAGGGATGAGCATAAATATGCTTATTTGAATTGAAAAATGAAGTAAGACTTTTTCTGACAGAAAGTCAGTCTGATTTAGATGACTGATTTGACAATGACTAGGTTTGCCAAGTTCTATGGTGGATGTTGCCTATAAATTGATCTTAGTATACAGTTCCAAGATTTTGACAAAAAAATATATTCAGAGCCTGTATGCATCATAGAACATGTTGGGAATTAAGCTTATAATTAACATTTTTTTAGTTTAAAATTGTGTAGAGTGCACATAGATTATTTTTCAAAAACATTTAAGGAAATATACAAGAAAATTTGACAACTGCATTAGGGATTCTTAGAGGGCTAGTCTAGGCTGGAGCAATTTGAGGAGGTTTCTTGAAGTGCTAGAACTGAGCTGGGTTTTAGAGGATGGTAAGATAGTTCAAAGTGAAAAGGCAGAGAAAGGCTCTCTGGTTATTTATTTAGTGTCAACAGGATAATGTGTTTCGTACAACTTGAGGTTGTACCAAACATGAGTGGAGAGATGGTAATGTGACCAGCTTAGTCTCAGGACAACAACCATTGGAATGGTAGGAACAATAACGCTGGTCACCTGTCTTAGCCTGAAAAGATTTAATATCTCACTTGCTGGGGAGTAGAAAGAGGGCAGATTGAATAGGTGAATGGGCAATAAGGCAAGTTAGAAAAAGCTTTAAAAGCCCCATAAAGAAATCTAGATTTTAAGCCACACGAACAAAGCAGAGTTTAATCAATGTTAATCTCTCTCATCTTCTCTCAGGGTGTGTTGTTCTTCCTCCGAATCTCCATAAAGTCATTTCCATTCTTTTGCTATAGGATTGCCATGTCATGGCAATCATTTGTTTACATGTTGATCTCCTCTGTTAGTCTGTAAACGTTTCCAGAACATGGATTATGTCTTATTTGTCTTTGTAGCCCCAGGGCCTAGCACATTTCCCCTCAAGCAATGGGATCTTAATAAACTTTTTATTAATGAATGAAAAAATGAACAAAAGAAATCCAAAAGAAAGGTGAAGAGGGACAAACTAGGAAAAAAGGACTAATACTGCTAAGTAGTTTTAGGTACCAAGGACTTTTAGTCATCAAGCTAATTCTCACCTGTGGGATAGGAAACACTGTTGTAGTCTGAAAGCTGAGGAGATGATGCCTAAATTTGTATAAGTGGTGAGTTGTGAAGTCATTTCTGAAGCGAGTTTAGTTCTAAAGTATATAGAAATTTTACTTTGTTGTCTATGAGACTGTAGGTCACAACTCGTTAGTGGCTTATGATTAAGGCACGTCCAGATAGCTGGCAAAGCATTGTTTCTGTGTATGTCTGTAAGGGTGTTTCTGGAAGAGACTGGCATTTGAATCAGTGGACTGAGTAAGGAAGATCCACCCTCATCCAATCAGCTGAGGGTCCAGATAGAACGAAAAGGTAGTGGAAAGGTGAATTTGCTCTCTCTTACTTTCTCTTTTCTGGAACGGAAACATCCTTCTCCTGATTTTGGACATCAGAACTTCAGGTTCTCTGGCCTTTGGACTCTGGAACTTGCACCAGAATGGCCCCCTAGGTTCTTAGGCCTTCGGCCTCAAACCATCAGTTACACTTTGGCTTCCTTGGTTCTGAGGCCTTCAGACTTGGCCTGAGCCATGTTACCAGCTTCCCTGGTTCTCCAGTTTGCAGATGGCCTATCACAGAACTTCTCAGCCTCCATAATCACAGAGCCAATTTCTCTAATCAATCCCTCTTGTCTGTCTGTCTATCTATCTATCTATCTATCTATCTATCTATCTATCATCTATCTATCTATCCCTCCGTCACTCCATCCATCCATCCATCCATCCATCCATCCATCCATCCATCCTATTGGTTCTGTCTCTCTGGAGAACTCTAATACATGAATCATAACCAGCATTATAAAAAG
The DNA here is from genome assembly GCF_000001405.40 of Homo sapiens. NCBI lineage: Eukaryota > Metazoa > Chordata > Mammalia > Primates > Hominidae > Homo > Homo sapiens. The sequence goes on along the minus strand of NC_000001.11, from coordinate 86,769,487 downwards.
AGAATAGAACAGAGTAAGAGTAACTTTACTAACTTTTCAGTTATGTGTGTGGGCATGTATGTGTGTGTTTGTACTTGGTCTCAATGTAAAATGCATTTCTTACTATGGATCATAGTGAAAAAGTTTGGAAAATGAAGTACTGTATACTTTTATGCCTGAACTAAGTAGTGATAGTGCTAGTAGAAAATAAAGGATTGACGGGAGAGACGCTTTGAAGCAAGAGCGGACATGACATGACATTTTTGTCTTTTTCTTTCTTTCTTTTTTCTCTTTTTCTCCCTTTCTTTCATTTTCTTTCCCTCGCTCCCTCCCTCCCTCCCTCCCTCCCTTCCTTCCATCCTTCCTTCCTTCTTTCCCTCCCTCCCTCCCTCTTTCTTTCCTTCCTTTCTTGGAGTCTTGCTATGTTGCCCAGGTTGAAGTGCAGTTCTTGGCCTCACAGGATCCTCTTGTCTCAGCCTCCTGAGTAGCCAGGACTACAGGTGTGTGCCATCATGCCTGGACAGGACTTAACATTTGATTGGCTATAAGAGTCAGTTAAAAAGGTCACCAAGGCTTGGAACCCCAGACATTGGAAGAATATGGGTACCATTCATATAAAAATTAAAGTAGGGGGTTGTAGCATCATTAATGCTGCTCACACATTTCTAGCTCTTTGCCTGTGTGTACATGATAAGCTTATACTTCTTGGACCTTTCATGTGGGTAGAGTCATGTGAAGAGTTCAAGGTAATAAGATGTGGGTAGAATTGATGTGTGTCACTTCCAGGCTGGGGCATATAATAGCTGGTGTGAGACCCTCCAGAACTTTCATTCCCTCTGCTGTGGCACCTGGTGATGTTTGAAATAGTGGCTGCTCTATCAGTCTGGGATCTGGAGTGAGGAGATTTGGAGCAGAGCTTGTTGGTCAACCTGTGGTGGACATGTTGCATCAGTAAGAAATAAACTTTTGCTATCTTAAGCAACTGAGAATTGGAGACTATTTATTATCACAGAAAAATTTAACCTATTCTAATTGACAGAGGGGTAGTGCTGGTGGAGGGAACGCTTCTTCTTTGTATTACTGAGCTGGAAAGGGGAAGCACACAAGTCACATATGGTTTCTGAGGAAGCTCTAGGCTAAACAATAAGATCTACGGGATGAAGGGAATATGAATTGAAAGTGTAGAAAATTCCATTATCAAAAACTCTAGACCCAGAAGTATCACATATGTAGAAATTTTACCTCCATCTCCTTCCACACTCTTTAATCCCTCTGCTGGGCCAGTTCTTGAGCCAGCTGCTCTCCTTCTTGTGGTAGATAGAATAGTGGCCCCCAAAGATGTCCATGTCTAATCCACCTTGTGAATATGTTATCTTACAATTGTAAAGGCAATTTCGCAGCTGTCATTAAGGTTAAGGATTTGAGATGGGACAATTACACTGGATTGTGCAGGACTCAATCTAATCACACAAGTCCTTAGAAACAGAGAACCAGAGATAGCAACAGGAAAAGCATTCAATTCACTGTTGCTGGTTTTGAAGAAGTAGGAAGGGGGCCACAAGCCAAGGAATGCAAGCAGTCTTTAAAACCTAGAAAAGTCAAAGAAATTGATTCTCCCTCAGAGCCTCTAGAAAGAATGTGGCCTTGCCAGCACCTTGATTTTAGCTCAGTGTGACCCAAGTCAGATTTCTGACCTACAGAACTGTAATACAAAACATTCGTATTCTTTAAGCCACCAAGTTTGTGGCAATTTGTTAGCACAGTAATAGAAAACTAACACACTTCCCTCCTCCTATACAGAAATATTCCTTTGCTTTCTTCCTTGTGCTTCTTGCTTCTGTCATCCCCGCAGGATGAAATGCTTGCCAATCCTGCTGATATCAGCTTAAACTCCACCTCTTCAATGGAGACATCCCCCAATCCCTCCAGCTGAAAGTAAATACTTTCTTTTCTGTCCGCTATCATGCTTTGCCCGTAGCTTTGCACTTTCGATCTGGTGTATAATCCCTTACTTATTTGTCACTGATTTCCACTGTGCTGTTAGGTGCATGAAGTCTGATATATAAATCACACATAAATGATATGCAGTAATTAAAAAGCAACACTTCAAAGAAACAACTAGGTTTTTTTTTTTCTTCTTCTTTTAACCACTGGGCCACTGCAGGTGGCAGAGAACATCTGAAAAAGCAGTCCAGAGATAATAATAGAGATTTTTTTTTACATTCAGTATTGAATGTGGTCAACATTAAAGTTGTTATCTTTACCCTAAAAGTCTGTACTGTCTATTAAATCTTTCACGATGCATACTAATTGCATAGTCAGTCTATGCCTTGCTTCCCAGCCAAGAGAACCCTCATTTTCTTTTCAGGTATCTACCTTTTCCTCATATGATTTAGGAGACTTCATCCCCAGTTCCTAGGATAAAGTCAATAAGTCTAAGCTAATTATAGTAATCCCATTCCTGTTGCTATTAATTGGTTTAGAAATGACCAGAGAAAGTTGAAACAGAATTGTCCTTATTAAATGATACTGCAGGAGGCATCAGACTACCCAAGTTCAAACTGTACTCTAAAGCTACAATAAACAAAACAGCATTCTACTGGTACAAGAACAGACACATAGACCAATGGAACAGAATAGGGAACCCAGAAATAAAGCTGCACATCTACCACTATCTGATCTTCAACAAAGTTGACAAAAATAAGCAATGGGGAAAGAACTCCCTATTCAATAAATGGTGCTGGGGATAGCTGGCTAGTTATGCAGAAGAATGAAACTGGACCCTTTCCTTTCACCATATACAAACATTAACTCAAGATGGATTAAAGATTTAAATATAAGACCTCAATCTATATTTTATAGATTCTATATTCTAGAATTCTAGAAGGAAACCTAGGAAACACCATTCTGGACATCAGCCTTGGGAAAGAATTTCTGAGTAAGGTCTCAAAAATAATTGCAACAAAACAAAAAATTGACAAGTGGGACCTAGTTAAACAAAAGAGGTTTTGAACAACAAAATAAATTATCAATAGAGTAAATAGATAACTTATAGAATGGGAGAAAATATTCATAAACTGTGCAGCCAACAAAGGTCCATATCCAGAATCTATAAGGAATTTACACAATTCAACAGGCAAAAAACAAATAACCCCATTAAAAAGTGGACAAAAGACATGAACAAACACTTCTGTAAAGAAGACATACAAATATGAAAAAATGGTCAACATCACTAGTCATTAGAGAAATGCAAATCAAAACCACAATGAGATTTCATCTCACACCTGTTGGAATGGCTATTACTAAAAAGTCAAGAAAACAATAGATACCGGTAAGGCTATTGAGAAAAAGGAATGTTTATACACTGTTGGTGCGAATGTAAATTAGTTCAACCACTGTGGAAAGCAGTTTGGAGATTTCTTGAAGAACTTAAAACAGAACTGCCATTCAACCCAGGAATCCCATTACTGAGTTTATATCCAAAAGAAAACAAATCATTCTACCAAAAGACACATGCACTCGTATGTTCATCACAGTGCTATTCACAACAGCAGAGATGGAACCAACCTAGATGCCCATCAACAGTGGATTGAATAAAGAAAATGTGATATGTATACACCATGGAATACTATGTAGCCATAGAAAAGGATGAGATCATGTCCTTTGCAGCAACATGGATGGAACTGGAGGCCATTATCCTAAGCAAATTAATGCCAGAACAGAAAATCAAATGTCACATGTTCTTACTTATTAGTGGGCGCTAAATATTGAGTACATAAAGATGGCAATAATAGACACTGGAGACTAATATAGGGGGAGGGAGGGAGCAAAGCCTGAAAAACTAACTGTTGGGTATTATGTTCAGTATCTGGGTGACAGGATCATTTGTATCACAAACCTCAGCATCACATGATATACCCATGTAACACACTTGCACATGTGCCCCCATATCTAAAATAAAAGTGGAAACTATTTAAAAAAGAAATAAAATAACACTGCAGAGAGTACTGAATCTCCTTAGGCTAAATATAATTTTAATGGAAAGGAGGAGATTCTCTTTATGGCCATGAGCATACATTAGGTAAAAGCAGAGTTGTTTTTTTTTTTTCTTTAGTCAGTGAGGTCAGTAGGGATCTTAATTTACTTCTCATGCTTTGCTTAGACAAGATAATGTACTTAGTACTGCTTGGTTTGTCTCAAATGCTTGGCTGCCTTTCAAAAAGCTTTTGATTTGGGGAAGGGATAGGACAGGGCGTTCCCAGGCAGCCTTATCAGTACCAGAGAGTACTCAGACTGCAGCCTCAATTGTGGGAGTGTTCTTCTGTGAAACCTTTAAAAGGCTGGATCTGCTTACAGAGCCATTAACTGTGGGGTCCTCAAAGTCACCGTACAGGGATGGTTGAGCATCACTAAGTGCACACTGGTCATTAAGCAGGAGCCTTTCACTCCTAACCATTTCCAATCCAAGACATATTTAATAGATGCAGGGAGAGTTACAACATCATGTGGTTGGGATGATCAGAGGAGGTTACTTGGAAGAAGTAGGTCTTTTTACCCATTAATTTGCTCATGAACTCAGGCTTTCTCAACAATGGTTCCTCACCTGAACCATAGCACACAGAAATTGATTTGGATGACTATCTTCTCGATTCTTCCAAAAATGGTACATAGCTAGTGCCATTCATGAAGCATAGTAGAAAAGTTAATTCACATAGTGAATAATTGGCACATTAAGGCTTAATTCTTTCATGGACTCTAGTTCATTTATTCAATATATTTACTGAGTGCCTACTTTCTGGCAGGCATTCTTATTGGTACTGGTTATACAGTTGTAAAAAAATGAAGTCCCTGCCCTCATGGAGCTTACATTTTAGTGAAGAATTCAGATTCAGAATAAACATAATATATATGTTATATACCTGGATCTTGAAGAAAAGATTTGCATAGTAGAAGGGAAGGGGAGGTCATTTAACATGGTCTGGGAAGGCCAGGCCATATGGAAATGGATCTTGGACCTGGCTGCTTTCCACTCCTTCCTGCAATAAGAAGGGCTGAAAGGGCAGGCTCTTACCAGCTCTGACCACTGAAGTGCATAATCCCTAAGCACATGACTTTTTGTTCATGGGGTCATGGTCAGGCTGTACTTTTAGGGACAGATAGTCCTGAAGTTAGGTGTCACCTCAGATGGGACTAGGGATTTGGTGACAAGGCTGAGGATATTGACCCACAGGAAGAGTGGATACCTACCTACATGGTGTGAGTTAGGGCTCCTGAAGGGGTTCTTTGGCCCATAGATTATTTTCCCAAGGCTTTTTATGGTGCTGCAAATGCTACCCTTACTGACTCTTTTGGTCTAAGGTAGAAGTTCCCAAACTTGTCCAGGCGCAGTGCCTCACACCTGTAATCCAAGCAGTTTGGAATGCTGAAGTGGGAGGATCGCTTGAGCCTAGGAGTTTGAGATTGGTCTGGGGAATATAGGCAAGACCCCATCTCTCGAAAAAATAAAAATACAAAATTAGCCAGGCATGGTGGTGCACGCCTGTAGTCCAAGCTACTTGGGAGGCTGAGGTGGAAGGATCACTTGAGCCTGGGAGGTGGAGGCTGCAGTGAGCTATGATTGTGCCACTGCACTCCAGCCTGGGCAGCAGAGCAAGATCCTATCACATTTAAAAATAAGAGAAAGAAATAAAGAAAGAAAGAAAGAAAAGAAGTTCCCAAACTTTTTTTATTTTACAGCACATTTAGTGTCTCAACACTTTTTTCATGAAAAAAGCCAAAAGAAATATCTAACACTTCTGTTTATTAAGTAAGTCCAAATAACTTAATAGTAGTATTTGTTTAGGGTCTGACAGATGTGTCTGGGCTTCCCCTGAAAAAATTTAAAATGTTCCACAGTGCCCCCGTGAGTTCACTACGGAATACTTAGTATATGTTTGTCATTATGAACTTAAGGCATAGAAAGTCCCTAAGATACTGCGGGGCGCGGTGGCTCATACCTGTAATCCCAGCACTTTGGGATGCCAAGGCGGGTGGATCACGAGGTCAGGAGATCGAGACCATCCTGGCTAACACAGTGAAACCCCGTCTCTTCTAAAAATACAAAAAATTAGTCGGGCGTGGTGGTGGGTGCCTGTAGTCCCAGCTACTCAGGTGGCTGAGGCAGGAGAATGGCGTGAACCCGGGAGGTGGAGCTTGCAGTGAGCAGAGATTATGCCACTGCACTCCAGCCTGGGCGCCAGAGTGAGACTCCGTCTCAAAAAAAAAAAAAAAAAAAAAGAAAGTCCCTAAGATATAAAGGTTCTTCACAGGGATAACTCATTATCAACCCTGAATGCCAGATGCATCCATCGGGTTTGTTATAGAGTGGTCTTAGCCTAAACAGATGGGACCCAGAGTGACTAAGTGCTGATGGAAGAAAAAAGTTATAAAGGCCAGGCTCCAAAGTGCTTGTGCTCGTCAGATAAACCTGTGAGGCGAAAAGACTGCAAACAGGAGGAGAAAGAGAAAGGCACTGGGAGCCCTGTGTGGGGAGCTCTCAGAGCCATATGAAGTGAGAAAAAAGGGTAGGCGATGAAGCGAATGCAAGTTAGCTATGCCCTGTGGGGTCTGTAGCCCCCAGCATGTACCCATTCAAGTGAGAGCCCCTCCCCAGTGTGAGAGGCCGTACCGACGGGCTGGCTCACTCTCTTTAGTTGGACCAGCACATTGATATTCCTGATGTTCCAAAGTTACCCCCCGTTCTTTGCCCTACCTGTTCCACCTCCTATGTGAGCTTCCGGGATGGGCAGGACAGACCACCTCGGCATCCCACTCACTTTGTTTCTGTACACAAACATTTGCAAGACTCTGCCTTGAGCCAGGTGCTCAGGTGCTAAGGATGAATGAAACGCAGTCTCTGTTGATTTGCTTGGAGCGGAATCTCAACATCTACCTGCATGACCTTTAGACTCTCCCAGTCTCTTTCCCTCTTGGCTGGGGGATTTTCAGGTTTATCATGTTTTAGGGAAATATGGGTCTCTTGACTAGCTCTGTTCCACGTATTGCCTTCGTACTTTGACAATTCATTTCCTTTCCCTGACTCACGGGGTAGGAAGAAACTGAGTGAGAACTGTAAAATACCTAAGACTCTAAAATGACAATGATTGCAAGATGCATCCAATATTTATATATCCCCAATAAACAAAAAAAACCTGCCAATTATAGTTGTAAGATATCACTGGTTTTAAGGTATATCTTGTTTTTAGAAATGTTGAAATGTGAAAGACAGGGTGTGTCTTAGAATAGATAAACTATGGTAACATTGAGTAAGCATCTATGATGGTTAGGCATTAGGGACTAGGCACTATTTATGTTATCTCAGTTAACCTCTACCTTCTGTACCTATCCCTAAAGATCAATATCTGCATAACTAAGACATATTCAATTTTTTGCTACATCACCAATAGACTGACCTCTTAGTTTAGGTTTCTCCTAAAGCAGAGCCCAAGTCAAGGATTTACAGAGGAAGGTAGTTATTTGTGAGGTGATCCCAGCAAGCAGGTGTGAGGGGACAGGGAGAGTGCACAAGGAAAAGGAAACAGTCAATCAAGTGTGCATTGTCAAGGTCACTGCTCTAGGCTAAAGGGGCTCAACTCTGCAGGGACCATTGAAGCCTCCAGAATTGTCCACCCATAGGAGAGAAGGTTGGGGCATTTGCCTAATGGCTCCTGTTTTTCTGTGGTTGAGAGTTGTCCCTGGGGGCTTTGACTACACTCTCTCTCTCTGGCTGAACATGATTGTGGGCTGAGTGGGCTCCTGTGCCTTTTGAGAAAGTCTTGTGGTGGAAGAACAGTCAGGGTACACTTGAAGTGACACTATCCATCACAGCTGCAGGTGTGGGTGACGGGATGAGATGCAGGGCAACAAGGGCATCTGCCACACTCATGAGAAAACATGGGTGGGGCTGAGACTTCTCCTTGTGCCTAGCCTAGTTATTGGGATACATTTCTATCATTTGCAACTTTGAGTTCTGATGGACCCAATCATTTGATGAGTCGGAGGACTTGGGACCCCAAGTTTTAGTCTTGCCTCTGTGTGGTCTTGGGTAGGAATCTTCACTTCCCTGGGCCTCAGCTTTCTTCTCCGCTGAATGAGGGAGGTGGACTTCATAGGTTCTGAGGGGTCCCTTGGTCAATATTCTGTCACTTGACCCCATGTTTCTGTTGGCTGTGACTATACTGATGATGAGTTTCAGCATCAGCTACCTTGCTACCCACCCTTTTCTCTTCTTAAATAGCTCCTTGAAGACCACACAGACAGTAAGGGTTGAGACTAGGAGTTACGTGCAGGTTTGTCTGACTACACCAGATGACCCTGATTCCACTTTATAACACAGAACTCAAATCAAATTTTCATCTTTCTTGAATCCATTCATTCATTTAATGAAATTTTACTGAGTGCCTACCCTGTGTCAGCTGCCATGCTAGACTCTGGTGTATGGCAGCAAACAAAAAGACAAAGTCCCTGTTCTTTTGGAATTTATGTTCTAGTGGAGAGGGACATATAATAAGCAATTGAACAATTAAGTACCGAGGGGAAGGTAAGTGCTATGAAGAATAAAGCAGGGTAAGGAGATAGAAAGTGGTGGAGTGTTATTTTGTACAGGATGCAGGCTGGTGGCCAGCAAGGTCTTTGCCATGACCTTCATTGGTATGGCAGATGTCTGAATGCCAACCTCTGATGGTTGACAACACTTCCCTAATCTCTCCCTCTGCTCCCTTCCATTTCTAGCTGGATCCTTGCATGGAAGGTTGTATTTTCCAAAGATGGCTGTAACAATATCTCCTACTCCACATGCTCCTCTTATAATGTGGCTTTGATGTGCCTCTCATCAAGAGGTGGGATCTATGCTCCCTCACTTAAAATGTGGGTGGGTTTCTGACATTGAAAGCAGTATTATTTTGTGACTTCTGAGGCTGTCATAAAAAGTGATGCAACAAGCAAAGAATTGAACAGATATTTGCACACCTATATTCATAGCAGTATTATTCACAATAGTCAACAGGTGGAAGCACCCCAAATGTCCATCAACAGATGAATAGATAAAGAAAATATGGCATATACACACAATGGAATACTATTCAGCCTTCAAAAGGAAGGATATCCTGTCATGTGCTGCAGCATGTGTGAACCTCAGGGACATTGTGTTGGATGAAGTGGACCAGTCACAGAATGACAGATGCTGCATGATTCTGCTCGTATGAAGTATCTAAAGTAGTCAAATACATAAAAACAGAAAGTAGAACACTGTTTTCCAGGGGCTCAGGAGAGAGGAAAATGGGGAGTTGTTGTTTAATGTGCATAGAGTTTCAGTTTTGCAAGATGTAAAATTTCTGGAGATTGGGTGCATAACAATGTCAACGTACATAACACTAGTGAATCATACACTAAAACATGGTTAAGATGGAAGATTTTTATTATTTTTTTTTTTTTAGGTGGAGTCTCGCTCTGTCACCCAGCCTAGAGTACAGTGGAATGATCTCAGCTCACTGCAACTTCTGCCTCCTGGGTTCAAGCGATTCTCCTGCCTCAGCCTCCTGAGTAGCTGGGATTACAGGCGCCCACCACCATGCCCAGCTAGTTTTGCATTTTTAGTAGAGACAGGGTTTCACCATGTTGGCCAGGCTGGCCTTGAACTCCTGACCTCAGGTGGTCTGCCCACCTCAGCCTCCCAAAGTGCTGGGATTACAGGTGTGAGCCACCGCACCCAGATAATGTTATGTGTTTTTAACCACATTAAAAAGAAAAAGGTGATACAACTTCCACTTTGCTTGCTGTTAAAACCTGCACTTGAGTCCTGTGCCACCATGAACATGGTCCAACTACCCTGAGGCTGCCATGCTAGGGGGAAGCTCAACTCACCTGTGCAGAGAGACCACAGGAAGTAGCCCTCAGATTACAAGAATAAAGAGATGTATGGCCAGCCTCCAGCTTCTCCAGCTGCCACCTGACTACAACCTCATGAGAAACGCTGAACCAGAACGGCCCCAGCCAAGTTCTTTCCAAATTCCTGATCCACAGAAACCTTGAGAGATAGTAATTGTTCTTTGATGCTACTAAATTTCGTCAAAATTTGTTCCATGGCAATAGCTAACTGGACACCTTGTCTCAGTCTCTCAGGTCAATTCTGACCACAGGGAGAAAGGATTTAAGTAGCTCTAGCCTATCACTGTGCAGTGGCTGATGGTCTGGCCCTGTAGATGCAAAGCTCCTTGAGAGAAGAGCTCTGTGTCACCACTGTAGTAGTTGTGGCCTCATCCTCCAGGAGTGCTTTCTATATTTCATTCTACAAATATTTACTAAGAGCCTAATAGACTTCATTGAACTCTAGCACAATCCCTAGAATATATTAAGCATATAAGATATGCTCCTTGCTTTCAAGGAATGTAATTTAATGGAAGAAACAAACATATAAGCAAATAATTTCTTCCTAATTAATTATTTTCTTTCATTGAAACACAATTAACACAGGGGCATAATTTAGCCCGGAGGAGAGTCAGGGCAGGGACCTCTGAGACAGTGACATGTAAGTTGCAACTAGAAGGATAAGAAGTCATTAAAAATATGCTTGATAAATGTGTTTACCTGGGCTTGCTCTGAGCTGTGAGTGTGATCCAGGTCTGCTCCACAGGTCTCTCATCCTGTTTGAACTAGTGCTACCAGGGCGGACATTTCTCATGGTGCTGGCAGAAGCCCAAGAGGGCAAGCCCCACTGTGCAAACACATTACAGGCCTCTGCTTATCATGCCTACTAACATCCCAACATCCCATAGGACCAAGCAAGGCATGTAGCCGAGCCCACCATCAATGGGGCAGCCAAGGACACTCCTCTCATAGAGGTAAGAGTAAGGGGTGTGTCTACCCACTTTTTGGAGACAATCCTCTACAGCGGTCAAATGTCCTATATCCTCAGCTATTAAGACCCTTGCTTGGGCTCCTGCTTTTTAATCTATGCTATTGCTTTTGTAGATTGTGCTGACAAACACTAGGCTGTTCTCCCAGGCACTTCTAGCCAGGTCATGCCCCCTTGCCTGCTCCCTGCAGCCCTCCACGTTGGCCCATGCCAATGCCTTGTTTGATTCTCCATCCTTGTCAGTCCGCTCCATTTCACAACACTTAACTGTCTGTGCCAGCCGTATCCAGCTACGACAAGAAAATCTGATGAAAATGTAAGGTGCTGGCAAAAATCATTTTATGGAAATACATGAAAAAATCATCTAAGCTGATTATAGTATTGAAGAAGAATTGAACTGGAGCAGGATCATAAAACTCACTTATAGGGATGCCATGAAAATTAGCTAGTCAGTGTTCATGGTTTGAACATAAAACAAAAATTGTTATTGATTTACATATAATGTCTTTGTGGGGTCTTCCAAATGCCTCCTCAGCTAATATATAACAGAAATGGGGAAACTAAGTGTTAAGTTTAGGACCCAACCATCTTGCCTTTAGTTTTGTTTGTTTTTGTTTTGCCAGTGGTAGTATAGATAGCAACCTTCCTCTCAGCACAGAGAGCTGGCTGTGGACCTAGACATTGTGAAGAATTGCAGTGTGGATTGCAAAACACCATCGCATTCATAAGTCATGGCTTATTAGATTTTTGGTGAAAAACTTCAAGGGGCATCTGTTTTCTCTCCTCTGTTCTTGCCCCACCACTCGTCACCAGTAGAGACTGTTTTATAGTAAATTATGGCCGGTTCTGCAGCCTGATTATTCAGGGCCTGCTTGGCTTGGTGACTATTTTCTTCTTGCCAACGGGCATTCCTTCATTTCACAGCTTCTTAGCCCTAGCTGCTGAGAGTAGAGAAGCGGAAATGAAGAGGTGGGACTCAAGCCAGTTTATTACGCCTCTTGTTGGTGGTGCTGGTAAGGGCTTGGCAGGGAAAGGAAACTGGAACTACGGCCCTCATCAGCAGAGGCAAGGGAGGTGGGGTCCTGCGGCTGCCTTTCAGCGCTGTGTCCAGTGTAGGGGGCAAAACCTCCTTACCCTCAAGCCTGTCTTAGCAAGGCCAATTGCGAAAGGCTTTTTCGTGGGCTTTGGCTGTGTTCAGAGTCAAATGACATTCTGATGTAATGATAATGGTCCTAATCACAAGAGGATGTTCTCAGTGAGTGGGCACCAGGCACCGTGCAAAGTGAGTTATTTCACTTAATCCGCACAAAGACTCTAGAGGTGGGAACTATTACGCAGAAGGGGACGAACTTGCCCAAGGTCATGCCTCAAAGCAGCAGTAGAAACTGTGGAGAATGGAGCAAGCTGTTTGTTCTCCAGTCCAAGCAGCTCTGTCTTCTCCCTGGCCCACCCCACGGACACCTTCCTGTTCACGGACCTCCTCCTCTTCTAGAGGCACCGAAGCTTGTGTGGATGTCTCTGTCATATTCTCCCTCACCTTTGTGGAGGGATTCACCAGACCTCCTGTCCAGCCCACTCCCCACCTGCTTGTGTGTGTGATTTCCATGTGTGCATTGTGGGAGCTGACTACACAGCAGAGCCTCAGCCCAGCCTCGGGTCCTCTTCCCCGCTTTCAGGCAACTAAAGGCCCACAGGTGGTTGGTCACACTGACTTTGGATCCAGACTGCCTGGGTTCTAATCCTCCATCACTTGTCACCTCTGTGACCTTGGGAAGTCACTTAACTTCTCTACGCCTCAGTTACTTGAGGCTAACAATTGTGCTTACTGCCTAGAGCTGCCTTGGGGGTCCAATGGGATCATGGGTGTACAGTGCCGTCAAGCACATTGTAAGTGCTCAAAAAACACGAGCTAGTATTATTTCCTACTACATGCTGGTTACTGCCCTGGAACTAGAGGAGCATAAAAAAGCCTGGGCTTGGAGAAATTTAGGGGTCTTCAACAACTCTGCACTGTTCTGGGTTCGGCTGCACCATCAATTTTCAGGCACATTGCAGATTAAGTAGGCTTTGGTGCACTGACCTAAGAGCCTCATCACCATTTATATTATATAAAATGTACTCTGTTTTCCAATCAACTGAGTTTCCAAAGAAGCTTTGGACAAGTTACTGACAGAGCTAAGTAGACTGGAGACAGAATGGAAGAGGTGCTCATTTCCTATACCAGGGAGAGGTTAGAAAGAGTCCCTGCTTACACTGAGAAGGGGGTTCTCAGCCCATTGTCAATACCATAATAGTGGGTGTCACATATGTTTAAGGAACATGAGGGAAGGGATATCAGTTCCTGGAATAGCACCCACTGGGCAGGAACATCAAACTGTGCTTGAGTTGTTTGCTCAGCTGTATTTCAGAGGCTGCACTCTACCTTGGTTATAGATAGGATAAGTCTCTGCTCCTATCCATTTTAAACACTGGCCATTAGCCAAGTTAAATGGTATAATAGTGCATTGGGGAGTCCTCTGTAGACATTGAGAGCAAGTGTTTTGGAGTTAGGGAGCCCTGGGTCAAAGCCCAGGCTCTACCACTCTACCAGGCTATGTGATTTAAGAGCCTTCACTTCCCCTTTTGTAAAACGCAGATAAGAGTCATACCTACCTCTCAGGTTGTTAAAATGAGATAATGAATGTAAATCACTTTAAGCACAGCGCCTTGTATGCAGCAAGTACTTAAGTTACTGCAGCTATTATTCTTTCACTTTTTGCCTCAAGTTGCAAGGTCTCTGTTGATAGGACTTTTGGGAGAGAGGAACTGGGGAACGGACTGGGGAAGACAGGCAAAGGAATCCCTGCTCAGCCACCCTGCCCATTACTGTAGTTCCTGTGATCAGTGATGTGAAGTTACCGCAAATATAGTGAATGACCGCAAATAGAAGGTGATCTTTCAACTGCAGCCAGGTGGTTTTGTTTTTGTTTTTGTTTTTTTTTTTTGTTTTTCCGAGACGGAGTCTCACTCTGTCGCCTAGGCTGGAGTGCAGTGGCGCGGTCTTGGCTCACTGCCAGCTCCGCCTCCCGGGTTCATGCCATTCTCCTGCCTCAGCCTCCCCCGTAGCTGGGACTACAGGTGCCCGCCACCACGCCCGGCTAATTTTTTGTATTTTTAGTAGGGACAGGGTTTCACCGTGTTAGCCAGGATTGTTTCGATCTCCTGACCTCGTGATCCGCCCACCTCGGCCCCCCAAAGTGCTGAGATTACAGGCGTGCGCCACCGCGCCTGGCCCAGGTGGTTTTTAATACAGACACATGGCTGATAAGAGCTTAACAAGTTTCTGGATCTATTACCAAACTCAGGTCATTGTTTTTGCATTTTGCATTGGAATGTATGGATATATGTTCTCCAAACTAGGGAAATATAGATATGACCAGTGGTCTCTCCAATTCTGAAGCAGTGAACAGACAGCTGTGCTGTGTGTTCAGCAAACTCTGTAGTATAGCATTGTCACAGTAGTAAAGAAGTCACTATTCCAGCAAAATAATCCAAACCCACAAAGTTAATCCAACCCATTTAATAATATGCATCCTAGTTGTTGTGCTGTATGGCAGTGAAACAGAAATGATAAACTATTTACAAATATGACTATATTTTCCTTAGTTCCTCCATTGAGCAGTCATATTTTCAGCCATTCTCTTTGCTAGTTGTTCAGTGTGTTCATGGTCAGTATCACTGTTGACACATTTCCCCCATCCAAGCCACGCCTTCTGCTACCTACTGCCCTTCTTCCTTTTCCCTCCAGGGGCATTCTTTTCCTCCCCCAGGACCCATAGATCCTTTAGTCTCAGCAGCCCACCTAGCTCAGCTATCCGGGTGTTGGGGACCTCAAGTTTGCAGAAAATGGTGTTAAAATTAGCTAGAGTGGGCTCATGCTGGGAGTCAAAGGAAAAGTGGGAATGGGCCATGAAGGAAGGTCTAGAGCACTGGCTTCCTGTGCCTGGCAGTCTTGGGGTAAAGGAATGTTGCATTAGCATCGAGAGAAAGAAGAAAAGGGAGATGTTACTCAGGAAATCTATTTTCTCTAGAGATTCAGGAGTCTTGAAATGAGCTTAGCAGATTTACACTTAATGTCTCTATCTAAACTTTGGTTTTCTCATCTGCAGAGGAAGGACAATCTCTACCTCGCAGCATTGTTGCAGGAATGAAATTAGAGAATGTGTAAAGCACCCCACACAGTGACTGGCATGTGGTAAATGCCAATGATTGGCATCTATTTTTAAAATAATGTGCTCTTGTCCTGCTGAATAGGGCATATAAACCCCTCAGTGGAAACTGAGACACTGGCTAGAAAGAAACAATAAAATTATATTGCTGTCTTACCTTGATAAAAGACAGATACATAGAACGTATTCCCTTACAGCTGAATTTCAAAATAAACTTCCAATCCATGGACTCTTTTCCCTGTTCCTGGAAAAATTATATCCTGAGCATGTTCACGTGCTTACCAAATTACTCATTAATGAGTGGTCTATTTATTGGATAGAGTCAGTAAAATGATATTACATTTTAGTTTCATTTGATAGCTTGGAGGTATTTTGGGGGGGCTGTCATTATCATCTTTCATTGTTTCTGCAGGTGAGTCAGCTTTGAGGTGAGAGACAGGTGGTTTCTCTGCTATATGTAAACAAGTGGCTCTCAAACATGTGCATCAGAATCATCTGGAGAGCTTATTGAACCACAAGATGGCAGAGTCCCACCCCTGACAGATTCCAGGACCTGCACTTTGAGAAGCCCTGACTTAAACCAACACTGATTTCTCTGCACTTTCAGCTGTGGCAGTGATGGCACTGGCAGCTCCCTGCTTGGCTTGATGACCTTTGTAGGTTTCTTTAGTTGGTTAAGCAGCAGTTTATAGCTGCTTTATGTTAAGAGCAATACTTTTTCTGCCCCAAGAAAAGTACTAACCTGGGAAGAGTGCAGGAAATAATGGACCATTGACCATATGTAGGGGGCACATTCCAAAAATAGGTGTCTGTGTTCCACACTGATTAAGAGCTTGGGCTTTGGAGTTGGGAAGGCAAGCAATGAGACTTCTTTGCCATTTTTCTAGTTGTGTGGCTTTCTAAATTCTGTTTTCTCGTCTGTAGAATGGGGGAAAGTATACTTTCTTGCCAGGTTTAAAGAAGGTAAAGCACATAAAGTGCTCAATAAGTGTTAGCAACTTTTTCAAGGGGATGTAAAAGCCCAATGATGCCTAAGACTGTGAGTGCCACTGTTCATATATACTCATTAGAATTCACTAGAATGTCTGAGCACAGAGTTGGTCCTTTTGAGGTCTAAGTCAGTCCAGGTAGAGAGGGATTTCTAAAGAATTTCTCACAAGGTGTTATTCAGCCTTTTGTAGAAAGCTCAGACTGAAGAGCTTTATACTCTAAAATATAAAGAAAACAACCCCATCAACGAGCTGCCAGTAGAAATGTGTATGCTGTTCAAGTTAATTCATAATTGTGGGTTTAACATTAGTTATTATTAAAACATGAACAACTTTGGCTTGTTTAGAACATGTTAGGAAGCAAGAGCTAGATGGACCTTAGAGATCATCTGGTTTAATCCTTTTATTTTACAGATAAAAAAATCTGTGGGGCTGAGAAATTAAGTGAACAATTTGCTTGAAGGTACGCAACCACAAATTTAATTTCTACTGGACTTGCTAGGTAAATGCTCTCAGAAAGAATGGCTTGTGGACGATTATAAAACCACTATCATTTCAGTCTTCTGTAACATGTAATTGATTTACATTCAAACAGCCTGGGTAGAAGGTAAATTCATTTAGTTTCCTAGGGTTATTATAACACAAATTTATCTTGAGGCATTCATCAGGAAGTTACATGAAATAAAGCTGGTCATTTTATGAGTATATGATAGAAATTGTTTTATAATCACACCATGCAATTGGAAGCATATGCTTTGAAAAACTTCAGGTGAATATGATCATGGTGATATTCTATGATGTGGCAGTTGCTGTGGCAATAATGGGGCTGGAAGCTCCATTATTGAAGCTTCAATTGTCCCATTTTTCCATGTGTAGAAGCAGACCTTGACTGTTTTCTGAGAAAAATCTTGACCCTTTCTCCAAGTACTGTTTTTTCTTTCAGAAATGGAGTGACTTTCTATATAGATTTCAGTCAATTTTTAGTGAAAAGAATTTAAACTCATTTTCTACATGATTGGTTAAAATATAAGGATTTGTACTCCATATTCTTGAGATCTTAACCTCCAGCCTTCAGCTGCCAAATGTCTATGAAAAGCTTTGTTATGAGAAATATATACGAAACTTTGCCTGAAAAGTGTGTAGTTCATTCATTACTTTAAAAATTGTAATAGTGACAAAATAGTAGTTAGAAATTGTTAAGTATTTACTGTATGCCAGTTACTGAGTCCAGCCCTTATGTGCATTATTTCTTTTAATCCTTGCAACTGGTGTTTCGCCCACTTTGGCATGCATCAAATCACCCGAGGGCTTGTTAAAACGCAAATTGCTTTGACCCATCCTTAGGGTTTCTGATTCAGCAGCGGCCCGAGACTGCATGTCTAATAAATTTCTAGGTGATGCTGATGCTGCTGGTCTGAGAAGTACTGTTTGCTACAAACCTAGGAGGTAAGCATTTTAATCTGTACTTTGTAGATGAAGAAACAGGTTCAGGTTGTGTCACTTACTGAACACACAGTTAATAAGGTGGTAGAGTTGAGATTTGAAAATTTGCTTTTTTGATTCCAAAGTCTATAGTCAATTTCTGTGCTAGGTGGTTTTGCAATAAAACATTCTGTCTGGGCTGAATAGTAACATTTTATAGTTCAGGAATAGAGTAGGACTCTATTGCTCCTAACACTGGGGTCCAAATATATTGAAGCATATGGATGCCATGAGATGGTACTAATCAATGCCAGAGTGTGGGATAAAGTAATACGGCCCTTAAAAGGGACTTTATCATGAAGGTAGAAATAGACAGGTGAGCAGCTCCCTGACACCAAGGGGAGCTATGGGACAAAGGGGAGCCTTGGTTCCAGGACTGCAAAGTGTCCAACAGTGGAATTTATCTTCACCAGACAATCTGGTGAGGGCTTTCTCCTGGGAGAACTGGCTTTGTGTGTGTAAATTTAAAGAGCTCTTGTACTTAAAAGAGAGCTGTGCTTTCTGGGAAGCCTGCGATTGAGTGCTAATAGGGAAGAAATGGCTCTCATCATGCCATAGAACTCTGACTTTCCTCTCTGTCTGAGGCAGCAGTGAGCCAAGCACTGTGGGCTGTAGGTAGCATTGAAGAAGGGGGTGGGTTAGAGGTCAGCAAGAAACACAACGTCTGGGTAACATACTTGTCACCACGTGGTTGCCTAGGCAGTGGGCCCCTGTTGTATCAGTGAGGAAAACTCTATCATGTAACTGAGGTAAGATTTTGAATCTTGATGAGCAACCTTATTGCAGGCATTCCATACCCACTTCTGTAGAATGGGCTATCAGATGCCAGTGGTGACCTTCCCATTTTACCGACTTTCAGCATGCTAAACCTCAGATTCACTGGCAGTGACCGCAGAAAGTTTCTGAGGCAATTAGGTTAGGAGTGTGAGCTGGGATAGAAGGCCTGTCTTCACTAGCAGGTAGAAAGAAGAGGATTGACTGTGGATGTGTCTCTGGAGATTCTAAAACATACACAGGCGAGGGGAATCCTCCACTTGCTGATGATCGGACAGGCCACGGCTCAGCGACATTGTGTTTCAGGGTGTTAATGTGAATAATTTTGTGCCCATTTATACTCTCAGTTTGATGAAAACTTCAATGCAGCAGTCATGTACAATTTAATCCATGAATCAGTGCCAGCACTGTGGCCTCTTAACTCCGCTTTGGTGTTGATGTCTCAGTGCTCTCTTTATGAGTGCTTCTTTATGAGTAGCTGTCTCCTGAGCAACCAGCATGTTTCTATATGTGAACAGTCAATCTGAAGCCAGATCATACATCTTTCTTTGGTTCTCAGAAATCTGGGTCAGATTTGTCATTCACAAATATCAATTGATCAAGATCTTCTATTATACATTTTCTCATGTAAATTTTTTGAAAGAAGGGAGAGGGAGAATGTATAGAAATGGAAAAAAGGAAGGGTGGAAAAGAGGCAGAGAAAAGGAGAAAGGAAGGAAATTTAGCCCATTTTACAGAAGACATCTATATAGAAAAGCTCAACAATGGAAATACCCCCATCCAACCTTGATGTGACTGACCCTAAATTTGAAGTATAGATGTGGCCAGCAAAAGTCCATGCTGTAACAAATTACTGTTTTGTAAAGTATGAGTCAGTGATGAGCACCGTAAAATTAACCAGAGCCAATGAAGTAATAACCATGATGATAGATTCTGGGGATTACTCTCCAAGAAAAGTAGATATGTGCTTTCTGTAATATTGGTGTCCTAAACAGCCAATGTTTCTTAGGGCAAATACACATAATAGCACCAAATTTGAATCATTAATAGATTTTTTTGCAAATACAATGCTGCAAGCAAGCTATGAGCTTGCCAAAACTCAGCTTTAGGTGTGCTAGGTGTCAGGGGACACAAAATCCTGTCCTTCAAGTTGGCAAGTAATTGTGATCCAAGGCAAAATGCATGTGATAGTTGTGTGTGTGTATGCAATTCTGCCTGCGGAATCCAGAATCTCTTCATGGAGGAATGAGAGTTTGAGCTTATTCTTGACAAATGAGGATCTTCAGGTGAAGCTGAACACAAGAAAATACATAGAAAAGGCAAGCAGGTATCAAAATGCCTGGTTGTTGGGAACTGCCTACTACAGCTCAAGCTTCAGAGAACTTTACTAGAACATGAGACTGAGCAGAAACATGTGCCCTAAACCCTGGTGCATCAGACTCTCAGAAAAGTTGCTTATAATGGTAGTCCATCTCACCTCCAATTAGCTATTCGTCTTGTTCTCGTAAGCCTGAAGCTTCCTGTATAGCCTTCCTTACTTACAACCCCCTTAAGTCCTCTTACTACTCATTCTTTATTGGTTGAGCAGTTTGAGTTATAATCAACAGATGTTAATTTAAATTTATTATGGTTCATCCAAATATTAAAATGGGTTGGTCTGTGGGGTTTTGCTATGATGACTGCAGCTCAACCCTGGGACATCTATCTTTTTGAATACTGCTGAGCAACTTTTATAATTCAGATACTTCTTTAAATACATTTCTCTCACTATGGATGAATCAATTCTGTGATCTCCAGTCCTGGAGATGCTACTGAGACTTAGCTAATTAACAATACTGTTACTGAGCTGAGTCACCTGTCCTATGTCAGGCTCTCACATAGAGGTACAGCCCCCCGAAGCACTGAGATCAGCTGTGGGCCAAGGGTGGGGGAGTATCAGAAGGGGCAGTTTGGCAAGGTTTACCACTTAAAAAGACTGTGATTACCACTTTCGTACACTGTTGTTAAGCATGGTAATGTTGAAATCTTCCACTGTACATCTTGTCTGAGAGTTTTATCTGGTTACATTACTTGAATACCTGACTGGAAAAAATGAGCCAGATTCCATAAGAATGAGGATTGCGTAGGTATAAGGATATACAAGACAATGCTCATTCACTGTGACAGCTTTCAAGGAAGATTTTCTTTGGCAATGGCAGTGATATTTACTCCAGAGGTTGACAATAGCAAATGCTCTAACATGCTCATCTATAAATCCTAGTAAGCCATAATATTATCCACTAGGTGCCAGCCACTCTTCATAATATGGTTAATCCTTTCAATGCTACAAGGTAGGTTTATAGTATTCTAATTCTAGAGATGAGTAAGCAGGCTCAAAGTGGGAGAGGTTTAATGACTGACAAAAGGCCAGGAAAACAAGTGGGAGAGCCACTGTTCTGCCTACCTTCCAAAATCCTACTTTCCCCACTACGGCTACATTCCCTAAATCCATCAACAGTACACCTGCATCAAAGATACCTCAAGATTCAAGTCTACTTAAGATTGTTCTTCTACTGTCTTTGCAAATGTCAGAAAGGTAATAATGCTTCCAGGAGACTGAATAAAAGCAAGAGGCAACTAGTACTACAAACATTTCCAAAGTAATACAAAATATATGATAAAGAGGGAAGAACAGTAAATGAATGTCATAATTTAAGAAACATTTAAGACTGGACTTTAATTTTGCAGGATCTTTTTATCTCCCTCTTACCCTTTATTTTTAAACCAAAGACTCCAAGAACATTCTAGTTGGAAGCCCTCCAAAAGAAACAGTATTCTCTCATATACTGCTGATAAAAGTATAAATTGCTTAGAGTTTTCTAGGGGGCAACATGGCAGTAACAAAAGCTTTTAAAAACTGGCATACCCTCTTCACTAGCAATTCCACTTCAAAGCATTTATCGTGAGAAAATATGAACACATACGAGATTTAGCAACACAATGTTCTTTAAAGCACTTTATTAATGAAAGTTGGAAACCTAAAAATTGAACAGTAGTTTAATAAAATGTGGCACATATGATGGAATATCATGCAGCCATTAAGAGATGTAGAAATATACTTGACACAGCAAGACAGTCATGGTATTGTTGAGTGAAAAAAAGTTACAAAACAGTATGTACACTTTGATCCCATTAAAAATATCTATAAATGCACAGAAAAGTCTGGAAGGCCATATACTTAAATAACAGTGGTTCTCCCTGGATGATGGAATTATCAGTGATTTTTCTTTCTCACTGAATCTTTTTTCTTTTTGCCAACAGGGCTATGACTTGTATTATAAAAAAGCATTAACAATTCTTTAAAAAGTGTCCTTTGAAGTAAGAATGAGAGCAGAACTTAGCAATCTAAGAGGCACAGGGATGTACACATGGTTTCTGATACTGTTTTAACGGTTTGTCAAGGTGTTTTGATGTTAGTCACCAATTAAAAGGCACTGTGTTGAGTGAAAACGTGGATGGTGGTAGTGCTTACTTTAGACTAAGCAATCCATTCCTAGAAACCTTCCACAGCAAACAAGTACTGGCATTCTAAGCAATACTTCCCACTATGATATCCTTATACCTTCCTACCCACTTGTAATACAGCCCAGAAGTTTCCCCTACATGGACAGGGCACTGTTGTTGGTTAAGGGTTACAGAAGGCAGAGAGGATTTTTCAAGTGATGTCAGAGAATAGGCCTGAAGGTGAAATGAATGTTCTCTTAGTTCTATTGCAGTGGTTCTCAAGCTTAGAGTGCAACAGTATTACTCAAACAGCTTTTACAACAGATTGCTGGGCTCCACTCTCAGAGTTTGATTCAGTAGGTCTCTGAAAAGGCTTATAAATTTGCATTTTTCTTTCATTCAACAAAAATTTATTGAGTTCATACTATGTCCTAGATCTTGTGCTAAGAGTTGGGAATGTAACTGCCATCAAAAGAATTATAGTTTTTATCTCAGGGAGCCTACATTCTAGAGTGACAGATATACACTAAACAAATAAATTATAAAAATAACTATAATTACAATGACTACTGCTAGAACACAATTAAGATTAGAAGACTCAGTTTTTGTCTTAAAATATTTAAAAAGCTGTCACATGGAAGACTGATTCCATGAGCCCTTGAAAACAAAAAATAAGTAAAAATGAAGGTAGAAAGTTCTTGAAAATAGTAATCAGCATTTTAAACAAGTCTCCAGGAGATGCCAATATTGCCGGTCTGGGGTCTCACACTTTGCCAATCACTGCTCTACTGAGTAGACATTTTTTCTTTCCTTGAGACAAGAGTCTTATTCTATCACCCAGGTTGGAGTGCAGTGGTGCAATCTTGGCTCACTGTAGCCTCTGCCTCTGGGGTTCAAGTGATTCTCCTGCCTCAGCCTCCCGAGTAGCTGGAATTACAGGTGCACGCCACCATGCCCGGCTAATTTTTATATTTTCAGTAGAGACAGGGTTTCCCCATGTTGGCCAGGCTGGTCTCGAACTCCTGACCTCAGATGATCCACCCGCCTCAGCCTCCAAAGTGCTGGGATTACAGGCATGAGCCACGGCACCCAGCCCTGAGTAGACTTTCTAATGAGCGTAATATGGGAGAAAGGGCAGGGGTGGTTGTGGAACTCTCTCTCCAGCGTTTGAGACTCACATGAGGTAAAAGCCACTTCATCTTATCTGGAGGTCTTGAGGCAAAGTTGGCTATAGGCTAAACTATGAAGCTATCTCTCCATTACAGCACCTCACTGAAGCTTAAAGTGCTAAATAGTAGGGCAATATTTCAGAATTTCAGGTGTTTGGGAGATAGGGAAGGAATTTTTCTGGAATTCTGTCAGCATGGAGGTGAGTGGGGCCTCTATGGGTAAACAAGTCTGTGGGTTTTTGCCTTGCCCTCCATTGTCTTCTCCACTCCACAGTTTATCCCAGAAATGTTTCCCCAACACTAGCTTCCCAGTCTCACTTTGTTCTTTGTTCAGGGGGAGGATAACAGGAGACTATGAAGATGACTCTACCCCACTGGTGATCCTGGCCTCAGGATTTATTTCCCATGTGACGCAGAGTGAGGAGGCACATTCCCATTTTTGAGACCTCATTTCTTGCAACATCAATTTTTCTGATTAGCACCATAAAAAGTTTTAACACCATGACCGTTTAGGTTAGATTACTTTGAGGAAAAAGGTAGACACAATCCAATCACTTTTTTTTTCATTTATAGAAGAGCCTACAATTATTTTAGTTTTTCATTCATATGTGCATCCTTCACATGTCACTATACTTTCAGATTAAGCTCAGTGGCACAGAGCTTATTTAAACAATTCTGAACTGCACCATGAATTAATAGGCTTCCCAAGCTTTTTCTTCCACGCCCAAGAAACTTCAGGCCTTTACCTGAGTAAAAACTAAACTTGACTTTAAAATAAGCCAAAACCAAAATAAAACCCAAACAACCAAACCCCATTAAAATAAAAAGCAATAAACCTAAGAACAAGCATATATATTGTGGTGGTTCTGTGGTAGACAAACGTACCAGAAGCCTTTGAAGCTTAACATTATTGAAGGTTTCTGTACATTACTGGGTAACTAAAATCAACTTTCACTTGATGGAAAGCTGAAAGTTCTGAAAAATGATTTATACTGACTGTGGGAAGGTTAAACCTGGGGTCTGATTTAAAGAGGGTGGAGGATAGGATTGATAGAGAGAAAACAGAGCCCAGATGTAAAAGAGGTATCTCTGGTGCACAGTGATATGCAAGGCCTATAGACTTGGTAGGTCAGGATGCTACAGGGGCTAACAAGGGGAAACTGATATTTACAGGATGTGTTTACTATGTGCCAAGCCTTTCCCTGAAAGGCACCTGAAATACAAGATAACATTTGCTAATCCTCACAACCACCCTATGGTGTCATAATTATTGTCCTCATTTTACTGGTAAGGAAAAGGCAGTTATACATCTCATTTGAAGCTTAAAGAGCACAATATGTGAGGAAGACTGGATTTGAACCCAGGACCATTTCACTCCATTACCGATATTCTTTCCCCTGTATTACTACATTTCCCATAAACCTAATTCATAGTTGCTGTTTAAGTCGATCTGAAGTTTTGGTATGATCTTTCAAAGCCTAAATCTGGACTTATAAAACACAATAGATGGTACTCTAGGCTGTAGAACTTCCTTTCTGAGGGGAGAGAAAATTTCATTTACTTGGTTTTACAGAAAACTGACCAGCTTGAGCAGCTTTTCAGGGTTTCTTTAAGAATATGGCAATTGAGAGTGAGTCAAAACATCTTGTACAACTATAAAACTGCAGAAGAATTTGTCTCATGGCACAGAAATAAAAGGGTAACTACTACTTTTAAAGTTTAGACTGTGAGTTAAATTGTCAACATGTTTACCAAGTTCTTATTAGGAGCTCTTAACACAAAATTTTAAAACGGTGTTTAAGTATTCATTTTTTTAAAAGTACCAAAAAGTATCATTTTAATAGCTTAACATTCCCTCAATAAATGAACTATACTTTTGTACTTCATGCTTAAGTTAGAGTAAATTGCTTTAGTTGTCAGAATGTGCTATGCTATCTTGGTTACACATCTTTTTATCTGGAACAGTTCTTCCCCAGACCCTCTCTCACTCCCAAAACTGGAGTTACATGACTCCCAAATACAGTACCTTGTATTTTCCCCATCACACCACGAATCCTACTATAGGATAATTGCTTAATTTTCTGTATCCTTTAATGGTCTTTAAGCTCTGCAGGGGCAAGAACTGTGTGCATATTGTTCAGGACAGTATCCCCAGTTGACCAGCACAGTATCTGGCCCTCAACAAATGTTTGTTGAATGAATGAATTAGAACAGAAGTCTTAACATGGAAACAATGATTTATAGCAATGGCCCCAACAGCAATTTTCTAGCTTCCAATGTGTCACTAATAATTTCATTAGTATGTGTTTCATAAGCAGAGATCCTCATCAAGATAGCCTGTGTTCATTAATAAATTTTCAATGTTTTAATAGTAAGCTCAGAGTGACCCAATTTATTTTGTTCGTATACAATTTATAATGTAGTTGCATTATTCCGTATTTGTATACAAATCTGCTGTTCAATAAGAACACATTCTCTTTACTGTACCACAGTACAGTAAATGGATCCAATCCCAATTATGCATTAAATTGTGCCAACTGAATAATCTTAAAAACTTTATGTTTAATGAAGTAAATTTGTCCTAGATTTTCTAGAACCTTAACTACAAATTTATCAGAGAAATACGGTATTGCTTTTCAAGAACTAGTTGTTCTTAAATTTAAAAGAAACCATTCAGTAGTGTTTAAAAAACCAAACAACTCTGAAAATAACCCATCAAAACATAATATTAAAATCATTTGATTTCTGTTGGAAAACCAGGTAAACATAGTTTAAATGCGTTTTTGTCTATGAAAGCATTCAGAAAATTCTACTTTTCACAAAAGAGGTTTATATCCTACAGCTCTTTTTAAGACCGAAAGTTTAAAATAAATTTTAATTTTATTCTTTGGCTATTATTTATACCTAATAAATGAGTCGCTGATATCAATTCACAATAGATTTATTTTACATAAAAGAAAAAGCTTGCTGTTAATGAAAAATCCAGTAGAAAACAGTTCTGCTTTAAGTTGAGGCTCAAAAGTAGAAGCTGCTTATTAGTGAAACCTCAATAAAAAGAGAATTTTGTAAGAAAACATTCTTGGCATGAAAGCTCTAACATAAATTCTGTAATGAAATATTTACCATGCAACTTTATTGGCAGAAAGGCCAGTTTCTGATGGCTGGTATTTTCAGTCTCTTAACACATTAACATGGAAGATACTTAACCTGCTTTATTTAGAGTTAATTGTATATAAATACAAAGTCATGATGGGCAACCTTTCCATAGTCCACCTACTTAATTGAGCAGTTCTAAGTAGGTAATTGGCACCTTGCCCTTCTGGTTTCCCCTTTCCCCCATTAGCCAGTCTGAATCCATTCCAACAACACTGAACACAGTGATCACCTGCAAAATAAAATACTTCCAGTTATTAACTACATTAAAAAAATAAACAAGTAGAAAACCAATCAGATTTGTATTTAATTTGTTTAAATTATTCACCAAAAGGACTTTAAACGTTATTATCAATTGTGCTGAAAAACAAAGGATTTATTTATTATTATTAGTTTTTTGAGGCAGGGTCTCACTCTGTTGCCCAGGCTGTAGTGCAGCAGCATGATCACGGCTCACTGCAGCCTTGACCTTTCGTGTTCAAACGATCCTCCCACCTTAGCCTCCTGAGTAGCTGGGACTACAGGCGCACACCACCATGCCCAGCTAATTTTTCATATTTTTTGTAGAGATGAGGTGTCGCTATGTTGCCCAGGCTGGTCTTGAACTCCTGGCCTCAAGTGATCCCACTGCCTTGGCCTCCCAAAAGTGCTGAGATTACAGGTGTAAGCCACCATGTCTGGCCTAGATAAAGGATCTTATTGGAGGGAGTTTTATACATCTTCAAGTTATTTGGCAGTTAAAAGTTTTAAATATTTCTATGATATTCTATTAAAGAATATTAATTAAAATTTTATGTTAATATAACTATCTGTAATCTATGAAACCATTTCCAAATAACTAATGAGGAATTTGCATTTTGTTATAATATTAGAAGGTATGTCAATTCGTGATATATTTTCCTTCTCATACCCACAATACTCACCTCATCTGCCAGAAGTGATAATTCAGTACTGTTTGCTGCATCATAATCATAGAGAACCCTGGCCTTTCTGCTGCCACTACACTCCTTAAGGTCACTGAGGTTGGAAGGAGAGGTGATTACTAGGCCACTTGTTGAAGCCATGGCAGAAGAACCAATCGCATTTGGTAAAACTGATGGTACAGGTGTCACAGAAGTCTGATTGTTGTTACTAAGATAATTGGATGGAAAACTGTTGAAAAGAAAGCAGCGAATTATTTATTTCCAAGTGACTAAAGCTCCTTAATACCACCACTCGGTGGCGCTGTTTACTTTCTACCAACCTTCACATTGGAAAAGATTTATAGATATTAATAATACGTTAATGACAAAGTATATCTATCTTCCTTTTCCCTCTTGGGCCAATTATACTAGAGACAATTCAGGTGGTATTCAAATATAAATCCTTGAAAGTCTGTTTCAAAACTGTCCTTATAATATTAACTTAAAATTAATGGCTATACTTTTTTCCCCAAAAAACTTCCATTAGAATGTTTTCTTAATCTTTTCTTTATAAATTACTAAATAAAAATATTGATGAAAAACTACTTAAATATTAGATACTACAAGTATGAGGCTTTCTTAATTTAATTCTTTGAGAAATATTTGAATAACTAAACCTTTTTTTCATAAACTGGTCCAATCACATTTTCCTATTCAAATAAAATATTTATTGTCATTTACATGTAAGTATTATTTACTTGTATCTACATGTTCAGCATGACTATGAGAAGCAGAAGACGTAAGATGAAATGATACTATTCCCTTAAGGACATACACATAGTGAGAAGGTAGACATTCAAATAATATGACTGCTAATTATCTCAATGAAATTGAAGACTCAATGGTAGAATAGGACAAATTTTACAAGTTCATTTGTGCTATTTTTTAGAAAAATTTTCTATTAGAAATTAGTGATTTTTGTGATTAATGTGCTCATAAATAATTTGAAGATAATTAGAATTTTCAGTTTATTTTAAGGCTAGTTTCCCCAATAATACCAAATATAAAACAGTACAAAATAGCTGGTCTGACATCATTCTAATTCAACCATTTCTAAGCTAAAAAATGATCTACAAAAATTCAAAGTTTTAATAAATTCATTAAACTAGAAAAGTCCTCTTTTCTCTTCACGAGCACTATACCATCTGGAAATCATTTCAGTCATCAGCAAAATTCCCTGTATCCTTAACCTCTTCTCTAAACCTTCCCTTCATCCTCCAGTGCTAGCGTTTATCTCCCATACTCCTCTTTTATCACTGAACCTAGAGGTCAATGGAGGAGTCTTATGTTCTTCATCACTGTTTTTAGACTCTTTTCCCTAAACAATTCTAGCCAATCCTTCAACTTCATGTTATTCAACTATAGCACATCATCTTTTCCTCCCACATTATCATATTTTATCATATTACATTTTATCATATTATCTTTCCTTCCCATATTACATTTTCTCCATCTATTGTATCATTCCCAACTCTTTAAAAAAAGAGATACCCAGTATCTCTTACTGCAATCACCTACAGATGCCTCATTCCCTTACTTTCATTTCTAGAAGATTTTATCACCTGGCTCACTGACATTATCTCTTACTTAATTCTTGGTGACTTTAATATCCAAATGGACAATTCTTCCAACCCTTTAGCCTCTTAGATCCTCGAACTCTTCTCTTCTAGTGACTTCATACCTGATCCTAGTTCAGCCACCTATTCCCACAGTCACATCTAGATCTTACCAATTCCAGTAACCACAACCCTTCCAATAATAATAGTTTCTACTATCCCATTCTTTGACCATCGCCTTTTTCTTTCAAGTGCTCTCACATCAACAAGCCTACCAGGGTCTATGATCCTACCAACACCTTCTTCATGTCCATAGTTAATTATTATAATAACTCTTAGATATGCTCTCATTTCTTATGCCACTCACTTCATTGTACTGATTTGGTAAAAACCTATTTACCTATTCAGTATCCATGCATCTACTTTAACAGGAGAAACACAGAAAAGCTTTGTTTTACATTCAATTTATGACTAGGAACCTCAAGTGGGTCCACATGCCACCTGGCAATGATACTACATTTCTCTACTCCATTCACTTTCACTTTCATTCCCCTGATGACTATTTCATACCCTCTTGCCCATCCTCAAAATTTCAGCAGTTCTCCCCATAACCATTACACTCAGTTGATGAGCTTGCTTCCTTTTAACTGAGAGGAAAAAAGAACAATCAGGAACTCCTTTTTTTTTTTTTGATACAGGAGTTCATTCCTTTTGCCCAGGCTGTAGTGCAGTGGTTCAATCTTGGCTCACTGCAACCTCTGCTTCCTGGGCTTAAGCAAGCAATTCTCTCGCCTCAGCTTCCTGAGTAGCTGGGACTACAGACATGCACCTCCACACCCAGTTAATTTTTGTATTTTTTTGTAGAGACAGCGTTTCACCATATTGACCAGGCTAATCTCAAACTCCTGAGCTCAAGTGATCTGCCCACCTTGATCTCCCAAAGTGCTGGGATTACAGGCATGAGCCACTGCGCCTGGCCAGGAAACTCTTTAATGAGCTGTCTATGCTCCTGATGCTAATTCCTCCATATGTGCACAAAATCTCATCCTTTTTTGCCTCTCTAGGGTATCACTCTAGCAATTCTTCCCTTTCCCTCCCACATTATCATATTTTCTCCACCTAGTGTATCATTCCCATCAGCTTACAAACATGCCCTTATTTCTCCTATCTTAAAAAACAAGCAAAAAATTGCTAGACCCCACTTTCTCCTCCGACTACTGCCTCATTCCTCTGTTCCCCTTTACACCAAAACCCCTTGAAAGATTTACGTATTCTTACGGTCACAATTCCTCTCCTCCGAGTCTCTTATATTACAAACATTACTTTGCGCCTACTGTTTCACCAAAACTACTCGTCAAGGTTAGCAATGACTTTAATGTTCCTAAATCCAATGGTCAATTCGTAGTCCTCTCACTTGACCTAGGCAGTGACCATTCTCTCCCACTTTCACACATGTTCACTTGACTTCCAGGCCATACTCTTAGTTTCCATTTTACCTCACTGCCTCACTCGTTATCATCTTCCTTGCCTCGTTCCTCAACTCTCTATGCTAGAGTACTTCAGGGATCAGTCCTTGATCCTCTCCTTTTCTCTATACTTACTCCTTTGAGGGTTTATCTAGTCTCACAGATTTAAATATCTTTGATATGCTGACAACTCTCTAATTATCTAATTCACCCTGCCCCCAATCCAAGTCCAGACCTGCATATCCTAAAATTGGATACCTCCACTTAAATGTTTAAGAGACATCTCAAACTTAACATATTTAAAACTGGGCTTCTAATATAACTGACATACTTCCCAGACCTCCATCCCTGAAATCTTTGCCTCCTCTGGCATTCCCCATTTTAACTATCTACAACTCCCCATTCTTTCAGTTACTTAGGTCAAAAACTTGCAGATGGACGTGGTGGCTCACGCCTATAATCCCAGCACTTTGAGAGGCTGAGGCGGGCAGATAGCCTGAGGCCAGGAGTTCAAGACCAGCCTGGCTAACATGGTGAAACCCCTTTTCTACTAAAAATGCAAAAAATTAGCTGGGCATGGTGGCGCACACCTGTAATCCTAGCTACTTGGGAGGCTGAGGCAGGAGAATCTCTTGAACCCGGGAGGCAGAGGTTGCAGTGAGCCGAAGTTGCGCCATTGTACTCCACCTTGGACTGGAAGAGTGAAACTCTGTCTCTAAAACAAAACAAAACAAAACCTTGCAATAATTCTTGACCTCTTTGTGTCCAATATACATACAGTCTGTCAAGCAAATCCTTCTGGCTTTAAGTCTAAAATACACCCACAGTCACGCCTGTAATCCCAGCACTTTGGGAGGCCGAGGCGGGCAGATCACAAGGTCAGGAGATCGAGACCATCCTGGCTAACACGGTGAAACCCTGTCTCTACTAAAAATACAAAAAATTAGCTGGGTGTGGTGGTGGGTGCCTGTAGTCCCCGCTACTCGGGTGGCTGAGGCAGGAGAATGGCATAAACCCAGATGGAGGAGCTTGCAGTGAGCCGAGATTGCGCCACTGCACTCCAGCCTGGGCAACAGAGCAAGACTCTGTCTCAAAAAAACAAAACAAAACAAAACAAAACAAACAAACAAAAAACAAACAACACCCACAGGCCCACAGGACCTGACCACTTCCATCCTACCTACCACAATTACCCTGATCCAAGCCACTGCCATCTTCTGACTGAATTACTGACTACATTATTGCAATAAGTTTGAAACAGATCAGTCAGCTTCCACCCAACACCTATCCTCAACGTGGCAGCCAGAATGATTCTGTTAAAGCCTAAAATTATGTCACTCTTCAGCTCAAAATTTCCAAAGGCGCCTCATCTCTGAGTAAAGACCAAAGTCGAAGCCCTATATGTTTTGGCTCCCCGTTTCCTCTACTCGTCTCTAGCCAAGCCCTCCTTGCTGTTCCTTGACCATACCAGCTATGTCATGCCCTCAGGGTTTTTGTACTTGCTGCACCCTCTACCTGGAGCATCTTCTCTCAGATGCCTGCATGTGTGCTTTCTCACGTCTTTCTCTACTCCCATCAAAGTAGTTTCCTGCTATATTTTCCGGTACACCATTTTCACCTTCTAATATACTATATAATTTATATACATATTGCTTTTCTGCTCCCTTCTGCCCCCATATAGAATGTAGATTCCAGGAAGGCAGGAATTTTGATTATTTTATTTATATACTATATCCCCCACATCTGGAACAGTACATTTTAAAAATGAAAAGCAAATGTTTCTCTGATGGATAAAGGGTGAAATAGTTTTAAATATAGCTTTTCCTCTCTAAAATTAAGACCACCTGTCCTAGTATCCTTTCCTCAGTGAACTCGGTTCTTCAGTAGGGATTAAATACATACATTTCTGAAGATAAGAAAAAGCTCTATTTATATGAATATGTATATACACATGGCTTTTTTAGTTCTCTAACCATATTTTACTTCCAAATCTACTAGTATGATTTTAGCCTTTGATTAGCCACTGAAGTGTACCTATGTCAATTTTGCAGAGTTAAAGATTTAAAAAATGAACTGAAAGGCCATTTTTACCTTCTAAGAACTTTTATTGATACGTTAAAAAATCATAGCAATTACTCATTCTATAAAAATGTCAATTAAGCCACTGGAGCTTGAAATGCAAAAGCCTTCCAATTATTAAAAAAATTGCTAATCTTGTGACTAGTACTTCTGCTTTCTCATCTTTAAAATATGGATAATAATAGTACCTACCTCATTTGGTGGTGAGGATTATAAAGTTAATAATACACATGAGGTGTCTGGAAGAGCACCTATGCACAACTTAAGCTCAACCAAAGTGATGGCTGTTATTCAGTTACTTCTACTACCTGTTGGTACTGTTATTGCAACTATTAACAATACAATCTGGTTCTCTTCTTCATAAATAGTTTTTGAATGTGTTAGTGTGAAGCTGGATGATTTGTCAAGTTCTATATTTGAATATTTCTATGTATTATCTTAAAAAGCATAACCTGCAACAAATTAAAGAGATAAAACTTCCTCCAATGTCATTGGTCATTAGCAATAATATAATTGAGGGTGGAGAGACAAGCTAGACTTTCTTTTCTAGAATAGTAGCACTGGTTTTACTTTGTATTGCTGGAGCTTATCTCAAAGAGCAGTAATAACGCAACAACTGGATTTTGTTTAAATGGCCAAGTCCTAAGCATAGTGTGGCTTTAAGTAGAATGCGAGTATAAGCAACCCCTATGCCGCACTTCCAGAGTTTCAGGATAAAGTGGAAAAAAGTACTAAGGCTTCTTGGGCTTAAAATAGTTATAATGATGTGAAGATAAAGTGCTGTTCTGCCTTGAGATATTAACACCACTAATAAAACCTCAAATATATAGTTATGTAAATGCTCCTGTATATTCTATTAAAATAACTAATGATTAGGCTACCATTCATTTTTGAGGTTCAAAATTGGTTTCATGGACGTGCTCAATTTTATTCTAGGCCAAGTTTTGAAGTGTTAATGTGCAGAAACAAACACCAAAGTGACTTTATTTACCTTATTCCTTGAAACGATTTTTTGATATTCATCCTTCAAATGCTACATATCGCTCCCCTGCTTTAATGGTTCCTCAATATATAAATTCCAAACTCCTTACAACAACTTACTTTAAAAGCCATTCATGGTATGACCCTGCTTAACTCCTCTAGATTCATCTACCATTCCATTCTTGAACACTATGCTCCAGCCTGAATGGACTACTATCAGTTCCCCGAACTTTCCCTACTCTCTTTCTTCTGGCTTTTTTATAAACATATTCTTCCTTGCTTAGAATATTCATCCCTGTCCCTTTCTTCATCTAGATTATTCCTACCAAGATAACTTCACCTGGGAAACTCTGCTAGATGTACCTCAGTCACAGTTAGATGCCTTCACAATACCAGGCACCTTCTGCTTTTCTGCCTACCACATGGCCTGTCTACCAACGGCTTGCTTTGTATTTCTACCTAGGCTAAGTGTTGTGAGAGCAGAGACCATGTTTGCCCTAAACATTATTTTATTTTCAGTGTCACCTTATAATGTGAGCTCCATAAAGGCAAGCATCTTTGCCTGTTTTGTTTGCTGATATTACCCCACAATATGTAACAGTGCTTGGCACATGGCAGATAGTCAATAAATACGTGATGAATGAGTGATTGAGCTTTGTGTTTTACATACTGTCATTTTGCTTTGAAGTATATTAACATACTCAAAATAATCACATCGGTAGATATGAGGTCTTACGAAATATTCTAAAACTTTTTTTCAATATAGTAAACAGATGAGTAATGAATAAGTATAAATTAGTTTATCTTTAAGGGTAACTGTCAATTTAATTATATCTTCCTCAACCAATAGCAAAAAGTATTCAGTAGCAGGAGAAAAGTGAACTTGAAACACTTTTAACCTTACAGCACTGAAAAGGTATTCACTTTTTCTCATCCCTGTTAACATGCCTCTGTGCCAGAAAAGCTCAAAATATTCTGTTACCTCAGAAAACTGATAATTACTTTCCTTAAAAAAAAGAAACTATTTCTAAGAAAGCTAGTAAGAACCTTTAATTGCTCTAATCTTCATCCTTAGTATTAGTTCATAAGCAAAAATCTGAATTTCTCCTCTTTACATGTGAAAAGTAAATTATCACCTTCCCAGTTGTTTCTGGAGGTCCAACATATACTGGTAACACTGTGCATAGTAAGTCATCTGGGCTTCTACAAAGTCATTCAGACAGCGAAGGTGATGGGCCTGTGAAGGAAAATTATAGTTAGTTCTTAGCTGTATAGTCAACTTAAATGGCAAATGCAAGGGGGAGACAGACCACAATATTGTACTGAGGTAGACTCACCAGTATCTAACATTTTACTACAAGGCTTATTAAGATTGGCCTTCGTGAATAGTACACTAGCAAACTCTGCTTAGCCAATAAACAACAACATGTATATTTAATGAGGGTGGGAGAACTC
Organism: Homo sapiens; assembly: GCF_000001405.40. Lineage (NCBI taxonomy): Eukaryota > Metazoa > Chordata > Mammalia > Primates > Hominidae > Homo > Homo sapiens. The sequence goes on along the minus strand of NC_000001.11, from coordinate 86,734,860 downwards.
GGTGATAAGATGTAAACAACAATTTAAAATATTTATTCGGATATATTGGAAAGTAGAACAATTTAAATTTCCTTGATGAATGACTGAAAAGTTCAGTTTTTCCTCCCAAAATTGCCTTAGGACTACCAAAGTCTTGTTCCAAATGAATTTCCAATGAATGAATACTCACATGTGTACTGCTGATTCCCTCTAGCAGAAGTCTGGTAATCTCTGCTTGACGATCAAATTCACTTTGAGTTATTCTTAATTCCTGTTCAGACTTAAGTAAGAATATAGTTTTAGAATCTCTTTAGAAGACTCAGTCCATCTTATATACATTTATTTTAGATGGTTAAAAAAAATCCCCCGAACAAACCTCAAGTTATAATCTGGCAATTCCGCAATTCTGCTTTGTATCTAAAATGGTCCCCTGGTTTCTAGACCTTAGCTTTTCTGTATTACTCCACCTGGACAACTGATTCCAGTACTTGATTGAAAAGAATCTGTTACGCTAAAGCTTAATGATACACTCTTAAGAGCCTACAAAAACTACTAAGAGAAAGCCAAGATATTTTCATAAATTTTCTAGTATCAATTTTGCTAAATTTTACTATTTTACAAAATTTTAAGATGACCAGTTTTACAAGTATAAAGTAATATTGCTGCAAAAATTCTCAATTATTACTACAGTTTTTACTTTGAAGTTAAAGAGTCTTCAGTCTCAAATGCAAAAGACTTTAGAGTGAAGCCATAGGATTTTCACCTTGCGTTTAGTTGCCAAACACTTGTTGCTAGCACCAGTTTTTAGGTTCATTCAAAGGATTCTTTGTCCTACATTTTAAATGTCTTTCTTTCAAATTTTCTTTTCAAACTATGCATAAAAAATGTCTTAAGCAGAATACTATCTATTAAGATACACTAGGGTTTTAAAAAGCTTTTTAAGTTATGATCGAACTTCAATCAGTAGTGTGCTGTTAAATTCTTCCCCAAGAAATAAAAAAAAAAGCTCTCATATCCAGATTTTCATGATATAAATACTCCCACCACAGCTGATTTCCAGCTACTAACGTGAAGTCACACACTGTGGAGCTGGGAAGAGATGTAAATAACAGTATGCCACTACTGGTTTCAACCATCTGATAAAGGAGGCTTACTGCTGCGACAAAACAGTTCACTGAAAAATCAACAAGATCTAAAAATAGCAAATAGTGGCAAAAAACATCTTCTCAAACCTTTAGTCAGAGTTGGTTGTTAATAAGTGGGAAAGAGAAATAAAACCTCACAGCTTACTCAGAATAGTTAGCTTTTCTCCCATTGGGAATTATCATTGGTTACATCATCATTATAATGATAGGTTTGACTACCTCTCCAGCACAAATAGCATTTTCCACCTATGCAAATGATTCATGACATTTCCAAGATGTAATAAAAGTAAAAAAAACGAAAAACAAAAAAAACCCAACAAGGTATGAACTTTTTTCTTTCAGGCCTCATCTCCCTCTCCTCATCCTTTGGTGGCAATAGTTACCCTAGTAAACCAGTCTACAAGGAAGTAGCAGCAAAGTAGATAATCAGTTGCTGTAACAGCCCACTGGCAACAAACCTAGCAGAGGGGACTAATAATTGACCTCTAGCTTGGACTTACGGAAATAAGCTTGAATTAGTAAGTCAGAAGTTGAAATTAAATTTACTTGACTAAAACCAGAACCCATGGTGTTTTGATAGCAGGGACAAAGTAAGCTTCATCTGGAAGCTGGTATGAAGTAGAAAAAAGTCCCAGAAGAAAAAAAGAAGCAATGTTCTTCCTAAGGAGAGCACTAAGGAAAACCAATCACATCAATATTACATATGCACTATTAACTGTTCTGCTTGGTTGAATACAAAAGGCTTTGAGTAACAGAAGTAAATACAGCAAACCAAAAATAAATGCACTTCAGAAATAAACTAGGTTAGTTCCATATAGGTCTTTGATTGTCAAAGTACGGTTTAATTTAATGGCCTTTAGTAGAAATGGCAGAAAAATCCTACTAACTGACATTATTTCTAGGTAAGGTAATAAGCAAGTAAACTAGGTAGCAGATTAAGGTGACCGGGAAGATTGAGACTGAAGTAGAAATAATATTTTAATGCTAAGTACACTGAATAAAAAATATCAAATGATCTCATTAAGGATGAGGGATCAGGCTTCTAGGTTTGAGTAAAATTTAATCATGAAGAAAGGCACCATGTTACAAAGCTTAGGAGGTCCTTCTGTACAATCTAGACTTTAGAGAGGGTAGATGATAGGGAAAAATGCATCTCATTTCTTGAACAAGTTTTAGTGCATATTGGGTGGCTTCAAACAGTCAAATGTCCCAAATCATCTATACTTCTGGCATATATAATTGATCATAATAACTGATCTGAGAGGCTAAAGGAATTTAAATTAGGCTTAGCATAATCAATTTACTTCGGAAGAAAATGATCCACATTAGAAAGATAGATAAGAAAGGGCTGATATTCTGTCGTCTAAAAAATCTCTAGGGAGAAGACCTTCTACTGCTAAAAGTAACTGCTACTAGACTACATGATAGCATAACATAGGTTAGGTAAGCCAGAAGAGTTTTTTCTAAAATGTAACTGGAAGATGGGCAAGAATCTGTTGGCCCACGATATCAAGATTGGGTATCTGTAAGCCCTAAATTTTGGTAATGCTTCTGAGGCATTTGCTGTGACTATCTTGATCAGTGTTGACTACTATTCATATGGCTTAAAATCTTAAAATACTCCAGGAATGTAAAGTCTTAACATTTATACATTTTCATTTATTTATTTTTTGAGATGGAGTTTTGCTCTTGTTGCCTAGCTTGGAGTGCAACGGCTGATCCTGGCTGACTGCAAACTCCACCTCCCAAATTCAAGGGATTCTCCTGCCTCAGCCTCCCAAGTAGCTGGGACACCATGCCTGGCTAATTTTGTATTTTTAGTAGAGACAGGGTTTCACCATGCTGGTCAGGCTGGTTTTGAACTCCTGACCTCAGGTGATCTGCCCACCTCGGCCTTCCAAAGTGCTGGGATTACAGGTGTGAGCCACTGCTCCTGGTCATTTATACATTTTTAATTATAAAAATGTCAGAAGTGAGATATGTAGAAGAAAAAAACCCCTGAAATCCATTTTGATAGGTTTCTTTAGATTTTTATATATATGTATATAATATGTTTCATGAGTTTCTTCCCATGTATTGTATCAATTATTTCCTAAACTTGCTGAGACTGCAAAATCAAGTCAGAAATTTTCTGGCATATCTTTATGCCAAAGAGGAAGACATTCTAGTTTTTTTGTTCAACCTGTATTCTCTTCTGTGTTGCTCTGCCCCTTTTCATGCTAGAAGTTCAGAGAGAAATCAGAAGCCAGTGTGGAACCGTAACTAAACTGATGAACAGACTCACAAAGGGGGGATAAGAGCATAAGGTAAGAATTTCATACTGGAGATCCAAGTCACAGAATCAACAGCTCTATAACCTATGCATAAAACAGACTGTAAAATCAATCCTACAAAGCCAGAAAATAAAAGTTAAAGTTTATAAAGCTATTGTCAGGGGCCAAAATCATCACCTGTCCTCAGTCCCCAGTGTTATCCTCATGTGGATGTCAGAGTTTGGTAGGCCTAAACATAAGAAGTAAATGAAAAATGCTTCTGAAGACTTAAAAAAGCATTTGAAACAAGTCTGCATGTACTATAGTTTATAATTTTATCCCTTAAATTCTTGTTTAATTACTTGCTTTCCCAGCCCACAGAAGATTAGAAATGGTAACACAGACAGAACTGCTAGCAGCAGTCATACAGACAGCTTCTAGAAGCAACAGTCTGATACTGAGGGAAGAGACAACATAGTCGAAAAACAACAAATCCAACTGTTAACAGTATGATAAATATTCATAATAATGACCTTAACTGTAGTAAAATCAAATACTTGCTATCCTATATTTAATGCAGCAGTAAAATACATTTTTACAGATATTTTCAACTAATGTGACTGGGAAAAATTAGCTTTGGTGCTGGAGAGAACAAGCTTCAGTTACCTAAAAAATTCATCTGTGGCCGGGTACGGTGGCTCACGCCTGTAATGCCAGCACTTTGGGAGGCAAAGGTGGGTTGATCACCTGAGTTCAGGAGTTCGAGACCAGCCTGGCCAACATGGTGAAAAAACTGCCGCTACTAAACATACAAAAAATTAGCCAGGCGTGGTGGCGGGCACCTGTAATCCCAGCTACTTGGGAGGCTGAGGCAGGAGAATCGGTTGAACCCAGAAGGTGGAGGTTGCAGTGAGCTGTGACTGTGCCACTGCACTCCAGCCTGGGCGACAAGAGCAAAACTCCATCTCAAAAAAAAAAAATTCATTTGTGCGAAATATTATATATCCCATTCTCTGAAGATACAGGACATGGTGTTAACTATATTTTACATTTTAAAAATTGTTATTAAAAAAATCATTAACAAGCATTTCGCCTGCCTTCTATAGTAAGGAACTGTAAGATTACCACTTAGTATAACAGGTATCCAAGATTTATCAGTGTGTGTGCAAACCACATCTCTGCAGCATTGTTCAACTGCTTGGTGGAGCTTCTATTAGCTAAAGAGACCTGAACATATCCCTCATTTTCAGATTTTATAAGGTATACTAACACAGACTGTGACTGGACCCATGGGTTGTTGCCCAATACATATTTACTGAATCAACGTCAACTAAATTCTTGTTTCATAGTTCTGTATTTAATAATTTACTTACTTTTGTCACCTCCTCTGCCCAAATCTAGCCAGCATTAAAAATTAGAGAAAAATATAAAGCATGAAAGTTGGAATTTATTTTCTACAACTTAGTATAGAAAAATATAAATATTTGTTTAAATGGCATACTCTTTTTCAGAATCATATTTATAGATTAAACACAGTAGTAACTAAATCGGTACAGCTTAACATACTGTGAAAGTATGACTTTTATATGTATCATTGCTATCAATTTTAAAATCTTATGTTAAATCTACAGTTTTCCCAAATTGAGAACACCTAACCTTTCTTAGCTCCAGTATTCTCATCTGGAAAATTAGAGATTTGGACTAAATGATTTCAAATTTCTCATTTAGGTATAAATTCTAACATTTTAGGAAATGAAGCAAAGCAAGGATTAATGGCTGCTGAAACAGTCTTTTTGGAGAGAAACAATAAGCTGGAGATATAATAAATATAAAATGACCAGCTGTAAATATATATTACTATAAGATTACATTAATAGTAAACACAAATGATTAATGAAACAAAGTCCTGTTAATTGTTTAGAATTATGTTTTTACCTCAGACAAAAAGAAAAGCTATGCTTTATATTTTAAATTAGCAATGACTGAAATATCCTCACGCTTTTCATTTACCTATAGATAGGACAATGGAAACACATTAATGCATTCTCTTGCTATCTAAGGTAAGCCCTAATTCAGCCAGGGCTTCAGTAATTACCATTTAAAAAAAAACAAAAACAAAAATGCATTTTATATATTCTGTACAATAATCTTTCCTATTACTTTCCTGCTTTTGGTTTAATGCTAGTGAATGAAAGCAGCCAATTAATTGCCAATGTATTAGCTGTACTGCAGATCCCTTGACACTTCTAATGAAGTAATATATCTAGAAATAAAATAAAACACACTATATACTTTTTATTGGTTAATGTGCACAAATTGTTGGCTATGTTCAGATTTTACAACTTTCTATTTTACTAAAATAAAAAACTTCTAATAGCTCAAAAATTTTCTCAAACTAAGCTCAACATATACATTGGATACCATAAAACAATCTGCATTCTCTATTCTTTCCCAAGGCTATCACCATTCCACCAAAACTTTCTTAAGTGAGTTAGCACTGGGTGGAAAATAAGCCTGGCCATTACAGGAGTACCTAACCTAATGGGGTCTGTCTTGGCCTGAAATGGCAGAAAAAATTAATTCTATGTTGAGTTTGGGTGAAAATAAGGTAAATCTTGAAGCTACTGAGCAGCAAAGGCAATGTGTTTACCTTACACCTTTCTTTAAGTATATTTTGTTAATTTTCTTTGCCAAAAGTGAAAATATAAATGCCAGCTTAAATTAGCACCTTTTAGTCAGTGCAAAAAGGCACTATATATTTATGTATAAATTCATATTCTAAAATCTGTATTTGGCATAAACACTATATTTGGCAATCAGAACATACAATTTCTTTTAAAGTTCCAGTATTACTTCAGCTAGTATTTTTTCCTTATATTTTTGTTGTTAAAGATAAATGAATACATGGTTCCAATTATTTCAAAATTTTACAAGCGGCTAATAGCAAGAGAAGGCACTTTATTCAAGATGTAGAAAACACAGTAGGCCAACAAACCTTCAGCCATTTTACATGCAGGAAGTTGAGCATGTAAGAGAAATTTACCATAATGTTATCTCCTTCAAGGCGAGCTGAGTTTAGTTGCTTAAGTGCATAGTAAGAGACAAAGAACACATTATACCAATGAACACAGTGAAACAAATTACTTCTTCACAATAAATAACACATTAAACAAGTAAAAGAGCCAATCAAATATTTTTTTCTATTAAAAAACCCCCACTACATTTATTGTTCTGTGAAACTGCATATAGTGGTGCCTATTCATTTTTTTCCCCAAAATTCAAATTTTCAAAACAAAATATGTTGATGCTTGACTTTAAATGAGAATCATTTAGGGAAAATGTATCATTTTTAAAACTGCCAGTTACCTACAATTTTTATTAAATTTTCACTAAGAAAGTCCTACCTAACCCCAAATTTTCCTATTCAAAGATCATTTCTATTTTATGAATTTATGATGCCTTCAACCACATTCTCTTTCAATCAGCCTCAGCCAGGTCTTGGCATACTCTGAAGTCTTAAAGGCATGTCAATCCTTACATTTCTAGTAAACCTTAAATTCAAACATGTGTTCTTAAAGGCTATACTGATGGTGCTCTAAATTTATTGAGTTTACAGATTAAAGATTTACACTGCTGTGGAAATGCTTAAGTTTGCTATATGATGTTAAAGAAATATTTTCCATCAAATTTGGATGTCCCAAAATTAACAGAGGTCTAAACCACTAAATACTGCAGAGCTTTGAAATCAGCTGATTTTTATCTTTAACATTACTAAAACTGTAAAATAATTTTTAAGTTTAGATTTAGACTAAAATTGGATTCGTAAATGTAGGTGCCTTATAATTGAAATGCATTACAGTTTTGTATCCCTTAGGCAAAATGCCTGGGACCAGAAGTGTTTCAGATTTCTGGTTTTGGAATATTTGCATTATACTTACTGGCTAAGGAACCCTAAAGTGAAAAGCTCCAATAAGCATTTCTTTTGAGCGTCATAAAGGCACTCAAAGAACTTCATATTTTAAAGCATTTCAGATTTCAGGTTTTTGGATTTGGGATATTCAACCTGTAATTATTTTTGTTCTTGCTTCTCTGGTATATTTTATCATATACACAATCTATTTTTCAAAACTGTATTTTTGTTCATTGTGAAACATTAAAGTGGGCTTTCTTTCTGCTTAATTGGTATATTTTTGAGAAATGCCTTTGATGTTGCTTTACCATTCTTCAATATGCTAACTGATAAAACAGCAATATTAGATACAAGCAGAAATTCTTTACTGATAGGGCTAAATCATCAAAAAGTATGATCTGTTGTACCAGATTGTGAACTGAGGGCGGCAGAGATTTTACATCATTTATCTATGAACTCCTCAGTACAGTACCTTGCACAAAATTAGCATTTAGTAAACACAGAACTTAAAAAGAGTCACAAGAAACTAGTAAGTAAATTACTTAAAAAGTGTCAATATGGATAGATCCCAAACCTTACTAGCAGAGTAACTAGTTGCAAAACAATCCATGGAAATTTATAAAGACGTGAAGTCAAAGTAATTCTAAGGTCAGATTAACCACTTCAGTTGCCAACTAGGAACCAGGAAATGTATCAAAGAAAGGAAAAAAAAAGCAAACTCCTAGTGATTCTTCAAGTAAATGCAAAGAAATACAGGGGGGAAAAAAAGGATCACCAAATACAGGAATACCTCCAGGCTTTATGTAATAATAAACTAAGAGAACTTTTTCTTCCCAAAGTATTTCAGACTTAACTGCTATAAAGTTTGAAGAAAAATGTGTTGGTTATCTAGGGGAAAAATACAATTAAAATCAGGAAATCGAACTTCCTGTCTAGACTAAAAAAATAGTATTTGGCTATAGTTAAATTTTGCTGTATGTAATACGTAAGTTCTAGAATAGCTGTGTATAAATAAAATTGCTGAACTGAATAAAATCATTTGTATCATCTTTTACTTTAAACATAAATTCCCATAGAAAAAAAACCTTTATCCTCAAAAATACGCAGCAGAGAAAAATTGCCAAGATCTTTTCTAGATATCTCAAAAAGGAAACATCTCTCAAAATTGGTCTACTATTATATTTAGGTTCTATATATTTTAATAGCAGTGGTAAAATAATTTAGAAATATTAAAGGACTTTGTACACTGTTAAATCTATATGTGTGTGCTTTCTGGAACTTTTCCAGGTAGAAAAGCAGACGGTCATTCCTGTAATAGTGCTTTTTAAACAAAGTTTTGTACTGAAACTTGGTAACAGTATTTTTATTCCACAATTATCACTGGGCACATATAGGCATCTTGAATAAAGACATTCTGTCCCAGTTAAAATATCTATTTCCAAATGATCCTTTTTTCCTGAGTATGAAATTTCTATCTTTAAAAACTAGTTTATAATTTACTTTTCAAATTAATTATTAGCAACTAGAAACTAATAAAAGAATTCAAGGTCTCCTGCTATCTATAGTGTTCATTTTCAAAGTTCTGATGCTGCAGATAGTCTGTTTAGGGAAGTTTTGTTGTTTGTGATAATGATGTAATGATAAACTGTGAAGTGAAAATGCCAGTAAATTTGGAATTAATGTCTTATCAAAGATAGCTCTTCTCTAGCAGTAACTAATACAGTATCTCCAAAAAAGAAAAAAACCATAGACAAAAATAACTTATTCTGCTCATACAAGGTATTAGGGTAGTCTCGTAAGACATTACTATCCAATACCAAGTTAATCAGTTTTAAATTTCACTCTAAACCAATTTTCAACCTTTTTATCTCCCAAACAAGAGAACTATAAGACAGTACCAGCACTGTGGTAATATGCTCATTAACGCAATGATTCTTGATGTTGGCAGTGGTAGTGACTTGGAAACAGAAGGCAGGGGTACTATCATACCATAGCTCAAATTAAGTATTAACTTGTTAGCTTCTTCTAACAAATTCATACTTGGTTTATTTTATACTATTTTAAAGTTATTCCAATTCAAATCTGATATTTTCAAATTCTGGAATAATATAGACAGTATAACTTGGATTAACTAAAAAGCTTATAAATAAATCTTTAAAGAAAAATTTAATTATATTTAATATATACCTACTCAATATTCTGAGGTTTTCTGGAATATATACTAGAATTTATTTATCCAAATGAGTTTCCTCGCATTCAACATCGTTGCCTGAAAGTCCATACTGCCACTGTTGGTTTGAATGGTTTTGGAACTATTCTTGGTGAACATTCTTTTAGTTAGTTTGAGCAGTGTGTGGAAAGGGAACTGATCTAATTTTTAAGTCACACACAAGTATTCTCAAACTTGAGTCTCATCTTAATTACTATCTTTTCTGCTATTTCCAATTATAATAAATCTATCTCCAAAAATATTTGCGACCACTGACGATATTTAAAAAAAATGACACATTAGGAGCTACCATAATTTTTGTTTTTTAGCAGCAGCTATATAGCTAAATATCACGTGTGTGTGTGTATATACACACATATATATATTTTATATATATACACATATGTATTATATATTTTATATATATACACACACATATATATTATATATTTTATATATATATATATATATATTTTTTTTTTTTTTTTTTTAAAGACAGGGTCTGGCTCTGTTGCCCAGGCTGGAGTGCAGTGGCGCAAACTTGGCTCACTGCAACCTCCACCTCCCACACTCAAGAGATTCTCCCATCTCAGCCTCCTGAGTAGCTGGGACTACAGGTGGGTGCCACCATGCCCGTTCATTTTTGTACTTTCTGTAGAGAGACGGGGCTGTGCCATGTTGCCCAGGCTGGTCTCAAACTCCTGGGCTCAAGCCATCTGCCTGCCTCAGCCTCCTAAAGTGCTGGGATAGCAGGCATGCGCCACTGTGCCTGGCCATGAATATCACCTTTTTGATATGACTACTTTGCAGTGATTTGGATGTATTAAGTTCTGATAAATTTGTTTAGAAAGCACAAAAACAAGACTCTAAAGTTAATAGTCTGTATCTTTCATGGTTTATTAGCAAAATATTTTACAAATCTTAAAGTTATTAATCAAAAATATTTTTCTATTTACTTACTGAATTTCTAGTTTCTGCAGCTTTTGCCTTTTTTAGTCTCGTTTTTGCAGCATCCAAATCCAGTCTCTTATTTTGCAATAGTTTCCTTTCTTTCTATAAATATAGAAAAGAAAAAATAAGGGCTAAAGATGCTAAAATTCTGTTAAGAGCATACACATTTAAAGTATTATTCCCTAGTAAACATATGTATCACTTGATAAAGATCTATGACTACAAAATTGGCTATAAAGTTACCATTCATGTATCTGCCCCCCCCCACCCCCTTGTTACTGTTTTAAATTTTAAAATAAATAATTGAAACATTGTAAGTGTCTGGGAAAGATGGCAGGCAATGATGGAAACAAAGGAATATCAGTTTTAATATTTTATGATCCTGTCCCTGCCTCGGGAACATTTGGCAATACCTTTTTGGTTGTCACAATTGGTGGAGGGATGTTATTGGAGTCTGCTAGCCAGAAGCCAGAAATGTTGCCAAACATTCCACAAGACAGTCTATCTTTACAAGGAATTGTGCAGCCCAAAACGTCATTAGTGGCCAGACTGACTTTCAAATTGTTACAGATTATCCAGAAAGTGCCTAGAAAGAAGGAAGTATACGCCTGGGGCAAGGGTTCCTTGACGCCTGGTGTCCTACCTCAAGGATTGGGTGGGCTGCACTTAATGTGTCATAGCACCAAATGCAACCCAACCACTCCAAAATGGAATTTCAAACTTACAGAATAATGAATAAACATTAGTATAGTATCTTAGAATTCTTCAGGGAATTTCAAGCTTCTGTATAGTATGTAAGTTTATTATAATTCAGTTTGCTTTAATCTTAGATTCCATATGTCAAATTTCATTGCACTGATAAGCTAATTTTTATTTTATTTTATTTTATTTCACTTTTTTTGAGATGGAGTCTCACTCTGTCCCCCAGGCTGGAGTGCAGTGGCACGATCTTGGCTCACTGCAACCTCCGCCTCCAGGGTTCAAGCAATTCTCCTACCTCAGCTTCCCAAGTAGCTGGAATTACAGGCACCTGCCACCATGCCCAGCTAATTTTTTTGTATTTTTAGTAGAGACGGGGTTTCACCATGTTGGCCAGGCTGGTTTCAAACTCCTGACCTCAAGTGATCCACCCACCTTGACCTCCCAAAGTGCTAGGATTACAGGCGTTAGCCATCACGCCCGGCTGCTAATATCTTTTAAATCATACTTTAACTTGATAGTTCTTCTGTCTCAGGCCAAATATTTGTTTATACAGAGACAAATCCATTGTGAACATATTCAAAGTTTCTATAATATATTGTAATAGGAAATCTGCAAATTAAAGTTTGAAGTATTTATAAGAGCAGCTTTGTAAAACTCTTAGAAAATTTTCATTCTCTATCACTAAGAAAATAAGTTAAAATCCTAAAAAATGAAGAGCTACACGGTATATATACTATGGTGATATTTTAGACCATATTTTCATAATCATTCCAGGAACCTCTCTATAGATTTTAGCGTTGGTAATGAATGAAAAGGGATAAAGGCATCTCAATAACACTGTAGGACACACAAATGGAGTAAATGTTCAGTAGTCTTTTATTTTGGTTTAATTTTGTGTTCTGGTGAACATGCACTGACCTAGATTATTTAATTTTGTAATCCACTACATCTACACAGTCATTAAGAGGCCAAATTATTCATTAAAAAGTATATATATCTAAATGATTTTACTAAATAAAGGGGACATTTTTCAACTCACAGCAATTGTTTTGTAATCTCCTTCTATAAAGTTTCTTAAAGGAGTAAGAAAATTTAAGGCTGACGTTTGAATCAGTTCTCTGTCTGCTGTTCCAATTCTTTTTTGGGTTTCTCCACATTTAATAAGGGCATTACCTGCAAAGGAAAAATGTTTTTAAAAATCATTGTCTGGTAATACCAGAAAATAAAATCATGTAAAGATAAATCAGCAATTTGGTCTGTTTAAAAGTTAGCTGTAACTTGCTTGCTAAAGTAAAACCAAATAGAATTAACTGTAATTAAGGTAGTTTTATTTTAAAAGTAAATTTAAGAGTATGTGTCTAAATGAAGGAGACAAAGATGAACTTCCTATTGTAGCATAGATAATTGTACCAATTCTACCAATGGGACTAAAGAGGGCAAATATACCCCAAAATATTTACGGTCACAGTCGGCCCTCTGTATCTATGGGTTCTGCATCCATGGATTCAACCAACCACGATCAAAAACATTCAGAAAAAAAAAAAAAAGGATGGCTGAGGAGCCAGGCACAGTGGTGGCATATGTCTGCAGTCCCAGCTACTCCAAAGCTGAGGGAGGAGGATCGTTTGAGCCCAGGAGTTTAAGGCCAGCCTGGGCAACACAGCAGGGCCTGTCACTATTAAAAAAAAAAAAAAAAAAAAAAGATGGTTGCCTCTGTACTGAACATGTACAGACTTTTCTCCCTTGTCATTATTTCCTAAAAAATACAGCATAACAACTATTTACACAGCATTTACATTCAGATGATTTAAAGTACGAGGGAGGATGTGCATAGGTTATATGCAAACACTATGCCATTTTATATGACACCTGAGTATCCATGGATTTTGGTATCCTCAGGGTGGCGGGCCTGGATCCAATCCCCCATGGATATCGAGGGGTGACTGTGGTTATACTTATAAAAGTATAATGCTTCCAAGAGATCAAGTCACAATTTGTCCTGTTTCTACATCCTTGCAGTTATCATCTGAAGTATCTATAAGTAATAGTTCATAGTGATATCTTAAGTTAAAAAATCCATGCTTTTGCAATACATATACTCTGATACTTAAATAGGGCAAGTACAGTACAAAGTAGAGTAGAAAGAAAGGAAGCCCCAAGATCAGGGTTCCACTCCTAGTTTTACTTCTAATAAGCTTTAGCTCTAAGGATCTTAATCCCTTCATGTTAGGATAAGCTTTGATCTGACTGATAAGGAAGGTAATACAGATAGTAGTTAAGAGCTCCGTCACTGGATACAGACAGATCTTCATTTGAATTACTATACTAGCTGTGACTGTGGATTAATTATTTAACTTCTCCAAACCTGTTTCCTTGTCTTTAAAATGAAGGTAATATAATTTATCTTAAAAGCAGGATATAAATGAGAATTAATATGTAAATATATATACTATATAATGCTTAGCCCATGCCTGTGATACTCAATTTTTAGTATTAATTACTAATAAGGTAATAGGTTCACAAAGCCCAATTCTAATAACCAGGGTACATTCACTAGAATTACTAGAGGTGCAAACAGATTAAGCAGATTTAAAAGGGAAGAAAATCTAGAAGCCTTTACTAATGTTCATGCTCTGCTAAAACCTTCTTCAGCCTGGTGAAGGAAGGGGCTGCTGGGTTCCTTTCACATACCTTTATGATCCCAGCATCTAACTGAGCTTGGCACAAGTAGGCAATAAAACATCTGTTTAATGTATAACATTTTTCTAAAAATTAACAGTAAAATTCAGAAATAATTTTATTTTGAAGTTCTAAGCATTTTCAAACTTAAAAATTAGATTTTGAAGAACACAATGTAGAAGTTTCAAAGTTGTGTACCTAAAAAAGCCTGTCAATGGATTAGTGGCATTCAACAATATTTAGGTTATTTCTTTCTGACATAAAGATAACTACTAAAGCTTAAAATTCATTTAATCCTAGAATTTATAAACCATTCTGTAAATCAGAACTATGTGTAGAAATTAATTTAATCTACCTACCATTTCATATCCAAAGACCAGTATCTTGCAGATGTATAAAGAGAATTATTATTAGACATAAACAACAGGAAAAGAAGCTACTGAAATCTGTAACAGTCTCATGTTATGAGAAAATTAGAGTGACAATAAAGATGTGTATGTAACTTTGAGCTTCAGGGCTATACATTTAAAGTCTGTACAGCAACTAATAAAGCGAGTGTAACTAAACCACGGCTATAGAAAATTTGAAATACATAAGAGAAAAACAGAAATGAAATGTAATCCAAATATCCAGAGATAACAATTGTTAATATTTTTTGGTTACTGACATTACTGCAAAATTATAACAAAAGCACTGATTTGTTCAAGAACTACGTGCCAAGTACCTTTAACATAAAATAAGCCCTAAGAAAGCTTTTTTAAAAATGAAGAGACATATGCAAACAATAATTGCAATATCACAAGTATTATAACATAGGTATTGTAAGATCACTGGGAGAACAAGTGAAGAATTCATTAAACTTTTTAGAACTAAAAAAGATGTGAATTCTCTGAATAACTAAATATATGCTTGAATATATTAAATATTACATTTAACTGTATATATTTGCCTATATTTCTCACTTCATCAAAAATTTTTAACATAAATTTGAAGTTAAAACCAATTCTACTACTATGTTTTTTTTTTTTTTTTTTTTTTGAGACAGAGTCTCGTTCTGTGGCCCAGGCTGGAGTGCAGTGGTGTGATCTTGGCTCACTGCAAGCTCCACGTCCAAGGTTCACGCCATTCTCCTGCCTCAGCCTCCCAAGTAGCTGGGACTACAGGTGTCTGCCACCACACCCAGCTAATTTTTTGTTATTTTTAGTAGAGACGGGGTTTCACCATGTTAGCCAGGATAGTCTCGATCTCCTGACCTCATGATCCGCCCACCTCAACCACCCAAAGTGCTGGGATTACAGGTGTGAGCCACTGCACCCGGCCTACTAATATGTTAATGACATCTCTAATAAATCTAAACATAAAGATATCCCTTATTAGAACTTTTTGCATTTCACTTACCATAAGCTGTTCCTGGGCCAAACTCAGTCCCTGCATCAATCATATATTGTCCCAAAAGTTCTGGGTTGTTTATACGACTTGGAGCTTTTCTATCCAGTTTCTCATAAACAAATTCTTCTATCCTGGCATCTAGGAGAAAGGTTAAAATTACCAATGATTTCTAAAAAGCAAAACTAATTAGAAGATTGTTTTTTTCCCCCATCAGCAGCCATTTATCATCTCCTAAAGTTAGCATTCATTCAAGCACATATCTTAATAAATAATTTTTTAAATTTTATGTTAGACTATTATATAACTAAAAAATTATATTTTAGAAATTTGATAAAATATCTTGGCACAAAAGCATTTTAAAATAAAATAAAATTATTATTTGAGTATTCTACAAGATTTTAAGTTCCAGAAAAGGACTGATTAATTCACTTAATATTTATTGAAGGTGTCTTTGCCCTGTTTGTAGCATTTTAACTCTAATTTTTACTCTGAATGTACATTCATAATTTCAAAATCAGGATTTCTGGCTAGGAAAATACAGATATAAAGTACCTGGAAGAACCAAAGACTTACATCTGACAGCTTTAGCATGAGCATTTGCTCTCTCTTTTTCTTGCCTAGAGTCTAAATATAGACACAGGCGCTTAAGGCATAGAACAATCCAGGCTTGGAATAGTCTACAGACAGATCAGCAATATGATGCCTTGGCTTTAGTTTATGTTTAAAGTATACAAGTATATCTCTGAGCATGCATTCACTCAAAAGATTTCATCATTAAAAATAAGTTTAAAATACGAAAGGTTAAAGCAATAATAGAACATTAGAATAAATGGAAAGGGGAAAAAAACAAAAGCTGAATAAACACTTGGTTAGCAAAATGCTTAAGACCAAAGATATTAACATTTACAATGCTGTCCAACCTAGAGGTATTTCAGGACAAGTGAAAAAATGGCTTAAGTTTCCAGAAACAACGATTAAGCATAAATTGAAGCTAAGTCAAATAGGTTCCCTCTAAGTACCTCACATAGATTCCTACGCATGCGGAAGTTTCACACAGTGCACTGAAAATTTAAAAAATGAGCTGAACCAGTAACAGAAACATTTCAGGAGTTGGTAAAAGGCTTAGTTATAATACATAAAATAGAGTATAGCAATGATACTTGCTTTTGTGGTAGATTCTAGTACAAAATCAGAAGTTTTAAAGCAGAAATTAAATACCTTTAAATAGTTAAAACCAAAAAGAGCTTTTTAAAACATAACCATTTAGAAGATACTAGTTAAATTTCAGAACTTCATTTTGGCCCGGTGTGGTGGTACATGCCTGTAATCCCAGCACTTTGGGAGGCCAAGGCAGGTAGACCACTTGATGTCAGGAGTTTGAGACCAGCCTGGCTGACATGGTGAAACCCCGTCTCTACTAAAAAAAAAAATACAAAAATTAGCTAGGTGTGGTAGCGCATGCCTGTAATCCCAACTACTCGGGAAGCTGAGGCAGGACAATCACTTGAACCCAGGAGGCAGATCTTGCAGTAAGCAGAGATTGTGCCACTGCACTCCAGCCCAGGTGAAAGAGTGAGACTCTGTCTCAAAAAAAAAAAAAAACAGCTTTGTGTTTTGACTCTGATTCTTAATTTTGACTGCTTTTCCACCTATCTGGCCAAAAGTTTAAAATGGAATCTTATGCTGACTTCGTTCAGTTAATAAAATATTTGGAATACTAATAAATGTTTAATTTCAATAGGTTATAATAAAATCTTAAATATGCAGGCAACTCTGCTACAATGTAATATGTATTTCTGCATAACGTATTTTTGAAAAACCCATTTCCAGAAGATCATACATTGAAAACAACATAGGAATTACAAGAAAAGGAGTGTTAGGTTTGGCTGCTCAAAACCTATGTAACTTAATAACCAGAGCACAGGCTGGGCATGGTGGCTCACACGTGTAATCCCAGCGCTTTGGGAGGCTGAGGCGGGCAGATTACCTGAGGTCGGGAGTTCGAGACCAGCCTGGCCAACATGGAGAAACCCTGTCTCTACTAAAAATACAAAAATTAGCCGGGTATGGTGGTGGACACCTGTAATCCCAGCTACTCTCAGCAGGCAGAGGCAGGAAAATCGCTTGAACCCAGGAGGTGGAGGTTGCAGTGAACCAAGATCACACCACTGCACTCCAGCCTGGGTGACACAGCAAGACTCTGTCTCAAACAAAACAAAACAAAACAAAACAAAAAAACCACAGCACAAACAAAAAACAAAAACAATTATTACGACTTCCTGGCACAAAACAGGGGCAGGAGGAAATTGTATTTTATTTCCCTGTTTACCAGTTGTGAATGAGCTTATTTCCCATTCAGAAAAATATGTTTAGAACAAGGGGAAAAATGTCTATTACTTTTAATAAAAGTGCCAGAGTGTAGAATTTAAATGGCCTTAAATGAATAAAAAATATTACATGGTGTCCAAAGACATTAGGACTCACTCAAAGTGCAAAAAGCTTATTTTATTTCCAACTTTTATTTTAGTTCAAGGAGTACACATGCAGATTTGCTACCTGGGTATACTGAATGATGCTGAAGTTTGGGGTACACATGAACCTGTTACCCAGGTACTGAGCACAGAACTCAACAGTTAAGTTTTTCAACCAAAAGGTGTATTTAAAAAGTCACTACTATTTAACTAAAATGATAGAGAACTGCTAATATTTATATAGTGCTTGAAGTTTAAGTTAGTATCTAAAAGTAAGCATATGTCATATCACAACTTGGTCCCAAACAAGTTGGGGAAAAAAGAAGGAAAGCATACATTGTACCTTTGTTCTTCAGTTTTGATATGCAAAGCTCACAGTGAAAAGACTGGATGTTCATACACCCGGTTCTAGTCCAATTTCCACTTCTAATTAGCTATGCTACATTTGACAAGATGCTAACTCATGAGTTTCATTCACTAAACAATTATGCACCTTAACTGCAAGATTATTGAGTTGACTTATCTGAAAATCTCATAGTTGTCTGAAGATGAAATGAAATAATTTATGTGAAAATGTAAAACTTAAACATAGGCGGGGCGCAGTGGCTTATGGCTGTCATCCCAGTACTTTGGGAGGCCGAGGCAGGTGGATCACGAGGTCAGGAGTTCGAGACTAGGCTGGACAACATGGTGAAACCCTATCTCTACTAAAGACACACACACAAAAAAAAATTAGCTGGGCGTGGTGGCACATGCCTGTAATCCCAGCTACTTGGGAGGCTGAGGCAGAAGAATTGCTTCAACCTGGGAGGTGGAGGTTGCAGTGAGCCAAGATCACACCATTGCACTCCAGCATGGGCGACAGGGCGAGACTCTGTCTCAAAAAACAAACAAACAAACAAACAAACAAACAAAAAAACACACCAAAAACTTAAACATAAAAAATGGTACCTACTTAAGCAACTATATAACTTTGTCTTAATTATCTAGGGACAATTCTTCCCTAGATGAAAAAGGAAAACATATTTATATACACAGCTGCTCATAAATTAAAATTCAAAGTCACTGCCTAAAATTGAGATTTTTTACAAGGATTCTATAAAAGACTGAAAAATATCATTTTAAAATTGGTTAGGTACATAGCTGTTTATCACTTCCTCTTCACAAAAGCACACACAAAAAAACCCACTGACCTTGAAGCTACAATAAAAAAATCCTATGTTTTCAGATGGCCATTAAAACTTTTTTTTTTAACATTTAAAAACCCACTAATAGTACTTAAGGTACACAAGAGGTAGAGTTTCTTACTTGGATTTGGCTGCAATAACACTTCAGTTTGTTTCATTATTTTTTCTGTCCATATTTTGGTACATTCAGCTTTGCTAAGGAGGTTCTCTAAGTGAGCATCCAATTCTGTCTTCTCAGCCTGGCCAAGCTTTTCTTCTGTGAACTGTTATTGATTGTAAAACAAAAATTAAATATACTGCAAATAAATTTTAGGGAACCATATCAATAAGTAAAAAGCAAATTCAAAGCTAAACAATCCTAAACATACAAATAACCATGCTCCAGCTTTGTAAGCCATTGCTTATGAATACTTTTTTTTGCTCCTATGGTAATTTATCCATACTTCTTTTGTGGATGACCCTACCTTACAGTCATCACATACCCTTAGTTCTGCTAAAATGTATGGTGTGAATTCTACAGAAAACCTAAGTATACTTCTTGGTATATAAAGCATGCAACTATTTCAACTACCTATCCTAGGTAGACTAGGATAACGGTAAAGAGTAAGAGCTTTGAGTCAGTTGAATCTGAATTCAAATCTTAACTTTGTTCCTTGCTGTGTGAGCTGAGCAATGTATTGAATATTTTTTCTTTAGTACCCTCTATTATAAAAGAGAGACAATACATATTTTATAGTGTTTGGGGGATTAAGTATGATTGTGTATGCAAATCACTTTGTTTGGTGCCTTGTAATTATTAAGTTTTGAAAGAGCTGTTAATGTTTATTGTGGTTTATGTCTTATTAGCACTTTAATCACACCTAGTTAGATAAATAGTTTCCCAGAACATACCATAAAACCTGTCATTTAAGCTGCTGAGGATATGTTCCAGCAATTTATTTATAGACTAACTTTTGGAACATATCCTATTCATACTATGAAGACATCTTTTAAAGGTCATAAAATGTGGTTAAACGTACTCAATGAATCAATTTTTATTATTGAATATACTGGTATTTGAGAAAAGGTAGCACTGCCTATATAATAATAAAGCAGTAAAAAGATTCTGTGTAGATCTACAGCCTTCTGGATACTTTTAATTAAACATTAGAGGTGATGACTCAAGCTGTTTATCATGCATCATTTTCCTCTAGAATATGTGGCTTCCTCCCATCTTAACACAGGTATATCACTAGCATTAATTCTGTGCTCAGTAATGACTCACTTCTGGCTGACAAAACAGTGTTCACCTTGCCTTTCTCTCCTTTCGTTTCTCAAAAATCTCGTTTGCTACTCTATTTTCTGAGTTTTATTGTTTCTTTCAGCATCCTTCTTCTTGGTTTAATACTTTCAGGTTATTATCAACACCTTAAGCTGAAGGATCCTCTAGAATTCTATTCTTAGACTTCTGGTTACAATCTCCACTGAGGCTCCTGTTTAGGGGCTAGAAATAACAGCTTAAATAGCTTTTGTAAAGCCTTGGGTCTTTTTGAGAATGGTCTATAGCCAGCCCCTGACCTAGTGGGTAGAACCAAAAATAGCAGTTACAAAGCTATTGCCTAAGCCCATAAACTTGCAGTGTAGCTGGAGGACTGGGCACTGAGCAAAAGCAAACCCTGATCCCAAGGCCAGCTGGATAAACTATGCAACCTCATTCTTAACAGAGAACCCCGTAGTCTTTACAGATCCCTGAAGATTCTAAGCAACAGACCTCCTACTAGACTTTTACATGTTCAAAGTCTACCACCAATGGCTAGATAAAATAACTCCCAGATAAAGTGACCAATAGGAAGGGAAGAAAGGGAATACCTTTCACTCAGGTGAACATCACCTATAAAGAGTGATCTAAAAAAAATTCACTTAGCCCCTTAAAAATTGAAACTGCATGCATAAATTTCCCTTTAATAAGCAAGTTTATCCATTTGTTTGTTCATTTTGTTTATTCCTTCAACAAATACTTATTAAGCACCTACATATGTGCTAGGCACTCTTCTAAACACATGGGTTTCAGCAGCCAACAAAACATATAAGGTTTCTGTTCTTAGGAAGCTTACATTTTAATGGCAAAGACAGACAATAGATAAATAAATAATCTGATAATAAGGATATAAAGATATGAAGATGGTAAAGCGGACCAACATGGTTGGTTTGTTTCTGAGTGACATACAAATCCAAGTACAGAGAAAGAATTCATTCTTCAGGGAGAGGAAGAGGGAGAGCAGGAGAATCAGGGAAGGCTTCAGTGGGGGAGGGATGGGCAACTTGGGCCTAGAAAGGGGAGCAGGAGTTTGAGGAGTGTGAGATGCGGGTAGTTAGAGAAACAGCATCTCTGAGTAGGTAACAAACGACCTGTGACTGAATGATATGAACTATGTTAAGATCTAAGGAAAGAGTGTATAGTCCTGATGATTTATCTTCCAGTTGCACAATTTCTTTAAGCTCATTAGCATCACCCTCACACATATTAAATATTAATTTCTCTGTGGAAATCCTTAACTTATAGTTAATAACCAAGAATAGATTAATAGAAAAATCAACAGATCAATAATTCAAAATCAGTACTTATGGCCAGGAGCAGGGGCCCCCGCCTGTAATGTCAGCACTTTGGGAGGCTGAGGCAGGCAGATCACTTGAGCTCAGGAGTTCTAGACCAGCCTAGGCAACATGGCGAAACCACGTCTCTACAAAAAAATCCAAAAAATTAGCCAGGTATGGTGGTGCACACCTGTAGTCCCAGCTGCACTCCACTGCACTCCATTCTGGGTGACACAGCAAGACCCTATCTCTAATTAATAAGTTAATAATAAAATAAATAAATATAAAATAAAATAGTCACTGAATTTATCTGATACAAACTGGGGTTCAGGGCAAGTTTTCTCCCGACAGTATTTCAGGAAAATCAGCAATTAGAAAGTTAATTATTTGGAAAATAAAACACTTCAATCTTCAGGTAAAAAGGCCTGTTTGCTTAATTATTTAACATTTTCTTTGTGACTCTCATGATACTACCTCCCAGGTATCTCAATAAATATATATTCTTTTTGAAAAGAGTATGAAAGTATAACAGAGCAAAGATGGGTATTTGCACCAAGTGATTTATTTGTATGAGTCTGAGGAAGAAAGAAAATATGTTAACTGATAAAGATTCTACAAACACACACAATTAGTAGGTTTTTTTTTTTTAACTATTTTAGTTCAGAAGATACATGGAACCCTTACACATGAGTGAGACAGTCTAATTACAGAAAACCTGTTTAGAAAATAGCAGTACTGTAGGGTCACATGACAATGTTTCTATGTTTCACATTTCAGCACATCCATTTACATCTTTCTCATACTTCTGTGTCAAGGCTTAGTGTATGTTCAAAAATTCCATTAACTAAGCTGTGCATTCTACAACAAATACTCGAAAGAATCTTAAAATAAAGTAAGAATAATTGTAGAGATTAATAAATTGAGACTCAGGGTGATTAAACACTTTGTCCAAGGTGTCATTGTTGGGATTCAATCTCACATCTGTTTGAGTCATAGTCTTATCATGCTATACTACCCTTCCAGTAAATACTTGCTGATTTCCAAAATTAGTATTTTCTATTTCTATTACTATTATCCAATCATATTCTGTGCTTCCTTTCTCCTATGTCTGTTCGCAGCACTCTGGACAGCTTTCTCCCCCAGATCACTTCTGCTTTCTACAAGATATTCAATAATTATTCACCAAAATTAGTAAACTAAATCCTATCATGAATGAATAAAAGGGAGGAAGACACACAATAAGGACATTGCTAATGCTATCATATTTTAAAATTGAAATTATAAATTTAAATCTTATTACTTAAATATATAATTGTAAAAGACATAATATTTCCCAAATTTTATCATTGGTGGAAGCAAAAGGATTTTTCCATAATTAATCAGAAGTACACTTTATTAAGATAACAAATACAATATTTAATACATTTTCTCTAAAGCACTGTAAATAATGCGTCTACTACAGACACTAGGAGTCATCTCAACTAAATTAATATTTAAATTACTAATCAAAAATATTTATGGCTTCTACAGCAAGATGATCAGCATCTGATGTACTTCTTGCCCTCAAGGATTTTATGATCTACTAGGAGAATACTGCCTTGACTCAAACAAAATTATAATAATGGCACCTTTTCAGAAGGGCAAAAGACCTATTAATTCTTTCTTTTAAAAAAAGATCCCTTTCCTAGTTACCAAAAAATTTTAAATTAACCCATAAAAATTTTAGTTTTCAACATCTTCAAGTCAAAAATCATTACTGATTTTGTAATCTCTTGATAATAGGTATTAATGAGAAACTAGTTGATTTTAAGCATATCTTTTAATGAATAGATGGCAGTATAGTTTAATAATTAAGAACTTTTGTGTAAACAACCTAAAATAAAAGGCAAACTGTAAATAAGCATCTTCTTAGTAAGTCATTAAACTCAATGTTTTCTAAAATATAATTTGATACCTAATTTTTTCATATTTCATTTGTAATATGGCAAAGTGGCATAAGAATAAAAGTTTAATCCCCTTTTATATATTTTCTCTAAATATTGCTTTGCGGAAAGAATTGTCTTTGAGTCGGCTACATTATACCAGGCACTGTAATCCTTCTTTTACTACAGGATAGGCATATAACCCACATTATTAAATAAGGAGCCTGGATTCCAAACTCTACTTTTAGAAAAAAAAAAGACTACAAATAAAATGGGTGTGTGATCAAAGACATCTATTTAATGCAAACTCTAATCACCAGTATTACTAAAGGGTAATACTCTAAAAGTAATTTAAATTTCTTGGAAAATATGTAACACAGATTCTGAATAATGTATTAGTAAACTGTAAGGTGCATCTTTCTCCATTGGTTCCCAATTTTGGCTGTTCTTTAGAATTACTTGAGGGAGCTTTAGAAAACACTGATGTCTGGTCTGATCCAACCCCTAAGATTCTAATTTAATTGGACTGGGGTGTAGCTCATATATTGGCATTTATAAAGATTCCCCAAGCATTTTAAGTGCAGCCAAGACTGAGAACCACTGTTCTAAACTCATTCATAACTATTTAAATATGTATCGCTTGGTTTAGTGCATGCTGCATTACTTTACTTTCCTCTTTGGCCCATTTAGGAATTTCAGCTGTTATTACTGTTACTTCACTGTGCTGGAGTTTTGCTTCAAATATATTAACTGTGTTGAGGTTCTTTCAGTAAGCTGGTCTCCAAAGAATATTAAAGTAATTGACTTAGGTGTTTGATCATTTTAAATATAGTAGCAAAGCAACTAGGAGTACATCAGTTGGGTGTGGTTAAGAGTTTAGGATTAATTTGTAGCTCTGTCATTACCTTAAAAATACTTTCAAGAAAGGCCAGGCACGGTGGCTCATGCCTGTAATCCCAGCACTTTGGGAGGCTGAGGCGGGTGGATCACCTGAGATCAGGAGTTCGAGACTAGCCTGGCCAACATGGTGAAACCCCGTCTCTACTAAAAATACAAAATTTAGCCGGGCACGGTGGCGCGTGTCTGTAATCCCAGCTACTAGAGGGGCTGAGGAAGGAGGATAGCTTGAACCTGGGAAACGGAGATTGCGGTGAGCCAAGATCGTGCCACTGCACTCCAGCCTGGGCAACAGGGCGAGACTCCGTCTCAAAAAAAAAAAAAAAATTCTTTCAAGAAATATGATGAATTTAAAAGAGTTTTATAGATTTTCTAATTACCTTACTCATGTAGTACATAAGTGTAAATTTTAACATCAGGTTAACAAACTATCTTCTATCTATTTTACTAAAGTAATGCAAATAGCACCAAAGGATGTGAAAACAGTTTTAAGTAACACTAAACATGTAGAGTTTTTATATAACAAGAAAATGTATGGATTTCGAATGTGACATATTTTATTTATTAGAATTTAAGAAACATGGTGAAGTTGTCACGGTGTGAATTCTGTAAAAGAAATAGGATTTCAGAAGTGCTTGAGAGAGTTGTTTGGCCAAACTGAAACTCCAGGGAGGGTCTGACAGGAGCTATTGAACGGCAACATCATATTCATCTTTACATCCTTAGACACACCATGACACTTGCTGAAATAAATGGGAGATCAAGGCCAAGCTCAAAACTATATTTTAAGAACTATATTCCTTAGAAAATAGCTGGTGTTCACGAATTTCATAGTATGACTTTAATAATCAGTTTAGAGGAAATGTTAGAAAATTAAAATGAACTCCCTCCCTAAGTAATTTGATTTGAAAAATTCTTTTTAGAAAGTCTTTGCTCTTATTTTAATGATGGTGAGCAAGGTTTTGCTTCAATAAGAATTCTGAGTTAAAAACACATCTCTTGTTCCTTTATCCACTTGAAAGATTTATCAAATAAAGTTATTCACAAAATGGCTATTTAGTACAAATAAGATTTATGACAAGTTTGAGACTATTATTATGAAGTCTCTGAGGGCAGGAACAGGGTCTCATTCAGCTTTGTATCTTTCAACGCCAAGCACCTAGGAGGTACTCAATTTATACTGGTATTAGTTAACTTCAAGGTCCGCAAACAATGTTAGAAAATACTAATAAAGATACTGTTATTTAACATGCTTATTGTTGCCCTTCAAAGATTAAACTTCACATATGGATGGTAATTTGCCTGGCTAAAATGATATAAAAGATGAACCATGTTAGATGTTGTAAGAGGGGAATAAGAAACAGAGTTGATGCCTTAGCACATACAAACTTATTAAAGAAAGTCAGAGTAACAGAACTTTAGAGTTCCAAGAGATCTAACATAACAGTTCATTAGAAGAAAAGTGCCACCTCATCATTTGGAATTGAAAATGATTCACGATTTCACAGCAAGCTCTTGTGGTCTAAGAAGCCTTATCAGCTGAGATGGATTTGAAGCTATATCTTTAAAAAAAGTTTATTTTACTTTTATTTTAAAATTTTTTTTACTCTCTCCATTTTGGAGATGAATAAAGTTGTATCTTAAGGAAAGGAAAGAATAGGCAGACAGGACACTTAAGAGGAGTCTAACCATATGAACAAAAGCCTAAAATAAGTAGAAGATATTTTGGAAATTAAAAAATAATTTGGAATACAGTGTTTATATAAGTGAGAGAAAGGACCAGATTGTAAGGGAGTATTTAATGCTCAACTAAGAAGTTTGGACTAAAAAGATGGATTCTAAGAATAAATGGCATTTAAAACTCTAGTAAAATAACAATTAAGCAAGGGTGAATTACCTGATACTTTTGTATTTTACCATCTTGAGGTACTTAAAAACAAGCACCCAAATGGGCTAGTTAAGAATAAACATTCCTACTCATTTATACATTCTAGTCTAACATTCTTTTTAAAGTACCAAGGCTTATAAACAAATTTTAAAAGGAGGGAAGTGGAGTGGTGATGGGACGCATCTATGTGCTTTACTAGTTTGAGCTGACCTTTTTTTAAAACAAGAAACATGTTTAATTTTTAACTTAGAAATTTTTAAGTAAAATGGAAAACAATGTATGGCGTTGGCCAACCAAAGAATGGCATATTCCTTACGGTACAATTTGATTTGAATGAAAATTATTATTTATAAACGTGAATGTTTCTCTCTCTACTGTTCTTACTGCTTATAAAGAGATATTGGCATAGCTCTTAAGCTATTCTTAGCATGAAACTTGGTACTTTGGCATTATACTGATGTCAATGCAATTTAATGTAGGAACTCAGTGATGAAATAAATACTGAGATGAGAAAGCAGTGTTTTGTTGAAAACTACCACACAGCATTCCAAATTTCACATGTTCTATTTTAGAAGCATCCTTTTTTTCTTACAAATTTTATCTTTAAAAAAGTATTATGGAAAATGTCAAACATACAAAAGTATAACAGTATAATGAAACCTCATGAACCCATAACCAACCTTCCACAACTATCAACATTCCGTTGCTGTTGTTTCAGCGACTTCTGTTTTTTTCTTTTGAAATATTCAAACGCTAATCTCAACTGGTGTGGTGGCTCACACCTGTAATCCCAGCACTTTGGGAGGCCGAAGCAGGTGGATCCTGAGGTCAGGAGTTCAAGACCAGCCTGACCAACATGGTGAAACCCCATCTCTACTAAAAATGCAAAATTAGCTGGGCGTGGTGGAGCCTGCCTGTAATTCCAGTTACTTGAAAGACGGAGGCAGGAGATTGGCTTGAATCGGGGAGGCGAAGGTTGCAATGAGCTGAGATCGCGCCATTGCACTCCAGCCTGGGCAACAAGAGCCAAACTCCATCTCAAAAAAAAAAAAAAAAAAAAATACCCTGTAAAAACCAAATCTCAGATATGATATAAGTTTATCCATAAACATTTCAGTATGTATCTCTAACAATTACAGACACATTAAAGAAGTCTGTTTCTCCTAAAATTTTTCCCTTAATAAACGGCTCAAGCCAAAACCTTGGAGTCATCCTTAACTCATCTTTCTCTCATACCTCACAGCCAATCCAACAGCCAATACTGGATAATTTGGAACCTTCACTGCTACCACTGTAATCTAAGTTACAATCGCCTTTTACGTGTATTATGGCCACAGCTCCTTCATTGGTCTCCTTAATGCCCCTGAAACTTCAGTCTTTGTACTTCTTCCTGCTGCCTGAAATACTTTTATTCCAAAAAAAACTAGGTCTGTCACTTCCTTGAGGTCTCTTGAATTTCATCCTATTAGAAAGACTTGCCCTGACCATCCTATCTATACACGATACTAATGTTAGAAAATACTAATAAAGATATTAACAACCACCATCTCTGCGTTATTCTATTCTTCTGGCCATGATTTTTATCACCACCTGATGTATTTACAAGCTTATCTTCCGCTACAATGTAAGCTTCAGGAGGGCAGACACTTTGCTGATTTTATTCACTGCTGTATCACCAGTGTCCACAGTAGCCACAAGCAGACATCAGACATGCAGTAGACACTTAAATATTTAAAACTGAAAAGAAAATTATTTGATGGCTAACAGATTAGCATAAAATTTAAAACTTTTTCCTAAAGAATTTGAAACAAGGAATTAAAATTCTTTGGGAAGTACACATTTTGAGAGCTTTGCTAGATTTAATTTTTTAAATTGAGTCTATCCACAATTTAAATCAGACTAAATTCTAGTAAATGTGTCCTCTTTAAGGGGTGTGAGTTATACGTCTGAAACATATTTAACTGTATTTAAAAGAGTAGCATTATACAGTGTCAAATCCTCATAAGCATCTAGAATTATAGGTAATGAGCACTAGGACAAACAAAAATACCAAGGGCTCTAGTCCTCTATTGCAGTCAATGTTAAAAGTGTACAAGTGTCTCACACATCAAAATTCATTTCACACCCTCAATCACTCATTCTTCTTGCACCTTGTCTTTGAACTATTAGAAGCTAGTGAATTTAAATCAAAACATTATTTTAACTATAAAGGCTCAACGTCTACAATATATCATATTTTAGGGAAGGAAGGGAAGAAAAGGGTTAAGGCAGCTAGCTTATTACTCACCATGCAGATTTTAGAACTTAGAAATCAAAAGCTAGAAGGAATTTACCATCTCTAAAGTGTTACTTGCTTGTTGATATGGAAATGCTCAGATTGAACCAGATGATTTTTAAGGTCTCTCTAGGCCACAGCATTCTATTATTCTAGCTATCTTAAATCTGGAATGCTTATCCCGGAAGAAAAAGCAGCTGGGAGTACTAGGTCAGACAGCACCTGGTTATTTACTAGTTGTGCAAGTTTCTTAACCTCAGTAAGGCTGCTTCCTCACATATATAAAAGGGGTTAATAACATCTATCTGGCAAAGTTATGGAAAAGACTGGAGATAATATGTCAAATGCATTACAAAGTGCTTGACAGGTTTTTCATAATATAGGCAGCTATTACCTTGCTCTAGCTCTACTACTCTTTTGCCAGGGATAGTGCAATGTAGGATCAACTGTGCCAACAAAATTGGGGCAAAGGCAAGGAAAGTAGTAAAGCCACAGAACAGATTTACATTTCAGCACCAATTTGGTATGCATATTAGAAAATTATTTTTGTTTTCTTTTTACAAAAGAGAATGTTGTTGCTACCGTGACCGTAAACACCAGATTGTTTATAATTCATGTTGTGAAATTTACATCTGTTCACAGATTTACTGAGTTGGCATAACATGGGTGATGACTGTGGGAAACGGCCCAAGTTCCTTAGTACTGACACTTCCTTGATTGTAGAATATCGAGAGGTAGTCAACTTTTCCCCTTAAAGTATATTTAAAACATACTACTGTGACTACAGCCATAACAATATCCCCGCATCTCTCCTTGATCTACAGCTGGTGCTTCCCATTTTGAAAAAGAGTGAAAACCCCCCAACCCTAGGTTTCTTGTGGTCTTGGCAAAGTCTCAACGCCAACTGGCGATCTCCATTTCCCCCGCGGGCTGCCAAGCCCAGGACAGTCCTTTCAGGGAGAAAGAGGGCCGGAGGGAACTGTGTTGGCAGCTCTCTGGGTTGAAGGACAGGAAAAGGAAACTCCCTTCTTGGACTCCGAGGGGAGGGTGAGAGACGAAAGGAAAGGGTGGGGGGTAGTGCAAGAATGGCCTGTGTCTCGGTTACCGCAAAGGACTCGCAAGCCTCCGCCAGCCCCGGGGTGGAGGCCACAGGAGCACTGACGTCGTGGTATCAGAAAGGCGGACAGTGCAGCCTTAGTGTTCCCCAGGGGTGGGAGGAAGCTCCCGGCCCCGTCCCCACCCCGCCTCGCTTCCCAGGGAGCGGCGGTTGGGCAGGAGCGGGGCAGAAATCCGCCGCCGGGCCCGGGGAGGGGACCAGGCCGCGCCCATCTCCCAGGCCTCTGGCTGCAGCAGGCCCGCTGGGTGGTCGGCGAGGCCCGGGGGCGCCGCGTCGAGCTGCGGTCCCCTCCCTCAACCTTCCCGGGCGCCGCCACCCCTTTTCCCCCCAGCACCAGGGTACCTGCACGGCGCGACTGAGGAAGGTGCCTGCGTCGGCCGCCAGCTTCTTCACGTTGAAGTCCATGATATTCATCCTAGGCGGCAGCCGGGCGGAGCCGGCCGACCTAGCGGCGGCGAGGCGGAGGTGCCGCGGCCGGGCTGGGGCGCAGGGCTAGAGCGGCGAGGGCAGACGTGGTAGGTGGAGGGAGGCGGCGCCAGCCCCGCAGCCGCAGCTGTCGTTTCCGTGAACGGGGAGGATGAAGGCGGGGCGAGGGAGGAGAACAAGCGCGCGGCGGCAGCGCCAAGGATGGGTCAGTCGGCTCGGAGAACGGCCGCTAACGTCGACGATGGGCCCCGCGGGCGAGCCGGAGATGGACGGGCGACCCCGCCGTGTGGACCCGGGTCCCAAGGGAAAAACAAGCGCGGGCCGCGGGGCGGAGCCTTTCTCGAGGTTATCGCGGGAACAGCGACCCCTTGAGGATTGCGGCGGCGCAGCCCCGGGGCGCGCCGGGAGCTCCGCCCGGCTCCTGTGGAGGAAGCGGCGAGGGCGAGCCGCGGGGTCTCGGCGCCTCTGTATGCTTGCACTTAACGAGAACCCAGAGCGAACACGACCCACATTTCTCTTTTTGTTTTAAGAGGAAATATAGGAGTTACAGCATAGAATTACAATATCTGGACATTAGAAATAACAGGTCCCGGTCACGGTATGGCACCGCGCGACACACTTGGTCCCTGAGGCCTGGATGCCGCTCAGCAAACGTTCGCGGAATAGGGTTGGGTTTACTGTCCCCCACCGAGCCGGTTGCTCATTCATTCAGCATAATTGAATACCTCCTGTGTGCCAGGCACTGAATCAAGTGTCGGAGACAATGTCCTGCCCTCAAGCTCCTGGCCGGTTACTTGACAACCTTCCGGGACCTCAACGCTATGTGCCTACTGTGTGAAAGCAAAGTGCCAGGTGGAGGACACAAAGATGGCGAGCGACACAGGATAGTCCTTAACAATTAAGCGTGACTAATTTTAATAACAAATGAGAATATGATGTGACATCCGTTCCAAATCCTGTCGTTCCAAGTAACTTCTTAAGCATCTTTCACGATACAGCCTCTGCTTGAAAGGAATTAAAACAGGTACAAGCATGGAAGGAGACGTTGCTATCATATTTCAAGAATAAGAAAATGCTGTTTTGTGTGGTTGTGCAGCAGGCAATGAAATGAGCTTACATTCAAGCTTCCGTGTTTTACTGAAACAACAGTCACAGATGCAGTAGATGTTAAAGGTTGAAAGACGAGTGCAGTAAAAGCATTATGAGGACAAGAAGAAAACGTAAATATTTGTGTTGTTTCATTCTTTGTTGTGGTGGCAGAAACAGCCCCCTCTTTCTAAGGTAACTCCAATATAATGATCTCTCCCAGCTTTGAAATACTCCATGTCTGTTTCATTTTCCAGAAATATGGAAAAATGAATATATAATAAAAAACCCTATTTCTCATTTATTGTCTATTTTAGATCTTTATGTGGAAAAGCACTTACTCTCTTCCCAGAGCACTGTTTTTAAAGTAGGTATATTTGCCATAACCTATGCTCGTCTCTACAAAAGGATCACACCACCGTGTCCACCATTAAAGGGGAAATTCTTTAATGGTGGACACAGTGGTGTCCCTGAATCCTCATCCTCAAGTGTTTCAATCTTCCCAGTCTTGGGAAAACAACAATGTTACTTCTTTCTTTTGCACCCTCTGTAGCTGTAATCCTGTTTCCCCATTCTCCATAAAAGACTTACCTTATTTTCATATATCCTTATTCTTAGCCTTTGACACTTTTTTTTTTGAGACAGAGTTTTGCTGTGTCACCCAGGCTGGAGTGCAATGGTGTGATCTCAGCTCACTGCAACCTCTGCCTCCTGGGTTCAAGGATTCTCCTGCCTCAGCCTTCCAAGTAGCTGGGATTACAAGCATGCATCACCACGCCCGGCTAATTTTTTATATCTTTAGTAGAGACAGAGTTTCACCATGTGGGCCAGGCTGGTCTCGAACTCCTGGCCTCAAGTGATCCGCCTGCCACAGCCTCCCAAAGTGCTGGGATGACAGGTGTGAGCCACCGCACCCAGCTGATTCGCTTTCTTTACAGAGAAAATATAAATCATCACTCTGTTTGGCAGAAGCCTCTTCAACCAAATTTCCTTATTTCCACCTCCTGTTCTCTCCACACTCTTTCCTGCATCATTGCCAAATGTTTCAAAGGAATAGGTGTCTCAGGTGTTCTGAGTAGAGCCACTGCTCCCTTAATCTTGGCTGCACATCAGCATCACCTGGAGAGTTTAAGCAACCACTGATGCCTGGATCCAGTCCCAGAGTGTGGACTGGGCATTGGGATGTTTTAGGAGTTCCTCTAGGTGTTCTTAATGTGTGACCAAGGTTGAGAACTAATTTGTCACCCTCTAGAACTTGCTCCATCAGTCTCTACCCTTTGCCTACAGACTGATTCTACTTCTCTTACCAGATATCAGTCCCTTAAGGGCAGTGTCCGTTTCCTATTTATTTTTATATATTTTATGGTTTACACAGGCAACATAGTGAATTCCCAAATGATTTAGTAAGTGAAAAAAGTAATCAAATCAAG
The DNA here is from genome assembly GCF_000001405.40 of Homo sapiens. Taxonomy (NCBI): domain Eukaryota; kingdom Metazoa; phylum Chordata; class Mammalia; order Primates; family Hominidae; genus Homo; species Homo sapiens. The sequence continues at coordinate 86,702,371 of NC_000001.11, read as the reverse complement.
ATGTTTACAGTGCTAAGCTCTTTTGTGACACCATCACCCCCAGCCTAAATTTCCAACTATTTATCCATAGATTCAATATTTCCAGTGGCAAGTCTGTTATAGTTTGCTTTTCCTGAAAATTCTTCTTTTCTTGGGTTTCCTACATTGATAAATTGAATCATACACACCAAATCACCTAAGCCAGAAATCTGAGTCCCCTTTGATTATTTCCTCTTATTTCCCACCACCAATTGGTCTATCCTGGCAATTTCTTCTCTGAAACTGTTTCCTATTTTTCATTTTCATCCTCTTTTTAAAAACAAATTTTTTAACTTGAAACAATTTACAAACTAAGAAAACTGTTGCAAGAATAGTACAAAAACTTCTGTGTACCCTTTGCCTAGAAACCCCACTCAAACTTTGCCAATTATTCCAATGTCTTTACAGCAAAAACGTCCCAGCCAAGAAAGATCATGTGCTGCATCCAGTTAGCTTGTTGCTCAATTCTCCTTCAGTCTGGATCAATTATTCAGGCTTTTCTTGACACTATTCCTTCCCCAGAGTTAGCCACTATTTTTAAATTGGTATGATTAATATCTGTTATGTTTTTGTACTTTCACTGAATTTATATGTATCTATGAATGGTACTACTATGTTATATTTTTAAACTGCATAAATGATATCATATAGATAAATCCTTTTGCATTTAGGGGTCTAATACTTCTATTTGTGTATTTGATGACCTTTTTGTTTGTGGATTGATTCCTTTTGCTTTGTACATTGATTCCTTTTAGCTTTTTTTTTTATGGCTCATTTTTAGTGATACAGAAAAAAATGTTTCTTCTGTCAGAGACCCCTAAGGTTATCACTGGCTAGTGAGCAATTTTTACATGAATTTCTTTCTTGGCTTAGAAGTTCTAAGATCATTCAGATATTATAAATTTGAACCCAGATTTGTGGGAGTACAAACTATGATTCAAATTCTCAAGGGAGAGAGATCTTCCTTGTTTTTTTCTCTTTCAGAGCTTGTGCCTTGACAGAAAAGCTTCTTACTATGCCAGAAGAAAAGCTTCTATCTAGTCTACCCTTTCATTGAGGGTACAGAATTTCATGGGTTTTTAACTTATGTGTGTGTGTGAGGTCATGAAGTTGGGGGACAGGGTGTGCTCACAGTTAACTGATTTCTGTTTGCACCAAGGGCCCAAGGTCTTATCACAAGTTACCGTGTATTTTTAAAAATTATAAAGGCCAGGCGCGGTGGCTCATGCCTATAATCCCAGCACTTTGGGAGGCTGAGGTGGGTGGATAACTTGAGGTCAGGAGTTCAAGACCAGCCTGGCCAACATGGTGAAACCCTGTCTCTACTAAAAATACAAAAATTAGCCGGGTGTGGTGGTGGGTGCTTGTAATCCCAGGTACTCGGGAGGCTGAGGCAGGAGAATCACTTAAACCGAGGAGGTTGCAGTGAGCTGAGATCACGCCATTGCATTCCAGCTTGGGCAACAAGAGCGAAACTCCATCTTAAAAAAAAAATTAATGAAAATTGACAAATGATAATTGTATATACTGTATTGTATACAACCTGATTTGTAATATGTATACATCTTGGAATGGCTAAATTGAGTGACTTAACATATGTATTACGTCACATACTTATTTTTATGGTGAGAACACTTAAAGTCTGTTCTTAGTGATTTTGAAGAATACAACATGTTGTTAACTATAGTCACTATGTTGTACAATAGATCTCTTGAACTTATTCCTCCTATGTAACTGAAATTGTATATCCTTTGACCAGCGTCATCCAGCTCCCTCACTCTCTCCCAGCCCTTGCTAACCACCATTCCACTCTTTGCTTCTATTGAGTTCAACTTTTTTAGATTCCATATTTAAGTGAGATCATGCAATATTCATCTTTCTGGGCCTGGCTTATTTCACTTAACATAATGTCTTTAAGGTTCATCTATGTTGTCACAAATGACAGGATTTCCTTCTTTTTAGAGGCTGAATAGTTTTCCATTGTATACATATATCACATTTTTAAAATCCATTTATCACCTCATGGATTTAAACATTCAAGCACCATCCTCATTCAATCCTTTCTCCTCTCCAGACAGGGTCATATTCTGTATTCAAGACCCTGGTGTCCAGTTTCTTTTTTTATTTTTGCCACCTGAATATTTCCCTGTCTTTTTTTTTGTAAGCTCAAGTATGCATTATTATTAATTAATTAATTTATTTTGCTGCATTTTACCCAGCATTTCTAAGTATTTGTAGTAGAAGAGTTTTCATGTTATCTAGTCTGTATTGATTAAGGACTGCTTATGTTCAGCTCAAGTAACAGAAACCTAGCTGTAGTGACTTACCCAAATACTGATTTATTTTCTCACCCTCTAAGAAGTTCAGAGGTAGGCAGTCTTCTGTGTTTTTGTTTTTCTATTCTTATCATGTAGCTTTCATCCTAATGTCTCAAGATGGCTCCTGTAATTCTAGGCATTAAATATGTTTTTAAGGCAGAAAAAGGATGAAAAGTAAAGGCAAAAGTACATGCCAACTGAGTCTACTTCTTACTCCTTAAATCAAGAAAACAGCTTTTTCATAAACCCCACGTAGTAAACTTTGGTTTACATCTCATTAGCTAGAACTGGGTCGTTTAGTTCTCCGTAAATGCATTAGAGACTGATAAATGAAATGTGCCCTGTTGAAAAATAAGTATTTCAATTTTTTATATCTTTAAAAAAATCTATATCAAAAATACATATATATGTATCTATATATCTATATATATCTATATATAGATACATATAAATTCAGTTGAAAGTATACAATCATAATAGAAATTAGTATTTTATTTTTAAATCTTTCTTTATTTCTTAAACAGCACTTACTGTCATCCTGAACAAAAATGGGGTTTCTGTTAGCAAGGCAGAAAGAGAATAGTTATAGGGTAAGCAACTATCAATGTCTGCCATGCTGCTGTAAGGCAAGAATTGAAAGTCTCCCATGCTCACTGAAACTTCCTTTCAGTTTTTAGACTGATAAACAGGGCCACTTACATAATTCGCAGGGACCAATGCAAAACGAAAATATGGAGCCCTTTGTTCAAGAGCAAAAGGAAAGTGCTGTTTAAAGGTATTAAAATAAAACTTTTTCCTTTATTTTGTGATCTCTTTTGACTTGTCATTTTTTTATTTGCTGTTTAATGTCATTCTAAGCAAAGAAAAGATTATAATTTAAATTATTAGAATGATTTTTACCATACATCTTCATGTTGTACAATGACAGTGTTATGTTATGTTATGTTATGTTATGTTATGTTATGTTATGTTATGTTATGTTATGTTATGTTATTTTTTGAGATGGAGTCTCACTGTGTTGCCCAGGCTGGAGTGCAGTGGCACAGTCTTGGCTCACTGCAACCTCTGCCTCCCGAGTTCAAGTGATTCTCCTGCCTCAGCCTCCCAAGTAGCTGGGATTACAGGTGCCTGCTACCATGCCCAGCTAATTTTTGTATTTTTAGTGGAGACGGGTTTTTGCCATGTTGGCCAGGGTGGTCTCAAACTCTGTAATCTGCCTGCCTCGGCCTCCCAAAGTGCTGTGATTACAGGCATGAGCCACCGCGCCCGGCCCTACAATGCCAGTTTTAAAACAAATATAAGAGCATTTCCCAGCCTCACTAATTATCAGGGAAATGCAAATCAAAACCGCAATGCAATACCACCTTACTCCTGCAAGAATGGCCTTTAATTAAAAAAAAAAAAAAGATGTTGGCATGGATGTGGTGAAAAGAGAACACTTTCACACTGCTGGTGGGAATGCAAACTAGTACAACCACTGTGGAAAACAGTGTGGAGATTCCTTAAAGAACTAAAAGTAGGTCTACCATTTGATCCAGCAATCCCCCTATTGGGTATCCACCCAGAGGAAAAGAAGTCATTATACGAAAAAGATACTTGCACATGCATGTTTATAGCAGAACAATTCACAATTTCAAAAATATGTAACCAGCTCAAATGCCAATCAATCAACAAGTGGATAAAGAGAATGTTGTATATATTTTCTGGAATACTACTCAGCCATAAAAAGGAATGAAATAATGGCATTCATAGCAACCTGGATGGAATTAGAGACCATTATTCTGAGTGAAGTAACTCAGGAATGGAAAACCAAGCATCGTATGTTCTCACTCATAAGTGGGAGCTAATCTATGAGGACATAAAGGCTTAAAAATGTTTCAATGGACTTTGGGGACTTGGAGGAAAGGGTTGGTGTGGGGGTGGGGCATAAAAGACTACACATTGGGTACAGTGTACATTGCTCGGGTAACGGGTGCACCAAAATCTCAGAAATCACCATTATGGAACTTATTCGTGTAACCAAACCCCACCTGTTACCCAAAAACCTATTGAAACAAAAAAATTATAGATAAAAAACAAATATAACAGCATTTAAGATGTATGTAGAATCATTGAAATTGTACAATTTGTATTTCACAGTACACGCATGCATATGTATTTTGTTCTTACTAAAACAGTGGAAATGCGGCATGAAACTAAATCAATTTTTAAAAATTTTATTTCTTGATATGTGCATATTCCACCAATACTCTACTTTTGGCCTGCTGATGAAGAGTAAGGAAGGACTGAAAGGAGGAGAAACTATGGGTTGCCTTTTCCTTCTGTCATCTGTTCAGCGTAAGTGGTTGGCAGCTTTAAAAAACCATTTACTTTGTACTCTCATTGGTCTTCTGGAATTCACTACTCATAGATGTATTGAAAACACTATATATGAATGGGGCCTCAAGGAACAGCAGCAGACATGTGTCTGTAAGTGCTGATGTATAAAGATTTCCAAGATACCATATTAATAAAAAAAGTGTATGGAACAGTGTATGGGTAATTGAGTGTAAATAAAAAGGAATATGTGTTATATATATATGTAAGTACTTTGTATATGCATAACTTGTAAAATAAAAATAATTTTAAGAAACTACATATAGCAGTTACCTTTGGGGAGAAGGTATGGGGTAAGGAGCGGGAAGGGTAGGAAGCTTTCACATTTTATTTTGTATCTTTCTGTACTTCTTGGATTTACAACATGTGTATGTATATGTAGATATACACACATGTATAACATTTCTTTCATGTTTTTATTTTTAGATTTCATAGTAAAACCTTTGTTGATTTAATAAACATAATGGATACTCATTAAAATATTCAAACAGCATAGAAAGGGACAAAGAAGAAAGCAGCCAGCAATCCAAGTACCACTATCCAGAAATAGCCAGTGATATCTCTTTATGTGTGGAAATACAATGAAAATTGAGTGAGAGACATACACAGAGGAAGAAGAAAAAGAGTAAGTTATAAAAGGTATTAAATTAAATTAATTTAAATTTAGCAGAAATAAAAAACAAGTAAAAAATGAATAAACCTCATGTTATTTCTTTCCCACAGAGGTATTAGATCCTACAAGACCCCTCTTGGAGTCATTTTATGTGAGGTTTTCTTCTTCCTTCTTCTTTTTTCTAAATCACCTGTTTTAATCTTAGACATCATCTATTAACTTACCATGTTAAAGATGAGGTAATTAGAACTTATTTTTTTCTTTCGTCTTGCATTTGTCTCTCTACCAACTTACATTGCTTTTATTATTTTTACTTTGAGTTAAGCAGTGAGTCACCAGTAATGTCCAGTGTTATTGGAGTATGTAGGAAAACAAGCATTCTCAAACACAATATGAGGAAGTGCACATTGATAAAGATATTTTGAAGGGTAATTTGGCATATTAAGTAAAATTTAAATTTGACCCAGCAATTCTACTTATAGCAATCTATCCAAAGCATATTTGTACAAAGATAAGTATACAAGCTTTTGTGCAACACTGTTTTTAATACCAAAGAGTTGGAAATGTTAATCAGTAAGAAAATGGTTTTATGAAGTATGGTGCATTCGCAATGTGAAATACTATAGAAAAGTTAAAAGAATTATGGAGACAAATATGTACTGAAATGGAAAAAATTCTAAATTATATTGTTAAGAGAAAAAAGAAAGTCATACAATATACCTACAGTGTGATTCCATTTTATTATGAAATAATATAAATATATATCCACACATTCACACTGATACAGAATTATACATACAGAGAAAGATTGGGGAGAGGAAAAGGACTGGGAAGGTAAAGAGGAAAGTTCATATTTAATCCCATATACTGAAAATCTGCCTTTGTGTTTTACAACAGGAATGTATACGTTGTATAAAAGGCAGAGAAAAGGAGAAAAAACAGTCTCTTCTCCAATATGTGTAAGGAATCTAATTTTAGGTAGTATTTCTGGTTTAATGATTGATATAATGGGCAAATCTGCTTTCTATTTCGGATGAGAAACAAAGCAAAACAAAACACCCTAGCTTTTGACATAATCTGCATGCCTTGCCATAGATGTTAGCCAACAAACCAAAACTTCTCCTCACCTCAAAATGACATAATTTCTTTCCTATTACACTTAAGATCCTGGAATCATGTAGTTCACTGCATTCTTCAATCTTGAATAAAAGTGCTAGACTACTGGCAATGCTATTCTCTTTCAAAGAGCTTCTTTCCCATTATGCCCATGTTTTTACTTTGAGGACTGAATGCTCATTCCACTTTAAAATAAAGCTTAACTATAATTTTATTTTATACTTTAGTTACTGATATTACCTTGTGACTTGAGATGAAGACTAAAAGGAAAAGTAAAATAACAGTTTGGCTCACATTGTTGGAATTTAAGTTAATATGACTCATACTAGCAATTAGCTTCTTGTCCTGAAAGGTAAATATCAGTGTATTTACTGACGCTTTGAGGTATGGGAGTAAGGAGACAACGCCACCAAATTATGTGGTATAAGTTTAAGCTCTTAAGTTACCAAGGAAAAACTTAAAAGGATCCACTTGCCAGTTACTTACCAATATGATCATCTAACAAACACCTATTATGAGCAACCCCTATGCTAAGTTCCATGAAGGACAGCAATATAAGATATAATCTTTTTTTTGTTAAACGATGTGCATACGTGAGATAATATGGAAAGTTGAATCTAAGAAAGCCTGGCTTGGGAGGTATTCAAGTGGTCGTGGTAGAGTTAAAGATACCCAGAAGTCTTCTAAGAAGCACAAAACATGATTCCTGTACTCAGAGACATGCAGTCCTATTCACATGCAAAGAGGACCTACACTGGCTATTGCCAAGTATCAAGCGAGGTGAGTGCTATCATAAGTCACAGAATGGATACATTATTTGAGTAGTCAGATAAATCTCACAGCATGAGGCATAAGATGTCTAATAATGTCTAGAAAGCAATTGGAAATATGTGATTAAAGCTTGGGAATGAACACTGGGTTAAAGATAGACACTTTGGAGTCATTTGCATGGCTGTGATAAATAAGATTTGAAATAGAAGATAAACAGAATGAAAAGTAAAGGAAGATTAAAATCTGAAGAAAACAGCAAGACACTGTAAAAATAAAGACAGTTATAGAACTGACATGTTCACAAATATTAAGCAAAACAAGAGTTAACTAAGTGGACTGCATTCAAAAAGTTTAAGTAATCTTTTTAACTTTTGCTTGGAATATTGCTGATCCTTGTTTTGTTTTTCAGAGTCAAGGAAACTTATTTTAAACTATTAATGGCCATTAATAATTGAGTAAGGTATACTACTGTAAACAAAATTTGGAGCATGTTCATTTATCTCCACCTGGTTCCTCTAAAATTTGGAGACTACCTGTAAGTACTCTTAACTTATGGCAGTATAGTTGTTTGCATCAGTGCAATAAGAATGCATTTTTCTTTGTCAACAGGACACAATTGGATAAACTGGTTATTTTACCAAGGCTTTGGCTGAAATGGTGTGTTTCCCTTTAAGGAATCAAGCTTGACATGCAGAGCCAATAAAAGCCCCTTGGAGAACTGGCCTCATACCTTGTCTATACAGTCCCCGCACAGGGTTCCTAACCTGTAGTCAATAAAGAATGTCACTTTCTAACAGGTCTGGAAGCTCGGAGTTTCTCTTGGGACCTCAAGAAGTGAGGATCACCCAACTCACAGGTATTTGAGGATACAGACCCATTGCTGGGCTCGGCTTTAAAGGTCTTATCTAAGATTCCTTGTGGAACAGAGTTTCATCAAAGCCAATCCAAGAGACCTATGTAGAAATAACTATTCTTACTGCACTTCATGCAAATAATCAAGCCAAGTATAAGACTAAAGTTCATTCATGATTAGTTTTGACCAAAAATGAGAACTGGAGAGAAAAATTTTGCTCCAAAGCTTATCATACATTTGTCATTAAATCCTCATCTCAATTGTTTTTAAGATTTTTGCTTACATTTTAAACTAATCCTTCTTATTCCTGTGAATAAAATGGTAATCTTCTGCAGCTTGGAAGAAATAAAAAGGGATGGGTAACGTAAAAATCTGAATCAATACACTAGCTCTGGGCAATTATACTGCAAATTCTGCCAGGTAATGAAAGTAAGTAGGGTATCCATAACCTGGAGTTTTCTTTGTTTGGGAAAATAAAAGCAAAGCTTCACAGACCGCCAAAGGGAAATTCTATATCTTGGCAAGTAAAATTTTATATGGAAATTATCTACTACACCACACTTGTGGGAACTGCTATACTCACTCTACTATTTGCAATAGGGTTATACATGGTAGCACCTTCTAATTGAAATATTGAACAGAGTTTCCATTGCTGTTGTATTTTGCTTAATTATTATCCTTATAGTAGGAATAATAGTTACTGACAAAAAGGAAGCATAAAAGTTTTACTATCACTGAGTCTGCTAGGACTTTTTATTGGGTTTAGTGATGATTAACACCTAGTAAAGTAGAGAAAAATCTACAGGTACTTAAAGATCAAATCAAAATTATTGACAGGCTCAGGGAAAATGCCAGCTTCAGCCCCAGATGGCTACAATCCCTCTTTAATAAATTCCAGCCTTCTTTATGGAATTGGTTAACCCCTTTATTAAGCCCTCTCTTGCTTATATGTCTTGTATTGATATTTGGACCCTGTATACTCAATACTATAACTCGAATTGTTTCTTCTCACCTAGAAGCAATCAAACTCCAAATGGTGCTGCAAACTGAACCCCACATGGACACGCCATTCTTCTGAGGACCCTTAGATCCACCCCAGGAGGAGCCCTAGCTGCTGTTCCCCATTCGATGCCCCTTTTCAGCCGTAAGTAGCCAGAAGAAGTCATCGCTCCAAACCCTCTAACAGCAGTTAGTGTGGCCTCTCCCCGGTGGGGGGGAATGTTGTAGGAGTTATTAAGAAATTATTTTAGGCAGATAGAGAGGAAAAGGGGTCCTTGGGAAGTTTTCATTTTTAAAAGCATCTCTGGAAATATTTCTTGTAAAGCCCCCGCTCTTAGAGCCAGGCCGGCAACCTTTGATATGCAAATACAGGCTATTAGAAACTGCGTCCACCCAAACATGGTAATTCCTGCAGCCTTCTTGCCCTTGCCCCACATGTTCCTGGCAACATGCCTACCCCCACATATCCCCACGTGTGTAGAACATCATGATGCCTTACATTTGCATATTAAAAGGCTAGGATGGGAGCGCCAGCTTTTTCATGGGCTATGTGAATGACATGCCTAGTCAAATCAATCTCCTGAGCCCTGTGCAAATCGGACACCAGCTCCTCCAGCCTCTGCATATATACCTGGCTGGTGTCTATTGCATTTGGGGTTTCCTCTCTTGGCTTTGGAGCCCCCCCACCCTCTGTCTCTGTACAGGGGAGCTTCTTCCTTCTGCCTTCTTCCTTCTTCCTGGCCTATTAAACTCTCCACTCATTCAAACAAACAAAAAAAGTTCAATTTAAAGAAAAAATTGAACATCTATACATTTAAAATAAAGTCATTAAACTGAAAACTTAATGGACTAACTAACGGCATATTAGATACCAATGAAGGGAGATTAGTAAATGCAAGATAGTTCTGAGGAAATTATACAGAAAACAGTATGGAGAAATAGGGAATGAAAAATATAGATTAAGAAAAATGAGGATAGAATGAGAAACTTCAGTACACTAACTAACAAGATTTTCAGAAAGTAAGATAAGAAAGAAGAAAGAGAGAGAGAGACAAGTTTGATGTGACAATGACTGATAATTTCCCCAAACTGATGAAAGACTATCTCAAGTCAAAGAATCTTAAGCAGAATAAATAAAAAGAAGTACATCCTAGGCACATTGAAATTGTGAAAGCAGTGAATTGTAGTGCTGCAATGACAAAGATAAAATCTAGAAAGAAATCAGATATCAAAGATAGATTACCTACAAAGAAATAATTAGGTCAGCAATAGAGCAATAATAGATTTCTCAAGAATAATACTAAGAGCCAGAAGTTAAGGAAATAGTATCCTCATAGAGCTAAGGAAAAACAAATACACTTATAAATCTACAATTTGATGCCCACTAAACTATCAATTAAGAGTACCAAATTATGGCACTTTTCAGACTGAAAAAATTTACCTCTTACAGACTAACTGGCACTGAAAACTGAAATAGTTCAGCCAATATTCTACATCGCTTAAAGATATATATATATTTATTATATCTATATTCATGTATATTATATACTATTGATACATATATGATACATGTAATTAATACAAGTATAAAAACAAGCATGGGAATTATAAACATCTAATTCAAAATAATGATTATTTATGAGAGAAAAAGAAAGGAATTGACGCTTCCTTTGTATCTTTTAAGCTAGTATACATGGGCATTTATTATATTATTTTTAGACTGTTTTGTCTCCTTGAAATATATTTTAAAAAGGAGAGAGTTTTTAAAAAGTAATGATCTATAATATAAAATATTGCACAAGACAATAAGAACAGGAAATTCCACAGATTTGGACACTAAAAGGGCACTCCAGAGAACTATCTTCCCAGGTAAGGGAGAATGAAAACAGAACCTTTTCAACCTTCGTACATTTGCTCATATCATTTCTCCTTCTCTCCTGTTACAATAAAAGAGATGTTTTTCTGTCCATCAAAGAACAGTCCTTTCCCTGTATGTTCTGGATCCTATGTCTCCCACCTTCTTAAAACACATATGTTTATCCCTTTTCCCTTTTATATTTTCATGTTTTCCCTTTCTACAGAATTTTTACTGGCATTTCAGTCTCTCCTATTTTTTTTTTTTCTTTTTGAGACTGAGTCTCGCTCTGTCACCCAGGCTGGAGTGCAGTGGCGCGATCTTGGCTTACTGCAAGCTCTGCCTCCTGGATTCACGCTATTCTCCTGCCTCAGCCTCCTGAGTAGCTGGGACTACAGGTGCCCACCACCATGCCCAGCTAATTTTTTTGTATTTTTAGTAGAGACGGGGTTTCACCGTGTTAGCCAGGATGGTCTCGATCTCCTGACCTTGTGATCCTCCTGCCTCAGCCTCCCAAAGTGCTGGGATTACAAGGGTGAGCCACCGCGCCCAGCCAGTCTCTCTTATTTTTAAACTTCTCCTCCCCCAAATTGTCACAAACGCAAATATTGCTTCTACTTACTATCACAACCCTATTTCAGCCACTTTCTTGTTTATCTCCTTCCCGTACCAGTGAAACATCTTGAAAAAATTATCTCCAATTATTGTCTCAATATCTGGACCTCCCAATTACCCTTGAAACACTCCAATGTAGTTTCTGCTCCTATCCTACCACTCCATAGAAATTACTCTCTTTAAGATTACTGGTGATTACTATCTTGACCTCTTACCATCACTTGATATTCTGTACCACTTGTTTCTCAATCATCTTCATAATAAGCGCAATATTTGTTGAATGTTTGCCATATTCCAGGTGCTGTGTTAATGCGTTAAATTTGTATGCATTATTTCCTTCTTGAAACCTCTCTTTCTTTGGTTTCCATGACAACACTTCTCTGATTTTCCTCCTACCTCTCAATAGATAGTCTGGTTTCTTTGCTCATCCCCATCTTTCTGGCCTTTAATTGACAAAGTTCCTCAAGATACATTTCATAACTCTTCTCACTCTAAAACAGAAAATTTCTCCATTTATATGTATCTATTTATACGCAGATGACTTCCAATTTTCTTTTCATTTCATCTATTAACATTTCTCCGTGTAAATCTTTAAAAGATAAGAACTCTTTTGTTTGGTTAAACATAACCACAAAATCATTATCACACATAAAATTAACAACAGTTCCTTAATGTTAGAAAATATCCAGAGAGCACTTTTCCAATTGTCTAATAACTATCATAAAATTTTTTAGAAAATTTAAAATAAAGGTTCTCATCAAATTACTCTATTGATTTCAATCCTTTAGTGATGTCTCATTAGTCTTAGGATAAAGAACAAAATCTGTATCCTGGCCTGTAGGCCCTGTATGGTTTGTCCTGGCTTCTCTAGTCACCTAGATCAATGAATGGAATCTAAAGATTTCACATTGATTATTTTAAGTTGATATCAGGTGGATAATATTAAGTCAAAAGGTACTGAACCTTTGATTGTAAAATTTGCATCTTTTGGAGTTTGTTTTGACCAAAAGGAGGGAGTTGAGAAATACTGATGAGTTAAATGATGCAGGCCTGGCTCAACAAAGCTGGAGAATGGAAGGGTCTTGATAGACATAATCCTAAGACAGTCGATTCCAGTATGCTCCTCAGTAAACTTGCAGGTTTTGGGAATAATCAAATACAATTGAAATTGTCTTCTTTGTTACGCTTGGACAAACTTCACAAGGACAGACTGCCTAGGCTGACCTCTTTGCTGCCATCTAATCAGTTTACCAAGAAAAATGTGCAAACAAGACTCAGTCTTTCCAGACTGTAGTTTTTTTTCTCTCAGAAGTGAAGCATTTGCCCTTGTTGCTTGACAACAGTATAATGAGTGTTTCCCTATATGTGAAAAAAATTTTCATATAAATAACCAAATATCTCAGTTATTCTTTGATAATAAAAGCTTGGGCCAGGCATGGTGGCTCATGCCAGTACTTTGGGAGGCTGAGGCAGGTGGAGGCTGCTTGAATGCAAGAGTTTGAGACCAGCCTGGGCAACATGATGAAACCCCATATGTACAAGAAATACAAACTTAGCCGGGCCCAGGAGGTGGAGGTTGCAGTGAGCTGAGATTGCTCCACTGCACTGCAGCCTGGGTAACAGAGCAAGATGCTGTCTTGAAAAAAAAAAAAAAAGCTTAATCTTATCCTCAAAGATAATATTTCCCACTCTTACTCATCTTAATACTTCGATTGACTCAGTTGTTCAAGATAAAAATCTGGGACTATTTTCAATGCTCTCTGGTTCCTCATCCTTACCTCCCTCCCAGTATTCAATTCAATTCAATTCCCTCCCAATATTCAATATTCAGCAGATCTGAATCTACTGATAGCAACCATGATAGTCTGAGCCAAAACCATCTGTTGTTGGGACTATTGAAATACTCTCCTAAATGGTCCTAATTTTTCCCCCTACATTCATGTTCATCCTCTTCCATTTCGTTTCTGCATAGGAGCCAGGGTGTTTTAAAAAACCGTGTATCTCATTATCTCTCCTTGTTTAACTACAATTGGTCCTTCATATCCATGGGCTCTGAAAGCACAGATTCAACCAACCAGGGATAGAAAATATGTGGAAAAAAAGAATAATTAAAGACAAAAACATGACAGTAAAAACAATACAAATAAAAACCAACACAGTATAATAACTATATAGCACTTACATTGTATTAGGTATTATAAGTAATCTAGATATGATTTAAAGTATCATCTCTTTAAAGGAGGATATGCATAGGTATGGCGTATATAAATACTATGCCATTTTATATAAGGGGTTTGAGCATTCAAGGGGGAAGAGTGGCATCCTAGAACCAGTCCCCTGTGGATACTAAGGGATGACTGTACTTCAAATGATTTCTATTATACCTATCATAAAGTGATAAAATCATGAATCCCCAATATGGCCAACCCTTTCACCAGGCCCTGTTTAGCCTGCCACCTACCTTCCTCGACTCATCTGGTATAGCTGTCTCCCTTACTCACAACTGTAACCACACTGCCCTTATTTAAATTCCTTTAGATAACAAAACTTTTCCCACCTCAGCACCTTCACTCATGCTTTTCCTGCTGCCTTAAATCTCTCTTGCTGCTCATTATTTAGGAGTTGGCTCATCACTTTCTCAGAGAAGCCCTTCCTAAACTCCGTACTAAATTAGGGATTCCCTTGTAAGTCCTTCATGTCTCTAAACACAATTTATATTCATTTATATAATAATTTGTGTAATTTAATCCCTACTAATCTATAAGCTCAAAAAGGTCAGAAATCATATCTGCTTTTAAAAATGTTTTATATAATACAAGCCTAGCACATAGCAGGCACTAAATACTCTGAACAAATGAGTGAGATAAGGTATGTGGAAGCTTTTCGCACAGTACCTGACACATAGGCACTACTCAAATTTATTTTCCTTTTTTATTTTAAAGATTACATTAGATATTGGTCTTTTACTTAATAGAATGTTGTTAGTCTTTTTTTAAAGTATGTATTTTAAATCTTTTGAATGACTATGATAATTCCACTAGATGTCAGACTAACCTAAAAATTTGTTATAAAATTAAAGTACTGTGTATGATTCCAGTGTTCAGTTGACTGGTTAGATGATTCTCATGTTGTTAATTTGATGAAGAGAGGTAATGTTTTTGTAGATACCTTTGAAATTAAGATTATGGATGCTCCATGATTGTATATTGAGTACCCAGGATATAATCCTCTTGTGCTGTGGAAGGTTATAGATATTTTGGGTTTCTTACCAAAGACTTGCACTGTCCCAATAATAAAATACTTATAAAATATAATAAAAAATAATAACTGCTAATATTTATTGAACACCAACTATATATCAGACACTTTGATAAACACTTTATATGTTTTATCTCATTTAATCTCCATTAGTAAGTTATGATAGTAATTAAAAGTGTCTTCATTAATAAAAGTTTTGTGAGATAAATAGTATTATTAACCTCCTTTTGAAAACTAGGGTTTAAAAAAGTTAAATAGCTGTTCCTAAAGGCTCTAAAAGAGGTAGTATAACCTATCAAAATTATTTATAAAAACATTTTAAATAAAAGTAACTCCCTATTTTGAAAACATAAAGATTTTTTATTTTTTATTTTTTATTTATTTGTTTTTTAATTATACTTTAAGTTTTAGGGTACAAGTGCACAGTGTGCAGGTTTGTTACATATGTATATATGTGCCATGTTGGTGTGCTGCACCCATTAACTCATCATTTACATTAGGTATATCTCCTAATGCTATCCCTCCCCCCTCCTCCCACCCCACAACAGGCCCCAGTGTGTGATGTTCCCCTTCCTGTGTATTAAAACATAAAGATGTTTTAATAACAATAGTCTTGTCAACATTCACGGCACGTGGAACTTGGGATTTCATTTATGAGATAAATAAATGATGTTGGTTAGCGGAAGAGATTAGGATGGTAGTGGAAAGAGCATACAATTTGGAATTAGATCTTGGTTTGTATCTCAGCATCACCATTTACTAGCTTCAGTCTGAACTTGGGCAAGGTATTTCACATCTCTGAGGCTCAGGTCCCAGTTAATTGGGGTTATAATACAATGTCTACCTTGCTATGCTGAAGTAAAGATTAAATAGAAAAATATACAGAAAATGCTACTACAGTGATTGGCATGTGATAAGTTATAGTTCAATATATCTTGTTTTAAAAATTTTTGTTATAAATGTCTAAATCTAAGAGCAGAAGATATTAATTTTGTAAATACTATGGGTTACAAACCTCTCATATTTTGGTCATGGTAGATGAATATACAAAATAGCAATGTCAAATTCATACTTGAATGGCTTAAAATTTATCTATGGACAGTTTACAAAGACTAATTGTTTAATTCTCAAAATTAATGAGAACATTTCCATGGAAGAGTTAAGAATTAAGATAATATATCTTGCACTTAATCAACATTTTTAAAGTAGCATTGGTGCTTTGATATGATAGTAAAGGAGGTTGAGAGAGAAAACAGATTCATTCTTTTCCTTCCATGTTTATTACTTGTTATCATTTATTAATGCTAACATATTACTTCTGGCCTAGACTCCTTTAATAGCCTCCAAAATTATCTCTCCATTTCACTTTCCTTTACACAAGTTTTCAAGATGAATACTTCTAAAAATATAGCTCAAATCATATTACAATTTGCTCAAGCATCTGCCTACTAAGGAAAGTATATATACTACTCTTGTTAGAGCCATGTCATAGGCTAATTTCCTCATTTTTACTATACAGTATGCACCTGTAAGTATTCAGAACTGCATCGAGATATGTGGGCACAATAGCTAATGTCCCTGATTCAATTTATATTTTGAAAATATTTGTAAATTTATTTAATGGGGCTGGAGTGAAATATATTTTTCTTTTACATTTAAGACATTTAAAAAACCCAGAAAAATATAGATAATAGTGTAACAAAAACTTTCATTCTTCTCATATAGGAATAACAATTTTTAAAATCATAACTTAGTTTTTTTAAGGGCTAAAACATTATTGTTTAAGCTTAAGATCTAGGTAACTAAATCAACACTCTCAGTCTCATTCACCTTTCTGCCCTTCACTCAAAACCTCCCCTAGGAAGAGTTTAATGTATTTCCTGCCCAGTTTTAAAAATACTTTTACTTATTTATATTTACAGACAAATATAGTATATCTTATGCTGTAATTTATGTACATGATAGCATATTGTACCTATCATTTTGTAATTTTTTTACACAGTATTATATATTTCAAATCTGTTTAATATAGATTAGATGAAATTCCTTTTTTTTTTTTTTTTTTTTTTGAGACAGAGTTTTGCTCTTGTTGCCCAGGCTGGAGTGCAATGGCGCAATCTCGGCTCACCGCAACCTCCGCCTCCCGGGTTCAAGCGATTCTCTTGCCTCAGCCTCCAGAGTAGCTGGGATTACAGGCACGTGCCACCATGCCTGGCTAATTTTGTACTTTTAATAGAGACAGGGTTTCTCCATGTTGGTCAGGCTGGTCTCGAACTCCCGACCTCAGGTGATCCTCCCAAAAGTGCTAGGATTACAGGTGTGAGTCACTGCGCCCGGCCAGAATTCATTTCTTTTAGCTGTTTTATAGAAGTCCATCACATGAATATACCACATTTTATTTGTCAATTTCCTTATTGCTGGATGCTTAGATTGTTCCAGTCTTCACTCTTAAAAATATGCTATAGTGAGGGGAGGAGCCAAGATGGCCGAATAGGAACAGCTCCGGTCTACAGCTCCCAGCGTGAGCGACGCAGAAGACGGGTGATTTCTGCATTTCCATCTGAGGTACCGGGTTCATCTCACTAGGGAGTGCCAGACAGTGGGCGCAGGCCAGTGGGTGTGCGCACCGTGCGCGAGCCGAAGCAGGGCGAGGCATTGCCTCACCTGGGAAGCGCAAGGGGTCAGGGAGTTCCCTTTCCGAGTCAAAGAAAGGGGTGATGGACGCACCTGGAAAATCGGGTCACTCCCACCCGAATATTGCGCTTTTCAGACCGGTTTAAGAAACGGCGCACCATGAGACTATATCCCACACCTGGCTCAGAGGGTCCTACGCCCACGGAATCTCGCTGATTGCTAGCACAGCAGTCTGAGATCAAACTGCAAGGCGGCAACGAGGCTGGGGGAGGGGCGCCCGCCATTGCCCAGGCTTGCTTAGGTAAACAAAGCAGCCGGGAAGCTCGAACTGGGTGGAGCCCACCACAGCTCAAGGAGGCCTGCCTGCCTCTGTAGGCTCCACCTCTGGGGGCAGGGCACAGACAAACAAAAAGGCAGCAGTAACCTCTGCAGACTTAAGTGTCCCTGTCTGACAGCTTTGAAGAGAGCAGTGGTTCTCCCAGCACGCAGCTGGAGATCTGAGAACGGGCAGACTGCCTCCTCAAGTGGGTCCCTGACCCCTGACCCCCGAGCAGCCTAACTGGGAGGCACCCCCCAGCAGGGGCACACTGACACCTCACACAGCAGGGTATTCCAACAGACCTGCAGCTGAGGGTCCTGTCTGTTAGAAGGAAAACTAACAACCAGAAAGGACATCTACACCGAAAACCCATCTGTACATCACCATCATCAAAGACCAAAAGTAGATAAAACCACAAAGATGGGGAAAAAACAGAACAGAAAAACTGGAAACTCTAAAACGCAGAGCGCCTCTCCTCCTCCAAAGGAACGCAGTTCCTCACCAGCAACAGAACAAAGCTGGATGGAGAATGATTTTGACGAGCTGAGAGAAGAAGGCTTCAGACGATCAAATTACTCTGAGCTACGGGAGGACATTCAAACCAAAGGCAAAGAAGTTGAAAACTTTGAAAAAAATTTAGAAGAATGTATAACTAGAATAACCAATACAGAGAAGTGCTTAAAGGAGCTGATGGAGCTGAAAACCAAGGCTCGAGAACTACGTGAAGAATGCAGAAGCCTCAGGAGCCGATGCGATCAACTGGAAGAAAGGGTATCAGCAATGGAAGATGAAATGAATGAAATGAAGCGAGAAGGGAAGTTTAGAGAAAAAAGAATAAAAAGAAATGAGCAAAGCCTCCAAGAAATATGGGACTATGTGAAAAGACCAAATCTACGTCTGATTGGTGTACCTGAAAGTGATGTGGAGAATGGAACCAAGTTGGAAAACACTCTGCAGGATATTATCCAGGAGAACTTCCCCAATCTAGCAAGGCAGGCCAACGTTCAGATTCAGGAAATACAGAGAACGCCACAAAGATACTCCTCGAGAAGAGCAACTCCAAGACACATAATTGTCAGATTCACCAAAGTTGAAATGAAGGAAAAAATGTTAAGGGCAGCCAGAGAGAAAGGTCGGGTTACCCTCAAAGGGAAGCCTATCAGACTAACAGCAGATCTCTCGGCAGAAACCCTACAAGCCAGAAGAGAGTGGGGGCCAATATTCAACATTCTTAAAGAAAAGAATTTTCAACCCAGAATTTCATTTCCAGCCAAACTAAGCTTCATAAGTGAAGGAGAAAGAAAATACTTTACAGACAAGCAAATGCTGAGAGATTTTGTCACCACCAGGCCTACCCTAAAAGAGCTCCTGAAGGAAGCACTAAACATGGAAAGGAACAACCGGTACCAGCCGCTGCAAAATCATGCCAAAATGTAAAGACCATCGAGACTAGGAAGAAACTGCATCAACTAATGAGCAAAATCACCAGCTAACATCATAATGACAGGATCAAATTCACACATAACAATATTAACTTTAAATATAAATGGACTAAATTCTGCAATTAAAAGACACAGACTGGCAAGTTGGATAAAGAGTCAAGACCCATCAGTGTGCTGTATTCAGGAAACCCATCTCACGTGCAGAGACACACATAGGCTCAAAATAAAAGGATGGAGGAAGATCTACCAAGCAAATGGAAAACAAAAAAAGGCAGGGGTTGCAATCCTAGTCTCTGATAAAACAGACTTTAAACCAACAAAGATCAAAAGAGACAAAGAAGGCCATTACATAATGGTAAAGGGATCAATTCAACAAGAGGAGCTAACTATCCTAAATATTTATGCACCCAATACAGGAGCACCCAGATTCATAAAGCAAGTCCTGAGTGACCTACAAAGAGACTTAGACTCCCACACATTAATAATGGGAGACTTTAACACCCCACTGTCAATATTAGACAGATCAACGAGACAGAAAGTCAACAAGGATACCCAGGAATTGAACTCAGCTCTGCACCAAGCAGACCTAATAGACATCTACAGAACTCTCCACCCCAAATCAACAGAATATACATTTTTTTCAGCACCACACCACACCTATTCCAAAATTGACCACATAGTTGGAAGTAAAGCTCTCCTCAGCAAATGTAAAAGAACAGAAATTATAACAAACTATCTCTCAGACCACAGTGCAATCAAACTAGAACTCAGGATTAAGAATCTCACTCAAAGCCGCTCAACTACATGGAAACTGAACAACCTGCTCCTGAATGACTACTGGGTACATAACGAAATGAAGGCAGAAATAAAGATGTTCTTTGAAACCAACGAGAACAAAGACACCACATACCAGAATCTCTGGGACGCATTCAAAGCAGTGTGTAGAGGGAAATTTATAGCACTAAATGCCTACAAGAGAAAGCAGGAAAGATCCAAAATTGACACCCTAACATCACAATTAAAAGAACTAGAAAAGCAAGAGCAAACACATTCAAAAGCTAGCAGAAGGCAAGAAATAACTAAAATCAGAGCAGAACTGAAGGAAATAGAGACACAAAAAACCCTTCAAAAAATCAATGAATCCAGGAGCTGGTTTTTTGAAAGGATCAACAAAATTGATAGACCGCTAGCAAGACTAATAAAGAAGAAAAGAGAGAAGAATCAAATAGATGCAATAAAAAATGATAAAGGGGATATCACCACCGATCCCACAGAAATACAAACTACCATCAGAGAATACTACAAACACCTCTACGCAAATAAACTAGAAAATCTAGAAGAAATGGATACATTCCTCGACACATACACTCTCCCAAGACTAAACCAGGAAGAAGTTGAATCTCTGAATAGACCAATAACAGGCTCTGAAATTGTGGCAATAATCAATAGTTTACCAACCAAAAAGAGTCCAGGACCAGATGGATTCACAGCCGAATTCTACCAGAGGTACAAGGAGGAACTGGTACCATTCCTTCTGAAACTATTCCAATCAATAGAAAAAGAGGGAATCCTCCCTAACTCATTTTATGAGGCCAGCATCATTCTGATACCAAAGCTGGGCAGAGACACAACCAAAAAAGAGAATTTTAGACCAATATCCTTGATGAACATTGATGCAAAAATCCTCAATAAAATACTGGCAAACCGAATCCAGCAGCACATCAAAAAGCTTATCCACCATGAACAAGTGGGCTTCATCCCTGGGATGCAAGGCTGGTTCAATATACGCAAATCAATAAATGTAATCCAGCATATAAACAGAGCCAAAGACAAAAACCACATGATTATCTCAATAGATGCAGAAAAAGCCTTTGACAAAATTCAACAACCCTTCATGCTAAAAACTCTCAATAAATTAGGTATTGATGGGACGTATTTCAAAATAATAAGAGCTATCTATGACAAACCCACAGCCAATATCATACTGAATGGGCAAAAACTGGAAGCATTCCCTTTGAAAACTGGCACAAGACAGGGATGCCCTCTCTCACCGCTCCTATTCAACATAGTGTTGGAAGTTCTGGCCAGGGCAATCAGGCAGGAGAAGGAAATAAAGGGTATTCAATTAGGAAAAGAGGAAGTCAAATTGTCCCTGTTTGCAGACGACATGATTGTTTATCTAGAAAACCCCATCATCTCAGCCCAAAATCTCCTTAAGCTGATAAGCAACTTCAGCAAAGTCTCAGGATACAAAATCAATGTACAAAAATCACAAGCATTCTTATACACCAACAACAGACAAACAGAGAGCCAAATCATGGGTGAACTCCCATTCACAATTGCTTCAAAGAGAATAAAATACCTAGGAATCCAACTTACAAGGGATGTGAAGGACCTCTTCAAGGAGAACTACAAACCACTGCTCAAGGAAATAAAAGAGGACACAAACAAATGGAAGAACATTCCATGCTCATGGGTAGGAAGAATCAATATCGTGAAAATGGCCATACTGCCCAAGGTAATTTACAGATTCAATGCCATCCCCATCAAGCTACCAATGACTTTCTTCACAGAATTGGAAAAAACTACTTTAAAGTTCATATGGAACCAAAAAAGAGCCCGCATTGCCAAGTCAATCCTAAGCCAAAAGAACAAAGCTGGAGGCATCACACTACCTGACTTCAAACTATACTACAAGGCTACAGTAACCAAAACAGCATGGTACTGGTACCAAAACAGAGATATAGATCAATGGAACAGAACAGAGCCCTCAGAAATAATGCCACATATCTACAACTATCTGATCTTTGACAAACCTGAGAAAAACAAGCAATGGGGAAAGGATTCCCTATTTAATAAATGGTGCTGGGAAAACTGGCTAGCCATATGTAGAAAGCTGAAACTGGATCTCTTCCTTACACCTTATACAAAAATCAATTCAAGATGGATTAAAGATTTAAACGTTAAACCTAAAACCATAAAAACCCTAGAAGAAAACCTAGGCATTACCATTCAGGACATAGGCGTGGGCAAGGACTTCATGTCCAAAACACCAAAAGCAATGGCAACAAAAGCCAAAATTGACAAATGGGATCTAATTAAACTAAAGAGCTTCTGCACAGCAAAAGAAACTACCATCAGAGTGAACAGGCAACCTACAAAATGGGAGAAAATTTTCGCAACCTACTCATCTGACAAAGGGCTAATATCCAGAATCTACAATGAACTCAAACAAATTTACAAGAAAAAAACAAACAACCCCATCAAAAAGTGGGCGAAGGACATGAACAGACACTTCTCAAAAGAAGACATTTATGCAGCCAAAAAACACATGAAGAAATGCTCATCATCACTGGCCATCAGAGAAATGCAAATCAAAACCACTATGAGATATCATCTCACACCAGTTAGAATGGCAATCATTAAAAAGTCAGGAAACAACAGGTGCTGGAGAGGATGTGGAGAAATAGGAACACTTTTACACTGTTGGTGGGACTGTAAACTAGTTCAACCATTGTGGAAGTCAGTGTGGCGATTCCTCAGGGATCTAGAACTAGAAATACCATTTGACCCAGCCATCCCATTACTGGGTATATACCCAAAGGACTATAAATCATGCTGCTATAAAGACACATGCACACGTATGTTTATTGCGGCACTATTCACAATAGCAAAGACTTGGAACCAACCCAAATGTCCAACAATGATAGACTGGATTAAGAAAATGTGGCACATATACACCATGGAATATTATGCAGCCATAAAAAATGATGAGTTCATATCCTTTGTAGGGACATGGATGAAATTGGAAACCATCATTCTCAGTAAACTATCGCAAGAACAAAAAACCAAACACCGCATGTTCTCACTCATAGGTGGGAATTGAACAATGAGATCACATGGACACAGGAAGGGAAATATCACACTCTGGGGACTGTGGTGGGGTCGGGGGAGGGGGGAGGGATAGCATTGGGAGATATACCTAATGCTAGATGACACATTAGTGGGTGCAGCGCACCAGCATGGCACATGTATACATATGTAACTAACCTGCACAATGTGCACATGTACCCTAAAACTTAGAGTATAATAATAAAAAAAAAATATGCTATAGTGAATGTCTTTCTTCACATATCCTGGAACACAAATAAATTGGGATATAGCTGTATGTGGTGCGCATATTTTTAATTTTACCAAATACAACAAAACTGTCTCCAAAAAAGTCCTCCCATTTTCACAAAAATTTGATTGATATTATAATTGAGTGGAAATAGTATCTACTTATAATTTTTAAAGAAAACCTACATTTCTAATTATCTTCAAGATTGAGACTCATTTCTTTAGGTAATTGGCCTTTTAATTTCCCGTCTTTCTGAAATTGACTGCCCATTTTTTTGTTGAGTTGTTAATATTTTTCTTTTACTTTTTTTGGTTCCATATGAATTTTAGAATAGTTTTTTTCACTTCTGTGAAAGATGATGTTGGTAATTTGATTAGAATAGCATTCAATCTGTAGGTTGCTTTGAGAAGTATGGCCATTTTAACAATATTGATTCTTCCAACCCATGAGCATGAAATTCTTTTCCATTTGTTTGTGTCATTTATGATTTCTTTCAGCAGTGTGCTGTAGTTGCATTTGTAGAGATCTTTCACTTTTACGCTTAGATGTATTCCTAGGTATTTTTTTTTTTTGTGGCTATTGTAAATGGGATTGCATTATTGACTTGGCTGTCAGCTTAAATGTTATTGGTGTATAGAAATGTTACTGATTTTTGTATGTTGATTTTGCATCCTGAGACCTTGCTGAAGTTGTTTATCAGGTCTAGGAGTCCTTTGGCGGAATCTCTAGCGTTTTCTAGGTATACAATTCTATTGTTAGTGAAGAGAGATAATTTAACTTCCTCTTTTCCTATTTGGATGCCTTTTATTTCTTTCTCTTGCCTGACTGCTCTAGCTAGGACTTTCAGCATTATGTTGAATAGGAGTGGTGAGAGTGGATAGAATGGATATCCTTGTCTTTTTCCAGTTCTTTTTTTTTTTTTTTTTTTTTTTTTTTTTGAGATGGAGTTTTGCTCTTTGTTGCCCAGGCTGGAGTGCAGTGGCGTAATCTCAGCTCACTGCAACCTGCACGATTGCAGCTCACTGCAACCTCTGCTTCCCAGGTTCAAGCGATTCTCCTGTCTCAGCCTTCTGAGTAGTTGGGATTACAGGCACCCACCACCACATCCAGCTAATTTTTGTATTTTTAGTAGAGACAGGGTTTCACCATGTTGGCCCGGCTGGTCTCGAACTCCTGACTCAAGTGATCCGTCCACCTTGGGCTCCCAAAGTGTTGGGATTACAGGCGTGAGCCACCGCACCAGGCCGTCTTTTTCCTTAAGGGGAAAGGCTTCCAACTTTTGCCCATTCAATATGTTTTTGGCTGTGGCTTTGTTGTAGACAGCTCTTATTATTGAGGGTTTTTATCATGAAGGGATGTTGGATTTTATTGAATACATTTTCTGCATCTATTAGGATGATCATATGGTTTTTGTTTTTTATTCTGTTTATGTGGTGAATCACATTTATTGATTTGCATAAATTATGCCATCCTTGCATTCCAGGAATAAAGCCCACTTGATTCCAGCGAATTAACTTTTTCATGTGCTGCTGTATTTGGTTTGCTAAAATTTTGTTGAGGATTTTTGCATGTATGCTAATCAGGGTTATGGACCTATAGTTTTATTTTTCTGTTGTGTCTGTGCCAGATTTTGGTATCAGTTTCATGGGATAAGTTAAGGAGGAATCTCTCCTCAATTTTTTTGAGTGGTTTCAGTAGGATTGGTACCAGCCCTTCTTTGTATATCTGGTAGAATTTGGCTGTGAATCCATCTGGTCCAGGACTTTTTTTTAATTTGGTAAGGTTTTTTTTTATTACTGATTCAATTTCACTACTTCTTATTGGTCTGTTTAGGATTTCTGTTTCTTCCTGGTTCAAACTTGGGAGGCTGTGTCTTTCCAGGAATTTATCCATTTCCTCTAGATTTTCAAGTTTATGTGCATCTGATGGATATTAAATTATATCTCAATTGTTGTTGCAATTGTCATTTCTCTGATTACTAGCACATTTCTTGGATTTTAATACTTACTTGCCATTAGGCTTCCCTTTAAAGGATTTGCCTATTTACATCCTCTATCCATTTTTCCATTGAGGTTTCCTGCTTTTTTCCTTGTTAATTTGCAGGTGTTCCTTATACCTGGTAAATATTAATTTCTTAGTAGGCCTTAAATATAGCAAATAGCTTCTCTAGTCTGTCATTAATTTTGCTTATGGTGTCCTTTGCAAGCAGAAATTCTTAATTTGGGTAATTAAACCCATCGTTTTTGGGGGGCTTAGTATTTTGTGCTTTTAGGTCCTTCTTAAGAAGTCTTTCTAGCTCTAAGCTCACTCATATGTTTTCCTTCATTTTCTATTATTTTTAGAATTTTAAAATTTGCAATTTTTAAATTTTTAAAATTTTAAAATTTGCCTTTTAAGTTGAACATTTTATTCCAAATGGAATTCATGTGTGTATATCACATGACTTACTTTACTCTTCTCTATATGTTGAACTAGTTTTCCTAATGCTCTCTGGAAATTTGTTTATCTTTTCTCTATTGATTTATAGTGCTTCCTTTATTAGACTTTTTTCTTTCTGAATTTTTATTCTATTCCATTACGTTGTTGTTTCCATATAATTAAATGCTATATTTATTACTATAGCTTTCTAGATTGTATTAGTACTTGGGAAGGAAATTCCTCCATTTTACTAATCTTTTTCAAAATCAAATTAGGTTTATTTTGTATAATTTGGAAGATATGGTTGCTAAATGTCCTAGAATTTTTATTGAAATCTGAATTTGTTACCTATTGCTGCATAACTGATTACACCATGGTTTAGTGGTTTAAAACAACAACAAATATTTATTGTCTCTCAGCTTCTGTGAATCAGGGATTCAGAAGTACCGTATCTGGGTAGTTCTGAGTTGGTATCTCTCATGAGGTTGCAGTCAAGATGTTACCTGGGTCTATAGTCTTCTGATGGCTTGATGGGGGGTGGGTAGAATATTCTTCTCCAAGATGGTTCATTCACATGGATGGCAAGCTGATACTGGCAATTGGCAGCATTAGCTCCTTGCCATATAAACCTCTTGGTAGAGCTTCTTGAATATCCTCACAACATGGAAGCTGATGTCCACTACAGCAAGTGATCTAGAAGACAGCAAAGTGGAGGCTACAATGTCATTTGTCATTTATGATCTAGCATTGGAAGTTACCCTCCAACATTCTTGAAATATCTTATTGATTGCACGAGTCAGTTCTCCTCAGTGTGGAGAGGACTACATAAGGGAGCAAGTATCATTGAGGGTCATCTTGGAACTTGGCTGCCTCAGTCCATCTTCTGGCTGCCAATAATTAATGCCCCTCCCACATGCAAAATTTACTCATTCTCCTGACAAGGCTCCCCAAAGTCTCATTCCATAATGGCATTAGCTTGAAGTCCAAAATCTCATCTAAATTAGGCCTGGGGGCAGATGAAGCTCCTTCGGTATAGTTCCTTAAGTACAGTTTCTTTTGATCTGAAGACCTATGCAGTTAGGAAAAGAAACTACACAATGACATATGTACCAGGAGGCAAGAATCACTGGAGGCCATCTTGAAGGACGGGCACCACAAAATTTCATTTAACATTTCTTGCAAGACAAATGCCTCATTTTGTTTGAGAAAATCTTTATTTCTCTTTCACTTTTGAAGAATAATTTTGCTAGGTACAGAATTCTATGTTGGAGGGTGCTGGGCGTGGTGGCTCATGCCTGTAATCCCAGCACTTTGGGAGGCCAAGGCGGGAGGATCACCTGAGGTCGGGAGTTCAAGACCAGCCTGGTCAACATGGTGAAACCTCGCCTCTATTAAAAATACAAAAATTAGCCAGGTATGGTGGCGGGTGCCTGTAATCCCAGCTACTTGGGAGGCTGAGGCAGGAGAATAGCTCGAACCTGGGAGGCGGAGGTTGCAGTGAGCTGAGACTGAGAGTGAGACTCCATCTCCAAAAAATAAAAAAGAATTTATTTTTGGTTCTTTCAAAACTTTAAATGTGTACTCCACTTTCTTCTTGCATGCCTGATTGCTGAAGAGAAGTATGATGTAATTCTTAATCATTGTTTATTTATAGGTAAGGTCTTTTTTATTTCTGTTTTATTTCTCCAAGACTTTGAGTTCATCTTTGTTTTCTGAAGTTTGCATATGATATCCCTATGTGTGGATTTGTTGATACTTATTGTGGTTGGTGTTCTTTGAGTTTTGTTGACCCGTGTTTTATAATTGTCTCACAGTTTTTGAGTATTCTATTTCATCATTTCATCTTGTTTTTTTCTCTTTCTTAGTTTTGGAAGGTATTTTTTTTTCTCTCCCAGTTTTGGAAGTTTCTATTGATATATCTTCAAGCATACTGTTTCTTTTCTCTGCTTCTCAGCTGTGTCCTGTCTACTGATGAGCCTGTCAAAGACATGCTTCATGTCTGTTACAGTATTTTTTATTTTTAGCATTTCATTTTGATTCTTTCTTAGGATTTCCATGTTTCTGCTTGTATTATCCCTGCTTCTGTTCTTGCACATGTTTCCTTTTCCATTAAAGCTCTTATTTATCGTATTAATAGTTTCATTTTATTTTATTTTATTTTATTTGTAGAGATAAAGTCTTGCTATGTTGCCCAGGGTAGTCTCAAATTACTGGTCTCAAGCAATCCTCCTGACTTGACCTCCTAAAGTACTGGGATTACAGGCATGAGCCACTGCACCTGGCCTAATTATACCTATTTTTTAATTTATTTTTCAGAGAAATCATGTTTATTACCCCCAATATTACCTTTTTAAACTTATTTTTATATTTTTTCATTTTTAATTTTTGTGGCTACATAGTAGGTATATATATTTATGGGGCACATGGGATATTGTGACACAGGCTTCAATGTGTAATAATCACGTCAAGGTAAATGGGGTATTCATCACCTCAAGCATTTTTCCTTTGTGTTAAAAACAATCCAATTATACTGTTTTAGTTATTTTTAAATGTACAATAAGGTATTGTTGACCATAGTCACCCTGTTGTGATACCAAATACCAGTTCTTATTCATTTATTATTATTATTATTATACTTTAAGTTTTAGGGTAGATATGCACAATGTGCCGGTTAGTTACATATGTATACATGTGCCATGCTGGTGTGCTGCACCCATTAACTTGTCATTTAACATTAGGTATATCTCCTAATGCTATCCCTCTCCCCTCCCCCCACCCCACAACAGTCCCCAGAGTGTGATGTTCCCCTTCCTGTGTCCATGTGTTCTCATTGTTCAATTCCCACCTATGAGTGAGAACATGCGGTGTTTGGTTTTTTGTCCTTGCGACAGTTTACTGAGAATGATGATTTCCAATTTCATCCATGTCCCTACAAAGGACATGAACTCATCATTTTTTATGGCTGCATAGTATTCCATGGTGTATATGTGCCACATTTTCTTAATTCAGTCTATCATTGTTGGACATTTGGGTTGGTTCCTAGTCTTTGCTATCTTGAATAGTGCTGCAATAAACATACGTGTGCATGTGTCTTTATAGCAGCATGATTTATAGTCCTTTGGGTATATACCCAGTAATGGGATGGCTGGGTCAAATGGTATTTCTAGTTCTAGATCCCTGAGGAATCACCACACTGACTCCCACAATGGTTGAACTAGTTTACAGTCCCACCAACAGTGTAAAAGTGTTCCTATTTCTCCACATCCTCTCCAGCACCTGTTGTTTCCTGACTTTTTAATGATTGCCATTCTAACTGGTGTGAGATGGTATCTCATTGTGGTTTTGATTTGCATTTCTCTGATGGCCAGTGATGATGAGCATTTTTTCATGTGTCTGTTGGCTGCATAAATGTCTTCTTTTGAGAAGTGTCTGTTCATATCCTTTGCCCACTTTTTGATGGGGTTTTTTTTTTCTTGTAAATTTGTTTGAGTTCATTGTAGATTCTGGATATTAGCCCTTTGTCAGATGTGTAGATTGCAAACATTTTCTCCCATTTTGTAGGTTGCCTGTTCACTCTGATGGTAGTTTCTTTTGCTGTGCCAGAAGCTCTTGAGTTTAATTAGATCCCATTTGTCAATTTTGGCTTTTGTTGCCATTGCTTTTGGTGTTTTAGACATGAAGTCCTTGCCCATGCCTATGTCCTGAATGGTAATGCCTAGGTTTTCTTCTAGGGTTTTTGTGGTTTTAGGTCTAACGTTCTTTAATCCATCTTGAATTGATTTTTGTATAAGGTGTAAGGAAGGGATCCAGTTTCAGCTTTCTACATATGGCTAGCCAGTTTTCCCAGCACCATTTATTAAATAGGGAATCCTTTCCCCATTTCTTGTTTTTCTCAGGTTTGTCAAAGATCAGATAGTTGTAGATATGTGGCGTTATTTCTGAGGGCTCTGTTCTGTTCCATTGATCTATATCTCTGTTTTGGTACCAGTACCATGCTGTTTTGGTTACTGTAGCCTTGTAGTATAGTTTGAAGTCAGGTAGCATGATGCCTCCAGCTTTGTTCTTTTGGCTTATGATTGACTTGGTGATGCGGGCTCTTTTTTGGTTCCATATGAACTTTAAAGTAGTTTTTTCCAATTCTGTGAAGAAAGTCATTGGTAGCTTGATGGGGATGGCATTGAATCTATAGATTACCTTGGGCAGTATGGCCATTTTCACGATATTGATTCTTCCTACCCATGAGCATGTAATGTTCTTCCATTTGTTTGTATCCTCTTTTATTTCATTGAGCAGTGGTTTATAGTTCTCCTTGAAGAGGTCCTTCACATCCCTTGTAAGATGGATTCCTAGGTATTTTATTCTCTTTGAAGCAATTGTGAATGGGAGTTCACTCATGATTTGGCTCTCTGTTTGTCTGTTATTGGTGTATAAGAATGCTTGTGATTTTTGCACATTGATTTTGTATCCTGAGACTTTGCTGAACGTGCTTATCAGCTTAAGGAGATTTTGGGCTGAGACAATGGGGTTTTCTATATTTTTGTACACATTCACCATCCCCACTCCCCAACCCTGCAAAGTACCCTTCCCAGATACTGGTAACCATCATTCTACTCTATATCTCTATGAGTTCAATTGTTTTAAAAATTTTTTAGCTCCCACAAATAAGTGAGAACATGCAAAATTTGTCTTTCTGTGCTATTTCACATAACATAATGACCTCCAGTTTCATCTAAGTTGTTGCAAATGACAGGATCTCCTTCTTGTTTTGGCTGAATAGTGCTCTATTATGTATAGTTACCATATTTTCTCTATCCATTCATTTGTTAATGGACACTTAGATTGCTTCCAAATATTGGTTATTGTGAATAGTGCTGCAGTAAAATTGGAAGTGCAGATATCTCTTCAATGTACTGATTCCTTTCTTTTGGGTTTATACCTAGCAGTGGGATTCTGGATCATACGGTAGTTCTATTTTTAGTTTTTTGAGGAATATCCAAACTTTTTCCCATAGCGGTTGTACTAATTTACATTCCCACCAACAGTGTACGGAAGTTCTCTTTTCTCCACATCATTGTCAGTATTTGTTATTGCCTACGTTTTGGGTAAAAGCCACTTTAGCTGGGGTAAGATGCTATCTCATTGTAGTTTTGACTTGCATTTTTCTGATGATCAGTGATGTTGAGTACCTTTTCATATACCTGCTTGCCATTTGTATGTCTTCTTTTGAGAAATGTCTATTGAGATCTTTTGCACAGTTTTTAGGTTGGATTATTATATTTTTTCCTGTTGAGTTGTTTGGGCTCCTTATGCATTCTGGTTATTAATTTCTTGTTAGATGGATAATTTGCAAATATTTTTTCCTATTCAGTGGGTTGTCCTTCACTTTGTTGATTGTTTCCTTTGCTGTGCAGAAGCTTTTTAACTTGGTTTGATACCATTTGTCCATGTTTGCTTTGGTTGCCTGAGCTTGTGGGGTATTACTCAAGAAATCTTTGCTCAGTCTAATGTCCTGGAGAATTTGCACAATGTTTTCTTTCAGTAGTTTCATAGTTTGGGGTATTAGATATAAGTCTTTAATACATTTTTATTTGGTTTCGTCTATGGTAAGAGTTAGGGGTCTAGTTTCATTGTATAGATATCCAGTTTTCCCAGCACCATTTATTGAAGACTGCCCTTTCCTAAATGTATGTTCTTGGTATTTTTGTCAAAAAATAGTTCACTGTAGATGTATGGATTTATTTGTGGATTCACTGTTCCATTTTGTTGGTCTACATGTCTGTTGTTATGCCAGTACCATGTTATTTTGGGTACTGTAGCTCTGTAGTACATTTGAAGTCAGGTAATGTGATTCTTCCAATTTTGTACTTTTTGCTCAGGATTACCGTGAGTATTCTGGGTCTTTTGTGGTTTCATATAAATTTTAGGATTTTTTTTCTATTTCTGTGAAGAATGTTGTTGATATTTTGATAGTGATTGCACTGAATCTGTAGATTGCTTTTGGTAGTATGGACAGTTTAAGAATATTGATTCTTCCAATTCTTGAACATGGAATATCTTTCCATTTTTTTTGTATTACCTTCAACTTCCTACATCAATGTTTTACAGTTTTCATTGTAGAAATATTTCACTTCTTTGGTTAAGTTTATTCCTAGGTATTTTATTTTATTTGTAGCTATTGTAAATGGAGTTACTTTCATGATTTATTTGTCAGATTGTTAGCTGTTGGCAGATAGAAATGCTACTAATTTTTGTATGTTGATTTTTGTATCCTGCAACTTCACTGAATTTGTTTGTCAGTTCTAATAGTTTTCTTGGTGAAGTCTTTAGGTTTTTCCAAGTATAAGATCATATCATCTGCAAACAAGGATAATTTGACTTCTTCCTTTCCAATTTGCATGCTCTTTATTTCTTTCTCTCATCTGATTGCTCTAGCTAGGACTTCTAGTACTATGTTGAATAATAGTGATGAAAATGGGCATCCTTATCTTGTTTCAGCTCTTGGAGGAAAGGCTTTCACTTTTTCATTGTTCAGTATGATACTAGCTGTAGTCTGTCGTATATGGCTTTTATTGTGTTGAGGTATGTCATTTATACCTAGTTTTTGAAGTTTTTTTTTTTAACATGAAGGGATGTTGAATTTTATCAAGTGTTTTTTTCAGTATCAATTGAAATGATCATATGGTTTTTATCCTTCATTCTGTTGATATGATATATCCCACTGATTGATTTGCATATGTTGAATCATCTTTGCATCCCTGGGATGTATCCCACTTTGTCATGATTAATGATCTTATTAATGTGTTGTTGAATTTGGTTTGCTAGTGTTTTATTGAGGATAATATTTGCATCAATGTTCATCAGGGATATTGGCCTGTAGTTTTTTTTGGTGTGTCTTTGTCTGGTTTTGGTATCAGGGTAATACTGGCCTCACAGAATGAGTTTAGAAGTATTCCCTCCTCTTCTACTTTTTGGAGTAGTTTGAGTAGGATTGGTATTAGTTCTTTAAATGTTAGGTAGAATTCAGCAGTGAAGCTAACAAGCCCTGAGCTTTTCTATCCTGGGAGACTTTATTATGGCTTCAATCTCATTACTTGTTATTGGTCTATTCTGGTTTGGGATTTCTTCAGGATCAATCTTAGCAGGTTGTATATGTCTAAGAGTGTATCTATTTCTTCTGGGTTTTCCAATGTATTGTCATATATATTAGCTCAGAGTATTCACTAATTATCCTTTGAATTTATGTGGTATCAAGTGTAATAGTGTAATGTCTCCTTTTTTATCTGTGATTTTACTTATCTAGCTCTTCTTTCTTTTTTTCTTAGTCAGGCTAAAGATTTGTCACTTTATCTGTTCGTAAGAAAAACTTTGCTTTGATCTTTTGTATTTTTTATTTCAATTTCATTTATTTCTTCTCTGATATTATTTCTTTTCTTCTACTAATTTTGGGTTTGATTTACTCTTTTCTTTCTAATTCTTTAATCTACATCATTAGGTTGCTAATTTGCAGTTTTTCTGCTTTTCCGATGTAGGTGCTTATTGCTATAAACTTTCTTCTTAGTACTGCTTTTGCTATATCCCATAGGATTTTGTATGTTATATTTCCATTTTCCTTTGTTTCAACAAATTTTTAAATTTTCTTCTTAATGTCTTTATTGACCCAGTGGACATTCAGGAACATATTATCTAATTTCCAGGTATTTGTATAGTTTCCAAAGTCCCTTCTGTTATTGATTTCTGGTGTTTTTCCATTGTGGTCAGAAAAGATATTTGATATGATTTCATTTCTTTTGAATTTTTAAAGACTTGTTTTGTGGCCTAACATATGGTCTATTCTTAAGGATTATCCATGTGCTGAGACGAGTGTGTATTTTGCAGCTGTTGGATGAAATGTTTTGTAAATATCTGTTAGGTACATTTGGTCTATAGTGCAGATTTAATCCAGTGTTTTTTTTGGTTGATTTTCTGTCTGGAAGATCTGTCCAATGCTGAAAGTGAGGTGTTGAAGTCTCCAGCTATTATTGTATTGGGGTCCATTTCTGTCTTTAGCTCTAATAATATTTGCTTTATATATCTGGGTGTTCCAGTGTCAGGTGCATATGTATTTACGATTGTTATATCCTCTTGCTGAATTGACCCCTTTGTCATTATATAATGACTTTGTCTTATTTCATAGTTTTTGTCTTGACATTTATTTTATCTCATATAAGTATAGCTACTCCTGCTTTGTTTTGGTTTTCAGTTGCATTGAAAATATTTTCCCATCCCTTTATTTTCAGTCTATGTGTGTCTTTACAGGGGAACTGTGTTTCTTGTAGGCCACAAGTCATTGGGTTTTTTTCATTGTTGTTTTGTTTTGTTTTCATTCAGTCACTCAGTCTTTTGATTGGAGATTTTAGTCCATTTACATTCAATGTTATTAGTGATAAGTAAGGGCTTACTCCTGTCATTTTGTTATTAATTTTCTGGGTGTCTTTTAGTTCTCTCTTCCTTCTTTCCTTTCTTCTTGTCTTCCTTTCAGTGAAGATCATTTTCTCAGGTGGTGTGTTTTAATTTCTTGCTTTTCATTTTTTTGTGTGTATCTGTTGTATATGTTTTGATTTGAGATTACCATAAGACTTGCAAATAGTATCCTATAAACCCCATTATTTTAAACTTATGGCAACTTAACACTGATTGCATAAACAGACAAAAACCAAACAAACAAAGAGAAAACTCAAAAACTCTACACTTTAACTTTATTCTCCCACTTTTAACACTTTTGTGTTCTTTCTGTTTATACTGTATTATACTGTCTATTCTTGAAAAGTTGTTGTAGTTTTTATTTTTGGTAGTTTCATCTTTTAGTCATTCTACTCAACACATGAATAGTTTACACACCACAATTACAGTGTTATAATATTCTGTGTCTTTCTGTGTACTTACTACTACCAGTGTGTTTCGTACCTTCAGGTGATTTCTTATTGCTCATTACAGTGATTTTCTTTCAGATTGAAGAACTCCCCTTAACATTTCTTGTAGAACAGGCCTGGTGTTGATGAAATCCCTCAGCTTTTGTTTGTCTGGGAAAGTATTTCTCTTTCATTGTTGAAGTATATTTTCACTAGATTTACTATTCTAGGATAAACGATTTTTCTTTCAGTACTTTAAATATGTCATGCCACTGTCTCCTGGTATGTAAAATTTCAACTGAAAAATCGGTTGCCAGACATATTGGAGCTCTTTTGTATATTATTTGTTTCTTTTCTCTTACTGCTTTTAGGATCTTTTCTTTATCCTTGACCTTCGGGGGTTTGATTATTAAATGTGTTGAGATAGTCTTCTTTGTCTTGAAATTTATTTTATCTAATATAAGTATAGCTACTCCTGCTCTGTTTTGGTTTTCACTTGCATGGAATATCTTTTTTCATCCCTTTACTTTTAGTCTATGTGTGTCTTTATAGAAGTGTGTTTCTGATTCCTTTTCTGTGTTATCTTGAATTTTGTTGAACTTCCTCAAAACAGCTATTTTGAATTCTCTGTCTGAAAGGTCACAGATCTCTATCTCTCTGGGATTAGTCCCTGGTGCTTCATTTAGTTTGTCTGGTGAGGTCATGTTTTCCTGCATGGTCTTGATGTCTGTGGATGATCTTTGATGTGTGGGCATTAAAGAGTTCGGTATTTATTATAGTCTTTGCAGTCTGGGAGCTTGTTTGTACCTATCTTTCTTGGGAAGGCTTTCCAGGTATTCAAAAGGACCTGGGTGTTGTGATGTAAGTCTTTGGTCACTGAAGCTGTATCTGCTTTAAGGGGCACCCCAAGCTCAGTAATGCTGTGACTCTTGCAGGCTTGTAGAGGTACTGCCTTAGTGGTCTTGGATAAGATCTAGAAGAATTCTCTGGATTATCAGGCAGAGACTCTTGTTCTCTGTCCTTACTCTCCCCAAAACAAATGGAGTCTCTCTCTCTCTCTCTGTGCTGGTGGAGGGGTGATACGAGCAGCCCTGTGGCCACCATCACTGGGACTGTGCTGGGTTAGACTCAAAGCCAGCCCAGCACTGAGTGTGGCTCAAGGCCCACAGTGACCACTGTCTGGCTACTGCCTACATTCACTCAAGGCCCAAGGGCTCTACAATCAGAAGGTGGCACATCCAGCCAGGTTTGTGTCCTTCCCTTCAGGGTGGTGAGCTCCCCCAGCCCCGCGCAGGTCTGGAGATGCCACCCAGGAGCCAGAGTCTGGAGTTGAGAACCTTAGGAATCTACCTGGTGCCCTATTTTACTGCAGCTGAGCTGGCACCGAAGCCATAAGGCAAGTCCCTCCCACTCTTTCCTTCCTTTTCCTTAAGCAGAGGGGCCTATTCCTACGGCCACCATTGCCCCTGGCCTGTGGTGAGTACTGCCTGGCTACCACTGGTATTTATTAAAGGCCCAAGGCCTCTTTAGTCAGCTTGCAGTGAATTCTGCCAGTTTGAGACAGAGTCTCTAGGGAAACCCAAAGACAACCAGGGAGTTAAAAACAAAACATTAAAGAAAATTTTTGCTTCTGAAGCAGCTACAGCAAACAGTGAACATCATCTAACTTCCAGCCAAGTAACATAAAACTTCACACTAATGGACTATTTATGACAATTTTTTTAGCCAATATATTATATCAGGCTTTAAACGAAAAATTACAGGCTCTGCTAAAGACATAAAACAGTCTGTTGTACTTGAAGAGCATCTTTAGGAAAAAAAAAAATCAGGACCAGATTCAGATATGTCAGAAATTTTGGAATTAACAGACGAAGAATTTAAAGCAATTATGATTAGGGAGGAGGCAGAGCAAGATAGCCAAATAGAAGCCTCTGGCAATCATCTCCCTCACAGGAAGACCAAATTGAACAACTACCCACACAAAAAAGCCCCTTCACAAGAACAAAAAACTCAGATGAGCTATAATAGTGCCTGGTTTTAACATCATATTAAGGAAAGGAGCACTGAGGAAGGTAGGAAAGACATTCTTGAATCACCTGCACCTCCCGTCCCCAATTCCCTGGCAGCAGCTTCATGGCACAGAGAGAGAATCTGTGTGCTTAAGGGAGGCAGAGCACAGTGATTACAGGATTTTGCACTGGAACTCAGTCCTGCCCTGTCACAGTGGAAAGCAACATGGGGCAGAACTCTGCCAGAGCCCATGGAGGAGGCATTTATACTAGCCCTAGCCATGGGTAAATCTTCTGTCTCAATGGTTGGGACCTGAGTACCAACAAGGCCTGCCACCGTTGGCTAAAGGGCTCTGGGTTTCTAAACAAATTTGCAAGGCAGTCTAGGCAACAAAGACTGCAATTCCTGGGCAAGTACTGGTGCCATGCTGGGCTCAAAACCCTGTCTCTCCCTTCAGGGCAGTGGGCTCCCCTCTGTCCCAGGACAGGTCTAGAAATGTCATCCTGGACCCAAAGTCTGTAACCAGAAACCCCCAAGAGCCCACTTGTTGCTCTACCCACTGTGGCGAACCTAGTATGCAATCGGCAAGAAAAAGTCCCCTTTACTCTTCCATCTCCTTTCCTCAAGCAGAAGGAGTTTTTTTTTCCCATAGCTACCACAGCTGAGAATGTGCCGGGACATACGTGAAGCCAGTACAGATTTGAGTCTCACCCAAGGCCTGCAGAGTACTGCCTGGCCACCACTGCTGAATATTCAGGGCCCAAAGACTCTTTAGTCAGCAGGTTATGAATTCTGCCAGGACTGGGTTCTTTCTGTCCAAGACAGCAGGTTCCCTTCTGGCCCATGTTACCTGAACATGTTTCCATGACCTAGGGCCTGGAATGGGGGCCTCAGGACTCTGCCTCATTTCTTATCCTACTATGACTGAGTTGGTATCCAAGTTGTAAGACAAAATCCTCTTTACTCTCCCCTCTTCTCTCCTCAAAGAGAGAGGGAAGGAGTCTCTCCCAGAGCTATAAGCTGCACTGTCTGGGGTTGGGGAAGGGGTAACACAAGCCCTCCCTTGGCTACCCCAGCTGGTGTCTCACTAGGTCACATATTCCCCAAGTCCACTGGCTTTGATCCCAGCATGGCACCAGTACTTGCCCAGGAATTGCAGTCTTTGTTGCCTAGACTGCCTTGCAAATTTGTTTAGAAACCCAGAGCCCTTTAGCCAACGGTGGCAGGCCTTGTTGGTACTCAGGTCCCAACCATTGAGACAGAAGATTTACCCATGGCTAGGGCTAGTATAAATGCCTCCTCCATGGGCTCTGGCAGAGTTCTGCCCCATGTTGCTTTCCACTGTGACAGGGCAGGACTGAGTTCCAGTGCAAAATCCTGTAATCACTGTGCTCTGCCTCCCTTAAGCACACAGATTCTCTCTCTGTGCCATGAAGCTGCTGCCAGGGAATTGGGGACGGGAGGTGCAGGCGATTCAAGAATGTCTTTCCTACCTTCTTCAGTGCTCCTCTCCTTAATGTGATGTTAAAACCAGGTACTATTATAGCTCATCTGAGTTTTTTGTTCTTGTGAAGGGGCTTTTTTGTGTGGGTAGTTGTTCAATTTGGTCTTCCTGTGAGGGAGATGATTGCCAGAGGCTTCTATTTGGCTATCTTGCTCTGCCTCCTCCCTAATCATAATTGCTTTAAATTCTTCGTCTGTTAATTCCAAAATTTCTGACATATCTGAATCTGGTCCTGATTTTTTTTTTTTCCTAAAGATGCTCTTCAAGTACAACAGACTGTTTTATGTCTTTAGCATGGCTTGTAATTTTTCATTTAAAGCCTGATATAATATATTGGCTAAAAAAATTGTCATAAATAGTCCATTAGTGTGAAGTTTTATGTTACTTGGCTAGAAGTTAGATGATGTTCACTGTTTGCTGTAGCTGCATCAGAGGCAAAAATTTTCTTTAATGTTTTGATTTAACACCCTGGTTGTCTTTGGGTTTCCCTAGAGACTCTGTCTCAAATTGGGTCTGAGGCCTCTAGTTCTTTCATCTATAATCTCCTCTTCACACTCAGTAGCCTAAAAATGTGTTGGCAAGGTGTGAGGGAATGAGAAGCATTGTGTAATCATATGATTAGGTCTCAGTCTTTTTTTTTTTTTTAATTATACTTTAACTTCTAGGGTACATGTGCACAATGTGCAGGTTTGTTACATAGGTATACACATGTGCCATGTTGGTTTGCTGCACACATTAACGCATCATTTACATTAGATATTTCTCCTAATGCTATCCCTTCCCCTCCCCCCCAACCCCAAGACAGGCCCCTGTGCATGATGTTCCCCGCCCTGTGTCCAAGTGTTCTCATTGTTCAGTTCCCACCTATGAGTGAGAACATGCGGTGTTTAGTTTTCTGTCCTTGTGATAGTTTGCTGAGAATGATGGTTTCCAGCTTCATCCATGTCC
The DNA here is from genome assembly GCF_000001405.40 of Homo sapiens. Lineage (NCBI taxonomy): Eukaryota > Metazoa > Chordata > Mammalia > Primates > Hominidae > Homo > Homo sapiens. Next base: position 86,663,296 of record NC_000001.11, on the reverse strand, counting down.
CTACAAAGGACATGAACTCATCCTTTTTAATGGCTGCATAGTATTCCATGGTATATATGTGCCACATTTTGTTAATCCAGTCTATAATTGATGGATATTTGGGTTGGTTCCAAGTTTTTGCTATTGTGAATAATGCCTCAATAAACATACGTGTGCATGTGTCTTATAGCATGATTTATAATCCTTTGGGTATATACCCAGTAATGGGATGGCTGGGTCAAATGGTATTTCTAGTTTTAGATCCTTGATGAATGGCCACACTGTCTTCCACAATGGTTGAACTAGTTTACACTCCCACCAACTGTGTAAAAGCATTCCTATTTCTCCACATCCTCTCCAGCATCTGTTGTTTCCTGACTTTATAATGATCGCCATTCTAACTGGTGTGAGATGATATCTCATTGTGGTTTTCATTTGCATTTCTCTGATGACCAGTGATGAAGAGCATTTTTTCATGTGTCGGTTGGCTTCATAAATGTCTTCTTTTGAGAAGTGTCTGTTCATATCCTTTGCCCACTTTTTGATGGGGTTGTTTGTTTTTTACTTGTAAATTTGTTTAAGTTCTTTGTAGATTCTGGATATTAGCCCTTTGTCAGATGGGTATATTGCAAAAATTTTCTCCCATTCTGTAGGTTGCCTGTTCACTCTGATGGTGTTTCTTTTGCTGTGCAGAAGCTCTTGAGTTTAATTAGATCCCATTCGTCAATTTTGGCTTTTGTTGCCATTGCTTTTGGTGTTTTAGTCATGAAGTTCTTGCCCATGCCTGTATCCTCAGTGGTATTGCCTAGGTTTTCTTCTAGGGTTTTTATGGTTTTAGGTCTAACATTTAAGTCTTTAATCCATCTTGAATTAATTTTTGTATAAGGTGTAAGGAAGGGATCCAGTTTTAGCTTTCTACATATGGCTAGCCAATTTCCCAGCAGCATTTATTAAATAGGGATTCCTTCCCCCATTGCTTGTTTTTGTCAGGTTTGTCAAAGATCAGATGGTTGTAGATGTGTAGTATTATTTCTGAGGCCTCTGTTCTGTTCCATTGGTCTATATCTCTGTTTTGGTATCAGTACCATGCTGTTTTGGTTACTGTAGCCTTGTAGTATAGTTTGAAGTCAGGTAGCGTGATGCCTCCAGCTTTGTTCTTTTGGCTTAGGATTGTCTTGGCAGTGCAGGTTCTTTTTTGGTTCCATATGAATTTTAAAGTACTTTTTTCCAATTCTGTGAAGAAAGTCATTGGTAGCTTGATGAGGATGGCATTGAATCTATAAATTACCTGGGGCAGTATGGCCATTTTCACGATATTGATTCTTCCCATCCATGAGCATGGAATGTTCTTCCATTTGTTTGTGTCCTCTTTTATTTCGTTGAACAGTGGTTTGTAGTTCTCCTTGGAGAGATCCTTCACATCCCTTGTAAGATGGATTCCTAGGTATTTTATTCTCTTTGTAGCAATTGTGAATGGGAGTTCACTCATGATTTGGCTCTCTGTTTATCTGTTATTGGTGTATAGGAATGCTTGTGATTTTTGCACACTGATTTTGTATCCTGAGACTTTGCTGAAGTTACTTATCAGCATAAGGCGATTTGGGGCTGAGATGATGGGGTTTTGTAAAAATACAATCATGTCATCTGCAAATAGGGACAATTTGACTTCCTCTTTTCCTAAGTGCATACCCTTTATTTCTTTCTCTTGCCTGATTGCCCTGGCCAGAACTTCCAACACTATGTTGAATAGAAGTGGTGAGAGAGGGCATCCCTGTCTTGTGGCGGTTTTCAAAGGGAATGCTTCCAGTTTTTGCTCATTCAGGATGATATTGGCTGTGGGTTTGTCATGAATAGCTCTTGTTATTTTGAGATACGTTCCATCAATACCTAGTTTATTGAGAGTTTTTAGCATGAAGGGCTGTTGAATTTTGTTGAAGGCCTTTTCTGCATCTATTGAGATAATCATGAGGTTTTTGTCATTGGTTCTGTTTATATGCTGGATTACATTTATTGATTTGCATATGTTGAACCAACCTTTCATCCCAGGGATGAAGCCCACTTGATCGTGATGGATAAGCTTCTTGATGTGCTGCTGGATTCGGTTTGCCAGTATTTTATTGAGGATTTTTGCATCGATGTTCATCAGGGATATTGGCCTAAAATTCTCTTTTCTTGTTGAGTCTCTGCCAGGCTTTAGTATCAGGGTGATGCTGGCCTCATAAAATGAGTTAGGGAGGATTCCCTCTTTTTCTATTGATTGGAATAGTTTCAGAAGGAATGGTACCAGCTCCTCTTTGTACCTCTGTTAGAATTTGAGTGTGAATTCATCTGCTCCTGGACTTTTTTTTGTTGGTAGGCTATTAATTATTGCCTCAATTTCAGAGCCTGTTATTTGTCTATTTGGGGATTCAACTTCTTCTTGGTTTCATCTTGGGAGGGTGTATGTATCCAGGAGTTTATCCATTTCTTCTAGATTTTCTAGTTTATTTGCAAAGAGATGCTTATAGTATTCTCTGATAGTAGTTTGTATTTCTGTGGGATTGGTGGTGATATCCCTTTTATCTTTTTTTTATTGTATCTCTTTGATTCTTTGCTCTTTTCTTCTTTATTAGTCTTGCTAGCGGTCTACCAATTTTGTTGATCTTTCCAAAAAACCAGCTCCTGGATTCATTGATTTTTTGAAGGTTTTTTTGTGTCTCTATCTCCTTCAGTTCTGCTCTGATCTCAGTTATTTCTTGCTTTCTGCTAGCTTTTGAATGTGTTTGCTCTTGCTTCTCTAGTTCTTTTAATTGTGATGTTAGGGTGTCGATTTTAGATCTTTCCTGCTTTTCTTTGTGGGCATTTAGTGTTGTAAACTTCCCTCTACACTTTGCTTTAAATGTGTCCTGGAGATTCTGGTATGTTGTGTCTTTGTTCTCATTGGTTTCAAAGAACATCTTTATTTCTGCCTTCATTTCATTATTTACCCAGTAGTCATTCAGGAGCAGGTTGTTCAGTTTCCATGTAGTTGTGTGGTTTTGAGTGAGTTTCTTAATCCTGAGTTCTAATTTGATTGCACTGTGGTCTGAGAGACAGTTTATTGTGTTTTCTGTTCTTTTACCTTTGCTGAGGAGTGTTTTACTTCTAACTATGTGGTCAATTTTGGAATAAGTGTGATATGGTGCTGAGAAGAATGTATATTCTGTTGATTTGGGGTGGAGAGTTCTGTAGATGTTTATTAGGTCTGCTTGGTGCACAGCTGAGTTCAAGTCCTGTATATTCTTGTTTACATTCTGTCTCGTTGATCTGTCTAATATTGACAGTGGGGTGTTAAAGTCTCCCATTATTATTGTGTGGAAGTTTAAGTCTCTTTGTAGGTCTCTAAGGACTTGCTTTATGAATCTGGGTGCTCCTGTATTGGGTGCATGTATATTTAGGATAGTTAGCTCTTCTTGTTGAATTGATCCCTTTACCATTACGTAATGGCCCTCTTTGTCTCTTTTGATCTTTGTTGGTTTAAAGTGTTTTTATCAGTGACTAGGATTGCAACCCCTGCCTTTTTTTGCTTTCCATTTGCTTGGTAGACCTTCCTCCATCCCTTTCTTTTGAGCCTATGTCTGTCTCTGCACGTGAGATGGGTGTCCTGAATACAGCACACTGATGGGTCTTGACTCTTTATCCAATTTTCCAGTCTGTGTCTTTTATTTGGAGCATTTAGCCCATTTACATTTAAGGTTAATATTGTTATAAGTGAATTTGATCCTGTCATTATGATGTTAGCTGGTTATTTCGCCTGTTAGTTGAGGCAGTTTCTTCCTAGCATCAATGATCTTTAGAATTTGGCATGTTTTTGCAGTGGCTGGTACTCATTCCTTTCCATGTTTAGTGGTTCCTTCAGGCGCTCTTGTAAGACAGGCCTGGTGGTGACAAAAATCTCTCAGCATTTGCTTGTCTGTAAAGTATTTTATTTCTCCTTCACTTATGAAGCTTTGTTTGACTGGATATGAAATTCTGGGTTGAAAATTCTTTTCTTTAAGAATGTTGAATATTGGCCCCCACTCTCTTCTGGCTTGTAGAGCTTCCACTGAGAGATCAGCTGTTAGTCTGATGGGCTTCCCTTTGTGGGTAACCCAACCTTTCTCTCTGGTTGCCCTTAATATTTTTTCCTTCATTTCAACCTTGGTGAATCTGACAATTATGTGCCTTGGTGTTGCTCTTCTTGAGGAGTATCTTTGTGGTGTTTTCTGTATTTCCTGAATTTGAATGTTGGCCTTGCCTTGCAAAGTTGGGGAAGTTCTCCTGGATAGTATCCTGCAGAGTGTTTTCCAACTTGGTTCCATTCTCCCCATCACTTTCAGGTACACCAATCAAACATAGATTTGATCTTTTCACATAGTCCTATATTTCTTGGAGGCTTTGTTCAATTATTTTTACTCTTTTTTTCTCTAAACTTCTTTTTTCATTTTATTTCACTAATTTGATCTTCAATCACTGATACCCTTCCTTCCACTTGATTAAATCGGCTATTGAAGCTTGTTCATGCATCATGTAGTTCTCATCCCATGGTTTTCAGCTCCCTCAGGTCACTTAAGGTCTTCTCTACACTGTTTATTCTAGTTAGCCATTCGTTTAATCTTTTTTCAAGGTTTTTAGCTTCCTTGCGATGGGTTGAAACCTCCTCCTTTAGCTCGGAGAAGTTTGTTTTTACTGACCTTCTGAAGCCTGCTTCTGTCAGCTCGTCAGAGTCATTCTCCGTCCAGCTTTGTTCCATTGTTGGCAAGGAGCTGCGATCCTTTAGAGGAGAAGAGGCGCTCTGATTTTTCAAATTTTCAGCTTTTCTGCTCTGGTTTCTCCCCATATTTTTGGTTTTATCTACTTTTAGTCTTTGATGCTGGTGATCACAGATGGGGTTTTGGTGTGGATGTCCTTTTTGTTGATGTTGATGGTATTCCTTTCTGTTTGTTAGTTTTCCTTCTAAGAGTCTGGTCCCTCAGCTGCAGTTCTGTTGGAGTTTGCTAGAGATCCACTCCAGACCCTCTTTGCCTGGGTATCACCAGCAGAGGCTGCAAAACAGCAAATATTGCAGAACAGCAAATATTGCTGCTTGATCCTTCCTCTGGAAGCTTTGTCTCAGAGGGGCACCCAGCTGTATGAGGTGTCACTTGGCCCCTATTGGGAGGTGTCTCCCAGTTAGGCTACATGGGGGTCAGGGATCCACTTGAGGAGGCAGTCTGTCTGTTCTCAGAGCTCAAACATCATGCTGGGAGAACCACTGCTCTCTTCAGAGCTGTCAGACAGGGATGTTTAAATCTGCAGAAGTTTCTGCTGCCTTTTGTCCAGCTATGGCCTGCCCCTGAGATGTGTGGTTTACACAGGCAGCAGGCCTTGCAGAGCTGTGGTGGGCTTTGACCAGTTGGAGCTTCCCCAACCCCTTTGTTTACCTAGTCAAGCCTCAGCAATGGTGGACGCCCCTCCCCCTGCCAGGCTGCTATCTCGCAGGTCAATCTCAGACTGCTGCGCTAGCAGTGAGCAAGGCTCCATGGGCGTGGGACACACCAAGGCAGGTGTGGGATATAATCTCCTGGTGTGTCGTTTGTTAAGACCGTTGGAAAAGTGCAGTATTTAGGCGGGGGTGTCCCAATTTTCCAGGTACAGTCTGTCATGGCTTCCCTTGGCTAGGAAAGGGAAATCGCCTGACCTCTTGCGCTTCCTGGATGAGGCAATGCCCCACCCTGCTTCGGCTCACCCTCCGTGGTGGGCTGCACCCACTGTCCAACCAGTCCCAATGAGATGAACCAGGTACCTCAGTTGGAAATGCAGAAATCAACGCCTTCTGTGTTGGTTATGCTGGGAGCTGCAGACCGGAGCTGTTCCTATTCGGCCATCTTGGAACAGAATAGGTCTCAGTCTTTTACTGTGCTTGTCTCCTTGGGCTGTGGCCTTCACAAATGCTTTTCTGCTTTTTTTTTTTTTTAACTTTTATTTTAGGTTCAGGGATACATGTGCATATTTGTTATATAGGTAAATTGTGTGCCACAGGGGCTTGGTGTACAGATTATTTCATCATCCAGGTAACAAACCTAGTACCACAGTACCTGTTAGGTGGTTTTCCGATCCTCACCGTTCTCCATCCCTCAAACCTTAAGTAGGCCCCAGTGTCTGTTGTTCCCTTCCTAGTGTCTGTTTTTTCCCCCTCTTTGATCAGATAGGAATGTTAGAGGGCTCCGGAGTTGAGTATCTTCCTCTGCCACAAGGAAGGCTAGGGGAGATTGGAGTTGGGTATTTCTCTTCCCCTAAGTTGGTTAGGCCCTTGTAAAACCTAAGTTAGTCAGGCTCTGGTAAAACAGTTTCCCTTGAGGACAGGCTTTTGCTAAGAACAGGACACTTTTGGTATATTTCAAAATGGTTACTTTTACGTCTCTGATGTTGAGAGTCTGAGGGGATTTTTCTTTAATCCCACTCTGAAAACTTCATGGGGTTCTTGGAAGAAAAACTCAGGGAAGTATGGAGGTCTCTCTAAGGCCTCTGAGAGTTTTTAACTCTCAGCCTTATTCACACTCAGCCTCTGGCATGTCTTCGTTTACGGTTTGTGTTCCTACTGGTATTAGCTTCACTGATAGGTTTCTGCTCCTGGTAAGCTGTGATTCTGTATTTTTCTGCCTCTCCAATATTTTTGTAGCAGGTTGCAGTGTGACTTCAACTTTCTGATGAAACTACGAAGAATTCTTTATTTTTCAGTTCAGCTTTTTTTTTCTTGTTGTGAGGTGGGGAGTGACAACTTCAAAGCTCTGTATATATCAGACTAGTGCTATTGATTTTTAGTAAATTGATCTTGTATCTGGGAATTTTTCATAATTCTCTCATTTTAATTATTTGTTGATTTTATTGGATTTCCATCTCACCTGTACAAAATTACAATTTCGTATCTTTCTTTCAAATTATTGTATCTTCTATTCTTTTTTTATTGCATAGGAATCTTCCCTCATTAACTTCTAAAGCTCTATAAATTATTCAGTATAGTGACCATGTATTAACAATCAGTTAACTATCTCTTGACTCTTTGAGGCTTTCATAATCAATAATTTTTTTATTATTTGTTGACTCTTAAGTGATTTATTTTCCTAGAACTTAGAATTCTCACCCTCTGATGTATAATTTTTCATCTCTACTTGAAGATTTAGTGCCCTTTTTGTTTATTTTTAAAAGGTGAGGGTTTTGACTTTAAGATTAAAATATCAGGTTAATAGTTTTCATAGGTTTCATTTTGACTGAAGAATGATGGTTGAATTACACTTTTCTGCATGTATTGAGATAATCATATAACTAAACAAAAACTGTTAATGTAGTAAATTACTTTAATTTTCTAGTATTAAATCACATTTGGGTTCCTGAGATAGATTCAACTTGGTCATGATATATTATTATTTTTCATATATTTTTCTGGATTTGGTTTGCTAATGATTTATAATTTTTTTCTTGACTCTTCCAGATATATACAGCATCTTCCTTTCAGATATTTAAAGAGATTTAAATAACCTTCTTGTCTGTAAACAAAGGATTTTCTACCAATATGTCCTTCTCTGTCTTTCTAAGAAAAATCACTCCATTGCTATATTAATAGCTCAATTTACCTTTTATTACCTTCTAAATTCTATTAATAGTTAACTTTCTGAAACTTTATGTGTTGGTTTTGAACTATGTTATTAAGGGATTTAGTTTTCATTATATGAAGTCCTCATAATACCAAGTGCACATGATAGTTTGTGGTATTTTTTTAATGTAATGAGGTCAAATTTGGATTTTTTTGAAGTTATAAAAGTATTCACTAAGTTATTTAAAAAATATTTATTGAATATCTTCTATGTGTCAATTATTATTCTAAATGCTGAGGATACAGCAATAGGAAAAAGAAAAATCCCTGTCTCAATCAAGCTTCTTGGTAATAGTCTTAGGACCTAATGATAGCATCAGCACAGAAATAATTTTATTGTGATGTTCCACAATTCATACAGAAAATGATATTTGCTAGTCATTTCGGGCCTAGGGCTAAAATCACTTTTAATCAATGACAAAAAACAAATATACCACTTATAATCAATGATAAAAAAACAAATTTGACTTCCTTACTACTACTACTAGTCCTTTTTGATTACAGCTTATATAAACATGAAATATTCATTTGTAATAAAAAATGCGATACAAATAAATCTATAAAACTATTTGCTACTATGTATATATAAATATTTTTTAAATGGCTTGGATACATTTTGATGTTAGTACACCAAATGAATTTGTAGCACACTTTAAAAATGTTTCTTAAAATGCTTACAAGTACAAATATATATCTTTTCATATTAAAAATTAATGAGTGGATTATTCAAAGACAGGAAATGATATACTCATTTTGATTAACATTTAATAACTCAAATAGTATTAATTAATCAAGTAATTAGGAAACTTACAACTTTTGTACTTCACTTTTATATTATAATGAGCTTTATAATAGACAATAAGTATAGTAAATTAAATTTTAAATAAATGTTTACCAAGTATGTATAACATTGAATTTGAGTTCTAATATAATTTCTAGTTTAAAATATAGATAAAATTACAGCTAATCCAAAAATTGCCAAACTGATTGCAGAAATATTGGTACCCAGATCAGGAATGCTGGGTTCCTGTGGAGGAATAAAGTTAGTTGCTTGTGCAATGTTTGAAACCTCTGAGGTGACATTGGCTTCATGGATGGCTTGAATTGCAATATAGAATGTCGTACCATTCTCTATTTTAGAAGGTTCTGGTTTAAATTCAAAACTTTCTACTGAACCAGGCTCCTTAGGTATCAGACCAGAAGTATTTATTAAAGCAGCTTTATCAAAATCTTCTTGGAGGTCCAGGAAATGTTTACTTATTCTTATAATGTAGCTCTCAGCTGGAAAACAAATAGATACTTCAGATATATTAAAATCACTAGGATGCCTTGCTACCACCACACTGCTTTACATTTAGAAACCTATCAGAAATGCACACTAGGTTTTAGTTATGGAAATCCCATTAGTTTTTGTCTGGTTATTCCATCTTTATTGTAAGGACAAATGTGTGAACAGTTTTTCTTAAAATGTAGAGTTCTCTAATCCCAGGAAATTTTAATTCAAAATCATATGGTACTAAAAAGTCAGACTCTGGTGTTTTCCTTTTTAGGGAGAGAAATATAAGGAGCTGGATCTACTTTTTAATTTAGAACAAGGAACATAATAGTATTGTAGTATAGCGAAGATATTCAGTACCCTATATCTGTGTCATTTCTTATTAAGTTAAAATAGGAAGTAATAGGACAGGGGAGAAAGAGAGATGATAAATGGAGTGGGAAACAGGGATAAGGATAACCAGCAAAAGGAGGCAGAGAGACTGGAATGTGTACTAATTAAACACGTGCTAAGCAGAAAGACAAACATCGCAAGTTCTCACTTATTTGTGGGATCTAAAAATCAAAACAATTAAACTCATGGACATACAGAGTAGAAGAATGGTTCCTAGAGGCTGGGAAGGGTAGTGGGGGACTGGGTAGGAGAAGGTGGGGATGGTTAATGGGCACAAAAAAACAGTTAGAAAGAATGAATAAGACCTACTATTTGACAGCACAACAGAGTGACTATAGTCAATAGTCAAAAATAACTTAATTATACATTTAAAAATAACTAAAGGAGTGTAGTTGGGTTGTTTGTAACATAAAGGATAAATGCTTGAGGGGATGGATACCCCATTCTCCATGATGTGATTATTTCACATTGCATGCCTGGATCAAAATCTCATGTACCCTATAAATATATACACCTACTATGTACCCACAAAAATTAAAAATTTAAAAATATGAAAATAAAAAATAAAAGTAAATATGTGTTAAGGACCTAGACAAACCTTGAGTAGCACCCTAATTTTACTACTTGCTAGCTGTGTCATAAAAAGAAATTTATTTAAGATATCTTTTCTTTTTTTTTTCTTTTCTTTTCTTTTTTGAGACAGAGTCTTGCTCTGTCGCCAGGCTGGAGTGCAGTGGTGCCATCTCAGCTCACTGCAACCTCTGACTCCCTGGTTCAAGTGATTCTCCTGCCTCAGCCTCTCGAGTAGCTGGGATTACAGGCATGCGCCACCATGCCCAGTTAATTTTTTTTTTTTTTTCAGTAGAGAAGGGGTTTCACCATTTTGGCCAGGATGGTCTCGATCTCCTGACCTTGTGACCCGCCCACCTCGGCCTCCCAAAGTGCTGGGATTACAGGCATGAGCCACCGCACCCCGACTTAAGTTTCCTTATCTCTAGTTTTTTATCTGTTAAAATAGGGATTCAGTTATTCAAATCATTCAACAAATATTTATTGAGTGCCTACTATTCTAGTGGTAAGAATCATAGATGATAATGCATGAAACATGTTCACTACAATTTAATAAATGGTAAATTAATAAATGTTTGAAATATTGGCTGTTATTTTATCAAGAAAGGAAAAGAAGATGCCAACATAAATGTTTCTTTCTACACTGCTTTTTGATATCTACCATTCATGTAGAAATATATTCTCACATTCTGAAATGTGATGAAAAATAAAACACCAGATTTTTTTTGGAGTAAGGACTTTATTTTTAACTTTTCCATGAAATATTGAAGGTATTTCAAGTGTGTGGTGAATAACTTTTAGTGTATTTTTAAAAATAATTCAGATCCTCTGCTTAACATTTAGTTTCCTTTTAAATAGGCCTTATCAATCCGTTCTACTACTCTTCACAAAAACCTTGTGTTCCACTTACGTAGGTCTCTCTGTCTCTCTTCTCTCCACCTATTTCTTATTTTAATTAGAATATTCCATTGTGAAATTTTGCTTTCTTGACCTTGATCATATAATTTTGTTCTTTCTCTCTCCAAAATGTACCTCCTTCTCCCTATATATGCAAATTGTACTCATTCTTTAAGGTCCAACCAAGCCCAACTGCATGAAGTTCCGTCCAAGTATTTCATTCACCCTGATGACTCTCTTTCATGAACTTCTGTTTCATGGAGTGGAGTTTTTCAGATAGTTTAGTAGAGGTTCAACTTTTCATTCTGATTAGATCTTATTATTTTTGAGGGTAAAGACTATGTTTTTTACTCTTTGTATCACTCAGGGTACCTGGTCCTGTGTTGACATGTATTTGATCTCCTTAATTACTTGGCCAACAATACAGTTGTTAAGTTGACACCCAAAATGATAAAATTAGAAAATCATAAAAAATTTGAATTATATCTACTTGTTTTAGTAATTTTAGGTAATCTAATCTAATTTGTATATTTGACAGGTGAGGAAATTGTGTCCCAGGTAATTTAAGTGCTTCATTTGAGATTATATAGACGTTCATTTATTCTTTAAGATACTGCTACTATCTTACCTTTGGAATATCTACAGGTAACATTTAACAGGTACCAATACCTCTTCCTATTTTTCCTAAGGAAAGACAAAGATTAGATGCCACCTATTTTAGGCATTTGTGGTTATACATTACTCCTACTTTTAGTTCTTATAATCAGCATGAGGGATATTTATTATGAACCCAATCTTGAACTGAAAGCTTGGTTTTTACTGAATTCACTATAGAACTAAATATTTGGTTAAGAAATTTCATTTGTGGCTTTTTCAGTGGCAATGGTATTTTTCACTTTTTTTGATTCTGCCATATGTTTAAGGGTCATAGCATGAGAAAATAAGGTATGCAAAAAGCTGTCATGATAAGATTTTCAACATTGAAATACAAAAGCTCTGTTTGTGCATATTCTGTTTCCTCTGACTTTAGAATGATATTCTCCTTGTATAATAATGATAATAAGAAATGCAGCTTTTAAAATGCTATATAGTGAGTGAAAGATTAAGAAGCATCTTTTCTTTTGAGAGTGTACAATGGGGTTTATTGTAATCCAGGAGAAAGAGTACTGGAACACTGGTGTTTTAGCACTGGCAATCTCTGAGCTATTATGTATATCTAAATTGCATATTGCTTTCATTTTCCCAATCTTAAAGGGAAAATAGCAAGACTGGCGTTATCCCATAAAAATCTACTAACCTATGTAATACTGGAATATGGTAGGCATTCAATAAATACTGATTGAATTCAGTTAAATTTCAAGCAATGACAGAAGTAATTTAAACTTTTTGGAGTGAGGGTCATTTATCATTAGGAACTTTGAATAAATGAGATCTTTTGACCTTGAACTTTATTCAAACTCCATGAACAAATCTTTCAAACTAGTGAATTTCTGTGCACATGAACATCTCTCTCTGTGGACACCTTCACTTATCTTGGGTAACTACTCTCATTCTTCAATACTCAGTGATAGTCTTCTCTGGGAAGGCTTTACAATATACTCTGATTTTAACCTCTAACTAGGGGTTTGTGGCCCATCTATGGGTTGCCACATAATTCTCTGTTTATAAAAGCTTATGTCTTATTATACTTTATGTAATTATCTGTTTACTTGTGTGTCTTCTGTACTTAATTGACTGTTGAGAGTATGGATCATTTCTTAGGATTCTAATAGTGTGAAAGCTCAACAGAAGGTTGATAAATGAATGAAACTGTGCAAGTACAGAAATACTTAAAATTTGGGGAGAAGATAATGCAACAGAAAGCTGTTAACTGTCCTCTCAAAGTAATTTCTAAGCTGCTTCAATTTCTGACAGATAGTTTGGCATAACAGAATCTGACATGACTGGGTTAGAATTGTAAGTTACTAAATATAGAAATAACTTGGTCCAATCAACTCTTATAGCTTTAGTTTTCACATCTGAAAATAATTTAAAAATGGCCTATAGTAGACACTTCATAAATGTTATTTATAAATGGGCCATTAGAAAATTCTTAGCAAATGAAAGCCAATGGGATTTCTTTTAGTATATTTTAAAACGTAATGTCAAACTTACCTCTTCCTTTATCGAGGACCTTGCCAGGGGCAGTCCATGAAAGTTGAATATGATCTCCTTGAAACTTAGCCTCGAGGTCTACAATTTTACCAGGTGAGAACACCTGAGAATGATTACCATTAGGAGGCACTCCTGATACAGTAAACGACCCTCCAGAGATGAGTCTGCTGAAGTCGTCTGTTTGAGCTCCTTCCACATCATCTGTGACTTCAGGTTTGGATGGGTTCAGTATAATTTTTCCTACCAAGAAAAAATTTTGTAATATTTCATATTGCCATGTCTACTCTTTTATTTTATTTTTTATTTTTTTTGTTTTGTTTTTTGAGATGGAGTCTCGCTCTGTCGCCCAGGCTGGCTGAAGTGCAGTGGCGTGATCTCGGCTCACTGCAACCTCCGCCTCCTGGGTTTAAGCGATTTTCCTGCCTCAGCCTCCCGAGTCGCTGGAACTACAGTCGCCCGCCACAACGCCCAGCTAATTTTTGTATTTTGGTAGAGACGGGGTTTAGCCATGTAGGCCAGGCTGGTCTGGAACTCCTGACCTCAGGTGATCCACCCTCATCGGCCTCCCAAAGCGCTGGGATTACAGGTGTGAGCCACCGCGCCCGGCAGCGGTGCCTATTCATCTTGCAAGCTGATCTTGCAGCTGTAGAGGCTTAATATTGATTGGCAGACATTGAAAAAGTAACAGTTTTTACTGAGAAAACACTTGTTTATTCATATTTTAAAATTGATGAGGAAACATTATGCTATGTTAAAACTATCTTTTAACTTCTCTGTCTCTACTACTTGACTGCAAATTCTTTGAGGAACAGGATTATGTTTTGTCTTTGTAGCTCTAGCACCTAAGCACAGTGCTTGCAACATAGTAGGTGCTCAGTAATTTTTTTTTCAATGTAAATGAAATGAACTCAGGGAGATGTGAACAAAATATGTGGAAACATAGGTCTATGCTAGGTCTACTAATATCAACATGGTTTTGAAACATACAGATGATTACAAGGTTATATACTTGGGCTTTCTGTAGTACATTATATTTTCAATGTTTGCCGTATGGAATTTATCTAAACAAGTGACACATTTCTATTTTAGTGCTACTTACCATTTTCAGCATAGCGCGGTACATACAGAGCTTTATTCTGTTGTTGACTTAGCCTAGCTGTGTTTTTTCTTGCCTGGGTAAGCACTTTTAAACTGTATCTACCATTTCCATGGTAATCTGTAAAATACCTTGAGTAGATGCCATCATTCTTGACAGAATCAGCACCTTGATAATGAAATGTAAAAATTAGTCATACAATAAAGTAAAAATGACAGTCATATCTGTTTATGAACACTGATAATGTTAGTAATTTGGGAGATAGTATGTAGCACAGCGTTTTAAGTACATGAATTCTGGAATCAGACTATTTTGGTTGAAAGCTTGGGCCACTTGCTAACTCTGTGTTTTTGGAAAAGTCTAATTCATGGAAGGGATTCAATTAATATTAGCTGTTACTATTATTTCATAAAAAATACTTATCAAAATAAGAAAAAGCAACTGAAGAAAGCATATATGAAACACTGACATTAATGAAAATAGAGAAAAATTGTGCTCTTAAGTTCCATGGAAAAAGCAAAATTGTTCATAAAATTTAAAAATGGCATAAGTGCTATGTCTATGAGTTGTCAAGATAACTGAGAAAAAAGTTTTTAAAACATTAGGATTAAATTTCATTTACTTAAAAATATGATTCATTAGCAAATACAGGAAATATTGACTTCTAGGTCATAGAACTGTAGGAGGATTTTAAGTTTAGTGGAAGTTGATGTAGATTCTTATTACCTGCGCCATTGTCCCAGAGCTCCAATGTTACTTGATGTCCCTCTTCATTTTCTATAATGGCTGTTACATTGATTCCCAGAACAGGAAGAAACCCTTGACTGACTCATGCATAAACAATCACTGGGCTAGGGTAATGAGCTGTATTTTGACTCATGTGAGCAGTTGCAATTACTGGGAGTGTGGTAGGGCTTCTTGCTCGAGTGGTCATTGTCACAGTTAGCAATTGAGATTTGGTATGATTGTTTCGAACGCTGTAAGTCCAAGTGCCTGTCTGAAACATTAAAAAAAAATCTGTCTGAGAGCTTTGGTAATATTTTCCTACTTTTTGTTTGGAATACAAAATTATTTACAAATTTAAGCAGAATAATAATCATGATTTTTAATATTGAATTTCACAAACTAGTAAATAGTATGAATATGAATCCCTAATTATTCCATTTGATTTCTTTATTACAGATGATCTGTCATCATTTTAATATTGGCAATGTATAAGATGTTATCTATGTTATTTTTATCTTTTAAAAATAGAAATTGATTAAGAAAACTTAGAGAACATAAAATAATAGACCTACCTCTGCAATACCTGGTATTCGAAGACGGGCAGACCGAATATTTAGTTCACCTTCTTGAAAATCTGAGGTAGTATATTTTTTTCTTTTGGATCTTGAAGAATTATTGCTGGCTTTTGTATCGTCCATGTGACAACAAAGGAAGTATCATTTCTAACTGTACTATCCACAGGCACTGTACCATTTATCCATTTCTTCGCTGGGATATTCAAAGTTTTACTTTCCAACTGTTCGGTAAATAAAAACAACAAACACATGAAATCCATTTGTTATCATAGTTAATAAAATTTCCGAGTTTAGTCAGTTTAGAGTAATTTTGTTTGTTTTTAAGATTTCAATTAAAATAACTAAGAGTTATTTTAAAGAATTTTCCAAATGAAAAGGATACCTAATTCTAAAGAATAGAAGAATTCGGGAGAAGATGTGGCTTTAAGTGTTATGGAAAATCAAATTCAGTAAGGAAGTTTTTCTTCTGCATATCTGAAATATTTTCAGGCAAAAGAATTATTTGAGAGATAGGAGTTAATAATTAGGATAATATAAATTTATTACAACTGTGAGAAAGAAAATAGTTTTTTTTTACACTGACCTGAAGAGCCTGCTGAGAGATGCTGCCACTTCTAGATGAAATTCTGCTGAAAGCATCAATAAGGCCATTTATGTTTTTATGGGCATAAAAACGATGTCCTCCTAAAATCGAATTTTAAGTGGAAAAGTCATATTTGTTATTTTGCTCTCATCAATACACTTTAAAATCTATTTTAAAATTTTGTTTTAAACTTACAAAAGATGAACTTCCCAGCACTTTATGAACTTTCAGTATATCAGTGTCCCTTATGTAATCCTACAATAATAATTAAAACCTTGCTCAAAATAAGAAAGATAAGTAAGAATAAAAGAAACTTTAAAGAACAGGCCAAATTGTATTGTTTTTACATCAATCAGTCATCAAATGTAAGTGCCTGCCGCATTGGTAAAGCTGGTCTAAGCACTAAACAATGTTATAAAAATGAAATTTAAGATAGTTCTGAACCAGCTGTTTATCTTCTAGTTGGGTCTAAGGTACACCAAAACAATTAGAGAATTACAGTCTACAATAAATTAAAAATTAAGTGCAGGAAATAAATAACGTAGAAATTAATGAAGAGAGAGATTACTTAGGTGTAAGGAGTTAGGAAAGGATAGATTGCAGAGGGCAAGAATTAACGCAAGTGACTGCCACAAATACAACAGTCAATACATATTTATTGAACTGATAAATGGCAGAAAAATAAGCTGGAAGGTTATTGAAGTATCCCAGTCAGGGAATTGTAAGGGCTGGATTATAATGGCAGTGGTAGAAGGATTGTATAGAAAGGTGAAATACAGAAATGTTCCAAACGAAGATTTAGCAAGATTTGGTGAAGCAAGAATAGGGTAGTACGGTGGAAGAGCTCTGAATTGAGAATCAGGACTCTATGGCCTTTGGCA
Organism: Homo sapiens; assembly: GCF_000001405.40. Classification (NCBI taxonomy): domain Eukaryota; kingdom Metazoa; phylum Chordata; class Mammalia; order Primates; family Hominidae; genus Homo; species Homo sapiens. Next base: position 86,646,536 of record NC_000001.11, on the reverse strand, counting down.
AATCATTTGCACTCTCTAGGTTTCCATTTCCTCATCTATAAAAGAAGATTGTCAAAATCTCTACTGTGTGATTGGGTAGTATTTTGGAATTAAGCAATAATTTTTGACTTCCAGTTGAGTAACCATAGAGAAATAAGTTTCTGTTTAGTAGCATTGGCAGAAACTGGGCGGGGAATGAAGACAGCAAATGTTAAATAACATTAGAAAAAAACTGGTGTATGAAGTGGAAGAAAGGGAAAAGAACTTAATCTGAAGGATGAAGAAGGGACAAAGATTAATTTTTAGGATATGAAAATTTTGAGCAGATTTATAGAGAAAGAACCCCTGGAATGGGAGAGACTAGAAATTTATTTTTTATTCAAACTATATGCCAAAGGTTTACCTGTCATATTTGACAGGGTCTCCAGTTCTTCGTCAGCAGACGGCCCCAGAGCAATGGTGTGGATGACTGTGCCACTTTGTTTTACCTCTCCAAAGCATAAGCTTATTTGATAATCTTCCCCATCTGTTAGTAATATGATTTCAGAACCGAAAGTACTCTGATTACTCTGGGGAATTGCCTGATAATGAAAAAGCCAGGTTATTAATTATAGAATGTCATATCTTTATACATATATATATATATATTTTTTTTTTTTTGAGATGGAGTTTTGCTCTTGTTGCCCATGCTGGAGTGCAATGACACAGTCTTGGCTCACTGCAACCTCCACTTCCCAGCTTCTAGTGATTCTCTTGCCTCAGCCTCCCAAGTAGCTGGGATTACAGGCGCCCACCACCATGCCTGGCTAATTTTTATATTTTAGTAGATATGGGGTTTCACCATGTTGGCCAGGCTGGTCTTGAACTCTTGACCTCAGGTGATCTGCCTGCCTCTGCTTCCCAAAGTGCTGGGATTAGGCGTGAGCCACCATGCCTGGCCCATATCTTAATATATTTAAAATAAGAATAAACCTGTTCTTCTTACTCAGGATTTCCTGCCTTCTTAAACTAACACATTTCATCACAAATAGACACTATGAGGAAAGTTGAGATGTAGTATTAATCAATGGCCTGGATAAGACTAGCAATCTCCATTTTGAGGCAAAGAGAGGTCAGTGAAGGAAGTAGTTTTCTGTTTTTGTGGCTTAAAACATGACAGTAAATAGGCTTAAATGAAAGTTAGGTTGGAAGGAATTCAAATGAGTACTGGAGGCAATTGGGTATAGTGCTCCAAAGGTGCTCCCAATTTTTTGAGTTCACAATTTTAATTACATTAAACTTCAATCTATGTTTGTTAGGTTTGGTACTATATTGCGTATGGAGCTACCTCTATCTTTATGATTATTTTTTCTTTCTTTTTTTTTAGACAGGGTCTCACTCTGTTGCCCAGGCTGGAGTACAGTGACATGATCGTGGCTCATTGCAATCTCTGCCTCTAGAGCTCAAGCCATCCTCCCATCTCAGCCCCCTAAGTAGCGGGGGCTACAGGCACACACCACCATGCCTGGCTGATTTTATTTTTTGTAGGGGCAAGATTTCCCCATGTTGGCCAAGTTGGTCTCCTACTCCTGAGCTCAAGCGATCTGCCTGCCTCAGACTCCCAAAGTGCTGGGATTCAGGCATGACCCACCGTACCTGGCTTATTTTTATGACTTTTAATTTTTTTTAATTTTTAAAATTTGTAATTTATTTATTTATTTATTTATTTATTTATTTATTTATTTATTTTTGAGACAGAGTTTTGCTTTGCTGCCCAGGCTGGAGTGCAATGGTGCGATCTCAGCTCACTGCAACCTCCACCTCCTGGGTTCAAGCGATTCTCCTGCCTCAGCCTCCAGAGTAGCTGGGATTACAAGCTTGCACCACCATGCCCGGCTAATTTTTGTTTTTTAGTAGATATGAGGCTTCACCATGTTGGTCAGGCTGGTCTTGAACTCCTGACCTTAGGTGATCCACCTGCCTTGGCCTCCTAAAATGCTGGGATTACAGGCGTGAACCACCGCATCCAGCCTCTTTGTGATTTTTAAATGTCAATTTAACTTGATAAACTGGGGCTTTCCTTATCCATCATATGGAAATGTTACTAATTTCCCTTTTCCATAATCCCCTCATTGGCATTATTTTCTGATCCTTGAAACTCAGACTGTGGGAGTGTTAGAAAAATGGGGAGCTCCCCAATAAAATCATGATTGTGTGCAGGCTGAAATTTTCCCCACTTACTTAACCACTCCCCAGTGCAACTTAGCACCTCAGGAGTATGTCATTGGAATAGCCATACTCAGAGAGGGTCTAGTTGTAAACAGTAGGAAAGGCTATTTTTTTCTTCCCATAAATGATTTACCTTGATCAGGTCATAATATTATTAATTGAGGGGCCCATGAACTCATGCCCTTTGTTCAAAGGTAACTGGAGAAAATTAAAAGCAATAGTAAATGGCAAATGATATTTTAAAAATATTTTTATTTTACCTGAAATCCTGCTTTGAGTCCCCTGCAAATTGAAGTGCCACCATCAGCTTCTTGAGGCAGGTTTGCAGTGATCTTTTGGTAAGTGTTATCATCAATTATTTTTATGAGCTTACTTTGGATTTTAGCAAAACTGTCAAATGTGACCAACCCAACCAAGGATCCCTTTTCAATAATTTGAATCAAGTACAATTCTGCTGCTTGATTCATTCGAAAGAGACGGTCTTCCTGTAAGAAAAAGATTTGTGAATAACTCACAAGACTCTCCAAATCTTGATGGATTAATGAACGGCAAACCATTTATGGACCATAGGTCATGATAATAATTGATTGGTTGTATTTTAAAATTTAGCTTCTTCATTTTATTTAAAAAATTTAAAGAAAATCTTAAAAATTCAGTTATACTTGAAAAAGCCTTAAAAATCTATACCTTTTTATTTAATTGTATATTGAGGAATTTCTCCTAAAGAAATAATTTTATAAATGCATACAAAGATGCTCATTTAAAAAATAACAAGTGAAAATCTCCCAACTGTCCAACAACAGGAGATTGCTTGATGAAATTATAGTATGGGCATGTTATACAGCCATTAAAAATTATGTCATGGAATCATTTTTTTCATGGGGAATATTAAAGATATATTAAGTAAAAATCATCAGATTATAAAACATTATATAAAATATAATCATATTTTTGAGGAGGGAAAACAAATACATTAGCAAAGAAAAGACTAAAGTATCATATTTTCAATGACAGAATTATGGATGATTTTCATTTTCTTGCTTGGCTATAATTTTTCTAGTTAGAACTAAAAGTTAAGGAATAAAAATGACTCATAATCCAATCTCTGTCACCCAGGCTGGAGTGCAGTGGTGCAGTCTTGGCTCACTGCAACCTCCACCTCCTGGGTTCAAGCAATTCTCCTGCCTCAGCCTCCCAAGTAGCTGAGATTACAGATGTGCATCACCACTCCCAGCTAATTTTTGTATTTTTAGTAGAGACAGGGTTTCACCATGTTGGCCAGGCTGGTCTCAAACTCCTGACCTCAGGTGATCCACCAGCCTTGGCCTCCTAAAGTGCTGGGATTACAGGTGTGAGCCACTGCACCCAGCCTACAACATTTTTCTGTTGGCATATTGTCTTCTAGTACTTATCTATATAAGATTATGTGCTAAAATTTATTAGAACATAAATACATATGTATGTTTGTTACCAAAACTAAACCTAAGATTATATTTCCATCAGCCTAAATACTTAATACTTATATTTCTAGTAGCTTAAATACTTAAATAATTTAAGACAGTTAACCAAAAACTATCTTACTGCATTCATGCTTCCAGATTTATCAAGTACCAAACAGACTACACGCTGTTTGGACTTGAGCAATGAAAATGTAGGACGAGGTAAATTTATTTCTGTCATGGGAGATAAATGCTGAAAATCTTCAGAGCTCATGATTACATCCCATGTGCTTCTGTGATTGCACATTTTGTTCTATAGGTTTGGAGCTTCTTTATTGTGTGTTTTTTCAGTACAAAATTCAGTCACCTGGAAAAAAATCAATTAGAAGACAAGATTACAATAACTTGTGAGGCATCAAATATGTAGTTATCTGTCATACATATCATCCACAGATTTTATCTCCTGATAGTTAAAAACTACTTTATAATCTAACATTCTGACATCCATTTGCATATCAGAATGGAACGGAAGCAAGGTAAAGCTATCAATATGTACTGGTAAAGATTTTTGGTGATTCTTTTGGTTATAGATAGTTACATCAGTGGTGGATTGTGGCAGCTGGCACGACTGCTTATGTTAACTTTTTACTTTCCCTTCTAAACTTTGGGGGAGCTCAAGCCTTGAATTAAGTTTGAGGAAAAAGGGGCAGGGCTTGTGGTAATTTCTAGCTACCTCCTAAAAATGGTATAGAGAAAATGGCCTTCTTTAATTATCTAGGTATGTTCCATATCTTCATAGTTGATCAAAAACTTGAGGACAGCTATTCTACAACCTGGATTGCTATTGGCTCTGGCAAATTTTGACATACAGTAATACTCCTGAAAAAGGAATGAAAGTATAGGGAGAAAATGAGGAAATATAATTATTTGTCTGTTAGAGGCAAGTGGTGAATTGTATCCAGTAATTCTGCCAATGAATATTTCATTACTATAGAATCTGTGAAAATTTTTTAAATATTGAAAACGTAGTAACTTGGAAAAATGTTCTCATAAACTAGGGTGGTCTCCAAGAAGGAATTCATCTTGCTACTGCAAGATGAGCCTCAGCTTACAAGAAATATTTTTAGTCATTTCATTATTTTAATGCCCTCCCAAAGTAAAATATCCAAATGTAAGCTCAGAATTAGAAGAACTAAATTATTACATTTGAATACCTTTTATCTAAGTTTTATGAGTTTGCTTTGTTTCTGATGATACATTTCCCAAATGGGGTTATATTGGATGGGAGAAAAATGTAGTTTGCAATCAAAGCAGTGATTCATAACCAAGTCTTGCTGGTATGAAATGCCTATCAAACCTGGTTCCTCTTTCCCCTACCACTGCCACTGCCTTTATTTGGGCCTCTTACCTACCTGTTGCTATGGCCTTCCAACTGGTCTCCCTTGCCTCCACTATCAACTCTCTCTATCTCATCCTTCACAATTAGTAGGATTACTTTCCTGAAATAATTAAACTTATCACATCACCAGTCTAAAACTGAGAGGATAAAACTCAAACACCTTAGCTCTGTATGTCCCCATTTTTTGTTTCAACCTAATTTCCTGCCTCTTACTCACCATGTATTATTTGCTTCTACCATACTGGATTTCTTTATATCCTTAGAATATGCCAGAAACTTTCATTAGGGTCTTTGCTAACCCAAATGGTAATTTTGTGCAAATCAGAAAAAAGCACCAGTTTCTCAAGTTATTTTACTGTTATCTGCCAGAAAGTTGTTCTAATAAGTGTTAAAATCTTGAATGACCATGATGCAAATAATTTAGGCAATGCTGAACTTCCAGAATCATGCACAGCATCCCTGCCTTACTCCACTCTTTGCTTTTGTAAATCTGTTTCTTTGTATAGAATACTCTTCCCCTTCTCACTTTGGCAAATACATACTCACTTTTCTCAAATCCCCACTCAAAACTCACTGTTCAGAAACTGTTTTCTGACTTCCAGTTGGCAATGGTTACTGCTTCATAAAACTTGGTTCATATCTATATATGTCTTCCCACTTAATAATATGTACTTATTTTATCATATCTCTTTCTCCGTAAACTGAGTTCCTCAAGAACAGTCATCTTTAATTATATGTGTGTTCCCAGCTCTTAATGCAGTAAATACTAGGCGTAAGGAATAATAAATAATAAGGAAACAAAATCATGGAGTTGACTATTCAGCATATTAGATCATATCTTTCGTAGCTCTGAATTCATGCCCTCAGTACAGATGCTATGCAATATATTTATGTTATGATAATTAGAAGTTAGTGTTATTCTGGAAATGGAATCATTTTATCTCTGGGCCATGTCTTATATAATTAGTTGACCTCCATATTTCAGCTCCATAATCTTCTTCATTATTATTTATGTCCCAGAGGCAGCGTGAGTTATCTCCTGATGGTCAAATGCTTTTAGAATTTATGGTACGGATCAGGCAGTACATACAGTATTCTAGTTATCCTCTTGTGTCACATGATTTGATATCTATTTGTACGCATAACTCTTTGGCTAGCCTTTGTTGCTCCAGATTTAGCAGATTAAAGGGAACATTCCTGACTCGTGTGTCAAATGTAGTCAAGCCTTTTATCATTAATGCCCAAGAGAATTTTAAATTTTATCAGAGATACTGGGCCTTTACAAACCTCGGTCTATAGAAGTATTTTGATATTGGTATATGAAAATACCAATCACTACCAACAAATACTTCTATAGCAGAGGTTTGTAAAGGTATATGTCATATACCTTTGAAAATTTGGTATGTGAAAATTTGCTTCCTTGAAGTAAGTTAGTCCCACTATTTAGAGGTAGTGTACTTTGTTTTGATTTGTTGTTTTTGATAACTTTCATATATTTCATATTTTAAAATATTTTTATATGTTTAGAAATGTTCATTAGGTAAATACAATATGTTTGTATTAATTAAGATTAGACTTATCCATGGGAAGAAACAACTGGTTATTTTTCAAATATTTAATAAATTTTAAAAATTAAAAACTTAAAGTTTATAGCGCATTCAACTTGTGCTAAACACTATGCTAATACTTTATATTAGCTCTTTTAAACCCAACACGAATGACTATGTGAAGTAGGTATTATAATTCCCATATAAAAGATAAGAGAACTCAATCTCAGATTTAGCAGTTTTCCCACAGTGGACACAGCTTTAAAATGACAGACTGGGTTTCAATATCAGGTCTATCTGACTCCAAGGTACCTATTCTTATGCACTAAGCTTTATATATTTAAAGCAGATATTTCAGGTCAAACATTAGTTTTCAACTTTTTTGTGGTGTGTTATTATTTAATTGGTTAGACACATTGGTAATTGTGAATTTTTTTTTTTCTTAAGTCTTTTCAGTGGAGAAAGAGCCCTATGTGTTTTCACAATATCACTTTGCAATAGCTTGGTATGCTTTAGTGTGAAGGTAATGGAAAATCTAAAATGTCAATCCTTTTCAAAGCTACATTATAAATTTCTTTAGAAAAGTAATATGGCTAACACTTAGAAAAGGAATTAAAAGTAAGATTGTAACTCTATACAGAAGTCCACAGAAGTCAGTGAGGGAAGAGATGTGTTCTAAGAATTTATTGTGTGACTCTAATGAGAAGGCTACAGTGCTACATTTGAATAAAAGAAATAGGTTAATAAGAAAAGACAGGGTAATTTCCAGAGACACCCTGATACATGCCAGAGAAAATGACCTCTAATTAATTGCCTTAGTAATTTTCTGCCTTTCTATTGGTACGCATAATTTCACAGCAGAAAATCCAGCTTCTCTAATTAATTTTTCCCCAAGGATTCCTTTGAGAAACTGGAAAAAAGGTACTTACAGAATCAAGATTTTGCATAAACACAATGGATTCCTTGGCAGTCTGGGATCTCTTTGGGATAAATGTACATTTTGCTTCATACAGCCCTGTCTTTGAGTCACGTCTGAATGGTCGTGCTATACAGCTGGCCCCCTTGCATTCGTTCAAAACCATGTAAACAGTAATACGAGTGGAACATCTATGATGAAAGAATTAGATTATATATATACGAAGAATTGGCAAATCATGAATGAAGACCAACATCCTAAAATTTTTCCTTCAGTGACAACTGCCATAGATCATGTACCAAACATTACATTTTGACAGAAATAGGCACAATATTCTACCTCAATTTGTAATCGATTTCAATTGATACAATGTTGTCAGTTCATATTTATTAAACATTAATTGGTCATTGCAATCAATAAATCTATTATCCTTGTGACTTTGAGCTAAAGATGGTAATTCCTAACCAGAGAGATGTTGTAAAGATTAGATGAGTTAAAAGGTACAGCGGAATTGCTTATTAATAGGAAAGGGAAAGACAATATTATGCTTAAAATCCTCTTCAATTTCTGTATGTGGTATTCATGGTTTTGTGTTTATAGCATTTTGTAATTTATATCTTGAGCACCACTTCACTAAACTGGTGGAAGAAATAAAACTAAACCCCGCATGAAAAGGCTTGTGCATTCAAACCATTTGGTCCTTATGGTAAAAATAATTGTCAAGTCCTTGGCAGGGAATGAGGGTCAGGGTACAGGGACAGGATTCTAAAGTTTCTGTTTATATGCAGGATATCCTCCCATTCTGTGTTAATATTAAACTTCATAACATTAATCCATTTTAATAAGTTTGTATTGCAAGGATTTAGGGACATGAGGAGTCATATTTTCCAGAGGGTTAGTTCTTGAGTAAGCTTGAAAATTAAACTTACATATGATGAGACTTCACTGCTTGAAAGTGCCTGACACACAGTAGGAGCTCAATAAATGTTTTAGATACTTGTTTTTACTAATATATCTATTTTTATGACTGATTATAAGGAAACTCATTTATTTTTCATGAATTTATCAAAAATTTGTTGTTTGATACATTCTTTGTTTAGCTTTTACTTTATGCCAGGTCCAACACCAGAGGATTAAAAAAATGTGCAGTTCTTAAGAATTTTAAAGTCTAATGGGGAAAATAAAATTGTATAGACAATTACTGCCCAGTGACATACGTGTGAGAGAAGCCCACACATGCTGTGGGAGTACTCTTAAGGGAATTTAACCCCAAATGGAGGGAGAGGAAAGACATTTAAGTAAGAAATATTTAAACTGAGTCTTAAAGGATGAACAGGCATTATCTGAGTAAGGGAGGAGTTGTGTAGGTGAAGTTAAGAGAAATGAGTGTCCTGCACTGAGAGGAGCCCAGTCTGTGTGAAAAACTGCAGGCAGCTCCGCGGAGATCAAACGAACAACACAATGGAGATGATGAGAGGCATTTTTCCATTACCCCTCTTTCCTCAAATACATTTTCATCGCAAAGACTTATTTCCTATTACATTAACTTCCACTGTTCTTCAATATTGTTTAAATACTCCATGTGCTTGATATTTTTAACTAAGTGTAAACATCTCATCTATTCATAATAGTGCCTGCAGCACCTAGAATTATATTTTTAAAAAATCAACTTACTACCTTACTGTTACGAAAAGTACTTTCTTTAAGATCAAGATTAAATGAAAAGTATAATATGATATTTACAAAGGAGCTCTAGCAGCTTAACTGATTTCAGTGAAACAGATTTACCTTAAAAAGTGATGAATCAAGTCAAACAAAAGAGTGGGTAGGGTTGAACCACCTATTCTCAGATATCTTGGGATTTAGGCTACAGCTTTTTCCTTCCCCTCTGCCCATAACATGTTATAGCACAGTCCCTGTGAATACTGAAATTATTTCCTGTTTTTGATTCATCTTGATGCCAAGGTGGAATCTCTAGAATTAATTGGTGGCATACATGATGGGGCAGGTTGGATATTGCAATGAACTGTTTGAACTTTCCCAGGTAGTTACCTGAGATAGCCTTTGTTTGCCTAGCATAGAAAATTAAAGAGTCATAAGTGAAAAATTTTGAAAACAGATTTGCTCAATACAATGATACCTTGTTGCTTCAGTAGTGTTTCTTCTGGAAATATAGAATGGCTGGTCCACATTATACTCATCAAATACTCCCCACCGGAGATGGGCCCACTCATGGACAAATACTCTACCTGTGAGAGAATACTGCCACTTATAAATTTATAGTTACAATATTTTAAGGTAGTTTCCTATATTTCTCTTAAACCTCTCCCCAACTTAATTGAGTCAAGGTACTCCAGAAATTGATGCCTTTTATTAGGCCAAAAAAGTTGAAATGAGTTGGTGCCAATAAACGACTCATTTTATTATTAAACACACACACACACACACACACACACACACACAGAGAAATATAATTAGGAGCATAACTAGCATGTTTTCACGTAAAGGTATTATTTACTACCTATTTTTCTCTTCTTAGTTTTGTTTTCTTGAATGATGGGATCTTGCTCTTGTTCTGTTGCTCAGATTAGAGTGCAGCGGCATGATCATAGCTCACTGCAGCCTCAAGCTCCTAGCCTCAAGCGATCCTCCTGCATCAGCCTCTTAAGTAGCTGGGACTACAGGTATGCACTCTCATGCCTGGCTAGTTTTTAAAATTTACTTTTAGTTTTTTAGAGACTGGGGGCTCACTCTGTTGTCCAGGCTGGTCTCTATCTCCTGGGCTCAAGTGATCCTCCCACCTCAGCCTCCTAAGTTGTTGGGATGACAAGTGTCAGTCACTGTGCCTGGCTTCTTTAAAATTTTTTTTTAAATGCCATTAAACATAGAGTTATTTTTTTCCACCAGTGGAAATAAGAACAGAAGTACATCATAGATATCTCTACCTCGAGGCCCATAGGTAGCCAAGTTATTAGTCAACAAGAAGTTTGGAGTAAAATGTATATATTGTCCTTTATCTCCACATTGTCCATATTGAAGTGTATAGGGATCATCTCCGTATTTCAGGTAAAGATCAGCAACTATGACATCTGCCTAAAAAGAAAAAGAACAAACAAAAACAAATTTTGAAAACAATAGAAACAAGAGATTTTAGAAACAAGGACTTTTTTTCATATACATTAAGAAAAGTTATATTACTAATTTAATTACTACATTAGTGATTAGTAATTATTAAATAATTACAGATATTAAGTTTTTAAAAGCACAGGAGGAAAGAAGCAGTTTAGGAGTTAGAAGAAATAGCCTACCTGGTCATATGATTCTTGTTTTGGGATTAAGTACTCAGATTTTGATTTGTAGGTCATTGGAATTAAAATGCTTACATTCCTGAAATAAGCTCTTTGTTTGGTGGCATGAAACAGGTAAGTAGATGCTTCAGTTACCATTTCCTGACAAAATTTAAAATACCTTGTGGTAATAATTTCATAGTGAAATGAACATAACAGTACATATATAACTAGATGAAGCAAATCTAAGCCTCCTTTCCCCAAACATTTTGGGAAAACTAATTGAAAAATAGATTGAATTTTTCTACAACTCTTCAGTCTGTAAACTCCTTATTTTCATATGCTCAAACCACCTTTTAAAATTTTTTACCTGCATTCAGCATGATGGGTTGGAGATGGAAATGAGGGTGCTGGGTGAGATTAAGGTGATTAAGACTGGGAGGCTGTTGGTAAAGTTGTTCATTTGATCAAACAGAATGGCTTCTGGTTGTTTAGATTAATTGGGAGTTTAAAGTCTGGTAGATTATTATAATTGATGTCAATTGAAAAAAAAATTTTGCTAGATTTATTTTGAGTTATCTTCTCATATGGAGTGTGTTCATAAAAGGCAAAGTTTTACCAAGTGGAAATGAAAATAGAAATACATAGGTCTCATTGGCTTCAGATCCCAGTTTTGGCACTTATTGTGAGATTTGACAAATCACTTCATTTATACAAGGGTAATAATTCTTGTTTTTGAATTCCTCATGGGGATATTGGGAGGATCAAAGAAGATAGTATATATTAAAGTGATATATAAAGTGTTTTTTATTATACTGAATAATGCAAATAAAGAAGGTACATCAATTTAAAATGTGTAATTTTTTCTTTAAGATAAGATACATATGATTTTTTTACTTTTCCAGAGTTTGAACAAGTATGAACAACTGAAAAAATGTATAGGATAAAACGCTAGAGCTTAAGTGTAGACTAGTTAGCTAAACTTTATAAAAGTAACTTTATGAAGATAAAATTTGAGAATAATTTTCTACTTGCTGTAATGTCTTTCTGTTAGCTTAACTAGTTGAAAAAATATTAGTTCAGCCTTTTAATAATTCACTGGGGAATGGCCAATAGTATTAACATATAATAAAACACATTTAAACTCAGCAGGTATTAATCTGACAGTTTAGATAAATGCTATATAAATGGTAAATACTGTTGAAGAAATTTTGGAAAGTTATCACTCAATGAATGTGTATACCTAGGCACCATGAGTTGAAAATACATATTGAAATAAAAATATGTGGATAATAAAATTTTCCCTTACCTTTATGTTTTGAATGAGTTTTTCATCTTCTGGTACACTGGGATTAATTGCAATGACAATGCCATCATATCCATTGTTATTCAAAGTTACCAGTGAGCTTTTCAATACAGGCGAGAGAAGCAAGGATAGGAAGAGAATCACCTTCAGACTGAACACCATTTTTGCATGTTAAACAAACCTTTTGGAAATGTACCAAAGGTATTTATGTATCTGCTTAACTTAGGAATTTGAATCAAGACCAAAATATTTGCATAAAGTTTGTATAGTAAATTGCTAAAATATCTTGGAGTTGCTAAGTAGCAATGGGGATTATGCTGAACACATTTATCATACTTTCTAAGACAGCTGAGGCATTAATATTCATTGGATTGGGGGGGTGGTTCCAAGATGGCCGAATAGGAACAGCTCCAGTCTACAGCTCCCAGTGTGAGCGACGCAGAAGATGGATGATTTCTGCATTTCCAACTGAGGTACTGGGTTCATCTCACTAGGGATTGTTGGACAATGGGTGAAGGATAGTGGGTGCAGTGCACTGAGTGTGAGCTGAAGCAGGGCAAGGCATCGCCTCACCTGGGAAGAGCAAGGGGTCAGGGAATTCCCTTTCCTAGCCAAGGAAAGGGGTGACAGATGGCACCTGGAAAATTGGGTCACTCCCACCCTAATACTGAGCTTTTCCAATGGCCTCAGCAAATGGCACACCAGAAGATTATATCCCGTGCCTGGCTCAGAGGGTCCTACACCCATGGAACCTCACTCATTGCTAGCACAGCAGTCTGAGATCAAACTGCAAGGCAGCAGCGAGGCTGGGGGAGGGGCACCTGCCATTGCTGAGGCTTGAGTAGGTAAACAAAGCAGCCAGGAAGCTCGAACTGGGTGGAGCCCACTGCAGCTCAAGGAGGCCTGCCTGCCTCTGTAGACTCCACCTCTGGGGGCAGGGCATAGCTGAACAAAAGGCAGCAGAAACCTCTGACAGCTTGGAAGACAGTAGTGGTACTCCCAGCACGGAGCTTGAGATCTGAGAACGGGCAGACTGCCTCTTCAAGTGGGTCCCTGACCCCGAGTAGCCTAACTGGGAGGCACCCCCCAGTAGGGGCAGACTGACACCTCACATGGCTGGGTACCCCTCTGAGACGAAACTTCCAGAGAAACGATCAGGCAGCAACGTTTGCTGTTCACGAATATTCGCTGTTCTGCAGCCTCTGCTGCTGATACCCAGGCAAACAGGGTCTGGAGTGGACCTCCAGGAAACTCCAACAGACCTGCAGCTGAGGGTCCTGTTAGAAGGAAAACTAACAAACAGAAAGGACATCCACACCAAAACCCCATCTGTATGTCACCATCATCAAAGACCAAAGGTAGATAAAACAACAAAGATGGGGAAAAAACAGAGCAGAAAAACTGAAAATTCTAAAAATCGAGTGCCTCTTCTCCTCCAAAGGAACTCAGCTCCTCACTAGCAATGGAACAAAGCTGGATGGAGAATGACTTTGATGAGTTGAGAGAAGAAGGCTTCAGATGATCAAACTTCTTCGAGCTAAAGGAGGAAGTTTGAACCCATGGCAAAGAAGTTAAAAACCTTGAAAAAAGATTACACGAATGGCTAACTAGAATAACCAATGCAGAGAAGTCCTTAAAGGACCTCAGGGAGCTGAAAACCATGGCACGAGAACTATGTGATGAATGCACAAGCTTCAGTAGCCGATTTGATCAACTGGAAGAAAGGGTATCAGTGATGGAAGATCAAATGAATGAAATGAGGCGAGAAGAGAAGTTTAGAGAAAAAAGAATAAAAAGAAATGAACAAAGCCTCCAAGAAATATGGGACTATGTGAAAAGACCAAATCTACGTCTGACTGGTGTACCTGAAAGTGACGGGGAGAATGGAACCAAGTTGGAAAACACTCTGCAGGATATTATCCAGGAGAACTTCCCCAATCTAGCAAGGCAGGCCAACATTTAAATTGAGGAAATACAGAGAACACCACAAAGATACTCCTCGAGAAGAGCAACCCCAAGACACATAATTGTCATATCCACCAAAGTTGAAATGAGGGAAACAATGTTAATGACAGGCAGAAAGGTCGGGTTACCCACAAAGGGAAGCCTATCAGACTAACAGCAGATCTCTCAGCAGAAACTCTACAAGCCAGAAGAGAGTGGGGGCCAATATTCAACATTCTTAAAGAAAAGAATTTTCAACCCAGAATTTCATATCCAGCCAAATTGAGCTTCATAAGTGAAGGAGAAATAAAATCCTTTACAGACAAGCAAATGGTGAGAGATTTTGTCACCACCGGGCCTACCCTATAAGAGCTCCTGAAGGAAGCACTAAACATGAAAAGGAACAACGAGTACTAGCCACTGCAAAAACATGCCAAATTGTAAAGGCCATCAAGGCTAAGAAGAAACTGCATCAACTAACAAGCAAAATAACCAGCTAACATCATAATGACAGGATCAAATTCACACATAACAATATTAACCTTAAGTGTAAATGGGCTAAATGCTCCAATTAAAAGACACAGACTGGAAAATTGGATAAAGAGTCAAGAACCATCAGTGTGCTGTATTCAGGACACCCATCTCACATGCAGAGACACACATAGGCTCAAAATAAAGGGATGGAGGAAGATCTACTAAGCAAATGGAAAACAAAAAAAGGCAGGGGTTGCAATCGTAGTCTCTGATAAAACAGACTTTAAACCAACAAAGATCAAAAGAGACAAAGAAGGCCATTACATAATGGCAAAGGGATCAATTCAACAAGAAGAGCTAACTATCCTAAATATATATGCACCCAATACAGGAGCACCCAGATTCATAAAGCAAGTCCTTAGAGACCTACAAAGAGACTTAGACTCCTACACAATACTAATGGGAGAATTTAACACCACACTGTCAACATTAGATAGATCAATGAGGCAGAAAGTTAACAAAGAAATCCAGGAATTGAACTCAGCTCTACACCAGGTGGACCAAATAGACATCTGCAGAACCCTCCACCCCAAATCAACAGAATATACATTCTTCTCAGCACCACACCACACTTATTCCAAAATTGACCACATAGTTGGAAATAAAGCACTCCTCGGCAAATGTAAAAGAACAGAAATTATAACAAAACTATCTCTCAGACCACAACACAATCAATCTAGAACTCAGGATTAAGAAACTCACTCAAAACCACTCAACTACATGGAAACTGAACAACCTGCTCCTGAATGACTACTGGGTACATAACAAAATGAAGGCAGAAATAAAGATGTTCTTTGAAACCAATGAGAACAAAGACACAACATACCAGAGTCTCTGGGATACATTTAAAGCAGTGTGTAGAGGGAAATTTATAGCACTAAATGCCCACAAGAGAAAGCAGGAAATATCTAAAATTGACACCCTAGCATCACAACTAAAAGAACTAGAAAAGCAAGAGCAAACACATTCAAAAGCTAGCAGAAGGCAAGAAATAACTAAGATCAGAGCAGAACTGAAGGAGATAGAGACACAAAAAAACCTTCAAAAAATCAATGAATCCAGGAGCTGGTTTTTTGAAAAGATCAACAAAATTGATAGACCACTAGCAAGACTAATAAAGAAGAAAGGAGAGAAGAATCAAATAGACGCAATAAAAAATGATAAAGGGGATATCACCACCAATCCCACAGAAATACAAACTACCATTAGAGAATACTACAAACAACTCTACGCAAATAAACTAGAAAATCTAGAAGAAATGGATAAATTCCTGGACACATACACCCTCCCAAGACTAAACCAGGAAGGAGTTGAATCTCTGAATAGACCAATAACAGGCTCTGAAAGTGAGGCAATAATTAATAGCCTACCAACCAAAAAAAGTCCAGGACCAGATGAATTCACAGTCAAATTCTACCAGAGGTACAAGGAGGAGCTGGTACCATTCCTTCTGAAACTATTCCAATCAATAGAAAAAGCGGGGGTGGGCAGCCAAGATGGCCAAATAGGAACAGCTCTGGTCTACAGCTCCCAGTGTGAGTGACGCAGAAGACGGGTGATTTCTGCATTTCCATCTGAGGTATTGGGTTCATCTTACTAGGGACTGCCAGACAGTGGGCACAGGACAGTGAGTGCAGCGCACCATGCACGAGCCAAAGCAGGGCGAGGCATTGGCTCACTCGGGAAGCAAAAGAGGTCAGGGAGTTCCCTTTCCTAGTCAAAGAAAGGGGTGACAGACGGCACCAGGAAAATTGGGTCACTCCCACCCTAATACTGCGCTCTTCCGACTGGCTTGAAAAACGGCACACCAGGAGATTATATCCTGCACCTGGCTCGGAGTGTCCTATGCCCACGGAGTCTTGCTGATTGCTAGCACAGCAGTCTGAGATCAAACTGCAAGGCGGCAGCGAGGCTTGGGGAGGGGCGCCCACCAGTGCCCAGGTTTGCTTAGGTAAACAAAGCAGCTGGGAAGCTTGAACTGGGTGGAGCCCACCATAGCTCAAGGAGGCCTGCCTGCCTCTGTAGGCTCCACCTCTGGGGGCAGGGCACAGACAAACAAAAAGACAGCAGTAACCTCTGCAGACTTAAATGTCCCTGTCTGACAGCTTTGAAGAGAGCAGTGATTCTCCCAGCACGCAGCTGGAGATCTGAGAACAGGCAGACTGCCTCCTCAAGTGGGTCCCTGAGGCCTGACCCCCAAGCAGCCTAACTGGGAGGCACCCCCCAGTAGGGGCAGCCTGACACCTCACACTGCCGGGTACTCCTCTGAGATAAAACTTCCAGAGGAACGATCAGACAGCAGCATTCGTGGTTCACGAAAATCCGCTGTTCTGCAGCCACTGCTGCTGATAACCAGGCAAACAGGGTCTGGAGTGGACCTCTAGAAAACTCCAACAGACCTGCAACTGAGGGTCCTGTCTGTTAGAAGGAAAACTAACAAACAGAAAGGACATCCACACCAAAAACCCATCTGTACATCAACATCATCAAAGACCAAAAGTAGACAAAACCACAAAGATGGGGAAAAAACAGAGCAGAAAAACTGGAAACTCTAAAAAGCAGAGCGCCTCTCCTCCTCCAAAGGAACACAGTTCCTCACCAGCAATGGAACAAAGCTGGATGGAGAATGACTTTGACAAGTTGAGAGAAGAAGGCTTCAGACGATCAAACTACTCTGAGCTACAGGAGGAAATTCAAACCAAAGGCAAAGAAGTTAAAAACTTTGAAAAAAATTTAGACGAATGTATAACTAGAACAACCAATACAGAGAAATGCTTAAAGGAGCTGATGGAGCTGAAAGCCAAGGCTCGAGAACTATGTGCAGAATGCAGAAGCCTCAGGAGCTGATGCAATCAACTGGAAGAAAGGGTATCAGTGATGGAAGATGAAATGAATGAAATGAAGTGAGAAGGGAAGTTTAGAGAAAAAAGAATAAAAAGAAACAAACAAAGCCTCCAAGAAATATGGGACTATGTGAAAAGACCAAATCTACGTCTGATTGGTGTATCTGAAAGTGACGGGGAGAATGGAACCAAGTTGGAAAACACTCTGCAGGATATTATCCAGGAGAACTTCCCCAATCTAGCAAGGCAGGCCGACATTCAGATTCAGGAAATACAGAGAATGCCACAAATATACTCCCTGAGAAGAGCAACTCCAAGACACATAATTGTCAGATTCACCAAAGTTGAAATGAAGGAAAAAATGTTAAGGGCAGCCAGAGAGAAAGATCGGGTTACCCACAAAGGGAAGCCCATCAGACTAACAGCGGATCTCTCAGCAGAAACTCTACAAGCCAGAAGAGAGTGGGAGCCAATATTCAACATTCTTAAAGAAAAGAATTTTCAACCCAGAATTTCATATCCAGCCAAACTAAGCTTCATAAGTGAAGGAGAAATAAAATCCTTTACAGACAAGCAAATCCTGAGAGATTTTGTCACCACCAGACCTGCCCTAAAAGAGCTCCTGAAGGAAGCACTAAACATGAGAAGGAACAACCGGTACCAGCCACTGCAAAATCATGCCAAAATGTAAAGACCATCGAGACGAGGAAGAAACTGCATCAACTAACAAGCAAAATAACCAGCTAACATCATAATGACAGGATCAAATTCACACACAACAATATTAGCTTTAAGTGTAAATGGGCTAAATGCTCCAATTAAAAGACACAGACTGGCAAATTGGATAAAGAGTCAAGACCCATCAGTGTGCTGTATTCAGGAAACCCATCTCATGTGCAGAGACACACATAGGCTCAAAATAAAAGGATGGAGGAAGATCTACCAAGCAAATGGAAAATAAAAAAAGGCAGGGGTTGCAATCGTAGTCTCTGATAAAACAGACTTTAAACCAACAAAGATCAAAAGAGACAAAGAAGGCCATTACATAATGGTAAAGGGATCAATTCAACAAGAAGAGCTAACTATCCTAAATATATATGCACCCAATACAGGAGCACCCAGATTCATAAAGCAAGTCCTGAGTGACCTACAAAGAGACTTAGACTCCCACACAATAATAATGGGAGACTTTAACACCCCACTGTCAACATTAGACAGATCAATGAGAGAGAAGTTAACAAGGATACCCAGGAATTGAACTCAGCTCTGCACCAAGCAGACCTAATAGACATCTAAAGAACTCTCAACCCCAAATCAACAGAATACACATTTTTTTTCAGCACCACACCACACCTATTCCAAAATGGACCACATAGTTGGAAGTAAAGCTCTCCTCAGCAAATGTAAAAGAACAGAAATTATAACAAACTATCTCTCAGACCACAGTGCAATCAAACTAGAACTCAGGATTAAGAAACTCACTCAAAACTGCTCAACTACATGGAAACTGAACAACCTGCTCCTGAATGACTCCTGGGTACATAATGAAATGAAGGCAGAAATAAAGATGTTCTTTGAAACCAACGAGAACAAAGACACAACATACCAGAATCTCTGGGACACATTCAAAGCAGTGTGTAGAGGGAAATTTATAGCACTAAATGCCCACAAGAGAAAGCAGGAAAGACCCAAAATTGACACCCTAACATCACAATGAAAAGAACTAGAAAAGCAAGAGCAAACACATTCAAAAGCTAGCAGAAGGCAAGAAATAACTAACATCAGAGCAGAACTGAAGGAAATAGAGACACAAAAATCCCTTCAAAAAATTTAGTGAATCCAGGAGCTGGTTTTTTGAAAGGATCAACAAAATTGATAGACCGCTAGCAAGACTAAGAAAGAAAAAAAGAGAGAAGAATCAAATAGATGCAATAAAAAATGATAAAGGGGATGTCACCACCAATCCCACAGAAATACAAACTACCATCAGAGAATACTACAAACAACTCTATGCAAATAAACTAGAAAATCTAGAAGAAATGGATAAATTCCTCAACACATACACTCTCCCAAGACTAAACCAGGAAGAAGTTGAATCTCTGAATAGACCAATAACAGGCTCTGATATTGTGGCAATAATCAAGAGCTTACCAACCAAAAAGAGTCCAGGACCAGATGGATTCACAGCTGAATTCTACCAGAGGTACAAGGAGGAACTGGTACCATTCCCTCTGAAAGTATTACAATCAATAGAAAAAGAGACAATCCTCCCTAACTCGTTTTATGAGGCCAACATCATCCTGATACCAAAGCCGGGCAGAGACACAACCAAAAAAGAGAATTTTAGACCAATATCTTTGATGAACATTGATGCAAAAATCCTCAATAAAATACTGGCAAACCGAATCCAGCAGCACATCAAAAAGCTTATCCACCATGATCAAGTGGGCTTCATCCCTGGGATGTAAGGCTGGTTCAATATACGCAAATCAATAAATGTAATCCAGTATATAAACAGAACCAAAGACAAAAACCACATGATTATCTCAATAGATGCAGAAAAGGCCTTTGACAAAATTCAACAACCCTTCATGCTAAAAACCCTCAATAAATTAGATATTGATGGGACATATCTCAAAATAATAAGAGCTATCTATGGCAAAGCCACAGCCAATATCATACTGAATGGGCAAAAACTGGAAGCATTCCCTTTGAAAACTGGCACAAGACAGGGATGCCCTCTCTCACCACTCCTATTCAACATAGTTTTGGAAGTTCTGGCCAGGGCAATTAGGCAGGAGAAGGAAATAAAGGGTTTTCAATTAGGAAAAGAGGAAGTCAAATTGTCCCTGTTTGCAGGTGACATGATTGTATACCTAGAAAACCCCATTCTCTCAGCCCAAAATCTCCTTAAGCTGATAAGCAACTTCAGCAAAGTCTCAGGATACAAAATCAATGTACAAAAATCACAAGCATTCCTATACACCAATAACAGAGAAACAGAGAGCCAAATCATGAATGAACTCCCATTCACAATTGCTTCAAAGAGAATAAAATACCTAGGAATCCAACTTACAAGGGATGTGAAGGACCTCTTCAAGGAGAACTACAAACCACTGCTCAATGAAATAAAAGAGGATACAAACAAATGGAAGAACATTCCATGCTCATGGATAGGAAGAATCAATATCGTGAAAATGGCCATACTGCCCAAGGTAATTTATAGATTCAATGCCATCCCCATCAAGCTACCAAGGACTTTCTTCACAGAATTGGAAAAAAACTACTTTAAAGTTCATATGGAACCAAAAAAGAGCCCGAATCGCCAAGTCAATCCTAAGCCAAAAGAACAAAGCTGGAGGCATCACACTACCTGACTTCAAACTATACTACAAGGCTACAGTAACCAAAACAGCATGGTACTGGTACCAAAACGGAGATATAGATCAATGGAACAGAACAGAGCCCTCAGAAATAATGCCACGTATCTACAACTATCTGATCTTTGACAAACCTGAGAAAAACAAGCAATGGGGAAAGGATTCCCTATTTAATAAATGGTGCTGGGAAAACTGGCTAGCCAGTTTTCCTTTTCATTGCATCCGTGCCCATATCTATTATTTTTTGATTTTTGATTATGGCCATTCTTGTGGCAGTAAGGTGGTATCATACTTTGGTTTTCATTTGCATCTCCCTGATCATTAGTGATGTTGAGCAGTTTTTCATGTTTGTTGGCCATTTATATATCTTCTTTTGAGAATTGTTTGTTCATGTCCTTAGCACACTTTTTGATGGGATTGTTTTTTCTTGCTAATTTGTTTGAGTTTATTGTAGATTCTGGATAGTAGTCCTTTGTCAGATGTATAGATTGTGAAGATTTTCTCCCACTCTATGGGTTGTCTGTTTACTCTGCTGACTGTTCCTTTTGCCGTGCAAAAGTTCTTTAGTTTTATTAAGTCCCAGCTATTTATCTTTGTTTTTACTGCATGTGGTTTGGGGTTGTTTGTCATGAAATCCTTGCCTAAGCCAATGTCTAGAAGGGTTTTTCCCATGTTATCTTCTAGAATTTTTATAGTTTCAGGTCTTAGATTTAAGTCCTTGATCCATCTTGAGTTGATATTTATATAAGGTGAGGGGTGAGGATGCAATATCATTCTCCTACATTTGGCTTGCCAGTTATCCCAGCACCATTTGTTGAAAAGGGTATCCTTTCCCCACTTTATGTTTTTGTTTGCTTTGTTGAAGATCAGTTGGCTGTAAGTATTTGGGTTTATTTCTGGGTTCTTTATTCTGTTCCATTGGTCTTTGTGCCTATTTTTATACCAGTACCATGCTGTTTTGGTGACTATAGTCTTACAGTATAGCTTGAAATTGGGTAATGTGATGCCTTCAGATTTGTCCTTTTTGCTTAGTCTTGCTTTGGCTATGTGGACTCTTTTTTGTTACATGTGGATTTCAGAATTGTTTTTTCTAGTCCTGTGAAAAATGATGGTGGTATTTTGATGGAAATTGCATTGAATTTGTAGATTGCTTTTGGCAGTATAGTTATTTTCACAATATTGATTCTACCCATCCATGAGCATAAGATGTGTTTCCATTTGTTTGTGTTGTTTATGATTTCTTTCAGCAGTGTTTTGTAGTTTTCTTATAGAGGTCTTTCACCTCTTTGGTTAGGTATATTTCTAAGTATTTTATTTTATTTTTGAAGCTATTGTAAAAGGAGTTTAGTTATTGATTTGATTCTCAGGTTGGTCACTGTTGGTATATAGGAGAGCTACTGATTTGTGTACACTAACTTTGTTTCCTGAAAGTTTGCTGAATTCTTTTATCAGTTCTAGGAGCTTTTTGGAGGAATCTTCAGGGTTTTCTAGGTCTACAATCATATCATCAGCAAACAGCAACTGTTTGACTTCCTCTTTACTGATTTGGATGCCCTTTATTTCTTTCTCTTGTCTGATTGCTGTGGCTACGACATGAATAGAAATGGTGAGAGTGGGCGTCCTTGTCTTGTTCCAGTTCTCAGAGGGAATGATTTCAACTTTTCCCCATTCAGTACTATGTTGGCTGTGGGTTTGTCTTAGATGGCTTTTATTGCATTGAGGTATGCCCCTTGTATGCTGATTTTGCTGAGAGTTTTAATGATAAAGGAATGCTGGATTTTGTCAAATGCTTTTTCTGTGTCTATTGAGTAATCATGTGATTTTTGTTTTTAATTCTGTTTATGTGGTGTATCACATTGATTGACTTGCATATATTAAACCATCCCTGCATCCCTGGTATGAAACCCACTTGATCATGGTGGATTATCTTTTTGATATGTTGTTGGATTCAGTTAGCTAGTATTTTGTTAAGGATTTTTGCATCTATGTTCATCAGGGATATTGATCTGTAGTTTCCTCTTTTGGTTATGTTCTTTCTTGGTTTTGGTACTAGGAAGATACTGGCTTCATAGAATGCTGAAGTCTTCAACTACCAGGGTGAGTAGGAAGGACCATCAGGTGGGGGCAGAGCTAGGTGTGTCTGAGCTCAGACTCTCCTTGGGTGGCTATTGCTGTGGCTGCTGTGGGGGATGGAATTGTGGTTCCCAGGTCAATGGAATGATGTTCCTAGGAGGATTATGCCTGCCTCTGCTGTGTCATTCAGGTTGTCAGAGAAGTAGGGGAAAGCCAGCAGTCACAGGCTTCACCCAGCTCCCAAGCAACCCAGAAGGCTGGTCTCACTTCCATCATGCCCCCAGCCCCCGAAAGACACCAACTCTGTTTCCAGACAGTGGAAGAGCAGGGCTGAGAACTTGCCCCAGGTTACTAGCCTCCCACGTGTGAAAGCAAGCAGGGCTTTCATGCCTTCCCACCTGAGGAGTCTGCATACTGGATTCATGCCCTCCCCAGAGTTCTGGCCAGAAAACTTTGTGTTTGGTTGGAATTGTTACAAAGTTCAGCAGGAGATTTCCTTCTCTTTGTGGTCTTTTCCCAGTACCTCTGGCAGCCCTCTCCAAGGACCTCTGTGGACAAGACAGAAATGGCTCTCTAGGGGACCTAGAGAGCCTAAAGGGCTTCTCCTGCTGCTTCCTCTACCTCTGTATTTAGCTTGACTCTCTAAATTAACTCAGCTCCAGGTAAGGCAAGAATCTTCTCCTGTGATCCAGACCTTCAGGTTCCCTAGTGAGGGTGTGTGTTCGCAGATGGACAATCCTCCTTTCCCACTTCCACAGCTTGGGCACTCACTGTATTTGGGGTGTCTCCTTGCTCCTACAGGAGCAGTCTGCTTCCTTCAGAGGGTCTGTGGGTTCTCTCAACTTTTCTGGTTTATTCCTGCAGTAGTTTTGGAGCAAAAGTTCACAATGCAAGTCTCCACACACTGTTCTGTCTGTGTGGGAGCTGCAATCTAGTCCTGCCTCCTGTCCACCATGATCTATTAGTTTTTCCTCTTGTAGCTTACTAAGCTTTTTAAAGATAATTATTTTGAATTCTTTTTAGGCAATTCATATATCTCTATTTCTTTGGGGTCAGCCACTGGAGCTTTATTATTATTATTTTGGTGGTATATTTCCTTGATTTTTTATGTTCTTTGAAGCCTTGCCTTGTTGCCTTCTCATTTGAAGAAGGAGTAAACTTCTCAAGTCTTCGATTACTGGCATTGCGAGAGAACAATCTTCACCATTCAGCCTGGCTAGAGATCTGGAGGTGTCTCAGATCATTTCAGTTGATGTATCCCCTTACTGTTCTTATTCCCTCTTGGGGGATAGTGTCAGGATTGTATGCCTTCCCTTGATCCCATAAAACCAGGCCAGGTAGTGAGAACTTTCCATTTACTTCTCCTAGTGTAATGCCAAAGGTTCTTGCCTTAGCCATGCCAAAGAATTGGTGTGGCAGCTGCCCGCAGCGAGTGATAGAGACATGGACCGAAAGAGAGAAAAAGACATAGGCTTTATTGGGCAGAGTGAAAATACAAAGCTTCCACAGTGTGGAAGGGGTCCCAAACAGGTAGCCAGAGTTAGATTATGCAGTTGCCTTTTCAACTCTTTAAGGTGGGAAATACATGCGGAGGGAAGATGTTACCAGAGTGAGAAACAAAGGCAGTAAATTATTTTGTGACATGTCTTAGATTTTGAGGAAAACCGGAATTGCAGCTTAGGTTTTATCTACTTTATGACCTTGCAGTGGCATGGCAAAGGAGACAGGATTTTATAGGATTTTACAAAGTATGTTTACAAGGAATTGGAATTGGGAGCATAGATAAAGTCTGCTGGTCACAGAAAAATGGGCAGTCAACATTCTTTTTAGTTTTGGGGGAAGGGGAAGGAAGAGAGGGAGAGAGGACACAGGGATGCTTACAGCAAAATTTTCATTGTTTATAGCTTTCTTGGGGAAGAAAACACACGCACAAATCTGGGTGTTAGGAATATTTTAAGCATATATCTTCAATATTATTCATCCAGGACCGAAGTAAGTCCTGATGCAGGAATGAGTGAGTTTCACAGCTTTCTGAGCCCCTACTTGACCCAGGAAGCCCAGCTGGCACCTCCTCTCACTAGGGCTGTGATCTGGAGTGATCAAAGTTGTGCACCTTCTCCCCGTTTAGCAGAGTTGAGCTATCTGTTGATATCTGTGCACTGTCTTTGCAGGCTCATGTTTGCCATCTTCAGGGGAGCACATGTACTGTCTTCAGGGGAACCTGGGGTGCCATCTGTGGAGGAGTGCAAGGTGCTGATGATGGTGGTGGTGGTGGGAGTATGTGCATGGAGTGCTTGACATATCAGTTAATTTGGGGGTTCACATGTGACACATCCCCACAGGGTTCATTGGTGATATCTACAGGCCAGCCAGTAACATCTGTGGCCAATTATTGAGATCTGTGTGCCCTCTGCTTTGAGCTTCTGCTCCTTTTCACTGCTTCTTGCTGCCAGACAATTCAGTTGTGCTAATCCTCTCAGTGTTCTGGATGGGACAAGATAGAACGGGGTTTTTTGGATTCAACCTTCAATTCTGGGAGAGCTGAGTGCTCACTTTTCCCTCACTTCCACCTGTGGGAGAAATCATCAACCAAGGGGTTCTTCCTTGGCACTGAGCTGTGCCATCTTGTGTAGGGGGTGATGTGCATAAAATGTAACTGTTCTTACCTACTTTAATGCACACATTATTGAATTTTTTTTGCTCCACCATGATTCTAGAACATCTCAGCTAGACTCCTGAGCTCCTGAAAGGTATTCTTATCCATGGGTGGTTTTAAAATTGGCATTTCTCTGGGGAGTTGAGGGTTGGCACCTCCCATCCCACTATCTTGCTGATGTCATTCTCTAGATAGAATTTTATTTGTCTTTTTACCCTTAGCACAAAGCACAGGATTTGGTACATAAATATTTAATATACATATGTTGATGGCCTTTATAATTATAATGAATGCTCAAAATATTCTAAAGGAGTTAAGTTTATGAACAAGTATTTATCTAGTGCCTGTGAGTCACTATTCTAGGCATTGAAAATAAAGTAATTTGCAAGTTGGATAGTTTCCTGACCTCAAGGTGCTTATATTCTAGTGGGAATAATAAACATAGAAAGCCTCAATCAATAGGTGACATTTAGCTTGAGGCTTGAAGGATGAGAAGGAGTTACCAGTGTGAATATCTAGGGAAAGGATATTCTAGGCAGAAAAGCAGCAAGGATAAGGTCCCTAAGAGAAAAATGAGCTTTCATATTTGAGTGAAATAGTGATGGCCAATGTGGCTGCAATGCAATGCAGGAGGGAAGTGAAGACGGAAATATAAGCAGAGGCTAGATCACATAGCGCTTTGAAAGTCATGGAAAGGAGCTGAATTTTACTTTAAGTATAATGGGAAGACATTAAAAGGGTCTTAAGAGGGAGAATGCTATAACCTGATTTGTGCTTCAGGATAATAGTCTTGTGAAGAAAAGGTGGTAGAGGGCCAAGAGCTGAGTCAGGAAAATCAGTTAGGAAGCTCTTTTAATAGTTCATATGAGAAGTCATGGAGGCTTGGGCTGCAGTTATACAATGGAAAAGGTAAGGAATTGATTTTGAATTTATTTTGGAGGTAGTGCTATTAGGACTTGATTTGGTGTGATGTATGAGGAAAAGAGATGACTCAAGGATAACTCTTAGATTTTTTACCTTATCCTTGAATGTATGATACTATTGTTCACTGAGATGAGACAGGCTAGGAGGAGAAGGGATGGAGTAGTCAACTTTTTGAGAAATTAAATAAAAACGTATTATTGGCATTGCCAAGATATAGATCATTAGCAAACTTGACAAGAAGAAACCTTATAGGAACAGGTCTAGAAGAGAATGGACAGTGATAAAGCAGGATGGTGAATATAGACAAATCTTTTCAAGGGATTTTGCTGCGAAGAGAAACAGAAATGGTCAGTAGCTGAGAGAGGTAGTTTAAGATAGGAACTATTGTAGCAACTATAATGATGGGAATGATCCACTGGAGAAACAACATTTGATGACGTAGGGCTAAAGAGAGGACACTATGGGAAAGAATTTGGAACATTTGAAATAGGTAAGAAGGCAGAGCATGTCGGTACATATCGAGAAGGTTGAGAAATTCATGGTGGGAAATGTACTTATTTTGTCATCAGGAGGCATATATCAAGAAGTTTTCTACTGTCACGTGATACCTTATTCTGCTTATTTTTCAATCTGTTTCCTATGATATTTGCTTTTCCAATTTCCTGCCTGATGTATGCCAGAAGGTAAGTTCAAAAGATTCCCAAAGCTGATTTCTTTATTGGGTTTTATGTGTAGTATGTTTAAAATGATGTTTCCTAATCATAAGCCTATTAATTCTAAGTGGAAAAAGAGCAGGATACCATATATATAAATGTGATTACACTAATGATAATGACTCAAATTTAAATTGCATTTTTTCCAAGCTTGACCTCTAGTTTTTCTTCAAGTCTCAAGTAGTTTTCCCTGAAAGATTCTAGGTATGTCTTGCAGGCGCATGTCTGAGATGATAGAAGCTAAATCCTTCCTCTCCTTCATCTACTTTGTCCTCAGAGTCACTGGAGGTGAGTTTTATCATAAACACTGTGACTGGCATACACTTCTACATGCTGATGTCCTTGCCAAGGGGTTGTCTACAGAAGCTGTCAAATCGTGAGGTACCTAGAGAGGATGTAGCCTAAGGCCACACTTTGAACTCTCCTATTCCCTCACCTTATTTATAAAAAGTGGGCTGTGCCTTGAGAATTTTTTTTTTAGAGATTCAATTTCTCTGTTGAAAATCTTCATTTTTTCATCAATTTCTTTAACATATTTATAATTTTTTTCTTAATTATGGTTCACATTTTCCCAGTTCTTCACATGTCTCCCATTTAAAAAATTACATGCACTGATACTGACATTTTAAAATTTATATGCTTAAACCTCATTGTTTTTAAAATAATTATAGAGATTCAAATAAGTATTATTTCCTCCCAGGAAAAGTGTGCCCTTTCTTTGTGAGGAGTCAAGCTGAGTCAGTGCTGAGTTGCAGCTCTAGGTAGTTTCAGTTCACCTCTAGTTTCAAATATCTAGAGAATGTTACCTGTTCTGTGTGTATTACAGGGCTCCCCCTCTAAAAGGATTTTGAGACCTAAGGGCTTTAAGACTTTTGCTTTCCAGCCCAGCCACCAGCCTGTTGTGCTGCTACTTACTCAACAAAAGTCTCATGGAGATAATTGAAAGGTAGGCAGGATTACCTCTGCATTTGGGGCTCCTATAGATTCCAATCTGTCATACCAGTGTGCATGGTTGTTAAAAGTTCTGCTGGCTTTGCCTTACTTTAGCAGAGTTCCTCTGCTTAAAACACACCCTATCTTTATGCCCATGCCTCCTCTAGGAACAGTTTTTCCCTTTTTGGAATTTAGTTTCCATACACACACACACACACACACACACACACACACACACACACACACACACACACACACATAGTGTATTCTCTCCCTTCTCTGAACACCAACTCACTCACTTTAACATTAAAATAAATTATATATAGTTTATATGTAAACTATTTATAAACTATGTATAACTATTTATATACAGTTTACGTATAAACTATATATATAAATAGTTAATTTAAGTGTTAAAATAAGTGAGTTGGTGTTCGGAGAAGAGAGAGAAATGAACTTTGACTCAGGGAAAGGTTAAGAAGATATGACTGGAATTAAGGCAAAATTGGTTAATGGGTACAAAAATACTGTTTAGATAGAAGGAATGAATTATTTTATTTAATAGTACTATAGAGAAATTATACTTAACATTAATTTATTATATAATTCAAAAAGCTAGGAGAGAAGAATTGTAGTGTTCTCAACACAAATAAAAGATAAATGTTTGAGGTAATGGATATCCCTATTACTCTGATTTGGTCATTACACATTGTATACATGTATGAAAATATGTACCTCAAAAATATATACAACTATGATATATCAATAAAAAATTCAAAAACATTCTAAAAACATCAAAAAGGCCTAAAAGCTGGACACCTAATTTTGTGCTATGGAAAACAGCATGATAAGGGAGTAGAAACATTAAATAAATGAATTTGCATAGTAAAGAATTTGTTTAGATACCATTGTAAGTCCCTGTAAGATTCTAGTGGAGCTAACCGCACTCAGTGGCAGTTTTCCATTTTCACCTATTTAATAGAGTCTGAAAACTTTCCAGTCTTATACAGTCTTGTGTTCATATCTAATTATTCATATCAGATATGCAGTAATTACTGGAATCATTAAAAAGACTGGTCCTAGAACCCAGAAGTTTACTGTTAATTATTGTTTTCTGATAAGATTTATGTAACTTTAATCATAAGGTTCATGATATGGTTTGGCTCTGTGTCCCCACCCAAGTCTCATCTTGAATTGTAATCCAAATTGTAATCCTCATGTGTTGAGGGAGGGACCTAATGGGAGGTGACTGGATCATGGGAGCAGTTTCCCCTGTGCTGTGCTAGTGCTAGTGAGTGAGTTCTCATAAGATCTGATGGTTTTAAAAGTGGCACTTCCTCTTTCACTCTTTCTTTCCTGCTGCCTTGTGAAGAAGGTGACACTTCCCCTTTCGCAATGATTGTAAGACCTCCCCACCCATGCAGAACTGTGAGTCAATTAACCCTCTTTTGTTCATAAATTACCCAGTCTCAGGTAGTAACTTTATAGCAGTTTGAAAATTGACTAATACAGTTCATGAACTTTGATTTAGAACTGGAGTGACTTGTTAAACTCCTATAAAGATATAATACTTGGACTGTTAAGTATAAATTAAAGGCCTGTATAAAAGTAAATTTATCATATTTACCTGTACTCCACATCTTGTCATCCACCATATTTTGAATTTGAAGATACGTAGAGAGGAGAACAAATTTTGTTTGTTAACATGATTTATAACTTTTAAATATTTAAACATATGTTCCTTGTGCCACATTATACCATTTGTACACAAATGTTAGGAATGTGCCTCTTAGCCTTATTTCTCACTGTGCTCATGTCACTTTACAATGCTATACTTTATGGTTTCTCCTGTTCCCAGCATGCCCAGCTCTTTTTTTTTTTTTTTTTTAAAGTTAGTTGTGCCTTTGTCCTTGTCATTCCCTCTTTCTGTAATGCCCTTTCTCTTTTGCTGCCTGGTAGAATCTCTCAGATTCTTCA
The DNA here is from genome assembly GCF_000001405.40 of Homo sapiens. Lineage (NCBI taxonomy): Eukaryota > Metazoa > Chordata > Mammalia > Primates > Hominidae > Homo > Homo sapiens. Next base: position 86,616,478 of record NC_000001.11, on the reverse strand, counting down.
AAGTTTGACTAAAATGCTGCTTCTTGGGAAGCCCACCTGACCAGTTGGTCTTTCCCTCCTCTGTGATTCTACAGACATTTTTAGTTGTATATATTATATCACTTACAGTAGTGAGCTTTGGTAAACAAGTTCTTACTGTGTTATTCCCAGTTACCTTATGATAAAGTCTAAAATCCTTAGTGAGACTTGCAAGGACCCCACCTTATCACAGCCCGAATACTTAATTCTTCAGTCTCATCTCTTACTCTGGTCAGATTATTCTTTCTATTTCTCAACTGCTTGAGGCTCTCTTCTCAAACTTTTTACACTTGCTGTTCGTTTTGCCTTGGGCATTATTTTCTACACTCTTGGTGACTCTCTACTCATTCCTTCTTTAAATTTTTAGCTAAAAATTTACTTCCGAGAAACTTTCTATGACTCCTTGATTATGTTAGTTCTCCCTGATATAAAAGTGCCCATAGCATCCTATACTTTGCACTTGAGTGGTATATTCTATCTTTTTTATCCATCTATCAATGCTATCAATTAATGCTATCTTTTCCATTGAATTTCATAAGTATGTCTGTCTTGTTCACAGACATATACCCATTACTTAAGCATGTATCAGTTACCTCAAAAGAATTGGCTAAGTATTTCTTGATAGAATGAATGGAAGGATGAGTTCAAAACTTCATGAGAGAAGTCTTCCCACTCATCTCATTCTCCAAGTGCTTATATAATGCGAGGCATGGAGTGTGTACTGAATGCTATCATTAAATTTCATTTTTATAAATATGTTTCCTTTATTTATGACTTATTTGCAGTTTAATACTCAGAATTTTCAAGTAAAGTTGGGTCAATTTTACCCTTTAAAGTTCTTGTATGTTTTTCTGTATTTAAATGCAATACATCATGAAATATTTAGGATTATTTATGGACCTCCTGATCATTATTCTCATACAACTTTGTTGTATCCTGCCAAGTTTAGAGACCTCTCCCCATCCAGGGCTCTAGCTAGATACATTCTCTCCCTAAGGTGTTTTCATCCAATCTGTAGTTGTAAATACCATTTATAGGCTGATAACTCTCAGACTTGATGTGTACCTGAAATTCCAGATTGACATAACCTATTATCTACTGAACATCTTTACTTGGATGGCTGATGGGTATCTCAAACATGACATATATTAAATACAGCTCTAACATTTCTCTCCTTGTTAACAATAATAAATTCTTATTCCCTTAGGAAGAGATGGAATGACATTTGGTCATAGTAAAAAAGTAACAACAGAACAGATTTCACTCATCTCATAGATCAATGTCAGCTTCTTACCAGAGCACACACCTGTAAAAGTTGGCCAAGGAGGCCAGGCGCGGTGGCTCACGCCTGTAATTCCAGCACTTTGGGAGGCCAAGACGGGTGGATCACAAGGTCAGGATTTCAAGACCAGCCTGGCCAACATGGTGAAACCCTGTCTCTACTAAAGATACAAAAACACAATTAGCCAGGCATGGTGGCTCATGCCTGTAATCCCAGCTATTCGGGAGGCTGAGGCAGGAGAATAAGTTGAGCTCAAGAGGCAGAGGTTGCAGTGAGCCGAGATCACACCACTGCACTCCAGCCTGAGTGACAGGGTGAGACTCCATCTCAAAAAAAAAAAAAAAAGTTGGCCGAGGAGCAATAGCCTCACTCCAGTGACAACACTTCTGTGGCCATCAATCCTATGATCAATCAATCTTTAACTACTCCCTCTTAAGTGTTTTTCACTATTTTCAAGATTTTATGCTTCCCCAAATCAAATATATCAGTAGTTTGTTTTCTTCAGAGTCTTTGCCTAGAAACACAGCTCTTCTTTACTTAGCACACACAGAAAGTCAGATTTTGCTTTCAGATACATAATGGAAGCCTCTTCCTTTAACAACCTACAGCTTTTTAGTGAAGATGGCCCAATAGGAACAGCTCCAGTCTGCAGCTCCCAGGGTGAGTGACACAGAAGATGGGTGATTTCTGCACTTCCAACTGAGGTACTGGGTTCATCTCACAGGGGCTTGTCAGAAAGTGGGTGCAGTCCATGGAGCAGGGTGGGGCATCACCTCACCCGGGAAGCGTGAGGGGTTTGGGAATTCCCTTTCCTAGCAAAGGGAAGCCATGACAGACAATACCTGGAAAATCGGGACACACCCACCCTAATATTGCGCTTTTCCAATGGTCTTAGCAAATGGCACAGCAGGAGATTATATCCTGTGCCTGGCACAGAGAGTCCCATGCCCACAGAGCCTCGCTCACTGCTGGCACAGCAGTCTGAGATTGAACTGCGAGGTGGCAGTGAGGTGCCAGCAAGGCTGAGGGAGGGGCATCCACCATTGCTGAGGCTCGAGTAGGTAAACAAAGCCCAGGAAGCTCGAACTGGGTGGAGCCCACTGCAGCTCAAGGAGGCCTGCCTGCTTCTGTAGACTCTACCTCTAGGGGCAGGGCATAGCAGAAAAAAAGGCAGCAGAAACTTCGGCATACTTAATGTCCCTGTCTGACAGCTGTGAAGAGTAGTGGTTCTCCCAGCACGGAGCTTGAGATCTGAGAACGGACAGACTGCCTCCTCAAGTGGGTCCCTGACCCCTAAGTAGCCTAACTGGGAGGCATCTCCCAGTAGGTGGTGACTGACACTACATACGGCCGGGTGTCCCTCTGAGACGAAGCTTCCAGAGGAATGATCAGGCAGCAACATTTACCATTCTGCAGACTCTGCTGGTGACATCAGGCAAACAGGGTCTGGAGTGGACCTCCAGCAAACTCCAAAAGACCTGCAGCTGAGGGTCCTGACTGTTAGAAGGAAAACTAACAAACAGAAAGGACATCCACACCAAAACCCCATTGATACGTCACCATAATCAAAGACCAAAGGTAGATAAAACCACAAAGATGGGGAGAAACCATAGCAGAAAAGCTGAAAATTCTAAAAATCAGAGCACCTCTTCTCCTCCAAAGGAATGCAGCTCCTCGCCAGCAAAGGAACAAAGCTGGATGGAGAATGACTTTGATGAGTTGAGAGAAGGCTTCAGACAATCGGTAATAACAAACTTCTCCGAGCTAAAGGAGGATATTTCGAACTCATTGCAAAGAAGTTAAAAACCTTGAAAAAAGATTAGACGAATGGCTAACTAGAATAATCAATGCAGAGAAGTCCTTAAAGGACCTGATGGAGCTGAAAACCATGGCACGAGAACTACGTGATGAATGCACAACCTTCAGTAGCTGATTCGATCAACTGGAAGAAAGGGTATCAGTGATGGAAGATCAAATGAATGAAATGAAGTGAGAAGAGAAGTTTAGAGAAAAAAGAACAAAAAGAAATGAACAAAGCCTCCAAGAAAAATGGGACTATGTGAAAAGACCAAATCTACGTCTGATTGGTGTACCTGAAAGTGACGGGGAGAATGGAACCAAGTTGGAAAACACTCTGCAGGATATTATCCAGGAGAACTTCCCCAATCTAGCAAGGCAGGACAACATTCAAATTCAGGAAATACAGAGAATGCCACAGAGATACTCCTTGAGAAGTGCAACTCCAAGACACATAATTGTCAGATTCACCAAAGTCAAAATGAAGGAAAATATGTTAAGGGCACCCAGAGAGAAAGGTCGGGTTACCCACAAAGGGAAGCCCATCAGACTAACAGTGGATCTCTCAGCAGAAACTCTACAAGCCAGAAGAGAGTGGGGGCCAATATTCAACATTCTTAAAGAAAAGAATTTTCAACCCAGAATTTCATACCCAGCCAAACTAAGCTTCATAAGTGAAGGAGAAATAAAATCCTTTACAGAGAAGCAAATGGTGGGAGATTTTGTCACCACCAGGCCTGCCCTACAAGAGCTCCTGAAGGAAGCACTAAACATGAAAAGGAACAACGAGTACTAGCCACTACAAAAACATTCCAAATCGTAAAGACCATCGAGGCTAAGAAGAAACTGCATCAACTAACGAGCAAAATAACCAGCTAACATCATAATGACAGGATCAAATTCACACATAACAATATTAACCTTAAGTGTAAATGGGCTAAATGCTCCAATTAAAAGACACAGACTGGAAAATTGCATAGTCAAGACCCATCAGTGTGCTGTATTCAGGAAACCCATCTCATATGCAGAGACATACATAGGCTCAAAATAAAGGGATGGAGGAAGATCTACCAAGCAAGTGGAAAACAAAAAAAGGCATGGGTTGCAATCCTAGTCTCTGATAAAACAGACTTTAAACCAACAAAGATCAAAAGAGACAAAGAAGGCCATTACATAATGGTAAAGGGATCAATTCAGCAAGAAGAGATAACTATCCTAAATATATATGCACCAAATATAGGAACACCCAGATTCATAAAGCAAGTCCTTAGAGACCTACAAAGAGAGTTAGATTCCCACACAATAATAATGGGAGACTTTAACACCCCACTGTCAACATTAGACAGATCAACAAGACAGAAAGTTAACAAGGATATCCAGGAATTGAACTCAGCTCTGCGCCAAGCAGACCTAATAGACATCTACAGAACTCTCCACCCCAAATCAACAGAATATACTTCTTTTCAGCACCACACCACACCTATTCCAAAATGGACCACATAGTTGGAAGTAAAGCTCTCCTCAGCAAATGTAAAAGAACAGAAATTATAACAAACTATCTCTCAGACCACAGTGCAATCAAACTAGAACTCAGGATTAAGAAACTCACTCAGAACTGCTCAACTACATGGAAACTGAACAAGCTGCTCCTGAATGACTACTGGGTACATAACAAAATGAAGGCAGAAATAAAGATGTTCTTTGAAACCAATGAGAACAAAGACACAACATACCAGAATCTCTGGGACACATTCAAAGCAGTGTGTAGAGGGAAATTTATAGCACTAAGTGCCCACAAGAGGAAGCAGGAAAGATCTAAAATTGGCACCCTAACATCATAACTAAAAGAACTAGAGAAGCAAGAGCAAACACATTCAAAATCTAGCAGAAGGCAAGAAATAACTAAGATCAGAGCAGAACTGAAGGAAATAGAGACACAAAAAACTCTTCAAAAAATCAATGAATCCAGGAACTGATTTTTTGAAAAGATCAACAAAATTGATAGATCGCTAGCAAGACTAATAAAGAAGAAAAGAGAGAAGAATCAAATAGACGCAATAAAAAATGATAAAGGGGATATCACCACTGATCCCACAGAAATACAAACTACCATCAGAGAATAGTATAAACACCTCTATGCAAATAAACTAGAAAATCTAGAAGAAATGGATAAATTCCTGGACACATACACACTCCCAAGACTAAACCAGGAAGAAGTTGAATCTCTGAATAGACCAATAACAGGTCTTGAAATTGAGGCAATAATTAATAGCCTACCAATCAAAAAAAGTCCAGGACCGGATGAATTCACAGCCGAATTCTACTAGAGGTACAAAGAGGAGCTGGTACCATTCCTTCTGAAACTATTCCAATGAATAGAAAAAGAGAGAATCCTCCCTAATTCATTTTATGAGGCCAGCATTGTCCTGATACCAAAGCCTGGCAGAGACACAACAAAAAAAGAGAATTTTAGACCAACATCCCTGATGAATATCGATGCAAAAATCCTCAATAAAATACTGGCAAACCGAATCCAGCAGCACATCAAAAAGTTTATCCACCACGATCAAGTTGGCTTCATCCCTGGGATGCAAGGCTGGTTCAACATATACAAATCAATAAATGTAATCCATCATATAAACAGAAACAAAGACAAAAACCACATGATTATCTCAATAGATGCAGAAAAGGCTTAAGATGCAGAAACTAGCTAAGTTTCTTTCATACAAATTTTAGAATCAACTTTATTTCTATAAAAAAGGCTACTTCAATTTTGACTTTGCACTGCATAGATAGATTAATTTGGGAAAATGAATTGAGTTTTTAATCTATGAACATGGTATATATTTCCATTTATTCTTTAATTACTTTTGGCAGTGCTTTGTAATGTTCAATGTACAGGTCTTGCACATATGTTTTTGATTTATTTGTTTCTAAGTATTTCATGTTTTTGAAGCTATGGTAAATGTTATTGCTATACCAGAATTTATTTATCTATTATGTTGTTTATGATATAAGAACTATTTAGTTTTTGGCTCTTATGAGTAACACAGCTACGCACATTTTAAAATAAGTATTTTAGTGCATATATGCAAAAGTTATTTTTGGATATACTGTTAAGAGTGAAATTGCTGGGTTGTTGAGTATGCATATGTTCAACTACAGTAGATAATCCTGAATGATTTTCCAAAGTTTGGTTCCCAAATTTGATGAAAGACATGAATTTACACACACTCAACAAACTCAACAGGAGCAAGCTAGTGGAATAAAAGATTCCACCCATCATCCCTGCCACAAGGACACCAATTTAACAATTTATTTTTTAAATTTGAGATAGAGTCTCACTTTGTTGCCCAGGCTGGAGTGCAGTGTCATGATCTCAGCTCACTGAAGCCTCTGCCTTCCAGGTTCAAGTGTTTCTCCTGCCTCAGCCTCTTGAATAGCTGTGAGTACAAGTGCGCTAATTTTTGTATTTTTAGTAAAGACAGGTTTTGCCATGTTGGCCAGGCTGGTCTCGAGCTCCTGACCTCAGGTGATCCACCTGCCTTGGCCTTCCAAAGTGCTGGGATTCTAGGGATGAGCCACAATGCCCAGCCAAATTTAACAATTAGGTACACAGAAAAAACACCTCATAAGAACAAAAAATCAGGTGAACTCTCACAGTACCTGGCTTTAACTATATTATCCCTGAAAGAGGCACTGAAGAGATAGAAAAAGCAATCTTGAATCACTGATGCCACCCCCATCCCAACCCTAGCTGTGGTGGCTGGGTGCAGAGAGTGTCTCTGGGCACTGGGGGAAGGAGAGCATAGCAATTGTGAGGAATTGAACTCAGTTCTGTCCTGATAGAGCATAAAGGAAAACTGGACCAAACTCAGCTGACACCCACCCATGAAGGGAGCATTAAAATCAGCCCTTGCCAGAGAGGAATTGTAGGTCCCAGAGATCGGAACTTAAGTTCCCACAAACCTCACCACTGAGGGCTGGAGTACTCTGAGTCTCTGAGTAAACTTGAAAGGCAGTCTAGGCCATAAGAACTGCAACTCTTAGGTGAGTTCTAGTGCTGAACTGGGCCCAGAGACAGTGGACTGGGGGGGCATGTGACATACTGAGAAACCAGCTTGGGCAACTAAGGGAGTGCTGGCATCACCCCTCTCCTAACCCCAGGCTGTACCACTCATAGCTCCAAATGAGACCCCTTCCTTCTGCTTGAGGAGAGGACAGGGAAGGGTGGGGAGCACTTTGTCTTACTTCTTGGATACCAGCTCAGCCACAGCAGATAAGGCACTGGTCATACCCCTGTTCCAGACCCTAGTTCCCAGACATTTCTAGGCACACCCTGGGGCAGAGGAAACTTGCTGCCTTGAAGGGAAGGATCTGGTTCTGGCAGGACCCGTCACCTTCTAAGAGTCCTTGGGCCCTGAATAACCAGTAGTGAGGTAGTATGCTGTGGGCCTTTGCTGAAACTCTGAGACTTGTGGCTTCAGGTGAAATTCAGAAATTTCCAGCTGTGGTGGCTACGGGGCAAAACTCCTTTTGCTTGAGAAAAGCAGAGAGAAAAGTAAAAGGGACTTTATCCTGCCACTTAGGTACCAGCATGGCCACAGTGGGGTAGAGCATCAGTGGGCTCTTGCAGTCCTCAATTCTAGTACATGACTCTTGGCCAGCATATCTGGACCTGCCCTGGGCCAGAAGAGAGCCCATTTCCCTAAAGGATGAGTCCCAGGCCAGGCAGAATTCACCATAAGCTGACTTAAGAGCCCTTGGGTCTTAAGGGAACATTAATGGTAGTCTGGCAGAACTCCCTGTGGCCTGTGGTGTGGTAGCTGTGGGAGTGAGGCTCCTCTGCCTTTGGAAAGCAGAAGTAAGTGCATCTTTTGGTTTGAGTGCCAGCTCAGCTGCAGTATAGTAGAACACCAGGTAGACTTCTAAGGTTTTTGACTCTAGTCCCTGACATCCGGATGGCACCTCTGGACCCACCCAGGGCATGAGGGAACTCACTACCTTGAAGGGAAAGACACAGACCTGGGTGGCTTTGCCATCTGCTGATTGTAGAGCCCCAGGGCCTTGAGCAAACACAGACAATTCCCAGGGAGTGGTTATAGCAGGCCCTGGGTGAAATTCAGTGCTGTACTGGCTTCGGGTCTGACCCAGTGCAGTCATAGTGGTGGTGGCCACAGGGGTGCTTGTCACTCACTCCAAGTTTTAGGTGGCTCAGAACAGAGAGAGAGACTTTCTTTGTTTGGGAGAAAGTAAGGGAAGAGAACAAGAGTCTCCACCTTGTAATCCAGAGAATTCTCCCAGATCTTGTCCAAGACCATCAAGGCAGTACCACTACGAGTCTGCAAGAACCACAGCATAACTGGGCTTGGGGCGCCTCTAAAGTGATACAGCTTAGATCACAACACCCAAGTTCTTTAGAATATACGGAAATCCTTTCCAAGAAGGATGGGTACAAACAAGTCCAGATAGAGGACAGTACAATAAATAACAAATTATTCAATGACCAGAAACTGAAGAAAATCCATATACATCAAGGCCATCCAGGAAAACATGACCTCATCAAATGAATTAAATAAAACACCAAGGACCAATCCTGGAGAAACAGAAATATGTGACCTTTCAGACAGGGAATTCAAAATAGCTGAGGAAGCTCAAAGAAGTTCAAGCTCAAAGAAGTTCAGAATTCTATTAGATAAATTTAACAAAGAGATTGAGATAATTAAAAAGGATCAAGAAAAAATTTTGGAGTTGAAAAATGCAATTGGCATACTAAAGAATGTGTAAGAGCCTTAATAGCAGAATTGATCAAGCAGAAGAAAGAATTAGTGAGCCTGAAGACAGGCTATTTGAAAATACACAGCTAGAAGAGACAAAAGAAAAAAAGAATAAAAAACAAGGAAGCATGCCTATGGGATATAAGAAACAGCCTCAAGAGGGCAAACCTAAGAATTATTGACCCTAAAGAGGAGGTAGAGAAAGAGATAGGGGTAGAAAGTTTATTCAAAAAGATAACAGAGAACTTACCAAACCTAGAGAAAGATATCAATATCCAAACACAAATATAACGAGAAGGTTATAGAACACCAAGCAGATTTAAACCAAAGAAGACTACCTCAAGACATTTAATAATTAAGCTCCCAATGATCAAAGAGAAAGGATTCTAAAAAGAAGAAGAGAAAAGAAACAAGTAACATACAAAGGAGCTCCAATACATGTGGCATCAGACTTTTCATTGGAAATGTTACAGGCCAGGAGAGAGTGGCATGATGTACTTGAAGTGCTGAGGCAAAAAACTTTTATCCTAGAATAGTAAATCCAGTGAAAATATCCTTCAAACATGAAGGAGAAATAAAGATTTTCCCAGACAAAAGCTGAGGGGTTTGATCAACACCAGACCTGTCCTATAAGAAAAACTTAAGGGAATACTTCAATCAGAAAGAAAAGGACATTAATGAGTAATAAGTAATCACCTGAAGGTTCAAAACTCACTGGTAGTAGTAAGTACACAGAAAAACACAGAATATTATAACACTGTAACTGTGGTGTGTGAACTGCTTTATCCTAAGTAGAAAGACTAAACAATGAATCACTCAAAACTAACTAAACAACTTTTCAAGACATAGACAGTACAATAAATAAATAAAAACAACAAAAAATTAAAAACTGAGGGGATGAAGTTAGTGTGCAGAATTTTTATTAGTTTTAGCTTGCTTGTTTGTTTATGCAAAGTATTAAGTTGTTATCAGCTTAAAATAATAGATTATAATATAGTATTTGCAAGCCTCATGGTAACCTCAAACAAAAAAACATACAATGAATACACAAAAAAATAAAAGCACGAAACTAAATCATATCACCAGAGAAAATTGCCTTTACTAAAAAAAGATGGGAAGGAAAGAGAGAAGGAAGAGACCAAAAAACAATAACAAAATGGCAGGAGTAAGTCTTCACTTATCAATATAGCACTAAATGTAAATGGACTAAACACTTCAATCAAATGACAGAGTGGTTGAATAAATGAAAATATTTAGATTGGTGCAAAAGTAATTGTGGTTTTTGCCACTAAAAGTAATGGCAAAATCCGCAATTACTTTTGCACCAACCTATAGCAGAACTGTTGACCCGTTGCTTACAAGAAGCACACTGCACCTATAAATAAACACATAGACTAAAAATAAAGGGATGGAAAAAGATATTCTATGCCAATGGAAACCAAAAAAGAGCAGGAGTAGCTATACTTGTATCAGACAAAATAGATTTCAAGACAAAAACTATAACAAGAGACAAAGAAGGTAACTGTATAATAATAAAGGAATCAATTCAGCAAAAGAATATAAAAAATTTAAATACATAAACACTCAACACTGAAGCACCCAGATACACAAGGCAAATATTATTAGAGTTGGAGAGAGACAGGCCCTGATACAATAATGGCTGGAGATTTCAACACCCCACTTTCAACATTGGACAGATCTTCCAGACAGCAAATCAGCAAAGAAACATCAAACATAATCTGCATTATAAGCCAAATATATCTAATAGATAGTTACAGAACACTTCATCCAATGGCTGCGGAATACACATTCTTCTCATTAACACATGGATTTTTCTCAAGAATAGACCATGTGTTATTTCACAAAACAAGTCTTAAAACATTTTAAAAAATTGAAATAGTATCAAGCATCTTCTTTGACCACAGTGGAATAAAACTACAAATTAATATCAAGAGGAATTTTGAAAACTATACAAATACAAGAAAATTAAACAATATGCTCCTGAATGACCAGTGGATCAAGGAAGAAATTAAGATGAAAATTTAAAAATTTCCTGGAATAAATGGTAATGAAAACACAACATACCAAAACCTATTGGATATAGAAAAAACAGTACTAAGAGGGAAGATTATAGCTATAAATGCCTACATCAAAAAAAGAGAAAAAACTTCAAATAGACAATCTAATGATACATCCTAAAGAATTAGAAAAGCAAGAACAAACCAAATCTAAAATTAGTAGAATAAAAAAATTATGACGATCACAGCAGAAATAAATGAATTTGAAATGACAAAAACAATACAAAAGATCAATGAAACAAAAGTTGGTTTTTTGAAAAGTTAAACAAAATTGGCAAACTTTAGGCCAGATTAAGAAAAAAAGAGAGAAGATCCAAATAAATAAAATCATAAATGAAAAAGGAGACATCATAACTGATACTGCAGAAATTCAAAGCATCATTAGTGAATACTCTGAACAACTATATGCTAATAAGTTGGAAAATCTAGAAGAAATGGACAAATTCCTAGACACATACAACCTGCCAAGACTGAACCAGAAACAAATCCAAAACTTGAACAGACCAGTACCAAGTAATGAGATTGAAGCTGCAATCAAAAGTTTCCCAGCAAAGTAAAGCCTGGGGCCCAATGGCTTCATGACAGAATTCTACCAAACATTTAAAGAAGAACTAATACCAATCCTACTCGAACTATCCCCAAAAAATAGAGGAGGAGGGAATACTTTCAAACTTATTCTATGGCTCTGAACCAAAGCCAGACAAAGATGCATCCAAAAAAGAAAAGCACAGGCCAATATCCCTGGTAAATATTGATGCAAAAGTTGTCAACAAAATACTAGCAAACTGGATTCAACAGTACATTAGAAAGATCATTTATCATGACTAAATGAAATTTGTCCCTTGGAGGCAAGCATGTTTCAACATATGCAAATCAATCCATGTGATACATGATATCAATGAATGAAGGATTAAAAACTATATGATCATTTCAATTGATGCTAAAAATACTTGATAAAATTCAACATTCCTTCATGATAAAAACTCTCAAAAAACTAAGTATAGAAGGATCATACCTCAGCATAAAAAAACCATAAATGAGAGACCCACAGTTAATATCATACTGAATGGGGATAAACTAAAAGCCTTTCCCCTAAGATCTGGAACACAATAAGGTGCCTACTTTCACCACTGTTATTCAATATAGTACTAGAAGTCCTAGCTAGAGCAATCAGACAAGACAAAGAAATTTAGAACTTCCAATTTAGAAAGGATGAATTCAAATTATCCTTGTTTGCAAATGATATGGTCTTATATTTGGGAAAACCTAAAGACTCCACCAGAAAACTATTAGAAGTGATAAACAAATTCAGTAAAGTTGCAGAATACAAAATCAACATACAAAAATTAGTAACATTTATATCTGCCAACAGCAAACAATCTGAAAAAGAAATTGAGAAAGTAATTCCATTTACAATAGCCACAAATAAAATTAAATACCTAGGAATCAACTTAACCAAAGTAAAAGACCTCTATAGTGAAAACTATAAAACACTGATGAAAGAAATTGAAGAGGACATCAAAAAATGGAAAGATATTCCATGTTTATGAATTGGAAGAATCAACATTGCTAAAATGTCCATACTAATCAAAGCAATCTACAAATTCAATGCAATCCCTATCAAAATGACATTTGATATGGCTTGGCTGTGTCCCTAACCAAATTACATCTTGAATTGTAGTTTCCATAATCCCTACATGTCATGAGAGGGACCCAGTGGGAGGTAATAATTGAATCATGGGGGCACTTGCCCTTGTGCTGCTGTTCTTGTGATAGTGAGTGAGTTCTCAGAAGATCTGATGATTTTATAAAGGGCTTTTTCCCCCTTTTGCTCAGCACTTCTTCCTGCCACCATGTGAAGGACATGTTTGCTTCCCCTTCCACTGTGATAGTAAGTTTCCTGAGGTCTCATGAAGAAAGATGTGTTTGCTTCCCCTTCCACCATCATTATAAGTTTTTTGAGGTCATACTGAACTTTGAGTCCGTTAAACCTCTTTATTTTATAAATTACCCAGTCTCAGGTATGTCATTATTAGCAGCATGAGAATGGACTAATATAACATTCATCGCAGAAGTAGAAAAAGCAATCCTAAAATTTATATGGAACCACAAAAGACCCAGAATAGCCAAAGCTATCCTAAGCAAAAAGCACAGAACAGGAGGAGTCACATTACATGACTTCAGATTATACTAAAGAGCTATAATAACCAAAACAGCATTGTACTGACATAAAAACAGACACCTAGACCAATAGGATAAAATAGAGAACTCAGAAACAAATCCATACACTTACAGTTAGTGAGATGAGTTCACTAACTCATTTTTGACAAAGGTGCCAAGAACATACACTTGGAAAAAGACAGTCTCTTCAATGAATGGTACTGTGGAAACTGGATATCTGTATGCAGAATAATGAAACCAGACCCCTATCTATTGCCATATACAAAAATCAAATCAAGACGAATTAAAGACTTACATCTAAGACCTCAAACTATGAAACTGCTACAAAAAAACTTGGTGAAATTCTCCAGGACATTGGTCTGGGCAAAAATTTATTGAGTAATACCACATGAGCACAGGCAACCAAAGTAAAAATAAACAAATAGGTTTACTCACATTAAAAAGCGACTGCCTAACAAAGGAAACAGTCAACAAAGTGAAGAGACAACCCACAAAATGGAAGAAAATATTTGCTAACTACCCATTTGACAAGGGATGACTAACCAGAATGTATAAGGAGCTCAAACAAGTCTACAGAAAAAAAAATCTAATAACCCAATCAAAAAATGGGCAAAAGATTTAAATAGACATTTCTCAAAAGAAGACATACAAATGGCAAACAGGCACATGAATAGGTGCTCAACATCATTGATCATCAGAGAAATGCAAATCAAAACTACAATAAGTTATCTTCTCACCCCAGTTAAAATGGCTTATATCCAAAAGACAACCAATATCAAAGCTAGTGAGGAGGTGGAGAAAGGAGAACCCTCATATACTGTTGGATTGTAAATTAGTACAGTCATTATGGAGAACAATTTGGAGATTCCTCAAGAAACTTAAAAATAGAGGTATCATATGATCCAGCAGTCCCACTGCTGGGTATAGACCCCAGAGAAAGTAAATCAGTATTTTTTTTTTTTAGATGGAATCTTGCTCTGTCGCCCAGGCTGGAGTGCAGTGGCACAATCTTGGCTCACTACAAGCTCCACCTCCTGGGTTCACGCCATTCTCCTGCCTCAGCCTCCCAAGTAGCTGGGACTACAGGCTCCCGCCACCATGCCCGGCTAATTTTTTTTTATTTTTAGTAGAGACAGAGTTTCACCATGTTAGCCAGGATGGTCTCGATCTTCTGACCTTGTGATCTGCCTGCCTCAGCCTCCCAAAGTGCTGGGATTACAGGCATGAGAAAATCAGTATTTCAAAATGATATCTGCACTCCCATGTTTATTGTAGCAGTGTTCACAATAGCTAAGATTTGGAAGCAACCTAATTGTTCATCAACAGATGAATGGATAAAGAAAATGTGGTACATATACACAATAGAGTACTACTCAGCCATAAAAAAAATGAGATTCTGTCATTTGCAACAACATAGATGAACTGGAGATTATTGTGTTATGTGAAATAAGCCAGGCACAGAAAGACAAACATCTCATGTATCACTGATTCATGAGATCTCAAAATAAAAACTGTTGAACTCATGGAGATACAGAGTAAAATAATGGTTACCAGAGGCTGGGAAGCATAGTTGGGCAGGGGGCAGTGGGGATGGTTAATGGGTACAAAAAATAATTACAAAAATAAATAAGACGTACTATTTGGTTGCACACCAGTGTATCTATAGTCAATAATAATTTAATTGTACATTTTAAAATAACTAAATTAGTATAGTTGGATTGTTTGTAACACAAAGGACAAATGCTTCAGGGGATGGATACCCTATTCTCCATGATGAGATTATTTCACATTCATTCCTGTGTGGAAAGATTGCATGTACCCTATAAATATATACACCCACTCTGTAGTCACAAAAATTAAAAATAAAAAATCATAGAAGAAAACAACTTCAACATAACACAAGTAGGGTAACTTCAAAGATATCTTTGTAGAGACACATTATAGTCAAGGTGTTGAAAGCTAAATGCAAAGAAAAAAAAGCAGCAAGAGAGAAGTGATTTGTCGTGCAAAGGGATTCTCAATAAGATTAATGGCTAATTTCTTATCAGAAACCATGGTGACCCAAGGGCAGTGGAATGACATATTCAAGTTATGAAAGAAAAAACTGTCAACTAAAAATTCTATAATCCTGAAGAAATGGAAGAAGTAGAAACAGGCCGGTGTCTGTAAACTGATGAATGGATTTAACAAATGAGGTATATCCTTACAGTGGAACATTATTCAGCCATAAAAAGGAATGAAGTACTGATACATGCCACAATGAAGATGAACTTTGAAAACATTATGCCAAATGAAGTATACTAGATGAAAAGTCCCACATATTGTATGATTACATTTATATGGAATATCAAGATAGGCAAATACATGGTGACAGAAATCAGATAGTACTTATCAGGGGCTGTGGTGAGGGTAGAGGAAATGGGAAGCAACTGCATAAAGGGTATGAAAATTTTTTCTGGAGTGATGAAAATGTTCTAGAATTAGATAGCAGTGATGATTGTACAACATTGTGAATGTACCAAAAGCCAGTGAATAGCATTATTTACATTCTAGAATATTATTATTACTATTACTATATTATTATTCTGAGATGGAGTCTTGCTCTGTCACCCAAGCTGGAGTGCAGAGGGCGGATCTTTGCTCACTGCAAACTTCGCCTCCCAGGTTCAAGCAATTCTCATTCCTCAACCTCCCAAGTAGCTGGCATTACAGACACACCACCATGCAAGGCTAATTTTTGTATTTTTTATAGACACGGGTTTTTACCATGTTGGCCAGGCTGTCTTGAGCTCCTGACCTCACATGATCCATCCGCCTTGGCCTTCCAAAGTGCTGGGATTGTAGGCTTGAGCCACTGCGCCCAGCTAGAATATTAGTTTTAAAAGCAGAAAATAATATATCTTTCATGGTAGCTTTTTAAGACACTGTATTACTTTGAATTAACTCTGGCAACAGGGTTTTTCTAATCTCAAATCTTACCACATGGCTGCCTTTCCCATATAAAGTTAAGGGCTTGTACTTTAAAATGGTTAAAATGGTAAATTTTATGTTATGTGGTGAATTTTACCTTATTCACTAAAATAAATAATGAAAATATTGGATTATAACTAAGAGAATAAAATAAATATCTCTGGGTCTATAAAGGAGAAATCCTACTAAAAGCATTGCAATTAATAAATGAAGAAATGAGAACATAGAAATCACCATTAACACACGATAGTATGCTGTGCGTGATGGCTTACACCTGTAATCCCAGCACTTTGGGAGGCTGAGGCAGGTGAATTTCTTGAGCCCAGGAGTTCGAGACCAGCCTGTGCAACATGATGAAACCCCATCTCTACTAAAAATGCAAAAAATTAGCCATCTGTGGTGGTGCATACCTTTAGTCTCAGCTACCCAGGAGGCTGAGGTGGGAGGATCGCTTGAGTCTGGGAGGTTGAGGTTACAGTGAGCCATGATGGCACCACTGCACTCCAGTCTGGGTGACAGAGTGAGACCTTGTCTCAAACAACAACAATATACAAACAAAAAACCCATCATAATAATTGTTGCAGGTGAAGCCCATCTTTTCATATGCTTATTTTTGTTAACTGTGTATCTTTGCTGAAGATCTGTTCGGACTTTTTGTTTATTTTTTTTTCACTGGGTTGTTTATATTTTTATTAGAGTTACAAGTCTTTTTTTTTTTTTTTTTTTTCTGAGACGGAGTTTCGCTCTCTCACCAGGCTGGAGTACAGTGGCACGAACTCGGCTCACTGCAACCTCCACCTCCCAAGTTCAAGCAATTCTACTGCCTCAGCCTCCCGAGCAGCTGGGACTACAGGAGCATGCCACCACACCCAGCTAATTTTTGTATTTTTTTAGTTGAGATGGGGTTTCACCATGTTGACCTTGTGATGCACCTGCCTCGGCCTCCCAAAGTGTTGGGATTACAGGCGTCAGCCACCTCACCCGGCCAGAGTTACAAGTTTTTAATTGGATATATGATTTGCAAATTTTCCTTTGAAGCTTGTCTTTTCATGTTTTTTTTAACAAAATCTTTCACAGAACAAAGTTTTAAATTTTTGATAAAGTTAAGTTTCAGATTTTTCTTTTACGGATTATGTTTTTGTTGTCATTTCTCAAAACTCATTTAAATGGAAAACATATAGAGATTTTCTTATACTTTTTTCTCCTAGAAACATAGTTTAATATTTTGTATTTAGATCTATATTTTGTATTTAGGTCTTTCCTTATTTTGAGTTAATTTTTGTATGAGGTGTTATATATGTGTCAACAATGTTATTATTTCTTTTTTTGGATAAGGATGTCCAATTTTTCCAGCACTGTTCAATGAAGTGATACTTTTTCCTTTGAATTCCCTTTGAACTTTCATCAAAAATCAGTTAACCCTATTTCTGTGGGTCTATTTCTAGGCTCTATTCTGTTTCACTGATCTATGTGTCTATTCTCTTGCAAATACCATATTATCTTGACTACCGTAGTTTTACAGGAAGCCTTGAAGTCAGCTAGTGTAAGTCCTTCAACTCTGTTCTTCTTTTTCAGATTTGTTGTTGTTGTTGTCATTCTAGGTCTTTTGAATTTCCCGTAAGTTCATAATAGTCCTCTCACATTCTATCAAAAAACCTGCTGGAGTTTTGATTGGGATTTTGTCAAATTTACGGATCAATTTTGGCACAATTACTATCTTTACATTATTGATTCTGTCGCAGGATTGTCCAAAAAAGTTATTAAGTCTTCTGGTTCATAAACCTGATATATCTCTCCATTAATTTATATATTTAACTTAGCAGTGTTTTGTACTTTTTAGTGTGTAATTTTTAAACACTTGTCATATTATCCCAAAACATTTCATATTGTTGACGTTATTATAAATGTTATGTTTAAAAAGAATTCAGTTTCCAGTTCTATGCTTGGGGATAGAAATACAATTGAGTAACTTCTGCAGAATGCTGTTTTATATTCAACCTTGGTAAACTCACATATTAGTTTTAGTAGCTGTTTTGCAAAATCTGTTGAATTTATTTAATTTTTTTTTTTACATAGATGATCATGTCATTTGCAAACAAAGACAAAGTAACACTTCTTTCCAATCTGGATGGCTTTTTTTTTCTTCTTATTTTATTACACTATTGGAATCTCTAGTAGAATGTTGAATAGAAGGGCAAAGTTTGTTTTCAATTACAAAATCTACCATTACTATAAATGAAAGTCTATAGTGATGTTTTTAGAAATCTTCCAGGTGATTTTTATCCTCAGCCATTATGGAGATCTATTAACTTACAAAAAATTTGATTATTTCTGAGATCTCCAACCTCATCTACTTTCACTCTCTTCTTACACACTTGGCTTCAGTTCCTTGAATACACCACGCTTATTACCATTTTAGAAAGAAGGGTAATATTTGACTTGGGGAACCACAGAGCAGGAATCACTCTCCGTTTCTGCTTTTGTTTTTCTCCTCATGTCAGTGTTGATCTCTTAGACTGACTTTCTCCATAAGGCAGGAACTTTGACTACTGATGTTTCCAGACTCACATATTCCAAGCCTGAGAAAAAGTGCATATGTCTCCCATTTCATTTAAAAATATCTGGTGAGGGTCTATGGTTACATTGGCTTAGGCCACGTGCTTGCGCTCTGAACCAATCTCTATGGCCAAGGTGTTAAGAGTTCTATGACTGGCATGTCCAGAGATAGTTGTTTACTCTAGCAAGGGAGTCAAGATGCTAAAGCACCAATTAATGCTGCCTGTTAGCCTGGGCGTGGTGGCTCCCACCCGCAATCCCAGCAGTTTGGGAGACCAAGGTGGGTGGATTTCCTGAGGCTAGGAGTTCAAGATCAACCTGGTCAACATGGCAAAAGCCTGTCCCTACTGAAAATACAAAAATTAGCCAGCTGTGGTGGTGTAAGCCTGTAGTCCCAGCTATTTGGGAGGCTGAGGCATGAGAATTGCTTAAACACAGGAGCGGAGGTTGCAGAGAGCTAAGATGATTCCACTGCACTCCAGCCTAGGCAACAGAGTTACACTCTCTCAAAACAACAATAACAACAAAAAGCTGCATGTTAGAGTTGGAAATGAAGCAAGGGGAGCAATTGTGACCCACAAGAATGGTGGGAGGTGGCAAAGGGGTGAATTACTGGAAGCTCAGGAATTTCCCTGGGTTGTGTCTTCTACAGTTTTACACCCACACAAGAACTTGCAGCTTCCCAGCCTAGCCTAACAATTGGTGCTGTTCTCTTATGCAGAGACTCTTTCATAATATTTTTCTAGCTCTTGATTTAAAGATATGAAGTCAAGATCAAAAGAAGCATTATTCTGCTGAGCACTGCCATATTCCTTGGGGCTCAGCCACGCCTACCTCTTCACAGGGCCTTTCTTATTTCCTTAACCCACACTCATTGCCCTAGTGCAGTGATTCTGCAAGGCCTCTACTGAGGTTCCTGCTTTTAGCATCTTTTATAGGTTTCCATTACTTCAGGGAAAACCGTCCCATGACTGCTCTCCACCTGCCCTTCCCAGTCCACCACATCACACAGATGTGGAGTGATCATTTTCTTTCCTTAGTCATTAAAGCTTGCGGTAAACCAAAAGGTATCTAAGACAGATCTCAATCAATTTAAAGGTTTATTTGGCCAAGGTTAAGGACATGGCTGGAAGAAGAAAGCACGGAATCAAGGAAACAATCTTTGGTCTGTGCCTTTCTCCAGAGATAATTTTGAGGGCTTCAATATTCAGAAGGGAAAAGCTGGCTGAAGGGGAAGGAGGGAGGGTCTAGTAATCTACAGGATACAAGGGAAAACAGGCAGGTACAGGAATAGTCAATTACGTATTCATCTCACACGCTGTAAATCAGCAGTTTATGTAACATAAGAAAACAGCACTTAACCTCAGATAAAAGCAGCTCTCTGTGGAGGTATTTAACATTTTATCTGTAGCCATCTGCTTAGTAACAAATGGAAAGGCAGTTTCTTGCATGATTCATCTTTCAGCTTAAGTTTTTTCCTTTTGGCAGAGTGAATTGGGGTCCTGAGTTTTTACCAATCAGATATAGCTCATCCAAGGAGAATACTCCAATACATTACATTAAGTCTGTTCTCATAGACAAATATGAGATGGCTAAGAACTTTGTTCCCATGCCAGGAACATTTAAAACATTATTTCTGAGGACATGCATACAATAGACGCTCAATAAATATTTGCCTTATTGAATTAAACCTGAAGAAATGACTTTACCGATGGGAAGTACACACATTAGAAGGAAAGAGGAAGTCTAAGGTAAGCCAGAAGGAAGTTTATATAAGCAGGTAAGCCTGAAAACAGTGTTCCAAAAATGTCTGCAAGTAAATGGCTGCTTTATACCTGCATAAGCCTGAGAGACATTTTCTACGACAGTAGCCAGATGAAGGACTTATTAACGGGTGTAGTTTGGATATACGGCCCTGCCAAATCTCATAGGCCATGAATTGTAATCCCCAATATTGTTGTTGGGGGTGCCTGGTGGGAGGTGATTGGGTCATGTGGGTGGATCCCCCATGGCTTGATGCTGTCCTCATAATACTGAGTTCTCATGAGATCTGGTTGTTAAACATATGTGGCACCTCCTTGTCCCCTTGCTTCCACTCCTGCCATGTGACATGCCTGCTCCCACTTCACTTTCTGCCATGATTGTAAGCTTCCTGAGGCTTCCCTAGAAGCAGATGCCAGTGCTCTGCATCCTGTAAGGCCTGCAGAACTGAGAGCCAATTAAACCTCTCTTCTCATAAATTACGTAGTCTCAGATATTTCTTTGTAGCAACATAAGAGTGGCTTAATATCGCAAATTGGTCCCAAGGAGGTGGGCCTTGCTATAAAGATACCTGAAAATGTTAAAGGGATTTTGGAATGGGGTAACAGGCAGAGGGTGGAAGAGTTTGGAGTGCTCAGATGAGGACAGGAAGATGAGGGAAACTTTGGAACTTCTTAGAGACTAGTTAAATGACTGTGACCAAAATGCTGATGGTGACAGAGTCAGGGAAGTCCAGGCTGATGAGGTCTCAGATGAAAATGAGAAACTTATTGGGAACTGGAGCAAAGGTCACCCATGTGATACCTTAGCAAAGAACTTGACTGCATTGTATTCATGCCCTGGGGATGTGTGGAAGTTTAAGCTTAATTGTGATGACTTAAGGTATCCTAGTGGAAGAAATTTCTAAGCAGCAAAGCATTCAGGGAGTGGCCTGGCTGCTTCTAACCGCCTATGGTTAGATGGGAGAGCAAAGAAATGACTTAAAGTTGAAAACTAAATTTTTTTTTTTTTTTTTGAGACAGAGTCTTGCTTTGTTGCCCAAGGCTGTAGTGCAGTGGCTTGATCTTGGCTCACTGCAACTTCCACCTCCCGGGTTCAAGCAATTCTCCTGCCTTAGCCTCCTGAGTAGCTGGGACTACAGGTGCCAACCAATATGCCTGGCTAATTATTTTTTGTATTTTAGTAGAGACTGGGTCTCATCATGTTGCCCATGCTGGTCTTGAACTCCTGAGCTCAGGCAATCTGCTCGCCTCAGCCTCCCAAAGTGCTAGGATCACAGGCATGAGCCACTGTGCCTGGCCAAAACTTATGTTTAAGAGGGATGCAGAGCATATAAGTTTGGAAAATTTGCAGCCTAGCCATTTGGTAGAAAAGAGAAGCCCATTTTCAGGGGAGGAATTCAAGCAGGCTGTGAAGCATCCACTTGCTAGAGAAATTTGCATAACTAAAAAAGAGCCAAGTGCTAATAGCCAAGACAATGGGAAAAAGGCCTGGAAGACATTTAAAAGATCTCTGAGGCAGCCCCTCCCATCACAGGCCCAGGGGTCCAAAAGAACTGAATGGTTTCAGGGGACAGACCAGGGATGCCACTGCCCTGTGCTACTCCAGGAGGCTGTTGCTCACATCATGGCTGCTCTAGCTGGAGCCATGGCTCAAAGGCACCCAGGTACACCTTGGGCTACCACTACAAAGAGTGCAAACCATAATCCTTCACAGCTTCCATGTGGTTTTAAGCCTGTAGGTGCACAGAATGCAAGAGTGAAGGAAGCTTGGAGGCTTCCACCTAGATTTCAAAGGATGTATGAGAAAGCCTGGGTGCTCAGCCAGAAATCTGCTGCATAAGCCTGAGAGACATTTTCTATGACCTGTCATTTTCTATGAGAGGTCATAGGAAATTTTCTGTGACAATTTTCTCTGAGAGGTCCTCACAGTAAAGCTATACTAGGGCAGTGCAGAGGGGAAATGTGGGGTTGAAGGCTCCACATAGTGTCCCCACTCTGTAACTGCCCAGTGAGTTCACCATGCCTGCTGCCTAGACAGAGCAAATTCATCAAGGCAAGTGAATTGCAATAGAGAAAGTGTAATTCACGCAGAACTGGCTGTGCAGGAGTCTGGAGTTTTATTATTACTCAAATCAGTCTCCTCAAGCATTTGGGGAGCAGATTTTTTTAGGACAACTTGGTGGGTGGGTGAAAGCCGGTGAACCAGCAATGCTGATTGGTTACAGATGAAATCATATGGAGTTTAAGCTATCTTCTTGCACTGAATCAGTTCCTGGGTGGGGTCCACAAGATCAGATGAGCCAGTATCAATCTGGGTGGTGCCAGCTGATCCATCAAATGCAGGTTCTGCAAAATACCTCAAGTGCGTGATCTCAGGAGCTGTTTAGCAAGGGTCAGAGTATTGTATCCTCCAGCTGCATGACTACTAAACTGTAATTTCTAATCTTGTGGCTAATGTTGGTCCTACAAAGGCAATCTAGTCCCCAGGCAAGATGGAGGTCTGCTTTGTGAAAGGACTGTTATTGTGTTTGTTTTAACCTATAAACTGTAAACTAATTTTCTCCCAAAGTTAGTTCGGGCTACACCCAAGAATGAACAAGAACAGCTTGGAGGTAGAAGCAAGATGGAGTTGATTAACTTAGATCTCTTTGACTGTCTCAGTCATAATTTTGCAAAGGCAGTTTCAATCAAAGCATTGCCTAGTAGAGCTGTGGAAAGGGGGCAACTGCACTGTAGACCCTAGAAATATAGAGCCACCAGCAACTTACATCCTGATCCTTGAAAAGCCACAAAACAGAGCTGCCCAAAGCCTTGGTAGCCCACCTCTACCAGCAGTGTGTCTTGCAATATGGGGCATGGAGTCAAAGGAGATTATTTTGGAACTTTAAGATTTAATGACTGCCCTGCTGGGTTTCACACTTGTGTGAGGTCTGTAGCCCCTTTTGTTTGGCCAGTTAGTCCCTTTTGGAACAGGAATGTTTCTCCAATACTTGTATCGCCGTTGTATCATGGAAGTAAATAACTTGTTTTGATTTTAAAGGCTCATAGGTGGAAGAAACTCATTTCCAGATGAGACTTTGGACTTGGACTTGTGACTTTTGAGTGAATTCTGGGATGAATTAGGGCTTTGGGGGACTATTGGAAAAGCATGATTGTATTTTGCAGTTTGAGAAGGACATGAGGTTTGGGGAGACAGGAGTGAAATGATGTAGTTTGGATATATGTCCCTGCCAAATCTCATGTTGAAATGTAATCCCCAGAGTTGGAGGTGGAGCCTGGTGGGAGCTGATTCGGTCATGGGGGCAGATCCTGCATGGCTTGGTGCTGTCCTCATGGTAGTGAGTGAGTTCTCATGAGATCCGGTGAAAGTGTGTGGCACTTCCCTGCCTTCTTGCTCCCACTCCTGCCATGTGATATGCCTACTCCCCATTGCCTTCTATCATGATTGTAAGCTTCCTGAGGTTTCCCTAGAAGTAGATGTTGGTGTTATGCTTCCCGAACAGCCTGCAGAACTGTAAGCCAATTAAACTTCTTTTCTTATAAATTACCCAGTCCCAGGTATCTCTTTATAGCAATGCAAGAATGGCCTAACACATTATCATTTCCTTTTTATTGGGTTACATTCTATTTGCCATGAATGCAACCTTATACGTGAACTATAGTAATTAACCATTTACCATTCAGACTTTGGAAATGTGAATATTGCTATAGCAAAATAGTCATCAACAGACCTTCACCTGTTTCTGAAAGCCAAGAAGGATAAAAACCATATATGAACAATAGAACACAAATGATGGGTGGGGCTGAGGCAGGATTAGAATGTCACTGAGATGTGTAAATGGGCCAATTTCTCAAAGCAAATTAAAGCAAATACACCTAACTTTTGCATTCCCAGTATCTAGCACCGCATTGACAGAGTTAAAAGTCAGCTGAATTCATAGTGAAGGCTTCTTCCTTCCTCTTACAATCAATTGTAATTAATTAATTAATTAATCTTTCTTCCCCTCAAGCTAAGATTATACATTCTTTGAGGGCAGGAATCACATTTGCCTCATGTACCCTCATGGATCAGGACCTAGTGCACATAGCAGATGCTCAGCAAATATTGTTGATACGGAAATTAAATGATAGAAAGTCAGGAAAGAATGAAGGAATGATTGAACTCTTACTATTGAGCTGCCAGGTATTTTGATAGGTGCTTGTACATTACAGTAGCTACTTCACAGTATTCTGCATGGCAACTCTGAAAAAAAGGTATTATCATAATTTTACAGTTAGGAAGACTGGGAAGGATAACTTATGTTTTTATTTACTATTTGCTCAGTCCTATGCTAGGAAATTATATATGTTATCTATATGTTGATCCTCGAAATACCATGAAATGAGTGTTTTTTTCCTTACTTTACAAATTTAAATAAAAAGCTGGCATAGAGTTAATAAACATTGCTTCTAAGATTTAAATACATGCTTTCTGATTACATGCTGAATGCAAATAGTGAAATTTTCAATGAATGAATTCATGGATCAATGATTATTAATTCATTTATTGATACATATTTATTTTTCTATAAAACTATTACAAAAAACAACTTTGCCAGTAGCACTTATCCAAACAACTTTAACATCTTCACCTGAAAAATTAAAATTTATACTTGAAAAATGAAAAACACCCTCATTGTAGCCTCCACTTATAACTCGAATCACTTTTAAATCATCTCAGATTTAATTTTTCTTCTTCTTTTTTTTTTTTTTTTTTTTTTGAGACAGAATCTTGCTCCATTGCCCAGGCTGGAGTATAGTGGCATGATCTTGGCTCACTGCAAGCTCCATCTCCTGGGGTCATGCCATTCTTCTGCCTCAACCTCCCGAGTAGCTGGGACTACAGGCACCTGCCACCACACCTGGCTAATTGTTTTTGTAGTTTTGGTAGAAACAGGGTTTAACCGTGTTAGCCAGGATGGTCTTGATCTCCTGACCTCATGATCCGCCCGCCTTGGCCTTCC
Source organism: Homo sapiens (assembly GCF_000001405.40). Taxonomy (NCBI): domain Eukaryota; kingdom Metazoa; phylum Chordata; class Mammalia; order Primates; family Hominidae; genus Homo; species Homo sapiens. The sequence continues at coordinate 86,591,053 of NC_000001.11, read as the reverse complement.
AAAGTGCTGGGATTACAGGTGTGAGCCACTGCATCCAGCAGATTTAATTTTTCAATCACAACCTCAGAAAATTTTTCACATGATCTCTAAGTAATACATTCCAGTATTTAAGAGGCTTCATTTTCATACATATATCCTAATTAAAACCCATTTTCTCTCTTGAGAATAAATGCAATGATAATATATTTTTAAAATCTTATTCTTTATTTTGCAGAATAGAATCTTGCCTCTATGTTCAATGCCATTTTGTAAATAAAACTGGACTTTAAAAAGCTTATTTTAATAGCAACAATACTATTTGTAAATTTTTTTTGTTTGTTTCATGTTCTAGGAAAACATTCTAATAATTCCACATTCTCATTTCCTGGTCTCAAGCTCCAAAGCCTTCTTCATTTTTTATTTGTCCCACCAGTCTGTCTCCTTCACTGACATTTCCTGACACCTCGTTCCTTTTCCTACCTCTATTAGAGGTCTTTTTTTTTTCACAGTTCTCTGTTAGAAAGTCTTCCTTTTCACGGTGTTAGAAAGTGTGGGCACAAAAATGCTTGCATGGTCCTTTGGATGAGCTAAATGAAAAGGGCAAAGTGACACATTTAAGTCAGATTGCTCTCTAATCCGTACTTTATTTTCTAAGTGAAAGAAAATGAATAATAAAGTTTTTGATCACAGAATGTATTCTGTATATATGTAAACACTTGAAGCTTTTCTAATAATTATGTGTACAAGATCTAATTTAATCACAAGAATTAATGTCAGATTCAGAACAGAATTTTAAAATGTTGCTAATCCATTTTAAAGTCTGAATGAATTAGTCATTAGCAGAATGCAAATTAGAATCACAAGATGCCGCTACACATTCATTAAGAAACTTCAGTAAAATGGACAATTCTCTAGGCAAATACAAATTATCAAAATGGAACCAGTCATTGGAAACCTGAATAGATCAAAGATTAACTTTTGCTCAACCAATCAATAAAAAAGGTGAATACTCCACTTAAAAGATGAATCAGACGTAAATGGTCATTCATAAAATAAACAAAGACAGCCAATAAACATATGGAAGACCACACATTCATTAGTAAGTAAAGAAGTTAAAATAAAAAGAGCAATAAAATATCATATTTTAAATTATCAAGTGACACAAATTTTAAAAAGACAGTAATATCCACATTTGCTGAAGAAATTTAGGAGGCAAATACTGGCACATACAGTTGATAATAAAATGAATTGTTAATACTTTCATGTTAATAAGCTGTCAATATGAATTTAAAAACTTGAAAAAAAGTTTTTTGCTATAAGAATGTTCATCATAGAGAACATTATTTTAAAAGAGTAAAGAATTGAAGTGAATCTAAATTTCCTTATATAAATTTTGTTATATATATGAGTATTAAAAATGAATTTATGTTTTAATATGTTAATGAGTGTTGAACTTTAAAAGTTGTACACTACTGTAATGAGAATCAACAGAATGCCACTACACACAGCAATGTGGATGAATCTCACATACATATTTGAGTAAACAAAGCCAATCACCAATGAATATGTACTATATGATTCCACCTCTCTAAAGTGTGTAAACAGGCAAAAACAATCTCTGCCGTTAGAAGCCAAGATAACTTGACTTTAACTTGCGATTATCTCTTATAGGAGGTGATAACTGGAAGAGAGCAGAAAGGGAGCATCTGGGATACTGGTAATGTTCTTTTCTTGAAATCAACTTTGGTTACATGGTTGTGTTTGGTTTGTGAAAATTCATCTAGCAAATGACAGAAGCCAAGGTTTGCATGTATGAAGCTCTAGGGAAAAGGTAGAAAATGATATAAACAAGCTAGTATATAACAAATAATTTAAATAACTCTCCTTGGCCTGATTCTATGCCTCCATATAAGACAGCATGGATAAAATATTTCGTTCATTCTTCCATTATCTTTTCATTCATTCAACAGTTATTAACTGCACATTTATTATAGCCTGGTCTAGTTCTAGTTCATGAAGTGAGCAAAACTAACAGGTCACTGCTCTTATGGAACCCATATTCCAGTGGGGAAGATAAACAATAAACATTCTAATGTTCCATTAAAACTTAAAATATCAGCTAGCGTTAAATGCTGTACAGAGAATTTGATTTTTAAAAATATGGTGGTGACTGAGTTGCTTAAGATTAGGTTGACAGAGAAGGTCTCTCTGAAGAGATAAATGAATATCTGAAAAAAGAGAGTCAGCAATTAATAATTAAGTGGAGGGAACATCAATTTCAAAGAAAAAATGACTTCTGGGTTTGAATGCAGGCACCTGGTAGATCAGTGCTGATGTTTAGGTAGGAGTATAGGAAGAGTGACTGGCTGATATAGCCGGATAGGAAAAGGCTGCTTTTCTCAAGTGTGAAGTAAGTTTTTAGGTGCATTTGGATGAGTCTGACCTTGATATCTTTGAAACTGATTTGAAAGACTAATGTCCTTGACAGATATAATCGGGGTCATTGGAGGAATTGGTGCTGAAGGAACCTATTAGGCAGAAGAAAATTCATGTAAAATTTGAATTTACCTAAATAGAGGCTAAAGGCTGATTGGGAGATTAAGAGGAAATGTGAAACCAAAGTTAGTTATTGCAGTAACAATGAGGATATAGTTCAAGATACTTTTGCCTTAATTTAAGTGGAATGACCCAGCAATCCTGTCTATAGGTATAATGTTTTCTGCTTAAACTCATACAGTAAAGTTGTTAGTGGTTCCTTTTTGTGGTCCTTTTGTCAGCTCTGTGATTGATTCATTAAAACTGATGCTTGGGAAAACAAGATTCCATTTTTTAATTTAATAAGCATTTATTGAACTTGGTGATGGGCATTGGGGAGATGATGATGAGTAAGAGCTTGTCTCCTGCCCTCAAGCATCTCACCCTCTGGAGGGAAAAAAGGACAAGTAAATGGGCAGTTACGCGGCACAGAGAGTTAATGTGAAACTCAGGGGTGAGAATTAGGGAAAGTAAGAGGAGCTTAACCCTCTGGGGCAGGAGGTTGGAGGAATTAGGGGATGCTTCCCAGAAGGAGTGACTCCAAAGACCTGAGAATGAGCCTGAGTTATTCAGTGACTGCAGGATGTGGAAGTGGAGGGATAGTGGAGAAGAGGGCATTTATAGAGAATGAAAAGCACCTCACAGCCTTGGAATGACAGATCCTGTAATGTATTCAAAGAACTAGAAGTGGTCCATGGTGGATGGAACCAGTATGTAATGTGAGAAGTTGTGAGACATGAAACTGGAGAAATAAGCTGGATGTGGAAGATGAAAAGCATCATTAATCATACCACAGGGTTTGGACCTCACTGGAATCAAGCAATGGTTTTGTTGCCTGATGCTCATAGAAGCTAATACTGTGGCACTGGCTTTTGAGAAAAGTAAAGAAAAAAGCCTTATTGAGAATCAACTGGTAAGGAGACAGGAGGCAAGTTCAAATCCATCTCCCTAAGTGGGGGTCTGGGGGCAGGTTTTATAGCCTGAGACTAACAATGGGAAGGGAAGGAAAATGGTACTTGGGTTCCACCTGCGGTTGGCTTTTTTATTCTGCTGGCTCTGGGATCTCGAATCAGACATACTTGGTTCATCTGGACCTGTTCACGTTACATGATATGCAACCTGGGGGTCCGTTGCACTGCAAAGCAAATTGTCCTTTTGTTAAACCAAAGTTTAAACCACAAAGTTTAACAAAGTTAAACCACACTGAATTGGATCTGTGGTTACATCACCTTGAGTGCAAAGGAAAGTCATTAGAAGGTTTTAAATAGGAGTGCGACAGGATCATATTTGTACTTTAGAAAGACTTCGGCTGCAAAGTGAATAGTGGTTGGAAACAGGCTTGCATTACTAGCATATATGTCTTGTGTGAATTCGAAAAACAACTTGTAAATTAGAAAAATGTGCCACCTCTGGGCAGACTAATGATCCAGTAGTGCCCCTGCAGCCCTGATTCTGGGAGCTGAGTTTGGACTATATTTCAGGCCTCACTCGCTCCTGCCCTCCATGGCTGAGTGTCTTCAGGCAGGGCTCAACCTTCACAATGGTTCACAATGGCTGTTTGGAAAAGGGTTTTGTAGGGAATATAGGTAAGAGATGCTGGGGGCATGAACTAGGGACAGAGACAGGTGGAGGGTTTTTTGAGATATTAAGAATTGACAAGACTTGGTGACTGACTGGATATAGAGAGTAAAGAAGCAAGAATAGGGATATCTCTGTATTTGTATGAGTATGTGTGTATTAGAATATTCAGCACTCCATCCTTCCTCTTCTCTCTTTTTTACTCTGTCTCCCCAGAATGTAGCCCCATTTTCCAAAGTGTTCACTGTATAATTGAGAGGGATTAGGAGTTAGGGCTTGTGTCAGATAGTAAACAAATAACTACATTTGGGTGTCAGAATTCTGTATGAAGAATGGGACACAAATGGGGGAGTTTTCTATTCTGTCTGAGTGTGAGGGAGGGAACCAGGAGGCAGTAGAAATGGGATTTTGAAAAAGGGGAATGTGGTTAGGGGGCAGAAAGGGAGGCTGAAGAAGGTGTAAAGAATTAAAAGAAGGAATGGTAAAGTATGGCATTTCTGACAAAGGCCCAGAAATATAAAACTGTGTGCACTTCTGGGGAAACTCAAAATCTTTGACTGATTACAGCTGGGAGATCAGTGGGGATGGTGTAATAAGAGATGTGGAAGTGGAAGCTAGGGCCAAATGATGATGAACCTTACAGTCATTCATTTGACAAATATTTGCCATCATGCAAGGTGCCTGGCAAGAAGTGATGAATAAAGCAGGCAAAGTATCTGCCTTTGTGGCATTTATACCTTATCTTGAAAGCAGTGTGGGAACTATTGTGGTTTTGTTCAAATTAATCTGTGGGGAACATGGGTTGGGAAGGATTGACGGAAAAGAGAGACCTATTAGGGACCATCTTTTTCAGAAGAAGATGATGGAGGCTGACTGAGGCAGTCACTGAACAGGAGTGGGGAAGAGATAAGGGTTAAGCAGATTTCACAAACAAGACTCATTCACTGATTTGACATAAACGGTGAAGAAATTGGAGAGCAAGAGATGGCCTCCTGGTCTCTGGTTTGAATAACTGGTTGGTGACATACTTTTCTTTCACTGAGATAGGACATTTTGGAAGAAAGTATAGGTGAAGAGAATGAATTTAGTTTTATAGAATTATACTGTTTCCCGACCCAAATTGACAAACCTATACCCAAACAGTGCTCTGAACCACCTACATTTCCCTGCTTGGCTCAAACTCTCTCTCTCTGTGTGTGTGTGTGTGTGTGTGTGTGTGTGTGAGAGAGAGAGAGAGAGAGAGACAGAGAGAGAGAGACAGAGACAGACAGAGAAAGAGAGAGAGAGAGAGAGAAGGTTCATGGTGGTGGAGCAGAAGTTGAAGGAGCAACAGATACTCAATTGTGGGCTTTCTTCCTTTCCTCAGATAGCATTATCTCCTGACACTGAGCTCTCTGGGGTCTGGAGAGTTCTGGTTTGCTCTATAAAGGAAGCCTGATTAAGGTTCTAAATACATCTGAGAGGCTGTACATAGATGCATGTTTGCAGAAAAGCAAAAAGTTTTGATTGTTTTTAGTTCCAAGCCCAGATAGAACTTCAAATGATAAAGTAAGTGATGGTTCTACTTTCATGTCACCAAACTCCTACTGTTCAATCTTTTCCATATGCCTCTAAAACACCTTCCTATTTCCTAAACACCACATGATGACAGACAGCAGGACATAAAATATGTAGTGCTTTGCTTACATTCCTCATGGGGTCAAATGCATCAGGAACTAATTTGCTGATCATCACATAGATTATTAAAGAAAACAGGGCATTGGGATGATAAATCAAATAATTAATTAGCAACAAATATGATCTGAACAGGTATATTTACTAAAATGCTATTACAGATGCTAAGGCTTTAAAATAACTTGCTGTTTCATGGAACAATATAGAATCATTTACGAAGAATACTTATTTTTTCATGTGTCAGCTCTAAGAGCAGGACTGCCATATGAGGATGCAGAGACTGTGCCTTGTGAAACTCCAGGGGCACCATTCATACAAGGTATGATTTGCACGGATCCCTTTAGAGTTCTGTAATATGGTAGCCCTAGATAATATTCATGGTCATGTGAAGGGAAAAGACAGAACTTTAGGGAAATCAGGCTTATCTAAGGCACCAGTGATCAAGCAATGCTGGGCACCAGAAAAGTAGAGGGCGATGGTAAGAGGAACAGGATTGGAGAGGAAGACAAGGACTTGCCAAGAAGTTCAGCATAGGAAGTGACTAGACATTTGCTGGAAGGAGGGAGAATGAATGATGGTAAGGTGAACAAAAGTGTTCTCTATAAGAGGGAAGGAAGTGGAAAGACAAATTAGGAATTTGGTGCCTAGAGAGTAGGTCTGTATAGCAGTGGGTTTGTCACTGTTTTTTGTTTTTCAAAAACTTACGAAGTTTTTGCAGTGATGATGATATTGAGTATAACTGCTGTGAAAGCAGTTTATTGAACAGTCTCAATTCACTAGGATATAAACATGAAAAAACAATTTTTTGAGTCGCCTTAACAAACTGTGTTCTACTGAGTTCCTCTATTTCGCTGGGTAGCAATTACTAACATCAGAGGCCAATTCCATTAGCATCGTCATTGTCAATTTGTAAAAATCACAGTATCTGTGAAGCACAATAAAGTGAAATCCAGTAAAACATGGTATGTCTGTATATGTATACATTGTGGAATGGATAACTCAAGCTATTTAATTAATGCATTAGCTCTTAAAATTTTTTTGGTTAGATCAGTTAAAATCTATTCTTTTTGTGAGTTTCAATTATAGAGCATATTGTTATTAACTATAATCACCATGATGTACAGTAGGTCTCTCAAACTTATTTTTTCCTCCCACCCCAGCCTCTGGTAACCACCATTCTACTCTCTGCTTCTATGTGTACAATGTTTTTAGATTTCACATATAAATGAGAACATATGGTATTTGTCTTTTTGTGTCTGGCTTATTTCACTTAATATAATAGTGGCTTTGCTGAGGCAAGTTGGATAAATTGGAACTACATCTCTCAGAAACCATATGATTCTGGGTTAGAGTTGGTCAGAAATAATTTTCATGAAATGTGGAAGGCAGAAGTAAAACAGCAGCCATAACTGCTTGCAGGAGAAGTGATAAAAGGCGGTGGGAAACAGGTGCAGATGGGCCGGCATCCTTGCTCCTCTCTACTCCATTTCTGACTCTTCTTTCTGAATGCTGACATTGCTGACTGATAGTGATCCTAGGTCCACCACAAGACTCTTGGCAACAAACCCACAGAGGTTTTTTTATGCACAGTTAACAGTCTTCCACAGACTTCTACAGTGGCCCCCTTCATGATCCCATTCCAGTTCCTGGACATGCCTGGATACCGACATTAAACACCCAACACAAACTTCAGCACTTCAAAGAGGCTTGTTAGATTTTTTTTCTGATCTCCCATTTCCTTTCTTCAGTGCTTTACTTCCTCATCCTAATTCTTATAATAAATAAATTCCCTACTCTGTAATACTCATGGTGGTCTGTTTCCCTGATGGAACACTGACCAGTACAGTTATTGGTTATTTGGGTAATCTAGCACTGTGGACCAAACCATCCCAAAACTTAGTGGCTCAAAACATCAATCATTTTCTTTTTTCTATGATTCTATTGGTTGTCTGGGCTTAAATGGGAGGTTCTTTTGCTGGTTAGGCTTAGAGTCTGGTGACTGCAAATGGAGTCATCTAGAGGCTGGGAAACAGCGAGAGTTAATTAGTCCTCTTTTTATTCTGCATGTATTCCTGGAACCTCTCCAGTGGTCTCTCCATTAGCATAGCTGTATTTTAACATGGTAGTTCAGGGTTCCCAAGAACACTAAAATGGAAACATCTATCATTTTTCTGTGTTATGTTAATTAAGGTACATCATTCACCCAGCTGACATCCAATGTGAGAAAGAACTACATAAGGCTACAAATAATTGGAATTGTGGATCTTTGGAAACATTTTTGGGGATTAGCTACCATACTTTTCTGTTTGGCTGCAATAGGCCTGGATCACTTCAGTGTTGCTTTGAGTTGAACTCCTTTTAGTCCTATTTTATGCTGGTGTGAATGTTCATCAGGCACTGTGGTTTGGGTCCCCACACTTACACATGCTGTACTGGGGCACTCTGGCCTGTGACAGCAGCCATCTCAGTGGCATGAATAGAAGCATGGAAAGGTAGTTCTCTCAGTCCTAGCTGAGCAGCTGTGACTATGAATGCATACCATCTCTCTGTGCTAGAGCTTGGGCAGACCTAGCTTGTGACACTGTAGACTTCCCACCCCAAGGAGTAACACTGACTTGGATAGCTAGTGATACAGGTTTTTTTCTATTCAGGAACCCTGTAGACATGCGAGTCTCTGAGGTCCGTAGAGGGTTAGTCCTCTCCCATACAGGGCTGCCTCTCTTCCTTAATGGAATATCTTAGGTGTATTTTCTGTTGCCAGATTCCCTGCAAGAGGCAATGAGCCTAAACTTACCTTCCTAAATGTGGTAGTTTTTTCATGATTAACTAAATCAACTACTAGACCATGAATGCTGCTAGGTGGTTGTAATGGACAACCCACACAGAGACTTCATACTGTAGGTACAATCGCTAGTTTATCCTGGACTACAGCCAGGGCTGGTTTTGTGGACATACCATCTGTGCAGTTGCTTGGAGCTCTGCTTAGAAGGGCCCTGAACTTGGTTTAATGTTTAGCTGTTGGTGTCTTGAAATTCTTACTAATTTTAAAGCAAAGGCCTCTTATTTTCATTTTTCAGTGAGCAGCATAAATTATGTAGCCTGTATTGACTACAACAATGGTAATGATTTAGTTATCTTTCTGATTCTTAAGAATTCACAAATAACTACTTGATGCAGACCTGGGAATAGAATGAAATCAGAGCTTGACCTGGGAGGAGAGAGCCCACTACTGGGACCCACCTGAGCCTAGATATTGCACTAGAACCTCAGAGAGGGAAGTAACCAGGCTGGGAGGCTTTGCCTCCAGAGTAATGGGGTGAATGGGTGGAAAGGACATAAAGAAAATCTGACTGATATATGATATTTCTGGTGCCAACATAGAATTTCAGGCCTTCATTCCCCTCTTGGTAAAGGCCAGGTGCTCTACAATTAATGTTTTTCCTGCATTTTCTCTTGTACATCCCTAGCCATTAGCAACTGGCCAAACAGGTACCAGTCTGCTAGAGGAGCTAATAGTGCCAATAGACCCATTGCCTCAACAGCTTAGTCTCCAAATGCCCTAGTGCGCAGCTCATTTTCCTCTGCACATTTTCTTCTGCATGCTTTGAGAGGAAGTCAAATCTTCCTAGAGTCAGGAGTCTCCCACTTACTTCCTCTTCCTTTGCTCCTTTACTACTTCCAACTTAAACTACAAGGCCTTTTTTGTCAGCCCTGCTAATCACACCAAATTCTTTATGCCAGGTCAAGATCTATGTTTGAAGATTGTTAAAAGTGACCCCTGGACTCAGCTTATATGGCTTTCATTTTCATTTACTTCCAAAGAGCAAAGAATTCCTGACAATGCTACCTGAGATAAGAATGCAAATGAGTGGATGCTGTTCTTCAGGTCCTCTCTAGTTCCTCAGGATGCTGAGTTATAGTAATAAAAATTCCTGTGAAACATGAGAAAACCACCCATTGGAAGTACAAGGAAACCGTATGCTTGTAAACTTGGACTCAAAGTCTACCTACTCCTATGAGGGGAAGTTCCTTCTGCACCATCTTACACCATTGTAACATGCTCTGTGTTCCATTTTGTTTACATCATTAGGGCCTCTGGCTGACCTGGCTATGGTCTGCCATATAAAACTACTCCTTTCAACCCACATTTTCTCCTTAAGTGATCTCATTAGTCAATACGGTTGTGACCCTGAGAGATGAATGAAAATATTGTTTTAAAAATATTTAGCTTTCTTTATCTGAAAACAAGGGCAATAGATAGTAGTTTCAGTAATTCTTTCCTATGATAAAACAAAAAGTATGCAGATAGGTATGGCTTTTTAAATGAAAAGAGATAGATATATGTTTATATCAAAATAAAATCAGGAAAAATTATAGTTTGACAGGTGGTAATTGATTTAGATTTTTTTTCTAGTTTTCTCCATATCCATGAACTGTAGTAAACATAACCTTGGCAATTGTAGGGTACAGTTGGAGGCTTTGGATGAATATGAGATCATCAATTTATACTTAATAATACCAACACCAAATTCATTTTTTTCCAAATGTTGTTTATTTGCTCTCCTTTACTTGTATTTTGACTACTCAGATAGATGATTTTAATTTCTTGATGCAATTTGAAATATCATTTCAGAAAACTGTTGCATCAAATAATATACAACCAGGTATCAGTATGAAAAAGGATCTTTGTTCATCACTATTTCTTACAAATAAAATAACAAATAAATGAAACTATTAAATTTTAATCTTGACAGTTTTTACATATCCATGAGTGTTTTTATTTAATCAAAGTATCCTTTTCCGACATCTTAAAATTATTTTTATGAGTTTATGATCACACATGGGATGAATTTTAAGATTCAGAAATATCCTTTACTTACATTGTTTTGTTTTTTAAAACTCTCTTCTAGGTCTACTTGAAGATTTTTTTCTTCGTTAAGGTTCAAATGGTGGTACTTAAAATAAAGTTAACAATTACAACAGACCCAATCACAGACAATACCAGCGTAGAAATATTAACTCCAGAATTATGACTTTTATCAGGAGTAGGAGTAGGAGTAGGAGTAGGTGTAGGATCAATGTCATCAGGATTTGCTTGAGGGATAAACAAAGTTACTTGTGCAATGTTGGATACTTTTGATGTCAAATTGCTTTTATCTATACTTTTAATGGCAATAAATATGTGGGTTGCATTTTCTTCTGAGATATTTTCTGGTTTAAATGCAAAGCTTTCCTTGGAGTTGGCCTCCTTTGGTGACAGATCAGTAGTATTTACTTGAAGAGCATCATCAAAACTGTCTCTTAGATCAAGAATACTTGCACTTATTCTTATGATATAACGTTGAACTGAGAAAAAAAAGTTACATGTAGTTTAGAGACTGCAGCATAGCATATTCATTCCTTTTTATTTATTCTCAAAAATGTCTAGTTATGCAAAGCAGATAGATCAAAAGCCTTACTCATTTTTTAATAAAAGCTGAATTCTGGTCTTAAGCTCTGCAAATTGCTACCTTCTTTGTATGAAAAGTAGGACCACGTTAAAATGTGTCATTTGATTGATTAAAAAATATCAGATTATAAAATTAACACTTTGCTAGGCTGTCAATATAAAACCATTCTCCCCCCACCCACCCTTACACCCCTGTTTTTGCAATTAGCACCTTTTACTTAAGTCAAAATCACATGACACTTCATCCTTACCTTTTCCAACATCAAAATTATCTCCTGGTGCTGTCCATGTAAGAATAATCTTATCCTCATGAACTGTGGCATCAAGGTCTGTGATTTGACTTGGTGGGTATTGGTCAGGCAAGGGAAGGCTTGGGACTTGTGATACCACAAATGCACCTCCGGATGCTGTTCGGCTGAAATCCTCCAAGGTGGTCTGAGTATCCTCATCAATTTCAGGTCTTGGCGGGTTTGCTTCAATTTCCCCTGCATTAAACATTTCCTGGTTTATAATGGGCAAAACTACTGGTATTTATTATAATTCAGTGAATCACCTTCTTCACTTGTCTTTTCCTTCTAAAAAAATATATACAGTCACATTTTTACTAAGTTTTGTGACAATCATAAGCGCCCAACTGGTGAGAGAATTCTTTCTTTGGTAGGATATTGTAGGACAGAATCAGAAAACAAATTGCTTTAGAATTAAGCCTACACTGGGTGACAGAAATATTATATAATTCAATGTGTGCCTTTTTAAAAAAGGAATTGCTTTACCTCTTGAATTATCTGCACTCTGGGAATATACCTGGGGAAATCATTGCCAGTTCTCCTCCACCCACTTGTGCTAGGTCCCTCCCTCCATGCTGCAAGTGCTAAGGAATAATTCTTCTGATTGTATTCCAATTGCTAGTAGAAAGCCCCTAAAAGTCACAAGGGACCAGATGAAAGAAAGCTAGCAAAGAATGCATTCTTAATTCTTACATCACTTTACTGCACACACTGTTTTTCTTTTTGACTTATTAAAATTCTAAATAAGTGTTTACTCTACAGCATATGTAATCTGAAAGATAAATTCTGCACAGGCTTGTGCTTAGGTTCATAAATTGGTCTGTTTCCTTCATCTTGAGCTGAAAGCTGGGCATATTATTGTTGATATACATAAGATGTTCAAACTAACATAATAATAACTGATGTTTTTGAGTGAGATCATGTCTTTTGCAGGAACATGGATGGAGCTGGAGGCCATTATCCTCAGCAAACTAATGCAGGAACAGAAAACCAAAATACTGCGTGTTCTCACTTATAAGTGGGAGCTAAATGATGAGAATTCATGGACACAAAGAGGGTAACAATAGGCACTAGGGCCTACTTGAGGGTGGAGTTTGGGAGGAGGGAGAGGGTCAGAAAAAATAACTATTGGGTACTAGGTTTAGTACCTGCATAATGAAATAATCTGTACAACAAACCGCCATGACACGAGTTTACCTATATAACAAACCTGCACATGTACCCTCAAACCTAAACTGAAAGTTAAAAAAAATAAGAATAATTGACCTTTTTTGAGTGCTTGAGTGCTTACTAGGTGCCAGACATTGTACCAAAGCTTAGATTAATTTAGAGGCAAATCCTAGTATGACTGAGAACTTTATTCCATAAATGGGAAAAGCTATATTTTGAGTTTTAATCAACCTGTTTGAAGCCTAATTATATCAAATCACTAATATTGTTCAAACTATCACTGGATTATAAATATCATGAGTTACTCACCGTTCACTACCCAGCCTGGTATGTACGCGGCTCTATTCAGTGGAGGCCGTAATTTTAGCCTGGCAGTGTTTGCTCCTCCATGAGCCCGAACTTTTAAGCTATATCTGCCATTTTCTGTATATGCTGTAAAATACCTGGAGTAGACTCCATCATTCTTGAAAGAATCAGCGCCTTGTTATAGAAATGAAGGAATAAAGTCTTGTAAAGAGAAATTTTGCATTTTCTAAGACAAGCAATTGGCCTCTACAAGCATATCCTCTAGATTAGGCTTAATATTTTTAGATTGACCCTTTGGAGAATATTTCCATTATATTCTGCCAAAACAATATATTGTAGAATTGACACCCTTGAGCTATTTCGATATCTATTATTTCTATATAACATACATACACACACACTGATATTTATGTATGCATAATAAATGCCTAAATACTTCACCTTTCTGTCCTTATTAATTCATATACAGAATATTACATATAGTACTCTTACAATTTCTCCACCACTGGGTTGCTTTCAGCTTGCTTTCTCTAAACACACTATGTCATCTCTCTGTTTAAATCAAAAGGGTCCCTACTAAGGAAAAATCCTTTCTTTGTGTAGGATTTAATTCTCACAACAGTCAACTAAAATTACTAAATCTGGAGATTTTTAGAGGTACACATTTCCCAGACTTCCTAGGGAAAGGTCCCAGCATTCTGTGTTCTTACAAACCCTCGAGATGATTCCTTTGCATACTAAAGTTTGTCTGCAGACTAAAGACATTTGCAGACTAAAGAATGTCTGCTCTATGTCATTGTTAATCACTAATACCATCTCAGGTAAAGGCATTCCAAATTAGCAAATTTCCCCAATTACCTAAATGGTCATCTAGCAAAATGTTGAGAAGGGAAACATGGTGCATATAAGTTTTAATGTAGTAGAGATTTGCAGAAAGGGAAAAAAGAGGCAAGGGATAGTTGTGGAAATATTGATATATCTGAAGAAGGCATTGAGGTACACAAAAGAACAATTTCACCTTCTCAGTTTTTCTCAGGGGCAACTCTAGTTGAAGATATGATTATAAAATGATTGAATAAGTTACATTGCAAAATATACTGATAGAAAATTTTGTTAATTCGGGTGCCTATCAATATAGTTATTTCCTTGCTCATTAACCTCTTAACAGAAGCTTCCGTTCCTAGAACAATCCAGAATCTAGGGAAAGGGTCTTTAGGCATCACCCATCTGTGCAGACCAGGGAGACAGATAATGGCCAACGTTGCATCTTGATTCCTACCAGCCAGACCTGGTATCTGATGCCCCAGTGATGAATCTTCCTCTTTTGTGGCAGTGCTAGCTGCCTCTGGGCCCCAGTTCTCAGGACTATATTTATACTTTGTTCCAGCTGTCGAGGATTACTCCTGCTTTCTTTTCCTGCCAGAGACCCAAGCTCTATCACTTAATCACATTTAGTTTGCTTGTGCTTCACCCTCTCTCTAGCCAGGCTTTCTTGATGCTGTCCTCAGCCTCCTGAATGAGACCTTTCTAATTGGTGACAGACATTGGTTGCCTGGATGATAAACAACAATGATGACAAAAAATTACATGTATGGCCAGGCATGGTGGCTCACTCCTGTAATTCCAGCACTTTGGGAGGCTGGGGTGGGAGGGTGGCTTAAGCCTAGGAGTTTGAGACCGGCTGGGGCAATATAGTGAGACCTTTTCTCTTTTGTTGACCTTTTCTCTACAAAAAAAATTTAAAGATTAGCTGAGCATGGTGGCACACACCTGTATCCCAGCTACTTGGGATGCTGAGATAGGAGGACTGCTTGAGCCTGGGAGGCAGAGGCATCAGTGAGCTGAAATGGTGCTACTGAACTCCATCCAGCCTGTGCGACAGAGTGAGACCTCATCTCAAAAAAACAAAAAAAACAAACAAAAAAATTCAACAACCAAAAACGTTTTTATTTTTATTTATTTATTGGGTATTTTTGTTGTCGTTGAGACGGAGTCTTTCTCTGTTGCCCAGGCTGGAATGTGGTGTTATGATCTTGGCTCACTGCAACCTCCACCTCCCAGGTTCAAGTGATCCTCTGTCCTCATCCTCCCAAGTGGCTGGGATTACAAGTGTGTGCCACCACACCTGGCTAATTTTTTGTACTTTTAGTAGAAAAGGGGTTTCACCATGTTTGCCAGGCTGGTCTTGAACTCCTGACCTCAAGTGATCTGCCCACCTTGGCCTCCCGAAGTGCTAGGATTACATAAGTGAGCCACAGCGCCCAGCCCAAAAACATTGATTGAGTGCTTACCACATGCAAGACATTTGCTAAGCACTCTGTAGGTTTTACCTAGATAAAATTTCCTGCTGTTCCTGCTGTTCCTCCTTAATCTGCATCAATTCTGTTGCCTGTCTTACTGCTCCACAATGCCACAGGGACTCACAACATGCTGAATTAGGAAAATATTGGCTTATTCATAAAAACCTGTGAATTACCTGCACCATTATCCAAAAGTTCCAAAACTTCTGTATGTCCATTCTGTGATTCAATGAAAGCAGTCACATTGGCTCCAAGAACAGGTACATATCCTTGTAGAATTTCTGCGTAAACAATCATTGGGCTGGGGAAACTGTTTACGTCCTTATTCATTTTAGCATTCACTGTGATTGGAGGCACAGAAGAATTTGCTGCTCGAGAAGTTACTGTAATAGTTAATGTTTCTGGGTTCGCTTTGGCTTGAAGATTGTATGCCCAAGTGCCCACCTAAAAGTTTCAACAGAAATATAGTAAGTATCCAAAGTCAAGCTACTTTCTATATTTCCATTATGTAATTCTAAAATAAATTATATAATGGGGAGAGAATAAAGAGGTTTTAAGGATGTTGAGGATAAATGGGTAAGGGCTGAGGCAGTTCAGACAGGGCATGCCAAGTAGTACCATTCATGATGTGTACACTTCGCTACATCTCAATTGGAAAAAATAAGTTTTAGAAGGTTTGCCTTGGTTTTGGCCTTAGAGTCCACAGATTCATCAATCCTGGTAGGGTGAATAAGGAAGGACCCTGTAGCTCTCTACCCACCAATTTGCATAGACTCTTCCTACATTTCCTTCTTAAAGTTCTTCTCAGACAGTCTTGACTACGTTTTCTTCCTTCTTCTTGATATATAAGTTCTTTTTTCCTACCATCATAGTTTTAAGGACACAGGCATGGAAAGTACATACTATTTTATCTTAATTTTAAAGTTGATACAGCCTTTGGTACTGACATTTATGACATTAAACAATTTATGTTCAGTTTTTTAAAAATGTTGACAGGAAGTCTAAAAGCTGATTGCTTACCTTTGCAGTTCCTGGAATACTGAGATAGGCCATTTTGGAAGTTGCATCCACTGTGAAATTTTCCATTATTGTTCCACTGGGATCCCAGAGAGAAATACTGGGAGGCAGACTGTTCCATGTGATGAGAAAGAACGTGTCCTTTCCCACTGTACTATCAATTATGACAGTGTCGTTCATCCAGGCATTACTATTCAGTGTTAATCCCTTACTTTCGAGCTGTTTAAATAGATTTCAAAATTAATGACTGCAGAAGACAGTAATTTTATTCTTTTTTCAAGATGGTTTTTAATTTCTGGCCTGAGAACAAGCTTATAAATGGCAGACCACCTTAGACTTGTGATCTCTCTGCAAGCTGGTGATGATATGACAGTTATCAATTAAAAAGTGAGGAAGTAAGAGACTTAGAGCAGAAACATGTAGAGCAGAAACAAGGGTTTTACAGTCATGAATATGACCTTACTGTTTTTTTCCCGGTTGTCTTGGCAAGCATTCATGGATGTTTTCCTGATGTGGAAATTTGAAATAATTTTTTCACACAGATAGAGGGAGTAGCACTGGACAGTAAATATATTCAACAAGAGGGCAAACTGATACATAAAGGTTGGGATCCTGAGAAGAGAGGAAATGTAGAAGCTTTCTTTGAGAAGAGCTTTAAAGAAAGTATTTCAACTTTTTGTTGATAGCTGTTAGTCCAGAAGAGCCAACCATTTTTGTTTAGTTACTCATTTTTTAAAGTGACAAAGAAATATGCACATATTGTGGAATGGCTAAATCAAGTAGATTAACATAGGCATTACCTCACATACTTATTTTTGTGGTGAGAATGCATAAAATCCACTTAGTGATTTTCAAATATACAATACATTGTTGTTAACTACAGTTGCTATATTGTATAGCGGGTTTCTTGGTGTTCCTACCATCCATTTAAAATAAACAGAACACAAAATAGTATCTTCAGAATCAGTTCTCTCTCCTTACTTCTCACTATAATCATCATGTTCTCAGTCAACGATGATGGCAACCTCAGAAATGACCTTTATTATCCTTCAGCTTATTCTCCAAACACTAGCAGTCTATATCTCACACTAATTTTTAACTTGTTTGCAGGTTATATCTGCAGACAAGATGTCCAAACAAATCTGTACATACTCTAAGCTCACATCCCATAACTTCTGTTCTTTTCATTGTTGAGAAGTAGAGGAAAATAGATTTGTTTAGGGATCATGGCAAGTTTTAATATAGGCAGTGAGCTGATGAGCTGGAAAACACCAGACAGAAATCTTGGCATAAAGTGACATGACATAGACATGTAGGAATGAAAAGAAGAGAAATATTTTTGTAAAATATATTTTGAGAGAAACTGGCTATGTTCACATGGGACATGAAGAAAGAAGAATCAAAGTTTACTCAAAGTTTTTGAATCTAAGTAACAGAAAATGGTGGTGCTATCAAGACCCAGATGAGCAAAAGTGTTAAGTTCGGAAGACAGGTGAATAAAAAAAAAGCCACCGAAAAAAGTGGTTGAAGAGGTGACAGAAGCCCTATGTTTGTAGATAGACAATGATTATTCACCCCGTCTTTCTCCTGCTTAATTTATTTCCAAGATACACTCCTTCCATTTCCCAGCCAGGTTCTTGAGTTCATGTTTCTAAATCTATATCATAGAAGTTAAGCATGGGGAAAGCTTGGAAGCATGAGCTTTTAAAATGCATTCATTGAAAAATGGGTGCTTTATTTTGGAAAAGGTCCATTTTTGGTGAAAAATTTGACATTATAACATTGTAATGTCATTTCTTAACCAAACCCATGGCAATAGGAAAAGAAACAGTATGTCTGCTGTTTCACCATTTATTTTACTCTTATTTCACCAATTAATTTGGCTATAGCTAAGGGTAATTTCTATTTAAGATTAAAGTTTAGATTTTAATTAAAAATTTACTTTGAGAAAAATATGGAACTCAAAACTTATAACCACCAAATGGTTTTTTCTTGTGGCAAAAGTGAACATGAAAACCCAAGGAATGAGAACTCTGACCTGAAGGGACTTCTGGGAGAGATCAGTATTTCCTGATGTAAGAGCCCCAAAAGCATCAATGAGGCCATTGTTCTGAGCTTCATCTGAAACATAAAAATGACTTCCTCCTAAAATGTAAATGCATTAATTAGACTGCTTTCTAGAAAATAAGTACATATATTTTAGTGATTATTAAGCTAATAGTTAAAACAAAATCATAGTTTCAGTATGTGTTATTAAAATAGACCAAAAGCACATAGTTGTACAGGTTAATTCTGAAATGCTCATTTTAAAATGTCATAACTAGGGAATGAAAGCTACCATAATACCTCATTATCAAAATCTTAGCTAGCTAAAATGCATGATAATTATAGAATATGAAAGATGTTACAATTCCATGTATTAAAGCTCACAAACTTTACACAGCCCTTTTAGAGAAACTTTTATTTCTAACAAAATTGACTTTCAGATATTTCAGCCAGTGTAGATTTGTGAAATCTTTTGTTAAAAGATTGTTAATCTTTTATTTTAGTTCTAACAAAGTTGACTTTCAGATATTTCAGCCAGCATAGACCAAAATCAGAAAATTAGAAAGATGAAAGAGCTGCTATATTTAGGTATTCTCACAATAACTGGCAATGAGCAGATAGAAAATTGGAAAGCAAGAGAGATAAATCCAAAAAAGTACTACTTTTAAGGAGCTACTTGGAATAGAAATAAATTTTACAATGGCCATGAAAGGACTTTGAAATGATGTGATTTTGTATAACTAAGCATTAAAAAGCAAGCATATATTTAGTACCATTAGAAGCCAATTCAACATAATTTATACTCATGTCATAAATTATATATTCTCTACTATGTTTAAGAAGGTATTGGAAACACGTAATCCATTTTCATCACATCTGTGTGTCTGAAATAACAGCTACCATAGTTAATGTTTATATAAAAACTTCATTGTTATTTAGATCTTTTCAGTCTGAGCTTCTGTTAATCACATACACCCACCCCACAACTTATGCTCTGGTCTCATGGGGTTTTCACCATTCCCTCCATGCGCCTTGCATTGTCACCCCAACGTGATGTTTTTTGCTCATGACTTGATCATCTTTTCTTACCCCCTTTTTCTTCCCAGAGAAATTCACCACCTGTTCAAAGCCCAGCTCAGAATTCAGCTAGTTTTGCATGCTTCCTTTCCCTGGCTCTATACAACTCTAGTAAAACTAATGGCTTCCTCTGCTCACATAGAACTTTATTTTTCTATATTCCTCCTGTTATGTAGGAATGCTATCTGATTATGTTATTTCATCAACAGTTTTATTTGTCTCTCCAGCCAACTGGACTCCAAGTGCCACGAGAACAGAGATTGGGTCTGGTCCCCAGCTTCAGTGCCTCCAAGGCAGAAACTCAAGAGACGTTGTTGAACTGTCAGCCTTTACATTTATGCATTACTATTGAAGGCCTGGAATAAATGGATCGTGTTTTACCTGTTATCTTGCTCATCTCTATTACTGCTTCATCAGCAGCTCTTCCCAAAGCAATAAAATGAACAATGGCCCCACTTTGTTTCACTTCATCAATACAAGAACTTGCAGTGTTATCCTCCCCATCAGTCAGCAGCAGTACTTCGGATCCATCGAGTTGGGAATGTAGCTCTCCAATCACCTGCAAACATAATGCAGAGCACAGTTACCAACAGATGTTCCTAGATCAAATAGACAAATGGGAAATGAGAAAAAATTTACAGAGAAAATAAACAAAGTTATGCAGAATAGAAGAGATAACCTCTATTTTAAAATAAAGAATTTTCAATCAACAATCCTTGGGGAAAGTTAAACATGAATTTTTTTAACTCCCAGCTGCAGGTAGTATTTATTTAAAGGAATTCGGTGGGACCAGGCTTTGGAAAATCCTGTCTAGACTAAATGACAATAACATCTCAACCTGGGAAACTCAGGTCAACCAGATACCAAAGGTATAATCACAGTATGTGACATTAATTAGTGTTATGTTTTCTTTGACTGGACTACCTTCTGACAGACAAGCCTTCAGTTTATAAAGTCTCTTGCATTTAAAGCTAGATGCATTAAGAATCCACTTCAACATTTGAAAAAGTCAGTGATTACAAATTAGTAAACCCTCAGTATGCTTATAAAGAAAAAATATGGAAAGTTCTAAGCATGTGGTTAGGGACTTTGTTATGCAACTTTCATTTACTTCTAATAATAACTGGCACAGAAGTAAGCATATTGGTGATGCTTAAAGAATATATTAAAATTATACTTATTAAGTTCAATTTGTAGCTTGTATCCTTTTCCTAAATGCCAAACAGTTTGAAACTCAAAGTTTTGAAACTAGGTGCCTGTAAAAGAGTATAGAGAGAAGTTAGCCCAGGATGACAACATATTTCATTTTCTTTGACAGTTTTAATTGGTGGTGGCATCTTGGAGCACCATTTTGAGACCTTGATTCCAGGCCAAGAGGTGAAAAATGACAGATTGTCAGTGACTTTCTTTGGCATGGAGTGAAGGTGTGTGTGTAGATTTGCAGAAGAGGGTTTGGAATGTAGAAATCCCTAAGAAAGCTGGTATCAGGGAACAAATTGACCACGCTTATTACAATTTTTGCATGTTTTGAAGCAAAGAGTGACTAATATATATATTGCAATATATGGGAAATATTCTCTGACATGCCTTGAAACCGAACGGAAAGAGAGGAAAATGCTTTTATACATTTATGGCATTTGTAGCATCTCCATCACACTTCTCCCACGCATTTAAGTACAAAATGAAGATCCAAAGATGAAGCAGAGTTCTCTCTTTCACCTCTCCTTTTCTTGCATGAGTTTATTTACCAAGCATTTACAATGTGCCAGTCACCGTGCTGGGGATTCAGTAGGAACTACATTCCTACATTCATATATTAATAAATAATTGGGTTCAATTTTACAATGTTTATGGAGCTTTGTGTCAGAGACTGAGGAGATCTAGAGATGAACAAGGAAGACAAAACTAATATGTATTTACTACAGAATATTCTATAGTTCAAGAGAAATAACAGTGTAGTGTTACAGTTTACTGAACATTCGCTATGTATTAACTGTGTTTTATACATTGTATAATTTAATCCATCTCCAAGCTCCCAAAATGTCTTCCTATTACCACTTTTACTGCCTACAATTTATTTTATTCAGGGCAATTGGAATCATCTTCCTGGAACATAAATTGATTATCAAACTCCGATACTTTCAACCCTTCAAGAGCTTTTTGTTGTGCTTGAAACAAAATACAAGCCTCATATTTTTTGAAGTTTTTTAAGATCTAGTCATTGTCTACCTCTCCAACCACATTTCATATCCCCTCATTTGCCAAACTCCACTGCTACTAGCTTCTATAATTTCTTAGAATAATCTAGTTTTTTCTCACCTTTTTCCTTAAGGAACTTTTGCATTTCTTTTCTATCTGAACCACTGGCTTCTTCTCATCCTTCAAATCAGAGCTTAAATGTTACTTTTTAGAGAAGGCTCATTGGCCTCTCTACCCAAAGTAGTTCTCCTTTCCCTGTTTCGTTTATTCACAACACTATCTACATAATCTGCAATTCTTGTATTTATCTATTTATTATCTGTTCCCCACTTATATACATGTACCATAAGAGTGAAAAAGCTTTGCTTGGTGAATAGATTAAAGCATGTTCATATTTTGAATAAATTAAAACATGAGCAACCCTATGTGCTAGCTTTAATTATCCTATTTTACTGATGAGGTAATTGAGGACTAGAGAGGATAAGAATCATGTTTAGGGTCACAAACCTGATAAGTGACAATCGCAATGTGAATGCAGGACTTCATGTTACAAACCTAAACTAAAATGTCATGCAATCCATGGAAGAGATAGATGCAATTGGGTTGGGAGTAAATGGGAAGCTACATGAAGGAGAAAGGATTTTGAAGGGTTGGTAGAATTTTAACATGCAGAGTTGGGAGAAAAGGAAGCATTTTAAGTAGAGGAACTTGCATGTGCAAAGGTTTGGAGGCTGTTAGTACACAGTGGACTTGGAGAACAATGTGTGTAGTAAGTTGTTTGGAGGACAGAGCATCAAGAGGGGAGAATGGAGTAAATAAGGCAGGAAAGATAAGTGAGGACAATTTTACTGAGCGGGGGAGACTTTTTAGTAATATCAGACTGAGAAATTGAGACAATTTTGTAGACTGTGAAGAGACAGTAAAGATTTCTAAACAGTAAAATGACATAATTTATATTAATTGTGGGCTCAAGATGACCATTTGGCTAAAAATAATGTTCATAATAATTATACATATATTTACTAATTATTATAAATATACACTTATAATAAATTATTATATAATTAGTATATATAGTATATGAAGTAGATATTTACTATATAATATAGTAAATATTGTTCTAAGTATGTAAATGTATCATTTCATGTAATCCTCATAATTACTCTATGAGGTAGGCATTCCTATTTCCTATATTGTATAGGTAAGTCACTAAGAGTCCAAAGAGACTGAAAGGTTAGCCTAAGATTACCTGGTTAGTAAGTAGCACATACAGTACTCTGATGTCAAAGTTCATGCTCTAACTCGTATGGCTTACCCTAAATATGACTCACAGTCTTGCTACATCTGCTTTAAGAGGTATAATAAATAGTTTGCCCTAGCTGAATGTTACAGAAACTCAAATGAGAACTAGCTTGAAGTAGAATCATACTATATCACCTGTGTCATTTCCCCAAATGTTAATGGCTTTTGCATCCAAGCACACTTATTTAACTAACATTTATCGAGCACTGACTACTGCGTGGTAACAAGACAGCAAAGTCCATGACTTCCTTGGGCTTGTAAGTGAGTGGTAAATTGATAGTCATTTATTCACCCATGGGTTGTTCATTGATTCACTGATCCATTAAAACATCAAGAGAACTTTTTTCTATATGCTTAGTCCTGTGCCTCTTAGGATTAGTTATGTTAAAATTAGGCAGCAAGCAAGCATGTGCAGTACCACTTAACATGAAAATGTCCTGAAAAGAAACAAAAACCAAAATATATTTGCAGTACGATTTTCACCTGAAATGCATATTTAATTCCAGAGCAGATGGAAGTTCCTCCCAGAGGATATGTAGGTAATCCTGCCATGAGTGTGTTTCTTTCATCACTGCTTTTTATTTGGATTAGCTTATTTACAATAGTGGCAGTACTATCAAAGTGAACCATCCCCACCCAGGATCCATTTTCAACAGTCTGCAGCAGGAAATGTTTTGCTGCTTGATTCATTCGATTTAGGCGGTCCTTACCCTAGATTAAAAAGACAAGAAAAACAAACAAGTGATTTTGACTGGAAAATAATAGAAGATCACATAAAATGAATGGACAGAATTTATTGGTAACATTTTCTATGAATGGTAATTGATGTTGTTAAAGGAAGCAATTATCAAATTTTTAATTGATAACATTAAAAAAATGGTGGTGTGTATTATGGGACACGTATAGTAAGGAGTGCAGGTTTTTATTTACAATTGATTCTTGACCACTGAGTATCCAAGTAAGAGGTGGAAGGTAGGGTGGGGATTGCATTGAAATTGGGGTGAGGAGACACATCTTAGAGACTGTCTAATTACTCTTGGGAGCTCCTGTGCTTGTTGTCTTCAGATAAAACCATACCCCCAAGCCTATAAATCAAACCAGACTGTTGCAGACTCCAACCAGAGACTGGAATCACTCCATCCACTGGAAACTAGACTGCCCAAAAGGTAATACTTACCCAAGCTTCATTTTAAGTTTGGAGAGGCCAAGGCCCTATCTTCCCACTTTCTCCTTCTGTTCCTAACCTCTCACTGCCCCCTTTCCACTAATGGGTTAATTGAATTGGCTCTTTGGTAACCCTCAGGACCCAGCCCTCTTTCGGAGGGGATTGTCTAAGGTGTAAGCTTTTTCATGCATTTGTCTTCTCCAGTCCTTATCACCCTACTGATCTGTGTTACTCCCCGCCAATTTATGCCCAAATTTCCTTCTGAACTCCCTGAACCAAATCACAATGAGAAACTTCTACATCTTCATTTTACATGCTGTCTCCACTATCTGCATTGTTGTGGCTCAATTCCTTCAGTTCTATCATTCTCTGCCCTTTTTAATACCTCCCTCATTTGCTGAAGACCTTATTCCTGTTCTTCAGCATGCTTCACTATGCCTTAAATGTGCCATCCTTCTGGTTTCTTATCACATTGCACCCACTTGTTTGCTGTGCATTCATTTCAACAATTATTTATTGATTACTCCTATGTGATTAACTTTATTCTAGGAAATGGGGATAAAGATGAATAAGACATGATTCCAAGTCCTAGAGGATCTCCTAGGCTAGTGGAAGAGAAATGTGTAACATAAATATAATATACAGTAACAGAGGTATGCGCAGGACATTGTTGGGAAACAGTAGAAGGGCTTTAACCAGCCTAGAAGCCCAGTCCATTTTCTGGAGGAATCCAAGGAGGAAGTGACCCTTGGATTAGGTATTTTTAATTATACTGGCATCTTTCTTTTACTATGGTATTTTGCTGCAGTATCTTGAAGTCATGATCATGGGCAGTGATGGTACTTTATGCCACCATGCAATTTAGAACAATCTAGGTGCAGACAGAGTTCAGTGTGTTCTCGGATCTTCAAATATCCTACATCCCTATATCCAGAAAAAGTGATCTTACCCCCATGCTTCCAGACTTATCAAGAACTAAGCACACAATTCTTTGACTGATCTTCAGCAATGAGAAGACAGGTGGAGGAGGTGGTGTCACCATGGGTATGGTGTTTTTAAAATCCTCAGAATTGCTAATCACCTCCCATGTACTTCTAAAATTGCACTTTATGTTTTGTAGGCTTGGAGCTTCTTGATTATGGGTTTTTTCGTTACAAAATTCAACAACCTAAAAGGTTAATAAAATAAAAAATAATTTTAATATACCATGCATTTAAAAATCAAACTACAAACCTGAAAAATTTAAAAGTCTTCTGCAGATATGTTGTTTGTTGAATGAAATATCATTTACTGAGCATCAATATTACAATAAGGTAGATTTACCATAATAAGAATTATGGTAACGTAATAATAGATAACACTAGATAGCACTAGTTCAGCAAATACTATGTGTTAGCCAGTGTTCAAAGAACTCTATATCAATATATATAATCCTCAGGTCACCTGAACAGATACTTTAAAAACATGACAATATGTCATTTGATTATAAATTCTGGAAGCAATTATCAGCATACTTACAGAATCAATACTTTGCATAAACATTATGGATGCTTTTTCTGTTTGTACTTTATCAGGAAAGAATTGACAATCTTTTCCATACAGTTTTGTTGTAGAATCAATTCTGCATGCTCTACTAAGACAGCTGCCTCCTTGACACTTATAAACTCTATTTCTACCAGAGATACCTGCGGAACACCTGAAAATATATGACAGTTAATCTTTGAGGCAACTGAATCATTAGCACTTACAGAAATCTTAAGTGGTTCTATTCATGATGAACTTTATATCAAGATGTTTATTCTTCTATGGTACCATGTACTTCCTATCCTGGCTATAGGGTTTAAGGGTTCCAATCAAAATAATTATCTATTTTTTAAGAAATTCTAGAGGGAAATTTTAAGTGGGGCCTCCAGATAAACACAATGGTTGAGTTCTCTCCTCTAATGAGTTCTCTCCTTGTATTAAAGCTTAGACATCTCTCCTGCTGGACTTTTGGTGGTAAATATGCTATAGGGACCTGGATAAGAGAATTTTTGAGACAATTTACTCTGAGTACCACTTTAGCTTGAAGTTCTTTGTAGATTTCCTTCCAAAGAAGATATTCCCAAAAAATAGTACATGGGATAGACACAAATGTTCTTATTACTCAAAGAGCATTTTTATCCAAAGGGAAATGTGATTGGAAGCGAAGATGAGGTGCTGCCAAGAATCCCATGGTAGAATAAAAAATGATGGAGACATTTTAGACCTATGTTTTATGGAATGTAATTGACCACAGGTGGCAGTGATTACAACAAATATGCTGAGATGTGAACATATTTTGTCTTTTCAATAGGCTTTCAGTTCAAATTCAGGAAATGATGAATAGTTTCTATTCAGCTATTTAGAGAGTCTTATAAATATGTCGATGCTTCTATTGCTTCCAAACTAGGTGGACATGATGAAACTATCTATGTGGAAAATCATGCTGAATATTCTGCAGCAGCAGTTGTACATCTAAGGGGAATATGACATAAACAAATGCAATAAATGTAATACTCTCTAAAAGATGTGCCTGAAAATTGGTGCAATGGGGCAGAGGAAGGACCTTGATTGAAATCATATACCTTTCAGTTCTCACATTAGTGTCAAGTCCCACGCCCCAGCAGGACATCTACATTGATGAGGTGATAGCACCAATTTTAATTTTAAATTGATTCTTCCCAACTATTTTGCTCTTTTGATCACAGAATCAAAAGGAGAGTTTATTATTAACTGTGATGCTAGACGGCATTATAAAATAACCTTTATAAATCTCCAAGAAGTTCCTGCTTGGCTCCTTGAAGCTGCTTGATTTCTTACTCAGTCCACATTTAGCACTACTTAACCATGTTTGTGCATTCTTGTGTAATGTAAATAACTTTGATCTTATCCCAGCATATTGTATATCCATTTACATGCCCAACTCCAAGCAAGTGAGTTCTGGAGGCTATGGTAGAGAGGTATAAAATATGTTAAATTGTCAACTGAATGCTTGCCATTGAAATTATGTATGTTTTAAATAGCAATCAACTACTTAAAGATACACTTTCTAAAAAAAAATAAAAGCATTGTTTTGTGACATATTGTCTGCATTAAGAATGATTTTGGAAGAAATCAAAGTAGGAAAATAAGAATGGATAAAAGCCTGAAGTCAGTTTAGAAAATTTAAATAGCCATGCCTTGTTGCTTCGATTTTTTTTGACTTAGCACGGTAGAAAGGCTGATCTTCATTGTACTCATCAAACACTCCCCACCGGAGGTGAGCCCACTCATGGACAAACAGTTTGCCTGTGGGAAAGCATTTCAAATACATGATCATAATCCAAGTGACACGTTTTGTATCATATTTTAAGAAGCTTCTCTTTCAATTATAAAATATATTTAGATTTCGGTTTTCAACAACTATCAACATTTATATTTCAGTGTATAAAAAAGCCTATTGCATTAAATTACATTATATTATGCTATATTATGTAATATATTATCTTCTTATTCCACGACATGTTAAATCAATGAAACAATAAGGGAGGATATGCTATGGGCTGAGTGGACTGGGATTTGTGTTTTGGTTCTTGGTGGTAAAAAGTCTTAGTACAATGGTTTATGGTTCTCCAAATTATAACCATGGGGATGTTAAAATGAAGGAATTCATTTATGGTATTTAAGACACATAGGCATTAATTATATGAAACAATTTTTAATTATATATATATATTCAATGCAATACTAGGTATTAAAAAATATAAAGATGTGTGAGATTTAGTCCTTCACTTGGGAAAGTTTTGAGAGAGGGAGTTCAAATAAAAAATTTTTTTAATAAGAATTTCACAATAAATGGAGGAATAAAAGTAAATCCACAGCTTGAGATGCTGAAAGAAGGAAAGTAGAACTTTCATTTTAGCAATGTTGGGAAAAACTTCAGAGGAAACAGATGGAGAAGGAAAGATTGGAAATAAAGTCTCTTCTGCTACAATGTGTGTTTCTGTAGCTCAAACGACCTCATATGAATCTGAAAATGGGAGGAAAATACACCACAGTATGAAGAAGTCATGTTTCTTTTCTTTTTCTTTCTTCTTCTTTTTTTTTTTTTTTTTTAAGATGGAGTCTCGCACTGTCGCCTGGGCTGGAGTGCAATGGCGCGATCTCAGCTCACTGCAACCTCTGCATCCTGGGTTCAAGTGATTCTCTTGCCTCAGCCTCCCGAGTAGCTGAGATTACAGGCACCTGCCACTATGCTCGGCTAATTTTTTGTATTTTTCGTAGAGATGGGGTTTCACCACGTTGGCCAGGCTGGTGTCGAACTCCTGACCTCGTGATCTGCCCGCCTCAGCGTCCCAAAGTGCTGAGATTACAGGCATCAGCCACCTTGCCCAGCCGTCATGTTTCTTTTTTAAGTCTTTGCTATTCAAACTGTGGTTCTGGACAACATCCATCAGCATCACCTGGGAGCTAGTTACAAATGCAGAATCTTCAGGCCACCCTTTGCTTACAGAATCAGAAGCTGCATATTAACAAGGTCCCTAAGTTACTCTTCTACATAATGCACTTTAAAAACACTGGTTTCAGGTTTCCTAGGCAAATGGAACCAGGTTTGTGGGAGCAGAATTAGAACGTTCAGTAGAAAAGGAAAAAGCCCTCATATCAGCTACTGCAGTAGGAATTTGGTGCGTGTTAAGAAAAATTTAAGAGTCTACTCAGACTTGATTCGTTCTCAGGTTTCCCTGCCTCCCATGCCCACCTTAAAAGCAGCCCTTTTGACTTAGAATTCCATTCCTGTCTACATCATTGTCTCATTTCCAGCTATCTCTGTTCCTATTTCTAGTAACATTTCTCTCTCCCCTTCCTTGCACCATGTGTGTGTGTGTCGTGTGTGTGTGTACTTTTAATATGTGCTATGGCAGCCTCTGGCCATACTGCATTGCTTGCCTAGGTGATCTAAATGATCTATTGTGATTGTTGGTGGTGTTATCATGATTATTACAAAATTGCATAAGATTCTTACTAATGTTATTTATCCAAAAACCTTACTGTTTTTTAGGACCTTGAGGAATGTGAGTTTTTTACACAAATGCATATATCACATTATGCATTTGTGAAAAGGAAGAAAGATCTGTCTAAGAAGAAGGGGTGACCTATCAGTAATAGAATAGGGTTGAGGTGTGGGATACGGGAAAAATCAATAACTGATATGGGGACATTAAGCTTACAAATTGGAGAAGCCTTTCTGTTCTAAGAAAGGTGCAGGTAGAGAAGGTGTAGGTGGTAATAAGTTTGGAAATAGAGAGGAAGAATGTAGAGACCTCTGTTTTATCAATCAGGACATTAATTGATGGGATTGAGAAGAGTGCCTGGAGATCTTGAGAAAATTGGTAGACATTTTAGAACAGCTGCTATAGGAATTGAGAAAGAGAGTTGAGAAGAGCTGAGTAAAAATATTGTTGAGTAGCTTTGAGTGCTTCACTGAGCTTGGAAAGTGTGTTGTTATAATCATGTCACTTAGTTTTATAATTTTCTTCACCATTCTTCAAAACATAACAGGAGCCAAGAATAAAGAAGACGGAAAATTCAGAAGATTTAGTAAATTGAATGAAACATAAGGATAAGAGTGGTGAGAGAATTGAGCTATTTATACTTGTAGTTGAAATGACTGACTTTGGTGGACATGCCAGGTGAAAAGAAAGTATAACTAAAAGGGCACAAAGGATTAGAGGTGCCAAGGAAAACAAACGTGGTCAGGATAATTACAGGGAAGAGGTAAGATTGGGACATGAGGAGATGATGGAACTTTCAAGACTGGAGAGGGGAACTGGTCCAGGTAATGAATAGGACCAGATCTAGCTGAATGTTTGGCAGAGACAAGAGACTTAACGAGTGTTCAATGAACAGGAATAGAAGAGGGTGATTCTGGGGTATGCGGATTCAGCAAGGTTCCCATTTAATAGTGATACATGTGTAGAGCCCTCCTTTAACAATGATTTGCATTTTTGTCTGTAAAGTGCACTTTTGTTGTTTTGACAAATTATTTTAGCATTTAGATTGAACTAGATGACATTGCCATTTTTATAGGTCAAAATGATCAATTACTGACAATGTCATCTGTTTCAATGAAATAGATTGATATTATCAGCAACTGATAGCCTAGGAGTGTTTTCTCTTGACCAGTAACTGGCAACATGACTCTTTCCAGCTTACTATACATCTGGCTTTCTTGTAGCTTACTGGTGATTTGTTAATATCCAGCTATGGAGAAGTGGAAAAATTAAAATTTAAAAAGCATGCCTTAAGAAAAACATTTATTATTGCTTTTCTCTGTTTATATTTTTGTAGACACTGTACTGAGTATATTTGTCTGGATTCTCTAGTTTAATGTAGAACAAATATTTTACAAGGTAGAAACTCCTCTCTTTGCCATTTTGTAGGGAATAACCACAGAGACAGTAGGTCACTTGTTTAAGGTCACATACAGCTAGTAAGTAGGGGAGCCAGGATTTGATTCTAGGGACTTTGGCCCCATGGCCTGCACACTTAACCTGCATAAAAAGTTGTATGCTGCAATCACTGCAAAATTATTTTTTAACCAAAATTTCTACCTGGTGGTCCATATTCATTTTGTTTTTTTCCAAGTAGAAGGTCAGGGGTGAAGTGAATGTATTCGCCTTTCTCTCCACATTCTGTGAACTGCTTGGTGTATGGTTCATCTCTACCTGGGAGTGTAGGTGGTGCAACTATAACATCAGCCTGAGAATGTTGAAAAAGATTGTCAAACATCAAAAATAAAAAAGATAATATTCAGTTAGAAAGACTCTTAAATAATTTGTGGCAAAAATGGTTAATATCAGAAAATATAATTTTTTAAGAGAATATTTCGACACTTACATGTTTATGGTTTTCATGTTTTGGCCTTTTGTACTGAGGATTTTCCTTCCAATTCTCAGGAATTAATATAGATACATTTTTGAAAAAAAATCTTTTTTCTGTGGCTTCAAACAGGTACGTAGAAGCTGTAGTCACCATATCCTGTCATTAAAGGAAAAAATATGTGAGGATGGTGAAGTTAGAGTGAACTAAATTAGCAGGGTTTTGTGACAGGCATTTCCCAACTTAAGAGTGGACAGAAAAGCAACAGACTGATGAGTAGGGTCTCTGTCTCATTATTCTAACTCTGCCACCTGTCAACCCCAAACCATCACTTATTCCTGCACGTTGAAAGCCTCCTCAGTCTTCTATAATCCTGCCTTAAAAGGCAAATGCTTGTATTTGGCATTAAGAGGAATTGATTAATAGGAATATGTACATGGACTTTGGAGTCATTTACGTGATTCTAATACTAATGTTAGTATCTTCTGGATGACAGATCTTGGTTGATTTATGCAATGCTCCGAATCTCAGTTTCCTCATCCTTCAATGGACTATTACTATCTATCAGTATGGTTGGCATAGAGATGGAATCAGATATAAAGTCCTCTACAAACAGGCAATCTTAAAACTGTTTGATATCATTACTATTTATAAGAAATCTTCGTAGAAAACAGGCTTAGTTGATGCAAACTGAGGAGGACACTCTATAGAAATGGGTCATTGAAGAGGTTTCTCATCCCAACCTTAGGAGAAGCAGCTAGGTTGGGAGACTGTGTGGGTGGGAGGTGTGATGAAAAAAAACCCATAGTAGAGACAAAACTTTGATTACAGAACTGTTGCTCTACCACCTATATGAAAATAATATCACCTTATATTCAGAACTATAAACTCACATACAAGGACAAATAAGAAAAATAGTTCCTCCCAGAAGAAAGCAAACTACTTGGAAAACATATTTCAGCATATCATCTATGAAAACTTCCCCAAACCTGCTAGGAGGCCAACAGTCAAATTTAGGAAATACAGAGAACTCCTGCAAGACTTTACACAAGAAGATCATCCCCAAGACACAATCATCAGATTTTCCAAGGTTGAAATGAAAAAAAAAAAAAGAGTGTTAAAGGCAGCTAGAGAGGAAAGGGCAGATCACCTACAAAGGGAACCCCATCAGGCTAACAGTGGACCTCTCAGCTGAAACCTTACAAGCCAGAAGAGATTGGAAGCTGATATGGTTTCACTGTGTCCCCATCCAAATCTTATCTTGAATTGTAGTTCCCATAATCCCCACGTGTTGTGGAAGGGACCAGGTGGAGATAATTGAATCATGGGGGTGGTCTTCCCCATCCTGTTCTCATGATGTAAGTTCTCATGTGATCTGATGGTTTCATAAGGGGCTTCCCCCTTAGCTCGGCTCTCATACTTCTCCTTCCTGCTGCCATGTGAAGAAGGACATGTTTGCTTCCTCTTCTGCCATGATTGTAAGTTTCCTGAGGCCTCCCTGCCATGCTGAACTGTGAGTTAATGAAATCTTTTCCTTTATAAATTATCCAGTCTCAGGTATGTCTTTATTAACAGCATAAGAGTGGACTAATACTGGGGCCTTTATTCAGCATTCTTAAATACAATAATCTTCAACCAAGTATTTCATATCCAGCCAAACTAAGTTTCCTTGTCAAAGGAAATTCATTACCACCAGACCTGCCTGACAAGAGATCTTGAAAGAAGCACTAAATATAGAAAGACTGTTACCAGCTAATACAAAAACAGACTTAGACACACAGACCAGTGTCACTATAAAGCCAGACACACAGACCAGTGTCACTCAAACAAGTCAACATAATATCTAGCCAACAAAACAATGACAAGATCAAATCCACACATGTCTATATTAACTTTCAATGTAAATGGGCCAAATGCCCCACTTAAAAGGCACAGAGTGGCAAGCTGAATAAAAAAGCAAGACCCAATGGTATGTTATCTTCAAGAGAATCATCTTATAAAGGCATAATGACACCCATAGGCTCAAAATAAAAAGATGGAGAAAACCTACCAAGCAAATGCAAAGCAGAAAAAAGCAGGGGTTGTAATCCTAATTTCAGACAAAACAGACTTCAAACCAACAAAGATAAAAAAAAAAAGACAAAGAAGGGCATTACGTAATGGTAAAGGCTTCATTTTAACAAGAAGCTCTAACTATTCTAAATATATATATGCCCAACAAAGGAGCACCCAAATTCATAAAGCAAGTTCTTAGAGACGTAAAAAGAGACATAGACTCCCACTCAATAATAGTGGGAAACTTCATTGAGGCAGAAAATTAACAAAGATATTCAGGACCTGAACTCAACATTGGACCAAATGGATCCGATAGACCTATACAGAACTCTCCACCCCATAACAACAGAATATACATTCTTCTCATCACCACATGGCACATACTCTAAACTCAACCACATAATTGGACATAAAACAATTCTCAGCAAATGCAAAAGAACTGAAATCATACTAAACACATTCACAAACCACAGCACAATAAAAATAGAATTCAAGAGTAAGAACATCACTAAAAACCATGCAATTACATGGAAATTAAACAACATGCTCCCGAATGACTTTTGTTTTGGTAAATAATAAAATTAAAGCAGAAATCAAGATGTTCTTCAAAACTAATAAGAACAAATATACAACATACCAGAATCCCTGGGACACAGCTAAGACAGTTTTAAGAGGGAAATTTATAGCATTAAATACCCACATCAAAAAGTTAGAAAGATCCGAAATTAACAACCTAACATTACAACTGAAGGAATTAGAGGAGCAAGAACAAATCAACCCCAAAGCTAGCAGAAGACCAGAAATAATCAAAATCAGAGCTGAACTGAAGGAAAATGAGAAAATGAGACACAAAAAACCACTCAAAAGATCAACAAATCCAGGATCTAATTTTTGAAAAAATTTATAAGCTATATATGCCACTAGCTACCAGCTAGACTAATAAATAAGAAAAGAGAGAAGGTCCAAATAAACAGGATTGGAAATAATGAAGGGAATGTTAATGCTGACCCCTCAGAAATAAAAATAACCATCAGAAACTACTATGAACACCTCTAAAGACACAAACTAGAAAACCTAGAAGAGATGGATAAATTCCTGGACCCATACATCTCCCAAGACTGAATCAGGAAGAAATTGATTCCCTGAACAGACCAATAACAAGTTCCTAAACTGAATTAGTAATAAAGAGCCTACAAACAACAAACAAACAAACAAAGCCCAGGATCTTATGGATTCACAGCCAAATTCTACCAGATGTACAAAGAAGAGCTTGTACCATTCCTACTGAAACTATTCCAAAAATTTGAGGAGGGAGGGATCCTCTCCAACTCATTCTATGAGGCCAGTATCAATCTGATATGAAAACCTGACAGAGACCCAACAAAAAAAGAAAACTTCAGGCCAATATCCTTTATGAACATTGATGCAAAAATTCTCAACAAAATACTGGCAAACCGAATCCAGCAGCTCACCAAAAAGCAAATCCACCATGATCAAGTAAGCATCATCTCCAGGACGCAAGATTGATTCAACATACACAAATCAATAAAAGTGATTCATCACATAAACAGGACTAAAGACAAAAACCACATGATTATCTCAGGAGATGGAGAAAAGGTTTTCAATATAATTCAACACCACAATAACGTAGGTATTGAAGGAAAATACCTCAAAATAATGAGAGCCATCTATGACAAACCCATAGCCAACATTATACTGAATGGGCAAAAGCTGGAAGCATTCTCTTTGAAAACTGGCACAAGACAAGGATGCTGTCTCTCACCACTCCTATTCAACTTAATATTGGAAGTCCTGGCCAGAGCAATCAGGCAAGAGAAATAAATAAAGGGCATCCAAATAGGAAGAGAGGGAGTCAAACTATCCCTCTTTGATTATGACATAATTCTATATCTAGAAAACCCCATAGTCTCAGCCCAAAAGCTCCCTCAGCTGATGAATAGCTTCAGCAAAGTTTCAGCATACAAAATCAATGTACAAAAATCACTAGCCTTCCTCTACACCAATGACAGCTAAGTCCAGAGCTGAATCGAATAGGCAATACCATTCACAATTGCCACAAAAAGAATAAAATACCTAGGAATACAGCTAACCAGGGAGGTGAAACATTCCTACAATGAGAATTACAAAACACTGCTCAAAGAAATTGTGTCAGAGAAGACACAAACTAATGGAAAACATCCCATGCTCATCGATAGGAAGAATCAATATCACTAAAATGGTTATATTGCCCAAAGCAATTTATAGATTCATTGCTATTCCTATCAAACTAGCAACAACATTTTTCACACCACTAGAAAAAAACTATTTTAAAATTCATATGGAATAAAAAAGAGCCTGAACAGCCAAGGCAATCTTAAGCAAAAAGAACAAAACTGGAGGCATCATGTTACCTGATTTCAAACTACACTACAGGGATGCAGTAACCCAAAGAGCATGGTACTGGTATAAAAACAGGCCTAGACCAACAGAACACAACAGAGAGCCCAGAAATAAGGCTGCACATCCACCACCATCTAATCTTCAACAAAGCTGACAAAAACAAGCAATGGGGAAAAGATTCCCTATTAAATCAATGGTGCTGGGATAACTGGCTAACCATATGCAGATTGAAGCTGGATCCCTTCCTTACACCATGTATAAAAATCAACTCAAGATTAAGATTAAAGACTTAAATGTAAAACTGAAAACTATAAAAACCCTAGAAGACAGCCTAGGCAATACATCCTGGACATAGGCAAAGATTTTATAACAAAGATGCCTAAAACAATTGCAACAAAAGCAAAAATTGACAAGTGGAATCTAATTAAACTTAAGAGCTTGTGCACAGCAAAAGGAACTATCAACAGAGTAAACAGACAACCTACAGAATAGAAGAAAATATTTGCAAATTATGCGTCCAACACCGGTCTAATATCCAGCATTTAAAAGGAATGTAAACAAATTTACAAGAGAAAAACAAACAATGCATTAAAAAGTGGGCAAAGGACATGAACAGATGCATTTCAAAAGAAGATAGACATGTGGCCAACAAGCAAGTGAAAAAAAGCTCAGTATCACTGATCATTAAAGAAACACACACACAAAAAAACCCACCATGAGATATCATCTCATACCAGTTAGAATGGCTATTATTAAAAAGTAAAAAAAAAAAAAACCAGATGCTTGCGAGGTTGAGGAGAAAAGGGAACACTTATACATTGTTGATGGGAGTGTAAATTAGTTCAACCACTGTGGAAAGCAATATGGTGATTCCTCAAAGAGCTAAAAGCAGAACTACCATTCAACCCAGCAATCCCATTACTGGATATACACTCAGAGGAATATAAATCATTCCACCAGAAAGACACACATGCACTTGAATGTTTGTAGCAGCACTATTCACAATAGCAAAGACATGGAATCAACCTAAATGCCCATCAATAACAGATTGGATTAAAAATTGTGGTACAGGGCCGGGCATGGTGGCTCACACCTGTAATCCCAGCACCTTGGGAGGCCGCGGTGGGCAGATCACTTCGGGTCAGGAGTTCGAGACCAGCCTGTGCAACATGGTGAAACCCCATCTCTACTAAAAATACAAAAATTAGCTGGGCATGGTGACAGAGGGAGACTCTGTCTCAAAACAAACAAACAAACAAAAACTGTGGTACATATACACCATGGAATACTACACAGCCATAAAAAAGAATGAGATCATGTCTTTTGCGGGAACATGGGTGGAGCTGTAGGCTATTATCCTTAGCAAACTAACACAGGAATAGAAACCCAAATACTACATGTTCTCACTTATAATGGGAGGTAAATGATGAGAACTCATGAACACAAAGAAGAGAACAAGAGACACTGGGGTCTACTTGAGAGTGGGGGTGGAGGTTGGGAGGAAGGAGAGGAACAGAAAGATAATATTGGGTACTAGGCTTAATACCTGGTGATGAAGTAATCTGTACAACAAACCCCCATGGCATGAGTTTACCTATGCAACAAACCTTCACATGTACCCCTGAACCCAAAATAAAAGTTAAAAAAGAAAAGAAAAGAAGACACTATGGGTCATACATTGACACACAAACTTTTTTTTTTGGACAGAGTCTTGCTCTGTCTCCCAGGCTGGAGTTCAATGTCTCAATCTTGGCTTACTGCAACCTCCGCCTCCCGGGTTCAAGCGATTCTCCTGCCTCGACCTCTCGAGTAGCTGGAATTACAGGCGCCTGCCACTGGGCCCAGCTAATTTTTGTATTTTTTAGTAGAGAGAGGGTTTCGCAATGTTGGCCAGGCTGGTCTCGAACTCCTGACCTCAGGTGATCCACCCGCCTCAGCCTCCCAAAGTGCTGGGATTACAGACGTGAGTCACCATGCCCGGGCCGACACATAAGCTTTTTATGGGAAGTAAAACTATGGCTAGTTTCCTAAGCAGAGTTGATTGTTTTAAAAGGGTAAAGGCCCCGCGCTGGCGGGCGCTCCTCCCTGAGCGGCGGGAAGCAGGCGGCAGCGGCGGTGGCGTCGGCTGAGCAGAGGACCCAGCGGGCAGACTCGCGGGTCGGACAGGATCGTCGTGACAAAGGCTTCGACAGCTTGCTGGAATAGAGGATCTCTGCTGCCTCGCCTCTTCTGTGGCCTTCGTGTGGGATGCACGAGACGGCAGGACCCAGATAACCGTTCTCTCAAAGACACAATGTTTGCACGAGGACTGAAGGGGAAACGTGTTGGCCACCAGGAAGACGTGGAGGGAGCCCTGGCCGGCTTGAAGACCGTGTCCTCGTACAGCTTGCAGCGGCAGTCCCTCTTGGACATGTCCCTGGTGAAGCTGCAGCTTTGCCACATGCTTGTGGAGCCCAACCTGTGCCGCTCAATCCTCATTGCCACGTGGTCCGGCAGATCCAAGAGGAGATGACGCAGGATGGGATACGGCGCACACCCCAGGCTGCAGGGTGGGCGCCGCTGGACCACTTGGTCTTCATGGAGATTCTGTGCCGCGCGGCGTGGGAGCAGGAGGGGGCACGTCCTGCCTCTGGCTTGGGAGACGGCCACGCACAGGGCTCAGTTTCTAACCTTTGCCCAGTCACCTCAGCACAGACGCCGAGGCACCCGCAGAGGGAGGAGCGTCTGGGAGATGGATGGCCCTCAAGAAAACAGAGGAAGCTTTCGCAAATCACTCGATCAGATATATATGAAACGCTGGAGACTAAAATCCCCCGCTACATGGAAGAGCTGTTTTCAGGCGTGGACAGCCCCTACTACAACCTGGACACAGTACTGACAGGCATGATGGGGGTGCCGGGCCGGGCCCCTGTGAAGGGCTCGAGGGCTTGGCTCCGGTCACCCCGTGCCCCAGCTCCATCTGCAAGTCCGATCTGGGCGAGCTGGACCACATGGTGGAGATCCTGGTGGAGACCTGAACCAGAGCCCTGAGCGCTCGCAGCTGTGTCTGACGCGTGGACACGTGAGCACTGGCTCCCGTAGAGGGTGCGCCTGCCGCCCGCTGCCCAGCCTTGCTGCCCTGTCTGCTGATTCTGAGAAATCCCAGAACAGACCATCATCAGCAGGGTCTGCAACCCCAGGCCCGTCCCACTCACTTTCCCCGCTGTGGAGGGCCAGGCAGAGATGGCTGTTCTCCTGGAAGACTTCTCCTCTCTGGACCGGTCCTGACGTCCTTACAGCCCTGGGCCCTTCGTCTCTCTTTGTGTCCCCCACTGTAGAGGACGGCGAACCACAGCTGCATCAACCTCCTTTACATTCAGACAGGTGATTTTTTTACAATTCAGTTTTAAGTGTTTTGGGCAATATTTTGTCTTAAGATACATATTTTTAAACTTTTTATACCTTATGTCTTTAGATTTTTTCAGCTATTTTCTTAAAAGTATATTTTTTCTATAAATATCCTTTGCTGCGACATTAGAACTTTTATAGCCTGAACAATTGTAGTTGGTGTGTTTCATTTTTTTCAGGTTTAAATAAGGGATTTTTTTTGCAGTGGGCATCACTACGGTCCTTGTCAACAGTGTGAGTGTATCATGTTTTACTTTAAATGTGCGTGCAATACTTCTCCATTATGTTCTGTGCTACCGTGAGACCTGGGTGAAACTCAAAAACCGCACACAGCTACTACATTTTTTTTGTCATTAGAAAATCTACTGTGGGAGCCACATCTTCCTAGACTTGAGCATAAATTATGGAGAATTTTATTTATGTCTATTTATGTGTAAATGTCATTGAAGGCAAAGGTCAAATATTTGTCTGTTTGGAGATCACGGGCACCAGTTGGTCTTCAGGACCTCAGAGACCCTCCGTGGTGCCTTCTGACAGGCGGTGTTCCTGAAGGCCTCCCGTCAGCCCAGGCACCTGCCCTGGCTGAGGAAATAGCATTGCTACTGGATTAGAAATGCCTGTGCTGCTCTGTTAGATTGGTGCTGGAACAAAAGGTTAAGGCTGAAGTCTAGAATGAAAGAAATCCGAATCCCTGTCATTCATGGCCCCTTGATCTGTAGGGTCATAGGTGCTGCCTCAGGGAGTGAGCTGGAGGTGCCTGCAACCTTCCTCTCCTGCCCCGCCTCACCCCTCTTGTGTTTCCTGTTTCTCATGCTTTTTCTAACTTCCTCACCCCTTAGCCAAAAAGGTTTGTTTTCTTTTGTGGATACAGCCATTCTTAAATATCAGTGATGTAAACCTCACTTTATTAAAAAATTATCCATCAAAACAAAACAAAACAAAGGTAAAGAAAATAGACAAGGCATAAGGATTTTTAAAGTTTTGGGTTTTTTAAAAGCAAGAATTGAAATAAAAATAACATAATGAACGAATATAACAATGATTAGCTAAACTATTAATATTTGGTACACAAACTCATTTTGGATAAAAACTGCATTTTCTTAAACATTAAAAAAAGAGGCTGGGTGCGGTGGCTCACGACGGTAATCCCAGCACTTTGGGAGGCCGAGGCGGGCGGATCACGAGGTCAGGAGATTGAGACCATCCTGGCTAACACGGTGAAACCCCGTCTCTACTAAAAATACAAAAAATTAGCGGGGCGTGGTGGCAGGCGCCTGTAATCCCAGCCACTCGGGAGGCTGAGACAGGAGAATGGCGTGAACGTGGGAGGCGGAGCTTGCAGTGAGCCAAGATCGCACCACTGCACTCCAGCCTGGGGGACAGATCGAGATTCTGTCTCAAAAAAAAAAAAAAAAGAAATGATCCCTCCCTAGACCTTATTATCTCATGAGGAAATATAAGGATGAAAGGCACTTTTTTTTAATTTTATTTTTATTTTTATTTTTTTGAGACAGAGTCTTGCTCTGTCACCCAGGCTGGAATGCAGTGGCATGATCTCAGCTCACTGCAACCTCTGCCTCCTTGGTTGAAGCGATTCTTACCTCTGACTGTGATACTTACTATGATCTTAGAAAAATCATTTTTTTTTTCGGACCCCTAGTTTTTTCTTCTGTAAAATGTGGATTATAGTATTTCATAGGGTTTCTTGAAGATATTAAACGCGAAGATTTTGTGAAGGGCTGGGAGAAATGTCAGGAAACATTGTAAAATCTGGGCATGCCTGTAAACAATTGAATTTCTGCTTGTACTTATAGAGGACCATGTTTACAAAATTTTTGCCCATCCAAGTAATTCTTTCAAATAGTGATGTCTGAGTAAGAAAAGTTTGATACTGATTTACTGTCCTCTGGACACTAAAAACCTATCATTCAGAATTAGCTGCATTAACTGTTCTTTAAACATCTTTAGTAAAATGAATTATTATCTTCTCATGAAATTTAAAAGGTACCTATAAGCAAATATCTTTGTGATGTAACAGAGTTTATAGAGAGTGAATGACAAATGGCAGCCACAAAATCACTTGATTACAACTTAGTTCATGCCTATCACCTTCTGCTGGGTAATTAAAACATGCAGAAGGGTCCAACCATAAGCAGCAGAACACAGTAGTGGAGAAATTAAATATAAAGAATTAGTATATGTTGATATCAGGGAGAGGGAAAAATAATTTACGTGGCTACACCACCAAACTCTATATTACATAGAATGTTATATTTGAAAGAAACAGAAATCAGTGTCCTTGGTTTAGTCCTGGAGCCTTTCTCTTCTCCATCTGTACTTGCCTAGTTATCTACACCCAAATTTTCATTCTTCATCATGAATTCAGATTCCTGCCTCCATCTACATGGATGTTTTCAGAAGTAACATAAATTCCAAAAGCCCCAACCAACTAACTCTTGATTTTCCAAATGCCAAATTTTCTCCACTTACAGTCTTCCCCTTCTCAATCCAAGTGTTCAAGCAAAACTCTTGAATTCTTCCTTGACTCTTATTATATTTCCTTCCTACCCTCACCTATCCCCTATACATCTTAACCACCATATCACTTTAACAATCTTTACCACAACCTCCCTGTTCCTAGTCACCATCACTGCCCACCTGCAAGAGTTTCCTACCTGGGGTCCTTCTACACCAGTAAGCTGCCACAGAGTTTATAGAGGATGGGTGACAAGTGGAAATTCTTTACAGTCCTTAATATTGCAGTCAGAGTGATTCCTGAACATGCATGAGAACACACCCTTCTCTGCTCAGAATCCTCCTATGGATTTTCATCACAGAGTCAAAGTCAAAGTCTTTCTGGTGGTCTAGGCCCTGCCACCTCTCTAACTTCAGCTCACCCTATGCTTCCTCCTGCTCATTCATAGCTGTTTCCTTGGTTACATCAAACGAATTCTCACCTCCATGCTGTTTTTCTCCCCTAGTTTTCAATGGGCTCTTCTCTCGCTCATCTCAGGTCTGTGCTGACACATCATCAGTGAGGCCTTCCCTGACTTCCCTCATGAAATAGCAACCCACATTCTCCCCCAATCCAGCCCCACCTAACACTCCATATCCCCCTTCCTGATTTGTTTTACTCCACAGCAACCTACTACCACCATCTGACCTGTGATCCATTTACTTATTAACTATATCTCTGAAAAGAAGATACACTGCATGGTGCCAGAGGCTTTAAAAAAATTTTACTGCTCTTTAGCATGTCATAAACATTCAACAAAGAATTCTTTAAAGAACAAATGAGTCCAACTGCTAACTTACAGATCAAGAAACTCAGTGTCAGGGAGCCCTGTGCCTTGTCTTCTG
The DNA here is from genome assembly GCF_000001405.40 of Homo sapiens. NCBI lineage: Eukaryota > Metazoa > Chordata > Mammalia > Primates > Hominidae > Homo > Homo sapiens. Next base: position 86,548,888 of record NC_000001.11, on the reverse strand, counting down.
TCTTGTGGTGACACAGTGTAGAACCCTGTCTAAAACCTTCATCTCCCTCTGCCCATTACCATATTGTCCTCACTGCACCACACTGCTTTTAACTTCCTGAAGGACTCAGAAGTTTCCATAATAATTATTAACTATTAACTTTGTTTTCTTCTCCATAATTCAAACAGAAGACATCCCAATTCTTTTTTTTTTTTTTTTTTTTTTCCAGAGAGGGAGTCTTGCTCTGTTGCCCAGGCTGGAGTGCAATGGCGTGATCTCAGCTCACTGCAACCTCTGCCTCCCGGGTTCAAGCAATTCTCCTGCCTCAGCCTCCTGAGTAGCTGGGATTACAGGCATGTGCCACCATGCCCAGCTAATTTTTTGTATTTTTAGTGAAGGCGGAGTTTCAACATGTTGGCCAGCCTGGTCTCGAAATCCTGACCTCATGATCTGCCCTCCTCGGCCTCCCAAAGTGTTCAGATTACAGGCATGAGAGCCACCGTGCCTGGCTGACATCCCAATTCTTGGGAAAAATATTTGCAAACTATTCATCCAACAATGGATTATTATCCAGAATATACAAGAAACTCAAAAACCTCAAAGACAAAGTAATAATAATAATAATATTTTAAAATGGGCAAATGATCTGAATAGACATTTCTCAAAAGAAGACAAACAAATGTCCAACAAGTATATGAAAAAGTGGTCAACATCATTAATCATCAGGGAAATGCAAATCAAAACCAGAATGAGACACCATCTCAGCCCAGTTGGAATGGTTATTACCAAAAAGACAAAAAAAGTGCTGACAAGGATGTGGAGAAAGAGACCTATTATATACCATTGGTGAAAATGTAAGTTGATACAGCCATTATGGAAAACAGTATGGAGGTTCTTCAAAAATCTAAAAATAGAATGACCACATGATTCAGCAATTCCACTAGTGGGTATATATCCAAGGGAAAAGACATCAGTCTGCACTTCCATGTTTATTGTAGCACTATTCATGATGGCCAAGATGTGAAGTCAACCTAAGTGTCCATCAAGAGATGAATGGATAAAGTGTGGTATATAAACACAAATGAATACTACTTAGTCACTGAAAAAAATGAAATTGCTTCATTTGTGGCAGCATGGATGAGCATGGAGGACATTATGTTAAATGAAATAAGCCAGGCACAGAGAGATAAATACCACATATTCTTATGCATATGCAGGAACTAAACCAGGGTATCTTATGGAGATAGAGAGTAGAATGATACTTATTAGAGGCTGCAAAGGATAGGGGAGAGAAAGGAAATGAAGAGAAGTTTGTCAATGTGTACAAAAGCACAGTTATGTAGACAGAATAAGTTCTAGTATTTGATAGTACAATAGGAAAATTAAAGTTACTGATAATCTGTTGTGTATTTCAAAGTAGCTAGAAGAGAATAATTATAATGTTCCCGACACAATGCAAAGATAAATGTTTGAGTTGCTGAATATGCTAATTACCCTGATTTGATCTTTACAAATTGTATACATGTATAGAAATACTACTTTGTATGCCATAAATATGTACAATTATATGTCAATTAAAAATAATAGTAAAAAACTAAAAATTAATGAAAGATATTCCATTTTGTTCTTACCTCTATTTGTTCAATTATTTTTTCATCTTCTGGCACACTAGGATCTATAACAATGACAATATCTTCAAAGCCATTATTATTCAGCTTAATGAAGGAAGTATTTGACTGGTGCAGCAGGCACAGAACTAAGAGGAAAACAAAACCTCTGAATAACCCCATTGTTCCTCTCTAGTTATTCCTGGCTCAAATGTTGGTTTGTTCAAGAGGCTTTTCTTTTCTTTCTCTTTATATACGTTCCTAAAACTTACCAGTATTGGCTGATTATGGGATGTTGACTGTATAAAGGTACATTACATGAGAAAATACATGACTAATTCACCTGATTGCTTAATTATATGTTACATAAAAGTGACTAAGAGTCAGAATAAATCAGATCATTTTATAAAATGCATTGCACATTTTCCTGTTGGAACACGTTTTCTTTATTGTTGTCATTGTTGATATTCTAAGGGCTCCTTGACAACAGGGATTTTTTTTTTTCAATAGGTTTTTGGGTAACAGGTGGGGTTTGGTTACATGAATAAGTTCTTTAATTATAATTTCTGAGATTTTGGTGCACCTAACCACCCGAGCAGTGTACACTGTACCCAATGTGTAGTCTTTTATCCCTCACCTCCCCCTCCTATCCTTTTCCCCGAGTCCCCAAAGTCCATTGTGTCGTTCTTATGCCTTTGCATCCTCATGGCTTAGCTCCCACTCATGAGTGAGAACATATGATGTTTGGTTTTCCATTTCTGAAATTGGCTGCTGCAAATGCCATTATTTCATTTCTTTTTATGGCTAAGTAATATTCCATGGTGTGTGTGTATGTATGTAGGTATATGTGTATATATATATATCACATTTTCTTTATCCACTGGTTGATTGATGAGCATTTGGGCTAGTTTCATATTTTGCAATTGCAAATTGTGCTGCTATAAACGTGTGTGCAAGTATCTTCTTCATATATGACTTCTTTTCCTCTGGATAGATACCCAGGAGTGGTATTGCTAGGATTGCTGGATCAAATGGTAGCTCCACTTTTAGTTCTTTTTTTTTTTGAGATGGACTCTCACTCTGTTGTCCAGGCTGGAGTGCAGTGGCGCGATATCGGCTCACTGCAACCTCCGCCTCCAGGGTTCAAGGAATTCTTCTGCCTCAGCCTCCTCAGTAGCTGGGATTACAGGCGTGTGCCACCATGCCCGGCTAATTTTTGTATATTTGTTTGTTTGTTTGTTTGTTTTTTAGTAGAGATAGGTTTTCACCATGTTGGTCAGGCTGGTCTTGAACTCCTGAACTCGTGATCCACCAACCTTGGCCTCCCAAAGTGCTGGGATTACAGGTGTAAGCCACCACACCCAGCCCACTTTTAGTTCTTTAAGGAATCTCCATACTGTTTTCCATAGTGGTTGTACTAGTTTACATTCCCAGCAGCAGTGTAAAAGTGTTCCCTTTTCACCACATCCATGCCAACATCTATTATTTTTTGATTTTTTGATTATGGCCATTCTTGCAAGAGTAGGGAGGTATCGCATTGTAGTTTTGATTTGCATTTTTCTGATCATTAGTGATGTTGAGCATTTTTTCATATGTTTGTTGGCTGTTTGTATACCTTCTTTTGAGAATTGTCTATTCATTTCCTTAGCCCACTTTTTGATGGGACTGTTTGTTTTTTTCTTGCTGATTTGTTTGAGTTTGTTGTAGATTCTGGATATTAGTCCTTTGTCAGCTGTATAGATTGCAGAGATTTTCTCCCATTCTGTGGGTTGTCTGTTTACTCTGCTGATTATTTCTTTAGCTGCACAGAAGGTTTTTAGTTTAACTAAGTCCCAACAATTTATCTTTGTATTTGTTGCATTTGCTTTTGGGTTTTTGGTCATGAAGTCTTTGCCTAAGCCAATGTCTAGGAGGGTTCTTCTGAAGTTGTCTTCTAGAATTTTTATGGTTTCAGGTTTTAGATTTAAGTCTTTGATCTATCTTGAATTGATTTTTGTATAAGGTAAAAGATGAGAACCCAGTTTCATTCTTCACCATGTGGCTTGCCAATTATGCCAGCACCATTTGTTGAATAGGGTGTCCTTTCCCCACTTTGTTTTTGTTTGCTTTGTTGATGATCAGTTGACTTTAAGTATTTTGGTTTATTTCTAAGTTCTATATTCTGTTCCATTCGTCTATATGCCTGCTTTTACACTAGTACCATGCTGTGGTGGTAACTATGGCCTTATAGTAGAGTCTGAAGTCAGGTAATGTAATGCCTCCAGGTTTTTTCTTTTTGCCTAGTCTTGCTTTGGCTATGCAGGCTTCTTTTGGGTTCCATATGAATTTTAGGATTGTTTTCCTAGTTCTGTGAAGAATGATGGTGGTTTTTGATAGGAATTGCATTGGATTTGTAGATTGTGTTTGGCAGTATGATCATTTTCATAATATTGATTCTATCCATCCATGAGCATGGGATGTGTTTTCATTTGTTTGTGTCATGTATGATTTATTCAGCAGTGTTTTGTAGTTTTCCTTGCAGAAGTCTGTCACCTCCTGGGTTAAGTATATTCCTAAGTATTTTAATTTTTTTGCACTATTGTAAAATGGGTTGACTTCTTGATTTGATTCTCAGCTTGGTCACTGTTGGTATATAGGAGAGCTACTGATTTGTGTACGTTAATTTCGTATCCCAAAACTCTGATGAATTCATTGACCAGTTCTAGGAGCTTTTTAGATGAGTCTTTAGGGTTTTCTAGATATATGATCATGTCATCAGCAAACAGTGACAGTTTGACTTCCTCTTTACCAATCTGGATGCCCTTTATTTTTCTTGTCTTGTTGCTCTGGCTAAGACTTCCAGTATTATGTTGAATAGAAGTGGTGAAAGTGGGCATCCTTGTCTTGTTCTAGTTCTCAAGGGGAATGTTTTCAACTTTTCCCTGTTCAGTATAATGTTGGCTGTGGGTTTGTCATAGATGGCTTTTATTACCTTAAGTATGTTGGGGACACATTTTCTATACTTTCTAATTTTGATGAATTTCCTAAACATAGACATATACTTTATATTTTCTGTAGAGTAGAATGTGAAAATTAATAAAAATCCATAATAAAATGAACAGATACAGTAATACTAATGTCTTCTATTTTTACAAAGCAATTTATCAGCATTACAATGGTATAAATAATGGAAGAGATAAGATAGTTAAATGTAAATAACAGCAAATTAGTTAAGATGGGTTTGAGGTCCAAATTAAAGATTTTAAAGACTTTGATAAATTTAGCAATCAAATTATTTACCTAAAAAATACTGTCCAGTAAAGAAATAATAAAATTTATTTCCATACAAGCACATCAAAAACTTTATCTGGTAGTTTGCTGGTTACTATTGAGGCAGAGTGAATCACATTAATAGTTTACATTTATTCAGTTCTTACCAGAGCACAGATTGTCTCACTTAACCCTCACTGCAACTCTGTAAGGCAAGTATGCATATTACCTTCATTTTATGTATGGAGGAACTGAGGCACACAGATTTAAGTAACTTGCCAATATCACATGGCTAGTAACTGGTAAAGTCAGGATCTGAACCCAGCATTCTTATCCCAGAGCCCATGGATTTAATCTCTCCATCACAAGGCAATGCTGTTTTGCTAGGCAAGTAATGTAGTAAGTTTTTATAAAAAGGAGCAGCTCTGGGAAACTGTGATTATCTGGAGTGAATAGACTGGGTATTAACAAATACATCCTATGCAGTCTTGCCCTCACTGACCCTCCCTTCCTCCTGCTCCCTGCTTCTCCCTGAACTCCAGCTTTGGTGGCTCCAAGAAAACCAAGCATGATCCCATCCCATAGAACTTGTGTTCAGGAAATCCCTTCTGACTCGTTGACTAAATGAATAAATGAATGATTATCATTTTAACCAAAATAACAGCTTATCACAATGCCTAAACAGAAGCTTGTCCAAGGCCTTTGAAATGTTGAAGAAGCCTGATGGACTTAGATCCCCTCTATTGTTTGCGGGAGTATTTATTTTGAGGAGGTGCTATTATAACCTTAAAAAACTCAGGAAACTCTGAGTTATACATTTGGGAGAGAATTCCTCTTTGCCAAAGCAGTTAGAAGAAGCTCCCCTCAGGCAATGAGCACATGCAGCCTGGTGAAAAAAGGTGCCTATTTATAACAGTCTCTCCCTACTTTTTCCTGGTGTCACAGGAACCTCGACATTGGAGACAAATGTATATCCTTGTCTTGTTTTCCATCTATCCCCCTGGTTGAGTTTCTAATACTCTTCTAAAAGAGGAAAGTGGGAAGCTGCTCTGGTGGCCTCAGAGACACCCCCTTCCATTACTAGTCTACATAATACAGTTTCCAGGTCAGCTGGTCCAGCTATAAGGGCCACTGCCTCCATCAACCCAACCTCAGGTAGACATTCCAGCAGAAGCTGGCTTGTCATAAATCAGAAAAGACTGTGCTAAGTGAGTCAAACCTAGATTCAATTCAACTCAGGCAAACAGGCTCACTTGAGTCACTCAAAAAGTATGAGTTTCCTTGTCTGTCACTGGGTCAAAAAAGAGTTACAAAAAAATCAGTTGTTATGTATTTGTTTAGTGTGTAATAGAAAAATGTATCCAACATAACAAGCTTGTGTTTTCACAGATACTACTATCAGAATAACACCATATTTGTTTTTCTCTCTTTTTTATTGAGAAATAGTAATTGTACATATTTATGAGCTTCATGTGATATTCTGGTACATGCATAACGATGATCAAATCAGGGTAATTAGAATATCCATCACCTCAAATATTTATCTTTTTTTGTGTGTGTTGGAAACATTTTAAAGCTTTTTTTTTCCTAGCCTCAGCCTCCCAAATAGCTGGGATTATAGCTGTGCACCATGCCGGCTAATTTTGTATATTTAGTAAAGACAAGGTTTCACCATGTTGGCTATACTGGTCTCAAACTCCTGACCTCAGGTGATCCATCTGCCTTGGCCTCCCAAAGTGCTGGGATTACAAGTGTGAGCCACTGCACCAGGCCTCTAGCTCTTTTGAAATATACAATAAATTATCGTTAACTGTAGTAACCCTACTATGCTGCTATTGAACATTAGAACTTATTCCTTCTACCTAACTGTATGTTTGTACCCATTAACCAACCTCTCTTCATCCTCCCATGTTCCCACCCTCTGGTAATCATCATTCTACTGTCTAGCTCCATTAACAATGAATTCTCCAGAGAGAGTCAGGACTTCTGATTTCCATGGCAACAGAGAGGTCTCCTGTCACTGGACTTTTAAATCATGAGTCAATTACATGCTAAGAGAGTAATAGTCATTTTCTTTATGAGAAAATTTGGATTCTTACTGAGGTAGATGTGTGGTCGATGATTTCATTTTTTATTTCTGGAAGAAATAATATGTGTAAACTTTTTATTTAAAAAAATGAAAAGAGCCTCTTTTTGAACTGAAAAACTGAGTTACTTATCCTTATACAATTTTCTGAAGGCAACATTGGATTTTAATTATTATAAGCTATACACTATCAACACAGAACCTGAGATATAAATAAGTTGGAATTTATTATGTGAGGCTTAGTTTCTTCCTCTTTCCTTTTGGATCTCTCTATCTGTAGTGTGTGTATTCCTTGTGCTCTGGATTCCTTGTGCTAAGCACATGTGGTTCAGGGTCATGTCTTGCCTTCTAGAGGCAGATCCAGAAACCAGTCTCTCTTTCCTATTCCCAGTGCCAACTTACGTGAGGTTGGGATTCCCTTTGCACCTAGTCAGATGCAGGTATCTTTGAAAGAGGGAGTGTCTCTATGAGCTCTACGCTTGGAGAGAAGCATTAGAAATCCCAATTGTGACTTGAGGTCAAGCCATACTTATTAATTTAGCTTCAGCATATATGGAGCTAATATTTTTATAATCTGTCTGACTCCTATGTCAATTTCCAAATCAGTTCCAAACTCTGAAAAGGAAAATGGCAGGGTTTGCTGTGTTTCATTTTTGTTTTTGCCATTTTATTTATTCATTTATTTATTTATTTATTTTGAGACAGAGTCTTGCTCTGTTGCCCAGGCTGGAGTACAGTGGCACGATCTCGGCTCACAGCAACCTCTGCCTCCTGGGTTCAAGCGATCCTCCTACCTCAGTCTCCCAAGTAGCTGGGATTACAAGCATCTGCCACCACACCTGGCTAATTTTTGTATTTTTACTAGAGATATGGTTTCACCATGTTGGCCAGGCTGGTCTCGAACTCCTGACCTCAAGTGATCCGCCTGCCTCGGCCTTCCAAAGTGCTGGGATTACAGGGATGAGCCACCATGCCTGGCCCTGTTTTTACCATTTCAATATACTAAATACACTAAACAGGAAACAATGTGAAGTCACCTATCTTTGTACATTCTTGGGAATCCCACCATTAAGGATTTCTCATTGGCCTGCCTTTCTTCCTACTTAGTGTCCAGTTTTCCCCTCGCCTTCCCTCATTCTCTGATTTTTACCCCTTCCTTCTAGGATTGTTAAATTTCTGGAAATCCAAATACTTTCTCTCTGTTCTACAAAGTAGTGCTTCAGCTCTTTCCTGCTCCTACTCCCAAACTTGCACATTCAAACCCATCAAGGGGAGGTGATAATATGTATAAAGAGCAATATAGTCTTACATGAACAAAGGGAAATTTACAGGTTCTTTATGTATAGATAAACTGTTGGAGATTATTCCATTCCACAGTTAGAGAACTGTGCTCTGTTTAACCTCTCTGCAGATTAACAAAATGGTATAAAACCCTCATTTCATCTCATAACTGGACAATCTGGCAGTCTTCTTAAAGATTTCTTAGCAATATCTTCCAGTCCAATCTTGCACAACATCAAATTATCTAATGTATAATACTAACTTTTCTTTCTCAAGTTCTTCAGGAGTTCATCATTACCTTCAGGTTGGCACAATCCTTTACTTGCTATTCAGAATTCATCATAATGTAGTTCCAGATTATAATTTCTAGTTTTATCTCCCAATATTATCTATGATAAATCTTTTTCTCTAGTCAAAATTTGTGGAAAATTATTTTTACTTTCCACTATTATCCCCTTGACCATACTCATTTTTCTAATTCTATCCAGCTTAACTTCTACTTCTTTATGAAGACTCCCCTGAGCAATTCAGCCAGTCATTTCACTTCTCTGAACTTTTGTACCCTTTTTACCATAACAGGAAATCTTCTAGATCCAGGATTTAGGAGTTGAGATTTTGAATATCCATATGAGAGAATTTTCTTGCTGGAAAATACCTTAGAGACCATCTAATTCAACCACTGATGTTACAGATGAGAACACTGATGTCCAAGGAAGGTAACTGACTTAATGGCAAAACTTAAACTGGAGACATTTGACTTTTAGCCCCATGTGATCTCTTCTCATGGCTTCCTGCTCACCAGCGCTGCACCAACCTCTCCTTACTCTCTCTAGCTGCTGCTTCTGCTGCTGCTATTTGTACATCAGCTGTGCCCTGAGCTTAAGGCATCCCTTTCTTCTTAGAAGCTGTAAGCTTAGCGGATGCTACAGAAATATTCTAACATATGGCTCTTACATTTAAATATTTCTCTTTGTATAATCAGAAGAATTGAAAAAGCCACAAGGAGAAATAGCCTTTGAACAAAATTGCTTTGAAGAGAGTTTGTCCAAAGAATGTTATGCCAGGAGAAAGTACTTATAGATTTATCAATTCATAGTCTAAAATCCATTCTTTTTTATATATAAGAAATCCTACAAAGATTGGGGAGAATTAATATTTACAGAGCATACTGAGTATGTCTGATATTCTGATAACTATATAACTATGTCTGATATTCTTATAACTATATTCTGAGAGTTACCTGGTAACTCTCAGATATTTTGATAGTTACTTTACATGAACTTATTTAATTTTCATAATCAGTCTTTGAGATAGGTATTATCATCCCCTTTCTATAAATGGTGAAATAGATACTCAGAGATATTAAGTAAATTGTCAAAGTTTGTATAGCCAGGAAAAGGGAGGAGATGGGATTTGAACCTATGTGTATTTGTCTTTATGCCATGCAATGGGTAGTTATGTTTTGCCTGGTTGGTTATACCTTGGAGTATGGTGCACTGCCCAAATCCCCTCATATCTCTTTGAGTGTTCCTGTGTGCTTCTTCTTTCTGCATAACATGCATTTGCTTGCAAAGGCCCATACCTGCAACTTTTCTTTGGAGGACAGCCTTCAGACTATGAGAGCTATTTTACCCACTTACATAGAGAGCCAGAAGGTACTTTACATCCTCTGAAGTGGTACATAGCCAATGACTGACAGTTCAGCGATATGAAATCTGAATGCCTTCACTTTGGGTTGGGACCAGTTCTGAGGTGTAACGTACACACTACAGATCCCTGTGGACAAGCTTGATGCTGCCCCCGTGGGACTTTGCCTGTACTCATATCCCTGCTTGGATTCTTCTCTTGTCCACTTCCTCCCGTACCCTTTTTTTTTTCTTTCTTGAGAACTTATTTGGCGAATTACTTGTACATAAATCCTTGTCACAGGACCTACTTCAGGAAAACCTGCTTAAGATAGGGTGTCATGTCTTACAAATAATATTTATTAAGCACTTATTGTATGTATGCTAAGCACTATGTTACATTATTTATATGTATTAACTTTTTTAATCCGCACAACAACCTCAAGAGCAGACACTATTTCTCATTTTACAAATGAGAAAACTCAGCTTTAATAGCTTGCTGAAAGTCACACAGCCATTGGGTGTTAGAAGTAAACTGAAACACTGGTCCGTCTCCAAGTCACACTTATAACCCCTATGCTGCATTCCTTGAAGATACGTCATTTTCCCTGGTAAGGAGACCAACTTATGGTCAGTCAGCCCCTCTATTTGAGGAAGAATATTAAAATAAATGATTAAAATGCCAGTGCAAAAACCAGATTCTGACAAATTTTACAATTTTCTTTTTTCTAATGCAGAAGCTTTTAACTTTTGTTACTGGGGAGCAATAGAAATCTTGTCTGGGAAAAACAAATTTAGCAGGTCATATAGTGATTATACTAATTCCTTACATGTTTATGGTGTATTTCCTTTGTGATAAGCTGAGAAAATAAAAAGTTGTTGCCCTTAAGGAATCCATAATCTCGTGAAGGCAATGTCCCAGTGAAGACCTATGATATAATCTCATAAGTGCCATAATAAAATTATATGATAGCAAGGAGGAAAGAACAAGGAATCATGACCCTAGGGATTCCCTGGGTGAGTCAGGGCTAGTGATGGAGTGAGAAAATGATGATATTTCAGCTAGGTCTTAAAGAATTGGTAGAATTTTAATATTTTATTTTACTCTGTTATTTTTATTTTATTTTACTATTGTATTCTATATTTTATGAAGGAAGAACACATACCAGAATTGTGTTCAAAAGCGATGTCAAAATCACAGAGGTAGAAAATGTCCTATATTTCTACTTCTAATTAAACTTCCAACACGAAGAATTAAAAAATATGTATTTTATATATATATATATATATATATATATATATATATATATGAGACACTTAGAACACTGCCTGTCACATAGTAAGTGTTCAACAAATAGAGGCTGTTATTATTATGTATGTGAATTGGGGAAGTAGATTCCTGACATTCTTTTAACATTAAAAAAATACTACATTATTTATGAAAAAGCTGGGGATCAACTTCTCATTTCCCATTTCACAGGTAAGGAGCTTTGAAGTTTCTACTCCATTCTAACAAGTAAAATGTTGAACACACTGAAAAATCAACAACTCTTCTTAGATATCTAAGAGAGGTGAGGACACAGGGCACAGGGCAAACTGCTGCCCCCAAAATAGGAGCAGACAGGTGAATACCGGATCTTAGCTTACTGGTGTATAGACTTAGGAGTGGAAACCACCATGAGAACCAGTGCCAAGGCAGGAAATCTGAACTGTAATTGACTACTTGCTGGAAGCTCAGTGTGGACAAGTCTGAGAGTTAAAAACTCCAGGGTGAGCCAGCCATGGGCGCGCGGCAGGGCAGGTGCAACATTTATGTAAGTTTTACCTCCAGAAGCCTGACCAGGTTCTCATAGTAAATACTAGAAACAAACAAACAAAAACTTTATGCTTCCAGTAGCAGGAGGGGGAAAAACTATTTAAAAATATGTCAGAGCACTCTGTTCTTAACAAGGCCTGCTCTCAGGAAAAGCTATTTAACCAGAGCCTAACCTGCTGGGGTTTCTTCAGAGCCTAACTGACTTGAAGGAAGGGAAATACCCAGCTCCAGCCAACTGTAGCCATCCTGTTCCATCTAAGGAGGGAGAAAAACCTGAGACACATTTGTAACATTTTCCAGTCCAGAGGCATAGGCTCACCGAAAGACTAATCATAGGATGATAGGACATTTTCGCTCTGCCCCCACCCCCGACCTTACCACCACATTTTTACAGGTCTACTTGTGGCAGTTCCTTTTACTCAGTACATCATGTTCAGCTACCAAGAAAAAATTACAAGGCATACTAAAAAGCAAACTACAATTTGAAGAAAGAGAGGAAGGATCAGAACCAGACACGGCAGGGATATTGGAATCAGACCAGAAATTTTAAACAAAAATGATTAATATACTAATGGACAAAGGAAATAGCATGCAAAACCAGATGGGCAATGTAAGCAGAGAGGTGGAAATCCTAAGAAAGAATGAAAAAAAATGCTAGAGATAAAAAAACATTGTAATAGAAATGAAGGATACTCTGGTGTGCCTACTAGTAGATTGGACACAATTTATGAAACAATCACTAAGGTTGTGGCTATATCAGTACAAACCTCCAAAACTGAAAAGCAAAGAGAACAAACAATGAAAAAAAATAGAAAAGAGTGTCCAAGGATTGCAAGACAACTACAATAGGTGTAACATAGGCATGATGGGAATACCAGGAGAAGAAAGAGAGAAAGGAATAGAAGTCATATTTGACACAATAAAGACTGAGAATTTTCCCAAATTAATGTATGGATCCAGGAAGCTCAGAGAACACCAAGTGGGATAAATGTTAAAAAAATTACACCTAGGCTTATCATTTTTAAACTACAAAAAATTAAAGATTAAAAAAATTCTCAGTGAGGATTTTACCTATAAACAAAAAATTACGTTTGACTTTCCTCAGAAGCCATGTAATCAAGAAGAGAGTGAAATAAAATATTTAAAGGGTTGAGACAAAAAAAACCCCCATCAACTCAGAGTTCTGTACCCTGTGAAATTATTCTTCAAAAATGAGGGAGTAATCAAGAGTTTCTCAAACAAAAATTAAGGAAATTTATTGCCAGCAGTCCTGCCTTGCAAAAAATGTTTTAAAAAGTTCTTTAGAGAAGAGGAAATAATATAGGTCAGAAACTCAGATCTTTATAAAGAAAAGAAGAGCACTAAAGGAGGAATAAGTGAAGATAAAAACTTTTATTTATCTTATTTTCAGTTGTTCAAAAGTAATAGTAACAATAGATTAGATTATGTATGCTTATGGGTATATATTATATATCATTTATATAGATAGATGTATGCTATATCTATCTACATATGTAGATATAACATATATCTTTTTACATATCATATATATGTGCTTATATGTGCTTATATTTTAATGAAATGAATGACAGCAATGATACAAAAAATGGGGCAGAGGAATTATAATTATTTTGTATTATAAGGTACTCACACTACCTGTGAAGTGATGTAGTGTTATTTGAAAATGGAGTTGGGTTAGTTGTAAGTGTATATTGCAAATTCTAGAGCAACCACTAAAAAAAATAAAAGAATCACAATGTATAATGCTAAGAAAGAAGAAAAAATAGATCATATAAAATCCTCAGTTAAAACCACGAAAGGCAGGAAAAGAGAGGAAGACAAAAATAGCAACAAAAGAAAACAAATAGAAAAATAGCAAGGAAAACAAATAGAAAAATAGTAACAAATATGGTAGACAGTAATCCAACTACATCAATAATCACTTTGAACATCAATGGTCTAAATGTACCAATTAAAAGACAGAGATTGTCAGAGTGAATCAAAAAACAAGATCCATCTAGATATTGTTTACAAGAAACTCCCTTTAAATATAAAGACACGTAAGCTTAAAAGTAAAAGGATAGAAAAAACTTAGGAAACTAGAAAAAAAGGGAAAATTTAATCTAAACTGTGCAGAATAAAAGAAATAAGTAGAACAAAAAACAATAACATTTAAAACAGGACATTAATAGAGAAAATCAATGAAACCAAAATCTGGTTCTTTGAAAAGAACAATAAAACTGATAAGTCTGTAGCCAGGCTAAGAAAAAAGAGAGAGGACATAAATTGCTAACATCAGAAATTAAATAAAGGATATTACTACAGATCCCATGGACCTTAGAAGGATAATAAGGAAATACTATGAACAGCTTTATGCCCACAATTTGATAACTAGATGAAATGGACCAATTCCTTGAAAGTCACAGTCAGCCAAGACTCACACAAGCACAAATGGACCATTGGAATAGGCCTGTATCTGTTAAGGAAATTGAATCAATAATTAATAACTTCCTACAGAAAGCAACAAGTCCAGATGGGTTCACTGGTGATTTATACCCAACATTTAAGAAAGAAATTAAACCAATTCTTAACAATCTCTTTCAGAGGATAGAAGCAGAGGGGTCCAACTCATTCTATGAGGCAAATGTTATTCTAAAACCAACACCAGACAAAGACATTATAAGAAAAAGACAATTACAGACCAATATCTCTCATGCAAAAGTCCTCAACAAAATATTAGTAAAGTGGATCAAAAAATGTATAAAAAGAATTACACACCATGACCAAATAAGATTTACCCTAGGTTTTTATCCCTTTATACAAGGTTGATTCAACACTGGAAAATGAATTAATCTAATCATCACATCAATAGGATAAAATGGGAAAATCACATGATCATATCAATAGATAGAAAAAAGGATTTGACAAACCAAACACCCATTCATGATAAAAATTCTCAGTAAACCAGGGATAGAGGAGCATTTCCTGAACTTGACAAAGAATATCTACAAAAAAACCCACAGCTAAAATTTTCCTTAATAGTGAGAAATCAGAGTTTTTCCTCCAAGATCAGAAACAAGGCAAAAGTGTCCCTCTCACCACTCCTCAACAACATACTGGTAATTCTAGTTAATGCAATAAGAAAAAAAGTGGGTGGGGGGAGGGTGCGGGAGGGAGAAATAAAAGATATACAGATTGGGAAGGAAGAAATAAAATTGCCATTGTTCACAGATGACTTGAGTGTCTATGTAGAAAATTTGAAAAAGTTGACAAAAAATTCCGGGAACAAATAAATAATTACAGTAAAGTTGCAGGATCCAAAGTTAATATACAAAGGTTAATCACTTTCCTATACACCAGCAATGACCAAAAGGAATTTGAAATTAAAAACACAATATCATTTACATTAGAACTGAAAAAAAGAAATAGATATAGTCTACCAAAATATTTATATGATCTATATATGGAAAGCTACAAAACTCTGATGAAAGAAATCGAAGAAGAACTGTAATGGGAAGATATTTCATGTTCATGGATAAGAAGATTCAATATTGTCAAGATGTCAGTTCTTCCCAACTTGATGTATAGATTCAATGCAACCCCAATCTAAATCCAAGCAAGTTAGTCTGTGGATATCAGCAAACTCATTTTAATGTTTATAGGGAGAGCCAATACCCTGAATAGTCAATATAATATTGAAGGAGAAGAACAAAATTGGATTATTGACACTACCTGACTTCAGGACTTACTACAAAGCTATAGTAATTCAGACAGTGTGATACTGGCAAAAGAATAGGTAAATAGATCAAGGACACGAATAGATAGCCCAGAAATAGACCAAGAAATATGCTTAACTGATCATAACTGATGACAAGGGAGCAAAGGAAATACAATTAAGTAAAGATAGTTTGGTGCTAGAACAACTGGACACCCACATGCAAAACAAAAGAGAATTTAGTCGCAAACCTGACACCCTTCACAAAAAAGTTAACCCAAAATGGATCACAGACCTAAATGTGAAATGCAAAACTATAAAACTCCTTGAAGATAACATAGGAGAAAACTTAAATGACCTGTATATGGTGATGACTTATTAAATACAGTACAAAGGCACAATTCATGAAATAAATCATTGATAGGCTGTATTTCATCAGCATTTAAAACTTCTGCTCTGCAAAAGACAATGTCTAGTGAATAAGAAGATAAGCCAGAGATTGGGAGAAAATATTTGCAAAAGACACATCTGAGAAAGGACAGTTATTCAAAATGTATGAAGGATTCTGAAATTCAACAATAAGAAAACCAACCTAATTAAAAAATGGGCTAAGGACCTTAACAGACAACTCACCAAAGAAGATATGCAGACGGAAAATAAGCATATGAAAAGATGCTCCACATCATAGGTCATCAGGGTAACGCAAATTAAAACCACAATGAAATACCACTGCACACCTATTTGGCCAAAATCCAGAATACTGACAAGATCAAATGATAGCAATACTGGAGCAACAAGAACTCTCACTGGCAGGAATACAAAATGGCATAGCCACTTTGGGAGACAGTTTCTTACAAAGCTAAACGTACTCTTACTATATGATTCAGCAATTATATTCCTTGGTATCTATTCAAAAGAGTTGAAGACACGTCTACACAAAAACCTGCACATGGATGATTATAGCAGCTTTATTCATAATTGCCAAAACTTGGAAGCAGTCAAGATATCCTTCAGTAGATGAGTGGATAATTAAACTGTGGTACATCCAGACAATGAAATATTATTTACCACTAAAAAGAAATGTTACCAAGCCATGAAAAGACATGGAGGAATCTTAAATAAATATTACTAAATGAAAGAAGCCAATTTGAAAAGGCTGCAAACTGTAGAATTCCAACTATTTGACATTCTGGCATTCTGGAAAAGACAAAACTTTGGAGACAGTAAAAAGGCGAGTGATTGCTAGAGATTGAGTAGGGGAGGGTGAGGATAAAAAGTCAAAGCACAAATTTTTACTTTGTATGATACTATAATGGTGGACACGTCATGATACATTTTTCAAAACACATAGAATGTACAACACCAAGAGTGAACCCTAATGTAAACTATATGTAGTGTCAATGTAGGTTTATCAATTATAACAAATATATCACTATATTTGGTAGGGATGTTGATAACGGGGAAGGCTATGCAGGTGTAGGAAACTGGGATATATGGGAAATCTCTGTACCTTTTTCTCAATTTTGCTGTGAACCTAAAATTGCTTCAAAAAAATGAAGTCTATAAAAAAACTGGGGGTTTCTAGTCCACAGTGGATTCTTGCTTATTCACAGAAGCTTATCTCAGTTTGGATTACCCAGGTCTTTTTTTTTTTTGAGACGGAGTCTCGCTCTGTTACCCAGGCTGGAGTGCAGTGGCACGATCTCAGCTCACTGCAACCTCCGCCTCCTGGGTTCAAGAGATTCCCCTGCCTCAGCCTCATGAGTAGCTGGGACTACAGGCATGTGCCACCACACCTGAATAATTTTTGTATTTTTAGTAGAGACGGGAGTTTCACCATGTTGGCCAGGATGGTCTTGGTATCTTGACCTCATGATCCGCCTGCCTTGGCCTCCCAAAGTGCTGAGATTACAGGCATGAGCCACCGCGCCCGGCCAGATTACCCAGGTCTTTTACTCCTCCTCTCTCTCCCTGTCCTGCTAGCTTGTTTGTCCACACTTGACACATTAGTACTTATAGCCTATATCTATTTATTAGGAGTGTTTCCAGTTGTAACACCTGATTAATAGTGGCTGAACCAAATATGGATTTATTTTCTTTATAAGGCAGCCTAGGGCTGGTATAGTTGCTTAATGATGGCAATAAGGGCACAGGTTCTTTCTATATTTCTTCTTCACCAACCTTGGATTGGTGGCTTTTTACTCATCATAAGATGGCTGCTGCAGCTACAGAGGATTGTGGTGGCCCCAACAATGTCTGCTCTTTTATCAGAATAGCAAAAATTTTTTTTTTTTTGAGATGGAGTCTTGCTCTGTTGCCCAGGCTGGAGGACTGGAGTACAGTGGCATGATCTCCGCTCACTGCAACCTCCGCCTCCCGGGTTCAAGCAATTCTCCTGCCTCAGCCTCCTGAGTAGCTGGGATTACAGGCACACGCCACCAAGAGCCTCAGAAAATTTCAATTTCCACTGATTCGCTATATCTTCTGATTCTGTACATCATGCTATTAAAAGTGTGGTCTATGGTCTGGGCACAGTGGCTCACACCTGTAATCCCAGCACTTTGGGAGGCTGAGGTGGGTGGATCACTTGAAGTCAGGAGTTCAAGACCAGCCTGGTCAACATGGTGAAACCCCGTTTCTACTAAAATTACAGAAATTAGCCTAGTGTGGTTGGCACATGCCTGTAATCCCAGCTACTTGGGAGGCTAAGGCAAGAGAATAGCTTGAGCCTGGGAGAAAGAGGTTGCAGTGAGCCAAGATATTGCACCACTGCATTTCAGCCTAGGAGACAGAGCAAGACTTTGTCTCAAAAAAAAAAAAAAAATGTGTGGTCTATGGACCAGCTGCATTGCTGCATTGTCATCAGCGGGAGCTTGTCAGAGATGCAGAGTTTCAGGCATTATCCCAGACCTACTGAATCAGAATCTGCATTTTAACAGATTCTCAGATGATTCATATGCACATTAAATTTTGAGAAGCACTGATGTTCACCATATTGACTATAATGGCCAGACTATGCCTTTATTTGTTTGACTTGAATGTAAATGCATTATCATAAATCATTTCTCTGCTACGGTCAAATAGGCTTATGGTGGCAGCACTGCCACGCACATAATCCTTCATGCTTGATCTACTTTCTTTACTAGGCATTCACATCTTTGCATTTCTCTACCAGGCATGGCCTTCATTCTTGGTACAGAGTCAGCTGTGCCATTCATATCTTATTTCAGCTTTTGAATTATTCTTGTAAAACCTGCTTAGACAATTCTCTTGACACCTGGGGGAGGGATGGTTGGAAGGAAAGGTCCCTCTTTCAATGAAATACTTGCCCAACTAATTATTGCTTGGGCTGCTTGTTTTTCTTCTTTCTACATATGTGTGCTTCAAAGTAAGCAAGTTGAAAGTTATTATTGAGCTCCTTATTTAGTGAAATACAGTGTTTATGTAACGGGTTTTCCCTCTAGATAGAAATTTAATGTTTCTGTAAACTTTGAGATATTTTATTCAGAAGATTGTCACAGAGCAAATCAATTTTAATTTTCTTTTAGACAAAGTACCTGCCACACAAGTCAATAAAAAGTTTGCTCTGTTAAGAAAATGTGGCACATATACACCATGGAATACTATGCAGCCATAAAAAATGATGAGTTCATGTCCTTTGTAGGGACATGGATGAAATTGGAAATCATCATTCTCAGTAAACTATCGCAAGAACAAAAAACCAAACACCACATATTCTCACTCATAGGTGGGAATTGAACAATGAGATCACATGGACACAGGAAGGGGAATATCACACTCTGGGGACTGTGGTGGGGTGGGGGGAGGGGGGAGGGATAGCATTGGGAGATATACCTAATACTAGATGACGAGTTAGTGGGTGCAGCGCACCAGCATGGCACACGTATACATATGTAACTAACCTGCACAATGTGCACATGTACCCTAAAACTTAAAGTATAATAAAAAAAAAAAAAGAATGAACACAAAAGTTTGCTCTGTTTTTTTTGTAAGTAAATTCTTTTGATGGTTATTTAAGACAATATGTTTTTAAGGGAGAAAACTTCATAAGGTAATAATATACTTCATAAAGTAATAATATACTTCATAAAGTAATATAAAATAATATAAATATACAATGTTTAAATAAATAATTAATATATAATATAAAGAGCATACAATGTTTTAAAATGTGCCCCTAGATTTTAGAAAATGCAGTTAATAAATAACGTGCTTCTTCATTCACTTGTTGATGACTCTTACCTGAAGAACTGGATAAAAAGTTTGAATGACTGAAAAATTGGAAAGCTGATATAAACAGAATAAAGGTCAATTGGGTCTAAATGAACTGCTCAATTAAAGACAGGACAAAGACTAACATAGGGTTAACTAGGGAAAAAGTGTGAATTTTGTAATATTAAGCACAAAATGTAGAGTATTTCAGCACCTCCATACCAGTATGCATAAAATCGAATGAATACTATCCTTTGGGAAGTGTTCTTATTTCTATGATTTCAAAGAAGTTTTCTTTCCGTGTAGGATTCAAGAGTAGTATGAAATTTAGAATATGCAGAGTTGCCAGAAAGATAAACACTGGTCAAAAATGTTAGAAACTTCACAATGAGACACTGCTTCACACTTGCTAGGAAGCTATTATCATCAAACGAACAAAACAAAAAACATAAAATAACAAGTGTTGGCAAGGATGTGGAGAAATTGGGACACTCCTGCATTGCTGGTGGGAATGTAAAATGATGCAGCAATCTTGAAAAATAGTATGGTGATTCTTCAAAAATTTAAACACAGAATTACCATATAATTCAGCGATTTCACTTCTAGGTGTGTCCCAAAAGAATTGAAAATAGGAACTTGAACATATATTTGTACACCCATGTTCATAGCAGCATTATTTACAGTTAACAACCAAAGTGTTCATTGATGGATGAATGAATAAGAAAAGTGATATATATGTGCAATTGAATATTATTCAGCCTTAAAGAGGAAGGAAGGAAATTTTGACACATGCTACAACGTGGATGAACCTTGAAGACATTATACTATGTGGAACAAGCCAGTCACAAAAGGACACAAATATTGTATGGGTCAATTTTTATGAGGCACCCATAGGAGTCAGATTCATAGAGACAGAAAGTTGAATGGTGGTTGCCAGGAACTGGGGAGAGGTGAGAATGGGAAGTTATTTTTAATGGGTAGAGTTTCAGTTTGGGAAGATTAAAATGTTCTAGAGATGGATGGGGGTGATGGTTGCACAAAAGTGTGAATGTATTTAGTGCCACTGAATTGTGTACTTAAAAGTGGTTAAAAAGGTAAATTTTATTTTATATATATTTTGCCATAAGGAAAAATTTAGAAACTTAAGAGGATGAAGGTTTAACATTTTTTATTATCTCACGTTTAAGTTAATGAGTTAAACACTTACCACAGTGTTATTGCCTTTATTAGGTAGCTTTATTAGGTATGTTGGTGTCAGGTACTGGTAACCTCAGTTTTCCCGGGTTACCAATAGTCCAACAAGCATTTGCTGAGTGCCCTACTGACTATTAACCAGGTGCTGTAGTAGGCCTTAAAGATACAAAAAGAAGTTAAATATAGCCCTTGACTTTAGTGAGGTCACAGATTAGCATGGAAGACAGACATGGAGATAAATGACTGCAACTTAGTGCAATGCAACGTATAACAGAAATATATATGACATTCTGGTTGAAAGAGCAGGTTCTGGTACACACTGCCTGAATTTGAATCCAGGCTTGATTACTTTTACCAGTAGTGTGATCTTAAGCAAATTACTAAATCTGTTTTTTAGTTTCTGTAATATCAGAGTAGTAATGATTCTTACCTCACAGGATTGTTGTGAGGATTAAATGGGTTCTTATTGTGAAATGCTTAGATTAGTGCTTAACATGTGGTAAATACTTATTAGATCCCAGTAAAGACTGAAAGTGTGGGAAGGTCAAGGTACAGCTAATTTCAAGAGCGGTCGAAACCAGGAACTTACACATTCTCTCTCTCTCCTTTGTTTCTACTTCCTTTAGTCACTTCCATTCTCTATTACGAAGGCTGACCTTTGTCCATATGACAAGAAACAGAGCCAAGAACAGAAACTGAGTTTTATGTTTTAAAGCTTCTCTCACCGGAAAGGTATGGATTCATTCAGTTTCTTAGGCAAATACTTTGATTGGCCTGGCTTGGATTAGATACCCATCCCTTGGTCAATTACCAGAGTGGGAGGGGGATGAGATACTATAATTGGCCCATCATGGGTCACATGCCAATCTCTAAACCAATCACCTGTGGCCAGAATATGGGGGTCATATGGGAAAAAAGTTCTAAAGTCCTAGAGATCTGGATGCAGGAGGCAGTTCTCATCCAGAAAGACAATAACCTAAAATTACCTACTATCATCTTCATATAGTGTACTTGTCTTATTTCTCTAACAAAATTGTAAGCTTCTTTGAAGCGTCAGTCATGCCTTATATTTTGCCTTCTTTCATAATTAAGGATTTTTAGCAGGTATTTACTGATTGATTTATTGTCATGTAGAACACACTGGGTGTCATAAGAGACAGAAGAAGAACCACTGTATTAGAAATCTGGAGAAATGATTTCTGGGTCTAACTTTGCCACCTCTCTGACCTTCTATAATATGATGTGGCAAATTAAGATATTAAAATAGATAATTCCTAAGATTCTTTTCAACTCTAAAATTCTATTAATTTTATCAGGATTACATTCACTAATTTTTAAAAAATAATTTTGACTTATTTTAGATTCACGGGTACATGTGCATGTTTGCTACATGGGTATATTGCATGATGCTGAGTTTTGGTGTACGAATGATCCCATCACCCAGGTAGTGGGCATAGTACACAATAGGTATTTTTTAACTCATGCACCCCTCTCTTCCTCCCTAGTGTCTATTTTTCCCATGTTTATATCCACGTGTGCTCAATGTTTAGCTCACACCTAAATGTGAGAACATATAGTGTTTGGTTTTCTGTTGCTGCATTAATTTGCTTAAGGTTATGGCCTCCAGACCCATCCATATTTCTGCAAAGGGCATGATTTTGTACCTTTTTATGGCTTCATTGTATTCCATGGTGTATATATTCCACATTTTCTTTATTTGATCTACCATTGACAGTCACCTAGGTTGATTCCATGTCTTTGCTATTGTAAATAGCGTGGTGATGAACTTATGAGTGCATGTGTCCTTTTGGTAGAATCATTTCTTTCCTTTTGCTATATACCCACTAATGGGGTTGCTGGATTGAATGATAATTCTATTTTTACTTCCTTGAGGAATCTCCAAATTGCTTTCTGCAGTGGCTGAACAAATTTACGTTTTACTGACAATATATGTGTTCCCTTTTCTCTGCAGCCTTGCCAACATCTATTGCTTTTTGACTTTTGACTGGTGTAAGATGGTATCTCATTATGGTTTTGATTGGCAGTTTTCTGACTACTGGTGATGCTGAGCATTTCTTTCCTATGTTTGTTGGCCGCTTATATGTCTTCTTTTGAGAAGCATCTGTTCATGTCTTTTGCCCACTTTTTTTTTGAGACAGAGTCTCACTCTGTTGACTCCAGGCTGGAGTGCGGTGGCATGATATCGGCTCACTGCAAACTCCACCTCCCAGGTTCAAGCGATTCTTCTGCCTCAGCCTCCTGAGTAGCTGGGATTACAGGTGCGCGTCACCACGCCCTGCTAATTTTTGTATTTTTAGTAGAGAAAGGTTTCACCATGTTGGTCAGGCTGGTCTCGAACTCCTGACTTCGTGATCCACCTGCCTCATCCTCCCAAAGTGCTGGGTTTCCAGGCGTGATTGCTCGCTTTTTAATGGGGTTGTTTTTGGCTTGTTGAATTAAGTTTCTTATACATTCTGGATATTAGACCTTTGTCAGATGCATAGTTTGTGCATTTGTCAGATGCATAGTTTGTGCATAGTTTGTGCATTTAGTGATTTGGCATTCACTAAATCTTAACTCTTTTCAATTATTGATTAGCTGGTATTTTTGACCCTGTTGTTTAAACAAACTTATTTTTTAAAATCCTGAATTTTTAAATGGCAGTCAGACTTCTTATATTGAACAGAATTCCACTCACATCTGTTTCTTTAGGCTGCCAGTACCTTTCTCCTAGGTTGTTCACATACATGGCTTCCTCCTTTTCACCTTTGCTTTTCTTCTCATAAGCAGAAAAACTGGGAAAAAATAAAAACTAAAACAAAGGTAATAATCATAGACAGAGTTTGAAATACCCTAGGTCACTTTCACGACCCAAAAAGCTTTGAAACAGACTGTTTGGAAAGGGATTTTGGAAGTTTGGAAGAGGGCTATTATGGGTTGAATCTTGTTACCCCAAAAATTCATATGTTGAAGTCTGGACCCCTAGTACTTCAGAATATAACTTTATTTGAAAATAAGGCCATAAAAGATGTTAATTAATTAAGAGATTATACTGGTGAAGCTCCTATTTCAGTATAACTAGTGTACTTACAAAATGGTGAAATTTAGACATAGACCCTCAAATAGAGACACCACCACATACACATGAAGGCAAGGGATCAGGTGATGTGTCTAGAAACCAAAGAATGCCAAAGATTGCAGCAAACTAGCAAAAGCTCGGGGGGAAAAGGAATGGAACGAATTCTGTCTCACAGCCCTCAAAAACTCGGAAGGAATCAACCTGCCAACACCTTAATCTTGGACTCCTATTTTCCAGAACTATGACACAATAAAATTCTGCCATGTTTGTGGCATTTTGTTATAGCCACCCTAGGAAACTATACAGGGACCAAAATTTTGCTCCCTGATCATTCTTTAACTGTAAAATTCTGTTAACTGAGTCTTTGCCTTAATTATAGAGTTTAGAATTACAAAAATCTAGGTTGGAACCACAATTTTCCCCAAAGAACCAGAGACTCATCAAACAACTTCCATCTCATAACATTAAAAGGAAAATGTAATAGATTCTTAAACATGCAATTAAAGCACTATGGTTCCTTTTCACAACTTTTCAAGGACATAGAAGCAACACTTTCTCTTAGGTTTATTTTGGTTTTTGATTATGGGGAATCAATGGGGGAAATCTAATTATTTACTCTAGGCAAATGTTTTTGTTCTTTGGTCTAATTAGAAGATGAGAGGTGACAACGTGTTAGCAGCCCTCCTTTGCTCTCAATGCCTCCTCGGCCTCGGCGTCCGCTCTGGCTATACTTGAGCCCTTCAGCCCGCGCTGCACTGTGGGAGCCCCTCTCTGGGCTGGTCGAGGACGGGAGCTCCCACGGCTTGCGGGGAGGTGTGGAAGGAGAGGCACGGGAACCGGGGATGCGCCCGGGAACCAGGGATGCGCCCAGCATTTGCAGGCCAGCGCCAGTTCTGGGTGGCGTGGGCTCGGTGGGCCGCACTTGGAGCGGTGGGCCAGCGCCACAGGCCCGGGCAGTGAGGGGCTTAGCACCTGGGCCAGCAGCTGCTGAGGGTGCGCCAGGTCGCCCAGCACTGCCTGCCCATCTGCCCCACACTTGAATTCTCACCGGGCCTGAGCCACCTCCCCATGGGGCAGGGCTGGGGACCTGCAGCTCACGATGCCTGAGCCCCCCACCCTGTGGGCTCTCATGCAGCCTGAGACTCCCTGACAGGCACCGCCCCCTGCTCCACAGCCCCCGGTCCCATCAACCGCTGAAGGGCTAACCTGTGCAGGCGCAGCACAGGACGGGCAAGCAGCTCCACCCAGGGCCCCAGCGCCTGGATCCCCTAGGGAAGCCAGCTGGGTTCCTGAGTTGGGTGGGGTCTTGGAGAACATTTATGTCTAGCTGGAGGATTGTAAATGCACCAATCAGCACCCTGTGTCTAGCTCAAGGTTTGTAAACACACCAATCAGCACCCTGTCAAAACAGACCAATCAGCTCTCTGTAAAATGGACCAATCAGCTCTCTGTAAAATGGACCAATCAGTAGGATGTGGGTGGGGTCAAATAAGGGAATAAAAGCAGGCTGCCGGAGCCAGCGGCTGCAACAGGTTGGGGTTCCTTTTTGTGGTGTGTAAGTGTTGTTCTTTTCCTCTTTGTGCTGAATTTTGCTGGTGCGTGCTCTTTGGGTTTGCACAGCTTTTATGAGCTGTAACACTCACCACGAAAGTTTGTAGCTTCACTCTTGTGGCCAGCGAGGAACCCGCTGGGAGGGACGAGCAACTGCAGATGCGTTGCATGTAAGAGCTGTAACACTCACTGCGAAGGTCTGCAGGTTCACTCCTGAAGTCAGCGAGATCACGGTGCGAAGAAACTTGCGACATGCCATCTGTAAGAACTGTAACACTTAGTGCTAGGGTCCGGGCCTTCATTCTTGAAGTCAGTGAGACCAAGAACCCACCAGTTCCAGATACAAAGAGATACCTCATACAACAAGTAGACCAGTACTACTGGTACTATTTACTGGTATCAATAGTTGCAATACTACTGTCGCTGCTAACTCACTGCACTCCTTGTCGATCAGCGAAAGGCCTTGATTCCTACTTACAAAGAATATAGAAGCTCCTAGACATGAACTCCATTAAATGCTTGCCTTCATGACTATTTCCTTAATCACCAGAGAACACTGCTCATTACGTTTGTAAAGGGTAATGTCTGTGCACTTGTGCTCTTTATCTTCCATTCTCTCTAAATACCTTGATGTTCTATTTGTCTCCTCTCTTTTTTATGTCCTCTTCTCTACTGGTTTCCTACTCCTCTCCCTGGCCCTCACCACCCACCAACATAGAAAAATGATACAAACCTTTCTTAGAAGGTTAAAGAAAGTGCAGTAACTTGGATATATTGTTACATCTGAAGAACAATTTGAAATACTTGTATTGCTAGATCTCTCTGTAATATTTTAGGTTGTTGCTGATCATCCCTATTTGTTGAAACTGCTCCCTTTGTTGGTTTTCATGATGCACTTCTGATTACATTTGCAAAACTCTGGCCATTCCTTTTCAGTCTAGCTCACAATGCCTCTTCTCGTATCCACTCCTTAAATGTTGGCTTTTCTCAGAGTTCATTCTTGGCTGCCTTCTTTTCAGCATCTGTGTCCCAGTTGGTGATCTTCCCTCCCACACGTGGCTTCAGTTATCCTCTGTATGCTGACGATGACCAACTACACATCCAGCTCAGACTTCTGAACAGCAGCACTAGGTGCAAGAAGTGGTAGAATAAATTTTCAAAGTGTTTAAAGAAAAAAATTAAACAGTGTTTTTAATTATCACTTACATATTTTCATGAAGTGGATACTAAGACTCAGACCACCTAACACACATGTTAAAAGCACTGTTGGAGGAAATTATCCGGTTAGAAGCAAATAAGATATAGGAAATAAATATCAGTAAATAATTTAGTAAAATTTCTTGTCTAAACAAGTAATGAATGACAACAAAAGTCTATCAATGTTTAAACTTAGAAAACAACAACATGAGTCAGGTTGGTGTTGGAGTCCAGAGAGACCAAAGAGCTTACTAAGGCATTTCTGTTGAAAGTGAAGGGGATAAGGAAAATATAGCTACTGACAAGCTTTAGAATTCTATTACTGTAGGAAATAAATCAGTGAATACTAAATATAAGAACAGAAGTTGAGAAAAATACCAGAAGACTAAAATCATGTGTAATTTTCAAACCAGCAGAGTAAAACTCAGTCTATCCAATAGATGTTAGGAAAGGAGGGAAACAGAAGAAACAAAAAGGAAATACAGAAAATGGAAGAGATAAATGCAAGAAATAAATAATAAACGTTTGTGAATTAAACTCACTTTTAGTAAGAGAGAGACTCTCAGTATAGATTTTTAAATGATGCAATAGTATAAGGTTCATAGAGAAATACTTAAAATGATAATGTAACAATTCCCAAATTACCTACGTGTAAAAGAAAATGTATGAAAGGATATTTGTAACAGGTAAAGAAAAAGAAAAAAACAGTTGACCCTAGAATATTTTATTCTGCCTCATTATAACTTTGCTCAATAGTTCACTAGCTCAAAGATTGCCAACTCTGTTCTACAGAACTCTTTGTCTCTATCTTGATTGCTCTCAATATGTCCTGCAACACAGTCTAAGTAAAAACATGATTCACACCTGTTGCTGCTTTTCACAATCGTTATCTATTGCCTATAGGATAGAAGTCCAAGATCACTGTCATGTTTTTCAAAGCCTTTCTTGATTTATGTTGGCTACTTCCCTATTACCTCTGTACCCTTGACCCTCCTGTTATCTCCTCTTCATGCTTTGGGATGAAACATATGCACTTCTCTAAATAAAGCACTGTAGTTCTCATTTATGTACCTTTGCCTATTTGGATCTTTCTGGCTGGAATTTCCTTCTTCCTTGTTTATCCATCAAGACTTTGAGGAGGTACCACCCTCTCCATGATACTGTCTCCTTTATACTCCTATATTTATATGACATTATATTACATCACATTACATTACTTTGTTGCTTTATCCGTATCCCCTACTAAATTGTAAACTACTGGAAAACAGGGATCACGTGGTCCCAGCCTCCAGCACAGTGCCTGCCATGTGGTACAGATTGTTCTCCATGAATAGATGAATCCAAGACAACAAATACTATGTCTCAGGTGCTAGACAGTGTTAGACTCAGACCAAGAGGTAAGAAACAAAAATTTAGGAAATAGGTTCTGCATACAAAGGTTACAGTAAATGATTTAGTTAGCTCAAAAAGGAAATTAACGTAAACAAGTTATTTTCTGAAATTTAATTGTACTGTATGAGTATTATACTTAGGCAGCACTCTGATGGTGGCATGTGAAAGAAAACCAACTCAAATAAGTTAGTTAAATGTACGGTATTTGTAGAAAATATTGGGCTTGTCTCAAATAGCATTGTAAAGGTGAGGCTGCTCCTACAGCTCAGGTTCAAAGGGAACCGGGAAAACTGGGGACATGAATGTAGCCAGCGTTCTGACTGTCTCTTGGTCTACTGGCCTCACCTCTTATATCAGCTTCCCTCTTTCAGCGGGAAAAATGGGCAGAGAGGAGCCCCGAGCCTTACAACACATAGTTTTTTTGTCAGAGACATTGATCTTCTTCACTGGTTCCTGTTGAATAAGTCTTGGAGAAGAGCTCTGATAACGTCTTCTGAGTCAGTTACCCACCCAGGGTGAATCGGTGATAGCTAGAAGGGAAGAGGCAGATAGCCAAAGGTATGAGAAGTGGAGCAGTCTCAATTCTTGACATGCAAAATGAGGTCCTCCAGCATCATCTGGAGCTTATTAGACATAAAGAATCTTGGGCTCCTGAACTTACTGAACCAAAATCTGCATTTTAACTAGCTCCCAAGTGATTCATGTACACACTCAAGTTTAAGAGGCATAGAACACATTAACCAGGAATGACAGTTCTCTATTTTTTCTGAGACTGGGAAAATTAGTACTGGTTTTAAGTTGTAGCAAGAGGTGTTTCAAGGAAATGTTTGCGAGATAATCTTGTGTTTAAAACAGAATACAACAGTATCTTGAAAAGTTTTGGAATTTTCTTTTGGTAGAAATTTTAGAGAAATATTCACTATTTTTCTCTGGAATAGTTTGTCATATATGCAAAGAAATAGACATTCAAACTTACTTTACTCTCCCATCATTTCTATAATAAATTTTATCTATTTTTTTTTAAACAAATTCACCCCAGAGACTAAATACTGGCACCTGGAAATACCTATTTCCATACCAGTGACTTATTTCCTCTTTGGGCCTCACACTAATTACGTTTTCTCCACATGATATTGAGACTCCGTCTCAAAAAAAAAAAAAAAAAAAAAAGGAAATAATTAAATAAATAAAAAATGAAATAAAGTTAGTAACAGGTTTCTTAAATTTACCAATCCTTTTTTCTAGCTTATTCCAGGTGAAGTCTAGAAAATGCTTTTTGACAGTAAAGAATTTGTTCTTTGGTTGAGTGGAGCAAAAAACATTTTCAAGAATCAACCATTCTTTTTATCTTCTCTGCATATCAGAGCTTTAAAAAATCAGATTATGTCTTTGCTATTAGTCAAAATGAAGGTTGATTACAACATATTTCCAAAGGATTAAAGGACAGTTCCAAAGAATATTGACTTTTTACACAGAATTGTTTATGTCACTTATTGTTGATGAATTAAATTAAAATACGATAGATATTTTTTCTATAGTAGCTTTTTTGTGGTTAATGGTTTAAATCATTTCAGGTGGTGATTTTTTTTTTTCTTTTCAAACAGAGAACGAGCTGGGTAAGGTGGCTTACACTTGTAGTCACAGCATTTTGGGAAGCTGAGGTGGGAGAATCACTTGAGGCCAGGAGTTTGAGACCAGCCTGGGGCAACATAGCAAGATCCCTGTCTCTGTTATTTAAAAAAAAAAAAGATAGAAAAGTGGTAAGAATTTAAAGCATCTAAAGCCACTTTTGGGATTCTGATTCAAAGTCTCACTAGGTTCTCAAACCATCTAGCCCACAGTGACAAAGATTAGCAAGATGTCAGTTCTCCTGATTTAAGAATCTATTCAGCAGTAAAACAGAACAACAAAACAAAAAACTCCAACTAACTAGACAACTATGTTATGTTAAATTAGCAAATTTGATTGACACACATTATCCAATGTTAAAACAGAAAAACAAAACAGACAAGCAAGCTAGGCCATTTAACTACATACTTTAAGTTAGTAAATTTGATGGACGCACAGTCATAAAAATTCCAAAGTCAATAGCTATGTTGAGAATAGTCCCTTGTAATAGTTCTTCCCTGAATCCATAGGAATTTCCCCTTATTTCCTGGTTAGTGGAAATATAGATAAGGAAGGCACACAGGACATTGAATTAAATACAAAATATTTCCTGCATATGGGACCTTGACTACACAATAAAAAATTAGATCTATAATGAAAGCATTTAAAATTCCTTTCTGAAAAGTAAAATGCAAGAAAAAAATGGCTAATGTTAGATGTTCATCAGATAAACTAAAATGTTCCTGAAGTTACTTGTACTATTACTCTAGAAATATTTACGGATTATCTTGTCTGGGTCAATTGCTTTAGTTCTACCTGCCTGCAAATAGAGCTCACTAACACAGTATGACCTTACTCAACTTGTTGAACCACTCTTTGCCTCAGCTTCCTGATTTGTAAATATGGATAATAATGTTATTGACCTAGGGTTTCTGTGAAGAAAAATGAGATAATATAGCAGAAGCTCTTAGAGTAGTGCTTGACACATGGAAAGTGCTTAGTAAATATTAGCAGTTCTTAGTATTATTACTAAGCTATGATAAGTATTTTGTTATTCTAATTTTGTTATTATTATTCTTGGTTTTAATAAGTATTCTGTTACTGCTATAAGGAAAGTAGTTTTCCACTTCTTTCTTCATCCAGCAAATAATGTCTTGTGAATAGCATTAATATAATTGCAATTGTGTTTCTGGAGTGAGCCTGCCAATGAATTAACCTGAAAATGCTTCTTGGCTATAGGGACTAAAGCTGTTGAACATCTGAGGCTTGTACAGTGTTGGCTCAGTTCATGCAACTAAGCTTCTTTCAAGAGGAAATATAATAAACTGATGAAAGAGATTGGCTTCCAGAGTCAGACTAACTGTGATTTACATACTGCTTAAGTCACTTACCAAGTGAGGTTGCAGGCAGATCATTTAGCTCTCAGTCTTAGTTGTCCATCTACACAGCCTTTTGATAAGACATTTCTTCCCCTTAGTGGACCCAGGGTGAGTTTCAAGGGCATGAGAGACCTGTGTAGTCACTTATGGCCCTGCACTCAAGGGGTCCTGTGCTTGGTTTAATCCTCTGCTTCAGTTGTCTTAAAATTCTTAATAATTTTATCTTTGAACTTGTGTTTTATAAGGGAAGCCTGATGGGACAATAGAGAACATGTGTAACTAGTGGAGATAGGTGTGATTATGTGTATCTGCCATTCCTTACTGTGCCATTTGCATACAGGTTCCTGATGGCTCATGCACAAAGAATTTGGGTAGGCCTAGAATGCTTGGAAAGTCAGTGAGACTCAAAATGCCAGATAAGCATGCCATTTCTAGGACTGAGTAAGCAGGTGCCCTGACATCTTGAGACCACACTTTTAGTTCAAACCAGAACTTTCTTTAAACACAGAAAGAAGGCAAAGACATTCTAAGAAACATAAAAGACCACGTGATTCTACCTATCCTTTTTTATTTGTGTTACTTCCCTGTATTTGCCAATTACTTGTGCTGAAAATGATGACATAGAAGGAAGGAGAAAGATGAGGCAGCCCATAGTTCCTTTTCCTTTCAGTCTTTTCTTATTCATCAGTCAGCTGAAGGTAGAGGGTGTTGGTAGAATGTGAACATATTAAGTGAAATAAAAACACTTGAGCCAGTTTTATGCAGTATTTTCATTGTTTTGACAAAACAAAGTAAGTATGCATGTACAAGCTACAAAATACAAATTGTGTATTCAATATACAAGTTAAAAGTTCTTACATTTGTGTTTAAAACTGGCAACACATAATGTAGATGCATTATGTGGTGAAATTCATGTGGTGAAATTCATATGAATACTTTAGAATTATAATTTTTCTTTACTTAGAACATTAAATGACAAAAAAGTAACAAACAAACAAACAAACAAAAAAACACCGTGACAAGCTGAGATGCACTATGGAAGAAAGAAAAAAGCTTTATATTTTAGTGACTTTAATTACACTTTTTTCCTGATGTTTGAATAAGGCCTTGGTCCTGCATTTTCATTTTGTACTGGGTCCCCAAAATTGTGTAATGTGTCCTGTCCTCTTCCGATGGAGTGTAGAGTCCACAGGACCAAGGGGTTGTGACACCCAGTGTGTGTCCTCCCACAGCCCCACATTTCTAGAACCTGCATAACATACCCAACATGAAATTCCCTGACAAATGACTCATCCTGCTTCCATGGTCTGTGTGTGCCACAACTGACTTGGAGTTCTTCCTAGGGAAGATTGTGACAAAGATATGTATACTTCCAGGTTGGAAAGATGGACAAAGGGTAGCTATTGATGTGGTGTATGGGCTGATGAGGCCACACCCATATGCATGAGGCCTGCTGGGGTTTGGACTGTGGAGTAGAGAAAGATAGGAAGATGGTGAATCATGGCCCATCTGTTCCTGAGGTGTCATGTCCCACCATCACACTAAGAGGTTTCCAAGAATTTTAAATTTGAACCTGGACTTCCAAATCCTTATGAAGGTATATTTGTCAAGACCGGAGATAACACATTGTAACAGCTTGTAGGCCTGATTTATAATGTTTACATATTTAGACACATGGTATCTGGATCTACATTTGTCCTCTTGCCTCAGGACACTCAAATATTAGTGGAGGACCTAGACGTGAAGATGTGAAGCACTTAGTGCCTGGCACTCAGTAAAACAAGACAAAACAAAACAAAAAACCCAGGAAACGGTAGCTGTTATCATTATCAGATAAAATAATTAATGATAATGATAATAATATCACACCATTTTCTTCTCTGTCAAGGCCCTGAGTTTTGCTCACCTCTCCCTCACCCTGCACTTTCCCCCCCGAGTTGGTGTGATGATGGTGGTAGTATTTTGCTTTCCAAACCTCAGATTAGTGTCTGAGGAGGGAGACTTTTCTCTACATGGACTGGTTGCCTTGATCCTTAAAGTGCTGCCTGGGGTCCCACTTCCATGCCCTACCAGTAGGAGTAGTGCATTCCTGTGCCTGCCTGAATCACACGTGAACTCAGTGTGCCCTCTGGAGTTTGATTTGTGCTGTCCATTGTACAGGTCATCACTAATTTTTAGTCTCCCCTCCCCCTTAAGAATTCTGAGCTTCTTTGAAATTTAGGAAAAGCTTTATCTCTAGAAACAGCTAAAATAGGTTAGGAAGAAGCATTTAACATGTTTTCCTTTTGCATGTGGGTTCAGGAACCGAGTTAAATAGATTTTTCTCAATTACAATAACTTTGCATTGCTTGGGCTTTTTAATTGAATGACTTTCTTGTCCTCTTTATTTAGTTCTTACCTGGGTTGTTAGATTTGACTGTCTATGTGAAATTTTACTGTAAGCCTCCTTGAACACTGCTTTGTTGATTTGTCTTCTCTTTCTTAGTTTAATGAATCACTCTAACAGATTTTTTTGGGAAAGATTTTGGCGTTTCTTTAAAAGTCTGAAACCATGTAGAATTACTTGGAGGCAATGAAAATCTATTGAGGCCATATGTCAGGTGTATTTTTAAAGTATAATTTAAAGATTATAGTGTTTATATTTTCTTTATTTTTGATATTGTTCTGGGCAATGATTTTTTTGGATTCGACTCCAAACCTCAGGCAACAAAACCAAAAATAGACAAATGGTATTACATCAAACAAAAAAGCTCCTGCACAGCAAAGGAAACAAATAACAGAGTGAACAGGCAACCTGTGAAACGGGAGGAAATATTTGCAAGGCCATACATCCAATAAAGAGGGAATATCTAAAATATATAAGGAACTCAAACAACTCAATAACAAGAAAACGACCTGATTAAAAAATAAGCAAACGGCCTAAACAGACATTTCTCAAAAGAGGATGTATTAGTCAGGGTTCTCTAGAGGGACAGAATTAATGGAATATATAAAGGGGATTTTTTAAAATGTTAACTCACATGATCACAAGGTCCCACAATAGGCCATCTGCAGTCTGAGTAGCAAGGAGAGCCAGTCTGATTTCCAAAACTGAAGAACTTTGAGTCTGATGTTCAAGGGCAGGAAGCATCCAGCACGGGAGAAAGATGTAGGCTGGGAGGCTAGGCCAGTCTTTCTTTTTACATTTTTCTGCCTGCTTATATTCTAGCTGCACTGGCAGCTGATTAGATTGTGCCCACCCAGATTTAGGGTGGGTCTGCCTTTCCCAGCCCACTGACTCAAATGTTAATCCCCTTTGGCAACACCCTCAAGGGCACACCCAGGATCAATACTTTGTATCCTTCAACTGAATCAAGTTGACTCTCAGTATTAGCCATCCCTTGTCAACTTGAAGCCATACACATCTCCTAAGATCACACATAATCTTCAAATAAAGACAATAATAAGGTCATAATTACGCTTAACATAATACAACTATCCTTCATACAACCAAAATGCACCAGTCCCCAACCCAAATACATAAAGTTAACGATACTTAAATGCTAATGTGAAGTCAATAAATCTTATGTCACATGATAAAGGAGAAAGGAAAAAAAATGAAGATATTTTCTTGGTACAAGTGTGTACATGTACAAACATGTTTTTAACAAAAGAAGGAGGAAATACTCATGACAATTACAGTCCTCGTTTCTACAGCTGGTCCTGTCGTGGTAGCTGATACCAATGACTACCTTGTTCTACTACCCATTTTGTATCCCATTTGCCTTCAGCAAGCACCTCAGGCGGCCATGTTTTTTCCCTGTTGGAGTGACCCAACCCTTCATTCCTGAAGGGCCTGGATCATTCGTAGTCCTGCCTGGATTGGGCTGTTGTAGTTTCCCATTACCTTAATCACAGGGCATGGTAATACTAAGAGACACCCTAATGGATCTCCTGTATTCCATTCATATTCTTCCTTACCTCCATTGTGGAGTAGTAGACTAATTTCATCTTGATAGTCCGGGTCAATCACCCCAGCCAACACTGTAATTCCATTCTTAGCCTGTTGACTTAAAGGGAGGAGAAGCCCAAAGTGTCCAGGTGGCAATCTTAACTTCCAGTATAATGGATCGTTGTGTCTCCTGGTGGCAGCATTCCTCCCTCTGGAACTAAGACCTCCAGGCAAGCAGAACATAATGTCATGGGACAAGGAAGCAAAAATTTTGCTAGTGAATCACTAGGGGTGATGGTGAGTGGTGCTACTTCTACTTCCACCCCTTGATTCCTGGACCCATGAATCCTGGCTATGGGAGAAACAGTACCATATACTGGACGCTGATTCAGAACGTCCATGGCCTTCTGGAGAACTGTGCCTCAGCCCTGCAAAATATTGTCACCTAGTTGGCTTTGTAATTGTGACTTCAAAAGGCCATTGCACCGTTCTATCAATCCAGCTGCTTCAGAATGTTGGGGAACATGGTAAGACCAGTGAATTTCATGAGCATGAGCCCACTGCCACACTTCTTTGGCCATAAAATGAGTGCCTTCATCAGAGGCAATGCTGTATGGAATCCATGATGGTAAATAAGGCATTCTGTGAGTCCACGGATGTAGTCTTGGCAAAAGCCGTTTGTGTAGGATAGGCAAACCCATATCCAGAGTAAGTGTCTATTCCGGATAGACACTTATTCTATCCAGTGAGGAAAAACCTCTGCTCTTTCCATGATAAAAGAGGTCCAATATAATCAATCTGCCACCAGGTAGCTGGCTGATCACCCCAAGGAATGGTGCCATATGGAGGGCTCAGTGTGGGTCTCTTCTGCTGACAAATTGGGCACTCAGCAGTGGCCATAGCCAGGTCAGCCTTGGTGAATGGAAGTCCATGTTGCTGAGCCCATGAGTAACCTCCATCCCTGCCACCATGGCCACTTTGTTCATGGATCCATTGGGCGATGACAGAGGTGGCTGGGGAAAGAGGCTGAGTGGTGTCCACAGAATGGGTCACCGGGTCCACTTGATTATTAAAATCCTCCTCTGCAGAGGTCACCCGTTGGTGAGCACTCACATGGGATACAAATACCTTCACAGTTTTTGACCACTCAGAGAGCTCCATCCACATGCCTCTTCCCCAAATTTCTTTGTCACCAATTTTCCAATCATGCTTCTTCCAAGTCCCTGACCATCCAGCCAAACCATTGGCTACAGCCCATGAATCAGTATATAATTGCACATCTGGCCATTTCTAATTTCATGCAAAGTGCACAGCCAGGTGCACTGCTGGAAGTTCTGCCTACTGGGAAGATTTCCCTTCATTGCTGTCTTTCAAGGATGTCCTAGAGAGGGGCTGTATTGCTACAGCTGTCCACTTTCGGGTGGTTTCTGTGTATCTTGCAGAACCATCTGTGAACCAGGCCCTAGTCTTCTCTTCCTCTGTAAGTTGACCATAGGGAACTCCCCATGAGGCCATTGGTGCAGGCTGAAGAAGAGAAGGCAGGGTGGCAGGAGCAGAGACCATGGGCATTTGAGCCACTTCCTCATGTAACTTACTTGTGCCTTCAGGACCTGCTTGAGCCAGATCACATTATATACCACTTCCATTTGATGATGGAATGCTGCTGTGCACACCCCACTTTATAACTAGATGGATCAGAAAGCACCCAGGTCATGATAGGCAGTTCAGGGAGCATGGTGACTTCATGACCCATAGTCAAATATTCAGTTTCCACCAAAGCCCAGTAACAGGCCAAGAGCTGTCTCTCAAAAGGAGAGTAGTTATCTGCAGAAGATGGCAGGGCCTTGCTCCAAAATCCTAGCTGTGATTCACCTATGGGGACCTGCCAAAGGCTCCAAACAGTATCCCTATCTGCCACTGACACCTCAAGCACCATTGGATTTGCTGGGTCATATGGCCCAAGTGGCAGAGCAGCTTGCACAGCAGCCTGGATTTGTTGCAGAGCCTTCTGTTCTGGACCCCCCTCAAAACTGGCAGTCTTTTGGGTCAGTTGATAAATGAGCCGGAGCAACACAGAAGACATACAAATAGTCAATAATACATGAAAAAAATGTTCAACGTCACTAATTACTGGGGAAATGCAAATTAAAACCACAGTGAGATATAACTTAACACCTATCAGAATGGCAATTATAATAAAGACAAAAAATAGTTGTTGGCAAGGATGTAGAGAATAGGGAACCTAGTATACTGTTGGTGGGAATGTAAGCTAAGACAGCCATTAGGGAAAACAGTATAGAGGTCTCTCAAAAGACTAAATTATCATATAATCCACAAATCCTCTTCTGGGTATATATCCAAAAGTTTTAAAATCACTATGTTGAAGAAATATTTGTACTTCCATGTTCATTACAGCATCAGTCACAATAGCCAAGTTATGGAATCAATCTTAGTGTCCATCCATATATAGAACATTTTCTTTATCCATCTGTTTGGATGAATGTATGTGTATCTGTATATGCATACATATACAGGTGTATATATTATATATATATATATAATACACACACACACACACACACACACACACACACACACACACCCTATGTATCTATCTATATATTCACACAATAGAATACTATTCAGCCTTAAAAAAATAGATTATGTTGTGACATGGATGAACCAGAAGGACATTTTTCTAAGTGAAATAAGCCAGATACAAAAGACAAATGCCATATGTTCTCACTTATACGTGGAAGCTAAAAAAATTGAATACATAGAAGCAGAGAGTAGAATGGGTATTAACAGAGGCTGGAGAGTTAGGGGAATGGGGAGATGTTGGTCAAAGTATATAATGTTTCAGCCAGACAGGAGGCATAAATGATAAGAATTTGAAGTGACGGATTTCTTAATTAACTGGATTCAATCATTCCATATTGTGTGTACATATATATATATATATATATATATATATATATATGAAAGAATCATTTTGTACCTCATAAAATATATACAATTATAACTTGCCAATATCCAACAAAAAATTAATTAAAAAATAATTCAATCCCTAGAGGAATTCCAGAGTATACCTGGAAGCAGATTTTGCCCAGCATGACTAATTCCGAGATGTAGTAATATTTGGAGAAACAGAGGTTCGATTAGGGTTATTTTGCTTCATTTCTTTCTCTTGCTTTTCTCTTCTCTTCTTATTTTATACATATACCCAGACATCATGAAAGTAAAAGGATCACTTTCTCTGGCAGATACCACATGTGGATTAGGTATGCAAAGCATGAGTTCCTATAATATGTGCTTCCCCTGAAATAGACCCTACATACTGTGCATTGCTTTGTTTGTTTGTTTTTAACTTTTATTTTAGGTTTGGGGGTACATGTGAAGGTTTATTACATAGGTAAACTTGTGTCATGAGGGTTTGTTGTACAGATTATTTCATCACCCAGGTATAAAGATCAGAGGACAATAGTTATTTTTTCTTCTCCTCTCCCTCCTCCCACCCTCCATCCTCAAGTAGACCACAGTGTTTGTTGTTCTCTACTTTATGTTCATGAGTTCTCATCATTTAGCTCCCACTTATAAGTGAGAACATGTGGTCTTTGGTTTTCTGTTCCTGCATTAGTTTGCTAAGGATAATAGCCTCCAACTCCATCCATGTTCCCACAAAAGACAGGATCTTGTTCTTTTTTATGGCTGCATAGTATTCCATGGTGTATATGCACCACATTTTCTTTATCCAATCTATAATTGATGGGAATTTATGTGGATTCCATGTCTTTGGTATTGTGATTAGTGATGCAGTTAACATTCATATGCGTGTGTCTCTATGATAGAATGATTTCTATTTCTCTGAGTAAATACCCAGTAATGGGTTTGCTGGGTCAAATGTAGTTCTGCTTTTAGCTCTTTGAGGAATCACCATACTGCTTTCCACAATGGTTGAACTAATTTACACTCCCACCAACAGCATATAAGTGTCCCCTTTCCTCTGCAACTTTGCCAGCGTCTGTTATTTTTTGACTTTTTAAAAATAGCCATTCTGACTGGTGTGAGGTGGTATCTCATTGTGGTTTTGATTTACGTTTCTCTAATAATTAGTGATGTTGGACATTTTTTCATGTGCTTGTTGGCTGCATGTATGTCTTCTTTTGAGAAGTGTCTGTTTATGTTCTTTGCCCTCTTTTTAATGGGGTTGTTTTTGTCTTGTAAATTTAAGCTCCTTATAGATCTGCGCATTGTTAAGTGCCTGTTCGCTTGATAGTACTTTAGTTGGCAGAAACCATGTAGCTCATTACCCATTGTAATCTTAGTGTCTAACATGGGACTTGGGATACAATGTGGGTACTTTAAAAGTATTTGCTGAATAGATAAATGAATGTCTCAAGCACACAGACAACATGCTTAATGCAAAGCTAAAGGATTTCAGGGCAGGTGTCTTAAGAGGTGGAAGTTGAAGGAATTGTCAAAGGAGGACTTGAAGTGACATCCCAAGGCATATAGGGGCCATATAAAGAAAAAGATAATGGACCAGGTAAAAAGAAACAATCAAGTGATGGGAGTCATCATGAAATTACAACGTCAGTTCAGTGGGATAGGAAGTGAACAGCACAGAGGGTTAGGAGGTTGTGTCCAGAATAGGATACTGGATTTTAAGATTTCACAGGTGCGGTTGTTTCAGGTCATTACTAGGTCAAAATGTGGCCTTAGCAAGACTTGCTCAAACCATATGCAATTGCCAATATTCGAATTTTTTACTTATAAAAATACACTTTTATTATTCAAACCAATAGTTTGTTCAATTTTAGTGGAGGTGGGGTGACGATCAAGGAATTTTGAGGCTGAGATATGAACTGACTCATTCATATAGATTCTGAGACCACTCAGAGTGATTTTAAGAGGTGAGGGGGGAAGAGTGTTGTGCCTAACTTGGGTGAGTGTGGTAGATAACAGTGAAGAGAAGGGATTAAAAAACAGCATAGATCAATGACATAGGATGGAAGCTTTAAACAAACCACATTAGATCATAGGGGTAACAGCCTAGCTTGGAAGTTGCAAAGGGGAGCTTGGAGAATATTTCTCCCTACGCTCTTTTGATGCTGGATACTTGGATATTAAGAGAAGTACCAACATCTGGAACAGATTTACC
Organism: Homo sapiens; assembly: GCF_000001405.40. Lineage (NCBI taxonomy): Eukaryota > Metazoa > Chordata > Mammalia > Primates > Hominidae > Homo > Homo sapiens. The sequence continues at coordinate 86,508,805 of NC_000001.11, read as the reverse complement.
AGATTTACTCACTCACTTAATTGACTTATCAGAGGCTAAGGCCATTGTGGGTCAATGATGGCATAAGGCAAAAATTTGGCTTATTTTATCACCTATGACAATACAGATCCATTTCGCAATAAACTTTCCTATAACCCAGAGTACATAAGAATGTTTTTTCTTTGTTGTTCTCTACTTTCTATCTTATCTATATGTTAACATTTACCTCTTCTTCTCCAAAGTCACATGGTATGCATCTCTGGTTTACTACCATATCCCATGCTACATTTTACTGAGTTCACCCAAATGGGAAATTAAAATCTCAGTGAGTGACTTATTGAAAAATTTCCAGGCGAAATCCATGGTAACCATGTTCTACGAAGTTGGGACCTCAGTCTCATTTGTCACAAAGTGGCCTTCTCATCAGCTAAGTGCTTGGTTTGGTTTTGTAACATTTAGAAAAGGACTCCAAACTGACCCTTGCAGAGCTTATAGCTTGCAGTGAACGCCAAGAATGAGTTCTCAGACGATTCTAGCTGAGCGGAGCGGGGGACCACCCTTCTGAGAGAGAGTGTCACCCCAGAATCCATCCGCCAAGTATTTATTGAAAGGGCTTGTTAAACTACAAACATCCACTAGATGGCCTCTTGAGGTCGGGTCGTGAGGCACTTATGGCCTTATAAAAGCACTCAAACCACATTCTCAGGAGGCTGTTTTCAGCCTTCCTTATGACACGCTCCACTCCTTGTCCTGTTTTCAGGGTCAAGGAGTTACATTTCCATGCACAAATAACATACACACAGTGCCTCCGTCTTTTTCCATGCCCCTACCTCAAATGCCTTGTACACAAGCTTGAATGTGTTGCCATGCACCCCCGACGTCTCCCCCTTCTTTAATTCTTAGAGCGTGCTGGTCATCCAATGCAAGGTAAACTTCTATCGTTCTTCCCTGGTTGTCGACGCGCTGGGTAGCAGCACAGAGCCATCTGCAGATGTCTAGCAAACAGATACAAGAAAGAATAACTATAGCGGCCATCACCCAGATGCGCATGTTTAACCCAGACAACCAAGTGTTTGGGTTTAACCATTGAAAGCCTTCTTGAAATTGCTGAAGGGTACTTGTTTGTGATTGCTGTGACCTTTCTTCAAGTTGTTTCTTCAACTCACACTTAGGAGTAGAAACTTGAGAAGACAAATGGTCGCGATAAGCCCCTTGCAGATGTGTGTTCACTCTCTCCCAAGCATATTGGGAGCTATTATACGGCAGAAGTGTGACACAGATAGAATTATATTGCCAATCACAATGTAAATTTTGACAGGTAATGAATGCCTGCTGCTGATTCCCTAGCTATTTAACAGTGGCTTTAAGAGCCTCCAGGTGAGGCAGAATAGTTTTATCAATATTTACCTGTTCTTGAAATTCATGGGTTACATTATATGCAGTGTGGTTCACCACTGAGGCTGCGTGAATAGATTGTGTCAGAGAAACAGCCACAGTAGCGGCAGTTGCTAATATAATAATAGCTGAGACTAAAAAGGCAATTAAAGTGGCCAGAAATCTTTTTTTCTGAGTATGAGACAGTGCTTTTCTAAATAGCTGCAGAGTGGAATCTCCTTCCCAGCTCCTGGTTAAATTTATGGGCAGCTACAATTCTGCACGCCATTTTACAATCATGACATAGGTTATATTCAACTGTGTAATGTTTTGATGAGACAATCATGTAGCATACTAACTACTGGAAGAGACTTTAATACTATAAAAGGATTGATTCTGCTCTATGTTAGGAACACCTTGCCCAAACAAAAGTATATAGGGGTGCATAGTACAAATCAGGACTGTGTCAGTAACATTATTATGCAAAGAGAGGGTATAGTTGCCACCACTAGTAATATACTCACCATGTGAAAGAACCCATTCAATAAAAGGAAGTCCTAGTCTCCAAATTTCGGTATGAGCAGGGCTTAAAGCCTGTTTCCCTGTTAGTTATAATATTGGTCCTGAAAGCCCATACTCTGACCAGGTGACAAAACTATTGGAAGGACTCCAAATCCAGTAGTCTGATTGGCACACATAAGATTACCATGGGGACCCCATTATCAAACAGAGGCCCTTGATGGGGCGCAGGCTGTCTGCACAGCGAACACTGGACGACATCAAACTTATATTGCCAGTCTCTACTCAGACGGCATATAGGAAGATCAGGCCCTTGTGTAGCTTCATTAGAGACCTCAGTAAGATTAGTGGTAACAGCAGAAATAAAGGTCAAGTTTGCAAGCTTAGTATCCCTTTTGGACTGAGGTAAAGATATTCCTGAAGATTGAGAATGACACACTTATCACGTGCTATTGTGGAAAAACAAATAGGGGGATTGCTATACAATAAAATCAAGGAGTAATTAAGTTTAATCCATCCCAAATTTTCAGTTAAGGGGTAAGACAAGAGCATCCATCGACCTCCTATCCAAGAAGTGTCATTAGATGACAAAGGCGGGTCAGCATCCCACCATGTAATAACATTAAAAACACGGGGATTTAGAACATGACTCCAATAAACATGTTCTTGAGCTGATCCCACTTGGCAAAGTATAAGAATTACCAGCCACCCCAACATCCATGTCTGTCTTACTTTCTCAGAAGTTTCCCCAGTTGCCACAGATACATAAGAAACCGATTCTCTGCAGTTGCATGGGCTTCCACGGCTGCAAGCAGGATAGATGCCTGTTGATCCAATCTCTTTAGCTGTCCCCAGGTAATGTTAGGTGACTTCTGAGTCATCATTGTCATTATTGGTTGATTCTCCGACAGGTCCTAGTCTCGAGAACAGAGCCCCATATTCCCCCTTTTTTGTTTATTAAGATATATTTTAAGAGTTTGATGAGCTTATTTAACAATGGCCTGACTGGCTGAGTTAGAAGGAATACCAGTTTTGTGTTGTATGTACCAAAGTTGCAATGCATATGCAAATTGAGCACTAAGATAGTAAGGTCCATTATCAGTTATTATAGTGTGTGGAAAGCTTAGAGTCATAATAGAGTTAAACAAATTAGCAAATGCATCTTTAGTTTTTTTCTCCCGTCTGGGGGGTAGCATGTGTCAGGCCTGTATAAGTGTCCATGGTAACGTGGAGAAATTTAAAACTTCCAAAGGATGGTTACTGAGTAACATCAGTTTGCCAGATAGTGTTAGGCACCAGACCTCGTAGGCTGGCACTAAGCCCTAAGGAAAAAGGGGAAAGAGAACGCTGTTGGCAATCAGGACAGTTTTAATAATCATGTGAGCTTAAGCAAGTGTCAAATGAAACTGTTGTTTAAGACTGCAGGCGTTCTGATGAAAAACAGCATGATCAGCTTGAGCTCGCAAAAAAGCAGGAGAATCTGCAAACCACATCTGTGGTCGTACCAGAGCATCAGCTCAAGCATTCCTTTCTGACAAGGGACCAGATAGCCCAGAATGAGAGCGAATATGTGTGATGTAAAGAGGGTGATGACTGGCAAGGAGGAGTCTTGCGCTGCAAGAGACAAAGCTAGTAGGGGTTCATTAGTAATGCCCTTCACATGTGCAAGATCTAAATGAGTAATACTATACACCGCATAAGTGGAATCACTAAGTATATTTACGTCTTGGTGAGGAAAATTTGTAAGGCCAATATCAAGGCACCTAACTCTGCCTGTTGTGTAGTTTTTAAAATGCTCCTGGATTCTGTACTGCCAGTTTTGCATGGCATCTTGCCACACTATAGCTGCTTTTCCAGTTTTTCCTGAACCATCTGTAAAGAGAGTGATGGCATGAAGTAAAGGCTCAGAGACAACAATAGATACAAACTTCACAGGCATAGTTTGTAAAAAGTTCAGGAGCTTAGAGGCTGGTAAATTGAAGCTGATATTACGAATAAAGTCAGCCATTGCTACTTGCCAATCAAGATCACGAGCTAAGAGAGTATGAAATTGTTCCTTGCTTAAAGGTAGGAAAGAGTAGCAGGGTCATATCCTGACAGCTGGACGCAACGTTGGCGTCCCTTTATGAGAAGAGAAGCTATTAAATCTGTTGTCTTTTGTGTATGTTTAGAGGGATTATGAGACAGGTACATAACAGATGTAAAATACAGAAATGGCAAAAGATAAAGCCTACCTGTTAAACTAAGGCATGGAAGCGATGGATATTTCAAATGATTATTACTATATTTTGGCCCTTGAAAATCATTAGAATGTGACTGCAAGTCGCCAGGATAATAAACCTGCATTGAGTTAGCTTAAGTATGTAAAAAAAAAAAAAAGAAAAAACCCCAAAAAACTTTTTAAAATGTCCTTTGGTGTTGGCCATTTTCCTGCATCAGCCTTTAGATGGAATGTCTTAGAAGTGAGCTTGGGAAAGTAGGGCTGTGGCCAGTTTCTTTTATTCGGTCTGGGCTCCTTAGGCAGCTTCTGTTTTTAACAGCTTGCCACTTGTTGCTGCCCTTACTCTGAAAGAAAGGAAGGAAGACTACAAGTGGCAGTAAGAGGCCAAAGAATGACCGGGTGGTAACGTGCGTGTGTAAGCGCAGAGGCTGGAGGGAAGAAGGTAACCGGCTGGGAGAAAACCACTCCGCTTATCTTTTAGGCCACCTACGCCTGAAGCCAACCCTGTTAGGTAAGGTACTGAAAATAGACTGCGCTTTTTATTATTTTTACCACCCTCAAGCAGAGAGGCTCAGGGGAGGAGCAGACAGGCAGCGCAGTGTCTGCTTTGAAGTTTCTTAGCCCCAGTGTTTTTAAACATTTTATAAAAAAGCGAAACAAACATTCCTTACTGCTGCGTCTTATCTTCTGACGATGACAGCAGCTGGCAGAGCTCATCCACCTCAGCCTAGTTAGCATTTAGCATATGGCTACTGGAGAGCGTCCCTTATTAGCGGGCTCCTCCCTCAGGGCTCCGTACTCTAGGCTCCTCCGCACTACTTTGCCCACCTTAGGCTAGTAAGGTCGGCGTGCACATGGACTGTTTCTTAGCCCTTTCCCTAGGGGGCCAGGGAAGACAAGGAATTGCTTGTCAACTGAGACATGCGAGGGGTGGCAGGGAAGGGCAGAAGTAGGAAAAGCAGCAGCACAGCAAGCAGCAGGCCACTTCCCGGGCACGGTTACTAAGGCACGTGACCATGGTGAGGAGGATCCTCAGGACCCGGCTGGAGCTGCCTGCAGCCACCCGGGGACTCGGTCTGTGCCTCTTGACCTCCCCTCCATCACCACAAACCCAGAAAGGGGCAACCTGCCCAGACTGCAAGTGACTAAATGGGCACTCCATGGCATCTTAGCAACTCTCCTGCCCCAGGCCTCTGTGGGCAGCAAGAAAGCCAGAGCTATCTAGGATAAAACCCAGGAGGCAGCATGTAAGTTCCCCTTATACTCCAGGGAAACAGAAAACCGACAAGGCCAGAAAGGCTGATGCTGGAAGTAGGAAATGAGAACTTGCGTATTAGGAAGACAATCATACTCAGCCACTTTCCTTCCCTCTTGGAGGCACCCCTCCAGCAGGGAAGTTTGTCAAGGAGAAGCGGACACCCGATCATACAGATGTTCGCTGACCGGGGGTCTTATCTAAGAACCGTCCCTTGGGCAGTTTCCAATCTCCTTAAGGGGGATGGGAGGCGCTGTTGGCTGAACGGGGCCAACAAATGCAGGTCCCTTTAAGGGTGGAAGAAAGGAGGGCAATGGCTTTTCTATAGGGGGAGGAAAAGGCTCTGGTCCGTCCTTATCCTCACTAGAAAAAATATCCTGCTCATGTCCTACGGAAGGGAATGAAGTAGAGAGAGGAGCACCCCCCTGCTGCTCTGGTTCCTGTTTTTCCTCACTGGAAAAAATCTCTTCTTTATTCCCCATAGAAGGGAATGAAGAGGGGAGAGGAATCTCTCCCTTTAAATCTTCTGAATTCCTTTCAGGTGGAGATAATGGGCGGTCTGACTCACCGCAATCTGGCAGATAAAGAGGATACAACGCAGAGCGTACCAGCGCGCCCAGGTGGTCAAAATAGTAACATTTGCTCATATCCTCTTTTCAGGCAGCGACCTACCTGCTCCCATAACTCTAAATCTAAGGTTCCTTGATCAGGAAACCAAGGGCATCCCTGCCGAATTAAAAGCATAAGCTTGTGTAGAGCTCCAGGCTCTACAGTGCACTGGATAGCCTTAAGTAGCTGTTGCACTGTTTTAAAAAATACTTTCTGTTCTTTGGTCATTTCCTGACCCATGATGACCCAACCCCTGGTATTTTACGCGTGGGTCCCGTCCTCCTAATGGCAATCAGGACTGTCCCTTACTGGGATTCCCCAAAAATTAAGGAGTTTTCCTCCTTCACGTGCAACTTCAAGGCGATCACTTCGGGCGCACCACTTGTAGAGTTTATAGCTTGCAGTGAACGCCCAGAATGAGTTCTCAGACAATTCCAGCTGAGCGGAGCGGCGGACCACTCTTCTGAGAGAGTGTCACCCCAGAATCCATCCGCCAAGTATTTATTGAAAGGGCTTGTTAAACTACAAACATCCACTAGATGGCCTCTTGAGGTCGGGTCGTGACACACCTGTGGCCTTCTAAAAGCATTCAAACCACATTCTCAGGAGGCTGTTTTCAGCGTTCCTCATGACACACTCCACTCCTTGTCCTGTTTTCAGGGTCAAGGAGTTACATTTCCATGCACAAATAACATACACACAGTGCCTCCGTCTTTTTCCATGCCCCGACCTCAAATGCTTTGTATACAAGCTTGAATTTGTTGCCATGCACCCCCAACAACCCTCTGCCCATTTGGCTGGCAAAGCAACTGGTTGTGCCCTCAATAAACAGTACTGACTTTGGGAACATCAGGGTCTTCCTAGTCTTGGAACTCTCTACTGTTCAGTTTTTATAACAAATTTATATGTAAGAAATACGGGTCCTAGGAAACAGCCTGAAGGACATGCAATCCATTCACTCCAAATTTTACCTCTGGGGCAAGCTCAAGAGCTAATTGCTAGGCCCGCATTTTTTGGGTCCCTGTATAATTGCCTTTCCTGAACAATGCTGTGGTGTTACTCCTTTGGCTTACAGTGAAGGAAGTAATTAGCCCTATATTAAACTTGTTGTTATGATTACTATACGGTTGCTGCTTTGGCTGCGGCCCTTAACATCACAGTGCCCTAATAAACTGAGGATCCACAGATAAAACTTCTTGTGGGTCTCACGACTAGGAAAAGCCATGCTTCTCCTGAGCTGCTTCTGGCTTGCTTTTCACTATAGACTCTGTTAATCTTGTTACTATATACACTTCATTTGTCCTACCTACTTGTCACAAAGTGAAATATGTGACTTGGCTGTAGCAATTGTACAGAACATTATATTATGCATTTGATGTGGTGGTTTTCCCTCTAGTTTTTTTCCCCCATGTATTCTTTATAGGTTTATACCTGAGCACTTCTTCTAGTTTTTATTATATATTTTATTTCTTTATTTTTATGTTTATTGCATGTATCACTAAGATGGCTCAAATCTGGTTTTGAAATAAGAAAGGTCTACAAATAAAGAAATTTTGGGTCTACGCAGAAATGATATGCTAGATATTTTGTTTTCAATCATAAAGAGAGCCACCCACATCTTGAACTCATTGTACTAATAACTGGGAACTCGAAACAATTTTCACAGGACTATCTACACCTACAGGCACTGGAATCTGTGACTAGTCCTTCACGAGGACTGCCATAGTGCTAGGCCTACACTTCCAACCCTTTTTCCTCTTCTTCTCCTTCCCCTTTCATTTGTTATGCTGCTGGTCTTTCTCACACTTATTAAGGGCTTCGTGCGGTTCTTAAAGACTCCCTTCTCAAGCATATCTCTGAGCATATCTGCCTCCTGATTTCAAAAATAAATCCTCAAATGCTCTTTTTAGTATACAGGAAAAAGGCCAATGCTTACTCATCTTTCTATCCTTAGAACCTAGCATTGGCCTGGAAAATAATAAGCAGCTGGTGAACATTTGTTGAAAGAACTGAATTACATTAAATAAACTAATGCACATAAGGCATTAGTTGGGCCCTTGGACAAAGTACACAATAAATGTTTATTTCTCAATCACTTTCCCTTCACACCTGGCCTGAAGCTACCTTTCCCACCTTATCCCCACTGCCATGGCTTAAAGCATCACTAACTCTTGTAATTTCATGCACATAACGTTCATTTCTGTGCCTAGGGAATTTTCATTGTGCTGTTCTTTCTTTCTTCAATGCCATCTCTTCCTTAAATGCACCATCATTGCTCAAATTTAGAGAAAATAAGACATATTCCTAGTGATGCTGGTCCAAAACTCCTATAAAACAAGTCATGTCTTTTATATTTAAATAATTTAGATTGGCTTTTCTTCACCAAAAGAAATCAAACAACTTTTAGCAACTCTGTTAGATTTCTGCAATTGCATGTTGTTTTTAACTGGCAAAGCTCCTTAAAACAAATAAAAACATACTTCCATTTATTGATGCAAGCCCTGTTTCTTTCTAGTATTCAAATTCATTAATAAAAGACTCAATGATTATTAAATTTTTGGGTTTGAATGGATAGTTTTTATGCATGTATACCCAGTTGTTTAGCATTTTATTTTATCGCCCCCTACAGGAAGTCTAAAATACATTTAGTATATCGCCCCCTACAGGAATACATTTAGTATAAATGTACTATATACATTTAGTATATCGCCCCCTACAGGAAGTCTAAAATACATTTTAGAAAATTTTATAATCAAAAAAAAGGATGAATGATTTATTTTATTTATCTGACAAAAATTCAGCCCTAGGCTATTGACAGCTGCAGTTCTCCTATCCACTTCCACATAATTTTTAAAATGTGAATGCCAGGAATGGTGCTGTTGATATGAATATTAGGACAAGGAGCAGACGTTTCATCAGGACTAGGTGTCTCTGGCGGAGTCTGTGGAGGAATAAACAAAGATACTCGTGCAATGTTGGATATTTCTGATTTCAGATCGACCTTATCAACAGCCTGAATAGCAATGAAAAGATCTGTGCCATTTTCAAAAGTAATGTTTTCTGGTTTAAACAAAAAGACTTCCTCAGAGTTGGCTTCCTTTGGGATGAGAGCAGTAGTATTCACTTGAAGAGATTCATTGAACTTGTCTCTGAGATCAAGAATACTTGTACTTATTCGAATGATATACTTGTGAGCTAAAAAGAAAAAAGAAGAATGTGACTTTAATTCTGAAATATTAAAGAAACTTCTTAAGCAGTAGAGCTTTAAAAAATATTTAAAAAGCTTTAAAAGTCTATGAGAAATTATATCATCACCCCATAAGGTTCCCAAATAAATGAACTGATGGTCCTGTTTACAAGGATTACTATCTCTTTTACATTCTTGTTTGTATATAATGACACAGTGATAAGCGTAAAACTGGATTGGGCATGACGTAAAGCCTTGGTCAGCATTTCTAGCCATAGTGCCCGGCAGAAAGAAGAGACTGTTTAACAACTGTTTATTGTTTTATTATTTATAGAGGCAGTTTGCACCAATGCTTCTCAAACTGTAATGTGTGTACAAATCACCCAGGGATCTGAAAATGCAGATCTGAAAACACTTTCTAACAAGTGTTCATGGTATCTACATGCTGCAGTCCACAGACCACACTTTGAGAGAGAAAGTCTGGTAGGACCTGAGGTTCCTTCCAAAAGAGCTCTGCTCTGCAGACATCTATGCTCCATTTCCAGTTCTTCCCCAGGAGTCACTGCTACCCAGAAAATGGAGTTTGTCAAAGGACAGTTTGGTAAGATTTCAGAAACAAAGTGAGGTTTACCCTTCCTGGCTGAAGCCTCTTACTCCCAAAGTTTACCAGTTTTTCAGGTTTTAAATCTCTCTTCTTTAAATACATTTATCCCTCATTTCAAAGGACCGGCAAGATCCCTCCTGCCTTCTGCCCCCTAAGTATCAGAACACGGCTGCCTGCCTCACCCGCTTCTGCTCTTCTACTTGGCTGGTAAACTCTTTTACAGGGTCCACACCAGGTTCAGCTTACCTGTTCCATGGTCATAATCATCCCCAGGAGCTGTCCAAGTCAGATTAATGAGACTGCCCCCGTGAATTTCCGCCTTCAGGTCGGTGATTTGGCCAGGTGGGAAGAGATCAGGTATGGGAGCATTTGGGACATCAGAAGCCACAAATGAGCCTCCCGAGGATGTTCTGCTGAAACACACTTGCTTGTGTTGAACATCATCCTTATTAATTTCAGGTCTTGGTGGATTCCATTGTATTTCATCTGCATTAAAAAAATACTCAAAATATGGTAAGCAACATCACTAAATGGTGACACCTCCGTCTGTTTTCTTATCAGATCACCCTCTTCCTGTTCCCCACTTCTGCTTCTTTCCTTCCACACACAGAATTAATTTTAAATATTTGGAGACAAGACCACAAATACGGTTTCATCAGAGGGAAAAGAGAAAACAGAGAATCACAGTTTCTTTTTTTTATCTCTTAGATATTTCCTGGATATTTAGTGGAATAACCTTTTGGAATTTATTTTCATGACATTTGTCCTAAAATTGCTTATTTTCCCATCTTTTTGCCCATCCTGATCTTGTCTTTCCACAAGGTCAGTTTAAATACTACATCTGTTTTTTCCTTCCTTCCTTCCTTCCATCCTTCCTTCCTTCCTTCCTTCCTTCCTTCCTTTCTTTGTTTTTGTTTTTGAGATGGAGTTTCGCTCTTGTCATCCAGGCTGGTGTGGCGCAATCTTGGCTCACTACAACCTCTGCCTCCTGGGTTCAGGTGATTCTCCTGCCTCAGCCTCCTGAGTAGCTGGGATTACAGGCATGTGCCACCACACCGAGCTAATTTTTGTATTTTTAGTAGACATGGGGTTTCACCATGTTGGCCAGCCTGGTCTCGAACTCCTAACCTCAGGTGATCCACCTGCCTCAGCCTCCCAAAGTGCTGGGATTACAGGAGTGAGCCACTGTGCCGGGCCTAAAGACTAAGTGTTTTAAACCTCAGACTGCCTCAAGAAATGTATTCCTCCTAAATAATAGTGTGAGTTTCATTATCTTTCCTATTTATTTGGCAACTAATCAACTGGACCTTCAAGAATGCCTTGATTGTTTATGCATATTTCTTTCACTTTCTCGATGTTTGTATTTCATTTTTCTTATTAAATTTCAGTTTTTAATAAAATGTTTTATGTTAGGGTTCCAAAATTTTGTGCTTTTGAAAGACTTCTCATTTTCTCAGTGAATGCATGGGAATCTAGTTCTTGTAGTGATCCCAATTTCATTCACATTCTTGTTGAAGACATGTATAAAAGTAATCCTGGAATTTAAAAAATACCCTGGTCTGTTCAATCTGTAGAGTTCTCAGGTTCTCTTTTCTTTTCAATAAAAATATCTCATAAGATCCTAACATGGCATTACTTAGAATTTGTTTTCTCATAAACTCTACCTCTTTATAGAATTTTTATCTGTTAAAGACCGTTTAATCTTCATACCCATTAATCTGGTCTTGGCAAAGATGAAGTGAATGCTCTAGCAGGTTCAGGGTTCATGTTGAAAGCACCAGTAGAGACTGCCATTAAGGCTTATCGAGGGATAGAGGGAAGAACATGGCCTTCTACTGTTATGCCAGGCACTAACACTATTAGTTATATGAACCCATAAGCTCTCTAGCTTCTGTTTCCCCATCTTTAAAAAGGGATACTTACAAGAATGAAATATATTACTGTAAGTAAAATGCTGCCATAAGGCTAGACCTAGCCACTAAACCAGTCCCCTTCTGCCTCCTTCCCCTAACTCAAAAAGCAGTGGCATGGGCTGGGCACGGTGGCTTACGCCTGTAATCCCAGCACTTTGGGAGGCCGAGGCGGGCAGATCACAAGGTCAAGAGATCGAGACCATCCTGGCCAACATGGTGAAACCCTGTCTCTACTAAAAATACAAAACTTAGCTGGGCATGGTGGCACGTGCCTGTAGTCCCAGCTACTCGGGAGGCTGAGGCAGGGGAATCACTTGGACCCGGGAGGTGGAGGTTGCAGTGAGCTGAGATTGTGCCACTGCACTCCAGACTGGTGACAGAGCAAGACTGTCTAAAAAAAAAATGCAGTGGTATCTTTTAAAACATTTCCCTCTATTATCACCTTTGCATGAGTGACACCATGTGTCTCTGAATCCTCTCTTCACTAAGCACACACCCAAGTAAAGATGACAGTGGGAAGGTTCTCAAAGGAGCTCTTCTCCTTCCCGCACACCAACCTCAGGAGAAAGCCTGCCCAGGACAGGGTGGAGATTGATGGAAAACTAGTCCTGGAACCCATTGGGACACAAACTTGGTCTCAATTCCTTCTCTAGTCCAGGGCAAGTGTTTGTAACCAAAAGTGGTATGGGACTGTCTGTTTCATGGACATAATTTTCCCACCTGCTTACACGTGGGCTCAGTGTGCTGGCCCACATGAAATTCATCTACTATGCTCCCTGGCCTGAGCAGGAGGAGAAAAGAGGAAAGACAGACAGTGGACTTGGATAATGATATTGATGTAGATAACAAACCCTAAATTATTACTTTTTTATTCTGTGGAACAGATTCATTAGGATAAATTAGAAATGCTTCAATGGAAAGAACTTCATTAGAAGTGTTTTTAAAATAATGATAAAACCTTTATTAAACACTATTTACCAGTAACAGTTTGTTAGATGTGTTTAGTTATTTATTCTGTGTGACCATCCTATGAGGTAGCTGCCATTATTATCCTTATTTTACAACAGAGGAGAGTGAAGTACAAAAAGATTACACAAAATACTGTATTTGATAGAGGGCTGGGCTTTGAAGTAAGGCAGTCAAAAGCTATGTTCTATCCAGTGATTTTCAGCTGGAGGCTAGTTTGCCCCCCTAAGGGTTAGTGGACCACATATGGAGACATTTTTGATTGTCATGACTAGGGAATTGCTATTGACAAATAATGGATAGAGGTTAAGGATGCTGCTAAACATGCCACAATGTGCAGGATAGCCCTCCACAACAAAGGATTGTCTGGCTCAAAATCTTAATAATGCCAAGGTTGAGAAACCCTGATTTAATCATGCACCATTCTGCCCCACAGGCTTAATAGTTTCCTCTTGAAACCAATGCTTTTGCACAAGCCAGGTATGTTATTACAAATTACTTACCATTCTCAATCCAGCCAGGTATGTACAGTGCTCCACTCTGCTGGGGTATCACTCTCCGTCTGGCTGCGTTAACTCCTCCCAGAGCCCGCACTTTTACACTGTATCTACCATTCGTGTCATAAGTTGTGAAATACCTTGAGTAGACACCGTCATCCTTAGTAGCATCAGCACCTTGATAAAGAATGAAGGAATTAATAAATAGGTAACGGGGAGGGTATTTGTATATTTCCAACTCATATGTAGGCTATGAATTTTCAAAGCAACAAGAAATTCAGCATTAGCTCCAAGAGACCTTAAGATTTTGGTGTGTTGAGGGTAAGGCTTACTTCTTTTATCACTGTGTGTGGTTTTATGTATACATTCTGTCTTCTTGAATTGTTGACTTTCTTTTTGAAATCTAAGATGGTATCGTTTCTGTGTTACACCCAATGTAGCACAAGGTAACTACTCAATAAGTATCTGTTGAACTAAATTAAACTGCTATATGCAAATGTGGAAGAAAAAAATGTTGTATGATTATTTAATAAAATTCATCACTTCTCCCCAGGGTAGATTTAGGTGGGAAATTCATTCACAGGATTCATTCTATTAAGGTTACTTGCTTCACAGTAAGCAGACATGTTTTTTTTTTTTTTTTAAACTGTAGAATTCTCTTTCTCTCTCTCCCTGATAGACTTCTTAAAGACAAGAATAATGGGCAGAATTTTCACTTTTGGGGCAAGCTAATATAGAGTCTGCATAGATACAGGAATCATATAGGACTGTGCTTGAATCTATCTCTGCTGCTTTCTAAATGTGAAAGCCTCAGTGAAGATATTATAAAAACAAAGGTTATATACATCTTTGTATATATGTATTTGTGTATACACACACACACTCATATGTGTGTATGTATGTATGTGTATATACAAAGCACCTAACACAATATGGTTATTAATTTTCCTCTTTTCCTTTTTTGGGGGTTGTGGAATACCCTATGGCAACTCCCCAGAGACTGAATCTATTGAGCTTGAGCTGTTAATGTGTTTTGGGCCTTGCAGAAGCCCTCATGTTTTCCAGCATTTTGAAATGTAGGAATTGTGGGGAAATGGAGAACTCTCCCAACCAGACCTCAGTGCTGTGCTGCCTTGCCTGTCTAACTGCCCTCACCAGACCATGCCCTCTTGGCATTCCCTGGTTGCTTCTTGGAAAAAGAAATAAATATCTTCCAATTTCTTGGGTGATTACCTGCTCCATTATCCAGTAGTTCCAAGGTAACTGTTTTTCCATTCACTGATTCAATCAGGGCTGTGACACTGGCCCTGAGAATTGGGGAGGCTCCTTGGCGAATATTTGCATAAACTACCAGAGGGCTGGGGAATTTGCTGGTGTCCTTGTTCGTTTTGGAAGTCACTGTAATTGGAGGCAGGGTAGCATTGGACGCACGGGACGTGACAGTCAGGGTCAAGGTTTGTGAGCTTGCTTGCAGACTGTATTTCCAAGTGCCAACCTGACCAAAACACATGTAAACATTTCCAATGAATAACTTCAGGTGACACAGACCTGACTTCAATGTCACGTACGGGAAAACCCTCTGATATAAGCATGTTGGAAGCATATCTAAGAAGAGGTGTGCATGTTTGATACTCTGTCAGCCACGGGGAGCTTCAGTGTGTTTGAACTAACTATATCATTCCCATTGTCAAGAAAATTCCACGGCGGGTGGGAGGGGGATGGTGAGGTCTGAAAGCTATATGCTTATTGTTGCCTTGGTTTTATAAGAGATGAGTCTCTGAGATAAAGGAAATAACTTTTATGATCCCAAAATGTCGAGGATCATTTTGCATCTTGATTACTATGTAATTTAAAGGTTCTCCATTTAGTACCTGGACAAAATATCACCTATTTCCTTTGTCTTTACTTGCTGACATACTGAGTGATTTTCATTGGATGGAGATTTTTTTTCCTCGTTCTCTCTTTGATTCAATACTGACTCTCCTTTTAGCAACCACCAACATTTAAAATGCTACAATTATTCTGTAAAAACTTTATTTTATCTTGTTGAATTATGAGAAAGAAAAAAAGCTGACTCCATACCTTAGCAATGCCTGGGATTTGGAGGTAGGCCATTTTGGTGTTTTTGTCCACTACAAAGCCACCTTGCTTCTGTCCACTGGGATCCCAGAGAAGGATTTGGGGAGGCTGCATTGTCCAGGTGATAAGAAACAAAGTGTCCTTTCCCACGGTGCTGTCCACGATCACTGTGCCATTCATCCACTGGCTGTTCTGGAGGGTTAATCCCTTACTCTCAAGCTGTTAAGAAAAACAGCTCTTACTTTCTGGAGAATACAGCTCCCATCACATGATCTTTTCCCTTCTGCCCCTGTCTCCCCAGTGCGCCATTAAAAAGACTTCAGTGATGCCTGAATCCTTGATTTGGTGTTAGGAGCAATTATGATGCAGTTCTAAGTTACCTTTCTAGCCTTAGCTTCCACAATTTTCCATCCTCCACCCAAACAAGACCACTCCCCAAAGGTCCTTGTGAATCCCTGACTCTTTGACTTTATTATCGTACTCTTTAGTTTTCCTAGAAGGCTTTACATTTGTCTTCTCCATTTATCTAAGCCTTCTTAGTCTTCTCTGTTTGTCTAAGCCTTACCCATCCTTCAAAATTCAAATATTACTTTCTCCATGAAGGTTTCTCTGCTGTCCATCTCATTTACCAGTTGTAAAAAATCTCCCCTTCCTCTGATCTCCTATAGGATTTTATTTCTATCAATCCTTCGACATTCATCATATTGTGCTTCGCCCTATATTTATTGGTATATGAAGCTCATCTTATTTATTAGACTATGAACCCTTAAGGGGACTCACTGTGACTTATTTTTTACCCACGCATGGATTGTCTGAATTACCTAATTGCTAAGTCAGGTAGTATTGCAGGCCCTGTGGAGATAAATGACATAAGCCAAGGCCAGCTTGTTTGGAATAGAATGAGGGAGCTGCAGAGTGGGAGTGAGGTAAGGAAGGATTAACAAGGCTTTTTTAGAAAATGTGATTTTGAGGATTATCTCCTAGGTAGTTATTGTCTCAGAGTTAGCACCTATTAGAAGACAGAGTGGGCTGGTCATAGAGCCAGATTTCCTAGTTTCACAGGTAGATCACAAGCTGGCAAGTGGAGAAAGCGAAGGGCTATTAGATCTGGTTCTTGTGGCACACTGGTGAATGAGTCTTGCTCATTTCTCCATCTCTCTCTCTCTCTCTGTTAGGTTTCTTAAATACAAAAATCATAGGCAGAAATTTCCTAAATGTGAACTTGTCCTTTTATCACTTTAATTACTTTTCTAGGAGACATTCCTCCCTTTTCCAAAGCAGGCCCTTGCATTTAATTTTCTAAATCTGAACCAGAATAACCCAGATGGGTATAATTGCTGTCTTCCTAGATTGAATAAATGCTCCATTGGTAAGCCAGAAAGCCTATGGTTTCAAAATCTCTCATTATTAGGCTTTGACATTACAGTTTTCCTTTATCTTTATCTGAACTTTCATCATAAAAATTATAATTCACACCAGTGTGAATGCTGATTGTTCACTCTCTCTAGTTTAAAAATTAATGTGAATAATTTCTGCAATTACTAAAAAAGAGCATTGAAAAAATACATTTTTCTTTTTTCTTAATAGTTTCAAGACTTTTAAAAGGCAATTTGGTTTTCTTGAAATTTTAGACCAGATGGGCCATTGGAAGTTTTCTGTCTCTACCTGGTGGAGAAATGAAGGTCCACAGAGGTGAAGTTCTTTGCCTAGGTCACATAGTTAATGGCAGACCGAGGACCAAGATCCAGGGGTCTGGACTCACACCACTGGCTTTTTACAGTACAAAGCACTTTCTGTCCATTATATGTAAATCTTGGCAAACAACAGAAATTTGATGTAATGGAAAAATAAAGCAAGTAATCCCTGGACACTTGTCCCAGAAAATTTGTAATTGAGATGATCTACTCTGAAGAAAATTCTGAGCCAATTATATTGCTCTAGTTGCTTGTTCAGAGATGTTAAAAAAGAATTCTTGGACATATGACATTTTATCTGCTGACTTCTGTGAGGAATTCACTTGGTATTGCTTCCAAACAAGTAGACACTAATTGCCTTGTTTAAATGAGTAGTGTTGCATTTTAGGAATAATGTTTAATATCAAGCTGGACCTTCTATTTTCATTTTAATTCAGTACCAGAAGAGTGGAAAACTTAAAACTTTTAGCCATTAAATTCTCCATCTTGGCTATGATTATGTGTAAATATGAAAAACCAAAGATTAAGAACTCCAACCTGGATGGAGCGCTGAGAGACAGCTCCATTTCCTGATGAAAGGGCCCCAAAAGCATCAATGAGGCCATTGTTCTGAACTTGATCTGAAGCATATGTCTGTAAACCTCCTAAAATGCAATTACATTTTCAGAAATTATTTTCCAGAAAGCAACTATTTGCAACATTTTAGCTGTTGTTTAGAGAGCATACAATATAAATATCCCTTTGTGTTATTAAAGTATAAATAGATCAACATCAAATAGGTGCCTACATTAACTCAGAATTTGATAGTATTTTTTTAACCTATTTATTTTTTCTAAGACAGGCTCTCACTCTGTTGCCCAGGGTGGAGTACAGTGGCATGATCCTGGCTCACTGCAACCTCCACCTTCCAGGCTCAAGCGATCTTCCTACCTCAGCTCCCAAGTAGCTGGGATTACAAGCATATGCCAACATGTCTAATTTTTGTATTTTTTTTTTTTTTTTTTTTTTTAGAGATGGGTTTTGCCATGTTACTCAGGCTGGTCTTGAACTCCTGGGCTCAATCAATCCACCTGCCTTGGCCTCCTAAAATTCTGGGATTACAGGAGTGAGCCACCACACCCAGCCACTAATTTTTAAATCTTAGTAAATAATAGCTTCAGCAACATCTCAGTCACCTGGCTACTTCAACTATCTGCAAAGCAGCCATGAATCTCTGATATGATTTGATATTAATTTATGATATAAATTGATGTCATAAAATCTACATATTAAAGGTCCTGCACTTTTACATGAGAGAAGTCATTAAGCCGTACTCCAGGACTATCGATTTACTCTTATTTGAAACATAATTCCAACAAACGTGGCTTTAGAGTTTTCTTCTAAATGAGGAAAGGCACATATGTGACAGCAGCAAGAAAAAACAGTGGACAAAGGGACACTTACAGAATAGTATATTATAAAAACAGGATTTTACACCAGGCCAGGCAGTCCTGGGCTATTTAGAATAGGTGTCACTAAGTTAGTTGATGTGAAAGCACTTTTTAACTATTATAATTCCATCTGAACTTAAGGAAATAATTTCAGTAAGGCTGTTGATGCCCCACGCACATCCCCTTACCCAGCCAAGTGCATCTCTTCCCAGCTGCTCTAGGCATTGGCTTATAGCTGCCTCCTCTTCCAGGGAATTATCTTACCAAAAGGGGCCACCCTACCTAGAGAAATAACATGCCCCTCTCCTCTGCCCTGTTCTGACAGTCCACAGCCAAAGACTGATAGACACAATGGTGCAAAAGGCCACCCTCCTGTCTCAAGGTGAGACAAGTCTGTGATGTACTTTCCATTCCAGAGTCCCCTGTGGGCACAGCTAGACTCCGACTAGGTCTGCATCAGTGCTTAGCTCCTTCCCTGGCCCTATCCTTTCCTCCTTCCTTTTCTCCTAAGAGCTCTCTCTCCTATAAATTGCATGGACCCAAATCCCTGTCTCAGGCTCTGCTTCTAAGAAACCCAGCCTAGGACAGGTAGTATTAGGAATAAACAGCTCTGGCATTTTAGTGGCCTCAGAAGGCAACTCAGTATAATAATTGAGATCCACAATATTATCCCTAAGTTAAAAAAGAAAAATATGTGTTCACCTACTCTGCTAAAGAAGCTGGTGACACATGGAATCTATTTTAACCATCTGTCTGTGTATGGGAGTTAGACACACAATACGTGAAGGTTTTATGGAGGAACTGCATTGTATTCCATTTTGGGAGTGATCTTTTGCCTTGTTTAACATGCCCTTTGCTCTTCCCTGCTACTTCTCCTGTTTCTTGAATGCTTTTTCTCCAGGTAAAGTTAAAGCCTCCCTTATTTGTGCTTTATTGTACTTTCTGTTGCTAATATAGCACTTATGCCATGGTGTTATGTAGTTAGTGGCTTGTCATCTGTCTCCCCTAGGTCTCTTGGCCAGCTGCCACTGGAAAGGAGTGGTTCCTGGCCCGGGAAGAAGGTCCTGAGTCCTCACTAGAGTGCTGTGCTAGTTCCATCTTCTCCAGGCTGCCTTAGTCCTAGACACAAAGCTTTAAAATAAATGGGCAGAGTCCACTTAAACAGTCATTCAGGGGTAAGGGTGGCTAGTTAGCCAATTAGGTTATCCTATCTCTCTCCATCCCATCTTTCCCCCACTCCCCAGTTCACTGGAGCTCACAGTCCAGTAGGAGAGACAATACCGGGGGTCTCAGCAAATCATCCCTCACCTGTCATTTTGGACAGCTCCTCTAGTTCTTGAGCTGCAGAGGGCCCCAAAGCGACTGTGTGGATGATGGCACCACTTTGTTTGACCTCGTTAAAGCACCCACTTATAGTGTTGTCTTCCCCATCCGTCAGCAGCACAATTTCAGATCCATCAGTTGGATATTTCTTCCTAATCACCTAAGGACAGAATTTAGGGCACGAGTTATCAGACTTAGGGTGGCCAAAGTGTTTATGAAAATTCTGCTTACAGGAAAGGAGAAAAGAAATTCTAGAGGGAATAACCAAAATTGTCTGGGAATGACCAAATATCTGTCTGTCTTGAAATGATACAATCTTAACCCAGCAGCATTCATGGAACTTGACCGCTGTCTTTCCCCTTGGCTGGTCTGCTGCAGAGAGGGACGGTGTGGGATGCAGGGCAACTCTAGGGGTGGACAGCACTGGGGAAACAGCAAAGAAGGTGTTCCTAGTTTCCTTCACTTGGTCTCTCCTTGATAGGCTTTCAGAGCTTCCAAGATGCCTTCAGAAACCATCTCATTTAATGGGGATTATATTGGGGGGATATTAGACCCAGGGCAGACTTTAACTTATATGATATTCACCAGTCTGACAATACCAGCTATTTCTGGCTGGCATTGGTTCTGATTGGTCATTACCTAGGTCACATGAGTTGTCAATATTTTTAACAGCCTTTCTGATTAAAGCAAAACATTTCATTTCCATTAATTCTCAGTTCCTAGTTGTTCTGTGACACCTATGTCTCAACTACTCCTGGTATATTTGGATTATTTATTTATTTTTTTATATGGTATAGACAGGATACTCCTTCTGCCAATGTTGAATAAGATTAGGACGGGAGGAAAATTAGATAAAAGAATAATGCTATCTATTTAAGAAGAGAAAGCAAGAGTCCACTCTTCCCCTAAACGGAGTGGAAGGAGAGACCCAGAATTAGGGGAAACAAGAAATCAAGCCTAAGCATCTGTGGCCTAGAATCTCAGATAAGAAGGCATCTTCCAAAGGCCTAGAATCTCAGAAAAGAAGGCGTCCTCTGAAGGTGGAAGGGAAAGCTGAGGGCAGAGGAGGTTTCCGCCTCACTCACTGTTTCAGCTATTAGAGGAGGCTACCTTGACTCCCTAGAAGAGAACAGAACAGTGACTGTTGCTGTTGCTGTGTCAAAGAGCCCAGAGCCCAGAAGCCTGTCAGCTGTGATCACGGCTTTGGCCTTACTAAGCTGCAGGCCAGAGAGGCCCAATTTGGATTTTCTTGTCGCACTCCCCATAACTGCTGTGTGTCATGGAAAACAGGCAAATGTTGCCACATATCCTAAAGAGGAGACAGAAGACAGCTGAGTTGGGTGTTGGCAGGTGAGAGAAGGATAATCCTGCCACAGAGGCTGAGGAGTATACAGTATGGCTAGAGGCTGGATGGAGGATAGGGTGGTGCTCAGGGCTCTGCTCCAACGGGGAGAGCCAGGGTGGGGCTGAGTCAGTGGAGGAGGACTACTGGGCCCTGAGCAAGCCAAGAGAACAAGCCAAACTAATATGGCCACAGCAGACACCACTGCAAGGAGCACAGGGCAGACCTGACCAGGGCCTGCAGCAGGGACTAGCAGGGATCTTGAACACAGTATAAGATCCAAGGTCCTTTGCCTCATCACCCTGAAGCCACATGAGCTTCTCCCACCCCACACCCAGACTCCACCCCAGGGGGCATCCTAAATTCCACTGGTGTACTGCACACTCTCTCTCTCTCGCTCATCTGAATGGAAGATGCAGAATCAGAGGTTCTCTCTTCACCACCACGCCATCTGGCATTAGTCATCTCCCCTAGGGTCTTGCACAGCAAGGGTTTGGTACAGCACATCAGTGATTTCATTGTCTGTTTTCCTCCCTTATTTGCTCCCTTAGTCAAAGCTTGGGTGGGTGACAGGGGTAATAAAACACAGATGCACGCAGGCATCTGGAGAAGTGTTTCATAGCTGACTGTGTATGCAATAGAAACCACTTTCAGGGAACTGATATTCAAAGTGGACCAAAATGGTCAGAGAGACAGAAAGCACTTGAGGAAATGGTCAAGCCCATTGTCCACATCAGGCCATGTGAGCTGGAAACTACATATTCCTGCTGCCACATGGGAAACTGGAACAGCACTATTGAGTGTGATGTGCCCAAATAGCAGGCTTAGGGCAAACCTGCCTAAGACACTGCAAGGTTCTGAGACCTTATGCCTGCCAGCCCCTTTCAACCTCCTATTCTGTTTCATGTGGCTAAACAGTCTCCAAGTAAATATGGAATATTGCTCCTTGGTTATCTCATCCAGTTGGACCCTAGGCATGTATGGAAACACTGGAAATGGAAGTTTGTTAAGCAACATAAATTGCAAACATTCCAAACTACAATAGAAAAACACATCTCACAGTAAATGCCGATCGAAGCCCGCTGCAGATGGACGTCCCTCCTGAAGCTGCTGCAGGTAATCTTTTGGCGAGTGTGTCCCTGTCACTGCCACTGTTTATCTGTATGAGTTCATTTTGTACATGGGCAGCACTGTCAAATGTCACCATCCCAACCCAGGACCCCAGCTCAACTGTCTGCAGCAGGAAAAGCTGGCCTGCTTGATTCAGTCGATTGAGGCGGTTACCAGTCTAAATGGAGAAGCAAAAGAAAAACAGGTTACGTTTAGATGGAAAGACTAATAACAGAAAAGGCCATAGGGAATTTGGAAGTGGCTGCCTTAATGTAGAGCAAATGACCATAAGCTTACTTGAGGCATATCCTATGGGGAAAAATTTCTTATTTATATTTAGCAGCACCTTTGGGTAGAATTTTAGGGCCAGAGTATAAATAGTAAAAGATAAAAACAGATTACATAATCATTAAAGTTCAATGCATTAGTAATAATTCTAGGTAAGTTCTGTATCAGGTGATACGGTTTGGCTCTGTGTCCTCAACCAAATCTCATCTCAAATTGTAATCCCCATAATCCCCACATGTCGAGGGAGGGACCTGGTGGGAGGTGGGAGGAACATGGAGGTGGTTTCTTCCAGGATGTTCTCGTTACAGTGAGTGAGTTCTGACGAGATCTGATGGTTTTATAAGGGGCTAAGGGGCTCTTCCCACATTGCGCACTCTCTCTCTCTCTCTCTCTCTCTCCTGCTGCCATGTAAGACATGCCTGCCTCCCCTTCCACCATGATTGTAAATTTCCTGAGGCCTCCCCAGCCGTGTGGAACTGTGAGTTGATTAAACCTCTTTCCTTTATAAATTACTCAGTCTTGGGTATTTCTTTATAGCAGTATGAGAACAGACTAATATATAAGACTATGGACCTATAGACTTATATATTGTCAGTGAAACATTAAAAATGTTAAGCTCATATAATTCATCAGATCTTGGTTCATAAATTGAAAATTAATTCAATTTGGCAAATGAGATAGTTGATGCTGAACCTTTGTTGAACAAAGTTGAAGTGGGCATTTCTGAAGACAATGTTACAGTTATAACTATTCTGGCCCTCGGGTTATGTTTATTCGCAACTAGTTCCGAGTCAGGGTCCAGAACATGCATATCTGTGACCAGCATCCAGAAGACCAAGACTCATTGAACATACCGCCATGCTTCCAGATTTGTCAAGGACTAAACACACAATTCTTTGTCCAATCTGCAGCAATGAGAAGGTGGGATTTGGTGGCTGTGTTGTCATAGGAGTGGTTTTCTTAAAGTCCTCAGAATCACGGATCACTTCCCATGTGCTTCGGAGATTGCATTTTTGATTTTGCTTGTTTGGAGCTTCTTTGTTGTGGTTTTGTTCTGTACAGAATTCAACTATCTGAAATTGTCAATGAAATTATATAGATAATGGTAAACTATGTGGTAGAATATTTAATAATTTGTTAGACCTGTCTGCTCTGCTAATGCATAACCTTGGCTCAATTGCACAATCACTGTGGAACAGTGCTGGGGAAAATCACAGTAATAATGCAGATTTCCTACCTTAAACCAGGCCTTCAATCTCATTGGACCCTTAGTGCTCCTCAGCAATCCATTTACCTCCTCTTTTTGGTTTCCTTCCTACTCCTCAAATTTACCATTTCAAGCCATCACTGCTCTCTCCATAGCACCCTCTCCAGCATTCCTCTCTTGGAACCATCTTATCTCTCCACCCTTATACCACCAAACTCCACTTCCTTACTTCTCACTCATTTACCAACACACTATATTCTAACCTTCAACTCCCAATGTTCCAGCTCTCTCCAAAATCCACTTGGATGTCTCACATGCGCCTCAAACTCCACATGTTCATTATTGACCTTATCACTTTTCTCCCATCTGCTCCTCCTCCTCAGGTATTTCCTAACTTGATGTCACCACTATGCACCCCATCACCAAAATTAGGAAACTGGAAGTTTTCCTACCTTTTCCCTCCTAAAAAGTACCCAAGACCAGTGCACTTCACTATATCTCAATTTCTTCATCTTTTCTCCATCTCCAATGAAATATCCATCACCCAAGCCATCACAGTCCCTCCCTCAGACGATTGCAGTTTACTTTGTGACTTTTCCATCTTGTTTCCTCTCTGTTTGTTCCACCTCACAGCTGCCTGAGAGTCTTTCCTCTTACTCCTCTGCTTTAATTGTTCATACATTACAATCCACTCTTCATATACCAATGGCAAACTCTATGACTTGGAGCTTTGCTTCATTCTCCATTCTCATTCTGGCTGTGTATTCCATGTCTCTAATTTACCCCACTATAGCCTGTCAGTTCCCAAACTTGCCAGCCTTTGGCATCTCTATTGCTCCTCCTCTGTCTTCTACGTTGTAAACTCTACCTTCATGTTCAGCCAAAAAGTCACTTCCGAAATGTTTCTCCATTTTCTACTCTTCCTCCTGAGAATTTCCATTCCACCCTTTATAGCTTCACGATATCTTGTAGAAATTTCAATAAGGCCCCTTTAACATTGCAGTGCACTTACTGGACTGTAAATCCATCTGATATGGTTTGGCTCTGTGTCCCACCCAAATCTCATCTTGATTTGTAATCCCCACGTGTCGAGGGAGGGATCTGGTGGGAGGTGATTGGATCATCGAGATGGTTTCCTCCATGCTGTTCTTGTGATATTGAGTGAGTTCCCACGTAATCTGATGATTTTGTAAGCGGCAATTTCCCTTGCATTCTCTCTCTCCTGCCACCTCGTAAGGTGTGCCTTGCTTCTCCTTCGCCTTCCACCATGATGGTAAGTTTCCTGAGGCCTCCCTAGCCATGTGGAACTGTGAGTCAATGAAACCTCTTTCATTTATAAATTATCCAGTCTTAGATATAGTTTATAGAGGTGTGAAAATGAATTAATACACCATCTATTACAGAAACCTGCTTACTAAATTTTGCTTCCTCAAAATTTAGCCCTAGTGCCTGACACATAACAAAAACTCAATATGACTTTGTTATTTTTTGAGTAACCTTAACCTCTCTGCACCTGAATTATTAAATCTACAAAATAGTGATAGTTATTATGCAGGAAATAAATGAGAATATATGCACTAAGGTCAATACTAACACAGCCAATAAATGATGGTTCCTTTACCTTTCTTATGTCATATAACACTTGCTAGTATTTATATCTCTCGCCTGTGGGGGATTTTTTTTTTAAGGCATAGTATACAAAAGAAAAGTAACATGATTCCTCCTCTCAGTGACTTTACAATATTATCATGCAATTACAAATCCTAATATCTGGGATGCTATTAATTTAGAAAGTAATCATTAGTTGTACAACATTTTTCTCTTTATGTGCGTTTTTCAGGTCATGTGTTTCGGTAATGTTTTTATGTTATCAATATGGATACTTTTTAGGAAGCAGACCTGAAAAACGTTTGTGTAAACCCCAGGCAGAGGCTTCCACACCTGACTAGGCATCATATTTAACTCTGTGGCTAATTTAAAATATATAATCTGGGCCTCCTCCTGGAAGTTTCTGAATAGGCCTGGGAATGGACTGCAATGCCAAATTGAAGGACGATGGGCCTGGTGAGCCATGGTGCATCACATTTTAAAAACTTATGCTCCATTCCTGTTGAACAGACTCTTGCAATTTATTGCACCCTCTATTCCAAAAGGAAAATGTAATTTTATATGAGACTGGAAGACAAGAGAGACTTCCCACTGAAGTCAGTTAACTGATGCCTTCAATCTCATTTTGCGCAAAATTTCTGATTTATATATTTAGCAGTAATATCAATAACTGGCCAAGTTCATTTTATGACCAGTTATTCATTAAAAAAATTAAGAATTTTAAAACTATTTAAAGCTATTTAAACTATGTGTAAACTCCCTAATGTAACCAACACTCTTAAAAAGATAGAAAATTTCAGTTAACAACCAAAAGCAAACATGCAGTCTGAAAAGAGCTCTCTGAAAGTTAAATCAAGAGCCTACTGATCATGTCTTTATTAACTAATAAAAGGAACTGCCTAATCCCCCTGGGTTAAGTCCTTATTTAAGTAAGAATGTGTGTGCTTGTATGCCTTTGTGAGTATTTAAAGTAATCCTAAGCACTTGAACTAAAAACTAGTGGGAGGGAGATGATGGAGAAGAAAGCGTGGACACGAGGAGGGTAAGGGGAAGGAAGACAGGACTTTATCCTTGACTTGCACACCCAGCTTGTCCCAGAGATAATCCACTGCTCACTGATGATTTCTCTAAACTTTGATTCTCCCTTGGAGCACTTGGAGTAAAAGCCTCACTAAATTCATAAGAATCTGGGGGAGGGGGTGAGAACAAGGTACTTACAGAATCAACATGTTGTGCAAACATTATAGAAGCCTTCTCCGTCTGGCGGGATTGGAGAACAAACTCACATCCTTTTTCATAGAGTCCTGTTACTTTATTGAATGTGCATCTTTTGGTGTAACAGCTGCCTCCCTGACACTTCTTTACTACATTTGTACCAGTAATACCTGCTGAACATCTGAAAATATAGGAAGGTTAGATGTTTAGGTGATGTCGTCATTTCAAAGGGTCAGAGTCTATGCTCAGTTTCTGACAGATTGCCTTTCTGTGATTTTCCTCTCATGATCCAAGAAACAAGGACATCCCATCATAGCAAAAGTGTTAAATTGTCATCAGAGTCATTTCTGTTTGCCAGAAAGTATCTGAGGGGATTGCAAAAATGGTATCAGAATGTATTTCTACGCAGCAGAAAAGCCAAGTCTGGCTTAGGGCTGTTGTTAGCATTAATACAGACTAAGTCCTCAGGCACCTTTGAATCTATTCCCTTCATCCCTAGCAGGTCAAGAGCCCTCTTTTATTTCCCACAAAAGATTTGCTGACATTTCTTGTTTGTTTGTTTTCTGATTAGTTTATTTCACATGGTTTTTGTAGAGTTCTGGTATGTTCATAGGTATTTTAAATGTTTCCATGTATTAGGTATTTATGACTTTTGTTGCTATTATAGTTGGAATGCTTTCCCCCTACACCTTATTGTTTAATTGTATTTTTTAAGTATATAACCATGCATGACCGGTATAGAAAATTTGGAAAATGGCAAAAAGCATGAAGAAAAGAAAAAAACATGTCTCACCATCAGAAATGAGCTACTGTTACCAAGTTGAAGCATTTTTCACTTTGTATATATCAACATAACACTCACTGCACAGATAGCTTTGTTTCCTGCTTTAAAAAAAACTTAGCATATTTAATTTTTTAATATTATTATTTAATATTTTTCAAAATGTGGCTGCGTGTGGTGACTCACACCTGTAATCCCAGCACTTTGGGAGGCTGAGGCGGGTGGATTGCTTGAGGCCAGAAATTTGAGACCAGCCTGGGCAACATGGCGAAACCCAACTCTACCAGAAATACAATGAAAATTAGGTGGGCATGGTGTTGCGCACCTGTAATCCCAGCTACTCGGGAAGCTAAGGCACGAGAATTGCTTGAACCTGAGAGGCAGAGGTTGCAGTGAGCTGAGATCGCGCCACTGCACTCCAGCCTGGGAGACACAATTGGGACTGTCTCCAAAAAAAAAGAAAAAAAAATTCAAAATGTGATCTTAATAATTTTATATCTTTTAATACTATCATATGTATTCAGACTAACTTGTTGAACTTAGTTTCCCCTCCCAATTTGTCAGTACTAAAATAAAACATCAATGAATAAACAAAATTTCATATCCAATTTTGACTGTATTTCCAAGTTTGCCCTGTGATTGATTCCCTGAGTAATTACTATATCCAAAAGTTTGAACATTTTAAAGCCCGTTGATACAGCTGCTCTATCATTTCCTTACAATGCATTTTTAAACATGAAATCACAGGATCAAGACTTTTTTTAATTTGATATGTGTCACCCAAATTGCTTTCCAGAAAAGTTGCATGAATTTATGCCTCTAACAACCATCTGTGAGAGCTTTCATCCTGCTGACAATAACTTACTAGACAATAAATGAATCTCATCCCTATCAAATTTACATCTCTCATTACTAGTAAGTATGAACATTTTTATTATTGGACATTTTTATTTCATTTCTTTAATTTTCTTTTTCTTGAGACAGGGTCTTACTCTTGTTGCCCAGGCTAGAATGCAGTGGTGTGATCATGGCTCACTGCAGCTTCAACCTCACCCCCAGGCTCAGGTGATCCTTCCACCTCAGCCTCTCAAGTAGCTGGGACCACAGGCATGTGCCACCATGCCAGGCCAATTTTTGTATTTTTTGTAGAGAAGGGGTTTCACCATGTTGCCCAGGCTGGTCTCAAACTCCTGGGCATTTTAATTTCTTCTTTTGTAAATTATCTATTCTTCTCCTTTGTCTATTTTTCTATTTGGATGTTACTGTTTTACTGATTTTTCAAAAGCTCTTTATGTGCTACAATACTAAGCTTCTAAAGGCTTTCTTTTTTGTTTTTGCAAATATCTTTTTCTGTTTTTTCCTTTTTATTTAGTTTATGTTTGGTTTGTGTGCAACAAAATTTTTAATTTATATGTAGCCACATTTATTATTCTCTTAGTTATATTTTTCAATGATTGAATGCATTGAAAGAGTTTTGTTATCTAGGGATTTGATACTTATTAACATTCTTCTAGTTTTCATTATCATTCTGCTTTTTATCTTTAAAGAGTCCATCCAATTGGAAAAGAGTCTGTTAATTTTTTCCCCACACAGTTAAAAAATTGTCTATCTCAAGAAATCCTATCTTTCTTCACAGACTTGTAATTCTACCTATAATAACTAAATTATCATATGTGTAATGTCTGCCCACATTGTTTGTTTGTTTGTTTGTTTGTTTTTTGAGATGGAGTCTCACTCTGTTGCCCAGGCTGGAGTGCAGTGGCATGATCTCGGCTCACTGCAAGCTCCGCCTCCCGGGTTCATGCCATTCTCCTGCCTCAGCCTCCCAAGTAGCTGGGACTACAGGCACCCGCCACCACGCCTGGCTAATTTTTTGTATTTTTAGTAGAGACAGGGTTTCACTGTGTTAGCCAGGATGGTCTCGATCTCCTGACCTTGTGATCTGCCTGCCTCGGCCTCCTAAAGTGCTGGGATTACAGACGTGAGCCACTGTGCCCTGGCTCACATTGTTTTAATTAATGTAGTTTTATAGCATATTTAAAATTTGAAAAGTAAGAATTCCCTTTATTACTTTCTTGTTCCCAAAATGATCTTAGCTACTATCTACTCAACGAACTCTTAGATTTTTTTAATGAGGTAAAAATTGATGTACTTTTGATTAGCGTTTCATAAACCCTATATATGAATTTTGTTTGCGTTTATATCTTCCATGAATTGAATGTTTCCCAATTTACCTTGGTTTTCTTTTAACCCCTTGAGAAGGATTTTATAGTTTTCTTTAAATACATCTTCCACATTTCTTAGCATTGTTTCTACTTTTATCATACCTTTCATTGCTGTCTTGAAGTATTGTTCTATTATATTTTTGAACTGGTTATTGCTAATATATGGAAAAGTAATTTGAATATTTATTTTGTATTTGGTCACCTTATTGGCTTCCCTTGTCAATTTTAATTTCAATTTATTTCCTTGTGTTTTCTAAGTGGATCACAGATCATCTGCATAACAATGATTTTCTCTCTTCCTTTCCATCTTTTTACATCCCCAGTTTTATTACATTGGCCACAATTTCCTAAGCAAGATTGAATAATTGTGATAATAGTGGCTATTCTTAGTCCTGGCAGTGTCTCTAGTGTTTCCCTATTAAATATGAGGTAGATTGTTAGCTTTGAACAGATGTTCTGTATCATATGAATGAAGTAACCTCCTGTCCTGGGCAGTGCTGTTATTTGTGTGATTGCTTCTAAGCCTTAAAAATAATTTAAAAATTTGGAAGATAATGAGCAATACATATTATTAATATATTGAAATTAAAAGTTTTAAAGAGGACATGGCGATCATGTCTTATCTGTCGAAAGAAAAATGTGTTGTATATGTACTCATTTCTAGAATATCTCTAGAAGGAAATACTACTAATCACCCTTTCTGCCAAGGCAATATATGGTGTCTAACTGGCTGGAAGCTTAGGAAAGAGAACTGGGAAAGAGATATCAGGTTTGGAATGGTGCCCACTGGGTTTGAAAAGTCAAAGCAACGTATGATTGCATCAGAGAAGCCCCTCTGTGCTGTGGTCCATGTAGTGCAGAGTGTACAGGCCGAAGGCATCAGGAAGGCTGTGCATGGCTCTAGGAGGCAGCAGTGCACTTGATGTCTCTCTCTCTCTCTTTTTTTTTTCGGGGGGATGGAGTCTTGCTCTGTTGCCTAGGCTGGAGTGCAGTGGTGTGATCTCGGCTCACTGCAACTTCCGCCTCCCGGGTTCAAGCAATTCTCCTGCCTCAGCCTCCTGAGTAGCTGGGATTATAGGTGTGTGCCATCACACATGGCCAATTTTTTTGTATTTTTAGTAGAGACGGAGTTTTCCATGTTGGCCAGGCTGGTCTTGAACTCCTGACCTCAGGTGATCCTGCCTCGGCCTCCCAAAGTACTGGGATTACAGATGTGAGCCACCATGCCCGGCCCACTTGATGTCTCTTTATGCCTGAAGAGATCCAACAATGAGGCATAATATAATGGAAATGGGCCAAGTGTACAGAGTCTGACTGTTATAAAGAAAGAGAAAAGTAAAGAGCAGTAATGGTCCTGTGCGAGAAATGGAAGCCAAATCTGTGTTCTGAGCCCCTTTTGAAAAAATTGTACTAGGTCAAGACAGTTAGGAATCAAAGCCGAGTGCATCTCCTTAAAGGGCCATCAGGCAAGCAAGACCGGAAGCAGACATGGAGAGGGTGTTGTACCAACTTCTACTTAAAAAGATGGTGTTGTTTTTAAATGCAGGAATAAGTGTGCGTTTTTATCAAGTTTCTTTTGAGAATCTATTGGAACAATCATTTATTTTCTTCTTTTCTTCATATACTATATTCATTACTTACTATTACAACATTTTTGGATTTCTGGAAGACATTCTTACTTGGCTTTAATATGTTTGTTTTTCCCTTAATTTTGCCAGATGTAATTTACTATCCTTTTATTTGAAATCTTTGCCTCTATCTTTTTAGAGAGCCTGTAGCTACAGAATTTTTTCATTCCATTTGTCAGGTTTTAGTATCTGAGTTGTACTAACTCTTTAAAATAAATTAGGAAGTTCCCTATCACTTCTGTTTGCACTAAAGCAGTTTTTGTGCACTGAGACTGCTGGCTGCAAGAATTAGCCCATAAATTCATGGCAGCCAAGCGTTCTTTCCAAGTGTTGTACTTGATTTCTACTGACATCGCGCAAGGTTTAATTCAAACTGGGAGGAGTTTCTGTTTTGCTTTGATATTTGGATTGTTTTTCAGATAAGTTTCACAGTCCCTCCCAAGCCCATTCATACTGACAGAGTCCACACAGATACCATTCTGGGCCGGGCATGGTGGCTCACGCCACCATGATGTCAGAGGTAGTCCCAGCACTTTGGCAGGTCGAAGTGGGAGGATCTCTTGAGTCCAGGAGTTCAACACTAGCCTGGGCAACATAAGGACACCCTGCCTGTACGAAAACTTAAGATCAGCCTGGCAACATGGTGAGACTCCATCTCTACAGAAAATATAAAAATTAGTCTGATGTGGTAATGTGTGCCTGTAGTCCCGGCTACTCAGGGGGCTGAGGTGGGAGGATTGCTTGAGCCCGGGAGGCTGAGGCTGGAGTGAGCTGTGATTGCATCACTGCGCTCCAGCCTGGGTGACAGAGTAAGACCCTTTCTCAAAAAAAGAAGATATTATTATTCTGCCCTGAAGGCACCGAAGAGCCTCATTAGCTCTGCTTACGTCACTGATGCTGGTATGGGATGATGGAGACACTAAACACAGCAACTGTAGATTTTTTATAGTTGGTACAGTTAAAAAAAAAGAAAAAAGGAGGCAAATGACTTCTAGCTGCAGAGTGAATAATTCAATTAACTGAAGCACTTGTAAAGTAAACAAAATGGTAGTTTTGTGGAAATCTGAAAAAGAAGGCACTAAGAATGAATTTGAATTAGAAAATAAGCCAGGACACACATTTTTTAAAGTAATCAATTCAAGAAAAAAAGGTTGCAATTTAAAATAGTTTGGAACAAGTTAAATCAAAATATACATACCTTACTGCTTGTATTCTTCCATTGGATAAGTAGAATTTCTCATCATTATTGTACTCGTCAAATACTCCCCATCGTAGATGAGCCCACTCATGGACAAATGCCCTACCTGTGAGAAAGTATTTTAAAAAACTGATTACAATAAGAATGGCAAAATTACCTTCTCACACTGGAAGAAAGCAATGTTTGGAATATTTATGCTTTGCTGTGTTAATTTTTTAAATTAAAGACTTGATTTCTTTAGATCTAATATAACTGTACGTTTTCTTAAAATATAAATACTTATTTTGGCTTATCAAATGTTAATCAGGCACCTAGTAAGTGCCAAGCCGTTATTCAGACACAAACAGCTGCCCTATCCTCACATAGCTCCTGGTGTAGTGGAGGGCATGTGTGATTAGAAGCTAAAATGCCTGGTGGTACAGGTATGATGACAGAGGTCAGCAAAGGCGGCTATGGGAGCCCAGGCATTCCTACAGCAGCCAGGGCAGCATCCTCAACCAATTCTCCTCCCTCATGGCTCCTATCCCATCAGACCTCAAGGTCTGCTTACTCCATCTCTGTCTTTTTTATTCATTCTCACCTTTCCAGGCCCATTGCCACTTACTCCTGAATTGCTGCAATAGTCACCAGATTGGCCTCCATGTCTCCATCCTTCAGGGTAAGTCCAACTTCTCAACATGGTGTACAAGGTCCCTGATGCCTCAGGCCTGCTCTTCTCTGCAGCCTTATTTCTTGCTGTTCTCCACTCCCTTCCCAAACTCTAGAATTAGGATGAATTCCTGAACTCCTTTTTTTCCTAGGTCATATCATGCTCTTGTTCAACTCTGGTCTTTTTTTACCTATGTTTCCTTAGCTTGGAATACTTCCTTCCCATCTTTGTCTGGATAACTCTTATTCTTCTTTGAAAATCAAGCTTCTATGTGCCTAGAAGCCTGCCCTGAAATCCTCATCTTAGGCCCAGTACTCCGCGTTTGCATTTCACCATCTCCCATTAGGCACTTACAATGATAAACAGTCATTGCTACTTACTTGCCAGTCTCCCACAATAGAAAATTGTCTCCATGAGGACAGACAATATGACTTCTTCACTGTCATATCTGGGCACATAGTGTCTAGAACTTAGCAGGCATTCAGTGATATTTGTTAAACTTGAGTGAATGACTTATGTACAGCTCAGTTTTTCTGGAATGTAAATTCCAAGGAAGGCTGAATTTGGAGGGTTATGTGAGGTGGGGCATTCTGTGGAAACTCAGTATCCCACACTAAGGATTGGGACTTTATTCTGTAGGTATTGGTGGTCTCTTTAAAGATGATTGTGAGAGAGTTGGAGTGGAGTCACAATACAGAAAGGAAACACTATTAAGGAATGGTTTTATATATGATCATGATGGCTGGAGTGGGCTCAGGAGTGGGATGAGGCAGTCAGGTCAATCAATTCAACACTTATTTGTTGAGTCATACATTGAGAATGTTCTGTTCCTGTTATGGAGGTGAAATGTGTTGTAGAACAACAAAGAGGTACGCTTGACACATCCTTTTGACCAGGTCTTTAAGCGCTCTAGTGTGTTTGGGGATGGGGCTTGGATAGCGTTCTTTTGTTTGCTTGTTTTCTGTGCCTTATATGTTAAAAAAAATCAAGCTGGTTCTAGGGGATCCAAATCTTTTTTGAGGTAAAGAAATCTAATGCTAGTTATTTAGTAAAGAGTCACATTTGATTCTTGGAAAGTACATTTTATATATATGTCATTACTTGTTTAATATTTCCTCCAATAATTGTTATATGTACCTCATATACAAATGATAAAGTTTATTTATCATTGGAGTTTTTTCTTTAGTTACATGTTTTTGAGAGATGAATTGCAAAGGTATTCTGTCTGCTACTCAAAGTGTGATCCACAGACCGGTAGAATCAACATCTCCTGTGAGCTTGTTAAAAATGCAGATTCTTGAGTCCCATCCCACACCTAATGAATGAGAATCCCCCCCCTTTTTTTTTTTTTGATACGGAGTCTCGCTCTGTCGCCCAGGCTGGAGTGCAGTGGCGCGATCTTGGCTCACTACAACCTCCGCCTCCCGGGTTCACGCCATTCTCCTGCCTCAGCCTCCCAAATAGCTGGGACTACAGGCGTCCGCCACCACGCCCGGCTAATTTTTTGTATTTTTAGTAGAGACGGGGTTTCACTGTGTTAGCCAGGATGGTCTTGATCTCCTGACCTCGTGATCCGCCCGCCTCGGCCTCCTAAAGGAGAATCCACATTTTAACAAGATTCATATATAATTTGAATGCACGTCTGAGAGCACTGCACATATACGCCATCTGGTGGCTATTGTATGAATTGCAGGTAGAAGATTTAATTCCGTTGTCTCCTTACATATCCATAGAAACTTAATACAAATTAAATTCTTTTACAGTTATAGTATGATGCTATAATAATAATTTACGAGAATTCAAAATACCGTATTTATACATGTATCTAAAGTAAATTAAATTCATAGCTGAGAAATGCTGGAAATTCTAAGTGAAATGCATGTTCTATTTTAAGTGAAAAATGCTATGATGTTTTATCTCTAATTGTTTGGCTTATACATGCTTACTCACAAAGATAATGCTAGTGTTGATACACTTTGAACATAAAATAGTTAAATTGTATGAGAAGTATGGTAGAATATTTCATACCTTGTGGTCCATATTCAGCTAACTTTTTTCCTGCAATGAAATCAGGAGTGAGGTGGATCCTTTCACCCTTCTCTCCACAGTTGCCCATCTGCTCAGTGTAGGGTTCATCATTACCTGGAGGAGTAGACTCAGCAACCAGAACATCAGCCTGAAATTTAAGAAAAAGTTTCTATCATCACAAAGTTTCAGCAAATGAATTAACCATATTCGTACTGGAGTAAGTTTCAAACAATCACATTTGATTCTAGAATATTTTGATTTTAAAAAATCTTGGTTACAGGAGAAAGTGGAATTTTAAAGAAGAACTTGATATTCTCACATTTTTGTAGGTCTCAAGTTTTGGTCTCACATAGTCAGCCTTTGTCTTCCATGTTTCAGGAATCAAAATGGCAACATTTTTGAAATAAAATCGCTTTCCTGTAGCTTCAAGCAGATACAGAGATGCCTGGGTCACCATGTCCTGGGAAGAAAAAGAAAACATACGTAACAATTGACTGAAAATAAATTAAATTATCAGTCATTCAAATTCACATCTGGATTTCACATTTTCAAAAACTTGTTATTTGTTAAGATGGGAAGAAGAAATATAGAAATACCTTTTAATAATAATAGCTAAGCTTTGAGAGCATTTACCAAATATTCTGTGTCACCGAGTAATCAGTAACAATGCAGACTCTGGAGACAGACTCTAATCCTGGCTGCACCACTTTTTGTGGGACATTCGGCAATTTCTAATTCTGAGCCTCAGTTTTCCCATTAACAAAATGGAATATTATATTATAGTGACTGGCTGATAAGGTTGTGGTGAGGAACAAAGTGAAACATATGATGTGCTAGGAACAGTGTTTACTTCGCACAAGCAAGTATAAAATATTAGCTATGCGTTTCACTTGCTTCTTTGAGAATCCACAAATCTTTGAGGGTGAAACTGAGACTTAGTATAATTCTCAAGGTCTCACAGCAAGTAGTAATGAAGAGAAAAAGTGAATGTGATTTTAACACCTGCTGACTCCTGTAATAATTTTGGGATTATATACTAAGTCAAATTAAATGTAATACTAAATGTTGTGGTATTATTTATTTATTGATTCATTTTTCTTTTTTTTAAACTTTGCCAAGTGCTGATAGAAGTATTTATTTTTTGTGCAGTGTGGTACTAAGAGATATAAGAAAATAGCATAATTATATATTTTCAAATTACACCTAATTTTACTTCTCTAAAATGAAATAGCTGCAGCGTTAAATTATAAATGTGTCTGCAGATTCCCTGTGATATGTTATGACGAGAGAGTAGGGAGAGTGATAGAAGATACTGTTATAGAAAGGGGGCAGTGTATCTGTTAGGACTGAAAACCATTTGCTTCGAAAGTGAGCATAGACAGAGGAAAAAAGAGGCTGAAGACTGAGCCCAGGGAATGTGGGGGACCCCAGCATTCAGAGGTAGAAAGAGGAGGAGCCAATACAGGGGCCTCAGAAGGGCAGTCAGTGCCTGCAGAGGAAATGAGGAGCTGTGGGATGAGAGAGCTATAGGGAGGAGGGCGTGATCATCGGTGTCAAGCACTGCTGAGCCATCACTTCATATGAGGACTAAGAACTGATCACTGGACTTGGCAGCATGGTGAGCCCTAGTAGTGGAATAAATACAGCAGCTCCGTAAGAGTGGTTTCAAGAAAGTGGGAGGTGAGGCAGTGGAGACAGTAAATACAGACAACAACAGGTTCAGAAGTTTTTCTGTGAACTAAAGGGGAATGGAGAAATAGGCAGCAGCTGGAAGTGGACTTCAGGACAAGACAGTTTTGTTTGTTTTAATATTATATTATAAAATATTTCTATGCTAATGAAAAAAAAAACAAAAATGTAAAAGAAAAAGGGGTCATTGCAGGAGCAAAGTCCTTGCGGGAACAGACCAGAGTGACTAGACTCCATTGCCTAGTGGGGGTCGTGTTAGGAGCAGAAATGCTTCACCATTTTATGGGGAAGCAGCACTTGGGTGTTAGTGCACGGGTAAGTCCTGCTGTGCCTCTTCCTAAGGGGTAAACTTAAAGAACTTATTTTACTTCTCTGAGCCTCAATTTCTCCCTTTCAAATAGTGATAATAATGGTTGCCTCTATTTTTTTAAGTGTTCTTAATGATTTACATTTTCTCCTTCTAAAACTCCCAGATTTTTAACACTCACTAGGAGAGTTTAATATTATGTCACTTTAAAAAATAAAATTAAAAAATGAGCCAAGATCACCAAAAACTTGAAAAGTAGGTATAAAACTTCATATATTAGAGTATTGTTTTACCATTTGACTTGTGAAATGTGAATTTCCAATGTCTCCCAGGAAGAATAAGTACCATGAAATGCTCTTGTCTTCCACATTGTAATAGAAACAATAATAAGGGATCTTTGTTTTGGCATCTGTTTCAGATTTTCAGAAAATGACCTCATATCCTAATACATATTTAGACTCTTAGGCTGAGAGAAGGTTGGGGGTGACAGTTTATAGAATGGGCTAGAAATTCCTTCAGGACAGGGACAGTATATTGACCACTGGACTTCTAGTACCTGACATAATTTAGATGCTCTGTAAATATTTGTTGAATGAATAAACAAACAAATGGATAAATAAAGTGGGTTTAGTAAATGGCAAAGTGGTATAGAACTGCCAAGACAGGCACAGTGCCTGGGGTGCTGAGCATTGCAGAGACTCCAAAATAACCCTACTGTGTACCTTCTGACGTGCGTGTGTGCGTGTATGTCTGCGTGTGTGCATGGGCGTGTGTGTGTGCACACGAGCTTGTGCGTGTGGTGTGTGTGTATGTATATTTGACGGGGGAAGAGAGAGTTTCTCTCTGACTCTCCCTTCCTCATCTTGTGACGTGTACTCCCCCTGCTAATATTAGCAAGAATGCAGTGGATGGAAGTGGTGCAGAGCGATTAACTGCTCTTGTAGGTGGGGAAATCTGGGGACTGTCCTGCTGAAGCAAATATTTTAAAAGCTGAGTTAGGGGCTTCTGTCCCCACAGGGGCACCAGGGGAGAGTCTCTCATCAGCAAGAAGGTTGTTGGAGTAGAGGGAGGAATGGTTGGGAAAGGTGGCCAAGCCCTCAACGAGGTCCCTCAACTCTGCAGATCTGGAACATCAAATAGGAAGGAGTTAGGGACTTTGAGCATTCTATTCACTAAAGTGTTCTTGTTACAGAGAAGGAAATGATGGAAGCCAACTTATCTCACCCCCAACTTTAGGATCCATACTGGAAAGACAATTTAATAATTGTAGCGAGAAGTACGTATCTCGGGAGGAAAACCTCCAAGGACAATGAAGTAGAAGCACTTTGAAAGCTCTAGTCACTATATACTGTAGATACAAATTACCACGGTCACTGAAGATGAATACGGCATCTACATTCTCCTTCTGGCATATTGCTGAACCCCACTGTCTAGCCAGAGACTGAAACACACTGGTCACATGTTTGCTGATGCCACTTCCAAATTTAGAAACAATCAAAAACTCACTCAACATTTTAGATGATTGAGAGATTCAAGAGGTCTGAATCTCCCTTTTACCACAGACAGCCTGATCCTCTTTGGGTTAAGTAGGTAAGCTTTATGGTGAGTGACACCCTCCACTCTGTTCCCTATCCCTATCCCCTACTGCTGCAATTCTCTAACCACACACTGTAGAGATGGTTTTCTTTCCAAACATTATCTTTCTATATTTGCCTCTGCTTAGAGCAGTGGATCTCTGGGGAAATCCCTCTGGGCCCTTGTTCTATTAATTTTCCATCTAGAGAGAGCCAATGACTATATCCACCATTTATTGAGCTCTTACTATGTACCAGGCACTATGCATGCATTTTTAAAGTTATTTTTTAAAGTTCTGAGATAAATTTAGATGAACAGAAGACATGCAAAGTATTGCACCGTATTCTTACATACTCCACCCAGCTTCCCTTTATATGCATGCATTTTAAACTTTGATCCTCACAAAATCTGATAAGGGAGATATTTATTATTATTATTCCCATTTTACAGACTAATACTGTTACTAGTACAGCACTGCCTCTGGATGTGTTACAGCCAGATTCCAGGGCGGTCTTTTATAAAGCATTTCCCTCTTAGTTTTAGCTGTTTGTTGTTGTACAAGACCTTCTTCAATGGTATAGATACCCCTGCCAGGACAGGAAGTCTTCTTCCTTTCCCTTCTGCTACATAAGAGGTAGCAAGAAATCTCTGAAAGGATCCCTTGAATTGG
Source organism: Homo sapiens (assembly GCF_000001405.40). Taxonomy (NCBI): domain Eukaryota; kingdom Metazoa; phylum Chordata; class Mammalia; order Primates; family Hominidae; genus Homo; species Homo sapiens. The sequence continues at coordinate 86,469,635 of NC_000001.11, read as the reverse complement.
GACTGATAAAATGCAAGGTTTTCTCCCATCAGAAGGTCAGGGTTGTTCTTATATCAGAGATTTGCATCTGGGGCTCCTTTTAGGATCACAGGGAAGGGGGTTCCTATTAGGAGAATAAAAGGAGAGTCTGACTCGTGCCAAGGGTAAAATCAGGCAAAGGATCTGTGCATCTCACAATATCTGTCAAATGTAGCTGACTCTGCCTTACTATAGAACTAAATAATTTTCAGTGACATAATCCACAGCAGTACATATCAATTTATCATTTATCAGTTGCCAACAGTATATCACTCTGAGTTATGTGCATTGCATTCATTATCTTATCTGACACAAGAATCCTAATGGTTAACTTGTTATTATTTCCATTTTACAGATGAAGAAACTGAGACTTAGACATAAAAATACATGCCAGTGTCGTGCAGCTGGAATAGGGCACTCATGTTCTCTCTATCACAACATTATGCTATTTTTAAAAAAGTATGGATAATTACTATGAACTTACCTTTATTTGTTGAATGAGTGTTTCATCTTCTGGCACATTGGGGTCGATTGCAACGACAATGCCTTCATAGCCATTGTTGTTCAGCTGAATGAGTGAATTACTCAGGGCCCCTTCTAGAAGGTGAAGAATCAAGATGAACACAGAACTCTTAAATGGCCCCATTGCTGTACATCTCCCTGTGATTTCTCTCTTTGGAAAATGCGGGTTACGAAGGTGTCTTTCTTTACCATTATATATATACAGATATGAAAATATAGACACACGTTTCCAACTTATCGGAAGTGGTTTATCACAGGTCTTTAACCCCCTGACCTGATGTGTTTTACTATTGCTCTTGTCTTCAATAGGAGAATGATAACAATATCTTAGTCTCAAATTGCGTACTTGTAAATATTTCCATCTGCCTTCAGCTGTGCCAGATGCTGGGGTAAGGGTGGGGGAGCCCACATCCGGTTCCTTGGAAGCACTCACAGGTGACAAGCAGCTTGGCCGCTGATAGGTTTGTTTACTTCTTGGAAATGTTTACCAAGCCATGGACACCAACCCACCCAAAGCCCCCAACCCCCTCCTGCCCAGGAAAATCCAGACTGTTCTGCTTATTCAGTAAACATTTTGTAAGCCATATATTCAGTTATCCCTCATGGTGGTCTTTACCACAATGGTGGTTTTGTTTACCTTGACATAACCTCAACACCTCTTCATGCTCCCCTTAAACAAGAAAATATTCAATTATATTCCACATCCATTTGTACCAAAAGCATTAGCAAGTGATGTAGATATTATTGACTATTTTATAATGGAGAGTAAAGATAAAATGTATATCTTACTTTGCAAAGCATACTCCAAGTTCCTCATCAGATTTCTGCTTTCTCTATTGCATAGCTCCTACCAGTCAATAAAATTCCAATTAACATCATTAAATTATTTTGCTGAAACTAAATGTCCCTAGGAACATGAATTATGGGCTGTCAGTGGCTGTGTATATTCTTTCAATTTGCCAAACCTCAGGTGGAACCTCAAATTGGCCCCCCATTTTCTTGTATTGAAATACTTGAAATATCTCTTCGTTCATAAATTCATTTGGTCTTCAGATGGTGATAAGCATTAATTTCATCTTGTCCATATGAACTTTAAAGTAGTTTTTTCCAATTCTGTGAAGAAAGGCATTGGTAGCTTGATGGAGATGGCATTGAATCTGTAAATTACCTTGGGCAGTATGGCCATTTTCACGATATTGATTCTTCCTATCCATGAGCATGAAATGTTCTTCCATTTGTTTGTATCCTCTTTTATTTCCTTGAGCAGTGGTTTGTAGTTCTCCTTGAAGAGGTCCTTCACGTCCCTTGTAAGTTGGATTCCTAGGTATTTTATTCTCTTTGAAGCAATTGTGAATGGGAGTTCACTCATGATTTGGCTCTCTGTTTGTCTGTTGTTGGTGTATAAGAATGCTTGTGATTTTTGTACATTGATTTTGTATCCTGAGACTTTGCTGAAGTTGCTTATCAGCTTAAGGAGATTTTGGGCTGAGACAATGGGGTTTTCTAGATATACAATCATGTCATCTGCAAACAGGGACAATTTGACTTCCTCTTTTCCTAATTGAATACCCTTTATATCTAGCATAATCTTAAGCAGTTAAAAGGGAAACACTGAAATAGAGTGGAAATGCTCAATTATAATGTGGTTGTCCAGATGATCCAAAATATGCTTTTATATCAAAATACATATACATTTATTATTCATACAAAATTTAAAAATGTAGATTCCAAGATATCTCAGACCCCAAATGTATGTGTCTTTGCCTGGGTTCCCTAAAAAACAGAGCCTAAGGCAGGCATATGTGCTAAGAGTTTGAGAGTTTAATCCCAGAGCAGTGAGAATGAGGGAATGGGGAAATGAGTCAGGGAAGGCTGGGAAGCAACTAAAGGAGGAGCATTACTAAGCCCTGCAATGGAGACACCCAGCAGGCCAGCCCACAGGCGCCCTTGCCTTCCTGTGTGGGTTGTCTCCTAAGGGGCTGTGCAAAGAAACCACGCCTTGGAGCAGCCCTTTGGAGAGAGGAAGGAAAAGCGTTTGGCTCCTTCTCATCTTCTACAGGTGATCATCTCCCCCCAGACTTCCTGGCTGTGTCATCCAGCCCTTTCGGCAGTCGCTTAGAAAGAGAGACCCCCATGCCTTGTGGTATGTGAGGAGCCAGGGGTTACAAGAGGTGGCAGCTTGACCTCAGGCAGTGGAACTGCTTGGACCTGCAAGGAGTGGATAGTGACTGAGGTGGAGCAAATGACTGAGTGCCCGGTAGACAGATGGAACCAAGCAAATCTGAGGAGGTTCAATAAGAAGAGTCTGATACAGTTCACTCTGAGCTGCTCAGATTCACTCTAGTACTTTCATCATATCAAGCTCCAATATTATAATGTAGGATTTGTGTTTCTGTGTGTGTGAGCACTAGCTGTCTCACTTTTCCCCTGAGAGAAGGTACAAGTTTAATCATTTACAGAATCTCCTTCAAAGTGGTGGTCAATTGCAATCTGCTCAAGTGCATAAGGCAAGAAGGTTATTGAAATAAATTGCAATGCCTGCTGTTACAGCTGGTCTCAAGGCTTTTATAATCTCCCTCCTTTATCACCTATTTCCCTCACTTTTACTCAGCATTTTGGTTGATCTGTATTGTTTGTTCTCTTGTTGGGGTAATCCCACCCTTCATCCCTGAGTGGGGTCTTTAGTTGTCCTGCCCTTGTTGGCTGCAGCTGCTGCATTTCCCTATGACAGAGGTCATCTGGTGTGACAGACTCAGTTTAAGTGCTCTCCAAATTTGCTTGGCATTCCCTGCAAGCTGGGTCTTGGCTGCTTGCTCAGTGGAGAGTCCTGGCTGCTGCTAAAATTCACACATCTCCTAATACCAGTGTTTCTTCTTAGCTTTCCCCAGGAAGAGGGCCTAGTTTAGCATGGCCTTCACTGTGCAGATTGTGGGGGCAGCTCCTCCATTCTCTCCCGTTCCCAAGTCTGGATTGAATGGATGTGTGGAGGCTTTTGGCTCAGATAAATCACTGCACCATGGTACTGGGATCTGGCTTTGTCAGAGGCAGCCCAAATGGGCCAAATAACAGAAACCAGAGATGCAGGGAGTTAGCACCCTAAGGGACAACCTTTCACCAAAGAATATTTCCAGCATTCTAGAAGTTTCCTTTGCATTCCCTTCCAGTAAATCCCCCCAAAAGATAATTGCTATTCTGACTTCTATGCCACATAGGTTAATTTTGCCTGTTTTTGAACTTCATATAAACAGAAATATGCTGTATGTACTCTTGCATTTCGCTATTGTGACATAACATTTTCTATATGAGATTCAGCCAAGTTGTTGAATGTAGCAGTAATATGTTCTTTTTCCATTCCATTCCACTGTAAAAAATACTGCAATTTACTTACCACCCACTCTTGATGAACATTTGGACTATTTCCAGTTTGGGACTATTATGAATGAAGATGCCATAGATGTAAGCATTGATTTCAGTTGCAAATATACAAAGAGTGACATTGCTGGGTGACAGGGTATACATCTATCTAGTGACAAAGACTCCCTCCTTTGACCAAAACTTAAGTCAGGATCCTGAGTCTTCTCTGACTAGGTCTGACCTTGGGCTTCCCTCTCTGTCCTTGCAGAATCCAGTTTGAGCAAGAATCCTGCTAAGTCAGTTTAGGGAAAATCCCCACGTTTGGTATCTGACCATTCTCAGCATCTTTCCACCATGGCCTGCCTTCAGCAATAACCCTATCAAGTCAGTTTAGCCAGACATTCCTTATCCTTGATGTTTCCTCATAGGCATTTTTCATCCACTGACCCCACCCTTCTCCTTGGTTATAAATTCCCACTTGTCCTTATTGGAGTTGGAGTTAATCTACTTTCTCTCCCCAACTGCAAGACCTCCTTGCAATGGTCCTTGTACCTATCACCATGCCTCCCACCCCTTACCATCTTTAACAAGTGTTTGCATGAAGTTTTTCTTTGATACTAGATTATGTTGATCTCCCAAATACTTTTCAAGTGGTTGTACAAGTTATTCCACATTTCCACCAGTACATTGTACTGTCAGTCTTTCTAACTATCCATTTTCTTGGGAGTGTAGTCATATCGTTCTGTGGTTTTGATTTGCATTTTCCCTAATGGCTAATGTTGTTAAAGACCTTTTTATATACATATTGGTCTTTTGTGAAGTATCTCTTCAAGTTTTTTTTTTTGCACAATTTTTAATTAAATTGTCTTTTCTTATTGATTTATGGGAGTTCTTTATATGTTCTGGATACTGAGTCTTTTGTATTGAAAGATATATTGAAAATATTTTCTCCTAGTTTGTAGCTTGCCTTAATAGTATCATTAGATGAATAGAGATTTTTAATTTTAGTACAGTCCAATTTAATCTTTTATGTATAATGTTTTTGTGTCATATTTAAGACAGCTTTCCCAAATTCATGAAGATATTATACAATATATGATTCTAGAAGCCTTGCTGCTTGACCTTTAACATTTAGGTATACTGATTGATCTCAAAATATTTTTGTGTATGGTGTGAGGAAAGGTTCAAGGTTTTTGTTTTGTTTTGTTTTCCTCTGTGATAGCCAGTAAGTTGAGAGTATTTATTGAAAAGACCATAATTTCCCCTACTGAATTACAGTTGTGCTTTTGTTGTGCATGAGGTGACTACAGATGTGCAGGTCTGCTTCTGAACTCTCTGTTCTGTTCCTTGTTCCATTGGTCTGTGTGACTATCCTTACCTTGATTATCTGGTAGTGTAAACAGTCCAGATTTGTTTTTATTCAAGACTATTTTGGCTACATTAGGTGCATTTCAATATAAAATTTAAAAGCAGCTTGTCAATTTCACATACAAATATCTGGGTTTTATAGGGGTGCATTAAGTTTACAGATCAATTTTGGAAAAATTGACGTCTTTATTATATTGTGTATTTCAAACCATGGAGATGGTATGGCTCTTCATTTTAAGTTTTATTTAATTTTTCTCAACTGTGGTTTATAGTTTTCAGGATAGAGATCTTGTGCATCTTTCATTAGGTTTATTCTTAGGGGTTTTTCTTGGTGCTATTGTAAATGGTATTTTTATAAAATTCCATTTTCTAATTGCTTATTGCTGGTATATAAAAATATAATAAATTTTTATGTATGGACCTTACATTTAGTGAACTTGTTTAATTCACTTAATTCTAGTATTTGTAGATTCTTCTGGATTTTATATGTATATAATTATGTCATTTGTGAGTAATTACATATTGATTCTTCCTTTCCAATATTTTTGTTTCCTTCTCTTATTGGACTAGCTAGGACCTTGAGTACAATATTGAATAGTGAAAATAATGGATATCTTTTTTCTTGTTCCCAATCTCAGGGAGAAAAACATTCTAAAGAATTCTATATTTTACCATTAAGTATGCTGTTACCTAGAGATATTTTGTAGATACCTTTATCAGATTAAGAAAGTCTCTTTGGGCCAGGTGCAGTAGCTCACACCTGCAATCCCAGAACTTTGAGAGGCCAAGGCAGGAGGACTGCTTGAGTTTGAGACCAGACTGGGCAACATGGTGAAATACCACCTTTGCAAAAAATACAAAAGTTAGCCAGTTGTGGTGCCATGTCCTGTAGTCCCAGCTACTTGGGAGGCCGAGGTGGGAGGATTGCTTAAGCCCAGGAGAGCCACTGTACTCCTGCAATCCTGCCTCTCACTCTCACTTTGAACAGAGTGAGACCTTGAGACCCTGTCTTTAAAAAAACAACAAAAAAAAGTCTTTTTCTATTCCTAGTTTTTTGAGAGGTGTTTTTTTGTTGTAGTTAAATCATGAATAGGTGTTGAATCTTATCAAATGCTCTTTATATATCTATTAAGATGAGTATATAATTTTTCTTCTTTGTTCTGATAATGTAATGAGTTACAATGATTGATTCTTCAATGTTAAATCACTCTTACATTCCTAGAGTAAATCTTAGTTGATCATGATGTAGTGTCCTTTTCAATTTGCTAATATGTTGCTTAGGATTTTTGCATATTTGTTCATAAGACTGGTGTGTACTTTTCCATTCCTGTAGTGTCCTTGCCAAGTATCAGTATCAAGGATATTCTGAGGCTGGGCGTGGTGACTCTCACCTGTAATGTCAGTACTTTGGGAGGCTGAGGCAGGCAGATGACTTGGGGTCAAGAGTTTAAGACCTGCCGGGCCAACATGGTGAAACCCTATCTCTACAAAAAAATACTAAAATTAGCTGGACATGGTGGTGCAGACCTGTAGTCCCAGCTACTCAGGAGGCTGAGGCAGGAGAATTGCTTGAAACTGGGAGGTGGATGTTGCAGTGAGCCGAGATCACACCACCTGCACTCTAGCATGGGTGACAGAGTGAGACCTTGTCTCAAAATACACACACACACACACACACACGAAAATTAGAAAATATTTGGAACTAAATGATAATTAAAATATGGCCTATCAAAATTTATATGACAAAGCTAAAGCAATAGTCAGGAGGAAATTTAAGAAACTAAGAAATAGTCTTATAAAAACAGTTTCAGAGTGTATACAGACAGAATATAAATATGCTTTTTTTTTTTTTTTTTTTTTTTTGAGACAGTGTCTTGCTTTGTCACCCAGGCTGAAGTGTGCTGACACAATCTCTGCTCACTTCAACCTCCACCTCCGGGTTTCAAGTGATTCTTGTGCCTCAACCTACTAAGTAGCTGAGATTACAGGCCCATGCCTCCACGCCCGATAAATTTTTGATTTTTTGGAGAGATGGGGTTTTGCCATGTTGGCCAGGCTGGTCTTGAACTACCTGCCTCAAGTGATTTGCCTGCCTCAGCCTCCCAAAGTGGTGGGATTACAAACTGTTTTCTAATTTTCATTGTGAGTTCTTTCTTCACATATGAGTTATGTGGAAATATGTTGCTTAATTTCCAGACATTTGGGGATTCTCTAGTTGATTTATTTTTGATTTCTAATTTAATTTCCCTGTAGTATTAATATGTACTAATATAAATATTATATATATATATACATATATATATACACTAATATATTATATTCCTCTTTCCCCTGTCTCATAATCTGTTTTGCCAGGATGGTAGACAAGCTTCTGAACTCTGTTAGAGGGTGGGCAATCACTCTGTGATTCTCTCCATGTGCACATTATAAATTTGTATGCCATTTCTCCAACTAATCTGCCTTTTGTGAGTTGACTTTTCAGCCAAGCTTCAGAGGGCAATGGGGGTGTTTTGAGAGAGAAGGAAGACACCAGTCAAGCAGGCAGTTAGGGTGGGTCTTTGGTTGAATCCTTTCAAACAAAAGAACAACCGGCAGACATAGATAAGGGAGCCTGCACAGAGGGGCTTATCTAAGACATGCCCACAACCGCACAGATAAAAAAGGCTACACAGGTGACTTACCCAGACATGCCTGCAATGGAAAATTCTGTCCACTAACACATGTGCAGTAAGAGGAAAAAGCAATATGGAGTAACTCAAGCTAAGGGCCCACATGCACACTAGGAGGACAGAGCGGAGCTACCAGAAATTCATGCCTTGTGCAAATGAGACATCCAGCCCTCATTGGTTTCTTATAAAAGCCTGTGCTTTCAACAATGGCAATCTTCTTCTGGGGTCCCTCACCACGGTCCCCTCTCCACCTTTTATCTTCTTCATTTTCTTGCTTCTTCTTTCCTACGTTGGTGTGAAGTAAGATCATGCCAATTTAAAACATACTCCTTTTAGATGTTTGTTCTTTTATATTGCTTTTGCTACACAGAGCTAGGGAAATAGAAAGTAATTGGCCACTGTACTGGATAGCTTCCTCCTTCCTGGGTCCTTGAGGCAACAGTTGTCAGAAAGCAGCTTTTTGATAAGACTCAGCAGCTTGTAGCTGAGAGGGACTGGGAAATAAAGTGGCCACCATCTGGGTCACTCTCCACCCATTTCAGGAACCATCTTGCTGATAAGAGCTACTCATTCTAAGGGCAGGAGGGACGTTTGGACCAAGGCATGGCTTTTGATCTTTGGGAGCAAGCTCTAATCACCTCCATGCCTGTGTGTCTATGTCTTTGTGTGTTTCTCTATCACTGTGTACTCTGTGATGTGTCCCTTTCATACCTTATTTCACCTCTCTTTTTTGTGCCAGGTCTGTGCATTAAACTTCCTATAATATATACACAAGAAATTGGATTTTTCTTTCTTTCAGAGCCTGCTACTCATCTGACTTCCCTCTGCCTCTACTTCCTGTTTCCCTGCATTTTGCATTTGCAGATCTTAACACATAATGCAGCATCCACCCAACTTTATATACATTCCATCTTTATTTTTCATGAGTTGGATTTTCTACCAGTCTTACACATCCAATCCTCCATTATAGATCATCTTAATTTTGTTTTAAATGTATTCTTTCTTCTCTTTCATCTTATCAGCTTTATTTAGATCTGGTTCACACTCTTGTCCCGTTTTTCCCTTCAGTAAGGCCACTTTTTCTTTTCTTTATGTATCAAATATCCTTGCCTCTTTCTCTTCCTCCTTAGAAAGCAAGGTTTCTCACCCTCAACATTATTGACATTTTTGGCTGAATAATTCTTTGTTGTAGGGGTATTAGAGTAGGTAGCTAGGCAGACATGAGTAGGACTGGAGACAGACCCCCCACCCTCCACCAGGAATGTCAGGCAGCCACCAGGTGATAGTCAGGCAGTTGTTAAACTGTCTCTCTAAAATAATAACTGGTTGCAGCCAGCACCAGGAGAAGGTAGTTTCCCAACAGATAGAAAACACCTGAAGCTGGTGATTAGCAGCTTCCCAGTAAGATCTCAGGAATTGGGCAGGTGGGCTCAAGCATGTGCACTAAGAGGCAAAATGGTGGAGTTTAACTGGTATATGACCTTCCTCTAGCAACACTCGACTGGTAAGGAAAAAAATGCCTAAAATGAACATGCACACAACTTTAGTAAACATACTGTGCATGCTCCCCTCCCAAGTGCTGGCAGGCCACTGCGAATGCAGACAGCCTGTCCCAAGAAAAGAAATCAAGGGAGGAGAGATGCAAACCCCGGAACCATGCCAATGTATAAAACCCTAAGTCAAAGGTCAAACAGGGCACTTGTATCTCTCAAGTTGCCCCCTTGGCCCTCTTTTTGTTCCTACTCTAAAGCTTTTTAATAAAATCTTACTCCCGCTCAAAAACTTGCCTGAGTCTCTCACTCTGCCTTATGCCCCTCGGTCAAATTCTTTCCTTCAAGGGGGCAAGAATTGAGTTGCCGCAGACCCATGTTGATTAACCGCTGCTAGCAGGGGCTGTCCTGTGCATTGTAGGATGTTTAGCATATTTTTATTTTAGATATTTTTATTTTATGTATTATTTTTGAGACAGGGTCTCACTCGGTCATCCTGGCTGAGTACAGTAGCACGAGCATAGCTCACTGCAGCTTTGACCTGCTAGGCTCAAGTGATTCTCCTGCCTCAGCATCCCATGTAGTTGGGACTCCAGGCATGTGCCACAACACCTGTCTAATTTTTTTGATTTTTTGTAGAGATGGGATCGCATTTTGTTGCCCTAGCAGGCCTCTAATTCCTGGGCTCAAGCAATCCTCCCACCTAGGCCTCCCAAAGTGCTAGGATTATAGGTGTGAGCCACCATACCTGTCCTCAATTCTCTATTTTTAATGGGTGCTAAAAGAGTTACAATATGTGTTCTTAATTTATCCCACTCTACTCTGAATTAATATTATACCACTTTATGTATAATTAGAGTACCCTTTGATATTATAATTCCATTTGTCACCTTTATGTTCATTCTGCGCTTATTATCTTATATCTTACTTCTTGTTATTAATACCACAATATATTGTTTTTATTTCTGTTATAGTTAATTGTTTTTTAAAGGAATTGGGTAAAGCAAACCAACAGCATAGATACTTACGTACCTATTTATAATCTCTTTATTTTCTTTCTTTTTTTTTTCAGATGGAATCTCACTCTGTCTCCCAGGCTAGAGTGCAGTGGTGCTATCTCAGCTCACTGCAACCTCCGCCTCCCAGGTTCAAGTGATTCTTCTACCTCAGCCTTCTGAGTAGCTGGGATTACAGGCACCCGCCACCATGCCCAGCTATTTTTGTATTTTTAGTAGAAACAGGTTTTCACCATGTTGGCCAGCCTGGTCTCGAACTCCTGACCTCAGGTGATCCACCCACCTAGGCCTCCCAAAGTGCCAGGATTATAGGCATGAGCCACCGTGCCCAGCCTATAATTTCTAAAAACCCTTCAATGCTATAGATCTATATTTCCATCAGGCATCATTTTCCTTCAGCCTAAAGAAATTTCTTTGGTATTTCTTGCTGGCAAAAATTAGCTTCTACTTATCTACATTTTGAAAGACATTTTTGCTTGAAATCATTCTATGTTGACAGATTTTCTTTTAGCACTTTAAAATGCTATTTTATTGTCTTGTGGCCTCAGTTGTTTCTGATGAGTAGTCAGTCATCATTCCTATGATATGCCTAGGTGTTTTCTTTGTATAGATCCTATTTTAGGCTCACTTGAACATCTGAGATCTGTGGATTGATAGTTTAAATCAAATTTGGGTTTTTTTCAGATTGAGAGGATGCAGGTTTGGGGACTTTCCTCTTTGTGGCTGCTTCTTTTTGGGATTCCCTTCCTCAATTTCCAACTAATCTGACCCCCAGATTGCTTACTTCTGACTTATCAATCTGGGATGATGGCTGCTTTCTGCTTGAGCTCTATCCAGATGTTCTGAGCAAACTAGGGAGATCCTTTGGGGAAAAATTTGGTTAAATGTGGATCCCACCTCTACTTATTCTCCCCTTTTAAGGGTCATATCTCCTTCAGTTTCTGCTTGCTTTTGTCAGGATCCATTGCTTAAAGAATTGTGTTCTACATTTTCTTCCAGAATTATAATTGTTATTTGTAAGAGGATTAGTTTGATATGAGCAGCTTCACCATCAGTGTCACATTAAGTTTTAAATGTAAGATATATCTAGGGGTTAACTCTTCTAAGAATAATTGCATTGTAATAAAAGATAAAGCATACACAAATTTTTTTGGTAGACTTTTTGCTATTAACATGCAAGTACAAACGTACTTTTGGGAAAGTCAATAGTGTCCACATAAACAGTGACCTGCTCAGTGCATAGGCTATATCAGCAGCTCTTAAAAATCTCCCATCCCCTACTTTTGTCTCTCTTCCATTGAGACAATTAATCTTCCTCTACTATTCCTAAAAGAAGAGGGCAAAAAATGGGGGAATGCTCTTTTCACTTTCCAGAACAAATTTCTATCCACTACATAACAATGACTATTCTGAAATTTAAAAATAATATCTGCCCATATTGCTTAATTCCATAGACTTCTCTTCCCTCTCTCAGATAACTGTCTATCTAACCCACAGTCTTCCTCCTCTTTCAATCTTGGGTCAAACTGTTAATGATGTCACATGTATTGACATCATGGTATTCCACTAGTGACCAGCGAGCACATCATAGTTTTTCATTCTTTTTGGCCAAATGCCCTATTGTTTCAATTTTTTTTATCAGGTATTTGGAATCAACAGGGTCTTTACTGTGACTCTGTTCTATTGACTGCTGGAATCTCTAAATCTGTGTTTTCCTACATTTACTACATCTTTCTTTTTGTTTAATATTTTCACTCCTTACAACCACTGAACACTGTTTACCCTACGCACTTCATGAGATCACTCTTTCTATACTGTTATATTTGTTTGTTACTTTAATATCATTAGAACCCCTTAATTTTGCCTCTTATACTCACTAATTTCTGGACTTAAGTCCATTTGTTCCATTCCTGTACCCACAAAATGGAAGACAAACAACAACAACATCAACAACAAAACCCACCAGGTTTCTTTAAAGCTAGATCTGCTGTCCTGCTAACTTATCATGAAACAGTTAAATATCTCTAGGTAGAAACCCTGGCATCTCCCACACCTTAAATAGGAGAAAAGGAGTAGTCTGAGAACCTGGCTCTACCTCTAATATAGCTTTGCCATTAACCAGTATAAAACTTTGAATTACTCACCCAACCCTCCATTTTCCTGTCTGTAAAATGAGGAAAATATTCGAGAACTTGAAACCCACTACAATCCGTCTCTGTGTTTCACTAGCCCAGTTTAAAACTGGAGAGAAGCAAATTCCATGCTAGCAAGTATAATAGCAATAGAGGGAGGAAGGATTGACTGCCAGCTAGGAATTGAGCTGCAAGTGTCTTGAAGCTTTCATCTGTGAAAATGTAGGCACTGTGAGACTTAGAAAGTAACAGGCCAGACACTGGATCAGTATAAACTGCAAGGAGGTGGCCTGGGTAGAGAGATTTGCTGGTTGTTTTTCTCCCCAGCACTGGTCTGAGTCTCTCACTTAGGGCTTCATGCTATCTCTTTCTTCCTGTCCCAATTCCCCACATTTCCCTCTCCACCACCCCAAAACATAATCTAATTTTTATTCTTAATTGGTCCTGGTTATAAAATTTAGATCTAGTCTACATTATTATATATATTCTTCAATAAAGTTTTAAACTCTTTAATTAAAAAGGCAAATGATTTTATTGTTCGATAATCTTTTAAAAAAATAAGAGGAAGGAGTAAAATTAAAGATGAAAGATGATTTTTATTTCCTTGTGACCTCTATATCCCCCTTCCCCTGCCCTTGGTAAGTAACTCTTGATGGAGAAAGGATTAAAGACTCTTATTTAACCAAAAAACAGAGCCAGCTAATCATTTCCAAAGGTTAGTATCTCCCTGCTGACCTCTTCTTTGGTTTAATTGAATAAAACTATATGTTCATATATGTATTAAAACAAACTCAGAATAACATCTTTTCTTCCTTAGTTAAGGCATTATAAGGGCTATAACTATCATCCATAATAACCAAGGCAATAACTTAGAAAGCTGCTTTGATGGGAGTAGAAACTTACAAACAAATAAATTCAATAGACCTTTGTCATAAAACCGGTATGAAGAGACAAAGGTAATACCCATATTGTTAAAGGTTACCTCTTACAGTGAAAAAAGATCTCTGAGCATTAGCAGTGAGATTTCATCTGTAATATATATAACAAAATAGCAAGAGGTAAAGAGCTTTGCATTAGGGGCTTCATATATAAAATATAGCATGATCTTCAGTTGTAAACAAGCAACCTGTTCTGCACAGATAAGGAGAAAAGAAAAATTAATCAAAGTAACTAAATGATTGCTTCACACAGACAGTTATAATGCAGACCTACCCTCCTTTTCTCTGCTTGGGGCTATTTTTCCACCTCAATAAAACAAACTTTCCTTGACACTGGTCCGACTTTACCCTTCCCTTTGCCTTTAAAGACATTACTTTAAAGAATAATTTTTATTATTTGTTCATAGCCAAAGTGTAAGGGTTTTCTAATCTACCCCCAAAAAGAATTTGTTGATCTACCATGTAAAAATCTTATCTGTATTGTACAAAAACTCAATGCATTTTAATACAGTTTTGATGTTAATTTGACTTTGTTAGTATGTTTTTGTAGTCGAAGGCCATGGGTCTTATATCTAAGAAGGAAGACACTTTGGATATTTATTTATAATAATTTTGTTCCATTCTCTTTCTTGTCTGCTCTCTTTTTCCTGCTTAAAGTATGATGTGTCACAACTATAATAAGGCAAATGATTCCTATCAAACCCATTGCTGTTAAAACTCCTTTCAATATAAGATAATCTCTGGCAGGTACAGGATCAGAATTGGGGGGAATAAACAGAGGCGCCTGGGCAATGTTAGATACAGCAGACTGTAAGGAGTTCCTATCCATTGCTCGTATTGCAACATAAATTCTGTGGCTTTCATGTGTTTCTCCATTTGGCTGATGTTCAGGTCCATTCGTGGAAATTTGGGGTGAGAACGTAAATATCTCCCTGATGCCAGCTTGCTGAGGATTTCGCTTTGATGTATTTACTAAAATAGCATTGTTAAAGTCATCTTGGATATTCTGTAGACTTTTACTCATTCTTATTTCATAGCTTGTAGCTGAAATTAAAAAATATAAATAGGAAAATTAAGTCACTTTGAGTATATTTTCTAGTTTATTAGAAATTACTAATGAGAACAGCAACAAAAAGTCAAAATATTTAGAAATAAACATAACGAGAAATATGAATACAAGCAAAACTTTAAAACACTACACAAGGACTCATATTAAAATCCAAGGATTTTTTTTTTTTTTGAAAAGCAAGATTCAACACAAAATATGTTATTTTTTCCTAAGTTATTTTGTAAATGTTATGTGATGTTTTTGTTTTTGTTTTTGTTTTGTTTTGTTTGAGATGGAGTCTTGCTCTGTTGTCCAGGTTGGAGTGCAGTGGCGCCATCTTGGCTCACTGTAACCTATGACTTACGGGTTCAAGCGCTTCTCCTACCTCAGCCTCCCAAGTAGCTGGGATTACAGGCATGCACCACCATGCCCGGCTTATTTTTGTATTTTTAGTAGAGACGGGGTTTCCCCATGTTGGCCAGGCTGGTCTCGAACTCCTGACCTCAGGTGATCCACCTGCCTCGGCCTCCCAAACTGCTGGGATTTCAGGCGTGAGCCACTGCGCCTGGTCTGTTATGTGATTTTATTTAAAATGCCTCATTTCTGCTTTATCTAGTCAAGTTTATTGTAAATTCATATGGAAATTAAGCAATCAAAAATGAGCATATAAAGTCTAAAAAATAGCAATGTGGAAGGACTAACCCTACCAGATATACAAATGCTATAATACCTCAGTAATTAAAATGCTGTGGTACTTACTGATGCATGAATAGACACATCAAAAAATAGGCCAAAACACATTCAGAAATTTAGTATATGATAAAGGTGGAATTCAAATTAATGGGGGAAAAATACAATTTCTGAATAAGTGGTGTTGTGGAAATTGGGTAAAAAATTTGGAAAAAGACGATGGAGGCAGAAACCTCAAAGTTAACATAAGCCTTAGAAAAGGGAAAGTAGAAAAAGTACTCCGTCAATGTTTACCCAAGCGAGAATAAGAAAGCCCTGAATCAGGGGACTGGTCCCAGGCTTCCTCGCAAACATAATGGCCAGAAGTAGTAAACAAAAATGCACCAAGGTTTGCATGAGTTATGCAAAAAATTCCCCAAAGCCTACTGATAAATATATGAATAGATATTTACTACCCAACTTTCAGAAAATGAATCACTTCCAGTACTGGGAAGCACATGCTCTGTAGTGCAGAGCCCATTTCTACTGAACAGACACCCATAACACGTGGTGTTTATGCTTCTAGTCAAGGTTTCTGAGTGGTTAGTATCCGTGAGTTAGCCAGGGCCTCCTCATTCCAGGGGTAGGCAACACACTGTCCTTCTGGGACTCCAGGATTTAAAGCCTGATCAGCAACTCAGAGCTTTTCACAACAATCCTCTGTACCTTTTTCAGTTCTACTAGCCCCTGACCTAGTTATTAGAAATGCTGTCTTATGGAAAAATAGGTAATGAAATGAGCAAACCTACCCTGGCCCTGATCAAAGTCTTCTCCAGGTGCTGTCCAAGATAGGGTCAATTCCTCTTCTACTTTTACAGCTTCCAGGTCAATAATTTTGCATGGTGGAAACACATCAGGGTGGGGGCCAGCTGGAACTCCCAGCACTGAAAAGGAGCCTCCTGAGCTGACTCGGCTAAAGCCCCACTTTCGCTCCTCCTCATTTCTGCCTACTGATTTCCTTGGAGCATTCATCTGAATATTACCTGAGACAAAAAAGAAAAAAAAAGGCAAAATGACAAATTACAAAGCTTCTGAATAGCTTGTTCTTGACACAGTGAGACTTTCTTAAACCTTTTTTTCTTTACTACATCTCTAGAATAACTGAGTGTATTTGTACAATACTTTGAACACTAATTCATCCATTTATTCACTCAGTAGATCTTTATTTTATTTTATTTTGAGACAGAGTCTTACTCTGCTGTCCAGGCTGGAGTGCAGTGGTGTAATCTTGGCTCACTGCAACCTCCGCCTCCCAGGTTCAAGCAATTCTCCTGCCTCAGCCTCCTGAGTAGCTGGGATTACAGGTGCCCGTCACCACGTGCAGCTAATTTTTGTATTTTTAGTAGAGACAGGGTTTCACCATGTTGGCTAGGCTGGTCTCGAACTCCTGTCCTCGTGATCCGCCCACCTTTGTCTCCCAAAGTGCTAGGATTACAGGAGTGAGCCACTGTGCCCGGCCTCAGTAAATACTTATGGAGGGCATATGCTGTGCCAATAATTACAGACAAAACAGTATCCCTCATGGAATTTATAGTCATGTTAATCATATTAATAAACATATATTTACAAAGTATGATAAGTGTAAGAAGGAAAGAAGACAGGATGCTATGAAAGAAAATAATGTGGGTCAGTAATTTAGCGTGGTATCAAAGAGGTAACATTGAAAGGCTTCCTAAAGGTTGAGTAGGAACTGTCCAGCTAAAGAAGAGAGGGAAGAACATTCTAGGTAGAGGGAACAGCAAACCCTGAGGTGAAAAAGAGGTTTCAAGTTAGAAAAGCTAAATTAAAAGCAAGGAGAGTCGTTTGAGATGAGGCAGGAGAGAAGTTTACACAGGACCTCATGGTCCAAAGTGATTTTAGATTTTAATGTTACATGCTGCAGGGAAGAAGGGAAGTGACAAAATTATATTTGCTTTCTAATAGGACACTCTGGCTGCTTGGTGTAGAATGAATTAAAGCACAGCAAGCAACAAGGCGGCCACTTAGCCATTCAATAGTCCAGATGAGAGAAGATAGCAGCTTGGGATGGGAGATGGTGTGGAGAGGAGGGCAAGAAAGTGGCAGTTCAAGATGTCTTCTGCAGATGTCAAACAAAAGCTGGTGATGGATATGAATACAGAATGGTGAAGAAAAGAAACATGGTTTAAAATGAAAAAAAAAAAAAAAAAAAAAAAAGCTTCCAGGTTTCTAAAATGAGCAAGCTGGGAGGAGAAGCAGGATAAGGAGAAAAAGAACAAAAATTAAATTACAAAGTTTGTGATTCCTGTAAAACATCTAATTCAAGATGTTAATGAGCCATTTAGATCTGGATTTTAAGCTTAAAGAAGAGATTTTAGCTAAATTTAATAATTTTAAAGTTATGAATTTGGAGGTTATACACAGATAGATGTTATTAAAGGCATATGGATTAATGAGATTAACTAATAATAATTATTACTATAATGATAAGTAGCACTTTTTGAGCACCTTCTATGTGCCAGGCACTTTTCTAAGGCCTTACATGTATCAGATATTTAATTTTCCCAACAAGGCTACGAAGAGGGTACAATTATTACCCTTATTTTTTTAGATGATGAAACTGAGACACACAGAAGCTAAGTCACTTGCCCAAAGTCACACAGCTAGTAAATGGAGGAGCTGGGTTTCAAAACCAGGCAATGTGGCTCCAGATGGTAAAGTAAGAAGGTTCAGACTCAGACAACATTTAGAGGCCTGGTAGAAAAGGAGGAGCTGGAAAAAGAGCCTGATAAAAAATTCCAGAAAATAGGAGGTAATCAGGAGAGTGAGGTATCATAGAAACCAGGAAATGGCAAAGGAGGGATCTTGGCTGTGTTTGATACTGGTGAGGTCAGGAAGAATGAGGACTGAAAAGTAAACAAAAAGTATAGAATCATGGTGTGGAATAGTCCAAATGATTAGTTATAACTTCTAAAATACATGAATAATATTTATAAAGAATCTGCATTTTTGGAAATAAAAATGCTTAGAAGTCTTTTTTGAGATTGTTTTCAAAGACTGTAGCATGATATATTTCTGTTGGTCTATTATGCTTTAACCACCGCTTCCTATCAGGAACTATTATAATGGTGTTAAAAAGATAACTATCTTCCATTTATTTTGAACTTTTTTCTTGAAGAAAAGCAAAACATCTTCAGGAATCACTTAGTTGCCTGTAACACCCAAGCTCATATTTATTTAGGAACTCATTTCCTGTGTGGACTGTTTGGGCTGTTGGCCTCCTTCTTTCAACTGCTAATAACTTTTTGCCTCTTTCTCTTGCCTAAACCTCTATAGAGGAAACACGGAAGCAGGAACTGAGAAAACCCAGTAAATCTCTTTATCTATTAGTAATTCTGATGAAACAAGAAAGAGGTCAACATAATGACTAAAATGAAGTTAGGTATAATCTGTGGGCATTACCTATCGCCTTCCTGTTACCCCCCTACCATGAATCACTGAGGATTGAAGAAACAGTCAACAAATTATGTATGGACTTAAGCGTAAAGAGTTTTGAAATTCTCTCTTTCTCTCACTCCCTGCCACCCCAGTACACACATACCCATCAGAGATATGTACATGAAATGATGTTACTCAAATAACAGTGCTAATGGTTCTTACCGTTTGCTGTGTAACCTGGTACATACATAGCATGACTCCCTGGAATAGAGTGGGCTGGGGTGCTTATGCTGGGAGAGTGATTGACATGCACTTTCAAGCTATATCTACCATTTGCAGCAAAGGAGAAAAAATACCTCGAGTAAATTCCATCATTTTTTATAACATCAGCACCTGTATATATAAAAAACACAGTGTCAACACTTGTTATTATAGTAGATTACTAATATTTAAGTCATTAAAAATGAGATTTACTCCCCTTATTCTTTCTATATAAGATATATTATCATGCTCTTATCTACTTTTTACATTCTCAGGTGATAAAAAATCCAATGGGTCCATAATTTCTCCCTGTAATTTCTTACCTCAGTAAAATGATTTTCTAAAGGTGAATAAGTTGTACCATGCTAATAAAACATTTAATCATCACCTTTAACATTCTTGTACTTATCATTGAAAATAATACTAGTTTTTTCTAGAAATCAAGCACATTCTTCAGGTTGCTTATAGTCATTGACCCTTTTGAGATATGAATAAAAGCTATTTTGTCCCTAGGAAATAAATATATATGCACATATACACATTTTCATACAGTTTCAAGGGTTTATGAATGCCTTGAAGTCACTTGATTAAGGACCTTTAATAAATAAAAACTTTGGTTAGTTTATAAAATAGTGTGAAATTACTTAATTTCCTCATTAGAGGGTATCTGGAACTGTTTTTCTAGATTCTAGGGGACTTGATGACCTGGAGTTTGACAGAATTTGGTAGCATCTACTGTGCCTTGCTTCAGGGGGCATTCTGAAAGGTTAGCCAGTGATGTACTTCCTTCTTTTTAAATTGATCTTCAGAGAGCAGTTCAATTCCAAGCCAAAATCATGACTCAATGGCAGGAAGGCCTAGACCCCAGGGCAGCAGAGGGAAGTCCAGCTTAGCCCAAGTATAGATCACTTTTGCCATTCAAGTACAGGTGGCCATAGTGGGCAAGCAGCTTGTCCTCTATCCTAGAGGTCAATTCAGTTTTCATACCACACACACAGCCCTGCATACCAGCAGTGTATCATTGCTAAAGTGTCCCCAGAATCTCCCTCTTCCCCACTGCAAAGGCAGGGCTCCTTAACATAAGAAAAGCAGGAGTATATTTAAATGAAATAAAAAGTGCTAAACATTTTATTATCAAGATAGATTTAGAACTCTTTTTTGTCTGTTGTAAGAAATCAAATCTTGGTATTTAGTGATTTAATGATTAATAAGGTTTATCTTTGTTGAGAAATTACAAAGGAAAATCTCTCCATATTAAAGTCACCACTGCCACCTCTTTTAATAACTGAGGCAGAAAGAAATGGGGAAAGAACATTGGCTTGGGAGACAGAGGAATTAATTTGAAGGCCTGCATCTGTCACTTAGTAGCTATGAGGCTTCATGTCTCTGAGCCTCAGTTTTCTCATCTATAAAATGGAGATAACTTATCTTGCAGGGTTGTTGTGATGATTATTTGAGAGTATGCATGAAAAAGTACATTTTAAATTGTAAATCATTTCAGAGGTATAAGTTTTATTACAGTTCATTTACTGAGCAAATAAATACTGCTTCCATTATAAAAGTATTAAACAACTATGTACATGCGTGTTAAGTATTGATTGGAGGGGAAACAATTTACATTTTGATGCCTGAGCAGTATTTTTTATTGTTCCTTTTTTTAGTGCATACATTTAGATATCAAACAAATAAAATAGTTCCAAGGAATAATATAAAAGCCAATTGAGCTGAATCAGACGATATTCCCTAGGGGAGTAGGCTCTGTTCTCCAGGCTGGCCCACAGGGTGGGGCAAGAGAGAAACATTCTGCAAAAGTACATTTTTGGACCATAAACAAAAAATGAAAGGTGCAACCATGGATAAGCCATCAGAGCATGAGAAGTTCATTTGGATCCAATCCAACAGGCAAAACAAGAAGACTTCTCTGGTATCCCCCAGTGGTGGACTTGAACCAAAACCCTTTGAATGAACTTTTGTTTTCCTGCACATCATACATGATTGCCATGGCAAGATACTGATGGGCTACCAAACTTAAGACTCTTGAAAAAAGATTAACTTTGAAACAACAGGGCAAAAGAATATAATTTTGTTAGCAGATCAAACACTTCGGGCTGCCAAGAGGCAGGTCTACTGCCATTCTAAGAATGTAATTTAGGAAAATAACCAAATAGGAAAGATGGAACAACAAAGGAATTTGTTTTTCAAAGGATCCCAAGTGCTGCTGTTTACCTGGCTGGATGCTATACCATCTATAATGTATGATGACGAGGCTCTGAATGCTGTATGTGCAGAATGAGAACTTTTCTCTATTCTGATTCCACTAGGCTTGCAGGCTGGGTCTTCTTGGGACCAAATTACACACGTAAAAGGCATTGGCTGTGCTAGAACTGAGCTGTGCCCTCTCTTCAACCCAGCCTCTTGGGTCTAGGGTCATCTTATAGGTCACAAGTTCAGTTTCCAATTTTTTCTTCATAACTGGGGTCCAAAGGGAAAAAGTGGGTTCGCTGTCACTGCACCTCCCTTCTGATTTTCATTTGCTATTTTAACAGTCCAATCTGATTACTTCAGTGAATAATAAAGCTAGTGACTCTTAGAGGAATATAAGTATGTCATAAGGACATAGAAGCCTGCTCCTGTATGACCTCAGCAAGTGGAAGCCAGGACCAAGGTGTCCAGCGGCTGCCTCCCACCCTTTGCTCAAACATAGACACTATGAGGAGTCTCACAAGGACTCTCTTTTTCCATGTTAACCTGTAGCTATTCAGTATATCAGTGACTCTATAAGAATTTGAGAATATTGTAAGATTAAAAAAAAATTGAACTCAAGGAATCTTACAGATAAGCTTAATATTGATACTACCGCATCATATCACAACAGCTGTTGAGAAGATGATAAAATGTCATGACATTCCTTGTTACCTGCTCCATCATCAAGGAGTCTCAGCGTAACAGGATCTCCAGTCTCTGGCTCAACTGTGGCAGTGACAGTGGCATTAAGAATGGGATAAAATCCCTGTTTCACATTGGCATAAATCATCACAGGATGAGGAAAATGGAGGCTGTCTCTTTCCACAAAGGCTTCCACAGTGGCTGGGGGCACAGCTGAGTTGGAGGCGCGAGAGGTCACTGTCACTTTCAGGGCTTGCAGAGAATGATGGGTATTGTTCAGGGTGTAAGTCCAGTGCCCAGGCTGTAAAACAAGTCTTATTGTTTTGGAAAGTGTGAAAAAAAAATCAACCCTAATTTTAAAGCATACATCAAAACTTCTGGAGAATTTTGCTCTTGTTTTGTTGATGTTGCACTTTTTAAAATACTACAAAAAGATGCCAGGAAAAGTAGCATTGGTTAAGGGATGAATAAATTTGTATTTACATGGCTTTCATAGCATAAGTCACCTTTATTTCTAGATAATTCTTTAGGGAATTACACCTCGAATTTATTTGGAGTGAGGGAGGATACATCTTGATTCCCATTTTTAGAACATAACAATAATAGTGTCCAGCTTCAAAGTACTTTACAGATATTAATCTGAGCCCCTTCCCCAAAAAGGCGTTTAAATGTTTTTCATTTCTTTTCATAACTGAGAAAATTACATCAAATTAATTGGACCATTATAATTTATGTGGACACCGTGGACTAAAAAGGCAACAACATCCTTCTTTCACTCCACTTCCCAAAAACTCCACACTCAGAAATCTCAATCAACAAAAAACACATACACTACTAGGGACCAAGAAAAGGACCTACTATTTTTAATAGGTCAGGATTATACAATATCTAATTTGGGTAATTTATAGAAATACTGCTAAACACTACTCTTGCCTATCTGCCTGGGAAAAACCTACAAAAGAAAATCTGAAAGAAAAAGACTAAAATTACAATATAGCAGAAATTCGTCCTTTTGATTAAGCTATACATATATTGCTTTTCCCTGACTTCTGCTGCTGCTCCTTATCAAACCCCCAGAAGTAACAAGTGAAACACAACAAAGCAGAAGGAAGAACAGAAAAGCAAGGGGTTGAAGCGTAACTCAGGGTGGAGAGTTCAGATGCACCACACCCTAGCCATCTTTCTTCATTGGGATTCATGAGCTTCACTATTTTCCATTAAGTTATGATTCAAGGACTATGTTTTTTTGTTTTTGTTTTTTGAATCATAACATTAGTGACAGATGCATGGCAGGAACTTCCACATCAAAAAGTTCTCTGAGTGTAATAAATGTTTTGATACAGGGCATCTAATCCAGACCAAGAGGTCAGGCAAGGGGAGCAAGAAGTAGGTAAAGTGTCCCTGGCCCTTATACACAGGTGTGAAAAGAACATGATGAATTTGGAGAAAAGTTCAATAGGAGCAGAGCATCGAAGAAGTTAAGAGAGAAGCTTGGGTAGAAGCCAAAACATGAAGGGTCTGGTATGTAAGATTTACCACTTGGGCCTGGTGACAGAGCGAGACTCCATCAAAAAAAAAAAAAAAAAAAAAAAGTTCCCACAGCTCACCACTACAGAAGCAGAGAAGACAACTATGCAGAAAACAGAGTTGGTGGCAGTCAGGAGGAATGCAGCTGGTCTGTTGGACCCCTACTGGATTGGGGGAGTGCAGAAGACACTGGTGAAATCCTCTATACTGAAGACCTGCAGTTGGGAGCAGGGGGAGTCCATGGGTCTGCTGATTTTTTTTCCCTATTTAGTACTAATGTGTGTGTGATCTTTGTTTTACAAAATACCTTTTGGGTTTTCTGCATATTTTAAAATTTTTGTACAGTTTTGAATTCTATAGATCGTCTTGGAAGGATACTGTGTGATGAGCCAGGCACACAGTAATTGGAGACTTTTAATGTGTGTAATATTTCATAGATTGCATGCTATTAATCGTCTGTGAGGGTAGTATTTTTTGTTTTATTATAAGTTTCCCTCATTTTTTTATAAATTAAAAGATGGTTGGTATTAGGAATTTCAAATGAATGCAGAAAATCTTACATGCTCTGTACTATTAATATTATAACAAAGACGATCCAAGTCCAAAATCTGACCAATAAAGCAACCATTTTATCAAGATAGAGGATTCTACCATGGGAGAGGGGATTCTTCCCTCCTGAAGTTTGTGTGTCCAATCCCCTTAAAAAAAATGAATAGTTGTCTTTTCTTGTCATATTAATACTCGAAAGTCCATGGTGATATTAATGAAAGTACACTTTATTGTTGCCTTTGACCTTATGGCCAAGGCAATAAATCAGAAACAAAAATAGTGCCAATGTGTCAAAATCTACAACTGAGAGATTCAGCCTCCCATCTGGAATAAATGCGAATCTTCTAAGCTAAAAAAAAAAAAAAAAAAAAAAAAAGGTTAACACTTGGATTTTATTCTGAAACCACCAAGGAGGTTTTGAACAAAAGACAGACTGATTTGTGCTTCAGAAGGATCGCTTTTATAGAGGTAAAGAATGGACTGGAGGGATGGCAGTTCAGAGTCAAGAAGGCTAGTTAAGGGGCTGTCAAGAAGGTGGTGGGAGCGGTGGCTCATGCCTGCAATCCCAGCACTTCAGGAGGCAGAGGCAGGCAGATCACTTGAGGTCAGGAGTTTGAGAACAGCCTGGCCAACATGGTGAAACCTCATCTCTACCAAAAAATACAAAAATTAGCCAGGCATGGTGGCAAGTGCCTGTAGTCCCAGCTACTCGGGAGGCTGAGGCAGGAGAATCGCTTGAACCTGGGAGGTGAAGGTTGCAGTGAGCTGAGATGGTGCCACTGCACTCCCGCCTGGGTGACAGAGCGAGACTCCATCTCAACAACAACAACAACAACAACAACAACAACAACAAAAGTGGGGGTGGGGCAGCATGTGAGGAGGCACTGAATTCAGGCAGTGCAAGAGTGAATCTGATCAACTTACAGTTCTCCTTAGAACCATCAGTGGTTCCCTTTCACTTTCAGGATTCAAGCCCCTGTTCACTTTACTGTTGTGCAAAGCCCTTGCTAATACAGCTCCTGTTTACCTGTCTAGCCTCACTACTCCCCTCTCCTTCCTTTGCCTACATCCCTAACTTATAGATTACCCTACTCTATTGAACTACTCTAGTTCTATGAACAGCCATGTTCTTTTTATCTGAGTCTTTCTATATGCTGTTTCCTCTGCCCACAATATCATACCCACCTCTGGCCTGTTATTCCTTATATTTCCATTTTGATGTCTTTGCTTCCAGGAAGCATTCTTCCTTCCACCCTCTTGTATGTTCTGATAGTACCCTGTTCATGCTCTTACCATGGCATTTTATTGTAAAGTACCTGGAACAAAACCCAGCACACCCAGTAGATGCTAAAAACCACATGCATTGCATGTATTCATATTATAAATTCTAAGTAGAGATTTTTTTCTAAGCATATAGAAAAGTGTGTTTGTATGGATTATGTAAAGAAATATGTAGGCTAGAAAAACATTAATTGTAATACTAGTGGAAATACTAATTTTCAGTGTTGAAGTATTTGGTGTCTAATATATAAAACTGGGAATATACCTTAGTTATTCCTCTTAAATTTTTAATATTCACAAAATGGCCTCATAAATTTAAAGTAAACTTTTGATATATTAAAACAAGATTTTCTTTACACAATGCATTTAATCATGTGATTCAGCTGAAAATCATAAACTTGGTTGAACGTTGTCCTTAGGAACAAACTCACAACACCTACCTTAGCTGTTCCTGGAATCCAAAGACTAGCTGTCCGAAAAGTTAGATTGGTGATAAAATTATTTGTGTAGTATTTTCGTCCATCAGGATCAAATAATATAATCTCAGGAGGACCACTGGCCTGCCACGTAACTAGAAACATAGTGTCGTTGCCCACAGTATTATCCACAGTCACTGTGTTTTTCAATTGATGGTGAGGTTTGACATTTTCACCTGTACTTTCAAGCTGTTAAAGAGAAGATATATATGAGAGTTTCTGGTGTATGCATAATCATTCCATCTTTTTCTTTTTTAACAAACAACAATTAATTGGCAAAAATAAAAATAATTTAATTCTGACAGGTACTGTAGTTATACATCATTTTTCATAAAAAATACTTTGCAAAGCAAAATATTGCATGTTATTTAAGTACAGTAGGTATAAAACATTTTGTTGTAGTTAATGCAAGTGTCATTTCATTATTCTTTATTAAAAGATGTTAGCTGTCCTCATATTATCTCTTATCCAAACCAACATTGGCCTCAGATCAGCAATTACAATGACAAGCTTTTAAAAATTTTCATTTGTGAATATGCTTAAATTTTATTAATTTGTATATAATCTGTCCAGATCCTTTTATATATTTCGATAAGAAATAAAATCTTGGGTTTTGGCATGGTTTTGCTACGTTAAAAAATTATTTAGGCCGGGCACAGTGGCTCATGCCTGTAATCCCAGCACTTTGGGAGGCCAAGGCGAGTGGATTGCCTGAGGTCAGGAGTTTGAGACTAGTCTGGCCAACATGGTGAAACCCTTTCTGTACTAAAAATACCAACAAATTAGTCAGGTGTGGTGGCATGTGCCTGTAATCCCAGGTGCTCGGGAGACTGAGGCAGGGAAATTGCTTGAACCAAGGAGGTGGAGGCTGCAGTGAGCTGAGATCGCGCCACTGCACTCCAGCCTGGGAGAAGAGCAAGACTCCATCTCAAAAAAAAAAAAAAATTATTTAGCCATTCACAATAAGCCACGTGTGTGCACACACATGTGTAACATGTACAGAGTACAAACGTATGCCTGGCCCCATGCTAAAGGCTTCACAATCTCACTTGATCCTTATAAAAATCCTCTGTGATAAATACTATTGTTATCCACATTTTAGAGATGGGAAGAGTAGGCTTAGAGAAGTAATTTGCCGATGTCACATACCAAGGGAATGGAACCGTGATAAAACCCAGTGGGCCTGACACCAGAGCCCCTGCATTTAATTACTGCGTATTTCCAATGGATACAAGTCTCTAAATAACTTTGAAAATTTACATTTATTAAATAAGCACATTAGTAATGCTTCGTTAATTGCTCAAATCTGCAAAGCGTGTAAAATTATATTGGTGGATAACAGCAAAGACATTGTGAATTGTTTGTTCAAATGAATTTAAGAAATATTTATGGATTGCTGATGGCTGGGCCACATGCTATGCTGGGCCCTGGGCTGTTGAAGAAGATTTACATGTAGTTCCCACCTCACTCCAATGGAGCTAATGACTCCAACAGCTTGTCGGGAGGGGGGCAAGTTTGGGAACGTTAAGGCTTATTTGATCCCATATGAGTAATATTTTGTTAAATTTATTTTTTACTTCTTTAAACATTTGTTTTTATTCCCTATTGTTGCAGAGGAAGTCACAGGGCATAAAGATTGAGCATTATCAGAAGAGCCAATTGTAGCCTAATCTGTACTAGATATTGTCATATATAATTCACATTTTTACTTCTTATTGTGGAATTGTGTTTATTGCCTTCACTGTGTAAATATAATCTTCACGTTAAATAAATTGACAGGCTGCATTGGTCACATCAAGCCATTAACTTGGCAGGCACACTTGCCATCTGTGAGGAAACTATAGATGAAATTTTGTTCAACACATTATTCAGTTATGTCCAAAATATCTTTAAAGTACTTTGGAAAGAAAAAAAAAGTGGCCCTATGAAAAGGACTTAACTAGAGGAAGCTTTGGTGAGCAAAATCATGTAAGTTGTGGTAGTCAAAGAGATATTTAGATATTTGTGGTAGAATTTAATGAAATAGTTGATACCCCTTATACAAGGAAGAGCTTCAAAGATGTTGAAGAAGCAAAAATAAGATGAATTCTGATTGACAGAAAGTTACTATAACACTAAAAGTAAATTCACAGTTCCTTATTTTTCTTCTGCACCTTGCCTCTGCCACACCCCCATCTGCACTTGAGCCACAAGAAAGGAACAAGCTCCACTCGCAGACTTTGAAAAGCTGAGGTGGCAATTGTGGTAAATGGCTCCTAGGGCTGAAAGCCTGGCTCTGGTGATGCCAAGCAGCCTTTTAAAAGCCTTCCATACACAGCTGTTACATATTCAAGTAAGGTTAATGAAGCAGGTAGCACAATTCGTTGATTTCCCTTGTTTCCTTCTCCCTTCCCACTCCCCACCTGGAAATATAACATTGAGAAAATTCTGACCTGAATATGTTGCTGGAAAATGTCTCCAGTTCCAGAGGAAATTCTACTGAAAGCATCAATCATGCTATTGGAGTTTGATATATCTGGAACAAAGAACTTTAAACCTCCTGAAATACATGATAGGAGTGTTCACTATTAAAATGGGTAAAATAAAACAAAAATAAAATGTTAAGCCTTTTCCAACAAGCTTTCTTTGCATTAGAGTGTTTGTTTTGGGGAAATGGGAGCTGTGCTTGACTTGCTTTGCCTGACATCCTATACAACCACATGGTAAGTGGCCCTAGGCGAGTGGTTTCAGCTATTCTATTCATGACTGTATTGCCAGGGCCTAGAACTTATGTACAGTACATAAGAACTCAATAAATATTTATTGAATAGTCTTCAGATTAAGGTAATTTTAAGATAATTTAGGTTAATTGCTATTTACATCCCTATATGTTTACATTTATATTCTGAAAACATTGCTTTTAAAGATAATTCAATAAAACCTTTCATTTGTCAAATCAGCATGCCCATTTTTTATTGAATAAGGAATATAAGATAAAATTATTCTGTGCCTTATTTAGTATAAAAAGATATGTATCTTAAAACACTGTGTGTGTCCCTATTATAGAAGTTAGTGCATTTAATCTTTTTCTTTTTTGAGATGGGGTCTCGTTCTGTCACCCAGGCTGGAGTGCAGTAGCGTGATCTCAGGTGACTGCAACCTCTGCCTCCTGAGTTCTAGTGATTCTCCTGCCTCAGCCTCCCGAGTAGCTGGGAGTATAGGGACCCGCCACCATGCTCTGCTAATTTTTGTATTTTTAGTAGAAGTGGGGTTTTACCATGTTGGCCAGGCTGGTCTCAAACTCCTGACCTCAAGCGATCTGCCCACCTCAGCCTCCCAATGTGCTGGGATTACAGGTGTGAGCCACCGCGCCCGCCCACAAAGCATTTAATCTTAAACATATGTTTTAGCTCCATGATTATGCATGCTCACACTGGCTTAACACAGAATTATAAAATATTATTTTTTGGATGTATATAGTTGGAACCTTTAGGGAAAATGTAAAAAAAAAATCAGCAAAATTTTGACAGATTCTAGCAATATGTGTGTGCGTTTTTTAAAAACAATTTCTGTATTTTCAATTAAGCCATATAATGAGTTTCATAGTTGTGTCTTGGATAGTCAAGTTAAAGGGACATGCTCCAAAAGATAAGTTTTTAAAAGTTTATTACCTGTAAGACGTGATAATTCCTCCAGATTTGGGGCTGCAGATGAACCCAGGGCAATGGAGTGAATTGTTGAACCACTGCTGAGCACAGTGGGTAAGCAATTGCCAAGAAGCTTATCATCTCCGCTGGTCACTAATATCATCACAGAGCCATAAGCTTTTCCATTCAGTTTTTCAACCACCTGAACATAGAGAATTAGTCACTTGGAAGGAAGTGTAGTTCAAATTGTTTTATTGAGCAAAAGAATTCACTCTCATCCAAATTCCCACTGTAGCTCCTACACCCCACGCCCATCTCCACTCAAGTTTTACCTCACCCCATCACAGCACTTGTCACCCTACATTCCACTGCCAGTTTGCTTGTGAGCAGGGACTTTTCCTGCTTGAATCATCAAGGTGTCCCCATAGTTTAGAACTGTATCCATCATAGAAGATGTGGAATACATTATTGTGTGAGAGGCTTGCCTCTGAGATCCAGTAAGTGACCACCTAGAGCAGTGGTTCTCAGTCTTGGCTACACGTTAGAATCAAATGTGGAGACTTAAACAATTTTAATGGTCAGGTCACATCCCAGATCAATTAAATCAGAATCTCTGGGGGTTAGACTCACACATTAGTATTTTTTTTAATCCCCAGGTGATTTCAATAGATAGCCAAGGTTTAGACCATGGGCAGCAAAAACCATAGCTGATGTGTCTTGTTTGCTATCAGATAAGCATCCCAGATGCTGAATGCAAACTTGTGTTGATTTAAATAAACTCTGTCATTCCTGAAACACACTTCTGGCCTTAATTGTGATGTGTTGCCTTAATTGGTTCTGATGTGCGTGAAGTCTAGAATGACTATAGACAGAAGCTAGACATGCTGATTTTGACAAGAAAATTGAAAGGTAAAAATGGCCCAGAATGGCTAGGAACAGTTTAGAAAATGCCCAGATGTTGTTTAGGTCCTCTAGTCTCGTCCATTGTATTCATTTATTTTCTTATTCTGTCAACAAGTATTTATTAAGCAACTATTGTATGCTATGTACTTTGCTAGGCACAAGGAGTACAATGGTGAATAAGGCATGGTTCCTGACTTGAAAGATAATCCATCATTACTTTCATAGTTGAGGCTGTTATGACCACCCTGTAACAAACTGCCCATCATCAGAGGAAACCTCGTATACTAAAAGAGGGAAAGGAAAATGATGGTGATCCAAGGCTTAGGATGCTCTACTGTACCTCAAATCCTTTCTTAAGCCCTGAACAAATGCTGATGTCTGTTTTAGCTGATACAGTGGTGGGCAGATATGAAACCAGCAACTTTCGATCATCATTGCTGTTAATTTGGTGTAGCTGGGCTCTGATCTCTCCTTTGCTGTCGAAACTGGCAATGCCCACGAAGGTATGAATTTCAACAATCTGCATCAAATAAAATTCTGCGGCTTGTTGTAGTTGAAGGAGTCTGTCAGCCTATGTCCCAAAAAGGAAAAAAGAAAATGGCAACATTTGGTTAGTAGACAAAAGTATGATGAAGTAACTCAATTAGCAAACATCTCTGCTAATTCTTTAGAGATGTTGGATCATAATTTTTTGAGCTTTAAAGAGTAACATAATATTAGAATATTGTTTGATTAATTGCAGGCTCAAAAATGCATGCTTTCAGGGAAGAGGGAGTGGCTTGGGGCTCTGCCTCCAACAAGATGCTCATAATTTACCACTCTCTGTTTCTCATCATCCCCACTATTTCACTCCAACTTAGAATTCAAAGATTCATGAACCCAGCTGAGACGAAATTTGTAACTGCTGTTTTAAAAATGCAGTCCAGGTAAAAGAAAACATTGCAAAGAGACCTTTGCTAGAGAGGAGTGGCAGTCAGAGGACCCATGATCTGCCCCGGCACTACCCTCTGCTATTGTGGTCACCTTAGGCTGGGTACTTCATCTGTAGAGTGAGGATGATAGCTTTCTTGTTTATGAAATTAGAATTGCCATGAGGATCAAGTGAGATACATATATGGCAGTACAGTTATACCATGAAGGGCTAACCAGGTGTAAAGTAATATTAGTGACCAGTTTTGGGCAGGTGATGCTATTGATTAATTCACTAGGGTAACTTGTTTTGAAAGCTCTGGGAAAAGAGAGGAGCAGCAAGCTGAGCTTCAATGACCACCCACTCAGGGATGACACTGATCTCTATCTCCAACTCAAGCATCTTCCTGGGTGGATCTAGACCTGCATTTCACACTTCTTAGGACACAGGTTTCTGGCTTAACTAGTTGGGAGTGATGATTTGACAACCATGAAGATGGCAACTCTACACTTTGAATTCTAATACTGTTTCTCTTACAATATTGGGAAGTAAGTTGTAAAGGGGGTAAAACAAGGACTTAGAACTCTGCCTTCAACTTTTGCTAATTATGTGATCATAGTAAAATTACTTTTTTTTTTTAGCTTCAGTTTTCTCATCTGCAAAATGGATACTGAGTAAGCACTCACAATAGAATAGCTATTGCCATCTTCATGGTCATCAGATCATCACTCCCAATCTTGATCTCTACTCCCAGCTAGCTAAGCCAGCAACCCAGGACTCTCTTACCATTTCTGTTACCAGCCTCCATATTCTTGAACAGGTCCCATCAACTCAATATCTTAAATTTCTCTCAAATCCATACCTATGTCTCTATCCCATTCGCCACCTCTCAGATCTACCCAGTGTTAGTTATAGTCATACAAATGAATGCCCTTCCCTTGAACAAATCCTTCTTTTTTTGCCTCTTGGCCACTGCACACACTTTTCTCTTCCCACAAATGTCCTCCTTTCTTCTCTTTCCTTACATCACCCAACCTAGCAAGCGCCTAGTTGAATCCTTCAAGATTGAACTCCAAATTGATTCTCTCAGTGAAACCTTCCTTGACCACTTTCTTCTACAGCGCCAGGTGCTGCCTCTTCAGTGCTCACATAGTAACTCACATCTCTGTGGAGCCTAGTCACATTGTATTGTATCTATTTACATGTGTGTGTCCTGTGTCCCTCATTAGCTATAAGCATTTCAAAGCAGAGATGCTGTTCTTCTCATCTCCATATCCCTCAGGCCAGTGCAGTGTAGGCATCTGATAATGAATGGCAATAATGGTTCAATGACGTTGTTGGCAGGAAAAGGGAGGAAAGTTTGGTTTGCCATGAGTTTGTTACTTTGGGCTTATTTCTCTTCTACATATTTCAGATGATACTCTCAAGTACCATCATCTTTCCTCTTCATTCCATCATTCTTGCTCAATACAGGCAGATAGCCAATATAAATTACTCTGAGACCATGTTTAAGAAAAGCATGCCACTGGGAATGTTGGCTCATGCCTGTAATCCCAGCACTTTGGGAGGCCAAGGTGGGCGGATCACCTGAGGTCGGGAGTTCGAGACCAGCCTGACCAATCATGGAGAAACCCCATCTCTACTAAAAATACAAAATTAGCTGGGCGTGGTGGCACATGCCTGTAATCCCAGCTACTAGGGAAGCTGAGGCAGGAGAATCACTTGAACCTGGGAGTTGGAGGTTGTGGTGAGCTGAGATCGTGCCATTGTACTTCAGCCTGGGCAATGAGAGCAAAACTCCATCTCAAAAAAAAAACCAAAACAACAACAACAACAAAATGCCCTAGTCAACTGCAGGTATGCAACATAACAAAATTATTCAAATGCTGGCTATATTAGTGGAGTTTTTAGTTTTTCAGATATCAGCCAAAAAGGCAAGTATTCCAGGACTATTGATCCACAGAGCACAAGGGGATAAATTCTCTCCTTGGACAAGTACTATTAAAATAAACAGCTACCACTTATTATTTATTTTGAACTAAAAATTTCATATTATCTCATTTACTCCCCTCTCAATAACCCTATGAAGTAGACAGTGGTATACTGGTAAATGTTTAATAACAGTTTTCTGATGAAGAATAAAATAAAGGAAGGGAAAAGGGAGGTAGGGAGGGAGGAAGGCAGGCAGGCAGGCAGGCCTGATTCGTAGCAACTGCCAGTTTCTGCGGGGTAAATACTCTTCCATGTGTGAAACCATGGTTGATTTCCTGCTGTCAATGTGATGTCACTGAGTGCACAGTTGGGATGAAATTGTAGTAGCACATCCATACAGATGCAATAGACCAGAAATAACCTCAAGAATTTAGCTCAGGGATCAGCAGAAGTTTTCTGTGAAGGGCCAGATAGTAAATATTTTAGGCTTTGCTGGCCATTAAGTTCTCTGTTGCAACTCCCCAACTCTGCTACTGTAGCAATAAAGTATCCATAGATAATATGTTGACAAATGAGCATTGCTATATTCCAATAAAATTATTATTTGTGGGCACTGAAATTTGAATTTCATATACTTTTCACACATCATGAAAAAGCCTCTTTTTTTTTTTTAACCATTTAAAATGTAAACCCATCCTTATTTTGTGAGCCATGCAAAACAGGTAGTGAGACATAGTTTGCTGACCCTGGGCATAGATAATAGTAAAAAATAGTAGGAAAAATTAAGAAGTGATGAGTTTTGAGTATTTCATATATTCGTTTACATATATTTTATTGTAAGCTTATATCATTTAATTGTTATTAATAGCTATGTTTAATTACTGGTTTGCAGATTTCCTAAAACTTTAAAAGTTGACTCTCATAAAAGTAGGCACTATTATCCCTATCTTACAGGTGAGAAAGCTGCTTCAGAGGGGCCATCATGCTCTTTATAACGAAGACATATTACACAGTAGTGAAGCAGCCAGGATTAAAACACAGCTGCCTGATTGTGGAGACTAAGACTTTAATCAGTTAAAGCAGCTGGAGGCTGCTAGATTGCTAGATGACTGAGATATGGTCTTCTGTACACAATGACATGGAAAATAGCCATATAATGGACATTCACTTTCACTGCAAATTCACAGTTTACTTCCTCAACCAGGGATATTTACCAGTGAGTAGAATGTAGCCAGCAGGAACTTTTCATTATACATAAGAATTTTCGATCATTATAGGTAAGAATTTTGGAAAAGGATCTTTGTTGGAAAGAGTTTCAATTAGTAGCAAAAATAAGGGTTAGAAATTATCTGTGGATTTCATTTATCTGCATTATCTCAACTTTTGGCCACATTCTGAATTTGTTCCTCCCAACCCCCAAAAAATAGGATGTCCTTGACTATTCCAAACCTTTTGCCTCCTCCAACTCTCACCCTTACCTCCTGAAAATAAAAATAATTAAAAACTGATAGAAAAGGCATGGTGTCCTGCACCTGTAGTCCCAGCTACTTGGAAGACTGAGATGGGAAGATCACTTGAGCCCTAGAGGTCGAGGCTGCAGTGAGCTGAAATTGTGCCACTGCACTCCAGCCTGGGTGACAGCAGGGAGGGAGAGCATCAGGATAAATAGTTAATGCAGGCGGGGCTTACTACCTAGGTGATGGGTTGATAGGTGCAGCAACCACTATGGCACATGTCTACCTGTGTAACAAACTTGAACGTCCTGCACATGTACCCCAGAACTTAAAATAAATTGAGATAATAAAGAACTGATAGAAAAAATGATAAATGTTTACATTCATTTTCGTTCAAAATGTTACCTCTGCCATCTTGCTGGACACATCCAGCACTAAACAGACCACTTTGTCACCAGCCTGTACAAGCGAGAATGTGGGAGGAGGTGGAAGCTCAGTCCCATTCATGGGAAAGCTGTGGTGAAAGTCAGCAGAGTCTGTGATTACATCCCATGCACTTCTGAGGCTGCACATCTGGTTCTGTAGGTTTGGTGCTTCTTGGTTGTGGGTACTTGCATTACAAAATTCAACCACCTGGAAATAAAAACAGTCTTTAATAAAGAGAGGCACTTCTCCCAAAGCAAACATAGTTCTCATTCTCAAGGAACTATAGGTAAAAGAAAAGGTGAACTGAAAGAAAAGAAATCAAAAGTGGTACAGTGATATACCTCTTTCCTTCAAGAATGACATCAAATTACAAATAAACCTTGGCATTCTTGCTGGGAACACTAGCATCTTTGTGGTTCTGAGAGCAATCTCTATTAAAGTTTATTGGTATTAGATAACAAACCATGTATGTGTATATATATACATAATCTTACTCTTAAAAACAAAACAAAACAATCTCCCTCTTCCCTTAGCACAATATTGTATTAGGAAAACAGCCAGAAGAAGTTATCATGATCAGCCTACTCCTTGGAATAATATTTAATGACCACTGCACCTTTATTTGTTGATCAGTCAACATATATTTTTCTACCTCAAATATTGATCTCTGTAAAAATAGATAAGGGGATAAACAACTTAAATTTACTTCCTGATCCCCCACCCCCACTCAATTTGGAAATATAGATATAATTTACAGAAATATAGATATAATTCACTAAATGATACTGAACCTATGTCAATACCCCACTTAAAAATATGGTTTGCATTGCTAAGTAATGCATCACCATCTATTCCCAGTGGCTCTATTCCTACAAAGAGTCGATACTTCCCATTAACAGAGCCATGGAAACTTAGAGTTAGAAGCAACTGAATAGCCTCTCTTGTCTCAGCTCTAACTTCATAGAAAAGAAAGCTGAAGCTTTGAAAGGTTGATAACTGCTTAAGGACATGAGTTTCTTAGGAAGGTGCAGGGACTGGAACAGAATCTGGTTTTGCTTTGCGTTGTTTAACTCTTTTTCTTCCATTTCATGACTATGGTTATGGGATTGTAAAACTTTTCTGACAAGATATTTATGAGTAGGTCTTTCAAAACATCGTGAAGATAGTACCTAGTCATAAATAATGTGGATCGAATGCATTAGGTTAGTATCAGATATTAAAGCTATAAATAAGAAACATAATGTATGGGACAAGAAATATGAAAAATTGTCTTAAAGTTACAAAATAACTTCTAGTCCTGACTAAAACCAGAATGAAATAAAATAGCATGTCAATCCAAGGGGCATTGGTCAGCCATGGACACAAAGAGAAAACTCCACAGAGGCATGTGTGGGCTGTACCCCCAGATCTGTGAAGAGATGACCCACAGATGTGACTTACAGGCTTTTGTGAACTTTGAGAGATATATCAGGTCATGAAGGCTGATGCTACTAACCTCTGAATCACCTAACTCCCTCGTTTCTGATTCCATGCTCTCTGACTATGCATCTGGTGAGAATTGGCTGTTCCAGGCTGCTTCATCCAGAGAGAAAATAAGTTGGCCAGAGGATGCAAGTATGAGATGCCCATGACAGAGTACTCTTTTTAATTAATAGTTTAAAAAATAATATTCTGGATTTATATGCTAGTCTCTTGTCAGTTAGTTAGCATGGAATATTGACAAGGTTGGGTTTCTGCAAAGCAGAGTTGGTTGACTTCTCCTGGTGATACCTTACTGTTAAGTTCTAGACTATTCAAAACAAAGGAAAGAGATTGAGGAAAGGCATTTCAAATACAGAGTGGTCTGCTACTTCAAACGAGAGAATTATAACCATTTGTTATATCACTCTCATTAACCCAATGTAATTTCTTATGAAAGAATACAAGAACACCACCATAAGAACAGTTTATTTTGTGGTCCCCAGAGTCCCTTTGTTAAACCTCCCAGGAAAGCAAATAGTCACTTTCCTGAAGGTATCATTTGGGTAATTATCTTGGGGGTTCCAATTTTTAAATCTGTAGATAAAAACTAGATGAACTCTAGGGTCCCCCAAGTTCTAAAGTATAGTGCATCTTAATTATCTTATAATTTAAATACTTGAAACATGGGAAGAGAAGGAATCCTGCAAGAGTGTGTCATTCCAAGGGCATACTTACAGAAGATAAACTTTGCATGAACATTATTGATGCAGTTGCATTTTGGGTGCTATTGTAGATAAAGGTGCATCCTTCTTTAAAAAGCTTACTAATAATACAGTTTTCTTGGGGGCAAGGACCTTTTTCACACACAAAAATGCCTGTGATGTCAGATGAACACCTAAAAATGGAAAGAGAAACTGGGAATTAGGTCTATTTTAGAAACACTTATGTTTCTTGTTGACTAGCTTATATAATTATTACAAGGATTGTAGCCTGCTAGATATATACAAAACTTTAAAAACTGCTCTACTGGCGGGGTGCTGTGGCTCACACCTGTAATCCCATTACTTTGGGAGGCTGAGGCTGGTGGATCACCTGAGGTCAAGAGTTTAAGACCAGCCTAGCCAACATGGTGAAACCCTGTCTCTACTAAAAATACAAAAATTAGCCAGGCGTGGTGTTGGGCACCTGTAATCCTAGCTACTGAGGAGGCTGACGCAGGAGAATTGCTTGAACCCAGGTGGCAGAAGTTTCAGTGAGCCGAAATCGTGCCATTGCACTCCAGCCTGGGCGACAGGAGCGAAACTCCGTCTCAAAAAACAAACAAAAAAACAAACAAACAACAAAAACAAACAAAAAACTGCTTCATTAAGAAAGTTCACTGATTTAGAAATGCACTCTATTTTATTTTAAAGCATTTTATCTTGATGGAGGGGTTCTGTATTAACAAGGGCTTTAACAACTAAATAGGGTCAAAGCAAAAGATACTAGGAAATCCAGATGGACTTTGGGAAGCCCAAGGAAGGACATGAGTGGCAAGATCCTGGGTCAGTGCTCCTTTGAGTTCATTTCCACTTGGTATCAGGGGAAAAAAAGATAATGAACATGTAATGATGATATTTAACAGGATTCTTTCCTAAACAAGCGATCTCAAATGTTGTTGATAGGAATGT
Organism: Homo sapiens; assembly: GCF_000001405.40. Taxonomy (NCBI): domain Eukaryota; kingdom Metazoa; phylum Chordata; class Mammalia; order Primates; family Hominidae; genus Homo; species Homo sapiens. The sequence continues at coordinate 86,431,593 of NC_000001.11, read as the reverse complement.
AAAACAGTGGCAATTGTAGGAGAAGAATCAGTCAATAGCTACCAAAATCACCCTTTGACTCAGTAATTGTTGGAAGAATTTGATATGTTAATCTGTCTGCACGTATGAGAAATGACACATGTGTAATGCTATGAACTGCGTGTTACTGATAATACAAAAGATGGGAAACAACCTGTGTGTCCACCAAGAGGAGACTGGTTGAATAAATTATGGTATAGTCACATAATGGAACACTATGCAATTATAAAACACAGAGCGAGGAAAAACATATGTTTCTATTCATTTGAATTTGCCTGAAGAAATATTGAAAAAATAAACAAGAAACTAATCAAAGTGGTTACTTAGAGGGCATGAGGGGAAACAGTGAAGATAGTGCTGCAAGCAAGACAGGTACAAGCATGACTTTTTATATTGTTTTGATATTTGAACCACATAAATACCAATTTAAAGAAAAATGTCATATAACTTAAGAACTGAAAAGTGAAAGGATCTCTTTCTTATCAGCTAAGTTTTAGCTGCAATTAAATTAATTGCTTAAATTAGGCAATTATTTAATTGCTTAAGTTATAAGCAATTTTAGAGTCAAATAAATAATGAATTATAACATGAAAAAAAGTACTAACCTTGTCACTTTAATTTGATTTTGCCCATTTATGTAGAAAGGTTTGTCATTGTTATACTCATCGAACACACCCCAACGGAGGTGGGCCCATTCATGGACAAACACTCGGCCTGCGGAAGAAAGAACTTTTGCTTTTGAGCTTCTAAAATCTCAGCAATGTGCCTTGCTAACTAGTGAAGACGTAACATTTCTTGACCACACATACTCTTTGGAATGACCAAAGAGTTTAAGTTACTTCCCTCTCTCCCCTTTTCCTCTCCCCTATCCTATTCCCATCTCCTCCTACTCCACCACCTACCACCATAAAAAAGGCAGCATGAAAATATGTTTGGTCTTGTAAATGCAGTAATTTACTTGTTGCACATCTATTTGAAGCTAGTGAGTAGTCCCACATCCTCTCATCTCCCCAGTGAAGCTGCCCAACAGGTTTCTATTCAGCTTTGTAGAGGCCTCTAAGTTCAGGGTTTGGAGAAAGGGAAAGAAGCATATCCAGATAGGCAAATAAAGCTTTCCTAATCTTCTGTCTGAGCTATCCAAGCAGACCTGCTTTTTTTCTTGCAGGTAATTCTTCTATCTAGAGCAATAGTTGAAACCTAGGAGCTAGGGAAGGAGGAAGGAGCAAAAAAGGAGACTGCAGAATGTTCTCCCCAGCCTGGATGGTCCCTTCTCTTTTATTTTATCCCTTATTCTCCATGTTTATGTGTATTTTACAGCTCCTAGGTCAGGGAAACCCCCATCCTCTGCATGAGATCCTTTAGAACTTCCTCTCTCTCAAAATCTTACATTCCCTTCAAAGTTCAGACCACAGCTTTCCCATATAAGCTTTCCAGATGAACTCCCCTCCCAAAGCACACATTTCTTTTTTCTGAATTATTTTAAGTTCCGGGAACTCAGGAAGTGTGTGCTGAGTTGACTCAGGCTGTGGCATATTGTGTAATTTTTGGACCTCGAGGCAAAGGAAGGGAGGGTAGCAGTCCAAGCTGTGAGTGTTGAGGGAAAGATTGTGCCTACTCATGAAATTTAGAAGTGCTGATGAAATCATGCTTGAGCAGAGATTATCAGCATCTCAAGGTTACCAGGAAAGAAAAAAAACTACGTTTTTCTAAAGATTTATAAAGTGTTTTGTAAAGTGTATTTTATGGAGTGTTTCACTCCACTTCCTGCTAACTATACAGAGGATAACAAAATCCTTGTTAACAAAACCCTAGTTTAGATTTAACTAGGGATAAAAAAGAAAATTAAGACATCACTTGAAAGGCACTACTGTTACATTAAATCAAAAACAAAAAATAAAGATTGGGATAGATAGTCCTTGACTGGCGAACTGTGCTTACTATTTTCTCCCTCAGATCTCACTCACTAAATACCAGTCTCTAGGCCTATGACCCTGACTTCTCTCCCAAACTCCAGCCATCAATATCTAACCACAGGCTGAACCACTTTCCCTGGCATAGTCTATTGCTCTTCACAATGAATTTGCCTAGATCCAGACTTGTGGGATTTCTTCTTGAAGCTGGTTTTTTCCATGTCTGACAAAAACCTGGTGTGTGCCTTGTTCCTTAATGCTGTCTCCACGTGCCTCTTGCCTTTCCTTCTGCAGCAGTTCAGACCTCTTTTTGTTTTTTATCTCTGGAGTATTTCTCATCGCTTAGAGTTGCTAGAATTAAGTACGATAACATTTGAAAAGGAAACCACAGAGCGGCTAGCGCATAGGAAATCCTCAGTGTCCTTATTACTATCCTTCCCATCTCACTGTCTCCACCCATTTTTAAGTCTTGTGGCCTCATACCTCGACTTCTCCCAGTTATTCTCCTGATATCCAGTTTCTCCTTCATTGATCAGAGGAAGCCAGATTAATCTTAAAACACTGCTTTGATGGAGTCACTCCTGTGCTTAGAAACCTTGAGTGGTGACTTGAAAATGTGGCCATTTTAGTGCATCACCTGGCCCTCATGTATGTTTCAACGTTTTCTCCCACTGCCCACAGTCTCCCTGCACCATCATCAGGGTCTCTGTCTCTCCTATATGCCTTTAATTTTTCTGCTGCCACAGTTTTCTTCATAGTCTTCCCACTATTTTCTCCCTTCTTTCCATTTATCAAAATGATGTTCAATCTTGAAGACCTTTTCCTTTGTGAGGACATTTCTGACCACCCTTGACTCTAAATGACGTTTCCTTGATTGAATTCTTATAGCACTCCTCTCTGGGCCACTAATCTGGTGCTAAACTCTTTCGAGTTCACTTTAGCCCCTCATCTTTGCATGGGCATATGACCTATCTCCCCCTTTGAGTGGTAAGTCCTTGACAAGTTTCAGGTTTTGTGAGTGAGTCCCTTTCAGCACCAAGCACAGAATATTATAAGTAGTATTGTCCAATGGCTATTGTTTTATTGGTCCCACTTACCTCGTGATCCGTAGCCAGCTGTTAAGTTATCATTCAGTAGGAAATTAGGTGTGAAATGAATGTATTTTCCCTCTTTTCCACACCCTCTGTATTGTAGGGTGTATGGATCATCTCCATGTGCCCCATACCAGTCAGTCACTATGACATTTGCCTAAATTAAAAGAAATGCCTTGTAATACTTTCTCAGCTCTGTTGTTGGTGACATAAATGTATACATTCATTAAAGCACTTTGAACTGTACACTTAAGATGTGTGCATTTTATTGTATGTAATTATAACCCAATTTAAAAACAAAATTGAAGAAAAACACCTTGTGGATGGAGTTTAAAATGCACCCACAGCTACATATCAATAAAATCACTTGGGATTTCCAAAAAGGTCTATGTTATGAAAGCTTAGCAAATTTTTATGGAACCTAATTACTTCCATTTGATCTTTCCACATTCCAGATTAAAATATTCTCAAAAGTCAATCCTGTAAAAGTCTGATATAACAAAACACTATAAAATGCAATTAAAATATTTGAAGAAATTCTAAAAGCATTTATACATCGTTCAGAACCATTCAGAAGGCTGTAAAATGTTACAGCCTTTTGTGAACAACTTTCTGTGGGTTATTTTATTGGTGTAAGACAATAGAACATTATTTCTTTGAAAATTTGTCCTTTCTTTCCTGTAACCAATTAGATCAGCAAAACGATCATTCCAATGAAGTTATATTTCATCTTATGGCCTGACCATTTCCATTACTGTTGCTAAAACAGATTTTAAGTCCAAAACTGAAATATCCACTCATATAACTATCAAGACAAGAAAATGTTATATATAACATTGTTTCTTTTATTTTTGGGAAGAAAGATGACAGATTGTTCTGGATATGCACTTAAAAGTTAAATATGCTGTTAAGTTTTTTTAAAAGCTGATTTTAGAAAAATAGATCTAATACGATCCAATATACACAATTATCACTCTATGTACAATATGTATATGTGTTTTGTGTGTGTGTGTGTGTGTGTGTGTGTATGTATGTGTGTCCATCTGTGTCTGTGTGTGTGCCACTGAGAAGAAGAGGACAATACAATTTTTCATTTTTATTTTCCATGTTTCTACATTATTTAATTTTTTTCAATGAGTATAAATTACTTTTATAATAATTAACATTTATTTTTAGAAAGATAAGAATTCAAGCCAAGGTCATTACAAGGAAGTACCTACAAAAAAGGCTGAAGAGGTCACACTCTTGGATAGTCCTCACTTGGGTAAAACCTCATTCCTATGTCTGAAAATTTGTCCTGAGGCCAAAAGGAAAGAGTGCCCTTCATGGAATGGAATACTCAGAGGCTGTTTGGGGTTACTTTATACCTTATAGACCACAGTAATTCAGCTCTTATCTACTTTTCCTAACCCTTTCCCCCTTCCATGATTCCTACCTACATCTCATTGTAGACTTGGAAGGACAGGAACTACCTTGCTGGTCCTTGGGTTCTCTGAAGTGCCTAGCGTGGTCCCGTACATAATGATCATTCACTGTTTGCTTAATTGACATTCTGAGGTTAAAGAATTGGTATCCAACAGATAAATGAACAGCATCCAGGGACGATTGTTTCCTTTGGTCTTTCCGTTCACTCATATTTTCACTTTTGCTTTACTTATTTCTCTCCCCTCCATTAGGATCAAGTGTTACCTATGGCAACCTGGTTTTGGTGTTTGTTGTCTCCAATACTTCTTAGTTCTATTGAAGGCCCAATAGATGCATTAAATCTCTATTGACAGCTAGAGACAACAAAGCTTAGTGCAAAAAGCATGGGTTTTGGAGGCAAATAGACATTCAAATTATGGCTCTGTAATTTACTAGCTGTTAGATTTGGGACAAAGTCCATACCTTATTCAAGCCCCAGTGTTTTAATTTGTGATCACAGAAACTAATTTTAAGTTATGTGAGAATTAAATAATATATGTAAAATGCCTGGCACTTAGTTGGAGCTTAAACACTAACTCTTCCCAGCTTACCCCAGTTCCCCCACCTATCCTATCTTCATGTGCAAGCATTCTCAAATGCTTTCATCTGGTCATAGGTCAAATGCTTTTCACAGGCTCTTTAACTTCTTCAGGACATTGGGGTACCTATCTGGATTGCTATACCATTCAATTTCTGACAGAGTAGCTTTGAAGGAGAGCTAAGAATGAAACAGACTTAGGAAATTTCATACTGAGGGTCAGAAATAAGGAAAGGGGAAAGCTGTACCACATGTTTGAGTCATTCTGTTAGAGATGTAGTTACAATCTCAAACCCACTCCATTGCTGAAACCCTGAGATAAGTTGCCAATGCCTCTACTTCTGGCCCTTCTGGTAGCTGCAATGGACTCTTGTTCACAGTTGACTTCAAACAGTGATTTACCATTTATATTATTTATCATTTATTTATAGTGTGCACACTAGTATGTACCAGACATCATCATGGGTGCTTAATCATGATCTGCAACTTATGAGAGCCTTTCAAGGTGAAGTTCCTCTATAGGTGGAAAAAAAAAGGTAGCCATTCCCCTACTCATCCACATCCCCACATCCTTCCTCCCTTCCTTCTAATCTCCTTATTCCCCTAAAACAATATTCTGGACTTGAGCTAATGTGAAATTCTGATAATCTACACCATGGCATAAGATGGCAGTCATATTTTTATATGCATGGTGGTTTATATTTCTGTCTGGACATGCATGTTTATTGCTCCTGACAGGATGGTAAATGGGTATAGTCATAATTGGAACTGTTCCCTTTGCAGCTCATCCTCAGTAGGATAAAACTAGTTCTTGATCCTCAACCAAACTTTTCAGAAAGTACTCCATAAGTTACAAAATAAAGAGATCTTCTGAGAAACTACTTAGGCTATGGCATTTGACTCATTTTTTACTGCACAATTTGCATTCATTTATTCTCATATATTTTGTTGATAACATTCTGCCCATTAATATTATTTGCATTGTTAATACTGATGATTTGTTTTTACTTAACTTCTCACTTTTATCGTTTGAGCACAGTATATTTTGGTGTTTTTTTTCCCCTTGAGATCATTGAATGAAATCCTGGATTCTTACCTTTTCATATGATTCTTGTTTTATTTTGCTGTTATTATTAGCTTTCCATGTGGCAGGTATTAAAATCTTTATATTTCTGAAAAATACTCTTCTCTTGGTAGCATTAAATAGGTAAAATGAAGCTTCAGTTATCATTTCCTACAGCCAGACAAAAGAAAAACTTACTTTACCACTTGTAAATCCTGTATGTTTTGGTTTTCTGGTATGCTTAAACAGTAATAAAAGACAATGAAATATTTTGAAGAGACCCATTTCTTTTAGAGAAAGCCCTAGACTTTGGGAAAACATAGGAGCAAATTTTTAAAAAAACTTTAAATGATTATATGGAAGATTTTAGGACACTAATTATATGTCTGTGCTTGCCTTCATAGTTTTCCCAATTTTGAGAAAGGCTTTTAAGCTTTTGTGGAACAAATCCTTTTCATGTCACACCTGTGGGCACATTCAAGACCACACCTTATGATGCTACTGATTTCACTAAAGCAATACTAAATGGAGGCTCTTACATCATAGAGCTATGATCCTCCCTTGCCATATTAAAGTAAAAATAGTCAATTATGTTACAGCACATTCAAGTGAAAAGAAATAATTTTGCTTTTTGGCCCACCGTGCAGACTCTCACCCTTTCTGCCTGAGAATTCTCACCCTCAGGATGGAATCTAGCAATATGATTTTAACAAGCATGCTCATTATCATGCTTATTCATCAGTTAAATATTCAATCTTTGTTGCCACAATGGGTTGTTATTTTTCTAAGTTGCTACCCCAAAAACAGTCATGTAGGAAAACAAAAGAGCTGAAATTAGTAGCAACCAACAATAACAAAATAGAGGGCTAGATCAACACTCTGTGAGCTGAGACTACACAGAATTAGATGAACAAACTGGCTTAGTTAGCCATAATCATAACGTTGTGGCGCTATCTTTTAAAAATGCTGTTCTCTGTATTACTCAAATACAAACCAGGCAGGGTAGTTAGCTTCTAAATAAGGCTACAGGTCTGATCAAATGGGATGCTAGTATCAATTTCATAATTTCCACTCACCTTAATGTTTGAGATGAGGTTCTGATTCTCAGGTACCTGAGGATTAATTGCAATGAGCAATCCATTATACCCATTGTCTTGAAGCTGTACTCCAGCTCCCAGGAATGGGAGTTCTGAACTTAAGGCAACCAGGAGAGTCACAAACTTCAGGTTGCAAATAGGACCTGCAATGCTCCTTTGGGTCATGTTGTAGAGAAGCCTCCAGTTCACTCACACTGAGCCTGCTGCATACATTGTGTCAGGTTTTCAATATGGATGCAGATGGTTTCTTCCTGAACTTGCAAGGTTTTAGAACACAAGATGAAGGAGGTGTCTTCTTTGAAAAGTCTGGGGTGGATCCATCTGGGACCTGCCTCTACAAGTCCTTTTCCTCCAGGCAATGCTACACTTGCCTGTTCTGTGGCTGAGCTGCCTCCTGAATCATGGTTGGGCAAGAAACATTCTGCCCTTCATTCATTTTATAACTTTTCAGAAAGAAGAGGGAAATAAGACCAAAGGAGCTTAAAAGCAGGAAATATGGGCTGGAAATCAGTATATCTGGACTGTTCAATCCACTTGCAGTAGAAACACAGAAGTCTATAGTGATTTTCCTCTCCTCATTTTTCATAACCTCCTCCATCAGTTGGCACAAGTACTTTCTACTGCCCTCAAGTCATTTTTCATTTGTTGCAAGATTTCCTTGCCTGTTTATTTTGAAGATTTAGAAATCCATTCTGCAGCCCAGTCCCTACAGCCCTTGGGTCAGATAGTCTGGGCAAGCTCTCAGCTGATGGCTGGAGGTCAGATATCAGATATCCCCCAGAGAGGGCCAACTGCCAGGAACTTGGGTGCCTGTGCAGCCCTTTCCCTCTGGCCTTGCTACCTTTTCTCTCTGCCTCAGGAAGAAGAATAGATTTCTCCTTCAGCTCTCTCCTAAGGGCAAGGCCCTGCTTCAGTCAACCCTCCATTTCTCCAGGACCAAAAACAGGATCTAATATATAGTAACCATCGCAAATATTTTATGACTGATTCATAATACCTGATATTTACCTCATGCTTTAAAGTTTACAAATGAACTCATTTAAATATCAATACTCTGATGCAGGTATAATTTGTACTTTTCAAATGAAAATAATGAGTCTTGGAAATTCTGATTATGAAAATTAGCCAATGAGAGAAGAAACTAACATTTTTTGAGTGATGGATTTTATTATGCCTATTTTATGGGTGACAGAACTAATGTTCAAAAAAATCTAAGTAACTTGTTCAAGGTTGGGAGTATTATCATCGTACTAGAATGAACCAACTGACTCCAAATTCCACTGTTTTTCAATATATCATGTTCTCTCTTAGTTACTAAATTATCTTAGTAACCTCGTTTCTCCCTCTTCTTTGTGTTTAAGAATGCCGCACAGTGACATCTATTGTAAAACTAAAGAAAAAGTTTTATTCACAGCGTCAGAGGTCCACAGCAAGCAAAACCTGTGACTCTTCCCTGCTGTGGCCCCGTCTCGGAACATTTCTGGGGAGGGGAGTGTAGCATTTAGGAAACGGTCTGTCCCTGCTCTCAACAGGGATTTCACCAACATTGTCTGTTTTCAACATCTTCATGGGCAGTGTGATGTCACTCTTCTTCCCAGCAAGGTTGGAGTCTTCTGAACTTGGGCTTTGATATTGCACTGCAATGTTGACAGATGTTGAGGGAATTTTTTTCCCCTTGCTGTCTTGCTTGAATCATTTTCTCATGCTTCTTCTCACCTGCTTTTCCTTCAAATTCCAGCTGTGTCCTGGAAGCCTGGCCTGAGCTCCATAACTAAGTCAAATTCCCTTCTTTCATGCTTCCATAGCATCAGATAACTCACCTTTGCAGTATGATCATGGTAACAATGTCAAATTTATATTGTATAATTGATTGTCAGCTTCCTGCTGTATGAAGGAAGGGATGGAGTCTGTTTTCATTCAGTACTTCCCCAGCACCTATCTCAGTAAACTCTCTGTTGAATGACTGAATGAATGGAGTCAGGAGAAGTAAATAAAACAAGATAGTGAAGGAGCCCCGGGTTATAGTGTAAAAATTCTTTCCCCCACCCTTGTTTTCTAGAAGGCATCTCCTCTGTTCTAGAGCAGTTTCCCTCTTGCTCCCTCTTGACAGGCAGTGCTTGAGTATGGTGCTCTCCTTGAAGAATGGGATGGCGCTGGTCATTACGTGGCTGCCCAAGGGTCTTACCCTAAAGTTCAAAGGTCAGCTTAGCTGCCTTTTCTCCCAAACTGAATTCCCAGCCCTAGTTTTTTTCTGCTTGTTCACTGTGTCTTCAGAGTAGAAGGCCAGAGGTGTGGCAGCTCCAAAGGCTCTGTCTGTAAATGTGACTCATTGAGCAGAACAATGCACTTCATTTCAAATATCCCTGGCAGTTTATTTTCTTATGCCAACCTCTTGTGATTTTAAGAATACAAATATTCCCATCGATAAACCAATATGCTCAAAAACTAAACTCGTAAGCACACTGCAAGAGCGGCTTTTTGCCAACACTCAGGGAAGTTTTTCATGACACTTGTATAGGTTGTTTGCTATGGGAGGGAGTGATTGAGGACTGATATTCAGCACTCTCTCCACTTGTTTTTATCATTACTATGGTTCCCTTGGGATGTGAGGGTGGAAAATATTGGCTAGAGAGTGCATGCAACTTTATAAAGAACAGCTACAAATGAACAATTTTGTCCAGCTTCACTTGGGTTGAAACCTGAACAAGCTCACTCAGGCTTTGCTTAGCCCGGGTTGAGAGTCTAGGCATGATATCTACTCTTATCTATCTGATTTTTTTTAAACGTCTAATTCAGAGCCCTTTTTGTTATCAGCAACCAGGCCTGGGACCGGGCCAGCTGAAGGTCTCTTTTTACTGCCTTCTTCTTTCATCAGGCTGACCTTACAGCCTGAAAAGGTGGAGAAAATGAAATTGAGTAAAGGAATTAGAAATTATACTGAGCACAGCATCTTTTTGTGAAGTGTGACTTCGTCAATAAAGTGAACTTTTTATCCTTTCATTAAACAAAAATTAACTGGTCATAGCCATAGATTTTAGATTTTATAATATCTGAGAAAGGAAATATACCTAAAGGAAAAGAAAGGAGGAATACAGTTTTTAAGTGTTTATTTCAATGTTATATAAACTCTAGGAATCTGCTTTGCTTTTATTCTGCTTTCAAGAAAATAAGAGTTATTCAATTTCAGTAACTGAAGAATCTAAAGCACATCTTTGTTCATTGTCTGACTCTGTAGTTCAACCTGGCCCCAGAAGGGCCTGTCTATTTTTTTCATGGAGTCAGCTGGTATAGACCCACAGTCTAAGTGAATAAAACATCCAATTGGTGTCAGAGAAGTCAGGAGATTTGACATTTTGGGGAAATCAAAGAAAATTTTGGATTAGTTCCTCTCAGGCTTTGGTTTCAACAATCCCATTTAGAAGAGGAAAGTGTAGTACACTGTACGGTTGGGCTACACAGCTCATGGGCCACGTTAGTTTATGTAATCCCTGTGAAATAAATCAGAAAAGAAGAGAGACAAATTGTCAAGACTAAGAATTTAAACAAAACACAGTTTGCCAAGGGCCCAGATGGTACATTTCCTACCTCCTTTATCCAATTTCCTTCAAATTTAGACTCATTTTCAAAGCAAAGGAACAAAGTGGATGGTCCAGATAGGGTCTGGGAAGCCATTTGTATTGTCAAATCACCACCATGTCAAAGCATGGAGATCAAGCGCAAAGGTGAAACACAATGAAACATAAACTCAGAATTGAGCATGTCAGGATAAGCCAGTTGGTTTCAGAGATAGCTGCTTGAGAACCTGATGGTGAAAAGATTCCAAAGTTGAACAAAACAGAGACTGTCTCACATTGCAGAAGGAGGCACTGAGTTTGGATATTGTAAAGACACTCTCGGCAATAAAGGCTTATGGGCACCGGTCATTATTAGAAACAATCTCTCATGTTTGTATGGTGCTTTGCACTTTTCAAAGCCCTTCTTAATCATACTGTATCTCATGAGTCACAGGAACTTATAAATTCTGCTTCTGTGGAAATTAAAGAATAGTAAGAGTAGTTATCTTCTTAAAGGACCATTTAGGTGAGATCTGTCTTGGACACAAGGTTAAGATTTAGCTCACAGGTTCTCTAAAATTTATTCCATGCATATCAGTAGAGTGTACTGTGGAATGTAAAGAATGGGAGATACTGGTTTTATTCACTTGCTATAGGATCCAAGTCACATCACCTAAACTCTTGTGGCTTGGTTTTGTCACCTTCAAAATAAGGGGGTTGATCTACTTAATGGTAGTATTTTTCCTCACTTTCCTCATTCAATTCACTTTGGCAATAACTCAACAAATTATCCTGTGTGCACACAAACACACCGAAACCCTCCAAAATTTGCCAAAATGAATGAAAAACAAGAAATACTTTTAATGATAACCCAATTAAAAATGGGAGAAAGTGTATGGAACATTTATCATTTGCAAAACAGCCTAAACTTGCCTTTCGTAAAAGACTGTTATATCTACTATATACCAGAGAGTATATAGCATCATGTGGATATAAGATATTATCATTATTACTACTGTTACTTTTGAGAGAAAAAAAAAAGAGAAAGCAGAAGTGTAGGCAATTTATTAAAGAGATGAAAAATAACCAGGGAGACTCAGAACAGTACACAGAAGTAGAAGAACAAGATTTCGACTCTGTTCTTCCCTAGTTTCCCCTTGATTGCTTCCTGCTCTGACAGTGGCCTCCGTATGTTTCTGAGACCCCAGGGATTTGCCAGATTCTCCTCTTGCTCGCAACCCCACTGGGAAGGAGTAGCACGTATTTTTTGTTCTCCTTCCTCTACTTCTGCTGCTTCTAATACTCCATTTCACATTACCTGCCCTGTGAAGAACAGGAAGCAACTATAACCAGTTTTTCAACTGGCAACTGGGGGATTAGGGCTCCCCCTTCTGTTCTTGGGGTGCAGGTATCTGGGGCTATGAATCTCTAAATAAATTCTCAGCAACAGAATGGGCCTGCACAGACCTCCCTTCTAAAATGTACCAAAAGCTGTCCAGAACAGTGTTTTTCAAGTTTTATTATACCCAAGAATCACCTATTCAAATGCAGATTCTGACTCAGTGGGTCAAGATGAGACCAATATTCTACATGTCTATTAAACTTCCATTATGCTCCCTTACATTTCCAATACAAATGTAAATTAATTTGTGACTGATGCAGCCTTTATTTTATAGTTACCACTAAAATATAAATTGTGAATTAACAGGGAATTATTAATTTCAGCCAATCAATGACATCTTTAATAAGTGAGGATTGCCCATAAAGAATAAATAAATCATTATGATAAACATTAATAACTTACGCTAAACTCAACCTAATATATGAAATATATATTGGAAATGTATTTATGTGGCTGGAGCCACTGGTCCTTGGGCCATACTTGAAGTAACCTCTGGGTCAGGAAAGCTCCTGGGAAATGTCTAGGGATTTACTTCGTGTTTATAGCCTTTACACCAGAAAGAGGTAGTCTTTATAGTCTTTAAACACATTTTTACCTTCTATGGAAAAGGCCTGTGTATTCTTCAGAACTCAGGAGAAAAACATTGCGTTAGTTATGGTGACACCATTGTTTAAATATTCTTTGTAAAGAAACAACTGCAAAGAACTGTGTGGGGTTTTTTTGTTTTGTTTTGTTTTTAAAAACAAACAAACAAATGAAAAAACCCACTGATCTGTAGGTTTTGGAATCCTAAAATTCACAATCACTTCTCTATTATTAAAACCCTGCCCTGCCCCTCTTGGCCTCCAGTTCAATCCGTCTAGTTTCTTATTGATCATATGTGAGGCATGATAAGATTGTTTTAATGGACACTTTTTTTTTAATTTCTTATGCTTCCTCAGTGATCTGCAACACATAGCCTCTAACAAGTGATTTTCAATGATTGCCTTACTCAGGAGAGGACTGCTCCCTTAACTTTTCTTACTCTCTCTTTTTGCACACTCGTTCATTCATTCACTCAAAAGTAAAATTCTGTCAATTATATCTCAATAAAGCTGTTAAAAACAAAACTGTGTTCCTACTAGATGCCAGGCACTTTTCTACGTGCTGGATATGAATGAACAAAACCAACCAAATCCCTGTCATGATGGAATTTGCATGCCAGAGAAGGGAGAGAGACAACAAAGAAATATAATGTAATATCTAGTGGCCATACAAGAAATCAGATAAGGTGGGGAGGCAATGAGAGGTGGAAGTTGGGGTTTCCTATTTTGTGTTAGGTGGTATGAGGAAGGCCTCACAGATAAGATTATCAGGAGTGAGGGGAGGAATCACGCAACTACCCTAGAGTAAAACAGAGCAGGTAGAAGGGCAAGAGGCTGAGACTGGCTGGTGCTGCAGTGGAGTGGGCACAGGACAGCAGAGTGAGAGAGGAGGTGAAATCTCTGGCTCTGGAGAGGCTAAAGCATCCAGGTGGCCTCTGGTGCACGGATCATGCAAAGCTTGCAACTTTATGTAAAGGATGGGAGTTTACTCTGTAAAATGGGGACTCAGTGGTAAATTTGGCAGAGTGATATAGTATGACCTTCAGACGTTCTTTTTGTAAGGACCACTCTGGCTGCTGAGTTGAAAGTCGATGGGCGGAGGCCGCAGGTGGAGTGGGGGCCAGTTGGAGGGTGTAACTGTAATGCGAGTGAGGAATGGAGACAAAGCTCAGACAGCAGGTTGGGTTGTCTTCTTCGTTCAGCTTTCCTGGAATTTCCTTTCCTCTCCCTATTAAATACTGTTGCTGTGTGGGTGAAATAAGAGCCCTTCAGCTTATAGGCTTATTAAGAGGAAGGATCATACTTCTTTGGCTGCCCAAATGGGCTTAATGTAATGCTGATTGACAAGAGATGAGATAAAATGAGAAACAACAACAAAAATAATCTGAGACCTATAGTCATTGGTAGTCAAATGACAAAAATGTAGTTCAAGTTTAAGCTTATAAGGCTGTGGTTCTTAATGCCTCATCCATAAATGCTCCATAAATGGCAGCTGATTCTACAGTAATTATTAATTAGTATAATTATCAGTACTGTCAGCTGGAGTTCTCTTGCTCCCCAGAGAAGTAGGTATAATTGGCTTTTACCTCTGTCAATTTCATGGCCCATGGAAGATCAAGCCCCTCCTAAATTTCTGCAACTATGCTGTATGCTTGATTTCTCAAAACTCCTGCTTCCCAGATCCACACCTGCTGCTTCTGTGTTTCACTACATTGTCTTAAATGTAGTATTTGGAATTTCTCAAAGAACCATGTATATACTGTGTTTGCAGCAATTTAGACTTTACTAAAGAGTTCTTAGGGAGCCGGGCGCGGTGGCTCACGCCTGTAATCCCAGCACTTTGGGAGGCTGAGGCGGGCGGATCACGAGGTCAGGAGATCGAGACCATCCCGGCTAAAACGGTGAAACCCCGTCTCTACTAAAAATACAAAAAATTAGCCGGGCGTAGTGGCGGGCGCCTGTAGTCCCAGCTACTCGGGAGGCTGAGGCAGGAGAATGGCGTGAACCCGGGAGGCGGAGCTTGCAGTGAGCCGAGATCCCGCCACTGCACTCCAGCCTGGGCGACAGAGCGAGACTCCGTCTCAAAAAAAAAAAAAAAAAAAAAAAAAAAAGAGTTCTTAGGGAAACTGGAGAGGTATTTATATCACAGAAAAAAATAAAACTTAAGCAGTCAGTGAAAATGGCAACATTCTTGTAAGGGAAATAGCTGCACTTTAGTCAAGAGCAGGCCGAGGTGGCCTTCTGGTGCAGCATGACTCAGTGGGTTTGGAGCACAGGGCACAACCCTGCACATTATGTAACCACGTGACACGAGGTGCATTAGGTGATCACCCATGTGAGCTCGTGCTTGGCTTGGAGCCATTATTGTCTGTAAAAGGTATAATTACCTTGCTAACACTGTATATACAGCTTGCTCGCATCCAGAGAGAGAGAGTAAAGCCATGTCAAAACTGTCTATGATTCCTCAATGTTTTTCCAGCTACCTACCACTTGCCCACCGACTCCCCTCAGACCTCAGTTAGAATCTGACAATTGGCATCATGAACAGGATCCTGAGGAGAGTGAGCCTTTGGTCCCCCACTGATTCCAGGTTGGCCATGTGGCTGCAACATGGGTTGTGGTACCCCTTGGTGGCTGTTCTGCTTGGATTTGTTCTGGTGGAAACCTGGGCGGCAGTAGTTGGGTCCCCCATGAGCATGGAGAAGGTGCTGAAGCAGCTGGAAACACAGACCACCAAGGAGCGAGCCTTTGCTGGCAGAGTTGGATGGGCATTTTTGACTGCACTACGAGAAGTACACACCCAGTCCCTGAGGGATGCAATGCAGATAAGGACCCTCCAGATGCAGGCAGCGCATCTGGAGGCCTGGCTACACAGCCCAGAAAAAGAGTTAGAAGCTGCCATGAATGGGGACCTCCAGGTGTAGGCAGGGTGCCTGAAGTCCTGGCTACAGCACTTGGAAAAGGAATTAGAAGCTGCTGTGGGCCAGGCGGGGTGGCTCACACCTGTAATCCCAGCACTTTGGGAGGGCAAGGCGGGTGGATAACTGAGGTCAGGAGTTTGAGACCAGCCTGGCCAACATGGTGAAATCCCCTCTCTACTAAAAATGCAAAAATTAGCTGGGCATGGTGTGCTCCACTGTAATCCCAGCTACTTGGGCCATTGAGGTAGGAGAATTGCTTGAACCTGGGAGGTGCAGGGTGCAGTGAGCTGAGATCACGCCACTACACTCTAGCTTGAGTGACAGAGTGAGACCCCATCTCAAGAAAATAAAATTAAATTTAAAAAGCTGCTGTGAATGCAGGCCTGGGTCTGTTGTCTCAGCCAGAGACCCCCACTTGGTCAGATACCGAGGAGGAAGAACCCCTGTTGTGGGCTCACCCAGTGGCCCATCAGAAGGTAGAACATGAACAGCCACTGGGGCCCCAAGGATAGGCTCAGAGACCCACCACTGTAATGCAACATACTTCAAATACTGCCCATACCCCAACTGAGTTGTGAGAGTTAGGCAAGCAGTGCCGTCAGCATCCAGGGGAAACTCTGCTCATCTGGATGCTTCATTTATGGGATGAGGGAGCAGACAGTATCACCTCTTCTGCCTCTGAGATGGAAAAGATGGCCTCTATCACGACTCACCTCTCCCTCCATCAGCGGTTGCAGGTTAGCTGGTGGCTGACACAAGGGCAAGGTGACCACACCTTGATTGAGTGGCTATGGGCAGCCATACGGACGGTGTGGAACGACACCAGTGAAATACTTGAAACCATGAGTAAATGGAAGTTGTATGCCAATTTGATGCAAGTCAGCTGGGAGATAGGTATGCAGCAGGCTATGTGTATTAGGGTTCTCTTGGGCAAAACTAATAGGAGATACATACATATACATACATACATATATATATGTATATATATATGAGAGTTTATTAAGTAGTAAACTCTGTCTGCAAGCTGAGGAGCAAGGAGAGCCAGTTCAGGTCTCAAAATTGAAGAATGTGGAGTCCAATATTCTAGGGCAAGAGGCGTCCAGCATGGGAGAAAGATGTAGGCTGGGAGGCTAGGCCTGTTTTCTCCTTTTTACGTTTTTCTGCCTGCTTTATATTCGCTGGCAGCTGATTAGATTGTGCCCACCAGATTAAGGGTGGGTCTGCCTTTCCCAGCCCCCTGACTCAAATGTTAATCTCTTTTGGCAACACCCTCACAGACACACCCAGGATCAATACTTTGTATCCTTCAATTGAAGCGAATTGACACTCAGTATTAGCCATCACACTATGTTTGACCTGAATACCCAGGGGCCAGATGATGAACATTTCACCTCCCATATGAGGGATCTCATGTTGGGTTCTGTGCTCCCAAGTGCCTTTGGCTTCCTAGCTGCTGTCCTTACCCCATACGTAGGATGCTGCATACATGAAGTGACTCCTGCTGTGGCAGCTCTTGGAGAAGCAGAAGGCCATTGGTGGGACCAAGGGCTCCACACAGTAAAGAAGGGGAAGACGTCTTGCCCATAGGGTCCCCACCATGGGAGAAAAGGGGGCCACAATGAGTGACATGCTCACAGATGTAGATAGATTTGATTTTGGCCAGGATTGGATGAGAGAAAATTGATAAGCAGCCCAATGAAGTACTCTTAACTTTGTGAAGATAGTTGTCTTCAGAGTAGCAATTCCAGAAAATGCCCAAGGGGGAGAAGGACGTTGCTGCGCCACCCGGTGCCACCCGGTCCCACCTGGGTACTTTAGCTCAAAGACTACTTGCTTCAGCCGGGTGGAAATGTGGAGCCTTTTCTGTTTGATTAGGGAACTGGCTGAGGTCCCCAGCTTGCAGGGACACTAGATAACTGGAGGCCACGTATGGAATTAGCAATCCACTGCTCCCCCACTAATGTACAGCGGGTGCTGGCGCTGGCGGATACTGGCACAGATTGCAGGCTTGTTTATGGGAACCTGGATAAGTTTCCAGGCAAACCTGCTTACATTGACAGTTATGGTGGCTGATCAATGAAAGTGAAGCCTGTATCGTACCTTGGCATGGGATGTTTGGCTCTCCGCTTATATATTGTGTATGTGTCTCCCATACTGGAATACATTCTGGGGGTGGACATTTTACAGGGCCTGGTGTTACAAACCACGGCAAAGTAATTCAGACTCCAAGGGCATGTGGTGAAGCCAGTGCTGCATGGACATATGCATCGCCAGCCTCAGGTCCTGCCACAACCCCAATGGGTTACTTCCATTCATCAATACCATTTGCCGGGTGGGCATACAGAGATGACTGAGACAATTAAGAAGCTGGAGGAGGTGCAGATAGTGTGTGGCATCTACAACCCCTACGATTCTCCAGTATGACCAGATAGAAAGCCTGATGAAACTTGGTGGATGATGGTGGACTATCGGGAACTAAACTAAGTAACATCCCCTTTGCATGCAGCTGTACCATCAATAATGGATTTGATGGACCATTTGATGACAGAACTGGGACAGTACCACTATGTAGTGAACTCGGCCAATACATTTTTCTCCACAGACATCACTCCAGAAAGCTAGGAACGGTTCGCCTTCATGTGAGACGGGGGACAATGAACTTTTACAGTGTTGCCACAGGGCTATGTGCATAGCCCCACCAAATGTCACGGTCTAGTTGCCACAGATTTAGCTGCTTGGCAATGTACAGAAAGGGCCCACCTATTTCATTATGTTGATGATATTATGTTAACCTCTGATTCTCTTGCTGATTTAGAAGTGGCAGTGCCCCTCTTGCAGCAACATTTGGCAGCATGCAGTTGGGCTGTCAATGAATCCAGGGTCCAAGGGCCTAGATTATCTGCCAAATTATTAGGAGTTATCTGGTCAGGTGAGACAAAGGCCATCCCAGAGGTTATCATTGATAAGATTCAGGCATATCTCCACCCCACCACGGTGAATCACCTGCAAACTTTTGTGGGCCTCCTGGGATATTGGTGGGCATTTGTGCCCAATTTAGCTCAAAGTGATAAAACCATTGCATTGAATAACAAAGAAGGGAGCTACCTGGGATTGGGATGATGTGGCTGAGACTGCCTTCCTGCCAGCCAAGCAGGCTATTCAGCCAGCAGAAGCCCTACAGGTAGTTGACCAGGGGTACCCATTTGAGCTGGATGTGCATGTGACCACAGATGGTTTCAGCTGGGACCTGTGGCAGCACAAGGAGTGCTTGAGAATGCTATCAGGCTTCTGATCTCTATGGAAGGGAGCTGAGCTCTGGTATTCCTTGATAGAGAAACAGCTAGCAGCTGTATATGCCACCCTTCAGGCTTGTGAGAGTGTGACAGGATCGGCTGCAGTCATTGTGTGAATGACTTACCCAGTAGCAGGATGGGTGCATCATGGGTAATGACCCCCTGGACTGGGATGGCACAGACATCCACCTTGGCAAAGTGGGGCGCCTACTTGGAGCAGTGGAGTATGCTGAGTACAAGCCCCTTAGCAGTAGAGTTGCAAGAGGTCTTGGGACCTGTAGTCTTAATGCAAGATAAGGCCTGAGGCACCCCTAGACCCTCAGCCTTCATTTAAGGAAGGGTGTCGCCCCCACTCCCGATGTGGCATGGTACACAGATGGGTCTAGCTGAGGTGCCACTGCTGCCTGGACCGCTGTTGCAGTCCAACCTAGTACTGACACCATATGGTTTGAAACTGGGTATGAACAAAGTAGCCAATGGGCTGAATACAGAGCACTATGGATGGTGATCACCAAGGAAGTGAAACCTATGGTAATCTGTATGGATATTTGGGTGATCTATCAAGGTTTAACCTTGTGGTTAACTACAAGGAAAATACATAAGTGGCCTTTGGCTACCCCCAGCAATGATGAGGCAGATGTCTTGGCTAAGGTCTGATGGTTAGAGTCGGCACCTACATGAGATGTGGCCATGTGGCTACACCAGAAACTGGGACATGCGGGGGTAAACTGATGCAACAGGTCAATATAGATTGGGATCTGTCCCTGACCATGCAAGATATTTGGGACGCTTGTCAGAAATGCCCAGCATGTGCTCAGACATACCCTAATCAGAGGCAGCTGCCCAGTGTTACACAACAGTAACGATAGGGCAAGTGCCCTTGACCAGGTGGCAAGTAGACTACATCAGGCCACTACGGAAGCTGCTAGGGTATACACATGTGCTAATGGCTGTGGACGTGGCCACAGGCCTTTTGTTCCCCTACCGTTGCAGGGTGGTCAACCAACAGAACACCATTCAGGCCCTGTAACACTTATGTGCCCTGTGTGGTTACCCTCTGGCCATTGAGAGTGATAGGGGAACACATTTCACTGGACAACAGGTACAAAAATGGGCACAACGAATGGGCATAAAGTGGGGACTCCATGTGCCATACAACTCACAAGCTGTGGGTATGATTGAGGGATATAACAGGCTCCTGAAGAATGGGTTATGCTTGCATGTCACACCCCCATCTTTGCAGGGCTGGAGTTCCAGGCTGGACATGGTGCTCCAAACCTTGAATGAATGACCACCAAAAGGTGGCCCAGCCCCAGTGGAGGCTTTGTTACACTGGGCTACTGTCCCATTCAGTTGCAGATACATACCAGGGATGACCTCCTCTGACCAGATATGGGGACTTATGGTAACCTGTTGTTGCCTGCCCCAACACCCTTGAAGGCAGGAGAACAGAAAACCTGGCTGTGTCTGTGGACCCTCCAAGTCCCCCACTGCTGGTGGCTGGCCATCATAGCTCCCTGTGGGGAGGGCCTGCAGTGTGACTTGCATGTCGCTCCTTGGGTGTTTGATGCATGGCCCCCATGGTTGGCTGTTCATGGTGGGGCGGTCGGGGAAGGAGCCCTCCTCCGGGGCACATATGTACTGTCTGTGTGGCCTATTATGAGCTCCCCTGTGACTGTGGCACTGATACAGGACTCAAAGAAACCATGGGGAGCTGAGAAGGTGTAGTACCATTGCCCAGGGCAAAAGTGCTTGGGGGCTGCATTGTTATTCAGGGATGAAAGGTTAGCTTGTATTTTGCCTGAGGGACGTGACTTACCCCCGTTAGTACCTGTGCTTGCTCTGTCACTTCGACATAGGTTAACATGCTCCAACTGTATTGTGGACCTATGCTGAGGTGACCAATGTTTTCAACTGTTGGGTCTGCACCACCCTTCCAGCAGCAGCTGCGGATAGCTTGCCTTGGCACATGCATTCCACATCTGCAGAGAACTGGACATAGTTGGAGACTTGGGGTCCCATAGCTGACACTTGGAATGCAAAGTGGCAAGCTCTGGACAAAGGATGCTGCAAGACCCATGGTGCACCCACCCCCTGGCTGGCCTGTAGCGTTTATGACAGGTGGGGCTGGCTAGTGGGGGAACATGTAGTACCCCTGGCCCAGGCACTGCAACACTGGGGTAACACCACTGTGGGTTGGGTACCCGTCATGGCCTGTGCAAACATAACATGTGTCACCACACCAAAGGTAGGATGGAACAAGCGGCCCCACCAAGGTCAGGCCCAATGGACTTTTTGCCCCTGAGACTTTATGGGTCTGTGGGGACACAGGGTGGCCTTACCTACCAGATGACTGGATTGGATGTTGTACCTGGGGGTGGCCTTATGTACCTGCCTCTGTTCTCTCCATGTTGCCCAGATGTCTGCGTAACTGGGAGGTGCTACGCTCTTTGTTTTCGCAAATGCGACGAGCCCCCTGGTGGTTCTACCCCTTGGCAATGACTATCCCTGGAGTGGGTGTCATAACTATAGAAGCACAAGTTACTGCTCTTGTAGAGCACAACACTTGGGCTCTGAATTACACCCAAGTGGCCCTCCTCCTGTTAATGGATGAGGTTGATCAGATCAGAAAGGTGGTGTGGCAAAACAGAATGGCCTTAGGCATAATAACTGCTGCCCAAGGAGGCACCTGTGTCTTTTTAGGAACACAGCATTGTACCTTTATCCCTGACAATCAGCAGAACTTAACAGCAGCCCTGTAAGGGGTCTCATGAGAGATTAAGGCAGTTGAGAGCCTTACTGATGACCCCCTGCAGAGATGGTGGCATTCCCCAGGCTCTGGCCTGTGCTGGGCCCTAACAGTCATAAGTAGCATAGCTGGGATCCTAGTAGTGAGCTGTTGCTGTCTGTATTGTTGTTGTGGAATATGGATTCAGGTCTCCACCCTATGGTCACGTGTCCCTGCCTGGAGGAGGCCCTCAGCCTAGGGGGTGGAGTGTAAGCGATATGGCTGCACTTTAGTCAGGAGTAGGCTGAAGTGGCCTTCTGGTGCAGCATGAGTCAGTGGGTTTGGAGTGCAGGCGCACAACCCCACACATTATGTAACCATGCCACATGAGGCGCATTAGGCCTCAGAGCCACTATTGTCTGAAAAAGGTTTAATTACCCTGCTAACGCTGTACATATGGTTCACTCATGCCCAGAGAGAGAGTAAAGCCATGTCGAAACTGCCTATGATTCCTCGAATGTTTTTCTAGCTACCTGCCACTCACCCACTGACTCCCCTCGGACCTCAGTTAGAACCTGACAATTCTTTATTTATTTTTTAATTTATTATTGAGATAAGGTCTGGTTCTGTTGCCCAGGCTGGAGTACAGGGGTGACATCTCAGCTCACTGCAACCTCCACCTCCCAGGCTCAAGCCATCCTTTCACCTCAGCCTCCTGAGTAGCTGGAACTACAGGTGCACACCACCATGCCTGGCTAATTTTTGTATTTTTTGTAGAGACAGGGTTTTGCCATGTCGCCCAGGCTGGTCTCGAACTCGTGAGCTCAAGCAATCCACTCGCTCCAGCCCCCCAAAGTGCTGGGATTACAGGCGTGACCCACCACACACCTGGCTGGCAACATTCTTTAAATAATTTTCCACAAATGTGGATCTTCCTTGGCTCCCAATTTGCCTCAGCCTCTTTCTATCTTGAGGGATCTTCATCTCTCATCTCTCTTCCTCACTTTGAAAAGTAAAACCATCCAACTAGCCATCAACAAAACAAGCCTTTCCTGGCCTCATACAGAGCCCATGACTTACTCCTCTGAATCCTAAGCACCACTCACTCAAAACCCAGGCAAGACAGGAGAAGTAGAAGAGCTCCCCTCCACCCCAGACATTTACCGACTGCTCTCCCCAAAAGGGATTCTTCAATAAGAGCTTTCAAAGACTATTCTGGCAAAGGCACTCATCTTCCTGGGGCCTTCAAAAGGGACTAGAGTTCACCTCTATATATTCTTTTCTGAATTCAAAGTCAGAGTATTTTCTCCTCTAACATTCTTTTTCTTGTGACATGTCAGCTCTATTTTCTAAAGTTGCCATTTTCCCTTTAACTAGCTGGGCATAGCCAAGGTCTCAGAGTAAGGTCTCAGGGCTCTTCCCATATCCCACCATGCCTAGCATTCTAACTTGTTCCCAGTTTTCTTGAATAATCTCCTGTTTTGATTATTCCAAGAGTCTGGCTTTGGCTTGCTTGAAAATTCTAATGAAGGTCCTGCTTAAACTAAGACCACTTTGATCTCATTCCTCATTCCTCACCAATTCTTTTAGTGTCTCTCATATGAGTACTTTCTCCTCTGCCTTTTTCTATACTCCCCACGAAGGCTAGGGAACAACTTTTTTTTTTTTTTGGAGACGAAGTCTTGTTCTTGTTCCCCAGGCTGGAGTGCGATGCCATGATCTCGGCTCACTGCAACCTCCACCTCCCAGGTTCAAGCGATTCTCCTGCCTCAGCCTCCTGAGTAGCTGGGATTACAGGCACCTTCCACCATGCCCAGCTAATTTTTGTATTTTTAGCAAAGATGGGGTTTCACCATGTTGGCCAGGCTGGTCTCGAACTCCTGACCTCAGGTGATCAGCCCACCTCAGCCTCCCAAAGTGCTGGGATTACAGGCATGAGCCACCGCGCCCGGCTGGGAACAACGTTAAAAAAAAAAATCAGTATTTATCTTTCACAATGTACCTGTTTTTAATTTTTTCTCTATTAGAAAGTAATGGGATATTTTTGAGTAGAGATTTTTTAGAGTCTGATAACTAGGAAAATGGAAAATGAATCAATTTTTTGATGTAATGTTATAATTGGTTACTAAAAATGCAATAATTTCCAAAACAAAAAGTGTACAATATGTAGTACATTTTATTCAAGATCAAATATTCATATTACAAAAATATTGAGTCTTTTAAAAACAATGGTTATGAGTAAGTGACACATTTTTGAAAAGAAACCTTTCAAGAAGCATATTATCTTTTTAAAGAATAAAAGAGTAATTTTTTTAGTGTCATAACTTATCCTAAATGTTACTACATCACACACATGCTTTATCTCCATTTGAATGACTTATCATAATCTAGATTATAGCAATGAGTCACACATTGTAGATTACTTACAAAGAAGGGAATAAAGCCAAAAGAATAAAATTCCAGAGTATAAGAATATATCAAAATTTCCTGCCACTTCTGTTTTCCATTATATGGACTTTCATTGGCCTTCACCTGCTAATCCTGTGTTATCACAATCATGTGGAAGCAGTGGATAAATGGTTAAATGATTGGGCTTTGAAGTTAGTCTGCCTGGATTGAAATCCCAGCTCTGCTTCTTACTAGCTGTGTGGCCTTAGCTAAGTTATTAAACATCTCTATGCCTCAGTTGCTACATCTGTAAAATTGGTGTAATAATTAAGTGGGACATAGAGTGATTAAAACTATGACTAGGCCAGAGTAAGAGTTTAATAGATATTAATCTCAATTAATTTATTGCCAGTCTCCCATGTGTGTGGCCTCTGCTTAGGTTTTGTTAATGCCTACGCAATCACCATTCTCCTTCCTGCTTTCTTGCTGGCAGAACCTGTCTTCCATGACAGAGGTCAAATACCCGATGCTCATTTTTCCAAACCTCCCTTATACTGCAACATGAGTATGTGACCTGACAATAGGATATGCTAGCAGGAGGGAGGTGCAAGAGAAGGAGGTGGTGGTTTTGGGATCATTTATAAAAAAGATTTTTCTCCCTGAAAAGTCTGGAAAACCCCCATTCTTCTTTCCTATCATGGCGTCAGAAGCTCAGGGAGGCTCTGTGACTGTCAGGTAAAAGGTGTGAGGGCAGTCTTTTTGCTTTTTGCAAAGGGTAGCAGAGCTGAAAGGTAGAGAAAGCTGGCGTCCCCGATGACACTGGTAACTGCTGAGCCAACACAAGAGCATCTAACTCCAGACTTCACTATGAGAAGTCATGAAAGCCCCTATTCTTTAAGCCACTTTAACAGTTGGGATCCTGTTACTTCCAGCTGAAGCTGATAATGATTGATAAAGGCACTTCAGAAAATAGCACTGACATTTCTAAAAAGTGTCAATCAATGTTTGGAAACATGTACATAAAGTGGTTTAATTTGTAAACTATGTAACATTTTGATGAACAAATTAATTTTATTTTCAGCCCTTCTTTTCCAAATAAAAGGATCATGTTTAGCTTAATAAGCTATCGGGGGAAAGATCTATTGAAAAATATCCATCCAAAGTAGACAAGCCTACGTTAAAAAGGAAAAAGGGAAAAAGCAAAGTAATTGTTAAGGTTATTTAAGCTTTTCTTAAAGTGTGTGCTAGACCATACATGTGTTAACTATGGCAATTTCATATTTGTATCCCTGCATTATTAAGCTTCTGTCTCCAAAGGACCACTTTCTGTCTTCCTATAAATGTTTTTCTTTGTAGTTGGCACCTAGGAGTCCATCATTTTCTGAGGGTTCTTTAAATAGTTCACTAGCTCTCAAATTAATTTCTGGTTATACGAGTGGATTTTCAAACAATACAAGAATAAAAAGTGTCCAATTTCTCTATGACCACACAGCATCTTTATGGCATCAGACTTAAGTTGCTTACATTACCTTACATTAAAAAAGCCCTTAATAACTAATGAAAGCCAAGTGATAATATAGTTTAAAAGGTAAATTTTATACTCAAGCATCATTTTCCTTTGGTCAGACAGAGAAACACTGATGTCCCAGAGGACAGAGTATTAAGCTTAAAATACAAGGTTAAACAGTGTTATTTTCTGAATAGCATTTAAAATAAACAGATTTAAAAGCTGGTTATGTAATATAATGCATTAAATGTTTAATACCTGACCTAATTTCATTGACTGTAGACATTGAACATATGCTGCAAGGTGGGCTAAGTTTGACAGTAATTATTTAACTGGTCAAACATCCTGGATTTTTTTCAGGTTATGGTAATTACTGGAATAATTTACAGTTAGAGGGAAAACTAGATTCACATATACTGTTACTCTCCTTTAAAAAAAGGCTCGTGTCTGAAGACTACAACTTACATGGAAAATATCTGGATGAAAAGAGATAAACATTCTTGATTGTGCGTCATGTACTTTGCACCTTAAAACAATCATTGTCAATACCTACCACTTATAGAGCACATATGATTTATCAGCGATAAGGCAATGTATTCTACAAATATGGCTTTAATTATCACAACAATCCTATCAGATGGGTAGAATTATTCCTTAGTTTTTTTTAATAGAGAAGCCTCAGAGAAGTAAAGTAATTTTCCCAAGGCTTCTTGGTGGAAAACATGAATACAGGTTGGTCTCATTCCAGAGCCCTTGTTACTAATTACTGTGTAATTGTAACAACCCATTTCACCCTCACCCCAGGCCCACACTTAGCCCTACCTCCACAGGTTTAGTTAGTGTAGTGCTGGGGTAGTTAGTGCCTTTCTGGATGGTTTCTGGTAAGAACCTCCTTTCAAGGTTCAAGGTAGCATGTTGTCCATTGCTATGGATTGAATGTTTGTATCCCCCACTCCCCAAAATTCATATGTTCAAACTATAATACTGAATGTGATGGTATTTAAGGATGGGTCTTTGGGAGGTGATTAGGTTATAGAAGTGGAGCCCTCAAGATGGGATTATTGCCCTTATAAGAAGAGACATGACAGTGGGGAGGGCATGGTCAGTAGCTGCAGCACTAGAAAGTTGGTGGAGAAGACCAAATAAAATTTCCTTTGGTCCTAGGAAATCAAGTCCTCAAAGCCACTCAGTCAAAGAGGGCACTTTTAGCAAAGAAGGAGCAGAGGAAAGGAAAAGGGCTCAGGTTTAAGTGTCTGGAATTATTCCTATATGATTCTTGGCAGCATAAATGTGACAAGCTGCAACTCAGATGACTAGATGTAAAACCTTGTGCCTTGGAACAACCAGATAAACACTCCTCGGCCTTTGTTGTATGCATCCAAAGGATTAATGATGTGAGTTTGCTGGTGCAGAGAATCATCATAAGGCTTTGCCTGAAGACATTTTTCAGTGGTGTCTTTGTAGAAGTCACCCCCTCCCCACCCCTCCACCCTCAGCCTAGAAATGCTGCATATAGTGGAACATTACGTGACCTGGGGATTTTCAAATCTGAAGTCTTTCCAGGAACTCATCTTGAAATGTGGGCAAGCCAAGGTCAAAAGTAAGACCAGTCCCTCTGGCAGACAACACAGTTATTGGGGAGCACCTGGGGAGGTTTGGCGTTATTTGCTTAAAAGACGTCATTCACGAAATTGTCTTCCTGGGGAAGTATTTCCAAGAGATCTCATTGTTCTTGCACCCTTTCCACCTCCTTGTGGCCTATCATGCTACCAAGAATAACATGGTGGGCTTCCTCAAGGGAATGGGCTCACCTGGCTATCAGAGTGAAGGCATGAATGAGCTCATCCACAGCTGAACTAGACCCAGAATACTTGAAAGCACAGTGTATTAGTGTATTGGAAGTATGTGCTTTTGCTTTTCAGAATTGATATCAAGTAACTTCAGAGAAGATTATTTCCTGCTCTATTGTGAAAAACTGGAAGGGAAGGGTCAGGGAAAAGACAGCAGGTTATGTTCATGGCAGGCACCTCTCGGCACAGTCCAGTTCTAAGGAAACATTTCCATGCTCTCCATATTGGCTGCCACATCCTCTGAAATCAGCACATGCCATGGAGGAAGGAGTCCTGCTTTGTTGCATCTTCTATCCTGGGGTTTAATATTCATGAGTGAATAAGCATTTTGTACAAGACACCCTAAGACTCCTGCAGCAGTACACCAAGCCCAGGGGTATACTTGAATCTAGGAGTTCCTAAGGCCTTATTTTTAAAAGACTTGAAATACAATTAGGAAGAAGGGCACAAAAAGAACTGCTCAGTTGTCTCTGCTGTGCATCTATGTTCCAACTTTTCAGTGGTGGCTCTCAGAGCTCTCAGACTTGGCTGACTCCAAGTATATCTGGTGGCTTTTATATTCTAGCCTGCAACTGGCTTAGCCTTTTTCTCTAAAAGCTCAGGATTTGAGAATGAAAGACCTCTTCAGCAGAAAAACATGCACACACTCAAAATTTTGCTTGCAGTTTTAGGGTATTTAGACCCTTCTCCTCAGGGACCTATGCACCTTATGTGAGGAAGTCCTGCTCTTATCAGGACTGGTCACCCAGGCCCTGATGTTGATCATTTCTGGTTCCATGTCCTGTGGAAGACCAAAGCTTACCAAGAGAGCTTTTTCTCTTTACGTGGCAGATGGTGTTGCCCCCTGTGCCTACTAGAACTCTGGGAAATGCCCACCATTTCTCTCCTGGGCTTCAGGATAGAATTTCCTGATTTCTCTGATGATCAGCACTCTCCTTAAAACCCAGATCAGGAAGGAATGAACCATTTTCTTCATTTGGCCTGGATAAAGTTAGCAGTGTCTGGCTTTTTAGGCCCCAGGCAGGCAGCTTAATAAACCTTTCCCTTGCAAATTCTAGTCTCCAAAAGTATTGCCCTTTGTCCTGCTGGTAATAATGTAGGAAACTAGCAACAAGGCTTCCAGGGATTTCCTGAAAACAGTGGATCTGATTCTGCTTGTGTTTTTCATCAGTGACCACCCCCAAGTGGACCCTCGCATTACTCCCTTCAATTAATTGCCTCAGCTTGCCATCTGAGCAATTGA
Source organism: Homo sapiens (assembly GCF_000001405.40). Classification (NCBI taxonomy): domain Eukaryota; kingdom Metazoa; phylum Chordata; class Mammalia; order Primates; family Hominidae; genus Homo; species Homo sapiens. The sequence goes on along the minus strand of NC_000001.11, from coordinate 86,402,942 downwards.
CAAGGATGTGCCAGGCCTAGGTTAAACTTTAAAACATGCTTAACCATTGTATTTCCTGATCCTTTCAGAACAGCTTTCTACATTTTGGTTTATGGGGCCCTCAAATATAGCTGGAAATTGAGTTAGAGGTATAAGAATGCCTTAAAATATGCCAGCTTATGAGGCCATCAATTAGGTTGGTTGGCTCCACAGTTAGCCTGCCAGGAATAGATACTATAGATGTTACTCTTACACTGTAAAACACTGTGAAATCAGATTACTTTTAAATGATGTATCACAAAGTCATGGAAAAAAGCAGTTGTGAGTATGGAATCCCAGGTCTTCTATCCCAGCTTGTTTTCACTCTGCCTGTAAAATGGGAGCTAATATCCTCCAGCCTGTCCGACTCACATGTTGGTTAAAAGGATTAAGCAAAATAATAGTTTGTAATTTATAATTCTATACAAAGCAAAGATATTATTTATAAAAGGGAGAGACATGAAAGAGCTTGCTTCCCTCCTCTCTCTACCATGTGGGAGTACGACAAGAAGGCATCCTTCTGCAAATCAAGAAGAGGGCCCTCACCAGGAACCAAATTGGCTGGCACCTTGATCTTGGTCTTCTCAAATTTCTGTTGTTTAAGCCACCCAGTCTATATTTTTGTTACAGCACTCCAAACTAAGACATGCGCTGATACTCTATCTTGTAAAGCAAAGTTGTTCTGTTGCCCCAAGACTTTGCTCAATTCTTGTCTGACTTGCCCTGTGGACAACCGTCTTTGTAGTAAATGGAGTCTAGCCAATTTTAAGACTTATATAAAACTACAGTAATCAAGAGAATGTCATGTAGGCAAATGTTTTGATTATAAATTATTAGAATAGAATGGATTGTCCAGAAATAAACACACACACACATGGTCTAATCATTTTCAACAAAAGCACTAAATTGATTCAATGGGGAAGAGAAAGTCTTTTAAATAAATGGTGGTACCAAATTGGGTATCTGTATAAAACAAAGTGAATCTTGACCCCTTACATCATTCCTAAAAAACTTAATTCAAGATAGGTCATATACTTACTTATAAAAGCTTCAAATAATAAAACTTCTAGAAGAAAACATAGCGACTTCACAAATGTGGAGTTGCGGTACATTAAACTATAAAAGAAAAATGCTGGTAAGTTAGATGTTTCAAATAAAAATTTTCTGCTCTTCAAAAGATACCATTAAGAAAATATATGAGAAATAGGAGGAAAGTATTAGTTACATATATCTGACAAATCGTTTTTCAGAATATGTAAACAACTCCTGAAAATCAACAATAAAACAACAATCCAAAAAAATGGGTAAAAGACTTGAACAACACTTCATAAATGATGTACGGTCAATAACTGAAAGGTGCTAAACATCATTCATTACCAAAAAAAACCACAAATTGAAATCCATAATGAGCTGCCACCTCACACCCCCTAGAACAGTTAAAATAAAAAATACTGCTGTACTAAATGTTGGCAAGGATGTGAAGCAACAGGAAGCATCATACACTGCTGGTAAAGTTAAACATACTTATACCCTATAACCAGTAATTCCACTCCTAGCTAAGAAAAATGAAAGCATATGTTAATAAAATGCGTTTTAAAGAATGCTTATAGCAGCCTTATTCATTAATAACTAGAAGCTGCCAACAACCTAAATATCTATCAACAGGAGCACTAATAAGCAAATTGTGGTATATTTACACAATGAAATACTACTATATAGTAGGCTGTTCTTACGTTGCTATAAAGAAATACCTGAGGCTGGGTAATTTATAAAGAAAAGAGGTTTAATTGGCTCATAGTTCTATAGGCTGTACAAGCATTGCACCAACATCTGCTGGGGTTCTGTGAGGGCTTCAAGAAGCTTATAATTATGGCTTACAAGAAGGTTAAGGGGAGCAACCACATCACATGATGAGAGCAGCAGCAAGAGTTGGGATTGGAGAGGTGCAACACACTTTTAAACAACAGGTCTCACATGAATTCAGACCAAAACTCACTTATCATCAAGGGGATGGTACTAAACCATTCATGAGGGATATGCCCCCATGATCTGACACTTCCAACATCAGACCCCACCTCCAACACTGGGGATTACATTTCAACATGAGATTTGGAGAGGACAAACATGCAAACTATATCAACTACTCAGCCAAAAAAAAAAAAAAAAAAAAAAACTACTAAACTATGCAACAACATGGATGAATCTCAATCTCAAAAAAAAAGAACAAACTACTAAAATATGCAACAACATGGATGAATCTCAATCTCTCTCTCTCGCTATATATATATATATATATTCATTCAAATATGTGGGTGTGTATATATATGTATATACACATATATACATATATACACACACACATGCCTATTTGAATGAAAGAAGTCAGACAAAAAGGAATATATATTGTGTGATTCCATTTATATGAACACCAAGAATAGGCAATATTAACCTCTAGTCATATAAATTAGAAAGTAGTAGTCTCTCTGTGTGTGGGCTAGGGGAGGATGGAGAGGCATGAGGGTAGTTTTGGTGAACTGACAAGCTACAGACAGATACAAATAAACACTTTGGACTGACATAAATGTTCTAAATTTTGTTTTAGGTATTATTTTCATGAGTGCATATAATTATATAATTGGCAAAAGTCATACTCTGAACATTTAATACATATGTACTTTATTGAATATAAATTATACAACCATTTAAAAGTGGCCTATAATCCTCAGGAATTAAGTAGTCACTGAAGGCATACCTTTGTTGGGAATGGCAGGAATGAAGAATACAAAGATTGTGGGGTGATTTTTCTATTTATGACTGTACTAGGATGCTTAAAGAAAAATGTGATAAGCTCAGAGGCCCAGAGAACTTCTATGATTACCTTAAAACTTTATTAATTGCTGGGATGACACATCCAAATCAAGTATTAATGCTGTGAAGAGCTAAATTACAAGGTAAGTTGAATAAACAGACTCCTCAGGTCTCTTATGTAAGAAATTAAGGCATTGATTGGGAAGGAGTTGGATCTTTAGAGTTGTGATAGAGAGGTTGGGTGAATTCGGATAGCTCTATTATCTTAATACGCAGACACTACAGAGCTTTTTGCTTTCTGAAGAACTCCTCCCTTCCTATCTATAGGGCTGGTCTTGTACTCCTTGAAAATTCTGAAGTAACTTAATCTGAGGAATTTACCTTGTGAATCAATTGAGAAGAACTGATTGTTCTCAGAACTCAACTGTTATCAGTTCTTTATACCTCTAGACTACATCACCTAGTAGAAATATAATGTGAGCCACATACGTAATTTAAAATCTTCTACTAGCTACTCTTAAAATAGTGAAAAAGAAATAGTTGTGGTTAAATTTTGGTAATATATTTTATTTAACTCAACATAAACAAAATATCATTTCTGGTGGCATTGGTGGTATAGTGGTGAGTATAGCTGCCTTCCAAAATATCATTTCGACATAATCAGTATGAAAATCAAGATATTTTATGTTCTTTTTCATATGCAAAATGTGTGTATTTTGCATTTACAACATGTCTCAATTCAGAATCATCACATTTCAAATGTTTGAAATAGCTATAGGTGGCTGGTGGCCTTTGTATTCTCCATATTGGACCGGGGTTTCTTAATGTCAGCACTGTTGACATTTTGTTGTGGAGGATGTCCCGTGCATTGCAGATGTTTAACAGCATCTCTAGCCTCTACTCACTAGATGCCAGTAGGACACTTGCCCTTCCTCTTTGGCTGTGGCAAAAAAAATGTCAAGAACCACTGGTCTAGATCTAAAGTTAGATCCCAACATGTTCCAGGGTATAATAAAAGATCTGACCTGGGAGAAGGGTTTCATACCAAAAAAGTGCAAGATTTTGCTTATTTATATTGGCAGAAGACTATAGAAAATGATAATGAATTCCAAGTGTGGCAGACCAGGGATGAAGGAATATTTTTGATGAGACCAAGATATTAATATGAATACATTTACCAGAGACCATAATTCACTGTTCTTGCTTTGAACATCTAGGAGTGGCTGTCAAGGTTTGCTCAGTTGGTTGATTGAAACTAAATAAAGTTGAGATGTTAGAAATCTCTTGATTTTAGAGGATTGAATTAAAAGACTTAGGGAAAGGGGTAACGAAGAGAGGTTGATTAATGAGTGCAGACATACAGTTAGATAGAAGAAATAAGACCCAGTGTTTGACAGATAAGTAGGGTGACTATAGTTAACTATAATCTATTGTATATTTCAAAATAACTAGAAGAGAACAATTTGAATGTTCATAGCATAAAGATAAATATTTAAGGTGATGGATATCCTGACTATCTTGATTTGATCTTTACACATTACACATTCATATAAATGTATCCAATTATCACATGTACCCTGAAAATATGTACATCTAGTATGTATCAATTTTTAAAGAAGACTTAGGGAATAGTACTGTATGAATGGATTTATCATATGTTACCCAGTCATCTCCTTTCAAAGGTGTTCTGAGAGGGCCAAAGGACCTTCTTTTTACTAAAGCATTGAGAAAATATAGGGAATGCCAGAATCCTTTAAAAGCTCTGTAGCTGCTATTCTATAAGCCTGGGGATAAAGATGCTGCCATTGCATGAAATCCCTAATTCCCTAATGGAAATAGTAAGATCCCAAAGTGATAGAGGCCAAGTGATACCACTGAGCCATCAGAGATGAGATATCTGTTGATACCATGATACCAGCAGGGTGTATCATATTGTTTGACTAAGGGGGATCTTTAGGAGTTGATAATTAATCACTGCCCCTATAATTGAAATGGATAGTCTGCTAAGATTCTACTTAATTTGTACAGCAAAAAATTTACCAGAACTAATGAAGAGACCTGAATGTCATAACCTTAAAGGAGATTTACAGCATCTTGACATTGGCTTTTTGACTCATGGCTATTATAATAGGAAGACAAAGTGGAAGCCTTTGGAACTGCCCTTATCTACTAAAAGATTAAACCAAAGGCAATACCATAGTCCTAGGGGAATTCCAGTGATTAGTGGCACTATTAAAGAGTGCAAAGATGTAAAGGTGGTGATTCTCCATCACACTTTCATTTAACCTTCTGTTTGTCCTCTGCAAACAGGTTATCTAAAATGTTGCTTTTTAATTTTGAAGTATTATTTGTATTCAAGTATCTTTATTCTATTTCATTGCCTGCTATTTTTACATTCTAGTCCCCATTTGTTGCCATGAAGATAGAAATCACAATTTCTACCCAACACTGTAGTGTTGCATCCTGCACACAAACGTACTTTAGTGAGCTCATATGTTTATGTTTATGTATCATCTATGGCTTTTCTTGGTAAGACAATGGCAGAGTTAAATAGTATCACAGAGACCATATGACCTGCAAAACCTATTAATAAAATATTATCTGGCTGTATGAGCACATTTTCATACTGCTATAAAGAATTGCCTGAGACTGGGTAATTTATAAAGGAAAGGGGTTTAATTGACTCACAGTTCAGCGTCGCTGGGGAGGCCTCAGGAAACTTACAATCATGACGGAAGGTGAAGGGGAAGCAGGACACCTTCTTCGTTAAGGAGAAGTGCCCAGTGGAGGGGAAAGAGCCCCTTACAAAACCATCAGATAGCTTGAGAACTCACTAGCATGGGGGTAAACGGCCCCCATGATTCCATTACCTTCATCTGGTCTCTCTCTTGACACGTGGGGATTATGGAACTGCCCCCATGATTCAATTACCTTCACCTGGTTTCTCTCTTGACACGTGGGGATTATGGGGATTACAATTCAAGATGGGATGTGGTCGGGGACTCAGAGCCTAACCATATCACTGGCCCTTTACTAAAAAATTTACTAATTCTGTCTCCCGCTTTAAATTATGAAAGGGACAATTACAGTACTGGTGGAAAAACATTGCTGGAGTGCTTTAGTGAAACCAATTATTTAGGTAGCAGCATGCCACGGTTATGGCTTAGTTGACAGTTACTCTACTTGTGAACTTCATAGGTTGGTGTACGATTCTTAACATGAATATTAAGTAGAGGCATTGAATGAAGATATTTTTCCAATTAAAATCTTGCTTTGCTTCTTCAGGACTTTATAAACCAGACCAGCTGGCTGTGGCACAGATACGAAAGACTTTGAGACCCTGAAGGCACCTTGCAGAACATCCTCAGGCTTCCTCATTTAACAGGAAAAAACCTGAGGCCCAGGGAGGCATCTCAGCTAAAAATACTACTATACATTTAAAAGGAGGTTTCTTCCGGTCGCAGTTGCCTTCACGTTTTCAAATCTTCTCTTTAAAAAGCAAAAGCAGGGCACAACCAGGCCAAGCGCCAGAAAACTCGGAATTGGCTTTATTTCCTTTTTTTCTAGTTGGGCTCGGTTATGATTTTCGGTAACGTACACAAATGCTGTCCTTGTCCATAAACAAACGCTTAAAAAAAAATGTTTACCCGAGAAACAAGGATAGACACGAAGCTGCCCTCCCTGCCCCGTTCCTCACCCTCTCCAATAGCTATAGGCGCTGCCCGCCGTCCCTAACCCGGACCAATCGGCAGCCTGCTGCGGGCCTGACGGGAGGGGTGGGGCCGCCGTTGCCAGAGAAGCCACTAGCCGGTTACTAGCTGCGCTTTTGTTCCACTTGAGCGGGCACTCTTCTGCGGCAAGCAGGTCTAGGAATTCGCCTGGTTCCCACCTCGCGTCCCTTGCCTTCCTTCCTAGTCTACCCACTGTAGTGCCCCCTGCGTCCCGCTCCCTCCTAGCCGACTCAGAGCACAAGAAGGATTGCCACGGTTTCCATTGCAGCAGCCGTGGCGCCTCTGACCCTTTTTTTATATCGCGGCGACGGCGGGCTGTCGTCACGACGACGTGCGGACGCAGCGGCGGGGGCGTAAGTACGCCTTTTGGGTTGGGGGCGACTTTGTGGGGAGCCTAGCTGCTGCTGGGCGTTTACCGCGGGAGCCCTTAGCGGTCTGGAGGTGAGGGCAGTGGTGGGTCCCGGAAGTAAAAGGCCCTCGCGCCCACCCAGCCCCCTCCGCGCAAACCCTCCACCTCCCTCAGGCTGACTACCTGGCCTGGGAAAAGGGCGGCGAGACTCACTCTTAGGAAGGGTGTGGTCCCCGGGACATCAGGGCAAATGTTAGCGTGAGGTGGGCTTGTGCAGAACGAAGTCCTGACCGGGCCGTTCCTGGATATGGTTGCATTTCTTTCAGAAATAGTGACCTCTTAATCATTGGGCTGGTTTTTAATCGCCCATCATGTGATATATCAGATTGTAGGAAGCCCTGGGGGCTTCGTAAGTGAGGTATATTACAGGAATCCTCAGGAAATAATTCCTTCTCCAGGATTCCTCTAGGTTCCAGCCCCTATAGGCGACCCCTGTAGTGCGGGATTGACCTAGGGTCGTGGAGAGTGCTAAAGGCCGACTTGTGTTCAGTCCCAGCTCTGCCACTGAACCCGCTGTGTGGCCTTGTCTAGGTCACTGAACCTTCCTGGATTCCTTACTGATAACTGTAACAGTAATCATCACTTTGGGGTGGTTGTAATACGAGATTAAGTAAACGCAGGGCCATTAAGGTGGCACCGAATGTAGGTGGTTAGTGAGTGGTGGTGCTTGTTGTTTACTGAGAATAACCATACTGGGGCTGCTGTTGGGGATAAAATCTATTTCGAAGACAGTTTCCTCATCACGCAACGCATAGTACGGTTTCAAGTGTTTTTGAATGAATGAGGTTCTTGGAGTTTTAAGTGCAACTGAGTTAAGGTTAAAGAAACAAACCGGGCCGGGCGCGGTGGCTCACGCCTGTAATCCCAGCACTTTGGGAGGCCGAGGCGGGCGGATCACGAGGTTAGGAGATCGAGACCATCCTGGCCAACACGGTGAAACCCCGTCTCTACTAAAACAAATACAAAAAGTTATCCGGGCGTGGTGGCGGGCGCCCGTAGTCCCAGCTACTCGGGAGGCTGAGGCAGGAGAATGGCGTGAACCCAGGAGGCGGAGCTTGCCGTGAGCCGAGATCGCGCCACTGCACTCCAGCCTGGGCGACAGCGCGAGACTCTGTCTCAAAAAAAAAAAAAAAAAAGGAAAAAGAAACAAACTGCAGAAAACCTGTCTGCTTTTGAAATTAGTTTGATATTCTGCTTATAGTAAGAATGTCATGATCATGTTTATGATTTGCTTTTTGCTTCTCTTTTTCATCTTCTTATTTCACAATGGATGTGTATTTATAGTGTAGTTTTTCTATCCCAAAAGTTCCTTGTGACAAACTTTAGAACAATGGAATTTAGTGATCTGGTCGCGGTCTGCTCTCTCTCTTTAGAATTGTAGTCTGTGCTTTTAGCTAGCTCATTCATCACTCATTTCCTTGTCCAGAACAGTTTTCATCTTTTGAATCTAAATTGAACTTATGAGTATTAAAACCTGACTGAATAAAGGCAAGTTTGTGTGTTACTTTTTGCTTTGTAGATTTTTATATTTATGTTTTAGTATCTCATGGCTTTTTTTTTTTTTTGAGATGGAGTCTCGCTCTGCCGCAGTGGAGTGCAGTGGCGCGATCTCGGCTCACTGCAACGTCCGCCTCCCGGGTTCAAGTGATTCTCCTGCCTCAGCCTCTCGAGTAGCTGGGACTACAGGTGCCCACCACCACGCCTAGCTAATTTTTGTATTTTTAGTAGAGATGCGGTTTCACCATCTCATGGCTTTTAATTCAAAACTGAGTTCCACCAATTCCTTACTTGTAATCTTGGACAAGCTATTTAACCCTTCTAAGATTTAATTTACTTATTTATAGCTTTTTAATAACAACCTTGTGAAGCTTTTGTGAGATGATGTTTATAAGGTCAGTCAGTGCTCTGCTCAGTAAATGGCAACAGCTGTCGTGTTGAAGGAAAGGAATATGCTTTATGTTTGTCTGGTACAGGATGGTGACTTTATTTGGGATTAGACAATATTCTGAACATCTTTGGCCAGGTCTTTTTCCGGGTAATTGGGCTCTATATGGACACTCAAAAGTGTCCGAGTTTAAACAGTAAATAATTTAGTCACCCTAACTTATATTTGAGAACCTAATCTATGCTCCCCACTGTGTTAGGTAATTTTTTAGGGCAGAGAGTGATGCGTATTATTTGTCCTCACAGTTAATAGCAAGTTTAAAAGAGAACTAAAATATGAGCATTTATGGAGCAGTTAAATTCTAAACTATATGATTCTGAAAATACTTTTGTTTAGAGTTCTTGATGGGCTGGAGAAATCAGGGCAACACTTTGAGAAGGAAATGGAATGTTGGCTTTGAAGTACATGCCGTGTTTACAGAACAGTCACTCTTGCTGTCAACTCTTCTTCCTATATTATCCAGTCTGCAGCCCATCTTTTAAATATACATCCTTCTTTTTTCATTGGAGAGAGGGATTACTAATTTGTTATCTAATCTAATCTCTCTGTATCAGAAAACGTTTTTTCCATTTTGGTAGCTTTTACGCATAAGATTTATTTTCCAGCTTTTTGCCTGTTTCCAAGATTCCTATCCTTTTTTTTTTTTTCATACAATTACCTCTCTAGTAAACGTTTGACTAGTGTCCAGAATAGTAGGGGGAAAAAAAGAGGATTCCTGTATCTACTTTGTGTTCCTTGCTGAATATGCCATGGTGACTTTTTTCAGTAGAAGCTGTGTTTGAAGCCAGTGGAAGTTAGTTTTCTAAGAATTTGTGTTTGGCAAAACAAAATGTGCAGGTTTCATATGCTATTCTCTTCAGAGATATTGTTTTAAAATACATATTCATCTGAAGTTAGTTAATTTACTTAGTCTGATCTAGGTGTTAAGGAAGGTCATGGACCATGATTTTCCTTTTTCTCTGACCATGGCTAGCATCATGGTCCCTGAGCAGTTATCCCCAAATGCTTGCTGTTGGCCACAGTGGAACATAGTTTAGTGAATGTAGCTGGATCAGCATAGCCTACAAGCACTCCTGGAAAAAGCTTTAAGTACATGTCCTCTTGGCAGTAGACTGGCAAAATTGTCTCTGTATAGGAAATTTAAATCTTTAAACATTTTAAAATATTTTAAAATTGCTCATCTTTAAGGATTTTTAAATGGTTTTTTAAAATTTTTTATTTCCATAGGTTTTTGGGGAACAGGTGGTATTTGGTTACATGAGTGAGTTCTTGAGTGGTGATTTGTGAGATTTTGGTGCACCCATCCCTGAGCAGTGTACACTGAATTCCAATTGGTAGTCTTTTATCACTCACCCCCTTCCCACCCTTTCACCCTGAATCTCCAAAGTCCACTGATTCATTCTTACCCCTTTGCATCCTCATAGCTTAGCTCCCACTTATAAGTAAGAACATATGATGTTTGGTTTTTTATTGCTGAGTTACTTCACTTAGAGTAATAGTCTCCAATTCCATCCATGTTGCTGTGAATGCCGTTAATTTATTCCTTTTTATGGCTGAGTAGTATTTTATCATGTATATATTATATATATATGTATATCACAGTTTTTTTACTCATTGTTTGATGGACATTGTGTTGCTATAAACATGCATGTGCAAGTATCTTTTCTATATAATGACTTCTTTTCCTCTGGGTAGGTGGCTAGTAGTGGGATTGCTGGATCAAATGGTAGCTCTACTATTAGTTCTTTAAGGAATCTCCACACTGTTTTCCATAGCGGTTGTACTAGTTTACATTCCCACCAACAGTGTAGAAGTGTTCTCTTTTCACTGCATCCATGCCAACATCTATTATTATTTTTTGATTATGGCTGTGCTTGCAGGAGTAAGGTGGTATCACATTGTGGTTTTGATTTGCATTTCTCTGATCATTAGTGATGTTGAGCATTTTTTCATGTTTGTTGGCCATTTGTATATATTCATTTGAGAATTGTCTATTCATGTCCTTAGCCCACTTTTTGATGGGATTTTTTTTCTTGCTAATTTGAGTTCATTGTCGGTTTTGGATATTAGTCTTTTGTCAGATGTATAGATTGTGAAGATTTTCTCCCACTCTGTGGGTTGTCTGTTTAGTCTGCTGACTATTCCTTTTGCCATGCAAAAGCTCTTTAGTTTAATTAAGTCCCAGCTATTTATCTTTATTTTTATTGCATTTATTTTTGGGTTCTTGGTAATGAAATCTTTGCCTAAGCCAATATCTAGAAGGGTTTTTCTGATGTTATCTTCCAGAATTTTTATAGTTTCAGGTCTTAGATTTATATAGTTTCAGGTCTTAGATTTAAGTCTTTGATCCATCTTGCGTTGATTTTTGTGTAAGGTGAGAGATGAAGATCCAATTTCATTCTCCTACATGCGGCTTGCCAATTATCCCAGCACCATTTGTTGAATAGGGTGTCTTTTCCCCACTTTATGTTTTTGCTTGCTTTGTCAAATATCAGTTAGCTGTAAGTATTTGGGTTTATATCTGGGTTCTCTATTCTGTTCCATTGGTCTATGTGCCTATTTTTATACCAGTACCATGCTGTTTTGGTGACTGTGGCCTTATAGTATAGTTTGAAGTTGGGTAATGTGATGTCTTTTCACCTAGTCTTGCTTTGGCTATGTGGGCTCTTTTTTGGTTCCAAGTGAATTTCAGAATTGTTTTTTCTAGTTCTGTGAAGAGTGATGATGGTATTTTTATGCGAATTGCATTGAAATTGTAGATTGCTTTTGGCAGTATGGCCCTTTTCACAATATTGATTTGACCCATCCATGAACATGGGTTGTGTTCCATTTGTTTGTGTTATCTATGATTTCTTTCAGCAGTGTTTTATAGTTTTCCTTGTAGAGGTCTTTCACCTCCTTGGTTAGGTATATTCCTAAGTATTTTATTTTATTTTGTTTTGTTTTTGCAGCTATTGTAAAAGTGGTTGAGTTCTTGATTTGATTATCAGCGTGGTCACTGTTGGTGTATAGCACTGCTACTGATTTGTGTACATTAATTTTGTATCTTGAAACTGCTGAATTTATCAGTTCTAGGAGCTTTTTGGAGGAGTCTTTAGGATTCTCTAGGTACAGAATCATACCATCAGCAAACAGCAACGGTTTGACTTCCTGTTTACCGATTTGGATGCCCTTTATTTCTTTCTCTTCTCTGATTGCTCTGGCTAGGACTTCCAGTACTATGTTGAATACAAATGATGAGAGTGGGCATCTTTGTTTTGTTTCAGTTCTCAGAGGGAATGCTTTCAACTTTTCCCCATTCAGTATTATGTTGGCTATGGGTTTGTCATAGATGGCTTTTATTACATTGAGGTATGTCTCTTGTATGCCGATTTTGCTGGGGGTTTTAATCATAAAGCGATGCTGGATTTTGTCAAATGCTTTTTCTGCATCTATTGAGATGATTGTGTGATTTTTGTTTTTAATTCTGTTTATGTGGTGTATCACATTTATTGACTTGTGGATGTTAAACCATCCCTGCATCTGTAGTATGAAACCTGCTTGATCATGGTGGATTATCTTTTTGATGTTGAATTCGGTGAGCTAGTATTTTGTTAAGAATTTTTTTTTTCTTGAGACGGAGTCTCACTCTGTTGCCAGACTGGAGTGTAGTGGCATGGTCGTGGCTCACTGCAACCTCCGCCTCCTGGGTTCAAGCAATTCTCTGCCTCAGCCTCCTGAGTAGCTGGGATTACAGGCACCCGCCACGATGCCCAGCTAATTTTTGTATTTTTAGTAGAGACAGAGTTTCACCATCTTGGCCAGGCTGGTCTTGAACTCCTGACCTCACGATCCACCCGCTTCAGCCTCCCAAAGTGCTGGGATTACAGGCGTGAGCCACCACGCCCGGCCTTTTAAGAATTCTTGCATCTATGTTCATCAGGGATATTGGTCTGTAGTTTTCTTTTTTGGTTATGTCCTTTCCTGGTTTTGGCATTAGGGTGATACTGGTTTCATAGAATGATTTAGGGAGGATTCTCTCTTTCTGTATCTTGTGGAGTAGTGTCAATAGGATTGGTACCAATTGTTCTTTGAATGTCTGGTAGAATTCAGCTGTGGATCTATCTGGTCCTGGACTTCTTTTTTTGTTGGTAATTTTTAAAATACCATTGCAGTCTCACTGGTTGTTATTGGTCTGTTCAGGGTTTCTCATTCTTCCTGATTTAAGCTAGGAGGGTTGTATCCAGGAATTTATCCATCTCCTCTAGGATTTCTAGTTTATGTGTGTAAAGGTGTTCATAGTAGCCTGAGTGATCTTTTGTATTTCTGTAGTGTCAGTTGTAGTATCTCCCATTTCATTTCTAATTGAGCTTATTTGAATCTTTTCTCTTCTTGATTAATCTTGCTAATAATGTTCTGTCAGTTTTATTTATCTTTTCAAAGGACCAGCTTTTTGTTTCATTTATCTTTTGTATTTTTTTTTTTTTTCAGTTTCATTTTGTTCTGCTCTGATCTGGGTTATTTCCTGCCTTCTGTTGGGTTTGGGTTTGTTTTGTTTTTGTTTCTCTAGTTTCTTGAGATGTGACCTTACATTGTCTGTTTGTGTTCTTTCAGACTTTTCAATGTAGGCATTTAAGGCTATGAACCTTTCCCTTAGCACCACCTTTGCTGTATCCCAGAGGTTTTGATAGATAGTGTCACTCTTATCATTCAGTTTGAAGAATTTTTAAGTTATCTTTAAAATGATTTGATCCTTAAACATGTATACAGAATATGTGTCTTTGTTGCACCCAACACTGACAAGTTGTACAGAAGTACATTTGTCAGTTAACAGTATATTCCACATTACTGAAAACATTTTATTGTGAAATGTCTGCTTTTCTATACAAGAATACATTTGGTCCAATAAAATGATAGCATTTCTTATAAAGCAGGACTTTTTATGCTAAATAAAATTATTACATTTTTGTTCAACACTTATTTTTTGTTACACAATTATCACAACACAAAAGCAGTGGAGTGCCTTGGAATCTCTGAACAATATTTGTCCTGGAGAAGATGACTGTTGATAATTTTCATGGAAATTCCTGAGACAAATAGTTCTCTTCCTTGTGTGTTGAGAAATCAGTAAATGTAATGTAGATTCCATTTTAGAATGTTAGGTAGAAAGTCATTCTGAATTCCTATTTTTACAGTGTGTTGATTTTATTTATTTGTTTACCCTTTAAGATAAGTGGCAGTTACCAATTATAGGTGATGAAGCAGAAAAATTTTATGACTTTATCTTATGATAAAACTTTTAGAAAAGTTGTGTATAAAATACCGATACCAAACTAGTGTTATCTTGTAAAATATTTTCTACAAATTGAAAATTTCTATCTTCTTACATTGTTTTTTAAACCTTTATTCCAAATATGGGAACCATTTGTCTTTTAATGATCCCTGAAAAGACAAATCAAGGGGTGAATTTAAAAAAAAAGGCAGTCTTTAGTCATTATATTCTTTAAAAGCTCTAAGCCTTAATGTTTTCGTTCAATTATTGCTTAGCTTTTACAAGGCTTGTAGGTGCTGAGGATTCAAATATAAAAAAGACATTCTTTCTTGAGATTCCAGTCCACAGAGAGACAAATATGACAAATATTTAAACAAGTAAAAGGGTTGGTACCAGTTGCTTTCTGTATGGGGATAGCTATTGCAACTGAATGAATTAGTAGATGATGGTTCTCTTGATTGCAGTGACTTATCCCGAGCATATTCTTCTTAACTTTTAGGTTTGGTTTTTTATTTTATTTTGTATACTTGTAATTCTTCTAGTTTATAGATAGCTCGAAATATTGTTATACCATTGTAATAGATGTTGCATATTTGCAGCATTCAAGGGAATCATCCTAGACTATCTGTTGGTTACTCAGCAGTTCTTTTTGGACTTCACTTTCTGGTATTTAAAAAATGTGACCATACTTCATTGGCCTGTTTCCTAAATATTTGTCTCTATAGTATATAGAACATTCAGATAAAATATATACATTTTATGGACACTTTGGAAGGTTTCTGAATGGCTAATTTAAATAATCTTCAACCTGTAATTTCACTTCTACTCTAAGTGTTAAAAATTCTTGAATATAATATGTTTTGTAATACAGACATATAAAACTAAATTACAAGGAGGTAAATATCCAAAAAAATGTAGAAAACCTTAAATATAACCTTTGATTTTGTGTAAACATAAAATGAAGTCAGGGAAGACATTACCACATATTGTTAGAGTTGGGAAAAGAGAGCCTTAATGGTTGCCAAAGCTCTAACTCATTACTTAAATTGGAGTAGTTTTGAAGAAATTAATATTCACATTTTTAAAGTGACATCTACAGGTGTGAGTAAAAACAATTAGATTGGTAAAATTTGGAAGTAATGTCATCTGTCTGGTCTTTTCACTATCACCAATAATATTCTAGATTGAGTTGGGAATAGAAGTAAGTGAATTTAATTTTGAAAAGTCTACTTGCAATTGAGTATCCTATCCTTTGTAGCTATTGTTGCCAAGTACTTTGAAAAGTTGAATTTCTACAGATTTAGGCATAAATAACATACATTTCTTATGGCATGGGCCTAATAAGACAGACTATAGGTAACCCATGGTTTTTATATTTGTTTTATAGTCCTGCTGGGTTCAAATATTGTAATACTTCAAGAAATAGACTAATAAAGATTTTTACACTCTTGTGATTATTTAGGAATTATCAGGCCTTTTGGAAACAGTGTATGGAAATTGGCAATTGTTGAGTGGTTGTGCTATGAAATTTTGATACAATTTTGAAGTACTATAACAATGAGTAGCAGTTATACTTCTTATTTTGTCTTTGAAATGTTATTCTTTTACACATCCTTATAACCTTTATTTTTTATGAGAGAGTAATGACAAAAAAACTCTATTGAAATAAATTTAATAACTAAAATATTTCCTAGCTTTCAGCTTATGTGGAGAAGTCGCTGTGAAGCCACCTATAAATCCATTTACTGAATTTATGGAGAAGGCTGTAAATGATGGAAGTCATTCAGAAGAACTCTTTTGCCATCTTAAAACTATATCAGAGAAAGAAGATTTACCACGGTGTACCAGTGAAAGTCATCTCAGCTGGTATTCTCATCAGTATCAGGGGAAATCTAAATTTCCGATTCTAGGATTTCCTGTTTTGTCTATAATATAAATTATTTGAATCAAATACAGCATTCTTTTAAGAGTATCTTTTCCAAATCTAGTATTTATTTATTAAAATATATTTAATCTGATTACAAGTGTACTCATCTAGCAGAATTCAACTAGTTTTTTTGAATCTTAATGAAAGCAATTAAAAATGAAAACCTGGCCGGGCGCAATGGATCATGCCTGTAATCCCAGCACTTTGGGAGGATGAGGCAGGTGGATCACTTGAGGTCAGGAGTTCAAGATCAGCCTGGCCAACATGGTGAAACCCCATCTCTACTGAAAAAATGCAAAAATTAGCCAGATGTGGTAGCGTGTGCCTGTTGTCCCAGCTACTTGGAAGGCTGTGGTAGAAGAATCACTTGAACCTGGGAGGCGAAGGTCACAGTGAGCCGAGATAATGCCACTGCACTCCTGGGTGACAGAGCCTGGGTGACAGAGCGAGACTCCATCTCAAAAAAGAAAAAGACAAAAAAAATGAAAACCTCATCTGTTAAGAATTTGTAAAATAAAGCTATTTAAGATAAATGAAAATATAATATGTGATATCAGAAATGTAGTTAATGAATGTGAAATCACTGTCATTTGGTATATTACTATATAGCAAATACTTGTCATACTTCTTTAGAGTGGGGAATACACTTGTTATTTACATGAAATATTGCCCCCCGTCAAATGGCAATCTTAGTATATACCATTACTGTCAGTATGGATAGCTTAGTCCAGCTTCTGGTTGAATTTGTTATGAATGAAAATAATATTTTATCATCTATAATCACACTTGACTTTCTGCCCATGGTTTTTAATAAGGGACAGGTGTCGTTTATAGATAGAATGTTCTTAGGCTCATTACTTTAAGCCAGTTGTGCTTAAGAACACACAGATTTTTGACATAGCCTCTAAGATGCCATCAGTTGTTAATGAGCCGTTATGTTTTACAAAGAAAGAGAAAAGCTGCCAATTAAAGAGTTTCCATATCACTTGGAATTTTATTTATAAATATTGAAAATGCTCCTTCAAACTTAACTATACGTACATCTTTAATCCAAATAACTTTTGTGATTACGTACAAGTAAAATATAAGTAAAATAAAGTATTCTTAAAATTTGCTTACACTCAAAGTCCAAGTTTCGAGCTACTTTTGAACTAAAAGTTGTCCTTGCTATTAAGAGTACTGTATAGGTGATATGGCATTTCTGAGGAGCATCTTTAAATGAAATGGATTTAACTTAAATTTTGTATGTGCATTTGTAATTAGCCTGAAGCAGGACATTCTAAATGAAAAGACTGAATTGGAAGCAACACTTAAGGAAGCGGAGTTGGTAACTCATTCTGTAGAATTGCTTTTGCCACTATTTAAGGACACCATTGAAAAGATTAATTTTGAAAATGTGAGTGACTTATGAATATATAATAAAATGAAAAGCTAGTATAATACTCAGAATGCATTAACTGAGGTCTCATATCTTATATAGGTATGCTCACTTATGAGTATTTCATACCAAAAATGAGGGTTTATCAGAATTCTTTATTCCTGTGTCATTAACTACAGTTCTTTTCCTGAAAGATAATCTCAGCATACACCTGATAAGAGGCTAAGCTAGAAACAATATATTTTGGATGTTTGAATTACCCGGAGTTGAACTAGAAAATCAGCTTTTCTTAAGAGTGAATTTTAAACTAAAATCTTCTGAGAGATGAAATATATCTGTTTCTATAGTATTATTTGGAGTAGATAACTATTTTTAAATTTCAGCATATTAAAGTTTAAATTAGGGACAAACAGTAGATTATCTTCTATAACTTTTATTTGAATAAAAGCCTAAAATGCTTTTAGAATCTAAGCTCTTATTTTGATTTCATTTTATTTTAATGTACTGTATAACAGATCCAATTTACTATTGACAAATTTCGTAGCATTTATTATTACTATGCACAAAAGAATGATTTTGTTTAGTAGGAAAAAATATTGTTTGATAATATATTTTAGAGGGTTTTATTTAATGCTGTGTCTTAAAATGTGTATGTGGTTCTTATAATTTGTCAGGCGAATCTTTCTGCATTGAATTTGAAGATTTCTGAACAGAAGGAAATATTAATAAAAGAATTAGACACCTTCAAAAGTGTAAAACTAGCTTTAGAACATCTTCTTAGAAAGAGAGACTACAAACAAGTAAGGCATCAACACTAAGCACTCATTTTAATAGTGATATTTCTCATTTGAAGGATACATTATTTTTAAACTGTAGAAATTATTGGTATATTTGAAATGGAAATAATGCTTTGAATTTTGTCAGTCATTAATCCCCACCTTTAGTGTTTCATAAGTAGTTGTATATGAACACCACGTTTTTATAGAAAATGTATTTTTATTTTTCATCTCAAAAACTTTGTCATACTTAATTGAGCTGATTCTAATAAAATATACACTTTTTGAGTTTAAGATCTTTGTACATTATATTTATACATATCTATATATTCTTCATCTGGTAAAAGCTTTATTGAAATAGAATTCACATACCATACAGTTCTTCCATTTAAATTATAAAATTCAGTGGTTTTCATTGTATTCACAGAGTTGTGCAGCCATCACCACAGTCAATTTTAAAGCATTTTTATCACTCCAAAAAGAAAGCTTATCCCTTTAAATCACCTAAATTATTCTTCTGACTCCCTTTTGGCTTTTTCCTATGATAAAAATTATTTCAGAATTGTAAAAACTATCTAATATTAGGTAATAGTTTTTGTAATTAAAAAGTTACATGCTCATAGAAAATTGTGATAAGCAGAGAAATATTCTCTTGATCTCAGCACTTAGTGAAACATCACTATTAAGAACTGTTAGTTTTATGTTGTGTACATTTTGCAGTATTTTGTTTCTTTATATATGTTACGTGTGCATATATACGTGGTGTTTTAGAAAAATGGAGTAAAACTACTATCTTTGTTTTGTAACTGGACTTTTATACTTAACACTGTATCATCAATATTTTCTCATGTATTGAATATTTTTTGAATAGAAAGGAATCTTAACTTGAGCTCTTTGAACACTTATGGATCCAAGGATGACCTTTATGAAATCCATGTACCCTCTGAAATTCCGTGTACAATTTTGCATTATATGTACATATATATGTGGTTTTGGGTGAAAAGAATTGATAGCTTTTTCACATTCTAAAGCAGAAGTATGACTCTCAAAAATGAGTAAATAGTCTTCTATGATCTCATTTAAAATGGCTATATAGAATTCTGTTACTGATTTGCTGTAATTCTTTAAGAGATTTCTTATTGCTAGAATTTAGATTGTTGATAATTTTTGCCTATTTGTAAACAGCACTGTGTTGCATTCTATACTCTATACAAACTCTATACAAACTTCTTTTGTATAGAGGATTTTTGTGAGTTTAGTGTCATTGGCCTATACTTTCTGAAGCATTCTTTTGAGATTAATTTAGTAAATTAACTAATTTCATAAATTGCAGACCAAAAATAATTTGGAATACTAGGGCAAAAATCTTTTCAGTTGTTAACTCTTTTAAAAATCTGAATTAAAAGTCATATTAATTTATTGAGTAGTGCTTATTTCACTTCCTACTTTTTTATATAGAGAAATATAATTTGCGATCACTGATTTATAACATTCTTTTCTCAGACAGGAGACAATTTATCCAGCATGTTGCTAGAAAATCTAACTGATAATGAAAGTGAAAATACTGTAAGTCTTTCCACACTTACTTTGTGTCCATTCTTCCTGTCATTGTTATTTGCATGCTGCTTGGTTTTATAAAGTTAGCCAATATTATCCAAGTTGTGAAATTCCTAATTCTTATTTTATATTTGCTCAAGAATCTTAAGAAGAAGGTATTTGAAAAGGAGGCCCATATCCAAGAACTTTCTTGTTTGTTTCAGAGTGAAAAGGTAAGCAAAATTTGAGCTTTTGAGCTTAATTCATTATATTAATATTGACTCCCTTTTTTTTCCCATCCTGGCCCCAACTCCTCAGAAATAAACACAGAAAAGTGTTTTGAAATTCTAGATTATTTGGATATTTTACAGGTTTTACCTATCAAATATAACATCTTAATTTTATTAAGTTTTTTTAGGGTTTTTATGGTGTTTGTCAGGATACTTGGCATAAATCACTTCATATAGGAACTGTTTTAAATTTGTATTGTGTTTCAGTTGGGGAACAAATTAAGGAATTTTAGTGTTTGTAGGAGCATTTTAGGTATACCCATACCTTTATTTAGAAAGATAGATGGGAATTTTAAAAAAGAAAGCCATTAAATAAAAAATGTTGGGGGATAAAACTTAGCCCTGGTTGGGCATGAAATACATTTGTAATAGGGGCGGCAGTTTATGTAAAGTAGTGCTTTGCTTTTTATCAGCTGTTTAGATTGTGCCTAAATCAGGGTAAAATTAAAGATATTGGGCTGGGGATACAGCAAATAATATGGATTTTTTTGGTTTTCTCTTTCTCTTTGTTACAGGCAAATACTTTGAAAGCAAACCGTTTTTCCCAATCAGTAAAAGTAGTACATGAACGACTACAGATCCAAATTCATAAAAGGGAAGCCGAGAACGATAAGTTGAAAGAATATGTAAAGGTTATATATAAATATATATCCATTTTTATAGCTTAAGTGATAAAATTAATGAAAGGCCATAAAGCCTTCCTTAGTTCTAGAATTTGGTGGTTTTAAAATACACAGTTGTTGACATGGGAAATACATATTTAAGGTAAATCTTAATATTTGTGGCCTAACTAAAGGTTTGGGTACAAATTTCAACATAAAAATGCTGTCTCTGTTTAATACCAATCTAGGAAGGATTTATGGAATTGAATTACTTTAAAAATCATTTCCACTTTATAGTTAATTTATATTTACTGTGGAAAATTTATAGAAAATAAATTTAAATATACCAAAATCATTGTTAACATTTTGGTGTACATTATTTCAATCTTTTTTCTCCATCTATACATATATACATACATACTTTCACACGTTTAACAGTCAATACGATGTTTATTTTTTGTTACTAATCGTAATAATTTTAAAATCAGCCCAACTTTGATGTTCACAAAATTAAGTAATTCCCTTATTAAACAACTTTGTAGGAGTATAATTAAGGGGAATTTTTTGGTTTAATTATTCTTTTGGAGTCAAAGTCACTTTGAGATAAGAATTTGAGGTGGCATATCATACAATATAAGGTAACTCTTTTTTTTTTTCCGCCAAAGGCAAAGAAGCAATATTCCCACCTTGAGAGGTTACAGAGACTCAAACTCCATTGAGTGTTGAGGACTTCTGAGTTAGATTTCTGTTTGGTTTTGCACTCCTGAATTATAGCAGATGTCTGCAGCCTGTAGCATGTTTCAAAACCATACTCGAGTTTGGGTGTGTGTGTGTGTGTTCCTTTAAAGGGACATAATGCGGGTTTATGGGGGATAATAAATTTTGTATGCTAGGGCACTGCAGATGAACTGGACTTGGTATTGCAGTGGTCTGTCATAGTAAATACAGGAGAACACATGTGATTGAATACATCTGATGTATGATTGAACATATTAGATAATCATCTTTCCCAATTTATCTTAAAGCGTAGTGGTTATTTTTTATAACCATGATAATTTGGAGAAAGAACATAAGGCTAAAATCCTAAAATTTTGCTATGAAATTCAACTATAATTTGAATTCAAATTCTTTTACCAAAATGCTACTGTTAAGAAATGATTAAAAGAAACTGTCTGAGTCTATGAATTTTTCTACATTTTCTCTCACACACTTTTGGATTTAAGGCATTAAGTGATTAAGGGGTTCAGAATTTAGTTCTTTTTGAGTTAGGTTTGACAGTGGTTTTTTTTTGTTTCGTTTTTGTGTTGTTTTTTTTTTGAGTATGAATCCAATGAACTCAATTTGGCAACATCA
The DNA here is from genome assembly GCF_000001405.40 of Homo sapiens. Lineage (NCBI taxonomy): Eukaryota > Metazoa > Chordata > Mammalia > Primates > Hominidae > Homo > Homo sapiens. Next base: position 86,380,918 of record NC_000001.11, on the reverse strand, counting down.
ATCTCAACTTTTTAGTGTTGAGTAATTTGTTGTATTGAGTCTTTTAAAAATTTACATTATAAACCTCTGGGAACATCCCACAGATGCCTTCCACCAATTTTTCTTTCTAGATCTTTGTTATGTAGCAATTAGAATTAGAACGTTTTCTTATTTTCAGAAGAGACTGAGAATGATTGTCTGTATAAAATGTGACATGTATACAGACATTGCTTTGGAGATAGAAAAAGAAGATAATCAGCTTTATGTGTTCATTCATTTGGCAAATGAGAGGTTATTTTTAAATTATAAAAATAATTTGTCATTTCAGTATACTCCTTGATAGTGTATAAGTGTGGGATTTGATAAATCTGGTGAGAAGATCGTGTCTGGAACTATGTTCAAAAAGAAAATTTAGTTTCTATGTTTAGAAGTTTTTTAACCTAAGAAAGCAACTATTCATGGTGTGATGATGACACCGTGTGGACTTTTAGAGGAATGACAACAGTGTTTCCTGTGGGATGTTCCTTTGTCTTATGTCGACTTACTGTACTGCTGTTTTTCCCCAGCTACTTATGTTTTATGGGATTTTGTTTTTTAAAAACAATTTAAGAATGTATTGCTCCTTCTCTTAGTTTACTTAGTCACTCTTCAAAAAAATCAAATCTAAATCTTAATATATACTTCTTAATCTCAATTTTAGTGGCAGTTAAGAAGCTTAGATTTTGATGATTGTAGAGTTAAGTTGAAAAGTCCTAGGTTTAGCTTGTACTGTGACTCCTTTGCAATTTTTAAAAATTAAAATGGCTTTCTAAGGAATGGGAGACTAAAACTTATTCTGTGATAATTTCACATTCATTTCAGTATTACACAGGTTTTGAAAATGTAAAAACATTAAAATCATAAGTCTTTAATAGATACTTAATACTCAAATACTTTAAGTACACAGTCTTAAAATAATTTGAAATAAAAGCATCTGAGTTACCACATTAAATCACATCCCTCATCTACCCAGCCTAATATTCCGTCTCTCATCATGTCACCAAGAGGTATGCCAAAGAGATAGTCATGCCAATTAGTTACAATCACATTCAATGATAGAAACATGTCCTCAATAATACTTATCTTATGACTCTTATAGTCATTAATTTATCTAAACCTGTGTTTGGTCTTGGAATAATGACTTCCATACATTTACTTTATTGGATAAAGCAGTATTTTATTATCTTTAATGTAACTCTAGTGTCAGGGCGTGCCCCCTAAATCTAGTAAATTAAAATTTGGTAAAAAAATCTGTTTATCTCGTCTATAGCCTTCTTAAAGATTATAATCATATCTTTAAGATTTTGTCTTTCAAAGTGAAGAGTCCTAATATATTTGGGGAGCTACCAATTCCTTTGAACATTGGTACATATTTGGATTGTTTCTAGCTCAATTATGTTTTTTTAAACTAGTTTTTAAAACTAGTATGATGTATAATATTCTAGATGTGAACTAAAAAAACTATCTGAGTTAATCACAGAAGTTTTAAGGAAGTTAGTGTTTGTACCATAATCACTATAGTATCTTTGATAATGGTAGCATTAGTTTGATATAGGATTATATGTTTTAAATTTGCATCCTTTAACAGGTTATAGAGAAGCATTGGTCCCCAATGTGTAGAGGATTATTGTATTAGGCCATTTTAACATTGTTATAAATGCCTGAGACTGCATAGTTTATAAAGAAAAGAAGTTTAATTGGCCCACAGTTCCACAGGCTGTATAGGAAGCATGATTCTGGCATCTGCTCAGCTTCTGGGGAGGCCTCAGGAAACTTACAATTATGGTGGAAGACAAGTGGGGAGTGAGGCATCTCACATGGTGGGAGCAAAAGGAAGAGAGAGCAAGTAGGGAGGTGCTGCACACTTTTAAACAACCTGATTTCGCAAGAACTCACTCACTATCAGGAGAACAGCACCAAGAGGATGCTGTAAACCATTCATAAGAAACAACCCCCATGATCCAACCACCTCCCACCAGGCCCCAGCTCCAACACTGGGGGTTACAGTTTGACATGAAATTTGGGTAGGGACACAGATCCAAACCTATATAGTTTGGCTGTGTCCCTACCCAAATCTCATCTTGAATTGTAATCTTCAGAATCCCCATCTGTCTAGGGAGAGACCTGGTGGGAGGTGATTGGATCATGGGGGTGGTTTCCCCCATCCTGTTCTCATGATAGTGAGTGAGATCTGATGGTTTTATAAGGGGCTTCCCCCCTTGGCTCTTCACTCTTTTCTCTCCTGCTGCCATGTGAAGAAGGTCCCTGCTTCCCTGTCACCTTCTGCCACGATTGAAGTTTCCTGAGGCCTCCCTAGCCATGTGGAACTGTGAGTCAATTAAAACTTGTCCCTTTGTAAATCACCCAGTCTCAGGTATTTCTTTATAGCAGCGTGAGAATGGACTAATACAGTTAATTGGTACTGCAGAGAGTGGGGTATTGCTATAAAGATACCCAAAAATGTGGAAATGACTTTGGAACTAAGTAATGGGCAGAGGTTAGAACAGTTTGGACAGCTCAGAAGAAGACAGGAAGATGTGGGAGAGCTTGGAACTTCCTAGAGGCTTGTTGAATGGTGTTGAGCAAAATGCTGATAGTGATATGGACAATGAAGTCCTGGCTGAGGTGGTCTCAGATAGAGATGAGGAACTTCTTGGGAACTGGAATAAAGGTGACTCTTGCTATGCTTTAGCAAAGAGACTGACGGTATTTTGCCACTGCCCTAGAGATCTGTGAACTTTGAACTTGAGAGAGATGATTTAGGGTATCTGGTAGAAGAAATTTCTAATCAGAAAAACATTCAAGATATGACCTGGTTGATTCTGAAAGCTTTCAGTTTTATGCATTCACAGAGAGAAGGTTTGAAATTGGAACATACATTTAAAAGGGAAACAGAGCATAAAAGTTTGGAAAATTTGCAGCCTGCCCATGCAATAGAAAAGAAACACCCATTTTCTGGGGAGAAATTCAAGTGGTCTGCATAAATTGGCATAAATAATGAGAAGCCGAATATTAATGGGGAAAATGTTTCTGGGGTATGTCAGAGGTCTTCATGGCAGTCCCTCCCATCACTGGCCCAGAGGCCTAGGAGGAAAAAGTGGTTTTGTGGGCTGGGCCCAGAGCCTTGCTGCTTTGTACAGTCTTGGGACTTGGTGCCCTGCATTCTAGTTGTGGCTAAAAGGGGCCAATGCATAGCTCAGGCCATTTCTTCAGAGGGTGGATGCCCCAAGCCTTGGCAACTTCCATGTGGTGTTGGGCCTGTGGGTGCACACAAGTCAAGAATTGAGGCTTGGGAACCTCTGCCTAGATTTCAGGGGATGTGTGGAAGTGCCTGGATGTCCAGGCAGAAGTTTGCTGCGGGGGTGGAGCCCTTATGGGGAACCTCTGCTGGGGCAGTGTGGAAGAGAAATATGGGGTTGGAGACCCCACATAGAGTCCCATTGGAGCACTGCCTAGTGGAGCTGTGAGAAGAGGGCCACAAGTCCTCCAGACCCCAGAATGGTAGATGCATTGACAGCTTGCACCATGTGCCTGGAAGAGCCACAGATACTCAGTGCCAGCCTGGGAAAGCAGCTAGGAAGGGGGCTGTACCCTGCAGGCCATAAGGCTGGAGCTGCCAAAGACCGTGGGAGCCCACTCCTTGCATCAGCATGACCTAGATGTGAAACATGGAGTCAAGGGAGATTATTTAGGAGATTTAAGATTTAATGACTGCCCTGCTGGATTTTGGACTTGCATGGGTCCTGTAGCCCCCTTTTTTTTGGCCAATTTATTTCATTTGGAATGGGAACATTTACCTAATACCTGTGCCCCCATTGTTTCTTGGAAGTAATTAACTTGCTTTTTATTTTACTGGCTCCTAGGCAGAAGGGACTTGCCTTGTCTCAGATGAAACTTTAGACTTGGGCTTTTGGGTTAATGCTGGAATGAAGTAAGACTTTGGAGGACTGTTGGAAAGGCATGATTGTGTTTTGAAATGTGAAGACATGAGATTTAGGAGGGGCAAGGGGCAGAATGCTATGGTTTGGCTCTGCCCCACCCAAATCTCATTTTGAATTGTAATCCTTATAATCTCCACATGTCTAGGGAGAGACCTGGTGGGAGGTGATTGGATCATGGGGGTGGTTTTCCCCATGCTGTTCTCATGATAATGAGTGAGTTCTCGTGAGACCTGATGGTTTTATAAGGGGCTCTTCCCCCTTTGCTCCTCACTCTTCTGTCTCCTGTCGCCATGTGAAGAAGGTCCTTTCTTCCTCTGCCTTCTACAATGATTGTAAGTTTCCTGAGATCTTCCCAGCCGTGTGGAACTGTGAGTCAATTAAACTTCTTTCCTTTATAAATTACTCAGTCTAGGGTATTTCTTTATGGCAGTGTGAGAATGGAGTAATACACAAACCATATCAGTTATGTACATATTTTTACAATGTTTACATAAACATTGGAGTTCTGAAATAATTTAATTGTTGCTAATTTTTTTTTTAGAGCTTAGAAACCAAGATAGCCAAGTGGAACCTGCAATCAAGAATGAATAAGAATGAGGCTATAGTGATGAAAGAAGCAAGTAGGCAAAAAACTGTAGCTTTAAAAAAGGCATCTAAAGTTTACAAACAAAGGCTTGACCATTTTACAGGAGCTATTGAAAAGCTTACTTCCCAAATTAGAGATCAGGTATGTAAATGCATTCTTTTTAAAATTAAAAGATCTATTATGTACGTAGTTTATATAATTAATATCATGATGCTTAATATAGTAATTTTATTCTTTTCTTAATGCTGTTAATACCAGAAAAAACTTACACTTTTTGCTTTAATCTTTTACTTTGAAATATTACATAAAATGTCAAATTTTCATATTGAAATATATCAGCATTTCCTTGGGAACTTTACTTAAAGGAAATATTAAGTGTGTCCCCCCCGCCTCCACACACAAAAAAAGGTTCTATTGGCCAACTAACTAAGGGTAATACTTCATACATATTTCCCCTTGGGACATTGTGGTCTATGTTAGCAAATTAAAGGTTCTGAGAAGGCTTTCAGAAACAGTGGAATGAAGGGTATTGAACTAAGAGTTTCCCACACTTTTTTAACCACAGAGCTAGTCTTTTATGCACAAAGCAACTCTTGGAACTGGTTCTGAGGAACACTAGTTTGAGAAATGCTGATTTATGTTATTAGACCCTATGACTTTATTCAGTAATTAACCTAATTTAATCTCTGTAATACATTTAAAACCATGTGCTGACATAAACACACCAAGTAAAATATATCTTTGGTATAGTACAAATTTGAAAATGGCCTTAGTGCTTTGTTGTTTTTGATAAATTATTATATTTATTCAATTACTAATTAATAATTTTTTTAAAAAAGTCTCACTGATATCCTGCCTCTTAAGAACTTATGTTAAGGCTTATAGAATTATTAGAGGCTTTTAGAAATGAAAACAGACTTGTATAAAAAGTTTATGGCAAACAAAGTAGTATTTTGTTAACCTTGTGACTTGGGATAAGGAACTTAACCTCTTCAATTTCCTCATGTATAAAATAGGGCATCATAATACTCCCTATCTCATGTGTTTGTAGGGAGAGATAAATGAGAAAATATATTTTTGCATTGTCCTCCTTTCTGTTGCTGTAATGCATGAAGTTTTTTTCTTTGTTTTGTTGTTTTTCTTGTTTGTTGTTGCATCTGGCTTTAATATTCTTCCCTGGCTCACAATAGCTCTTTCTTTTTTTAATCATTCAGGTATCTTTTCAATTGACATCTCTTCAGAGAGGCCTTTCTTGACCATTTCTTTTGAAGTAGTTCTAAAACAATCATATCAATGTCTTAATTTTTTTCATAGCATTCACTATAATCTGAAACTATATCATTTATTTTTTCATTTATCACTGCTGTTGTGTTTTGTTTTATTTTTAACTGTTTCCTTCTACTTGAGTATAAGTCTCAGAAGGCAGGAGCTTGCTATCCTATTCACCTAAGGTAAGGGTACCATTATTTAAAACAGTACCTTAAGTCTAAAATATGAACAGTTCAGCAATAAGAGCTAAATAATAGTTTAACAAAATGTTATCACATATCTACACAATGCGTAAATTTTGCCAAGGACTACAGAGACAGATCAAGGACAAGGAGGATTTGTAAACGTCTGTGGTCTTTGGTAATTAGAAGGTCACTAGTTACTAATTCACATGCAGTTTCAATGCAGTGGAAGGAAAGGTGAAAAGGGGTATTTTGCTTTATCTGCATGTTATAAGGAGAGATGAAAGGAGAAATGGGGATTTGGAAAGTACGAGAGACCACTGATTCTGACTTTTAGTACCTAGGGGCCAGGATGTTAAATGCTCTATAATTCTGCACACTGAAGAATTAACCCATTTCCTTCTTTGAAAATTAGATCCTAATTTTGCTTCTCGTGGCTTAGATGTGCCATTTCTCTAAAGCAAAGAGAAAAGGTAGGCCAACTCAAAAAATCTCTAGGAAGGTGATTCCATCACTGACTAGTTTCAACATCTAGGAATGCCATACTGATGAAGTAGGTAATAATTATATTGCTAACATATAAATTCTTTTCTTACTGATAAAACTTCTAAATATCTTAATTTATATTATAAACTTATACTTCATAATTTATATTAAAGCTTATTTTATACAAAATATGAAAACAATACTAGTCTTCAATATATCAAAATATTCCTGTGAAAAAATTTAAACAAAAAAGTCTTGCACGTAATACATGCTCAGTAAATACTTGCTCAGTAAATGGATGAATGATGAAAGAAAGAAGTACCCAATAAATGTTAATTGTTGTCATTACTGTTTCTAAGCTTTTTGATTTGTAATTACTGGCATTGTGGCCTTCCAGTGTGTTTTTATGTAGAATGTAGAGCGGAGGCACAGTGGCTACAGCTCTTTAGGTGGATCTGCAGAGAATTATTTGAGCTATTTATTGAGTGTTTGCTGTGCTCCAGGCACTATCAAGGCCCTAGAAATATAGCCATGAACAAAAGCAGATAAAAATCCCTACCTCATGGGAGTTCACATTCAAAATGAATAAGCCACTACTACCACTTGTATCTCTGTGTGGACGGTAGCAGTGTTTGAAGGCTGATGGGGTGACCTCTACAAAATAGATCTTGGCGTCATTATAGCAAAGACAAGTAAGGTACATCACCAAATGTTATGGAGCTGTGGAATTGGGGATAGTTTCTGTGTATATCACAGGGGCTTTCTCCTCTGATGCTTATGTGTTTGTTACCATCTTCTCTCTATAGAGCATGAAATTAATTCAAGACCAGCCTGGGCAACATAACAAGATGCTGTCTCTACTATATATATACAGTATATAGTATATACACCATATATATAGAGTAGTTATATATATCAATATATATGTATAACATATATATATAGTATATACATATGTATCTAGATATATTTTATATATGCATGTGTATATATGTGGTGGCTGTGGTTGGCAGACATTTGTAGCCCTAGCTACTAGGGAGGCTGAGGCAGGAGGATCCCTTGCACTCAGGAGTTGGAGGCTGCAGTGAACCATCATGACCGTGCCACTGCACTTCAGCCAGGGCAAAAAAAAAAAAAAGTAAAATGGAAAGTTCAGTAAAAAGAAAAGAAATTATCTTAATTATGAAATATTGTTTAAAAATAGTTGCAACATCTTTTAAAATTTAAGTTGAAACTTCCACTATGTGTATATGAAATAATAGCAATATAGATATTTACTTTACAATTTTTCTATTCAAAGTTGTACAGTGACTTTATTTATTTCAATAGTTTTTAGGGGACAGGTCGTTTCTGGTTACCTGGACAACTTCTTTAGTGGTTATTTCTGACATTTTGGTGCACCTGTCACCCGAGCACTGTACACTGTAGCCAATGTGTAGTCTTTTACCCCTCACCTCCCTCCCTCCCTTCTCCCTAGTTCCTAAAGTCCTTTATATCAATCTTATGCTTTTGCATTTTCATAGCTTAGCTCCCACTTATGAGTGAGAACATACGATATTTGGTTTTCCATTCCTGAGTTACTTCACTTATAATAGCTGTCTCCAACTTCATCCAGGTTGCTGCAGATGTTCCTTTTAATGGCTGAGTAGTATTCCATGATGGATATATACCATATTTTCTTTATCCACTCATTGGTTGGTGGGCATTTAGGCTGGTTCCATATTTTTGCAATTATGAATTGCACTGCTATAAACATGCATGTATAGTTTTCTATATTTGAAGTTCCATACTTTTTGGAAGATTGCTTCCCTGTTTATAATGTATTTGTGTTTAGAGATCTGAACAAAACAAAAATGTTTTAAAATTATAGTATGAATACTTTTATGTATTTTTTAGGAAGCCAAGTTGTCTGAAACAATTTCAGCTTCCAATGCCTGGAAAAGTCATTATGAGAAAATTGTGATAGAAAAAACCGAATTGGAAGTACAGATTGAAACAATGAAAAAGTAAGAAAAAATTTAGAATATTTTATTATTTAGTAAGAGTTTTCACTTTTTAAAAAATTCTTTGAGTTGTTTGTATTTTGATTTTTTTTAGATTACATATGGTAAAGGTGCTACCTATATGATTTGATATTTTTGCTATTTATAATTCAATAAAGTTTTCTTACTCTATTATTAAAAATAATTAAAATGATTGCTCATTAAAAGTGAATTGGTGTTCACATTTTTAATTTTTTTTTTTTTTTTGAGATGGAGTCTCACTTTGTTGCCAGGCTGGAGTGCAGTGGTGCAATCTCAGCTCACTGCAACCTCCGCCTCCTGGGTTCAAGTGATTTTCCTGTTTCAGCCTCCCTAGTAGCTGGGACTACAGGCATGCACCACCAAGCCCAGCTGTTTTTTTTTGTATTTTTAGTAGAGACAGGGTTTCACCATGTTGGTCAGGATGGTCTCGATCTCCTGACCTTGTGATCCGCCTGCCTCGGCCTCCCAAAGTGCTGGGATTACAGGCGTGAGCCACCACGCCTGGCCCACATTTTGAAATTTTAAACTTGTAGATTATCATTCAATATTTCAGTATGCCATCTATTATTTGTAGTAAATGTTAATATTTACTTTTTCTTAAATGGAGGTGATGTTTCTCTTTTAAACAAGAATGTGTGAAAATATATCTAAAAGTTTATAATAACTGCTTTGAAAATCGTAAAAATGATTGTTCCTTAAAGTGACTTAAATGCATAACAAAGAAAATGAAAAATAAAAATACATATATTTTATTATTTGAAATGTATTACTGATAACACTATAATGAACCCTGAATATTTGATTTTAAGTGTTTTCTGTGTCTTCAGTTTTGTCATTGAAAACTACCATATATAATTCATTTCTAAAGTTTAGTTTTATTGCCTCACTTAATTCTTTTCTTTAACCTTGTCCCTAAAATTGTGTATATATGTGTGCATGTGTATGAATGACAGGAAGAGAGAGATGTGCATACTTGTGGATAATAGTTTAGAAGTTTTATTGAATAGCAAAGAGCATGTTGTATAATTTTTTGTTGGTATCATCAGTGGGCAATTGTTTCTAATCAGAGTTACTTTGGTTGTACCCTTTTAGATTACTTCTTCTTATTTTTCTTGTTCTATGAGTTCTATTTATTTTTTGTATATTCCCTATTTGAAACGATGCACCCGGCCAAAGTGATTTCAGAAACACACTTAAAATGTGTTATTTGAATAAAAATTTTTATGACTTTTATAAAATGTGTCATTGATTTTATAAAGGCAAATCATTAATCTTTTGGAAGATCTGAAGAAAATGGAAGACCATGGAAAAAATTCATGTGAAGAAATTCTTAGAAAAGTTCACTCAATTGAATATGAAAATGAAACTCTGAATCTTGAGAATACAAAATTAAAGGTACTATGTATGAGTGTTTGAGCAGGCATGTATTGTGTAATGACCATAGTCTACTTAGTAGAAATAGCTTGAAGAAAGAGTATGTTTAGAGCAGTGCTCTTGTATAATTCTGTCTTCTATGCTTGTCAGGATATTATGTTTTCAGCAGTACTAAATAATATTTATGAAGTTGACTGTCTCTTTGCCTCAACTTTTAAAATAAACTACTATGCATTTTTGCAGTTAAATGAATCATCCAAATTACATTAACTTTAGTACATAAGATTATTTCTAGATGTCATGGTTACAATAGGATATAACCTCAGGCCTGGTCTGTTTGAAACCAGAAAGTATGTTCTTGGCTGCTTCATAACCAGAAAGAATTTTCCAACTTACTCATATCCAAGGGGTAATTGCTTTCCATAGGTACCAGAGGAGAGACAGGGGAGAAGCTTTTGAATTTTCTGAGAAAAAAAGATATTTGAGTTCTCAGTCAACCAGAGATACATACAACCAGATGGAACTTGAAAGATGATGGCATCATTTTCACTTCCATAATAATACTTTTAGAGGACAGAAAATAGAAGACAGAAAAGAACCTTTTAAAACCATGAAATAAAGTTTATGTGCACAGGATAAATAATATATTAGTAGCATAGAGTACATTTTAGAGAAACTTGTAATATAAGCATCTAACATTGTTTTGTTGTATTTATAACAGTTTAATTCTATTTAGAATTAACTAAATGATATTTAGAATTAACTAAATGATAATACATTTATTCTATGTATTAAGATGTCCTTAAGACATGTTAAATTCCTAAGAGATATTGCAGATATATTCTGTGGTCCTTGAGAGAAAAGATCTTTAATATTAAAAGAGAAGTGAAGGTCTAAGGCTTTTTTTTTTCTTGATTTAAGGTTTGTTTTTCTTTGTTTGTTTTGCATTAGAAATGCACTTGTTTCTTGGAAACATAATTACTGGCTGTTTAGAATTATGCATTATATAAAGCTTGCAGTGGGTTTTTAAAAATGAGTATGTTTATGAGAAAAAATATACACAATTTAAAAATCATCACCAAAGGAAATTATTTTAATAAAATGATAGCATTCCAGGCTTTAAGGTTCTGAATTGTTATTTTAAAAGATTATTTTTCTGATGGAAACTTGAGATACATCCAAATCTCTTTTACCCTTTCTAAACCCTTCTTTCTATGTAGGTCTAAAATGTTGTGGCCTGAAAAGAGAATTTTATCCATTGTAGGTCTTAGCATATTTTCTCAGGAGCCAATCTGTTTGCTACGTACTGATCTGTCTTTGTGGGAGATACATAGTGTTATGCAGTACAGTGTATAGTAATTAAAGCTTGTGTATTATATATTACAGAAGGCAACAGATTGCCTAAGCCAAAAAGATTCTTTCCCTTTGTAGGTTTACAAAGTTGTAACTTTTCTCATCTTGATGTTGAGTTTCAGTCTCCTTTAGACCAATGGGACAAAGCTAGGCTCACAAATCTCAAGTCTGTTTTGTTCCAGGTGGAAAGACTCGATTGGTTTCAAATGCAGGACTTGAAATTGCCAGTCCTGTTGGCTGTGGTCATTCAGAGTGAGTGGAGGAAATAGGAATCTAAGTGATATACGTTATAGGAAGTAGCAAGGTCTTCTTTTCTCACCTTTAATGTATTTAGTAATGCACTTATTTCGGCTACTTTTTGTTAAGAAAGATTTTAAAAAATCAAAATTGCAGTGTACCTTAATACCATTTTTTTTTAGCAGTGACATTGTGATATTCTGAATTAGAATTTTTTCCTTCAAGAAATTTTGTAAGTCCTTTATGGTTCTTCAAGCAATATGAACTACTCATGTTTTCTTAATAAAAGAAGTTCAGTTATTCAGTGAACATAGTTCTTCCAACTTCTGACAATTTATTCAGTATTATCTTTTGAGTGAAGAATATATACTCATTACAGTAAAACTGGAAACTATAGAAATATAAAAAGAAAAGAACTGAGTGATCATTGACCTCACATTCCTTGGAGATAACTATATTTTGTAATATTTCTGTTTTTTCGTAGTTGTTATTAAAATAATATCTTGCTTTGTTCACTTTAAAATGGAAACAGATTTATGTATATAACATATAAATTCTTTATAAGCATCCTTTTAAATTACTTTGTAATATATAGTCAACGTAGAAGTGTTAGGTGATTCCCTATTTGTTGGACATTCAGGTTATTCCCAATGTTTTTAACATTTAATAATAATAATGCTCTGATGAACATTTTCATACATAAACTTTTTGTTGTATTGTCTTTAGCTTAGATTCCCATGTAGAATTACTGAGTCAAAGAATATGAACATTTTGATTGTTCTTGATATGCTTTGCTACATTTCTTCTGAAAAGGTATTTTATTACTCATACTGCCATTAGTTCTCTATACCTCATCAGCACAGGAAATAAAATGTGTTTTTGATTTGTAGTGTTTGCTAATTTGGCAGGTAAAAATGTTATCTATGGTTTTAATTTGTAACTCTTTGAGGAGCTAGTTTTAAATTTCTAAACAATTTCTATTTTTATTCTTCTGATAGTTATCTGCATATCTGTAAATTATATATTATACTCCTTGGTTTATCAAATTTAGTCAATTATATTAACCTTCTAATTAGTCGAGCACTAACATAATTGATAATATAAATACTAATACAACTAAAAGACATGTTAAATTCCTAGTAAATAATACAACAAACATATAACTTTATACTTTCAAAAAAATAAGTGAAGGTAGTTTGATAGAGGAAGCTAAAAGAGTTAAGGTTTTTATGGACATAAGATATGAATGTTAAGGGCAATATACAATAAGCACTTCCAAGATAGGGCTCATGATCAAAGAGAAGAAAGAGGAGGAGAAACTTCCCTAGTGCTGCTAGTGTATTTTGGAGTATATGGGCTTTATGTAGAGTGCTGTGTACCTCTGTGGCTTGCCGTGTTCAGCTGTGTTTGTGCACTTTGTATTCAGCTGATGTTTTTTACATGGTTCAGACAATTAATGAGCTAGAAAAAATGGCATCTGAACAAAAGTTGCTTCTTTGTTATACATCATTCCCCTGCTTACCAATACTAAGATGAGGTTCACTTGACAGAAATGTGAAACATAGGACAGATTATATATCTTCACCTTTTATTTGGAAAATAAGGATATTTTCTGTTCTTTGTCTGTTCTCCCCACGTTCACTTTGCCAGTGTTGTTAAATTGACAATTTGTTATATAACCTGAAGTGCTCTTTTTATAGATTGATTCTAAACATTAATAGCAATGACTTATAATTGCTCTTTCACTACACAGTCAAGTAATATGTTTATAAATGTTTTTTTCTTGTACAACTTTTAAATTTTTCCTGGAGTTTCCAAAAACCCTGCTTGTTGTACTCTTTGCCCTTATCATTGTCTTGTTTTTGTTTTTGTTGTTGTTTTGTTTTTTTTTTTCCCTTCTTGAAATTCTTCATCCTATCTCTATTCTCTGAAGAACCTATTTTCCCCAGATTTCTTCTACTTTGGGCCTTCTGTCTTCTTATTTCAATCTGAATGGGTTGGTCTCTAGGCCTGCTGCCTAGATGCCATGCTGGAATTTTCTTGACTGCTACCCTGGTTCCAATGTTTCCTTGAACCCACATCGTGTTTCCTTTTCTTTTTACTGGAATATATCTGCAACTAATATTCCCTTAAGACAGAGAAAATTAGAAGTAAACATTAAAATAGTCTTACATGTCTAAAAATGCCTTTATTCTGTCCTCATTATGATTAATGGTTTCAGCTGGGTATAGCAACCTAGATTGAAAGTAATTTTTACTGAGAACTTTGAAGGCTTTGCTCCATGGTTTTCCATAAGTCAGAGTTGCTAGGAGAGAAAATCTGCCACCATTCTGATACTTGTTCCTCTGTAGTGACATTTTTAATTTTTCTTGAAATTTTCAAGAAATTCCCCTTATCCTTGGTGTTTTGAAACTTCACACACATCTAGTTGTGTCTTCCAGTCCTTTGTGCTAAGTACTTTGTAGACCTTGTAAATCCAAAGACTCATGTCCTTTACCTCTGGAAAATTCTGTTATATTATTTCTTTGGTAATGCTCTCTCTCCTGCCCCTTTCTATTTTCTCCAGTCTCTCTGTCTGGGTGTACTGCTGATTGTATTATTGATTTGTTGGACCTCCTAGATTGATACTCTGTCTTCAATTTCTGGGTTTTGTTCAATTTTGGGGGCAGATTTCTTTGGTTTTTATCTCCTAATCCTTCGTTTAAAAGTTTAATTTTCAAGAATTTTAAAAAGTATTCCCCAAGTGTTCATTTCATCAAATATCTGAAAATACCTATAAGAATTTTTTCATTTTTTTTTTCAGTGTTTCAATTTATTGTTTCCAATTGGCACTTTTTTTTTTTGAGACAGAGTCTTGCTCTGTTGCTGATGCTGGAGTGCAGTGGCACGATCAGAACTCACTGCAGCCTTGACCTCCCAGGCTCAAGCAATCTCCCGCTTCAGCCTCCCAAGTAGCTGGGACCACAGCCCATAGCTAATTTGTGTGTGTGAATGTGTGTGTATGTGTATGTGTATGTGTGTGTGTGTGTGTGTGTGTGTGTGTGTGTGTGTGTGTGTAGGTGGGGTCTCACTATGCTGCCTAGGCTCCTGGGCTTTTGAACTCCTGGGCTCAAGCGATCCTCCCACCTTGTCCTCCCAAAGTACTGGGATTACAGGTGTGAGCCACTGTGCCCAACCCAATTTTTTTCTTCCTTTTTTTAATATAAAAAAATTTTAGATCTCTCTCGTGATACTCTTTTTCCGAAAGTCTGGTGACATTTAAAAATTTACAAATGAGACAATAAAAAGACTAACGAAACAGGAGAAAACTAAATGGATATGTGGATGGTTCTTGCCACTAGATTGGTTTCACTTCACTTTTCTCAACTGTTGGGAAACTAGCAGTTTACTGGTGGCTCCTAAAAATGCCAAAATACATGCGTCTTTGCTCTGGGTCGCCAGCACCGTCCCTCTGTTATTCCCAAACAGTTCATTCAATTTCTTTAGAGAAGGACTTTTCTTATCTTTGTTTTTTGGGAAGTAAACTCCTAGTTCCAGGTGTTCTGCCTTGAGTGTGTGAGCAGGGGGTGGAGGGTAGTGGTAGTTAGCTGTTCTAGTCACAGACTTTGAATTAATCCTTTTCAAACCCAGGTCTCACTCTTGCCTTTAGCCCTGTGCCTCTCTAGATTCTACAGATAGATGAACTTCCTCGTTAGCTAAATCCACTCCTGATTCATTAGTCAGTCATCAGTTTTCCAGAAGCATTAACAATATTTTGTCCTTTGATAGCCCCTGGTCTGTTATTTTTATTAAGTTGACTTACAAACATTCTTTTTCCTTTATAATAGTTTGGTCTTGGGAATGAAGGGAGATTTTACAATGTGTTTAGTTCTCCAGCAGAAGTTAAACCTAGGAAATTCTCTCTGATAGGGCACATTACTAATCTTCCCATTTTTCATTCTGTTTTATTCTCTCTATATTAATTTTGCAGGTAGAATTTCATTACACTTACTTGTTTGTATAATTTGTCTCCCTCTGAGGGCTTTTCTTCCCTCCATCCATCCATACCAGGGCCAGGGATTGTTTTATCCTTCCATTACTTCTAGTGCCTAGTACTGTGCCTAGAATACATCAGTCATTTAGTAAATGACTCTGGAGAGTAGCAACCGTAATGGCTACTATTTATCAATTACCATTAATGTAGGAGGCACTTGATAAGTACTTTACTTTTTTTACTTCTAATTCTCATGTCAATACTATCGTAAAGATACTTTTCTTAATTATGGATGAATACCTTGAAGCTCAGAGAGATTAAATAACTTGGCCAGGATCATACAACTAGATTAGTGGCAGAGCCAGAATAGAATTTGGAAGAAGACAGGAAAAAATACTAGACACAATATTGTTCATATTTTATAATTAGAAATTTGATTTGTCTCACATTTTAAGTTATGTAAAGTTTGCCAGAAATTGTATTGGAAAATTCCAGAAAACAAAATACACTAGCAGCACTAGGGAAGTTTCTTTTATATTTCAGCAAGTCTTAGTTAAGATTCAACTTCACCATATATAACAAAATCCAAATTAAATGGCTTAAGTAAGATAGAGATGTATGTTTATTACGTAGAAGAAGTACAGAGTTGGCACTTCAAAGCTGATGTGGCTCTTTAGCTTTTTAGCTTTCTGTTCTGCCATCCCTAGGTCATGACCCTCATTCTCATGATCTAGAATAGAGGCTGGAGCTTCAGCCATTATAGTCAAGTTTCAAGCAACAAGATGGAGGAAAAAAAGATGCATTACCTCCCTTTTTAAAAAATTTCCTCCCCTTTAAGGAGCCTCCCCAAAATTCCCATATGACTTGATTCTTTTACTTACTTAGGCACTTGACCCCTGCCTAGCTGCAAGGGAGACTAGGGAATGTAGTCTTCTAGTTATTCTGAGCTGTAGCCAAATATGAATACTCATTTTCTGCAATTGTTTTATGTTTTCTGCATCTACTCCTATAGTTCTCCTGTTCTTACACATTGGAATGCCATTTTTCTCAGTATCTAAATCCTACCTTTCCTTTAAATTTTAGCTCAAATGCTACTTCCTCCCAAAGTCTTCTCAATGAATCTCTCCTTGTAAACTCCTATCTTTGTGTACATACAGGTTGCCCAGGGAAAGTGTGACATATACTTAACTCTCAATGAATATTTATTGAATGAATGCTTAAATTGCTCTATTTGGAAAGAGAAAGCAATTTTATTATGTTTATTTTCTTATTTTCTTGAAATCCTTCAGAGAGAAAGGATTAGAAAGATATTATAAACTAGTTTTTGATAAAATGATGAATTAATTTTAAATTATATAGACTATAAAAGTCATAAAGTTAAATTTGTATCTTAGCATATTCTATTAATAGTTAAGAAATGTATTTTTAATGCATTATTTTCTGGATTTTTAAGGAAAACATTTAAATAAGTTTGGCACATGTTATTTGCAGAGTAAATGCAGTTTTTTTTGCAGCCTAGATGTTTGTGTTTTATTACTTTTAATTACTTTAGAATAGTTTTAGATTTTAAAGTTGCAAATGAAAAATAAACTGTGAGTACTGCTTTCAAGGCCGAGTAACCTCCTCTATTAAACACAACAGAAAGTTTATTTGGAAGGTTAAAAAGTTGTATTTGTTTCTAATAGAAAGTTAGAAAAACAGAAAAGCACAAAAGGAAAAAAATTTAAATCACCTGTAATCTCATAACTGAAAGATAACTGGAGTTAATATTTTAGCATATATATAATTTTTTATTTTATATGTAATATATACACTACTTCCAATAGCTACTTCCAGTTTTTTACTATTGTAAATAAAAACATAATTTCTTTGAGTCTTTTTTGCTTATCTGTTTTCTTAGGATATATTTAACTGTATGGTCAAAAGAGAGACTCATTTTTAATATTGTTCTATATTTCCAAATTAAATGTGTCTACTATAAGTAAAATAGTCCCTATACATTTTCCAATACTAGGTAATTAAAAGTGCTAATTTTAAAACAAATCTCTCCAAATTTTATAAATAATCTCATTTATTCTTGTGGCTTTACATACCATCTATGTGCTCGAGGCTTTCAAATTTATACCTCTAATCTAGACCTAGTCTCTGAATTCCAGACATATATTCTGCTGCCTGATTGACATCTCCATGTCAATATTTAATAGGTGTCTAAAAGTTGTCATGTCCAAAATGGAGCTCTTGATGTTTCCCAAAATAGTAAATCCTACAGTTTTCCTCATCCCAGTTAATGGAAAATCATCATTTCTCTCATACGCTGCTTCCAGTCTGTCATCAAATCCACCTCAAGTATATTCAAAATTTGACCACTTCTCACCAGCACCACTGTCATTATCCTGATTCAAGCCTCCATCATCTCTCATCGTTACTGTGACCTCCTGATCATTCTCCTTGCTTCAGCCCTGGCCCCTGCAGGCAGCATTCAGTATTAGCAGTAGAGTTGTTTCTATAAAAATGTAGTCAGCTGGGTGTGGTGTCTCACGCTGTAATCCCAGCACTTTGGGAGGCCAAGGTGGGAGGATCACTTGAGCTCAGTTTGAAGACCAGCCTGGTCAACATGGTGAAACCCTGTCTCTACTAAAAATACAAAAATTAACTGGGCATGGTGGCGGGCACCTGTAATCCCAGTTACTGGGGAGGCTGAGGCAGGAGAATCGCTTGAACCCAGGAGGCAGAGGCTGCAGTGAACCCAGATCACACTACTGCTCTCCAACCTGGGCAACAGAGTGAGACTGCCTCAAAAAGAAAAGAAAAGAAAATTCCAAAGAGCCCTCATAGTGATTCCAGGTGCTGAGTTCTGACGTGTCCTTCACTGAAGGTCATTGACTGCCTGGGCACGGTGGCTCATGCCTGTCATCCTGCAACTTCAGGAAGGCAATGTGGGAGGATCGCCTCAGCTCAGAAGTTTGAGCTCACTCTGGGCAACATACTGAGACCTCGTGTCTACAAACAATTTTTGAAAATTAGCCAGGTGTGGTGGTGTGCGCCTCTCAGCTACTTGGGAGGCTGAGGTGGGAGGATCGCTTGGGCCGGAGAGGCTGAGGCTGCAGTGAACCATGATTACACTATTGCCCTCCAGCTTGGGCCTGACACCCTGTTTCAAAAATAAATTAATAAATACAAATTAAAAAGTAAAAAAAAAAAAAATTTAGTCAGATCGTGTCACTGCCCTGCTCAGAACCCCCCAGAGATATCTTGGTTCGTAAATACCTACAAGGCATTATACCATCTCATTTTCTATTACCTCTCTTCTTCTTCCACTCTCATCTCCTTCCACTCTTCCCCTTTTTTCTCTATTTCTACCTCACTGGCTTTCTTGTTGTTTTCCCCTAACTTGCTAGGCCGCCTCCCGCTGTTGTCTTTTTCCCTTAAACAGACACACTTCCTATCAGTTTTACTCAAAAGTCTCTTTCTCAGGAGGCCTTCGCCCACATGTCATTCCTAGCTGCTTTTGTGTTTGATGTATTTTACTGCTTGTTCTTATTTTTTGTCTGTCTGCCCCTCCAGTATGTAAGCTTCATGGAGGAAGGGAATGTCGTCTGTTTTGTTCACTAATAGAACCTTCAGTGCCTGCAGCATTTTAAAAAGTAACTAGTGAACATATTGGCTCATGTATTCATCAATCATTCACATTTCTGCCTTTTTGAATTACCTACTCATTATTTTTTATATTTGTCTTTTGTCCTAATTAATATATAATAACTATATTAAGGATATTAATCTTATATTTGTTTTATTTTTCTAATGACAAATGTTATTTGACAAGACATCAAATTTGTCATTTGCTAATACTTTTTCATATTTTGTTTGCCATTTAAACTGTATTGGAAAGCTGTGAAATTTTGGAGAGAGATACACGCACACACATTTTTTTAAATGGCTTCTCTTGAGAGTGCTCTCACAGCTCTGCACATCTTGTAATCAAAGATATTGTCCATGTAGACTGTCTTTTGAAGGATGTTTGTATAGTAGATATCCTTGGAATATGGTAACCGTGTCTCCCTTAGGAGTATGGGTAGGCATGCTCACTGCCTGCTATAAGAAATTTGGGTTCCCTAAACTCAGGTTTGTTCTTCTGTAATGCATTTGACTGCATATACAGTTGCCATCTGGCCTCTGGGTTGCTCTGTGGGAACTGGGGCTCAGCAAACTGATACAAATGCTGACAGTCTTGCTACTCTTATTGCTGTGAGTAATAAGTCCCCTGTCTCTGACCTAGGAATCTTGTACCTTCTGTTAGCATCCATGAAATTGCAGTAGACTAACTAGTAAGCTTGCAAGGAAGATAAAATCTCAGACTTTTACATTTCTACATATCTTCTTTTAATTTTATGCTCTTTAGGACTTTTGCTATCCTGAAATGAAATACAGTTTTATCTGAATTGTCTGAAAATTTTTAAAGTTTTTATTTAATTCATTTGATGCTTCTTTAGTGTTGGGCTGAGGCAGGTAGTTAACCTGTTTTTTTCCTAATAGTTAAACAGTTGTCTTATTGTCATTTATTTAGTTGTCCATGTTTCCTCCATTGATTTAAAAATCTAACCTTTATCATGTATTAAGTATAATTTTTGTGTATTTTTCTTTTCCAGTAACCTCTGTATTCTATTGATTTTTCATATCTAGGCACATTTCCAAGTTTTTTTGTCAGTAAATTTAGAAAGTTTTAAAAATAATATGTCCTGTGTAAATCTTAATAAGGATGTTCATAATTATTAGTCACTAGCTTTGTGAAATTCCTAAATTTTAGATGGTATTGCATGAAATAAAAAATAATTATTTTATCAACTTTGTTAATACATGAGTTATGTTTTTATAATAATTCTGTAGCACTGGAGTATAAATGTATTCTAATGACTTATAAAATCTATATCTTTTTTGCTAGACTACACTTGCTGCTTTGAAGGATGAAGTTGTATCTGTTGAAAATGAACTCTCAGAATTGCAAGAAGTAGAAAAAAAACAGAAAACCCTTATTGAAATGTATAAAACTCAGGTGACTACTGCATTTATTTTAGTGTTTACTAAAATTGGTAGACAATTTAAAACACTATTTCTTTGTAATCTAAATAAATAGAACTGAAGAGAGGTGGGGCTATCATTGTGGGTTATAATATGGTGTGTCTCAAATATTTCTTAAGGTCCCACACATCTTTATAAATAGATGATTCTGCTGATTCCTGATTCAAACACTGCATATGGATATACTGGATATTCCTAAAAGTAGATTTAAAATGAATTACATCGGTATAATGTGACCCTTAATGTATTCTTGTTAATCTTGGTTATATTTGTTTGTCATCATGTGTATTTAATGGTATTGATTTAGATTAATGACTCCCTTCTAGGGTCATTAAAGTTCATTATGCCTCCTTTCTCAAGAAATAAAGTATAATTCAGATTATTCACATGAAAGACCAAGAAAAGAACATATGACAATATATATGAAATAGACCATGTGTTCAATGGTAATTTATAGAAAACCTTTATTTTTTTGGAAATGTAGTATTCAAGAAAAAACTTCATAAGATGGGACTTATGCAGGTCCTTGCATGATGGTTAACACACTGGTCAGAGAGAGTTTGAATTAAAGAATAATGAACTGGCTGGGTGTAGTGGCGTACACCTGTAATCCACTGGGAGGCTGAGGTGGGCGGATCATTTGAAGTCAGGAGTTCGAGACTAGCCTGGCCACCATGGTGAAACCCTGTCTCTACTAAAAATACAAAAATTAGCCAGGTGTGGTGACATGCACCTGTAGTCTCAGCTATTCAGGAGGCTGAGGCAGGAGAATTGCTTGAATCCAGGAGGTGGAGGTTGCAGTGAGCCGAGACTGCACCAATGTGCTCCCAGCCTGGGCAACAGAGCAAGACTCCATCTCAAAAAAAAAAAAAAAAAAAAAGAATGAACTAAGGATGAAAGCTTAAGGGGGCCAAAGTGTGGGCAAGTAGGAAGGGGCTGCATCTCGATGGATTAGATGGGAAAATTAAGTTGAGACATCCAGTTAGAATATTTCAGTCATCCAGGTCTGAGGTAGGAATGGAGGTTGTGGTGGACTGTGGGACTTGTTATTCATCAGGGTCTTCCAGCTGGTTATTTGGGTTTAATCCCTCAGCAGGAATACTGTGGTTGAGTGACCATATTCTGGGTGCAGGGCCTAGAATTTTTTTTTTTTTTTTTAGCAGATTTTGATTTGGTGGGAAAAATAATTTAAATGGAAGCTAGTTTGGACCAGAGACTGATTCTTTGAAGTGACATTGATCTGCAAATGAAAATCTTTGTAGTCTTCAAAGCTCAAGTGGAGAGTTTAGAAGTATTGATGAGAGAAGACAGGTAAATCAGACAAAGATTGTGGGTTAGAGTAGAGCACTGAGTGATTCCATATTTAAAGAAGTAATAACATTAGATGAACCAGTCAAGGATATTGATAGGAAAATAATGACTTGTTTAAAATGAAATTTTAAATTTTAGATTTTTATCTCATGTTATGATTCTAAAAATAATATGTTTCTCTAATACTTTATTTTCAGGTACAAAAGTTGCAAGAAGCAGCTGAAATAGTAAAAAGCAGATGTGAAAATTTGCTACATAAAAATAACCAAATAACAAAAACCAAAAATAAAAATGTAGAGAAGGTACGTTTGGAATTTCAAATAAATAATATTTTATATATTTTTTACTTTATGAATAGTACACAAATTCATTCATTTTGGTCATTTTCTCTAGTTCATACTTAGGAAAGGGCTAGTCTTAGCCTCTGTAAGAGTTTGTTTTCCAAGGAAATAATGTTTCTTCCAGGCTGGAAATGTTGTTTGTTTATGTGAATGTTTTTTCACTTTTTTGTTAATATTTGGAAAATAGCATAAATGTTTAATTTTTCTGATGCAAGAGCAGACTTTAAATAGCTCAAAAAATGGTTATCAATCATAAGTATACAAACCTAAGTATCTCTCATTTTTAATCTCACCCTTTTTTTCTGGTTATAAATGTTTTACGTCTACAAAAGCAAAGCCAATATCTGCTAAATGCATTTTTGAAGAAAAATAATATCTTTTAAAAAACGATCATTTCCTTTTATTTGTTCTATTGCAACAGAATGAAGGGAAGGCCAGTGTTGGCGAGTTATGATGTTTTTGTGAATATTTTAAAATTTTTAAATGAAACCGCATCTCTGTTTGGTTTTTTGTGTTGTTTTGGTAAAGAAGCAGTGAAAGTTGTAGGATGCTGACTCCTGGCAGCAGAGGTCATGCGATGTTAGTGGTCGCTTCCATCTGAATCTAATAAGGTTACTCTCTCTGGGTTGCTCCCTATCTTAGGATTGAGAAGTCAGAGCAAGGCAATAATGTGAAGAAGAGGTCAGCCAGAGCAAGCGTCCTCCAGTTATACAGACATAAAGATAGCTCACTGAATGCACAACTTACTGCTTTCATGGAATTACTTTTCACCTATTTTTAGCAGGCCAGCGAATAAACCATTTCATGTCTTTTGGTCTCATTTTCTCATGAAACATACCAGTGCAAATGTCTCCTTTTCTGCTAGGCAGCACTGTAAATAAAAGCATATTTTACAATCCTGTTCAAATGACGGAAAGGGTTGGAGCCTGTCTTTTTCAGATACTGTGAGGTCACAATGTTTTCTAACTAGTATTTAACAAGACAACTATTTTTTTAATGAAATTTTTCTTTTTCTTACTTCACTGTTTTAAGTCTCCTGGTTTTCTCATGGCCTCTAAGATGTTTTAAGGACACTGAGGGATCCTTTGTTCTGGATCCCTCAGTGTCCTTAAAACAGACATTTTTCAGTCTGTTTTTTTTTTTTCCTGTTTTACTTTATATACCATCAGAATATGGATCATGTGTATCCTGTTAGTAGCCACATAGCCTTCTCCTAGCTCAATGCCTAGCACGTAGTAAGCACTCAATATTTTTTTAATTAATGAAATTTTTTTTAAAGGAGCAGTCCAAGGATGGCGACAAGTCTTTTTTCTTTTACTTTCAAGACAGTTTTAGGAAGCATTCCCTGTCTGTCTTCCAAATATAATCTGGATTTTAATTTTGCAAAAAAAAAAAAATACTGCATTATCTTTCCTGATCAAGAATGCCAGATACTACACAGAAACTATTAGGTGTTCCTGTCTCAGGGAAAGAGTCTGGCTATTTTTTGTAATTAGCAGTGCAAACATTTCTTAAGGTTGCTGCTTTTCACATCTCCACGAAAGTGCTGCAGCGAGGAACTGCAGTAGCCAAAACAGATTAATGTAGATGAAATTAGAGAGATTTGTTGATAGTAACATTAATGGCCAAATTAAAGGCAAGTGAGAACTGATGATACTAGCAATTTTTAAATAATATACAGTAAACCCTATCAGTTTTGGCTAAGATGAGTGAAGCAAGCTGCTCTAATTTAAGTAAGTATCTGAGTTATAAGATTGAATGACTAAAAGTGACAATTCCTTTAGAACCTATAGCTGGGCAGTAGACAATTACGGCTTTATTAGTAATGGTTATTAGTGATAATCTATGCTTGAATATAATGTCAGGATTTTAAAAATTTGCTCTTAAAAATTAGTTAAACATCCACCCTGTCAGCTAATTTACCCTATTTATGTGCTCAACAAACTTTTTGAAAACTAAAGTCTACCCCACTTTTTAGTTATACATTCTTATTTAACAGAGTTTAATATTTATTCAGTTGTGTTCTTATTTAAAGCCATTATACCTAAAATACTTACGTTATAAGCATATCTAGTATTTAAGATAATAAAAATATTAATGCTGAATGTGTGATCTTGCACTTATTTCCCTACTGCCACAACTCAGATGAGAGGCCAGATGGAGTCTCATCTGAAGGAGTTAGAGCGTGTCTGCGATTCCTTGACGGCGGCGGAACGGAGGCTTCACGAGTGTCAGGAGAGTCTGCAGTGCTGCAAGGGGAAGTGTGCAGACCAGGAACACACCATTAGGGAGCTTCAGGGCCAGGTGTCCAGCCGTCCTTCTGAGTTTTGCTAGATGCGTTAAAAGAATGCTTTGGAATGATTTCACCAGTTGAGGGCACTCATGTCAGGGCTTGATTTTTAAATTCCCATCTACTTAGTTCGTAAAACATCATTTTCATGCAGATACTATAATACAGTTTTGCAAGCTATTCTTTTAGTATTTTATGGTGAAAAATTGGTAATTAAAATTCTTATTTTAGTTTATTCATGCAAATCTATAGACATTTGAAGACATGGTAATAGAATGAGAGAAGGAGCAAAGTTATACTTACATATATGTTCCTTGATGTAAGGATAAGGTAAATTATTGAAACTTACATTACAAAAATTGAATTTATTTTAATTAGAATTGTACGTCAAGTTTTTTGGGATATTTTTCAGTCTGTTTCTTTTTCCTGTTTTACTTTTTATACCATCAGAATATGGATCATGTGTATCCTGTTAGTAGCCACATAGCCTTCTCCTAGCTCAATGCCTAGCACATAGTAAGCACTCAATATTTTTTTAATTAATGAAATTTTTTTTAAAGGAGCAGTCCAAAGATGGTGACAAGTCTTTTTTCTTTTACTTTCAAGGCAGTTTTAGGAAGCATTCCCTGTCTATCTTCCAAATATGATCTGGATTTTAATTTTGCAAAAAAAAATACTGCATTTTCTCACTTAAAAAGTAGGAGCTAAATGATGAGAACACGTGGACACATGGAGAAGAACAACACACAGTGGGGCCTTTCAGAGGGTGGAGAGTGGGAAGAGGGAGAGGATCAGAAAAAATAACTAACAGGTACTAGGCTTAATACTTGATTGATGAAATAATCTGTACAACAAACCCCCATGACACAAGCTGACCTGTGTAACAAACCTGCATTTGTACCCCTGAACTTAAAAGTTAGATAAAAATATGCAGACAAAATTTTAGTTTAAATTCCTGAGAAGAGATTTTTCTAGTAAAATGTCAAACGACATAGATTAGCCTAAATTACTAATTGAAATTATGAGAAAAAAATTTTTTCCTTGAATCAAAGCTTCTTACATTATTTAGAGCAGATTTTGAAGCAGTGGGAAGAATATTCTGTCTTGGCATGGGTGAGTGTGTCTTTGGTTGATTTGTTCACTTTGCTTCTCAAAAAAATATGTATTTTATTTACAGTTTCGACTTCACAGATACTCAATTATTAATCAGTATTTTTAGGTGAAACAGAAAACCATAAGAGAAACCCTAGGTATCCAAAAATAGGAGATTAATACTGCTTAAAATTTTCCTATTTCAACTTAACAAAATAAATATCTTTCTTCAATAAGGTGTTGTTCAAAGTGTTTTAATAGCCATCATCCTGAATTTTTTTTAGTTGGTTATTTTCCAATACAGGCAACATAACTTCTTTAAATTTAACCAGGAATTTAAAACTTCCATTTTAACAATATAACATTTTCTTGGTGTCTTTCTGTGTAAGAGTAGTAACATTTATACCTTCTCGTTGCTTGTGGTTGTTCTAACAATAAATTATATGGATTTCTTTGGAAGTTGATTGTGAAGAAAATGACTAAGAAAACTTTTTTTTTTCTTTTAGGTTGATGGAAATCACAATCTTCTGACAAAGCTTTCTCTGGAAGAGGAAAACTGTCTTATTCAGCTGAAGTGTGAAAACCTTCAACAGTAAGTATTAAATTACTTAACATTGCTGCTGCATATTTCTCTGCACATTAACATTTTAAAATATATGTTTTCTGTAAAAAGAAAATTAGAACAGATGGACGCAGAAAATAAAGAGCTTGAGAAGAAGCTGGCAAACCAAGAAGAATGTCTTAAGCACAGCAATCTTAAGTTTAAAGAGAAATCTGCAGAGTATACAGCATTGGCCAGACAACTGGAAGCTGCTTTAGAAGAAGGAAGACAAAAGGTATGCATGGCCTTTATTTAGAAACTTTTTAATTCATTTACCAAAGAGTCATCTTTTTAAACATCTTGCAACCTGTAGTTATTGTTTTTGTCCTGATGACAGGGTGAAGGGAGCAATTACATTTTTCTTCTTTAACTATCTTCCTTTTCAAGCAAAACAGATACATTGCTAGGCTAGAGCTACTTCACTAGATAAATGGTAATGTGGCTGGGGAAAGGGCAGAGATGGAAAACACTTTGAAGACATAATCTCCTCCTGTACCTTTTTTATATACAACCAAATTGAATGTGCAAATAATTGAAAATTTTTGTTTTGATCAGGATTCAGTGAGCTGTAAAGTTCAAGTCCCTTTTGACAAATATTGTTGCATAGATAAATACATACAATATTAAATTTCAGTTACATCCATTAGGTTAGCATTCAACGAATACTTCAGTATCAGGCAATCTGCTAGTGCTTGAGATGCAAAGATGAATAAGACCTGGCCTTAGCTCTCAGCACTCTCATAGTCTGGTGTAGGGTTCAGCCTAAGTGCATTTTGGAAATGCCAGGTATGCTCTCAGATTCCTTCCTGAAAGGAAGAGTTCAGAGTCCCAGAGGTATGTCTGCCCTCTCCTTTCTCTCCTGCTACAGTGGAATATGGGGCTATCTGTAGTTTCTGCCCACGTGAGAGTGCCATCACTGCCCTGTTACCATTGCCCACACTGAGGGGACGGCGCCAAGGGCGTCAATGTTTGTCCTAAAGGCCCTTTCTCCCATAGCTTCAGCTCACACTGGCATCTCTCATGCATAATTGTGCTTGGAATATGTACAGAAGAAATCTTTATAATAACTTAGAACCGAGTTCATAGGAATTAGGTTGGAGGACAGTCCTTTCCACTAGCTCCTTGTTCCTGGATCAGTCCCTGCCTCTACTCTCATTCTTGTGGCTCCAACCCAGCATTCTTACAAATAGGCTTCCTTAGAAGGAAACATATCTGATTCCTTAGATGAACATAACTAAGCTAGACTTCCTGCTAAAATAAGTAACCAGAGAAATATGAAAATTCAAATTCAGACCAGTTTGGAAGTGAATGAATGAAGAACCAGTCTCTGTGTTTGTGTGTGTGTGTTTGTAGGAAGTGTGTATACCAATTCCTGCTCCCAATTCTATTAATCCAAGTGTATAATGAGTATTTAACAAGAAATTTCTATGTTCCATCACTGCTCTTAACACCCTGGTGAATATAAATGCTATAAAAATGGTAATTGGTCTCAGTCTGTTTTTAAAATATACTGTTGGAGAAAACACCTACCTAAGTCACGGAGCAGTGAAAATGTATACATCTCTTCCATCTCAAGCCAATTTTGCAGATATTTAGTGCTGCGAAGATAAGTATAGTATATACTTACGCTATATATGCTTCTTCAAGATAGAACATCTTTAAACTTGGATATAACATACAAGTAATATCTGTTTAGAAAAAAGGTACAATATAACTGTCAAGGCTTTAAATCATATTTTAAAGAAAGCACTTTATTTTACTCTTTTGATAAAAATTACAGGTTGCTGAAGAAATAGAGAAAATGTCATCTAGAGAGAGTGCTTTACAAATTAAAATATTAGATCTGGAAACTGAGCTTAGAAAGAAAAATGAAGAACAAAATCAACTTGTTTGCAAAATGAACAGTGTAAGTATTAGCATGGCTTAACATATTATAAAAGATAACATTTAACATTCTTACCATGTAGAAAATACAAAGTGAGTGAATCAAGTCTATTGTTTTACTGATAATATTAAAAATAACAAGCAATATAAGACATAACAAATAAAAATGTTATGATATGCCAAATAATTTATTATTCTGCCTCTTTGGATGGCATGTATTGCATTGCCATCAAATCTCATCAGGCACTTTCCCTACATATTACTTTTGCAATGACATCTGCTTAATGAAAATTACAGATATAATCTACTTGATTTCATCCTGATATGAATTTTTCATTTTTTAAAGATAAACACAGTGTAAACTATTATTACAAGTGAGTTTTATATCTGTCTTGAATAATGAATATTTTGTTTTAGAAAGTTATAATTTTGTAGTAAACATTCAGTATTGTTAGATATACATGTGAGATGGATGCTTTAGTCCACTCAGCCATGAAATGAAAATACCAAAGTGACTGTGCTTAATTAGTCTTCTGTTTTTTTTCCTGAATACTCATGAAACAGTCAATTGGCATAGAATATTCTGAAAGCTAGCATTACTCATGATTAAATTACGTAATAACTGTCTACTAGATAATGACATAGAGAATAATGATACTGTGTTTTTTCCAGGATCCAGAGACTCCATGAAATCTATTTTTTTAATTCCCAAGTGTCTAAAAAGTTGAAAACCTAAAAGATTCAAGAGTTAAATGATTTTTGGCATGCACAATTTGATTTTATTGCCATCAAAAGTTTCATGACAACTTAGTCAGAACAAAACGTCGATCACCTTTAATTTAGCACAGGCCTTCCATTTATTTCTAAACTTTTTTTTAACTCACCATTTGACTTTCTGATATTGTAAAATGTGTGTGCTGTTTTTTTGTGTAATTGAAGCCTCTGAAAAAATAAATGAGGTGGGTTTTGCTGTAATGTCCCTAGTACTTGGCTAAAGCTAGTAAAATAAATAGATCCCATTCACAATTGCCACAAAGAGAATAAAATACCTAGGAATCCAAATTACAAGGAATGTGAAGGACCTCTTCAAGGAGAACTACAAACCACTGCTTAAGGAAATAAGAGAGGACACAAACAAATGGAAAACATTCCATGCTTATGAATAAGATGAAACAAGATCATGAAAATGGCTATACTCCCCAAAGTAATTTATAGATTCAGTGCTATCCCCATCAAGCTACCATTGACTTTCTTCACAGAATTAGAAAAAACTACTTCAAATTTCATATGGAACCAAAAAAGAGCTCACATAACCAAGACAATCCTAAGCAAAAAGAACAAAGCTGTAGGCATCACGCTACCTGACTTCAAACTATACTACAAGGCTACAGTAACCAAAATAGCATGGTACTGGTGCCAAAACAGATATATAGACCAATGGAACAGAACAGAGGCCTCAGAAATAACTCCACACATCTACAACCATCTGCTGTTTGACATACCTGAGAAAAACAAGAAATGGGGAAAGGATTCCCTATTTAATAAATGGTGTTGGGAAAACTGGCTAGCCATATGCAGAAAACTGAAACTGGATCCCTTCCTTACACCTTATACAAAAATTAACTCAAGATGGATTAAAGACTTAAGTGTAAGACCTAAAACCATAAAAACCCTAGAGGAAAACCTAGGCAATACCATTCAGGACATAGGCATGGACGAATACTTCATGACTAAAACACCAAAAGTAATGGCAATAAAAGCCAAGATTGACAAATGGGATCTAATTAAACTAAAGAGCTTCTGCACAGCAAAAGAAACTATCATCAGAGTGAACAGGAACCGACAGAATGGGAGAAAATTTTTGCAATCTATCCATCTGACAAAGGGCCAATATCCAGAATCTACAAAGAACTTAAACAAATTTACAAGAAAAAAAACCCCATCAAAAAGTGTGCAAAGAATATGAACAGACACTTCTCAAGAGAAGACATTTAGTCAGCCAAAAAACATATGAAAAAAAGCTCATCACTGGTCATTCAGAGAAATGCAAATCAAAACTACAGTGAGATACCATGTCACACCAATTAGAATGGTGATCATTAAAAAGACAGGAAACAACAGATGCTGGAGAGGATGTGGAGAAATAGGATGCTTTTACACTGTTGGTGGGAGTGTAAATTAGTTCAACCACTGCGGAAGACAGTGTGGCGATTCCTCAAGGATCTAGAACCAGAAATACCATTTGACCCAGCAATCCCATTACTGGGTATATACCCAAAGGACTATAAATCATGCTGCTATAGAGACACATGCACACGTATATTTATTGTGGCACTATTCACAATAGCAAAGACTTGGAGCCAACCCAAATGCCCATCAATGATAGACTGAATAAAGAAAATGTGGCACATACACCATGGAATACTATGCAGCCATAAAAAAGGATGAGTTCATGTCCTTTGCAGGGACATGGATGAAGCTGGAAACCATCATTCTCAGCAAACTAACACAAGAACAGAAAACCAAACACCGCATGTTCTCACTCATAAGTGGGAGTTGAACAATGAGAATACATGGATACAGGGCAGGGAACATCACACACCAGGGCCTGTCAGGGCGTGGGGGGCTAGGGGAGGGATAACATTAGAAATTCCTAATGTAGATGACGGGTTGATGAGTGCAGCAAACCACCATGGCACGTGTATACCTATGTAACCAACCTGTACGTTCTGTACATGTATCCCAGAACTTAAAGTATAATAAAAATTAAAAAAAATAAAGATCTGATGTTTTGTTAAACCTGATAAGTTTTGTACTAGTAAAATTCTAGAATTCTAAGCATAGATTTAAACATTGCTGAAAAATGAGTTTGTGTGTTTTATGCCTTCCAGGGGACAGTTAAGTGGGCAGTATTTATTTAATATACCTGCTTCAGCCCCATTTGAATTGTAAGCACTCTGAAAGCATGTCTCATAGTCGTCTGTATCCCTGGTGTCTCCCACAGTGCCCTGCTTACCTGCAGGCCTTTTTGTATTTTCTGTCCAAGTACCCTAATAGGGTGGTGCAGAATGGATGTACAGATCTGTGGATGACCTCAGCAGCTTAATCCAAGGCACCCCTCGGGAAGCCTGAAATGTCTTTGAAGTCTTATGTATTATCCTAAAATCCATTGACATTTTATATTCTACCCTACAAAATAAGTATGTGTTACTATTTTTCTTTCCAAATTGTTGAGTAAAACTCATTGTATTCATCCTGTGACTTTGTACTGCCCAGCCTAGCTCATTGTTTTTTACCTGCCTCATTTCCTGAGCTGGGCATTGCTCAGTTTCAGAAGGTATCAGGTGTCATTGAACACCTGATATGAAGGATGTAAAAGTTCTCTCTTTTCTATCTAGGTGTCTATATTTTAATTGGAGGCTAGATGATATTTGCAACCTGTCTTTATCTAAAGCATTGTCAGTGAACTCACCTACTTAGGAATTCATATGCACCTTAGTTAAAAAAAATGTATTGTGGTTTTAAATTTTTTCCTCAACCAGTGTAATATGAAGAATTCTTTTTATTTTTTAAGAGATTCTAAGAAAATGTTCACATTATCAAAACTAGAATTCTATCAACTTTTAAGACATTTAATTATTTTGGAATAAAATGTGAATTTTTAGACAGAAAATGGCAAAAACTAGTATGAAAATATATCATGTTACATGTGAAATTATGACAGTTGTTAACCTATTAAGTTAATCATGTTAAATATGTAATAATTTGGGGCTAAATGAATGTATATTATAAATTATATCAGTGAAGATCAACCATGTGTGTGCTTTAATTATTAATTTTAAAGAGTGAGCTCTAAGAATGAACACATCAGATGTGAGTATTATTTTAAAAAATCAAAAAGAATTATCTAGTTATTGTATATATGTTTTTAATATTATGACTCTGGTCCTTTGGAATGAATGCTATTATTGCTTATCTGTATTTTTTTCCTTTTTTCTTTAGAAAGCACAACATCAGGAAGTGTGTTTGAAAGAAGTACAAAATAGTCTTGAGAAGTCGGAAAATCAAAATGAGAGTATTAAGAATTATTTACAGTTTCTTAAAACTTCTTATGTAACAATGTTTGAATAAATTGTCAAATTTATTTTCTCTAAGTAGTAGATTTTTATTATGAGTCTAAAATGTGATTGGGTAAAAAAATAAATATACTACCAGTTACATTTTATGATTTATGAGTGGTAGTATTAGAGGTTTTTATGTAAAGATTTTTGAAACATAATTTATCTAACTGAAACTTTAAAATAGGATAGTTGTTACTATTCCTGTTTGCTGGATAATTCTTATTTATCTTTGGTTTAATTTCTTTTAAAATTAAATTGGTTGTTAGAATATTTTTCTCACACATAGACATGGAAGTCAGATTCATTCTTTGTGATGTTTGTAGCCACCATTCAAGTGAATTTGTAGTAAGTCTTGGTCAATATGATTTTAAATAATATATATAATTGTTTTATATTATGATATATAAATGTAAAATATTCTGAATTTTAATTTTTAATAATGGTGTAATTACATACTTTCTAAAGCTACTAAATGTCTCAATATACTACACTTAATATTGTTTCAAGTATATGCTGAGTTGCCATTATAATTTCTGTTAGGTTTTAAGTATACAATTTTAAATCATCGCTATTAAGTACCAACTGCTAATGACAGATGAAAACGTGGTCATGCATTATTTCTTTATAAAGAATAGATATTCAGGCTGTCTTCAATTTGTACTCTCTTTTATTCGTTTTATACTAATGATTATCTGATATTATTATTATTTTAGACATTCTAGAGCCCCTTAGTTAAATAAAAGATTAAAGGGGAACAGCTTATCCCACCCTTTCCATGGCCAACTCATGGGGATGATCAAAATAAGCACTCTTAACATCAAGAAGCTTTAAAATAAGGTCTTTAGTATTGGGATAAAGTTGTCCAAGTTGAAAAAGAACTTGTTTGCTATAATCTCCCACTGTGTGTGCCAAGGCAGGATACTCTAAAAGGGGATGACGTGGTTTACAAAGGATCAAGTAATAGTGACTCCTCTTGGACAATGACTTGAGAGCTGTTAATTCAGAGGAACACTCAGGTCTTAAAAGATCACTAAAAAAGGCAGGTTGTGAACTACACAGTTCCAGCCTATGAACAGAAATATCTCTTTAAGATGTTTTATGCTTTTTTTCTGATCAGAGATGGGGGCCTGGTCCCCTCTGATCCCCTCACTTTTAAGACTGTCATATCATTCACAGATGCTTACTTTCTAGTGATCCAGTTGGTTCGTAGTATTTTTCTTAAAATAGCAAAATACAGAGTGTCAGAACTGGCCACATTTTTTACCCAACAATTGCTAACAAGATTAGTGTCATTTTAAAAAAAATCTTAGTACTCATCATACTAAAAACATGCTTGACCCTTGCAGCCCTTTCTTTACCTCCTAATGCAAAGGGAGCCTTAAATGCCCACATGAAAGGAAAGCAAAGCTCTTGAGTTTTACTCACTAAACTGTAAGCTCCTTAAGGGCCGAAATGTATCTTAGTCATATAAATATCTGGGCACTCAGTTGATGTTTGTGGATAGATGGACAGATGTTGAAAGAGGCAGGTATTCGTACTCCTGTTTTAGATATGAAAAATGTAAGCAAAAAGGATTAATTACCATGGCTGTGGTATGAAACTTGTTTAAAGTTGGCATTTAAATTCAAGTCTGCAACATTAAAGTTCTGTGTACAGAGCCGTTTTCCCACTGTAGCAGCAGCGCAGCAGCAGCGCTGCTATGATTGATTAAGCACTTGCTATGTGCCAGAGTTAATAATTGTGATAATATATTAACTCATTTAATTTTCAGGAAACTAAGACATGGAAAGGTTAGGTAACTTGCCCAAGGTCGCACAGCTAGTAAGTGGCAGACATCCAGAGTCTCTGCTCTGCTCTTAACTCTCACCATACTACCTCTGTATCCATTTCATAAATAAAGATAGTAGTTTCTTATAACAGTAATGCATTTGTCTTACCCATGAATACCTCCTTTCTCATATTTTTAATTTTTTATTGTTACCAAAGTAATTTGTGCTTATGGCATTTAAAAATTGGTGCCTGCAGCTTTAGATAGACTGTGGAAGGAAAAGACTACCACAAAGTTCCTAAGGTTGGTATTTAGCTCCTAGTGACAACATGACAAAGGAAAGTTGCTGAATGCTAGAATTTAACAATCTCTGCTTAATACTGTTTCCATGTGAAGCATTAGGTACACACATTGTGTGTACCTAGGGCTTACCTGGTATGTGACCTAAATTCAATGTCAGCGAGGCCCTTGAGCCAGAAAGCCCATTTCCCCACAGTACTAAAAGATCTGCAGGATTTTCCCTTTATCTTTGATATTCAGGCCCTCAATACTTTCTAAGTTGTAAATGTTTTCTTCCATTATCTATGTTATTATTACTTCTCATGTTCCTTTCCTCCTCTTTCGTTGGCTCCTGGATCTGACCTCCATGCTTCTTGGTCTTTTCCCTCAGGTTATCTGCACTGGGTCTCTTATGAGGTATTTCCTCCAGCGATTTTTCTGACCACTAATGTTATTTTCAAAGTCAGTCATTCTCTTTTTCTGTTGGATATTGAACTTTTAATTAAGAAATCGTGGTAGTTTTTAATTTCTGAAAATCTTTTCTATTTTTAGTTCTATAATTCCATGATATTTTTCATTAAAATTATCTTCTGTCTCTTCCATTGGTTCTGCTTCAGTAGACATCTCTCTTATTTCTGTTGCACTGGTCATCTTTCTTCCCATGCCCCATAAATGAATTTAACTTTTCCTGGCCTACTCAAGCTATGGTTTCCTCAGCATCTGCCAGCACCCTGTTGTGCACATCTCTTGGGCAGTAGCAAATTAAGTGTTAAGAGATGCGGTGGCTTCATTTCTCATGGGCCTATGAGACCTCTTACCATCTGATAACTTTCTATGAGGAGCTGTTTTGCTCCCAGACCTTTTCAGTCTCAAGCAGCAGTTCTTTCCCAACTACAAAGATTGGAAAGCCCTTCACTAGAGAGCCCCTTCAAGGTTTTCTGAGGTCAGCAGGTCTGTTGCAGCAAACGGCAAATGAAGTCCTCTTAGAAAGTGAGTCACAGCAGGGTCTGTAGCTGGAAAAATATACAGCAATTTAAAGAATGAATTTGATCTATCTGCTGGCTTGCAGTTTATTCGTTATATTTAGGTGAAAAAAAGTCACAAAGTCATGTTTATTTTTGTAATTAAAAACCTCTCTGTATATAGGTTCACATATGTTGGTATGCACATGGAGAAAGGAATAGAAACCCACACACGTGATACGGTTTGGTTCTGTGTCCCCAACCAAATCTCATCTCAAATTGTAATCCCCACGTGTTGGGGGAGGGGCCTGGTGGGAGGTGATTGGATCATGGGGGTGCATTTCCCCCTTGCTGTTTTCTGGGTTCTCATGAGATTCAATGATTTAAAACTGTGTGGCAGTTCCCCCCGACTCTCTCAGTCCTCCTCCTGCTCTGCCATGGTAGGATGTGCTTCCTTCCCCTTTGCCTTCCACCATAATTGTAAGTTTCCTGAGGCATCCCAGTCATGCTTCCTGTTAAGCCTGTGGAACTGACTCAAACTCAAATCAGCAAGATAAAAATAATCCCATTAAAAAGTGGACAAAGGATATGAATAGACAAATTCTCAAAAGAAGATATGCAAGTGACCGACAAACATGAAAAAAATGCTCAATATCACTAATGGTCAGGGAAATGCAAATTAAAACCACAGTGAGATACCACCTTACTACTGCAAGAATGGTCTTAATAAAAAAATCAGAAAAGAATAGATGTTGGCATGGATGTAGTGAAAAGGGAACACTTCTACACTGCTGGTGGGAATGTAAACTAGTACAACCACTATGGAAAATAGGATGGAGAGTCCTTAAAGAACTAAAAGTAAAACTACCATTTGATCCAGCAATCCCACTACTGGGTATCTACCCAAAGGAAAAGAAGTCATTATGTGAAAAATAACTTGCATTTGCATGTTTATAGCAGCACAATTTGCAATTGCAAAAATATGGAACCAGCCTAAATGCCTGTCAACCAATGAGTGCATAAAGAAAATGTGGTACATATACATTGTGGAATACTACTCAGCCACAAAAAGGAAAAAAAATCACAGCATTCACAGCAACCTGGATGGAGTGGGAGACCATTATTCTAAGTGAAGTAACTCAGAAATGGAAAACCAAATATTATATGTTCTCATTCATAAGTGGGAGCTAAGCTATGAGGACACAAAGGCATAAGAATGATACAATGGGCCGGGCGCGGTGGCTCACGCCTGTAATCCCAGCACTTTGGGAGGCCAAGGCGGGCGGATCACGAGGTCAGGAGATCGAGACCATCCTGGCTAACACGGTGAAACCCCGTCTCTACTAAAAATACAAAAAATTAGCCGGGCGTGGTAGCGGGCGCCTGTAGTCCCAGCTACTCGGGAGGCTGAGGCAGGAGAATGGCGTGAACCCGGGAGGCGGAGCTTGCAGTGAGCCGAGATCGCGCCACTGCACTCCAGCCTGGGCGACAGAGCGAGACTCCGTCTCAAAAAAAAAAAAAAAAAAGAATGATACAATGGACTTTGGGGACTCTGGGAAAGGGTTGTGGGGAGGGGAGGGGAGGGATAAAAGACTACACAATGGGTATAGTGTAAACTGCTTGGGTGATGAGTGCACCAAAGTCTCAGAAATCACCACTAACGAACTTATCCATGTAACCAAACACCACCTGTTCCCCAAGAACTATTGAAATTTTTTTAAAAAAGAAATAATTTCATTGTAATAATGCCAAGGAAAACTTCTAGAATGTCACCTGAATGTAATCCTAAAACTCATTTTTGTCTATATTTATTAAATTTGCTTTAACTTCTATAGACAAACATAGTTAATTACCTTAAAACTTCATAAATTTGCATTTCCAGGCTAGAAGTATAACTTGATTTCACTATTTTGAGCTTGTTTAATTTGAAATTTTTTATTTAAGACTTTCTGACAGTATACATATGGTAGTGTAAGCGTTTCAAGAAATAAGAATTTTAATTTCAAATGACTCGTTAAAATACCAAGCACAATACTGTATGGTATATTCGATACTCAAAGACTTCTTTCTTTTTCCTGCCTGACATAGAAAGAACTTTTAGAAATTAATAAAAATGTGATTTCCAACAATAAAATATCAAAAGATAAGAACAGACAAATCACAAGGGTGAGGATAGCAGCTGCTGCCAATGCTCGGAGGCAGGCAGGCCATCTGAGAACTGTGGCTTCAAGCTGTTTAGAGAGGTAGGCAACAACCTGGAGGGTGGGTCCCTTAGACTGGGTTAGAACACATAGTGCAACTCCACGCCATTTGTCGGTATAGAGGGAGAAACGTTTGGCGAGGTCTGGGAGAGAGAGGACGGGGGCTGAGATGAGAGCCTTCTGGAGTAGACGGAAAGATTGGGTAATAGGCTGTGCAGGTTTTAAAGGCTCATGGAGAGGGCCTTTAGCAGCTTGGTATAACAGTTTGGCAAGTAGAGTGAAGGAGGGAACCCAGAGCCTAAAATATCCCGCTAGTCCTAGAAAAGAGAAAATTTCTTGCTGAGTTTGCAGGAGCGGGAAGGACTGGAGGAGGGATATGCAGTCCGTTGTGAGCCTTCGGGTTTGCGGGGTAAGAGCTAGGCCTAGATAGGTGACTGAGGGGGTGCATGTGTGCTTTCTTAGGGGAGACCTGATACCCCTGTTCTGCCAAGAAGTTTAAAAGAGAGATGGTATGGGCATTGCAGTCTCTTTGAGAGGGGCTACATAGGAGCAGATTATTAACATATTGAAGGAGAGTGGATGGTTTTAGGGATAAGGTAAAGAGGTCTCGAGCAAGGGCCTTTCCAAAAAGGTGGGGGCTGTCTCTAAAACCTTGAGGTAGTACGCACCAGGTGAGCTTAAGTGAAAGGTGGGTGTCAGGGTTTTTCCACATAAAGGCAAAGAGGTTTTGGGAATCAGGGTGTAAAGGAATTGTGGGGAAAAAAAGGATCCTTTAGGTTTAGAACAGAAAAATGGGTGGTATTGGAGGGAACTGTGGAGAGTAAAGTATACGGGTTAGGAACTACTGGACATACTGGGAGTACAGCTTGGTTAATGAGCCTGAGATCCTGGACTAATTGATAAGTTCCATCTGGCTTTTTAACAGGTAGAATTGGTGTGTGAAAGGGAAATTTGTTGGGTGGAGTAGGTGACTGGCGAGGAGGCCAGAAATGATAGGCTTTAGGCCTATGAGAGTTGCTTGGGGGATGTAATACTGCTTCTGTGATAGGAACTGGGTGGTCTCTTTAAAGGTAATGCGGAGGGGGGTGTGGTGTTTTGCAACTGAGGGTCTGGAAGTATCCTAAACAGCGGGGTTAACTACGGATGGGGGATAAGGAAAAGTTGCATGTTTTAAGGTGGGAGGTTGGAGGAGCAGAAGAAAGAAGCCCCGGAGGGGTCTGGGTTGATGCGTTGGGTACTGTGGGGAATGTGGAAATGGATAGTGTGGAGTTTTGAAAGGATGTCTCTG
This sequence comes from Homo sapiens, assembly GCF_000001405.40. Taxonomy (NCBI): domain Eukaryota; kingdom Metazoa; phylum Chordata; class Mammalia; order Primates; family Hominidae; genus Homo; species Homo sapiens. Next base: position 86,342,261 of record NC_000001.11, on the reverse strand, counting down.
CCTAGGAGCGGAGTTGGGCATGAGGGCAGGACTCAGAAAGAGTGAGTGAAGGAAAAGGTGTGTGGGGAGCAGAAAAGTGGAGGGGTGGCTTGGGGTTTGGAGACTCGTCCATCAATTCGCACAACAGAGACTTGGCAGGACTGGGTGGGTTCTGAAAAATTAGGTAAAGCAGAGTAGGTTGTCCCATATTAATTTAAAAAAAAACCATACTGGCCTACCTGCCACCATCAGGGTTACACTTGGCTCAGATGAAGCGATGGTAGTTGCCGGGGCATCCGTTCCAGGACACCATCAGTCTTCAGTAGCAAGGACAATGAGATTCGAGTGGGAGGTTTTGGGCGGCTTAGGAAGGGGCAGTCCTTGTGGGGGCCACTCACAGTCCAACTTCCTGTGGGGTCCTTCACAGAGGGGACACGGCCTGGTGGGCTTACCTGGGTTTGGGCATTGTCTGGACTAGTGGCCTTCATTGCCACACTTGAAACAGACAGGTGGAGGTGGATTGCTAGGAGGCTTCCTTGTGGAGCTGCGACCCTGTGGGCCTGCAGGGCCCCTGATGGTGGAAGCAAGCATTTAAAACTCTGCCTGTTTTTGCCTTTTACTTTCCTCATTATGATTGTTAAAGACTTTGAAGGCTAAATTAAGAAGGTCTCATTCTGGGGTGTGAGGGCCATCATCAAGCTTCTGAAACTTGTACCGAATATCAGGGGTGGACTGGGAGATGAACCGAAGGTTTAAGATAGTAGTTCTTTCTGGGCTTGCTGGGTCTAGGTTGGTATATTTTCTCATGGCTTCAGTTAAACCAGAGAGAAAAAGGGCTGGGTTTTTATTAGGACCTTGGGTGATTTCTGAAAGTTTTTTATAGTTTACCACTTCATGGGCACCCTTTTTGAGTCCTGCAGGGAGACACACAATCATGTGGTCTCAATGGCGGTGTCCAGAGGTCCTGTCTTGATAATCCCAGTGGGGTCCTGGTTGGGGACTGCCTCTGTGCCAGTAGGCTGGGCAGGAGCTTGGTGATGAATTGTATTAGCATGTGACGGAGCTAGGGTCCAGATATGGTCTCGGTCTTCTGGGGTGAGGGTGGAAGAGAGGATAACATAGAGGTCATGCCAGGTTAGTTCATAAGACTGGGTGAGGTACTGAAACTCTCTAATGTAAGAGGTAGGGTCTTCTGGAAATGAACTGAGTCTTTTGTTAATTTGAGAGAGATCAGTGAGGGAGAAGGGAACATGAACTCTAAAAACACCTTCAGTTCCTGCTGCTTCCCAAAGTGGGCACTCTAGCACCTGCACTGAAGTAAGGGTGGGGCATGGGCCAAAGATGGCACCCAAGTGAGTATGGGCAGGAGAGAAGGAAGAAGCCGGAAGTGGTTCTTGCTGAGTGTTTGAAGGGGAAAGGGGGGATGAGTTAACAGGCAGTGGAGGATAGACAGGGGCATAAGGTGTTGGGATGGGTTTACAAGCCTCAGGAGAGGGTGGTGGGGGAGGAGAATGGGTACAGGCAATTCTAGAATTGTCCTGAGGAGGGGATGGTGCAGAAGAAAAAGTGGGTACTGCTGACTGAGAAGATGGCCGCTAGGAAGAGGGCAGCTGGGAAGATGGCGGTTGAGAATATAATGAGGAGGCTTGGGGGGTTAAAGAAGACGGTTGAGAGGAAGAGGTAGGGGCTGGGAGGGGTAGACAGCAGTCAGCTGGATTGAATGAGGAAAAAGAGGTAGGGTCAGGAAGAGAAAGGTGATCAGGGCAGCAAGAATGGAGGAGAAGGATTTGAACAGGTGAGCAAGAATTGCAGAGGTCGAGTTGTGATCTGAGTGCAAAAAAGCCTGGACATAAGGAATTTCTCCCCATTTCTCCAGTCGTCAGCAATAATTGCTTAAATCAGTTAAAACTGTAAAGTCGAATGTTTCATTTGTGGGCCATTTGGACCCATTATCCAATTCATATTGTGGCCAGACTGAATTGCAAAAAATGACAAGACACTTAGGGTAGATATCTTGCCTGAGGCCTAAGGTTTGCGGGTTTTTTATGAGGCAGGCTAGAGGGCTGTTTTTTGGAATGGAGGACCGCGAGTTTCCCCATAATGGAGGGTAGGCTTGGGAGAACAGGGAAAAGGAGACTGTCCTGGATGGCTGGAGGGATACGATAAAAGGAGCGATTGTTACTACTGCGTTTTTTGCTCCTGGAACAGGATCAAATGGCTTAGAGGCATCCCCCTAAGACCAGATGATCAGCGAGTGCCTGGCACATGCCAGAGCCTTCTTGGACCAATGTTGGGTTTTCAGACTGGAGAAACCAAGAGAGGCTGTGCAGATTTTTACCTGTTAACTGGGCTCCTGGGAAAACTTACCAGTAGGTGAGAGCAGTGACTGAGGTGCATGCACAGAGAGGCAACTGGAGACTGAGGAGCTTCCTTTGTCTGCTCTCTGGAATGGAGGGGTAGGTCCATGAGGGACATGGACTGGAGCCCCTCCCGGGTTTCAGCACCAGATGTAAGGTTCTTTTATCAGTTTGAACCCTGCGAGGACACCAATAGGCAGGAGTCAGTGTGGAACAACATGCTGTTTAATGAACACCTGGGTGCAGGCAGGCTGAGGCCTACAGTGGCGTCAGTCCCAAGTGAGGACAGGGCAAAAAGGTTTTATAGACTCCTGTAAACAGGAAGTGTCCTAGTCTGACGTAACTGCTACATTGTACCCAGACGTCCTCTTTCTCAATCTTCAGGGGTACGTGTCTTCCCGCCAGGGTAGGTGTCTTCTGGCAGGCTCTCTTCCTGCTTCTGCTATCTTGCTGATGCCTGCTGCTGACAGAAGTGGCCTTGTGCCTTGGGAGTGGGCCTGAGAAGGGAGGAGTTATTCATCTCCCTAAGCCTTCAGGCCCCATGGAGAATCTTACAAGACCCCCCCACTATGACCACAGACACATACATTCTAAAATCTTAGGATTCACTGCTGACTTTTCTCAAATTATTAAGTAAGAAGTAACATAAACCAAAGCTTCCAAAGAACAGAAGAGGAAATGCTTCTCAACTTTTTTTTAATGAAGTCAGCATAATCTCAATAACTAAAACACAGCAAGGACATTTTAAAGAAAAACACATTCCAATATCACACATGAATGTAGATGTAAAAATCCTAATCAGAATATTAGCAAATTGGATTCAGCAATATGCAAAAAGGAGAATATATGATTATCAAATGGGAATTTATTTCAGAAATACAAGTGTGGTTTAATATTTAAAATTGAATTAATTTAATTTGCTTTATTCTCCAAAATTTAGCATCCATTCATAATGAAAACTCTTAGTAAACTAGGAATAGACGTTGGAATGTCTGCAAAAACTTACAGCAAACATCATCCTTAATGGCAAATTATTGAAGTGTCTGCCTGAGATTACAAATAAGACAAGAATATCTGCTCTCACATATTTATATTCAAAATTGTATGGGAGGTCCTATCCAGTGCAATAAGGAAGAAAAAGAAATGAAAGGCATAAGAATTGAAAAGGAGAAATAAGATGGCATTATTTGCAAATGACATTATTGTGTACATAGAAAATCCAAAAGAATTTATAAACTCCTATAATCATGTGAATTTATTAATATATATGAATAGGTCAGTATACCAAAAATCACACTATTTCTGTATTGCAGAAATAAACATATAGGAATGAAATTTTAAAAATACCATTGATACTAGCATGAAAAAAAATAGTCCACCTTTAAGTAATATTGCGTCAAACACTGAGGACAAGCAAAATATCTGCAAGGCATTTACACTGAAAACTACAAAACACTACTGAAATTTTTCTAATCTAAAAAATTGAAGGATATATATCCATGAATTGTAAAGATCTTAGTCAACTTTCCAAATTGATCTGTAGATCTATAAATTCATTGCAATCCCAGTCAAAAGCTCATTTTATTTTCTTAGATGGACATTGACAACCTGATTCTAAAATTTACATTTAAATAAAAAGGGCCAAGAATGGTTAAAGCAATCTTGGAAAACAAAGCTTAAGGGCTTACACTACAAGACATCAAAACTTATGAAGCTACACTTATTACAATAGAGTAGTAATGGAGCAAAGGCAAATAGAACAATGAAACAGAATAAAGAGTTTGAGGCAAAATCCACCCATTTGGTTTATGATATCTGATTTATGACAAAGATGACACTGTAGTATATTGGGAATGAATTGTAGTTTTAATAAATGGTGCCAGACCAGTTAAATATGCACATGGAAAACAATCTTAATTTCTAGTTCAAGCCATACACAGAATCTATTCAGGATGAATGATTGAACATAATATGAAGGTAAATCAAAGTTTTTAGAGGAAAATTTAGAGGACTATCTTCAATAGCTTGGAGTAGGTAAAGACTTCTTAAAGAGCATAGAGGATTGGACAAATTGGATTTATAAATTTTATAAATTATATAAATTATAAATCCAAATTTATAATTGGATAAATTGTGTTTCCTTTGTGATTAGCAATTAAAATGAGAACTTCCATTTATCAAAAGTCACAATTGAGAAAGTGAAAAGGTAGCACAAAGAGGGATAGAAAAATATTACATAAAAATATTGGAGATATATATATATATTTATATGAATATATATATATTTTTTCTCCAGCAAAGACTCATATCCAGAATTCATTTTACACTAACTGGGACCTAACTGTTGATTTTTAGCAACCTAAGATAATTTTAATACAAATGGATAATTGAATAAGTACATGTATATGGGAATAAACATCAGCTTCAGGTATTACTTGAAATATCATCAATTAAATATTAATGAGATATAAAACCACAGCACTTCTAAATTATGTACAAAATATTGATATAAACAAAATATTAAAGATTTATGATTTCAGAACTTCACAAAGCTTTCAAAGCACGTTCCCACTTGTAAGGATGTACCAGATGCTGTACTTGATACTGAACATTCAAAGTTGAGTAATAACTCTTTTCCTGGCAATAGTGCTTCCCTACATTTTGAAAACCATGACACAGTAGAAAATAATACGTGTTATGTCCAACTATGGTAAAAAGAGGTAGTTGCTTATAGCTAGAAATTCTGGTCCAAGGCTCTAGCCAACATAGATATTGTCCAGGTTACTCCACTTTATGAGTTGAGATTAGTATCTGTCCATATTTGTAATCCATTTGTGCCTTAAGAAATCCATCACCAGCCTTTCTTCTTTTGTTCTAGCTTTTCTTTTACAAAAGATCCGGTGAACATCTCATGTTCCCGGTGGGAGAACTGGTGCTTCCTCTAGATGCCTTTGGATCTGAGATAGGTACATGAGCTAGATTTCTTATGTTCTTCCTCAATCTGGGTATCTTGGTGCAACTAGACTATTCACAACTTGTTGCATGGAAGCAATAATTGGTGTCTTGTTATTCTGCCTCCTGCCTCCACTTCTGTTTTCTGTTCTTTCTCCATGTAGTATGCATTTTCCTCATCCAGAGGGGATACATGATTTCCATTATATGAAGTGCAGTATAATTTGGCTTTGAAATAGCTGAGATAAAATTTTTCATTTGCAATGGGAATATGGCTGAAGTAAAATGATAGGTAAGCATTTCATAAAGTGGTATATAATCATAGAATTTATGCTTATTTTAAAATTATTATAGTTTTTATCCTAATTCTGTATATAACTTTCTTAGTTCTTTACAGTTGATGAATGCAAATTCTCTATACAGGTCTCAGAAAACTCTCTTGACTTATACAAAATGTGAACTTATGTCTAGTTTACAAACGTGTTTTATTTAAACTTATTTATAAAATGTTGAACATGTAATTAATTGATGGGTTTACTGTGATACCTAGCTAGATACCAAGTCAAGTGATGATTTAGAAGATTATCATAATATATTCACACATGAAAGTTTAATTCATTAATTATGATATCCTTTTATCTAGCATAAATATTTAGAGAGAACAATGGTCTATGATCACAGCATTAATTCTTACTAGGATTAGATTATAGTTGGACAATGTAATTACATAAATGCTCAAACTGAGGTAACAGGAACAGCCAGAACAAGATTCTGTAGGCAGGTTTACAGTCATCTGATTGCTACTGGTGGTGGGAACCTTAGAGATGATGAGCTTTGCATAGGAATGTTAGTAGCAAGCGTTAGCCAAGCAGAATGTTGTTTAATGAGGTGAGACCATTGGAATTGGTAAAGGCTATGACCCCCATAATAAAACTTTATGAGGCTACAACTTCCTAATTATGAACAGTCAGAAATGAATTAACAACCCCAAATCATTAAAGACAAAATGATCCAATTGTTATTCTCCAACTTCTTATAATGAGACAATCCTGTAACCAAATATTTCAGTATATGATTTTGGGATTCCTAAGTAAAGAAAGACATTTTTACTAAAATAAACTAGTAATTTAGTTGCCTATAATATGTTATTCATTAATAGACTGGTAAGAAGGTAATGAACAGAGTGTATTACAAAATGGGTAAGCGCATTCTTAATGTGTAATGATTTTTGAGGCAATTGGAAGAGAGAGTATAAAGACAATTTATGTAAGTATTTCTAATTATCAGTATAAATTCTATAAATTCTGTAGTTTTCTTCAAACCACTTACACACATTTCTTGGTAAAATTAATTCAAAGTATTTTGGATTTTCATGTAGATATTAAGAATTATTAACCTCTAGTAATTAATAGTATATATGAATGTAAAAGTTTTATCTTGTATTTAGTCACATTACTAATCAATTTTTTCAGTTTTCCAATTGATTCTTTGGCCTTTTCTGAATAAGCAGCCTAAGGTTGTAATTAGCAATGTTGTTAATATTGTATCACTGTTAAGTATCAATAATGTTTACAATGTCTTTACAAATGACTTGTTCATATTGGGATCAAAATGAAATCCACATATTTCATTTGGTGGATATGTTTCTTGTAATCTATAGCAGCCTCCTCCTGTATTGTCATGACATTTATTTATGGATAAATTTGATCATTTGCCCTGTAAGAGTTCCCACAATTTGTATTTGGCTCATGACATTTTAAGATGTTTCTCCATCTCCTCTATTTCCTGTAAACCAGTAGTTACGTCCAAGATCTTGAATGAATTCAGGTCTAAAATTTTTTTGGCAAGTATTCTTCATAGGTGATACCGTATGCTTTCAATTGTATCATGCTAAGAGTATGGTAATGTCTGATTGTTACCCTTTTATTAATGTGAAAATGGGTCAGTGATTTCACGTGATGTCAGACTGATTCATTCTTTAAAAAATTAGATCAACCTTTTTTTTTATTATACTTTAAGTTCTAGGGTACAAGCGCACAACGTGCAGGTTTGTTACATATGTATACATGTGCCATGTTGGTGTGCTGCACCCATTAACTCGTCATTTACATTAGGTATATCTCCTAATGCTATCCCTCCCCCACTCCCCTCACCCCACAACAGGCCCCAGTGTGTGATGTTCCCCTTCCTGTGTCCAAGTGTTCTCATTGTTCAATTCCCACCTATGAGTGAGAACATGCTGTGTTTGGTTTTTTGTCCTTGTGAGAGTTTGCTGAGAATGGTGGTTTCCAGCTTCATCCATGTCCCTACCTACAAAGGACATGATCTCATCCTTTTTTATGGCTGCATAGTATTCCATGATGTATATGTGCCACATTTTCTTATTCCAGTCTATCATTGATGGACATTTGGGTTGGTTCCAAGTCTTTGCTATTGTGAATAGTGCTGCAATAAACATATGTGTGCATGTGTCTTTATAGCAACATGATTTATAATCCTTTGGGTATATACCCAGTAATGGGATTGCTGGGTCAAATGGTATTTCTAGTTCTAGATCCTTAAGGAATCGCCACACTGTCTTCCACAGTGGTTGAACTAGTTTACAGTCCTACCAATAGTGTAAAAGTGTTCCTATTTCTCCACATCCTCTCCAGCACCTGTTGTTTCCTGACTTTAATGATCGCCATTCTAACTGGTATGAGATGGTATCTCATTATGGTTTTGATTTGCATTTCTCTGATGGCCAGTGATGATGAGCATTTTTTCATGTGTCTTTTGGCTGCATAAATGTCTTCTTTTGAGAAGTGTCTGTTCATATCCTTTGCCCACTTGTTGATGGGGTTGTTTGTTTTTTTCTTGTAAATTTGTTTGAGTTCTTTGTAGATTCTGGATGTTAGCCCTTTGTCAGATGAGTAGATTGCAAAATTTTTTTCCCATTCTGTAGGTTTCCTGTTCACTCTGATGGTAGTTTCTTTTGCTGTGCAGCAGCTCTTTAGTTTAATTAGATCCCATTTGTCAGTTTTGGCTTTTGTTGCCATTGCTTTTGGTGTTTTAGACATGAAGTCCTTGCCCATGCCTATGTCCTGAATGGTACTGCCTAGCTTTTCTTCTAGCATTTTTATGGTTTTAGGTCTAACATTTAAGTCTTTAATCCATCTTGAATTTATTTTTGTATAAGGTGTAAGGAAGGGATCTATTTTCAGCTTTCTACATGTGGCTAGCCAGTTTTCCCAGCACCATTTATTAGATAGGGAATCCTTTCCCCATTTCTTGTTTTTGTCAGGTTTGTCAAAGACCAGATGGTTGTAGAAGTGTGGTGTTATTTCTGAGGGCTCTGTTCTGTTCCATTGATCTATATCTCTGTTTTGGTACCAGTACCATGCTGTTTTGGTTACTGTAGCCTTGCAGTATAGTTTGAAGTCAGGTAGCCTGATGCCTCCAGCTTTGTTCTTTTGGTTTAGGATTGTCGTGGCAATGCAGGCTCTTCTTTGATTCCATATGAACTTTAAAGTAGTTTTTTCAATTCTGTGAAGAAAGTCATTGGTAGCTTGATGGGGATGGCATTGAATCTGCAAATTACCTTGGGCAGTATGGCCATTTTCATGATATTGATTCTTCCTATCCATGAGCATAGAATGTTCTTCCATTTGTTTGTGTCTTCTTTTATTTCATTGAGCAGTGGTTTGTAGTTCTCCTTGAAGAGGTCCTTCACATCCCTTGTAAGTTGGATTCCTGGGTATTTTATTCTCTTTGAAGCAATTGTGAATGGGAGTTCACTGATGATTTGGCTCTCTGTTTGTCTATTATTGGTGTATAGGAAAGCTTGTGATTTTTGTACATTGATTTTGTATCCTGAGACTTTGCTGAAGTTGCTTATCAGCTTAAGGAGATTTTGGGCTGAGACGATGGGGTTTTCTAAATATACTATCATATCATCTGCAAACAGGGACAATTTGACTTCCTCTTTTCCTAATTGAATACCCTTTATTTCTTTCTCCTGCCTGATTGCCCTGGCCAGAACTTCCAACACTATGTTGAATAAGAGTGGTGAGAGAGGGCATCCCTGTCTTGTGCAAGTTTTCAAAGGCAATACTTCCAGTTTTTGCCCATTCAGTATGATATTGGCTGTGGGTTTGTCATAGATAGCTCTTATTATTTTGAGATACGTCCCATCAATACCGAATTTATTGAGAGTTTTTAGCATGAAGGGCTGTTGAATTTTGTCAGAGGCCTTTTCTGCATCTATTGAGATAATCATGTGGTTTTTGTTTTTGGTTCTGTTTATATGCTGGATTACATTTATTGATTTGCGTGTGTTGAACCAGCCTTACATCCTAGAGATGAAGCCCACTGGATCATGGTGGATAAGCATTTTGATGTGTTGCTGGATTTGGTTTGCCAGTATTTTATTGAGGATTTTCTCATTGATGTTCATGAGGGATATTGGTCTAAAATTCTCTTTTTTTGTTGTGTCTCTGCCAGGCTTTGGTATCAGGATGATGCTGGCCTCATAAAATGAGTTAGGGAGGATTCCCTCTTTCTCTATTGATTGGAATAGTTTCAGAAGGAATGGTACCAGCTCCTCCTTGTACCTCTGGTAGAATTTGACTGTGAATTCATCTGGTCCTGGACTTTTTTTGGTTGGTAGGCTATTAATTATTGCCTCAATTTCAGAGCCTGTTGTTGGTCTATTCAGGGATTCAACTTCTTCCTGGTTTAGTCTTGGGAGGGTGTATGTGTCCAGGAATTTATCCATTTCTTCTAGATTTTCTAGTTTATTTGTGTAGAGGTGTTCATAGTATTCTCTGATGGTAGTTTGTATTTCTGTGGGACTGGTGGTGATATCCCCTTTATCATTTTTTATTGCATCTATTTGATTCTTCTCTCTTTTCTTCTTTATTAGTCTTGCTAGCGGTTTATCAATTTTGTTGATCTTTTCAAAATCTAGCTCCTGGTTTCATTGATTTTTTGAAGGGTTTTTTGTGTCTCCATTTCCTTCAGTTCTGCTCTGATCTTAGTTATTTCTTGCCTTCTGCTAGCTTTTGAATGTGTTTGCTCTTGCTTCTCTAGTTCTTTTAATTGTGATGTTAGGGTGTCGATTTTAGATCTTTCCTGCTTTCTCTTGTGGGCATTTAGTGCTATAAATTTCCCTCTACACACTGCTTTAAATGTGTCCCAGAGATTCTGGTATGTTGTGTCTTTGTTCTCATTGGTTTCAAAGAACATCTTTATTTCTGCCTTCATTTCATTATATACCCAGTAGTCATTCAGGAGCAGGTTGTTCAGTTTTCATGTAGTTGAGTGGTTTTGAGTGAGTTTCTTAATCCTGAGTTCTATTTTGATTGCACTGTGGTCTGAGAGACAGTTTGTTATAATTTCTGTTCTTTTACATTTGCTGAGGAGTGCTTTACTCCCAACTATGTGGTCAGTTTTTGAATAAGTGCGATGTGGTGCTGAGAAGAATGTATATTCTGTTGATTTGGGGTGGAGAGTTCTGTAGATGTCTGTTAGTTCCGCTCGGTGTAGAGCTGAGTTCAATTCCTGCATATCCTTGTTAACTTTCTGTCTTGTTGACAGCGGAGTGTTAAAGTCTCCCATTATTATTGTGTGGGAGTCTAAGTCTCTTTTTAGGTCTCTAAGGACTTGCTTTATGAATTTGGGTACTCCTGTATTGGGTGCATAGATATTTATGATAGTTTGCTCTTCTTGTTGAATTGATCCCTTTACCATTATGTAATGGCCTTCTTTGTCTCTTTTGATCTTTGTTGGTTTAAAGTCTGTTTTATCAGAGACTAGGATTGCAACCCCTGCCTTTTGTTTTGTTTTGTTTTTCATTTGCTTGGTAGATCTTCCTCCATCCCTTTGTTTTGAGCCTATGTGTGTCTCTGTACATGAGATGGGTCTCCTGAATACAGCACACTGATGGGTCTTGAGTCTTTATCCAATTTGCCAGTCTTTGTCTTTTAATGGGAGCATTTAGCCCATTTACATTTAAGGTTAATATTGTTATGTGTGAATTTGTTCCTGTCATTATGATGTTAGCTGGTTATTTTGCTCGTTAGTTGATGCAGTTTCTTCCTAGCATCAGTGGTCTTTACAATTTGGCATGTTTTTGCAGTGGCTGGTATCAGTTGTTCCTTTCCATGTTTAGTGCTTCCTTCAGGAGCTCTTGTAGGGCAGGCCTGATGGTGACAAAATCTCTCAGCATTTGCTTGTCTATAAAGGATTTTATTTCTCCTTTACTTATGGAGCTTAGTTTGACTGGATATGAAATTCTGGGTTGAAAATTCTTTTCTTTAAGAATATTGAATATTGGCCCCCACTCTCTTCTGGCTTGTAGAGTTTCTGCCGAGAGATCCGCTGTTAGTCTGATGGGCTTCCCTTTGTGGTTAACCCGACCTTTCTCTCTGGCTGCCCTTAACATTTTTTCCTTCATTTCCACCTTGGTGAATCTGACAATTATGTGTCTTGCAGTTGCTCTTCTCGAGGAGTATGTCTGTGGTGTTGTCTGTATTTCCTGAATTTGAATGTTGGCCTGCCTCGCTAGGTTGGGGAGGTTCTCCTGGATAATATCCTGCAGAGTGTTTTCCACCTTGTTTCCATTCTCCCCATCACTTTCAGGTACACCAGTCAGACGTAGATTTGGTCTTTTCACATAGTCCCATAGTTCTTGGAGGCTTTGCTCCTTTCTTTTTACTCTTTTTTCTCTAAACGTCTCTTCTCATTTCTTAGACAAATGGCTAACTACAATAACCAGTGTAGAGAAGTCCTTAAATGACCTGACGGAGCTGAAAACCATGGTATGAGAACTACATGACAAATGCACAAGCTTCAGTAGCCGATTCATTCAACTGGAAGAAAGGATATCAGTGACTGAAGATCAAATGAATGAAATGAAGTGAGAAGTTTTGAGAAAATAGATCAACTTTTTAACCTAATGATTTTAAGCAGCCATTGATAATCATTGCCAAGATCCATTATTTTATTAAGGAATCAAATTAGTGATTTTTCTAATTTTGTCATTGTTCTGCATTTATTCACTGTGATTTTTCTGTAAAGAACTTTCCTTCATCAACTGTGCTTATCCTCACATACAGGTTATAAGGGAAAAGATGAATATTTGATTCAATTTGCAGAATAATGAGTGAGTTCGTAGCAACCTCCAGAAGCTACAAAATGTTTTGTTTTAATTTTAGTGTATTCTTGCAGAACATGGAATATACAAATATATCTATGTTTTTTCATCTACTTTAATTCACTGTAGTAATTTATTTTATTTTTTAATAATGAAAGTCTTCATAAATTTGACATATGACTTTTGGCTACTTCACTTAAGAGTGAGTGTGTATGTTGCAGATTCATGTGTGTGGTTTGCATTTTTTTGAGGTTTTGGTTTGTTCTTATTTTTCTTATTTCACATTTATGTTTTTAAAGTTATTCCTTCTTTATTTTTTTAATCACAGCAATCCTCCCCTCATCCATGGTTTCATTTTCTATGGTTCCAGTTACTCATGGTCAACCATGGTCAGAAAACAGGTGAGTACAATACAATATGATATTTTTAGAGAGACAACATTCATGTAACTTTTATTACAGTATATTGATATAATTATTTTGTTTTATTATTGTTGTTGTTAGTCACTTACTATCCCTAATTTGTAAATTAAACTTTATCATAGTTATGTATGTATTGGAAAAGCATAATATATGATATGGTTTGGATCTGTGTCCCCACCCAAATCTTATGTCAAATTGTAATTCCCAGTGCTGGAGTTAGAGCTTGGTGGGAGGTGATTTGATCATGGGGCTGTTTCTCACGAATAGTTTAACACTGTCCCTCTAGGTGCTAGTTCTGTGATAGCAGGCGAGTTCTCGTGAGATCTCATCATTGAAAAGTGTGTGGCACCTCCCCCAACCTTGGTCCTGCTCCTGTAACATGTAAGACACCTGCTCCTGCTTTGCCTTCTGCCAGGAGTAAAAGCTCCCCTAGGCCTCCTACAAGGCAGATGCTGCCATGCTTCTTGCACAACCTGTGGAACCATAAGCCAATTAAACCTCTTTTCTTCACCCAGTCTCAGGTATTTCTTTATAGCAATGTGAGAACAGACTAATACAGTATATATAAAGTTTGGTACTGTCCTCAGTTTTGGGCATCCACTGGGGGTCTTAAAATGTATCCCTTGAGGATAAGGGTAAACTATTGTGTAGTAAAAATATGGTCTTCATAATTTCTGCTGTTGGGAATTTATTAAGTATCTTTCTCTACTCCATTATTAATTTTCTATATCTTCTTTATTGTGTCTATTTTACCTATTATAGATTAATACTGTAAATTCTCCTACAGAGAGTGTGTTTCTGCCCATTTTTCCTTATATATCTAGTATTTTTATTCTATATACTTTTGCAACCTCTAAATATTTTTTTCTTCATATTTGTATGATAAATTGTGCCAATTTCATTGTTTCTATTGTTCTTTGTTATTTTGTTTCAGTACTTTCTCCTGGAGATAAAGAACTTGATACTTTCCCATCTTTTCTTCCCAGTCTGAGATTAAAAATTCTCTATTATTTTTATAAAAATAAATATTAATATATACTTTCAAATAGTTAAAAGGATATTGAATGTTGCCAACACAAACAAATGATCAATGTTTGAGATGATCAATATGCTAATTACCCTGATCTGATCACTATATATTATATGTATGGAAATATCACTATATAACCTACGAATGTGCTAAATTATTATTAAAAATGATAATAATAAAAATTAAGGTTGTAACCATGTATAAAATAATCATTTAAATTTATAATTATATTGTTAGCTGATGTCATGTTCTTTTTGGTATCAACACTCAATTGTTATTTTTGTTTTACCTTTAATTTTTCTAGGATATGCTTTAAACATTTTATTCAGTAATTATCTGTATTTGGAATATATTTAGGGTTCTCATATTCATGATTTCCTTCTTGCCTTCATTTACATGTGGAAACCTGAGCAGAAACTTTAGTGGGAAGAAAATCTTGGAGTTACAACTGTTTCCTTCAAAGCTCTGTAGATGTTACTTCCTGTCTTCTGACACCCACGGAAGAAATGTTTGAGGCCTTCAAATTCTTTTTCTTTTGTGGGTGGCGTTAAGCGTTTATGCTGTGTTTCCCTGGATCCTTTTTTATCCCAGAGGTCCCTTTAAACATTATCGTCACTGGATCAATGTCATTAAATCATCTGACTTAAGATCCAGATATTTTACTGTCTGTCTATTCTCTCCTTGTCAAAGTAGAATTTTTGAAAGAGAAAATGTGCCTGACACCATCTTTTCTAGAATTCTGTCCAAACAGGGACATATGTGGTCAAATTTTCATTTATGTAGATAACTCTGGTGACCATGAAATATCACTATGTTGTTGGGAAGGATGAGAATGGGTGAAGAGGGAGAAGGAACACTGGAGGCTGGGAGACCCAATAGGTGACTGTGTCATAGTCTAGTAAACAACAAGGAGGGTAGCAATAGTAGGAATAGCGAAAAGGGGATAAAGTCATGAAATTTGATAACATGAAATCCACATGACTTGGTGACTCATTGGCTTTTGTTGGGAGGGATGCACAGATTGCTGATCAGGTACCAGTTAGTGCCATCAACTAAAATACACGAGGAAAAAGTGGGGTCGAGGGAGACCAATTTTGTTTCAGATTCCTTTTATTTTTTTTAATTAGGAAAAAGAAAATTATTATTTTGCTTATATTTTTGTCTGATTTTAACTTATGGGTTTGTCTAATTATTTTCCAGTGTATTTGTGTGTGTTTATTGGGGAACGAATGTGATGTTTGATTTAACAAGTCACAGAATTTTTCTGTGTTCTTTGTTACTGCATTGTTGCTCATGTGTTAATTTTATTTCCAGTGTCTATATTATTTACATAATGATGTAAATATTTATCATATTTTAAAATCATATTTAGGACAGACTCAGAACACTGTCAACCTTTGCAGTTCTAAACAAGTGCCTACACTAGTTTCTCATAATCATAATAGCTTTGAAATTAGATGAGGCTCTAAGTTAATCATACAAAAAAATTCCAAACAAACCCTAAATCATTTAAGGGATTGTAGAAAGTATTAGCCAAATTTGAAATTTATGTTATTTATTATAAATTTCTTTCATTGACAAATTAAAACATCCCCTGTAAATCGTAAGAAGGGATGCACATTTATACCAGGAACTTGACTGTTAAAAAAGCACGTTAATGTTACTTCAGAATTATTGTGAAAGAGCTAAAGAAGGCAGTATTTCCTTCCAAATACTCAAGAGTCATTGGTATTTAATGAAGAGGGATTTGTGGTTTCCTGATTTATTAGGATAGATTTTTTTCTAAAAAATCTACAGCAAAAAATAATATGTAATCTAAAAGTTTTCCAATTTGGGCTTAATAAAATCTTAGGATTGGATCTTACTGTTTTGAAACTTATTTATTCATATCACATATAAGGCTACTTTTCAAGTTTCAATAAAGGCAATTATTTTTCATGCTTTATATTTTTGTTTCTTTAGGGATTTTGATCTTATAAAGTTTTCAACTTCAGTTTATCATTAATAATTTAATTACAAAAGTAGTAATTTTTAAATTAAAAATAAATTCAAAGAATACCAAAGAATATGATGTGAAAATATTACTTCAGCTGCTTCTCATCCCAGATCCCATTGTCCAAATTAAGCACTATTCATTGTTGCTTAATCATATTGCTTAACCTTTAAAGAAGGCCTAATTCTTTAACTTTAAATAATTTAGCCCGGGGGAGAAACAGTATCTAGTTCTCTTACAAGTAACAAGAACTAAGTATCAATACCTTTAAATTTTGATAACTCACTAACCTAGAGATACTGAATAGTATTGAAAATGTTTGAACCTTTTAATTTTAGCAGCACTAAGATTGTCTTATCGTTGCTAAAATGGCCAAGTAAACTTTTTTTTCATTGTTTTGAATAAGAACATAAGCTACACTTTTAAAAACATGCTTTTCTATATTTCTAATAGATATAGCAAGTTTCACTATTCATGTCAAATCAATATATAATTTCAATATGTAATTTTAGTGATCCTAGTTCTATTTAAAAATGAAAAATATAGTTTATCAATGGTATTTTAAATGTTATTCATCTTAATATGATCCTTTGAAGGCTACACATTCCAATATCCAAGCTTTAAAGTAGTTTGTATACACCCAACATGCAAACCATGACTTTAATCATTTCCTCACCAGAACTTCAATTATGCCAAGCACTTTTTAATTATCCTGTGGCCCACAAGTCTATTCTTAGTAAAAGTCTGATTTTATGGAGGCAGTCTTCTCCTCTGTGGCAAAAATCAACTCACCACTTAGCAACTCCACCCATGAAAAAGCCCTGTGAATTAAAAGCTACTAAATTAAGTGTGTATTTTTAACAGCTTCAATTTTGAAGTCTGTTTTGGCATAAAAGTTGAAGACTTTTTTTTGAAGTACAAAAATGCTATGTTGGCATTTCCTGGTATTTTCAGAATGCAATTTGTTTTTTGGGTTGTCCCTTTTACAAAGTTAGTTTCTTATAACATCAATTTTTTTTTTCTAAGGGGAATATATGTAATCAACTTGCCCTATCACTTTGTCTTTTTTATCTTATTTTAAAAAAGCAAATTCTGAACCAAGAAGAACAATGAAATAAAAAGAATTTCTGTGTGAGGCAGGGCTGTAGGATAGGAGGAGAAGGTTTGGGGGCACAGGGGGAAGCAGAGGAATCACAGAGCTGAAGTGTAAATGGGCTCAGTGTTTCCTGCACAGATCAAAACCTGGAACAGAAATCTAGAAATTAAGAAAAAGTAAGGCACGTAGAATTATTATGCTTTTTACTATTTTCATTTCATAGTAATGGAAAATCTGTTTTTCCCAATTAATACAAACACAATACAAAGTCATTTTAGGAAATGCTTGTATAAGGCTAATGCTTATAAGATATATTAAACACTAGTATATAATACATTCATTCAAGAAATAATAAGGACCTGCTATGTACAGGGCCCTGTACTTCTCTTGTGTTACAGTATAGCTCCAATAAATGATTGTATTATGATCCACCCTCCCAAAAATGTGGTGTTCAAAAGCTGAACTTAGGAAACGTGACACATACTGTGCCCTCAGTCAACACCTGTTTTCCTTGTTTTTCCCTGCTGTCATCTATTATAGAGGTTGGAATATCTAAAAGTTCCCCAGTTTGCCTTACAAATAAAAGTTGCTTGACAAGGTTCTGGCCAATGAGATGTAAAGAGAAAGTCACTGATACCACACAGTCTCTTTCTAGTATGCTCTGGAAGTGCTGCTTCATTCACCCCAGGTGGTGGAGCTGAGAAGCCAGAAGACTCTTTGAAGGTGCTCTTGACCTACTGTACTAACTGTGGACCTCCTACTCGGGACTTCTTATGGCATAAAATATACACTCCTCTTCCTTGTTTAAATGACCATTTGCTGGGTTTCTGTTACTCTTGGCTGCATGAGTTACTGACTCAGGAAAAAAATTTGGCAATAAGCATGACAGTGGTCTTCATATTCCAAATTGTGATGAACAGTGTCTAAGACGGCCCACAATGATCCCCACCTCCTTCTCCGCCTTGTGTAGTTCCTCTTCCACTCTCTACCAGGGTCAGTTTCTGTGACCAATAGGAAGTGGCAGAAGTGAGGGTTGTTGCTTCTGAAGTTATAAAAGGTTACATATGCTGGGGTGCTCTCTCTCTGATTCTTTGCTCTGGGGAAGTCAGCTACCATGTTATGTGAGCAGCTCTATGGAAAGGTCCACATCGTACAAAACTGGAGCCTCCTGCCAACAGGAGCTTGGAAGCTGACTCTGTGGTCCCTTCAGATGATGGCCATCTCACAAGAGACCCTGAGACAAAGCCACCTAGTGGTGCCCCTTTCAGATTCCTAACCCTCAATAGTAAATGTTTGTTGTTTTAAGCCACTAAATTTTAGGGTGATTTATTACTTAGCAATAGAGAACTAAGAAACAAATGGATTGATTATAGTATCTAAATGATGTGCTTTAAAAATACTCAATTTAAAAATATTTTATAGTTCTTTAATAACACATTTTGGTATAGGAAATGGATATATCCTATATATATATTGGTAACATTTTTCATATTGAAATATATGTCCTCATATGTTTGCTATTAAAACTTTTTTGGCCTTCTTAATGTTTAGGTGCTATTTACTGACTAATTGAATATGTGATCTAGATAGTGTTCTTTATATGAGTCAGAAAATATCCCAGCTTTCATGGAATTGCTACTCTGGTGTGGGAGGCAAATAATCGAACAAGTAAACAAATAAGACAGTTTTATATAGGGCTGATCATTGGGAAGGAGATAAAACCATTAAATGATAGACTCAGGATGAAGATGGCTGGATTTTGGAGAGAGTGACTTATGCTAGGAGGGAACATTGTTACTGAAATCTGAATGCTTAGAAGAGGCCAGAAATGTAAAGGTTATTCCAAGCAGAGCATGCAGAGAGTGCAGAGGCTAGGAGGTGGGAATTCTTAGCTTGCTTAAGCAATTGAAGTAAGGCCATTATGGCTGAACCACAATGAATGAAGGAGAATAGGAGGAGGGCCTGGTTCCTTGAAGGTGGCTTCTTATTGCTAGAAACAAAGTAGGAGGGCCAAGCTTTGTAGGACACAGTAAGAAGTTCAATGAAAGCCACTGGAGAGTTCTAAGCAGGGCAACATCATGATTTGTGTATTGACAACAATCTGTGAGGCTGCTGGGTGCAGGATAGATAATAGGGCAAGAGGATGGAGAACAACTAGGAGGCAGTTGTGCTTAGCATATATAGAAACTGTATGAGTGAGTGTGTGATAAGTGAATGAATGAATATGTCAGAGTCAATCAAGAATGACTATAGTTTGGGTCAGTGTGATGGCAGTGGAGGTGCAATCATGTGGACAGATTTGCACTATATTTTGGAAGTAGAAACAGTAGAAGAACTTGATAATGCTTTGGAAATTTGCATCTGGAAAGGCAGTGAGGGAAAAAGCAGACTCAAGAAAAAATAACTCCCACCATTCTGATTTAAGCAATTGGGTAGATGAACATGCATTTATAAGTTGAGCAAGGACTGCGTGGGAGTATATTTGGGAGACAAAAGCTTTTGTTGGTTTTGAAATATCTGATATTTTCATGTGAAGATTGTAATCAGAGAACTCAACTGGGTATTTGACTACGTTGCTTATAAGAGGGGTCAGGGCTAGAGAAATACATTGAGGAGCTGTCATCAATTTCTCAGAGATTCATAGTGCAGGCTAATTTATACAGGCTTTCAAAATCAAGCTTCATTGGCTGTGAAATCTCGTCATGCTAAAGGGAGCCAACAGACTGAGATAAAAATATATAGATGCTATTTAGATCATGCCACTGGATGAGGTATAGCTCTAGAAGAAGACAGAGCTAGTGGAGCTTAAGGGCGCTACAGCATCACAACAATGCTTTAACTTTGATACCATCAAAATTGACGTCACTTTAGAAAATGTTCTGAATAGTTTCCAGGTCTTTGTAGAGCTCTCTTTTTTTCAAGGAAATTGACAGAATTTTGTATCTTGGCTTAGCACTCTCTCCAGCATTAGTCATGTGGCTTTCTGTGTCTTCTTAGAAATAATAGTTCTCATTTCTGGGATTGTAGATGGTTTTCTTGAATTTATTTTTAAAATGTGTGGTATTTTCATAGAAAAGTAATGCAGTAATGTACCACTGGTACGGCACATTGATTAGACATGCTTTTACTTCTTAATACACCCAGTGTACAAAAAGGGATCACAAGAGAAAAACAAAAGAATTCTGCTACTCAAGATCTTACAACACTGTGTGATACGTATCTGTTAGCAATAATAGGAAGCTACTTCACACTTCTGCAGTGATCTGAAAACTGTCAGATGCCTTTGAACTTGCCATGTCTGCATGCAGCTCCTGCACTTATTTGAGTTACATGAGGTTGCATGTTCTTATTGAGAGTTAAGAGTTCTCATTTGAAAGTGGTCCAGTCTTGCAAAACTCTAACGATGAAAGTATCTCACTTACTGGAAGGCAATGTAGATGTCTGGGTCACCAATTGAGAATAAGTGACTTCGTGGATGTTAAGCACCAATAAGAGGCAGTTTCAGATGGCTGGCCAGCTACCTCACACAGGAATCTAAGACAGGAAGGCTGCAGTCATGTGCAATTTAATGGCAAGTCTAGTAAGGATGATAATTTCAAAGTAGTGATGAAAGTAAATGATATTTGGAGATATCTCCAATAACAGTAATAAGAGATTAAAATATCCGTGGTTACTATTGGTGACAAGGTGACTTGTTCTGCTCCTACAATGGTGATTTGCTGTCTACATTCACAATGAAAGGAAAGGCTAAATGTCAGTTAGAAGTTTAATGAAAATAGGCTGGGCGTGGTGGCTCATGCCTGTAATCTCAGCACTTTGGGAGGCTGAGGCAGGCCGATCACTTGAGGTCAGGAGTTTGAGACCAGCCTTGTCAACATGGTGAAACCCCGTCTCTACTGAAAATACAAAAATTAGCCAGGCGTGGTGCCGGGTGCCTGTAATCCCACCTACTTGGCAGGCTGAGGCAGGAGAATCGCTTGAACCCGGGAGGCAGAGGTTGCAGTGAGCCAAGATTGAACCACTGCACTCCAGCCTTGGGAACAGAGTGAGACTCCGTCTCAAAAAAAAAAAAAAAAGAAATTTAGAAAAAATAAAGATGTGATTTACTTTTCCCATCCATGTTTATGCATGCATTTGCGGACCCCAGGTAAGAGCCCCTGGTTTAAGTGGAAATTAAAGTAATATGCCTGAGTTAACATGCTGTAGTTTGAGGGGATCACTATTCATCTTTTCACTATTTATCTTTTCTTCCCCACCTGATTTTAGGACAAACTGAGAGTAAAAGATGCAGGAATAAAACACAGAAATCAAAATAAAGGGTTTACTGCTGAAAAATCCGCTTGAACAAGCCTGTTAATGTGATCTTCCTGAATGAAGCCAGCTTACCCCTAGGCCTCCACTGTCCCTCAGGAAAGAGAACACGAAAACTGGAACTCTCTGCAGAAAGGAGGATCCCAAAGAAGGGGCCAAGCTGTACATTTATCAATCAGGAAAGCCACTCCACCCTCCATGGCAGCCCCTACAATTTGAAACAAGTATTCTTCCTAACATAACACATTAATTCATGAGTTTATCAGTTCATTTCATTTTTACTTTGAGATTTTTGTGAATAACCATAGAAAAATCTATTTCACCTGGCAATAAATAGGAAAAGGCACAGCATAATGTTTAAATACAGAGAATATTGTTACATGTAAGATGTTGATTGAATGTTCTAAATACAATTTGAAAACTGCGTGAGAGGAGGAAAACGTATATTCAGAAGGACTTAGGTGAATCCAGATGAATATTTTCATGACAGGATGTTGGCTATTGATATGAAGAAAGTAGAGGAATAGACTTGCTAAAAGTTAGAGGAGTCTAGTTTATCTTCCAAGAAGCTTTGCAACCCTGTAATACTGTAGAAATCACAAATTTGGCAATAATTTTAAGATAATTTATGTTCATTTTTTATGGAATGCCATGTTTATCTTTTTATATATGACATTTTCTGGTCAGTAGTAATATATATATCCTTTATTAAAATTGGAAAATAAATACAAACATTTTATTTATTTATTGGTTAAAAAATTATTATGCTCATTCTTTTTTTTTTTAACCAGTAAGGATCTGGATAAAGAAAAACATTTTAGAAAACCACTTGTAGAGTACCATGAACCAGTCTCTCTTCTCCATTTTAAAAAATTTATTGACTCACTTTTTTTCCATAACTTTTTGAGATATTATTTCAACCACTTTGCATTTAGAGAAAAAGAGTCAGAGAGTGATTAAGAAATCTGCCCAATGCTATACTGATAGAAGCTGGGAGAACTGGGATTTGAGCTTACATAGGCTAGTTCTAGCATTTGTGAAGTTCTCGCCTAATAAAAATTATCTGTAATCATAACCAGAGCAAGTCATTTCTAACCTCCTGTCTATAGACACGCGGATACATTTGTAATGTTTTTGTTTGTTTGTTTTTAGCACGACAGATCAATTCCTGCTGGCATTATAGTTCTTTAACTATCATAGCTTCTCTGATTTTTCAACACATCTGTCATCCGTATTCTGCAGGCATAGCCAACTCTGTCAGTGTCTCCTCAGGCAATCAGAATCAACAGACAGAATGTAGGACAGAAAACTGGCTGCAAACATGTTGGAAGGGCTGGAGGAGCGAAAGAGGGAAGATCTGTTACCTAGAGATAGTAACTTCCAGAAGTTACCACTATACTAGTGCAGGAGAAGCAGAAAGGAAGATGCTGCTACCCAGAGCCCACAGTCATTGTGCCCCTGATGCCGCTGGAACCCCACTGCAGCTGCTTTACAGGAAGCAGGGAATTAGCGCTCTTGCTGATGCTACAGGTATCCAGGATCCAAAAGTCATCAGCCGCTGTCCCTGTTGCAGCCTAGGGAAACTGTCCCACTGAGGTTGTTGGGGTACCTGCTACTGCATCTACTGTCTGAACCATGTTGCCTGAGCAGATGTCCAGGGCTCAGGCTTGCCTGCTGCTGTTACTGCTGCCACCATGTTTATCAGAGCTACTTCAAGAAGAGAAGAAATCCTCCTCATTTCCAGTTTTTTCCAGTGCCTCCCATTGCTTCCCAGAATGCCAAATTCTCTTTGAGAGACAGCTGAAAGGAAGGTTTGGAAAAGACTCTGGTGTAAGCAGATTCTGCTTCCCTGCAATAGGGGGAAAGCATAGGGTGGAACTGGAGCTGAGAGCTAATCACGAATGAGCAAATCAGTCTTCAAGACATTTACCTTTCCTTGAAACGTTTCCCTTCTTTTACCGTGTTTTCCATGTCATTATTTTTCCACAATTCTGCATCATATTCTGTTAACTATTAATGCCCTGGATAAGTTTATTTGCTCTTTCTTAGGGTTAATTTTTCTCCTTTTCTTCGAAGCTTTAGTTTGCAGGTTCAGCTTGTGTGGGAATTTTCATCTCCCTCCTCTTCAAGACTCCTTGGATATCAGTTTTTTGGTTGCCTTCACCAACTCTCCCCCCACCATCTCTAGACCAGGGCATGGTCTTAGTTGGTGGCTTGGACTCCTGTGGCTTGGAGTCTTTGGGGATATTAGAGATCCAGTCACTGAGCTGGCAAAGGGAACACTGTCCTTGCTTCCAGCTTTATGAAGAACGCTTTGCTCTGTCACCCCACGTGAGTCCAACTCTTGGCTGCCTACACTGCCTGAGGCTTCAGTTCTGGCATCGTGCTGCATGTGATCTATTATCCTGCTTTTGAATATGCCTATGACTTTTCTTTATATATTTTTAAAAATGTTATTATTGGTATGTTTACAGTGAAGGGAAGAATGTGAAGCATGAACTCAAGAGTCACAGTAATGATAAATTTTAATGATTGTAATTGTCCTATCTGTCATAATACATTTATTTTGTTGATTTGTTTGGATTTTCTAGGTAAATAATCATGTTATTCAAGGATAATGAATGCAGCCACCATGTAATCATCACTGACTCCATGGCAAGTACACTCTGCCTTGTGCTTTATATACTTGTCAGGACTCAGAAATGGGCAAAGAGGATCACTGGTGTCTTTCAGTGGAGTGCTGGGCATTATAGTGGAGTCCTGGATTATCTGATTCCAAGAATTCACACCTTGACTTTCTATTGACTAGGTTATTTTGCAGCTCTGCAGAGGTAGCTGTTAAATTGTTGAAAACTGCTGACAATGCAGCAAATTCTTATTCATACCAAAGCAAACAAATTTTGACTGGTTGATTATAAAGCTCTATAAGTCAAATTCTCATTTGAACAGATCTTACTATATTAGTGGTTCCCTCAGTAATTAAAGAGTTGAAATAAAATCTTTGACATATGTTTCTTTTATAACTGTAGAAGGGTCATAATTTTACTTTTTTGAAAATTATCCTTTAGCATACATAGTATCTTTTAGTCTTCACAACCTGAGAGGTAAGTATCACTCCCATTTAATAGATGAGAAAACCGAGACTCAGATCAAATGCTTGCCTGCTCAATGTCAGATTAACTACTAAGTGGTCAAGCTGGGATTTGAATGCCAAATTTTGCTCTCTTCAAGCTCTGCTTTCAAGATCTGTGGTCTTACATATTTTTGCTTCCTGGAGAAACCCCATTTACTCACAAATAAAATGATGAAAAAATATGAACTTTGATAAAACAATATTAATAATGACTAATATTTATTAAGTGTTTACTGTAAGCCAAACACCAAACTAAACTTATTTGGATTAATTCATGTAAGTAACAATGAGAGAAGTGAGTTTAAAGAGGTTCAATAACATGCTCAAGGCTTTACATGCTATTTCTAACTTTTTCTCTTCTTTCTCCAAATGCCTAGTTTTCCACATTAGCTGCACGCTAGAATCATCTAGAGAGAGCTCCTTAAAAATATTAGGGTATCAGCATATCTTAAAAGATTCCTAGGTGATTCTAATATGGAGAATCACCACATAATAGAGAGGACTTTTCCTGCTTCCCTAGCTGATACTTAAGAGAACTGGACAAATCTGCAATATTTGTTTTGGTTTTTCTGCTGTAGCTTGGAAAAGGAGTAATGGGGCTGAAATCTGTACTATCCTGAAGCTTGAGTGTCTAGATGTATGCAGGGCTTAGCTAAAAGCATTTGAAAAAGCATCTCAGCCAAAGGTCAAATCATAGCAGGAGCACAGCAATTTAGAGAAACCATCTGAGTGGTAAGAAAATGACTTTTACATGGACTCACTAAAAGATTTAGATATGCCTTAATAAGGCCAGACAATAACACATATTGTCAGTATTTGCTAAACAAATTCTCTTCTTGTAATTTGGAAATGATTTCAATCACATATTAATATTTTATATAAACATCCTTATCCCCTTGCCCACAGAAGCAGACACAGTAGCCTAGCTACTCAAAAGCCATTCACAATCTTTCATTCTTGTCTTTTCCTTCATCATAACTTGAAAACTAAAACATTTAGGTTTCCAACCATCTTTCCATTAGAAGTAACCTTGTGACCCAATTCTCGACCAGTAAGATGAAAACAGTTGTTATGAAACTTTGAAACGTCATTTTTAAAGAGATAAACTAAGAAGCCCCAGCCTTATATATAGATGAGCCTTGAGGTGGTAGAGCAGCTATTTTGTGACCGTGTAGAAAAAGCCACAAGCCAAGAATGGTGGAACAGAAAACTGAAAGGACGCTGGGTTCTTGATGATATCGTGGAGTCATGTACCAGTCCTCAACAACCTCATATCAGAAATTTTTTAACATAAAAAAGTTAGTCCCTTAATCATACAGTCTACTCTTGGTTGGTTTTTCTGTTGCTTGCAGCTGAAGGAAACCCTAACTGATACATTTGTCAAAACATGGAAATAAGAATGTATTTTTTGTTGTTATTTTATTTGAAAAACCACTGTTAAACAAAAGCTTTGAAAGCCAACTTCAGTCAATTTAATTAAGCCCAATAAGAAATCTACACAAGTCATGTCTTTTTTAAGTCAGTCATGTGTTGTCTTCTACCTTAGTTAGTTTCCATTCTGATTTCAAATTGAGTGACAAACTCTGGTAATATATACCCAGAATTTTTCTAAATTAACTCCTATTTTTTCCCCTTTTACAACAATACATTACAAAACCTAACACTTAATAGAAACCAACTTTCTTCTCTTAGATTTAATTGTAATGCAGAAATCTAGCAACAGGATCAATTGTGATATTTTGTAATGCAAAACTCCCAAGTAACTTTTAGGCCTTTAAGCATCTCATCATGAGAAACATGGATTAAATATATAATAACATTGTAAGAAAAATGTGTCCTGTTTTATTGGACCTTCTTGCTGCTTTCTTTTTTCACCTTTTCATATGGTTTCTTCATAATTGTTCTACCCAATTCTCAGCCAGTCTTGTTTGTTCATATTTCAGATTGGCAATGTGGTAAAAACATAGTGATTTGTGATCATTCAAGAGTAGTTTGATCAGTAAAATAGATTAAATCTAAAACATCTAGATTAAAATAGCAAGTTCTTAGATAATCAGAAGAATACTGTAATTGTTCTCTTATATAATTTTTATTTTAATTTTTTAGAGACAGCGTCTCTCACTGTCACCTAGGCTGGAGTGCAGTAGCATGATCATAGCTCACTGCAGCCTTGGACTTCTGGGCTCAAGCTGTTCTCCCCTCTCAGCCTCTCAAGTAGCTAGGTCTGTGAGCAAATGCTACCACGCCCAGGTAATTTTTTTTTTTAATTTTTGTAGAGACGTCTCTCTGTGTTTTCCAGGCTGGT
Organism: Homo sapiens; assembly: GCF_000001405.40. NCBI lineage: Eukaryota > Metazoa > Chordata > Mammalia > Primates > Hominidae > Homo > Homo sapiens. The sequence continues at coordinate 86,315,548 of NC_000001.11, read as the reverse complement.
CTTGAACTCCTGGCCTCAACCAGTCCTCCTACCTTAGCTTCCCGAAGTTCTGGGATTTACAGGCATGAGCCGCCATGCCTGGCCTGCCATATATAAACTTTAGGTATTTTAGTATAACGTACTTTGTTCTAAATTTTTTCTAACCATAATACAGTCTTTCTTTAATTCAGAGTACATGGTCTTTTCTGCCCAGTAGAGCTTACGTTTGTGTTAAGAAAATTTTCTTTTATGATTACCCATAGGTCAACAAATTTTAGCCTTTTATAGGAAGACTGAATTTACTTTTCAAAACTGAGTAAATTGTTAAGCTCATTTTGAGTGATGCAAGTAACCCATCCAATGCAATGTAGATTGTCCTTCTTATCTTTATTATTAATGAAGAGAAACACAACCATTTAGAGTTTCTCAAAGGAGATCGAATTTTCAATATTTAGGGTGTGGGCCAGTGTTTTGGAATGAACATGTTTTTTCTTCATGAGTTTCATTAAACATGTTTACTAATGTTTTACACCAGTGGAATTTCATATCTGTCAGAATTCATGATCTCATTCAGTTGTTATTAGAAAAACTTTAGACAAATTAAATTTAATGGAGTTTAACTGAGCAAAGAATGATTTGCACATCAGACAGCCCTCAGAACCAAAATAGGTTTGGAGCAATTCTGGTGCTGCAGCGTGGTCAGATCATTTTATGGACAGAAAAAGGAATGTGACATTCAAAAAATGGAAGCGAGGTACTGAAACAGTTGGATTGGTTACAGCTGGGTGTTTGCCTTATTTGAACCTGGTTCGAACAGTTTGCTACCTGTGATTGGCTACTTGTTACAAGAGTAGGTTACAGTCTGTTTACATATCAAGTTAGGTTATAGCTCACTATGCATGGAGAAACCTTTAGGCAAAAGTTAAAATACATAGGGAGGCAGCTTTAGGCCAAACTGAATTTAACAATGACCCCTCCAACCTCTTAATTATACCACAAACTTTAAGCATAATGTCACTTTCTGTCATTATTGTAAATGAACAGACTTATTTGGTCTCAGTATAGAATTCATAATTCTTATTTGGTCTCAGCTCCCATCTGTTTTGAGATCTGTTTGCTTCTTTAAGGCTTTGGTTTGATTATGTGGAACATAGCATAAGTGACTCCAAGCTGGGTTAGTGTAGTGTGTTAGGGCCTAGTGCATGAGTTCAGTTCAAAACAGTGGCCTCTCATAATTTTGTTTAACAAATGTTAGATGAGAGCATGACCAAAACTTAGAGCTTTGTTGCTATTCTTAGTTACCATCATTTTGGGGTTCTAGTCTCAACAAGTCAATCATAGGTTACAGTAGTGTCCTCATGATCACATGTCTTTGGGTTTTTGTTGTTCTAGCTGAAGAGGGACCATTTGGCATTCTACAGATGGCTGCATGTACACATTTAAAACTTTTGAGAGAATACGGCACATCAGGGAGACTACTATTATGGCTATCAAAAGGATAATACCAAGAGTTTGGAGTATGCTTCTTAGCCAGGTTTCCCATGAACAAAACCAATCAAAATCAAATAGATCAAAGAATGAACCAGATGAGGAATCTACCTATTTTAACTAAGCAGCTTGTTGGTTAATCCCCTGTGACTGAGTCTCTATAATACCTGATGTATTCATCTATGTGTAATAAGTGTCAAAAACTGCACAGATTCCTCTCTTTTCATAGTTAATCTAGAGCAATTTTATTATCTAATAAAACTTTAGAAAGAGAATTTAAAGAAGTCTGTTGTGCAACCATAGCCTTTGCAGTTGAACCTGCTGTAGAGCCTATAATGAGTGATACATTTGTAAGCACTGCCTCATTTATATTTATTTCAGGCCATGAGAAAAGAGACCTAAGAAATGATGCCCATCCAGAAGAGTGAAGACTTCCTGAAAATGTTCTTTTAACCTAAGATGTAGGTTAAGAGGAGTGAAAAAATGTTCTGTTTCTGACTGATGATGGAGCAACAAAGGTACTATTAAAATTTCTAGCCCATATTGGCCCTTCATCTTCTATCCATCAGGGCATAAGTTGCTCAGGTATAAAGTTGGCTGCAAAATCCTCCACAAATAAAAGCATACCCCATCGGTGCACCCAAGGCCCCTTTCCCAATTATATTGTTCATAGAGGCATAAGCAAGGAAAAGGTAAAAAATTAAGAGAGGTAAAAGTTTTCTGATGGCAGAGAATTCTTGATCCATGATCTTGGGAAAGTTGTCCATGTCTAGGATGCTGTCTGCTTCTGGGGAGAGACTTCTCTGATTAGCTGTACCTTAAGGTCTCCAACAGGTGTACAGTTCCAAGAGTCTGAAGGGGCCACTCTGAGTTGTGTGATTACAGGCCCAACGTTCAGTGTCCCAGCGTTTTGCTGCAGTGTTGGTGGCAAGGGCAGTCTTCCTCTAATATCATTCCCAGAAAACCCGGTCTCCAGGTTGTAGATTATGAAGGGTTTGATTGTCTTAAGTTGGTGGATCATGAACAGTTTCTTTTACTTGGTAAAAATACACTTTGGCATAAGGCATTAAAGCCTTGCAGCATTTAGTCATACCAGAGGTTAGGAGCAGAACATACATGAGTTTCTATTATTAGGGAAATAGGCCTTCCAGTAACTATTCCATAAGAGATCAACTTATGTTTCCCACTGGAAGTGGATTTGGTTGTAATCAATCTATAATATCTTTGACTGAGGCAATCTAGTTGATTCAGTTTGCTTTACTTAATGTGACTGTATCCATAATACCTTATTTAACTGTTTTACAACTTGTCCAGTGAAACAAGTAGATCTATTGCTGGAGTTTTCTCCAGGAATACGCCATGAGGGAAACACATTTTCTAATAACTTTTTAGCTACTCTTGTAGCCTTCCTATATGGGAAAGCTTCTGTACAACCAGAAAACATGCAGTGAAAATGGCAATTTAATGAAATCCCTTTATAAATGACCCAACAGATTGAAGAAATGTACCTGAAGTTTTGGTTGTCTTATCAGGATTATGGCTTTGACAAATCAAAAATTAATCATCAACCATTACAGAAATTTAGAATAGTCACCACACCAATATTTTTTCCCATAATTTGGATCATTGTATCTCTTCCATGTTGAGTCATGGAGTGGAAAGCTTACAGTGAAGCTTCAGGGACTCAGGAAGCAGTCCAGGCTCCATGAGTCCATGCTTAACATTGGGTTTATAGCCTCTTAAATTCCAGTTTTGTTTCTCTAACTTAGGTGTGTAGCACTCTTTGTTAAATATGTTATCATAGGTAATTTGACCTGGACCATGGAGTTTATTGGAATTGCATATCTTAACAATTTCAGTACTTATAAACTTAGTATGAAAATCTGCAAACATATTTCCTTGGTATTTAATTAATTCTAGTCTGCTTGGGTAAGCAATTTCATAAACCAGTTTCTTCATTAGAGTTCTGATATGATCCTAAAGTAATCAGAAACCTGTATTCAAAAGTGCTTGTCAGGGTCCTTTCCATCCTTTCCATGAACCTCCTTGAAGACATAACACTTCAGGATTATAATTGCTTGTAAAGAGCTTTCAGAAAAGGCAGCAGAATTAATCAATTAACTAGAGACAACAAGACCTAAAATGGTTATAATTAAAGACATAATTGACAAGAAAGTTTAATTTTTTATGTGGCCTACAATAATTTAACATAATAACCATAGTATCATGACTGATAACATATACCATGACATGTCAGAATTTTAGAAATCTCATACTATTTTTGGAAAACAATATAACTGAGAAAAAGGCTAAACATCATTTCTTATTTGACAATGCTTCCCATATAATTAAACATATCAAATAAGCCTATTTATTATATCTCTTTTGAATGCTTCAAGGGCTCTCTGTAGCATCCGAAGGTTAGTTTGAAGTCAAAAAGACTTAATTTTTCTTTTGAAATTTGATGTTGGGAAGCCTGTCAAATATGTCAAAGGTTTAAAATACTTGATCAAAATAGGATCACAGATCACTCTGAAATAATAATCATTCATTTAGCCAAATTGATAATTGAAAGTTTTAAAAAGCAAAAACCTTTACTCTTTGATAGAGGGAAGACCTAATTTTCCAAATAATTAAAAGACCTACAAAAGACATCATGAAGCATGTAAATCTGTTTCTCTTTCTCTCCCCTCCCACTCTCACCTTTTGCAGTTTACTCAAAAGGTGAACAAAAAATCTTTTACTATCTCTTATTATATTACAGAAAAATCTTTAAAAAATTTTCCCCATGATATAGTCTCAGGAGGTCCTGAGAACCTATGCCCCAGAAAAATCTTGTTTAAAGGAGAAAACCAAATTCTCATTTCGTACTAGTGTAATTTTGATAGTAATGCTGTTTTTAGAAAAAACTTATAATTCCCTTCCAATTTTAGCCAGCTTAATTGCACATAAAATTCTTTTCACAAGATTCATCTTTCATAAACTTTCTACAACCTTTTCTCTTTTTCATTTTGGGACAACTAATCATCCTATTTCAAGACAAAAATTCCTTTTGTTTCCCTTAACTAAAACACATCTTTCATGTAAGCTTCACTTACCAAAAACATGTCTTACTTTCCTTGCATAAGGAGTTGTTTTAATTACCATATGTTAATTAGATTTTTAAAACTGTAGTAACCTTAATTTATCATGAAAACCTAGGACATAAGCAACTTTGAACTGTTTTATATCAACATTTTGTCAATGGTAACCATTTCATAATTTTTAGAACCATGTTTCCTCGTAACAAAATTTTTTGTTTATTTACAAACCCAAATATACTTAGCTTCTCCATACCATATAAAAATAAATTAAATGTATAAACTTAAATTTATGCTTAATAATTAGTGTTTCAGTGTTTTAACTGACTTAGAAATGGCCCAGACATTTAATAAGTATCTATTACTTAATTTAATATGACTTGAAGGTTCAAAATTGTTAAAAAGGATTTTTGAAATTATTACAAGTTCATTTATAAACTTTTATTCATGACACATCAGATTTGATTTTCTCATTCTTAACAAATATAGCTGAGTTGCTCATTAAACAAAGCTAGCCATTGAAAGATGTTACTTAACTTCTCTGTGCTTCAGTTTCTCATCTACAAAGGAGAAAATAATTATCCCTGTTTTCTAGGGTGCTTGTAAGGATTAAACAAGATTACATACTGGTAGCATTTAGAACAAGGCTTGACATATAGTAGCTATTTCAGACTAACTGTGGGTAACTTCTTACTATTACTGGCATCATCACCATCATCTTATCTCCCTGCCTCCTTTCCTTTGTGGCAATCTTTGTGAGCTGTAATTACATTGGTTATTTACTCACTGATTGTCTGCAGCACGTATAGCACGGTAGAATGCAAGGCCCCATAGTAGGATGCAAGGTAGAGGGAAAGAGCCTCCTCTACCTTGTTGATTTCTCTCCCCTTTACATCTCCTTTGAGCTTGGAGCACAGTAGGTCTCAATAAATTAGACATTTCAACTATTCTCTTTATCTTGTACTACATTTGTCATTGTTGACCATGCCATTCTTCTTGAAACGCTCTTTTTTTTCCTTTCCTCACCTTCCTCTGCCCATATTTTTAAATGCCAGGATATGTCTCTTTGAGGTTAAAGGACAGAACAGAGGCATGAGTGGTGGTTGAGACCGGGTGAGGTACTGGGTATCCAGTGGAGCTGGTGAGAGAAGGAAGGATGCCTGGGGCTGCTGATCATAATTGAAGAGGAGAACATTGGACTGAGCCAACAGGGTGAAGTTGGGAGTAAAGGGCTTGGGCTTACTTTTAAGGCTCTAGATTAACTCAGTATGGATTAGGCCCCCCTATGCATCAGACTGAGCTGGCATTAGATAAGAAACATAAACAAGATATGGTCTGTGCCAACAAGGATATCAAAATATAGATGTGGATAGACAAAATATAAACAAATACTTGAAATTCACTATAGGAAGAGCTGTGTAGAGATGTGTGCAAGGTGCTGTGCTGGTAATGAAGGGAGTGAAATCTGCTGTCTTGGGGCCCTGGGATAGAGAGAGGAGTAGAAATATGAAGTGAGCCTTGAATATATCACACCAACCAGGGAAAGAAAACTCAAGCTTTTTTGTGGATTGATTTGATAGATAAAGCTACTACTTAATCTTGAGAATTCTTAATATTGAATTCTACGTGCCAATTTTAGAAGGGAGAGAGGGTAGATGGTTATTTGGGATGGCGGTATGGGTGAGTTGACTGGGGGTAGATGGATAGGTAGAAGACTGGGAGATGGATGCCAAGAAATCCCATAGAGATTTTGGATGATATTGCTTTACTAAAGTTCTGCTTGGACAATATACCCAGATGCAATAGTGCCCTGGGAAAGCCATCCACATCTTCCTATGTACCAATTTCAGATTTTATTATGATAACAGTAGTTATTGATATCTACTGTGAACCTGACATTATTCTAGGTTCTTTTTATATATTATCTCTAACTACCCTAGAAGAACAGTTTGAGGAAATTGAGACTTAGAGAAGTTACTTACCAAAGGTAACACAGAAAGTAGATGGCCTGGATTCAAACCTCGATTTACATAAATCTAAAGCTCATGTTTTTCCTACTGTATCACAAGGATGATTCCTACTTTTTTCTGAGCAAGGACACAATTTGTTTCTGTGCCCACTTGCAAACCTAATCACTGGTCTGCTTCAAGAATTCTCTCCAACTCTTGGAATATAAAGGGCAGCTAGGAATGACACTGCTATTCCATTTCCATGATGCCTCTCCTTTAATACAAATGATTTTTCTTCTAACACTGAATGACCTTTGGCAATATCAAATGCTTTCTTTTGTGTTTGGAATGGTGGCCACCACCACAGTCAATTTACTTCTGACATCTATTTCATGCCTCTCCAGAGAGAATTATCAGCTGTGGTTTCTGTTATTTGCAATTAAGACCTTCTGGTTGTGCTAAGTATTAAGGAAATTATTACCAGCTATTAGGTGGTTTAAAAAATCATTAAAGTGGCTAAAAGAGCAGGCTCTAGGCTGCGCGTCTAAGAAAAACTCCCCATTTCCAAAATCACCCAGCTTTTGCATGGCCAAAAATCTCACATTCTCCTCCCGATATTTTGGCAGGAAACTGATAACAGGAGGCCCTTGATGCCACAATCAGCAGGCATAAAATGGAATGCTTTCTTTCCACTAAGCACCAGCTTCATGAGCAGGTGATCTGTGCATTCTCTCAGGGCCCCCATGCATGGAGTTTAGTGCTCTGTGGTTACTATCATGAAATTCTTTTTTTTTTTTTTTTTTTTTTTTTTTTTTTTTTGAGACGGAGTCTCGCTCTATCTCCCAGGCTAGAGTGCAGTGGCATGATCTTGGCTCGCTGCAAGCTCCACCTCCTGGGTTCACGCCATTCTCCTGCCTCAGCCTCCTGAGTAGCTGGGACTACAGGCACCTGCCACCTTGCCCGGCTAATTTTTTGTATTTTCAGTAGAGACGGGGTTTCACCATATTAGCCAGGACGGTCTCAATCTCCTGACCTCGTGATCTGCCCGCCTCGGCCTCCCAAAGTGCTGGGATTACAGGCGTGAGCCACCGCGCCCGGCCACCATCATGAAATTCTTAAAAATTTATCTTTTAATTTGTGTTTTAAAAGTGATGTCCTTTGGGACAATAGAGTATGTACTGGGAGACCTTAGGTCTTCTTCTTGCCACCTTCCTGTGACAGCTTCTCAGCCAACAGCTCCCCTAACCCACACTTCCCCTTCCTGGGCATGATCCACCAATCACTGCCTCCCTCCACCCCTGGTTGAGCCCTAGGCATGGACAGGAAGAAGATCGGGGTTAGAGTCAGGTGCATGCTCCCAGAGCATCTCTATGCAGGACAGGGTAGGAGAGGGCAAGGCAGTGGCAGTCCTTGCCCCAGGCTGGTAGCATCATGGAATATTCAGTGGGTGACTTGGCAAGGGCACACCTCTTGTCTCCATCCAGGTGTCTCATTTATCCATACATGAAGGTGATAATACTCTCAGGGGTCACCCAACAACCTTGAGTTGCTATGGCCAGTGGAAAGAAAAAGATGCCTGATTGAACTTCCGGAGCCTTTGGTCTTGCAGCGGGTAGGAGGGAAACCTCATAGCCAGTGGGCTGCACATATGCCAGATTATAAGCAATGGTGAGGATCTGCCCGCATACCTGCATACCTGAGTATCCTCACATTCCTGGGACTACAAACACCCTGATAGATGGTGAGAAAGACCAGGGGAAGAAGAAAGGAAGAAAAAGTTTTTTTCCTGCCTTTCGTACAGAGGTCTTCACACTTTAATTTTGTACTGGGTCTTCCAAATTATGTGGCAAGCCATTGTCTCCACTTAATTTAGTTACAATCCAAGTCTTTTGAGTGCATCTGATTGGTGGAATCCAAATCACACCCTAAACTCTGATTATAAGGGAGTCTGGGAAATATAGTTTCTAGCTTTCCAAACTCAGGAGTACTGGAAGGAGGCTGGAATGTATATTGAGTAAGGCAATCCATTTTAGATGCGCTATTACCCCCACCATGGCTCTGGCAAAGAGTGGTACCCTAAGGTCTATGGGGCAGGGGCTGCATCTAGCTCATTCACTCCTCCATCCCCAGTTCAGGCTATAAGTCCTGTCACATAGTATGATCACAATAGTTGTAGAATTGAATTGCAAATCATCCATTTTCATATGCTATATTTATGAACCTATATATTTAATGGTATAACTTCTCTTGCCATTGTTCATATTAGCTGGAGCTCTTCATTACCAGTGGCAAATTCATATATAAAATACAGTGAGTTAGGGAAAAAAAGCAGGTAACTGAATTCTACTTAGTGATTTCTTTTCATGTACTGGGCATAGCTAATGCAAACAGGGTACCATATGTCCACTGCACTTAATAAATTAAGTCACTTTCTAGGTCAGTATGAAAACATTATTAATGTTTATCTAGTCACAGAAACCACTAATATGAAATTACATTCCTTCCAGTCTTCACCTTTCAATGTTCACAAGCTGGGATTAATTTCAAAGGGAACAAGTTTCTGGCTGAGGTATATTAAGGGTGGGCAAATCACTCTTAGAATATTCAATGGAAAAATTAGTTTGATTTAAAACAGGAGTGCCCTGAGCAAAATCAAACTTTTCTTAATACTTCTCATCATCTCCAAAATGGAAAGTAAGGATATTTCCCCCAGAATGTTTTAATTAAAAAGTGTTTTGGAATATGCGTGTGTGTATAAAAATGTCTCTTAATTACAAAGATATAAAGTTAAAGATTTTACCTGAGATTTAATTAATAGTCTATGTAGTTTTGGAGTGGATGATGGTGAGGACAGCTGGGAATTTGATGGACAGTCTGATCATCCAAAGCAACACAGGAAGCAAGCTGCACCTTTCAGAACTTCCCCGACTATCCAAGAAGTGGTGGAGGGTAGAGGGCTTGCTCCAAAAATTTTGTACATTCAGTAGGATAAAAGAGGTCTTTGGAATCTCCATCTTTAGAGGCTCTGCTCAGGGGTTGTATTGTGGTAATCTGGCCTGACAGTCTGACAAGTCCTGAAATAGATCTAGTCATAACTCAGAGCATATGAGTTGCTTTACGGGAATCAATGAGCCAATTGTGCATGGTTACCGGTTGTGATGGCCTGGAGGTACAGTCTGGCCCTTGAGCAAAAGTAGGGAGTCAGAGAATTCTGGTTTCATTCAGGCAATGTGGAGCAGATAATGTTGACTTTTATTATCCAGGTAATCTTGTCTTCCACATCAACTTGACTGCAGGATTTACCCTAATCTATTTTGCCTCTAAAGAAAATAGTTATATGTAGAAAGTATAACTATAATACAACTATATAATTACAATAAAGGTTATCCCCCTGGATAACCCAGGGTAATTTCCTCATCTCAAAATTCGTAATTCAACTATATCTTAAAAGCACTTTTTGTGATATAAGGTAACATTCATAGGTTCCAGGGATTAAGGCATGGATATCTTTTGGGAGGAGCCATTATTCAGCCTAACAAATACACGACCTGAGGATTCACTAAAACACGATCCTAATTACTACCTATTTTCTTATTTTTTATCTATTTGTTACAGAATGACAGACAGAAGGAAGACTACTTATTTTTTTTTGAATTGTTATCATACACCTATAGTGATATAATCAGTACCAGGTGTTTTTTGTTGTTGTTGTTTTATGTTAAGAAACATGGTCTTGCTCTGTCACCCAGGCTCAAATGCTGTGGCGTGATCATAGTTCACTGTAACCTCGAATTCCTGGGCTCAAGTGTACTTCAGCCTCTGGAGTAGCTAAAACTACTAGCACGTGCCACCATGCCAAGCTAATTTTTAAAATTATTTTTGTGGAGATGGGGTCTCCCTATATTGCCCAGGCTAGTCTTGACCTCCTGGCCTCAAGTGATCCTCCTGCTTCAGCCTCTCAAAGTGTTGGGATTACAGGTGTGAGACACTGTGCTCAACCCAATACCATGTTTTGAAAGAAGTTTATTTTAAAAAGAGTTGTTTGGGGGAACATCTGAGAACACAGTTTCTGTTTTTAAATATCCAGACTGATTTACAAGTCTTCAAAAATCCTGAGGGTAGGATTTGAATGAAATTTAATTATGGTTCTGCTGTATATGTTATTGAACTCCCTAAATCATCATGTGTTTCTGGGTGTTTTTGATCAGCCATGTGGAAGCTATAAGACCTGGAATCTGGAGTGAATCAACACTATTTAATTTGGATCACCCTGGGACTGATAGGTTACACTTTGAGCTAGATTAAGGCTGAATTAATAAACATTTTTTGATGAATTTACACCCAACAGGTCATTTAATATGTCCTGACCTTGAGCATAGCTATTGAATTATTATTGCTGAAGTTTAAATGGACAGGCAGGTAGCTTGTTTTGGGATCCAAACTTTAAATATAAGGACAATCTGAGCTTTGTTCATTATTGTAAGATTCTGAGTACCATGTATCTCACTAAACATTTTTAAATTTGTCCTATTTTTGTAAAATATTTTGGTAAATTAGAAAATGTATCTTTAGAGCTCATAAACTCTCTTGGACTTGACTATTTTCTGCTGTTTAAAATGTTAATTACAGCCACCAATTACTGTACTTGGGACTTGTAGTTCTAGTTCTTTTAGGGGAAACATGCCTTCAACACACCTAGAACTTCTATTGAGCATAGACTCTATGACAGCGATGATGTGAGGGGCAGAATGGATATGAAGATATCTAAGACTTGGTCCCTGCTATCTCTAGTCTGTGAGCTCTGGACTGGGGCCAAGTTTTATTTAACTTTAATCTCCAGCATCTATCCCACTTTGCAGCACATAGTCAGTTCACACTGCCAGCTTGCAGTCAGCTCACATTTCTTCATTAAATGGACATTTGTTTAATGAAATTTTTGTTCAGTAAGTAGTTATTGAATGAACAGTCTAGAAATTGAGCGGGTAATGAAATCAAATAACTGAGATAGAATGCTTATATCTTTAAATTACTTCTGAGTGAGGTATTGGAGGTCTCAGCAGGGCACTCTGGGACCCCAGAGAATGGAGCTACCAAATCAGCCAAGGAGACAGTCATGTGATTCAAGTCCTAGAGAAAAAGAGTCCAAATCACTGATGCACCGCTTGTCTTAATGTACTTGTTTTTTTCTCTATTTAGTTTAGATGGCCTGATTCTCACTGGGTCTCCATAATAGTGTTTCATGGAATGTGGAGTTTGTCTCTGCCCCAGCTCCTAGCTGCTTATGCTGGAAGGAGCAGGGGGGGAGTGAGTGCATGGGGGAGAGATGGGGAGCAGAACCAGCACACAGCACAGCCCTTGCAGGGAGAAAAGAGACTAGCGAGAGACTAGGAGCAGAATGCCTGGGAAACAGAGCAAGGAGGAAGCTGGGGCTACTTCTTATTTCTAAGAAGAATGTATTTATGCAAAGTGGTTATATTTGGGGATATATTCTGTATGAGTGGGTATTCTCTGAATGTATCTTTCTCTTTATGACCCACATCCTCCCTCTTATTGGAATCAGCAAATGAGCTGAGCCTCCTTCCCATCTTGCCCCTAGCAGAGGTCTCCTATCTCTGTCCCCAGCTCTTTCCAGCTGCAGCAGCAGGAAGCTGGGTAAAGATAAATTAAACATTCCTTAAAATGCTGCTATGAAAAAAAAATAAAAACTGATCAACTAGAAGTTTACATAAATATTTAAAAGCTATTAAAAAGATCTCATTCAATGTGAATTGCTGTAAACTTTATAAAGAGTTCTAAGGAAGAAGAAAATTTGGCAAACTGTCCTTGTGGAAAATTGGCTTTCTGCAGTTTGATTTTTGGCAAATTTACTCAAAAGCAGTCTTGAAGAATTAATACACATTCATCTAGAACAGAAAAGCAAATATTGTGAGTGAAAAAATATACATAAACATAGATAAAGATTAAAAATATAAGTAAAATGACCATGTACAACTTTGGCATTCAAGAAAAATCTAGATGGAATAGATTGTTTATGCTAACCAAAATTAAGAAAAGGACAACAATCTGAATAAATCAATAACCATAAAAGAATTTTAAAATATTTAAAATTTACTTTTTAGAGGTACCAGATCCAGTAGATTTATCTGACTCCTATAATAGATCATCAACAAAGATGGCACAAAAATATCAAAGCATGTAGCCCAATCTCAGATATGATGATGAAAAAGTCCCCCCAAAACTTTAAATATATCAAATCCAGAGCATTAACAAATAACAGAATGTGATAATAAACTGTGATTTAGTAGGGTTTTCCCTCTGTGATGCAAGAATAGTTTGAAATAGGAAGTCCATTAATATAATTAACTATATAACAGATTCAAAGGGAAAAATATAATAAAATATATTTATTTCTATAAATATTAAAATATAAAATTTGCCATTCCTTCCTGATAAAAACACATGGCAAGAAAAGATAACTCGCTTACTATGATAAAAAAGACTTTTTACACAAATCAGCAACTACAAAAACAAATATTATGCCTGGTACTAAAACCTAGAGGCTTTCTCATTAAAGTGAAGAATAAGACAAAGAAACAGTAACACTATTCAGAATATTTCACTTCTTCTTCTTCCAGGCATCTTATAGATTGCACTATTCCACCCCTTTGACATTTACATTTGAGGTGGCTTGTTTTAGCCAATAGGTTGCAGCCAGAAATGCTGTGTTTCCTTTAAGGTCAGAGTAATTATTTCTGGCTGGAGACCGCTACTGCTCCCTATTCTGGTTATAGAAGCATGTGTGCAGAAGGAGTTTCCATGGCAGGAGTAAGTCCTTACTTAATAATAACATCGAATGTGAATGGACTAAACTCTCCAATTAAAAGACACAGAGACTGGCTGAATGGATGAGAAAACAAGACCCATTGATCTGTTGCCTACTAAACACACACACACACACACACTTCGCCTGTAAAGACATGTATAGACTGAAAATAAAGGGATGGAAAAATACTCCATGCCAATGGAAACCAAAAAAGAGGAGGAGTCGCTATACTTATATCAGACAAGATAGATTTCAAGACAAAAACTATAAGAAGAGATGAAGAAGGTCACTATGTAATGATAAAGTGGTCAATTCATCAAGAGGATATAAGAATTTTAAATATATATGCACCCAACACTGGAACACCTAGATATATAAAGGAAATGTTATTAGAGCTAAAGAGAGAGATAAGCTCCAATACAATAACAGATGGAGATTTCAACACCCCACTTCCAGCATTGGACAGATCTTCCAGACAGAAAGTCAACAAATATCAGTTTAATCTGCACTAGAGACCAAATGGACCTAATAGATATTTACACAACATTTTATCCAAGAGCTGCAGAATATGCATTGTTTTCTCCAGCACATGGATCATTCTCAAGACAGACCATAGGTAAGGTCATAAAACTAATCTTAAAACATTAAAAAATTGAAATAATATCAAGTGTCTTCTCTAACCACAATGGAATAAAACTAGAAATTAGTAACAAGAGGATTTTGAAAACTATACAAATACATGGAAATATAACAATATGCTCCCGAATGACCAGTGGATCAATGAAGAAATTAAGAAGGAAATTGGAAACTTTTTTGAAACAAATGATAATAGAAACACAACATACCAAAACCTATGGGATACAGCAAAAGCAGTATTAACAGGGAAGTTTACAGCTATAACTGCCTACACCAAAAAAGAGGAAAAACTTCAAATGAACAGTCTAATGATGCATCTTAAAGAATTAGAAAAGCAAGAGCAAACTAAACCCAAAATTAGTAGAAGAAATAGTAAAGATTAGTGTGGAAATAAATGAATTTGAAATGAAAAAGCAATGAAACAAAAAGTCGGTTTTTTGAAAACTTAAAGAAAATCGACAGACCTTTAGCCAGACTAAGAAAAAAAAAGACGATCAAAATAAATATAATCAGAAATAAAAAAGGAGATACTACAAATGATACCACAGAAATTCAAAGGATCATTAGTGGCTGCTATGAGAAACTATATGCCAACAAATTGGAAAATCTAGAAGAAATAGACAAAGTACTAGATGCATACAACCTACCAAGATTGAAGCAGGAAGAAATCCAAAACCCGAACAGACCAATAACAAGTAATGAGATTGAAGCCTTAATAAAAAGTCTTCCAGTAAAGAAAAACTGGAGACCTGATGGATTCACTGTTGAACTTTACCAAACATTTAAAGAAGAACTAATACTAATCCTACTCAAGTTATTCAGAAAAATGCAGGAGTGAGGGAATCCTTCCAAGCTCATTCTGCAAGGCCAGTATTACCTTAATACCAAAACCAGACAAAGACACATTAAAAAAAATAAAAAAGAAAAGAAAAGAAAACTACAGGGCAATGTTGCTGATGAATATTGATGCAGAAATCCTCAATAAAATACTAGAAAACCAAACTCAACAATACTTTAGAAAGATTATTCATCATGACAAAGTGGGATTTACCCCTGGGATGCAAGGACGGTTCAACATATGCAAATTAATAAATGTGATATCAACAGAATGAAGGATAAAAACCATATGATCATTTCAATTGATGCTGAAAAGGCATTTGATAAAATTAAACATCTCTTCATGATAAAAGTCCTCTAAAAACTTGGTATAGAAGGAACACCCTTCAACATAATAAACACCATATGTGACAGACCCACAGCTAGTATCATACTGAATGGGGAAAAACTGAAAGCCTTTCCTCTAAAATCCTGAACATGACAAGATGTCCACTGTCACCACTGTTATTCAACATAGTTCTGGAAGCCCTATCTAGGGCAATCTGACAAGAGAAAGATAGATATAAAGGGAGTCCAAATTGGAAAACAAGAAGTCAAATTATCCTTGTTCGCAGATGATATGATGTTATATTTGGAATAACCTAATGACTCCACCTAAACAAAGAAATAAAAAAGTAATCCCAATTACAACAGCCACACATAAAATTAAATACCTAGGAGTTAACCAAAGAAATGAAAGATCTCTGTAATGAAAACTATAAAACACTAAAGAAAAAATTGAAGAGGACAACAAAAAATTGAAAAATATTTCATGTTCCTGAATTGGAAGAATCAATATTGTTAAAATGTCCATACTACCCAAAGCAGTTTACAGATTTAATGCCATCCCTATCAAAGTACCAATGACATTATTCACAGAAATAGAAAAAAATCCTAAAATTTACATAGAACCACGAAAGACCCAGAATAGCCAAAGCTATCCTACACAGAAACAACAAAACAGGAGGAATCACATTATCTGACTTCAAAATATACTACAGAGATATGGTAACCAAAATAGCATGGTATTGGCGTAACAAAAGACATATAGACCAATGGAACAGAATAGAGAACCCAGAAATAAATCCACACACCTACAGTGAACTCATTTTTGTCAAAGGTGCCAAGAACATACACTGGGAAAAAGATAGTATCTTCAGTAAATGATTTTGGGAAAACTGGATATCCATATGCCAAAGAATGAAACTAGACCTCTATCTTTCCATATACAAAAATCAAATCAAAATGGATTAAATGCTTATAAATATAAGACTTCAAACTATGAAACTACTATGGGAAAACATTGGGGGATATCTCCTAGACATTGGTCTGGGCAAAGATTTCTTAAGCAATGCCCCACAAACACAGGGAGCTAAAGCAAAATTAGACAAATGGGATCATATCAAGTTAAAAATCTTCTGTACAGCAAAGGATACAATTAATAAAAAGACAACCACAGAATGGGAGAAAATATTTGCAAACTACCCATCTGACAAGGAATAATAATCAGAATCTGTAAGGAGCTCAAACAACTATATGGGAAAAATTTAATCACCCAATAAAAAATGAGCAAAAGGCATATGAAAAACTGCTCAGCAGCACTGACCATCAGAGAAATGCAAATCAAAACTATAATGAGAAATCATCTCACCTGAGTTAAAATGGCTTATATCCAAAAGACAGGCAATAACAAATGCTGGTGAGGATGTGGAGAAAAGGGAACCATTGTACACTGTTGGTGAGAATGTAAATTAGTACAACCACTATGGAGAACAGTTTGGAGGTTCCTCAAAACACTAAAAATGGAGCTATCATATGATCCAGCAATCCCATTACTGGGTATATACCCAAAAGAAAGGAAATTAGTATATTGAAGAGATATCTCCACTCTTATGTTTGTTGCAGCACTGTTTACAATAGCTAATATTTGGAAGCAACCGAAGTGTCCATCAATAGGTGAATGGATAAAGAAAATGTGGTACATATGCACAATGGAGTACTGTTTAGCCATAGAAAGAATGAGATCTAATCATCTGCAGCAACATGAATGGAACTGGAGGTGATTATGTTAAGTAAAATAAACCAGGCACAGAAAGACAAACATCACATGTTCTCACTTATTTGTGGGATCTAAAAATCAAATCAATTTAACTCATGGACATAAAGAGTAGAAGGATGGTTATCAGAGGCTAGGAAGGGTAGTGGGAGGTTGGGCCGGGGGTAGGTAGGGATGGTTAACGGGTACAAAAAATAGAAAGAATTAATAAGATCTAGTATTTGATAGCACAGAAGGGTGAATATAGTCAACAATAACAACTGTACATTTTAAAAATAACTTAAAGTGTATAACTGGATTATTTGTAACTCAAAGGATAAATGCTTCGGGGATGGGTATTTTATTCTCCATGAAGTGCTTATTTCACATTGCATGCCTGCATCAAAACATCTCATGTACCTCATAAATATATATGCTTAGTATGTACCCACAAAAATTAAAAAATATTTAACTCTATATAACATGGAAGAAAGGAAATAAAGAAGAAAGAGAGAGAGAAAGGAAGGGATAAGGGAAGTTAGAGCACTATTAAAACTTTGCTAAGGGCTGGCAAGGCTGTGGAGAAATAGGAAGTTTTTACACCGTTGGTGGGAGTGTAAATTAGTTCAACCATTGTGGAAGACAGTGTGGCAATTCCTCAAGGATCTAGAACCAGGAATACCATTTGACCTAGCAATCCCATTACTGGGTATATACCCACAAAGGATTATAAATCATTCTACTATAAAGACACACACACACATATGCTTACTGCAGCACTATTTACAATAGCAAAGACTTGGAACCAACCCAAATGCCCATCAATGATAGACTGGATAAAGAAAACGTGGCACATATACATCATGGAATACTATGCAGCCATAAAAAAGAATGAGTTCATGTCCTTTTCAGGGACATAGATGAAGCTGGAAACCATCATTCTTAGCAAACTAACACAGGAACAGAAAACCAAACACTGCATGTTCTCACTCATAAGTGGGAGTTGGACAATGAGAACACATGGACACAGAGAGGGGACCATCACACACTGGGGCCTGTTGGGGGGTGGGGGCAAGGGGAGGGAGGGCATTAGGACAAATACCTAATGCATATGGGGCTTAAAACCTAGATGATGGGTTAAGTGCAGCAAACAACCATGGCACATGTATACCTATGTAACAAACCTGCACATTCTGCACATGTATCCCAAAACTTAAAGTAAAAACAAACAAAACAACAACAACAAAAAAAAACCTTTGCTAAGGAACAAAATAAATAAATGGACAGACGTGCCTATTCCTAGCTAGGATCTGGTGAGGTAAATTTCTCTCCAAATTATTCAGTATAGTATGTAATTCTGCAATGACAGAACAGACAATGGCTAGTTTGTGCTAAACATGATGAGAGTAAAGGGATGATAAGAAGTATTAACTTAAAAATCACTATGTATAACAATGTATAAATTTAGAAAAAGAGAGATTTATTTCCTTTTTTTCTTTTTTGGTTCCTCATCATTCAGTTGGATGAGCTTATGAGCTTTATTTCTTAAGAAGGAGATTACAACCTCCAGGCAGGAAGCACAACCACCATCTAAAAAAAGCACTTTGAGGCAGAGGCGGATGGAACAGGGATTCCTTTTGAATGGGTTGGCCAAGTATACATATTCAACAGGTTACAGGAGGAGCTATTAATATTCATGAAGGTGGTCCTCATGCATATTACACACCACCCATGTTCACTTAGGGGTGGAAGATTAACATTTAAATGTATTACAGCTAGGCCAAAAGGTGAAGCAGGGACACGAAGGCATTCCAGTGTGCAGTCTCTGTAAAACCCACCAGAACCAGTTCATAATAAGTGATCTCTCATCAGAAGAAAGTTACAGAAATCAGTCTGTTGTCCAATCAAGGCTCGTGGAACAGGGTGTCAGTTAGTGAGCATCTGGTGGTGAGTTGCAATTGTTTTAATATTGTTTATTTCAAGGCCAGTGCTTGTTTAGCTTCTAGAGAAAAAGAAAAACCTTGTAGCACTTTGCACGTAGTTTATTCTTTAACTGTAGGGTGTATGATTTAATCTTTCTCTGGCATGGCCTTAGGTCCTATTTATAATCTGGTATCTTATTTCCACAAAAAGTCCATTCTGTCAGTCATATGATATCTATTTTGACATTACTGCTGGTCAGTTGTGTCTAAACCACAAAAGGAGGCGGGTGTAACAAGGGGTGTCGGGCCTCCCATCCTGTCATGGCTGGGAACTAAATTTGTAAGGTTTCTCCGGAGTCCCCTTGGCCAAGGGGGCAGGGTCCATCCAGTCAGTTTGAGGGACTTAGGATTTTATTTTTAGTTTATAGAAGCAAGAGGATTTCTGAAGAATGTAATTATTTAACTGCAAAGCTGGGGAGAAGTAGCAAGAAAGCATTCTCTGAAAAGACGTGTCAAAAAAAAGGCCACTTTTTTCTAGAACTGTTGCTAATCATTGTGAGCTGTGTTGTTTGAGTGAGAGAAGGCATACCGATCACAGAAAGACTATATTTGTCCCTTCCACTCTCCTCCCTACAGTTGACTGAATGTTAGTAACAAAGTGACTCTGGAAGATCTGTTCCCACCATTCTGCATTTCTCCTGCAATCTTGTGGTGGATCTTGGAGAGTCACTCTTACTTAACACAGAGGCAATGGGGTTGGTAACAGGTGAAACAAGCAAATAAATTTTTTTTTGAAAAAGTATAACATGAGAGGACTTACCTACTAGGTATGAAAACACACTATAAAGCTTTATTACTATTATTGTTTTTAATGACATTTATTGAAGGCTTACTGTGTGCTGGACACTGTGCTATGTTTTACATACCTGATGTCATTTAATTATCTTCCAAACCTTATGAAGTAGATAGCATTTTTAAGACCTAATACTTAGAGGAAGAAACTGAGGCCTAGAAAAGATACATTTGCAAAAAATTAAATAGCCAGTAAACAATGAAAATATAATTCTAATCTAGACATTATAACTCTAAAGCCATTTTTATCATTACTATCAATATAGTTTTGACTACATAAAAGAGGAACAGTAGAACAGAGAAGAGTTTAAAAACAAAATAGCCATATCTATGGGATTTCACCATATGATAAAATTGACATTTACATCAATTTAATAATTATTGCTAGACAATTGGCTATTCACTGAAAAGTAACTATTATCTCTCATACCAGAAAAAGTTATAATTCAGAAATTTAAAAAAAATTAATATAAAAAGGTAGAAATAGTACTAAAAAAATATAGAACATACAGCATCTGGTGGCCATAAAAAATAAGTCAGGGACCAGGTAGGTAAAGGTTGCAGTGAGCTGTGATCAAGTTACTGCACTCTAGCCTAGGTGACAGAGTGAGACCCTGTCTCAAAAAAAAAAAAAAACCCAAAGCACCAAATTAGTGAGGGTTGGTACATGAGTGGAAGCCTATTTGCTACTTCTCCACAAAAACTGAGAATGAGTGAAAAGAAAAAGTTTTAAATTAAGAAGTTTCAAACTTTGGCTGGAGACTGTTAAAACATTCTCCAAGAAGTATGAGGAGAAGGAAATATTTATTTTCCAATGCAAATTCAATCATTTCTTTTATTATTGACCTTGTTCGATACATATGGATAAAAAAAATCCTGCATTGGTTAGAATCAAAGGACACAGTCCCTGAATGACATAATATAAGAAAAATAGGCTGGGCATGGTGGCTTATTCCTGTAATTCCAACACTTTGGGAGGCCGAGGCAGGTGGATCACAAGGTCAGGAGTTCGGGACCCACCTGGTCAACATAGTAAAACCCCGTCTCTACTAAAAATACAAAAAATTAGCCAGGCATGGTAGCTGGCAGCTGTAATCCCAGCTACTTGGGAGGCTGAGACAGGAGAATCGCTTGAACCTAGGAGGCGGAGGCTGCAGCGAGCCGAGATAGCACCACTGCACTCCAGCCCAGGCGACAGTGCGAGACACCGTCTCAAAAACAAAACGAAAAAAAAACAAAAAAAGAGAATGAGAATAGCAAAATTTGACTAAAAATCTTGATCAATGACACCATTTATTTAAAAATTGTATTACTTACATTACCTTGAAGCTATAAAACAGGGGTCAAAATAGATTGTGGGAATTTCTATTTCTAATCAAGATGGAGTAACAGGAACCAGATTCTTCTTACTACCTGTGACAACCAAAAAAAAAAAATTAATTAATTAGAAAAAGGACAACATACAACATACAGGACACAATAGTTCTCAGGATGCTGGACATTGGGGAAAAAAAGACAGTAACCCCAAGAGACAGGAAACAAGCAAGATGAGCCCTACAGTTGCCCCAGCTTACTGTCTTGAGGGAATTTCCAGGATGAAGTGCTAAGAGGGGAAATGCAGGAGAGTGCAGTGGGCTCTGAGTTGAGGAGACAGAGCTGAGAGTCCAGGGAGACTAAGATGGCCAGAGTCATAGGACAGAGTACTGGAGAGCAGAGACCTGCAAAGAGAGAGAACTTCAGAGATCTACAAAGGGTTCCTCTCAAGTATTCAGATGAGTACAGATTACCACTTGCCTGTGAGGAAACTGGGTGAAGCTCAGGAAAGAAATCCCTAAACATATTAGAGGAACCGGTGCCCAATGCTCACACAAGGCTGAGAGTAATGCCCATTCCCACCATCCAGACTGGAAAACCCCATAATTCACAGGACATTTGCTACAGTGCACAGTAGGGTCTTGCCTCACTGGAGAATAAGTAGCTCTCCACTGAGTATTGCTCTGGGCCAGCCTAACAAACCTGAAAGGATAAAACTGTTTCCAACCATCTCAGAACAAAGCTCAAGAATACTTGTAGGAGTACAGAAATATCCAGCACCCAATGAAACAAAATTTACAATGCCTGGTAGTCGGTTAAAAGTTACAAGTCAAAGAAACAAGAAAATCCAAACCGTATTTGGAAAACTTATCACCCAATTGAAACAACTCAGAATTTATACAATGTTAGAATTATTAGACAAGGACACTAAAGTTATCAGAATTACATTTTATATGTTTATAAAGTTAAGGTGAAACATGAAAGATATTTTGAAAAACAAAATTAAAACAAAACACATTGAACTCTAAAGATAAAAGCTGCAGTGGACTCACAGAAGATTAGACATTGAAGAATAAAAGAGTAGTGAATTTGAAGACATAGCAATAGAAATGATCCTAAATGAGGCACAGAGAGAAGAGAATTAAAAAGAGGAAAGGGCATCAGTGAGCTGTGGGACAATTTCAAACATCCTAATGTGTGTGTAATGAGTCTCCAAAGGAGAAGAGAAAAGAGGAAATAGAAAAATAAACTCTTAAAAATACATTTTCCAAATTTGATGAAAACTCAAAACTCATAGACTCAGGAAGCTCAACAAACCCCAAGCATAGGAAACATGAAGAAAACTACACCCATGTGCATCATAATCAAGGTGCTCAAAACCAATGATAAAGAGAAAATCATAAAAAGCAGCCAAAGAAGAAAGACATGATACATGTGGAGGAACAAAGATAAGGATGACAGTATAATTTTTATTGGAAATTGCAAATGAATTCACTGTGAGGCAACATCGTTAAATTACTGAAAGAAAAAAAAGTCAACCTAAAATTCTATATTTAGAATTCTATACCCAGAAAAAAATCTTTAAAAAACAAAGGTGAAATAAAGACTTTCTAGATATAAAAAACTGAAAGAATTCATCATCAGTGGATCATCAGCACTACAGTAAATGCTAAAAGGTGTCCTTCAGACGAAAGGAAAATTGTTAGCTATATAAAAAAGGATACATCATAGTGACAGCATTAAAGGATATGTGTTACAGTCAAAAGCTTCAAAGAAAAGGATCTGGAGAGGCTGGAGGTAAGCTCCAAATATTCTCCCTCTACAGAGAGTACTTTCCTCCTAATATCAAAAACAAGATCACAATGTCCACTTCTTCCACTTCTGTTCAACATTGGGTTAGATGTTCTAGCCATTGCAATGAGGCAAGAAAAAGAGTAACAGGCAGACAGACTAAGTAGGAAGGAACAACAATTCACAGACATGATAATCTACGTAGAAAATCCATGGAAATCTACAAAGAAACTTACTAGAACTAATGACTTTAGCAAGGTCACAAGACACAAGATCAATATACAAAAGTATCTCTACATACTAGTAAAAATATTATTTACAATAGCAGCAGAAAACATGAACTAACAAAGGTTGTGAAAGACTTGCACATTGAAAACTACAAAATAGTGGTGAGAGAAATTAAAGAAAGCCTAAATAGAGAGATATGGGCTGAGTGCAGTGGCTCATGCCTGTAATTTCAGCACTTTGGGAGGCCAAGGCAGGCAGATCAGTTAAGGCCAGGAGTTCGAGACCAGGCTGGCCAATATGGCAAAATCCCATCTCTACTAAAAATACAAAAATTAACCAGGTGTAATGGCACATGCCTGTAATCTCAGCTACTCAAGAGGCTGAGGCATGAGGATGCTTTGAACTTGGGAGGCAGAGGTTGCAGTAAGCCAAGATCGTACCACTATACTCCAGCCTAGGCGACAGAGCGAGACTCTGTCTCAAAAACAAAACAAAAACTAACTAATAAATAAATAGAAATGTCTTGCTCATGGGTCAGAAAATTCACCCTGCCCCCTCCATTAATGTATAGATTTAATGAAATTCCGATCATAATCCTGAAAGTCTCTTTTGTAGGTATTGATAAAAACAATTATAAAATTTACTTTGAAATGCAAAGACCTAGAATAGCCAAAACAATGTTGAAAAAGAACAAAGTTAGAGGACTAACACTACCTGATTTTAAGGTTTATTATAATGCTAAAGTAAGCAAGACTAGTGGTACTAGTGCAAAGATAAAGAAATGAATCAGTAGAAAAAAATGGAGCGCCCAGAAGTACACCCACCAATTTTTGAACAACTAATTTCAAGTCTTTTTAGCAAAAGTTGAAGAAAAGGAACCTCAATCCATTCCTTAACACCATTTACACAAATTCACCAAAAATGGATCATAGACCTAAACCTGAAACCTAAAACTATAGAACTTCTAGAAGGAAACATAGAAAGAAAATCTTTGCTGCTTTGGATTAGGCCAAGATTTCTTAGACACAGCACTGAAAGCATGATCTATAGAGGAAATATGATATATTGAAATTCATCAAAGTTAAAAACTTCTATTTCTTGAAAGAAAGAAAATGCAAGCTACAGAGAAAATACTTGCAAATCATATATCTGATATATCATCTATATGATATATTTGAATAAACTTGTATCCAAAATATATAAATAACTCTCAAGATTTAATGTAAGAAGGCAAATGAACTAATTAAAAAATGGGCAAAAGATTTGATCAGATTCCTCACCAAAGATTATATATAAGTCTGTTTTCTCATTGCTATAAAGAAATACATGAGACTGGGTAATTTATTAAGAAAAGAGGTTTAATTGGCTCATAGTTGTGCAGGCTGTACAGGAAGTATGACGCTAGTATCTGCTGGGCTTCCAGGGAGGCTCAGCTGGAGGCATCTCACATGGTGGGAGCAGGAACAAGAGAAGTGAGGGGAAGTGCCACACACTTTTAAATAACCAGATCTCACAGGAACTCACTATCACGAGAACAGCACCAACGGGATGGTACTAAACCATTCACAAGAAATCCACCCCAATGATCAAATCACCTGCCACCAGGCCCCACCTCCAATATTGGGGATTACACTTCGACACAATTTTTGGTCGGGCACACAGACCTAAACCACGTCAGGAGACAATATGAATAGAAAACAAACATATGAAAATATATTTAATACTATTAGTCATTAAAGACATGCAAATTAAAACCACAATGGATAGCACCACTCATTGTCAGAATCACTAAAATTTAAAAGATTGACCATACCAATATAAAGGAACTAGAATTCTCAGGCACTGCTGCTGAGAATGTAAAATGATACAACCACTTTGGAAAACAGTTTCTAAGTTTCTTTGGTTCCTAACACCATACAAACACTTGTATATAAAAGTTCTTCGCAGCTTTACTTGTAATAGCTAAAAGCTGAAAATAACCCAAATGTCTATAAACAGATGAATAGATAAACAGCTGGGTTACACTTATGTAATAGAATACTTCTCAGCAATAAAGCAGAATGAATTGTTGATATATGCTATAGCAGAATTATGCTGAGTAAAATTTAAAAGGTCAAAAAAGCATACATACTGTGTGATTCCATTCATTTAAAATTCTAGAAAATGCAAATTAATCTAGAGTGGCATAAATTAGATCAGCAGTTTCCTGGGCATCTGGACTTTAAAATTATGGAGGGGAATGAGGAAACTTTTTTGGGTGATGGACATGTTCATTATCTTGATTGTGATGATGGTTTGGTGAATGTGTATATATGTCAAAACTAATCAAATTGTATACTTTAAATATACGTGACTTGTTATATGTGAATTATACCTGAATAAAACTGTTTTATTTTTAAAAAGTTTGTATCTAAAAGGATAGTAAAACTACTCTCTTCTGAAGGCCAGATTTCTATACTCCTCAATTCTCTGGTGTAGAGATATGCATCCAGAATTTTTTTTAAAGCATGATGGAATGGCTTTGACAAAGCTATAGCACTCTGGCTAAATTCCTTATTTCCTAGGTGACCTTTTAAACTCTCATGCAGAGCCTTTTGATTCTACTTAGCACATTTCAATTAAGCTTGATAAGTTATAAACAATACATTTGAAGAGAGAATGGGACATAAAAATATTTGAGGGAGTCCCAGTGAAAAGTGATTATCATTACTGCAGGAAGTGAAAAGAATTTTGGAAAGTAGCTGGAATTTCACTCTGAAAGCATTATCTAGTAATGACTATTCATTGAGATAACCACGGAGAGCATCTTTTGTTTAATAAGTAAGGTTAAAATGTATGGACTACAAAAAGATTTATGTCAAAAATAAGATGAAAAAGGTTTTCAACTCTAAAGAGATGGTTCTTGGTTATGTGAAAATCTGATTTAGATGGCATACCTTGTTGACCCAGAATGAAATGCTTTTGAGGAAAGTCTTGAATATTACAGAAAGTAGTTGGATTCAAACTAAGTAAAATATTGGAAAGAATGTGAAAGAATATTCCAGCATTAGAGGCAAAATAGAAAGGTTCACTCCAATCCTTTTCCCTTTATGAATGTGCATGTGTCTTTGGTTTCCTAAAGTGCTTTTTGTGTTTAAATTGACAGGAAGGGAAGAACAAGTCTTAATGCCTTATGGCTCCAAGATCTGTTTTCCAGTCATTTCACATATGGCTCAGAATGTTAATAATGGAAAGTTGATCTATGTTGACTACTTGCCAACTTTATTACTTAAACTCATTCCTTGACAATACATCTTGTCCTTTCAAGGACAATTCTGGAATTAGGCTCAGAATTCTGACAGTATGACTCTTCTGTTACTGAAAATTACATCTATCATTTAAAGCATTTTATCATGCTAAACCTGTAACAAAAATTTTTGAAACATCACATTTCTAGGAACTCCTAAAGAAGAAATCATCCATTCAGTGAGAGCAAATGAACACTCCAACAGACTGAAACAAAGCATCTTTACAGGAGATGTGAATGCGAGAAAGCAAAGAGAACTACAGTCAGGGTCTCCGCTGGCATGGCCCAAGCCCACCGTGGCATGATCCAGAGAGACGAGTCAGCAGAGCACTATGGGCAGCTCCCATACTCTTCGCAGATCAACAAGCCAGCATATAACCCAGGGAGATAGATAATAGTGATGCTGTGCTCTGTAGAGGGTAGTGGCAACAGTGGGATTTCTTCTGGAATAAATCTGTAGTGAGCCAGATGTTTCTGCTGACTATATTACTTCTGACAGTGTATAATCCAAAATTGTTTCCTTGGCCTTCCAAAAAGTTTTATAAGCTCCCTAACGGCTGCAATAAATCCCTTTCTTCTTAAACTAGCTAGAGTGGATTTTTGTTCTCTACAAAACAGATCCTGCCACTAAGAACCCCACTAGTATTTGTTGCCATGATTAGGGAATAAGTTAAACCACTGTAAGGGGGGAAAAGCAGCTCCAAGTACAAGGGCTTAAATGTGTTAGAAGCTTCTTTCTCATATCACAATTCAAGATGAATACCTGGGCCATGCTCCATAAAGTCATCTAGATACCCAGGTTGCTGGGGCAACTCTGCCATCTTCTACATTTGGCTTTTCTCTCTAGGTCAAAAGTGTTTTCTCCAGTGATCATTAACTTCACTGGTTCCACATTCCAGGCCACAGAACGGAACAAAAGAAAATATGAAGGGCAAACAACTTTATTTTGAAAAACGTAAAGCAGAAGTCGTTGCTAAAACTTAGGCCCGGCGGGTGGCTGACATCTGTAATTCCAGCACTTCGGGAGGTCAAGGCAAGAGGATCACTTGAGCCCAAGAGTTTAAGACCAGCCTGGGCAACACAGGGAGATACGTTCTCTACAAGAATTAAAATAAAAAATGAAATAAATTAGCCAGGTGTGGTGATGCATGCCTGTAGTCCCAGCTACTTGGGAAGTTGAGGTGGGAGGATCTCTTGAGCACTGATCAAGGCTGCAATGAGCTATGATCACACCACTGCATTCCAGCCTGGGTGACAGAGCATGACCCTGTCTCAAAAAATAAAATAAAACCTAGAAGCTAAACCCAAACTCAAAGCCTTCTCAAGAGAATGTGGAAAATGTAACCTGTAACTGGAGTAGCCATTAATCTAGCCAAAACTTGATGGGCATGGGGTGTTCTCTTAGTAAAAGAAGAAAAGAGAAATGGACATGGGAAAAATTCCAAAACTTTATTCAAGAGGACATCATCAGCTTTTGAGACTTCAGTTGTCCCGGGCAAATGGGCTCTTACTCCCCTCTCTTTTCTTAAAGCAAAAATACCTGCAGGAAGCCGCAGAGCAGTGGAAAGATCAGAAAGCGTACTCCTCAGTCCCTCTACCTAAGTAGCAGTGAGATGGCCATAGCTATTTTTACCCTCTTACTAGAAATAAAACATTTAGATTTTGAAACACCAACTCCTCCTCCAATGTAGAGCATCCTCTGTGTAGACACTATGAGATATAGAAGTCAGCAAGGCTGGCCTGGCCACTGCCCTCTTGATGCTTTCATTCTAGGATGGAAGATTAATTTCTTGGTAGTTGATTATTTAACTAATTATTAAGAGTGCTCCAAGGAAGTACAAAATGGATATATGTATAAATGGATATGTGTCATAAGTAAATGGATATAAGTGTCATAAGTATATGACAGAAGAATTTGACCTAGGCTGAAGAGATCACAAATGCATTTTCCTCTTAAAGTGATATTTAAGTATATACAAAAATTATGAACAGATTTACCAGTGAAATTTATTTCTGCAAGTTGGCAAATTGTTTACATAACCTTCCTATTTCACTCTTTAGTTATGATTAGGAGTTTTTTTTTTTCACTTAAAAACATGTATCAAAATTGTTTGAGTAGGTATTCATTTACCTGGCTTAAACACAAAGTATGAAAATGTAGCTGGGCACCATGGCTCACACCTGTAATCCCAGCACTTTGGGAGGCTGAGTCAGGAGGATGGCTTAACTCAGGAGTTTAAGACCAGCCTGGGTAACATGAAGAAACCCCATCTCTACCAAAATACAAAAATTAGCTGGGCATAGTGGTGCACACCTGTAGTCCCAGCTACTTAGGGGGCTGAGGTGGGAAGATCGCTTGAGCCCAGGAGGTCAAGGCTGCAGTGAGCCATGTTTGCACCACTGTATTCCAGTCTGGGCCACAAGGTGAGACTCTGTCTGAAAAAAAAAAAAAAAGAAGGAATAAGAAGAAGGAGAAGGAGGAGGCGGTGGTGGCAGAGGAGGAGGAAGAGGAAGAAAAAGAAGAGGAGGAAGAGGAAGAAGAAGGCTTCTATGGGGAAGTTTAGGGAGAGTGGCTTCTCATACAGGAATTGTCTTTTGTAACATACAGGCTAGAATCTTCAATGTGCAAGACAATCAGTAAAGCTTCACCATTCAGAAACCAATCAATGTCCTTTTCAGTATCAGTTAAGTTACATCTTAGTTATGGAACATCAACAGTTTGAGGAACCCACTGTAAGATTTCAGGGATTCAGGATAAGTTTCTTTACTCAAGGATAGGATGTAAGCCATGAATCATAGACCTCCCCCAGGTGGATTAATTTGGAAACCTGCCAAATGTGACATCTAGGTTATCATATCCTTGATAAGAATTTGTATTTATCTGAAAGCTAATAAAAATAATTATCTTTCTTCTCATTTCAAATTACAGATAATAGGAAACTGTACACATTTTACCTCCTGCTCGAGCTTTTTTCACTTACTATAGCATGGAGATATTTTGATATAATATATTGATAAAAAAGCTTTTTTAAACAAAATTATAGTATTCCATTTTATAGATATACTATTAATGTATTTAACCAGTCCCTTATTGGTGAGCTTGTAGATCGTTTCCAATATGTTACATTATAAACAGTGCTTCAATGAATTATATCCAAATGTCATTTCATTCTTATGTGTTTGTATCTATAGGAAAAATCCTAGCCCATTTGAAATTTACCGTGGGTTAGGGTGTGAGGCATACATCAAACCACATTTTTTCTCCATCTGGCTTCCTGGTAGTTCCCAGATGACTCGTTGATAGCACCTCTTTTTCTCACTGATTTGAGATACCACATTTATTATATACTAAAACTCCGTATGGATTTAGGTCTATTTCTGACTGTACATTCTGTTGTGTTAGTCTGTTTGCCTATTCATATGTCATTATAATAATAATCACTGAGGCTTTATCTGACAGAGAAAAATCTTCCTTTGGTGCTTTTCTTTTGCAGAGATTTCCTATTTTTTTGTTTCTATTTCCATATGAGCTTTTTCTGTTTTTTGAGACAGGTTGTTGTTTTGTTGCCCAGGCTGGTCTCAAACTCCTGGGCTCAAGCAATCCTTCTCCCTTGGAATAGCCGGGATTACATGTGCATATCACCATGCCTGGCTTACTTTCATCTACACTTTAAAATCATTTCTGGTCTAGTCTGGTTCTAAAAAAACCCAGATTTTACTTTTATTGAAATCATATTAAATTTATAAATTAACTTAGAGAAGTTCGACATCTTGATAATATTGACTCTTCCTATCCAAAATGCCTTTCCGTTTGTTCATGACTTCCTTTTATCTTTCAAAGAATGTTTTAATGTTTTAGTCTGTAGAATACTCAGCCTTGAACATTTCTTTTTAGGCTCATCACCTCGCTATGGGGTCTTTTCTTCTTCTATTATATTTTCAATGAATATTGATTGTATACATGAAAAAATTTGCATATGAATTTTGTACCTTGCTAATTTTCTAAATGTTTTGTTTGTTTGTAGTAGTTTTTATTTGACCTCCTTGAATTTTCTAGATATGTTATATGATTTACATATAGTGATAGTTTTATTGCTTTGTTAATTCTCACATCTCTAATTTCTTTATCTTGCATAATCACATTGGCTAGCACTTCTGGTACAGTGTTAAATAATAGTGATGATAGGACCATTCTTGCCTTGTTCCTGAGTGGGGATGCCCTAGTGTTTCTCCCTGAAATGTACTACTGATTTGGGAGGTGAAATAACTATATTTCAGCATTCAAAGATGTATCCATTAATAAATACTTTCTTAAGAATTTCATCAAGAATGGTTATTAAATTTTGTCAAAGATCTTTTTAGCATATATGAAGGTAAGGGTGATCATATGATTCTCTTCCTTATGCCTACTAATTGGTAGATATCAATAGATTAATAGATTTTCTAACATTGAACCTCCTTTGCAGACTTGTAATAAATCCTATTGGAAATGGTACATTTTTCTTTTAATGTACTGCTAGATTTATATAGGAGTTTTCTTTAATATTCTATATGATATTGGAGATAGTTTTCATCAGATTTTACCATAAGTGTCCTGCTTGCTTTATAAAATTAATCTAGAATTATTTTTGAAGATCTTGTAAAATTGCTCAGAGAAACAATTTCAACCTGGTGTTTGGCCAGGGAAAATGGGCAAGAGGTGACAGTAGCTCTTTGATGAATTTCTGGGTTTCTGTTAATGAAAATTATGCTACTTAGATTTTATGTCTTTTCTAAGCTTGAGTATAAAATTATCCAATTTATTAAGATTTTTTTTCATTTTTATGGTAATTTCCTCTCTTATTCCTTCTCATTTTACTAGCACATTTTTATATTTTTTTCTTGACTAAGTTAGTAATTTATGTTTATTGACTTTTTTCGAAGCAGCAGCTTTCAGTTTTTGTGCTCCAACTTCTTAAATTCTGCTTTTATCTTTATTGATTTTTTACCTTGATTCTCCTTTATTTTATTTTGTTTCTTTTTTGACCTCTAAAGTTAAATGTCAAATTCATTTTTTCAGTCTTTCATGTTTATAATGGAAGTATTATTTCCTCTCCTCTCACTATTGTTTTAGCAATTTGTAGTTTTCTTATTACTGTTTGTTAGATGCTTTGCAATTATAGTTTTGTATTTTTCTCTTTGGTTCAACAATTGTTTAAGTGAGATTGTTAAAGCCAAGAGCTATTGGTTTTTCATTTTTAAATTCAATTATTAATTTCTAGTATTACATAGTGATCACAGAATGTTGTCCATATCACTTCTACTTTTTGTAATGTATTTAAGTTTTCTTTGAGTCTTAATATATCATCAATTTCTGTGATCATGGGCACTTAAACAGAATGTGTACTCTTTTTTTCAGGATACAGTGTATGATATTTATAATTAAATCTGCCTAATTCATTGTGTCATCTAGACTGACTGACTTACTTTTTTCCTCTTTATCTGTCATGGCCTGAGAAAGGTGAATTAAAGTTTCCTTCTATTAGTAAGTTTCTGTTTTTCCTTATAGCTTCTCTAATTGCTTGAAGCATAAATTTTCGTTACTGTTACATCACTATTGTGAATTACCTTTATTATTATAAAGTTCATTCCTTTACCTCAGTTAATATGAATTGTACATTCTGTAATATTAGACTGTGACCTTTACATTCTCTCCTTCTCTCTCTCTTTTTTTTTCCATGTGCCTGATAATGTCATTCCCCCATTTTGGCCATTCTGAAATACTTTATCCTAGAGTGCATCCTTTGAAGACAGTGTAGAATAGGTTTAATAAACTAATCTGAAATCTCTTTGTAATTGGTTTAAGCCTACTTACTCTTATTGATATGAAAGATATATTTAATCTTAGTTTTATTATTCAATATTATGTTTTCTGAATTTATAGATTTTTTATCTTTATAAGCTTTGTTTTCTGTTTTTCTGTTTTTCTCTATTTTGCTTTCTGTGTGTGATTCTACTGATATTAAGAAAGGTTTGTGGTTTTGTTCTCACTGTTATTTTGTAATTATAGCTTTATTTAACATCCTTAGTTCTTCATAAATCTTTATTAATAAGAATTCTCTAGATAAATAGAACCAATAGGTTAGATAGATAGATTCATTATATGAAATTAACTCACATGATTATGAAGTCTGAGAAGTCCCAAGATCTTCATTTGGCAAGGTGGAGACATAGGAGAGCCAATGATAGAATTCTAGTCCAAGTGCAAAGGCCGGAGACTGAGGAAAGCCAATGGTGTTAGTTCCAGTGTGAGTCCAAAGGCCTAAGAACCAAGAGAGCTAATGGTATAAGATTCAGTCTGAGTACAAGTCTGAAGGCAGGAAAAGACCAATGTTCCAGCTCACACACAGTCAGGCAGAGAGTGTAAATGCTCTTTTCTCTTTCTTTATGTTCTATTCAGGCTTGGATGAGGCCCACCCACATTAGGAGGGCAGTCTGCTTTGCTTAGTCTACTGATTCAGATGTTCATCTCATCCAGAAACACCCTCACAGACACACCCAGAACAATGTTTAACCAAATATCTATCACACACCCAGAACAATGTTTAACCAAATATCTGGGCACTCCTGACCCAATCAAATTGACACATAAAATTAACCATCACAAGTCTCCCCCTTGTCAAGTCAGCCCCCAAATGCATCTCATTAAACCATATTTAATCTCCAAATAAAGACAATAACAAGGCTATAATTCTCCCTAACATGATACAACTATACCTTACATAACCAAAAAAGCACCTACCCTTTCCTCAGAAAAGAAAGAAAAGTTCTTGGGTGATGTTTATTCTTCTCCTTGATACCCTGTAACTTAAATATTATGATGTAAAATTAACAATACTTAAAAATACTATGATATAAAATCAGTATTTTTTTACATGATAAGAAAGAAAACAAAGGTATTTGAGGTGTGTGTCTGTGTGTGTGTCACACACGTTCATAACAAAATAAGGAGAAAACACTAATGACAACTACAGTCCTTGTTTCTGTAGCTGGCCATGTGGTCATAGCTAGTATTTACCTTTATCCACTACCCTTTTTGTATTCCCTTTGTTTTCAGCAAGCACCTCAGCTGGTAATGGTTCTTTACCTGGTTAAGTGATCCAAATCTTCACTCTATAAGATTTTGAGATGTTAGTAGTGTAATGTTGCCTGGATTGGGCTGTTGTAGTTTTCTGTTGACCTTAACCACGTTGCATGGTAATCCTGAAATGCCCTAAGGGCTCTTCTGTATTGCAGACATACTCTTCCTTACTTCCACTGTGGCATAGCAGTTCAACGTCCTCCTTGTAGTTGGGACAAATCACCCTGGTCAGAGCATTAACTCACTTCTTTGCCTGTTGATTAAGAGGCTTGAAGAGCCCAAAGTAACCAGACAGCAGACTTAACTTCCAGTTCAATGGAATCATTATGTCTCTTGGTGAAAGCCTTTCTCCTTCTGAGACTGAGGGCATGAGGTTGCAGAAACCAGAAGCAACATTTTTGCTAGTGGGTCAGTAGGGCTAATAGTGAGGGTGCCACTTCCATTTCCACCCCAATGACTCCTGGATGATGATCTTGGCTATGGGAGAAATAGCATCATACAATGGACACTGATTCAGAGTGTATACGGCCTTCTAGAGAACCTTATCCCCACCTTGCAAGATCCTACCACCTAGCTGGTGCTGTAACTGCGTCTTCAAAAGACCATTTCATTATTCTGTCAAACCAGCTGTTCAGATGGTGGGGGACATGGTAAGACCAGTGAATGCCATGAGCATAGGCCCATTGCTGCACTTCCTTTGCTGTGAAATGTTTTCCTTATTGGAAGCAAAGCTGTGTGGCATACCAGGACAGTGTATAAGACTTCTGTAAGTCCATGGATGGTTTTGGCAGAAGCATTACATGCAGGGAAGGCATATCCATATCCAGAGTTAAGTCTATTTTAGTAAGAAATAGACTGCCCCTTCTGTGATGGAAGAAGTTCCAAGGTAGTAATCAACCTACCGCCAGGTAGCTGGCTGATCACCCTGGGGAGTGGTGTCATTTTTGGACTCAGTGTTGGTCTCTGCTGCTAGCAGACTGGCATGTGACAGTGGCTGTAGCCAGGTCTGCCTTGGTAAATGGAAGTCTGTATTGCTGAACCCAAACACAACCTCCATCCCTGCCACATGGCCACTGTGTTCATGAGCCAATTGGGCAATGACAGGAGTGGCTAGTGGGAGAGAGGCTGACTGGTGTCCACAGAATGGGTCATCCTATCCACTTGATTAAAATCCTCCTCTGCTGAGGTCACCCTTAGGTGAGCATTAATGTGAGACGCAAATACCTTCATGGTTTTTTGTCCATTGAAATAAGTCTATCCACTTACCTCTTCTCCAAATTTCCTTGTCACCAGTTTTCCAATAGTGCTCCTTCCAAGTCCCTGGCCATCTAGCTAAACCATTGGTCACAGGCCTGGAATCAGTATATAATGGTTCATCTGGCCATTTCTCTTTCTAAGCACAGTGCATGACCAGGTGCACTGCCCAAAGTTCTGTCCACTGGGAGCATTTCCCTTTACCATTGTTGATTGGTAATTGCCCAGAAAGGGGCTGTAGTGCTGCAGCTGTCCACTTTAAGGTGGTTCCTGCCTGTCATGCAGAGCTATCTGCAAACCAAGTTGTGGCATTCCCTTCCTCTGTCAGCTGATCATAGAGAACTCACAAGGCCATAGGTGCAGGCTGGGAGAAAGAAGGCAGTATAGCATAAGGCCTGTTCTCTGTTTGCTTTGCTTTGCTTTCTGTATGTGATTCTACTGATATTTTAAAAGATTTGCAATTTTGTTTTCTCTGTCACCTTTGTAATTACAGCTTTATTTAATATTCTTAGTTATTCATATCTTTAGTTCCCTTATATGAGTAAATATAAAAATTGAGATCTTTCATACTTTTCCTCCTTTCCCTACCTCATCTCTGTCACTAGCTTTAGAATTTACAGCTGTATTGTGAAATATTCATATAGATTTACTTATGTGTCACTTTTAAGTGATATCTTTTTACTCCAGATAGTACACATCTGGGAAAATCAATATACTTTTTTACCCACTTTCTTTCCCATTTCTCTTTCAATGTTTTTGTTATAATTTCTACCATGTTAGGGCATACAATATTAATATTCTCTTATGCCGCTCTAATCTCCACATTTTTTAGTCTCAGTTCTACGTTTTACATATATACCTACAAATATATCATGAATTAAGTAATTTATAGATGATATCATGAGAATAACTTATAGACATTCAGTTATATATCTGCTTTAAGTAAATTAAGCAAAAACATCAGGAAATTATAAACTCAAACAAAATTGAACTCTTAAATCCAACAATTTGAAATGAAACATGGACTAAAACATTTTTCTGGCAATAATCCTTTCCATTTGGCCTTTTCTGTTCTCTTTCCAAAATCCCTACCTCAAAAAAATCAACCAAGAAATCAAAAAGCAGCTATACAGTATCATCAAATCCATGTTAAATCCACATATGGTTTGGAAATATTTGAGACCTAGCCATGTATAAGCAAAGGCAGATGCTTAAATTTTTTTTTTTTTTTAGTTGAAGTATCAGTATTATTAACGCTGTTGGGTATTAGAAATACTCTCAATTCCACCCACTAGAATATACTATTGTAACTTAACACAACATCCTAGAATTGATATCCTCTTTTCCTTTCAGATCCTAAGAGCGATCCCGCAATTCATTCATCTTGAATAGACTCATAGAGCTTCAAGAGTGGGCTTCTGAAGCCCACTCCAACTCCATTCTTGTTCCTTGGTCCCTCTGGAGCTGGTCTGGCCCCTAAGGATGTGAGCCAAAGGTTTCTAAATGTTTGATGAGTTCCAGAGTGTTTGAGTTAATTTTTGTTGATGCACTGACAGTTGGGGCACTTCAAAAAAATTCATGGGTTTACTGTTTTTCTTGATTTTTGCATAGGTTACTTCACTTTTCTTAGTTTTTAAAATATGAATAATAATGCCTTCCTTGCCGGTTTCACAGACTCCGTTTTATTTGTATGTGAGGGCTAAATTAGCAATGCATGTAAAAGTACTTTACAAGATGTATAATACTAAACAAATAGGAGAGTAACATTATTTAATTTTGTTTGGTGGCAGGTAAAGGGGAGAAAATAGCATAGAACCACTTATATCATAGTCTCAGTGATAGAAACCAGTGGAAGACAGCACATGGTAAGACTCTAAAATTGTGTTTAATTTTCTTTATTCAACTACATACTGCCATGTGCTAAATGTCTAAGTTTCCACTAATTATTCATCAGAGCTGGCAAGTATAGCTTGACATTTGATCTACACACCTTGCCTGGAAAGTATATCAATGTCATCCGTATTCTTGTACTTGCTTTCCCGAATAATTTTTATCAACACATTGGCACCAGCTGTGGCTTCAAAACATTCAAAGCAGCCATATTTAAATACTTTAAAATCTAGTGAATAGGAATTTTATTGGACCTAACAAAATTGTTGCCAAATGGGACATTTGAGAGCAGGACTAACTTTTGAACACGTTTTTAAACACAATGGTGTTGAAAGCTTGTGAATCAAATGTTTTTATATTGTGAATTTTGATAGTTTGACTCTAATCAGTGTGTCCCTGAAACTTTGACTATGGAAGAAAAGGAGTAGAGCAGGTTGGCCGAATAGAACGCTCCACTGTGTCCCACTCCACCCCCACAAGGATACCAATTTAATAACCATCTACATGAAAAAAAGCACTCTCATAAGAACAGAAAATCAAGCAAGCACCCACAGTACCTAGTTTTAAATTCATATTGCTGAAAGAGGCACTGAAGAGGGTAGGAGACAGTCTTGAATCACTGATGCCACTCTTCCCCCCGTATTCCCTGGCAGCTGCTGCATGGCATGGAGAATGAATCTGTGTACTTTGGAGAGGAAGAGTGCAGCAATTGTGAGACGCTGCACTGAACTCAGTGGTGCCTTGTCATAGCAGAAAGCAAAACAATGCTGAAATCAGCTGACTCCTGCCACAGAGGTAGTATTTAAACCAGCCCTAGCCAGAGGGGACTCACCCATCCCAGTGGTTAGCACTTGAGTTTTGGCAACCCTTGCCACTGTAAGCTAAAGTGCCCTGGGGTATTAAATAAACTTGAAAGGTAGTCTAGGCCACAAGGACTGCAACTCATAGGAGAGCCTTAGGGCTGAACTGGGCTCAGAGCTAATGAATGGGGGCAGCATGGGACCTACTGAGCCAGTAGTTGGGGCAGCTAAGGGAGTGCGTACGCCACCCCTCCCCCAACCCCAGGCTGCACAGCTCGTGGCTCCAAAAGAGGCCCTTTCTCTTTCTGCTTAAGGAGAGGGATGAGTGGGGAGGACTTTTTTGCTCAGTCACAGTAGGATAGGGCACCAGTCAGAGTTTGAGGCCCCCTTTCTAGCTCCTGGACAATGTTACTAGATACACCCTGGGCCACAAGGGAACCTGCTGCCTTGAAGGGAAGAACTCAGTCTTGACAGGACGTATCACCTGCTGATTAAAGAGCCCGTGGGCACGGAATAACCAGTAGCAATACCCAGGTAGTATATTATGGGCCTTGGGTGAGACTCTGAGACTTTCTGGCTCCAGGTGAAACTTCACACATTCCCAGCTGTGGTGGCTAAAGGGGAGAAGACTCCTTCTGCTTGAGAAACTCAGAGGGAACAGTTAGGGGGTTTTGCCTTGCACCCTTGGTAACAGCTTGGCCACAGCAGGGTAGAGCACAAAGCAGGTTCTTGGGGTCCCTGATTCCAGGCCACTGCTCTTGGATGGCATCTCTGGAACTGTGCTGGGCCAGAGTGGAGCCCACTGCCCCGAAGTGTGAATCCCAGTACAGGCAGCGTTCATGACAAGCTGACTGAAGAGCCCTTGGGCCTTAAGGGAACACTGACAGCAGCCTGGCAGGACTCCCCATGGGCCTGTGGTGGTGGCCACTGAGTGAGGCTCCTCTGCCTGTGGAAAGGGGAGGGTAGAGTGGGAAGGCTGCACATTGTGGTTGAGTGCCAGCTCAGCCACAGTACAATAGAATACCGGGTAGACTTCTAAGGTTTTTGACTCTAGTCCTTGGCTCCCAGATGTCACCTCTGGACCCTCTGGGGCCTGAGAGAACTTGCCACCCTGAAGGAAAGTACGTAAGACTGGCAGGCTTCCCTACCTGCTGATTGTAGAGCTCCAGGGTCTTGAGTAAACGTAGGCAGTAGCCAGGTAGTGGTTATAACAGGCCTTGGATGAGACCCAGTGCTGCGCTGGCTTCAGGTCTGACCCAATGTAGTCATAGTGGTGGTGGCCACAGTGGTGCTTGTGTTACTCCACCCCCAGCTCCAGGTGGCTCAGAACAGAGAGAGAAACTTCAATTGTTTGGGAGAAAGTAAGGGAGGAGAATAAGGGTCTCTGCTGGATAATTCAGAGACTTATTCCAGATCTTATCCAAGATCATCAAGGCAGTACTTCGTGAGTCCGCAAGAACCATAGCATTACTGGACTTGGAGTGCTCCCCAATGCAGACATGGATCACAATCCCAAGTCTTTTCAAATACCTGGAAAGCCTTCTCAAGAAAGGTAGGTACAAACAAACAAGACCAAACTGTGAAGACTACAATAAATACCTAACTCTTCAATGCACAGACACAGATGAACATACGCAAGCATGAAGACCATCCAGAAAAACACGACCTAACCAAATGAACTAAATAAGGCACCAGGGACCAATCCTGGAGAAACAGAGATATGTGACATTTCAGACAGAGAATTCAAGATAGCGGTGTTGAGGAAACTAAAATACATTCAAGATAACATAGGAAGGAATTCAGAATTCTATCAGATAAATCTAACAAAGGTTGAAATAATTAGTAAGAATCAAGTAGAAATTCTGGAGTTGAAAAATGCAATTGACTTTCTGAAGAATGCATCAGAGCCTTGTAATAGCAGAATTGATGAAGCAGAAGAAAGAATTAGTGAGCTTGAAGACAGGCTATTTGGCAATATACAGTCAGAGGAGACAAAAGAAAAAAAAGAATAAAAAACAATGAAGCTTGCCTGTGGGATTTAGAAAATAGCCTCAGAAGGGAAAATCTAAGAGTTATTGGCCTTTAAGAGGAGGTAGAGAAAGAGATAGGGGTAGAAAGTTTATTCAAAGAGATAGTAACAGAGAACTTCCAAACCCAGTGAAAGATATCAAGATCTAAGTATAAGAAGGTTATAGAATACCAAGCAGATTTTTTTTTTTTTTTTTTTTTTTATTATACTCTAAGTTTTAGGGTA
Organism: Homo sapiens; assembly: GCF_000001405.40. Classification (NCBI taxonomy): domain Eukaryota; kingdom Metazoa; phylum Chordata; class Mammalia; order Primates; family Hominidae; genus Homo; species Homo sapiens. The sequence goes on along the minus strand of NC_000001.11, from coordinate 86,275,971 downwards.
CATGTGCACATTGTGCAGGTTAGTTACATATGTATACATGTGCCATGCTGGTGCGCTGCACCCACTAATGTGTCATCTAGCATTAGGTATATCTCCCAATGCTATCCCTCCCCCCTCCCCCGACCCCACCACAGTCCCCAGAGTGTGATATTCCCCTTCCTGTGTCCATGTGATCTCATTGTTCAATTCCCACCTATGAGTGAGAATATGCGGTGTTTGGTTTTTTGTTCTTGCGATAGTTTACTGAGAATGATGGTTTCCAATTTCATCCATGTCCCTACAAAGGATATGAACTCATCATTTTTTATGGCTGCATAGTATTCCATGGTGTATATGTGCCACATTTTCTTAATCCAGTCTATCATTGTTGGACATTTGGGTTGGTTCCAAGTCTTTGCTATTGTGAATAGTGCCGCAATAAACATACGTGTGCATGTGTCTTTATAGCAGCATGATTTATACTCATTTGGGTATATACCCAGTAATGGGATGGCTGGGTCAAATGGTATTTCTAGTTCTAGATCCCTGAGGAATCGCCACACTGACTTCCACAATGGTTGAACTAGTTTACAGTCCCACCAACAGTGTAAAAGTGTTCCTATTTCTCCGCATCCTCTCCAGCACCTGTTGTTTCCTGACTTTTTAATGATTGCCATTCTAACTGGTGTAGATTTAACTTAAAGAAGTTAAACACATTTACCCCAGAATAGTATATCCAGGAAAATATTCTTCAAACGTGAAGGAGAAATACTTTCCCAGACAAACAAAAGCTGAGGGATTTCATCAATACCAGACCCATCTTCAAGACATCTAATAGTCAAACTTTCAAAGGTCAAGGGTAAAGAAAGAATCCTAAAAGCAGCAAGATAAAAGAAGCAAATAACCTACAATGGAGGTCCAATACGTCTGGCAACAGACTTTTCAGTGCAAATTTTACAGGCCAGGAGAGAGTGCTGAAAGAAAAAAAACACTTTTACCCCAGAATAGTATATCCAGTGAAAATATTCTTCAAACATGAAGGAGAAATACTTTCCCAAACAAACAAAAGCTGAGGGATTTTATCAATACCAGACCCATCCCGCAAGAAATGCTAAAGGGAGTACTTCAATAAGAAAGAAAAGGACATTAATGAGCAATAAGACATCATCTGAAGGTACAAGACTCACTAGTAATAGTAAGTACATAGAAAAACAGAAAATATGATAACACCATAACTGTGGTGTGTAATCTACTCTTATCTTAAACAGAAAGACTAAAAGTTGAATGAATCAGAAATAATAACTACAACTTTTCAAGCCATAGTACAGCAAGATATAAATTGAAACAACAAAAAGTTAAAAAGCAGGGAGAGTCAAAGTATAGAGTTTTTATTAGTGTTCCTTTTGTTTATTTGTTTATGCAAAGAATGTTATCACCTTAAAATAATGGGTTATAAAATAGTATTTGAAATCTTGACTGTGATTTTCAAAATCAACTAGATTATTATTCAAATAGGCCTACCAGTTGGGAAAAAAATTTCTGTTGCATTGGACTTAGTCTACAATGATTGGATTTTGAACACCCACTAAAATTCCGACAAAATGCCCTCTAATGGATAAGCCTCTGTTTCCCTTTAGAGATGCTCTGAACCCATGTTTTAGAAGTAGGTTTAATGTACACAAACTATCACAAGCATTGAATTGGAGATTGCAAACAGAAACAGTCTTGCAGAATTCTAACCTTTTCAATTTTTCTTCAGATTATTTATGGTGTAGGGAGAGAATAGGACAAGAAGTCTTCTAGTTTCCAAGGCTTTCAAGGCCTTTGAACTAGCAGTCTACAGAAATTTCCTTGAACCACACATGAAGGTGACAAAGACAATTTAAACTGAGTATTCACATTCATTTTCTATAATGAAAATTATTGATGAGAATATTTTGTTAATATTGAATTTCCTAGAATGAGTCAGTCAATGTACTCAGTACTTGGCACACATGATCTTATGTAATCTCATAACAATCTCATGAGGTGAGTATAATTACTCCATGTCATCAGTAGGTGCAGAAAGCTCAAGGACCTTGTTGAGGTCTAGCCACAAAGCAAAGCTTGTGTTCTTTTTTTTTTTCAGACGAGTCTCGCTCTGTCACCCAAGCTGGAGTGCAATGGCATGATCTTGGCTCACTGCAACGCACTCTGCCTCCTGGGTTCAAGCAATTCTCCTGCCTCAGCCTCCCAAGTAGCTGGGAATACAGGTGCATGCCACCAAGCACAGCTAATTTTTTTGTATTTCAGTAGAGACAGGGTTTCACCGTGTTGCCCAGGCTGGTCTTGAACTCCTGAGCTCAGGCAATCCACCTGACTCAGCCTCCAAAAGTGCTAGAATTACAGGCATGAGCAACCGTGTCTGGCCCAAAGCTTGTGTTCTTAATCATGATACACCCCCCTCCCTTTTTTTTCATCTAAGCACGCTATCAATTTTTTTAATTTTGGTTTTGTAATACTGTAGCATGGCAGAACTTCATCACTTTTCTTTCAAAAATTTAACAATAAAGACTTGAGTAAATACATATGGACAATGTGGACATTTGGAAAACAAATGTTGATTTTCAGGCTTCCTATTGATATTTTACTTGAAGAATTCTTCTGAAATATATGTATATTCATCCACTGAAACTGGCATTGGGCCAAAGTTAAACTCTCCTGATGTCCAGTGGATGATGACATTTTCCAAGCATCCATTTGACACACAAATATGCTACACTAGGGATAATATCTAACATGAAAAATGTGGAAAAGGAACCATCCCAAATTTGTGCTGATCCAAGGCAGTTTATTGTCATCCCATCAAACTGAACTCATTCCTCCTGGAAATGCAAATAATTCTTTAGGTGAAGAGAATTTTAAAAGCCTGCATTTGAACATCAGCCTCCTCTTGGAGGAGCTGAGAATTCGGTTTGTTCAAACTCACGCAATGGTGGTTATTTCAGTCTCTGGATGAGCTTACCCATTTCTGATCTTGCCCTATTAAGAGTAACTTGAGGCCGGGCGCGGTGGCTCACGCCTGTAATCCCAGCACTTTGGGAGGCCGAGGCGGGTGGATCATGAGGTCAGGAGATCGAGACCATCCTGGCTAACAAGGTGAAACCCCGTCTCTACTAAAAATACAAAAAATTAGCCGGGCGCGGTGGCGGGCGCCTGTAGTCCCAGCTACTCGGGAGGCTGAGGCAGGAGAATGGCGTGAACCCGGGAAGCGGAGCTTGCAGTGAGCCGAGATTGCGCCACTGCAGTCCGCAGTCCGACCTGGGCGACAGAGCGAAACTCCGTCTCAAAAAAAAAAAAAAAAAAAAAAAAAAAAAGAGTAACTTGAGTTTAAACGTTAGTATCAGTTTTACTAATCTTATTTCTGAAAGGGACATAAATTAGTAATAAATGTTTTATTAAATTTTAGTCTTACAGAGTTTATCTATTCCTACATGTAATCTTATTGGGCTGAAGTAAAATTTCCCATAGGTATTTAATTTGATTAGATTTACTATGTATTTTTAGTTAAAAAAGACATCTATTAAGGTTCACTAATCACATGAGTTTATGCAGACATATTTTTGCCTAAAGCTGAGCATATTCAAAAGTGAGACAGTGGCTCAATAAATGACGATGCATTCAGTCAGATGATTTCTTTCTTGAAGTGGAAATGAGAGGCATTTCTATGTTCCATTAACATATGCATGTTAAATGTAAGGCTCATGTGACCTGTCCAGGCATGGAGATCACAGGATTCTCTAATGACTAAAATATTTTTACATTTCAGCCGTGCTTTCCATGCTGTTTGTGTTAAATAATATTTTTGGTTATCCGTTTTATAGACAGGTCATCTTATCTTCATAACTAACTTTGGAAATATAAAGAATTCTGTCATTTTTACACAATATAAAGAACTATCTGAACTCACACAATTTTAAAAATTATAGGATTATTAAGTCTTAAGCAAACATACATTATTTCTGGCAATAGGCAATGACTGTATATGACAAAAGCAATACAGTACATGAAGTCTGGATTTTTTTTTGCTGTTGTTAAAAGGGGATGGATTAAGAGATTTATTCCATCCAGATTAAGAAATTAATAATTTCTGCAACATTCCTTGCACACCATCTCCTTCTCAGAGGACTAAGAATTGTGGAGAGTTAGGGGGTAGAACCTGGAAGCAGGAAGTTGGTTCCTTCCTAAAAATCTTTGGTACTGTATGGAGTCTCTGCCAGATAGCAGATAGCGACATTTTCTACTTAGATGATCCTGCCAACAAGGCATTTTGCTTGGGCAAGAAGAAGAAGCTAAAGCTACAGCAGCTCCATAGACCAGGCTTCTGCCACCCTGTATGCTCCACAGAATTCCAGCTCAGGCTAAGAGATGTCACTGGGAAAAAACGTTCTGACCTTCAATAACCATGAACAGTATTGGAGAACAGTTTGGTCTCTGTTGGCTGGTTGAGAACGACTAAATTAAGCTTTCTAAGCCTCAGTTTCTTTTCCTGAAAAGTGGGGTTCATGATACATATGTACCATAGGGCTGTTTAGAATTAAGTGAAACAAAGAATGAAAATACTTAACACAGGGCCTGACATATTTTAAGCTTCACTAAATGATAAAGATTCTTTATATTTTTATACTATGGGCTCAGAATGTGAAATTCTTGTTGTTGCCAGAAAAAGTCAAGCTAGAAATAGCAATTTATTTGGCTGGACATCTGTGAAATTTGCTCTAGGGAAGAGGTTTCAGAACGCTGTATTAGTGCATTCGTGGCAACAACAAACCCAAAGAAGCAAAATGTACAAAATCTTTACTCATGTGGCATATCTTCAACATATTTGAATGAGTGAGTCATTTATACTGGAAAAAAAATCTTGTTATCAATAAATTTATCTCACAATTTGTCTCACCTTTCATTGCCTTTTCTCTACAGAATAGTTTTAGGAAGTTGTTTTTTCTTTAAAGTTCAGTTTCAATTTGCACTCTAAAACTGTAAACAGAGAGAAGTAATGAAACAGTAATAATCCACAGGCCTCCTCAGTGTATTCGGATAAAAGAAACAATTGGGCACTTGGTGGCTGTGGTGATAATGGTGATTTGGAGGAATTTTGAAATGTATTTCTGACCATTAAGTTTGCTAAAAGTCCACAGACTGCCAAGAGTTTGTCAGGAAACCAATAGAATTATTCTCTTTCCTAATTAATATTCACCAAACTTTCAAGGAAAGCCTGGTATATTATATTTAGTGCCATGAGATCTATGGTTCCTTAACAAAATCTGGTTCCTAATTTCAAAGTGCTACTACTTCTACTGGCATGATCAAGAGACACTTATTATATACTCACTACCTGTGAGGCACCATGCTAGATTCTGCAATTATCAGAAGAAACTAGGTAGGATCCTTGTCCTCTAAAGTCTTATTATCTAGTTGGAAGAATAGGGCATCTGTAAGTTCAAGACTGAGTCCTTTCAAGACAAAACTATATTTTATTATAGACTGGCTGTAGGGTCAAGAGGTAAAATGGCATCAAAGTATTGGATCAGCTCTTACCTGTTGGATCATTGCACTCATTGTCGTACTCAAACTTTAATATGCTTTTGAATTACCCAGAGAGCTTGTTCAAAAGCAGATTATGATTCAATGGGTCTGGGGTGCAACCTAAGATTCTCAATTTCTAACAAGCTTTCAGGTGATGTTGATGCTGTTGGTCCACAGAACACACTTTGAAAAGAAAGTCTCTAGAGCAGTGGTCTCAAACTGGCTGCACAAAGAATCACCTGGGAAACAAAAATCCTGATGTCTCCAACCCTCTTTACGGGTGGAAAATTCCCCACTCCACCCCACTTCACACAAGGATCTGGGAGCTTTTGCCTCTCCTCAGGCTTCCTGGCTTCAATCAATAGGGGGTCAAAAGTGTGCCCCACAAGCTTGGAGCAAGACTGCTCCTTTCCTGGCTTGGCAATTTTACATATTGCCTGGAAAGCTGATAAAAATGAAAGAAGATGAAAGACAGGAATCCATGTGTCATCAGAATCATGCAGTCACTCCAAAATGTTCCAAGTATTCCTCCAAGTCATACTAATAGACCAAGGTTCTGTGGTGTTTCCTAAGTATTTTTGAACGAAAGCTTACAAAAAATTGCATTTGTCTGTGTTTTCCACATTGAAACTACATATCTATTTATCACAGTTTCTTCATTGTACACTGGGAGGTCTTAATTAATATTAAGGATGATACTCAAGTAAGAGTAAGTATTAACTAAAAACATAGGTAAATGAAAGCAATTATATATTTGGAATATTGAGTAGTTAAGATGTAGTGTTGATTTCTTTTGTATTAGCAGCTTCTAACTTTACTGGAAGATGCCAAATTTATAGATGCTGAAATTAGTGAGGATACAACTGATGAGGTCACATAAGATGGATGTCTCTCTTTTTCTAAGCAGGGTTTTATTTTATGATTAGCTGATTCATATATCTTCCTAGCTACATGTGAAATATTTTTAATGCTGGTCCACCAAGACTTTTCAACAGCTTCTTTTAGCTTGCTTAATGACCATTTAATGGTAGCAAAACTATAGGTAAAAATGTAATCTTAGAAATTGAGGTTTTTCTTTTTCTACTCTCCTTATGAAATATATTAGGCTGATACACCATGTTGCTGTCTACCAAGATATTTTCTTTCAGAACACTGATTTGAACCAGTCTTTCACCAGCCACTTCCCTCCCAAATCCTTCCACTGTGCCTTTGGAATACATAGTTCATCATGGTTTGTTGAATATACATCATGCTTTGTTGTATAATAACTACCTTATGGGGCTGTTAGGAGGATTTAATGAGACGTGCATATAACACGTCTAGCACCATGCCTGGAACACACTCATCATTCAATGGCAGCCAACCTTTAGTGTTGTTACAACTGCTATTACTATTTTAGTTAAGTGTTCCAAGCAAAAAGAGTAGTACGTACAAAGACAGCGGGGATGGTGGTAGAGGCCAGCAGGGTGGCTTAGGGAGAGTCTACGTAGAATGGTTCAGGACTGGATTCATATTAGGATTCCAATCCTGGCTCTGCCACTTTATTGCTGTGTGACATTGGGAAGTCTGCTTCTTCATTTTCAAAATGGGAGATAATAATAGTGCTTACTTCAGAGGAATATTGTGGGGATTAAATTAGAAAATAATGCAAAAGTTCCTCACCCAGTGTCTGACACATAGTAAGTTTTCAGTACGTTTTAGCTAAGACAAAAACAATTGGTCAGAAGGCCTTTAGATGTATTTCCCTTTCCTAGTGATAATGCCGTCTTCTGAATAGGAGGTAGCTTCTCCACTTCCTCTTGGAAATGCTAATATTCACCCAGGTAATGGTCTCTTGGTTTGACCAAGGATTTCCTAGCTGGACACAGGAGTGCTTCCACTTCATGTGTCTCAGCACTGCAGCAGCAATTATACAGTGAGAATCTTTGTATTATTCCCATATATTTCTTGCAAATATAGTTCCCATTGATCCTTTTTGTGGGTTTATATTCGCTTTCATGGTTTGTACTGTTTTTATCAGGTTTTAATATTATAGCTATGCTAGCTTCCTAAAATGAATCAGGGAGCTTGTCATCTTTTCTATGGGTTGGAGTAACACAAATAATATAGGCATTACCTATTTTAAGAGTAAAATCTAACCCAATTACAAAACTGTTTTTGTCTTCTTACATTTTTATCTGGCATCTCTCTCTTTTTTTTCATTATTTTTAGTTTTTGAGACAGTCTTGCTCTGTCGCCCAGGCTGGAGTGCAATGGGGTGATCTCGGCTCACTGCGACCTCCACCCCCCAGGTTCAAGAAATTCTGCCTCAGCCTCCCGAGTAGCTGGGATTACAGGTGCCCACCACTATGCCTGGTGGCAATAATTTTTGTAATTTTAGTAGAGATGGGGTTTCACCATGTTGGCCAGGCTGGTCTTGAACTCTTGATCTCAAGTGATCCTCCTGCCTTGGCCTCCCAAAGTGTTGGGATTACAGGCATGAGCCACTGCGCCTGGCTGCATATCTTTTTTTAATGGGAGATCTTTAATTATCTTTCCAATGTAGTCTATAGTTATGAGTCTAGGTTTTTTAAATCTCTTCTTGGATCAACTTTGGCACTTTATATTTTATAGGAAATCATACAATTCTTCTAGATTTTCAAATTGTTTATCATACAGAAACACATAATATTTTCTTATAGTTCTTTTAACCTATTCGGTATCCGTGGTATCTTTCTCATTGCTAATCTCACATGTTTTTGTTTTCTCTTCTTTTTAAGGAGATTTACTGGGTCTTTCCATTTTTTTTCTTTTTTGCTAGTTTCTATTTTCTTCATTATTTTAATCTTTTATCTTTATTAATTCAAGTCTCTTACTTTTTTTAGTTTACTTTGGTATTTTTCTAATACTTAAAGTTAAATCATTTAATTTTAGTCTTTATTTTTAATCATAAAGTATGGAATAAGTAAGTTTTTCTCTGAATTTAGCCTTGGTTACATCTCACATATTTTAATATAAAGTGGTCTTTTCGTTACTTTCTAAAAAGTTTGTTTTTGTTTGGGTGCAGTGGCTTACACCTGTAATCCCAGCATTTGGGGAAGCCGAGGTGGGATTATTGCTTGAGCCCAGGAGTTTGAGACCAGCCTGGGAAACAGAGTGAGACCCTATCTCTACAAAAAAATAAAAATTAGCCAAGCATGGTGTGCACATCTGTAGTCCCAGCTGCTTGGGAGGCTGAGGCTGGAGAATTGTTTGAGTCAGGAGTTGAAGATTTCAGTGAGCTATGATCATGCCACTGCACTCCATTCTGCCTGATTGGCAGAGCAAGAATCTCAATGAAAAAAAGTTTGTTTTTTACTTCGGTCTAAGATTATTTTGAGTGTTTCTTAATTTCCAGTGTTTATGTTTTTACTGCTTTTTAATTGTTGATTTCTAGTTATTAGGTTATAGTCAGAAAATAAGGCCTGAAAACATTCCTGCTTTCTAGGATGTATTAGGGTTCTTTGTAACCAAATATATAACCAAATATTATAATTAGAGAAATAATATGTATTCTTTGTTTGTAGGATAAATATTTTTATTGTGTTTATTATGTTTCTAAAGTTGTCCTTCATTTTCTATGAGTTTCTTTGGTCTAATATTGCCTGGCACAAAAAGTGGTATGTTATCTCTTTTTGAATTGTGCCTCTTGTCATTTCATAATGTACCTCTTTTTCCTTGAATTCTTATTTAGTCTAACGTTAATATTGTGACTTTTTTTCTTTTTGCATGTATATTCATAGTATATATTTAATAGTCACTTATTTTTGCCCTTTCTTTGTCCTTTCCTTTTAGGTATGTTTCTTATTAATAACACTGAGCAGTTAGGAAGCAGATGTGCCTCTCCAGGGAAACTCACAAGTGTCCACTGACCTAGTATCTGCGGAGAACCATAGCAGTTGTGGTCTCTCTCCCCAGCTTCAAGCAAGGGCAACTTTTCCCTGTGTCTGGTTCTTTTGCTGTCACCTGAAGCCACAGAAAATGATCTGAACCTGCTCAGTCCCTGGACATATCTGGGGAATACAAAGTCTCAGAGTCGCTCTCTAAGAATTGCCAGCATGTTCTAGAGATTCTTTAGATGCATAGCTGCATGGAGCAAAACAGGGTCAGGGGATGTGTGCCGAGGCCAAGGTCTTCTCTTATGTTTCAAAAATATTAACATTTCAGGCCTGTCTTCTTTTAAAGGATAGCTCATGTATATGATTTTTTAAAAAAAAATCTACCAAATCAAATAAAGAAGTCCTGGGAGTTCACCCGGTGTTTTCTACAGAACCAAGGTATTCATATTGAGATCCTTCAATATAATCAGCTATGTGACCTTGGTTAAGTTAATTAATGCCTCTGAAACTGAGGTTCCTCATCTGTGAAATGGAGATATTCAACAAAGCACCCTGTGGGGATTAGATGAGATTGCACATCTGACTGCCTAGAGTATAGTAAGGGGTCACTGTTTCCTCTTCACTCCTCAGGAAAATTTGATTGAACAAGGATAGAAACTTTGATTCTAGGGACAGAAGGTCTTCAGAAGTCTTTGAGGCCAGAGGGCCTGTCATAGAACTGCAGTGTAGGTTCATTAAAACGCTGTCATCCTAATGTTTATCCACAGTATCTAATAGATTTAAAAGGAAGACAATATGGCACAGACTATTTCGGAAACCTATGCCCATTCTGCCAAGAGGATATCGCTATTGGTGGTCAGACTATTTCACTTATAAGGTTTCTTTTTTCCTTAAGTCATAAAGATTAACATTTACTAAAAATTTGAGGGTCCATTAATGGACTCCCACATGGCTTTCCTCTTTCCTTTGAGCTGGATTCATTTTCACTGAGTCCCGAGTCCTGCACATCTGACAATTGCTTCAGACCTTGGACATGCTTGAATTATTTTATGCAAATCATTTGAAAAGGCAAAGTACCACTGTTCTTTCTTGAGTTTCTTCGTAAACTGGTTTCTAATTTATCTGCTGCTTTTTCTCGATCCAATTTGTGCCTATGTCTTACTATAGATTCTTTGGAAATAAAGAAATAAAGAATATATCTGTAGCTATTTTGTTAAACTAAGAATGTTTTAAAATATTTTATTGTAAAATAAAATTCCTTTGTTCTCTCAGAACTTAGTTTCATAAAAATCATTCACTAGGAATGATTGTGTCAGGCAACATTATTTAATAATTGATATCTACCCTAAAACAACAGAAACATTGCTTAGGAATAACTCTGCATTTATATACATTAGCTATAGTACATTAGATTATTAGATTAGATTCTTTTCTAACCTGGCCTTAAGTAGAATAGGACTTTTTTTTGGTCTATAACTTTTTGGTTTAAATGTTTACTGGGTTGTTATTGAGGGTTTTGTTGTTGTTTAGTTTTGCTTTCATTAAATCATTAAAACCTTAAATTAAAGATATTATCTTAGATAATAGTTTTATTTTATTTTTAACTGAGCACATTGAAAGAACAAATGCAAATTAAAGTAGGTAGCATTGGGCTAAATTAAAAGCATGCTGGATAACTGACTCTACTGGAAATCTTTTTATTTTATTTTATTTCATTTTATTTTTTGAGACAGAGTTTCACTCTTGTTGCCCAGGGTGGACTGCAATGGCGCTATCTCGGCTCACTGCAACCTCTGCCTCCCGGTTTCAAGTAATTCTCTTGCCTCAGCCTCCCAAGTAGCTGGGATTACAGACATGCAACACCATGCCTGGCTAGTTTTGTATTTTTAGTAGAGATGGGGTTTCACCATGTTGGCCAGGCTGGTCTCGAACTTGTGACCTCGGGTGATCCACCTGACTCGTCCTCCCAAAGTAGTGGGATTTCAGGCATGAACCATCACGCCTGGCCTTGGAAATCTTTTTAACTGCATGCTTTAGTCAAACAAAAATCGTTAGCTCTCTTTTTATTAAGCAAACAGTCTCTACATATAAATTACACTGAGCAATGTATGTGATTATGAAGCATAAATAGAATTTTGATGGCATGTACTCACAAATGCTCCCAAATGTAGGTTAATATGCAGTGCCCTTTCATTTGGTAGTTGGAAATTGAGACCCTGGCAGGAGTGATAAATATTGGAATTAGGGTCTTAATAGCAGAGCATGTAGAACATTTAATCTTCTACTTAGGATTTGAAATGCAATAAAATAGAGCCAGTTTCACTCTCCAGACTAATGCTCACTTTTGCATGTCGTGCCTCCAAAAGGAAAGTAGCAGCGGCCACAGTGGCCACCTTCAGCAGGAAGCAACACACAGTGGCAATTCCATGCTCGCAAGGGGCGATTCAGCACAGCTATTGGCTTGGCCCTGGGGCTACAGGACTGGTGTGATACCTTAAATGCATGGGCAGCACCAAAAAGGAGCTAGGTTTCTGCATGAAAATAATTTCTATCAAAGTGCCTTCCAAGAACAGCATTCTTCTAATGGGTGTTTGGCCTCTGATTTCAGTCTCTTTTTCTTTCACCTCAAATAACTTAAAAAAAACAAACAAAAAAGTATCTGGAGTTTGTACTTACTGTGGTACCCAGAGGCAGACAAGCCACAAAGACCAGTCTACAGAAGTCATGAACCCGGTGCCAGGCACTTGGAGGGGCTCAATAATGGTAGCTGTTATTTTATGGAAACAAAGGGCAGTTGTAGGGGTGGTTCTCCAGACCTGGGTCCAAGCTAAGATTTTCCGTTTTATATTTGAATTAGTTTTGCTAACTGAATTCTCATGAGTAGAGATGAAATCTGCATGCTTGCCTGAATTTTACAATCAAGTCTATCAGAAAGGTCAGCCATTCACTTCTCTGGGTTCAGGCTTTTCGGTATTTATTAAACTCCCACCCCATGGTCCTCTCTGACTCTTGCTACGTCTGCCTTTTACAGCTCACTGCTTCCACGTCCTCGCTATTCAGTCTGGCCTCTGCTCCCACTTCCACGGCCCTCATCTGTGTCCATCTAGTTATTAAATCCTTATCTTCCTTGATCTCTTTGCAGCAGTTGACATAGGAAATACTCTCTCTGACTCAAAATTCTCTCTATCTTGGTTTCCATGACAGCTCTGGCTACTCCTTCTCAGACTTCTCCAAAGGTTCCTCCTCCTCCCTCGTATTTCTGTCTCAGCTCTCTCCTCATCCTACACTTTCTCTTAGCAGTCTCATCCATTTCCGTGACTTCAACCACCACATGCGTGCTGGTAAGTCACAAATCTCTTCCCTTAGCAGCAAGGGAACTCCAAATTTTTACATCCAAACTCTTAGTCAACATCCGCACTTGTTATATCAGAGACACCTTTAGCTCACATGTACAAAATGAAACTCATCATCTCCTTCAAGTCTGCCCCTTTTCCACCCATTTGCTTAAGCCAACATTGTGTAACTTTTCTTTTGTGCCCCATAGCACTTTGTAAATAATTTTGTTAAAATGCTTATTGCCCTATGTTGTAATTGTCTTTTTAAAAATCTGTCTTCTGGCCGGGCTCAGTGGCTCACGCCTGTAATCCCAGCACTTTGGGAGGCTGAGGCGGGTGGATCACCTGAGGTCAGGAGTTCAAGACCAGCCTGGCCAACATGGCAAAACCCCATCTCTACTAAAAATACAAAAATTAGCCGGCCATGGGGTGGCATGCACCTGTAGTCCCAACTACTCGGGAGGCAGAGGCAGGAGAATTACCTGAACCCGGGAAGCAGAGGTTGCAATGAGCTGAGATCGCGTCACTGCACTCCAGCCTGGGTGACAGAGCAAGGCTCCATCTCAAAAAATAATAATAATAAAAATTTGTTTTCTTCATGAAGACTGTCATTGTCCAAAGGTCTAGTACGTTGTTTGTAACAGAAGAAATCATTAAGTGACCTTGGCACACAGGAATGCTAGATAATGTCTCAAACTAGCTGGGTTGTATTTCAATTTAAATTAAAACATGCTGAGCATGGTGTCTCATACCTTTAATCCCAGCACTATGGGAGGCCAAGGCGGGCGGATCACTTGAGGCCAGGAGCTTGGAGACCAGCCGGTCAACATGGCAAAACCCATCTCTCCTAAAAAAAAATACAAAAATTAGCTGGATGTGGTGGCGCACGCCTGTAATCCCAGCTACTCCATAGGCTGAGACACGAGAATTGCTTGAACCCAGGATGTGGAGGTTGCAACGAGCTGAGATTGCGCCACTGTACTCCAGCCTGGGTGACAAAGTGAGACTCTGTCTCAATAAATAAATAAATAAATTTATTAATTAATTAAAACACTAAAATACCCACTTTAAAGTGTGAAGTCATCTTTAACTTTAACTTTAATGACTGAATTGGCTATTTTAGCTATTCACACAAGTAATGGATTTCTTTGCATTCAGTCTTTGTGAGGTATCAAACATTTGACAATCTTTTTTTTATCAACTTTATTTAATTCAAATTTACATCAATATAAAACATACTAATTGAAAGTGTACAAATATACTCACTCATCACCCCAATCAAGATATAGAACATTTCTATCATTCCAAATATTTTCTTCTCCCTTCTCTCCACACCTGGTCCTGGGCAACTAGTAATCTGCTTTCTGTCCCTACAAATTAGTTTTGTCTGTTCTAGAATTTCACATGAATGAAATCAAACAGTATGTATTCATTTATGTCAGGCTTCTTTGGCTCAACATTTTTTAAAGATTTGTCAATATTATTGCATGCATCAATGATTCAACTTTTTGTATTACTGAGTAATATTCCATAATAGAGATATACTACAATTTTTCCATTCACCTATTGACAGCCTATTTGGGTTGTTTCCAGTTTTGATCTATTGTGAATATAGCTGCTATGAACATCAATATACAAGTCCTTGTGTGGACATGTGCTTTTCCTTTGTTTTGGGTAGTAACATAATAGCAGAATTGAAGGTCATATGGTAAGTACCTGTTTAACTTTGTAAGTAACTGCCAACCTTTCCCAAAGTGTTTGTACCATTTTACATTCTCACTATCGATGTATGAGAATGTCAGACTAGGTATATCCTCTCCTGCATTTGGTATGATAAGTCTTTTTTTAATTTTAGCCATTCTACTGGTTCATAGTGATATCTCATGATTTAATTTGAATTTTCATTTTGGTTAATGATGTTGAGGACAGCCTTTTATTATGATGTTTGGTATCAGATGATCACTGTTAACTAATATTGTATGAGTCATTACTTTACCGACAAGCTAAACATTAACTAGAATATAATCCTTTGTAATGCAGTGGCAATAGCATAGCCTTGGAGTCAAAGTTGAATTTAGATATTGATTACCACTTACCAGCTATAACTCTAGGCAAGTTATTCTTAGCCTTGCAAAATCGGGCCAATAATACCTATATCCTAGCATTGCTTTGTGATTTTAAAATAATAATCATAGAGTTCTTAGCACAGTGCCTGAGAGTAGAAGCTCAATAAGCGATAACATTTATTATGAATATAATTATTTTGCCTGTACTCATACCTGTAATTAAAATATATGAACTGGCATATTGTACAATCAATGTAAAGAATCTATGCTAATTAAAATAAAAACAGCAAATGTTGCTGATTTCTAAAAATATGTTGCTGAAAATGATTTTCACAATCCAACTAAGACTATCATTATGAGCATTATATGTAAAGACCATAGGGAATATCAAATGAGTTAGCAAACTATTTGTAAAAACAAAAATACAACCTAAGATTTTATACATGTATTTGGCTTTGACTAAACATCATTTCTTGGAAGATAGCAGCTTCAGTGCTTCCAGACATCTTGCAGCAGGCTCCTTCTTGTCATTGTCTCAGAGAAAGCTGCTCTCATCTCTAGAAAAGAGTAGCTCAAATTGCCACTAGATTCTATTAGCCTGAATTGTCTTCAAGCACAAAACTATATTGATTTTTCATATTCATTTACTTAGTATTAAATACTAAATCCATAATATTACATTGTTTACAAAAATAATTTATTTTATTGCCTGGATCTTTAGTTCTGGAATGTAAACATTAGAAGAGCTAGTATATATCCTATCTTGTTCATTGTTGTATCTTTGGCACTCAGTAAATTGTTGGTGCTGAGGCCACCAACATGTGTAGGTAGTCAATAAATATCTGATGAGTGAATAATCAATCAGTCAATTAATAAAACAATAGGTACAAAGTCTCTGAGATATAAAACATCGTGGCCTTTTTCAGAAACAGCAGTTTGTTTAAGGTAAAGGCTATGTGCTAGGGACAATAATAACAGTATTCGCTTAGCACTTCCGTGTCTGGTTATGCTGAGACTTGTACTTATGGTATCTCATTGCAGCCCCATGACAACTTTATGAGATCAGTATTATTATTAACCCCACTTTATGGATGTGCAAGCTGAAGCTCAGAGAGATTAAGGGCAAACACTCGTCAATAACAGAACCCAGAGAGAGAGAGAGAGATTCCCAGACTATTGGAAAGGCTCTTAGAAGGAATTTGAACTCTATCCTGTTGGCAATGACAGGACAGTGGAGATTATCAGGCAAGGGAGTAACAAAAGCATACTTTCATCATATTTGTGCTGATTTGTGTTTTAGGGAGATCATTGAGGGGTGGTACAGACAACAGAGTAGAAAAGGACAAAAGTCAGGGAGATCAGTGAGGAGGCTATTAAAACACTCCAGTAAGAGATCATGGCAGTGGCACCAAATAGGGCAAGGGGGGCTGGATTTAAGGGATTTCCTAGGAGGCAGATAGAACTCAGTGAATAACTAGATGTGGGTATAAAAGAGGGGAGGTGCTGAGGATGACTCAGGGGATGGATGTGTGGTTTGGATGTCTGTTATCTTGCATCCTTCACACTCCCAGTCCCAATATTTGTCATGGGATTCCCAAAGCCCATACTTCCTCCATGACTTGCGAAAGCCAGAGAGTCAGCACACAGATGAGCTGTTGGTAATTTTGGAGATCATGCTGCATCATGAATATGAAGCACTAATGTGGAAATAAGTTAGGGACAAATAGTTTCCTTTCATCAAAGTCCCACCTTGTAGACCTAATTATGTTATCTGTGACATTGTACAAGTAACATTTCAAGTATTATTCCTCTTCAGTGAAACCAAGGCAGAGGTTAGGTTTTTGGAGTGTCTGTCTGTGTGTATGTGTGTGTGTGTGTGTTTGTGTCTTATGTTATTTTCAAAGGATTTTGTTGGTAGATTTTTTTAAAAAGTCCTTTACATGTTCAACTAGTTTATTATTCCTTAGTAATTTCCTCATTCTATGCAGCCCATATTTCATACAGACTTCTGAGGAGGCACTGAGCCCTTTCAGGGATCTGTGTTGTGGTGGCTCAACAATGCACTTCTGGCAACTCTGTGGATAGGAGGATGAGCTCAACTCCTTACAGCTGCGACCTCCCTGCTGCTCCTCATAAAGACTGCCTCACTATCCCAGAAAGCTTTCTTAAAAGATTCTTCTGAGGCTTTACTCGGTACCAGAGATGTTCCAGGTTCTTAAACACAAATCAAGGCAGGCTCCTACCAGCAAGCCAGACTATCCAACAACAGACAACTCACAATACGAATTCCGGGCAAGTAGACTCTGAAATTGAACTCCTTTCTCTTTAAATTGTTTTTATTGTCTTCAGCCAGATAGACGGTTGAAAGGAAATGGTAACCAACAAATAATGGTTTTCTAAGGAACCCTCCCAGTCCAATGAAAGAGTGTGTTTTCCATACTATAGGAGATGCCATGTCATAAGTGGGTGTTTTGTACTCTGTTGAGTAAAAAAACAGGTTGGTCTTAAAACTGTTAATGATAGAACACATGGCATAAATTATACCGTAAACTCCAAACAACTCTGAAATTATAAACATTGCTTAGTCAAGGCTTTTCTTTTAACAATGCCCTGATGTCTCTGGCATAGGCTAGTGATTTCAGTCGATGTTATTTTACTTGAAAGGAGGAATTTATTTTCCAAAAAATAGTCTAAGAAAAACTGTCTTCCTTGCTGACTTCATGAAACATCTTGCTCCAATGGCCTGTGTCATGTCTTGCCCAGGGCTGAGGAGAAGGAATATGAGATAGACAAAGTTTTGAGAAAAGTCATGTGATGAGGAGAAACTGCAGGCTTTGTCCTAACATAGGCAGGAGGCTGACTCTAGTCAGTGGGAACTATGACTAAAGAGAGACTGTCAGGCTCTGAGCCAACGTGCTTAGGATCTGGTATGGAGTTAGCATTGAATTTGGAGTTGCTTCCTGCATTTGCCTATCATAATTGTTCTCTGGGAATGGGGAAGCAGAGAGATGTTTTGTAAATTATGAGAATATGATTTACATCATTTACAGCTGACTTTTATTGGGCACTTGTTAGATGCTAGGCACCTTGGCCAGATATTTTATGTAATTATCTCATTTAATCTTAACAACCCTCGAGGTAGGCACTATTATTATATCTTCATTATGGATGGAAACTGGTGTTCAGAGAAGTTAAATTTTGCCCAAGGTAACCTAGAAGTTACGTGGAAGCCGGGATTCTAACCCAGGGCAATCTGACTTAAAGCCTGTACCATGAACCATTAACAGCTGTGTTACGCTTCCTCCATGGGGATTAATTAAGAAAACGTGTGTGTTTTAAAAACAGCAAGTGCTGTAGAAGTGCTAGTGATGGGCTCTGGAGTCAGAAAAGCAGACCCATCCCACTTCTTAATGGCTCTGAATGTTAGATTTTTCAATAAGATACTTGTATCCCAGCCTCTTACTCACAATATTGGAGATCCACGTTGGAGACCAAAGACTAGCCCATCTTTGGTCATCATGGTGACAGCCTTTTCTTTTAATGCTCATCTGTAACAGGTATTTCACTGTCCTTGAGCCTGATTTGGATGGAGTCTTTTCATCATAAGCATTTTTTTTTGCTTGCTAACCTCAAATTACACTTTTACTCTGGGATTATCAGCCTGTAAATAATGCTATCAGGTAGGAGAAAGGTAAGAAAATGTAAATAGTTTGATTCAGTTCATTCCCACTCTTGGAAAAACAGATGTGTGCCTGCCCTCCAGTTAATGGAAAGGTAGCATCGTATCTATAAACAAAGACTCTCTTTGACATGAAAAGGAAAACTTAAATGGAGAGAAGTATCATTTATCTATCTAGAACATTTTCTCCTAGCCAAAAACAGATTAGGCAGTGGATCTAACCAGCACACCTCTCTAATCTGACAGATTCCTGCCACATGGGGATGCTTTAGTGCAAATGTTCCATAGTCCCTGAATTTATTCATATGGTGCATCTCCCTATGTCATGCTTATTCAATGAATGCTCAGTGAAGTCTACACTCTGCACCATGGGCTGTGCTGTTCAGATGATAAAGAGTCTCTGTTACAGAAGGGGCCGTAATATAGTGGGGAAATATAGTATAAACAAAAATCATAATAGAATACGAAATATGCTATGTGAAAAATTTTGAGTAAAGTTCTAAGATGATGCAGGAAGGGGAACCTGTAAATTGCCTCTAACTCACAGAAAATAGGCTAGAGTGAAAGTAGCTTGTCTTTGTGCTAGTCTCACAGCAGACTTGAGAGAAGCAGGTGGTAGACAATTTTGATTCTTCATTTCTGATTCATTTCTCATTCTCAGCAGCAAATTAGGGCATGTTGAAGACTAGAGAAATAGATATTTAAGTACAATTCAATATTTTTACCTATCTTAATTTGGTGAATGATAACTTCACCAAATTAAGTCACAGAACCCATCCCAGGTACTGTGACATGATGGGAAATATCTGCATTCCATCTTACAGGCGGTACCAAATCCAGCACAGGGCAAATTCAACAGCTTTAGTACCACATGGCACTGCATATCCAAATAAAGAGATCTAACTAATGAGAGACTGTATTTTATAAAGAATTATTTGTGAGACACATTTGGATGTCATGAATATAGCTTGTACTTGTGAGTTGCTTCTGTCCCTTAGTAGCTATGTGAGAGTCTGACAAGTTGCTTTGCTGAGCCTCAGTTCTCCTGCATATAACAAGGATAATAAAAGCCATTTAAATGCATGTGTATATATGGCTTTTAATAAACAGCATTGAAAAATGCTATATATCTATATATAGCATTTTAATATATAGCATATATACATAACATTTTTTCAAGCTTCAAAATGTTATAAAACAATGATTAATATTGAAAGCTCTGTTTAGGTAGTTATCACTATGTGCACTCCCAAGAGCCTCTTGTATGCAAAATCCCACTAAGGAGATGGATAGAGGACAGGTTAGTCCCTTGAAGATATTTTGGGAAAATAGTACAATACAGATACTCTTGAAATGTGAGCTCCTCTATGTCCATATCACATTTTCAGCAGTTTCCTGAAGAGCAGTTCCTGACAATGCTCCCACAGTCATGACCTGTGTTATTAGAATAATAATCTTTGAAAAAAGATGTTTATGAACATAACCAAAAATAATCATAATTTCTCCATGTAGTAACATATGGCTAAAGTAAATAATAATAATAATAATAATAATAATAATTTATAATTTGGACTTGTGACTTTTTTCCTAAACTTGAAAACTTTAAAAAATTATCCTCGCAAAGAATTTTTTTTTTCTTTTTGGATATAAGAACTGTGGCCCAAAATTCAATCCAAACTAAATTTCAAATGTGGAGTTATAACCCCTACCTCTGCATGGAAACCATGGAGCCCCTCAGCCAGAGTGGCAATTGGCAGTTCTACCTTGGTCTCCAAGGACACACACAGTGAGATACCAACCAAGAAAAAGAACAGGGAAAGAATACGAGGGGAAATGCTAAAACCATCTGTACAGAGTTGGGTTTTGTATGCTGCTGCTACAACAGGATTCTTCTTATCTTAACTAGAGTCCCGTCTCCTTCCCATGACTACATTTGAAAGAATAGTAAACACCTCTTGCAATACTGATTTCAGAGAGTCAGTGTGGTTTAATATAGGGGTCATTAGAGTGGGGGTGAAGAGACAGGGTTCTATCCTAGCTTCGTCATCTCGTGGCAGGCATCTTGCCCCCTCTGTGACTCAGAAGCATCATCTGTAAATGTGGATATTAACAGTTGTAACCACTTTGCAGGTCATGGTGGGAAAAACACACTGAGATGTATATAGCGTTACTTTAGGCTTTCACACTAGGACAGACGCACACTTAGCCCCTCTAGACACTCAGACTCTGGGGTGCTGATCAAGAAAGAACCAAACTGTCCTGGAGCCCACATCCTCCATTCCTCTTTCACTAGTCTAGAGTAGGGGAGAATTATCTCACAATGCAGGCTCTAACAGAATTCTTCCCCTGTAGTCTGTGCCCACCACCCCTGCCTCCAGATGGTCCAGACAACATTGAAAACAGTATCTACCTAGGACAGTGCCAGAAGGACCAATCACTGCCTCATTCCTGCCCATCCTTCTCCAGAAGCGGTGGTGCTAGGGCCATAGGCGTGGACCTGCAGGATGAAGGCCCTTTGCCACTGCCAACCTGTGGTCTGGGTCATGGACCAGCTCCTGTACCTCTGGTTCACAGTCCCAGCGGTCACTTTTATTTTCCAACAACAGCTAAGATTGTTGTTTTTGGATTCCCTGTTCTCTGAAAGAGGAAAATTAATGTAAACCCTTAGACAAATATGTTCAAAAGATGATTATAATGGGTTTTAAGTAAAAACAGAATGGAAACCAAGGAATTATCTAATAATTAAAGCAAAAATTAATAAGCACCTCTTCTATCTGAATAGAGATATACATCTCTGGTTACAGTTGTGCTACAACAACACCATTGTGGTTTATTTTCCCATTAAGTGGCCATGAATATGGTCTTTTATGGGGCCTGGTTCGCTACATGGTGGTCTTACCTGAAGATAATCTTTAGCAACAAATACGCAGTGAAAAGGCCTAGATTTCTTATTATATCAACTTCTGGTCATGATTTTTTTCTTCTTACCTTTCTTCTAGAATGTGTTTATGCATAACGTGTGTATAGTCTTCAAAAGAGCCTAACATGTAACTAGTGCAGGCATAGGTACAAATAGAAACTGCCCCAGTATTTATTTGTGGATTATTTTCTACATTTTTTCCATTTCTAAATCCTCCCAAAAGACCAATTTTCTCTGGTAACAGAGAATATATTTGTCTTTAAGTTTGTAAAAGAAGCTACATAAAATTCTCCAGACACATGTTTAAAATGTGTGATCAAACTGGCATCTTTACTTGGAAATGGCCAGTGGTGGAGAATTTTTAAGTTTGTCTGATGATACCTCAAAGAGAATTTTTTTCAGTGGAACATTAGGTCCTCAATTACGAATTGTTCCCACATTTCAGACCTACCCAGTAGACCTTTCAACTTTAAGCTGTTTTTGTTACTAATGAAAAAATTCATTATTCATTTATGAAGTCTGGTTCTTCTTAGTGTTCTGACTTTAGAGAAGGATTTAATTTAGAAAGTTAACCTGTGGAATAAACTATGTCTCATGTGAACCCATTTAGAGACAGATGTGTTTCTGTAATATGTACTGTACAATCAATTTGCATTTATCCAAAAAGTTGCCATATTAAGTGGACTCAATAGGCCTACTGTTAATGCAAAATTTAAACTATGGAAAACTGGCTTTTCCAAACAATAAGAAAGAAGTTTCCCTCATAGCCTGGAGTCTTCTGCTTTGTTAATGCAAGATGTCAAGCCTGCTGCAGTTACCTGATGCAAGTGAAGATTAGAACACATCTGAAACACAGCTGAAAATTTTACAAAACTGAAGCACAGAAATAGATGGAAAAGAAAATGACGCAGGCAGGAAGGAGGAAAATAAACTCACATGCCCACAAAAATCTTAAAGGAAGGAACTGGAGGGAGTTAGTCTATTTCATATATGAGACAAAGTCAGAATTAATTTGCTTAGAAGTTGACAAACAAGACACCAAGTCATAGTCATTAGAGCCTGGATCTTGCCACCAGACAAGTAGGGGTTTAAATTCCTGCTCTTCAGATTACTAGCTGAGTGACCCTGGATTTTTGCTGGCTGGATTTTTGGCTGTTCCTTCATCTGTAAAATGGGAAAATAATTCCTACCTCAGAGAGTTATTGTGATAAGTAAATAAAAACAATTTTCATAAAGATCTAAACAGTACCTGCCACTTTATTTAGTGTTCAATAAATTGGAAGAAGTCCAGAAAATTTCAGCTTTGTCATAGCTAAGAAATATTAAATGATTTTTCTTTTACTATTTAAAAAAATAATGTTAGGGATATATAATTTATATATCCTAAAATTCACCCACTGTAAGTGTATAATTCAATGATTTTTTTTGTAAATTTATAGAGATGTACAACCATCACTGCAATCCAGATTTAAATTCAAAACATATTCATTACCACAAAAATTTCCTCGTGTCTGTTTGAAATTGATCTCTGCCTAGGTAACCACTAATCTGCTTCCTGTCTCTCTATATTTGCCTTTGCTGAATATTTTACATAAGTGCAATCATACAATATGTCATCATTTGCATCTGGATTCTTTCACTTAGCGTAACATTTTTTAGATTCATCCTTATAGCATATATCAGTTTCTTATTCCTTTTTATTGCTGAATAGAATTCTATTATATGGATAGATCACATTTTAACATTTATTCACTGGTTGATGGACATTTGGATTGTTTCCAGTTTTTCACTGTTATTAATAATGTTTATGCATACATTCATATACATGTTATGTTTAGACATATATTTTTATTTGTCTTGGGAGAATTGCTGCATTGTGTGGTATGTTTACATTTAACACTTTAATAAACTGCCAAACTGTTTTACAAGTTTCTGCACCATTTTATATTTCCACCAGCCATGCACAAGCATTCCAGTTTCTCTACATGCTCATCAACACTTGGTATTGTCTGTATTTTTTTTCATTATAGTCATTCTAGTGGGTATGTAGTGATATCTCATTGTGGTTTCAGTTTGCATTTCCCTAATGACTAATGATGTAGAGCATCTTTTCATGTACTTATTAGCAGTCCATATATCTTTCCTGGTGAAATATCTTGCTCATTTCTTACTTGGGTTTGTCTTTGTATTATCAAGTTGTAAGAATTCTTTATATATGCTAGAGGTGCACATTCTTTATCAGAGATGTGATTTGCAAATATTTTCTCACAGTCCGTAGCTGTTTGCACTTAAAAAGACACCATTAAGAAAATAAAGTTCTAAATTTTGAAATAGAAATTTAAAATTTGTCTAATTTTATAAATTTTAATGGATTTAATGGATTGTGCTTTTCCTTTCATAATTAAAAACCCTTTGCCTCACCCGAGGCCACAAAGACTTTCTCCTATTTCTTCCAGTTTTATAGGTCTAGGTCTTAAATTTAGTTTTATAATCCATTTTGAGTTAATTTGTGTGTCTGGTTTGAGATAAGAATCTAAGATCATATTTTTGCATGTAGATATCCAGTTATCCCTACATTATTTATTGAAAAGTTTACCCTTTCCCCCATTGAATTATAATGGTACCTTTGCCCAAAATCAAATAACCATACATGTAAGGGTTTATTTCTAGGCTTTCAATCCTGTTCCATTGATTCATATGCCTATTATATTTGCAAGGGTCTTGATTGTGTGCAGGGAGTACCCACTTACATCAATACCACACTGTCTTGATTGCTGTGGACTTAAATTTTGAGATTCGGTAATAAGGAAGCATAAGTCCTTTAACTTTGTTCATTTTTTTTCAAAGTTGTTTTGGTAAATGTAGATGCTTTGCATTTTTGTATACGTTTTAAGATGAACTAGTTAATTTCTATTAAAATGTCAAATGGGATTTTGATAAGGATTACTTTGAATCCATGGGTCAATTTGGAGAGGATTGTTATCTTGACAATATGGAGTTTTAAGTTGATGAACATGGGATGTCTCTTTGTTTATTTAGATATTTTAAAATTTCCCTCAGCAATATTTTGTGGTTTTAAGTGTAAAAGTCTTACATTTATTTTCTTAAATTTAGTCCTATTTTATCGTTTTGATGCTATTGTAAATACAATTATTCTCTTAATTTTATTTTTAGATTGTTTGTTGCTAGTATAGAAATGTAATTGATTTTTGTATATTGATCTCACATTCTGCGAACTTGCAAACTTATTTGTTAATTCTAATAGGTTTTTAATGGTCCCTTTGGTATTTTTTACATATAGTATTATGCTTTCTGCAAATAATGACAGTTCTTTCTTTCCAATATGAATACTTAATTTTTCTCCTTACTTCACTCACTACAATCTATAATACGACATTGAGTAGAAGTGGTGATGGAAGACGTACTTGCCTTGTTTTCAATCTTAGGGAGAAAGTATTCTGTTTTTCAACATTAGGAATCATATAGCTATGGGTTTTTTGTAGATATCCTTTATTAAGTTAAGGATATGTTCTTATATTCTTAATTTGTGGAACTTTTATCATAAAAGGATGTTGGATTTTTTTCAAATGTCTTTTCTGCATCTATTGAGATTATTATGTGATTTTATTCTCTATTCTGTCAATATGGTGCATGACATTAATTGATTTTCGTAAGTTAAAACAACCTTGTATTTCTCAGATGAATCCCATTTGATCATGGTGTAGAATTTTTTTTACATGTTGCTGGATTCACTTTGATAAATTTTGTACCTATGTTTATGTGGGAATTTCTGTAGTTCTCTTTTATTGAAATGCCTTTTTCTGGCTTTGGTGTTAAAATAATACCGGTCTCATAGAATTAATTAAGTGTTCTTTTCTTTGTTTTCTTAGAGTTTATGAAGGATTACTATTTTACCTTTTTAAATTACTTGATAGCATCCACCAATAGAGTTATATAGGGACCAGGGCTTTTCTCTGTTGGAAGATTTATTTTATTTTAATTAATTAATTAATTAATTAATTTTTGAGACGGAGTCTCGTTCTGTCGCCCAGGCTGGAGTGCGGTGGCACAATCTCGGCTCACTGCAAGCTCCGCCTCCCGGGTTCACGCCATTCTCCTGTCTCAGCCTCCGGAGCAGCTGGGACTACAGGCGCCCGCCACCACGCCCTGCTAATTTTTTTGTATTTTTTTAGTAGAGACGGGGTTTCACCATGTTAGCCAGGATGGTCTTGATCTCCTGACCTCGTGATCCGCCCACCTTGGCCTCCCAAAGTGCTGGGATTACAGGCGTGAGCCACTGCGCACTGCCGCAAGATTTTTAATTGCTAATTCAATTTATTTACTTGTTATCAATATATTAATATTTTCTATTTTTTTAATGATTTTTGTAGCTTCTTTCTAGGAATTTGTCCACTTTATTAAATAAGTTGTCAAATTTGTTAGCATGAAGTCATTCCTTTTCATTTCTGTAGGATCAGTAATGATGTGCCTTTTCTTCATCCTTGATTTTGTTAATTTCTGTCTTCTCTCTTTTTTTTTCTTAGTCAATCAGCTAATGATTTGTAAATTTTGTTAATCTTTTCAGAGAACCAACTTCTGGTTTTATTGATTGTCTCTGTTGTTTTCTGTTTCTATTTCACTCGTTTCTGTTCAGATCCCTCAGAAGCCAACAAAATATTTCAGAAGTCTCATCTTTTCCTTTACCCTTATAATCTGCAATTCTGACTCATTCAGAAGACTTTAACATTTATAAATAATTACAGAAATTTAACCAAAGGGAATCCTGAAATATAATGTTGGTCTTTGAGGATATAGGAGTGTCTTCAAGCCTTCTCCAAGGGGCTTTTTTAACCCATGAATCTCCAAATTACCAAATTACCTTCCTGCCATGTGCAAAGCTTTGCAGTCATATAGTCTCTACATTCACTCCAATTATTCAGAAAACATTCTCCAAACCTGTTTTCCATAAATAGCCCATACATATCTCTTCTTAAAATTATGTTTTGGAGAAGTCCCTTCCTTAGTAAGAGAGCGTGTGAAAAAAATAATCCAGAAAAGATAAACATGATATATATCCATAAAATAAAACATATGTATCTTCAGCTCTCTTGCCACCTCATAAATCCATTTAAAACAGAAAAATAATAAACGCAAGTCATCTTGTCCCTTAGTACACAAACTTGTAGAGAAAAACCTATGTTTTTTAAAATACTGTTTTCTGTTGTTGTGAGGGTATGTTGAGGGCTGCTAATTAAATCTATTTCTATCAAGGGCTTCTGCTTGAGGTTGATGAAGACAGAAAGGAACTATCTTTTTAAAGTGTAATAACTTGAAAACTGGTACCAGAGATATGGCAAGAGAAATAGAGTGATAACATGTCTGCAGGCTGTGAGTAGAGTTTGTTTTTGTTTATTTGTTTTTCTTTTTTCAGAAAGCCCTTCAAATGGCCAATGTTTTTCTAAGGAAAACATCAAAGAAAGGAACCCAAGCAAGACTGCTTGGGAAAGGTTTCAAAATACCAGACCTAGACTGCCCTTGGAAAAATGGCTCCTTGTAAACTGAACAATTTTAGTCAAGCCAGTTAAATGCTCTATGATTACTCTGGCTAATTTTTCCTCTCTTCTATGGCCCCAAGAAATTTTTTAAAAATTTATCTTGATATATTTTACAATTTGACCAATAGTGCAAAAATAGCTATCAGAACCTGTCTGCCCCATCCTATTCCATGATAGTGATAGATCTGCATGGTGTAAACCACATCAGCAGATTACAAGGAGCAACTTCTGAACTTAGAAAAGCATTCTAGAGCTAGCATGCCATGAGTCCATAGGTGCCCGAGAGACTACTTGGTGGTCCTCTGTAGTACATGTGTTCCTGGGTTTCTGCTCAGCTTTCTGATATGTATTCCGTGTCTTGCCTGCCTTACTTTTCTAGACCTCATTCCCCAGGAGTTGGCTTAAGCTTCTTGCTTTACCTGGATACACTGCTTGGTACCACAACCCTGCCCAGAGGATTCTGGAATATCAGACTGGTAGACCTCCTTGTGATTTTGTGTATTGTGTTGTGATTTGGATTACAAGTGTCCCTATTCTATCCCATAACCATCAATGAATGGTTACTCCTGTCTTCCTAGCAGCCCATGAAATAGTATGGACTCTGTACTAAGGTCACACAAAATATGACTACATCCAGAGAGAGTTTAAAGGATCTGTAAAGCAGAGGTCTGCTGAATCTGTGGGGAAAATGTGCGGATGTTTGGAAAAGTCAGTGGGCTTACCAGTCCTTATTTTTGTCCTTCGGACTTAAAGAGTAAATCAGAGAAGCCCTTCAAACTGTAATAGAAACCAAAAGCTTTTAGTTGAAAGGTAGTAGTCTTCTACTCTGCCTCATCAGCCCACAGATGAGAAAGCCAACTCAGCATCCAGTTTTCTACTGTGCAATATTAGGTTTCAGTAGTAGCTACCCATGTGAAACCAAGCCGGGCACTGGCCCAGCAAACTAGTTCCAGAATGTAATCAGGGAGGTAGGATTTGCTTGGGGTGGAAGCTGGAAAGAATTAATGACAACTCATGAGTAAAGTGGGTAATGCCAGAAAGAATGGAATATAGTGTAGTAACAGGGCAGCAGGCACCAGAATGCCTTGCTCTCTCGCTGTCTTCAACCCTACCCTGCCCACTGCTTTTCTTGTGGAAGCCTGGCGTGTGAGTCCCTTGGTAGCTTTCAAAATGAAAGAGGCGTGGCTGCAATCTGAAGCAAAATGACCATGACAGCTATCATAAAAGGCAAGCACTTATGGAAATTTGTGGTGAATCTTCTGAAAAGGAATGTGTGTCTCTGCCTGTCTCTTAATGAATCTGTCTGCTTCTTTCTTGAGTGCTAACCAAGTGAACATCTGCCTGACAGAACACTGAACAAGATGCCCAGCGGAAGCCCTCAGGGGAATACTGTTCATTGAAAGTGTTTTTGCCCCTTTAAAAAATAAATCTAGATTAACAAAGGGTTTATTTTCATGGTAGCAAGAGACTCGGCTATATGGCCAACAGCTCTCTTCCCCTGAAGATAACCTAATAATTTTCTTGGTGTGGGAATTACAAAAGCCTTTCAGTTCCTGTTGGAGTATTGCAAATGAGGCCATGTCACACCTGCCGCAGGAGCTCTTCCTTCGCTCCTTCCTCTGTGAGCTATTATGCATTGTGTTTTTTTGTATTCACTTGCAGGTGTATGAGAGGTATATTGCCTCTCAGAGTTTATCTCTTTACTTACTGAAGGTTGCATTTTAAATTAAAAGAGTAGCAAATTCTTACAAGGCAAATATTAGGCAGATGCACTGTAAATTTCTGTCACATAGCGGAGGGATGGACAGTTTCATGTCACTGTGGAACCATACACAGTTAAGAATTGAAAGGGACCTAGTAGGTCATGTAATATAGTCCTCAGCATGACAACCCCATTCTACCTGGATGAAATCCCTCCAGCGTAAGTAAATACCGAATATGTGCTTCTTGGGATTTGATGTGTTTCAAATGAGCTATGCATGTTTTAAGGAAAATGGAAGTCTCTCCCTATTTTTTTTTTTAATTGAGAAGCTACCAAACTGCAAGTTTCCATCTTAGCTGGAAGTGCACTCTCTTTTTCCAGTGGCACTTATTTTGTATGGTCTTGATTGTGAGTCTTTACATGTGCATACATGATCTCCTAATTAATCTGGAAATATAAGTACACCAACTCTGGCTACATTAATCTCTCTACCCCCAGTTTCATCAGCTGGTATATGAAAAGTTTTTAAATCTAATTTTTTCCTCCTTATATCTATATTTTTCTGGCTACTTTTGAAGGGGTGGGCTCTAGGATACTTCATGAAGAGCTATCTACTAGCTAGCTCTAATCTCAAACAAACCTTATACACAATCTGTGCTTGAGCTTCCTCATCTGCAATGTGGAGATGCATGGATCATTTGATGCTTCTCAAACACCTTCATTTAGGAACCCCTGATCACAGGGAAATGAGTTCCTGTTCCCTGAGCTTGAGGCTACCAGCCATGAGTCTGACTTTCTTTTAAATTTCACTGTTTTTTAAAAATGAAGGTAAATTTGGCCGGGCGCAGTGGCTCACGCCTGTAATCCAAGAACTTTGGGAGGCCGAGGCGGGTGGATCACATGAGGTCGGGAGTTCGAGACCAGCCTGACCAACATGGAGAAACCCTGTCTCTACTAAAAATACAAAATTAGCTGGACATGGTGGCACATGCCTGTAATCTCAGCTACTTGGGAGGCCGAGGCAGGAGAATCACTTGAACCTGAGTGGCAGAGGTTGCGGTGAGCCGAGATCATGCCATTGCACTCCAGCCTGGGCAACAAGAGTGAAACTCTGTCTCAAAAAAAAAAAAAAAAAAAAAAAAAAAGGTAAATTTACAGTGTATTCTGCTACCTATCTCGTATAGCAAAACAACTTTTGCCCCAATCTTCAAGTCAAATTAAAACTCAGGCTGTGCCGTGTTTGTTTATTTAATAGCTTCATGCACCTCTGGTGCCGAGTAATATTTTTCAGTTTGAGATACGTGAGTCATCTCTTTATGGCCTTATCCTTTATATAGCTATTCATTGTAATCCAGCCAACACTGGTAGAACACATACTATATGTGAGGCACATAGCCAGATGGTAGTCTTGAACTAGGGAGTTATATGCCCCCACCATTCAGAGGCTGATTTTTGGTAATGTTCATGGCACAAATGCCACACGTAGTGAGGACTCAGTAACCACAGTCATGAACTGCATAACAACATTTTAGACAATGACGGATTGCGTATGCATTGGCGGTCCTATAACATTATAATGGAGCCAAAACATTCCTATTGTCTAGTGATGTCATTAGCCATTGTAATGTTCTAGCACAACACATTACTTGCTAGTTTGTGGTGATACTGGTGTAAACAAACCTAGTTCTCTGACAGTCGTGTACAAGTCTAACACATGCAATTATGAACAGTACATAATACTTGATAATGTTAATGTGTTATAAGTTTATATATTTGCTATAGTTTTATTGTTATTTTAGAATGTACTTCTACAAAAAAAAAGTTAACTGTAAAAAAGCCTTAGGAAGGTCTTTCAGGAAGTATCTAGAAGAAGGCATTGTTATCATAGGAGATGACAGCTCCATGCATGTTACTGCCCCTGAAGTCCTTCCATTGGGACAAGATGTGGAGGTAGAACACAGTGATATTGATGATACTGACCCTGTGTAGACCTAGGCTAGCGTGTATGTTTGTGTCTCAGTTTTTTTTTTTTATTATACTTTAAGTTTTAGGGTACATGTGCACATTGTGCAGGTTAGTTACATATGTATACATGTGCCATGCTGGTGCGCTGCACCCACTAACTCATCATCTAGCATTAGGTATATCTCCCAATGCTATCCCTCCCCCCTCCCCCACCCTACAACAGTCCCCAGAGTGTGATATTCCCCTTCCTGTGTCCATGTGTTCTCATTGTTCAATTCCCACCTATGAGTGAGAATATGCGGTGTTTGGTTTTTTGTTCTTGCGATAGTTTACTGAGAATGATGATTTCCAATTTCATCCATGTCCCTACAAAGGACATGAACTCATCCTTTTTTATGGCTGCATAGTATTCCATGGTGTATATGTGCCACATTTTCTTAATCCAGTCTATCATTGTTGGACATTTGGGTTGGTTCCAAGTCTTTGCTATTGTGAATAATGCTGCAATAAACATATGTGTGCATGTGTCTTTATAGCAGCATGATTTATAGTCCTTTGGGTATATACCCAGTAATGGGATGGCTGGGTCAAATGGTATTTCCAGTTCTAGATCCCTGAAGAATTGCCACACTGACTTCCACAATGGTTGAACTAGTTTACAGTCCCACCAACAGTGTAAAAGTGTTCCTATTTCTCCACATCCTCTCCAGCACCTGTTGTTTCCTGACTTTTTAATGATTGCCATTCTAACTGGCGTGAGATGGTATCTCATTGTGGTTTTGATTTGCATTTCTCCAATGGCCAGTGATGATGAGCATTTTTTCATGTGTCTTTTGGCTGCATAAATGTCTTCTTTTGAGAAGTGTCTGTTCATGTCCTTTGCCCACTTTTTGATGGGGTTGTTTGTTTGTTTCTTGTAAATTTGTTTGAGTTCATTGTAGATTCTGGATGTTAGCCCTTTGTCAGATGAGTAGGTTGCGAAAATTTTCTCCCATTTTGTAGGTTGCCTGTTCACTCTGATGGTAGTTTCTTTTGCTGTACAGAAGCTCTTTAGTTTAATTAGATCCCATTTGTCAATTTTGGCTTTGGTTGCCATTGCTTTTGGTGTTTTAGACATGAAGTCATTGCCCATGCCTATGTCCTGAATGGTAATGCCTAGGTTTTCTTCTAGGGTTTTTATGGTTTTAGGTCTAACATTTAAGTCTTTAATCCATCTTGAATTGATTTTTGTATAAGGTGTAAGGAAGGGATCCAGTTTCAGCTTTCTACATATGGCTAGCCAGTTTTCCCAGCACCATTTATTAAATAGGGAATCCTTTCCTCATTGCTTGTTTTTCTCAGGTTTGTCAAAGATCAGATAGTTGTAGATATGCAGTGTTATTTCTGAGGGCTCTGTTCTGTTCCATTGATCTATATCTCTGTTTTGGTACCAGTACCATGCTGTTTTGGTTACTGTAGCCTTGTAGTATAGTTTGAAGTCAGGTAGTGTGATGCCTCCAGCTTTGTTCTTTTGGCTTAGGATTGACTTGGCGATGAGGGCTCTTTTTTGGTTCCATATGAACTTTAAAGTAGTTTTTCCAATTCTGTGAAGAAAGTCATTGGTAGCTTGATGGGGATGGCATTGAATCTGTAAATTACCTTGGGCAGTATGACCATTTTCACGATATTGATTCTTCCTACCCATGAGCATGGAATGTTTTTCCATTTGTTTGTATCCTCTTTTATTTCCTTGAGCAGTGGTTTGTAGTTCTCCTTTGAAGAAGTCCTTCACATCCCTTGTAAGTTGGATTCCTAGGTATTTTATTCTCTTTGAAGCAATTGTGAATGGGAGTTCACTCATGATTTGGCTCTCTGTTTGTCTGTTGTTGGTGTATAAGAATGCTTGTGATTTTTGTACATTGATTTTGTATCCTGAGACTTTGCTGAAGTTGCTTATCAGCTTAAGGAGATTTTGGGCTGAGACAGTGGGGTTTTCTAGATATACAATCATGTCGTCTGCAAACAGGGACAATTTGACTTCCTCTTTTCCTAATTGAATACCCTTTATTTCCTTCTCCTGCCTAATTGCCCTGGCCAGAACTGCCAACACTATGTTGAATAGGAGTGGTGAGAGAGGGCATCCCTGTCTTGTGCCAGTTTTCAAAGGGAATGCTTCCAGGTTTTGCCCATTCAGTATGATATTGGCTGTGGGTTTGTCATAGATAGCTCTTATTATTTTGAAATACGTCCCATCAATACCTAATTTATTGAGAGTTTTTAGCATGAAGGGTTGTTGAATTTTGTCAAAGGCTTTTTCTGCATCTATTGAGATAATCATGTGGTTTTTGTCTTTGGCTCTGTTTATATGCTGGATTACATTTATTGATTTGCGTATATTGAACCAGCATTGCATCCCAGGGATGAAGCCCACTTGATCATGGTGGATAAGCTTTTTGATGTGCTGCTGGATTCGTTTTGCCAGTATTTTATTGAGGATTTTTGCATCAATGTTCATCAAGGATATTGGTCTAAAATTCTCTTTTTTTGTTGTGTCTCTGCCTGGCTTTGGTATCAGAATGATGCTGGCCTCATAAAATGAGTTAGGGAGGATTCCCTCTTTTTCTATCGATTGGAATAGTTTCAGAAGGAATGGTACCAGTTCCTGCTTGTACCTCTGGTAGAATTCGGCTGTGAATCCATCTGGTCCTGGACTCTTTTTGGTTGGTAAGCTATTGATTATTGCCACAATTTTAGCTCCTGTTATTGGTCTATTCAGAGATTCAACTTCTTCCTGGTTTAGTCTTGGGAGAGTGTATGTGTCCAGGAATTTATCCAAGTCTCAGTTTTTAACAAAAACATTTAATGAGTAAAAATAAAAAAAATTAAAAATAGAAAAACGTTTATAGAATAAAGGTATAGAGAAAGAAAATATTTTTTGCAGCTATACAATATGTTTGTGTTTTAAGCTAAATGTTATTACAAAAGAGTCAAAAGGTTAAAAAATTGAAGTTTATGAAGTAAAAAAGTTACAGTAAACTAAAGTTAATTTATTATTGAAGAAAGAAATTTTAAAAACAAATTTAATGTAGCCTAAGTGTATAATGTTTATATAAAAATGATAGTTTACAGTAATGTTCTAGGCTTTCACATTCACCCACCACTCACTCACTGACTCACCCAGAGCAACTTTCCAGCCCTGCAAGCTTCAATCATGCCCTGTAAGTGCCCTATATAGGTGTACCATTTTTATCTTTTATACCATATTTTTATTGTACCTTTTCTATGTACAGATATGCTTAGGTATACAAATACCATTGTGTTACAATTGCTTACAGTATTCAGTACAGTAATATACTAGCAGAAGTTTGTAGCCTAGAAGCAATATCTGTACCATATAGCCTAGGTGTGTCATAGGCTATACCATCCAGGTTTGTGTAAGTACATTTTATGGTGTTCATATAATGAATAAATCACCTAATAATGCATTTCTCAGAATATATCCCTGTTGTCAAGTGACCGTGGTTCCCCTTGATTTTCAGGTCATGGCCCCTGGAGCCTCAGAGTGTAGTGGCACTGTCTTAGTCTCTACATGAAGGAAGGGTTTGAAGGAGAGACTGAGCTTTCCTTAAGCAAACCAGTTTTGCCTTTATCTGTTTAAGTATATTTTTACTTAATGCTTTGATTTTTATAGATATCCTTTATCCGGTTGAAAAGTTCTATTTCTAGATCTCTGAGAGTTTTGACCAATAATGTTGATTTTACGAAATGCTTTTTCTCCAACTATTGAGATTATCATATAGTTTTTACTTTTTAATTTAATATGGTGAATTACATTATGCCCATGCTGGAGTGCAGTGGCTTGTCATAGCTCACTGTAACCTCAAACTCCTGGACTCAAGGGATTCTCTTGCTTCAGCCTTCCAAGTAGCCAGGACTACAGATACATGCCTCCATGCCTGGCTAATTTTTTAATTTTGTATAAAGACAGGGTCTCACTATCTTGCCCAGGCTAGTCTCAAACTATTGGGCTCAAGAGATCCCCCAAAGCACGGAGATTGCAGATGTGAGCCACCGTGCCCATTGATTGATCTTTTAAGTGTTAAGCCAATGTTGTATTACTGGAACATATATATTATCCTTTTTATGTATTATTGGATTCAATTTGCTAAAAATTGTTTTGTTGTTCATGAGAGCTACTAGTTTGTAGTTTTGTTGTATTTTTCTCATTTTTGTATAAGATTAATGGTGACCTCATATGTTGGTATATATTCTCTCCTTTTCATTTTTTGGAAGGGTTTGTGCAGAGTTGACAATATTTCTTCCTTATATATTTGGTAGAATTCACCAGTGAAACCATCAAGGCTTGGAGTTTATTTTGGGGTAAGGTTTTTAACTACCAAGTCAATTTATTTAACAAGTACACATCAGGTTGTCTATCTCTTCTTGAGTAAGCTTTGTTGTTTGTGTCTTTAAATATGTTTGTTCATTTCCTCTATGTTGGCCGATTTATTAGCATAAAGTCATAACATTCCCATATTATACTTTTAACAACTATAAAATCTATAATGATGTTACCTTTGTACTCTTTAATATTGGTAATTAGGTCTTTCTTCTTGATCAGTCTACCTAGAGGTAGAGAGCGAGACAAAGAGGGAGAGAAAGAGAGTCTCACTCTGTCACCCAGGCTGGAGTGCAGTGGTATGATCTTGGCTCACTGCAACCTCCACATCCTGGGTTCAACCTGGCTAATTTTTGTATTTTTAGTAGAGACAGGGTTTTGCCATGTTGGCCTACCTGGTCTCGAACTCCTGGCCTCCAATTATGCACCTACCTTGGCCTCCCAAAATGCTGGGATTACAGGCATGAGCCACCGTGCCCAGCCAGAGGTTTGTAAATTTGAGTGCTTGGTTTACTTGATTTTTTTCTATATTTTCTGTTTTCTGTGTTATTGATTTTTACGCTAATTTTATTTTTTCTATTTATCTTTGGTTTAATTTGCCCTTCTTTTTCTAGTTTATATAGGTAGAAGCTGAGGTCATTGATATCTTTCTATTCCTGGTTTTCTTGCACACATGGCCTGATCAGTATTCAGCTGAAGCCTCTGCAGAGCTGCAGAGTTCTCCCTCTGAGCAGCTGTCTCTTCTCTGGTACTGTTTCCTATGAACCCTCATTGCCTTACTCTCCTTAGTTTCATCTCAACTCAAGATGTACTTTATGCATCTCTTGTGTTTTCCCATACCCTGGAAACTCTTTTGCAGACAGCTGGGGTACTTGTAGGGCTCACTTTGTTTGCTTCTCATCGCTTAGAAACCACTATCCTTTGTTGCCTGATGTCTAGTGTCTTGCAAACTATTGTTTTATTCATTCTGTTTATCTTTTGGTAGTTTCAGGCAGGAGAATAAATCTGGTTCCTGTGACTTCATCTTGCCTCAAAGAGGAAGTCTGGACTGTATTTCTAACTTTTTTCTGTGTTTTATCCTTTTCTGTATCTAGCATAGTACCATTTGCATGGAGCAAAGCTCCATGTGTACATATAAAGTAAACAGGGATACAAGGCAGAATGCCTAGGTTTGAATCCCCTGTGCATAGGATAACTGATTATGTGCTTTAAGCAATCATTTAAACCCTTTAAATGTAGTAATCTATCCTGCTCAGTCTAAAAATAGTAAGAATGGTCATATAGTGAGCATGTGCCATGTGACAAGCACTGTGATAAGAGCTTTATATAATTATCTAATACTCACAAAACAGTTTAGCAAAGATTACCCCATGTAATCCTCACAGCATTTTTATATGACAAATTTTATTAATCCACATTTTATGATGAGAAACTGGTCCTTTGGCCAAGTTAAGTATCTTGCATCAGGTTGCTCTATTCAGCTGGTATTATACTCAGAGTCCAAACAAATCCCCTACCTATGTCATACTGTCACACACTTTGCAGGTTTGTAAAAATTAATAGAAGTAACATGTAATAGTTAATTTTATGTGTCTGTTTGATTGGGCTAAGGGATGCCCAGATAGCTGGTGAAACATTATTTCTGGGTGTTTCCATTAGAATGTTCCCAGAAGAGCATAACATTTGAATCAGAAGACTGAGTAAAGAATGTCTCTCTCCTCAATGTGGCTGGGCATCATCCAGTCCACTGAGGGCCAGGCAGATCAGAAGCGTAGAGGAAGGATGACTTTGCCTTCTGCTTAAGCTGAAACATTGGTCTTCTCCTGCCCTCGAGCATCAGCCTCCCAATCCTCTGGCCTTCAGGCTTAGACGTAAATTATATCACAGGCTTTCCTGAGCCTCTATCTTGTAAGTGGTGAGTCCTCAGACTTCTTAGCTTCAACTAATCTCTTTCTGTATAAATATATATTGTATTGTTTCTGTTTCTCTGGAGAACATAGACTAATATATAATGGATACAAAAATGCTTTACAGAATGTAAAGCCTAGTGAAAAATAGTAACATTTGGTAAATAATAATTCAGTATCAGAAAATTAATCTCATTTCTGACTAGATCTGTATATAACTCTAAAGCCAAAAACAAAACAAAACAAAACCATCCAGATTCCCAATTTCTAGAAGAAATCTTCAAGGACTTTGAGATACTTTGTCGTTTAATATGTTTATAACTCATCATGGGTTATAAACAAGAAGAATTAGAAGTTTACTTCACAGGTTTCCTAAGAGTAAAAAGTATTTCTCTTTGTTGCCTAAATCAAGATTGCAGATATAGGGCCCAGTTCATTTTCTACATGTTGGCCTTTAATTTTCTACACTTTGCTCGTTAGTGAAGGACTCAAATGAAGTGAATATTTTATCTTGTCTCTGCTTATCAGACACAGCTGGAGCAACAAGTCCATTCTACCTGTCAAGCCAAACTTCAGGCTAAGTTAGGGCCTCTGCTCCATGTGGGGAAAGAATATGACTTGACATGATCCAGGCGATGTACATTTGGACTGGTTTGCAGACTGTTCCACATTTGTTGTAAACAGTTTGGGAATCTATAGTCATGTCTAAGGTTACATATGGGAAAAATGTGGGGTTTTTTTTCTTTTGTTGTTGTTGTTGAATGAACTGTGCAAATAAGAGGAGGGAGGTAGCTGGCCCACTCCTTTCTTGCTATGTGAGAATGCTGACTTTCCAATTTTTAACCAAAGGATCTCAGGCTTTTCCTTCTTGAATGATCCACGACACAGGGTTGAGGTCACTAGAGGGAGAAAACCACTGTGGACTTTATAAACAAATAGAACAGTTTTAGAGTTCTGATTGCCTTGTAAGTTTTCACAACATGTTCTCAAGTCAAACAGCAGAGCTGATGGCACATCAATGTTTTTAATGCATCCACGTAGAAAGCTGCTGAAATTCTGAATTCCAGTTCTCTGAAAGGACTGAAATTACAAACTAGAATGTTATTTATTTCTCTACTTTGGAAATAAAAACCTACTTGTTTGTTTGGTTTTTCCTTTAGTTTCTAATCCTGTCTGACAGAAGTATTCATCCATAGAATGTATTCCTGTCCATCACTTCCCTCTGGTCCTACAAGCTGTCTCATGTTAAGCAGAATTTGTTTCAGAACAAAAACACTAGGCACACTGAGTTATATTTTCCAATCAGAAAGTGTCAACGTGCAGATTAAGAGTTCAGTGCTGCCACAGTTGGCTAACAAACTAAAAATACTTCTGTTGAAATAACGCAAAGTCATTATCTCTTCATTCATCCATTCATTCAACTATTTGAACATAATTTTTCTCTTCTGCTAAAAGGATATAATTCTTTAAATAAGCAGCCACTAGATATTCTGGTCCAGTCACGCAGTTTTGTTCAATTTGTTCAATTGAGAAGCAGTTTCAGATTCCTGACTTTCAAAACTTCAGCTTTATCTATAAAATAGTGATGACTACTACTTCATTAGATAGTTGTGTAAATTAAACTAGTTAAGATTTATTAAGTGGATATCATATAGTGGGCATTTTTAAAATGTTAATTCTGAGGCTGTATTCTCGTTTCTCACTAAAGTTTATATAGCAGCATCCACAAGTAATAAAGTCTTATGGATGAATATTTAATCATGTCCTAAAAACTTTTTAATGTGAGATAAGAAAAGCTTACTGAGCCAAAGTCAGAACATGGGGGCTTTAGTAGTGTTTCTGTATCCAGTGAGTAATTTAATCTTGGGTAAAGCCTCTTAATAGCCTGCTGATAGTTATTCATCTCCAAGGCTGGACTTACGTCTTTCCAGGCTCTAGCAACTCCCTTGCTAAAAAGAACTACCTTGTCATTATATAGTATTTCTTTTATTTTATTTGATTATATTACTGAATAACTTTTACTTTTATCTAAGTTGAACACGTAAGTTTAAAATACTAATAGTGCTGAGTCTTATAATGGAAAAGTTAGTCCTCTTCTCCATCTTCCACCACTAATTTTAGCCGATCACTTTCAAAACACTTTTAACGATTTCTTTGGCAATTACCACCACATATCTAAATAATGTTCTTACGGTGGTATTCTTGATTGTTTTGTCAGTCTTATTATTTATTGACATACCTGTATAGGAAAGAAGAATTTAACGCTGCTGTCATAGACACACACATACACACACACACACACACACACACACACACACCTCCTTCTGTTCCATCCTTCTCATATTGTATGTCGTAAATCTTGATTAGATATTCAAAATTTATGTTATTGTTCACAGTTAACTCAGGTTATAAATATAATTATATATAATTGTATTTCTTTCCTTGCACAACTTTTTTGTTTCCCTGAAGGTTATAAATTTATTGCTTTCCTGTTTGTTTAGTTTTCTTCATAGTGTCACTAATTTATTCAAAAAGCTTTACAAAAAGTATAAATATTGTTTCGCTGCATATAAACACATGTGGCAATCTCTCAGTTTGTAGAATAAATTGCACTTCGAGTTCTCCATTCTCTTATGCCAAACTGGACTAGTTGCTCTGTAGCCGTACCATGTAACTGATTTCATGGAAATTTATCTCTTTTCACCACCTTCCTGGGATACTCTTCCTCTCACTCTGTAATGAACCCTCTTTTTCCTGGATTTTACATCTCCATTTTACTTTTACTCATTTTAGAAAAGCACATCCTCCAGGAGTGTTTTCTAAAAAGAAGATAATGGTTTTTGTTTTTGAGATCTTTCATATCTGAAAATGTCTTTATTCTACTCTTATGCGTAATTGATAGTTTACTGTGGTATAGAATTAAAGACCAGAAATATTTTTCTACAGATTTTAAAGCATTACCCCATTGTCTTCCAGCTTCCAGTGTTGCTATTAAAAAGTCAGATGTTATTCTGGTTTTCAATACTTTCTAGGTGAACTGTTTTTTGTTTTGTTTTAATATCTGTAAACTTAAATTTTTAGCATTTGGAAAGTTCACGGTTATATGTTCTTATGCGGATGTATTTTCATTTATTATGCTGGTTTCTTGGTGGAGTCTTTCAAATTGGAAATGCATCTTTGCAGTCTTAACTACTTAAAATAATTTTCTTTAAGTAATAATTCTAACATGCTCTAAAGTCACAAATTGAAAAGTCACTTTCAATATTGTTTTCTTTGTCATTAGAATTACTGCTTGACATCATAAGTGAATAAAGTGGCTGGAGTTAGGAGAATAGGATAGGCACTTCTCAACAAATATTGACACATTGAATTTTCTGGAGTAAGTTTTCTTTAACCTGTTAAAATTTCTTTAACCAGTAAATTTTCTGGAATAAGTTTCTTTAACCTGTTACAAAATAGGTGCTTTCCTGATTTATGGTAGGTGATGAATAAGGCCCATCCTGTTTTCTAACATAGATATACCACTGGGAAATCCCTTTTCAACCAAACAAAATGAAAGACATTCATGAGTAGCTTAAATGTCTCCCAAGTGAGAACGGTATGTCCAATAATAGAGTGTCATGAAATTTATTTCTCAGTTTCTTGGTACTATAATATATTGCTAATATATAATATTAGCCTATATAATAATATAATATAATGTATTAGCAATACATTAGCATTGCTAACATATTAGCAATGAATAGGCACCATTCACTCTAAAATTGAGGAATTCTTAGATTTGCACTTGGAATTGAAGTAAATGCAATTTTGCTGGAATGTGCATGAATATAACCCTCAGGAAAATGTTGATATTTACTTTATAAAATATTTATTAATGCCAGTTTTTAATCATTTTTATTCAGAGCTGTGAAAGAAAAAAGTATTTCTAACTGAATGAAAAAGACTAGGGTTAAAAATTAGTATATCTAGCATATATTTTCCTAATTATACTTATGAGAGCAATTGTTCTGTAGAATTGCAACCTCCTTTATTAGACATTTTAAGGAAATTATAAGTTCCACAGGGAAATTTATCCACATTCTCTTATTTTCATTTTACTGATTTTTAATTAAAATCTTTCTCAAAGATATTATTTATTTGATTAACTTAAACCAGGAACACACTTTTAACAGATTCTGCTGAATATTATTGCTCCTCAACTGAAGATGAAGTTACATCCTAATAAACTCATTGTAAGTTGAAAATATGGAAGTCAAAAATGCATTTAATACACCTAAGCTACTGAATGTCATAGCTTAGCCAAGCTGACCTTAAACATTCTCAGAATACTTTCATTAGCATGCATTGGGCAAAATCATCTAACTCAAAGCCTATTTCATAATAAAGTGTTGAATATCGTGTAACTTACAGAACACTTTACTGAAAATGAAAAAAAGTTGTTGTATGAATATTCAAGTACCATTTTTACTGAATATGTATCACTCTGTCACCATAATAAAGTTGAAAAATTGTTAGTTGAACTGTCACAAGTCGGGGACTTTCTGTATTATGTAAATTTTTCTTGGTAAGTCAAGATCATCATTCTACATTAATGATTATGTTAAGCTTTAGGATAGCTATGTCCTCAGGGGCCATGAAGTTGTGCAGTACAATTGGCCCTAAATTTAATGCTTCAAGAAAATTGTGGTTTTTGAGAAGCTCCTACCACTTAGAGAAAGCAAAGCAACCCAATTATTAAAAAATGAACACACATTTTACAGAAAAGGAATAAGAAACAGCTTATAAACATATGAAAAGATTCTCAGTCTCTTGGTGAACAGAGAAACACAAATTAAAACCACAATGAGTTTCCACTACACATCTTTATTATAAAATGCCTGACAAAACCAAGTGTTAGCCAGGATATGGAGCTGTAGAACTCTTTTATACTGCTAGTAAATTTATATAACTCTATGGAAGACAACTTGGCATTACACAATAAAGTTGAATATGCACATCTTAACAACCCGGAAATTCCACCCTTAGGTATAAATCCTGGAGAAAATCTTATACATATGTAGAAGAAGATGTACATAAGTATGCTCCTGACAGTATAGCTTATAACAAAAATGGAAACAACCTAAATATAGGTGTGCTATAAAAGAGAGATGAATTGAGTTGAATGCACCTGTAGTCCCAGCTACTCAGGAGGCTGAGGCAGGAACATTGCATGAGACCAGGAGTTTGAGACCAGCCTGTGCAACATGGTGAGACCTCATCTGATATGGTTTGGATTTATGTCTCCACCCAAATCTCATGTCGAATTATAATCCCCAATGTTAGAGGAGGGGCCTAGTGAGAAGTGATTGGATCATGGGAGTGGATTTCCCCCTTGCTGTTCTTATGATAGTGAGTGCTTGTTAGATTTGACTGTTTACTAGTGTGTAGCACTTCCCCCTTTGCTCCCTTTCTCCTTCTCCAGCATCTAAGACACATCTGCTTCCCCTTCACCTTCAACCATGATTCAAAGTTTCCTGAGGCCTCCTCAGCCATGCTTCCTGTCCAGGCTGCAGAACTGTGAGCCAGTTAAATCTCTTTTCTTATAAATTACCCAGTTTTAGATATTTCTTTATAGCAGTGTGAAAACAAACAAATAGACCATCTCTAACAAAATTTTTAAAAAATAGCTGAGCACTGCACTTCAACGTGGGCAACAGAGTGAGACCTCCATCTCTTAAAAAAAAACAGAGATAGATGAGTTATGGTGTACTTATACACTGGAGTCCCATCCATCAGTGAAAATTACTGCATTAAAACTATCTGCATCAATATGGATGAATGTTATAGTGTTGAGGGGAAATAAGAAAGTTTTAGAAAGATATATATAAGCATTATTCAATTAATATAAAGTTAAAAATCTGGATATACTAAATATATATTTTATATTTTGTAGGATATATAAAGTTTGGTTCAACTATAAAGAAAAGCAGAGAAATAATTAACAAGATATTCAGTGTATTTACCTAAAAGGAGGGTAGGTAGGAGTATGATCACAGAGAGACATATAGAGGAATTCAAATGAATGATAATGTTCTATTTCTCTAGTATCATTTCATTCAACTAATATTTACTAAATGCTCACTACATGCCAGGCACTGATATAAGTACTTGGGATACAAGTTCAAACAAAGCAAAGACTCTTTCCTTCATGGAGCATGTGTTCTACAAGGAAAGGCAAATAAATAAATAGAATGTAATAAATTATTAAATTATTACTATGTTAGAAGGTGATAAGTTCTATGAAAAAAATAGGTTAAGAGAAGGCTAAGGCAGATTAGAGTGGGTGTATAGGTTGCAGAATTAAATAGGATGATAAGGGTAGGCTTCACTGAGAAGGTGACATTTGAGCCATGATTTGAAGGAAGTGGGCCATATGGATATCTGGGGGAGTAGCATTTCAGGCAAAGGGAATAGCCAGTGCATTGGTCTTAAATATGTATTTTCTTCCCCAAGTATGTGAGCTGCCAGAAGTAGTACAAAATGACGAGAGCGATTCATGAGAAGAATCAAATGTCTAGAATAAATGGAAACTTAAGATTCAAGAAGAGAGATCTCACGGGAGCATTGTGATTTCTCTACCTACCATTCCCCTGAACCTAGTCCCCTGCTCCTTAAGAGTACACCAGTTAGCGCTAAGGAAAGGGAAGGAAAGTTAAGCAAAGGATAGGGACAGGGACAGAAGAGGAGGGAGAGAAGAAAGAAAAACCCAAAGGACTGCTGCTCAGTTGAGATGACATCAAAGCAATTCCTATAGTTGATGAGAAGAAATTTTTTGTTAGACAAATTGCATTTCTGTCAATGTTTCTAAAAGGACAAGGGAAAAGCTTAGGAACAGGAAGACAAACAAGATTCCATCTCTGGGACTCCATGCTCAAGTTCCTGTAGTGTCTTCAGTAGCATTTTTGACAATGGTGGTGAATTCATTTACAGTGAAATGCTGTCATAGACAGAGGCAAAAAATTAGT
Organism: Homo sapiens; assembly: GCF_000001405.40. Taxonomy (NCBI): domain Eukaryota; kingdom Metazoa; phylum Chordata; class Mammalia; order Primates; family Hominidae; genus Homo; species Homo sapiens. The sequence goes on along the minus strand of NC_000001.11, from coordinate 86,232,056 downwards.
GTTTTCTATATTATTTAAAAGAAGCAGAAGAGAACAGTGTGCTTTATAGACATTCAAAAGATTTGTACTGATGTTGGAATTTTAAGGAAAAGAAACTATGGTTAGAAATGAAAATGATATTTGGTCCCCTAGGAATTTACAACTTAGAGGGAGAAAATAAATACATATGTAAGCGAACAAGTGAAAGAGTAGGTGGGAATATGGAACTATCCAGGCAGTATGTTCAAGCACTGGTGCTCTGGTGTAGGCTGTTTCTAAATTCCAGCTTATAGTTTATGACAGTTCATCCTCCTGAGACTCCTAAGGCTGAAGGCAGAGAGAATGTTAATGAACAATTTCTGGTCTAGACCAGGCCTTCCAGCCCCCTCCCGCATTTCATCCGATAAGTCAACCCTATCCAGTCTTAACATGTATAACATTTTGATACTCAGATCTCACCCTGAGTTGGGATCCCAGACCTGACCTAGGACTCAGAGAAAATAAAGTTGTCTTTCCCCAACACATCTGAGACAAGGAGAAATACCAAGGTGGAATATTCAAACAAAGCCAAGAAACATGCAGGGGAACTTAGAGGAAAAAGTCTCTGAGGAAATGGCAGTAAGAGTCCAAATCTGGGGTGTGGGGCAGGTACAGAGAGAGCCAAGAGTTTAGAACTAGAATGGTGAGAGCAAGCACAGTTAGGCAAGGATCAAAAGGGAGGTGAGAGTGGGAGCTGAGAAGCTTGAACATCTGTTAACATTTGCAGCTTGATTTTATGGGTTTGTGTGGGTGTGTTAGCCTGGCTTAAAAGTATCAGGGGTGGGGCAGCCACTTGGCACAGCCCAAAACCACATGGACCTCCAATGGTGGAGCTGAGAGACAAGGCTGGAAAAGACTTGTGGGACTGCTCACTCCTTAGGACTGTGCACCAGCAGCAGGTGAAGACATTTTAAAACAGGAAAAACTAAGCCATACGATTTCTCATGTGAGAAGAAAAGGGAAAAGAGGAGTATTTGGTGTAACTATGTGAATGTGGGCCCTGACATTGTGTTTAAACTGCTCCATTTAAGAAGTTTTGTGACTTTGTGCAAATAACTTGAAATTTCTGAGCCTAAATTTTTTCATCTTTAAGATTGAGATTTTAATACGCAACTCACAGGTATTGATATTGTTACATATAAAATAATATTACATATACATATAAATATCTTTACACATGAATTGATTGTATAGTGCCAGAACATAATAGATGCTCAATCATTGGCAGTCCTTCTTCCTCTCTCGTTATTGTCATGTTCCTTGATGAATGATTAAATTAGTAATTGATTACTTATCAGCAGGTACTATTTATATAAAACGTAAGTAAACTATGGACTTTAGTTAACAATAATGTATTAATATTAGTCATCAATTGTAATAAAAGCATAACTAATGTAAGGTACTTATAATAGGAAAGAACTCTATGGGGAGAGAAGAGGGAGTTTATGGAAACTCTGCACTTTCCACTCAATTTTCTATAAACCTAAAACTTCTCTAAAAAGTAAAGTTTATTAATTTAAAAAAAATTTTTAAATCTTCATCTGCACTGCCTTGTGCAGGTGAAGATAAAGAAGCAAAAGATATGATCTCCACTTCCTAGAATTTTACAGTTTAATTAAAAACACAGATATTCATAGGAGAAGAACTAGTTTGTGGAGATAAGACATACCTTTTCAAGAGGTTAAACCAGGATTTCACAACAACAGTACAATTGACACATTGGACCACATAATTATTTGTCATCAGGGCTGTCCAATGGATTTTAGGATGTTTACCAACAAGTCTCCAGATTTTGCCATGTGTCTCTTGGGAGGCAAAATTTCTCCTAGATGAGAATCCCTTGGTTAAAAAAGAAATCTTCTTTCTTCTTTCAGCCCCACTTTCCATTGATCTATCAGCCAGTCCTGTAGTGTCTGGCCTTTTCTTACCTTAGATTTTATTTTTTCACTATGGGATATGCCCTGTAGCATATCCTTCACCACAACCAAGTCTCCATCATCTATTGTCTGGACCACATAGATAGAGTGCTAAATCACCCTACCTGATCTCACTGCTTCTGCATTATCTTCTTCAATGTATTCTTCCTACAGGAGCCAGCAATCTTTTTTAAAAAAAAAAATCCAAAGCATATGAATCCTCCTGTTTCAACCATCTTATGCTGAGATTCTCCACTAAGGCAGCACCTTAGTGGGGATTAAACTCCAGCCTTTATCTCCCCAGCGCAATGTGGCAGCTGAAGCCTCTGCTTAGCAATTTACCCTTCATCTCCTGCTTTTTTTCTGAGTTTCTTGGAGCCTTTCCCTGTACATGCACAGCTTAGCAATCATCCAGTACTTTGAGGGGAAACTGCACAAGACTTTCGGGTTTGCTTTCCTGCAATTCTCACCTCCCTGGGATTTTGCCTTTCAAGAAAATAAATAAATAAATAAATAAATAAATAAATAAATAATAAATAAATAAATAAAAGCCAGGGTGAATATGAAGCTGTGTTTCACTTCTCTCAGGAATCATAGCCCCTCAAGTCCTATCAGAGTTGGTTACTCTCTAATGCCTTGAAACTGTTGTTTTGTATGCTTCATTTAGTTTTGAAGTTATTTTCAGTGACAGGATTGCTCAAATTCAAGCTATTCCATCATGTCTGGTACCAGAAGTCTTTACGTTGAGATTTGTAAAAATCTCCCAGGTGATCCTAAAGGGTAGCCAAGATTGAGAACTGCTTCAAGTGGTTTACCACTGCATTTAGATTTAACAATTTGCAACATTTTCCTTGACCTATAAGTCCTACAAACCCCAGGGACTTCGCTGCCTTATTCACTGCTATATCTATATCATCTGGAACAGTATCTGGCACATAGTTAGTTGAATTAGATAGAGTATAAAAATTAATATAAAAACCATCACAAAGAAATATCCCACTTTAAGGACAAATGAGGAGCATAAAGAATGCAATAACAGCTTGGAGAAATGAAAAGATGAGTATGGTCTATTATTAACAAAAAGAAGCTTTCCAAATTAAAAAATAAATTAGTGCCACATCTCTCTATATGAGTCTAAGCTTCAAGGTTTTTATCTAATTGCACTGGCTTTAAGTGGAAAATGAGGTCAATGGAGTATGAAGAATAGTTTTTGGTGATGCCATAAAATGTGTGTGTCAGTGTTAAATACTTCCCTCCTGGGGTCAACAACCTCAGAGAGACCTTGCAAGAAAATGATTTTAGCTAAGGAGCCAGAAAACTCCAAAGAATATTGTTGGCAGTTTTAGACTTAGAAACATTGCAGATTAGAGGAACCAGCTGGCCCAGCATTTGAATTTGCTGAAGTGTGAACTTAAATCAAAGCTGGATGAAATGGTAAAAATAAAACAAAACTTGCTGTCAGGATCTCAGAGTTTAAAGACATTAAGGAGGCCGGGTGCAGTGGCTTACACCTGTAATCCCAATACTCTGGGAGGCTGAGGTGGGTGGATCATTTGAGGTCAAGAGTTTGAGACCAGCCTGGCCAACAGGGTAAAACCCCATCTCTACTTAAAAATACAAAAATTAGCCAGGCATGGTGGTGCACACCTGTAATCCCATCTACTATGGAGGCTGAGATAAGAGAGTTGCATGAATCTGGGGCAGGGGTGTTCACAGGGGCAGAGGTTGCAGTGAGCCGACATCGCACCACTGCACTCCAGCCTGGGTGACAGAGCGAGACTCTGTCTCAAAAAGAAAAAAAAAAAAGGGAGATTAAGGAAAACAAGGACAGCATTATGCTCTGCTAATATAAGGTCCTGCAACTTGAATTGACATTGGCCTAAGAAAAAGAGGAATAGCATATTTTTCTCCACTTATCTGAGGCCTGCATTGGCCCCAAATACCTTACGTCTCTTCTTGGGGTCTTGGAAAACAGAGGGTTTTCCAGGTTGCTTTAGTACCTCAGAGTGACTAACACAGGGAAGGCCAGTGAAATGTCTTGGTGTCCCTATTATTCCTGTTAAGATAATATTTCTATAGTATAAATTCCTTCTCCTTGAAATTTTTAGTAAAGTCTCATATGATCATAAACACACACATGCAATACAAACTGAAAAGCTGGGGTGGGGCTGCCTAGATTTCTGTAGAGCTGGTTACTTATAGCTCAAAGGTTAGATGTTACAAATTGAAATAAAAACATCTGGTAGGTATGCTAGATAGTTTTATTATTTCAACTGTGATATGTAGGGATTTGGTAAAAATAATAGTGGGGCTAACTCATAAGGGAACTGTGTTTTCCTGAGGACCTTGGAAGCTGAATCCCAGGGATGACCCAGCTCAGTATAACCCTTGTCCATTAGGAAGCTGACACTTCTGGGCTTCTATCCTAGCACAATACATATTGGGCATATGCCTTTAAAATGAGACCTCTCGCCTCGAGAAACCACAATACTGATAGGCTGAATGCACTGCCTCTGAACCTAAAAACAGTTGTGTTCGTTTTCTAGAGGTACTGTAACAAAGTACCACAAACTGCGTGGTTTAAAACAACAGAAATGTAAAGTCTCACCTTTCCGAAGGCTAAGATTCCAAAATCAAGTTGTTGGCAGGTCCATGCTCCCTCTGAAACCCACAGGGGAATCCTTCTTTGCCTCTTCCTTGCTTCTAGTAGTTTGCTGTCATCTTTTGCATTCCTTGGTTTGCAGCCATGTAATTCCAATCTCTGCCTTTACAAGTGGCATTCTCCCTGTGGGTATGTCTTCTTAGAAGGACTAGTCCCGTTAACCTAAGGGCATACTCTACTCCAGTATGACCTCATCTTGACCAATTACATCTGCCATGACCCTATTTTCCCAGTAGACTCACATTCAGAGGTATTAGTGGTTAGGACTTCAACTTAACTTTCTTGTGGGGAAAATAGCTCAACCCATAACAGCACTTATGTGAGTGATCACAGCAACCACACTAGAGATAAGAAGAAGAAAACTATTTCCTCAGTGACAGACCCTCATTCTCTATTAATGGTATTCTACTGGAGTGGACACAAACAGCTGCATGAAACATATCTCATTCTCTCTGCAGGGTTCTCTGCTTCTCTTTTCCCCACAATTGATCTCTCTTTGTTTAATCATGTGGAAAAGAGCCATATACCATTCAGTGGTGATAGTGCAAAGCTTTTGACTAAAACAAAGCCTCTACTGATATTTATGGAGAGTTATTGACCATTCACTTGGGCTTAATGTTTGCTACTGCTTCCAAGGACTCAAGCTGAAGGATGCAACTCTGCTATTTTCTGAGCTAGCCTTACAGTGGAAATCAGAAGGTATCTGCCTTTTTTCTTTTTTAAATCTACCCTTCCAATTTGTTTGCCAAGGTCATGTCTCCCCTTGATAGAAGCATTCACACTTCACATACCAGCCAGTTGACTATGGTTCTGAGGTTATTAGAGAGGTGGGAGAGAAAGAAACTGCCAGACTTTTTTTTTCACCCGATTGTCTGAAAAAAAAGACCACTAAGGTCTTAGAAAAGAGTATCTATGCCCAGAAGTCCCTCAGCACTGGTAAATGTTTCAAGTTTGAGGAGATTAGAAGCAAACATCCAGTTCATAGCACTGTTATTAACCAGGATTTCCTCAAGAGTAACAAGCAGCTGTGTATGAAATTGTTAGGAACACCAGAGGAGGATATTTACATAACAGTAGTGCTGAATTTGCATATGTCCACTCAAATTATATCAGCTGTTCTAAGACAGCTTTAGAAGTTAAAACTTCTAAAGCATACTTCATTTTATTGTATTTTGCTTTGTTGCCCTTCACAAATAATTAATTTTTTTTTTTTTTTTGCAAATTGAAGTTTTGTGGCAACTCTGTATTGAGCAAGTCAGAGAAAGTATTTTAGGCCCTTGGTGAGTAAGAAAGTATAAATCATCATCTTGTTGATATTTGTGTATTGACTAAATGAACTTGTTGAAATGATTTTAAGCTTAGGGATAGTTCTAAATATGAATATAGATCACATTCAAACAGGTAGTATGCACGAATGTTGCATGAAATAGAGAGCTATCACTAGGCTTAAAATGCTGATTCCAAGGAGAGAATCAGTGTTTATTTTCTGTTTCTCTGCTTTCAGTTTTAATTTTCCTGTTTCTCAGAGATGTTGAGCATGGAGCATGTGCTTGACAGAGAGAGCACCATGACATTTCGAGTCTGCTAAACTCTTCATCCTGGATACAATTTTCTAGAGTTTACCCAAATATCAAACATGTGGTAAATGCTTTATCAGACATTGACAGTCTTTCCACCTCTCCTCCCTGCCCTACCTTTACCTCACTCCACCCCACTGAGTAACCCAAGCTCCATTGGAAGGAAAACATGAGCTGGATAGAGGCTGATTTGGTTCTGGACTGTTCCAGGATCACCTTTTCTGAAACACTTCCTGGTCCATTCAGAGGGAACTTATGGGGTTGGGTGAAGTTTTCAAACCCCATTTGCCTTTGTCAAGTGGAGACAAACTCTTTTAGGAAACCAAGCCAGTCTCACCCTGAATTAGTCTATATTAAACTGTATCACAGAGCCCTCTTGCCTCTGGAGCTGCCTCCGCATTGGCCTTCCATGACTTTCTAATCTACCTCTCTTGCACTGCCTGGACTATGTTTTCAGCCCTTATGCTCAGGAGGTACAAATGCCTTTTGTATAAAAAGCTGTAAAAAGGCAGCTCGGGTGTCACTTGTCATTATTTTCACAAGGAGAATTCTGGCCCTCATTGAAGCTGTGGGTTTGACAGTTTCCCAGGATTTCTCACAATCACTTTTTCTTTTTCTTCCACAGCTTAACACTACTCTGCTCCCTTTTCGGCCTTGCTGTTACATTCATTAGGAACTGTGTTGCCACAGTTGCTTTTTCTATTTTTGATATTTGCTTAGGCTAAAATATCAGACTTGTTCTGGCATGATGCTGGCCCAAATTAGAGAGAAAGGCAACAGAGTAGTCAGGAATAGAATCTCAAATCTTTAAAATTCTGCGAATCCGCCAAGTTTAACATTTCTGTGAGAGTGAATGAGCAGGTTCCACATTTGTAAGTTTGGGAAGAAAGTAAAATTTTCCCCTCTGGATCCATGATCAGATTTCATTTTTCTAGTGTGTTTGACGTACCATACCAGTTGCTGTGGGCACAAGATGAACAAGGCATCATCCCTGTCCCCAGGGGCTCACTGCCCCTCAAGACATCAGGTTCAGTGCGTGCCAGCTCAACCACAGGAAATCCCAGTCCCCAGGCTGTGCCCACACTGTTTGATAAACTGAATCCTGAGCATATGTAACTTAGAATATGCCTCATGTTCCACCCTCTGCAATGAACTGTTAGCCCTTTCAAGGTAGAAGCAAGACCTCCTGGGATTTTCCAGTATCTAGGACCCTACATGTAATCATTCCTATCTGACAGACACTGGGTTGCACTTAAGAGTTTGTAAAATATTCCTATAATATTCCTATAATTAGCAACATCTGTAGTATGGTCAGGACAGCTGCTATCATCCACTCTACTGATAACAAAACTGAGACTGAGATCACACGGCTCAGGCAGCCATGGTCAGGCAACAAGAAAAGCAGTTGTAGAGCTGGAACCAGAGCTGAAGTCTTGACAATTTCTCCTGTTTTTCTTGCCACAATTTACTCAAACCCAGTAATCTGATAGTAGTCATCTGAAACCATTCATAACATTCTCATATATCTTTATGATGGACAGATAGGAGAAAACACTAGTTTAATCAACTTGCTACTGATATACTGAAAATAATGTCTCTACCTAAAATCCTTGTTTTAGAACGAGGTGAGAACAAGGCAAAAAAAAAAGAAGAAAAAATGTAAGATGATATAACTTGGTAGTTAAGCTACTTTGGGCAAGTTGCTGAATTTACTAAACTTCCATTTCTTCACCTGTCAAATGGGAATAATATTAGTATCTATTTCATATATAGTAAATGCCCAACAAATATTAGCTATAATTATTGCTATCATAATTATAATTGTAATTATACTAAAACAAACAAAATCAAATATTAAGCAACTCTGGCTAGTTTGGGATGTCCTGAGACTTCTTGAGAAAACTGTTAGGTTGGTGCAAAAGTAATTGAGGTTTTTGCCATTAAAAGTTACTTTGTCATTACTTTTAATGGCAGAAACCAAAATTATTTTTGCACCAACCATAGAAGTCAAGTCTTGGGTCCTTTCACTTTGAAAGGGCATTTTCCTAGATGGCATTGCTTTTCAGGAATTCAGGAAAGAAGAGGAAGGTGGAGATGAGGAAAGAAAAAGAAAATTAGCAATAGATTTATTTAATCAGACTAATTTCCTTTTAAAGGCCCTGTAGTCTCATGGTGTCTTAGCACAATGACATGTTTAGATATTTTCTTGCAAAAGAAAATGGGTACCTTCCTAGAGAAGTGGATGCTGAGGTAGAGGCTACTAAGCTGGCAACTGTGATTTAAAGAGAGTTTAGGAGTTTGACCTTGGTGTGGTTCAAGATCTCCCAGGATATGTTCTGGGAGTGAAATACAGTACTCTAAACAATGGTACTGGTAATTGACATTGAACATAACTCATAGACATCCATGAAATTTATAGCTTAATGAGCCTCATACACATATGCTAAAGGAAGATAAAGTGAGACAAAGCTAAACGGGAAAAAAATCCAAATTAATATTCCTCTGAAATTATTTTTGGATTATAGAATTCAAATATGAAAAAGCTGGAAGCCTTTAAAAAAGCAACTACTGATTACTTACGAATAGGGTCTGGATATATTATTTTGTATAGTTTTTCCTAATTAAGAGATGCAAACGAATTGGAAGAATTTTGTATTTTCAGATAGGGATATTTGACCTGCACTGTGCAGAAGGGGTGGCGATACTATGGTTTTGAAAGGGCCTAAGAGCATTCATTTACATGTTGCAATTATGTTCTGGTTTGGTGCAGAAGTCCTTCCCCAAGGAGCCACCTACAGTATCAGAGGGTCAAAGTTTATTTTGGATTGAATAAAGATGAGGCATGTGAGAAGCTTACACATACAAACTTTTTTTTAATGCAGCAACCACAGTCTTTTCCATTTCCTCTTTAAAACTGAAGACTGGGAAATTCATCAAGGAGACAAATTCATTCATTTTAAACATGTTATATAACTCAGGATTGTTAGATCAGGAAATGAAATGGAAAAACCATTTCTGCCATCAGGCTTGTAGCAGTCTGTGGTGGCATTTTACTATTTAATGTATGTTGTTGGGGACCATTAGCCTCCTGTAGCTTTACATCAAAAATTTTAATCTGACCACTTGTACTTGCTATATATGGATATTTACAAACTTGTTTCATAACTTCTTACAGAAATTCATAGTCTATATCAAGTTATACAAATGGTCTAGTCACTGGCATACATTATTCAGTGCTTGCAAAGTTATATAATTTTAATTATGCTAAGATATTTTCCTGAAGAAATCAAACATATGTTTGCCTGTTTCCTTTTCACATTCATTACTTACAGCATCTAGAAACTTCCAGAAGTATTTTTATGCCATACAAGGAGGTTATTTATGTGAAGAGGCATCCAGTTCAATTAGCTCTAATCCCATTAAATTATGCAGCTACTTCTTTATGCCTTATTATACATATGCTATGCTATAATGACAGATGCCTCATTTGTATAAGCTGATGCATTCATTATTTTGGTTTCAATTATGCTTTCATGAATAAACTGTACAAAAGTCACGCTATTTCCCTTTTGTTTCTCATGTTTCCCATTGACCCTACTCCTCCAACCCCTTTGTGAGAGATGAAAGTCAAAATGCATACATATAGAATACAACACTGTTCCAATTTGTTTGAATTCTTAAGTGAAAACAGTCACTCTAGAGTTCACCATAAAGTGAGGCAAAATCCCAAAATAAGCTTTAGCAATGTAGTCACCAGGAAATTCCTATGGAAGAAAGCCTAATATCTGTGCTGTTGAATAGGACACAACCTTTCTCAGTGTGGCTGAAGCAAGATTCTTAGAATACAGTAGATAGTCAATATATATGGTTGTTGAACTGAACCATTGGTGTCACCTGGGAGATCTGACTAATTACAACAGAGATAACAGGTTTGGGGAAAAACCTAAAAACTTCATGGGACATTATAGCATGAGGATGTTGGTGGCATCCCATGAATTCACGTTGAAGAAGGGAGAAAGATGACTGGAAGAGATAGAGAATTATTTCAAAATTTTTCATTTGATAGTGAATGTCTAAATTTATAAGGTTTCATTTATATAATGTTTCATATATAATATTTAATAGCAGTAGTTGAGACTATATTTAAATTCTCAGTGTTAGAGGAAACACCACCACCATTTCACCATTAAGTGTAATGTTTGCAATAGGTTTTTTGGTAAACAACCTTTTATCAAATTAAGAAAGTTTCTATTTCTAGCTTCTAACAGTATTTATCATGAATGAATATTAAATTTTATCAAAATTTTAAATATGAATTATAAAGATAATCATATGCATTTTTTTGCCTTTTGTTCTATTAATGTGGTAAATTACTTAGATTTTGAATGTTAAATCAATCTTGCAATTCTATAAATCAAATTTGGTCAAAATGTATGATCCTTTTTATAGACTATTGGATTCTGTTTGCCAGTATTCTGTTTAGGATTTTTGTCTTAATGTCAAGAGTGAGATTGGACTGTACTTTTTTTCTTGCAACGTCACTGTCAGGTTTTGGTGACAAGTTTGTGTGCTGGCTTCAAGCAGACTCTTCCTGTGCTGCTCCTGGCCTTAAAGAAGTAGCCTACCAAGAAGTAAATGCTCTGCATAGAAAGGAACCATGGGTAGCCTCTAGGGACTAAAAGTGGCCACCAGCATGAAACTAAAGGCTCAGTCCAGCAACTGCAAAGAAATTAATTCTTCCAACAACCTGTGGGAGCTTGGAAGTGGTTCTTTCCCTAGTCAAGCTTCCAGATGAGAACACAGCCTAGATGATAACCTTGATTGCAGCCTTGTAAGACCCCGAACAGAAGACCCAGATCAGTTAACCCTGGTCTCCCGTCCCACAGAAACCGTAAGATAATAAACATAAATTGTTTTAAGCATCTAAATTTGTGGTAATTTGTTACGTAGCAATAGTAAACTAATACATTTCTTGTTTTTTAAACATGTTCCATCAATATTTGAGCACTTCCTTACCTTATGACCAACAGGACATTCCTGGCTCGCTTGTACTTTCTCTGAATAAACATGGAATTAATCATTTTTCCAAGGATCTCTGCTACCTTTTGGTGGAGAATGGAATTTAGAAAACAAGGCCTGAGTGCTAGGTGTGTCAATACTCTTAGAGTGTTTTGTTCTTAGGCCTTCCCATTGGATAGAGCTAGGGGATATGTGTGTGTGTGTGTGTGTGTGTGTGTGTGTGTGTGTGTGTGTGTATGTCTGTATGTGTATTCAAATTTACATCTATGTTTATATCAATCTCTATACGCTGCAAAACATAGGTTCTTACTGAAACCCTGAATTCTAACCCAGTACCACAGGGTTTATTCCAGTTTTCTTTCTTTCTATATTTGTAGCTCTCTTCTATGATAGGAGAAACCTGACTCCTATTATTCTCAATGTTTACTTACTGGATAAATTCTTTTTGTATGTAACAATCTCCTATCATCTTCATAATCTCCCTTGCTTCACAGATTGCTTCCTCATCCTGTTCAGTCTCTACCAATGCCCTGCTATCCTCAAAGGCAGCTACCTTGCTAGGCCCCATGTAATAGATTATGAACTAAATTATCCAAGAAAGAAGGAAGGTCTAGTTATTTTTAATTAAGCACCAGAGATTGTACATGAAAATCTATAGGCATAATGTGAAGCCCAGTGTGATGCTTTATTCCCCCAAAGAGTATGTACCTTGTCGCAGGCAGCTAAGGTCCTTAGCAATGCCAGTTCACCTAATACAGACTCGTAATTGAGATGATTTGAAACTGGGCTTTCATCACTACAAGGGCTAGTTCAAGTTGACTCTTACTCCTAGTTTCTAATCCAAAACCTCCCTCTTTGGAAGCCCTTGAACTCCAGCTTTTGTCCCCCTTTGCCCCATAAGGCTGACAAAAGCTCTACTCAGTTTCTCAGCTACTTCTTCCAGAATTGGAAGAAACTGCTAGGAGAAAAAAGGCCCTCAAAGCAAGTCTCAGCTCTCTGGAGTTGCTTCTTCTTCCAGGTATTACTCCCATAGTTTTTCACCATGTTATTAGCTTTCTAATGTATTCAAGAAATTTTTAAAATATATTTTGTCCAATTATCCTAGTTAGTATCACTAGGGGGGTGGTACAAATTATCTAGTCCTTCTTTACTGGGAGAAAAGTCTTCTATTGGTAACTTCATATTTTTAAACTAACATATAGTGAATACTTAGTGTTCTTAGTGCCATTTAAACATTTTATGTGCTTTGTCTCATACAACTTTTACCACCACCTTGGAGATCAGTACTATTATTAACCTATTTTACAGTTGAAGATCCAACATTTAGTGAGATTCACTATCTCGTGCAGGGTCACACAGCAGTAAGCAGAGGCCAACTCAGGTCTGTCTGACTGCAAAGCCCAGGATTAAAATACTGAGCTGTGTCATTTCCCACCATTAACTTTCACAGCCTAGAAACATAAGCACCCTGTAGGGACAATCTTAGTTACCAGTCTATTCAGAGAATTTAGAGAGGGAATAGAACAGACTTTTTAAATTTGCTTAAATGGCTCTGAGACAGGGACAAAAATAGCACTCAAGTTTGGGCCCAAAGTGCCACATTTATTGCTTCCTGTTATCCAAACAAGAACTGTGATGGATTTTAAATTAAATTAAATTATAAGACTCAAATGGGGGAAAATGTCACCATCCTAAATCTACCTTTATATATTTTGTGGCATAAATTAACTCCCAATTCGGGAGCTTTTCTTTCTTCCTCTCGTGGTAGGAATCTGTCAGTTGACATAAAATTGTGCACCATGGCCGGATGTGATAGAGGCAGACAAGCAAGATGCGTCTCACTGATGCATCTGGACAGGAAACCTTAAATATGGTTTTCTTTTCTTAAAAAAAGAAATCCCAGCCACATATGTTTTTGTTTTTCTTCTCAGCATTTGGTACGTGAAAACATAGGGCATGTTATTGCAGGTAGCAATTCTCCAGAGAGTGGTAGTACTTTTTGAAAGATTTTAGGAGCCCTCAAATTCTTCCAGGGATGAAGATCAGGTATTTTGGTCTGATACTTTGAAATATATACATATTTATTTATACTCTTTTGTGTACAAACTAGAAACAAGTTGCCTACATTTTCTTGAAAATTTTGGGAAGTTACTTCTATTTCAGAAATACTTTTCTGTCATCAAAATGTTATTAGTGAGGACATGAAACTCGATTTCTGAACTTCTAGGTTCTCTGTGGGCCATAGTTTTATTGTATCACCGTGAATTTTGAAATGTAACAATCTGATCTTTCTTCAAAGAAGTCAGAACACCTTCCAGGATGATAAGCACTCTTCCTTATATGGCATTTGTGAAGTCTGTAAAGAATAAAGGGCTGATGAATGTTGACTGATTTCTGCTAGTAGACTTGAGGCATTCCATGCTGACCCCAACTACACAGCCAAATGTAGAGTCACTAGAAACAGTATTCCAGGCTCTCTTTGCATTACTCTTTTATCTGTTTTGTCTCTATTCCTGTTTGGGCTCCATTCAAGCTGCTAATAATTTTCTATAGCAGGTTCCCATTTGGTTGGTAATATTTGATCATGGTCAGGTTACATTCTACCTGGATTCCAGGACTGGTAGCTAAATAGATATGGGGGCATTTAACCACACAATAGGAATCGCTCATCTTTCAGCTGGTGTAGAGTGTTCTGAGAGAAGCAACAACATTAAGTCATCAATCAATATTCCAGTAGAGCTGCTTTTATTGAATCGACTTGGTATAATTAGGTCTGGAGTGAGAAAGGTGAAAGCCCTAGATAAGATAATAATGAAGCACCCATCAGACTAATGTGTTTAAAGTACTTTTTCAATAATTATTTAGTGGAGACAGTGAAAAATGGTTTTCCAATATTGGAAATAAAACACTACTGACTTTATGTTTTAAATAGGAACTTTACAACATGCAGTTACTGGAACTAGACAACTTCTTGGGAGGCATGTAGAGTTATGTAAAATGGGAATAAAATAAATCTCTTTTTCACAGTAAATGCTTCAATCCCATGAATTACTCAGACTCAGAATTTCAGTTTCAGGTGCCTGGGAAATGGCTTGTCTCAGAGCTGGTAGTACAGCTACATTGTACCATAAAACTTATTTATATGTACTTCAAAAGATTGAACTAGGAGATAAGGTGTGGCATTTTTCCCTCTACTGTGACCTAAGGAAACAATTTATTTTTATTTTTATTTCAATAGTGTTTGGGGTACAGGTGGTTTTCGGTTACATGGGTAAGTTCTTTGGTGGTGATTTCTGAGATTTTAGTGTACCCATCACTCAAGCAGTGTACATTGTACCCAATATGTAGTCTTTCATCCCTCATCCACCTCCCCATCTTCCCTCCTGAGTCCCCAAGGGGACAATTTCTTCAGCAGATTCTCATTTGGTAAGATCAATTTCTGTTTTACTAGATATGTATGAAGTCACATATAAAATTCTGAGTCAACTGGTACTGAATTTCTAATTCATCAAAGACAATGTTTTTTTTTTTTTTTTTAATTTATTTTTTTATTGATAATTCTTGGGTGTTTCTCACAGAGGGGGATTTGGCAGGGTCATGGGACAATAGTGGAGGGAAGGTCAGCAGATAAACAAGTGAACAAAGGTCTCTGGTTTTCCTAGGCAGAGGACCCTGCGGCCTTCCGCAGTGTTTGTGTCCCTGATTACTTGAGATTAGGGATTGGTGATGACTCTTAACGAGCATGCTGCCTTCAAGCATCTGTTTAACAAAGCACATCTTGCACCGCCCTTAATCCATTTAACCCTGAGTGGACACAGCACATGTTTCAGAGAGCACAGGGTTGGGGGTAAGGTCACAGATCAACAGGATCCCAAGGCAGAGGAATTTTTCTTAGTGCAGAACAAAATGAAAAGTCTCCCATGTCTACTTCTTTCTACACAGACACGGCAACCATCCGATTTCTCAATCTTTTCCCCACCTTTCCCGCCTTTCTATTCCACAAAGCCGCCATTGTCATCCTGGCCCGTTCTCAATGAGCTGTTGGGCACACCTCCCAGACGGGGTGGTGGCCGGGCAGAGGGGCTCCTCACTTCCCAGTAGGGGCGGCCGGGCAGAGGCGCCCCTCACCTCCCGGACGGGGCGGCTGGCCGGGCAGGGGGGCTGACCCCCCCCACCTCCCTCCAGGACGGGGCGGCTGGCCGGGCAGAGGGGCTCCTCACTTCCCAGTAGGGGCGGCCGGGCAGAGGCGCCCCTCACCTCCCGGACGGGGCGGCTGGCCGGGCAGGGGGGCTGACCTCCCCCCACCTCCCTCCCGGACGGGGCGGCTGGCCGGGCGGGGGGCTGACCCCCCCACCTCCCTCCCGGATGGGGCGGCTGGCCGGGCGGGGGGCCGACCCCCCCACCTCCCTCCCGGACGGGGCGGCTGGCCGGGCAGAGGGGCTCCTCACTTCCCAGTAGGGGCGGCCGGGCAGAGGCGCCCCTCACCTCCCAGACGGGGCGGCTGGCCGGGCGGAGGGCTGACCCCCCCACCTCCCTCCCGGACGGGGCGGCTGGCCAGGCGGGGGGCTGACCCCCCCACCTCCCTCCCGGACGGGGCGGCTGGCCGGGTGGGGGGGCTGACCCCCCCATCTCCCTCCCGGATAGGGTGGCTGGCCGGGCTGAGGGGCTCCTCACTTCCTAGTAGGGGCGGCCGGGCAGAGGCGCCCCTCACCTCCTGGACGGGGCGGCTGGCCGGGCGGGGGGCTGACCCCCCCACCTCCCTCCCGGACGGCACGGCTGGCCGGGCGGGGGGGCTGACCCCCCACCTCCCTCCCGGATGGGGCGGCTGGCCGGGCCGGGGGCTGACCCCCCCCCACCTCCCTCCCGGACGGGGTGGCTGCCGGGCGGAGACGCTCCTCACTTCCCAGATGGGGTGGCTGCCGGGCGGAGAGGCTCCTCACTTCTCAGACGGGGCAGCTGCCGGGCGGAGGGGCTCCTCACTTCTCAGACGGGGTGGTTGCCAGGCAGAGGGTCTCCTCACTTCTCAGACGGGGCGGCCGGGCAGAGACGCTCCTCACCTCCCAGACGGGGTCTCGGCCAGGCAGAGGCGCTCCTCACATCCCAGATGGGGCGGCGGGGCAGAGGCGCTCCCCACATCTCAGACGATGGGCGGCCGGGCAGAGACGCTCTTCACTTCCTAGATGTGATGGCGGCTGGGAAGAGGCGCGCCTCACTTCCTAGATGGGATGGCGGCCGGGCAGAGACGCTCCTCACTTTCCAGACTGGGCAGCCAGGCAGAGGGGCTCCTCACATCCCAGACGATGGGCGGCCAGGCAGAGACACTCCTCACTTCCCAGACGGGGTGGCGGCCGGGCAGAGGCTGCAATCTCGGCACTTTGGGAGGCCAAGGCAGGCGGCTGGGAGGTGTAAGTTGTAGTGAGCCGAGATCACGCCACTGCACTCCAGCCTGGGCACCATTGAGCACTGAGTGAACGAGACTCCGTCTGCAATCCCGGCACCTCGGGAGGCCGAGGTTGGCGGATCACTCGCGGTTAGGGGCTGGAGACCGGCCCGGCCAACACAGCGAAACCCCGTCTCCACCAAAACCAGTCAGGCGTGGCGGCGCGTGCCTGCAATCGCAGGCATTCGGCAGACTGAGGCAGGAGAATCAGGCAGGGAGGTTGCAGTGAGCCGAGATGGCAGCAGTACAGTCCAGCTTCGGCTCCGCATGAGAGGGAGACCGTGGGGAGAGGGAGAGGGAGAGGGGGAGGGAGAGGGGGAGGGGGAGGGGGAGGGGGAGGGGGAGGGGGAGGGGGAGGGGGAGGATCCAAAGACAATGTTTTAATGTTTCTTATAAACTAGCACTCCAGGAAAGTGCCTTGCAGGCTGGCCCCTTGCTTTAGCTCTCGGTGTGATATTATCAGCCATACCATGGCCTGAATAAATTTGTCTTTAAGAAGAATCTTTATGATATTAAATTGTGTCATCTTTATTAGGGACATAAGAGCAATTCCATTTTAGTCTTAATTCTAAGAATGACTTCTAAGCAATAGGTCAGTTTTTACCTAAACACTATGAATTGCGCAATTGATTCATTTTTTTTTAGTTCTTGTTATTAAAACATTGAGACAAATAATAACCTACTCTTAGAAAACACATGGGTAGAAAGAAACATGTTTAAAATTATCCTTATCCCTGGTGTCATTTTATGTTCCTTTCATTGTTTTTCTTTCCTACTTTTACTTAAGCTATCTTGCTTTATTTTAGGTATCCCCATAAGCTGCCCTTAATCCCCTCTGAAATGAGAGGAGTATATAAAAATAAGTCCACAGTTGCTAACTTAGTATAGACTTTGTTCATTAGGTTTGCAGAAAGTGAACAGTATGCTGAAGGAACAGAGCATTGTTTCATGAGCATTGGTGGGGGGCTTCCAGGGGATGGGGACGGGTCTGGGCTTCTGCACAGCAGGGAGAAATCACCACCAAAGAACTTATCCATGTAACCAAAAACCACCTGTACCCCAAACACTATTGAAATAAAAATAAAAATTTAAAAACTTGTCCCTTGGGTCACAATAGGGGGAAAAATGCCACACCTTATCTCCCAGTTTAATCTTTTGAGGTACATATAAATAAGTTTTAATATGAATAAGTTTTATGGTACAATGTAGCTGTACCACCAGCTCTGAGACCAGCCATCTCCCAAGCACCTGAAGCTGAAATTCTGAATCTGAATAATTCATGGAATGGAAGCATTTATTGTGAAGGAGAGCTGAGCTGGCACAGCACAGATGACAAACCTGACTTGTTTCACGGTTCTGCAGAGGGTAGGTCCTTGGAGATACAGAACCATCAGACAAATGATTGCTGGAAATGCTAGGGGAAAAATCGTTGTGTGCCTCAATTCTAGTAGTATCTATACTCCTATTCATTTCTACTTCTCTCCAAGACATACACCTGGGGTTAATCTATTGAATTGCCTCTAACAATACTGGCTCATGATCCCCCTTCTCTGACACTTGCCTTTCTCACTGAAGAGTTGTCCCTATTTGTTCTGTCTCCCTGCTACAAGCAGACTGAACCCAATGTGGACCCCTGACTCAAGTGAGCAGATCAGATTCTCTCTTCTCTCTATGAGGATGGAGATGAGACTTAAACGTGCTAGCTATACTCTGTTCATTGCTTGAAGAAAAATGCGTGACGTGAGAGGTCTGTTCTGTGATAGCTCTGTTTGTCCACAGAGCAGAGAAAACTCTTCTCAGTGAGAGGTCAGAATAAAGCCGGGCACTTAGAGCAGCAAGAATAGGATACTAATGGAGTTCCAGAGTTGTGCTTCCAGATTCCAGTGCCTCATGAGGCTCAGAAATGGCTCCTGCCTCCAGTTTGCTTGTCATTCTCCTCCTCCTATGGGCCAAGGTTGCTCCGGTTGCTGTCCACCCCTCTGAGGTAAATGATGCTTCACTGAGACATTAGCCCTGAAAATAAAATGTTTCCAGTGGAAATCACCAAAGATGCACTTAGGGACTTAAATACAATACTCATCCATTCAACAGGTATTTGTTGATGGCTACTATACTAGATCTCACATGGTATAAATCATTGAATCAGATAAGTCATGCTGCTTACTGTCTGACAGAGGATAAATCCATAAACTAGGTTAAATGACACTGTGGAGAAATATTTACTGGCAGAGAAATACATTCATAATAAATTGTTAAGTGAATAAAGGAAATTAGAAGACAGTATGTATAATACACTTAGAAAACCATATATAGTATATGTATATCATACATATATATGCACATGCATATTTTTTCTTTCAATCCGTACATAAATATTTGGTATATATACCACACATATTACACATATATCATGTTTATTAATAGACTGGGAGATAAGGCAAAAATAATGTAAGAACTTGAAGGATACCCAAATGTTAAAATTGGTGATTACCCTGGCAAGATGATTATCGTTAGTTTTTATTGTCATAATTTTTCCTCTTGACATGTATTATTTTGAATAAAAATTATAAATAACATCCTTTTGGAAATTCTTCAAACATGTACAATAATATATATTTTGCAAAATCTGTCAACATGCATGCATCTTTGTAAACCACAGAAAAAAATAAAGTCAATAACTAATTAACATTTAAATATATACCCAATAAGAGGTTGGGTATTAGAAAACTTTAGAGTAACACAAAAATGATTTTCTTTTTTTTCTTTTTTTCTTTTTTCTTTCTTTTTTTTTTTTTTTTTTTTTTCTTTTTGAGACGGAGTCTTGCTCTGTCACCCAGGCTGGAGTGGAGTGGCGTGATCTTGGCTCACTGCAAGCTCCGCCTCCCGGGTTCACACCATTCTCCTGCCTCAGCCTCCCGAGTAGCTGGGACTGCAGGTGTCCACCACCATACTCAACTAATTTTTTTGAATTTTTAGTAGAGACGGGGTTTCACCATGTTAGCCAGGATGGTCTCGATCTCCTGACCTCGTGATCCGCCCGCCTCGGCCTCCCAAAGAAAAGTACATATGTAACAAACCTGCACATTGTGCACATGTACCCTAAAACTTAAAGTATAATAATAATAAAAAGAAAAAGAAAAATGCTTTTCAATATAACATTTCCAACTAAATGACATTGTTAAAAAATACAGATAAATTTTATTTTATGTCATTCAACAAATGTTACTGAGTACTCTCCACGTGCCAGGCACAATTCTAGGTTCTTGGGGGTACATCAGTGAATAAAATTGACAAATGTCCTTGTACTCAGCAACTTACATCCTTTTAGAAGTTAAGTATGGGGGACAGCATCTATAAGTTCCAGGTCTCCTGCTTCATCTCTGTTTACTTTCCTATGTGCCTGCCATGATGCTGGGCACATGGAACACAAGCTCATCCTGATGGAAGTCTTGCACTCAGGCATCTCACTGTCCCCGGCAACATAAAAATAAATAAAGGGCAAACTTACACAGTGTGATAAGGGTGAGGAGGAGTAAGCACAGGGGCCATGGGCATGCATAAAAGGCAGAGTCATCCTGGGCTTTGTTTTGGGGATGAGTGATAGCAAGGAAGACTCGTTGCCAGGAGGAGACACTATCTGAGCTGAGGCCTGCAAGAGAAATAGGAATTATGCAGGTGAAGAGGCCGGAAGAAGGGCATTTCAGGAAGAGGAAGCAAGGAGAAACAGGATAGATATTGGGGAATGTAAGTGACTTAGTATAGTTAGAACTTAATTTGCAAGCTAGAAATGACAAAAATGGGGTAGAAAGGGTGAGCAGAGGCTATGTGTTGTTTAAGAGGCAATGTTGTATAGTACTCAAGAGTGTAGTTATGAACCCAGACTCTGACACCTTTTAGCTGCATGACTCAGGAAACGTTACCTAGCTGCTCTGTGGATCAGTTTCCTCACCTATAAAGTTGTATAATGGTACATAAGTCCTTACATGGGGCTATTGTAAGTATTCAATGAAATGATCTATGTAAAAAGTACTCAGAAAAGAAAGAGCTTCTTGTAGTTCATTTGTGCTGCTATAACAAAATACCTGAGACTGAGTACGGTTGGCTCTTGAGCAATTCGGGGTGAGGGGTGATGGCCCTCTGTGCAGTCAAAAATCCATCTGTAACTTTCAACTTCCCCAAAAATGTAACTACTAATAGCCTACTGTTGACTGGAAGCCTTACTGATAACTTACGTAGTATTTACAGCTGCTCCCTATCAGTTGTATTATCACCTGAGCTCCCTGGCATTAGATTCTCAAAGGAGTGCGAATCCTATTGTGAACTGTACCTGCGAGGGATCTAGGTTGCAGGCACCTTATGAGAATCTAATGCCTGATGATCAGTCACTGTCTCCCATTACCCTCAGACAGAATTGTCTAGTTGCAGGAAAACAAGCTCAGGGCTCCCACTGATTCTACATTATGATGAGCTGTGTAATTATTTCATTATAATTTACAATGTAATAATAATAGGAATAAAATGCACAATAAATTTAATGTGCTTGAATCATCCCAAAATCATCCCTTTCCTGGTCCTTGGAAAAATTGTGTCCCAGGAAACTGGTTCCTGGTGCTGAAAAAGTTGGGGACCTCTGCAGTAAACCATATTCCCAAGCCCATTATAAGCCTATAGATACAACCAGTAAAATACCTTCCTTAGGGCATTTCAGGATGAGGTGGTTTTTGGGGGGCAAAAGGGTGATTATGACCTATAAAGAGATGGTTATGAGTTGAGAGGATGAATACTATCCTTGAAAATATGATGATTTATAGAAAAATAATTTTTAATATAAATCTCTTAGTTAGTTTGGTAAAAATGTTGAGAGACAGTGCAGTGCACAAAAAGCCCAGAGTGAGAATTAGGGCCTAATTGTGACCTTGAGAACATTCTTTAAGTTCTTTGAGATTTGGCATTTTGTCTTTCTGTAAGAGAACTGGACTAGCTGATAACAGGTCCTGGGCAGCTCCAAATTGCTGTGGTGCTGTGATCCCTGGTCAGCTTCCAGAAGAAGAACATAATGGACTCTTAGATGACAGTGGACTTCTTCAGGCTTTTATAAGTCATGTGTCCCATTCTCTGGCTGGTGACTAACAGTTTAGGGGCATGGACTTGGGGTGAACATGGCTGCACCCAGAGAGAACTTGAGAATCCAAACAAAGGCAATCTACATGCTTGCTCAATTGTTGGCTTTTATCTTTTCTTTTTTTTAAAAAAAATTTTATTTTAAGTTCCAGGATACATGTGCAGGACGTGCAGGTTTGTTACATAGGTAAATGTGTGCATGGTGGTTTGCCGCACCTACCAACCTATCCCCTAGGTATTAAGGGCCACATGCATTAGCTGTTTATCCTGATGCTCTCCCCACTTCCCTCTATTCTTAACTCACGTTCTTCCTAGTCACCTCCAGACTCTTAATGTCTTCCTTACACCTGTGCACATTATAAAATTTTCCCATTAAGTTTTCTCAGCACATTTTCCCATGGTGTCCGCCTTCACAGCATTTCAGGAATTTCCAAATATATTCCCTCAGCATCTGAATTTCACTTTCATTATTCCCCAGATGCTGGCTAACTAACTAGTCAGTTGGAGAAACAAATCAGGGCCATGGTGGTAATGGTTGGTAGTAGCCTAATCCCTAATATGACAGGGACCATTCAGGGACTTAGTCCCAAGAATCTAATGGAGCGGGGTTAGAGGAACTTTTGGGGTTTGCATAACCTATCTATATTTAACACCAGGTCTGGATGAAGAATTAATTTACGTATTGTCAGAGAGTTTTCCTCAGTTCAAGCCAACAGAGCAAATATTTATTAAGTGCGACTATATGGCAGGGGTTTGAAGTTTTTTTGCTCTCGTGCAAGCTCCAGTTGAACTCCAAGCACAGCTCAAACAAATGTTTCCACTTCTGGAAAGGATTTCTGCACTCAACTACTGCCTCTTTTCCAAGTTCCATGACCTGGGAAATATAATCTTCATAGAAACCTAAGGTCCCCATTACTTTTCTTTATCTTAAACCCAGAGCAAATCCCAATAGATTAGCATCCTGCTTTCCACTCTCCAGCCTTCACCTGACCCCTCTTACATCTCCAGAATTATGGGTACTTCCTAAGGAAAAATGCCCCTGATGCCAAACAACAGAGAAAGGAGGAGAGCACAAAGATGGGAAAGCAGCAGAGGTGCTTATATCAGTGAATGTAATAAAGACATGTCTTTCTTTGGAAGTGGGAAATACAATACGTTATGATAAACACCACACTACTGGTATCTATTAATTGTAATTGAGCATAAGATTTGGAAGTTTTCACAGAAATGACTATTTTGAGCTGGGCTTTGAATGATGAATAAGAGTTTACCAGTTTAAGCAGTAGGTAAATTCCATGTCCAGGGAAGTACATGAGCAAAATTTGAGAGTTGTAAGCATGCACGGGCTAATCAGGAGACAGCACGGAGTAGGGTGAGGCTGGAGCGTAGGATACATGGGACCAGAGCTGGGAGATGAAGTAGAAAGGTTGGGTAACTGAGATTAGAGTTTGTGTACTTGGCCTGAAAAAAAATCAACATATAAGACTAAATGGGAATGAGTCTTAACATTTTCTGGGACCTAGGAAGATCTATTTCTATGTTGGAGCCTAGTGGGATAATCCTGGAGTAGTCAGGAAACATAAATTCTAATCCTGGTTGTGTCTGAACCAAGATTATCTGGTGGCATATTCCTCATGAGTGATGTAGAACGGGACCAGGTGATCCAGGTCCTTTTCTGCCTTTCTCTAGTTTTAGGAATGTCAGACATAAACTAACATCATTTCGTAATGGTGCCACCCATGGCCCCAGGATGTGGTTGCAGGGGAAGGACTGTTATTGAAATAACATTGTTGGTTTCAGCCAGAAGCATCTTTATAGTAATGACATTCTATTTTATTTTATTTATTTTATTTCATTTCATTTCACTGTTTAACTCTCCAGGAAACACTGGCCAAGTCAGATTCCTACACTTCTTTACTGGAAAGCATTGGCTGTTTTAGTTAAATAAATGACGTCAATCCTAAAGCATTGAGGGAGGTGTGTGTGTGTGTGTGTGTGTGTGTGTGTGTGTGTGTAGAAACTGCCATTATGTCTTGGAGTCACTTAGAGATTTGAGTGGAGTCCTATTGGCTGACAACAAGTGTGGCATCTGTTGAGTAGGGTGGGATGAAGAAAGATGAAATTCATGTTGCTGTTAGCAGACACAAGATAGACAACTAGAGGCCTGAGAAGTTTATACAGACCATGATCCTACCCTTCTAGACCCTCAACTCCAGGATTGTAGCCAAATCCATCTGTGTGTAGGACACTTCATGGAGCAGGCCTTGCCATGTAAGGATCATGGTGGTCAGGCTGATCTGAAAGAGTCCCAGCTTCATCCATATTATCTGTGTGATTTGAGTAACTTGCTGAACTTGTGAGAGCCTTGGTTTCCTCATTCATAAAGTGATCCTTTATAGGGTTACTATTAAGATACAGTGGTGATCAATATCTCAAAATGCCTGTCTCATTATGTAAGTGCTCAGTAAACTGTAGAATTATTTCTTTCTACTGAATCAAAAGCAGCCCCCGATACAGATTGCTCAGACTTCCCTTCTTTAGAAGAAATCATCCTGGTTCCTTAAACCTTTTACTGAGTCTTGTTTCCCAGCCTCTTATTATCTCTGTGGTTGTTTACAAACCTTGCCTTTAGTGCTCCTTTGGTGACATTTGAGAAAAGCCCAACCTTTGGGAGCTGACAGCCACAGTTACATGCCAGTCTGCCTCATTCTCATCCATCCCACTCCTTCCACTTCCAGTATCCTCCCTCCTCCTGGGATGCAAGCCAAGCGGAAAGAGCTTAGCCACCATCCCCACCCCTTCCCAAACGGTGGTGATGACTAGTCCTCACAGCAGCCACTCCTGAGACCAACTCTTGGCAAGGGTTCAGCTGCTACCAAGAAGCAAATCCTGCCCCTGCAGCTTCTGGGGATGAGGGAGTCATAAAAAGAGAGGGAGGGTTTCTCTGTTGCAAGTCCATCTGTAGCATTTTTAATTCAGCAATGGATAGAGTGTATAAATTCTTTGAGGGTCCAGAATTGACACCACTGCCAAATAGTCTCCTGTTAATGCATAACTAATGCAAAACCAATGCATGGCTGGATATCCAATACTGAATAGTTACTTCGACTTGAACTGAACTGAAATAGCATTTTTTTGTGTGTGTTAAATGTGACCAACTACTACGAAATAAGGAAAGAATCCTGAAAGTTTTCCTGTTATATAAAAACAATCATATGCTTATTTAATTAATATTTTTAGCAAACATTCAAGTGCAGATTATATGTCAGATTCTATTCTTAAGGACTTAGTATGTGTTCATATTAAATGATAATATTTGTAACATTTACAATGTAACTAAGACTGTATCTTTTTTAGTTAATTAATTTGTTTTATCTCTCACAGTACTACTTACTTTCCACAAATGTCAAATTGAGGTTGAAAGCAGGTGTGCCTTTATCTGGAGTAGAATCAGATCCCATAAATGGAATCTTTGGGATAAGCCTATTATTTGAATGTATATAGCATCATAGCCTTCATAGTATCTGCATTTCAGGCTAGAATAATGATCTAGTGCCTCTACCTAAAACATTTTAGAATTCCCATCACCATCTAGATTTCACTAATTCTTATTCTTTCAACTGAACAAAATGTTTGAGTGCTAAGAAAGTGCTTGACACCTTATTTTACCAACTCCTTATGCCTTTCCAGAATATTTATAACATTAAAATGGTGGTGTGGTGGTGGTAATGTTAAGATGAGACACAGAAATGGAAATTTCCACAACAGAATCCAGAAAAGTTCCTGGCTTTTGTGTAGATTCTGACTCTTAGCATCATATAAGACTGAAATTTGTCATAAAGACCAGCAGGGGATCTACAAACTTGGTTGTCTGGCAAATTTTGGTCTTTAAGAGAAAGGTCAAATCAAATTTTACTTGAAAACTTCAGACAGGAAAACTGAATTTTAAAGATCCTTTTTGAGACAGTTATTAATGCATTTAAATCCCACCCCAAAATTGTCAGCTCTCCGTTGTTATACTATTATTAAGGTTTCCTTGAGCTTACTCTGTGATTCCCTGATGCCTTTCAATTGATAATTGAATTGCATTTCGGGTAATGCCTTCCATAATTATTTTAATGCACATTCTAAGTGCAAGGAACTGTCAGGAAGCTAAAAATCTGCCATATGATATTAGATTCTTAACTCAAAGTTTTTCAGTCCAGTTTAATTCAAAATTGACTCGTTTCTGCTAAAAAAAAATCCTTTAAAAGTATGCTGGTGCTTTTTTTCTTCATCTCTTCCCTGAAGTTGGGAGGGAAAAAAACCAAGTCTCAAAAATATTTGTCTGACTAATGAACAAAGGAATGAATCCTCTTAGTTCTATGCAGGAACTGTGGGGTTAGCATGAGTCACAGCATCATTTCTGGGGGTCCCTGGTTCTGCTGAATCGTTCCCGAGTAAGGAGCCCATGCTTGGGGATGCTCCCTTAATATAAATATGATGTAACATCTCAGCATGGTAGTTGAGGAAAACTTCTTTGGATTGCAGAAATACTGATAATGATCATTTCTCAAGGTAAATTTAATTCAAGAGTGTTTAACCTCCTTCAAATTACTAGATACTCAGTATAACTGGGCTCTCCTAACTGCTACAAATGCTAACTTGACAAGACTTTTTTTTTCTACTAGTTCTCAACACCAGAAATTAAATGAAATGTACCAGTAAGCAGATACTTCTCCCTCTTTGTTCTCATAGCTTCTCTTTGTTTTTGTTTTTTCTTTAAAAAAATGAGTGAGACAGTAGCCAAAATGGAATTTAGTTCTTGATTTCTTCCCATCTATGTGCTAAACTCATTAATTATTTCTTTTTCTAACCAAAGGAGAAATTAATTACTAATCTTTGCTAAAGCTGTCAGGCCATTTTATTGACTGATAAACACACTGGTTTTCTCCTGATGTTTTTGTCTTATCTTTTCTCACAAACAAACATTTCAACAAAGTCTATTACCAACCATTAAAAAATACAGTTCTTACTACAAATACCACGATTCTATATATGAGATATGAAGAAACATGATGTTTGGTTTTCATATCTTTTGATACAGCTGCATGGTAAAAGGATTTAAATGCAGAATATCAGACTCTAAGTTAGACCCACCTATGGAGCCAGACAACCATGAGTGAATCTCTGGCCAAGGAGGCCAAGTACAGGAATTCTGCAGGTGTATCCATCAGTCTTCCCGAGAAACATATGAGTGTGTGTTCATCTCTGTGTATGTATATGTGTGTACATTGTGTGTGTGTATATGCTGTGTATGTGTGGGCATGTGTGTGTGGTGTGTGTGTGTGGGCATGTATGTGTATGTATATGTGTGTATGTGTGTAAGCATATGTGTGTGGGTGTGTGTAAAGTTTGAAAATTTTAGGCAGTCTGGAAACTCAGGCGCTAATTTAGTCTTAAGGCAAAATTTCTTTTTTTCTGAGAAACCTCAGTTTTTATTCTTAAGGCCTTCAACTTGTTGGATGAGAGTTACTCACATTATTGAGGGTAGATTCATTTACTTAAAGTCAACTGATAGCAGATATTAAACAAATCCACAAAACTACCTTCACAGTAGTACCTGGATTCGTATTTGATTAAATAACTGGGACTATAGCCGAGCCAGGCTGACACATAAAACATCATGACAGGTATGGTGAAGCACAACATGGGTTCAGATTATGCTGTTTCATGCCTCCATGCCTTTGTACAAGCTGTAACCACCATTTGGAATGCCCTCCCTTATGTTGCTCCTTATTTCTGAATGAGTTTTCTATGTATTCATTCAGATTTCACCCCCTTACTAACATACGGGCCATGGGGATGGAAAGAAATGAGGAGATTCAAGAACAACTTAGGAAAATCAATAGGACTTGGTGACTGATGTATTTGGAAGTGGGAGAAGAAACAAAAACATGTGATAACTTCCAGGTGCCTGCCTTGGGTGAAGTGATTGGCGGTATCATTCACTGGTGCAGAAAATGGAAGAGAAAAGCAGATTTGGCAAAGAAAATGGTCATTTGGACACATTGAGTGTGAGTTGCCTGTGAATCATCCAGGTGAAGATGGACAGAGGGAAGATAGGGCTAAGAACAGAGATCTCAACTACTGAGCTCTGAACATACAGATCTGAGATGTGCCCACATGTAAATGAGAGTCGAAATAATGGGAATGGAAGAAGTCACCTAAGGAATTACACAAAGTGGGAAGATCAAGGACAGAATCCTAAAAAACACCAGAAGAATAAATAGGCCAAGAGAAGAAAGGTCTTTGAAGGAGACTGAGAAACGATTGTCAAAGAAGTAGAAGGAAAACTAGGCAAATGTAGTGTCACAAAATAAAGGCAATCAATCAGTGTCAGATGGAGCAGATAAGTCAAATAAGATGAAGTCCAAAATGTTTTCCACTAGAGTTAGCAAGAAGGCTGTTGGTGATCTTGGAGCAAACATTTCCAGTGAAATGGCAGGGGTGGAAGCTGGAGTGCAGTAGGATAAAGAATGGATAGGAAATCAAGAAATGGAAGCAGTAACTGTAGACAAATCTTCCCTTGACCAGAGATCTAGCAGTCTTGTTTCAGGAGATTAAAACCACACCATGATTTAAACAGAGGAAGTTTAACAGAAAGAATTAAAATGATTAAGATATGATAGTAAAGTGACCATAGACTGTAAGAATACTCTATATATGGCAGCTCAGAGCAGAAGGAGAGAGAGGCACAAACTTGGAAGGTGGCACCCTTCCCAAGACTGTGGTTCAAATCTCATTATAGAATGTGTAGTTGAACTCAGCAGATGGTAGGGAAGTTTGCTGGTTTGCTGGTCAGAACTGCAGTCACAGGACGAGCAGGGAAGAATATGCTAGAGGGCAGGCAAGGCTGGGAGCCATAGCTGGTGGCCAGTGCCTGGCAATGCAGCAGGAGTGGGGCCTTAGTGCTGCAAGAGGCCTGGAGTTCACTTGGGAAGGAAAATGAGATTGAGAGGGGCACAGCATCAAGAGGATTGTGGGAGATGGACCTGAGGACTGGGGTGAGTGCAAGCAACCAGGCAGCCAATGCCAGCAGGAGGCTGGAGCACAGGGTGTCTGTATGGAGAAGGCAGCAGTAAGATGATCACTAGGCCATACTGGGGCTGCAAAGCCGCCAAAGTACAATGCCTTCTGGGCTAGTGGCTGAGGCCAAGCACCTCCAGATGTCCCCACACCCACACTGTTGACCCACCAGGCTACAACCCGAAGCCTCAGGAGAGCCCTTCTTCCTGCAACATCCCTCCAGGGCTCTCTCGTGAGAAAGCTTAATATCATGCTCACTTTAATAGAGAAATGCTTTATCACAGAGCATATATTGAGGCTGATTTGGAGCTTTGATTTGGAAAAATTGATAATGGCACAGACTCCATACAACTTGCTGCTTTGTTTACTAGAGACCTTTTCTTCCATCTCTGGTAAAGATTAATGGGATAGGATTGAGGAAGCAATTAAGCTGGGAGATCATGAATTTGCAGCGGCTCCAATTTGCAGAGCTATTTGCTTTGTCATCAGTTTTTAGCCATCCAGGCATAGGGATAGAGAATGCTGATGCAGCATTGATCCAGATTTGGGTTCTACTGGTGAGGGTGAAGAGGGAGATAATGATTTGTATACCAAAGTCTTCAGTGAAAGACAGAAAGTCTGCAGGAGACAGTAAATGATGTTACCAAGGAGGGCTAGAAATGGGACTGTGGAACAATATGAGGCTCAGGAAGGATAAACTTTTACCAGAGTGGGAATCATCAATGGTTTGGAAGCCACTGAGGGAAGCCAGGAGAGGGCCAAGTCCTCCTCTTGGCTCACAGGTCTGAAGAGGTTGAAGATGTAAGGAAGTCAGCATTGGAATAAAGGATCCAGAGACCATAGTAAAATAGAAGGGGTAGTCAATAGCAGATGGCACCTGAGGTGAGGCATTTCTGAGCAGTAAGAGCAGGACAAAGAAGGGAGCCTGGCCCTTCCTTAGGGAGTTGAGAAAAGAGCATGCATGACACCTACTAGTCCCAAATGTCCTAACTTGGCCACAAGTTTGTTTGTTTGTTTTTGTATTTGAAGTGGTATTTCTGGTCTCAGAGATGTGACGAGGGCTGCCACAAGGCTTGTAAAAGGGAAGTGAGGGTCCTGTTCTGGGCAAGGGCTTTCTCAGTGCTCACAACAGTAGTCAGGGTCCTGGTTAGGATTCCAGGATGCCTGTGAAGTTTTTATTTTATCATTTGCTTTTAACTTAGGTATTCTCTTAGTATAAAAACGATGTAACCACATTGCAGAAAATTTGGAAAGTGACAAAAAAGCAAATAATAACAATTTCATCGACCCTAATGTAATGATTTGGAAGTTTCTCCTAGAGCTTTTTCCCCTATGCACATTTAAAAATCTTGTTATACTCATAGTGACACACAATTTTATATCTTTTCACTTAACAAATTGTGTTAATGTGCTGTGTGCTCTTCATAATTATAATAAAGGCTTGTGTAATAGTTCTTTCACTGGATGAATTATAATTTATTTATTTCTCTATTGTTAGACTGATTTTCTCAGAATTGTTAACAAGTTGTTCAGTGAACTATGATCTGCGGTCATGGCTATGTATGACTATTCATTCATTTTTATGCCAGAGTCAGTATTTCTAAAATTCTTGTACCCAAACCATAGCTATTCATGAAGAGTTTCCTAGGCTACATTTTGAATTCAACATATCTTTGATGACATCATAGTGGAATGTCTTTTATTCAAGAGGGAGGTCCACAATTCTATCTGATATTTCTTTGACTCAGCATCAAAGGCTTTCATGCATTTTTAGTCTTTTATAAGTCAGAAGTGAAAGAAGATAAAGGAGCTCAATGTCTTTAGAAATAACACGTTTTTCAGTGGCTAGAAATCTGGAAGCTTATTCATTGTGAGTATTTCTCAAACCACCCTCACCCCTGCTTTCCCCAATTCAGCTGCAGCTGCCTCTCACAGTGTTTCACTTCTCACCTGCACAACTGGATAAAATATTAAAGTAGAGTAAAATAAACTCATAAATGTGTCTTGGGATGGATTTTAGTTACCGTCTATGAAAACCCACGTTTTAAGGTGAGTAGCGTTCTTTGGCAGTAAGCCAGTCCCCGAGGAGACTGGATATTTTCACGGTACAACTAAAGAATAAGGCAAGGAACGGCGGGTGTGAGGAAGCCTGGAACTCAGTGCTGAATCAGTGAATCACCAGCTTAGGGGCCTCATGCTCCCCCGGTCTGAGGATAAGATTAGTCTCCAAATCTGGAATGGTGCCCTGCCTACAGGTTAGGGTTAAGTGACCTTACCTGTAAAGGTTAGAGAATGCAGGGCAATGAAACCAAGTAAGTAGTCCTTCCATTATCCCTATGAAACCAGAACTATGTCAGGGGTGTGTTGGAAATGAAATGACTGATACCAGTTCCCAAAGGAGACTGTTAAAGTTTAAGAAACTTTGCAGCTTGTTGGCTTACACTGGTAATTTGAAATCAGCTATCATGGGAGTATCTACAACACAGAAATTAGCACTGCAGAATTACGCCTCAGAGATGCTACTAATTAGGACTTTTCTCCCCCTAAAACCTGATAGCTAAACATTTATCAGAACACAACTGGGGGTACCTCCACTTTTAGTAACAGGCAACTTAACTTTTTCTCTTTTTGTTGGAGAGTCAATGTCTCTGAGCCTCGGTTTTCTTTTTCTTTTTCTTTTCTTTTTTTTTTTTTTGTTGAGAAGGAGTCTCGCTCTGTCGCCCAGGCTGGAGTGCAGTGGCGCAATCTCGGCTCACTGCAAGCTCCACCTCCCAGGTTCACACCATTCTCCTGCCTCAGCCTCCCGAGTAGCTGGAACTGCAGGCGCCCGCCACAACACCCGGCTAATTTTTTTTTTTTTTTTTTTTTTTTTTTGTATTTTTAGTAGAGACGGGGTTTTACCGTGTTAGCCAGGATGGTCTCGATCTCCTGACCTCGTGATCCACCCGCCTCGGTCTCCCAAAGTGCTGGGATTACAGGCGTGAGCCACCGCACTCGGCCTGAGCCTCGGTTTTCTTATATATAAAATGTGAAACCCAGCATTTAGATTGGAAAGAGATTTTTGAAATTATGTGGCCCAAACTTTTTATTTCACTTATGCTTGTTAGCTCTGACAAGAAGGTGGTGTATTTTTTTCCTCAGAGACAGAAGCCATGAATGCATCTATCACTTAGTAAGATAATCAGCATGACCCACTCCGTCCTGAAGCAGGATTCTTAGCAATTGAAGTCTAATATATTGCAGTACTTGGCACATTTTCATAACTCATGGTGATGGGCCAGGCAGCAATAGGAAATCCCAGACTGGGAGCCCAGGTAGCCAACTGGATCAGAGAAGGGGAAGTCAGTCAGTCTGGGAAGAAGCAGATAGGTCCTTGTGGTTTGATGGGCTAGGGTATCATCTGATGAGTTGAGGTGGGAAAAGATAAGATCCGGGCCAGGCACAGTGCCTCACGCCTGTAATCCCAGCAATTTGGGAGGCTGAGGCGGACAGATCACCTGAGGTCAGGAGTTTGAGACCAGCCTGGCCAGCATGGCAAAACCCCGTCTCTACTAAAAATACAAAAATTAGCTGGGTGTGGTGGCGTGCGCCTGTAATCCCAGCTACTCAGGGGGCTGAGGCAGAAGAATTGCTTGAATCCGGGGGGCGGAGGTTGCAATGAACTGAGAACGCGCCACTGCACTCCAGCCTGGGCAAAAGAGTGAGACTGAGTCTCAAAAATAGATTAATAAATAAAAGATCCAAACCCAGCCAAAGTCAGGGTTTTCATTCAAACAGATGGGACAATCATCCTACAAAGTCTAGGCAGTAGGACAGTAGATGTAAGAAAAAAAAATAGTTTTCAGAAGTTCATGCTGAAGTTCAGGAAAAAAAAGTTTTATCATTGACAACTGTTGAGATCACAGGGCCTATTTCAAATTGCCTAGCATACACACTACATACACAATATCAAAGCTTGGCATTGTCAATATAAACTTCTAGAATGTAAGATCCACTGCGCCCTTTGCCTTAGGAATATAGACCTTTTGTAACAAGGAAAATGGTCTTGATTCCTAGTTCAAAAAGATCCTTGAAAGATGTCTTGGGAAAATAGATGAGGGGAGGTACTTTTCCCTCTAAGACTCTTATTCTTTTCAAGATATGTTAACCTTTACTCCCATGCCTTTTCTTAATTCCAATCAATGTTGCAGTTAATTTTGATTGCAGAAACCTATCTCTGAATTGGCTTGCTGCATCAAGTTCAGATTTTAACTAAATTCACTAGCCTTTCTTTACTTGCTAGCAATCAGAAGAGCAATTAAACCATCTTTTGATTCAGCAATCAAAAACAATAAATCTCTTTCATTTAAGTATAGGGATACAGGTGAGGAAATAGAATTCTTTTAGTTATGACCAGGTAAGTGCTGGCATCAAGATAGAAATATGGTCTCTGAGGAACAGCTACCAATGGAGACAGCTGATATGAACTTGACTAGGAGATAGAGCCATTTAGGGGCCCAAATCTGAGCCCAATTAGTGGAGTTTTAAATTCAAAGGATAACTTCTCAGATTACCCTTATGAAAGACAGCATTGCTCCAACACCACAGGGTGAAAGTAAATCTTGAGGTGGTGTGGATTTAGGAAAACACCAGGCATTACATTATTACAGATGAATTGGCTTAGAATATCTCATTTTTCTTAGTAACTAAGTGATGGAAGAAAGATGTCATGTCCTCAATATCACTAATAATAGCTAATGAATGTTATTCTCCCACAAAACAGGGGTTGGTAGCCATAGTTGAGTCATGCTAAGTTCTCCAGTAGCAATGTCAGCATTCTCCACCTTACAAGTCTGGCACAAGGAGGTACATTTAAGTTTATTTGACAGCCTGCATGCTATTTCTTCAATATTGGAAAATTGCTTCATCTCAATTGTTTCCCCATGTACCTTAATTTATGCTAATTTTTCCTCAGTCTCACCTTTTTTTTCCCCTCCCTATTGCCAAGTTCATAGACTGTAAATTTTTTCATTAATTTTGTTACAGAAATAAATTAGTCAAATCATGTCAAATTAACCAGCATTTGGAAGAATTAATATCAAAAATATTTTATTAATTTTTATTTTTTCTTGAGTTTAGCTTATAGTAAAGGGAATTTTACTCACTGCAATTTAAATGGGATTTGATAAACAAATATTTATTAGGTATTTTACTACCTAAAACATACATTGTTAACTATAATAGTCTTTTTTAGGAAGCCACTAAGAGTTCCTCACAATGTTTTACCTATAATGCCTTATGAAAATATTGATATCATGGATTGATGTAGTCAATTTTTCCCCCGAGGATACCTACTCACATATATGCATGATTAAAAAAATATTTTGCAGCTTCTTCAACATAGGAACATAACATTTTTATTAATGGGGGTCCCAGAGTGGATGGGAGAAAATGGAGTGCACATGGGCCACTAGACAAAAAAGTCTATCCTACCATCCACTAAACAATACTGAATCTGTATGACCAGTGTGCTAATTATAAAAGATTGCCATCTGTGACACTCACTCAAGAAAACAAGACTTGGGTTAACTAATAAAGTTGAGATGAGGACAAGGGCATGGCCTGAAATTAGGCACATGGTATTATTAGTCATGGGGGTGTTAAGGGCAATGGTAAAAATGATATTAATAGATAAGAACAAGGTACATGGCTAGTGTAAAACACTGCTAGCTAGAGCAGAAACTGTTTTGTCTTAAGAAAGCATATCTTATCTGGCCCTGTGGTTGTTGAAAAATTGGGGGATTGATTGATTGCACTTCACAACTGATGGGCTGTGTGGAATGTACCAAATGAGCACTGATGAATAACAGCTGTTTGTGATTTCCAACGCCAGCATCAAGGAGGCCAAATAAAATTAAGATGATCTGGCATAAAACAAAGACATCATTGTAATCATCAGGATGCCTTTTACACATTGTCCTAAGATCATTGTGTAATTGTCTGACCCTCTTGATAAGTTCTCTGCCACTGATCCAGTTATTCTGAGAAATTAGACCTCCATGATTTTAATCATGAAAAACTGAAAGATGACTATTGCAAATTAATGGCCATGCAAGGCATCAGTGGTGGAAGGAATGCTTCCCCATTAGTCCTGTTCAGTGGCTTTTCCGTGCCTTTTTTCCTTTTTAAATAATTGTTTTCCATTTTTAGTGAATATTTCTACCTGGAGATATGTAATTTCCTTTCTCTATGGTGGCTGTTTTTTTTTTTCTCCAGTGGTGCCTTTTTTCATCTGGTGATGTCACAATACCATACGAGCTGTCCCCTGACATAGTTGAATTCCTGAGAATGCTAGATAAATTCTGAAGTGACTGTTCTTGTCACTGTTCGTGTTTTATGAATGTTTCTAAAATGTTTCTGCAACATCTAAACAATAAATAAGTTAACTTATAGCTCCATTGATTATTATTTACAGGCAATTGAACATAAACCCTTTTCAGGAAGAAAGATTCTGGAATAAATTAGGAATAATTGGATTAAAAAAAATCTTGGTCAGGCCAACCTTGGTCAAATCAACCTACTCAAATTTTCCTTGCCTTCTGAAATTTAAATTCTTGATTAATTAGACTAGGGTGGAAATTTAAACTCTAAACCAGATGAATTTCTATAACTACCACATTCTAGTAGACAAAGCATATCTTAACCTTTTATCCTTAATTCAGCTCTCCAGTGCTTTTAAGAAGTCCTAGTTGTTTACTTAAAGGTTACAGGAAACTTTGAAAGACATTATCTGTAAAACCACCTGAAAAATCTGCTATAAAATTAACATCGAATTCAAAGTATTTCTGCTCTCAGATTGTAAAGCTTTTCTGTTTGGGAGAAAAATAGATTACTTCATGTCTTAATCATCATTGTAATCTTGTTAATGAAGTTTCCAGCAGGCACCAGTGAGATGTTGCTGAGATCAGATTGTCATGTAAGCATCTTTGTACTAGTTTTAAGACTTTTGCAGGACCTCTCAATAATCTACCAGGATGAACAGGAATACTGAAACTCAAGGCGATCTCTGCTGCTCTATAAGTGTGTTGGAGAAGGGGGTTGCAGTGTTTGGGATGAACAAATGAAGCAAATTTATGTAAATAGGAATCAAGAAATACAGGGTGCCTGCTTAGGGTATGGGAAAATGTTTTATCTGGTTGACAGCAGAGAAGCAAAGAGAAATGAGAGTTGCACTGTAGAGGTTTACCTTCAAAATTTAAAATTCAGAGTCTGGTTTTGATTAAAAGAAATGGTTTTGCTTAGCAACTTTGGATCCATTGCAATGATGGACAGGCTTATAGAGGTTTCACCAACAATTACAAGGCTGTCGCCAGGAAATATAGCGTTGGGGAAATATTGGTAAGATAGCTTGACTTACTTCTAGAAAGGAGACATAGTTGTACAGATGTACAGATTACAAGAATAAGCTCTCCATCCACCCATGTTTAATCAAAATAAACTATAATACTATCTATATATCTCTTGCCTATGCAAATATGTTTAGATGGCGTTTCTTTTTTAAAATCTTATTTGTATCCTCACTAATTCAGCAATTCATTTTCTTTAAATACTAATGTGTTCACCTATAGCTACCTATAATCGCCCCAGGCTATTGTCATTACTTTCAACCCCATCTGTTTCAACTTGAATTTAGTGACTATTTTTAACCCAAGTGTAAATTGCCTCATTAGCACCACAGGGCTTCTCCCACAGCAATTAACTGCTCCCCAGCAGCAATTAATTTATCCTGGCCTAAGTGATTCCTCTGGCACTCTCCAGCTCCCTGAACTGCCTTTTAAAGAAAAGTCTTTGCCTGCTCCCAGCTGCTTTTGATTCTTTCACTGATGGCAGTTCCCCGAGTGAGGGCTACAATTCATCTTAAAGGATTCAGATTCTTATTATTTAGGAAACCATTTTTAAAGGACTAAATAAAGACAGATTACTAGTCTCATTACATAGTGCAAAAAATGGTGGGTGTGGTGGGGGTGGAAAACAAAGCTCTTACATTGATGCAGCCTTTACAAGCACCGGGAATTCTGCAAGGAACTTTTCAGACACTAATGCTTCATGTCCACCATATCTATTTTATTCTATTAGCCCATTTTAGAAAAGAGGAAATGGAGGCCCAGGCCCACAATTTCTAAAAGAAAAAAAAAAAAAAGCTAGGATTTGAATCTAGATCTGCCTGACTCCAAGACTACTGCACTTTTAAGAGGCAAAAGGAAAAAGTGTTGATAAAATATAGAATGAGAGTGAGTGCAATTGGAATAAGATGGGAAAGAGCGTGGAGCTGACTGGCACCGTGTTCATGCCACCAAGGGAGCGTCTGTATTTCATCATTGTGTGCTTGGTGCCTCAAGTTCAAATATTATTAGAACGCAAAGTTCCACAAGCAAAACAACACTATGACAGATCCCCCAAAGAACCTATCATTTCCTAAGACTTTTCTGGAGAGCCTCAGACTCAGGACAAACAACTCAGGGTAAAAATTTAAGCTTGACCACAGAGATTCCTTAGTATGATAAGCTGGATTTTCTGATTTAAAGAACCTTTGATCTCCTTCCCACTTCAGAAAAGCCTTTCAGGCTCCACAAAGGACTGTTGGAAAAGAAAAGATTTGGGTAAGGTCCTATTAGTTTTGTCATTAATTCTAATGAATCACCCCCATAAAACTGCAATTCTGTCTCTTTGCTTTTGATAATCATTTGAGATAGCAAGACTTGTGATCATATATTTTAGAGTAAGTGGCTGCATTGCTATCATAAACACACAATGAATATGTTTAGTGATCTCATATACTAATTAAAAAGCTTGAAAAACCTCGTTCTCTGTCAGAGCCCCCAAAACTCCTCGGGAAGAATACCATGTGACAGTCTAGAGCAGACTGCTAACGTTTCTGTAAAGGACCAGATAGTAAATATTTTAGGTTTTGTGGGCCATAAAGTCTCTGCCACAGCTACTCAATTCTGATGTTGCAGTGAAAAAACAGCCATAGACAATATGTGAACCAATGAGCATAACCGTGTTCCAATAAAACTTTATTTACACAAAGAGGCAGTGGGACAAATTTGGCCCACTTGCTATACTTTGCCAAACCCTGGTCCAGAGAGTGGTTTTCCAGGAATGATTTCTGGATCAGCAACAATACCTGGGCATTTGTTAGAAATGTGAATTTTGGGGGTCCCACCCTAGCCCTGATTACTGAATCAGAAATTCTGGAGGGCCCACTTCTGTGTTTAAGCAAGCCCTCTAGGTAATTCTGATTCGTGTTAAAGAACCACTGATCTAGTGAAAGGTAACGTTTATTGAATGTCTGATTTGTTCCAGGTGCTTCCAATATTTTTTTTCTCATTGAACTTACAATAACCCTTTCAAATTAGATACTTTCTCTACAACTGGAGCAGCTAAGGTTCAGAGAGGTTAAATGACCTATCAAAGACCAATGATTATTAAGGAATGGAGCTAAGATTCAATCCAAAGGCTGGCTGACTCCAAAATATATCTTAGCTAAAACATCTCCAAAATTATCCCAGAGATCAATCTAATCCCCCCTGCTTATTTTACAGGTGACAGAATTAGGGACCAGATAGATTAGGGAAATTTACCTGGCCTATTTCTTATTGCTCCCAATTTAGTAATCTTTCCTTCGCACCATGCCAGAATTGCAAAGTGAGCAGAAATCTTCTGCAAGTGCTGGGACAGAATGTGAATACACCTAGAATAGACAATCCCAGGCACTGCTTGGAATGGTGAAAAGCCTCCACTCCATCCAAAGGAAATCTAACAGGTTCCATGCTGCTAAGGCAGATGCTGGAATTGCCTAGTCATTGAACCATCACTTGGGTCTGTGATGCTGGCATTTCATCCAGCCCCTCCCCAGTTCCAGGATATAAAGGCAGAGAGGTGATCTCAGGTGTGTGTTAAAGATTTAACAGGGAAGAAGAAGAAAAGACATTTATTGAGCTATTTATGTTAGGTATTATTCTATCTACTTTGTATATATTAGTTCAAATAATCCATTTAAGAATCAACAAGGTAAGAATTATTCCATTATGTAGGTAAGAAAATTAAAAGGTAAAATAAATGTAACTGAATTGGAAAATATCCTACAACTATCTGGACTCTATGTAACTTCAGAGCTCTTCCTTCTCTTCCCTACTATCTGGTGACCAAATCTTGGATGCTCTGTGCTACTTAATGACCTCAGTGTCTGTTCATAAGTTAGGGAGCTGGCCCTGTGCCTTCTACCCTCTAAGTATAACTAGGATATCTCAAAAAGCACTGTGTGCTTTTGGGTGAAAGGTTTTGTGTTTGTTTTAAAATGCAAGTGAAAACAACTTCAAAAATGTGAACAAAAGCAATTGCATAAGAATGAATTTGAATGAACACTCTCATAATTTGACATTTTGGAATATAGCACACAAGATCAGTTTGTTATAATGTCTCTCGCTTTCCCCAATTTCAATGTTTTCTCATACATAACACTCATAATTCCCAGCCAGAGACCCATAAAGCAATATTTTCCCCCATATAATGGTTTCCTGCACATAGAGTTCAAAAACATGGTCTCCTGGAAAACATTATAAAGACTTCCACAGTATTAGAATGTAACTCACACTCCTTCAAGATCACTAACACTACTTAACCACATCCCCATGTTTAAAACACCTCTTTCTGTAGTTGTCTTTCCATAGTTTATAAATATCATTCCCCTCCAAAAAAGTTTAAAAGGAAAATGAAGTGTGAAGTTCCTGCCTACAAACCATATATTTTAAACAAAATCCAACTGAAAATATTTTTAAAGCTTTGTTTCACAATGAACTTAAAAATGGAGAAAAAATGGTTCCCTGCTTCTGAAGTGATTATATTAGTTTCCTAGGAATGCCAAAACAAAGCACCACAAATATCTCAGCTTAAAACAACAGAAATTTATTCTCTTGCAGTTCTGGACGCTTAAAGTCCAAAATCAAGGTGTTGGAGGCTATGCTCTCTGTAAAGCCTTGAGGGAAGAATCCTTCTTTGTCTCCTCCTGGCTTCTGGTGGTTGCGGGTGTTCTTTGCCATTCCTTGGCTTGCAGCTGCGTCATTCCAATCTCTGCCCCCATTTCACAAGGCAACCTTCTCTGTTTATCTGTGACTACAAGCCTGAATCTTCCTCTCCTTTCTCACACAGACACTAGTTATCGGATTTAGGGCCCATCCTAATCTACCATAACTTCATCATAACTTGATTACATCTGCAAAGACCCAATTTTCAAATACGGTCACATTCACAGGTGCTAGGGGCTAGGGCTTGAACATAGCTTTTCAGGGGACACAATTCAATCAACTACAGTTATCAGGTAAATATATCTGAATATTACCTCCATCATGAGAATAGGTTTACAAGTTTTTCAAAATCTTTTACAAAAACTAATTTATTATTTTCTAGAAGAAAAATTTGATCTAAGTCAGATTTTTGGTTAATAACCAAAGTAGGTGTATTTACTCCTTCTGGTTGGTATTGATGAATATTATTATTCTTATTAATTTATTCTCTTAAAATGATTTGATAATGACAATAATAATTACAGTAATAACTATATATAAAGAACTTACCGTGTCTGGCATATATGTAGTGCTAATCTTTTATCTTAACAATAATTTTATGAAGTCAGTACAAGTTTACCTTCATTTTACAAATGAGAAGACTGACACCAAGAGACATTAAGCAGGTTGTCCATTGTCATGCAGCTGAGTAGTAAGTGATATGTCCAAGATTCAATATCTATTTCTTTGGTAAAGAATTCCTGTTTCATTTCACTAAGGCAGGAAGCCAACCTACCCAGTTGTGTGCCAATATGTTTCCTTTCTTTAGTGTTCCCTGTTCCAAAGTAACTGGAACAGGTGTATTTCCTTGATGTTCATTCAATAGCAAAGATTTGTCAAGGACATTTTCCATGGGTTAGGCACTAGAATTTTAAATAGTTAAATAAGTAAACAAATACAGACTTTAGAGCAGCCTACTGTTTAATAGTTGCCAAGATAGCTAAAGAATGTTAAAACATCATGAATTATTTCACCTTCTCTAACCCTCAAAGCAAGCAATAGCACTCTGCTGTTTGTCTTTATGCAATCAAGATTAGTTTAAATTAATATGCATCTGTGTAGCATCAAGAGCGGAACATGACATAGTCAGAAACAGAGTAGGGGAAAGAGGTGGGAAAAGGGAATGAAGAGGAGAAGGGAGAAGAAGAAACTGGTAAGCCTGTAGCACCAAATGTTCCTTTTGTCTAGGACCAGCATTTAACAGATTTAGAAGGGAAGCCTGAAGATACAAATCACTGTGGACCTTTGGCTTAAGGCTCCTCTTAGTTGCCAGCTACTAACAAGGAATGCCATGACCTGGATATAAGCAAGAAGCCGTCTTCTGGAGTTATGCAGAAATAGGAATGGTATAATTTTTATTTGCCAGTGGCTACTCCTGAACTGCTAAAGGAGTTTTACAGTTTAATCCCCAATTGCCCTTTACTCTACAAGTGGAAAACTTAAACTTTTAGTGGAACAGGAATGGCTCAGAGTTGTACAATGAGAGTGTTTTTTGCTTCAATTCCTTAGCTCATGGGAACACGCAAATACATTCATCATTATTGCTCATGTTCTTCCAGTTCAGTTGGTACCTTAGTTTCACATTTGTGGTTGGTTCATTGGAGGACTTGTTTCAATGGAAACACTGTGTGGTAGAGAGAGTAAATCTGGTCTACAGTAGCCAAGAGATGATACTCATGGAGGGCGGAAGAAAAGGAGAGAAATGGTTTCACCACAAGATTAAATAGATGCTCATTCCCTCCTCATAAAAAGGAAAAGAAAAAAATTCTCAAGTCTTTGCAAACATTTTCTATACTATAACTTTGGTTTTAATTATAAAATAACTCAAGGAAAGGTCAAAATCAATGTTATTTGTATTTTTTTACTATTTAAAGAGAATACTTAAAGGTAAAATAACAGAAACACTCTATACATGCACAAATGGTGATCAATTTTAAGTTAATTGTTAATGCATAAAACTGTCATGTCTACGAGCCTCCCTCATACCTTCTATGCAACATGAACAAAAACTAACTCATCATTGTTCCTCCTAAACTTGCTCTTGATCCTAGATTTCCTATGCAGTTAATGGAGCCATTACCACCTAGTCATCCAAGCCAGAAACCAAAGCCATTGTATACCCATGGGGGACTTCTGCTTCTGGTTAAGACTGGATAACTGGCACAGGACTACTGTCCTGCCACAAACAACTATAAAACTGAATAAAATATATGAGGCAACTATTTCTAAGCATTAGACAATAGGCATCACAAAACTGTAATCTCTGAGAGAAGGAAAGCTCACTCTTGCCTTCTATCTGGGGAAAATTTCTTGACCCTAGTACAAGGCTGATATCCAAACATGCTGGAGGACTTTAGAGTTCCACCCCAACCAGAATGGAGGGACTGAGTTAATGTCATTAATATCTCTGTCATTCAATGGAAACACCAGTAAGGCTCTACTTATGAACAAGGACCACCCTCCAGAATAAGACCTACTCAAGACCCACTGTGATGAAGCCTCAGCCTCCAAACTGTTCTCATGTAGAGATGAATACAGCCACATAGTAGGGACTTGGGAAACACCTTGGAATTTCCACAGATCCATGCTAACAAAGTATAGGACTAAGCCTACCTAAATTCAAGTTGATGGGCCAGCAGTTGAACTACTTCTAGAACAAAAATCAACACTCTTCAAAAGGAGATAATTATCAAAGGTCTCCACCATAAATTTTCCACAAAGTTTGTACATAAACAACAATTATTAGACATGCAAACAAATCTCATAGTCAAAAAACTAAAGGGTGGTTAATATGAACCAGCCCCAAGAGTGCTCACCTGTTAGTTTTAGCAGATAAAGGCTTTACAGCAGCCATTATAAGTATGTTAAAATAATCAAAGGAAAATGTGTTCAAATAAGTAGAGGAAAATAATAGTCTTTTCTTTTTTTTTGAGACAGAGCTGTGCTCTGTCACCTAGGCTAGAGAGCAGTGGCAAGATCTCGGCTAACTGCAACCTCTGCCTCCCAGGTTCAAGTGATTCTCATGCCTCAGCCTCCCGGGTAGCTGAGACTACAGGTGTGTGCCACCACACCTGGCTAATTTTTATATTTTTAGTAGAGACAAAGTTTTACCATGTTGGCCAGGCTGGTCTTGAACTTCTGACCTCAAGTGATCTGCCTGCCTTGGCCTCCCAAAGTGCTGGGATTACAGACGTGAACCACCGCACCCAGTCTGGAAAACATAGTCTTAATGAGGGAAGAGATAGAATATCTCAGCAGAGAACTAAAAGCTATTTTTTTAAAAAAAGCAAATGGAAAATATATAGTGGAAAATTACAATTAAAATTTAAAAGTCACTGTATGTGCTTAGTAATAAACTGTAGATAGCAGAAAAAAGAGTTGGTGATCTTGAAGAAAGATCCAAGCGTCTTCCAATCTGAAGAACAGAGAAAAAGAATTGAAGGTAAACTTTCGAAACTGAAGAATGGAGAAAAAAATTGAAGATAAAAAATTTCCCAATGTGAAAAGGAGAAAAGGAACTGAAGAAAAATGAATAGAGGCTCAGGGCCTTTCAGGCAATATCAAATGATCTAAGGTATATGTAATAGAGTCCTAAAAAGTGAGTAGAGAAAACTTATTTGAAAATATACTAACTGAAAGTTCCCTAAATTTGATTACATTGACTTAGATCCAAGATTTAAGCAGTATTAACATAAAGAAAACAATTTATGTAGGTACATAATAATTAAATATAGAAAACCAAAGAGAGAAAATCTGAAAAGCTGAGGACAAAAAAGACACATTAAATACAAGACAACAATGATACAAAAAAATGACTAACTTCTCATCAGAATCAACGAGGGGCAAAAGACAATAGAATTGTATTTTTAAAGTGCTGAAATAAAAATTTTAGAACTGTCAATCCAGTTTTTGAAGTATTTTTGAAATATCCTTCAAAATTCTTATAGTGAAGACCTGCACTATAAGAAATGCTAAAAATTATTCTTCAGGCTAAATGGAAATAATACCATACACAACTTCAATCTATAGTGAGAAATGGAGAGCACTGGAAATAGTAAATGAATGGGTAAGTATAAAAGTCATCATTTAAAAGAAAAATAATATAAAGTGAGGTTGGTAGCTATGTGAAAGTAAAAGATACAACAATAACAAAGGGAGGGTAGGTGAGTGGAGTTATACTTTTGTAAGATTATTACACTTGTGACATGAAAAGCAGCAAATGGGAAGTATGAGTGTCAGGTATAAAGAGTGAAGTGGTAAATTATTGGACTGTAAATAGCCATTGATAAATACATTTATTATTAGTGCTAGAGAAAACACTTAAAAATAATAACAAAAAGGTGAAGTTTCATACCCAATAGAGGCAACAAAAGAAATACTAAAAACATTTTATTAACCCAAATGACGTCAGGAAAGGAGAAAGAGAGGAATAAAATATTTGGAAAAATTTGAACAGAAGGAAAACAAATAGCGAGATAAATAGAATAGATGACAGATTATCCACAGCAGCTTTATTTATAATAATCTCAAGCTGGAAACAACCAAAAAGTCCATCAACAGTTAAATGGATAAATAAATTATGGTATATTTACACAGCGGCATATACTCTGCTGAAAAATGAAAACCAATGCACACAAAAACGTGGATGAGTCTCAAAAACATCTGAGCAAAAAGAAGCCAGATCAGAGAGGGTATTATATGGGTCCATTTACATGAAATCCTAGAAAAGATAACACTAATCTATAGTGCTAGAAATAAAATCAGTAGCTGCCAGGGTCGGGGATGTGGTGTGTGTGTGCGTGTGTGTGTGTAAGGGAGCTGGGAGTTAACAGCAAAGAGGCATGAGAAGACTTTTAAGTTAATGGAAATGTTCTATACCTTGTTTAGGGTGATGGTTTCACAGGTATGTACATTTGTCAAAATCATCAAATGGTACAGCTAAAGTAAAACATTTGAAAAAGGTATCTGTGGAATATATTCTCTTCTCCTTGGCTAGC
Organism: Homo sapiens; assembly: GCF_000001405.40. Classification (NCBI taxonomy): domain Eukaryota; kingdom Metazoa; phylum Chordata; class Mammalia; order Primates; family Hominidae; genus Homo; species Homo sapiens. Next base: position 86,187,133 of record NC_000001.11, on the reverse strand, counting down.
AGCAAATCCATGCATCTTGAGCCCAGTCCAGTCTCTTTCTAGAATGTCATACTGATCTCAGGTACTATTTGCTGGTGGTTATCAGATTCTTTATTTTCTGTTTTAGTACTAGCCTTTTTTCATCAAAGAGAAAACTTATAGAAATTACAATGGCTGTTAGTACCAAAAGAATTAATGAAGTTTTCCTGTATTTCTGAATTTTTCCTGAGTAAAAATTCCGAGTGTTGGAACCATCTGGCTTATTTCCTAGCAAGGAAAATACCGGAGTGGTTTTTTGAAAAAATGAAGTTTCTTTCCAGGGAAAGTAAATTTTCCCTTAAATGTAGAGAATATGGGGAAATTATAAATGTTGAGAAATATGATTTCAAAAAGTTGTTTTGGTACTTTATCTTTTGTTTCAAATGTTTTGGCCATTTTTAAGCAAACATTTGAAGATTCCTAGGAAATGCAACATGTTATAGCTATTTAAAAGTTGATTTTATTACATCATTTTCCTCCTAATCATCTTGGGTTGATGGTTTCATATTTAATTTGGAAAAAAACCCAGTTTGTCCAAGTTTAGATAATGTCTAATTTAATATTAATCTGTTTTCTTATTATTCACTTAGTAGGCTTAATACTTATTTTAAAATTCACATATACACATTCACACATATATGGCTGGAAAATATTTTAATATTGTGACAATTTTGGTGTTTGAAAACTTTTTACTTAAAAGTTACAAGTTGAGTTATGTTTAGGAAATGTCAGTTTAATATAAAAAATCCATTATGAAATATTTTTTAAAAGGCTGGATTAGGCAACGGACTTATTGAGGGACAGCTAGAAAGGGATGCTGTCTAGAGAAAAGAATAGGTGAATAATCTTGAAAATGCATGTAAATATGAAAGGAATCCTCGAGAAAGGATAAGCTAGGAAGCATAATGAGAAGATATTTGGCAGAAGTGTGGATGCCCTAGGTCCATCACATTTCAGTTCTTCTCTTGCAATTTCTGAAAAAGACTCTCATGAGAGCAGCCATCATACTGGAGGAAGGAATCTGATTTAGAAGTGACATAAAGAAGAATTACATTTCTTCTTCACGGAATAAATTCTGGACACAAAATACCCTGTTGTGACAGTCACATTTGATCTCCTCCAGTTGCCCCATCCCTTAGTGAGCTCTCCATTGCCTAAACTCAATTAGCACTAAACTGTCTGCAACACTCATAACATGGATGTGATACTTTGTACTGTATTTTGATGAGTTTTACAGCTGTTGGAGGTCAGGGGTTGTACCTTTTCACGTTTATATCCCTAAAGCCTTGGACAGTGTTGACATATACTAGGTCCTCCTCAGTGATGAGGAAATGTTATTATTAAAGTATAACATGCCCCTCTGACATCTTTTCACCCAACATTGTATCATTTAATGTTTACTGCACTGTATAATTGTCAGTTTATTTGGTAGAATTCTCCTCTACATTAGAATATTCTTGAAGTCTGAGACTGTTGTACTCACTTCCTTACTCTCATTGTCTTGCACAACATAAGAGTCTAAGGAATCTTTGTTGGACAGAAGTATGAATGAGAGAGAACTGGACCAGGAGGAGTAGATTTTAGTCCTCTACGACTAATTGGTTCAGAAAAATTGAACAAGTAACTTAGCATTTGTCTGTCAGTGTCCTCATATACATGTAAAATTAAGTACTTGGATTTGGTAAAAATCAAAGACCCCTAACAGTTCTAGAATTCTATGATTTGATGATGATGGTGATAGTTTAAAATAGAAAGTTGCTTTAGTTAAAATGAGTTACTGAGTTAGATGATATCAGCTCTTAGCAACTGGCTTTCTCCTGCCTCCAAACCTTTCATCCTGGAACTCTAAGGACCCCACAAAGGGGTCCTTGCTGAAGATTTTGGAAGTGTCATTATATTGTAAATAGCTCCTTATAAGGAACAGACTAGAGACCCCCAGATATCAGTAGTTCAATGAGTGAGGCAACCTGTTTAGATTTTGAACTAAAGGTTAATTTACTAAGCATCCTTGATCCTTCTCCATTGCCTGCTCAGAAATAACATCAATTGGTTTGAGGAATTCTCTAAATCTGTATCTTACATACACTTGTGCACTATGTACACACATTGTTCTAAGCTCCTTATGTATTATAAATCCTCACAATACTGCCATTTGGCAGATAAGGAAACTGAGGCAAAGATATCCAAGGTTATACAGCTAATAAATGATAGAGGCAGAATTCAATTCATCACTGACACTAAACGAAGGATATTAGAATGGTACAGTTTATAGAAGCTCCCTTTCTCGTCCCTTGCAGGAATGGTGGGGGATGGGGGGACATTAAGTATGAATAATTCAGACTTTGAGACAATAAGAATACATTGCCTTCATCTCCAAACAGTTTTGCCTGTGTGTAGACTACAGAGATGTTTCCCAAACTATTCCCATTTGTTTGGAAAGCCAGTTACCATTCCTTGGAGACCAACAATGGGATTACAGTAACTGGTGATCTGAACTTCATCCAGGTCTGGTGTATCTTGGGAGCAGACCTTGTCTGAGAGAATGCAGCTGTGCTGTCAGTCAGCATATTAAAGCAGGTGGGCCTCATTATGAGTTAGAGACCCAAGTAGAGGACTCAGGCGAAGGTTTCTCTCTCCTCCCAGCCAGAAGATGGAACATTTATCAAGTGGGTCTTTGGAGAGATTTTACTCCGTTGCTTTCCATTTTCCTGGGATTCTGTAAACCTTGTAATGAGGGACATAGAACAAGGGTAATTCTGGTTTATGTTCTTATTCATATTTTCTTTATTCATTATGTTCCCATATTCATATTTAATAACTATAAATAGAACTATAACAGAGCCTTTCTTTGACACAGGAGGAGTTATCTGCCGAGATACTGGCAAGTTCTTTTACTTATCTTACAGGAACCAAAATGTTTTGGCCATTAAGTCCAAATCTTTCAGCAAGGATTATTTATGAGACAATCACTGTTATTATTTTGGCTTAGATTCCCAAAATATTTGCAACAATTTCTGAGTGGGATATGCCTGGCCCTTGACTTGGAAAACTAAAAAAAGGCTCATGTATTTCTTCTTAATGAATTCAAACAGCCCTGGAAAGCTCAAATATTAAACAAGCAAAGAGCTCCCAAGGATTTGTAAATTCTCATGTTCTGATGAAACAGTAAGTTTTCGTAGTCATTAAGAAGTGCACTGTTGGCATGGAAACCAAATCCTTATCAGGGAATGGGTCCTTCCTGTGATATGCAATTGAGTCAGTCAGTTGTTGTCCTGCTTCTGACAACTCCAGGGGCTGGGGACTCACTCTCAATAAAAGGTTTTTCCCCATTTTTGGACAACTCTAATTTTTACAGAGTTCTTATTTTGATCTGAAATTGTATTACTGCACATTTTACCAGTGTGGATAGTCTTTCTTGCTCTTCTTTGTGAGCTTCTCTTTCTCTGCCTGGCCCATTTAGGTGTTCCTAGGAAACCAATATTCTTATTTCACACATTATCCCTGGACAATCTATGTTTCATAGTTCATGCTCACAGTGAGAAGTGTATCTCAAGCCCACACTTTCATGCTGAGCTCCAAGTCAATATATTCATCACCAACATATTACCTGTCTGCCTCACAGGTACCTCATGTTCAATTTATCCAAAGTTGGTTTTACCTTTCGTTAGACTCCTGAATTTGGTGAATGATGCCACCATCCACTCAGTCTCCTAGGTCAGAAACCAGAAAATTTTTTGGATTTTTGCCACCAGTCATCCATCACTTTTGATAGTGCCCTGTTAAAATCTCATGTATATTTCTTCCTGCCCAACTCCACTACCAGTGGTCTTTGTTGTTTCTTGACTAACAATTATAAGAGGTTCTAAATTGCATTCCTGCTTCTGGCCTCACCTCCTTCAATCTTTCTCCTTAACTTCTCTAGATTGAACCACCTAAAATTTAAATCTCTTGCCGTCATCTTCTAAAAATTTTAAATGGTTTCATCTTGTGAAAGAATAAGCTTAGTGTATTTGATGGCATAAAAGATCCAACACACACACCCATTAGGATGGCAAAAATATATAAATAACTCCTACAACTAAAAAAATAAAAATAAAAACAACTTAAAAATGGGGAAAATATTTGAATAGCTATTTCTTCAAGGATAGATGTATGCCTAATAAACACTTGAAAAGGGGCTTAATAGCTGGGCACGCAGCAGCTCAAGCCTGTAATCCCAGCACTTTGGGAGGCTGAGGTGGGTGGATCATTTGAAGCCGGAAGTTCGAGACCAGCTTGGCCAACATGGCGAAACCCCGTCTCTACTAAAAATACAAAAATGAGCCTGGCATAGTGGCGCATGCTTGTAGTCCCGGCTACTCAGGAGGCTGAAGCAGGAGGATCAGTTGAACCTAGGAGGCAGAGGTTGCAGTGAGCAGAGATCACGCTACTATACTCCAGCTGGGCGACATAGCAAGACTGTCAAGTGGGCTTCATCCCTGGGATGCAAGGCTGGTTCAACATACACAAAGCAATTAACGTAATCCAGCATATAAACAGAACCAACGACAAAAAACATATGATTATCTCAATAGATGCAGAAAAGGCCTTTGACAAAATTCAACAGCCCTTCATGCTAAAAACTCTCAATAAATTAGGTATTCATGGGACGTATCTCAAAATAATAAGAGCTATCTATGACAAACCCACAGCCAATATCATACTGAATGGGCAAAAACTGGAAGCATTCCCTTTGAAAATTGGCAAAAGACAGGGATGCCCTCTCTCACCACTCCTATTCAACATAGTGTTGGAAGTTCTGGCCAGGGCAATCAGGCAGGAGAAAGAAATAAAGGGTATTCAATTAGGAAAAGAGGAAGTCAAATTGTCCCTGTTTGCAGATGACATGATTGTATATCTAGAAAACCCCATTGTCTCAGCCCAAAATCTCCTTAAGCTGATAGGCAAAGTCTCAGGATACAAAATCAATGTGCAAAAATTACAAGCATTCTTATACACCAATAACAGACAAACAGTGAGCCAAATCATAAGTGAACTCCCATTCACAATTGCTTCAAAGAGAATAAAATACCTAGGAATCCAACTTACAAGGGACATGAAGGACCTCTTCAAGGAGAACTACAAACCACTGCTCAATGAAATAAAAGAGGATACAAACAAATGGAAGAACATTCCATGCTCATGGGTAGGAAGAATCAATATCGTGAAAATGGCCATACTGCCCAAGGTAATTTATAGATTCAATGCCATGTCCATCAAGCTACCAATGACTTTCTTCACAGAATGGGAAAAAAACTACTTTAAAGTTCATATGGAACCAAAAAAGAGCCTGCATTGCCAGGTCAATCCTAAGCCAAAAGAACAAAGCTGGAGGCATCACCCTACCTGACTTCAAACTATACTACAAAGCTACAGTAATCAAAACAGCATGGTACTGGTACCAAAACGGAGATCTAGACCAGTGGAACAGAGCAGAGGCCTCAGAAATAATGTCGCGTATCTACAACCATCTGATCTTTGACAAACCTGACAAAAACAAGAAATGGGGAAAGGATTCCCTATTTAAAAAATGGTGCTGGGAAAACTGGCTAGCCATATGTAGAAAGCTGAAACTGGATCCCTTCCTTACACCTTATACAAAAATTAATTCAAGATGGATTAAAGACTTAAATGTTAGACCTAATACCATAAAACTCTAGAAGAAAACCTAGGCAATACCATTCAGGACATAGGCATGGGCAAGAACTTCATGTCTAAAACACCAAAAGCAATGGCAACAAAAGCCAAAATTGACAAATGGGATCTAATTAAACTAAAGAGCTTCTGTACAGCAAAAGAAACTACCATCAGAGTGAACAGGCAACCTACAGAATGGGAGAAAATTTTTGCAATCTACTCATCTGACAAAGGGCTAATATCCAGAATCTTCAATGAACTAAACAAATCTACAAGAAAAAAACAAACAACCCCATCAAAAAGTGGGCAAAGGATATGAACAGATGCTTCTCAAAAGAAGACATTTATGCAGCCAAAAGACACATGAAAAAATGCTCATCATCACTGGCCATCAGAGAAATGCAAATCAAAACCACAATGAGATACCATCTCACACCACTTAGAATGGCAATCATTAAAAAGTCAGGAAACAACAGGTGCTGGAGAGGATGTGGAGAAATAGCAACACTTTTACACTGTTGGTGGGACTGTAAACTAGTTCAACCATTGTGGAAGTCAGTGTGGTGATTCCTCAGGGATGTTGAACGAGAAATACCATTTGACCCAGCCATCCCATTACTGGGTATATACCCAAAGGATTATAAATCATGCTGCTATAAAGATACATGCACACGTATGTTTATTGCAGCACTATTCACAATAGCAAAGACTTGGAATGAACCCAAATGTCCAACAATGATAGACTGGATTAAGAAAATGTGGCACATATACACCATGGAATACTATGCAGCCATAAAAAATGATGAGCTTATGCCCTTTGTAGGGACGTGGATGAAGCTGGAAACCATCATTCTCAGCAAACTATCGCAAGGACAAAAAGCAAACACTGCATGTTCTTACTCATAGGTGGGAATTGAACAATGAAAACACATGGACACAGGAAGGGGAACATCACACACCGGGGCCTGTTGTGGGGAGGGGGGAGGGGGGAGGGATAGCATTAGGAGATATACCTGTTGTTAAATGACGAGTTGATGGGTGCAGCACACCAACATGGCACATGTATACATACATAACAAACCTGCACATTGTGCACTTGTACCCTAGAACTTAGAGTATAATAAAAGAAAAGAAAAGACAAAAGGAAAAAGAAAAGAAAAGGGGCTTAACATCACTAATCATTAGGGATATCCTAATCAAACTGCAATGAGACACTTTGCACCCATTAGGAGGAGGGCTACTTATCAAAAAAAGAAAAGTGAGAATATGGCAAAACTGGAACCTCTGTGCTTGTAGGAATGTAAATGGTGCAGGCACTATGAAAAACAGTGTGGTAGTTCCTCAAAAATGGAATTACCATGTGATCCAGCAATTCTACATCTCGGTATATACCCAAAATAATTGAAAGTAGGTGTGACTTTATTACAGTGAAAAAAAAAAAGAATTGGAAGTAGGGACTCAAAGAGATATTGGTACACCTGTGGGTATAGCAGCATTATTCACACAATAACAAAAAAACAGAAGCAACCCAAGTGTGCACTGATGAATGAATGAGATGAATGAGTGGATCGACAAGATGTGGCATATACGTACACTTATTCAGCCTTAAAAAGGAAGGAAATTCTAACATATGTTACAATATGGATGAACCTTGAAGACATTGTGCTAAGTGAAAATAGCCAGTTATAAAACGACAAATACTGTATGGTTTCACTTCTATGAGGTACCTAGAGTAGACAAATTCATAGAGACAGAAGTGGAATGGTGGTTGCTAGAGCTGTAGGGAGTTAATGTTTAATGGGTACAGAATTTTAGTTTGGAAAGATGAAAAAAGGTCAGGATTGGATGGTGGTGATGGTTGCACAATGATGTGAATGTACTTAAAGCTGAACTATACACTTAAAAGTTGTTAAAATGTCCAATTTAGGTTATATATATTTTATCACAATTAAAAAAACAAAGATCCTATGGAACCTGATTCTTGGCTAACTGCTCTTGTCTACCAATACGTGGTCTGGCAACCCCGAACCACTTGTAATTTCTCAAACACACTAGGCTCTCATGAGTCAGTGCTTTGTGCTGCCTGGCAATGTTTTACTCCTCCTTCTAGTTGCTGCTCAAATCTACGGTGCCCAACCATCCAGTTTGCCTGGAACTGAGCGGTTTCCCAGGATTCAGGATTTTCAGTGTCCAAACTGGGAAAGTTTCAGGCAAATTGGGAAAAGTTGGTCACTCCACTCAAATCCCAACATTATATCATTTCCAAATTTGATCAGCATTCTCAAGTGTCCTTATCTAAAAACTTGAAAATTTCAATTTGGAAAGGATCAACGTCAGAGCTCTGCGATGTACTAAAAGATGTTTATGAAAGTTCATATCTATTCATTAATTAACATTCCTTGAATAATAATGCAGTATATTCTTTGGCTTATGTTATCTAAAATATATTTCTCTGTTTTCTCCATGACAGTGTCATAAAAATCCAGTCAAATGCCTTTCTAAGATCCAGATACACTGTATTGAAATGCATTTCTTTGATCTCCAGTTTTGCCTACCTGTCCAAAAAAGATATTAGTCTGTCAGAGCTTGCTCTTTGTGAACTCACACTGGCTTCACCTGCTCAGAGCTGCTTGTGTTATGTGTGTGTGAACAATTGTTTCAATTAACCCCTCAACAACTTTTATTTGTTTATGAAGAAATATTATATTCTACCCTGTACCCACATTGCAACAGATTTCCTAGGTTTTCAAAATTATTGAAGTTAATAAAAAGAAAAAGGATTTTCCTCTTCTGACCACATTAGATTCAGTGACTCAGTATTAGGCAGGATTTGTGTTACTGAAAGAGTCTCCCCCAACACAGAGCTCCTACCTGGTAATACCTGGTGAAATGGCTGAGCCCGAAGCAAACACAAACTCTAAGGATTCATAGAAATGTCTGTTTCACATGTAAACCAGCTATGTGAATACACATTTATTCATAAGAATATAAATACAGGTCTTGATTAGTGGCAAGTCAGCAACATTAAACCAATAATTGTTACCATTTGGAGAGGTTTGGAGGCAGATGCATCTTGGTTTAAACTGATAGCTGAAGTAATTGCAGCATTTGTTTTAAGTTTTGTTTCCAAGTGAAAGCAGGCTGTTTCTGGTTGTCCTGGGTTTGGACCATGCAGCTGGGGAAGAGTGCCTTTTCCCTCTCTGAGGATAGTTTGTTACCTGCCTGCAATGTAAGCTTCGTAAGAGTTGCAAGTAAGAAGCAAATTTAAAAGGAAAGGGGGGAAAAGGGTTTATTACTTAATGTACAAGATTTATAATGATTTCTTTATTGTGTCACAATAATTGGATTCAACTTTCTATTTCTGCCACTATTACTGAAATACGTTAAGTTTTAGAGTTAAATGTCATCAATCAACCAGCCTGAAATTCACTACCTAGTAGTAGTAAAGATAAAGTTATTATTATTATCATTATCATCAGAAAGGTCTGCCTTTCTAATGTGACTCTGCTATTCACTTGCTCTGCAACTATAGCTTTGTCTTTAAGTCTATTTCATCATTTGTAAAATTGGGATTAAAATTATCTATACTGCAGATCTGAAAGTATAGTTAGGAGACAGTAACATTTACTGAGCATGTGCTGTGTGCCAGGGACTGTATGGCATCTTACATAGATTATTTCACTTAATCTTCCCATCACCCCTATGAACATGGTAATACCATCCTTGTTTTACAAACAGGGAAACTGAAGCTGAGAGAAATTACATAATGTACCTAAGGTCCCATAGCTTTTAAGTTGCAAAGTTAAGATTTGATTCTACGCTGGGCTAAGTCAACTCTACTATATCACATATAGATGTGCATGGACTTCTGTTTAGCTATATAACTGCCTGTAGAAATGTAGATACATGAAAAGAGCATTGATTCTATCATCCAGCGTGGGAGGGGGATTTTATACATTCCTTTGGATTTCCTAAAAAGCCTGTATGATTTCACTGACATCTTAAGTCAAAAGTAAGGGAGTTAAGAGACTCTTCCAGAAGTATCACATAACAAAGGTAATATTTATATAATATTAAAAATTTCACCCATTATTTACATAAATGTACTTAATATCACATTGCATTGAAAAGAAACATTCCACACAAAGCTTGTATTCATTCATGATATTCAAGTGCTACCTAACTTCATATAATGGAAACAGTTCTTTATGCAATCTGGTATATGAGCTTTAAAATCCTTTCACATGCATTCTTTTATAAAATGCTACTCAGGGAACAAAATTCATCCTAGCTACTGTTGTCTATAAATGTTTCTCTTGCATTTTATTCAAACCAAAGTCTAAACCAAAGATTTTTAGGAAGAACAACCATCCTCCTAGAATTAGTCTGGTTACCCTCGAAGACATACTCTAATTCTTTCCATTTCTTGTATTTCCTAAATGTTTTCTATCCACATTTAGTATTTCTTTAACCAAAGTAATACTCCATACTTTGGGGCTGACACTAATGGAATTCTAAATACTTTCTACTTGAGTATATATTCCAAAAATATATTTTTCTGGTCCTAAGCTACAGATATTTTGTTTTACACATCAAATATAGTGGTTATGAGAATGGGAAAATTTTTAAAAACCAAAACATCCTCTGGGAAGAAAATGATTGGTAATTACAGTGGTCAGCTACCATCCTAATTCCCTAGTTTTGGAATGGTTTAAACATCAAGGTGCTCTCACATTTCTTTTTATTTTAGTAAATATTAACATAAATTATTCCATTAACAATTTAATTCCATTAATTTAAAAAAGTGTTATAAAGCCTTTAAACATGACTAAGATTTCCTCTGAGGACAGAAGTAATTTGTATGTTAGCCAACTAGTGCCTTTCAGTCAATTTGCTTCCTATATTAAAATGTGGAACTATGAGCTGAATAGACAGACTTGAAATAAAGACCAGTGATGAAAGAGAAATAAGTTTGTTCTCAAATTATGTGTCTGTTTCTGTACACGTGTGTGTGTGCACATGCGCGCGCACACACACACACACCAGGTTCATAGGAAAACAATCTTGATTTAGTAATCTGCGTGCAAATACTAAATAAAACAAGAGGAAGGGAAATATCTCTACATAATTAGCTTATACAGTTAGTATAAACCTCAATTTGGGTTAGAGAAATGATGGGAGAAATACTGTATCATAGTAAATGTAAACTAAGAATTGTATGACAGAAAAAATAATTTTACAAGGCACAATTCAGAGGGCAAATTTAAGAAATTTCATCTTGGAATTCTTGCCAATCTGAAGCCTTTGAGATCTTTGAATAAATAAAAGTGTGCCTATGTTGGAAATCTTATTTTAGAGCACAAGAGGGTCAAATATAATCGTTTGGATTCATTTTCCCTATTGGATGAAAGCCAATAGTTCCTGGCAAGTGTAGTTATATTGAGCCGTGTTATTAATCACACGCACTTCTTATTTTCAGTACTGCCAGGAAACAACTGTGGCAGACAGATTGGGCTGGCACAGAGAGATCAGAAATGGGAGAGCTCTTCACAAGCAAAGACGTAGGTTAGCCTTGGAGGAGGCATGGACAGACTGACCAGACAAATGCAGAAGTGTACGAAGCTCAAACCCAAAGGATTTATTTTCAGTGGGGAAAGAAATATCATAACTCCTGCTCTTTTACAAGAACCTTTAAGTAAATATTAATTCTTCATATACTGAAAAACAAAATTATTTTGGTCCAAACCTTGTTATAAATTTTTCAAATGTTAAAAGCTCTGATTTGGGATCTGGAGGGCATACAGAGCCTTCAAAGGTACTAATAATATAGGATTTCTTATATGATGCTATTGTTCTTTAAATTTTATGTACACACGATTAACTCTCTTCCAAAGATACATTTCTTGAAAAAACATTAACATTAGGAAATACCATTTAGTGTGTTACTATGATTCTAAGTGCCTCAATTATCTGTTAGCATATCTGCAAACTATTACTTGAAAATTGTTTTATTTCTGTACATCTAGAAAAAATTGCATTCTAATTATAATATGTAACCTTAAAATTTTTTTCAGCGACTTTTAGAACAAAATTTTGTCATATGAAAAATGAGGGAAATTGCCAGAGGAGATTCAGGAAAAGTAAATCTGGGTAGAAAATTTCCTTTCACTCCTGAAATACCTATTATTTCCATAAATTGCTCTATAATAATAGTTCTTTAAAAGAATTTGGGTAGAGATGCACTAAAAGGTTTAGAAAAAAATATCTCTCTGTAGAGAGTTGTCCCGCAATCAGTCTCTCCCCTGTCTCCAACATGCTACTACATCTGGTATTAGGGGCATATTGTTTGTAGCAATTATTTTTTAATGGGAAGAGGGACTCAGGGGAGAAATCCTCAAAGTTTTAAAGGCAAATTCCAAAGTACCAGTTTTAATTTAACTTTATATATACATTTTAAAATTAATGGGCTCTCTGGTAATGCTGTAGCTTTTGGAATTCATTCAGAAAGGGTTTTAAAATGGAAATGCTGACAGATCGTGAAGTTCAGCGGTATGAACGGTGCCGCTGTAACACTTTACTATATAGGCATGGTGCCCATTGTAACAAACATCCCTGTGGCCATATTTTAATATTTTTAAACTTAAACTTTACACATACACATTTGTTTGAAGGGCAGACCAAAATAAACTAGTGGGACAATCTGCTGTACATATGTTTCCCTTTTCATTTATCTTGTTTGGTGTTTATTCTTGTTTGGTTGCCTTCAAATTCATTATTACCCTCCATTTAGTTCACTTTACAAATGAACAGTATGAATCTAGGCTAAATGGCTAGAATTGTGAGACAGCATACAAGAAGAATAAGAAACAAGTAATTGGGATGGCAGAGGTAAGTAATTAACAGACAATGGGCTCATCTTAGTTCCTGGCAATTCCAGCTTTTGTTTGCACAGGCAAGCTAGGCTACAGTAGGTGTAAAATGACTAAACTAAATTAGTTCAGCCATTGTGGAAAGCAGTGTGGTGATTTCTTAAGGAATTTAAAAGGAAGTACTATTTGACCCACCAGTCCCATTATTAGGTATATACCCATAGGAATATAGTAAATTCTTTTACCATAAAGACACATGCACGTGTATATTCATCACATCACTATTCACAATAGCAAAGTCATGGAATCAACCTAAATGCCCAAAATGGAAGACCCAGTAAAGAAATGTGATACATATACACCGTAGAATACTATGCAGCCATAAAAAAGAATAAGATCATGTCCTTTGTAGCAACATAGATGGAGTTTGAGGCCACAATCCTAAGCAAATCCTAATGCAGAAACAGAAAACAAAATTCCATATGTTCTCACTTATAAGTAGGAGCTCAACATCAAGTACATATTGGCACAAAGAAAGAAACAACAGACACTGGGACCTACCTGAGGGTAGAAAGTGAGAGGAAGCAGAGGATGGAAAAACTACATATTGGGTACTATGAAATAATCTAGACACCAAACCCTGTGTCACACAATTTACCTATATAAGAAACCTCCACCTGTGTCCCTGAACCTAAAATAAAAGTTAAAAAAAAGAAAAAGAAATTGTTGAACTCGATAAACTTGAGATCCTGCTCAAAGGTAAGTGATTGATGGGATTGAAATGGTTCACTGTTAGTACTCTGCCAAATATGTCAAAAGGGTCTGTTTCTATCTAAGGGAAATACTCTTTTTCTTGTCTAGTCCCAGTCAACATGTCACACTTCCCACAAAAACTCAGAATCAAACACCTTTTTGGCAGCACGTGACCCAAAGCAGCAAGAAGACCCTGGGGATCCACATGGAAGAAGAACGCATTATGTGGAGCTCACTAGATCCAGGACCAGGCAAACCAAGAAAGGAAAATCATTCTGAAAACTGTTTTAGATACACATTTGAGTAAATTTATAAGAGACAGAATAAAGGCCTACAACAGAGGAAGAAATATTCTAGCATAACCAGATTTAGGGAGAAAACAGTAACAACAAAGAGGATCAACAACGTTTGAGTAATAAAAGAGAGGAAATCTAAACAGAGTCAGAAACTGAAAAAATTTTTTCACCAACCAAGCTAAAGGTTTTCATCAGTTTCCCTTGTGAGGAGGAATTGCGATATTTTGTCATTTGTAATCTGTTTTATATAAACATGTATGAGTCAACTATGTGACAAAATATAGGTAGTTCTCTTCCCAAAGTGAATATTGCCATTTTTAATGACTCTTTTTGTCATTTACTTAAAGTCCCTAAAGAGTCCTTTCAGCTATTGGCATGGGCCCCTACCTAGTTATGGCAGCATTCCTTGTTACTTTAATAAAGTCTGTGCCTCTAAGGTGCCTTATGTTCTAAACACAGAAAAAAAATCTTAAATTCCAAGACCCATATTTTAAACTGAGTGACATTTAAGCATGCTTCTCTCAAATGTTTCATCAGTTTCCAAGGCATCATTACCATTTGCACTAATATAAAAGAACCCTTAGGCTGGGCATGGTGGCTCCATGCCTGTAATCCCAGCACTTTGGGAGGCCAAGGTGGGCAGATCGAGCCCAAGTTCAAGACCAGCACCTGGGCAACGTGGTAAAATCCTGTCTCTACAAAAAAATAACAAAACAACAAAAATGAGGTGGGTGTGGTGGCATGTGCTTGTAGTGCCAGCTGCTCCAGAGGCTGAGGTGGGAGGATCACCAGAGCCCGGGGAGTTTGAGGATTGCGCCACTGCACTCCAGCCTGGGCGACAGAGTGAGAGCAAAACCGTGTCTCAAAAAAAAAAAAAAAAAAAATCCTTCAAGATGTTCTACTCTAATAGAGAAGAAAATTAGGCTATGTCCAGATTCCTGAAAGGTCCTACATGACCGTTCCAGCCTCATCTCTATGTTGTGGCCATTACAGCTATATGTCCCTAGTAAGAGTGCCAGGGCCTTTTATATTTCCATGCAATTGCCCACACTGCCACCTCTGCCCAGACTGGCTTGACTTTTCTTGTCTACTTGGCAAATACCTACTTATTTATAAAAATCTGAGCTTTATATGTTCCCACTCACCCACAATAGGACTGTGTTCTATTCCTTTGTGCCCCAACTGCCCTGTATTACCAAGTTAGCTATTCTTATTTTTTTCTATCATCTATACCAGTTGGTTTTTCTTATTAAATTCTGTCCCTGCAGGTTACAAGCTCCTTAGGGGTGATAATTATACCATATATCTTTACAACTCCTGGTCTTAGAACATTGCCTGGTACATATTAGACATGCAACTCCTTATTTAGTTATTCATTCACTCATTCAATAAATATTTAAAAGTGAAATTTCAATTAAGCCACTTATTCTTTTATTCATATTCTTATTCTTATTCATTTATTCTTCCCAGATATACATGAACGAGAGTATTTACTCATAAAGAGATTTCACAGGCAGTCTGTAAGTACTGTGTTGGTAACTAAATCAGGAATGGCTTAACATGTTAATATAAGATCACCAGTCTATCTGCATCATGATTACATGTAATAATTTTAACAAATGCTGTTGTTAAAAATGCAGATTCCTAAGACTCACCTCAGTCCTAATTGGAATCTCTAGGCATAAGACTCAAGAATCTGTAATTGTAAAAAGCCACTCATGTGACTTATATTCACATCAAAGTTTGAGAATCATTGGATTCCAAAGAGCATGAACTTCAGAAAGTGAGGGATCTGAGCTAAGGCTCCAAATCTACCCTTTATTTGCTGTATGACCTTGGAAAAGTAAACTAACCACTTAGAGCCTCAGTTTTCTTACTTATAAAATGAATATAATAATGTCTCCCCACTGGGTAATTGTAAGGATTATGTAAAATAAGGTAAACCACCTAGAACTGTGCCCATGACACAGAAATGTGTGATAATATCAGTTATCTCTTTGTCTCCCTACTCCAGCTTCCCTTTGTTCCTCAAATTCTCTTCAGCAGTCAGACTACCTGAAAACAATCGCATGTGTCCCTTAGAGCTCTGCTGTTTAGAGTTTAAGCAATCTTGACATCACTATAATAATTTTGAATATGATTGTTTGAACTTTGCATATGCTAAAATATTCATATTTTTATTAAATTCTCCTTGTAGGAGAATTAAATCTCCTTGCAGGAACTAAACAGATTTTGATATGGGTTATATAGAAGTTTTACTTTGGCAGGAATGGATACCCCCTTTCTCATTTTATGCCAAGACTTGAAATCATGTGGTGGCATCTGCAGGCATTCATTGCCTCCCTATTAATTTCAGAGACTGGCCTGGTGCAAATTAACTTTTCCTCCTCTTCCATGGAAAAACTGATATTTTTATGATCTTTCATAATATTGCCATTGTTGCAAGAATCTTATTCCAAAATATGGAAAAGTTTCTTCCACTTCTACGCCTCAGAAAATACTCTTACCATTTGTCTGTTTTCCTTTTTTGAAAAAGTGTGTGGCCTGAGTTCACTTTGTAATTGTTGGAAAAGAGAAAATATAAATTTCCCATGTTGAATTTTCTAATGTACTTAGTAAAGTGAGAGGAATTTTTGCTAAAGGTGGTGATAGAGGATCATGAGATTGACTCAGTGTTCTTATGTGTTATCTCAGGCAGATGACTATCCACAATCAGTTCTCATATGACTTTAGATGATGCTAGTCTATCACTGGTTTCTATAAATTAGGTTCTCTGTTAAAGTTGATAGCATTTTTATTAGTATTCATGTAAAAAATACTAAAACATTTTAAATAAGCCTTTGGGAAATTGTGGTGCTAATCACAGATGGAGAAAATAAACCTTATTATAAAAGAATCAAAGATATAATGAAACATGAGAGAAGCAAAATATTTTATTTGGCCCTTTAATAATTCCAAATGGCAACTATTATTGAAATATTTTTTTTCTTTTTTATTTTTGAAACAGAGTTTCATTCTTGTTGCCCAGGCTGCAGTGCAATGGCGCAATCTCAGCTCACTGCAACCTCTGCCTCCTGGGCTCAAACAATTCTCCTGCCTCATCCTCCCAAATAGCATGCACCACCACGCGCAGCTAATTTTTTTTTTTTTTTTTTTTTTTTTTTTTAGTAGAGACGGGTTTTCTCCATGTTGGTCAGGCTGGTCTCGAACTCCCAACCTCAGGTGATCCGCCCGCCTTGGCCTCCCAAAGTGCTGGGATTACAAGCATGAACCACCACGCCTGGCCTATTGTAATACTTTCTAAAAAAAAGACTATGTTTTATCCTTACCTACATTTGAAACTGAAAATCTTGTTTTTTGTCCTATTATATTCTTATCTCAGCCTACTTCTCTTCAGTTACCTTGTAAATGAGATTCCATAGATATTCAAGAAAACATTGGTCAGTTGTGTGTAGTTATCTCAGCTGATTGAGAATTCTCTGCAGTCCAATTCCATTCACCCTCTTCTTTTCATTAGTAAAAGAATAATCTTTCCCCTTATACTAGAAGATGTTGTAAAAATTAGTAACTGGTTAGTAGAAAATTAGTCTTGGGAGCACTGAACATGAAAAACCTCCATCTCTGAATGGAAGCATATCAACCTGTCATTTTATAATTTCAAATATAAATTCTACCCTTCCTAGAAGACTAATCCAGTAGAGGGCTCCAGCTTGCTTTAACTTGTTATGGAGAGACAATTATAGGGAGATTTTTGAAGACAAACTTTCAATGTGGCATTAAAAATGTAGAGTTTTCCCCTGGCATGACTATACAAGTGTTTACATATCTACCTATTTGGTTGCTCTAGAGTCGAACTCAATTTATGGCTCTGTCTTCCTCTAGCTACACAAACACATCTTAATCCATTATCGATGTCTTTTTGCTCCTTCCCTAGAATCTTTTCCATGTTAGTTATTCCAAACCATCCATATAGTCCTCAGGAGCCCAATCTCTTTCCCTCAATCTTGAAACTCTTATGTGCTTTTCTGATTTATGTAAATAATACATGCTTATTATAAAAAATAAAAATGGCAAAATAAAAATGAATAAGGGATAAAATTTAAATCAGCATCCCCAATTTTACCACCCAGAAATTCTCTTTATGCTACTATTAATATTTTGGTATATTTCACTTCAGTCTTTTTTCTAGGATACACAATATATACTATGACACTCATATATATTTTATAAGTTTTTAATCTTGTTTGTTCCACCTAAAATATTATAAGAATTTTTTCATGTTAAGAAATAGTCTCTCTAATGTTATTTTTTGTAGTTGCATAGTATTGTATGAATGTACTATGATTTGTTATCTAGAAATATAATAACACTGTAATTATCATCCTTATACATATGTTTTCATGGGCAGAATGTGATTAGTATTTACTTAAGATGCATTTCTAGTTTTAAAAAATATGACATTTTTAAGGCTCTTACTGAGTACTGGCAACTTTCCCTCTAGTTGTTTTTAAGAGTACCTGCTTAACTCTGCCCTCACCAACATTGGATGTTATAATTTTAAAAAATCTTTGTCATTTGCTCTGGGAGCTTATTGTATTAACTTGAATTTTTTGAACTGAATTAGGTAAACATTTTTATATGTTTTGGGCCAATTTTATTTCTTCCTATGTAAATTGCATTTTCTACACTTCTATCTATATTCATCACTTTTCTTACTGACATAAGAAATCTATGGCTGGGGACAGTGGCTCATTCCTGTAATGCCAGCACTTTGAGAGGCCAAGGCAGGTGGATCACAAGGTCAGGAGTTCGAGACCAGCCTGGCCAATATGGTGAAACCCTGTCTCTACTAAAAATACAAAAATTAGCTGGGCGTGGTGGCAGGCGCCTGTAGTCCCAGCAGTCTACTCAGGAGGCTGAGGCAGGAGAATCACTTGAACCTGGGAGGCAGAGGTTGCAGAGAGCTGAGACCGCGCCATTGCACTCCAGCCTGGGTGACACAACAAGACTCCGTCTCAAAAAAAAAAAAGATGGGGAGGCGGTTCCAAGATGGCCAAATAGGAAGAGCTCCAGTCTATAGCTCCCAGCATGAGCGACACAGAAGACGGGTGATTTCTGCATTTCCAACTGAGGTACTGGGTTCATCTCACTGGGGCTTGTCAGACAGTGGGTGCAGGACAGTGGGTGCAGTGCACCGAGCAAGAGCTGAAGCAGGATGAGGCACCGCCTCATCTGGGAAGCACAAGGGGTCAGGGAATTCCCTTTCCTAAGCAAAGCTGTGACAGATGGCACCTGGAAAATTGGGTCACTCCCACCCTAATACTACGCTTTTCCAATGGTCTTAGCAAACGGCACACCAGGAGATTACATCCCGCGCCTGGCTCAGAGGGTCCCACACCCACGGAGCCTAGCTCATTGCTAGCACAGCAGTCTGAGATCGAACTGCAAGGTGGCAGCGAGGCTTGGGGAGGGGTGCCCACCATTGCTGAGGCTTGATTAGGTAAACAAAGCGGCCAGGAAGCTTGAACTGGGTGGAGCCCACCTCAGCTCAAGGAGGCCTGCCTGCCTCTGTAGACTCCACCTCTGGGGGCAGGGCATAGCCAAACAAAAGGCAGTAGAAACCTCTGCAGACTTAAATGTCCCTGTCTGACAGCTTTGAAGAGAGTAGTGTTTCTCCCAGCACAGAGTTTGAGATCTGAGAAAGACAGACTGCCTCCTCAAGTGGGTCCCTGACCCCTGAGTAGCCTAACTGGGAGGCACTCCCAGTAGGGGCAGACTGACACCTCACACGGCCGGGTACCCCTCTGAGACAAAACTTTCAGAGGAACGATCAGACAGCAACATTTGCTGTTTACCAATATTCGCTGTTCTGCTGCCTCCACTGCTGATAGCCAGGCAAACAGGGTCTGGAGTGGACCTCCAGCAAACTCCAA
This sequence comes from Homo sapiens, assembly GCF_000001405.40. NCBI lineage: Eukaryota > Metazoa > Chordata > Mammalia > Primates > Hominidae > Homo > Homo sapiens. Next base: position 86,167,588 of record NC_000001.11, on the reverse strand, counting down.
CAGACCTGCAGCTAAGGGTCCTGACTGTTATAAGGAAAACTAACAAACAGAAAGGACATCCAAACCAAAACCTCATCTGTACGTCACCATCATCAAAGACCAAAAGTAGATAAAACCACAAAGATGGGGAAAAAAACAGAGCAGAAAAACTGAAAATTCTAAAAATCAGAGCGCCTCTCCTCCTCCAAAGGAATGCAGCTCCTCACCAGCAATGGAACAAAGCTGGACAGAGAACGACTTTGACGAATTGAGAGAAGAAGTCTTCAGATGATCAAACTTCTCCGAGCTAAAGGAGGAAGTTCAAACCGATCGCAAAGAAGTTAAAAACCTTGACAAAAGATTAGACGAATGGCTAACTAGAATAACCAATGTAGAGAATTCCTTAAATGACCTGATGGAGCTGAAAACCATGGCACGAGAACTACATTGTGAATGCACAAGCTTCAGTAGCCCATTTGATCAACTGGAAGAAAGGGTATCAGTGATTGGAGATCAAATGAATGAAATGAAGCGAGAAGAGAAGTTTAGAGAAAAAAGAATAAAAAGAAATGAACAAAGCCTCCAAGAAATATGGGACTATATGAAAAAAACCAAATCTACATCTGATTGGTGTACCTGAAAGTGATGGGGAGAATGAAACCAAGTTGGAAAACACTCTGCAGGATATTATCCAGGAGAACTTCTGCAACCTCGCAAGGCAGGCCAACATCCAAATTCAGGAAATACAGAGAATGCCACAAAGATACTCCTCGAGAAGAGCAACTCCAAGACACATAATTCTCAGATTCACCAAAGTTGAAATGAAGGAAAAAATGTTAAGGGCAGCCAGAGAGAAAGGTCGGGTTAACCACAAAGGGAAGCCCATCAGACTAACAGTGGATCACTTGGCAGAAACTCTACAAGCCAGAAGAGAGTGGGGGCCAATATTCAACATTCTTAAAGAAAAGAATTTTCAACCCAGAATTTCATATCCAGCAAAACTAAGCTTCATAAGTGAAGGAGAAATAAAATCCTTTATGGACAAACAAATTCTGAGAGATTTTGTCACCACCAGGCCTGCCCTAAAAGAGCTCCTGAAGGAAGCACTAAACATGGAAAGGAACAACCAGTACCAGCCACTGCAAAAACATGCCAAATTGTAAAGACCATCCAGGCTAGGAAGAAACTGCATCAACTAACAGGCAAAATAACCAGCTAACATCATAATGACAGGATCAAATTCACACATAACAATATTAACCTTAAATGTAAATGGGCTAAATGCTCCAATTAAAAGACACAGACTGGCAAATTGGATAAAGAGTCAAGACCCATCAGTGTGCTGTATTCAGGAAACCCATCTCATATGCAGAGACACACATAGGCTCAAAATAAAAGGATGGAGGAAGATCTACCAAGCAAATGGAAAACAAAAAAAGGCAGGGGTTGCAATCCTAGCCTCTGATAAAACAGACTTTAAACCAACAAAGATCAAAAGAGACAAAGAAGGCCATTACATAATGGTAAAGGGATCAATTCATCAAGAAGAGCTAACTATCCTAAATATATATGCACCCAATACAGGAGCACCCAGATTCATAAAGCAAGTCCTTAGAGAACTACAAAGAGACTTAGACTCCCACAAAATAATAATGGGAGACTTTAACACCCCAATGTCAACATTAGACAGATCAACGAGACAGAAGGTTAACAAGGATATCCAGGAATTGAACTCAGCTCTGCACCAAGCAGACCTAATAGACATCTACAGAACTCTCCACCCCAAATCAACAGAATATACATTCTTCTCAGCACCACATCACACTTATTCCAAAATTGACCACATAATTGGAAGTAAAGCACTCCCCAGCAAATGTAAAAGAACAGAAATTATAACAAGCTGTCTCTCAGACTACAGTGCAATCAAACTAGAACTCAGAATTAAGAAACTCACTCAAAACTGCTCAACTACATGGAAACTGAACAACCTGCTCCTGAATGACTACTGGGTACATACCGAAATGAAGGCAGAAATAAAGACGTTCTATGAAACCAATGAGAACAAAGACAAAACATACCAGAATCTCTGGGACACATTTAAAGCAGTGTGTACAGGGAAATTTACAGCACTAAATACCCACAAGAGAAAGCAGGAAAGATCTAAAATTGACACCCTGACATCACAATTAAAAGAACTAGAGAAGCAAGAGCAAACACATTCAAAAGCTAGCAGAAAGCAAGAAATAACTAAGATCAGAGCAGAACTGAAGGAAATGGAGACAAAAAAACCGTTCAAAAAATCAATGAATCCAGGAGCTGGTTTTTTGAAAAGATCGACAAAATTGATAAACCGCTAGCAAGACTAATAAAGAAGAAAAGAGAGAAGAATCAAATAGACGCAATAAAAAATGATAAAGGGGTTATCACCACCAATCCCACAGAAATACAAACTACCATTGGAGAATACTATGAACACCTCTATGCAAATAAACTAGAAAATCTAAAAGAAATGGATAAATTCCTGGACACATACACCCTCCCAAGACTAAAGAAGTTGAATCTCTTCATAGACCAATAATAGGATCTGAAATTGAGGCAATAAATAATAGCTTACCAACCAAAAAGTCCAAGACCAGATGGATTCACAGCCGAATTCTACCAGAGGTACAAGGAGGAGCTGGTACCATTCCTTCCGAAACTATTCCAATCAACAGAAAAAGAGGGAATCCTCCCTAACTCATTTGATGAGGCCAGCATCATCCTGATACCAAAGCCTGGCAGAGACACAACCAAAAAAGAGAATTTTAGACCAATATCCCTGATGAACATCGATGCAAAAATCCTCAATAAAATACTGGCAAACCCAATCCAGCAGCACATCAAAAAGCATATCCACCATGATCAAGTGGGCCTCATCCCTGGGATGCAAGGCTGGTTCAACATACACAAATCAATAAACGTAATCCAGCATATAAACAGAACCAAAGACAAAAATCACATGATTATCTCAATAGATGCAGAAAAGGCCTTTGACAAAATTCAACAGCCCTTCATGCTAAAAACTCTCAATAAATTAGGTATCCATGGGACATATCCCAAAATAATAAGAGCTACTTATGACAAACCCACAGCCAATATCATACTGAATGGGCAAAAACTGGAAGCATTCCCTTTGAAAACTGGCACAAGACAGGGATGCCGTCTCTCACCACTCCCATTCAACATAGTGTTGGAAGTTCTGGCCAGGGCAATCAGGCAGGAGAAGGAAATAAAGGGTATTCAATTAGGAAAAGAGGAAGTCAAATTGTCCCTGTTTGCAGATGACATGATTGTATACTTAGAAAACCTCATTGTCTCAACCCCAAATCTCCTTAAGCTGATAGGCAACTTCAGCAAAGTCTCAGGATACAAAATCAATGTGCAAAAATCACCATTATTCTTATACACCAATAACAGACAAACAGAGAGCCAAATCATGAGTGAACTCCCATTCATAATTGCTTCAAAGAGAATAAAATACCTAGGAATCCAACTTACAAGGGACCTGAAGGACCTCTTCAAGGAGAACTACAAACCACTGCTCAATGAAATAAAAGAGGATACAAACAAATGGAAGAACATTCCATGCTCATGGATAGGAAGAATCAATATCGTGAAAATGGCCATACTGCCCAAGGTAGTTTATAGATTCAATGCCATCTCATCAAGCTACCAATGACTTTCTTCACCGAATGGGAAAAAACTACTTTAAAGTTCATATGGAACCAAAAAAGAGCCCACATGGCCAAGTCAGTCCTAAGCCAAAAGAACAAAGCTGGAGGCATCACGCTACCTGACTTCAAACTATACCACAAGGCTACAGTAACCAAAACAGCATGGTACTGGTACCAAAACACAGATACAGACCAATGAAACAGAACAGAGCCCTCAGAAATAATACCACACATCTACAACTATCTGATCTTTGACAAACCTGACAAAAACAAGAAATGGGGAAAGGATTCCCTACTTAACAAATGGTGCTGGGAAAACTGGCCAGCCATATGTAGAAAACTGAAACCGGATCCCTTCCTTACACCTTATACAAAAATTAATTCAAGATGGATTAAAGACTTAAATGTTAGACCTAAAACCATAAAAGCCCTAGAAGAAAACCTAGGCAATACCATTCAGGACATAGGCATGGGCAAGGACTTCATGTCTAAAACAACAAAAGCAATGTCGACAAAAGCCAAAATTGACAAATGGGATCTAATTAAACTAAAGAGCTTCTGCACAGCAAAAGAAACTACCATCAGAGTGAATAGGCAACCTGCAGAATGGGAGAAAATTTTTGCAATCTACTCATCTGACAAAGGGCTAATATCCAGAATTTACAAAGAACACAAACAAATTTACAAGAAAAAAACAAACAACCCCATCAAAAAGTGGGCAAAGGATATGAACAGACACTTCTCAAAAGAAGACATTTATGCAGCCAACAGACACATGAAAAAATGCTCATCATCACTGGCCATCAGAGAAATGCAAATCAAAACCACAATGAGATACCATCTCACACCAGTTAGAATGGTGATCATTAAAAAGTCAGGAAACAACAGGTGCTGGAGAGGATGTGGAGAAATAGGAACACTTTTACACTGTTGGTGGGACTGTAAACTAGTTCAACCATTCTGGAAGTCAGTGTGGCAATTCCTCAAGGTTTAGAGCTAGAAATACCATTTGATCCAGCCATCCCATTACTGGGTATATACCCAAAGGATTATAAATCATGCTGCTATAAAGACACATGCACACGTTTGTTTATTGTGGTACTATTCACAATAGCAAAGACTTGGAACGAACCCAAATGTCTATCAATGATAGGCTGGATTAAGGAAATGTGGCACATGTACACCATGGAATACTATGCAGCCATAAAAAATGATGAGTTCATGTCCTTTGTAGGGACATGGATGAAGCTGGAAACTATCATTCTCAGCAAACTATCGCAAGGACAAAAAACCAAACACTGCATGTTCTCACTCATAGGTGGGAATTGAAAAATGAGAACACTGGGACACAGGAAGGGGAACATCATACACTGGGGCCTGTTGTGGGGTGGGGGATGGGGGAAGGATAGCATTAGGAGATATACCTAATGTTAATGATGACTTAATGGGTGCAGCACACCAACATGGCACATGTATACATTTGTAACAAACCTGCACGTTGTGCACATGTACCCTAGAACTTAAAGTATAATAATATATATATATATATAAATCTTCACATATTAAAGATCTTGACATTCTACAAAAATAATTAATAAAATCTGAACTGTTTAAAAATGGTCAAGGTCATGAAATAACCAACCATTCAAGTTTGCCTGGGACTGAGTGGGGTTCCCAAAACATAGAACTTTCAGTGCCAAAAGCAGGAAAGTTGGGCAAATAGTGATGGGTTTGTCACTCCGCCTTGGAAACTTTTCCAGATCAAAGGAGACTAAATGCAACTAAATACACGATGTGATCCTGAAGCAGGAAAAAGAAGGGGGAGTTTCCTATGAGAAACAGAAATAATTTATGAAATTTGAATAGCTCCATACATTAAATAATAGTGCTGTGTAAGTATTAGTTTCCTAATTTTGATCATTGAGCTGTGGTTGTGGAAAAGAATATCCTTATTTTTGGGAAATACACACAGATGGTGTATACTGAAGGGGTTAATCAGCATAATGCCTGCAGATTACTCTCAAACATTTCGGGGAGAAAGAGAAAGAGGGAGAATATAATAACATCAATGTGGTAAAATCTTAACATTGCTGAATATAGGGGAAAGGGCATACAGAAATTTTTCACACTGTTTTGGTATAAATTTGAAATTATTTCAACATAAAAGTTTATTAAAGATGTTAATTGTCTGCCATGTACTACAAATAAATTAGGTTCTCTGTTAAAGTTGGTAGCATTTTTATGCTACCTCAGTTTGTCATTTGTCTTTTCATTTGTTTATATTGTGTGAGATTTTTGTTTCTTTATTTTATGACTTGGAAATTTTAAATTGCACTGCATTCAGCTTTGTCTTTCTGAGAGACTGCATATCTTCCAGAGCAGGGATGAATCTGCTTGATGATTTTCATCCCCAGTTTTTAGCAAAGTGTCTGGAACCTATTGCTGTCCCATAAATATTAGATAAATTAGTAAATATAAATAATCTTTTTGGTTTTGTCATGTGCTTTTATTCTTAAAAGAGACTTCCTCACCTCTAAAGAAGAAATTTTTACATATATTTATTTCTAAATCTTTACAGAATTTAATATTTTTGTAGCCCATTAATGTATATGGAGTTTCCTTTGGTATACAGCATGAGGTAGTGATAACTTTTTCCTCCTCAAGATGAATTGTTTCAGCACTATTTGTAAAGCAGGTCTTCCTTTCTATATAGTTTTGAAATACCACCTTCATTACATACTGAATCTTATATCCTTATAAGGAGAGAGAGAGTGAGTGAGAGAGAGAGAGAGAGAGAGAGAGAAATTATTGAGAGCATGGACTTCATCGAGAGCCAGTCTGAATTGGTTTAAATATTGATGATCAGGCCAGGTATGGTGGCTCACTCTTTGCTTTTAATCCCAGCACTTTGGGAGGCTGAGGCGGGTGGATCACTTGAGATCAGGAGTTCAAGACCAGCCTGGCCAACATGGCAAAACCCCATCTCTACCAAAAAATACAAAAAAATTAGCCAGGCATGGTGGTGCACACCTGTAGTCCCAGCTACTCAGGAGGCTGAGGTGGGAGAATTGCTTGAACCCAGGAGGTGGAGGTTGAAGTGAACCGAGATCCTGTCACTGCCTTCCAGCCTGGGCAACAGAGTAAGACTCCATCTCAAAAATAAAACAAAAAAGAAAGAAAAAGAAAAATTCAGTTTTATAATCTCAGGCTATTTAATCCTTTATTTTCTTCTCTTTATAAGGAAGATAAATAATATCTAATTTAATAGAATTTTAAGGGATAAAATAAGTTTATAATAAGCAGAATAAATACTGATGCATAGTAAGCATTATGAAGTATTTGCTATATTGTTTTTGAGCCCCTATACTATTATTTAAATAATGTTATATGCCTCTTGTTCTATCTCCTTTAGTTCTGTACTGTTTCCTTTCACTTTCTGGAGTCTAAGTTTATATCTTTGGTGCTCTATTCTCTGTTTTGATAGTCTCTTCTTTAAAAATAGACTCTACTGTCAAGGCTTCAAATACCATTTTGTGCAGATGATGAAGAAATCTAACACTCTAGTTCTGGCCTCTCTCCTGAACTCTCTCTCTTCTGCTCTATTGAATAGCTCCAAAAGAATGTCTTACCATGGTTTTAAACATAATATAATATGTCTCAGTGTGAATTAGTTTTCTGACCCTTTGACATTGGCCAATATCATAATTTCTTTATCATTCAGGCTTTCAATTTCATCTATGCCTTCTCCCTTCCCAATCTAACCAGTTATCAGATATTGATTTATTTTAGTAATGATTTTCTTATTTAGCTTTCCTACCATTCCGATTATAGTCGGAACCTATCTCAACATCTACACCTAACTTATCCCCTTTTCAATCCTGGCATCTGATGCTGACTCATCTTAAAATGGGAGTATGGAGAAATCGAAAGTCTAATAGTTTTTTATTGGCTGTAGGCATAAATCTTAAGCAGTAGGATTTAAACTCCATAAAGGGAAGGATTTTCATGTATTTTGTCCACTGCTGTAACTCAGTGCCCAGAAGAATTCTAGGCACATAGTTGGTAATATGATAAATGAACCCTTATCCTGACATTCAGGGATTTTCATAGTTTGCCTTCAACCTCTCTTCCAATGCACAAACGTCTAATCCAGTCTGATGAGTCTGTTCCATTCCTCTGGATATAATTTAGATATACTCTTCTTGGTTCATTTGCTGTTAGTCATCTACTCTCCACTTCCAATCATACCACCTTTCTCCTCTCTATCTTTGTAAATCCTTTTTGCTTTTCATGGACCAGCTAAGTCACAAGGTGTCTGCTTAATCTGTCTTGATCAATTGATCTATGCTAATCTCCATCATCCTATAATGTCTATAGCAGTTAAAACTTATATTGTTTATCTTTTACTGGACAAATGCCTCCTCTCCCCAAATAAAGTACTCTGTCTGAAGGTATGTGTGCTCTTTGGAATCTTCTGCATGATAAAGGTTCCACTAACTCTAACTAGCAACTGTCATCTTCTTATACTCAACCTGAAATACATTTTAAAAACTTCATTTCCTACAGCATTCTATTCTTCAGACTCAATATTGCAAACAGAAAAAAAGACTTTATTCCTGAAGTGTATCTGATGGAAAAATGGAGACAGAGATTGAGTTACTTAAGTCTACTCAATTTTCATCTATTGTTCTTTCCATCAAACCAAATTAGCTGTCCTTCTTTAGCTGACTAGTAGGAAAAAGCAGAAAAAACAGAAATTAAGGGCATTTAAGAACGGCTGCCTTCCCTCAGTCCTGGATTTCTAGGAATATTTCAGAAATCTGTGGTTATTTGTTACAAAAACTGGGGGAAGATTTTACAATGGCAAATCCTGTGAGATGAGCACCTTAACTAAGTGATCAAAGTGAATATCACTAGTAGGTGACATATTAACATCATGTACACCTGAGATTGATGCCCCGAGAAGGGCACACTATCACTTCAATGTTATTTATGACCAAAATACACAACCTGCACCCAATCATGAGACTATGTCACACAAATCCAGATTGAGGAACCCTCCACAAAATGACTGCTCAGTGCATTTCAAAAGTGTTGAGTTCGTGAAAGACAAAGGAAGACAGGACTGCCACAGATGGGAGGAGACTAAGGAAACCTAATAATTCAGTTAATCACTGTGTTAGTTTATTAAACACAGTGTAGGATCCTGAGTAAAATCCTGGACCAGACAAAGGTCATTAATGGGAAAACTGACAATATTTAATAAGATGTATAGATTGGTTATTAGCATTATATTGGTGTTGATTATCCAGGGATTTTATTTTTTATTTTTTATTATTATTTTTTTTTTGAGTTGGAGTCTCACTCTGTTCCTAGGCTGGAGTGCAGTGGCGTGATCTCAGCTCACTGCAACTTCTGCCTCCCTGGTTCAAGCGATTCTCCTGCCTTAGCCTCCTGAGTAGCTGGGATCATAGGCGTGCACCATCAAGCCTGGCTAATTTTTGTATTTTTAGTAGAGACAGGGTTTCACCATGTTGACCAGGCTGGTCTCGAACTCCTGATCTCAGGTTATCTGCCCGCCTTGGCCTGCCGTGCTGGAATTACAGGCATGAGCCACCACACCCAGCCCAATTGTCCAGTTTTGATAACTGTAATTTGGTTATGTAAGTTGTTAACATTAGGGGAAGCTGAGGGAAGTATATATAGGAACTCTGTACTATTGTGCAACTTTCTATAATCTAAAATTATTTCAAAATAAACAGTCAAAAAATTGAGGGGGGCATAATGAATTTCTATATTCTTGCATTTAAAAAATTACCAAGCTTGAGAGTCACATCAATCATTGTCATTCACCAATATGATCACTTTAACCTTTATAATGTGTGTGTAATGTGGGATCCCTTTCAGCATGTGGAAGGGTCATTAGCTCTGGAAGGCACACAGGCTAGACAAGAAAAATTTGGAGCAATGATTCTCAGTGATATGCAGCATTCATTCAACAGATATGCCAGGTAGGTGCTAAGAACACAACTATGAACAACACAATAGATTCCTGGCCTCTTGGAGTTTCCAGTCTTATTAATAAGGAAGATAAAATCAGAACGTTTGTTTTCTGTTTGTTTGTTTGTTTGTTTGTTTGTTTTTGTTTTTGCAAAAATCAGAAGGTGGATTTCTTAGTATAAGGCCATGGGGGCATAGAGACTTGTATCAAAAGAAGAAATTTGCTACAAAAGTTGGAGAAGGTATTCAAATTGTTAAGGTAGTGGTGTGTGCGTGTGAGAGAGAGAGAGACTGTGTGACTGTAGTGTGTGTGGTGTGCTCTTGCTGTGAACCAGTAATACTTGTAGACAGGAAAAGGCAGAAAGGTGAATTACAGGAGAAAAGTCAGTAGAAGGTCGTAAGGGGGACAGACTGAAAGGAAGGAGTAAAGGGAGGAAAGGTAGAAATGAGGACAGTTAAAGTCATTTAATAATACCACGTAGGCCACTGGCCTAACTGCAAAGAAGGCAAGAAGGTCGCAGGGTAATGAAGGCCTCCTCTAAGTGTGATTTCAGAAGATGTGGGTGAAAAGGGTAGAGAAAAAGATTGGGGATGAGAGAGAAGCAAGAGGGAAACATCAAATTGGGGACTGCTGAGATGGGGAATGGAGCATGAACATGGTATGGAAGGAAGGATACTAGCTGCCTATAAGTGGGAAAGGAGACCATCCGGGTCGTACCCAGGCGGAGGCGAGCGCGCCCGGGGTGCGGTGGCCCAGCCCGACCCCGAAGGGCTGGCGAACGGGGGCGCCTGGGCCGGACGCTGGGTCGGGGAAGGTTGCGGGGGCAGAGGGGGAGGTGTGCGCAGTGTTTGGTGATGTCATTGCAAGTCAGTGAGCGGTGAAATTTAACACCGGCCGGATTTGCTTGGCTCCTCTTCTTCCAGGCAAAGCAGCCGGCGGCAGTCAACGCCGAGCGCCTGCAGTTGCCACCGGCCCCCTCGCACCGACTTGATTTCCGAAGTGGGTGTGTGTGCTTGTTTGACAAACGTTCGGGCGCGGGCTGTTTCCAAGGACTTCCTCCCCCACTTCATCTCCTTCCCTACCCCCACCCCTTTCTCCTCCCAGGCCCAAAGCAGAGGACTCCACTGGAGTCACAGAGTCGCCTTTGAACCGCAAGTGAACTTGAGTGCTGCACTAGCAGCCCGGCTCCCGCTGCCGCCGGCGCCCCGAGGCCTCCCAGTGAGGTTTACCTCCTCGCCCGCCCTCCCCGGGGAGCGCAACCCTGGGCTCGTTCGTTACCGAGCCAGAGAGCTAGGAAGCCTGTCCTCCCCTTCGGGTGCTATTTCCTACCTCCTCCCGACTTCACCCCCTCCCCTCCTTTTTTTCTTGTTGCGGGTTTGAAGCATGGTTTTCATGTGATTGTTTTTTCCCTTTTTCATGGACAGTACCTGCACCCTAAGCAGTTCAGAGTTGGCTTCTGTTTTCCGTTAGCGCTTTGCTGCACGGACAAATGCATACAAATGCATTTAAGAGCCCACAGAACAAGGCGTGGAAAAGTCTCCCCCACGGCAAAAACGTAAGTAGCCCACCCGCCGGGTAGGGTAGGGGTTAGACCAACCCCTCTCTCCACCCCCTGGTTCTGCTGAGCCTGATGGAGATCTGAAGTCCGGCTCCTTGGCACTTTTTGGCTTTAGGAGCGGCCGAGTACCCGCGGTATCTTCCCCTTGTCTTCTCAGCTTGCAAAATACCGTGTTTGAAAGGATGCCTCGTGCCAGCAGATCTCAGACAGTTTATGCTAAAGCGATCTTTTGGCTCGAGAGGAAAAGCTCGCTGGCGCGAGTCCCGAGGTCCAGGGCAGCGGCTCCCTAAGCTCCAGAGCTGGGCTCCGACGATCTCTCTGGCTCCAGCTCCCGCCGCCCTCGCGCCCTCCTCCCCTTCTCCTCCCGCAGGGCCCTGTCGAGGTCCTGCTTCCCCGAGGTGCTTCTCAGGGCGTCCAGCCTGGCGATTGCTGTGACGCTAGAGGTCCCCCAGGGTCAGTGTGCGCAGCCTGGACCACTGGACTCAGGCGTGAGGAAGGGTCGCCAGCGGGGGGAAGGGGGTGGCTGCAGAACCTCGGGCGTCGGGGGGTTGTTTTACCCACGGGCTCAGAGGCAATCCCCTCTGGTTAGAAGGCCAACAAACGTTGCCCATCCGAGCCGAGGCTGCGCCCTGATCATTGCCCTGTCACTGGGGAAGTGGCACTCGCGGCGGGGACTGGGGAGGGGAGCAGGACACGGGGGCGGGCCTGCCCCTCCTGCGGAGGTTTTGGGCGGGTCCTGACGGGCACCCCACCTCCCCTTTGGGCGCTGTACCTGCTCCCATGCCTTCCCTGGGAAAAGGGCTCGGACCAGGGGTTGCGCGGCTTTGGCTGGATGCCCTGGTCCCCCTGGAAGAGGTCAGTGGGTTACACAAGTTTGCTTCTGGCCCCTGGGCGAGAAGGGTGAACGCGGCTGTGGAAGTCTTCTGCAGAGAGGCTGCCCCTCAGGAGGCTAGGTGGGAGGAGGGCAAGGAACAGAATTGACCGTGTCAGCTGAGGGCAGGCGGAGGCAGGGTGCGGAGAAAGAGCGCCTTGTGGTCGTGTTTGTATGAACATGTGCTTCCCAGCCGCGTGCAGCCCAGCCTGGCTGGGGCTCGCGCGCGCGCTCTCTTCCGACCCCTGGAAGCCTCGCTGCTGGGCTTCCCAGCTGACCACATGCACCTCCCCGCACACCCCCATCCCCATGCAACAGTGAAGAGGAAACCTCCCAATCTCCTCAACCCCGTGCGGGCAGCGGGGTGCTGGAGGCTGGGGAGTCCCTGGAGCGAGTAGAGGTCAAGCTCTGCGGGTTGCCTTCTCAGAGCGGCTCACGCAGGTCGCATGGGGTTCCCAGGCAGAAGATTTCCCGCCACTGTTCTCGATAAACATCCCTCTGTGTGGACCAGCCTGGAGAGTCGGGGGTTGCAGCCGATCCTGCGGAACTGACAGATCTTCCCGCTGATCAGGGGCGGATGCAGAGAGGCTCTAGCCCTGCCAGCCTGGAGACTCCAGGAGAGGCGGAGTGAGGCCCTCCACTTCTTGCCCAGCCAGCCTCCGCATGCGGCCCTCCTGCAGCTCCTGCCCCGAGGGCTTTCCCTCTGCCACCGCGCGAGGCCCACGCTGGTGACTAACACTCCCCTTGGTAGTTGTGACCAACCACCGGAGTTAAAGCAGATCTGCTCCTGGGTTTTGTCTTGTCTGGTTTACACTTCCCTTCCAGACGCTCCCAGAAAAGGCCCTGCATAAATTCTTGGGCAGTTTGGGGTTTGTAAATTGGGTCCAGATGATTTGGGGGGAGGGAGGCAGAGAAACCAAATAGAATGGATTGCACCGGAGGAACTTCTGAAGAAAAATTATAAAACGTGGAATGGGAAGAGAACCCTTGTGCAGAGACATGGGGATAAGTAGCAGGTTCTGGATGAAGGTGTTTGTCTCCCATGACCACCAGAGGCCTTGCAGCCCTTGGTTATCTCATAATATCCAATTTGTTCTGTTACAGGGGCCACTGGGGATGGGCTGCAGAGAATTAAGGGTAATTCATAATTACATCAGATTACAGAACTCACAGCTCCAACCACACATGCAAACTTGGGAAAGATAGCTAATGATTGGACTGAAAAAATTGTTTCTAGAAAATCCAATTTTCATAAATAATTTGGAATTTTTCCCTTTGAAAAATAATGCCACCAACCCTTCGGAGTTTGAGGCGGGGTGGGGCGGGGGGGCTGGATTTGGAAGAAGTAGCTGATTTATAATGTCAGGCCACTGAATTAAACCTTAGAGTCTCTGATGAAATCCCTGAGTTTTATTTTCCTTTTGTGGTGATGTTTTGTAAGAGAGGGAGCGCTTTTTAAAATCACAGTTCTTATTAGTCACCCAAAAACAGTTCCAGTTTAAAAGTGGATCTTTACGACACTTTCTTTTGTGGGGTCTTTTATATGGGTTGCCTAACGTGAATTTGTAGAATTAATAAAATTAATGAAATCTCAAAGTCAGCTTTAGATACCTTAATTTGACATATTATCAGAAGGTCTCTGAGGCAGGCTATTATGGTAATTAAAGACTTTTATAACCAAAAAGGAATTTTGGAATATAAAGATCTATTTCCTAGATGGCACGAAATTCTATTTTTTAAAGTTGCTTAGTTATATTTGTGTTCAAATAAATTTTTAAAATAAGCTGATGTCTCAGGGAGAGTAAATCTAATTTATGGAAAGTACTTTTGAGTGTCATTTAGACATTCTACTTGGTAATTTGTGAACGGCAGAATAAAAGTAAATGTTATTATGGGAATTAGAATAGCTGTGCTAGTTTCCTTGCCATGCCTTCCAACTATGACTTATTTTAGAATTTGTAACTCTAATGAGAAGTAAAGACAATTTTATTTTCATTCTCATAAAAGGCTAACATTATTCTGTCATTCATTTATTCATCATTCATTAACGTATTTATTCAACACATGTTTACTGAGCTCCAACTATGGGCCCAGTGTGGTTCTAGGCAGCAGAGATACAATGATTGAGTATGACAGATCCACAGTTGCTGCTCTCCAGTCTAATAAAGGAAATAGCAAATGAAACAACCAAGTATAACGAAATGAGAGGAGGATATATACATGAGGGGCACCTAGCAGTCTTGGGTGGGTGGGTAGGGGAGGAAAGGATAATACTGGAAGGAAAAGGTAACCAAAGGAAATGAAATCTAGACTGAGACCTTACTGAAAAGAACATGAAATTTACCAGACAGAAGGAACAATAAAAAGCTCAGAAGTGAGACAGCACAGTGCATTTGAGGGCCTGAAAGAAATGAAGTTGGTTGGAGTACACATTCTAGGGAAGCAGTGACTGGAGCTGGAGCTGGAGAGATAAACAGAGACCAGATTTGGAAAGGCCTTTAAACCATGTTTAACAAGCAGAGGTTGGGGAGACTTGACTTTTCTTGATTTTGGGATGAGTGTATAGGTAGAAGATGCTAGATAAGTTATGTATTTGTTGAAACTCAAGACCACCTGATACTTTCATTGACTGAAGATTATCTGATTCATTAGTTCACTTGAAAATCTTTATCTAACACTAGTATGTGCCAGGAACTTTACTAAGCTAGGCAATAGTTTAACATTCTCTGTGGTATTACTAGGACAGACTAGTTTAGATGTATTTTTCTTCCCTCCTACTGACTGGACTCTAGACACTTTGATTAAATGAAGTTCTTAAGCATTTATCTCCCTTGCACTGCATGAATTGCTTGAATGCTTAGAATTTAACCAAAAGCTCTACAGGTTGAGTACTGCTCATCTAAAATGCCTGAGACCAGAAGTGTTTGGGATTTTGAATTTTTTTGGATTTTGGAATATTTGCATATATATAATGAGATATCTTGGGGATGGGACCCAAGTCAAAACATGAAATTCACTTATGTATCATATATACCTTATACACATAGACTGAAGTTAATTTTATATAATATTTTTAGTAATTTTGTGCATGAAATGAAGTTTTGACTGTGACCCATAAAGTCAGGTGTAAAATGATTCCAGTATGGCATCATTTCAGCCCTCAAAACCTTTCAGATTTTGGAGCATTTAGGACTTTGGATTTTTAGATTGGGGGTGCTCAACCTGTAGTATGCTTCATGCTGGTTTAGCTATATAACTACCACCTGAGTTGAATTAATAGTCTGAAAAATTAATTGCAAGTAAGTTAGTGACAGTACTACTTTGCTCCCTGAATCATCCAACTTTATGTCCACTGCTGTGATGAAAACTCTTTTTTCAGTTATTTTGAGAGGAAAGAACAGAAATTTTACTATTTCTCGATCTTAGTAGCTAGTAAAGAGCAAAATCTGTAAAGCTGTCATGACTTAGAGAAGTTTTTGGCATGTAAACGTAGCGTGGTGGAAATTGTTGAAATTATTGATGTATATCACGTGTGTGTGTCTTTCAGATTTGTTCACCATTTTCAATTGGTTTAAAAGAAGGCCACCAACTCATAAAAAGTTGTCTATTCACAAGATTTCACAAGTCCTTCCCACTATTATAAATTGAATCTATGTAGAAGTGAGCATCAGTAGCCTGAAGACATAAGTTATAATACCTTAGAGTCTCAGGGGTACCCTAAGCAAAAGATCCCTCGGATTCCCCTAAAGCAACTTGGATCTTTTGAATAAAGAGGAAGTTGAATAGCTCTAAGAATCATCTAGGAACGATGCCTGGAATGGGTATTAGTCATTTACATGTTCTGAGTATGGTCTTTGGATATCTATTTTCTGTCTTATCCTCTTTAGGCCTTTACCCTCACATGTCTGGTTATGTTTGGACTGTTGCTGGTGTCAAAGTGAAAATGTGACTAGCAGCCAGACTCATGCAGAGTGTTTCTTATTTTGTTAGCTATCAATATCTTGGGTTATATTTTTTGAGCCTTTATGAAGTGTTTGTTACCATATTGTTGATTTATTTTGGATATGGTCTGATTTTGTTAAATGTCTGAGTAACTATAACTCTATAACTTTGTATTAGTGACACATGGTCCACATATACAAACCAGTGAATGAAAACAAACATGTTTTGAATATTCAAAAATTGTTCATGTTTAATATACCAACTAGACTGTTTGTGGGAGTAAACTAAATATATGAATGAATTAACAACTTAGTAGACTATTTTAGGTTACTTAAATAGTATTGGACCAAAACTATAGGAAGACCGTTACAGTTTTGTGGTTAAATAACAAACGCTTTATATATATGTATGTGTATACACACACACACACACATATATACAAACCCTTTATATATATGTATGTGTATACACACACACACACACCTATATATATAACATTTTGCTAAGTAATTTGCTTTTTGTCTTTTAATGCCAGTATACTAATGTGATCCCATCACACACACAAATTATAGGATTTTACATTTGGAATGTAAAACACAAAAACATAAAATTTGTATTATGTCATCACATGATAGATGAGTCAGCTAAGACCCAGAAGGACAAAGAACAGCTGCTTCCATAGAGGACTCTACCATCTACTGCTAATGTGGAAACTTGATAAGTTTTATTTGTTGAGGAAATGTATAATAAATGTAACATCATAAGGAGGAAAATCCAAAGAAACAAACAAACCTAGTCCATCAGACATTTCCCAAGAATCTTGGATTCATTAAATACCCATATACAATAATGGTTTGGCTCTTTATCAAACTGACTATGTCAATGAAACTTCATCCTTTCTCTGTTGTACCCACTTCAGAGACAAGAAAGCTAAAATGAAAATTAAGAAAAAAAAGAAGAAGGCTACCATATATGCTACCATAGCAGATTTAAAAAATTCTATTTCCCTTCTCTTTCTTTGGACATCTAACTAAAATTGCCTGTATTTTATTTTATTTTTTCCAAGTGTTAAAAGAATCAAGTCCATAAGGAAAAAGTGAATTCCTCAGTCATTGGGAGATAATACTTTTGATCATTTCCTTTTAAAAAGTATTTACTGTCAATTTCATGTAACACATGGGTACACTAGAGGTAAAAATGAAGACCTGCTGCTTGCTCAGATATTTACTTTCATAAAAGGTAGGACTTATAGGAGTATAACAAAGTCACAATTAATGTATCAAAAGTACAGAGGTGGGGGAAAGATTCATTCCCCTTTAGAGATGATGGGAAACTTCATGGAGCAAGTATTGATTTAATTAGGCTTTGGGTGTACTTAAGAATGGTAAGTGGAGACTGGTAGGGCATTTCAGACATATACAAGGTCTTTCCAGTGGATGGAGAATAACTTTGTATGGCTGGAACTTTGGAGATATCAGGGGTAGTGGGATCCATACTGCTAAAAAAGGAAATTGAAGCTAAATAATAAGGGTCTTGAATGCATTGTAAGAAACTTTACCTGTTCTTTTTCAGTTCGCTATTTGTTTTGGTTGTAACTAGACAAAGAGAAAGAGAATCTATTTCAGTCATTGATCTCTACCAGTCCATTAGTCATCAGCTTTCATACACAGGTACATTTATGCAAGGTATGGCTCAACTGGTTTGTCATAATCCCCTAGGATCACCTGTCTAAAGAATGATGCTTGATGTGCTCAGGTTTTCCTGCCTCACACCAGGAATGGACTTGTTAACATGTTTATTTCCATTTTTCTCCACTGAGGTCATTGGGGAAGTTTATGAGTTTGTTGAATTGCTAAATGAGTAGTGCTGGCTGTTGTACTTGTCATTAGTTATTTTTAAGGGAAAAGTGCCTGTTGGGTTGTTTCTATGCATCTGAGTGAGGCTGATTACCTTGGGCAGGTGAGACATGCTTCCATTCACATTCAACTTTATACTTAAGACAGCATAATTGAGATGCACTATCCTTCATTGACTGTAATCCTAAGTAAGCAGTTTTCTAGTCTCGCTGATATGTATCCTGCCAGTTATATGTTGAAACATAAATTTGAAAGGTAAATAGCCTCCTTACTCAAGCTCTAAATCATATTAGGATACATCCTGGAGAGCCCACACATCATTTTAATCTTGCGTGATGGTCCTCAACCTTGTTTGCACATTAGAATCAGTGGAAAATGTTTTAAAATGCCTGTGTTATGGACACATTAAAATCAGAATCTCTGTGGGGCAAGGAGAGAAAGATCCAATTATTAGTTTTTAAAACTCCCCAGGTGGGCCAGGCATGGTGGCTCATGCCTGTAATCCCAGCACTTTGGGAGGCTGAAGCAGGCAGATCACCTGAGGTCAGGAGTTCGAGACCAGCCTGGCCAACATGGTGAAACTCTGTCTCTACTAAAAATACAAAAATTAGCCGGGTGTGCAGTTAGAATGGCAATCATTAAAAAGTCAGGAAACAACAGGTGCTGGAGAGGATGTGGAGAAATAGGAACACTTTTACACTGTTGGTGGGACTGTAAACTAGTTCAACCATTGTGGAAGTCAGTGTGGCGATTCCTCAGGGATCTAGAACTAGAAATACCATTTGACCCAGCCATCCCATTACTGGGTATATATCCAAAGGACTATAAATCATGCTGCTATAAAGACACATGCACACGTATGTTTATTGCGGCGTTATTCACAATAGCAAAGACTTGGAACCAACCCAAATGTCCAACAATGATAGACTGGATTAAGAAAATGTGGCACATATACACCATGGAATACTATGCAGCCATGAGAAATGATGAGTTCATGTCCTTTGTAGGGACATGGATGAAATTGGAAATCATCATTCTCAGTAAACTACCACAAGAACAAAAAACCAAACACTGCATATTCTCACTCATAGGTGGGAATTGAACAATGAAAACACATGGGCACAGGAAGGGGAACATCACACTCTGGGGAGTGTTGTGGGGTGGGGGGAAGGGGGAGGGATAGCATTGGGAGATATACCTCATGCTAGATGACGAGTTAGTGGGTGCAGCGCACCAGCATGGCACATGTATACATATGTAACTAACCTGCACATTGTGCACTTGTACCCTAAAACTTAAAGTATAATAAAAAAAAAATTAGCCGGGTGTGGTGGCAGGCGCCTGTAATTCCAGCTATTCAGGAGGCTGAGACAGGAGAATTGCTTGAACCTGGCAAGCAGAGGTTGCAGTGAGCTGAGATCGCTCCACTGCACTCCAGACTGGGTAACAAAGAGCGAACTCCATCTCAAGAAAGCAAAAACAAAAACAAAAACAAAACAAAACTCCCCAGGTAATTCCAGTGTGCAGCCAAGGGGTAAAAAGATCCAAACAGGAGGACTTTATATCATCTCTTGAGGGTCATTTATTTTAGAGTAGTGGTCCTCAGAATGTAGTCCCAGATCAGTAGCGTCAGTACACCCAGGAACTTGTTATAAATGCATATTCTTGAGCCCCACCCCAGACATACTTAGTTAGAAATTCTGGGGGTGAGGCCCAGTGATTGCTCACAAGTGCTTCATGCGATTCTGATCACACTAAAGTTTGAAAACCACTGACCTAGTGCAGTAGGAAAGGATTTTAAAAGGGCCAAATAATATTTTAGGGTCATGTCATGTTATAAAATTAGATATATGTGATTTAAGCAAAAGTAAAATCAATTTAGATGTATTTTAATAACATTGTAAATATAAACACAGTGAATGTTCTAAATAGTTTTTTCTCAGAGTTTGGCACACGTACAATCTGCACTAGAATCACCTAGTTAAAATGTATGCATCCTGCATATCCATCGCAAATTTTTGAATCATAATCTCTGTGTCAGGGCCCAAAATCTGCATTTTTTACAAGTTCCTCAGGTGAGTCTAACATTTGGGAACCATCCATCTACATGAATAATGCCATATATAAGAATGTTTCATAGGCCTCATTAGAATATATGGTTTAGTTATTTATCCATATCAGCTGAAATCTCTGCAATGATTCAGTTGATCTGTTTGTAGAGTTAGTGACAGTTGTTAAGTATTCTATCGAAACCTTGTCTTATAAGAGCTGTGCTCTGGACTGAGTACGGCCATAGAATGTTCAATTTTAAAATTACTAACAAAGGATAAATACCATTTTAATACAAATGAAATTTGTGTTCCATTATAAATAGTCGAATTATATATTTGCTGGCTTAAGCTTTGTAAAAAGATCATCTTTCTTACATTAAGATGCTCCTTATACTAGTTGGTAAAGGTAAAAAACATCTTATTAGTAATAAATAGAAAATGTACCAATTACTACTAGTACATCAGGAATTTAATAAAAGGGAATTAATGGTTTATAGACAGCTCCATAATCACTCCTTGCGGAACTGCATTTTACAAATACATCATTTGAACAGTCCCTGGGTTAGAATCAAAAACAGAATCAGGGTCTATATTAGCAAAATTAGGTAATGAAGTATTGTTTTCAGCATGCTTATCATCTCTCTTCAAAATTATTTCTGTAATTTTCATTTTGGAGGTAGATACAGCCAATTATGAAGAATGTTCAACAAAATTTATTAAAAGTTTGGTTATACTAGCAATGTCACAAAACATTTTTGCTTAGATAGCTTATCAATACTAATGGACATTTTAATTTGTAGTGATTGGGTATTGTGCTCATAGCTACTACTAATCAAAATGCTCAATGTTGACATCTACAGGCCATTGCTATTTTCAAAACCAAAAAATCATGAATCTAGTACGAGTGATTTAAGTATGATATTCAAATGGCTTTCACATATAACCATTAAACAAATAAATAGCTGGTTCCATTAACTTATAATCACTATAGTTAAGCAACTGTAATTTGCGTTATTTTTGTGGAAATTTCTATTACTTTGTATGAAATTGCATATATGGTAATTTAACATAATATATGATAATAATACCACCTATACTAGTTCATATTTATTGAATGTTTCCTATGTGCCAGGTACTGTTTTCTGTGCTTTACATGAAGTTTTTAAGTTAATCTTCAGAAAATCTTATGAGATAGGTTTAACAGATAAAGCAGCTAAGGCATAGAATGATTAAAAATGTGCCCAAGTCACATAGTAAGTGGCAAAACTGGAATTTCACTTCAGAGCCTTTGGTCTTAACCACTATGAATATTAAAATATCATGCTATTTAAAATAATTGCTTAATTCTTAATCTTGCATAGACTGTTTTGGATTCTATATGGTTGTAAATGTCCAACTAGTAAGTTTTTCCCAAATGCTTTTTTCTTTTCCTAGGAAATCACTTCTTCATTTTATTGTACTATGTGTGGCTGGGGTGGTTGTTCATGCACAAGAACAAGGTAAGAAAATTACCTTTTAATTTATTTGCTTACTTAAAAATTCTACTTCCAGACAGCAAAAGTACATAACTTTCAACTCATTATAACTGTAAATTCAACATTAAACAATAACAAAAATTCCACCCAGTACCATGAGAATGTAAGATTAAAGAAACCAATTTTGAGGGGAAATACGACCTTTAAGAAATTACTCATATCTTCCGTCTGTGAAATTGCTTACATTTTTAAGCAAACTCTATAAAAAAGAAGTTTTGTACAATAAAAAGGCTTTGCTTGTGACTTCATTTTAAGTGGGAGTTCTTGGGGGTGGCAAACTGTGACTGAATTACCTTTGCACTTCTTGATACAACAAAAGCATATAAAAAATGTTCCGTCCAGATTTGCATCATTAAGAAACAAAATGGAATTTGCATACTAGTGGGCTTAGGATTCTATGTAATTCAAATGGAGAGGTTTAGAAAATAAACCTAAACCTGTTTTGTTTGTGCCTACTAGTTAATTACTCTGGTAGTATGATGATAGAGTTTCAGGAGTCTATGTATATCCTAATTCATTCATTTAAACATGATTGATGCATCTTCTATTTCCTGTGTAATATCCTATTGCCAATGATTGGAAATGTAAATAAGATAATGTCTGTAGCATCAAAGTGAAAAAAATGCCTTTATCAAAGGTAAAAAACATACCAAAGTCAAAGAGACAAATCCTAGAACTGTGCTGGACCTACAGATAATATTACCAAGGCCTCAGATTTGTTTGTTTGTTTTTCTCCTCTGCCTTAAAGGTAGCAAAGGGCTCTTCTGCACAGAGCTGCCAAAGCATTAATTCTTACAGAACCAAGTTTTCAGTTGAGTGGTCAGTTTGATGAACCCCTTGTCAGTTTGATCAATTGATCAAATAACAGTAAGAAAAAGACAAGTAAACAAATTATGAATGAAATATGTGCAAGGTAGAGAGAGGGCAAAAAGGAAGAGTGGTACTCTGGTTGACCAAATTGACAAGTAGATACAGATAAATATTCTTTCAAATATCACATAGATGAATTAAAATATTTCTTAGAAGACATTTTCTAAATCTCTTTTATGGGAAATGATTAAGCCACATGTCACATGTAACTTCATGAAAAACTATTCTTAACCAAGGCATTTATGTTACTTCATTTAGCTTGAAGTAGCCATGAAGAGGAGAAAAACTCTCTCTCTTAATTTATTGTTATTATCACGGTTACTGTTTCTGAGAACTTACTATGAGCTACTAGTCACTGTGCTATTAGAATGTACATTTACTTCACTGCTGCCTCATCACAGGGTTTTGTAATTATGGCCATGATAGAATTGCTGAAACTGAGATTAAGGAGAATAGGTAACCACCTCCAAGTAAAAGCTTAATGAATGGAAGAACCAAGATTTGAGCTCATATTTTGACTGCAAAGTCTACAAATTCCTTAAAATTGAGGCTCCTAGAGCCACAGAGAAGATAAGGAAGAGAAGAATACAATTATTAATTAAATGTATATTTTGTATCATCTCTTTTGCTGGTACTTTACATATATTATTCTAATCATCATAATGAACCTGCAGAGTAGGTATTATAGATGAAGAAACTGAGACTCAAAGAAGTGGCTCACCTACAGCTTAGATTTGAATCTAGGTCTGTCCGTCTCTGAAGACAAAACTCTTTCCCTTAGACGTCCTCTAGCTTCACAGTTGCCAGCCACTGGCATTATGAGTTTAATAATTTACCAAAGATATTATTATCAAAATATTAGAAACCCATGCAAAGAAAGATATAGGGAAAATTAAATATTTATGAACTTATTTTTTAAAAATCTAGAACCAACAAAAGGAATAAATGAAAGAAACAACATATTTCTCTCACCCTTAAGATCTCATTTATGGAATGTAAAATATGTTATTTTATTTCAGGGCAAGCATCATAATTTTCAATTTTATACACCTAAAATTTTATTGCCAGTTCTTAACAAAAAGAAAAGTCCTTTAGAAAACCTCTCAGACTTTAGAAAATTGAATATTTTTGAGCACAAAAAAAGAAATGGAAATAGCATATTATCAGAAACTTAGAAACACTTTTTTCCTAAAAGAAATTTTCTGATTAAATTGGCACGATGCAATTTGTAACATCTAATCAGGAGACTGGAAAACCATTATCAGATAAATTGTGTTTTTATATGATCACAGATATTATTTATATTAATACTGCTGAATATGTTTGAGTGAGAGATTATCCTAAGTTAGACTTATCAGAAATAAATATTTGTATGCTTATGAGATTTTTCAAAACTTAAAAAAGTATATCAAAGAATTACAAGTACTGTACAAAGTTTAAAGGCCAAATTGTATGACAAAACATATAGCAAAAAGCAGTGTCCCTTCCCCTTACCCACTCCTACTATTGTCTGCCCAAACTCTTTTAGCACCTTCTTTTGGTTTTAACATCTATATTTAATACTATAATATGTTTAAATATTATATTGACTTCCTATTATTAATGATGAGGACTTAACATTACTATTCTCTGTGTCTCCTTTCCCTACTTCTATTCTCTCAATATAGTTTTATCCAATTTTTGGTTAATTTAATATTCACAATTCAGCTTATTATGACCATGTGTATATTTTTTTATCACTGAGCCATGTACGTTTATATTTTTTTCTTGTGAATTAACAAGATTGCCTCCTTTTCTGTTTGCTTTATGTTCTATGTCACTATCACTAAATCTCAGATATTTTGAAATATATTTTCCCCCAAACGCACCAAGTACTCCAGAAATTTGATTCTTTTCTTGGAGATATTCCTTCTGCATGCTAAAATTCTGCTCTGCTATGGACCAGTAGTTCTCTAAGCTTCCAGTAGAGCTGATATCTGTGTTAGATGGAGTTTCTTGGAAGTCTTATGTCATTTTTCATAGTCTATTTCCTTATTTATTTGGGTGCAGCACATCCTCTAGTTGCATCCTGAGAATATGCACTTGGGTGGTGCATTTTTTACAACATTCCATTTCTGAGAATGTGTTTATTCTCAGTCTTACAGGTAGTTCAGGTGAGTATAAAATTTTAGGCTGTAAATATTATTCCCTCAGAATTTGAAATATTTTCATCTTTTGCCTTTTTTTATCTGGCTTGCAGACTTTTTAAATCTGATGTTATATTAATTCTTGATCCTTTATATGTGACCTTTTAATTTCCCTTTTAATCCCTTAAGATCATCTATTTATCTTTGATGTTTTGGAAGGTTACAATAATCTGTCTTGGTACAGGTCTTTTTACAATTCATTGTGCTAGGCACTTAGTAGGCCTTTTCAGTGTGGAAGCATCCTTAATTTTCTGGGAATTTTCCTGCGTTATGTTTTTCTTCCTGATATATTTATTTCCTCTTTCTTCAATATCTTTTAAATATTAAATCTTCAGTATTGGGCTCTTTATTTTCTTATTTTTAGATCCTATTTTCCGTCTTTGTTTTATGTACTACTTTATGTGAGATTTTTCATCACTTACTATTCCAAACATTTTGTTTAATTTCTTATTTCTTCTGTGTTTAAATTGTTTTTTTTGTTTTTTGTTTTTTGTTTTTTTTTTTGAGGCAGTGTCTCACTCTGTCGTCCAGGCTGGAGTGCAGTGGCGCAATCTCGGCTCACTGCAAGCTCTGCCTCCCAGGTTCACGCCATTCTCCTGCCTCAGCCTCCCGAGTAGCTGGGACTACAGGCACCCACCACCACGCCCAGCTAATTTTTTGTATTTTTAGTAGAGACAGGGTTTCACCGTGTTAGCCAGGATGGTCTCGATCTCCTGATCTCGTGATCCTCCCGCCTCGGCCTCCCAAAGTGCTGGGATTACAGGCGTGAGCCACAGCGCCTGGCCTCTGTGTTTAAATTTTTAAGGGTTTTTTCACTGAGACTAGTCTTTTTTTTTTTCATCCTGTTCTCGTTTCTTTGATGCAATGTCTACTTTTATCTCTGTAAGGATAAGAATGACGATTTTTTCAACTTTTCTTCTGCTCTCTGCATTGTCTTTGTTCTAAATTTTTGTATTGGTCTGTCTTTTATGTTGGAGAAGTTGTTTATAAGTATGCAACATTTCTGTTATCATTTAAAAGTAAGACACTGGCCAGATGCGAGGCTCATGCTTGTAATCCCAGCACTTTGGGAGACTGAGGCGGGTACATTATCTGAGGTCAGGAGTTCGAGCCTGGCCAAAATGGTGAAACCCCATCTCTACTGGAAAATACAAAAACATTAGCCGGATGTGGTGGCATATGCCTGTAATCCCACCTACTTGGGAGGCTAAGGCAGAAGAACTACTCGAGCCCAGGAGACAGAGGTTGCAGGGCGCTGAGATCGTGCCAGTGCACTCCAGCCTGGCTGACAGAGTGAGACTCTGTCTCAAAAAAAAAAAAAAAAGTAAGACACTAAAAATATGCTTAACAACTGTTTGCATGGGTAGGCTAGTTAACTGAGATGTTTCACATAGAGGATGATTAAGTAGAAACCTGTCTGACTATTTTGTTAGGCTACACATGTCTAAGGCATGTAGAGAAGGATCCTCCAATACCTTACTTGTAGAATATAATCCTGGTTGCCACTGTTATTAGAGTTCAGTGATATAAAGAGGTTCTTGGGTTGATGGGGGGAGGATTGTCTCACAATTTTGTATGTCAATTTTAGCCAAATCCCTTCTCAATACAGAGCTTCCCTTCCATTTTCCTCTACGATTGATTCAATGCTTCTATGTCATTAACCTTTGGTCTCCTTTAGTCTGGAAACTTCTTATACAAACTTTCAATCCTCCACCCTCACATATCCTCAACCCCCAATTTGAAGCCTCAATGCTGAATTCATTGATTTGGTGCCTTCAATTCTTGAGCCTTTTCAGGATTTTGCAATATGAATCAGCCTGCCTGTCATTAGCATTTGCCTCTGAAGCCCTTAGGTTCAGTTTTTTCAGCTCTGGTAATTTCTTCGTGTGCTTTTCATTTTCCAAAAATTTGTTGATATATTTTGTCTGCTGTTGTCTCTTCTACTCATTAACTTTTTCCCTGTAGTTCTAAACCACATTTCCTTATTCTCATTTGAGTAAGATTTTAAGAATGAGAAGAAATAAGCATCTATGTGATTTGTCACGGTTTCAGTAAATTCCCTTAAATTTTAACACAGCTAAGAAAAAACATTTTAAGTACCTTATTAATAGATGTAAATTGTATATTTTTTATGTCCAAGTTTTAGGTGTAATCTAATGAATAAATGATTCTATCTCCAGAAAAATTAATTATGTAAGTCTGAGTTTTCTGAGGATTTGACAGATGTAGATACCTTTTCTTACCTGATATGTGTATTTTTGTTATTACTTTGTCTGTGTTGGTGGGATGGCTGCCAGTGAGATGTTGGCATAGCTACAACACTTCTCTACAATGACTTGCACCATGCATAATGTGTAACTAATTCTTAACATGCACATCTTTCTCAGGTTCATGATCCCTAGGTGTGAAAACCACGTGTGTAAAAATCTCTGTGTAGAATATTCATCTCGAAGAATTTCCCATAGAAATTAATCTGAAATGTGTTTATTGTTAACAGAAGCAGTTCATTGTAGCTGCAGTAACTTCAAGTCCTTTCTTCACAAACACTTGTATGGGCACTTAGCCAAAACTTCTATACACAGCTTAGAGCTTCATTTCTCATTTTATAAATAAATTAGCATTTATCTCTTTATACAGAATAGATGTGCTATTTAAAGTAAGAATACTTCTAAGAAACGATTGCCACCTTTAACATACCCAGTGTGACAGTGGTATTTAAGCACAGGTGTTCCAGAGCCAGCATCTTAGAGTTAAGCCCAGTTTCCGCCATTTATTAGCTAACTGACCTTGAGCAAGTTTCTTAAATACTCTCTGAGCCTCATTTTTAACAATGCTAAAGTGAAGAAAATAGTAATACTTACTACACAAGGCTGTCGTGTGGATAAAATAACACATGTAAAGTGCTTAGCACAGTGCCTGTTACATAAGGATACAATAACTTTGATTAGAAGAAGGGGAATACTCCAGATCCTTTTCTTTTCCCATATCCTCATAATATTGAAAAAATAAAATAAAATGGTTTATTTTAAACAGTTTCCTTTAGTTCCTTAATTCAGTGAACTGGAGCTAGGAAGCTGTATTTGAGTCTTGATTCTGATATTGACTATTTAGCTGAGACTATAAAAAATAATACAAAATGAATATTGGGCAATTATCTAGTTAATTTAGTCAGTTTAAGTAAATTGGCAAGAAAAAGAAAAGTGTGTCGAAGTCTATAATCATTCTCATTTGCAAATTTGGTGATTTTATTTTAAACAGTCATATTTGTTCTTTCCTACAAACTGGAAAGAATATAGCTTTGGGATGTAACTGATCAAGACATATGAAAATTTTAAACAGTGAGAATTCATTAAATTTAAGTGCTATGTTATATTAATTTAGTTATTTAATAGTTAAGAGTTAACTCTGTAACTTGTTATACTTTATAAAGCGATATATTACTCCTTTTTATCTAAAAATTGGTAACTTTCTTTTAAGTATTTTAAACTACCAATTACTAAGAGATGTAAAAATCTGTCCATTTTGAGGTAGTAAACATAATAGTACAATTCTTCTTCTTCCAATTTGTGATAGACTATCGCTGAATATTGACACATTTAATGGTTCTTTGGTTCTCTGTACTTGTAAAATGAGTTATAACCATTGGATCTCCCATATCTATTTCTTTAGGCATATACTATATTCCCCCCACAGAGTCAATTGATATAGTCACTGAGTTTAGAGTCAAAGACTTGGTTATGAGTCATAGTTTTATCCTCTACTAAGACTTAATTTCACCTTTCTCCCTCACTCTTTCTCCATCCCTCTTTCTCGATCTACTACTTCTCTCTCCTCCCTCTCCCCCCCCTTTCTCCTTCTCCCTCATCTTTCTTTTATTCTAACTTGTGATAACAACATCAGTGCTGCTTACTCTACAAGTTTCAAATGAAAGGCAAGTAAGTTTGGGCTGTCTGTGTTTATATAGTATGTCAGCTTTGTAAGCTTAGAAGACTGATTTTATTAGCATACTAAGAGAGGATCTATTTCTCATCAGTGTTTAACGAAACAACAACAAACAAAAATTGCGCTGATGACTTAAAGGGGAGGTAACCACTTGAACTGAGCCTTGCAGGATGAGTAAAGATTGGCATGAAGGGATATACTTAGCAGGGCTCTGACGGGATGAGATAAAAAAAAAAGCAGATAAGCTTTGTTATGGCAAGAAATTCAAGGAAGAGTACATACAGAGAGTGGAGAATGCTGTGAAGTGAGCAGATATATCAGTGAAGAGAAAAATAAGTAAGGGGTATGTCTTAATCTGTTTTCATGCTGCTGATAAAGACATACTCAAGACTGGGCAATTTACAAAAGAAAGAGGTTTAGTGGACTTACAGTTCCATATAGCTAGGGAGGCCTCACAATCATGGTGGAAGGCCAGGAGGAGCAAGTCACATCTTACCTCGATGGCAGCAGGCAAAGAGAGAGCCTGTGCAGGGAAACTCCCCCTTAAAAAACCATCAGATCTAGTGAAACCCATTCACTATTGCGAGAAAAACATGGGAAAGACCTGGTTCAATCACCTCCCACCAGGTCCCTCCCACAACATGTGGGAATTCAAGATGAGATTTGGGTGAGGACACAGCCAAACCATATCAGGGTAGTATAAAGTTAGAGAGCTGTCCCAAAGACCACCCTTACTTCTGACACTAGCTTCAAGTTAAGGGGTCCCCAAGACTACTCTCAGCCTCAGTAATACTTTAGAAGGACTCACAGAACTTACCAAAATTCGTTATACTCAGAGAGTTCACTGAAGTGTTGTATTCACAGTTAAGAATACAGATTAAAATCAATACAAGGATACAGATTAAAATCAATATATTCACAGTTAAGGATACAGATTAAAATCAATACACGGGTTTAAAGCGTCCCAAGAAAGAACAGTAAGTACAAATGCCATGAGTTTAAAATTAGTTGGGTGGGTTTAAGAATGAAGGAAAATACTAGTTTGGCTGGAGCAAAATTAGGTAAGATAAAATGATAGGAGATGTGATCAGAGAGATAAGAAGAGAATAAATGGCATAGGTGTCTTATACCATGGAAAGCCATTGGACGATTTTGGTCAGAAGACTGGCATAATCTACTTTACACTATGAAAAGATTGTTCTGCCTGCTTGTGTGGTTGTGAGACTCTTCACTGAGAGAAGCACTCAAGTAAGAAAAATGAGGTTTGGGGAAAATACATTGAAGTGGAAATGCTTTTGAAACATCTCATTTCTATTGGATAAATTCAATAGACAATTGGATATGCAAGCCCAGAAGAGAGGTTTGTGAGTCAGCATATGTGGTTGTTGCAGCCATGGTTTGGATGAAGTCATTAGGCCTGGTATTTATAGAAAAAAGAACAAGTCGTTGTCTTGGTGACACCACCATTTATTTTACACTTCAGAAGCAAATAAAGGAAGGAGATACAGTCAGTTCTGCTGTTACTTAACACAAACCTTTCCTAAATTTCACCATGTTAAGAAGTTGGCCTTAGATGACCTGCATGCAAATTCTGCCTCTGCACTCCCTAGCTGGGTAAGCTTGGGCAAATAATTTAACTTTTCTATGACTTACTTTTCCTAACTCTCACATGTAGATAACAACAGTGCCTACTTCATACAGTTGTTATGCAAATTATGTGACTTAAAATATTAAAGTTCTTAGAATAGTGCTTGGTACATGGAAATTTAATACATGCTGCTATAATTCTTATTTTTTAAAAATGTAAAGCACCTAATATAGTGCTGGGTTGATCATTAATATTCTTTAAATGGTAACTGATTTTCCAAGTGACATGAACTGGATTGATTTTTTATATAGGGCCACTCACAAAACAAGCAATTTACTTCCGGCAACTTAGTTATTTCTTGTAAACATTGGTACGAAATATCTAAATTCAACCCCTAATTGTAATTTGGTGATATCCAAGTCCAGGTATAAATTACATGTTAAAGAGTCTGACCTCTGAGTGAAAGCCTTTCTTCTTCTTCTCTTGCCCACCCCCATTTTTTTTGTCTGCAGTTCTCCTCAGCTCCAGTCATATGTGCCTTCTACCCTTAAGTGTTCTTTAATCTCTCTTCTCTTAAGATCTTGCTCAAACACATTTGCTAAGTGTATTCATACTCAGGTAAGAAAGCTTAAAATTAGGATGACAATTTGATGATTTCACTTCAGGTACCAATTTTGGTGGCTATCTAGAGAGTATTCCCCACTGAGATTTCTGTGGGGTAAAAGTAATACTGCCATGATTAATTAGTGAGATTTGCCAAGGGATATGTGGAGTGGTGTGGGGAATATAATGGCTGAGAGGTCGTGTGGTGGAGCAGTCAGAGACCTTAAAGCCATATTGATTGGGCTCAAATGCATCGCTACCATTTATCAGCTGTGTGACCTTTACCAAGTTATTTAATCTCTCTGTGCTTCAGAGATTTTTCATTTGTGAAATGGGTGTAGACTTTAAGTATAAAGTTGAAACCAAGAGATACTATCTTCCCATTTTTGGCCTTGGATATCATACAATAGAAAAAAATGAATGAAATAATAAACTTAAAAATCACTTTCAGCAAAACTAGGGGACTAATATAATCTGCAAATCCCCAAAATGTGCTCAGAAAAGCAGATGCCATATGGAATAAGGTCAATAGTGAGACTTCAGAAAGCACCAGCAAAACCAGACTTCCTGAAGGTGAGAAACACACCCCAAAATATACATTTAGCCCTTGTACACAAGTGCTACAGGGTCTGGGGAAGGCAGAAGCTGCCAAGGGGAAAGTATAATAAATAAGCACAGATAATAGCTAAAATGGATGAGTGGGGACAGATCTCAGAAAATGCAAAAATCTACTCACTGAGATGAAGGATTCATTCTGAAGCATATACCAATGTGAGTGGATATGGAGGAAAGAGAATGAAGGGTTGTATATAGAGCTGGCTGCAGAAGTCCTCCTGGACTAGATTTGGTTTAGAGAAGAAGGTGGGGCTAGAAGCCATTTAGAATGAAACTGGTAGTACCGGAGCAGAGCCTTTGGGTTTTGAGACTTGGAAGTCACAGCCCATCCTCTTCTTCTGCCAGCATCTTTCTATAAGTTGCTAGGCTAGGAATTAATGAGCAAAAGGAGTTGGCACAGCACAAGTAGAAATATACAATAAGGAAACATGTAAGGAAAAGCAGCAAAAATGAGAATGTACACACAAAAAAATGTTGCTGTTAAACTGACAAATATTCTGACCAAATATGTCCCCCTTATCACCTACACAAAGAAAGATACTAAGGCAGAAATGAAAGAACTCAGGGAAAAGTAAAAGAAGGCAATATATTAAAAGGATATGAATTGTGAGCTTGTAGAAGTCAGTAAAGAAGTCATACAAAAATTATCTCATAAATCAAGATGAAATGGGAAGGAGCACAAAGGGAAGTTATACTTTGTAGGAAACAGTAAAGACAAATAAGAAAATCAAACAAACAAAAATGAATTTAAAGAACATAATAAAAAGGATTATAGAGAAATGATATATGAGACATATAGAAGACAACAATGATTCAATATACTCATAATACGAATTTTTAAAGAAGAAAATCGTAAACTAATGAGCAAAATAACCAGCTAACATCATAATGACAGGATCAAATTCATACATAACAATATTAATCTTAAGTGTAAATGGGCTAAATGCTCCAATTAAAAGACACAGACCGGCAAATTGGATAAAGAGTCAAGACACATCAGTGTGCTGTATTCAGGAAACCCATCTCACGTGCAGAGACACACATAGGCTCAAAATAAAGGGATGGAGGAAGATCTACCAAGCAAATGGAAAACAAAAAAAGGCAGAGGTTGCAATCCTAGCCTCTGATAAAACAGACTTTAAACCAACAAGGATCAAAAGAGACAAAGAAGGCCATTACGTAATGGTAAAGGGATCAATTCAACAAGAAGAGCTAACTCTCCTAAATATACATACACCCAATGCAGGAGCACCCAGATTCATAAAGCAAGTCCTTGGAGACCTACAAAGAGACTTAGACTCCCACACAATAATAATGGGAGACTTTAACACCCCAATGTCAGCATTAGACAGATCCACGAGACAGAAGGTTAACAAGGATATCCAGGAATTGAACTCAGCTCTGCACCAAGTGGACCTAATAGACATCTACAGAACTCTCCACCCCAAATCAACAGAATATGCATTCTTCTCAGCACCACATCGCACTTATTCCAAAATTGACCACATAGTTAGAAGTAGAGCACTCCTCGGCAAACGTAAAAGAACAAAAATTATAACAAATTGTCTCTCAGGCCACAGTGCAGTCAAACTAGAACTCAGGATTAAGAAACTCACTGAAAACCGCACGACTACATGGAAACTGAACAACCTGCTCCTGAATGACTACTGGGTACATACCGAAATGAAGGCAGAAATAAAGATGTTCTTTGAAACCAACGAGAACCAAGACACAACATACCAGAATCTCTGGGACACATTCAAAGCAGTGTGTAGAGGGAAATTTATAGCACTAAATGCCCACAAGAGAAAGCAGGAAAGATCTAAAATTGACATCCTAACTTCACAATGAAAAGCACTAGAGAAGCAAGAGCAAACACATTCAAAAGCTAGCAGAAAGCAAGAAATAACTAAGATCAGAGAAGAACTGAAGGAAATGGAGACACAAAAAACCTTCAAAAAATCAATGAATCCAGGAGCTGGTTTTTTGAAAAGATCAACAAAATTGATAAACCGCCAGCAAGACCAATAAAGAAGAAAACAGAGAAGAATCAAATAGACGCAATAAAAAATGATAAAGGGGATATCACCACCGATCCCACAGAAATATAAACTACCATCAGAGAATACTATAAACACCTCTACCCATATAAACTAGAAAATCTAGAAGAAATGGATAAATTCCTCAAAATATACACCCTCCCAAGACGAAAGCAGGAAGAAGTTGAATCTCTTCATAGACCAATAACAGGCTCTGAAATTGAGGCAATAATTAATAGGTTAGCAACCAAAAAAAAGTCCAGGACCAGATGGATTCACAGCCGAATTCTACCAGAGGTACAAGGAGGAGCTGGTACCATTCCTTCTGAAACTATTCCAATCAATAGAAAAAGAGGGAATCCTCCCTAACTCATTTGATGAGGCCAGCATCATCCTGATACCAAAGCCTGGCAGAGACACAACAAAAAAAGAATTTTAGACCAATATCCCTGATGAACATCAATGCAAACATCCTCAATAAAATACTGGCAAAACGAATCCAGCAGCACATCAAAAAGCTTATCCACCATGATCAAGTGGGCCTCATCCCTGGGATGCAAGGCTGGTTCAACATACACAAATCAATAAACGTAATCCAGCATATAAACAGAGCCAATGACGAAAACCACATGATTATCTCAACAGATGCAGAAAAGGCCTTTGCCAAAATTCAACAGCGCTTCATGCTAAAAACTCTCAATAAATTAGGTATTGATGGGACGTTTCTCAAAATAATAAGTGCTATCTATGACAAACCCACAGCCAATATCTACTGAATGGGAAAAACTGGAAGCATTCCCTTTGAAACCTGGCACAAGACAGGGATGCCCTCTCTCACCACTCCTACTCAACATAGTGTTGGAAGTTCTGGCCAGGGCAATCATGCAGGAGAAGGAAATAAAGGGTATTCAATTAGGAAAAGAGGAAGTCAAATTGTCCCTGTTTGCAGATGACATGATTGTATATCTAGAAAACCCCATCGTCTCAGCCCCAAATCTCCTTAAGCTGATAAGCAACTTCAGCAAAGTCTCAGGATACAAAATCAATGTGCAAAAATCACAAGCATTCTTATACACCAACAGACAAACAGAGAGCCAAATCATGAGTGAACTCCCATTCACAATTGCTTCAAAGAGAATAAAATACCTAGGAATCCAGCTTACAAGGGATGCGAAGGACCTCTTCAAGGAGAACTACAAACTGAAATAAGAGGATACAAAAAATGGAAGAACATTCCGTGCTCATAGGTAGGAAGAATCAATATCGTGAAAAAGGGCCATACTGCCCAAGGTAATTTACAGATTCAATTCCATCCCCATCAAGCTACCAATGACTTTCTTCACAGAACTGGAAAAAACTACTTTAAAGTTCATATGGAACCAAAAAAGAGCCCGCATTGCCAAGTCCATCCTAAGCCAAAAGAACAAAGCTGGAGGCATCACACTACCTGACTTCAAACTATACCACAAAGCTACAGTAACCAAAACAGCATGGTACTGGTACCAAAACAGAGATATAGACCAATGGAACAGAACAGAGCCCTCAGACATAATGCCACATATCTACAACTGTCTGATCTTTAACAAATCTGACAAAAACAAGAAATGGGGAAAGGATTCCCTATTTAACAAATGGTGCTGGGAAAACTGGCTAGCCACATGTAGAAAGCTGAAAATGGATCCCTTCCTTACACCTTATACAAAAATTAATTCAAGATGGATTAAAGACTTACATGTTAGACCTAAAACCATAAAAACCCTAGAAGAAAACCTAGGCAATACCATTCAGGACATAGGCATGGGCAAGGACTTCATGTCTAAAACACCAAAAGCAATGGCAACAAAAGCCAAAATTGACAAATGGGATCTAACTACACTAAAGAGCTTCTGCACAGCAAAAGAAACTACTATCACAGTGAACAGGCAACCTACAGAATGGGAGAAAATTTTTGCAATCTACTCATCTGACAAAGGGCTAATATCCAGAATCTACAATGAACTCAAACAAATTCACAAGAAAAAAACAAACAACCCCATCAAAAAGTGGGCAAAGGATATGAGCAGACACTTCTCAAAATAAGACATTTATGCAGCCAACAGACACATGAAAAAATGCTCATCATCACTGGCCATCAGAGAAATGCAAATCAAAATCACAGTGAAACACCATCTCACACCAGTTAGAATGGTGATCATTAAAAAGTCAGGAAACAACAAGTGCTGGAGAGGAGGATGTAGAGAAATAGGAACACTTTTACACTGTTGGTGGGACTGTAAACTAGTTCAACAATTGTGGAAATCAGTGTGACGATTCCTCAGGGATCTAAAACTAGAAATGCCATTTGATCCAGCCATCCCATTACTGGGTATATACCCAAAAGATTATAAATCATGCTGCTATAAAGACACATGCACACATATGTTTATTGCGGCACTATTCACAATATCAAAGACTTGGAACCAACCCAAATGTTCAACAATGATAGACTGGATTAAGAAAATGTAGCACACATACACCATGGAATACCATGCAGCCATAAAAAATGATGAGTTCATGTCCTTTGTAGGGACATGGATGAAGCTGGAAACCATCATTCTCAGCAAACTATCACAAGGACAAAAAACCAAACACTGCATGTTCTCACTCATAGGTGGGAATTGAACAATGAGAACACATGAACACAGGAAGGTGAACATCACACACTGGGGCCTTTGTGGGGTGGGGGGAGGGGGGAGGGATGGCATTAGGAGACATACCTAATGTTAATGACGAGTTAATGGGTGCAGCACACCAACATGGCACATGTGTACATATGTAACAAACCTGCACATTGTGCACATGTACCCTAAAACTTAAAGTATATATATAAAAAAGAAAACCAAAACTATGAAATAGAACCAATATTCAAGGATACAATTCATTAAAAGTTTGCTGAAGTAAATAAAAAAAATTTGAACCTGTGCAATGAATGATCATACTATGCACCTGGAAACATTTATCAAGAATGGTCAATATGGTGCCATATTCTTATAAAATTCCTGCATTTCAAAGATAAAGAACAACTCTTGAAGAATGTTGATAACTACGGAGTCACTTGTAAGGAGAAAAATATTTAGCTGACTTCAGATTTAGAAAGACTACCTGAGAACCATGGAACAGCAGCTGCAAGATATTCAAGGAAATAAAGTATCATGAAAGAATTTTATATCCCATGAAATTTAAGGTACAAGGCTACAAAAAATCAATTCTGAAAAGTCCAACACTCGGGAAATGTTGTTCCCGTAAACCTTCTTGAGGAAACTAATAGAGGATAAACTTCAGCCAAAGAGAAGTGATTGGGGAAGCTACTACAAAAGTCTGGCTCTATTTGTCAAAAGAAAATGTGGGAAAAAGAAAAATATAAATGCCATACAAACTAACAATGTAGGAATGGTACAATTACAGAAAAATGGTAGGAGAAGAGAGGAAGAATAGGAAGAGTAGATTAACTTTGCTGATTGCCTTATCTGAAGAAGCTGGGAATTAAATATTTTACAGTTGGTAAATTAGATGAAAGAAATATAAGGATATTTAAGAATGAAAAGATAAACACTATGAAAGATACTCCTATAGACTAATATTAGAAGGTATGGGAAAGGGTTAAAGGGAGGAAAATAAAACATTGTGTAAAGGAAAGAATTAATAGATATGTGTAATGAAAGGACTGGGGGCATTATATACATTTAAAATTTTAAAGGAAACCCTTAGAATAAAAATACAAACCCTTCTAAATCTCAAAAGGCATACACAAAGCAAAGCAAAGGAAACAAACTACATAGTGAAAGACTTCAAAAAATTAAAGTGGTAAAACATAAAATAATACAACAGATTAAACAAACCATAATATTAGCAAATGTAGATAGATTTAGTTTATACATTCAAAGAAAACAATTCAGACTGGATCAAAAAACAAATACAATCCCTTTGTCTTTACCTAAAACATAGTGTTTCACAGTAGATGAAAACAAAAACAAAGGCAAAGGTATATCAGACAAATGTAAACAAAAAGAAAGTCAGATGAGGGAAGCTTAGTCTTACTACCAGTTAAGGTAATGCCAAAAATATAAAACCCAATAAACTAGACATAGAAGGTCTTTTTGTAATTCTGAAAGGTGCAGTACTCAATAAATATGTGAACTGCATGATTATCTATGCATAAAAACCATGACATCAATATTCATAAAGCAAAGACCACAAGAGAGAAAAGGCCAAATAGACACACTACTGGTAAGATACTTTATCTCTCAGTTGATGGCAGATTAATTGTACAAAAATAAACAAGAATATAGAGGATATAAATAACATAAACAATGAGGTACAACTAACTGGTATGTATTAAATTTTGTACCTTCAAACACCTTTCCGAGTGCTTATGAAATGTTATTGAAAATTGACCACTTATGAGGCTAATTGAGTTTTGAAAAAGAAAGTGCTGATTAGACACCATTCTCTGATCATAATACTATTAAGTTAGATTTTAATAACAAAATCAGAAAACAAAAAGACCTTCCTAACTGAAAATTTAAAACTTTTTTCTTAAACCACTTGGGTCAAAGAGAAAATACAAATAAAAATACTTTCCAGAAAACAACAAAAATGAAAATGCTACATATCAAAATCTATGGGATGCAGCTAAAGCAGCACTCAGGAAAATGTATAACTTAAATGCCTTCATTATCAAGCAAGAAAAGAAAAATAAAGGACTAATTATTCATCTTCAGAGATTAGCAAAAGAGTAAAACAAAAAAAAATGGGAAGAGATAATTAATAAAGATAAATTCTAAAATTAATGATAGAGAAAATGAACAAAAATAGTAGATAAATAAATCTGAAGGCTGTATACATTTGAAATGACCAATAATGACAGACTTAAGAATAAATAAAGCAAAATAACCAAAATTAGAGAAATGAGACAGAGGGCCACAGACATAGGAAAACAAAAATAATTGTAAGGGATTATTATGTGAAGATTTCTGGGTAATACATGTAAAAGCCTAGAGGAAATTTATTATTTCATAGAAAAATATAAATTTCTAAAATTGTCTCAAGGTGCAGTGGAAAATTAGACTAAATCAATTAACATAGAAGAGATTAGGAAAGTGAATGAAGCACTATCAATGAAAGAGCCAACATGATCAATTTGGTTTATAGGTGAGTTTTTGTAACTTTTTGGGAAAAAATGTAATTTCAAAGGTTACTGAAATTGTTTTAGGCTATAGAAAATAATGAAATTTCAATTTTATTGTCTGATAAATATAGGACAATAAGAGAAAAACACTGACCAGTCAACTCATACATATTGATGTAGTGATTCTACATAAAACTATTAGTCAATAATCCAGTGAGATACCAAAAGAATAACGTAAAACTAATAAGATTTTATTTTAGGGATGCAATCATGGTTCAATAACAGGAAATTTATTCAGTAATAAGTGTTCAAACACATTTGATTTTTAAAAAACAGCTATTTGTCATCAAAGCTCCACTAAAAATAGAATTGGAGGAAGCATATTAATATACATATAAAGAAACATTGAAAACACACATATGCTTTTTAAAGTTTTCAAATAATACTCCTCCCAATGATATTTCTGTATAATAGGGTCAGAAATTCGAAGCACTAGATGGCAGGGGTTCTTAATAAATGCAAGGGGAGATGTTCTTGGGGCAGCGTGCAGCCCTTGATATACCACATGTATGATTATTTTTTACATATGTAGCTTATTTGGTATCTCAGAATTATAGCTTTCAGATACTTTATGATCATATATACTTTAAATTTAAGCATTGTGATTTCCACAGAAGCAGGGTTCCTTCCATAGTTTACTTCTCAGATTGAGCTAGGCATACCTTTAGAGTTAGGTAAACCTGGGTGAGGATATCCAATGTCACAGACTAACATAGCTAGTTTCGGCGGTGTAAATTTTCACTGAAGATTGGGGATGAGTACAATTAGCTGATTTAGCTCATAAGTAATTTATATTGTATATTGAAACAACCAGCCATATTATGGATTAAAGTTTAAATTTTGTGTGAATTATGATGATAAAACATAAGAAGTCAAAGGTATTTTTTTGTTGATTATGTGGGGCCTCTTTGAAATATGTCCCTAAATTCCTGGAGGTGCATATAATTCTACACTGGTGTTAGGAATATTTTGGTGGAAAAGTTTGTCATACAATATCATAGATACAAATATTGCTATCCTTTAAAAATGTCATGAAATTACAACTATTTTATTGATAAAATGATGGTTGTTCTAACCTTAAAATAAAACACTTGAGTGTTTTGTGAAGATCTCTGTTAAAAAACATTTTAATTGCATTGCTAGATTACACAGGAATGGCATTCAGTAATTATTTCATTGTTGTACACAGTTGTGAGACTTGGGAAATGAGATTCTCTCCTATCTTTTGCTATTTGTAATAAGCATGCATTATCAAATATCTACTAATTTCCTACAAAAGGAAAAAGTAAGGTGATGCCAAACGTTCCTGGCTAATCTTCAAAGACTTTTATTTTTTTCACTTATCACAATTCTGTAACATTTCTGGTTGGAGATGATTATATTTATACAAAGATACAGATGGGAAATTTATAACCCAAAGAATAATAAAGATCATGCAGCTGACTATGCTGTTCTGTATTTTAAAGACAGAATTTGTCATTCTTTTTAAGTGATATTTAAATTTATATGACTCCAGAGGTGAATATGAGACCTGGTCAGATTGCTGTGGGACAAATTCATTCATTCTGAAATTATAGAACTATTTGCAAGGAAGGTGCTGAAGAGATCCAATAATGAATCAGACATATCCAGTTTTCCAGAAGCTTTTAATTGGGTAAAGGAGACAAACAATATACTATTGGTAATATTACGATGAATAATAAATCAGAGAAATCCACAATTATATCAAATCCATATTATATAAAATGCGTATTACATAATAGATATTGAAAGAGTCTAAAAGTTGGATAAAAGTTACTCTGGAGGACTGGAAAAGTGGAAGAAAGAGAAGCTTGGAAGGGACAGAAAAACCAGAGTGATCACCAATAAAATGAATTTAAATTCTTTTGTCCGGGAATTATCAAAGGACTTTGGTAACCAGAATACTTTAAGCGTAGCACACACTTAAGGTAGTAGGCATTGGGAAAGCTTCCATGCAACTTGTAAATTCCCAGAAGGTTAGAAGGAAAAACAGCCTGAAAAATTATACTTTAAGGGATCGTGTGAACCTAATTTATAAAATGTTTTCCAAATCACAATTATCTTTGGAAGTATGACTCCACTTTCACTTTAACACAGATTTCATTAAATTTTAAGTTCTAAATCAAAGAAACAAATGGGATCTGGGAATCTTTGAACATGTATATTCATTGAAGTGACAAATAAGAATCAGTAAAATGGAAAACAAGAGAGATAAACTAATTAAATTTTGGAGATCAGGCGTGGTGGTTCACACCTGTAATCCCAGTGCTGTGGGAGGATTGCTTTTGCCTAGGAGTTCAAGACTATCCT
This sequence comes from Homo sapiens, assembly GCF_000001405.40. NCBI lineage: Eukaryota > Metazoa > Chordata > Mammalia > Primates > Hominidae > Homo > Homo sapiens. The sequence goes on along the minus strand of NC_000001.11, from coordinate 86,126,681 downwards.
GGGCAATAGAGCAAGACTCTGTCTCTATGAAAAATACAAAAATTAGCCAGGTATGATGGCATGCCGTTGTAGTGCTGGCTACTTGGGAGGCTGAGGTGGGAGGATCCTTTGAGCCCCGGATATCAAGGCTGCAGTGAGCTATAATCATGCTGCTGCACTCCAGCCTGGGTAACAGATGGAAACCCTGTCTCTAAAATAATAAATAAACTAATAATAAATAAGTTTTGGGTTTAGAGATTGGTGTGTGTGTAGGGGGAGGGGCATGTACTTTATTCAAATTATTGAGTATAATGTCTTACTCTCCCCCTCCCTATTTCTTATTACCCATAATTAGTTATTGATAGAACATGCTTATTTTAGAAACTACTGTTGCTACAAGGAAGATTTTTATCATATTCAAACATTTATATGAACACTTGAATCCATAAAATTAAGATTCTTTCTCTCTCTCTTTTTTAAATTTCCAGGCATAGATATTCTTCATCAACTAGGCCTTGGAGGCAAAGACGTAAGACACTCATCACCAGCGACTGCTGTACCATCAGCATCTACACCGTTACCTCAGGGGGTCCATTTAACAGAATCAGGAGTCATTTTTAAAAATGATGCTTATATCGAGACACCTTTCGTGAAAATTTTACCAGTCAACTTGGGGCAGCCGTTTACAATATTAACTGGGTTACAGTCACATCGGGTGAACAATGCATTTCTCTTCAGCATTAGAAATAAAAATAGACTGCAATTAGGAGTACAATTACTACCTAAAAAATTAGTAGTACACATTAGAGGAAAGCAGCCTGCAGTTTTCAACTACAGTGTTCATGATGAGCAATGGCACTCATTTGCCATTACTATTAGAAACCAAAGTGTCTCAATGTTTGTTGAGTGTGGAAAGAAATATTTTAGCACAGAGACTATTCCAGAAGTTCAGACCTTTGATTCTAATAGTGTGTTTACTTTAGGAAGTATGAATAATAATTCTATCCATTTTGAAGGAATAGTATGTCAGTTAGATATTATTCCTTCTGCAGAAGCATCTGCAGACTACTGCAGATATGTGAAACAGCAGTGTCGCCAAGCAGACAAATACCAACCTGAAACAAGCATTCCTTGTACAACTCTCATACCAACAAAGATACCGGAACACTCTCCCCCGCCCAAACTATTTGCTGAAAAAGTACTGTCAGAGGATACATTTACTGAAGGCAAAAGCATTCCAAATATCATAAAAAATGATTCTGAAACCGTGTATAAAAGACAAGAACACCAGATATCAAGATCTCAGTTATCTTCTCTTCAGTCAGGAAATGTCTCTGCTGTGGATCTCACAAACCATGGGATTCAGGCCAAAGAAATGATCACTGAGGAAGATACTCAGACAAATTTCAGCCTGTCAGTGACCACTCATCGCATCAGTGAGGCAAAAATGAATACCAAAGAGAAATTTAGCTCTCTCCTAAACATGTCTGACAATATCACACAACATGATGATAGAGTAACTGGTCTGTCACTGTTTAAGAAGATGCCATCTATTCTTCCACAAATTAAACAAGATACAATTACTAATCTCAAGAAGGCTATCACAGCAAATCTACACACTAACGAACTCATGGAAATGCAACCAATTTTAAACACAAGCTTGCATAGAGTGACAAATGAGCCATCTGTGGATAATCACCTTGATCTAAGGAAAGAAGGTGAATTTTATCCTGATGCTACTTATCCCATCGAAAATAGCTATGAAACTGAGCTTTATGATTATTATTATTATGAGGATCTAAATACAATGCTTGAAATGGAGTATCTGAGAGGGCCAAAAGGAGACACTGGACCTCCCGTAAGTTTTTTTTTTTTTAATATCTCCTAATATGCTAACTTACATTTTAAACTCTCTTTAAAATACATTTTAAAGAGAGTTCTCTGGACCAAACAATACATAACAGATAAAGTCTGTCATGGAAATGCATTCTGGCACAGTAAATGAATTTATGGTTGCTGTAACATATCTGCCAGAATGTAACCCTGGCTCAAATATCGTGCTTTTGTTCTTCATCTGGTAGGCTGAAAGGTGACTTAATTCTGGTGAAGTAGTGGGCAAACTATTTGTTTTTCTTGTTCAGTTGAAATTCAATCAGGATTTCAACTGCTAAATATAGATAATATATTTATATTTTGAAAACCATAGGAGAATGCATAGTCATGTTAAGAGAAGTATATAAAAGATATGGTAGGTTAAAGAAAAATACATTAAATACATCCATTAAATATTCTTACAGCAAAATAGCATCAAATGGATTAAAATAGAGTGTAAAACTTACTTTAGATAGAGATTATTGTGTAATGAATCGTTGACTGTCTTTAGTGATATGGTCAATTTATGTTTATGGGTTAATTAAAGCTCCCCTTGCCTAACACAAAAAGAACCAGTTATCAGTCAATTCAGTGAGGGGAAAAAAACAACCAAGGCACTTGTTTAATATCATGTAAACAAAACTGTGAGATAATAAACTGAACTTTTCAGCCCTGAATTTCTTTTGTTGTATAGGTGGGAATTAGAGATCAACATTTAAAAATTTCTAAAATCATTTAAAAACCACTTAAAGTCATTTAAAATCACAGTGTTGGAAATATTCTTTTTATGCTTCATATTTGTATACTTAAATTTACCTTTATGTCTTTAGAAATTATTTTTTTTCAAAATTTCAAGTAGATTAAAATATATCTTAAAGTATTTATTTAATGAAAATAAAATTTGAGTCTTTGGCTTAGCTCTAGAAATCATAGAATGGGAGAAGGTGAAGCCAGTCTTTTAGCTTGTGTTTCCTTTGTGGTTATTCCTAGAAGTGATTTGATAGGTATTGAGTCACTCTTGCTAGAGTAAATGTTTAGACATTTAAAAATAAAATATGAAGACTATACTATTATAGAGAAATAAACTCTTCAACTATGACAATTAATTATCAACATATTGGTCATAAAATTGAATCACTGGACATATAATATTAAGCAAATAGTTATGGAAGCCATTTACTTTCTTCAGAAAAAGTCAGTCTGATCAGATGAGCATTAATCTCTTCTGTAAATTCAAAAATAGTCATTCAGTATTGGCAGGTGAAGCAGTAATATTCAGCAGATATTTACTTAGTCTCTGCTATAAGCAAAGCAGGAACACAAAGTATGTATAACTCAGTAATTGCTCAGAAAAAGCTTATATTTCATAATGAAGATAAAGGAAGTACATTTATAACTATTTAATATATCTTGTAGTAAAGTAGGATAAATGCTGCAGAGAGATGCAAAGTAAGTGTATGGGCTAGAGATGTTCAAAGGTTAAAAAAATAGTATTTTTTGATGGAGTCTCTATGAAAGGTCACTTAAAGCTGAGCTATTCAGAATAAGATCTTGTGGACAAAGTTAGTTATGACCTAGGCTCTAAGAATGGGTAAGATTTTGACAGGTGAGAGGAGTAGGTGAGTTTTTTTTATGATAGCATAATAGCTATCATTTATTGAGTTCCTTGAGAAAGATGCTCTACCAGTCTCTTTACATATATTATCTTAAAATAACTTTGTAAAGTTTGTAGTGTTATCCTCATTTTTCAGGTGAAGAAACTGAAGCCCAAAGAGTTAATTTACTTTCCCACAATGACATTGTTGGTAAATGATAGAGCCAGGATTTGAATCCAGGTTTTCTTCCTCTAAAGCAGACAGATAAAGATCCAAGCTTGATGGTGTCAGGTTGTGGGCATTCTTAACTGTCAAATGATCATTCTAACTTTATCTTGTTCTCAAAGGGGAATTTTGTAGGTTTCTAAGCAGAGGTATTAATTGGAAAATCGGTCTGGTAACAGTGTCCAGGATACGAAGTTTCTGTTACCATCTTGGTGTTAAAGGACTAGAACATTATCTAGGTTGGCAGCAGTGAAAATGCAAAGGAAAAGTAGGATTCAAGAGATTTTGTAGGAAGACTTGGTAGAACTAGGAAATTAATGGGACCTAGGGACCAAGCAAAAAGGAAAAGAATAAAAGATGACTATCAAATTTTAAGCCTGCAGATTGAGAGAATGGTGATATCATTATTAAAAACTGTAATTAAGAGGGAAAGTCAATTTTAGGAGAGAAAAATGAAACATTTAAAGAGCTGTTGGTAATTAAGCTGTTAGAAGAGTTGAAGAAGCTGAAGTAAAGAATAGATGTCAAGGCTGGGGATATAGATTTGGGAGTATTTCTATTGACTTTTATAGTTGAAACTATAGAGTTGGATAGATTTTCAAAGAGAGGAATGTGGCATAGGGTCACCAGTCAAATGAGGGGGATGTTTGCTTTTTGGTTATAGAAAGAAAAAGCAGAAATGTGATGAGAAGTCAGAGAGATAGGAGAAAAGAATAGTGATATCAAAATATGAAAGAAGCAATATCAAAAAGCCAAAGAAGAGACTTTTGAGAAGGAATTGATCAGCAGGGCCAAAAGAGACAGAGAAGTCAAAGAGAATGAGAACTGAGAAAAAGCGATAATCTATTGGATATTTTGATGAAGAAGTCATTGTTGAACTTTGAGAATCCTAACTTCAGCGCAGTGTAGAAGACTAAAGGTAGATTTTAGAGAGATAATGAGAGACTGAATGGTGATAAAATAATGAACTTGTAGGAATTGCCTTACTGCTTCTTGAAGTAGATGTGACTCAGAAGCCTGAAGCCAGCCTGGTTTTTCCTACTTTTAAGTAACAATTTTTTCCTGCCTATATACCCATGCAGTTCTTTATCTTTGAAGTTCTTTAAACCTATTAGGTTCTGAATCAGGTTTTTGGGGGAATACTCTTTTGATCAGAAGATTATTTTGATCTGAAGATTATAGAAAGACCTCCCCTTATAATAACCAAATATTGGTTGGTTCCATTTTTCTAAATTCTTCAGGCATACAAGTTTGCATATGTTAAATGTCATTTGTGATGATGAATGGTATTTATTATCTTTTCTACAACCGTGTCATCATGATTGCTCTTTTCCATTTCATTTTGTGTGAACTCATTTATTCTATATATTCCTATCCCTTCATTGATTTTTAAATTATATTTAATCAGTTTTTATTGCTCTGACATGGCTTTCATCAAAGAGTTTCTTTTTTGCTCTTTCATATTTTTTAAATCTTTCACAACTCTTCTTTGAACTTTATTTTTGTACGTTAATGTCATCTTGACATTCTTTGAATATGTAGTGACCTATATAACTGAACTCTTTATCTGTTGTATGGAGTAATTCCTCTTCTGGTAAATAATTTTTTTCACATTAACGATTATTCTCTTTATTATGTGCTAATAAAAAAGGATACTGTTAGTGAATTAATGCTTTAAAAATTCATGTTTAAACAATGGTACTGAGTAGAATTTTTTTTTATTATACTTTAAGTTCTAGGGTACATGTGCACAATGTGCAGGTTTGTTACATATGTATACATGTGCCATGTTGGTTTGCTGCACCCATTAACTCGTCATTTACATTAGGTATTTCTCCTAATGCTATCCCTCCCCCTGCCCTTCACCCCATGACAGTCCCCGGTGTGTGATGTTCCCCACCCTGTGTCCAAGTGTTCTCATTCTTCAATTTCCACCTATGAGTGAGAAAATGAGATGTTTGGTTTTCTGTCCTTGTGATAGTTTGCTCAGAATGATGGTTCCAGCTTCATCCATGTCCCTACAAAGGACATGAACTCATCCTTTTTTAAGGCTGCATACTATTCCATGGTGTGTATGTGCCACATTTTCTTAATGCAGTCTATCATTGCTGGACATTTGGGTTGGTTCCAAGTCTTTGCTATTGTGAATAGTGCCACAGTAAACATACATGTGCATGTGTCTTTATAGCAGCATGATTTATAATCCTTTGGATATATACCTAGTAATGGGATGGCTGGGTCAAATGGTATTTCTAGTTCTAGATCCTTGAGGAATCGCCACACTGTCTTCCACAATGGTTGAACTAGTTTACACTCCCATCAACAGTGTAAGAGCATTCCTATTTCTCCACATCCTCTACAGCACCTGTTATTTCCTGACTTTTTAATGATCGCCATTCTAACTGGTGTGAGATGGTATCTCATTGTGGTTTTGATTTGCATTTATCTGATGACCAGTGATGATGAGCATTTTGTCATGTGTCTGTTGGCTGCATAGATGTCTTCTTTTGAGAAGTGTCTGTTCATATCCTTTGCCCACTTTTTGATGGGGTTGTTTGATTTTTTCTTGTAAATGTGTTTAAGTTATTTGTAGATTCTGGATATTAGCCCTTTGTCAGATGAGTAGATTGCAAAAATTTTCCCCCATTCTGTAGGTTTCCTGTTCGCTCTGATGGTAGTTTCTTTTGCTGTGCAGAAGCTCTTGAGTTTAATTAGATCCCATTTGTCTATTTTGGCTTTTGTTGCCATTGCTTTTGTGTTTAAGTCATGAAATCCTTGCCCATGCCTGTGTCCTGAATGGTATTGCCTAAGTTTTCTTCTAGGATTTTTATGGTTTTAGGTCTAACATTTAAGTCTTTAATCCATCTTGAATTAATTTTTGTATAAGGTGTAAGGCAGGGATCCAGTTTCAGCTTTCTACATATGGCTAGACAGTTTTCCCAACATCATTTATTAAATAGGGAATCCTTTCTCCATTTCTTGTTTTTGTCAGGTTTGTGAAAGATCAGATAGTTGTAGATGTGTGGTGTTATTTCTAAGGCCTCTGTTCTGTTCCATTGGTCTATATCTTTGTTTTGGTACCAGTACCATGCTGTTTTGGTTACTGTAGCCTTGTAGTATAGTTTGAAGTCAGGTAGCGTGATGCCTCCAGCTTTGTTCTTTAAATTTATTTTCCTGTCCTCTCACTTTTCCCCTCCTCCAAATATCTATTTATAAATCCTCTACTGATTGCTCTCTGGTTATTATTCATTTTTAAAATAAAGGCAACTGTATCTTGGTGATTTGTTTCAGAATGGTATATGGAGAGGCATAGGGAAGTAAGGTGGAATGGTACACAGAGTCAAATTTAGATTGCTGCCTAAAACACCATCTTACCATATTTGTTTTGTCTTCTACCCAGAGGCATGTGTCGTCTCATGTTCATGCACAATTTGTTGCGAAACCCTTTGTATCACAGGCTGTCTCAGAAGTGATAGGGGGATTTGTGCTCTTCTTGTCTTTTGTCCCCTCTCACCAGAGAGGATTCTGGTTGTAGAACATAAAAAAGGTATGTTCTTCTTCAGCTCCACCTTTTCTACTCTTGTCTCTTTGAAGTTGGGTTTTTACTGGGTCATGAATCATATTTCCTGTGGCTTGCACATTCCCTTAAACCTTATCATAATCAAAAAAGTGGATTTTCAAGACTAATATGTATCCAAGGTTTGAGGTCTGAGGAGTTTTTTGGATTTGGTTATCTCTCAACACCTTCGCTCCAAAGTTTCTCAGTATTGGGCAGGTAATCTTCATATTTTGTGGTTTGTGGTTATGATCCTTTCGTTTTTCACTGGAGATGATGTTTTCTTCTTTTGGTGCTTTTTGTTGTTTACAGCTGGTTTTGAGGGAGGGAGAGTAGTCTGCAAAATGTTCTCACTCTGACATCTTTTACCAAAATTCTCTAGTGTTCTTTTAAAAAGATGAATCAGATAACATTGTTTATCAGCTTAAGTTCTTCAGTGGAAGAAGGTTATAGCACTTAAACTCAAACTCTGTATCCTGACCTGTGCAGGTATGTGATATGGCCCCTGCTTACCTCTGCAACTGCCTCTTGCCCCACTTTTCCCCTTGCTCTATTAGTTTTTCTTTTAATTCCTCAAAATGACTGTGTCTTTTATTAGTTTTGTTTTGTTTTACTCATGGCCTCATTCATTTATTCCTATCTTCTGAAATTTTATTTTCTTCTTTTTTCTAGCTCCCATTAATCTTTTAGGTCTAACTAAATACTTCTTCAGAAAAGCCTTCTCTGACATCACAATATAAATTAGGTCCACCATATTAACCTCTTTCTTGGTTGCCTTTTCTTTTCCTCCATGTCACTAAGTAAAATTTGTAATTATGTATTTATCTGTTAATGTATGTCTTTTTATCTAGACTGCAAACTCCAGGAGGGCTTGATGCTTTATAATATTTATTGAGTGAGTGAATGAATAAATTAAAAAAGGAATGTAAGATGCAGGATTTCCAACATTAACTGACCAGGGATTATTATCTTTTAGAAGTATTGGACTATTGAATAGATTTACCTTAATGTATATATTATCCTAGTAATAATAATATCTAACATTTACTCAGTGATTGCTGTGCCTTATGCATACCTTAAAAAAGTTAATTAGGCCAGGCACAGTGGCTCACGCCTGTAATCCCAGCACTTTGGGAGGCCAAGGCAGGGGGATCACAAGGTCAGGAGTTTGAGACCAGCCTGACCAACATGGTGAAACCCCGTCTCTACTAAAAATACAAAAAAATTAGCTGGGCATGGTGGCACGCACCTGTAATCCCAGCTACTCGAGAGGCTGAGGCAGGAGAATTGCTTGAACCCAAGAAGGGGAGGTTGCAGTGAGCCGAGATCACGCCACTATACTCCAGCCTAGGTGACAGAGTGAGACTCCATCTCGAAAAAAAAAAAAAGTTAATTAGACTACTGTTTACTGGTTAACTACTATCACTGCCAAGCACAGTGACAGGTATTTTATATACAATAGCTTTAATACTCACAATAACCCTGAAAGGTAAATTTCTATCATCAATATTTTAAAGGTGAGGAAACTAAGGCTTAGAAAGAGTAACTGACTTGTCTAAGGTTATTCAGCTAGTAAATGATTGAGGCATGATTTGAATCTACATTGTATGATTGCAAAACCATTACTTTTTAAATGGAATTGTACTTTCTCTTAATAACAAATAATCTGAAAGTTAAAGTGCCTTTTTTAGTACTTAACCTTATTTATAGAAAATAATTTATTCTCAAAAATGTCATGCTATAAAAATTATGATTCTTCTCTGGTATCTAGAAAATGCCTATTAATACTATGTTGTAAAAGATTTTGAAACCACAAAATTATGAAGACATGTGAGAATTGATTTTAATTTAGTGCTTATCAAACAATTCAAATATTTATATCATGACATAAACTATACCTCTTTTTCCCCCCAGTATCTAATGTTAATTGCATCTTAGTTAGTTCAGGCTGCTGTAACAAAATGCCATAAACTAGGAGGCTTATACACTATAGAAATTTATTTCTCACAGTTCTGGAAGCTGGGAAGTTGAAGATCAAAGTGCTGGCATGTTTGGTAGTTGGCCAGGGCCTGTTTCTGGTTTATAGATGGCACCTTCGTGCTGTGTCCTCACATGGTGGAAGAGGAAAATGAACTAACTCCCTTATGCCTCTTTTACAGGACACTAATCCCTGACCCATCACCTCCCAAAGTCCCCATCTCCTACTACCATCACTTTGTTTAGGATTTCAACATACGAATTTTGGGAGGACACAAACGCAAGCCATAGCAAACTGCCTTTCCAATGTGAATGGAATAGTGTTTTCTTTTGTCACAAGTAGTGAGACAGGACACTAAACCAAACTAGACATTTTTAAAGAAAACTTTTCATTTTCTTTTTCATTTTAGTTGCGATTTCTCCTACTGGCTCTTATTTTTGGGGACATAAATTCAAATCAACAGCTGCTAAATTTTTAATTATAACAACAGGACCAGAATTAACTTGAAAAGAAAGTCAATTTTTCTTGACAATGAGTAAAATATCAAGATTTGATGGAAGCTAGTGATATGATAATGGCTGCTAAAATATTTGAACAGCTGAGGAAGGAGAATGCCCTCAGTTAGGGGCTGAATAGAAATAGCATTTCTCTCTCAATATTAGGAAATACATGAAAAGTTTTATAAATTTAGGGGGTAAGAGAAAAAAGTGCAACTAAAGGAAAAACATGGACAGTCTGAAATATCTAATGAATATCAGAAAACTGCAAATGACTCTAATAAAAGAGAAAGTTTCAAGGAGTAGTTAATATCAAAAAATGTGAGATGAGAAATATGCAAAATAACTGTTATTTTTTTCAACATAATTTACTCATTTCCCTCTTGTGTTTTTGAATTGGAATGATCCTTTCCCATCAATCCATTTTCCCTCTCCTCCTTTGAAACTCAATGTACATTTTAGGTGTACCTGGCCATGCTGCAGATTAAACTGTATGAAATTATGAAATTGTAGGTTAAAAAACTGTCACATATTGGAAAGTACATATGATTTAACCTGGATTCATCTCTTTATTTTATGTGCAATCAGCATAGATATATAAAAATTTTACAATAAAGAAAAATAAAGCACATTAGGTCACAGTGCTTGTTACTGGTGAGGCTAGTATTTTAACCCTGATGTGTCTAATTTGAAATCGTGTACTATTTTTACTGCAATAATGAATGAATATTTGTTAAGTGGAATATGTGTATGGTATGCTCTATAGACACCAAGAACAATGCCATATCACAGAGTGCTCAGTAACAATTGAATGAATGAACAGATGAATGAATGAATATGTGTTCAACCATATCACAAATGAGCATTTATTATTCCACAGTTGATTGTTAAAGTAAGTGAAGAAGACAACATAAAACATTATATGGAGAAGTAAAGAAGTAGTGTCCTATTTCTTATTTGATATGTTTAAAAATTAACATTTAAATAACTCAGAACACTGTAACAATTGATCAGTTTTTGCTTTCATACTTTATTTTATAAATCATTTAACTCTATTAGTGACTTCCTGGTGTGCTGCAATTGGTATAAGTCAGATTTATTAATGGATATACAAGAAGGATTTCATTATAACAGTTTAACACATTACACAGATCCTTGGTATAATTCTTTTAAAAGTACATAAAATGGCCAGTGTTTTCATTTTTCAAAGCAAATCTTCTTCTGAATTGTGTTTGAAAAAAACTTGTAGTTGTTGGTCGCCAAACCCTAAATTGAATTCCTTCTTCCATAGTAAAAGTAAATTTAGGTAAAAAATTACCCACAAAACTACTAGTTGTGGTCCCTTTAAAAACCAGATACGGTGGCTGTAACCATAAGTCATAGACTTCCTGCTGCCATTTCTGGCCAGATTAAAGGGGACACTTGAGTTTCAACTCACCCCTGCTGATTAGGGTAAGGGGGTTCGTGTTACTTAAAAATCATCACCAGCTGGGAACTGGGGACTGAAAAAGAGTTGTCTTTGGGTGGAAATCTTATTCAGACTCGTAAGAAAATAAATGTGTCCACTATCATGCCTAATGTCTTGACATTTGTTTTCCAAGGGTCCACCTGGTCCAGCAGGTATCCCAGGTCCGTCAGGGAAGAGAGGTCCACGGGTAAGTAGATGGGCTATATTTCCTGCTGGCAGTGAGAATTTGTAACTTTCTAACATGTTTTTTCTAGTATTGTACAGTATGTACTTCCTTTGGAAACCTGCCTGGATCTTCAAACTTAGTCCTACCTTAGCCAATTCAAGAGAAGCTTAAGAACACATGCAGCCTAGTTTATTTTGAGTGTAAACACACAGCCAAAGCATTCTCTGTGAACGTGTCCAACAAAGATGATCAAATGTGTAAATTAGTGGCTGTTCTGGTGCTACTTGTAACATTATTCTTACTTATAAAGTGATCGCAATATCTAAGGTGAGATTCATTTGTTTGGGGAAATGAAGAGGGGTGGGCTGCCTTAAAATAGTACATTCCTGGATTACATAGTGGAAAATTCTGAAGCTATTGACTAGAAAATAACTGCCCTGAGGAAAAAAGCTGCATTAAAGATCAGCAGTAGTTTTTCATGTTACACAGGCCCAACAAAAGACTTATTGCTATGTTAAAATTAGTTTCTCTCAAACCTAAAAAAAGTGTGGATATTTTACTACAAAACATCTTTGTTCAATGAGCTAGAAAAAGAATTGTATGACAAATGCAAATACCTTTTATATAATCCACTTTATTTTTATTCTGATTTTTATTTAACATACAAAGATTATAAAGAAAAATTACTCTAAAATATTACTTTAAGTTGTCCATAGTCACATCAAACTCTTGTCCATTTGAGGCCTAAGATGAATTCTCATTGGGCTCTAGCTGTTTTGCATTAAAAAAAATTCTCTGTAGTTGATGACCTATCACATTTCTTCCATAGCCCCTTCTAAACCTTGCTCGTTCTCCTCTAGCCCATGAACCATTCCTATCCTCCTACCTCTCTGTGAGAATTTGGATCCTATTTTTCTGAGAAACTGGGCCAATTTTCATACTAATTCTATTCCCTATCCACTGCTAAGGTTGTACTCTCAACAGCATGAACTTCAGGTTCAGAATCTCCATCTGTTCTCATAATACGGCAGTTTACTTTTTTACTTTTATCTTCCCTAATTCACTTTTTATCTTCCATTTATTTGTCCAATTCTCATTCTCTTAAGGAAGAAAGAGTGTTTTGCTCAAGGCTAGTTATTTTACTTGTGTTCCTAATTTCACCTCATCTAACTTAAAAGTTGCAACTTTACATTTTTTCTCTCCCTAAATTTTATATTATTTGGCAACAACCAACAAGTTATCCCTCTTTTATAAATCCCAAACTTTCATTGATATTAATTTTTCCTAAAGCTATTGTTTTGGCTCACTGTTGTTTGTACTACTGAGCTTTGTGAAATAATAATTTATATTCCATTGTCCTTACTTTTACATCAGCAACTTATTCATTAATCCCCATAGATGTTTTCCATCTACTTTATTAAAATGTACTTTTTGAAGGTTACCAATGACATAAGTCATAACATCTAACCATTTTTTTCTTTCTTTTTTTTTTTTTTTTTTTTTTTTTTGTGAGACAGGATCTCACTCTGTCACCCAGGCTGGAGTGCAGTGATGGGTATCATAGCTCACTGTAGCCTTGATCTCCAGGGCTGAAGCCATCTTCTCACCTCAGCTTTCTGATTAGCTGGGACTACAGGTGTGGGCCACTATGCCTGGCAAAGTTTTTTGATTTTTGGTAGTGATGAGGTCTTGCTGCGTTGCCCTGGCTGGTCTCAAACTCCTGAGCTCAAGTGATGCTCCTGCCTTGGCCTCCCAAAGTGCTAGAATTACAGGTGTAAGCCACCACACCCAGCCAAAATTTAATCTTTTTTCTTTAGTTTTCATCTTGCTAGATGCATTTTCAATATTTGCATTGCTGACACCTCTGTCTTCCTGAAGTATTCTGCTCTATTAATTCAGAATTAAAAAGACAAATAATTATTAACTATATGTTATGTCTTAAGAGGGAGGTATGGCTGAAGAGCACAGAAGTAGGGTACAAAATTGAAGTAAGCATAGGGAACCTGGAGACATGGAAGGCTTTCTTGGAGAGGGTGATCTGTTCCTCTACTTACTGGTTGTATGCGCTTAAGTTTCCGGATTTTTAAATGGGAGTAAAAATAATAACCTTGCAGGATTGTTATAAGGATTAGTAATGAGAAACACAAAACATCAACACAGTTCCTAGCACATAGTAGGTACTCAGAAAATAGAATCAATTTTTGAATTCAGATTATATAATTTATCAGTGATGCAAAATCAAATTGCTAAATATTAATCGAGTGTAACCATTCAATGTGTTAAGTGCTACACTAGTAATATTTTTAAGAGTCTCTTTTCAAAGAATTTATAATCCTGGGGCTAAATAGAACATGTCATAAGGCAGTTAGAACAGCAATAAAGTATTTAAGTAACAGATTAGAACAGTATAAGAAATGTCCTGAGGCAATATACAATTAATTGGTAAATGAATTTTACATGAAGAAATTTCTACGGAAATTAGTAGGAGAGAGATATTGCTTCATGTTCTTGTGGCTAGGATTTAAAAATGAGTTGAGATCTGAAGAAAAATTTGGGTAGGTATAGGGCATAAGCTGAAGTAAGTAGGTCTTTAAGGCATACATAATAACATAAGCAAAAACTCAAGTGCTTAAAGGGATCACACATGTTGAGAGGAAAGTAAGCAATTGTACTTTGTTCCATTCCAGTATGTTCCAAGAATGATGACTTTTTTCGTTACTTGCAGGGCATACCAGGGCCACATGGAAATCCTGGTTTACCTGGATTACCTGGTCCAAAGGTAAGTGACTACTAATCAGGCAACTTAAGCTAATGAGTATCACCTGATTTTCCTGATATTAAAAAGAAGATCCCTAACATTTAAGGCAAGTCTTGATACATCAAGGATCTCTGTCACCTCCAGAGCATGATTCTTCAACATGATTGTCTTAGCCTGGCAGAGAGCTAGGTTCCTCTGAAAGCCCACCATACTTGGATTTATATTCTTAGTAGTAAAATCAGGTATAGGCCTGCTTAGTATTCCAAAATCATTGTTATCAAAAATATGATGGCAATGTATGGAAACCTCTGAAATATAAGATTATGATTTGAGTAATTTACCTTAAATTAAGGTCGTTTTAATTTGTAAATAAACACCAAGGAAATAAAATATTATTTACCTGCTCCACACTTCCCTAATTATTTTTACCTGAAAAAAAACCGAGGATGTTTAAAGAATGAACAAATGTTTATGAAAACAACTAACCTGAAAATCTATATATATGAGCGTACATAGTTGTATGATAGTCATATTGTGTCCGGAATTGGTGGGTTCTTGGTCTCACTGACTTCAAGAATGAAGCCACGGACCCTCGCGGTGAGTGTTACAGTTCTTAAAGATGGTGTGTCCAGAGTTTGTTCCTTCTGATGTTCGGACATGTTCGCAGTTTCTTCCTTCTGGTGGGTTCCTGATCTTGCTGGCTTAAGGAGTGAAGCTGCAGACGTTCATGGTTAGTGTTACAGCTCTTAAGGCGGCGCATCTGGAGTTGTTCGTTCCTCCTATCCGGAGTTGTTCATTCCTCCCGGTGGGTTCGTGGTCTCGCTGGCCTCGGGAATGAAGCTGCAGACTTTCACAGTGTTACAGCTCATAAAGGCAGTGCAGACCCAAAGAGTTAGCAGCAGCAAGATTTATTGCAAAGAGTGAAAGAACAAAGCTTCCACAGTGTGGAAGGGGACCCAAGCCAGTTGCCCCTGTGGGCTCGGGCAGCCTGCTTTTATCCCCTTTTCTGACTTCACCCACATCCTGCTGATCGGTCCATTTTACAGAGAGCTGATCGCTCTGTTTTGACAGGGTGCTGATTGGTGTGTTTACAAACCTTGAGCTAGACACAGAGTGCTGATTGGTGCATTTACAATCCCTGAGCTATACACTGAGTGCTGATTGGTCCATTTACAATCCTCTAGCTAGACATAAAAGTTCTCCAAGTCCCCACTAGATTAGCTAGACACAGAGCACTGATTGGTGCATTTACAAACCTTTAGCTAGACACAGAGTGCTGATTGGTGCATTTACAATCCTCTAGCTAGACATAAAACTTCTCCAAGTCCCCGCCAGATTAGCTAGATACAGAGTGCTGATTGGTGTATCCACAAACCCCGAGCTAGACACAGAGTGCTGACTGGTGCATTTACAATCCTCTAGCTAGACATAAAAGTTCTCTAAGTCCCCACCAGATTAGCTAGATACAGAGTGCTGATTGGTGCATCCGCAAACCCGGAGCTAGACACAGAGTGCTGATTGGCGCATGTACAATCCTTCAGCTAGACATAAAGTTCTCCAAGTCCCCACCATACTCAGGAGCCCAGCTGGCTTCCCCTAGCGGATGTCATGCAGGGGCAACGGTCGGAGCTGCCCGCCAGTCCCACTCCACTTGCCGGCACTCCTCAGCCCTTGGGCAGTCGATGGGACCAGGCACCACGGAGAAGGAGGTGGAGCCCCCACTGGGGAGGCTTGGGCCGCGCGGCAGCCCATGGGGTGTGGGGGGCGGGGGTCGGGCATGGTGGGCTGCAGGTCCGGAGCCCTGCCCTGCGGGCAGGCGGTTGAGGCCCAGCGAGAATTCGAGCGCAGCACGGGCGGGCCATCAGTGCTGCGGGACCCAGCGCACCCTCTGTAGCTGCTGGCCTGGGTGCTAAGCCCCTCACTGCCCGGGGCCGCTGGGAGTGTGGGGCCTGCCAAGCCTGTGCCCACCCGGAACTCGCGCTCGCTCGCGAGCGCCGCACGCAGCCCCAGTTCCTGCCTGCGCCTCTCCCTCCACACCTCCCCGCAAGCAGAGGGAGCTGGCTCCCTCCTGGGCCAGCACGGAGAGGGCCTTCCACAGTGCAGGGGCAGGCTGAAGGGCTCCTCAAGCGCGGCCAGAGTGGACGCTGAGGCCAAGAAGGCGCCAAAAGCAAGCGAGGGCTGCTAGCATGTTGTCACCTCTCAATATGATAGATAACAGTGTGATAAATAGTAAGAACATAGGAAAACGTATGGAAGAATACAGGTACACAGGTTGGTTACCTTGAAAGCATGGGAATGGAGATATCACTAAACATAAAATATTTAATGATATCTCCATTCCCATACTTTCCCACTAAAATGAAATATTCCCATTTCCATTGTGTATATATTTTTATTAAATATATATAAAATAAAATATTCCCATTCCCTTAAAATATATAAAATAAAATATTCCCATTCCCAATATATATTTTCTTAGTTTTTTCAGGCTGCTGTAACAAAATACCATAAACTGAGTAGTTTATAAGCAACAGAAATTTATTTCTCACAGTTCACACAGTTCTGGAGCCTGGGAAGTCCAAGATTAGAGCACCAGAAGATTTAGTATCTACTGAAGGCTTGCTTTCTGGTTCATAGGCAGAGCCTTCTCAATGTGTCATCACACAATGGAAGGAACTAGCTATGTCTCTGGGGTCTCTTTTATAAGGGCACTAATCCCATTTATACGAGCCCCACTTATCATTACACTGAGGATTAGGTTTCAACATATAAATTTTGAAGGGAAAAACATTCAGTCTATTGCATTAAGAAGAGAAGAAAAGAAAAAAGTGTGCATATGAGTGATGACAGAGGTTGGGGGAAGATTAGATAAGGATTAGGATCTTGGTTGCCAGTAACTTCATGAATCTTTGAGGGTCTCACCCCTCTGCTTATCAGTGATCGCATTCAGAAGTAAACATGAAATCATATAGATTGGGGTTAAGAATAGAATTTTTGGAGTCTGACAGATGTGGGTTCAAGTCTTAACTCTTTCAATTTGAATGGCTAAAAGCAAATTGCTTGCTTAGGCTCATTAAGCTTCTTTCCTTTTCTGTAAAATGGGGAGAATCATGCTACCTGCTCATAGTGCTGTAGTGATGGCTAAATACATTAATGTGAGTAAAGCTCTTAACATGGTGCTACGATGCCATAAGTGGTATCATTATTATTAATAGGTAATAATAGCATATAACAAGGATAATTCAAATCTAAATTTCCAAAATTTCTCACCTGTGTTGAAAATTTTTTTGAGTTCAATGGAAGTGCCTCAGAGAGGAAAAACGACTCTTTAAAATCAAGTCTGGATAAGTAATAGGGAAGAAGATAGATGGCTTCTAAAGAAATTAGGAATTTCTTTTTGAGTTTGTGGTTTCATAGCCCTTCGAGCTTCATTTGGGGACTTTATAATTAGTTTAGTAAGGTTAAAGTAGCTGTAAGGGCTCAGATTATATTTCTCCACAGGGCTGAATTTATAGTGAGTTTATATTCCTGCTAATTGCCTCCTCTCCACAAGACCCAGGGAGACAGAATTTCCACATGGCTTTTATTCTTCTCCCCCTTCTAGGTTGGTGCAAAAGTAGTTCTGTTTTTTGCCCATTAAAAAGGCAGAAACCACAATTACTTTTGCACCAGCCTAATACTTCAGCCAGTAGCGAACAGTTAGGCTCTTGTAATTTAACTCTCAATCTGCAGTGGCAAGTACCAATTTACTCTCCCTTTAGAGAATCCTTTTTTTTTTTTGAGACGGAATTTTGCTCCTGTTGCCCAGGCTGGAGTACAATGGTGCGATCTCGGCTCACTGCAACCTCCACCTCCTGGGTTCAAGCGATTATCCTGCTGCAGCCTCCTGAGTAGCTGGGGTTACAGGCATGTGCCACCATGCCTGGCTAATTTAAAATTTTTTTTTTTTTTTTTTTTTTTTTTTTTTAGTAGAGATGGGGTTTCTCCATTTTCATCAGGCTGGTCTCGACTTCCTGACCTCAGGTGATCCACCTGCCTTGACCTCCCAAAGTGCTGGGAGTACAGGCGTGAGCCACCGCGACCAGCCCGAGAGTCCTTTCTTAATAAGCTCTGTTGCTGTTTCAGAATAGAAGCAAATACAAAGAAAAAATGGGGAAAATAGGGTGAGGAGAGTTAAAGCTAGAGATGGTGGAAAGTATTGTATTTCATTGACTTCTTAAAATGTGTATAAATATTGAGAAGCCAATATTTGAGAAAATGAAGAACTTTGTATCAAACTAAAATTATCTCTGTTCCAAGATTAAACACATTGTAATAGAGATCCAGCCCAATTACCCTGATTTGATTATAAGAACGTATCAAATTATTTATCACATGTACCCAGAAAATATGTATCAAAAATAAATTTTAAAAATATTAAAAACAGTGTTTTTAAATACTGTTTAGTATTAATATATGTCTGTGGTAAAATGACCTAGGAGAGAAGAAAATGTAATCTCAAGAGTCTTCTTTAACATTATATTTAGTAGGATGGACTTAATTTTGACTATAACTATTCACCAATAAGATATTTTATGAACTCACATATGAGGGATTTAAAAACTTACATTTATTTTGCAAAAACTTAGGCCTCTTGGGGATTTAGTCATATAAACCTGAACAATAGTCTTTAATTCATATTTAATTTAAGAATTTGATAACTGTGTCCAAACTAGCTAAAACTGACCATGATTTAACTGCATATATTTGTGGAAGATAGTAGATTTGTGACAAGTATTAAAAATTACCACTTTGGGAGGCCGAGGCGGGTAGATCACGAGGTCAGGAGATCGAGACCATCCTGGCTAACACGGTGAAACCCCGTCTCTACTAAAAATACAAAAAAATTAGCCGGGCGTGGTGGGAGGCGCCTGTAGTCCCAGCTACTCAGGAGGCTGAGGCAGGAGAATGGCGTGAACCCGGGAGGCGGAGCTTACAGTGAGCCAAGATCGGGCCACTGCACTCCAGCCTGGGCGACGGAGCAGACTCCGTCTATAAATAAATAAATAAATAAATAAATAAATAAATAAATAAATAAATTACCATTGTGTCACAAATGTATCATATAAAGCTTGTAGTGTTTGATTTTGTGAAACCGATTTTCTTAGGTACTTAACATGCATTTCTAGAATAATCGGAATTAATAGAACATTCAAGCTTTATACTGTATAATCCTCTTTTATCTAATATCTGCCACTTATTTTATGTATGATATCTCTTTAGTTTTATCCCAATCATAAGTACTATGAGAGCAGGCTTTATTACCTTCTGGTTTGCACAGAAGAAAACACTTGAGAGCAGTAAGCGCTTAACCAAGGTAACACTGTTTGTAAGTGGTAGAGGGGGAGACAAAATTGGAAATGTCTTAGTATTTTTCTTACACTAGGTTGTCTCTCCCAACACAATGAGGAATTCTTTTATAAAATACCACCTTAAGAAGGCAGGATAGTGGTGGGGTTACCTAACTTAAAGACTTTATGAATTTATTTAGTAATAGTAACAAAGTGGTTATATTCCAAGGTTCCAGGTTATCCCGTGGATAATGATAGTAATATAGAAATTCTATGAAGAGTGAAACTGATTCCTAATCCCTGAGGACTGTGTTGTTAAATTGTTAAACAATAGAAATATAAAGTGCCACACACAAATTTAGTGGATATGCAGCAATTTTTCTCAGCATGTAAAACTAACATGATTTAAAATAGAGAAAGACTATGGGGATCATTAGCTGAAATCATTGGCTGAAATCAGGAGACTGATGGTAGAAACAATGTTCTTCTTAAAAAAAATAAGAAACTAAATTCCATTTCCTGTTTTCCAGAGAGAATGGCTTTTTTCTTGTTATCAAATGCCACCTGGGTCTATTATTTATCATATTTATCTATTAAATGAACTGTATTCTATTTATTTGCAGCGCGATGGGAATGTTCATTGCTATTAATTAAACACGTAAAATTATGCTGTAGATCTTTGAACATGAGTGATGAATGCACGTAGAGTCTGTATCATCAGCCTACCATGTGCTTACAATTCCAGTCCAGGCAATCTGTGGTCAAGATAGTTCTTTTCCAAAAAAAGGCCTCTTGGAGGAAGCCTAAAACCTTCCTACAAACATTCATGTCTTATATTAATTTAGTCAGGGCCAATAGTTCCTTCAAATTTAATCCAGTTAAATGAAAACATCTAGCCTTAATAACCCACAGTAACAATGTTTCATTAATAATATTTAATATATTAGTATATATATAAAGTATTGAACACCAAAGAGTAGTATCTTAGTGCTATGTTCTATCCCTGGTTATGACTGTCTTCTCCTATGTCTCCATCGTGTATTTATCTTAACTAGAAGTACAATTTTTCCTTCTATATGAATTAAATAAATATCTTAAGTATAGATGCTTACCCACAAGAAGAATTTTGTAGTGGGTCAGATTGCCATAAAAAATAGTAAGTCCAACATTATGAAAATGTAAAAAATGATATGGGAGCTGGGCAAGATGACTGACTAGACACAGCCAGGTGGAACAGCTGCCACTGAAGATCGGGATGACTGGCACACTCCTAACAGATCTGTAGAGAAAGGGCACTGAGAGTGGACAGAGGGAAGACACAGAAGCTGGGCTGAAGAGGGAGGAAGCTGGGAACTCTGCACAGGGGCTACTTCACATCGGGACTCATTCATGGACCCCAGCGACTCCTGGAGAACAGGTGAGTTGAACTGGCAAGGAGCAACCTGCTTTCACCACAGGCCTCTGGAATCCCAGCAGGAGGAGACCCCTCAACCACCACAGCCACTTCATTGACAGGGAGAGCGGCTTAGATAAGTGGTAGGAGCAGCACTCAGCCAGTGTGGAGCCCAAAGGGTGTGTTACAGGAGCATATGTGGTGGAGCATGGCCAGGAATGCCAATCCCCCTAGGCTGCACTTGCTCCCATAGGAGACTGTTCCCCTAGGGGAACTTTAGCCCAGATGTAAACTCTGCAGGGTGGTCTTCCCTATCACCTGGGGCTGGTCTGATCTGAGCTTTCCTTGATCTGCTGGCCTTTCCCAGGGCACCCAATGCTGGACTGCAAACAGATGCAGCCAGACTGGGGCCCTGGGGGCCCGCATCATAACTCCTGCACTGTTGGACTGTGCCTGACCAGCAGAGCGGCCCTCTGGACACGCAACAGCTGACCTGTTCCTTCCCTCACTGCAGCATCCCCAGGTTCCATGGCCACTCCCCGTATTGCTTTGCTAACGCATGTGTGTGCAGGCAGATCTTGCCTTCCTTGTTCCACCGGTTTTGCATGTGAACCCTGCCATAGCACTGTAGCTGGTGTGTGTGCACTCCACCTCCCCTCCCTCTGCCATACCGCTATTGCAGCTGGAGCCCTGGTAGGTACACAGCCTTCCAGCCCTGCTCCTGCCAGCACCCCACCCCTGTGTCAACACTGCCACTGGAGTGAAACTAGGCACAAAGAACAGTGGACCCTCTCCCACCCTGTGCAGCCACCTCCACCTGTGTGAACATGTACGGAGGGCACACACAGTCCTGCACCTGCCAGTGCCTCGTCCCTGTGCTAACACCACCACCAGTGTGACCCCCACCTTCCTGAGTCATGCTACCTCTGCCACTGCTGTAAATACCTGCATGGAGGCTGGTCTCTCAGCACCCGCTAGCATCCTGCCACTCGGCCGCTGCTGCTGGCATGTGCAAACAAGGACAGATCCCACTGCTACCACCCTATGAAACACTTTGGCTAGCACTACCCATTGGAATGCTGTGATCAATGGTCCAGGAACTTAGCTCCTCCCATTGCAGTGGGATCCTAACCTTGAAGGGCCAGAGAACAAAGTCAAGGCCCAATATCAGTCCCTCAGTGTTAGAGCATGTAGTCCAGGAGTTGTGAGTTGAGCCTTGGCCACTTAAAATCTGCCAGAAATGAGGCCAGTTGACTGAGCCAGCCTTATATCACAATAAAACCCTCAAGTTCATCAAATAGGATAAAAGAAAAACAAACCATTCAAAGGACATCAATTTCAAAGACTGAAGTAACATCAGCCCACAAAGATGAGAAAGAACCAGTACAAGAACTCTGAGAACTTAAAAAGTCAGAGTGCCTTCTTTCCTCCAAATGACTGCATTAGCCCTGCAGCAAGGTTCTGAACTGGGCTGAGATGGCTGAAATGACAGAAATAGAATTCAGAATATGAACAGGAACAAAGATCATTGAGATGCAGCAGTAAGCGCAAACCCAATCCAAGGAAGCTAAGAATCACAATGAAATGATACAGGAGCTGACAGGCAAAATAGCCAGTATAGAAAAGAATGTAACTGATCTCATAGAGCTGAAAAAAACACATAAGAATTTCATAATACAATCACATGTGTTAAAACAGACCAAGCCGAAGAAAGATCTCAGAGCTTGAAGACTGGCTTTCTGAAATAAGACAGTCAGACAAGGATGAGAAAAAAGAATGAAAAGGAATGAACAAAACCCCTGAGAAATAGGGGATCATGTAAAGAGACCAAATCTATGACTCATTGGTATTGCTGAAAGAGATGGGGAGAATGGAAACAACTTGAAAAACATATTTCAGGATATCATCCATGAGAACTTCCCTAACCTAGCTAGAGAGGCCAAAATTCAAATTTAGGAAATACAGAGAACCCCGGCAAGATACCTCCCAAGAAGATCATCCCCAAGACACATAATCGTCAGATTCTCCAAGGTTGAAAGGAAAGGAAAAATGTTAAAGGCAACTAGAGAGAAAGGTCAGGTCACCCAGAAAGGGAAGCCTATCAGACTAACAGCAGACCTTTCAGCAGAAACCATACATTGCCAGAAGAGACTGGGGGCCAATATTCAACGTTCTTAAAGAAAAGAAATTCCAACCAAGAATTTTGTATCCAGCCAAACTAAGCTTTGTAAGCAAAGGAGAAATAAGATCCTTTTCAGACAAGCAAATGCTGAGGGAGTTAGTTAATCACCATCAGACCTGCCTTACAAGAGCTCCTGAAGGAAACACTAAATATGGAAAGGAAGGGCCATTACCAGCCACTACAAAAACACACTTATGTACACAGACCAGTGACACTTTAAAACAACCACACAAACAAGTCTGCATAAAAACCAGCTAACATCATGAAGACAGTATCAAATCCACATATATTAATACTAATCTTGAATGTAAACAGGCTAAATGTCTCAATGAAAAGGAACGGAGTGGCAGGCTAAAGAACCAAAACTCAATGTTAGGCTGTCTTTAAGAGATTCATCTTACATGCAGTAACACACATAGGCTCAAAATAAAGAGATAAAGAAAAATCTATCAAGCAAATGGAAAACAGAAAAAAAGCATGGGTTGCAATCCCAATTTTGGACAAAACAGACTTTAAGCCAGCAAATATCAAAAAAGACAAAGAAGGGCATTATATAATGGTAAAAGGTTCAATTCAACAAGAAGACCTAACTTTTCTAAATATATATGCATCCCAACACAGGAGCAACCAGATTCATAAAGCAAGTTCTTAGAGACCTTCAAAAAGATTTAGATTCCCATGCAATAATAGTGGGATACTTTCATACCCCACTGACAGTATTAGACACATCATTGAGGCAGAAAATTAACAAAGATATTCAGGACCTGAACTCAGCACTGGATCAAATGGGCCTGATAGACATCTACAGAACTCACCACCCAAAACAACAGAATATACATTCTTCTCATCACCACATGGCACATACTCTAACATTGACCACACAATCGGATGTAAAACAATCCTCAGCAAATGCAAAAGAATTGAATTCATACCAACCACTCTCTTGGACTACAGCAAAGTAAAATTAGAAATCCAGGCTAAGAAAATTGCTCAAAACCATACAATTACATTGAAATTAAATAACCTTCTCCTGCACAGCTTTTGGGTAAACAATGAAATTAAGGCAGGAGTGAAGAAGTTCTTTGAAACTAATGAGAACAAAGATACGAATATCAGAATCTCTACCACACAGCTAAGGCAGTATTAAGGGGAAATGTATTGCACTAAACACCCATATCAAAAAGAAATATCTCAATTTAACAACCTAATATCACAACTAAAAGAACTGGATAACCAAGAGAAAACTAACCTCAAAGTTAGCAGAAGACAAGAAATAACCAAAATCAGAGCTGAACTGAAGGAGATTGAGACATGCAAAATCATTCAAAGATCAACAAATCCTGGAACTGGTTTTTTGAAAAAATTAGTAAAATAAATAGACTGCTAGCTAGACTAATAAAAAGGAAGAGAAAAGATTCATATAAACACAATTAGAAACAACAAAGGGGATATTACCACTGACCTCACAGAAATACAAGTAACCATCAGAGAATATTATAAACACTTCTATGCACCAAAACTGGAAAATTTAGAAGAAATGATAAGTTCCTGGACACACACACTTTCCCAAGAATGAACCCAGAAGAAATTGCATTCCTTAACAGACCAAAAATGAGCACCAAAATGGAATCAGTAATAAATAGCCTTTTTTTGGTTAAAAAAAAAAGCTCAGGACCAGATAGATTCGTAGTAAAATTCTACTAGATGTACAAAAAAGAGCTGGTACAATTCCTACTGAAACTATTCCAAAAATTTGAGGAGGAAGGACTCCTTTCTAACTCATTAAATGAGGCCAGCATCATCCCGATACTAAAACCTGGCAGAGGTACAAGAAAAGAAAACTGTATGCCAACATCCTTGATGAACATTGATGCAAAAATTCTCAACAAAATACTGGCAAACTGAATCCAGCAGCACATTGGAAAACTTATCCACTATGATCAAGCAGACTTTATCTCTGCCATGCAAGGTTGTTTCAACATATGCAAATCAATATGTGATTCATCACATAAACAGAATTAAAGACAAAAACCACATGATTATCTCAATAGATGCAGAAAAGGCTTTTGATAAAATTCAACACCCCTTCATGTTAAAAACTCTCAATAAACCTGGCATTGAAGAAACATACTTCAAAATAATAAGAACCATATATGACAGATGCACAGCTAACATTATACTGGATGGGCAAAAGCTGGAAGCATTACCCTTGAAAACCAGCATAAGACAAGTATGCCCTCTCTCACCACTTCTATTCAACACAGTACTGGAAGTCCTGGCCGGAGCAAAATAGGCAAGAGAAAGAAATAAAGGGCACCCAAATAGGAAGAGAGGGAGTCAAACTATCCTTGTTTGCAGACAATATGATTCTATACCTAGAAAACCCCATAGTCTTGGACCCAAAGCTCCTTAAGCTGATATACAACTTCAACAAAGTCATTGATCATCTTTTGATGATGCTGGGTAATTATATCTGTAAGATCCTCAGATCCTCTGACACCAGTTGGATATGCAACAATTCAATTCAGTTCTGACAACAGCTTACCAGAGTTAGCATCATCTCCACAGTTTTTAACACTGAGTCCTATAAGACTTCCCACACTTCAGATGCCAGACAAAAATGAGATGCCCAGACGCACACTTCTGCTTGGACAAACTGCAAGCTCAGGGGTTCCCATGACCCATCCTCTCAGATTCAATATTTTACTAGAATGGTTTAGAGAACTCAGGAAAACACTTTACTTACTTTTACCAGTTTATTGTAAAGGATACAACTCAGGAACAGCCTAATGAAAGAGAGACATAAGGCAAAGAATTGGGGATGGGGAGTGTGGAGCTTTTATGCTCTATCCCACCATACCACCTTCCCAGGAAATCAACATGTTCACCAACAGAAGCTCTTCAAATCTTGTTCAAGAGTTTTTATAACCCAATTTCTAGCCCCTCTCTCCCCTCCCTGGCAGAGGGGGTAGGGGAAAGTAGGGCTGAAAGTTCCCATTCTCTAATCATTTGTGTGTCTTTCTGGTGACCAGACCCCAATGCTGAAAGCTATTTAGGGATCCCAGCGTGTGTCATCTTATTAGCATAAACTCTGGTGTGGTCAGAAGGGGCTTGTTATGACTAACAAAAGACACCCCTATCACTCAGGAAATTTCAAGGAGTTTAGGAGCTCTATGCCAGGAACTGGGGACAAAAACCAAATATATATATTTTATTATACCACATCATTATTTTAAAAAATGGTAAATAGAAGAAAAATAAAAGGAAAGAAGCAAACTTTTAAAAATTGCCTCCCTTCCTTACAGAATTGAACTTCAGGATAACAAAATAGTTGATAAATGGAAGTTTCTTATTATAGAAAGAGCTACTAAATAAAGAATGCTAGAATTAAAAATCACTACTTTGGCATTCCTGATGAAAACATTGAAAAACAACAGTTTACTAAATCCAAAGGCCTTGATTCAATCTTTGAAGAATAGCTGAATGAGGTTAAGTGTCAGGAATATGATCAGAGAGGTAGTAGGAGCCAATTCTATTGGTAAAGATTTTGGTTGTATTTGTGCCACGTTTTCTTAATCCAGTCTATCATTGTTGGACATTTGGGTTGGTTCCAAGTCTTTGCTATTGTGAATAGTGCCGC
This sequence comes from Homo sapiens, assembly GCF_000001405.40. Taxonomy (NCBI): domain Eukaryota; kingdom Metazoa; phylum Chordata; class Mammalia; order Primates; family Hominidae; genus Homo; species Homo sapiens. The sequence continues at coordinate 86,100,042 of NC_000001.11, read as the reverse complement.
AATAAACATACGTGTGCATGTGTCTTTATAGCAGCATGATTTATAATCCTTTGGGTATAGTGCACATGTACCCTAAAACTTAAAGTATAATAATAATAAAATTTTAAAAAAAAGATTTTGGTCGGATTTTATTCTGATTGTGTTGAATATTCATTGAAGAGTTCTAAGCAGGCAAATAACATCATCCAGTAATATTCTAGGATACTTCTGGCTGTCATGTGGAGAATAGTTTGGGGTGGGAGACAGGTGGAAACAGGGATACCAGTTGAGTCTACTCTGCTAGTCATCCCTAGTCCATGCCATTTGTGATGATGGCATGGATAAAGGTATTAGCAGTTGAGGTGGTGAGAAGTGGTCACAATCTAGATACATTTTGAATTACAGTCAACATGATTTGCTGGTAGATTACATATATAGTGTGAAAGAGAAGAGCCAAAGATAATGCTAAGGCTTGAGCAGTTGAACAGCTGCTATTATGGGACCTCCTATCTGCTATAATGAGAAATAACATGTTTGCAGGTTTTTCTTTGTATGTTTTGTCTTGGTTTCACCTGGTAGGAAATAACAACTTTTCATTAATCATTTTAAAGAGTCAATATTTGGCTTTGTTAATTTTCTCTATGGACTACATTATATTTCACTGATTTCAACTCTTTATTATTTTCTTCCTTCTGCTTATTTTATATGTAATTTGTTCTTCATTTTCCAGCTTAAGGTGGAAAGCTAAACTACTGATTATAAACCTTTCTTCTCTTCTAATATTTAAAGTTATAAAGTTTCCTTTAAAAACAGATTTAACTGCATCTCACAAAATTTGATATGTTACATTTTCATTATCACTCGGAAATATATAATTTCTTTTTTGACCTGCTTATTTAGAAGTATGTTGTTTTCTTTATTATTTTTCTAATTTAGTTCCATTTTGATCAGAGAGCACATACTGGTGGAATTTAACCTTTTAAAATTTACCAAGGCATTTTATGGCCCAATATGTGACCTATTTTTGTCAACATTCTACATATACTTCAAAAGATTGTGTATTTTGCAGTTATTTGGTGTGGTGTTATATAAATGCCAATTAGATTATGGTGGTTAATGATAGTGTTAACCTCAGGTCAGATTTTCCCCTCCCCCATTTTTTTTGTATGTCTAGAAGATTTTGTATATACTGGATATTGTGGATGATACGTTGAAGAGATGTTAGATTCTGTTACGTCCTTTGAATTGAAGACTGTTCATTTTTATTCTGTAGATAGTTAAATAACTGGTTCATCACCTTAAACTTAAAGGTTTGGTAACTTTTTACCAAAAGAGTCACCTTAAACTTATGGGCTTGGTAACTTTTTAAAGGACAGATTTGTTTCAGTTTTGCTCTTGGTGTGAGTCTCAGTCCAAGGATGTCATATTTACTTCTAAAGCATGGCCCTTCCTGAATGTCAATGGAAAGGTGTTTACCAAAGTATTTACCATGTTCTTCTAAAAGGATGTGGCTAAACCCCCAAACTGTTTCCCCTGTGGTGACCAGCAGCTGATATTTATGTTCAATTCTTTCAGCCTTCCACCTGCTTCTGTTGAGCTCTTTGGAGTCTACCTCATATAAGCACATGTTAGTGTCAGCCAAGGATGAAAAATCTATATCCAGCATTTGGGGGAAGCTCCTTTCTTTTCTTCCTCTCCTTTCCTTTCCTCTCCTCTGCTCCCCTCCCCTTTCCTTTCCTTTCTTTCTCTTGCTTCTCTGTCTTTCCTTCCTTTCTTCTTTTTCCTTCTTTCTTTTAATTTTCTTCCCCAATTTACAGTCATTCTGGTAGCCCCTTACTCTGACCTCTGACACCATTAGTAAAAGGTCTATTTCTGCTTTAATTCTAGTCACTCCATGCAGACTAGGGAGTATCCTCAGGAGACAAGCTGTATAAATATGTATTACACAAAGTATGGGTCTCCCTTTCAAGGGTTGAATCCCCTCCAGTGTATCCTGTTTTTGGTTGCTCTCCTGTATACTCACATAATGTTGTTTTATGTATCTTATCCTGACTTTGTAATCATTATCTACAGGAGGATTCATCCCATACATGCTACTCTGTGACTATCTGGACGAGAATTTCCAAGAGCTCTTTCTTGGACATATTCAACTGAGATCACTATTTAACATCCAAGTGGAGATTTAAAAATAGGATTTGGATCTGGAGTTCAGGGGACATGCCATAGCTAGAAATACAGTTTACAGTCATCAGTGTATATGTGGAATTTAAAGATATAGAGTTCATGAGATCATCTAGGGATGAATGCAGATAACGTCCAAAGACTAAGCCTTATGGGGGGTACTCCAGAGTTTAATAAATAGGAAGAGGAAGAGGAAGAAGAAGGAGGAGGAGGAGGAGAAGGGGAGGAGGAGGAGGAGGAAGAATAAGAATAAGAAAAAGAAGAAGGAGGAGGAGAAGGAGAAGGACGAGGGAGGAGGAGGGGGGAGGAGGAGGGGGAGGAGAAGGGAGGAGGAGGGAGGAGGGAGGAGGAGGGAGGAGGGAGGAGGAGGGAGGAGGAGAAGGGAGGAGGAGGGAGGAGGAGGAGGGAGGAGGAGGAGGGAGGAAGAGGAGGGGGGAGGAGGAGAAGAAGAAGGAGGAGGAGAAGTAGAAAAAGGAGAAGAAAGACGAAGAAAGAAAAGAGAAGAAAGAAGGAGAAGAAGAACAACAACAACAATACAATAACAACAAGATTGAGAAAGAATGATAAGTGAAGTAGGATAGTGGTAGGGACAAAAAAGTCTGTGTAGAGTAGGTCCAAGAGAGAACAAAAGGAGAGGAGGTCTCCTAGCTAACAGAAACAACTTAGGAGTTTCACTCTAAAAGGGAATAGCATAAGGAGCAGAAAGGAGACATGTAGGCTCAAGGAAAGCTTTTTTTAAGATGACAAAACTTAAAGTATGTTTACTGTAATGGAAATTATCCTGGGTATATAGAAATTATTCTGAAGAGAAGTAAAAGTTAAAATAATGCAGGAAAAACAGAGCGTCAGTGATAGCCTGGTGAAAGAATGGTGGATTTGTCTGTTTAATGAGAGAAGGCAGAGCATTTTAGAACAGAGTTAGGTTGAGGTAGTAGACTTGGTTGTGAGAACTTATAAAAATTAAAAACAAGATCACTAGCTAAGAGGAAAGAAAGAGAAGGAGTTATGAAATAATCATCTATAAAAATGGGAATGTGAATTGACTAAGACAATTATTGGACACATTAAATAAAAGACCAAACAATGAAAGAAGTTATGAATTTAAAGTGAAGTTTGTCAACATGAATTTTTTCTCTTAGTCACATTCGGCTGTTAGGCAGGTGCAGAATAGATAGAATTTAGATTTAAGAATTGCCAGGTAAGCTTATAAGACAGAGAGAGAAAGGGGAAGTAGGGTCATTTATGTATGCAATGGAGTGACTATGTTAGACCCTTGTATTTAGGCTGAGGAGGAAAGCGAGGCCATAAGGGGGATGAACCAATGAAAATGTGGTAGGATCCACATATTAGCAGCTTCAAATAAATAAATGTTAAAGTGAATCAAATAAATGTTAAAGTTGTGGAGGCCTATGAAGAGTGGGCTAAAGATAGGAAGTGTTGGTTGGAGAGTGTAATTGAGATTATGAAGCTTATGTGGTTATTAGTAATGTCAAAGTCAAGAATATCCAAATGATGCTACCTCAAGGTCATGTCATTTAGTGTTTCCTTTGTGATATTCTCACAATTTAGTTCATTCCTACTCTGAATTTTTAGATTCCAAATTATTCTCTATTAAAGTTTTGCTGCTTCATTAATAATTCACTCAAAAGTTGTGTTATCTGCTTTCCAAGATGGCAACAATTGTAAAAGTGATTTTAATAATAATTGTTTTTAGTCCTGTTAATTTTAGTACTGACTACTAATACCTTTATAATCCATAGAGAATTTGGTCCTAAAGCTCATTATTATTAATACGAGTTTACAGAGAAGAAATCTCAAATTGAGAGTTTAAATGAATTGTTTGGTGTTTTCACTCCAAATCCCAATGCTCTTTCAATTATATTGAGCAGATGCTAATCTAAGATAAATCTGTTCTAACATGTTAATGGGTCCTCTACCTTGGGGACTTTCCCTCCCTAGACCGAGGGCCCTCTGGAGATTCAATAATGGACTAAAAGACTTACTCTGATAAAAATGATTTTAAACTCTAGCAGATCAGTGGGATAGTTGGAACTTTGAGTAACAAAGAATAGGCAATTTCCTTTTCCTCTTACTCATAGTCAAAAGGATATATACTTCCTTTAACAAAAGTCATGCAGAAGTAAGTGGAAGTCGGTACTGAGGTTCAGAGTCAGTTATGATTAATTAATGAATTTATAAGTATTTTATATAATTCCAAAGGGGATTTGAAAAACTAATCAAGTAAGATGAAAAGTGTGTCAAGAGTCCAACAGTTGATACAAAATGAGGGAGAAAATAAGAAATTTTGGAGTTTTCTCCTTCAATGCAGAGAAGCATGCCCTACTTCCTTGACATTTTAGATAAAGTTGGCATTATTCAATAGTCTTCGCTGCATGCATTTTATATTAGGAAGGATCAGCCCACAACTAGCCAAGTTAAGAGCATTTCCTCCATACTGACTTGAAATTCCCATTCTAAAACATGAGTTGATCAATTAACTCAATCATATTTGTGTAGAACAAAGAGAAATTTGACATATATGTGTCAAATGTGTTGCCCAGATGTATAACACATGAAGAAAAAGTACCCTTTAAAATCTAATTTTTATTGTTCAATTGATTACTTTTGCCCACTCTATCAATTTTTAAAGTGGAGATTAAACATTAAATTATTTGATGATATTAAGAAAGCTGACAGATGATAGAAAATTCAAATAGGATCTAAACGTAAGAATTTTTAACATGATATTTATAATAAAAACATTGGCCACAAAGGGTTTTATTATATTTAAACTTTTCAAGGGCTATCATTTCTTATTTTAAAAATCTTTGTAAATTATAGCCTTGAATCAACTAGTTAGCTTTTATAATAAAAGATTAAAATATATTAAAACCAATAGATAAGATTTGTAATAGGCATTGTGATACAAGAAAGAAAATGGACATTGTTTGCCAATACTTTCCTAAGTAATCCTTAGCAAGTCAATTAACTCTTCTGGGCTTTATTGCTTCTTTTATCTACAAAATATGTTTTACTAGATAAGCTCTAATTACTCTTATAAATTCTAAGTATATTAACTTTTTTGATGATGAGTTAAGTTTTTAAATATTAAGATATCACCAAAGCCATTTCTTAGGTTTCATAACCTTGTAACCAATGACCTAAAATTGTAGCCTTAATAGTGGAGCAAACAGTGATGGCTATGATGAAAAAGAGGTCAACCTGGAAGACAAACTTTCCTTATAGAAAAAAAAAAATTTGAAGTTCAGGGGTACATGTGCAAGTTTGTTACATATGTAACATTGTGTCATTAGGGGTTTCTTGTACAGATTATTTCATCACCCAGGTATTGAGCCTGGTTCCCATTAGTTATTTTTCCTGATCCTCTCCCACCTCCCACCCTATGTCTGTTGTTCCCCTCTCTGTGTCCATGTGTTCTCATCATTTAGCTCTCACTTATAAGTGAGAATATGTGGTATTTGGTTTTCTGTTCCTGTGTGAGTATGCTAAGGATAATGATTTCTAGCTCCATCCATGTCCCTATAAAGGACATGATCTCATTCTTTTTTATGGCTGCATAGTATTCCATGGTGTATATACAGTACCACATTTTCTTTATCCAGTCTATCATTGATGGGCATATAGGTTGATTTCATGTCATTTCTATTGTGAATACTGCTGCAATGAACATATGCATGCATTTGTCTTTATAACAGAATGATTTCTATTCCTTTGGGTATATACCCAGTAATGGGATTGCTGAGTCAAATGGTATTTCTGTCTCTAGGTCTTTGAGGAATTGCCACACTGTCTTCCGCAATGGGTGAACTGATTTATACTCCCACCAACAGTGTATAAGCATTTCTTTTTCTCCGCAACGTCACCAGCATCTGTTATTTTTTGACTTTTTCAAAATAGCCATTCTGTCTGTTGTGAGACGGTATCTCATTGTGGTTTTGAATTGCATTTCTCTAATGATCAGTAATGTTGAGATTTTTTTCATATGCTTGTTGGCTGCATTTATGTCCTCTTTTGAAAAGTTTCTTTTCATATCCCTTGCACACTTTTTAATGGGGTTGTTTGTATTTTTCTGGTAAATTTGTTTAAGTTCCTATACATGCTGGGTATTTGACCTTTGTTGGATGCATAGTTTGCAAAAATGTTCTCCCATTCTGTAGGTTGTTTGTTTACACTGTTGATAGTTTCTTTTTCTGTGCAGAACCTCTTTGGTTTAATTAGATCCCATTTGTCAATTTTTGTTTTTTTGCGATTGCCTTTGGTGTCTTCATCATGAAATCTTTGCCTGTGCCTATGTACTAAATCATATTGCCTAGGTTGTCTTCCATGGTTTTTATAGTTTTGGGTTTTACATTTAAGTCTTTAATCCACAGACACATAGACCAATGGAATAGAATAGAGAACACAGAAATAAGACTGCACACCTACAACTATCTGATCTTCGAAAAACCTGACAAAAGCGAGCAATGGGGAAAGGATTCCCTATTCAATAAATGGTGCTGGGATGACTGGCTAGCCATATACAGAACATTAAAACTGGACCCCCCTTCCTTACACAATGTAGAATTTTTCTTTGACTATAGAATACAGGACTCTGCCAGTGAGGGTTCATTTCTAATTTGTAAAATGAAAATACTTACTGGGGGACACGCAGGACTTTTCTTTTGGTATTTCATCCTTCATCAGTCAGCTTAAGTGTCATTTAAAAGCATCTCTGAATATGTAAAGAAGATATGACTATTTCCCAGTGAAAATAGTATTTAGAAGTATCTAGGAAGGAGAATTATTTATTCTTAGTTGAGAATGGTAATAAAATCAGAATTTGAATTTTAAAGAATCTCCATTGTGGCCCCTATATTTTGAGATATGACAAATTGTTTGAAAAAGAGTTACTTTGCTACTATGCATCATAAAAATATTTTGATATTGTACCCAAAAACTTTAGCTGAAACCTAATGTCATATTTATCTTGAAATGTAAAAGATAAAGATCCCCACACTGTGAAACTTATCTAATTTTATAACAGAATAAAAAGAATTTTGTGGATTAGAGGTATCTTTTTTATGTTCATTTTTCTTAATAATAAAAGTAATACATGTGCATTGTAATATTTTGGAAAATATTTAAACTTGGAATGATATCTTAGAATTTTAAGGATTATTATAAGAAGTTTTCTTTTACTAAAGTAATAGTCTTTCAATGCTAAAATAGGAATAACAACTCAATATGTCACAAAAATGGAAAAAATAATAAATCTACCTAGGTCCTTCAAGAAAAATGTTTCAATAGTAGTATAACTTTAAATTTATTAGATTAAAAAATCAACTATGTCTAGAGAACTTTTAGGAATCTTCTCATCATTTAAAAATAAGGCTAAGAAAAATATACATTAAAAAATGAAATAACCAATGCCTATCTCAATGTAAAATTATTTTATTTAACACCATATAATGTATATAACATCTGGTAATAAATACCTGAAGATATATGACACATTATATGCAACTTATGCTTCACCAACTGTTTTATAACTATTTTATTTAGGGCCCCAAAGGAGATCCAGGATTTTCCCCAGGTCAACCTGTTCCTGGAGAAAAGGTAATTATTTGACCATGAAATGAAATTATGGTAATATATTTCAAGCATTTTAAAATAATTTAAGCATTTTTAAATGTAGATTTTACTGTATCAGACAGGAAAAAAACATGAGAATTAATTGTTGGATTTTAATGAAGGAAGAACTATTTGAAGAATTAAGTAAATTTTATCACCAGTTTCACTTATTGATTTAAGTCTTAACATTACTTTTATTAAAGGTCTACTGTGGCCTGCCACTGTACTATCTGCCAATGAGGGGGTGGATGGGGTAAAAATTACAACAGGATGTGGTCCTAACTGCAGACATTTTGCTGTTAATACATATGTACACAATAATATATAAATTGTAATGCCAATTTACATATTTTTAGAATAGTTTCACATACTTTATGATGTTTAAGTACCATGGTACTCTCTGTGAGAGAAGCGGTCACCACTATCTTGTTTTCCCATTGAGAAAACAGAATTCATAGATTTTAACTGACTTATCACATGGACAGTAAATGACAGAGTTGATGATATATCCAAATTTTTGGACTTCTTGTCCAGTATGCTTTCATTTCATCCTAACACTGCCAATACAAACATATACATATTTTAGTAAAAACTAGTTTTAAAGCAAAGATAACTACAAAAACTTTATTGGGAGAAGGATACTGTTTTCTAGTGAGGATAAATACAAATGGAGTCTTAGGAGGACATCTGGGAAGTTTTGTTTAGACAGGCACTTTATAAATGTAATATAATTATGGGATGTGTTTTTTAATGTAGTATACATTCACAAACTTTAAAAATCCCTGAACAATTTTGGTGGTTACAAAATCGATCTGATCTTATTGGCTTACAGAAACTATCATAAAGTTTGAAATCTGATCTTTTCATTGGCTTACAGAAACAATTGTAAACTTAAAAAAAAACATAATTACTCTACAGATACTATATGAAAGAGTAAATCCTCAAAAAATTATTTTATTTTGTTTTTAAATTTTTTACTGGTATACAATAGTTACACACATTTTGGGAGTACATACTCAACATGTTTTAAATCTAAAATTTTAGTAATTTTATTATTGTGGTGGAACTGAGTTCACTGAGTCTAAATAACTTGGAATAGATTATTACTATAAACATAGTATTTTCATTACTGTCTTAATTATTGCAAGGACAAAATTCTGCAATATGAGAAACACAAGTGCCATATTTTAAAATATCTAAACATAATATATTTGATTTCTTAACTTAAAATTTAGAAATTAGAGGCCCACTCAATTTTGGTGACTATTTTAAGTAAAACCCCTAGATTAAACATTCATATTTATATCAAATGCTTGGTTTTATCTTTCCCTGTGGCTTCTCTGAGCAAAATATAGGGTGATTCAATATGGGAATTCAGACTTGGAAGCATGTTAGTCTTTTTTCACTTTTTGAGTTACTTATATACTAACTGTGGTTAAAACTATAACAGAAACATATTAAGATATAAAATTTAATAGTATATTGCCATAGAGCTTTAGTAAAATCCAACTTTTAAAATTAATAGAGGTATTCCTAAAATGGTAAAATTTAAAAATGATCTGTTAGAAATTGTACTTACATTAAATTGGATTCAAATATACTGAGGAAAAAGGAAACTGGTTATACACATAAATCTGAATACAAATAAAATATAAACATTAACTTGGTGGAAGTAGAAGGGGGTGGGCAAACAATTGTATTTTAACCATTTAGCCATTTTTAACAATAAATGTATGGTCAATGGTGAAAGAGAAAAATAAATGCAGGATTTAGTACTTCACCATGTAACATCCACTAAGTAACATCTGTAATAGATCATACACAAGGTTTTAAGCCCTTTGGGAGCTTAAAAAGAGCATGCATAGATCGTTTTTAAATGGTGTAAGTTTTTCCTTTCCCATAAGACAGGTGAGATGACATTGACATAATCATCATCACCATCATCATTATCAACCTCATTTTCCAGAGGAGGAATCTGAGGAGAAATTAAATGATTCCTTCATGACTAAAGCTAGTGGAAGAGGACCAGCCTCTAGTTTCCTCTTTCCTTGTGCAGTTTTATCTTCCTTCTATCAGAGTAATAAATGTAAAAAAGGTAGCGCTAATCGGTAACGCCTAGTCTGTTCGAGCCAAGCACATGATGGACTTCCCAATCAATTTTCGCTCGTTACTCCGGGGTGAGGGACGTTCTGTGTAGCTGGCACGCAGGATGGAAGGCACCAGCTCAGCTCCAGAAGCGGAAGTGCCTCCTGTGCGTCACGTGAACCTAGCTGGTCCCACCACAGCCCGTGAGATTCTCTCTGGGAGACCTACCAGGCTGCAGGTGCTCACAGAAACGGAGTAGGGGTGACACCTCAACAGCTGTTTCACAATGCACTTGTAGATTTTTTAGGGAAACTACTTTCAATTTTTTTTCTTTTTGTCTGAGACAGAGACAGAGTTTCACTCTTGTTGCCGAGGCTGGAGTGCAGTGGCGAGATCTTGGCTCACTGCAACCTCTGCCTCCCGGGTTCAAGTGATTTTCCGGCCTCAGCCTCCTGAGTAGGTGGGATTACAGGTGCCCGACACCATGCCCGGCTAGTTTTTTGTATTTTTAGTAGAGACGGGTTTCACCATGTTGGCCAGGCTGGTTTTGAACTCCTGGCCTCAAGCAGTCCACCTGTCTCGGCCTCCCAAAGTGCTAGGATTACAGGCCTGGGCCACCGCGCCCAGCCCTACTTTCAATTTTTAAAACATGGTAGACCTTGGACTGAGGCGAAGTTTGACAGCAAGGGCATTATTACAGAAAAGAACATCAGAGAAAACGGAGCAAGGATATGGAGGTGGGAAAATACAGTTCAGTTATTAAGCCCTGGAAGAGATAAGGAAAGGCAGGAAGCCTCAGAAACAGGCTCAAAGATTGTGAAGATTGGAAATGATTGTAATAAGAGCTGATGTCCAAAATTAAAAGGAGCTTTAATTTTCAAGAGAATTCTAATTTTCAGTTCTCTTTCATGACATTAAACGTCTGTATTTTGTTTATAGGGTGATCAAGGCCTTTCTGGATTAATGGGCCCCCCTGGTATGCAAGGTGATAAGGTAAGTTGGAATTTTACTTCTTTTCTTTTTTTCTTCTTTTTTTCTTTTTTTTGTCTTTTTCTTCAGGGATACCTGTTCTGAAACATAATTGGATGATATATGGATCTTGGAGGTCTTCAGTGACTATGATCTCATTTTGAAGTTGACCCTAAAACTAATGTTTTAAAATTCCTTTTCTCAGCAAAAGAAAATTAGGATGCCATCATCATCCCGGAAACTGGTGCCCACAAAAGGCAGAATCTTATGAAAAATAAAAGAAGACCCTTCAATTAATAATGGGCACAGAATTCACATGCAAGAGAAAGTCAGTGATAGAATATTGAAGCTTTCCTTTTTAAAACTATATTAGGGAAATGACCTACTTCTGAGATCTTGAAGTCACTTTATGACTTTTATATGCCCAAAGTGAGGTTTACTTGCTTATAGGTAATACATATGGATTTGTTAAGGGGTTCTCATTTTACTGGGAAATAATAATCTCTGTCTTGAGGTATATACAGATGTGAGGCTTGAAGGGTAGGATGGAAGTGACGTGAGGATTGGGGACAGCTAGTGAAAAACAGTAGTCATGTTCATATGACTAAGCTTTTTGTGAGGTAGAAAGGAGTACTGACACAGTTGCAATATTTATTTTATAAAATATATCTTTTAGTTTCCTGGATTAACAGAAGTATAACTTCTTTTCTACCTGGTCAGCTTGTTTTTTCCCAAACACTAAGTTATTGATTTTCTACAGGGAATGAGGAAAATAAAAAATTTCTTCTTAAGGTGTTAAAAGCACCAAAATATTGTAGGGCAGTATTTGACTTGATATGGATATCTAAATACATATAATAATGAGCTGTGTTGTTGTCTTAGTGTTCCATATTCCTTTCCTATTGGGAGACTTAGGTTGCAAGTGGTATTCAGGCCCTGGTTGCTTCGTTCAAACCCCAACTGCCATTTTGTAGGTTCCATCAACTTTGGGCAGGTTGCTTAACTTCTAAGCTTCAGTTACCTCATTTGTAAATTGTGAAGATAATACTATCCACTTCATAGGGAGTTTGGGAGAAGACAGAATGAGATAATCCTTGCAACACCGTGTCACATAAATTGTCAGCCCTTAATAAATGTAAACCGTCAGCTATTTATCTGGTTTTGGAAATAATGCTGGCCTCTTTTGCTTTCCTTCATAACCCCTGCTATAGTGCTGAATTGTAAAATAATGAAAAGGTACTCATGAGAGTATTTTACCTTGAGTGACCACACCATTATTTTAATGTCCTTCAGACTAGTCTTCATCCTAGACCTTAGTTAGAATCTGGTAATTCCCTTGAGATTGTTGGTTGCCCCCGCAAGGAGACATGAAACTGCAGTGATCTTTTCTGACAGAATTGATCTTGATATACAGTCATGAACCTGTTTATTTTATGCTACTGAGTATACATCTGACTACTCATATCTCTTAGGAGATTGTACTGACATATATCATCAAAGAAGACCTCATAATATGGATATGATCTCAATTACTTTAGTTGATATTAAATATACAGTTATTGCATCCTATGCAGTGACACTGTACATGACAGAAGAATAAACTACTCATTACTTTCTGTAGTTAAATGATATCTGTGGTTCATGAAATTAGCACTCCAGAAAAGGACACATTAAGTAAATGTTGAGTAGTTTTTGTATAGAAGAGTATATGACATGCAGTCTCTGGGAGTAAATATTATTCATAGACAAAAAATACTTTGATTTTAACCATTAGAGCAGATTATCATTTTAACTTTGAAGTTGTACTTGTTTAAAGCAGAATTACTAACTTTCAGAGACCCGTGTACATGTTATATGGCCCATCAGTATTTTAAAATAGTAAGAATATATTCTTTTTGGTCTATGTAACATTATTTTGAATTATTTTTTTCTAGTAAAGTCATATAACAGCATTATTTTAAACATACTGGGCCATGAATTGAATATCTTTCACAGATTTCTTGTTTCTCTTATAAGATTTTTTAAAAAGCTTTCAATCTGGCTTTTAGTATTAGCTGATAGAAATAGACCTGATAGAAGTCAGGGATCTTGGCGTATTATCAATTAAGAGCTATTGCAGGATCTTCTTGAGATAAGGTTTAGTTGAAAGTATTTAGAAAGTGACTTACTTTCTGATAAAGGAAGAATCCCTGGTTCACTGTGATTTGACAGTAGTTCAGAATAGCGTTGAAATATTTGAGATTATTTTGTAATATTTCTTGGAATATTTTCCCCCTTTTCAGAGTGTCTCTATTAATGGAAACTATATACAGATTTTTGAAAAACAAGTATAACTAGGAAAAGGATATAATGGCTCCATTTAAGCCTAAACTAATTCTCCACTTCGCAGGCTTGGGACAAGTTTGTGTCATACTCCTTATGGTATGTCTTACTTTAATATGAATATACAATATTTCCTTATGATTGATGCCTGTTACTGGTGAATTATTCTGTTCCTTTGGAGGTTTGATGTTTCCTTGCTTTTTCATGTTTGATGTGTTCCTACAATGATTTCTACACATCTGGTGGAAAAATTACCTCTTCTAATTTTATGGAGTAGGTTTCCTAGGGAAAGACTTATTCATATGAATAAGTCTTGGGGTGTTGTTTTGGTGGGATATATTGGCTTTGGTTCTAGGTGAACACAGTAATGTAGTCTCCATGTAGTTTCTTCAGGTGTAATCCATGCTGGTGACATTTATGAGTGTCTCAGTAGCCTAGGCTGAGAGAGTTTCTGGTGGTGGTGGTGAGGCTTTGTCAGGGGTGGGCTTGCCACGCTGTTTCTCAGGTCAGGGACATGTGCATGCACATGGTAGGTCAGCCAACTTGGAGCTGGGTTTGGGGCTATGGGTCTGTTACTCTGGCCAGAAGCACGTTAATTCGATATTTGTTAGACAGTGGTATTTAAGTATATCTGTGTACCTCTAGCATGTTGCAAGAGGAAGTAAAATACTGGTTTTCATGAAAGCCAAGGAAACAAATATAGTTTTGGATGACAGATAACAGTGACTTCATTTTTCTTTTTCTCTGGAAAGTACCTGTAAATATTAAAATTTGTCTAATATAAACCAAACTCAAGTAATCCTTAAAGCTAAAATGTCTGCAAGAAAGTTATGTGAAATACACTAACAACTCATAAAAACTGTTGAGGTAAATAAAGAGAAGATTAATGTAAAAAAAAAGTCTTGAAAACTGAAAGTGAAATTGAGATAGAGAAGGCAAGCAAATTAGCAGCAGTATTCTCTTCAGTCTTTCATAGATTTTTTGGTTTGCTTCTTTCTTTTTCCCCTTTTATCCATCCATTCCCATTTTTTGAAACCAGTATTAACATTTTTAACAAGCAATATGTTTTCCCTAGATTGACTGGTTATTTTGCCTTAACTTAGCTACCTTCATGTAACTCTTATTTTACTAGGAACTGAAGTATATTTTTAGTTCTTACTGAGTGTCTGAATTTTTGCCAAAAAACAGGTAAGTTTGATCCAGAGTGCATGCTTGGTTGAATGGAAGACAAGAGTCCTAATTCTGCGTTTGGAATCAAGATGGATTTTTAAATTATTTGATATAGCCAATCAGTTGCTATATTAGAATGGGAAGCCTTTTATTTATAATTGTAAGAACATTAGCAATCTAATTGAAACAGTTTTTCTAAGTTCAAGAAGATAAGCCATATTGAAGTAGTTAAGCACCTCTTACCACAACTCAGAGCAGTTGTGAAATATGATGCACACATTTTAAAACAAATTTTTATAAATAATATATGGCAATATTTTCCTGAATATTGAAAAATCCTCTCAGTTTAGTGAGAATTATAAATCAGTGTGAATTTTTATTTTATTTTGAGAGAATTTGTTCAATTATTTTTTAAAAGAATCTTTTCATTGCATAGGAGGTACACAGTAAGTATCTGTATAAAGTTGGACAGGAATAAACAACCAAAAGCATCAAGTGGAATGCACTGTGACTTATCAGTCACCCCAAAAGTATGCAGTTCTTCATAAACTTTTTAAAGCAAGGATAGTACTAAGGAGCTATATTAATACTGAATATAGATAAGCACAATGACAAAAAAATCAGAGTTGGCATAAAAATCAGTGCCTGAAGAAAGATAATGGAGAATTCTACTGTTCTATAGCCAGCTCTATAGATCATCTCTCACTGGCTTATTATTCCTATAAAAATCTGCAGAGGTGTGTTTTACTTTGAGTTGCTTCCCAATTCAAGTGCAGTACTGAGTCTAATACAAATGCCGCTGCTTGGGGGTTGTGCTGCCACCACTGTTACCATCTCTGCAATCTGCCATTCCCACTAATGGTAGGGGAAGCTGAGAACAAGGTATCACAGTGCTGAACTCCCCAACAGGCAAGCCAGTGGTTGCCAAAGTGGCGTAGTTTTGGGGACTTTGAAAACTTCCCTGTGTCCAAAGATATTTCCCTCAGTCTGGCTCATATGATTGAAATTCCAACATTAATGACAAATTCATTTGGCTAAAAATATTTCAGTTTCCAGAAGTCTTTTAAAATATTTCTGTGTTCTTAGAATAAGCTGTTATCTGTGATTTAGCATCATTTCAAGAATTCATCTATCATACTGTTTTTCTGTGTGAGAGCTAGTTGAGAGATACTAGGGATCGATGGGACCAAGGAAAAAGCCAAGTACTACTTAAAGAGATTAGCAAGTCAATATTGTGAGAAATTTGGGACTAACATTGGCATGAGTCTGTTGTATGCCTGAGGGAAGTATGTTCTAAGTGAGAAGGTGGACAGAATAGAGAGGTTTGTGTTGTATTCATCCTATAATTTAAGTCTCCCAAAGTTCTCCAGCTATCTGGGATTATTCTTTTATTTAATGTTTTTTAGAAAAATAATTAAAATCTCTATTCTTAGAACATTAGGAAGTTTATGAACTTACCCCAAGAAGTGCTTACATTATTTTGGTTGTTGATTTTCATCTTGTTCTCAATTCTTGCTTAGGGATTCTTTTTTTGATAACTATACCATCCTATTTTATCACTATTTCTCAATTTTGCCATAGTTTTCTCTGGTTATTTTGGTCAAACCATGGTTATAGGCCTTTGTTGTATTCCTCAATGCATTGGTGACATGAGTCCTGTAATATTTGACAAACTTTACGAGAGAGTTGTAGTTACCTAATTTGTAGAATAAGGATATTACACTGCAGAGAAAGAAAATTTAATGTTGGCTTTTAGACAACAATGCAGTAACAGTGGCTAAGGGAAAATATATGGATTTAGGAAATATGGTATAAGTTGCTTAAGTATAATGTAAGGACTACATTTCATTCACTGTGGTATTGCAGTTCAGTGTCTGGCATGTAACAAGCACATATTATGAGTGAATGAATGAAAATGTTGCTCTTAAATTCAGTTTACTGTGCCCCTTCACCTTGGCTTGCTTCTCAAAGCACCACCTCCTCTCTGCTGTCTTATTTTCACTGATCCTCTGGCTCCAACCACCTATCATTTTATTTCAGGTTAGCTAAGTAGAACTAGTTAACCTGTTACTCATCACTCAGTGATGTTGCCTTTTACATGATTATGCGCGATTGTTAGTCCACCTTTGCCTCAGCTTCCCAAGACTAGACAGAGGCAAAAGATCCAGGAAAGTTGCCTCAAACAAAAGGGCAGTTTTCTTCCTCAGATAAATTCTGTAACTAACCCTAAAATTCTGCAGTTGTTTTAGTCACATCTTTTTGTCCTGAAATTTGTTCAGCAAACCACTATTATGTAAATGATATACATATATGATACAGAGTTGATATATATATATATCAACTATATATATGATATATATAGTTCCTGCCTTCAAGTAGGTTATTTATTTATATATATATATTTTTTTGAGACGGAGCCTCGCTCTGTCGCCCAGGCTGGAGTGCAGTGGTGCAATCTCGGCTCACTGCAAGCTCCGCCTTCTGAGTTCACGCCATTTTCCTGCCTCAGCCTCCCGAGTAGCTGGGACTACAGGCGCCCGCCACCACCCCTGGCTAATTTTTTTGTATTTTTAATAGAGACGGGGTTTCACCGTGTTAGCCAGAATGGTCTCGATTTCCTGACCTCATGATTCGCCCGCCTCGGCCTCCCAAAGTGCTGGGATTACAGGCGTGAGCCACCGTGCCCGGCCAGTTTACTGTCTTTAAAATTCAGACTGAGCATCCTAAATCTAAAAATTTGAAATCCGAAGTGCTCCAAAATCCGAATTATTTTGAGCGTCCACATGATGCTCAAAGGAAATGCTCACTGGGAGCATTTAAGATTTCAGATTTTCAGATTTGGGAGTCTCAAGTGGTATAATGCAAATGTTCCAAAATCTGAAAAATTTCAAAATCCAAAACACTCTGGTCCCAAGCATTTCAGGCAAGGGATATGTAACCTATACAAAAGTAAATCATTAAAGTATTATAATAAATTAATTATTATATATTATATAAATATGTAAATTGTATTTATGTATTATGTAAATATATAAATTATTACAGTATATATAAATATATGTTATATATTTATATAAATATATACAAATTATTATATTTATATATTACGTAAATAAATTATGCTATGGCAAGTGTGATTATGAAGATATGAAAGGATTATTATAGTACATAGTGGAGGTTCACATAAACTTCCTGGAGGTGAAAGGTGGATGGATACAGGAATCAGGGAAAGAGGTGACATCTAAGATGATTCTTGAGGATGAGCAGAAGTTATCCTAATGATACTGCACCTAGTGGACAAGTATGCTATCTACACATAGATAATGCATAAGCAAAGGCTGAGAGGTAAGAAGCACTTCTTTGTTCATGAATCATGAAGTGTGAGGGAGGAGGTGTCAAGAGATAAAGCTTGAGGAGTATTGAAGGACTAAATTATAAAGGGATTTATAGGCCATGTTAAAGCATGTAGAGTATATTATTATGTAGTAGAGAGGTACTACAGGATTGTAAGAAGGGGAGTGCCAGAGGCAAATCCTTTAGTCTCCAGAATTTCTTTAGCATTTTTATGAGTTCGAGAGATATGCTTCTACATTTCTGAAACCTAAAAGTTTGTGAAAGGAGGCTTATGATAGAGAGTGGGGGTGATTATACAGAAGCTGCCTTGTGCTATGTAGAATAGTTTCTCATATGTTGGAAAAGTCTTTATCCCCATGAATATAAGTTCTTCCCATTTAATGGGAGAAGAGGAAACTTTTAAAAGGAGCAAACCATTGATATATAAACTTAATAACATAAGGGCATTGAGAATAATTCTCAACATTATATAAATATGCAGGCAGTCCTTACTTTGTCTGGTTCCAATATACATATATTTTGGTTACCACAATTTAATTACATAGCGTCAGTTCCCGAACAACACAATTCATATTTCATTTGCCACAGTATATTAAGTATGATTAACTACATAAAGTACAGACTTTGCTACTGGCCCTTTAGTCCACAAATCACTACATAAGTAATGGAGTGCATCGTGACCAATTACCAGACAAGTCATTTCATTCAGTCTGTTGGTGATTCTTCAATCATGTACAGACAGTAAAGTTGCGTTGCTTCCTTGTTTTGCAGTGATAAACCTATGTGATATTTTACACAGATGAATAATCAAAAGAAGTATTAGCTAACAAAGATGAAAGAACAGCAAATAAAGGAGTAGTGATAACATAGGAATTTTAAAACAAATAGCTGGACATGAGACACTGCTGACATTTAAGATTCTACATATGCAGCCAGGGAAATTTATTGCAGGTGAACTTTTAGACATAAATGAGTAAAGTAGTAGTGATGAATAGGACAAGGATGTTCCAGAGGAAGTGACACTTTCAAAAAAAAAAAACTTCACATTAGAAGAATTCTTGGAAATATTTCATGACATTGAAAGTGCAAAGGATAAAATGTTGGGAATTGATCCATACTTAGAAGCGAGTATGACAATTTGCCAAGGCATAGGAAATATGCTTGCTTAGTGTGATAATTTAGACAACAACAAGAAGGCAAACACTTTCAAACTAATTTTGATAATTTTTTTCAAATAAATGATGCTTTAATTTCTAATGTTTTCAATTATACTGTGCTAAATTAATACTACTATAATTTTTTTATTTCCCCGTGCAACTATAACCAACAGTAAGAGAGTTTTTAACACTTTAACAAAAATATTTAAAGGTCATGGAACAATTGTAAATTTTCCCATTGGTTATTAAGATTGCATTGTACAATTTCAGCTTGCACAGTTATTTTTATGGTCCTATACTATAGTGCAAAGTGAGGAGGATCTGTGTATAAATGATACTACTGTTTTCCTTATGATTAAACATTTTATTTATATATTCAAATCTTAATTACTGGGAGTAGTTTGAAACTGATTTATTTTGTAACCACTAATATTTCTGATTTTGATTCAATTGTGTCTTTTTATTTGTCCTGTGTGGTAACGTATTGATAACATATTTTTAGGGCTCAAATTTTTGTTAACATATTTATTAAAATTGAAGTCTATATAAAATTAGATTATAGGCTTCATTTATTATTGGAATTCTTGCTGAGGCAATTTATTTATTTATTATTTTAATTTTGTAGGTACATAGTAAGTGTATATATTCATGGGGTGCATGACATATTTTGGTACAGGCTGCAATGCATACTGATCACATCATGGAAAATTGGATATCCATCCTCACAAACATTTATCCTGTGTGTTACAAACAATCCAATGATACTCTATTTATTTTAAATTATACAATTAAATTATTATTTACTATAGTTTCCCTGTTGTGCTAGCAAATACTAGGTTTTATTCATTCTTTGTAACTATTCTTTTGTACTCATTAACTATGCTCCCTTCCCTACCTCCGCCTGATCTCCTATTCCCCTCCCAGCCTCAAATAACCATCCTTCCATTGCCTGTCTCCATGAATTCAATTTTGTGATATTTAGATCCCACAGATAAGTGAGAACATGTGATGTTTGTCTTTCTGTGCCTGGCTTATTTCACTTAACCTAATGGCCTCCAGTTCCATCCATGCTGTTGCAAATGACAGAATCTCATTATTTTTTGTATGGCTGAATAGTACTCCATTGTGTATATGTACCACATTTTCTTTATCCATTCATCTGTTGATGGACACTTAGGTCACTTCCAAATCTTGGCTATTGTGAACAGTGCTGCAACAAACATGGGAGTGCAGATACCTCTTTGATACACTGATTTCTTTTCTTCTGGGTATATACCCAGTAGTGGGATTGCTAAATCCAGTGGTAGTTTTATTTTTACTTTTTTGAGGAACCTCCAAACTGTTTTCCATAATGGTTGTACTAATTTACCTTCCCATGAATAGTGTATGAGGATTCTCCTTTTTCCACATCCTCGCCAGCATTCTTTTGGATATAAGCCGTTTTAACTGGGGTAAGATTGTAGTTTGGATTTGCATTTCTTTGATGATCAATAATGTTGAGCACTTTTTTATATGCCTGTTTACCATTTCCTTGTCTCATTTTGAAAAATATCTGTTCAAATCTTTCGCCCATTTTTAATTGGATTACTTGATTAGTTGTTTGAGCACCTTCTACATTCTAGTTATTCATCTCTCATGAGATAGGTAGTTTGCAAATATTTTCTCCTATTTTCTGGGTTGTTTCTTCACTTTATTGATTGTTTCCTTTGCTGTGTAGAAACTTTTTAACTTGATGCAATCCCATTTGTTCATTTTTGCTTTGGCTGGCTGTGCTTGTGAGGTATTACTGAAGAAATCTTTGCCCAGACCAATGTCCTGGAGAGGTTCCCCAATATTTTCTTGTAGTAGTTTCATAGTTTGAGGTTTTAGATTTAAGTCTTTAATCTATTTTGAATTGATTTTTGTACAAGGCAAGAGATAGGGATCAAGTTTCATTATTCTACATATGGATATCCAGTTTCCCCAGCACAATTTATTGAAGAGTGTCTTTTCCTCAATGTCTGTTCTTGGCAACTTTGTCGAAAATGAGTTCACTGTAGGTGTGTGGATTTATTTCTGGGTTCTCTATTCTGTTACTTTTGTCTGTGTGTCTGTTTTTATGCTGGTACCATGCTGTTTTGGTTACTGTAGCTCTGCAGTATAATTTGAAATCAGGTAATGTGATTCCTCTAGTTTTGTTCTCTTTGCTTAGGATAGCTTTGGCTATTCTGGGTTTTTGTGGTTCCACATAAATTTTAGGATTGCTTTTTTCTATTTCTATGAAGAATATTACTGGTATTTTGATACAGATTGTATTGAATCTGTAGATTACTTTGGGCAGTACGGACATCTTAAAAATATTGATTCTTCCAATTCATGAACATGGAATACCTTTCCATTTTTTGGTGTCCTCTTCAATTTCTTTCATCAGTGTTTTATAGTTTTTATTATAGAGATCTTTTACTTATTTGGTTAATTCCTAGTTTATTTTATGTGTGGCTATTGTAAATGGGATTGCTTTTTAAATTTCTTTTTCCAATTGTTCATTATTGGCATATTGAAATCCTACTGATTTTTGTATGTTGATTTTGTATACTACAACTTAACTGAATTTGTTTACCAGTTCTAATAGGTTTTGTTTTGTTGGTGGAATCTTTAGGTTTTACCAGCTATAACTTCATATCATCTGCAAACAAGGATAATTTAGCTTCTTCCTTTCCAATTTGGATGCCCTTTATTTTTTTTCTGTTGTCTGATTGCTCTAGTTAAGATTTTCAGTACTATGTTGAATAACAGTGGAGAAAGTGGGCATCCTTGTCGTGTTCCAGATCTAATAGGAAAAGCTTTCAGTATTTTCCCATTCAGAATGATACTAGCTGTGGGTCTATCATATATGGCTTTTATTATGAAAAGGTATATTCCGTTTATATCCAGTTTTTGAGGGTATTTTTTTTACCAAGAAGGGGTGTTGAACTTTATCAAATGCCTTTTCAGCATTAATTGAAATGATAATATGGTTTTTGACCTTCATTCTGTTGATATGATATATCACAGTGATTGATTTGTGTGTGTTGAATCATCCTTGCATCCCTGAGATAAATCCCACTTGGTCATAATGAGTCATCTTTTTAATGTATTGTTGAATTCAGTTTGTGAGTATTTTGTTGAGGATTTTTGTATCAATATTTATCAGAGATATTGGCCTGCAGTTTTCTTTTTTTAATTTTTTTAAAATTATACTTTAAGTTCTGTGATACATGTGCAGAATGTGCAGGTTTGTTACATAGGTATACACGTGCCATAGTGGTTTGCACCCATCAACCTGTCATCTGCATTAGGTATTTCTCCTAATGCTAGCCCTCCCCAGCCCCCCAACCCCCACAGGCCCTGGTGTGTGATGTTCCCCTCCCTGTGTCCATGTGTTCTCATTGTTCAGCTCCCACTTTTGAGTGAGAACGTGCAGTGTTTTGTTTTCTGTTCCTGGGTTAGTTTGCTAAGAATGATGGTTTCCAGCTTCATCCATGTCCCTGCAAAGAACATGGACTCATCTTTTTTTATGGCTGCATACTATTCCATGGTGTATATGTGCCACATTTTCTTTATCCATTCTATCATTGATGGGCATTTGCGTTGGTTCCAAGTCTTTGCTATTGTGAATAGTGCTGCAATAAACATATGCGTGCATGTGTCTTTATAGTAGACTGATTTATAATCTTTTGGATATATACCCAGTAATGAGATTGCTGGGTCAAATGATATTTCTGGTTCTAGATCCTTGAGGAATTGCCACACTATCTTTCACAGTAGTTGAACTAATTTATACTCCAACCAACAGTGTAAAAGCTTTCCTGTTTCTCCACATCCTCTCCAGCATCTGTTGTTTCCTGGCTTTTTAATGATCACCATTCTAACTGGCATGAGATGGTATCTCATTGTGGTTTTGATTTGCATTTCTCTAATGACCATATGAGCTTTTTTTCATATGTGTGTTGGCTGCATAAATGTCTTCCTTTGAGAAGTCTCTGTTCATAGCCTTTGCCCACATTTTGATGGAGTTGTCTGTTTTCTTCTTGTGAATTTGTTTAAGTTTCTTGTAGATTCTGGATATTAGCCCTTTGTCAGATGGATAGATTGCAAAAATTTTCTCCTGTCCTGTAGGTTGCCTGTTCACTCTGATGATAGTTTCTTTTGCTGTGCAGAGCTCTTTAGTTTAATTAGATCCCATTTGTCAATTTTGGCTTTTGTTGGCATTGCTTTTGGTGTTTTAGTCATGAAGTCTTTGCCCATGCCTATGTCCAGAATGGTATTGCCTAGGCTTTCTTCTAGGACTTTTATGGTTTCAGGTCTAACATTTAAGTCTGTAATCCATCTTGAGTTAATTTTTGTATAAGGTGTAAGGAAGGGGTCTGGTTTCAGATTTCTGCATATGGCTAGCCAGTTTTCCCAACACCATTTATTAAATAGGGAATCTTTTCCCCATTGCTTGTTTTTGTCAGGTTTGTCAAAGATCAGCTGGTTGTAGATGTATGGTGTTACTTCTGAGGCCTCTGTTTTGGTTACTGTAGCCTTATAGTATAGTTTGAAGTCAGGTAGCGTGATGCCTCCAGCTTTGTTCTTTTGGCTTAGGGTTGTCTAGGCCATAGGGCTCTTTTTTGTTTCCATATGAAATTTAAAGTAGTTTTTTCTAATTCTGTGAAGAAAGTCAATGATAGCTTGAATGGGGATAGCATTGAATCTATAAATTACTTGGGACAGTATGGCCATTTTCATGATATTGATTCTTCCAATCCATGAGCATGGAATGTTTTTCCATTTGTTTGTGTTGTCTCTTATTTCCTTGAGCAGTGGTTTGTAGTTCTCCTTGAAGAGGTCCTTCACATCCCTTGTAAGTTGTATTCCTAGGTATTTTATTCTCTTTGTAGCAGTTGTGAATGGGAGTTCACTCATGATTTGGCTGTTTGTCTATTATTGGTGTATAGGAAAGTTTGTGATTTTTGCACAGTGATTTTGTATCCTGAGACTTTGCTGAAGCTGCTTATCAGCTTAAGGAGATTTGGGGCTGAGGTGATGGGGTTTTCTAAATATACAATCATGTCATCTGCAAACAGAGACAATTTGACTTCCTCTCTTCCTATTTGATTATGCTTTATTTCTTTCTCTTGCCTGATTTCCCTGGTCAGAACTTCTAATACTATGTTGAATAGAAGTGGTGAGAGAGGGCATCCTTGTTTTGTGCCGGTTTTCAAAGGGAATACTTCCAGCTTTTACTCATTCAGTATGATATTGGCTGTGGGTTTGTCATAAATAGCTCTTATTATTTTGAGATACATTCCATCAATATCTAGTTGACTGAGAGTTTTTAGCATGAAGGGCTGTTGAATTTTATTGAAGGCTTTTTCTGCCTCTATTGAGATAATCATGTGGTTTTTGTCATTGGTTCTGTTTATGTGATGGATTACGTTGATTGATTTGTGTATGTTGAACCAGTCTTGCATCCTAGGGATGAAGCTGACTTGATCATGGTGGATAAGCTTTTTGATGTGCTGCTGGATTCAGTTTGCAAGTATTTTTTTGAGTATTTTTGCATCAATATTCATCAAGGATATTGGCCTGAAATTTTCTTTTATTCTTGTGTCTCTGCCAGGTTTTGGTATCAGGATGATGCTGGCCTCATAAAATGAGTTAAGGAGGAGTCCCTCTTTTTCTATTGTTTGGAATAGTTTCAGAAGGAATGGTACCAGCTCCTCTTTGTACCTCTGTTACAATTCGGCTATGAATTCATCTGGTCCTGGGCTTTTTTTTAGTTGGTAGGCTATTAATAACTGCCTCAATTTCAGAACTCGTTATTGATCTATTCAGGGATTTGACTTCTTCCTAGTTTAGTCTTGGGAGGGTGTATGTGTCCAGGAATTTATCAATTTCTTCTAGATTTTCTAGTTTATTTGTGTAGAGGTGTTTATAGTATTCTCTGATGGTAGTTTGTATTTCTGTGGGATCGGTGATGATATCCCATTTACCATTTTTTATTGTGTCTATTTGATTCTTCTCTCTTTTCTTCTTTGTTAGTCTGGCTAGTGGTCTATCTATTTTGTTGATCTTTTTTTAGAAACCAGCTCCTAGATTCATTGATTTTTTGAAGAGTTTTTCGTGTCTCTATCTCCTTCAGTTCTTCTCTGATCTTAGTTATTTCTTGTCTTCTGCTAGCTTTTGACTTTGTTTGGTCTTGCATCTCTAGTTCTTTTAATTGTGAGGTTAGGGTGTTGATTTTAGATCTTTCCCTATAGCATTTAGTGCTATAAATTTCCCTCTAAACACTGCTTAACTGTGCTCCAGAGATTCTGTTACATTGTGTCTTTGTTCTCATTGGTTTCAAAGAACTTATTTATTTCTGCCTTAATTTTGTTATTTACCCAGTAGTCATTCAGGAGCAGGTTGTTCAGTTTCCATGTAGTCTGAGAGACTGTTTGTTATGATTTCTGTTCTTTTGCATTTGCTGAGGAGTGTTTTACTTCCAATTATGTGGTCAATTTTAGAACAAGTGTGATGTGGTGCTGAGAAGAATGTAGATTCTGTTGATTTGGGGTGCAGAGTTCTGTAGATGTCTATTATGTCTGCTTGGTCCAGAGCTGAGTTCAAGTCCTAAATATCCTTATTAATTTTCTGTCTCATTGATCTGTCTAATATTGACAGTGGGGTGTTAAAGTCTCCCACTATTACGGTGTGGGAGTCTAAGTCTCTTTGTAGATCTCTAAGAACTTGCTTTATGAATCCGGGTACTCCTGTATTGGGTGCATGTATATTTAGAAGTGTTAGCTCTTTTTTTGCATTGATCCCTTTACCATTATGCAATGCCCTTCTTTGTCTTTTTTGATCTTTGTTGGTTTAGTCTGTTTTACCAGAGACTAGGATTGCAACCCTTCCTTTTTTGATTTCATTTGCTAGGTAAATATTCCTCTATCCCTTTATTTTGAGCCTATGTGTGTCTTTGCACATGAGATTTGTCTCCTGAATACAGCACACCGATGGGTCTTGACTCTTTATCCAATTTGCCAGTCTGTGTCTTTTAATTGGGGCATTTAGCCCATTTACATTTAAGGTTAATATTGTTATGTGTGAATTTGATCCTGTCATTATGATGCTAGCTGGTTATTTTGCCCATTAATTGATGCAGTTTCTTTATGGTGTCAATGGTCTTTACAATTTGGTATGTTTTTGCAGTGGCTGGTACTGATTTTTCCTTTCCATATTTAATGCTCCCTCCTTGTAAGGCAGGCCTGGTGGTGACAAAATCTCTCACCATTTGCTTGTCTATAAAGGATTTTATTTATCCTTCATTTATGAAGCTTAGTTTGATTGGATATGAAATTCTGGGTTGAAAATTCTTTTCTTTAAGCATGCTGAATATTAGCCCCCACTCTCTTCTGTCTTGTAGGGTTTCCACTGAGAGATCTGCTGTTAGTCTGATGGGGTTCCCTTTGTGAGTAACCTGACCTTTCTCTCTGGCTGTCCTTAGCATTTTTTCCTTTATTTCAACCTTGGTGAATCTGACAATTATGTGCCTTGGGGTTGCTCTTCTCAAGGAGTATCATTGTGGTGTTCTCTGTATTTCCTGAATTTGAATGTTGGTCTGTCTTGCTAGGTTGGGGAAGTTCTGCATAATGTCCTGAAAAGTGTTTTCCAACTTGGTTGCATCTTCCCTGTCACTTTTAGGTACACCAATCAAACGTAGGTTTGGTCTTTTCACATAGTCCCATATTTCTTGGAGGCTTTGTTCATTCCTTTTCATTCTTTTTTCTCTAATCTTGTCTTCACGCTTTATTTCATTAAACTGATCTTCAATCTCTGATATCCTCTTTTGCTTGATTGGTTTGATTCTTGATACTGTCTATGCTTCACCAAGTTCTTGTGCTGTGTTTTTCAGCTCCATCAGGTCATTTATGTTCTTCTCTAAACTGGTTAATCCAGTTAGCAATTCCTCTAACCTTTTTTCAAGGTTCTTAGCTTCCTTGCATTAGGTTAGAACATGCTCCTTTAGCTTGGAGGAGTTTGTTATTACCCACCTTCTGAAGCCTCCTTCTGTCAGTTTGTCAAACTCATTCTCCATCCAGTTTTGTTCA
Organism: Homo sapiens; assembly: GCF_000001405.40. NCBI lineage: Eukaryota > Metazoa > Chordata > Mammalia > Primates > Hominidae > Homo > Homo sapiens. The sequence goes on along the minus strand of NC_000001.11, from coordinate 86,073,098 downwards.
CTTGCTGGCGAGGAGTTGTGATCCTCTGGAGAAGAGGCGTTCTGGTTTTCGGAATTTTCTGCCCTTTTGCACTGGTTTTTCCTGATCTTTGTGGATTTATCTACCTTTGGTCTTTGATGTTGGTGACCTTCAGATGGAGTTTTTGTGTGGACATCCTTTTTGTTGGTTTTGATGCTATTTCTTTCTGTTTGTTAGTTTTCCTTCTAACAGTCAGATCCCTCTGCTGCGGGTTTGCTGGAGGTCCACTCCAGACCCTGTTTGCCTGGGTATCACCAGTGAAGGCTGCAGAACAGCAAAGATTGCTGCCTGCTCCTTCCTCTGGAAGCTTTGTCCCAGAGGGGCACCCACTAGATGCCAGCTGGAGCTATCCTGTATGAGGTGTCTGTCGACCCCTGCTGGGAGGTGTCTCCCAATCACGAGGCACGGGGGTCAGGGACCCACTTGAGGAGGCAGTCTATCCCTTAGTAGAGCTCGAGTGCTGTGCTGGGAGATCCGTTGCTCTCTTCTGAGCCAGGAGGCAGGAATGTTTAAGTCTGCTGAAGCTGCACCCACAGCCACCCCTTCCCCCAGGTGCTCTGACCCAGGGAGTTTTATCTATAAGTCCCTGACTGGGGCTGCTGCCTTTCTTTCAGAGATGCCCTGCGCAGAGAGGAGGAATCTAAAGAGGCAGTCTGGCAATAGCAGCTTTCACCCAGTTTTAACATCCTGGCAGCTTTGTTTACACTGTGAGGGGAAAACCACCTACTCAAGCCTCAGTAATGGTGGACACCCCTCTCCCCACCAAGCTCAAGCATCCCAGGTCGATATCAGACTGCTGTGCTGGCAGCAAGAATTTCAAGCCAGTGGATTTTAGCTTCATGGGCTCTGTGGGGGTGGAATCCACTGAACTAGACCACTTGGCTCCCTGGCTTCAGCCTCCTTTCCAGGGGAGTGAACAGTTCTGTCTCACTGGCGTTCCAGGTGCCACTGGGGTATGAAAAAAATTCCTGCAGCTAGCTCGTTGTCTCCCCAAATGGCCGCCCAGTTTTGTGCTTGAAACCCAGGCCCTTGGTGGTGTAGGCGTCCGAGGGAATCTCCTGGTCTGCAGGTTTCACAGACCGTGGGAAAAGCATAGTATCTTGGCTGGATAGCTCTGTCCCACAAGGCATAGTCCCTCATGGCTTCCCTTGGCTAGGGGAGGGAGTTCCCTGACCCTTTGCTCTTCCTGGGTGAGGCAACACCCCACCCTGCTTCTGCTTGCCCTCCATGGGCTGCACCCACTGACTAACCAGTCCCAGTCTTGCTGAAAGTGGAGGTATTGAAGTCTCCAGCAATTATTGTAGTAGGGTCTATCTCTCTCTTTAGCTCCAGTAATGTTTTCTTTATTTATCTGGGTGCTTTAGTGCATATATATTTACAATCATTGTATCCTCTCACTGAATTGACCCCTTTGTTATAATATAATGACCTTTGTCTCATCTTATAGTTTTTGTTTGGAAATCTGTTTTGTCTGATATAAGTATAGCTATTCTTGCTCTTTTTTCGTTTCCATTGGCATGGAATATCTTTTTTTATCCCTTTATTTTCAGTCTATGTGTATATAGGTGAAGTGTGTTTCTTATAGGCAAAGATCATTGGAACTTGTTTTTTCATTCATTCAGCCACTCTATGTCTTTTGATTGGAGAGGTTAGTCCATTTACATTCAATGTTATTATTGATAAATAGAGACTTATTCCTGCCATTTTGTTATTTGTTTTCTGGTTGTTTTGTGGTCTTCTCTTCCTTCTTTCCTCCATTCCAGTTTTTCATTTAGTGAAGGTGATTTTTATCTAGTAGTATGCTTTGATTTCTTGCTTTTTATTTGTTATGTATCTGTTGTATGTTTTTTTGGTTTGAGGTTACCATGAGGCTTGCAAATACTATCTTATATCCCATTATTTTAAACTGATGACAGCTTAATGCTGATTGCATAAACCAAAAAACATGTAAAAAGAAAACTGATAAAAACTCTATGCCTTAACTTCATTTCCCCATTTTTAAACTTTTTGTTGTTTTTCTTTGTCTTTTTATACTGTCTATGTCTTGTAAAGTTGTAGTTATTATTTTTTATTGGTTTTTCATTTAATCTTTCCACTTAATTCAAGAGAAGTTTACACACCACCATTACAGTGCTATATTAGCCTGTGTTTTTCTGTGTACCTACTATTTCCAGTGAGTTTTGTACCTTCAGATGGTTTCTTCTTGCTCAGTAACATTCTTTTTTTTTTCTGATTGAATGACTCCCTTTAGCATTTTTTGTAGGACAGGTCTGGTGTTGATGGAATCCATTAACTTTTGTTTGTCTAGGAAAGTCTATTTCTCCTTCATGCTTAAAGCCTATTTTTGCTGGATATACCATTCTAGGGTAAAAGTTTTTTTCCTTCAGCACTTTAAATATGTCATGCCACTCTCTCCTGGCCTGTATGGTTTCCACTGTGAAGTCTGCTGCCAGATGTATTTCCGCTCCATAGTATGTTATTTGTTTCTTTTCTTTCACTGCTTTTAGGATCATGTTTTAATCTTTGACATTTGAGGGTTTGATTATTAAATACCTTGAGGTAGTCTTTTTAGGTTAAATCTGCTTGGTGATCTATAACCTTCTTGTACTTGAATCTTGATATCTTTCTCTAGGTTTGGGGAGTTCTCTGATATTATCCCTTTCAATAAACTTTCTACCCCTATCTCTTTCTCTACTTCCTCTTTAAGGCCAATAACTCTCAGATTTTCCCTTTTGAGGCTGTTTTCCATCTTGTAGGTGTGCTTCATTGTTTTTTATTCTGTTTTCTTTTGTCTCCTCTGACTGTGTTTTGTCAAATAGCCTGTCTTCAAGCTCACTAAGTCTTTCATTTGCTTGATCAATTCTGCTTTTAAAGGACTCTGATACATTCTTCAGCATTCAGTTGTATTTTTCAACTGTGGAATTTCTGCTTGAGTCTTTTTAATTATTTCTATCTCTTTGTTAAATTTTTCTGACAGCATTCTGAATTCCTTCTTTGTGTTATCTTGAATTTCTTTGGGTTTCCTCAAAACAGCTATTTTGAATTCTCTGTTTGAAAGGTCATATTTCTCTGTTTCTCAAGAATTGGCCCCGTGCCTTATTTAGTTCATTTGGTGAGATCATGTTTTTGTGGTGGTGTTGTTACTTGTAGATGTTCATTGGTGTTTGGGCATTGAAGAGTTAGGTATTTGTTGTAGTCTTCATAGTCTGGGCTTGTTTGTGCCTGTCCTTCTTGGGAAGGCTTTCCAAGTGTTTGAAGGGACTTGGGCCCCAAGCCCAATATCGCTGTGGTTTTTGTAGAGGTACTGCCTTGGTGGTCTTACATAAAATCTGAAAGAATTCTCTGGATTACCAAGCAGAGATTCTTGTTCTTTTCTCTTAATTTCTTCTAAACAAATGGAGTCTCTCCTCTCTCTCTCTCTCTTTGCTGGGCCAGCTGGAACTGTGGGTGTGGAGATACAGGCACCCTGTGGCCGTCACCACTGGAACTGTGCTGGGTCAGACATGAGCTACTGGGCCTCACCCAAAGCCCTTCCCTTCATAGTGATGAGTTTTCCCCAGGCCCAGGGTGTGTCCAAGGATGCTGTGTGGGAGCCAGTGATTGAAGTCAAAGACATTAGCAACTTACCTGCTGTTCTACTCTACTATGGCTAAACTCCCATTCAAACCATAATACAGAGTCCTTCCTACTCTTTCCAGCAATTTCCCCAGGCAGATGAGTCCTTCCCTGTGGCCACCACCACTAGTCCATGGGGGTTTCTGCTAGGCTTTCACCAATGTTTACTTAAAGGCCAAGGGCTCTCTTCCATCAGCTTGTGTTGAATGCTGCCAGGACTGTGACTCATCCTTCAGCACAGTAGGGACGGTCCAGAAATGCTGTGTAAGATCCTAGTCCTGGTCTCAAGGACCCCAAGAGCCTGCTAATTGCCCTACCCTACTGTGGCCAAGCTGGTACATAGGGTGCAAGACAAAATCCCGTCTCTTTTTCCCTTTGCTTTTCTCAAACAAAAGGAGTCTTTCACTGTGACCACCACAGCTGGAATGTACTGGACCACCCCTGAAGGCCAGCATGTTTCAGAGCCCAAGGCCCACAGCACACTCACTGGGTATCATTGGTGGTTATTCAGGGCCCAAGGGCTCTTTGGTCAACAGGTGATGAATCCTGCCAGTACTAGACCCTTCCCTTCAAAGCAGGAAGTTCCCTTTTGACCCAGAGTGCATCTAGAAATGTTATCCCAGAGCTAGGGCCTCAAATGGGGGCCTCACGTCTCTGCTTGGTGCTCTATTACACTGTGGCTGAGCTGGTATCCAAGATGCCAAACAAAGTCCTCTTTACTCTTCACTCTTCTCTCCTTATGCAGAAGGGAAGAGTCACTTTCCTTGTTATGAGCTGCACTGCCTGGGCTTAGGGAAGGAATGGTGCTCACACTCCATTAGCCATGCCAGCTGTTGTCTCCTTAGTTCACATTCCACCCTAGTTCACTGGCTGTAAGCCCAGCCTAGCACTAGGAATAGCCTAGGATTTGCAGTTGTCGTGTCCTAGACAGCCTTTGAAGTTTACCTAGGACCCCAGAGTACTTCAGCCCATGGTGGTAAGGCTTGCCAAGAAACTCAAGTTCCTTGAGGATGTGCGATTCCCTTCTGGCTAGGGCTGGTCCAAATCCTCCCGCTGTGCCAGGGAAGCACTGAGTTCAATGTAAAGTTTCCCAGTCACTGGGCTTTCCCTTCCTAGAGTGCACAGATTCTCTCTCCACACTGCAGGGCTGCTGCCAGGGGAGATGGGGGAGGGGTGGCATTCACTATTTAAGACTGTATCTCTTGTCCTCCTCAGTGCCTCTTTCCACAATATGAAGTTAAAACCAGGTACTGTGATTGCTCTTGCTCACCTGATTTTTGCTTCTTGTGACTGTGGTTTTCTGTGTGTGGATAGTTGTTAAAATTTGATGTTCCAGTGTTGGAGAGGGGACGAATAGCGTAAGCTTCTATTTTGCCATCTTGCTCTGCCCTCCTTTGTAAACTGATTTTATATTACAACAAAAATTAAAGACAATTCTGTAATTCATTGTAATGTGTTTTAAATCTGAATTGAAACAATTTGTAAATTTTCCTATTGTCATTCCTTAAGGAATGTATTCAGTTTTCAGAATGCTAATCAGAGAAAAATCATATGCTAGTTATGGAAACTTTTTTGTTATTCTTCCTGTATGAGTATAGAAAATAATGACTCAAATACTAGTTTTTAAAATAAAATCCCTAGATTGGAGCTATGCCAAAGCTTGCATGTAGGCAGTTTTCCAAGGAATGTATCCCCTTTGCTTTTAAAAACTTTACAGACTAGTTTTTAAGTAGAAAATAAATGAGGCATATGGGAATAAATGAAAGTCTTTATATAATAGTGGAGATAACTTCAGTATATTACAAATATATATTTTAAAATAACAAAAAGGAAGTCTTTATTCTATTTATCACCTTTCATTTCAACATTCGGATAATAGAGTTACCATATTAAATACATAGAATCTATTTTCTACCTAAGTGATTCTTAAATTCATCCAAGTCTTTTCATTCACTCATCCATTCATTCATTCATCCATCCATGTCTGTCCACCAGTTAATTAATAAGCAACAACTATGTACCAGGCACTGGGGACACCACAGTGAGTACAGTAACTTAAATTAAGCTTAAGCTTTTTCAAGGGCTTAGGTATCATTTTTACTCTACTATCCTAGGCTAACTTATAATTATCTTTGACCTAGACTGTCATACTAGCCTCCTACCCAACCCACTCTCTTCCATTTTGCCCACTCCAGAGTCCCATCTTTGTTTTAGAGCATTAAAGAAGTGCCCCGTGGGAGCCTGATATGTCCACTGACCTTACGTGAATTCTTCCTTCCTATGTCTCCAAGCCTGAAGTAACTCTTTTTTTTTTTTTCTTCTTTTTTGAGATGGAGTCTTGCTCTGTCACCCAGGCTAGAGTGCAGTGGCGCAATCTCGGCTCACTGCAACCTCTGCCTCCTGGGTTCAAGCAATTCTCCTGTCTCAGCCTCCCAAGTAGCTGGGATTACAGGAAAACGCCACCACACCTGGCTAATTTTTTTGTATTTTTAATAGAGACGGGTTTCATCATGTTGGCCAGGCTGGTCTGGAACTACTGACCTCAGATGATCCACCTGCCTCTGCCTCCCAAAGTGCTGGGATTACAGGCGTGAGCCATTGCGCCCGGCCTTCCTGAAGTAACTCATATCTGCTTTGTTTTTTATTCAGTGACAGCTACATTGAAAAAAGTAGTTACTTTCTGATAGATTCCAGTATTCACAGGATTTAAGCAATAAAAAATTAGCAATAATTTAATTGAATGCTGTCATTTTACAAAATAAGACATTGAGGTTCACAATATGGCTAGTTTGTGGTAAAACTGGATCTAGAACAGATCAAGATGGCTTGATCTGTTCATTGTTATTATCAGTAAAGCAAACAAACAAAAATTGCTTTACTTAGGCTCTTCGGATTGCGTAGAAAGGGGACTTAGGATATTTTAGCAGGGCGCAGTGGCTCACGCCTGTAATCCCAGCACTTTGGGAGGCCGAGGCGGGCAGATCACGAGGTCAGGAGATCGAGACCGTCCTGGCTAACACAGTGAAACCCCATCTCTACTAAAAATACAGGAAAAAAAAAATAGCCGGGCATGGTGGCGGGCGCCTGAAGTCCCAGCTACTCCGGAGGCTGAGGCAGGAGAATGGCGCGAACCCGGGAGGCGGAGCTTGCAGTGAGCCGAGATCGTGCCACTGCACTCCAGCCTGAGGGATAGAGCGAGACTCTGCCTCAAAAAAAAAAAAAAAAAAAAAAAAAGGAGACTTAGGATATTTCAAGGAAAAGAGTGAGTTATTTCAATCCTGTCTGCAGCAATAAGGAAACAGGGATCCCATGGAATCTAAAACTAGGTACTGTAATATGACTTGGTCTGACATACACACTGATTCAAAGCAGCTTATCTTAGCAGCATTAGTTTGTGAATCTTTTGTTGTACTTTTCTACCAGTGCTTATCTACTTTCTCTGCATCTGCTTTTTTGTGTTATCTTGTCCTCTGACAACTGTCTTAACATAATTTCAATTTTAATTTTTGTGTATACTTTGGCTTCCTGTAGCATCTCAGCGACCCTACTCTTCCTCTTAGTCTTTCTTTGTGAATCTTTCCAGCTCCCTCCTACCCCCACTGTTAAGTACTTGCATTTTTCTATTGTTGTTGTTTTAATCAACTTCATTTTTTTAAAAAAGAGATTTTTATTGGCCCAGCTTGTCTCTCTCTTTTTTTTTTTTTTTTTTAGAGGTTGCTATATTGCTCAGACTGGACTTTAGCTCCTGGGCTCAAGCAACCCTCCCACCTCAGCATCTTGAGTAGCTGGACTACAGGAATGCCATTTGCCTGGCCCAGCTTGTTTTTATTTAAATAAAACTCTTTATTCCAAGTCATTTTATAGGCTACTGGCCTGACTTATATTGTCCTCCCTTAGATTAACTGTCAAGTCCTGGGGCTGAGGTGGGGAAGGAGTAAGTTCATAAAAAACAGATCATGACTGCATGGTGCTGCCACCTTGTCAGGGTCTCTGAATGAAGAAGAATCCCTTTAAAGAGAAGTGTGCATAAAAAAGATACCATGATTAACATATATACACATAGTTCACTATTATGGAGTGATTTGGGGAAAATAAGCTAAAATAAAATTGTGCCACGATTGCATTTTGTTTCATTATAGGCTAGGGAGGAAACTAACTCTGATCTGAAAAACAGGTGTTGGCCAAAGAAAATCAAGCATGTAGCTAGGCTCAAGGATTCACAGAATTTAAAATAAGTAAATAAATAAACACACACTTTAAAAAAATAGGAAAAGGAAATAGGCTCATGGCAGAGTCTCTGTAACCTATGAGCCTCCTACCCTGGCTCTTTATTTGTCATCCTCCAGGAAACTTCCAGCTCACACCCTCCTAGAGCTGCTGCCTCATCCCAGGGAGCCACCACCACTGTCTTAGCGCTGAGGATGTTTCTTATCTCCTGTTGTAAAAAGTGAAAAAACTTAGCTTTGTGGATATTTTTACTTGTGGAATTTTGTGTAAACATTTGGGCAACTGAGCACAATATGTAATATGTTATGTAATTAGGCTAATCTTGAACTCCCTTTAAAAATGTAAAAACAGTTAAACTGTTTTAAGTTTAACATCGCAAAAGCTGTTGAAATCATTCCTTTAGTTTTCAAATAGGCACCTCTTCTAAATGACGTTTTTCAACCAAAGCGTCATTCCCTTCTCTAATCCATTAATCCGAATTCATCTCTTCTGATAAACCCTCAGTGATTAATACTGAGTAATTCTTTCACTCCATTAGGCTATATTCTGAAACCCAGGAAATTTGTCTTTAGTTTGCAGTATATTAATTGGAAATTTTTGATATTCATAAACTATGATTTATTTCAGGCTTTTGAATTATATTTTAAGTCCTTAAGAAAAGGAATTTCTTTTGTTCTTTATATGCACCAAAATCCTTTGGTAAACAGTAGATCAAACCACTGATTTTTATGTAGAACTGTACAAATAAGCTCCAAAATTTTTCTTTATTTCATTCTTGCCATCCTTTCTTTTAGTTTCCTTCATTTTGCTCCTATATCTTTCTTGAGGAAGAAGGATATTGTCTGTTTTATAGCTTTGGGTGTTAATTTATAGAGATTAAGATTTTCTTTTGCTTCTATTATTTGGAAAATATTCTTTGTTACTAATTCCCTAGACAACTTTATAGAACCCCTTTTGATGAACCTGTAAGCAGCCTCATGATTTTTTGAGTTACCTCATTCATGGGGTGTTATGACAATGATTTGGGTTAGAGGAACTGCCTGGATATGATCCAGTTTTTCAATAATTACAAACAGATTATGTCTGAGGCCATTTGTCTTAGCACTATTCAACTAAAACTAACTTTTTAAAAGCTTCAGCAAACTTAACATATCCATTGCTAGATATGAGCCTTTTATAAAAGATACTGTGCTTTAGTCTCTATTCAGTACTATGCTACCATTTTAGTTGATAATAACAAGTCATTAAAATAACATGCAAGATTAAATTATTAATAAGAATTAATTTTTTATTTAATAAAAAAGTAATTCTTATTAAATAAAGAAGATTAAATTTAATAAGAAATAAATTAGTAACAATTAAATTTGTATTGATGAGGCAACCAAAAGTTGGGATATAAGGCAACTTGCAACCTATGTTTCGTTATTTGGCTTATATGAGTTTACTTTTCATAGCATGTCTCCACTTATTCTTTTACAGGGTCTCAAAGGACATCCTGGACTCCCAGGACTTCCAGGTGAACAAGTAGGTACTTCCTTTATAAGACTTGTATCATGTGTGAAAAAGACACATGTTAGAGAACTCCTTTGAGAGATTATTTTCCCCCATTTTTTCAATTTTTCTTCTCAGTGATTTTTTACTCTGTTTAGTGCAGGACAACCTTTTAATTGATTAGCTGTAGATCTTTTTATTTAAAAAACTATAACATAATATTTCACTGTTAATCATTTTTTACTTTTGCCCCATATGTTTCAGACTAGTAGCTCTTAAACTTCTGTAGTTCACAGACCCCTTTGAGAGTCTCATAAATACTATGAATCCTTTCCCAGAAAATATACATATCCATACACATACAAACACACACACACACACACACACAGAGAGAGAGACTTAATTTTTTTTGTACAATGTCAGGAACTTACCAGTTCACTAAAGCCTAATCCATAGCTGTTTGTTCCCTGACCTTTTCCTGAGGAAATGCAAATAAATTTCAATAACAGTCCAAATTAGAATGGTACATATATCATTGTCCATAATACACATACACAATATTTAAAAGTCAAAATAGTTTTGGAACTATTTAGTTTTTGATCATGTTATTGCTTTTCTCTCATCAGAAAATAATATATCATTATGTCACAGAAAAAAATAAAGTCATATGTCTTATGGTGTGTACTATATTGAAAATATAATATGAATATAACAGTGAAAAGGGTAAGATATTAGAAACTGACTAAGGTGATGGATACCGTTATTAAAGAATCAGCACAGAGACTCAGGAAACCCTAAAGGGAGATCCAGGAAGAAATGTGATGGTTGGTACCTGAGGGAAAGCTATAAATGAAGAAACAAAGCCAATTTTCCCTTTCATTCATGTTAAGTTAGACAGTACACTCTGTTCAGTCCCTGAAGCACAACTTTTCAAGATTGCTAATTACTAGACATGGCAAGCGAAGTGATATATGTATCTCTAACACATGTAATATCAGTTTCCTGCAAATCAAACATGTACTGAAAAGCATTTGAGCATTTATGGGAGAAAAAGATGAGAAGGGTGAGTGGGATTAGTCCCTGGGGAGAAAAAAATTGTAGGTTACTGCTTTGGCAGAAACGTGGATTCCAATGGAGGAAACCTGATACTTCACAAGTGAAAAATTGGCCATGTGTCATTACTGACGAGTTCACTCAAAACTGCTCCATAAACTAGTACTGGTGGTGTATATATTATCTCTGAGGGTAATATACTTTTTAGAACAGTCTAAAACCAATTTTAAAGGTTAGAAAATGTATATTGTAGTCAGTTCTTCCTTTCTATTCTATTTGTTTCCAGAAAAAAAAAACAGGCAAAATTTGTGTTAACTATGAGAAACAGCTAAAATAATTTTGCATTTTAATTGTGAAAATACTGTGGACATTCAGAGGAGCATAGCTGACTTGCTGGAAGACATTTGTCTTGAAAATTTGTAAATATCTTCAAATTGTTCAGCAAACATTTGGAAAGGCAATTATATTATTTATGTGAGCTCTAGTAATAAGAGCTGTCATTTACTTACAGCCCTTATTATTTGCCAAACTATATTACTATTAACTACAACTTCTAGTAGTATAATTATTCAGTTTTACATATGTTAATTAACTTAATGTCACCAATACTAAGAGTTATTACAGTTACTTCCACTTTTAAATATATTTCTACGCATTGTTCTATTTTATCCACAAAATGAGTGCTGTTATTCTATTTTACTAATGAAAAAACAGAGAAACTATAGTAGCAGTGCTGGAGCAGTGCCGGAATTCTGAATGAAGTCTAACTGACTCAGAATGTGTATTTTAAGTGAGATTAGGGCAGGCTTCCTAATTTTCTGTTCCTGTTTTCTCAAGGGGCTGTTGATATAACTGTATCTCTATTACTCCATCCAATCTGCAGATCTGAGTGAGCCAACTTTTTAAAAAAATCTATCTTTAAATGCAGAGTGAATTAAGTCATGATATTTGTTTTGAGTTTCTTTTGAGTTTCTGTGGTTGTCTCAGTGATTCTAGGGTGTGGTTGGCTCAGAATACGTTTATGCCATATAAAGATTATGCTGAAGTCTTACTTGTTTATTTTGTTTACTGCTGTTCTAGTATAGCAGAACTTAGACATTGAGTGGAATTCTTTTGTGTCTTTCTCTGCATAGCTAAAATGTGTTAGCTAGATCTCTACATGTTGCTTTAACACCCTCTGTGACAATCCATTCGAAATAGGATTTCACTTATGTTCTATAACAGATTGACTTTTTATCGAGGTTAGTTAACTTAATTTGACTAGGAAAGGAATGGAAAAGGGATGGTGGTTTTCATTAGCCAGATAGATAGTGGCCTACAGAATAAAAACAGCCTTTTACATTTGTCTTACTCCTTTCTGTTGGCATACCTAAATATAAGGTTTTGTGAATCTCTAGAATGTGGGCCTATGTGTTTTGGAATTGGATGGGGCATATAGGAAGGTGGTTGTAAATATACTAGAGCAAATCTCATAATTAGAGGACTTTCCTTGGAGTGCTATTGGATGTTTTTTGCACTTCAAACTCACACTAGGGAGACGGGCCTTTGAATGGTGGTCTCTGGAATTAGACTTGCTGATTTAATTCCTGACTTCCTACTTATTAGCTAAGTATCCTCCCATTGGTGACATAAACACCTTATGTCTCATTTTTTCTCATCTCTCATATGGGAATAAAGATATCTATCTTATAGGGTTTTTGAGTAGATTGAATAAGATAATATCTATAAAATACTTGAAATAGTGCCTGGCCCATGATAAGTGCTCAATAAATGTTATAGGAATAAAATATTATGTAAATATATAATATTTAATATCAATAGGGGAACATTTAATACATACATATGGTTTCTGAAATTCATAGGATATAATCTCTCTACATATAGACAAGAATTTCTTCTGTAATCCTCAGAAGGCCATTGTTTATTCACATTCTCTTCAGTTGTCCATTGTCATACTTCTGTGTATCTTAGGTTCTTTAAATGTAGAATGAAGAAAAGTGTATCTCATAGATGTAAAACGCTTAGCAAATAAAAAGTGCTCAGTAAATGTTAATTTTGATCAAGGGAAGGGAAGAGGAAATGAGAGATAGAAATGAGAGGGAAAAAAGTGAGAGATGAATTCTGAAAAAAGTAGAGAGAAGAAACTCAACTATTATCCTCTATTTTTCATTTCCTTGGTCTGTTCTTTCTCTAGATTTTCCAAATTTTTAGAAGTTTTAGCATATCTGTACTTAAAGTGAAGGTAACACTCTTCTATCTACTTCAGAGCAGAAGGACAAAGTGCAATTATCTTCCATTATATCATTTATAAACAAACAGGAAAGAAATTTTAGGTGATAAATAAGAAATCTAGCCAACTTAAACATTGTTGTCATCAGCTCAACACACTTTCTTCTGACATTTCCTTGTGTCAAGAATTATTTAATAGACCCAAACTCTGAATAAACTGATGAGTAAATGAAGGAATGAATGATGTATCAATGAAAAAGAGTCTTTTTTAAAAAAAAAGTTATAATATTTTGTCTCACTTTTTCACCCAGTTCTGTAGCAGTTTTCCTTTCTTAAGCCTTTGGGTCTCCATCTATCAGCCTTCCCTGAGCAAACCTTGTTTTAAATCAAGAATACAGATTGCAAATTCCAAAGGAGTTTACCATCTGTCTAAGTCAGTTTGGGCTGCTATAACAAAAGACCATAGACTGGGTGGCTTATAAACAACAGAAATTTCTCGCAATTCTGGAGGCTGAAAGTCTGAGATCAGCATGCCAGCCCGGTTAGGTTCTGGTGGGGGCTATCTTTTGGATTACAGACTGCTGACTTTTTATTGTATTCTCACATGGCCTCTTTATAAGGTCATTTATCCCATTCATGAGGGCTCCAACCTAATTACCTTCCAAAGAGCCACCTCCTAATGCTGTTAGGCATTATCAGCAGGGTTAGGATTTTAACATGAATTTTGAGGCACACAAACATTCAGTCCACAGCACCATTCAAATTTACTGGATCAGACCCATGTCATGATAACGGTATTTGCCACTTAATATTCATTTACTTAATCAGACTCACTGTAAGGTTAAGTTTACTTTAGGAAAGAAGTAGAGGTTGGTTTTGTGGTTTACTGCCCCTCTTAGTCTTCTGGGGCTCATGCTCAGACTGTTAAGGAGTGTTGTAGGATGATCGAAACAAGAAAGAATTCAATCTACTGGTAAAAAAGTTACTGGTAATTAAGAAATATACCAGCTCTTCCTCTAGAATAAATGTCTGTTTTAGTATGGATTTTTCCATCCTAGATTTATGATTATTAATGATCATATATCATTTAGGGCCCTAATCTAATAGTTTACTGATTTTATTTAGCAATTTTTGTCCATTTTCCTTCACGTAGGTGATTTCAGTTACATAAGCCATGTGTAGGACTCCGTATTTTTATGGGGAAAAATTATTTCCAAGCTTGTGTATTGTAAATATACCAAATTTGTTTCCTTTGGCTTTGCTATACTGTTCATTTTATTTATTATTTCAGGGAATTCCAGGATTTGCTGGTAATATTGGTTCACCCGGTTACCCTGGCAGGCAGGTGCAGTAACTATATTTAGACTTTTCTCTTTGTGTTCCTATTTATTAATACATTGTATTTCTGATTTTGAGAATTAATGTTCAAATAGTTTTTTTATTAAATAATGAATAACTCATAGAGAAATAATTTCAAAATCAAAGTTGTAGAAATCCATTACAATTTTTCTTCAGAAAGTTTTATTTAAAATTGGAAGGGGGATTTTAAATATGTTTGATGTGATGTACAATGGAACCTTCAAAATTAAAATGCACAAGTGTTAATAAGTTCTTAAAACAGTCCTGATTGTGATTTTACAATACTGTCACTGAACAAAATGAAGTAATAGTAAGAGTTAAGACTCTCTGTAATAAACATCATTTTTTAATAACACAGTTATAAAAATTTGAGAAACAGTATACCACTACCAAACACTTTTATCTGAACTGAATTCAGTTATTTGTATACTATTTTTAAAATGCATTCTAATCATTTTAAATGTATTCCCTTATAATTTCTAACTTTCTGTACTTCATGTAGATTAATAATAGAACAAGCTTTCTTTCATAAGTTTTCATGAATTGATTACTTCTAAAATTAATTAAATGTATAAAGTTACATTTATCTTTTTTATTCTCAAGAATGAGGGAAATAAGAAAAAAATTGTTAACAAAATTCCATTTTTTAGGACTTTAAAAACACTTAGAGGTACTCTATATTAGACTCTTACTCTCAAGTGATAATATATGTTATATAATAAATATAAAACATGAATATGTAAATATATGGACATTGATCTAAAGTTTAAAATAAATTTTAAAAAAAATTTATGGGCCTATCTTTTAGAATAAGTTAATTAGAAATGTTTTAAAACAACACAGTCTTCCAATGAGAAATAATGTAATGAAAAAAATTTTAAAAATCTGACAATGTGTTAATGTACTTTATTTATATATCTAAAATATATTGTGTATAGATTATTTCCAGTGCCTCTTTTGATTCAGAAATTCTAAAATTCCTTGAACATTGGTAATCTTCATTAGTTATACAGAGTTCTGAATTCTATAGTTTTGAAAATGATAGCTCTTTATATGGCCTTTTTATTAATCTATTTATTAACTCTTTAAAAAGTACTGTAGTATGATGACAATGTCTTTTGTTTACACCAGGGTTTAGCTGGACCAGAAGGTAATCCAGGTCCTAAAGGTGCACAAGTAAGTAGGCATTTCCATCATTCTGTTAAGCATGCTTGCCTAAAAGTAGAATGAAATATATAAAACACTTAGCATTTTTACACTCTCTTAGTAGCTTTGAATTTAATTCAAATGTAGCCTGAATATACTTGCTTACTGCAGTTGCTTTCACTTCTATGATGACAGAAAACAGTCTCATTGTGGTAGGTTTTGCATCATTATTTTATATTTATTTCCATAGCATAATGTCTGGCATGTTAGAATGTGCTCTGTAAACATTTGTAGTGTTATTTATATATGAATGGATACAGACCTAAGGAAGTCATCATGGAAAAAATATGAAGAGGTAAAGAAATTCATAGTAGTTCAAGGCTGAGATCATTTTATTATACAAAAACTGTCAGGAGTAAAGAAATATCTACAAAGAAAGAAATAACCTTATTGTATCCAGAACATCCCATTTCACTCCCAAACCATTAAAGGAAATGTTAGCCATTTTTATTCACTAAGGAAGCAAAATAAACATTTCTATATTATATTGTATTAGTCACTTTTTGCATCACTATAAATACCTGAGGCTGGGTAATTTATAAAGAGCAGAAGTTTAATTGGCTCATAGTTGTGCAGTCCATGCAGATATGGCTCCAGCATTTGCATCTTGTGAGGGCCTTAGGAAACTTATAGTCACAGCGGAAGGTGAAGGGAGAGCAGACAATGTCACAAGGCGAGAGTGGGAGTAAGAGAGAAAAACGGAAGGTCCCAGACACTTTCAAACAACCAGATCTCATGTGAGTTGAGAACTCACTTGTCACCAAGGAGATGATGCTAAACCATCCACGAGGGATCCGCCCCCCAATCCAGTCACTTCCCACCAGGCCACACCTCCAACATTAGGAATCATATTTTAACATGCGATTTGGAGGGGACAAACATCCAAACCATATCATATATGTAGTGTATAAAATAAAAAATATGTTTTTAAAATTCTTTATTTTTAATAGCCAAATATTTTTCAAAGTCTACATTTGTGCCTTATATTATCTAAAATGCAATATTTTTTGTTGTTGTTGTTTTTGTTTTGTGTTTTTTTTTTTTGGTGAGACAGAGTCTTACTCTGTTGCCCAGGCTGGAGTGCAATGGCACAGTCTAGGCTCACTGCAACCTCTGCCTCCCGGGTCCAAGCGATTCTCCTGCCTCAGCCTTCCAAGTAGCTGGGACTACAGGCACGTGCCACCACACCAGGCTAATTTTTGTATTTTTAGTAGAGACAGGGTTTCACCATGTTGGCCAGGCTGCTCTCAAACCCCTGACCTTGTGATCTGCCTGCCTCAGCCTCTCAAAGTGCTGGGATTACAGGAGTGAGCCACCAGGCCCGGCCTAACATGCCTTTTAAAAAGAAGTAAAGCATAAGGTATTTAAACAATATGTGCAATAATGATGTCTTACATTTTAAAAAAGTATTAAACATTTCCAAATACTTTCATATGTATTTTATTCTTTTATTTTGCCATCAGCCCTGTGATGTAGGAGAACAGGCCTGTCATCCCCATTTTACTGATGAGAAAAATAGTAAGCTAAGGAACTTACTTGATCTGGCAAAGTTATAGCTGGCTAGAACTAGAACCAATGTCTTTTCACCTTTAGCCCTGACCTCTTTTCATGAGCTCATGCTGTCTTTGTTCTTGCATTAAGTAATCACATAATGAGGAAAAGTCATGTACTTTTTATTAGAAATTGCACTGAAAACACATGTTGACTTGGATTTGGGAAGCCAGAAGAGATTAGTGGTCAAGAACATGGGCTGTGGAGTTAGATAGGCTTTTTTTTTTTTTTTGAAACAGAGTCTCACTCTATGGCCCAGGCTGGAGTACAGTGGTGTGATCTCGGCTCACTGCAACCTCCACCTCCCAGGTTCAAGTGATTCTCCTGCCTCAACCTCCTGAGTAGCTGGGACTACAGGCGCCTGCCACCACACCCAGCTAATTTTTGTATTTTTAGTAGAGATGGGGATTCATATTGGCCAGGCTGGTCTCGAACTCCTGACCTTGTGATCTGCCTGCCTCAGCCTCCCAAAGTGCTGGGATTACAGGTGTGAGCCACCGTGCTCAGCCCCTTAATACTTCTTTTACTAGCTTTGTGACTTTTGATGTTATTCAGTCTCTCTGTGCTTCATTTTTCTTATCTCATTATTTATTAAATGGTCATGATGAAACTTACTTTTCAGGTAGTTGTGAAAAATTAAACAAGATGAGCATTCTTAAGGTATAGGGCATAGTGTATGCATGTATTTACTATATAGATTCTATAATTATTATTTGAATTTGAGAGTGTCTTCTGTTCAATAACTAGTAACTCCAAGGAATATATGCAAAATATATTTGGCACTGTACAACTTACTCTTACTGCGTTTTGTCATCTTGCTTCAGTGATCCATATAACTGTGTTCTTCCATGTACCATTTTTGCATTGTATTATACATCCTTTTGTTTTTTCCTTTTCCCATTTGTATTGAAAATTGTTTTCTAGGCTGTAACCCTCTTAAGTTGTACTTTTAGTTAAGTTTTCACACTTTAGTTAGGTTTCACACTTGGGAGTGTGATTGGAATAAGGAGGGAATTTCACATTCATAAAGGGTCTCAAATGTAGATTTAAAAATTATTTGAAATTTAGGGGTATATGTGCAGCTTTGTTACATGGGTATATTGTGTAATGCTGAGGTTTGGGCTTTTAGTGATCCTGTTGTCAAAGCAGTGAACATAGTACCCAATAGGTAGTTTTTCAACCCTTGCCTTTTTCTGGCCCTCCCTCCTTAGGGAATCTATAGTGTTTATTTTTCCTGTCTTTGTGTCCATGTATACCCAATGTTCAGCTCCCATTTATAAGTGAGAACATGCAGTATTTTGTTGTCTGTTTCTGTGTTAATTTGCTTAGGATAATGGCCTCCATCTGCATCCATGTTGCTGCAAAGGATAGGATTTTGTTCATTTTTATGGCACTGTAGTATTCCATGGTCTATATGTACCACATTTTCTTCATGCAGTCCACTGTTGATGAGCACTTGGGTTGATTCCATGTCTTTTCTATGGTGAATAGTACTGCAATAAACATATGAGTGCAGATGTGTTTTTGGTAGAATTATTTATTTTTCTTTGGGTATACACCCAGTAATGAGATTGCTGGGTCAAATGGTAATTCTATTTTTAGTTCTTTGAGAAATTTCCAAACTTCTTTCCACAGGGGCTGAACTAATTTGCATTACCACCAGCAGTGTATAAGTGTTCCCTTTTTCCTGAAACCTCATCAACATCTGTTATTTTCTGACTTTTTAATAATAGCTCTTCTGACTGGTGTGAGATGGTATCCCCTTGTGGTTTTGATTTGAATCTCTCTGATTAGTTACGTTGAGCATTTTTTCATGTTTTGGGGCCGCTTATATGTCTTCTTTTGAGAAGTGTCTATTCATGTCCTTTGTCCACTTTTTAATAAAGTTATTTGTTTTTTTCTTATTGATTTGTTTAAGTTCCTTGTAGATTCTGGATATTAGTCCTTTGTCAGATGCATAGTTTGAAGATATTTTCTCCTGTTCTGTAAGTTGTCTATTTACTCTGTTGATGGTTTCTTTTACTCTGCAGAAGACCTTTAGTTTAATTAGGTTACAATTGCCAAATTTTTTGTTACATTTGTTGCTTTTGAAGATTTAGTCACAAATTCTTTGCCTAGGCCGGTGTCCAGAAGGGTATTTCCTAGGTTTTCTTCTAGGATTATAGTTTGAGGTCTTACATACTAAGTCTTTAATTCATCTTGAGTTAATTTTTATATATTAACTCAGTCAGAGGTAGGAGTCCAATTTCATTCTTCTGCATATGGTTAGCAAGTTTTCCAGCACCATTTATTGAACAGGGTATTCTTTCCCAATTATTTATTTTTGCCGACTTTGTCGAAGATCAGTGGGTAGTAGGGTGCAGCTTTATCAAGTATAGATTTTTAGCATTAACTTAAAATCTAGTTAAAAAGGCAAAAATCATAGAAACACACTCATAGGATACATGTTTTTCACTTAATTTGTGTCCTGTTACTGGTAAATTCTAAATGTTATGCATTGTACATGAATATTTTCATGAATCATGATAAATTAGCTTTTCATTGGCAGTTATTTGTTGGTATTTTTTGGTATTAGCAGAAATATTTTGTCAAATGTAAATGTTTAAAACACATCATAATTTTTAAACCCTTCTTTGGCATTTCCTTATGTAATAATGTGCTAGCTGCCCCCAAAAGTAAAAGTATATAGAACCTCTCCCGACCTTCTGGTGGTCCTGCTGGTGACACAAAATTGCTTCTAACTGGATCTACAACCTTCAAACCAAAAAGCAAAAACATGTGTTATTATTTTTAATGTTCTTTGTTTCATTACACGGTAAACTCTAGTTTCATGGTGGTATTTTGAGAATGACCTCAACTCTGTGGTTTCTTTGGTACTGCTGACATCTTATTTCTGTTAGAATCAGTGTAATGATGATCAAGAAACCTCTATGAAACACCTAAGCAATTACTTATAACATTATTCTATTTAAAATATCTAATTGTAAAATGTTCCCTTTACACTCTGTACAGGCTATGTTGGAGTTCTGACTTCAGTTCTTGAGTTATCAATTGATTATTTAGTTCACTGATAAGTATATACCAGTTAGAGTGTCTTTTCTTTTTATTTATAACCAAAACTCCTGTTGTATATATTAAAACAAATGTTAGCTGACTTTACACTTGAAGTCATCAACAGATGATTCTGAAAATGTACACAGCTTGTCATCATAATCCTAAATGCTCTAGTATCAGAAATACTTTTGTATGATTCACTTTAAAAGAAACATTTCCCATTCTCCAACTGCTTGGCTTTCAAGTAAGAAAATCATAGATGTTTCACTTTATTAAAGTTATGTATAAAGGAACAAATTCTCTCTCTCCCTCTTTTCTTTTAATTTTTGCTTGTTCATACAATCTGTGGAACATAAGGCAATTTCAGGCACCTTTGACAAGGAAAAACACCTAAAAAAGTTTTCAAGATGGATGGTGGCAACTTTTTTAATGGCAATACTTAACTAAATTCTAAGGAAATAAAACCTTCCAAAAGTTTTATTCCAGGCAACTTAGATATGATTCTTGAGACATTTATCTCTTTCTTTTTAAAATAAAGAACATAAAATATATATAACATAAAATTTTTTCCATGTATAAACCCTCTTAAAGTATGTGGTCAGTGGCCTTAAGTACATCCAATTGTTGTACAACCATTGCCACCATCCATCTTAAAAACTTTTTTCATCTTCCCAAACTGAAACTCTGTACCCAATAAACAATTCCCCGTTCTCCACTCCCAGTCCCTGGCAACCACCATTCTACTTTCTGTCTGTATGAATTTGACTACTATAAGTACATCATGCAAGTGGAATCATACACTATCTGTCCTTTTGTGACTGGCTTACTGCACTTAGCGTAATTGTCTTTAAGGTCCAT
The DNA here is from genome assembly GCF_000001405.40 of Homo sapiens. Lineage (NCBI taxonomy): Eukaryota > Metazoa > Chordata > Mammalia > Primates > Hominidae > Homo > Homo sapiens. Next base: position 86,052,437 of record NC_000001.11, on the reverse strand, counting down.
CTATGTTGTGGCAGTTATCAGCATCCTTCTTTTTTAAGGCTGAATAATATTCCATTTCATGTATATACAACATTTTGTTTATTCATTCATCTGTTAATGAACATTTACGTTGCTTCTATCTTTTGATAATTGTGAATAATGCTGGAATGGGTATAGAAATAACAATTACTTTTTTAATGCTTGAATTCTTCAGTATTTGTTATTATGGAAGTATTTACTCTGAAAAATCACCCATTCTGTGATTCAAAATAAGAAACCTTTATTTAGAACTTAGTAAAATTGACCTACTGTATCTCTACTTCAATTTCTTTTAAACTTTGGCTTTTCTCTGCATCCATAAAACTACTCTTCTCTCACACCCCTATTTCACCCTCTGTCTGATCAGTGATAATTTTTCCTAATATTTTCTCCTCAAAGCTTTAGTCTGTCTTTAAGACTTCAGACATATCTGTCCTTCAGACTTTTTTTCTCTATGAGCTTTTTCTATGAACCCCACATCTCCCAACTCCCTGCCATGATAATTACATTTGAATATCTCATTATAATCACAAATTCAAAATAACTAACAAAACTCATCCTCTTTATATCAAACTCAGGTTTTCTATTTGTTTTCCATATTTCTATCAGTGGTTAACATTTGTCTATCAGTCCAGCTGTAAACTTTAGAGTCATCTTTCTCTTGATTCTTATAGACAGATAGAGACCTATGTGACCCACTGTAATCCAAGTGAATTTATAAAGTGAAAATATGATTATATGAAAACTGTGTCTTAAGTTTTTTTAATGACTCACAGTGTAAATTGCAGACTTTCCATCATAACAAAAAAGACTCTTCATGACATGACCCCTTGCCACCCTTTCCAAACTCACCTCTTGCCCACCAATCACACAGACTATTTGCAATTCTTTGCAAATGCTGTGTCATTTCATTCTGATTGATTGACTGATGGCACATTGTTAGCCCTGCCTTTTCTTTTCTTCAGGACTTAGCTCAAATGTTGCTTCCTCAGTAAAGCAAAGCACCATTAATCTTCTCTCTAGGCAAAGTTGGTCATTCTGCTTCCAAAGTTCCCATTGTCTATTTGTCATATCACCTATTGCATAATCATGTAACAATTATCAAATGATGTTACAGTTATTTATTTGTATGACCCTCTTTCCCAATAAACTATGTACTTTTTGAGGGCATTGATTTTCATATGCATCTTTATAAACCCCAAATCTTTATAGACACAAAATGGCTACTAAAATAATGTTTGTTGAACCAGTGATCTGGACCCGTAAACCTTCAAATTTAGACCACTTAAAGAGCCTTCTAACAGGTTGGCCTATATTCAGTGTTTCCTGTCATGGCTGTATGCTGTATCCTATCAACAGATTAATCTTTTAGAAATACAGCATAACATCAGTGCATTACCATACTCCCTAAAATCAGTAGCTTCCATTTGTCTAATATATACAGTCTAAAATTTTTATTCTGAAATTTAAGACTCTCCTTAATCTAGCCCCTAAACTACCATACACTTTATCTGTAAAATTGATGAAATGGGTTATTTCCCACAAGTGAGATATAACTAAGTTACATTAGAATAAAGTGCCTTGCATTGTTATTTATATGTATCCCTTGTTTCTCAGATCAGATTGGAATCTTTATTAAGGCAGGGTGGGTCTTACACATAAAGCTAACATATAAAACCATCTTACACACAAAGTATATTATGTATAAAATGTGATCAATTACTATTTACAAACACTCCCCAATTGTTACCATTAACAAAGACTTCCTATTATGTCTCTATTTACCAAGATTTTACCTATTCTCTAGACCTATCTCAAGTGGTAATCTCCTTTGAAGCCTTCTTTGATTGCCTTTGCCTCCTGCCACATTGAAATGTATCTCTTCCTCCACTGTACTTCTTATACTTATATTCTTATATTCTTTTGATACCTCCATTCTGTCTTAAATTTTAGCTAATCATATACATATATTTTCTGCCCGCTATAAAATTTAGTGAAGGAAATTATTTGGGCTTATTTTTAATAGCCACCATTTCTTAAATTATATTTTGTATAATTTTTAATGGGAAGATTGATCTTTAACTTCTGGAAGAAAAGCAATTAGGTGAGGGGAAGTTATTCGCACTTGTAAGTCTTGTAATTTCGTACTACTACAAATAAAATTTTAAGTACTTCTATTCAGAATCACTTATGGGGAGAATATTCAAATGAACTAATATACAGACTATTTTCTTGTTTTAAGGGTTTTATTGGCTCTCCTGGAGAAGCGGGACAACTGGGACCTGAAGGAGAACGGGTAAGTCCATTCCCTTCAAATAGTATTTCTAAAGTGATATACTTGTGATAATGTACAATGGGGGTCATAAAATCAGATGTCAGGGAAGTAATCTTACTGAGTTAGCAAGCCAGGTTGAAGAAAAATCACCTGCCAGAAATGTAATTTGACTTTTGAAAATCTTACTGAATTTTGTTAAAGGAAAGTAATATAGCATGATAGAAATATAATTGTACTTTAAGTTCAAATTTTTGAAAATACACCAAAATATTAAAATATCTAATTATGAAATTTTTATTTTGTAATTCATTATAATGAATTACAAAAGTATATGTCAAGAGTATAAATTCTTGACAGGTCTTGATTTTGAGAGCAATATACAGTAAAGAATTTAGCCTCAGAAGATATATTTTTGTTTAATTTAATAATGGGAGATAGCTGTTAATAAATATGGGTACTTATAAGTAAAGATAGAACCTTTGCAAAATGGTTTGTTATACTAAAAAGATTAATGAAGTTAATTATGGGAGTTATGGCATTGCAGCTTCATCATATCTAGTTTTCAGTGCTATATGCAATCTGTATGCAGTAATTTATCTTTGTATTCCTTCATTTACATTGCCAGTATTAATTGAAAACAGTAGAATTGAACAATATTAGTAGATTGTCATAGAATTTGAAATTAGAGAGTCATTCAGCCTTCACCCCTATCATTATAAGAATGTAGTTCAGGCCAAAATTTTCATTTCTGGCAAGTGATTTTTGCAAATGAAAGTGAACCAGATTCATTGCTAAATGAATTTTTCAAATAAATAGTTTTCAGTGAGTGAGTTAAATTATATTTTCTTGTAATTACTTGTGAATGCCCCTGCAGAGAAGAAATAATCAAAGAGTTTAAATATGCTGTAATGACAATCAAAATGTCTAGCCATCTTTGGTGAGATGAGGTAAAGATTTTCCCCTGGTGAACATAGCAAGTTGTTTTGTTCAATAGCAAAAAACATCTTAAGCATAATTCCACAACTAAGCCACCTAACCTTCATGTACTACAGCAAACTAACGGAGGATGTATCTCACCGATCACGCAGAGAATTGATCTGCTACTTCTTGACCCAATGGTTCCAGTTTACGTTGTTAATTACTCTGCTGTTCGTGATAACAATCCTTTTCTGATCCTTTGACATGAGCTTATTTCTTGTAAATTATTTAATAAACCAAAATTATATGTCCTTGTAAAATGTTGTCATCTTGGATTTAATGATCTTAAGCCCAGTGTTGACACTGGCCATCAATAGGCACATTGCTGTAATCACACTCACTAATTTTTAGCAGTCTATATGAAAATATCAAGACCTGGCCGGGCACAGTGGCTCACGCCTCTAATCCCAGCACTTTGGGAGGCCGAGGCGGGTGGATCATGAGGTCAGGAGATCAAGACCATCCTGGCTAACACGGTGAAACCCCATCTCTACTAAAAATACAAAAAATTAGCCGGGCCTGGTGGTGGGCGCCTGTAGTCCCAACTACTTGGGAGGCTGAGGCAGGAGAATGGCATGAGCCTGGGAGGTGGAGCTTGCAGTGAGCCGAGATTGCACCACTGCACTCCAGCCTGGGCAACAGAGCAAGACTCCATCTCAAAAAAAAAAAAAATCAAGACCTGTCTTAACATATAAATACACAAGATCAGTTTGTGATATTGGGCCCCTCACGGGTACTGTGTCCTAATATTATTTGGCTATGTCAAAATTTTCATTAAAACTGTGAATGATGTAGCTAAAAGGGTGTTACGTTATAAAATGTTTAAGTACAAAAAAGCAGAAGAAAATAAGATAGAGTAATGCTAACTATTGCTGAAAACAAATGGAAAGAAGTCATTTCTGGGAGTCAATATTGTACATTACATGCATATTGTGTGTATACACATATGTACACATATGAAACATGTACACATATATACATGTATATATATGAAAAATGCTTATATAATTCTGTCTGCATTATTTGGCTTCTTGATGAGATTTAGGGAGGCTACTGAAAATTTAGGAAATAATTATTCTATTTTTTTAAAAAAGATTGTTTGTATTATGTAAATATACATAAAGTCTTAATGAAATGAGTCCTCTTGCTCACCTATGAACTCTTTTTTGATGATCAGATACATGAGTATTTTTTAAACACTGTTGACTTGAAAGTGAATGGATTGTTTCAGCCAGTGATGTCTTCTAACTTACCTGTATGTACTATTAATCTCAAGCTACATGGTTGTGACAGACTGCTTAGTCTGCAAATCTCAAAGTGATAGTATCAAGTAAGATGCTTTAATCTGCAAGTAACAGAAAACCACAATTCAAACTGGCTTAAATATAAAGATATTTTTAATGATGATGATGAAAATAGCAAATGATTTACTGAATGGTTTTATATATGTACATATATATAAAAAATTTTAATAAATGGTTTTACATACATGAATTAACTTCTTTATTTATATATGTATATATACATGAAGATTTTAATAAACATATATATGTGTGTATATATACATGAATTAACTTCTTTATAAATAAAACCATTTATTGAATGATAGGTATTGTTATTCTTCTCATCATAGATGAAGAAAATGAGGCACACACAGAGGAAGTATTTTGTCTTAGACTATATACAGGAAGTAAGAGCAGACCCAGGATTTGGACAAGGTTTTGTCTGGCTCCAAAGCCTGGGTACTTAAGTACTGTACCCTACTGCTTCTTACATGACCAGAAATCCATAGGTTAGGTGGGCTGTAGATTCATCTCTCTGCTTTACCTTTTCTAATGTTGTCTTTACCCTAAGGCTTATTTCCTATATGATTGCAAGATTGCCAGTGCACAGGTTAAATGTGTCCTTGTTTATATCCAGATAGAGAGGGGAAGGCAGAGAGGAGGGCGTTGTCCCTTAGATGTGGAAAATAAGACCTTCGTGTTCATCTAGTTGTGCCAACTTTGGTAATATGCCTGTCTCTGGACAAATAGCTATCACCAGGGAAATGTCAAGATCCCATTTGGAAGTATAGATGGGATAGATTCCTGAATAAAAGCAGAATTTTGTTTTGAAGAAGGAAAGGGGCTGCCTCAGTTAAATTAATATATTGAGGCTTTTCTGAATATCACATCAGTTTATAGAACAATTTGTTTTTGTCTTTTTCATACTTTATTGCTTTATATTGGGAGAAAAAGATCTATAGTACCTAATTCATTCATTCAACAAATATTTCCTTTTTCTTTTCTATATTCTAGGGCATTCCTGGGATCCGTGGAAAGAAGGGTTTTAAGGGGAGACAGGTATCTTAATTTGTGTTTTTTGAGGTTTATTTTACAGCAATATAACCTGGTTATGTGTTCTTACTTATTAAAATGTGAAGATACTTTTTGCTTTTTGTTGTTGTTTATAATCATTCCATTTTAATTTTTGCCTCTTGAATAGTGTATCAAATAATACCTGAGGATATAAAGGAAAATTTAGATTAAAAAATAACTGAACTTTGAACACTTCTAACCCTTTCACTATACCAGTGGGAAAACCCTTATCTCTACGGCAAGGAGCTAAAATGTCACAGAAAATACGTGAAGAACTTAAAACACAAATGGTAGTACTCTTAACCTACTCTACATGACCAGATGTTGTAGAGGTTCAATCTCATGTTCTGGAGGTTTTTAAAATGCGTGCTTCAGCTGTTAATTCAGAGATTAGTTTGCAACAGCTTCTCATATTTTCAGGTTAAAAAAAATCCAGGAAAGTGAATTTTACTAGGTAATATAATAATTTCAGAGATGGGAGGAAATTGTGACATCATCCAGTACCCCATTGCTTAACAAATGAGAAAAATGTGGTCCAGAGAGGCATCCTGAGGTTCTTCTTGTTAAGCTAGTATAGTCTGTGAAGATAAAAAGTGAGATTTTCATTACAACTTTTCTAAAATTTTGTGTACCTGAATAAAATCTTAATGATAATACTAAAGGACTGCAGCTCTCACCAGAATACTCAAATCATTTTGTAACATTTATCCTTCAAGCTTTGCAATATTCTTTGAAGGGAAAATAGAGTAAGTGTTAATGTCACCATAATATAGGTGAGTAAAATAAAGCTTAGAGATGTTAAAAGACTTGCTCAGATCAGATAGTTAAAAGTGGTAAAATCAGTAATTGAGCAAAGCTCCACTGAATCTAAATCCAGAATCCTTTTCCTTACTGCCTAGATATTTCTGCTCTGTCTTCTACTCACAGTGCTTAGAAGAGGCATGAATTGTTTCTTCATGACGTCTGGCCAAAATGAGATACAGTTATTTTAAAGTTTAAAGATTTTAGTGTATTAAGATAAACTTACCAAACTGTCAAGAAATACAAAATAAGCCAAACATTTTGTTTCCCTGCATTTACATTGAACGTAGAAGCTAATCTTATAATGGTTATAACAGTAGAAACTGCCATCACCGTTGCTATTATCACCCTTTTTAAGTTCTCAACACTGTGATAAGTATTTTGTATGCCATCTCATTTAACTATACTCTGTTACACTTGAATACATTGGTGTGTTAATTTTTTTTTTTATGTTTTAGCTCTCATACACATATCCCAACAGAAAATACCTTTCTATTTATTGGGTATCCAATTTCTAATCTAAAATTCTAAAAATTAACAATAGGTGGTTTGTTTTCTTTAGTCTTATTTACTCCATTCTGTATCTTCAAATTTTCACCCTTCTCCTATCAATGTATGCTATTAATAAAAGGACCAATAAAATCATCTGCCATAATACACGAATTACTTCCAATGCTTAAAATGCTACCTTACCCTTTACTAAGTAGGTACAGTCTGAAGGCTGGGCGCGGTGGCTCACACCTGTAATCCCAGCACTTTGGGAGGCCGAGTCGGGCAGATCAGTTGAGGTCAGGTGTTCGAGACCAGCCTGGCCAATATGGCAAAACCCCATCTCTACTACAAATACAAAAATTAGCTGGCTGTGGTGGTGGGTGCCTGTAATCCCAGCTACTCAGGAGGTTGAGGCAGGAGAATCACTTGAACCCGGGAGAATAAGGTTGCAGTGAGCTGAGATCGTGCCACTGCACTCCAGCCTGGGTGACAGAGTAAGACTCCATCTCAAAAAATAAAAACAAAAATAAAAATAAATTAAAAATAAAATAGTCTTAAGAAAAAATAACTAATCTGCATTGGTGGAATTTTAGACATTGATGAGCAAATTGAGTATTTTCTCAAAACCCTTGTTATATATCACTTAGATAACCACCAATTATTTCATTTGATAATATTGCTGATCTCATGTAGACATCAACTTGATTTTGGCTTTGGCAATGTACAGGTAATTTCTATTCCTACTATAATGAATTATAAAATTATTCAGAGACCTTTATAGACAACTTCTGGTTTTGTAATCCATAGGGAATTATGAAATTATCCAACAGGAGTCTATTGAATTTAAAAAAGGAGTTTAAGAAGACAGCTGAAAAATAGTGAATGAAATGATTATGGGGCTCTTGTTTGATTGCACTGTTCTTCTTATTACAAAATTTTCAAAGTTTTATTGCTTTTAAAATATATGCATTTGTAATAGATTTAGATCTTTAGAAAAATTGTATTTGAAAAACACATAATATTCATTTTTTCTGACTAATGTTTATTTTAAAGTCTGTCTAGTACCGTAATATATTATGTATGCTATATGTACTTTTTCTCATTTTTACTGTAAAATCATTTGTCTATATTTATAAGGAAAATGTGAATACTTAGAATAAAATACAGTTATAGCCACATGTCAACTTATGGCAAGGGTGACCTTAGAGACTGTCCCAGAATATGTTATCCTATGTATAAATGGCCCCCTTATTCTTTCTGTTTATTATAAATAAAATCATCTTCAAAAGGTATTATGCACCATAGGATTCTTGTACTTCAATTTAGATGGTTAAAATTCCATGAGAATCATGGTCATTTATTACTGTTTTAATAACAGTAAAAGGAAAAGATCTTTTGATAATCTTTCCATTCTCTTTGATGTCGAAAAAAGTAGGTGTGTAGAAGATGAATATGGTCATGTTCTCCTGGTAATTTATTAAATTATGTGTACTATCAATTGTGAAATACAGAACAGAACTAAAAGATTCCAGGCTACTATGAAGTAGATGGATGACACCTATACATTTGAATGTGATAGAAACCTGGAAATGCTGAAATCTGAACGTGCCAGTATCTGAGAAACTTTTGGTTTTGCATAAGTCAAAAACTGTTTTAATTTTCTGCTGGTTTGAGAGCTATTTAGAAGTTTGAGCCGGGCATGGTGGCTCATGCCTATAATCCCAGTGCTTTGGGGGGCCGAGGCGGGCGGATCATGAGATCAAGAGATCGAGACCATCTTGGCCAACATGGTGAAACCCTGTCTCTACTAAAAATACAAAAATTAGCTGGGCGTGGTGGTGTGTGCCTGTAGTCCCAGCTCCTCAGGAGACTGAGGCAGGAGAATCGCTTGAATCCAAGAGGCGGAGGTTGCAGTGAGCTGAGAGCGTGCCACTGCACTCCAGCCTGGCAACAGAGCGAGACTCCATCTCAAAAAAAAAATGAAAAATAAAAATAAAAAGAAGAAGTTTGGATTGATGTTTCATTGTAGTGCTGCTGTGTAGATGCAATATTATTTCATTTACTATCATTAGTAGAATCGTATTAGAAGATGTACTTTATCACAACTATTACCCTTAATTTTTTAAATTAATATTTCTGTTTTTTTCTAATTTTTTTATTTTTTAATTTTTGTGGGTGATAGAAGGTGTATATAATTATTAGGTACACGATATGTTTTGATTTCTGGGTTTTAAATGAGCTGGTTTCCTTACATTTTAGGTAGAGCGATATAGTCAGTCTTATGAGCATGGAGTATGATTCAGTTTTAAATAGTTACAACATATAATTTATAGAACAATAGTAGATATTTTTAGAGAAATCTATAAAGTTTTATTAACATTTTATACTTAGATTTTTTAAGATTCTGAATTTAAGCCCAGAAATTAGTAAATGACTTGACTTTCTGTTTTATGTATTATATGAAACAGTCTAACAGTCAATACAGTGAAAGCAATAGCCATGAAAAACTTCAAAATCTGAGTTCAGGTCTTTCTACCTATTGATCAGGGTCAGTTTCTTTGGACTACTGAATTGGATTCTCAGCTACACAGTAAAGCTTCATGTTTCATATGAATAGTTTGCAAAAATAGTACTTATATTATATATACATATAGCACAGAAATGGACTAAAAGTCTTGTCTAAAATTGTCCAATGAGTTAGTAACATTACTAATTTTACATTTGGGAAGATGTTACTATAAATCACGTGCTCATACTGCTAACCAAATGATCACTTATTTCCCTGAGTAAACACAAAGCACGGAATTAAGTTGTCATGAATGAGCTTAGTGGTGTCTGTATTTTTCTTTTAATGAACTTATAGACTTACAAATAAGAGCTATCTTCTCTTAGTATAAATATTTTATGAATGCAATTGAAATGGACACATTTTAGAATAGCATATTACTTTGGTTATTCAAGAGGTAATTATTTTTTAAAAAGAGAAAATTATTTATTATTTAGCCTCATAATGGTATGTTCAAATTTAACATTTGTGTTAAAATTTATTTCCACTTAAATCTTATTTCCCAGAAAATTCTTTTTTCCCAAAATGAAATGTTATGTTTATTAGATTTAATTGATATTTGTAACACACTTCTTTCTTCAATAAGGGCCATTAGTTTGAAGTAGGAGAATTGTTTTTGTTAGGAATTTGGTATATTTTAGAACCAAAGATTATTTAAAAATAGTTATATTAACAAATTCACTTGTTCCTTGGTCTTATACTGTTGGCATTCGAAATGTTTTTTTTCTTCCTTGTATTTTAAGCCATTTTTGATTTCAGGATTTTAGCATAAGTACTTACTAACCACAACAATTATTTTTAAAGACTTCCTGTAATCACAGTTAATATTAGTCAATGTATGTGTATACTCATGCTTTTGGATAGCGAGGTGTAGTTCTGACTTCTTCCTCTCCTTCCCTCCTGCACTCCCTACATGTCACAATTGGATCAAAACCCTTATTATTAATTAATATTAGAGGATACCCTGGGGCTCTCTGTGCCTTCAATAAAACTAACTGTTGAAGATAGAGAAGCTCAAGAGGCTATTATTGATTCATCCTTTTGCTCTCTATCTGTGGATATTTGAGTTCAACTCAAGTTCATTCTCTGGAGATTTCAGGAAAAGACAAGACAGTGGACAACCTTTATTGGTCAGGAGCCTTTAAACACCATAGAACTACTACTGTTTTGTTTTACATGCTTTAATGTCTTTATTTGAGAATCTTCTTGGAACATATCTGATGTGAGCCAGATTTTTTAAAAGCCTAAGTACACTGATTCATAACAGAAAAGAAGAATCCTGTTTAAAAAAAATAGGGGAGGCAGGGAGAGGGGATTTGTTATGTATTTGATAACTTTAGATTTCTTATACCTCACTCCAAGTAGCTTCCTTTTTAGTGCAAAGTTTCCAAAGTTTATTTTGTAGTGCTACAATCAGGAAATTCTATAGTTGCTTTTAAAAAAAGCATTTACAGAGCTCTCAGCTTGATTTAATCAGTAGTCTCTGTCTTGTACCAAGTTAGCCATGCAAATTTATATGGCTCCACAGACCTAAAAAATTTATGCTAGAACTGACTTGCCAGGATTGAAAATAAACATGAAATTGGAGATGGGAATTGCTTTCAACAACACCTAGAAAACTGCTATCCGAATGCTGATGTTTTTCAAGGAATTTTTCAGACCCTTAGAATGGATTATAAATAATCAAATCACATTACATTTAAAGTTTGACAAAGAGCAAAACTGTACTTAGTTTTCTTCCTCTGAAGATAAAAATATCACAGCCTAGAATGGTGGGCAAAATAACACCCTTAAGGCACCCAGACTTCAGAGATGTTTACTTTTCTAACTATAGAAAGGAGAGCCTGCTCCTCTTTTCTCATATGTTTTTCTGTTAGAAGAGTGTATTTGAAGTAAACTGTATTTTGGCTTCTAAATCTAGAGTTAGAATTTCAGAATATAAAATCCTGGTGTTGGACATCTGTTATTAGTTTTTATCTTTAGCCCAAGACAGTCTTAAATACATATTGCATAGTAGCATCTCAGATACATACATTTTGTGGAGAATTTAGAGACAGTGTTTTTTATTTTGTTTTGTTTTTGTTTTAGGAAAAGAATGCAGTTAATTCTATCATAAAGTACAACTCTAGCTAGAACATTATGAAAAAGTTGTTATTAATTCTTAAGGGATTCTGCCTCCTTCAGGAAAAATGTATTTTCTGGATTCTACTTTACTGGGCATAGTCTGTAGTAGCTATATTTGGCTAACTGTAGTATGACAGGGTGTATGGAAGATTTCAGGACTTTGAATTAACCCCACCACAGGGTTGGCATAGACACTAAGAAGAAGGACACCCAATGAACTACATGTTATAATTTGGAGGAAGTCCAGGCAGAACATAATTGATTTCATAGAGATGTGACACCAATGGATGGGAATATGGCAATTATCTTCAGGGTGGATAACATAAGGGACAACTCAAAGAGCCTTGTAGGGGTGGGGGGAGGGGGGAGGGATAGCATTGGGAGATATACCTAATGCTAGATGACGAGTTAGTGGGTGCAGCACACCAGCATGGCACATGTATACATATGTAACTAACCTGCACATTGTGCACATGTACCCTAAAACTTAAAGTGTAATAATAATAAATAAAATTAAGAAAAGAAAAAAAAAAGAGCCTTGTAGGTTATCAAAATCAGAAGTGTGAGTGCATATATGGCAGTTAGGCCTAGGTTGGGCTCAGGGATTATATTCTCTAGGAGGGCAAATGGCAAGAATAAGGTGGGACTCTTATTATTGAGGGACAGAACATGATGTTGTATACCACATCTGGTTTTTGGACACAAGAAAAAGGACACAACGTGGTATTCAGTCTTTAAGAACAAGGCCGGAACTTGAATCTGGGAACTGAGGCCCAGGTTAGCATTAAGCCTGCCTTGATGCCAAATCTCCATGAATTGGGCCAAACCCCCATGAATTGGGCCAAACCTACTCATGTTTCTGATGAAGTTTAGAATTAGTCTCAATTATGAGGATAGGGTTGACCCTGAGTGTGGATCAAATTGTCCTTGCTGTGAGGAAAAGAAGGGTGAAAAGATTAGATCATCACAGAATACTTCACACTCCAGCCTCTTCCTGTAGTGATCTTGTTTTATATTTGAGGGATTTTAAAATAACAGAATTTCCTGGTAATATGTATTCATATGCAGAATGTGTAAAAATAACTTCTAGGTTAAATTTTAGTGTTTCTAATTCTAGACAAGTTAGTCTGATCCTGTGTTTTCAATGCTTAGTTTTGGAACAAATGATTTCTGTTATGATTATTAATGCTTGTTTAGTATATAACCTTCTATGATAATTTTTATTCATTTCTACTTCAGATTAAATATGTTGTTTCTAAACCTTCCTCTAGAAAGAACAAAATATGTTCTCCAGAAGGGTTTTTGTATTGCTTTTGTTTTTTAAAAATTCTGTAAATATAGTCATTGTGACCATTTTATGGTTATCTTGGTCCTCTTATTTTCCTAGTTATTTTATATACATTTAAACATATTATTTGTGGAGCTAGGAAAATAATGCTTTTACTGGACATGCTAAGCAAGAAGTTTTCCACTGTTTAAACATATTTAAATAGACTACCAAATGTAGTATCTATGAGTGATCTAAAATATTAATATCACATACATGTATTCAGGCCTATCAAGTCTAACAAACTTCTTTTGGTCTTAGTGTTTAATAACTACCATGTTTGATAACAGTACCATTGTTAGACCCAGGCAACAGAGAAACTTGCTCTGGGCTCTGAGCTTTAGAGGGCCCCTGCATATCATACATTTAAAATACTTGAGTGCCTCTGTCATTCAGGATCCAGCACTTAGCACTGGCATCACATGCCCCATAATCCTAGACAGTCACTCTTGTTACTATGTATTAGCTATCTATTGCTATGAAACAAATTAAGTTGGTGGTTTAAAACAACAATAAATATGTATTATTTTTATAGTTTCTGTGGGTCAGGAATTTGGTAGTGGCATAGTTGGGTGGTTCTAATTCATGAGGTTATGGTTAAGATTTTGGTTAGGGCTACTGTCATCTGAAGGCTTGACTGGGGGTTGGAGGATTTGCTTTTAAGGAGGCTCACTTGCTGGCCAAGTTGGTGCTAGTTGTTGATGGGAGGCCTCACTTCCTCCCCATGGAGACCTCTCCACAGTGCTGCTGAATGTATTCAGAACATAGCTTTGGCTTCCCCCAGAGTGAGTGGTGTAAAGATACTACAGCAAGGTGATAGCTGTAGTATCTTTATGACCTAGCTTCAGAAATTACACATTGTCACTTCTATATTCTTTTGGTCACATAGGCCCACATAATTCAGGGTGCGTCTGGACTACATAACAGCATGAATACCGGGAATCAAAGATCACTGAGGTCCATCATTGAGGCTGGGTACCACAGTTTAATAATGTTTAGGCTTCAGAGAAATTCTCCACATCTCTTGCCTGTATTTTCATGTCTGAATGCCATGAAGGTTTTTAAGTGGTACCATTGCTGACATTGGAGACAGAAACTGCTCAAGATTGTGCTAAGGGTTCGAGCAGGCAGTAGAAGCATTTTGATAAAAGGAAAGAGAAATTAATTATCTAATTTTTCTCTCAGCATGAATGCAATAGAATCTTACGTAATAAAAATACTGTTTTCTGGTAATTTTAAGCTTCTATTATCTTTTCTTTCTATTATGATTTATTCTTCCTGAGGTAATAGAATTAGTGTGATATTTGCAAACAGTTGCAATTGGAGACTGACAAGCATTTTCCATTATTAAACAATGCATATTATTATTAAATTTGTCTTTACATAAGTATAGACAAAATTCATGAAGCATGATAAGATTTTTTTTACATTGGCGACAGGTGGACATAAAATGCTGGAATGATAAAGTTTAAAATACAGATATTTAACAAGATAAAGTCAAATTTTCAAAAAAGTAAATATAAAAATTGTAATACTTTTTGTTATTATAATTTGTAATAGAAAGTAGACAGCAGTAGAAAATCTTCAGAGATGATCTAAGTTTTTTAAAACTAGAAACAACAGTAGACTTATATTGAACATTACCTATGGTAAAATTTGGAAATAAGACATTATATATTCTCTAAAGAAGATTTAATTACCAATTTAATTGGTTTTCTGTTTCTATTGATACATAACAAATACCACAAACTTAGCAGCTTAAAACAATATTCATTTATTATCTTGCAGTTTTCATGGGTCAGGAATCTAGGTGTTACTTAACTGAGTCTTCTGCTCTGGTCATAAGTTTACAATCAAAGTGTCAGACAGGCTGCATTATCATCTGGAAGCTTGACTGGGGTAAAGTTCATTTCCAGACTCATTCAGGTTGTAGGAAGAATTTATTACCTTGAGGTTGTAGAATGGAGGGCTCTGGCTTTTTGCCGGCTCTTGGCTATGGGCCACTCTCAGGTCCTATAGACTGTCCAGAGTTTGCAGAGTCACCCACAGTTTCTGGCCACATGGACTTCTCCAACACAGCTGCTTACTTCATCAAACTCATAAGAGAAGTCTCTAGCTCCAGGCTGCTAAGACAGTCTTATATAGTGTAACATAATCATGGCAGTGATATCTCATCACCTTTGCTATATGCTATTTGTTAGATGAAGCAAGTCATAGGTGCTAGCTACACTCAAAGGGAGGATGTCATAGAAAAGTGTGAACACTGGGAAATGGGAATCTTTGGAGATCCTTTAAACTGTCCACCACACTGATCACTGGAAATAAATGAGAAAATAGAAAATTATTTACAACTTGAAGAGATTTTTTGAAATTCCTGAAACATCATATTCTTCATCACATAAAATATTTTAACTGATCAAAATGTGAAGAAGAGAACTATATACAACACAGAAGCAACAATGTGACTCTGGCATGCTCATTAGAAGATGAAAGTTAACATTTGTGAAACTGGCAAATTGAACAAGAAAAGCAAAACTCTTGAGCTTTCCTATCTCTGTTGCATGATAATCCTGCTAAATGGCCATTTTGTCCTTTGGCAACGTGAGAGTATTTTTAGGAAAACACAATTTGATTTAAATTAATGATAATAATTTTCTACCAGGAAAATATAACAAAATATTTCATTCTTCAACATTCTTTCAACTGGAGAAAGAAATTATAGAGACTGTCTTTTGTATTATAAAATTAAAGGAAAGATATGTATTTTGTCACTACTGTTCCATATTTCACAACCAATCTTGAAGACCATTTTTTGGCAATGAAGCTATGTGGCTGCAAACATTAAGTTCATGATTAAAAGAATATAGAACCTCACCTGTATTAAAATATTAATGCAGTTATTAGCATTGAAAAACAACTGAATAAACATTAAACAAGCAAGGAAATATTCAACAATATAAAACATTGGTATGATGTTCTTTAAAAGAAAATATTATGTGTCTAATAAGGAGCCAAATAATGCCTTTGTGGTATTAACTGTGCAATATTTCATAAAACAAGAAGTGTCTAGATTTCATAGAAATTATTTCAAAAATTGATAATACATGATCAACATATGAGGGATTAAAAGAATAAATTATCTCTATCAAGAATAGAGAATTAAAATGAAATGTTTAATGAGTAATAAAGTGAGAAGAGAAACAATACACAACGGCTTGGTACAGTGGCTTATGCCTGTAATCCCAACACTACGGGAGGCTGAGGCAGGAGGTATCACTTGAAGCTGGGAGTTTGAGAAGAGTCTGGGCAACAAAGTGAGACCCCATCTCGACAACGATAATAATAATAATAAAGAAAAATACATTAAAAATTTAAAGTAGATATTCAATTAAATTATTTCAGGGGCAAAGTCAAGGTGAACAACCAATACACATGTTTGTGAACTACTGGAAGAATAAGAAGTTGAAATTAATGAATATTGCATTATTTTTCTGCTGGTTGTAGAAAGTAAGTATTTTGTGATAAGGGAAGAACTGATCACAGTTCTTTCCCCTCTTCTCTTTCTCATCTTCCCTCTCCTAGGTGGGGAAAAATTACTCATTTTGAGGGAAGGTGAGCCAGAGAACAGTTTCTCCCACTGGATGCAAGGGACTGGGAAGGATTGGGAGAACAGCACATTCTCTAGGCAATCCTGAGTGAATTCCCAAAGGTTTTTCAGCAATCCCACTCCTTGTTCAGGTTGTTTTTTAAGAACAACTTTATTGAGATATAATTCACATACCATAAAATTCACCTTTAAAGTATATAATTTGGCAGTTTTTAGTATATTCAGAATTGTGCAGCCATCACAGTATCTGATTTTATAACATTTTCATCACCCCCAAAAGAAATCCTGTACTCATTAGGAATCACTTTCCATTCCTCCCCCACATCACCAGCCGTAGGCAACCACTAATCTACTTTATGTCCCTGTGGATTTGCCTATTCTGGACATTACACAGTAATGGAATCATGCAGTGTGTCCCCTACACTTTATTATTTCACTGGGGTTTCTGGAAAACCTACTAATGATCTATCTAAAAAAAATCAATCATCTCTTATGTTTCAGACTTACTGTAGTATATTTCCTCTACTTTTTCCATTACCTGTGTGTCATAAGTACTTTCAAGTATCCATGTTAGCTCATACTGAATAGGATAATATATTGCAGATTTGCAAGTTGTTGACAAGAAAATTTGACTTCCAAAGACAACGAAAGTAAAATGCTTGAGCTTCAGCTGACTTTGAAGGGAGTATGGCTACAATATATTTGACTACACAGATGGTTTTTACATTATCCTTTGATTACAGAATAAGAGAAACTGTGCTTCTAGTAGGAGTTAACTATATTTTAGAAACATTGTACATTTTTTCCATTGTTAAACTATCTTTTAAGTTTAACCTATTCATATTTGCTCTGGGAACCAGTAATTTTTGGCAGTCTGTTAAACATAATATTTAATACTGACTTGCCTATGTAAAGAGATTATAAGAATCTAATGATAGATTTTTATTTTTGTTATTCCTAGTTTTTGTAAATGAATATTATGAAAATGTTTACAATAGTAAGTCTTATAAACATTTTTATAAAATAGCCTCTTAAAAAGTGAGCTTTAAAGTTGAGGAATGGTAAATCTTTAGAGAAAAATGTAGTATTGTAAAGTAAGAGTAGCTGAGCGTTGAGTTATTTTACAATAGAATTTATAATGAGAAGGTTTGTTATTTTACCATCCTTCATAGTTTTACCATGCAGAATTCTCAATAGGCATTTGGGAAGCTTTTAATTTTCACCTCATTTTAAATTTGTAGTATTTATGTGTATTATTCGTTTCCTTAATAAAACTGTACTTAAAGGACTTTTTGTTTTACATGTATGTCTTGGAATGATGATTTAAAGTATTCAGTATAGCATAGTTGAAAAACATGGACTCTAGAATCGGTCTGCCTCCATTCACATCTCAGTCCCACCCATTTTTAATGGTCTAACCTTGAGCAAGTGACCTACACTCTCTGTGCTTTAACTTCCTCAACAACAATGTGAGAATATTAGTATCTATTGAATAGACCTGTTATGAAGATGAAATGAAGTGTGTATATATAATTATGTGCATAAACCCTTTAGCACATGGCAAGTGCTTAATAATACTAGCTATTTTATTCTCTATGGGGTGAGTATAGGAATAGTTTGGAATAGCAGAGATAACTGAAGATTGTTCAGCCAGAAATCTTCATTGTTTTTCCTTTCATTTGGTGATTTTTTATGTATGATGAACAAACTTCTCCAATTTTGTTTTCTGTATATGTTATGTGGCATATAAAATAATTTTTATAACATATAGAAATACTGTATTTCGTTTTTTATTTTTTGAAATATTGTATTTAAAATCAATTAAGCGTGTTATGCAAAAGAATGTTTGTTGCATTACAGTTTAAGAGTTAGGAAATTAATATTTTCTATTACTAAATTCTTTGTTAGAAAATACAGCAAAAATGAATTATTTATATATGTTGGCATTCTTCCTCTTTCCCTGTGACAGGGTTTTCCAGGTGACTTTGGAGACAGAGGCCCTGCTGGTCTTGATGGCAGTCCTGTGAGTACATTATGTTGGTTCAGCCTTGCATTCTAACATCATTCATACTTCATAGCACTGCACTTACAGTCCTTATTATCATATTTGTGAATAAACACTATTGGAAAAACAATCTCCACACCACTGTGCACATTCCAGTTTGTGATTTTTCAGCTTAGGAAATTAACCAAAAATATTTCAAATTTCATCATGACATTCAATCTTTAAATTAATTATTTTGATGATGTTAAGTATAACTGCTTAAGTAAAATATTAAAAATATGTGATCACAATACTGTCTCTTATACATGAAAGTACTAACAAGCCTTATATAAAAATTTTACACTCAGCGATTGCTCTTTGGACTCAAACCTGTCATTGATCCACCTTACTTCTTAGTGTTTTATAGAAAATTATTCTACTTTGGGATTATTTAGCTGTCAATGTTCAGATTGAGAAAGAGTTACTATTCTAAAATTAGTTTAATTATATCATCAAAGAATGATGATGGATTGCTATTTTTTGGCGCTAGGTAGAAAAGCTTTAGTTTTTGCTCTTAAAAACCATCCAATAGCTATTCCCCAATCTTAAGCCATTCACATATTCTTTTCATAAGATTTTAAAGTGAGTTAGAAAAAAACACAAAATCTCTGTAGCCTAAATTGGGAATAGTTCCAATAATTACACGTAAGTAAATCACTAGCATGAAGAGTTTAAAATAGTTTATTTTTCTTCTTTTTTACTTCTCTTTTCCAAATTAAAACTATATTAGCTCATTCAGTGAATTCAGCCAAGACTGCATTTGTTACAAGGCATAGCAGATAAAAGTAGAACTGATTTTCAAATAAATTGTTAAAAACTTGAATGTTGTTTTAAGTGGAATGTTTACCATTTTTCTTGCATATGATTCTGAGGAGCTTCCCATTTCAAGCATAATAAAGTAGACATTATTTATTTTTAATGCCATTTGTGCACTTGTGTACCTAGTGTGAAGCCATTTTACATAATTTTTTGTCAGTTACTATCCATGAAGTCTGTTAAGACTCCTAGAATATTTAAAGTTTTCTTTTTTGAAATCTGCTCTTCATTTAAAATATAATAATATTTCTTCAGGAGCATTTTGAGTTTTTAAAATCTTTAAAATACAATAGTCAACTGGATATATTTAGTTTACTGGTTTATAATTCTCTATAGTATATTCTCTGCCTTTGTTTCCAAACAGAATTTGAAATGCAAAAAAAGAAGGACATTCATGTACTTTGTGCCTTGTAAATAATGTGACAGTGACATAAAGTGAATTAGGAATTATCTTAAAGACTATAAAGTGTAATGACAATGAGTTCAAAAGACCAATCACAAATCAGCTGGAAAAATTAATAATGATCATGAAAAATCTGATACTTATATAAATAATTTAACAGTATTGAAAATTTTATACATTTTTATGGTGCCTTTACATATGACAAATTTCATTGTGATATTTACAGTGAGAACAAATATTGGTATTTCTATTTTAATGAGAAAAATGAAGATTAGAGAATTTAAATAATGTACTTCAAAAGAGTCCATAGTGTTTTAAACCGTCTGAAAATGTTTTTCTAACCCTACGTGCTGACCACCTGTCTTTTCATAGAATGGATAGCATAATTAAGTGTACAGTGTTGATTATTGATAGGATTTACTTCCTTGGTTAAATACATAGGAGGCAGAGGGGACTCTGCTTAAGCTAGGTGGTAGTCCTGGCATCCAAAAGCATTTAGCCAAGGGCACTTGTGAAGAACATAAATGGCCACCATAGGTTTGTGCTTCTCAGGAGGATGCATAGATTAGGGGAGTTTCAGAAGTTAGCTATAGTAGAAGGTACATTTTGATGTATTCTTAGCTAGAAAGTTTTGTGTTTATCTTCAGAAATACCCTTAGTAGTTGGGAATCAAATTTAATAAGTATTGCAAATTTCTTTTACAATAGGGACTTGTAGGTGGCACTGGTCCTCCGGGGTTTCCTGGGCTTAGAGTGAGTATCACTAAATATCATCATTCTTAAGAAAATATTTTATTGTGCAATTTATATGTGTTAGATGTGTTTTTGAAACTTAGGGAAATGAGAGGTTTTACTGTCATTGTTGGTTATCAACCTTGATTAAATGTATTTTTTTCAACCAGATATGAATAATTAGACCAGTAGTATAAGTCAAAAAATTAATTGTATTTTATGATAAGAAAAAATAATGATATATTTTTATAGACCTATATGTATGTATTTGTACCTGTGCGCTAAAGGATACTTAAGACAAAGTTTCCTCAAAAGCATAAGACATAGAAGACCCTCTTCTTTCCTTTTTAAAAAATTGTTAATTATTTTCAATACATAATAGCTGTACATATTAAGGGGGTACATGTGATGTTTGTTACAAGCAAAAATGTGTAATGATCAAATTTGAATAATTGGTGCTTGTATCACCTCAAGCACTTATTATTTCTTTGTGTTAGGAACATTCTAATTTCACTCTTTTATTTTGAAATCTGTGATCAACTGTTGTTAAAAATAGCCACTCTGTTGTGCTGTGGAATACTAGATCTTATTCTTTCTACTGTATTTTTGTACCTATTTATCATACCTTTTATAACCCCCACTCCTACCCTTCTCATATATTTAGCTCCCACATATTTGTGAGAACATGTGTTAGTTACCTTTCTGTGCCTGGCTTATATCACTAATGTCTTCCAGTTCCATTCCTGTTGTTGCAAATGACAGAATCTCATTCTTTTTTATAGCTGAATAATATTCTATTGTGTGTATGTACCACATTTTCTTCATTCATCTACTGATGGATACTTAAGTTGATTCTGTATTTTGGCTATTGTGAATAGTGCTGCAATAAACATGGGAGTGCAAATATCTGTTCAGTATGCTGATAGCCTTTCTTTCAGTCTTCTTTCCCTTACCTTTAGCTGTCCCAAAGCACAAGGTGACAGCTTGGTCAAAGAAGTCACGGCTAGGCATGGTGGCTCATGCCTATGATCCCAGCACTTTAGGAGGCCAAGGCAGGAGGGTTACTTGAGCTTAGGAGTTTGAGACCAAGCCTGGGCAAGATGATGAGATCCCAATGCTACAACAACAACAACAAAAAAAAAAAAAAAGAAAGAAAAAAGAAAATTAGCCTGGCCCACTGTGGCAGCATGGCAGCTCTGGTGGAGCCCCCTCCCTGCCATTTAGTTTCCTTCTGCCAAGTGGCTGCAGGCTGCCCTTCAAATCTTCATTTGTCCCTTTTCACTTCTTGCAAAGCAAACGTGGGTTTGAGGGTCTGTTGGAAATGGCCTTTGATGACCAAAGATACTAGAGTGTGTGTGCTTTGTCCTGTTTTGTGATGAATGAGAAATGCAGACTTCCAGCTCTTTTGTGAAATGTGAGACAGACCTAAGAAGTAGGTCATCCAGGATAGGAGTGGTTCAGTGTTGGGGGTAGGCAGTCACCTAGCCATGCTCCACCAGGCCACCAGTGCATATTTGGCTGGTGATCTTCCAAGTGCATGAGACGTGCTGTTCACTGATTCTCCACCCCAGTTGGTGGCCTCCAAAATGGCAGCAGCACCCCCAGGGCCCTGTCTTCAGCATGTTACAAAGCCTCAGAGTGGAAATTCTTGCTAAGGCTTTATGTGGATGTTTTTCTTCCATGGCTTGAAGGGGACACTGGTACTGTAAGTTTTTGACCTTATGCTCTGTGTAGTAAAAAAGATTTTGGGTTTTTTTTTCTTTTGTTTTTGAGAGGGTTGCGTTTTGTTTTTGTTTCCTTTTGTTTTCGTTTTGGCCTTTCCTCTTTCTCTTTTCATGTAGACCAGATATTTGAAAGGGCAGATGATGGCTAAAGGTATAATGTGCAACTTGTTTATATACTATTTTCGGAAACTTACCTTGGATAGGAAGTGGAATTGTGGATTCTCCAGGCTGGTGCTGGTACACTCAGCCTTCGCCCTTTCCCTCCGGTTCAGTACCTATTGTTTCTCCTTTCAAATATGTGATTGTGCTAGCTCTTTCCATAGGGAAGAATTCTCCTTATTTAAATAAAAAACGTTGAAAAAAATAAAAATAAAGCTGAAAAAATGTTTTAATTAGCCAAGTGAGGTAGAGCACACCTGTAGTCTCTGCTGTTTAGGAGGCTGAGGTGAGAGCATCTCCTGAGCTCAGGAGTTAGAGGCAGCAGTGAGCTATGATCATGCTGCTGCACTCCAGCCTAGGTGATGAAGCAAGACCCCATCTCTCTAAAAAAAAAAAAAAAAAAATCAAATAAATAAAAATAAATAAGTCAGGAGCTTAGTTATTGGAACTGTGGTAAAATTTAAGTCAGCATAAGCTTTAACTTGCCATCTTGGGATAACATGAGTATGGGATTTAGAGTCAAAGAACCTGTGTGAGTCTGAAACATTTAAACTTTTCTCTAACATAATGGTAAGATTTGTAGTAGTAGTAATAATAAAATTACTGAGGGCACCTCACATTTGTTTACTATTTTCAGTGGACTAGCCACAATTGTTAAGTCATTCCATTCTCAGACCAACCCATGACTATTTAGCTGATAAGTGTTTGAGCCCAGATTTGAAGCCAGGTGATCTAAATCCAGAGTCCAGAATTTCGTTGGTCTGTACCACCTCCTTAAAACTTATACTCCCTTATGTGTATATTATCTACCTTATGAGATTTCTTTAGTCCTTTCTGAGAAACTCTGTGTGATGTTTTTTTTTTTCCTGAGAACTTAGAATAGGGTTAAACCTGTAGATATTAGTCAGTGGGTAGAGTAAGGAAGTAGGCAAAAGGAGTTAGATTCCAAAGATGCTCTTCATGCAGTTTTTATTTAATCTATTAGCATGGAGTTGATTAGCTAAAAAGCTTCTGTTGTTACTGTCAAGATTAAGACCAAATTTTTTAAATATGGCCCAAGATATCTAGTCTGGTTTAGTTCTTACCCACATGTCCATGACATACTATTTGTATACTAGCAAAGCTGTTAATTCTCAGATGCTATGCAGCATCTTTGCTACAAGGTTTTGCACATGTTTGTCTACCTGAAACACTCTATCTCTACTTTTCTGCTCCAAAACTTAGCACACTGTCTGGCACATAAAAGTACTCAGTAAAAATAAGTGGATCTTCTGTATTTTCTCTTTCTCCATTCACCTTTCAGTTCATGGGAAGAGATTCTACAGAAAAGGAAATGGCTAATGATAACTGTATTAGTCCATTCTCACACAGCTATGAAGAAATACCTGAGACTGCGTAATTTATAAAGGAAAGAGGTTTAATTGACTCACAGTTCCACATTGCTGGGGAGGCCTCAGGAAACTTACAATCATGGTGGAAGACAAAGGAAAAGCAGGTGCCTTCTGTAGAGGGTAGCAGAGTGAATGCAAACAGGGGAAATGCCAGATGCTTATAAAACCATGAGATCTCGTGAGCCTCACTTACTATCATGGGAACAGCATGGGGCAGCCATCTCCATGATCCAATTATGTCCACCTGGTCCTGCCCTTGGCATGTGGGGGTTATGGGAATTATAATTCAAGATGAGATTTTGGGTGGGGCCATAGCCAAACCATATCATTCTGCCACTGGCTCCTCCCAAATCTCATGTCCTCACATTTCAAAACACAATCATGCCTTTCCGACAGTCCCCCAAAGTTCTAGCTCATTCCAGCGTTAACCCAAAAGTCTAAGTCCAAAGTCTTATCTGAGACAAGGCAAGTCCTTCCATCTATGAACCTGTAAAATTGAAAGCAGTTAGTTACCTCCTAGATACAATGGGGGTACAGGCATTGGGTAAATACTCCCATTCCAAATAGGAGATATTGGCCAAAACAAAGGGGCTACAGGCTCCATGAAAATCCAAAATCAAGTAGGGCAGTCATTAAAACTTAAAATTCCAAAATGATCTCAATTTGACTCCGTGTCTCACATCCAGGTCACACTGATGTAGGAGGTGGGTTCCCACAGCCTTGGGCAGCACCACCCTGTAGCTTTAAAGGGTAAAGACCCCCACCCAGCTGCCTTCATGGTCTGGCATTGAGTGCCTGTGGCTTTTCCAGGTGAATGGTGCAAGCTGTTCGTGGATCTACCATTCTGGGGTCTGGAAGATGGTGGCCCTCTTCTCACAGCTCCACTAAAAAGTGCCCTAGTGGGGACTCTGTGTGGGGCCTCTGACCCTACATTTCCCTTCTACACTGTCCTAGCAGAGATTCTCCATGAGGGTGTCACCCCTGCAGCAAACTTCTGCCTGGACATCCAGGCATTTCCTGACATCCTGTGAAATCTAGGCAGAGGTTCCCAAACCTCAATTATTGACTTCTGTGCACCTGCAGGCTCAACACCATGTGTAAGTAGCCAAGGCTTGGGGCTTGCACCCTCTGAAGCACCGGCCTGAGCTCTGTGTTGACCCCTTTTAGCCACAGCTGGGATTCAGGGCACCAAGTCCTGAGACTGCACAAAGCAGCAAGGCTCTAGGCCCAGCCCAAAAACCTTTTTTTTCTCCTAGGCCTCTGGGCCTGTGATAGGAGGGGGCTGCTGTGAAGATCTCTGACACTCCCTGGAGACATTTTCCCCATTGTCTTGGGGATTAACACTTGGCTTCTCATTACTTACCCAGATTTCTGCAGCTGACTTTAATTTCTCCTCAGAAAATCAGTTTTTCTTTTCTATTGCATTCTCATGCTGCAAATTTTCTGAACTTTTTTATACTTTGCTTCCCTTTTAAACATAAGTTCCAATTCCAAACTCTTTGTGAATGCATAAAACTGAATGCTTTTAAGAGCATCCAAGACACCTCTTGAATGCTTTGCTGCTTAAAAATTTCTTCCGCCAGATATCCTAAATCATCTCTCTCAAGTTCAAAGTTCCACAGAACTTTAGGGCAGGGCAAAATGCCACCAGTCTGTTAGCTAAAGCATAGCAAGAGTCACCCTTACTGTAGTTCCTGGGAAGTTTTTCATCTTACCCTGAGACCACCTCAGCTTGGACTTCATTGTCCAAATCACTATCAGGATTTTGATAAAAGCCATTCAATAAGTCTCTAGGAAGTTCCAAACTTTCCCACATCTTCCTGTCTTCTTCTGAGCCCTCCACACTGTTCCAGCCTCTGCCTGTTACCCAGTTCCAAAGTTGCTTTCACATTTCCAGGTATCTTTATAGCAGCAACCATTCTCTGCAGTACCAGTTTACTGTAATAGCCAGTTCTCACACCACTGTGAAGAAATATCCGAGACTGGGTAATTTATAAAGGAAAGAGATTTAATTGACTCACAGTTCTGCATTGCTGGGGTGACCTCAGGAAACTTACAGTCATGTTGGAAGGCAAAGGAGAAGCAGGCACTTCTTCACAGGGTGGCAGGACGGAGTGAGTGCAACAAGGGAAATGCCAGATGCTTATAAAACCATCAGATTTCATGAGCCTCACTCACTATCATGAGAATAGCATGGGGGAATCCTCCCCAATGATCTGATTATGTCCACCTGGTCCTGCCTTTGACATGTGGGGATTATGGAGACTACAATTCAGATGAAATTTTGGGTGGGGACACACCCAAACCATATCAGATAGTAAGAGTCATCTTTGTAGTCCTCATCTCTTCTAAACTGATATAGATGGTCCTTTCTACCTTTCAAAGTAGTTTTATATACATATCTTATTTGCTCCTCAATGAGTTGTAAAGTAGATAAAGCAGGTATTGTTACTTCCATTTTACATTCATTACTTTTTAAAATTAAAACAATGTGAGCACCTACTAAATAGCTGAACTAACTGCTAGGCCTAATAATATGAACAAGTTAAAATTCCTATTTTTGGCAACATTACAATCTAATGGCATAGAAGGAAAAATAAGTAGTGTCATATACTGTGATTACTGCTATAATTGATTAAATGTAAAACCACTGAAAAGGAGCAATTTCTGTTATCTCAGAAAGTCAGAGTAGGCTTCACAAAGGAGATATTTTTGGAGCTATATCTTGAAGATTGTATATGAATGGGGTGGGGTGAAAGGGGGAAAAGCTTTCTTTAGGTACAAAAATGCTGTGTTCAAATACACAGAAGATGGGGAAAAATGAATGTTTGGGACTGGAAAGAGGAGTAGTGGGATTGTAGCATAGGAAGTAAGGGCTTGGGAGCAGAATGGAAGGAATTGAGGTTTTGAAAGTAATTGGGAAGGATTATGAAGACCCTTTATATTGCATAGTAAACAACTTGTCTGCTTGCCCGGAGCAGCAGCCTCTGCTTTATCTCTCAGGTGTTCCCTTCCAGCAGGTATAGTTTCTGATAAGAGATGCTATTGCTTTATCTAAATTATTTTTTCCATGCAGTTGGTTGTCATTGTTATATGCTTTCTTAGACTAGTGACAATGTGTATCACGTGTGAGTATGGTGGGTGTGATTTAAAAGCACCATGTGGAACTCACAGTCCTTTCTACAGTATACCATATGAACCCTTATTAATTGGCCAGTGACTGCTCTTTTTAATACAAATAACTTATCCTCTGGGTCTCTCTATTTCTTTGACTTAACTCAGAAGTTCTCAGAGGAGCTGTGTGGGAGGCTCCTCTGTCTCTGATGCCATATCCCAAACACCCTCAACAAGGCTCCCACGCATGAAAGTATTTCTTCTGTCTGTTCCATGTTCTTATGGAAGATGAGTTGGTAGTTAGGGAATGCTGAAGGACTTTCAGGTTACCTTGGTAGAACTGAGAACTGAGTTGCTTTCAGAAGGCTATAGTTTCTCAGGACTAGGATTTCCACTCAATTTGTGACATGCTGTTTCTTGGAAATTTCAATTCCATAGTATTCAATTTTACTTTATAGTTCTTTATTTTTCTAAGTTCATTATAATATATTTTTCATATCTCCCAATACTTACTGTTATGTGATTTTTTCATGTAGAGTCACTGAAAAGTAAAATAGGATATTATATATACAAAGTACATTCATCTGAAGATGCTAGTAATATACTTACTGAAAAAAGTTAAGAATATTATTTTATCTATGAAGAAAACAAAAGGACACAAAGAAAGATTTGTGTGTGTGTTTGTTAAGATAGTCCTTTCCATACTTACTTGGATTACTTTTGCATAATTTCCAAACAGAGATATTTTTGTATTTTTCTAACCTATCATAAGTTTTAAAGCTATGAACTTTGAATAAACTAGCCACTGTAATCATAAGCACAAGTTTTCCTATTGACATAATTTGAAATTACAAGCATCATGTATTAATATTGCATATCTATTAAGTTGGAAAGTATTACCCTTTGCCTCTAACGGTGTTATATATTTCAGGATTAAACATGTTAGAAATAATTTATCTTAGCTGTATTTCACAGACTTTAAGACTCATCCATATGATGTCTTATTTTCCATTCTGAAATTTGTATTATATAAATGTAGACAATTAGAAATGCTGTTATGTTAGGATATTGAGCTCTAGAAATCACCATTTCAAATTAATCCCTTCAGTATTCATTCTACACTTTATTTCAGAACCATTATCTGCCAGTTATTATGTTGGGTCTGGGAAATAAAAAAAATGAATGAAACGTGTTTCCGCTGTCACAAAATGCACAGACTAGGAAGGCAGGAAAAAAAAAGTACAGTGCCATGTACTAAGTAGCGTAGTAGAAGTGCATTCTAGTACTGGTAACTGTCTTGTCAAAGGTTCTGAGCATTTGGTAAGGGAGAGCTATTCAGAAAATGAAAGACAGTCCACTGCAGCTAGAATGGAGGATTTCGGGGAGGGAGAAGTAAAGTGGAAGGGAAATGAGGACAATGGAAGGAAAGGAGACTGGAAAGTTTGATGGAAGCCTAATAGAGAGGGCTTAGGATGCTATCCTAAGAAATTAGAATTCTAACTACAAGAGGTAACATTCTTAGCATTTCACAAATGCAACTTTAAGAGTTCCTTAATATTTAGAAACTAGAAAGAGAAGTTTGAACTAACTTGGATTTCCATTATAAAGAGTAGTAAGGAAGCCAGGCAAAGAAAGATCGTGAGAAAAAGAAGAAAAAGGAGACCTCAGTGACACAGAAATTATAACTGATCCCAAACCACCAAGAAGTGCCATTTTGTTTTTCAAATTTTTCTTTCATACCCTTATGTTGCTATTGCCCTTTGTCTTCTAAGATGACATATTGAAGTTTTTTCTAAGTCTCTTGCTTGCAGAAGATAATAGTGGTAATGTTTCTGAAGAATTAGAGCATTAAATTGAGAACCTTGATGTTAGAGATTATGTCTTTTTTCTCTTTTTTTCTTCAACAGTGTCTCGTACATATTATGCTTAGTAAATATTAAATGATGAATAAACGAGATAAGCCCAGAAGAGTAGAGCTTTTTGTTTGCCTCTGAGTTTATCCCTGAAATTATGATAAATTTTCTCATTCTGCAAATTTGAAATTATAAAATCAAATCATTAGGATGTCTGGCACATAGTAACTCCTCAAAAAATATTTGCTGAATAAGTGGGTGAAATAAAACTCTAAGACAATCAAATGAAGTATCTGTTGACTAGTTCCTGGGAATATGGCACTAAAATATTTTTTAAAGGTCTCATCTAGTTGGAGAAATATTGCAAGATGAATGTCATGGACAGTATTATAGGAGCTCAAAGGAGGAAAGAATCTCTGTGGACTAGACAAATATGAAAAGGTTTCAGAAAAATGATGGACTTCACTAAGGTTTGAAATATTGGTATGATTTATAAATGTGGAGAGAAAAATAAGTTGTTGAAGAACAAGGCACGTGTAGGAGCTTAGTGAGTTGGCTGTTTTGGGTTCATTAATTTATTAATTCTGCCACATTTTCTTTCTAATCCTAATGAATGCTTAATGATGCATTTCTTTCTTACTGTTTTCCAGGGCAGTGTTGGCCCTGTGGGACCAATTGGACCTGCTGGAATTCCTGGCCCAATGGTATGGTTCTATTTGTATAATGGATATTTCCCTTTAATCTGTCTATGATATCACAAAATGTCACCTTTTTTTGTAGGGCCTTTCAGGGAATAAAGGACTACCTGGAATCAAAGGTGATAAGGTGATTTAAATATTAATATTATAAAAATAATTTTTATCACATTTGTCTTTTACTTTTCAGTCAACACAATTTATGAAATATTTTGTTTTTATGGAGTCTAATTTGTAGTATCAATTATATTAGTTTTCCTCAGAAGTAAGAAAAATAGAGAAATTATTCTTCTACAATGAATATTTGCTTTCTTATAATATTGCCATGTTTGTGATACATAAGTATCTTTGCATGAAATTGTGCTTTCCAGGGTGAACAAGGCACAGCAGGAGAGCTAGGAGAACCCGGGTATCCTGGAGACAAGGTAATGTTTATACCATTAATTTTATGTAAATATGAAAAAGTGTAAATTCAAAAGAAAGAACTGCTTATTATTTTATCCATGTATTGTGTTAGAATGTGGTATCAATATGGTTTTAAGTTCTTGTTTGAAACTTTTGTCTCAATATTTTAGCATACTTTATGAAATTTTTTAGCAGTTTGTAAATAGTGGTATGTCTGCCTTTTGTGGTATAATAACTTTCTCTTCTGTTATTCTCTTCTCTTAGGGTGCTGTTGGTTTACCAGGACCACCAGGGATGAGAGGAAAGTCAGGGCCTTCAGTAGGTTTGAACTTTTGCTTTGCTCTTTGTAATTGACAGAGTGCATGTCATGGCATGAGTCTCGACACTGTTGATCTAAGTAGGGTATAAGCCTACTGAGCATTTGTCTCCTTAGTTTTAGAATATAGCAAATCCCTCAGGTATTCAGTTCACATTCCATAGACTTTTGGACTTCCCTCTACTCCCAACCCTAGGCCAAAGCCAAGTTTCTGAGAGTCCTAAAGATCTTGGTCATATTATTCTACTGAATAATTTAATATAGACAATATTTAAATTAAAACAATAGGCTTTGAAGCCAGAAAATGTAAAGCACCTTAAATAATATTTTAACTTTTCAAAATATCAATTTTATTAAGGAAACAGTCTGAAGAAAAGGTAGCATGTTTGCACTCTCTTGTGGACCAAAATATTCTAAATCCTTATTTTTTTTCCTGACCCTTGGACATCAATTAGACGAAAGAAAAAGATACCTTATATTGCTGTTAACATAAAACTCAAAAAATTATAAATCTAAAATTACTTAATAATTAAAGCTATTTAAATAAAATGGTTAAAACTTGAGAAAATATATTTCTAAATATTAAAAATCATAATTATTATAGCTAACATTTGCTGAGTATCTACACAATACCAGGCAGTATTCTAAGGACTATACATCTAAATTAATCTTCACAACAATCCTACAAAGTTGGTACTATTATTATTCCTATTTTTTATATTAAGAAAATTGAGACACAGTGTTAGAAAACATCTAAGGTCACCTGGGTGGCCACCTACTTAGTAGGTGACCATTCAGAAAAACCTAGGCAATCAGGTATGTCAGAGCTCATGCGTTTAGCTACTGTGCCATACTGTTTTAGGGTTTAATATTTTAAGATGGTTTTAGGAGTTTAATATTGATTACAACTCTGTGAAGGTAAAGGTGATTACAGATAGAAAAAATTAGATATAGGATTCAATTCTATGAAAAAGGTAGAGATGATTATACATACAAAAAATACATATAGGATTATAATTTATTAATGTCACATTAAAATATACATTAAAAAATAATTGTGTTATGTTCCTGAGCAGTTCATTGTGTTCCCTCTAACTCTACCCTTCCATCTCAGGATTATTTATTTTTTTAATCTCAGGAAGCAGTATTAAATTACAGAACTTTACCCCATTCTTTGTGACTTCTAACAGTGACAGTATTTTATATACATCTCTTAGGAATTATTTAACCCAAAGAACAATTTTTGGCATCTATTCGATGAAATGTTAGTGGTGACCTTTGCTTATACTAGTTCTTTGCCCTGGGCTTATTGCCATAAGGGCTTAACCTAATAAGCCGTGTACCCTCCCTTGTACCCTTGAGTTGAATCTCAGAAACTCTAGAGTGCATAAATTGGATCATGAGACTAGGTCATGAAGCTAACAAACAACTTCTGTTTTTCAAGGATGGTTCTAAACCATATAAAGACTCTCTGATATTTGCAGTGATTGGCAAAATAAGATACTTTTTACATATTCTTTTTTTTAAATAATGTGACATTTTTCTAGCGCTTGACCAAATAGGATGAAATGATACAATACATGCTCTAAGGGCACTATTAACTAATAAATAATATAAGTATTTTTTTGTGCTTTACAATTAATTTTTTGAGAAAACTAGAGTCAAGTATCGTGCTTACACAAGGCAAACCATTTTAGTGTTCCTTACTCTTTGATTAAATTTATATTTATAACATGTTGATGGGAGTAAAAAAATCATTGGCTAGAGAGACAAAGACCTGGATTCTGGTCCCAGCTCTGGCACTTAACCTACTGGCTATCACCTTGGGTATTTAACCACCATGGTACCAGCTTCTCATGTTTAAAATGAAAGTTAGGGCCACGTGCGGTGGCTCACGCCTGTAATCCCAGCACTTTGGGCAGCTGAGGTGGGTGGATCACGAGGTCAGGAGTTCGAGACCACCCTGACCAACATGGTGAAACCCTGTCTCTACTAAAAATACAAAAATTACCCAGGCATAGTGGCAGGCACCTGTAGTCCCAGCTCCTCAGGAGGCTGAGGCAGGAGAATCGCTTGAATCCAGAAGGCAGAGGTTGCAGTAAGTCAAGATTGCGCCACTGGACTCCAGCTTGAGCGACAGAGTGAGACTCCATCTCAAAAAAAAAAAAAAAAAAAAAAAAGAAAGAATGAAAAAAGAAAGTTTAGGCCATATCATATGTAAGGTTCCTTATAGTCCTGTGATTATGATGTTTTTCTCTTTTAGACATAGTACTTACTAATATTCCTCCTAGTGTAAGCTAAAGAAAAGGCAGAGAGCCTGTTTCACCTTTAACACATTATCTTAAAGCCCTTAGTATTTTTTTCCTGAAAGAAGTCACAATAAATGCTAATGATGTTCTTTTAGGGCAGGGAGCAAGAGACAGTGAGAGTGAGGCTTTTACTTACTCATTTTACACCTTTCT
Source organism: Homo sapiens (assembly GCF_000001405.40). Taxonomy (NCBI): domain Eukaryota; kingdom Metazoa; phylum Chordata; class Mammalia; order Primates; family Hominidae; genus Homo; species Homo sapiens. The sequence continues at coordinate 86,019,779 of NC_000001.11, read as the reverse complement.
GTACTGTTCTAATAAAGAAAATTAATGTCAGCAGGAATTACTTTGGTAGGGAGATAATTGATTTTTTTTTATTTGTTTTATCAAACTTTTGAAAACTACTTTGGGCCGAAGATAAGATAAGCATTCATGAATTAAAATTAGTGAGATAGCCTTGTATTTTGTCTCTTGTTGTATTTATTACTTGTTTGTATCTTTTTGTTTTAATTAAAAAAAAAATTTTTAGAGACAGGGCCTCCCTCTGTTGCTCAGGATAGAGTGTAATGGTGCCATCACAGCTCACTGCAGTCTCCAACTCTTGGGGTCAAGTGGTCCTTCCACCTCAGCCTCTCAAGTAGCAAGGACTGCAGGTCCACCACCATACCCAGCTAATTAAAAAAAAAAAAAATTGTAGAAACCAGGTCTTGCTTTGTTGCCCAGGTTAGTCTTAAACTCCTGGCCTCAAGCAATCCTCTTACCTCGGCCTCCTAGAATGTGGGATTATAGGTGTGAGCCACTGCACCTGGCTGTATATATTATTAATAGAAAAACTGTAGGTGTTTGACCAGGAAACCTTTCCTTCTTATAGAAGGAGACACTTGTTTGATGAAAAGTTGCTTATGCAGAATCAGTTATTATATTAAGAAACAAACTCCCACATTCAATTATATAAGTTAATGCCTATCTAAAATGTTTGTTTACTGTCGTGGAAAGAATGCCAACATCATAAGGATGTCTTCCCTATTTTATAGATCCTACTTTTAATTTTCTGTTACCTAAGAGGTTGGTGTTACTAACTAATATTGTTTCCAAGTAGATCTAAGTTGTAACATGAAATAATATTTTCAAGATATAAGAAGGAATGTCCTGATTTGGAAAGTTGTTACAGTTCTTGAATAGGGAAGCTTTTGCTCTACAAGTATTTTAAAAAAAAATAGAGAAAACTACCACTCTGAGGTTGTTCGTAAATACACTTTCCTTTAGACCAAGAAAACAAACACAATTGTTATGCCCTATCCATTTTTTAGCTAGGGATTTTTGTCATTTGTAGAGGTTTATTTAATATTAGTTATCTATAAGTTACTTAAAATGTCAGCTTTTATAAAGAAAAATTGACATTCATAGGAAATTTGCAATCAAAATTTTACAAAACAAAGAATTATTCTGAAGATCAAATAAAATCATTACACAATTTCTGTTTTTAAATATGTGATTGTCAATCAGCTTTTCTGAAAACAAAGCCCTAGGGTATTGCTATTTTATCCTCACTGCTTAGAAATTTAGCTTTGTGGTTGGATTTTGCCACTAGAGGGCTCCAATGAGAGCCCCTCGCCCCTTTCTCTATCTCTTTAAAGAGAGATGCTTGTCATTTTAAGAACTTCAGTATACTGATTCTGATGGATCACAGATTTTGTTTTTGTTTATTTGGAAAGGGAAACTTAAATGAGCCTTTCCATAATATTTCACTGCCTTTCTCTGGATTTGATTGCAGTAGTTTATGGTGTCCTGTTTTATGTCCAGATACCTCAGCACTGAGAATGAATTAAGTGCATATTGGAAACTGTGCTTTAGGTTTTGGAAAATGGGCAATCCCGTATTGTAACTTGCAAGTTTAGGTGATCTGAGGCTTATTTAAATTAAATTTGAAGCTCATATAGAAACTTAATATGACAGAAATAATGAATGCAATAGTTTTTCTTATGAAAATGGATATATCAGACTACTGTCCTCCCTTTCCAAACTTTCATCTCTCGAGAGCATTGCTAGCCTTCTCTAGTTTCAGGCTTTATACCTACTTCTCTTTCCTGTCACTTTCTCCTTTAACCCTGATTTCACATCTTTATCATGAATGTCAGAAACTAGCTTCAGAGATACTGAAACTGAATCCTTAAAACTTCAATTAAAGGATGAAAACAGTCTAGGAATTCTATGTGTGAGCCAGGAAAGCAGAAAGGGTGTGAAGAGAAGGAATAATGATTGTAAAATTGGTTGACATTTAATGAGTACTTCATATGTCAGACATTGTGCTTAGCACTTTACATATATTATCTAATTTAACTCTCCAATGACTCTTTGAGAATGTTAGTACTATAATTATTATTTCTATTTTATTGATGAGAAAACTGAGGCTTAGAGAGATTAAGCAACAAGGATTTCAATCCAGGTGAGTCTTAATTACTAATTCAGGCCACTTACAGTATCAAAGGAGAGAGGAATTTTCAGAGACAGCCCTGGGACTGTGGTTATTTATAAAAGCAGTTTCTCCTCTAGAATTCCCTATCTTGTTGAGTCCAGCTTTATTGTCTTATCTCTGTGAAACACATATAAACATACAATTCTTTTCTTGATTTGAGCACTTGACTCATTAATTTGTTTGTATCACTTAACACTTGAGTGAATGTATATTAAACCCATAAACATCTTATTTAAAAACTTTTACAGTAATGATGGTTACAAATTTTTCTAAAAAGTCATTACAACCTTGTTTGACATGATAATATAATGACTGACTGCTATTTGTTTACCATATGCCTGTTTCTTCTTTTAATTGTGTTTATTAAGTTTATGTTTATACTTTGATCCTCCCCCCCCATTTTAGGGCCAAACAGGTGACCCAGGACTCCAAGGACCATCTGGCCCTCCAGGACCAGAGGTAAAATATTGGTGGAAAGTTAATAAATTTGAAACAAAATGGTGGAAATTAAACTTGTTTGATAAAACATGTTTCAACATAGCAAGCTTAAGAAAGATCCTCTTTAAAGTTTAGATCTCCGTAAATAGTTTGGACTACATTTTTTCTGTTATGTCACGAGGTATGCAACAGGGATCCTAGGGAAACAGAAAAGTGCATTAGCCACATTTTCACACTGATTAGGATCACAGCTGATTTATTTGTTCTGCACAGCTATTAATAACAAGTACTTGAGGCTTGGAACCAAATTTCAGGAAAGAAACTCCACTGAATTATTAATGCAAAATGTTTCCAATTATTGCTATATCCATATATCATTTAAATCTCATACAGTATTCTAAAATAAATACAATTAAGTCTGTAGTACATATATCAAATTTGTTTGTATATACTTTAAAATTTTTGACTTTGGTTTAATGGTTGATATACAGTGGCCTTCTTTTCTAAAAGTCTATATAGAACATAAGCTTCTGAGATAAAACATTTGGATTTTAAAAAATCCTACTATGAGTCAGACCTATGAGTCAAAGATATACTACATGGAGATGAAACTTCTGAAGCTCACTCTAGTTTCAAAAATATATGCCCATATTGATATGTGTGTGCCTGTGTGTGCCTACACACACACACATACACGCAAGCACACACATATCAGTGTACATACATATTTAATTTAGAGTCATAGATTCAGCAGAAGGCTGAGAAAATAATTGGCATCAGAATAAATAAGTTAGAGCAATAATGTCATAGTGTCAGAGTAGTAGGCAGAGTTTCTAAGACTACTGCTGTACTGATGCTGTCTCCCTCTCTTTGTAAACCATAAGATCTACTTCTTACTTCACAGCTGTCCTTCAAGGTTGGCTGATTTCTTTAGAAAATGCCTATTCTTACTTACTGTATGATTTCAAAACACATTGGGTATTGACAGTTCAAAAATCTAAAAAGCAGGCTGGGCATGGTGCAATCCCAGCACTTTGGGAGGCTGATGTGAGAGGATCGCCTTGAGTCCAGGAGTTCTAGACCAGCCCTAGCAACATAGTGAGACCCTGTTGCTAAAAAAAAAAAAGAAAAAATGTTTTAAAAGTTAGCCAGGCATGGTGGCTCACACCTGTAGTCCCAGCTACTCGGGAGGCTGAGGTAGGATGATCACTTGAGCCTGGGGTGGCACCACTGCACTTCAGCCTGGGTGACAAAATGAGACCCCGTCTCCAAAAAAAAAAAAAAAAAAGAAAAAGTAGAGTCTTCAAAACTTCATTGTAGCTAGTTTTACCAATAGAGAGGTAATAGGAAGTAAAATACAGTAGTATATTGATCTCAGCATTCTGATAGGAAGGAAATTGAGTAATTAAAACTTCAGATTAGTATAAGCTTCTCCATATGAGCCTACAATTTTTATTTTAATCATTTTTAATGAAAGCTTTCCTGGAATGAATAGTATTTACTGCCTTGTCATACTGAGGATACAGAATCTATTTTAATTTTCATTATCTTTAAAGGTTATTATTATGACTGTATTGTCCTATTATTACTGCAGTTACAGGTGATATGTACACTAGAAATGGCTATGTTACCTCCTTGCTATAAGTATGGTTTTGAGTCATTTTTCTTCTTTCTCATAAAGCTTGGTTAAAGGATGCATGCGCCATGTTTTCACTTACTACTTGGTCTTCTAAAGATGTTTATTTATTTCTCTCTTCCCTTTAAAATTTCATAATATCCATCAACACTGAAAACATTATCTCATTATCTCTGATTTTAGCACCACTAATATAAGGTCCTGAGCCCCAGCATTTTCAGAGTACCAATCCTTCCTCTTCACCTGTATTAAGTTTTTTCATGGGGCTAAAAATGTAACCTGTACTCTGTCAAGAACTGATGCTAGATTGTTTTGGGAAATGGGGCCTAATTCAAGGAGCATAACTTTTTCTTGATCATAAAAATATAGTACATAGGCAACTATATGTGAGACAACACTTTTATCCAAATCCTTGTCAACATTAGGCTTTTAATAAACTTGCAGGTCCAAGAATTTTAAATAGTATATTTGGTAGCAAACCAAGCCTGAAAACTTTCTGCTTGTATAGTGGATGAATTTTACTCAGGTAAAGGGTCTTATGCATTGTGCTAAATTCAGACTTTATCCTGTATGCGTTAACCAAAGATATTTAAGCAAGAGAAAGGAATTATCAGAGTTGTGCTTTATGCAAAGCAGCAGGGGGAAGGATAAAAGAGAAGAAGGGAAGGAGGAGTGCCAAGGAGATGAACTAAAGGTTATTTAGAAGGATGGTGCAGCAGAGCAGGGGATTGATGATGAGGTCCTGTGACAATAGAAAGGAAAGGATAGCTTAAAGAGAGAACTAGAAAATATAATTCACAATACATAAAACAGTTCATTCCAATTGTAAGAGAGAGGAATAAAAGGCAATTTGAACACTTTTTGCTTGAAAAGTTGGGTAGAATGTGGATCATCATTCCAAAAATAGAAAATAGGAAAAGGAGGAGGAGGAGAAGGAAGAGATTCAGAGTGGCAGGAAATAATGTTTTGGCTTTGAATCTGTTAGGGTTCAAAGGCCTTTAGGAGAAATAGAAAATTAGTCTAATAAGAGTCTTAAAACTGTAGGCCTAAAGCTCAGAAAAGTAGACTAGAGATACATATTTATATAATCATCTGCATAAAGGTATTAGATGAAGCAATGTAACAGATGAATTAAAACAAAGTTTAAAAATACTACACCTGGAAACTCACCCCTAGAAGTCTACAGTCTTTGTCTACAGTGCAGTTAAGTTTTAAGTTGATAATAAAAAGTCAGTAAAATAAATTTTGGTAACTGAAAAATACATTCCTTAGTAACTTATGGTCTGGAGAGAAGAAATATCACAATGGAAATTAGAAAATATTTAGAAGTGAATGAGAACGAATCAGTATAAAAACTTGAGTGTTGCAGCTGAAGCAACATTTAGAGGACAACTTATATACAAATTCATTTCTCTTGAAAGCAAGGAAGGTAAAAAATAAATGAGTTATACACAGCATAACTGTAGGGATTTGTTTCAAAAGAAGAAAGAAGTTGAAAGAGGTCAGATAGGATAGTCTCTGTTTTCTTAGTCTTGAAACTAAATCTCAAGAGTAAGGGGACTGTGCAGGAGAAAGGAGCTGCAGGAGTTCTTTGAAAAGTAAGTGAGAGAGTGACTGCGGACTAATAAAATAATTTCTGAGTTGTTGGTTAAGGTAATTTTTGGATAAGGTTTTTTGTTTGTTTTTGTTTATGTTTTTTTGAGACACAGTTTCACTCTCTCGCCCAGGCTGGAATGCAGTGGTGCCGTCTGGGCTCATTGCAACCTCTGCCTCCCAGGTTGAAGCGATTCTCCTGCCTCAGCCTCCCAAGTAGCTGGGATTACAGGTGCCTGCCACCACACCTGGCTAATTTTTGTATTTTTAGTAGAGACGGGGTTTTGCCATGTTGACTAAGCTGGTCTCAAACTCCTGACCTCAGGTGATCCACCTGCCTTGGCCTCCCAAAATGCTGGGATTATAGGCATGAGCCACCATGTCTGGCCCAGTTTTTGGTTAGTTTGAAATGTAAGAGGCTTTTGCCTGAAATATAGTCACAAAGCTCTGTACATTTTGTTGTAAGGGGATTTCAGATTTGAATACGATCTTCCCACTGCCAAAAGGATGACACATGATCAGTTATATGATTCTCCTTTCTTTTGGGTTAGAACATATTAATTATTCAAAAGGAGGGTAGCAATTCATTGTATTGTGTCATTTCCACTATTCAGTATAGATGGATGTTACAATGTGAAAGCATAATTCAGTGAAAGTAATTCTATTAGGGGCCAAAATGATGAGACCTACATATATACTTCTATGATAGCTTTTGTTAATAACTGGGTGATAAAAGGTTTAAGTTAATATCTGAAAATTACAGAATTTTGGGGTTAACATCTTCTGAGTGAGAATTGAGGAGTTAGTCTGAGTACCTTGAGCAAATTACTTCAATTCCCTGGGCCTTTCCTCATCTGTAAAACAGAAATATTAATAGTACCAACCTCATAAAGTTGTTTTATTACACACATTAATACATGTAAAACACTTCAGCATGTAGTTAATAGGAAATGTTCAGTATGTATTAGCTGCCACCACCACCACCACCATAATTGAAGACAGGACACATTGTCTAGACCTAAGGCAGAAAAGCCTGGCCAGTTCAAGATCAGAAAGAATGCCAATGTAACTGGAGTGAGCAGAATGAATGAAGAGGAAAGTGGTATACAATGAAGTTGGAAAAGTAGGCAGGAGATATATCATGTATGCCCTCATAGAGGATAGTGAGAAGTTTGGATTTGGTTCTAAGTGCAGCAGGAAGCCATGAGAGGCTTTAAATAGGGCAGAGGCATGATCTGATCTGATTTATGCTTTTCAAAGGTTACTCTGGCTGCTGTGTGAACATAAGACTGTGGGGAGAAACAGTGCTGAAAGTAGGGACATGATTTTTTATTTCTATTTTATTTTATTTTTTGAGACAGAGTCTCACTCTGTTGCCCAGGCTGGAGTGCAGTGGTGCAACCTCGGCTCACTGCAACCTCCGCCTCCTGGGTTCAAGCAATTCTCCTGCCTCAGCCTCCCAGGTAGCTGGGATTACAGGCGCATGCCACCACACCAGGCTTATTTTTTGTATTTTTAGTTGAGATGGGATTTCACTGTGTTAGCCGGGATAGTCTTGATCTCCTGACCTCGTGATCTGCCCACCTCGGCCTCCCAAAGTGCTGGGATTACAGGGGTGAGCCACCGCACCTGGCCAGTAGGGCAATGATTTAAGGAGATTATTTTACTTATCTAAGCAGAGAACTTATTTGAATGAATAGTAATTTTAGTTTTTGATAATAAAACTGCCAGCTATAGAAAGTGATTTATTAACCTTTACTGGGCATCACTATCACCTGTAGAACTTTTTTTAAATTTATTTTTATTTATTTTTTTTATTTTTAAGGCTGGGCATGGTGGCTTATGCTTGTAATCCCAGCACTTTGGGTGGCTACAATGAGAAGATTGCTTGAGCCTAGGAGTTCAAGACCAGCCTGGAGCAACATAGTGAGGCTTTGTCTCTACTAAAAAGAAAAAACACACACAGATTGCCAGGGCCAATCTCAAAAATGTTGAATCAGAATCATTGGGGGTTGCTCCACAGGTGATTAACAGCAATAATAAAGAACCACATCTTATTTTTCTGTTCTTTATGGCAGCAGAACCTTTATCCAATAGAATGAGAGTGCTTTCAACCCAGTAAGGTATAAGATCACAAAAGAAGTCAGAACATTCTCCTTGTTCTCTGCATGGAAATTATCATCTGATTCTGTTTTAGCAGCCTGGGAAAATTATTACTACTATTTACTGCAGCAAAGCGTGGCACAGAGATAGCATTCTATAAATGTTTTTAAAAACAAAGTGATAAAAGAAAGACACTAATAAGCTTTGCTATGGATTTTTTCCATTGACATTTAATTTGCACAGGAGCTGGAACAGAGAAGGAGAGCTGGATTGCCTTTGCAGTACAGGGTGAATGTGATTCAAAAGCACAAGTTTTATAGTACCAAGAGCATATGAAGGAGCCTGAGATAAGAGTAGGAGAAGGGCAGGTAACTTAGAAGATAGTCTCACAGACAGAAAAAATAATCTGAGTTAGCCCAGTGAACTAATTATACATGTTGATATTTTACAGTCATAAAATATCTTGCAATTGTATTTATTAATCATTATTATTTCCACCGAGTAATTAGGTTAAATTCTATAAGGCTAAAATCAGAGGTTAAGCCTTCCTCAGTAGCCACCACCGTTACCACTTTAGAGTAGTGTAATCAGTGGTTAAGCTGAGTTTATTCATGGATAACTACAAGGTGCAGAAAAATAATTCATATTTTTTTTCTTTAAAACCATGTAAGGAAACTCATATTAAAAGTATAATTATATTAAACTTTAATTTTAACTGTACTTTCTTCCAGAAAAGTTAGAGAAATTATTCTACAGGGCAAAGCTATATAGGACAAAGTTAGATAAGTGTACTACCCTCCCTACCTTTCTGTCCTGTCCTCATCCTCTTATTCTTTTTCAGTGTTCTCACCTGCCCCCTGAGGTATCCAATCTCAGTAGTTTCTGGTGTATCTTTCTTGTGAGTTGTGTATGTGTGTATGTTTTGCTTGTTTAAGGGGCAGATGTATGTGTATTTTCTTACACTTTTTTATTACATAAAAGGTTACATACCACAGATACTTTTTGACACTCTGCTTTTTTTATTTAAAAATATATCCTGGAAATCATATCAATTCATGGAGCTCTTTATGTAATTTTGTAGCTTCATAGTACTTCATTGTGTGGATGTATCAGTTTATTCAATCATTCTCCTACATATGGAAATTTAGTTTGTTTCCAGCATTTTGCAATGAAAAACACTCCTGCAGTGAATAAACTTGTGCTTCTTATGTATTTCTATACGGTTGGAGGTGTATCTTCATGGTGAATTGCTAGAATTGGATTGCTATGTCGAAAGAAGATATTGTTAGATATTGCCAAATTCCTCTCTGAAAGAATTGCATTCCAATCAACATTTCTCTAATTATGACATTTTTCTCACTATAAGTGACACTGAACATCTTTTTTTTGTTTGAGGACTGTTTTATAATCTTTCTTGCAAAAGTCTGTTTATGTTTTTTGCCCATTTTTCTACTAGGTATTTGGTCATTTTACTCTAAATGTTTAAGAATTATTTGGGTATTAGGGAAATTAGCCCTTTACCTTTGATAACTATTACAAGTATTTTTTCCCAATTTGTCACTTGTCTTTTGACTTTGTTTGTAGTGTTTTTTGACAGAAAGCAGCTTTACAATTTTACATAGCCAAATTTGTCAGTCTTTTAGGGAATTTGGATTTTGAGTCATCATTAGAGAACCTTTTCCTATATCCAGATTTTAAAGAAATCACCTATGTTTTCTTCTGATTCTTGACTAGTTTCCTTTTTTATATTTAGGTCTCTGATACATTAAAAGTTTTTTTTGTGTGTGTGAATGTTGTGATTTATGTATTTCATTTCACATTTTTCTAAATGGCTAATCAGTTTTCTCAGAATCATTCGTTAAACAATCTGTCTTTGCTTCAGTATCATAGTTTATTTTAAACTATGCTACCTATATCATACACAGTCACACACTGCATGCATTGTTTTGGTCAACGATGGGCCTCATATAAAACCCTAGTCCCATAAGATTATAACAGAACTGAAAAATTTGTATCACCTGGTGATGTCATATAATGCCTTCATAACATCATTACTCACATGTTTTGTGGTGATGCTGTTGTAAACAAACCTACTGTGTTGTCAGTCATATAAAAGTGTACAGTAATGCCCTAGGCCTTCACATTCACTCACTACTGACTTACTAACTCACTCAGAGCAACTTCTGATCCTGTTGGCCCCAGTCATGGTAAGTGCCCTATACAGATGTACCATTTTTTATCTTTTATACTACATTTTTACTGTACCATTTCTATGTTTATATAGATTTAGATACACAAATACCAATGTGTTACAATTGCCTACAGTATTTAGTACAGTAACATACTGTACAGGTTTGTAGCCTAGAAGCAATAGGCTATACCATATAGCTTAGGTTTGTAGTAGACTATACTATCTAGGTCTGTGGAAGTATACTCTATGATGTTCACACAATGACAAAATTGCCTGACAAAATGTTTCTCAGAACAAATACCCATCATTAAGTGACACATGATTGTACTAAATTTCTACTTCTTGGATCTATGTCTGTACTTTATTTTCTATTCCATCTGAGTGGTTGTCTGTTCATGCACAAGTCCTACCTTGTTCTAATGATAGAAACTTTATGGTGTGTTGAGATGTCTGGAAAGGTTTTAAGTCCTCTGAGCTTTTTTCAGTGTTTTCCTGGCTACATTTGCATTCTTGTTTTTCCATATAAACCTTAACATCAATCTATCTAGCTTCATTAAAAAATATTGTTAGTATTTTTCTTGGCTTCAACTTACACTTATAAATTAAGAGAGCCCTGGGATATTTATGATGTTGACTCAGTCTTTTCAACAACAACGGTTGTCTTTCATTTGTTCAGATCTATTTTTGTGTTAACATTCCTTAGGTTTTGCACATTTTTTGTTAAATTTTTTTCTTAAGCATTTTATTTTTTTGTTGTTATAGTAAAAGGGGTTTTGTCTGCCATTATATTCTCTAATAGATTTTTGTTTATGTGTCCAAAGACTGTTGATTTTTCAATGTTAATTTTATATCTGGTTACCTTAATGGTTTCTTTTTTTTTAGTTCGTTTTGCCATTGATTTTCCAGAGTTTTCTAGACATGCTATCATGTAATTTTCAAATAGAGATCATTTTAGTTCTTCTTTCCCACTTCTTAAACCTTTAAGTTAATTCTCATGGCTAATTGTATTGTAATACCCCTAGTACAATGTTAAAGAAGTGGTGAGCATCCTTGCTCTGTTCCTGGTGTTAGTGGAAACATTATAGTGATTCCTCATGAAGTAAATGCTGGCATGAAGATTAAAATATTCATATTTTATTACATTAAAGAAATAGGCCGGGGATTGCTTGAGCCCAGGAGTTCAATACTGGCCTGGGCAGCATGGCAAAACACCATCTCTACAAAAAAGACACAAAAATTAGCCTGGCATGGTGGTGTGCATTTATAGTCCCAGCTCCTCAGGAGGCTGAGGTGGGAGGAACACTTGAGCCCAGGAGGCAGAAGTTTTGGTGAGCCGAGGTTACACCACTGCACTCCAGCCTGGGCCACAGAGCAAGACCCTGAAAAAAAAGAAAGAAATATCCATTAATATTTTCTTGAATGTTTTAAATCAGGGATCATTATTATATTTTGTCAAATATATATACTTGATTAAAGGTTTTATATTTCCTACATGTATGGAGATAATTATGTATTTTTTCTGTTTGGATCTATGTGTATGGTATATTAATGGATTTTTTATTGTCTCAACTTGCATTCTTGAAATATATTCTACTTGATTGTAGTGATCCTATTATCCTCTACAAGAGTGGCACATTTGTTACAATTGATGAACCTACATTGACACATCATAACTATCACCCAAGGTCCATAGTTTACATTAGTGTTAGTGTTCACTCTTGAAGTTGTACTTTCTATGGGTTTGGAAAAATATATAATGATCTACCATTATATTATTATACAGAGTATTTTTACTGCCCTAAAAATCCTTTGTGCTCTGCCCGTTCATCCCTCCTCTTCCCTGCCCTCAGCAACCTATGGGCACTGATCTTTTTACTGTCTTCATAATTTTGCCTTTTCCAGAATGTCAGGCAGTTGGAATCGTACAGTATGTAGCCTTTTTAGATTGACTTCTTTTACATATTAATATGCAATTAAGGTTCCTCCATGTTTTTTCATGGCTTCATAGCTCATTTCTTTTTAGCACTGAATAATATTCTGTTGTCTGGATATACCACAGTTTATCCATTCACCGACTAAAGGACATCTTAGTTGCTTCCAGGTTTTGGCAGTTATGAAGCTGCTGTAAATAGTCATGTGCAGGGTTTTGTGTGGACATAAATTTTCAACTCCTTTGGGTAGAATTAAGGAATGTGGCTTCTGGATCACACAGTAAAAGTATGTTTAGTTTTGTAATAAACTCCGTCTTCCAAAGTGGCTGTGCCATTTTGCATTCCAACTGGCAATGAATAAGAGTTCCTTTTGCTCCACATCCTCACCAGCATTTGGTGTCAGTGTTCTGGATTTTGGCCATTTTAGTGAGTGTGCAGTGGCACCACACTGGGTTTTGGTGGTGGTGGTGGTGGTGGTGGGTTTGTTTGTTTGTTTGTTTGTTTTGAGACAGTTTCACTATGTCACTCAGGCCGGAGTTCAGTAGAGTGACCATGGCTCACTGTCGCCTCAACCTCCTGGGCTCAAGTGATCCTCCCACCTCAGCCGCCTGAGTAGGGAGGACCACAGCCATGTGCCACTGTGCCCAGCTATTATTATTATTATTATTTGTAGAGACAAGGTCTCACTATGTTGCCCAGGCTGGTCTCAAACTCCTGGGCTGAAGCAATCATCACACCTTGGCCTCCCAAAGTGCTGGGATTAAAGTCATGAGCAACCAGAACCAGCCCACATTGTTGTTTTAATTTGCAGTTCCCTAATGACATATAATGTGGAGCATCTGTTCATATGCTTATTTACCATCTGTATATCTTCCTTGGTGAGGTGTTTGTTAAGGTCTTTGGCCTTTTTTTAATGTTTTTTTTAATTGTTGAGTTTTCAGAGTTCTTTGTATATTTGGGGTAACAGTTCTTTATCAGATGTGCCTTTTGCAAATATTTTCTTCCCGTCTGTGGTTTGTCTTCTTATTCTCTTGACATTGTTTTCTGCAGGGCAGAAGTTTTAAATTTTAATGAAGTTCAGTATGGATTGTGTCTTTTGTGTTGTTTCTAAAAACAACATACCCAAGGTCATCTAGATTTTCTCCTGTATTATCTGCTAGGATTTTATAATATTGCATTTTACATTAGGTCTGTGATCTATTTTGAGTTAATTTTTGTGACAGGTGTAAGGTCTGTGTCTAAATTCATTTCTTTTTTGCATGTAGATGTCCAGTTATTTCAGCACCGTTTGTTGAAAAGACTATCTTTGCTCCATTGTACTGCCTTCGCTCCTTTGTCAAAGATCAGGTGACTGTATTTATGTGGGTCTATTTCTGGGTTCTCTATTCTGTTCCGCTCATCTACTTATCTGTTTTTTTCTTCATTACCACACTGTCTCGAATATTGTAGCTTTATAGTAAGTCTTGAGGTCCAGTAGTATCAGTCCTCCAACTCTGTCCTCTTTCAAGTTGGGTTGGCTGTTTTGGGTCTTTTGCCTCTCTGTATAAAGTTTAGAATCTGTTTGTCAGTATCCACAAATAACTTATGGGATTTTGTTTGGTATTGCATTGAATCTATAGATCACATTGGGAAGAATTTACTTCTTTTTTATTTCTTTGATCATAATTTTATAGTTTTCCTCATATAAATTTTGTACTTATTTTCTTAGGTTCATAACTAAGTATTAGTTGGTGCTAATAACCAACTAATACAGTTGGTGCTGTATTGTGTTTTTAATTTCAAATTTCATTAGTTTGTTCTTGGTATACAAGAAGTCAGTTAACTTTTGTATATTAACCTTGTATCCTACAACCTTGCTATAACTGCTTATTCATTCCAGGAGGATTTTGTTCATTTTTTTCTGCTTTTCTGCATAGCCAATCATGTCATCTGTGACAAAGGCAGCTTTATATTTTTGTTCTCAATCTGTATGGTTTTTCTTTTTCTTGTCATATTGCATTATCTAGGACTTCCAGTATAATGTTGACAAGGAGTCATAAGAGGGGATATTCTTGCTTTGTTCCTTTTCTAATTTCTTTTTATTCTTTTATTTTTATTCATAAAATTATTAAGGTCTGTTATTTCTTCTCTGATCATTACTTTAAATGTGTTCAGTAGACTCCATATGGAGTATGTTTATTAAAATTACTTTTTGGTATTTTGTCATTTCAATTTGTATATCCCTTCTCACCCAATAATTATTTAAATAGGCAATTTTTAAATTTTCAAGTGGGAGAGCTTTTTCAGTTTTGATTTTGTTAATAATTTCTGGTTTCATTGCATGGTGATCAGAGACTTTTTTTTTTTTACTTTATGGAGCTTACTGATCTTTTTCTTTTTTACCTAATATATGTTCACCTTTTGTGAATGTTCAATGTCTTCTTGACAAGATGGTATATTCTTATTATCAGGTGCAAAGTTTGGTATGTAGTGATTTGCCCTTCCTTATTGATTATGTTATTTAGATTTGCTGTATCTTAACTTATTTTTGTTTTACGTGATCTGACTGTGTTAATAGGATGAACTGTGGCCTCTGTCAATCCAGTTGTTCTCAGAGCCACAACTGGTACTTTTCTCACTCTTTCACTGTCCATTTTACATTCCCCTCACCCTCAGCTATCACCTCAGCAGATCTTGGTAGCTTATCTGGTAGTACAACCTAAACCTTCATTGCTGAAGAGCATGTATGTTTGACAGGAGTACAAGAAGGTGCCCAGTGTATCACCTGAGTTTCACATATATTCCTTCCTGCCTTTATTGGATTGAAGCAGTCTTGCTTCCTTCTGTTTATCAGGGTCAATTAGTCATGCCAGTGTGGTGACTTCTCTTTTTATTTGTTCAGACCTGGTGACAAAAAGTCCAAAGTGCTCTGGTAGCAGTCATAATTTTTAGTTTATTAAGACCTTTGTTGTGTCTTCTGTCAAGAGAGACCCCCCACTTTGGGTAACAAGATCTTCAGCCCTGTAGAGTTCAGGGTGTGGTGAAGGAAGCACAGAATACAGTGTGTCATTGGGAGTGATGGTAAATAGGACCATACCTGCTTCCACCCCTTGGTCTTTAGACCCAAATGTTCATCCTATTTGGGACAAAACTCCATATGGGTCAGTGATTTAACAAATCCACTGTGTTCTAAAGGGTAGTACACCATTTTTTCACATTATTTTCTTTTAACTGGCACATCAATTATAACTTTAGAAGGAAATTCCAATGTTATGTGAGGCTGGATGCTTCTAGATTGGGCAGGATTAAAACTAATGGATTACATCATGGGCCTACTCCTTGCCCCTCCTTCAATGTAAAGAGGGTCTCCATTTTTGGATGCTGTGTTCTGTGAGGTTTCATGTCTGTGGATCAGGCATTCTGTAAGCCTCTAGATAGTAGTGCTAGTAGAACTTTAGAGACAAGAAAGGCAAACTCTTACCCAAATAAATATCTGTCTCTGTGATGATGAACTGCTGATACTTCCAGGTTGGAAGGTGCCCAATGTAAGAAATTTGCCACCGAGTAGCTGGTTGCCTTCTTCGTGGAATGGTGACATAATGTGGACTTTGTTGGTCTTTTTTTGCTGACAAATGGAACTTTCAGAGGCAGCAGAAGCTGGAACATCCTTGGTAAGTGATAGTACATGCTGTTGGGCTCATACATAACTTCTGTCTCTACTACCATGTCTTCTCCATTCATTTGATACTCATGCCAATCTGGGAGTGACCAAAGATGAAGGCTGGCTAATGTCAACTGGCCAAGTCATTTTGTCTACTTGGTTTTTTATAACCTCCTTCATGGTATATGCTTCCTGGTGGGCATTAATGTGTGAGGGCGAACTCTTTATACTCTTTGCCTAATCCCATGTGTCTAGTCATGTGACTCTGTCTCAGATCTCTCTTCCTCTATTTTTTTTTCCTCCCAGGCCCCTGACCAGATAGCCATGCCATTGATTACTGCCGAGGAATCTATATATCCTCACTTCAGGTCACTTCTCTTGCCACACAAAAGATGATGAGCTGGTACACTGCTCACAGATCTACCCCTTAGGATGACTTTTTTCTTCTCTGTTGTTATTCAGAGTATGCATAAGTGTACCTTTTTTGCTGTTGCTATCCATTTTCAGCTAGAACTGCCTACCAAGCTGACCCAACCATAAATCAAGCTGAAGCTTTTTCTCCTCCTCCAGCTAGTCATATGGGAGCTATTTTCTCACCCTAACACATATTCCTGTAGTTATAAGCTAGGAGAAGGTAACTGCAGTGAGTGTGAAGGTGACATTGGGGTTTGGGCTACCTATTAATGCAGCTTACTTGTTCCCCCGGTCCCACTTGGGTTCAATTCTGTATATAACATTTCTCCAGTATAATGGATTGCTGCTAGTGCCCATCTGAATTTATGTCTTGGCAGCCTGACAGAACCCAGGACATAATGGCAAGTTCTAAGTGTGTGGTTACTTAATGTCCCATAGTCAAGTGTCCTTCCTTTACCAGGTTCCAGTAACACCAAAAACTGTTTCTCAAAAAGCATAGTATTTTCTGCTTCAGATGACATGGCCTTACTCCAGAATTCCAGAGGCAGCATTTGTTTCTCTCACTGCAAACTGCCATAGGCTCCATACTGCATCTTCTCCCACCATAATACCTCCAATACTAAAGGGTCTTCTGGATTAAATATGCAAGTGGCGGGACTGATTGTACCATGTCCTAGACTTATGATGTTGCCCTTTCCTGTTTTGGGTGCTGCTCAAAGCTAGCAGCCTACAGTGTCACCTGGTATATGGGCTAGAGTAGTATTCCTAGGTATAGAATGGTTTGCTCCTTAGACCCCAAAAGGTGTGCCTTTCCTTTTTTTGTGGTGGAGTATGTAAGACTCTCAATTTGCTCTTGCCTTAGAGGGGCTATTCAAGTATATCCCTAACCACTGGGATCCTAAATCTTCAGAAAATTGGCCAGCTTATGAATCTTTGAAGGGTGTATATCCTACCATCTTGAGTGCATGTGTCTTGCCAAATTCTCTATTGTACTAGCCATCTCTTGCTCATCTTGTTCAATCAGCATGACATCACGTATGTAGTGGATTGGGGTGATGTTCTGTGGTATTCACTGAAGGTTCAGATCTCTTCAGACTGAACCTGTATCATATGACAGAGGCAGGAGAACACAGGAAAACTGTAAGTGACTATTGTCCATCCTACATGAATGCAAACTAGTTTTTTATTATCTTTTTTAATTTTAAAGGAAAAAGTTACATTTGCTTAATTGGTGACTATATACCATTTATGGGAAGACTTAGTAATCTTCTCTAGCAATGATACTACATCTGACAAAGCAGCTGTAACTGGGGCTGTGGTAGTCTACAGTCACCCTCCAGAATCTATGCGATCTCCGCAGGGGTGCGCCTGGTGAATTCAGCGATGCTGTAATAGGGACCACCACCCCTAAATCTTTTAGGTTTTTAATGGTGGCACTAATCTATGACATCCCCCCACACACAATGTGACTGACAGTCATAGAGATGTAAGTGATTGGCTGATCATCAGAACCCAAAGATCCACCTATGGGAATATCTCTGCCTTTTATGCTCCTCTTTAGACAATCCAATTCTTATTATTCATTTTCAACAGATCTTTGGGGATATCTATTATATATGTCAATTACTAAGAAAAAAAGTGCAGAGGTGAATAAGATTAGGTCCTGACTTCAGGAGCTTATAGTCAAGAAGTCAATATTCAATTATCATTCCGTGTCAAAGCCTCTACTGTCTCTGTCTGTCTTTTTTCCCAGACATCAGGTTTGATTAGGTTTGATAAAATTAAAACTTAAAAATCAGGTCATCCCTTGAAAGTCTAGAATCAGTGCAGTCCTCAGAGAAAGTTGTAAATTGTTGAAGAACTTTTTTTCCTGAGGCTCTTAGTCTCTCCTTTGTGTGTGTGTGTATATATATTTCCTCCCTTGGGCATGAGTTCTTTTCCATCTCAAACAATCGGTGTGCTCTTTTTTTTCCCCTATAATTTGCCCTTCCCATCAAAGCCTGTTTTCATGGAAAGACCTGATAAATATATTTCAGTCCCAGCAGTAAATGATTATGAGCTAACTGCAATGTATTCCTCTTTCAAGGATATTTACATTTCAGCAATGAACAGAAACCTGAAACTAATGCAAAATGTCATTAATCAAAGAATTTAGGGTGTCATTTAGTGAGCAGGGAAAAACTTATGGATGACTAGAAACTTTCATACCTCTCAACTTAACCATACCATGCAAATGGTCATCTACTCAACTAAAAAGGCAGGACAGGACTGGCCACCATTTCTTGCTAGTGACTTCTAGTTAGGAAACTCAAATCTTCATAAGAGTTGGTGAAAGCAAAGTACTCTGAAGTTTTTGTTGTAAATGCTATTTGCCATTGGCATTGAAGAGAACTGTTCATCATTAAAGACCAGCTGAGCAAATGTGACTTCAAACCACTTCAAAGATTTTTTTCTCTTCTTAATGTTTTACTTATTCTAGGCAATGTGACAGTGATGATACTTGCATATGCTGTAACAATGAAGTGAAAAGATCAGTGCATTTAGCTTTTCATGGAATTGTAAATATTAGAGGTGTTCCAAGATAAAACATCACTTGCCTTAATACATAGATTTATTTTTTCCATACTGGTTTTTGTCTGCTTTTAATAAAAACATATGGAAAATGCTCTACAGGAATCATTTCTATTTCTTTAAGCATAGTCATATCAGTTTTGAGCACTAATCCCATGTATCCTCTCAGTTCTGGCAGCAGAGCACCTTCTTATATGGTAGCAGGATGGTTGGAATGTTTGTTGATTCAGCTATTAAGCCCCCTGGGCTACAGAGATTGCCAAATATTTGAATTTTGGATGATGTACTTGGTATATGGAGCCAATTGTTTATGACAAAAATGAATCAAGACCACTAATCACAGCAGTGCCAGAAGTGGCCAAACAGTGGGTCCTCTTTTTCCGTCAGGGTGGTCTTCATTAGAGACAAAGACTGAAGTGAGTTTCAAAAATCTGGCTATATCAAGTAAAAGCATGCTTTTAAACTTCATTTTTAGTACTTCAGTGGACTTAACTGGAATAAGCTAGACTGTGGCCAGCTGTATTAATTGATTAGAATGTAATGGAATCCCTTTGCCTAAACAATTTACTTCTTTGATATCTTTTATGACTTGGATTTGGATGAGAAATTTCATGTTTTTAATTGTCACTTAAGTCATGCTGAAAGAGCACGTGTGATTAAATCAGTCAATAAAAAAAGTATTAGGTTTCTGCTATGTGCAAATATGTGCCTAGTAATCACTGTAAGATATATTAAAAAATAAAATGTTATCAATAATTTAGGAAAATTTAGTCTAGTTGGGAAGAACGAAATCTATATGTAAACTGTTAGGTAATGGTGAAGGCATCATGTGAGAATTAAGGAGTTGTTATAGTTCAGTGTTAGTAGAGATAGATTAACATAAAATGAAAGGATAGAGAAGGGTTCATAGAGAAGATGGAAGGGTTTACAGAAATGATGGACCTTGAATTAGATTGTTTATTAATAAATTGCAGGAAAAGAGGAGGGCATTCCAAGCACAGTGAACCATATAAGCAGAGCCTAGAGACCTAGGTTAATGCATGGTGGATTTACAGGAGTGGGTGACACTGGCTAGCTGATACAGTTTTTTTGTGTGTTGGCACAGAGTGACAAATAAGGCTGTAAAAGTAGGTTGGCATCAAATTGTATAAGACCTTATATTTCAAGCTATGTCAGAGGCAGCATATTCAGTGGTTAGGCAATGTGGGCTAATGTTGCAATTCTTGTGTTGTGAAAAACTATGAGACCCCCCTCTCATCTCCCAGGTGAACCAACCAAAGTTCTATTTCTTTGCCTGGTTTTTGCTCATACTGGTCACAAATGTTCATCCTTTTATACTCATTGTAGATGGGAGTCTCTGTAACTATTATCTACAAGGAGATAGAGTCTTCTGCCTACCCAGGATGAATCTTTTTTTTCTTTTCTTTTCTTTTTTATTTTATTTTATTTTATTTTACTTTATTTTATTTTAGTGAGACAGGGTCTTGTTCTGTTGCCCACCCAGGCTAGAGTGGCGTGATCACGGCCACTGCAGCTGCAGCCTCCAGGCTCAAGCAGTCCTCCCACCTCAACGTCTCAAATAGCTTGGACCACAGGCATGCACTACCACACTCAGCTAAGTTTTTTATTTTTTATTTTTGTAGAGATGGGTTTTCATTGTGTTACCCAGGCTAGTCAAGCTATCTGCCTATCTGCCCACCTCAGCCTCCCAAAGTGCTGGGACTACAGGTGTGAGCCACTGCCCCCAGCTGGAATCTTAGTACTAGTTGTTACAATGTTGCAAACCTGAAACTGTTCACCAGATTGATGAGGAAGTCTTTCTGCCCTTTGAACTTATTTCCCTGTACTTGGCCTGAAGCTGTCTCTCCCAGTACCTCCTCTAAACAGGCAATAAAGTGGAGGACCATTTATTGCCTGGTTGACCATATATTTGGTTTACATATTCATTGCCATTTCCCATGGGCTTCTCTCAAATCCTGTTAATCATCTGTGAGGCCCTAATACTTCCTCCTCCAGAAAGCTATGTCTCTATCAGTATCCCATCTTCATCACCAAAATTGTCAGAATCGGAGATTTTATTCCATTTGCAAGCCAACAATTTAGCCTGACAGTTTCAATGATTCTGGTAAAAGACACAAGCTCCTAGAACAATGACAAAAGATAGTTTATTACTCTTGGCAAAAGCACTTTCCAGAGTGTCAACTTTTTTGCACTGATTCACTGAGCCCCACTTCCCACAGGGTGACAAGAAGAGGGCTAGATGATACTTGCATATGCGGTAGGTTGCATTACATAAGAGGAATCTGAAGTTTAAGGAGCCTAAATCTTTTATAATGGGCAGTCAGAAAAGATAATGTATTCCAGAGAGATATTATCTCGTTATCTTGGACAGTACGCATTCCTTCCTGCCCTTTGCTTCAGGAAGCAATGCAAAAATCTCTGAAGAGAGTGACTGGAATAATGCAAAGTCAATACCTCATTTGCAGAATGTGTGGAAATGCAAGGGACCAATGAAGAATTATCTCCCAGTGACATGTGAAGTTAAATATTGGAGGTACAAAAATGGGTCAGATACATTCCTTTTCCTGCATGAGCTTACATTTTATTGGAATAGAGAAACATGCCCTTAATTACAGTATAGTATGAATAATGCTAACTAGCCATATTAACAGAGTTGTGTATGGATATAAAATAATCAGTGCTGATTCTGACTAAGGTGGATTGTGAAAGTTTTCATAGATCATATTACATTTGAGTGGGTAACAAGTTACGTGGTGCAAGAACCAGGGGCATGGAGTACATGGGTGTTTGAGCAGTGACTTGAAGAAATAGTAGGGATTTATCAAGTAGAAACAGAGGGCAAGGGCATTCCAGCCAGAGGAAACAGCATTTGTAAAAGCACAGATGTGTGAAGAAGCTAGATGTATGTAGAAAACTGCAAATAGTTCAATGTTTTAGTCAGGTCTTTTTCCATTGCAAGTGACAGAAACTCAGTTTGAACAGTTTTAAGTTAAAAAAATCAGAATTGGCAAATAAAATCAGGAAGTCCAGGAGTGTATGTGTCTAGAGACTTGGCTAGGTACAGGAACTTGATGAATATAACCAAGACACTCTGTAAATCTTATCCTGGCATTTCTCTGTTGGCTACATTCACAGGAACACACTGTAGAAAAAGTGGTCATTGGCAACTCTAGGCTTCTGTTGCCCTCAGATTTAGCAATCTAAGCAAAAAGAAAGCACTCTTTTTTTCCTTATATCTCTAGCAAAAGTTCTTAGGAGACTCCAGCCAATCAGGCTTTGACCACATAATCATCTTTTTTTTTTTTTTTCTGTAGCCAGGCTGGAGTGCAGTGGCGCGATCTTGGCTCACTGCAACCTCCGCCTCTGGGTTCAAGCGATTCTCCTGCCTCAGCCTCTGAGTAGTTGGGACTACAGGCGCATGTCACCGCACCCAGCTAATTTTTGTATTTTTAGTAGAGATGAGGTTTCACCATGTTGGCCAGGATGGTCTCGAACTCCTGACCTTGTGATCCACCCAAGTTGGCCTCCCAAAGTGCTGGGATTACAGGTGTGAGTCACTGCGCCCGGCCCACATGATCATCTTTCAATCAATTGCAATAGCAATGGAATAGGAATACTGTAATTTGCAAGATTTAGGTCATTTTCCCACCCCTGGAAACTGGGATGGGGACGAGAGTACATGGACTGAGAAATGGGGAATAATGTTTCCCCAAAGAGATTTTTAGCAGATTGAAGACATGTCCTCTACATTTCACATCTTTATTGCCCAATATCTACTTATACCCTCTTGCTACTTATACAGTTTTAAACGTGCCTTTGCCTAACATAGTGCAGGCACCTACACAGCTGAAAATGCACTCTCCTTTCTCCAAAGGAAAGTACCCCAAGGTACTGGCCAATTATTGCTTACATGTCTAAGGCCAAGTTCTCAGGGTAAGATGCATTATTTTCAATGAGGCCTAAGTACCTGTATACATTTCTACTAACTGGTATATATATATATATATATATATATACACACACACACACATATATATATATATACACACACACATATATATATGAAAGAAAACAAGATATCCCATTTGAAGAAAGAGAGAATGTGAAACAACATAGAGTGACCATAGACCCATAGCTGTGTATCTAAAACAAAAGTAGGTAATTGAGACATGCCAGTTCCTCATAACAATATAAATCTTTTTTAATCACCTAACTTCCCACTCCATGCTGCAAACATACACACATTGAAAGGGAGAGAATCTCTGAGATAAACAGTCTCCAGAATATACATTCTATGAAACCAAGGAATCTTTTTGTTTGTTTTCTAGTATGTGATCAGTGCAAGAACAGTGCCTGATACATAGTAACTACGTCTTGTCTTGACTAAGTTAATTTATATTCTTCTTTGTTTTTTGTTTTGTTTTGTTTTGTTTTTTGAGATGGAGTCTCCCTCTGTCGCCCAGGCTGGAGTGCAGTGGCGCCATCTCAGCTCACTGCAACCTCCGCCCCCAGGGTTCTAGCAATTCTCCTGCCTCAGCCTCCCTAGTAGCTGGGATTTCAGGAACCCACCACCATGCCATGTTGGTCAGGCTGGTCTCAAACTCCTGACCTCAGGTGATCCACCCGCCTCGGCCTCCCAAAGTGCTAGGATTACAGGTGTGAGCCACCGTGCTCAGCCGAATTGATATTCTTAAGATATTTATAAGAATTCTGAGACAGATATATAGATATTGAGTACCTATAATTATACTTAGCCAAAAATATGCAGTAAATAATGGTTATGCTGTTACCTTCAAACAATTCAAAATCTGAGCTCCACTGATTTTATCTGGGGACAAGTTCAATAAATAATTTCTATTTTCTCTCAAAAGATCTTCGAATTATTACCAACTGTTGCCTACCAAAAAGGAGCATCTGAAACACCTAATACCAATTACCTTTTTTTGTTGCAGCTTTATAGAGGTATAGTTAACATATAACAAAGTTATATGTGGTAAAATTTGATAACTTTTGACATATGTATAAATTGTGAAACCATCACTGTATTCATCCATTCTCGCACTGCTATAAAGAAATACCTGAGACTGAGTAATTTATAAAGAAAAGAGGTTTAATTGGCTCACAGTTATGCAGGCTGTACAGGAAGCATGGTTGGGGAGGCCCCAGGAAACTTAACAACCATGGTAGAAGGCAAAGGGTAAGCAGAAACATCTTACGTGGCCGGAGCAGGAGGAAGAGAGAAGGGAGAGGTGCCACACACTTCTAAACAACCAAATCTTGCAAGCACTCAGTATCATGAGAGCAGCACTGAGGGTGAAATCTGCCCCCATGATTCAGTCACCTCCCACCAGGCCCCACCTCCAACATAGGGACACAGACCCAAACCATATCAATGAACAAAATCAGGATAGTGAACACACCCATCAAACCCCCAAATTTTCTTGTTTACATTTGTAATCCTTCTTTTCTGCCTCTCCTTCCCCCCTCCCTCCTCAGGGTACCATGGGGGGATCTGCTTTTTGTCACTATGGATTATCCAAACCTAAATATCAAATAATGGCCAGAATAGTTTATTTTTGAATTATAACTTAACTATAATTTTATGTGGACTTTAGAAGACTAAAAGTAGACTTTCCAGCTAACTTTGTAGTTTCCCTTAAAAGTGATGTTAAAAACACTGTGAATATCTGGGCACAGATCGCTTGTATCTCTAATCTTAGCTACTTGGGAGTCTGAAGCAAGAGTATCACTTGAGGCCAGAAGTTCAAGACCAGCCTGGGCAACAAAACGAGACCACATCTCTAAAAAAAAAAAAATTTTTTTAATTAGCTGAACGTGGTGGCACACACCTGTGATCATGCCACTGTACTCCAGCTTGATTGACAGAGCAAGAATCAATCTTTTTTAAAAAAAATACTGTAAATACTATCTAAACAAAAGTCTTATTTGGAACACAGAATATATGTTTTGTCATAAGGAATTTTATTGTCTTTGTAGTTTTGTGGATTTTCTCTGTTGAGTTTTCAGGATGCTGCACATATGGAATTGAGCTGTGCTATATTTTCTGCTCAAATACATAGAATTACAGAAGGGAAAATATATGAATAGCAGTAGTCACTAAATTTCTCAGCAGTATCATGATGGAAAATACCTGGTTTTGATGGCTTTTAGATCTAAAACAGCAAAAGAAAATGAAGGAGAGGCAGATACCTAGATGGATTATTTTGCATTTTCAAGAAACTGTATTTTCTGTTTGTGGTTTCCTCAGAAGACAGAATATTTCCTTCATTTGCAGTTTGCATGCTTCCCTGTGCTAAAGTTTAGTTTCTATAGATTACTGGGAAAGTGAATTTATTACATTTGCCTTTTGAAATTTTTTTGGCATTAACTTTTGGATAGGTTATTCTCACTCAGTAAAGGCTATTTTAATGTTTTTCTTTTTTATTATTACTTTCCTACCTGGACTCATCATATTACTGACATGACATGTGCTTCCATAAATGTTAGAAAACAAAATCTTGTGAGTGTAACCTGCATCCTTGTCTCAGACCAAATTATCCTCTTACAAAACCTCTCTCCCTCTGCATACATTCTTACTCGTTTGAATATGTAAAATTTCAGTCCTGTCTGTAGAAGCTAGGCTAGTTTTTTTTTTTTTTTCAGGATAACTTTGAAACTGCCTAATTGAAAAAGTTATTATTCAAATAGGATTTATTTTTAATTTGGTCATCAATTCAGGCCATTGAATGTTTATTGAATATAAACTATATATTCAATAATACTATATATACACAACACCAGCCAAGGCTTTGCATAACTTTGCCCTCAAGAATTCATAATTTACATGTTGCCTTTATTAATTTTATCTTTTAGCTTTTTTTAATGATTGTTTTTCCAAGGGCTATATTCATCTCTACTTTGTTCAGACTTATAAACTACTCAGAAGATACATTTAAGCCAAACTATGCTGTGTTCTTGTATATTTAAAGCACAGTGGATATTAAATCAATAATTGAAATTTTCCATGGGAGTTAAATGGCCCAAGTGTCACTCTTATCTATAACAACAGGACATCTTAAAGCTACCTTGCAAAATATCAGAAAAGTTTCAATTTTCCAAAATATGTAATTTGTTTTAAAGCTGTTATTATAATTTAACATGCTATTACCTCTAAAACAAGCCAAAATCTGAGCAACACTGATTTTATCTGAAAACTAGTTCAACTAATATATTATATATTCTCTCTAAAGATCTTTAAATCCTTAAAAAATGTTGCCTACCATAAAGCATATGGTTATCTAAAATACCCAATACTAAATACCTTTCTTTTTACAGGCTCATTGAGGTATAATTGACATATAATAAGCTGCCTATATTTAAATTTTACAATTTGATAATTTTTGACATATGTATAACCTGTGAAACCATCACCAAGATCAAGATAATGAACATATCTGTCAAACCCAGTAATTTACTTGTTCACTTTTTATATAATACTTTATTTCTGTTCCTCTTGTCTTCTCCCTTTCCATGCTACTTCTGATCTGCTCTTTGTCACTCGAGATTAATTGGAATTTTCTAAAGTCTTTATATAAACTGACTCACATAGTATGTACTCTTTTTTTTTTGTCTGGCTTCTTTCACTTAGCATAAGACATTTGAGATTCGTCTAGGTTGCCACATCTAGGCTGTTCGTTTTATGGATATATTGTAATTAGTTTGTGTATATGTGTATAAGTTTATCCACTTACCATTTTTTAACTTGAGGGACTATATATTTCAATAGAAAACAGATACTCTAACACTTCTATTGGAAAACTATTAAAGTGCTCAATGTATGTAGCGCATAATATAATGTATTCTGTTAGGACACTCTAGCTTCCAAGCTTCTGGCTACTGCCAAATAAGAATGATAATATTTTACTTTTATGATTTCCCAGGAAACTAATGGAATCTGCTAGTGCTTCGGTTCCCAGGTTTTGCTTTAAAAAAAAAATGCATGTGAATTAGTCTCCAGCCTCTAGTGATTATAGAATAATAAAACTTTGTTTTTACTGGAGAGAATGCTGAGTCACTCTTCTCAGTACGGCAAACAGATGTGAAGGGTCTGAAAACAGAAGACATATTTTCACATACTATTTTTAAAACTACTTCTTTTTTCTGCTTCTTGGTAAAAATTGGTGGTCAGACTAGTTCTATTAAGAAGACACCAGAAGCCAGACTGCTGTTTCTTTCCTTCACTAAGGTATTATATTTTAAATTCTGATAGGATGACTTAACTGAGGTGGTAAAACACATTGTGAGAGAAAATGTTTGGACTTATTAATGTTTTCTAAATTATTTTAAATTTATAAAAATGAATTAGAGCATCTTTATCAGATTTTTGTTTTTACTTTTCTTCCTGTATCGTTTCATGCTAATGTAGTTTTTAGAAATGAAAAGTATGGACTCTAATGACGTACTTTTTATTTTTCAATCTGTAAGCTTTCTGAAATTTTGCTACTTGGCAAAGATGTCCATGTTATTTGATGTACATTTTGAGTGTGTTTAAAAAAAAGGTTTCCTTTATAGGTACGTTATCATTAATGTTCAGTTGATACAGTTAACTCTGGTTTTAACATATTGAAATGTATTATTTAAAAGGCAAGGTCTCTACTTGGTAGTAATCTAGGTATGAATTTTTAAAATAATGAAAAGTTTCTTTGGCCAGGGTTCTAAGCTCTCCTATGTGGGAAGGAAATAGAGATCTTTCTCCTCCTTTTAATAACTTGTGCTTATCATATACACCATGGAATACTATGCAGCCATAAAAAATGATGAGTTCATGTCCTTTGTAGGGACATGGATGAAGCTGGAAACCATCATTCTCAGCAAACTATCGCAAGGACGAAAAACCAAACACCGCATGTTCTCACTCATAGGTGGGAATTGAACAATGAGAACACATGGACACAGGAAGGGGAACATCACACACTGGGGCCTGTTGTGGGGTGGGGGGAGTGGAGAGGGATAGCATTAGGAGATATACCTAGTGTTAAATGAAGAGTTAATGGGTGCAGCACACCAACATGGCACATGTTGTTACATATGTAACATATGTAACAAACCTGCACATTGTGCACATGTACTCTAAAACTTAAAGTATAATAAAA
Organism: Homo sapiens; assembly: GCF_000001405.40. Lineage (NCBI taxonomy): Eukaryota > Metazoa > Chordata > Mammalia > Primates > Hominidae > Homo > Homo sapiens. The sequence goes on along the minus strand of NC_000001.11, from coordinate 85,991,919 downwards.
AATAATAAAATAATAAAATAAATAAATAAATACAAGCCAATAAAAATAAAAAATAAAAAATAAACTTGTGCTTATATATTTGTTAGCTTTTCAATAAAGTTTCAATTTTAAAATATTCAGCTTGTATGACTATACTATGAGATCAGCTGTGTTGACATCTTTTTCTTCTATTATCCTTGACCTTACCACTTTGTCTTTTTAATATTTCTCCACTGATACTTTAATGACGTTTTAAGGAGCAGAGATTCACACGTATATTCAGTGTTGCATGTTTACCCAGAAGTCACCCCAGCAAATTTTTTCTTACCGTTTTATTGTAAAGTAAAACATAGACACATAAAACTATACAAAACAAATGTATATCACAAACAATTATAAGACAGACTCTTGTAACTACCACACAGGTCAAGACTAAAACTGACAGTTACCACCAGAAGCCATTATGTGCCCCATGAAACCACAAGCCCAGCTCTCCTCCCAAAAGTAAGCAGTTCCTCCTTTTTAAAACATAGTTTATCACACAAGTGTGCATCTTTAAAAACTATAATTTAGGCTTATTTGTTTTATTTCCTATGTCTTTCACTCTACAAGTTCTCTCTCTATTCCCTGTTTTCCCCCTTAAAATTTAGTTGTTGAAGCTCCCCAATCATTTGATCTGTAGTTTCCCACAGTCTGGATTTTGCTGATTATAGTCTCATGGTGTAGTTCTGCCTGTTTCTTGGTCCTGTGTGTTTCCTGCAAATTGGTAGTCACATATAGAGACCTTACCATATTCAGGTTTGTTTTTGGCAAGACAATCAGTGGTATTCTGTTCTTTTATCAGGAAGCACATAATGTCTGGTGATCTCTTTTTGTGTGTGTGATGTTAGTAATAGTTGATGCTCAGTGCCTAGATCAATTAGATTATTTGTATCATTGCAAAATGGAGATTTTTTTAATCCTCTTCTTTCTTTTTCACTTACTGGCTGGAATACATCCCTTCATCTACTGTTTGGTTACTAGTGGTACACTAAGGCAGAACAAATTCTTGATTCTTCACCTTTGTTTACCATGTTTCAAGATAATGAGTGAGCCTCCTTTCATCCTTTGAACGTGGACAGTTTTTGTTGTTGTATCATTATGAACTTATGAACTTAAACATATTTGATGTGTTTCAATCCATTGTAGTTCTTATCCTTGTTGAAGTTCATATTGTCCCATATCTGGCCGAGGGGATCCTCTTCAAGCACCTACTAAGCGTTTTTAATATGACTCTACTTTTGATACCTTCGAAAGCTTTCTTGTTTTCTGGCATGATACTGCAGGGGCCCCTAACACCTGGGCTGTGGACCTGTACTGGTTTGTGACCTGTTAGGAACTGGGCTGCACAGCAGGAAGTGAGTGGCAGGTGAGCAAGCATTACTGCCTGAGCTTCACCTCCTGTCAGATCAGCGGCAGCATTAGAGTCTCATAGGAGCACGAACCCTGTTGTGAACTGCACGTGTGAGGGATCTAGGTTGCATGCTCCTTATGAGAGTCTAATGCCTGATGATCTGAAGCAGAACAGTTTCATCCCGAAACTATCCTCCATGCCGCAATCTTATGGAAAAATTGTCTTCCATGAAACTGGTGCCAAAAAGGTTGGAGACTGCTGTGATAGTGTGTTCCAGGCTTATCTGGAGGATGGACAGGATTTATTGATTTATCCATGCAGATGCTATGAGTAAATGCTCTAAATTGGCTGAAAGCCAGTACTGAGGGGCTACAACAAGCCACGAAACATGTACTTTCTTTCAAAAAAAAAAGAAAAGAAAAGAAAAAACAAACCAGTCATTCAACAGCAGCAACTACAACAACGACAAAGCATTTTTTAAGCACTTACTGTGTATCAGGCATTGTACTAGTTGCAGAGAATATGGAAGTGAATAACATAAAACTGCACTCAAAGAGTTTACAATCTGATTAGGAAAACAAAACAAGCCAAAACACTACATTAAGGGACCTTATAGGACCCCAGGATGGTGTGAGAGTTCTTAGAAGCAACCTAATTCAAGGTATGGAGGTCAAAGAAAAGTTTGCAAGTAAAATGTTATTCAGTCGTCTAGTTAAAACATAAGTGTTCTAGGTGAGGAAACTTAAGGGAACATTATTCAAGGTGAGGGAAACAGTATATGCAAAAGCCCAGAATTGAAAGAGAGTATATATTATCAGAGTATGAAAATTGTTCAGTGACTGAAGTGCTGGGTGGTAGAGAGTAAAGAAGAGAGATAAATAGAGACCACCAAATCACGAAAGACCCTGTAAACTGTGTATTAAAGAATTTGGATTCTATTCTGAGGCCAGTAACAAAGTGGCATGCTCAGATTCCATAGAATGATCAGTCTGGCTACGGAGTGAAAATGAATTTTACAGGGGATAGGAACATGAATAAGCAATAGGAAAATAGAGAAAGTGACTTGCCCTAGGGTTGTGGAGGGAGGTTTGTAGAAAAGTGGTTCAGACTGACAGTGAATTAGGAGATGTAATGGATGGGGCTTAGTAAATGATTGGAAGATGGTCGTGGTGGTGGTGGGGAGGGAAAAATAAGTATTCAGAGTATATCAAAAATATGAAAGTATTCAAAGCATATGAAAAATCTGTTATACAGATTTTTGGCTTGGAAACTGGTGGATTACCTCAAGGTGACATTCACTCAAATAGTGAACAGAGGATGAGGGAGGAACATAATGGAGAAGGTAGTAAGTTCAATTTTAGACTAGCTAGTGTTACAGCAGGAGCTAGAAGTGTCTTGATTCAAGTCCACAAGAAATCCCCCCCACAAAAAAACATACTAACAAAAGGTGTGTTCTAGAGAAAGGGTGTAAAATTATCAGGAAAAGAATCTAGTTTTTTAAAAATTGCCATATATACAAATAATAGCATAGGTGAGCCTGATTTTCTTTGATTAGTAAAGCAATCAACAAGTTTGTATTAAACATATCTGTATTAAACTATTCCAGAACATTCAGAAATCTGATCTTGTGATCATCTTTCTGTTGCCACTGCTTTTTCTTTTGCCAGAAATGTCCCCAAATTATATTTTTCCTCACAGAATCCAAGCTTTAAATCTGAGTCGAGGCATTCGTGTCCTAATCCAGACTGGATACGTTGGTATCATTTTCTTATTATTTGTTTTTCTTTCCAGAATGAATATCCCAGAAACAACTTTGCTGTTCCATCTTACTTCATATTTTTTATTCCCATTACAACTTATCCCTTCACTGAACTACCTTTTCTTGTGGATGTTCACGTTTTAATTTCAGCCTTCTTTACTTTTAAAGATGCTGATTCTTATACTTCTTTTACTTTTTTCCTTCACTAATGTCAATGGAAAATAATCTATGACAAAATCAATAAAATGAAACCACAATTACTAGCTTATTACAATTATTGAATCATAATTTGATGAATCACACTCTAATTATTTCAGCAAGAGTTTTAATCTGATACTTTTAAAGCAACATTCTAGGCCTTTTCCCAGCATAGATTGTATTTAACACTGTGATCCATTTCTATTTCTTTTTCATTTCTTGAGCCAAGTATTTTAGACTGCTAATATAATTTCCAAAAAAGTAAAATCATGATTCTCATGCAAATTTAAAGTAAACACAGGTCAAAGATTTTATTCAATTTATTAATTAATGATGGAACTTGTAAGATAATGGTTCATAGAGCCTTTGAGGACTTAAGTATTTATAGACAATTAAATATGGGGATGTTAGAATAAGATAGTTGGGTTAGATACAAAACTGATTAATCCTGTATATTAAGCCATAATTTTGGGTGCTGTTTTTTTTTTTTATCAGACAGAAGTTGTTTGCATCTCTGCCTAACAAAAATCTATAAGTTAACATGTAGTTAGTAAATAGTGAGTCCAACAAAGTACATTCACCTAATCTTTGGTAGCCCTATATCCCATATGATGTTGAAAGAACATGTCATACACCTTTTTGCCTTATTTCCACATTGTGGATAATTTTGGACTGAGACTTCTACTCTCTTAAACTGAACTAGAGGACCTCAGGATTGTTTGTGAATCACTGATGGAGTAAATTCTATTTTAGTACACTTTGTAAGTTTTATATTCCAGTGTTAAACAACTGCCTAACTTAATCTTCAATATTGAATTTTTGAGGATTATAAATTGCTTTAACTGGATATGGAGGAATAGCAAAGGGAATTTTATATGCTAAATGGATTTAAAGTAATTTTCTATGGAATAAACGCTACATTTTTATATTCCCTAGGGTTTTCCAGGAGATATTGGGATTCCTGGACAAAACGGCCCTGAAGGACCAAAGGTAAGAAGAAGAAGAAGAGAGAGACTAAACAATTATGGTTATCTAGAGCTCCTGATTCTCAATAAATGGGAAAAATATTTTAGGAATATCAGAACATTTCTGGATATTTTTAAGCTGTCTCAGGTACATTTAATAAACTTTAGGTTTCAGATAGTTGCAAATGATTTTTCTAGTTTGATATGAACTGAGATTAAGGGTGACAATATTTGCAAAATCACCCAGAAGGATTTTTTTGGAAGAGATGAGGAGAAAAAACTCTAAAAAGTCATAGCGTATAAAAGGCTGAAAATAAGTAAATGGATGAGAATTCCCTGACCACTAAAAAAATCTTTTGGGGACATAAGATATCCATTGATTGAAATAAAAGAAAGCCTGTGGTGTCCATGAACCTCTACATAGCACAAAAGACCTGAAGAAACCCAAGCATTTTTAACTTACAAGTGAAACCACAATTATTAGCTTATTACCGTTATTGAAACTCATCATGATGACTCACATACTAATTTATTATTTCGGCAATGCTTTTAATCTAACCATTTTAAAGCAACGTTCTAGGCCTTTTCCCAGCACAGATTTTATTTAACACTATGGTATATATACAAACTTACTGGTTTGTATGTATACTAGGAAATATCCCTAGCAAAATTTTAATTACCAAGATTTGCCATGCAAGCTGATGTAGAATGGGCACTGTAAGCAAATAAAGCATTATGAATTCACATGTAAGGATGAAATAGCCTGAAGTTGGGAGAATTGGCAAGTTATGAAATGTAGCTGCTATGGAGGTATCAATGGGAGTAGAGAGAGATGAAATGATAGGAGATGAAGCTGGAAAGGATCTTGATTATAGCTATATTTGTTAGTGTTCTTAATATTGAGCAGCACAGTACTCTAGTAAATGCTTCATAGACATTATCTCGTTTATAGTCATTATCTCATTTAATTTTCACAACAGCATTATGAGGTAGTTATTCCCATTTTACAGATGATTAAGTTATTCACTTGAAGTCACATAACTTTAAGCTATATAGCCAGAATTCTAACACAGATATGATTTCAAAGTCTGAGCTCTAATACCCTTAGCTTTGATAGTAAATTACGTAGAGCATTCAATACCATGCTGAAGAGTTTCTGCTTCATCAGACGGGCATCTTGAAGTAATCAAAGATATTTGAGTAGTAAAGTATCTTCAATGGTTATATTTTAAAAAGATACCTCTTATGTCAGTTTGGAGGATGGTTTAAAGAGGGGAGAAATTGAAGACAGGAAAACTAGGCAATAAATAATAAAGATTGGAAACAGGACATTCATTCAGCAGATATTGGCTGCCTCTCATGGCAGCCATTGTGCTAGACCATAAGGCTACAGAGATCCCTACTTTCAAGAAAAAAAAGAGTCCTGATCCCTGTTTTCAAGAAACTTAAAATCTAGAGAAAGATATTCAGGAAAACCTTAATAATAATCATAATGAATAATATATAATCAGCAATACTGTGAGAGCACAGGGTCAGGGAAGTCAAATTATGTTTTGCAGGGAAGATAGCACTTGAACCTACATGAATGAGTAGGAATTTGTGAAGCAGACAAGGGGATGTATGGTATTCAGGAAAAAGAAACTTGTGAAAAGGTGGAGGTGCAATATTTGGAAAATATTTATAATAGAAGTTATTTGTTGTTTATCTGAATTTCACATTTAATTGAGCATCCTGTAGTTTATCAGGCAACCCCACCTGCCACCTACAAACTTATACCTATATGCAGGGATCTTTCCCACTTCCTTTCTGTCTCCACAGAAGCATTCATTCACCTCTTCAAGTTCTGCATATGTTTTGCATCAAATCCTCCCCTGACTCTTCAATGACCTCATGCCATCAATTATCACCTTTATCCCAATCTCTCCTTTGATAGAAATTTCCCCTTTACCCTTAAAATCATTCTCAGTGCCAATCTTGTAGTTAGGCACCCTTTATTTTTCACCAGGATAGTGTAATTGTCCTTCAGTAGTTGTTCTTCCTGCCTCCAATCTGGCATTTCTTCCTATCTACCTTCCAGCTGCAGATGGAATAATCTTTTAAAGTATAGATCTCATCATGTCACTCTTTTGCTTAAATCCTTCAGTGACCTCCACAACTTCCATGTTAAGGCTTGTACTTTTTAACTTTTTATACAACGTTCTTTATGACCAAACCCTCTCTGTATAATTCTGTAGTTATACAGTCATATCCACCATCACTCTTCCAAAAGCATCACTTCAGCCAAACTATTTAGAGTGCCAAACCATGCCATACTTACTCAAATCTCACAGCTTCTTACATGCCATATTTTTTGTCTGGATATATATGTTCCTATGCCCTTCTGCATCTAGCTAATACCTACACATCACATGCAACATGTCCAGGAAGCTTTTTCTGTTCCTCCCAAATCTAATTGGAATATTCTTTTCCTATATTCCTGAAAAAAAACCTATCAAGCACTTATCTTTATGTATTATAACTTCTGATGTGCTTATGTGTCTATTAGACTGTAATCTTTTTGAGAAAGATTAATTGATTTTATATACATCATAATAACTATAATATGGATAGCACATATAAATAACTCAGTGAATAGTGGTTGAATGGATGATTAATTGAATGACCATTTAAAAAGTGTTTTGGAAATAAAAACAAAACAACTTGGTAACTGATTAACAGAAGGTGATGGAAGAAAGAGAAGTCAAAGATAAAGCAGCCTTTGACTTGGGTTGCTGATGTCATTGAACTTAAATAGGCAACTCAGGAAGAGGAGCAGTTTTGGAGGATGGGGATGATAAGAAATTTGATTCTGGTTATATTTAGTTTGAGGTACCGTTTGACATCTAGAGGTAGAAATAATTAATAGTTCGCGGTAAACCAGGTTGAAAAGCAGAAATAGAAGTATGAAGGAAGTTGAGAGAGACAAATAGTGTAGAGAATGGAGTTGCGGATTTTTCCTGCCAACTTTAGCCCTTCACCTGGTGCATACATAGGAACTTGAACTTTATACATTATATAAATACATTTATTTATCCATTCATTCAATAACTTATTTATTCAACCTTTGTTGAGCTTCTTCTGTGTTAGACCAAGTAATAAATGTGGGATTATAAAGATTTCTAAACTCTCATCCCTCCTCCAGATAAGGTTACAATTTAGTGGGAGAGATAAAAAATAATCATAATTAAGAAATATAAGAAGTTCTATATAAAAGAGTTGGTGAAGTGCTCTGAGAGCCTAGATAATTGAGCAATAGATTCTCTCCTGGGTAATTGAGAAATATGTACTTCAGGTGGAAGTAATAATAGAACTTAATGTTTTTAAGTGTGCATATCATACTAGGTGAAGAACCAGAGAACTTTCAAAGTTCTCTTCAGTTTGGGAATTTTGTTTCTCTTGAAGTTTAAGTGTCAGAGAACTGAAGAAAGCCAACTGACCTATTTAATTTTCTTTTATGACAGTGATCTTTAGAACTTTCTTCTCACTAATTCTTTTAGTCTTGAAATTAGAATGTCAAAACTGGGGCAAAAGACTTGAAAGCTAGACATTTTAATGAACAACAATGTTAGTACTTACTACCCACTGGAAATTCAACCATTATCTAAGTTTATTTAATAAACATGAGTATGTAGAGTCATTAGTACCAACATCATGAGACTAATTGATGTTATACACATCACTGAATTTTAAAAGAATATCCTGGGATGATTTTATCAAAAGAACAAGAAAATAATAATTTTCTGTTCTGTAGATTGAGAAGGATCTGGTTTTGTCTATCTTCTTGGTCCTTCTCATTTTTGTTGAAATTGTTTCTAGAAACAGAGGGGAAAAACAGCCAAACATACTGACCCTGTTAACATGATGTGTTTCTTTAGCTGGGTGTACTGTATCATAGAAGCAAGCATCTTGAAACTTCTTTCATTTTTATATACATGTCTTGTTTGGCAAATGGGAATGATAAAAACTGCTAAAGCTCTGTTGAGGCTATACAATGTGGTCATCGAGAAAATCATGTGCACTGTATTTGAAATACATGGTTACCCTATTTGCAAACAATTTGGGTTCTTTCCAGAGCAATTTGGCACAGCAATAAAGAAGGCTTTTATTTTCTGTTCATTTTCTGCCAGTTCACTAAAAACCTCAAAGTAGGAATGGAAACTTGTGTTAATTATAGTTCTACTGATTGTGGATTTGTATGTGTGTGTATATTTGTATTAAGATACAAAACATACATCAGTAAGCCTTTTTGAGAACTACACAGTTTGGGAATCCGCTTTCAAGAATCCCGTAACATTAGCAAAACCAGATCTTTTGCTGCTTACTGCAGAAGGTAAGAGTAGCAAATAAATATTCTCTATTCTCCAGTAAACAGAGGAATAATTTATTTGTTGCTATAAAGGTTTGTGTTTTTACTTTGGCTATGGAATTAGGGATGCTAAAAGAGGCTGTTATTGTCTTTTGCATAGCAGACCTGATAAGTTTTTATAGAAAGCTTACTATTTGTGGGATTATGTTGTGTAATATATGGAAATAGTTCTTGCACTGAATTATTACAGTATGTCATGTATTTATCTGTAGAGAGGTAAGCTAACTTGGTAAGAGGAAGATGTATAACTCTACACAGTTTTCTAAGATTACTTTGACCCAGTCCTGAAGATTTACATTCTATATACTATAACAGGATTTTATACACAGATTTCTTGTATAAGACATTTATTCTCCAGGTAACATTTAGTCAGCTAAGAAATATTTATTGAGTTTGTACAATGGGAAGGGTACTGTGTTTAAGCAGTGACTCAAAAACAAAATTAAAACATGGTCTTCTTTTTGTTAGGAACTTGTAATTCTCTGGAAACATGAGCCCTTCATAAGTGAAAAGGTAAAAAGCACAATAACTGGGCAACATATGATAAGTGAGTAGGAGGGAGTTCAGAGGAGAGGATAATCTGTATGATCATTTTTCTGAGAAAATAGAGAAGTTGGGATTTTAGTCAGATTGGTTGGATCAGGCCAAGTGGAGCCGAGGGATGAGAGATACAAAATGAACACTGGAATGGAGAGCAGAAGTAAACCTACCTGACTTAAAAAAAAAAAGGTAGAAAGCAGATTGTGACAGATCTTAAATAGAAAATTAAAGGGTTTAAATAAGAACAAGCATATAACATGAAATACACCCCCTTAGTAAATTTGTTTTACTGATTTGTTTACAGTATTGTAACAAAATGTGTGCACACTGTTGTACAACAGATCTGTAGACATTTCTCATTTTACATGACTGAAATTCTATATTTATTGAACAGCAGCTTCTCATTGCCCTCCTCCCCACAGCCCCTGGCAATTAGCATCCTATTTTTTGCTTCTATGAGTTTAGCTACTTTACATACCGCCTATAGATGGAATTATGCATTTGTTCTTTTATGACTGGCTTATTTGACTTATTTCACATAATGTCATCAAGGTTCATCCATCTGGTAACATGACAGGATTTCCTTCTTTTTATGGCTGAATAATATTCCATTGTTTGTATATACCACATTTTCTTTACTCATTCATCTGTCAATGAACATTTGGGTTGTTGACACCTCTTGGCTATTGTGAATAAAGCTGCAATGAACCTAGCAGTGCAAATATCCTGTTTATATCAACAAGATATAAATATCCAGTTTTTATCCTGTTAACATTGATGTAAACAGGATACTTGCACTCCTGCGAGATCCTGTTTTCAGTTGCTTTGATGAATACTCCAAAGTCCTTTCTCCAATTTTTAGCCCAGTAATTTGGTGTTTGCTATTGAGTTATAGGAGTGTTTTACAGATTTTGAATATTAACCCCATATCAGATACATGATTTGAAAATATTGCTTTCCATTACGTAGGTTGACTTTTCACTCTGTTGTTTTTTTCTCTAACTGTGCAGAAGCTTTTTAGTTTAATTAAGTCCCATCTATTTATTTTTCTTTTTGTTGCATTTGCTTTTGGGTTCTTGGTCATGACTTCCTTGCCTAAGCCTGTGTCTAGAAGATTTTTTTCCAGTGTTATCTTCTAGAATATTATGGTTTCAGGTCTTAGGTTCAAGTCTTTGATCCATCTTAAGGTGATTTTTTGTGTAAGATGAGAAATGAGGATCCAGCTTTATTCTTTCACATGTGGCTTGCAGTTATCCCAGCATCATTTGTTGAATAGGGTGTCCTTTCTTTCCCCACTTTATGTTTTTGTTTGCTTTGTTGAAGATTAGTTAGCTGTAAATATTTGGCTTTATTTCTGGGTTCTCTTGTCTGGCCCATTGGTCTACATGCCTAATTTTATACCAGTACCATGCTGTTTTGGTAACTATAGCCTAGTTTGGAGTCAGGTAATGCGATGCTCCAGATTTGTTCTTTTTGCTTAGTGTTGCTTTGGCTATTCAGGGTCTTTTTTGGTTCCAAAGGAATTTTAGTATTGTGTTTTCTAGTTCCATGAAGAATGATGATGGTATTTTGATGAGAATTGCATTGAATTTGTAGATTGCTTTTGGCAGTATGGTCATTTTCACAATATTTATTCTGCCCATTCATGAGCATGGGATATGTTTCCATTTGCTTATGTCATCTATGATTTCTTTCAGCAGTGTTTTGTAGTTTTTCTTGTAGAGGTCTTTTACCTTCTTGGTTAGGTATATTTCTTTTTTTTTTGAGACGGAGTCTCGGAATCTCACTCTGTCACCCAGGCTGGAGTGCAGTGGCGTGATCTTGGCTCACTGCAAGCTCCGCCTTCTGGGTTCATGCCATTCTCCTGCCTTAGCCTCTCAAGTAGCTGGGACTACAGGTGCCCACCACCATGCCTGGCTAATTTTTTTGTATTTTTAGTAGAGACGGGGTTTCACCTTGTTAGCCAGGATGGTCTCGATCTCCTGGTCTTGTGATCCGCCTGCCTTGGCCTCCCAAAGTGCTGGGATTACAGGCATGAGCCACCGCACCCGCCTTGGTTAGGTATACTTCTAAGTATTTTATTTTTTATTTTTGTAGCTATTGTAAAAGGGGTTGAGTTCTTGATTTTTATTCTCAGCTTGCTCGTTGTTGGTGTATAGCAGTGCTAATGATTTGTCTCCATTGATTTTGTATCCTGAAACTTTACTGAATCTATTTATCAGAGCTAGGAGTTTTTCGGATGAGACTTTAGGGTTTTATAGGTATACAATCATATCATCAGCAAACAGCAATGGTTTGACTTCCTCTTTACCGATTCTTTATTTCTTTCTCTTGTCTGATTGCTCTGGCTAGGACTACCAGTACAATGTTGAATAGCAGTGGTGAAAGTCGGCATCCTTGTCTTGTTCCAATTCTCAGCAGGAATGCTTTTAACTTTTCCCCATTCACCATAATGTTCACTGTGGGTTTGTCATAGATGGCTTTTATTACCTTGAGGTATGTTTCTTCTATGCCAGTTTTGCTGAGGGTTTTAATCATAAAATGATGCTGAATTTTCTCAAATGCTTTTTCTGCAACTATTGAAATGATCATATGATTTTTGTTTTTAATGATGTTTATGTGATGTATCACATTTATTGACTTGCATATGTTAAACCATCCCTGCATTTCTGGTATGAAACCCACTTGATCATTGTGTATTATCTTTTTGATAAGCTGTTAGATTTGGTTAGCTAGTATTTTGTTGAGGATTTTTGCATCTATATTCATCAGGGATATTGTTCTGTAGTTTCTCTTTTTTGTTATGTCCTTTCCTGGTTTTGGTATTAAGGTGATACTGGCTTTATGGAATGATTTAGGGAGGATCCCCTCTTTCTCTGTCTTTTGGAATAGTGTCAATAGGATTGGTACCAATTCTTCTTTGAATGTCTGATAGAATTCAGCTGTGAATCTCTCTGGTCCTGGACTTTTTTTTTTTTTGGCAGTTTTTAAATGATCATTTCTATCTTTCTGTTTGTTATTAATCTGTTCAGAGTTTCTGTTTCTTCCTGGTTTAATCTAGGAGGGTTGTATACTTCCAGAAATTTATACATCTCCTCTAAGTTTTCTAGTTTGTGTGCGTAAAGGTGTTCATAGTAGGCTGAATGATCTTTTGTATTTCTGTAGTATCAGTTGTAATATCTCCCATTTCGTTTCTATTGAACTTATTTGGATCTTCTCTCTACTTTTCTTTGTTAATCTCAGTAATTGCCTATCAATTTTATTTATCCTTCAAAGAACCAGCTTTTTGTTTCATTTATCTTTGTATTTTTTGTTTCAATTTAATTTAGTTCTGCTCTGATCTTTATTATTTATTTTATATTCTGCTGGGTTTGGGTTTTATTTGTTCTTGTTTCTCTACTTCCTTGAGGTGTGACCTTAAATTGTCTATTTGTGCTCTTTCAGACTTTTTGATATAGGCATTTAATACTATGAACTTTCCTCTTGCTACTGCTTTTGCCGTATCCCAGTGGTTTTCATAGGTTGTGTCACTATTATCGTTCAGTTCAAATAATTTTTTAATTTCCATCTTGATTTCATTGTTGACCCAGAGATCATTCAGGAGCAGATGATTTAATTTTCATGTGTTTGTATGGTTTTGAGGGTTCCTTTTGGAGTTAATTTCCAGTTTTATTCCACTGTGGTCTGAGAGGGTACTTGATATAATTTCTATTTTCTTAAATTTATTGAGACTTGTTTTGCAGTCTCTCATGTGATCTATCTTGGAGAATGTTCTATACTCTGATGAAAAGAATGTCTATTCTGCAGTTGTTGGGTAGAATGTTCTGTAAACATCTTTTAAGTTCATTTGTTCTAGGGCATAGATGAAGTTCACTTTCTTTGTTGACTTTCTGTCTTGACGACCTGCCTAGTGCTGTCAGTAGAGTATCAACATCCCCCACTATTATCGTGTCACCATCTGTCTCATTTCTTAGGTCTAGTAATAATTGTTTTATCAATTTGGAAGCTCCAGTGTTAGGTGCATATATATTGAGGATTGTGACATTTTCATGTTGGACTGATCCTTTTATCATTATATAATATCCCTCTTTGTCTTTTTTTTAACTGTTATTGAGGTCCTGCTTGCTTTTGGTTTCCATTTGCATGAAATACCTTTTTCCACCCTTTTACCTTAGGTTTATTTGAGTCCTTATGTGTTAGGTGAGCCTCTTGAAGACAGCAGATACTTAATTGATGGATTTTTTTTTCATTCTGCCATAAGTGGAGCATTTAGGCTATTTACATTCAACGTTAATATTGAGATGTGAGGTACCATTTTATTCATCGTGTTAGTTGTTGCCTGAATATCTTGTGGGTTTTGTGTGTGTGTGTTGTTGTTTTATAGGCCTGTGAGATTTATGCTTTAAGGAGGTTCTATTTTGGTGTATTTTAAGGCTTGTTTCAAGCTTTAGAACTCATTTTAGCAGTTCTTGTAGTGCTGACTTGGTAGTGGTGAATGCTCTTCACACGTTTGTCTGAAAACGACTTTACCTCTCCTTTGTTTATGAAGCTTAATTTTGCTGGATACAGAATTCTTGATTGGTAATTATTTTGTTTGAGGAAGCTAAAAATAGGACCCCAATCCCTTCTGGCTTGTAGGGTTTCTGCTGAGGAATCTGCTGTAAATCTGATATGTTTTCCTTTATAGGCTACCTGATGCTTTTGCCTCACAGCTCGTATGATTCTTTCCTTCATCTTGACTTTGGAGAACCTGATGACTGTGTGCCTAGGTGGTGATCTTTTTGTGATGAATTTCCCAGCTGTTCTTTGATCTTCTTATATTTGGATGTCTCTATCTCTAGCAAGGCCACGGAGGTTTTCTTCGATTATTTCCTAAAATAAGTTTTCCAAAGTTTTAGATTTCTCTTCTGCCTCAGGAACACCAATTATTCTTAGGTTTGGCCATTTAACACCATCCTAAAATTTGTGGAGGCTTTCTTCTTTTTTTGTTGTTCTTGTTCTTTTTTCTTTGTCTTTGTCTGATTGAGTTAATTAGGAAGCTTTGTCTTTGAGCTCTGAAGTTCTTTCTTCTACCTGTCCTAGTCTATTATTGACACTTTCCAGTGCATTTTGTATTTCTCTGAGTTTGTCTTTCATATCCAGAAGTTGTGATTATATTTTTATGATATCTGTTTCTCTGGAGAATTTTTCATCTATAGCCTGTATTGTTTGTTTTTTTAAATTTCTTTAAGTTGGTTTTCACCTTTCACTGGTATCTCCTTGAGTAGCTTAATAATCAATATTCTGAATTCTTTATCTGGCAATTCAGAGATTTCTTGGTTTGGATCCACTGCTGGGGAGCCAGTGTGGTCTTTGGGGTGTAATAGAACCTTATTTTGTCATATTACCAGAATTACTTTTCTGGTTCCTTCTCATTTGGATAGACTGTTTCAGTGGAAAGATTTGGAACTTAAGGGCTGCTGTTCAGATTAATTTGTCCCATGGGGTGATCCCTTGATGTGGTGCTCTCCCCCTTCTTCTAGGAATGGGGCTTCCTGAGAGCTGGACTGCAGTGATTGTTATTGCTCTTCTGGGTCTGGCCACCCAGCAGGGCTACCAGGCTCCAGGCTGGTGCTGGAGATTGTCTGCAAAGTGTCCTGTGATGTAATCCATTTTCAGGTCTCTCAGCTGTCGATACCAGCACTTGCTCTGGTGGAGGTGGCAGGGGAGTGAAGTAGACTGTAAGAGTCCTTGGTTGTAGATACGTTTCACGTGCTGGCTTTCTCAAATGCTGGTTATGCTAGCAGTGAACAGACTCAGGACCTCTGGTTAGCCAGGGTGTTGCAGTCAGTGGAATTAGCTGTTGTTTTCTCCTTCCTTGGAGTAGGGTTATTTTGTCATGAGTTATTTTTGAGTACTTCCTTGGAGTAGGGTTATTTTGTCAGGTTATTTTGTCATGAGTTGCCATAATATCCTGAGTTGGTTGGCCTCCAGCCAGGAGGTATTGCTTTCAAGAGAGCACCAGCTGCAGTAGTGGAAGGGGGATATAAGCTTGCCCTAAGTTGGCCAGAATAAGTATTTGGGTTTCTCAGGTGATGGGCAAGGCCATAAAGCTCCCAAGAGTTTATGTCTTTTGTGATTGGCTACTAGGCGGGTAGAGAAGTACCATCAGGTGGGAGCAGGGTTACGCCAGTCTGAGCTCAGACTCTCTCCTTGGGCAGGGCTTGCCACACTCCTGTGGGGGAGGGGGTGTGGTTCTTGGGCCAATGGGGTTATGTTCCAGAGGGCATTTTGTTCCATAATACCCTCTGTCATCAGAGAAGTAGGGGAAAGCCGGTAGCATTAGGTCTTACCCAGCTCCCATGTAGAGGTCGGTTTTGCCCCTGACAATGTGCCCTACTAACAGCACTGAGTTTGTCTCCAGGTAGCCTGTGCTCAGCATTCAGACCTTGCCCCAGGCTATAAGCTTCCCTGCTGAGAAAGCAAGCAAGGCTTTCAGGCCTCGCCCCTCCCTGCCTTCAAATACTGTTGGCCTTGGCTCCTGTGCTACTCTCTGCAACAGTTCCGTTTCACCCTCAGATTCTGCTCTAGAGAGTTTGCATTCAGTCAAAATTATTACAAAGTTCAGTTGGAATCTTTTTTCAGCCTGTGACCCCTCCCAGATTCTGCCGGCTGCCTTCCCTGAGGGCCCTAGTGAGATATAGTCAAGGATGGCTTCCCTTGGCTTGAGCTGGAGAATGGGAGTGCCTACAATGCTCTTCCTGCTGCTGCTTCTACTTTTATGTTTCACGCTAAATCAGTTTCAGCTCTAGGTAAGGTTAAATCCTTCTCCTGTAATCTGGGTTTTCAGGGTCCCCAGTGGGGATGTGTGTCTGGAGGCAGGTGTTCCCCCTCACACACTTTGGGAACTCACAGTTTTTTTGCTGTCTTGCAGAATTTGTAGCAGCATGCCATTTCTGTCAGAGGATCTATGAAATCCTTAAGTTTTCCTGGTACTTTACTGTAGTGGTTCTTGGAGCAAAAGTCCATGATGTGAGTCTCCATACACTGTTCTGTCCAAGTGGAAGCCCCTTCCCTACTACCATTCCCAACCTCTGCTAACCACCATTCAATTTATTCTCTATCTCCATGAGATCAATTTTTTTTTAGCTTCCACATATGAGTTGGAACATGCAACATTTGTCTTTCTGTGTCTGGCTTATTTCACTTAATATAATATCCTCCCATTCTAGCCTTGTTGTGGCAAATATAGGATTTCATTCTTCTTATGGTGGAATAATATTCCATTGTGTATAATATACTACATTTTCTTTATCCAGTCATCTGTTGGTGGATACTTATGTTGATTCTGTATTTTGGCTATTGTGAGTAACACTGCAATAAACTTGAGAATGCAGATTATCTCTCTGATATACTGATTTTCTTTCTTTGGTATATATACTCAGTAGTGGGATTGCTAAATCATATGGTAGTTCTATTTTTATTTTTTTGAGGAAACTCCATACTTTTTTCATATTAGCTGTATTGATTTACATTCCCACCAATAAATCACCCTTTCTCTGTGTTCTCACCAGCATTTGTTATTTTCTGTCTTTTTAATAATGATCATTCTAATGAGATGATATCTTATTCTGGTTTTGATTTGCATTTCCCTGATGACTAGCAATGTTGAACATTTTCTCATTTATTTATTGGCCACTTGTATGTCTCCCTTTGAGAAATGTCTACTAATTAATGTCTGATATAAAAGGAGAAAGGAAACTGATATTTATTAAGTTCCTGTTATATTCTATGTATCATTTTATTTATTCCTACAGCAACCTTATGATGCTGATGGTAACATGATTCTATAGATTAAGAAATAGTTTACATCTCTAGTAAAGTGCAGAACTGGATTTCAAATCTGCACTCTACTTCCAGTTCTGCACATTTTAACTTTTTTAAAGTTTGTGTTTAACATATGATAAATATGAAACATATGTGCACAGCTTAAACAATGATGATAAAACAAACCCTATTAAGGATATTAAATAGAACATTGGAAGCCCCTTGTGTGTCTCTCTCTAATTGTGTCTACCTCCTCCCTCTCTGCATTTAGAGGTAAATGTTCTTTTGTTTTTGCCATGCTTTTACCATCTATAAATATACTCCTACAATATCTGGTACTTTGCGTGTTTTGTAAATTCATGTAAATGGAATTCTACTATGCATATTCTTCAGTGACTTTCTTCTTCCATTCAATTTTGTCTTTTCATCTTAATCCAGGTTGATACATGTAATTATAGGTTCATTCTTAATTTACATTTTATAGTATAACCCACTATATAGATGTGCTATAATTTTTTAATTGATACTACTGCTGATAAACACATATGGCCTTTCTTGTGGTTGGTTTGCACAAATACTCCAGGTGCGCCTGTAAACTATGTAAATTCCCATTTGAGGATTCAGTATTCTATAGATGACCACTAGATCAAGTTTGTTAATATTAGTGTTTAAGTTTTCTCTGTTCTTGTGGTCTCTATCTGCTTGACTTCTGGAGAAAAATGTCTTAAAATTTCCCTCTCTAATAGTGGATTTGCCCAACTCTATTTACATATTCATCAATTTTCACTTTTTATACTTGGAATTCATGTTATTAGATACACAAAAAATGATGGTTTTTATATCTTCTTGATGAATATAACCTTTAATCACTATTTAGTTACACACTTAAACAATGTAGTTTACCTTCAAGTCTGCTAGATCTAATAATAATGTAATTACATCAGCTCTTTTGGGCTGGTAAATGCCTTGCATATTTTATATTTTAGGTGTGTTTCTTATAAATGGCATATAACTAGATTTTTTTTCTCTTAACCCAACTTTTATTTTTCCTTTAAGATTATAATTTTGGTTTTGAAAGAAGAGAGAAAAAGTAGCCTAGATTTGCCTGCTTCACCGAAAGGATTATTTCTGGTTCTGGATAAGTGGTTCCATCTCGAGTAAATAGCTTCAATGAGAGAGTTAGGGGGACCTCATTCCCTTTAACCGGTCAGCCGTCTGCAGGTTACACTCTGGCTATGGAGCTGAGCCTGTTTCTTTCATGCACACCCTTATCTTAATATTGTATGTTCTTAGAGCCTTTTGAGCCCCAGAACAGAAGTTGTTTATAATTTTTTATTGTATGCTTATTTTTATCTACAAGTTTTTATTAGCCTATCATAACTCAATACAAAATTATTTTCACATATTAAAAATATGCTAATCCTCCCAGAAAGGATTTTGCTCCTTTTTCTAAATTCTTATTTATACTTTGCATATACCTCTACTTCTGTTACAACTCTTAATGTAATAATTTTTATTTTAATGGACCATCTGCCATAATAAATTATGAATTCATTGGGAACAGGGACTCTGTCTTACTGATAATTATATACTTAGGGCCTAATATTGTGCTGTTAATTGAGCCTTATACATAGTAGAAAATTAATAAAATTTCAGATGAAAAATGAACAAACAGATGAATTAAGTGATTAAACACTAGCTGACAGGTGGTAGAATGCAAATATCACAACATTCTAATTCTGTACCTCCAGTCAGTGTAGACACTTAAAATCTTTCACTTTGAATTCTGAAAGAGCAGTTTCAGATATTGAAGGCAGTTCTAAATCATTGTATCAATCAGGATTATTTCAGTAAGTGGTGGAAACCCAGCTTAAACAGGCTTACATAAATATATGAAAACTTCAGGGATTCAATCACAACTGAATTCAGGACTCTAAACAATTTCAGAAGAGCCCAGTCACTCCAACTCTCTCCATTTGGTAATTCATTGATTTCATTCTCAGGCTGTCCCCTGGATGGTTTCCCACTGTTCAGTTTTACCTCATTCTTAATGCTATTCCCAGCAGTGCCACTGAAGTTTGAAACGTGCTTCAGTTGGGCTGAATTGGGTCCCTTACTCATTCCTGGACCAGTCATTTTTTCTGGGGATGCACAATATACTGACTGACTTAGATGTCTGTCACATGTTCACAGTTACAGTCGAAGGTGGAGTCACCTCCCCTCAAACAACGTGCACTAAAAGTGAAGAGAGTTTTTCCTTAAGGAAAATTAGGGTGCTTTTGCCTGAAAAAGGATTAACATACATTGGACTGGCATAAGACACAATGTGCCCATTTCCATAATCTAATCCATATCTTACTTTTAAAAATAAGAAAGCTTCATTAAAAAGTTAGGTTATTGTCTAAAGTAATACAGTTTCTTGAATGGTGCTGTTTATGTAATAAGCTTACAATACTATATTATAGACTTTTAAACTGACAGAGTTTTTTTTTATTGTGTTAAAGTATAGAAAGTATAGAGCAAAATATAACATGAAGGAAAGATTCCCATGTAGTTTGTCACTCTGTTGCATTTCAGAACAAGATAAAAGTGACCTGAGTAGATTTGCTCTTTGGTATAGTTATTTAAAAATTATGTCAGTACAGTTAAAAATTAGATAAAACTTCTTAATGGTTATAAAATGACTAAAAGCAATCATTCAAACTATAATTCTAAAAAGAGACTTAGAACTTTGCTGGCATCTTGAATAATTAGGAGAACAGAACTTATTAAGAAAATGTTGCCATGTTGAATAGATGTTGTATAGTGTTTTCTGATTTAAGACTTTTTAAAAATAATTAACTTTGAAAGAGTTTTCATTCAGAGAGCAATCGATTTTTAACAACATGTATTTTGTTTAACAAAATACTTTTTTAGTATTGAAATTTCTATTCAAATTCACACTCACTTTCTTCTGCAAATTCCTCTTCTCTTTTTATCATCTTGTATCAAAAAGGGAAATAAGTTGAAGAATATTCTTCAACTAATGAGTAATGAAGAACTAATGCATTCTTCAGCTAACGAATACTGAGTTCCAGACTCTGCAGATCTCTTAATAGATATTAAAACACTGTTTGTTTCCTCCATCTGTTTTCAGACTTTGTGAACACTCTATTCGGTTTACTGTACTCTTATCAGTTTAACATTTGGACCCATTGCTTCCGTTTTAGAAATACTTTTTCTGAAAAGGTGTCTGGAGGTTGAAGAATAAAATACTGAGCAGATTATTTGAATATTAACTTACTGTTTAAAAATAAGTTTATCCTATATTTTTAGATGCCCAGTAGTTTTCTGTTTGCCCATACTGCAACCCATTTTGAGGACTTCTTAATGGGAAATGAATGGTTTCAAAGAGTATTGTCCATCTCCACATTAATGCTGATTTATCAAAATGTCAGTTGATCTAAAATTTCTATTGTGTGCATTTATATTGCTTTTATAGGGACTCCTTGGAAATAGAGGACCTCCTGGACCTCCTGGTCTCAAAGGAACTCAGGTATGGAAGAAGTGATATCCAGTCAGCTTCAGCAAGGTTTTTAGTTAAAATTTTCCCTTTTTATTTATTGTGGGCCTTCAGTTTTTGCTTAAACACCATCAGATTTCCAGTTACCATTTTATTTATATATTTAGACAGAGTCTTGGTCTCTTGCCCAGGATGGAGTGCAGTGGTGCTATCTTGGCTCACTGCAGCCTCGACCTCCTGGGCTCCAGCAATCCTCCTGCCTCACCCTCCCAAGTAGCTGGGACTACAGGTGCACCACCATGCCTGGCTAATTTTTGTATTTTTTGTAAAGACACAGTTTTGCTATGTTACCCAGGCTGGCCGAACTTCTGGCCTCAAGCAGTCCTCCCACCTAAATGTCCCAGAGTGCTGGGATTACAGGTATAAGCCACTACACCCAGCCTTCAAGTTAACACTTTATTTTGCCAGTTATGGAATAGAATTAAGAATCATTTTACAGTGTTCTGAATTCATTAAATGATTTATGTTAGTGGTCTCCAATGGAATGTCTGAAGAATCTGAACCCAGAATCTCACTCATATATACTAGAATTTATATTTACTATTTGTGACTACTTAATATTTTTGAACCAATAAATTATATTTTAATTGAATTGTGAATTGAGCAAAATATTTACCAAATAAATAACATATACTATATGATTCTAGGGAGGTCTGTATGTATTATTCAGAAAACAATCATCTATTTTTTAAAGGTAAATCAGTATATTTAGTAAATATGTCTATAAATGGAGTAAAAACACTTACTGCCTTTTTTTCTTTTAGAGAATTATGAATAAAAGCTTTTAATTTTTTTCTATGTTCATCTTCAGTCTCTATCCACCCATATAGTTTTTGGTCCCTACACGAATGCACCAGGTTCACACAAAAAAACTAAAGTGTTGTGGGGTGATGGAGTTCAAAGTACAAGAAAATAACAGCATTATTTTCATCACATCTCAGAATGAGCTTCACATTTTAGAATAAATAGAGAAAATAAGAGTTTACATTTTTAAATACTCATTTTAGGCCATAATATGTTCTGACTTTTTTTTTTTTTAAGGGAGAAGAAGGACCAATTGGAGCCTTTGGGGAACTGGGGCCAAGAGTAGGTATCATATAAATAATTTTCCATAAGTGCTTTTCTTGAAAATAGCTGTTCTATAAATGTTTTTAACATCATAACATTTTACATTATAGTAAAGGACAAAAATGAAAACAAATTAAAGTCATAAAATGCCCCAAAATAAAATAGGCCAATAACTGGAAGTCCCAAATATATTTTGAATGATGTTATGCCTACTACATAGTTACTTGTTATTTCAGTGGTCTGTAGACTTAGTAATTTGTGCAAATTATTTATAAATTTCTCAAAATGTAATAGGAAGCTAAATACTTTAGCCATTTTAGTAATATTCTGAGATTTCCTGTTTTCTAAATGTGTTAGTAAAATTATGGAAGGCTAATAAGATGTATTTTCTGCCAATTTTTTCATCAGATAATACCATGGGTAATATGTTAATTATTTGTTTTCAAGTTCTAGAAATGAATTATTTAAACATTTTTGGTATACATGATCAAAGTTTACCTTATGAAATAATTAAGGTATATGTGTTACATTTATTTTAAGAGGCATTAGACTCACATGAAATACATCTCATTTCTTTTCTTGACAACATCATAAAGTACTGGTTCTTCCTTTTTTTTTTTTTTTTTTTTTTTTTTTTTTTGAGACAGAGTCTCACTCTGTCATCCAGGCTGGAGTGCAGTGGCGTGATCTTGACTCACTGCAACCTCCACCTCCTGGGTTCAAGCAATTCTCCTGCCTCAGCCTCCCGAGTAGCTAGAATTACAGGCATGTGCCACCATGCCCTGCTAATTTTTGTATTTTTAGTAGAGATGGGGTTTTACCATGTTGATCAGGCTGGTCTTGAACTCCTGGCCTCAGGTGATCCACCCACCTCGGCCTCCCAAAGTGCTGGGATTACAGGAGTGAGCCACCATGCCTGGCCAAAGTACTGGTTCTTAAAATGCTTTTACGTTTAAAAAGACTGTGATTATTTCTTTCACATTTTTACCTTACTAGCACATATATTGCTATATCCCATTGGGGGAAAAAAAAGAGTTTTCATTTTATTTTTCGTGAGAATTATTTAACAGAAAAACTGGTATTTGAGCCCAATAAAATTGATCTTATTTAAAATTTACTTCCTTCGAAAACAGGAGAACCATATTCAACTCTGGTCTACACAGTCTTAATATTAATTATTATTGTTGTTGCTATTTGTTGAATATCAATTTGGGACCTAGTATTGCTATAAGTATATGAATCATCTTTAATCCTGAAAACAACTTTGCAAGATATCGTTCCTATTTTTAGATGTGAAAATAAGATTTTAGTATTAGATGTTCAAGTATAACACTCTCAAAATCAATACAATATGATAGAATTTAAGTAGGACAAGAAGTTATGATTCTGTTACTGATATTCTGAAATGCTTGATTTCAAAGACTTTGAAAATGTGCTGATACCAGATTCCAGTGAGATTCTTTCCATAATGTAAATATGTATAACTCTATCTTAATGTACTACACAGTGCTTGAAAGAGTATTATTAAAGATGAAAGGAATGACTCATTAAGGCTCTTACCAACCAGTGGAAATAAAAATAGAATTGGTTTTATAAATATCATAGAAAAAATCTAATAATTCAGGTTCTTAACTATATTTCTTGTTCTGTATATCTAAATTAAGTAGAGAACAATTGATATTTAATAATAATAGGATGGTTTTCAGTTCTTTGCTTTGCTTTTTGCTTGTTAGGAAATGATTCGATAATTTAGAGCAGTCAAAAGCAAAAATTAGAATGTTTTGACTAGAAGTCTTAAATATAGTTGTAAGTGGCTAAAGCTTTTATGTGTAGTAAAAACAGAATGGGAGCCAGAGAGTTGTTCTGTTTCACTTTAAGAAGAAAAAATATAAGAGCATGTCTTAATTGACAACAGCAATAAAATCCAATATAGCAGGGGTCCCCAACCCCCAGGCCATGGACTGGGAGTGAGCGTTACCACTTGTATTAGTCTAGGTTCTCTAGAGGGACAGAACTAATAGGATATATATAAAGGGGAGTTTATTAAGTATTAACTTACACGATCACAAGTTCCCACAATAGGCTGTCTGCAAGCTGAGGAGCAAGGAGAACCAGTCTAAGTCCCAAAACTAAAGAATTTGGAGTCCAATGATCTAAGGCAGAGAAACATCCAGCATGGGAGAAAGATGTAGGCTAGGAGGCTAGGGCAGTCTCTCCTTTTCACATGTTTCTGCCTGCTTTATATTCACTGGCAGCTTATTAGATTGTGCCCACCAGATTAAGAGTGGATCTGCCTTCCCCAGCCCACTGACTCAAATGTTAATCTCTTTTGGCAACACTCTCACAGACACACCCAGGATCAATACTTTGTATCCTTCAATCCAATCAAGTTGACACTAAGTATTGACCATCTAACTGCCTGAGCTTCACCTCCTGTCAGATGAGCAGCAGCATTAGATTCTCATAGGAGCGCAAACCCTATTGTGAACTGTGCAAGCAAGGGATCTAGGTTGCGTGATCTTTATGAGAATCTAATGCCTGATGATCTTCTGAGGTGGACCAGTTTCATCCTGAAACCATACCCTGCTACCTCGTCTGTGGACTTGCTCTCCCCCAGTGATCTTATCCTCTATTCTTTTCAGCTACTCACTGCTACAGTCATACCCTTTACTTTGTCATTACCAGTGATAGCAACCTCTCATTTTCAATTTTGAACTTCTCATTCCCCAACCACCATCTTTCTTTCTAATACATTCTCTCTTATTATCCAATCTAATAGCCCCAATAGGAATGTCAGTGCATTGATTCTGCTGCCTTTCCATTGTGTCTTGTCTCCTTTATGATCCCAAATTCCTCATCCTGCTTAAAACATTATAATTATTCCTTTGATTACATTCTGAATTCTATCTTCAAGCCTATTTATTCTTTTGCTTTTCTAAATTATTACTTTATACTTTCTGTTTCTTCAAACTCCTTTCAGTTATCTCTCATCCTTATTCTTAGCCTTTGCCTTGCATCCTACTTCCCTGAGAAGATTGAAGTAACCAGAAGAGAACTTACAGTTTTCTGACATTGCATCTACCCACCTTCTTTTATCTATACTCTGCTTTCTTTCCTGTTGTTGTGGATGAACAGGCCATTTTTCAAGCTAAGGAAAACTTCCACTTGTTTACTACATACCCTGTCCTTTTGACTACTCAAGATAACTGGTCCAACAATTCCCTCTGTCTCTCCTACATATTCTTTTCTCTATACAGAATCATTCCTATCAGCATATAAAGCTGCTGTTATTCTTCTAGCTTAAAAACAAAACAAAACTTTTTTGGTGTCAGTTTCCCTCCCAGGTGTTACCCTATTTTTTCTTTCCCTTTTCAGTAAAATTCCTCAAAAGTGTTGTCTATACATGCTCTTTCAGTTTTTCTCTTCCCTCTATCTGCTTAAACCACATTTGTTCCCACCACTACAATACAAATGATCTGATAAATACGATCAGTGGTTTCTGTATTGCTGGATCCAATTATCATTTCTCAATCCTCAAAGTCCTCTTATTACTCAATATTTCTATTTTTCAGAATTTGACAAGATCACTCTCTCCTCCTAGAAACAATTTATTTACTTCCATGATTTTCCTCCTCACTTTCTGGCATCAAATTAAATATTTTTCTAATTTCTTCAAATTCTAAGTTTTGGAGTACCCCAAAGATTGGCCTGTGGATTTCTCATTTCTATCTATACTCACTGGCTAAATGAGGTCATCCACCCTAGGACTTTAAATACCATCAAAATGAAAATGCTGGTGGTTTCTAAGATTATTTCTTCCTGTCAGATCTTTCTACTGATTAGAAAGAATTTAACTGATCCAGTTAAATTCTGGACTTGTATAAATAACTACCACAAGATCTCTCCATTTAGATGTCTAACAAGCATATCAAACTAACATGTCCAAAACTTAGCTTCTTATTTACCCTCCAAACCTGTTTTCAGTCTTCTTCATTTCATTTGGTCTGCTACTCTTACATTAAAAACCTGAGATTCATTTTTGAGTCTTCTCTTTCTCCCACGTTTCACACATGACCCGCCAGCAGTTCCTGGAAGCTCTACCTTCACATTATATCCAGAATCTTACCACTCTGCTACCACCCTGATTCACATCCCCATCATCTCTCACTTGGATTATTGTACTAGACGCTTATTTGGACTCTCTTCTTCTACCCTGGAATCAAAGTGATCCTGTTAAAACTTAGATCTCATCAGTTTTCTCCTTAAAGTTGTCTGAGGCTTCCTATCTCACTCAGTTAAAAGTCAAAGTCCTAACTGCAACCTGCAAGGCCCTACATGACCTGACTTCTCATCCCCCATTTCCTTTGACCTCATCACTTTACTGGTCTTCTCTCAATTCTTCAGCTTCTCCTGGTTCCTCCAACATACTACACACATTTTAGCTGTAGTGCCTGTGCACAGGCCCTTTTCCTCTGCCTGGAACACTTTTCCTTCAGATATCCATTTAACTTGTCCCTTTCTTTAGGTCTTTACTCAAATGCCACCAAACTGCCAACTCCCCCAGGAAATGGCACTCTCTGGGGAAGTTGGTTGAGGGGTCAAGGGTCACACTCTTCACAGAATCCTGGGATCTCTCTTCTCTCCCTAGTCCTGAGGAAATAGCTTCTCTCTCTCTCTCTCTCATTGTCATCAAAGACAAGTCACTTCTTACCTTCAGACTCTCGGAAAACTACAGTAAGAATACAAGTAATCTGCAAAGAACTTTTCGGTGAGGGCTTCTTTCCTGGAATCTTACAAACACTTTCAATAAAACTCCCACAACAGTTTATATATCCCTTCCCTGCTTGATTTGTTACCTTACATATTACCACTGCCTAACATACTATATATTTTACTTATTTTTTAAAACATTGTTATTCTCACTAAAATACAAGCTCTATGAGGGCAGGTATGTTCAGTGCAGTCCTCGATCCTCTGCATCTAGAACCGTTCATGGCACATAGTAGACAGTTGGATATTTGTAGAATGAATGGCAAATGAGTATGATGAAATACATTTATCAAATAATTTTAAAGTATTTAAATTTATAAGAATAGTCTAAATTTCATATATCTTAGGAAACTTTCAAAAATGAGAATGACTAAACATATATACTTTCTTCTTTTATGCTGTTCTCTTCTAGGGAAAACCAGGTCAAAAGGGGTATGCAGGTGAACCAGGACCAGAAGGCTTAAAGGTAAAGCAACTGACTTTATTATCAGTTTTAAAATATAATTTTCAGAAAGATAAAATTATGACTTTCATACAAATGTGAAATGAACACATCAACTTAAAAAGAACCAGTGAGATGTTAAAACTGTTACAAAGAGCAACTGAGAATCTATATCTTTATATCTGTATCTATTTATATGCAGGTTGAGTATCCCCTATCTGAAATGCATGGGACCAGAAGTGTTTCAGAGTTCCAATTTTTTTGGAGTTTTAAATATTTGCATTATACATGCTTACAAGTTAAGAATCCCAAATCCAAAAATCTGAAATTCAAAATGCTCCAATGAGCATTTCCTTTCAGTGTCATGCTGATACTCAAAAAGTTTCAGATTTTGGAACATTTATGATTTCAGATCTTCAGATTTTGGATGCTCAATCTGTGTATCTGTGATTATGTCTGTATCTGTATCTATATCTATGTATGTGATTTAATAAAGAAATGTTAGGATAAGATTTGTGTGTTACATACAGGGCAATAAACCATAACTGCTGGGGTTTTCAATTCTACTGGGTAGAAATGTGCAAGTTTCTATAACATTACTAAGTCTGGATCTTTTAATCACTAGTAAACAGTGAGTCTAAGTAATATTCACTAGATAATCACTGGGTAACCTTCATCACTTTATGATATTAAAAAGATATATCTCTCACTATTTACTTTATTTCCAAGGTCTTGGATAATTTTTATAACACCAACAAATATAAAGTAATGCAATGGTTTATTACATACAGAATTGAGACCTGAAAGAAACTAGCTTATAAGAATTGGTAAGTTTTGCAAATTGAAAATTTAACTATGAATTGACATAGTCACAGCATTATTACTACGTTTCCTGAAGCTATTTTTTTGTATTAAATGTATCATTTTTATGATGCTGGAACCTAACGAAAAGCTAAACAACACTTTTCAAGCTTGATAAAGAAATATGAGCTGAAGTATGTTTTAATATATCAGTATGTATGAGGCTAAAGTTATCCTGGGGCAGAATATGTGTACCTGACTCTTTCTCAAGTTACATATAAAAGTCCTCTGAAAAATAGGATTGTAGTATTTACAAACAAAAGGCTTAATCAATTCTCCTTGCCTGGGATTAACAATTCTCCTTTACTAGACTGCCAAATAGCGCTAGGAAATCCAACTGTGAGCTACCATCCAGTGAAACTGGCAAGAAACGGAATCTCATTTATGTATATACTTTCTCTCCCTAGAATCACACCAAAATCTAGGTGGCTTCTGTGTTACCTAGTAAACACAGGAAATTTTGTAATGTTCATTCCTCCCTAGCTGTCACTGAAATTTGCGTTTCAATACATCATGTAGCTATTAACTCGGACCTGGCACTGCCTGGGGGAGTTGCTTAAGGGACACACTCTTCATAGAACCCTAGATCTGTGTTTTCTTTCTAGGCCTGGGGAAATAGCTTCTCTCTCTCTCTTTCATTGTCGTCAAAGACAAGTAACTTCTTACCTTCAGATTCTGAAAACTAAAGTAAGAATGCAAGTAATCTGCAAACAACTTTTGCTTTTTGACTATTAACACAAACCTCCCTTAAAACTAAGTAGCACAAATTTGGAATTTAAGAAGGGTAACTTATGGGTAAGGAGGGAAAAATACTAGAAAACCAATAATTCATATATTATTCTTCCATAAATTTTCCATAAATGCTGTCTAATGAACTGCCTGTTAAAATTAGTTATTAAAACCTACTGCTGTGCTTCATTCTTTACTATTTATCTAAATACATACAGAAACTGAAAAGAAAATTTGTGTAGACTTTGAAAGTTTATTTCAGTGATCACTCATGATGAATATTAGGTTTCAGTGCTTAAAATCACCACTATTCAATAGAAATGCAACATGAACTGCAAATATGAGCCACATTAGATAGTGAAAAGAAAGAAGTAAAATTAATTTAATAGTATATTTTATTTAACTCAAGATATCCAAATATTATATCCTTTCAACATGTAATCAATATTGAAATTATTAATGAGATGTTTTCTATTCTTGTTTTGTAGAAAGTCTTTGAAGTCTGATGTATTTTTTATACTTACATCACATTTCAATTCAGACCAGCCTATTTCAAATATTCAGTAGCCACATGTCATTATTGGCTACAATATTTTTCAGTATCTTAACATCTTACTGTTCTACACTGGAATATAATTATTACTGTTTAGACAGTAATTGATTACTTTTAGACATAACATATTTAATCTGTTTCTGTACACTAAATGTATATTGCTCTTAGAGTCAGTCTCTGTTGTACTTTGAACTTAATCTTTTACCTTTCGTTAATCTATACCTTTGCTGATGCCATTCCTCACCACTAAAAATGACGCTTTCTCATTACCAGTGTTAAGTATCACATATTTTTCAGGGCCCCACTTACAGTTTCATAATCCATTATTTGAAATCATTAATGTTTGGATTTTTGAAAAGTAATATGTTGCATATGCTGTATTTTATTTACCACTACCAGAAGGGTGTGGGACAGCATACCATAATTAGATATATTAATATTTCTGTAGTGAAATGTAAGGACGTTTAGATTAATTGGAATAAATCAAGACTATAAATGGCCTTATTCAGAACAAAATAAGCTTTACTGCCAAATCAATCCAAGTTAGGTCAAGTTTGCCACCAAATGAGTTGTGGAAAACTGAGTTTTCAGAGATTTATGGATTGCAAAATTTTGTTTCAGAGGTTATGAACATGCATTACTTCTCCAGTGATGCCAGCTCTAGCTGCTCCAGTTCACAGGGTGCCTGCTCCTAAGACCTCCTTTAGTACTTAACCTGTGGCATGTATTCTGTTCTATTTGAGCAAATAGAACATCCCTGTGGGAAAGACTTTAATTTTATTCTTCTTAATATCTTTCACAGTGCTTACTACTCTGCCTTTTACAGAGTACACCTCAATAAAGATTTTATTTTTAAAAATTTTATTGATAAAAGTGATTAAAAGTCACGAATAGGAGAATATTTTTTAAGAAAATAGATTATTACCTGATATGGTTTGGATTTGTGTCCCTGCCCAACTCTCATGTCAAACTGGAGGAGGGACCTAGTGGGAAGCGATTGGCTCATTGGGGCTTATTTCCGCCTTGCTATTCTTGGGATAGCGAGTGAGTTCTCACGAGATCTGACAGTTTAAACGTGTGTGGCACTTCACCCTTTGCTCTCACTCTCTCCTGCTCCAACATGTGAAGTTGTGCTTGCTTCCCCTTTACCTTCCATCATGATTGTAAGCTTCCTGAGGCCTCCCAGTCATGCTTGGTGTTAAACCGTGGAACTGTGAGTTAATTAAACCTCTTTTCTTCATAAATTACCCAGTCTCAGGTAGTTCTTTATAGCAGTGTGAGAACAGACTGATACGTTACTATTTGAATGAAAATAGAGGGTAGGCCACATTTCATAGAAATACTATAACAGAGTTTTTAAAAATTTTTATTTTAAGTTCTGGGGTACATGTGCAGGATGTGTAGATTTGTTATATAGGTAAACATGTGCCATGGTGGTTTGCTCCACTTATAACAAAGTTTTAAGTAACTGAAATTTCCTTTGCCTTTTTCTAGGTTATGACTAGATAATTACATTAAAAAGGAAAATTGAAACTGTCATGAATAATCTAGTTTGAAAAATAACTGTTTTTGCAACTTTATATTCTTTTTTGACAGGGAGAAGTAGGAGATCAAGGAAATATTGGAAAAATTGGTGAAACAGTAAGCTTATTTTATGCTCTTATTTTTTAATCAGCTGTAAGCATTTTTAGGAATCATATTAGCCATGATTACGTTTGCTATAGTCAAGTTACTCGGAATCAGAATAATTCTTATCCACTACAAATTTAAACTTACTTGTGATGTTTCTGCTGGCAAATAAAACCTATTGTACAAAAGAGAAAAGAGAGAAAACACAATTGATGACATTTTCATCCAATATAAAGTATATTTGTGACCTCAGAAACATTGTTTCTAATATTTGGTTTTTAATTTTATTCTGATAGCTTCAATCTAATTTGACCTTAACATTTTTCACTATTTTATTTATTTATTTATTTATTTATTTATTTATTTATTTATTTATTGAGATGGAGTCTTGCTCTGTCACCCAAGCTGGAGCACAGTGGCATGATCTTGGCTCACTGCATCCTCTGCCTCCCGGGTTCAAGCGATTCTCCTGCCTCAGCCTCCCGGGATAGCTGGAATTACAGGTGTGTGCCACCACACCCAGCTAATTTTTGTATTTTTAGTAGAGATGGAGTTTCCCCATGTCAACCAGGCTAGTCTCGAACTCCTGGCCTGAAGTAATCCACCCGCCTCAGCTTCCCAAAGTGCTGGGATTACAGGTGTGAGCCACTGCACTCAGCCATTTTTCATTATTAAAAAGCTTATTAAATTATACAATAATTTAATAGCTTGAAGATAGTTTTTCTTTAGGTTTGAAAAGTTGAGGTAAATTAAGAGATATTGAGCTGGAAAGTGTAATTGTGTTCCTCAAATAAAGTTTGAGTTGTTCAAATTAATATTATTGTGGAAGAACAGGCTTCATGTTGTATTTGAATCAGATTTGTTAGAAGTAATTTTATTCTTTACAATGAAGAAAGCCAGCCAAAATATTCTCTAACAAATGAACTTACATAACATACATAAAGTGGAAAATTAAATTAACACCAGGAAAGTGAATTCGTTTACAGAGTGTGCTAAATTAATTGTCACAAAATAGATAATATTATTTCTTATGACTTAAAAAATTTTCTTCTATATGGTTGTTTTATAGGCTTAAATAATTAATTATAAATCTTGGTCTTGTGACAAAACAACAAAACATTTCTGATGCCCATTTTTTGTTATTAATTGTTAATAAAAATAGGAAGAGTATCTGTGTAGTCCTAAAAGATAATTGCCATACCTAATTAATCCTGAGTCACTAGAAGGAGAACTTTTTGTTCTTGCTTTTTCTGGGAAAGTTTCAAGGAAGTATTTGTATGAATTAGGTTATTAAAGGCTTCTAGTCAAATATGATTGTAACATATTTCTCTAAGATTACTCAAATTCTGCCATTTCTGAGTGACAAATTGCTTAAGAAATATATATAAAGTTGGCATCCGAAGTTAAAATGCTAATGAAGAACATATTTTCTTAAAGTAATATCTTACATATTAAACTTTTAAGTGTTATTTACTTAATAGTTTTGGACTAATTCCACATAGTATAAGAACCCACTGCCAGTGCTTTCCAAAGAGGAAACAGACTATCTTGGCAGGTAGTAGATTTTTGTCACTGGAGGGAAAATAACATTTATTGAACATTTGCTATGTACTAGGTATAGTGCCAAGTGACATTTCATATTACGGTATTCCATTTAATTCTCAAACAGCTTTAAAAGATACATTTTGTTATTCTGGTTTTAAAATTAGGAATCTGGAGCACATTGAGTAACCAGTTCAAAGTTACATAGCTAATAAATTACTGAACTGAGATTTAAACCCAAAGCTCCAAACTCAAAATCCAAATCTTTGCATTATGCCATGCTTGGATATTTTAATATTAGTTCAATAGCTATCTCATATAAATGTTGTAGAGAGTCTTTAAGCATCTGATAAGTTATTAGACAAAAAGACCTTTCCAACTTTGAGATTCTATCTTTCTTGTTAAGGATGGCACATGAAGCCTTCTTTAAAAAATTACTGCCTATATCAAGTTTATTCAAATATATAAAATGTCTAAAGAATATTTTTATTTTTGGCTCTCAGTAATTCTGGCTTTCATTTTGTCTTTCTAATTTCAAAATCTTAGAAATATAGTTCATCTAATCCAGAGTTCTGTTGCCAAGAAAATTCTTGAGAGATAGGAGAAGATATGGTTGCACTTCATGACATCTATCTTGTAATTGTAGTAGCTGATTTTTACTTTGTTCAATCTTTTTGTATAGTCATTAATTGCCTTTAACTGGCCCTCCTCCAGGTTTGTTTGTTTCTAGATTTATACCAGTTAGAATTCAATTTGTGATAGAGTGTGTGAAGCACAGCAGTCCCACCTATATTTCATGTCTACCTCTTGCAATTATTTATAGTATACAAAGACTTAATTTCCATAAATGTGCCCCAGATGAGTCTCTAATTTCAAAAGATGCCCTCTCATCTTCCATATTCTAGCATTCAGATGTTTAGAAGTAAATCTAGAATTATCTAACCATAATTACCAGTCCTCTCTGTCTTAAACTTTCTAGGCTGAAAGTATTCGAAGAACTGTAAAGAAAAAAACATGTTCTTTTTCACTATTGGCCAAAAGACCAATATTAGGATCAGTGGATAGACATTATAAGGGAACAGCTTTTGGTTTAATGTAGGCAAGAATATTTTAATAGAATTTCTAACACTCAAATAGGTTCTTCCATAGAGTGATCCAACACCTTATTATTGGAAGGTTTGATGTCTTTTTTCAATCATTTATTAGGCAGATATTTATTGATTATAGCAGGCACATTTTTAAACATATGGTCCCTACCTTCATGGAATTTACAGTCTATTGGAGGTTTGACAGATATTAAATAGTCACAGAAAGAAATATGTAAACTGTGATGCATTCTATAAAAAATAGTACAAGGGACTATGACAAGGGTGCCAATTTTAGATCAATAGATGAGAGAAGGCTGTTTTGAGGAAATGACATATAAGTAGTAATCATAAAGAATGATATAAGTTAGCCAGGGAAGGGGTGGGGAAAAAACTTCCCTGGAATATGCAATATAACATAATTTCCATCTTTGCCACCTACCTTGCTATGGAAAAAATACTTAATGTTTCTAAATATTTGTTTTTTTTTCAGCAGTAAAACGATGAAAATAACTACCTTATAGATTTTCTTATGAGGATTAAAAGTGATAATGCACATAAAGCACTTATCACAATGCCAGTCATGTAGTAAAAACTTGATAAATGTTAGCTGTTGTGGTGGAGGTTATTGTTATATGTGATGGTAGCTCTTTTGAGGAACTGAAATAAAGTTGGTGTGGATAAGCTTTGATGAGCAAAGGGAGAAGGTATGTGAGATGATACTAGTGAAGGAGGCAGGAGCCAATCATTTAGGACCATGTTTATTACTTTGCACTTGAATGTAAGGTCAATGAACAATCGCTAAAGGTATGCTAAGTAAGCCAATGTTATGATTTAGTTTGAGGTTTAAGATCACTCTTATTGCAATGGATTGGGAAGCATGGCTGTAAAGAGCAGAAGTAGAAGAGGATAACCAATGAGGATGCTTCTGTAGTAGTCTATATGAATGAGAAAGATGATTTAGACCAGTGGAGATAAAGAGAAGTGGATATATTTGGAAGATATTTGAGATAACAGATTGGAGGTAGGCTGCAAATCAGGGGAGGATCCTAGTCAGTCTCCAGTGTGCAATTAGGCCTTTGATAACTAAACTATTTAGGATTTATCAGGAATATTCTGGAAGCACAAGGAAATGGCATATAGACTGTCTCAGGATAATTCCAATTCTAAGAATCCATGACTTCTTTCTAAGAATGTTGATGTTTCTAGTCTTCCTCTCACCTGCAAATTTGACTTCTTTTCTCTGGCCCTTTTATTTTATTTATTTATTTATTAAATTATACTTTAAGTTCTGGGATACATGTGCAAAATGCGCAGGTTTGTTACATAGGTATACATGTGCCATGGTGGTTTGCTGCACCCATCAACCCGTCATCTCGGTTTTAAACCCTGCATGCATTAGGTATTTGTCCTCATGCTCTCCCTCCCCTTGCACCCCATCCCCTGACAGGCCCTGGTGTGTGATGTTCCCCTCGTGGTGTCCATGTGTTCTCATTGTTCAACTCCCACTTATGTGTGAGAACATGCAGTGTTTGGTTTTCTGTTCCTCTGTTAGTTTGCTGAGAATGATGGTACGACATGAACTCATTCTTTTTTATGGCTGCATAGTATTCTGTGGTGTATATGCGTCACATTTTCTTTATCCAGTCTATCATTGATGGGCATTTGGGTTGGTTCTAAGTTTCTCTGGCCGTTTTCTAGTTTCATTATGTCTTTCTGATGTTGGAGCAAACAAAACTAAAGTATTTTAGAGGCAGTGACTTCACAGCTTTCTTCATGAGTAGGATAATGACTCCTATTATGTTTTCTTTACTGTTGATGATACTTAAATCAAGCAAGCCTTTTACCTGTAACAGGAAACTGAGGATGTCTTTGGCAAATAATCGGTGGGGACTTCTAGGGTCATTTTCTGGTCTCATATTTTATATGTAAAATGTGGATTTATTTTTTCACAGTTTCCTTGATTACATTAAGTTTCAGTTGCCACATTTCTGCCCCACGTGAAGATTTTCAGATGATTGTCCAGTAGTCTGGCCACATTGTTTCATCTCTTAAAACATAACCCAACTTATTTGATTTACCACAATTATTCCTTTACTTATAGACTTTGGTGAACAAAGTAAGATTTCATGAGAAATCTACTGTGTCCTCTCTGTTTTTCTGCCTCCTGTCTGGTGTGCTAATGTATAATAAATGACCGATGAGCAGAGAGGAAGAAGAGAAAGGCATGGATAATCCTCAAAATCAGATACTCTGTTTCTCATTACAAAACCTTTATAATCATAAACCCTCTCATGACTGATTCTGAGCTGGGTTATAACGAATTCATTCAGAAGCAAAAAGAGGTGGAGTCAGTGGAGGAAATAAAAAGAAATAAATATATTTATTGAAGGCCTGTTAATTTCATTTAGTCTTTAAACAACTCTTATGAAATAAGTTTTCATATTGCATTCTATAAATGAGGAAACTGAAATTTATTGAAGTTATGTAATGTATCCAAATTCATACAGTGAGTAAGTAGCAGACCTGGATTTCAAATCCAAAATTTTTATCTTCCGTTCCAAGTCTCTCTTTTCTGCATCAGGTAATCATCAATTTGTCCTGTTTTTAAACTTGAAGTGCATCCTTGAGAATTAATGTTTAAGAGATGTGAAAAAGGGTAAAATAAAATTTTGCTCTGTAATATCTTAAGCCAAGCTGGCAATTTACTTTTAAAAATATTGTCAAATGTTATTTGCCTCTGAGAATTATGAAAATATAACTTAATGTATTTGTGATAGAAATAGGAAAGACTTTGAAAGAGCCAGAAAAAAATATCGTAGAAGTGCTCAGCACAAAACCTCATTTGATACAGTGATTGGTTTTGCTACCCTCTGGTAGAATTACCATGAAATTAGCTTGATACATGTTGGTTTTATTTTATTTCCAATTTTTTCTTTCATTAATAATGAAATGGGAAAACTTCCCTTATCCCCCCTGCAGGGTGTGCAATAGGGGTGTGGCTCATTTCTTTGGTGTCCCGCTGTCAAACCCCTAGGGGAAGCATGCAGACAGGCAGGTAGTGCGTAGCATTTTGGGGCTCCAATCCCACGGCAGCATCTAGGGTTGAGTGTTTACAGCTCCCAAAGCCCCAGTGGGCATGTGTTACAGTGTGCTCTTTCAGCTTTGCCGTCTGCAGGCGGCTTGTGTTAATCAGCTCAATTAGATGCTCTGCCTTATCGCAAAGACAGAGGGCTTTCTGTATCCCGGGTTCTTGCCCTGGTGTCCTGGAAAAATCAGATCACATGTGGGCTTGGAGGATGGGTGCAAGGTTTTACTGAGTGATGGAGGTTGTTCTCAGCAAGCCAGATGGGGAGCCAAAAGGGGATGGAATGGGAAGGTGGTCTTCCCCTGGAGTCAGGCCACCCAGTGGCTGGACTTTTCTCCCAACTACACCAACTGAATTCCATGTGGTCTCCCCGTAGATGGCCTGCTGGTGTCTGTTGTTGTGTTATTCTGCTTCTCTTATCATCCACCCATTTGTGTCTGTGTCTGTATCCGGCTTATAGCGGCACAGGATGGGGAGCATGGTGGGCCATCCTAGGCACAGGCCTGAGGGTGGAGCCCTCACCAGTTACCCAGCCCTTCCCTACCCTGCACTTCCGTATCAATAGGAGACTGCTAGTTTTAGTGGGACCTACCTAAATCATAAGAAGTCATATTTCCTTGAGGGAAAGACCCAGATACTGGTGGTACCATTCAGCCATGCAGGAAGAACTGTAGTATAACTCTACAACTATGCCTAGCTAGGGCCTTTGCAGTTTCAGTGCCTTTATCTTAAAGAATGTCATCGACCCCTCCTGTTTTTAGGCTACTCGTATCTATAAAACAGCAATAAAGCTGTTGTATACCTTCTATGTAATAGGGGGTAGTAATTTTTCTCAGGCAATGGAAATTTATATGAAATGTATATCCATGATACATTTCATCATCAGGAGGATGTTTACCTGAATATGATAAAAAAATAGCTACCATTTATTGAGAACTGATAATATGCCAGATACTTTGCATATATTATATTATTTAATCCTCATAGACACCCTGGAAAATAATGATTATTATTCCTATTTTATACAAAAGGAAACTTATGTTTCAGAGAAGTCAAGAAACTTGTCCAAAGTCAGGTCATATAGCAGCAGAGCTGGGACTGATAAGGAGATATCTTTAACTTCTCCCCATCATCCTGCTTCCTCTTAGCAATTAGCTGAAGATTTTCAATTGTCTTTCTAATGAATAAGTATAATCCTGTTATTACTGCATGAAGTTAGAGGTCATGGGGCCACATGTACCATATTATGGTTTGAGAAGCTATTCTGAAAAACCACGGACATGTAAAATTATTATGTCTTAGGATCATGTATTTGATATTTATCATTTTTGAAACTGAAAAAGAATTAGACCTAGCATTCATGTACTGGTGTAGAAAACAAGCTAGTTATTATACGTGCCATATTAAAGAGTAATAAACAAGAGAGTACCCTTCTTAGTCTAATAAAATTTTTCAGATTGCCCAAATTGTAAAAACAATAAATTACTTCTTCAAAATAATAAAAATAAAAGAGATATTAAAATGGAACTTTGCTTTTCCAATAGCATCAGTCTTTTTCAGATGTGAGTATTTAACATGCTTACTGCCCAGAGGCAATTAGCCCATTAGCCTTCAGACTAAGGAAATGTAAACTTGATCACCTTACTTGTTTTAGAATTGATAGAAATAATATTTTTTAATAACCTCTGATTTTTAAGGATTTACTCCTAATGATTATTTTTTAAAAATCACATTCAATGTAATTCTGTATATGTGCCTGTGACATTAATATTTAGAATCCTAATAGGGTTAAACATTATTCTGTGACTTGAAGTAAATTCATTGTCTACAAATATGTGTGTCTCATGTTTTTCTTCATCGTGTACTTATGTTTCTGTGCTTTAGAAGGATACTGTGATTTTTATAGCCAAACAAAAGAAAGATACAGTTAAAAACTAGTATTTTTCTCATTTATTTATTCTAGCATTCAGAAGACACTTACTGAACACTTAATGTGTGCTAGAGATAACAGTAAAGTAAGACTTGATCTTTAAGTAGTATACGATCTAGAAAATGAGAAAAGAATTATACACATAATTTTGCCAAAACATTAGTCCTCTTTCATAAGATACTCTAAGAAAAAGAAGTAAAAATTGTTTTGGCAGCTATCATAAGGACATAGGTGTTGATAGAGAAACTCTGGCTTTATTTTGCTAAAAACATGTTACTATTCTCTTAGGTAGGGATATTATAAAGTGTTAATCACAACTTTCGAGGAAATGGCAGCTCTAACTTTCTATATAGAAGGGGTCGAGGGGTGGCATTTTGGTTGGAAGAGGCTGTCAAGGGACTTCCCCTGAAGCTAGTTTGCATAAAAACTATACTGTTTGCATTTATTAGTAGTGCTCTGTCTTATTTTTATTTACAAATCAGTAAAAATAGCAAAGGGTTCTAATGATACTTTTATGGTCAGGATATATCAAATGGAGAATACATTGCTTGTTGGTATTAAAGAATGGGAAGGACTGATGGAAATAATGGAAGGGGCAAAGGTAAAGGCATTGCTTTGGGCCACCTGTTGACAATACCACTCTTAGAGAAGGTGATGGCTGAATTATAATCTGAGAGTAAAAATAGTGAAAAATCATTGTGGTTCTGATTTTTCTAAAAAAATATTAAGGACTATGTAATCAATATACTAAATTTTAAAACTTAAAAGTTACAAACATTATAGAATAGTGGTCAGGAAACTTTTTTATAAAGGGCCAGGGAGTATATATTTTAGACTTTCAGGCCATACGGTCTTTATCATAGCTGCTCAACTGTTGTAGTATGAAAGCAGCCATCGAGAATACATAAATGATTGAGCCTGGCTCTGTTCCCAGTAACTTTATTTACAAAAACAGACAGCTGGCAGGAGGTAGCCTACGGGCTGTAGTTTGCCCTTTCCTGTCCTGGAAGGTTATACTTTATTTGAGATGTACAAGATTTTGTTAAATGAATCTACCATATGTGATTCTGCCTAATTTGTCTTTTATCATTAAGAAACATTAAACACAAATGTGATGATTTCTTCAACTCTTACTCTCAAATCAGAAAAC
Organism: Homo sapiens; assembly: GCF_000001405.40. Classification (NCBI taxonomy): domain Eukaryota; kingdom Metazoa; phylum Chordata; class Mammalia; order Primates; family Hominidae; genus Homo; species Homo sapiens. The sequence goes on along the minus strand of NC_000001.11, from coordinate 85,952,465 downwards.
AGATTCAAATTAGCAGACAAATTGTGTTGCTCTCACATATTTATTTTGTGTAGTGTGAACATAATGAATTAATTTGCATTTACATGTACACCACATGTATGTCTAAAATACTTTTATGGAATGTATCATTTTTTTTCCTTAACAAACACTTAAGAATCTTACCAGAAAATATTTTCAAGAGGAGTGAAATCTGTTCTTTATGTGCGCATGTTCACTAGAAACATTTTTCTGAACACTTTACATGTTTTTTGAAGTCTTGCTTTACAGATCAAAGCATTTCTACATTTTAAGTTTTAGTGACTTTTCATTTTATTATTTTGAAAAAGTTATCAGAGAATGTCATTAAACTTATATTTCCTATCAGGTTGAGATATTTTGAATTTGGACTCTATCTTCTGTTTATGAAATGTCTCTTTTTTCATTAATTGTACTAAGCAGCCCGATGAGGGGAGCAGCATTGCATTTTTTGACCACAAATATATGAATGCTCTACTTTTGACTGTAAGAAAAATAATTGATTGAAATCTGGATTTTATTTTAACCACAAATATAGCCACCTTTGTGTTTTGTAGAAAACTTTTTGTAAGTATATAACCTTTTCATTTTCAGTTAAAAATGGAAAAATAGTAACAGCTGAGATACAAGGTTGTTATGCTCAGCACTTTTCTGATTAATGAGTTTTGGAATCTATGTTTTTCTGGTATGTTGATAAAATCAATTTGCTGTCACTAAAATCAGAAAAGACCAAGATGATATAAATGCCTCCAAAAAATGCTAGGGGAATGGGACATAGTAGATTATAAGGGGGAAAATGAGTCTGTAGAGGCTTTAAGAATATAAATTGTAAAAAATTTTTATTCTGACTTTTAAGATCACCCACAATATATTCCTCACCTACCTTTACAGTTGTTATTCCTACACTTTCCAACTTACTCCCTATGATCTGGCCACTCAATATTCATTAAACATCACTCACTTATTTATGCCTTTGTTTCAGGCTGTTTCTGTCACCTCTAAAGACCTTCGCTTTCCCACCCTCATTGTCCACCAAGCATCAACTTTCAAGATCCATCTTAAATTACCTTCTCAACCATGAAGTCTTTTCTAATCTCCACGCCCAGTTAGATTCCGTTTCTTCCTACTTTAGCCTTTTCAGCACTTTCATCTACACTATTACGGTTCTTAGCATTCATTGTTTGATATCACAGTAACTTTTTTACTTGAACTATCCATACAGAAAGCTCTTCTACAGCAGTGACCACATGCCTTATTTTTGTACATTGACACTATGTGTATGTTGAACTATGATAAATTAAGAAATGAAAGGTAATTTTTAAAATTTATTTGCTACTGTCTGTATATTCAGAGGACATTAGTGTGCTTAATCTAAGTCTGAAAATGCGACAGATTCTTGTGAAGCAGTCGGAATAAGGAAGGACATTTCAATGGGAACAACAGCATGAGAATAAAACATGAAGGCATGAAATGACCTGGAGCGTTTGCAGAACTGTACTGTAAGCAGTTCATGATAGCTGGAGGTAGGTAAGGCACAATGAGTCACAGCTCACCTGGCTTCTACTAGTTGCCTGTAATGTCCCACCCAACTTCTTGAGTTTACAAATACTTTTTTTTCTACAAGTCAATGCCAGTATCACTTCTATACTTCACATCAAGTATCCTCTGTATTTTATACATGTTTCTATTACCACTTCTTGCCATTTTTTATTTGAATATGTCTTTTCCCTTCTGGACCTTAAGTCCTTTAAGCGCCATGATTCGTGAAGCAAAAACTAAATCATGAAGGGTAACTTCTGTTTGTGAAATCAATGACAGATGAAGTTAAATCTGAACACTTCCCCTGATCTGTAGTTTTTAGTAAAGTTAAAACTTATTTATGCCATTGTTTGAGGCTGTTTTCAGGTTTTCAAGCCTAATACTTACTGGGTTCAAACCCACACTTATCACCTTTCTTCTAAAATTCAATTCACCCCCTCCTCTTAGTATTTTCTGTAATTGGTACCACACTCTCCAGTTACCAGGTGATGAAAGCTCAGTATTTTTTTCTTATATTCCCTCTTTTCCTTTGTACTTACTTTCAGTGAGTTACTTTTATAAATTCTACATCCGTAATATGTTTTGCATCCATTCTTTACAACCTTAATCCACTGGCTTTTTGAGTCTGTCACTATTCCACAAATATTGTTTGGATACCAATTGTTTGTCAGACATAACCGTTAGGTGTTACAGATAAATAGTTAAAAAAAATTCTTGCTTTTTATGTGTTCGTGAGAGACAAGTAAAAATCCATTATGATACAATATTTTATGGCTATAATAAAAGAGCACAGCATTTTTTTTGTGGGATAACCAGGGGAGGGCTTTGAAGAAGAGTCAGCTCTTGAGCAGGACCTTGAATAATGTGGAGGAGTTTTCCTAAAAATGTAAGAAGGCCTTAGGCATCACTCTAGGTAACAGAACATGTACAGAGGCTGAGAATCATGAGAGAACCAATATATACTGAATAACAGTTAGTTTTATACCACTGGATCATACAGTAAAAGGGAGGAGGGAGGAAAGAAAGGGTCTGAACAAGGAGTAGACAATGATGAAATAATGAGGAACCCTGTATATATGCCATCTACAGTCATTAACATTGTATCCTGTAGCGTAAGGAGATCATTGAATTTATAGTAATATTTTGAAACAGTCATATTGCCAGTTAGAAATATCTTGCAGCTGCAAGATAAAAGATGAATTGGAGATAAAGGGAGACCAATAACAAAGTTATTGCAGTAATATTAAGGAGAAATGACAGCGAAATGCTTCAACTTGGGCAGCAATGAAGGGGAAAGTTATAAAAGATATTTAGGAAATAGAGTAAAAGCTCCATAAACTCAAGGACTATATCTTATATACAGTACCTGGCACATAATATATATTCAATAAACATTTGTTCAAAGATTAATGATTTGGATCAACTTGATTTCAGTTCTCTTTTGAAATGCCCTAGACTTCCATCTCTGTATATATATCCAAATTTTATCTATTCCTTGTATCTTCCCTAAATATCCAAGCTGAAAATAAACTTTATCTCTTGTTAAATTTGATAAAATGTAGTCTTTTGTAATTTTTAGCACTTTCTTCCTGTGTATTAGATATTTATATCCCTAGGCTCTTTGATTATAAATGTCTTAGGGAAGAATCTGTGTTTCCCTTCCTATTTATATTCCTCATACTGCCTAGCACAAGACTCTTTCACTTATCAGTTGTTCAATAAATATTTGTTGAATGAAAAAGTGACAATCATGTCTAACTATGATTTTGGAAACAAAATATCTTAGAATAATATAACAAAACGGGTAAGAGTAAGGACTGTGAGACCAGATTGCTTTCATAGTATAGTAGAAGATACCAATATGTCACGATAACCGATACTGAAAAGATGAAAAATTGTCAAAAGTATGTCAGGAAAGAATGTTAAGCAAAAGTTTCAGAAAACCTCAAAAAGATTAAGTAATTGGCAATTCTTTGTATTTTTTAATGTTGTACATCTCTTTTTGATGGGCTGTTAGATTCAGCTTGCCAGTATTTTGTTGAGGATTTTTTTTAATATATATATATTTTTTATTATACTTTAAGTTCTAGGGTACATGTGCTTGCATCAATGTTCATCAAAGATATTGGCTTGAAGATTTCTTTTTTTGTTGTATCTCTGCCAGGTTTTGGTATCAGGATGATACTGGCCTCATAGAATGAGTTAGGGAGGAGTCATTCAAAAATATAGTTTTTTGACTCCTTGGTGTTGCTAAGTTGTGTTGGTATACAGAAACACATGATGACATTGCTCTCCTTAAGGATCATCAAATCTCAAAAAGTAAATATTTATAATATAAGAAACAGGATAAGAGTTAATGGTTTCTTTTTTTTTTTTTTTTTTTTTTTTGAGACGGAGTCTCGCTCTGTCGCCCAGGCTGGAGTGCAGTGGCGCGATCTCGGCTCACTGCAAGCTCCGCCTCCCGGGTTCACGCCATTCTCCTGCCTCAGCCTCCCGAGTAGCTGGGACTACAGGCGCCCGCTACCACGCCCGGCTAATTTTTTGTATTTTTAGTAGAGACGGGGTTTCACCGTGTTAGCCAGGATGGTCTCGATCTCCTGACCTCGTGATCCGCCCGCCTCGGCCTCCCAAAGTGCTGGGATTACAGGCGTGAGCCACCGCGCCCGGCCTAATGGTTTCTTTAGTTACCAAAAAGTTCATGGTAAATAATTTAGTTACTAAAGAGGATAAGGGTAATGAGAGCTTATAGTGGTTTAAAATAGTCAAGAAGCCTTCTTGAAAAAAGTTGAGACTTGATCTATCCCTTACAAAGTAAGAATAAGTTGATTGTTTTCATCAGGAGATATGCATGAGACTTCATGGAGTAATTGATATCTTAACAGTACAGAAAGTGATGGATGCAGGGAAAAAAGGAATAAACTGTTTCAAAAATACCAATTTCAAAGAAATTGAATGTATTTCAAAGAAATACAATGGCCTGAGGGGAAAACATAATGAAATAAATTCTTATAGCATACATGCATGGCTGCCAAATTCCATAAAACTTCTGTGGTGGAGAAATTGTCGGGGGTTGAGGGGCTTCCATGTACTGCTGACAGAAATGAACTATCCTTAAAATTATTCTCATTTTAATAATATGAGAAAAAAATTACAAATAGTTATTAGCCTGGATTAGAATGTTATATTTTAGGAAGTAGTATAGTGTAAAGTCTTCGTAATGTGATACATGCCACTTGAAGTTCAATCAGTTACACTGATTTTTTTAAGTCAGCTTTTTAAAACAAATATTTTGTTGCCCATAACAGAATTATCAGAGGCTCTTTATTGTTAAAGTATCAGTTATTTTTTTCTCACTGGTATCAATAGATATACTTACAGGAGAAGTCCAACATGAAAATATGTGCAATAGTAACTTATTTTCATTAAGTTTCTAGTTAGAATAGCATAGATGAAACTGAAAGAATATGCATGTTCCGAATAAGGCAATTTAGTTGGTTTCAATTTCCCTTCTCCATGTCACCTATAACTAACCTGCATTTCTTCCACTGGACTGCGGACACTAGATTGTAAATGGGGGTTCACCTTTGTTTCCTGATTATCTGACACATTCCTGGCATATGGCAGAAATTTAGTGAATAAGTCTTGGATTGAAATACTTGTCAATCTGGTAGCAACTAGGATCAGTTGAGTTCTACATGTATTTGTCAAGACCACTTTGTGCTCATCTAGTTTTAGTAGGTAAATCTAAAACAGTACATAGGGGAATGGGGACAAGGATGTTAAGGCATTGATTTAATTGCCAAAATAATTTGTAACCCATAAGAAAATTGGGACTAATACTTATTAAGCATCTGTTCATGCCATGTGCTAATTATTTTACATTTAATATCTCATCTAATCCTAAGGTTTCGAAACTCAGAATTATCCCTTTTGTCCTGTGCAAAAAGCATGAAGTACACACTGACTGGATTTCTTTCTTTTTGTAGTCACTAATTTCCCATATTGGCTAGTCGGTGTATATATAGAACACAGAACAGTTAAGAATTTCAACAGAATAGTAGTTCTGTTTCAGTTTGAATATTGAAAATTAAACAAACTGCCATATAAAAATGAGGTGCTTTTCATTAAATAGTTGTTACATAAGAAGGAGAAGGAATGAATGTGTTATTTTAGAAAGTACATGGGTTTTGAGGTAAGATATATTTGAATTCTGATCCTGGATTTCTAATTCTACTTCCACTTAGGGTAAATGCCTTTTAACCGTGTTTATTGTCAGGGGTAGAAAATAAGAACTGCCTTGGATGAAGCTGACACATAGAAGGTGCTTAAGAAATGGTGATGGTTGTATTTATTGTACTACTGCTACTACTGCACAAAGAGAAGGATAACAAGGCAGTTACATTTCTCCTTCTCCCCAGGTTTCTCATGGAGATACCTTAGGACACTGTGTTGAGGGTCCCCAAGTCACTCCCAGGTTCAATTATTGACTAGTAAGACTCACATGACTCAGCATATGAATGAATCTTACCCATGAGTAAGATTCATTACAGTGAAAGCATACAGAGCATCAGCAAAGGCAAAAGGCACATGGTGTGAAGTCCCGCGGAAACCCGGTGCGGTGTCCCAGAGTCCTTTCCCGGTGGAGTCACACAGTATGCGCTTAATACCCTCAACTCGGAAGTGAGCTATAACATGTTAAATATTATCTACCAGGAAAGCTCATTACAGACTCAGTATTCATGATTTTTACTGGGGGTTGATCACATAGCTACCCTCTGGCTATCATGTAGCAAAATTCCAAACTCTCAGAGGGAAAACAAGTGTTTAGCATAAACTATATTGTTTGCACAAACAGTTGAGGCACAATGAACCACTCTTGCCAGTTTTGGAAATGCTGGGAACTGTCCCCAAATCCAAATTCCCCAGACATCAGCCAAGAGCCAGTCTTGTAAGCAGGCCATTTTAAAGATGGCAAACTCAAGCCTGCTCTCTTAACTCTTTTTGCCCAGATGTGCAGATGAAATGTTCATAGGAGACATTATTTGAGGAATTATATCGTATCTTCCAAGTAACCAGTAATTTACCAAATAAGTCATAAAGAACTATATTAATATTCCTCTCAAGAACATTTCAGAGACTGAAAGATGTAGATAGTCACTTAAGTTGCCTATAGGAAGTCTGAAGGTGGGTCCCTTCATCTCACTCTTAAAATCCAGAACCACCTGAAATTGGAAGCACCCGCCACTCACCCCACTCCAAGATCTAGCTTAGTATGTATCTAGTTGCCACATAATTAGACCAACCTATCTGGCATCTGTGGCAGTAGTTAGCAGGTCAGTTGGTGATGGTCTTAAGGTCTCAGTCATCAGTATTCTCAAGGATGAGAATATATGCTTGCTTTCTGCTCTATATGCTACAGAACTCCAGTACAAGAGAAAGGTCATACAAAACCACACTCAAGGTTTAACTGAAGAAGTCACATATAATTTTTTAATAAAATTGTTTCAACTTTTCAGTCAGTCAGGGCATCCTTAAGCTTCAGGATTTTCAGTACAATGTTGTTATGTATTATTATATTTAAGAATCTCTTCTCGGCCGGGCGCAGTGGCTCACACCTGTAATCCCAGCACTTTGGGAGGCCGGGAGGTGGGCGGATCATGAGGTCAGGAGATGGAGACCATCCTGGCTAACACGGTGAAACCCCATCTCTACTAAAAATACAAAAAATTAGCCAGGCATGGTGGCACACACCTGTAGTCCCAGCTACTCAGGAGGCTGAGGCAGGAGAATTGCTTGAACCTGGGAGGCAGAGGTTGCAGTGAGCCGAGATTGTGCCACTGCCCTCCAGCCTGGGCAACAGAGGGAAACTCTGTCTCAAAAAAAAAAAAAAAAAAAAAAAAAAAAAAAAACACAATGATAGACTGGATTAAGAAAATGTGGCACATATACACCATGGAATACTATGCAGCCATAAAAAATGATGAGTTCATGTCCTTTGTAGGGACATGGATGAAATTGGAAATCATCATTCTCAGTAAACTATCGCAAGAACAAAAAACCAAACACTGCATATTCTCACTCATAGGTGGGAATTGAACAATGAGAACACATGGACACAGGAAGGGGAACATCACACTCTGGGGACTGTTGTGGGGTCGGGGAATGGGGGAGGGATAGCATTAGGAGATATACCTAATGCTAAATGATGAGTTAATGGGTGCAGCACACCATCATGGCACATGTATACATACGTAACTAACCTGCACATTGTGCACATTTACCCTAAAACTTAAAGTATAATAATAATAAAAAAAAAAGAGTCTCTTCTCTACACAGAGGAAGTGTCTGTCCTACCTGTGAAGTACTAATGAGGGATTTCGGCTATGATCTCATAAGATCAAATCCGAAAATATAATTCTGGAAAGAATAATTTAAAATTTTTTTAAAAAAGATTTATTTACATTGTTAAAATAAGCTGTATTTGAGAAACATAAAAAACACAACAGAACACTTCCTAGGCTACTTTAATAAAATAGGCAATGATAACATACATATTTTTGCAAGCATAAACACTCAAATATTCTAGTGACAGTTGCATATCAGTTATAAGCAGATGAACAATATTCATAAATAAATAGGTCAAAAAGTGAAATATATAAAAACTTATGTCACCTATGGTTGGTAATTGTCTATACCCAGCTTTATAACTGCACTCATCTGAAATACTGTAATAGAGAACATAAGTCTTTTGACAAGATCAATACAAAAGCTGCAGTGAGTCACTACTACATATGCACATAGCCATATAATCTTTTCCAAAGAGCTGAGATCTGTAGAAATTTTATCTTTCACAAATGCGAATGTACAAAAAGGACATCTCTTCATTTACTGGGAAAGTTCAATGTTTTAACATATACACACAGTGCCTGCACACACTGTCAGCATTGTGACAATGCACTTTCATGGAGTCAAATTTGCAAAAAAATGCGTAAAATGAATTAGAACTTTCTAAAAGTCTTTTCATAATTTATACTTCCAGTCTGGAATGATATGAAGCTGAAATACATAGCGCAGCAAATTGGTGCTATGTGTGAAGGGGTAGAAGTCACACATTATTGCATAATTTGGAAGGACAGATTTCTTGGACTTTCAACCTGCATTTTCACTTCTGTAATCTTTGAAACACCTGCTGCACTCGTATTTAAAGAGTGGTTGTTGTCTACACATTTTATAAACATATGTTGTCTATTCGAAAGCCTCATTATTGCTCAACTGTTGCAATTAAGTGATTTTCTGCTTTCACAGTATCAGTAGTAATTAACTTTTAAACTTTTCTCTTTCACTATTCAGTAGCCTCATTCACTTAACTTATCACAACTTTTTGGTGGGAGAACAATTTCACAGATCTCTTTCATTGTGTTGTAAGGAATACAGTATGAAAGAATGATACTCAGCTTTCCCATACCAAATTTGTGTTAGTCAGGATTCTTCAGAGGGACAGAACCATAAGGTTATATACAGATATATGAGAAAGGACTTACTAAGAGAATTGGCTCACATGATTATGGTGGCTGAGAATTATCACAATAGGCCATCTGCAAACTGGAGACCCTGGGATGCCAGTAGCTTGGCTCTGTCCAAGTACAAAGGCCTCAGGACCATGGAAGCCAATGATGTAACTCAGTCTGAGGCTGAAAGCCACAGGACATAGCGGGTACTGGTGTAAGTCCTGGAGTCCAAAAGCTGGCATGCCCTGGAATTCTAATGTCCAAGGCAACAGAAGAAAAGTCTGTACCAGCTCTCAGAGAGCAACCAATTTTTCTTCTGTATTGGTTCTCTCCAGGCCCTGAGAGATTGGATACTCCCTGCTAACATTGAGGGCAGATCTTCTCCAGCTAGTAGTCCACTCAGGGTTACATTCTAATCTCCTTTGGAAACACCCTGGTAGACACACCCAAAGTAATGCTTTACCAGGTTCCTAGGTATTCCTTATACCAGTCAAATTGACACCTAAAATTAAGTCGAGTCTACCCCTCATCAATTTGGCACCCATAAGCATCCCCTCACACCATCTATAATTTCCAAATAAAGACAGTAACAAAGCAGTAGTTCCACTGTAATGTGATGTAACTAACGTGATGCAATTATCCTGCATGCAACTGAAGACACACTAATCCCTTCTCCAGGTGTCTTCAACTTTCAGGATTTCAACATTAGGGATTTTAATGTTGAGGATTTTGATTTTTGGAATTTTAGACTTTAGGAATTTTGAACTTTTGTGATTTTGATCTTTTGGATTTCAACATTCCAGATTATGACATTCAGGACTGTGTCTTTGGGGATTATGATTGGCACTAACTAATGTAATGAGATTACTAATTTACCTAGCGTATTCTACAATGTAGCAAAGCCAAAATTCAAGAACTCCAAATAACCAATAATACTAACTTGGAAGGCACAGTATAAAGCCAAGGAAAGACCAATCACTTAGGCAAAAACCATATAGGATAGATACTCAAAACCAGCAGGAATAAGTAATACAAGAGGAAATCACAATACAAGAAAGAAATGAGAAATGTGACCCTCTGTCATTTCATTCCGACCAATGATGTCTTCACCACTCAGGAAAACTTTCTAGGTTTTTCTGCAGCATATCTCAAAGATGCTATCCTGTACTTGAGCTCTAAAAATGTCATATGTGTCTATCAAATGGTATTTCAAAAAACCATAGTCTAACTAGCTGGCAGAGAACTTCAAAAAGATTTATTATTGCCTAAAGAGAGAAGAAAGGCAGTCTCTTGAAAACATCTTTTTCCCTATATGATCTCCACTTTTCCTTCTTTATTTTTTCATAACTTAAACAAGTAAATACTTTAACGTTCCTATGTTTAAGTACACTGTGGGAACTTCTGTAATTTCAATATATTAATTTAGAAACCAGCATCTAATTTATGCTGTGCAATCACTCTATATATCTTTACTGAACACCTACTATGTGCCCAGTATGCTGCTAGACAATGAGATGAGCATTGAGATGAACATCACAATTAATGGAGCACAGCCCCTACACTCAAAAGAGCACACATGAGTTTAGAAGATCAAGTAAGTTTAAAAGATTAGACAAGTTTTTAGGATTAATGAAAAAATAAAGTAAGCTCTGAGTGGTCACAAAGCCTGCTTCCTGTAGATATGTCAGGAAATAGTTTCTTAGTGGTACTGAGGATTCAGAATGCTGGAAACACCTTCTTCACTATGAAATAATAAAAGGATTCCATTTTTTTAAAAAAAAGTACATGTCTCGTTCTTACCTGTCCAGAGATTTTAAATACCCTCTAAATAACTGAATGCTTTTCATATCTCTTATTGTTAAAATCGTAGAGTTTTAGAGCTAAAAATATGAACAGAATTATCTAGCCCATCCTTTTTGTTTTTTGAATTAGGAAGGTGAAACCCAAATTGGTTCAAAGACTTGCTTCAGAATTGAAGATCTAAGCTGGAATTCATGTCTTTAGACTAATAATCCTCCATACCATGCTGCTATTTTCCTCATTTGTAGTTAGAGTGATTTGAGGGGAAGGGAATATTGACAGTGGGGGGAGGCATCGGATGGTAGATTTTCTTACTCTGAGTTTGTCTTTAGATATAATCCTCAGAAAACACAACACCTATGAGGTCTGCATGGAAGAAATATAGAACTAATTTAACAATTTACATGTGAAAATAATGTTCTGCATATAAGCATATATTCTCTGAACATTCTCTTAACATTCCTGCTAGTTATTAGAGTCTTGGGAAGAGTTTGCAATTCAGATGTTTTGCAATACAAGTGTCATAGCAAGAGAATTCCTCTTATTTCTCATCCAAGTTACTTTTTTTGAAACTAATAACACCTTAAGTTCAACCAAGTTAGGTGGATGATATTCACATTATCACCTTTGATTTATTACCAAGAGACTCATTCAAAAGGGCAGGCTATGTGAACAACATTGCCAGGCAAATTTAGTGCAGGGAGTACAGCACAAGTTGCCTTTCTATTCTTGAGTTTACCATAACATAAATGTGAGAGTAAAAGCATCTGTTGAGTAGACATTCCAGGCATATTCTCTTGATCACTGCCAGACCTTCCTCGGGCAAAACTTTGTTCTGAACTTTTATTTTATTACTACATTTTTGATCCAAGAGTCAAATAGTTGTTAGGGAAACGTTAGAAGCTGAAATCCCTATTTGGATACTAAGCAGACCATTCAGTTTTATAAAACTTTATGTATCCAAATGTCTGAAGTGGAGGAACTGTGACTCCAAAGTAGACTATTGTCTAATCAGGAACCTCCATAATCATGAAGTGCTTGTCTTATATTCTAAATGTAATCGATAATATAAAACATTTTACATTATTTAGCATGCCTTGCATGTATTATGCTCTCAAATATGTTTCTTGACTAAATAAATGGCTGAATATATCTTATGGCACTTTTTTTTTTTTTTTTTTTTTTTTTTTTTTTTTTTTTGAGACGGAGTCTCGCTCTGTCGCCCAGGCTGGAGTGCAGTGGCGCGATCTCGGCTCACTGCAAGCTCCGCCTCCCGGGTTCACGCCATTCTCCTGCCTCAGCCTCCCGAGTAGCTGGGACTACAGGCGCCCGCTACCACGCCCGGCTAATTTTTTGTATTTTTAGTAGAGACGGGGTTTCACCGTGTTAGCCAGGATGGTCTCGATCTCCTGACCTCGTGATCCGCCCGCCTCGGCCTCCCAAAGTGCTGGGATTACAGGCGTGAGCCACCGCGCCCGGCCCTTATGGCACTTTTTAAAAGTGTTAATGAATGCAGGGTTTGTATAAAATTGCTTTTTCTTCAATTCATCCCCAGTGTTTGTAGATAGTTTATCTTCAACTTTTGGAAACCTTAATAAGACATACTAGGCACAGTCTTAGTTTCAAAGACTGACTCAGTAAGTAGATAGCACAGGTGAGTAGTCATTATTTTTATTTATTTATACTACTACTTCATGCCAGAAAAGAAATTAAGAGGGCAGTATATATCCTATGTTCAGTAACAGATATGATTCAGTATAATCTCTGTGCTACATCATTTCCTCATCTGGTTTATTTGAACTCCTTAGGCACTAGATACTGGCATAGTAAAATTCTGCAAGTACATAATATAAGCACACTGCACATAATGAAACAGAAATAGACTTAAAGAAATTTTTTGGTAAATATTCCAAAAAAAACTTATAAAAAGCTATAGCTTTTGCTGTCAAAGTGTCTTCAGTCTTTGGTGAGCTCTATAAGTTTTCTCCTCCAGCCAATCATCAGGAAAAGATTTATTACTTAGTATGAAGGAAAAGGAGGAATGAGTATCTCACTCCAGATGCTGTCTCAGAGAATCTCCATTAGGTTGGATTTGGGATACATACCAAATGCTATTTTCTTACACTTTGGACTTGGGAGCCAATCCCCAGAAACCATATATATGTAATGAACAATTTTCTTCCTTATAGGAAGGCAGGATAAAACATTCTGTGTTTCCTAAGGATAGCAACAGTTCTTACCCAGACATTGAAACTACAGTGAACATTAGGAGCCACACTGCTAGGTATGATAGTTGTTGTGTCCATCAAGCATAAGTGAACATTGAATAAAGGTATAAATTCCATTTTTTCCATAACCACAGATTTTGGTTAAGAAGAGATTCTATCTTAGTTGTTTCCAATGTTCTCAAGAATGAGGATCATTTACGGTAGATACGTTTTATGTATCTAGTCTACTCTGAGTGGCTGTATATAACCTTGGTGACACTTTTCAGTATTTCCATGGCCCTCAATGGATTGAGTTCCACAGTTAGAGAAAAACTGTGAGCACACATTGGATTTTCTAGAGGCAAACTGCTGAGATGGCATTTCGCTACAGGGTATTTATTAGGAAGCAACAGTTGTAGAAAGAGTCAGGGAAGAAACAGGATTGGGTAGAGGAAGAAGTCAATCTGTGACACAGACCCTACTAAGTTTCAACCACCCCCGCAAGAAGCTCTAAATCCTTTATGACCCATCTGAGTAGTCCCATGCTAGGCTTAAGTAACTGGGCTTTTATAGTTTACTCCAAGCAGTCACTGTATATGGACCAACCTGGGAAAGGTATATGTACCTTTGGTCAAGAAGGCTCTCTGGAACTAAGGCAAACCATGAAGCTACTGACAGCTTGGGCCACACAAGTTCTTCCTTGAAGGAGTACCTTGGAAGCATATCTTGGTGTTCACCACAGTCTACTCCTTGTTCTGCTTGGATCTACTTCTTCATATCCTTTTAGGGAGATGCTGTCCTAGGATTCTAGTGGATTCTCTTCCTGAGGGAAGCTTAGAAGAGGAATCAGTCATACAAATTACAGCCCCTAGCACTGCAGCTGATTTTAAGACTTCAGTGATATTAATCTTCTCCCTCTTCTGATGATCAGGGTGAATTAACTGTGCCAAGATGGTGACTTATTTTTGCCTGCTGGGGTGTGGACACAGGGAAATTGAAGGGCTCAAGAGATTGCCATAGCTTATAGTTCAGTGAGACTCTCACTGTGTCACTTGGTGAAAATGTGTTCCCTTTGAGGACGAGGGCCTCCATGTCTGCAGAGCTCACATTTTGTGGGAATGGAAAGCACAGAGTCCTCCACTGGGACATTGAGAGTGATAGTAAGTGGAACTAATTCTGCTTCCACACTTTGGTTTCAGACCCATCCATATTTCCTATTAGAGACCCAGTACCATATAAATGTCTTTGAGTCAGTGTATATACTTCATCCTATAGGATAGTGCCTCATCCTCATAAAGCATCACCTCCTAGCTGGCACTTTAGTTTGTACCTTTAGCAGGCTATTCCAATGCTCTCTCAAGTTGGAAAATTCTTGATGTGATGTAATATGACAATTAGATCTCATGGTCATAGGCCCACTTCTGCACTGTTTGCATAAAATGAGTCCCCTGCTCTGACATAATATTTTGGGGATCCCATATGGTAAATTAGACACTTTTTAAGCTACTAAATACTGGTACTAATTGAGGCCTCAGTGTGGGGAAGGCCACCCATTTTCAAAGCATATGTCATTTCTGCTAGAATAAATCTTTGGCCTTTCCAGAATGAACTTGCCTCCAACTAGCTGGTTGGGCTTCTCAAAGAATGGTACCATGTTGTGGGCTTAATATGGTTCTCTGTTGTTGGCAGTTTGGATATTCAGTGGAAGCAGTATTTATATTAGCCTTGTTGAATTGCACCCTATGATGTCAGACTCATGCATACCTTCCATCTCTTCTACCATGTCCATTCCATTCATATATCCATCATCCAGCACTGAAGTGACTGATGATCAAGGCTTGCTGATGTCAGCTTTCTGAGTCATTAAATCTACCTGCAGATACTCTTTCATGTTTGACCCTCTGGTAAATATTGACATGTGATACAAAGATCTTCACACTTCGTGCCTACTCCAGTATGTCCTCCCATATTCCTGTTTCTCACATCTTCTTGGCCCCAGTCTTACAATATTCTTCCTTTTAGGTGCCTAATCAACCAGCCAGGTCACTCACAAATTTCCATTAGTCTGTACCTATTCTAACCTCAAGCAACCTCTCTTGCTCACAAAGTGAATGATCTGGTACACTGCCTGAGACTTGCTCATTAGAAGATGTTCCCTGTTACTGCCTTTTAAGGCACTTCTGGGTGAAGCTGTAGCTCAGCTGCCATCCATCTTCAGTTTGCACCTACGTAAGAAGCCTACTATCCATAAACCAAGTTTGGGCTTTCTCCTTCTGACAGCTGGTCGTAAGGGATCCCCCAGAGAGCAAAGGTGTCAGCTAAAGAAGAGGTACTGGCTGGGAATATGGACAACTTGCTTATGCAGTCTGCTTGTGCCTCTGTGTTGCTCATATTCCTTCCCAGAATGCACTGGAACTGGTTGGCCTTATGACTTGATGAATCTGATGGAACTCAGCTTATAGGAGATTCAGATGTGTAGTCATTTGGTGTCCTGTGATTAAGTGCCCAGACTCTACTAAGGCTACCGGTATGCTGGAATTCATTTTTCAAAATGTGTTTAAATCTCTGCTGCAGGTGGCAGAGCCTTGATACAAAATCTCAGGAGCCTGCACTGTGATCTTCCCATCAAGGCTTAACATAGGCTTTGCATAACTTATTTTTCCACCATTGATTCCTCTAATACCGTAGGGTCTGCCAGGTCATGTGGCCCAAAGTACAGGACTGCTTGCCTCACAGCTTGGACCCACTGTAGGAGCTTGTGCAACCTCCTGGGGTCCTTGCCAGAGTGTTAATTCCTCTATCTTGGAAAGTGCTCCCAAATTAATAAACTTTTCCGTATCTAATTTTATGTTATTTATGTTATATTATGGTTCTCTTGATCAAATACCTGTGCAATCAGATCCACATATATGCCCCCTTCTCCTACCAGTACATACTGACGAGATCTTTTATCCCCTTGGGTCATAGTCCCTTCTGCCTATATCAGGTGCAGCAAGTTATGCTGTGATTTAACCCTAGTTATTGGCATAATGGCTAGAAGAGGAGGTGGTGGGAATCCTAACTGGGTTACGTTTTCTTACAGGGGAGAGGTTATGTTAGGGGAGAATGCTAAATTATAATAAGAAGTAGGCCACTTGTGTAAGCTGGTAGAGTTCAGAGACTAGCAGTTCAAAATCTTCAGGGACCTCTGCCCAGATACTGTTTTCACAAGTATCAGAGTTCCATTTTTTTTTTTCTAACCAAGACCCTGACTTTGGCATAACAGACTTGTCTTGGTTAGGAGTTGGACCTTCTCTGGAATTTGGTCACTTTGATTTTAAATCCTGGCTTTTACCCAATCTTCTCTGCAATCCCCCAGAAGGAGGGAAGAGACCAACCAAATGTTTGGACCATCAGAGTAGTCAGACATTGGGCCCAAATGGCCAGACTTTTATACCCCGCCTTAATCAGGCTTTGGATATAGGCCTCTCTGCTAAGGCCTAAATCTTGAAGGAGCTTATTGCAGGGTTAATAAGATATGTCATAAAAAGGGAATGTGGGTGGCTCACCTCTGTTTCCACCACTACTGCTCTAAGTTGTTCACTCATTCATTCTACGTATGTTATCTTATGTATCCCAGGCAGTAGGCATAAGGGATACAGTCTGATACTTGGAAAGTGCTCCCGAATTAATAAACTGTCAGTCAAGCCTTCAGATGACTTCAGTCTGATACTGTATCCCTTATGCCTACTGCCTGGGATACAGAAGATAATACAGACATCATCCCTGCTTTACAGAGCATATAGACCAATGAACTTAAAGTCACATCTTCCTAAATGGTACAGGATGAAGTACAGTGAGCTAAAGTAACTTGCTACAAGTCATGCTGTCAAATAAATACTTAGCTTACAGATTTCATTTGAAAATAGGAGTGAAGTGATCCAAAGGTTAGCTATTTGGAAACAGTGATGTATTTATAAATAAACAGAAAGTGTTCATTCCTACTTGTCAAGTCATAGTATTACCCTCCAATGAAAAGGTCTGAAGAAACACTATGGAAAAAAATAGACAGTATTCTCCTATTGACAGTTCACTTTGTTCCTATGCATAGTCAACTTTAAGTTTTCTTTTTCCGAACCAACTCTCTAAATGTTATTGTTCGTAGCCTTTTCCTCTTTTTGTTCTACATATTCTCTTTGGTGACTCATCTAAGCATAAGAACTTTTAAATAAATGTTTAAAAATTTTTTAGTTTCAAACAGGAAATATTCTAATTTAAATCAGTCTTTAGTTAATAAATAGGATATAGTTACTTTAAAAAATATTAGGAGAGAGTTTTAAAGTTTTTATAGACCATTTTGCAAAATATACTATTTTGCCAAAAGTGAAATGTTTTCAATTATTATATGGTTGTCTGGATCTTGAAACACAGCATATTCTAGCTAAATGCTTGGTGTTTTTTTTTTAATTGTGTGTTAGATGTGGAATCAGTGTTTTGAAATATTTTTAATGTAAATTCTTGGTATATATTGACAATAATTCTGGCTATGGCTCAGTGACTGTTTTGTGTTTTCTTTAAATATCCAGCAGAAATGACTTGGGCTTTGTGGGCCATATGGTCTCTGTTGAAATTACTCAGTTCTGCCTGCATAATGTGGAAATAGTCACAGATAATAAGTAAACAAATGGGCAAGTCTGTGTTCCAATGAAACTATTTACAAAACAGGCAGCCAGCCATCAGAGCCATAGATTGCTCATTCCTGTTTTATCTGCTATTCTATAGTAGTTCATCTTCTGGCATTTTTGGCTATCTACTTTATATTTTAGTTATTAGTGATGTCTAAATTGACTACTATAGTACCTTATTCATGATAGATAATAACTAATAAGAATGAAATGTTATGCATTTCATCTGTAGGAAAATGTACATTATTCCAACAACACTAATTTAGAGTGTTCACAAAGAAGTGTATAACTTAAAAATACATGCAAGAAACTAAAGAAAACTATTGGGAGGAGTCAAAGTCTTAATAAAATATCAAATCAAGCCAAGAATAGAATTTAAATCATTGTGATTGTTTAAAAATATATCTACAAATTCTTTTCTATTCCTCCATCTGAAGTGTGCAGTCTACTTTGGCTCTTTTTGAATGCAGGATGGACTCAGTTATGCATTTCTAATGAGTAGGATATGGCAGAAGTCAATGTGTGCTAGATCATAAAGGCACTGCAGCTTCTTCCTTTCTCACTCTCTTTCTTGCATCACTTAATCTGGGGGAAGCCAACTACTATGTCCTCAGGTCTATGGATTGAGGAAATAAGCTTTCTTGGAAATGGATTTTCTGGTCAGTCAGGCCTTCAGATGACTGCAGCCAATGCCAAATCTTGACTGCAACTTCATGAAAGATCCTCAGCCAGAACTAACCATTTAAGCCACCTTTGAATTTCTGACTCACAGAAACTGTGAGATAATACATGTTTATTATTTTAACCACTAACTTTTGGGGGTAATTTGTCTTGCAGCAGTAGACAACTAAAATAGTAATACATAATATTTCAACATTTGTTTTAAAATGAAGAAGAATAAATAGGAACAAACCAGAATTCACCCATGTCTCTATTTTAAAGAGCTATAGTAGTAAATATAAATAAATTATGACCATTTCCACATGCACATAATTTGCCTTTGACAACTTTACAATTGAAAATATAATTTTGCCCTTGATTCTCACTTGCATTTGTCTGATTCTCACTAGCATATATGATACTTGAAGTTTCATGGAAAAAAATGAGAATAAGTCACAGCACCTTAGTCTGCCTTTCAGAAAGTACTTCTGTTAAGAAGGAAGAGGTTATATGGCACCTTTGCACAATACATGCCTTCCCTGGATGGAGCATTCCAAGTGTAGGAAAGCTATCTAGAAGTAGGGAGCTGGCTAGGAAATAGTCTTTGGGAGAAGATTAATCCTGCCAGCATCTTCTCTCCTGTTACAGTGTGTTGGTTCCCAACCAATCGTGATAGATTAGGCCATAATAATAGTGTGTTAAAAAAAATTATTCTGTGAAACACAGCAAAAACGTAGGTTTTTAATGTAATTTATTTCTGTTCAGAAGGGTACATTTTCTATTGCCGATGAACTCTATTTGGCTGACAGCAAAAATTAGATACTGAATAGAGTAATTTTGCAACCACATCCTTTAGCAGTTTTCATGCCTCCTCATTTTTGCTGCCAACTTATTAAAATAATCATCTAAACTATACAAGTTTTTTACATTTTCTCTTCACCTACACACATTCTTTTTTTTTTCTTTCTTTCTTTTTTTTTTTTTTATTATACTCTAAGTTTTAGGGTACATGTGCACATTGTGCAGGTTAGTTACATATGTATACATGTGCCATGCTGGTGCGCTGCACCCACTAATGTGTCATCTAGCATTAGGTATATCTCCCAATACTATCCCTCCCCCCTCCCCCGACCCCACCACAGTCCCCAGAGTGTGATATTCCCCTTCCTGTGTCCATGTGATCTCATTGTTCAATTCCCACCTATGAGTGAGAATATGCGGTGTTTGGTTTTTTGTTCTTGCGATAGTTTACTGAGAATGATGGTTTCCAATTTCATCCATGTCCCTACAAAGGATATGAACTCATCATTTTTTATGGCTGCATAGTATTCCATGGTGTATATGTGCCACATTTTCTTAATCCAATCTATCATTGTTGGACATTTGG
This sequence comes from Homo sapiens, assembly GCF_000001405.40. Lineage (NCBI taxonomy): Eukaryota > Metazoa > Chordata > Mammalia > Primates > Hominidae > Homo > Homo sapiens. Next base: position 85,932,685 of record NC_000001.11, on the reverse strand, counting down.
GTTGGTTCCAAGTCTTTGCTATTGTGAATAGTGCCGCAATAAACATACGTGTGCATGTGTCTTTATAGCAGCATGATTTATACTCATTTGGGTATATACCCAGTAATGGGATGGCTGGGTCAAATGGTATTTCTAGTTCTAGATCCCTGAGGAATCGCCACACTGACTTCCACAATGGTTGGACTAGTTTACAGTCCCACCAACAGTGTAAAAGTGTTCCTATTTCTCCGCATCCTCTCCAGCACCTGTTGTTTCCTGACTTTTTAATGATTGCCATTCTAACTGGTGTGAGATGATATCTCATAGTGGTTTTGATTTGCATTTCTCTGATGGCCAGTGATGATGAGCATTTCTTCACGTGTTTTTTGGTTGCATAAATGTCTTCTTTTGAGAAGTGTCTGTTCATGTCCTTTGCCCACTTTTTGATGGGGTTGTTTGTTTTTTTCTTGTAAATTTGTTTGAGTTCATTGTAGATTCTGGATATTAGCCCTTTGTCAGATGAGTAGCTTGCGAAAATTTTCTCCCATGTTGTAGGTTGCCTGTTCACTCTGATGGTAGTTTCTTTTGCTGTGCAGAAGCTCTTTAGTTTAATTAGATCCCATTTGTCAATTTTGGCTTTGGTTGCCATTGCTTTTGGTGTTTTGGACATGAAGTCCTTGCCCACGCCTATGTCCTGAATGGTAATGCCTAGGTTTTCTTCTAGGGTTTTTATGGTTTTAGGTTTAACGTTTAAATCTTTAATCCATCTTGAATTGATTTTTGTATAAGGTGTAAGGAAGGGATCCAGTTTCAGCTTTCTACATATGGCTAGCCAGTTTTCCCAGCACCATTTATTAAATAGGGAATCCTTTCCCCATTGCTTGTTTTTCTCAGGTTTGTCAAAGATCAGATAGTTGTAGATATGTGGCATTATTTCTGAGGGCTCTGTTCTGTTCCATTGATCTATATCTCTGTTTTGGTACCAGTACCATGCTGTTTTGGTTACTGTAGCCTTGTGGTATAGTTTGAAGTCAGGTAGTGTGATGCCTCCAGCTTTGTTCTTTTGGCTTAGGATTGACTTGGCAATGCGGGCTCTTTTTTGGTTCCATATGAACTTTAAAGTAGTTTTTTCCAATTCTGTGAAGAAAGTCATTGGTAGCTTGATGGGGATGGCATTGAATCTGTAAATTACCTTGGGCAGTATGGCCATTTTCACGATATTGATTCTTCCTACCCATGAGCATGGAATGTTCTTCCATTTGTTTGTGTCCTCTTTTATTTCCTTGAGCAGTGGTTTGTAGTTCTCCTTGAAGAGGTCCTTCACATCCCTTGTAAGTTGGATTCCTAGGTATTTTATTCTCTTTGAAGCAATTGTGAATGGGAGTTCACCCATGATTTGGCTCTCTGTTTGTCTGTTGTTGGTGTATAAGAATGCTTGTGATTTTTGTACATTGATTTTGTATCCTGAGACTTTGCTGAAGTTGCTTATCAGCTTAAGGAGATTTTGGGCTGAGACGATGGGGTTTTCTAGATAAACAATCATGTCATCTGCAAACAGGGACAATTTGACTTCCTCTTTTCCTAATTGAATACCCTTTATTTCCTTCTCCTGCCTGATTGCCCTGGCCAGAACTTCCAACACTATGTTGAATAGGAGCGGTGAGAGAGGGCATCCCTGTCTTGTGCCAGTTTTCAAAGGGAATGCTTCCAGTTTTTGCCCATTCAGTATGATATTGGCTGTGGGTTTGTCATAGATAGCTCTTATTATTTTGAAATACGTCCCATCAATACCTAATTTATTGAGAGTTTTTAGCATGAAGGGTTGTTGAATTTTGTCAAAGGCTTTTGCTGCATCTATTGAGATAATCATGTGGTTTTTGTCTTTGGCTCTGTTTATATGCTGTATTACATTTATTGATTTGTGTATATTGAACCAGCCTTGCATCCCAGGGATGAAGCCCACTTGATCATGGTGGATAAGCTTTTTGATGTGCTGCTGGATTCGGTTTGCCAGTATTTTATTGAGGATTTTTGCATCAATGTTCATCAAGGATATTGGTCTAAAATTCTCTTTTTTGGTTGTGTCTCTGCCCGGCTTTGGTATCAGAATGATGCTGGCCTCATAAAATGAGTTAGGGAGGATTCCCTCTTTTTCTATTGATTGGAATAGTTTCAGAAGGAATGGTACCAGTTCCTCCTTGTACCTCTGGTAGAATTCGGCTGTGAATCCATCTGGTCCTGGACTCTTTTTGGTTGGTAAACTGTTGATTACTGCCACAATTTCAGAGCCTGTTATTGGTCTATTCAGAGATTCAACTTCTTCCTGGTTTAGTCTTGGGAGAGTGTATGTGTCGAGGAATGTATCCATTTCTTCTAGATTTTCTAGTTTATTTGCGTAGAGGTGTTTGTAGTATTCTCTGATGGTAGTTTGTATTTCTGTGGGATCGGTGGTGATATCCCCTTTATCATTTTTTATTGTGTCTATTTGATTCTTCTCTCTTTTTTTCTTTATTAGTCTTGCTAGCAGTCTATCAATTTTGTTGATCCTTTCAAAAAACCAGCTCCTGGATTCATTCATTTTTTGAAGGGTTTTTTGTGTCTCTATTTCCTTCAGTTCTGCTCTGATTTTAGTTATTTCTTGCCTTCTGCTAGCTTTTGAATGTGTTTGCTCTTGCTTTTCTAGTTCTTTTAATTGTGATGTTAGGGTGTCAATTTTGGATCTTTCCTGCTTTCTCTTGTAGGCATTTAGTGCTATAAATTTCCCTCTACACACTGCTTTGAATGCGTCCCAGAGATTCTGGTATGTGGTGTCTTTGTTCTCGTTGGTTTCAAAGAACATCTTTATTTCTGCCTTCATTTCGTTATGTACCCAGTAGTCATTCAGGTACAGGTTGTTCAGTTTCCATGTAGTTGAGCGGCTTTGACTGAGATTCTTAATCCTGAGTTCTAGTTTGATTGCACTGTGGTCTGAGAGATAGTTTGTTATAATTTCTGTTCTTTTACATTTGCTGAGGAGAGCTTTACTTCCAACTATGTGGTCAATTTTGGAATAGGTGTGGTGTGGTGCTGAAAAAAATGTATATTCTGTTGATTTGGGGTGGAGAGTTCTGTAGATGTCTATTAGGTCTGCTTGGTGCAGAGCTGAGTTCAATTCCTGGGTATCCTTGTTGACTTTCTGTCTCATTGATCTGTCTAATGTTGACAGTGGGGTGTTAAAGTCTCCCATTATTAATGTGTGGGAGTCTAAGTCTCTTTGTAGGTCACTCAGGACTTGCTTTATGAATCTGGGTGCTCCTGTATTGGGTGCATAAATATTTAGGATAGTTAGCTCCTCTTGTTGAATTGATCCCTTTACCATTATGTAATGGCCTTCTTTGTCTCTTTTGATCTTTGTTGGTTTAAAGTCTGTTTTATCAGAGACTAGGATTGCAACCCCTGCCTTTTTTTGTTTTCCATTGGCTTGGTAGATCTTCCTCCATCCTTTTATTTTGAGCCTATGTGTGTCTCTGCACGTGAGATGGGTTTCCTGAATACAGCACACTGATGGGTCTTGACTCTTTATCCAACTTGCCAGTCTGTGTCTTTTAATTGCAGAATTTAGTCCATTTATATTTAAAGTTACTATTGTTATGTGTGAATTTGATCCTGTCATTATGATGTTAGCTGGTGATTTTGCTCATTAGTTGATGCAGTTTCTTCCTAGTCTCGATGGTCTTTACATTTTGGCATGATTTTGCAGCAGCTGGTACCGGTTGTTCCTTTCCATGTTTAGCGCTTCCTTCAGGAGCTCTTTTAGGGCAGGCCTGGTGGTGACAAAATCTCTCAGCATTTGCTTGTCTATAAAGTATTTTATTTCTCCTTCACTTATGAAGCTTAGTTTGGCTGGATATGAAATTCTGGGTTGAAAATTCTTTCCTTTAAGAATGTTGAATATTGGCCCCCACTCTCTTCTGGCTTATAGAGTTTCTGCCAAGAGATCCGCTATTAGTCTGATGGGCTTCCCTTTGTGGGTAACCCGACCTTTCTCTCTGGCTGCCCTTAACATTTTTTCCTTCATTTCAACTTTGGTGAATCTGACAATTATGTGTCTTGGAGTTGCTCTTCTCGAGGAGTATCTTTGTGGCGTTCTCTGTATTTCCTGAATCTGAACGTTGGCCTGCCTTGCTAGATTGGGGACGTTCTCCTGGATAATATCCTGCAGAGTGTTTTCCAACTTGGTTCCATTCTCCACATCACTTTCAGGTACACCAATCAGATGTAGATTTGGTCTTTTCACATAGTCCCATATTTCTTGGAGGGTTTGCTCATTTCTTTTTATTCTTTTTTCTCTAAACTTCCCTTCTCGCTTCATTTCATTCATTTCATCTTCCATTGCTGATACCCTTTCTTCCAGTTGATCGCATCGGCTCCTGAGGCTTCTGCATTCTTCACGTAGTTCTCGAGCCTTGGTTTTCAGCTCCATCAGCTCCTTTAAGCACTTCTCTGTATTGGTTATTCTAGTTATACATTCTTCTAAATTTTTTTCAAAGTTTTCAACTTCTTTGCCTTTGGTTTGAATGTCCTCCCGTAACTCAGAGTAATTTGATCGTCTGAAGCCTTCTTCTCTCAGCTCGTCAAAATCATTCTCCATCCAGCTTTGTTCTGTTGCTGGTGAGGAACTGCGTTCCTTTGGAGGAGGAGAGGCGCTCTGCGTTTTAGAGTTTCCAGTTTTTCTGTTCTGTTTTTTCCCCATCTTTGTGGTTTTATCTACTTTTGGTCTTTGATGATGGTGATGTACAGATGGGTTTTTGGTGTAGATGTCCTTTCTGGTTTTTAGTTTTCCTTCTAACAGACAGGACCCTCAGCTGCAGGTCTGTTGGAATACCCTGCCATGTGAGGTGTCAGTGTGCCCCTGCTGGGGGGTGCCTCCCAGTTAGGCTGCTCGGGGGTCAGGGGTCAGGGACCCACTTGAGGAGGCAGTCTGCCCGTTCTCAGATCTCCAGCTGCGTGCTGGGAGAACCACTGCTCTCTTCAAAGCTGTCAGACAGGGACACTTAAGTCTGCAGAGGTTACTGCTGTCTTTTTGTTTGTCTGTGCCCTGCCCCCAGAGGTGGAGCCTACAGAGGCAGGCAGGCCTCCTTGAGCTGTGGTGGGCTCCACCCAGTTCGAGCTTCCTGGCTGCTTTGTTTACCTAAGCAAGCCTGGGCAATGGCGGGCGCCCCTCCCCCAGCCTCGTTGCCGCCTTGCAGTTTGATCTCAGACTGCTGTGCTAGCAATCAGTGAGATTCCGTGGGCGTAGGACCCTCTGAGCCAGGTGTGGGATATAGTCTCGTGGTGCGCCGTTTCTTAAGCCGGTCTGAAAAGCGCAATATTCGGGTGGGAGTGACCCGATTTTCCAGGTGCCGTCCGTCACCCCTTTCTTTGACTCGGAAAGGGAACTCCCTGACTCCTTGCGCTTCCCAGGTGAGGCAATGCCTTGCCCTGCTTCGGCTCGCGCACGGTGCGCACACACACTGGCCTCCGCCCACTGTCTGGCACTCCCTAGTGAGATGAACCCGGTACCTCAGATGGAAGTGCAGAAATCACCCGTCTTCTGCGTCGCTCACGCTGGGAGCTGTAGACCGGAGCTGTTCCTATTCGGCCGTCTTGGCTCCTCCTCCCCCTACACACATTCTTAACCCTTTGGCAAACATATCCAAACACACAAAAGCTACTGAAATTGTTCCTACAGGTTACCATCAACCTGGTGATTGCTAAATTCTATGAATTTGTCTTAATGTTCATCCTTCTTAAACCTTCCCACATCACACAGATTTCTCTCTTCTTGAAACTTTTATTTTCTGTATCTTTCTTTGTGCATTCCTGGTTCTCCTCCTTTTTGACTCTTTTTATTATTATTATAATTATTATTATTATACTTTAAGTTCTAGGGTACATGTGCACAACGTGCAGGTTTGTTACATAGGTATACATGCGCCATGTTGGTTTGCTACACCCATTAACTTGTCATTTACATTAGGTATTTCTCCTAATTCTATCCCTCCCCCTGCCCCTCACCCCATGACAGGCCCCCGTGTGTGATGTTCCCCGCCCTGTGTCCAAGTGTACTCATTGTTCAATTCCCACCTATGAGTGAGAACATGCAGTGTTTGGTCTTATGTCCTTGTGATAGTTGGCTCAGAATGATGGTTTCCAGCTTCATCCATGTCCCTGCAAAGGACATGAACTCACCCTTTTTATGGCTGCATAGTATTCCATGGTGTATATGTGCCACATATTCTTAATCCAGTCTGTCATTGATGGACATTTGGGTTGGTTCCAAGTTTTGGCTATTGTGCCGCAATAAACATACGTGTGCATGTGTCTTTATAGTAGCATGACTTACAATCCTTTGGGTATATACCCAGTAATGGGATTGCTGGGTCAAATGGTATTTCTAGTTCTAGATCCTTGAGGAATTGCCACACTGTCTTCCACAATGGTTGAACTAGTTTACACTCCCACCAGCAGTGTAAAAGCGTTCCTATTTTTCCACATCCTCTCCAGCATCTGTTGTTTCCTGACTTTTTAATGATCGCCATTCTAACTGGGGTGAGCTGGTATCTCATTGTGGTTTTGATTTGCATTTCTCTGATGGCCAGTGATGATGAGCATTTTTTTCATGTGTCTGTTGGCTGCATAAATGTCTTCTTTTGAGAAGTGTCTGTTCATATCCTTTGCCCACTTGTTGATGGGGTTGTTTGTTTTTTTCTTGTAAATTTGTTTAAGTTCTTTGTAGTTTCTGGATATTAGCCCTTTGTCAGATGGGTAGATTGCAAAAATTTTCTCCCATTCTGTAGGTTGCCTGTTCACTCTGATGGTAGTTTCTTTTTCTGTGCAGAAGCTCTTTAGTTTAACTAGATCCCATTTGTCTATTTTGGCTTTTGTTGCCTTTGCTTTTGGTGTTTTAGTCATGAAGTCCTTGCCCATGCCTATGGCCTGGATGGTAATGCTTAGGTTTTCTTCTAGGGTTTTTATGGTTTTAAGTCTAACATTTAGGTCTTTAATCCATCTTGAATTAATTTTTGTATAAGGTGTAAGGAAGGGATCCAGTTTCAGCTTTCTACATATGGCTAGCCAGTTTTCCCAGCACCATTTATTAAATAGGGAATCCTTTCCCCATTGCTTGTTTTTCTCAGGTTTGTCAAAGATCAGATAGTTGTAGATATGCGGCGTTATTTCTGAGGGCTCTGTTCTGTTCCATTGATCTATAGCTCTGTTTTGGTAACAGTACCATGCTGTTTTGGTTACTGTAGCCTTGTAGTATAGTTTGAAGTCAGGTAGTGTGATGCCTCCAGCTTTGTTCTTTTGGCTTAGGATTGACTTGGCAATGCGGGCTCTTTTTTGGTTCCATATGAACTTTACAATAGTTTTTTCCAATTCCGTGAAGAAAGTCATTGGTAGCTTCATGGGGATGGCATTGAATCTATAAATTACCTTGGGCAGTATGGCCATTACCATGATATTGATTCTTCCTGTCCATGAGCATGGAATGTTCTTCCATTTGTTTGTGTCCTCTTTTATTTCATTGTTCAGTGGTTTGTAGTTCTCCTTGAAGAGGTCCTTCACATCCCTTGTAAGTTGGATTCCTAGGTATTTTATTCTCTTTGAAGCAATTGTGAATGAGAGTTCACTCATGATTTGGCTCTCTGTTTGTCTGTTATTGGTGTATAGGAATGCTTGTGATATTTGCACATTGATTTTGTATCCTAAGACTTTGCTGAAGTTGCTTATCAGCTTAAGGAGATTTGGGGCTGAGACGATGGAGTTTTCTAAGTATACAATCATGTCCTCTGCAAACATGGACAATTTCACTTCCTCTTTTCCTAATTGAATACCCTTTATTTCTTTCTCTTGCCTGATTGCCCTGACCAGAACTTCCAACACTATGCTGAATAAGAGTGGTGAGAGAGGGCATCTCTGTCTTGTGCCAGTTTTCAAAGGGAATGCTTCCAGTTTTTTGCCCATTCAGTATGATATTGGCTGCGGGTTTGTCATAAATAGCTCTTATTATTTTGAGATATGTTCCATCAATACCTAGTTTATTGAGAGTTTTTAGCATGAAGGGCTGTTGAGTTTTGTCAAAGGCCTTTTCTGCATCTATTGAGATAATCATGTGGTTTTTGTTGTTGGTTCTGTTTATGTGATGGATTATGTTTATTGATTTGTGTATGTTGAACCAGCCTTGCATCCCAGGGATGAAGCCAACTTGGTAATGGTGGATAAGCTTTTTGATGTGCTGCTGGATTCAATTTGAAAGTATTTTATTGAGGATTTTTGCATCAATGTTCATCAGGGATATTGGTCTAAAATTCTCTTTTTTTGTTGTGTCTCTGCCAGGCTTTCGTATCAGGATGATGCTGGCCTCATAAAATAAGTTAAGGAGGAGTCCCTCTTTTTCTATTGCTTGGAATAGTTTCAGAAGGAATGGTATCAGCTCCTCTTTGTACCTCTGGTAGAATTTGGCTGTGAATCCGTCTGGTCCTTGACTTTTTTTGGTTGGTAGGCTATTAATTATTGCCTCAATTTCAGAACTTGTTATTGGCCTATTTACAGATTCAACTTCTTCCTGGTTTAGTCTTTGGAGGGTGTATGTGTCCAGGAATTTATCAATTTCTTCTAGATTTTCTAGTTTATTTGCCTAGAGGTGTTTATAGTATTCTCTGATGGTAGTTTGTATTTCTGTGAGATCCGTGATGATATCTCCTTTATCATTTTTTATTGCGTCTGTTTGATTCTTCTCTCTTTTCTTCTTTATTAGTCTTGCTAGCAGTCTATCAATTTTTTTGATCATTTCAAAAAACCAGCTCATGGATTCATTGATTTTTTGAAGGGTTTTTGTGTCTCCATCTCCTTCAGTTCTGCTCTGATATTAGTTATGTCTTGCCTTCTGCTAGCTTTTGAATTTGTTTGCCCTTGCTTCTATAGTTCTTTCAATTGTTATGTTAGGGTGTTAATTTTAGATCTTTCCTGCTTTCTCTTGTGGGCATTTAGTGCTCTAAATTTCCCTCTACACACTGCTTTTAATATGTCCCAGAGATTCCGGTACGTTGTGTCTTTGTTCTCATTGGTTTCAAAGAACATCTTTATTTCTGCTTTCATTTTGTTGTTTGCCCAGTAGTCATTCAGGAGCTGGTTGTTCAGTTTCCATGTAGTTGTACAGTTTTGAGTGAGTTTCTTAATCCTGAGTTCTAATTTGATTGCACTGTGGTCTGAGAGAGAGTTTATTGTGATTTCTGTTCTTTTACATTTGCTGAGGAGTGCTTTACTTCCAACTATGTGGTCAATTTTGGAATAAGTGTGATGTGTTGCTGAGAAGGCTGTATATTCTGTTAATTTGAGGTGCAGAGTCCTGTAGATGTCTATTAGATCCACTTGGTGCAGAGCTGAGTTCAAGTCCTGGATATCCTTTTTAACCTTCTGTCTTGTTGATCTGTCTAATATTGACAATGGGGTGTTAAAGTTTCCCATTATTATTGTGTTGGAGTCTAAGTCTGTTTGTAGATCCCTAAGGACTTGCTTTATGAATCTGGGTGCTCTTGTATTGGTTGCATATATATTTAGGATAGTTAGCTCTTCTTGTGGAATTGATCCCTTTACCATTATGTAATGGCCTTCTTTGTCTCTTTTGATCTTTGTTGGTTTAAAGTCTGTTTCATCAGAGACTAGGATTACAACCCCTGCTTTTTTTTTTGTTCTCCATTTGCTTGGTAGATCTTCCTCCATCCATTTATTTTGAGCCTATGTGTATCTCTGCATGTGAGATGGGTCTCCTGAATACAGCACACTGATGGGTCTTGACTCTTTATCCAATTTGCCAGTCCGTGTCTTTTAATTGGGGCATTTAGCCCATTTACATTTAAGGTTAATATTGTTATGTGTGAATTTGATCCTGTCATTATGATGTTAGCTGGTTATTTTGCCCGTTAGTTGATGCAGTTTCTTCCTAGCATTGATGGTCTTTACAATTTGGCATGTTTTTTGCAGCAGCTGGTACCAGTTATTCCTTTCCATGTTTAGTGCTTCCTTCAGTTCTTGTAAGACAGGCCTGGTGGTGACAAAATCTCTCAGCATTTGCTTGTCTGTAAAGGATTTTATTTCTCCTTCACCTATGAAGCTTAGTTTGGCTGGATATGAAATTCTGGATTGAAAATTCTTTTCTTTAAGAATGTTGAATATTGGCCCCCCACTCTCTTCTGGCTTATAGAGTTTCTGCCAAGAGATCCGCTATTAGTCTGATGGGCTTCCCTTTGTGGTTAACCTGACCTTTCTCTCTGGCTGCCCTTAACATTTTTTCCTTCATTTCAACCTTGGTGAATCTGACAATTGTGTGTCTTGGAGTTGCTCTTCTCAAGGAGTATCTTTGTGGAATTCTCTGTATTTCCTGAATTTGAATGTTGGCCTACCTTGCTAGGTTGGGGAAGTTCTCATGGATAATACCCTGAAGAGTGTTTTCCAACTTGGTTCCATTCTCCCCATCACTTTCAGGTACACCAATGAAATGTAGATTTGGTCTTTTCGCATAATCCCATATTTCTTGGAGGCTTTGTTCGTTTCTTTTTATTATTTTTTCTCTAAACTTCTCCTCTTGCTTTATTTCATTAATTTGATCTTCAATCACTGATACTCTTTCTTCCACTAGATCGAATCAGCTATTGAAGCTTGTGCATGCGTCACGTAGTTCTCATGCCATGGTTTTCAGCTCCCTCGGGTCACTTAAGGTCTTCTCTACATTGTTTATTCTAGTTGGCCATTCATCTAATCATTTTTCAAGGCTTTTAGCTTACTTGCGATGAGTTCCAACATCCTCCTTTAGCTCGGAGAAGTTTGTTATTACTGACCTTCTGAAGCCTACTTCTATCAGCTCATCAAAGTCATTCTCTGCCCAGCTTTGTTCAGTTGCTGCTGAGAAGCTGTGATCCTTTGGAGGGGAAGAGGCACTCTGTGGAATTTTTAGCTTTTCTGCTCTGGTTTCTCCCCATCTTTGTGGTTTTATCTACCTTTGGTCTTTGATGATGGTGACCTACAGGTGGGGTTTTTGTGTGGATGTCCTTTTCGTTGATGTTGATGCTATTCCTTTCTGTTAGTTTTCCTTCTAAGAGTCAGGTCCCTCAGCTGCAGGTCTGTTGGAGTTTGCTGGAGGTCCACTCCAGACCATGTTTGCCTAGGTATCACCAGTGGAGGCTGCAGAACAGCAAATATTTTTGCCTGATCCTTCCTCTGGAAGCTTCATCCCAGAGGGGCACCTGCCTGTATACTTGGCCACTTTGTTTACCTACTGAAGCCTCAGCAATGGCAGATGCCCCTCCCCCTGCCAGGCTGCTGCCTCACAGGTCGATCTCAGACTGCTGCTCTAGCAGTGAGCAAGGCTCCATGGGCATGGGACCTGCCAAGCCAGGCACAGGATATAATCTCCTGGTGTGCCATTTGCTAAGACTGTTGGAAAACTGCAGTATTTGGGCAGGAGTGTCCCGATTTTCCAGGTGTATTCTGTCATGGCTTCCCTTGGCTAGGAAAGGGAAGTCCCCCAACCCCTTGCACTTCCCAGGTGAGGCGATGCCCCACCCTGATTTGGTTCACCCTCCATGGGCTGCACCCACTGTCCAACCAGTCCCAATGAGATGAGCCAGGTACCTCAGTTGGAAATGCAGATCATGCTGAGAGCTGCAGATCAGAGCTGTTCCTATTTGGCCATCTTGGAACATGACTATTTGACTCTTTCTTTTGTGACTCTTTCTTTTGTTTTTGTTTTTTTTTTTCTACCTCTTGCCTCCAATGAATCTTCATTAGATTCCCTTCTTGTTCCTGGTTTATCATCAGCGTATGTACTACATCATTCTTATTATTTCAACAATTGATTGTTCTATGGAGACACAAATCAGTATTTCAAGATAGATTCTTTACAAGCACAACTGTCTGTTGGCTTACTTCGTCACTTTTCCTCTAACAGTGGCTTTTCTCCTGAGCTTACTGTTTTTTTTTAATGATGATATTGTCCTCATACCAGTCATTACATTTAATGTGGACTATTATAATGATTTGTTTGTCCTATTTTCTATTTTTCCCATTTCTACACATTAAACACAGTGATGTTAAATTACCACCCATTCAAGTCTAGATATGATTATATTCCTCCTTTACTGAAAACCAATAGTGATTCTTCTACAAGCACACACTCTTCTGCAGATACCACAAACACAAATTTCTCACTTGGTATTCAAAGCCGTCTATAGTATATAACCAATGTATCTATCCCAGCCTATTCCCCTACACATATTCTGTGTCCCAGACAATGTGGATTAACTTTGTGTTTGCAAATGTTTTATCATTTGCTCCCTCCCATCTTTAGCTCAAAACATTCCCTCTGCTTGGAATACACTTTCACCATTTCATCATGTCAACATGTAACCATACCTGAGATGCTGCCTTCTCTGTAAAGTCTTTTCTCATGTTTTCAACCAGATATAATCTCTTCTGCCTTTGTGTTAGATATTATTTTACTTCTTCTTCTATTAACTTTTAGAAAATATACGTTTACCTTATTCCAATTTACTGGATTTTGAACTCCTTAGTATATTTTACTCATCTCTATATCCTCTCCAGCTAAATCTTAGCACAGGATCTGTTACATGAACAAATAAATATGCTTAATTTTATTTTCTTCACCTCATTTTGCATTTATTGAAGAAATTGATTTGCAACTGTACTAAACTGGAAATTGATTCAGTGCACTTTCTGTGAGATTAACTTTCAAATAAACTAATTGAGTTAGATTTCACAGTTTTTCAATTTTATGTTAATACGTAAATTCACTGTATTTTTAGGATAACACTAACTGCCATAATAAGTAAACCTAAATATTTTATGTTGTTTTAACACAACAGAAAGTTATTTTTGCCCATGTTAATTGTCTGGTGAAGGTGTTCCTAAGTAGCTCTCCCCTACAAGTTGATTAAGAAAACCAGGTGCTCTCTCTTGGTTTTTGTTGTTGTTGTTTTTATTTTTTAAGAGACAGGGTCTCACTGTGTCACCCAGACTGGAGTGCAGTGATGCAATCATTGCTCCACTGCAGCCTCCAACTCCTGGGCTCAAGCCTCCCGCCTCAGTCTTCTGAGTAGCTGGGACTACAGACACGGGCCACCAAACCTAGCTAATTTTTAATTTTTCTTTTTTGTAGAGACAGGGTCTCACTTTGTTGCCCAGGCTGGTCTTGAACTCCTGGCTTCAAGCAATCCTCCTGCCTTAACCTCCCAAAGTGCTGGGATTACAGGCATGAGCCACCATGCCTGGCCCAGGCCCCCTCTTTCTTGTGGCTCCATCTATCTCTTAGGGTCATTAGCACTTGGGATAAAATTAGAGAAAACCACATGCTTCTCCTGTTAATAATTGCCATGTCATATCAGCTTAAAAGGACATATTGCATCAGTCAGTTTAGGCTAAATTATGCTGCAGAAAGAAACAGCCTGAATATATTAGTGGTTTACAATAATAAAAGTTTATTTCTTACTTGCACTCTATACACTGTGGGTTGGCTGTGACTCTGTTACATGTTATCTGCATTCGGAGACTCAGGCTTAAGGAGCAGTGCCTGTGTGGAACATGTTTAGTCTCATGGCAAAAGGAAAAAAGAAACTGACTTAAAAAAAAAGTGGTACATATCACTTTCTATTTATTTGAAGTTACATAGAGAAGAATGACATTAATAAGATGCAGGGGTATATTCCTCCCATGGTGACGGGCACTCCAAATTATATGGCCAAGTCTGACATCAGTAGCATAGGGAGGTATAATCCTTCCACAGAAAGGAGCAGTGAATATTTCAAACAGTAAAACAATCTGCTATACCATTTTTTCTTTTCACATTTTCACATTTTAAAAATTGAGATATTTCTCATGATCAGTGGTAAATTACAATTGCTTGGGAGATTTTTTTCTCTATTCAGAGATTTAAAAAATATTGGTGTATCTTACAATCCATGATATCTTAGATTCCATGAAATTTGGCAGACCTCAGCTTTAAATACCTTTGTCTAATTCATCTATTATTTCCAAGTGTGTACACAGTTTCAAAGAGTAATATAGACTTAAAGACTGAATAGATTTAAAGCCTGTATGTTCACATTCCTTACCACTGATATAAACCTTTGTTGGCATGCTTATTTTCAGTCTGTAGTAGAGACAACCATAAAAACATTAGAAAAATGGAGTGAGAGAAATTTGCAAAGGGAGAAAAACAGACAAATCATCATAAGATAGACTAGAAAGCTTAGAAATAAGCCATGTATAAGACAAGAATGGCACCATAAACCAATAGGTGGGTAAGAAATAGTGCTGAATATATAGCATTTGGAAAACTGGGTCCCTGTATGCAAAAAATTAAAACTGGATCCCTATCTTATACCACGTGAAAATTGAACTCCAGATGGATTAAAGAAACTTTTCTAGATAGAAAAGTTAACAGCAATAGAAAAGAATGCCCATTATTTAATGACATAGAAATAAGGAAAGCTTTCTTAAACAAGATCCAGAAAATACAAATCATAAGGCCAAAAAAAAAAACAAAAACCACACTGGATATGGCCACATAAAAATTAAGGACTTCTTGTCAATGAAAGATATCAAAAATAATTTCACAGGTGATTTATCACAAGAAGGAATTTAGAACATCTAAAACCAATAAGGTTTGGGCACGGTATCTCATGCCTGTAATCCCAGCACTTTGGAAGGCCAAGGCGGGCAGATCACCTGAGGTCAGGAGTTCGAGACCAGCTTGGCCAACATGGTGGAACCCCGTCTCTACTAAAAACTACAAAAAAATTAGCTGGGCGTCGTGGTGCATGCCTGTAGTCCCAGCTGCTCAGGAGGCTGAGGTAGGAGGCTGAGGTGGCAGGATCAAGCTGAACCTGGGAGGCAAAGGTTACAATGAGCAGAGATCATGCCACTGCACTCCAGCCTGGGCGACAGAGCAAGACTCCATCTCAAATAAATAAATAAATAAATAAAACCAATAAGAAGTTTATACTTTAAATATATAAAAATTCCTGAAAATCATCAAGAAAATATAGGAAATCTTAATGGGAAAAAATAAATTGAGCAAAGACATGGAAAAGAATTACACAGAAAAAGCCCAAAACATGAATAAATAAAATAAAATAAAACCAATAAGAAGTTTATACTTCAAATATATAAAAATTCCTGAAAATCATCAAGAAAATTTAGGAAATCTTAATGGGAAAAAATAAGTTGAGCAAAGGACATGGATAAGAACTAAGCAGAAAAAGTCCAAAACATGAACACATAAATGAAGAGAAGTTCAGACTCAGAGAAACTAGTTATCAGAGAAATTCAAAATAAAAAAATAATGAGCCACTACTCTATATACAGACATTAGCCCTTATCCTAAAGTTGTGTGTATAATTCCCATGTGTCTTCTGCCAGTAAGAAATTAGATTATTGTATGCGTTTTAAAATTTTGCACAAAACACATAATGATGTATCCTTTTGAAAAGGATTTATGCTGTTTTCTCAGTCAACATTATATTCCTAAAATGTTTATCCATGTTGATACATATAGATCTGGTCTATTAATTTTAGCTGGTGTTGAGGTTTTCTGTTTATTTCTCAGTATTGGTCATTCAAGAGTTTTCTTTATTGTATGAATGCATTTTAGTTAATCTGTGTCCATACTGATAATGCCGATGATTCTACTTTTGTACTTAAATAATACAGCAATGAACGTCTTTCTATATGTCTCCTAGTACATACATGTGAAAGTAGAATTCCATGTGAACAACTAGAAGTGCTGAGTTGTAAGTTAGGGGCATCTTCAATTTTACTATATATAATAAATTGTTCTCCAAAGTGATTGTACCAATTTATACTATTTCCTGCTATTTCCTGCTGTGTATGTATGAGTTCTTCTTTCCTTACATTCTAGCCAACACTTGTGGTATTATCAGATTTGACATATGTTTTGGTTAGACTTTTTAAGGTACTGAAATAGTACGTTTTTCTTTTTATGTATTTTGGAGACAGGGTCTTGCTCTGTCACTCAGGCTTACTGCAACCTTGACCTCCTGAGTCCAAGCGATCCTCACACCTCAGCTTCATGAGTAGCTGGGACTACAGGAACATGTTGCCACACCCAGCTAATTTTATTATTATTATGTATAGATTATTTATAGAGATGTGATCTCCCTATGTTGCCTAGGCTGCAAGGAAACCATTTTTAATTTATGTTCTCCAACTTTAAGTTTTATTAAAGATATCCATGGGCATGGCCGGAACCCTGTGAACTATCTACTTTTTAGTGAGAACCTCTATCTTCCAATTATGCCCTTTTGACTGACTGCACCTTTTAATACTTACATGAAGTAAAAAACTCAGATGCCCTATTGGGACCAGGCAGATAGTATAAATAAGTAAAATGGGCCATGTATAAGAGACAATAGGGAATAGCAAAGTAAAGAGTGCATCTGGATCTCAACAGTACAACAGTTACTTAGTTCTGTCCAATATTTGCCTTTGAGAAAGTTTGTCTACATTTGCTAGGTCATCTGAAGCTAATAATTTTATAAATCTTTATATATAAAGTATTTATATGTAAAATCTCCAGATTTTTAAATGTTTTTACCTAGTTCAGTTTAGTAAATGCTATAGGCTAAGCAGAATACATTTGTAGGTTATATTGTTCTGGTGCACATGGGATAAGCTAAACGAGCCTACTGCATTCACTCCCCTAGATCATATGTCTTAGAAAAAGGATTTATCACTTTGGGAGGCCAAGGCGGGTGGATCACTTGAAGTCTGGAGTTCGAGACTAGCCTGGCCAACATGGTGAAACCCCATCTCTGCTAAAAACAAAAACAAAAAATTAGCCGGGCACGGTGCTCTGTGCCTGTAGTCCCAGCTACTCAGGAGGCTGAGGCAGGAGAATTGCATGAACCCAGGAGGCTGAAGTTGCAGTGAACCAAGATCATACCACTGCACTCCAGCCCAGGCGACACAGCGAGACTCTGTCTCAAAAAGAAAAATGATTTTTTCCGAATAGTTTGACTAGTCTGTGTTCAGTTTCTGTTATTTTGTTTACTGTCTCACAACAGATAGCTCTATTTCATTTTTCCTGCTCAGATTTGATTGACAGCATTAGTTAGGGTTTTCCAGAGAAACAGAACCAACAGGATATAGATATAGATAGATTGATTTATTATAAAGAATTGGCTCACATGATTGTGGGGGGCTAAAAAAAAATCTCACAGTCTTCCATCCACAAACAGGAGATCCTAGAAATCCAGTATAGTTCCAGTCCGAGTTCAAAGGCCTGAGAACCACAAGAATTGACAGTGTAAGTTCTATCAGAGTCCACAGGCCTGAGACCTACAGCACTGATTATTTAAATTCTACTCCAAGTCCAAAGGCCTGAGAACTAGGAGTCAATGCTGTCCTAGTTCAAAGGCAGGAGAAGACTAATGTCCCAGCCTAAGCAGTCAGATGGAGAGAAAAGTTTCCTTTCCTTTGCCTTTTTGTTTTATTCAGATCCTCAACAGATTGGACAGTGCCCACCCACATTGGGAAAGGCAATCTGCTTTAGTCAGTTTACCTATTTAAATGTTAATCTCACCTAGAAACAACATACACTCAGAAATAATGTTTAGCCAAATATCTGAGCACTCTGTAACCCAGTGACCTTGACACATAAAATTAACCGTGACAGCCCTCCCCATTGTCAAGTTTGCCCCCAAATGCATCTCTTTAAACCATACTTAACCTTCAAATAAAGACAATAATAAGATCATAATTCTGCCTAACATGATATCATTATCCTGCATGTAACCAAAAACTCACTAACCTCTTTTCCAGAAGAGGATGTAAAGTCCTTGAGTGATGTTTACTCTTCTCCTTTATAACCTGTAACTTAAATACTATGATGTAAAATTAACCATACTTAGATACTGTTATAAGGTCAATACGTCTTATGTTATATGATAAAGAAATGAGAGGGCAGGAGCAGTGGCTTACACCTGTAATCCCAATACTTTGGGAGGCCAAGGTGGGCAGATCACTTGAGGTCAAGAGTTCAAGACCAGCCTGTCCAAAATGGTGAAACCCTGTCTCTACTGAAAATACCAAATTTAATCAGGCATGGTGGTGCACGCCTGTAATCCCAGCCATTCAGGAGGCTGAGGCAGGAGAATCGCTTGAAGCCAGGAGGCAGAGGTTGCTGTGAGCCAGGATCGCGCCATTGCACTCCAAGCTGGGTGACAGAGTGAGACTCCATCTCAAGAAAAAAAAAAAAAAGAAAAGAAAAAAAGAAATGAGAAGAAAAGAACCAAAGATATTTGCTGCACACACACACACACACACACACACACACACACACACACATTCATGACAAAATAACGATGAAATACTCATGACAATTATAGTCTTCGTTTCTGTAACTGGTCACATGGCCATAGCAGGTATTTAAAACTACCTTCTCCGCTACCCATTCTTTATTCCGTTTGCCATCAGCAAGCACCTCAGCTAGTTGGGATCTGTACTTGGTGGGGTATTATGAACTGAATGTTTTTATCCTCTGCAAAATTCATATGTTGAAATTCTAATGACCAATGTAAGGTATGAGGTGGTGTAGACCTTGGGAGATGATTAGGTCATGAGGGCTCTGCCATCTATGAACCAGGGAGCAGGCCCTCACTAGATACTGAATCTACTGGTGCCTTGATCTTAGACTTCTAAGCCTCCAACACTGTGGGAAATAAATATTTGTTGTTAAAGTCACCCAGCCTACAATATTTTTGTTATAGTAGCCTGGATGGACTAAGACATGGGGTGACCCAAACCTTCATTCCGGAAGAATTTGGGTCACTAGTAAGTAGTCCTGCCTGAACTGGGTTGTTGTAATTTTCCATTGACCTTAATCACAGAGCATGGTGATATTAAGACGTATCCTAAGGGATCTCCTGTATTTTATTCACACTCTTCCTTACCTCCATTGTGAAGGTCCCATTTCCCTATGGAAGGCAGAATTAAGCAACATAGCCAACACAGTAACTCCCTTCTTTGGCTGTTGATTCAGGGGCATAAGAAGCCCAAAGTGGCCGGATGGCAGTCTTAACTTCTAGTTCAGTGGAATCATCGTTGTGTCTCCTGGTGGAAGCATTCCTCCCTCTGGAACTAAGACCTTTAGTCCAGCAGAGCATGGGCAGAAACAAAAAATTTTCTAGTGGATGACTAGGGGTAATAGTGAGTAGTACCACTCCCATTTCCACCCCTTGATTCCTGGACCCCAAAATACTAGTTATAGGAGAAACAGCACCATATATTGGACACTGATTCAGAGCATATATAGCCTTCTGGAAAGTCTTGCCCCAACCCTGCAAAGTATTGTCACCTAGCTGGCCTTGTAACTGAGTCTTAAAAATGCCATTTCACCGTTTTATCAAACCAGCTGTCTCAGAATGGTGGAGAACACAGTGAGACCAGTGAATTCCATGCACATGAACATTGATAATAGATTGTCTCAGAATGAAAGTGTTCAGTCTCTTACACTTAAAAACCACAGAAACAAATTATTAAATCACTTCCAACTAGATTTAAGCAATAATATTAGCATAGTGCCTAAAAGTATACATCAGGGCTGTCCAATAGACATACAATGCAAGTCAAAATTATAAGCCACATATATAATTTTAAATTTTCTAGTAGCCACATTAAAAAAGATAAAAAGAAAGAGGTGAACTGATTTTAGTAATATTTCATTTACACCAATATATCAAATCAGTATCATTTTAATACGTAATCGATGTAAGCAATCATTAGTTAGCTATTTTACATTCTTTCTATAAGTCTTCAAAATCTGGTGTCTTTTACATTTACAGTATGTGTCAATTTGCACTAACCACATTTCAAGTGCTCAATAGCCACTTAAACTCATCCATACCATTTAACCTCATCTGTGTCAGCAAACTGTTTAATTCATCTGCCTCATCTGTCAAAGGGGAATGATGATAATACTATATCTGCTGGTTGTGAAGATTAAATCAGGCACATAGAAAACACTTAATATATGTTATATATATGGGATCATTAGATAGATAGAGATCTGTAAGGGTAAAATCATGCTCAATGCATTAGATAAATGACAAGTCATTTTTCATGAGTCAGTGCTTTCTGTATGCTAATGTATACTATCGTATGAGAATCTATCTAAACAAGGTCTTTGCATGGTAGCTATTGAAAAAAGTTTCATTTGTCTTTAAATAAAAGTAGAAAGTAACTGCTTATGATTTAAGACAAGAAAGAGATTATGTTCTTGTCAAGCTTGTTCTGTGTTATTCTTTTTGCTTTCTGTACTGTTTGAAGGAGAAATAATTGAGAATCCGTAAAGACAAAGATGGAAAAACCCTGAGACGTGTTCACTCTGAAATGGTGTAACTGATTACCTTCTTTAACATCTTCTAGCAAATCAAATTCATTCCTTACTCAAGCTATTTACTCTACCTAGAATATTCTTCCTCCCTTCTTTGGCTGGCTGGCCTCTTATTATTATTCAGATTTCATATTAAATGTCAGGCCTCAGTCTTCCCTGACCATCTGTGCTAAAATAGGTCTTCTCTTTTATTCTCCTCTTCAGCAATATTATTGTTTCCTTTATGAGCTTATGTCAGAATTTATAATTATTTAACTTTTAATTTAGTTGCTTTTGTCTCCCTGTTATGAGACTTTTTGCCTCAAGAGGGCAGGGTCTAGATTTGTCTTCCTCAGTAATGAAATCTTAGCAACCATCACAGTGCCTGGCACAGAGTAGGCACCAAATATTTCTTGAGTGGATGAATGAATGATAGGCATGTTCTGTCCGCTTGTGTATTGAGGGGCTTTCAAAAAAGGTAGTTACAGAAATGATTTCTTAAACGAATATATCCACATCAAACAGGTATGAAAACGTCAGGGGTTTTATAAAATCTAGTAGCATGTCAGTTCCACATGGACAGCGACTGTGGATTTGAAACTCATTGCCTCCCAGCGTAGTGCCTGTTATATTTTAGGCACTGATATATTTTTGTTGACTGACTGAATAAATTAATTCTGATATGAAGTCACAGACTGCATAGCTATACAAGGAGGAATTTTACTCCAAGATAACATTTAGGATAAGTTAGAAAGAAACATAGTGATTACAGGTGATTTAAGACCCAGGCACTACAATAGCAATACAATATGTGTGTATTTTCTGTTATTTTTTTTTCCTAAAAGGGACCTGTTGGCTTACCTGGAGAAGTTGGGATGACTGGAAGCATTGGCGAAAAGGTAATTTTTTAAGAATTATTTTGTTTTATAGGAAGAAATCTAGGCTAAATTCAAAAGGCAGACTTTCATATGATCTTTTATGTTAATTAGAAATCACTTATAACTTTAGCACATTACCTATACTGAATATCTTAAATATATTGAAATATAGCTAACAGCATGTAGGTTTCTAATTTTTAAAGGGCAGAGTACCCTTTTGATTATAAAGATGTGATCTGAAGAGAAAAGATGGAACAGTCTAGATTTCTGACTAGAAAATATTATGTAAATCGACTTCATGAGAGCAAGCCTTCTATGAGAGGCTTGAAAGAAAGCAGTTTTTGAAAAAGAAGAATAAGTTACCATTTTACCTTTCTCTCTCCCCATCTTGTGCTTGAGCTTGTTCCTATTTCCATTCTTACTATTTTCTTGAACTAAAATATCCTCTCTCCTTCCCTCTGTTTCTTCAAAACCAAACTGTTGGACTCAGCTGAATTCCCATCTCCTCTATGAAGTCCACAGACTCCTCTCATCCTTCCTAATTTCTTCACTTCTTGGACTTAGAATAGTACCACATAGTCAAAATTTACTTACTCTCTGGTTGTTTCATCTCTGTTAATATCATGTCTGCAGTGTCTGCAGTTACTGAGGGTAGAATCTAAGTTTAGTTTTTTAAATATCTCTTCTAACTCTCATGTACTACATTCTCAATTACTTAAATACTACATACTTAATATATACTTATTGATTTTTTACTAACAATGTAACAAAATGAGTGCAGTTAAAAAATTTTGCATTATAATTTTTTTCACCCAA
Source organism: Homo sapiens (assembly GCF_000001405.40). Classification (NCBI taxonomy): domain Eukaryota; kingdom Metazoa; phylum Chordata; class Mammalia; order Primates; family Hominidae; genus Homo; species Homo sapiens. The sequence continues at coordinate 85,910,584 of NC_000001.11, read as the reverse complement.
TTAGTTATTTCTGTGCTGAGTTAAATCTTCTGTACTAAAATGTTGATACTCTTGAGAATTTTAATGTGAATCAGTTTAGTCTTTTTAAGCTGCTATGACAGATTTGATTATCATGATCTTCCAGACTTATTTCTTATGGCACTTAATTGTGGTAGGCAGACTATAAAATAAAATTTTCTTAAATGGTTACACAGATTTGTTACATTTTAATATGCTTTGATACTTTCACTATTCTCATATTTTGTATGTCTCATAAAATAGTAAGCATTTCTTACAAAACTTTAACATATGATGTGTGCTCACTTTTAAGTCTTGTTTATCCATAATTTCTATTTTCTTCATTTTAATAAGGACTTTAATATTTTTCTCCAAAAAACATCTTAAGATAATTCTATTTTATTAAAAGTCTAATAATTTTAAGATAAAGCGCCAAATTTGTAAATTTAAAAATTATTGGAAATAAAAATGATGTATGCATGTAAGACATGATTCTGGATGACAGTTTTTCTTTCTAGGCTTAGCTCAGTCATGACTAATTAATATGCCTCTATGTTACTCTTTTTTCTTTGTTCTCTTAAAAGGGAGAACGTGGAAGTCCAGGCCCACTAGGTCCGCAGGGAGAAAAAGGTGTTATGGTAAGAGCTCAGTGATTTGAAAAATATGTTTCCAAAGAATGCAATAAAAGCAAGTCGTTCCAGAGATGGAATTGCCTGGGCTGGAATTTAACTGAGTAAAAAATGTTAAATTTCCCATAGAATTTTATTTTTAAATGGTTTATCTCCCAGAATGCTATGTGATACTAAGGTACTCAAAAGCATGTAAATGAGATGGCTTAGTCAAATGATTCTAGTTTTAGGAAAGGAATTTGACCACCACAATTTGCTAAAAAAGATAAAGAAGAAAATTCAATTAGAATTCTACATACTGTGATTTCTCTTCGGATTGTATAAATCTTTCACCTTTTAAAATTAGAGTTCTACTTATTCTTCTACAGCCTATTGTTGATATGACACATATCAGCACTGCCATTCTTCCATGAGTTTGTGGTCATGATGTAGTTTTTTGACATATGAGAGCTTAGAATCCAGAATTCATCTTATTCTCTTACACTTTTAATATAGGAAATAGCTGACAAATTTTATATTTGGGTTACATCTTTTTAACTTACTAAATAGTTTTCTAAGTATGGCAGGAACTGGAGTGAATAATTATTATCAATAAAAGGATATTCCATACAGAAAATGCCTTGTAATGGATCTGGTGGCACATAATACTGTCTACAAATTGATTTTAACTAACTTCTATATTATCAGAAAAGTCCTATAAGTGTTTTGTTTTGTTTTGTTTTTTAAGCTATGCAATTTCCAGTTGCTGTCAGCTAGGAAATTTAGCATGCCTGTAAGACTAATCAACTTCAAGAATCATTACCTCCTAACGCATTTTTTGAATCAGTGTTAATACCATAAAGTGTGTGGTCCTTCTAAAGTTTGAAATGCTAGAATATTTGTACACATTTACATTGCTTAATTAGAGAGCTCCTGGACCTCTCCGAAAAGGATATAGTTTCATAACCTATATAACACAACATATATCCATGGATAAGATAACATGATCTTCAGAAAAATGAAATGAATGTTCTCTTATAAATAGGCTGTAGTATGTGATTCTAGCTAGCAATTTTCTTCTCTAGGCAAAAACCTTCTAATAAATGGATATATAGTTTCTATGTAAATAAAACTACAGAAAATTTTTTTTTATTTCTATGGTCTATCTGCAGAATATTTCCTGTGGCCTTTCATATCTTGGTTACAAAAGAAACATTGTGTCAAATTATCCCTTTTTATTATTGTTTATAATTTACTGGCTTGTCTTCAATGAAAATAATTTAAAGTCATGAATATTTTACTTCTTTTATATTTTCCTTAAATTATAGGGATATCCAGGTCCTCCTGGGGTTCCAGGACCTATCGGTCCATTGGGATTACCTGTAAGTACAGGAAAGACTTTATGATTCCTTCCGGAATGTTTACTTTAATTTAAACTCATAAATTGTTATGCTTTATTGTTGGTTTTTATTCAAAGTAAGTCATGTGTAAACTAGTGGAGACTGCTTCTCTCCCAACTATACAAAACACTCTTGAATTTGTCATGATATCTTGAACTGCCTCACCTCTACTTGGTATACAATCAATTTCAGTTCTGCAACCTAAACTAAAATGCTTTGAAGTTTCTTTTGAATAACCACATATAAGGAAACAGGATTATTAAGATTAGAAGTGAGACCAATTGGATAAATAAATTACAAGTGTAAGCTTCAACATATTTTTCTCAGAAATTTGTAAATATTATCACAACCAGATAAAATTCATAAAAATATGTATTTATTAAACAAAAATTGTAGTATTGAAAATATTCCATTTGTTTACAAAAAGATGATGAAGTGTTTCCCCTAAATTAATTTTGCTTATCAGAATCTGACAGCTATTATGAACTTAAAATATGAACAAGATCGGCCTTTAGGATCCCCTGAGCAGAACTTTTCTTATCAGTGAAGACTTTTATTATTTGTGAAGCTTCTGTTTTAAAAATAAGCCCAATTTTCTAGTATATTTGCAAATATGTTGTTGGCTTTTAAAATTAGGAAGAGTAGTCTCAAGAACAGTTACTAATATCTTTAGTCACATAAAATAATAAATAAATTTGAAATACTAAAGTTTACTTCATTTTTATCTACCTTGGGTTAATAGATAAATAAATTTTGTTTTCCAGTTGAGTCTTAATTAAAGACTATAGCTATAAAAATAATTCATTATAATTGACTTAATAATAAATAGCAACTTAATCTCCATTGCAGGCTATTTTTATAGCATAGTAATTTGGAACATTTTGTGGCATTTTTATAACAAAAAAACTATTTTTATGTGATGGGATTGGCATAAATATCTAGAATAATAGTAAAGAAATATTACCATGATAGCCATTGCTTTTTTGATGGGCCAGGCAGATTAGACCGGTCTGTCTAGCTCAATGGATATCTCCTTCCTCCATCACTCCATATGTGTTCCTTCTGAAAACGACTTGGTCAGTGAATATTAAAAGCTTCTCCATTTTTTATTCAGGGTGTAAACACCCAGACATTAAATTTGTCCAAATAGTAGAATATTTCAAAAGCAGAATATTGGTAGAGGGCAGTGTGATTAAAGCATATTTTTAAGGAAGACTAATCAATTGTAAAAATGTCCTGGGAGAAGGATATATGTTATAAGAAAGATTATGGCTATTATTCTGATAGTATTCTTGTAAATTCTACAACTGACTTTAAATTTACAACATATAGGGTCATGTGGGGGCAAGAGGACCACCTGGGAGTCAAGGTCCTAAAGGACAAAGAGTAAGTAATCTAAGGAAAAAAGTACATTAACCCCCCCAAAATTACTTCATAAATAGTGGAAAATGTGCAACAAAAATAGCATCATACCTTCTAGAATTCTGCTTAGATCTTGTCAGGTTTTTTCTATTTTCATTATATTAGATGAATGCCCTATGTTAATTGAAATACAACTCATAATCTTTTGTAGTTATAAAATCACATTTTTCCATTTTAATTTTTACATGTATCACTAACTCATATAGAATTCTTGTTTCTTATTCCCAGCCTCCAATTCCATTCTTTGAGAGAATGGTAAATGTGAAGATCTTTAAATGAATTATTTCTCTACAGACTTACATAGCAAGGAAAAATAACATCATGACAAAATAAAAGCAATAAGAAGTGGAACAAAGATACACAAGATGAATAAGAGCTTATTAATTGTAAATCAAAGTTATTATAATCATCATTGTCTAATAATCATGTATACAGAATTAAATAATAAATCTTCATCTCTTTAAGTTGTATCTTAAACATTAAATCCTTTTTAAAGAAATAAGAGCCACTATTTATTGCATGCCTGTCACATGCCAGGCACTCTTTCATATATTATCTCAATACTCAAAACCACTAGAGAGAGAAAAATATTATATCTTAGCTATTATAGTTGAGGGAACCAGGGCTCTCAAAGTTTAAGTATACGGCCTCTATAGACACACAGAAATGGCACAAGCAGTATTCAAACCTTAGTGTGTCTGACTCCAAAGCCCATGCTATTCAATACCATATGGAATATCAGGGAGTATTTTTTAAATTAATTTGGATATGTGGGCTTTAAGGATTCTGTGTTATGCCTTGACCTTACTTTGATTTAAGTTTTAGAGCTTATGAAGAAAATATTTTAAAATTCTAAAAATATCCTCTACCTAACCATGGTAAAAAAAAAAAAAGACCTTGCAGTTTTCCAGTTGGCAAATGGGAGAAAATTGTTAATGAATTCCCAGTTTGAAGTAATGACTTCAAAGTCATATCCTGTGTTTTCGGTGAAGCTTGAAGAAAGAGAGCAGATTTGCCTTTATTAATGTTTCCTTTCTGAAAAACTATTTTCCTTCCTGGGTTACAGATTTATACTCTATGGTCACATCTCTAATATATTAGCCCAAATGAGATTTAAAATAAAATAAAAAATGATGATAGATGATTTGTACCCAAACTGCCATTTAGTGGTTAGTACCCTGCCAGCATTCAATATTTAGTTAGGTCAAATGTGTTTATTCAACTTTGTATAAGTCATAATGGGAAAGTTCAACCAATTTGTGACAGATGAAAAAAAGAAGAAATACTTACTTGTTCCTTTTGTTAATTAAGTAATTTGAGTCCTTAAGCACAAGCTGTGTATCTAAGCACAGTCTTTTCCTAAACCACTTTGTGCTGTCTCATTAAGTCATATGGAAAGTTCGTTTGTTCTGCAGTTTTCTAACTTCACCATGATCCTATTACTGTTTCCTGATTTGTCACTTTGTCATCAATTCCTACCTCCCCAAGGATCTATTTTCCTCACATCCTTCAAATACATTTTACTGATTCTCTCCCGAAATGGCTCCTCATCATTTTTAAAATTTTTACCCAGTATCCAGACAAGGAAGATTTGTTTAGAAACAAGGGCTTTAAAAGAGGGAGAGAGAGAGAGAGAGCCTTCTTTACTGAACTACTATTTTAGGTAAACAATGGACATTGGGCATACAGAAAACATACCGAAGACCAGAATATTTGAGAAAGAAAATAGCATTGGGAAGTTCCCTTCTGGTAGCCACTGATATATTCCTATTTTTACTCTCTTCTCTCTTCAATCCATTCCCCACTAGGGCTGTAATCCCAATACTCTAGACCCATTCTTCCCAATGTTTTTCACTCACAAAAAATGAGAATATTGGTCCAGCCTACTGAGATAAATGAAAAGGGGACCTAGCTGCAGATTCCTGTGTCTGGCTTTTCCTTGCCACCCCAAAGGCTGAGGAGGGCACTATTTTCAGCATACCTGTAATCTCTTTGTGGAAAATACGTGTCATAGCATGTTGGAGGGAAGCTCTGCCCTAAGTACATTTGCACAGAGACCACACAGAGAATTTTCATTATGGAACTGGTAGTTATACTCTCTTGCTGTTCTGACTGTGATTGATGCTGTTAACATATGGCCATATGACCATCATGAAGGGTAGGACTACTCCAAAGAGTCTGCTTACTATCTGCTTCTCTCCTGCCCATCCATCCACCTTACAGCTATCTAACATTTACTGATTCCCTGCAACCTGTCAAACACTATTAATACCATGGAGGATTCTAGACTTAATTATCTCTTACATCTAAACTGCATAGATTTTACAGTCTGATGGCTTTTGAAGTACCATGCAGTATTGAAATTTTTCCAAAGGACAGGAAAACCCCAAACAAATAATAATGTCCTACCATCTCAAGAAATAAGTAACCTTGCCTTTTATATAGCTGAAAAAGATAACAGGATTGACTAAAAATATCATTCTTACAGAGATTCTTAGATAAGAAACATGGCATAAACTTTAAAGTATTATTATTTATCCTACATACTCTAAGCTTTGTTTCTACCTGCATGTTTAGCTGAAGAATAATTAAATAAAATGAAATAGTTTAACATACCAAAGCTAATTAGTATAATATACAAAATCATGTCCCTTGTGTAGACAATATAAGCTAGCAGATTCTCTAATTCAGTACCAGAAAGATAGTGGTTTAGCCTCTTGGGTCACTAGAAATCAGCACAACATCAGCTGCACATGGAACTCTTCAGAACTAGGCAACTGATCCCTTGGTATTACTCCATTATACGCCTCTGTGTCCAGCTACCCAAACAGGAGAGATGACACAGAGCGAAGTTAACCTCATCTTTTTTCTTGATTATGAATTGGCAAGGATCATGAGACATGTTTAAGTTTGCACTCTTTCTCTAGAGGGGCAGTATAGAGGCATACAACTGAGCATTTTTATTCAGACTATGCTGCTTAAGATTTAAATGGGAGGGAAAGATTAAAATAACTCTATTAAAAATATGTAATGTTTTAAGGTTTTCTATGGAGGAAGTAAAATTGATCTGCCTATAGAAATTCTGAAATTTGTCCCTTTCAAGGAAATGCTTACCATATAGGGGGAAGCAGTCCTCAATTTTCGCATTTAGATTCAAAGCTAGATTCAATACCTGAAGCACTCCAAATGATAAGGCAGAGCTCCTCTGTGGTTTCTTCTCCTGAAATAGTTTATAACAAGAATAGAATCAAAATATTTTTTTCCTTAAAATCACTGATAATGTTAGTTTTTGTTTAATAGAACGTTTTGTTTCAGCTGTGTAAATCAAGAGCCAGAAAAGACTGCTAGGCCTAATTAGTTAGGCACATGAGTAATGTTAACATCATACGAAGTAGTGGTTCTGTAAATTGATCATTTATGAATTTAGTTATTGCCCATAATTCAAGCAGTATTTATTTTATAAAACATGCTTAGTTTATGTAGCTAAGCTATCAAATTTTTATTTCTGCTATGAGAACTTACTAATACAGCTCAGTGCAGCCAACTTTAATTTTCCTAAGAATGTAAATATTAGATTTTCTCTTTAGCCAGCATAGTTACTCTAAGAGAATATCCATGAGATATTTTTAAACGGTTATTTTAATATATAACTATGCCAAATTTAGGTGCCTATTATAATGCTATTTGACTTTCTTACAGCCTGTCGTAAAGCTTATTTTGTCTTAGAAGTCAAAGCAGACATATACAGTAACCCATGGGATAACTTCTATAACCAATATCAGCGTGAAATTTAAAGATGTTGATAAAGCTAAGCTTTCAGTTAATTAGCTTACTCTTGCTTTAAACAGAGAGAGTACCAAGCTTTCCTAGAGTTCTTCTGCCAGCCTTAAACTCTTAACTAGCAACTTTAGGCTTTATTACCTTTAATTAATATAACTGCATTACTTACACCTTCAGGTTGTTTTTTAAACTAAATGTGGTTATCATCACTGTGGGCACAGAACTTCTCTTTCTTCATTCCCTGTGTTGTCTTGACTTATAAAATGAAATAATAAAGTAAAAGTATTTTTCTAAGTAATGGGTTTTTTTAAGGAAGCATTCTTTTTTATTGATACGTATTTGTACGTATTTATGGGGTGGGTGTGATATTTTGTTACATGCATAGAATGAATAGTAAGCAAGTCAGGGTATTTAGGGTATTTCATTCATTACCTTTAGCATTTATCATTTCTATGTGCTGGGAACATTTCAAGTCCACTCTTCTGGTTATTTTGAAATATACAATAAATTATTGCTAACTATAGTCACCCTACTCTGTTATTGAACAAAAGAACTTATTTCTATTTCATTGCATGTTTGTACCCACTAACCTCCCTTTATCTCCCTCTCCCATCCATACACCCTTCCCAGCCTTTGGTATTTATCGTCCTACTCTCTACCTCCATGAAATGAACTTTTTTAGCTCCCACATATGAGTGTGTAGGGCAGCCAGAGATCACCTCCAGCCCCCATTTTAGCCCTCAGTGGGCTCTTCAGCAGGATCTGGAAACCAGATTGACACCAGGCAGATTAACAAGAGACAAGTTACAAATTATATTAGTTTTGTGTGTATATGGGGATCTTTACAAGAGAGTGAAGTCTGAAGTGCCCCAAACAAGATGCTTTTATACTTCTTAGACAAAGAGTGATACATTTGAGAAAAAGTGACAGGACAAAGAAAATCTAGCTAAAGTGGTAAACATTTCTAGGGAAGTCACTAAGAGATATATTGGCGAGGGGGTGTAAAACAGGTGGAAGATATGAGTTACTTCATTAAAGTGTGTTTATTCAGGTCCATTGCAGCCTTCAATTGTAAGACTCTGGTGATAAGGGCTATTTTCTCATACTGGTATGGAGAAGGTAGCCCTCCCAGAGGGATCTTTATTGCTTGCTGCATGCAGAAGGAGACAGATCAGCTCACCCTTTTGGAAACTACAATTTCTCCAGTGTTTTCATGACATATTTTGGGATGGTATGTCCTTCATTCCTTCAAGTGAGAACATGTGGCATTTGTCTTTCTGTGCCTGGGTTATTTCACTTAATATAATGACCTCCAGTTCCATCCATGTTCCTACAAATTATTCCATTGTGTACATATACCACACTTTATTTATCCATTTGTCCATTGAAGGACACTTAGTTGATTCCATATCTTTGCTATTGTGAATAGTGCTGCAATAAACATAGGTGCAAAAGTCCCTTCGATATGTGATTTATTTTCCTTTGGATAAATACCCAGTAGTGGGATTCCTGGATTGTATGGTAGTTCTTTTTTTTTTTTTTTTTTTTTTTTTGAGACGGAGTCTCATCCTGTTGTCTCACCCTGTTGCCCAGGCTGGAATGCAGTGGCATGATCTCGGCTCACTGCAACCTGTGCCTCCCAGGTTCAAGCAATTCTCCTGTCTCAGACTCCTGAGTAGCTGGGATTACAGGCTACTCAGCCACCATGCCCAGCTAATTTTATATTTTTAGTAGAGATGGGGTTTCACCATGTTGGCCAGGCTGGTCTCAAACTCCTGACCTCAGGTGATCCCACCCGCCTTGGCCTCCCAAAGTGCTGGGATTACAGGCATGAGCCACCACACCCAGGCTCCATTTTTAGTTTTATGAGAAATCTCCATACTCTTTTCCATAGTGGCTATGGAATTAGTAATAATTCACATTCTCACCAACAGCATATAAGAGTTCCCTTTGCTGTGCATCCTGGCCAATAGCTATTGATTTTTGTTTTTTTAATAATAGTCATTCTTCCTGTGATATGATGATATCTTATTGTGGTTTTGATTTCCATTTTCCTGATAATTAGTGATGTTGAGCATTTTTTCATGTGTCTGTTGGCCATTTGTCTGTCTTTTAAGAAATGTCTGCTCAGGTTCTTTCCCCAATTTTTAATAGAATTATTTTTTAACTACTGAGTTGTTTGAGTTCCTTGTGTATTCTGGATATATAGTTCCTTGTCAGATGAATAGTTTGCAAATATGTTCTCTCATTCAACAGGTTGTCTCTTCACACTGTTGATTGTTTCTTATGTTGTATGGAAGCTTTTTTGTTTACCATAGTCCCATTTGTCTATTTTTGGTTTTGTTTCCTGTGCTTTTGAGGTTTTAACCCAAAAATTATTGCCCAGACCAATGTCATGGAGCTTTTCCCCTTTTTCTTCTGGAAGTTTTATAGTTCCAAGTCTTCATATTTAAGTCTTTAATACATTTTGGGTTGATTTTTGTATATGGTGCTAAATAAGGGTTTAATTCTTCTGCATCTGGATATACAGTTTTCCTAACATCATTTATTGAAGAGGCCATCCATTCCCCATTGTGTGCTCTTGGCACCTTTGTCAAAAATCAGCTGGCTATAAACGTGTAGATTTATTTCTGGGCTCTCTTTTCTGTTCTATTTGTCTATGTGTCTGTTTTTATACTAGTACCATGCTGTTTTGGTAACTATAGTTTTGTAGTATATTTTATTTTATTTTATCTTTTAAAGATGGGGTGTAACTCTGTCACCCAGGCTGGAGTGCAGTGACGCGATCATATCACATTGCTGCCTCAAATTCCTGGGCTCACATGATCCCACTGCCTCAACCTCCCAAGTAGCTGGTTCTACAGGCATATTCCACCATGCCTGGCTAATTTTTAAATTTTTTGTAGAGACAGGGTCTTGCCATCTTACCCAGGCTGATCTTGAACTCCTGGGCTCAAGTGATCCTCCCTCCTCAGCTTCCCAAAATGTTGGATTACAGGTATGAGCCACCATACTCAGCCCAGTAGTGTACTTTAAAGTCATGTAGTGTGGTGCTTCCAGCTTTATTCTTTCTGCTTAGGATTACTTTGGCTATTTAGCCTCTTTTTTGTGTTACATATGAATCTTAGGATTTTTTTTCTATCTCTGTGAAAAATGACATTGGTATTTTGATAGGGATTGCACTGAATCTCTAGATTGCTTTGAGTAGTAAAAGTATTTTTTAAATGTAAAACATAAAATGAGTGGTTATTATTACTATATGTATTCCTTAATTTTAGAGGGAGTTCCTTGATTTGCAATACCAATCAGCACTTTACTTGTGAATGTTTAATATTCATTTTGTAAACTTCTAAATTTCAGGTCCTCTCTTCCAGTCTGAATTCACTTGCTGACGGGATTAACCTCATTTCTTTTTAACATTTGAAAAAATATTATAAACTTAATAAAGCACAGTCGTTCAGTCTTTGTACAGTTAGACATCGTGGGAGTCAGGCTACTCACCTAACATCTACAGACTTCAGTTTCTTCATCTTAAAAAGTGGGATTTGGACTAGTTCAGCTATGGCAGTAGGTGATTTCTGTGCCCAAACAAGAAACTGGCAATTAATTATGAGACTTACTCCAGCTAGATGCAGCCTTTTCTACGTGTATCTAGGCAGCCACTTAATCTGATTTTATCCAAGAAATGAAATGTATTTTCTATCTTTGGACCAAACAATCTTTTTAAATAAAATTCTAAATATACAACTATGTGTCCAGGGGCCTTTTGAAGCTTAATGCTTATGGCTGCCACCACGTAAACTTAGAATGACTTCTAACTTTCTAACTCTCTATCACTAGCCTTGGAGATATCTACTTCATTGGGCTTGATCATCTAGAGTCAAACTCCTTATCTTCCACTACTCCTCCCTCTCCACCCTAAGCAAACCTACATTTCTAATTTGTTTTCTATTGATGCTGTTATCTTCTACCAATTACTCAGTAATAAAATATCAAAGAAATACATAGTAATTCTAGGTTGTAAAGGAGTTTTAAGGGCCCAATTAATTACCAGTGGACACATTTTCAATTTAGACCTTACTTGTTTTTTATAGTATTTTAGAATGTTGACCACTCATTCCTTTTCACAGTCTTTTGGCCTTCTTCTTTTGTTACTCAAAAAAAAATTAGCTGTGTTTCTTTTGGAGCAAAAAGAGAAGAATTAGGCATTGAAGGTGCTAGAGAAAAAGAATCAATAGAGACGGCTAAAATTTCAAGATCATCTTGAGGGTTGAGGGTGATTATTAGAGCAAATTCCTGAGGGACCTTCATGCTTAAAACTTGAGTCATCCTTTGAACACTGTTCTTTTTTCATCTTCGGCTACTCAATTATTGAATATTCTAAGCATGACCCCTCATCAGAACTTTGCACTTGCTGTTTTTTCTGCTACAGTGATCTTCCCCAAATTATTTGTATAGCTTGCAATCTTACCTCTTTTAGGTGTCTACCCACATGTCACTTTAGAGAGACTTTTCAGGCCACCCTATCTGAAATAGTCCTCCCCACCTTGGATACTCTCTAGTTCTTTGTTTTTCTTCATTATACTTAACTACATATTTTCATTTTATAATTTAGTTTTACGTACTTATTTGCTTGTTTATGAATTCAGGGATTTGTCTCTTCTCTCTACCATGTCCTCTGGACCTAAAACAATGCTGGCTTATAGTAGGCACTCGGTATACATCTGCTGAATGAATAACACATGTTAAAAAATACTGATCTATGAAATTAAGTCCATGCTCCTCAACTTGATCTTCAAGGTCTTGCACAGTAAGACTGTAGTTCAGTTTTTCAGTCCTTCATTGGAAAATAGAGCAGAAAGAAAGTTGGGAATAGATTATGGAGTACCTTGAATATAGACTTAGAAATTGTAGGGCCGGAGCTATGGCTTTATCAGGATCAGTGGAGCTACAGATCCTCCATGAAGTGTGTGTTCTGTCCAAATCCCTGAATGTGCCTCAGAGGATCAAGGAATGCAGTTACCCTAAGAGTTCCCAAGAAGAGAGTCCTATTATAGTAAATAGCTTTTAATAATATAAAGCTAAACCAAAGCTTATCTCAGATGGGATACAAGAGAAGATTCTGAAGCCTAAAGGACTCCTTCAAATCTGTATGTTGTCCTGGGAGATTTGTATCACCGTTCTGTATAGAAATCTTTAGCATCAGTTTTCTGCCAAATTATTTGTAAGTGAACTTCAGACCTTCACCTTATAAGTCCCAGTCTTCTTTTCCACACTTACATCTTAATATTTCTCAACATGTAATCAATAGCCTAACCAAACAAACTACTTTTTTATTCTTTGAGTATCTGTTTTCATGCCTCTATATTTTTTTCACATACTATCCCTCATTGTAGAGTTTCTTCTATTTTGAATAAGTCTATGAGAACTTGACCTCCAGCTGCTAAAAATATCTTTATTTCCCATTACAAATGTGAAGTTTGTCTCCCTCTTTGAATTCTTGTTTTGGTCCTTGGCATGTCTTATCTCTCTGTATATTATTGTCTTTTGTATATTTGTATAGTAGAGAAACTTTCTCTCAATTATAAATCACTGTAACACTTAACATAATTCCTTTTCCACAGGTATTCAGTTAGAGTCTGTAGAATTGAATCAAGTCCCTGAACAAGGACTTTAAGATCTTCCAAAGAAAGTTATAATTTAATGGAAGACTATTCTGTCATTTTCTTATAGAATGACTTTTGCAACGGCTTTTTTGCAACTAATTATTGAATGAACACTGAGAAGTTTTAAATTTACACGAATATTTTCAGTAGTATTTTCTCTACCTTTTCTGTGCCCCTGCCATCTCCCAGTAATTCCTGACAAGCAGTTGCATAGCAGGTACAATGCAGTCAGCACTCATTTTCTTTCTTTCTTTTTTTTTTTATTCCAGCTAAACTTTATTTCTTTTTTTTTCTTCAATTTTTATTTTAAGTTCAGGGGTACGTGTACAGGAGGTGCAGGTTTGTTACATAGGTAAACATGTGACATGGTGGTTTGCTGCACAGATCATCCCATCACTTAGTTATAAAGCCCAGCATCCATTAGCTATTCTTCCTGATACACTCCCTCCCCCGAGGCCCCCTGACAGGCCCCAGTGTGTGTTGTTCCTCACCATGTGTCCATGTGTTATCATCATTCAGCTCCCACTTATAAGTGAGAAAATGCGGTGTTTGGTTTTCTGTTCCTGCATTGCTATCATTTTCTAATAATGTGAAGAGAAGAGCACCATTTAAAAATATTAAACTTAAGGAGACTGCTTAGAGAAACAAATCCAGCCACTTTTAATTTAGAGTTGATTAAGAACAAATTCTGGCTGGCTGCTGAGTAAATTATAAAGTGAACGAAATACCCAAATAACACACCTATATTATAACCACCTCAACTACTGTGTTAGCTATTTTTGTGCTCATTTGACTTACTATTTGTCATTAAATCTTAAAAACATGGGCTGATTCTCCCATGCAGATAGGTTGAGCCATATACCCAGCTGTATTATTTTCTGTTGTCAGGGCATAAAATCAACATCTTGGCCGTGCGCGGTGGGTGGTGGCTCACGCCTGTAATCCCAGCACTGTGGGAGGCCGAGGCGGGTGGATCACGAGGTCAGGAGATCAAGACCATCCTGGCTAACACAGTGAAACCCCGTCTGTACTAAAAATACAAAAAAATTAGCCAGGCGTGGTGGCGAGCGCCTGTAGTCCCAGCTACTCAGGGGGAGGCTGAGGCAGGAGAATGGCGTGAACCTGGGAGGCGGAGCTTGCAGTGAGCCGAGACGCGCCACTGCACTCCAGCCTGGGCGACAGAGTGAGACTCCGTCTCAAAAAAAAAAAATCATCAACATGTTCATCTGTGAGGACACATAACTGTTAAGAAAAAAAAAGGAACATTTCAAATTAACAACAGGATATTTTTTTCACCTCTAGGGATCAAGAGGACCAGATGGTCTCTTAGGGGAACAAGGTATACAAGGTGCCAAGGTAATCATTGATTTTTCTCATTTCATATGTAGTTAAATTTTATTGAGATCATATGTCCTACTAGTCTAAAAAACAATATATTTCCCTACAAAAGTATGGTTCTAAGTTTTCTCTTTGTCTAAGTATGAAACGCATAAAGTTTTTACTACACAGGCAGAGATGTTTTCTTTTCAATAATGAACTATATACTTACTGTCTTTTTTGTATGTGAGTGTATGCTAGCATATGCTAGCATAGTAAGACCATAATTCACATTCTTACTAACTCACCTGGCTTTGATACTTTGTTAGGGTGAAAAAGGAGATCAAGGAAAAAGAGGGCCTCATGGTCTTATTGTAAGTAATAAAACATTTCACATTAAAGATGAACATTTTAAGTCTTTTTTGTTTTTCTTAGTATGATTAATCTTTTTGGAGGGGACTACTTGACTCAAGAATTTTCTTTCTCATGTAGGGTAAGACTGGAAACCCTGGAGAAAGAGGATTTCAAGGGAAACCAGTAAGTAATTTAAAAAATCATGCTATGAAAAATTTTTATCTGCATTTTTGGGGGAAAGGGGCTGCTCAAACAATGTTTGGGGGATTTTTTGACACATAAAAATTATATATATTTGCAGTATACAATGTGATATTTTGATATATGTATAAATTATGAGCTGATTACCTTTATCTGCTTTATTCTCTAATACAACTATTGTTTAGTATTCAATATGTTGGACTAAAAGAATATAAGTTCTTTTTCTCCTTTAATCATTGGGTCATTGTTTTATTTGAGCAAGTTGCTTACCCATTCTGGGCCTGGGTTGTACCTATCCATAACTGGTGGTTATAACTGTTACTTTTACTTCACTCTAGTTATGATAAATTACTTTTACTGTAAAACCCATTTCAAAATAAAATGGTGTGACATATAAATATAATGAGACATTAATAAAGCTAACATAATAACTAACTTTTTTCAGGCCTCTTGCCTAGTTTTCTTTTAACTCAACTTGAATTCCTTTTAGGCCTTTGGAGTATAGAGCTGTGTGTGTCTTCATGCCTTCCCATGGCACTGCTTAAGAGTTGTTAATATTTTATAATACTAGTTATTTTCCTACCATCAAAAATCTTACCAGAATTATACATTTTTTTCCCTGAGAGGCAACAAGTTCTATGGTTATCATCACTAAGTAAGAGGAAAAAAATGTTAAAGATTTACCCACACATGCATACTTACACATAGACATGTAAGATAGTACATGTATGTGAGCACATAAGCTTAAGTATATGGATATTTTTACTTTCATTCAGAATTTTAATTTTTAATGATGACATTTTGATTTGTTATATACACATATATGTATAATATAAAGTTATAAAAATAGATAATATAAATAGATTGCAGCTCGGGAGACAGAAAAGGATAGAATAAAAATGTTTTAGCCGCTACAGTATTAATAATTGTCTATGTAGTAAATGTCACTGCATTTGCTTGTTCCTTTTTGAAATCTGCTGCCCCCTGCCCGCTGTTTCCCACAATAACATTGTATTTAACAGTGATCCAACCTAAAATACCAGAGACCTAAGACAGAAAACAAATGACTATGTCTAGGAAAGAACTTGTGTGTGGCATTGTATTATTGATTAACGTTATCCTCAAAGAATATTACTTGAGTTTTAATATTCATCACCTGAGTTTCTATTATATTGATATAAATGGTGTTTGTATAGATTATGACTACTTTGATATACTTTATACAGTGCTGATACATTGCAGTGAGTGGAAAAGTTTGGAGGTCAAGTTCATCCCTCTCATTTAAAAAAAAAATGAGACCCAGAGAAATAAAATTACTTATTCATTTTGTATTCATTGATGAGCTGAAAATAAAGGTAAAAATATAGGTCATTCATTGTTGACCTTCCCTAGAATTTTACCTTCATTTTCAGCCCATCAATGTATGCCTGTATAAACATGATATTTCATGTTTGACTTTCTCAATTAAATAAAAGATACTAGAATCATTCTGTAACCTTACCCTGGTTTGTAACCTTACCTGGCAAACATGTCTCATAGACTCCTGGAAGAATTAAATTACCTTAGTGTATGACATGGTTGGACATTAAATATGAATTTATAATAGTTGTTGAGGTTTACTTAGCTCTATACCTACATTGTCTCCTTCTCCTTGATTGGATTGACATGATGGGATTGGATTGACATCTTGGAGAAGCTGGGAAAAGTCAACTGAAAAAAGCCAGACAAGCCCCAAAGGTTCACTTGATCCTTCAGCACAGTCTTAGCGTTTTTAGTCATTTATGCACTATCAACAAACAGGCAGTGCTGTATATTAGAAAGATAAATTCGAGGTCAGATTGTCCTTTGGTCTAGTGTATGCTCCTAAAAACCATATAACTTTGTTTAAATTGGTTAGGCCTGGGCATGGTGGCTCATGCCTGTAATCCCAGCACTTTGGGAGGCAGAGGCAGAAGGATCTCTTGAGCCTGGGAGTTCAAGACCAGCTAGGGCAATGTAGTGAGACCCCCATCTCTAAAAATACATATTTTTTATTTTTAAAATGAATTTTAAAAAATGGTTGGGATAAGAGCTCTAAGACCCTCTCCATCTCTAAATTTTCATAATTTTAAGCCAGGAATTAAATGAAAACTGGCAACATATAGTGCTCTGGTAATCCAGATAACTAGTAAAAGTATATTTGTCCGTGGACCAACACTGTTTCCTATACAATACTTGCCTCCCATACATCTGACTCAAAAGAAAATCAGGAAGAAAGACCACAATCCATTGTGTTATTAAGGTGTTAAGGCCTGGATCACTATTTTAGGTTCTCTAAATAATATAAAAACTATCATAACTCATACGTTACTGAGGTTTTTTTTATCTAGATAGTCTATCAGTTTGTGAGATGGGTGTAAAAATTCTTCAACTATAATTTTTGTGTTTCTCTATTTCTCCCTTTAATTCTTTCTAATTTTTCTTTATGTATTTTTAAATTCTATTGTAAGTTTATTCACATTTATAATTATTATGTCTTCCTGATCAATTGATCCTTTTTTTGTTAAAAAATATTCTTGTTTATCTCTGGTAATACTTTTTACTCCTGGTAATACTATTTGTTGTGAAGTATATGTTATCTGATATTAATACTCACATAAAGTTTCTCCAGCTTTCTTATGCTTGCTGCTTACATGGCATATCTTGTTCCTTAATTTACTTTCAACCTATCTGTGTCTTGATATTTAAAGTGAATATCTTATAGTTGGACCTTGTGTTTTATTCATTCTGACAATTTCTGCCTTTTAATTTGAGCATTTGTTCAATTTCAATTTAATGTAATTATTGATACGTAATTGATGTGGTTAGATTTGGGTCTCCCATTTAATGATCTGTTTTTCTTTGTGTCCTTTTTATTGTTATTGTTCAATGTCTTCTGTTGGCATTGAATAATTTTGAGAATTCTATTTTAATCTGTCTGTTGGATTTTTAGCTCTATTTCTTCTCATAATTTTCCATGGTTATTCTAGGTCAAGGGACAGCAAACTTTTATTGTGAAGTGCCACAAAATAAGTATTTTATGTAAATACTTAACACAAGTGTAAGAAACTTGCCAACAATATAGGTCCATTTACTAATATTTTTTATGCTATAATTATTTTATGTATTACATCTACATATATTTTAAACTACGCATTGCAAAGTTATGATTTTTGCTTTAATATAAATAAAATATTTTCATGATGTAAATGAAATACATACTTTAGAGATGTTTAATGGGGAAAAAATGTTTATCATTTACCCACATATTTGCCATTTCTGATGTTATTCATTCCTTTCTGAAGATTTGTGTTTCCAAATGGTGTCATTTTCCTGTAACCTATAGAACATCCTTTATATTTCTTGTAGTAAAGTCTGCTAGTACATATTTCTCTTAGTTTTTGTTTATAAAATGTCTTTATTTTTCCTTTACTTTTGAAGTATACTTTCACCGGATATCAGATTTTAGGTTGACAGAGTCTTTTGGGGGATTTTTTGTTTTCATTCAGCACTATAAAGATAACTTGCCATTTTCTTTTGGCCGCTGGTATTTCTGATAAGTAGTCCACAGTTATATATATATAAAATTAATCCCTTGCATATAATGTATCATTATATTTTATTGGAATCAATCATATTGGAAGTCATATATTGGTTTTGCCACTTACTAGCAGTCTTGACTTTGTACAAATTACTTAACTTCTCTGGGCTTCAGTTTCTCTATCTTTGATATAGGAAATCTTTCATAGTCATAATAAATGTATAACAAATGATATTTATTATGTTCCTGGCACAGGCTCTAATAAATAACAACCAAAATAGTCATTATTATCCTCATGGTCATCATTATCATAGTTACTGGGTTGAAGTCATAGAGAAGGGAGTTCTGAAAAGCCTTAAAGATAATTTTTATTTTATTCCAGCTTGTGCTTTTCCTCTTTATCCCCAATAAAAACAGAGTCCACTTAAATTATTTCGTAGCTTTGCAAAAGAGCTTTTATGCAGTATCAACAGCATTAAAAGTACATGATAAGCTTGATATTATGTCTAAACATACTTTACAAAGAAAATTGGGCAGACATTATTTAAAGTTCTGAAGTTTTCTGTATATTTCAGTTGGTGTACTAGGCACAGAGAGATTCCTTATAATGATCCTCTCTCTTAATTAAGGATCCTGGAGTAAATAGGCACCATATCATTTACATGACTGAAACAGGGCCTCAACCAGATGGGAGTCCATAATTTTACATATTTCCCTTTCCCTAGCCAGAAAAACTGAACATAGCATTAAAGATTATAACTTAGAAGATAGTGTGTTGCTAAGAACTTTGAATATCTTTACTTCTAATTTAATGTCATATTTTTATACCTTTTAGTTTTTAAGGTAAAATGGTATTTGTGATTAGCTGTATAGTTATCAGCTTTCCTGAGATCAATAATGTAGAAGATGCAACTTACGGCCGGGCGCAGAGGCTCACGCCTGTAATCCCAGCACTTTGGGAGGCCAAGGCGGGTGGATCACGAGGTCAGGAGATTGATACCATCCTGGTTAACACGGTGAAACTCTGTCTCTACCAAAAATACAAAAAAAAAAAAAAAAAAAATTAGCCGGGCGTGGTGGCGGGCGCCTGTAGTCCCAGCTACTCGGGAGGCCGAGGCAGGAGAACGGCGTGAACCCAGGATGTGGAGGTTGCAGTGAGCCAAGATCATGCTGCTGCACTCTAGTCTGGGTGACAGAATGAGACTCCGTCTCAAAAAAAAAAAAGAAAAAAAGATGCAATTTACAAAAGGATCAACATGTTATGTATTGTCAGTGGTCATCAGTGCCTCGCACACAGTAAATGCTCAATAAATCTTTGACTGAGTCAGAGAAGACTCAGAATTTGGTTTAGTGTTCTATCTACTTCATATCTGAGATGCTCTTTTATGGTACTACAAAGAGTGTAAAGATGGGGAAAAAAGGAAGTTACAGGTCCAGTATGGTTATTTCCAGTTATCTAGGTTCCAAGACTCCTGTGCCTTGCCAGGGTTTAAAGGCAAAAGTCATACTTATTAACACATCACAAGGATTATTATTTTTGGAAAAAGGAAACTTTATATGAATATTAAAACTATAAAGAAATTCAGATTTAAAATAATTTTGGATAATTATTTGTCACAATATAGGAGTGAGGATTAAATAAAAATAGGGGTAGATATAAAGAACTCCTACAACTCAAGAATAAAAAAACAACCTGATGGAAAAATGAGCAAAGGACTTGAATAGACATTTCTCCAAAGAAGATATACAAATGGCCAGTAAGCACATGAAAAGATACTCAACATCACTAGTCATTAGGGAAATGAAAATCAAACCACCATGGGATACTATTTCACAAACATTAGAATGCTGTTCTAAAAAAAAAAAAAGAAAATTTGTGTGGCCAAGGATGTGGAGGAATTAGAACCCTTGTGCATTACTGGTACAAATATAAAATAGGGGAACTGCTGTGGAAAACAGTTTGGTGGTTTGTCAAGAAGTTAAACAGAGAATTACCATATGATCTATCAGTTCCACTTCTAGGTAGATACCCAAATAATTGAAAAAAGGGACTCATACAGATACTCGCATACCCATGTTAATAGCCGCATTATTCACAATAGCCAAAAGTTGGAAGTGATCCATGTTCTTTGATAGATGAATAGGTAAACAAAATGTGGAATATGCATACAGTGGACCCAATCTTAAAAAGCAGGAAGTTTTGACACATGCTACAACAGGGATGAACCTTGAAGACATTATGCTAAGTGAAATAAGCCAGTCACAGAAAGACAGATATTGTATGATCTCACTAATATGAGGTACTTAGGGTAGTCAAATTCATGGAGACAGAAAATAGAATGGTGGTTGCCAGGAAATAGAAAAAAAGGGGTGATGGGGAGCTAGTATTTAATGGGTACAGAGTTTCAGTTTGGGAAGATGAAAAAGTTCTGGTAACGGTTACACAACATTGTGAATGCACTTACTGCCACAAACTTTACATTTAAAAATGGTTAAAATAGTAAATTTTATGTTGTGTGTATCTTACCACAAAAGCAAAAAAAAAAAAAGAATAGCAATAGACAGAAAAGTTGGGTGGAAGGATCCATAGGAAAGCTAAGGTAAGGAAAGTGTCTAAAACATCTTCACACACCACTTTTCCTACAAGTATTGCCTTTATTTGTCCAGGGTTTACAGGGATTGCCTGGAAGTACAGGTGACAGAGGACTTCCAGGAGAGCCAGTAAGTTTATCTTTATACTTTTCTAATTGTGTCTTTCTCATAAAATACATTTACATTTCCATTATTGCTCTGCTGTGCTGTGACTGGTATGTTTTAGAAAGCAGCATTTATCATAGACACCATAGACTAATCACATAGAATGAAAAATAATAGTTTATAGTGCCTTTCTGGTTGCATATAGTCAAATATGGTGCTGTTTTTCTGGAGCTGTTAAATCTGAGCATATTTCTATTTTCAACAAATAAAACTCTGTTTTATTGAATCTCAGAAATTCTCTTTCTGAATGGCTTGCTGTTCTTATAATTATTATGTTGCCACACACGCACAATCACATTTATGAGGCAATTTCTATAATTAGAAGACCATACAGAGAGAAGCCAAATTTTACATCTGATGGGCCAAAATGTGCAAACATGACAGAAATGCAGTTACATCAACAGTACAAAAGCTTGCATCAATACAAAAACTTATGAAATCATTATGAAATAGTTTCATAAATATGATTCAATTATGGAGTTTCCATGGACGGTACGTTGTGAAAAGGAAAGACCTGTCACACCTACTTTCTTACAATTTATTCTTTTTTGCCAATGAAGTCATTCTTCTGGTTAATAGTGTCAGATGTAATGTGCTATAATGTGCTTCTAAGATGTACAATACAATATAGTCTTTCAAACAACTGCATTGATTTTATTATCGGTTGACACAAAGGTTTACAGGTGGCTTTTGTATAATTCATTTAGTTAGTAGCAAATGGAAAATTCTAACACTAAAAGAGCTATTCTTACCTTAGCTTTTTCCTCATTTATATACTTAATCTGTGATATAAGCTCTCAAACAATAAGTGAAGATTTGACAGTATTTATAGTTCTTTCCAAATAAAGAATCTTAGATATGTTGTTGATTTTTTAAGCTAAATCCTTCTTGGTTTTCTCCCTATTATGTATATCTTAACCTGCCATTTCAATTCTGATATTTATCTGACCTAAAATAATGCAACTCTCTTTAGCATTATTTACTTAAGTATATCCCCTAAAAAGTCTGTACACTGCTTGAAATCAGAGACCATTTCTTTTATCTTTGTAATCCCCTTTCCTGGTATAATGTCTGGTATATATAAGTAAGTGCCAGATAGGGATAGAAATGAGGCAGGTGACAAAACACTCATAGATTTATGAGGGCTATTGCCAACATTTTTAATTTTTATCCTTAGAACAAAGGATGTTATTAAAGGGCTCGGGCTAGCTTTATTATCAGATTATTTAGTTTATTATCTGATATCTATTTTGTAAACATCAGTCAAATTACAAAATGGAGGGAGCCAAGAATGGCTGGCTGTTGCAATAATCCAGATAAAAAATGGCAGGACCTTTTTTATGAGCAGGGAAAAGAAGTGGACAGACTAATTCAAAAGGAGATAAAACCAATAGGTAATAAAGACTCTGTATGTGAAGTATAATTCTTAAATTTCTGGCTTATTGTATTAAAGAGTTGATGATACTATTCACTGAAACAAAAAAAAACACGGAAAAGTAGGTTTGAGAATGGAAGATTATAAATTCAGTTTAACTGTTGAATTTCAGGTGTCTTTGAGAAACATGAAGTTGGCAGTTGGCTTCAGAGTAGAGGAATACACTGAAGTTAAAAAATGTTGGATTCATTGCCTATGGAAAGAGTATAGAAGTGAGAAAAGAAAAAGATCTAAGGCTGAGGCTTAAAGAACTACAACATTTACAAAACGCTGGCAGAAAAGGTTGAAACTGCACAAGAAACTGAGAGAATAAGAGGAAAATCAGACATGTAAGTTAGGAGTTTCAGCCATAAACATAACCCATCTTAAAATCTTCATGATAATATTAGATCCCCTTAGAAGTACGTAGGCATAAAGTAGGATAGGTAAACTACAGCCCTCAGTCCAGTTATACTTCTGTAAATCAAATTTTATTGAAACACAGCCACAACGATTCCCTTATGTATGGATGGCTGCTTTCATACTATAACAGCAAAGTTTAAAAGTTTTGACAGAGACCACATGACCCACAAGCCTAAAATACTTACTGTCTTGCCCTTGAAAAAAAAAAAAAGTTTGCTGACCCCTGATGTAGATTTTAATCACACACGTACAGAAAGAAAATGTCTAATCAATGCAAACCTTGTAACAAATAATGTCCCTTGGTTTATGTAGTGTTCAACCTGCACAACTGTACCCAATCGCCTTCAATAAGAGGAGAATGGTGATATTTGTCCATTCTCTCTTTTATTATTTTGTTCATTTATTCTTCCGTTTCAGAAGACAAGTTGAAAAAAAATCTCCTGACCTAAATAAATATAGTTAATATCTGTTAATTATTGAAAACTGACTTTAAAGAGGGAACAAGGGGAATGCTGTACTCTAAAATTAACTCTTCATAAGCTTGCTTTATAATATCCCCTTGTAAATTTTAAAATATTATTTTCTAGCTACTCTTTCTTAGATACCAGAAGTCATTTCCACTTACCTCAAAAAATAGTTAACAGGATTCTCAAGTTAACTAAAAGTGTATAATAAAACTTCACTCAGTTCCTCATTAGATCACTTGTAAAGATAAAGTGGCAACAGTCTCGGAAACAAAAGATAAGAGTACTCTATATCAGCATCTCAGTCAGACAAAGAGAGCAGCCAAAATAAAGTGGCAGATGAATTTCACTTACAAATGTAATTGTAAAAATCTAAACAAAAAATTAAGTAAAATTTAACCATGTATATAAAGAATTATCCACCTTAATGAAGTAAAAGGAAGAATTACAATCAAGGAAAAGTTTGTTATTAAGAAATCTATTAATATATCACAGATATAATGAGAAATACAAAAGCAAGTAGTCTAAAATTTAGCAACCATTTTTTTTTTCTTTTTTAAGACAGAGTCTCGCTCTGTCGCCCAGGCTAGAGTACAGTGGTGCAATCTTGGCTCACTGCAACCTCCGCCTCCCAGGTTCAAGCGATTCTCCTACCTCAGCCTCCCGAGTAGCTGGGACTACAGGTGCATGCCACCACGCCCCAATAATTTTTTGTATTTTTAGTAGAGACAGGATTTCACCGTGTTAGCCAGGATGGTCTTGATCTCCTGACCTTGTGATCCACCCGCCTCTGCCTCCCAAAGTGCTGGGATTACAGGTGTGAGCCACCACATCCAGCCAACCATTTTTGATTCTTTAAAAATCATCGCATGGGGGCCAAGCACGGTGGCTCACGCCTGTAATCCCAGCACTTTGGGAGGCCGAGGCAGATGGATCACTTGAGGTCAGGAGTTCAAGACCAGTCTGACCAATATAGTGAAACCCCACCTCTACTAAAAATACAAAAGATTAGCCAGATGTGGTGGTGCACACCTGTAGTCCCAGCTACTCGAGAGGCTGAGGCAGAATTGCTTTAACCCAGGAGGCAAGCCAAGATCGCACAACTGCACTCCAACCTGGGTGATAGAGTGAGATTCCATCTCAAAAAAAAAAAAAGTTATTGTGTGTGGAACACAATTTGGCTTCTAGCTGAATCCAGTCTCCCCCCTAAAAAAGATTTAAAAATCATAATGTGAAAGTTGTCAGAATCAAAATGGAGTCACTGATGTTAAGAAAATAAAAGAAAAACCTGACAAATAGAGCTGAAGGCCATAAAGACAGAGTTCTCATTCTTAGATGCCTGATAACAAAAACTATCACAAAAAATTGCAAAAATCACAACCTTGCCCAAAGGACATTTGCACCCATATACAAAAAATACTTCTGAAAAGACATCTGCCCAGCAACAGCCTGTCCAGCCTTGGACTGGTGTCACCATTGTTGTTGATATTTTTAGCCAAGGATAATCATTTCAAAACAATTATATAATCCTCATTTTTCCTTTAAAAACCATTACCTTCCTTTATCTCCCTGAATATGTGCATAGCTTACTATGGCATGCATATTCCCATTGCAATGCTCTATTCCAAAATAAATTCGTTATTTATTTTAGAGAGCCTCTTTCTCTTTGTCATTTAGGTTGACAATAGTAAAGTGTTTTCTGAGTTGGGCACGGTGGCTCACACCTGTAAACCCAGCACTTTGGGAGGCCAAAGCAGGTGGATCACCTGAGGTCAGGAGTTTGAGATCAGCCTGGCCAACATTTAGTTTCTACTTAAAAAAAAAATATATATATATATATATATACACACAAAAATTAGCCAGCCATGGTGGTGGGTGCCTGTAATCCCAGCTGCTCAGGAACCTGAGGTAGGAGAATTACTTGAACCTGGGAGGCGGAGGTTGCAGTGAGCCGAGATCGCGCCACTGCACTCCAGCCTGGGTGACGGAACAAGACTCTGCCTCTAAATAAGTAAATAAATAAATGTGTTTTCTGGTATGAAATGTAAGGAATTTGGAAGTCATCACTCCCATCCTCAAAACAAGAAAAAAAGATGGACATACTGAAAATCAACAACTCTTCTTAGATCTGTCAGAGAATTAAGGTTACAAGACAAACTACTGCCCCCAAAATGGAGAGACAGACAGGCAACTACATAGCCCACACCGGGACAGTAGGGACACTTTAAACTATAATTAGCAAATTACTGGAGACTCAGTGTAGACCAGCTTGAGTGTTAAAAAACTCAGAGAGGGCCCAGTCTTTGGGAGGCCCCTACATGTTCCTGAGTTTTACTTCCTCCCAGAGCCCTAACAGGTTCTTACTTTAAAGATAGAGAAAAATTCCCTCTGACTTCCAGCAGAGGGAGAGGGATAGTAAGCATTTTGAAAAACACCTAGAATTCTCTGATCTCCTTAACAGTTCTTGCCCTCCAGGGAAATTATTTATCAGAGAATAAACTGGTGTTTTACCAAAGACTAACTGACCTTTGGGAAAGGAAAACCTAATTTCACCTCCCTCTAGCCTTCAGCTGGAGGAAGAGAAATATTCCACTCCAGCCCCCTCTGGCCTTTGATGTGGAAGAAGGGTAATATCCAATTCAGACTCACTAAAAGACTGAGACCTAATTGTAGAACTATAGAATGCCCTTCCTACACTCATACCTTACAATCAAATCAGTGGGGTTCCTGTGCAATAACAGATTATAGCTAAAGGAACTGTGCCACAAACCCTATTTAAAGAGTCCCTCAGAAAGGCTAAATAAAACAGGGGAGTAAAAAACAATGACATTAGAGGACATTTTAGCCTGAGACACCATAGCTACAACAACCAGTAAACACAGCCTAACCCCCAGCCAGATAATATCAAATATCACATTAAAGGCCTATTCACCTTGGTTTCATTTACATTTACATCATGTCTGGCTTTCAAAAAAAATTATAAGGCAAGGTAAAAGGCAAAAACAGTCTACAGAGACAAGCAGAAACAGACTCAGGGATAGCAGACATTTTGGAATTATGAAACTGGGAATTTCAAAGTGAAAGAGAAATAAAGTCTTTCTCAAACAAAAATTTAAAGAATTTGTCACTAGCAGACCAGCAAGAAATGTTAAAAGAAGTTCTTCAGAGAGAAGAAAAGTGGCATAGGTAAGAAACTCATCTAGGAAAGGAGTGTTGGCGAAGGAATAAATAAAGGTAAAATAAAATATTTTTATAATTCTTAATTGATCTAACAGACAATTTGTACAAAATAATAATAGCAACAGTGTATTCGGTATTGTATCTCATGGATAAGTCAAATGTTATAAGGAACAAGAGGGAGGAATTGTTATAAAGTATTGGCACTACTCATGAAGTGGTATAGTGTTATTTGAAAATGGACTTGATCAATGGCCATAGCACCCTGAATGTTCTCAATCTCATCTGATCTTGGATGCTAAACAGGGTCAGGACTGGTTAGTACAGGGATTGGAGATGGCCTAGGAATACCACGTGCTGTAGGGTTTTTAAAAAAAGAAAGAAAATGGACTTGGGTTAATTGTAAATATGTATTGCAAACTCTAGAGTGGCCACTTTAAAAAGTTTTAAAAGTAGTATAGTTTGTATGCTAAACCAGGAAAGAAAATGAAATCATATAAAACGCTTAATTAAAATGAGAGGCCAGACTGGGCACAGTGGCTCATGCCTATAATCCTAGCACTTTAGGAGGCCGAGGCAGGTAGATTGCTTGTGGTCAGGAGTTTGAGACCAGCCTGGACAACATGGTAAAACCCCATCTCTACCAAAAAACGCAAAAATTAGTTGGACATGGTGGGACTCTCCTGTAGTCCCAGCTACTCAGGGGGCTGAAGTGGGAGAATCTCTTGAACCCAGGAGGCAGAGTTTGCAGTGCACCGAGATCATGCCACTACACTCCAGCCTGGATGACAGAGTGAGACTCTATCTCAAAAAAGAAATAGACATAAAAATTAAAATAAAATAAAATGAGAAGCCAAAAACATTAAAAAGAAGAAGAAGAAGACGAAAGAAGAAGAAGCAATAAAGAATAAAGACAACAAATGAAAACTAACGCAGTCCACAGTTGATATATACTAACTCAATGATATCATAGTCACTTAAATGTCAATGGTTTAAGTATACCACTTAAGAAATAAGAGATTGCCAAAGTGAATAGGAAAGCAAAACCCAATTGTATGTTGTCTTCAAGAAATCCATGTGAAATATGAAGGAAAGTATACCATGCTAACGCTATTCAAAGGAAAGCTGGAAATATTTATATTTCAGAGAAAGCAGACTTCAGAACAAGGAAAATTGTCAGGGTAAAGAGAGACATGGTGCAATGATAGCAGGGTCATTTCTCCAAGCTAGGATAACAGTACTTAATGCACCTGACGACGGAGCATCAAAATACATGAAGCAAATGCTGAGATAATTTTCAAGGAAAAATAGATGACTCTATTATTATAGTTGGAGACAATAACACCCCTCTATCAGTAATTGAGAGACCCAGCAGGCAGAAAATTAGTCAAGAGAGAGTTAGTACCGTAAGTCAACTAGATCTAATTTACATTTATAAAATATGTTATCCAACAACAGTAGAATGCACATGCTTCACAAACTGACATGGAACACTCACCAAGATAGACCAAATTCTGGGCCATAAAACACCTTAACAAATTTTTTTATTCGTGTGTTTTTTGTTTTTTGTTTTTTGTTTTTTGAGACGGAGTCTTGCTCTGTCGCCCAGGCTGGAGTGCAGTGGCCGATCTCGGCTCACTGCAAGCTCCGCCTCCCGGGTTCGCGCCATTCTCCTTCCTCAGCCTCTCCAAGTAGCTGGGACTACAGGCGCCCGCCACCATGCCCGGCTAATTTTTTGTATTTTTAGTAGAGACGGGTTTCACCGTGGTCTCGATCTCCTGACCTCGTGAACCGCCCGCCTCAGCCTCCCAAAGTGCTGGGATTACAAGCGTGAGCCACTGCGCCCGGCCAACAACAAATTTAAAAGACTAGACATCATACAATGTTTGCTCTCACACCACAGTAACAGAAAATGGCTGGAAAATCCCAAAACATTTGGAGATTAAATAATACACTTTTAATAACTTATTGGTCAAAGAAGGAGTTTCAGGAATAATTTAAAAATATTTTGAACTAAATGAAAATATAGTTTGTCAAAATTCGTGGGATGCAGTGCCTAGAGGGAAATTTATAGCACTGAATAAGAGGAAAGAAGAAATACTTAAGATTAGTAATCTAAGCTTCCATCCTAGGAAACTATAAAAGAAAAGCAAATTAAATACAAAGTAAGCAGAAGAAAATAAGTAATAAAAATCAGCAGAAATCAGTGAAATTGAAAACAGGAAAACAATAGAGAACATCAATGCAACCAAAATTAATCAACCTCAGGCCAGGCTAACCAAGGGGAAAAAAAGGAGAAAATACAAATTACTAATATCAGAAGTGAAAGAGAGGCCATCACTACTGATCTCATTAACATTAAAATGACAATAAATGGATATTATGAGCAATTCTATTTTCACAAATTTTTTTTTCTGTTTTGAGACAGAGTCTCGTTCTGTCACCCAGGCTGGAATGCAGTGGCGTGATCTCAGCTCACTGCAACCTCCACCTCCTGGGTTCAAGTGATTCTCCTGCCTCAGCCTCCTGGGTAGCTGGGATTACAGGTGCGTACCACCACACCTGGCTAATTTTTTTTTTTTTGTATTTTTAGTAGAAATGGGGTTTCACCAGGTTGGTCAGGCTGGTCTCAAACTCCTGACCTCGTGATCGGCCCGCCTCGGCCTCCCAATATTTCCACAAATTTGATAACTTAAATGAAATAGACCAATTCCTTAAAAGACGTATTTTACCAAAACTCATATAAACAGAAAGGGATAACCTGAATAGGTTTGATTTGATTTGATTTGATTTGATTTGATATCCATCAATATCTTCCTCAACCTGTATTGATAAAGAAATAGAATCAATCACTAATAACCTTCTAAAACAGAAAGTACTGGTTCCAGGTTATCTCATTGGTGAATTCAACTAAACATTTAAAGAACATATGATACCAATTATGTACAAGCTGTTCCAGAAAATAGAAACAATAGAATATTTCCTAATTATGTGAGGCCACACACATGAGGCCATTATGTGAGCATTACCTTAAAAACAAAACCAGACAAACACATCACAAGAAAACTATAGACCAATATCATTCATGAACATAGATGTAAAATCCTCAACAAAATATTAGCAAATTGAATCAAACAATGTATAAACAGAATTATGCATCATAACCCAGTGGAATTTTTTCCAGGTATACAAGGCTGGTTTAACAGTAGAATGTCAATTAATGTAATCCATCACCTCAATAAGCTAAATGAAAATGTAATATGAAAAGATGCAGAAAAATAATTTGACAAAATCCAACAACAATTCAAGATAAAAAAAAAACTCTCAAACTTGGAATAAAGGGGCACTTCCTCAGCTTTTTGAAAAACATATTTTTTAAAAAACCTTATAGCCAACATTATACTTACTGGTGAGAAAACTAGATACTTTTCTTTTAAGAACAAGGGAATAAGGAAAACATGTTCCTCCTTTGTTAAATTTTGACTCCTATTCAGCATAGTTCTGGAAGTCCTAGCTAGTGCAATAAGAAAAGAAAAGAAAAAGTATACAAATTTGGAAAGAAGAAATAAAACTGTCTTTCTTTGTATATGGCATGGCTGTCTGTGTAAAAAATCTTCAAGAACTGATTTTTTAAACTCCCGAAACTAATAAGCAGTTATAATGAGATTGTAGCATAACAGGGTATAAGTTAATATACAAAAGTCAATTGCTTTTCTATATTAACAGCAATGAGCAATTGGAATTTAAAATGAAAAACACAATACTATTTACATTAGCACCAAAAAAGAGAGAAAGAAATAGTTGTAACTCTAACAAAATATATACAAGATCTATATGAGGTAAACTTTTATCAAAGAAATTAAAGATCTACATAAATGGAAGGATATTTCATGGTTATGGGTAGAAAGACTCAATATTGTTGAGATATTAGTTCTTCACAAATGGATCTATCAAGTCAATTCAATTCTAATCAAAATCCAAGCAAGTTACATTGTAGATATTAACAGATTCTGAAGTTCCTATGGAAAGGCAAAAGACCCAGAATAGCCAATACAATATTGAAGAACAAACTTGGAGAACTGACACTGACTTCAAGATTTACTGTAAAACTACAGTAATCAAGACAGTGTGATATTGGCAAAAGAATAGACAAGTACGATTGACCCTTGAACAACACGGGTTTGAACTGCAAAGGTCCTCTTATTTGTGGATTTTCTTTCACCTCCGCTACCCCTGAGACAGTGAGAACAACCCCTTCCCTTCTTCCACCTCCTCAGCCTACTCAGCATGGAGACAATGAGGATGAAGATCTTGATGATGCTCTACTTCCACTTAAGAATACAGTATTCTTTATTCTAGCTTACTTTAAAATACAGTATACAATACATATAACATATAAAATATGTGTTAAACAGCTGCTTATGTTATTAGTAAGGCATCCAGTCAACAGTAGGCTATAAGTGGTTACATTTTGGAGGAGTCAAAAGTTGTACTCAGATTTTTAACTCTGCAGGAGGTTGGCACTGTAACCCTTATGTTGTTTTAAGTGTCGACTGTAGATCATTGGAACAGAGTGGTAAGCCCAGAAATAGAACAGTTATACTCTTTGTTCTACACAATATACACAACATATAGTCACAAATAAAATCAAGTGATCTGTGACAAAGGAGCAAAGGCAATACAATGGATAGTCTTTTCAACAAATTATGCTGGAACAAATAGATATCCACATGCAAAACGTGAATCTAGATGCAGATCTTACACCTTACACACACACACACACACACACACACACACACCCTCAAAATGAATCATAGACTTAAATGTAAAAAACAAAGCCATAAAACTCCTAAAATATAAACATAGAGAAAATCTATGTGACCTGAGGTTTGTTGATGAGTTTTTAGCTATATCACCAAAAGCACAACCCATGAAAGAAAAAACTGGTAAGTTGGACTTCATTAACATCTTTTTAAATCTGCCTTGAAAAAACACTGTTAAGAGAATGAAGAGACAGTCCACAGACTGGGAGAAAATATTTTCAAAACATATATCTGATAAAAGACTTGTATCCAAAATATAGAAAAAAAAATTAAAACTCAACAATTTTCTTTAAAAACCAGTTAAAATGTTGGCAAAAATCTGAACAGACACCACACCAAAGAAGATATAGAAATGGCATAGAAGAATGTAAAAATATGCTCAACATCATATGTCATTAGTAAATTACAAATTAAAACAATAATGACATACCACTATACATCTGTTAGAATGGCTGAAATCTAAAACTTTGATAATGCCACAGGTTGGCAAGGATGTGGAGCAACAGGAGCTCTCATTCATTGCTGGTGAGAATGCAAAATGGTACAGCCAATTTGGAAGACAGTATGGCAGTTTTTTAAGAAGCTAGGCATACTCTTAACATATGATCCAGTGATCACAATCCTTAGTGTTTACCCAAATGAGTTGAAAACTTATGTCCACACAAAAACCTGTACAAGAATGTTTATAGCAGCTTTATTTATAGGTGCAAAAAATTTGAAGCAACCAATATGAACCAATATGTCTGCTATAATTGGACCGTGTTTCCCCAAAATTCATATGTTGAAATCCCAATTCCCAAGGTAATGGTATTATAGGGCAGGATCTTTGAGGTGCTGTGCCCTCATGATTGGGAGTAGTGTCTTTGTAAAAGATGCACGAGAGAGCTAGCTCATTTCTTCTAACATGTGAGGACACAACTAGAAGGCACCATCTATGAAGCAGCAAGTGGGCCTTCACCAGACACTGAATCTGCCAGCACCTTGATCTTGGACTTTCCAGCCTCCAGAACTGTGGGAAATAAATTTGTGTGGTTTATAAGCTATTAATTTATACTATTTTGTTATAGAATCCTGAGTGAACTAAAACAATGTCCAATGAATAAATGGATAAACAAACTGTGGTATATCCATACAATGGAATATTATTCAGCATTAAAAATAAATGAGCTATCAAGCCACAAAAATGTATAAAGGAACTTTAAATGCATACTGCTAAGTTAAAGAAGTCAGTATGAAAAGGTTACATGCTGTATGATTCCAACTATATGACACTCTTGAGGGGTAAAACTGTACAGTCAGTAAAAAAAAAGATCATATATTTACTTCTTTAAGATGCAAATTTGTTTGTCACATATTTGCTAGGAATTTTAAGTAGATGAATGACTATCACATACATTAGATAAGATACCTTGTCAAAATGCTTAGCACAATATATGATACTTATGAGGTGCTTAATAAATGTTGAATGAATGAGTGCATTAAAGAATAAAAGAATGAATGCCACTCTTTTCTTTTTAATATAAGCATAGCTTAGTAAATTTATTTTAAAAACACACATGAAGCTGGGCGCAGTGGCTCATGCCTGTAATCCCGGCACTTTGGGAGGCTGAGGCAGGTGGATCACCTGAGGTCAGGAGTTCATGACCAGCCTGGTCAACATAGTGAAATCCCATCTCTACTACAAATATGAAAATTAGCCATGCGTGGTGGCAATTGCCTGTAATCCCAGCTACTTGGGAGGCAGAGGGAGGAGAATCGCTTGAACCTGGGAGGCGGAGGTTGCAGTGAGTGGAGACTGCACCATTGCACTTCAGCCTGGGCAACCAGAGTGAAACTCAGTCTCAAAAACAAAAACACACACACATACATGAATCAATTAAAGATATAATTTTGTTTATACAGAGTAAAGTAATATGCTGATAAATGTATTATGTATTTACATAATCATGTGTTATGTGTTATATTATAAAACCCATATCCAGATGAATACATTTACTGACATAGAGTAAACTTTTATTCTCATATCTTAAATTTTATTTTAATATAGGGACTGCGAGGACTGCAAGGTGATGTTGGACCTCCTGGAGAAATGGGCATGGAGGTAAATTTTTTGTGGCTAGTTCTTCTTCATAAATATTCTACTTTTTGTAAGACTCTAAGGTAAAATTAATAATTAAATATATACTATGAGGAATAATTCTATAGTATTGTTTCATATTCAGAAAAAAACTAAAATTCCATTAAAAGCAGAGATGATTATTATATGTCTAATTTTATACATATAAAGTTCTACTCTAATAATTACCTCATTGAAATGACAGAACAAAAAGTAGATAGAGCTTTCCCTTCACTGATTTAAAGTTGACTTGATAACCTTTCATCCTAAGATATTATATGCCCTGTATAGAAGAATACTGAGACATTACCCAATTTGGGATATATTTTGGAATTATAAGCCAAATTTGTTATAAATATCCAATTATTTTATTTCCATTGTTTGTAACTTTAGCACTAAATAAATCAAATTCTTTCCTTCCTTGGCTGCTGTGAAACTGCTCTCTCCTGTTGTCACTTCACCTTCTCATTAGCCTTTCTCAGTCTTGACCTGAAGTTGCCCTTTTACTTCCTTGGCTTAGTGATCATATTATCACAGTGACTTTAAGTACCAATATTACTCTGATAGCTCTCAACTTGGTAGCTGTATTTTATACCTCTCTCCTCAGATCCAATTATTGATTTCCTGTTATCTTTTTAAACATCCACCTAGATATCCCACAGACATCTACAATTCAAAATATCTAAACCAAATCCATTACTGTCCCACTGTTCTTCCTCTGTTTAATTCCCATCTCAATGAAAGATATCCCTTATACCCAATAACCCAAAACTAAGAGTCATCCTAGACTCCTTCTTCTACCTAATCCTCTCAAATCAGTGACCATTTCCTTTTGAATAGGCCTGCCCCTGCCCATTCTCTCTTAAATCTACCCTTTCCTTTTTATCCCTATTGCCAGTGTAATAGCCCCTACACTCTCATGCCATGTCTCCTCCAACTCCTATAATTCCATCTTCTACTTGTTGCCGGTTTATCATTCTTATATCATTCGTTTCCTTTAAATGTTTCAAGAGCTCTCATGGCCTTTAGGATAAAATGCCAATTTCTTAACATGATAAGTAATGGTTTACATGATTTAATTTCTGCAGACCTGTTCACCCGTGTCCCCAATAAAACTCTTCTCTTCCCTAAAGGGAAGGGAGGGGCACACATAGCATGTTTATAAATAAGGTAAATATCTCTTGGAGACAAAAATAGTTGTAACATCAAGCAATAGTAGGAACTTTAGGCCTGGAAATAGCCAGAGGTTGCAAGAACTTCTATGTTCTCAAAGTAAAGAAAACTGAAAGCTTCCCAACAAAAATGGACCCACCATGAAAGAAGGCTGGAAAAGAAGCTCTGTGTGTGTGTGTGTGTGTGTGTGTGTGTGTGTGTGTGTGTGTGTGTGTGTCTTTTATAATGTGAATAAATTTATCTCTTATTTGCATGATATTTTTATGAAACCAATAAGGAAAAGTGAATTTTTTAAGTAAGTAGATTCCTGAAGGCACTACAGAAAGGGAAAGGAAGAACAAATCCCTTTAGATGAGGTTTAAAGGATGAGAGAAAGGATTAGAAGAAATGGATCTTAAAAGTCCTAATTTTAGACGAAGTTGTCTTGACATTTAAACAATTAAAGGGTGTCAGAAAGAATCTGCTCTTATGCTATGAAGTTTATAAAGGGACAGCAATTATGCCCTTTTGGACACAGGTATCTCACCCTTGAGTTCAGTGTTACCACCATCTTCTCATGAGATTGCTATTGCCTTTGTAATGTGTTAAATTATTCTCTTGTAGGGACCTCCAGGCACTGAGGGAGAGTCTGGTCTGCAAGGTGAACCAGGTGCAAAGGTAACCTTCTAAAAAATAAAGGAGAATCTCTAAACTTTCACCATTGAACCCCCTACATTTGCTACCATTGAATCCCCTATATTTGCTAACTTGAAAGCAGGTGGAAGCCCCCAGATAAAAACAGGAAATGTTTTGGAACTCCTATTCCTTATGACAGCAGTCCCCAACCTATTTGGCTGGCACCAGGGACAAGTTTCATGGAAGACAGTTTTTCCACAGATGGAAGCAGAGCAGGGGATGGTTTCAGGATGAAACTGTCCTACCTCGGATCATCAAGCATTAGATTCTCATAAGGACTGAGCAACCCAGATCCCTCGAATGCACAGTTGACAATAGGGTTCGTGTTTCTATGAGAATCTAATGCTGCCACTGATCTGACAGGAGGTGGAGCTCAGACAGTAATGCTGGCTCACCAGCTGCTCACCTGCTGTTTTGCAGCCCATTTCCTAACAGGCCTTGGACAGGTACCCTCTACGGCCCAGGCGTTGGGGAACTGTGCCGTATGGCATGCCCTCCATAATTAGCCATGCAGTCTTAGTAGAAAAGAGTTTAATCTTTCCCTTTGTTTCTTCAGGGAGATGTTGGAACTGCTGGCAGTGTTGGAGGAACTGGGGAACCAGGTTTACGGGTGAGTGCCCCCTTGAAACTCTTTTAATACACTAACCCACTTCTTTCAGAGGCTCAAAACTTATTATTCGAAACACTCAAAAAATTGGATAATAAACCTTTCTGATACATTATAGAAAATGTTTGGTTTCATTTCATACTTTCAAAAGCTGCATCCCAAACCTTGTCCCTATTCTAATTTAGTAGTATTTACAGTCTTAACCTCATATGTCCTTTTCTCAAAATCAGGTATACTTTGCAGAACCCTTACCAAAAATGTGGAGTCACTGTGATTGTCACTAATGTTAGCATTAAGAAGAAATTCACAAATACCAGTGAACAACTCTCAGAATAGTTCCTGACCTAACAAGATTGAAATCTAATTTATAGATTTAACTTGCTCTAAAAAAAAACCAAACCTATGATCATGCAAAGTTAACAAGATGCAAGGACATAATTGTAAATTGTTGCAATTAGATAGCTTTGAGACGTTATGCTAATATAGACAGCCTTTATTTTGAGCTGTGGTAAGGAGTTTTTTCCTAAGATAATAGGGCCCAAGATAATTTTAACAGACATTTATTCACTAAAAGGCAAAGTAGGGAGATATATTTTGCATCTGGCTTCTTCCTTTTTACTTTCTCTTTTTTGGGTGGGGTGGGGTGAATGGGAAAGATGGAGCAACTATAAATATGCACTAATTAATTTACTTTTAAATAATTTTAGTATCAAGAGAGCCAGTCCTACTTTAATAGCTTCATAAAGTATGGCTCTACATTTCTGCAAGTTCCATATCTAAAAGACAACTAATTAATGTACCGGAGCCTTAGTCTTTTTTTTTTATGTATTTTAAGTTCTAGGGTACATGTGCACAACGTGCAGGTTTGTTACATATGTATACATGTGCCATGTTGGTGTGCTGCACCCATTAACTTCTCATTTACATTAGATATATCTCCTAATGCTATCCCTTCCCCCTCCCCTACCCCACGACAGTGTGTGATGTTCCCCTTCCTGTGTCCAAGTGTTCTCATTGTTTATTTCCCACCTATAAGTGAGAACATGCAGTGTTTGGTATTTTCTCCTTGTGATAATTTGCTGAGAATGATGGTTTCCAGCTTCATCCATGTCCCAACAAAGAACATGAACTCATCCTTTTTTATGGCTGCATAGTATTCCATGGTGTATATGTGCCACATTTTCTTAATCCAGTCTATCATTGATGGACATTTGGGTTGGTTCCAAGTCTTTGCTATAGTGAATAGTGCCACAATAAACATACATGTGCATGTGTCTTTATAGCAGCATGATTTATAATCCTTTGGGTATACACCCAGTAATGGGATTGCTGGGTCAAATGGTATTTCTAATTCTAGATCCTTGAGGAATCGCCACACTGTCTTCCACAATGGTTGAACTAGTTTACAGTCCCACCAACAGTGTAAAAGTGTTCCTATTTCTACACATCCTCCTCTCCAGCATTTGTTGTTTCCTGACTTTTTAATGATCGCCATTCTAACTGGTGTGAGATGGTATCTCATTGTGGTTTTGATTTGCATTTCTCTGATGGCCAGTGATGATGAGCATTTTTTCATGTGTCTGTTGGCTGCATAAATGTCTTCTTTTGAGAAGTGTCTGTTCATATCCTTCACCCACTTGTTGATGGGCTTGTTTTTTTCTTGTAAGTTTGTTTGAGTTCTTTGTAGATTCTGGATATTAGCCCTTTGAAAGATGGGTAGATTGCAAAAATTTTCTCCCATTCTGTAGGTTGCCTGTTCACTCTGATGGTAGTTTCTTTTTCTGTGCAGAAGCTCTTTAGTTTAATTAGATCCCATTTGTCAATTTTGGCTTTTGTTGCCATTGCTTTTTGTGTTTTAGACATGAAGTCCTTGCCCATGCCTATGTCCTGAATGGTAATGCCTAGGTTTTCTTCTAGGGTTTTTATGGTTTTAAGTGTAACATTTAAGTCTTTAATCCATCTTGAATTAATTTTTGTATAAGGTGTAAGAAAGGGATCCGTTTTCAGCTTTCTACATATGGCTAGCCAGTTTTCTTAACACCATTTACTAAATAGGGAATCCTTTCCCTATTTCTTGTTTTTGTCAGGTTTGTCAAAGATCAGATGGTTGTAGAGATGTGGTGTTATTTCTGAGGGCTCTGTTCTGTTCCATTGGTATATATCTCTGTTTTGGTACCAGCTGTTTTGGTTACAGTAGCCTTCTGGTATAGTTTGAAGTCAGGTAGTGTGATGCCTCCAGCTTTGTTCTTTTGGCTTAGGATTGTCTTGGTAATGCAGGCTCTTTTTTGTTTCCATATGAACTTTAAAGTAGTTTTTTCCAATTCTGTGAAGAAAGTCATTGGTAGCTTGATGGGGATGGTATTGAATCTATAAACTACCTTGGGCAATATGGCCATTTTGACAATATTGATTCTTCCTATCCATGAGCATGGAATGTTCTTCCATTTGTTTGTGTCCTCTTTTATTTCGTTGAGCAGTGGTTTGTAGTTCTCCTTGAAGAGGTCCTTCACATCCCTTGTAAGCTGGATTCCTAGGTATTTTATTCTCTTTGAAGCAATTGTGAATGGGAGTTCACTCATGATTTGGCTGTTTGTCTGTTATTGGTGTATAAGAATGCTTGTGATTTTTGCACATTGATTTTGTATCCTGATACTTTGCTGAAGTTGCTTATCAGCTTAAGGAGATTTGGGGCTGAAACGATGGGGTTTTCTAAATATACAATCATGTCATCTGCAAACAGGGACAATTTGACTTCCTCTTTTCCTAATTGAATACCCTTTATTTCTTTCTCCTGCCTGATTGCCCTGGCCAGAACTTCCAACACCATGTTGAACAGGAGTGGTGAGAGAGGGCATCCCTGTCTTGTGCCAGTTTTCAAAGGGAATGCTTCCAGTTTTTTGCCCATTCAGTATGATATTGGCTGTGGGTTTGTCATAAATAGCTCTTATTATTTTGAGATATGTCCCATCAATACCTAATTAATGGAGAGTTTTTAGCATGAAGGGCTGTTGAATTTTGTCAAAGGCCTTTTCTGCATCTGTTGATATAATCATGTGGTTTTTATCTTTGGTTCTGTTTATATGCTAGATTACATTTATTGATTCGCATATGTTGAACCAGCCTTGCATCCCAGGGATGAAGCCCACTTGATCATGGTGGATAAGCTTTTTGATGTGCTGCTGGATTTAATTTGCTAGTATTTTATCAAGGATTTTTCCACTGAAGTTCATCAGGGATATTGGTCTAAAATTCTCTTTTTTTGTTGTGTCTCTGCCAGGCTTTGGTATCAGGATGATGCTGGCCTCATAAAAAGAGTTAGGGAGGATTCCTCTTTTTCTGTTGATTGGAATAGTTTCAGAAGGAATGGTACCAGCTCCTCCTTGCACCTCTGGTAGAATTCGGCTGTGAATCCATCTGGTCCTGGACTTTTTTTGGTTGGTAGGCTATTAATTATTGACTCAATTTAGAGCCTATTATTGGTCTATTCAGGGATTCAACTTCTTCCTGGCTTAGTCTTGGGAGGGTGTGTGTGTCCAGGAATTTATCAATTTCTTCTAGATTTTCTAGTTTATATGCATAGGGGTGTTTGTAGTATTCTCTGATGGTAGTTTGTATTTCTGTGGGATCGGTGGTGATAACCCCTTTATCATTTTTTATTGCATCTATTTGATTCTTCTCTCTTTTCTTCTTTATTAGTATTGCTAGCGGTCTATCAATTTTGTTGATCTTTTCAAAACACCAGCTCTTGGATTCATTGATTTTTTGAAGGGTTTTTTCTGTCTCTATCTCCTTCAGTTCTGCTCTGATCTTAGTTGTTTCTTGCCTTCGGTGTGCTTTTGAATGTGTTTGCTCTTGCTTTTCTAGTTCTTTTAATTGTGATGTTAGGGTGTTAATTTTAGATCTTTCCTGCTTTCTCTTGTGAGCATTTAGTGCTATAACTTTCCCTCTACATACTGCTTTAAATGTGTCCCAGAGATTCTGGTGTGTTGTGTCTTTGTTCTCATTGGTTTCAAAGAACATCTTTATTTCTGCCTTCATTTCGTTATGTACCCAGTAGTCATTCAGGAGCAGGTTGTTCAGTTTCCATGTGGTTGAGCAGTGTTGAGTGAGTTTCTTAATCCTGAGTTCTAGTTTGATTGCACTGTGGTCTGAGAGACAGTTTGTTATAATTTCTGTTCTTTTACACTTGCTGAGGAGTGCTTTACTTCCAACTATGTGGTCAATTTTGGAATAAGTGTGATATGGTGCTGAGAAGAATGTATATTCTGTTGATTTGGGGTGGAAAGTTCTGTAGATGTCTATTAGGTCTGCTTGGTGCAGAGCTGAGTTCAATTCCTGGATATCCTTGTTAACTTTCTGTCTCATTGATCTGTCTAATGTTGACAATGGGGTGTTAAAGTCTCCCATTATTATTGTGTGGGAGTCTAAGTCTCTTTGTAGGTCTCTGAGGACTTGCTTTATGAATCTGGGTGCTCCTGTATTGGGTGCATGTATATTTAGGATAGTTAGCTCTTCTTGTTGAATTGATCCTTTTACCATTATGTAATGGCCCTCTTTGTCTCTTTTGATCTTTGTTGGTTTAAAGTCTTTTTATCAGTGACTAGGATTGCAACCCCTGCCTTTTTTTGTTTTCCATTTGCTTGGTAGATCTTCCTCCATCCCTTTATTTTGAGCCATCGTGTGTCTCTGCACATGAGATGGGTTTCCTGAATACAGCACACTGATGGGTCTTGACTCTTTATCCAGTTTGCCAGTCTGTGTCTTTTAGTTGGAGCATTTAGCCCATTTACATCTAAGGTTAATATCGTTGTGTGTGAATATGATCCTGTCATTATGATGTTAGCTGGTTGTTTTGCTCATTAGTTGATGCAGTTTCTTCCTAGCATCGATGGTCTTTACAATTTGGCATGTTTTTGCAGTGGCTGGTCCTGGTTGTTCCTTTCCGTGTTTAGTGCTTCCTTCAGGAGCTCTTGTAGGGCAGGCCTGGTGGTGACAAAATCTCTCAGCATTTGTTTGTCCTTAAAGGATTTTATTTCTCCTTCACTTATGAAGCTTAGTTTGGCTGAATATGAAATTCTGGGTTGAAAATTCTTTTCTTTAGGAATGTTGAATGTTGGCCCCCACTCTCTTCTGGCTTCTAGAGTTTCTGCCAAGAGATCCGCTGTTAGTCTGATGGGCTTTCCTTTGTGGTTAACCCGACCTTTCTCTCTGGCTGCCCTTAACATTTTTTCCTTCTTTTCAACTTTGGTGAATCTGACAATTATGTGTCTTGGAGTTGCTCTTCTCAAGGAGTATCTTTGTGGTGTTCTCTGTATTTCCTGAATTTGTACGTTGCAGAGCCTTAATCTTTACCTCTCTACTTAAAGGGAGAAAATATGGAAACTCTAAAAATCTGGTAGAGTGGTCATAACTGAATCAAGTTTTATTAACCCATGTAAATACAATATAGCAAAGCACTATAACTTTATGAGATGCAGTATTTACATTTCTTGAACTCAGAAACACAAGTCTAGCTATGTAAAATTCTAGAGCTACCAAATGGATATATATTACTTTAATTATCTAAAATTTATTAATATTCTGGAATCATCTTATATTTGAATTTATGACACTCTGAATCATGAAATCATCTTCAGAGCTATTCAAGGCAAATTAAATCATTCTCATTTTACTGTCAAATCCTCTTTAGAAATAAAGTAGTAGAAATAAGTGAACACAAATTTGCTATTTTCCATATATACTATGGGCTAAAAATAAAATAAGATAAATGATATAGCAAAAAAAAACTCAATCATACTCTTTCTGCTACAAAATAGGGTGAACCAGGAGCTCCTGGAGAAGAAGGTCTCCAGGGAAAAGATGGGTTAAAGGTAAATTATACTTTTAAGATTATATATAAAATAGATGTTTTGTAAAATCTTTAAAATATTAGACATCATTGTTTTTGTGTGACAAAAACCTGTTTATTATTGGCATAATTATTTCACTGTATTCCTTTATAGAAAACTTTTTTATTGCATTACAGGGAGTACCAGGAGGAAGGGGACTTCCTGGAGAGGATGGAGAAAAAGGAGAGATGGGCTTACCAGGAATTATAGGACCCTTGGGTAGATCAGGCCAAACAGGCCTTCCGGTAAGTACTGCTGGGTTCACTTTCAAATACTAAGTGAATTCACTGCCTGTATGTGT
Organism: Homo sapiens; assembly: GCF_000001405.40. Classification (NCBI taxonomy): domain Eukaryota; kingdom Metazoa; phylum Chordata; class Mammalia; order Primates; family Hominidae; genus Homo; species Homo sapiens. The sequence goes on along the minus strand of NC_000001.11, from coordinate 85,868,462 downwards.
ACACATGCACAAACCTACACACACTCTGACCTCCTTATATATCCAGTGGATAATTGTATATGTGAAACTGTGGCTAGAGAGAAGGAAAAGTCAAGGACTGATTATCAGCCCTCCTAAGATCCAAAGAGGAAAGATACTTTTTCCATAAGCCATGTAACTTCTGTCATAAAGCATTTATAAAGGAATGTTTTATGTTGTCTCAAACTGAGTTTGATTAAATATTTTGGATCTTTATTCCTATAACTGACATTATTGTTGTAGAGTAATATCGCAGCTCCAGGATGAAACAAGAAATTCTTTGCAAGCATAATATGAGCTATCAGATCTGATCCTGAATTTTGTTATTACTTCAAAGGAAGTTCTAAACATCATTTTGAACAAATTCTCTCACCTCAAGACAAGTGGAAGATGTGAATAAATAATAAGAGTAATGGCCAGGCCTGTAATCCCAGCACTTTGGGAAGCTGAAGTGGGTGGATCACCTGAGGTCAGGAGTTAGAGACCAGCCTGGCCAACATGGTGAAACCCCTTCTCCACCAAAAATACAAAAATTAGCTGGGCACCATGGTGCGTGCTTGTAATCCCAGCTACTCAGGAGGCTGAGGCAGGAGAATCGCTTGAACCCAGGAGGCAGAGGTTACAGTGAGCCAAGATCGTGTCACTACACTCCAGCCTGGGAGACAGAGTGAGACTCCATCTCAAAAAGAGAGAGAGAGACAGACTGAGAGAGAGAAAATAGCATCTTTTTTGCTTAAATGCTTAATTTATTATAGTCTTCCAGATACAGCCTATCTGGTCATTCTATTGTTTCATTTTACTGTTCCCTTTTTCTTGTCTCATATCTTTAAACGTGGGTTCTCCTCAAAGTTATTGTCTTTACTTCTGTAAATGTTCATGCCTTTGGAGGTATTGTCCTATCTTGGGAGTCATCCCTTTTGACCCTACCAGAAAATGGTTTCTCTTTCTTCTGTACTCTGGCAGTTTTATTCTGCCTTTTAAAGATTACAGCATTTAAGCATGTGGGTCTCTTCCCCAAGAGAAAACATAGCTCTTCAAAACCAGATGCTCTGTCTTTACTCCTTCCCATAAACCACAGTGCTTCTGTGCTCCAGTATTTCCACATTGGGGCTCAGTAAAGACTGAGGAACTAATTATGAGTAAACTGATCATGCAGGCAGGCTGGAAGACAAAGTAGTGGTTTACAGTGTTTATAATTTTCAGCTTTTTTTTCTGTCCTTCTCTTTTCCTCTGGTTTCTAACCTGCAGATCATTGAATGGGCCCTGCCCCAATCAGCTCAATTAGGTTTGCAGGACTAAGAGGAAAGCTCTATCTGGAAGAAAACAACAAATATCTTAAATGAAACACAAACTAGCTGTCTTACCATTCATTTTTATCAATGACTATAATTCCTTTAGCAGCAATTAAAATAATATTATAACACATCTACCCCCAAATAATAGCATATTTCAAAGTAACATTTGAAGAATGAAGATAAACCAGAAGTATAAGATTATTTTTGAGCACTGGCAAATGGCAACTTTTTTCTTTTCAGTTTTACAGCAGTGGTAAGTGCCCATTTCTTCTCTGTCCTTCCCTCAGACCTGGAGAACTGTGATGGGTGTTCCAGCACAGCAAATACAAAGTACTTAGGAATCCCAAAAACTTATCTTATTTATTTATTTATTTATGAGATAGAGTCTCACTCTGTCACCCAGGCTGGAGTGCAATGGCATGATCTAGGCTCACTGCAACCTCCACCTCCCGGGTTCAAGAGATTCTGTTACCTCTGCCTCCAGAGTAGCTGGGACTACAGGCACGCACCACCATGCCAGGCTAATTTTTATATTTTTAGTAGAGACGGGGTTTTACCATGTGGGTCAGGCTGGTCTCAAACTCCTGACCTCAAGTGATCCACCGGACTCGGCCTTCCAAAGTGCTGGGATTACATGTGTAAGCCTCCATGCCCAGCTCCCAAAATTATCTTAAACATCATTAGTCCAAACATTAAACAATATAATTTCACTTATATACTGTCATAGAATCCTCCCAATAACCTATAGATGTTATTATTCCCTATTTTACAACTGGGAAAAAACTTAGAAAAAGCTAAGAGATTTGTACAAGATAATATAGCAGATGGCACTGCTTTATTTATTTACTAAAGAATAATCACTAAAGAAATTATTAATAAAGAATCTTTTCTTTTAGGCAGAGTCTCACTCTCACCCAGAAGTGCAGTGGCACGATCTTGGCTCACTGCAACCTCTGCCTCCCGGGTTCAAGTGATTCTCCTGCCTCAGCCTCCCAAGTAGCTGGGAGTACAGGCACCCACCACCATGCCCACCTAATTTCTGTATTTTTAGTAGAAATGGGGTTTCACCATGTTGGCCAGGCTGTTCTCAAACTCCTGAACTCAAGTGATCCCCCTACTTTGGCCTCCCAAAGTGCTGGGATTACAGGCATGAGCCGCTACACCCAGCCATTAAAGAAATTTCTTTATTTTCTAAGCCTCGCTTACCCATGGGTTAACCAGCTTTGGCCCCATATTTTTCCTTTCTAGAGTTCTTAATAATTTTCATCTTTGTTAGAGGACTCATCCCTCTTCCATTAGTGTCAGGCCTGGACCCACAGAGAAGCCAAGTAACAAATGCCAAGAAAGTGTGATTATCTTCCTGATCATTCTTGTCAAATTTGTTTTCAGGTTAAAAAACCACCAACAGTTATTCATACTTTAGTATGTATATTTAAAAAATCAACTAGCATAGTTCTCTAGCAGAATCCTAAGAGTTTGTAGAGAGGGAAAAAACAGAATTAAGAAAAGGGAAAGTCTAAACATATACCGTAGAATACCACAGCAAGGAATCCCAAAGAGGAATGATACAGTATGACAGCTGGTGACGAGTAGAGCAGAGATGGAAATGGGACTCAAAACAAGGCATGGAAAAATGATAAACACAGATTTCATCTGCTTCATAATTTTTCCCAGGAAAAATCATGCCTAGTACACATCTTTGGTGCCTTTTTTTAGTAACACCACATGTGTGTTTTTTTATTCTTTTTGTTGTTCTCCTTGGAATTTTAAATGGCTTTCAGCTTGTAAACTCAATAAAAATACCATGGCATATTTTTTCAAAAGAATTTTGCAATCCAAGGAACTATTGCTTAATCAGGCACCCTAATGCTGGATTTATTTTTGCACTTTAAAAATTCTTCCTTAGACAGTGTCACAAAGATGCTACCTTGGATTCCTACAAAATAAATAAGAAAGAGAGTGAGAGAAAGAAATAAAACTTTTTTTTTTTTCAAGAAAAGAAAAGATCTCCTTACTTCCTAGAGGACTGCAGAATGAGATCTGGATTGAAAAATAAAGCAAGGGAAGCATCAGTAATGAATTCCAAATCCAGGAGTTAGATTTCTTTAAACAGAAAAAAAAATTGTATATTTTATGCTTGAATCTTGTGCTAAAATGTTCAGTTGCCTAAATGCATAACTCTGCATGAGAAAAGAATTGGGAAGCATCTGAAAGGAAACATCTGCCTGACTTACGGTCTGTTATCTATGCTAAAAAATCTACCACTGTGTTATCTAAGATCTGAACAGATTTGCAACTATAAACTCCAAAGTTGGATGTATTAAAATGAAATTGTCCTGTTTTATATGTTTAGGACAAAATTTGGTTGGATTTATTGAAATGTGGTTTTTACTATCTGTTTAAGGTGGTATGATATTAGGTAGAGGTAAATATCTTAAGGGAAGATAAAATGAAATAAAGTGACCTTCTCCAATAAGTTTTTTAAATAAGATCTTAAAAGTGAAGTCATAAAGATGAGAAGATTATCAATAGTTAGAAAAGAATGATAAGATATATGTTTCTTGTTTCTTTTTTTAATAGCAAATGTTTATAATGTCTATTTTTTATATATATACTTTAAGTTCTAGGGTACATGTACACAACGTGCAGGTTTGTTACATATGTATACATGTGCCATGTTGGTGTGCTGCACCCATTAACTAGTCATTTACATTAGATATATCACCTAATGCTATCCCTCCCCCCTCCCCCATCCCACGACAGTGTGTGATGTTCCCCTTCCTGTGTCCAAGTGTTCTCATTGTGCAATTCCCACCTATGAGTGAGAACATGCGGTGTTTGGTTTTTTGTCCTTGCGATAGTTTGCTGAGAATGATAGCTTCCAGCTTCATCCATGTCTCAACAAAGGACATGAACTCATCCTTTTTTATGGCTGCATAGTATTCCATGGTGTGTTCATGCCACATTTTCTTAATCCAGTCTATCATTGATGGACATTTGGGTTGGTTCCAAGTCTTTGCTATTGTGAATAGTGCTGCAATAAACCCACGTGTGCATGTGTTTTTATAGCAGCTTGATTTATAATCCTTTGGGTATATACCCGTAATGGGATTGCTGGGTCAAATGGTATTTCTAGTTCTAGATCCTTGAGGAATCGCCACACTGATTTCCACAATTGTTGAACTAGGTTACAGTCCCACCAACAGTGTAAAAGTGTTCCTATTTCTCTACATCCTTCTCTCCCCCACTTGTTGTTTCCTGACTTTTTAATGATTGCCATTCTAAGTGGTGTGAGATGGTATCTCATTGTGGTTTTGATTTGCATTTCTCTGATGGCCAGTGATGATGAGCATTGTTTCATCTGTCTGTTGGCTGCATAGATGTCTTCTTTTGAGAAGTGTCTGTTCACTTTGCCCACTTGTTGATGGGGTTGTTTGTTTTTTTCTTGTAAGTTTGTTTGAGTTCTTTGTAGATTCTGGATATTAGCCCTTTGTCAGATGAGTAGATTGCAAAAATTTTCTCCCATTCTATAGGTTGCCTGTTCACTCTGATGGTAGTTTCTTTTTCTGTGCAGAAGCTCTTTAGTTTAATTAGATCCCATTTGTCAATTTTGGCTTTTGTTGCTATTGCTTTTTGTGTTTTAGACATGAAGTCCTTGCCCATGCCTATGTCCTGAATGGTATTGCCTAGGTTTTCTTCTAGGGTTTTTATGGTTTTAGATCTAACATTGAAGTCTAGCATTCCCTTTGAAAACTGGCACAAGACAAGGATACCCTCTCTCACCACTCCTACTCAACATAGTGTTGGAAGTTCTGGCCAGGGCAATCAGGCAGGAGAAAGAAATAAAGGGTATTCAATTAGGAAAAGAGGAAGTCAAATTGTCCCTGTTTGTGGATGACATGATTGTATATTTAGAAAACCCCATCGTCTCAGCCCAAAATCTCCTTAAGCTGATAAGCAACTTCAGCAAAGTCTCAGCATACAAAATCAATGTGCAAAAATCACAAGCATTCTTATGCACCAATAACAGACAAACAGAGAGCTAAATCATGAGTGAACTCCCATTCACAATTGCTTCAAAGATAATCAAATATCTAGAAATCCAACTTACAAGGGATGTGAAGGACCTCTTCAAGGAGAACTACAAACCACTGCTTAATGAAATAAAAGAGGACACAAACAAATGGAAGAACATTCCATGCTCATGGATAGGAAGAATCAGTATCATGAAAATGGCCATATTGCCCAAGGTAATTTATAGATTCAATGCCATCCCCATCAAGCTACCATTGACTTTCTTCACAGAAGTGTTTCTTGTTTCTAACATAGTTTCCTTGGAAACAATCAGTTGGGAATTTAGGGTCAGCATTAAGTGGCATTATGGAGTAAATGATTATCTAACTCTTTATCATCTGAATGGTTTCTGTGACTCTGGTGTTAGGCTTGTTTATTCTGAACAGTTTCATCATAAAGCAACACAAATAGCAAGCCCTGCACTGACCACTGTGTCCCTCATCTCCCACTAAAGAGCTGTACATTGTTGAGTGAGTCATTCTTTGATTTATATGTTCACACATGACACAAAACAAACGGGTTGGAGCTATGCAGAACTTCCCAAGATGATTGTGTCAGGAGGGATGCTAAGTTAGCAGGGCCCCATTTTTTCTATTCCTGTATCAGTCAGGAATGGTCCTTGTATGTCTTTTTAACATAGATTTTTAACGTAGATTTTCTTTGGAAGTAAAGGTTCTAAGGCTTTAAAAAAATTCATTGTCTTAGATTTTCTAAACTTTTATTCAGCCTTACAGACTGTGATTCTATAAAATATTTGTGTTCATTTGTGAATTCGATGAAGTTTTTGAGTACCTTCTATGAGCCAAGAACTCTGCTAAACATTAGGGATACAGTGGGGAACAAGACTACCAAGTTTCCTGATCCTCAAATGTTATAATCTAATGAAGAAGACTGAAAGATTAAAAGATCACTGCAGATTGTGATAATGCAATAATGGAAATAAACATACTAATGAAAGAGAATAACTGATTATGGGTAGAAAAGCCAACTAGTTAAAGATAGAGAACATATATCAGCTAGGGTAGTGAGAGAAGGCTTCTCTGAATAGGGGACAATTACATTGAGACATGGAGAGTAAAAAGGAACCCATCAAGCAAAGAACTGTGGGAAGATCCTTCAAGATAGATGAAGCAGCAATGGCCAAGATATAGAGGTGAGAATGAGCTGAGTATTTTTAGAAAACTAAAAGGGTATTACAGCTGCAGCATAATAAATAGTGAAAAGTTGTTTGAGATGAGCTTGAAGAAATAGGTAGGAAGTAGATCATGAAGGACTTTTTAAGCTATGATAAGAAATTTGGGTTTTATTCAAAGTGTGGTTAGTGTTATTGGCTATCTCAAGAAATGAAACGAATTACAGGAAAAGAACAAAATAAATTTCACTTAGAAAAGCACATCATACGCCAAGACAATTCAGTGAGAGAAAGAATGGTCTTTTCACCAAATAGTGCTGGAACAACTGGATAACCACATGCAAAAGAATAAAGTTGAACCCTTCCTTCTACTGCAGAAAAAAATGAACTCCAAATGAGTCATAGACCTAAATGTAAGAGCTAAAACTGTAAAAGTCTTAGAAGAAAACATGGGAGTACGTCTTCTAAGATAAATTGGACTTCATTAAAATTAAAAGATTGTTGGTTCATAGGACACAATCAAGAAAGTAAAAGATCAACCCACATAATAGGAGAAAATATTTGAAAATCATATATGATAAGGGACTCGTATCCAGAATATATTAACAATCTGATAATAAGATAATTAACATAAGTGAAAAATGGACAGACTTAAATATCTCCAAAGAAGATATACAAATGACTAATAAGTGCATGAAAAGATGCTCAATATCATTACAAATATCAGGAAAATGCAAATCAAAACCACAATGAGATACCACTTCATACCTACTAGGATGGTTAGTGTTAATGAGGATATAGAGAAATTGGAACCCTTATACATTGCTGATGAGATATAAAATCTGCAGTTTCTTCGTAAACCAGTTTGGCGGTTCTGCAAAATGTTAAACATGGACTTACCATATGACCCAGCAATTCCACTTCTAGGTACGTATGTCCAAGAGAATTGCATTTAAACAAAAGCTTGTACATGAATTTTCACAGCACATGATTTATAAGAGCGAAAAAGTAGAAACAACCCAAATGGGCATCACCTGATGAATTAATAAATAACATGCGAAATATTATTTGACAATAAAAAGGAATGGTGTACGAGTACATGGTGCAGCATGGATTAACCTCGAAAACATTATGCTAAATGAAAGAAGCAATTCACTAGAAACCACATATTGAATTGTTTTTTGTTTATTTCTTTTTGTTTTTGAGACAGAGTCTTGCTCTGTCGCCCAGGCTAGAGTGCAGTGGCACGATCTTGGCTCACTGCAAGCTCCACCTGCCAGGTTCACGCCATTCTCCTGCCTCAGCCTCCCGAGTAGCTGGAACTACAGGCACCCACCACCACGCCTGGCTAATTTTTTGTATTTTTAGTAGAGATGGGATTTCACCGTGTTAGCCAGGTTGATCTCAATCTCCTGACCTCGTGATCTGCCCGCCTCTGCCTCCCAAACTGCTGGGATTACAGGCGTGAGCCACTGTGCCTGGCCCACATATTGTACTTTTATATGAAATGTCCTAAATAGGCAAATCTATACATACAGAAAGTGGATTAGTGGTTGCCTAGGGCTAGAGGGGTTGGAAAGAAATGGGGAGTGACTTCTTATGATAATGAGATTTTGGGGGGAAGTGACGAAAATGTTCTAAAATTGATTTTGGTGATGGTTACACAACTATGTGAATATACTAAAAATCATCTAATTGTACACATTAAATGGGCACATAATTCATATACATGATACGTGGATATCATGTATGAGTATATAGTATCATGTAACTATCACATATGTAAATGTTAATTATTCCTCAATAAATCTGTTTTAAAAATAGATATGATGTGATACTTCTGAGACAAAATAGCTACTTTCACAAAGTCTAAAATAGGGAATCCCAACTGGTTCCTCTATTTTATTAGTAAGCAACACCAAGCTGACTATTCTCAATCAACATGACATAGATAAATGACATATATAAATTGTATAAAATAGCATTTTTAAAGAGATGCGGTCTTGCTATGTTGCTCAGGCTGGACTTAAACTCCTGGACCCAAGGAATTCTCCTGCCTCAGCCTCCCAAATAGCTGGGACTATAGGCACACACCAAAAAAATAGCATTCTTCTTTCTGTAATTATTGAATAAATCCATTTTAACATGTACATAGTAAAAAAAAGTTGCTATTTTTCCTATATGCCCTGCAAACCTCTAGATACACAAATGGGTTGCAGTGGGCAATGTTAACTTTTAAAAGCCAACATTTTGGAGCAAAATATTACTTACACATTTCAGGAAAAGCACTAAAATAAACCAGCCTACTAGCAGTGGAAATTTACACTTCCTCCTAAAAAAAATATAACAACAACATATCCTTGAAGAGAAAAATACTGAACAAATAACCAGGGGGGACCTTTCTGATTATAATAACAAGAAAATACAATATAGAATAACGCAACCCCTTTTCTCACATATAATGGGTTCTTTAAATATGTGCAGAAGTTTACTGTGCAAAAAATTCCTAATAGATTCATATGTTCTGTTCCCTAGAAGCTAAAAAATATTATGAAAATCTCTCACTCTACTTTGCCTTTTACTCATAAACTTTGGTTTTACTTTCAACATTTAATGCATGTTCTTTAAAATGTTATTTTCTTACAAGTGAATACCTAATAGACTACCTTACTGTCTGATTAGGGCTAATTATTTTCAATTTTGGGCATACATTCTGTCATTCATTTATTCATTCATTAAATATTTATTAAGCCAGGCACAGTTATGAATGTTAATGTTACAGCAGTGAACAAAACAGACAAGGTTCATGCTGTCATGAAATTTGTAGGAATTTGTATTCTAATGTGGGAAGACAATTTCAACATGAGTGATAATTCTGGTAGTGATAAGTGCTGTGAAGGAAATAAAGATTGAGTGCAGTGATTCATGCCTATAATCCCAGCATTTGGGAGGCTGAGACGGGAGGACCACTTGGGCCGTGGAGTTCAAGACCAGCCTGGGCAACATAAAGAACCCCCATCGCTACCAAAAATTTTGTAAAATTTGCTGGGTGTGGTGGCTTACACCTGTGGTCCCAGCTACTAGGGTGGGAGGATCTGCTTGAGATTGCTGGAAGGTCGGGGCTGCAGTGAGCCATGATCATGCCACTGCACTCCAGCGTAGGTGACAAAGCAAGACCGTCCGAAAAGAAAAGAAAAGAAGGAAAGGAAAGGGAAAGAAGGAAAGAAGGGAAGCAGGGACGGAGGGAGGGAAGAAGGACGGAGGGAAGGAAGGAAGGAAGGAAGGAAGGAAGGAAGGAAGGAAGGAAGGAAGGAAGGAAGGAGGGAGAAAATAAGGAGAAAATATGTTATTGGGATGTGGAGTGACCAGGTAAAGGGGTTACCTATTTAGGGTGGTCACAGAAGTACTACCTGAGGCTGCATTGAGCCAGGCACCTAAGCATAGAGAAAGCCACCTATGTGATTATCTGAGGAAAAGAGATTTCTAAATAGAGGGAATATCTAACGCAAAGGCCCTAAGGCAGAAGGGGTTTTAAAAAGAAAAGAAAAAAATGAAAAAGAGCCCTGTATCTAGATTATAGTAAATAATTGGAAAACATGATGTCAGAGAAATGGTAGGAGCCAGATCATAGGGAATTATAGACCATGATAAGAGGTTTGGTGATTATTCTCATTGCAATGGACAGTCATTTGGAAGGTTTTGAACAGGCAGAAGGGTATGATTAAAATTGTTAGTGATTATTTGGGCTATTGTGAAGAAGTGAGCTATGGGGTTAAAAGTGGACCAAACCACTTATAAAGCTTTGGCAGTAGTCTAGATGAAAAATGTTGGTGGCTTGGAATGAGAAAACACAGTGATAGTGAATAATGATCAGATTCAAGACATATTTTAGAGGCATAGCTAACTGAATTTGCTCCTGGTTTAGATGTTGAGAAGATGGGATAAAGTAATAAATAATAAACCCTAGATTTTAGCCTGAGCAACTGAGTGGATAATCATGCCATTAAATGTGTAACAGAGCAACAAATTTGTACTTACAGATGTGCAAATATGTAACTTCTTTATTTCTGGCTCATCTGGTTTTCCTCACAAGCTCCTACTTACTGATTAGTGGAATGCATTGGGGTTGCGGGGGATGGCAGCAGGCAAAGAGAAAATTTAAAATCTGACTCAGTTGAATGCTTAAACTTAATCTAATCATATAAAGTAGTAGTTTCTTCAGGTGCTCAGACTATCAAGATGCTTAGTCTCTCAAGTGTATCAGTCCTTGACCTCTCTCTTTTACTCCTTTCCAACATTGAGTCTGTGTGTCTTGTGATTGCAAGGATGAGGATGCCTTGGATATTGATGCAGGTGTTATTTGTGCTAATTGGGACAGGGTAATCTTCCCTCACCGCCTACCCTGATGGTTTCTGCTGATGATGTTTACATCTAGTAATTTTCATTTTTTTCTTTGTCTTTTTTTTTTTCTTTTTTTTTTTTTTTGGAGAAGAGGGTTCCCTTGCTGAACTGGTCTCACATCAGGTCCCACTAATTTCTATAGATGTCTCTGAGGTCTGTTGTGGTCCTTATTCAGTACTAGCCAAGGAAACCTGCTCTCCAGCCCTTATTGTAGAGCTATATATTCCTAGAGTAGTGATCACCCTGTCCCTGCCACAAACTTCCCAGCTGTTTCTGAGTTGCCATCTACATCATATAGGAATCGAAGAGTAGCTCAGGAAAATTTAACCATATGGTCTTCCTCATTTTGACTTTGTTGTTGAGTAACCATATTGACAGGGCTACCCACCAGGTGATATCTACAAAAGATACCTTTCAAATTCCAAATGAGTAATTGCAAAAAAGATCTCTCTCTGACAAAACTCAGAAAAAGGAAAATATGTCTCTCTCTCCTCCTTTGCCTTCCCACATTCTCCTGGAGCCAAAACAAACAGACAAACAAAACCTCCATGCTTCTCTTTACTTCCCCTATGTCATATCCTCATCCTTCTATCATCTAGTAAAAGCCTTATGGTAATACATGGAAAGTGTCTTCTCTATCACAGGACAGCTTTGTGTGCTAGGTGCTCCAGACTCAACTCATGAAATGTTAAAAGTTGGAAACAAGGAAAACAGAAAAATATTATTTTAAGGCATTCAGCCTTTGGGCGTACAGACACCTGAGGCTGAACAGGCAAACTCCTCATATTCAAAGAGGCAAGAAAGAAAACCATTTTACTAATTTTCAAATTTTGCCTTATTACAGTGGAGGTGGGGAAGAGTAGGAGGAAAGCAGTTTAGGGTTAGGAGGAGGGATTTAGAGACTTTGGTTTTGGACGCGTAAAGTTTAACATACCAAATACAAATGCAAAGAGCTATCATTAGGTAGGGTAATCAGAAAGTCAGTGATGGAGTGAGAACAGGTGATATAATTAGGGAATCATTAGAATACAAATTTCTCAAAACTATACCATTAAATGGAAATTAATCAGTCTGCTCCTGAAAGACTTTTGGGTAAACAATGAAATTAAAGCAGAAATCAAGAAATTCTTTGAAACTAATGAAAACAGTGATACAACATACAAGAATCTCTGGGATACAGCTAAAGCAGTGTTAAGAGGGAAGTTTATAGCACTAAATACCTACCTACATTAAAAAGTTAGAAAAATATCTAATTAACAGCATAACATCACACCTAGAGGAACTAGAAAAACAGGAGCAAAACAAACCCAAAAGCTGAAATAACCAAAATCAAAGCTGAACTGAACAAAATGGAGATGAGAATAAAACATACAAAAGGTCAACAAAACCAAAACTTCATTTATTGAAAGAATAAATAAGATTTATAGACCATTAGCTAGACTAATAAAGAAAAACAGGCAGGGAGATGATCCAAATAAACACATTCAGAAATGACAAAGGGGATGTTACCATCAATACCACGGAAATACAAAAAACCCTCAGAGACTATTATGAACACCTCTCTGCACACAAACCAGAAAACCTAGAAGAAATTCATAAATTCCTGGAAACATACAACCTCCCAAGATTGAACCAGGAAGAAACTGAAACCCTGAGCAGACCAATAATGAGTTCTGAAATTGAATCAGTGACTTAGAAACCTACCAACCAGAAAAGCCCAGGACCAGATTGACAGCCATAATCTACCAGAGCTATAAAGAAGAGCTGGTACCAATCCTACTGAAACCATTCCAAAAAATTGAATAGGAGGGATTCCTCCCTTATTCATTGCATGAGGCCAGCATCATTCTGATATACAACAACAAAAAAAGAAGACTTCAGGTCAATATCCCTGTTGAACATAGATGCAAGAATCGATAACAAAATACTAGCAAACTGAATTTAGCAGCACATCAAAAAGCTAATCCATCATGATCAAGTAGGCTTTATTCCTGGGATGCAAGATTGGTTCAACATATGTAAATCAATAAATGTGATCCATCACATAAATATAACTAAAAACAAAAAACACATGATCATCTCAATAGGTACAGAAAAAGCTTTCAATAAAATTCAACGTGCCTCAATGTTAACCCTCAACAAACTTGACATTGAAAGTACATACCTCAAAATAATAACTGTCATCTATGACAAACCCACAGCCAATGTTATACCTAATAGGCAAAAGCTGGAAGCATTCCCCTTGAGAGATGGAACTCTCACCACTCCTACTTAATATAGTACTGGAACTCTCAGTCACAGCAGTCAGACAAAAGAAAGAAATAAAAGGCATCCAAATAGGAAAAGAGGAAGTCAAACTCTTTTTGCAGATTATATGATTCTGTACCTAGAAAACCCTATAGTCTCTGTTCAAAGGCTCCTAGATCTGATAAACAACTTCAGCAAAGTTTCAGAATACAAAATCAACGTACAAAAATTAATAGCATTTCTATACACCAATAACATCCCAGCTGAGAAACAAATCAAGAGTTTAATGCCACTCATAATAGCCACAAAAAGAATAAAATACCTAGGAATATTTGGGAGGCCGAGGCAGGTGGAACACGCTGTCAAGAGATCAAGACCATCCCGGCCAACATGGTGAAACCCCTTCTCTACTAAAAATACAAAAATTAGCTGAGCGTGGTGGTGCACACCTGTAGTCCCAGCTACTCAGGAGGCTGAGGCGGGAGAATCGCTTGAACCCAGGAGGTGAGGTTGCAGTGAGCTGTGATCACACCACTACACTCCAGCCTGGTGACAGAGCGAGACTTTATCTCAAAAAAAAAAAACAAAAACCTAGGAATACAGTAACCAGGGAGGTGAAAGATCTCTACAATTAGAATTACAAGACACTGCTGAAAGAAATCAGAGGCAACACAAACAAATGTAAAAACCTTCTATGCTCATGGATAGGAAGAATCAATATTGGTAAAATGGCCATACTTCTCAAAAGCAATTTAAAGACTCAATGCCAGTCCTATCAGATTACCAAGAACGTTTTTCACAGCATTAGCAAAAGCCATTCTAAAATTCTTATGGAATCAAAAAAGAGCCCAAGTAGCCAAAGTAATCCTAAGCAAGAAGAATAGAGCTGGAGGCATCACAAGTACCTGACTTCAAACTATACTACAAGGCTACAGTAACTAAAACAATATTGTACTGGTACAAAAACAGTTACACAGACCAATGAAACAGGTTAGAGAACCGAGAAATAAAGCCACACAACTACAGCTATCTGACCTTTGACAAAGCCGATAATAACAAGCAATGGGGAAAGTTTACCCTATTCAGTAGATGGTGCTGGGATAACTGGCTAGCCATATGCAGAAGATTGAAGCTGGACCCCTACCTTTTACCACATGCAAAAATCAATTTAAGATGGATTAAATGCTTAAATATAAAACCTAAAACTATAAAAACCTTAGAAGAGAACTTAGGGAATACTATTCTGGACATCAGCCCTTGCAAAGACTTCATGACAAAGATTCCAAAAGCAATTGCATCAAAAACAAAACTTGACAAATGAACCTAATTAAACTAAAGAGTTTCTGCACAGCAAAAGAAACTGTCAAAAGAGTAAACAGACAACCTAAGAACAGGAGATAGTTTTTGCAAATTATGCATCCAACAAAGGTCTAATATCCAGAATCTATAAAGAACTTAAATCAATAAGCAAAAAACAAACAAACCCATTAAAAATGGGTAAAGGACTTGAACATACACTTCTCAAAAAAAGACATACATTTGGCCATCAAGTAGATGAAAAAATGCTCAATGTTGCTAATCATTAGAGAAATGCAAATCAAAACCACAATGAGATACCATCTCATACCAGTCAGAATGGCTTTTATTAAAAAGTCAAAAAATAACATGCTGGTGAAGTTGCAGAGAAAAGTGAACACTTATACACTGCTAGTGGGAATGTAAATTAGCTCAGCCACTGTGGAAAATAGTCTGGAGATTTCTCAAAGAACTTTAAAAGAACTACCATTCAACCCAGCAGTCCCATTACTGGGTATATACCCAAAGGAATATAAACTGTTCTACCATAAAGATGCATGCGCATTTATCTTCAGCGCAGCACCATTCACAATAGCAAAGACATGGAATCAGCCTAGATCTCCATCAACAGTGGACTGGATAAAAAAAAAAGTGGTATGTATACACCATGGAATCCTATGCAGCCATAGAAAAAGAACAAGATCATGTCCTTAACCAGCAACATGGATGCAGCTGGAGGCCATTATCCTAAGCAAATTAATGTGGGAACAGAAAACCAAATACCACATGTTCTCTTTAAGTTGGAGCTAAACCTTGAGTACACATGGACACAAAGAAAGGAACAATTAACATCAGGACCTACTTGAGAGTGAAGGGTGGGAGGAGGGTGAGGACTGAAAAACTGCCTATCAGATATTATGCCAATTACCTAGGTGACAAAATTATCTGTACACCAAATCCATGTGACACATAATTTATCCACATAACAAACCTGCACATGTACCCCTTGAACCTAAAATAAAAGTTAGATAGAAAAAATAAAACATAATACTGTGGTTACTGTGGCATGCGCCTGTACTTCCAGTAACTCGAGAGGCTGAGGTGAGTGGATTGCTTGATCCTAGGAGTTCAAGTCCCGCCTGGGCAACATAGCAAGACAATGTCTCTAAATAAATAAATAAAAGTAATATACAAAAATAGGTTCCATTCTTTTTCACCAGCAATGAGCAGTTAGATATTTTTAAATGCAATTTCCAACACAATTAGCCACAAAATTAAGTACCTAGCAATACATCTAAACAAAATATTTGTAAAAATGGTGTGGAAAATTTTTGCAATTAAAGAAATTATAATCATTTATTAAAGAACTAAATAAATGGACAGTTATTTTATATTCATGATAGGAAAACTCAATATTATAAAATTATCAATCTTCTCCTATATTAATGAATACACTTAATACAATTTCAACCAAAATCCCAATGGGATTTTTAATAAAACTTGATTGATAAAAAGTGATTTAAAAATTTGTGTGGAAAACCAAAGGGCCAATATTAAGACAACTTTAAAGAATAAGTTGTGCAGAGGTGGGATGGTTGTGGAGGAGGTGGAAGAGAGAATCTGACCTATCTGATATAACTTATTATTGAAGCTAGAGTAATTAAGTTAGTTAGTGCCATACTCATTCACAAATAAACAAACAGACCAATGGAAATTGAAGATAATGTAGAATCAGATATAAGTATATTTTGAAACTTGATTTTTGATAAATTGATTATGCACTACAGATCTATAAGGAAATGAACAATTTAATAAATGATACCAGTACAATTGGTTATCCAAATGAAAAAAAAAATACTCTCCCTCACACAAATGCGCACGTGCGCGCACACACACAAACACACACCCCGCAAAATTACATTCCAATTGATTAAAGGCTTAACTGTTAAAATCAAAATCTTAAAACTCTTGGGAGAACATTTAAGATAATATTTTATGACCTTATAAGGAAAGGGGAAGCAGTAAAGATTTCTTAAAACAAAGCACTAAAAGAAACAGAAAGAAAATATTAATGACTTTGACTGCATTAAAATTGCAAACTTGTGTTAGTCCAAAGTCGTAATAAACAAGGTGAGAAAATAAGATACAAGCTGGGAGAAGAGATTTGTGATATATGGAATGAACAAAATATAAGTATGTATAAAAACATATACATGTAACTAAATAAGACAGCCCAGTAGAATAACGGGCACAAGATAGGAACCAGAAATTCACATAGAGATATAGATGTCCGATAACTTTATGAGTAGCTATACGTTTTTCCATAATAACCAATAACATAAATTGAAATGATAACATCATTCTGCACCCATTTTAAGTCTCATACGATCAAGCATTATAGGAAATATGAAGTAAGTGGAACTCTTAAACATTGCCATTGAGGATGTAAATTGGCAAAATCACTTTGGAGAACAATTTGACAATATCTGATATGCTTGAAGATGCATGTATCCTACAACCCAGCAATTCAATTCCAGGGTACATACCCTATAAAAACTCTTGACATGAGCACATAGAGACAAGTACAGAGTGTTTATTCCAGCATTGTCTGTAATAGCAAAAGAAAGCCACCAAAACATTAACCAACGGGAAAAATACTTAAGTTGTGGTTTGATAATAACATGGAATCCTGTAGCATTTTTTTAAGTAAATGAATTAAAGACACAGTAATTTCAAAACAAAAATGTGTTAAAAAGAAGTTTCAGGAGAACACATAAAGTATGATACTGCTTTTTAAAAATTTTTAAAGATACAAAATACATATTACTTGGGGATACAAATGGAGTAAAATTATTAAGAAATGTGTAGGAACAATAAAATTCAAGACAATGATTGCACCTGAGTAGGGAAAAAGGGTGATGAGTTTGGATAAGTATATGTTTAATGTGGGGCTTCAATTATATGTATATATATATGTAGATATATATATATATATATACACACACACACACACATAGACATACACATATATTGGTTCTATTTCTTAAAGTAGATGTAGGTAAACGGGCTTTCATTGTACCTTTTAACATCTTTACATGTACTTAAATATTGTGTAATACACTTTTAATAAACAGCAGAAGTTAATAACGACTAGCATATTTTGAGCTCTTCATCATAAGTCTAGTCCTTTCTAAAGTTTACATGCATTCTCTTATTTGCTCTTAGTCTTTGAAGATGTTCTTTTATACCTCTTTTATTTAACAGGAATCTGAGGCCTTTAGAAATTAAATAATCTACCTACGGCTGTATAGGTAGGTGTTAGGTGCCAGAGCCAGAATATGAAATGGGAGCAGTCTGACTTTTAAAAGCTCACACCTTTAATCTCTATGAAGATTAATCAGCCTCTTTTTGAAAGGCCTCATTAACTTCAAAGAAGTCCTCAGGTTAGTGCAACTACCATTTCTACCTCTGGATGCAGCTATAACTACAGCAATAGAGCACAACAGCTTTGGCCTCTAAATTCAGTGATTTTCTGAGGCTAGAAGAGCATTTTCTCAGGAGCATAGGGTATGAGTCATTTCCTTAGGTATCTGTTTATTCGTTCAACAAATATTTATCTAGAGCCTACATAGCACAGTGGTAAACCACAAGTTATTTCTTGTCTACATCATTTTTGCAATTTGCCAAGCTTTTGGGACACAAATTTGAGATTTCTATTTTCATTTCCAGCGAATGCAGGGAATGTTGTGATTAATTATTAGCCATTTTAGAACTTGCAACCTGGCTTACTGTGGAACTCACTTAAGCCTAACCATTGTTTACCTGAAAATTCATATAGTGCCCCACTTTTACTTAAAAAAAAGTGTATATTGAAAACTTTTAATATACTTTTAGCTACACAAAGGACAAATTGAAATGAAAATATTATTTTTAAGTTTTATATGATTACCTCCTTTTTCTCTCTGTATTTCCTTCTTTTTTTCCCACAGATCAACGAATATCTCTTTAACTCTTTCTACTCCAGTGAGATTTTGAGATTTTCTTTGACCACGTACTAGACACATTGAAATTTTCCTTGACCATGTACTAGATGTATTTTATACTCTGTACTTTCTTTCATATGTGTGTGGAGACTTCATTGGATAGGCAGAAGTCCTGTACTTTCCACAAGATGCTGAGCTCCCAGTAGCTGATAGAAATGCTGAGATGGATGCCTTTGGGTTTATACTTTTTTATTTTAGTTAAACGTGTTTTACAGCCTGTGACGTAGAAGGCATGGGTTAACTTTAATTACATTCTCTCTAATTAAAATGGGTATACTGAATCTAAGTAATGTTCCACCTAGAATAATGAACAGTGTAATTAAGACTCTCTTGGCCAGTTTGTGCATGTGAACTTTATAGCTAATAACAGCTACACCTCTAAGTCATTGTGACCTCTTTTTAAATGATACAAACCTAATAATGTGAAAATTAACCCTCATTTTTACTTCTCGTCCAATCCAATCCAGTGATTATCTGATAGAAGTATTCAAATACTCCATCTCATCTTTTCTTTAACCATTTATTTCCTTTTTTATATTGAATATTTTAGGGACCTGAAGGAATTGTGGGAATTCCAGGGCAAAGAGGTCGTCCAGGAAAAAAGGTAATTTTTTACATCTTCTTATGCAGGTTTTCTTTCTTCTGATGTGCCCAGAACTCCATAGACTGCTGTAATGTTTTTAATTTGGACTAGATAGTAAAGTAGTAAAGAATTATAAATGTTGCTTTAAAAGATACATTTATATAAATTAATATTTAATTTCAGTTAGGAGTACTTATTATCGTGATTATTTGAAGGCAAATTTTCCATTTTGTAGTTTGTAAAAAATCTTGGCTTTTCCTTCTTTCTCTTGTTTGCCAAAAATTCTTTTAGTAGACCATGGGCAAGAAGAAAGATAAAAGGAAAATACTATACCATTTGTGCTTTTCAATGACAACTTTAGTAAAGTATTTGAGGGAAGAGAATGTAACTATAATTATTTGTTGTCAATGTGTTTTTCTAAGTTGGTTTTATTTTTTCCATATATGAAGAACTACAAATCAAGAATATTTTTATTTGCTTACTTTATATTTTACTAAAAATATTTTACTAAAATCAACATTCATAGTGAGACAGTGCAAGTCTTTGTATAATAACAACCTGCACCCCTGGAAAAATAAAATAAAGCCTCTTAGCTGTTATGAATCCCAAAAATTTCCTGTCCAACTGTGTTCACAGTAGTTTTTCTTTGTATCTTCTTGTTTATCAATAATAGAACAGGTTGGTTCTCACTTAGGAAAATGAAGAATAACACAATGTTGTTTAAGAACAGCTATATTTTGGTGCTAAAGAAAGGTCAGTTTGTTGGCTGGGCGCAGTGGCTCACACCTGTAATCCCAGCACTTTGGGAGGCCGAGGTGGGCGGATCGCTTGAAGTCAGGAGATCGAAACCAGCCTGGCCAACATGGTGAAACCCTGTCTCTGCTAAAACTACAAAAATTAACTGGACGTGTTGATGGGTGCCTGTAATCCCAGCTACTTGGGAGGCTGAGGCAGGAGAATCGCTTGAATCCAGGAGGCAGAGGTTGCAGTGAACTGAGATCTTGCCACTGCATTCCAGCCTAGGTGATATAGTGAGACTTGGTCTCAAAAAAAACAACAACAAAAAAGAAAGGTCAGTGTGTCTAATAGAAAACAGAAGATAATTAGTTTTCTGAAAGATGTAAAGTGATGTAAAAATGTTGCAGATTTTTCAAGGCATACTCCAAGCCAATGAGTGATGATCCTGAATGTACAGAACTGCACACTGGAGCTCTTTTTGTATTGAACAGACCTTGTTGCATTGAAATTCTCTATAGAAACAGACTTTCCAAAGAGCTTATGATTTCTTATAGTAACAACACATACATGCATACTTACATACATATATAGCAAAATTCAAAAGTAAAAAACGGTTATTTGGATTCAACATGAGCACCAGATGCCCCCTGCTTGTTTGGTCAAAATTTTTATTTTATCTTTTTCCAAAATTACTTTTATTTTTAAAATAACTTATATAGTGATGGTATGTTATTGTTGTTAATAGTGATCTGTAATACTGTTAACCAGATAATCCTCAGGAGCTATTCAGGAATATGATATAGTTAATTAATCTAAGTATAAATTTTTTTCTTGCTTTTCTCTCTTAATAATGTCATCCACAGGGTGATAAAGGACAAATAGGACCCACAGGAGAAGTTGGAAGCAGAGGTCCTCCTGGAAAAATTGGGAAAAGTGGTCCTAAGGGTGCCAGAGGAACTAGAGGTGCTGTGGTCAGTATTTGACTTGCTTCCAGAATTGAGTCACTGTGGATGGGAAAGAAACGTATCCATGCCCTTAAAGTTTCATCCCTTGATTAGCTTTACAGACAAAGCAATAGTTCCATTGAAAATAATCTACCTCCATGGGATGTGGAGAATTGTAAGCATTCCACAGTACTTAAACGGCTTAGTGGTTTCTGGACATGAAAAAGGAAAGAGAAAAAAATGAAAATGGAAATAAAATATGAAATGAGGTTTTAAAAAGTAAGATTATAACTCCTAACCAAACTAGGAAATTTTATATGGCCAGCACTTAAAATTGGGATTTAGTATCTGTATAAAACTATGCTGTCATGGTTGACAAATTGCTTTGAAAATTAGGTTTACTTGAAATGGATTTTCTTTCTCTGGTTGGAAACAAACCTGCTTTATTTGGATATTATTTTTCTAACCAATTGTGATAAATCTAACATCTAATTTTATCTTTCATCTTTCTCAGGAACTTTGCATGATGTTAGGAACAAGTGTAGCATGATACTTATGAACTCTTATATTAGGAAAATTATATTGCGAATGTATTTAGACCTGTTCTGAAAGTCAGCATGAAAGAGATGCAAAATATTTAAAAGATTATCTAATTGAGTCTTCTGTTTCATAGGCTTTTTTACAAAATGCATGCGTATTTCCATTTAGTGTAGTCTCCATTTAAATGTCACAAGTGCTAGACTTTTCACTAAGGCTTTTTAGAGATCATTGCATAATCCATTTGTTGTCTGAGGAAAGTTTGCCTCAGGCTTATTTTCGGTATTCTATTCCTTACTGGGATCTAGGCCTTTCTTACTTTCTTTCATTTAAATTACTAGCATTTCTCTGTCTTTGACCTGTATACAAAAACATTTTATAATGTTATTAATTTTTTAATTTGACACGTTCCCAACCTACCTTCCCAAGAGGTTTCATCAAATTTGCACTCCCACCATCAACATTTCATATTACTTCTTTTGATGTTTGCCAATCTGATAAGTGAGAATGTGTATTGCATTTTTTCTATTTACACTTTCCCAATTGCACTTTTTTCTTATGGAAGTTGCCTGTTCATATATACTGCACATTAGATTGTTGCCTTTTTCTTATTGATTTGCAATCACTCCTTATATGCTTAAAATATTAATATATTTTTGTTAAATATGTTACAAAATATATTACAAATGCTTTTCTTTCTGCAATTTATCTTTTAATTTTGTATATCTTTTGCTGTATAGATCATTTTAATTTTTATATAGTCAAACTTGTCAGTCTTTTCCCTTTCAGTTTCTGTGTTTATTTTATTAGAAATGCCTCCCCTACCTAAAGTATATAAGAATATTCTTCCATATTCTTCTAATACTTTTATAACTTTATTTTTACCTTAACTCTTTAAGATGTATGGAGGTTTTTGGTTTTTTTGTGGGTATTTTTTTATATAAGGTGTAGAAGACTAAGTTTATTTTTTCCAAACTTATAGACAGTTGTTCCAATTCTATTTATTGAGTGGTCAGTCTGTTTTCTGCTTTTCTGAAATGCTTCCCTTACCATAAACTGAATTCTCAAATATTCATTAGTCTGTTTTTCTTCTACTTTATTCTCTGAATCTAGTAGTCTATTTCTGGGTCAATACCACACTATTTTACTTACTATACTATTGTGATACCTTCTGTTAGGGCAAATACTTCATAATTCATTTTACAAAAAAGTTTGACTCTTGCTATGATTTCCTCTTTCATGTGAACTTTCAATTTCCTTCAATGCTGAATCTTTCTATAAACACCATATGTCTTTTTATTTACTCAAATCTGCTTACATATTCATCAATAAAATATTTCCCTTATCTCTGTTCTTTAATCTTTCTTGTTAAGTTTATTCTTAGTATTTTTGTTTTTTTGTTTTGCTTTGCTTTTGAGTTTTATTCTCAGTGTTAATATAATCCTTTTTCTGTTACATCAACTTAGTGGTGCTGTTGGTGCTATTATATTTTGATCTTATATCCACTTTAACGAATGTAGATGATTCTCATAGGGATTCTTCAGGTAAATAATATTGCCTCCCCTTATTTGCTTCTCTGAATTACTACATTGATTAGAACTTCTACTATAGCAGTGAATAGAAGTCATGATGAAGAAAACCTTGTCTTGTGGGCCTGTCTTTAGTGAAAATGCTTCTAATGCTTATAATATCAAGTGTTGTTTACAGTTGTTTTTTAGATATACCATTTATTTGTTTAAAGAAATTTATTTTCATTCTTAAATGAGAGTTTTGACCAAGAGTAGATGTTGAATTTTATCAAATCCTTTTACAACATTTTTTTAGATAATCCCATAGTAGATGTTGAATTTTATCAAATCCTTTTACAACATTTGTTTAGATAAACCCATGCTTTCTCTCCTTTGTTTGTAAATATAAGAAAATTCCTTCATAGATTTCCAAAAGTTGAATCAACCATGAGTTCCTAGGATAAATCTTACTTAGGTTTAATTATATTATTATTTTAATGCAAATAGATTTCATTTTTTAACATTTTATTTAAGAGTTTTATTTTAGCTTATTGAATGTAGTTTACCTTAAGAGTTTTGCATTTGTATTTGTAAGCAAAGTAGGCCTATTTCTTCATTCCATCGTTCTTCATTCCATCCTTTTTTAATGTATGCTATCATTGATTGGATTTAGGCATAAGTGTTAAGCAAGTCATATAAAATGGGTTGGTAAATTTTTCATATTTTTCTGTGCTCTGTAACAGTATGGAACATAGATATTGTGTCTGTTCTCCAAAGGTTTTATAAAACTTGCTATTAAAACAATCTGAGCCAAATGTTATTTTATTAGCAGTAGATCTTTGGCTTTCTTTTCAAATTTTGTATCTTCTGGAATAAATTTTTGAAATTTTTTCTCAAAAAGTATCAATTTCAACTAGATTTTCATATTTAGTAAGTGAAACTTGAAATGACTATTTTCTTATAATTAATTTTTTTTCCTTTGGTTATGTTCTTCTTGTTTCTAATGTTGTTTTATCGTGTTTACTCTTTGCGGTGATCAGATTTGCCAAATATTTTGCTCTTTTATTAGTCAGTTCAAAGTGTCTACTTTGTTTTTCACTCAACTTTTTAAAATGGTTTTCTGATTCACTAATTTCTGCTTCAGTATTAATCTCTTCTTGAATTAAATGTCTGGCCCATTTATTTTATTTATTTAATAAATGCATTATGAAGCTACCTGTTCCCTTTTGAGTGCCACTTTGGCCATATTCCCGTATTTTTATGTTTGTGTTTTTACCATCATTTACTTATAAATAGCTTGCAATTTCAGAGTTTATTTTCTCCTGAACAAGAGTTATCTTAAAGGATCTTTCTTTTTAAGTAGATTTTTAATTTTTATTGCTCATTTTTAATTACATTGCATTATAGCCAGAGGATGTGACCTATATGATTTCTGCTTTGAGGAAATTTACTAAAATTTTCTTTGAGGACTACTATATTCAAATTTTGTCAAAAGATTCCTTTTTCTCTTTTCTTTTCTTTCTTTCTTTCTTTTCCTTTTTTGGGGCTAATAAACAGTCCTAAGTATTTCTGTTAAATCAAGTTGTTAGCTAAGCTACTTAAATCCTTATAGCTTTCTTACTGTTTTTTTTCTTGCTATTTGAGTCATTGATTTCTGAAAACAGATTTTGAGATCTGTTCATCACATTTTCTCCCCACTTATTTTTGGGAGGTTACATATTTTGCATATATATTTTAGGTACATTAAGGTTCATTTTTTCTTTTATGAATTGCATATTTTATTTCTTGTTATGTTGGCTCTAGAGTCACTTGAGTCAGCAGCAGCCTTTAGCATTGCCTGCTTTTGGGGCAACAGTTTCCACACGCATTCACTTATCTTCTAGGCAAATGCAATCATCAGTTACCCAGCACAAGTAGAATAGGAATACCTGACTCCTTTCCCCAGTTAGTCACCTGAACCTATCCTGCCCCTTCAATGTCTTGATTTCAGCATTTGAAATTTCCTTGAGACTACTTGCACATCTGCAATGATTTTTTTCTTTGCATATTTTCAGCCCTAATTTTCTGTCTCAAATTACAAAATTTTGGTCCACTGATGATGTTTACTTATTTTCCAGTGTTGTTATTACAAATAAATACCTTTCTTTTCTCTCTCTCTTTTTTGTTGGATGAGACTATTGAAGCAAGCATATGTCATTCAGCCATCTTGAGCTAATGAATACTGAGTAGTTACATTCTATTCTAGATTATTCACCTAGGTAATGGCTGAATTCTTATTGATGTTTTAAAATTAATTTTGTGCAATTCCTTTTTTAGACTGAAACTTGTTCTTATCTGGATGAGTCTAAATTTACTAATCAATGGTTAATAGTTGCAATGTGAACATTTTTAGAGCTGGGAATTTAAAGAAATCATCAAATATAGTGAAGCACTATGATTAAATGGGAAATACTATATATGCAGAATCAAGAGACTTAGTTCTAGTATGACATTTGGCAAGTCACATACCTATTCTGTGCCTTAATTTTCCCATCTTCTATTTGTTTTGAGACTCAAATAGGAGAGTCAATATGGAATCTTTTTGCTAATATGAAATATAGGACTTTTTCAGGTTTTTTTTGTTTGTTTGTTTGTTTTACTTTTTCAATTGTCTGAGCAATCTATTCAGTAGGCTAAGGGCATTTGCTGATTAGTCTTTGGCTTACATGGTTTCACCATCTATAAAATATTGATAATAAGAGTAATCATAGGGTAACTATTACATGTAAGTTGTCAACCATTTCCCTTTTAATAACTTTGACCAGGACTAAAACCATATTCATCATAGCATCTGAAACTAACAATGAGTATGGAGTTCTGGATCCCGTAGTGACAATGTCAAAAACTCTCAGGTTGCACTCTCTAATATTCAGTGACCCACATCTGGCACAAACTTTGACAGATGTAAACCACATTTCCAATAATTCGTTAGGGAGCAGCAGGATTCTGACAACTGAAAGTATTTTTTTTAATATGATTAAGGATATTTATATCAGAAGTAAACCAAAAAGACATTTGTTGCAGAACTTTTTGTGTTTCAGAAAAAAAAATAGACAAAAGTTGGGGGGTTATTTTTTGCTTTCCTATTTCAAACTAGGTAAATTTCAACCATGAAAAATCTAAAGGTAACAATTTAAACAATAGGAGTAGAAGTCTAATGATTTAAACAATTCTTTACTTTCTCTCTCTCACTAATATTTACTTTGTTTTTCAGGGACATTTAGGATTGATGGGACCTGATGGAGAACCAGGAATTCCAGGGTACAGGGTAAGTATTTATAATTGAAAAAATATATTCACATGAAAACATTTTTATTAAAGATGATATCCCAAATATTCAAATTAAGATGAAATCTCTCTGATAAACCTTTCTAACATATTTAGGTCTCATCCTCCTAGACAGTGAATCCTATTTTTCCTTTCAGAATAATGCAATATCTAATATCTAGGTAGAGCATGTATAAATGTCTACTTGTCCTTTCGTAGGGCCATCAGGGCCAACCAGGACCCTCTGGATTGCCAGGACCTAAAGGAGAAAAGGTTTGTGTATATATTGGCTTTTTAATCTTAAAGTTAAACATTGAGTTCATGAATTATTCCTGAAAGACTGCATGGAAAAATTTTCAAGGAATAAAAGAAGCACTTTTAAAGTTGAAAATTTTACTAATTCTGGAAGAAAAAAATAAATATCAAGGAGCTAAAATTTAAATAAATTATTAAAATATCTTCCATGGGTTGTTTCAAGACTGAGCTGAAATAATATATGTGAAAATATTTGTAGAGCTTTGTAAGAGTAAAATTAATTATTTAAAGAAATTGTAAGGCTCTAGATTAAATGATTAATTATAGTACATTTATATTAAAGTCTTTGGGGCAGGAGAGTCAGGATCAAGTGATCTTGACTGTTGCCCAGGTTGGACTCAAACCAAGCAAGCAATCCTCCCACCCCAGGCTCCTAAGTAGCAGGCATGACAGATGAGTACCACCGCACCTGGCTCATTTATATTAAAGATTAAAATTTTTTGATGATTTAGGAATAACTACAGCAGTATTCTTAATTTACAATATCATTGAAATCTGACACTTTAAGAAAATTCCTGAGCTGCTTCTTATATAATTAAAGGAGATTGATACCTCCAAGAAGAACCCTGTACAAATTACAACTCTGTATAAAATATCATAGGCTTAGTTTCTTACATCAAAGTTTTCCACTTAAAAAAAGATAACATCAAACTGCATTTTCTAATATACTTAAAAATAGTAGGTTGTGTGTTTTTGATGTTTATTTTATTTATTGAGTTTTGTTTATAAATCATTATTTCATTTTAGGGCTACCCAGGAGAAGATAGCACAGTCCTAGGACCACCTGGGCCTCGAGGTGAACCAGTAGGTCTTTTTCTGAAATAATTCTGGTTATTCAAGATAAAACACAATTATATAATAGATTCACAACACCAATTAAATCTTTTCAAGGAGTTTTCTTTTGTTAGTTTTATAACATGGTTTGATAGGAGGGTGATATTTATGGTCACAAAATTTAAATGATATTAAAGTCTTTAATATGAAAAATATGCAGGTCATATTTTAGCATAATATATAGGGTTAATATAGTGACTTCCCAAATCTAACTTTCTGCATTGAAGGCATGATAACAACTTTTACAAAGATTGTCAGAAAACTTATACACTCTAGACATTTTAGGATACATATTTCTGTAATTATCACATTCAGATTTATTTCTAAATATTAAAAAAATCTTATCTATATACTTCTTATAGCAGTTTACACACAGTTGCCAAGTGATTTCAAAACCCCTCTAAGGAGTTATTAGAACCAATAACCTTTAAAGATTACTGATCTATAGCCTTCTTATTAAACATTTTAAGGGTTAACTATAACCATGGTCTCTAAAAAGTAGCTATTATAGCTTTATTTGAATAACTGTCTCTGTGTTCATGTTTGACTAAAACAATGTCTAAAGACCATATGTAAATTAAATGGATTAAATGAAAATTTTTAGTCCATAGAAATAAATATTATATAATTGGCTATATTTTCCATTTCTCACATAGTATTATATAGAGTAAAACAATCTTAAGGCACAAGGATCAGAATATGTAGTCACTCCTGATATTTTGACCTGGCTCTTTGGAGATGGTTGAAAGTTATACTTTGTTTTAGAAATAGACAAGAAAGATTCTAATTTTTCTGATTAAATCAAGCCATCTCATATAGAGGCAATAGATATATAGGTATCTAAAGGAATATGTAAGTTTCTTTATTAAATAATATTCTAGTCTCTCTAAACCACTAAGAGAGGGAAATATATGGAAATAATGTAAAAATCTTAAAGCAAATGGAAAAAACTTGGCAAAAGGAGTATAGTAGTGGTTGTTTTTCCCAGATTTAGGTATGCCAGGATCAAAGAATGCCACCTAAAATGTAATAAATATATTAAAAGACTAGCATAACAATAGTAGTTTTATCCAGTAGACACGGGACAGGCATGAAACTTAAACCACAAAGATTCTAAATAATTAAAGCAGAGTCAGAGATTGTAGTGTTGACATGTCTCTTACCTTTGTCCACGTAAGAGTAAATTAAAATTTGTCAATTAATGCTCTATAATAAATCCTATGCTTTTCCAACTAATTTCAATTTAAGTTTTTGTTCAGATGGTAGGTCCTAGTGGGTGCTGATATTTCTATTTCATTTTATAGTAGATAATTTGATGATTTATTATATTAAAGATTTTCTATTAGAAATATTCAGGAAAAGTAAGTCTGAGTTTATTAGATAATTTTTGGCTTAAGGATTAAAATTAATAAGTATAATTTTTTAGGTTAATTTATGTCTTGAAAATTAAAAATTTCACAATAGACTTTTATTCTGAGACTGTGTCTCCCTCTGTTGCCCAGGCTGGAGTGCTGGCTCACTGCAGCCTCAAACACCTGGGCTAAGTGATCCTCCCACCTCCCAAGTAGCTGGGACTGCAGGCTCGTGCCACCAGGGCCAGCTAATTTTTATTTATTATTTTTTAATTTTTTTTAGAGACAGGGTCTCTCTCTGTTGCCTAGGCTGGTCTCAAACCCTTGAGCTCAAGGGATCCTCCTATCTCAGCCTCCCACAGTGCTGGGATTACAGGCATGAGCTACCACACCCAGCCAACAGTAGACTTTCTCATGAAGAATGGTAAAGTAGGATTTACTATTTAAATCCCTTTTAAAAGATCACTTAAATATAATCTTTTGTAATTAATGGAATTATGTACTGAACTGTCCTGCTTAAATCTTTTTCAATCATTTTAATATTTAGTAAAAAAGTAAGTTATTTGGGCATCATTTATAACATACTGTACTAATTGAAACATTTTGTTGTTTTGTTGTTGCTGTTGCTGCTGTTGTTGTTTGAAACAGGGTCTCACTCTGTTGCCCAGGCTGGAGAGCAGTGGTGCAAACATGACTCACTGCAACCTCGACCTCCTGGGCTCAAGTGTTCCCCCTGCTTCAGCTCCCAAGTAGCTGGGACTATAGTCACATACCACCATGCCTGGCTAATTTTTACATTATTTGTAGAGACAGGGTCTCACGTTATTGCCCAGGCTGGTCTCGAACTCCTGGGCTCAAGGGATCCTCCTGCCTCAGCCTCCCAACGTGCTGGGACTACAGGTGTGAGCCACCACACTTGGTGAAAATATTCATATTTTTAATTGGGCTTCAGTTTTCAATATTTTTCCTAGTAGAATCATTATGAGATTCTCTTTATATAATTCACTGGTTGGTGTATTTTGATGTTGTTCTTGGTATCATTGAAATTCAATATTTTGAAATTATTTAATGGAACTAAACAAATCATATATTTGGTTTTATATTTTTGACAAAAGAATAAACAACACTAATCTTATCACCTGCATTCGCATATACTTTGATCCAGCTGTAAAACTGATTGTTTTGTGTGTGGTCTCTGTAGGGTCCAGTGGGGGACCAAGGAGAGAGAGGAGAGCCTGGAGCAGAGGGATATAAGGTAATTGCAAGTTATACCCCTTACTAATGAATTTAAATAGGGTTCTCTGTGTTTCTATTCCATTTTTTCCATTCCATTATTGAGATAATTAGTAATGTCTTATGTTTTTAATCCTAGAAGAGACGTCTTTCTACTTTCTGTTCCTCCTTCCTAGAATCATCTTTGTCTTTTCTTACTTCTGCTTTTTCTCATCATTCAGATCTCAACTGAAATGTTACCTCCTGAGAGGCCTTCTCTAACTGCCCTATCTAAAATAGATCTAGAACAATCACTCTGGACCATATTACTCGATTTCCTTCATGACATTTTATGCTATATTATCTTGTCACTTTTTAAATATATTTGTTTCCTTGTTTATTGTTTGTCTTCCCCCAACAAAATGTGGGATCCATGAGAAAAAAAATCTTGTCTCTCATTTTCATCATTATACCCCCAATTTCTAGAACACAAAGTTCCTGGTATATAGTAGGAATTCAATAAAGAGGTGTCAAGTAGGTGGCTAAATACCTTTATATTCTCAAGGCTTAAGTCAATTCTTATCCTCTTCCATTCCTGAGAGGGACATTATCTGACCAACTTAGCTAAAATTAGGCTGTGTGTAGAACGTATTCAGTGTCATTTTTTAATATCACATTTGTTTTTGAGGATGTTCTGTATTCCTGCCTTATATCTCTTCCCTCTATTTACATTGCCAATTGCTTTACAGAGTTAGAGGTTGTCTCCTGTCTCCCTATAGTTCCTGTCTTATTCCTTTGCTCATAGCATTCTCTATTTGCCTATAATATTATGTAATCTTTGCTTACATAAATCCTTTATAATTTCACTCAAATTCCCTTTTCCCCTGACCCACTAACGGTAATCTTGCTCTCTCCTGTAGTCTTGTAATAATATTATTTATTTAAGTCATTCAGTACAAACATTTTACCACATTCTGTTGCTATTCTTTTTTTGCTAATTTTGCTAATTATTTTTAATGTGTAGGTGTCTTAGCTCCCCCACTTGGCATATGTCTTCTTTCTTTCTTGTACAACGTCTAGTTCTAATCCCTGTACATAATAAGCTTTTAATAATGAGTTGATGGGTTAATTAATCTGATACATCTCTGTCAAGATGAAATTCCTGTGGTCATGTCTGAAATGCAGATTTATATTACCCAAACTAAATGGACAAGATGATAGATAGATAACTATCATTAATAAGTTGATTTTTCTCAAGCCAGAGGAATCTGAAAAATTAACTTTCACTCCCTAAAACTCTCTTTGAAGCAGATGTTGAGAATAGTTCTAAATATTTGTGAAATTGTTGCGATTACCATTTTTTTTTCTGTTTTCAAAGAAACATTTTTAGCAGGTTATATGTGTTCTGTTTCCAATTTACATAACATTTGTATCTACAAGTGTTTCCTAACCCAAGGAATTGAGTGGATTTATTTGAAATTTACTTTTCTCCGAGTTGAGAAGCCAACCCAACTGCTTCCAGCATAATTTGAGAAGCCTCTTAAAGTTCCTCAGCTTTTTCTGTGCATGACTTCTTCACACAGTCTCGGGAAAACCAGATTCCTGCAATATCTCATTTTGGCCTCTACCAGCTACAGAACATTCAGTAGCTAAATCAGTATATTTACCAGCAAATGAGCAGTTAACTATTCGCTTGAAAGGAGACAAGAATTTCCTCACTTGGCTAGCCAAAGAAAAGCCCTGCCGGCGTTTTCTGGACAATCAGTCATTCACTTTTCCCTAGGTTCACTGTCTAATCTACTTCTCCTTCCCCTTCCTTGTATACCCCTGATAATTTTTCAACTGTAGATGTTGTATAAACTAGTTTGATCCATGTCTTCCTTTCTGTCTTATTTCTTCCTAAGTCCTTAGGCTTTAGGGATCATTTTATTTATTGATGATTCTATGCTAAACAGTTAGCCATCTTGTGCCAGACAACCATGCTACTTTTATTGCTTAGCTCAAAATCATGAAATATCCACCTTTCTCCCTCACCAAGTTTTCTCCTAGCACAAGTTTGATTTATACAGAGGAACCACGCTTTATTTAGAATTAGGTTATCTTATTATAGCTTCAGGTGATATTTTAAAATGTTTGCTTTTCTATATGGATATTGTATATGCTATGATTTCACTCTGCTAAACTGATGGTTAGCATTATCACCAAGCTTCTTTATTAGGATAAAATACATGTAACATAAAATTTACCATTTTAACCATTTTAAACTTTACAATTCAGTGACATTTAGTACATTCACATTGTTAGTGGGCAAGGGAGGAAAAATATCTTTTCTTCTGCCCTTCTGAATTCTTGGCTGGGGACTTGGTAACAAAAGGCAGATTAACAAGAGAAAAGCATACAGATTAATTTCATATAAATTATACGTAACACGGGAGCCTTCATAAAGAAATAAAGCTCCAAAGAAACAGTTAAACCTGAATACTTTTATGCTAGGTTTGATGAGGAAGTCTTAGAAGAATGTGATAGGGCAAAGGTATGGGTTAAGATTAGTAAACTGGGGAAAACTTAGCAAGGACTGTTCATTCAGATTATTCTCTGTGTCCCTTCGTTTTTGGAGATGAGGATGCTCCTTTCCTCCAGGTATAGGGAGACACCTCTCACATGTGTCTTATGACCTGCATCAAAGGAAGGTAAGAAAGTCCTCTCTGCACATGCCATTCCTCAGATTGCTTCAGCTTAAAATATTCAATATTCCGAGATGCCATATTTTGGGGTAGTGTGTCTTGAACGCCATCATGTGCAACCATCACCATTGTCTAGTTCCAAACATTTTCAACACTTCCAAAAGGAAGCCCCATACTCATTAGGCAGTCACTCCCTATTCCCCCAAGCCCCTGGAAACCTTTTTCTTTTTGTCTCTGGATTTCTGTATTCTGGATATTTCATATAAATAGAATTATACATGTAGCCTTTTGTGTCTGGCACAGTGTTTTAAAAGTTCATCCATGTTATAAAATATATCAATATTTTATTGTCTTTATGACTGAATAATCACCTGGCTTTTAAAAAACATGTTTATAGTCACAAACATCTTTGACCAAAGTCAAGGGTCCTGCTCATTATTATTAACGAATACTTAGTTGTACTGACATACTTTATGTGTTATGTATGATAACATTTCTAAAAACTGTGTCTCTGGGCCGGGTGCAGTGGCTCACACCTGTAATCCCAGCACTTTGGGAGGCCACCGTGGGCAGATCACGAGGTCAGGAGATCGAGACCATCCTGCCCAACATAGTGAAACCCCATCTCTACTAAAATACAAAAAATTATCTGGGTGTGGTGGTGCATGCCTGTAGTCCCAGCTACTCGGGAGGCTGAGGCAGGAGAAACACTTGAACCCGGGAGGCAGAGGCAGAGGCAGAGGTTGCAGTGAGCCAAGATCATGCCACTGCACTCCAGCCTGGCAACAGAGCAAGACTCCATCTAAAAAATATATATATATATGTCTCTGGTCATTAAGCTTGTATTTGAGTGTCTGCCATGGGCCAGGAGAAGAGCTAGGGGCCATGGATATTACATTGGACATCCCAGACACAGTCTCTGCCCCCATGGACATCATATATATAAAAAACATGGAGAATAAGAACACTTAATCAGTATAAAAATAAACATAGTGAATTTTAGCTATAAAATATGTACAGCTATTTCATGTTATTTCATAAAAGGAAAAGCAATTATAGCTGTCATCCTGCTATAAACTGTACTAAAACTGTACATCACATAGATCAAGATAAATTTATTTGACGCTTGAGAGCCAGAGGACATGGAGGGAATAAATGTATTATCCTGGCAACAGCCACTTTTTAAAGGTATAAATGGAAACACTTTATTTAAAGGTATAAATGGAAACATAAATAGCCAAGATTAACTCAAGCTAAACTTAGGAGAGATGAAGTCCCAGAAATACTTTGAATAAATTATGTTGCATCTCAAAGTTCTTTTTGCTGTGGGCGGAGGGGGGCTGGCAATGGTCATAGAATTTTTACACACAATGAAATAACTAAATCCCAACTTGGCCTTCACTCCTTAGCATCAGACATACACATCTAAATAGCTATTGGACATCATCACAGGCACCTCAAACTCAGTAAGTGCCAAACCATAGTACCTCATCCTTTCCAAATTTAATCTGATCTTCCTCTTGTTATGTCCTCAATTCAGTGAATAGTATCACCAGCCATTCAGATGTCTAAACCAGTAGATGAATCCTCTGTCTCTCTTTCTTTCTCTTTCTTTCTCCCTCTCTCTGTCTCTCTCTCAATCTCTCTCTCTCACTCACTCACTCTGTCTCTATGAATCTCTTTTTCTTCCCCATACCCCTACTCATGTCTCACAGTCAGCCACTTCTTTTGATTCTTAAATGTTTCTGGAATCTAGTTACTTTGTCCTACTTTAGTTCAGGCTCTCACCATTTTTTTGTATTTACTTTTTTTTTAAATTTTATTATTATTATACTTTAAGTTTTAGGGTACATGTGCACAATGTACAGGTTTGTTACATATGTATACATGTGCCATGCTGGTGTGCTGCACCCATTAACTCATCATTTAGCATTAGGTATAGCTCCTAATGCTATCCCTTCCCCCTCCCCCCACCCCACAACAGTCCCCAGAGTGTGATGTTCCCCTTCCTGTGTCCCAGTGTTCTCATTGTTCAATTCCCACCTATAAGTGAGAACATGCAGTGTTTGGTTTTTTGTCCTTGCCATAGTTTGCTGAGAATGATGGTTTCCAGTTTCATCCATGTCCCTACAAAGGACATGAACTCATCCTTTTTTATGGCTGCATAGTATTCCATATTGTATATGTGCCACATTTTCTTAATCCAGTCTATCGTTGTTGGACATTTGGGTTGGTTCCAAGTCTTTGCTATTGTGAATAGTGCCACAATAAACATACGTGTGCATGTGTCTTTATAGCAACATGATTTATAATCCTTTGGGTATATACCCAGTAATGGGATGGCTGGGTCAAGTGGTATTTGTAGTTCTAGATCCCTGAGGAATCGCCACACTGACTTCCACAATGGTTGAACTAGTTTACAGTCCCACCAACAGTGTAAAAGTGTTCCTATTTCTCCACATCCTCTCCAGCACCTGTTGTTTCCTGACTTTTTACTGATCACCATTCTAACTGGTGTGAGATGGTATCTCATTGTGGTTTTGATTTGCATTTCTCTGATGGCCAGTGATGATGAGCATTTTGTCATGTGTTTTTTGGCTGCATAAATGTCTTCTTTTGAGAAGTGTCTGTTCATATCCTTCACCCACTTGTTGATGGGGTTGTTTTTTTCTTGTAAATTTGCTTGAGTTCATTGTAGATTCTGGATATTAGCCCTTTGTCAGATGAGTAGGTTGCGAAAATTTTCTCCCATTTTGTAGGTTGCCTGTTCACTCTGAGAAAAGGCCTTTGACAAAATTCAACAACCCTTCATGCTAAAAACTCTCCATTAATTAGGTATTGATGGGACGTATCTCAAAATAATAAGAGCTATCTATGACAAACCCACAGCCAGTATCATACTGAATGGGCAAAAACTGGAAGCATTCCCTTTGAAAACTGGCACAAGACAGGGATGCCCTCTCTCACCACTCCTATTCAACATAGTGTTGGAAGTTCTGGCCAGGGCAATTAGGCAGGAGAAGGAAATAAAGGGTATTCAGTTAGGAAAAGAGGAAGTCAAATTGTCCCTGTTTGCAGATGACATGATTGTATATCTAGAAAACCCCATTGTCTCGGCCCAAAATCTCCTTAAGCTGATAAGCAACTTCAGCAAAGTCTCAGGATACAAAATCAATGTGCAAAAATCACAAGCATTCTTACACAACAATAACAGACAAACAGAGAGCCAAATCATGAGTGAACTCCCATTCACAATTGCTTCAAAGAGAATAAAATACCTAGGAATCCAACTTACAAGGGACGTGAAGGACCTCTTCAAGGAGAACTACAAACCACTGCTCAATGAAATAAAAGAGGATACAAACAAATGGAAGAACATTCCATGCTCATGGGTAGGAAGAATCAATATCGTGAAAATGGCCATACTGCCCAAGGTAATTTACAGATTCAATGCCATCCCCATCAAGCTACCAATGACTTTCTTCACAGAATTGGAAAAAACTACTTTAAAGTTCATATGGAACCAAAAAAGAGCCCACATTGCCAAGTCAACCTAAGCCAAAAGGACAAAGCTGGAGGCATCACGCTACCTGACTTCAAACTATACTACAAGGCTACAGTAACCAAAACAGCATGGTACTGGTACCAAAACAGAGATATGGATCAATGGAATAGAACAGAGCCCTCAGAAATAATGCCACATATCTACAACCATCTGATCTTTGACAAACCTGAGAAAAACGAGCAATGGGGAAAGGATTCCCTATTTAATAAATGGTGCTAGGAAAACTGGCTAGCCATATGTAGAAAGCTGAAACTGGATCCCTTCCTTACACCTTATACAAAAATTAATTCAAGATGGATTAAAGACTTACATGTTAGACCTAAAACCATAAAAACCCTAGAAGAAAACCTAGGCAATACCATTCAGGACATAGGCATGGGCAAGGACTTCATGTCTAAAACACCAAAAGCAATGTCAACAAAAGCAAAAATTGACAAATGGGATCTAATTAAACTAAAGAGCTTCTGCACAGCAAAAGAAACTACCATCAGGCTCTCATCATTTTTTGCCAAAATTATTTCAATAGCTTCCCAACTAGACTTCCTGTCTCCAGTCATAGCCCTCTCAGATCCATTTTCTACCTAACATGTTCTGTCAGATGCATCCCTTTATTTCCCATGCTATTGCCTCTGCCAGAATGTCCTCACTTTACTGCCCGGAACACTCATTCTTCAAGATTGAACTTATCACTTCCCTTATAAAATCTTCTGTAAGTTCCTTTGGCCATTCAACTCATCCCACCACTAATATTATCTGACAAGTTCCATCACTTTCCATAACCTCTCCTGAATAATTTTGTAATAACATTTTCTATGGCACATTTAATTTTTACCAATACAGAAAAATGGTCATAGTCAATTTTTAGAGTGATAAACCAAAGTAATTGTAACAAAACTCTTAGAATGCAGGTTTGTCTTGGTGAGATTTACAGTCATACTTCACAAAGCCAGGAGAGGCAGTTGGCTATTCTATGATCACTCTGAAAATATTTCTGTAGAACTACATACAGGGATGGTGGAAAAGCCATAATTGGGCATGATGGTTTAGAGTTTTGTAGTTTGCTCATATTCTCACTCTTACTTCACCTCCAGCTTTTCACCAGCCACTTCTTTCCTGAATCCTGTTTGATAAGTGACCTTCAAGTAGTCACATTTACTTGTACCACACTCCGTCTTGATTGACCAGATTCTGTTAATTGCTGGCTCTGCTCATGTTTTGCTAAGGCTCGTGTGTGATCATGGTTTTTCCGTTAGTGTGGTCATGGGCTATATAGAAGCTCTCAAGACTAGCCTTTCTCTCTTGCCACTCTTCACTTCCTTAAACAGATTTCATTTTCTTTATCGGGAAGTTGAAACTTAAACCGTAAACATTTGCCTCAGAATGCAAACAAAGAAGCCTTCAACTGACTTTGCTGTAAGAATAAATATTGTTGTTAGGAGCCAAGATTGCCAAATAAGAACAGCTCCGGTCTACAGCTCCCAGCGTGAGCAACGCAGAAGACAGGTGATTTCTGCATTTCCATCTGAGGTACTGGGTTCATCTCACTAGGGAGTGCCAGACAGTGGGCGCAGGTCAGTGGGTGCACGCACTGTGCGCGAGCCGAAGCAGGGCAAGGCATTGCCTCACTCGGCAAGCGCAAGGGGTCAGGGAGTTCCCTTTCCTAGTCAAAGAAAGAGGTGACAGATGGCACCTGGAAAATCGGGTCACTCTGACCCGAATACTGCGCTTTTCCGACGGGCTTTAAAAACAGCACACCAGGAGATTATATCCCGCACATGGCTCAGAGGGTCCTATGCCCACGGAGTCTCGCTGATTGCTAGCACAGCAGTCTGAGATCAAACTGCAAGGCGGCAGCCAGGCTGGGGGAGGGGCACCCGCCATTGCCCAGGCTCACTTAGGTAAACAAAGCAGCCGGGAAGCTCAAACTGGGTGGAGCCCACCACAGCTCAAGGAGGCCTGCCTGCCTCTGTAGGCTCCACCTCTGGGGGCAGGGCACAGACAGACAAAAAGACAGCAGTAACCCTGCAGACTTAAATGTCCCTGTCTGACAGCTTTGAAGAGAGCAGTGGTTCTCCCAGCATGCAACTGGAGATCTGAGAACGGGCAGACTGCCTCCTCAAGTGGGTCCCTGACCCCTGACCCCCGAGCAGCCTAACTGGGAGGCACCCCCCAGCAGGGGCAGACTGACACCTCACACGGCCGGGTACTCCAACAGACCTGCAGCTGAGGGTCCTGTCTGTTAGAAGGAAAACTAACAAACAGAAAGGACATCCACACCGAAAACCCATCTGTACATCACCATCATCAAAGACCAAAAGTAGATAAAACCACAAAGATGGGGAAAAAACAGAGCAGAAAAACTGGAAACTCTGAAAAGTAGAGCGCCTCTCCTCCTCCAAAGGAACGCAGTTCCTCACCAGCAACAGAACAAAGCTGGAAGGAGAATGACTTTGATGAACTCAGAGAAGAAGGCTTCAGACGATCAAATTACTCCGAGCTATGGGAGGAAATTCAAACCAAAGGCAAAGAAGTTGAAAACTTTGAAAAAAATTTAGAAGAATGTATAACTAGAATAACCAATACAGAGAAGTGCTTAAAGGAGCTGATGGAGCTGAAAACCAAGGCTCGAGAACTACGTGAAGAATGCAGAAGCCTCAGGAGGCCATGCGATCAACTGGAAGAAAGGGTAGCAGTGATGGAAGATGAAGTGAATGAAATGAAGCGAGAAGGGAAGTTTAGAGAGAAAAGAATAAAAAGAAATGAGCAAAGCCTCCAAGAAATATGGGGCTATATGAAAAAACCAAATCTACGTCTGATTGGTGTACCTGAAAGTGACGGGGAGAATGGAACCAAGTTGGAAAACACTCTGCAGGATATTATCCAGGAGAATTTCCCCAATCTAGCAAGGCAGGCCAACATTCAGATTCAGGAAATACAGAGAACGCCACAAAGATACTCCTCGAGAAGAGCAACTCCAAGACACATAATTGTCAGATTCACCAAAGTTGAAATGAAGGAAAAAATGTTAAGGGCAGCCAGAGAGAAAGGTCGGGTTACCCACAAAGGAAAGCCCATCAGACTAAGAGCAGATCTCTTGGCAGAAACTCTACAAGCCAGAAGAGAGTGGGGGCCAATATCAACATTCTTAAAGAAAAGAATTTTCAACCCAGAATTTCATATCCAGCCAAACTAAGCTTCATAAGTGAAGGAGAAATAAAATACTTTACAGACAAGCAAATGCTGAGACATTTTGTCACCACCAGGCCTGCCCTAAAAGAGCTCCTGAAGGAAGCGCTAAACATGGAAAGGAACAACCGGTACCAGCCACTGCAAAAACATGCCAAATTGTAAAGACCATCAAGACTAGGAAGAAACTGCATCAACTAACGAGCAAAATAACCAGCTAACAGCATAATGACAGGATCAAATTCACACATAACAATATTAACTTTAAATGTAAATGGACTAAATGCTCCAATTAAAAGACACAGACTGGCAAATTGGATAAAGAGTCAAGACCCATCAGTGTGCTGTATTCAGGAAACCCATCTCATGTGCAGAGACACACATAGGCTCAAAATAAAAGGATGGAGGAAGATCTACCAAGCAAATGGAAAACAAAAAAAGGCAGGGGTTGCAATCGTAGTCTCTGATAAAACAGACTTTAAACCAACAAAGATCAAAAGAGACAAAGAAGGCCATTACAAAATGGTAAAGGGATCAATTCAACAAGAAGAGCTAACTATCCTAAATATATATGCACCCAATACAGGAGCACCCAGATTCACAAAGCAAGTCCTGAGTGACCTGCAAAGAGACTTAGACTCCCACACAATAATAATGGGAGACTTTAACACCCCACTGTCAACATTAGACAGATCAACGAGACAGAAAGTCAACAAGGATACCCAGGAATTCAACTCAGCTCTGCACCAAGCAGACCTAATAGACATCTACAGAACTCTCCACCCCAAATCAACAGAATATACATTTTTTTCAGCACCACACCACACCTATTCCAAAATTGACCACATACTTGGAAGTAAAGCTCCCCTCAGCAAATGTAAAAGAATAGAAATTATAACAAACTTATCTCTCAGACCACAGTGCAATCAAACTAGAACTCAGGATTAAGAATCTCACTCAAAACTGCTCAACTACATGGAAACTGAACAATCTGCTCCTGAATGACTACTGGGTACATAACGAAATGAAGGCAGAAATAAAGATGTTCTTTGAAACCAACAAGAACAAAGACACAACATACCAGAATCTCTGGGATGCATTCAAAGCAGTGTGTAGAGGGAAATTTATAGCACTAAATGCCCAGAAGAGAAACCAGGAAAGATCCAAAATTGACACCCTAACATCACAATTAAAAGAACTAGAAAAGCAAGAGCAAACACATTCAAAAGCTAGCAGAAGGCAAGAAATAACTAAAATCACAGCAGAACTGAAGGAAATAGAGACACAAAAAACCCTTCAAAAAATGAATGAATCCAGGAGCTGGTTTTTTGAAAGGATCAACAAAATTGATAGACCACTAGCAAGACTAATAAAGAAAAGAGAGAAGAATCAAACAGACACAATAAAAAATGATAAAGGGGATATCACCACTGATCCCACAGAAATACAAACTACCATCAGAGAATACTACAAACACCTCTACGCAAATAAACTAGAAAATCTAGAAGAAATGGATAAATTCCTCGACACATACACCCTCCCAAGACTAAACCAGGAAGAAGTTGAATCTCTGAATAGATCAATAACGAGCTGAAATTGTGGCAATAATCAATAGCTTACCAACCAAAAAGAGTCCAGGACCAGATGGATTCACAGCCGAATTCTACCAGAGGTACAAGGAGGAAATGGTACCATTCCTTCTGAAACTATTCCAATCAATAGAAAAAGAGGGAATCCTCCCTAACTCATTTTATGAGGCCAGCATCATCCTGATACCAAAGCCGGGCAGAGACACAACCAAAAAAGAGAATTTTAGACCAATATCCTTGATGAACATTGATGCAAAAATCCTCAATAAAATACTGGCAAACTGAATCCAGCAGCACATCAAAAAGCTTATCCACCATGATCAAGTGGGCTTCATCCCTGGGATGCAAGGCTGGTTCAATATACGCAATTCAATAAATGTAATCCACCATATAAACAGAACCAAAGACAAAAACCACATGATTATCTCAATAGATGCAGAAAAGGCCTTTGACAAAATTCAACAGCCCTTCATGCTAAAAACTCTCCATTAATTAGGTATTGATGGGACGTATCTCAAAATAATAAGAGCTATCTATGACAAACCCACAGCCAATATCATACTGAATGGGCAAAAACTGGAAGCATTCCCTTTGAAAACTGGCACAAGACAGGGATGCCCTCTCTCACCACTCCTATTCAACATAGTGTTGGAAGTTCTGGCCAGGGCAATTAGGCAGGATAAGGAAATAAAGGGTATTCAGTTAGGAAAAGAGGAAGTCAAATTGTCCCTCTTTGCAGATGCCATGATTGTATATCTAGAAAACTCCATTGTCTCAGCCCAAAATCTCCTTAAGCTGATAAGCAACTTCAGCAAAGTCTCAGGATACAAAATCAATGTGCAAAAATCACAAGCATTCTTATACACCAACAACAGACAAACAGAGAGCCAAATCATGAGTGGACTCCCATTCACAATTGCTTCAAAGAGAATAAAATACCTAGGAATCCAACTTACAAGGGATGTGAAGGACCTCTTCAAGGAGAACTGCAAACCACTGCTCAATGAAATAAAAGAGGATACAAACAAATGGAAGAACATTCCATGCTCATGGGTAGGAAGAATCAATATCGTGAAAATGGCCATACTGCCCAAGGTAATTTACAGATTCAATGCCATCCCCATCAAGCTACCAATGACTTTCTTCACAGAATTGGAAAAAACTACTTTAAAGTTCATATGGAACCAAAAAAGAGCCCGCATCGCCAAGTCAATCCTAAGCCAAAAGAACAAAGCTGGAGGCATCACACTACCTGACTTCAAACTATACTACAAGGCTACAGTAACCAAAACAGCATGGTACTGTTACCAAAACAGAGATATAGATCAATGGAACAGAACAGAGCCCTCAGAAATAATGCCGCATATCTACAACTATCTGATCTTTGACAAACCTGAGAAAAACAAGCAATGGGGAAAGGATTCCCTATTTCATAAATGGTGCTAGGAAAACTGGCTAGCCATATATAGAAAGCTGAAACTGGATCCCTTCCTTACACCTTATACAAAAATCAATTCAAGATGGATTAAAGACTTAAATGTTAGACCTAAAACCATAAAAACCCTAGAAGAAAACCTAGGCATTACCGTTCAGGACATAGGCATGGGCAAGGACTTCACGTCTAAAACACCAAAAGCAATGGCAACAAAAGCCAAAATTGACAAATGGGATCTAATTAAACTAAAGAGCTTCTGCACAGCAAAAGAAACTACCATCAGAGTGAACAGGCAACCTACAAAATGGGAGAAAATTTTCGCAACCTACTCATCTGACAAAGGGCTAATATCCAGAATCTACAATGAACTCAAACAAATTTACAAGAAAAAAACAAACAACCCCATCAAAAAGTGGGCAAAGGACATGAACAGACACTTCTCAAAAGAAGACATTTATGCAGCCAAAAAACACATGAAAAAATGCTCATCATCACTGGCCATCAGAGAAATGCAAATCAAAACCGCAATGAGATACCATCTCACACCAGTTAGAATGGCAATCATTAAAAAGTCAGGAAACAACAGGTGCTGGAGAGGATGTGGAGAAATAGGAACACTTTTACACTGTTGGTGGGACTGTAAACTAGTTCAACCATTGTGGGAGTCAGTGTGGTGATTCCTCAGGGATCTAGAACTACAAATATCATTTGACCCAGCCATCCCATTACTGGGTATATAACCAAAGGACTATAAATCATGCTGCTATAAAGACACATGCACAGGTACGTTTATTGCGGCGTTATTCACAATAGCAAAGACTTGGAACCAACCCAAATGTCCAACAATGATAGACTGGATTAAGAAAATGTGGCTCATATACACCATGGAATACTATGCAGCCATAAAAAATGATGAGTTCATGTCCTTTGTAGGGACATGGATGAAATTGGAAATCATCATTCTCAGTCAGCTATCGCAAGAACAAAAAACCAAACACCGCATATTCTCACTCATAGGTGGGAACTGAACAATGAGAACACATGGACACAGGAAGGGGAACTTCACACTCTGGGGACTGTTGTGGGGTGGGGGGAGGGGAGAGGGATAGCATTGGGGGATATACCTAATGCTAGATGACAAGTTAGTGAGTGCAGCACACCAGCATGGCACATGTATACATATGTAACTAACCTGCACATTGTGCACATGTACCCTAAAACTTCAAGTATAATAATAATAATAATAATAATAATAATAATAATAAAAGAATAAATATTGTTAGCCTATGTATGCAATCTCTTCTTCTAGCCCAGGAGATGGGACTGATAACTCTTTCCTAAGGCATTCTTTCTGTAACGTATGAAAATAGGGAGAAAGAAATCTGATTGAGTAGGAAAAGGGATAAAAGAATTTACACGCAGAATTATTCCTGCATAACTCTCATCTGACACGCTTCTGGGTTGTTGCTAGTTTCTATTTACACACTTGAAAAGGGAAATGTGGTAGGTCAGCATTCCTTCTTAGGAGAACTAAGGTGACGACAGATTGCCGAATGTCAGAGTCATGTGGTGTTTCTTGGTATTATAGTAATACCTCCCAGTAACTGCTCCCAGTCTTCAGCCCAGTAAATCTACCGTCCAAATAGTTGTGAAGTTAGTTTGTAAAAATGGAGACCATAGTACACTTTCGGAGGAGGAAGAGGTTGAAAAAGAAATGTATTCTCAAACTCTGTTCCTTTGGTTATTGACTATATTAGTTTCCTGAGGCTGCTATAACAAATTACCACAAAATGGGTGGCTTACAACAATAGATATGTAATTTTCTCAGTTCTAGAGACCAGAAATCCAAAATCAAGGGATCAACAGGGCCACGCTCCCTCTAGAGGCTCTAGGGCCACACTCCTGCCTCCTCCAGTTTCTAGTGGCTGTCAGCATTCCTATGACCGCATCTCTCCAATCTCTGCCTCTGTCTTCACCTGGCCTTCTCCTCTGTTGTCTGTGTCAGTCTACCTCTGTGTCACTTATGCTCTTTAGTGGATTTAGGGCCCACATGGATAATCCAGGATAATCTTATCTTGAGATCCTTAACTTAGTGACATCTGCAAAGACCCTTTTTCCAAACAAGATCACATTCACAGATTCTGGGGATTGGGACATAGACGAACATT
Organism: Homo sapiens; assembly: GCF_000001405.40. Taxonomy (NCBI): domain Eukaryota; kingdom Metazoa; phylum Chordata; class Mammalia; order Primates; family Hominidae; genus Homo; species Homo sapiens. The sequence goes on along the minus strand of NC_000001.11, from coordinate 85,824,000 downwards.
TGGGAGGCCACCATTCAGCCTGCTACATTAATTCACATTAAAAAAAAAGAAAGAAAGAAAGAAAGAAAACCCTAACTTGTTTTCAGCTACCATAATATCCAACAGCTATTATGTTCTTTTCTATTTCCAAGAAGAATCATAATCTCTACGACATTTAAGTTGAGCTTTGCAACACTTTGCTACCATTTTAAGTGATAGTATCCTATTCTCTTAAGTCACATGTCTCTACTTACTCTAATAATGTAATCTTTTCTATTTCTAGGGCCATGTGGGTGTACCAGGACTAAGAGGTGCCACTGGACAACAAGGACCCCCAGTATGTTTTGAAAGCATTATTTCTAAAAATTAACATTAATATAACTTATTTGGTCTCTGCTTCATATGTGATTTTTATTTTGGTTTCTACTAAAGGGCGAACCAGGTGACCAGGGTGAACAAGGACTAAAAGGAGAGAGAGGATCTGAAGTAAGTTGAAATTATTTAAGGCAATTTGAGATGTATTGTTAGCAATTTTAGAAAGCAGGAGCACAAGGAGTTACTATTTATTGTAATTCAAATTATCATTTATCACTGTAGAATATGGATCACTATGGGCCTCTAAGTAGGGTGTTTTTCAATAATTGTGCTAATACAAAATTATTGATTGAGTCATTTGTTTTGACTATTATCCAAATTTTTCTTTTCCAGAAGCCTATTCTAGCTTTGTGAAAATTGCCTCAGTTGTCTCAAATTAATAGTATGTTCTTGAGGTTTCAAACAGAAATACCAGCAAACCTTAAAACTAGTATTATAAGGTAAAAAAAATCAGTCAAACCTATATAATTGTTGTAGAAAGCATTAAAGAAAAAATTATTAAATGATAATTGTTAAAGCATGGTAAGGAAGACTTTGTTCATGACTATTACAATAGGTATAGCGACCACTGCAATGGGATTTTGCAATGGGGAAGAGAGATTGGACTCAACACCAAATATAGCATGGGCAAGTAGGAATTTATAACAAAGGAGCAGATTGAGTATGAGTGAATGGAAAATTACTTAAGAGGAAACACCAGGGGCCAGGGGAATTTTGGTTAAACTGACCTAACAAGAATTTTGCTGAAGACAGGCCAAGGTGACCAGACATCAACTGTGGGATAATCAGACATCAACTGGGGGATGGTAGAGGATGAGGAACCCAGTTAGATATCAAATATCAAGGGTGATCAGATATCAAGGGTGAAGGTTCTTGCTAAACCGACTTGGCAGGGTTCGTTGCTAAAACTGGATTTTACAAGGAAGTACACGGAGGGCTTAGAAGGTTCAGGAGCCTGACTAAAGTTTGACCAAGCAAAGAATCATTGTCATAGGATAAGAGAGGAAAAAGTAGTTTGACTATGTAACACAGGCTCATAATTGGTTTGAAAGTTGTTTTTTCATAAGGCAAATCTTATCAAGCAAACTAAAAATCTGTTGGTTTACTGAATTTAGTCTTCTCTTTCCATGTGGCCAGATAGACATTGCCTCAACTTTAAATAGCAAGCAACTTTGTCATTTGCACCTTCAATTCATTGCTGCCCTGTTTTTCAGGCATTCTGACTTCACATGCTATTGATTTCAAATTAAATTCTTAAGAAAATGCACTACACTGTTAATAATAAATTAGATGAGAATGAATAAAAAGTAATGATTTGAGATTGTGTTTCTCCTGATTTGTTAAGCAGCCTTCACCCATATTTGTGTTTTCCACTTATGGGAGTAAGTAATAAAATGGGGTTGAATCAGATATGTTAAATAGGCATTCACTTACCTAGAACCCATTTTGTATAGTCTTGGCATCTATTCAGTAACTTTCTGTTAGGTTCCCCAATAAATAATATTAATAAATAAAAATATCATATCGAAGATAAGCCTAAACAAGCAGAGAAAGAAGATAGTTAAGTCATTCACTTAGAATTTTTAATACTCAAATTGGAAAAAGTCATAGAAAACATTGGGAACCTAGAATACTGCTACTGCTGTCATGCTACTTCCTTATATTTGCAGTAAGTGCCTAAGAATGCAAGTTCTGTCCAACATTTGATCCGAAAGTATCTACTTTTTTACAATTAATACTTTCATATTTGCAGGCTTTCTTTTTCCATCTTGAGAGGTCTCAGGAGTAAGACATTTTCTGATGCTTATTAGTATATGTTAAAATTAGGCTAATGAATATCAAATACTTTTACTAGTCAACTGCCTCTCTAGCCTACATGGTCAACAATCCCTGCGTGTTGGAGCTAAAAGGTGCTAAGAAGCCATAGTTTAAATTCTGTATAATCCAGGCAAGCTAGTTCTTCCCTGCTTTGGGTAATGCTGGCATACAACCCAAGGGCACATTAAAAAGCCTCTTAGAATTTAAAATAGTATTAATTGCTACAAGAATAATGACTGACTGTGTATTATTCACTAGGGACACCTTCAGTGGCCAGATGGGTCCTGTCCAATTGCTGTCATCTTGTTTTTGCAAAGCTTTAAATTTATTTTTTAGATTTGGAAATGACCCTTTAAAATTATCTGGATAACCCTCTTAATTTTCAAATGAAGAAATTAAAATCCCAGAGAGATTATGAGTTACCTAAAATCACAGAACTAATTAGCAACAGAAACAACACTAGAAACTTTATTTCCTAGCTCCTGTTATTATGAAGAAGCCTATTACTTGTAATCTTTTAAAAATTAAGTAAAATATGATTAATTTAACCTAACCAACCAATTCATTCATTGGGCATAAGACTGTGGGCAGCTATAAAGAAAAATTTAGAGCAAGTCAAAACCAATTGCAGAACCAACATTTTTTAAAAGACTTTTGTAATGCAAATGTGAGTGAACTGTCCTATAATGACTCTCAAAGACCAAGACTCAAGCCAAAATATTTGTTCTCCCAAAACAAAATTCCAGATTTCAATGAATTGAAATTTCTTGGTGAAAAAAGAAAGAATAATTTTTGCTTAACTCTCTAAATCTATTTTTGCTTTATAAAGCTGCCTTCTTAAAGAGTGTTAGAACTAGTGAAGTATCTAGATAACTGTCCTTCAGCCTCATTTAAACAAACAAAAAACAAGCGTTTGTATTAACGTTGCATATTAAAAAATATTTCCCTTATCAAAAGAATCAGACTGCTTTCTCTAGTAGTCTGTGAACCAGCACAGTCCCAATGAACAGAAGCCTTTCAAAATGGATCTGATTTCAAATGGGCCACTCTACCTATTTTTCAGTGCTGGCCAGGCAAAAAGAAAGCACAATTTTATATGTACTGTAAATCTAATCCATTGACTGCCTTTAACCCCATTCACTCAAATATCCTACATTTGATTTAGAGTTTTCCCCACTCACTCTTTTCAAATTTGGAGTTACAGATGGTAGGGAAGGCAGGTGGAAAATAAGTTTAGTCTTCAGTCATCATCTGTTCACACTAGTGTCCCCTGAAATGCACATCATCACTTTTGGCCCACAGTTGCTATTGTCTCACCGTATTGGCATCTACCTTGGCCCTCCTGCCAGAAGTATTTTGACCTATGCTGGCATGTGCAGCTATTTGCTCATCTCAGGTACAAGACCTCCTCAGGCCTCTCAGGGCCATCTTCTTCTGTTCTTGGCCACATATAAATAACATTCTCTGCTCCCCACACCATACAGGGTACTTGGAGGACTCAGAAAGACATTCTTAATCCCACTGTCCTAGACATGTCATGCAGAGATTTTTACTCTATGTACTTTATGTGGACTTCTCAATGAGGACTTTAGTCTCCCTAGGCATCATCTTTGTGCCCAGATCCCCAAACTTATCTGGGAGCATTAGTGTTTCTATCCACCCTAAGAAAGACTCAAGGGCAGGCCAGGCATGGTGGCTCATGCCTGTAATTCCAGCACTTTGGGAGGCCGAGGAGGGCAGATCACCTGAGGTCAGGAGTTCAAGACCAGCCTGGCCAACATGGTGAAACTCCGTCTCTACTAAAAATACAAAGATTAGCTGGGTGTGGTGGTGCATGCCTGTGATCCCAGCTACTTGGGAGGCTGAGGCAGGAGAATCACTTCAACCTGGCAGGTGGAGGTTGCCATGAGCCGAGATCATGACACTGTACTCCAACCTGGGTGACAGAGTGAGACTCTGTCTCAAAAAAAAAAAAAAAAAGGAAAAGAGAAAGACTCAAGGGTAGGATGAGGGGCAAGGGGCTCTTTTCAGAGATTGCCGTCAGTGTCTAACAGTCCCGCTTCTCTTTTTCTTCTTCTTTTCCCTTTCCCCAGCTTGAGGATCTTTATCCCCTTTCATGGGAAAAACTCTTTGTTACATTATTATTATTATTTTAAATCTGTTCTTTATAGCATAAATTTTATGACTTGAGTCCTTTATAACAAACCTTGGTTTTTAACTCAAAGATAGACTTTTAATATTTAAGAGTCAGGCTTTTGTGTTTAAAAAACATGATTTTGAAACTGAAAACATATTTTTTTCAAACTGTTACCCCCACCATGAGTTTCATTGGACTATTTTAAAATTCAAAAGCCAAGGAAAAGTCTATTTTGAAAAATCAAAAGTATAGAACAGATATATCTCGTTGCATAAAAAGAAATACTGTAAAGGAAAAAACACACTGATTAACATAATTGCATATTATGATTCATATGCTATTTAATAAGTATTTCAAGATGACTGAAATCACAACTTTTTTCCACTATTTAAAATAGTCTTTGTTTATTTTGCTTTTTTATTGTGTTAGGAAAAACATATTTTACTTATAGGGATCATATGCTCTAGAAATGTGTATACTTTAATTAAACCCAGGTCACTAACTATCCCATTTTCTGGTTTCCTCATCTTTAGAAACATTTTGCATTAGTGACTTCTAAGACAAGTACAATAGTTTTCAAAGTTGGAAGTACAACCCATGATCCTTATATCTCCCCATTGTCAAATCCTGCAAAAGTTGGATTTTTATCTCTTAGAGAAGATGCTCTTTTTCTCTGTGACAACATATACTATTTCTTCATAAAATGTTTAAGCTGGTTGTCAAAAAAGTAACATCTTTTGAAGTTGTTTCTTTGTTGTTATTATTAAACTGAATCTTTAGCACAATTTGTCTTCAAAATTGAATGATTTAACATCCCATTTTAGTGGGATTATCCTGTTTGTGAGAACTTCTGATGATTTCTGAGAAATGTGTCTGGTAATGACAACATGATTCCTTTTCTTATTTGTGAACCAAGTCACCTTTTCCACATTTTCTTCTTTAAATACTTTTAGAATGTCATCAGAACAATGGCATGATTTGCAAGAGCAAAGTTCCTAACTATCCTGGCAGACCCATTACTGCTGAATCAATTATGATTTAAAACATCTCACACATGGAAAAACAAACAGTTCCGTGGGAAATAAATATCTTTTCCTTGAATCACAAGTATGCTCTTCTCTATTCTTCCAGAAAAGCACATTTTAGGCTATCAGTTCATGTTCTTCTTACCACACTGTAAGTGCCTTGTAAGGAGGAACTTTGCCTTTGCCTTCCAAGCGCATGACAGAGTCCCTGATACATGATACTCAATAAATGTTTACTGAATTAAGTAAATATGTAGCATTTTCAAAAGGAGATCAAGGCCCTTCCTGAAAGTAGGGACATTTATTAAATAATCTATTCAGGTCCCTTTTAGAAGTACAGTTTAAATTCTTAAATCATATAATTGAGAGCTACAAGGAAATTACTAGATGATCTTGTCAAAGTTTCTCATTTTCAGATGAAGAAGCTGACTCCCAGGAAAATTAAATGGCAATCCTAATGATATACAACTAGTTCGTGCTAGTTCTTGCTGCAGCGTCCAGGTCTCAGTGTCCTTTTCTATGGCTTCAGTTTAAGTAAGATTATTACAGTCAATTGACAACTGTGCTTTCCATCTTTAGGGTAATAAGGGGAAAAAAGGAGCTCCTGGTCCTTCTGGGAAACCTGGGATTCCTGTAAGTAACAGGCCTCTTTCATCTTTCTTGCTTTTCTAAATGGAACTGGCAACTTTAGCAAGCAGAAAAGTTTGGGGCCAATTGTGTCATCATGTTGGATAAATCAGATTGTCTTTTAAAAAAATTAAACCCATGCTGGAACACAGAGGGAACAAAATATGACCATTAACTCAAAACCAAACTTGCTGTTTAAATATAAGTCCCTGCAGTTGAAGGATGCTATTTTCCTGGTTATGAAGCCCTCCCGGTGGACTCATGCTTCTGACGGTGAACCACTGAAAAACAGAGAACTTAGAATCGTAACAAAATGAATGGTGACAAAGGCCAGAGATATTCAAGCATAATTAAAATGACATGAGCTAGATTTTAGAGGACTCAGCCTCTCATTCTCTAGACAAATAAAAAGTCTTAGGAAAAAAAATTTAATCTTTTCATCACAAAGATTAACTTTTACCTCACCATCAGTTTCCTCTCCTGGCCAGGCAGATAAGTGTTGACTGGCTCTTTAGCAAAGACTTTACTGGTGTCCCCTAGCCAAGGATTAGATGCCTGCTTTGGGTGACTTGTATTGGCTTGAAAAAAAAATAGAGAAAATGAATGTAAATTATAAGCACATTCAGATCAGAGATCCTTGCATATGAAATTTAGTTGCCCAAGTGTAGAAACAAAATGTTCAGACCTTACTTCAGTCATATAATTATCTGATTCAAAGTGGCAGCTGAATAGCCATAATTTATTTCTTGGGAAAATAACACAATACAAGGTTTGGCAGATGGGAAATGATAACCTCTATCCTAAGCTGACAGGTGCATATAGCTGATCTTTTCTCCACAATTATATAAAATATTGGTTGACACAATAAGAAACACCAGAGAATTACACTAAGGCGCAAAAGTTACACAGTAAATTGCTGATCAGCTTGGCATTTTTGTTTGGGGAACTTTTAAAGGCTTTTAAACTTTTAAAGTTATCTGTTGAATCCAAATAGTAAATCATTAAGGAATCCAGGAAACAGGAAAATTTGTCCTAGAACAAAATATAAAAATGTAAACTTCTCCAGCTCAATAAATAAAAAAGTATTTGTCATCTTAACATCTTTTCAGCATCTCTACAATCCAAATAATTTTTAATTATCAAGGGACTTCAAGGCCTACTTGGGCCAAAAGGCATACAAGGATACCATGGAGCAGATGGCATTTCAGGAAACCCTGGAAAAATTGGGCCACCAGGAAAACAGGGACTTCCTGTGAGTAGTACGGATATCTCTTTGCTCATTATTTCCTATGCATGTGTCTCCTTGCTAGACCATAGATATTTTGGCTATCTATTTTAGCTTTGGCATTGGCTCAGATTAAGCCAGTTCATTTCTCTAATAGCTATTATGCAGTTGTATTTAGGATTTCCAGGAACTGTCAATAGGTACATTCTCTTCAGTATTTTATATCTAATAACTCATAGTGTTAATAATTCATGCCATTTTAAAAATATAAAATCTGTTAAAGAAGACCTATAAAGAAGCAAAAGCTTAAGGACTACACAACCTGGCTGTACTTTGAGTTCATCAAATGTTTTAAGCCACCTTTGGAACATTTAGGTCTTGGCAGTAACTCAAGGTAGGTTCTGTGAAAAATCATTTTCCCTTTACTTTTATAGCCTCAGTATTTTACAAGAATTGTGTGAATATTTTCTCTGTGTTCATCTAATTCATTCATTGCAATAGGTCCATCAGCTGTCTCTCTTCTGATGTGTAATTCTTCATGCTATATATTAACTACATTTTAACTACCAGAAGAACTTTTGGTAGAATAGCAAATCCATGTCTATAATATGTGTCTACCCCTGTGAGGACAATCACAGCTAGCTCGAACTAATCCCCTAAGGAGCATTGCTGTGTTAGTAGCTCAGTGTTGGCCTCTACTTTTGGCAGGTTTGGCAGTCACCAGGGGTAGTAGCCAAATCAGCCTTGGTGAGGAAAAGTCCACATTATTGGATTTGTGCCAGTGGGCCCATTGAGCAACCACCGTGATAGTTATGGGAAAAAAGTAATGCAATAATGTAGATTCATTCTTATTTTTATGCAGATTTCTATCTTACTTATTTGATCAGAAATTTAAAAATCACATTTTTGTCTTTGCTTAACCATTTTCCCGCTTTCCTTCCCTAATGTCATCCTAATTGAGACATTTTTACCACAGGTTGTTTTTACTTTAAACATTAGACGAATTAACCACACACTTTTAAGAATACAGTAAAACTTACCCTTTTAAATTTCTGCTATTTGGATATGGTTACCTATTGATTTGTTGCTCTTTTCTTAGGTAATAAGTCAATTCTAATGTTTATTCAAATCTAGTATGGTGCTATACCTAAACTTAAATACAAATTAATATTCTTTTTCACTACAATGAGTTATCTCATTTGTTTAAAAAAATGAAATGATAACTTAACCAATATAATTATGTCACTAATAAATATCTAGTCAGATTCTCTGAAAATATGAAGGCTGTTAAGAAGTCCTAACATGGTTTCTATTTGTTTTGGAAGAAACATATCAGAGCCTCATGGCATCAGGTTACGGCCTACGAAACTTTAACAGCCAGGCCAAAGTTTTTAATTAAAATAAATATTGTATAGACTTTTGCTAGTAGTATCAGTCTGGTTAAAAGAGACTCATTTGAGATCCCAGTCTTAAAGGGAGCTCATGCACTGGGCTTCCATCTTCATGCTAATCTCCGGACTCACCATGTGATAGTCTTATAATGAGATTGTGAAATTTTAAAAATACAACAGTAAAACCCTTTGAATTGGTTTGAGAGTCTGTATTTTTGTGGATTAAGTTTTACTGGGAAATATTGTAGTGAATCTTTTCCTGTTGCTTTGAATAAGATTTTTGAGAATTCAAACAAGGAAAACCACATGTGAAAATACGTCATATTTGTTGCTGCTATACACAGGTATAATCATGGAGGTGGGGTGGATGGACCCAATAGTTTATAAGGCTAAATAGTGAATTGTAAAAGTACTAGTAGTAGCAAATGAATTTATTTAATAATATATTAGTAGTAATTAACTTATTAATAGGACCAGGAAGTCATTTGTTCTCAGGCTAAAATACTACTAATCCAGATATTAGTTCCCTATGTGGATAATAGAAACCAGTATCCTATATATGAGTTTAAGAACAATTTCAGATGTTCAGCTTATGAGATACTCGTCAGGACATTAGTGACATATCAAAGTCATTAATTACTTTTTACTCAAGTCATTTACTGGTTCATTATGACAAACAACTTCTTTCTAGCAATATGTAATACCTAGAGATCCCTCAGGAAGGACAGAAAATTTTAAGGAATGAAAACATTGATATGGATTATAAAATTATGGACCATTTTCTCTTGAGATCAGATATTATGGAAATCTGAATTGCCTGCTTACACATTTTGTCTGTGCTTTCTGGACCTGCTAGGGCCCAGTTTCAATATATGCCATTTTTATTTAGGAAAATTGCAATGTGGCACTGATTATCTGTTGCTTGTTTCTAGCAAGAAAATAGACGTTTTCTAACAACTCTACATTTTTCTTCAATATTGAGGTAATATTTAAAGGATAGTAATTTAATGGCTAAGAGAAAGCCAATACAAAAAATACTGAGTTAACACAAATAAAATGTTGATTCCGTTCAATGCCACTCTAAACCTTATTCCTAGAATCTGTCATGCTAGTTTTATTTTCTGTGTGGGCAAAGGCTCATGCCTGAAATCGAAACACTGGCTCTATCTAGAATACACAAGAATGAAGGGGTCTTAAGGCCAGATGATGAGGCTATTTGCATTCTATAACCCAATTAGGACTTTGGGATATCAGCCAAGTCTGACTGGTTTTAAACAAAAATCTTCTCTGGCTAACCTAAGCAGAAAACAAATTATAAGATAGTGACTGGGTTGCTTACAGAATCAGCTAAAAAGCTCAAAATCCAGGGTCAGAAAACAGTCTGAAATTAAGGATTTCTTGCAACAGAACACCCCAAGCAAAGAGTAGTCTAGTTAGGGTGCCACCAATGACATTGGCACCAGTCAACATGGCCACCATTGGACTCTCAGTGCCAATGCTACTGCACTATGAATAATTTCTAAACTGTCATGCATCTTCATGCCACTTTTTCAAGATTCAAAGACCTGAATGAGGCCGGGCGCGGTGGCTCACGCCTGTAATCCCAGCACTTTGGGAGGCCGAGGCGGGCGGATCACGAGGTCAGGAGATCGAGACCATCCCGGCTAAAACGGTGAAACCCCGTCTCTACTAAAAATACAAAAAAATTAGCCGGGCGTAGTGGCGGGCGCCTGTCGTCCCAGCTACTTGGGAGGCTGAGGCAGGAGAATGGCGTGAACCCGGGAGGCGGAGCTTGCAGTGAGCCGAGATCCCGCCACTGCACTCCAGCCTGGGCGACAGAGCGAGACTCCGTCTCAAAAAAAAAAAAAAAAAAAAAAAAAAAAAAAAAAAAGACCTGAATGAGATTTTCTAGTAATTTGACCTAAGTCACCTGCCAGAGTCCTGGATGCCAAAGGAGGCAAAAAAAAAGGTCTTTCAGCTTTGGCTTCTTTTTTTTTTTTCTTTAAGGTTTTCCACTCCCTCTGTCTTTTACCTTAGGTACACAGTTGTTGGGATAATCATATTAATGAATTTATGGCATATTGTCATCCTTCAGTTTTTGCATGGACCTACTCTTAGGCTGACTTCTTTTTATCCCCACTCTCATTCCCCTCCCCCTAAAATAGCCACTATTTTATATGTTTTAATGTATATTCTTATCTGTATGCTGTCCCAAAAATATACTACAGGTTTTTATGCATATCTTTAATTATGGAAATGATATTAGACCATGCATCTTTTTTTTTTCACTTAGCACTGGGATTTAAAGATACATTCATATTGCTATAGGTATATCAGCTCTCTCTCTTCTGACATATAATTCGTGCTGTGTATCAACTACATTTTAACTACCAGAAGAACTTTTGGTAGAATAGCAAATCTATGTCTAGAATAGGTATCTACCCCTGTGAGAACAATTGCAGCTATTATAGCTCCAACTTATCTCCCAGGGAGCATTGCCTTGTTGGGAGCTCAATGTTGGCCTCTACGTTTGGCAGGTTTGGCAGTCACCAGGGGTGGTAGCCAGATCAACCTTGGTGAAGAAAAGTCCATATTGTTGGATTTGTGTTAGTGGGCCCATTGAGCAACCACTATGATTAGTATGGAAAAATGTTGACTGATATCCACTAAAGGTCCATCTTGTTTACCTGATTATTGAGAACCTACTCTATAGAGGATGCTGTCTGTTAAGTATCTACATGGAATATAATTAACTCTACATTGATTTCATTTTGAGAAGTTCATCTAAATTTATCTTCCTCGGACCTTCTTATCATTAGCCTTTCAAACCCATTATTTCCAAGTGCCTGACCAGCTGGCCAAACTCTTAGCCAGTGCTCTCTGAATTAATGTAGATCCGTATCTCAAGCCATCTCTCCTTCTAACTATATGTATTGCCTCAAGTTCTACCTACTGGAAAGAGTTCACTTTACTAACATCTTTCAAGCTCTAATGCAGCCTGAAACTGTACACTTCTGGCTGATGTTGACAATCAATGCAGATCTATCCAAAAATCAGGCCTGAGGTTTTTCCTCCTCCATTAACTGGTAAAGGGAATTCTCTAGGAAAGCTGAAGGAGCAATGTCAAAGCAATGGGAACGGGTGTCATGGAAATCTGAATTGCTTGCTTACACATTTTGTCTGTGCTTTCCAGACGTGCTAGGGCCCAGTTTCAATACATGCCATTTTGATTTAAGAATAGAGTGCTGCGGTATACATTCAATTTTATGGTTCAGTGAATTCGATTATTACCGAGTTCATAATGGGCAAAACAGAGAACGAGAGCGTAGCCATTTGACATTCCAGGTTCAGTCATTCAGTTTCAATCGGAGCAAGCTCATAGCTGTATTCCAAATGGTAAATTGCATTTGACAGAGAGGGCATGGCCTGTCTCCAAAATCTTACAGATATAAGCAGGGTTTCTCTTATGGGAGATTACCAAAGGGCTCATATGGCATCTCTACCAGCTACAGAGCCTTCTGATATAATTAGAGTTTCTCAGTCATGAGGTCCAAATATTAATAGCATTGTAACTTACACCCTGAATCTGCTGCAGAGCCTTTTCTTACTTCAGGGTCCACTCAAAACTGGCAACCTGGCAAAATACTTGAATAGACATTTCTCCAAAGAAGATTTACAAATGACCAGTAATCCCATGGAAGGATATATAACATCACTACCATTAGGGAAATGCAAATCAAAAGCAAAATGAGATATCACGTCACACATGTTAGGATGCTATTATAAAACAAACATAAACAAACAAACAAAAACAGAAAATAACAAGTGTTAGCAAGATGGTGGAGAAATTAGAACACAAGCACATTGCTGTTGGGAAGGTAAATGACACAATACTGTAAAAACCAGTATGGTAGTTCCTCAGAAAATTAAACATTGAATTACCATATAATCCAGCAAGTCCACTTCTGGGTATATATATATGCAAAAGAACTGACGGCAGGAATGTAAAAGATTTTTTTAAATAAATTTTATTGTATAAATTTAAGATATACAATAAGAAGTTATGGGATACATATAGATAGTAAAAAGATGACTAGAGTGAAGCAAATTAATGTATTCATCATTAAAGGTATTTTTACACCAATGTTCGTAGCAGCATTATGCATAATAGTTAGTAGAAACAACCCAAATGTCTATCAGTGATTGAATGAATAAACAAAATGTGACATTGGAATATTTTTGGAATATATTGGAATAATTGACAATGGAATGTTTTTCAGCCTTAAAAAGGAATGAAAGTCTGACACACTATAACCTGGATGAGACTTGAAGGACATTATGCTAAATGTAACAAACCAGACGCAAAAGGATGAATATTGTGATCTCACTTATATGAAAGACCTATGATACTGGCAAACCCCAAAACTGTGGCTCAGCCAGGGAGGGTTCTTGTCTTCCAGGAAGACAAGAAATAATTCAGGAGGGAGCTGACAGAGTAAAGTGAAGGCAAAGAGTATTAGGGTGTTCTTGCATTGCTATAAAGAAATACCTGAGACTGGGTGATTTATAAAGAACAGAGGTTTAATTGGCTTACAGTTCTTCAGGCTTTACAGGAAGCATGGTGCTGGAACCTATTCAGCTTTTAAGGAGACTAGAAGGTGAAGTGGGGACAGACACATCACACGGTGAAAGCAGTAACAAGCAAGAGAGACAAAGAGTGAGAGTAGAGGGGGTGTTGCCATGTACATTTAAATAACCACATCTTGTGAGAACTCATTATCAGAAAGACAGCACCAAGCCATGAGGGACTCACCCCCATGATCCAAACAACTCCCCCAGCCCCCACCTCCTGCACTGGGGATTACAATTCAACATGAGATTTGGGCAGGGACAAATATCCAAACTATGTCACAAAGCAAGTTTATCAGAGCAACAGAGTATAGGAAAATGGCTGCTCCATAGATAGAGCAGGGCTACCCCATAGGCAGAGTAGCCCTCATAGACTGCTGGCTAGCTATATTTATAGCTACTACTTAATTATATGCTAAATAAGGGGCAGGTTATTTGTGAATTTTCTAGAAAAGGGATGGGGCATTCCAGGAACCAAGGAAGGGTTCCCCTCCCCTCTTAAACCATATAGGGTAACTTCCAACCATTGCCATGACATTTTTAAACTGTCATGGTGCTGGTGGGAGTGTCTTTTAGCATGCTAATATATTATACTTAGTGTATAATGAGCACTGAGGGCAACTAGAGGTCACTTTTTTCACCATTTTGGTTTTAGCTGTATTTGGTCAGTTTCTTTACTGCACCCTATTTTAGCCAGATCCTGTTTTGATCAGCAGGGGTCATAGCCAGTTCTTGGAAAACAAGTGCTGCTGACCTCCTTCCTCACCTAGGATAATCAAATTCAGAGAGATAGAAAGTAGAATGGGGCTGCCAGGGTTTGGTGGAAGGGGATAATGGAGAGTTATTGTTTAATGAGTATAGAGTTTCAGTTAAAGAAGATAAAAATTCTGTAGATAAATGGTAGTGACAGTTGTACAATAATGTAAATGTACTAATGCCACTGAAATGCATACCTAAAAATGGTTAAAATGATTATATATATATAATATTATATACTATATATAATATTATATACTATATATATGTGTGTGTGTATATATATATATCTCCATAATAAAAACAAAAAAAACAGCAACCTTACAGGTTACTAAGAAAATGGATTGGAGCAGAACACCCAAATCTGATATAAGTTGACTCCAAAGTCCACAGAGGCTCACCAGAACTGTGCCCCTTTTATTGTGATGGTCAGTCAGTGCAAAGTACAACAATTTATCTCTACTTTGGAGGAGGTATCCTGATGTGCCCCCAAACTATTATTCCTGGAACTTCACCCATGAAACTGCCTTTTCAAAATTATGACAGTCAGAGAAATCTGACATAATTGACTCCATCTTACTTCTGACCTCCAAGTTGTCCTTGATCATTCCTGGGCAAAGGCCAAGCTAACTTTGGGAAGAATTTAGTTTATAGTTTAACTTGAAAGCAAGAATGACAATAGTCCCACCTTAAAATTAACCCCTTCCTTGCTCAGGGAATGAAAACTGCCTTGTAAGACTAATTAAAGCCCACAAGAATAGGATTATGGGAGAGACCTGAACTCTACTAACATGTAGGTTTAGTTTCTCTAATTCCTTGCTGCTCAGGAGTCATGTGGCCAAGATTACAAGATAGGTATAGTTTCTATAATCCCTACTGCTCAGGAGTTATATGGCCAGAGGTCACAAGATTTGCGACTTGCCCAGTTGCTTCTATAGATAACATCACTATTGTAGAACATAAGATTGGGTTTTTTGAGATACCTTTCTGACTGACTCCACCAGACTCATGAATCATGACTCAACTGATCCTGTGGCCCCATCCAGAGGGAGACTCAGCACACAAGGACAGTTTTCCACACCCCTGTGATTTCATCCCCAACCAATCAGCAGCACTCATTCCTTAGCTGCCTGCCCACCAAATTGTCCATAAAAACCCTAGCCTTTAAGCCTTCAGGGAGACTGATTTGAATGATAACTCCAGTTCTCCCATGTGGGCCAGCCTTGCATCAATTAAACTCTACTGCAATGCTGCAGTCTCAGTGAATTTATTTTTGTCTGTGCAACGGGCAGGGAGAACCCATTGGGTGATTACACCCATTTATCAAGCCCCTGAAATTTTAAATTCTATCCTCTGGTACACCTTTAGGGTGCTTGTTCTTTTCTACTCTCCAAGTCCAGTTTAATGGACCTGAATGATATTTTGTGAGATATCCAGAATATAAAGATATCTGCTCAGTCTGTTTTATGACAGAGAAGCAAATTGAGTTGACATAGCACTGAGCTAAGACAGGGAAGGGATACTGCTTTTCCTGCCACATGAAGGCAAGAAAACTGCTTCCAATTATCTTTACTGATAAGAATGTGGATAGGAAATATTTTTGCTAGGTCAGTAGCTGTTGTTGCCAGTGGCTATATTGTTTAGTAAAGATACCATATCAGAACCTGCAGCTGTAATTGGCATCATCCCCCAACCCGTTAAGTTTGTAATACACTACCACTTTCTTCAGGTTTATTTGTTGTTTGCTCTAGCCAAACACATGAGTAAAACAGATAGGGAATATAGTAGGAATCACTACCCCTGTATCTTTCAGGCCTTTATGGCAATAATATGTACAATTTTCCACAGGGATGGGAGTAATATGTACAGTTTTTCACAAGGATGTGTTATTACATTAGATTTATATTGGTGAGGAGGGGACAGGAAGGGATAGTTGTAGGAACATTCATTTGTGTCTTCCCATCTTACCATAGTAGTAGCCTTTATAGTTAGGAAGTTTCACTATGCTCTGAGATTGGAGGGGAGAAAATAAAAACTGAGCTCACAGTCTTTATTGGACCCACTTGGAAATGGAATTGGATGAAAACTCCATTTATCACTTGACCCTCGTAAGCTTCCACTCTGACCACAGTGTTTATTTCCAGGGATTATCATCAGGTTATAACTAGTATCTTAACAGCTCTAGAAAGACTTGGAATTTGTCTTTTCCCAGTGTTCAGTCACCTAGTAAATGACCATAGGTCTCTCTCAAGAATACTTAGGGGAGGAGTTGTAGTATACATCTCTGACCACATTGCAGTGTTTTTTCTCAAAGAGAACCTACCTCCTTCTCAATCAAGGGATTCTGATCTAGGAACTGGCTTGAGTCTGAGAACTGAGTGAGAGTACATGAATCCCAAGCACAGTGACTTAAGTAAGATTTATATCTATAAGACCTACAATTTTTCCACCTGTATATTAATATATTCTAGTACACTATGGTATATTCAATTCCTATGTCTCCTATGTTCAATTAACCATCACCACAGATCTGTGCAAAACAGTCTGATTCCACTCCATCATTGTAGCTTATTGTGATAATTGCTCCTACCTTTTCTCTGATAGCAAAGCACTATGACCTGGATTCTACCACTCAGGGATTCCAGTGTTCCCATTTATATCAGAGAACCTATTTCCAATGATGTTTCTTAACTCTGTGGTAAAGAATGCTCTTTGAGCCCTTCCAGGGGCTGTGGTTAGAGGGTAGCTGATTCGATTGCAATAATAGAGTTATCTCCACATTTTCATCTTCCTGGGCCTTTGAACCCCTTTCTATTGTGAGGGAAGTTATAGCATTTCAACCTCATTGACTGTAGGCCACAATCGAGTCCAGGCTTCAAATTGCCAATCTACTGGACTATTAATGGTGTTCCCAGGCACTTGAGTAGGGGCTGCCTCCACAAGCCAGGAAGGTTAAGCAGGATTAGAGGTTCAGAGTTCTTAGTCTTGCCCATGTCTGTTCAAATGTCCCCATTTCTTGTCTTGGAGTTCTTCTCTTTCTCCACCAGTGCTCTTATCTTAGCATAGAATCTGGCTAGTTGAAGATGAAGATGTATTAATATGCAAATTCTGCAAGCCTTACAGTGGGTTGGGTTCTCAGTCATATCTGCCTTGTGACTACAGGGGACTTCATTCCCATTCATACCCCTTTGGTAAGGCACTGGCCAACAGCTAGAGTAAAGGAGCCTGCTGGGTCGTAGAGCAGGGTGGAGACTGGATCTCAAAAGGCAAACAGATAAAATCCAGCCAACTTGTTTAACAGTTCTCATTTATGCATGAGTCAATATCAGCAGTCCATTCCAGTATTAGCAAACCACATTTGGTGAACAAATCAGCCTGTTTTTGTATGGCCCATGAGCTAAAAATGGTTTTTACATTTTTTTAGTGGTAGAAAGTAGAAATAAGAAGAATGTTTTGTGAAAAACATATGAAATTTGAATTTTGGTATTCATAAATTAATTTATTGGAACACAGCCACAGTAATTTATTTACATATGGCTGCTTTTGCACTACAACAGCAGAACTGAATAATTCACACAGAGACCATATGGCCTGCAAAGTCTAACAGAGTTACTGTCTGGCCCTTTTACAGAAAACATTGGCTGACCTCTGGTCTATTTGTATCATCACATTATTCTTATTACTATGGCTCTGTAGTATGTTCTTATATGTAGTGGGCAAGTCTCCCTTATTTAAATTCTTTTCTTAAGGTTGATTAGCTAGTTACAGACTTTTATTCCTCCACATAATTTGAGATTCAGTTTGTTGAGTTTCTCTAAAAATAAAACAAAGGTTGAATTGTTATTAGATTTGTCTTGAATTTATAGATTTAGTTGGAGAAAATTTGTATCTTATCATTTTAGTTATTTAATATAAAAGGAGGAAATATATATTTCTATCATTTTCTTTTTTTTTTTTTTTTTTGAGACGGAGTCTCGCTCTGTCGCCCAACCTGGAGTGCAGTGGCGCGATCTCCGCTCACTGCAAGCTCCGCCCCCTTGGTTCATGCCATTCTCCTGCTCCAGCCTCCAGAGTAGCTGGGACTACAGGTGCCCGCCACCACGCTCAGCTAATTTTTTTGTATTTTTAATAGAGACGGGGTTTCACTATGTTCGCCAGGATGGTCTCGATCTCCTGACCTCGTGATCCGCCCACCTCGGCCTCCCAAAGTGCTGGGATTACAGGCGTGAGCCACCGCGCCCGGCCTATTTCTATCATTTTCTAATAGAATTTCTTCATAATAGTCATGGCAAAATTCATACAATGCTTAGAACTTGCCCACGTACCATAAGTGTTTTAATGTATTAACAAATTTAATCCTTACAACCCCATGAGGTAGGCATAATTATATTTCTTATTTTGTAGATGCAGAAATTGAGGCACTGAGAAATTAAGTAATTTCTACAGTCACATAACGACAAAGGCAGTCTAAAACTCCATATTTTTTGTCTTTATAAATCTGCAATATTGCCACTCAGTAAAGGCTTTTTATATTCTTATTTTTATTCTATTTACTAGGTAGTTATTACTGATTTAAAGAAGCACTACTGATTTGTATCAGTTATAGTCTAATATGGCTGAATTTTTTATTTCAAATAATTTGCTGTTGTGATTCTATTGGGCTTTTAGGTAGATAATATCATCTTCAAATAATGGCAGATTTATTTCCTTCCTTACATTATCTCTTTCCTTAGATTCATTTATTTTTCTTTCCATGTATTTCTTTCTTTCCATTTCACTTTCCATGCAAGTGACCTTGAATATTATTTTAAACAATAGCAGCAATCGTAGAAATTCTTCTACTGCTCCAGATGTTACAGGGAATACATCTAAAATTTCTTCATTAAGAATATTTGCCACCCAGGTGCAGTGGCTCATGCCTGTAATCCCCAGCTCTTTGGGAGACCAAGGCAAGAGGACCTCTTGAGGCCAGGACTTCAACACCAACCTGGGCGATATAGCAAGACCCTGTCTCTACAGAAAATTTAAAAATTGTCTGGGTGTTGTAGCATGTGCCTATAGCTACTCAAGAGATTGAAGAAGTAGGATTGCTTGATATGAGGAGTTAGAGGCTACAGTGAAGTATCATCATGCCACTGCACTCCAGACTGGGTGACAAAACAAAATCCTAAAAAAAAAAAAAAGAGTATTTGCCATCTGAAATCTGTATTTCCTTTGCCCTGTTGATATGGTTTGGCTCTGTGTTCCCACCCAAATCTCATCTTGTAGCTTCCATAATTCCCACATGTTGTTGGAGGGACCTGGTGGGAGATGACTGAATTGTGGGAGTGGGTCTTTCTCATGCTGTTCTCGTGATAGTGAATGGGTCTCATGAGATCTGATGGCTTTAAAAACGGGAGTTGCCCTGCACAAGCTCTCTTTTTGCCTGCTGCCATCCATGCAAGGTGTGACTTGCTCCTCCTTGCCTTCCACCATAATTGTGAGGCCTCCCCAGCCATGTGGAACTGTAATAAACCTCTTTCTTTTGTAAATTGCCCAGTCTCAGGTGTGTTTATCAGCAGCGTGAAAATGGACTAATGCACCTGTACTATCCTTTTGGGGTTTATTTCTCCTTCTTTCCTCATTTCCATTGGATGACTAAAGTTTCTTCTGCTGGCTTAAAAATTACTTCTTTTGTTGTTCCTCTTGTGCAGTTCTGCTGAACATAATAACCAAGTGTGTATTTATTTAAATCTATTGATTTGTTGAACGTATCACTACCTGTATCTTCCCTCTAACAAAACACTTTCACATATTCTCATATCCCTTTGTTTTTATAGACCACTCCTCTCCTTCATCATTTTTGTATTTTGCCTCAATTTTTCACTTTTAGTCTTTATTCATTTACTTTCTCCTTTTATTTCTGTTATTTCTAGACTCCTTTTTAAATAGTAAACTTAATTAAGCTATTTGATAACCAATACTTTCAATATTCTTTGCAGAATCTCCTGAATTTTTTCTATTATTATTTCAATGCTTTCTCCAAAAATTATTTTTAATGTAGGTCTTTGTGAGGCAAACATTCTGATGTCTTATATGCCCACAGATATATGTATTACCTTCTCATATTTATATGACATATTCAATATTGTACTGGAAATTCTAGTCAATTCAATGAGGTTGTAGCCAATTCAATGAGGTTCTAGCCAGTGTAATAACAAGAAATAAAAGATGTCTAGATTGGAATAGAAGAAGTAAAACTGTCTTTATTTGCAGAAATCATGATTGTCTAGTAGAATATCCAAAATCTACGGAAAACTGAGTTTAGCAAAGTTGCAAGATTAATATACAAAATTAATTGTATTTCTATGTACTAGCAATTAACAATCAGAAATGGAAAATTTTAAAGCAGTATTATTTCAGTAGTATCAGAATGTGAAATATTAGGGATAATTCTCACCAAAAAAAAAAAGTGCAAACCTATATCCTGAAAACTATAAAACATTGCTGAGGGAAATTACAGAAGTCCTAAATACATGGTATATATACTATGTCTCTGGATCATAAGACTCTATATTGTTGTTTTTGTTTTGTTTTGTTTTGTTTGTTTATGGTTTTTTTTTTTTTTTTGAGATGGAGTCTTGCTCTGTCACCTAGGCTGGAGTGCAGTGTCATGATCTCAGCTCACTGCAACCTCCACCTCCCGAGTTCAAGTGATTCTCCTGCCTCAGCTTCCTGAGTAGCTGGGATTACAGGTGCATGCCACCATATCTAACTAAAATTTTTAGTAGAGATGGGGTTTCACAATGGTGTCAAACTCCTGACCTGGTGATCCACCCATCTCAGCCTCCCAAAGTGCTGGGATTACAGGCATGAGCCACTGCACCCAGCCTCTATATTGTTAAGATGTCAATTATCTTATATATTGGTAGTATCTAAAAATGTTTAACATATTTCTAACATATAACCCAGCCATTCTATTCCTAGCCAAGAGAAATGAAAGCATATATCCACACAAAAACTTGCACATGAATGGCCATAGCAGCTTTCTTTGTAATAGCCCAAAACTAGGAATGAACCAAATGTCCATCAAAAAGTGAATGGCTAAATAAATTCTAGTACATGTATACAATGAAATATTAGTCTCAGTGAAAAAGAATTATATACATGCTTCAACATGAATGAATCTCAAAGTGGGGAAAAAAACAGACAAAAAGATACATGCTGTTTGGTTCCACTTGTATAAAATTGTAGAGATTTCAAAATAATCTGTAATGATAAAAAGCTAATCGGGTTTTCAGGAGATAGAAGTGCATGTGGGGAGGTGTGGAAAGGAGGGTTTACAAAGGAATAGGAAAAACTTCTAGGGGTAGTGGATATGTTATCTTGATAGTGGTGATGGTTTAATAGGTATATTTATTATGCCAGTTTATCAAATTATATACTTTGAAATTTACTTCGTGTCAATTATACTCAGTGAAATAGGTATATAGAGATAAATATCTTATCTACATATATAAATTCATATATTATATGAGTGGGGAGGAGGAGAGAGATGATACCAAAAGATAACTGGAGTTTGTAAATTGGGAATAATAATAATTATAGGTGGAGAAAGCAGGAAAGAAACATTCTAGGCAGAGACCACAGCATATGCAAAGTTAGGAAGAACTGGATGTGCTTAAAGAATCAAAAAAAGACCAGTACGGCTAAAGTTTGGTGAGCAAGGTGTAGAGTGATATGGTTTGATGCTGTTGAGGTATACAATGACCACATCATGGAGGCTATTGAAGGACGTATTAAGGTAATTGAGCATTATCTAAAGAGAGTAGACCTCATTGAGGTTTAAGCTCAGGAGAGACATTATCCAATTCAATTTTACATTTTTAATGGATTCCCTCTGGCTTCAGTATAGTAAATGGATTGGAAGGGGACAAGACAAGATGCAGAAGACTAATAAGACTACTTTTGCAGTACTCCAGGCTATAGGTGTTCACGGTTTGAACTAGACTGGTGAAGTGTAAATGGAAAGAAGTGGATGGATTTAGGTACTATTTAGGAGGTGGCTTTAGTAGGACTTGATATTTGATTGGGAGACATGAGGGAGAGAGAGAGATATCAAGGGTAACTTCCAAATTTCTAACTTGCACAAGTTTCCAACTTAATACCTTGTGATGTCTGCCCGTCACTGAAAAAGCAAATATTATAGGAGGCCTAAATTTTGTGAGCAAGATTATGACATTCAAGTGGAGATATTAAGTTAGCAATTAAATATCCTCAGCTAGAGCTGAGAGAGGAGGTCAAATATGAATTTGTGAGTCATCAGCACATGCATGCTTTAGTCAGAGTCCTGTTAGGAAGCAGATGGAATGCTCAATTGGAATTTTGAGGAAACTACCTACAGAAATGTAGAAAGGGTTAAAAAAGTCAACAAAGAGTGCTGGGAAACCCAGAGACTGTCAACAGTAGGAAGCCATTACTGTCCTTAGACCTGAAATGGTAAAGGGAAGAAATGATGTTACTAGAATCAAGTTGAGATCAGGAACTGCTGGAAAGAGGCATCTGACAGGAGCTATAGTTGAGAATAACCCAACCACTTATGGAATGCCAAAGACAGAAGGAAATGGGAGAAATAAATATATTACCTTTCTCTCCTCTCACTTTTCAATATCCTAGTGGTGCATCACACTGGCCAACCCCAACTGGAAGCCAGAGGTCAAGAGAACCCCAGCGATGCAGTGCATTGAAAGTCAGATTCGCAGGACAAGTTGCAAGATAGAGAAGGGGTGGTAAATGGATCTGGGGAGCAAATGAAAGAAAACAAACACAAATTTTGTTGAACAGTGGGAAGGAGGTCCAGAACCAAGCTGTGAGGAACTCTAACATTTAACAGTCAGATACAGGAGGAAAAAGACTGAAAGGAGTGATTATAATAGGTAAGAAAAAAATGAATGTGGTGTCATGGAGACTTAAGAAAGAATATTTCAAAAAGGAGAACCTCATCAACATATCTAATAATCTCGAGAAACTGTGTTGGACACTTGTTTTATTAATTTTGTTTTTTGTGGGGTTTTTGTGTTGATGTTGTAGATGCATTTTGTGTTTGTTTTGCTACTCAGCATCTTTATCCCATTTTTTTAATTTAAAAATCCCTCTTTTTGAGTTTTGGTGAAAGGCCAGCTTTTACTGCAGTAGCCAGAAGTTCCAAACTTTTACTTCCTTGTCACTTGAAACAAGGATGCATGCTCTGACCTAGGCCTGATCAATTAGTTATATTCATCTTCAAATGGGGATTTAGTGATACACAGAGGCGGGGACAGTGGAGAGTCTGTTGTGGTGGCAGTGGCAGTAACATCAACAGCTCCCAGTTTCCAGGGATGACGGTTGCATCAGTAATAGTGTTCAATGTCCAACAGCAGATGTAGTACACGCTGTAGTGTTCAAATTCTGGCTTCCTGACATCACTTTAATTCTGCTCATTTTCCAAACCTGATTCTCCAGGTTTATCTGTGATTATATGAGCTACCAAATGTGTTTTCAATGTCTGTTCTGCCTTTATTATCCAGTATTAGTTTCTGGTATTTGCAAGTAAGAACTCTGACTAATATGCAGATCTAATAAAATGAAATTATGTTCATGTATTTTAGTAAGTGGAGGTCATCAGTAACTTTAGCAAAGAATCTTGTCAGGTTGGGGGCAGGAATAGGATTGACGTTCCTGAGGAGAGAGAGTGGACAGTGAGAAAATCAGGATATTCAAACCACTCAATGGAGACATTTGGTTCTGAAGGAGAAAATAGGGCAATGACCAGAGAATAAATTTAAAGTAGAAAGTTATTTTTAAATGTGAGAATCCTGACATTTAAATGCTCATCAGAAGGACCTAGTAAATATGGAGAGGTTGAAGACAGTCAAGGGAAGGGAAAATCTGAGTATGAATTAGACAACAAAACCTGCATATTCTAGCTCCTCTTCCTAAGTTACTCTAATTGGGAACCATTGTTTATAAAAACAGATTCTGAGCCATAGAACAGATTCTGTCCCTTTATGTACGACTGGTACAGAAAGCTCATTGCACTTTGAAAGAAACAAATGGATTACAGTAATGTTAAATACTGTTGCAACATACCTCCTAGGGCCATGAAGTTGAATGGTAACTAATGTTGCCGTTAGCAAGCAATTAACTACCAGATCATAAGTCATCATCTGCTACTTTTTAGCATTTTCACAGAACAAGTTAGACAAATTTTACATGCATACTTAGAATATTAGGATGTCATGTGTTGAAATGTTTTGTATCCATCAAAATAAAAATAAAATAATTTTCTCTTGAGGATCCCTTTGTAACCCCAAGGTTTGCACATGCAGTTGGTATTTATGTACATGGAAATCTTTTCTATAAATGTCTCTGCTCTCTGTGGAATATTTGATATGGAATTAGAATTATAGTGCTTTATAAGGAATCATTCTGTTGTTCAGTGAAACAAGGTAGTAATGGCTAACTGGGCATTAGGGAAAGTGATTTCTAAGAGAAGTATTTCTCAAACCTACTGTGGTAATAGAAAAACTACTTAAGAGGAAATAAGACCATTTCTAAATACTAGCAAGTTCCTTGGAATATTTTCAACCGAGGATAAGGACATCTTTCCATTGGTTTTTTTTTTTTTTTTTTTTTTTTTTTAGTCATGGCACCATGGTGTTCCTTGGCTTACCTTTAAAGACTGCTGGGTTTTTCCACTGAGAAAAATATTTATTCTGGGATTTTTAGCATTATGCAACTGCCTGATTTTCCTAAACAATGTTCTTTTCTTTTCTTTCTTTCTTTCTTTCTTTCTTTCTTTCTTTCTTTTATGTGGCCAAGGAATTAAAGAATTCTTGGCATATTCACTCTGCAGTTTCAATGTTTTTTCAAGATCATGTGACTGTAACTGAGGGACAGTACAGGGGAGGCTCACCGTTGCCTGTGTGAATTTCCTTCTGTGAAAATGAGTGTTTTGAGGCCAGTCAACTTAGCACATCTGTAGTAAATGAGTCTACCATGATGTTTTCATCGAGTTCAACTTCTGTACAAGCATAGTACCTCAGTCATTTAGGAAAAAGCAAAACAACTTTTCCTTGCAAATATCATAAATCCATTTATCACCAAAAGGAATGCTTACCAGTCTTTTTATTTTTTTATTGCTGTAACTAATAAAACTGGTCATTGGAAAAGAGGGAAAGAAATAAAACTAACGACTTGACTAAGGACAAATCAAGGCCTTTCAATCTTGACTTTGCAGTTTTCCAGGTGAACACAAGCATAAGTGTTGTCTAAAATGAGTTTCTTGTCTTAAAGGAACATTGAAAATCCTGAATTTTCCATTTGTGGATTGTGTCCAGTATAAGGAAGAAAAACACACTTCATCAGCACCTTTGTAGTAGGACCACCATCGAAGCTTCTATTAGGAAATCCAGCTACCCTGCCACCCATCTGGGCTGTGTGTTCTCATAGGCTAGTCACACGAAAGAAACTTTTCTTTCTAAGAAGATACACTTTTTTCTTCACAGTATTTTGGAGAAAGAGACCTACATTCTTTGTCCAGACCTACATTTAGCAAATCCTGTCATCTCATTATTAAGAGGTTGATTATTCAGTTATGGCTTATCCTGATTGGTACTTCTTCCCTCCCTCCGACCCCCAACCCCGCCGCTTGTTTTGGCCCATTTTCTACTCATTAGGAACTCTTCCAGAGCAACAAAGTTCAGTGTATTTGGCAGCGTATTGGCAACAAAACGAAATATCTGCTAAAGGATTTAACTTTCTTAGTTGAATTTTCCATGACTCCTGATCAGATAAAGTTCATACTTTTTTTTTTTTTTTAATAGAGACAGGGTCCCTCTCTGTCACCCAGGCTGGAGTACAGTGGTGTGATCTTAGCTCACTGCAGCCTTGAACACCTAGGCTCAAGTGATCCTCCTACCTCAGATTCACAAGTAACTGGGACTACAGGCATGCACCACCACATTCCGTAATTTATTGTTTTTTATTTTTGTAGAGATGAGATCTCACCATCTTGCCTAGGCTAGCCTTGAACTCCTGAGCTCAAGCAGTTATCCCACCTCGGCCTCCCAAAGTGCTGGGATTGCAGGCATGAGCCACCATGCTCGGCTGGTTTATACTTTTTATGGAATGATGTTTCTTCGTGGTCTAGCCTCTGTTGACATTTCCAGACATATATTCTACCTTGCTTCTGATGTGTGCTGTGCATTTCAGTCATAATCACAGCTAACAGTTATTAAACGCTTACTGTATCCCAGGCACTGTTCCAGGTGCTGATGTGTATTAAGTGATTTAACCCTCACAAAACCTCCATGAAGTAGAGACAGCTGTTATATCCAGTTTACAGAAAAGGAAGCTGAGACCGAGAGAGACTAAATAACTTCCGCAGGTTCACACAGACAACAAGTAATCCAATCAGAATTCAAACCAGGCATCTTAGTTTCAGAGCTATGCTTCTTCAAGTATGCCTATTTACTTAGCCCCCAAAATTCTATTATTTCCCCCACTTTCTGGCCTTTGTGTACTTTATTTCCACTGCTTAGAAAGCTCTTCCATTTTTCCCTCTAACTTTATGGTGATCTTTTAGGACTTAACTGAACTATTACCTCCTTCACTCACCTTTCTAGTCGGAGTTGAGCTTGTCTGCTCTGAACTTTTGGATGCTCAGTACACTGCCTCCATCAGAGCATGGATGTTGTCTTTCTTTCTCTCCAAAGAGTCCTGTAGAATCACCTAGCACCATGTCAGGCCCATAGGAGAAGATCAATAAACATTTGGGAATTGAATGTTCTTTTTTTTTTTTTTTTTTTTTTTGAGACGGAGTCTCGCTCTGTCGCCCAGGCCGGAGTGCAGTAGTTGCGATCTCAGCTCGCTGCAACCTCCACCTCCCAGATTCACGCCATTCTCCTGCGTCAGCCTCCCGAGTAGCTGGGACTACAGGCGCCCACCACCATGCCTGGCTAATTTTTTTTTTTTTGTATTTTTGGTAGAGACGGGGTTTCACCATGTTACCCAGGATGGTCTCGATCTCCTGACCTCATGATCCACCCGCCTCAGCCTCCCAAAGTGCTGGGATTACAGGCGTGAGCCACCGTGCCCGGCCAGGAATTGAATGTTCTTTGCATAGTTGTTAGGATCTTGGAGACCTGGGTTTAAAATCTAGATGCGATAGGTATTTGACATCTTAAGCAGCATTTATAAAATGAGTACAATAGTATTATACTTAATCCATATGGTTTTTATAAGAATCAAATGAAATATTGTATGTAAAATGCATAGTACACTGCATGTATTTATTGGGTATCATCTTTTCATAATAATAAATATAAATGGTTAAGCTTACATGCATTCATTCAAAAAATAATTTGTTTCGTGCCTACTAAGAGCCAGGAGTTAGGGAATATAGCAGTTAATCATGGTCAAAAAACTGCCCTCATGGAGTTTGGTGTGTTCACAGGGTTGTGGGAGAATCAAATAAGATAGTATGAGTAGATTATTTGTAATTTTTTGAATAAAAGGATAGACATTTATTTCTCTATAATGATGTGAACCCAGACATATCTAAGAGTCAAAGTATAGATGAAACATCTTCTTTCAGTCCCTGTTAGTCCTGTGATTGGATGTCAAGACCTGGGTAAAGGAGATTTCATAAAATACCTTTATTTTGTCAAATATCATAGTGACATTTGCACTATTTTTTAGGATTGATAAAACATCAGTTGTAAATAATTTCTGTGAAGTAAAACAATGTTGAAATACCTGTATTCATTAAGGTTGAGCAAGAGATTGTATACCCTTGATGTGAGTCAAACAGACCTGTCTTCACTACCTTACGACCTGCCTCAGCTGTACTCTCAGTTCCATAAGCTTTAATATGTTTAGAAATTCAAAACTAAAATTACCTCCTAACTTTAGTATATAGCTCATTCATAAATCTTATTTCTAGCAATTGGCTACATTACTTATGATTGGCACGGCAGGAAAATATTATGAATGCTACATTATTTATGTAAAATGTAGCCTTGCATATAATCACCTAATAATTACCATCCCACATATTTTTAAACACCAATCCTTTGCAGGAAGGGATATATTTAGTAAACCAAATAAAACGAGAAATTCCTACTTAAACAGAAGTGTTTTGAGTTGCTCAGACTAAAGGAAGTAAAGTATTATTTATATAACTTCTGGGTTTGCTGGCTTAAGAAAAAAAATAGTACTTACATTGCCTAATAATCTAGGATATTATATTTGTACTACAGAAAGTAAATTAATTTTAAATTAATTTTTCTTATTATCTTCTCACATAGTTAATAACTATATAAACATAATGCTCTGTACACATAAGGTGCCTGGCAGAAGAGAAAGGAAAAAACTTTTTTTAGAAAAATGTTAAGGTAGTACTTTAAAGAAAAATATCAACCAATATGAAGTTCAGTGTCATTTTGTCATTCTACTATGAGAAATCAATAAAATTGATATTCGAAATATTTGTAATTTCACTCAGCATAACTTTAAATATAATATTTTTAGCTATTTTTAGAATGTAGATTTTTATCGTTGCCTGGATTTAACAAATTTTATTTTTTATTGCTTATTTTTTAATATATTTGTTTCAATCCTAATGAGAATATGACGGCTAAGCCAAGGAGCTGGGGGAATAACAGAGTGACACTTTCTTTGGTATGTTTCACTATTATGTACAAATAAGTAATCATCATTCCAAAATTTGTCTCTGTATCTTTTTTCTAAATGTGTGCATATAGCACCATTTTCCTTCCCAGATCTTTCCATTCAGTTCTAAAATGAAGGCAGACTTGCACTAAAACAATTTCTTCCTTTTCCCAGAGGGAAGTCAAAGTGAAAAGCAATGCCTTCTTTCCTTAACTGACACCAGATCAAATAAAATAATACAAACCATAATGCTATTCATTTCTGACAAATGGAATGCACTCAATAAAAAGCAACTCTTGCAGTTGTGGTTGATGTTGTTGTTGTCATTACTGATCGAAGTACTTGTTTCTTTAGAGTCCAAAGGCTTAGGAAGCCATGGGTTTCAGTCCTGTCAAAACTGACAACACTTTCCTGCTAGGTTTAAAACTTATTTCGGTAGGGAGACTGGCTCCTATCTGAGAATAAAGGAAGTCTCTGGTCATGCGACACCATGTACTCTTATAATTATATTAATTTTTAATACACATGTAAGCTGTTCATTGATTTTTGGCATCTCTGACCAAAGTTAATAATAATTATAATTATATTTACTTTTTAAAATTTACCCAGAATGATTTAACATAGGCTGAATTGTTTTAGACAAATCATTTAGAAGACACTGGAAAGAATGCCTAGGGTTAGCATCTGTTTCTCTTGCAAACAAAATTAATCAGCCATCTGTGTAATAAGAAATGTTTGTTCTTTACTTGTATGAAACATTGTTTGGAACGTTGAACAGAACACTCTGCTATCATCCTCAAATTTCTCTCTAAGAAACCAACAAGCATAGTAAATGACTTGGACTATATTCATTCTACTGGGTTAAATATCTGATGGCACTGCAAGTAAAATGAAGTTGCTAGTTTACAGTTAACCCTAATGACAAGTTTTGTGCTCCTTATTATTCTCAGTCAAAAGTACATCTTGACTTCAAGAGTGGTCAGTAGTTTCTGAATGTCCATTGTCATGTATCACCTGAAAGATACATTTTTTATATTAGAAAATGAAGAACTTTAAAATTGCCTAGAATTATAAGTAAAGTGAGGCAAAATGGTTCTATTTTAGAATTATGCAATTTTGAGGTATCTTAAAATCATCTAGGATAATCAGTTCTAATGATGCGTCTCCCTAAAATATCCATTACCTCTATAAAATATCTGGAGATAAGAGGCTCACAAACTTGCAAGACAACCTAATGCTTTTTAAAAAAATTCTCACACGATCTACATCTATAACTTAACTTTTCAGTTGGTTTAACTCTGAAGTTACTTTGTTTTTTACTTTATTTTTTTTGCTGCTTACATGCCCTTTCTTTCATCTTGTATATATGACTTTTTAAAATCTGCTCTCTCTTCGGGTTTCTTTAGGTCTTTATACTATTTTTGTTTTTATTAGGGAGGGTGCTATTCATCAGAATTTTGTTTTTAAAATTTGCCTTTCCTGTTAAGTCATATCCCCATTAGAGACCTGGTCATTGGTATAACACCTATGTCTTTTCTGAACATTTTTGAAAATTTAAATCCCAAAGTCTCAGATGACTATCATTTGTATTGATGATCTCTAAAATGGCACCATCTCATGACTCCAGGGTTCTCATCATTCATGTGCAAAGTACACTACCAGATAATGTATCCCATAGGTATGGAACAGAAAGGCTCATGGAAAATTAAAACAAATATAAAACACATAGAAACCAGGGGAAAGAAACAGGATAAGATAATACACTTAGGATGAGGCACAAGCAACTTGGAAGAACTACATCACCTGAATCCTAAGTCCACAGCATGGATCTCTCGCTCTCGCTCTCTCTCTCCCCTCTCTTTCCTTCCCTCCTCTTCTCTCTCTCTCTCTTTCCTTCTCTTTCTCCCTTTTTCTTTTCCTCTCTCTTCCTCTATTTCTCCTTCTGTGAGGATTTTGCCCTTGTAATTTGTTCCTTAAAATATTGAGCCCCACTAACGCAGATAAATGGTGAGAGATAGTTGGGACAAAAAAAGACTTAAAGGTCAAGCTGAGGAACATGAACCTATATCCTATATGTACCTCCCTGTAAGCACCCAGGATTGGAGATGAACCTTAGATACAAAATACATTATTTTAGTGAGTTTTGGAATGTGAGGAAAATCTACTTAGAAAGGATAATTTTTAAAAATATACTTAATTATCTTTTACCATAAGCAAGAAAATAATAAAATATGTGATGACATAATATGAAGAAAATGTTATTTGAAAAAAAAGGAAAAAATGCTTTGGTACTAAATTCAAAATTGACTTTACTTTTTAAATACCATTCTCTCAACCAGACCTTCCACAGAAATGGCTTTAGTCTGTCTTGAGCCAAAACATCTCTCCCACCACATTTATAACTTTAAGGGCAATATCTTTATATTATGATCATGATCCAGTTTCTTCTCACTAATTTCTTTTCTGATTACCACTAAAGGTAACTTCCCCTCCTCAGAACCTCTCAGGTATTTACATTACATCTCTCTTCTTAGGAATTTTTTTAAAACTTTTGCTGTCATTATAATTATTTATATAGTACATTCCATCACATTTCGTTTTTTGTTTTTCTTTTTCTTATTAATTTATTTGTTTATTTTTGAGACAGGGTCTCACTCTGTTGCCCAGGCTAGAGTGCAGTGGCATGATCATGGCTCACTGCATCTTTGAACTCTTGGGCTCAAGCGATTCTCTCACCTCAGCTTCCCAAGCAGCTAAGGCTACAGATGCTCACAATACCATGCCCTGGTAACTACTTTTTTCCTTTCTTTTTTTTTTTTTTTTTAGAGATGGGGTTTCACTGTGTCACCCAGACTGGTCTCAAACTCCTGGGCTCAAGTAATCCTCCCACCTTAGCCTCTACCAAAGTGCTGGGGTTACAGGGATGAGCCACCACACCTGGTCTCATCTTTTTCATTTAATTTTAAGCTTCTTAAAAACAAGAACCATATATTATTTATATCTATATTTTTAAAGGGATTCCCATGGTAGCTTCCTTATGCATAGATGATATTCAATAAATATTTGTTGAATACATGGAGAAACTATTGAATAACCCAATTTAATATCCTAGGAATCAACTCAGAAAATAAGTTATTCCTAGAAGAGAAGTCAACAAACTTTTTCTGTAAATATGAAAACATATTTCTGTAAATATTCATATAAATATGAATAAATTTTAGTATTTGCAGGAAGCAAACTCAAGGGTATTACTTGTGAACTTATGTAAGAAGAGAGAAACTGTTCACAAAATGTTTATTCATGAAATTAAAAATATAATTAAGTAAAAATTTTGTAATGCAAGACTAGTAATGAGAAAAATGTCATGCTTTGTATAGGATAACACTTAGCTTATTAAAATCTGCTTTCTCTGTGGGTTTCTTTAGGTTTTCAGCTGTTTCTGTTTTATTGGGGAGGGTGCTATACATAAGAATTTTGTTTTTAAAGCTTGCCTTTCCTGTAAAGTGATCTTATTACAGTTCCCTATTGTAAGAATTTTCTGCACTTGTTAATGCTGTTAATATTGGCCTGTAATGAGACTTTGCATATTTCACATATTTCATCTTTGAAAATTTTTTTCACACAGATAGGTACTGCCAAATGCTGCAATTCATGAGCGTATGATTTTCATTGAATATACTGATTGCTTGAAAACAATATCCAGAATTCTATTAGGTTCTCTTGATTTTGCCTTTTAGCATGTCATTTCCTTGTAGATTAATCATTTCCAATTGTAAGCTAGGTGGAAACTCCTCAAGTGCACAGTCAAATCGATTTTGAAATATGGAAATTTATTGCATCTAGGTCTAAGATATGCTACTGAAACTGTTTGAGTTCAGAAAATCTACCCACCATATGCTTTCCAAATTTATCCAATAATTCTTTTTTTGATCCATAGCTGTCAGTTGTATTGTATCTTAGCAGAATCCACAGAAGATTGTACTGATTTAGTGTTTTTTTTAAACTTCTTTGAAAATATTCTCACTTGCAGTTACCCCACAGACTATTTATACAATTCTTCCATCTCAGCATTGACTCCTTCCCATACTCAGCATTGACTCCTTGAATGAGCAACTGAGCAGTATTGCTAATTTCTATTGACTCATCAAGAACCAACAGGCCGTGCTGGTAGGGAGAGAAGAAAAAAAGAAAGAACCTTCTTTTTTAATTGATTGTTGATGCTGTACCAGTGTCCTCAACATTTCAAGCAGCTATTCTTGCCAAAAAGCTAACAATCTTAAATAAGTGTATTTTTGCTATGTGATTTAATTAAGTCATCAATAAGGGATTTTCCTTATTGGGCTAACAAATGAAGTGAACACTCAGAAACTTACTTCAGTTGCAGCCTCATTTTCATTTTGTTGTGAAGAAATTCTGCTGTGATAAAATACTCCATGTTACATTTTCCAATTTTTCTGACTGTTGCATTCCTGTGAGGTAGAAATATTATATTATGTGCCTAGTCTGATAATGTTGATATATACTGTATAATTTTTAAGCATAGCTATAGTAATATTACATAGTAAATACAAGGCTTTGCCATCTAATTCAATAAGAAAATTCATTTTCCATGGTGCCTAAAAATACAATATTCGAAGTCCACTTTTCTTTTCTTGCTTTGATATGATAGCATGTGCACTGGTAATACGTAAAATAAAGTGTCACAGTAATATATGTTCCACTTGAAACACTATAACTGCATCACTGCAATTTGTAGTACACCAAGCAACAGTACAAAGCAATGGAAGTGCCATATAAGATCTCTACCAAGACACAAAATCCCTTCAAAAAATCAACGAATCCAGGAGTTGGTCTTTTGAAAAAAAAAAATGAAATAGATCATTAGCTATCTAATAAAGAAGAAAAGATAGAAGAATCAAATAGACACAATAAAAAATGATAAAGGAGATATCATCGCTAACCCCACAAAAAATACAAACAACCATCAGAGAATACTATAAACACCTCTATGCAAATAAACTGTACAATCAAGAAGAAATGGATACATTCATTGACATATACACCCTCCCAAGACTGAACCAGTAACAGTTGAATCCCTGAATAGACCAATAATGAGTTCTGAAATTGAGGCAGTAATAAATAGCCTATCAACCAAAAATAAACCCAGAACTAGATGGATTCGTAACTGAATTCTACCAGAGGTATACCAAGAGGGGCTGGTACCATTTCTTCTGAAACGATTTCAAACAATTGAAAAGAAGAGACTCCTCCCTAACTCATTTTATGAGGCCAGCATCATCCTGATACCAAAACCTGCTAGAGATATAACAAAAAAAGAAAACTTAAGGCCAATATTCCTGCTGAACATCAATGCAAAATCCTCAATAATATCCTGGCAAACCAAATCCAGCAGTACATCAAAAAGCTTATCCACCATGATCAAGTTGGCTTCACCCCCGGGATGCAAGGCTGGTTCAACATACACAAATCAATAAATGTAATTCATCACGTAAACAGAACTAAAGACAAAAACCACATGATTATCTCAGTAGATGCAGAAAAGGCCTTCAATAAAATTCAACATCCCTTCATGTTAAAAACTCTCAATAAACTAGGTATTGACAGAACATACCTCAAAATAATAAGAGCCTTTTATGACAGACCCACAGCTGATATCATACTGAATGGGCAAAAGCTGGAAGCATTCCCCTTGAAAACTGGCACAAGGCAAGGATACCCCCTCTCCTCACTCCTATTCAACATAGTATTGGAAGTTCTGTCCAGGGCAAACAGGCAAGAGAAAGGGTATTCAAATAGGAAGAGAGGAAGTCAAATTGTCTCTGTTTGCAGATGAATGATCCTATATCTAGAAAACCCCATCTTTTCAGCCCAAAAGCTTCTTAAGCTGAGAAGCAACTTCAGCAAAGTCTCAGGATACAAAATCAATGTTCAGAAACCACAAGCATTCCCATACACCAACAGCAGACAAGCAGAGAACCAAATCATGAGTGAACTCCCATTCACAATTGCTACAAAGAGAATAAAATACCTAGGAATATAGCTAACAAGGGAAATAAAGGACCTCTTCAAGCAGTACTACAAAACACTGCTCAAGGAAATCAGAGAGGACACAAATGGAAAAACATTCCATGCTCGTGGATAGGAAGAATTAATATTGTGAAAATGACCATACTGCCCAAAGTAATTTATAGATTCAATACTATTCCCATAAAACTACCATTGACATTCTTCACAGAATTAGAAACAACTATTTTTTAAAATTCATATGAAGCAAAAAAAGAGCCCGTATAGCCAAGACTATCTGAAGCAAAAAGAACAAAGCTAGAAGCATCACTCTGCCTGACTTCAAACTATACTACAAAGCTACAGTAACCAAAGCAGCATGGTACTGATACAAAAACAGACACATAGACCAACGGACCAGAATAGAGAACTCAGAAATAAGACCACACACCTACAACCATCTGATCTTTGAAAAACCTGACAAAAACAAGCAATGTGGAAAGGATTCCCTCTTTAATAAATGGTGCTGGGGGAACTGGCTAGCCATATGCAGAAAATTGAAACTGGACTCCTTCCTTACACCTTATACAAAGATTAACTCATGATGGATTAAAGACAAATGTAAAACACAAAACTATAAAAACCCTAGAAGAAAATCTAGGCAATACTATTCAGGACTTAGGCTGGGCAAAGACTTCATGATGAAACATCAAAAGCAATTGCAACAAAAGCAAAAATTGACAAATGGGATCTAATTAAACTAAAGAGCTTCTGCACAGCAGAAGAAACTATCATCAGAGCAAACAGACAACCCACAGAATGGGAGAAAATTTTTGCAATCTAACCATCTGACAAATGTGTAATATCCAGAATCTACAAGGAGCTTAAGCAAATTTACAAGAAAAAAACAACCTCATTAAAAAGTGGGCAAAGGGCCAGGCGCGGTGGCTCACGCCTATAATCCCAGCACTTTGGGAGGCCGAGATGGGCGGATCACGAGGTCAGGAGATCAAGACCATTCTGGCTAACACGGTGAAACTACATCTCTGTTAAAAATACAAAAAAATTAGCTGGATGTAGTGGCAGGTGCCTGTAGTCCCAGCTACTCAGGAGGCTGAGGCAGGAGAATGGCATGAACCCAGGAGGTGGAGCTTGCAGTGAGCCGAGATCGCACCACTGCACTCCAGCCTGGGTGACTGAGCGTGACTCTGTCTCCAAAAAACATAATAAAATAAAATTAAAATTAAAAAAATAAAAAGTGGGCAAAGGACATGAACAGACATTTCTCAAAAGAAGACATTCATGCAGCCAACAAACATATCAAAAAAAAGCTCAGCATCATTGATTATTAGAGAAATGCAAATCAAATCCACGATGAGATACCATCTCACACCGGTCAGAATGGCAATTATTAAAAAGTCAAGAAACAACAGATACTTGCAGGGCTGCAGAGAAATAGGAACACTTTTACACTGTTGATGGGAATGTAAATTAGTCCAACCATTGTGGAAGACAGTGTGGTGATTCCTCGAAGACCTTAAGGAACCAAAGTCCAGGAATACCAGAAATACCATTTTACCCAGTAATCCCATTACTGGGTATATACCCAAAGCAATATATATCATTCTATCATAAAGATACATGCACGCGTATGTTCATTGCAGCACCATTCACAATAGCAAAGGCATGGAATCAACCCAAATGCCCATCAATGATAGACTGGATAAAGAAAATGTGGTACATATACAGCATGGAATACTATGCAGCCATAAAAAGGAATGAGATCATGTCCTTTGCAGGGATATAGATGGAGCTGGAAGCCATTATCTTCAGCAAACTAATGCAGAAACAGAAAATCAAACATATCATGGTCTTATAAGTGGGAGCTGAACAATGTGAACACATGGACACAGGGAGGGGAACAACACCCACTGGGGCCTGTTGGTGGAGGTGGGACAGAGGCAGAGGGAGAGCATTAGGAAAAATAGCTAATGCATGCTGGACTTAATACCTAGGTGATGGGTTGATAGCTGGAGCAAATCACCATGGCACACATTTACCTACATAACAAACCTGCACATCCTGCGCATGTACCCGGAAACTTAAAATGAAATTAAAAAAAAAAAAACTCTGCCATAACTACTCAGCTCTGCTATTGTTGTGCAAATGCAGCCCTAAACAATATGTAAATGAATGAGCATGACTGTCCAGTAAAACTTAATACATACTGAAATTTTAATTTCATAGAATTTTTCCATGTCTTTAAGTATTATTCTTTTCAATGTTTAAAAATGTAAAAACTGTTCTTAGTTCATGAGATCTACAAAAACAGGTGATGGACTGAATTTAGTTTGCAAAGTGTAGTTTGCCAACCTGATTTAGGATTTAGTTTTAAGGATATACTGTTTGCTTGCTTAACTTTATTTCCAGTTAAACAATTTTTAGCAAATTTTCTGGAATCATGTATGGTTGAGGAATAGAATTTTCTTCTTAAGGAGACTTTCAGCAGTTATTAGAGTTGCCATGTACACCAGAGTATAATACAAAAGTTAGAACACAACAAACATACTTCACACCTAGGCTTTATAAGTAAGAAGGTACTGGTGGACTTCGTATTGCTTTAGTGTTTTCATTTTAAAAACCCAAGATCATTGCATAAATTATAGAAATTTCAAGTGAGTGGTGAGTATTCCTAAAAAAGTATTTAAACATTTCATCTTCTGGGAAAGAAGCCCAGGATAACTCCTGGGCAGTATGTTAACAGACGCCTTTCGGGGCACAACTCTTCCTACATTTTATTGAGCCTCTAAACTGACTTTTTAGAAACTTTCCCAGTTTTCATTTCTTATCTGTGTTATTTAGGGCATCAGAGGCGGCCCAGGAAGAACAGGTCTTGCTGGGGCTCCAGGTCCTCCAGGAGTAAAGGGTTCATCAGGCTTGCCAGGAAGCCCAGGAATTCAAGGCCCAAAGGTACTTTAATATTTTGTTCCAATGGGTAAGCAGTATTGGCCATCCTTTCTGGCCCTGAGTTCATTGGCTAGATCACAGAATGGTAAGATTAATAGTTTTTAATAGAATTTGGCTAATAGTAAAAGCACGTTAGGAAAAGAGAAAGTATGTAGTTTTGACATATCCATCTCCCATGATAGCCACAGTGCCTGTAATTTGTCATAACAACTCTTTGACCCAGGACTAGTGATGCTTTAAAAAATGCTATGTCTTTGACTCATTTTTGTTCTTTTTCCTTCTCTGTCATCTGTCTTCTCCTCCAAAACAGGGAAATCTTATTTACTTCCAGATAAATACTTTCTCAAATACAATTCCTTTTCTTCTGACTCTGAACCTAACCAACCAATTAATTAATCTGATAACCGTACAGACTGTTTCTTAGAGTTAATGTGACAGTAACTAAGTCTTATATTGCATTTATTGTGTGGAGTCTGTCACATGTCAATAGACTTTCCAGACAAAACCTCTTTTAGAAATATCTCATACAGGATTGACCCAGACAACTTAGAAATTAGTCCAACATCTAAAGCTCTTTCATAAAAGCCTAAGACTAAGACATTGGCACCCTTACCATTATTACCTCTTAACCTGATTTTCCCAGTTCCACTTCTAAAGAATTTTCAGATTTCTGACCCATGTGGGTAAACTGAAAATCATGACCTACTTGTTTACTGTTTACAATATTAGTCTTCTGTTAATGTTTATACCATGAATATTCCTTTGTGCTAAAATTCAAAGCAGCTAAGCAAATGCTAAAGCCAGGAAAAGAAGTAAAGATCCCATGTTTTAGGCTTGAATTTGCAATAAGAAAGATCCATATTTGTCAAACCCCAAAATTGTATAGCTTTGTCTCAAGACAGTGAGAGATAATTTGTTAATCTTAAAGAAGCTTTGGCCAAAGTCTACCAAGCATCGTTTTTCATTAACCTATCTCTAAAATCCACCTGATTCCTAAATTTACTTTTAGAAATGGTGTGAAAGATATTTCAACTCTCATTTCAAAAATAAAAATCAATGAAAAAAGACTTGACTTTTAGAAATTCAATAATGTTGATTAAGTATGTACTTAAAGTGACTTTTAGGGGATAAAGACAGTTCATATCAAAGGAATCTAGGGAGACAGATAATGGAAATTTTTTATTGATGGAATTAAAAAGATAATCATGGCTAAAACCAGGGTTTACACTTCAGGAGACTACTCTTTTTCTGGTATTAGATAGCTGAATCATCTCTGGATGGTAGGGAAAACACAGAAAAATGATATCAATTCAAAATACAAGTTCTGGCCAGGCACAGTGGCTCACACTTGTAATTCTACCACTTTGGGAGGCTAATGCAGGAGGATCACTTGAGGCTAGTAGTTCAAGACCAGCCTGGGCAACATAGTGAGATCCTGTCTCTACAAAAAAATAGAGAATTAGCTAGGTGCAATGATGTGTGCCTGTAGTCCCAGCTACTCAGGAGACTGAGTTGGGAGGATCGCTTGAGCCCAGGAGTTTAAGGCTGCAGTAAGCCATGATCACATCACTGCACTACAGCCTGGGCAACAGAGCAAGACCCCATCTCTAATAAAAAATAAAATAAATAAATAAACAAAATATAAGTTCCATCACATATAAACACACCCACACATACCACACCCTCACTATCCCCTCTCAAGCCTTACTATCCTACTAGTTTTATAGGTTCCCCCTTCCCTCTTCTTTCCACACATCACCACAATCTCTGGAATTTCCTTTTCCCACTGCTACTCTTCTGGTACATTATAATTAAATACTACTTGTGTGGAAAATATTGGTGAACAAGATGAACATGCAAAATTTGATTTCCCCAGTGCCTTGTATTTATGGAATGGGCCTAAGGATGGGCCTGTATTTGGGTTTCATTCAAAAGCCAATATGTTTATATGTTCTGATGTAAAGATCGCTTTTCTTTGTTCTACCCATAGGGTGAACAAGGGCTACCTGGTCAACCTGGAATTCAAGGTAAAAGAGGTCACCGAGGAGCACAAGGTGATCAAGGACCATGTGGAGACCCTGGCCTGAAAGGGCAGCCTGTATGTACCACCTCAGAAATTCACCAAGCATTTATTCTACAGAGCAGGCTGCCATTGTACAATAATTATTATCATGTCAATTCACTTTGCAGGGAGAATATGGTGTTCAAGGTTTGACAGGTTTCCAAGGATTCCCAGGCCCTAAAGTATGTTTACATACTTTCTTCTAGTCTTCTAGCTATCTAGAAATAAAAGAGCTGTTGAAATAATATAGTCTGTAACTTGAGCTTTTTTAAATCTGTAAAATTTCAGTTGGTACATATTTATATATTTGAGTTTCGAATACATCTGTTTTTAAAATTATGTAACTATACATTTTCCCAGAAATTTTAGTATATGATATGATTTTGTTTTCTTTCATCCCTTTTCCCAAGCAGTTTATTATGAAAATTTTCAAACATACAGCAATGTTGAGAAAATTTTACAGTAAATGCCTATACCCATTACCTAAATTTTACCATTAACATTTTACCCTGCTGGCATTATTGTGCTTATCCATCTACGTATCCCTCTCTCCCTTCATTGGTGTATTTCTAAGTAAATTGTAGGCCTCAGTACACTTCCTTCTGAATTCTTCAGCATGCACAACAGTATTATATTCCATTTTTAAAAGAGCAATTCTTGATAGATTTATATAGTTTTGTAAAATGTTCATATAGAGCTACAAATTTTATCTTTTTGTTTCTTATTGTATGTCTAGGGTCCTGAAGGGGATGCTGGCATTGTTGGGATATCAGGTCCTAAAGGTCCTATTGGACACAGAGTAAGTGTAAAGTCATTCTGCCTACCAGAAATTGTGGTTCTTTGCTTACTGCAGGGCTTAAGAGCTCTAAATGTAATGTACTTCAAGTAAATAACTTAATGAAATGACTTTTAAGGTAGAAACTCATAAGGGCACATGCAGAATTCAATCTTTTGCAGTTCATATATTAGTTTGAGCAAAATACCTCATAGACCACCCGTACTTCCTAGTCTTACTTAAAAAAAAAAAAAGAATCATCAGAATTACTGTGAAGACTGGATAATGTATTAACTCACGCCAGGAACAAAAACATACAGCAATTTCACGTTATAAGCATTAATGCAACCAGAGACCACCTCCATGCACCACCTGGAAGAAGCTTGTGTATGACCAGAGCTCTTCAGACCAGACTGAAAATATTTCCCAATAGCTGTGTTTTCCCAGCTCAGGGGCAGGTATCCCAAGAGAGTGATGAGGAACCGCTTAAATAGTTGCAAAAAGCAGGGTCTGAAGAACTCCAATTAGCAATGAGTGCTTGTAATTGCAAATTGTAGAGAATATAAATAGGACAAATAAGCCACCAGTGCTTACTGATTATTGTTTTTAGTTTTTTGTTTTGTTTTTAGTTTTTATTAATCAAAGCTTTCTAATTGATGAGATGTTCTATAAAACTGAAAAAAAGCTGAAAAAAAATTTAAAACTTCAAGTAATGGTTTGGCTGTGGTAGTAGCATCTCTATGACTAATAGCAGCTGCAGGGGCAAGTGTTGAAAGAGCAGAGAGAGGAAAAAGGGAAGCAGTGCAGATGTAGGATAAAGGTATCTTAAATAACTATTAAATGAAAGTCAAACTTCTAAAATCCTATACCGCTTTCCTAACTCTTACAATAAATTGTTGTCAATAATGCAAAAAGGTTTTTTGTCCTTGCAATAGTTTGCTGAGAATGATGGTTTCCAGCTTCATCCATGTCCCTACAAAGGACATAAACTCATCATCTTTTATTGCATAGTATTCCATGGTGTATATGTGCCACATTTTCTTCATCCAGTCTATCATACTTATGTAACTAACCTGCACGTTGTGCACATGTACCCTAAAACTTAAAGTATAATTTTAAAAAATGCAAAAAGGGCCAGATGCAGTGGCTCACACCTGTAATCCCAGCACTTTGGGAGGCCAAGGCGGGTGGATTGCTTGAGGTCAGGAGTTTGAGACTAGCCTGATCAATATGGTAAAACCCCATCTCTAATAAAAATATTTAAATTTAGCTGGGCATGGTGGCACATGCCTGTAATCCCAGCTACTTGGAAGGCTGAAGCAGGAGACTCACTTGAACCCAGGAGGCAAAGGTTACAGTGAGCCGAGATGGCACAACTGCACTCCAGCCTGGGCGACAGCAAGAAGCAAGACTCCATCTCAGTTAAAACAATACTAATTCAAAAAATAATGCAAAGAGGAGTATTATCATGGTAATTGTTTAAAGACCTTTCTGAATATTTCTTCAGCTATAAATATATTAGTTATTTTCATGATTTCTGAAGAACCACGGAAGCTGAAGTTTGTAGGAAAAAACTAAAATGGGCATTTTGTATTCACTGAGAAATTATAGACTCTCTTCCTACTTTGGGAGGAATTGACCAGAAATCCAGCTTATTCAAGGTTATCTTCATAACCAAATAATAGCTTAAAGTTTTAAAAGCACTTTTCATATTTAATTCTCACAATGGCCCTATGAAGTAGATGTTCTTATTCCTGTTTTACAGATGAAGAACTGAAGTTTAGTTGGTCACATATGCTGTTCTCTGGTTCCTTACTGTACTTTTTCTCTATTTCATGCTTCATGTTACCCAAACATCTACTTTTTCAACATCTGCACAGAAATTTATTCAAAACCTAGTTCATCATTCTATTCTTTTTTATATAAAGTAGTTTTATTTGTTATATAACATACATGTAAAATGCATCTTTGAAGTTATCACCACATAAAAATCATAATGCTAATTCATCAGTTTTTTAGAAATTATACAGATGCAACTCTCCTGATAAGAGACTTTAATAATATGCAGAATTGTGTCACATACTGTTAACCAAGATTATTGTAATTTATGCTAATACTGTAAGCTTTTATACTAAAAAGGATAATTATGTAGACATGGCTCTTTTACCATTGTACAAGAGATTCTGTGGAGTTTTTTTTTTTTTAATTATACTAACAGTGAGACTGTTTTTCTTTTACCTCAACAGGGAAACACTGGTCCCCTTGGCAGAGAAGGTATAATAGGCCCAACAGGTAGAACTGTAAGTTTATCATAATACAAGTCTTTTGTACTCTTTTTTTTCTTTAATTCTATTTCTAGAATATTCTACAAAGAATTAGCCTGGGTATTTGAGAAGAAAATGGAAAAAATAGATATACATTTTCTTCTGGAAAATGATTCCTGAGAAGTTAGGGACCATATGTGTAATGAAGACAGTGTAACTAAGTAGGTAAGTGTTTATAATTGGAGTTGAGAAAAGAAAATAGAACTGAGTCAGGAAGGGGAGAGTGTTATAAACATAGAGATGAACTCCTGAGCAATAAAAATAAATTCTTCTTCTGAAGGAAAGAACATAGATAGCAAAAGATGTGCAGACATCCAACATTTGAGTTTTTGGAAGTACCCACTATAAAGGAAGGAAAGAATCGTTCGAGAGAATAGCAAGTGTTTCAAGAAAGGAGTAGTCAACAGTAATCTTTGAGAGAATAAATTGCAGTAGAAGATACAGTACAGGTTACAGTGATGAAGGAAGTAGGGGAAAATGTTTAATAATAATGTTCCTTAAATTCTTACAACAAACTTTTGCAGTAGATATTATTTTCATTTAACAGATGAGGAGACAGATGAGGTTTATGGAGGTTCATCTAGTCATTCAAGGTGATAGACCTCGTGGATTACATAGCTGGTGTTTCTTCAAGACCAGCGCTCTTTCCACTCCATTCAAGCTGTGTCTGGAGAGGAAATTGAGGTATTATATGCCAGTGCTTTAAGAAATTTGGCTATGAAATAAAACATAAAAATGAGACAATGATTGGTCAAGTGATGTTGGGAAAGTTTTCCAATATTGATAATAGTATAAACAAGCAAGGAGCACAGTAGAAAGGGTCAAATTGAGACTTAGAGAGGAAAGATTCATTCTATCTAGGGAATTAATATTTTGAATTATTTGAAAGTTATTTATAGACACAGACAATTAAAAAATATAAAAATAGAATGCTTCAAGTGTTTAGTACCACTATTCTCTTTGATAAATTTAGAGAAGAAACCACCAAAGTTACTGGATATGTAAACAAAAGAAGTAAAATGTATAACTCAGTATTTCTGTAGACTTTCAACATTTGCCACTCGGAGCTATATAAGATTGTAAGTGGGAGAATTCTCATATTTCAGTGAGTGGTTCTTCAGCAAGCTAAGGGACACATACTGTTCTGATTACAGAATGATTTTTCTCCTCTGTCAAAAATATGATGTATTAATTGGTCAAGGAAAATGTAATTTTAAAATTACTTAATTAAAATATCTTACTGTGTTTTGTTTATAGATAGTTCTTAAAGACCCTTATAATATTCAGCATGTACATCAATTTTTCCATATTCAATTTTTTCCATTCTGAGAAGAAAAGTTCATTATGAAAGAATAAGCATTTCAGATTGGTGAAAGCATTGGGAAAAAAAATACCAGTGAGGGGTGACAGGCTTGGAAATTTGTAAATGAAACTATATGGTAATACAAAGAAATAAACAGATCGGTGTAACAGACTAGAGCCCAGAATTTGATCTTAAGTATATATAGGAATTTACTTACAACAAAAATGGCATATAATTGAGGAAGGTTTGGCTGCAAATAATAGGAACCCTGAACCAAAGTACTTTTAGCAATAAGAAAATTTGTATCACATTATAGGAAAGCCTTCAGATTTGGTTAATTTGGCGACTCAATTATCTCATCCAAGACCAGGTTCTTATGTATCTCTTATATCTCTATGTCTCTACTCTAATATCCTGAATGTTGGCTTCATAATTAGGCTTATAGCAAGATGACTACAACTTCTCAAGAACTACATCCAGATATAATTATCCAAAGGAAAAAAAAAATGACATAAAGTACTATTGTGGCAAAAATAAGAATTTTTTAGAAGTCTCCGATTACATTTTTTTCATATCTAATTGTCTAGCATTCAGCCAGATGTTCACTCCTACGTCAGTGACAGGGAAGAGAGATGGAATTACTTTGAGTATCCTCCTGCTATAAGAAATTGGAACACAGCCTGGGCAACATAGTGAGACCCCCATCATATAAAAATAAATTAGCTGTGTGTGGTGGTACATGCCTATAAGCCCTAGCTACTTGGGAGGCTAAGATGGGAGGATTGCTTGAGCCCAGGAGTTCCAGGCTACAGTGAGTTGACTGCACCCACTGCACTCCAGCCTGCGCAAACAGAGTGAGACC
The DNA here is from genome assembly GCF_000001405.40 of Homo sapiens. Classification (NCBI taxonomy): domain Eukaryota; kingdom Metazoa; phylum Chordata; class Mammalia; order Primates; family Hominidae; genus Homo; species Homo sapiens. The sequence continues at coordinate 85,779,030 of NC_000001.11, read as the reverse complement.
CCATCTCTTTAAAAAAGGAAAAAAGAAGAAAGAAAAATTGGAACCCCATTTGCCAAAAGTATTTTACTCCTAGATGAACTTTTAACGACTTTAATGTAAAAAATAAAACAATAAAAATCTTAGAAGAGGCCAAGCGCAGTGGCTCATGCTTGTAATCCCAGCACTTTGGGAGGCCGAGGTGGGCAGATCACCTGAGGTCAGGAGTTCAAGACCAGCCTGGCCAACATGGTGAAACTTCATCTCTACTAAAAATACAAAATTAGCCGGGTGTGGCGGTACATGCCAGTAATCCCAGCTACCTGGGAGGCTGAGGCAGGAGAATCTCTTGAACCTGGGAGGCAGAGGTTGCAGTGAGCCAAGATCATGCCATTGCACTCCAGCCTGGGCAATAAGAGTGAAACTCCATCTCAAAAAAAAAAAAAAAATTGAAGAATAATCTAGAAAACTAACATGTAGCTTAAGGATTGGGGAGACCTGTAAAAGAACAGAAAGTATATTTGAATACTTGAAATTTTTTTTTCATTTTGTATGGAAAAAAGATTCCATGAATAAAGTTTAAAAGTACTATTGATTGGGAAAAATATTTACAAAGCATACAATATATAACAGGTTAATATACAAAGAGCTCAGTTGGGAACAGTAGTTCACGGCTGTATTACCAGCACTTTGGGAGGCTGAGGCTGGAAGATTGCTTGAGCACAGAAGTTTAGACCAGCCTTGGCAATATAGTGAGATCCCATCTCTACAAAAAAATTTAAAATGAGCCTGGCGTAGTGGCAGATGCCTGTAGTCCCAGCTACTCAAGAGGCTGAGGTGGGAAGACCACTTGATCTGAGGAAGTTGAGGCTATAGGGAGCCATGATCATGCCACTGCACTCCAGCCTGGGCAAAAAAAATTTAAAAATAAAAAATTATCTACCTATCTGTTGCTATGGATACGTGTATGTATCTAGAGATAGATGATAGATAGATAGATAGATAGATAGATAGATAGATAGATAGATAGAGATAGAGACATATACACACATATACCAAGAGCTCTTATAGTTTGAAAAAGAAAGTTCAATAGAAAAATGAAAAGCATTCCATCAAAAAAGTAGCCAGCGGAGAAAAAAAGAACAAATCCAAAAGTTCAACTATTGTTTTATAATAAAAAGACACTCACCTAAATTTAAGTCAGAGAAATGCAAATTAAAGTAAAATAAGATATTACATTTAACTTCTCAGAAGGGAATATAGGAGAAAACAGTACTCTCATTGATCACTGGTAAAAATGTGAATTACAGACTTTATGGAAAGATTTGTTAAATATAGGTACATATTCTTTAACAAAACAGTTCCACTTGGAGGAATTTATCCCATAGGTATAAAAGCACCCAATACACTAATGAAATTTTGCAAAGACTTTTTTTTGTAATACTACTTTTATTGGAAAAAAAATTGAAATTACGTGAATACTCATTTCTAAAGGAATGATTGAGTAAGTTATAGGTTAGCCATTTCATGGAATATTATGCAATTGTTTAAAAGAATTTATTATATCTAGTTTGGCTGACTCAGTTATTTCATGATGTATTGTTAAGTGCGATGCATAGAAGAGTATATAATATGATTCCAATATTTTAAAACAGCAATATTTCTCATACATACATAAATGTATTTGTCAATATTTGATTAGAAAAAGGTATGAAAACATACATACCAGGTTGTTAATACTGGGTAGGGTGTGGAAAAGGGTGTATATATTTTTTTAAAGTGCTGTGTAGATATCTTAAAAATCAGGGTCCAGGCGCAGTGACTCACTCCTGTAATCTCAGCACTTTGGGAGGCTGAGGCGGGCGGATCACGAGGTCAGGAGATTGAGATCATCCTGGCCAACATGGTGAAACGCCATCTCTACTGAAAATACAAAAATTATCTGGGCTTAGTGGTATGCTCCTGTAGTCCCAGCTACTCAGGAGGCTGGGGCAGGAGAATCGCTTGAACCCAGGAGGTGGAGGTTGTAGTGAGCTGAGATCATGCCACTGCACTCCAGCCTGGTGACAGAGCGAGACTCCTTCTCAAAAAAAAAAAAATAAGTAAATAAATAAATAAGTTTTTTTTAAGTTAATACCCTGGTTTAAAATGAATTGAGACAAGATGAGAAACACAGAAGTAATATAAATGGTGAATAAATGATAAGATAGTATTCTTAGCTTGCAAATTAACAAAGAACATGACATAGATCAGAAGAAATGTACACTTCCATTTTTGCAGGTGTGTATGTAATTTCAAACTAACTTTCTGGAAGACAGTCTTTAACAAAAATTTTAGACTGTAAGGGTATCTCTCACAACACTGCTAACAATGACAAAAATTAGCAAAAAGTCTAATAATAGCAAATTTAAAATATTATCATAGTATATTAAATACTAGGTAAGATTATTAAATATTTTAATTATCTAAAAGAATGTATATTGACATGGAAGAGCATTCATATTATATTTATGAAGGTGTAAATTCAGGTTACAGAAAAGATGAATAGTATCTCATTTTTTACATATATATACATATAAAATTTTCAAAAGGATGAACAGGAAAATATTAACACATTTTAAAAGCAGTAGGTCCACCCAGCAATGGCAAACTACATTCGTTTCAAGTGCATATGGAACGTTCACCAAAATAGAAGATGTTATGGGCCATAAAACAAATTTTACTAAATGTAAAAGAACTGAGGTCATAGAAGGTATATTCTCTTGCCAATGGAATTAAACTAGAAATCAATAACAGAAAGATAATAGGAAAATCTCCAAACACTTGAAAATTAAATCACACACTTCTAAATAATCCATGGATCAAAGAGCAAGTCTCCAAGAAAATTAGAAAATATTTTGAACTGCACGGAAACATATACAACATATTAAAATTTGCAAGAAAGAGAAGGGAAACCATCCCAGAAACAGGGTTTTCAAAAGTTAAGAAAAACAATTATTAGAAGAATTTAACCTGAATTTAGAATTTCCTTTTTAAATTGCTTTGTATATGATTGTCAGATAAGCTGTTTTGACTTAATTGAATGAATAAGTAGTTATCTCAGTCTCACCTTAAGGTTAGAACTAGGAACAGCAAAGCAGACAACATGAATCACTAAGGGTTTTTTGTTTGCTTTGCTTTATTTAGGAAAAGAACACTAGAACTTATACAATTTAACAAAACAGGTCTTACTATATAGAAAAAGCAAAAATATAAATTGTCATGTTTCTACATATAATGACCTCAGCTACATTTAATACGTAACTATCAATAACAATGAACTAACATCTTTTTTTTTTCTTTTAGGGACCCAGAGGTGAAAAGGGCTTTAGAGGTGAAACTGTAAGTTTAACTAAATTTGTGATTATAGTAACCCTGACACTAGGCTATAAGCTCCATGAAAGCAAGGACCCTGTTAGAGTTATCCATTATTATGTCTCTGATACTTGTAGAATAAAAATAAAATTGCAGTTGTCAGGAAGTAGAATTAACCGATGCAGTAAAAGAGACTTAGACTCACACAATAATAATGGGAGACTTTAACACCCCACTGTCAATATTAGACAGATCAATGAGACAGAAAATTAACAAAGATATCCAGGACTTGAACTCAGCTCTGGACCAAGCGGACCTAATAGACATCTGCAGAACTCTCCACCCCAAATCAACAGAATATACATTCTTCTCAGCACCACATCCCACTTATTCTAAAATTGACCACATAATTGGAAGTGAAACACTCCTCAGCAAATGTAAAAGAACAGAAATCACAACAAACTGTCTCTCAGACAACACTGCAATCAAAATAGAACTCAGGTTTAAGAATCTCACTCAAAACTGCACAACGACATGGAAACTGAACAACCTGCTTCTGAATGACTACTGGGTACCTAACGAAATAAAGGCAGAAATAAAGATGTTCTTTGAAACCAATGAGAACAAAGACACAATGTACCAGAATCTCTGGGATACATTTAAAGCAGTGTATAGAGGGAAATTTATAGCACTAAATGCCCACGAGAGAAAGCAGGAAAGATCTAAGATTGACACCCTAACATCACAATTAAAAGAACTAGAGAAGCAAGAGCAAACAAATTCAAAAGCTAGCAGAAGGCAAGAAGTAACTAAGATCAGAGCAGAACTGAAAGAGATAGACACCAAAAAACCCTTCAAGAAATCAATGAATCCAGGAGCTGGTATTTTGAAGCGATCAACAAAATTGATAGACCGCTAGCAAGACTAATAAAGAAGAAAAGAGAGAAGAATCAAACAGATGCAATAAAAAATGATAAAGGGAATATCACCACCAATCCCACAGAAATACAAACCACTAACAGAGAATACTATAAGCACCTCTATGCAAATAAACTAGAAAATCTAAAAGAAATGGATAAATTCCTGGACACATACACCCTCTCAAGACTAAACCAGGAAGAAGTTGAATCTCTGAATAGACCAATAACAAGCTCTGAAATTGAGGCAATAATTAATAGCTTACCAACCAAAACAAAGTCCAGGACCAAACATATTCACAGCCGAATTCTACTAGAGGTACAAGGAGGAGCTGGTACCATTTCTTCTGAAACTATTCCGATCAATAGAAAACGAAGAAATCCTCCCTAACTCATTTTATGAGGCCAGCATCATCCTGATACTAAAGCCCGGCAGAGACACAACAAAAAAAGAGAATTTTAGGCCAATATCCCTGATGAACATCAATGCAAAAATCCTCAATAAAATACTGGCAAACCAAATCCAGCAGTACATCAAAAAGCTTACCCACCACGATCAAGTCGCCTTCATTCCTGGGATGCAAGGCTCGTTCAACATACGCAAATTAATAAGCATAATCCGTCACATAAACAGAAACAAAGACGAAAACCACATGATTATCTCAATAGATGCAGAAAATGCCTTCGACAAAATTCAACAGCCTTTCATGCCAAAACTCTCAGTAAACCAGATATCAGTGGAACATATCTCAACATAATAAGAGCTATTTATGACAAACCCACAGCCAATATCATACTGAATAGGCAAAAACTGGAAGCATTCCCTTTGAAAACTGCCACAAGACAAGGATACCCTCTCTCACCACTCCTAGTCAACATGGTGTTGGAAGTTCTGGCCAGGGAAATCAGGCAAGAGAAAGAAATAAAGGGTATTCAAATAGGAAGAGAGGAAGTCAAATTGTCTCCATTAGCAGATGACATGATTATATATTTAGAAAACCCCATCATCTCAGCCCCAAATCTCCTTAAGCTGATAAGCAACTTCAGCAAAGTCTCAGGATACAAAATCATTGTGCAAAAATCACAAGCATTCCTATACACCAATAACAGACAAATAGAGAGCCAAATCATGAGTGAACTCCCATTCACAATAGCTACTAAGAGAATAAAATACCTAGGAATCCAACTTACAAGGGATGTGAAGGACCTCTTCAAGGAGAACTACAAACCACTACTCAAGGAAATAAGATAGGACACAAACAAATGGAAAAACATTCCATGCTCATGAATAGGAAGAATCAATATCGTCAAAATGGCCATACTGCCTAAAGTAATTTATAGATTCAATGCTATCCCCATCAAGCTACCAATGACTTACTTCACAGAATTGGAAAAAACTACTTCAAACTTCATATGAAACCAAAAAAGAGCCCACATAGCCAAGACAATCCTGGGCAAGAAGAATAAAGCTGGAGTCATCACACTACCTGACTTCAAACTTTACTGCAAGACGGTAGTAACCAAAACAGCATGGTACTGTTACCAAAACAGATATATAGACCAATGGAACAGAACGGAGGCCTCAGAAATAACACCACACATCTACCACCATCTGATGTTTGACAAACCTGACACACACAAGCAATGTAGAAAAGATTCCCTATTTAATAAATGGTGCTGGGAAAACTGGCTTGCCATATGCAGAAAACTGAAACTGGACCCCTTCCTTACACCTTATACAAAAATCCACTCAAGATGGATCAAAGACTTAAATGTAAGACCTAGGACCATAAAAATCCTAGAAGAAAACCTGGGCAATACCATTCAGGACATAGGCATGGGCAAAGACTTCATCTCTGAAACACCAAAAGCAATGACAACAAAAGCCAAAATTGACAAATGGGATCTAATTAAACTAAAGAGCTTCTGCACAGCAAAAGAAACTATCATCAGAGTGAATAGGCAACCTACAGAATGGTAGAAAATTTTTGCAGTCTATCCATCTGACAAAGGGCTAATATCCAGAATCTACAAAGAACTTAAACAAATTTATAAGAAAAAACAAACAACCCCATCAAAAAATGGGCAAAGGATATGAACAGACCCTTCTCAAAAGAAGACATTTATGCAGCCAACAGACATGTGAAAAAATGCTCATCATCACTGGTCATTAGAGAAATGCAAATCAAAACCACAATGAGACACCATCTCACACCAGTTAGAATGGCGATCATTAAAAAGTCAGGCTATTGTGAATAACGCCGCAATAAACATACGTGTGCATGTGTCTTTATAGCAGCAAGATTTATAGTCATTTGGGTATATACCCAGTAATGGGATGGCTGGGTCAAATGGTATTTCTAGTTCTAGATCCCTGAGGAATCGCCACACTGACTTCCACAATGGTTGAACTAGTTTACAGTCCCACCAACAGTGTAAAAGTGTTCCTATTTCTCCACATCCTCTCCAGCACCTGTTGTTTCCTGACTTTTTAATGATTGCCATTCTAACTGGTGTGAGATGGTATCTCATTGTAGTTTTGATTTGCATTTCTCTGATGGCCAGTGATGATGAATGTCCAACAATGATAGACTGGATTAAGAAAATGTGGCACATATACACCATGGAATACTATGCAGCCATAAAAAATGATGAGTTCATGTCCTTTGTAGGGACATGGATGAAATTGGAAATCATCATTCTCAGTAAACTATCGCAAGAACAAAAAACCAAACACCACATATTCTCACTCATAGGTGGGAATTGAACAATGAGATCACATGGACACAGGAAGGGGAATATCACACTCTGGGGACTGTGGTGGGGTGGGGGTACGGGGGAGGGATAGCATTGGGAGATATACCTAATGCTAGATGACGAGTTAGTGGGTGCAGCGCACCAGCATGGCACATGTATACATATGTAACTAACCTGCACAATGTGCACATGTACCCTAAAACTTAAAGTATAATAAAAATAAATAAATAAATAAATAAATAAATAAAAAAGTCAGGCAACAACAGATGCTGGAGAGGTTGTGGAGAAATAGGAACGCTTTTACACTGTTGGAGGGAGTGTAAATTAGTTCAACCATTGTGGAAGACAGTGTGGCGATTCCTCAAGGATCTAGAACTAGAAATACCATTTGACCCAGCAATCCCATTACTGGGCATATACCCAAAGGATTATAAATCATTCTACAATAAAGACACATGCACACGTATGTTTATTGCAGCACTATTCACAATAGCAAATACTGGGAACCAACCCAAATGTCCATCAGTAGTAGACTGGATTAAGAAAATGTGGCACATATACACCATCGAATACTATGCAGCCATAAAAAAGGATGAATTCATGTTCTTTGCAGGGACCTGGATGAAGCTGGAAACCATCATTCTCAGCAAACTATCACAAGATCAGAAAACCAAACACCACATGTTCTCACTCATAATTGGGAGTTGAAAAATGAGAACACATGGACACAGGGAGAGGAACATCACACACCGGGGCCTGTCGGGGGTCGGAGGCTAGGTGAGGGATAACATTAGGAGAAATACCTAATGTAGGTGATGGGTTGATAGGTGCAGCAAACCACCATGGCACGAATATACCTATGCAACAAACCTGCACGTTCTGCACATGTAACCCAGAACTTAAAGTATAATAATAATAATTTAAAAACCCTATGTGGTAGATTGCAGTGAAATCTGATAAACCCTAAAGATGTTTAAGAACCCGCCAATCACTTCTTCCCGGATCACTGTGTGAAATGGATTATTTGCCTTGCCAGGCATCAGGAGATGGGATATGGGTTTTCTTCACCAGTGGCAGAACAAAGGGACTGCCAATTCGCTTTAGGCATATACCCACTATGTCCAGTCAGCACCAAAGAGATCTGCAATGCAGAGGCAAATCATTAGTTGCATATCAGCCAGTTAGAGACAATGATGAGAGGATGGGCAAAAGGTACACAGCACTTTTGTGACCAAAGTAGCTTATACTGGCCCTACTTCCCTCATTTCTAGGATGCCAATTCTTCCATGCTAAAGAAGATGTGTTGTAAAGGGGCCACTTCTTCAGCAGAGATCATGCTAAGCTTATTTTTTAATAAGTTTTTTATTGTATAGATTTAACATGATGTTATAGGATACATATAGATAGTAAAAAGGTTATTTATAAGCAAGTAATTTGATTATAAGTAATTTTTTAAGCAAATTAACATATTCATCTCACATGATTACCCATCCTTTTGTTTTTTTTTTATTGCAAGAGAAGCTAACATCTACTCACTTAGCATGTGATCCATGCCAAACTTATTAAAGCAGCACCATAAACAGAGGACAGACATGGAATAAAATGAGGGAGATTGAAACCAAGTACATAAGGCCCATGAGAATAAACTTAAATATAGCAGTAAAGTCTTGATTAGAAGGTAATGAGATTACATAGTCACAGCTGAGATTTTTTTTTTTCTCATCTTAGGGTATGCTTGAGACTCAGAATAATTAAGTTGCAGTTATATTAACTAGCTAAAAAGGAGAAATTATGTTATTTCAGATAGCCTAAGAATCACAAAAGGATATTTAAATCGATGTGTTCAATTTGTAGAAATGTGATCCTCACCTTTTCTCAGCAGATTTATTGTAACAGGAAGCAAGAGCATATGTACACAGTGAAGCTATATTTCCAAGGAAGAGTGAAAGAGGGAAGGGAAAAGCAGAGAGACTTGGAATTAGCCCATGTTCCATATCAGTGTGGCTCTGCATGCCTCCCCAGTATCCTCTCCAAGTACTGTGGCTGGGACATAGTTTCCATCAGGATTAGGAAGCCTGAAGTACCTATGGCAATGTCACAAGCATTTCACATGAAAAAAAAATTGAGTGGCTCTGTGATGGATTACAAATGCAATAGATTAGGACTGCCATCTTAGGTTGTAGTGATAGAAATATGGCATGCAGTATAAAGCAGGTAGTGGTACCAGTCATGCTATCCCCAAAGAAAACATGGACAACATTAAAGCACATTCAGAGAAGGGGAAGGATCTGGGGGAACCTATGTCCTGGTAGGACCAGTTGAAATATCTGGGATGGTTAGCCTCTACCAGATTCTGCAGCCTGATTACATCTCTCTCCTTGTTCTTTCTTCTCTCGTCGCACTTCCTGGCTTTTGTACCTGTTATTTCTCTACCATACCCTTTATGTATGGTAGAGAGCTCCTGCTGATCTTGACATTTTGATTTAATGAACATTTCTCGGGGCAGGCATGCTAATGTTTTGACCCCACCCTACTCCCACCCTGGACATAATACCTAGCCCTCAGGACCTAGTACAATGCCTGGCACGTGTTCTTCAGTTTTGTACTTAAATGTCCTCTTATCCTGACTAGCCTGTGTGAATAGCAGTGCCCCCACCTTCCTGAGACGCCTTATATTCCTTCTACCTGTGCCTCTACCAACTGACATAGTACATATTTATTTGTTTTTTGTTGTTATTATATTTTTCCTCACTAGAATGTAGCCTTGAAGACACAAACATTTTAACTGTTGATTTTTGTTTTAATGCTGTGTCCCTCACACCTGGCAGTGCCTCTCTTATAGTTGGCATTCAATAAATATTTAATGAATTATTGGTAAATGAATTAGACAAAATTGAGGTGTTGGAACATAATAGTTGTCTTCAAATATTTGAAAGGTTATCTTATATAAGAGAGGATAGATACAATATGAGTAACTCTAGAGGATAAAATTTAAAAGACTTATTTATTGAATTGTTTGAATTTATTGAATTCTGTGCTCAGCTCCCTGAGAGAAAGTGAGCTCCATGAAGGCATGAAATATATTAGATACCACCTAGTACCTACCTACCATCGTTGTTACCACCTAGTACCCAGTCTATTATAGCACCGGATACATAATTAACACAATAAAAACTTAGTGACAAAGTTAATAGGATACTGAGGCTAATTTCAGCTCCATGTAATAATGAGCTGTCTAATATAATAATGAAAACTACACAAAAAGATCATTTTGCAAGGTAATAACTACCTTTCACCAAAGCCTACTGACCATCTCCCCAAGTTACTGGACTGGTATTCCTGCACTGAGTAGGGAATTAGAAGAGATACCCATAAAGTTCTTTCCAGATCTGAATATGTGTGATTCTACATAAAAGAAAAAGAAATAAGCCCTCCCCCCGCACAAAAGAACTAACAAAGCCATAGAACATAAAGAGTTCTTTAGAGATTAATTCCCATCAGCTGTAAATCCTATTCTCAATCCATCTCTCATTCTTCCTCACTGGCATCCTTGTGCAGGTGATCATGATATCCCTCCTGGACTCCCGGTTTCTTGTCGTTTCTTCCACTTTTCCCCCACTACGATCTATTCTCTACATAGCAAATAGAGTGATATTATTAAAGAATAAATCAAATTATATCATTCTCCTCTTTAAACACCTCCCTATGACTTCTTCTTGCACTTAGAATAAAATCTAAGCTTCCTTGCCTTGATTTACAAGGCCCTACATGAACTGGCCCCTGTTTGCCTCTCCAGTGTCCTGATGTACCATTTTCCACCTGCCACCTACACTAACCTCCTTTCTATTCTTAGGAATATGCCTTTTTTTAACCTAGGAAATTCTTTCATATACTCTTCAAATGACTAATTTTATCTCAATATTCAGGTCTCTGCTCAAATACCATCTTAAAGAAGTCTTCTCAGACCATTCTGTCTCATCATTTCCGGTCATTCTCTTTCACTGTATCTTGTTTTGTTTTCTTCATAATAGCACTCATTGCAATTATTTCCTGTCCCCTCCACTAGAATGTAAACTTCATGAGAGTAGGGAACTTTGTGTGGTACACAGGTTATCAGTGTCTAGAACAGAACTTGCCATGTAATAGGTAATAGTTGATAAATGAATAATATGCCCTAAAATTAAAAAGTGAAACACTATTTCCAGTTCTAGCCTGGTAAAGTAGCATTTCCTGAATTAACATGCTTTTTAGAGTTTTTAGTCTGTGGGTTATCATGCTTCTCTTCATAAATAAGGTGCAAACTTCCAGTACCCAAGGGAGATGGGAAATAGGCACAGTGGCATTTAGAGTAGGCAACTAAATATGCTGTTTAAAAAAAAAAAGGATTAACTGGCACATTACAATTATGAGTTTATTCTGTTTTATTGTTGAGTAACTGATAACTGATACTAAATACCTTTTTAATCACTTCTTTTCCTTTGATTCCATTATAATTTAAGGAGCTTTATAAAGTTAATCTTTTAATTCCTGGAGATCATTCTGCAATTATCATAATCCATAAAATGTGCCGTTAAACCTTTTCTCCTTTGTTTTATGGAAAAGCTTGGTAACATTTCTTACACTTTTCATTGGGAATTTTTCAGTACATTCTACCAGTTTGTTTTCTTTAAGGAGGCAGTTTAAATAATTGACTGGCTAAAGACGCCTAATTGGTTACTGTCTTTCAGAATGTAATACATTCGCGGAGGTCATTCTCAGAAAATGCTAGTAAATGGTGCATTTTTGGAATGGATTTTATTAGCTAAGACCTATTGTATTGAGACAAGTAAGAGACTTAAGTCTTTGCACAAAGATCAGAATCACAACAATCTATCAAATTGGTTTGTCAATCTTATTATTATTATTATTATTATTATTATTATTGAGACGGAGTCTCACTCTGTCACCCAGGCTGGAGTGCAGTGGCGCAGTCTTGGCTCACTGCAAGCTCCACCTCCCAGGTTCAAGCGATTCTCCTGCCTCGGCCTCCTGAGTAGCTGGGACTACAGGCGCCCATCACCACACCCGGCTAATTTTTTGTATTTTTAGTAGAAACGAGGTTTCACTGTGTTAGCCAGGATGGTTTGATCTCCTGACCTCGTGATCTGCCCGCCTCAGCCTCCCAAAGTTCTGGGATTACAGGCGTGAGCCATCACGCTGGGCCTCAATCTTATTTTAAAATTTTCCATGGAGGAAAATTTATTAAACTATGAATTTATTAAACTGTGCTCTCCTTACCAAGTTTTATACCTAAATATAACCAAAAAAATGACCAAAGCATGATTCAGTGACTTTAAAAAAATGCAAATAAGTTTATAGCTCATTATACAATACATGAAAAGTAACTCCTTTATTATAATTTGGGTTTCTTGATTAGAAAACTTCATGTCTTCTGTAATTTAACATTGTAAACTCTAGTATTGATCCCAAGTAGGTCCTTTCCACCACTGAGAGAGCTGATTCTGTATGGCCATTTATGAAAGAGTTATTTTTCTTTCTGTTCTATACTTGCTCCCGGTCTGCCTGCCTATGGACTGTTTTTAAAATGAGTCCCTAGATTCATATATATTTTCTTTTTCTTTTTCTTTCTTTCTTTCTTTTTTTTTTTTTTTTTTTTTTGAGACAGAGTCTTGTTCTGTTGCATAGGCTGGAGTGCAGTGGCAAGATCTCAGCTCACTGCAACCTCCACCTTCTGGTTCAAGTGATTCCCGTGCTTCAGCCTCCTGAGTAGCTGGGATTACAGGCATCCAGCACCACACCCAGCTAATTTTTTTCCTATTTTTTTGTAGAAACGGGATTTCACCATGTTGCCCAGGCCAGTCTTGAACTCCTGGCCTCAGATGATCTGCCCACCTCAGCCTCCCAAAGTGCTGGGATTAGAGGCATAAGCCACCGCACCCAGTCCTATTCATATATATATATTCTAAACAGAGCCAGAGTTTTATGGCATCCTAAGGAAACCTAGCAGATAACATGTAGAATTCTCTACTCTTCCTCTACTTCAAAACTGTTGTGTTACTGCCAAATAAATCCTGAAAGTTTACAAAATTTCCTACTTTCTATGAGACCTGAAACACTTAAAACACAACTGAGTAAATTTCAGAGTAAGTAATGCAAAGACGACTGCTGGAAATAATGGGATACAATTAGTAAAAATTTAACTTAAGTAAAATTCTAAGTAAAATTTTAACTTATAGCAGAAATGATATCCTAGTGTCAGATATCGGCAAAGGATTTTTTTTCTTTCTTGACAGAGTCTTGCTCTGTCACCCAGGCTGGCATGCAGTGGTGCAGCCATAGCTCACTGGAGCCTCGAACTCCTGGGCTCAGGCAATCCTCCCACCTCAGCCTCTCAAATAGCTAGGACTACAGGTGCGTGTCATTGCACTTGGCTAATTTATTTATTTATTTATTTATTTATTTATTTAATGATTTTTTTTTTTTCGGTAGAGACAGTGTCTCCCAGTGTTGCCCAGGCTGGCCTCGAACCCTGGCCCCACGTGATTCTTCTGGCCTCTGCCTCCCAAAGCCCCAGAATTACAGGCATGAGTCACTATACCTGACCTGAAAATAATTTTGACAAAATGTAACAACTTGAATCATATAACTTACAGCTATAGAAATAATAAAAAAAAACAGAGAACAATCTCAGCATGAATTTTCAGATTAGCTGCTTCATATTTATAATATACTATTTAATGAAATCATAAAATATTGAAACATCCCATTGACATTTTCTCTAATATTATCTCTAAGTTAATATGTCTTCACAGTTCTTGATTAGCAGTTGTCTTATTTGCCTCCAATTTGAAAGTGAGAAGGATGGTTTCTGCATTAGAAGGAAAAACTAGGATATGGGAAATAGGTCCTAAATATTAACACAGTAAGCATTTAAAGCATATATATGTATGTATTTCTTTTTAAAATTCATAAATAGTATAAATCATTCATTTAAAAGTATCAAACTTTTTAAATTCAAGAACACTTACCATTACATTTGTACAGACTTTAAATTTTAAATTCCCAATCTGTATGCTTGTGTACACCTTCTTTATCCAGATAAAAAACATGAGGTAGGTCATGCAGAAGCACATGCCTGTGGTACCAGCTACTCAGGGATCCTAAAGCAGAAGAATTGCTTGAGCCCAGGAGTTCAAAGCCAGCTTGGGTAGCATAGCAAGACTCCCGTCTTTAAAGAAAATTTAAAAATTAAAAAAACACACATCAGGAAGAAAATTGATAAAAGTCTTGAAAATCATAATTCTAAAGTGAACCTTGGAGATTATCTTCACTAGACCTATTATATTACAATTTAGATATCTGAGGTCCAAATGTGCAGCAGTTCACTTAAGACCATATAGCAAATTAAGTTACAAAGACAAAACCAGAGCCCAGATTCCCAATTCCTATATGATTGTGTTTTTCTATAAATTATAGTGCCTTTCAGAAAAAGAGGGTTAGGAGGTCTTGGTAAGGAATATGGTGTGTGTGTGTGTGTGTGTGTGTGTGTGTGTGTGTGTGTGTGTGTGTGTATCCTCCACCTAGATCAAGAGTAGCCCAGCTGTCACCCGCATGACAACTTGAAGAGTTTATGTTCTTATTTGCAGTCACGCCCTATGACTTGTGGTGCTCACTCATTCCATTCTAATTACATTACTATCTAGTTAATCTTATTTAATATTACTAAATTCTCCTTTCAAACCAATGAATCTCAACCAGGAGCCATTTGTCCCCCTACCACCCTAGGAGACAATTGGGGGAAAAGAATGAGATGTCAGTGGCATCTAGTGGGTAGAAGCTAGGGATGCTGCTAAACATCCTACAATGGAAGCTCCTCAGTTTATAAATGAGAAAAGGAAGCTCTGTGCAACTGAGCCAGCCTAAAATAAAGATCATGAAGCTAAATCAAGATTGCATTTACATAAGGGAAATGACATAAAGGAAATGACATTAGGAAATGAAATAAAAGAATTTACAAAAAGGAAGACTAACATACTCAAGTTTAAGGATATGCACTTACACGTATTTTTAAAGTATACTGATAAAATATGTTACTTTTGGAGGATCGTATGTAAATTCTGGGATAAAGTGAAAAGAGAATCTTGTTTTCATAGGAAGTGTTTTTACTATAGCCAAATAACCACCATAACCATTCAGAGTAATTTGGTTCCCCTTTAGAAAATTAACATAGACGGCCAGGCACAGTGGCTCATGCCTGTAATCCCAGCACTTTGGGAGGCCAACGCAGGTGGATCACTTGAGGCCAGGAGTTTGAGACCAGCCTGGCCAACATGATGAAACCCCATGTCTACTAAAAATACAAAAAAAATTAGCCAGGAGTGGTGGCGCACGCCTGTAGTCCCAGCTACTCGGAAGGCTGAGGCAGGAGAATGACTTGAACCTGGGAGGCAGAGATTGCAGTGAGCCGAGATCGCACCACTGCACTCCAGCCTGGGAAACAGAGCGAAACTACGTCTCAAAAAAAAAAAAAAAAAGAAAGTAAAAGAAAATTAACAGAGACAATCATGGTGTTGTTATAAACTACTTTACTTACTTAATTTTATTTTTTGGAGACAGAGTCTCACTCTGTCACCCAGGCTGGAGTGCAGTGGCGTGATCTTGGTTCACTCCAACCTCTGCTTCCCGGGTTCAAGCAATTCTTGTGCCTCAGCCTCCCGAGTAGCTAGGACTACAGGAGTGCACCACCATACCCGGCTAATTTTTTTGTATTTTAGTAGAGATGGGGTTTCACTATGTTGCCCAGGCTGGTCTCAAACTCCTGAGCTCAGGCAATCCGCTGGCCTTGACCTCCCAAAGTACTGGAATTACAGGTGTGAGCCACCATGCCTGGCCTATAAACAGCTTTATATAGAATAGACAGTGAATCACTTCACCTTAATGGTGTATTAGCTAGAGTAATAAAAAAGAACTAATAAAATGTTATATTGTTGGAATCATATTTTTTTAACTTGGCTACTTTCCCTATTCTATGTGGTTACATTGGAGTTGCCCTGCCCTATCCTGGTGGGTTTGAAGTATTTTGTTTGATCATATTTGTGATCTGACTTGTTCTGAATAATAAGCTGAAGTGAACTTTATAAAATCAGCAGTAGAAATTGTTTCTTATTTTTCTATGATAAATTCCTCTTTTGAAGTCAAAGGTAACATATGTATTTTGTACTGAACCATCAGTGATATTTTCCAAATGTCAAAAACTTGCTAAGTGGAATGGACTATTGCAACTGTTTATTATTTTTACATTGTTGATCCAAAATGGAGAAGCGGACATAACCAATTTCACTTTGAGCTTCTGTATATTTAAAAGGCTATCTCCAATGTGACATTTCTGTCAGCTACCCTGCAGCTTCTGAGATATATGCATTGGTTGATAATTAAATGAATGGATGATGTTAAAATTAACTAGTATTAACTAGTATTAATTTTGACTAGTATTAAAATTAACTGGTATTAATTTTAACATCATTCATTCATTTAATTATGTACAAGTTTTGTACATTCTCTGCTTAAACTTGTAATCATAAACCAGATAAACTGAGACATGTCTAGCAGGCACAGTGTTGGAGTACTCTGATCTTTTCAAGTTACTATGTATTGTTTGTTCTAGCTATCACAGTATATTTAGGATTAACAGCTTTGGCAATACAAGATGCTTAATACTAAGTCAAGCATGGTGTCAACATTATCCAAAACTTAGCTGAAGATAAGTGTTGCTTTGCCATCTTTTAACCGTAATTGGAGTTGACTCAATATAGTCTTAACATTTAGCTGAACATCTAAGTTACTTTTGAACAGATGTACAGGGCCTTTGAGCATTTTTAACAGTAATTATTGCTTCGCTTTGAAAAATGTCAACATAACTTTTGACATTTTGCGATACACCTTTTCACTTTTCTAATTTCTAAATTAATACTAATTAATTTTAACATCATTCATTCATTTAATTATCAATAAAAATGGAGAAGTATTATTTTGGAGAGATTTTCAGGTGAACTCAACAGGAGTTAGTAACCAGTTTACAGGTAGATAAAGGAAATTAATGTGTCTAAGAACACCGAAGTTTCTATATTTGATGATTAGGTGGATGGTAGTTAGAAATAACAGGAAAAACATCTTTAGACAATACTAATATTTTAAAATGTTACATTTATAATAGTTTATTAAAATGAGTAAATTCAGTTTCTAATAATATCGATAAACAGGAAAATAAATATCCAGCTTGTTTATGAATATGGATGATTGCTAAGTACCACAGCATATAACTTTAGAATACTAAAACAATTTTAAATTGTATGACTTGCCTGGCACGAAAGGCAGTTACAGAGGTTGAATATTAGTTATCTTGCTTATACCCAACCAAAAGTATAATATATAGGTCTTGTGTTTGTCTCCATTTCTTCCAGGGTCCTCAAGGACCAAGAGGTCAACCAGGGCCTCCAGTGAGTTGGTTTTCATTTATATCTGTTTACCATTGATGCTTATATGTTTGCCTGGTTTAAGATGTCTACTAAATAAATGTGTATTTTTTTTAATTTGCTGTGTTCTAGGGTCCACCTGGAGCACCAGGCCCAAGAGTAAGTTTGCTTGGTTTGATTTTGTTTTGTTTTATCTTAGTATGTCATATTAACTTTTTAAATATCCTTCTGTTAACTCTCTATTAAAAGGTATCCCTTTTGGATACCTCTGTTCTTTTTTGCTAACCTGATACAGGGCTGGCCCAGCTACACAAACATGAAATCCAAGCCTCAGACTTCTTATTTATAAAATGGAGATGGTATCTCCTGCTTTCTTGGGTGGTTTCAAGTGTTGAGTAAGAAGTAAAGCATGCAGCACATTGTATAATACATAATAAGCACTTGAAAAACTAATTATCTCCATTTCTTCCTAATTCTACATCTTCACTCTCCTTTTTTAAATGTTCTCTTTTTGCCAGCCAGGGTTATCCACTTCTTTGATTTACATGAAGTAAATCAAATCTTTCTCAGTTGCTGGTAACTCTGGAAGCCATCAGACTTCTCTTATGTTTGCTTATTATCTAACTACTATGACCCAAAACTTGCTACCCTTATCTCTGAGGCAATGTTTATGTTGCTTCTGCTATTCTCATGCCCTCTGATATTCTAAGTTTGATTTTCCTTATGCTTTGTATCCACTCTCATATTCCGCAGTCTGTTTGTCTTTCTGCTCCCTATGAAAGGTCTCTCTCCATCTGCAACCTCACCCACACCCCACTCCTCCAGCCTCCTGGTCAAATACAGTGGTCCTTGGTCACATTTTCTGCCTAACATGGATCTACTGTTCGCTACACCATCCCAAACAATAGTCAGTCCTATGCCATTTAAGCCTTCTTATTTCACATGCTGCTCTGATGTCATTTAGATCTCTGCTAGTTCTAGGTGGTGGTTTCCTGTGGTCTACTCTCAGCAGATCAGGAACTCTTCATTTCCCTCAGCTTTTCATTGGGGCAAGGAATAACTTCCAGGCAAAGTGCCACAAGGAAGACTATCCCCTTGAAAACAAGAGACCCATTTATCTGTGATTTTAAAAAATCACTTCCCCTTTCTGGCCTTCTGACTAACATGGAGGGAAACTCTCCCTGTGTGGACATCAATAAGAATGTCTTTCGGCCGGGCATGGTGGCTTGTACCTGTAATCCCAGCACTTTGGGAGGCTGAAGTGGGTGTATTACCTGAGGTCAGGAGTTTGAGACCAGCCTGGCCAACATGGCAAAACCCCAGGCATGGTGGCACATGCCTGTAATCCCAGCTACTCAGGAGGCTGAGGCAAGAGAATCACCTGAGCCCGGGAGGCAGAGGTTGCAGTGAGCCGAGATCATGCCACCGCACTCCAGCCTGGCAGAGCAAGACTCTGTCTCAAAAAAACAAACAAACAAACAAAAAAAAAAAAAAAACAATGTCTTTCTCCAAGTCTTCAAATCACTTTCCACTTGTTTATTCTTCCTTTCCTCCTGGATCCCCACAATGCATGGATTACAAGTACCCTCATTAATTGCCTTCCCAAATTATAATGACTTTGATATATCATAGCTCCCTTCTCAAGAAAGAACAAGTTCAAGTTCTAAAGGATCATACGTCATTGGCAAATTAAAGAAATGTTTAGTGAAAATTTTCACATTTAAGTGCCAAACTGTGTGACACATATCCCTGTCTCACTTGGAAAATACATGTGTTCCTACACAGCCAAAATAGAGTAAGACATGAGAGGTTTTTGCTCAGAGCAAAATGTGGATTAAAATATGTATACACTTTGAGAAATTAATCAGGAAGATTAAGTAAGAAAATACGTGTGTTGAATACATTATAACTACTCAATAAATGCTAGTTTCTTTGTTTCCTTCTTTTCTCCCTTTTCCTCCTTTCTGTATTCCTTCTTGGCCAATATGAAAACAGATTTCCATATATAATGCTGTTTTCCTGGAACTTGCAGAGTCCGTTGTAGGAAAATAACATTGAGGATAAGATTTCTAGAGCAGACATCTAAATGACAATAAGACACCTACACATTCTTTCTAAAGTCAGCCTCCATGAAACTTTTCTTAATTCCATTCCCTCATCACACTACAAGATAGAACTGATCACTTCCCCTTCTTTGTTCATACTCATTTATTTTCATGTTTGTCTTTTCTATTATATTGTGAACCCTCTGAAGACAGAGACTACTTTTTAAATTCTCCTTCCATTTAAGCTCTTAATAAATGTTGAGTGCATGCTTGCATGAATACAAAAAAGGCAACATCTCAGGAAATTTTAGTGGGAATCTTCTAAACTAGATTTCACTTGGAGAGAAACAATGTCTATAAAAAATTAGACTCATAGAACTAGAGGTCCTCTCAGTAATTATTAAGCAGTTATTTCAGACTTTGAGTTGGGATTCATTGGTCAGCGGATCATAAGACCAATTTAGTGAGTCTCATTCAGGATTATTTTTAGAGCAAATGAAATAGAATAGAAAAATATTGGGGAGGGACTGCTTAATAGATATGGAGTTTCTTTTTGGGTGATTAAAATGCTCTGAAATTCTATCATGGTAGTGGTTGAACAACGTTGTGAATCTACTAAAGACAACTGAATTGTATATTTTTAAATGACTAAAATAGTGAATTTTATGTTATATAAATTTTACCTCAATTTAAAAAAATCAGTACATCATCATCAGTAAGAATAAATATGGTTTTACAGAACTTTTTAAGGTTGAATATATGTATGTTTGTGTGAATTTTGTCATGATGTAAAAATGTATTTCTTACTGTGGGTCAAGATAAGTATGAAAACTTCTAATCCAGTCCAGCCACATCTTTATAAGACCTATGAAACTAAAGTAACTTGCTCAGTTCTCTAAAGTGGAATAGCTAAAAGGAAATGTTTCAGGAAAAGGAATATGTATTGATGGTGAATTTGAATGTGAGGATAGGGTAATGACCAGACCTCAGTGTGTATGGTAAGGTATTTAGAAATGAACACAGAAGTATGCCATATGATGTCAAAGTTAACCAGAAATGATTAGTAGAATAAAGGGAAGAACAGGGTGTCTATATGTGTCTGTGTTTGGTGTATATGATGGAAATAACAATCGTTAAAAATCATTAAGTGAGAGAAAGAATTCCCAACTGATGTATTCCAATTAATGGGTCAACTGTAGAACCTGGATTGGTGAATTAAGAAGTGGCTGCTGCTATTATATA
Source organism: Homo sapiens (assembly GCF_000001405.40). Lineage (NCBI taxonomy): Eukaryota > Metazoa > Chordata > Mammalia > Primates > Hominidae > Homo > Homo sapiens. The sequence goes on along the minus strand of NC_000001.11, from coordinate 85,758,267 downwards.
CTGGTTCTCTAGAATCAGCAAAAACTTCTATCATAAAGAGGGGTGTGACCTGAAATGAGTTCCTATTTGGTCAGCATTTTCACCATCCAGTGATCTTGAAACTTTAGACATATGAAAAAATAACGCTTCTCTTCAAAATACTGAGGTGCCTAGACTAGATCTGCTCTTCACTCGAATGATTTGGAGAGAATTATGAAGATTACATTCTCCCAAAGTATAATGAATCCTGCTGTCTAATTCCCCTCATTATTTCACACTCACTAGTCACAACATATAATCAATCTTTATTCTCTGTTTTCTATTTTACATGCATGTTTTTGTAAATATTGAGTGATTTCCATGTAAGAATATGTTCTCTCTAACTAGAGTGCCTGGAAGAAGTTATTTTTCCTTATTTGATCCCCTCACTGCACTTAATGAGAGATTTATACTTCGATGTGGGCACTTAGATGTGACTGAATGACTTCCCAGGCAAATCCTCTTAATACAATTTCTCTGACCCTGCCTTTCTTAAAGTCTGCCTGTGGGGAAAAAGTCAATAAATTCAACAAATTGATTGACTGCTATGTGCCAGTCATGAGCTAGGCTTTGTGAATACCTTGGGGATTCTAGGAATATGGAGATTGTCAAGAAAATTTTTGAGTGGCCAAGTGTTATGAAATTTCTTTTCTTTCTAATACCTGTTGGGAAAAAAAATGCCTTTTTATTGAGTTGTCGCCTGCACTGATGGTGTTTAAAATTGCTGGTACCTTAGCATGACTAAAGCATCAAACTCTACACTACTAATCTACTAATAGTCATTGTATTATTTACTGCCACACACAGAAAATCATAGTGTTGCCAACTAAGAATATCCTGTGATTTATTCATCTTGCCCTTTGTTGGTGAGCATCTTTTTTTCAGTTTTTTTAATTACACATAGTACAAATGTCCTGTCCATATACATATCATTTTGTAGAATACCTAGAGGACAAATTGCCAGAAGTAGGATAGTTTGGTCTAAGGGATAATGAGCATATTTACTTGTTATTTTTAATGTTGGCAAGATATACATAACAAAATTTTGCCATTTTAACTGTTTTTAAGTGTAGAGTTCAGTGGTATTAAGTACATTCACATTGCTGTGCAACCATTACTACCCATGCCTAGAACTTTTTTTGTCTTCCAAAACTGAAACTCTGTACCCATTAAGTAATAACTCTCAATTCCTCCCTTTACCCAGCCCCTGCAACCACCGTTCTACTTTCTGTCTCTATGAATTCGACTACTCTAGGTACCTCATATAAGTTAAGTCATACAATATTTGTCTTTTTGTGACTGGCTTATTTCACTTAACGTAATATCTTCAGGGTTCATCTCTTTTGTAAGCGTATATTCGAATTTTATTTATTTTCAAAGCTGAATAATAGTCCATGTAATACATATACCAGATTTTGTTTATCCAAATGGACACTTACGTTGCTTCTACCTTTTGGCTATTGTGAATAATGCTGCTATAAACATTGCTGTACAAATATCTGTTGGAGTCTTCACTTTCAATTCATTTGGGTATATACCTAGAAATGAAACTGTTGTATCATGTAGTAATTCTATGTCTAATTTTTGAGAAACTGCCATACTGTTTTCCATAGCTGCCACACACTTTACATTACCACCAGCAGTGCACAAGATTCCAGTTTCTCCACATCCTCACCAACACTTGTTATTTTCTGGTTTATTTTTTCTATAACAGCCATCCTAATGGTTATGAAGCGGTATCTCATTGTGGTTTTCACATGCATTTTCCTAACGATTTGTGGTGTTGAGCATATTTTCATGTGTTTATTAGACATTTGTATTTTTTTTTTTTGAGACAGACTCTTGCTGTGTTGCCCAAGCTGGAGTGCAGTGGTGCGATCTCAGCTCACGGCAACCTCTGCCTCCCAGGTTCAAGTGATTCTCCTGCCTCAGCCTCCTGAGTAGCTGGGATTACAGGTGCCCTCCACCACGCCTGGCTAATTTTGTATTTTTAGTAGAGCTGGGATTTCACCATGTTGGCCAGGCTGGTCTCGAACTCCTGACCTCAAGTGATCTGCCTACCTCGGCCTCCCAAAGTACTGGGATTACAGGTGTGAGCCACTGTGCCCAGCCTCTTCTTTAGAGAAATGTCTATTCAAGTTATTTGCCCATTTTTTGAATTGGGTTGCCTTTTTTTTTTTTTTTTTTTTTTTGGTTGTTAGTAAGTTGTAGAAGCTCTTTAAATATTCTAGATATTAATCCTTTACCAGAAAGACAATTTGCAGTTATTTTTTTCCATCCGTTGGGTTGCCTTTTCACTCTCTTTATAGTGTCCCTTGATGCACAGAAGTTTTTTTTTTTTTCTGATATAGTCTAATTTATCTACTTTGTTCTCTTGTTGACTGTGCTCTTGGTATCATTCCAAGAAATCATTGCAAAATCAAATGTTATCAAGCTTTTCCTATTTGCTTCTAATAATTTTATAGTTTTACCTCTTATGTTCAAGTCTTTGATTCATTTTGAGTTCATGGTATAACTCATGATGTAAGTTTTTTTGTACTTGATGTAAGTTAAGGGTCTAACTTCATTCTATCCCATGTGGATATTCCATTTTTCCAGCACTGTTTGTTGAAAAGACCATCCTTTCTTCATTGAATGGTCTTAGCACTCTTGTTGAAAATAATTTGATCATAAATGAGAAGGTTTATTTCTGGACTCTCTATTATATTTCATTCTTTATGTCTGTCTTTATGACAGTACCAACTGTTTTGATTACAGCAGCTTTATAGTAAGTTTTGAAATCAGGAAACATGATGCCTCTAACAACTTCTTTTTTCAAAATTATTTTGGCTACTTGGGGTCTATACTATATGTTATATTTACTATATTGTAACTTCTACTACTGCTCTTTATTTCTTCAGGTGGATTCAAGTTTCTGCCTAGTATCCTTTACTTTAGGCCTGAATGACTCCCTATAATATTTTTCTAGGGAAGGTATGTTAGTGATAAATTGTCTTGGTTTTTATTTAACTGGGAATATATTAATATTTCCTTCATTTTTAAAGGAGAGTTTTACTGGAAATAGAATTCTTGGCTGACTGTCTTTTCTTTTAGCACCCTGAATATATTATCCTACTGCCTGCTCACCTTTATGGTTTTTTATGGGAAATTAGCTGTTAATCTGGTTGAAGATCTCTCGGACATGATGAGCTTCCTCTCTGCTTTCAGAATTCTCTCTTTGTCTATAGCATTAGATAGTTTGATTATGATGTGTCTGGGAAAGTTTGTGGAACTTCTCGGATGTGTAGGTTAATATTTTTGCATCAGATTTGTGATGTTTTCAGCCATGATCTCTTTATATATTCTTTGTGCCCCCTTTTCTCTCTCCTCCCCTTCTGAGACTCTCATCATGCATATGTTGATAAGCTTGACAGTGTCCTACAGATCTCTTAAGTCTCTGTTCACTTTTCTTCATTTTTTTTTCCACTCCTCAAACAGGATAATCTCAATAAACCTGTCTTCAAGTTAACTGGTGCTTACTTCTGCCTATGGAAATCTACTGTAGAGCCTATCTAGTAAATTTTTATTTCAGCTATTGTACTTTTTAACTTCAGAATTTCTATTTGGTTCTTTTTTCTATAATTTATGTGCTTTTATTATATTCTCTACTTAGTAAGACATCTTTCTCATACTGTCCTTTAGTTCTTTTTTTTTTTTTTTAATTTTTTTTTTTATTATACTCTAAGTTTTAGGGTACATGTGCACATTGTGCAGGTTAGTTACATATGTATACATGTGCCATGCTGGTGCGCTGCACCCACTAACGTGTCATCTAGCATTAGGTATATCTCCCAATGCTATCCCTCCCCCCTCCCCCGACCCCACCACAGTCCCCAGAGTGTGATATTCCCCTTCCTGTGTCCAAGTGATCTCATTGTTCAATTCCCACCTATGAGTGAGAATATGCGGTGTTTGGTTTTTTGTTCTTGCAATAGTTTACTGAGAATGATGGTTTCCAATTTCATCCATGTCCCTACAAAGGACATGAACTCATCATTTTTTATGGCTGCATAGTATTCCATGGTGTATATGTGCCACATTTTCTTAATCCAGTCTATCATTGTTGGACATTTGGGTTGGTTCCAAGTCTTTGCTATTGTGAATAGTGCCGCAATAAACATACGTGTGCATGTGTCTTTATAGCAGCATGATTTATAGTCCTTTGGGTATATACCCAGTAATGGGATTGCTGGGTCAAATGGTATTTCTAGTTCTAGATCCCTGAGGAATCGCCACACTGACTTCCACAATGGTTGAACTAGTTTACAGTCCCACCAACAGTGTAAAAGTGTTCCTATTTCTCCACATCCTCTCCAGCACCTGTTGTTTCCTGACTTTTTAATGATTGCCATTCTAACTGGTGTGAGATGATATCTCATAGTGGTTTTGATTTGCATTTCTCTGATGGCCAGTGATGATGAGCATTTCTTCATGTGTTTTTTGGCTGCATAAATGTCTTCTTTTGAGAAGTGTCTGTTCATGTCCTTCGCCCACTTTTTGATGGGGTTGTTTGTTTTTTTCTTGTAAATTTGTTTGAGTTCATTGTAGATTCTGGATATTAGCCCTTTGTCAGATGAGTAGGTTGCGAAAATTTTCTCCCATTTTGTAGGTTGCCTGTTCACTCTGATGGTAGTTTCTTTTGCTGTGCAGAAGCTCTTTAGTTTAATTAGATCCCATTTGTCAATTTTGGCTTTTGTTGCCATTGCTTTTGGTGTTTTGGACATGAAGTCCTTGCCCACGCCTATGTCCTGAATGGTAATGCCTAGGTTTTCTTCTAGGGTTTTTATGGTTTTAGGTCTAACGTTTAAATCTTTAATCCATCTTGAATTGATTTTTGTATAAGGTGTAAGGAAGGGATCCAGTTTCAGCTTTCTACATATGGCTAGCCAGTTTTCCCAGCACCATTTATTAAATAGGGAATCCTTTCCCCATTGCTTGTTTTTCTCAGGTTTGTCAAAGATCAGATAGTTGTAGGTAAGCGGCGTTATTTCTGAGGGCTCTGTTCTGTTCCATTGATCTATATCTCTGTTTTGGTACCAGTACCATGCTGTTTTGGTTACTGTAGCCTTGTAGTATAGTTTGAAGTCAGGTAGTGTGATGCCTCCAGCTTTGTTCTTTTGGCTTAGGATTGACTTGGCGATGCGGGCTCTTTTTTGGTTCCATATGAACTTTAAAGTAGTTTTTTCCAATTCTGTGAAGAAAGTCATTGGTAGCTTGATGGGGATGGCATTGAATCTGTAAATTACCTTGGGCAGTATGGCCATTTTCACGATATTGATTCTTCCTACCCATGAGCATGGAATGTTCTTCCATTTGTTTGTGTCCTCTTTTATTTCCTTGAGCAGTGGTTTGTAGTTCTCCTTGAAGAGGTCCTTCACATCCCTTGTAAGTTGGATTCCTAGGTATTTTATTCTCTTTGAAGCAATTGTGAATGGGAGTTCACTCATGATTTGGCTCTCTGTTTGTCTGTTGTTGGTGTATAAGAATCCTTGTGATTTTTGTACATTGATTTTGTATCCTGAGACTTTGCTGAAGTTGCTTATCAGCTTAAGGAGATTTTGGGCTGAGACAATGGGGTTTTCTAGATAAACAATCATGTCGTCTGCAAACAGGGACAATTTGACTTCCTCTTTTCCTAATTGAATACCCTTTATTTCCTTCTCCTGCCTGATTGCCCTGGCCAGAACTTCCAACACTATGTTGAATAGGAGCGGTGAGAGAGGGCATCCCTGTCTTGTGCCAGTTTTCAAAGGGAATGCTTCCAGTTTTTGCCCATTCAGTATGATATTGGCTGTGGGTTTGTCATAGATAGCTCTTATTATTTTGAAATACGTCCCATCAATACCTAATTTATTGAGAGTTTTTAGCATGAAGGGTTGTTGAATTTTGTCAAAGGCTTTTTCTGCATCTATTGAGATAATCATGTGGTTTTTGTCTTTGGCTCTGTTTATATGCTGGATTACATTTATTGATTTGCGTATATTGAACCAGCCTTGCATCCCAGGGATGAAGCCCACTTGATCATGGTGGATAAGCTTTTTGATGTGCTGCTGGATTCGGTTTGCCAGTATTTTATTGAGGATTTTTGCATCAATGTTCATCAAGGATATTGGTCTAAAATTCTCTTTTTTGGTTGTGTCTCTGCCCGGCTTTGGTATCAGAATGATGCTGGCCTCATAAAATGAGTTAGGGAGGATTCCCTCTTTTTCTATTGATTGGAATAGTTTCAGAAGGAATGGTACCAGTTCCTCCTTGTACCTCTGCTAGAATTCGGCTGTGAATCCATCTGGTCCTGGACTCTTTTTGGTTGGTAAACTATTGATTATTGCCACAATTTCAGAGCCTGTTATTGGTCTATTCAGAGTTTCAACTTCTTCCTGGTTTAGTCTTGGGAGAGTGTATGTGTCGAGGAATGTATCCATTTCTTCTAGATTTTCTAGTTTATTTGCGTAGAGGTGTTTGTAGTATTCTCTGATGGTAGTTTGTATTTCTGTGGGATCGGTGGTGATATCCCCTTTATCATTTTTTATTGTGTCTATTTGATTCTTCTCTCTTTTTTTCTTTATTAGTCTTGCTAGCGGTCTATCAATTTTGTTGATCCTTTCAAAAAACCAGCTCCTGGATTCATTGATTTTTTGAAGGGTTTTTTGTGTCTCTATTTCCTTCAGTTCTGCTCTGATTTTAGTTATTTCTTGCCTTCTGCTAGCTTTTGAATTGTTTGCTCTTGCTTTTCTAGTTCTTTTAATTGTGATGTTAGGGTGTCAATTTTGGATCTTTCCTGCTTTCTCTTGTAGGCATTTAGTGCTATAAATTTCCCTCTACACACTGCTTTGAATGCGTCCCAGAGATTCTGGTATGTGGTGTCTTTGTTCTCGTTGGTTTCAAAGAACATCTTTATTTCTGCCTTCATTTCGTTATGTACCCAGTAGTCATTCAGGAGCAGGTTGTTCAGTTTCCATGTAGTTGAGCGGCTTTGACTGAGATTCTTAATCCTGAGTTCTAGTTTGATTGCACTGTGGTCTGAGAGATAGTTTGTTATAATTTCTGTTCTTTTACATTTGCTGAGGAGAGCTTTACTTCCAAGTATGTGGTCAATTTTGGAATAGGTGTGGTGTGGTGCTGAAAAAAATGTATATTCTGTTGATTTGGGGTGGAGAGTTCTGTAGATGTCTATTAGGTCTGCTTGGTGCAGAGCTGAGTTCAATTCCTGGGTATCCTTGTTGACTTTCTGTCTCGTTGATCTGTCTAATGTTGACAGTGGGGTGTTAAAGTCTCCCATTATTAATGTGTGGGAGTCTAAGTCTCTTTGTAGGTCACTCAGGACTTGCTTTATGAATCTGGGTGCTCCTGTATTGGGTGCATAAATATTTAGGATAGTTAGCTCCTCTTGTTGAATTGATCCCTTTACCATTATGTAATGGCCTTCTTTGTCTCTTTTGATCTTTGTTGGTTTAAAGTCTGTTTTATCAGAGACTAGGATTGCAACCCCTGCCTTTTTTTGTTTTCCATTGGCTTGGTAGATCTTCCTCCATCCTTTTATTTTGAGCCTATGTGTGTCTCTGCACGTGAGATGGGTTTCCTGAATACAGCACACTGATGGGTCTTGACTCTTTATCCAACTTGCCAGTCTGTGTCTTTTAATTGCAGAATTTAGTCCATTTATATTTAAAGTTAATATTGTTATGTGTGAATTTGATCCTGTCATTATGATGTTAGCTGGTGATGTTGCTCGTTAGTTGATGCAGTTTCTTCCTAGTCTCGATGGTCTTTACATTTTGGCATGATTTTGCAGCGGCTGGTACCGGTTGTTCCTTTCCATGTTTAGCGCTTCCTTCAGGAGCTCTTTTAGGGCAGGCCTGGTGGTGACAAAATCTCTCAGCATTTGCTTGTCTATAAAGTATTTTATTTCTCCTTCACTTATGAAGCTTAGTTTGGCTGGATATGAAATTCTGGGTTGAAAATTCTTTTCTTTAAGAATGTTGAATATTGGCCCCCACTCTCTTCTGGCTTGTAGGGTTTCTGCCGAGAGATCCGCTGTTAGTCTGATGGGCTTTCCTTTGAGGGTAACCCGACCTTTCTCTCTGGCTGCCCTTAACATTTTTTCCTTCATTTCAACTTTGGTGAATCTGACAATTATGTGTCTTGGAGTTGCTCTTCTCAAGGAGTATCTTTGTGGCGTTCTCTGTATTTCCTGAATCTGAACGTTGGCCTGCCTTGCTAGATTGGGGACGTTCTCCTGGATAATATCCTGCAGAGTGTTTTCCAACTTGGTTCCATTCTCCACATCACTTTCAGGTACACCAATCAGACGTAGATTTGGTCTTTTCACATAGTCCCATATTTCTTGGAGGCTTTGCTCATTTCTTTTTGTTCTTTTTTCTCTAAACTTCCCTTCTCGCTTCATTTCATTCATTTCATCTTCCATTGCTGATACCCTTTCTTCCAGTTGATCGCATCAGCTCCTGAGGCTTCTGCATTCTTCACGTAGTTCTCGAGTCTTGGTTTTCAGCTCCATCAGCTCCTTTAAGCACTTCTCTGTATTGGTTATTCTAGTTATACATTCTTCTAAATTTTTTTCAAAGTTTTCAACTTCTTTGCCTTTGGTTTGAATGTCCTCCCGTAGCTCAGAGTAATTTGATCGTCTGAAGCCTTCTTCTCTCAGCTCGTCAAAATCATTCTCCATCCAGCTTTGTTCTGTTGCTGGTGAGGAACTGCGTTCCTTTGGAGGAGGAGAGGCGCTCTGCGTTTTAGAGTTTCCAGTTTTTCTGTTCTGTTTTTTCCCCATCTTTGTGGTTTTATCTACTTTTGGTCTTTGATGATGGTGATGTACAGATGGGTTTTTGGTGTAGATGTCCTTTCTGGTTGTTAGTTTTCCTTCTAACAGACAGGACCCTCAGCTGCAGGTCTGTTGGAATACCCTGCTGTGTGAGGTGTCAGTGTGCCCCTGCTGGGGGGTGCCTCCCAGTTAGGCTGCTCGGGGGTCAGGGGTCAGGGACCCACTTGAGGAGGCAGTCTGCCCGTTCTCAGATCTCCAGCTGCGTGCTGGGAGAACCACTGCTCTCTTCAAAGCTGTCAGACAGGGACACTTAAGTCTGCAGAGGTTACTGCTGTCTTTTTGTTTGTCTGTGCCCTGCCCCCAAAGGTGGAGCCTACAGAGGCAGGCAGGCCTCCTTGAGCTGTGGTGGGCTCCACCCAGTTCGAGCTTCCTGGCTGCTTTGTTTACCTAAGCAAGCCTGGGCAATGGCGGGCGCCCCTCCCCCAGCCTCGTTGCCGCCTTGCAGTTTGATCTCAGACTGCTGTGCTAGCAATCAGTGAGATTCCGTGGGCGTAGGACCCTCTGAGCCAGGTGTGGGATATAGTCTCGTGGTGCGCCGTTTCTTAAGCCGGTCTGAAAAGCGCAATATTCGGGTGGGAGTGACCCGATTTTCCAGGTGCGTCCGTCACCCCTTTCTTTGACTCGGAAAGGGAACTCCCTGACCCCTTGCGCTTCCCAGGTGAGGCAATGCCTCGCCCTGCTTCGGCTCGCGCACAGTGCGCACACACACTGGCCTGCGCCCACTGTCTGGCACTCCCTAGTGAGATGAACCCGGTACCTCAGATGGAAATGCAGAAATCACCCGTCTTCTGCGTGGCTCACGCTGGGAGCTGTAGACCGGAGCTGTTCCTATTCGGCCATCTTGGCTCCTCCCTCTGTCCTTTAGTTCTAAAGACATGGTTTTATTTCATTTTTTAACTTGCCTAAGAGAGAATTCTGGAAGGCTATTATTCCACCACTTTTGCTGTCTCCTAGATTTCTTATCTTCTTTAAATATCTTTTTAATATTTCGTAGATGAAATGGAAGGACATATAAAGTACATATAGTGCACACTGTAGTGATTGCTTCAAAAGCACTGTGCAGCTATTTGAGTTGCAAACCCAACTAGCCAGTTTTATCATAGAGTACCATTTTTTATTGACAGACTACCAGCATTATTAAGACATGAGTAGTTCACAGATATTTTCTTGAAAATGAATGAAGTTAGCCTTCCATTTCAAGGAAAACAACTGACAGAATTTGATGCCAGTGAGAAATTTCAAGCTCTCAAGCAAAAATAAAAATTAGGGAAAACATGTATTTATCACTGAGGATTTGACAGATTCCCAGTACTTATGTTTTCCTGATAAGTAACATTATGTTTTCCTAATGATGTTAACAAATGTAATTTTTGACATTAAGGAATGAGCTGTATCTGTGTTTGGAAGACCTGCATAATTCCATAAATCAGTATTTTCAGAATGATCAATATATTATGTTAATAAAATCATGTATAAGCAAAAGACCTATGAAAGTATAAAACAGACCAATGGATTTTAGTATAAAAGTACAAAACGTTCATTGAGGTGGGTTCAGTTTTCCCACAAAAACTAACCTTTAAGAAACTACCACTTATCAAGTTTTGGTATAAGGTATAATATGAAAGAAGAAAATCCATAATTATTTGAAAAACACGACTTAAATACTTTTCTTTTTTCCTACTACATATCTCTATTAGGCTGGGTTTTCTTCACAACTAATTGAATACAAAAACAAATATGAGAATTTAGCTGTAATCTATTAATCCAGACATTACAGAAATGCACAAAAGTGTAAAACTGGGTGACCCTTCTCATTAATTTTTTTGTTTTGGAAAATATAGTTAATTTTTATAAAAATATTTATATTAACATATAATGGGTTTGTTGAAATTTTAAAGCAATTGACACATGAATAGTTTTAAAATTTATTTTGGTTTCTACTATAGTCAATATCAAAAGTTGGCCGGGCACGGTGGCTCATACCTGTAATCCCAGCACTTTGGGAGGCCAAGGCGGGCAGATCACCTGAGGTCAGGAGTTTGAGACCAGCCTGGCCAACATGGTGAAACTCCATCTCTACCAAAAATACAAAAATTAGCTGGGTGTGTTGTCACAAGCCTGTAGTCACAGCTACTTGGGAGGCTGAGAGGCAGGAGAATCGCTTGAACCTGGGAAGCGGAGGTTGCAGTGAGCCGAGATCGCACCACTGCACTTCAGCCTGGGTGACAGAGCGAGACTCCATCTCAAATTAAAAAAAAAAAAAAAAAAAAAAAGTTATAATTCACATAAACAAAAAATTTGTAAGGCCTCTAATAATAAAGGAATCCTTTATTAAAAGTGCAAAAGGATTCTGATTCTGAAGAGTTTGAGAACCACTATGCTAGGTTTTCTAATTAAAACCCATAATCACCAGCAGGGGACCAAGTGAACAACATAAAGGTGGCTATGGTTTAGCCCTTAATTCAGTTTCCCATATTTAGTGCCAATATTTTTGTGTGACCCATATCCAAAATCTGCTCATTCACGCAAGCAGGATGGTCATAATTATTTAATCTGCAGAGAATATTTTAGGTTTACCCTCTTTGCTACTTGAATAGTCCATGCTCCTTCTGTCTCATGGCCTTTGTGCCAGGTTGCTGCTTCTGCCTGGAAAGCTCTCCTACCCCTTCTCCTAACAATTCTTATTTATTCTTTGGACATCAGTTCAAATTTTACTACCTCAGGGAAGCCTTCCCTGACCTATTCCTTCCAACCTCTTACATTTTCCAGATTTGATTAATTTCTCTAATTTCTCTCATAGTTTCGTGCACTTTTCTTTCATAGCATGTATCTCAATTGGTAATTAGGATTTTTGAGATAATTTAATTATTGCCTATCTCCTCTCTAAATTTAAGTTCCATAAGGGCAAGTTTCTTTTTTCTTTACCATTTTATCCTCAATATATATCACAGTGTTTGGCAGTATATATATGCAGAATGAGTCAATTATTTTCCAGTATGAACAACACATGCTGAAGCAAGGGAGAGTACATTTTATTGATTATTCCATCATTTCAAATAGTTTTTCAAACTACCAACCATGAGCTATGAGATATCTGTTGAATACAGTTTCTATTATGCAGCCTTCAAGTAAAAAGATGTCTTCACAGTACAATGACTGAAAGAAATTAAATTGCTTGTTTCACTTACACAGATGCCATTTCCCAGAACCTTCTCCCAACTCATGCTTCATTGTTCTAAGATAATTTTTTTAAAAGAATTACAAAAAAAAAAGACTTTTACTAATGGTTGTGCTCAGTCTTTTTCTAAAAATATATTTTATTAAATGCAAGAGGAGATTGATTTCATTCTGTATTATTTCTTTTGGGACTCATGGTACATTTTCCAACTTCAGAAATTATTTTTAAAACCGCAGAAGTATCAGATTAAATTAATGTGGTGACTACCTCAGGACAGTAGTATTTTATTCTACTCCTTCCAAGAATGTAACTGTTAAAAATTGCTACAGTTATTTATTCTTCACTTTACAATTTATTAACTGAGAGGATCATATTTTATTCTCTTCCATTTGAGGAACTTTGTGTGTGTGTTTTCAGGCAACAGAAACAAATAGTTTTTCATCTGAGGACTGTAGACTCTGGTCCTATTTTAATTAGGAGACGTTTGAGATTTGGATGAAGGTGGCATATTGTCCTTTCAGATATCCAGGCAATATTTGCAAAATCTGTCTAACCGTAAGAGTTACAGAACCCCTTCAGATAATAAGTCTGGTATACTTTAACAGCAGTGCTTTCAGAATTTACAGCCTTTACTTTAGGGCACTCAGTGTTGATCTTATTGCTAATCTCAAATGGTTTTGTTTTACACAGAAGCAAATGGATATCAATGCTGCTATTCAAGCCTTGATTGAATCAAATACTGCCCTACAGATGGAGGTAACATATCTGGTTTTATTTATATTGGCACTGTCTCTCAATATACCAATTAAACAGAGAAAATTTTTGGAGGCCAAAATGTGACATTATCTCAAAGATTGTATTTAAAACAGATTGAAAATGTGAAACCATTCTCAAGAACAAAGTAAGTGATTTTGGTATAATTAAACAGAAATATATGCGTAGGATGTTTTGTAAGGAAAACATTTAAATCAAAAATTTAGTACTGTTATTTGTAAGGAATTTGGTACTATCCAAGAAAGTAGTTAAATGAGGTTAGCCATGTTTCTTAAAATGAGATATATATATTATCACTACTCATTTATTTAAACTCTAATGATTCAATGTGTAATTTAAAAAACATAATACAGTAGACATAGCAATTCTTATGTTAGCTTGAAAACTAAACTTGCAAATGTGAATTTAACCTCTTTAAAAGATTAAGGTTATTAAAGCATACACATATGCCTATGCTTAAATATAAACTGTTCTTTACATTCTACTCACAACTTACTACACATAATGGAAACACATTCTTCTCCTGCCTTGGCCCATGTTGGTCCTCAGGATTTTTTTGCTTATATAATTCTTATGATGACTTGGCAGAGCTACCAGAATACTGAAGTGACTTTAATTGACCACAGTGAAGAGATATTCAAAACCCTGAACTACCTTAGCAATTTATTGCACAGCATCAAGAATCCTCTTGGCACACGAGATAACCCAGCACGAATCTGCAAAGATTTACTTAACTGTGAACAAAAAGTATCAGATGGTAAGTTCTTGGTTACCTCAAACTCTGATAGTGAATTTCATTTCATCATTTCAGTGTGTTTGAGATTTGTAATGTGTTCACTCCAAATCATAGTTAGTTTGATAAAACCCTGGCAGAAGCCATTTTAATGTCATCAAGAATAAAATTCTCTATGAGGGAGACATGATTCTGATGTCATCCACCCCTAGCTATATCATTTGCTTATATTTTGTACTTGGTATACAGCATATTCATATTAAAAATTAAGAAAGGTAGGCCTGACCTTTGCATTAACAGACAGTAGTACTCATCAGAACTTGGTAAGTCAGGACTACAAAAGTTAGCAACATAAATAAATATATTATAGCATCTCCTTCACCATACTCCCTAAAAGTCTGGGTTTTTTTTAATACAAAATGGAATTTAAATGTCGCCTTCTAGAATTGATGACCATGAAGATGGGAGCGGTTTGTCATTCTTGGAAGTGTCTAATCTCAACACAGATGCCCCGATTTCATTAGCCAGAGGTGCAAAAATGAATTTAGATTAGAACAACCAAGGAAAGGTTTTAAATCAAGAGGAGTAAGTCATCAGTTAAACAGGGGAAACCTTGTCTGCTACAAACTCTAGTTTTAACACAATGACATGTTTGAAAAAAAAATGTATGATTTGAAAAGTGCTGATGTGAAAAATGCTGATTTGAAAAAGCTATGTTATGTTATTCTGTGGTCATTTTAATTTTGTTTGTACATACACATCTCACATACATGCACTCACACACACACAAACACGCACATACACACATGTCCAAAACATCTGCTTCCGTTCTAGAACTTCAATGAAAACATTCATTTTGTTTACATTAATCAAACACTTAACTTCTAAAGATATTTTTCTGCCCTAGATTAATATAAAAACTAAAATAATACTAAAATTGTAGTTGCCTATAATAATTCTCAGCTTGATTTTTTCCCATATTTGAGGGCATTAAAGTGTAATTCTGTAGAATTGAAAGGAACAAAGATCTTGTAAGACATACAAAATTAGTATGAAATGTAATTCAAAGTCTACCTTCCTTATAAGAGAAATAGCTAAATGGTGTGGATTGTGCAGTGTTCAAAAAATCTTTACGCCCCCCAAATACTTTCATCACTAGGATATCATAAGTGCTATAAGGAAAAACAAAACAGCAGGGTAGGGAGATTTGATAGGAAGTGGAGCACAAGATACAATTTTTAAATAGAATGATCAGATAAGGCATCTATGAGAATGTGACACTTGGGTGATATCAGAAGGAGGTAAGAGAGCAAGCCACAAGAAATCTAGAGAAAGAGCTTTCCAGGCACAAAGAATAAATGCAAAAGCCCTGAGTCTTTGAGTATACCTAGCAAGTTTTAGAATTAGCAAGAAAGCCAGTATGAATGGAAGAGAGTGCATATAGGGGAGAATGATAGGAAATTAAATTAGAAAGATATCAAAAAGTCAAATTATACAAGACCCTCTAGACTACTCAGAAGTCTCTAGCTTGTACTCTTGATAAGATGGGAAGCCATTGGAAATTGCTGAGCGAAGAAGTGACATAATTTGGCTCAGATTTTTAAAATATTACTCTAGCTAATATGTTGCAAATACAATCAGGAAGACAGGGGTAGAGGTAGGGAAACCACTGAGAAGGATATTGACATAATCCAGGAGAGATGATGGTTGGTTGGACTAGAGTTGGTTGCAGGGGAAGTGGTAAAAAGTGGTTAGATTCTTGAATATGCTTTATGCTTAGCGTTCCATTATTGGAACACTAAGCATGTGGGAGTCATTTATATCCTACTTCTTAAGGTCATCACCAAGGTCTGATTGCAAAAATTCAAAAAAATTACAACCTCAGGAATAAATGGGTTAAGGTAGAGCCAGCAGTTTTTGTTGATAGATTGGATGTGGGTTATGAGAGAACTAGAATGGTAAAGGATGACTCTCAGGGTTTTTTTTTTTTTTCTGTAAAAGGGTGGGATGTTGTTAACAGGAGATGCAATTTTGGAGATAAGATCAGGAGTAAAATTTTGGATATATTTACTTTGAGATGTCTCTTAGACATTCAAGTAAGAATGTCAAGTAGGTAGTTGACTACTCAAGTTCAAGGTCAAGAAGGAGATCCTAAGTAAGGGTAAAAATTATGAAATCATTTACATTTAATTGGTGTTTAATGCCTTAAGACTGCTTAAGACTACATAGATAGTAAGTAAAGGAAGAAATGAGGTCTAGGACGGGCACAGTGGCTCATGCCTGTAATCCCAGCACTTTGGGAGGCAGAGGTGGGCAGATCATGAGGTGAAGAGATTGAGACCATCCTGGCTAACATGGTGAAACCCCATCTCTACTAAAAATACAGAAAAATTAGCCGGGTGTGGTGGCACGCACCTGTAGTCCCAGCTACTCAGGAGGCTGAGGCAGGAGAATCACTTGACCCAGGAGGCCGAGATTGCAGTGAGCTGAGATCACACCGCCACACTCCAGCCTGGCCACAGAGTGAGACTCTGTCTCAAAAGAAAAAAAAAGAAAAAAGAAATGAGGTCTAAAAACTGGATCCTAGGGTTCTCTAATGTTTAAAGATCAGGAAGGTGAGGGCGAACTAGCAAACAAAACTAAGAAGCAGCTATCACTGAGATAAGAGGCAAACTGGATGTGGTGTCCTGAAAATCAAGCAAAGAAAATGTTTGCCAGAGGAGGAGGGAGGGAAGGGATTAACTGGGTCCACGTTAAGTAAAGCAAAAACTGAGGAAGACTACTGAATTTAGCAATGCAGACATCATTAAGGACCTTCATCAAGAGCAGTTTAGAGGAATGGTAGTAGTTAAAACCTTATCAGATTTTAAGAGAAAAGGATAATGCTAGGAACTTTTCATTCCCAGTAACGAAGCACATAATTCATATTACCTGGCTAAATTAATTTTTTAAGTTAAAAGCATAAAATAAATAACAAACAGCAATGAACTTTCAAGCTGAGACTTTAAAGGAGACAGCAGAAAGTGAACCCAACATTTGGAGCTACTTTTGCCCCCAGTATGTTGAGAAGCTTGGTGGCTTCAGGAGGTAGGGGTCAAAAGTTAGAATCTGTGGCCCACCAAAGGTGAGGACTTAGACTTTCAAAGGCCTGCATTCTAGTAGTAAAGATAAACTGGAAGAAAACGAACATTCATACAGACTGTAGCTTTGCTTCACATCATCTGGATAGCTCAGAAAATCCCAAACTTTGAACTTGTATTAAAATGGTTCCAAACTGCTGGAACTCCCACATACTGTCAGAAACAAACAAAAATCTTCTATAAAAGATAACATTTTCCTAGAACTCAAACTATTTCCACAAATAATTTCAAAAATGCAGTGCCCAGCACACAATCAACAACCAAACACACAAGTTGACACAACACCATGAATGAGAACTAGTAGAAACAGCAGACAACGAAAGCAGACTCAAAAGAGAGAAAAGAAGTAGAATTTAAATCTGCAAGTATAATGAACAAGATAAGTCTTCTTTCTTTCTTTCCTTTTCTTTTCTTTTCTTTTTTTTTTTTTTGAGGCAGAGTTTCACCCCTGTGCCTAGGCTGGAGTGCAGTGGCTCGATCTCGGCTCACTGCAACCTCCGCCTTCCAGGTTCAAGCGATTCTCCAGCCTCAGCCTCCCAAGTAGCTGGGATTATAGGCGCCAGCCACGATGCCCAGCTAATTTTTTTTTTTTTTTTGTATTTTTAGAAGAGACAGGGTTTCACCGTCTTGGCCAGGCTGGTCTCAAACTGCTGACCTCGTGATCTGCCCGCCTCGGCCTCCCAAAGTGCTGGGATTACAGGCGTGAGCCACCGTGCCCGGCCTTAGGATAATTCTTCTATAGGAACACAGTTTATTCACTATAATAAGAGAGAAGGCAGGCCAGGTGCAATGGCTCATGCCTGTAATCCCAGCACTTTGGGAGACCGAGGTGGACAGATCACTTCAGGCCAACATTTTTTTCGGATCAGTTTGAGAACAGCCAGGCCAACGTGGTGAAACTTCATCTCTACTAAAAATAGAAAAATTGGCCAGCCATGGTGGAATGTGCCTGTGGTCCCAGCTACCCAGGAGGCTAAGGTGGGAGGATCTCCTGAGCCTGCAGGGGGTGGAGGTTGCAGTGAGCCAAGATCATGCCACTGCACTCCAGCCTGGGCAACAGAGCAAGAGAGAAATTCCTATTTCAAAAAGAGAGAGAAGGTAGAATATATGTGTACAAGCACAGACATGTGGGTAGATATGATAGTGGGAGTTTATATAAGTTACATAAATTTTCTTCAGATTCCTTCAGTTGTCTCATTGAAATTGGAAGCTTATCAGTTGAGGATAAGAGCGAATGAATAGGTGTAAGATAGTTAACTATCTTAGTGATAGAGGGAATAAACTCTGGAAACACCATATTACTGTCTAGCAGCTTTACAGACACATTTGAATTTGAAGGATGCCCATCACAACAGTTGTGTTTTTCTCCTACCACTTTTTTCTGTGCAGGTATAGGCACAGGTTAGGGAGAAACTTACGTAGGATTGGGGATTTATAAGACAAGTAGAGTGAAATGAGGCAGGGCAAGGGTGTAAGGAAGTTTATAAGGACATTACTATAGTAAAGGACTGTGGATTTTTAAGCTGGGTAAGAAGGGAAGTGAACATATGATCATTAGGGGCAATGAAAAAGTGATAGTAGGTCCCGATGAAAGTGAAGAATTATTGGAGTTAGGACACTAGAGGGAGTGAACTGGAAAGAGAAGAGAAATGAAATTATGGAGGAGATGCAGTTGTTGGTAATAACAAAAGCTAGGATATGGCCTTGGAAGTTAATGGTTAAAGTAAGGTACGAGGGTAGGGGGAGGGTACAAGATCATTGGTGGAAAAGTAAGAGGGTTGGGGAGGATACAATTCAAGGAACTGAAGACCAACATGTTGAAAGCATCATCTATGTGGCTTTAAAATCACCAAGAATTAGGTCATAAGTAGATTTTCTGAAAGTGATAAAAAGCTAAAATTGTCATAGAAAAATAGTAAATGATTACACCAGGAGGAACTAATGAATGATATAATGTGATTATAGTAATTTCAATATGGAGTGTTTTCAGGGAGAAAATGCAAAGAATGGTCTGTAAGTAGCAACAAAGAGCAAGAAAGATGCCTTGCCACCTTCGGGCACAACACTGTAGAGGCTACAAGAGAAGCAGTGTCCTCAGGGAAGAGCTAGTTTTGAGTCAGAACATTTAGGCTCACAAAAGATATGTCATGGTATAGGACTTCATCTCTAGCTTGGCATACCTTGAAAGAAATTATGGAGCCCCTACCCAAATAGAATATAACACCTGAATTCAAAGCATTTCACCCCATATAAAAATAAAATTTGCTTGATGGAAAACCTTTTATAAAGAATTTTTTATTATTAGCTCATATAGTAGTAGGATAGTATTTCTTGGAAGACAAGAGAAGGTGAAAGAAGATATATGTTTACTCCATTAGGTAAGACTGGAAGCCCTCATCAGATTCTGATGAAAAATTCAGCTGTACTTTCTAAAAACTTTATGAAATATTCAAAATTCTGAAGATAAGGGACTAGGAATGGTTGACCTCCTTCACCCCTTTCTTCTGTATTTCAATATATCAGTGGTTCTCCAAATGTGATCCCTGGACCAGAATTAGATACTGTTAGAAATGCAGATTCTTAAGCCCCACCCCAGACTTAATAAATCAGCAACTCTCAAGGGTAGGGCCCAGCTATGTGTGTTTTAGTGATGGTTTGATGCACACTAAAGTTTGAACACTGCTGCAGCTGAGGACCATTTCTACCCTTTGAGCTACCAATTAAGCAAGTAAGCATTTAGAGGGATTAGTAGAATAGTAGAGAGGAGAATATTTGAGGATGTTTTAGAAGCTAGAGGAAACTCAGGATGAGCTAGAGGAATCTTTGCTATGGAATAAAAGTGGAATGAACAAGGACTTCTGCCTACTGTAGAAAAAATGACATTTAACAAAAACCATTGAATGTTCTTGCGTTTTTAATGCAGGAAAACAGGGCTGCCTTATTCAAAAATTCCTGTCCTTTGTATTTGGAATAAGATGCTATTTTAATACTCTCAGTCTATTAGTCTGGAATTAAGATGCTAGGCCATTGCTTTTCAGTCTAAGTATTTTCTGTAGTCTGAGTTTAGGCCCAGTTTTATTCTCTTGGGCACTCAGTGGAGCAAAGACTGGTAGAATTTCACTAGCTATAGGGACCTCAGTTTTTCCCACTGAGTGATAGTGGGAAAATCTGAAAGAGTACAAAAATGATAAACATTTAATTGTATGATTTTTTTGTGAAAACAAAAATGTTCTCATATTTTTATTTTACTTATCAGTATTATACATAAAGATATATTTTTCCTTCAAGAGATGGAAGTTGTTTCTATTATAAAACAAAATGTTCGTTTGAAACACTGTAATGATGTATAACAGAAATATACACATATACTTCATTAAGTTCAACTTTTTTGTTAACTATGTAACTAAACAATTCACTTTTAGTTGCTGAGCACATCTTCTTATCTGTAGAATGAAGCAATCAATTCAGCTATTCTATCATTTTATCATAATTTAATCATAATTGATTAAAATTATGAAACACTCTGAAATTGATAGTTATGTGAAAAATACAGCATTTTTAGTATCAATTTTACATAATGCAGCATTCATTCATTCACTAAATGTAAATATATAATCTTCTAAGTTTTTAACAGGTGAAACTGTGATAATATGTATTTAAAGTACCATGACCATTTATAAGGATGTGGCCGGGCACAGTGGCTCACGCCTGTAATCCCAACACTTTGGGAGGTGGAGGTGGGCAGATCACTTGAGGTCAGGAGTTCAAGGCCAGCCTGACCAACATGGTGAAATCCCATCTCTACTGAAAATACAAAAATTAGCCGGGTGTGGTGGCCCATTCCTGTAATCCCAGCTACTCAGGAGGTTGAGGCATGAGAATCACTTGAACCCAGGAAGCGGAGGTTACAGTGAGCCAAGATCGCACCGCTGCACTCCAGCCTGGGCTAACAGAATGAGACTCTCTCTCTCAAAAAAAAAAAAGAAATTATAAGGATTATGGCATTTAATAACTTTAACTTTATGTTTTACTATAAATTATTAGGAAAATACTGGATTGACCCAAATCTTGGCTGTCCTTCAGATGCCATTGAGGTTTTCTGCAATTTCAGTGCTGGTGGCCAGACATGCTTACCTCCTGTTTCTGTAACAAAGGTATGTTACTGAATTTTAGAACACATGTCGTTATATTGCACAGTATCAGTGAAAAATTATGTTTAAAATTCTATCATTTTAAATAATTATGAATTTTAAGAATGAAAGCAAAGATTATTCTCTATTGTGTATGAGAAATAAATATGTTATTTTTTAAAACTAGTTAATCACAGTAAATCTTGACATTTTGATTGTGTCTTTTTATTATTTGGCTTAGTTTGCCTTACCCTACTGATCATGTTTTTTAAATTCCTTTTAAAATTGTGCAACATATGCTATGTTTTTATGCATACACACACATTAGAAATTTCTTAAACAGCTAGTGTTTGTAACCAGTAATCAGTTACCTGAAGTTTTGCTGAAAATTATATTATAATCATTAAAAAAGAATTTGCCACAAAATCTTGCTATTTATGGTTATTGGGCACATAATAACCTTTCTTAAACATCCACAGAATACTACTAAAAACTTCTTTCATGAATAATTCTATAAATCAAACGTTTAGAACGAATGCATGTTAGTTTGTTAAACTAACATATATTATAACACTGGGAGTTATAACAAATATTTATAAAACCTAAATCCTAGCTGTACCTATAACATATATTGAAACCAAAACTATGTTTCTTTCTTTTTCTGATTAAACCAGCTTGATATATGATCAAGAATTTCTCATTGACAAAGAACTGATACATGTGCCTATTGTGTGTTTTGTTCATCATAAAAAGACAGCAGATAAAATTCAATCTCTTTAGCTGCTTCTTATTGAACCGCCCTCTCCTCCTAAAACACCTCTCTTCATTAACCAGGGCATTCCATCAATTTATCTTAATAGGCATTCACCATTATTACCCCTGAAATAGAAGAGGGAAGGATCCTTCCATTCCTAGGGAATCATGAACCTCTAATAAAGAGCAGCATGATAGTCCTACTTCCAAAATATCCACATCATCATCCTCATTCCAGTGGAAGTTGGCATAGGATTATCATAGAAGGAAAGAAGATGGGGCTGTGTGAACTGTGCAGAGGAAATAGGAGCAGTGGGGAAGCGGACTCTAGTTGTTTCCATGACCAAATCACTTCTCTAATTTCTTTGATTCATAAACTCAACCCAAGGAAGACCAGAGAAGTACTGGGATGAACAGTAGACTTGGAATCAGGGACTGGGGTTCTAGTCTCTATTCTATGAACCTAGGGAATAAAACTGTGATCCACCAGAGGGCCTGCTCTGTGCCAGGAACAATGCTAGGTAAATTACATTTGTCATTTTTAATCCTCATAACAACCATGCCAGATTAGTGTTATACCCGAATTTACTGACAAGGAAATTAAGGCTCAGAAAGCTTAAATATTGTTTGCAAGTTTCTGACTCTAATCTGTAAAATGAAGGAATTGAATTACTTAAATTCTAATGTTCCTTATTATCTTTCCATGTGTATGCCCTTCTTTTGCCTTTCCTCTCATTTTGTTTTTTCTTTCTGTTTTTCTTTTTGTTGTTATTGTTTTTCTTCTACATTACCTCATAACTGATATTTTTCTAACTTTATGCTTGGAAATCAGTACAAATTCCTCAGTAGGAACTATTTCTGTTCACTTACATTATGACCATATCCCTGCTTGAATAATGCTAAAATAATAATAATCATGTCTAGAGCTATAGGAAAATCTGCCTTCCTGTTCAAGCCTGGGAAACGTGCAGTCAGTCTTCTTAAGTCTGATATTGTCCTATATATTAACTAATATATATATTAGTTAATACTTGTTTATGCATTCATTCATTCATTCAATAAATATTTATTGACGATTCACTGTGTGAATGAAACTACATTAAGGGCTGGTAACACAAAGAATAGGATTCTGTCCTAGTCCGTTAAGGCTCTCAAAGTTAAAATTACTCAACCAAATTATTGTTACAGCTTGTAACTCATCTTTGGAAACTCTCACAAAAAAAATCTCGAAGGCAGAGACAGAATCTCAGATTTTTATTAAAAAAAGTATTAAAGCATTAACCAAAAGCAAATTGTTACTTTATATACTGTGAAAATTATCTTTATTTTATTGATATTATATGTAGTAGCCTGATGGTATGCTGGAGCCAATTCATATAGGCTCAGGAAAGCCACTTGTTAACATTTCTTCCCATTGCCGTGTTCAGTGACCTCACCTTGGTAGTCTGAATTCAGCCATGCCTGTAATCCCAGCACTTTGGGAGTGCTTCTACCACAGGAGTCAGGAAATACTATAAATCATGGTTTTTCCTCCAAGAAGCAGTGGTTAAACATTTACCAGCACACCACTGACTGGCACTTCAGTTCCAAGGAAAGGAGCTTTCTGGAGGCTGCCTTTGAAGGACTTTTCCTCAGGTTTTCCTGAACTGTTAAGTTTCTCAATTGCCATGTTATAACCTGCATATCATTTCTATGACATTAGTTGGAGTTTGGAGTTGGGAAAGTCCAGATGAACTTCCTTCATTTACTGAGTTCGGAAGCCACCCATATCATCACCATTCACTGTCTAAACACCCCAAGGTGGACAAGCACACAAACAAGTGGCCCAGGATTGCCTATTGGTTTCAAGGGATGGAATGGCCAGATTTTTAAAGTAAACACTCTACTTGAACCTAAAGTGCTTTCAGATGACTGCAAGGTAAGGAAATGGCACTTTTAGAATTGTTCAATATAACTAACTTAAAATTGATAAAACCATAAAATTAGGATAATTAGAGTAAGACTTTAATTACAAACTGCAGATACAGAAGGGTAGTAAGTTTTAATGTGCCTGACTTGTAACTGCATTTTCTAGAATCAATCATTTGTTTATATAATACCTTATCAACTTGTGTCATACCAATTGGTCTTAGATTTTTGCATGCAAAACAGGTGTTAAGATGTAAATTTAATTTTTATTCCCTATATGAAATAATTATACCAGGATGGATGGATGGATAGATAGACAGATAGATAAATGATAAATAGATAGTGTATTTGGATAAATATTTTCATGTGTTTTCACTGCTGTAATTCTACATCTCATTATTGCATAAAAGGCAAGTTATAGAGGCAAGTGAGTTTTATTTCATTCTGTCAATCCCTGTACCTGATACCAAATATGGGTATAATTACATATTGACTGGCCCCACCAGTAAGTATTTGAATTCTGGCCTATTTTTTTTCCATTAAAATTAAATAGTGGGGCCAGGCATGGTGGCTCATGCCTGTAATCCCAGCACTTTGGGAGGCCGAGGCAGTCAGATCACTTGAAGTCAAGAATTCAAGACCAGCCTGGCCAACATGGTGAAACCCCGTCTCTATTAAAAATCCAAAAATTAGCCAGGCATGGTGGCAGGTACCTGTGATCCCAGCTACCTGGGAGACTGAGGCAGGAGAATCACTTGAACCCAGGAAGCGGAGGTTGCAGTGAGCCAAGATCGCACCACTGCATTCCAGCCTGGGCAGCAGAGTAAGACTCTGTCTCAAAAAAAAAAAAAATTAAATTAAATTAAATTAAATAATGGGGCTAGGCACTGTGGGGGCACATCTGTAATCCCAGCACTTTGGGAGGCTGAGGCGGGTGGTTCACTTGAGGCCAGGAGTTTGAGACCAGCCTGGCCAACATGGAGAAACTCCGTCTCTACTAAAAATACAAAAATTAGCCAGGCATGGTGGCACACGCCAATAATCCCAGCTACTCAGGAGGCTGAGCCACAAGAATTGCTTGAACCTGGGAGGCAGAGGCTGCAGTGAGCCAAGATTGTGCCACTGCACTCCAGCCTGGGCAACAGAGCAAAACTCTATCTCAAAAAAAAAAAAAAATTAAATGACAGTTACTATGAAAAATCTATAATTTTAAAACACTATTTCTTAGAGCAGGTGTTGGCAAACTATGTTCAACAGACCAAATCGGGCCCACTCCATGTTTTTGTGAATAAATTTTTATTGGAACACAGCCATCCTTAATTCATTTACTTATTATCTATGGCTGTTATGGCACTACAATGGCAGAGTTGAGTAAGTATGACAGAGACTGCAGGGCCCACAAAATGTAAAATACTTACTATCTGGCCCTTTAGAGAAGAGTTTGCCGACCCCTCTTTTAGAGAATGGAGTTGTACACTTTATATATGTATCATTAATTATTTTAAGTAGCTTCATTTCCTATCTTTGTGTACTATGAAACCCATGATTTAGTATCTCAACATTTCCAAGTTACTCTACTTTTTCATAACATTTTATTTCCAGGAAAATAGTGCTTGAAAAATCATAAGCAAATAGAAGTATATATATTTTATTATCTATATTTGAAGAGATGAGTATCATCAACAAATTTATTTAACTTGTACAGTTGGGCCCAGAAACATTCAGTGACTCACTAGTACCTCTGAGACACAATTCAAACTTATCAACTCCATTGAGTGCTTACAACAACCAGACCCCAGCCTGCTTTTCTAGATTGGGCTTTCACTGGCTGTCTGTTGTAAACTATGGTCAAACTCATCTGTTACAATAATAATAGGGATAATAATATCAACAGCTCCTACTACTATTTATTGGGAGTTTTATTATATGTTAAGTGACCATGCATTACATTAATTATTTTATTCATAATAACAGCTTTGTAAAGAATATATTATTGGTCCTATTTTATAGGTATGAAAGTAAAGGCACAGAGAACTTGCTCAAGGTTATTTTGAGCAAAGTAAGGCAGCCAATTAGCATAATTAAAAATAAATTCGCAAGTAAGTAAAATTAGCATAAGTAAAATAAAAATTAAAGTAAAAAATAAATAAAAATTAAAGTAATGCAGCTAATTAGATAATCGCAGTCATACAGCTAATTAGAGGAGGAACAAGAAATCAATCCCAGGCATGGCTGGGCACAGTGGCTCATGCCTGTAATCCCAGCACTTTGGGAGGCCAAGGCAGGCAGATAACAAGATCAGGAGATCGAGACCATCCTGGCTAACACGGTGAAACCCCGTCTCTACTAAAAATACAAAAAATTAGCCGGGCGTGGTGGCAGACACCTGTAGTCCCAGCTACTCAGGAGGCTGAGGCAGGAGAATGGCGTGAACCTGGGAGGCGGAGCTTGCAGTGAGCCTAGATTGCACCACTGCACTCCAGCTGGGCGACCGAGTGAGACTCCGTCTCAAAAAAAAAAAAAAGAAAAGAAAAGAAATCAATCCCAGGCATGGAGAACTCCAAAGCCCAGGCCTTACTGTACTGCTAGTGACTTTTGATTGAAACTTCATTTAATCCTCGCAAGCCTGTGAGGTAGGTGTTTATTATTCCCATTTTATATGTGGGGAAAGTGAGAGTACCAGAATTTCTATCAAAATCTGTCCCAGGTCAAATCCGTGAATTTAAACGCCATGCTAAGCTAATTTTCACAGCCACTTTCTACTTGCCCTTCTGTTTTTTAGTTTTTTGTGGTGGTTGTTGTGTGTGTGTATATGTATGGGTGTTCAGCTTAAGCCATTCATTTTCTCTGAAATGCCTTTCTGTACCTCACTAATCAAGTGGAAATTTTAGGCATACTTTAAAGCCCATCTATATTCCAAATTTTTTCATGAAGCTTTCCCTGAGTACTCTAGTTAGAAATGTGGAATTTACTAACTATCTACATTTTTTACATTGTACTTTCTATAGATGGTCTTTTGTTGTGGTTATTTGTTTATGTTTTTACTCTCTTCAATTAGATTTATAAGCCACTAGCATTTAGAAGCCAGAACTATTGTATTCATCGTGTATTTCACAAGCACTATAAGAACACTAAGTGTTACATCTTATTCAACTATGCTAAATATACTTAGTATTCAATAAATATTGCTTAAAAGACTTAATGAATGAATCTAACAGTGCCTCACACACAGAATTTTAGGTCTTGTTATCATACCAAGCTTATGACTTTAGACAAGTAACTTATTTTCAATGAGCTTCAATTGCCTTAACTTTAAAATAAAATTTATAGCTTAAATAATCTCTAAAGTTCCTTCAAAATTTAAAATTTATATCATGATAATTCTGTGAATAAGTGAATTAGCTCCTAAATAACAGCTCCACAAAACTCATCAATTGTTTTTCTCTATTGTGTCTGGTTGAATCTTAATCACAGGATATCTTATGATATGTTTTTGTTCCACAGAGTTTATTAGACACAAAAGAGAAGAAAGAGGGAAACTGTATAAATAGAGAGCTACAGAATGGGGCGGGGGGGAAGAGACCTAAAAGATGATTGCACATAATTATAATTTTAACTATTTCTGACTGAGGTGATTCTGTTTATTTTCTACCTAAAATACAGAGGTTGAAATAGCTCGTTCCCTTTTATCAAAGAAAAATATCCATCCTGAGGTATCAGTCCCAAATAAAGGAATACAGAACAGATGGTTATTACTCATATTAGGAGTATTGCAGCCTTTTAATTCATATCTGGTCCAATAATTCACAGACAGTTGAAGCAGAAGCCTGGCCTTAGCCTCTGGAAGTGAAAAATTAGAACAGACAGTGCCATTCTAGAGAAAGGAATAAGTCCAGGTTTTCAACTAATAATAGTAATTTTACCATTTATTGAGCATTGTTCTAGGCACTTTCTATTCGTTATCTCTAATCCTTAAAACAAGTTCACATTATCTGTGAAAGGCATTGTCTACTGAAAGTGACTGCTAATGAAATGCGTATGAAAGCATTTTGTTCTTATTTTACAGATTCAAGATGGCAGCTGGCATAAGGCAACATTTCTTTTTCACACCCAGGAACCTAATCAACTTCCAGTGATTGAAGTACAAAAACTTCCTCATCTCAAAACTGAACGAAAGTATTACATTGACAGCAGTTCTGTATGCTTTCTGTAAAGTCTCTGAATTAGTTCCGAATTCAGGCTGTTGGCCAGGTAATTGCTGCAGAGGGAGAAATAAGACAGACAGATACAGTCATTATGAAATGCATGTAATAAAGCATTGGCTAAATCTTAAAGAATCTCAGGAAGAACAGACTTCCTCCTAAGAAGGAGAAAAGGCATTTTTAAAGGACTATGATTGATAAAGTATTTAATTCTTTTAAAAATTATATTCATCTCAGCTTTCTTAGAGAATTCCCTAGAACTAAAAATTTATAAATATGGAATTCTTCAGGGTATCTTATATTTTTGACTGAGTGCGTAGTACCCATTAGACAGCTGGAGATGCAGAGCACTATGGAGCAATACTGGCTAATGCTTCCAGATGTGCACTGCTTCTGTCTAAAAATTACAAGCCACAGTCTAATATGTCTTATTTTCCAAAACACTAAGCTGTATTCAGGTCCCCGATGGGCATATACATCTTAGCCGGTGATACACTACCTCTTACGTGTTGCCTCTTTGTGTTGCTTGGTGCTCTTTCGAAAACAAGGTGCTTATGGCTTTCATAGACTATTTCCTTTTTCATCTTTGTCATTCTTTAAAAGTGTATGTACTGGTTACATCAAGATATGTTTTGGTTGTTAGTACTTATTTTAATTTGTTTGGTCACACACTTAATAACACGTGAAACTATTTATGTGAAGTCCTTGTTTTATTTTAAAATTCTCTTTGTGTATTTGGAATCAAAGCCAGCACATTGTAACCTGTGCTTGTACGCAAAAGAATTAGATTTCTTTGTTTTTGTTTTATTTTTTAAATTGTTGTAAAAATTATTATAGGCCAGCTACATCTAGTAGTAGGTTTGGGGTACAGATTGGGGGTTGTGCCATACTGTTTTTAAAGTTCATGATCATCTGGAATGATACTTAGTGTATATATATTTTGTAAAGTTTTAATTCAGCAAATTTTTTGAAATTGCTGCTGTTTTAAATTATAAAACCTTTATATTTCTGCTTTGTAGAA
This sequence comes from Homo sapiens, assembly GCF_000001405.40. Classification (NCBI taxonomy): domain Eukaryota; kingdom Metazoa; phylum Chordata; class Mammalia; order Primates; family Hominidae; genus Homo; species Homo sapiens. The sequence goes on along the minus strand of NC_000001.11, from coordinate 85,729,535 downwards.
ATTATATGTTTTGTAGTATTCATTGATTTTCTTTCACTGTACTTAAATTTAGTGTTAGTACTTTAAAATTTTTAATTTACCAGTCTTTAAAGCAACATCCAGAAAAAAAAAAGTCTTTTCCCATTTAAAATAGGCTCAGCCAGTTCAATGTCTCCTTGTTATCAGAGAAATATTAGTTCAATACTGAAAGAAAAATATTATACCTCTTGGTATCTAGAAAAGCTTGTTCATCCATTATAAATATATCTTTAGCCACAGCAAACCACACTTAACCTATCTATAATAAAAATGTGCTTTAAATAATTTTGGGTGGTATTTGTTTTTCTTCTTTTGTTACAATATGCTTTTATTATTTATGATAGCCCCTCTGGCATAGCCTTTCTGTGTTATGTATATTTATATTGTTAAGAAGTATCTTTTATATACCTGCAAAAGGATTATAGGACCTATTTCCATGACAAAAATAAACTCTTACATATATCATCAAATGACTTTCAACAAGTGCGCCAATGCCATTCAATGGAGAAAGGACAGTCTTTTCAACAAATGGTTCTGGGAAAACTGGATATCCACATGCAAAAGAATGATGGTGAACCCTTACCTTATATTACATACAAAAAGTAACTCAAAATGGGAGCAAATATCTAAACAAAAGAGCTAAAACTATAAAACTCTTAGAAGAACACAGAAAATCCTTCATGACACTGGATTTGGCAATGATTTCTTGGAATGACAACGAAAGCACAGTCAACAAGAGAAAAAAATAGACAAATTGGACTCTCTCAATATTAAAAATTCTCTGTGCATCAAAGAACACATCAAGAAAATGAAGAAGCAGCCCAAGGAATATGATAAAATATTTGCAAATCATATATCTGATAAGGGATTAATATCCAGAATATATAAAGAACTCCAGTGACTCAACAATAGAAGAACTGGCAACCCGGTTTAAAGAATGGGCAAAGGACTTGAATAAACATTTCTCCAAAGATATAGAAATGGCCAATGAATAAAAAGATGCTGGCTGGGCACAGTGGTTCATGCCTGTAATCCCAACACTTTGGGAGGCTGACGTGGGAGGATTGCTTGAGTCCAGGAGTTCAAGACTAGCCTGGGAAACGTAGTGAGACACGATCTCTACAAAAATTTTCTAAAAATTAGCCAGGCATGGTGGCACACATGTGTAGTCCTGGCTATTTAGGAGGCTGAAGCAGGAGCATCGCTTGAGCCCAAGAAGTTGAAGTTATGGTGAGCCATGATCACACCACTGCATTCTAGCCTGGGTGACAGAGTGAGACCCTGTCTCAAAAAAAAAAAAAAAAAGAGAAAATGCCCCAAATCAATAGTCGTTGGGTAAATGCAAATCAAAACCACCAGGAGGTACCAATTTTGTGGTATAATGCAAAAATATATTGGTCTTTATCTCTGGTTCCTGGCACAGGGCTCCTAAGACTCTTGGAATTTTCTAAGTGAAAGGAGTGTCTTTTGTTATTTATAATGAACCCTTTTCAATCACACCTGAGTTTATGTTCATAAGGTTTTTTAGAGTGGGGCCCCTAAAGAGCCTCAGGATGGAGCTGGTCCCCAGAAAGACCAAGTAATTAGAGGGTTGAGACTTTCAGTCCCACCTACTGACCCCTGGGAAGAGGGGAGGGCAGGCCCTGGAGATGGAGCTCTGTAAAAACTCTTGAACAGTGAGATTTAGAGAGTTTTCTGTTTGGTGAACACATTAACTTGCTGGGAAGGTGATAACGCCCAGTAGGGCATGGAAGTTCTGCACTACACTCCCCATGCTCTGCCCTGTGCATCTCTTCCAGCGGGCTGTTCCTAAGTTATAATAAACTAGTAAACATAAGTAAAGTGTTTCCCTGAGTTCTGTAAGCCATTCTAGCAAACTGTTGAACATGAGGAGGGGCGTCATGGGAACCTACCATTTGTAGTTGGTTGGTCAGAATTACCGATGGCCTGGGACTTGCAATTGGCATCTGAAGTGGGTACTGAACCCATTTATCTGTGGAATGTGATGCAATTTCAGGCAGTGTCAGAATTGACTTGAATTGTTGGACATCCAAATTGGTGTCTGAAGAATTGGAGAACTGGTTGTTAGTTTTGGAAAACACCCCAGAACTTTACACCCATTAGGATGGCTATTTTAAAAATAAAAGGAAAATAACAAGTGTTCTCAAAGATGTGGAAAATTGAAAGCCTTATGCATAGCTGGTGGGGATACAAAATGGTACAACCGTTGCACTGAATAGTTTGGTGGTTACTTAAAAAAGTAAATAACTTTTTAAAAAGTTGTGTGTGTGTGTATCTATGTACACGTATATAACTATGTATATGCATATATAGCTTTATATATATATATATAAAGCTGAATGTAGAATTACCATATCATCCAGCACTTCTCCTACATCTAGGTATATACCCAAAAAAATTGAAAACAGGGATTCAAATAAATATATGTATATCAATGTTTATGGGAAGCATTATTACAATAGCCAAAATGGATAAACAACCGAAATGTTGATAAACAGATGAATAGATAAACAAAATGTGGTATATACATACAATAGAATGTTATTCGGGCTTCGAAAGGAATGAAATTCTGTTATATGTTACAACATGGATGAACCTTGAAAATATTATGCTAAGTGAAATAAGCCAGACACAAAAGGACAAATAGTGTGTGATTCCACTTATATGAGGTACCAAGAATAGACAAATTCATACAGACAAAAAGTAGAATAGAGGTTACCAGAGGCCAGAGGAGGTGGGAATGAGGTGAGAACTATCCTTTTTTTAATGAGTGCAGAGTTTCTGTTTGGAATGACAACGTTTTGGAGATAGATAATGAAGATGGTTGCATAACAATGTTAATGTACTTATTGCTACTGAATAATACACGTTAAAATGATTAAAACAGTCAATTTTATGTTATGCATATTTTACCCCAACTTTTAAAAATAGGGACTTGGCAAAGATGTCTGTGTTTTCATTTGAAGAAGATAAAAATGTTTTTAAAAGGAGCACAAAGTTTGAGTGTAAACTAAAGAAATCATATCCTATAATCTAGTTTCAGTCTACACGCTATACATTCTGTTCCAAAAAGTAATAATAACTTAGTTTGGACTTACATGATTTTTCTAGAGATCATTTAAGAAACATATAGAGGACAGAAATGCTTGCTTTATGTTTTAAGTGTGTTCCTGAATTATCGAATTTAAAGCAAATTTCAATCAACTTAATCATAGGCAGTATAGTAGTTAGGAGTGCTCTGAGGATTCACTGTGATTTGGGGTGTATCATTGTAGGTTCATTGTCTCAGTTTCTTCGCTGTAAAATAGTGATAATAAAAATACTTACCTCATTTGGTTGTTGAGTGGATTCGAAAATGGAGAAATGCTTAAAACAGTGTCTGGCACAAAGTAATCACCATAAACATTAGTCGCTGCTCTTTATTGCCATCATCATCATCATCATTAAAGATTTAATAGTTCTATGATCATTATCACCAAAGAAGTTTATGCTAAATCTCTCAATAAAATTATTCATCTGCTTTAAAGCCATGCTGTCCCCATATTTTGTTGTATAAATATAGATTTTTTATGTATTATAATTATTAATTATTAAATATAAAGACTTTCTAAAAATCAAGTGCAACAGATAATATATACAATTAAGAAAAGTGTTTTGCTTTTCTCCCCATTTTTATGTACTAATGTAAAAGTTACAGTGGTTTGGCTGGGTACGGTGGCTCATGCCTGTAATCCCAGCACTTTGGGAGGCCGAGGTGGGTGGATCACCTGAGATCGGGGTTTCGAGACCAGCCTGACCAACATGGAGAAACCCCGTCTCTATTAAAAATACAAAAAATTATCCGGGCATGGTGGCACATGCCTGTAATCCCAGCTACTCAGGAGGCTGAGGCAGAAGAATCACTTGAACCCAGGAGGCGGAGGTTGCAGTGAGCGAGATTGCACCATTGCACTCCAGCCTGGACGAAAACAGTGAAACTCCATCTCAAAAAAAAAAAAAAAAAATTATAGTGATTATTACAAAGTAAATATCATGGACATTTTCTGTAATATGAAACCATAGCAAAAGGAATATTGGACTTAGAGGCAGAAAACATAAATCAAGTTTCAACTCTCCCATTTATTGGTTTGCAGTACTTGGATAAGTCACTAATTCTCTGTTATTATCTGTATTGGGATAGAGAGAGAGAGAGAGTAGGTAGGTATATAGAGTTTTGTGTGTGTGTTTTTTTTTTTTTGTCTATATTGGCAAGTTTTTTTTTTTTTTGGTCTGCTTGTCCTATCAATTACATGAGAGAAGGGTGTTAAAATCTCCAACCATGACTGTGGGTTTGCCTGTTTCTTCTTTTGTTTCTCACTTTTTCTTGCTTACACATGTAATTAGTTGCATTCAAATTCACAGTTGGTATATCCTGTAGTGTTCTGGCCAATGTTTAACACCCAGCTCACTAAGAGGAAAGAAAGAGACAATCCCTAATTTGTTAGCATTTGCCCATTTCTATAGTGTAAATACTTGTACCATGGCTGATTTCAAGCTACAAATAGATTACAGAACATGAAGATAGGAAGAGATAACACGTTGGGTCTAACAAGCTAGTCCAAGTTGGCTTTAGCCCACCATTGGTATGTCATCCTGTTAGAATGATTACTCTGTCATTATGAAATATCCCTTTTCTGCTGATTAACTTAATGTTTACTTTTTCTATTGTTAGTATAATTATATGAGCTTTCTTTTGTTAGTGTCTGCATGGCATATATTTGTCCATCCTTTTATTTTTAACCTTTTTGCATCCGTTCCTTTATTGTGTTTCTTGTAAGCAGCATGTAGTTTTATTTTTATTTTTAATCCACGTTGGCAACTTTAGACTTAATTAGAGTATTTGGTCTGTTTACATTTAATGTAATTACCGTTACATTTACATTTAAACCTGTTCTCTTACTATTGTGTATTTATCTCATCTCTAATTTGTTTCCTCTTTCCTCCTTTCTTGCCCTCCTTTTGAGTGGTAAAATATTTTTATTCTATATTTCCTCTTTTAGCTACTAGCCATATTTTTATTTTCTTTTAGTGGCTACCCTAGAGACTACAGTGGTCACCTTCATATCCTTGACTTTGTAGGGGCTATGTAAATTAGTACTTTTCGTGGTGGCTCATGCCTGTAATCCCAGCACTTTGGGAGGTTGAGGCAGATGGATCCTTTGAGGTCAGGAGTTCAAGACTAGCCTGGCCAATGTGGTGAAACCCTGTCTCTACTAAAAATACAAAAAAAAAAAAAAATAGCCAGGTGTGGTGGTACATGCCTATAATCCCAGCTACTTTGGAGGCTGAGGAAGGAGAATTGCTTGAACCCAGGAGGTGGAGGTTACAGTGAGCCAAGAGCACACCACTGCACTCCAGAACGGGTGATGGAGTGATATTCCATCTCAAAATAAAAAAAAAAAATAGTATTTTTCCACTTTTCAGACAATGCAAGCCCAGATCATGCCACTGCACTGCAGCCCAGGTGACAGAGTGAGACTCTGTCTCAAAAATAAATAAATAAATAATTAGTGCTTTTCCACTTTTCAGATAATACAATAATATTACTACACTTTAATTCCATTTATCACTTCCTGACATTTTGTGGCATTACTCTCTGTATTTTTATTATACATACATTTAAAACTCTAAATATTTTAAACTGACCATTTAGTTTTTTCTGCCTATTTATCCTTTTCTATGCTTTCTTTTTTGTTGTTTTTTAAAACATTTTTATTGATATATAGCCGTTGTACATATTTTGGGGATACATGTATTATTGGGGAATACATATAACATTTTGATACATGTATACAATGTGTAATGATCAAAATAAGTTAATAAGAACATCCATCACCTCAAACATTTATTTTTCCTTTGTGTTGGAAACTACTATTTTTACTTGTTTGAGGAACCTCTATACTGTTTTCCATAATGGCTGTCCTACTTTACATTCCCACCAACAATGTATGAGCATTCCCCTTTCTCCTCATCTCCTTGCCAACATTTATTTTTTTTTTATAATAACCATTCTAAATGGGATAAGATGATGTCTCATTGTACTTTTGATTGCATTTCCCCGATGATTAGTGATGTTGAGAATTTTTTAATATACCTGTTGGCCATTTGTGTATCTTTAGAGAAATATCTATTCAGGTCTTGTGCTGATTTTTTAATAGGATCATTGGTTTCTTTGCTATTAAGTTGTTTGAGTGCCTTAAATATTCTGGTTATTAGTCCCTTGTTGGATTGATCATTTTCAAATACTTTCTCTCATTCTGTGGGATGTCTCTCTTTACTTTTTGTTGTTTCCTTTGCTGCACAGAAACTTTTAGGCTTGATGTAATCCCATCTGTGTATTTTTAAATTGTGTTATTTTGTTTGTTTGTTTGTTTGTTTTTGCTATTGAGTTGTTTGAATCCCCTAAATATTCTGGTTATTAGTCCCTTCTTGCATGGATAATTTTCAAATATTTTCTCCCATTCTGTGAGTTGCCTCTTCACTTTTTGTTTATTGTTTTCTTTGCTGCACAGAAGCTTTTAGGCTTGATGTAATCCTATCTGTGTACTTTTGCTTTGTTACCTTTGCTTTTGAGGTCTTACTCAAAAAATCTATGCTTTTCTTTCCTTCATTACCATGCTTTCATCTGGGATAATTTGCCTTCTGCTAGAGAACCTCCTTAAGTATTTCTTTTCATGTGAATCTACTGGTAAAAAATTACCTTCATTTTTTTGTCTGAAAATTATTTCCTTTGTCTATGGGATATTTTTACTGGGTATAGAATTGCAGATTGTCATTTGTTTTCTTTTAAAGATATTATTCTATTGTTCTCTAACTTCCATAATTTCTGTTTAAATATCAGCTTAAAGTTTTATTTATTTATTTATTTATTTAATTTATTTTCTTTTTGAGACAATCTCACTCTGTCATCCAGACTGGAGTGCAGTGGTGCAATCTCGGCTCACCGCAACCTCTGCCTCCTGGGTTCAAGCGATTCTCCTGCCTCAGCCTCCCAAGTAGCTGGGATTACAGGTGGCCACCACCACATGTGGCTAATTTTTGTAATTTTAGTAGAGACAGGATTTTACCATATTGGCCAGGCTGGTCTCGAACTCCTGACCTTAGGTGATCTGCCCACCTCAGCCTCCCAAATTGCTGGGATTACAGGCATGAGCCACCATGCCTGGCCAAAGTTTTTTTTCTCATTTGAAGAGATTGTGTCTTTTTCTTTGCTTTTAAGTGTTTTTTGTTGTTGTTGTTTTTGTTTTTTGTTTTTGGTTTTGGTCCTTGGTTTTGAATAGTTTTACTGTGAGGTACTTAGGGTAGATTTCTGTGTAATTATTTGCTTGGGATTCAAAGTGCTTGTTTAACATGTGACTTGATCTCTCTTGTAAGCTTTGGACAATTTTTGCTGAGGGTTTCATCAAATATTACTGCTATTGATTCAATTATTCTTTGCTTCTAGGACTTTACACACTCATATTTGAAATATATTTACTTTGTCTCATATATCTCTTATGCTCATCTGTATACTTTTCATCTTTTTTCTCTTTATGCTTCAGTTTATGTTTTTTTTTTTTTACTGACTTAACTTTCAGTTCACTGACCCTATTTTTGCTATATCTAATGTGCTGTTAAACTCACCTTTGAGTTCTTAATATTAGAAATGGTAATTTTTCTTTTTTTTTATTTTTGGAGACAGTCTCGCTCTGTCACCCAGGCTGGAGTGCAGTGGCACAATCTCAGCCCACTGCAACCTCTGCCTCCCAGATTCAAGTGATTCTCCTGCCTCAGCTTCCCGAGTAGCTGGGATTACAGGCCTGTGCCACCACACCTGGCTAATTTTTGTATTTTTTAGTAGAGATGGGGCTTCGCCATGTTGATCAGGCAGGTCTCGAACCCCTGACCTCAGCTGATCCATCCTCCTCAGCCTCCCAAAGTGCTGGGATTAGAGGCATGAGCCAGCACGCATGGCCAGAAATTGTAATTTTTTCAATTGTAATGTTTTCATGTCATCTTTTATGGAAATCTTCCATCCTATTTATCACTTATTGAGCATAATGATCACAATTGACATAAAGTCCATATTTGATTATTCCAACATCTGCATGTCCTAAAGATCTACTTATATTGTCTATTTTTTCCTTTTAGTTTCCAGTCACTTGATTTTGTCTTCTGGTGTATTTAATAATTTTTTTGTTAAGTGTAAGATATGCACAAAAAATTGCAGAAACTCTGAATGACAATAACTCCTTCCCAAGAGGATTTAATTTCCTTTTGGCAGGCAGTTGGATGCAATCAGTGATTGAGATAGTTCAAGACTGGACTTTAGGCCTTCAGAGAGCTGCCCTATTTCTAGTTTTATGGGGTAGCCCTTTAGGTGTCTCAACTGAATGCCTCGGGTGGTTACAAAGATCTTGTCCTCCCTTGTTGCCCCTGAACACCAAGTTTCATTTTCACCTTTTCTCCACTTCCCCATCTCACTAGTCTTGAAAACTTCCAAAAGCTCTTGGATACTGTTTTTATGTCCAGCAATTTCTCCCAGGGAAAAAGTGCTGGAGAAGGTCCAGTTTACCTCAGTATACTTCCTTCTTCATTACTAATCCTCTAACCCTGGCTGCTTTGGATGATCATTGATGCTGTCAAACAGTTATTTTTTATATTTATTCAGATTTTATAATTGTTCTTAGCAGCATGTTTGCTCTGGTATGAGCAGTTCCATCATAACTCCTTATCTATAAAAAGGGAGAATAATTCCTGCTATTTATTCCATTTTTTAGTGGTCGCTGTAGGGATTATGATAGTTCTAATTTAGTACAATCTATTTAAAGCTCATACTGAATTACTTCAAAAAAGCATACTTGAACCTTGTATACTTGGAATAGTATGCTTCTACTTAATCCCTTCATCCTTGTGCTATTGTTGTCATGTATAGTACATCCATATATATTATGAATCCAACAATATGAGGTTATAGTTTTTGCTTTAAACATGTATATATTTTTGAATTATGAGAAGGAAATTTAAAATATATAAATTTTTTTTTTCTGTAGGCCCAACTTACCATCTGGTGTCATTCCCCTTCATCTGAAGAATTTCCCTTATCATTTCTTATAATGTAGGTCAGTTGATGATTAATTTTCTCTGTTTTTGTCTTTATTTCACTTTTCTTTTTTTTTTTTATAAGGTCTCACTCTGTCACCCAGGCTGGACTGCAGTGTCACATCTCAGCTTAATGCAGCCTCCATTTCCAGAGTTCAAGTGATTCTCCAGCCTCAGCCTCCCAAGTAGCTGCGACTACAGGCACAAGCTACCAATGCCTGGCTATTTTTTGTAGAGATGGGATTTCACAATGTTGCCCAGGCTGGTCTCAAGCTCCTGAGGTGAAAGCAATCCTCCCGCCTCGGCATCCCTAAGTGCTGGGATTATAGGCGTGAGCCACCACACCCAGACCTCACCTTTATTTTTAAAAGATATTTTCTCTAGGTGTAGAATTCTTGGCTGCATTTTTTTTCAGCATTTTGGATATATCAGTCCAATGTCTTCTGGCCTCCAATGTTTGTTATTATAATTTAGTCATTATTTGTTCTCCATCTGTAATACGTCATTTTTCTCTTGCTTCTTTCAAGATATCCTTTTATCTTTCTTTGGCTTTCAGCAATTTATCTATGAATACCTCTGTGCTTATATTTATCCTACTTGGGGCTTGTTGAGCTCAGGTCTAAAATGCTCTATATCATCTCAGTGCAACATTTTTCATGTATATTGTCTTGTATTATATTGATTCTCATACAGTTAACAGCACAAATATTCAAATCACAACACTTATACACATAGATTGAGGTAACCATCAGTCAAAAGTAAAATCTTTAAATTCACAAATTACACTGTAAACATATTTTCCCATTGACAAAATAGTTTGGCTCATTAAACTAAAGCCTAAAAGGTAGAACAAGTTAATTTTAAAATTCTATCAAATATTCTTTATATAGAGGCAGAGTTGCCATGAAGCTAACAAATGTAAGCTTTAAATCCCTGAAATGGCCTTCAAAATGTGTTCACATGGGCCTCCATGTTTGTAAAGTTTATAAAAGTACAATAATTTTTGGTTCTTTTTAACATAGAAGAGCATAAATTGAACGAGTTTCAGGCTTCGCAAAACCTAGATCTTCCCCTGCTTTTCACCTTGAATGAAACACAAATGTAGTTCTTTTCATGGGAAGCAAAAAGGAGTTTTTTGCGTGCTTGATGATTTTGTAATAAAGAGGAGGATCACTTCTAGGGGCACAGAAACAACCTGAGCAGTAGAAACATGGTGTTTGGCAGGAGGCACTTTGGCAGATCTCATGTCCTGACCAAAATATAAGAGTTTGGCCCTCCTACGCAAGACTGGCAGGTTTTATAGTTTCAAAAATAAGTGTGAGCTAAGCCTTCAATGTATGTCCTGTTGGGTGTAACTTTTTCCTCATTATCTATATATTAATTGGCTATGTGAGCTATGATGAAGTTGTTGTCACCTAAGCCTGGGTACACAATTATGCAATCTGTGTGCTTTGGATTCAGAGTCCTAGCATTGTTTAAAGCCAAGTTAGAAAAATGATACCTCTTTGGAGAAGAGCAACTGATGGGGAATCTGAGCTGTCATCTTGGCTGTGCGTAGCAGTAGAATTTTAGAACTGCACACAAGTACAAAAAATAATCTCAGTAACAATCCATTAAAAATAATTGCATTTTATTAGGTATCTAGTTCAGAACAAATTTACCGTTGAAATGCAAGAAAATTTTTCGCTTCTTTTTTTTTTTTTTTTTTTTTTTTTTTTTTGAGATAGAGTCTGGCTCTGTCACCCAGGCTGGAGTGCAGTGGTGCGATCTCAGCTCACTGCAACCTCCACCTCCCGGGTTCGAGCGATTCTCCTGCCTCAGTCTCCTGAGTAGCTAGGATTACAGACACCTGCCACAGCACCCGGCTAATTTTTGTATTTTTAGCAGAGAAAGGTTTTCACCACATTGGCCAGGCTGGTCTCAAACTCCTGAGCTCAGGTGATCTGCCCACCTCTCCTCCCCAAAGTGCTGGGATTACAGGTGTAAGCCAAGCGCCCGGCCAATTTTTCACTTCTTGAAGCAAATAGTTGAAACCCAGTTTCATGAAAAGGGCATTCCTCATGAAAAGGGCATTCCTCATGAAGGCATAAGGATCTTCCTCAACTACTAGGAAATTAAAACTTTATTTAAACTTTATTGATATTACATTTAATTTTTTCACTTGAGCATTTTCAGTGTATAAAAGAGGTTCTCATTTAACTAATAATGCAAATTCCAAGATACTATATAAAACATTCACAGTTAAAATAATTTTTGTTCCCAAATGTTTTCCACATAATTCAATACACTCCAAAAAATACTGTTTTTTTTTTCAAGACTTCATACAATGAAAAAACAACTTGGTAGAAATCTTTAAATTAGTAGACATTAGCAAGTTTTTGGTTTGATAGTTGGAAGCGAGAAATTAAAACAATCAGAATTTCTTTAGCTTGGTTTTTATAGCCAAATATTATTCTGGCTGGTAAAACTTGCTCCTTTTAGGCCTTGTGTTAAAGAGAAATAATAATAATAAATTGAAATTTAAAAAAATTCTAAAATCTTTTTAGAAATAAATTTCACATACGTCTCTGCAGCAAATACTATGCCTTCTGTATCAGGTCCTGAATTTCTGTAGTAGTAATTACCCAATTATTGGATCCTTCTAGAGGAACATCAGTTATGATTGAACCACCTAAATGTATGAGGTATTTGTTTGATCCAAATAATGCTTTGCCAGTAATCAATCCAGGCAATTCTTTGGAAACAGTTATTTGTGTGGTCATAATAGGTCCATCCAAATCATGGTATAAGTCACTATCCCCTGTTAAGAATAATCATACCCAGAACCAATCTGTGGTTTCTTCCCTCACCTTACTTCTGTGCCCCAACCTTAGAACCCAAGCTCAGGAAGTGAATCTGGCTCTTTATCACCTGCAGGATGAAGAAGTGCAAGCTTCTCTGGAAGGCCTACAAAGCCTTGGTGACCTGATTTTTGATCACTTGTCAACATTTTCTCTTTCCTTTCTTATCAAAGTCAGCACTCTCCCACCATATTTAAATATCTGTCCTAGTCTGTTCTCTGTTGCTATAATAAAATACCACAGACTCAGTACTTTTTAAAGAGAAGAAATTTATTTCTCACAGTTCTGGAGGCTGGAAAGTCCAGAGCATGGTGCAAGTGTCTAGTGAGGGTTATCCCACGCTGGATTTGTTTTACAAAAACTCAGTCACATGATAACTAACCCACTTTCATGCTAAGATTAATCCATTCATGAATGTTCTACCCTCTTAAACCAATCACCTCTTATTAGGCCCCTCCTCTCAACACTGTTGGGTTAGGGATTAAGTTTCCAACACATGGACTTTTGGGGTACACATTCAAACCACAAGACTCTCTGATGTGCCCTGAACATATTCTACTTTCTCATTCCCATCTGGAAAGCTCTCCTGCCCTGTCTTCCTGGCCAACTCCCATTCATTCTTCAAGCTCCTCAGAAAAATCTTCCTAACTTTCCCCACACAGGAATACATGCTACTTACACTTAAGATCACATTCAATATTCTAATTACTTGCTTCAGTGTTTCATTTTTGCTATTTTCATGTTTATCTCCCTTCACTGAACTGTGAGCTCCTTGTAGGCAAATGGTAGATTTTAATACTTATAATCACACAGCACAGCACAGCACATTGTGTGATGCATAATAGGTGCTGAAGTCCTTCATATTTTTACATTTTATTGTCGTGTATCAGACACTGCACTCTGAGTTGTTGAGAAAAAAATGCAGGGTCCTTGTAAGCTTACTGTCTGGGGGAGAAACTGATGTTAATAAAGTGATAATATAAGTAAATACATAATTATAACTTGAAATAAGTTCTCTAAACACACACACACACACACACACACAAAAAACCATGATCTAGGTTGAGCATAGGGGAGGAGGAGAGGTCAAAAATGCTTCCCTAAGGAAAGTAGTGCTTGACTTGCCATCTGAAGAATGAGTAATTAAGAGATAAAACTGGAGAGAAAATATTGGCCAGAATATGAGGGATCTTCACAAGACCATAATAAGGATTTAGTTCTTTATCTTAAAAGCAAAAATTAGGCATTGAACGTTTTTAAGGACATGATTGACATTATCAGACTTTGATTTGTAACAATGTTCACAGTGTACTTTGGAGAATTAATTGAAAAGAAAAATATTGACTAAGTTAACATATTAATAAGTTAACTAATATGCTAGTTCTTGACTATGTTAATCTCAACTAATTGAAATTTGAATTTTAATACACTTCTGTTATAACGCTAACTGAAATATAATATGAGCTACATATGTAACTTCAAATTTTTTAATAACCACATTAAAAAACATAAGAGTTCAGGCACAGTGGCTCAGGCTACCCAGCACTTTGGGAGGCTGAGGCGGGCACATCACTTGAGGCCAGGAGTTCAAGACCAGCCTGGCCAATATGGCAAAACCCCATCTCTACCAAAAATACAAAACTGAGCTGGGTGTGGTGGTTCATGCCTGTAATCCTGGCCACTTGGGAGGCTGAGGCACAAGAATCGCTTGAACCTGGGAGGTGGAGTTTGCAGTGAGCCAAGATGGCGCCACTGCACTCCAGCTTGAGTGACAGAGCAAGACTCTGTCTCAAAAAAATAAAAAAATAAAAAGAAACAAGTGAAATTAGTCTTAACAATATACATAACAATATATCCAAAATAATATAACTTCAACATGTAATCAGTATAAAGGTATTATTGAGATGGTTTACATTCTTTTTTTAAATATACTAAGTCTTTGAAATCCTGTGTGTATTTTACGCTTACAGCACATCTCAATTTAGATAACCACATTTCAAGTGCTCAGTAGTCACTGTGGCTAATGGCTACCATATTGCAAAGTGCAGTTTTAATAACTTCGCCCAATGGTTCCCAAAGCTGTTTATACATCAAAAGTACCACTCAGATACACTTGTTAAAAATATAAATTTCCCAGCAACTCTCTCCATTTTGTTAAATACCTCTAGGGAGAGATCCAGAGATCTGTTTCTGATTAAGTACACCAGGTGATGCTGATGCAACGGTCCATGGACAAGCATATGCAGTTTCTGCATTGCCTCAAAGTTGTGAATATAATGAAACATTTAGGCATCCTGGAAAAATTTGAGTAGTGTGTTGCTGGAAATCAGGGACCCCAAACGGAGGGACCAGCTGAAGCCATGGCAGAATAACATAAATTGTGAAGATTTCATGGACATTTATTAGTTCCCCAAATTAATACTTTTATAATTTCCTATGCCTGTCTTTACTTTAATCTCTTAATCCCATCATCTCCATAAGCTGAGAATGTACGTCGCCTCAGGACCCTGTGATGATTGTGTTACCTGTACAAATTGTTTGTAAAACATGTGTGTTTGAACAATATGAAATCTGTGCGTCCTAAAAGAACAGGATAACAGCGATTTTCAGGGAACAAGGGAGCTAACCGTAAGGTCTGACTGCCTGCAGGGCCGGGCAGAACAGAGTCATATTTCTCTTCTTGCAAAAGCGAATAGGAGAAATATTGCTGAATTATTTTTCTCAGCAAGGAACAGCCCTGGGAAAAGAATGCATTCCCAGGGGGAGGCCTCTAAAATGGCTGCTCTGGGAGTGTCCGTCTTATGCAGTTGAAGATAAGGGATAAAATACGCCCTGGTCTCCTGCAGCGCCCTTAGGCTTGCTAGGATTAGGAAATTCTGGCCTGATGAATTCTAGTCAGAAGGGTTGTCTACTCTCAAACCCTGTTTCCTGTTAAGATGTTTATCAGTGACGATGCATGCACAGTGGGAAATGAAACCTCATCAGCAATTCTAATTTCGCTCTGGCCTTGTGATCTTGCTCTGCCCCCAATTGCCTTGTGATATTTTATTGCCTTTTGAAGCATGTGATCTCTGTGACCCACACCCTATTCGTACACTCCCTCCCCTTTGAAAATCGCCAATAAAAAGTTGCTGGTTTTGCAGCTTGGGGGCATCACAGAACCTGCTGACAGGTGATGTCACCCCTGGAGACCCAGCTATAAAATTTCTCTCTTTTGCACTCTTTCTCTTTATTTCTCAGACCTGCCAACACTTAGGGAAAATAGAAAAGAACCTACATTGAAATATTGGGGGCTGGTTCCCCCGATAGCAGTGTCATGGGAAGCCCAGAAGAAAGGATATTTGGGATATCCCTCAAATAATTTCACAAATTCTTTACCATACAGTATTGCTAAATAAAAAGTTCAATCTGGTAACTTCTTGTTTCTGAAAAGATAGCAAACTAACAAAGCTATTGTCTCCTGGAGTCTCCAAATCCATTCCTGAAGATGCCACATATATGGGGGGGAGGGGATAAATAATGAGCCTAACTAGGAAACTCTGAAAACCCTTAGGAGGTGAAAGGGAGTTGGGTCCATTGTGGTGGAGAAAGGAAAGCCTGGAGGGACAAAGAGGGACACTAATGGAGGTAGAGGGTGGATGAAAGGATAGAATCTCTGATTGTTCCCTTTTCTACCCTACATTAGCTTGGGTGGATCGTGGCCCACCTCAACTCAAGATGCTTATAAAAACACAAAGTTAGCCCAGCAAGTGTCCAAGGAGGCAGAAGAACACCAGGAAAGCTGATAACTGTGTATACCAGTTGGTTTAGAACAGTTGTCTTCTTCCCTCCACCCAAAAGTCTAGATGATTACCCAGAAGACAGCAGCTCTTGGAAATGGGATGGCAATGTGGGAGTACTGGAAGTTAACCTGAGAGGCGTATGCTCTTCATAGGAGGGCAGACTGGGGCTAGTGCAGCCCAGATTGTAACACCAGAGGCTTTCTACCATGATGCTCATCCACTCTTCTGCTTACCCTCCACACTGAAAAGAATAACCAGAAGAGTTGCAATCCAAATCCTATGCTTTTGATCCTACCTTTCAAATATGAATTACAACTATGCTTGCTAATACTCTCAAAGGAATAGGAGCTCACCAGAGAAAATATTATAAAATCTGGACTGTAATTCTAAAAGATTTTTTTAAGCTGGATAATTTATACTGGAGGGACAGAATTAATGGACAAAAAACTGAAGATTTTTAAAAGAGTCAAAAGTCGGGCATGGTGGCTCACGCCTGTAATCCCAGCACTTTGGGAGGCCAAGGTGGGTGGATCACCTGAGGTCAGGAGTTCAACACCAGCCTGGCTAATATGGCAAAACCCTGTCTCTACTAAAAATACAAAAATTATCTGGGTATGGTGGTGGGCACCTGTAATCCCAGCTACTGGGGAGGCTGAGGCAGGAGAATCACTTGAACCTGGGAGGCGGAGGTTGCAGTGAGCCAAGATAGCACCATTGCCCTCCAGACTGGACAACCAGAGCGAGACTCCATCTCAAAAAAATAAATAAATAAAACGAGTTAAAGGACTACCTTCAGAGAGATAAAAAGGGATATTAGAAATATGAAGCAAAATAAGCTACAGACAATGGTTATGAAAAACATAGTGACTGAAATGAGCTTAGTGGATAGGTTGACTAACAGATTGCATACCATCAAATACCAAAATAGTAAGGTAGAAATTACTTGGGGAACTCTCCCAGAAAGTATCTGGAAGCAATAAAGAGATGGGAAACATAAAAGTTAAAAGGTATGCAGAAAACTCTGATAACAAAACCTAACATTACAAGAAAAAAGAACTACAGATAAATAAACATCCTTCATAGACGAAAACTCCTAAACAAAATGTAAGTTAATTGAATACAATTATATAGAGATATTATAAAACATTTGAGTTTATTAAGGTTGCAGGATATGAAATCAAAATACAAAAATCAATTGTATTTCTGCAACCTAGCAATGAAAAATCCAAAATGAAATTAAATGAGTAATTTCATTCAAAATCACATCAAGGCCAGGTGTGGTGGCTCACGCCTGTAATTTCAGCACTTTGAGAAGCTGAGGTGGGCGGATCCCTTGAGCCCAGGAGTTTGAGACCATCCTGGGCAACATGGCAAAACCCCATCTCTACAAAAAATACCAAAAAAAATTTAGCTGGGCATGGTGGCATGCGCCTGTGGTCCCAGCTACTTGGGAGGTTGAGGTGGGAGAATAGCTTCAACTCAGGAGGTCGAGGCTGCAGTGAGCCATGATTTTGCCACTGTACTCCAGCCTGGGTGACAGAGGGAGACCCTGTGTCAATTTAAAAAAAAACAAAAACCACATCAAGAATAAAATGCTTAGGAATAAATTTAGCAAAAGATATGTAAAAACTTGTACACTGAAAACTACAAAGCATTGTTAAGTGAAGTTAAAGACAATATAAATAAATGGATGGCATTCCGTTTTCATGGATAAGACACAATGTTGTTAAGATGACAATCCTCCCCTCACTTATCTATATATTCCACACAATCCCTATGAAAATCCCACAAGTTCTTTTGTAGAAATTGACAAGCTGGCACTAAATACACAGAGATGCAAACAACCAAGAATAGCCAACACAATTTTCAAAAGAAAAGAAAGTTGGACTTACTATAAAGTTATAATAGAGTATGGTATTTGTGTAAGGATAGACATATAGATCAGTAAAACAGAATATAAGGTCCAGAAATAAATCTTTATCTTTGTGGTCAATTGATTTTTTTAAATATCAAGGCAATTCAAGGAAAAAGAATAGGCTTCAACAACTGGTGCTTGGACAATAAGATATCCATATTAAAAAAAAGAAACTTAAACCATTACCTTGTCCACCTTATGGATGATATCCTTAGTTCTGCCACATGTGGGTTCCACCAACCATGGATCAAATTTCCACAGCTGGTGGAACCTACAGATGTGGAACCATGGATGCAGATGGCAGATTGTAGGACTTGAGCGTTCTCAGATCTGTGGTGGTCCTGGAACCAATCCCCACAGAAACAGAGGGATGACTCTAGATACAAAAGCCAACTCAAAATGGATCACAGACCTAAATGTAAAAGCTAAAACTATAAAACTTCTAGAAAATATAGGAGAAATATCTCTTTGCAACCTTGGGCTAGGCAAAAAGTTATTAGTGTGACACAAAAAGCACCATTCATTTAAAAATTGAGAGGCTGGGTGCAGTGGCTCACTCCTGTAATCCCAGCACTTTGGGAGGTGGGTGGATTACCTGAGGTCAGGAGTTCGAGACCAGCCTGGCCAACATGGTGAAACTCCATCTCTAATAAAAATACAAAAATAATTAGTCAGGTGTGGTGGCACCTGCCTGTAGTCCCAGCTACTCGGGAGGCTGAGGCAGGAGAATCACTTGAACCCAGAAGGCGGAGGTTGCAGTGAGCAGAGATCCCGCCATTGCACTCCAGCCTGGGTGACAAGAGCGAGACTCCATCACAAAAAATAAAAATAAAAATTGATAAACTGGATTTAATTGAAGTGTAAAATTTTTGCTCTTTTAAAGATACAACTAAGAAAAGGAAAAGCCACAAACTGGGAGAAAATATTTGCGAACCATACAAGGAATTGGTATTAATTATGCATTGCTTTGTATCAATTATCCAGAAATTTGGCAGTTTAAAACAAGAAACATTTATCCCCTCCCACAATTTCTGAGTGTCCGGAATCTGGGTTCAGTTGTTGGCCAGAGCCGCAGTCATGTAAAGCTGGACTAAGACTAGAGAATCTTCCTCCAAACACATTCATATGCTATTGACAGGCTGAAATTCCTTGCTGATTGTTGGCCAGTGCATTCGTTTGCCAAGGCCACTATAATGAACTAGCATAGACTGAGTGACTTAAATTTATTTTCTCACAGTTCTAGACGCTAGAACTCCAAAATAAGTTGTCACCAGTCTTGTTTTTTTCTGAGGCCTCTCTCGCTGGCATGCAGGTGGCCACCTCACTGTATCATCGTATAGTCTTTTCTCTCTGCAGGCATCCCTCGTGTCTCTTTTTGTGTCCAAATTTCCTCTTCTTATAAAGATATCAGTCAGATTGGATTAGGGCCGACCTTAATGGTCTCATTTTAACGAAATCACCTTTAAAGGTCCTATCTCCAAATATACTCACAGTCTAAGGTACTGGGTGTTACGGATTTAACACACGAATTTGAGGGGACACAATTCAGCCTGTAAGAGCCAGTAACTTCGGCCCACTACCACATGGGCCTCTTGGTACTCACAACCTGGCAGCTTGCTTCCCCCAGAGTGAATGATCTAGGAAGGAGACCAAAAAAGCAAGAGCCTAAGGCAGAAACCACAGCCTTTCTCCAAACCTAATCTTAGAGGTAACGTATTACTTCTGCTGTATGCTATCAGTGACACAGACCAATCCTGGGATGATGCAGGAGCAGTCTACACATTGGTCTGAACACTGTGGGGGTGGAGAATCACTGGGGAACATACTGGTGCTTGTCTACCACAAACCTATATCCATAATATATGAAGAACTACTACAATTTGATAATAAAAGACGTCAATTAAAAATGGGCAAAAGATCTGAATAAACATTTCATTAAAGAAAATATCCAAATGGCCAGTTGGCAGATGAAAAGATGTTCAACATCATTAGTCATTAAAGAAATGTAAATTCTCAATGACGTACCCCTACACATCTATAATCAAATAACTGATAATACTAAGAATTGGCCGGGATGTAGAGAAATAGGAACCCTCAGCCAGTAGGAATGTAAAATGGTATAGCTACTTTGGAAAACAGTTTGGGCATTTCTTTAAAAATTAACATAAATTTATATGGCCCAGCAATTCCACTCCTAGTTATTTACTTAACGGGAAATGTAAACATGTCCACACAAAGACTTGCATATGAATGTGGAAGCAGAATTATTCGTAATAGCCCAAACTGGAAACAAGCCAAATGCCCACCAACTGGTACATGCATGAAAAAACGTGCCACATTCATACAATGCAATGTTATTCAGCAATACCGGGCATTAGGCACTTTCGCCTAATATATTTATGATGTTCTCTGAGAGAATCCTGCAGAATGCTGGGAATGGGGAATAGCCTGACGCAGGCTGTTACTTAGAAAGAATGGAAAGAAAAATTAATGCCCTCTTTCCTACTTGAAACCCATCATGATTCCCAGTTATACACTGAGTTTGTGTCTGTCACTGACAGTTGATTCCTATGCATGATCTCATATTATCTTCGCAATGACACTGGGAGATTTATATTAATAATACCATGCTCCCTAGTTTATAGCTTCAAGAAACTAAAGCTTGCAAAGGTGTAACATCAGGTGTGTCCTTTTTCATACAAGATTGGATTTAATGGTTAACACAGATAAGGGTGGGTTTTCCCATTTCCAGAGTGTAAGGGTTTCGCTTCTCTCCCTCTGCCGGTCTCCTCCACTGTTTACACCCAGTAGGGCGTGGAGGGTGGCCTAGGGTGTGGCCCAGGAGGCTTCCCTAAGGGAAGGGGGTGGTGGAAACCAGGCGGTTTGAAGCCCATCAGGATTCCCAGTTATATATCGAGTTTGTGTCCGTCACTGCTAGTTGATTTCCATGCATGATCTCATATAATCTTTGCAATGACACTGGGAGATTTATATTAATAATACCATGGTCCCTAGTTTATAGCTTTAAGAAACTAAAGCTTGGAAAGGCCTAATAACATCAGGTGTGTCCTCCATTTTCATGCAAGATTGGATTTAATGGTTAACACAGATTAGGGTGGGTTTTCCCACTTCCAGAGTGTAAGGGTTTCGCTTCTCTCCCTCTGCCGGTCTCCTACACTCTTTACACCCAGCAGGGCGTGGAGGGTGGCCCAGGGAGTGGCCCAGGAGGCTTCTCTAAGGGAAGAGGGTGGTGGAAACCAGGAAGGAGACGAGAACCCCAGCGGGCAAGTCACGCAGTTACGCTTGTTCGCCCAGAGAATCCGGCAGGGCCTCCGCAGAGCCGTAAAGAGCTCTACAAGTCGTGAAGGGGCGAGGCGCAAAAGCGTAGCTTTACGGCGATTCGAGCAGTCGCGTCAAGCAGGCTATTCCGGGTTTGTGGCTGCTTGGCTCCACACGTGGGCCGCCGTAGGTATTCCGACCGGTAATTCCTCCTATTGGTGTGCAGCAGCCACATTGAAGGATAGAGTGGCAGCAGAGGCCAAGGATCGTGAGTTGATGGAGTTTGCTGCTGAAAATGAAGGGAAGTCTGGGGGAGGTCTCCACAGCGTAGCTGAGGGGGTGCGGCTAAGTCCAGAGCCTGGCAGGGAGGGAGTAAGGGACTTAGCAGGGGCGGAGGAGTTCGGCGGCGGAGAGGAGGGGACAGGGCTGACAGGGATAAAGGAGATAGGGGATGGAGAGGAAGGAAGTGGACAAAGGCCAGAGGAAATACCGATGGACCTAACGGTAGTGAAGCAGGAAATTATAGACTGGCCAGGTACAGAAGGCAGGTTGGCTGGCCAGTGGGTAGAACAGGAGGTGGAGGATAGGCCTGAGGTGAAGGATGAGAACGCAGGCGTATTGGAGGTGAAGCAGGAGACGGATAGTAGTTTAGTGGTAAAAGAAGCGAAGGTGGGTGAACCAGAGGTAAAGGAAGAGAAGGTAAAGGAAGAGGTAATGGACTGGTCAGAAGTGAAGGAAGAGAAGGATAACTTGGAGATAAAACAGGAGGAGAAGTTTGTTGGTCAATGCATAAAAGAGGAATTGATGCATGGAGAGTGTGTAAAAGAAGAGAAGGATTTCCTGAAGAAAGAAATCGTGGATGATACAAAGGTGAAAGAAGAGCCTCCGATAAATCACCCGGTGGGCTGCAAGCGGAAACTGGCCATGTCAAGGTAGGGCATGGGGGATTCCATTTAGGGGAATAAAGCTGTGGAGTCCTCATGTCTAGAGTGAAGGAAACCACACTATCAGGAGAAGGTGGAATAATGAAAAATGAGCACAAGTTTGGGTTTCTGGAGTCAGACGGCGTTCGCGGGGGTGGGTTGGGAAGTGGAGGGTGTTGTACATGACAACACAACAAATTCAGTGAAAATACATGAAATTAGTAGTGTCCAATGGGTAATGGTCAAGTTAGGAAAGTGGAAATTCTGGGGACCAAAAGATCAGTTGGAACTGGATCTGGCTTGACTTAATATGCTCTTTACTCGGTATTCCTTTGAGAGAGAATAGAGATGAGAAAGTCTAATAAAACTAACAATGACAAAGTAGATTAAGTTAAAACTAGGCAAAAATACACTTGACCTCAATTATCAAGCTTCTTCATGGGTGCTGTGAATATTTATTGCTTTTGATTGAATTTCCTTAGTGTGTGGATCATGTGACAAAGGAAATAAGAGTAGTCAGATTCTTGAGAATATTCCCGTCTAGAACACAGTGGGCTAAATAGAAGTAACTGTAGTTTGGTTGTCAGTATCCCAGGAGCATAGAAGAGCAGTTGAGGACAGATGATGGGTTACATGGCATTTCTAGATTATTTCGATGCTCATTCTAGATTAGGCGTGGAGTTCAGGAAAAAGGGTGCTACTACTACTCTCTAAATTTCACTTGGCCTTATATTCTTTGTCTGGTGTGTGCTTTAAAAATATCTAAACATAGCTCATGAATTGGACTTCTGGATACACACACATACAATCATTACCACATTTCCAGGAATCACAAGTTAAAATATCAGTGAATAATCTCATTCCCTGATTATAGTAGAAAAAGAAGTCAAAAGCGAGATGGGTTTTAAAAATTTTAATACATTTTCCTGAGTTACATATCACTAACAACATTGGAAATGTAGTTGTTTTGGGAAGGTTTCATAGAGAAGAATTTTCAAATGATGTTCAACAGCTATCAAATATTTTATCAGTTACTTGTCACTGAGTTTATAAATTGATTGGGAATTCTAAGTTTATAAATAAATACAATTAATATTTGATAATTTAATGTTACATGTGGGCTTTTGTAGGTGTGAGACTTGTGGTACAGAAGAAGCAAAGTACAGATGTCCACGTTGTATGCGATATTCCTGCAGGTATACATGTAACTTCCTACCTTTTAACCTGTATCTGTACCTTTCTTACCCTAAAATATAAAAGTACTTCCCCTTTGTCTTTTCAGTTTGCCCTGTGTAAAGAAACACAAAGCAGAACTGACATGTAATGGAGTTCGAGATAAAACTGCATACATTTCAATACAACAGTTTACTGAAATGAATCTCCTAAGTGGTAAGCCACTTTATGCATAGCAAATTGAGGCTTCCTGGCCATTGGTATATGTCACTTGTTTATTCTTCTGTTTTGAAATTTTTAGATTATCGATTTTTGGAAGATGTGGCAAGAACAGCGGACCATATTTCTAGAGATGCTTTTTTGAAGAGACCAATAAGCAATAAATATGTAAGATTTTTTCCTAATTTCTTCCAGTTAGAAGTCCTTCAAATCAATTAGATTCTTTTTTTTTTTTTAACTTACCAAATATATTAAGTGGCTACCATGATGTAGAGCTATTCTGATTACTTAAGGATATGGCTGTGACCCAAACAAAGTCCGTCCCCTCGTGGAGTTGTATTTAGTGGGAGATATAGGAGATAAGTAGAGGAACAAATGTAATTTCAGATAGAGTTAAGTTCATATAGAAAATAAAGAAGGCTCAAGAGATTAAAGAGAGAATGAAAATGGTCTTTGTTGGGGAGAGATTGTCAGGGTACTATTTTCGATACAGTGGTCAGGAGAAGCTTCTCAAAGAGATGATGTGTAAGCAGTGATCTGAGTGCTGAGAAAGAGGCTGTCATGTGAACATTTGGAGGCAGATTATCCCAGGTAGGGACAAAAGTAAAAGGAAAGACCTGAGTCAGAAACAAGGATGTCTGGTTTGAGGAATTAAAAGATTTGCAAGGTAACTGAAGCATAGTGAGTGAGGAGGAGAGTATTGAAAATGAAGTTAGAGAAACTGGTGAGGAGTTGGGTGCAGTGGCTCATGCCTGTAATCCAAACACTTTGGGAGGCTGAGGCCAGAGCATTCCTTGAGCTCAGGAGTTCAAGACCAGCCTGGGCAACATGGTGAAAACCCGTCTCTATAAAACAATACAAAAATTAGCCAGGCGTGGTGGCGTGCCCCTGTACTCCCAGCAACTTGAGAAGCTGAGGTGGGAGGATCACCAGAGCCCAGGAAGGTCAAGGCTGCAGTGAGCCATGATTGCGCCACTACACTCCAGCCTGGGCAACAGAGTGAGACTCTGTCTCAAAAGAAAAAAGAAAAGAAACTGGTGAGGGTTTCTAATTCTAAGTGCAAATGGAAACCATGGAAGGGTTTTGAACATAAATTTGCCTTTTGAAAAACCACTCTTGCACTTTGTGAACTTTAGCGGGGCAAGAATGGAAGATTGGAAGCAGGGAGACCAATTATGCAGCTCTTCCCATGATCCTTGTGAGATAATAGTGGCTTGGGTGTACTGTTTGAATTATTGGGAAGGGATTAGATTGCGATTTTGAAGGAAGAGCTAACAAGACTTGCTATTCTAATACACTTAATTTTCATACTCTTGCATTCCTTTTTTAATTCCTTAAATACTATGCAAAATTAAAGCTTACATATTTGGAATATTTGGCAACTGGTGTTGTAGAAATTTGTTTATGGTGTGATTAAATCGTATCCTGGAATTGTGTTCATTTTAGTATTGGAGTTGCAGAATTTTAATACCTTTTAAACACCTTATTTTATTGGTATTATTGGTACAGACATAATTACATTACACATATCTGAAAGAAAATTATTCATATAGCAACTCTTATTTTTCCTCAAACTTAATTAGGCATAATTAAAATTCTACTTAAAGATAAATTACTTTACAATTTTTTTTTAAATTGTGAAATATAGCAAGTATATTTTCTAAACATCACAAAATGGAAATACACAGTATAATGAATAATTATAAAATGAATATTCATTTAACTACCACCCCAATCTAGAATTAGAACATTACTGGCTTCCCAGAAGTTCCATGCCACCCTTTTATGCCCTTCCCTGATCTTTTCTCATTTCTTTATATTTTTTTCTATCTTAGGACTGTACCACAATTTGTTTACGCATTTTTTTAATGGATTTTGGATTTTCTGTAAGAATAAAAAACAGTTTAGAAACAATGCCACTACTTTTGTCTATGAATTATAGTATGTGTGTGAACATGTGTTTCTAGGGTTTATACCTGGGAATAGAATTGCTTTGTTGTGTGGTATGCATATCTTCAATTTGCCTAGATGTTACCAAAACATTTTCCAAAGTGATTGTACTAGTTTACACTCTCACCAATAGTGTATGAATGTACCTATTGTCATATTCTCGCCAATACTTAGTTTGGTAAGACTTTAAAAATTTTTGTCAATCTGTTGGCTTTGTAATTTTATTGTGGTTTTAAATGTGCAGTTCTTTAATTCCTGATGAGATTGAACCACCTTTCAAATACTTTATTGGCCATTTGGATTTCCTCTTTTATGCAGTGCCTGTTCAAGTCTTTTGCTCATCTTTTCATTGGTCAGCTTTATTTTTCTTACTGGTTTGTGAGAATTCTTGGTATTTCTTGGATGCTAGTGCAAGTTGGTTGTATGTTATAAATACCTTCTTCTAGTCTTTGTCTTGTCTTTTCATTTTATAGTGTCTTGTGGTGAATGGATGTTCTTAGTTTTAATGTAGTCAAATTTATCATTTGTTTCCTTTATAGTTAGTAGGTTTATATGTTTATAAAGAAATCCATCTCTACCTTGAAGTTAGGAAGTTATTCTTTTATAGTTATTGCCTAAAAGCTTTATACTGTTGTGTTTTACACTTATGTCTTTAACTGGAATTGATTTTTGGTATCATATACAGAGGAGTTCCCATTTAATTTTTCATATAGATAATCCACTTTTCCCAGCACCATTTATTGGAAAGTTCATCCTTTCCCTATTGCTCTGTAGGACCACCTTTGTCATATATCAGCATCCCTATATGCTTGGGTCATTTTGTGGCCTTGTCTTTTCCATTCTGTTGGCCTACTGGTATATCCTGCACCAATACTATGCTCTCTGAATTATTGTGGTTTTTTACTGAAACTTGTTATCTGATTAAGTCCTCCCACTTTTTTTCTAGAGTATGGCTATTCAGTGCTGTTTTCAAGGCAAAATAATTGCAAATCTAAGCAAGGGATGGTCCATAGCCATAACTGCTAATGGATTTTTTTTCTTTTTTCCTCTGTTTCAGTGTAACCATACAAGTTTCCTAGCTTGCTCTAAAAGTAGAGATTGTTTCTGGTTCACCCTTATCCTGAAGGTATATTAGGAGGGTTGGTCACTGCTATTAGAATTATTATAATTATCACTACCATTACTGAAACTAAAGTCCTCTAAATTATAAAATTACATGTAATTTCTTAAAACAGTTTCCTACTTAGCCAATGATAGCTGACCCATCCTTTCCTTGGCTTATGGACTTGATTCTGACTGTTTACATTGCAAATTCTAGATCCCTATTCACTTAACAAAAAACTTGCGTTTATATTTTGCCTCTTATTTGAGTGATCTTTCTTCTTCCTTGACTTAATAAAAATCTGGTATTACTTCCTTCATAACTCTGGAATTGCCCAGTTTAGCTTAATCAACCCAGGTGGTCAATGTAATAACACATGTCAGAGCCAGAATGTTCTCATATCCCATTTTGTGCTTCCCACAACAGTGGTTACTTTAAGCTAGGCCTTGTACTAGGCAATGCCTTGGCTCTTCCCTTGAGTGAGCTGTCTAGTAATAAAATCAGTGATATATATATACAGCTAACTGGTAAAACCATCGGTAAAAGAAATCAAGAATTGTGTAGGTAGCCCCCGTGATTGCCAAATGACCTGTGTTTTTGTTTGTTTAATCTCCATTAAATTCTTCTTTGGCTCACAGAACATATGGTTAGAAACACAAGCTCTGGAATTAGACAGACCAGGGTTTGAATACAGGTTCTATCTCTCTGGGATAGCTGTATGATGTTGGGATCTCACTAATTTTTATTGCTAAAATGGAGATGATAGTACCTATTCTCATAGTATCATGGTGAAGATTACATGAGATTACTGCTTAGAGCTGTTGTAACACTTAGGTTCTCAGTAAATCTTAACTATTATTGAACATTGTTTTACTCACTTTTTAAATTTAAGGAATTTAAAAATTAATTTGTCTGTTTGGTTTTTGTTGTTAGATGTACTTTATGAAAAATCGTGCCCGGAGGCAAGGTATTAACTTAAAACTTCTACCCAATGGATTCACCAAGAGGAAGGAGAATTCAACCTTTTTTGATAAGAAGTAAGTTTCTAACTTTTTAGTATATCAGGTATTCTGATTTGATCAGGATCATTCTTTAAGGTTTGGTTGCTATAGAGCATTGCTACCCCAAGTGTGGTTCTGTAAACTGTTTGTTATTGGTCCATGACAAGATAACTGTAGTAATTGTATGTCATGTAACTCTAATAAAAATTTGGGTTTGCAGTGTGTGCGTGTGTGTGTGTGTGTGTGTGTGTCTTCATATCATTTGAGAAGCTTCTCAAACATTAATGTGCATACCAGTCACCTAGGCATCTTGTTAAGTATGCTTGTTGTGATTTTTCAGTAGGCCTGGGTTGGAGTTTGATATTGGGCATTTCTAACAAGCTCCTCAATGATGCTCATTGTTTGAGAAACATATTTTGAGTAGCAGCGCCCTGGAACACTCTCATACATTAGAAATAAACTGTTTCTTTGAGAACTAAGATACCAAGAAAGTATTTCAGGGGCTTCCAGGACAAAACGAGTAAAAACAGGACGCCTGTACTGTTTTAATCAAGGCAGCTCTGCTTTTATTTTCTTTCTCCACTGGGTTTCCAAATAAGATTTCAATTAAAAGCTGTCAATGTAGAAGAAGGGGACTTTGAACTCTTGAGTACAGATAATATAACAGAGATTAGTTTGCTGCTGTCTGAAAATGTTGGGTTGAAAAGGCCCCAAGAGTACAGAAGAGAACAGGATCCCAAAGTTCTTTAAGTAGCCAACTAAATTATCAGATAATACCTTTCAGAAGTCAAGATTTTGGATTTAGAATTTTTAAAAACTTGAGGGAGTCCCTCCCTTTTCAGCCTCTTAGTAACTGTGGGGCCTTGAACAAATCAACTTCCTTTCTCTGGGCCCCAGTTGTATGATGTGGGGAGTTGACCCGGGTAAACTACGGAGCCTTTCCAGTTGTACTCTTCCAAAAATTGAAAAGACAAAGCCATCAGAATTATCATTATTCTAGTGAAGCTTCTATCTTTTCAAAGCTGTTATCATAATTAGAAGATGACGTTTTCCATTTATTTTATATAAGACATAAACATTTGTAAAAATGGTTTTTCGTTTTTCCTGGTTGTCTTCGAAAAGTAAAGTAATGCTGAAGCAGGTGGATCCCTTGAGGCCAGGAGTTTGAGACCAGCCTGGGCAACATGGTGAAACCTCGTCTCTACTAAAAATACAAAAATTAGCCAGGTGCAGTGGCACCCACCTGTGATCCCAGCTACTCAGGAGGCTGAAGTGGGAGCATCCCTTGAGCACAGGAGGCGGAGGTTGCAGTGAGCCAAGATTGCACCACTGCACTCCAGTCTGGGTGACAGAATGAGACCCTGTCTCAAAAAAAAAGTAAAGTAATGTCTTGCATTTATCAAATGTGAGATGATTCTTTTGTGCGTTTTGAAACTGGCATATTTAGAAATTGACATAATTTGAAGTTTATGGTAACTGGTTAGAAGTTTATGGTAACTGGTTAGTGCTTTCTCAAATACAAAATGTGTTCCTGTTTTATGAAAGAAACTATTCAGAATGATTGTAATCAGAGATTAGTTCTCAGTAATGAAAAGCAGATGGCCTCAAGTATAACATTTTTGTGTCTGTAGGTACATGAATGTATGCGGGAAGTTTTTACCGAGAATATTACACTCAGTATATTTTCCAGGTTTAATATATTTTTGGTTGTTTTGAAACTCCCCGGGTCTCTGAAATGGCAAATCAGATTCTTCTTGCATAAGTCTTTTGCTCATAAATTTATAGAGATTTGTGATCAGTTTTCTTACATTTTTAGTGTTTCCCAGGAGGAGATTAGCAACATAGTATGTACTAATAGGCTTTAGAATCCATTTCTTAGTCTTTTACCGTCTGCAAAATGGAGCTCATGATAGCTACCTTGTAGAGTTGTGGCCTTTTAGTGTATTAATTCACATAGGCAGTAACTGGCATGTGGGAAGGAATCAGTTTATAGTAGCTATTGTAAAAATAATACATCTGTATCATTAAAAAGTTTAAAGGAAAAATATCACCTATAATTCCACTATCTAGAGTTGACCACTAATAAAATTTCGTAACATTTCCTTCTAATCATGTTTTCTCCTTTTTTCATCTAATAAAGTAAAACATAATATAAAATACTTAAAACTATATAAAGTGACATGACTCTGCTCAAGTTAAACATTAATTTTTTATGAATAAATGCACCTCCTTTTTTCCTGCAGCTAGATTTTCCATTTAGCAATACATTGTGAACCTCTTTTCTTGTTAATGCAAATCTGCCTCATTCTTTTTAAATAGGGTATTCCACCTTTGACTATATCTCATTTCATTTAATTATTCCGATATTCATGAACATTTATTTTATGTCTTGTTTTTAATTATTATACATAACACGGTATTAAACAGCCTTGAACAAATTGTTTTGTGTGCTTACCTGACTTTTTTTTGTAGGATCAATTCCTAGAAAGCGGAATTACTGGATTAGAGAGTACAATGTATTTAAACTTTTGAGAAAAACTCTACATTGTCTCCATAAAACATTACCACTTTGTACTTTCATCAAGAAAGTATGAGTGCCTATTTTAGTTATACCTTAACTTTTGTTGAATATTACCAAATTTTTTTGTGGGCAGCTTTATTAGAGAGGTTGAGCTCTTGGATTTTTAATTTCTTGTTAAGACATTGCCAGATGTCCACTGCAGGAGGCAGAATCACCCCCATTTGAAAAGCACTGATTTACATAAATACAGAAGATGTACTTATTGAATG
Organism: Homo sapiens; assembly: GCF_000001405.40. NCBI lineage: Eukaryota > Metazoa > Chordata > Mammalia > Primates > Hominidae > Homo > Homo sapiens. The sequence continues at coordinate 85,699,402 of NC_000001.11, read as the reverse complement.
TATAGTTCTAATCTTTTCTTGGTCCAGATAATTAACATAATGTAGACAGAATCAGGATTCTGGTGTTTTATACTTCACCTTTAAGAGGAAAAAATAGACATTTAAGAGTTACTTTGTTTGAGATATTTGTGTCTTATCAGCTGTTCATATGAAAATGAGCAAGGTTTTAGATGATTGCAATGGTATTTGCTGGAAAGAGGGAAGAAGGGGAAATGAAATTTTTTCAAAGAATTCTGTTCAGCTCCCATGCCCCCAGTATTCTAAGAGACTAGTTTTCAATACTTTTTTCTATTAACTTTTCAAAAGTTGGTTATAGCTTTGACTCTGATAAATGTAAATTTTCATGTTGTCTCTACTATTTGATTATACATTAGGTGACCTTGGGCAAAATCTGACTTACCAGGTTATTGAGAGGATTAAATGAAATTTTAATACCAACTAAAGTAGTACCTGGCACATACTAAATAATATACAGTGACAATGAAAATTTACATTCCCTTCACTGAAATCCTTAGGAATATGCCACATTTACTGTATATTCCATTCACCCCTCATAGGTCTGGGATAGCACTGTGTAATCAAACAGTACTATTTGTGCAGTGAAACCTATAAATGTTTACCTTATAATGGGTAAATAATGACTATAGATTTATTCAGTTAGGTTTTGCTGCTGAAGGAGTTAAAAATCTTTCAGTTTTGGAGATTTTGGAATTGTTGATATGAGAAGTTGGTCTTGTCCTAAGATTATTAATACTCCCTAGGTATTAAATTGATTGCTTGTTTAAGCAACTTGAGTTGCAATATAGTCAAAATCTCAAGTTGATGTCGCTTAAAATTTACATGTTTTCACTTTTGAGGAATCTGAATGAAGAATCTTTTGTACTGTTTTTGTAACTTTTCTATAAAGTCTACATTTATTTTTTTTAAAAAAAGTTTTAAATGTAAAAGCCCGTATATGAAGTGTGATGAATGTGCCATTGTACCTGAATTACTCTGTAGACCTATCAGAAGGTGATTGTAGCAGCTGACTGGGATAGGTTCATTCTAATCCAGACACCCTTTATGGCAGGCATTTTCACTGACTCTCCTAAAATTATATGTGAAATTATGTGATGTGTGAATTTTTCTAAGAATAAGTACTGCAATTTTCACTGAATAGTCAAAGTGAGGTGAAGTCTGTGAAGTCAAAAATAGATGCAATGAGGATGAATTTTAGAGGACTATTTTAGAGGAATTTGCAGGAGTACCACAGTGGATAGCTGTAATCAATAAAGTTCAGTTCAGGGAGGCTTATGTAAGTTGAGCCCAAGCAAGGTTGACATTCTCTGTTAAAAATAGAGAAGCTTGATAAGGAAATGTTGGCTCTCCTCCTTATTTTGGAGTAGATCCCAAGCTACTTTAAAATAGTGGCTTTTTCAGAGGTAATTCCTTTACCTCACCTCTTTGTAGGGTCTATAGCTTTATGTTCACTTTCACCCAGTACTAATCAAATCTGTTGAAAGAAATATGAAAGACCTATATGAAGAAAATGTAAATTCTCCTGAATGACTTAAAAGATTTGAATAAATGGAAAAAAGTGCCATATTCTTAAAAAGCTCAATATTGTTTCTTAAGTGATCTTTTAAGTCTGATGCAATCCTAGTCAGAATATCAATGGGATTTTGTTTGTTGTTATTTATTAATAAGACAGTTCATAAATAACTGAAGTTTATTTTGAAGAATAACATGGCAGAGGTGCCTGGAAAAATCTGAAAAAAGAATGATGAGGCTGGATTCATTAAAATTTATGAAATTATAGTAGTTTTATGGTGTTGGCCTAGAAATCTGTAACTAGATCATAGAAAATAAATAGTATATTTGGTTTGCTGGTATATGATCAAGGTAACATTTCAAATTAGTACAAATAATTGCTTATTCAATAAATAGAGTTGAAACAGCTTGCCATTTGAGAGGAAATGCTGAATCTTTTACTAAATAACATCCAGGTGGATCAAAATCTTAAAATGAAATAAAAATACTGGAATATTTTCATAATTTGAAGAGAAGAAACATCCCATCCAGAAGCCAAAAGGAAAATAATAACTAAATTTGCATGGCAAAAAAGACCATAATAAAGTGAAAAGACTGGACCAAAAAAGTCTTTAACATATATGACACAGAGTGCTTATGCATTATTAAGAAAAAAAGACTAGCAACTAATTAGGAAAGGGGCAGAGGATAAGAATAGATGGTTGGCCGGGCACGGTGGCTCACGCCTGTAATCCCAGCACTCTGGGAGGCTGAGGCAGGTGGATCACGAGGTCAGGAGATCCAGACCATCCTGGCTAACATAGTGAAACCCCGTCTCTACTAAAAAAAAAAAAAAATACGAAAAATTAGCTGGGCGTGGTGGCGGGCGCCTGTAGTCCCAGCTACTCGGGAGGCTGAGGCAGGAGAATGGCGTGAACCTGGGAGGCGGAGCTTGCAGTGAGCCGAGATTGCGCCACTGCACTCCAGCACTCCAGCCAGGGAGACAGAGCCAGACTCTGTCTCCAAAAAAAAAAAAAAAAAGAATAGATGGTCATAGAAAGATATGTGTACATACATGGTATTTAGCTGATAAACATTATAATAATATCTAATATAATGAAAGTATGGATTAACCAGGCCATTTTCCTCTTCCATTGTTGATAGTTAAATTGGTACAGTCATTTTTAGAAGGCAATTTGGTAATGTTTCTCAGAATGTTATATATTTTATTGTATAAAATGTATATTACATCTTAAAATGTTATAAGTAAGTACTCAAGGAATTTAGCCTACAAACGTATTTGTAGATGATCTATAGTCAGGAGATATATGTACACATATATCTATTGCAGTATTGTTTTTAGTAGTGTAAAAACTGGCACCAACCTAAAGTATCCTTCAGTATGGACTGAGTTAAGTAAATGATGGCACCTTCATACCATGGAATTCCATGCAGCCATTAAGCAAAAACAATTAGACGTAGAAGTATTGTCATGGAATACTATCCATGACATGTTCAGTGAAAAAAAAGAATTGGAGTTTAAAACAATTGTCTGAAAGATTAGGAAGCTCACTTTAAATTGGTGTTTCTAAAGCAAGATGCCATCTCCACAGAAAATTTAAAAATTAGCTAGGTGTGATGGTGAATGCCATGATTGCACCGTTACATTCCAGCCTGGGCGACAGAGTGAGACCCTGTCTCTAAAAAAAAAAAAAAAATGCAGTTAATAAATTAGCGATTATTTGGATCTGAATCCCTTTGGGAATCAGCTTAAATATGAGTTCTATTTGATATATACTTTGTGTCTGTTAGATAAGAAAAACTTCACAGATGAACCATGCTGTTTTTTGTTTGTTTTGAGACAGAATCTTGCTCTGTCACCCAGGCTGGAGTGCAGTGGCACGATCTCAGCTTACTGCAATCTCTGCCTCCCGGGTTCACACCATTCTCCTGCCTCAGTCTCCCGAGTAGCTGGAACTACAGGCACATGCCACCACACCTGGCTAATTTTTTGTATTTTTAGTAGAGACAGGGTTTCACCCTGTTAGCCAGGATGGTCTGGATCTCCTGACCTTGTGATCCGCCCGCCTCGGCCTCCCAAAGTGTTGGGATTAAAGGCGTGAGCCACCGCGCCCGGCCTGAACCATGTTGTTTTGTCCCCTCTGGTAGTAGAGTTTGGACTGAAGCTGTTAATGTTGATTAAGGACATGCTAAGAAATAGCTCTTAGAATCTTGCTGAACTTTCTTTAAGGGCATTACATGTTACTCTAACCAGTGGTCTCCAAGTATATAACCATGGGAGAAATGTCTCTTTGATCTCTGTTTCTTTTAATCAATTATTTGTTTTTTTCTGAAGCTGAACAAAATATAGTGGCTTCAAATGCCAGCTCTGATGTTTACTAGTTTTGTGGCTTTAACTCTATATCTCATTTTCCTCATCAGTAAAATGGACAAAAGTATAATCTACCCACATATATACCAGTATTTTTGTTCCTTTTTAAACATTTTTTCAGACCTTTTTAGGATCATTTTGTTCTCCTTTTTAAGATTTCTTTAGTGACAGTCTCATAAAAATATGCTTTTTCAGTTTTTGTCTTAAAATATCTTTATTTCATCTTTTTTTTTGGAGACAGGGTCTCCATCTGTCACCCAGGCTGGAGTGCAGTGGTGCAATCTCAGTCTTCTCTCTGCAACCTCCATCTTCTGGGTTCAAGCAATTCTCTTGCCTCAGCCTCCCCAGTAGCTGGGACTGTAGGTGCCTGCCACCATGCCAGCTAATTTTTTTGTGTTTTAGTAGAGAGGAAGTTTTGCCATGTTGCCCAGTGTGGTCTTGATCTCCTGAGCTCAGGCAGTCCACCCACCTCAGCCTCCCAAAGTGCTGGGATTACAGATGTGCGCCACTGTGCCCATCTTATTTTCATTTTTTAATGGAAATACAGTACATACCAAAAAAGCACACAAATCATTAATGTACCAAGATCAAAAACATTACCAGCACCCCAGAAGTCTTTACTGCCCCCTATGGGAATACCTACCACCTCCTCCCAAGTTTCCTATTTCCCCTAACTTTGAATTTTATAGATTAGTTTTACCTATTTAAAGTTTTTTCCCATATTTTATTATGAAAAATTTGAGGCCAGCCGTGGTGGCTCATGCCTGTAAACCCAGCACTTTGAGAGGCCAAGGCGGGCGGATCACGAGGTCAGGAGATTGAGACCATCCTGGCTAACATGGTGAAACCCCGTCTCTACTAAAAATACAAAAATTAGCTGAGCGTGGAGGCGTGCGCCTGTAATCCCAGCTACGCGGGAGGCTGAGGCAGGAGAATGGTGTGAACCTGGGAGGCGGAGCTTGCAGTGAGCCAAGATTGTGCAACTGCACTCCAACCTGGGTGACAGAGCGAGACTCCGTCTCAAAAAAAAAAAGAAAAACGAAAAATTTGAAACATAAAGTTGAAAATTTTGCAGTGAATGCTTATATATCCATCACCTAAATTCTGTCATCAATATTTTACAATAATTGCTTTATCAGATATTTATCCATCCATTAACCCATTTTATTTTTGGTGCATTTCAGATTAAATGCAGGCATCCCTCTACTGGGCCCTGAATACTTAAGCATCGTTAACTAGAGTTCCGTAGTTTGCATTTTTGTCTGTTGATGTAAAATTTACACGTAATGAAATGCACAAATCTTAAGTATGTACATTTGCTGAGTTTTGACAAATACATGCACCTGTATAATCCAGTGCCTGTGAATAAATAGAACATTACCATCACCCCAGAAAGACTTTTCTTGTCATTTCCTCTCTTCCTTAGAGACAGCCTGTCCTTTTTTCCCCCTGTACATTTCTTTTGCCTGTTTTAAAATTTCATATATAGTCAGACAGCTCACTCTTACTTTTGTTTTTTGTTTATCTGTTTTTTACTTTTTAAAAAATAGAGTCAGCATCTTGCTGTGTTGCCCAGGCTAGTCTTGAACTCCTGGCCTCAAGCAGTCCTCCCACCTCGGCTTCCCAAAGTACTGGGATTACAGGCATCAGCCCCCACGCCCAGCCCCTTTTGAATGATAGTTTAGCTTCATATGAAATATCTTAAGTTGACATTTATTTTAGAACTCAGTTAATTTATATATTCCGTTGACTTCTCACTTCTTTTGCCACTATTGAGAACAGTGTTGTTTTATACATAGTCTTCCTTCTTTTCTCTTCTGATTGCTTTGAAAATATTCAATATTGTCTTTGGAGTTCTGCAGTTTCTATGATGTGTGTTGCAGTGCTATTTCTTTTTATTTTTATTCCTTGAGATTTGTTCTGCTGTCTAAATATGACAATTCTGGAAAAGTAGTAAGTTATCTTAATTTCTTTGTCTTTGCTACATTCCAAGTAACTTGTTCAGCTATATTGTCCAAGTCACTTTCCCTCCTCAGTTGTCTAATTAATCATATTTTTAGTCTATGCACTGTTTGTTTTTTAGTTTATTTTTCCCTGGAACCTCTGTTTCTTTCCCAAATCTTTCTCATCTTTTAGACAGAATTGTATTACTTACTCACTCACGTTGTAAGCTTCCTTTTTTTCTTCAGTAATTTAGAACACTTCTCATCTGTGTAAATAATCCCAGTATCTGAAGTTGTGTAAGTCTGGTACTGCTGTCTGCTTGGACTCTTTTGTGTGGACTAACCACCCATTTCCTCAGAAATGGACCCAATTTTTGACCTTCTTATCCCCACATTTGTCTCCAAATGATATTGGCCCTCAGTTCTTAACAATCCAGTTCTTCTGCTTACCATTCTTCTACCACTAACAGCTTAGAACTGAAAGTCCTTAACTTTTCAATTTATTCTTTTGAACTAGGGTTCTTTAGCTCTGTGTTTGTGTGTCTGTCTTTTACTTACAGTATGAAGATAATAGAGGTGCGCCTATTACTAAACAACTTAATATTTAAGAGCTTCAATCTGTTTTAGAAGCAAGCCACTAGGTGTCCCTCTTGTAAAGAAATAACAAAGCTTTTATGAATTCAAAAAATTACTTTTTGTTCTTTGGATAAAATTACATCATCCTTATTATATTGCAGTAATATACCTATTTACCCCTGTATTAATGTCAGTAGCACTTTTTTCCTTAAACAGTTATGTGGTAATGTACTTCTAAAAGCACAGGACTTTTTTTTTTTTTTTAACATGGTATCCTATAAATATAAGTAGTATAGGTTTGTACTTTGCTGCAAATTGGCTTTAGAAAAGAGTAAAGGAAAATGAAATGATGGGTTTAGCAGTTGTGGTCATGAGGAGACAAGTGGATTTTGCTGTGAGCTTTGGGGGATTATATAATAGGTGCCCAGTACAGACTTGTCAACTGATTGACAGCTCTGTGGTTTCTCTGCCATAATAGCTTTGATATGGTTTGATGGAAGAATTTCAGAACAACAGCAAGGATTTAGAAAAATAGTGTGGAAGAATAGAATCCTAATGGTTCCCCAATTGGGCCTCTACTTACTGCAGCCATGCAGACAGTGGTAAGGGAGTTCTTGTGACACAGCATCACAGAGGGTGTAACTTTCCACAGCAATAATTAGCCAGCATTCATAGAAATGTAAAGCCAAACACTCGATCATCTTGAGGTTCCCGAACTGATTCAGTTAAGGAAGCCTTTTCCCAGTCACCAAGTCCATCCTTTGTGATATGCCTCTAAAATGTGTCCCTTTCTTACTGCCTCCTTGACCGCAGCATTTATCAGCTGTAGTGTCCTATGCAGGCCCTTCTTACCTCACTCTGGACTGTTGAAGAACCCCATCTGCCTCCCGGGTTCAAGCGATTCTCCTGCCTCAGCCTCCTGAGAAGCTGGGATTATAGGTGCGCGCCACCAAACTTGGCTAATTTTTGTATTTTTACTAGAGGCAGGGTTTCACCGTGTTGGCCAGGCTGGTCTTGAACTCCTGACCTCAGGTAATCCACCCGCTTTGGCCTCCTAAAGTGCTGGGATTACAGGCATGAACCACCATACCCGGCGTTGAGACAGAGTCTTACTCTGTCACCCAGGCTGTAGTTAGTGGCGTGATCTTAGCGCTCTGCAATCTCCGCCTCTTGGGTTCAAATGATTCTTGTGCGTCCGCCTCTCAGGGAGCTGAGACTACAGGCTTGCACCACCACGCTCTGCTAATTTATATATTTTTAGTAGAGCTGGGATTTCACCGTGTTGGCCAGGCTCCTGGCCTCAGGTGATCCGCCTGCCTCGGCCTCCCAAAGTGCTGGGATTACAGGCGTGAGCCAGTGTACCCAGCCTATCTGTTAGATACACCTCTCTAAAACTTGTTCTCACCATAATGGTCAGCTACTTAGAATCCTTTAAGCTTCTGTGCCCACAAAAGTCATTAGCTCAGAGATATCTCAATTGGCCAGAGGCAGCATTGCCAGTAGATGAAATTTGTCATCTCATTTTTGAGTCTTGTACTGTCTGTACTCCATTCCGTAGCCTGAGGTTAACTCCTTCTTATCCCCCTCTCATTTGAAGTTGCTACTTCCCAGACAGTTGGAAATATAATTCATTTCAAGTATTCCTCATTAAACAAAACAGAGTAAGTCATCTTCGTTGTATTTGCTTTTTAAAGGAGGAATCACAATATAGTTAATATTTCTTGAATGTTTATTTTTTATTAAACATAACAAATTTTATTTAATCTTTGAGAGGAAGTTTTCTTGGCAAGTTACTTATTTCCCTGTGCCTATTGCCTTATCTGTAAGATGGAGACAGTAATAGTACCAGTTTTATGACTAGTGGTTTTCAGTTTATAGTGCATGCCAGAATTAACTGTGAGGCAATTTCAAAATGCAGAATAGATACCCGGGCTTGACCAGCAGAACTTGTTTTTTTGAGATGGAGTCTCGGTCTGTCACCCAGGCTGGAGTGCAGTGGCACGATCTCGGCTCACTGCACCCTCCACCTCCTGGGTTCAAGTGATTCTTCTGCCTCAGCCTCCTGAGTAGCTAGGATTACAGGCAAGCCCCACCACGCCTGGCTAATTTTTGTATTTTTAGTAGAGATGGGGTTTCACCATGTTGGCCAGGCTGGTCTCGACTTCCTGACCTCAAGTGATCCGCTCGCCTCAGCCTCCCAAAGTGCTGGGATTACAGGTGTGAGCTACCCCGCCCAGCCAAGGACATCTTTACTTCTAAAAAGCACCAGATGATTCTGATGTTTACCTCTACCTGAAAACCACTGATCTGTGTGCCTATAAGTCAATGACCTTATTCTCAATTAGTTCAGTCAGTGGGCAGACAAGACTGCAAACTCTTAAAACATAGTATAGTTAGTGTTGTGATGGAGTACTCATGGGGTATGGTAGCACAGAGGAGGACTCCCTGCCCCAGCCTTTCGAGGGAAGTGTTACTCACTGAGAGCAGGGAACAGGAAAGACTTCCTAGAGAAGATAGAATTTGAGCATGTTTTTAAGGATGAGAAATAGTTTTTATTTCTAGGTTTTTATCTAGACAGAGGGAAAGATGGTTCTGGTGGTGAGAATATCAGAAGCAAAAGCATAGTGTAGCAAAGTTAGCACAATGTAAGTAATTTGGTGTGCCTAAAAACCAGTGGGGGTTTGGTGAGCGATAGGAGATGAGGCTGGAGAGAGGCCCACTCTGCCATGCCAGGGAGTTTAGGTAGAGTCATACTTTGAGCAGGAAATCTTCCTGTTCGTACGAGTGATCCATATCTGAATGTGGATCTTTATAGTCTCTCTCCACCTTATTTCCTAATGTATTCAACTAAATGTTCCCAGGCTGGTCACCATTCTAAATCCTAGAATGTCTTTTTATTCCATATATTCTAGCCATCTGTGAGAGTACACATGATAGCTTATCTTCTCCATTATGTCTCTTTTACCTAGGTTCCTATAGTACATATTTTCTCCGCAGTTAATATGAAACAGATGCTAGCATTTAGTGCTGGTATTCATTTTTGGTATGCATATATCTGGTCTCCTTTCTACTTTCTAGTGTTTCTTAGTAGGGGCTCTATTGGCATTTTTGAATGGGACAGTTTTTTTGTTTTGTGGGGCTTTCCCATACATTGTAGGAATTTCCCATTCCTTGCCCCCTACCTACTAAATCCTCAAGTGCTCCCTAGTCTTGGAACAACCAAAACTGCCCAGCCATTTCCAACTGTCCCCATACTCCCAGCCCTCCCAGTTGAGAACTGCTTAAGTACTCAAGTATTCATCAATTTTTGGAAGTAAAAAGGTTCTTTTTCATTTCATTTCCGTCTTCACCTGCTATATCCATTTTCTTAATATACTTTCTACTAAAGCCAATACCACATAGTTAACCTTTTTCCTATTATTTTCATGCAGTAGTGGTACTAATTTTTAAAAGGACAAAAATATATAACTATTACTTCCCAAAGTATTTACATAATGATGTGAGACATAAAATTATGGTTTTCATTCTCCCAAATTCTAGTCATTTAATCTATACCAAATAATTAAACAGATTCTTTGTATTCATACTTCCAAAAAACACTTATCATGGTACTAATCCTAATAAAATAGATTATTTTTATAAGGAATGATTCCATTTATTTTTGAGAGACTTCAGATTTTCACCTTGGAATACATTTTAAAAGATTAAATGCCTGTGAATGAAGGATTATGTAGGTATTTTATAGATTTTGTATTTTTCTTGAAGAGTTCAAAATTTGTTATATTTTCTTTCAGCTTTAAATTAAGATTTTATAGCTGACAGTAGAACAAATTTTTTTCCTGAAATTTCATCAGGTATTATTCGCTGCTTCCAGATGTCATACAAGTTGACAATTTTAGTGTCTCTTCTTTTTCTATTGCTTATAAATGAAAGAGAAACATAGCAGAAATGTTTGTATCAATCCCTTGTATCAGTTAGGTTGCTTTATAGTTGCATGAAATAGAATACTCAGTTTAAACAGATTTGAGCTATATACAGAGGACATTTTGACTCTCATAACTGAATGTTCAGAGGTAGATGGACTTCAATTACAGCAACTTGGTTATATCATCAAGGACCCATTTTTTTTTCTGATTCTTTATTGTGTCCTTTATGGTGTCCATGTAATCCTCATAGTCATAGGATATTGCTGGTAACAGTTTGGGTTATAGTAAATATCCAGACAGAGTGCTTCTCTCCCAACATTACTAAACAGAAAACCTGAACTTCACCATGATTAGGCTGCCTACGTAATCTGCCCAGTCTGGAGCCATTGTGTCCAGGAAAGTATGTTGATTTTCTTAAGTCATAATGTACACCCCTAGAGGGTAGGCATAGAGTTCATTCATTAAGGTATGGTTATGGATTACGAAGGATGGTGGTGAGAGGTAGGGAACGATTGCGAAGTAAATAGTCAAAATGTCTACTATACCTTTTAAAAATGATTTTAAAATATGGAGGCAGATATTTAAAATAAAAAGTAACTGAGATACACTTGAATTCGCAGTACAGAAAAATACATAGTTTATTTTTGAACTTTCAATTCTAGAAAGCTCGTAATAATATAGCAGATCAGAGTATGGACTCTAGAGTTAAGAGGAAGCACTGCCTGGGCTCAAATCCCAGCAGCTCTGCTACTTTCCAGCTGAATAATGACCTTGGAGGAGTGACTTTCTTTTCTCTACCTTAGTGTTTTCATCTGTAAAATGAAATAATAATATTTTACCTCATAGAATTATAAGGATTAAAGGAGTTAATACATACATTTAGAACCATGCCTGACATTAAAAGCTTTTAAAACAAACTATTGTTATTTACTATTGCTACTTGCTGTGCTCTCTGGTAAAACAGTTTACTGGTAGTTTTTTATAACCTGTAGACATTTCTTTTTTTTTTTTTTTTGAGACGGAGTCTCACTTTGTCACCAGGCTGGAGTGCAATGGCACGATCTCGGCTCACTGCAACCTCTGTCTCCGGGGTTCAAGCAGTTCTTCTGCCTCAGCCTCCCGAGTAGCTGGGACTACAGGCGCACGCCACCATACCCAGCTAATTTTTGTATTTTTGATAGAGACAGGGTTTCACCATGTTGGCCAGGATGGAACCTGTAGACATTTCTAATGTAATTAGTGATACAGTATTCTGAAAACAGACATGTGGAATGTCTAGCTTTAGCTTACCTCATGGAGTCACCTGTGTTTAAAAATCAGAAGTAAAAATTTTAAGCATATTTGAATTGACATGATATGTCAATGTGATTCTCAAAAGTAGTTGGAAATACTTCTCTTAATAACTATAAACAAGGGCTAAAAAGTTAATGTCCTGAATATACTATGGAAACACTTATTAGGAGAGTTAAGTAGTAGGATGATGAATCTCCCTGTAAGCCCTTCAATTCACTGTTTTTTAAAACCTTTGTTAATGGTGCATTAATTACAAGATAGAATCCATACTGCTTAGCAGAGCATTCAGGGCCCTTTATAATCTGGTATTAATGTGTCTAGTTTCATCTCTAGCCACTAAACACTAAGTTTAATGTGAATAGAGTTTGCTTATGAAATCACGGCAAAATACTCTGTTTAAAGACACTGTCGGTATTTGATAGTAACATTTTTGAGTACTGGGTTCTAAATTGTTTTTTTTTTTTGTTTTTTTTTTGTTTTTTGAGATAGTCTTCTCACTCTTGTCACCCAGGCTAGAGTGCCGTGGCACAATCTCAGTTCACTACAGCCTCCACCTCCTGGATTCAAGTGATTCTTCTGCCGCAGCCTGCTGAGTAGCTAGGACTACAGTTGAGCGCCACCAATCCTGGCAATTTTTTTTTGTTTTTTGTATTTTTAGTAGAGGTGGGGTTTCACTATGTTGTCCAGGCTTGTCTCGAACTCCTGACCTCAAGTGATCCACCCATCTCGGCCTCCCAAAGTGCTGGGATTACAGGAATGAGCCACCATGCCCGGCCTCTAAACTCTTGATATATTATTTATTCATTTAATTGTGATAGAAATACCGTTGTTATCCCTGTTTTACTATGAGAAGCCTGAGGTACAGAGAGATTGTCTCTTGCTGAAGAACATGTTAAGAAATAAATTATTAAAATGGGATTCAAACGCAAAGTCCACTTAACCTCTCCCCCATCCTACCTCTGGACCTTATAGTATATTGAGCCTTCTTGCTATGTACAGTGTCAATAAAGAACAGGAAGCTTTCATATGAAAATTGTGAAATGGAGGGAAAAATGCAGTGCCCAACATTGGTGATTGACTTGCTGCCCTAAAAAGAAGTCCGTGTTGGACTCATCTCCTTGTTGGTCTCTTTGTCCTTAATGTCTAGTGAGCTCTCGTTAGTGTTCTTTGGGTATATGTTGGTTAATCAGTGTTGGAGTGGGATGAGAATTGGTGATTAAAAAAAAAAGAACAGAAATATTCAAGCTTCTTTAAACTTTGTATTAGAAATCTTCATTCTTTGAGTTTAGCCTCCGTTTGTAACTCTTAGTTGTGGCACATTTCTTAGGAAGATAGCCTTGAGACCATCAAAATGATGAGATAGGTAACCCTCGTTCTGGTTCAGTACTAGTTTCTAAGATAAAAAAGAGAAATATATATTTTTTTTCTCAAAGGGGGCAAAAGAGAATTCTTAAATGAATACTTCTAATAGTGAAATATGTTTAAGTTTAAAAAGAATGTTAAGGGTGGGTGCGGTGGCTCACACCTGTAATTCCAGCACTTTGGGAGGCCGAGGCGGGCGTATCATAAGGTCAGGAGATTGAGACCATCCTGGCTAACATAGTGAAACCCCGTCTCTACTAAAAATACAAAGAATTAATCAGGTGTGGTGGCGGGCACCTGTAGTCCCAACTACTAGAGAGGCTGAGACAGGAGAATGGTGTGAACCCAGGAGGTGGAGCTTGCAGTGAGCTGAGATCGCACCACTGCACTCCAGCCTGGGCGACAGAGCGAGACTCCATCTCAAGAAAAAAAAGAAAAAAAAAAAAAGAATGTTAAAATTATTCCTGTTCTTTCTATCACTGCCATCCTGTATGCGCCCATGAATGCATCTTTGACTTTACTGATTATGAAAAGTAACAAATCAGCCAGGTACGGTGGCTCACACCTGTAATCTCAGCACTTTGGGAGGCTAAGGTAGGAGGGTCACTTGAGCTCAGGAGTTGGAGACCAGCCTGGGCAACATAGCAAGAGCTTGTCTCTACTAAAATTCAAAAATACAGCCAGCTGTGGTAGCTACTTGCAGGGGCTGAGGCGAGAGGATCACTTGAGCCCAGAAAGTCAGGGCTGCAGCAAACCCTTTTTGGCCACTGCACTCCAGCCCAGGCGACAGAGTGAGACCTTGTCTCAAAAAAGGAAAAAAAAGCCCACAAATCATTATGTGGAAGATTTATTTAATAATACAGACATATTCGTAGGTAAAAATTAAGTCAAGTCCTTTTATAATGTCAAGAAATAATCATAGCTAAAAGTTTGGGGTATGGCCTTCATACTTGCCAATATATGTATAAACCTGTGTTTTAAATATAAAGGCTATCATTCAACATGCACATTTTTCTACATCAGTACATAAAGTTCTGCCTCATCTTTTATGACTACTTAAAATTCATTATGTAGATGTACCATGATTTATTTAATCAACTTTCTGATGATGTACATTTAGGTTGTTTCTAATTTTTTTCTATTATATAAAGTGGTGCAGTGGACATTTTATATATATATCATTACTTGACCAATTATTTCCTTGGGATACATTTCCAGGAATAAAACTATTGAGGCAAAAATATACAGTTTTTCAATTACAAATTTTTATTTATAGCTTTTATGAAATTGAACTACCAGTAGCTTGCACCAATTTATATTCCTGTCAGCAATGAAGTTGCCACACTTTTGCCACACTTCCTTAGTATTTCTAATTTAAAAAACATTTCTACAAACCTGAAAAGGAAAAATATTTTATTTATATATACATTTCTTTGGTTATTAATGAATTTGAACATCTTATTGTGACATTAGAGCAGTGCCATTTAAAAGGACCTAATGACTTTTGATTTGCATCTTTTTCCTTGGGATTGTGGTAGTATTCCCCATACGAAAATTTGCAATTTGAAGTTATGAAGTCAAAAGAATAATTTAGATTATGGTTATAGAACCTCTTTCCTTAAATGTGTGTGTTCATCCACATACTTTCTTGAAACTGTGGGAGAGAATGATCCCTTTTCTTTCTATTTTTGTAAACAAATGGGCCACGGAGAGACTGATCCTTAACAGTTTCTAGTAAGCAAGTGTTGGTAAATAAGTGCTCTGTATTAACTCACTGAAAATGAGTATAAAATATTTATTTTCCTCATTTAATACAAGTGCCATCTAAGTATTTTTCAACTTTTTTTTTATTATTGCCTCCCAAGGAGCTTTCTGCCGTGATATTTTGATACCATAGATACACTGTATATCTGTTGCATACAGTAGCCCTTTGTAGGGCCACAAGCATTAAAATAGCAAGATTTTGTTGGCCCTTCAGAGAACCAGTTTTTGCCCTCTTTGGGGCCATGCTGCCCTCATTGAGAATGCATGTGTGTATTGATATTTAGAGGAGGAGAGGGAAACAGCTTTGCTATGCATGAATAGTTACTTGGGTTTCATAGGACTCAGAAGAGGTTAGTGTTTCTGTTGCTTTGTCAGATTGTCCAGAAGGGAACATAAGGATTAAGTTGCCACAATTACTCCACCAGTCTTATCACCCAACTCTAAACATGGTATCTTGGAGTCCCTAAGTTACCTAGAATATACTAGGTATAGTAATACCATTTTTGAGAACGTTGATATGCCAAGGGTATAGTGACATTATTGTAGTTGAAGGCATTTTGTTGAATTTAGGGAACAGTAGCTCTAATGCATTAGGAGTAATTGTAAATGTTCAAACCTTTATCCTTGTGGTTCTCAAACAGTGATGATTCTGCTTCCAGGGGACATTTGCAATTTCTGGGAGCATTTTTGGTGGCCACAACTGGGTGTATGAGTGTTCCTAGTGGAACACTCATCTAGAGGGTGGAGTCCTAGGATGCTGCTAAACGTCCTGCAGTGCAAAGGACCAAGTCCTTTGCAAAGAATTATCTAGTCCAAAATATCAGCACTGCTGAGATTGAGAAACCCTGCTCTGTCTTAGTGATTGTACTTCTTGGAATCTAGCTTTAGAAAGTAATCCAAGTAATGTTGCTAGGATTTTGATGTATGTATATTTTTTTAAGTGGGACATATATTTGTATATATAATTATAAAAAAATGAGAAACAAGCTTAATTCTTTCAGTCTTAAGAAGAACACATGTCAGGACTTACAGTAATTTCAGCAATACTGAAGAATTGGAAACCATTTTAGAGAAAATTAACTCACCCATTTCAGCAATTTTTTTTTTTTTTTTCTGTGACGGAATCTTGCTCTGTCGCCCAGGCTGGAATGCAGTGGCTCAATCTCAGCTCACTGCAAGCTCCGCCTCCCGGGTTCAAGCAATGTGATTCTCCTGCCTCGGCCTCCCGAGTAGCTGGGACTACAGGCACATGCCACCACACCTGACTAATTTTTTGTGTTTTTAGTAGAGACGGGGTTTCACCATGTGAGCCAGGATGGTCTCGATCTCCTGACCTCATGATCTGCCCACCTTGGCCTCCCAAAGTGCTGGGATTAGAGGCGTGAGCCACCTTGCCTGGCCTAGCAATTTTTTCTTTTTTTTGAAACAGGGTCTCATTGTGTCACCCAGGTGAAGTGCAGTGACGCAGTCGCAGTTCACTGCAGCCTTAATCTCCTGGGCTCAGGTGATTCTCCCACTTCAACCTCCAGAGTAGCTGGGACTATAGGCATACGCCACCATGCCTGGCTCATTTTTGTATTTTTTGTAGAGATGGGGTATCATCATGTTGCCTAGGCTGATCTCAAACTCCTGGGCTCAAACGATGCGCCCACCTTGGCCTCCCAAATTGCTGGGATTATACAGGCTTTAGCCACTGCGCCCATCCCCAGCAGTTCTTTATACAACACCCTTCAACTTCTGTTTGCCCACCTTGGGTTAAAGTACATATAAAGAATCATCTACTGTTATCAATAGCCCTTTATTTCTTAGAAGAAATAAAAGTACCTCAAAAATACGGCAATTTGTAAATGAGTTAAATCTGAATATGGGTGCATTGAGTGTTCTTTACATTATTCTGTTTTTCTTTGTTTTTGAAATATTGGAAGATCACATTTTAAAAGTTAGTGTACTTTTCAGATTTGTTCATGTGTGAGCTGAGGCCAAATATAGAAATATTTTTATCAATAATTTGGCAATGTATAGCAATGAATGACTTTGTTATAAGTAGAGCTAGTTAACTACAACAAATAAAATGATTTCCGAGGGCTTTTCTCTCTGTGTTTGGAATGTTAAGTGCTTTCTGAATGTATTCAGGGTGTATTAAATGTTAAAAGGCGAATGGTTTTTGAAATTACTCAAGCAAGAATTGGGGTGATTGAGTATGGTTTACAATTCCATAAGATGGCAAGTTGGTAATCCTTTTTTTCCCTAAGTTAACCTGAAAAAACATACATTTAGGAAGAAACTATATTATGCATTAAGATGAACAAAATGAGGCCGGGTGCGGTGGCTCATGCCTGTAATCCCAGCACTTTGGGAGGCCGAGCCAGGTGGATCACGAGGTCAGGAGATCGAGACCATCCTGGCGAACGTAGTGAAACCCTGTGTCTACTAAAAATACCAAAAAAAAAAAAAAAAAATTAGCCGGGCGTGGTGGCGAGCACCTGTAGTCCCAGCTATTCAGGAGAGAGGCAGGAGAATGGTGTGAATCCGGGAGGCGGAGCTTGCAGTGAACCGAGATCATGCCACTGCACTCTAGCCTGGGCAACAGAGCGAAACTCCGTCTCAAAAAAAAAAAAAAAGATGAACAAAATCTGTTTATTTCTTATTAAAAAAAAAAAGTCAGCCTTGTGATAATGCTATTATGGTATTCCTATTTCACAGATAATGAATATTGCAAAATGTTTTATTTTGGAAGAATTATTTATTTAAAACTAGTAACTGTTGCTTTTGCATTCAAATTTTTAAATGTTTTTTCCTCTGAGATTTTAGACATCTGTCCTTTAGATTAGTAAAGGGTACTTTTCAACTTTGTTCTCAATAAAATTATGTTCTTTGTCTTCTGACAGAAATTCTACTAAATCATATAGATGTTTGGTGAAAGATAGATTGTATTAAAAGAAAATTATTTTAGATTTTGGGGTCCTACTGCTATGGGATAGATTTTAAGGAGATATCGGTAGTCATTAACTTGCTCTAATGGATTGTTAGAAATTTCTTCTAAGTAAGGAAAACATTGTGTAAAATCATCATGTAGTGAAGACATTTAAATTTCTGTATTGGATTCAATATTTTGAGCATTAGAATTTTTAAAGAAGGAATCATGTCAATGTCTCTAAATTTAGATATATTAAATATAGTCATTTTTCTAAAATCAGACATTTAGTGAGTTATTGCTGTTGATGCTATGTCAAACCAAAGTTTAGACCTGAAAGCAAAAAGACTGTAGCTCAAAGTGCATTCTGCTTAGCAACCAGCTTGTTGTCTCCTGTTTTGCTACTGAATGCACGTACTCATGCCTCAGAAGTGTATCTCCAGCCAGCTGGACTCAACCGGACAATACTTCATTCACCTAATTTCCAGACTAGTCAAGCAAAGACATCAGCTCATTGTATTTAGTCATGAGGAAATTTATTTGTAAACTTCAAATAGTAGCACACTGCTCCCAAAAGCCCCTGAACTATGAGAAATTGCTTTCTGATTCAGAAATGTGAAGTCCTTGGAATTTAGAACTGCTTCCCTTTTTTTTCTTTCTTAATAACCCTTGCAAGAGAAATTAGCTCTTAATAGAAAATATATGTTAAAGTCTAAGAATAATTTTGGAATTATCTTAAAGTGAAAATTTAGAAAGTTCAATTTGCATCCAGACTTTTATTATCTACCTTGATTCTCACATGATTATTTTCTCTCTTAGAAAACAACAGTTTTGTTGGCATGTGAAGCTCCAGTTTCCTCAAAGTCAAGCTGAGTACATAGAAAAAAGGTATCACTGCTATCTTTCAATCACTGATTTGTTTTAATTTGAAGGCTGTGTATTTAAAATAAACTGTTAACTTAATGTCAGTAGTAGAATGGATAACTAAATTGTGGTGTATTTATACAATGAAATGCTAAACATCACTAAAAATGAACTACAGCTATGCACATCAACATGGATGAATCTCAGAAATAATATAAGAAAAGCAAGTTAAGGAAGAATGTAGAGAACATGATTGTAAATATGGGGGAAAAAAGCCAGAAAACTAAATAGTGTACTTTTGGGAATACCTACAAAGGTGATAGAACTAACTCTAAGGGAAATTATTAACATAGAAATCCTGATGATGGTTTCTTTAGCAGCAAAGCAAGTATTGAGGAGAGGGATCCGAGGAGAATTAGACGGCTGAAAGTTTCCTATTTCTTCAGCTGGGTGGTTGTTAAGGAAGTGAAAAATGACCCAAAATTCTACCATGCAAAGATTACTACTATTAACATTATAGTGTATCACTCAGAAAATACATTATTTTAGAAGTATATATGTGTACTCATTGGAATTAATTTGCATAAAGTTTTTGTGTTACTGTTTCATATTAAAACTTGTTCTTTTCTTTTTCTTTATTTTTGGAGGGGAGTGGGGGCAGGATCTTGCTCTGTTGCCCACGCTGGAGTGCAGTGGTGCGGACCTCCGCTCACTGCAGCTTCAACCTCCTGGGCTCAGGTGATCCTCCTACCTCAGCCTCCAAGTAGGTGGGACTAAAGGCTCAGGCCATCACGCCCAGCTAATCTTGTTTAGTTTTGTAGAGGCAAGGCCTCACTATGTTGCCCAGGCAGGTCTCAAACTCCTGGCCTCAAGCAATCCTCCCCTCTCTGCCTCCCAAAATGTCGGAATTACAAGTGTGAGCCACCGCATCCAGCCTATAAACATTTTCAAGTGTCATTTAAACATTTTAATGTTGGCCAGATGCAGCGGCTCACACCTATAATCCCAGCACTTTGGGAGGTCGAGGCGGATGGATTGCCTTTGGCCAGGAGTTAGAGACCAGCTTGGCCAACATGGTGAAACCCCGTCTCTACTAAAAATACAAAAATTAGCTGGGGGAAGTGGCGCACCCCTGTAATCACAGCTACTTGGGAAGCTGAGGCATGAGAATAGCTTAAATGCAGGAGGCGGAGGTTGCAGTGAGCCAAGATCATGCCACTGCACTCCAGCCTGGGCGACAGAGCAAGACTCTGTCTCAACAACAACAACAAAAAAATTAAAAAAAAAAAAAAAAAACATTTTAATGTTTGTGAACTATTTCATTCCTTGATTTAGGAAAATTTTAAAGTTGCTCTTTAAGTAGTATATTTAGCATATTCCTATATTATACATAAATATCCTCTCTTTGTAGTTGTCAAAGGGATTTTAGTGAAGAACTTTGTTATTTGGAGTTGCATACAAGGAAAAGACTTATTTTACATCTAGGGGTATGTAGCCAATAGTATATATGAATATGTATAAATGGTTGAGGAAAGTTACTGTTTTAAAACAGTGTCTTAATTTTGTTTATACAGCTTTATAGATAAGTTTAAAACAGCGTGCATATATGGAAGAAAGTTGGAAAACTTAAAATGTTTTGTTTCCAAGGAAATTACTATCAATTTTTTAACTTGGTCTTATAAATTAGAATGAGTAAATTTGAACATGCACTGAAATCTGAAACCTTTTTTCAGATTTATTATTTCTGCTAGTTTCAAATATATTTTATCCTGACCTCGTCTTTTCATGTTTGAGTACAGGTGTGTGTTAAGAGGCTTCATATTTTTATAATTGATTTATACAGAACTTCTCAAAATGTTGTTTTTTAAGACCTTAAGTGTGTCCAAGAACTCTTTTTGAGCTTTTTCCTAAGTAATTTTTGCTTAAAATGATATTTTATTTTGCCAAGAGTAATATAAAAGGTCTTTGTTCAGTTATTTAAACCAAAAAAGCCACAATATTTAATAATTCAAAATTAACACCTTTAGTAGAAAATTATAAATACTAATATAGCTTGTTTTTTTTTCTTTGTTGTAAAGAGTACCAGATGATAAAACTATTAATGAAATCCTAAAACCTTACATTGATCCTGAAAAGTCTGATCCTGTAATTCGTCAAAGGTATGCTTCAAAAATATTGTAACTTTCTGAAATAATTAAAAATGTTGATGTACTTATTAGGGTCATCCATGACTATTAGAATGTGATGTGTAGTACAATTTACTTTCTATCACATTTTCTTGGTGTTTACTGAAGGTCTGTCTGTAGAAATAGCTGACATTCATTGTTTCCTATGTTCCAGACACTCTTCAAAGCAGACAGTAATAAATGTGTTAATTCATTTAATCCTCACAATAACTCTGAAAAGTAGATTATTATTATACCCATTTTACAGATGGAGAAACTGAGCCTTGAAGTGGTTAAGTAATATCCTATAGCTAGTAAACAGGGAAGCTAGGATTCACACCCAGGCAGTCTGGAGTCAAAGTCTTTACTCTTAACCCTTAAACTAAACTACCTTTGAGGTTGAACGAAAAACTCTGAAAATGAAAAGTTTCCAAGTAACTTAAAGACAGGAAATCCTGTTTCAGCCAAGTCTTCTTAGAACTAAGTAAAGTACACTCTGCCTCCTGTCCAGAAATACAGCATGGACAAAAGTGGTTAACATAACATAGTGGAAAGATTCAGTCATGGATATCTGGGTTAAAATAGCTGTTTCTGTCCCTTATTAGCTGTGTGATTAAGAGCAAGTTACTTAATTTCCAGGCCTTATTTTTTCTCATCAGTGAAATAAGAATGATAACACTTCCTAGATAGGGTTGTTACAAAGCTTAAAAGAAATAGCATATATGAAATTCCTAGTACAGGACCTAGCATATAGTAGACACTACTCGAAAACGGAGATTGTTATTAGAGTGTGAGTTATTAGTGCTCCTGGGCAGAAACCCGGTTGACTTTATTTTCACCAGATGGTACTTGCTTGGGATGTGAATGAGTGCTTGGTTTGGTTCCAGAATAACCTGGTATTTAAAATTTAGACTGGGTGGATTCTAAAATGTCTAATCCAGTTCTAATTGAATCTCATTCTTTTGCTTTTGATAAAAGGTCATGCCCAGACTGAACCAGACCCATGTCACATATCAAGCAGTCTTTAAAATAGCTATGATAGTTGAGTTTCTTTCCTTATAACTGGTAACCTAGTTATTATCATTAGTCATATATTTGCCAGTAAGACAAAATGTCACTGAATAGGATACATTTTTGTAAAATTATATAGCCAGATTAATTTATTGAAACAGGTGTTTTAAAATTTAAGATGTTTAATTGAACAAAGGAAAAAAATTATTTTCTTTTCAGATTTCTGGTTAGAAAACATCTTTATCTCCTTTTCTATGCTTAAATACATGAACTTTTAAGTATTATTAGGTACAAATGCTTAGTCTCCATAAGACTATCTTGAAATATATTAAAAATCAGCTTTTCCTTCAATATGATGTTTTTATTTCAGGTTGAAAGCCTACATTCGCTCTCAGACTGGGGTTCAGATTTTAATGAAGATTGAATATATGCAGCAAAATTTAGTAAGGTAAAATTGCTCCCCTCCCCATTTCTTTAAATATTTTTTAGTTCTGTAATATAATTAAGTAGCTTGATTAGCTCAAGTTATTAAACTAATTATCTAGCTATGAACATGACTTTTACTTTTCAACTTTCAAGTCAAATTCAAAATAATCAGACTTATAGGATAAATTGGGTTGAAAAATCACCCTGGTTAGAATATTTTATTTTCCGTCAACTGATATAGGGGAAATAGAATATTTTAAAATATAAGCATTCTTTTATTTGTTCTATTGTGGTTTACTTCACTGAGCTTTACAGGTATTGCATTCTTTACAAATTGAAGGTTTGTGGTAACTGCATTGAGCAAGTCTATCTGCACCAGTTTTCCAACAGCACATGTTCAGTTCAAGTCTATGTGTCACAGTTTGGTATTTCTTGCAATATTTCAAACTTTTTCGTTAGCACTATATCTGTTATGGTGACCTGTGATACAGTAGTAACACTTTAATGTTACTTCTGTAATTGCTTTGGGTGCACCACAATATAAGGTGGCAGCCTTAAATGTGTGTGTTCTGACTGCTCTACCAACCACTCATTCACCCATCTCTCTCACTCTCCTCAGGCCTCCCTATTCCTTGAGACACAATAATATTGAAATTAGGCCAATTAATAACCACACAATGGCCTGTGAGTGTTCAAGTGAAAGGAAGAGTCACATCTCTCACTTTAAATCAAAAGTGGAATGATTAAGCTTAGTGAGGAAGGCATGTTGAAAGCCGAGATAGGCTGAAAGCTAGGCCTCTCCTGCTAGTTAGTCAAGTCGTGATTGCAAAGGAAAAATTCTTGAAGGAAATTAAAAGTGCTACTCCAGTGAACACAAGAATGATAAAAAAGTAAAACAGTCTTTTTTTTTTTTTTTTTTTTGAGACGGAGTTTCACTCTTGTTGTCCAAGCTGGAGTGCAATGGCGTGATCTCGGTTCACCGCAACCTCCGCCTCCCAGGTTCAAGCGATTCTTCTGCCTCAGTCTCTTGAGTAGCTGGGATTACAGGCATGTGCCACCACGCCCGGCTAATTTTGTATTTTTAGTAGAGACGGGGTTTCTCCATGTTGGTCAGGCTGGTCTCAAACTCCCGACCTCAGGTGATCTGCCTGCCTCAGCCTCCCAAAGTGCTGGGATTACAGGCGTGAGCCACCGCGCCCGGCCAGTAAAACAGTCTTATTGCTGATAGGGAGAAAGTTTTAGTGGTCTGGATAGAAGATCAAACCAGCCCGAACATTCCCTTAAGCCAAAGCCTAATCCAGAGCTAGGCCCTAACTCTCAACTCTATGAAGGCTGAGAGAGGTGAGGGAGCTGCAGAAGAAAAGTTTGAAGCTAGCAGAGGTTGGTTCATGGGGTTTAAGGAAAGAAGCCATCTCTATAACCTGTGGGTTATGTGTGGGGTGAAGCAGCAAATGGTGATGTAGAAGCCACAGCAGGTTATCCAGAAGATCTAGCTAAGATAACTGATGAAGGTGGCTACACTAAACAGATTTTTCAATGTAGACAAAATAGCCTTGTATTGAAAGAAGATGGCATGTAGGACTTAGCTAGAGAGGGGAAGTAAATGCCTGCCATAAAAGCTTCAAGGGATGGACTGACCCTCTTGTTAGGGGCTAATGCAGCTGGGGACTTAAAGTTGAAGCCAGTGATCATTTACCATTCCAGAGATCCTAGGGCCCTTAAGAATTATGCTAAATCTATTCTGCCTGTGCTCTGTAAATGGAACAACAAAGCCTGGATGACAGCACATCTGTTTATGGCATGGTTTACTGAATATTTTAAGT
The DNA here is from genome assembly GCF_000001405.40 of Homo sapiens. Taxonomy (NCBI): domain Eukaryota; kingdom Metazoa; phylum Chordata; class Mammalia; order Primates; family Hominidae; genus Homo; species Homo sapiens. The sequence continues at coordinate 85,675,434 of NC_000001.11, read as the reverse complement.
CTACTGCTCAGAAAAAAAAGTTTGTTTTCAAAACATTGCTGCTTATTGACAACTTCGATCCTCTTTGGGACTCTAAAGAAGGAAAGTTATAACATTAGAGTGAGGACCTTAAAGGAAAATGAAGCACAGGGGAGTTGAATGCCTAGAGCTAGGTCATGTGAGTTTCATTTAAGCATACTTCTTTGACGTATTTTTTGTTTAGATTTATCCCATTTGGCTCTTTGTTAAAATAAGTCTTAATGTTTTGACTTGTAGCTTTCTGAGTTGTGGTCTCTGGGTATCCTGATTCCTTTCTATGCAATGGCATGAGAGCAGTTTCCTTAACTGCTCCCTTTGGGGACATAACATCTTACGGGCATTACTGCAGCTCTTCTCAAAAACCCTGGTATGCTAGGACAAAGAGATTTCCATCCACTTCGGCTCTTCATGGACTTACAGTACACATTTCCAACTTAAAAAATAACTGTTCTCTGGGCCCAAGCAGTGTGTCCTATACTATAAATTTTAAAATACTCAGTATCCCCTGTTTATCTTTTATTACCAAGAATTCTGATTTCCTTGAATTTTGGAAGAAGAGGCTATTTTGTCAGAGTCAAGTTTGACTGGCTTAGGTGAGTGGACACATTAGCCCTCAGAGATATTCTCTTAGTAGGCTTGTGAGACTAAAGCCATGGTCTCATGGCTTAAAACATGAGTAACATTTAAATGAACTAATTAGATAAAATATGGCACATGGCAAGAAAGGAACTGAATTTAGAAGATGAAACAGATAATAAAAGAATTATGTAATGATTGACTAGAGGTAAATTCCAAGGAAACAATGTAAATTATTTTGTTTAAACATGAATTACGTGGAATTGATTTTAGGATTTTACTAAACAAAACTGACCTTTTTAATCGCCAAAGTGAAGGGAATAGTAGATTAATAAAGTAAAAAGTAAGTGGTGTTGACTATAAGGAATACCTAGAATAGACTGATTTGATACTAAACCTGAGCCTAGCTGGGTGCCTGTGGCTCATGCCTGTAATCCCAGCACTTTGGGAGGATGAGGCAGGCAGATTGCTTGAGCTCAGGAGTTTGAGACAAGCCTGAGAAACATAGCAGGACCTCGTCTCCGAAAAAAAAAAGAAAAAGATAAACCTGAGCCAGTCTGAGGAACATGAAAGTACTTTCACTCTACCTTATCTGTGGAGAAAGCTTATCTTCCAAATTCCCCCATTTTTGCTATTGACTCGAACTAAGTAATATATGAAAATACTATCAAAGCAAAGGAAGGGGGAAAAGGTTATGTCCCAGGTCCAATTTAAAAATTGCCATTCTGTTTAGCCTTGAGTAGTGATGGCATCATTTGACAGCAATAATAATGTCAGAAATTCCTGTTGAGGTAGCTTTCTTCTTGAAGTTGGACCTAAATTGGCATAGGGCATCTTTATATTTCTGATTATTAGGTCAGCCACAAAGCATAGTTATGCTAATTTCTAAAGAACCTCAATTTTATAAGTATTTTGTAGTCATAAGTAATGAAGTTAGATAGTATAGAGATATATTTAGGCGTAGATTTTTATTTTTTATCAGATTTTTAAAACATAATGTTCTCTGTAACATACTCATGAATGGACTAAGATGAGCATTTACATTTGATTGGTACATCCTTAAAGGAAAGTACATTACAGTTACATCCTTAAAGGAAAGTACATTCAGAGAACATCTAAGGAAAATTATTATAGGTTATAAATGTTAAGCTCTAATTTAAGATAAGCATTCTAAATAGAACCATTTTATTAATTTCCTGAAAAGTGCTTAGAAATCAGAAACATGTAGTTTCTTTGTGGCTGTTTAATTCTACATTTACAGCATTACAGTAACTTCAGAGTAAAGTCTTTTTACCAAATACTTGATGTTGCCAGTTTCCATTGGTTTTACTTTCCATTCTTGGAAGGTATATAGCAATTGTCTCATGATATAGATATACCTGGTCAGCTAGAGCATGCTTAAGTTTTTTCCAGGTTTTAGCTTTGCCATACATGACTTATTTTTTAAATTGCGATCCTAGAATGTATGTCTAATCTAAGGAATTCGCTACTGATCTGTTTGGGAGTTTTCTTTCCAGAATACATAGGGTCTGAATTTATCTCTTAGAAAAGCTATTATAGCTTTTTAAATAAATTCACTTATTCATTCAGCAAACAGTGAGTATGCCAAAGTCTAGATGCTGTTCTAGACATTGAGGCTATGGCAGTAAAGAAGAGTGTTCCTGCCCCTGTGGAGAAGATCATTCATGTAAGATGCTTGTGTTAGTAAAGCCATTCTTGCCCTTTGCCGCCTTATTTCTTACCAACTTTCTATTCTCAGAAAGTAAATGAGTGGTTTTGGACTAGAAAAGCCTATGTTGCTAAATGTCAGGCACTATCAGAGGGCAGCTGTTGTATTACTGCCCACTTAAGTTACTACTGACTGAAGAATTTATAAAACAACCAACTTTGTCTATTCAAGTACAGTTTTCCAAATCTATTAAATTTTAAGCCTGGATTTTACTTTTATGGAATTATTTACCAGAAAGAAATTTAGATACATTTTGTTTTTTATGTTTACTTTGCTGCTTTGATACTTGTAAATCTTCGTGGTTTTTTTTTTTTTTGTGATTTAAGCAGTTATAGGATGATCCTTTCCAAATTTATTCAAAAAAAACCATTAAGTACATTTAATCTTCTAGGCATATAAATAAAAATTGGAGTTTATACAAGAATGAATAAAATACAGTTCTGTTGTAGTAAGGAAAACAGACACACTGTATATATCATAAGAAACCTATGTCTAAGTCTTAAAAGTGATGTGGAAGGTAGCAGGTATCCTCATGTCATCAGAAGGCTTTGTTGTGGAAGTGATGTTTGATTTTTATTAAAGGTGAATGGCCTATGACTAGGAGAGGGTACAGAGGGCCTTAAGAAGTGCAAGGGCATGGTATGTCATAAACAAGGCAAGTAAGTGATTTGAGGAGGTTGGAGTGTATAGATGTATGCAGAGCAGTATTTTTTAAACTTTTTTTTAAAAGTTAAGGTTGAAGAGTTAGTTCAAGACCCAATACTAACGCTGTCTGGATCTGGTCTCCTTGGCAGTAGAAAACTGTAAAAATCTAGCAAAAAAAAAGCAGTAAGACTTGGTGATCAAGTTGGCTATAGGGAGCAATAAATAGGAATCAAAGGTGACTACAGTTTCTGGCATGATTGCTGTTTACAGAGAGATAAAAGTAAGGTCTGGAGAGGCTAAGAGCATGTTGAGTTTCATGTAGGGGTGGCATCATTTTCAGGAACACTACTTTTGAAAAGAATGACCTTACTCTACTAATTATTAGGATATCTTCAGAGTGAAACTGTATACTAGTAAAAAATAGTAATATTATCCTTCCAGAATACATAATCTGTGTAGTATACCTTACTTTACTTTATGAGGCTCTAGACTAGACTTTTTAGACCAAAAGTTTCACCATTACAAATAGTACATTTATTATAATAAATAAAAGTTTATTGTAACTGCTTCCTAAGCCTAAACCAAATCATGAGAACTTCCAGAATAACCTTTTTGCTCTTATGCAAAAATGTACATCAGAGATTTGCTGTAAAGTCAAAATTGTGTTTTTAATTTGATACATACCTTGGAAAGTTACTAAGCCTGTTTTCCCATCTAAAAGTGGGAATCAGAACAGAAATGATACTGCATCGTTGTAAAGATTAATTTGAGTTAATATTTGTCAGCTACTGAATACAGTGCCTGGCACCCAGAAAATCACTCCTGTGTATTATTCAAGTATTTTGAGTTTCAACTAGAACATCATGCTGAAATGATTCAATGAACGTAAGAGGTGTTTAAGTTCCACATGTCTGGTAGTAGTTAACTGTATCGTGTATTACTTTTTTTGTTTATTTGTTTAACAGCTTCTTTTGACCAAATTCATTTTGAAAAAAAAAAATTTTTTTTTTAAGAGACAGGGTCTTACTGTGTTGCCCAGGCTGGAATGCAGTAGCACAAGCATAGCCTCACTGCAGCCTTGAACGCCTGAGGTCAAGAAATCTTCCTGCTTCAGCCTCCTGCATAGCTGAGGCCCTAGGCATGCATCAGCCATATAATTTCTTATACTTCTGGGATATACTTCAAATGTAATATTAGCTATACATTCCCAACAGGCCACTCACCACTAAACACAAGGGAGCAGATAACCAGTTGTGTTTGTTAACATTTCTTTTGACATAATTGGATATTGGAAGAATATGAGAGATTTCAGGAACTTAAGATATTGTCAACTTATTTCTGTAGAAATTACTCCCAAATCTAGATATAGTTTTAACCTTTCTCCCAACCTCCAAATCTTGGTTTCCAGCTATCTTCATTTACACATCTCATTAAATCTTAAGCTCAACATGTCTAGATTTCATTACACTGCATCTATTTCTTCCTGATGTGTGTGTTTCGAATTTAATGGACTGACTGTTCCTGGCATCGAGTAAGCAGTCAACAAATGTTGGTACGCATTTTCTATTACTGGCACTGTTGTTCTAGTAAGCCAGGCGTAAGACCTTGCAGCTCAGCATCTTCAACTACTTCTTGACTTCTACCTTGCCACCTTACCTTGTGTAATTGACATCCACAATGAGTCTTCCATTTGTCCTTTCTTCTCCATTCCTTTTATGTAGACTATTAGTTACCAGTGTCTGCAACAGAGTTCATTTCCTTCCCCCAAACTGGATATAATTTCTGTATCTTTAGAACCTTAAAAGTGTTTTGCATTTCTCATAGGTTTCTATAAATTTGACTTATTTTATCCCAATAAAACTTAAATCACATGATGATTAACTCTCTTTTGAAGACAGTGGTTGCCGTAGGCATCTTCATTTTTATATTTCCTGCAGAGTTGTGTTAGTGACTTTTCCACAGTAAGTGTTCAGTCTTAATTTTTTAATCAGTGTGCTAATTCATTAAAATATATATATGTGTGTATATATATGTATATATGCCTGCTGTATGCTAGGTATTGATGCCACGTTAATACCCTTAAGCAGGGCTTGGGCAACTTTTCCTTTAAATGGCCAGATAGTAAATATTTTCCAGCTTTGTGGGCCATTTAGTCATAATTAGTCAATTCTACCATTGTAGCACGTAAGCAACTATAGACCACTTAAACGAATGGACATGACTAGAATATGGTCCAGTAAAACTTTATTTACAAAAACAGATAGTGGGCTGGATTTGGCCTCCTGGCTGTAGTTTGCCGATTCCTGCTCTAAAGGGTTTTTTTTATTGGTTTACATGATATCTGTATATCATGTAAACAGTTGGGGGCTTCAATTCTCAATGAAGAGAGAGAGAGAAGATTGTAACAAGGGCCTAGTATAATTTAAAAGTTACTTCAGAAAGTGTAGTACCTGCTCAGGGTCAGGCTTTTTGATACATGAACCTGACCTAAAGTATCAGTTAAGATTGATCAGGTCTGTATTTTTCATTTATTCAGTTAATTTTCATTGAGCCCCTTCCATGTGCTAGCCCAGTGCTAATACCTAGGGATATATAGACATCTACAAGACTAGCCCTCAAAGAGCTAGGTGGGAAGAATGATATGTGATAAATACCGCAAAAGATAGATACTTAAAATACAAGGCATAAAAGGTGCCCAGTGGAGGGCATGGGCATCTTTGCATGGACACTCCAGACTTAATCATTTCTTGATGGAAAGATAAACCATTGCCTTCACTTTGCTTCCAGAATTTTTCTTGTAAAGCCAAGAATTTAGATTTAAACCCAAGCCCAGGTTAAAGTATTACCTAAGCTTTGATTTCATGGATATCACAAAAATTTTTACTGTTCATGCGCATATTATCCTGTTGTACTTGCACAGAGCCTATTAGTTGTTTCCTCCTGTGCTGGTTTTAGTTAATAATTTTGGAATGCTTTTTGTTTGAAAAGCAACCAGCAAAAGTATGAGCTATTTCTCTTGGATGATTTTATTTCCATGCTGAGAGGATGTTTTTAAATTTTAAAAACTAAGGCTATTTTACCTTCCTTGGAACTTTATGGATCTTTAATCTAAAATATTTTAAAATCGTTTTCAGTGAAGTGAAGAGGTAAAATGCTTTTTCCTATCTCCTTTTTGAGAAATTGATTTTACCTGTGTAAAGGCCTCAGGTGAGCCCCACCTGACCTCTTTTGGCTTGCACCCACTCACTAGCAAGAAAAGACCCCCTTTCACTACTGGCCAGTTATTCTTCCTTCCTGTAAACCTCTCCCCAGTGGAACATGTAACCTGTATTTCTTTTCAGAACAATGCTTCTCAGATTTCAGTATCCATAATAATAGTCTAGGGCAGTTGTTGAAAATGTTGATTTCCAAACCACTCTCTTAGGGTTCTGGTTTAGTAAATCTTACATAGGACCCAGAAACCTACATTTTTTTTTTTTACAATCTCTGTCTCCCAAGGGTGACCATGATATAAGTTTTTCCTGGGACCACACTTTGAGAAACACTGGCCAGGTTGGTAAACTCTTTGAGGACATTTTTGGTTCCCACACAATGTCTAACATGTGACAAGTTTTTGGTAGATATATTCAGTTGAGTTGTTGAAGTTGTATAAAGAAACATGTCAATTGATATTAGAATGGATTTTTTTAAAATCACATTTTACCTCCTTAAAGATTAGTCTGTGCTCTTTGCCTAATTGAACTAGAAATGGAAAATTAGATGACTTTGTTTTAGACTTACAGTGAATAATTGAAAAATATACTTTGAAGATACTCTAAATAGGAAATTTATAAGATGTGTGTTAAAAGTTAGAACTTAAAAATTATTTTGAGAATAGTGCAGAATTAAGTATATACTGGAGAACACTGAAGAAATTCCAGAATTTCTAAGAACAGTATTAACTATTTTCAGATGTCTTTTCTTATGTAAACAGCCAGAGACATTTCTGCCTAAGATCCCCTGAAAATAACTGTTGAAGAATTAGTGAAGAATAAGAGCTTGCTCTCTAGATGGGATTACGTAAACTTCCTCTTGTTTTCCTTTTGAAATTTGATTCTGTTAATGGATACCAAGTTGATAAATGGGGGAAAATCATTTAATCTAAGAATCAATAGTGAACAACCATGCCTTTAATAGAAGATGCCATCATCAGTGCTCGTCCATCATGTTGAGATGTTTTTCAAAAATAACTTAATTTGTTTGTAATATATTTGTGATGTTTTGATCAATTTGATGTTAATAATAGTTAAAATTATTCAGTTCAGAAGAAATTTTATTATTTAAAACGTAAAGGTCATAGGTAATGAAATTAAATTTTACTTTACATTACATTTTTGTTGCAGAGAAGGTCAGGTATAAACATACTACTTGGTATAAAATTCTGCAAGAGAATCGGAATGGAAAAACAGAACAAGTAAGATTTCTAACTTAGAAAGCAGAGCATATATATATATATATATATATATTTTTTTTTTTTTTTGAAAGAGAGAGTGAGTGAATGAGTCTCACTCTGTTGCCCAGGCTAGAGTGCAGTCGCGCAATTTCAGCTCATTGCAACCTCTGGCTTTTGGATTCAAGCAATTCTCGTGCCTCAGCCTCCCAAGTAGCTGGGATCACAGGCACACACTACCACACCTGGCTAATTTTTGTATTTTTGTAGAGAGACAGGGTTTTGCCATAGTGGCCAGGCTGGTCTCAAACTGCTGGCCTCAAGTGATCTGCCTGCCTCAGCCTCCCAAAGTGCTGGGATTACAGGTGTGAGCCACCACACATGGCCATTATTCTTTTTTTTTTTTTTTAATGGATGATATTGATGTTAAATTACCATGATATTTACAGTCTAGTGAATTTCCTTAAGGGTGATATATTTCATCTTAAAACATCAATATTCACAATACACCATAAATTATGTTCTTTGCATCTACTTAAACTTGTAGGATGTCAATTTAAGAATGTACAAAAGTATCATTGTTTTTCACAATTATTTTAGGTTATGTTTAAGCAAAACAATGTGAAGGCCCTGAATAAGTTTTCCCAAACACACACAAGAATTGTTTCCTGCAAGAGTTATTTAAAATCAAGGTTAAATCTGGGGGCTAATATGTATCTTTATGGAATATAGTAAGTATGAATGACATACTTTTATTGAGTGCCTTACTATTATTTAGGTACTCTGGTAAGCACTTCGTACATATTGTAATTGTATTATTATTAAATGGATAGCCCGTCTACAGCTGTATGACCACTAAACGGTAGAACCTAGATCCAAACCTAGGTCTGCCTGCACTCAAAGCCTTAGTATGTTCTTTGCAATATAGTATATGCCTCTCAGCACCATAAATAATCATAATGCATGTTCTCAGATTATGTGAAACCCAACCACAGTTCTTTGTTATACCTTTTTGGGATTGTTGTTTATTTTTCAAAGTAATCATGGTCAAGATGAGTATGTGTTCAGAATGGCATTAACTTTTGACCACGTTTTGGATATAGATTCTAAAAGAAAGCGAGAATAAAACAAAGAACAAAGGAAGCATCATTTAAGGATTATAGCAATTCTGTATTCTATTACAGAACAAAGGAATCATCATTTAAGGATTAGAAAATGTTAGAGTTAACCTGAAGAATGTCCACACACAGAAAGGGAATATGTCAAGTGGTTTGCTAAACTTTTTTTATCATCTCAAAGATGATACTCTTCCAGTGATGGAATGGGCTTCATATGTGGTATTCTTGTTAAAGCAGTTTTATGATAAGAATTGTTAACTTAGCTTTAAGAAAGCTGAAGCTCAGCTAGTTGGCACAGTTCGGTGAGTGTTTACCGGACAGATATAAGCTCAACTATTGAGGTCTCGGTAGCTTTCAACCTGAGAAGGTTAGTTTGAGAGCCTGTATTTGAAGTGATCCAAAGTGATGTGATGGTCAAATTCTTGGCAGATTGTAAGCCTACAATTTCTATAGTGATAATCTTACTTCAAATATATTCTATTCTGATTCTTGGTTAAGGAAATTATGTGAAATATAAAATGTGAGTTTTCTCTAAAAACAAGTGATATTTTAGCGTAATGTTAATCTACTAAACTTACCTATCCTTGTTATGTTATAGAATATTTTGTGACCAATTTAAATGTTAGGCACCAAAACTGTGAATTCTATGTGTATTCCAATACCCATTCTCTGCTCAGTACTTTAAACATATCCGCTCTCTACCCAGTTCCATAGACCTAGCTCTCTCCTCCTATCTTTACCTTACACATATACTTTCTTCCTGGAAAGTCTGTCCTTTCACCTCTAGTAAATTCCTTATAGTACACCATTGTATTCCCAGTGCCAAGAACAGTGTCTGGAACATGGTAGACTCTCAGTAAATATTTGTTGAATGAGGAATGAATGAACAAGCACACAGTTGAGTGAAAGAAATCACAAAATTGGCTTTATAGTCCCAACTCTCCATTTTCTTGAGAGACCCTGAGTAAGATACTTAACTTCTCAGGGCTTCAGTATACTTAACTGGAAGACAAAAAAGACTGGGTTGTAAGTTCCTGCCAACTCTAAAATAATACCATTCTATAATGTAGTTAATTCATGGACTGTTGAACCTCTAAGCAAAAGTTTCTCTGAGGAACCTAATCATATTTTGCAAGGTAATATACATCCTAATAAAGACTGAAGATGTAAGAGTCTGTACTGATGAGACACTTGCATTCAGTTTTAGCTTCAAAGGAAATGTATGTTTTGTTAGCAAGATTAAGACTAAAGATTAAGATTTAAAATCCCTACATTAATTAGAGGGGAAAAAAGTGCATGGAGGAGAAAGAATTTTAAGAAACAAATAATTAACAATACTGTATTGTATACTTGAAATTTGCTAAGAGGGTACATTTTAAGTGTTCTTATCACAAGAAAAAAGAAAAAAATGCTATGTAAGGTGATGGATATGTTAATTAGCTTGATTATGATATTATTTCACAACATATACATACATCAGAATATCAACTTGAGGCCGGCACAGTGGCTCACACCTGTTGTAATCCCAACACTTTGGGAGGCTGAGGCAGGAGGATCATTTGAGCCCAGGAGTTTGAGACCAGCCTGGGCAACATAGGGAGACCCTGTCTCTACAAAAAAAAATAAAAATCAAATTGTATACCTTAAATAATATATATAATTCCTATTTGTCAATTATACCTCAATAAAATTGAGCAAAAAAAGAATATGAACCAATTAAGGAGAGGTGTTAGCTAGGGTTAGGAACTGAATTACCTAGATAGTGAAGACCCTGTGCAGCCTGCAAGAACAAAGGACATTTGGATGTTGGTACTGAACAAGAGAGGTTTGGGAGGCTGAGGCAGGCAGATCACCTGAGGTCAGGAGTTTGAGACCAGCCTGGCCAACATAGTGAAACCTGTCTCTACTAAACATACAAACATTAGCCGAGTGTGGCAGCATACACCTATAGTCCCAGCTACTCGGGAGGCTGAGGCAGGAGAATCGCTTGAACCCGAGAAGCAGAGATTGCAGTGAGCTGAGATCGTGCCTCTGGACTCTAGCCTGGGTGACAGAGCGAGACTGTGTCTCAAAACAAAACAAAACAACAACAGAACGAGAGAGAATATTTACTGAGGATCTACTTAGCTTTACTTTTTTTTTTTAACTTTTAGGTTCAGGGGTACGTGTACAGATTTGTAATATGGGTAAAATCATGTCACAAGGGTTTGTTGTACAGATTATTTCGTCACGCAGGTACTAAACCTAGTACCCAGTAGTTATTCTTTCTGCTCCTTTCCCTCCTCCCACCCTCCACCTTCACCTAGTTCCTAGTTCTTTGTGTCCATGAGTTCTCATCATTTAGCTCCCACTTATAAGTGAGAACATGTGGCATTTGGTTTTCTGTCCTGCATTAGTTTGCTAAGGATAATGCATGAAGATTCAGGAGAATGGCAAGCCCCAATCCAAGGAAACTAAGAATCACAATAAAACAGTACAGGAGCTGACAGACAAAATAGCCAATGTAAAAATGAACCTAACAGATCTGACAAAGCTGAAAAATACACTTCAAGAATTTCACAGTGCAATCACTGTATTAACAGCAGACTAGACCAAGCTGAGGAAAGAATCTCAGAAATTGAAGATGGGTTCTCTGAAATAAAGCAGACAAAAATAAAGAAAAATGAATGAAAGGAATGAACAAAACCTCTGAGAAATATGGGATTATGTAAAGAGGCCAAATCTACGAATCATTGGCATCCCTGAAGGGGATGGGGAGAAAGCAAACAACTTGGAAAACACATTTTAAGATATCGTCCATGAAAACTTCCCCATCCTTGCTAGATAGGTTAACAGTCAAATTCAGGAAATACAGAGACCCCTGCAATATTCTCCACAAGAAGATCATCCCTAAGATACATAATCGTCAGATTTTCCAAGGTCGAAATGAAAGAAAGAATGAAATGAAAAGCAGCTAGAGAGAAGGGGCAGGTCACCTACAGAGTGGCTACAGAGACGGATCACCTACACCGGGCTAACAGCAGAAACTCTTTACAAGCCAGAGAGTTTGGGGGCCTATATTCAACATTGTTAAAGAAAAAAATCTTCAACCAGGAATTTCATTTCCAGCTAAACTAAGTTTCTTAAGCAAAGGAGAAATAAGATTCTTTTCAGATAAGCGAATGTTGAGGGAGTTTTTTACCACCAGACCTGCCTTACAAGAGATCTTGAAAAGAGTACTAACTATAGAAAGGAAAAACCATTACTAGCCAGTGTCACTTTACATTTCTATCATGATACTTGTGCCAATGAATGCAATAGCTGTTTGTCTGCCTCCCCCCATAAAGTGCAAGGTTTATTTCTATGAACTTCCATTACCTAGCAGACTACCTGTGCATAGTAGACACTAAGTAAATATTTGAGCAATCAATTGAAGAATAAATGCCAGGCTAATGCTTATAACATTTTCACATGCATTAATTCTAATAAAGTATGTACTATGTCTTCTCTACTTTACCTGATTAGGAATCGTAGGCTCTGAAAAATTGACTTACCCAAAGAAACTAAGTTTGTACAGTTTATAAGGCTAAGATTTGGACTCAGACCTGTTTGTCAAGAGTTCAGTTCATGCTTTTTCTACTAACTAGTCTCTGTCTCTGTCATAAATCATAAATATAATTCCTGATAAGTATGTCATTTCCTTGCTAGGAGTGCCAAATTACTTTTGGAGTATAAAATCTTATTACTGATGCTAGCTTAGCAAGTTACACTTTGGAAACATTTTCACCTGTTATAGTCCTTACAAACTAACCCATGAGTAGGTATCTTTCCTACCATTATATTGATGGGCAAAACTGAGTCTCCTTGTGGAGTTATAGCTCATAAGGACCAGTGATAAGACTGGAACTCAAGCCTTGTGGATTTAAAAGTAATTGAATTTACCAGCGAAAATCAGAAAAGATTTCAAAGAAATAATATCTAGAACAAGTCAGAGCCTTGTAAGCCCCTCTTTAAAACAGGTTTTAAAATATATAGTTGGCCATTTTATTTAACCACATCCATAGTTTAAATATCATGGTTAGAATAGGATAATTTACCAAATGCAGTTCTGAACTGGTGAGCTTTCTGAATTAAGACATATGTCTGTACTACACAATTCATGATCTACTCTCCATGTCAAGCAGGTATCGTCCTCATTTATGTGGATATATAAAAATCCCAAAACAAAGTGCATCAAACCACTAACTTAACTACTGTGATTTTTAAAATATGAAAACTAAGAGAGATTGGGTGAGAAAAAGATTAACTATGGCAAAATCCTTTTCTATATGACTTGAACATTAGGAGTTGCAAAAATTGTTACACAGAAGTATTATTTGGAGAAATTTTAAATAATACCTTTTAAAGTTTAAATAAAAGAAGAATTAAAACTTTTTTGGAATAATTTAGTTGAACTTTTAATCTAGAAACCTAGATTGAGAAATAAATACAACTGTGAAAAAATATAGTTAAGTATCAAAAATTGTAGAAATTTAGAGCTGAAGGGATCTTAGTGATCACCTAATTCAATGATCTTATTTTAGTGGAAAAATACTGTGGCCTAGGGCCTGCTACTAGATTGCTAAATTTGGAGAAATTCAAACTTAGTTTTGGTATTTTTTAGCAGGTGGAAGGGGCGATGATCCATGGAGTGTCAGTGATCAGATGGGACATAAAGTGGTTTGTGATTTCGTTTCTTTAAAAACTTGTCTTTTGTGGTTATGAGGAGGTTTTTTTTTTTTTTTTAAAGCACACTAATTTGCTAATAAAGTACAGAGAAAGAAGTTCAAGAGCTTGGCCTGTTTCTTTGAAAGTTAGTGACAGAGTCAAGATTAAAAGCACACCCTTGATTATCATGACAACTTTTATTTATATATGTCACTGTAACACCTGTTTGGCCCACTGAGCCGTTCTGCCCTCATAATGCGCCCATGAGGCTGCCCAGAGCAGGGTCAGCCAGTGAACCTGTGAGGGTGAGCAAGTGAAATAACAAGAGGAAATGTCTAAGAAGGGTCCCAGAGGGCAAGAGAAAAGACAAATGTTAGTATCTTAATTCCTCCAAACCTAAGTAGTTTGTCTTATGGTAGCAGAGACATTATATTAATGGAAATACCAGAGTTTGTGAAAATTTCAAAAAGATAAAGCTGTCCCTTAGGATTCAGTAGCTTAATGGCTTGCAAAGGAGCTAAACCTAAGTGTTTTAGGCAGTGCAAAGCTGGGCTCTTAAAACTTGCTTCAAGATAGTGGAAACAGAAACATTCAAAGTACCTTTATCTTCTTGGAAGTAAATGTGACAATAAAATAATGATTTGAAGGTCATACAGAAAGTTGTAAGGCTACATTTAAAATGCAAAATGCACATAAAGGCAGTATGTTCACTGCTAATGAAATCCAGTGACTTTGTCCTGAACTAGAGTTTCTATAGGAAAGTGTTGTTATTTTTGGTAAATAAAAATATAAAACAAACACATGTGCTTAGGGCTTAAATAAATGAGTGAGCAGTTTCTGTGTTTTATCATTTAGCCCTCACAGTAACTCTCTGAAGTGATACTGTCATTATCCCCATTTTCAAGCATGGAAACTGAGGATTAAATAACTTAAGTAACTTGTCCAGGATCACAGACCAGTGAATGATGGAGCCGGAACTTTAACTCAGCGTTAAACTCCAAACCCAAACAACCAGTAAAAGTTATTGCTTCATTTAACTAAATTCCAAGTCCATAAAATATTAACCCCATATGTGTCTGATAGGCTTTCTTTATGAACAGTTTACAAAATTTACTTTTAAATTACTGATAAATATTAATGGTAGATTAAGAGTAACCACTTGTAGTAGAAAAATCTAAGAAATTCAGAATTTCAGCTAAAAGATTATTTAGTGAAATCTGAACGCTTCATTTAACAGGTTGGAAAGCTGTGGCCCAGAAGCTTACTGACACTCAATAGCGTATTGCTGATTAGAAGTTTGCAACATTTTAGGCTAAACACTAAATAAAATCCACTGATTCTAATCAAAACCACACAACATACCAGATTTTCATTGCATAAAATATTTTTAAAATAATTTATCAGTTGACAAGCCTCTTATAAATCTTTGCATCCTTAGTGCTTTTTAAGTGCCTGCTTAGCATGTAAAACAGGAACCAAGTTTTTTTAAGTATAATCATTACAGTTTCAGGATCCAAGTAAGTGTAATCATTACAGTTTCAGGATCCAAATAAGTGTAATCATTACAGTTTCAGGATCCAAATAAGTGTAATCATTACAGTTTTAGGATCCAAAGCATGTTTAACTTGTTGCATAGTAATTTTTATGTACCTCTGAACATTCCTCTGCTAGGAACATATTTTATATCAGCAATAATTTTAGGCTCTGATTCTCATGTGGCCTTTGAAGAACTCTTTTTGTTGCTTCTTGGTTTCAGCTTTGGAAATCTAGAGAAACCCAATTAAGATTTAATATTACAAAAAGAAATCAGATACCTAAAACATTAAATATGCACTGAAAATTATTTACCAAAAACTGAAACAAGTAAAAAACATTCCCTTATTTGAAAAATGCCTTTCATTAGAAGCCTTATGATTTAGCTAAAATGCACAGAAGATAAGTTATTGCCAAGTGCTTGTAGGATGCCACTTGAAAAGTTCCTGTTTGAGAGTCCAGGTCTTATTTCCTCCCAAGAAAAATTTAGTTATCACCATTTTATATTTTACTTTGTAAGTTAATCTTTTACTTGGGTATCTGATATAATCTCATTTTTCTTTTTTATATAATTGCTACTAACTTTGAAAAAAACACTGCTTATTTCAAAGAGAAATAATGTTTAAAAGATGTGAAGCATTTAATCCTTGAATGCTGGAAACACTTTTAAAGTATTGTAAGTACATCTGTATTACATTACACACAGGGAAAAGAATGTATGAATTCTATGATCTGTGGGCACTAAGGTGGCTGGTTTAGAAAAACAGTATTTTGCATTTCAAGTTTCTTTTCAACATAAAGAATATTCTGCAATTTTAAAAAGAATAATTCCAGGCTGGGGTGTGTGGTCAGGGAAGCATAAGTAAAGTTTTGGTTTTACAGTTGTTCTCTAACTTTAGTAAGCTTGGCTCTGCATTTTGTTAAGCACTTTTATATTTTTCCTGATTTGAAAACGATTGCGTGAGACAAACTCAGAACATGGAGAAATCACTACATCACATTTCTTAATGAGTGTCCTGCATGTCTTACTCAGCTATGATTATGGTGCAGATAATTTTTTACTAATTAAGAAATACCAAAGTTTGTGAATGATTTACTCTTAAAATTACAGCAAATTTAAATGTATCCCAATGATAACCTCACTCTTGATCACTTGTGTTCCAGTGTGCTTTTTTGAGCAGGAGATAAAAGGATGGAGTTACAGCCATTAGGCTGGATCTCATGAGATATGTGTTTTGCATGTGAATATCACCTGTCATTGGTAGAGATGAATAAAAATGCTGGAGAACTTCTGCACTAGACTGGTTGACATGTTCTCAGCTTTTTCTTCTTTGACATGAAATGACATTAACATGCCAACATATTCTCATATGTACCCGCTAGTGAGCTAGCTAGAATTCCACCCCTTTCACTCCCACCCCAGAAAGCAAGCAAGAATGAATGTTCTGGGGATGCATTTTCAGCCACCTCAGACTTATTTTTTTAAAGTAATGATTTGAGAATTTCATGCTTTAATGACCATTAGCATCTAATTACCTGTGACACATTTGGCAGCTATGTCACGATAAACTCTGTATTTCTTAAATTTTACATGGCAATATAAATTTCTGGAAACCAGTTATAATTAGAATAATTGACTTTTTTCCAAAAGCCAATTTTGTAACCAGTTATTTTATTGCCATGTTACTAGAAATTGTCATAAGGTGATTGGTTGTCTTTAAGGCTCAAAATAAATATATTTGAGGAATTCAAATAGTTAGCTCATCATTCTTTTATTCAAGAAAAATAACAACATAAATATTATTATTATTTTATTTTTTTATTTTTTTGAGGCAGAGTTTCACTCTTCTTGCCCAGGCTGGAGTGCAGTGGCACGATCTTGGCTTACTGCAGCCTCCGCCTCCTGGATTCAAGCGATTCTCCCACCTCAGCCTCCCGAGTAGCTGTGATTACAGGCATGTGCCACCATGCCGAGCTAATTTTGTATTTTTAGTAGAGATGGGGATTCTCCATGTTGGTCACGCTGGTCTCAAACTCCCAACCTCAGGTGATCCACCCACCTTGACCTCCCAAAGTGCTGGGATTACAGGTGTGAGCCACCGTGCCCGGCCAACATAAATATTATATAAGAGTCTTTAACTATTTCTTGGTATGAAAATTGATAACTTGTAGGCTGGTCATGGTGGCTCACGCCTGTAATCCCAGCACTTTGGGAGGCCAAGGCAGGCAGATTACGAGGTCAGGAGATCGAGACCATCCTAGCTAACACTGTGAAACCCCGTCTCTACTAAAAATACAAAAAAAATTAGCCAGGCATGGTGGCACGCACCTATAGTCCCAGCTACTTGGGAGGCTGAGGCAGGAGAATCGCTTGAGCCTGGGAGATGGAGGTTGCAGTGAGCCGAGATTGTGCCACTGCACTCCAGCCTGGGCAACAAAGCGAGACTCCATATCAAAAAAAGAAAAAGAAAATTAGTAACTTGTTTTAGAGCTTTCCTAATGTCAGAATATTTGATTTTTTTTTATTTAGTTTTAGAACCTCTATAATAATAGCTCTTGTACCTGCCTTTCTTAGAAGGTATTAAACTTACTATGCTATAAGGAAGTAACTACTGAATTGTCATCACCTTTAAAAAATTTTTAATGTAAAATACTCTCATATATTTATCTATTAGTAATTTTGAATATTAAGAGTGTTTCCTGGTTTTTTGTTTTTTTTTATTAATAAGATATTATGAACTAGATCCTTATAAAAGTCTCCTAGACAATTTGAGGAACAAAGTGATCATTGAGTATCCAACATTACATGTGGTATTGAAAGGATCCAATAATGACATGAAAGTTCTTCACCAAGGTAAGTGTAAATTTGTTTCTGTAATGCTTAGAATAGCTTTAGAGAAACCAAAGCAAAATATGTCCACCCTTATTTCTTTATATGTGTTTTCCCACTATATTTACACACTTACAGGATCTACTGTATAGCTAGTTAATGTGAAGAACCAGGTAAATGCAATGCTGCTACTCTTCTGTTTCTAAGAGCGTATAATCTTATAAAACCAATTTTAAGTGAATAAATCAAATTGAATGGCTATAAAAGGACTTTTTTTTAGCATGGGGTTCTATGTATTTTTTTGTCTTTTTTTAAGCTAATAGTCTTTAAGTAACTGTCCATGATCACGTACATTTACTCCATAGTTAAGACTTTAGACATTTCTAAAATGAGGGATTACAAAACATTTTTAGTTGACAATGAAAATGTTGAATGGTTAAAAAAAAAAAAAAAAAGCCTAGTATCCTACCTTATAGAAGGAGAAAATGTTGCAAGGAACATTATATTTAAAAATTTGGCAGCATTTAGAATAAGTTAATGCCATTGCCTTTACCCTTTATCTCCTTTTCTAAACCCACTGGTTTTATTTTCTCTGATTTTGTTTCTCTGATTTTGTGATATAGGGAAGTACTAGAACTGGAAAAAATGTACATAAAAGTTTAGTACATAAAATGACTCATCTATATTTGTAACTACTGATTAAAGTAAACTAACTGTGCTTCTGAATGCAAGATTTTAGAGGATGAGTAAAATTTAGTCACTACCTTTAAGAAGTGAGGAAGATTACCCACCTTAATCCAAAACTATTACATAGCACTTTCAACGAAAAGAATTACAGATACAGGCCAGGTTTTGTTGTAACAAACTCCAGAGGAGCATAGAATCTTTGTCTTGGATTGATACTATTTTTTAAGTAGTATTTGAAATGGGTAGTTTAAGTTTTATTGTTATACCAGCATTACAGGCTGTAAGATGCAGTAACCTATATTGTAAGGTATTCTCTGTTGTGCGTAGTGTTTTTTCTTTGCAAAAATTAATAGAAAAAAATTGTTTTCCAAAGTGGCCAAAATTGTATCAGTGCTACAACTTGAAACCAGATTTTAGTTAGCAAACATGATGTTTCTAATAATAAATTATGGGCCTCTAAATCTTATTTTTATTCTTGACATTAATATTTTTCACAATTTGAGAATTTTTTTCTCAGAATAAATTAGGAATTTTAGTTTTAAATGGCCAGTTTCACTTTGTTTAAGCTTTGTATTATGTTGCTTTTTTCTTAATAAATTCACAGTGCTCTCTCAAATGTTGGTTTTGGGAAAAGTTGTTTAGTAATGTAGGTTAGTAGCTAGGGCAAACATCTTCTGTATAAATAAACAGCACACACAGCTCTCCTTTCACCTTGTTTAGGAATGTACATTCAAGTAAGGCTTCCTGTAATGAAGCAATAAGAAAAGACTACTTTACTAGCGTACTGGGAGCCTTATTGAGTAAAATTTGCTATTTTTCTGGTGGATATATGATGTTTGACTTATTTACAGGAACACAAATGACTCATGCTTTTAGTACAGAGGATTATTTAGAACTGTGTTAGCAAAGAACTAAAAGTATCTGACAGGATTTTAAAACCATACCAGTTTTGTCACATCGTAAGTACACACACCTTAAAAGTAATGCCCAGGTCTTCCTGTACATGCATTTCTTTCTGTAAGTACTTCAAGGTGTCTGTTTCTTTATACATTCTCACAGCATCAGATATTTTGCAGGGTGATACCTTGATGAGGGAAGGGGATTATGTAAGAAGAGGGCATTTTCTTTGGAAAGCCTTGAAATTCCTTCCCTCTCTGGAGGTAAAAAAGTTGGATTTTGATCCTGAGTTTATAGTACAAGTTGTCTCTTTCCTAATTTGGGGGTACATGTGTTTCTGGTCTGGGATTCAGTAGTTCCCACACCTGATGGTTGTTCTAATATTTGTTATGATTGTAGATTGCCATAATTATTTGAGTCTGCCTATATTAATCAGCAGTAGCCAAGATTTTGTTTGTTTGTTGCTTTTCAGTAATGGAAAAGGTTAACTGGAAAAGATAGAGCTATTTAGATACTCCACTAGATTGGAGATGCTAAGTGCTGATTACCTACCTTATATCAGTCCAGTGGGAAGTGCTCAGAATGGTGTAACTTGCTTCACAGGCTGTTATTAGACTAGCAGATTTAGATGAGGGAGAAAAGCATGCTGCATTTCAATCTAAGGAAAAAAGAATGGAACCCTATTCAAAGAAGAAAACTGGGCACCTTCAATAGGCAAAGAAAGGGGAAAATGTCCCATACTGCTAAAAATCTTTATTAATTTAGAAATGTCAGCAAAATAAACTTTTTGATGTTCTAGTGTAACTCAAGATTAGAAAATGCCTCAGCCTTTAGAGAAGGAATCCAACCCAAAATTGATTACTGGAATTAGTGAAAATACCTGGCATAGCAGCTACTCATATATCAGTCTCTTATTGGGCCAGTAAATCTTTCATCCATTCTCCCTCGCTCACCTTTCCTCATTCTTCCTTACTTCTCTTTTCTTTCTTTTCCTTTTGCAGGGAGAGAGAGGAGGATTTTTGGCACTGGAACACGCATGTAAAACTTATTATACAATAGATGCTAAAATAGAGTTTACCTGAAGTACAGAGACAGCCAGAGAAGGAAAAAAACTTTTAATATCATGGAGGCACTGGATGGACTGCTAAAGTTCATAAAATTTCACAAAGATTGGGATGATATCTTGGATGGAACTTATTTCAGTGCCTTACTCTTAGAAAGGGCTCAGTAAACACCATTGTGGTTGCTGGTACAATCTGAAGTCTAGGTACAACAGCAAACCCCAGGGAACTTGTCAGTTGGAATATGAGGCAGTTCCAGGTGTGTGCTTCTAGCATCAGCTTTTATAAGCTGTGGTCCCTTGAGCATTTGCTCTGCCTCTCTGAGCTTTATTTTTCTTATCTACTCAGTGGAGATAACAGCTATAAGCCTCAAAATAACCTATATTTTAGCATGACAATTTTTAAAGAGTTACTACCTATTATTTCCTTTTAGCTTCACAAGACCATGAAATAGAACACTTACTCCGGTTCCCATTTTGCAGATTTAGGGAAAAAACACTAAAAGGCAGAATGATTTGCAGTTACATTGATTCAGCAAACATACTCTAAATTGTGAGGATAGATACAGAGAAGAAAGGTCGAGTTTCTGTCCTCCAGGAACTCTCAGTTTAGTGAGTGAGTCATAGTTAGTCTTGCTTGCTCTAAGCAAGACAGGGGTGTCAGAGGAGCTCCATTTCTATTCTTCTTTCCTGTGAAAGGAAGGAGATGGCGATTAGCTAGTCTTCTGTCACTCCACATTCACTCAACATATACTGACCCTCAATTAAGTTTAAAAAAAAATCATGGAAAAAATTTATTCTAACCACAAGTGGCTGGCCAGGATAATAGTGATCTATTCAGTGGCATGAATATGGATCATAACCACATTGTGAAGTGACCATTCCTAAGTCTTCCACAGAGTCAGGAAGGATGTTACCTCACAAAATATAATTGCCACTTTCAGACATCATTTCTCTATTTATTGTGGCCAGAATTGTATATCCTAGCTGCCTGGGACATGACGCGGTTTGTGTGTCCCTGTGAGCAGTGCTTTTGCTGTACATCAGAAGGAGGGAGAGAAGAGGGACAGAGCAACCTAAACAGAAAAATATAAACACTTGACTGTATGTTTACTTATTTTTTTCTAGTGAAGAGTGAATCTACCAAGAACGTTGGCAATGAAAATTGAGCATTTTTTCTGGAAGAAGAAAGTGAAAACTTCCAGACAACTGCAGCAGACTCTGCATTGATGGGCTGTTGGCTGATTGGGGTATTGTCAATGGGTGATTGGAATTTTTTCTTTGTATGAAAAATAAGCTTAACTCTTTTAAAAAATGTATTTTATAACCTCTTGAATTAATTGACTTGTAAGACCCATTTATTCATATTAAGAACTCTCCTTTGCACTTGATCAGCATAGTACTTATTAGGCCCTGGCTTTTTAATATGCTTAATTGCTTAATTCCATAAACTGAAAACTTTTTTTTTCTTTTTTCTTTCTTTTTTTGAGATGGGGTCTTGGAGTGCAAGTGGTATGAGCATAGCTTCCTCAAATTCCTGGGCTCGAATGGTCCTCTCACTGCAGCCTCCCAACAGGCTGGTACCACCACACTCAGCTAAGTTTTTTGTTGTTGTTTTTTTTTGGTAGAGACAGGGTTGCGCTCTTTCGCCCAGGCTGGTCTCAAATTTGTGGCCTCAAGCAATCCTTCCACCTCAGACTCCAAAGCATTGGGATTACAGGCATCAGCCACCACACCTGGCCTTGAACATTTTTTATTTGTTAATTTCATGCGTGACGAAACCCAAGGATCACCCATGTCAACCACAAAGTTGGCATTCCCTTTAGTAGAACCTCACTAAACGGAAAGGCTGTACAACGCACCGTCTAGCCACAGGAGAACTAATCTTCTATCAGTTGCCCTTTCTTCTTTGGAGTTTTTATGTAACTTACCCTTGTGAGACAAGTTTTCTACTTGAGAAACTCCTAGTACAATGTCTTATACTAGAAGCCTGGATAAATACTATTAACTACTGTTTCTTATATTCACTTCAGAAAATCAGTGGCTCCACATTGTTTGAGCCATTAGTGATAACAAATTTGGATCTACTTACTCAAGTCTTATGAATTCTGTGCCTTTCATCACATTCCTAGCCCACTCTCATCATTACTGCAGAAGGGTGTTGTGATGACCAGTTTTATACTGTGTTTTGATATGTCTAGCAATAACTTAAAGAAAAAAAAACCTGGGAAATCTTCAACATGTTATTGGAACATATATGTATGTATTAATGTATATACATGGCTTAACTTATACGTTATGGCAGCTCTGTATACAGTTTGATCTCATGTACTGAAAAAAAATTCTTAATTTTATTGGAGTTTATACCACTGTGAAACTGCAATATGACTGTAAGAGAGTAAAAAGATTGTTACATCTATATTGTATGTGTGTACTTAATGGTTAAAAAGCAATGATAAAACTGGACATTAATGAAATTGATTTTTAGTTACAGTTGGAATAAGTTTTTTACCAAAAAGAAACCAGAGACGTTAGTTAAGGAGACTTAAAAAGATCTGAAATATGAAAAGAGAATGAGAAGATGAGCAGAAGATAAATTTGTGGGACACAAGTATAACTTGGGGTAGAAACTGGAGAAGAGAATCGAAAAACAATAATGCCAGAAGGACCCTTGGTATGAAAGTACTAATGGAATGTGATTCATAGAAAGTTCATAGAAAGTGAGTCCTTGCAACTTGAGAAACATACATACATATATATTTATAATCTCTAAAGCAACATCAGGAATCTTCTAATATATGATAAAGAATTTGTGTAGAATTACGTTGTTCACAGTATTATTGGAGAGACAAATAAGATTTCAAGGAATTCATTTATAATCAAAAGTGAAATGTGTCTTCTTGAAACCAGCAAGAAATAGATGAATTGAGTGAAACGTGTTGTTATTAGGAGAAGTGGGATAACGTATACAAAAAGAACTTGCGATCTGAATATGATCTGAATATGAGGGTGGATAGGAATTTTTTGACAGTGAAATCTGTTATGATGTAGTCTCATTTCCAAGAAAAGTCTTGAGTTCCATCCCCCCTTCTGAATTTAAATTGAAACCTGGACAGAAAACAAACTATCCTGTAGTTTCCACTGCTCAGGAGGAAAAAAAGAAATCTATATTATCTAATGCATCTTTGCCATCTTTATTTTCTAGAATTCTATTAGACTTTTCAATTATAGGCTATTAGGAAAGAATATAACTCTTAGAATTCCCCTAAATATAATTATCAACTCATTTGATTAATATGCATATTTTTTCCCGTAAGATTTACAATACACGTGTGTTTTAGTGAATTACCAATGGCTTGGAGAGAATGAAATTGGAATAACTAACTGAAAACCCTAGATGTTTGTAGCATTGAGACCCAATATCTTTTTGGAGGCCCTCTCCATGTTAGCTTATTGTCAAATTCTGGTGTGTAAACAAACTCCTTGACCCATGTTAAGTTCAGCATCCTGCATTTTGTTCATGAATCACATTTTAAAAGGAGAAAAGCTCCACCTGGTTTTCTTTATTTTTTTAAACAGTGATTTCAAAGAGAAGATAGGCCTTTCATAATTGCTAATTATACATATAGGATTAATAGTCATAAATTATAGTAAATAAAACTTGTACCTATTCCTTTTATAAATATGAATTGGCTAGGCACAGTGGCTCACAGCTGTAATCCCAGCACTTTGGGAGGCTGAGGCGGGCAGATCACAAGGTCAGGTGTTTGAGACTAGCCTGGCCAACATGGCAAAACCCTGTGTCTACTAAAAATACAAAAATTAGCCAGGCGTGGTGGCAGGCACCTGTAATTCCAGCTACTCAGGAAGCTGGGGCACGAGAATCACTTGAACCCTGGTGGCAGAGTTTGCAGTGAGCTGAGATTGTTCCACTGCATTCCTGGGCACTGCCTGGGTGACAGAATGAGACTCTGCCTCAAAAAAAAAAAAAGTTATTAAAAATAGATATTTAAGATTCCAAAATGTAGTTGATCCAGTTTGTTTCCCTGTAGCAAGTAGTGGGATTTGGGTTTCATGACATATAATTAAAATGTTAATCACATAACTATAATGCCAACAATTTTCTTTATACATTTTTGTTTAATTATGTTGACATATACTTTGTGTTGTACCTTATTTCATGTTACTAAATTTTACATAAAGATGCTGGTCTATTTTTATTTAATCATATACTGTTATGGTTTGAATATAGTTTGTTCCTACCAAAACTCATGTTGAAATTAGATTCCCCATGTGCTAGTGTTGGGAGGCAGAGCCTAATGGAAGGTGTTTGGGTCATGGGGGCAGATAGATCCCACATGAATAAACTAATGCCCTCCTACTGGGGTGAGTGAGTTCTCATTCTTGCTGTCGTGGGAATGGATTAGTTCTCACAAGCAAGGGTTACTAAAGAGTCTGGCTTTCTTGATTTTCTCCTTTTTGCCTCCTGCCTTCCCATGTGATCTCTTTGCACATACCTACTCCCCTTTCACTTTGTACCAAGAGTGGAAGCAACATGAGACCCTCACCAGATACAGCTGCCCAATCTTGAGCCTTCCAGCCACCAGAATCATGAGCCAAATAAAACTCTTTTTAAAAATAAGTTACCCAGTCTTAGATATTCTATTATAGCGACACAAAATGGACTAAGCTGTACTCTGTTGCATTAAAATGTGTTGTTTATATGCAAGTGACAAAAACTCAAAATAGTGTCAGCATGAAGGGCAGTTCATTGGCTTATATACAGGGAAGTCCAGGCAATGACTGGGTCCTGGGTCCAAACGTCAAAAGCAGTCATCTTGCCATCCTACACACTTGGCTCTGATTATTTTCTTCTTTATGGATTGGTTTTCTTTTCAGATTTTCCCTTTGGGGATATTCTGTATGGGATGAGGAACAGTGAGGTGAGAGGATGGTGGATAACAGCAATTGACATTTTCAGCTTACCTTAGCATAACAAGGCTGAAAGCTTTTATAAAGCAAGCTATGTAAAATTTTGGAGAAGTACTTTTATTTTGCCCAGATTGGATCACATTCCGTTCCTGAGCTAATCAAGAGAGGAATTCACCCAAAGGAGGGGGAAATTTTTAGAAGAAAGCCAGAATGTAGGGAGCAGGTGAGGAAAGGTAGTTACTGGGAATACGAAAGTAACACATTCATTGCACCCTGTTTGAATTTGAGTAGCAAGAAGTTTCTGATTTGTACTAACAGAAGGAGTAAAGTTCAGATTTAATCTGCAAGTCTTGATTGTTTTTAACTAGAGATTTTAATCTCTTCTTCTTATTATTGCTGCTTTGAGTTGCCATTATAGGTTTTTGGATTTTTTTTTTAATGCCATCCATTTTTATTTGACATCATGTTGTTGCTAGTTTGAGCAGATGCACATAGCATATGTTTCCATTACCAATTTGGAAATTTTTCCCAGTGGCATCAGCATTTGAGAGATACTGATTTTGAAATTAGAGTACTAGGGGAAAATGCTTCAAAAATGAAGACTACTTAAATAAAAATTGGCTTTAAATAAACCTTTGGGGATCTGTACTTGACTAAAAAGTATTTTCTTTAAACTTTGGTCTTTGAAAACTAAAGTGTGTGTGCATGTGTTCATTAAAATGACCTATAACATGAACATTTTCCATACTGGAGTGTGATGTACTGTACTCATTTTGAACTTTAGAACCAAATGCATCCTTTAGCATTTGATGAGCTGCTATATAATTCTATTTCCAGTTTTATTTTCTTGCCAAATAAAGTACCAAAGCTCAGCCTGATATTTGGTAACCCCTGACTTGGTCCCAACCTAATTTTACAGCTTGCTTACTCTCTCATTCACTCTCCTTTTCAAACTGCTTCAGTCACATAAAACATCAAGGACCAATTTCATTCTGCATGTGGGTATACAGTTTTCCCAGCATCATTTATTGAAGAGATTATTTTTTCCTCATTATGTCTTGGTAGCCTTGTCAAAGATAGTTGCATGGGTTTATTTCTGGGATCTAATCTGTTCCTTTGGTCTATGTGTCTTTTTATGGAGAACAATGCTGTTTTGATTACTATAGCTTTGTAATATATTTTGAAGTTGGGTGGTGTGATGCCTTCAGCTTGTTCTTTTTGCTTTGGCCACTCAAGCTCCTTGGTGGTTCCATCAGATTTTAGAATCATCTTTTTCTATTTCTGTGAAAAAAAAAAAAGGCATTGGAATTTTTATTAGGATTACATTGGATCTGTAGATTACTTTGGGTAGTATGGAAATTTTAACAAAATCCTTTCAATTCATGAACATGGTACATCTTTCCATTTATCTGTATCTTCAGCTTCTTGCATCGATGGCTTGTAGGTTTCAGTAAACAGATTTTTCACTTCCTTGATTAAATTTATTTCTAAGTATTCTATTGTTTTTGATATTTCTTTTTCAAACAGTTTATTGTTAGCATGTAGAAACACAACTGATTTTTTTTGCCAGGCGCAGAGGCTTACACCTGTAATCCCAGCACGTTGGGAGGCCGAGGCAGGTGGATCACAAGTTCAGGAGATCGAGACCATCCTGGCTAACATGGTGAAACCCCGTCTCTACTAAAAATACAAAAAATTTGCCAGGCGTGGTAGCAGGTGCCTGTAGTCCCAGGTACTCGGGAGGTTGAGGCAGGAGAATGGCATGAACCTGGGAGGCGGAGCTTGCAGTGAGCCGAGATCATGCCACTGCACTCCAGCCTGGGTGACAGAGTGAGACTCCGTCTCAAAAAAAAAAAAAAAAGAAACAACTGATTTTTGTATATTGATTTTGTATCTTACAACTGTATTGAATGTATTAGTTCTAACAGTTTTTGGTGGAGTCTTTTGGGTTTTCCATATCATGTCACCTGCAAACATACTATTTTGCTTCTTCCTTACTGATTTGAATTCCTTTTATTTTTCTTGACTGATTGCTAAGGCTAGGCCTTCCAGTACTATGTTGAATAGAACTGGTGAGAGTGGGGACCCTTGTCTTGTTCCTGATCCTAGCAAAAAAAGATTTCAGCTTTTCACTGTTGAGTATGGTGTTAGCTATAGCCTTAACACATATGGCCTTTATTATGTTAAGATACATTCCTTTCATACCTAATTTGTTGAGAGTCTTTATCATGAAAGGATGTTGAATTTCGTCACATGCTTTTTCTTTTTTTTTATTTTATTATTATTATACTTACAGTTATAGGGTACATATGCACAATATGCAGGTTAGTTACATATGTATACATGTGCCATGCTGGTGTGCTGCACCCATTAACTTGTCATTTAGCATTAGGTATATCTCCTAAAGCTATCCCTCCCCCCTCCCCCCACCCCACAACAGTCCCCAGAGTGTGATGTTCCCCTTCCTGTGTCCATGTATTCTCATTGTTCAGTTCCCACCTATGAGTGAGAATATGGGGTGTTTGGTTTTTTGTTCTTGCGGTAGTTTACTGAGAATGATGATTTCCAATTTCATCCATGTCCCTACAAAGGACATGAACTCATAATTTTTTATGGCTGCATAGTATTCCATGGTGTATATGTGCCACATTTTCTTAATCCAGTCTATCATTGTTGGACATTTGGGTTGGTTCCAAGTCTTTGCTATTGTGAATAACGCCGCAATAAACATACGTGTGCATGTGTCTTTATAGCAGCATGATTTATAGCCCTTTGGGTATATACCCAGTAATGGGATGGCTGGGTCAAATGGTATTTCTAGTTCTAGATCCCTGAGGAATCACCACACTGACTTCCACAAGGGTTGAACTAGTTTACAGTCCCACCAACAGTGTAAAAGTGTTCCTATTTCTCCACATCCTCTCCAGCACCTGTTGTTTCCTGACTTTTTAATGATCACCATTCTAACTGGTGTGAGATGGTATCTCATTGTGGTTTTGATTTGCATTCCTCTGATGACCAGTGATGATGAGCATTTTGTCATGTGTTTTTTGGCTGCATAAATGTCTTCTTTTGAGAAGTATCTGTTCGTGTCCTTCGTCCACTTTTTGATGGGGTTGTTTGTTTTTTTCTTGTAAATTTGTTTGAGTTCACTGTAGATTCTGGATATTAGCCCTTTGTCAGATGAGTAGGTTGCGAAAATTTTCTCCCATTTTGTAGGTTGCCTGTTCACTCTGATGGTAGTTTCTTTTGCTGTGCAGAAGCTCTTTAGTTTAATTAGATCCCATTTGTCAATTTTGGCTTTTGTTGCCATTGCTTTTGGTGTTTTAGACATGAAGTCCTTGCCCATGCCTATGTCCTGAATGGTAATGCCTAGGTTTTCATCTAGGGTTTTTATGGTTTTAGGTCTAACGTTTAAGTCTTTAATGCCTCTTGAATTAATTTTTGTATAAGGTGTAAGGAAGGGATCCAGTTTCAGCTTTCTACATATGGCTAGCCAGTTTTCCCAGCACCATTTATTAAATAGGGAATCCTTTCCCCATTGCTTGTTTTTCTCAGGTTTGTCAAAGATCGGATAGTTGTAGATATGCGGCATTATTTCTGAGGGCTCTGTTCTGTTCCATTGATCTATATCTCTGTTTTGGTACCAGTACCATGCTGTTTTGGTTACTGTAGCCTTGTAGTATAGTTTGAAGTCAGGTAGCGTGATGCCTCCAGCTTTGTTCTTTTGGCTTAGGATTGACTTGGTGATGCAGGCTCTTTTTTGGTTCCATATGAACTTTAAGGTAGTTTTTTCCAATTCTGTGAAGAAAGTCATTGGTAGCTTGATGGGGATGGCATTGAATCTGTAAATTACCTTGGGCATTATGGCCATTTTCACGATATTGATTCTTCCTACCTATGAGCATGGAATGTTCTTCCATTTGTTTGTATCCTCTTTTATTTCATTGAGCAGTGGTTTGTAGTTCTCCTTGAAGAAGTCCTTCACATCCCTTGTAAGTTGGATTCCTAGGTATTTTATTCTCTTTGAAGCAATTGTGAATGGGAGTTCACTCATTGTTTGGCTCCCTGTTTGTCTGTTATTGGTGTATAAGAATGCTTGTGATTTTTGCACATTGATTTTGTATCCTGAGACTTTGCTGAAGTTGCTTATCAGCTTAAGGAGATTTGGGGCTGAGACAGTGGGGTTTTCTAGATATACAATCATGTCATCTGCAAACAGGGACAATTTGACTTCCTCTTTTCCTAATTGAATACCCTCTTTTCCTAATTGAATACCCTCCTGCCTAATTGCCCTGGCCAGAACTTCCAACACTATGTTGAATAGGAGTGGTGAGAGAGGGCATCCCTGTCTTTTGCCAGTTTTCAAAGGGAATGCTTCCAGTTTTTGCCCATTCAGTATGATATTTGCTGTGGGTTTGTCATAGATAGCTCTTATTATTTTGAGATACATCCCATCAATACCTAATTTATTGAGAGTTTTTAGCATGAAGGGTTGTTGAATTTTGTCAAAGGCCTTTTCTGCATCTATTGAGATAATCATGTGGTTTTTGTCTTTGATTCTGTTTATATGCTGGATTACATTTATTGATTTGCATATATTGAACCAGCCTTGCATCCCAGGGATGAAGCCCACTTGATCATGGTGGATAAGCTTTTTGATGTACTGCTGGATTCGGTTTGCCAGTATTTTATTGAGGATTTTTGCATCAATGTTCATCAAGGATATTGGTCTAAAATTCTCTTTTTTGGTTGTGTCTCTGCCCAGCTTTGGTATCAGGATGATGCTGGCCTCATTAAATGAGTTAGGGAGGATTCCGTCTTTTTCTATTGGTTGGAATAGTTTCAGAAGGAATGGTACCAGTTCCTCCTTGTACCTCTGGTAGAATTCGGCTGTGAGTCCATCTGGTCCTGGCCTCTTTTTGGTTGGTAAGCTATTGATCATTGCCACAATTTTAGAGCCTGTTATTGGTCTATTCAGAGATTCAACTTCTTCCTGGTTTAGTCTTGGGAGGGTGTATGTGTCGAGGAATTTACCCATTTCTTCTAGATTTTCTAGTTTATTTGCGTAGAGGTGTTTGTAGTATTCTCTGATGGTTGTTTGTATTTCTGTGGGATCGGTGGTGATATCCCCTTTATCATTTTTTATTGCGTCTATTTGATTCTTCTCTCTTTTCTTCTTTATTAGTCTTGCTAGCGGTCTATCAATTTTGTTGATCCTTTCAAAAAACCAGCTCCTGGATTCATTAATTTTTTGAAGGGTTTTTTGTGTCTCTATTTCCTTCAGTTCTGCTGTGATTTTAGTTATTTCTTGCCTTCTGCTAGCTTTTGAATGTGTTTGCTCTTGCTTTTCTAGTTCTTTTAATTGTGATGTTAGGGTGTCAATTTTGGATCTTTCCTGCTTTCTCTTCTGGGCATTTAGTGCTATAAATTTCCCTCTACACACTGCTTTGAATGCATCCCAGAGATTCTGGTATGTTGTGTCTTTGTTCTCGTTGGTTTCAAGGAACATCTTTATTTCTGCCTTCATTTCGTCATGTACCCAGTAGTCATTCAGGAGAAGGTTTTTCAGTTTCCATGTAGTTGATCGGTTTTGAGTGAGTTTCTTAAACCTGAGTTCTAGTTTGATTGCACTGTGGTCTGAGAGACAGTTTGTTATAATTTCTGTTCTTTTACATTTGCTGAGGAGAGCTTTACTTCCAACTATGTGGTCAATTTTGGAATAGGTGTGGTGTGGTGCTGAAAAAAATGTATATTCTGTTGATTTGGGGTGGAGAGTTCTGTAGATGTCTATTAGGTCCCCTTGGTGCAGAGCTGAGTTCAATTACTGGGTATCCTTGTTAACTTTCTGTCTCGTTGATCTGTCTAATGTTGACAGTGGGTTGTTAAAGTCTCCCATTATTATTGTGTGGGAGTCTAAGTCTCTTTGTAGGTCACTCAGGACTTGCTTTATGAATCTGGGTGCTCCTGTATTGGGTGCGTATATATTTAGGATAGTTAGCTCTTCTTGTTGAATTGATCCCTTTACCATTATGTAATGGCCTTCTTTGTCTCTTTTGATCTTTGTTAGTTTAAAGTCTGTTTTATCAGAGACTAGGAATGCAACCCCTGCCTTTTTTTGTTTTCCATTTGCTTGGTAGACCTTCCTCCATCCTTTTATTTTGAGCCTATGTGTGTCTCTGCACGTGAGATGGGTTTCCTGAATACAGCACACTGATGGGTCTTGACTCTTTATCCAATTTGCCAGTCTGTGTCTTTTAATTGGAGCATTTAGTCCATTTACATTTAAAGTTAATATTGTTATGTGTGAATTTGATCCTGTCATTATGATGTTAGCTGGTTATTTTGCTCGTTAGTTGATGCAGTTTCTTCCTAGCCTCAATGGTCTTTACAATTTGGCATGATTTTGCAGCGGCTGGTACCAGTTGTTCCTTTCCATGTTTAGTGCGTCCTTCAGGAGCTCTTTTAGGGCAGGCCTGGTGGTGACAAAATCTCTCAGCATTTGCTTGTCTGTAAAGTATTTTATTTCTCCTTCACTTATGAAGCTTAGTTTGGCTGGATATGAAATTCTGGGTTGAAAATTCTTTTCTTTAAGAATGTTGAATATTGGCCCCCACTCTCTTCTGGCTTGTAGAGTTTCTGCCGAGAGATCCGCTGTTAGTCTGATTGGCTTCCCTTTGTGGTTAACCCGACCTTTCTCTCTGGCTGCCCTTAACATTTTTTCCTTTATTTCAACTTTGGTGAATCTGCCAATTATGTGTCTTGGAGTTGCTCTTCTCAAGGAGTATCTTTGTGGCGTTCTCTGTATTTCCTGAATCTGAATGTTGGCCTGCCTTGCTAGATTGGGGAAGTTCTCCTGGATAATATCCTGCAGAGTGTTTTCCAACGTGGTTCCATTCTCCACGTCACTTTCAAGTACACCAATCAGATGTAGATTTGGTCTTTTCGCATAGTCCTATATTTCTTGGAGGCTTTATTAGTTTCTTTTTATTCTTTTTTCTCTAAACTTCCCTTCTCGCTTCATTTCATTCATTTCATCTTCCATCACTGATACCCTTTCTTCCAGTTGATCGCATGGGCTCCTGAGGCTTCTGCGTTCTTCACGTAGTTCTCGAGCCTTGGCTTTCAGCTCCATCAGCTCCTTTAAGCACCTCTCTGTATTGGTTATTCTAGTTATACATTCGTCTAAATTTTTTTCAAAGTTTTCAACTTCTTTGCCTTTGGTTTGAATTTCCTCCTGTAGCTTGGAGTAGTTTTATCGTCTGAAGCCTTCTTCTCTCAACTCATCAGTCATTCTCCGTCCAGCTTTGTTCCGTTGCTGGTAAGGAGCTGCGTTCCTTTGGAGGAGGAGAGGCACTCTGCTTTTTAGAGTTTCCAGTTTTTCTGTTCTGTTTTTTCCCCATCTTTGTGGTTTTATCTACTTTTGGTCTTTGATGATGGTGATGTACAGATGGGTTTTTGGTGTGGATGTCCTTTCTGTTTGTTAGTTTTCCTTCTAACAGACAGGACCCTCAGCTGCAGGTCTGCTGGAGTTTGCTAGAGGTCCACTCCAGACCCTGTTTGCCTGGGTACTAGCAGCGGTGGCTGCAGAACAGTGGATTTTCGTGAACCATCAATGCTGCTGTCTGATCGTTCCTCTGGAAGTTTTGTCTCAGAGGAGTACCCAGCCGTGTGAGGTGTCAGTCTGCCTTTACTGGGGGGTGCCTCCCAGTTAGGCTGCTCAGTGGTCAGGGGTCAGGGACCCACTTGAGGAGGCAGTCTGCCTGTTCTCAGATCTCCAGCTGCGTGCTGGGAGAACCACTGCTCTCTTCAAAGCTGTCAGACAGGGACATTTAAGTCTGCAGAGGTTACTGCTGTCTGTTTGTTTGTCTGTGCCCTGCCCCCAGAGGTGGAGCCTACAGAGGCCGTCATGCCTCCTTGAGCTGTGGTGGGCTCCACCCAGTTCGAGCTTCCCGGCTGCTTTGTTTACCTAAGTGAGCCTGGGCAATGGCGCCCCTCCCCAACCTCACTGCCGCCCTGCAGTTTGATCTCAGACTGCTGTGCTAGCAATCAGTGAGACTCCGTGGGCATAGGACTCTCCGAGCCAGGTGTGGGATGTAATCTCCTGGTGTGCCGTTTTTTAAGCCCGTAGGAAAAGTGCAGTATTAGGGTGGGAGTGACCCGATTTTCCAGGTGCCGTCTGTCACCCCTTTCATTGACTAGGAAAGGGAACTCCCTGACCCCTTGCGCTTCCCAAGTGAGGCAATGCCTCGCCCTGCTTCCGCTCACGCACAGTGCGCTGCACCCACTGTCCTGCACTCACTGTCTGGCACTCCCTAGTGAGATGAACCCAGTACCTCAGATGGAAATGCAGAAATCACCCGTCTTCTGCGTCGCTCACGCTGGGAGCTGTAGACCGGAGCTGTTCCTATTCGGCCATCTTGGCTCCAGCCTGTCACATGCTTTTTCTGCATCTGTTGAGATGATCATATGATTTTTATCCTTCATTCTGTTAATGTGGTGTATCACATGTATTGATTTGCATGTGGCACCATCTTTGTATCCCAGGGATAAGTTGCACTTAGTCATGGTATATGATCCTTTCAATGTGCTGCTAAATTCAGTTTGCTAGTATTTTGTTGAGAATTTTTGTATCTAAGTTCGACAGGGATATTGGCCTTTGAATTTTTTGTTTTAGTGTTCTTACCTAGCTTTGCTATCAGGGTAATACTCTTCTCATAAAATAAGATACAAAAATAAGAATTTTTGTGTCTAGGTTCAACAGGGATATTGGCCTTTAATTTTTTCTTTTAGTGCTTTTATCTAGCTTTGCTGTCAGGGTAATACTTTTCTCATAAAATAAGTTTGGAAGTGTTTCCTCTTCAATTTTTTGGATGAGTTTGAGAAGAATTGGTATGAATTCTTCTTTAATTATTTGGTAGAATTCAGTGAAGTCATCTGGTCCTTGGCTTTTCTTTGTTGGAAAGTTTTATTACTGGGTCAGTCTCCTTACCTGCATTGGTCTGTTTCTGTTTTCCATTTCATGATTCAGTCTTGTTAGGTTATATGTTTCTAGAAATTTATCCATTTCTTCTAAGTTATGCAATTTGTTGCTGTATAATTGATCATAGTATTTTCTTATGATTCTTTGTATTTCTTTAGTATTAGTTGTAGTATCTCTTCTTTCATTTATGATTTTATTTATTTGAGTCCTCTTTTTTCCTTGGTTAGTCTTGCTAAAGAGTTTGTCAATTTCATTTATCTTATTAAAAAAACTGTAGGTTTTTTTTCTCTTTTGCTAAACTGCTGTAATCTTTATTATTTCCTTCCATCTGCTAACTTTGGGCTTATTTTGTTCTTTTTCTAGTTCCTCGAGATTTAAAGTTAGGTTGTTGGAAGTTTTTTGTTTTTGTTTTTGTTTTTTTGGTTTGTTTGTTTTTTTATGCTGTTAACCATGAGGTGTTCTCATCTCATTCTTAATGTAGGTATTTATCATTATAAACTTTCTGCTTAGAACTTATTTTGCCACATCCCATACATTTTGGTATGTAGTATTTCCATTTTTGTTTTTGTGAAGTTTTTATATTTTCCTTTTGATTTTTTTCTTTGATCCATTGTTTGCCTCAGGAGTGTGTTGTTTGATTTTCACATATTTGTGAATTTTCCAATTTTTCCTCCTGTTACTGATTTCTACTTTTATATTGTTATGGTTGAAAAAGATATTCGATGTGATTCTAGTCTTTTTGAATTTGTTAAGACTTCTTTTGTGGCCTAACATATCTGTTCTGGAGAATGTTTCATATGCACTTAAGAAGAATGTGTATTTTACTGCCGTTAGATGGAATGTTCTGTATGTCTGTTATACAGGTCCTTTTGGTCTATAATGTTGTCCAAGTCTGCTGTTTTCTTATTGATTATCTGGATGATCTCTCTGTTATTGAGGCAGGGTGGGCTGCTAAAGTACCCTATTATTCTATTGCTCTTTATTTCTCTTCATTCTGTTAATATTTGCTTTATATATTTAGGTTTTCTGATGTCCTGTGTTTAAAATTGTTATATTTTCTGGCCGGGCGCGGTGGCTCATGCCTATAATCTCAGCACTTTGGAATACCTGGGTGGGCAGTTCACTTGAGGTCAGGAGTTCATGACCAGCCAGGTCAACATGGTGAAATCCTGTCTCTAGCAAAAATACAAAAATTAGGCCGGGTTCAGTGGCTCACGCCTGTAATCCCAGCACTTTGGCAGGCCGAAGCAGGTAGATCACCTGAGATCAGCCTGGCCAACATTGTGAAACCCTGTCTCTACTAAAAATACAAAAAATTAGCTGGGCATGGTGGTGGGTGCCTGTAATCCCAGCTACTTGGAGGCTGAGACAGGAGAATCGCTTGAACTCAGGAGGCAGAGGTTGCAATGAGCCAAGATTGCGCCACTGCACTCCAGCCTAGGCAACAAGAGCTAAACTCCATCTCAAAAAAAAAAAAATACAAAAATTAGCCAAGCGTGGTGGCACATGCTTGTAATCCCAGCTACTTGGGAGGCTGAAGCATGAGAATCTCTTGAACCCAGGAAGCAGAGGTTGCAATGAGCCAAGATTGCACCAGTGAATTCCAGCCTAGGCAACAGAGCAAGACTCTGTCTCAAAAATATAAAATATAAAAAATAAAATAAAATTGTTCTATTTTCTTCCTGTCAACCCCTTTAATCACTATATAATGACCTTCATTTTTCTCTTGATAATTTTTGAGCTAAAGCCTATTTTGTCTGATACAAGTAATAACCATCCCTACTCTCTTTGGTTACCATTTCCAAGAAATGTCTTTCCATCCCTTCACTTTTGGCCTATGTGTTTCTTTAAAGCTAAAGTGAGTCTCTTGTAAGCAGCATGTGGTTGCATCTTGTTTTCTTATCATTCAACCATTCTGTCTTTTGATTGGAGAATTTAACCCATGTATGTTTAAAGTAATTATTGATAGGTAAGGACTTAATATTGCCATTTTAATTGTTTTCTTACTGTTGTGTAACTCCTTTGTTCATTGCTTTCTCTCTTGCTGTCTTTGTGACTTGATGATTTTTGTGGTGGTATGCTTTGATTCCTTTCTTTTAGTCTTTTTGGCATCTACTACACAATTTTTTCTTTGTGATTACCATGAAGTTTACATAAAACATCTTATGGTTATAACAAACTATTATAAGCCTATAATAACTTCAATTGCATACCAAAAGAATCTGTACTTATACTCACCATCCCCCCTTCCACATTTTAGGTTACTGGTGTTACAATTTACATTTTAAAAATATTGTATATCTGTTAACAAATTATTATAGTTACAGTTGTTTTAATATGTTTATCTTTTAACTTTATACTGAGATGAAAGTGATTTACATGTCACATCAAATTTACCAATATTAGAGAATTCTAAATTTGACTATATATTACCTTTACTGGTGAGTTTTATAGATTCATGTTTTTACATTGCTAATTAGTGTCCATCCTTTCATTTCAGCTTGAAGAACTTTCTTTGGCATTTCATGTAAGGCAGGTCTAGTGCTAACCAACTCCCTCAGCTTTTGTTTGTGTGGGAAAATCTTTCTTCTTCATTTCTGAGGTACAGCTTTGCTAAGTATTCTTGGTTGGTGGTTGTTTTTTTTATTATTTTGAATGTATCCCACTCTCTTTTGACCTGCCACGTTTGTGCTGAGAAATCTGTTTATAGTCTTATGAGGGCTTTCTTGTATGTGATGAGTTACTTTGCAGTTTTGAAAATGCTTTGTGTTTGGCTTTTGGCAATTATGTGTCTCTAAGTAGGCCTTTTGAGGTTCAACCTATTTGGGGACTTTTGAGATTCATGAATCTGGAAGTTCAATTCTCTCCCAAAATTTGGGGAGTTTTCAGTCATTATTTCTTTAAATAGACTTTCTGTTCCATTCTCTCTTCTTCTTCTGGAACCTCTGTAATGCATACATTGTTTTGCTTGATGGTGTTTGATTAAGTCCCTTATCCTTTCTTCTCTCTTTTTCATTCTTTTTTTCTTTTTTCTCCTGTGACTGGATAGTTTCAAATAACCTGTTTTCAGGTTAACTGATTCTTCTACTTGATCTGGTCTACTAGTGAAGCTCTCTATTGAATTTCTCAGTTCAGTCATTGTATTCTTCACCTCTAGGATTTCTGTTAGGTTTTTTAAAATTATTATTTATATTTCTTTATTGAATTTTGTTCTTGTGTTGCTTTCCTACTTTTATTTAGTAGTTTATCTGTGTTTTCTTATAGTTCACTGAACTTTAAGAGGATTATTCTTAGTTCTTTGTCAGTTTGTAGATCTCCATTTTTTTAGAGTCAGTTGTTAGAGCTTTATTAGTTTCCTTTGGTAGTATCATGTTTCCTTCATCCTTCATGATCCTTGTATCTTTTTATTGAAGTCTGTGTGTCAGATGTAGTGGTCACCTCATCCAGCCTTCATAGGTTTGCTTCTTCAGAGAAAGACCTACACCAGTCACCCCAGCTTGGGGTTTTGGATGGGCCAGCTGGTAGCATCTGCAGGTAAAATGGCACTTACTGCTGCAGTGTCTAGTCAGCCAAGGCCACTGCCCATGCTTTGAGGCCAGGTAGGGCTGCTGACTGGGTTCCACAATTGCCTGTTCTTGTGTGGGATTACAGGCTGTGCTCCCTGGACAGGTGGTGCTGCTAGCTGGGCTCTTATGATTGAGTGGGGCTGTGGGCTATGCTTCACAGTTGGGTAGGAACACAGGCTGGGTTCCATAATTAGGTGGGGCCACATGCTGTGCCTTGCAGTTGGGCATGGTCACCAGCTGGGTTCCCCACCTACCTAGGCACGATGATTGGATGTGTTCCTGGTGGGGCAAGGTTGCTGGCTAGGCTCCCTGGTTAAGCAGGGCCCACTTCTTTCTCACCTCATGGGAAGCACCCTGGAATGCTGGGAAAGCTGAATGTCAGCCTTTGGATTTTTTTCACACCAGAGAAACTGTAGGCATACGGGTTCCCTCTCTGTGGTGATGTGCCAGCCTGGGAGAGGGGCAGTGTTGTCAAAGTAAAATTACTCCTCTTATTCTTCTAATGCTCTGTTTTCTTGATTTTTATGCTCCAGGAAGGTGCTTCATCTTCACCCTCAGGTTCTGGGATTTTCACAAAGGCAATCTTGTCTGAATAGTTACTAATCAGGATTTTGGCATGGGAGACTAGAGCCAGGGACCTCCATTCTGCCATCTTGCTGATGTTATCTGGTGCTTCAGTTCTCAATGAAGTGTTCCACCACTGTCTCTTGAGATTTTATTCTAAGTTATTGCCATCCATTTAGCAAGTCCTGATGCTGGTGTTTCCTTAGTCAGATGGTATTAATAGAAGGGTTTAGGTCAGCCATCAGGACAAGGTTTGTGGACTGAAATTTTGAAGAGTTGGAGTTGTCCAGTTGTGCCACCAGAAATAGCCACCAGTTCTTCACATAGGCCCAAGCAATGTCAACTACGTCATGACTGTGGACTGGCCAACAGCAATTTTAAGACTCCAAAGATTTTAAAGATGTTAAATTGGGAGCTCTAGAGTCAACTAGGTACAATACCATCATACCCATTTTATATGGGTAAAGAAACAGGTCCAAAATGATTAAAGTATGTGTTCAAGGTCACATGGAAAGTAATCAGTAAGCCAGGATTTAAACCTAGGTAAATTGGGCTTCAGGGGTCGTAAAGAAATACCTAATAAGGAGGTACCTGAGACTGGGTAATTTAAAAAGAAAAGAGGTGTAATTGGCTCACAGTTCCGCAGGCTGTACAGGAAGCATGATGCTGACATCTGCTTGGCCTCTGGGTAGGCCTCAGGAAACTTTCAATCATGGCAGAAGGCGAAGGAGAAGCAGGCTCATCATGCGTGGCCAGAGCAGGAGCAAGGGGCGCTGGGGGTGGAGGTGCTACACACTTTTAAACAACCAGATCTTATGAGATTCACTGTCATGAGAACAGCCCCAAGAGATGGTACTAAACCGTTCATGAAAGACCACTCCCATGATCCAATCACCTACCACTAAGCCCCACCTCCATCATTGGGGATTACATCTCGACATGAGATTTGGTAGGGAGACAGATCCAAACCATATCAAGACCTTAATCGTTAGGCTGCATGGCCTCCTGGGTGGGCTCTATCCCAGTCATTAGGCCATCCTGAATTCATATTGTTTTTGTGATAATTTGAGTGGATGCCATAGTTTACTGCCATTTAAAATTGAAATAATTATTTTAATATTCTAACTTTTTGTAAAAGGGTGGTTTCTTCATAATTTGTGAAGTTGCTTTTCTTAGAGGCTTTTCTCTTCAGTGGTGGACAGCAGGCTGTTTCTCCTAGCATGTTTAGCTCCTGTCTTGAATCTTTTATGCATTTTACATACTTTGGTGGTTTGGGCATAACAGCTTCAATCACTTACTTCAATTAGTTTGAAACCAACTGATAATGCTAACACGAGTGTCTTTCAGTGGGTTCCAGGATATTAGTATCAAGTTTGTTTCATTGTCCATTGTGAGTTATGCACTGCTGAATTGAGTACTCCTCAAAGCTGTTGCAGCAGACTTCAGGTAACATAGCTATCCAGGATTACCTGGTGAAGGGGGCCCACATGGAAAGGATATGAGGATGCAAAGACCACTGTTAATGACTATCACGTTGACATTATATTGAGCTGCAGTAAGAACATGTGTTTGGCATGCTGGTGAATTCACCTGTAGTTGTTGGGCAGGACAAATTTAGGGAGTCTAGCTCGGGGGGTGAGTTACGATAACCACATGAGAAGTATAATTTCTTACTGGAAATAAGACCTGTTGGAAATCTTGGGCATACCCTCATAAATGGAAATGGAGTGGTTGGAGAACATCCATGAAAACACCAAAGCAGACAAATTAAAGGCCTTGAAAAATGTGAGCCTTAAGTTCATGGGATAGAAGCAAGTGTTCATGCTCTGAACTATACAACAAAGGAGAAGTAAACTGGGCCATGTAATTGTTTAAAAAGGAAGTTGCCTGTCTCCCTCAGGTAGTACGGAGACTATCAAGTAATGGTTTCATTTTTTATTTCAGAAAATTTTACTCATCCCAAGTTTCTGCTAAGCACTCTGGGTTATTTTTACTGTGAGAAGAGATTGTCACACACCACCTCTTGGTATCACAATTTCTTTTGGCTTCTTCAACAGTTGATTCTAGTTAAAGTCCATATGGTATGAATCTCTGGTGCAAAGACAGTCCCTAAAGCCCAATAACTTCCAATTTTTCCTAGAGCCCTGTGGTCCTACACTTGACTGTGCCGTTCTGTGTTCCTAAAGAAAAACAGTAGAGGCTTGAAGTATTGGTGGTTGGTTAACCAGATGCTGTGATGCTGTGCTTTTAGGGCTTTTGCCAACAAAAAAGAGACAGCAACTTTTTCCATGTTCCTGACAGATTGGAAGGTGTTTTTCAAATTCTCTGCTTCAGATCTTTCCCTGGAAAGGTTGGTCAGTTGTTCAGCCAACATCCTTGGCCTCTGTAGCTAATGCAGTTTGGAAGCCTGTAAATAGTTTCTGCCACTTTTGGACCCTCACAAACAAAACTTCCAAGCACGGGAAATGGAAAGCTTGAGGTGATGAGGAAAGCCAAGTGAGAGTGGGCATCCAGTCTTTCAGATGATGGACTCTGTAAGAAGGAAGCTACTGTTTGCAGCTGACCTGTGTGTGGACCAAAGGGAGAGAACGATCCAGATGTTCTTTTCTCACTTTTCTAAGTGGCAAGGAGAGCATCTGTAAGGATTGGTTTGATGTCTTATTTTTTAAGCTATCAAATTCTCCTTTCCCCTGACCAATATATATGTTCCTGAGGAATGTGATGGAAAACAAGTTAATTCTTAGCTACTTTAGCCCATCAAAAAGTACTTTATTTAAAATCCTGTAACTTAGCTCACCCAAAAATACTTTATAATATTCTGTACTTTATAATATTCTCTTTACATCCCATTTGTAGAACTTGGCCTTGTGGCCACACTTACTTGCAAGGGAATGGAAAGAACTCTATTCTGCATAGCAATGTGCCTAACTAAAAAATGTGGATCTTCTTACTAAGGGGGAGTATTAAATGCTTATTGTAGGACAAGTAATAGTCTTTACCACAGTTGGCCATTGGCAGTTGTTATTTTGTAGCAGTATAATGGTTGGTTATTCTACTGTCTAATGTATAATTAGTGCCTTCAACCCATATGCCTCCTAGGCTGCAGCACTAAGGGACTTGGACAAAACATTCAAACCATAGGAACATATTGGTTACAGTATGAAGCCTTTGTAAATCTTGCAAGAGACTGGTTTACTTTGAAACTGAAGCCTGTAAAATCCAAAAAAGAATGAAATCAAGTTTGCTATGAGAAGCACTTTCCTCCTGTATCCTACAATCCAAGTTGACTGAGAGCAGTGATCTGAATCTTTGACTGGATGGAAAAGCCATATTCCTTCCTAAAGTTAAGTTAATTTGAGTAAAAGAGGGAGAAGGGAGAAGTGCAGTAAGGCAAGATGGGCGCCTGGGATAAGTGTGATTTCCCCCAGGTCTCTTCTGTAATCCTCTTGTTATACCCTTCTAC
The DNA here is from genome assembly GCF_000001405.40 of Homo sapiens. Lineage (NCBI taxonomy): Eukaryota > Metazoa > Chordata > Mammalia > Primates > Hominidae > Homo > Homo sapiens. The sequence goes on along the minus strand of NC_000001.11, from coordinate 85,633,718 downwards.
CCTGTCAAATGGGACATCCATGCCCCTTGAAAAGATGCAGCTGGCCTGTAGCCTTCCAGCAAAGGGAAAGCAGCTGTTCCTCCCCTCTCCAGCTTTTTGTTTTGTATTGACCTGAAACAGAGGCCACTATGGAGCCATTAATTAATAGCCATCTGAAACCTGTATTGTAGATAATAATTTTAAAATAAAATCAAGTAGATCTCTAACTTTTATTACCAACCCGTCAAATTGACCAGTGTTGGTTGGGGTTCTCCAGAAAAACAGAACCAATAAGATTTATATATATGGAGAGAAAGAGATTGATTATAAGGAATTGGCTCATACAATTATGGAGGCTACCACGTCCCAAGATGAGGGTTTATTGGCAAGCTGGAGACCCTTGAGAGCTGATGTTTCTGTTCAAAGACTGTCAGGAAGGAAGAATCCTCTCACTTGAGAGATGGTCTGCATTTTTGTTCTATATGGATCTTGAACTGTTTGAATGAGGCCCACCTATGTTAGGGAAGGCAGTCTGCTTCACTCAGTCTTCCAATTTAAATCCTAATATCTTCCAAAAGTACTCTCACAGAAACCGCAGAATAATGCTTGACCAAATATTTGGGCACCTTGTGGCCTAGTCAAGTTGATACATAAAATTAACCATCACAACCAGAAACATATAGATGGGAGCCAACTAAAATCATGAGGGATTTCTGTCACGGAGAAACCCCCAACTCTGAAAACAATACTCCATGATTGCCCAACCCCTAAATCAGTCCTCAGAGTCCTAGCCCCCATCATACATATACCTCTATTTACACCAACAAGCAGCGGGCTGCTGAAGCCGTGCAGCCCTCTGAAGAGGCTCTCACACAGAAATAATAGTAGACAAGGGAGATCCTCTAGGAGAGTGAAAGCAAGACAGCCCCAGTTCTTCATGTCACTGCAAAACGCAAGTCTTGGCCATTTATGTCCACAAAGACTGTAGTATGTACAAGGACTGATGGCCATTGGATGTTTCACATTCTTCTCTTTGCAATTAGGAATTTTTATTGCAATTCTGTCTTCTCTCTCTTATTATATATAGGGTGTGGTTAAAATTATTTACCCACATATCACTGAACGACAAAGAATCACTTGACATGATTTACACATCAACATAGAAATACTGGACTTGGATCTAGCTTCAGTAACCAGATGAGATTTCATATTATTTCCCTTTGGGGAAGGAATATGACTGTTGTATGTGTGGAAGTTATAGATTGATGTTAGGCAGCCAAAGGCTAGACTGTTGTTCACCACTGCCTGCTCCTTCTATCTGGTATTCAAAATTTCTTTTGAGAACCACTTCCACTCATTCTCAACTATATTGTTTGGTTGGATTGATACCCCCCTTTCCATTTCTGTCTTCTTAGCCACAGTAATGGATTCAGGGGTGGAAATGTAAATCCATACCAAAGAGAGCTTTTAGATTTTTGCTAGAAATGCTAGAACTCAACCTTCTCTTCTTCATTGGGCTTACTTATATGGAGGGACGTGAGCTTTAGAACTACTGTAATCATTTTTGGTGCCACAGGGAGAGCTAGCCTGAAAATCAACCTAGAAGCAGAGCTGAGAGATGGATCCTAATAACAACATTTTGCTCGTATTTTGTAGTCATTCTGGAATGCTCTTCTCTCATTTGCAACAACAACAAAGTTTCCCACGTGATATAGATGATGTGAGGAAATTCAAATGAGCACCTCTTTTAAGTGGTCTTTTCATGTTTTCCAAAGTCCTGTCTTCTATAATTGAAATCTGCAGAACCACAGGATCTGTAGACTTTTAGAACCAAAAGAACCATAAAGATCAATTAGTCAGGGCCTCGCAATGTGCGTCAGGAGACAGGCAAATTGATTTTTAGGTGTTTCATTAACATTTTTTATTTTAATAAACATTATTATTATGAGTCCTAGAAGAATATAACTAGTATTTCACATCAAACCTGTGAAGTCACAGGTTTTGACTTTCATTGAAAGGATCAAACCTGTGAAGGCGCAGGTAATGTTTTTATTGAAAAGAATATTAAAGCTTAAAGAGATAAATGGCTTTTTTAGGGATTGCCCAGTTGGTGAATGAAGGGTGAGGATATTAAATATGGAATCTTGTAACTGGAAGGGACCCTAGAGATCATGAAGTCACCTCCCCACCCTTCCACGACTTCAGTGTCACAATTCTCTCCAAAGCATCTCTCTCAAGTGGTTATCCAGCCTCTACTTCAATACCCGCAGTGATGGGAAACTTATCATTTGAGGCAGTACATTCCATTCTGGCAGTTCTGATAGTTAGAAAAGTTTCCCCTTATACTGAGTTCCTTGAAATTTCTTTTCATTTGTTTCTAGTTCTTCCCACTGAAGCCACTCCTCACCTTCAAATGTGTCAAGACAGTTACTCTACCCTCTCCACCTCTCCCTACAGAAACACACACACACGCACACAGACATACAGTCTATTTTCATGGACTCGGTTTTTTTTTTTTGTTTGATTGGTTTTTGTTGTTGTTTGTTGTTGTTTTGAGACAATGTCTCACTCTGTTGCCCAAGCTGGAGAGCAGTGGCACGATCTTGGCTCACTGCAACCTCCGCCCCCCAGGTTCAAGCGATTCCCCTGCCTCGGCCTCCCGAGAAGCTGGAACTACAGGTGTGCACCACCACACCCGGCTAATTTTTGTATTTTTAGTAGAGATGGGGTTTCACTATGTTGGCCAGGCTGGTCTCGAACTCCTGATCTTGTGATCTGCCTACCTCGGCCTCCCAAAGTACTGGGATTACAGGCGTGAGCCACTGCGTCCGGCCTGGACTATGGTTTTTAATCACTTCATGTTCTCATCATTCTTTTTTGATGTAATATTCAAATGTCCTTGTACCGTTTAAAGCTTTGTGTCTGGAACATAACTTAATATATTTGAAAGGTAGAATTAAGCTGGCGCTATCCACCATTTGTCCTGGACCTTATGTTTCCATTAAAGCAGCCTGAGATCACCACATCCCATGGTTGACCATTAAGTGGCAGCATCCATCTTTTTTTTACCATCATTCCATAGTTAACTGGCTGATTACTGAACCTCAGTTCAAAATTCCTAATTTATTCTTAATCCTTTTTATCATTCCAGTCTGTTGAGATTTTTGGGGGGATCTTGTTTCTATCAGCCAATTTATTAAATCTGAGAATGGTAGAGCATGAGGGCTTCTCTAGAAATGTAGCTAAAGTAACTTCAGGATACACAAAAATGTAGAAAGTGAATGAAGCAGTAACCTTATGGAACCTAGTACTCAAGAGATTGATATAGACTGAAAATATTAGTGAGCTTAATATGGATCAAGGAGAGATTAAAAGATATTTAGGAAATTATTCAACTTTTAAATACAGTGTCCTAACCTTGTCCTGACAACACCACTGAGTATCCTCACTGACATACCTCAGAACAGAAACTGCGCAAACCAACACATGCAAGGTCATAACGGACACTCTAGCCTTCATAGGCAAGGTGGCCTTGCCTGATCTGGTTATGGTCAGGCAAGAGGTCTTTTTTTTTTTAATTAAATACTTATTTTTTAACATGCAGGAAAACAGCTGGCTTCATGCTCCATGAAATATGTAGCTTCAGTTGAATTCTCTTTTTTTAGAAGAATTTTTAGATCCAGTACTTTGTTTTCTTTATCGGTGAAAGAGCAATCAATGCCTAGATATCTATCTATGAGCCCAAACTATAATGACTCTCAAAGACTCCCAGATTTATACCTTCTGGTGACCCCATGATTTATAGTAACTCATCCACTCCTGCCATTCTATGGGCTTTCACTGCTGCTTTATTGAAACAGGAGTACTGACAGAAACTTTATGCACTTGGAGGTTTTTAGGCTATTTAATTAGTCACTCATTTCTAGATCTTCAAAGGGCTGTATGTGTGTGTGTTTGCATGTGTGTGTGTTTTCTCGTTAGTCACACTGGCTCTTGTTGGATTTGTGTGTGTTTTTGTTTGTTTGTTTTTTTTTTTTTCCATTTGCACAAGGTCACATTCAGAGCTCTTCCTCCCTTAGGAGAGGTTGCACATTCGTCACTTCATCTGCCTCCCATTTCCTCCAGTTGGGATCACACAGCCCTTCCTGAGGTATTACCATTTTTCCATTTCTTCTTTGCTCCCTCCTTTCTTTTAATAACTCTGGGAGACAGGGAGGCACCTTGTAAAGTTAATTTCCTCCAAAGCTTTCAAAGCAAAGGCATCTCCCAGCCCAGACACCACCACCCCTCTCCACCCCTCAGTGACGGCGCACACCCCTCCTCACAGCCTTAGTCACTCTGGGCTGTGCCCGCCACCTAGGACTCACCAGGCCCCAGCTCTGTCAGGCACAGTGAGTTCCTCTGTCCTGTAGCTCTTAGGTCTGGGGTGGGAACTCTAGATAAGAAGAGTCTCCTCATTTATCTCCTTGGTGCCTTCCTCTCCCTTTTCACTTCCTAACTGTGCTCCCCTGCTTTCTGCTTCTCTCTGGTACTTTCAGGACTCATGGGTTGGCCGCCTGCCTGTACCAGGGATGGCATTTCCTCTTCAAAGGCCTGCGGCTGCAGCCACCCAGCTCTACCAAGCACACAAACCTTTGGAATTGCTGTGGCTTTGCTGCCTGCCTACTTGGAAAGCAAGAGCTGTTTTTTAAACACCCCTTTGGTTTCTTGGGGCAAAGCTTTTCTCAATCCTATTTTATTTATGCGAACATGATCTGTGGCTTTTGAATGTTTGCTTTTGAATGTTTGTGTTAACAGACTAAGCTGAAAGCGTTTCCTCTCACCGGAGAGAGGGCCCTGCACAGCTGGGGGCCAGGCTGCTCAGCTCAAGCAAAAGCTGTCCCAAGAGGAACAAGTCACCAGCCAAGGAAGTCTGGAAGCTCAGAGAGGAATTCATTGAGGCCTTTACGGGCAGCAGCGGTCAGAACTAGGATCATAGACTGGGCCATGAAGCTCGGTAATTTATTTGATTAATAGGAAGGACTAGACCGGAGACACCTAGATTTTTGCAAATATATTTTTCAAATTGTGCATATATTTACTGAAACTCTGTGTGGTTTTCAACAGCTTGGGTGTCTAATCTTTCGCCCCATATTCCCAGCCTTCTAAAGCACTCCTGGCAGTATTAAGAACTGGCCGGGCATGGTGGCTCACACCTGTATCCCAGCACTTTGGGAGGCTGAGGCGGGTGGATCACAAGGTCAGGAGTTCAAGACCAGCCTGGCCAACATAGTGAAACTATGTTTCTACTAAAAATACAAAAAATAATTAGCCAGGCCTGGTGGCAGGCACCTATAATCCCAGCTACTTGGGAGGCTGAGGCAGGAGAATCACTTGAACTCGGGAGGCAGAGGTTGCAGTGAGCTGAGATCACGCCACTGCACTCCAGCCTGGGTGACACAGTGAGACTCTATCCCAAAAAAAAAAAACAAAAAAAAACTTCAGAACTTGGTTGATCCTTGAATCATTTATCTGTAGGTGACCTGTCATCTGAAAGTGTGGCAGAGTTTTTCAGCAGCCTATTAATGTGCTTCTGGTATATGTCCTTCTTCGTCTTCTTTCTCCCTGGTACCTAGGGCACTTCAGATGGGAACAGAAATAAAGACTCAAAGTACAATCTTTCCATATCCAATGACTGTATAATTTAGCCCTAGGGTAAGGAAGACAGCCAGGAGAGGGGCAAGTAGGACCAGAGAGGACTGGGTAGAGGGAGTGGGGTCCTTAAATCTGCCATGAGGAATAAGGAATAGAGTAGAAGGGACTCAGTCAGGGCTGGGCTGTCTTTAAAGGTAAGCTCCACCTTACCACCATCACCACCCCATACCCTGTGCAGTCCTGGGTCCAGTGGCCCTGCATATCTCTAAGCCCTTGAAATAAAGGTGGGCAACTTACCTGGACAATTTATATGAGGATATGGGTATGATGAGGAATACCTCTGCCTCCAAATAAGATGGAACTAATTAGAGCTAGTTGGGAATCTTTCTACAAGCTGGGCCAAATGATGGATCCACCAGGAAGGCTGTCTCAGTTATTAACCTTCTTAAATGTAGGGACTGGTTGTTGTTGAAGACTATAAAAAGCTGCAATAGAAGAGAAAAATTAATGTAGTGGTCCGTGGAATACAGAAGTCACAGTTTTTGAGGCAAAATATTCCGGAGTTTCTTCATTTAAAATATGTAAGTCCAGTGTTGATATCCCTCTCTGTTCAATCTGTACTCTCCTTGGGCAGTGTCTTCTAACTCCTTGGCCTTGTAGCCACTGGTGACTTCACATGCTGGATCTCTCTCCTGAGCTTCAGATTTAGACAGTCTACTCCATACTTGACATGAGAATTGCACATGTGCTCAGACTGACCCAAAGGTAATTCATCCTTTACTCTGCTTGCCCTCTAGCCAAGGCCTCTTGGGTTACCCATTGTAGTCACCATTTACTTGGTCACTCATGCCAGAAAAATCAGTTATCTTTGACTCTTTTCTTTCCTGTACTACCACCACTCCCCCTACCCCACCCCATTCATTTTGCCTCAGAAATATCTCTTCATTCTGTCCACATCTCTTTATCTCTTTGGCCACCAAACTAGTCCAGGCTACCATCTTTTTTTTTCATCTAGCTACTACACTGGTCCTCTGACTGGCCTCTTGGCCTGGTTCATTTCTCCTTGCAGTCCATTCTCTATATACCAGTTTGCATAATGTGTCTAAAAATATGATCTGATCATGTTTCTTGCCTGCCCAAAAGCTTTGAGTGGCTTCCTATTGCATTTCAGATAAGATCTAAAGTCCAACTCCAGCCTTGCTTGCTCCTTCCAGCCTCACCAGGGCAGATATGTCTTTCCACTTCACTTTTGTTTCCTCAGCACCTAGAACAATGTCTAGCACAGGGTTGCCATCCATAAATAGTGGTTGCATAGAAGAATGAATGAACACATGAAACACAGGATTTCTATGCATTTGAGGAGAATTAAGGAGAATGGAGAATGAGTGAAAGTCAGTATGAAAACCTCTCAGTTCTTGTTCTAAGACTAAAATGTTTTGATTCCAGGACTGGCAGAGTTCAATATACTTGAGCAAGCATTATACAAACTGTAAGGAATGGGACGGTCTCCATTATTCTGCCCCATGGGCTCCTATTCTAGGTGTGGGCAGCATGTTGCCGGTGAGGTTGTCTACAGTGACTGGGCACTGACAGGTTTACAAGGTAAAGAGAAGAAAAGGCAATTGGTAAGTTTAGTGTAGGGATAATTTGGTTTGGTTTGTTTTGTTTTTTCTGACCAGCATCCATTTCACGTCCTAACAATACCCCAATTTCCTTTTAAAGGAAGATCTCTTTCCCGTTGGATTTAGTCTTTGGGGGCTGTCATTAAAAGCCTTCCTTCCCTTGAGGCCCACATTAGGCCAATCAAATGCTTTCCCCCTAGAATTAAACTCTTGAGCACAGAGACCAAGAAACTTAAAACATTTGCTGTGTGGAGGTGACCTACCAGCCATACCATGCCTGCTATGAGACTGCGGTAGTGGTTCCTGGTGACCAGTCACCCATTAATTAGCACAACAATGGACTCCAAATAGTCTCCTAATAAATTTCTTTTTCCATAGTTTGGTCACAGTTCTTTCTGTTACTTGCAACTCCTAGTGTGATAAATTTGGTACAAAATCAACAGAATATAGTTCTGGCCAACACATACCAGGGCCTGTATGGGGGTGGGGAGTCAGGGGAGGGAACTTAGAGGACGGGTCAATAGGTGCAGCAAACCACCATGGCACACGTATACCTATGTAACAAACCTACATGTTCTGCACATGTATCCTAAGTTTGTTGTTTTTTTTTTTTTTAGAAGAAATAAAGGAAACAAAAGTAAAAAAAGAATATAGTTCTGGCATCTTTCAATACTTTTGGCCAAAAACAATTATATGAATCCCAGAATAAACATCAGATGTAATTTGACTTTGGGAGTTCAATTATGACTGATTTTCCTAATATGGAGATATGTAACATTCCAATGTGAATCTTCTTAGAAATTAGTAGTTCAAAATATCACTATTTGGATTGGTCATTTATATCTAAAAGAAATAAATCAAAAACCACACTTTCAGCTCTTTTATTGTAGCCATAGTAAAAGGAGAGACTGAAAATGAGCTCAATCTTACTACTGATCAGGTAACTATAAATCAAAATAAATAGCATGCTCTTGCCAATCAGTTCTGTCAAAATTAAAAACACTGACAGTGTCCACTGTTGGTGAGAATGTGAACAAAGGACAATCTTTGTTGGTAGAATGGTAATTGGTCAATCTTTCTGGAAAGCAGTGTGGCAGTGCCTATCAAAATTCAACATGTATACTCTTTAACTCAGCTGTTCTACTGTTAGAAATAAGAGCCAAAGGACACAGGCATAAGAATCTGATGCAGTATTAATTTATTCTATCAAAATATTAGAAACAATGTAAATGCTACTTACTAGGCTGAATACATTAATGTATATTTTTACTATGATTTCATGATTCACTCTACAGCCATTAAAAAGAGTGTGGTTGGTCTGTATATAAGTAGAATCTACAATATATTAGTTACAAAAACCAGTTACAGAAAAATGTGAGTAGAAAAATTCTTTTTTAAAAAACAAAGCTATACACAGACTTTTTATGGTATGTGTATGTGTAAATACGTCTAAATGTGCATAGGAAAGATCCAGAAGGATTCATACTGAACAACTGCCAGTGGTTACTCGTGAGGAATGGGAGAGGAGCAATGGAATGGGAGAATAGAGGGAAAGAAAGGGAAGCTTGATTTTATATTTTATGTATTTTGATATTATTTGAATTGTTATTGCCTTTATATTACTGCTGTAGTTTTATTTTTTAATTATTTTTGTAATTGTAAAAATAAATAAATAAATAATGAAGACTACGAAATGTAAATAAATGACCAGAAGGTAGGCAAAGTAACCTTTCCAGAGATCAGAGGTGGTTTTTAACCCACTCATCTAGACAAGAGTTTGGCTATTCCCCATGGGTAAAAGCTGACAGACCAGCCATGCCCAAGATACAGCTGAGTTTCTATAAGAGGTAACCACCCAGGCAGGCCAAAGGAGGTTGTCCTGGAAGGCTTCCCTGGCCCACATGGAAATCAACCCATACAGGAGTTAGAATTACGCATTTGATTGTTTTTGTTGGCTCTGCACATCTTACCTTGAATGCCTCCTCCTTTTGTCCATGTATATTTAATTTGCTGTCCTGTCACAGCTGAATCCAGATTCCTCTCTGTCTAATGAACTTAATAATTGTGCCGTGGGTGTCTACAGACGGTAATCAGAGCCTCTTTGGTTCATTGAAACGTCATACCACCACCAAGTTCCTGCTTTTCATGCTGTCTTGTTTGGACAGAAAGTCGACTTATTTGTTTATTTGTATTCTACTTTGTTTCAAAACACATAATATGTCCAATACACTATTTTTTAAGAAAAGAAAATGGGGATAAGAGAAAAATAGGGTATAGAAATAAGATTAAGCCAGTAATGAGGTTAACACACAAGATATATGCTACCTAAAGTTTTATGTACTTAGTACATTAAGGGTAGTCCACAAATTTGGTTCTGAGTTTCCTAGTGACCAATGCAAAGTGCGTTATTAGGTACAAGTGTAAAGTAACATTCTTAGTTTTTTGGGTTTTGTGTTTTGTTTTTGAGACAGACTCTCACTTCGTCACCCAGGCTGGAGTATAGTGGCGTGATCTTGGCTCACTGCAACCTCCACCTCCCAGGTTCAAGCGATTCTTGTGCCTCAGCCTCCCAGGTAGCGGGAACTACTACTATTGCTACTAATTTTTTGTATTTTTAGTAGAGACAGGGTTTCGCCATGTTGGCCAGGCTGGTCTCGAACTCCTGGACTCAAGTAATCCACCCACAGCCTCCTAAGGTAGGAATTACAGTCGTGAACAACCATGCCTGGCCACATTCTTGGTTTTCTTGAGGAATGAAAGGAGAGAAATTGCAGTGGGTCTGAATATATATATTCAGCTGAGAAAACAACAACAACAACAACTATCCTACTGTAATCTAATGGACTTGAGAACTGAATCCTGACTAATATCAGGTGTCAGACAATTTTCCAATACATTCCAAAGACAGTAGTTTCCTTCATTCACATGAACTCCCTTGAGCCACTTGGTCCCCTGTGGACTGTTGTTCTTCTCTCCAGAGGGGCACTTGTCCTTTCTCAAAGCCATAAGCCCAGGGAAGAATGCTACTTTGTTCAAGTTATTTTTGATTCTTTTGGAACTTCCTAAAACTCCTGTCATGTGGTTCCAAGTTTAACCATAGTCATTTTGGACATGATTTTGTTTCCACAATGATGTATGTCAGCAACCACAGAGTGAGCTTCTTGTATTTTTACATCAATCTGATACCCTTTGTTTATTTGTTCCTCAGGTTTCACTTTCACTTATGTAATGGGTTATGGCATTTTTTGGTCATTACCTCATCTGGGATCTCCTTTTTCTTTGTACCTCCTGATGCGTCATCTTCTTGACTCTACTCCCTTGGATCTCTTGGATACAATGCCCTCAGCTGGTGGGTGGGAATGGGTGGGAGCCAGATTGCATGAGGACTCCTCCACCCTTCCCCACAGAAGAGCTGCCTGGGTTTGTCACCAAGTCATTTTCCATACTCATTCTTTTGGCATCCCTCAGAAAGCACATTGGCTTAAAACTACATCAGCTACCAAAAGCATCAGGGTTAGGCAGGCCTGGAAGAACCTAAGCTCCACTTCTAAGTTGGGCAGGGGTACAGGCAGCGTTTCTTGAACTCAAGAGTTACACTGGCCCTTTTCCCAGAGAATCTGTAGCTGGAAGTGCTCAGTCCCCTACACATACCCCTGTTCAAGCCTATGACACAGGTGGATCTTGAAGGAAACACATGTCTCAAAATATGAGCATTCCTTGGTTTAGGGCTCATTTTCCTGAGGTCATCCATATTGCCATATACAGCTGTCTACCTGAACATCTAATGGGCATCTTGAGCTTAACATGTCCAGAACAGGACTCCTATTTCATGTTCCCATCCCACCCCTACCCAAGCGTTACTCTTCTATTCTTCATCTTGGAAAATGGCACCACTGTTTGCCCAGCTGCTCAATCCAGAAAACAGGAATGATACTTGATCCCTCCTTCCCTTTCCTTCATCTTTTCTGTTGTCTCCATCAAATACAATGTTTCTATTTTCAAAACATATCTAAATCCATACACTTCTCTCCATACTCATGGCTATCACCCTAGCCCAAGCTGCTGTTGTCTCTTGCATGGACAACTGAAGTTACTAACTAGACTCCCTGCTTCCATTCTTGCCCCCACTACATTCTATTTCCAGAGTAGCCAGGGTGACAGAGCACATCACTCCTGTGCCTGAAACTCTCCAATGACTTTCTGTTGCTCTCAAATTTATTTAAAAATAAAAAAAAATCCCATTGTTCTTGCCTACCTCTCAAACCACATCTTATACCACTCTCCAACCACATCTTATACCACTCTCCATGTCACTCACTCAGCCCAGACCCATTGACTTCTTTTTCTCAAAAACACCAAGTGATTTCTCACTCAGGGCCTTGGTATGTGCTGTATCTTCACTTGGAATACTTTCACTTCACTTCTTACTGAGGTCTCACTTCTTCAGTGAAATCCTATTCCCAAGTTGCTATTAAGTAGCCCTTTTATTTCCTTCATAGCACTTCTTATAATTCAAAAGTATCTCATTTTAATTTGTAAATTTGTTTATTATTTGTCATTTTTGTCCAGAACACAAACTCAAAGAAGAACTTTGTTTTGTTCACCTCTGTATTTCTACTGAATATTTTTTAAAACGAATAAATATATGAAGTAAAGGACAAGCAAATGCTAAAGGACTTGTGTCAATCCAACTCAAAGAACATTATTAGGCATCTAACAGGCACTTGCCAGGTGCTGTAGTTTCAAAGATCAAACTAATCAGCTTCTTATCCTTAATTCTGGAAACATTATCTCTAAATATTGCCTTTTTCACATTGGGTTTTTTCTTCCTGTCCCCTTAACATCTCATGTTTCTCATTTATTTGTGCCTCTGCCCTTTTGCTGGGTAATTTCTTCACATTTATCTTCCATTTCCTTAATTCTCTCTTTACCTGTGTCTTCTCTACTTAGACTCATTCGCTGTGTTTCTAACTTTGATGATTGTATATTTTGATTTCTGTAAGTAGTATTTGGTTCTTTCTTCATTCTCCTTGGTCTTTTTATATGTTATTTATTCCTTTTCCATATTCGTATTTCTCTTATATTTCTTTTAAATTTAAAACAATTTATATAGAATAACTGTTATGTAAAGTCTAATTCTGTTCATTGTGGTTTCTGCTGGCTCTCACTCATGGTAGCTTGTTTCCTAGTATGGTTTGTAATTTCAAATTGTGATCTCGTATTCAGTGGGGCTTTGTTTGTTACACTCCTATGAGGCCTGGGTGGCTGTCCCTCCGATAAGATCTGCTTCTGCCAGGTACCCTGGGGTGGTATCAACCTGAGGCCAGTTTAAACTGATTTTTTCAACTGAGACTTCCAAGATCATGTAGGTAGTATAAATTCAAACCCTGAACCTGTGGTTAGGGAGGTGTATCTGTGATTTTAACATCTTATGAGCCCAGGCCAAGGCCAACATATTTCCCTGCTTTTCTTTATTGCAGATAAGCAGGTTTCCTTTTTTCTTTTTTTTTTTTTTCCTAGTCTACCCTTTCACTGAGTACATATTTCTTTGTGAGTCTCACTTTTATGCAGGGGTCTCAGTTCCAACTCTCCATTTTTTGAAGGTACTAAGCCTTGGCTCCTGTTCTCCATAATGCCCTTTAAACTGAGCCTCAAAGTTAATAAGATAGACTTTCCAGAGCAGCAGTAGCTTTAGTGCCTGTTTACCGTGCTGGATTCCAATCCCTCGTGTGTGTGTGTGTGTGTGTGTGTGTGTGTGTGTGTGTGTCCCCTTGGGGGTTTCTCCAATTTACATGAGAGTTGACTAGGCATTTGAAAGTATACTTTATCTATAATATCCAGGCATTTTGTCTGCCTTATAGCTAGAAACACAATACTTCCTTCCTTCTATGAGCATGTGATGTCATTCTGGGAGACATTCATCTAATCACCTACATTTATTATTTTTTCTGTGCTAAGCAGTAATAATCAGGTACACATATGAACATGATGAGAAGCATGCCTATAGTAATGTGAAGATACAGAGGTAAAAGAGACTAATTTCGATAGGAGATCTGGGAAGACTGCAGATAAAAAGGAGTTGGAGCTGGATAGTAATAATAATATCTTAGCTTTTATCTAGTGCTTACTCTGGACCAGCCACTGTGGCAAATACGTCAACATATATGGTCACCTTATCCTTACAACAAAGCATACAATTGGTACTATTCTTATCTTCCTGATTTTATAACTGAGGTGCAGAAAATTTGAGCAATTTCCTCAGAGTATACAGAAAGTAATTGGCAGTGCCTGGATACAAATTCAGTTTGAGCCCTGATCCAAGGCTTTTTAGCTATTATGCCATGTTGTGCTCGAACAGAGAGGCATTGGGGGAGGGCATTCTATCGAAACATTCTATCCAAACATTGAAGAAAATAATGACTACCTCCTAGAATGTTGTGAGGATTATTGTGAGATAATATAAGGAAAAGCAGATAGCACAGTGCATACTACATGATAGGCACTCAATAAATGCCTACTTTCTTTCTTCTTTAACTTTTTACCACCAACTCATCCATAAATTCCTTTAGGGATGGGGCCATGCTGTATATGAAGACATGCCTTATCTCCCACAGAACCTAGCATTAATTTGTGATTGATATTTTGACTGATTCATTGATTAAATTAATATGTTAATTAGATTGTGGTTTTGGGACTTAGGTTTGTGTTGCAGTGTACTTCTTAAAGTACTTTTACATTGATTAGCTCAATTTATCAGCACATCAATCCTTAGAGGGAGGTAGGGCAGATGCCTGGCTTTAGTGATAAATGTGAATTCTACTGAGGTAGGAATAGATCAGTGCTAGGAAAAGAGTGAGTATGAACTACGTGCAACTGGATAGAAAGAACAAGAGGAGAAGCCCCCAAACGTGGGAGTCTGGGAAATCTCAAGGAGGTAGTGGCAGAAGACCAGGCTTTTGTTCTGACTGATCTCTTCAGTTCCAACCCTGTCATCAGCCAACTGAGAGAACTTGGAAAAAGTCTTCAGTTTCTCTGAGTCTTAGCTGCCTCATCATTCAGGCATCACTTCATGCTTGGATGTGGGTCTCCATGTCCATCACACTTTATCATCAGTTTTCCACATTAGACTATGACCTCCCTGAGAGCAAACGTTCCGTATTTACTTGTTGTAACTCCAGCATTTAGCACATGCTTGAGTTATAGAAGGAGCACAATATCTATTGCATAAATGATGAATGAATAATTTAGATAAAAAGAGAAAAGAGCCGGGCGTGGTGTCTCACGCCTGTAATCCCAGCACTTTGGGAGGCTGAGGCGGGTAGATCACGAGGTCAGGAGATCAAGACCATACTGGCTAACATGGTGAAACCCTGTCTCTACTAAAAATACAAAAAAAATTAGCCGGGTGTGGTGGCAGGTGCCTGTAGTCCCAGCTACTCGGGAGGCTGAGGCAGGAGAATGGTGTGAACCTGGGAGGCGGATCTTGCAGTGAGCTGAGATAGCGCCACTGCACTCCAGCCTGGGTGACTGAGCAAGACTCTGTCTCAAAAAAAAAAAAAAAAAAAAAAAGAGAGAGAGAGAAAAGAGGAGAGGAGAAACAAGGTCAATGTCATAGATGCAGACCTAAGGTACCACGAGAGGAAGCAAATAGGAAACAAGCTGAGCCAGAGAGATGGTCCTGCCCATAATGGGGCATTTAATGAGGTGGATACTATCATGTCTGATTATGAACTTAAAGAGTCACGGGCTTCCCCAGTGACTTTAATAGCAGCCTGTCCTTTCTATTTGTTTAGCCCAACTTCATTTTTGGAGATAGCACAAAAGTGAATTTTAGCCCTGGCTTTACCCAAAAGGCCACATATTCCAGAGAGTTGAGAAGGCTGAATTAGTGGGGTATGTATTAGTGAGATTTTACACTGTTGAGGTGTTGCAGTGTACTTTGTGAACATGGCCATAATCAGTATTCATCTGCACAATAAGCCTCCATTCCTTTGGGATCCCTTTTTTCTCACTCTTCAAGGTCCTTGTTCAAAGGCCAGCTTCTATACTTGCTTGTAAAATTCTGGGCTCACGTCTAGGGGCAGCTTACGCTTCCTCCGCTCTATAACTTCCCTTTTTTTTTCCTTGCCCAGGGTCCATTTCAGCAGAACTTCATGGACCAAGAAGCCACAAGCAACTGGGAAACAGTCCTTTCTTTTGTTTGGAGCTTAACAATATGGGGTTAGGCCCAAGGAACCATTGATCAGCAAATCAACCCAAAACTTACAAGATATCTCTTACCTACCATTACAAGGGGATGCTGTAGTTCTTTCCACTCATTAGATGACTTAGATTAAAATTTTCAGGTCCTGGGTACAGGTAGTCTTTGGGACCAACAAGAAAGGGATCTAAGTACACATCCCAGGAGAGAGCCAGCTAGCAGCTGTAGCTCATCTCACTTCTGAAGTGTGTCCTCACCCAACTGTGAAAATGACCTAATTGTGTACAGACAACAGCAATTGTACAGGGAAAATAATACAGTAATGCAAATATCCAAACCAAATTGGAAAAGCAAAGCAATAAGAAGCCAGAAAACATTAGATCATTCGAATTGCAACCTGGCCAAGACAGCATCTGGGCGTGCATCCTCTGCCCTGCTTTTGTTCACATACCATCTCTAATGCCTCTCTGCATTTCTAGAATAAACCCTCTGGGTGACTGTACTCTAAGGAATAAGGTTTCTTTCAGTGTTCCTTCAGAAGCGGCAGGGACTTCCCCACTAGAATATTTCAGTAGAATACTTCCCCAGTAGAATGCTTCAGTAGGCTTCCAGGGCAAAAAGGGCCTTTCTCACTCTGAAGGGGTGGGTGGAAGAGTGGTGTACCTTTAGCAGCGTTATGTATTTTAATTGTGTGACCAAGGCAGATCATGCTTATTCTGTGCTTATTTTCCTTCCTCACTGGGTCATTTCCACTTTAGTTCTGAAAACAGAAAACAATTGACTAAATGAAGAGCCTTCCTGACTGAGCCTTGGATCTCGCTGTGGGTTTGGACAAAGAGATAGGGGTGTTTCCACTCTTCTCCCTCTACCTATCGTAAAGGTGTGCAAATCGGCCTTTGAGTCTGAGGAATAATGCGATCTCTCCTGGCACAATCTTATTTCTGTTTCTCTGCTGAGCAGCCCCCTTTCCCTTCTATGGGGAAATCACTCCTGGACAGGCTCTAGAGTCGGAAGTGGGATCTAGACAGGATAGGTGACCTCTTCAAGCTTTGGATCCCTCACGTGGTAAGCAAGAATAAATTTATTATTAATAGTATCATATTCATATTAATATTATGACTATATAATAGTATAATAATCCTGCCTTTGGGGTTTGTGAGGAGGCAGTGTTATAGAGAGCTGCTCAGAGCACCTGGCACCGAGTGAGTACTACCGAAATGGTAGGTTTTCTTATCACCACTTGGCTGTCCAACCTCCTATCCACTACCTCAGTGGGCCATCAGATACCTCAGCACAATTTCAGCGAGGAAGCAGCCAAGGGGCATTTCTGGTGATAATAAGTTTCACTGGATTCATGACAGTGAAACAAAGAATGACATTTCCCCAATGAAATTCCTCCTCACCTTCAGCTAGTGAGGGCTGGACCTTTTACTATAGGATCAGGGGCAAGCCCCTGCACAATCCCAGTTGCCTAGTTGCTTGAGAATTTCTTCATGTCAGTGGATCTCCATTTGTCAGGAATATGAAGCCTTTAAAAGCTGGGGCTCTGGGAAGAGGGAGAATCAGAGGGGAGAACCAGGGACCACAGACAGACAAACCCACCTTCCTGCATCAGCCAGGGAAAGGAATGCCTCCCAAGCTAGCCCGTCCGGAAGCTGCACCCAGGGACTGCCCGGGAAGGAAGCATAACACCGGCTTCAGATAAGTGATCCTGGGCAGAGATAGTTCCACAGTGCCCTTGGGGCGAGGAGCCACGGGAAGTAGAGTGAAACAAAATCTTTAAAAAGTGCTGGATTCTAATCCCTGCACTCTCCCTTCCCAGCCTGTGGGCGTGGGCCAGGTGCTGGCCTTCGTTAGGCTGGAGGGTTGCATTTGTAAAATGTGTCTGACAGCAATACCGCCTGGAGGGTCGCCGGGAGGGTAATCTGGGGCCCGCGGCCGGGCGTGCCCAGGAGGCCCGCGGCGATGGCAGGGGTGGGACTTACCAGCGTCCCCTCGCTGGAGCGACCGGGCCGAGAGGGGCACCCCATGCCCCCGCAGCCACACGCCGTCGGTCCTGAGGGACGGGTCGCGCCTGTCCTCCCGCGGGGACCGACCTGACCCGAGCCGCCCTCAGGTTCCACAAAGCTGGGGCACGGCCCCCGGGTCTCCGCGTGCGTCAAGCGCCAGCGGCGTGACTCCCGGGCTGGGGCTGGCGCTCGCGCGTCAGGTCGTGGCCATTGTCTTGCAGGAGGCCCGCGCCAGGCTGGCGGCGCAGCGGTCACCGAATAGGGGCCCTGCTTAATCGCAAATGGTGCAACCCAGTTTTTGATGTTCTAAACTATTACCATACAAGAGAAAAGAATAAAAAGATTTAGAGAAAGGAAAGGAAAGGAAAAGAACCCAAGTTTATATCTGTTATTTGTTGCCATGGGATCTAGGTCAGCTGTAAACATATGCAGCTCCTTTTTATTTAAAACAAAACAACAAAACAAAACAAAAAAACCTTTCAAGCTATGTACTGCAGTGGACAAAGATTACACCGTGTTTGTGTTGCAATGTTGCTATGGAAATGCATATGGTGGAAATTTGCAGAGAAGTCGAAGGAAGTCATATGTATGCATGACAAACATGAAGTTCGAGAGTGCCTGAGTGCCTCTCAGCCTGGCTGGGTGTGCCTGCGCCCTAAGGAGGGAGGCAAAGGTGTTAGAGTCAAAAAGTGGAGGGTTTAATTCAGTTCTGCCACCCAGTAGCTGTGTGGCCTTGGGCAAGTTACTGGGCCACTGCTGAGCTTTACTCTTCTCTGAAACGGGGAATGACAACCCCTACTGTGCATCATTGTTGTCAAGATGGAAACAAGATGGCAGGTCTTGAGCACTGTACACAGTAAGTGCTTAATAAATGTTTCTGGCGTGATGGCAGCAGTCCCAATTATGCGCCAAGAATTTAGGGTCATTCATCGAATGGTCTAAAAATGTTCAGAAAGGTCCTTCAGAAAGGTGCTCTGGCCTGACCAGAGGACAACACTGCCAAGATTTGGCTGCAGTTTGGGCTTTGAGACTTGGAGCACTGTGGGGAAGCTGAGTGTGTTCAGTGCTGGCCAGACTTGGTTGTGTAGACAGTTGTCATCACACTGGACGATACAGAAAAATACAGACACTCAGTTGTCAAGGGAACTGCAGGTGATCCACTCCAAAAAATGGGAATGCGGAGTCAATGAGATGAAGTTGCATGGCAAGTTGGTAATATATGTCAGGTGCAGTGCTGTGGCCTCTCAGCTTCAGGCTCCGTGATCCTCCCACTCCATGTGGCTGGCAGCGGGCTAGCCTTCCCATGCTCCAGCACCTTTAGGAGAACAGAAGATCATGTTTAAAGTGCTTACACTCCAGATGAATACTTTTGGAAGACTGGATAATTATTATAATTGTAACAATTTAATTTTCAAGTTAATTTATGAAACCAACCAGGGAGGTACTCTGCACACACCTTTGTGCATTTTGGCTTGCATTTTGAAAGATCTACAGACCTGTTGGAGTGCTTGCTGTCTGTGCACCCCACCCCCCAGCCCCAATATACCCACTAGAGGTTGGCAAAACACACTCTGAGAGCTTGTGGCCACCTTAATCAAGTTGCTAGATCTATCTGCACCCCATTTTTTGATCTGGAAAATGAAGATGTCAGACTAGGTGACTTATGAGGTCCTTCTAGCTCTAACTGGCTGTGACTGTACTGTCATTCATCTATCTTGAATAGAATACAAAAGATCTTTTTCAGTGTTCTAGACCATCAGTGTTCTAACCTACATTAGGAAACAATGAGGGAAAAAGTCTGCATCCTCCCTCAACAGGACATTCTAGTTTCTCTTGGTTCCTTGATGGGCCTTCAGAAATAAGCATAGAAACTATCCCAGCTCACCCATGCTTTTCCTGGGCATGCCTTCCCTCCTTGCCCCAGCCTGGAGACTTCACAATTGGGCCAACTGTTCCTCACCTGCGAGGGCATATGTAGTCCTGATTGAATGGGCTTCTGTCTTTGCTTCTGCTTTTTCTCCACCTTCACTGTGACTCAAGCCACTCTTTAAAAACTAATAGAGAGTGAAAAGGCAAGGTGGAGGGACCCAAGCAATTTTGTTTTTAAACTGTCTTTCTTTTTTTTTTTTTTTTTTTTTTTTGAGACTGTGTTTTGCTCTTGTTGCCCAAGCTGGAGTGCAGTGGTGCGATCTCAGCTCACTGCAACCTCTGCCTTCTGGGTTCAAGTGATTCTCCTGCCTCAGTCTCCCGAGCAGCTGGGATTACAGGCATGTGCCACCACGCCCAGCTAATTTTGTATTTTTAGTAGAGACAGGGTTTCTCCATGTTGGTCAGGCTGGTCTCACACTCCCAACCTCAGGTGATCCACCCACCTTGGCTTCCCAAAGTGCTGGGATTACAGGCCTGAGCCACCGCACACAGCCTAAACTTTCTTTTTAAACTATAAGCCACGTAACTTTGTCATCATTCTTTGTATACCTCAATGGAAGTTGTTTGGTTATTTTCCTGGCAAAATGGTCAAGGTGTGTGTTTAGATGGGAAATATATATGTAAATCAACTCTCTCTTTCTCTCTCCATATGTATATGTGTATGCTAAAGTCTTAAATTTGAAAAAATATATCTGCCATAAATGGCCATGGTACCAGTCACCTCATTAGTGCAATAGACATTGCCTCTCACATTTAAGACATTAGTATCTTGGCAAATGATATTAATTATGTGTCTAATGATAGGA
The DNA here is from genome assembly GCF_000001405.40 of Homo sapiens. Classification (NCBI taxonomy): domain Eukaryota; kingdom Metazoa; phylum Chordata; class Mammalia; order Primates; family Hominidae; genus Homo; species Homo sapiens. The sequence goes on along the minus strand of NC_000001.11, from coordinate 85,613,539 downwards.
TTACTAATGACTTTCAAAGACCATAACTTTTCCCCTTTCTTCTGCCCCCCAATTATTTTGATTTGGGTTACACATTGGTAGAGATGTAGGAATACAACTTAGCTCAATGTGGCTCTACTCCCAGCTCTGTCATTAACCAGCTATGTGACCTTAGACAGCCCTTTCTGGACCTTTTCCTCATTTGAAAAGCAAAGGACAGCCTTGGGCCATCTCTCAGATGTCTTCTGCACTAGCCATCTTGGGTTCTGCCACCCTTCAGCCTGAAGAGGTTGTCTGCTGCCAGCTACTGTTGACTCTTGGAACTTCTGTTCACAAGAGGCTTGTCCTCGGGCTCTAACCAACTCTCAAAATCTTTTGCATTCGAAATCTTTTGCACTCTAAACTTCATCTCAGGAATGAAGACTGAGGCTTTTGCTCAGTCTTGGTTTCAAAACCCGAGTCAGGAAGAACTTTCCATTTAAAGGCTAGTTCAAGAGCTCTAGCCATTCCCAGGGTAGGCAGGTCACATTTCCGGGGTGTTTGCTCTGTCAGCTGATGTTTTCTTATCTCCTGTTCACTCATTCGAGGTTAACATTCCATTGCTTTGCCTTCTTCAGATTCCTGCCAGTTCAGCTTGTGTGCCCCAGTGAAAGCTTTCTCTATGAGTGTTTCTCATCTCTGCTCTCTTTTTGGAGAAGTTTCCAGGAAGGAATGTGATATAATTGCATGCAATACAGCTGAACAGTGTGTAGTTATCCAGGAGTAGCCTCCACAGGTTCCTGGGCCAGAGAAACGGCAGCCCCTGGTGACAGGGGCTTTCTATCCCTGCCTTGCTGGGAGAGTATGTGATCTCCCCTGCACCCTCTCCTCTTGGCTGCAGTGGGTATAAAACACCTTTCAATAGATGCCAGATTGAAAAGTCACTAAAAAGTAACATGTCTTATTCAGCATTCTACTACTCATCAGAGAAAATTGTTATAAAGCATTTAAATGGAAAATTCTTTCTGGACTTGGTAAGGTTTGTTTTCAACTTGCCCCACAAGCTCTTACTTTTCTTTTCCTATGCTTATTCTTCCTACCTTTTCTTGCCTGCCACAAGAAAGGTGAAAGCCAGGGGATGATTTTCTTTTTTTAATATTATCTTGGGTTTTCTGTAACTTTTTTGCTGCTAGAATAACCGAATGAGATCATGACCAATTTGAAGGGATATCTGGCAGCCACTATAATTATCTGTTACAGGTTGGCAGGTAAATAGAGAAGTGGTCTTTTAGGGTCCACGTGAGGAAAAGGCCCATGTGGGGAGAACGGATGCAGTGGGCCAAAGAACAGTATTATTCTGGTAAAACAGAGCCTGTGGTGCCATGAGACACATCATTTGCCTCCCCCTCTCCTGCTGGACACAGCACAGGCAGCATGTGGTGTTGGGAAAGGCCCTTCTGGAAGGGTGAACCACAGGAATGCAGCCCTGCATGTTGGCTGATGAGCCAATCAGAGCACTGACGATTGGCCCCACACGGATGTACAGATTGGTTCTGCTATGTAACAGCTCATATCTGGAAATAGATATTCCTGTCTGTGCCAGGCTAGGGATGGGGTGAGGCTGGGGACTCATGTGAAGGTCTGGGATTTCAAATTCATAAGCAGGCCACCAGGTTGGACAGCGTGTGCAACTTCGCTCTGTTGGTATTTTGTTCCTGCCCCATGTGTTATGACTTCTTTCCCAAACTGATATTTTCTCCTGAGTCTTAGGGCACAAGAAAGCAAACAAACAGACGGAATACATTAGCCACATCTTTTTTCTTAGACCCTTTGCTGATATTGGTTAAAGCTGCTTTGCTCTTTACTTGGAAGTAGTTTTGACTCTACTTTTAAAGTAACATTTGCCAAGAGAATGCAAACCAGTGCTTTGTCATGATTCCTCATGTTTGGGGAATTTGAGATTTGAGTTCTGGGCTGAGTGGATGAGGCCTCAAAAAGCAAGTCTTATTGAGCTGTGGCCACAGAGACACTGATCAGAATGGGAAGGCTGTGCTCCTTCCCCCCTCCTCACTCTGATGTAACTTTACACAAACCTCAGCTCCGGGCTGCTGGTTTTCATCATTAGATACATCTGGAGATGAATTTTGGATACATGTGGACTCTTTAAGGCATTTACAAAGCACTTTATAGAAATTCAAAGGTTGTGAGGGCAAGACTGAGAGAAGGTGGGTATGACATGTAAGACCTCATGCCAGCTGGGCTCATCCACAGCTGCAAGGGCCTTCACCTATCCAAAGATGTTGTTAAGGATCAACTGAAGGTCAGCGACGTGGGTGAATCTCATAGGTGTAAGGATGAGTGAAATGTGCCAAACATAAGAGTGTATACAGCAGGATTATTTTCATAAAAACTACATGAACAGGGCTTGGTGCAGTGTCTCACACCTTTAATGCCAGCAGTTTGGGAGGCCGAGGCAGAAGGATCACTTAAGCCCAGGAGTCCCAGGAGTTGGAGGTTATAGTGAGATATGATTGTGCCACTACAGCCTGGGCAACAGAGCAAGATCCTGTCTCTAAAAAACAAACAAACAGACAAACAAACCACCACAACAACAAAACTACAGGAATACGCAAAACTAATCTATTCTGTTAAGTCAGGAGAGTAGTTACCATTGGTGACAGTGAGTAACGTCTGGAATAAAAAATGAGAGACTTGGGAAACTAGTAATGCTGGTAATGTTTCTTCTTCAGGGTACTGTTTATAGGGGTATGTTCAGTTTGTGAAAATGTATCCAGCTGTTCACTTTCTGTATGTATATTTCAAGAAAAACATAATTTATGTTTTGAACTGTAAATTATGTTTCTGTTGAAACATACATACAAAGTGAATATACTATAAGTGTACAGCTGGATACATTATGTAAATTATGTTTACTGAGGGGCAGTTCCATGTACATTGACATGTAACTATCTCCAAGGTATAGAGTTAAATGGGAAATGCAAGAAACAAAACAGTATGTATAGTATGCTATACATATATTATACATATATGACTCATACAAATAATGTAATTGTACATGCATAGAACATCTTTGGAAGGACACTAGGAAGAGTGGTTGCCCCTGGGGTACCTAGAGACAGAGGTAGAAGGAGAACTTGCTCTTTTATTCTATGCCTTTTGAATTTTGTATCATGCACTCAAATATTTTACTCAATAAAATTATTCATTAGATATTAATTAATTAATAAGGAAGACTTGCTAAGTGCAACAAACCCATCACCAATCCCAAAAGCACAAATACTATATTATTCTACTTCTATGAGGGACCTACAGTGCTCAAATTTATAGAGACAGGAAATAACATAGTGATTGCCAGGGGCTGGAGGAAGGGGAGCATGGAGAGTTAATGTTTAATGGGTACTGAGTTTCAGTTTGGGATGATGAGAAAGTTCTGGAGATGGATGGTGGTGATGGTTGCACAACAATGTGAATATACTTGATGCCACTAAGCTGTACACTTAAAAATTATTAAAAAGATAAATTTTATGTTGAGTATATTTTGCCACAAAATATTTTAATATGTGAATTAAGGCTAAACAGCCATTTTACGATTAGTGTAAATTTATGTATTGGCTCTACCACTTGCAAGCTGTGTTTTAACCTCCCCATGTCTCCATTTCTTTGTTTCCTTATCTGGCAAGTCGGGTAGTATTAGTACCACCTTAAGGGGCTGTTGTAAGAATTAAATGAAAGAATACATGTAAAATGCTTAGAATAGTCCTTGGAACATAAGTGCTTAAGAAATATTATCATTATTGTTTTTTATTATATGTTGTGAAGTAGGAAAGCAAATTACAGAATTATCTCTGTAATACCATCCCCTTTATACTTTGTGGGGAGAATACATGCATATGTGTGCATGCGCACGTACCTAATGTACTCACGCATCCGTCATGTATTGATCAAATACTGTGTGCTGGACATTGTGCTAAGGGTTGGGCAGACACTGGTGGTGTCAGGGTGGAGAATGGTGATGGTGGTGGGGTTGTTTAAATAGAGAAGTCACAGGAGACCTCTCTGAGTAGTTGACAATTCCGAGAAGGTTGTAGCAGCCATGAGGGAGCCATGCAAAGAGGAGAAGAGCTTCCCAGACAAAGGCGGTATCATGATGTGAGATGCCAAGTTGGAAGGCCTCTTGTGGGTGAGTAAAAAAGAGGATTGTCAGAGGAGGTTGGAATATACATAGGCAATTCTAGAAAGATGGAGAAGAAACTGTTAATAGTGGTTTCCGCAGGGAAGTATTCAGGGAGGTGTGGGAAGGAGGGTGTGGAGTGGAGAAAAGGAATTTTACTTCTTACTTTATTCCCTTCTCTACAGTTTGAATTATGTACCATAAGGATGTATTTTGTCATTAGAAAAAAAGGCTGGTTAATAAAAAATTGAGGAACCTTAATCATTAATAGTAAGAAATCTAATAGCCTTTCCTTCTTTCAAGAATCACCTCATCTCAACTCTCCAGTTACTTTTCATGAAGCGAGAGTGTAATGTCATTTATATCTACTCATTGGTCTGAAAGTAGGGCAGAGGTTACCTTCTGCTATCTATTCAGTAATCTTTTTCTTTGAGTCAGTAATGGCTTCTTCTAATTCCCTTCTGTGAAACTCCTGAACCATCTTTTCCACTAGGACTATTTTTACTCTTTTTTTAAGGGATTTCAAATTCATTTAAGATTCTTACTTTGGGTCACTGCAATAACAGACATATGCAGGAGCAGCTACTCAGCCTTTCCAGTTGGAGTAGAATGGGGACAAGGAATGACCAAAAGAGACTGAGGTCAAAGGAAGAACTAAAGCACTGTCCCTCAAAATGCATTCTGGAAGCTCCATTGGGCTGGGTGCTTTACTTCTCTGGATCTCCCCTGGGGTCCCCAGAGCCTTACTAAAGTTAGGGTTTCTCTGTAGAGTGTTCTGAAAAGCAGAGAAAGCTTTTCCTTGTCCAAATGGAATCCCAGCAGTGGTTAAGATTGCTTAGACTCATACCCATGAATCAAGGCAATGGATGATGTCTTCTAGGACAGATGTCAAAACCAGCTCTGAGGCAAGGTGCGGTGTGAGCAGGGAGAGGGTAGGCTAGATGTCTCCTAGCATTTTCAATCCTCTAAACTGAGCTACAGTCAGAAAGGAGGAAAACAGAGCATCTGATCTGTCTGTGGCCTGCCTCACTGAGAATTTCATTGCCTGCACGGCAGCAGGAGAAATAAGGTGAATAACACCAATTTGAAACCCCATGCTTGGCTATGTGTATGCCCATCCCGTACTCCAAATATCTCTCCTGCATCCCCTTTGTTAATTCCCTGGACATTTTTATAACTGTTTCCAACCGGAAGAAGTGCATGAATTGATACTTTGGCATCAGGCTAGATGTGCCACTCGGGTTTCTTCTCTCCCAAGCTGCCCCTCCTGCTGTGTGTGTGTGATGTCTAAAGGCCTCCCCATCTGGACACTCACCCACGGCATTGGACATTTTCCTTTCAGGTTTATCCCACGCAGTCCTATTCCAGGAATGCCTCCTCTTCCCCACACCACTTAGTGTGTAGACAACTCACTCTGCCAACAATAAGCAATAGTATGAACAATAAACTAGTATTTATTGAGCACTTATTATGTGTCAGGCTGTATTCTAACTACTTTATGTGGATTAACTCACTCCCCATCCAGTTCTCTGAAGAAGGTGTGGTTATTGTCTCTGTTTACAGTTGAGGAAACTGAGGCACAGAGTGGATGCTTTCATGGCATTTCTCTTCTGCCAGTGATCTCCACTCTGTGAGCGAGCCAGCCAGTCTCTGCGTTTAGCCAGCGCCTGCCACAGGGGTCTGGCTCTTAGTGAATGATTGCTCCTGGATCTCCCAAACTCTTCATATACTTTCACATCCTGAGCAAAAAAATGCTTCCCAAGATTCCTCCTGCCAGCTCCATCTGTGAAACTTGTGGGCCGGTATTTGAATAAGAATGACTAAAGGGGGAAGAGGTTTTATGAACTTCAGACTGTGAACTCAAGGAAGAGAGTGAGTCAGGCCTCCACATTCCTGAAATACTTTCAGGAGGCTCAGTGACCTCAGACAATAAGAACCTGAGGCAGAATGTCCTTGGGAGGCCCCCCACCAGGAAGAACGTGAGGGCAGATGCTCTGCTGTGCTGCCTTCTGTGGTTCCATGCGCAGTGTGTGGGTTGAAGGAAACCACTAGCCAGAGGCCCAGGCCTACCGAGAGCGCTGCCTTGGTTTTGCCCAGGCTGACTCCTCTCCCTGGAATGCTTGACCCCAAATGCTTGTGAGCTTGTCATCCCAGACTCAGCTCATGTGTCACCTCCTCTGTCTGCTACAGGTAGAAGAGGCTTTGTGGTTGGGACACCACAGGGAATTGCGCTTGCTTCTCTCACTCCTAAACGCCCTAGAAAAACATTGCTTTCAACATGTGTGCCCAATACATTCTTCATACCTACTGAGGTTGGCAACAGCTCCAAGGTTGAGGAGTGAGCCCTGTGCCGGGGGTGTCAGATGTGGGTGCTAGTTCCATCTCAGGCCTGGGCCTTGTAACCTCCCACACCTCAAACTCTTCCTGATTAAAATGATATGTTTTGATCTACCTCTCCTACAGATGGTGACCTTCTGAGGTACAGAGACTTTTAACCCAGGCGCTATTTTCAGAGCGGAGCAGGCACATAGCTATTCAATAAGTTTAAATAATTACAAATCTTTCTCCCCAGCTTCTATCTCCGTCCATCTCTTTCCTCACCAAGCTTAAACCCATGATTGGTATGAGGTGCAACCATCCACAAAGGGAAAGTATCATCCGCTAATTTTTTTTAAAGGTGCTTTCTTGTGTTTCTCATGTGTGCGTGCGTATGTGCATACATGCATGACTGTGTGTGTGTGTGTGTGTGTGTGTGAACAGAGCAAACGAGAGGCTGCACTAGGCTGAGCTCACCACAGGGGTGAATTGTAAAGAATGAGTCTCACCCAAGATGAAAATGTTACCTCAGGAATTCTTCCATGATCTTTGAGCAGGGAAGGAGTGAAAGGGTATAGCTGGGGCCCATCCTATGGACTGAAAAGCTGAGGGAGCACATTCAGTCAAGCACATCCTCCAATAGCTGCACCACTTTCCAACAGAAACAAGGGAAGGGTGGCAGAAGAAGTAGAACTAACTAGGCTGTGGGTTACTGCCCTAAAGGCCAAGATGTAAAGCCATAGAGAAAAGTGCTTTCAATTGTAGGCTCGTGAAAGCTACTGAGATTGGTGACTGCACCAGTGCCAAGGAAAAAGCCCTGCCTGGGGGTGGCAGGTGTGGGTTCTAGTGCCATCTAGTGCCATGCCATCTCTGGTGCTAAGGAAGTTGGTGGGCTTGGCCGTGTCGTATAACCTCCCGTGTCACTTCATGTGGATAGTGAAGATATTGGGTTGATGACGGGTTTAACTGAGGTTTTGTCACTCCTGCTCACCTCCCCTGCTCTCCTGTGTCATCCACACAAATGTTGTTTCTGCATTGGCCAATCTGGGACTCGTCCTTGCCTCCACTTTCACCCTCCAAGAGAGGAAGGAGGGAATGTGGGTAAATGCAGGTGCACACGGCACACATTCCATCAGGCAAATGGGAGTTGAGTGACATAAAGAGTTGGAAGTCCACTTTCAGGCTGGACAGGGAGGTCCTCTTCCTCCATCCCGTCTTTACCTCTATTCTTGCCCACCAGCCCAATCCCTGCAGCCCTGCCCAGGGCTGGTCTTTCCCTCATTCTGGCTGAGCAGTGGAAGTTGCCTGAGGAAGCTCAGTCCTGCCATCCCAACCAGAGCTGCCCTGGTTCACTTTGCTGCACCTGCCAGACCTCCCAGGTAGTTAATGATCCCCTGGGCAGAAGAGCCTTTTAATAATTTACCAGAGTAGATAAAGAAAAAAGCATAGTTCTCTACTTGGAGGCCAATTACACTGGCAATCCAGACAGTATAGATGGAGTTAAGACTAACTTCAAGTTCAAACTCAATTTTTTTTTGTATGGGAACCCTGCCTTATAGCTATTTATATGAAGTCTTATCAGAACCTTCATCCAGATATTTAAACATCCCAGCCCTACTGTATGATCAGCACTTTCGGGCTCCTTCACTAGTCAGGAGAACTCACTATATAAAGCAAAAGAAACCAAAATACCCTAGAACAAAATGAAATTTAAACACTTAAAGAACTCCAGAGAAAGAAAAGTGATTTTGCATTGTCTAACTATTTGAGTTCCTTATTAGAATTTGAAAAACACTCTTCTGCAGGGAATTATATGTTTCCTTGAGTCAAAAGTAGACTCAGAGCCAGTATGGTACAGTGGAAAAAAACACCTCCTTTGGAATTAAAGAGACCTAGGTTGAAATCTTGCCTTCAGCTAAGATTGAGACTAAGAAACTTATTGAGGCTCTGTGAATCTCATTTTTCTTATCTCTTCAGTGGGAGCAATAATTCTGTCCTTGGGATTTTTATATAAATTTTAATCATGAAAAGAAAAACCTAGGATACTGTAGACAGTAAATGATGTATCATTGTCATCACCATCATCATGGAGCCCATATCCTGAAAAATTTGAATTTTTATAAAGATGTGAGCAAAAATCTTCCCTCTCAAAAGTGTAACAATGACATCTAATAAGGATAAATGTGGTAGACTGTGACATTGGCAGTCCCCAGTGAACTACCTCCCAGTGTCTATGGCTTTATATAGTTCCCTTCCACCTTGATGCTGGGCTTGATCATGTGACTTGTTTTAACCAACAAGGTGTTAGTAAGTTTGGAGCAATCAGAGGCTTAATAGGTTCTTGTACATCGAGGCTTGTCTTCTTGTGACACTCCCTCTTAGAAGCCAGCCCCTTGGCTGTAAAGAAACTCAGGGTAGAATACTGAGTGATGAAAAGCCACAAGGAGAGAGACCCCAGAGGATGAGGAGTCATTTGGAACATTCTAGCCCCAGCCAAGCTCCCACCTGCATGAGTGACCGCATGAGTAACTTCCCAGCTGAACTTCATCAACCAACAAAATTGTGACAATTATAAATTGTTGTTGTTTTAAGCCACCCAATTTTGGAAGGGTTTGTTACATAAATGTCAGGTCCTAAATTTACATTAAGGAAAGTCAACACTACAAGTAGAACTGACAGATTCTTCTTATAGAAGGTCACATGAAATAGACCATGAGATTGCAGTTAACCATAAACATTGACATACTGCTAAGAAACTACATGCAAGCTTACCGTACTTACATTAAACAGATGTACTGGTTGATTGACCATACAGTTATTGAGTGCCTGCTGGCTCCTAGGTTTTGTGCTGGGAGCTAGTAATACCAAGAAAGTTAAAACAATTCTCCTATACTGTGTTGTCTCTTGGATTCTGAAATTTACATCTGCCCTTTAATTCAGCTTGGGGATTGGGGGTTGGGGGTGTGAGGACCAAGAGAGCAAGAAAGTAAGTGCTCATGGTTCAGGAGGGAGGGTGGATTTGTAAACAGAAGTCCACTTCAGGATCCTACAGGAGCTAATAGACTTGCTGCAGTTGGCACTCAGGGAAGACCTGGAGGGTTCTGTTACCCTATCAATATCTCAGTTTTAGAGTGACCTTAACAGACTGAGGTGTATTTGGAAGCAAGCAACCAGGGAAATGAAAGTCCTGAAGACAGATCATGTGAAGAATAATTGTAGCTGCTGTGTTTATCCTAGAAAGAAATAAAAGGTTGAGAGTGCACGTGGGGAAGAAGCACCTAATTTAGAGGTCTTAAATATGGCAATATGAAAGAGGATTAAATTCATTCTGAGGAATGCTGGAAGGAAAAACCTAAACAGTTACTGAAAGCTATAAGGAGATGGATGTCAAGCTAATAGTCAGAAGAGTGGCTAACACTTCTGGAGTATGAGCTGTGGAAAGAGGCAGAGCAGGCACCAACTCCATCAGTGACAGAGGCCTGGACCACCTCTGGCCGAGGAGGTGGGAAAGGGGTCTGGCAGTCGGTGGAGCCAGGGACCTCCAAGTCACTTCCAAGTGTAAGGTCTCACAGTTCACCCCATGAATTATAGCATCCTTATCCCGACTAAATAGTGTTAAGAAGTAAAACAGGTGGCCCCGCCTGCCTATCGTGAGTGGGAGAATTGTCCACAGATGATGACTGGACTCAGCTCTAGCCCTAAGGAGTTAGCCCAGGAGATTACGGATTAAGGAGTTAGCCCTGATATCTGAACCCAGGAGACTGAGCTCAGAGATTAGGGATAAGATGACTGAAGCCTCAGAGAGACACATGGGCACTGCCTCTAATGTCTCTCACCACTTTGAAGGGGTCATGAGAGCTTGTGTATTCCAGGGATTATCATACCCTGGGGGCAGATGCAGAGAAACAGGCCAGGCACATATGGACATCCAGGTTTCTCAAGCATATGACAATTTAGGAAGGACCAGGAAAGGGGACTAAGCAAGTATCAGGACGTCATTGGTCATTTCTAAGTGGGTATCACAACCCTGTGCTGGGACCATGCTCAGTGCTCCTAACTGGCCCTCTCCTGCTTCTCTCGCCTTCTAGCCTGCAAAACTACAGGAGCAAAGATCTTTTCAGGGGCCCCATTTCCTGTCAGTGGGTGCTGCAACACCAGCAGCAGCAGGACAAAAGAGAGGAGTGCAGGCTCAGAGGTTTGTGGGAAACAGGAGATCTGGGAGATCAAGTTTAGATTTCTCTGGAGACCTTGCAATTATGGGCCCAGGCAAGGGAAGGCTTCAGCCTCCCCGTAACTGACTCAGGGTAGGAGTAAAGGGGGAGGCTGCAGAGCGCCCTCTGTCTGACCGTTCCCTGGTCCCCGTGGTCTCACACACCTGTGCCTTTGTACATGTTGCCTCACTACCTGGTGACTCTTTGCCCTTTCCTTTTCTCCCAACACCCAACTTCCAGATTCTACCCCAGGTAAAACCTTCCCCAACTCTCTCAGGAAGGAGCAGCCTCCGACCTGCATGGTATCATGCAGCAGAGCTTACTGTAACTAGACTGAGTTTCTCAAGGCCAGAGGCTGAGTCTTGGGCATCTCTGCAGTCCCCAAAAGAGTTGGCACAGAACCTGGGATGCCTCAGTTGCTCAGTACACAGGGGTTGAATGTGTGAAGCATGTGTGAAGCACATTCCTTGCCCCTGCACACATGTGGCATGCCCACTGATGCCCTGTTGTGTGCAGCGTGCATCTCTCTGTGGTCCATCTCTCAAAAGTTGGAATGAAACTGGTCAGAAGTAACTTTATTCTAAAATAAAGTGAAATAAAGCAACACGTGGTTTCCATTTACTACTTTCACAGCAGGGAAGCCCTGGCACCTGGGGAAGAGGTTTAGTCTAACTGGGGCCTGAGCAGAACAGGAACCCTCAAGGGAGAGAGGCAAAAACCCTTCAAGCCACTGACCCAGCACAAAGACTCTACTGTGGGGAAACCCAATATAAGGGTGTGCCTTGTTCTAAGGGAACAGGATACGCAAAAATCCAAAGTTATAAAATAGATAAATCAGGGAGTGGTTATTGACGTTACCAGAGAACTCACCAGAAGGTTCCCCGAAATAGCCAGCTCCCACAATCCACTTAAACTGTGATTTTACTTTCAGAAGTTTGATATTACATACTGGTTTTCAGGAGAAACATAAATAGGTTCCCAGGGAGCCCAGCATTGCAGTGTGTCTGGCCAGCAGCTGGTTGACCAGGCCTTAAGGTGAGAGGCCTCGAGCTGCTCCAAGTGCTGGAGAAGCTGTAGTTCGGAAGCTCCCTCCCCGCCTGCTCCAGGGCACATCAGACTCAGCGAGTCTGGCTGTTTCCAATGTTAGTCCCAATAGGAAGAACAAGGCCCAATCGGGACCTTCCTGCCTCTACTTGAGTGGGCTGGTTGATTACTCAGTGCACTTTTCTGTTGAGAGAGCATAGGATTTATATTAACTATTCACTTTTCTTTCATTCATTAGAGTGTTTTACAGTGTATTTTCTATGTGTATGACACTGTGCTAGGCACTGCAAAGTACAGAAAATTATAAGTATGTTCTCTGCCCTCTAGGAACTCACAGTCTAGTTGGAGAAGAAAGCCTTTGGATTTTGTTGATTCTAGAAAGTACTTTTCAAAAAATCCTTTAACAGTTCTGAAATCAGAATCCATCTTACTGCAGATGGCATGCCATAGTCTAGTTGGCTGGTTTTTCTTAGTGGTATGTAAAAAGATAGCGTATCTTGAAATCGTCAGGGTCTTATGCAGATGAAACAGGGTGTATGAAAATGCTAAATACACTTGTCCCTTGGTATCTGTGGGGGATTGGTTCCAGGACCTCCATGGATACCAAAACCCATAGAGGAAATGCTCAAATAACTTATATAAAATGGCATACTATTTGCATATAACCTATGCACATCCTCCTTTATACTTTAAATCACCTCTAGATTACTTATATATACCTAATACAATCTACATGCTATGTAAATAGTTGTTATACTGTATTGTTTAGGGAAAAATGACCAAAAAAGGTCTGAACATGTTCAGCACAGACACTACCATCAACTTTTTTTTTCTGGATATTTTTTATTCATGGGTGGTTGAATCCATGGATGCAGAACCTAGGGATATGGAGGGCTGACTGTAATGGTTTAATGACACAAGACTCCAAGTGGGATTTGATGTCCTCTTTGTGAATACACCTCATGGGTTTGCCTTTCAGAGAATATGTGTCATAAGCTTAAATTAAGTTATCCAGGGAAGCTGGGATGGAGAGGCCTCACCCATCCTCCAATCTGGGAGCACAAAATGGTGGTAGCCCAACCCTGGTTCCCTTCCATATGGGCCATGGGAAAACCAGAGTGAAGCAGCAGGAACAGGTCTAGGTGGCAGCTCTTCAGCTATGACATGACAAGATATGTGCTGATTCTCTGACTCCTAGATGGCAAGTCCTCATACATCTGTGCCTCCCAGTGCTTAACCTGTAACAGAAATATAAAAGACATTTCTGTGTGTATATGAGCATAGATATAGACGTACAGATATATAAATATGGATATAGATATAGATAGATATTATATTAGTCTGTTCTCACACTGCTATACAGAGCTACCTGAAACTGGGTAATTTATGTAAAAAGAGGTTTAGTTGACTCATAGCTCCACAGGCTGTACAGGAAGCATGGCTGGGGAGGCCTCAGGAAACTTACAATCATGGCAGAAGGGCAAAGGGAAAGCAAGCACATCTTCACATGGTGGCAGGAGAGAGAGAGCAAAGGAAGACTTGCTACACACTTTCAAACAACCAGATCTCAGGATAACTCACAAGAACAGCAAGGGAAAAATCCACCCCCATGACCCAATTGCCTCCCACCAGGTCCCTTTGCCAACAGTGGGGATTACAATTCGACATGAGATTTGGGTGTGGACACAGAGCCAAACCATATCCGATATATAGATGTATGTCAAATGAATGAATTTCTGTGATTGAGGCCAAAAGTTTATTATAAAAAGGGTGCAATATGACTTCTAATCTTAGCTTCTTGGCCAAAATTCAGAAAAATTCCTTGCAATCTGTCTAATGTTACAGGGGATTTCTTCCTTTTCTTTTTTTGGCTTCACCATTCCTCACCCAAAAAAGCAGTGGCTCCTGTTGCTGGTGCTGAACCGTGGCCATGTTCTATTTATTTAAATGGCTGTGTTTACATAGCATGCCAAGGGACCTGGCTTCAAACTTATGAGAGCAGAAGGAGAATGTACAGCTTCTAGCAGACACTGAGAGCAACCACAGGAATTAAATACGTTCTTAGGATATGCAAACACCTGAAATGGTTTAGACCAAGTGTATTGACATAATAATATAATCCAAATTCTTAATTCAGTTATCATTATTAATATGGCACATAGAGACTATGAACTGCTTTATCATTCTTGCCCATACAGAATGTTAAGACACTTGCTGTTTATACCTTTTTTGACATGCACTTTGTTTGCAAGTGTAGCAATAATAGTTCTTTTGCACCTGGGGAATAGGTGAGGTTTAAGGAGCCAGAATGGAGCTGCTTCTGTGGCACTTTGTTTACCTATCACATTGCTGCAGGCTTTAAAATCCTGGACGAGAGAGCTGTGCACAGCTAGTGGTAAGTAGGAACACTACTCCAGGAGGAACCGGAAGCTGTTAAGGAGCTGGCCTCCTGCGGGAATCTGACCTGTGGCACAGACGCAAGAGCATCAGGTGGCAGTAACCAAGTCATCCAGGCTTCCTCTCTCTGGTTGTTTTGCCTTTGCTGTTGGGTCCAAGGAGTCAACTGGGGCTGTCCTGGGTGACTCACCAGTGGGTCAGGCCCAGGCTGGGTCCTGTCGGCCTGAGACCAACCTGTCATAGCAGTCTGCTCTCTTGTCCCAGATGATGTGGTGTCCTGTCTGCACTCAGCTGTGTCCAGCTTGTATCTGATGGTGCCAGTGCTAATTCACCCTCTGCCGGCTGGCAGCTCGTATTACCGTGGAGATGGGGGATTTCCAAAGATACCTCCCATGGAAGGGACAGGCCTGTCCGCATCACCAGGGCACATCTCCCATCTCCTATAGGTCCCTGTTTTTGCTTTTTCTCTTATTAGCCATAAAAAACAAGATGCAAAATGGCTGTTACTACTCAGATCTTGCATGAGGCTATAAATTTGCTGACTTTGAGAGTACCCCAAGGCTTCCAATATGGTGGTGTTTTCCACTTCGGGAGTTAACCCCAAATAGTAAACTCTTACTCATCCTTCCAGACCCACTCCAAATGTTTTGTCTTCTGTGAAGCTTTCTCTGACTACCCTCTATGCTCTCATATTACTAGGTTCTCTCGCACTGTTACAGTGTACCAGGATTATTTTTATACATGGACATTTCTGCTAGGTGTGACATCCTTGAGGCTCGGACGATGTCTTATTATTTCTTTGTTTGGCCACCTCGTCTGGCTGGCCTGTGGCCTGTCATGCACTATATACACTCAGCAAATGATAGGTAAATGAATGAAAGAATTATACTCCTGCCAAATATTTGTTTGTTTGTTCATTCATTCACATCTCAGAAAGTACTTTCTTCTCCTTTGGAGGTAGCCATTGTTGTATTATTTATGAAGTCAATAGGCAAATAAAGACCCAAGTATATCAGTTAGGATAGTTTTGGCTGCAAGTAACAGCTTAACAAAAAAAGTTTAAACAGTGGGGAGATTATTATCCACCAAACAAGAGGTCTGCATGGCAGCTGGGTCCACGGCCAGGTAATCCAGCAGCTCAAGGATCTCTTTAGGGACCCGGAGGTTTTTCCCTTGCTGCTCCACTATCTCCAGTGTGTCAGTCATGTCTCCTTCCTGGCTCAGGAAAGGTGATGTTCAGCAAAGAAGAAGGAATTTCTTCTACTGATCTCTTTTTATTATCAAGGATTTCCTTTCTCAGAAGTTTCTCTCCCCACAGAAGATTTCTCCTTCAGTATCATTGATCAATAATGAGTTACAACCCATCATTGAAAACGAAATGAGATCATCATGCAAGTCCTGATATTATCCTTTGGTTGAGGGTGGAGACAGGGGATTGCCTTCCCAGAACTTATGGGAGGAAGAACACCCAGACAGATCTGAGGCTTTGCTGACGAGGAGTCAAGGAGATGGGGTATGGCCTTTCGGTGGGCACAGCAGGTACAGCATTTAAATAACTATGGGACTTCAATAATGGAATGAAAGTCTATGAAACCATTACAAAGACTGAGGGAAAACTACATGGATCAACATTAAATGCCTTTCAAGGTATAATAAATGCAAAGCTGTATGTGTATTCTAATCTTATTTATTTATTAATTAATTATTAGTTAATGGCAAGTGGACACACCCCCCAAATCTGTAAGAATATACACTATATGCTTAAAAGTGGCTCTCCGTGCTGTGTGTGTGTGTGTGTGTGTGTGTGTGTGTGTGTGTGTGTGTGTGTGTGAGAGAGAGAGAGAGAGAGAAAGACGGGGGGCTTACTAGGAAGCTTCATGTTTGACATTCTGTATTTCTTGTAATACTGAATCTGTATAAGTATGCCTGCTTTTAAAGGGAAACCAACAACAACAGAACTCAAACATTAAAGAGAATATCTTAAATGGCCAAGTCTCGTCTTAAATGAAAGAGGTCAACTCAAGACATGGGCTCTTTTCCAAGAACAAACTAATTTGGAGGATAAGAGGGACCTGTCTGAAAGTTTCCCTTAGGAGCCCAGAATGTAAACTCCCACTGTGGATGAGCTCCTTTATTTTAACCAGCAAATACTCTTAACAGAAGAGCTGAGTTTTTACCACTCAGATCAATCTCCGTTTGCTAGAGAAAGGTGTTACCTCTGTTATGGGAAGTTGGTGGTGCTGATTCACCTCTAGGAAATCCATGGGCGGAAATCTTCCCAGGAGCCCGGTTGACACCAAGACCCTGTCTCCTAGACAGACCTCCCTGTGACCCAAGTGCCTTCCTGTGCCCCAAATGCCTTTGTCAGGGAGACAGTCAGAGAGTAAATCCTCTGGGGTCTACCTTTTACTTCATAAGTGGCTAACTAACTATAACTACTTGGACAAGTCTTCTATCTCTCGGAGTTCATTGAATGCCTCTGCAAATATAAGTATTCTTTATTTGATAGCACTGGAAATAAGGACTTTGAGTCATTAAAAAAATTTTAGAGCCAACCCCCTGGCTATCTGCAGCAATGCCCCTGGGAAGTCTCTTTGGTTACCATAAAAATAGATGGTTAAATTCAGCAGACGTTCAGGATGCAGTGTATATCTTTGATTAACTTATCCGGTGTCGGTTGGAAAATATGACATGGTATTATAAATGGAATAGGTACACTTCCCCACAAAAATACACAGACTGGAATTGTAGAAGGAAGCGGGGCTGGGCGGTGCGGCATGTTTACAGCAGCATGGTGATTTGAGATGGTCTCTATTCTTTCTTGAATTTATAACAGCATTTCCATGCCTAAAATTATTTTTCTAAGTACTTCCACAGTAAAAGGGGTGGTCCAGGTTGTGCTTTCTTTAGAAAGAATCTGAATTTTTAAAGATCATCTCTTCCTGCCCTTTAACCCCCCTGACCATGTGTGTGCATGTGCACGCGCGGGCACACACACACACACACACACACACCTGTTCTCCATCAATCTCTCTCTCTCTCTCTTTTTTTTTTTTTTTTTTTTGAGACAGAGTCTTGCTCTGTCACCTAGACTGGAGTGCAGTGGTGCGATCTCTGCTCACTGCAACCTTCGCCTCTCGGATTCAAGGGATTCTCCTGCCTCAGCCTCCCGAGTAGCTGAGATTACAGGTGCCCGCCACCACCCCCAGTTAATTTTTTTGTATTTTTAGTAGACTGGGTTTCACCATGTTGCCCAGGCTGTTTTTGAACTCCTGACCTCAAGTGACCCACCCCCTCAGCCTCCCAAAGTGCTAGGATTGCAGGCATGAGCCACCACGCCCAGCCTGTTCTCCATCAGTCTCTATGCTGGTGAACTGCAGAGCACCCACTCTCAGGAGAGAGCTGCAACTCAGCTCCCACCATGTACAAATTGCTCATATGTGTAAATTTTTCAAAGGAAGCTAGAAATTTTACTTTAAAAAAAAAAAAAACTCCCAGTTTTCAAACATTGGCAGCAAGCCAGTTTGTGTGTGTGTGTGTGTGTGTGTGTGTGTGTGTGTGTCAGAGTCTCACTCTGTCACCCAAGCTGGAGTATACTAGTATGAATCTATTTCACTACAGCCTCCACCTTCTGGGCTCAAGTCATTCTCCTGCCTCAGCCTCCCATGTAGCTGGGACCACAGGCATCCACCACAATGCCTGGCTATTTTTTTAATTTTTTTATAGAGACAGAGTCTCACTTTGTTGCCCAGGCTGCTCTTGAACTCCTGGGCTCAAGAGATCCTCCTGCCTTGGCCTCCTAAAGTGCTAGGATTACAGGCATGAGCCACTGTGCCCAGCCCAATCCAGTTTTATAAATGCCATGTATGCTGAACAAAACATGTCTATTTGTCAGATTCTAGTGGGACCACTAGCCTTGGACCTCTGCCCTGGGGCAATGTAGAACAAACTTGTTCTCTCTTCTCCAAAGGAGATCTGGAGGTGCTGTAAGATAGCTCTCAAATTCCTTTCAATCTATTCTTACTTGGTACTCACTCATTGACAAAACTTCAGGGAGTTTAAAATCTGGTGGGGAAACAGTTAAGCAGACAATCACAGTGGGGCGATATCATTGCTACAATGGAGATTTGTATGAAAGGACAGAGAAAGGTTCACTAATTGTGCAAGTGCTGGGCTGTGGCCTGCCATGTCCATGCAGATTTGGAGAGGGCCCTTCTCTAGAGCTCTTAGGAGGCTCTCCCTACAGTCTTCCACCCCATAGCCATCCTGACTGAGAGGTGGCTAGATCTTGCTGTTCTGCATGAAGCTTGAGGTCAGTGGCCCAGGAGCCTTTTTGAGGTATCCCCTGAATCTAGTTAATGCAAAATATATGCTGGAGCCCTTCCCCACACTTCTGTGGGCACAATGACAAGGCTGGGGAACACTAGGTATAATTCAGCAAAACTTCTGCTTTTCTGACTCTGCTAAAATTCATTCTAGTTTAGAGAGTGGGCAAGAATTTCTGCCTCTGAAAATGTTCCACTAGATGTGTACTTTGATGGTTAATTTTATATGTCAACTTGACTAGGCTATGGTGCCCATTTGTTTGGCCAAACACCAGTCTAGATATTGTTGTGATAGTATTTTTCACATGTAATTAACATTTGAATCAGTAGACTTTGAATAAAGCAAAGCATCCTGCCATAGTAGGGTGGCCATCATGTATTCAATTGAAGGCATTAAGAGCAAAGACTGAGGTTTTCCAAAGAAGAAAGAATTTGACTTCAAGATTACACCATAGAAACCATGCCTGAGCTTCCAGTCCACCTGGCCTGATCTGCAGATTTAACTCCAACCTGAATTCCAGCCTGCTGGCTTACCCCAAGGATTTTGGACTTGCCAGCCCCCACAACTGCATAAGCCAATTCCTTAAAATCTCTCTCTTCTGTTTCTCCAGAGAACCCTAATACAGGTACACCTGTCATGATATTTCTAAACCTAAAGCAAAAACACAAACTATTTCAAATACAAATGGCCTTTGACTCCAAACCCAGGTGGCACAGCTGTCTTTGATTTCTCTTTATGGCTGAAATGGGGAAAGTATCACTGGTTATTTCAGAAATTTTCAACCTGTTAACCAAGGCTTTTAAATAGTTTCCAATCTATTTATCTTTAAAAAACAGCTGAAGTGACAACTCCTCCAGGAAGCTCTCTTTGATCCCAGAACCAGGCAGTTGGTAACTCTCCTCCAGCCTCCTCTGTGCTCATTAGATTTGTTACAGAATATTTTTGGCTATGTAGTATAGACTGCTAGGTGTCCCCCAATACCTGTTCTCCCTTCTGTAGTATCAGGAGCTCTAATTTTCACGTAAGTACATAGCAACCTAGAGTAAAAACTACATTTCCTACCCTTCCCTGCAGCTAAGCGAGGCCATGTGCCATGAGGCAAACTAGGGAACAGAGGCCGTGCATGGTGAAGCAACAAAATAGCAGAGGCTATTTTGGCCTCAAACAATCCTCCTGCCTCAGCCTCCCAAATTGTTGGGATTACAGTCATGAGCCACCATGCCCACCTCTTAAGCCATTATGATTTGGATTTTCTGTTACTTATAGCTGAACCTAATCTTAACTCAATTTTGCTTACAGATATGCCTCCCTTACCACAAAGTAAAGGAACTGTGGTGCTTCTTTAACTACTGCATAGCCCTATGCCTGAAATATAGAGGTACCAGATAAGTGTCTAGTGACTGGATGTATGAAAGCAAGAAAAAAATGAAAGAATGGTTAGCAGTTGGCTAGAAAAAAGTCCAAGGTGAAGTAGAAGGAAAGCGTTGTGCCCGTGAGTGGGTGCCTTCTAATTTAGCTTCAGCATAAGACAACATATGTTCTATAAATTAGTGAGCATCTACTTTATGCTGGGCACAGTGTAAAGCAATTTTTCTTTTCTTTTCTTTTTTCTTTTTTTTTGAGGCAGAGTCTTGCTCTGTCACCAGGCTGGAGTGCAGTGGTGCGATCTTGGCTCATTGCAACCTCCACCTGCTGGGTTCAAGCGATTCTCGTACCTCAGCCTCCCAAGTAGCTAGGATTACAGGCACGTGCCACCATACTCAGCTAATTTTTGTATTTTTAGTAGGGACAGGGTTTCACCATGTTGTCCAGGGAAACTTCTGCTCCCATTCTTGAAGGGAGAGATGTAATAAATAAACAAGAAAATATCAGATAGTGCTAAGTGCTACGAGGAACATAAAACTTTTTAAATTTATTTTCAATTTTTGTGGGTACATGGAAGGTATATATATTTATGGACTACAAGAGATATTTTGATACAGGCATGCAATGCATAATAATCATATCAGGGTAAATTAAGTATTCATTACCTCAAGCATTTATCCTTTGTGTTACAAATAATCCAATTATACTCTTAGTTATTTTAAAATGTATAATTAAATTATTTTTTACTATAGTCACCCTGTTGTGCTAGCAAATACTAGGTCTTATTTGTTCTATTTTTTTGTACCTGTTAACCATCCCCACTTCCTCCTCAACCCTCCAATACCCTTTCCAAACTCTGGTAACCATCCTTCTACTCTCTATCTCCATGAGTTCAATTGCTTTAAATTTTAGCTTCCAGAAATAAGCAAGAACATGCAAAGTTTGACTTCCTGTGCCTGGCTTATTTTGCTTAACATAATAACCTTCCGTTCCATCCATGTTGTTGCAAATGACAGAATCTCATTCTTTCTTATGACTGAATAGAACTTCATTGTGTATATGTACCACTTTTTTCCTTGATACATTCATCTGTTGATGGACACTTAGGTTGCTTCCAAATCTTGGCTATTATGAACAGTGCTGTAATAAACATGGAAATGAATATATGATTTCCTTTCTTTGGGGTATAAATATTTATTAGGTCCATTTGGTCTGTAGTGGAGAAAGTCCAATGTTTCTTTGTTGATTTTGTCTCTGGGAGATCTGTTCAATGCTGAAAGTGGAGTGTTGAAGTCTCTAACATTTATTGTATTAAGATCTATTTCATTCTTTTTTTGTTTGTTTTGTTTTTGTTTTTTGTTTGTTTGTTTTTTGCAGAATATCAGATATTTTATTGTTATCAAGTAATCAGTGAGAGAGTTCCAGTTGGAGTGAGATCATCATGTATTTTCATTCTTTAGCCCTAATAATATTGGCTTTATATATCTGGGTGGTCCAGTGTTGGGTGCATATATGTTGACAATTGTTATAATATATTCTCTTGCTGAATTGACCCCTTTATTATTATTGAATGACCTTCTTTGTCTCTTCTTATAGTTTTTGTCTTGAAATCTATTTTGTCTGATATAAGTATAGGTATTCTTTTTTGGTTTCCATTGGCATCAAATAACTTTTTCCATTCCTTTATTTTCAGTCTACTTGTGTCTTTATAGGTGAAGTGTGTTTCTTGTAGGCAACAGCTCCTTGGGTCTTGGTTTTTTTTATTCATTTAGTCACTTTATGTCTTTTTATTGAATAATTTAGTCCATTTATATTCACTGTTATTATTGATAAGTAAGCCCTTACTCTTGCTATTTTGTAATTTGTTTTTTGGTTGTTTTGTCATCTTCTATTCCTTCTTTCCTTTTAGTGAAGATAATTTTGTCTGATGGTATGATTTAATTTCTTGCTTCTTATTCTATGTGTATCTATTACATGTTTTTTGACCTCCGATTACCATGAGGTCTGCAAATACTATCCTATAACCCATTATTTTAAGCTGATAACAACTTAGCACTGCTTATATAAACAAACAAGCAAAAATAAAACTAATAAAAACGCTACACTTCAACTTCAAGGCTTTTTGTTGTTTCCATTTATATTTTATTGTACTGTGTCTTGAAAAGTTGTTGTAGTTATTATTATTATTATTATTTATTTATTTATTTATTTATTTATTTATTTATTTGAGATGGAATCTCACTCTGTTACCCAGGCTGCAGTGCACTGATGTGATCTCGGCTCACTGCAACCTTCACCTCCCAGATTCAAGCAATTCTCCTGTCTCAGCCTCTCGAGTACCTGGGGCTACAGGCATAAGCAATCCCGCCTGGCTAATTTTTGTATTTTTAGTAGAGACAGGGTGTCACCATGTTGGTCAGGCTGGTCTTGAACTCCTGACCTCAGGTGATCCACCTGCCTCAGCCTCCCAAAGTGCTAGGATTACAGGCATGAGCCATCATGCCTGGCCTAGTTATTATTTTTGATTAGCTCATCTTTTATTCTTTCTACTTAACATAAGAGTAGTTTACACACCACAGTTAAACCGTTATAATAGTCTGTGTTTTTCCGTGTACTTACTATTCTCAGTGAGTTTTGTACCTTCAGATGATGTCTTATTACTCATGAACATCCTTTTCTTTCTGATTGAAGTACTCCCTTTAACATTTCTTGTAGGATAGGTCTGTTGTGATGAAATCCCTCAGCTTTTAATTGTCTGGGAAAGTATTTTTCCTTCACGTTTGAAGAATATTTTCACCAGATATACTATTCTAGGGTAAAAGTTTTTTCTCTTCAGCACTTGAAATATGTCATGCCACTCTCTCCTGACCTGTAAGGTTTGCACTGAAAAGTCTGTTGCCCAGCATATTGGACCTCCATTTTATGTTATTTGTTTCTTTTCTCTTGCTACCTTTAGGATTCTTTCTTTATCCTTGACGTTTGGGAGTTTGATTCTTAAATGCCTTGAGGTAATCTTTAGGTTAAATCTGCTTGTCATTCTATAACCTTCTTGTACTTGAATATTGATATCTTTCTCTAGGATTAGGAAGTTCTCTGTTATTATCCCTTTGAATAAACTTTCTAGCCTATCTCTTTCCATACTTCCTCTTTAAGGCTGATAAATCTTAGGTTTGCCCTTTTGATGCTATTTTCTAGATCTTGTAGGCATGCTCCATTCTTTTTTATTCTTTTTTCTTTGTCTTCTCTGACTGTGTATTTTCAAATAGCATATTGTATTAGCCTGTTTTAATGCTGCTGATAAAGACATACCTGAGACTGGGCAATTTGCAAAAGAAAGAGGTTTAATGGACTTACAGTTCCACATGGCTGGGGAGGCCTCAATCATGGTGGAAGGTGAAAGTCATGTCTCAGATGGTGGCAGACAAGAGAAGAGAGTTTGTGCAGGGAAACTCCCATTTTTAAAACCATTAGATCTCATGAAACTTACTATCACAAGAACAGCATGGGAAAGACCCACCCCCTGATTCAGTTAACTCCCACCAAGTCCCTCCCACAACACATGGGAATTATGGGAACTACAAGATGAGATTTGGGTGGGGACACAGACCCAAACCATATCACATATCTTCAAACTCACTAATTCTTTCTTCTGCTTGATCAATTCTGCTATTAAGAGACTCTGACACATTCTTTAGTATACCAATTGCATTTTTCAACTCCAGAACTTCTGCTTGATTCTTTTTAATTATTTCAATCTCTTTGCTAAATTTACTTAATAGAATTCTGAATTTCTTTTTTGTGTTATTTTGAATTTCCTCAAAACAGCTATTTTGAATTTTCTGTCTGAAAGGTCACATATCTCTGTTTCTCCAGCATTGGTCCCTGGTGACTTATTTAGTTTGTTTGGTGAGGTCATATTTTCCTGGATGGTCTTGATGCTTGTGGATGTTCAGCTTTGTCTGAGCATTGAAGAGTTGGGTATTTGTTGTACTCTTCACAGTCTGTGCTTGTTTGCACCTATCCTTCTTGGGAAGGCTTTCCAGGTATTCAAAAGGACTTGGGTGTTGTGATCTAAGCCATATCTGTATTAGGGGGCACCCCAACCCCAAGAATGCTGTGGTTCTTGCAGGCTCATAGAGGTACCACCTTGTTGGTCTTGGATAAGATCCAGATAATTCTCTGGGTTACTAGGCAGAGACTTTTGTTATCTTCCCTTACTTTCTCCCAAACAAATGGAGTCTCTCTCTGTGTGTGCTGAGCCACCTGGGGCTTGGGGGGTAGGGTGACACAAACACCCCTGCAGCCACCACCTCTGGAGCTGTGCCAGGTCAGACTTGAAGACAACACAGCACTGGGTCTCACCCAAGGCCCCCTGTAACCACTACCTAGTACCATCTGTGTTGAGTCAAAGCCCTAGGGCTCTACAATCAGCAGGTGGTAAAGCAGCCAGGTTTGTGTCCTTCCCTTCAGGGCAGCAAGTTCCCCCAGGCCCTGGGAAGGTCCAGAGATGCCATCCAGGATCCAGGGACTCGAGTCAACAACCTTAGAAGTCTATCTGGTGCTTTACACTACAGTGCCTAAGCTAGCACTCAAACCATGAGACACAGTCCTTCCCACTCTTCCATCCCCTTTTCAGAGGAAGAGGAGCCTCACCCTGTAGCCACCACCACCACGGACCCAAGAGGAGTATTGCCAAGCTACCACTGATATTCTTCTCAGGCCTAAGGGCTCTTCAGTCAGCTAGTGGTGAATGGTGCCAGGCCTGGGATTCACCTTTCAGGCCAGTGGGCTCTTCTCTGGCCCAGGGCAGGTCCAGAAGTGCCATTCAAGACCCAAGGCCTGGAATTGGGGCCCCAAGACCCCTCTTGGTATTATACTCCACTGTGGCTGAGCTGGTACCTGTGATGCAATACAAGGTCCCCTTTGCTTTTTCATCTGTTTTTCTCAAGCAGAAGGAGTCTCTCATCATAGTCACAATAGCTGGAAATGTGCTGAGTCTTACCTGAAGTCATCACATCTCAAAGTCTCACCCAAGGCCCACAGCATTCTATCTGGGTATCACTGCTGGTTATTCAGGGCCCGGGGGCTCTTTAGTCAGCAGGTAACAGTTCTTGCCAGCTCCGAGTCCTTATCTTGAAGGTAGCAGGTTCCCTTCTGGCCCAACATGTGTCTAGAAATGTGGTTGGCAAGCTAGAACTTGGAATAGGGGCCTCACAACTGTGACCTGTGCCCTATCCCACTGTGGCTGAGCTGGTATCCAAGATGCAAGACAAAGTCCTCCTTATTCTTCCCTCTCTTCTCCTCAAGTGGGAGGTAGGGGTCTCTTTTGGAGCCGCAAGCTGTGCTGCCTGGGTTTGGGGGAAGGGTGATGCAAGCTCTCCCTTAGCTGCCCCAACTGGTATCTCAGTAAGTCACATGCCCTTAAAATCCACCTGCTCTGAGCCCAGCTCAGTGCCAGGACTTGCAGTCCTTACAGCCGAGACTGCCTTTTAAGTTTATTTACGTCCCCAAGGCACTTCAGCCCATGGTGGTAAGGCTTGCCAGAACTCCAGCTCTTACCACTGGGATGGGTGATTCTCCTCTGGCTAGGACAGGTCTGAATGCTACCTCCATAGGTGGGCATCTCTGCTGTGACAGGGCAGCACTGCGTTCCAGGCAGTCTCCTAGTTGCTGTAGTCTCCCTCTCCCAAGAGCACAGATTCTCTGCACCATGTGGCTGCTGCCAGAGAATGGGGGAGGGGTGGTGGCAGTGATTCAAGACTGTCTTTCCTACACTCTTCAGTGCCTCTTTCAACGATATGAAGTTAGAAACTGGTTGTGAGTGCTCATCTGAATTCTGGTTCTTGTAAAGGTTCTTTTTTGTGTAGGTAGTTGTTAAATTTGGTGTTCCTGCAGTGGGGATGATTGTTGGGGATTTTTATTCCACCTTTTTGCTCTGCCCCTTAAAAAACTTCTTGGTGTAAGGAACTATTAATAATTTAGACTGGGTGGTGAAGAAAGGTTGCTAAGAAGGTAGCATTTGTGCTGAGACCTACATGCCAAGAAGAAGCCTAGGTCAGGGGAAGGGGCATTTGAGGCAGAGGAACGCTAGTGCAAAGGCCCTGCAGGGGAAATTGCTTGGCTTTTTCAAAGAAGAAGAAAAGGCAAGTGGAAGTATAGTGAATGAGGGTGAATGGTAAGAAGTAGGCAGGGTCCAGGACCTGGGTGCCAAGTAAGAAGCTAAATCTCTACTTTGACAGCAGTGGGACACCATTGGAGCCTTTAACCCAAGGGTCCATATAGTCCGATTTACATTTTTAAAGAGTCAGTTTAAAAATGTAAAAGGGGAAGAATGGAAACCAATGATATTTTGGTTATCTATTGCTATGTAACAAACAAACCCAAAACTTATTTCTTTATAATTACCGTATTGGTTTGCCCACTATTTCGTGGGTCAGGAACTATGGGAAGGACTCAGCTGGGCAGCTCATCTCTGATTCACAAGACATCAGCTGGGGTGGCTGAGGCTGGAGGATTCACTTCCAAGATGGTTTCTTCATGGACAGGTGTAATGCCCAAGTGCTCCTGGTCCTTTCTCTTTCTCCACATGGCAACTCATTCTCTAAGGCCTATCCATGTGGCTTCAGCTTCTCACAGTCTGCTGGTCTCAGAGTAGTTGTACTTCTTACATGGAAGCTCATTTCTAAGAGAAAAGATGGAGGAACTCCTAGCCAGTACTGCATGTGGAACTTGTACCACATTGCATTGCTTCCTCCACATTCACAGGTCAAGAGCTCACCCACATCCAAGAGGGTGGAGAAATAGACCCCCCCATTAATGGGGGAGCAACAGAGGCACATTGCAGAAGGGCACATGGAGTGGGAGATATTGCTGCAGCCACCTTTGGAAAATACAATATGCTATAAATGAGGAGGCCATTCTGGTAATTCAGACAAGGGATGATGGTGGTCTCATCTAGAGGTTTGCTCTGGAGATGAGAAAGGGGTAGATTCAGAATATATGAACAGAATATATGGAAACAGCAAAGCAGTAACAAATGCATCTGAGTATTTATTAATTGTAGTTTATAAGATTACATGGATGAATATTGCCCACCACCAATGGAGAAAGTCACAGCTATATCTAATCTATTTGTAGGACAAATGGATCATTGTCATGTTTCAGAATATGCTTTGTTTTAAAGCATCAGTTGTGTAGGGCAAGGAGTTAATGAGGCCTGGATAGGGCTATACAGTGAGGTTAAAGTATGGACCTGTAGACTCTGAGATCCAGGAATTGCTGTGTCCTCTAACCAAGGGTGCTTTAGAAAGTAAAGGGGGGGGAAGGGGTCTAGCCACAATACATTTTCAAACGCTTCATGGAAACAAGTGCATTTGATGACAGAAAGCCTTGAGCAGTTTTCAGTTCACACATGTGGTTACTTGAGGAGATAAAAGTTTTAAGGTATGAGAGCCAATGTACCGAAGTGGGTGTATGAGAAAGGGTTTTTGGGGTGACAAAAATGCTGAAAGCTATTTTCCTACTTTAACATGAGGGAGTGAAACAGAAACTTGCCCAGAGTCACCTAGTGAATTCATGGCAGAGCTGGTGCTAAAAGACATGATTCCATGGGATTCTTTCCACTGTATCACCTGCCATTCTGCCCAGAGCATAGCTTTGCTCTGTACTGTGGTCATACTGAACCACTGCTATTGCTCAACTGACTTTCAAGTAGTGCCAGAAGGCTGCAAGAAGAGGTTGTGAACAAACCAAGTCTGTTCCCTCTGTTGGAAAACATAACTCTAAAATATGCTTTGCTAATTTTGACTCAGTTGCATCTCTTTGTGGAGCAGACAACACATATGTTCATATGAAAAAATAGTCATAGTGAGACTACTTGCTGTGCTGCTCAATGTCCCATAGAGTATTTCTTAAAATTCGTGGAATGCCTAAGATTCTGAGATCACTCTCTCAGTTCTAAAATCTCTACCAAAAAATAGCTCAAGACCACCAGGATCTTTTGGATTGAAAAGCAAGAACAACCCAAGGTCTTTACTGTGCATGGGAAGGTACATATATATTATAATGAATATTTCTATATGTAACTTCTATTTCATATATGCAGATGCATAATTTTTGGTTTGTTTTCTCAATATTTAAAGTGGGCAGAGCTCCATTCTGGATGTAGGTAAAACTTACGTGTTCTAAATATCATAATTTTATTCTCCACTACTTTTAATTTCTTCAGGTTTTTCTATAGCTAAACAAAAGACATAATTTGCTTGTATTCATCTTCTTTATTAATTGAACACACTTATTGTAAATGGAATTGGCACTTTCAATCACCCTCATTATATTTACTAGGATGAAATTAATAACCCAAAGATTCAGTGTTTTCCCATACTAGGTTCTGTTTCACATTTGAGCTTATTTGGACAAATACTACTTCCCTGCACACTGAAAGGATCTGTAAAATATTGCTCCTTGATCTCTGCATAAGAAGCAATTTGTTGGACTCCAGTGTTGGAGAGCAATACTTCAGGGTTGATGCTTGGGAATGTGTAAATCTTGCCTATGGATTTAGATGTCTGTTCAACAAGATTGCACCACAAAAGCCTCACACCTTTATTATGTTTCACACGTTACATTGCACTGACAAGTTTAACTGCATCCACGACTGGGCCAGCTGATGTTTAAATTCTCAAATACCTTAACATTTGAATGTCTCAGGCAAGAAACCTGACTATTCAGAAGGCACAAGCTGTAATATTTCAGGCAAGTCAAAATCAGAAGTGAAGGCTTTTGGCCATAGATTTTACTAGTGCATTTATATTAACCTCTATGCATTTCCATAAGGCTTTAAAACCATTTCTTAGGCAGTATTTTTCTGTGGGTCTTCATTAAAGTATGGATCTTATTTAATCTACTTGGAAAAATCCCTTCAGGATCCCAGGAGCTGTCCTCCTCCATTCCTTTTAAAAGCACTTTCTCTTCTGCCTAAAAACTCAAGTACTCTCTTAACTAAGTGCGGACTGAAATATTTCACTATGGATTTGAACAGGAGCCAACAGTGATGATGAAAGGAAAACTTCTCCCTATAAAAGGTTTATTGTCAGCGCTTTCTAAAGATGAAGATGCTTCTGAAACAGACTACTGACATTTTCACAAACATTGACACAGCCTTCTCAACCTCTCCTAGACCTATGATTTGGGTCCCTTTCTTTTAGGAATGCTCTGGACCTTTGACCTTCTGAATAGCCAACTCTATATAACTGCTCCCTCCCCCATCAATATAACGTATATTATAAAAAGGAAAGGGGGATGGGGTAGCTTGGCCCTCACGCTATTGGAAAAGTAGTTGAAATTCCTTGCATTCCTTTGCATTTAACAGCATGTTTACCTAATCACCGGCTTATTAGGATTAACACAAGTCATGCTTCAAGCTCATTTAGTGAAAACAAACTGACTCCTATAGACTCAGATTTTTCCTCATAACAGCCAAGGGTAAATTTCTAAGTAGTTCTAATTTTTAGGAACGGTATTGGGAAAATATAAAGTTATAAACAAGCAAGTCTTTAGAATACATTAATTATATTCAATCTTGCCCATGGGTCTGGATGTGGGCAGCCTGAGTTATGGACTACCCCTTTTCATTAAAGGGTTTCTCTACTCTACTAAAGTGGCATGCCCACTAACCTGGTGATTAAAATAATAAATTATTATAGCCATCTCACAGAGTGATGGAGACCCTTAGGCTTTATATTCTGATGAACATGAAGCGCTGTTTTCTTAAATCACAAATTTAGCTTCAGAATCTTTATTGTGCTTCATACAATGTCGTGTTCAATACATGTTTTTTAAACATTACTTTATATGCAAAGACTTTTCTCTACTGAAGGTATAAAAGCAATCATTATCTTATTTTAATAGCTTAATTCACTGCTGTATCCCAATAAGTCCTGTTTGAATAATTGAGTACGTGAGCTAGGTTGTTCCTAATGACTTTGGAGCACCTCTAAAAATACCGAATGGCATACACTCAGATATTAGGTAAATATTTCTTTATTAAATGGTTAATTCCATAAATAAAATCTTTTCACTGAATATAAAATTAAAATCATTTACAAATTATTCCAGTATTACATTTCCCCTCCCTCCCCAAAAGCTACATTTTGATAAATAAAACATTCAGTCTTAAAACACCTGATTTCTGTTTGCAGTTTAGAGTGCAGATAGCTGCCTCTCACAGACACTCATGGAGTGTCCCCCTTCAGGAAGGGATGGAATGCCCTCCCATTTACTTTTGTCAAAGGACGAATAAAAGCTTTAAACTGTCCAACTAATCTTATTATCTCTTTTACGACTGTAGAACCCCAAAAGGAAAAAAGCCTAGAGAAAATATGCTTAGCAAATAATTTACAAACAGAAAACAGAAAGTCATCAACTCCACAAGCTCCAAAATGAAGCAGTAACATGTGCTCCAATACTATGAAGCAAAGTATTCTCCAATCGTGGCTGCATTAGTGTCCATCCGCACCAGCACCCTTGGCAGTTTCGAAATACCTTAATGCTCCTCAAGAATGAGCAAGGCTTCCTTTCTACAATGAGTCCCATCACCCACACCACCCCCGCCCATTTTCTCCATGATTCTGATTCTGACACTCTTCTCCCTTGTTTGTCTAGGTGTGCCCTGGAAACCCAGGTAGCATTTAGTCCCTAAATTTGTGAATGTCATTGAACAGCCTGTAGAAGGGAAACGCTGCTTCATTGGCATGCGGGCAGTTGTAGTTGCATTTGCAGGACTGGATCATCATGACGTTCTTGGAAAATGTCTCCCCATCTTCGCAGCGGAACCGCATCTTCACAGTCCTGGTCAGCTGGGGCGTGCAGCATCGGCCGTCCACGCAGGAACCGCAGTACTTGGGCCGGTATTTCTTCACACTCAAACATCCAGCGTAAGTAAACCTGACTGGTTCGGGGGATTTCTTGGTCTTGCTGCATTTCTTGCCCTTCTGTAAGAGAAAGGAGAGAAGGAAAGTTAGGGGTGATATTTCTCTTTCTTCAAAAAGATGTTCACATCCCACCCACCTGCCAGGCAACAGTCTACACGTCCCTGAAGGAACTTACTTTCAGGCTGCTGTACACTGGCTGTCCACAAGGCCGCACCTCACAAATCCGGGTTTCTTTCACAAGGCGGCACTCAGGGTTGTCATTGGTAACTCGTGTGGAGATACCAGTTCCACAGGTCTTTGAGCACTGGGACCATGAAGTTGTTTGAACAATACATTTCTGGCCTTGTAAAGGGTTGTATAGGATGCGAGGCTCCATTCCAAAAACTAGAGACATATAAGAGGGAAGACTTCTCAGAGGCATACCGACACAAACAGGCTCAAGCACTCATTTCTACAAAGATTTAGACCAGAAATGCATCTCAGTACAGTGTCTGAAGTGCTCAGTCTCCACTTACCAGGGAGCCGCTTCAGTGAGCTGCCTTTTCCAACTGCAATCAATTCATTGTTTCTCGTCAACTCCACCTCGGAGGCATCGAATCCCAGCTCCTTGCCAAGGAGGCCGTCCTGGTCCTCCATGGGGTCCTTGATACTATCCTCGTCACAGACCCACTCCTCGCAGCACTGCCCGGTAACTTTGACCAGCCGAGGGTTGGGACAGCCCAAGTTGGGGAGAGATAGTTCTTGGGGACACAGAGGAATGCAGCCCACGGCGCCATCAATACATGTGCACTGATGTTTACAGTTGGGCTGGAAACTTTCCCCGTTTTGGTAGATTCTGGAGTTATATTCACAGGGTCTGCCCTCTGACTGAGCTGCAAAGATCACCAAAAGAGAAAGGTAGAAGGGGATAAAGTTAAGATTCCAAACCACCGCCTGAAACTCATACATATTTTCTGCTGTTAAATTCAATTTATGGTAAAGTTCCCTACAATTCCCCGGAGACTCCAGACCAGAACAATAAGTTAGTCAGGAATCACTTTTCCGTATGCGCTTTCGTTGGGCCCAGACACACTGAATTGCATTCCAGACTGCTGAAATCATGTGCCTTTCTGCCAAGCTACCAACAACAAAGCATCACCATACATGGTCTCAGAATTACTAAACTTCTGGACTATGGGGACTAGTATTTTTTTTAAAGGGGCCAAACCACAAGCATCTTACCTCTGCAGATCCCCTTCAGAGCGGTGGAGCTGGCGCCGAAGTTGCATTCCAGCCCCTTGGTGTGGTCGCAGGGCTGCGTTTTGCTGCAGTCCTCGTTGAGCTGCTTGGCGCAGACCTTACAGCAGCCGCAGCCGTCCCGGACCAGCCCGACTCCCGGCGCGCACTTGGGCGCCTCCAGGGGGCAGTGGCAGGCAGCGGGGCAGGTGGAGAGCGCCTGGAAGGGGGAGAAGATACGCGTGAGACTCGGCGCGGTGCGCAGGAGGGGCGCCGCGGCTGCCGCAGTGAGGGACGGGGGTCTCCGACCCTATCGACGGGGAGCCTCTGATCTCGTCCAGCCCGGCCACCTCGGAAGGCTGCTCCCACCAAGAGGTCCCGACACGTCTTCGGGGGGAGGGGGAGAGTGCTTAAAGAAACGGCTACCCGCAAACGATCGCGAACTTTTTAACTTTTCCTGCCGTGGGCAATCTGGGACCAGGGGAAGGGGCTGGAGAGCGGACGGGGAATAGGTGGCAAAAGGAGAGTCCAACTCACCAGCCTGGTCAAGTGGAGAAGGGTGACGACTAAGGCGAGCGCCCTGGCGATGCGGGAGCTCATTGTGGCGCGCAGGAGTAGCCCGGGGCGAGCGCGGCGACGAAGACGCCAACAAGCTGGTGTGCAGCGGACAGGCCGTGCGCAGCGGGGTCGGGGTGGCGGCGCGGTGGGCCCGGTGGGCAGGGAGGCGAGGGCTGGGCGGCGGGCGGGCGTCTTTCGCTCGAGGTCCCGGCGGAGAAGGCGCGGAGGGCGCGGGCGCTGCTCGGGGGCGCTCTCGCTCGCGGTCTGCCCAGGCGCCCCGGAGCCCGCCTTTTATACGGGCCGGCGGAGGCGCCGCGTGTTGCAGTGACGTCGGCTCTGTCTGCGCGTTCCAGAATTCTCAAACATCTCAGGAATGCTGGTTGGCGCGGGCTGCTGCCAAGCGCCTCCCCTGGCTCCATTGCACCTTTGTGTGTGTGTGTGTGTGTGTGTGTGTGTGTGTGTGTGTGTGTGTGTGTGTGTGTCTGTGTGTGTGTCTGTCTCCCAGACCCGTCAAGAAAACAGTTCGGGGGGTGTGTGTGTGTGTGTGTGTGTGTGTGTGTGTGTCCCAGACCCGTCAAGAAAACAGTTCGTTTTTTCCACCTTAAATTACGACTTATGTTGGGAAGGGTTCTTTGGGGCGTGATGGTGGTGATGGTAGTTGGAGGGTCGTGAGGGGCGAGGGGGGCCAGTTCAGAACTTTGCCTGGACTGGGTGGGTGGGAGGACCTGAGAGGGAGGAACAAAAGTCGTTTTGTTTGGTGATGCGAGTTGACCGGGCAGCCACTGAAGCCCTCACCCGGGAAGGCAGTGAGCTGTTTGCTTTTTTACAGCGAAGGTGAGAGGCAAGTTATCTGTTGAAAGAGTAGAACGGGGAAGAGGAGTGTGTCTCTGAGTCAGGAATATTTGTGGACTTCAAAGAGGCGTGTTCGGAACAAGTCCCAAAGCTTTGGCATGATGTTTATTAGCAAAGTTCAGTGAATTGCAAATTAATACCCACAGTGGCATTTATGAATGAAAAGGCGGGGGGGGGGTGGGGCGGGGGGAAACTTGCCCATCGTCTGGCAAATTCCCAGGCAGAGGTCTCCCCCACTCCTCCAGCCCTTCCCTCTTTTGGGTATGTTGTACTTGTTTGTTTTTGGAGGTTCCCACTTTAGTTCCAGCCCACTGCCTGGGTTGGAAGTCCGAGAGGAAACGAACGCGGGGAGTTCTCCGGGAGGCTGACTTATACTTCCTCACGGATGCAGGAGACGGGGTAAGCCCTTCCCGCCTCCCTCCGCGGGCAGGAGGCTATGCTAACCAAGCAGCCAGCCAGAAGTGCAGGAGACCACCGTGGAGTGGCCTGAAATCATCACCTGCAAAGACCGCAAGGCCAAACCAGATTCCAGGACCATTGTGCCCTATGAATCTCTGGGAAAAGCAGACTCCTTCAAGCTGGACATTTTGTGGGGTTTTTAACTCCTTTCCTAGGGACCACTGGAAGCCTCCCATTTTAAATGAATTGCAATGCCCTTCTCTCCAAGTACAGAAAAGAGATTTAGGATGTAATATTTTGCAGTAAAAATGTCAGCAGATTTTAAGATCCCGTTCTACTTGCAACACACTCAGTAGAAGACCCCACCACAAGACAATTTACTTGAACATCACCAATACCATTAGTGTGATTGATAAACTTTCCCTGCAAGTTTCAAAAACTTTTTGCATAATTTTAATAAAAATTATCATGTAAGACTCATATGCTCTAGGATAACTACTTATCCTTTTTAATGTTTAAGGCTATTCAGACTTCATAATTTAGCAGTCTTGCTTGAAAAGGCCCTTAGTGCTAATGCTGACTTTCCTGATAAGCACAATGAGAATCTGTCAGGATGAAAACACACTCCAGTGAAGAGAATTCTTGCAGGAAGGAGTTCAGTTTCATTCATTCCAAAGTGCCCTTTCATAAATGGAAGCAGCATTTGCTAGAGGGAGTGGGATCTCTAAAGCTCTGTTAGAGGGTTAGGGGTGGGAGACTTTTCAAGACAATGGATTGTCAGGTGTTATGCAAATACAGTGAGGAAAGTGTGGGCCCAACACGTACACAGGTTAATACATCAATTATTATTTACAAAACACTGTTTTTCCTGCCTTATCATTTCATTATTGTTTCCTTCTTAATGAAGTGACGGGGGGCGGGAGGGGGGAGGAGGGGTGCAGGGACAGTACTGGTTGAACTAGAGAGAGAATGGAGAGGAGGGTTCCTGGCTTCTGTTGTGGCGTCTTTTCTATTTGACTTCATGGTTGTAAGTATTTCCAGATGGTGAATCAGACACCAGACGTAACAATATTTCCATATTTGGGTATAGCAGTAGCCTGCGTTTTTAACATTTTTCTGCCTCTGTTATCCAACCACAAAGCATTCTTGACAGCTTCAAATGTTGTTAAATATAGATTTAACTTCTCTTCCCAGAGCAGGAAATTCTTTGGAATTCCTTGTTTTTCACGCAATCTGTCCATCATGATTTAAAATAAAAGCACAGTGGATCATCCAACTGGCCGTATATACCTTAATTGGAGGTTGGGGATGGGGGACGGCAGAGATCCAGTCTGCCGCACTGCGTTCAAACACACGCCATTCCAGAGATTCCTTTAAAATCACATTAAAGTTTTTTTAACAAGGGTGTGTGGGTTTGTTTCTGGACTTCAACTGGGGAATCTTGAGGATGAGTTTGCCCCAGAAGAGAAATTTAGAGAACCTTACCGTCAGCTGCCCATTTAAAGCAGGGGGTGTGTTGTGGGATGGGGGTGGGAAGCTGGAGCAACAGGGCCAGGAGGTGTGGGAGCGGGAGACACTAGAGTAACCTATGTGCACAGCCTCTCCATATACCATGTGCTGTTGCGCCTGCTAGTAATCGACGACATTAGGCAAGAGAAACAGCGGCTCCTCAAGTCCTGCCCAAAGACCGTCCAGAAACCCCAGCCTCCCGTCGCCTTCTCGCCGCCTCCGCTGGGAGCCGCAGATCAGTCCAAGTTGACGGACAGGAGGCGAAATGTGCAAATGTTTATGGGTAAGTGTTGCTTCGGGTGCTAATTCTGTATGGCTCTTTTGCTAGTTTCTCCTTCACCCTCCCCATACGGGTGCCCCAGGAGGAAATAACGGACTGCCTTGTTTCCTTGGGCTGCCTTGGATTGCAATCCACGGAGAAGGGGCTACTTGTCTTCTGCAGCTCCTGGCTTCGGGCTGAGAGATGGGGACGTCTCTCAACCGCTGCTGCCAGGGAATTTTAGGTTACCTAATGAAGGGCTCACTGTCTGGCGGCAACCGAGAATAATAACGGTAAATCTGGCGACTCCAGTTTCCTAGCCCTAGGAAGGCTCTCAGACTAGCGTGCATCCGAGTCGCCTGGAGGGCTAGTTAATGAATGGTTCTCTGGGTTCCCACCCCAGAGTTTCTGATTAGTTACATTTCTAACAAGTCCCCAGGTGATGTTGATGCTGCTGGTCCGGAGATCACACCCTGAGCACCACTGCCCTGGACGACCGGAGTGCCTGTAGTAGGGGTGTGTGTGTGTGTCTTCATAGATCCTCGGCTGCACACCCAACCTCACAACTCCACTCTTCAAAGCCACCTTAATGAACAGAACTTAATGGTGTCTGCAAAAGACCGGCTTTAAGGTGGCGCCCCCGTACCATCCCATTTCTCTCCTCTACCATTTCCCCGCCCCCATCCCCTTGGCTTGACAGCCAGGAGAGCCCCAGGAAGCCAGGATCCTGGTGGCTGCGGCAGGAACTGGGTGGCCGACGCGCGGAGAGGGCGGTCGGCTCCGGGACCCCTGCGGAGGGAGCGGAGAGGGTCCGCACCGCGAGAGGGTGCGGGACGCGAGGCATCCGGACGCGCCTGCCCGGCTGCTACCGCCGCCCCCTGCCGGCCACCCCGCCCGCGCGCCCACAGTCACCGCGGTTGCCAAGAATCGAGGTTTCCGGCGGCGCGCGGCGCAGGACGTTTCCAGCCCCGGCCCATATTTGGTGAAAGTCTTTCAAGACTCCGTCATCTAGCTTCGGGGGGCGGTGGCGGTGGCGGTGGCGGCGGCGGCGGCTGTCCTGCGACCCGGCCTGGCAGGCTTGCGGCCGCCGCGTTCCTGAAAAGTGCGCCGCGGCGGCCCGCGCCCAGGCCTCCCTCCGCGCGGGACCCCGGAGCGTTGCGGGCGGCGGGGTAGACCCGGGCAGTTTGGCCCCAGTCCTCACCCCTCTGAGGGCCGAAGTCCGCCCTGCGCTGCGTGGGAGGCTGGCGCGGAGGGCGCCGCGGCCCAGTTGTGTCACTTTTCCCGTCCGCCCCCCTGTTGACTAGTCCTCCCAGCGGGGCAGCGAGTTGCCGTGCTGTGCCAGACGTAGAGGGTGCGTCCGGCGCAAGGGTGTGGGGCTGTGTGTGTATGTGTGTGTGTGGGCGGGGGGATGTTCGGAGGATGGCGTTTGCGTGGACACCAAGCGCACCCGAGAGCGGGACGTGTAGCCAGCTCTGGGGAAAAGCCCCGAAGGGCCTGGATTCCATTATCCCCAGAAGGGACACATGGTAAAGCTGGCTCTCGGTTTCTCCTGGCCTCCCACGACCCCTTCCCCTCTTCCTCCTCGAGAAGTTCCGCGTGTGGGGAGCCCTGGATAGGAAGTCCTGGCTCTGCCATCAGTAGGCTGTGGCCTTGGGGACGCTGCTCATCCTCTCGGGACCTTGCCTGCTTCTCAGTAAATTGGGAAAGGAGGCAGCAAGTAGTAAAGCCAGAGCAGCTCCTTTCAGGGCCAAATCTCATGTCATCCCCTCTAATAAATTAGTCAGAAATTAACACATTATATAGGGTTCACATAGGTTGGGCATCATTTTAAATGCCTTCTATATATTGATTTGTTTAATTCTCAGATGCCCCATTGAAGCAGGTCATCTTGGTAACACCATTTTCTTTTTTTTTTCTTTTTTTTTAAATTTTATTTATTTATTTTTATTATACTTTAAGTTTTAGGGTACATGTGCACAACGTGCAGGTTTGTTACATATGTATACATGTGCCATGTTAGTGTGCTGCACCCATTAACTCATCATTTAACATTAGGTATATCTCCTAATGCTATCCCTCCCCTCTCCCCTGACCCCACAACAGGCCCCAGTGTGTGATGTTCCCTTTCCTGAGTAACACCATTTTCTATCTAAATGAAGAAATGGAGGCATGGAAGGTAAGTGACTAGCCAAGGTCACTCACCTAGCCAGCAGCGAAACTGGATTTGGGCCCAGATCATAAGGTCTCACACTTAACTACTGTGCTATACTGCCTACTCTCTATCTCTTACCTCAGACATTCAGGCCCATCCTCTTCTCCTGGAAATTTACCTTTATTTAACTCTATCACAGCTTACCCAAATAGTCTAGGTGAAATGCATCAGATATAAAAAATAGTTGATAAATTACCTGAAGCTGTGCTAACCCCTGAGAATTGCGTAATGTACTGGCTCTTAGGAAGGAGGGAGAAAAGGAGTGTTGTATTTTAACAGAAAAGGTCTTAATGCAGATACATATATAGAGTGGTCTTTAAGCACCTTGGCAGGCTGGTGGGGAAGATGTTTAGGACCTCTGGGGTTCTTTTGACACCTCATAAGCCACATTGTTCAGGCAATCCCTACTTCTGGAATAAGGCTTGGCCTGGTAGGAGTTGAATTTGTCATTGAGATAAAGGTTTCAGCATCACTTACTTGATGGTTCATCAGTCTGGGTGTTCACTGTGGACCCAGTCTGTTTTTGTTGTTGGTTTTGTTTTGTTTTGTTTTGTTTTGTTTTTTTGTAACATGGTCTGGTTCTGTCACCCAGGCTAGAGTGCAGTGGCATGATCTAGGCTCACCATAGCCTTGACCTCCTGGGCTCAAGCCATCCACCCGCCTTAGCCTCCTGAGTAGCTGGGACTACAGGCTCATGCCACCACACCCAGCTAATTTTTGTAGAGATGGGGTCTCCCCATGTTGCTCAGGCTGGTTTTAAACTCCTGGGCTCAAGCGATCTGCCCATCTCGGCCTCCCCAAGTGCTGAGATTGCAGGTGTGAGCCACTGCACCAGGCTCCCCGTCTGTTTTTAACCCGTTTTCTCCCCAACTATGTTATAATTAATTACATATATATATATATAGAGAGAGAGAGAGAGATGGGTTTTCACCATGTTGGCCAGGCTGGTCTCGAATTTCTGGCCTCAAGTGATCCACCCGCCTCGGCCTCCCAAAGTGCTGGGATTACAGGCATGAGCCATAGCGCCTGGACTAATTACCCATATATTTGAGGACAATGTATTTACCCTTCCCTGAATCCCAGATTTATTCAGAGCTTGTGATGTGTCATGGCATAGTGCTAGGTACTGGTGACATGAGAAAGAGGATTTTAATATTGAACGTCCCCCGCAGGACTGTAAGGCATATTGCAGAAGTGGGTACATAAATGCTGTGTGGATACTTCACTGCCTGAGAGGAGTTAGGGGGAACGACTAATCTGGGGCTGAAAGGATGAACAGGAGTTTGATAGCAGGGCAGGACATTTGAGAGGAAGGGAACAAGGCCTTGACTGGGCATAACAATCAGTCTGATGCACTGGACCATAGGATTCCTTCTGAAAACTGGCAAGAGATGTCAGTTGGGACCATCTGCGAATGGCCTTGCTGTCATGGCATTGGAACTTTGCAGAGTGAGCCATGTGAGCTTTTTGCCTAGGTTTCCTTGTCTATAAGATAACAGGATTCTCCTAGCTCAGAGGACACACACTCAAGTGCCTGCAGGATTCAGCCAGGTAACACCATGCCATGACTCAGGATTAGTGCTGGCTGATATTTGGCCTTGGCCTTGGGAACCATGGGGACACTGGAACCATCTATGAGAGGCTGAATGGTTACTAGGTGAAAATGTAGGTTCACTGTTTGCATATTTTCTCATTTTAAAAAGAGATACTAGAGATCTGAATTTTTATGTGAAGTCTTCAAAATTTTAAAATGTTGGCAATTAATTACAATGTTAAAATGCCATCTAGACTAATCCTTGGAAAACCCAAGAAGACAATGTCTGTGGGTGCCATTTGTGATCTCTGGACTGAATATCTCTAAGAATCTGTCTTGCTCCAGCATTCTATAAC
The DNA here is from genome assembly GCF_000001405.40 of Homo sapiens. NCBI lineage: Eukaryota > Metazoa > Chordata > Mammalia > Primates > Hominidae > Homo > Homo sapiens. The sequence continues at coordinate 85,573,905 of NC_000001.11, read as the reverse complement.
TCCCAGCCACCTGTGAAATTGTAGGGAACAGCACCCTGGGCTCCATTTAATTGTCAAGTTGACTAGACTTTATTTTGTTTAAGAGTCAGGGCTGCTACTTACCTCTTGGTTGTAGGAATTTATAACCTATTAAGAAAATTGGAATTGGCTTTTTACAAATTTTCTACTTCATCCACTCTCCAGCCACTACTCTGTCTCCCTCCTTCCTGTCCCCCTGAATTGATGATGTAAGCAGCTGGCATTGCCTTGGCAATATGATAGGAAACACTTTTTTAGGGCATCCATATCCCGTGGGAACTCTTATCTGTTTATTTTCTCCACTTGGCATCTATCCACAGGAAGCCAGCATTCCTAACTCCCTTACCTTACAGAACTTCTTGTTTTGTGATAACACAGAAACATTTTATTGGAAAGGACTGGAAGGCACCTCTCCCACCACACCCTGCAATCCATCTTCTAGAGATGATTGAGCAATATGAAATATAATAATTGTAAGTCATTATCAAATGGCTTGGCTCCAGATTGAGAGAATCAGCAATTAACCTCTGCCTTTCGTGTTTTATTTCTGGAGATACCTGTCTCTTAACCAACCACTAACATCACACGTAGCACATCCAGAATTTAGAAAGGATTTGCTCTGGGCACAGTAGATGAGCACACAGATTCTACAGAGAGATTGAAGTGATTTATTTGTGACAAATTTTTGCAAGTCTTGGGGATTGAGTGTAAGGGAGTATTCAAGCAGTTGGACTTACTATGTGAAAGAAGACATAAGACATATTTACTGCTCAGCCTGATGCCTGGCACATAGTAAGTGCTTAATTACAATTATTCCTACTGCCAAGCACCATCATTATCTTTACTTTCACTGCAATTAACATAGAATGAGCTAGTCTTATTCTCTAGAGAATACTTTCTATTCTTTAGAACTCTAGTTATAAAATCAATAAAATTCTTTGGTATATGGTATATAGATGATATGATTAAAAGGATCCATCCAGCCAGGTATTCTGGCTGCACTGAGACACCAGTGACTATCTAAAAAACCACTCAAATGGGCTTACCTCTCATGGCACTGGGACTTTGCCTACAGGCAGTGGTGAGCCATGTGATGTTTTGCTTTGGTTTCCTCATCTATGAGATGATAGGATTGCACCAGCTCAGGAGTGGTACACTCAAGTGCCCCAGGAATCAGAGAGGTAAAAAATGCCATGCCTGAGCGTTAGTGCCGGCTGACACTTGGCCTTAGCACTTGGGAGACATAGGAATAGTTGGAAGCATCTATGGGGCCTGGGCTTTGCCTCCCATTGGCTAAATGGTTAGTATACACAATCTCATCAGATCTTTATAAACAACTCTGTAGGATGAATATTTTATTTCCATTAAAAAGATGAGAAAATTGAAGCTTTGCTAGATGTCAGTAATTGGTGCAAGGGGGCAGGGTTGTTAAGGTAGAGCAGAATACCTGTTTCAAAGACCATTCCTTTCGGGGAGAGCATGGTATTTGTCCTTCATGAAATCTGCCTTAAAGTTCAGGAAGTTGCCTGCAACTTCTTGACTTCCCCTTAACAACTGACTGTGAATCTGTCACTTAAATATTGTTCTAAATGTGTCTTTAGCTTGTGTTTTCAGTAACTGTGGCCCACAGTTTCTTAATGAGAGTCTGATAATAAACAAGTTAAACAATGAAAAAGGGTTCTCTCCTTAGGGCCCTTGCCTGAGCTTGTTTCTATTTCCTCTGGGAGGAAAAAAGAAAGAGATGTGTCAGAACAGAGGTGGAACTTCTCAGAGATTGAGAGATCCGTCTACTGTAACTTAGTCATCACCATCAATTTTGTTACCTGAGGCAGGCAGAGCTGCTACCTCCCACAGCCTGTGGTTATCCTCACAACAGAGTTACTAAGCACGGAGCCCTCCAGGCCCCTGCCAAGCGCACCCTGCATGTGCCTTACGCAAGGTGTCCCTGAGCATTGAATGTTGGGTGGGGTGGGGGTTGCCCAAGGTTATAGCAATAAAGAAAAAACATAGTGCCAGGTGCTTCTCTGAAATCATTTACCCCTTCTTTTGTAGTTAGGTTTTGGCTTTCAAAAGACAAAAAAAAAAAAAAAAAAAAAAAAAGCTTATAAACAGTTCATTCTAAAAGGACAAAGGCAATATGTATTGTATGCTTAAAATTTCCAAGGCTCTGGAAAATGTCTTTGGGAGAATTAGAAAGTGTAGACTATATGCTAAAGCATTGCAGACCCAGAAGATAGATGATTCAGTTCATTCTAATAAACATAACATGTATGGCATGCTGCATGCTAGGCAGCAATGCAAAGAGGAATAATATATGGACTTTGCTTCATGGCTCTAGCTGCCTAGGGGAGATGCAGATGCTTAAACAGATAATACAATACTGTGGATTAAAGCTCTAGAAGCCGTGCAGCTTTGGGAGTACAGACAAGGGATGTCCAACTCTGAGTCTCACCCTTTAAAGATGTGAGGTCTTGTTAGTGTGTACATTTTTATGGATGAGAGGGATTGGGCACAGTTATTCCCTAACATACACATTCCCTTTGAAGCTGGGAACTGCAAGGAATGTGCACATTCCTGAGAGATTAGAAAACATCTAAAAGTGAGAACTTTCAGGTGAGCCTCTTAAAATGCATTGATTACAGATGGGACCGACCCTTTGGGTGCTATTGAAAATTCTTATCATTATGGATCCTTCTTTCAGAAGGGGAAAGAGAAGGGAAGTGACATTTACAGGGCACCGCCATGGGCCAAACGCCTTACAGGTTCATGTTCAGGAGAGCCCTCTGAGATGAGCTTTTTGACATCTTTCTAAGCTTAGGGAATGAAGGCTCAGAGAAGTTAAGCAACTTGTCCAGGATCAGACAGTTAGAATGTGACCAAACAAGGATTCTAATCCAGGCCTGTCTGACTCCAAGTTCCGTCCTCTTTCTACATTTCTGCTACACAGTCCTAATTCCTTGAGTTTTCACTCCCTGTATGAGTGTTTGCCATTTTTCTCTCTTTTTTTTTTTGTTACCACCACTTCGCCTTTATAGAGCCAGCCCTTTACACATTCCTTAGCACTTTCAGGTGCACTGATTTGAAGTCTTTGAGCCACTGATGACTCTAGCTTTTAAAAGGAGGTACAGATTAAAGTGAATGGGATCATTGCCATCACGTGAACATTCCTGTCACCATCGGTTTGATCAGAGAACAGGCATGGTGATAGCCTGCACTTATCTTTGCTTCTTTGCTAGGCACTGGGCAGAATGATTTAGACATATGGAATCTCTGTTTTCCAGGGACAGATGACAGATTCCAGAGGAAATGGTGCAGTATAATTAAAAATAACTAAGGAAGTATGATTTTCTTATTTTGTGTTTAAAAAATGGTTGGGAGTTGCCACGGGCAGTCTGAGGCTGCACTAGAGTACTATGCTGTAACCTGGAAGACTGCTTTGAGAAGGAAGTTAGATGACTATATGAAGAAGGTGTTAGATAAGTGCACTGAGATGTGTGTGTGTGTGTGTGTGTGTGTGTGTGTGACAGTGTGTGTGCTGGAGAAGGGAGGTTAAGGATCAAAGGTATGGAATAAGCAAGGGAGAGAAGGCTCAGAAACAAAAATAGAAAATATCAGGCATCAGGAGAAGAAAGGCTGAACTCTTTGTAGAGGCTTTGAGGCCACGTGGTAGCAAGAAAGAATGCAGGGGTCAGAGGGTACACTTGCTATGGTGCGGCTCAGGTTAACCACCTAATCTCACGGGGTCTCAGTCTCGTCAGTGGTAAAACAGAAATAATAATATCTCAAGAATTATTGGGAGGATTGAATGAAGTCTTGTTTCAGCTCTCCAGAAACTGAGATGTGCCCTCCAAATGTTTGTGATCAGCGTCAGCTTGGTTTAAATCTGAAGCTCCTGGAGAGCCTTTGGGAGGGGAGGGTCACATTCTGTGGTGAATAGAGAAAGTCAGCAGTCACTGTGAGCATGGGGTATAGCGAGTGATAAGGAAGAACTGACTTAGCAAGACTAGGTTGTGGAAACAAGAGAAGCTGAAGAGCAACCGTGAATTAGGACATTCTCGTGGATTCATTTCTTGTTATCACCACTGATCCAGACTCCCTCCACCTTTCTTTCCTCTGGGCTTCCTGCACTTTCATTGCTCTGCTATTTTGAATAGAGGAGAAGTCCTTGAGTCCCAGTTCAGGAGAAGCAACTAGAAAGGGCCAGCGTGCATAGCTGGGCCATCCTGCAAATGCTTTTTCCAAGAGCTGCAGCCCTGAAAGCTGGGGCCAGAGAAGGAGGTGGAGGACGAAGATGGGGTTGGAAACAAACTCAGGGAAAACTTCTAAAGTGACAGAAAGTGAGAATTGAGACAATTTCTGCCTGAAATCACCTGTCCAGCTATTAGTCATTAACCCACCTGGAACCAAATGCAGTTAATTTAGCACCATGTTGGAAAGCTTAGAACATGAACCACATCCTAGGGCCAGGTTTTGATCCTTTGTAAAGGCTTCTCTTTTGGAACACAATTTGGTGTCAGTACATAGGAACTAACAAGTGTGCTGAGTTGTGAGTCATCAGCAGTCTGCTTTCCTCCAGAACATCATGGGAAAAGAATGGGCAGACTGCTTCAGATAAAACCTGGACCCACTCAAACTTTTACTGTAGACTGGAAACAAAACAAATCGACTTTAAAAAGAATGTTTTAAAAATCTAATTGAACTCAGAAAGGAGACATAAGCCTCTGTTCTTTGGTTTCAATGTGGATCTGAAGTCTTGTTTTGTTTACTGTTCAGTCTTCAGGCAATCGCATCAGGTGTTATTTACAACTCAGTAGATTCTTGGGGAGTTCACACAGGCCTTTTAAAGCACATTTGTGAAATGATCGTACCATACTAGGGTTTGGGGATACAAAGATGACAGATGTGGTCCCTGACTTTGAGGATGACACAGTCTAGAGGAGAGCTTGCATAAATAGTGTGTATATAATGAGTGACTTCATAAAGGTGCAGTATACATGAGCTGCTTTAGGAGCCCTGCCTGAACACTGCCCCACACTGGGGTGAAGTCTTCTTGTCACACTGGATGGTGCTGCTCTTGAGACTTCCAGAGCTTCCTCCATAAAGCTTGGAAGGGCAAGCTGTGTTTTTCTCTGCTTGGATATAATTTATTATGCTTTGGACATAGTATCAGCAAAGACTTGAGGATCCTTTAATAAGGATCCTTTAATTATGAACTCTCATTCATAAGGAATTGCATATTTTTATTTTAAATGTCTTTGCACTTCCCTTTGGTAAGCAATCTAGGGTTCCTAATGTGCATAGCCTTTTGGGTAAACGTGTGTTTCTGGTGTTCTAATGATAGCTAGTGAATGTGTGAATTATATTCTTGGCCTTACTTGAAATGATGCGAGGTTTCTGTTGTATAGTGTTAAAGGTGAGCCTGATTATTTGAAGCCCTTCCCTAGGCAGTGGGCACAGTGGATAAGAAGGGAGAGCATATTGGGTAAAATGACAGTGCTCCAGGATTCCATTACATTTAGTGGCATTTTGGGATATTGTTTTATTTGATTCCACTGTCGTTCATGATATGCCATCTGTCTTTATTTCCTTTCCTTTGTTTGCTTTGGGTTTAATTTTCTCTTATTTGTCTAGTTTCTTAATATGGAAGCTGAGGTCACTGGTTGAAAACATTTTCTCTCTATTATAAGCACTTAATGCTATAAATTTCCCTCTACTCCTGCTTCAGCTGCATCCCACATATTTTGACATGTTTTTATTTTTAATCTGTTTAAAAGACTTTCTAATTTCCTTTTTGATTTTTTTTGACTCAGGTTATTTAGAAGTGTGTTATTTAGGATATTTGGATATTTTCCAGGTATGATTCTGTTATTTATTTCTAGCTTCATTTTATTGTGGTCAGAAAATAAACTGTGTTTAACTTGAATTCTTTTATACTTCTTGAGACTGGTTTTATGACCCAGAATATAGTCCATCTTGAAAAGAATGTCTAGTCTGCTATTGTGGGTGGAGTGATCCATACATGTCAGTTAGGCAAAATTGTTTGATAGTGTTGATTTTTTTGTCTACCTATTCTTTGGATAATTGAGAGAGGAATATTGAAATCTCCAACTACAATTATGAATATGTCTATTTTTCTTTTTACTTCTGTTAGGTTTTGCTCGATGTATTTTGAACTTCTGTTGTTAGATGGATAAACATTTAGAATTGCTATATCCTCTGGATAAATTGACTCATCTGTGATTCTGAAATGACTCTTTCATTTCATAATTAGTCTGTTTTCACGCTGCTGATAAAGACATACCTGAGACTGGGCAATTTAAAAAAGAAAGAAGTTTATTGGACTTACAGTCCCACATGGCTAAAGAGGCCTCACAATCACAGTGGAAGGCAAAAAGGAGCAAGTCACATCTTACATGGATGGCACCAAGCAAAAAGAGAGCTTGTGCAGAGAAACTCCCCATTTTTAAAACCATTGGATCTTGTGAGACCTATCACTATCATGAGAATAGCACGGGAAATACCCGCCCCCATGATTCAATCATCTCTCACCAGGTCCCTCCCACAACACCTGGGAATTATGGAAGCTACAAGATGAGATTTGGGTGGGGACACAGAGCCAAACCATATCATTGATGGTTAATTTTATGTGTTAAATTTGACAGGGCTACAGGGTCCCAGATGTTTGGTTGAACATTCTGAGTGTGTCTGTGTGGGTGTTTTTGGATGAGGTTAACATTTGAATCAGTAGACTGAGTAAAGCAGATGGTGCTCTCTGATGTGAGTGGGCCTCATCCAATCAGCTGAAGGCCTGAATAGAACAATAAGACTGACTCTTCTGTATGAGGTAATTCTTCCTGCCTGATTACCTTTGAGCTGAGATGGGAGGTTTCTTCTGCCTTCAGTCTCAATCTGACACATTGATTCTTCATAGGTTTCAAGCCTGCTGGCCTTCAGGCTGGAACTACACCATCAGCTCCCCTAGGTCTCCAGCATGCCAACTACAGATCCTGGGGCTTGTCAGCCTCCATACTCACATAAGCCAATTCCTTATAATAAATCTCTCTCTACTTCTACACATACACACACGTACACACATGTACACACACACACACATATATACATACATACATTTTTCTGGTTCTGTTTCTTTTGGAGAACCATAACTAATCTAATACAATTTCTTTATCCCTAGTAATATTCTTTGTTCTGAAATCTAATCCCTATTCTAGTTTTCTTTTGATTAGTATTTATATGCTATTTGAAAAATCCTTTTGCTTTTAACCTACTTGTGTCTTTATATTTAAATTAGGTTTCTTATAGTTTGGGTTTTGCTTTCTTATTCAATGTGACATTCTCTACTACTTTATTTTTCTTTCTTTTCTTTTTTTTTTTTTTTGAGATGGGGTCTCGCTCTGTCACCCAGGCTGGAGTGCAGTGGTGCGATCTTGGCTCACTGCAACTGTCACCTCCCAGGCTCGAGCCATCCTCCCACATCAGTCTCCTGAGTAGCTGGGACTACAGGTGTGCACCACCACACCCAGATAATTTTTTGTAGAAATGAGCTCTCACTATATTGCCCAGGCTGAACTCCTGGGCTGGAGCAATCCACCCATCTTGACCTCCCAAAGTGTTAGGATTACAGGCATGTGCCACCTCACATGGCCCATTCTCTACTTTTTAATACTGTCTACCTTTTCTTCCTTTTGGGGATTGAATTGTTTTATTCTGTTGTATTTCCTTTTTTATTGGCTGATGAACTATAACTCTTTGTTGTTGGTTTTTTGTTTTTTGGTTGTTTTTTTTTTTGAGACAGAGTTTTGCTCTTGTTGCCCAGGCTGGAGTGCAATGGTGTGATCTCGACTCACTGCAACCTCCGCCTACTGGGTTCAAGTGATTCTCCTGTCTCAGCCTCCCGAGTAGCTGGGATAACAGGCGCGTGCCACCACACCCAGCTAATTTTTGTATTTTTAGTAGTCACAGGGTTTTGCCATGTTGGCCAGCCTGGTCTCGAACTCTTGACCTCAGGTGATCCACCCACCTTGGCCTCCCAAAGTGCTGGGATTACAGGCGTGAGCCACCTCACCCAGCCAATATTTTGGCCTTAAACATCCAATTATCTTTAGAAAGATATACAAAATGAGACAAAAGTCTTTTATATTTACCATTTCTGGTGCTCCTTATTCCTTTGTTTAGGTATTATTTTTGCTTCTGCCTGAAGCACTTCTTTTAATGTTTCTTGAGCAGGTGTGCTGGCAATGGATTCTTTTAGCTTTTGAATATCTGAAAAACTTTTTTTTATTTTCTTTTTTTCAACTTTTTATTTTGAAATAATATAGGCTCATAGGAAGTCGCAAAAATAGTTCATAGAGTCAATCTAATGAGCCCTTCACCCAGCTTCCTCCAAGAGTGGCATCTTATCACTAGTACAATATCAAACCAGGAAATTGACATGAGAGCAATACTAATAACTAGACTACAGACTTTAATAAGGTTTTAACCCGTTGTTTTATGCACTCATTTGTATATTCACCTTAATTTTTGGAAGATATTTTTACTGGATATTGGACTTCTAGGTTGGCAGTATTTTCTTTCATTGCATTATAGCCCTGCTGCTTCTGGCTTATGTTGTTTCTGATGAGAAATCAGCTGACATTCAAAAATTTGTTCTTCTTTATGCATTTTTTTTTTAACGGAGTCTCGTTCCATTGCCTAGGCTGGAGTACAGTGGCACAATCTCGGCTCACTGCAAACTCTGCCTCCTGGGTACAAGTGATTCTCCTGTCTCAGCCTCCTGAGTAGCTGGGACTATAAGTGTGTGCCACCACACTCAACTAATCTTTTTTTTTTGTATTTTCAGTAGAAATGGGGTTTCACCATGTTGGCCAGGCTGGTCTCAAACTACTGACCTCGTGATCCGCCTGCCTTGGCCTCCCAAAGTGCTGGAATTACAGGCGTGAGCCACTGCGCCTGGCCACGATGTATCTTTTCTTTGGCTGCTTTTAAGAATTTCTCCTTTTTTTTTTTTTGACATAGTCTTGCTCTGTTGCCCAGGGTGGAGTGCAGTGGCACAATCTCGGCTCACTGCAACCTCTGCCTCCTGGGTGATTCTCATGCCTCAGCCTCCTGAGTAGCTGGGATTACAGGCACCCGCCACCATGCCTGGCTCATTTGTTTGTATTTTTAGTAGACATGGGGTTTCACCATGTTGACCAGGCTGGTTTCGAACTCCTAACCTCAAGTGATCTGCCTTCTTTGGCCTCCCAAAGTGCTAGGATTACAGGCATGAACCACTGCACCTGGCTTTATTACCATTTTTAAGCAATTTGTGATGTGCCTTGGGTGTAGTTTTCTTCATGTTTCTTGCACTTGGTGTTCTTGGATCTGTGAGTTTAAATTTTTCACGAAATTTAAACAAAAATTTCAGCTATTATTTTTTCAAATGTGTTTTGGCCTCACCACTACCCCTCTCTGCACTTCAAAGACTCCAATTACATATGTATTAGGTCATTCAAAGTTTTCACCAACTCACTGGAACTCTCTTTGTTTTTTACTTTTAGTCTTTTTCCCTGTTTTCACTATGGAAAGTTTCTAATGCTATATCTCAAGTTCATTAATCTTTTATGGGAGGTATATAATCTGCTGTTAATCACATTTATTATATATATTTTTTTATCTCAGACATTGTAGTTTTGTTTTGTTTTGTTTTGTTTTGTTTTTGAGATGGAGTCTTGCTCTGTTGCCAGGCTGGAGCTCAATGGTGCAATCTCAGCTTACTGCAACTTCCGCCTCCAGGGTTCAAGCGGTTCCCCTGCCTCAGCCTCCCGAGTAGCTGGGACTACAGGTGCATACCACCATGCCCAGCTAATTTTTGGTATTTTAGTAGAGACGGGGTTTCACCATGTTGACCAGGATGGTTTCGATCTCCTGACCTTTTGATCTGCCCAACTTGGCCTCCCAAAGTGCTGGGATTACAGGCGTGAGCCATCACGCCCAGCTCTAGACATTGTAGTTTTAACTCTAGAAGCTTGACTTGGGTCTTTTAAAATATCTTCCATGTTGCTACTTAGCATGCTTAATCTTTCCTTGACCTTTTTCAATATATGGAATATAGTTAAAATAATAACTCTTAATCTCTTTATCTACTAATTCTATCATGTGTGTCATTTCTGAGTCTGTTTACATTGATTAATTTTTCTCCTAATTTTATAGATCATGTTTTTCTGCTTATTTGCATGCTAGTAAGTTTTGAGTGGATGTCATACATTGTGAATTCTACCTTGTCGGGTGCTAGATATTATATTCCTTAAAATATTCTTGAATTTTGTTTTGGAACACAGTTACTTGGAAACTGTTTAATGCTTTCAAGTCTTACTTTTAAGTTTTGTAGAGACCAAAGTGGCATTTAATTTAGGGCTGATTTGTCCCCAGGACTGAGGCAAAACCTTTCTGAATATCCCACTTGCTGCCCCATAATTTGTGAAGTTTTCCACTCTGGCTGCTGAGAACACAAAATATTCCCAGCTCTTTGTATGTCGCAAGAACTGTTTCTTCTGCTCCTTTTAGGCAGTTCTTTCCCCAGCCTGGGATAATTTCTTCATCTGAATGTACTGAACAGAACTTAGTTGAAGACATAAGGGGTGCCCTTTTCAGATCTCTGGAGCTCTCTTTGTGTAGCTCTTTCCTGTCCAGCACTCTGCCCATTATCTCTAGACATACTTGCTTCACCAAAAAACTAGCTCTCATCAACCCAGGGAGACTGCTAGACTGCCTGGGTTCCCCCTGCCTGTGCTACAGCTTAGATCTTCTTTTCAAGCAGTAAGCTGGGATAATTGTAGGTCTTGTCTTATTTCCCCACTCTAAGCAATCACTATACTGTGCAGTTTGATGTCCTATGTCTGAAAAATGTTGTTTTATATAATTTGTCCAGTTTTATTATTTGTTTCAGGCAGGAAAATCATTGTTCCTCCATTTTGGCTTGAAAGTAGAAGTCCTGCCATTGGAATTTTGCTGGAGTATCTGTATTAATTCCTGAGGGCTGCCATACCAAAGTACTGTAAACTGGGTGGCTTAAAACAACAGAAATTTATTCTTTCACAGTTCTGGAGGCTGAGAGTCTGAAATCAAGGTGTTAGCAGGGCCATGCTACCTTCAATGGTTATAGAAAATAATTATTTCTTCTAGCTTCTGGTGGCTTCCAGCAGTTCTCAGTGTTCCTTGGTTTGTGTATGCGTCGCTCCAATATCTGCTTCCATCTTTCCATGGCTTCTCTTCCATGTGCCTGTGTCTCTGTGATCAAATTTCCTCTTTCTATGGAAGGGTACCAGTCATTGGATTAGGTCCATCCCAATTCAGTATGACCTCATCTTAACTTTGTTACATCTGTAAACAGCCTATTTCCAAACAAGGCCACATTCTCAGGTACTAGGCCTTAGGATTTCAACCTATCTTTTTGGGGGACACAACTCAACCCATAACAGAAACTTTTATTCTTCTTTTTGATTAAATCATATTTTAAAGGGAACAAACATGACTGGTCTTTGTGGTAAACTATTAAAAATGCCCTGCATTATTAGTTTATCTTTAAATATCCTCAAGTATTTATGATAGTCATAATAATTTCTAAATCAACTTCATATCTATCTTTTCTTAAATATGATTTGTTAATACAGTGAGATTGTTGCATTAAAATTTCTCATATTTTCTGTTTTTTTTTAATAAAGCCATTGTATATTTTTTGGCCTTTTGTTCTACCTTGGATTATTAGGGATTAGAAGGGGTTCAAACTTAAAATTGTAGTAATTAGCTGCTATGATGCTATCTTAAAAGTAGCTTCTTACCTAAGAATAAAAATGTGTAGTCAATTCTGGCTTCATTATTTGGAGGGATTAGAAGCAACTCTGTCAAACAGGGTGACCCTTGATGCCATTTGCAAATTCTTCTTAGAAAGAAACTGCAAAAGGAATCATTCACCTACTAATCCAACATCCAATAAAGTTTAGTTCCGTGAGCTAGTATCATCAATGGCAGAAGCACGGTCAAAATTAGAACAGTAGCCATAGAAGTATACGTTCTAAGTTGACCTTCCTTTGGGTGACAAGAGTTTAGTAATGCCCATGGATTCATTGGCTTTCTGTAGTGGCAGGCAGTTCTCTGGTCTCCATCATTACACCTAACATGTTATACCATTTTAATTGTGTCTTTAATTTTAATTTTAAACGTGACTTTAATTTTAAATGTGACTTTCTCCCCAGTAAGAACCGTGAGAGACTATCTTGGTACTTAACACAATATAATACACTAGATTCTTAATATTATGTAAGAGATCACAGTAGGATATGAGGGAGAAGAGAACACATGAGTAAATGAGGCCCAGAGACATTTAGCATCATGTCTGTGGCCACACAGCTAGTTAGTGATAGGGTAGAACTAAAGTAGCTCTTCTATTAGGTTGGTGCAATTACTTTTGCACCAACCTAATAGTTCTCAAGTAGTTTTTTCTTTTTACAACATCTGTATTTTTTATCTCTTTGGATCTCAGTCCTCTAGCCATAGTATAGTAATTTTTATAAATTATAGTTAACACTCTTATAGTACTTGCTATTTTCCTGGTATGTTTTTAAATGCTTTCAATATATTAATTCATTTGATCCTCCTAATAACTCTTTGAGGTAGGCACTATTTTCCCTACATTACAGGAAACTACAATACAAAGGTATGAAGTAACATGCTCACAGTCATGTATCTGGTAAATAGTCAAGCTAAGGTTGGAACCCAGATAGTCAGATACTAAAGTCTATATGTAAACCACTAGGATACACTCCCTGAAATGGAATGACATTATCTTTTTGTTAAAGTCGTATGAGGAAAAGTAAACAAATATTTAATGATGTAGAATAACATAATATAGATTTTATTACACAAAGAACATACATTTTTAAAAATTTCAGTTAATTTTGTGTTAAAGATGCTCATTAATTTGTTTACTTTCCATCAAAAAATGTAGAATCAATAGGAAAAAAAACCTTAATGTTTATACATTAATATTAATTAGAGACACATTAAAGATTCTCATTAGATAACATACACTTTTTCAAAATAGGTTGCCAGTTTCTTATAAGCAATAATCAGTTCAGTCAGAATTGATACTTAGTTTCTCCAAAGGATTTAAGCCTTATTCTTTTTTATTATTTTCTATATACTTCCAATGTTAAAATCATTCTAATGCTACTTATTTTTTTAATTGATTGCTCTGGGGTTTGCAATATGCATTGTTAAACTTACTAGTCTCTCTTCAAATAGTATTAGACTACTTCATATATAATGTAAGAACCTTACAATAATATATTTTCATTTTCCCCCAAGAGTCTTTGTGCTATTGCATCATATATCGTACTTCTATATATGTTACAAACGCCATACTTCATTGTAAATATTTTTGCTTCAATTATCTTTTAAAGAAAGTATTTCATATTTACTCACATGTTTATCATTTCTGACATTCATTATTCCTTTGTATAGATCCAAATTTCTCTCATATGATTTTTCTTTTACTAGAGGAACTTCTTTGAACATTTCTTATAGTTCAGGTCTGCCAACAGTAAGTTCTGTTTGCTTTTATTTTTCTAAAACAGTTTTTATTTTGCCTTCATTTAGGCAGAATATTTTTTCTGGGTTCGGAATTGTAGATTGACAGGCTTTCCCTTCCCCTGCCTCTTTTAGCATGTTAAAGATGTTGTTCCATTGTATTTTTGCTTACATATTTCTGACAAAAAGTCTGCTGTTTATTTCATCTTGATTACTTGTAGGTAATTAGTCTTTTTCTCTCTGGCTGCTTTTGGTATTTTCTCCTTATCACTGGTTTTCAATGATTTGTCTTGGTGTCATTCATTTTTTATCCTGCATGGGATTTAATTAGATTCTTGGATCTGTGGGTTTATTCTTTTTATCAAATTGGGAAATTTTCTCACCATAATTTATACTCGTTCTGTCCTCCTACTTCTCTCCATGTGGACAAGTTTGCATGTGTTAGACTGCTTGCTATTATTCCACAAGACAAAAAGCTCTGTTCATTTTTTTTTTTTCAGTCTTTTTCTGTGTGCTTCATTTTGGGTATATTCTAATTTGCTATGCCCTCATGTTCACTGGTCTTTTCTTCTGCAGAGTCATATCTGCTTCTACACTCATCCAGTGAAATCTTTATTTTAGATGTTATACTCTTCATCCCTAGAAGTTCTATTTGATTCTTTAAAAAAAGATTTTCACTTCTCATCACATTATGTTTTACTTTAAATACTAGTACATAGCTATAATAGTTGTTTTAATGGTATTACCTTCTAATTTCATTATCTCCATCATTTCTAAGTTTGCTTCTATTGATCGATTTTTTTCCTCTTTTGGATCACATTTTCTTGCTTCTTGGTATGTCCAGTAATTTTTAACTGAAAGCTGAGTATTATGGCTATTATGTTGTTGAGTTGGGGATTTGTTGTCATTCTTTAAATAGTATTGAGCTTTGTCTTGGGGAGTAAATTACATGTAGATCAGTTTGACCCATTCGAGGCCTATTTTAATATATTTCTAGGGCAGGTCTAGAATAACTTTCACTCAAGAGATAGTTCAGTCCTACTACTAAGATGTGACTCTGCTGGTGTCTCTACTGAATGACCTAGGATGACACTGAGGGCTCTCTACTAGTCAAAGTGAAAAGTCAGGTGTGCAATTTCAAAAGCAATGGTCAGAGATGACTTCACTGTGAAAATGGTGGCTTGCACATTAATACCTTTCTTATACCTTTCATTACTGAGTCAGGGGTATGAATTCTTTTAATAATGATATATAATGTCAAACTGCTTTCCAGTTTATACTTCCACTACCAGTTTAGAAAAGTGCCTGCTTCATAATAACCTTGTTAGTATTGAATTTAATAAATTATAGTATATCCTTTGGGAGGAATTATGCAGCCATTAAGAAGCATGATTTTTGAAGACTATTTAATGACTTGAGAAAAGGCTCTCAAACCAATGTTAATTAAACAAAAGCAGAGCAAAAAATTCTATGTACATCAAGATCCCATTTTGACATAAAGATAATATGTATTCTTTGGTAATAGCATTTATCTCCAGATGATGAGATTATGAATGATTTTCATATTCTTATTTTATTTTATTTTAGTATAACTTATATACTACTTTTAGCATTATTACTTTTAAAACTTTTATTTTAAAAACATGAGGCACCTGATAAATGAGTATATAGAAAAGAAAGAGGCTTTACTCAGAACATGAAAATACCTGAGGGCAATAAAATCAAAAAACATAGAGACCCATCACAAACTAGAACTGGAGTCACTTTTTTGTTTCTGTATTCATTTTGTGATAATGGAGTTGTCTGGGCCATCAAAAAGAATGTCCTGATAGGCATCCCACCTAATGGAACTTGCAAAAGTTGTATAACTGGTCAATTTATATCCATGGAACAGAAACAGCTATATGTCTTAAATTGACTTTGGTTTTTGTTTGTTTGTTTTGTGACAGAGTCCTGCTCCTTCGCCCAGGCTGGAGTGCAGTCGTGCGATCTTGGCTCACTGCAACCTCTGCCTCCTGGGTTCACCCAGTTCTCCTGTCTCAGCCTCCCAAGTAGCTGGGACTACAGGTGCCCGCCATCAGGCCCAGCTAATTTTTGTATTTTAAGTAGAGACGAGGTTTCATCATGTTGGCCAGTCTTGAACTCTTGAACTCAAGTGACCCACCTGCCTTGGCCTCCTAAAGTGCTGGGATTACAGGCATGAGCCACTGCACCCAACCAGATTGATGTTTTTTTTTTTTACTGGTTTGGACCAAGTGCATTTTCTTTGTCTCCTGTTTTACATCTTAACACTGAATGTATTCATTTGCTAGGGCCGCCATAACAGAGTCTCACAGATTGGGTGGCTTAAACAACATAAACTAGTTTTCTCATGATTCTGGAGGCTAGAAGTCTGAGATCAAGGTATCAGCAGAGTTGGTTTCTTCTGAGGCCTCTCTTCTTGGCTTGCAGGTGACCACCTTCTGTTTGTGTCTTCAGATACTCTTTCCACTATTCATGTCTGTGTCCAAATTTCCTCTTCCTGTAAGAATGCCAGTCATATTGGAATAGGGCCCCCTGAATGATCTCACTTAACCTAATTACCTCTTTAAAGACCCTATCTCCAAATACAATCACATTCTGAGATACTGGGGGTTAGGACTCTAATATATGAATTTGGGGTCGGGGAGACACAATTTAGCCCATAACACTAAGTTCGGTTCTTCTCTTTAAATTTTTCATGCATGTTACAGTGAAAAAAAGCTAATTTCTTTACTTTCCAAGCATAGGTTTTGAATCCAAAAGTGTCTGTTGTTGAATTTTGGCTCTCTCACTTAAGAGCTGTCCAACTTTGAACAAGATATCTGGCCTTTCTACACTTCAGTATTCTCATCTCTCAAATGAGGATGGCACAAGCACATATCTTATAACATTGTTGTAAGCATTCAATTATTTAATTGATGCAGAACTCACAGAATAGTGCATGTCACATAGCCATACACTAAGTGCTCAATAAAGATTAGCTGTTACTGTTATATCAAATTATCTCATCTGTGTAGCTATTTAACACTGTACTTAACACAGGAGATATAGTGGTAAATGCAAAAGACAGTTCCTGTCTTCACTGAAGAGAGATTTTCCCCTGAATCTAGATGTTGGTCTTATTTCTGGTGAGGAAGCTTTTATTCTTTTCTTTTCTATTTCTTTTGAGACAGAGTCTCGCTCTGTCACCCAGGCTGGAGTACAATGGTATGATCTCGGCTCACTGCAGCCTCTGCCTCCTGGGTTCAAGTGATTCTCCTGTCTCAGCCTCCTGATTAGCTGGTATTACAGGTGCCCACCACTACGCCTGGCTAATTTTTGTGTTTTCAGTAGAGACAGGATTTCACCATGTTGGCCAGGCTGTTCTAGAACTCCTGACCTCAGGTAATCAGCCCGCCTCGGCCTCCCAAAGTGCTTGGATTACAGGCGTGAGCCACTATGCCCAGCCACTTTTATTCTACTTTAAAAAATTCTGTATAGAAATACTTTTCTAAGGGATACTGAACAGTCAAAGCATGTTTGATCTCTCTGACTTTCCCTCATTGAAAGCATTGATTCTTGTTATACGTGGTTGGTAGATTTAGGGAGATGTAAACTCTGAAAGAAACTTGAAAGTAATAAATCCTATATCTCCTTTATGATTATGTCTCCTTTTTTTCTACCCCTTAAACAACACACACACACACACCTTTAGCTGTGCTGGACACATTATCTAATTCCACGTGCGCAAATTCTGCATCTAGATAATGTTGTCTTGTGACAGTGTGGTATCTACCTCATTAAGCAGTCCTTCTAGAATGCTTTGATGACTAAAAATACAGATGACGTGTCCTTCGTACAGCCGCTTTCTCACCCGCATGTAGGAACATGTGCTTTGGGTACATTTTCAAGCAAGGACTTGTGGTGATCTACCTCATACATTAATCCTAGCTGTAGTAATACTTTGGGAAAGGAATATGATCCCAAAATAACCACCAGGAGAAGAGAAGCATGTCATGAAAGGTCATGGCAATGGGGCAGAGGATGTTGGACAGGAGTGTTCTAAAAATAGAGAGTAAGAGATCAAAGAACCAGCAGTAATGAGGAACATTTTTTGGCTTTGGTTCCCAGGGGAAGGAGGAGAAGGAGGAGAAGGAGGAAGGGGAAAGGAGAAGGAGGGTGAGGAGGAGGAGGAGAAGGAGGAGGAGAAGGAGGAGGAGGAGGCGGCGGCGGTGGTGGTGGCGGTGGCCGCACTCCCCAGCCTGTTCGTGCCTTCTGTTCTACCCGCCACTCATATCTGTGTTGCAGAAATGTAGGGTAGGGAGGATGGTTAGCACATTTTCCTGTCCTGGGTGCTGACTGCCTTTAAATTATTTTGATAGAAAGTGTATTTATATAATGCTTAAAAACATGTCAAAATAAGAAGCATGGAGAATTTTACCTTACTGCCATATTGCTACTATTGCAAGGAAGACCTAAACATTTTGGATCAAGAATCCTCAATTTCAGCTTTTTTCTGGACCAGACCTTTAGGTTTTACCAGTTCAAATTGACTTTTTGTCATCTTCCTAAACTATACCTGATGATTAATTGTGAGTGTTTGCAGAGCCAAGCACTGAGTTTTTGTGCATTCATGAGAAGTTGGGTCGATCAGCCACTCTGAATATTCTGTAGGCATGGGTGTGGGCATATCTGGCTGCGAGTGAAGAAATTTATATCTTAGATATGCTGTTCAATCCCTCCCCTGCAAATATAGCTTTGACAATAATGAGGCGAGTAGATGAGGACATGTTAAAATCACAGGCCTCTTGAAGGAATTTTTGGCAGATGATTGTGTGTATGTGTTTGTGTTCATGTATGCACACAATATAGTAATTCCATACAGTAGGGAATTAAAAAATCTGGGATGAATCCCGTAACCTTCCTAAGGACAATTTACTCAATAGTGAACTAAACTTATTGACACTTGGCTGACAGACGATAAATGTATGGAAGTGCTTGCCAACTATACAATGCTGTACAAATGTTCCTTAAATCCTGTGGTTGTCAGAGAACCAGTCTATATGTTCAAGTCGAATCCACTATCTCCTATTCAAGGAGGTTTCTTTCTTTTTGTTCATTCCAAAACTATTTACTGTGCCACTCCAGTGTGCAAGGCACTATGCCAGGCACCAAGAAGCATTTAAAGATGAATCATACCCAGATCCTGCCCTCAAAGAACTTAGGATATAAGGAGGCAGATAAACTACTGAAAAATGCTCTGCTTGGTTTCTCTAATTTAGCTTCAAATGATGTCATAACTGAGCATAATATGACATTTAAAAAGGGACTTAGCACTCCCTCTTAAATATTTAAATAACAATGTACATGTTAATTAGTATGCATTTGCCTGTTAATAGACTTATTAACATGTATGCTAGTAGTCAAGAGTACTGAGAAATGCCTGTGCAGGCAAAGGTGTCTTGATTCAGGACAGGCAATGTGAGGTACTGTAGTGATTAGCAATGACTGACAGTGCACTAATCACAGCCCTTGTTGAGCAATCAGTCTTCATTAGGCTCCCCAAACCAAAACTGACCCAAAAACAATTGATTCTTTCTGGCTTTAAAGCCAATTTCTCCATTTGTTTTGATTTGAGGCTTTTTAACGCTGAATCTGTGTGTGAAAGGCCCTTCTGTTTAATATTTTAGTTGCAGTGCAGTTAATAAATCCTTGACTTTATTCTAAAAGTAGAGACAAAGTTAAGACTTCTCCAGGAGACTAAGGAATCTTAATATTTACATGAGGGAAATATACACAGTTATAATCCTGAAAATTATGCAATTTCCAGTCATTTAAAAATCACCACAAAATCTTATTCTTATAAAAATCTAGCTTAAAGCACATTCTCAGTCAGAATTCTGGCTTTAAAAATATTCATTGAATAAGAATACTAGAGGTCTTTGGAAAGTATAGGACATGATACTGATCTCTTCTCCCAGTAAAAGAAAGCTGCTTTAGAGATTAAAAAAAAAAAAAAAAAAAAAACTCTTACAATTTCCTTTTTAGGAAAACTACGAGGGCCTGTACATTGGTCTTGAGCTGGCCTCTCTTTCAGGCATGAATAGATCTAAATCACTGTGAGAGATCTTAAAGATGGTCCTTAGGAAAAAGAAGCTATTGTGAACTCAGAAAAGAGGAATGTTCCATTTAGTGCTCAAAAGAATGGTTGAAAACTAGTGGAGGACATGTTGGTGCTAACATTTAACAAATGAGTTCCATGGAATGCTGCTAAGTGAGATGTAACATTGTGTGAGCAGCAAGTATAATCTTCAAGCCAAGATGTCCAGGGCAGGCACAGAGGCCTGGGCTTCCTTATGAACCAAGACAGACAACTCCCAGCCAGAATCCCCAGAAAGTCCCTCCATGGAGAGTCTGGCAGACTAGCTCCAACTCTGCAGCCTTTGAGCTCTCTCACTACAATGTTTCAGAAGGAAGGAGAGTCCAGATCACATATCCAGTTATGTAGCACCTGTGACCCCTTAGTGGCCCATTGCCTCACAGTAAACACTACCACCAATATTGCTGACAGTCCCCAGATGCAGTGGATTCATACAACAAATATCAGACCTCTAGACTGTACTGTCTATCAGAAATGAAGAATCTGTTCATGCCTCTGACCTCCAATTTGTGCTTCTGCCAAGTGCAGTGAGCATCTGCAGGCCTGTGTCTGTCTGCCTGCTGTCTATGGTTAGGTCAGCAATAGTGCCCTTTGCTGGTAACAAACCTCTGGGCCTCCAGTTTCTTCTGGCCTCATCTTCATAGTTAGGACCCAGGTCACTCCCTGTTTCTCACCAAGCAACTACATGATTTCTAGAGATCCCAAAAGTTTTAATCTTGAACAGTGATTTTGACTCTTTCAGAAGACTGGTTAGCTTTAGGAATAAAAAGCAGAGTAAAAAATTCACTCTCTGGCTTTTCCAGTATTTACTGCTGTGTAATAAACTACCCCCAAACTTAGTAACTTAAAACATGGATTTTGTGGGCCAGCAGTTTGGCAAGCCTCCTCTGAGTGATTCTACTGTTCCTCCTGGAGATGACTAAGGTCACTTATTGGTACCCAGCTGCTAGCTTGGCTGGCTGAGCGGTTCTAAGGTGACTTTACTCACACATCTGGTACCTTGGTAGGGGTGGCTGGAAGTGTGAGCTCACCTGGGACTATCTATTGGAATACATAATGTGGTCTCTCCAGCACCTTAGTCTCAGGGTGGTTGGATATCTTACATGGCAGCTGCCTCCCCTCAGAGCAAGAATTTCAAGAGAACAAGGAGGAAGCCCTCTTTTTTTTCTCATCTAGCCTCAAAAGTCCTGCTACATTCTGTTGGTTTCAAGCAGTCATAAGGCCATCCCAGATGCAAGAGGAGAGAAGTTAGGCTCCATTTCTTGATGCGAGGCTACCTATAGAAGAGCTTAGGAAATTTTGTTGAGGTCATCTTTGGAAAATATAATCTACTTTGGCCTTCAACCTTGTTTTACTTACTTA
Organism: Homo sapiens; assembly: GCF_000001405.40. NCBI lineage: Eukaryota > Metazoa > Chordata > Mammalia > Primates > Hominidae > Homo > Homo sapiens. The sequence continues at coordinate 85,552,781 of NC_000001.11, read as the reverse complement.
CTGTTCAACTGACTCTGAATACCTGATTCTTGTCCAAGAGTCAGTTATTTTGTCTACTCAAAAGCAAGCTTCTTCCTCCCTTCTGGTCTCCCTTCTTTCCTTTCCACCTAATTAAGAGGCCTGCTTCTAAGAAGCTTCCCACAGATCATCTAAAAGACAAGGCAGAGTTCATGGGTCTTAGCTGGAACCAGCAAGATGATATGGGTCAGAGGAAGATATAATGATGATGAGAAGAATTAAGGGAGCTTCCTTGAGGAAGTGGCCATTATGCTAGACTTCGTTGGACAAGTAGAATATGATACATTGAGAATAGGGGAGAAAGGCATGTCATTCCTACATGAGCAAAGGCACAGCAATGTAGAAATGAAAGGTATATTGTACGAGGAAAAGCTAAGAGTACTAAAGAATTGGGGATTCAGATTCTATAGCCGTTGAGAAACCAGGTTTTTAAGTTGTGTTTTAAGATGAAACTCTGATAGCAGTGTGGAAGATGCACTGGAGAAGTGAGATTGTAGAGAAAAAAAGATGACCAGAGTATGTAGAGGGCTAGTGTATCCAGGTGAATGGAAAGGAGAGGGCTTTCTTTCTCTTCTGGTCTATAAAAGAAACAGTAGCCATGACTTTTTCCAGAGATAATAGCTGAAACCAGTACTATTCATCACTAGATTTGGGCCTTCTTTCAGCAAAGATTTGTCCAGTTGTATTTGGATTGGATATTGGGTAGGACAAGTTATCCCCTTGGGATTTCATCCCACCTCTCGCACCCCTTTCCCAGTGAATCTATGCCTCAGCCTCCTTGGAAACCTTCAATTTCCCAAGTCCACTTCAAACTCTTGCCCTAGCTAAGAGGGCCCAGACCCTCAGCTGTTTCTTCCCCAATCCTCTAAACTCTCTTTTTTGCCAACCCATAGCCATTCCCTGAGCATGCCATGCTCTATCTCACTGCCACATGTTTGCATATGATCATCTCTCTACCTTCTTAGCCATCAGTTAACACCCAACTGAAATGTCACCTCTGTGAAGCACGATGCATAGGCTACTGCCTTCTGATCTCCCAAGATGTTCTCTCTTCTGTCATAACATCTGTCCCATTTTAGCATCATGTGTATTTCATGTTTATTTTTGTGGATTAGACTGAGCCCCTTGAAGGAGCAGAAAGCTCCTTATCATCTTTGTATCACTAATGTCTCTCATAGGCCCTAGCACGGAGTAGGTGATCAGTAAATGTTACAAGAAGGAGTGAAAGTTGAAACTTCACTTAACTCATATTGGTCTGTGTTTCTGATCTAGAAATCCTAACACTCTGAATGAGCAAGGGGTTGGTTCCATTCTGTGCAAACAGTGGTGGTTAAGTGTGCTCAGAAGAAGCTGGGTTTCTGTTGACATACAGTTACCGAAGTAATCTGGGAAATTAGCCAGTGAAAACCAGCAGATCCCAGAGTAGTAGAGCTCTGTTCACAAACCTTGTTTATTTCTAACAATCCGTTTCCCAGAGGTATCATGAGCAGCCCAATTGCCATGTCTCTCACACCCCAGCAACTATTAAAACCAGCAATTCCCTGCCTGGTTTCAGAGTGCAGAGCAGCCCCATGTAGTCCCCTGGATTGTCAGTAACATTTTCTTTTCTGAAAGCCTGACATTCATGAGTAGTTTAGGTCATTGTCAACTTCTGTGGTCACCTTTTAAAAGCTAAGGTCATACATTCATAAAATCCTTCCTGACATTGTGTGGATAATAGCAGGTAACTCAGCTTATACATAGACTAAGCCCTGAAGAATGCTCCGTGGGCAGAGCTCAGCTTACTTGAGAGAACTTTGTTTGCACAAGGTTTCAGAGCTTGGGTAGAGAAGATGTTTTCCTTTTTACCAAGAACTCTGCCATGAACAGCTTTATGTAATCCAGTCAGTGCTAGCAAGTTGTTGCTGCTTTCAAATGGCTAGAGCAGATAGATGACACGTCTGCCTTCTTAAGCCTCAAGTTAATACATACGTGCTCAGGGAGAGCCTCTAAATGGTGTGTGTGTGTGTGTGTGTTTTTTATTATTACTTACTTGGGTTATTCACTGGGCTTATTAAACAATGGTCTGTAAAGATGTAACATTTTGCATCTTCCTGACTAAAATGTTTGACTTAATTTTACCCCCTAACACCCATGCTGCCTCTCTCACTTAATTTCAGTTTCAGATGTTTTCACCTCTAAGGAGACACATTTATGAAAATGACAATTTTTAAAACATACCGATTATGGGCAATTCATCACAACACCAAATAATTCTCCCCTTTAAGGGGAGCTCTTAATTATCCTTTAAGGACGGAGCTCCCTATTTTAAGAATCACCAAGAACTTGGAGCAGAGTAGTTCAGGAGGTGGGGTGAAGGGAGAGGGGCCTTTGGAGTGGGCACACTTGGCAGCCTCATGCTACCGCTGCTCCATTGACCAGAACCTCTGGGCCTCAGCTTTTCTTTGGATGAAACCCTCATCACAGATTTGGTATAGATTGAATAATGTAACCCTTAGAAGAGTCTCAGCAAAGATTAATTTCTGTCCTTGTTTCCTAGACAGGTCATTAGGTCTTGGGAGGGGTGAAAGGAGCAGAAAATTTAAACTAAAGAGTTAGGAAACAGTGGTAGTTGGGCATATCTAAAATATAGAATATGTAAATATGTAAATAGAATCCAATTGACGGTAATTTGACTTGCAATTTCCCAGGAACACATCTACTATACCAGACATGCTGAGGATTTTATGACACTGTAGCTACATTTAGTCACCATTTTAAAGAGCCCCTTGGCAGTATAGATTCTCTAGCATCATAGAATATTCTATTATAGAAATTAAAGGTCTGGAAGAGCTCTGGGTTCCAGTGAATGGATCCCCAGTCGAAGTGTTAATGATATAAAACTTGTCCACTTATATTTACAAATGATTACTTAATCACTCTTCCAAGGTGGGAAGAATAAACTCATTCTACTGAAATTTAATTTATATGATTGAATGAGAAATAAGAGATTAACTCATATAAATTAATGCTGAATATTTTTGGAATATCTTCTTCTCTTAAAGCTCAAAGACACTCTTATTTCTCTTAACTCCTTTCTTCATCACTGATGGAAGTTTTAAAAACGTTTGTAATTTAAAAATGCAAAGCACAAAGAACATAAATATTTGGCAGGATATCCAAGATTCAGGCTTAACAGAAAGCAGGAGAAAAGATAACAGCCCTTGATGATGGAAGCAGAGATGAACCAGGTGCCTTCCGTGTCCACTTCATGGTCTACATCTAACACAAGAAGTCTACATCTAACACAAGAGTGGTATGGTCCCTGAGCAGCAGCATTAGCATTCCCTGGGAACTGTGAATAATGTAAAATCCCAGGCCTCTTTCCAGATCTATTGAATGAGAAACTGTGGCAGAGGGGTTCAGCAACTCTTGTTTAAACAAGCACTCCAGGTGGTTCTGAGGATGGTAAAATTTGAGAACCTTTAGTCTAGAAGGAATTTTGAAGAATAGAAGGACATAACATTTAGAGTGGTGTAGTGTAATAAAAAGTTTATTCCATGCTGAAAGAGAGACAAAAATACTTAGCAGTCTGTACAGTGCTTAGATAATATGGCTTTTGACTAAAAACCTTTATGAAAACCCATGCTTTCATACAGAGTGACAGTTTTAGGAAAAATCTCAAAAGTTCACTTTTCATAGCTTGCCACATAATACAAAAATGTTTCAACTGCCCAATTTGAGTTCTAGCCTAAGTCTTTTCTGTGGAACCAGTTCCATGAAATATTTAAAATATTTATGTAGAACAGGAGTTCGATGCCCAGATATTTTCAGGGTACCCCAGGCTCTGCAAAATGAAAAAGGTTTTCTTGCTAAGTCTTATAATAAGGAGACCTGTTTCATTTTGTGTGATCCAGTGCTCTGGAGGACTTCTCAGAGCTTACACTATGTGAATGTAATTATGAATCTCCAAAAGAGGATATTCACTTTTGTGTATGGTGGCTCTTTTAGTTTATGGTGTTCCTCAAACTTCTGTGAAGCATCTCTTAAGACCAGAATTCTGCAGAATCCATTTTGGGAAATGCAAATCTAAATTATAGAATGATAGAATTTCTGGCTTGGAGCTATTCCTAGGGATCAACCAGTTGAATCCCTTACTTCTGAGCACCTGGCTTGCTGAAAGTCAAAGTGAATTATTCTGAAGCTACTCTTTATCTATAGTTTGTGTTGTTATTAACCCTTGCAGATATGAGATTCTTCTTTAAACATAAAATTTTATGGATAAACATCCACCCCTTACACATGTGTACATGGATGAAAATAGGTAAAATGTTTTACACTGGTTAATTAAAAAGTGACCTAATGCTGGGTAATTATAGTACAAGCTTTGGAGTCAGATGCCAGCTCCATTATTTATACCAGTAAAACTAAAGGGTGAGTTAGTTAAACTCTTCAAATATCAGTTTCTTATCTCTGAAATGTGGATGACAATTATACCTACCTCCTGGGTGCTAATGAGAGTTAAACAAAATGATCTCTGTAAATGTTCAATAATGTTAGCCACTGTTTTTATTGCTTGATTAAAATATACATAATGAACAAAAGTTACAACAAAATTCATAATGCTTTTAAAGAATTTGTATTTTATTAAGTCAAATTAAATATATTTTGCCACATGGATTTGAAAAAAGGTATTGCATATAAGTGTAAGACATTATTCATTCTACAGTGTTTGGTATGCAAATCAATTTGCAGATCCTTAGCAATAACAGCTATATTTGGGGTTTACAGACTATAGGTTAAGAACGAATGGCCTGTGTCAACTTATTTTATCTACAAATAGACTGTCTATTTTTAAAACATTCACTTCAGGAGAGAACCCTCAGCTTTCTTTGTTCTGTTATTCCTGTGTTTAAACTCCTTTGCAGTTAATTTTTTATAGATCTCTTGGGACATGTTCAAAATCCATTTCCTCTGGTCTTGTCTTCTGCAGACCTGGATGGCCAGTCAGCATCTTCCTCACAGGAATATTTTATTCAGAGTAAAAGCTCTTCTTAAAGAAACCTCTCTATCAATCAATTGCTGTCAATCACTCTTGTGCCCAGTATTTGAGTAGACATCTTTAGATAGACAGAAGTGTTAAACCACTTTTGTCACTTCGAGGAACTTATAATGTAGTTGATGGAATGCAGTCATAGAGAGTATTCAAATGCTATCCTGACAGTACTGGTTGAAAATGTGCTTGATGTTCGGCAAAGGACAAAATCAATGTGGGAGAGTATTTGTGAAGCCCTGTGAAGGCAAAAGCATGTTTAGTGCAAAAACACTGAATAAGGAATCAGGACTAAGGTTCTAATTTACATTTCCAGACTTTGAAACAAACTCACTGTGTGACCCTGGGATAGTCTCAACTTCTCTAGATCTTAGTTTTCATATCTGTAAAATGGATGATTGAATTAGGTTCTGCCTGGTGCCAACCTCTGGTAGAAAACCTTTATCTACAATGTGCATTCTCATGTTGAATGCTTACACAGCCCTCTGACGTAGGTACTATTAGTAGCCCCATTTTTGAAATGAGGACATTGAGGCTCAGTGAAGTTGCTAACCTGCTAACACATAGCCAGTGAGTGGTGGTTCCAGTACTCCTACCAGGGTGTTCTCCACTCCGGCCTCTTTCACTCTTAACCACAAGGCCAAATTTCTCCTCTGAGAGGATGGGAAAAAGGTTTGAGCTGGACTTTTTGAGATGGATGAGGGCAGAGATTGAGTTACACTGTGGGTCTAACTCAATCCCCAGAGTACAGGGTAATTTATAGTGCAGCTCCCTCCCTGAATCCCAGAAAGCCTATAATATGAAGTTATTTCTATCCCCAAACACCAGTATCATTATAGAGATCAGCTGAACATGAGGTTAGTTTATTGCTTATTCATTAACATTTTCTTCTTTGTTTATTTATTTCTTCTTTTTTTAATCCTTCAGTAGTTTTTTTAGTTGCTTTTTTCTAAGTTCTCCTTAATTTCTCAAATAAAGCTCTGCCTATTGTCATGTATACAGAAAGACCATTTTCTCCCCACCTCTTACAAATCATAAGCCTATAAGTAATTACCAGTTTAATATCATATTTAGATTTTTAATAAAAGAGTGACTGTATTTACTTCCATTTGCTTCTGTTCTAGTAAGGATTTAGAGCTCTTCTGTATGTGACTTTTATCTCTAGTTAGTGTTGTTTGCCTTCTGTTCTTGCATGATCTGCCTTGAATCTGACAGTTTAGAGATGGAGGAGCCAACAATAATGTCTTAGTTCATTTTGTGCTGCTGTAACACCACCACAAGCTGGGGAATTTATAATGAACAGAAATTTACTAGCTCACAGTTCTGAAGGCTGAGAATTTCAATATCAATACCGAAGTCACATCTGGCCAGTGACTTTTTGCTGTATCATCCCATGGTAGAAGGTGAGAGGGCTAGAGAGACAAAAGGAGGCCATGCTTGTCCTTTTATAAGGAACCCACTCCCAAGATAACTCCTGAGAAAACGGCATTAATCCATTCATGAGGGCAGAGTTGCCATGGCCTAATCACCTCTTAAAGGTCCCACTTCTTAATACTTCTGCAATGGCAATTAAGTTTCCAACGCATGTTTTTTTTTTTTTGGAGACACATTCAAATCATAGCAAATAGTAGTCATAAACTTGTACTCAGCATTTACTTTGTTTTAGATATTATTCAAGGTGTGTTATGTTCAATCTTCACAACCACCGCAGAAGTTTGGGACTATTGTTGCTCCCATTTTACGAGCAGGAACATTGATACAAATAAGAAAGTTGACATGCCAGTGCTTTATCCAAAGTCACATAGTCATTTGGCAGAATCCAAGTCAAACTCAGGGAGTTTGGCACCAAAACCTACACACTTGAGGTTAGACTTTTGCCTCCTCAGAAGGAAAGAAGTAGGCAATACATGGGAAGATCAGTTTCTTCTTCTCCCCCCTCCTCCCTCTGCATCTCCTCCTCCTCCCACCTTCTCCACCATTTCTGCCTCTTCTTCTCCTTTAGAACGAACTAATTTAAATGGAATTTATTTGGCTAACACAAGAAGATTAATTATTTGGGCTAGGAGAAAATTAGGAGGAGGGGAAGGAAATTAAGAAAGGGAACATTTTGGATATATATTTGCCTCTCATATACACCTCTTTCCAAATGCAGAGCTGTTTCCTGAACAGTTTTCCTAGTGAAAGAGGTCATTCACAGCTAGAGAAAGCAGGCCCCACTGCTGCCAGGATGGGCCTGCCACTGCAATTGCAAAATTAATAGCTTATTGCCATTTCTATCATGTTTTAATAGTTGAAAGAATAAGAATTGATCCTTATCTTTAAAAAAGCGAGAAGGGCTTCAGGAAATTACTCCCTTCATCTTATCACCTCTGCTGTGCCTTATTGTCATGATACAATCATGTGTCTGATATTTTCTTTTCCTCTGCTAATAGCAGGGCTTTAAATTATTAAAGGAGAAGAATGTTGACCCTCTGCTTTGCTGCTTCTCCCTCTGTGCTTTGAGAGTTGGTTGACTCTTTCAGCTTCTTTCCCTCTGCCTTAGAAAGGCTCATTTTCTGTTGGGAGTCACGTCCTGGCTCTGCTTCATGCCTGTGAGTATGGAGGGCAGAGTTTGGGTTGCTGAATGAAGCTGAGGAATGTCTGAGAGGCAGGGCAAGGGGGTTGTTGACTTTGCTCAAAATATTTCTTGAAAATATCTCATATAATGTTAGATTTTGCAGCTCCCCTAGCTCTTCTCCAACCCCCCACTTTTAAATAAACATGTTGAGTTATAACTGTGTACAGAAGGAGTTAGAAAATGAACCCCACTGTTGCTATCTTCACAGGCATCTGTGCGGGTGTGACAGGGTGAATAGGCCCTTTGGGAATTTTAAGGGGACTCCTCTAGAGCCAAATTCCTCAACCAGGGCAAACTTCCATCAGCTGTGTAAATAGTGTGGCAATGTGTGGAGGCCACGAGCAGTTTCCTGATAGTCAGCTACTGTGCCCAGGTAGTTAAAAGGAGTCGTGTTCCATCCTGAGGCTTGCAGGATGTGAGTTGGGTCTTATAGTCTCTGATGAGTGGGTGGGTAGAAATTTCCTCTCCACTTTATTTAGTACTGGGGAAGTCAGTCTGATTAAGATAGGTAGGGCTGGCTGGATGAAACCACACCTAAGAGAAGCCTTCTGGGTGTCTGAGTGAAGAGAAAAACTGTGACTGTAAACTGAGGACAGAGTTAGGCATTCACTGGCAGGCATTCTTCCCAGCTCAAGAAATTCCTGGGGATGGGAATAGACATTGTGCTCTGGGAGTTTTTATTTAGCTGTTCTTTAAAATGTAGAGTTAAATGCAATTCAATTCATGTATCTAGTGCCTTTAACTATTCCCCAAAACATCTGAAAGAATTTGGAAACCCTGGAAAGGCTTCCTGTCTGTCAAGCAATGCCACGTGCATGTGCCTAGTTTTTTGCAGCTGCATTAACCTCAGCTCTTCCCTGTACAGAGATCTGGATGCTTGCCCCAGCTCCTGAATCTAAAGTTGTTTTGTTTTTCATTTGCTTATTCTACAGTGTTCATCATTCTGACATCCAATTTGTTTGTTTAGCTTAAATGAATAAGGATAGAGACAAAACAACTAGGTACAGGCAGTTTTCTATGTACATCAGTGCATAATGCATTCTTGAAAATATGAACAAACCTGCAAGAACCAAATAATTGTAAATGGAGTTCTAGTACCAATGAACCAAAAATACTATAAAATCCCTAAATACATCATGTTTTTAGAGGTAGTCTTTAATCATGTATTTCCAGCATTGTCTTTGTTCTTTAATGCTTTCCTTTCACCACTAGACCCATGAAATACTGGCTGACATCCAACCATCATCCAATTGAAGCAAAAGTTTATCTGCTTTTGGCTTGCCCGCTGTTTTCCATGTTCATCTTAATTGTGTTAAGTTTATGAAACTAACCCTTCTCATCAACAGTATCAGAATTTATTTTCAGCCCCACTTTTATAGATGTATATGGATAAAACCCATCAAATTATTCTAATAATTACTTAAACAAGTATTCTAGTACAAAGATGGTGCCATGCTGCCCAGACAGAATAGCTATGCCTGCCATTGTCCAGTTTTATCATGACCAATTTAAGTGCTTGTGTTTCTCCTTTCTTTAAGTGTTCTCCTTTCTTTAACCTGTCTAAACCATTGCGGAAATTACCAGATATCAAAATTGCATGCTGCTGTGGAAATGTTTCCTTGAAGTGATCAACTTTTGTCATTGGTCCAGAGCCACAGGAATTGATGGAAAACAGGGTTGGAGGCAGTTGCTTGTTTCCTGTGTTCACTGTGAGCAAGTCTGCCTCTTACCAGTCTAGGTGAAGCCTACCACCCGGCTGGATCCCAGCATTCTCCGTGCATGTTGTACAGCAGTTGTTGTTCTCTTCAAAACAACAAAATGTTTGAAATTTTAAAAATTTCAATGTGTTGAACATGTATATAGATAGTTGTGACTGAGAATTTAACTAACAGTAATTCTTGAGATGAGAGAGGAAATAGAAACCAATGGAAGGGTTGAATCATTTTTGTCTTTTGTTATACCTCCTGGCTCCTTGTGAACATAACCTGGGGATACATAATATTGGACTTCATCTGCATGTTAATATCATATAAAAAAAGATCTGAGAAGCAGTATAGTAGAATCATTAAAAGCATTGACTTTGAAGGAAAACAGACTTTGGATTCCACTTTCTGGCTATGTGATCTTGGGCGAGTTACTTCACCTTACTGAACCTCAGTCTCCTCCTTCATGAAACTGAGATAATGATGTCCATCTCTGCACGTCATTATAAAAAGGAAACATAATATTGTACAAATTTTTGTGAAATCGCCCAGTGTTAGCCAACCAACATAGGTTTGTTTCAAAGATTTCCTTGATGTGGTTTAAAAACCTGTGTTTCTTTGACATTATGGGCCAATAACAATACTAACCATAGTGGAAAGAGAATGGAAAATGACAGGAGGTCATATGTGTGAAAGTGTATTTGGGTTGGACAAGGTGGATCTGAATATTGGTGCCATCACTTTCTCCCTGTTTGTGGGTAGCTTTTTATAAACCAATACATAGGTTAAGGGTCTGAATAGACAGAAGGCTCTTCCCTTAAAAAGACTGGAAAACCTTCCAAGTAGCTCTTGAACCCTCACATTTTATCACCATTTATGGTGTTGGGAAATTTTTAGAAATTGAGATATGAGGTGATACAAACCTCGTTTTCTTGTGACAGAAATTCCTAGCCAGATATCTGGAAATAGGAGAAGTTGGAGAAGAGGTTTGAGGGGCTAGAGAATACTGATTTCCTTAGAATCTGATCAGTAACAGGCTGAGGAAACATTTTAAAATCACATAGATTCTATGCATGTCTGAGCTGCCGCCTTTCAGGAATATTCACTCTTGGTGTCTTTTCAAAGATCATGACACAACAGCAGTTTGTCAGACTCTTCTATGAATGGCCCCATACTTGAAAACACCAGCTTCTTATAGGCATTCCCATGTTGTATTATAGACAGTGTTCAGGCCCTGAAGTAAGAAAATCTGGATTAAAATCCAACCTCTGCCATTTATTAGCTATATGACCTTAGGTGAAAGGATTTTTCAATAATTCTCAGCCTCAGTTTATTCATTTGCAAAGTTTACATATTAATATCCACATCAAGAAGTTGTTTTGAGGACTAAATGAGAAAACATATGTTTTAGTCCATTCAGGCTGCTATAACAAAAATATCATAGACTGAGTGCTATCAACAACATACATTTATTTCTCACAGTCCTGAAAGCTGGGAAGTCCAAGATCAAGATGCCAGAAGATTCAATATGTGGTGATACCCTGCTTCCTGGTTCATAGATGGCCATCTTCTCACTTTGTCCTTGCGTGGCTGAAGAAGCAAAGGAGCTCTCTGAGGTCTCTTTTACCAGGACCCTAATCTGATTTATGAGGGCTCCAACTTCATGATCTAATCATCTCCCAAAGGTCCCACCTCCATATACCATCACATTGGGAATTAGGTTTCTACAAATGAATTCTACGGGGACACAATATTCAGTCTGTAGCAAAGTGTTTAAAAATTTCTGTGAACTCTACCACCCAAATGAAGGGTTTTAGTGATAGATCACCACAGGATTTTGCTATAACCTATAAAACATAAACAAACACATGAACAAGCAAAAACCCAACACAGCATCATTTACTAATGTCTGAAGTTGCAATACCTGAGAAGTACTTTTTTAAAAAAATAACAGTTTCCTATGAAATACTAGGGCCAGGGCCAAGACATATTTAGGGTTCCAGCAACTCCTTCTCTTCCAGGCAGTAGCAAGAACAAAATGACAAAACAATTTCCATTTTAGCACACAGGACATTTCCTCCATTTGTTGTTTCGAAGGATTTTATATTTTTTAAAGCAAGGTGTGCTTAGCCTAAGTGCTTACAGAGAACCTTCAAATAAGTTTTGGTTCTAAAGAAATATAAAGGCTATCACTTAGAAAAGTGCTACTATGCAGGCCCATCAGTTGTGACTGGATCATGGCAGGAGAATGAACGTCTCTTGAAACACGACATCTCAATTCTTGGCTGAATAGTGGTGACATGCTTGGTGACGTGACAATAACTGGTATTCATTTGGTCATAATGAATAATAGAGAAAAACCATTCAATGTGTTCTGATTAGTCATCCAAATGATAGATATAGATACAGATATAGATATAGATATACATTTTTTTTTTTTTTTTTTTTTTTAGATACTGAGTCTCGCTCTTTCACCCAGGCTGGAGTGCAGTAGCACGATCTTGGCTCACTGCAACCTCTGCCTCCCAGGCTTAAGCAATTCTCCTGCCTCAGCCTCCCAAGTAGCTGGGATTACAGGCATGCACCACCACGCCCAGCTAATTTCTGTATTTTTTTAGTAGAGACAGGGCTTCACCATGTTGGCCAGGCTGGTCTTGAACTCCTGACCTCAAGTGATCCACCCACCTCAGCCTCCCAAAGTGCTGGGATTACAGGCGTGAGTCACTGCACCTGGCCAAATGATAAATATTTTTAAAGAGCCGGTTACATGCAAGAAGTTGCTGGGCTTTATGGTGGGGATAGGAGGAAAGCATTGGAGGTAGTTGTACAAAGATGTGTGAATTATAGTCTAGGTCTTGAAGAAGCATACTCTAATGGAGAGAAAGCGTATACGTAACCCTAGCACAAGATACAAAGAGTAGTTTCATACAAGAGTGCAAAATGTATGGTAGTTCAGAGGAATAAGAGGTCATTTTAATTTGGGGAATCAGGAAAGAGTTAACAAAGGAGTGGGTGTTGTGCTGGGCTTTGAAACCTGGTTGTCTTTGGGCATGTAGAGTAAGGAGGAATTCATAGTCCAGGCACAGCAGAAATCAACGCCAAGGCCCAGGGCTGGGTAAATGTAAGGAACATAAAGAGGAAGATAGGGAAATAAGACTAAAAGGTGTAACCCCAGGTCAAAGGAAAAGGGAATATAGTATATTGGAAAGATTGTTGACTTAGTTTAAAATGGGGATGATACTCTATTTACTAGTTTCTAAGATTCACATTATTTTTTTCTCATTTTAGTGTTTTTTAAATCAAGAAAAATCTTAGCATGTATATTTAATGTAATAATTTTTTATTAAAAAGAGATTATTGAATCAATGGAATATTCATAATTGATAGAAATATTTTAATATTTCATAGTTATAAAATTGATTTCATTTTCAAGGATATGGTATAATACCTACTTTATAAGCTTTTTGGAGAAATAAGTAAAATTATATATGTAAAGCACTGGTCACATAGTGGGCTCAATAAAGTTATTATTTTTATAGAAAGAGAGTTGAATTAAGTTTGACAGGCAATGGAGAACTATTGAAGGATTTCAAAAAGAAGAAAGGCAAATCAAACTGGGTCATTAAAATCACCTGCCAGTAATGTAAAGAATTGATCGAGGGATGGAACCTATCTGGGACACTACTACAATAGTCTGGAAAAGAGTTAATGAGGGGTAATTGAGGGGGAGAACTTATGAAAGTGAATGGCCCAGCTTTCCCTTAGGGGTGCTGTTGACAGGGCCTGCCAGCTGATACGGTACAGAAAAGGGAGAAGTGGATATGATTGAGAGAACTGTGCTATTAACCGAAGTCAAAGGTACGGGAAAAGAAACAATTGTGGAAGGAAATGGATATGTTTGATCTGGGAAACACTGAATCCAACTCCAGATGGAGATTATCCAGGAGGCATTTAGAAATCTGTAACTTTGGCAAGGCGCGGTGGCTCCCGCCTGTAATCCACTTTGGGAGGCCGAGAAAGGCGGATCACCTGAGCTCAGGAGTTTGAGGCCAGCCTGGCCAACATGGTGAGACCCCATCTCTACTAAAAATACAGAAATTAGCTGAGTATGGTGGCGGGAGCCTGTCATCCCAGCTACATGGGAGGCTGAGGCAGGAGAATCGTTTGAACCCTGGAGGTGGAGGTTGCAGTGAGCCAAGACTGTGCCGTTGCACTCCAGCCTGGGTGACAAGAGCAAAACTCTGTTTCAAAAAAAAAAAGAAAAGAAAAGAAAGAAAAAGAAATCTGTAACTTCATTCTGAGAAAGAGATGGAACTAAACATGTAATATTAGAGTCATTTTCATTTAGATGGTAATTGAAGCCTTGGCTGCAGATAAGATTTTTAAAGGAAGGGAATAGTGGGGGAAAAGACAAGAGGTTGAAGAATGGAAACTCTAGAGGAAAACAACATGCTGTAGATAACTCATTGAAAAGAAGTAGGGGGACCAGAAAAAGAAGGATTTGAACGTTTGGAACGTTTCTCCAAAGAGAAAAGAAAAGCTGGCCAACAGTGTAGAGTATAATTGATCCCGCAGGCACACATTTGTGAGCATAAACACAAATTGGTAGGAACAGAAACCTCTTTCTTTACACACCTGAGTTGCCCTTGAATCTCTCTTGGCATTTGACTGCCATCTTTTTGCTGCTTTCACTTCTTTCCTTTCTCAGCAATTTCAGAGCCTTTTCATTTTGACCTGCATTTCTGCGGTTGCTTTAGTAGCTTTGAGTTGTTCTTTTTTTTTTCCCTCTCTTGCCTGTGAACTTTTGGGAAAATGCACAGCACAGGCGATCTGAGGAAGCCCCTTAGGGTAATCCAGCACTGATGCTTGAGAATGTCAGAGAAAGAAATGAAACTGAGCCCACCTGGGCAAATCATTGAGGTAGGCCCCCGGGTGTTCCCCTTTTAGGGCAATCCAACACTAATAATAATGATACCATATGGTTTAGGATCTGAGTACAGACTTAGCCTGATTCACCTTGAAGTTTCTTGGAAAAGGTGCTGCCACCTCTCACATAGAACTTTCCCACTTCTCAGCTTTTGGTACTATCCTGATGTTTCTCTTTTCATGTTATTTTATGCAGTAATTATTTCTTTCCATACCATACCATTCAGGGTCCTTGAATGAGCTCATGTCCACTAAAACCAGCTTAAATTTTGAGAAAGTTCCTGCATAACTTATGTTGAATGCATTATATACTTGCAGACAGTGGCAGTCTTGTATTTGTCGTAATCACATTTTCATGTGATAATGTATTATACATCAATAGCCTGTTGGCAGTGCATTTAGTTCTAGTGTGGGAAACTTGTAGGAACAGATCAGGTATGGTTTTTATTTTCCTGCTGATGAGGATTGTGATGTCTACATTCAGTACACCCTGAATGCCTGACTGTTAATGTGTGGGTTTTAAGTGTAAAAGCAGAATTGGCTTTACCAAGGACAAAGAGAACACTTATCTGCTTAGTGGGTTTTTTTGTTTTTTGGTTTTTTGTTTCTGTTTTTATAATGATTTTAATAACTTTTAAAGTGCACTTATTAACTAAATAGAATTAATACTTGTAAATGAGAACAATTAAAATATGCCAGAGTCCTAAAGATTATAATTTACTGAGTCTGGGTCAAAACTTGGGCATCTTATTTTTAAGAAGCTTCCCTAATTCTCTAATGTACTTTAAAGTTTAATGATTACTGTTTGTTTGAAATTAGTTAGAAAACTTAGTATAAGTAGGGAACTTATTGCTATTACTAGTAACTATTGCACAGTTATTCCTACCCTGCAATAGAACACCAGAACTTATTCTTCCTAATTGTAATTTTGTGACTGTTGACCAATCTCCCCTCCCCAGTGTCTGATAAACACTGTTCTACTCTCTGCTTCTGTGATAGCAATCTTTTTTTTTTTTCAGATTCCACATGTGAGTGAGATCACACAGTATTTGTTTTTCTGTGTCTGGCTTATTTCACTTAATATGATGTGCTTCAGGTTCATTCATGTTGTTGCATGTTACAGGATTTTTTTTTATTATTATTATTATTTTTGAGACAGGTCCTCACTCTGTCACCTAGGCTGGAGTGCAGTGGTGCAATCTCAGCTCACTGCAACCTCCACCTCACAGGCTCAAGTGATCCTCCGACCTCAACCTCCTGAGTAACTGGGACTACACGTGCATGTCACCATGCCCAGCTAATTTTTTGTATTTTTTTGTAGAGATGAGGTTTTGCCAGGTTGGTCACGAACTCCTGAGCTCAAGCAATATGCCCACCTCAGCCTCCCAAAGTGTTGAGATTACAGGCATGAGCCACTGCACTCGGCTATTCTTGCTTGTGACTGAATAGTATTCCACTGTGTATATATATATACATACACACTGTGTGTATGTATATACGTATATATATATATATATATATATATATATATATATATGCCACATTTTCTTTATCTATTCATCTGTTGTTTGACATAGGTTGATTTCATAACTTGACTATTGTAAATAGTGTTGCCATAAACACGGGAGTACAGATATCTCTTCATCATAACTGATTTCATTTCCTTTGAATAATACCCAGTAGTGGGATTTCTGGATCGTATGGTAATTTTCTTTTTAATTTTCAGAGGAACTTCCATATTGTTTTCCTATAATGACTGTACTAGTTTAGGATCCCACCAAGTGTGTAAATGTTCCCTTTTCTCCACATCCTTACCAACACTGTTTTCTTTTGTCTTTCTGGTAATAGCCATTTTAACTGGAATGAGTAGTATCTCATTGTGTGTGTGTTTTTTTGTTCATTTGTTTGTTTGTTTTGCTTTGTTTGTTTGTTTTGAGAAGGAATCTTGCTCTGTTGCCAGGCTGGAGTGCATTGGCGTGATCTCGGCTCACTGCAACCTTCGCCTCCCGGGTTCAAGCGATTCTCCTGCCTCAGCCTTCCAAGTAGCTGGGATTACAGGCATGTGCCCCCACACCCAGCTAATTTTTGTATATTTAGTAGAGACGGGGTTTCACCATGTTGGCCAGGATGGTCTCGATCTCCTGACCTCGTGATCCACCCACCTCCACCTCCCAAAGTGCTGGGATTACAGGTGTGAGCCACCGCACCCAGCAGGCTTTTTAATTTTTATTATTTTTTTATTTTTATTTGAGACAGAGATTCACTTTGTCACCCAGTCTGAAGTACAGTGATGCAATCTCCGTTCACTGCAACCTCTGCCTCCTGGGTTCAAGCAATTCTCATCCCTCAGCCTTCCAAGTAGCTGGGATTACAGGCACGTGCCACCATGCCTAGCTAAGGTTTCGCCATGTTGCCCAGGCTGGTCTCAAACTCCTGAGCTCAGGTGATCCGCCCAACTTAGCCTCCCAAAGTGATGGGATTACAAGCACAAGCCACCACACCCGGCCTCGTGGTTTTGATTTGGACTTCCCTGATGATTACTGATGCTGAGCATTTCTTCATTCACCTGTTGTCCGTTTGTATGTCTTCTTTCGAGAAATGTTTATTAATGCCTTTTGCCCATCTTAAAAATTGGGTTATTTGGACTTTTTTGCTGTTGAGCTAAGTTCTTACGTATCTGAATATTAACATCTTGCCAGATGTGGAGTTTGCAAACGTTTTCTTCCCTTCTATAGGTAGTGTCTTTACTTTGTTAATAATTTCCTTTGCTGTGCTTTGCTTTTTAGTTTGATGTAATCCCATTTTCTACTTTTGCTTTTGTTGCCTGGAGAAATGCTTTAAAAGATGGGCAGATTTCTCTGAAAATTTGCAGAAGAATGGAGAACTTTCAGAAAACTGAAAAAGAGCCAATATCATATCTATATATTTTTGAAGGAATAGAAGAGATCCAGGCAACTGTGGGCTATGTGTTTAATTTCCATTGCTGAAACATATATACAACACTGGGGATAGTCTCATAACGTTGGTTTGGTAAGTGAGCAACTGTTCTCCAATCATACTTAGGCAGAGCAAAGGGAAATGGGCTGAAACTAGAACGTGCGGGATTTAGGTTAGAATGTAAGAGTTTTATGACTGGGAGGAATATTGGAACAACTTCCTAAGAAGCATTGTGCAACTTCTTTCTCTAGAGATCTTTAAAAATACGATAGATTTTCATGTCTGGTTTAAATCTGGTGCTGCCCAAAGGTGAAAGAAAGCCAAAGTGTTTTATTTTATGCCCCACGTATATTTTGAAGAATTTTAACATCGATTTTCTCATTTCAAATGTTGTAAACCAAGGATTTGAATTACGTAATGGTATCACTAATTTTTAAAATATCCTTTCACCTTAAGTGAATTTTGCTTTACAAAGCAGTGTATATTCGTTTGCCTTAAGACTTTCATCTCATTTCCACGGGAAAAAAAAAAAGAATTGCTAAGCACATCCACTCCCACGCCACCTCCTTTTCTTCTTTTTCTTTGGTACACTGTGTTTTTGGTCACGTGTATACACAACAAAGTTCAAATAAGTAGTCACAGGAACCTTTACTGGGAGGCTTTGGCAAATCAAATATATGCTATATAATATATAATAATTATACATGGAGAAAAGAGGCAGAGGGCCCAGAAGCTCTTGGCAGCTGTGCTGTCTGGTTAGAAAAGGAAGCAAGTTACAGAGTTTGGACATTCAGTTCTGAGATGTTATTCCTGAGTCAACAGGATTTTAATTATGTATGTGGCCTAGAAGAGACATTTATGCAAGAGGAACATATTGTTATTGAACGTGTTTGTGATTTTACTCATGATTCAGAATTGGAAAGAAGCTGAAAGTAATTTCTGAAGGTACATAGCTGAATGGAAGGAACATAGAATAATGATACCTCTCCTAGTGGCAGAAAAATAACTAATATCTTGGCTTCTCATTTCAACTTCCTCACTCAACACACTCTCTTTTCTTTTATAGTTATATTTTTCAAAAAAGTATGTGTGTGTATATATATATACTTTTTTTTCACACAACACTCAGACATTTCAAATCACACTATTTAGGCAGAAATAAGGGATGTGTTAAATATTACTTCATCTTTAAACATCTTTTTCTCCTATCCTCATGGTGAGGTCACTTCAAGTTAGAGTTCTTGTTTATAAGTTCATGGTGTCTTTGTGTATATTTTAGGGTAGTTTTTGCAAGAAGTTACAAATTTACTGCACTGACGTGAGATGCTACATGAGACATGGAAAGGCTATTCTGAATTGTGGCAGATAACTTCTGTCTTATGGATAGATTAGGGGAGATTACGGAGCCTGTAGAATGCAAAGAATTGAGCTTTTCTAAGAGTAAGTTTTTCTTCCTGTGACTCCTTTCATTGATTCATTCACTGATTGATTGATTGACTGATTCATTCACTCATTCAATATTTACTAAGCACCTACAAGGTGTCAGTTCTAGTATTAATGCCTCAGCAGACCTATCATTGCCCACGTTTTGTTTTAACTTACCTTTGTTTAATTTACCTTCTCCACCGCCATCCAAATATGCAGCCATAATGACATTTTCTGCTTTTAATAGCTAACAGTTATTGAACACTTACCAGACATTGTCCTAAGGGCTTTTTGCACATTGTCTTATTTAATTTTCACAGCAAGCAACCTTATGAGGTAGGTCTTATTAGCAAGCTCATTTAAATAGGAAGGAGCCAAGTAGGGCAGAATAGGTATCTTGCACTAGGTCACATATCTAATTAGTGAGCCCATGCTATGGGACTCTAAGGCTTTGTTCTTGTACAGCCTCCCAGGATTATTTATTCTGTTTTTTTTAAGCTTGTCTTTAGGTGCAAATTCTCAAGTTCACCTCTTTGCCTCATTAAATTATCATTTTTACCTTCTGTTTTCATCTCTTTTACCTCCTTGAAAATCCATCTGTACTTGTATTTCTAAGAAAACAGTAAACTAATTGAAGCTCCAGTTACTTTAGATTTTATAATACTTTCTTGGCTGGGTGTGGTGGCTCATGCTTGTAATCACACTTTAGGAGGCCAGGGTGGGAGGATAGTTTGAGGCCACCCTGGACAATATAGTGAGACCCCATCTCAATTGAAAAAAGAAAAGAAGAGAAAAAAAATACTTTCTTAACGCAATTTTGATTTTCTCTTAAAGCCTTTTAATATAACCAAATCAATGTAGCAATTTGTAAAGGTTAATGTAAAATAAATTATTTTAGTATATAAAGAGATTTTCCCTCTAATGTCTACACGGTGAAAATTAATACTTGGTGTCTTGAGTAACTTAAAAATATTTAAGACCCTATGAGGTTCTTTGGTGAAGGGACAAAAAGTGCAGAATGTACCTAAGTGAGTTTTCTCCAGTTTAGTAAAAGATTATAAAACCAAGTCTTCAGCAAACCTAGAAATGACAACTATGATTTTATAAGTATGAGAACAAGAATCATGTTTCTTTAATGCTAGTTATACCTTCCAAAAAAACTTCCTTTTAAGTTGAGCCAGATCTGCCAAACCAGCGTATCATCTTGGAGCAATTAAAGGTTTTAGGGTTTCCCCTCTAGAATCTTATTTCCAGTTGACAGATTTTGAAGCTTCCCCAAGGATGCCCATTTGGTAGATGTCATATACTTTCTAATGAAGGGTTGCAAAAAGCAAATGATCACTTTGTTAAAACCTGGGGGCTCATTTTGGCTTTGCTCTGTGAACCCCAGAGTTAGCATCTAAAGTGGCAGAAGACACTTAAAAGAGGGATTCTCCCCTTCATATGCTGCTCCACCATTTGCTAGATAGCTGTGTGGTCTTGGGCAAGTTACTTAAAATCCTAGTGCCTTCTATAAGATGGGAGTAACAACAGCATCCAACTCATAAGTTGTTGTGAAATAAGATAATCTAGGTAAAGCACATGGCAGAGTGCCTGGTCCATAATAAACATGCAATAAATGTTAGATTTTATTCATCGCAAACGTGGTGAAACTGAAGGTGACTTGTGTTGAACTCAATTCTTTTAGAAAACCTTCATAGAATTTGATACTCACATTGTAATTCATAGCTTTGTAATACTAGAGACTTCTAGGTTTTTTAGTTACTGAAAGCACAAAAGATTGTTTTTCTTTATAGGGATGTTAGAGGAAAAATTCACTTTATATTCTGAAATAATTTACATTAGCCTTTACAAATGTGTTATATTGATTTGGTCACATTATAAGGCACTTAGAGAGAATCAAGAGTGCAGATGGACAGGTCTTGACACGTAGCCTCTGCAACCAGGAGACAGGCAGAAAACAGACTATGGGGTCTCTAAGACAGCAGGTAGAATAAAAAGGCATGAACTCTGGATTGGGAGCTGGAGGTGCCTGGATCAACGGGAGGAAGTTGGTTTGGTGATTCCCAAATTGCATTCTCCAAAATTGTTAGCTGTGGTAATAGGCATGCCCTACAAATAATGATTACCTAGTCAAATAGGCTTGGAAAGTCTTGGTTTAAACATGGTTAACTGCCTTAATTTATTGTAGAACCACTCACTATTCAGTAGTAGTCTAAATTCCAGCCCTGCCTTTTTCTAGCTGTGTGTGACTTTAAGCAGATTGGTTAACTTCTTCAGCCTCTGTTTCCCCAGTTGAAAATGGGAATACTAATAGTACCTACATTGTTTTATTATGAGCCAAATGAGTTAGAATTTGGTGCCTGGTTCACAGTAAGCATTATACACGTATCGGCCTTTATTAATGTGGTGGAAGAAGCATAGGAACTGGTATCATTTAATCCCTCTATGGACTTTGGGTCACAAACTTGACATCTTAGGGGCACTAATAATTGTCTGTACAATAGGGAAAAAAATACCCACTTCCCTGGCTCATTGTGAGGAATGTAATACACATGAGAGATATTCGAAATGTTAAGACACAGTGCAGTGTGAAAAGCACATGGTAAATGTATAATAAATGGTAGGTCTTGTTATTCCCCAAATTATCCCCACTATTATTCACTAAAATACATGAACACTGGGCTGATAGCAGTGTGAAATATGCACAAACTGAATACTGTATCTATAGAATGCAACCTGTGTATTGATTGACACGTGGAGTAGCCTGAGATTCTACCCTTTTTACATTATGAGGAAACAGCAAGAAAGAGTAGAAATGGACCTCTGTCAAGGGCCTCTATGTCTCAGATGGGGTTAAATGTGTAGTATGTTTAGGCCTAAGAAGTCAGGATTGAAAGGGGTAGAGGCACTTGGATCATGGGGCAGAAGTAGGTCCTGGTAGTCCCAAACTGTTAACTGTGAGAGTAGGCATTATCTTCAAATAAGGTTTCACTAGTCAAATAAATTTAGAATGCCCTGGATTAAATATCATTAAATGACTTTCTTTATTGTATATACACTCAGATTCTTTGATACGCTAATATATACTTCAATTTCAATTCACTTTTTTTTTTTTTTTTTTTTTTTTTTTGAGACAGAGTCTCACTCTATCACCCAGGCTGGACTGCAAAGGCACGATCTCGGCTCACTGCAACCTCCACCTCCCAGGTTCAAGTGATTCTCCTGGCTCAGCCTCCCAAGTAGCTGGGATTACAGACATGTGCCACCATGCCCAGCTAATTTTTTGTTTCTTTTTTTAGTAGAGACAGGGTTTCACCATGCTGGCCAGGCTGGCTTTGAACTCCTGACCTCAGGTGATCCGACCGCCTCAGCCTCCCAATGTGCTGGGATTACAGGTGTGAGCCACCATGCCCAGCCTTTAATTCACATTTTGAAACTCTAGGAAAAAGATGTGGTTTGCAGCATTTCCCAAATGAGTCCTTTTCTTTTTTCCTCATAAAATGGCTTAGAATGCACTTTACGAAGAACTGACCAAGGGCAATTGTGTATCCTTCATGTTTGCTTTGGTCCTTTGTTCTCCCAAAAGGCTGCTAATGTCCTGCTTTACGATTTGGACTTTTTATTATCAGCAGGATTCAGCCTTGACTTGTTTCTAGTGATGAGGCAGCACATTTCAACCTGTAACATTTTGAACTGTATGAAATTGCTGATATTTGAACATTTTTGACCTACTAAATGACAATTTCATGTGGTTCAAACTAATACTTAGGACAGTGACGGCAAGTGCCATTTGCATCCACCTGGTTCAGGTACTCCTTCCAAATACCTGAAGGAGGATGATTAGTATATGGGGACTGGATTCTCCCAGTTTGTACCTCCACTGAGCAAATATTTATGGAACGCTTACTATATACTTTGGACCATGCTGTCCATAGCAATTTACCTGTAAAATATTACCTCCCTCCCTCACATTTTATCAGTGAAATACTTGTTGCAAAAGGTTTGGAGGAAGATAAGCCAAAAACTGACATCTGAATATTTTTTTCAGACCCTGGGTACCACCAGCTCTGCTATTTCTGGGTTTTCCAAATGCGTGGGTCAGCAGTTTCCAACCCCTCCAAGATGCCCAGGGTCCTTCCCACAGAGCTGTAGCTGTCATCAGACACTGGTGGGAGGGCCCGGGAAGTAAGCTCCCTGAAGAGTACTTGGCACCTGCTTCACACTGGGCAAGGTGTAAGGAGAAAGCTGACTCTGGGATGGGTCTACTAGTTAAAGTGGTGATTAATTTAACATTCATTTACTTATCTATTCCTTCCCTCAACACATTGTTATGGAGTGACCAGAAAATGTGCCCAGTAACTGTGTTAGGGTAGGGACGCAACATCGAACAGGATAGCACCCTGCCTGGCCTCTGCCACCCACAATCTACCACAGGAGGCAGAAGTCAGCAGGCACTTACAACTGAGTATGGTGGGCAATTCAGGTGAGGCAATATGAAGAAAGCCAGGTGGGAATGGGGGTGGAACGGCATATTGAGAATCGTGTACTCAGAATTCCCTGCTCTTGGTTGGGGAGAAGTTTGTGCAGTGCTTCTACCCCACCTGCCACTGAGGAAGGGGCCAGTCCAAAAAGGAGATTCTCAAAGGGTCATTCTTATTAGAACAGTCTGTTTTGCTGTCCAGGGAATCTATACTGTCATGTGTGGAGTTTTGAAATATATATTTCTCAGTCTCAATTTGTAAACTCTGCAGGCAGCATCAAGAAAAGGTATGGATAGGCCCCTATTTTAATCCAGCTCAATATGCAAAAATTTATACTTATAAACCATACGTGTTAAGTTGGAATACATGGGATCTACTGGGTTCTGACCAGTCCATCAGTTTTAATTAGTGAGTGAAGGACCTCTGAATTAGAGTCAGGATTCACATTACAGAATGATTCTTCATTTTCACAGATGTAATCACCACAAAGTTTCTTTAAATAATTACCCTTTTTTTGGTAATTAATATCCGACCCTATCTTAAATGTTAAATTTACACATCCATTTTAAGGAACCATCAAGTGTCCAGAGCCTGAATCTGCATTCATCCTCCTGCTGCATATGGCCTTCTTAGAATAGTCTCAAGTGAGCTTGTTCTAAAACCAGACTTTTAATTCTGTGCTCTGTTGCCCAGGCTGGAGTCCAGTGGTGCAATCTCGGCTCACTGCAACCTCCCTCTCCGGGGTTCAAGCGATTCTCCTGCCTCGGCCTCTTGAGTAGCTGGAATTACAGGCGTGTGCCACCATGCCCAGCTAATTTTTGTATTTTTAGTAGAGACGGGGTTTCACCGTATTGGTCAGGCTAGTCTCAAACTCCTGACCTTGTGATCCGCCCATCTCAGCCTCCAAAAGTGCTGAGATTACAGGCATGAGCCTCATTATCTTTTCTTTAAAAAAAATTGGATGGGGTATAGGAAGCTTAAAGGAAGGAAGTAGCTTAATTTTTAAGTTTGAAAAGTTGCAAAAAATGTTCTTTAAAAAGCAAAGAAGGGATTGCATGTCTGTCTTCCTCTTTAAAAAGTTAATATTCTTCAGAATATGATAATATAACAACAGTTATCATAACTAATGTAAGTAAAATATAGAGTCCTTTTATTAGCAACCTTTTATTTCCTTGAATCATTTAAAATCATACCCATATTATTGCCCTATAATATTTTATTTACTTTAATACAATTATGAAATTTTGCAAAGGGCTTGGTAAAGCAGTATTTTCCAAACTCCGGGTCATGACCCATTGGTGAGTCTGGAAATTAATATAAATTTTATACAAATGAGGTAATAGAATGGAATAGAAATACCAGAATGCATCACACTTGGTAAGGGTAGATTTTGTTTTGTGAAATTTTTTTTTATATACATTTACACACATATACATGCATATACACATATATATTCACACATATTTATATGTGTATACAAATAACATATAAACATATACATGTGAGTGTACTAACTCACTGTGGAATGCAGACAAAAAATTTAAGAAATCCTAAAATGAAGAGTTCAAAATAAAGGTAAAATGTAAATAACCATATTACACAATAAATATGATTTTAAACACTAAATAACATTTGTTAAAACAATGCCTTCAGCTTTAACAAATTTACAAATTTGTTTAATAAAGAAAAGAGGCATGGAGGCAAAATGTACTCCCATATGTGTATACGTACATGCATACAGACATCTACCCATAAATAGAATTTTTAAAAACTTCAAATATATTTAAAACCTTTAAAATGTAATTCAAAATAGAACTTCTGATTCCATGAATAGCATTTGTTAATAATATAAAGTAAAAGATGCAATTATGCTGATATTTTCACAGTGTTCATTCATTCATCTACTCTAAGCTAAAGACCAATATGAAAAAAAAATTGCAGGGAGTTGCTTTTTTATTTTAAAGTTTATAACCTACTTATATAGTACCTACCCTCTCATTAGCCTGGGATGAGAGTAGACAGTCTGTGTGATGCACAGAATCCAGAAGGAAATTCTGAAACTGCATCTAATAGTTGCAAAGAGACAATCCTATCCTTCATTTTAATGATTTCTTCCTCCATCTCTCTCTGGTCTGAACCAGTCTTGCCTAACATTATAGTACTGCTTTTCCCATTCTTCATCATGAACCATAAAGGCTTCTTGCAAACTCTCAAGGCTAAACACATTCCAGACATTCCTTTACACAACGTTCCTGAAAAGGTTGGTTTCTTAGGATCCTGCAGCAACACTGCCTGCATGGTTCACAGAGACCAGACCGCTGCACAAGCCTTTCGCTGGCAGACAGCCAATGGTGCTGCCTCTCCTCTCCTCTGAAAGACTTGCTTTACTCACCCAGAGTCCATCAAACTCGCTTTTCAAGGGGTAGATGAGGACAGCAGGATCCTCAGTAAAGAAGAATCACCTAGTGAGGCAGAGTTTCCAGCAGCACAGTGAAGCTACACATAGGTTGTATATCTTGGTATGATGTGTATTTGCTTTGGAAAGAGACATTTAAACAAAGTTCTCCTTAGCAAAGTCTTGCCTCCACTGCCACCAATCCAGGAGTCTCAAAATTACTTTTAATGAATTCAAGAAATAGAAGTTCTACCCTGGAACACTTATTAGCTGCCTTTCTTATATAAGTAATTACAGGACACACCATTTTCTTCCTTTTTCCTATTAACATTTCCGATTCTGCCTCTCTTTTCTCCCTCCCTCCTTCTCTTCTCACTTTGTGTCACATACACTTCATTTGAAATTCTCTAATTCTCTTTTTAGACCAGGGAAAATCGATATCAAACATTCCAGGGCCAGAGGTTTTCAAGAAAGACAAGACAAAAACCACAGAACTTCTTTCACATATGACTGAATCCCTTCACACTCTTTCTGGCCTATGGGATACTCGTTGCTGAGAGGTTTAATTTGCCTAGAATTCTCTTTACCCCCTTCTTCCCAACTCAGCCCCTTCTCTTGGTATCCACATTCCTTGATAAATACAGCCAAACCCAGCATCTTTCTCAGAATCACAAAACCCTAGTGCAAGGTCTCACAATTCTCACTCCATGAAATATGAGTTCCTGGTCAAGTGTTAAAGGCTGTGATCACACACCTAGATCCGGGCGCTCTGACCAGTGGAGTTTGTCATAAGGCCCTATTCTTTCTCAGTGATCCATGAGACACTGAACAAATTAGAGGTGCTCTATATTCAGCATGTGACTGACTGCCAAAGAAATGAAACTCAGAACCCAGGGGTACATCACAGAATGAGGAGATGATTCAGAAGCTGAGGGATCATTGTCACTGCAAACATATAGTATTAGAGAGAGAAGGAAAGCTATTAGCTTCAGGAATAAGCCTTTTTCTCTCCTCGTCTCTCTTTCCATGAGCTGGGGCTCACTGAAAGTGTTGCTGAAATGAGGGAAAGATGGGCAGCACTTTTTCCTGTAGCACATACAGGACACTTACATTTCCATGTCCTTTGTCACCATATCTGTTAGTAATTTTTCTGGATCCATTTAACCAGACAGCCTTCTGACTTCAAAATCTGTGGCAGAATTTTCACATGGCCATTCTGAAACAGAGGAGCTCACCTAAACAAATCCTGTAAGACACAGTTACCTAAAAATAACCCTAGCAAATTATTGGGAGTAGGAAATGAAGCAGAGATAGCAAGTTCCCACTGACTTTTTAAAGAATCACTATGAAGTGTTTACAAGGATACCGCAGAGGACTAAAATTAGTTTATTCTGCACAGCATTATCCACTGCTGACTCAAGATGGTGATACAAGCAGTGTTAACCTGTGAGCTCACCCGGAAGCTCATTCTCTAAAATTACTCTCTTGCAGGGATAGACCCCTAGTTCACATTGGTGAATGGAAGATGGGGTATAAATAGCAACTTGTTACGCCATCACTCAGAAGCTATGTGTCCTGCTAGTCTCCAGTTTTGTTTCTTGCAGATGTAAGAGCCTCCTGATCAGTCTATTGTCTCTCAGTGTTCAAGGGTATGGAGTGTGTGTGTGTGTGTGTGTGAATATCATTCTTTCAGTTGTACAATACAATAATTAGAAAACTTAGAAGTTAAGTGATGTGGTAAAAATCATACAGCAATTCCCTGACACTTAAAACTGAGTTTTTGTTCCCATAATCTTCAAAGACTTAAATGTACTGAACCTTTGCTGTTTCTCCTATGAGCCAGAGGACATGTCCTATCAACTGAGTTAAGTGTCAACAGTCAGCTAGCTAGAAACATGTTCAGATATGTGTAGGGAGAGAAGAATATGTAGATACATATGCTGTACGAGTGGATTCTTATGAAAGAAAGGTTTTCTTTATATTTAAGGGCAAGTTTATTAGAATTAAGCTGCATCCACACTCTACTCCAAGTTATTATTTTGGTTGCTTCACTCAAATAGTCAATTCGATAAAGAAAAAAAAGTCAGCATCTCCAGCATTTCTACATCAGCCCATAGCCTGTGATGTTCTCTCTTGGTGGCCGATTTTGCATTTGTTTTCATACCTACTATATTTTCTATATTTCATACCTACTATATTTTCTATAGCATTCATTTCAAGACACAAACAGATATTCTTTAATGTGTGCCAGTCAGTCATTTTGATTCTAAATAATTCTGTTTCTCCGTAGGTGCCCATTCTTTGCCGCTGACAACTTCCCCCCATCTGCTTAATCCATTTTCTGGCTTATTAAGTACTGGGATGATTTCTTCAGTGACAGAAGAAACTATGCATCACTGATTTCCTATTTTTGAAGCCCTGGCATTTTTCTTGTTGGGACACTGCGTGCTTCATTTCTAATTAGGCTTTTCTTCTTACTCATATTTGGCTTTGCTTTATCAATACATTACGCAACCAGTAACTGGAAACAGGATCCCAGAGAGTGCCACAAGCAAGCTTCCCAGTGACCTAGGGGAAAGAAGGAGTATTAAAGGGTGAGATGGAATTGGAGTTGCAGGCAAGATGATTATCAGGCTTGATGATGTAATGGGAAGTTGTTAATTTTAAAGCAACAGCTGGATTCTTTCTCAGGTTGATAGTAGTTCTGTTTTGTAGCCAGATGAGTCTTCAGTAGAAACAATCCCATTTTATCAGATACAGTATTTCCTTTAAGATAGGCTTATACCAAACATCTTTAGAGAAAGCCATTGGGCCTATTCTGTTGTACAACCAGGGTTAAGCAAAATGCTCCAGAAGTAGTGTTTTTTTTAAGGTCCTATTCAAACGCCTCCACTTCCATGAAGTTTTTCCAGATCACCCCAGCTGAGAGCATCTCTCCATCCTCTCAACTCCCACAGCACCCTGGGATAATCCAAGTAAGGCACTTAGCATGGAGCCTGTGTAAAGAAGTGTTCATTATTATTGTCCCTACCTCTTTGTAGTATGTATCATCTTCCTCCTTGTGTCTCCATTGTGTACACACCACTTATCTCCCCCATTAACCTGTAAGCTACTGAAGGGTCTGATGCATCGTTTTTTTTTCCCAGCAGTGACTTGCTGGGGAAAAAAAAAGTACTTGGTAAATGTGTGTCGAATGAATAATAGATGGTTGGCCTTCTCAGGTATCTTTGCATCCTCATGCCTGACATCAGTAGATACTCAATAAGTGTGAGGATAATGAATGTTCAATGAATGGATATAGGCAAAAAATTCGATTGCTAACTCTTTTGAAAGGCTGCCAAAGTTCAGCCTTTGTGTTCATAGAGTTAACTTTCCTAATATCCTTAATGTTAATGCCAAAGACAACCAACAATAGCAGCTTTACTCCTGAACCCAGTTCCTATAAATGACATGCTTGTTATTTAAATAACTAGGCAACTAGTTTCACCCACACTTCCCACATGAGGAGTAAAATTATTATAGCTGATACTTTTTGGGCATTTGCTTTATGCCAGGCTCTGTTCTGTGCTCTTTCACACACTCACTCACTTAATTCTTGCTGCAATCTATTTTAAAGATGAGGCTCTGAAGTACAAGAAGGTTAAATCCCTTGCTCCAGGCCAGGCTCTTGCTGAATACCACATTGTAGCCAGAGCTGGGCTGGAGTTGCAGACAAGTTATGGTTTGATGGCACCATTTCTCCATGTTTCATACAAAATGCTAAAATAAGCAAATACCAGAATTAGTCCAGCCAAGATGCTAATGCATAGAGACTTTAATGTCTGTCTCAAATATACTTGAGCTCTCAACTGTTCTCTGTATTGTAGGTGCCCCAGGTAGAGAAGGGGAGGAGGGCTGCAGGAGCTGTTACTTGGTTGTGAGCACAGAAAACAGTCACCTAGAGACTCAGACTTACTTCTGTTTGTAAATATCTGCTCTGCTGCATCAGTAGGCGTCCCCTTGCCTCATCTACTTCCACTTTCCGTTTCATACTCTGATCTCTTCCAGGTATTCCCTCAGCTTTGAATTTTCCACTTTCCTACCCTCCTTCAACTGCGTGAGCCCTACAGGCCATTCAAGAAGCAACTTAAATGGCCTCTGACCATCTCAGACAGGTGTTGGTATCCCTGCAACTCCTCGTGCATCCCACCCCCAACAGCTGTTAGTGTTTTATTTTGTAATTGTTGGTTTAATTGTCTCTACTGCTAGATTACAGTCTCATCAAGGATAGGGACCCTCTCTTATTCATGGGTATCCTGAGAGCCCAGCACAATTCTGGGCACATAGAAAGTGTCTCATAATGTTTGCTGAATGAATAAATGACGGTGTTGTTTGCATGTCCATACCACTCTGAAAGTATTACATAAACCAACTTCAGGGACTGTGCACCTCCACATTTAGATGCCCAAGATTTGGCAGGAAGGACACAGCCAAGAATAACTGATTAGAGATGTTGTTTCTCTGTCCCTATATAACAGAGAGAAAATATCCCACTGTTATCCAATATAAGACCATAAAAATGAATAGTCTTTGATGAGGAAAAAAAAAGTAAGCCTGAAAAATGTGTGGCTGGAAAAAAAATGTTGCAAACAGCATTTTATTTTTCCTCTGTGGACTTGTATAAATTATGTGTAAGGCAAATATGTGATAGAGAGATGCAGTGGTAATTACTTGTTCTCAAATGTTTGGTTAACTATGCCTCTTAATCCCACATACAGTAGCTTAGCACAGAATTAAATTCTGCCCCTTAGGCAGAATTAGCATTTGGAATTTCTTATTTCTGTAGTTTAAATGTTTTTATCCCAATATTTGTACTTTTCCATTTAGAATAAATAAATGTACTGAGTGTGTGTGGAGAAATATAAATAGCATGGAATTTTTATGATTCAACTCATTGTTCTTATTGGTTTGTGGTCAATTTTTATGGGTACCAATTTTTTAAAAATTACTCACCCATAATTAGTTACAGGAACATAGAAAGAATCGCTAGACCACTCTTTCTTCCAATGAATGTAGTATCATCTTATTGCCAATAATTAAAGTCTTTAATTTTATGAGGGAAAAAATAACTTCCTTCAGGCTTTGCTCTCAAAATGCAGATATTTCATGATACAGTGTTATATGAAATAATTAGGAAGAAAGGTTTTTCTTTGCTGCCACTTATAGTAGGAATGGGAAAAAATTGTTGCTCTGATTAACTGGGGAGTCTACTCCACGTGAGCGGTAGTACTAATTTACTAATTCATCCATTAACATCTGCTGTGTGCCTAAAATGTGCCACAAACTGCTATTTACTGGAGATGTAAGAAGAGCTAAGACTTGGCCTCTGTCCTTAAGGAGCTTACAAAGAAATGGGAGACGTTTGTATAAACAATTGCAATGAAACAAGACAATTCTTAAATGGAAGTCTATACAAAGCACAGCAAGCCTGTAGGAGAAGGACGTGAGCCGGATGGGGTAGGAGTGGGCACTGCGGATTATGGATTCACAGAGAGAGCATCTGAGCCGAGACCTGCTGGAGGAGAAGGAATTTGCCAGGCAGCACAGCTGGTGACTCAGCGACGGGGGAAGGCATCTAGATACAGGAGTGAGTCTATGGAGTCTTTGGGGTTTTATTATTAGTAGCAAATGGCCTGTGACCCACCTCACAACTCACAGAAACACATCAGTGAGGCAATCCGTGGTAAGGCTCTCTTACGAAGGTTTTCAGCATAGCAGGGATCTTTCAGATTGGCCATTAAAGACAGCATGAGTTCACACTGGCGGCTGTATGGTGGAGACAGCATCTAGAAGCTGCCACAGTGTTGGGGCAAAATGGGATGAGCCCAGATCTGAAACAACACTGGTAAGAATCAGGGTGTGGAGGGCAATAATGAGGCCAAAGCAGTGGGACCCGGTGATGAACCAGGCAGGTCACAGGTGCCTTGGGCTGTAAGCCACGAGATCTGGACGGACTCAAGTTTCCAATCAGTGGTTGTGGCTGTCTGCATCACCCAAAATAGAACATAGGTTGAGTCTTGCACTCAAACTAACTTGAAGGCAGAATGATGAATAGCCGGACATTAAAGTACTGTGATGACATGAAGTGGGATATTTTCAAAATAGAGGATCCTTTCTGGGGGAGGATATTTGTCTGTGTCGATCTATTAAATAACTGTACCTGGCCCTGGAGAGGTAACTTAACACTTTCAGCAGGGAAGGAGCTGAGGCTGACTCACAGCTCTCCATCAGCATTTCCCATTTTTCTTTCAAAGCAGTTCATAAATACCTTCTTTATGCTTTACATTTTTACTGTGGAGCCAGCGAATGTATAAGGAAGAAGTTGATTAGTGTGGTTAATCTACCTCTTCTATTTAATTGCATATTGACATATTCCTGTGTTTATGCCCATAAAATTCCTGTATCTGCTTTTACAGCTCTTCAGAATTTCAGAAGGAAATCTGTTCCAATCACACTGAACTCCTATTGTCCCCTGCGTTCAGTAATGAGGTCCCTTCTTTGTGCCTCGGCACAGTCCATTTTCCTATCTGAATTGTTCCGTCTTAGAAATCCATGAACTTCTTCATATTCTGGCTCAAAATTAAACTTCTCTGAGACATTTAGTCACTATTCCAATTGCTGCTTTGTTTTTTGACATATCTGAACTGTATTAACTTTGCATATAAGTGTCTACTTAAGTCTTCTTAAACATTTCATGTACATATTTTGGGCATTTTCAAACAGTATCATCCTTAACCTAGTGCAACTGTTCAATAGATGACAACCTTAACCAATGGACAAGTAGTAGAAATACATTTCCCTGTCTGCCCTAGTTCCATGTCTACCTTTAAAAGTTTAGAACTTTTTCTAGAACCCAAAATATACGTGCCATTAGGTCAGCATCTCTATTTCTGACTTCTAAGTACAGTTCTTTGAACAAATATTCAAAATATTTTATATGCACAGAAAAGTACAGGATGTAACACAGCAGAATTAAAAAAGGTAAATATCTTGTACCATGTTTCAGATATTTTATTTTTATGAAAAAGATTAGGAGCTAAGCTATGAGGATGCAAAGGCATAAGAATGATACAGTGGACTTTGGGGATTCAGGGGGAAGTGTGGGAGGGGAGTGAAGGATATAAGACTACACATTGGGTACTGCTTGGGTGATGGGTGCACCAAAACTTCCAAAATCACCACTAAAGAACTTATAATAAATAAGTCCAATAAATAAATAAATAAATAAATAAAGGGGAAAAAAAAGAATGAAACATTACAAATATAGTTGATATCCTTTTTGTAGTCTTCCCCCATGCCGTTTACCTCCTTTTATTCCTAGAGGCAACCACAAGCCTGAAATTGATGCATTTATTTCCTTTCTCTGTTCCTATAATTTTACTAAATATGTATCTTTCTGTGATCAATATATTAATTAATGTTTGTGTTTTAAAATTTTACCCAAGTAATATCTTTACACATATGGATTTTGTTATTTTCTCCAACTTCAGAATCTCTGTATTTTGATAAGCAGATGTGATCTTTTATGTTTATTGTGATTATTGATAAGTTTAAGATTGTTTTTAGCATTTTTCTTAGAATTTTTTATTTATTGAAATTTTTCATGCTTTTCTTCTTCTTTTTTGTCCGTGTAAGTAATCATTTTAAAATTCCTTTTTGTTTCCACACTGGTTTGGAAAATAAACATTCTATTTGTCTTTTTAGTGGGGCTGCCACTTTAAATATGAAAATAAAATTTACGCATCATTTTTAAAACTCCAAGTCTGTATTTATCTTCTCAGTCTTAATCTGTTGATATTCATCCGTTTTTTCCCTAAGCCAATGCAATGATCCTTGGCCAGGCACGGTGGCTCACGCCACGGCGGGCGGATCACGAGGTCAGGATATCGAGACCATCCTGGCTAACACGGTGAAACCCCGTATCTACTAAAAATACAAAAAAAAATTACGCCGGCCTGGTGGCGGGCGCCTGTAGTCGCAGCTACTGGGGAGGCTGAGGCAGGAGAATGGCATGAACCCGGGAGGTGGAGCTTGCAGTGAGCCAAGATCATGCCACTGCACTCCAGCCTGGGCGACAGAGCAAGACTCCGTCTCAAAAAAAAAAAAAAAAAAAAAAAGATCCGTCTTTCCTCGTTTCTTCTTGTTTTATAGAAAAATGGTTATACTATATGCACTCTTCCATAGCTTACTTTGCAGTTATAACTTTTGAATATCCTTCTATGTCAGTAACACAGTTCTATCTCATTCTTTCTAATGGCTACATAGCAATGATGATGATAGCTAACATTTTCTGAGTAATTGCTATGTGCTAAGAACTTTGTCTCATCTAAAAGTCACAACAATTATATGTCAAAAGAAGCCCCATTTTAGAGATGAGGAGCCTGAGGCTTAGAGAGGAGTGGCAGATAGAATAATGGTCCCCCAAGATGTCTATGTCCAAATCCCTGGAACCTGTGAGTTTATCTTACATGGCAAAAGGGACTTTGCAGATGTGATTAATAGTAAGAACCTAAAAATGGAGAGATCATGCTGGACTATCTAGGTGCACCCAATCTAATCACTTGAGTCCTTAAAGGTAGAGCCTTTTCCAGCTGGGTTAGGGAGAGATGTGATGGTAGAAGCAGGGTGAGAGAGATAGCAGCCTGAGAAGGATTCACCACCCTGTCGCTGTTTTTGAGAGGTCGACATTTATGTGCAGGGACAAGCAAGAGGCCTCTAGGAGCTAAGGGCAGCCCTCAGCTAATAGTCAGCAAGGAAAGAGAGATCTCGGTCTTACAACCACATGGAACTGAATTCTGCCAACACCTGAACGAGCAGGGAAAGGGATTTTCTCTTAGACTGTACAGGAAGGAGTGCAACCCTGCCCACCCACTGATTTTAGTTCATACCAGACTTCTGACCTGCTGAACTGTAAAATAATGTCTGTGTTGTTTAATGCCCATAAAATTGTGGTGATTTGTTAAGGCAGCAATGGAAATGAATACAAGCAGCCACAACTAATAAGTTGTAGTGAAATGGGAGCTCAGGTAGTCTGATTCCAGGGTGCATATATATAGCTAAATCAGAGTTTATTTAGCCAGTCCATTACTGGTGGGCATTAGGTGGCTTTCAAAATTAATAGTTTTTAAGTATCACTTGTGCCACACATCTGTTCTAAAAATGCTATATTTCTTCAACGGAGGCTAGAGCTTCTCATGTGCACAATTAGATACTTTATGAATAACATCTCATTAATTTTGAACGATAGGCTGTCCAACAGGGCCCTGGAACCCAGCTGTTGAAAGAAATCACTGATTTTAAAAAATTAATGTAGCAGCCAGCTCAAACATGAGGGCCCAGTGAGTAGCCAGCATTTTATGGGAGTCACTGATGAAGGGTCTCATCAGGATGTAATGGCACAAGCTCGTTTCTCCGAGGGCGCTATTCTGTCTTTGTTTCTCCTGGGGGCTTGGGCTGCCTTTGGGAGCCTTAGTGTCTTGGGACTCTAGAAGGTGGGTGATGTGTAGATATTTATTTGTGATGCTGTGATGCCTTTCAGCACTGTCTACTTGGCCTTCAAAACCTTTGCTTTAGCTTCTGCTTTGGAAGGGGAAAGGACTTCCTTTGCTTTAGGGACTATCTTGAGGAAAAAGCTAGAAAGTGGCTTTTTCTACTCCTGGCTTGCACCAATATTTTGGTGAGCTTGCAGATCTGGTAGCATCCTTTCTTTTTTCCCATGCTCTTTCCTTTGTTTCAGAACTTCCTTTTATTCTACTGCCTTGGAAATTTTTGTTTTCTCCTTCAGCTGTGATGTTAAATAATTAGAGGTGTGAAACCCTTTGACTCAATTATTAGGCTTGTTTTTTGTCCTTGCGCTCAACTGCTTGATCCTAGCACGTTGCAGTAAACATCCTCTTGGTTGTGAATTGGAAAGATGTCAAGTTAAAGAGGTTTGTCTGTTGTTACTTTATTTTTGCTTCATTTTACCTAAGAAACAAGAATGGAAATTTGAATTCTGATAAATTTTAGAGTGTTATGATGAATAATAACACCTCCTATTTATTGAACACTTACTATGTACCTAACACTATTAATTTTTCAGAATGCTTTCACTTATTTAAGTCCTCAGGGCTGTTCTGTGGTAGGTGCTCTGTTATCCCGATTTCACTGTTGAGGAATATGAAGTTTTAAGAAATTAGACAACCTGCTCAAGGCTATATAGTAGTAGAATGATAAAGCTGAGATGCAAACACAGGCTTGTTTGGCCAGTCTGCACTCTTAACCACTGTACTATAACGTTCCTTGGCATTTCAAGTTATTTGTAAGCAATGCTTCCAGGAACATTTTTTAACCAGAAAAAACTAAACACAGAACTACTTAGTTGTGTAGAAGCAGAAAGAACACTGGGATAAGAGTCAGGAGATGGAGCCCTAGCTGTGTGCCTAACTAGCCAAGCAAGTCCCTGAACCAATCACTTCACTAGCCCCAGCCCTGTGCTTTTCTCATCTGTAAAAGTGCCAAACTTCTAGCATCCTGAACAAAACTTGATTTCCTCTTCTTTAGTTTTTCCTGTACTAAGGTAGATGAAACCCACCATTCCCATATCATTTATGACAACTAAGGCTGGTATCAGATGAGGCCATTGGCATAGGGCTACTTGTCCAGAAAAAAGAGGGAAAATGCAATGATTAAATGCCACCCACCCTGGGCAGAAAGCAAACTAAGCGTAATGACTCAAATCCAAAGCCTAGAAAATCTTGGTGGAAACAGGGTGGATATATTCTTCTATCTTCAATTTTCTCTGTGTGTATTTATTGTTGACCATAGAAATGTGGATAAACATGTGGCTCACCATTAACCATCATCTCCAACTTGCTAAAGCTATTGTGGAGTAATGATACCACCAAACTTTGTCCAGCTAGAAATGAGACCCAGCCATAGAGAAGACTTCCTGAGTTTCTCAAGTATGTATCTGTTCTATCACATAGCTTTTTTCTATCCCATGTGTTATGGGCTGAACTGTAGTCTCCCTAGCAAATTCATATGTTGAAATTCTAACCCCCAGTACCTCAGAATGTGACTGTTTGGGTATAGGGCATTTAAGGAGGTCGTTAAGGTAGAATGAGGCCATACAGGTGGTCCCTAATTCACTATGACTGTTGCGCTTAGAAAAAAAGTGGATTAGGACACAAACAACACAGAAACAAAAGGGTGACCATATGAGGACACAGCACTAAGGTAGACATCCACAAGTCAAGAAGAAAGATCTCAGAAGAAAACCATCCTGTCGACATCAACTTGATCTTAGCCGTCTGTTCTCTAGAACTGTGAGAAAACACATTTCTGTTGTTTAAACTACCCAGCCTGTGGTATTTTGTAATGGCAGCCCTAGCAAACTCATCCACTATGTTTTAAATCCAGGTTTTTTTTTTAAGTTTCTCTTTTTTTTTCAGAAGTTTCTAACCTTAATTTTAAATTTGTTTTTCTTTCCTCCTTTGCTTGAGCTAGATTTCTACACCCTAAGAAGTCATACTCAGGTTTCTAAATTCATCCACATACTGGAGTACAAAGATTCCACAAATTTTAACAGTATTCGAAGAGTGCTCAGTCTTTGAGATGAGTCTTGACTGGTACTTTGGATATAACTTACATTTTATACCTCTGTAAATTCCTTTTCTTATTGCTCACCTGTGTCAGTTCTCAAATAGATTATTTAATTTTATAACAAACCAACAAATAAAACAAAGCACTGAACTATGTAAAACTGACTTCTCATCCCCTACCCCTGCCCTATGAATTTTTCTCTTTTTCTTACTCCTTACCTTGGGTAAAATGGCAGCAGCAACACCATGAACCCAAGTTCAGGTTCTCAAACTGGGAACTTAGGGACTCATTCTTCATTCTTTCTTTGTCCTTGCCTCTTACATTTAACTCATTATTCAAAGTCTGTTCATGCTTCTTTTAAAATGTCTAATAAAAACACTCGTAATTTTTTTTTTTTAAGAGACAAGGTTTCACCATGTTGGCCAGGCTGGGCTTGAAGTCCTGACCTCAAGTTATCTGCCCGCCTTGGCCCCCCAAAGTGCTGGGATTACAGGTGTGAGCCACCATGCCCAGCCAACACTTGTAATTTTAAACTATATTAAATTTGAATTGGCAATATCAATATGGACTCATGAATTAAAAACATATATGTGTGTGTGTGTGTGTATTCTAGCTCTGTACACTGAAAGAACATAGAAGCAATGATATTCCTCTAGCAATGAGCAATACCTAGAACCCAGATCTTGGTTTCTACTCATCTTTGTTTATTGAAACACAGTAAACAATGTTCCTGTTTACAGGAGAAATAGCTGATTCTAGGTGTTGAGCATGGAAACTACAAGGTAAGTTTAGGACATTTTGATATACCAAGGAAGTGCTCAGCGATTTATGGAGGCATGATACAAGGACACAGGGGCTAGTGTGAAAGGGCTCCCACTAGCCAAAGTTTGGACAGTTTGAATATGGCTATATTGATTGCAAAACATTGAATACATAAAAATTCATTAGTCCATAGTAATACCCAAAAAAGTGAAAGAAAAGGAAAAAAAAACTAATTTGCCATCATTGGAAGTGATCATTCAATAAATCCTTACTCTGACATTGATAGTAAAAGGGAAAGAACTAAACATTTACCTTGCCTTTTTTTTTTTTTTTAATGCTTTAAGTTCTAGGGTACATGTGCACAATGTGCAGGTTTGATACATAGGTATACATGTGCCATGTTGGTTTGCTGCACCCATCAATTCATCATTTACATTAGGTATTTCTCCTAATGCTATCCCCCAGCTCCCAAGCCCCTGACAGGCCCCGGTGTGTGATGTTCCCCACCCTGTGTCCAAGTGATCTCATTGTTCAATTCCCACCTATGAGTGAGAACATGCAGTGTCTGGTTTTCTGTCCTTGTGATAGTTTGCTCAGAATGATGGTTTCCAGTCTCATCCGTGTCCCTGCAAAGGACATGAACCCATCCTTTTTTATGGCTGCATAGTATTCCATGGTGTATGTGTGCCACATTTTCTTAATCCATGGTGTATATGTGCCACATATTCTTAATCCAGTCTATTACTGATGGACATTTGAGTTGGTTCCAAGTCTTTGCTATTGTGAATAGTGCCACGATAAACATACGTGTGCATGTGTCTTTATAGTAGCATGCTTTATAATCCTTTGGGTATATACCCAGCAATGGGATTGCTGGGTCAAATGGTAATTCTAATTCTAGATCCTTGAGGAATCGCCACACTGTCTTCCACAATGGTTGGACTACTTTACACTCCCACCAACACTGTAAAAGCATTCCTATTTCTCCACATCCTCTCCAGCATCTGTTGTTTCCTGACTTTTTAATGATTGCCATTCTAACTGGCATGAGATGGTATCTTATTGTGGTTTTGATTTGCATTTTTCTGATGACCAGTGATGATGAGCATTTTTTCATGTGTCTGTTGGCTGCATAAATGTCTTCTTTTGAGAAGTGTCTGTTCATATCCTTTGCCCACTTTTTGATAGGGTTGTTTGTTTTTTTTCTTGTAAATTTGTTTGAGTTCATCACAGATTCTGGATATTAGCCCTTTGTCAGATGACTAGATTGCAAACTTTTTCTCCCACTCTGTAGGTTGCCTGTTCACTCTGACGGTAGTTTCTTTTGTCGTGCAGAAGCTCTTTAGTTTAATTAGATCCCATTTGTCAATTTTGGCTTTTGTTGCCATTGCTTTTGGTGTTTTAGTCATGAAGTCTTTGCCCATGCCTGTGTCCTGAATGGTATTGCCTAGGTTTTCTTCTAGGGTTTTTATGGTTTTAGGTCTAACATTTAAGTCTTTAATCCATCTTGAGTTAATTTTTGTATAAGGTATAAGGAAGGGATCCAGTTTCAGTTTTCTACATATGGCTAGCCAGTTTCCCCAGCACCATTTATTAAATAGGGAATCCTTTCCCCATTTCTTCTTTTTGTCAGGTTTGTCAAATATCAGATGGTTGTAGACGTGTGGTGTTATTTCTGAGGCCTCT
Organism: Homo sapiens; assembly: GCF_000001405.40. NCBI lineage: Eukaryota > Metazoa > Chordata > Mammalia > Primates > Hominidae > Homo > Homo sapiens. Next base: position 85,513,174 of record NC_000001.11, on the reverse strand, counting down.
GTTCTGTTCCATTGGTCTATATATCTGTTTTGGTACCAGTATCATGCTGTTTTGGTTACTGTAGCCTTGTAGTATAGTTTGAAGTCAGGTAGCGTGATGCCTCCAGCTTTGTTCTTTCTGCTTAGGATTGTCTTGGCAGTGCAGGCTCTTTGTTGGTTCCATATGAACTTTAAATTAGATTTTTCCAATTCTGTGAAGAAAGTCATTGGTAGCTCGATGGGGATGGCATTGAATCTGTAAATTACCTTAGGCTGTATGGCCATTTTCACAATATTGATTCTTCCTATCCATGATCATGGAATACTCTTCCATTTGTTGGTGTCCTCTTTTATTTCATTGAGCAGTGGTTTGTAGTTCTCCTTGAAGAGGTCCTTCACATCCCTTGTAAGTTGGATTCCTAGGTATTTTATTCTCTTTGTAGCAGTTGTGAATGGGAGTTCACTCATGATTTGGCTCTCTGTTTGTCTGCTAATGGTGTATAGGAATGCTTGTGATTTTTGCACATTGATTTTGTATCCTGAGACTTTGCTGAAGTTGCTTATCAGCTTAAGGAGATTTGGGGCTGAGACGATGGGGTTTTCTAAATATACAATCATGTCCTCTGCAAACAGGAACAATTTGACTTCCTCTTTTCCTAATTGAATACCCTTTATTTCTTTCTCTTGACTGATTGCCCTGGCCAGAACTTCCAACACTATGTTGAATAGGAGTGGTGAGAGAGGGCATCCCTGTCTTGTGCCAGTTTTCAAAGGGAATGCTTCCAGTTTTTGCCCATTCAGTATGATATTGGTTATGGGTTTGTCATAGATAGCTCTTATTATTTTGAGATACATTCCATCAATGCCTAGTTTATTGAGAGTTTTTAGCATGAAGGGCTGTTGAATTTTGTCAAAGGCCTTTTCTGCATCTATTGAGATAATCATGTGGTTTTTGTCTTTGGTTCTGTTTATGTGATGGATTATGTTTATTGATTTGCGTATGTTGAACCAGCCTTGCATCCCAGGGATGAAGCTGACTTGATCGTGATGGATAAGCTTTTTGATGTACTGCTGGATTCGGTTTGCCAGTATTTTATTGAGGATTTTCGCATCGATGTTCATCAGAGATATTGGTCTAAAATTCTCTTTTTTTGTTGTGTCTCTGCCAGGCTTTGGTATCAGGATGATGCTGGCCTCGTAAAATGAGTTAGGGAGGATTCCCTCTTTTTCTATTGATTGGAATAGTTTCAGAAGGAATGGTGCTAGCTCCTCTTTGTACCTCTGGTAGAATTCGGCTGTGAATCCATCTGGTCCTGGACTTTTTTTGGTTGGTAGGCTATTGATTATTGCCTCAATTTCAGAACCTGTTATTGGTCTATTCAGAGATTCAACTTCTTCCTGGTTTAGTCTTGGGAGAGTGTATGTGTCCAGGAATTTATCCATTTCTTCTAGATTTTCTAGTTTATTTGCATAGAGGTGTTTATAGTATTTTCTGATGGTAGTTTGTATTTCTGTGGGATCAGTGGTGATATCCCCTTTATCATTTTTTATTGCATCTATTGATTCTTCTCTCGTTTCTTCTTTATTAGTCTTGCTAGTGGTCTATCAATTTTGTTGATCTTTTCAAAAAACCAGCTCCTGGATTCATTGATTTTTTGAAGGGTTTTTTGTGTCTCTATCCCTTTCAGTTCTACTCTGATCTTAGTTATTTCTTGCCTTTGCTAGCTTTTGAATGTGTTTGCTCTTGCTTCTCTAGTTCTTTTAATTGTGATGTTATGATGTCGATTTTAGATCTTTCTTGCTTTCTCTAGTGGACGTTTAGTGCTATAAATTTCCCTCTACACACTGCTTTAAATGTGTCCCAGAGACTCTGGTACATTGTGTCTTTGTTCTCATTGGTTTCAAAGAACATCTTTATTTCTGCCTTCATTTCATTATTTACCCAGTAGTCATTCAGAAGCAAGTTGTTCAGTTTCCAGGTAGTTGTGCAGTTTTGAGTGAGTTTCTTAATCCTGAGGTCTAATTTGATTGCAGTGTGGTCCGAGAGACAGTTTGTTGTGATTTCTGGTCTTTCATATTTGCTGAGGAGCACTTTACTTCCAACTATGTGCTCAATTTTGGAGTAAATGCGATATGGTGCTGAGAAGAATGTATATTCTGTTGATTTGGGGTGGAGAGTTCTGTAGATGTCTATTGGATCTGCTTGTTGCAGAGCTGAGTTCAGGTCCTGGATATCCTTGTTAACCTTCTGTCTCTTTGATCTGTCTAATATTGACAGTGGGGTGTTAAGGTCTCCCATTATTGTTGTGTGGGAATCTAAATCTCTTTTTAGGTCTCTAAGGACTTGCTTTATGAATCTGGGTCCTCCTGCATTGAGTGCATATATATTTAGGATAGTTAGCTCTTCTTGTGGAATTGATCCCTTTACCATTATGTAATGGCCTTCTTTGTCTCTTTTGATCTTTGTTGGTTTAAAGTCTGTTTTATCAGTGACTAGGATTGCAACCCCTGCTTTTTTTTGCTTTCCATTTGCTTGGTAGATCTTCCTCCATCCCTTTATTTCGAGTCTATGTGCATCTTTGCAGGTGAGATGGGTCTCCTGAATACAGCACCCTGATGGGTCTTGACTCTTTATCCAGTTTGCCAGTCTGTGTCTTTTAATTGGGGCATTTAGTCCATTTACATTTAAGGTTAATATGGTTATGTGTGAATTTGATCCTGTCATTATGATGTTTGCTGGTTATTTTGCCCATTAATTGATGCAATTTCTTCATAGCATCAATGGTCTTTACAAATTGGCATGTTTTTGCAGCAGCTGGTTCCGGTTCTTTCTTTCCATGTTTAGTGCTTCCTTCAGGAGCTCTTGTAAGGCAAGCCTGGTTGTGACAAATTCTCTCAGCATTTGCTTGTCTGTAAAGGATTTTATTTCTCCTTCACTTATGAAGCTTAGTTTGACTGGATGTGAAATTCTGGGTTGAAAATTCTTTTCTTTAAGAATGTTGAATATTGGCCCCCACTTTCTTCTGGCTTGTGGGGTTTCTGCTGAGTGATCTGCTGTTAGTCTGATGGGCTTCCCTTTGTGGGTAACTTGACCTTTCTCTTCGGCTGCCCTTAACACTTTTTCCTTCATTTCAACCTTGGTAAATCTGACAATTATGTGTCTTGGAGTTGTCGAGAAAGATACTTCTCGAGGAGTATCTTTGTGGTGTTTTCTCTATTTCCTGAATTTGAATGTTGGCCTGCCTTGCTAGGTTGGGGAAGTTCTCCTGGTTAATATCCTGAAGAGTGTTTTCCAACTTGGTTCCATTCTCCCCATCACTTGCAGGTACACCAATCAAATGTAGATTTGGTCTTTTCACATAGTCACATATTTCTTGGAGGCTCTATTTGTTTCTTTTTACTCTTTTTTCTCTAACCTTGTCGTCTCAATTGATTTCATTAATTTGATTTGCAACCACTGATACCCTTTCTTCCACTTGATTGAATTGGCTGTTGAAGGTTGTGCATATGTCACAAAGTTCTCGTGCCATGGTTTTCAGCTCCATCAGGTCATTTAAGGTCTTCTCTACATTGTTTATTCTAGTTAGCCATTTGTCTAATCTTTTTTCAAGGTTTTTAGCTTCCTTGTGATGGGTTTGAACATCCTCCTTTAGCTCAGAGAAGTTTGTTATTACTGGCCTTCTGAAGCCTACTTCTGTCAACTCATCAAAGTCATTCTCTGTCCAGCTTTGTTCCACTGCTGGCAAGGAGCTGCAGTCCTTTGGAGGAGAATAGGTACTCTGATTTTTAGAATTTTCTGTTCTGGTTTTTCCCCATCTTTGTGGTTTTATCTACCTTTGGTGTTTGATGTTGGTGACCTACAGATGGGGTTTTCATGTAGATGACCTTTTTGTTGATGTTGATGCTATTCCTTTCTGTTTGTTAGTTTCCCTTCTAAGAGTCAGGTCCCTCAGCTGCAGGTCTGTTGGAGTTTGCTGGAGTTCCACTCCAGACCCTCTTTGCCTGGGTATCACCAGCATAGGCTGCAGAACAGCAAATATTGCAGAACAGCAAATATTGTTGCCTGATCCTTCCTCTGAAAGCTTCATCCCAGAGGGGCACCTGCCTATATGAGGTATCTGTCAGCCCCTACTAGGAGATGTCTCCCAGTTAGGCTACACGGGGGTCAGGGACCCACTTGAGGAGTCAGTCTGTCTGTTCTCAGAGCTCAAACGCCTGGCTGGGAGCACCACTGCTCTCTTCAGAGCTGTCAGACAGGGATGTTTAAGTCTGCAGAAGTTGTCTGCTGCCTTTTGTTCAGCTATGCCGTGCCGGCAGAGGTGGAGTCTAGAGGCAGTAGGCCTTGTTGAGCTGCAGTGGGCTCCACCCAGTTCGAGCTTCTTGGCCGCTTTGTTTACCTACTCAAGCCTCAGCAATGGTGGACACCCCTCCATCAGCCAGGCTGCCGCCTCACAGATTGATCTCAGACTGCTGCCCTAGCAGTGAGCAAGGATCCATGGGTGTGGGACCTGCGGAGCCAGGCACAGGAGAGAATCACGTTGTCTGCCGGTTGCTAAGACCTTGGGAAAAGCCCAGTATTTGGGCAGAAGTGTCCTGTTTTTCCAGGTACAGTCTATCAGGGCTTCCCTTGGCTAGGAAATGGAAATCTCCCAGCCCCTTGCACTTCTCAGGTGAGGCAACACCCCGCCCTGCTTCAGCTTGCCCTCCATGGGCTGTACCCACTGTCCAACCCAGTCCCAATGAGATGAACCAGGTACTGCAGTTGGAAATGCGGAAATCACCCGTCTTCAGCGTCAATCACACTGGAAGCTGCAGACCAGAGCTGTTCCTATTTGGCCATCTTGGCCTATCTTACCTTGCCTTTTTAAAAGGAATTTTATATCATCTACTTGATGAGGGAAAATTTATCTTTAGAGAAGAATGCCAATGAAGGAGTGATAATATTTGAAATTTACTAATTTGCAACTCCCAATGAAATAATCGATTCAGGCAAGGATCTTTAATAGTAAAAGATTATTGCAGAACCGGTTATTCACACGGTTACAAAGCATCACAGAACATGTCACTTCCTAAATGTAAAAAGTACAAAGGAGAAGATCTGGCAGTCACCACTTTAACCAAGTGATTGACCTTAGAATCACTAATACGGGACAAATTTGTATTATGTTCCTCCTGATGGGGTACAGATGAAATTCATGAAATCATTTATTAAGTATTCTTGCCAAAAGGGCTTAATCTGAATCGAAGTAAGCTTTTAGGCAGGCCTAACCTCAAATAAATAGGAGTTACAGGGAATCAAAGAAAAATCAAATTACAAAGAATCCTGCAGAAGAATCTGAATTTGAGATATTCTACAAAACAACTATTTTCTTTTTATTCCTCCAAAAGTCATTTTTATGTGGGGAGAAGGACTGGGGGAGCTGTCCCAGGTTAAAAGAGACTAAAAGGCCATAACAACCCAATACGAGAACTTCAAAGGACTCTTAGCTTGATAAAAACAGCTAAAACTTTTAGAAACATTTAGGGAAAACCTGAATATGAGCATATATTAAATAACATGGGTATTATATGATATTAAGGAGCTAATATTAATTTTATTAGAAATGATAATGACATTGCAATTATGTATAAGAAAATTCTTATTTTTAGGAGATGCTGTTTGTTTGTTTATTTATTTATTTATTTATTTATTGTGATGCAGGGTCTCACTTTTTCACCTAGGCTGGAGTACAGTGGCACAAACATGGCTCACTCCAGCCTCAACCTCCTGGGCTCAAGCAGTCCTTCTACCTCAGCCTCCCAAGTAGCTGGGATTACAGCTGCATGTCAGCACACCTGGCTAATTTTTGTATTTTCTGTAGAGACAGGGTTTCACCATGTTGCCTAGACTGGTCTCAAGCTCCTGGGCTGAAGCAATCTGCTTATCAGCCTTCCAAGGTGCTGCGATTACAGGCATGAGCCACTGCGTCTGTCCTATAGAAGATGTATATTTAGGTGTTAATGTTTAGGTGTGAGGTGTAATGATTTCAACAACTTTCAAAATATATACACACACACACATATATATATATTTGTGTGTGTATGGAAAGATAAAGCAAATATGGCAAAATAGTAACAATTGTTGCATCTACATTGAAGAGATTGTAGAGATATTTATTTTACTGTTCTTTCCAATTTTCTAGATGTTTCATGTTAAACAATTTAGAAAAGAATTTATGCCTCTACCCCCTCTTCTTTTGTGCCTCTGGAACTCCTTTCTATCCCCGTGGTCACTCTCTGACTACTGCTCTTCATCGCCTCTTACCTGAACCTTTGTGGTGGCCTCCTATGTTTCTGTCTTCAGTCTAAATGCCTCCAAGCCATCTATCCGAGGCACCTTCCTAAAAATCAGTTGTCACCATTTCTCTACCTTGCTTCACTTTATCAGTAGTCATTCCCTTCCTCATCACCCACATGGTAAAGTCTGAATAAGCTTAGCAAGCAAGGCCATCCACACTTTTGCTTCAAGCTACACTGACATCACATCCTTGTTCAAGGTGTTCTCCTACTGCCTCATAGCCTAAGCTCTACCTAGGTCACAAACTCAAATGCCCGCATAGAGGGCTGGGAATAAAAGAGTTTAAGTTGTGGGTCTAGGGTGGACTGGGGATCAGGAGCCCTGTCTGAAGGGGGCAGCTATTACTTGGGACCAGGTGAGTGTTGCTGTGAGAGGATGTGGGCCAAGTGTGAAATCTTTGTTTCCATTAAGTCAGAAATAAAGATTTGTATACTAATACTGCCCTATTTTAAATGCTAATGGTCATTTATTTTTTTAAAAAAACTGCTGCAGAATGAAAAAATTGTGACTGCAGAGTATGATTCTGTGATAACCCATGGGACTTAATGCTCACTCTTTCACACTGACCTCTTTGTCATTCTTCCTTCTCTCTCCATGGTGGGAAGACTTTCTGCATCCTTTTCCTGGTGAAATCTGGTGAATACTTCAAAACCCAGCAGGCAAGACCATTCATGTTGCCCTGTCAGGCCCGGGCAGACTGAGGGGCTCTCTCTTTAGTGCACCTCAGCCATTCATTTTTACAACCTTCCTTCTAGAACTTGTCACGGAATTACATATCTGGTTGTTTGTCTTCTCCCACTGGATTCTGAATCCTCATGATTAATAGCCACATTTTATACATCTTTGTCTCCCCTGAGCTGCTCACAGTGTCTGGTGTAAAGTCAGCGTTCAATGAACATCTGTTGGTTAAGTTGCAGGCTGTTAAAGGTAATGCTATAGAAGAATTTAGGACATGGCTTCTATGGCATCCAGTTTAAAATGTATTAAAAAAGTCTATAAATCAATTAAAGAAAATTTTCTATGATTATAATATTCCAAGTAAGTTTCTCTTTTGAGATCATTTGTCTATTGTAGGAAGTCAGGTAAATAAGTTTAGTTTTAAAAAACAAAAATTTCTCAAATCAGGATTCTTTCTGACCCTTTAATCTCAGATAATGATAATAGAGTATTATTTCAAGGATTCCCCTTCTAGCACAATCTTGCTCAAGATCAGGCCAAGAATATAGACAGGTTCAGTAAACCACAAGTGCTCTAAACCTGCTTGAACCTATGTAAGAACTGAGCAGTGGGGTGTGCACTGAATCAAATCACCTTCTCTCCTCGGGACATCAATTCCTATCAGTACTGTATGCACCTGATTCTCTTATTCGTGTCTTTTTCATGCCTTTCTTTAATGAAATACTTTTTCCCTCTTAGCAGGCCTTCCAAAATTCAGCTCAAAACTTACTTCTTCCTAGAAGTGTCTGCTATCACCTGCCTTGATTGTTCCTCTGTATTATATTCTCCATTTATCTGTGTTTCTTTTTTGTTAGGTGTGGCCTACTCTGGTGTAAGACATATAATAAGAATAATTATGATATTAAGAAAAAGATAATACGGTTATCATAATATTTGGCTTTGGGAGGCCAAGGCAGGTAGATCACCTGAGGTCAGGAGACCAGCCTGACCAACATGGTGCAACTCTGTCTCTACTAAAAATAAAAAAAATCAGCCGGGCATGGTGGTGTGTGCCTATAATCTCAGCTACTCGGGAGGCTGAGGGAGGAGAATCGCTTTAATCCAGGAAACGGAGGTTGCAGTGAGCCGAGATCACGCCATTGCACTCCAGCCTGGGCAACAAGAGTGAAACTCCGTCTCAAAAAAAAAAAAAAAAAAAAAAAAAAAAAAAAAAAAAAAAAGAATCATTGAGGGCCATTGTTAAAAGAAATAGCTTACCAGACCCCTCCCTGGAAATTCTGATTCAGTGGGTCTGGCATGGGGTAGGGAATGAGGATAGGTATTTGTATTTTTAACAAGTGCCACAGATAGTTCTTATTATCAGGCAACCCTGGGAAACATTGCCATCATCCTTATAAGCTTGGGTTTGGGAGCAGACTAGTCAGAGTTTGAGGATGGGTTCTCATGCTTTTTAGCGTATGTAACAGTGGGCAAGTCACCATGTCCTAAGCTGTGATTTTTTCATCTAGAAGAGGAGGATGATAATCACTGTCTCAGTGTTGTTCTGGGGACTAAATGACTCATTTAGAGCATGAGCACTTAGAAAGTTCCAGACATTCTAAGTGCTCAGCAAATATGTGACAATCATATTCATATTTTGCTTGCAGTTTGCTTGGTTATGCTACTGTGATTCAAAATCTGAATGATGGTTTTCTTGGTTCTTCTATAGCACTATGGTGACCCAGGAGTGTGACCCAGGAGAGTGACCCAGGAGATTTTATCACAGCCAAAGACTATTGTTGAGAGCCTGCTCATCTCTGCCAACTTTTTATTGACTCAATAAGTTATCACCCTTTGTTCTCTTTAATTTTACCTGTCATTTCCATTGAATTACAGAAAGGTCTTTGAGGCCAATGACCCTGCCATCTAGTTTTGTTATACAGTAGATCCAGTATCCTGTACAGTGGGCTATCAACAGAGGGCATGATCTAATAAAACACACATTTATTTCGTGGAGTTATAGAGCCATCATCTCTTACTTAGGTTATGACAGCTCCTAATGGGTCTTGGAGTCTTGAGGTCTTATGCTCTTGCTTCCCTACAATGCAGCCTACGCTGCAGCCAAAGCGATCTTTGAGCAATATCATCACAGCATGCCAGTCTGTTTGAAACCTTCCAATCCTTTCCCTGTATTTATAATAAAATCCAAACTCTTTACTGTGGACTTGTAAGCCCTACCTGATCTGGGCTAGTCTGTCTGTCTGACCGCATCCCCTGTGATTCACCTCCTGGATCGTTACATTGCAGCAATACTGAAGTTCTCCCTCCCTAGACTGACCTTTTCCCCCATCATCACCTGCCACTTAGCCCAGAGGTCACCTTAGAGATCTTCCCTCATCTCCCTATCTCATGTTTTCCTGCCACTATTTCCTATCCCATCTTCCTGCTTTATTTTCTTCTCATCACTTACCACTGTCCAATATTGTACTTATCAGTAGGTGATGTTAGTTTGTGTGTTTATTGGAAGCTCCATGATAGCAGGCATCTTGTCTATCTTGTATTCCAAGTACTGGGAACAGAACCTGGTACCTTCATGGGCTTAGTAGATAGATAGATGGATGGATAGATAGATGGATAGATAGATAGATAGATAGATAGATAGATAGATAGATAGATAGATAGATGAACTTTAAAGAACATCAGCCGGGTGCAGTGGCTTATGCCTGTATTCTCAGCACTTTGGGAGGCCCGAGGTGGGTGGATCACCTGAGGTCAGGAGTTCGAGACCAGCCTGGCTAACATGGTGAAAACCCGTTTCTACTAAAAATACAAAAAATTAGCCTGGTGGCGCATACCTGTAATCTCAGCAACTCAGGAAGCTGAGGCAGGAGCATCGCTTGAACCCAGGAGGCGGAGGTTGCAGTGAGCTGAGACCACACCATTGCACTCCAGCTTGGGCAACAAGAGTGAAACTCCATTTCAAACAAATGAACAAACAAAAAGATAAAGAACATCTATATAGTCTAATATATTTCAACTTTTTTAAAGCAAGGAACTCTTATCAAACAAAATGTTTGTTTTTAAATTATTAATTTGGTTGTTGGGGTTTTTTTTTAACTTATTTCTTGACAATTAATAGGATTCCATACACATAAAAAGTTCTTAGCAAACACTTAACAATTTACTGAGTCCGTGTTCAATGAGATCCACCACCAGGGGGACATCAATCCACTGACTGGTAGCTATGGATAGTGAGAAAATCTGGCTGAAGGAGAAGCAGATCTGACTCCAGGAGACAAAGGCAGGCAGAGGCCCCGAGTGTTCTGGTAGTGTGACTCCTCCAGGGCTTCCCCATGGCTCTGCAGACAGAGGTGGTAGGAGGCAGGAGAGGCAGGGCTATCTCTGGAGAACCCAGAAGAGAAGCAGCAAAAGAGGACTCTTTAATGCAGGCCAGGCTTCAGTGAGAAACTGCCTGGCCTGGAGCAGCCCTGTACCAGTGGCTGCAGCACTGCAGAAACAATGGCAGTGGTGGTGGCGGTGGGGATAGGTGGAAGCAGCAGTGGTGGTGATGCCACAAGAAAAACTTCTTAGGGAGGTACTAAGATGGGAAGCAGCCTCTTACCAGGCTGAAGCCAGAGGGATCTGAGAAGGGGGCAATGATGGCAGTGACAAGCAAGGGACAGCAAGGAGGTCCTCAAAAGTGTCACATTTTCCCAGGAGAAAGGAAGAGATTCAAAGAACTGAAATTCCAGCAGTTGAGCATGTGTGATCTCAGTCAGAGCCACTGGCTTTGTTGTCATTTGGTTGTGTTTACTTTTCAGTATCATTCTCAAGAATTAAGCAAGATAACATGTGCAAAGCATCTAGCAGAGTGCGTGGGGTGTAGTCAGCAAATGTCGTTTCCTCTCGTTGTTGGGCAACCACCAGTAGCACCATATCAGAATTAAAGGTGAATAGAGGAATACTGTGTTAAGCTCTGAGGAAGAAACAATGATAAATTAGACATTGTCCGTGTCTTCAAAGAGTTTACAATATGGAAGTGACATGATCGTTCAAAAGGCAGAAAGTGCAAAGTGCTGTCTGAAGCAGTGCCAATAAAGTGTTAAGTATGTTCATATATACTTATACCTGGCATAAATTCCAGCGTAGCAGACTGGATAAGCTTTATGGAGAAAGTTTGGATTTTAAAGAATGAATATAATTTAGGCATGGGAAGCATGGTTAAAGGATAAAGAGGAGGAGAAGGTAGTGAAAGAATAATAAGAAATTTAGGAGGAAAATCAAGATTAGAGTTCTAAAAACCAGGGAGAATTTCAAACAGGAGATGATGAGCAAAAGTATCCAGTGTGAAGGACTTCTGCTTCTGGCTTTGATGAAGTTACTAGTACCAGCCCTCTTGCCATAAATAGCTGTAAAACTGGACAAAATATATGGAGCAACTGTTTTCAGACGTTGAAATTCACCCAGTGTTGAACTTTGATCCCTGGGAAAAGGGAAACACATGAGATGAAACCCTTGGTCACCTTGTCTTTTTTCCTGGCGGCACAGCAAAATGGAGCCCAAGTTGATAATGGTTGCTTTACTGTTCTGAGGAGGCAGAGATCACAGTTCAGGGTGGTTGAGGTGGTTGGAATTTGTAGGTCAGGCTAATGAAGAGAAAGCTGCACAGAGAAACAGGTCCAGAAATCTGCATATGGGTACTATAAAGTCTTTGGACAAATGCTAAGCTTCTCACTTTCTGGGTGAGACTCTACAAAGTCTGGTGGCAAATAGCTACTGGGGGGCTGTAAACTGGGTGGAGATTCCAGAAGGTGCACAAAACTGGAGATGTAGATGTTCTGAGTGGAGATGTTCTCAGTGATTCCCTGGGGTTTTCAGTGAAGAACCAAGAAAGGCCAGGCGGTAGGAGGAGGGCTACTCTAGCCCTGGACTCAAGGCTATACTAAGTTCATCCAAATAAAGTTTAAAAACAGCTTTGTAAAAATTAAGCTTCTCCACTAGTAAATTAACGTAACAAAACTTAACACTCTTTAAATCCAGACCTGATAATGTAGCGTTTAATGTCTAGCATACAATTCAAAAATTACTAGATATGTGAAGAGGCATGACCACAACAGATTTTTTTAAGTCAATAGAAACATACTCAGAGATAGCAGATATGTTAAAATTAGCAAGCAAAGGCTTTAAAACAACTCTTATAAATATGTTTAAAATTTTAAAGAAAATATGGACTCCAGTAAATAGAAATTCTCACTAGAAAAATGGAAAGTATAAAAGAAAACCAGCTAGAAATTCTAGAACTGAAAAATGTAACACCTAAAATGAAAAAAAAATCCCTAAATGAGCTTAACAGCAAAATAGATTCCATAGAAGAAAAAAAAATAGTGACATTGAAGACAGGGCAATATAAACGATCTCAGCTGAAGCACATAGAGAAAAAAGCACTGAAAAAAATGAACAGAGCCTCTCTGACTTGTGGAATAGTATGAGGTGGCCTAACATCTGTGAAACTGGAGTTCCAGAAAAAGATGAAAGAGAAATTGGGGCAGAAAATATATTTGAAGAAGTGATAGCTGAAAAAATTCCCAATTTGGTGAAAAATATTAACCCATAAACTAAGAATCTCAATAAACTCCATGCAGGATAAAAAACAAAGAAAACCACTCCTGGGTACATTATAACCAAGTTTATGAAAGCCAAGGATCAAAGAAAAAAGTTTTAATAGCAGTATGAGGAAAAGACTCATTCTGCGCAAGACCCAGGGGAACAATAATGCTGATTTATCAAATAAGCCAAAAGAGAATTGAATAACACCTTTAAGGTGCTAAAAGAAATAAAACCTGTCAACCTGGAATGAGAAACCTAGTGAAAGATAAAGATCCTTTAAAAAAATGAAAGTAAGAAAAGAAGAGAAAATGGGAAGGGAAGAAGGGAGAGAGACAGGAAAAAAGGAAGGAAGGAAAGAAGGAAGGAAGGAAAAAAGAAAGGAAGGAAGGAAGAAAGGAAGGAAGAAAAGATGAAGGAAGGAAGGAAAAAAGAGAAAGAAAGAAAGAAAAGAAAGAAAGAAAGAAAGAAAGAAAGAAAGAAAAGAAAAGAAAGAGGAAGGAGGGAAGGAAGGAAGGAAAGGAAAGAAAAGAAAAGAAAAGAGAGAGAAAGAAAGGGGAAGGGGAAGAAGAAAAACACTGCCAAGCAAAAACCAAATGTATCAATGGTACACATAAACTGTAAGAAATATTAAAGGAAGTTCTTCAGGCTAAAAGAAATGATACCAGGTAGAAACTCAGATCAACATAAAAAAATGACTAGTGCTAGAAGTGGTAAATATGTGGGTAAATAGAAATTACTTTTTTCCTTGCCTATTATTGAATGAGTAAAACTTAATTATAAAGCTGAGTTTTTGGTAGACATTGCAATAGTCTGGGAATCAGGAAATCTGGGATCTGGTCCACTTCTGTAACCTTAGGTAAGTGGCTTAATCAATACTTGATATTCCTCTCTAAATGGTAACAATTCAAGAAGTTTCTTTTTTTTTTTTTGAGATGGAGTCTCACTGTTGCTGGAGTGCAGTGGTGCGATCTTGGCTCACTGCAACCTCCGCCTCCTGGCTTCAAGCAATTCTCCTGCCTCAGCCTCCCAAGTAGGTGGGATTACAGGCATGTGCCACCACACCCAGCTAATTTTTTTGTATTTTTAGTAGAGATGGAGTTTCAACATATTGGCCAGGCTGGTCTCGAACTCCTGACCTTGTGAGCCACCCACCTTGGCCTCCCAAAGTGCTGGGATTACAGGCGTCAGCCACCGCACCCGGCCTCAAGAAGTTTCTTTTTATCATTGCTAAATACCTCAAAAGGGCTATCTACTTATTATTTCTTAAATTTAATGTATATATGAATTACCTAGGGATCTTGTTAAATTCAAGATACATTAATAAAGTTATTGTGGTATAGTAAAAAGACAGACAAGTAGATCAATGAAATTAAAAATATATATATTCTTTTTTATCCCTTTTACTTCTAACTTGTTTATACTTATGCTTTATACATAAAGCATCTCTTTTATAAACTCTATAGCATTAGTTCTTGTTTTTTTATTCAGTTTGATAATCTCTGCCTGTTAATTGGAGTGTTTTGTTCGATGTTGAGGTTACAGCTACTATTTTGCTATTTATTTTCTCCCATCTATTTGTTTTGTTTTGTCTCCTGTTGTTGCTGTTCCTTTGTTTCTCCTTTTCTTCCTTCTTTTGAATTTGTTGAGAATTTTTTTTATTATTTTTATTTTTTTGAGACAGGGTCTCACTTTGTCGCCCAGGCTGGAAGGCAGTGGCGTGATCTCTGTTCACTGCAACCTCCACCTCCTGGGTTCAAGCGGTTCTCCTACCTCAGCTTCCCAAGTAACTGGGACTACAGGCATACGCCACTACCTCCGGCTAATTTTTGTATTTTTTTTGGTAGAGACAGGGTTTCACCACGTTGTCCAGGCTAGTCTCAAACTCCTGACCTCAAGTGATCTGCCCACCTCAGCCTCTCAAAGTGCTGGGATTATAGGCATGAGCCACCACACAGGGCTCGAAAATGTTTTAATATTTCATTTTATTTCCTCTATTGGCTTGAAAACTATATGTTGTTGTTTTATTTTGGGCTATCTAGGGACTGAAATGTGCATCCTTAGCTTAGCAGAATCTACTATGATTTCACATCACTACATGTGTAGTATAAAAAACCTACAAAAGCAAATTTTCTGTTTTCCAATATGTTCTTTGCACTATTGTCATACTTCTACATAAGTTAACAGCTCCACGATAAGTTTTATTATTTTTGCTTTAAATAATCAATTGTCTTTAAAAGAAATGAAATAAAGGTTGATATTAGAGCCATTCTGGAAAACTTCCTAGGTTTACTCTGATTACTGTATTTTCCAAATGTCGTATGTGAAGTCCTTTACAGGCCCTACCTGCTGGGTTGGATGAAGCAATCCTTGAGGGAAGTCACCGCTATAGTCCTGTTGGCTATCCCTCAGAATCTCTTCAAAATTCACCCTGGAGAAGGAGAAGAGAAGGATGCTTAGAGAGGAAGGGAAATACTGGCAAGGAGATGGGGAGAATGAAACCACTTTAAGACTGTATTTTAAAGGCTCGTTAAGCTTCACTATTAATGAAGTATAATTTGAAGAGATATATTTCCTTCTGGAAGGCAAGTTTTAAGACACTAGGGGGTTAGTTCACCCAGAGAGATGCTGGTAATTATATTTGAATTGTCAGTAATTCTAGTTCCATCACCAGAAAGCAAAATGCAAGTAGTAAGGGATGACTCTACTTGAAATCTCAGGGGGAAGAAAGAACTTTGCTTCTCTCAAGGTCATCTGGTGTTTAAAGAAAATGTGTCATTGATGATTTAATAATATATAACATGAGAAATTGCATTAGTATAATTGTGTTACATTTTATAATCTTATTTTTTATGTAGAGAACAGATTGCCTTAAATCTGCAAGTATTGTATTTGAGTTAAAATTGCATTCAACATACCATAAATATGTACTTCCTAATCATTTAAATGTTTGCAATCATGTGTATCTCAGTTAAAATATATGTTCACATTATACTTTAAATTTCTATTTCCTTTGGACATTATTGTATTTTGCAAGATCAGAAAGATTATCTAAAAATTTTCTGTAATGATAATGGAAACCATGTTAACATCTGAATCATGTTCAATGTGAAAAAGATAGTTGGGGCCAATTTAACAGTTAGTACTCTTTCTTGGCAGAGAATGACAGAACACTGCTGTAAAAAGGACTGCTGTCTTTTCTTTTTAAATCTGCAAAGTGTTGCTAAGTACCGTAGTCCCTCGCCTTTGGAAATACCATGGCTTTTTGGGTCACCAGCTGTGTGTTATATACCAATAGAGAGTACAACTCACAGCCATTTTTTGCATTCTTAGTGCTATTTGTGGCTGTTTCTTTACCTCATGAGCTGTATGACACCTTTTATTTAAATAAATCCTTATGTTTGTGATCACTGTGCATCAGGTTATTGGGCCTGTGGCTGGCCTTCCAGTTGTTCATCAGTCTGAGCTCACAAGAAGCAGACACAATTGTCAGTCATTGTGCTGTTCTGTTAGGTTAAGTCATCCTGGTGGTATCCAAAACATTTCTGGTATAAGAATTATTTTTTTCTGTTTTGAATTAATGAAGCAGAAACACAAACTGTGAACATTGTCTGTAAATAGCCTTTGTTCCTTTATGCAGAATGTCCTCAATGTTAAGGCCTGCAAGAAGATAGTACGTGTTATATTAGTTTTATAGTATTAGTGTTCGTGCTGAATGATGGCAGGAAAACCAGCTAGGTTTTATTTCTTACTGGTTATTATTGGTTGATGAATTCCTGTGAAGGTTTATGATATTAGGTTAAATTATATGAAATTGCTATTTGTGTAGACAATTTCATATGACTCAACCAAACAGGAAACAAAGCAGCTTCAGTTCTAGGATACAAGATATAATTCAATTAATTTGCTGTACATCATTGTGAGTCTGCTACAAATATCTTAAATTAATACATATAACTTAAAAATTGGAACTGGAAAGGAAAGATTTGTTTTCCTCTTATTCTTACTTTGTTTTTACTCTGTGTCATTGCTCTCTTGCTTTCAAGGAAAATACCGACTCTATGTACAGAACATCTCCTGACATTTGCCATTCTGTAGGTCTTGAGGGGTAAACAAGTAAGAACACAAATATTACTTACTCAGTTGTGAGTTAAAGTCATCTTTCTATTATTCTAACAATAACAAACTTGCAGCTCTTCCTTAGTGAATTTTCATGAATTCTCTTCTCTCTAGAGAAGACTATTTCATCACAGAAATATATTAGAGGTATTAAAATGCCTTTCCCCTCTCTCTGCTTCCATATTTCTCCATTTGCAGTTTCATCTGTATGGAAAAGGAGCTCTGGTAACTTTGGCCAAGACTTTTCAGTAGGAAATGCTTCAAAATACAAAGCAAGAGCTATTTTCAAGAAAGACCTTCTAAATTTATATTAGGTAAGTTAAATTTTAGATGTCCTCCTTTACAGCTAAAAGTAAACACATTTGATTTAATTATATTCATCAAAATGTACTTGCATTCAAGTGTTCTTATATGTCAATACTCCTGGATAGATTTAAATTACATTGACAGAAAACATCCATTTCCTCACATTTTCAAACACCAAGCAAGTAGCAGAACCCGGTCTTTAGCGTGGTTGTATTTTAAAAAAATGTAATCCAGCCAAGGCTGATCTTGTTTTTCCTTTATTCTTTAAGCCAGAAGCAATTACTTTTCATTTCAGGATTAAGCGTCTGTAACGTTGCCACTCGTCGCTGAGGCTCCTGGTTTCAGCATGTCTCCTTGGTTCCCAGCCAGCTCTGGGTGTTCAGGTAGCAGCTGTGGCTGGGAGTGTCTCTCCAGTCCACATTCCTTGGCCATGAATTTTGCAGCCCTGTTTATCTGATGAAGACCTCCCAGTAGTGAATTGCTCATGACATTGTCACACAGACCTTAATGAATGATATGGAAAGATACTGAATATTTTTCCTCCCGGAATGCCAACCAAGCTTCAGTGTCCCAGCGCCTTCATTCCAGCTGATCATGGCAAAGGCTTGGTACTGAGATCCAGTGAGACCTTTGTCCTACAAAAACCACATTCTCACTGGATGCCTACAAGTCCTCTCTATGGGACTGTTACCCAAGCCTGTTTACAGAATTTTCAACAATTACATCTGCCCATTTGCTGAGTCTCACTTCTCTGCACTAATTGTTGACTTCAATTTATATTTTTAATGTACAAATGCTATCACCAACTTCAGTGCATGAAGACCTCTCTTTCTTCTCTTCAAACCCATGACTTTGCTTGGAATAACAGGGATGGCTTTATGGCATGGCTTTCTCATTATTTCATGTGTCTTCATTTTGCTTTCCCAAGCCAGATTGTAAATTCCTTGAAAGAGGAGACCCTGAAAACTAGAAATACCTATACAGACAGATAGACAGTAAAAAAAAAAAAAAAATTGGACAGAAAGACATCTGTTGCTCTAAGTAATCCAGAAAATTTGCCTTAACACGTTCAGAAGACATATTTGGCTATAATATACAACTCCTCTCCTTTCCCCCGCCTGCCCTCTGCTGGAACTGCTAATGAGCAGTAAGATGGCAAAAGCAGGACATTGTATGGGAAATGTGGGAAAACAGGGGCTAGTCTGACTAGAAGGTGAGTTGAGTAACTGTGATTTGTGAGTCCACAATGGGAATCTTTGAAGTCCTTCATGATGTGCCTTTGTATGACTAGCAATCTCCTCACAAGACTCTATGGTTCACTGTGCACAAAGATATGATTCTGCCTGCCTGCCTGAGATAGACCAAGTGACCTTGTGTGTTCTCTTCCTCCTCTGTGCTTGTTTCATCTGCAGAACCATCTGATGGATGGCAGACAGCTGAACCAGGTACTGCCCCTTCCCAAACACAAATGCCCTCCCCATTCACCATTCCCTAGAGCGTTCACTTCCTTCATCTATGAAAGGCAATTACTAGGGTCTAGCAAGACTGCCAATTTGGTAATGCAAAGCAGGAGATAAGTGTGAAACTCTAGACTGGTTTTCTGTTTCAAAGGGCAGCAGGATGTGACAGCTGCTGAGGCAGCCCTTTGCCCTTGGAGAGGAGAAGCAGGAGTGTGATCACTAGATGACCTCTCCCTCCTGCTGTCTCCTGGGTGGTAGGGACAGTCTCTCTCCCAACACTACTCTTGGTCAGGTGGCTACATATTATGAAAAAGAGGAGGAAAAACATGTTTTTGCTTTTAAAATTATTATTAAGAGAGAGTACTCTTTGGGGAAGCAGAATCCATTAGCTGAATTCATTTCAGTAGCTATGTTTAATTAAGTTAGGCAGCCTTAATGCAATTTTATTATGTAGCCTTTAAGAGCTGTTCTGGTAAATGCCCATCCTATAAATACTAGCACTACTTTATATGTGTGATATCCTTTTTGGAAGGGCAAATCTGAATTATTATCCAGATATTAATCTGCACACAACCCTATCCAGACAATGCAAAGATGCTTCCTCATATTCTGGACATTGTTCAATACATTCAGAAGGGGGAAAAAACTGCTCAGATATGACCTTCTACATTTTAAGTCAGTGGATAAGCCAGCCTGGTTGCATCCCAAAACATACTTTTGAACATCAGTTTCACCTTACTACTGACCAAGTAATTGATTTCTGCATTTCATTATGTAAATTAAACACTAGACTTTGAATTACTAGAAATACACAGTTAGCCAATAAACCTTTCTTATAAAATGACAGTATTTTAATTTATTAGATGCGTTGGCATGTATTCATGCCTAAGATTTCATCAATCAATTTTCCATTTTAAAAAGCTGTCTCTGGAAGCAACAGTGGAGAGATGCTGAGTTCCAAAAGCAATGTTGTGAAAGGCAGCAGGTCTAGCGTTCCAGGCACATGCTTAACTAAATTCTAGTCAATAACCATGTGGCTCCAAGTATAAGCCCACATTTTTTAAAGTATCTACCTTCTGAACTGACTCTTTTGGAATGTCAGAATTTTAAAAAGAAAATATTTAAATTTCTCTATTTAAGAGGTGTGCAATGTTTGTTCAATATTGGAGCAACCTCTGATATTATTTTAAAATATTTATTTTGCCACTTTGACAGCCTTCTACACTGCCCTTGGGTTTTAATTTTGTTTACAGTACTAAACTTCAATAGTTGGCTTCAGATTAAATGAATATTAGTATGTTGTGGTGATTTTATTAATTATTTGCTTTTGAAAAATTTTTTAAGCTGAAAGTCACTCCAAAATAGAAGCTTTAAGAATCACTACCACCAACTTAACTTTAAGTCATTTATTCATTTCATTCAGTTAACAAAAATATATTTAACACATAGGATTTGACTGACTTATCCCTAAGCAAGGTAGGCATAGCACCTGGGGCCCACAATACTTTTAGAGGCCTATAAAAACAGTCTTTTAAAATCAGAAGAAAACAAATTTTTTTATTTTAAAATCAGAAGAAAAAGATAAAATTTTAGGTCAAAGAAAGTATATATAATATTAATATATTCATTTTCATACCAGGATGATCATAAAATATAATTTTAAATATTTTTTAATGAAGGAAGGGGCCCATGAAGGCAAAAGTTTCCAGGACCCATAAAATGATAATGCAACCCTTCGTGACATATGCCAAGTTTTATCTATGCTAGATTCTAGGGGTAAGAAGATATGTAGGGCACAGTTTCTGTACCCAAAGCACTCATAGTCTAATGAAGAAAATGGACATAGACAGTTCATAATGTGGTTGGTTCCCTTGACATTGTTTGAGAGTAATTACAAGCTGAAAAACATAAGGGTTTTACTACAAAATGTCATTTAACACATAGACTTGGCCTTACATTTCTTTCCGTTAAACTTATACAAAAATTAGGTTTATATATATCTTAATGCTACATAGACAGTGTAAGTATATATGTTTGTTCATTTTAAACATTACTGATATTGCCATTCAGATCTGTAAATCAGAATGTTCATTATTTTATAAATGCTGTCCATCAACAGGATCACAAAGGAAATTCCACGTGCTGATATCAATGGTCCAATGAGGAAAATGAGAAGTGAGATCTAGTTCTCCCTAGCTTAGCAATGCTTATCTATATCCTTTCGAGTTTTACTGAGATTTCAGAAATGGAACAGAATCTTGGCTGCACTTTCCCTCTTCATAAAATTTCACATTTATATGAGATTCTGCATTTATTTTTTTCTATTACTGTTTCTAATGCTGCAATTTGGGTAGTCACAATGTTCCACTTAACCTAAGTCTTCCTTGTTAATATTTGAGTCCATTTTTGCATTTTTTTATTGTTAATTAGAGAATGATTTCTGAACATTTTCTATTTTTAGAGCAATTTTACCTGCATTATCTTATTACACACACAAAAGCTTTTTGAATAAGTAGGACATCATAGGACATTCAAAAGAACACAGACTCAGACAAGCCTGAGTATGAATCTGAATTCTGCCAGTCAAGCTGTATTATTTTGGTCACTTCATTTAACCTCATTTGCATCTCAGCTTCCTCATCCATAAAATGAGGATCATTATGCATGTCTCATAAAGTTGCCATAAGAATTAGGATAATGTATGTTAAGTGTTAGACCAGCACCTGAAATTTAGTAGATACTAAATAAGTAGCTGCTATTATTATTTGCCATATTTTATAAATTAGGAAACTGAAACACAGACATATTCCTCATGCCAGTATAGGGGGTTAGGTCACCTAGTTATTACAGGCAAACTGCAGACTTTGTTTTGAACAAGCCTTATTGAGAATGATGGTATAGAGTACAAAGTACACAAGCAAAAGATACAGAAAAAACACTGACATCAAACCAACCAGATAACCAATATATGTTTATTGGGCACCTTGTAAGTATAAGACATTCTATGTACAAGTTGGGCTACTTTGCAAATGACGGAATTCCAACTTGATCACACAAAAAAAGAGAATTTGCTGGCTGATGTCACCCAAACACAGAATGTGGACAGCTGGTCCTATGGATGTCTGGACTCAGTGGCAAGCACACTTTTAGGGCTTATACTCTCTATTTCTGATGTATGTTTCCAGTTCTCTTTGCAGATGAGCTTTCTCCATGCCATGGGGAACATGAATCCTAGCAACTATGATCTCTCATCTCATCCTAACAGCAGTTCTACCAGCAAAGAAAGAGGATTCCTTTGTCTTTGTCTGCAGTTTGAAAACAATCCTAACAATCACTTGCATTGAATCAGTTTAGGTCATATACTCTTCCCTGAGCCAATCACCAAGCCAGGAAGATGGAGTAATATAATTGGCCCAATTAAGAGCACACGACATGTTAGGAGCTCGAGACCAGCCTGGCTAACTTAGTGAAACCTCATCTCTACAGAAATACAAAAAAAGCTAGCTGGGCATGATGGCACACACTTGAAGTCCCAGCTACTTGGGAGGCTGAGGTGGGAGGCTCATTTGAGCCTGGGAGGCAGAAGTTGCAGTGAGTGGAGATCACACCACTGCACTCCAGCCTAGGCAACAGAGCAAGACTGTCTCAAAAAAAAAAAAAAAAAAAAGAATACATGTTACTGTTGTCATTAGAAGAGAGGGAAGTGTATTGGGCAAGCAAAAATCATAACCTTCACCTTCAATGAGTTATAATAGAGAAATTAATATTTTAATGGTAGAGTTGGCTCAAGGAGCCAAGAGGCCAGAATCTCAGAATGTCTGGCTGAGATGCCATGAGCCCTGAGCAGACATGTCACATGGACTGCCCAGCCAGGAAGGGAGGCCTATCATAATTTTGTCCCCCACTTGTGTTATCTCATAGACTACAGACTTAAATTTATTTCTTAATATGCATACTATTTAAAGAAGGAAGTTATAAACATTTGGGCATTATCTTAGAGAAAGCAGAACTTTCTAAAGAGAGTGTCTAGAGGCTGGACCACAGACTAACATCCCTGTTGGTTGAAAAATTGCAGGCTGTCTTGTCCTGTTGGAAAGCATTATTTTAACAGATTGCTTAATGCTTTTCCTTCCTGTAGCATGGGCTTGGGGGAGTGGTACTCAAAGCAGACTTATAAATTGGATTGTATAGTGAATGAACTTTGCTTAATGGCTTTGCTGGGTTTATTTAAGACATTGAACTGTTTGCCCTTGTCTCCAGTGGTTCAATGACCACTCATCATTACATTAGTGGGAGAACTATCATACTGTGTTAGAGATACGGAGAGCTTGTGACTGGGTGAAGAGTCAGTGTTTTGACTTTTTATGCCAACATCATTATTTTCCCACTCATTTCACATTTCTCCTGTCAGTTCAGCCCTCAATTCAAGGTTACCTTGATTACTTTCAGGTCTTTTAGTCATGAATCTTTCTAAACTATTTTTACCTCAAATTGTTCCTATATTTTCATGAACTCACTTTTTCTTCTTTTCTGTCTCAAAATTAGAGGTATTCCTAGTCTTTTCCAGCACTAAATTCTTCCCTAGTCTACCTCCTTAGAAAACTAACTTCATTCATTCCTTCATCTTCTATTTGCATTTTCAACTATCTCTCTTCATTGCATCTTTCTCCACTTATCCACCACAAGCCTACCTCTTGAAACAGTATCAAATGAGATCATATTTGGGAAAGTGCTCTGTTACTCTGAAGTAGAATATAAATATGGAATAATATCATAATCCTGTCTTTCTTCTTCCCTCCGTGATCATTTCAAAAAACCATCAATATAAAATATTTTTTAATTTTACTATATCACTGTTCAACTCATTACCTAATGTCTTAAAATCTGATTCTGTCTCCTAAAATACTATGTTAGGGGTTCATAACTTTATCTTCCAGTATTTGACACAGTTAACTACATCCTCCTTCCTTGGTTTTTGTAACCTCATTACCTTGATTTGCCTCCTCTCCCTTTAACCATTCCTCTTTCCTTCAATGTCCATCTTTTCCCTTCTATCTCTAAATGTGGGTGGTCTCTATCATTCTGTCCTTCCTTCTCTCCCTCTCTCTCTGATTCTCATAAATACTCCTTGAAACCACCAACAAATTCTTTTCTTCAACCTCTGTTAATTGCCTGCTGATAATTTTAACCTAGATGTCCCACTAGCCCCCAAAGAAAATGTATAGTAAAATAAACTCTTACCCCACTCCAAATATCTTCCACCTTATCTCAGCCAACAGTGTTACTCTTTTACTGAGTCACCTAGGCTTGAAACCCTAATTCCATGATTGATTTTTCCCTCCTTATCCCTGAATCTAATTTCAGCCATATTTTACAGACATTTACTCTGTCTCTGCCTTCTCTTCCTTCAGGTAGTGATAGTTCAGGCTGCTGGAATAGCACACACCCTATTATTTTTGCTTTCAGTAGGGTTATCCAAACGTATTTTGTGGTCATACTGTTTTTCCCTTCTTTGTTCCTTAGTTCTTTCCCTTTTCTGGTCTGAATAACCATTTTAACTTTATTCACAAAGACCACTAAATCTTCTGTGCTAACATTTTCTCAGAACTTCCACTAAACATGTTTAGAATGGCTAGAATGGCCTGTATAACATGCCTGGTAAGTAACAGCTGGGTGCAAGTTGACTATTGTTTATAAGTAGTGACATGACAAAAATACATTTCATAGCGTATGTCTATTAATTTGCATTTTCAAATGCAGTCACCATCTTCATATTAGAAAATTCAACCGTATTTGATTCAGAATGCTGAAATTTTGAGGATCTAATGACATGCTAATGAATATACACTGAACATGTTGCCTGACTTTTAATACTTTTTCACCAGTCATCAGAATATAATTCCAGTTTATGTCTAACCTCATCAGAAACATCACCTTTCAGTCTCTAGGACTCTAGCTCTCTAACTTTGTTTCTGCAGATCCTATTAGCAAAAAAATGATTAAGGACAGCTTCAGTTTTCCCAGTTTTGACATTAAGGGTATTTGATGCCACAGTAGTATACTGTGCAACTGTAAAAAAGAATAGGGAAGCTCTTTATATGTCTATATGGAAAGATCTCTATTAAGAAATGAATGTTCATGTCTCCCTCAAAACTCATGTGTTTAAGTCCTAACCCTCAATATGATGATGATATTTGGAGATGAGGCCTTTGGGATGTAACTGGGGTTAGATGAGGTTATGAGGGTGGGACTCTCATGATGTGATTAGTGCCTTTATAAGATTAGATGCCAGAAAGCTTGCTGGTTCTCTATCTGCATGTTAGGACATAGTGAGAAGAAAGCCATCTGAAAACCAGGAAGAGAGCCCTCACCAGAATCTGACCATGCTGGTGCCCTGATCTTGGACTTTCAGCCTCCAGAACTGTAAGAAAATTAATTTCCATTGTTTAAGCCACCCAATCTATAGTATTTTGTTATGGCAGTCTGAGCTGACTAATACAATCTCCAATATTTATTATTATTATTATTTTGAGACAGAGTCTTGTTCTGTCACCCAGGCTGGAGTCCAGTGGTGCGATCTCAGCTCACTGCAACCTCTGCCTCTGGGTTCAAGTGATTTGCCTGCCTCAGCCTCCTGAGTAGCTGGGATTACAGGTGTGCACCACCACACCTGGCTAATTTTTTGTATTTTTAGTAGAGACGGGGTTTCACCATGTTGGTCAGGCTGGTCTCGAACTCCTGACCTCCAGTGATCTGCTTGCCTCAGCTTCCCAAAGTGCTGGGATCATAGGTGTAAACCACTGCATCTAGCCTCCAAGATTTATTTTTAAGTAGGGGAGAAAAGAGTGCCAATGTGTACTGCAAAGTGCCAATGTGTACTGCAATGGGAGTTAAAAAAAGAAGAGAAAATATACTTGTACTGGCTTGCATATATGTTTTTTAAATCTTGGGAAGTGTAAATGAGAAACTGATAATATTGGTTACCTGTTTTTTGGAGATAGGCAGATAGAGAATAAGGGAGGAAAGGAGACATTGCTGTATATCTTTTTATACTTTTTGATGCTTGAACTATGTGAATGTGCTACCAGTTCAAGGAATTAAATAAATAAAATTTACTTTTTTAAAGTAATAAAACAAAAACATTTAATAACAAAAACATTTCATTTGGAAAAATAAGATTATATTCAAAGAAGAAAAATACTGATTATGTTGAAAGAAGATGGCTGACTAGCAGAATAACTAAAGCAGAAGTTTACATTTGATGCAGGCACAATTTGAACAAGATGAAAGAATAGGAGCAGATGTATTAAATAACTTTCCCAGTCAGCTCTTTAATAACTCCCATGACAGTGTAGGCAATTCTTATTGTTACTGCCCTTTTCTTGGATCTGCGTTGGCTACTGCCAGCAGAGCTGGAAGTGCCCACATGACATGTATTCAATTGAAAGGTGATAGCCACAAGTTCTCAAGTACTCTCAATAATGCTCAGATGGTGCCTGAGAGTGACACCTTCTCCTTCAACTTCCCTTGGTTGGAAGTCCTAAGTACAAGGAGAGCAACTACTGAGAAAAGGATCCAGTCATCCATTTGAAGAGGGTTAATTTCTCTTCCAAGAACACAAATGTAACTTTTCTCACAACCTACTTTGGCGAATTAAACATCCAATTGTTTTACGGACACTATATCATACTGCCCCAGAACATTGTCCTTCTGTAGTTCTGATCATTTTATTTCTGTTTAATATCTATCAAAGAATTCTTCTCTATTAGTTTCAGGGTAAAATCCAAAATTCAAAATATGATATTCAAAGACTCTGGTCATCAGGCTTCAGCCTATCTCTCTACCCACATCTGCTCATTTTGAGCTGTTTTGCCATGACCCCAAAGTGCTTTCCTTTCTCTACCTCCATGCCTTTTTAAATGCCATTTTCATTGCCTGGACTACCCTTCTATTTCTTCCTTTTGATGATGCTTTTCCAAATTAAAGTGAGTGTTCCTTTTCTAATATCACCCTGTATTTATTGCACACCATTGAGATTCTCTATGTGCTTGTCCTTTCTATCAGACTCGAGAAGTTCAGGGGCCATAGCATATTCATTTTGCATCTCCAATGCTGGCATCCAGTAAGCATTTGATGGCTGAATGACTGAATAAATATGTAGTCTAGCTGAAGTTTTAAAGACAGAACATTGTAGTACCCTATAATAAAATCCTACCCAAGGCTTAGGAAAAGTGCCTTGCAGGAGGATTCTAACTCTGCATTTTAAGAGTATAATTCAGCCTCAGATTGACTTGTAAGAGCTGAATTCTGTCAGAACAATTCTCCCTGAGCCTTTTGATTTTTTGGAAGGCTTTCACTTTTGCAGATTTGTGTGTCTGTGGTTTGAAAACTCTGGTGAGCATTCCCATACTAAGGTAGCTCTTTGAAGATCTCCTCTGTTTAACAGCATTTTACTTCTCATATTCTAAAGCATAGATGACAGCTTGCAATCCAGTGGATTTTCATCCTTATCTCCTGAAAACCACATTTCTTAGGCATTGTGATAGTAAGTTCCATATCTATGAAAATCACCCCACAGAAGTGAGTTTTCAGCTCAAACCTCAGATACGCATTTGCTTGCAAGAGAGCAAGAGTGACAGCAGGGCAAACTCAACCACTTTGTAGTTAGATGTCTTTCTCATGTGTCTTTCTCAAAGATTTTCTTTTAAAGTGTGAAATTTCCAGAAAAATCTAACAGTTTCTAGCCAAAATAGTTCACTTCCCAAGCTAAAGGGGTTGATTTTGGTGGGCTTCAGTTGTATCAATAGGCCACTAGTGAGGCAGACTTCAGAGATAAGCCCATCTTTTGTTAATTCACTTCACTCTGAACAAAACAGACAAAATAAATGCTTGAACCCCACCTATTTAGACATGCTTGCATAAACATGGCTTCATAATAGTTTGCTTTCAGAGTCCATTGACTTTAATTGTCCTACGGATGCTGTTTAAATGCGTCCATTGATATAATGTGTTAGTGCTCATTTTCTATAGTAATGAGCATAGTCACAAGCCTGAGTTCAGTATACATTTGAGCAAAATCCTGGCACTAATCACAATATAAATAGCACATCTGATCTTACTGACATGTGGCTGAAGGCAAAACGTAAATCCAACAAAATTTGCAGGACTTTAGTTCTGATGCCATTTCTTGTAAAGTTTGGGGATAAAAATGATAGGAGTCCTGGAATATTTTTCCCATGCTAGGATTTTAGTTATTCTGCAGTTACCAAATCTGCAAAATTTCTGGATTTGTCCTCCTCCAGGAAACACTGTCTTAATTAAATAATTAATTAAGCTCATTTAAAAGCCAGTGATTCTCCTGTGGTTTGCTTCTATAATTGCCTCTTTACTCATTTAAAAAAAAACTACCTAAGCTAACTCTTTTATTTGTTCTTAATATGATGCTTTACCTAGTTCATGCAATTGTTTATCATATGACTTATGTGTCTCTCTGTGTTGTCATTGTCATTATCTGTAGAAAATTGTTAGGTCCCAAAAGGCAGGACCTGAGTATCCTTATTTTCTGTGGCACCCGCACAGCATTATGTGATATTAAACAGGCAATAATTATTTTAGTGTGATGAAGATGGGAATCTATAGCATGCTGATGTAATGTGAGTTTAACATCAAAAAATAAAGTTACTGAAGCTCAGGTATGCTATCCATAGCACACAGTAACCTGTATTAGTTACTAAGAAGGGTTTAGTATTATGTGAAAGCAGTTGATGAAATGTTCAAAATAGCCAACTTCCAATGACTCAGAGTACATGTGTCCCTTAAATTGCTCACCTGCTTTTGCTCTAGAGCTATGTTTCAGCCTGTATGTTTCCAGAAAGAGGCTGAAAAGGCATACAGGAGGTCAAATCAGCCAACTTCTACATTTTGGTGGTTCTGGTGATAGGGTTACTGAGCGAGATGGTGATAATGATTGTTAAACCATTATTTTTAGGGATTAATGTGGAATTTACATTTACAGTTTACATCATTAAATTGACATGCATTATCAATTGCACTGTTTGTAGAACTGTGGAGAAATTCCTTTTTCTATCAAAAGCTCTACATGGTTAGTCTGACTGTAGATCTTGTATCCACATGCTAGTCTTGATGGACTAGCAGAGCTCAGAGGACCAAGCCTTAAACACAGAGCACAGTTTCCTAGAAGTAAAGAATTTAACCTTTGTTCTAGTCCTTCCATCAGCCTCATCAGCAGGAAAACTGTCAAGGCTGATTTCAAATGAATCATCCTTGGCAGCATTTTTCCCCCTAAAACCGCTTATCTGTCACTTTATGGAAATTGCTACTTGCCCTCAGTGGTATGCGATATGAGCTCAGACATTACACATAATTCATTATACCACAAAGTTGAAAAAATATATAATACATATAAATATATTATATATTAAACATAAATAAATAGGTAGATAGATAAAATTTATCCTGAACCAGCTATGTATCAATAAACTCAGCAGTTTTACAGTTAAGTTCTGAAACCACAGCCTTTTGGTCACTTGCCGCCAGTATTCTTCCAAGAGAGATTAAGAAATGTTTGGGCCTAGAGGCAACCTTTAAAATGTACTGAGAAGTGCATTTTTGCCAGCTCTATTGATATTACTTCTACCTAGATGACCCACATACTTCTTGATATTCTTTAAATCTTTGCAAACTGGGTTTATAACATTTCCCTCCTGGGGTTAAAACAACCCCAGCCCCTTAGGCACCATGTCTTTAAGACATAGCATTAGAGAACTTTCACTCCTGGAGTGTGTATCTGCGATCAAATATGATCATATGCTCTATTCTGAATTGAAATTAGCTTTATGACTTCTACAATCAGAGCGAGTGTTGGGCTGAATGAGTTGAGACTAGATAACAGAAGATGCATCTTTCACAGGCTGTAGCACTGAGTCCCCACTTTTCTCATACAGGTCCGCGATCCGTGGTCTGCAATTCAGAAATCCAAAGGGCTCTGAAAAGCAAAAGTTTTAGTAACAAAATTTGGTGGCCAAAATTGATGTGAAGCTTTATAGTCCCCATTCATCTCACTTAATGGAAATATTAGTACATTTGATTATGGGTTGCTGCCCAGGACCCACTGGGGGTGTTACATAAACAGATATACTCACCACATTATCTTCCTAAAATCCAAAAAATGTCACATCTAGCATCAAATATTTTGGGTAAGAAATTGTTAACTGTACCTTTCCTTAAAATACTAAAGATTTTTTACTGGGGAGAGCGAGCCAATCAGGTTTTGAAGTTCACGAAAGGCAAATCTGTAGATGAGGGTCTTGATGAGGGCAGAAGTTTAGGGTAGGTCCTAAGACTTTACAACGTAACATCCTCTCTGGTTCTTTTCTGTGTTCCTAGTTTTGTACAGATTTATTTTTGAGTGTTGGTCAAAATAAGGGGACAAAATAAGGGGAATGTTATTTTTTAAGAGAATTCTTTTTTTTTTTTTTTTTTGAGATAGTCTCACTCTATTGCCCAGGCTGGAATGCAGTGGCACGATCTTGGCTCACTGTAATCTCTCCCTCCCAGGTTCAAGCGGTTTTCCTGCCTAAGCCTTCCGAGTAGCTGGGACTATAGGCATGTGCCACCACGCACAGTTTTTTAGTAGAGATGGGGTTTGACCATGTTGGCCAGGCTGGCCTCGAACTCCTGACCTCAGGTGATCTGCCCACCTCGGCCTCCCAAAGTGTTGGGATTACAGGCGTGAGCCACCATGCCCGGCCAAAAATTCATTTTTATTGTTGTCCCCTTCTTCCTTTTCTGTGAAAGTCCTCATCCTAAGAAATTTTTATATTTTATATTAGTTAAATCATTTCCTATTGATTTTTGTTGTGATTTTCAAAGGTGGATTCCCACAGATAAAATCTTAGCTATTGCCCAAGACATAGTAAAGGGTCACATGTATGAATTTTTATAATTGGAAGAAAATTCTGCCTTTGTGAGTGCACATGTCCATCCACATTTCATCCCTCCATCCCTCAAAACCCTAGTGAGGGGCATTAAAGAATGGTTGATGTATATGCAATGTCTGTTAAGCATGCACTATGTATTTCATCCTCATTTATTGGGTCTGGGATGGAAGTTTCTAGCCAGCATGAACCTAACCTACTTTTTGAGACAAAATTCACTGTTTCGTTACAGGCAAAATTCTGGTGTGGTGTGAATGCTGTGGCTCAGTCCGAACATGTTTTTTTCTGTAATTTTATCATTATTACACGATTGCAATATCAGTTTTGTTTTTTAATTGGAAAGCAACATTTTCTACTGTTGAAAGACGTTTTTTGACAAATTGACCCTTCCTAGTATTGAGTACTAAGTTGAGGACTGCATCTACTTGTTTTTTACATTATAGAGAATAAAATACTATTGATTTGAAAAATACATATCACTTGGTATCTCTGTCTTGGTTGCAGTGGTGATACAGAATTGGTTTCATTAACTCCTACATGGTTGGTAATCACTGATCAAGAAAGTGGGAAAACAAAACCTTAAAACCTCAATCCTCAGTAGGAAGTAGGTTACATTAGGTCAATTTATAGGTAATCTATGCACATGCTAACAGGGTTGGAAAGAACCTTACGAAGCATATTACCTGATAAACTTGAGTGGGTTTGGGAGGACAAACTAACAGGATTATTGTGTCTCCTAGTTGGTACATGGGAGCAACTGACGTACCCCCTTCAGAACCTTAACTGTTAGTAACAGTGGCAGTGACAACACAAACCAGTGAGCAGAGATACAGCTCTTAGGCCAAGCTGGCCAGACTGTATGGCTGCAGGAAGTGACTGACCAGTGACAGTGCTCAGCCAGACCAAGATGAGGAGAGAAGAGTCAATAAGCTTTCTGGAGGCTAAGGTGTTCCCGTGGTGGGAAACTGTGCCCCCAGCCTTCATGGATGAGTTATAGGTCTTAAAGTTAGTCTCCTCTTGTTGGGATTTCACACTCATTAAATAACCTGATAATAACCTGGTTTTCCATGTAACTGCCTCTAGGAAGAAAAGTACTGTTCATGAAGACATAGGTATTTCAGTCTGCATGGTAAAAGATCTATA
This sequence comes from Homo sapiens, assembly GCF_000001405.40. Classification (NCBI taxonomy): domain Eukaryota; kingdom Metazoa; phylum Chordata; class Mammalia; order Primates; family Hominidae; genus Homo; species Homo sapiens. Next base: position 85,481,613 of record NC_000001.11, on the reverse strand, counting down.
TCTTACTACAAAATAATAAACTAGCTGGTTTATAATGTGTAAAAAAGATTTTTGAGAAATCATTGGTGGTGGTATAATATTAAGTGATATCATTCACATGGGTAGTTATTCTCATAACATCTTGTATGTAACTATAACACTTATAATGTATTAATAATTTGTTTTCAATCTTTTAATTTGGACTAGACATAACTCTTACAGAGAGAAATTGTCTTTAGGCTGGGTAGGTGACTCACATCTGTAGTCCCAACACTGTGGGAGGCTGAGGCAGGCGGATCACCTGAGGCCAGGAGTTCGAGACCAGCCTGGTCAACATGGTGAAACCCTGTCTGTACTAAAAATACAAAAAGTAGCTGGGTGTGGTGGCACACACCTGTCATCTCAGCTACTTGGGAGGCTGGGGCAGGAGAATCACTTCAACCTGGGAGGCAGAGGCTGCAGTGAGCTGAGATTGCACCACTACACACCAGCTTGGGCGACAAAGCAAGACTCCATCTCAAAAAAAAAAAAAAAAACAAAAAACCCAAAGAAATGATTTTTATTATTTTATGAAGTATATGCTTCTTAAAGAAAAATTGGAAAACACATAAAATTTTAAAGAAAATAAAAATCACCTATAATCCCACTTCTTAAAGATAGCAAAAGTTACTGTTACATTTTATTAAGCATTTTCTCCTATATATGTCATTAAACTGTGATCATACTAAAACATTATTTTCAAAAGCATTATTTTTAATGACTACAGCATATCCCACAGGTATGGATATACCTTGATTTATTTAACTACTCTTTTATTATAGGGCTTTCCAATTGTTTCTGATTTTAAATTTTAATTTAATTATTAATTAATTAATTTATTTATTTATTTTTGAGACAGAGTCTTGCTCTATCGCCCAGGTTGGAGTGCTGTGGCACAGTCTTGGGTCGTTCAACTTCCATCTCCCCAATTCAAGTGATTCTCATCCCTTAGTCCCCTGAGTAGCTGGGATTACAAGTGCCTGCCACCACACCCAGCTACTTTTTGTATTTTTAGTAGAGATGGGGTTTCACCATGTTGGTCAGGCTGATCTCAAACTCCTGTCCTCAGGTGATCCGCCAGCTTCAGCCTCCCAAAGTGCTGGGATTATAGATGTGAGCCACCGCACCTGCCTGTTCCTGATTTTTAAAATGATGAATGGAGAAACCATTTCTTAATCAGATCGTTAGCCACAGTATCTAGCACACTTAGTCACTTAATATAAAAGTATTGAATTGAAAAGTTATTTTCATCTGAGATCCTATCCTGAATAGGTTTATTAGGTTTTATTAGAAGCTTAAGAGGAATCTGACAAAATGAACTCCAGAGCACATATATTTTGGTGTGGAAGGGAGCAGTTTAAGCCTGTGCTCAGAGAGGCAACCCAGGGATGGGGAACTGCTAACAGTGTGTGGGGTGGAGCAGGGGCACATAGAAGAATTTCTAAGGTGAATGTTGACTCTGTCACAGTTTTACCTACTGACAGAAGTGTTGAACCATCCACAGTGGGTTACTTCTCCCACTCTTCTGAAGAAGGAGCTGTTTTGTCACTTGTTCTGTTTCTCTTTTAATTGCTCATAGTTGTTCCTATGAGAGCAGACATGTGCTCTTTGAATTTAATTGAACGTCTGCTTCAGAAAAACGTGACAAGGAAATATTATCTTCTTAGATTTCAGTATGTGTAAGATGGGTATAGTCGTTTACAAAAATTCCCAAATCAGAATTTTGTGACCTCTTCTAGAACATGTGATTAGCCTGGCCCAGCATGACTCTTTCCCAAGCAGGGCCAAACAGATGGAAGCTGGAAGCACCATTTTCACCCTAAAGGGATCAAGACAAGGCCCAGCAAACTGAACTAGCAATATCTAATTGTCTGGTGTTCTGATGATGCTCACATTGACCCCACCTCCAGAGTGCCTGTTACCATAACATCTGGAACTGTTATAACACTGCCTATTTTGATATGTGGCCAAAACCACTCTACTTTCAGATTGTGTGAACACTGTTGTAATACTCAATAAGCAATTAGTGGTGAAAACCCCGATTGTGGTAATATTAGTGCCTGATTTGTTTAATTTAATTAAGCATTTAATTTCCTTCTGGTGTCTTTATAAAAGAAAAACAGGGCCAGGCGCGGTGGCTCACGCCTGTAATCCCAGCACTTTGGGAGGCCGAGGCGGGTGGATCATGAGGTCAGGAGATCGAGACCATCCTGGCTAACACGGTGAAACCCCGTCTCTACTAAAAATACAAAAAATTAGCCGGGCGCGGTGGCGGGCGCCTGTAGTCCCAGCTACTCGGGAGGCTGAGGCAGGAGAATGGCGTGAACCCGGGAAGCGGAGCTTGCAGTGAGCCGAGATCGCGCCACTGCAGTCCGCAGTCCGGCCTGGGCGACAGAGCAAGACTCCGTCTCAAAAAAAAAAAAAAAAAAAAAAAAAGAAAAACAGAAGGGAGGAAAAATAATCTCAGATTATTAACTACTTTAAGCTTTTCACCTACTACCTCTTGGGCTATAGCAAATCAATAATCTTTTAAAAGCAAAACGCAAAATAAAGTAAAATAAAAATTAAATGTAAACTTTCAAAAGGCAATAAAAATATAATTTCTTTTAAAGCATGTATTAGTTTCACCATATTTCTAGAATATTGTAAAGTAATATACAATTATATAGAATACAGCATTATACAGTAATGTAATATGCTTTAGACTATCCCCCATAATATTAACAACCCATTCTTTATCAATTGATATTCATTAGTCTTGTCTGACAATGCCAAACCTATTCCCTGATCTCCAACTTACCCGTCAATGACCACTTCTGATGAGGATCTGAACACTATTGCAATAAGGCAGACAATATTATAAAATTCAAGAAACATTAAGTCACAATAGGAAGGATACAACTGAAAGGATAATGATATGGTTTGGTTGTGTCCCCACCCGAATATCATCTTGAATTTTAGTTCCCATAATCCCCACATGTTGTGAGAAGAACCCAATGGGAAGTTATTGAATCATGGGGGTGGGTTTTCCTATTCTGTTAGTGAATAAGTCTCATGAGATCTGGTGGTTTCATAAATGGGAGTTCCCCTGCACAAGCTCTCTTGCCTGCCATCATGTAAGATATAACTTTGCTCCTCCTTCACCTTCTGCCATGATTGTGAGGCCTCCTCAGCCATGTGGAACTGTGAGTCTATTAAACTTCTTTCCTGTATAAACTACCCTGTCTTAGGTATATCTTCATTAGCAACGTGAGAGCAGACTAATACAGATAATTCCTAAAATTAATTAAGATGTCAGAAAGCATTCTTGGCAAAAAGCAAGTTAGAGTGGAAACTTCTCTTTTCTTTTTAAAGATGTATCCTATGATATGGTCTTTAGTGGAAACCCATGTTTTCTATAAAAATGAAACTGATTTTTCTATATAATATTCTTGCCCATTTCTCTCCAAAATGATTTATCTGTCAGCATTCTCACAGAAGAAAAATTTGCTTTCCAAGGCAATTTCCTTTCCCTTTTTTCCCTATATTTTTGAAAAATACTTTCTTTAAAGGCTTTTCTAATTTTTTTTAGAAGGAAAGTTGGAGAAACTGAGATTAGGAGATTTTGAGTTGGCAGATGGCATAGATCATTAATTTTTTGCAATTATGTTTAATATATTAAAATAACAAAAACTGAATAGAGAATAGAAGCCCATATACTAGGGAATAAAAGCATAAAATTTCCTGTACAATAAATTATAGACAATTTGTACAGCATTTTTTTATTGATGCATATGCTAATTTGATGGTTGAGATGTTTAAATAAATTCCCTGAAAAATTTAGTACGTAGCTACATATGTGACCTGTATGAACACAAATTACCATTTTCTTCTAGCTTTCACATCAAAATTTCACATCATAATATACTATATATATTTCTATATATAGTAGAGATAGTATATGCATATACATATACTATCTCTGCTATATATAGTATAGCAGAGACAGTAGTGTGAGTCATATATCATCTCTAAAGAGCAGGATAATCTTGGTGTGAGTTAATCTTGATTTACATTTTAACTCCACTCTATAATAACCACCAGGATGTGTTATATTTTCGGTAGATAATGTTTTCTTCGGGTGGTTTTCAATGGTGACTTCTCTGAATCTGCATGGTTCTCACGTAAGATGTCATGAGGTTGTAGGGGACACTCTTCTAGTTGTAAAGGCTGTAGAAAAGGCCTGAGGGCGGATGCATATTATTGACAGGCCCCCTGTCATTGGGGAGGCACGTATTTATGGAGCCCTTACCTGTGTCAGGGCTCTCAGCCAGGAGCTGACCCTCAGCTTTAAAACAAGGTTAACAATATCACTGACATTCCAGCTGTAGCACATAGATTTTTCTCTTCCTTCCTCCAACATGCTAAATTCCCTCCCACCTTGTGTCTTTGCTCATATGCTCGGCTCAGTTTGGTAATTTCTCTCCACTCCTGATTAATACCTACTCATCTTTCAATTCTCAGCTCAGAAGTCACCTCTCCAGGGAAGTCTTCCTTTATTCCCCCAGACATATGGGATTTACGTTATTATACATGCTCATGGTACCCAGTCCTTTTCCTTTACAGCACTTAGTTTGTGAGTATTTAGTGATGGTTTGATTCATAGCTGTCTCTCTGCTAGACAGTATTAGCACCTACTACTAGTCAGTGACTAGTGCTAGTTGTGTATTATGGACCCTGTTTTTAATTCAGAAAAAAGTTAGCAAAACTTCAGAAAATGAAAGAAATTTTTCTGAAAATATTATTGAAATACTATCTTGGAAGAATAACAGAACTTGATACTAAGAGTGTGACTGGTTAATGATACACACTGCTTCCATCAAGAGAAAGTGTCTGTTCCCCTCCCTTTGATGGGCAGGCCTGTGACTGCTTTGACCAGTACAGGATAGCAGAAATCATGCCATGCTAGCTATGTGCATAGCCCCTAAAGAGCACGGCAGCTTCCACTTCTCACCTGTAGGAAGCCAACCACCAAGAAATGAGACTATTCTGGGACCACTATTCTGTGAGAATCCTGAGCCACATGAAGAAGCTCTGGAAGAAGGGACCTGTGTGGAGGGGGTGAGCTGGGGGTCAGGCTGAACAACACTGAGGCACTAGAGATGTGCGTGAGAAAGTCAGCTGGAAAGTGGTTCCCAGCTTCAGCTGCCCCAGTGGACTCCATGTGGATCAGAGACACAAGCTTTTCCCCAATTCCTAATCCACAAATCATGGTCCAAACAAAATGACTGTTTTATAAAGCCACTAGGTTTCAGAGTAGTTTTTTGTGCATCAACAATAACTGAAACAAAGAGTAAGAAAAGTAAATGCATGAGAAGAAGGAGCTGAGGAAAGATAATTCAGAGGAGAAAGTAGGTGAAGGGCAAAATAAAGAAGCGTGTAACAACTATCTTGAGGCTGGACATGGTGGCTCACGCCTGTAATCCCAGCACTTTGGGAGGTTGAGGCAGACAGATCACTTGAGTTCACGAGTTTGAGACCAGCCTGGGCAATATGGCGAAACCTGTCTGTATAAAAACACAAAAACAAAACCAAAAATTACCCGGGTGTGGTGGCGTGCACCTCTAGTCCCAGCTACTCAGGAGACTAAGGTGGGAGAATCACTTGAACCTGGGAGGTAGAGGTTGCAGTGAGCCGAGATTGTGCCATTGCACTCCAGCCTGGGTTACAGAGTGAGACCATGTCTCGAAAAAACCAAAACCAAAAACAAACGAACAAACAAACAAAACCCAACCACCTCAGAGGTAAGAGTTCAGGTAATAGGGACAGTGAGGCTTTCTCCATAAAGCCACTAGAAGTTTGGAACCTCTACTCCCACTCCACCCCAACCATTTTTGCATGATGCAGGTCCCGATATATGGAAGCCCTCTATAATTTTATAATGGTGCTGGCAAGAAAAAGAAAGTGTGGGGAAATAATCTGACAGTGTTTACATGATCTATTTTTCTAAGAGTTATGCCTATACATTGTCAAACATATTGAATTAAGTAACCTGAATTATTTAAAATGTAGGTAATTCTTACCAAAATTTAATATAAGAAGGTTCCCATTCAGCAGGGGAAGTTGGGCAATAATTTTATTGTAATGGGGTTTGACCCTAGAATGGGTAAATGAAGCTTTCCCCCAACCAATAATGGAATAGGAAAGAGGAAAGGGAGTAACCTTTGTTGAAAGTCAACTATTGCTATGCTTTGCATATCTTCTTCTTTTTCCCTCCTCCTCCCCCTTCTCCTCCTCCATCATCATGGAAGTGGCTAACGTTTGTTGAGCACTTGCTATATCTACATGCTGCAAAGCTTTACATGGATCATCTCATTAATCTTCATTACGTCATAATATATGTGTAATCTTTGTTTTACAAATGGAAAAATACTGAAGCTCTGTATGTGAAGTTAATTGACCAGGATTGTACAGATAGTAAGTAGTGGAGCCAGCATTTGAGCAAAGGGCTCCTTTGAACAAAGGGCTCCCTCAGCAGAAGGGAGACGAAGAACATATTTCATATGTTGTCTAAGTTAATTTAATTTAGTCCTCATAATAACTATGTAAGATTGATATTACTACCCTCATTTTTCAAATGAGGGTCTTATGCTCAGAAAGGTCAAGCAAGTTGTACAAGATCACACAGCTGTGACAAAGCCAGGGTTCAAACCCTGACCATGAACCCTCCACTCTCCCATAGCAATTTATAAGCATTGGGAGCAACAGAATCATAGATTCTTAAAGCTGGAAGGGGCCTAGTATAATTTTCTTATTTTATAGGAACTGAAACCCATTCTTATGAAAGTGGGCTGATGAGAGTGGGGAGAAAGGAATGCCATCTATTGCTTTAATTCAGCCATTCTCTACACACCGGAATTGAGGATCCAGTAATAACAAGATGTGCCTGTTTGCCAAGAGCTCCTTGGATTAGCAAGTAAAACAGTGCTTTGTCATAGGAGTCAAAACAGGGATACAGATGCATCTCATCCCACCTGGGGACCCAGGGAAGTCTTCTTGAATAGAGTGATGACTTCAACGAGTCTAAAGAGGATTAGGAATTACCCAAGCAGGGATGGGGCCACACACATTCCAGGAAATGGGAAACCATGCACAGAAGCCCAAGTAAGAGAGAATAGGGATGAGATCAGAATGAGGATGGCAAGTAGGCAGAGGCCACATCATGGGGGTGGGGTGTTGGGTGGGCCATGGTAAAACATGTGGACTTCATTCTGAGGATACTGGGAAGCTACTGGAGGATTTAGACAAGACAATGGCAGTTAGATTTGCAGTTCAGAAAGACTGCCTTGGATAAGATGGCTGTTGCAGTAATCTAGGAAACCAATAATTATTTTCTGGACTAAGTGGTAGCAGAGTGGATGAAGAGACATGGGTGGATTTGAATCATTTTAAGGGGATTGATTGGTCAAAACATGGTGATTGATTAAATGTGGAGGTAAAGGAGAACGTGAGCCAAAGGATAACACTCAGATTACTGGCTTAAGCAACTACCAGTATGAATGGAATAGGGATTGGAAGGAGCAATCCTGGGCAGGATATGATGAGCTGTGCTTTGGGATGTCAACTTTGGAGTGCCTTTGGAGCAGCCAAATACGGATGTCTTTTAGGTAGTTCTGAAGCTGGGCAGGAAAAGACCAGAAATGAAAGTTTGAGCCATGTTGGCACTGGGGTGTATTTGAAGTCATGGGCCTAGATTCGCTCATCCAAAGCAGGAAGCATGTAAAGTTGGAAGAAAAGAGATGGAGGCTAGAGAACTCTGGGAAATACCAACATTTAAAGGAAAGAATGAGGAAAAGCAATGGAGTAGAAGCAGAGGGAGAGAGACAGACTGGCAGAAGAAAAGAAGTCATGAGAGAGAAGCATCACTGAAGCAAAGGATTCTTTGGACATGTGTATACCAATGCTATGTTAAAACCATTGTGCGTTAATACCACAAAAGCAAATACAGTGATTCCCTGGCATTGCGAAACTGGCATTTCTCTGTGCTTCGTAAGAAAATGAAGCAACTTCATTTCACAAGGAAATGAAGGGGGTTATCAGAGCCCTGTGCGCGTGCGTGTGTGTGTGTGTACACATACATATACATATATAACAATTTTAAATGTAGAGTAATGTTTTTCTTTTCTTCTACATTTAGATTTCCTAGAATTTGAAAGATCTTTCCCCTCAAACTATTTCTTCCCCATAAATATATATTGAATATCAAATGGTCATAAACATACTTCTGGAAAAATAATGTTGCAAAAAGCTCTGAAAAACTGAAAAAATAGCTAATATAAAAGTTTGGGGAACTACCATTTGACCCAGCAATCCCAATCCCCTTCTACCCAAAGGAAAAGAAATAGTTCTACCAAACAGACACTGTCACTCATATATTTATCATAGCACTACTCACAAGAGCAAAGTAATGTAATCAACCTAGGTGTCCATCAGTGATGTATTGGATAAAGAAAATGTGGTACATATACACTATGGAATATTACACAGCCATAAAAATAATGCAATCATTTCCTTTGCAACAACATGGATGCAGCTGGAGGTCATTATCCTAAGTGAATTAAAGCAGAAACAGAAAATCAAATACTGCAATACTGTTCTCACTTAAAAGTGGGAGCTAAACAATGAATACACCTGGACATAAAGACGAAAACAACAGAAACTGCGGACTCCAAAAAGAGACAGGAGGGGAGGTGGGAAGGGCTGAAAAACTTGCTATTGGGTACTATGTTCACTACTTGGATGATGGGTTCAACAGAAGCCCAAATCTCAGCATTATGCAACATATCCATGTCACAAACCCGCACATGTACCCGCTGAATCTAAAAAAAAGTTTGGAGCAACACTCACCTCTGCTTATTACCATAATACATCACAAACTTGTTAAAACTCAACATATTTATATAGTACTTTGAACTTTACAGGATATTTTGGTTATCTCATTAGCCCCTAATGTGGTTGCAATGAGGCAGATGACTCTGGCATCCGTGGGTTATTACACTGTGCTAGGAGAAAGTAATAAGCAGCATAAGAGCGGTGTGGGGACCAAGGGCCCTTTGAAGTTTCACTGAAAAATCAACTCTCAAAAGGAAGATTAATAAGAGAAAAGGCATATAAATTTATTTAGCATGTACACATGGGAGCCTTCAGAATGAAGACCCAAAGACACAGGAGAAATTGATCTATTTTATGCTTAGGTTTAACAAAGTATGGACAGCCATGTAGAAATATGATTGCACCAAAAAGGTATGATCTAATGCTAATAAACTGAGCAAGGAAGCCCAGCCAGGTCTGTCTGCCTAGATTCTCCTTCGCCTCTCTGAGCAGCATTCCTTCCTTCTGGGGATGGGACATGACCTTCTCTGGAATGGGGGTCTTATGATCTACAAACAAGGTATGTCAGATAATTTCTTTATGGCCTGTTTTCACAGAAATAGGGCAGAAGGAAAGTTGGAGTAATATTTTTAGGTTTTATGTCTGGCTTTGGAGAAAAAGGCATTTTGGTTTCTATGACCCGCCCTGGGGAAGAGGGATTCTAGTTTCTGAGGCTAGCCTCAGTGGGGCATGGGACTGAGGGACAGGAGGGCAGGAGAAGGTCAGAGAACAAACCTACACCTCTGAGGCTGCTTCTGAGGCCTTCATTTTGGGGCATTGTTTTCTGAGCCCCAACAGAGGAACACAGAAAGAGCTACAGAAATTCAGAAAAGGGATGTGTTGCTTGCACAGGAGGAGGTGGGGACCAGAGAAGGTTGAGCTTTGAAGTGCAGAAAGCACTGAGTGTTTGCAGTGTCCCTATCACTGTCGTGGGCACTTTATGTTATCTCATTTGAAGGACTTGGGTATTTTAAGTAGTGAAAATAGGCACTTTATACAGAGGCAGATGGATACTCCATAATGAATACAATGCCTGGCACAAGAGCACAATAACTGTTAATATTAGTGGCTATCACAATTGAGTATTTACTGTGTCCTAGAAGCAATGCTCAGATCCTTTGTATATGCTGTCACATTTCAGCCTCAAAACTCTGAAAACAAGGTATTATAACTCCCACTTTACACATCAATTCAAGGCAATGTGTGTGCACACATATACACATATATGTATGTAACAATGAGTTATAAGTGAGGGCCCTGGTAAAAAACAAATGGCATACTTAAAGAATTCTGAAGAGCATGTTTAATAAAAGGAATGTTTTTAGAGGTGTGAGCAGGTAAAGAGAACCAACGAGGAACCCAGGGACTAGCAAAAACGAGAAGCCAATACTACCCCTAGATGGAATAATGGAAGGCAACAGCATTATCAGAACCCAGCTGAGAGCTGGAACCATAGAATAGGGGCCGCCAGCAGAAGCTATGATTGTAGAAGGATGGAGCTGTTGCTACAACCATGAAAAAGCAGGAAGGGAGCCAGAGAAATAAATACCCCAATCTCTGTCCCCTCTTGTCCTCCAGTCTCCTGTAAGTATATCCCATTCACCAAAACCAACAAAAATGGGATCGCAGGTGATGAAGTCCATGAAGATCAGTCCTCCACAGCTTCAAGCAAGACAGAAAATGGTGAAACACGGGTCTTGGGTACACTAAGGTGATACAGCCAGAATGTAGGAGGGCCAGGAATCAAATTCAGGCTTGTCTGAATCTAAAACCCATGCCTTATCCACTGCTTTTATGTATTCCTCTACCATACATACTGTAGATGCTTAGTAAATGTTTCTTCAATGAACGAAACCCCAGATGAAAGTTGGAGAAACTGAGATTAGGAGGCTATGTGTCTTGACTTTAGGAACCAGAGTCCTGGTTACCGTGGAACCATCTCTGGGTCTGTAACTCACTGCCTGCCCATTCAACCAAACACCACTCACTCTTTGGATATAACAGGCAATCTGCAGCAATGGGTTTCTTTCACGGTAAACATTTATGTAATAATTATGTTAAAACACTCAGGACTTACTGTCAAATTGCAGATTTATGGTACTTACTTTATCCGATATTTCTAGCACTTAGGTTGGACAAGGACATCCTTGAGCCCTCCTTCTCTTTGAGAATTCCCACCCTGATATGGTTTGGTTCTGTCCCCACCCAAATCTCATCTTGAATTGTAGCTCCCATAATTCCCACATGTTGTGGGAGGGACCCAGTGGGAGATAATTGAATCATGTGGGGTAGTTTCCCTCATATTGTTCTTGTGGTACTGAATAAGTCTTACAAGGTCTGAGGGTTTTATAAGGGGAAACCCCTTTCACTTGATTCTCATTTTCTCTCTTGCCTTGTGGCCATGTAAGACGTGCATTTTTGCCTTCCACCATGATTGTAAGGCCTCCCCAGTCACATGGAACTGTGAGTCCATAAAATCTCTTTTTCTTTATAAATTACCCAGTCTCGGGTATGTCTTTATCAGCAGTGTGAAAACAGACTAATACACACCCCCATCTCAAAACACCTGTCTCCTATGAAAGTAAATCTTGTATCTGCTAAAATGGAGTAAGAAAAGAGTAAGACAGGAATGCCTGTTTTAATCTTCAGATACTTGCTATCTAAAATTGACTTCAAATAAGGCAAGATACCAGCAATATTATCAATGGAAAAGAAAACTTGCCCCTGTGTTAATCAACATCCAACCAGAACAGAAATAGCTTTAGGTATGTCAAACAGAGGGAATTTAAAGGAAATTGCTTATAAAGGTCTTGAAATGTCCAGAAGAGGAAAAGGAACAATTTGACCATAAGCCATAATTATCATTCATAATTACCATTCATAATTACATCCCCATTTCCTAGCACAATACCTGGCATATGGCAAGGGTTCAATAAATATTTATTGAATCTATGATTACACTTGTGGGTGAGATTTGGTCTGTCAACCTAGGAAGGCCACAAATTCTCCTGGAAAGCATACCTTCAAGCAGCTATATGACTCTGGTAATTCAGTGAATGTGTACGTGTGTTTTGGCATTCGGTAGGAAATCATGTGCAAAGCCTTCTGTTCAAAACCTCTCAATGGATAATATTTACTGAGCATCTATTAGGCTCTAGTTACTTTCTATGCACTTTTTAAGCACTTTGCAATATTAACATTTATAATAACTCTATGATAACGTGTTCATTGCTCCGCATTTATAGATGATGATGAAACTGAGGCAAAGAGTTTTTAAGTAACATGTCTAAAATCATAAAACAAGGAAATAGTGGAGCCAAGCTTTCATTACACAGTCTGGCTCTAGAAGCTATGCTCTTAATTTCCACACCATATGCCTCCCCACAGCTGATGTGATGAAGGCTTAGCCCACTTTTCCACCTTTGTTTTCCATTTTCCCCACTGTTCTCTGGAGGCAGACACCAGCTAGCTGTTTCCCCAACCTCATGTTTTCTTTTCTTTCTGGGCCCACAGCAGAATGTATTTTCCAGCCCTTGCTCGTGGTTATTGTAGCTGGGTGGCAGAATTTTAGCCAGAAGAATGGGAGCAGAGGTGATATGCATCCCTTCTGGGCCTGACCCATTAAGCCTTTCACATGTGGTGGCTGTATGTTCTTTCTTGTTCTTTCAGTTTGAGGAAGGTGAGTGATATGGTTTGACTGTGTCCCCACCCAAATCTCATCTTGAACTGTAGCTCCGATAATTCCCATGTATTGTAGGAGGGACCAGGTGGGAGGTAATTGAATCATGGTAACGAGTCTTTCCTGTACTGTTCTCGTGGTAGTGAATAAGTCTCATGAGATCTGATGGTTTAATAAAGGAGAGTTCCCGGCTAGGCGCGGTTGCTCACGCCTGTAATCCCAGCACTTTGGGAGGCCGAGGCGGGTGGATCACAAGGTCAGGAGATCGAGACCTTCCTGGCTAACACAGTGAAACCCTGTCTCTACTAAAAATACAAAAATTAGCTGGGTGTGGTGGCGGGTGCCTGTAGTCCCAGCTACTCAGGAGGCTGAGGCAGGAGAATGGTGTGAACGCGGGAGGCAGAGCTTGCAGTGAGCCGAGATTGCGCCACTGCACTCCAGCCTGGGCAACAGAGCGAGACTCCGTCTCAAAAAAAAAAAAAAAAGGAGAGTTCCCCTACACAAGCTGTCTTGCCTGCCGCCATGTAAGACATCCCTTTGCTCTTCTTTCGTCTTCTGCCATAATTATGAGGCCTCCCCAGCTATGTGGAATCGTAAGTCCATTAAACCTCTTTCCTTTATAAATTACCCAGGCTTGGGTGTGTCTTTATTAACAGCATGAGAACTGACTAATACAGTGAGCATGGAAAACTTGGATGCCACATGTAGAAGAGTTGGAGCCACAAAATAGAAGAAGGCTGGATCCCTGAATATTGCTTGGAAAAAAGAGTTGAGAATCAATCAGGAACATCTGTGCTAGACTTTGAGTGAACAAGAGATAAGCTTCTGTCAATTTTGTGCCATTATATGTGTTGGAGTTGTTTTGTTACAGCAGCTATAGATATGTAAATAGATCTACCTACTGTCCTTTGAAAATGCCTTTCCCTTAGAATTCTCATTCTCTCCTTCAGTTACTCACATCCAAAAATTATTTAAGGCCTAAACCAAGTCCAATCATCTTCAAGCAGCTTTCTTCCACTCCCACCCACCATAGAGATAGATCTCTCTTTCCCTTACCTTCCTGTAGCACTTTGTTATCTATACCTCTCATGTGCACTTACCCCAGCTCCAATTCTGGATGTCTTGTTCTCCTAGTGAGATTGTGAGCTCTTCAAGGTAAGGATCATGTCTTTGTGCTTCCTTCTTTTGTGACTCTGAAGTGCATAACATGGTGATGTGCCTTGGGAATTTTCAATAAATATTCATGGGAAAAATGAACATATCAATGTATTAAGCTCAATAAAGTCCGTTTTCCTAAAAACAGTCCTTCATTGCTGAAGTGTGAAAGCATGTAAACTATAATCTAATGGATTTGGTATTTTTATTATTCTTTTTTACTAATATATACATTCTAACACTTTTTGACCACTGCTTAGAGAAAATAGAAGGCATGCTTATCAAATTTCAGATGGCACGAATTAGAAGTAATAAGTAATGCACGAGATAACAGAATCAAAACTAGACAAATTAGAAATAAGTAAATAACATTTAACAGGGATAACTACAAAATTAGATTTTAAAAGAACAGGTACCCAATTTCAGTATGGAAAGACATGGCTAACATCAGGTTTTAATTGGCTGCTAGACTGACATGAGCCCAGAGTGGTACACAGAACCCTGTTCATAGTTAGACTCAGGGCACTGAGTGGTAGGTGAAATATTCAGGCTCCAACAAGGCACAGGCATGAATGAAGATTGCTAGATGGTGGCCAGCTAGAGACAGATGGAGCCTCAATGTCTGGTAAAGTCTGCAGTAAAGAGCAGAATGAAGTCCTATACTTTATTTAACCCGGGAGCTAAACAAATAAACAATATATAATAAGAATAAATAGGCTGGGTGCAGTGGCTCACGCCTGTAATCCCAGCACGTTGGGAGGCCGAGGCAGGCGGATCACCTCAGTTGAGGAGTTTGAGACTAGCCTGACCAACATGGAGAAACTCCGTCTCTACTAAAAATACAAAATTAGCCAGGCGTGGTGGCACATGCCTATAATCCCAGCTACTCGGGAGGCCGAGGCAGGAGAATCACTTGAACCCCGGTTGCAGAGGTTGCAGTGAGCTGAGATCGCGCCATTGCACTCCAGCCTGGGAAACAAGAGCGAAACTCCATCTCAAAAAAAAAAAAAAAAAAAAAAGAATAAATAATGAACTAATTTAAAAATAAATAAATTTTATATTTAACCAGGGCAAGCTTAAGGTAAAAGATCAACTTTCACCTGTAACTTTGATGGAAATCCTCCATCTGAGGACACCATTAAGTGATTTCTGACGCTAAACTGGGGCTAATGGGGCTGCCTGGATCCCCTAAGAATTTTGCTTTAGAAGTACTACCTAGTCGGTCTTAAAGGTTTGTTATTTTACTTTTGGTCCCACTTCCCAATGTCAGTGTCAGAGCTGTCCTTGAGACTCCTCAAATTTGGGCAGGGCGTGGTAGCTCATGCCTGTAATCCCAGCACTTTGGGAGGTGGAGGCGGGTGGATCACCTGAGGTCAGGAGTTCGAGACCAGCCTAGCCAACATGGTGAAACCCTGTCTCTGCTAAAAATACAAATTAGCCGCGAGTGGTGGCGTGCACCTGTAGTCCCAGCTACTCAGGAGGCTGAGGCAGGAGAATTGCTTGAACTGGGGAGGCAGCAGTTGAAGTAAGCCGAGATCGTGCCACTGCACTCCAGCCTGGGCAACAAGAGTGAAACTCCGTCAAAACAAAACAACAACAAAAAACAAAAAAAACTCCTCAAATGTGAAGCTGAGAATTTTGAAGCTCATTTATAAATTCACACCACCCTTGTGGGAGGGGAGAGAAGGCAGATCACATCTCTGGGCTCAGTTGGGGCAACCATTCTAGGATGCTCAGAGAGACCTGCTCCTAGAAATCCAGAGTTTCCTAAAAGCTGGGATCAGAGTTCTGGCAAGAAGGCTGTAGCCTGGGCCTTGGCCCTAGACCACCAAAAAAGTGAATACAGGCTTAGGCAGTGTTCATAGAGGCCCAGCATCTGGAACAAGGGTGCTGCTGTAGTCTGTGCTGGTCAGACCACACAGGAAGAATTGTTTATTTTCCGGATACTATGATTTTAAAAGGATACAAGCAAATTGGTGTGTATCAAAAGGAAGCTGACCAGAATGTTGAAGGGACTTGGAAACCAAATCACTAGTTACTTTTCAGTGGTTTGGGCTCCAGGACTGGAGGGGGTTTAGGGTGGGGGGTAGAGGATGGTGTTAGGCAGCATAGATAATTAGAACTGTTTTCAGATATGCAAATGCTGTTTTGTGAAAACACACACACACGCGAACACACACAAAACAAGAAAAACTTGTACTTTAGGTAAGGCCAGAAAACAGAACTGGGACCCGTGGGATTTAAGCTCAACATGAAGAATCTGTAAACCATTATAGCTCTTCAAAAGTGGGCTAGACTTTGTAAGCACGCAAGGTTTAAACTGTTCAGGTAAAGACCAGGAAGCCCTCCAGCTGCTCTGTCCAGACCGAGGCCGGCTCTCCAAGTCCGCGCTGGGGACGATGGGAGGTGTGCACCTGCGACAGAACACAGGTACCGCCAGGTCCGGGTAGCGGTGGCTTTTCGCCGAGGTCCCCCGCCTCCGCATACTTCTTGCCCTCGCTGCTTCCCCGGCCGCCTCTCCTGGCCCCACTCCTCGCCCGGCGCTCGCCGCTACAACTCCCGCCTGGGCTGGCGCGAGACCCGCGAGCGCCGGAGTGGGCGCGCGGGATGCGCGCGGGCCGGCGCCCGGAGCTCTGGGCATGCTCAGTCGCGCGGGCAGGGCTCCGGGCGCGAGCTGGGCTCCTTCTGCACCACATTCAGCGGCTGCCAAGAGGAGCCGACGGGCGCTCGCAGGCTCAGCGCGCGCTGCCCGCGGCAGGACCCGGCCGCCTCCGCCGCCGCCGCCGCCCCTAAGCCTCCCGAAGCCATGGCCGGGCTCGGCCACCCCGCCGCCTTCGGCCGGGCCACCCACGCCGTGGTGCGGGCGCTACCCGAGTCGCTCGGCCAGCACGCGCTGAGAAGCGCCAAGGGCGAGGAGGTGGACGTCGCCCGCGCGGAACGGCAGCACCAGCTCTACGTGGGCGTGCTGGGCAGCAAGCTGGGGCTGCAGGTGGTGGAGCTGCCGGCCGACGAGAGCCTTCCGGACTGCGTCTTCGTGGAGGACGTGGCCGTGGTGTGCGAGGAGACGGCCCTCATCACCCGACCCGGGGCGCCGAGCCGGAGGAAGGAGGTAACTGCCGACTCGAGGGGCGCGGCCGGGGCGCGCGCCAGGCCCTCCCCCGCCGCCGGCCGCCGTGTTGCCTGGGGAGTCGCGCCATTGGCCCTCGGGCTAGTAGTTCACAACTTCCCGTCGGGGGGCGAGTGTGTGTGTGTGTGTGTGTGTCAGAGAGTCAGAGAGAAGTTCATTGTTCACACCTCCCGGCTGCCGGCAGCCTTCTGGAGGATCCGATTCAATGTGGTTGTACGGTCTCGGGCAGGTGGGTGGGCGGGGGATTCCGTCTCACGGGCATTTTTATTTGTGAAAATTAAACGGCAGCGACGACAGTGCAACTCTGAGTGTTTCCCAGGGAGCGAGGGCCGCGAGGGGTGCCGCTCCGGTAGGGCGGGTGGAGGCTGGGCGTCCCTCCAGGGGGCAGCGCCAGTCGTGACACCGAAGCCCCCAAGTCCTGCCTGGCGCTCGGAGCAGGACAAGCTGGATGAATTAACGGGGTGTCGGTGCCCACAGACCTGGGGCTTCTCAAGTTAGTTTTCAGTGGTGGCGAGTGAGTCCCAAAGAACGGGACTAGTAAGTGAATGAATGGAAGGAAAAGTGTTTTGTTGGTGAGCTGTGCTAAATGTGTGCATGAATGGGCTAGGTTTGAAAAGCTGTACTCTGTGCGGTGTTGGGTGTGTGTGCTAGCGAGCGTGTTTAATTAGAGATGGTTGTTTCACAAATTCCATAATTTTTATTCTCTATATTTTTAAACTCACAGCAATTAAGAGAGTTTTTCTGTTCTCAAGGGTTGTAACTACTTTGAAATACTGCAGCTTGTGAAATGGCTGATTGCTTTAAGTGCAATGTAGGTTAGTGGGGAGAGACAAATAGAGTGAGATTGGATTTTAAAATGCCATCTGGCCTGGGATTCTTCTCATTGCCAGTTAAGAGCCCAGGCTCAAGACTCCGTTGCTATTGGCATCCAGTGGCATTGCAAGAAGCTAGTGGTTTCTTTCATTTCTGGAGATTTAAGAATTTTTTTTCTATTTTGTCTGTATTCACTTCACATTGGAAATGCCTCATAGAGCTTATGATAAAATATGCTTATTCCTCACCTGCTCCACTACTTGGTTGATGGAATGCCACATGGTCTGAGAAAATAAGCATATTCTACTAATTTCTCATCGAGATAATCAGCTTTTATTTCACCCTCCATTAACAGAAAACCAAAAGAGTAACAGATCTCTGCTAGCCCTTTGATGTCTTTGCCACACCTCTCCATCTTTGAGTCTGTGAGATGTCCCACTCTTTTAAACTGATAAGGAATGTAATCCCATTTGAATACTTTCTAATGCGTTCTAGGCCAAATGGCAGAGCTATGGTTTGAACTTAAAAGAGCAAAATCGATTTCAAAACCCTTTCAAAATGGCACTCTTTTGATGAGAGTAGTCCAATTTCTTCTCAAGAGACTGTCACCATATTTATTCACCCATTTCATTTTATTCCTATAATAAAAGCTTCCAAGCTTTGGCCTCCCTGATACCTAAGTGAGCAGTGATCTTTTTCCCCTGCCTAGATTTTGAAGCATACATTTTAAATTGGTTTAATTCTGATATCAGCCTGGTGGCCCACTGCCAGAAGTCACATGGTGTAGTGGATAAAAACATTAGACTGAATCTCAGCTCTACCACTTTCTAATTCTGTGACCTTTAGGGAGTGTCTCTTGCCTCAGTTTTCGCATCTATACAGTGGACATAATAATACCTGTTTCACAAAGTTGTTGTAATAGATGTATTAATCTACCTGAAATTCACAGGACAGGACATTTGATGAATGTTGACTATTATTATTCACTTAACTATGGATCAGGGAAGATTTACTCCGTTAATAAGAAGTCAGCTATACACTGATGTAGTTAGTGACATCTCTCTACTATGTGATACTGCCTCTGGGTTTGGGTCTCCTGCTGGTGCCTGCCTTTGCATTGCACATGATCTGGGTCACCAGGGTAACAGGCCTCCCAGGCAGGGAGAGGAATATGGGCAGTCAGTGTTGGATGGGATGCTTCTGGAGGGCAGAGTCATGTAGGGCAATGCTTGTAGAAATCTCTCACGGCACCAGCTCACCGCCTTGGTAGGTGTTAATGCTTGTTGAGTGAGTGGATGAATGAATGAATGATGAATGAAATGCTAATACAAGAAGATAGTTACTTCAAGACCCTCTATGGATTGCTGTATATTTTTTTCATGTGATGTCTGCATTCCCAACTGTGAAAATCCACAGTAGCCAAGGAATTATTTTAAAATTATTGTCACTGATCTCTGCCTCTAGTCTTGTCAATTTTCCATTCCATTCCCACACTGTAGCCAAGCTGGTCTTTTAAAAACTCAGATCTGATCCTGTCCCTTCTCTGACTAAAATTCTCAAGGGGCCCCCACTGAGCTTAGATAAACCCATTGAGCTGGGCTGTGCTTGCCTTTCCAGCTTCAGCTTCACCTCTGATCCCACCCCAAGCATCCCCTGATCCATGGATCGAGCGAGGTTCTTTCACTGAAGCTCACCAGACTATTGCTTTTATTTTGTCCGGGTACTCTTCCTCTTTCCTCTCTTCCCTTTTATCTGTCTTAAGTTCTCAGCTTACTGTTATCACTATTATTAGCTAATATTTATTGGGTACTTGCCACTTGCCATACACCATACCAGATTTATGATGTGCATTTCATTAATACTCACATCAACTCTTTGAACTCAATACTATCATAATTCCTATTTTAAAGTTGGTGAAACTGAGGCCTGGAGAGATTAAATAAATTGGCCAGGGTTATAGAGTGTAACCTGTAAAACCAGGATTTGAACTCGGGTTTAGAGAACTCCAAAGCTCTAGTCCCACTTAGACATCACTTTTCCAAGCATGGAATTGGTTCTCCTTTTATGAGCTCCTAAAACGCTATAAACTTCCTTTTATATATATCATACCACGTGATAATTGCCTGTTTACCGTTCTGTATCTCCCACTATTATGTAACCTGTCAGGGCTAGGATCATGTCTGTATTGGTCAACATTTTGTCACCAAGGCCTTGTATACAATAGGCATGTAGCAAATATTTTGTTGAACAAGTGTTCTCATTATTTTAGATTAACCTTAATTCTCCCTCCTTATGACATATTTGGTGTTTCACAAGCATTCCCAATCAGTAAGGTCCCAAAAGTTCTATTATGAACGTAGGTGGTTTATAGCTGTTTCTTCTTCTCCCTTTCCCTGTCCCTGCCTCTTTCTATTGTTATTGTTGTTTTGTTTGTTTTTATAAAAATCTTGAGAAATTCCTTCTTAATCAAAACATCGTGTTTCATTTAATGACTTTTCTTCCTTGGAATTCAAGAAAGTATTCCTGTGAAAGCCCAGTGTTTGCCTGAATGGGGCCTCAAAGATTAATAAAACACAGGCCCTGTGTGCAGGAAGCCTAAGTTTTAGTGAAGGAAACTGTATTTACAGAAAGTCAGTAAATAATGTTAATTGTCTAATAATGTTGTATCTTTAGATTTTGAGTATTTTTTATGTTTAATACTTTAAAGAAAAATAAGCCGTTAGAGGCCTATCAAATTTTACATGACTCCAACTTACTTTTTAGGGAAAAAATGCAACTTCTCTGTTTGTTTGTTTTTAGAGACAGGGTCTCACTCTGTCACCTAGGCTGAAGTGCAGTGGCATGATCATAGCTCACTGCAGCCTTGAACTTCTGGGCTCAACAATCCTCCTGCTTCAGCCTCCCAAAGGGCTGGGATTACAGGCACGAGCCACTGTGCCTGGCCAAAAGTCAATGTTTAAATGTCAAATAATGTAAACAAATAATCTAAAAGATGATGTAGGAGAAATAACAGGGTGTGAGGATTGAATTTTTTAAATTAAAACTTTTGTGTAGATAATTAATGCCTACAGTGCCAAAATCAAAAGGTACAAAAGGATATGCAGTGAAAGTGGGTGTTGCCCTTCTACGCCCACTCTTGCACCTGCCTAACCAGTTCTCCTCCTTAGAGGCAACTACTAATGCCAATTTCTTGAGTTTCTGTCCAAAGGTTCTTAGTACCTAATGAATGATTAACTGACAAAACTTAACTTAAGCAAAATTGCAAAATATATCCTGTTTTGCAAAAGGCCCTTTTGCCCCTTTACTTTTTTTTTAAATTTATTTGTCATGTACCCTGTTGACTAGGATTGCTCCTTTTTAACAGCTATTTTATCCTTTCCCAGGTACCAAGTGTTAGTATGTGGGGTAATTTTGTCTTGGAGAAAACCACACAAATGCATTCTTACAAAGTGATAATAGCTTTAATTATTGTTTCCTTGAGCTTTTGCATTTGTAGGGGCCTCTTCAGGAAGAAGTCAATGCTTAGCACCAGGTAATAAATCCCAAAAGTGGAATTAGGCATCAAATGGGGGAATGGGGACATAAATGGAAGGGATGGGGAATATAATTTGGATAGATGTTCCCCTTTTATTAGGGTACTTAGTAGGACCTATATATTTTGGTTCTGGGTTTATTCTCTGGTTAGGAAAAAGCCTAAATATGTTCATCCTGGAGGCAAGTGAACATCAAGATAATGTCTAATAGCTATAGCTAACAAATGCCAAGTTTTTGAATGTGTGTGAATCCTAAAAGGTGGTATTATTAACCCTATTCAAAAGATAAGGAAACTGAGGCTCAGGTAACTGAGGTTAAGTGACTTGTCCAAAGTCATACACAGTAATAAGTTGCAGAAATGAGGTTTTTATGAAAATCTGAAGGTCATTTTTTGCATGAAGTGCTTGTTGCCAGTTGCGGTTAATCCTAACATAACATTAAATCTATGTAGAATAACTACTTAAATCCCATTTTACACATTAGTGATATGCAATCTAACTCGAACACTAAGTGAATTATTTTACTTCCCTTCTCTCGTAAATGAGAATATGTTGTTTTCACTTTAGTTTAAAAATAACAATTCAGTCATTTATATAACCCCCTAAATGGCCTAGGCACAGTTTGTGCGTAATTGTATCTTATTTACCAGCATAGTGGATGATTGCATTTTTAAATGCATAAATTTCCTCAAACTTCTGTTTAGTTTCAAGTGAGAAAGCTGCCCCAAACCATAATTAGAAATTATTCTGACACCAAGATGGAAAGTGAATGTGCTGGAGGCTCTTCACATGGCAGCAGATTAACAGTTCTTGATAAATCATCACCGCCAACTAGTTAGAACAACTGCTCCTTTTCAGGATTTTTTTTTTATTGTTTTGACTCTTCTACATGGCCTTGGCAGTAACGTTTGGAAATTGATGTGTCCCAGAGACTGGGATGCATCCAATAATGTAGTCTCTTCCTGTGCAGCTGATCTTGAAAGCCTTGAAAATAAGGAACAAAATGACTAGGGAGTGACTTCTATTAGATACTATTAGCTGAAAATGAGCTTTCTGCAGAGATTCTTAGACTCATTAGAGAACCATTATAAGACTAAGAAGGCAGGGCTAGATCCCTTGTAATTCAGATATGCTGGAAAATTGCCTTTGCATGTATTTGAATTCTTATTAAGCTCAGATTTCTTCAAAATTAGTTTTTATTATAATAATGGTAGGTATCCATCCATTAATATAAACCACAAAAACAGAAAAATCTACTTACAACTTTTCAACAAACAGATTTACCTTCCACTGCCTTTGTGTCATAAGTAAATTGTTTGTGGCATCTTATGATTCTCAATATAAATTTGGAGGTGCATGTTTTAAAAATGAGTGCTAGTTATTAATTTTATGGGCTTTTGCTACTAAAATCTGTAACCATTTCAGAAAGCCTCATTTTTTGACTGGAGATCTGGATATGTGTAGTGTTCCTTCCTGCTTATCAAGGGAGTACCATAATTAAAGAGAAAATGACTAAAACCTTAATAAGAGAGAAAAAAGTTTCATTTATATCTTATACAGAACATAGTGCAGTATTTATTTCAGGTTGTCCATAAATATTTACTTACATAACTGAATCCTCTGAACTTCCATCAAAATATTCCCCTGACCTTTGAAGTTAGCTTCCATCACTTCCCCTAAACTGATATTAGATATTAAATCTGTCAGACATCTCAGGCTCATTTCATAAGCAGGGGCTTTTCATCTGAATGGACAAGCAGGCATAATCTCAAGCAACAAATCCCATTTTAAAATGTGTGTGTGGTGTCTGTAGTCCCAGCTACTCAGGAGGCTGAGGCAGGAGAATCACTTGAACCCAGGAGGTGGAGGTTGCAGTGAGATGAGATAGCACCACTGCACTCCAGCCTAGCAACAGAGCAAGACTCTGTCTAAAAAAAAAAAAAAAAAAAAAAAAGTGTGTGTGTAATGTCATCCTAGTTCACTTTGTCATTATCAAGTAATTTAATAATGTACATCATTTTCCTGAAGCTGATGCTGCTGAAGGAGCAGTAGCATCACATAGAAAGGAATAAATCACCAGACTTTAGACTTTTGTTGCTAAATGTTTAGATTATCCAAGCAACTATGACAAGAGGAATCAGCATGAAAAAGTACAAAGAAAAGTACAAACTAATACAGGGTTGGTTTAATTTTGTCCAACAAATCAGTGTGGACAAGAACCCGACTTAGTTTAGGTTAGCAAATTAAAAGGACTATATCATTTAAGCTGCTTTTGCAGCTGGATGGGCTTATAGGGGTAAGTTATCATTCCAGTGAAGATACATACATCAGCATTTTCCTCTGTTTGAATATGTGTAAGTAAACCTTTGCCTTTATTAAAAGACGTTTTGGGCTGGGTGTGGTGGCTCACGCCTGTAATCCCAGCACTTTGGGAGGCCAAGGTGGGCGGATCATGAGGTCAGGAGTTCAAAACCAGCCTGGCCAACATGGTGAAACCCCCATCTCTACTAAAAATACAAAAATTAGCTGGGCGTGCTGGCAGGCGCCTGTAGTCCCAGCTACTCGGGAGGCTGAGGCAGGACACTCACTCGAAACGAGAAGGCAGAGGTTGCAGTGAGCCAAGATCACGCCACAGCACTCCGGCCTGGGCAACAAGAGCGAAACTCCGTCTTCATCCTTTTGCCTTGATTCTGTCGTCATTATTTTGCTTAAGAAATATTAAAGTTTTCCAGTTTTTGTGTGGCATTAATTATGAGTGCCATGATTGCGTGAAAAATGACTGCTTTTGATAGTAAAGGGATAATAGTTGTGTTACTCATATCTGTTAGTACATTCAATAACTGTCTATTATGTCCAGGCTGAATGTTTGGTGCTGGGGAGATACAGATGAATTAGACACTTCCACTGCCCCTGAGGATGTCACAGTCCAGAGAGGGAGGCAGATCAGTGACAGACACTTGCAGAACACGGGGGCAGATTTTATGACAGACCTCAGCCCAGTGCCATGGAAGCTCAAGAAGATGTGTCTCACCCACACCAAGGCTTCCCAGAAGGAGCGATTATTGAGTGAGAATTAACCAGGGGAAGGCAGAGAAGAGCAACCTTCCAGATACAGAGAACAGGATGAGATAAGATGGGGGTAATAGTCCAGTGAAGATTAATTTTATTAATGTTGAGAAGATGTAGAATTGAGAAAAACTCACCCGTGCCCTCTCAGATCTTTTGAAATTTCAGATCCAATTCCAAGTTCACCAAAAGAAACAGGTACAGAACTGTATTACTTTGTTTTGGGTCTAGAGGGATTTGGCCACTTTGCACACTTCATTTCTAAGTGTACTTCCCTCTTACTCTTATCCACATGCTCCATAATGGTCTGGAACCCCTTCTAGGATTCCTGACTGGCACAGTTTGGGAACAATGTAGCCCACTCTGGAGTTGACTAAAGTCTACTTTAAGTCTGAAACTTAAACATTTCCTGAGTTTGCCATTTAGATTCTGGTAAGGCACTTTTTTGGTGGTGGAGGGTGGGGGGGTCCTGTAAGTTATCAGTATATTCTTTGCTGGGGGTTTTCCCCCTTGACCCATAATTTGTTACATGAGGGTGTATCAGGAAAACCTGTCATCTTGTAGTATGTAGTTATATACAGATGCTCCTCAACTTATAATGGAATTACATCCGGATAAACGTATCTTAAGTTGGCAATATCATAAATTGAAAATACACTTAATACTTGTAACCTACCGCACGTTGTAGCTCACGCTACACTACCTTAAACATGCTCAGAACATTTACATTAGCCTATAGTTAGACAAAATCATCTAACACAAAGCCTACTTTAAAATAAAGTATTGAATATCTCATGTAATTTATTGAATACTGTACTGAAAGTGAAAAACAGAATGGTTGTATGAGTACTCAAAGTATGGTTTCTACTGAATTCATATCACTTTTGCACCATTGTAAAGTCAAAAAATTGAAAGTTGAACCATCATAAATTAGGGACCATCTGTACATTACCCATGTCAATGACAAATAAGACAAAACTAATTTCTATTTGCTGTTGAAATTATTTTTATTCACAAATCTCTCCATCTTGACATTAGTCACCATTGAATCTCAAGTGCAGCGTAAACTGAGAATGCATCTATAATTATGGGTTGAATTTTGCATGAGCTACAGGAGGCAGCCAGGTGGGGATACCCACTGTCCTGGGGGCAGGAGACACTGGTTTTGATTTTTGCAGTGATATTAAGATCAAATAGCTGAGGGATTTTTTTTTTTTCTTTTTGGAACCCGGGTTGTAGGGGAGAGAAAGTGTAGGGTGGGAAAGAGATAAGAAGATGGGAGAAAGTGGATGGGGAGCTGATGATAACTTACATTTGTGAAATGGAATTGGAGTTTGATAAATAAAAAATACTGATTTTATTCAACCAAAGACATTATACTTTTTCTGCTTAATTAACTAATCATATGAACTCATGCCTTGTTAATGATAATCCATTATGAGATGCAGTTGAATTTGCTAAATCTATTTCAAAAGCTCTGCTTACTCAACCATTTATAGCACATTTGACAAGTAATTTTTTCTATAGAAGACTTTAAATAAAAACCATTGAAATAGTGTAAGATCCTAGACCCACATACTGTCTGCCATCACACATCACTTTCCTCAGTGTCTGTCAGTTGATGTTTTTGTGTGGTGAATGTGAACCAGTGGCCTGAAGAAATGGAGAGTAAATGGTGATGAGGTATTGCTGTAAGTTGTGTTTTCTGTTATAACTAAGTCTTGACTTACCCATGGTAATTCTTTCTTACAAACCTTCCATATATGTGTGCTGGTTTCTATTCCTGATGCTGAACTGTTAGTTTTCTAATATTTAACTTTTGGCTTCCAAAACTACATGAAGTTATTTTTCTAAAGAAAGACAAAAAAAAAGAAAAAGATACCTACTTAAAAGTAGCCTTCCTATAATTAGCTGTGTACACATGTTAGCCAAATAAGGTATAGATGTAGTCATTTTTAGCCTGAAATGATTGAAAAAGGTGAAATTAATGAATTAATCTTGGTGCAGTTTCAAAATAGTAATGGAAGAAAAACATAGCCATTTTATTCTTTTAATTATTTTTTTCAGTCATAAGGGAACCATCATTTCAGGAAGAAAGATTATTATTACTACAGTTTGGCTTTAGGTCATATTTTAGGCCATTTATGATGTAATCATATTTTCCAGCTCAAGAGTTTTGTGTGAAGAGATTTAGATCTAGTACTTTATTTTGAAATACCCAAACCATTTTTTAAATCTTGTTTTTGGAATTTTCTAACTTTCTGCATGCCATCCTAGTTCTCTGTCAGGGACCCTGGTTTTCCAGCTCCCTTTTCTCTGAAAAATACACAGTTGGGATGTTGAAGGGCCCTAGTCGAAAGGTTATTGATTTCTTCACTTTCGTCTTTTGTTACTCTCAAACTAAACATCATTAAGGCTTCGGCCTCCCTAATCTCTGAGTCTTCCCAAGTCACCCCAAATGTAGAAACAGTCCAATTATGACTAGAGCACAGCTTCAAGACAAGGTTTTTGTACCATTTTTTCCCCAATTGCTGCTCTCTACCCACTAGTGGGTCATGAAATCAATTTAGTGGGTCATGACCAGATCTTTCATTTTTATTGTAATAGAATCAGTAGAAAATGTCAGAGTGTACTGCAACATAGCGTCATAAGGGTAAGTATTGTTTCATAAAACTTGTTTCATTTTTACACACTATGTTTGTGTATACTGATTAGGTAAATAAATTTCTTACACTAGGTCATGGTAAAAAATAAATGTGAAAAATCGACCGCATCCCCTTTCAACTGGATTGCACCATTCAGCCTCTTTATAGAAATTCTGCAGGGCCATTCCTGTTGGCCAGTTGGGTCCTGGGAATCATGGCCAAAATCTCAGCATTACTTTCTATCCAGTCATGTTTTATTTCCTCTCACTTGTGTTGACTCCTTACGGTGATGGTTTCCTGACTGTTTGGACCCCTGTCCATTCAGCAAACTAGTGATGAGTCCATAGTTCTATGTGGCCTGGTAGGTGTGATCGGGGAACATGAAGAGGGGGAAGATTGTCAGCTTCACCATTTGCTAGAAGCTGATTCTACCTTTCCTTCTTTGGTGACAAATTTTAACCTGGTTAAGGGAAGGTTATGTTAAGACAGGAAAGCATAGTTTTCCTTCTGAACTTGCATCTTTTGCATTTTTCAGAGGCGGGGAGGGGAAAATTTGGTGGCAGCAGCATTCCCTGAATCCCTTGCCAGGGGTTGTACCCAGTAGGAAGCAGTAGCATCCAGGTGGGGGCTGAGACCTACACAGACACTGGGAGGCATCAGGATCCAACATCAGGATTTGACCACAGACACTCTTGGGGTAGGGACCGAAACTCAGCACACTTACTTTAACCCCAGCATGTGTTCAAATACAGAATGTGCTAAAATGTGATTATAATGTTCATGTCATTCTCAGATCACTGGCTAAAGGCCTAAAAGAGATCTTGGAAATAACTAGTTTCACTCTCTTTCCTTCACACTTATGCAACACTAGATAAGTGGAAATCCTGCCTTATGTAAGAATCCAAAGAAAATTTAGTTTTCTCTGCCAAGTAATCCATTTCAGCAATATTTGTTGGTAATGGTGCCTATTAAGTATGAGACATCTGGACTGGCATATAAATTGGGGTTCATTCTGACAAAGTATATATGGATGTTTAGTAATGGGTCAATCTGGGATTGCAGGGAAATGAAGCACCCAGTTTTCAGTGGTGATCCCTTTCTCCTAGCTGAGCAGCCTAGTACTAAGAGTGGAATGTATTCCCTTATATATGCTCTTCTATGCCCCAAAAATGAGTGCCTTGAAGATTCTGATGAGAGACATTAATGATAGAGGCAAACAGTGTGTGGCTGTGACTGGAAAAATTGTGTGTTTGTAGGAAAAGGGCTTGGAATTGTGAGACTTGGAGCTGTAATTACATGAGAAAAAATGGGGAGTGCAGTTGTCATGTCCATGTCTGCATTTTTCTTTGTGAGCACTGAGCTGGATAACTGAAGCCTCTGAGTGGTTTGCAGAAAAGCAGGATTAATACTGCTTCTAAACTGTCCAGTCCTCAGAAGGAAGTTTCTTGGTGAGTGGATGGGATAATATGGATTTAAGTTAGAACATTTTCTTGAAAGTAAATGCCAAAAAACACACAAGATATAGCTTGTTGGCCTCAATACAGCTGAGGGCTCAATTATGATTTAGAACACGCTCCCTGAAACACTCGCCTGCCCTGAGGTCAACCTAATGACTGGAAATTCTGCAAATGTAACAGCTACTATCACTTGGTCTGTTTTTATAACATACACACACACACATACACAGGTTTGGATAAAATCAGTTTTCTAACAGTGCTCTGCTTGTGAATGCTTGGTGGTATTGTGGATTATCAAAAATGTTTACAGGGATTCTTGAGTTACATTATTTCAGTGATCGTTTAGCCAGGAGAAAGTTTTTGTTGTTGTTGGTTTGCTTTAATGAATTGTGCCTTTTTTACTGGGCTCTTTCAGCCTGTGATCACCTCCATGCAGGTCGTCTTGATTTCATCATTGGGATGGGCTTTTATGGTGCTATCTGTGGAGGAGAAAGCATATATGCAGTTCCTAGAACTTCCCTACCCTTCTTTACCTTCCTTTTTTAGGGGAGCTCCTATAACACTATGAGTTTGTTCTTTTACTCTAGGTCTAGATGGTGATTTTCAAATTTTAAGTTCAACTCGTAAGTGGATCGTAAAATTACTCTAGTAGGTCACTCCAGTTTTTTTTTTGTTTGTTTGTAAAGGAACTGAAATAGAATAGAAAATATCAGAGTGTATTCGCAACCCATAATATAGCTAGGTAATGTTTCATGTAACCTTTGTTTCATTTATACACATGCACGCATCTACGTGTTCCCTCTTATGCTATAGGTTGCAACATAAAGTGTACTTCTTAGTGTAGGTCATTGTCAAGAGGCTTTATTTATTTATTTATTTATGTCGTTGTTGTTGTCAACAGGTTTTAAATCTACTTATCTAGGAGACCAAAAAATACCTTAAATAAATGCTGTCATTTTAGCTTTTGTTGCCATTCTTTGTTGTTTGCAGCAACAGAATTTTGGCATGTGTCAAAGGCACTTGACTTCCATTGAGCAAATGGGCTGTTTGATCTCAGGGCACTGGGTTTTTCATTGCCTATTAGGAAGGTAAAGCCATTCATCCAAAGGCAGCAAAATGCAGGGGATGGCGAGGAAGAGAAGGAAAACAAACAGTGTAGGTGGAAAGTCTCAGGCTCTTCCCAGTAAACAGGCATTTTCAAATATCAAAGACTCCCCTGCATTAATGCTACAGAGTATTTCTGTACACTTTGAAGTGATACACTCATTTGTAAACCAAATTATAATGTTGTGATATTATAGCCCAGGATGGCAGGTGTTCAGAAAGCATACCACTTATTAAAATGGCCATATGAAAGCCTAGTACATTTTCTGTTCTATTGATTCCAGTCTCATTTCTACTGCTTCTACTTTCCTCTGCTCCTCACTGAACTGCCCACCTGCTCCCAGACCCACAATCACTCGAGATATCAAATCAGCACAAGATTCAGTCTTCATCACCCCTCTAGCATGCATACCTCTCACTCAACCCAGGTATCTAGAGACACATGCTTCTAAGCTGACTCAGGAGGCAGACTTGCTTGACTCCTGGGGCACTTTTGAGAGGGGGCGTTCTCTTCCTTTCCATGTGCCCTGAGGACTGGCAGGGGACAGCTATAAATTCAAATTGTGGTTCCAGTGCTTATTAGCTGTGTGGCCTTGAGCAAGTACAGCATCACTTTCATCATCTGTAGTGTTGAGGTGGTTTTGACTACCCTATAGCATTGTTATGGTGAATAAATGCAATAATACAGGTAAGGTACTGAGCAGTACCATGCACAGAGTAGCTCTTCCATCAGTGATCAGTCCCTCTTCTTTCTGCCTTTATATGCTTTTTGTCTTTCTAAAGGGCTGCTATTCAAGCCCCTAAGGATTGAGGCTGTGCCCTTCTCCTGCTATCTTCTCTTCCTGGAAACTGGAGACCTCCATCCATTGGGCTGTGGCCAGACCACCTGTGGCCTGCCCAGACTGAGATTCTGTCCAGCAGTTGGCATTCATTGCTCTTGTATTTTGGACCCCTATGCTGACTCCACCTGAAACATGCCAGGAGGATGGTAAGACCATTAGAGATATGCACTTGATCCTCAGCTGGCAGCCGGGCCAGTCACCCAGCGCCTGTGCCACTCTACAGGCAGGTCTCTTGTGGGCACTGGCCTCTCTCCAGCTCATGGTTTTAGGAGTAGGTCATCAGACTCAACTGAGTCAAAAGGTACTACCCTTTTTATAATTTCTCTTCATCCTCTGATCTTCTAAGTGAATGAATACTTAGAGATATTTCTGCCATTAAGCTTATCATCTGATCTTGAACTAGTCATATATTAGCATTTGAATTCACATTTTAAGTATCTTTACACATTCGATATATTTTCCATTTTAAGTACTTAAAAAATTCCTCTTACATTGCAGGTGAAATTCCACCTGGAATTGAGTCTCAGTTCCACTTCTCAGTTACATCATCTCAGGCAACTCAAAAGTTTCAGTTTCCTGTAAAATACCTTTATGCCTTCTTCCCAAGGATGCATGAAGATCAAAGTTTTTTGAATGCTGTGATGCTTTATACAACAGTGATTACAGTGGCAATGTTATGATGAGTGAAGGATTGTACGTATGGTAATAGTAACATTATTATTTATGGACTGGCGATAACTAGCCTATTCTTGATGATATATCGGATTGACTAGATTTGACCAATATCCTTTGCACAATAACTGTGACACCAAGCTGTGACAACCTTAGAGAGAGGTCCTGATAGAAAGAGACTACTCTTAGAAAGCTTCGGTCACCTGTAAAGACCCAGACCTACCACTTATTAGCAAGGTGAACTTGGCCAAAAAAACTTTTGATACAGGTTTGTCACCTGTAAGAAAGGGTGACACTACTTTTATTTATTCAACAGGCAATTGTTGTTTAGTGCCTACTACATGCAAAACATAAAGTAAACAAATATGATGCCTGCCCTCATGGAGCCTGTAGTTTAATTGGAGAGATAAGCATGAAATAAATAATCGCAAATATATGTGTAATTAAAAATACCAGTAAGTGTCCTAAAGAAAAAACGCAACTTGTCTCATAAAGTTGTAAAATGTCAATAAGAGACCTTACTTGCAAAAGACCTGAGTATCAGCTTTTAGATGAGACCGGTGTTACCTGTGTTGCAGAGGAATTAGTGGATTACCCATGCTGTTGCTCCTGTTTGTATACCTCTGATTTTATTCTTAGGAATATTCCCTCTCTCTGCTGGAAGGGACAAGAATCCTGCCCCTGTACTCCAGCACCATGGGCACCTGCTTCTGGCCAGCTCTGACTTCTTGACCCTGTAGTCTACCTCTCTCTCCAGTACAAACACACCTCTTCTCCACCTCCCAACTTCATCTGCCACCTGTTCCTGCTGCCATGCTTTCCAGAGATCCAGCCCCACCTGCTTGGACTTTCACCCACCACACATGCATCTCCGTTGTGCTTCATGTAGTTTTCAGGTTCAGAGACCCCTTCCAGTGTTATACACCTTCTCCCAGCTAATCCTTCACCCGCAATAAACAACAGCAGTATCGTTTATCCTGTATTTACTGGGTGCCAGCACTTTAAATCCATCATTCTCTCTAGCTGTCTTGGCCCCCTTCCAAGCCCTGGAAGCCATCTGGCTATTAGAAGAAATAAAGTGTCCCTTGTTCAATAGGTCTGTTGGTCAGCCTCATCATTCTGCTGATGGCCCTACCCCACCATGACTCTTATTCATTTCATATGCTCAGGTAGTGCCTTGGTTCCATTAACTGGGTTTACATCTTGACCCCTTTTGTTGGTTTCCTACCTAGATTCCCTGCAAAAGACCCCAAGGCTGACCTCTAGTCCTCATATGAGAGAATCTCTCAAACATACTGCTATGTCCTCTTGGTGCCATGTTCTGCCAACCTTCTCATATGTCTGCATTGGGCCAGACACCAACCTGCCTTATGCTGGCCTGTGCCCTCAGCCTAGCCCCTTCTGTGGGGGCCCCTGATGCCAGCTGCCATTCTGAGTCTTCTTTGTTTTGCCCAGAGTCGGAACCATCCCTGGTCACTGGCCTTGTGCTATTGGGCCATTTTACTGACGGGACTCAGAACCAATGTGTGCTTTTATATTTTAAAGTATTTACTAGATTTAGCCTCTTAGGAAGTTTGAGGTACGATAACTTGACTGAGGCACACCCTTAACTTTGTCTCTTTCCCCTTCTCCTGTAGTAACTAGCTATATAGCTTATCAATTAAATGCTACTTTTCTGTCTCAGTTTAACAAACTTGTTCTTGGAATGCTCACTAAACTGAATCTAGTCCAATTTTGTAAAATTTGTAAAATTCTTTGCTGGCAGAAAAGAAATTTCACTGTGTTTAATTAAACAGATTAAAATGTGATTTTCTCAATTGTCAAAACTGTTTTTGATAGATTTCCTGTGTTTCGTGGGGTTTTTTTATAAAAGAAAAATTATTCACATTATTGTAATTCCATATTATGTAGAACAGGAACAAAGGAAGTGATGCAGATCCTTTGGCAGAAAGGTCATTTGAGTCACTGGAGTGTCCTGAACCATAGGGGAATTAGAGCTCCTATTGATGGGATGCAGAGCACATTTCTTCAGATTAAGACACCGCTCATTTATGTGGATGTTTTTCATCTGAATATTTGTGCCAAAGGAGAGCAACAGAGGGATACTCACTTGTAAACAAAGGGGGGTGGTACAAGGAGGAAATGAATACTTCATAGAACTCTAAAATAAACCAACCAGATTTTCAGAACCTCTCACTCTTAATAATTCCTGCCATTCCTTATCTCTTAGAGCAGAGATGATTGAGAGAATTAAAGAGTAGGCTTAGTAATGGTGAAAACACAAATTCTGATTGGTAATCCAGGATAACAACTTCAAAGTAATAGACCTTGGTGTTCTAACATAGGGGTGTCCGATCTTTCGGCTTCCCTGGGCCACATTGGAAGAAGAAGAATTGTCTTGGGCCACACATAAAATACTCTAACACAATAGCTGATGAGCTTAAAAAAATCACAAAAAAATCTCCTAATGTTTTAAGAAACTTTACAAATTTGTGTTGGGCCGCATTCAAAGCCGTCCTAGGCCACATGTGGCCCATGGGCCATGGGTTGGACAAGTTTGTTCTAACAAGAAAGGATGATGAAGATGCTGGCTCCTGACTACAATGGGTGGATATTTACTGCTGAACACACAGCACTGTATAGGGTCTCCAAGGCCTCCATGTCATCCTTGGGTTAATTAAAATAAGGGATGAATTTAGGGATGCAGCCGGCTCCTCTTTCTGATGATTCAGCGTGAAGGAAGAGGGTAGTTTTGCAGAGAAGAAATCCTTCCAGTGTTTCTGTCAAGGATTAGCCTGTTGATGAGGAAATTCAGACATCAAAGGTCAGTGTAGCTTTTGGTTAACATTTTGCATAATTCAGACTGACTAAACTTACAATTCCTGGTAACTCCATTTGAATCTTTGGCAAGCCTTGGAAGTAAACGGGAGCTACCTCCAGGCTCAGACTAGCAATCATATTACTAGGTCAATGATTTTACATTCTAGTCAGATTCCTTTAGGTTGCAAATAACTGAAACATATTCCTGCAAGAAGGAGGAGGAAGATTGTAAGGATAGACTCAAATAGAAACCACAGAATCATTAGGGACATGAAGTCTCTCTTTCTACTCATGCCATCTCTTCTCACTGTCCACTTGCTTCATTCAATTCTCTGGTTTATCTTAAGCTTCCTTGTGGCCCACTCGAGTTTACTTCATATTCCTGTAACTTAGCTGCTGTGGCTTTCTGACTCAGATTTCCAGTTTCTCAACTTAAAATGTTTAAATGGAGAGCCTCATGGGCCCATGCTAATTTTTTGATGCAGGCAACCAAGTGATATATAGCTGGCCAGCCTATAAATAGACTGAATTCAGTTCAGGTGCCCAGCTCTGGTTCAACCAGATGTAGCTTCAGAGGCCAAGATCAGAGTGGGTTTGCTTAGAGCAGCAGGCATATTTTTGCATATAAATAGGCAGGCAGTGATTGGTGTCTCCTGTGTAGCTGACCTCCTCATGCTAATAAATGAATCCAAACACTGACCTGTCATGAAAGAAAGAGTGCCTTGTGTGGGGAAGCCACATTCTGATCTTTTATTCCATTGAGTTTTAAAATTCAATGATGACCACCTTTCTTTCTTCCTGTTGAAAGGTGGCCTGTCCTATATCCTTTCAGTGAGACACACGTCTCTCCTATCCTAGGTGAAATTTAAGTATAATGTAAAATGCTGTTGCTGCAGGAATAGTGTACATCAGGAAGAAAAGGGGCAAATAGGAAGAGAGAAGGAGAAGAAGAAAGGAGGAGGAACTAACTGGAAATGAAATCCTCAGTTTCTACCCAGAAACTTGATACATCTCCATGACACTAAGCCATATGCTAGAGGATTGGGGGAGGGGTGGCAGGAGAATTGAGGGAGAGGGAGAGGAAGGGAGGTGGGATTGAAACAAGGGGGCAAATAACAGGAAGGAAAGGATTTTGGATATTAGGCCTCAAAAGGTAGAAATTCCACCTTGATGTCTTTGGCGTGATGTTGCCAAAGGATAGGACTTGGAATGGACATGATCAAGTGGGCCAGGTGGGTTTTCCATTTTCCTTTTTCCTGAAAGCCCACCAGTAGACAATTGATATGGTTAGGCCTTATGTCCCTACCAAAATCTCATCTTAAATTGTAATCCTCATAATCCCCACATGGCAAGGGAGAGACCAGGTAGAGGTAATTGAATCACGGGGGTGGTTTTCCCCATGCTGTTCTCATGATAGTCAGTGAGTTCTCATGAGATCTGATGGTTTATAAGGGGCTCTTCCCCCTTTACTCGGCACTTTTCCTGCCTTCTTGTGAAGAAGTTGCCTGGCTTCCCTTTCAGCTTCTGCCATGATCGTAAGTTTCCTGAGGCCTCCCTAGCCATGTTGAACAGTGAGTCAATTAAACCTCTTACTTTTATAAATTACCCAATCTCAGGCAATTCATAGCAGTATGAAAGCAGACTAATACAACAAGTCCATGAGCAATTGCTGGGGCGGTACAGCTCACAGCATGAATGTCTCAACTTCTGACATGCCACAGTCAGACATGCACCAGAAAATAAGTGTCTGGCTGTTCCTGATGTCCTTACTGGACTGTAATATTTTGAATTTGCCATTCTAACAAGTGGTCAGAATTGCAGATGGCATTTAACTATTGGGATTGCTTCATTTGGCTTTAAAATGTAACATGAAGTCAAGTGTGATGGCTTATGTCTATAATCCCAGTATTTTGGGAGGCCAAGGAGGGAGAATAGCTTGAGGCCAGGTGATTGAGACCAGCCTAGGCAACATGAAGAGACCCTGTCTCTTAAAAAAAAATTATCTGGGAATTGTGGTACACACTTATGGTCCCAGCTATTCAGGAGGCTGAGGCAGGATGATTGGGCTTAGGAGATCAAGGCTTCAATGAGCCATGTTTGCACCACTGCACTGCAGCCTGGGCAACAGAGCAAGACCC
The DNA here is from genome assembly GCF_000001405.40 of Homo sapiens. Classification (NCBI taxonomy): domain Eukaryota; kingdom Metazoa; phylum Chordata; class Mammalia; order Primates; family Hominidae; genus Homo; species Homo sapiens. The sequence continues at coordinate 85,445,634 of NC_000001.11, read as the reverse complement.
TGTCTCAAAAATAAATAAGTAGGTAAGTAAATTAATCCAATGTAACATGATATTTTCATTGAGCATATACCCTTTAGGAAGGACAGAAGGACCTCATTATTCTTTCACATATCTTCACTTGCTTTTTACGTTAACCGTCTGTCCTAAATTGATGCCATATAGTCTGGCGTGCAGATTCACATTTGTCAAGATTTCTAAATATTTGATCTTAAGGCACTGTCTAGTATTGCACAAATCACTAATCTTTTATGCTTTTTTCTTGATAATTAAAAAAGAGTATGCTTAAAACTCCTGAATTCATCCTCGTAACCTAGTTCAGATGCCCCTCCTCCTTGAAGCACCCCACACTCCTAGAGCTATCATGTCCCCCTGTGATGCTTAATACTGAGTGTCAACTTGCTTGGATTGAAGGATACAAAGTATTGATCCTGGGTGTTTCTATGAGGGTGTTGTCAAAGGAGATTAACATTTAAGTCAGTGGGCTGGGGAAGACAGATTCACCCTTAATCTGGGTGGGCACAGTCTAATCAGCTGCCAGCACGGCTAGAATATAAACAGGCTGAAAAATGTGAAAAGAGAGACTGGCCTAGGCTCCCAGCCTACATCTTTCTCCTGTGCGCGATGCTTCCTGCCCTAGAACATTGGACTCCAAGTTCTTCAGTTTTGGAACTTGGACAGGATCTCCTTGCTCCTCAGCCTACCAATGGCCTATTGTGGGACCTTGTGATTGTGTGAGTTAATACTTAATAAACTCCTTTTTATTTATATATCTATTCCATTAGTTCTGTTCCTCTAGAGAACCCTGACTAATCCCCCTACTTTGGTCAGCACATAGCGCTCCATATTGTCCTTACTTATTTGCATGGTTACTCACACATCTATGAACTCCTTTCCCACAGCACCTGTGACCTTTTCACTTCTGAGCCTCCAGCACAGAGCACAGTGAGGAGCACACAGTAGGCGCTCAGTGAATGTCTTGAATTGAGTAGACTATATTCAGTACAGTTTAGCACTCACAACATTCTCAGGACCTACCCTGTGGGGCCACATTGTAGGTGGAACTTTGACACAGGACTTGAGGTCAGGATGCCTGTGGTTAAGCCTAGCCTTGTTCTTAAGAGTATGTGGCTTTGCCTGGGAGAGACACAACAAAAAAAGAGAATTTTAGACCAATATCCTGGATGAACATCAATGCAAAAGTCCTCAATAAAATACTGGCAAACCAAATCCAGCAGCACATCAAAAAAGCTTATCCACCATGATCAAGTGGGCTTCATCACTGGGATGTAAGGCTGGTTCTACAAATGCAAATCAATAAACGTAATCCATCCTGTAAACAGAACCAAAGACAAAAGCCACATGATTATCTCAATAGATGCAGAAAAGACCTTCGACAAAATTCAACAGCCCTTCATGCTAAAAACTCTCAATAAATTAGGTATTGATGGGATATATTTCAAAATAATAAGAGGTATTTATGACAAAACCACAGCCAATATCATACTGAATGGGCAAAAACTGGAAGCATTTCCTTTGAAAACTGGCACAAGGCAGGGATGCTCTCTCTCACTACTCCTGTTCAACATAGTGTTGGAAGTTCTGGCCAGGACAATCAGGCAGGAGAAAGAAATAAAGGGTATTCAATTAGGAAAAAAGGAAGTCAAATTGTCCCTGTTTGCAGATGACATGATTCTATATTTAGAAAACCCCGTCGTCTCAGCCCAAAATCTCCTTAAGCTGATAGGCAACTTCAGCAAAGTCTCAGGATACAAAATCAATGTGCAAAAATCACAAGCATTCTTATACACCAATAACAGACAAACAGAGAACCAAATAATGAGTGAACTCCCCTTCACAATTGCTTCAAAGAGAGTAAAATACCTAGGAATCCAACTTACAAGGGATGTGAAGGACCTCTTCAAGGAGAACTACAAACCACTGCTCAACGAATAAACAAATGGAAGAACATTCCATGCTCATGGATAGGAAGAATCAATATTGTGAAAATGACTATACTGCCCAAGGTAATTTATAGATTCAATGCCATCCCCATCAAGCTACCAATGACTTTCTTCAGAGAATTGGAAAAAACTACTTTAAAGTTCATATGGAACCAACAAAGAGCCCCCATTGCCAAGACAATCCTAAGCCAAAAGAACAAAGCTGGAGGCATCATGCTACCTGACTTCAAACTATACTACAAGGCTACAGTAACCAAAACAGCATGGTACTGGTACCAAAACAGAGATATAGACCAATGGAACAGAACAGAGCCCTCAGAAATAATACCACACATCTACAACCATCTGATCTTTGACAAACCTAACAAACATAAGAAATGGGGAAAGGGTTACCTATTTAATAAATGGTGCTGGGAAAACTGACTAGCCATATGTAGAAAGCTGAAACTGGATCCCTTCCTTACACCTCATACAAAAATTAATTCAAGATGGATTAAAGACTTAAATGTTAGACCTAAAACCATAAAAATCCTAGAGAAAAACCCAGACAATACCATTCAGGACATAGGCATAGGCAAGGACTTCATGTCTAAAACACCAAAAGCAATGGCAACAAAAGCCAAAATTGACAAATGGGATCTAATTAAACTAAAGAGCTTCTGCATGACAAAAGAAACTACCATCACAGTGAACAGGCAGCCTACAGAATGGGAGAAAATTTTTGCAATCTACCCATCTGACAAAGGGCTAATATCCAGAATCTACAAAGAACTTAAACAAATTTACAAGAAAAAAATCAACCCCATCAAAAAGTGGGCAAAGGATATGAGCAGATTCTTCTCAAAAGAAGACATTTATGCAGCCAACAGACATATGAAAAAATGCTCATCATCACTGGCCATCAGAGAAATGCAAATCAAAACCACAATGAGATACCATCTCACACCAGTTAGAATGGCAATCATTAAAAAGTCAGGAAACAACAGGTGCTGGAGAGGATGTGGAGAAATAGGAACACTTTTACACTGTTGGTGGGACTATAAACTAGTTCAATCATTGTGGAAGATAGTGTGGTGATTCCTCAAGGATCTAGAACTAGAAATACCATTTGACCCAGCCGTCCCTTTACTGGGTATATACCCAAAGGATTATAAATCATGCTGCTATAAAGACATTTGCACACTTATGTTTATTGCAGCACTATTCACAATAGCAAAAACTTGGAACCAACCCAGATGTCCATCAACGATAGACTGGATTAAGAAAATGTGGCACATATACACCATGGAATACTATGCAGCCATAAAAAAGGATGAGTTCATGTCCTTTGTAGGGACATGGATGAAGCTGGAAACCATCATTCTCAGCAAACTATCACAAGGACAGAAAACCAAACACTGCATGTTCTCACTCATAGGTGGGAATTGAACAGTGAGAACACTTGGACATAGGATGGAGAACATCACACACTGGGGCCTGTCGTGGGGTGGCGGGAGGAGGGAGGGTTAGCATTAGGAGATATACCTAATGTAAATGATGAGTGAATGGGTGCAGCACACCAACATGGCACATGTATACATATGTAACAAACCTGCATGTTGTGCACATGTACCCTAGAACTTAAAGCATTAAAAAAAAAAAGTTTGTGGCTTTGGTCACCATCTTTCTGGGCCTAGTTTTCTCATAGATGAAATATGGGTAATGATTCCTACCACTCAAGACTTTCACGGCGATGAAATGAAAAAATATATATGAAAAGTCTTTATAAAGTGCAGTTTATAAGGAAGATATCATCAAAACTATTCTTTCGGAATTTCTGAAACTAATCTTCTTTAGATGTGATATAAGACAGATCTTTCTTCTGCTGAATCCTGCTGTATGGCAAACATAAAGTTGAAAGGTATACTGTTGTGAGAATAATAAATATGAAACATTGGTGTAGTGCCTAGCACATAGTAGTCACTTGCTGATAGCTGTCATTACTATTATTACTACTGCTATTATTAGGATAAAGTAGTGTTTATTCAGCTGGCTTGGAGTAAAGCAATTGAGTGATCTGAGAGGGGTAACAAATTTTCAATCCTTGTGTAGTCTGCCACTTTCTATCCCTGAACAAGCAACTGATTTCTTTTTTGAGATGGGGTCTTACTCTGTCGCCAGGCTGGAGTGCAGTGGCATGATCTCGGCTCACTGCAACCTCTACCTCCTGGGTTCTGGTGATTTTCCTACCTCAGCCTCCCGAGTAGCTGAGACTACAGGCGCATGCCACCACGCCCAGCTAAGTTTTTGTATTTTGGTAGAGACGGGGTTTCACCATGTTAGCCAGGATGGTCTCGACCTCCTGACCTCGTGACCTGCCTGCCTTGTCCTCCCGAAGTGCTGGGATTACAGGCGTGAGCCACCACACCCAGCCAGCAACTGATTTCTTACCTCCTTTCTCAATACTGTATGTAATCTTTCCTTCCTTGTGTGCTGTGAGGATGACTTTGAGCTCAGAGAAGTGCTGTAAAAATCCAGGTGAGTATTGCTATCCTATTGAGCGTGTGCTTTAATTCTGTTATTATCTGCATCTGTCAGACATGGAGCCTTCACCGAGGATAGTGAGGCTCTAAAAATTTCAGCATTTATCTGCAGGGCTGACATGCCACTTTATTTAGAAGTTGGGGTGGAGATGGAAACTTTCCAAGTGGTTGATGCCATTGAGCCTTGTGAATTTGTGAGTTTTGTACTTGCCCTCTTTCTCTCTTAACCATTCTTAATTTTCCAATCCTGCTTTTTGTTGGCTTCAAATGTGCTCACCAGAATCCTGCCAGCTTTAGTTGGAAGAAATACATTTCCGAGCTTAGTTGGACATCAGTTTTTTTTGGGCCCTGCCCAGACTTTTGACAGAGAAGGTAGTGTTAAGGGGGTTGATGGTGTCTAGACAGTAAAATCAGAAACTTTGTAATTTATGTTGTATTACAGACGTCCACTTCCCGGATTGGAAAAAGGAAACTGACTTTTATCTAAGGAAGTTACATTAAAAACCAAAGCCCCTGGGTATTTCTGACCCATGAAAAGTTAAAGCTTGAGTAATTTTACATAACATTCTCCAGCCCCTTCAAAGACTGGAATTATTGAGAGTAGTCCTGTATAGGGTCAGGGATGAAAAATAAACTTCCAAGTCTCAGAAGATAATTCATAGACCCATATAACAGTCTTTCCCGGCTACTCACCTCTGATTAGACCCCTGTGAGCTCACAATGTGAGTGGGTCTTGCACATCAGTTTCAGAGGGATTTTGGAAAGTTGTAGAGGAGAGAGGCTAATAGCAAAAGAGCATGGAGGTGTTTGGAATTCCAAAGAAGATTGAAGATCTGACTCAGGGCTCACCCCGCTAAAAAAATCAGACTTTTCCTTAAGGGAAAAAGCATGTTGTTGATTTGGAAAAAGTATAACAAAAATTAAAAGTACCTTAATTATGCAATGATATTTTGTTTTTCTTTTTATGCTGTTTAATGCTCATAAATATCAGATACATCCTCAATATTCATTATTGTGGAAAATAATAGAAAAAAATCTTAATAAGCTAGGCAAAATTTATGTAAAACTAAAGGCTTTTAAAGCCCATGTCAGCTTTTGTTTTGTTTTGACCTGGATCATCATCCAGGTTTCCAAGTAGAATTCTGAGTTCCTTTCAGAAAAGTATGAACTTCTTTATGTAGAACTATGACACATCATATCAAAGGCTACTATCTGAACTGTTTTAGAACACATGTATTTAAAATGCTGTAGTCTTATTAGCATTATGAATTAATTCTTTGCTTTTCTATCAGTCTGAAAAATTTTAAATATCTTAAAGTAGGAAAATTAGTAAAAACTCCATTCATTACGGAAAAATTGTCTTGTTATTCTTACAAGATGCTAGGTCACTCTCCCTGAGTTAAATTTCACTTTGACAGTTTCCAGCTGATTGTGCCTGGGTCCTAATAGACACACAATAAGTGTTAGCTGAACTGTATGTTGAATTCTTTCTAAATTTTACATCGAAAGCACTTTTCAATGTGTAGTAACTAGATGATTAAAATTTGTCTTGAAGAGCAGATAGTTTAAGAAAACAGATATAAGAAACAAGAGAAGAGTGTCATGTATAGTGTATTGACTACTAAATACTGATGATACGTATAATGTGCAGGAATCTCTGTAGCAGCCAGGGATGTAATGGAAGCCTTTTTCACAGCTTTGTAGCCCCCTGGCAGAGAGCTGAGAGATCAGAACTGTGTCAGACACTTGGGAAGCTGCAGTCCTATGACATTTACTCGCATGTTACTCAGTTTAGGATGTTTAAGTTGTTGGCTTCCCAGGGTGATATTTGATGTTTTTCTTTAGCTTCCACAGTTCTAGCAGAATGCAGAAAAGGTAAAGGGTACAGTGGGAAATTCCTGATTAGTTGGCGAATTGTCTTTACAGAAGGATGCTTGGTAATCAGCCTAAGCTGGAACATTCATATTCCACCCCTGCTAATTAATGGCAGAATGCAAAGATAGTAAAACTGCAGAAATAACAATGACTGATTATAATAGTCACCATTAATTAAGCATTTTTATCAGCTCACTTAATTTTTACAACTCTATGAATTTGATATTATCACAGTTTTCAAATGAGCTAGTTGGAGTTCAAAGAAGTTAAATACCGTGACTAAGATCACAGACTTAGTGAAGACGAGTTATTTCAAATCAGATTTGGTCTGTTTTGAGTTCAATACCCATCCTTTTAATTACCATCCTGTTATAAAGCTTTTTATTCACCTTCACTACTAATTTCTCATAAGAAGTTATATTTTGGCTTACCCTAGTCTGCTCAACAAAAGTATCTAGGTATCAGTATATCATACCTAAAAATCTAAGAGCCCTTTAAAAATAGATCTTCCTCCAGGATCATCTTGATCCCTGTTCTGGTTATTTAATGCTGCACAACAAATTATTCCAAAACGTAGTGGGTTAAAGCAATGGCAGCATTTAATTTGCTCGTGAATTTGCAGTTTAAGCAGGACTTGGTGGTATAACATGTCTCTGCTTTGCTTGGTGTCAGCTGGGGTTGCTCAAAGAGGACTAGAATACAGTTGACCCTTGAACAGCACAGGGGTCAGTGCATCAACTTTCACACAGTCAGAAGTCTGCAGTCATTTCCTGTCATTAGGCTCATCTTCCAAAAAGTGGAAGAACTACAGAATGTTCTCAGATGGCAAATAGATTTTAAACCTCTACATTCTTGAGCAAATTTCACCCTTAAATAGAAATTCAGCCAATTATTTTAATCTCATAAAGAGCCATTTTAAGGAGCCCTAAAATTTTTTTCTTCTAGTTTTTGTTTTAGGTTCAGGGGGTCCATGTTCAGGTTGGTTACAGGGTAAATTGCATGTTGCTGTAGTTTGGTGTACAAATGAGTTCATCACCCAGGTACTGAGCATAAAGTTAGTTGTTTGATCCTCATCCTCCTCCACCAACCCTCCACCCTCTAGTAAGCCCCAGTGTCTGTTGTTGCCCTTTTTGCATCCCTGTGCACACAATGTTTAGCTCCCACATATAAGTGAGAAGATGCTGGTATTTGGTTTTCTGTTTCTGCATTAATTCACTTAGGATAATGGCCTCCAGCTGCATCCATGTTGCGGCGAAGGACATGATTTCATTCTTTTTTATGGCTGCATAGTAGTACATAGTGTATATGTACCACATTTTCTTTATCCAGTTCACCATTGATGGGCATTTGGGTTGATTCCGTGTCTTTGCTATTGTGAGAAGTTCCAAATTGCCGTCTGTTAGATTTGTTGTGAGAAATAAGGAGTTAATGAGAACAAATTACATGAAACAAATAGAAGTCCTAACATTAATGGTTAATCTGTATTTAGTGGTAAACTATGCTTATGTGTTTATTAAAATTTTATAACTTTACATTGAACATTTAAGAGATTAAATACATTGGCACAAAAAAACTGCATATAACTTTTGACTCCCCCAAAACTTAACTACAAATAGCCTACTGTTGCCTGGAAGCCTTACCAATAACATAAAGTGCATTAACACATATTTTGTATTGTATGTCTTATCTATTTTAATCTTATAATAAAGTAAGTTAGAGAAAGAAAATGTTATTAAGCAAATCATAAGGAAAATATATTTACTGTTCATTAAGTGGAAGTGGATTATCATAAAGATCTTATCCATGTCTTCAGATTGGGTAGGCTGAGGAGGAGAAGGAAGAGGAGGGGTCGATCTTGCTGTCTCAGGGGTGGCAGAAGCAGAAGAAGATCTGCATATAAATGGACCCCCCTCAGTTCAAACCCATGTTGTTCAAGGGTCAACTATAATTATTTAAATATCCGGCAGTTGATACTGGGAAGACTCGGATAACTAACTAGAGGCTGGCACAGTGAGGCTCCACAGGCCTCTCTCTTCATCACTGTGTGGACATGCCATGTGGTCTCTCCAGTATGGCAGAATCAGAGTTGCCAGGCTTCCTCCATGTTCATGTTGGCTCAGGTTGCCCAGTGTGTGTGGAGGGGCTGGTGGCAGGCAGCGAGAGAGGGAGAACCAGGTGGAAGCTGCATTGTCTTTTTCAAGCTAGCCTCGAAGTCACTCAGCATCACTTCCATCACAGGTTTTTTTTTGGTTAGAAGTGAGCCACTAAAACTGGCCCATATTCAAGGGAAAGGAAATTAGTCTTCCCATTCCTGGGAAGAATGTCTTAAGAATTTGTGAACTTGTTTTAAAACCATGGAGGCACCTGTGAACCTTGCTTGAGTAGTGTCTCCCATGACACCTGTTTCAACTTAAAGTGATAGGGTTGGCCCTGGACAGAAATGTGCAAGAACTGAGAGTTGTCAAAAATGTCTACCGCTTCACAACTGTGACCCTCACCTCCCTTCAGGGCCTCCCTTCCCACCAGTAATGGCCTGTGTGGCCATAGAGCTGCTCTCTTCTCCCACTTCACACCTCTTCTCACCCCCACCATAATACTCATCTGATTGATTAGTTAGCCCAGGATACTGAAGCCCAGAGATAAGCTGAGCACCATTACCAGCATAGCCAGCAGAGCTTCTGCAGCATCAGCAACACTTTGTGCCTGAGCCAGCTCTGACTGAGGTTCATAGTGTCCCAGATTGCTATAGCATATATGTTTTCACATCAGCAGTACATGCTTTCTCATCTCTTCTAACACATTCGTATTAATGATATGCAACAGCTTTCCCTGGGGTTTTGGCCAAAAGCTATATTGTCCATTTTAGTATATTTTATGCCCATGTTCTCTTTGTCTTGTTAATGTGAATTCACATGTAGCTTTAAAATATGATAAATATTAATCAATGATCAATACAAAAGCATGAAAGTATTTCTATTAAAAATCATCACAAGTTTCTTCCAGAGGTTAAAAATAAAGTTAAAATAAAGGGAAAAAAAAATTTTTTAAATTATCACAAGAATATTAGCCACCATGCCTGGCCTAATATTCTGTTAAGGAGACCTTTTTTCACCTTTATTTTTAGTATTGTTCTTGAATTTATGGCCAATGCAATAAAATATAAAACAGATATAAGTGGCTGGGCGCGGTGGCTCGAGCCTGCAATTCCTGCACTTTGGGAGGCCGATGTGGGCAGATCACTTGAGGTCAGGAGTTCGAGACCAGTCTGGACAACATAGTGAAACTCCATCTCTACACACACACACACACACACACAAAATTAGCCGGGCATTGTGGCACACGCCAGTAGTCCCAGCTACTCGGGAGGCTGAGGCACGAGAATTGCTTGAACCCAGGAGGCAGAGGTTGCAGTGAGATGAGATTGTGCCACTGTATTCCAACCTGGGCAACAGAGAGAGAGAAAGAGAGACTGTCTCAAAAAAATAAAAATAAAAAAGATATAAGTGGTCCAGCACAATCATATGTCCCTTTTATTTCACTTACTCTTCTGTTCTAGGCTAACTCCCATTTAGCCACTTGGCTCTCTCACTTCCTTCAAGCCTTTGCTTAGGGAGGCCTATACAGACCACTTTATTATTTAAAATTTCACAACTCTCCACCTCCTGCATTTCTGTTCCCCTTACTCTTCACTACTTTTCCGTAGGACTTACTACCTTCTCACATACTACATTTACTTGTTGTACTTATTTATTTTTTATCCCCCACTAGCATGTAAGCTCCACTAGGATGGGGATTTTGTATGTATTGCTCACCCATTTATTTTCATTATTTAGTAGTATGCCCAACATATAGTAGATGCTCAATGAATATTTAGTGAATGAAAGAATAACTGTTGGAAAAGAAGAGAACAAAATCATGTTATTTGCCTTATTAAATCATTTAATTAGAAATCTCAAGGCAATCAAATAGAATAATATTGAAACTAATGGGCAGGCTAGTCCAAAGGTACTGAGTTTTCTCAGTTGATTACAGTCAGTTACAGGTCGAACTCTTTGTTCTACCCTTCCCCTGCCTTCTCACTATTGCACTTGACTAGTCTTTAATAATACAATAACTAATGGGCAAATTAAGTGGAAAAATCCATTTTTATTTTATATAGCATCAATAATCTGTTAGCAAATATATTTTTTAAATCTTATGCAAATATAAAATGCCTTGGAAAAATTTTTATTAAAACAGTTATAGGAACAACACAAGGAAAATAGTAAAACTTAGAGACATAAAACAAGATAAAAGGGTATGTAATCTGGGTAATCATTACTTATTATATACTGTCAAGATTTCTATTTTTTCTAAATTTATATATTTAATACTCTTTCATATTATATACTAATTATTAATTTCAATATCCTGTATTTAATATTGTTCCAATCAAATTCTAAAAGGATTTTTTGCTTGGGAAGTAAGTTAAAGTTTGCCTAGATTCAAGAATATGTAGATGAAAATAGCCAAGAACACTTTGAAAAAGAAGGGATAGTGTTTGGTCAGAGAATGTCACTTATTGTAACATTAAAACAGAATATTAGGCCAGGCATGGTGGCTAATTCCTGTAATCCCACCACTTTGGGAGGCTGAGGCAGGAGGATTACTTGAGGTCAGGAGTTCAAGACCAGCCTGGGCAGCATAGCAAAACCCTGACTCTACTAAAAATATAAAACTTAGCTGGGCATGGTGGCACATGCCTGTAGTCCCAGCTACCCTGGACCTGGGAGGCAGAGGTTGCAGTGAGCCAAGATCATGCCACTGCACTCCAGCCTGGGTGACAGAGAGAGACACCCTGTCTCAAAAAAAAAACAAAACACACATACAATATGATACTTTAATAATTAAAGTGGTACTAGTGTAAGAATAGACATAAAAATTAAAGAAATGTCATAGTCATGGAACAGACTCAAGTGTACATAAAAATCTGGTAAGGAGGCATCACAAGTCAATGGGGCTAGGCAACTGATTAATCATTTTTAAAAATTGGGGCATCATGTGACACATCAAAATTCAAGATGGATCAAAATGTTAAATGTAATAACTAAAATATAATAACTATAAAGTAATAATAAAACAATGAGAAACAGGTGATTTTAAGATGTGCTGTTAGGATAGGGGGTGAGGGAAACAGTGTAAGTGGAACAAGGAAATCACAATAGGAAAAATCAATCACTTTGATTACATTTTACATCCTGATATGGTATCTTAAATGTATTTTAATTTTTAATTAATAAATACTGTACAAAAAATGTTAAATTATTTTTTTGAATCCTACATTTGATCTAAGTAACATAAATAATTACCTGAAGATTTAAATGTGTTTCTTTTCTACAAAATCAAATATCAAGAACATTTAACATATGTAGATTTTGAATGAGCTAAATCAGAAATAATACAATATTTTATTTGTATCTTAAGTTTAAAGTTTCCTTAGTATTACTCTTCATAGTTAACATAGCTTAGGCTACAAATAACATAACTAGATTATGTTGCATGGCTGTTAGCTTGTTGTTGACATTATTGTTTTTATGAAAGAACATGACTATTTTAATGATGTCCTTATGAAGGAATAGAAAAATACACAAGCTTGAGATTTTTAAAAAGTTGCTCAATTTTTTTCCAGCTTAAGAATTTAGTACAAGTTTTATGCATGTTGTTTGCCTAGTTGTTGGATTGACGATAATACCTGTAAAATTCCTTACAATTTAGTGTATTAATTAGCCTTCCTCAGAAAATCCTGAGGATGTTTCCAGACTGTGTGCCGCTTGTACGTTATTGCAGTTGTCGTTGTTTTGCATTAAGGACAGGAATCTCTACAGATGGCAACCACATACTTGATGCATTTTCCAGAAATCACTGAAGAGAGGTAGATTTCATGTGCGAAGGTGGAGAAGAAAGCCCTGTCTCCTCGCCCCTGCCAAGCTCAAACCCCTGCTGCTCCTCTGCTGCCCTCTTCCTAGGTCTGCCAGCCTGAGTCCCTTGCCAGGTCCTGGGTGTTTTACCTCCTAATTACAACTCTGCTTGGCACCTCAGCCTTTCTTTCCATGAAAAATCACTAGTGGCACATAGAGGACCTTAAAAACAAAAACAACAAAAAAAGATTAAATTATATATGTATGTATGTATGTATATGTATGCATGTACGTATGCATATATATGTATAGTCTGGCCAAAAACCAGTTTTGTTACATGGATTGGTATCACACAGTGTAAATATCATGGTCATAGAGTAGATTCCCCCATCTGTAGTTATCTTCTCTGAACTAATATATTTAAGCCAAAACTAAAATGGAGAATTATAAGGTCTAGGGTATTGTTTTGTTTATTTTGTTTTGTGGGAGTTAGTCCAGGTCTTGATCAGTTCATGCCCCTAATTTGCTTTCACCATGCTATGCCTTCAAGATGCTGAAATACCAGAATTAAAAGTAGAAAGTTCCTGTTGATTTTTAGATGCCTTAAATATTAAACATTTAAATTAACTAATGGAAGGTGAAGTAGATAAACCAAATCATCAAGTAAACTGAGATTCATTTCTGTTTCGTTCTGCAGTAAGTCATGTGATATTTTCCTGGGAAAATTCATATTCTTAATTATCTTTGGTTTGCAATAATATTAAAATAACTGCATTTCCTGAGTACAATTCAATTGTGCCATTAAGGGATGTGGTGTTCTTTCATCATTCCAGGCACGATGGAATCTACTGAAAAAAGCTGACCATTCCAGGAAAGGTGGAATCTACTGGAAATTGGTCAGAAACAATACACACGAAAATAAAATAGATTTGATGATATTTAGAAGCATGCATAATGACAGAAGTTGCATTATCTCTGTTCTAGTGTTGCTTAGACATCTCAGAATCATAGCTTTGGGAGGGATGGGTGGAAGTTGTGTCATTGATTTATCACTAGCTAGCTGAGGGCCTGCTTAACCATGTACCTGTTAGCCTGTGGAAAAAGAAAAATGGGAGATGAAGAGGCCACACTTTGAAGGAGTTCCGGTGTGGTGATGTTCAATCTTGCTATCTTGAGCCTTTATTCATTTCTTCATGCTCTAGGACTGCCAAACAGGAGGTCACAGTCTAGGGAGAGGCACAGAAGGACATGGGCCTAAAGAGGGAGTACATTCTACATAGCCCTTTCACAACTTTCTAACTCTGCAAAGTTACCACGTGTTTCCTGAGGTTCTTTTAGAAATCCCTTTTATTGTATTTAGGAGTTAACAAAATATTTAACTGTAAAGCTCATCATGTTTGTGTTAACATTAGATTGTACTCATTTGGTATGTTAGCATAGATCAGGTGCCTGAGGTTGTGGGAAATTATCATGCTCTGAGATCCTGCCTCTTGTATTAATTTCAAAGCAACTTCATGTGTGAGAAATGGCGGGACACTTTAAGATCATTCACCTCACCTAGCTTGACCCTTCTGTCTATTTTATGAAGCTGTAAATAAATATATGTAAGGAATATTGCTTATATCTCCAAGCATTAGCATTGTCAGGATGGAGGTGCTGATTACTGAGTAACAGATCAAGAGCCTCCTAATAGGGTCAGATGCATTACTGCACAAGGGAAGGCATGTGGAAGTGTTTCTAACACTATCGTAGAGCTTTCTGAGAGGAAGGAAAGAAGGGAGGGAAGGAGGGAGGGAGAGAGGAGGGGGTAGAGGTGAGGAAGGAGGGAAGAAGGAAAGAAGGAGAGAGGGACCATAGGTTTTCTGGTTATTAGACAAAGGAGGAGGATTCTAGCTTAAGGAACAGCCTAGTCCCCTTCAGTCCCTGAAACTTTTGTTTTCTCACTGTCAGACAAAGAAGGTGAAGTGTTTGTCAGGTGCCCTGCACAACTGTCCTAGCTATCCTTAGCAGGACTAAAATGCCTCCTATCAATTTCAGGCCAATACCCCTGATGAACATCAATGCGAAAATCCTCAATAAAATACTGGCAAACCGAATCCAGCAGTACATCAAAAAGCTTATCCACCACAATCAAGTCGGCTTCATCCCTGGGATGCAAGGCTGGTTCAACATACACAAATCAGTAAACATAATCCATCACATAAACAGAACCAATGACAAAAACCACATGATTATCTCAATACATGCAGAAAGGGCCTTGGATAAAATTCAACACCCCTTCATGCTAAAAACTCTCGATAAACTAGGTATTGATGGAACATACCTCAAAATAATAAGAGCTATTTATGACAGACCCACAGCCAATATCACACTGAACGGGTAAAAGCTGGAAGCATTCCCTTTGAAAATCGGCAGAGGACAAGGATGCCCTCTGTCACCACTCCTATTCAACATAGTATTGGTAGTTCTGGCCAGGGAAATCAGGCAAGAGAAAGAAATAAAGGGTATTCAAATAGGAAGAGAGGAAGTCAAATTGTCTCTGTTTGCAGATGACATGATTGTATATTTAGAAAACCCCATCATCTCAGCCCAATATCTCCCTAAGCTGATAAGCAACCTCAGCAAAGTCTCAGGATACAAAATCAACATGCAAAAATCACAAGCACTCCTATACACCAATAATAGAGAGCCAAATCATGAGTGAATTCCCATTCACAATTGCTACAAAGAGAATAAAATACTTAGGAATCCAACTTACAAGGGATGTGACGAACCTCTTCAAGGAGAACTACAAACCACTGCTCAAGGAAATAAGAGAGGACACAAACAAATGGAAAAACATTCCATGATCATGAATAGGAAGAATCGATATCGTCAAAATGGCCATACTGCCCAAAGTAATTTATAGATTCAATGCTATCCACATCTAGCTACCACTGACTTTCTTCACAGAATTAGAAAAAACTACTTAAAATTTCATATGGAACCAAAACAGAGCCCATATAGCCAAGACAATTCTAAGCAAAAAGAACAAAGCTGGAGGCATCACACTACCTGACTTCAAACTATACCACAAGGCTACAGTAACCAAAACAGCATGGTACTAGTACCAAAACAGAGATATAGACCAATGGAACAGAACAGAGCCCTCAGAAATAACACCACACATCTACAACCATCTGATCTTTGACAAACCTGACAAAAACAAGCAATGAGGAAAGGATTCCCTATTTAATAAATGGCGTTGGGAAAACTGGCTAGCCATATGCAGAAAACTGAAACTGGGTCCCTTCCTTACACCTTATACAAAAATTAAGATAGATTAAAGACTTAAATGTGACAAATTTGCCAAAATTGACAAATGAGATATATTTAACTAAAGAGCTCTGCACAGCAAAAGAAACTACCATCAAAGTGAACAGGCAACCTACAGGATGGGAGAAAATTTTTGCAGTCTATCCATCTGACAAAGGGCTAATATCCAGAATCTACAAGGAACTTAAACAGATTTACAGGAAAAAAACAAACCCATCAAAAAGTGGGTAAAAGATATGAACAGACAGTTCTCAAAATAAGACATTTATGTGACCAACACACATATGAAAAATTCATCACTGGTCATTAGAGAAATGCAAATCAAAACCACAGTGAGATACCATCTCACACCAGTTAGAATGGCAATCACTAAAAAGTCAAGAAACAACAGTGCTGGAGAGGATGTGGAGAAACAGGAACACTTTTACACTGTTGGTGTGACTGTAAACTAGTTCAACCATTGTGGAAGTCAGTGTGGCAATTCCTCAAGGATCTAGAACCAGAAATACCATTTGACCCAGCAATCCCATTACTGGGTATATACCCAAAGGATTATAAATCATTCTACTATAAAGACACATGCACACATATGTTTATTGCAGCGCTATTCACAATAGCAAAGACTTGGAACCAAGCCAAATGCCCATGAATGATAGACTGGATAAAGAAAATGTGGCACATATACACCATGGAATACTATGCAACCATAAGAAAGAATGAATTCATGTCCTTTGCAGGGACATGGATGAAGCTGGAAACCCTCATTCTCAGCAAACTAACACAGGAACAGAAAACCATACACTGCATGTTCTCATACATAAGTGGGAGTTGAACAATGAGAACACATGGACACAGGGAGGGGAACATCACACACAGGGGCCTGCTGGGGGGTGGGAGGCTAGGGGAGGGATAGCATTAGGAGAAATACCTAATGTAGATGACGGGTTGTTGGGTGCAGCAAACCACCATGGCATGTGTATACCTATGTAACAAACCTGCACATACTATACATGTATCCCAGAACTTAAAGTATATAATAAAAAAATAAAAAATAAATAAAAAGCCTCCTATCCCCACAGCCATCCCCAGTTTCCTAGCCTTCCAGTCTATAGCTCTAGACTTCCAACAATTGCCACCTTGGCTTGTTTCACTTCCTCATGTTGCTTCCTCTGGCCATATGGCCACAGATTCTTATCTTTTATCATACATATTCAATAGAAGAAGGCTGCACCAGAAAATTTTAATCCAGCAGCGTTCTTATCCTCTAGCTAAAATGCTTGATCTTCCTGAATAAAGCACAGCATTCTTTGTCTTCCAAGCAAGCAGGAGTAAACAGGCATGCTGCTGGCTATTTATGTTGTCTGGAGTTACTTCTCTTGAGTCTTTGCTGCAGGAAGTTGATGAGGAACAAGACCATTTCCACTGCCTTCTCAGATATCAGTTCTCTGACCTTGGCAACAACCTTACCCTTGTTAAGTAGTGTTTGTCTCTGATATGGTTTGGCTGTGTCCCCACCCAAATCTCATCTTGAATTTGTAGCTCCCATAATTCCCACGTGCCATGGGAGGGACCAGGTGGGAGGTAATTGAATCATGGGGGCGAATCTTTCCCATGCTGTTCTCATGATAATGAATAAGTCTTATGAGTTCTGATGGTTTTATAAAAGGCAGTTCCCCTACACACACACTCTTGCCTGCCACCATGTAAGACATGACTTTGCCTTTTCTTTGCCTTCTGCCATGATTGTGAGGCCTCCCCAGCCATGTGGAACTGTGAGTCCATTAAACCTCTTTCCTTTGTAAATTACCCAGTCTCAAGTATGTCTTTATTAGCAGCGTGAGAGAAGACTAATGCCGTCTCCAATCAAACCTCTACACATACAATAATATCCTTCTTCTGAGTCTTGGTTCTGAGAAGTCTGAAAAGGCAGATGGATAACTGGAAGGATCTTGGGTCACACAAACTACTTGGGTTCTTACTTAGGTAGACCACTTCATGGCAGTTAGCTGTGACTCAGCTGGTTAACACCACAGCTTCCTCTTCCCTTCTATAACCAATAAGACTGGGATGTGGGTGCCATGAATGTAAGGGTTGGGTCTCCCTATCTTGGATTATACTTCTCTCACCTGTGTTCAGCCACACTATTAGAGGAGACATTTGACACCTGACAGACTGGAGCCTTTCCTATCCCCTCCCTCACCTGTGATATTTGCGGAGCTAGTTCATTAGGAAACACATAACATGTTTATGAGGTGGGAGGGGTACAAAAAGAAAAAAAAATGTATGCTCAAATATCAGGGGCTCCTAATGCAAGTTTTTCTATCCCTCTTTCTTTCTCTCTTTCTTTGTTACATCCTTAGAGAGAAACAAAATATTTACACTGTGTTTGTTTGTTTTCCCAGAGCAATTGACAACAGACAGTCATGTAAACATACCCAGTTTAATGATCATGTAAGAAGATGATGACTATTTCAGTCTGTCCCTTTGAGCTGGCTCTGCATAGACTGGCAAGACACAAGCGTTTTGTACTTGCTATTTCTAGATAAAGATCTCACTGCTGTAAAAGTCTTGCTTGAATCCAAGTTACCATATGAACCAGTTGGAATAAAAATCCTAAACAAAGTTCCTTAACTAGCTGCTTCCTTCTGAGCAGGCTTTTTGACAGTTAGAGATCTGATGTTTTGCATTAAAAAATTTCAGAAAATGAACAGATTTTCAGACATGCTGTAGTACAGAATGCCCTCTTCTCCAGTTTGTTTTCCATTGTCTCCCACTTTTTTTTTTTTTTTTTTTAGCTCACTTGGAAAAAAACAAAAACAAAAACAGAGCCACAAGCATGATGAGTTCTTAACACATTGTGGAACTTAGTAGCGTTTAAATGAGAATCAGAGACCTGTATTCTCTTTTATATGTGAAGGCACCTGATGTGTGCTTGTCTTGGTTTAAAGGTGAAATGGAAATTGGCACTAACTATGATCCTGTGGAAGTCACTTAACTTTTCTGAGACTTATTTGCCTTCGTATAAAATAAGGAAATTGAACTAACATCATCCTTAAGATAATGAGGTTTAGAAGTTTTAGCCCAAGTGGGTAGTCAAGGAAAATGTAATTTATTTTTCTTTTTCCTTTTTTTTTTTTTTTTTTGTTTTTTTTAAGAATCAGAGTCTCACTCTGTTGCCCAGGCTGGAATGCAGTGGCACATTATGGCTCACTGCAGCCTCAAACTCCTGGGGTTAAGCAATGCTCCTGCCTCAGCCTCCCAAGTAGCTAGGACTACAGGTGCACACCACCATGCCTAGCTAAGTTTTTTAAAACTTTCTGTAGAGATGGGGGTCTCACTATGTTGCCCAGGCTGGTCTCGAACTGTTGGACTCAAGCCATCCTCCCACCTCGACCTCCCAAACTGTTGGGATTACAGGCATGAGCCTCCACACTGGGCTTGTTTTTCAACTCCTTTGAGATGTCAGGTAATTTATTGATAGGCAATATTAAATTAGCAGAAGTTGTTTTGAGTAGCTTGTTACCTACTTATAATAGGTTAGTGTCTTGGGTCTCAAGTATTTCAGAACTGCTCAAATAGTAGCTATGCAATTGCTTAGGCCATAAATTAATTCAATTAACGTGTATTGAAGGACTTCTGAGTGCAAGGACTTAAGCCAAGGCACTTGCTACATAATGACATATTTAGTCTGTGGAGCTCTTGATAGTTTACAAAGCACTTTCATTTAAATTGTTTCATTTTATTTTTATACCAACACTGTAGAGGGGGATATCACCATTTTATAGGTAAGGAAATTGAGGCCTAGTGATACTACATTAACACTATTATTTTATAACTTAAATCTATTATTTCTAAGTTCCAAGGAAACAAGGAATGGGAAAACATAAAGGAAAACTTTTTATGAAAATTAAATATTTGATTATGGTGATGATGGCTTTTACTGAGCTCTCATTTTGTGACACTGTTATAAGTGTTACGTATGTATTCATCAATTTAATTCTTGCAACAATCCTATGAGAGAGGCACTGAAATTATCCCTGTTAGTAATGAACGTAATGTGAGGTCCACCAGGACAGGATATTTTAAAATCTGTTTTGTAAATGTATATCCCCGGTAGCTAGACTAGTGCTTATCACAAAATGAATACTTCATAAATATTATTTTAGTGAATGAATCTGTTTTTCAAAGAGAGAAACTGAGGCCCAGGATAATTAAGTAACTGTCCTTAACCAAAGTCACTCAGCTAATACAAGGTGGGTACAAGATTTGAACTCAGACAGCTTATTCAAGCATTCTTTTAAGACCACAAGCTATCCTTGTTTTAAAAATGAAACAAAATAACCTACCAGCCAAAACTAAATATGTGTGTTTTGGAGGGAAATTTTAAACTACCTTGGAAAAACGTAATAACTTCTCTTATCCTCGGATTTAAGTTCTTGCAAAGAAACATTTACTTGATGTAAAACTTCAGACTGGAGATATAATCGTTACGTATTGATGGTGATCAGACTTGGAAAACAGTTGTTAAGTATTCTGGTGTTTCTGCTTAAGAATGCATTCTCTAAGTGTGTTTGATATTTTATGTTTGTATTGGCAAAAGTATTCCTTATAGATGAGGAAAGTCTAGCTCTGATTTATCCATCGAAGAAATATAAATGTCTGAGAGATGGCATGGCTAGCTCTAGAAGCAGGGAGTGGGAGTTGTGGGGAAAGGAATACAAATTCGGATCAATAAAAAAAAATATTTGAAGAAAACTGAGTAAAATTACTAGCTTGCAGAGATGAACAAGTGAAAATCTAGAAAGAAAAATAAAAAAAGAAGTGATGGATTGTCTTTGAAAAGTGCAAGTCTAAAACTACAGTCCTGAAGTGAGATTTTGGTTTCAACATGAAAGAACTGCAGTGTGAAATGTAATGCCTAACTTCATCTGGTAGTTAATGTGACATGACAGCTCACATGAAAATGAACTGCAAATAAATGCTTAATTTTAAAAGATACTGTATGATCTCAATAATTGAAACATTGAAGGCTTCTTAACAGAGCATAAGTAAATGTTTCAATAAAAAAAAGGGATACTCTTTTCTACAGACAGCCAACGACAATAGACTGGATGACTGTGATCATTCTCATTATTGTTTATATAACTAATTCTTATCTCTTCCTATGTGTTTATATTTGCTTCCTTTTTTTACACTGATACATTAGAAAGGAAAGCCAAAGGTCATTTTCTCTTTATTGTATAACTTTTTTATGATTATAGAACTAATAAATATATACTCATTGGAGAGAATTTGGAAAATTAAAAAAAATTAAATTTAATAACACAGCACTTAGAAATTTCATTAAGGTGGTATATATGCCTATGATAAATCCTTAGGGAACTCAGGAAAATTGACTGGTGTTTTTCTAATTATATAGCCCTGTGAACTAAAAAGGAAGGAGATAATGGTATCTATTTTTACATTTGAGAAAATGGAGATACTAGTTAAGGGGGAAAAATAGTTTTTTAAAAAGCATGCTCACCAGACTATCTCTGTATCTACAAAGATCTTCTTTTCTTTACTTATATAGTGTGTGGACAGATATCACCTTAGTTCATATTTGTGCTGAAAAATATAGGTATTTGAAGATAATCAGGTTGCATAATTCATTCTGTATGTTAGTCTCACATTCCCTATACTGCCTTGATCTCAGTGCAATTAATAACTTAAAAAGAGAAGAATACCAGGCTCAAGTTTACCTTATTGCTAAATTATACCAAAGACTTAAGAAATAACACCAATTCTCCTTAATCTCTTCCAGAAAACAGAAGCAGAGAGAGCACTTCCTAACTCATTCTGTGTGGCCAGTATTATCTTAACACCAAAGCCAGATAAAGATATTACAAGAAAGGCCTATAGGCCAATAGTTCTCATGGACATAGATACAAAATCTTCAATGAAATATTAGGAAATTGAATCTAATAATATATAAAAAAATTATACACAATGAACAAGTGACATTTATGCCAGGTATGCAAGGCTGATTCGGCATTTGAAAACCAGTGTAATCCACCACATCAACAGGCTAAAGAAGAAAAGATATGTGATGATATTAATGTGTAGAGAAAAAAACATTTGACAGAATCTAACACCCGTTCATGATAAAAATCGCAACACATACTTAAGGGTGACAAACTCAATGCTTGCCCTCTAATATTGGGAACAAAGCAAGGATTTCCTCTCTGACCACTGCTGTTCAAAACTACAGAAAGTCCTAGCTAGTGTAATAAGAAAAGAAAAGTAAATAAAAGGAGCACAGGCTGAGAAGAAAGAAATTAAGCTATTTTTTGCATGATTGTCTCCATAAGAAAATCCCAAAGAACTGACAAAAAAGAAAACACAACTTCTAGAACTAATAAGGAAGTATAGCAAGATTTCAGGGCACAATGTTAATATACAAAAGTTGATTGCTTTCTTACATACCAGCAATGAACAATTGGAATTTAAAATTTAAAAACAATACATTTACAGTAGCACCAAAAAAGCAAGAAGGGAGGGAGGGAGGAAGCAAGGGGGGAAAAGGAAGGGAAGGAGGAAAAATGCCTACATATAAATCTGACAAAATAAGTACAAGATCTATGTGGAAAACCATAAAACTTGGATGAAAGAAATCCAGTTCCTTGTTAATGAATTGGAAGACTCAAATTGTTAAGATGTTAATTATTCTCTTCTTCACCTATAGATTTGATTTATTCCCAATTAAAATTCTAGCAAAAGCTTTCCTGTAGATAATGGCAAACTGATTCTAAAGCATATATGGAAAGGTGAGAAACCTAGAATAGCTAACATAATACTGAAGAAGAATGAGTGGAAGACTCACACTACCTGATCTCCAGATTTCCTATAAAGTCACGGTAATCAGTACAGTGTATATTGGTGATAAAATAGGCACATAGATCAATGAAACAGAATAGAGAGCCCAGAAATAGACCCACACAAGTATAGGCAATTTATCTTTGACAAGGATTAAAAGCCATTTCTCCTAATCTGCTCAGCCTGCCATAACAAAATGCCATAGATTGGGTGGCTTAAACAACAGAAATTTTTATTTTCTCATAGGTCTGGAGGCTGGACATCTTGAGATTAGGGTGGCAGCATGGTTGGATTCTCTCTTCCTAGCTTTCAGACAGCTGCCTTCTTGCTGCGCGCTCATATGGCCTTTCCTTGCTTTGTGCACATAGACAGGGAGAACAAGCAAGCCGTTTGGAGTCTCTTCACTAATCTCGTCATGAGGGCCCCACCCTCGTTACCTCATCTAACCTTAATTATCTCCCAAAGATCCCATTTCTAAATATCACCACACTGGGGTTAGGGCATCAACATTTTAGGGGGACTCAATTCAGTCCATAGCACCACTCAGTGGCAAAAGGATCTTTTCAACAATTGTTGCTGGAACAATAGGATGTCCATAAGAAAAAAGTGAATCTAGGCACAGACCTTATACCTTTCATAAGTATTAATGCAAAATGGATCATACACCAAAACGTAAAATGCAAAACTAAAATTTCTTGAAGAAAACAGGATAAAATATAGGTGGCCTTGGGTTTGGCAATAAATTTTTATATACAACACCAAAAGTATGATTTATGACAGAAAAATTTTATAATCTACACTTTATTAAAATTAAAAACTTCTGCTCTATGAAAGAAACTGTTAAATTAATAAAAGACAAGCCACAGGATGGGAGAAAATACTTGCAAAACACATATCTGATAGAGGAGTTGTATCCAAAATATACGAAGAACTCTTAAAACACAGCAATAAGAAAACAGGCTAATTAAAAAGTAGGAAAAAGGCCTGAACAGACTCTTCACCAAAGAAGATATGCAGATGGAAAAAAATTTGAAAAGATGCTTAACATAATTTGTTGTTAAGGAGTTGCAAATTAAAATGAGATATCACTACCCACCTATTCAAATGGCTAAAATTTTAAAAAACTGACAATATCAATCGCTTGGCAAGGATACAGAACAATAGGTACTCTTTTTATTGCTAGTAAGAACAGCCATTTTGGTAGTTTCTTTCAAAGCTAAACATGATCTTACCATACAATCCAGCAATCATGCTCCTAAGTATTTACCCAAATGCATTGAAAAAGCATGTCCACACAAAAACCTGCATGTGAATGTTTATAGCAGCTTTATTCATAATCACCAAAAACTGGAAGTAACCAAGATGTCCTTCTATATGTGAATGGATAAACAAACTATGGTACATGAATATAAAGGAATATTTTTCATCATAAGAAATAAGTAATCTTTAAAAGACACAGATGAATCTTAAATGCATATTGCTAAATGAAAGCAGCCAATCCAAAAAGGCTACATACTGTATGATTCCAATTATATGACATCTAGAAAAGACAAAACTTTAGCAATAGTGAAAAGATCAGGGGCTCAGGGAGAGAGAAGGAGGGTTAAACAGGTAAAGCACAGGGGATTTTGTGGGCAGCAAAACTATTCTATATGATACTATAATTACAGATATGTAATTTGTCAAAACCCATTAACTTCACAGCACAAAGAATAAACCTCAATGTATGCAAACTTAAAAAAAAAATCATTCAGGAGGTTGGGAGTCCCAGAATGGAAAGTAGAATGTGATAAAACCAATCTAACTGTGTTACAATGTGTGAAGCAACCTCACTGAAGCGGGTGGAGGAGAAAGCTGCTGACCTCAGTAACTTTGGAAATGAGTGGAATTTGTAAGATTAAAAACAAAAGATACAACACAAAAAGAATGTACAGTATTCTCATTGATAAAGTTATTTCTTTTGTGATATGGTTTGGATCTGTGTCCCCATTCAAGTCTCATGTTGAATTATAATCCCCAGTGTTGGAGGTGGGGCCTGATGGGAGGTGATTGGATCATGGGGTCAATTTTCCCATGAATGGTTTAGCACCATCTCCTTGGTGCTGTCCTCACAATAGTGAGTGAGTTCTCACAAGATATGGTTGTTTAAAAATGTGTAGCACCTCCCCCTCCCTCTCTTTTGCTCCTTCTCTCTTGTGAAGCACCAGTTCCCGCTTCACCTTCCGCCATGATTGGAAGCTTCCCAAGGCCTCCCTAGAAGCAGATGCTACTGAGCTTTCTGTACAGCCTGCAGAACCCTGAGCCAATTAAACCTCTTTTCTTTATAAATTACCCAGTTTCAGATATTTCTTTATAGCAATGTGGGAATGGTCTAACACAGAAAATCAGTACTGAGGAGTGGGACATTGCTATAAAGACACTTGAAAATGTGGAATTAGGTAACAGGCAGAGGTTGGAAGAGTGTGGAAGGCTGAGAAGAAGACAGGAAGATAAGGGAAAGTTTGGAACTTCTTAGAGACTGGTTAAATGACTGTGACCAAAATGCTGACAGTGGTATGCACAGTGAAGTCCAGGCTACCAAGGTCTCAGATGGAAATGAGCTTATTGGGAACTGGAGTAAAGGTCACTTTTGTTATACCTTAGCAAAGACCTTGGCTGCATTGTGTCCGTGCCCTAGGGATCTATGGAAGTTTGAACTTTAGAGTGATGACCTAGGGTATCTATCTGGCAGAAGAAATTTCTAAGCAGCAAAGTGCTCCAGATGTGCCCTGGTTGCTTCTAACAGCCTATGCTCATATGCAGGAGCAAATAAATGACTTAAAGCTGGAACTTATATTTAAAAGGGAAGCAGAGAGTAAGAGTTTGGAAAATTTGCAACCTGGCCATGTGGCTGCTGAGCAACCACTTGCTAGAGAAATTTGCATAACTAAAAATAAGGCAAGTGCTGGTAGCCAAGACAGTGGGGAAAAGTCCTCAAAGGCATTTCAGAGACCTTCATGGCAGCCCCTCCCATCACAGGCCCTGAGGCCTAGGAGGCTTCCCTCCTAGGTTTCCTGGGACAGACCCAGGGAGTGTGCTGCCCTGCACAGCCTCGGGACACTGCTCCCTGCATCCCAGTCGAACCCCATCTAGCCATAGCTCAGAGGAGCCCAGGTCGAACCGCAGCTCAGACCACAGCTCCAGAGGGTTGATAGTTTGCAACCTTGATAAAATGTGATGAAAATGGCACTTTACCCCTGTGATTCTCTCCAAAAAATGATAAGCCCAGACTAATTGTTATTTTTAAAAAATCAAGGAAATGCAACTTGAGGGACATTCTACAAAAATAAAATAAAATAAAATCAGCTCTCCTGAAAACTCTCAAGGTCTTAAAAAATAAGTCTGAAAAATTGTTATAGCCAAGAGAAGCCTAGGGAGGCATGAGGATTCAAATGCAATGTTGGATCCTAGATGGGATCCCAATATAGGAAAAGGACATTAGGTGAACCAATATATGGTAACAAATGCATCATACTAACGTAAGAAGGCAATAATAGGGGAATGCATTTGCAGGTCCATATAGGAACTTTTTGTACTAGTTTCACAATTTTTCTTTAAATCTAAAACTGTCCCAAAGAGAAAGTTTATTTTTAAAATATGTTACCCAGACTTTTTTTTTTTTTTTTTTTTAAGATGGAGTTTCACTCTTGTCGTCCAGGCTGGAATGCAATGGTGTGATCTTGGCTAACTGCAACCTCTGTCTCCCGGTTTCAAGTGATTCTCCTGTCTCAGCCTCCCGAATAGCTGGGGTTACAGGCACATGCCACCATGCCTGGCTAATTTTTTGTGTTTTTAGTAGAGACAGGGCTTCATCATATTGGTCAGGGTGGTCTCGAACTCCTGACCTCAGGTGATCTGCCCACCTCGGCCTCCCAAAGTGCTGCGATTACAGATGTGAGCCACACTTCTGGCCACATTACCCAAACTTTCTTATTGCTACTGTTTGAAGGAGCACTTCATCGCACAATTCCAGGAGACACCATTCATATAATGGTATCTCCTGGAGTTGTTCAAGGCTTTAACACTTTTACAATTTTAATGGCTTTTTCCTAGGAAAAGCAATCACATCTGTCATGCATCAACTTGTTTTTCCTGTAAAACTTAGCATACGTTGATTACAGATCCTACTTAACTGATTTGTCCAGCTAGGAAAAGTTGGGCAGAACCAGTCTTTTATAGGCAAAGGCATGGAAGGCTCTTTCCCTCTTGTAATGCAGACATCAACCCAACTACGATATGAGCAGAGGGCATAGAGGGAGCCAAGTTGGAGAGATATGACTGGCTTCTCCTGTCCTGACCTATAATCTGTACTCCACTCCTTTATCCACCACTAACATTGATTATGGGATAGGACCCATAGCATGGCAAGATAGTGTTCCTGTTGCACCAGGAACCAATTCAAATGGATGGGAAAGCAGGGATATGGGTACTGTGTTAAAAGGAGAAGTGACAGCATTCCTGAACACTGAAAAGGACATTTCCAACATCCGAAGAGATGCTACATTTTCCAGCTTGCTAGAGAGAAAGGCTGAAAGATAAAAACTTTTGTTGACTTCCTCTGCAAACGAGCATTTAACTGAAAAGTGTAAATGAAATTTTAAATACCAATGAAATGTGATGCCTTCTCCTGGTATTTGGTCCATAAATTATGTTGCACCAGAGTTTAGATCATAGTTCGCCCATTTCAGACCAAATTCATGGTCTTTTACCTTCTGTTCCTATAAATTATAAACCCCAGATGTGTCAAATTGTATAATAAACACATAAAAAGAAATTTGTTTTTTAAGGAATTTCATAAATTTCTTGTTTTACCGAGTTTTATTGGTCTCATTTTAGTGGGACAAAAAACAAATTAACCTTTCATGTTTTCACTTGTTACATTGTAGAGAGACCCTGAATTGTTGGGACGAAAAAGGGAAATGCTTTTCTTGGACCAATTTTTTGATTGGTCCACTTGCTGAGATAAGCCTCCTGCTGAATCAAATGTATGTTTTTGTGTTTGGTCTTGGATCTTATCTGCCTGCAGCAGCAGCAAGCTTAATAGCAAATGAGGTTCAAAAAGATGAAGCAGCTATTTCAGCCTCTTATCCTAATGTTTTCAAAGAGCTCTGTAGATTTGGTCATTATGCCCATCCTAATCAAACTGTCTGAAAGCTTATCTTCTGCCACCATTTCCTACAGACTTTCCGCAAAGCAACTATGATTTGTAATCGTTAGTAGAATGGTATGTGGTATGTAAATATATGTAATAATTATATTTCTAAAACAGTCTTTGTGACCATCTTTTAAAGGATCTCAGCTTGACAATGAATTGCCTATTTTTAGTTTTCAAATCAGGGTATTTTTCAATTATCTTGCAGTTGATTTTCTAAATTCACTCTTCAATTCATGAGAGAAATGGCTTTTATAGGGCAAATACATACTATTTGGGCATTAGAGAGGACAGAGATTATTTTATTCTTTTTGTATTGAATAATTTTGCAGGAAGCTGCTGCTGATTACAAGGAGAGTTATATGTATTAAGATTGATAAAGAGAAATATTTTTAAGGCTTTTAGATTTCCCTATAAGGAGATAGGATTTACATTCCAACTTTGATTTTCTTCAAAGGGATCCTGTTTGCTTAAATTCTCAGAAAATATGATTGGACTTCTCAGTCAACTGAGCTGTAAGAGTGGTGAAGAACCTGCCCTCAGGAAGGGACCTGTCAACATTTAGAGGGTGTGGGGGTGGTGATATTGGGGATGGAGACTGGCATGATGGAAGGGATGAGGCCTAGAACACAAGCATATCGAACCCACTTGCCTCTCTGTGAATGGGGCTCTTGCACACAGCCAGGCCTGACTTCCCTCCCCGCTGTTCCCACTCACCCAGCACAGTAGACTGATCCAGCCCTGCCAGGAGGTGGCTGTCCTTCACCAGCGCCAACTCCTGGCTGCACGCTGTGCTTCACAGAGCCTTCCAGCCCAGCCAGCTTGGCTGTCGGGGTCTCAGATTTCAACTCAAGGTGCCAGCAGAGTCCCTTCACTAAAATCATATTTTTTCACCTGATAATTTGATCATTTTACAGTTGGTGGGTTTCATCCACAAAAAATGGTTTTCTAAAAAGTAAAATCTAGTGTTGTCTTCATGATGTTATATGTAGGACCACTACCCGGTAAAAGCCACTGAGAGAACCTTGGTTAGAAAAAACACTAGTTCATCCAGGTGCAGTAGTGGCTCATGCTTGTAATCCCACCTATTTGGGAGGCCAATGCAGACAGATTGCTTGAGCCTGGGAGTTCGAGACCAGCCTGGGCAACATGGCGAAACCCCGTCTCTACAAAAAAAACAAAAATTAGCTGGATGTAGTGATGTGCACCTGTGGTCACAGCTACTCAGAAGACTGAGATGAGAGGATTGCTTGAGCCCACGAGGCAAAGGTTACAGTGAGCCATGATCATGCAGCTACACTCCAGCCTGGGCAACAGAGCAAGACCCTGTTTCAAAAAAAGAAAAAAAGAAAAGAAGGCACCAGTTCAGTTGTCTGATCCACTCCAGGTCTGACCACACTATTCTAAATTCTTTCTTTTCCAGAAACTAGAGACAACTGTTTTTAAAATAACTATCTTTGGGAATATTATGAACTTTATGAACATTTCCCTGCAGATAATCAAACTAGTCAAATACTGTTTGTAGGCTGGGCATGGTGGCTCATGCCTGTAATCCCAACACTTTGGGAGGCCAAGGTGGCTGGATCACCTGAGGTCAGAAGTTTGATACCAGCCTGGCCAACATGTTGAAACCCTGTCTCTACTAAAAATACAAAATTTAGCCGGTGTCATGGTGGATGCCTGTAGTCCCAGCTACTCAGGAGGCTGAGGCAGGAGAATCGCTTGAACCCGGGAGTGAGACTCCGTCTCAAAAAAAAACCCAAAAAAACAAAAACCAAATACTATATATAGAAGGAAACCAAAATCACAGTCACACAAAGACTGTGATAAGACTTTGTTAGAGTGAAAGATTCAAAAAATTTATATTCTTTTTTCATACCTCGAAGTAAATTATATGCAAATATGTCCTAACATAAGCAAACTCAAAACTAAAAGTATGAGCATCAGTATTAATAAATTAAGGGGTTATTTTATTTGCTTTTCTTTCTTTAATATTATTTGCTTTTCTAAAGCTTTCATGATATAATTTATATAAGTAGATAATTCCTATGGTAGGATTCAGGAAGAATTTGATTCATTTTAAAATGTAGCTGACATATAATTTTTTAATTATTGAAAAGTATACATTCAGAACAGTGTTTTAAAACAACTGAAAAGTTTAAAGAAAATAAAATGAATACCTGTATACTTATTACACAGATTTAAAAAATCAAAATTTAGAAGGCATCTGTGAACCTCTCCTCAATCACAATCCTCCCCACAGAGGTAACTACTCGTCTGAGTTTTATGTCAACCTATTCCCTTGTTTTTCTTCATTATTTCATTACTTGTCTATTTCCCCCCAAATAATATAGTGTTTCATTTTTTTCTGTTTTTGAACTTTGCATAAATAGAATCATACTTTTTATGTTTTTGTGTGACTTATTTTACTTAACATTACTGTATGATGTATTTCAATGTATGAATATATTCAGTTTTTTCTGCTGATTTATATTTGGATTGTTTCTTGCTATTAATACTATGAGCAACCCTGCAATTAATAAACTGAAATGTATCTCCTAGGTTACACGTGCTAGAAATTCTCTCAGATTTCTAGAAGTAGAGCTGGCTTGTAAAGTGTACAAGATTTTAAGCTATAGTAAGTACTGCTGAAATAGCTTTCAAGCATTTATGTTCTCACAAGCAATGGGTAAAAGTGCCGCTTGGCCAGGTGCAGTGGTTTCACACCTGTAATCCCAAGACTTTGGGAGGCCAAGGTGGGTGGATCACGAGGTCAGGAGTTTGAGACCATTCTGGCCAACATAGTGAAACCCTGTCTCTACTAAAATTACAAAAAATTAGCCGGGCGTGGTGTCAGGCACCTGTAATCCCAGCTACTCAGGAGGCTGAGGCAGGAGAATCACGTGAACTTGGGAGGCGGAGGTTGCAGTGAGCCGAGATAGCACCATTGCACTCCAGCCTGGGTGACAGTGCGAGACTCCATCTCAAAAAAAAAAAAAAAAAAAAAAAAAAAGCAACACTTGAAATATTTGATTTTCGTTAAAGTCACAGGGGCCTTCCAAATTTTGATTTTAAAATTTTCCTTCTATTTTTTAAAAAACAAAACCATTGTGGTTTTCATTTTTCTTTCCCTGATTACCAATGAGCTTGGGTATCTTTTCATATGTTTATGGGCCATTTGTGTTTTTGTTCATTCATCAAATGTTGTTTGAGTACATCCCATCTGCCAGGCAGTCTTTGAGTCTCTCCTCCACTTTCAAAGAACAATAAAATAGAAGGAATAACCTAGAAACAACTCCACACATATGTACAGGGCCATAACTCAGACAAAGAGAGCATTGTAGGTTAGTGGGTAAAGGAGAATCTCTCTCCTCCATTTCTTAGAAAGTGGAAGAGAAACACTGTACCTATCGATCAATTGTCCATTTTTCTATTGAGTTGTTTCTCTTTTTCAGAGGAATTCTTTATATGTTCTGGAAACATCCTTTGTTGATTGTGTGTGTTGCAAAGATTGTCTCCAAGTTTGTGGCTTGCCTTTTTACTCTGTGGTACTTTTTGATGATGAACCAGAGCTCTTAATTTTAACGTGGTCAGATCCTTTCTTTATATTGTCTTCTAAAAGCTTTAGCATTTTGCCTTTCATGTTTAAGACCTTACTTCCATTTGGAATGTATTCTTATATATTGTGTGAGGATGGGATCCAATTTCCTTCTTTTTCTTGTTACCCACACCGTATATGGAGAACTAACTCTCCTGGCACCATTATTGAATGGTCTGTCCTTTTCCTGCTGATCTACAATGCTCTCTTTGTTGTGAGCTATAGCCCTATATATGTGTGGATCTGTTTCTGGGTTCTAATCCTTCTATTTTATTGTTCTATTTGTCTCTCTCTATGCCAGTTCTACCATACCACTGTATTAATTACTCATCACAAGAAGAAAAGGATAACAATTATTTTGAAAGTTAAATGTACAGTGCCTGACCTGATACATGTTAAGCATACAATAAATGTCATCTGTTATTATTTTAGTAGGAAACACATTTTCATATGTTGTTTTAAACAATATCTAAAATCTGTAGAGAATTAGTCAACATTCAATAGATATAACCACTTCTGTTTTTGCATTTGATATGAGTTACTGTAGCTACCCAAAGACTTAAGAAATTCATACATTCAGTTACTGTTTTTGTCTTCTTCTGAAGTATGTTGGAAAAGATGAAAGATGAACTCTATAATTTCTTTACTCATCCTCACTCTGCAGTCTCTTAGAAAGGTTAAATGAAGAAGGCTTGACTTCGATTGTTTTTCGGATTTGAATTTTGGAAAAGAAAATGATGCTGGAAGAATAAAGCAGCATATTTAGGAAAGACTTTCAGTGATAAATATCTGGAGTATCCTGTTTTCTATACCTTGCTTCTATGCCATATTTTACTTATTATAAACTACCTCAGGATCTTTGTTAAATAAACCCATTTATTTGATGAAGGAGAAGGAAGTGCCACATTTTAACTGTTACTGAAAGAAATGTTCTTTGCCCTGTTGGTCTTGGACTTCCACAAAATACTTGATTCCAGATGTTAAATTGTTTTTTCAGAAGCCTTGTTAAAGGGCCAGAGCATTAGATTTTTGAAGGCATTTCCAAACCCCAGCTGATTATCACAACACACAGGAATCCAAACTTTCAAAGCTTAGCTTTGGCTCTTCAGTGTATCAGCAGCTGCAAAAAATACGTGCTAAGGCACAGGTTCATAGGACTGGGATCCAGTGTCCTTAAATGGTAAAACTTTAAGTAAATTTCCTTTACTTTCCACTTATCATAGATGCAGTTCAGTTGTTTAAAGTGCACTAAATTTCCTTGATTCCATCAAAAGTAGTGAGAACTTGATAATGGTAATAGTCATGTAGCAGCCTGGTGTGTAGGTATTCATGGTAATAGATTTATTTTACGTTTTTCTCTGGCTATATATTTCTAGAATATATTAACAAAGTAATCCTTCCTCAGAAAAATTTATTTTTTGAGAGAGGGTCTTGCTCTGTCACCCAGGCTGGAGTACAGTGGCACCATCACAGCTCACTGATACCTCGACCTGCTAGGCTCAATCAGTCCTCCCACCTCAGTCTCCCAAGTAGATGGGTCTAAAGGTGTGTGCCACCATGCCCAGCTAATTTTTTAGTTTTCTGTAGAGACAAGGTCTTGCCATGTTACTCAGGCTGGTCTCGAACTCCTGGGCTCAAGCAATGTGCCTGTCTTGGCCTCTGTAAGTGCTGGGATTACAGGTGCAGGCCACCATGCCTGGCCCTCAAAATATTTTATACATGCCATTTGCACTGTTCTTTAGACCAGTTCTCATCATTCTCTAAGGAACTACCTTGATGCTTTTCCAAGGATGAGGGGTACAAATGTCCTCTCAACAGATGCCTTCAACATGATGAAGCCAAAAAGAGGTGGGATTAGGGGGAAATAAAGGGGAAGTTTTGGGCCATACTACACCGATTGGTAGTAAAGAAGAGGGGAAGATGTTCTCAGTGAAAGAAATAACCGAGCAAAGGCTTAGAGCCAGTAATGACCAAGAGACTTCAGTCACAGGAAGATCGTCTTGTGTTGAGTGAAGGGGTCATTGTGGTTTGCCATGAGGGACTAGCTAGAAGAGGCAGATGAACAATTGTTAGAAGACCCTGAAAGATGAAATTCAGTGTGTTCTAACAGTAGACTGATTATTTCTGTGTTCATTTGTGTCACTTAACAAATAGCGTTAGAGCCTCTAGCATGACATAGTAGACTCCGACTCAAGAAATTCCTGTAGTCACATGGAGTTGAATTATAAAGACAGTTTATAGTAAACAAGAGACTATTGCAGGCCTTAAAACAAAACCTTTCACATGTTTTAAGTTAATTTTTTAAAAAAATATTCTTTTCTCTGCCATTGGCACTATGTCTGGAATTTGGTACATGTAGGAATTTTAAAAATCAGTCCAATGCCTCTCTTAAATTCCACAAGTACATTCTATATCAGTGGGATAATTTAGACGGAAGTTCTAATGATATCAGTGGAGAAAATTCCTGCAGGCCTTGGTAGATTGGAGGTTCTGCTTTTATTCCTTTCTATACCCTCTTCCAGCTATTGATTGACCTCCACAGTGCTGAGGCTGAGGTGTCGGCTGACCTTTCTCTGGTTTCTCAAGATTCCTCCCTTTCAGAGCAGAAGCCAGCATGATCAGAATACTTCTAAGGAATCTGCAGCAGCAGCAGTCCCCATGGGGAGCCTCAGAATCATAGTGAAACACAGCGTTTACCTTCAAATGGCTCAGCAGTTGCCATCATGGCAGCTATCAGGAACTGCAGATGTCTCTTTCATAGTCTTTATATTTAGGACCCAATAGAATTAATTGTCTGTTGTCCTGATCTATATCTAGACAGATGTATACAGGACAGCCATTTTGCTAAGAGCTAGGGAGTCTAGAAATGAAAGACAGTCCCTGCCCCCAGATGAGCTCATGCAATTTGGTGTAGAAGACAGAAGGACAGCACAGCATGGTAGTGAACACAGCATCAGTCCCCTCATCAGGGTCAAAATTTACTTTGTCAAGCAAATGAGCATCCTGATTAAGGCAGGCCTGTTACCTTTCTAATTGTTTCTCTAGTTATGTGAATTCCTCTGTTTGACCTACTTGACCTTAACACTTGTCGTTTGTTTTTTAAATATTACTCTAAGCTACTTACTGCAATTGTTCCAAATGTTTAATTTATTAATTCCAGGCAATTCATAACAATTTATTGCTATTTCTTAGACTCCTGCCTCACTGTCAACTGTTATTGGTCTGTTTCATGGATGACAGTGGTTAAATGTTTTCATATGCACTGCAGTGTTTTTTGTGATGCTGTGATAACTTGTGGGCTAGACTAAGATAGCTGGTCAGGATCCCCGCCAAGACACTCAGTCAGTGGACCTATGAAGAATATGCTTGGGTAGAGTTGGGTCTCAAGACATCATCTCAGCTCCATGGATGAACAGTGCTATCTACAACAGCCTACGAGTTCTTTGATGGTTGACTCTACCCTTTTATACTGTCTCCCTCCCTCTTTCCCACACCTGTCATCAGAATGCCTGCTTCTTATAGGTTCATATTCCACCAGAAGCAGGGGGATATTTCTCATTGGCTTGTATACTTTGGCATTCTAGCAGGGAAGCAAAGAATTATTTATGATACAAACTTAGGTAAAATTGAGAATCAAAGTATTCTTAGGACTAGGTCAAGCCAACTACTACAAAGTCATCTTTAAAAATTTATTCAAATTATGTGTTTTAAACTCAATTATACTCAGTACCTGAACCCCAGAATATTCAATGTTAACCTCATTTCCATTTTTTTTTTTTTTTTGAGGCAGAGCTTCGCTCTTATTGCAGGCTGGAGTGCAATGGTGCCATCTCGGCTCACCACAACCTCCACCTCCCAGGTTCAAGTGATTCTCCTGCCTCAGCCTCCTGAATAGCTGGGATTACAGGCATGTGCCACCATGCCCAGCTAATTTTGTATTTTTAGTAGAGATGGGGTTTCTTCATGTTGGTCAGGCTGGTCTCAAACTCCCAAACTCAGGTGATCCACCCGCCTCAGCCTCCCAAAGTGCTGGGATTACAGGCATGGGCCACCATGCCCGGCCTCATTTCCTTTTTCTCAAAAAGAGATAAACATTATTACATTTTAAGGAAATTTCTGTAGATCTATTTTTTTTCCCTTGAGAAAGGGTCTCACTCTGTTGCTGAGGCTGGAGTATAGGGGCATGATCACAGCTCACTGCAGTCTCCACCTCCCAGGCTCAGGCGATTATCCCACCTCGGCCTCCCGTGTAGCTGGGACTACAGGTGTTTGGCAGTGTGCCTGGCTAATTTTTGTATTTTTTGTAGAGATGGGGTTGTGCCATGTTGCCCAGGCTGGTCTTGAACTCCTGGGCTCAAGTGATCCTCCCGCCTCAGCCTCCCAAAGTGCTGGGATTACAGGCCTGAGCCACTGTGCTCAGCTAATCTATAATTTCATAATCTCTGTTGATATATACATAAGGAGAATTGTTATGATTACAATTGGCTTTGGATCTTCCCAATTAACTTGCAGTCCAACAACTCAAGTAGGGCTGAGGACTAGTATAGCAATGAGTTATGACTGATAACTTAAGATTTGACAAAAACTTTAGCATAGGTAGGTGCTTCACAATTGATTTTTAACTAATATGTACAATTTCTTATAAATAAAGTTGAAAACTTATATATGCATTACAAATAATGCTGAAACAGCATGAAATGCCATTATAGAGGTGAATGCAACCTGCTTTGGGAGCACAGAAGAAGTAAATCCCTGCTGTGGAAGTCAGGTAGCCCTTTACCAAAGAGGCAATGTTGAAGCCGGTGTAGAGCAACAAGCAGGAGATCCAGGTGGAAAAAGGTAAACAACGTTTTAGGCAGTATGTGAAAAAGCATAGAAGTGTGACGTAGAATCTCCACAGACCAGTAGGAAGTTTGATGTGACTAGAACTTAAAGTAACAGGAGAAAAATTGGGAAGTTAGACTGTGAATGTCAGGTTGAGATGATTACACTTTGTCCTGTATTGTCATTTAAGGGAAAATAATGAAGGTGTTTCATTTGGGCAGTGACATGATCAGATCTTTCTCTTTGGGAATATCTCTGCTGTGGATTAGCAGTTCAAGACACTAGACTCAAGAAAACCACATAGGGGTTCCTGCAATAGTTCACACCAGAAATGTGGAAAGTCTGGACCAGGGGTGTCCAATCTTTTGGCTTCCCTGGGGCACACTGGAAGAAGAAAAATTGTCTTGGGCCACACATGTAATGTACCAAGACTAACAATAGCTGGTGAGCTAAAAAAAAATCATCAAAAAAATCTCATAATGTTTTAAGAAAGTTTGTGAATTTGTGTTCGGCTGCATTCAAAGCCATCCTGGGCTGCATGTGGCATGCAGGTTGTGGGTTGGACAAGTTTGGTCTAGACTATCAGTTACTGTGGGAATGGAAAGGAGGGGTGAAGTTGGAAGGTCTTTAAGAGTTAGACTGTTACCCCCATGAGGGCAGGAACCGTGTGTGTTCTATTCAGCTTTGACCCATAAAGCTCTCTACTCCTCTGCTCCAAGTGACAAGGCCCCTTTCTGGCAAGATCCCCATCATATTCGTCTTACTACTTGGATTTTAGCATCCAGTGTAACAAGCCCATTCATTGCCTCTGGTGCTATTGGATACATATAATTGTCAAGAGTGAAGTAAGTTAAAAAAAATAGGCTAAATTTCTTCACTCATTTGTACTTTTCCATATGCTGTTTTGTTCTATATGACCATCTAGGTTATTCTGGAAGAACAGCTGTATTTTTAGTGGATGTGTATAACTTGCCCCATTTCAGAAAGTAAGCTAACACTGTGACATACTTTTTAGCAATTTTAAAAATGAAATGGATTCAAATGTACAGGTATGAAAAGATTTCCAAGAAGTACTTTTTTTGTAAAGTAAGTTATAGAACAATATGTGATAATATATTAAACAGGGAAAACATGTAAATCAAAATGATATACCTTTATGTGTTCATTTAATCATGGAAATGCTCCACAAAACAATATGAAAAGGAGTACTTCAAATTGATAAACATGGTTACCTCTGGGGTGGAGCAGAGAATTGTTCAGTTAATCCTGAATATTTTACCACAAAAAGATAAAAAAAAAAAAAGGAAGAAGGAGAAAAAGGTAAGGGGAAAGATGAGGAAGAAGAAGTAAAGCAGACAAAAGCACAGCTCTTTCAAGGCAGAACGTTCCATGCTCTATGCTTACATTTGTGAAGGGCAAAAGAAACCAGGAAGTATATCTTTGTTCACCACTGGGAAACAAGGATTTGGTTTCATGGATTATTTTTATTATAGCTGCTGAAGTTGTGAGTGATAAAGTAGTGCAATGCGTCTAATACTCAATTTTAAACTAGAATATCCATTTGTAAGCCCGGGCCTGCACTTGATTTGAATACCTATGAATGCAAGCCAACAATTTAAAATTCCACATGCGTGGTCTTCCAGTTCTAAAGCAGGAGAAATAATACTTGCCCCTAAAAAGGATGTTGAGGAGACAAATGATAGATGTAACCAAAAGAGCCGAGCTTTTTGAATTTTATATAAATATAAGCTAGGATGTCCTGGTATATATAATCTTTACATGTATGCATAAACTTAGAGACATGGGATATCTGTTACATAATGTTTACCAATTTTAAATGCACAAATTATTGTTTAGGGTAATGTTTCATAACCCTTGGGTCAATATTACCAAAAACCAACAATCAGTTCTTTCAGTTTGGGATTTCAAAAAGCCTCCTTTCAGATTTAAATTGAATAGGAAACCATTATTTTTAGTGCTTAAAAGCACGGTGGTGTCCCCTTAGAAACCTCCAATTAGTAGCAGCCATTGTCTAATTAGGTGAAAATAATAATCTATCGATTGTTATAAAAGCAAGATATTATAATTCAAGTGTGTTTCCAGATGCCAGTGAATTGCTGGAAAGCTGCAAGTTTAACTTTCCGCTCTGATAGAGTTTTAAAAGAGGTCAGGGTACATTTTACCATAGTGTCTAGCAATGTGAGTTTATTCAGACCTTTTGGCAGACATTCCTGCACACTCAAGCTAAATCAATGAATCATCCATTGTTGGCCAGCTCCGCTCTCAGTTGCTAAGAGATTTTTTCAAGCATACTGAGGCTTTATTCTACATGGTCTGTAAAAAGGGCAAACTGTATTAAATTTTAAAATGTCTCATCTTTCCTAAATTAGTAATTAAAATTTTACCCAGAACTTTAATACTGGGGCAATGGGAAAGTCTGTGTGCAGCTGGAGGCCTTTCTACTTGGGAAAATACGTGAGAAAACTTCCTGCTCATAACTCTTCAGAAATATGTGTGTGGAGGAAATGGAAACATTTAAAAAGTGGACACATGAAAAACAAAAACTCAAGGAGGAAGGTCTAAAGTCTCTTAAAGAAATATAATGTGTTTTTCTTCTTATATATTTCAAATAAAAGAGCTTTCCTTTAAATTTTATGAAATATACTCTAATTTTCCTTGTTTCTCTTTGAGTCATAAAGACCCTTGTAATATAGCATTTTATTTTAAAGCTTTAATATAATAGTTTTTAATATAAAAATTTAAAACTACCATGAAATAAAGGAATGTAATTTTTTCAGCTTGCCCTTTATGAATGTTTATAGTATATTCTGTTCTCTATATGTAATAACAGTGCTTCGTATACTCAAAAACTAAAGGAGTATATTTTTACGTGTTCTCACCACAAATAAATGATCAGTATATGAGGTAAGCCATATGCCTGATTCAGCCATTCCACAATGTATACATATTTCAAAGCATAATGCTGCATGCCATAAACATACACAATTTTTGTTAATTAAAAAATTAATTTTTTAAAAATGTATATTCTATATGTATCCTTCTTGAATATTTCAAGTTTTAAAACATAATAGTTGTTTCATTTCTTTTCTCTTTGGACTTCATGATGATTTCACATTATAGATAATCTCATAATTTATCATAGAGGTTACTATTTCATTTTGCTGAGAGGATGGGGATAATTTGGACTACAAATTTAAAAAGAGAAAGAAACCAAATGTAATGTATCTTAAAAAAATATTTTTAAGTTTATTGGATCCAGATGTAGTGATGAGGAAAGCTTCTCTTCTGTGTTTCTTAGTTTCTCAAGATAAAATTCTATTTCATAAATCTCTATGAGGACTGTATCAAATATTCTAAAAGAAGCTTTTGAGATAGAACGTGGCTTTTGGAATTGGACAGGCCTGGTTGCTCCATGTTCTAGACAGTGTGGCCTTGAACAAATTACTCCTCATCTTTGGGCTCCAACTTTCACATTTATAAAGTAAACATAATAATGCACACCACCATGGGTGGTTATGGAATTCAAATGAGGAAACATGGTAGGTAGCCCTGGCACATAGTGGGTCCTGGATAAATGTCAGTTCTTAGCTTCTTTAAAACTGTTGGAGGCTAATATCCGTGTGCTCTTAAATACAACCAAACCTCTTTAAGTTGGCAACATAAGTGTTAGGTTTTACTTCTAATTTCAAAAGAAACGTATTCGAGTGAGTGGCTGAGAGCATTCATTACATGAGGGCAGCTTGGAATAAGAGAACGGGATAGTCTTGCACCTTGGCATTCTTTCTTGCAGAGAAACAAAACATTTGTGATTCTTGGGTTCTTGTCTCCCCTCTCTGAGGCTCTCTCTTTTTCATAGAGGATTCCACCTTCTCTCAAGACTTGTATTCCAACATGCTATCTCCAGTTTACTATTCACTGCTATAAAGTAGGGCTTTTTTTTTTAGGGCACTTTTTAGATCCAGCCAAGGACCAAGTCTTTCCCAGCCAAATGCGGAGCAGGGAATGGACCATGCCTTGATACAGCCCCTGCTCCTGTTGATCCAGACCACGACTTTTTAAGACTTTAAGCTTACAGAAAAAATAAGGTGTGACCTCCATTTACATGCTTAAGCGTCCTGACACCTGTGTTTATTTAAAGGAACCATCTCCGTGTCTGTACTCACAGCCTGATGATGCATGCCGTCTATAGAACTACATACAGTGTTTTTTACAGTTAAGTTTTTTAATAGCAGGGAAAAACAAGATCTTTTCCTCAGATGCTTGACTATTTCCCTCTGTAATCTTAGGTATAGTTTCAACCCTATTTCTTTTCGGTAATATTTGTTATATTAGATGTTGGAGGCCAATATCAGCTAATAAATAGACCCATGTGGCCAATTTATTGAATTAAACTGAAGAGAATTGCTAGCATGTCTGCTGTTAGGATACAGTAGTATGAAGTGGCAGCTACATAAAACTGATTACTCTGGTGGCCCCTGCATAAAGGGAGAAGGCCTCATACAACTCAACAGTGATATCAGCAAAATAACATGTCTATCCTTGTCAAGAGAGAAAACAGGGTTGAAAATGACAGAATGAAGATGTAATACTCAGGCTTTCTAGGGCGGATTGTAGAGTCTGGCAAAAATGAAGCAAAACAAAACCCAAAGGAAAGAAGTTTAGATTTAATGCCTAAAGAAATGGCGTTCCCTCAAAGAAAGTCCACATGAACTGACTTAAGTTGCAGTGATGGGTCAGTGAGAACAGTACATATAGCAACTCCTGTGGCCTTCTGTTAGAGCTTCACCTTACAATTGTAATTTTTATATAACTCAACTTGAGAGAGAGAGAGAAAGACAGAGAATTTCCCTCACTTTCTGAATCATGGCTCAGAAGTGTGTTATAAAACACCAAGAACGGAAAAGCTATTACGTGGAATTTAAAGAAATACTTGAGTCTACAGTATCATTGAACTCTTGGATTCGGTTTCAGCAGACATGCTCTGTATTCCCACAAGAGTCTGGAAAATGAACTCCTATTTTTTTTTCTGTCTGGAGCTGCAGTTAGTGTTATTATTTGCTCCATGGCTCAATCCGGGTCAGACTGTTCTTCAGTAACACAGGTGGATGTTAAAACAGGGAATCTGTTGAAAAGATTGCGGAGGAACTGCTTCCCAAAAGCAGTTCTGGATGGCAATTTGATGGCAGTCAGCTATGGTAAGGACAAATGAAGCTTAGCAGTACCTTCTAGAATGTGGTCTTTCAGGCTTTGTCAACTGCAATCCTACAGGCAGAAGTTTCATGTATAATGGGTCAATATGAACTGGTGGCATCTTCTAAGAAGTGGATTCTAGAAATGGAGGTCATTAAATGCTCAATACTTGCGAATTGTAATGTTGATCTGCATTTTTCTGTTTAGCTTTATTTGTGAAATATAATATGTAGTTCTTAAAGAAAAATTCCATAAGCCTTTTTTTTCTTTCGTATGGGCTTAAAAATATTTTAGAAACTTGTTAAAAACTAGTTATAGAAATATTCATTATCCTACTAAAAGTGGCAGGAGGAATATAGTTGTGATTTAAGATATAGAAATTGTTTTGTACTAATGTGTTTATTGTCAGCAATTACATTGTTAAAATGTAACAAGTAAATTTTGCCAAGAGTACAACATGTATCCATTTGTAAGTAAGCACACAGGGAAAACAATATTTTAAATGTTCTACCCATTGAATTATTTTTCTAGTAAACAACTTGACATAAAATAGACTGAAACATCCGTTTATTTTAACAACTATGTTAAATTACAGATTAATGGTCCAAAATAAAATTTGAACTGATTTAATACATAATTCAGTTTTGGGGGAAAATAGATCTTTCTCCAACTGAGAATAGACTATATATTTTTTCTTTTGTGAATAACTTATTTTACCCTTAATAAGTTTAGGACTTGCCTGAACCACAGCCAGCCTTAAGAATCCTTTGTTCAGAAATGTTCAGCGTTATATTGACTAAGGAGCAATTTGGGGGTTGAAAAATAGATCACTATTTCAGTTTCTGACTTTAGACTATTTTTAAAGTAAAGTGCTGAGAGTTCCAATTGAAAAATTGCAAATGCTCCAGGACACTGTGCCTGGAAATAAGATTCCTGAAGAGTAGAGCCTAGGGATGTTTAGGCAACCCTTACAGAAACAAGCCTTCAAGTACATTTTAAGTACAGTGTGTCTCGCACGTTTTGAATTATTCTTTTCAGATTTTTTTTTCTTTGGATATAACTATTCTGTTTTACTTTACATACATATATATACATACACATATATGTATATGTATATATGTGTACATGCATGTGTGTGTGTATATATACACACATATATATTCACATACATATTCATATATATATTCATATATATATAGGTATATGTATATATGTGGTAAATCTAGGAGTTTACATATCCAAGGGAAAATTTCCCTCAAACTTGTGATTGTTACTCACCAGATCAAACATTAGCAGTCCCTAAGGGACAGTCCCAGTCCACAGCCAACACACACAGATCCCTTCTTATCACTTGGAACAGACACTCCTCCATGGGTACATACCCAGCATGCTTAAGAAAACAGGTATCTGTGGAGGTTAAACTAA
The DNA here is from genome assembly GCF_000001405.40 of Homo sapiens. Taxonomy (NCBI): domain Eukaryota; kingdom Metazoa; phylum Chordata; class Mammalia; order Primates; family Hominidae; genus Homo; species Homo sapiens. The sequence goes on along the minus strand of NC_000001.11, from coordinate 85,402,960 downwards.
TATTTTTGGAGCAAAAAATGAGAATTGTCAGAAGTTTTTTTTTTTTTTTTTTGAGATGGAGTCTCGCTCTGTCACCCAGGCTGGAGTGCAGTGGCGCTATCTCGGCTCACTGCAAGCTCTGCCTCCCGGGTTCACGCCATTCTCCTGTCTCAGCCTCCCAAGTAGCTGGAACTACAGGTGCCCACCACCGTGTCTGGCTAATTTTTTGTATTTTTAGTAGAGACGGGGTTTCACCATGTTGGCCAGGATCATCTCGATCTCCTGACCTCGTGATCCACCGCCTCGGCCTCCCAAAGTGCTGGGATTACAGGCGTGAACCACCGCGTCCGGCCAGAAGATTTTTATTAATTGTGTTTTCTAGAAATGTAATCTTAGTTCAGCTATATTTACCAGAAAAATATACAAAGCATTTTTATATCTTAGTATTTGTAACTGAAATTATACATTTCTGAAGAAAATATCAAATCTGAGATAAAAACAGCATGGTAAATTAATTTGTACTGAAAATATTTTTGAAAATATTTTGTCTATAAGAATAGTTTGACAAGTAGCCTTATTTGCTATAGTTGAAAGACTCTGCTTGAAGAAAAGCATTCACACTTAGACCCTGGCTAGAAGAAAGAAATTGGAGGCAGATTTTTTAAAAGACTGTACTTTCAGGCCTGGGCACAGTGGCTCACACCTGTAATCCCAGCACTTTCAGAGGCCAAGGCAGGAGGATCACTGAGGCTAAAAGTTCAAGATAAGCCTGGGCTACGTAGTGAGACCCTGTCTGTACCAAAAAAAAAAAAAAAAAAAATAGAAGTATTAGCTGGGAGTGGTGGTTGCGTACCTGTAGTCTTAGCCATTTGAGGGGCTGAGGCAGGAGGATTGCTTGAGCCCAAGAGTTTGAGGCTGTAGTGAGCTGTGATTGCAGCACTGCACTCTAGCCTGGGTGACATAGCAAGACCCTGTCTCTAAAAAAATTAATTAAAGTAAAATAAAATACATTGCCTTCAGAACACATTAAAAAGGAACAAGATGCAAAATAGTTTTGAAAATGTTTTCTTTTAAGTAAGATAGTAATTGTGCTTCTTTTTAAAACAAAATTACATATAACTGAAAATCTAATTCTACAGTTCAATAATAGGAATTTTAAGAGCTCAAAAGCTGCTTCTTAGTCAGGTGCAGTGGCTCATGTCTATAATCCCAGCACTTTGGGAGGCCGAGGTGGGTGGATCACTTGAGTGCAGGAGTTTGAGACCAGCCTGGACAACGTGGTGAAACCCCATCTCTACAAAAAAATCGTTAAAAATTAGCTGGGCATGGTAGTGTGCGCCTGTAGTCCCAGCTACTTGGGAGGCTGAGATGGGAGGATTGCTTGGGCCCAGGAGATCAAGGTGACAGTGAACCTTGGTCATGCGACTGTACTCCAGCATGGGCAATAGAGTGAAACCCTCCTCAAAAAAAAAAAAAAAAAGAAAGAAAAAAGAAAAAAGAAAAGCTGCGTCTCTTAAAATCCAAGGTAAAATTATATTTCATCCTCATTACAACTCTTTTTCCTAAAAGTAAATATAAACCATGCTCTTCTTTATGTGCTATTTAGCCTATCTTTATCTGATGTATTTAGTCATTCTCTACTGCTCCAAGGAAGTGAATAAATCCAGGTAAAAAGAAGATACCAATAATGAAAGATTTCACTTTTCATGAATGTTTTCATAGTAGGCCCTCTTCATTTTAGGACTGTAACCTGTTGGAAAAAAGGATCGATTCCTGTAATTGTATTGCTAGACTGTGTCAAGGCAGTGTATTATGAAAGCTACATTTGAGCAGCACGAAGATCGCCTTTTAATGATGAGAGATAGTGTTAGTCTGCTGTACTCAAAAGTGTTCACTCTTTAGCCCAATGTTCTCGTATTATATAAAGCTTTAGAAACCCTGGACATTTGCCTACAATGTCTTTGAAGAAGGCAATCACATTGTGGGCATGGATCATATCTCTCTGCTTACATTTTTATGGTTTTCATTTATGTACCATTGTACTGCAGAAGGGATAGAAGGCAGCTTGGAAGGATATATATAATAAAGGTAGAACCAATCAAAAGATGGATATAGGAATAAGATAAAATGATTACCATTAGGTGGCCAGGAACACAATGTATGGTCTACACACTGTTACAGATGGGTCACAAATTCCACTGAAAGCTTTCTAACCACCAGCATAAAGAAGTGAACCTGGTGGGTATTTTAGTCTATGAGGGCCTAAAGATACAGGCAGGTCAGATTCTGAGAAGTGAAAATGTGATTACTACTAAGCTCAGAGAAAAATTTCTTCCTGGGGATCCCATGTGGACAGTGCGTAATGATATAAATAGCATCATCTACCACATTTTTACCAGTAGGTACAGTTCAGTTAATTCAATATTATAGAAAGTAAACTCTCTAATTAGATGTACATTTTAGAATTTCTGCAAGAGTAGGCCAGGCACAGTGGCTCAAGTCGTAATCCCAGCACTTTGGGAAGCCCAGGTAGGCAGATCACCCGAGATCAGGAAGTCAAGACCAGCTTGGCCAACAGGGCAAAACCCTCTCTCTACTAAAAATACAAAAAACAACAACAAAAAAAGCTGGGCATAGTGGCACACACCTGTAATCCCAGCTACTCAGGAGATTGAGGCAGGAGAATTGCTTGAACTCAGGAGGTGGAGGTTGCAGTGAGTCGAGATTGCACCACTGTACTTCCAGCCTGGGCAACAGATTGAGACTCCGTCTCAAAAAAAAAAAAAAAAAAAAAAAAAAAAAAAGAAAAGAAAAGAAAGGAATTCCTGCAAGAGTAGACTATGTGTCCTTCAGGCATTCCTCCCTGATTGTTTTTGATAAATAATGCCAGTGAGCTCAAGGTTTTTTTGCTAAACAATTGGCTGGGATGCAGCAAAACAAGGCCAAGATTCTCCAAAGAAAAAAATATTTGAGTCCACTTGGGCATTTCAAGAACAAAATTACAATAGATTTAGTTTTAAAGATCACGGTTGGCTTTATTGCAATTCTAGAATCAGGCAACATTTTATGCCATAAAATACAATAAATTTGCCAGTGAGTTGAACAGAAGGGGTTGGTTTTATAGACAGAAAGGGCTAAGGAAAGCAAAAATGAAGAACAAAAAACAGATTGATTATTTCAAAGTTACTTTCCTTGAAAGGCAGGGACAGGGAGGCAGAAAAATAGAAAGATTGGTTAGCATCAGGTTACTTTTAAGGATTAAAACAGAGGAAACTATTATCCTACTGATTGAAGATTGAAATTGGCCTATTTGGGAAATTGGCTGCTATCTCTCTCTCCTGCTTTCTTGGAATGTTATATAACAACTTAGTTTCAGTTTGGTGATGTGGAACTTCAGCATGGATAACTCCATTTTGATTTTTAGTCAAATCTGTTGGGGCCTAATGCAGGAGCTGTGGGGCCTAGTGCAGAAGCTTAGTCCAAAACAATGGCCTCCTATATTTTGTATTTAACAATTTTCCCCTTTCAGTCATGCTTTCACCTGGGTGAGTGCATGACCAAAACTAAGGGCATTAATGCTACTCTTATTATCATGCTGGGTTTCTGGTCTCTACAAGTCATTCATAGGTTATGGTGTACTCATCATCATGCATTTATTTGAGTTTTTGTCATTCCAGCAGAAAAGAGACTCTTTGGTGTTTGATGAATGGCTGTGTGCAACCTTTAAAACTTTTCGAGAGGATATAGTGTACCAGAGAAACTACTATTATGACTATCAAAAGGATAATGCCAGGAGTTTGGAGTATGCTCCTTTATCTAGGATCCCCATAAACTAAACCAACTGAAATTAAATAGATCAAAGAATGAGCCAGGCCGGATACTCATTATATCTATGGGTAACAAGAAGTATTAGCAATTGCACAGATTTCTCCCTATTCATTTAGTCGGTAGCAATTCTATCATATAGCATTCCAGGAATGGGTTAAATTAAAACAGACAGTACTAACTCTATAAAAGAGATCACTAGTACAATTTGAACAAACAGTTGCATTAGGGATATTAGGGATGTTGCTGAAGTTACCCACTAGGTGGACTAAAGGATCTCAGGTTTTTTAAAGATTCAGATTTGACATAACAGATTCAACATGCTGTCAGATTACTCACAAAAACTAAGGATTGTGAAACTTTAACCATAGCCTTATTCTGCCAAGCGAAAGAAGTAGGCATAAGCAAGGAAAAATTAAGAGGGGTAAGAATATCATAAGAAGTCTTCGTCTGATGGCCTTGGGAAAAGCTGTCCACGGCATGCAGTTAGCAAATTCTCAACCTGGTTTGCAGTTTGAATGTCCCTGGTTGTGGCGTTAGATATTCTGGTGAACTCTCTGTATGGCACGCACATCACACATGAGACTTGTCCCTTGAAATTTCTATCAAGTTGTCCAGCTTAGCATTTTTGCTCTTAGTTGAAGAGTTGAAGCTAGATACTGGAGGTAGTGCACTAAAAGAATTCAGGATCCAGTCCAGTCTAGGGAAAAAGTGAACAAGGCTGCAATCTACTAAAAGGTGTACTATAGTTTTTCTTTTGCAACATAATTTTTCTGTCTATAATCACCCCCATTTCTACCAAAGATAATCAGAGTAAGACTAATTTGTTTGCAAAATAAGTTTCGTCTCATTAAACTTCACCTGATTATTTGTATATAAGTACAGCAAGAATAACCACACAGTTCTTTTTAAATTTGATTTGCTGGAAATTTTGACAAACAATCTCAGATTATACTTTTAAAAACCTCTCATCACTAGGAAGCCAAACCAAGGCCGACATCAGACTTTGTCTACTTTGTCTATGGTTATCTAGTGTCTTGAGGTTCCTAGGCCTGCCAGGAAGTGACAACTTTTTACTCACTCACTGTAATGCTGTGTGTAAGTCCACTTTGTGTTGCTATAAAGGAATATGTGAGACTGGGTAATTTATGAAAAAAAAAAAAAAAGAGGTTTATTTGGCTTACAGCTCTGCAGGCTATATAAGAAGCATGGCACCAGCATCTCCTCAACTTCCGGTGAGGGGCTCAGAAAGCTTTTACTTATGGTAGGAGGCTAGGGGAGTCAGTAGAGTCACATAGCGAGAGAGGCCTCCCACCAGGCCCTACCTTCAACACTGGGGATCAGATTTCAGCATGAGATTTAGAGGGGATAAACATCCAAACTGTATCACACTGGGAATCCTTGAAGCGAGGCATTCTATTAATTCTCAAATATTACATTTCAGTCAAAGCCTTGGCAATTAAACCAGTGTTTCCAATTGTATTGTGTAATACAGAGAGCAAATTCTTATTGAGCTTATGAAAATAATCATATTAAGGAGAAAGATGGAATGTTTCAATTTTTGTTTATAAAAGTGTACTCTACCAAACCATTGTGAGCTAGAGATAGCTTTAAAAAATCGTTTTCTTAAATCTGGAAAATAAAACATTAAGAGAACCAGCAATGTTTTAAATAAAAAAGCAATAAAAACCCTTACTTTTTCCTTATCAGTTTTTCAGTCTAATGTAATTAATTCTTGCTCTGTTTGATCTTAGTTGATAGTTTCACTAAACTACCAGTTTCTTTCTTAGAGTTCTACAAATTCTTACCCAATCCAGTGCTATCTCAAAGTTGTCACAAACCTGTACTTGTCAGAATTTTTTCCATTCTTTCCATGAACTTCTTTGAAGATTATGGTTCTTGCAAAAAGCTTTCAGAACAGCATCAGAATAAAGCAATTAACTGAGGACAATAAGACTTAAAATAGCCATCATTGAAAACCTGATGAGAGTCTATAATGATGCAGCTGACAAAGAAATTGTGTTATTTCTGTGGCATACAACATTTTAACATAATAACCAAAATTATGATTGATTTCTAGAAATTTAATGCAATTTTGAAAAACCTTTTTTTTTTTTTTTAAGACAGGGTCTCACACTATCACCCAGCCTGGAGTGCAGTGATGTGATCATGGCTCACTGCAGCCTCTGCCTCCTGGGCTCAGGCGATCCTCCCACCTCTCAGCCTCCCGAGTAGCTAGGACTACACCTGTGTGCCACCATGCCTGGTTATTCTTTGTATTTCTTATAGCAATAGGGTTTTACCATGTTGCCCAGGGTGGTCTTGAACTCCCGGACTCAAGCAATCTGCCCACTTCAGCCTCCCAAAGTGCAGGAATTGCAGGTGTGAGCCACCACACCTGGCCTGAATAAATATTTTAATATCGTATCTATACAAATGTAAGGAAAAGACGGTTAAACGTTATCTCTTATTGACAATATTTCCTATATAATTTAACATATCAAATAAACCTAATTGGTTTAATATCTCTCTTTTGGACTTCCAGGTGGCTGTGGTTTGGATGTTTGTCCCCCAAATCTCATGTTGAAATTTGATCCCCAATGCTGGAGGTGGGGCTTAATGGGAGGTGTTTGGGTCATGGGGATGGATCCCTCGTGAATGGCTTGGTGTCTTCTTTGCGATGAGTGAGTTTCCATTCTATTAGTTCCTGTGAGAGCTGGTTGTTTAAAAGAGCCTGTCACCTCCCCACTCCTCTCTTGCTCCCTCTGTGGCCATGTGATCTCTGTACTGTGACTCCCTTTTGCTTTCTGCCATAAGTGGAAGCTTCCTGAGGCTTTTGTCAGATGCCCAGTCTTCCAGCCAGGAAAACTGTGAGTCAAGTAAACCTCTTTTCTTCATAAATTATCCAGCCTTAGGTATTCCTTTATAGCAGCTCTAAAGGGACTAAGACAAGGAGACTTAGAATTTCATTTTGGGAAGTTTGTCAAAAAGATTCAAACACTTGATCAAAAATAGGATCACATTTTTGATCAAGTGTTTGAATATAATACTCATTTAGCCACAATGATAATTAAAATACTTCAAAAGAAGTTACATAGCTGTAGAAAATCTTAACTCTTATAATAAAGAGGAGACTCAGTTTTCCTAAGTAATTAATGACCTAAGAAAGAAAACATGAAGCACAGAAATTATTTTGACAAAATACAGAATCTTTCTTTTCTAGGCCACATACCTAAAAAGTCTCACAATTTTTTTAATAAGAAAAGATCAGTACATGTCAAGAAAACCTTGTTTTAAAATTTTAAAAATAAAGCTTAATTTTTAGAAAAACCTAAAAACAATTCTTTTTTAATTTTAGCCAACTTGATCACACTCAAAATTCCTTTCATAAGATTCATCTTCCATAAATCTTCTAAAACTTGCAAAGACCTCGTGCAGCTTGCTCAAACCTTCACTTCTTTTTCTTTTTTCTTTTTTTTTTTTTGAGATGGAGTCTCACTCTTGTTGCCTAGGCTGGAGTGCAATGGTGCGATCTCAGCTCACCGCAATCTCTGCCTCCCAGGTTCAAGCGATTCTCCTCCTTCAGCCTTCCAAGTAGCTGAGATTACAGGCATGCACCACCACGCCCAGCTGATTTTGTATTTTTAGTAGAGACAGGGTTTCTCCATGTTGGTCAGGCTGGTCTTGAACTCCCTCCCTCAGGTGATCCACCCACCTTGGCCTCCCAAAGTGCTGGGACTACAGGCATGAGCCACTGCGCCCAATCTCCTCGTTTTCATATTGAAACAACCAGTCATTCTACCTTAGGGCAAAAATTTACTTTTCTTTTTCCCTCATCTTTCTGACCACACAGAATTGTCATTCAAAAAAATTAGTCTGTTTTCAACTTTCTTTACCAAAAATATATTCTCAGACTTACAACTTTTTTGTATCTCTTTTTCCTACTTAATAGTTCCTTCCTGCCTTGTTTCCATTTTCTCCATAAATCTTTATTGTGAAAAGCCTTTAACCTTTGAATTAGCTGAAATAACTCTTTTCTACAAAAATATATTCTCATGACTTTTTATAATTTTTTTCACCCAAAACACATTTTACTTTCTCTTGGTATACTTTGCATATAGAATTACATATATTAATTAGAATTTTTAACTTTTAGTAACCTTAATTTCTAGTGAAACCTAGGAAGTAAGCAATTTTGAACTATCATATGCCAACGTTTTATAACAACACAAGATGACAAAGTATCTATACTTTAATCATTTTTAGCAATTAATGGGTCAGTATTCTAACTTACTTGGAAATGGCTGACATTTCAGGAATGTTACTTAATCATATGACTTTAAGATTATGTTACTTTGAGATTTTTGAAACTATGAAGAGTTTATTTAAAACCTTTAACTCATTTACTTTCACCTAATTTACTTGTTCTTAAAAATTATGCTTCAATTGGTCGTTAAACAAAGCTGGCCACTATCTCAAGTTATTTCCTTGTTAACCATTTTTACAGTATGCCAATGTTAGTTGCTACCTAAACAAGAGCCCTAAAGTTAAATATGAGGTTATTTTGTTGGTCAGAAGACACACTGTTTTATTGAACTAGCCTTATTTACCAAAGATTTACCTGTCACATGAACTGAAAGGTATTTGAGTTAGTCTCTTAGCCTGTTTTCTTTTGCTATAACAAAATACCAAAGACTTGGTAATTTGTAAAGAAAAGTGGTTTATTTAGCTCATTATTCTAGAGGCTGGAAAGTCCAAGACGGGGCAGCCCATCTGGTCAGCTTCTGGTGAGTGTCTCATGTTGCATCATAACATGGTGGAGAAACAGAAGGGAAAGCAGGCATGGAAAGGGGATAAAACACAGGCGTGACCTCACCTTATAACAACCTGTTTTCCTTTGAGAACTAATCCAGTCTTGTGGAATTAACCTAGTCTCATGAGAAAGACATTAATCTATGTGATTGACCTAATCATCTCTTAAAGACTTTACCTCCCCACATTGTTATATTGGCAGTTAAATTTCAACACGAATTTTGGTGCAGACACACAGCAAACCATAGCATTTAGTGCAGTTTTTCTGATGAAATATTATATTTTGTCACTTACTTTTTCTTTAAGCCAATTAATTAAAGCTTTTTCATATATTTTGGTAGCAAAATATCACATACATATAACACATGTAGACATACAGACACACAGCCAGAAGCAGATCTTAGAGCTTTTATAAGATTCTCTATTTGCCAGTTTTTCAATAGTTTCTCTTTCTTCTTTAGATTATCAATCTCCTGATTACCTGTTCTGCTGTTTTAAATTATTGTTAGCTAGGCAACCCTAAATTTGTCATTCCAAAGACATGACTCTTAGGTGAGACAATGTAGAAAATTTACATCTCAAAGCACACAACTGAGATCTAAACACCATTATTTGCTGAGACAAGGGCAAAGATTAAGACCCCATAAGACAAGATGGGCAGGAAAAGTACTATAAACACAGTTAAGGTTTGTTATGTGAATTTTAAGCCAATGTCTTTCTCACTGTAAAAATTTCTAATGGTTTTAGGTGCAAAGAAAGAGAAGCCCTTAGAAATGGAGATTTTCTTCATAGATGTAAATTTCTTTTACAAGGGGTTTTTAAATAGCCAGCTAAATGTTAGAAAGTTGTATTTTAGAGACCAATTTAGTACAATAGGTGGTCATTTTAGATTGTTTATTAATTGGATCACTGTCTTCAGGGTAGAGCCCTCTAATGAATAGGACAAAGAAGGCATTTTCTTTGCCTGGACTCATGGATAGAACTGGATTTGATATTCCTCACAACTGAAATTTTGTTTTTTATTTTGAGGGAGAGACTGTCCCCACAAGTGGAGTTTAAACTGTGTGACTTATGCCTCAGTCTCCTGATCTGTACACTAGAGGTAATAATATCTCCTTCAGAGGGGTATTTTAAGAAGTAAAGATGATACATAGTGTACAGAACAATGCTATAAGTATTAGTTGTTGATGTTGTTATTGCTATTAAGGAGTGTCTTGTGCAAAATAAATATTTCGTTTGAGGGAATAAAACAATTAAAAGAATGGGCAACTGAATTATTGTTATAGAGCAAAATGACCTAGGAGAGACCAAATACTAGGAATCAGCCATGTATGTCAGATGCTTAGAGTGTCCATGTCAAAGACCTTTGGAAACTGCAGGACTTTTATTCTTACATCAGTCCCCATGAAGTCAGGATCTGTGAAGGGTCTGAGATTTTACTTCCTTTCCTTGTAGTTGCATCGTAGTTGACCCACCTCAAAATGGGAAGTGTCAGGCCTGAGAGTCATCAGGGGTTCATTTTCTTTCTTTTTTTTTTTTTTTTTTTTTTTTTTTAGACAGAGTCTTGCTCTGTTGCCAGGCTGGAGTGCAGTGGCGCGATCTCGGCTCACTGCAACCTCTGACTCCCTGGTTCAAGCCGTTCTCCTGCCTCAGCCTCCCGAGTAGCTGGGATTACAGGCACATGCCACCACGCCCAGCTAATTTTTGTATTTTTAGTACAGACAGGGTTTCACTATGTTGGCCAGACTGGTCTCGAACTCCTGACCTCGTGATCCGCCCGCCTCAGCCTCCCAAAGCACTGGGATTACAGGTGTGAGCCATCACACCCAGCCCACGGGTTCATTTTCTAACAAGAGCTCAGCAGCACTTATGTTATGAGTTGAATTGATACCCTCTCAGAATTCGTATGTTGAAGTCCTAACCCCTAGTACCTCAGAATGTGATCTTATCTGGAGATAGAGTCTTCACAGTGGTAATCAAATTAAAATGAGGTAATTAGAGTAGGCCCTAATTCAGTATAACTGTGGCTTTATAAGAAGAGGAAATTTGGACCTATAGACATGCATACCAAGATAATACAATGTGAATATGAAGACAGCTATCTATAAGCCAAGGAACGAGGCCTAGAACAGATGCTTTCCTCATAGCCTTAGCAAGGAACCAACCCTGCAGATACCTTGATTTCAAGTTGCTAGGCTCCAGAACTGAGACAATACATTTTTGTTGCTTAAGCCAAAAACAAAAACAAAAATGGAGTTTAATGTAGAATCTCAGAAATCACCACTAAAGAACTTATTCATGTAACCAAACACCACCTGTTCCCCAAAACCTATTGAAAAAAAAATTAAAAAAAATAAATAGATAAAGTAGAAATCACAGTTCTGGTGTCTACCTACAGGATAACAACTGGAGCTTCCCCCAAAGGCCTGTCAATCCTGGTGGTCAATGTGGAGTTTATCAGAGGGTAGACAGCCTGTTTATAATGTTTTCCCTGGAAATATTTGGGGCAGTCTCTTTTCCAATGTCCTGCTTGTTTGCACCAATACCAACAGTTTTTTGGAAACTGTTTTTTCAGCCATTTATTAAAGAAATGCCCCAGAGCAGGCCAAAAGGCCAGCCTAGGTTGTTGTTTGCCATCCAACTGAAACACTTTGGTAATGGCTTTCAAAAAGTTATTTGCAGTTTTTCCCTGCTTTCCATAATGGACCAGGCAGGGCTTGTCAGGTAATACCATTCTGCATCTTTCACCCATTTTGGGGCTTCTCTAATTCTCACCAATATGTGTATTAGTTGGTTGAGCTCAGATATCCTGGGGTTATAAGTTTCAGTGAAGACCCTAAATTTTTCCTACATTTTTCTATATTTATTTATTTATTTAGAGATGGGGTCTCACTCTGTCGCCCAGGCTGGAGTGCAGTGACATAATCGTAACTCACTGCAGCCTCAAACTCCTGGGCTGAAGTGATCCTCCCACCTCAGCCTCCCAAGTAGCTGGGGTTATAGGCATGTGCCACTACACCTGGCTTCTCTTCAGAAAATATTTGGAGGTCTTCTGTAGGTTTAGGAACTTTTTAAACTATGGCCCTTGGCTCTGTTTTTGTCCGAAGAGTATAAGTCACTCAGGGATTACTTCCTGAATTTGGGGTGGTTTTTCTTATAAAGAAAGCATTTAATTGTGTTTTCAGAAAAGGAAGGCATTTAAGACAGAGGGGAGCAGAATAAGTCAGGTTAATATTACTGTCCTTCGTATGGATGATATCTCACATTTGTAACTTTTTATTAGCTCTTTGCAATGAATTTTTTTAAAAAGCAATTTTAGAATCCTGTTGTCTGCTTGAGGCTTCTGAATGCCAATTAGAATAACAATTCCATTCTCTCTGCCTAATTATAGAAACTTGGGATTCAAGTACAGTTATATGAATGGTCTTGTTCATCTGGAACATTCTGCATAGTAGCCATTATAATTCTATATTATCTGTAGTAAGATTTGATATTTGCAGCTTCCTGAGCCATAATTCTGTACGTGAAAAAGGCAGGCATACTGGAAGGCAGAGTTGTCAGATGTTTAGAAATTAAGGATCCCATTTTTATGTTGGATTTTGGGTCTCTCAGAGCTAGGATGGCTTTGGCTCTAAGATCTCAGTGCTCAAGAAGAGAACAAATAAAGAGGCCCCTGCAGTAATAACCACTTACTGTGACTACCGTCTAAGAAGCTGGCACTGTGGTATGGGGGTGGGTGTGGCAACCCCATGCCCTCTTTGGGTACCTTACATCCCAGCATATCCATGTGTTCCCCAACCCCAAAGCTTATCAAATCTTGTTATTCAGAAGTTTTTATGGAGTCTAATCTCCAGTCCTTCCCCCTTCCCTTTCCTGGAGGTCAGTAGGTGACATGGTTTGGCTGTGTCCCTACCCAAATCTCATCTTGTAGTTCCTATAATCCCCACATACGCTGTAGAATGTCTTGGGACAGGTGTGTGGAGTAGAGGATGGTGCAGTTGGGTTTTAAATCAGATTCACTCTAATTGCAGATCAGGCTGTGTTCAGTTCTAACTAGAAGGTAGGAGATCTTGCCAGTTCTCCAATTTGGCCATTACCAAGGGACCCCGGATAAAGCTGATATATGATCCCTATTTGTCATTTGTCTCTTCCTAATTAGCCATAAGGTAGAGAAGAGGTGGGAGGTGGTGATTGACACCCCTAACCACCAGCAAATAGGGTGAGGACACTGAGGCAGGACTGGGCTTGACTTAACATAGAAAGATATGCGACCACATATTTCTTTCTATCTTTTGACTTCAGATATAAAAACGACTAGAATTTATTTTCCTATGATAAGTAGTAAAAAAGATGCTTCTGTTTTTCGTTAGAAGTTGAGGTCTTCTAGAATCGTCAACTTGGATTATGCATTCTTTTGCTCTTATCACTGAATTACATTAGCATAACTGTAACAGAAATTGTTGATATTTTACTAATGGTGAGCCCACTAGCATGGTGGGCTCTAAAATTCCCTCTCTAACACTTTTTGCTTCCATTGTCTTTTAGGGAGCTAATTCCAACTCCCAACTAGAACATGAGTTCCCCTAGGTCAAGGAGTTAATCTTCCTTGTGTCGTATTCATTCATCCTTTGCTCATTTATTCATTCCATAAAACTTGTTAGCATCTCCTGTTTGGTAGGCACTGTGCCAGTCCCCGTACATTACATGGTTATATAGCCATCAACATCAGAGTAGAGACTCTAGCCTCACAGAGCTCACAATCTCTTATAAAGCCCATCATGATGAGAGGATTTCAACTAAGTGAGTAAAGCATTGAGCACAGGGTCTGAGACAGCATCAGCCACTCAACACACATCTGTTCAGTGAATGGATAACTCAGCAGTGCTGGAAGTAGCACAGAGTTGGTATTCTGAGACTTCTGTATGGGATAGTCTAGACTCCCAGACTAAAATTTAATAGTTAGTAAATAATATTTATTGAACATTTACTGAGTAGGTCACCATGCTAAGAGCTTTATAAACATCATTTTATTCATCACAACGCTTTGAGATAAAAACAACTTTTATTTTTATTTTTTCCAGTTTGTTTTTGTTTGTTTGTTTGTTTGTTTTGAGACAGGATCTCACTCTGTTGCCCAGGCTGGAGTGCATTTAATTTTCATTTTTAGTAGAGACAGGGTCTCACTTTATTGTCCAGGCTGATCTCGAACTCCTGGGCTCAAGGTATCCTCCTGCCTCAGCCTCCCAAAGTGCTGGGATTACAGGTGTGAGCCACCACACCTGGCCTAAAAACAACTGTTAATGATCATTTTATGGGTGAGGAAACTGAGGCTCAGAGTGTAATATCTTTCCCAATCAACTAGCAACTATCAGAAAAAGGATTTGAACCAAGTTGTTTAATTTCAAAACCTGTGAATGTAATCATTTTGCTACATAGCCTCTTAGGGGTCGTCTATTTGAATTCCTTTAAGTGAATCCTGGGCCGGTGAACTTTAAACAGACTGTCAGTCAGGATGCCAAATACTCCACACTGAAAGTAGATAGAAATAGCTTCATCAGGAGCACAGTGAAGGTGACACTTTCTCCTTTGTGACATTTTTCAGAGAGCCATTGGTGGTCCTAGAGTATTACTATCTACTAGGATTTACTGGGTGCTACATCCAGATAAGCCAAAGAGGAGATGGCTCTGGGTTGTTATAATGACATTTTCATGATTTTTTCATGTAACATGTCATTTTACACTTTATTAAGTATTCTAATGATTCTGGACAACAGATTTTGAAATGGTACTCAGAAAAATGAGGCAAATTTAGTGTGTTGTTTCCTTTTATGATTCCAATTGCATTTTTTCATGGGTCACTGTGAACAAGGCTTACAATTATTTTTATATAATGACTTTTTCATTCACATTATTTCTGTAATCTCATAGTTTAATGACAATTACTGTCTATTTATATGACTTGTATTTATAAGACTGGTGTTCAAGAGAAAGTTTATTTTTTCTTAACAATAGTAGTAATGGCACATAACTAAGATTGAGGGATCACTTTGTGTCAGGCTTTTCATTAAGGCTGTTTATATGTATTATTTCATTTAATCATCATATCAACCCTATGAGATAGTCACAATTGTGATCTCCAATTTACAGACAAGGAACCAGAAGTTGTAGAAGTTGAGTGATATAGTTTGGATGTTTGTCTCTCCAGATCTCATGTTGAAATTTGACCCCCAGTGTTGGAGGTGAAGCCTAGTGGGAGGTGTTTGGGTCATGGGGGCAGATCTTTCATGAAAGGCTTGGTGCCATCCTCAGAGTAATGAGTGAGTGCTCACTCTATTAGTTCCCCTGGAACTGATTGTTAAAAAGAACTTGGCACCTCCCCAAGTTCCGTTGCTTCCTCTCTCTCACCATGTGATGTCTGCACACAATGACTCCTCTTTCCCTTCTGCCATGAGTGGAAGCAGCCTGAGGCCCTTGTCAGAAGTAGATGCTGGTGCAACGCTTCTTGTACAGCCTGCAGAACTGTGAGCCAAATAAACCTTTTTTCTTTATAAATTACCCAGCCTCCAGTATCCTTTATAGCATCATAGACAGAAAATTGGTACTGAGGAGTGGAGCATTGCAATAAAAATACCTGAAAATGGGGAAGCAGCCTTAGAACTGGATAATGGACAGAGTTTGGAAGAGTTTGGAGGGCTCAAAAGACAAAAAGACAAGGGAAAGTTTGGAACTTCTTAGAGACTGGCTAATTGGTTGTGACCAGACTCCTGATAGAAATAAGGATAGTGAAGCCCAGCTGACAAGGTCTCAAATGAAAGTGAGGAACTTAGTGGGAACTGGAGCAAAGATCACTTTTGTTATGCCTTAACAAATATCTCGGCAGCATTGTGTCCATGTCCTAGGGATTTGTGGAAGGCTGAATTTAATAGTGATGATGATGAAGGTTATCTGGTAGAAGAAATTTCTAAGCAGCAAAGCACTCAAGAAGTGGTGTAGCTGCTTCTAACAGCCTATAATCAGATATGGGAGCAAAGGAATGAGCTTAAGTTGGAATTTATATTTAAAAGGGAAACAGAGCAGAAAATTTTGGAAAGTTCTCAGCCTGCCTATGTAGTAGGAAGGAAAAAGCACTTTTAGATGAAATCCAAGGATGTGGCTGATCTATTGCTTGCTAGAGAGATTAACATGGATAAAAGGGAGCCAGGTGCTAATAGTCAAGACAATGGGAAAAAGGTCCTGAAGGTGTTTCAGAAACCTTCAAGACCACCTTTCCCATCACAGACCCAGAGACCTAGGAGGTCAGAGTGGTTTCAGGGGAATGGCCCAGGGCACCACTGCCCTATACCACCTCAGGACACTACCCCCCAGTCCCTGCTGCTTTTAGCTCCGGCCAGTTATTTCTCCAATTGTCTGTCTGGAGGGTATAAGCCTTAATAAGCCTTGGTAATTTCCATATGGTGTTAAGTCTTCAGGCATGCAGAATGCAAGGGTGATGGAGGCTTGGCAGCTTCCACCTAGATTTCAGAGGATATATCAGAAAGCTTGAGTGCCCAGGCAGAAGCTTGCTGCAGGGTGGAGCCCCCACAGAGAACCTCTACTAGGGCAGTGTGGCAGGGAAATGTAGGGTAAAAGCCCCCTACACAGAGTCCCCACTGGGGTATTGCTTAATGAAGCTGTGGGAATGGGGCTGCCATCCTCAAGATCCCAGAATTATAGACCCACCAGCAGCATGTACCCTCAGCTTGGAAAAGCTGCAGGCATTGGACTCCAACTCATGAGATCAACCATGTGTGCTGCCCAGCAAAGCTGTGGGGACAGCACTGCCTAAGGCCTTAGGAGCCCACCCCTTGCACCGGTGTGCTCTGGATGTGGGACATAGAGTCAAGGATTGTTTGGAGCTTTAAGGTTTAACGTCTGCCCTACTGAGTTTTGGACTTGCATGGGGCTTGTTACCCCATTCTTTTGTCCAATTCCTCCCTTTTGGAATCGGACTGTTAACCCAGTGCCTGTACAAACATTGTATCTTGGAAATAAATAATTTGTCTTTGATGGTACAGGCTCCCAGCTGTAAGTAACTTCCCTTGAGTATCAGATGAGACTTTGGACTTTGGACTTCTGAGTTGATGCTGGAACAAGCTAAAATTTTAGGTGACTGTTGGGATAGAATGATTGCATTTTGCAATATGAAAAGGACATGAGATTTGGGGAACCAGGGAAAGGATTACATACTTTGGATATCATGTTGAAATTTTATTCCCAATGTTAAGAGGTGGGCCTAGTGGGAAGTGTTTGTGTCATGGGGGTAGATCCCTCATGCTTGGTGCCATCCTCCTGGTAATGGGTGAGTTCTCACTCTATTAGTTCCTGCAAGAGCTGCTTGTTAAAAAGAGCCTGGCATCTTCCTTCCCTCTCTCTCCTCCTTCATCTCTCTCACCATGTGATCTCTGCTTATACCTGCTCCCATTGGCTTCCACCATGAGTAGAAGTGATTTGAAGCCCTTCCCAGATGGATATGCTGGCACCATTCTTCTTGTGCAACCTGTGGAACCTTGAGCCAAATACACATCTTTTCTTTATAAATTACCCAGCTTCAGGTATTCCTTTATAACAATGCAAATGCACTAAGGCATGGAGTAATAGCCCAAGGTCACACAACTAGTAAGTAAGTGGTAGATCCTATATTCAAAATGAGGCCTCATTTGTTCCAATATCCATGAGCTCAGCTGCTCTCCTATACCATCTTCCTGCCAGGCCGCTCTAACTGCAGAGTAAACTTGCATCAGATAAGAGGTTATGCCTTGATTAAGGCCTTGTGGTCCAAACTTATGGGTTTTCCAGTGGGCAAAATTATTTGAGGAAAAGATTTCACATTTTCCAACTTTTCTTCTTTTGAAATATGTGTTAAAATGAGGTTGCTTTCTTAAAAGCAAACTGTTAAAGAATACAGTCAGTAAGCTATAATTTAGTATGTATTTTACTAATGCTTTATTTATTTCTAAGATGATCCTGGTCTTCTTCACCAGCCTTCAGTGGATTGTTTTTCTCCAAGCCATTCTGAATCTGTTTTTGATTCAAGTTAGAAAAGCTCCCTGGCTATAGCTATGGTTCTGTGTTTCCAGCTGCTTTACTCTGTGCCAGTGGCTTTGAGTTCTTCAGCAAAGGTACTCTGGCAGACCAAGTCTGTCTTACTCAAAAGCTTAAATAGATATTGCAGAGGAGAAGAGGAAAAGAATCAGCAGTGATTATTACTTGTACTTCTGAGACTCTGTTAATTGTAATGTCATGGTTAAATTTGCTTATTAACCACTTTGATTCAGACTCATCTTCCAAATACAGTCCAGAGACAGACTGCTATACAGTTATAAAAGGTCTCCTTAATTAGCTTCCAAGTTCCATTAGAGTTAAGGTTGTATCAGAGCTTAGCATTTTAAGTAACATGTAAATAAATCCTAAAGAAGTTTTATCACACTCACTGTCTGCTCCCTTTCATGCCAATGTCACCAAGATCATCAAGAATCACTAAATTTGTTCTTAAAGAAGCAATTTCTAGACCTCCCTTCTGTTCATTTGTTAAGGGGAGAAATGTTGTTCCTCATTGTTTAAATGAGAAAAAATTTTCATTTGAGTTATGGGACATTATATAATGTTGTCACAGAGGTGGTCAGGAAAGAAAAGTAACAATGTTTAGGTGTATAGTCTTGAAGCTTTGACTTCCATCATGAAAGATTAACTGCTACAGGAATTTTTCTTTTGCTGTAAGTAATTAGAAAACTGGACCAACTATATGAAACAGCTTTTCAGACAGTGCACACAGGAAGTGTAGGACTGATCCCTGAGGGAAGGGAAACAAATGAATTGAGATTACAATTTTCCCAGCTTATTGTCTGGAGGCAGTTTTCAGGCCACAGAGGTGGAGGAGGGGATGCAGAACAGAACCTACTGGTCTTATCAAATTGAGGGGACAAAAAATCAGTTTGGGAGAACTAAAATGGTAGAATTTGCAGGGCAGAGTACTGGAGATGAGGGGCTGCTCAAATACAGCATTCCAGAGATATGCAGGATTGTTACTTGAGTCTTTGGGTAGGTATGTATTTGTCTGTGCACGCATAAGAGGAACTACCCAAAGCTAGAGAAAGAACCAGCAGAAAATAAACCAGACAATTCCCAGAACTCACGCAGAAATGAGATTATATTCCTAAAAGCCAGAAAGGAGAGACCTCACAATACACAGGGCTTTGAGTAGAGCCTCAGAAGAGCCTTGCCTTAGCAGTGAGGGGAAATCACTACTTAATACCAGAAACTTTACACATCATGATCAAATACAGGAATACCTCAGAGATAGTACAGGTTCCATTCAGATTATTACAATAAAAGCAAATACCACAATAAAGGGAGTCACAATTTTTTTTGCTTCCCAGTCCATATAAAAGTTATGTTTACATTTTAATGTAGTCTATTAATTGTGGAATGGCATCATGTCTTAAAAATATATATGTATCTCAGTTAAAGAATATTTTATGGCTAAAAAATGCTGACAATCACCTGAGCCTTTAGCAAGTCATAATCTTTTTCTTGGGGAGGGTCTCGTCTCAATGTCGATGGCTGCCGACCTATCAGGGTTGTGGTTGTTGAAGGTTGAGGTGACTGTGGCAATTTTAAAAAATAAGACAACAGTGAAGTTTGCTGTGTTGATTGACTCTTCCTTTCATGAAACATTTCTCTGTAAGAAGCAATGCTGTTTGATAGCATTTTACTCACAGTAGATCTTCTTTCAAGATTGTAGTCCTCTCAAACTACCATTGCTCTGTCAATCAACCAAGTTTTTGGACTATTCTAAATATTTTATTATCATTTCAACAATGTTTCACAGCATCTTCACCAGGAGCAGTTTCCATCTTGAGAAACCACTTTCTTTGCCCATCCATAAGAAGCAACTCCTCATCCATTCAAGTTTTATCATGAGATTGCAGCAATTCAGTCATATCTTCAGGCTGCACTTCTAATTCTAGTTCTCTTGCTATTTCTACCACATCTGCAGTTACTTTGTCTACTGAAGTCTTAAACCATTCAAAGTTGGAATCAGGTTCTTCCAAACTTCTGTTAATGTAGATACTTTGACCTCCTCCCATGAATCACAAATGTTCTTAATGACATCTAGAATGATTAATCCTTTCCAAAAGGTTTCCCACTTATTTTGCCCAGATTCATCAGAGGAATCACAGTTTTGGCAGCAATAGCCCTATGAAATGTATTTCTTCAATAATAAGACTTGAAAGTTGAAATTACTCCTTGATTTATGGGTGGCAGAATGAATCTTGTGTCAGCAGGTGTAAAAAAAGCATTAATCCCCTTGAGCATTTCTATCAGAACTCTTGGGTGACCAGGTGCATTGTCAATGAGCAGTAATATTTTGAAAGCAATCTTTTTTTCTGAGCAGTAGGTCTCAACAGTGGGCTTAAAATATTCAGCAAACCATGCTGTAAACAGATGTGCTGTTATGCAAGTTTTGTTGTTCCATTTGTAGAGCACAGTCAGAGTCAATTTAGCATTATTCTTAAGAGCCCAAGGATTTTCAGAATGGTAAATGAGCATTGGCTTTAATTTAAGGTAACCAGCTCCATTAACCTCTAACAAGAGAGTCAGCCTGTGTTTTGAAGCTTTGAAGCCAGGATTAACTTCTCCTTAACAGCTAGAGAAGTCCTAGATGACATTTTCTTCCAATATAAGGCTACTGGATTTAATTTGAAAACTTTTGTTTAGTATAACCATCTTCATCAACCATATTCATAACATACAATGCTGTGTGTTAGCTGTAATAGATCTTCTGAATAACTTCTTGCAGCTTCTACATCAGCACTTATCGCTTCACCTTGTACTTTTATGTTATAAAGATGGCTTCTTTCCTCATAAGCCAGCCTCTGCTACCTTTAAACTTCCAGCCTCTGCTACCTTTAAACTTCTGCAGCTTCCTCACCTCACCTCTTCTCAGATCTCGTAGAATTTAAGAGAGTTGGGGCCTTGCTCTGGATTAGGCTTTGGCTTAAGAGAATATTGGGGCTGGTTTGATCTTCCATCCAGACCACTAAAACTTTCTCCATATCATCAATAAGGCTGTTTTACTTTCTTATTAGTCGTGTGTTCACTAGAGTGGCACTTTTAATTTCCTTCAACAACTCAACTTCCTTTACAATCACAACTTGGCTAACTGGCATGAGAGGCCTAGCTTTTGGCCTGTCTCAGCTTTTAACATACCTTCCTCACTAAGCTTCATAATTTCTAGCTTCTGATTTAAAGTGAGAAATGTACAATTCCTCCTTTCACTTGAACACTTGGAGGCCATGGTAGGATATTAATTGGCCTAATTTCAATATTGCTATGTCTCCAGGAATAGGTAGACCCCCAGGAGAGGGAGTGACGGAAACAAACCAGTCAATGGAGTAGTCAGAACACACACACATTTATTGATTAAGTTTGCTGTCTTATGTGGACGTAGTAAGTTTGAAATACTGCAGGAATTAACAAAAATGTGACACAGAGATATAAGCAAGCACATGCTGTTGGAAGAATGGCATCAATAGACTTGCTTGATGCGGGTTTGCTACAAACCTTCAATTTGTAAAAAAAAAAACAGTATCTGCAAATCACAATAAAGCAAAGTGCAATAAAACAAGGTATGCTTGTAACTGAAAACCAGTAGTGAAGAGATAATCTGAAAAGCAGTCAGAGGAAAAATACTCATTGTATATAAAGGAACAAAGACTAGGATGACAGCGGAATTCCCATTAGAAACAATGCAGGCGTAAAGGCATAAGAATGATATAATGGACTTGGGGACTCTGGGGGAAGGTTGGGAGGGGGGTGAAGGATAAAAGACTACACATTGGGTAACGTGTATACTTCTCGGTGACAGGTGCACCAAAATCTCAGAAATAACCACTGAAGAACTTATCCATATAACCAAAAATCACCTGCTCCCCCAAAACTATTGAAATAAAAGAAACAATGCAGGCTGAAAACATTGTAATGACAATCTTTGTAAGTGCAAAAAAACAAAAAACAAAAAAACACTTGCCAACCTAGAATTCTGTATCCAAAGAATATATCTTTTTTTTTTTTTTTGGATGGAGTTTTGCTCTTGTCACACAGGCTGGAGTGCAGTGATCTCGGCTCACTGCAACCTCCACCTCCCAGGTTCAAGCAGTTCTCCTGTCTCACCCGAGTAGCTGGGATTACAGGCGCCCACCACCACGCCCGGCTAATTTTTGTATTTTTTAGTAGAGATGAGGTTTCACCATATTGGCCAGGCTGGTCCTGAACTCCTGACCTCAGGTAATCCACCTGTCTTGGCCTCCCAAAGTGCTGGGATTACAGGTGTGAGCCACCACGCCCGGCTAGAATATATCTTTCAGGTCTATAGTTTCTTCTCTGAAACCCAGAGTGCCAGATGTGTTTTAAAATTTATAATTTTTCATATTTTGAAAGTAAACGGAGTATGTCAACCATATTTCATAACACACACACATAAGTCTAAGATAGCACCCTTTAATCAACCACATTAATATATGTGCAGCAAAACCTAGGAATGTTCATTCTAGATGATATAAAGTCTAAAACTTTCATATCAAATCAGGTTTTACTACCAAATAAGTTCAGGCACTAAATTAAAAAAGAATACCCTTGGTTTTCAGAACTTTGGGCTTTCAGAATTGTAAATAAGAGACCTTGTGCTAGTCAGTTTTCTACGTTATGCCTGCCTTACCTCTGATCCTTACAAATCCTTACCTTGTTTGTTATCACAAATAATATGTGACTACAGAAGGCAGCATGGATCATGTAACCAGAGGCCAGTGGGAATATGACCATTTCAGCTCTGCCAGTGCCAGGGACCAAGAATCTGAGACTATGTTGGGATGCTTGTACATCCTGGAAGATGCCAGCACAAAATGCTGGGTAAATGCTCATTGTGAATGTCACCTAGGAAGAAAGCAGTGGAAAGGAGGGGATGGACCTGAATTTAACTGAGTTGGAATTTCAAATAATTGAGAAATTACTGGACTTGACTGTGTTTACCCGGATTATCTACTTATAAGAAAATGAAGTTACATTTTTACATAACAGAATTTATAAGTTTTTAAATTATCTACTAAACATTACTTAATGTCATACGGCCTGGTTCATCATCTGTTAAATAGGAAGAATAATACCAACTTCACAAAATTGTATAAGGCTTCAAGGAGAAGATTGAGAAAGAAAAAGAAAACTTCATACACTTAAAAGAAAAATGTAACAGACAATGTTAGGTAAGCTTGGGTTTTTAAACCAATGAGCTCTCTGTTGTTTTGGCAGAATTACTCTGGCTCCAGTGTGTGAGATGAATTTGAGAAGGGACAGCTGTTAGAAGGAGACCAGTTAGGAGGCTTTGCAATCATTCAGGCAACAGGGAATGAGGCCTTTTGTTAGGAAATTGCAGTGTACATGGGTTCAAGATCCTTTCCAGTGGTAGAAACGTGGAAAAGAGTGAGGAACTCAGAAGGAGTCAAAGATGACCTAAGATTCCAAGGTTGGTGATTAAAGAGGACAGTGATGACATTAACTGAGTTGGAAAGTAAGGATGCCAGCAGGTTTGGGAAATAGATAAGTTCAGTTCAGAGTACAGTGAATATAAGGTCAACAAATGCCTTGGAAAAGAAGAGAACAGTGAACAGTAGTATAATGGTGAAGAGTGGTGTGTGGTGTGGCTCTGCAGGCTGACTCTTTCACAAGTTATGTAAGTGTTCCGTGCCTCAGTTTCCTTTCTGTAGAAATGGTAAAGGTAAAAAGCTTTTTGAAATTTGCCTTTGGAAATATTTTTAATTTAGAATTTTAGCTGTGCCTCATTATCTCTACCTGTCACTATAAATTTTCTGTAGAATAGTGGTTCAAATATTACGTAATTCATGGACTTGTTATGAAGCTTAAATATTAGGTCATCCAGGAAGAGAGCATAGTTGGGCACCATTATTGACTATAGCTATTGCAACCATTTAGTGGGAGGCCGATGCTGTGGATGTGATGGAAAGAGCACTGCTCCCTGCCCTGGGAGACAGAAGACACAGCTCTGAAATATAACTAGCTGGTGGCTTTTAACAAGAGGTTCAGTTGGGCCTCAGTTTGTTCATCTGTGAAAACAAGGGACTGGATAATTCTCTATAAGGCCACTTACATCCCTTAATATTATACGGTTCCCTTGAGGTTAAAAACAAAATTTGCTACAGATAAACCATAATGGAAATAATGTATTCACTTGTAATGGAGCAATAGATTAAGTGCTATTTTAGTATCTGTGGGCCTGGCCTAAGACATATTTTTGCATTTAAAGCACATTAGGAAATTTAGAAATGGTAAAGGTAAAAAGCTTTTTGAAATTTGCCTTTTGAAATATTTTTAATTTAGAATTTTAGCTGTGCCTCATTATCTCTACCTGTCACTATAAGTTTTCTGTAGAGTTTCAGATAAATGTACAGTGTCTTCTCTGCCTTTTCCTGTTATACTTGCTTAGTGATGTCACAAAACAGCTGTCTGGATGCTTACTTCATTTGCAAGAATAGAATAGGGCATTTCGTTTGCTAGGATTTCCACTTGTTAAAAAGAATCCCAGAGGGCCAGCCATGGTGGCTCATCCCTATAATCCCAGCACATTGGGAGGCCGAGGTGGATAGATCACTTGAGCTCAGGAATTCTAGACCAGCCTGGGCAACATGGTGAAAACCTGTCTCTACAAAAAATACAAAAATTAGCTGGATGTGGTGGCACATGCTTATGGTCCCAGCTACTAGGGAGGCTGAGGTGGGAAGATCTCTTGAATCCCAGAGGTCAAGGCTGCAGTGTGCTGTGATTGTGCCATTGCACTCCAGCCTGGGTGGCAAAGCAAGACCCTGTCTCAAAAAAACAATAAAAATAAAAATTAAAAATCCCAGGTTCCATAGAGAGGGTACTCCTTTACTATTACTTTTTCTGCCTTCTACAGCAGAGCACAATCCTCTTTCCATTACATTACTAGAGATTTTTATTAATGAAGACATGCTAAGCACATAACCAAAGCTAAGATTTTCGTTTTGGCATATTTAGGGAGAAACTATGAGGAGGAGGAGATACAAAATGGCCTCCTCATAATAGCTTACACCTGCTCTATCACTTTACCTTTAATAGGGGTGATTCCATTCACCCTCATTAACTTCTTTTAGCCCTTTTTGGTTTTCCAAATTTGATACCATTTGTGTTGAACAGAATAGTCTTTTACTTATGTCCTTCATAAAATGGCAATATGCAAAATATGATTGAAATAAGGAATGAAGTCCAATAAGTCACTTATAAAATATTCATGCTGAAAACTTTATTCATATGACATGTTTTATGCTCACGTTATATATACATTTGCCAAGTGTTCAGCTGTCAGAAATTAGAGATCAAATACAAAAATTTTGTTACAGTTTGTACTATATATTTTCCAATTCTTTAGGTGGGCAGCCTTCAAATATTAATGAAGAAGAAGAGAGGTTATCAATTTAGTTGGGAAGCCAAATCTTCAGTCATCAAATGGATTACTCAAAAATTTTACTGAATGTGTGTGTGTGTCTACTTGTATGGGGGTGGGGGGATGAGGGGGAGAAGGAAAGAGAAAGATGTTTTGCTTCCTAAAAGAATCTGTGAAGGAAAATCTGGCAGACATTGTAAATCACTTTGATTTTTACATTTTCCTCATCAATACCAATTGAAAAACACCTAGACCATTAACTTTGAATTGTATGGAAACGTCTAAAAATGTACCTGCCTGCCTAATATCAGAGTACCATGGTCTTCACTCTTGTTTTTCAGTGCCAGGCCACATTTATTCTGTGGCCTTTGGGTTTGGTTAGATGGCAGATGGCTCCTCATTTGATGCCATGAAATGATGAAATCCCAGCCAATATGAAAACTTTAAATGAAATCTGTTAATTTATGCTTGGAGTCTAGAAGACAATTTAAATATATATGTATATATAATTAATAATGTATTAATGATTCTAAAACTTTAAAAGTAGAAACAGCTTTCTATTCATAGTCTTAACATTGGCTTTTCATATCAAAACCATTTTTAGTTTATCAGGAATCTTGTTAAACCGTAAACAAGGGGACTTGGGTTCTAATCCTGCTTCTGCCTCTGTGGCAGGGGAGAGTCATGCCAACCTACTGGGAGTTGGTCACCTGAGCTGTATGACCACAAATGTCTCTTGTGAGTTTTACATTTCATGATTCTGTGAACTAAATATCCTGTGCTAGTTTCTTTTCATTTAATTCTCCAGTCCAGAAATTTACCACACATATATCTGCATGTAGCTTTGACATACATTAGGTGATCACTTAATATTTGGTAAAGTAACAATGTGTTTTGCTACTTCAGATGGATTGTAAAATTACTGTAATTTTGCAGCTTTTTGTATTGGGGCTATTACTTATTTGTGTTGAATCACATTATTGTTGCTTTAACACTTACTCTCGGTGGCTTTGTGCATCATTTAGAGTTGGTTTTTATGCATTCTCACTAAGGTATTTCAGCAGGGAAGCTGCAGGAAAAAAAAAAAAACACTTTATTTTGCCTAATCTTGGGAACTCAAAAAATAGACACAAATATTTTCATAATCATAAGGTAATCCAGGGAGTGAATTTCACTTTTCTCCAGCTTGATTTTGCTAAAAAAAAAAAGACCATTCTGGATACACAGACAGCTTATTCCAAACAAGTTACCCTGTGAAAAGAAAAGCTTCTCCAACTCTGCTCACTGGAAAACTGCCTGGATGGAGGCAAGCGTTTAGTACCCTGAATTTGGAGAGACCTAGACTTTCTTCTAAAGCTCTAAGATGGATATAGAATTTAAAAATTATAAGAAAATAACTGCTGTTTGATGAAAGAATTTTAAAGTTAAGACATCTGTTTCCTTTATTTGTTTTCCATTACATATTTTCAGTTAATATCTAAATGGGGGATAAACTACTCATCAGGCAGGTAGTGTAAATAGTGCACTAGTTATTTTTAAATGCCTAATTCCATACGGTATCTATTCAGCTTTACATATTTTCAGTAGTTAACACCCTAATAGGAGTGGCTTAATAAGCCATTTACAATAGAGGCAGTTAATTAGTTATGCTATTAAAAAGCAAACTTTAAAGCATTTAATCCATTGTACATTATTGTTTGCTTTGAGAGGCAAACTTAAGATTTATAAGGTTCCAATTTGAACCCCAGAATAAATGAAGGTAAGGGAAGCCAAAACTTCCCTGGTGTTGAGGAAAAACCTTTGCTTTCTCACTTCCTATGAATAGCAGTATTGTCCACCACCATTAGTACAGGGGCACCAGGGCCTTGCCATTCCATGCTTGGGCTTGTTTTTATTTTTAAGGAATGTTGGAAAATTGTGGAAATGAATGTTTTTTCTTCCCTTTTTTCCTTAATACCTCATGGATCCTGACCTTTTTCTTTAAACTGGTTTAATACGTGTTTCCCTTAAGGTTGGTCATTGACCCAAAAATGAGTTTGAGTTTCTTTTTCCATGATCTCCTCTAAAGAATTCTGTTAATAGCATACTAAACTGGATTACAAACTTACTGAATAAGTGCTTTGAATTCTGGGCAACCTTGGAATAAAGGGCACAGAAAGAGTAATACTGCATAGAATGAAACTGGGCAAGTTGGTATAAAGGAAAGGAATGCAACTGTATGGCTGATGTGATCAACACCGTCTAGTAGGTTTATTAGCAATTTAATGGAATATGGCTATTCAAGCACAATAATGGCTTCAGTTGAAATGTCTGTTCTGCTCTTTTTCCCATACACTTTGGAATGAGTAGAATGTGACAGTTGAGCTTTCAACAAGCTTCATGAATTTTAAATCCTTTTTAGTTATAAAATGGGGTACATGGCATGTAGTCAGTGTGGACAAGGAGCTGGCAGCCTCATCTAGTCTTATGGAATATCAGGTGTCTTCAAGATAATGAGGGCTCGAGTTGACCAGGTGCATTCTGGGTTTGCTCTGTATATCCACAGAGAACAGAGGGACCTCTCTCTGTGCAACATCCAATGATTATTTTGCAGTTGTAAAGTTACTTTCTCAACATTTGCTGCAAGACCAACTTGATATCATCACAGAAGAAAACCTGTACTGATGTCTCAGAACAACTTCTTTTTGGCAGCTAAATATTTTTATTTTGTTCTATCTCTGGTTGATTCATGCATATTTAGAGAAGAAACACTGTGAATTGTGATGTAGCTTTTTATCCTCAAATTTTAACACCTATCCTAATTGATCCTTGAGTATTTCTTTAAATATTTAAATGTTTTATAAAGTTCTCAAATTATATTACCACCATAAAAGTCTGTATCTCTGCTTTGGGTTAGGTCTTGAAGTACTCTAAAATTCAATACAAGGAGCTTTACTTATTTTATTTGCAGTTACCTAACAACAAAAGACTGTTTTCAGAAGATAATTTTTTTCAGAAAATCTAATTTAAAGCAATCTCAATTTAAATAGTATGAATTTATTTTTAAATTGGTTTATAATAGTACCCTGTGTTCTATTTAACTATGTTTGTGCTTATAGTATAATTTTATAACAGTATGAGCAAAAAAAAAATTCTCATAAAAATACTTAATAGGAATGTGTTGAAGTTTGTGTGATAGATTATTAACAGTAAGTGTTATCTATGCATGGGTGTTGGGATTACAAAGATTTTTAATGGTTCTATTTGACTTATCTATACTTTCTAATTTCTCTACATTAAATTTGTGGGATGGGATATGTTACCTTTTTCACTTCAAGTCCAGGGAGAGTGGGCTTTAAATAAACCTCTCAGAGAGATTAAATATATTTTTGCAGTTTGGAAACACCAAGGATAGGTGTCTGGGAGATACAGAGGATTAGCAGCTGGTGACTAACAGGTTAGGTAGGAAGCCAAGAAAGTGCTACTGTGTTGGTCATAGCTGCACTGCCAGAGTTTGTAAACAAAGGATGTGCAAGTGTTTGCATGGACTAGAAATGGGTCATGTAGGAGAAAAAGTTGGTCTGGGGCTGTTTTGAGTTCAGTCTAAAATAATAGCCCAGGGAAGTATGGGGACTCCAACAGTGAGAGCCTGGATGGAGTAGACCACAGGTGAACCAGGGGTGGATAACCCAAGCAAAAAAGACTCTGGTAATACAGCTTCCAGTGGTCCAGTCTCCCCTATCTAGAGTCACGTTAGTATTTGGATGTTTAGAGTAATGGAAAGTACGCACTGACAAGCTGTGCCCCCTGCCTTGTGAACCAGAATGAGCAATGGTTACTGGAATTGTAGGTAGTAGATGAAGTTTTAAATATTCAGGCTTTGGGGTCCCAAGTATCTCTTAACTTCTTCCACCAGTGTCACATCAACCATTTTCCACCAACCAACCACAGCTCTTTGCATTTTTGCATATTTCCTTTAAGTCTTAAGAGGTATACTTAACAGGCATACTTAAAAAAAAATAGTTGCAATCCTAGTTTTTTGTGTCTTTTAACTGCTAAATTTACCCACATTCTTTTTGTTCTTAGAGCTGTCTCTTAGTTTCTCCCTGGGTATTTATAAGGATACTGTATTAGTCTATTTTCACACTGCTATAAAGATACTACCCAAGACTGGGTAATTTATACAGGAAAGAGATTTATTTGATTCACAGTTCCGCATGACTGGGGAGGTCTCAGGCAATTTGAAATCATGGCAGAAGGCTAAGGAGAAGCAAGTATCTTCTTCACAAGGTAACAGGAAAGAGAGAGAGTGTGTGAAGGAGGAACTGTTAAACACTTATAAAACCATCAGATCTCGTGAGAACTCACTCATTGTCACGAGAAAAGCATGGGGGAAACCACCCCCATGATCCAATCATCTCCCTCCCTCAATGCTTGGAGATAACAGGTCCCTCCTTTGATATGTGGGACATGGAGATTACAATTTGAGATGAGATTTGGTTGGGAACACAGAGCCAAACCATATCAGATACTCTTTAGTTCACTGCACAGATTCTAAATGACATTGAGCACTAAAGTATGTTACATTGTGCCCTGAAGACCTGAAAGAGTTAATTTACTTTTCAAAGTTCCTGTGGTACTATCCAGGAGGAAGTGAAGCAACAAGAAAAATCTAGCTAACTATATAACGTCAATAAGAAATACTTCACTTATATATTTGCATAATACTGAAATGCATTTAGTTTTGACAGCATAAACAGAACTGTGTTCACTAGGGACTTATTTCAAGATTTGAATATCAACTTATGTAATATTAAATTTAGTTAAGATACATCAGAAAAATTTTACTAACTATACCCACTATTAAACTAATAGTGGTTTTTTGCCGACAGATTGTGTGCTTTGTTCAACTGTAGGCTTTGTACATTTCATAACACGCACATTCCTGTTCTGAAATGGAATGCACCCGATCTATAATAAATCTGCTTGAGAGACAATGGATCCTAGCCAGCTCTGCCTTGGTTCAAGGAAAAAGACAGTAAATAGGGGGCAATGACATTTATGAGAATCTAATTTCATTATACTCTGCCTCATAGGAAGAGAATCTAGATGGTGTTGAGGTTATCGTACTTTGAGTATTACTCAAAACCAGATATGAAGTACCTTCTGTGTTATATTCCTAATGGTTATTCCTCCAATGAGTGTTTTACTTAAAAATTAGTTAATATTTAGTGATAAATTAGAAGTAAAAAATAACTTTTTTAAAAGGAGAAAAAAACTATAATGGCAAGAAAAATATGGCTTACCATATTTTTTAAAGTAATTTAGGAAAGGCAAAACTCATTAGCTAGATGATAATTAGTTTTCCTTGGTAGAATATTGACCGGAATGTTTCTATTAGGAAAATACTATTGAACTGTTCCAGTCTTTTCCAGCTGAGGATGCCCAGATTTGATAATAGTGAAGAAAAATTCACTATTTTTTAACACAATGTTAGAACACGGACAGTTATCAAAACCTAGGACAATTTCTTGAAACTAGCCATTTTGTACAACTATGGTTGGAAATGAGCCTTTACTTAATATTTATAAGCATCCAAATACTCAGCTGGTGTTTTTTCACTAACATATTTTAAACAAGTTCCCAGAGAAGCAAATGTATGAACATATGACAAAGGGTGAATATTTACAAAATCATTTGCCATGCTTCAGCCTGGAATCAGAAGGCAGCTTCTCAGAATTAATTACTATGCACTCTGCTTATCCTGACTAGGGCCTTTCACAACCATCTCTAATGAAGGCTTTAATAACACACAAAAAAGCTAAGGACTAGGAAGGAAAAAAAAAGCAGCAAAATTCCCCCCCAGAAATCATCCCAGTGTTCCAAAAACCATCTTGCATATCATGCTCAAACCCAGGGCAATGTAGAACAGTCAAAAAAGCACCAACTTGTACCAGCTGTTGAGAAAGCTCCACAATTGGTGAAAAATTAGCAAATACAATATTTTTAAAAGAAATGCAGCCTTACTTATGCAGCAATCATTGAGGATATACTAATGAAGTGTTTCTCAGTTCAGATATTTAGGGGACCTACTTGAATAAGTGAATATGAATGTGTTTTAATTAGCACAGCAAACTTTCATTTAGTCCTATGGTGCTATACAGTGTGAATGTATTTTGGACTGACTGATCTGAAATGTGTTTGAAAGTTGTTCTTGCTATATAGCCTTGCCTACACTATTGATTTGCTTAATGCACTTCAGCTTGTCTCCAATTCAAGTGATCATAATTTCAAAATTGATTTCTGAAATAATAAAATCTTATGCTACTGGTATGGTTGTTTTTTGTTGTTGTTTGAGGTAGAGTATTACTGTGTTGCCCAGGCTGGAGTGCAGTGGCTATTCACAGGTGTGAACATAGTGCACTGCAGCCTCAAACTCCTGGCCTCAAAGGATCTCCCTACCTCAGCCTCCCAAGTAGTGAGGCTTCAGACATGTGCTGCTGTGCCCAGCTTTACTGCTATGTTTTATAGCATCTACAAAACTGAATTTAACAAGAAAATGTACAAGCAAGTGGCAAGAAGTAGCACTTGATGACTTCACTACCTGTTACCTCTGGAAAGTTCATTACAATCCATTTATTTGTTTCCAGACCTTTGATCTAGATGGCATTGGTGCAATCATAATGAATGTACGTTAAGTAGCTCTTCCTGCCAAAGGGGGATTTTTGCATCCATTGCTGCAAACAGCTACCAAACTTCGCAACAGTAATGAATGAGCAATGTCTCCTGGAGTCTTTTTGTTAGAATAGTATTGTTAATATTAATGGACAAGGCAAGTTTCCTCACATCACTTCCTGCAGATCATGGTTTGAGTTAGCTCTTCTGATATCTCTTAGATTTAAGTAACTTTTTGTATCATTGACTCCCAATTTTTATTTCTGGTTCTGACTACTCCCCTTGATCTCTCCATCTGAATATCTAGAAGTCATTTCAAACTCAGCATGGCCACACAGTTCTTCAATTTTTTCTCTCCAGCCTTGCTCCTCTCCCTGGAATTTTTCATATTAGAAATCAGTACACCTATCCACTCAATTGCTCAAGACAAAAATCTAAAAGTCACCCTGGGCCCTTCCTTTCCTTCACCCCCACATCCAATCCACCAACTTCCGTCCACCCTCCAGAACACATTCCAAATTCAGCACTTTCTTTGTCTCCACTGTCACCACACTTGTGCTCACCACCATTTCTTTCACCTGGACTACTGCAGTTGCTTTTTAACTAAGTTCCCTGTTTCCATTTGTGCCTTCCAATCCATTTTCCACAAAGCAGCTATCCAGAATTTGTAAATTAAATTATATCACTCCCTTCCTGCAGACTCTCCAGTGACTTCCAATAATACTTAAAATTCCAATTCTTTATGTGAGTTTACCAAGTTCAGCTAACCCCATCTGGCAACCCCAGCTTTATCTGGTAAAATGCCATATTAGTTTGCTAGTACCACTGACTGGACATCTTAAATAACAGAGATATATTTTCTCACAATGCTGGAGGCTAGCAGTCTGATATCAAGGTATTGGAAGGGTTGGTTTCTTCTGAGGCCTCTGCCTGGCTTGCAGATGGCCATCTGTGTCTTCACATGGCCTTTCATCTATGTCTCTTTATCCTAGTCTGCTCTTCTTATAAGGACACCAGTCATAATGGATTAGGGCCCATCCTAATGACCTCATTTTAACCTGATTATCTCTCTAAAGACCCCATCTCTAAAGGCAGTCACATTCTTAAGCCCTGGGAGTTTTCAACATATGAATCTTGAGGAGACACATAGCCCATAACACTTGCCCTCTTCATTTTAGCACTGTGCTAGCTGTCTTCCTGTTCCTTGAACAAGTTAAGCTTGTTCCCACCTTAGGGCCTTTGCACTGGCTCTTGTTGGAACATTCTTCCTATGGGCAACAGAGTTGGTCCTTTTGGTCACTCAGATATCAGCACAAATGTCACACTTTCAGAAAGGCTGTTCCTGACCTTCCAAACTACAGTAACTACCCTAGCCATTTTATATCACATCTCCTGAATTAAATAACTGCATAGCACTTACCACTAATATTTTTAATGTTTATTAT
Source organism: Homo sapiens (assembly GCF_000001405.40). Taxonomy (NCBI): domain Eukaryota; kingdom Metazoa; phylum Chordata; class Mammalia; order Primates; family Hominidae; genus Homo; species Homo sapiens. Next base: position 85,369,735 of record NC_000001.11, on the reverse strand, counting down.
TTATTGCCTATCTCTCCATATCCTCACCAGAATATACACAGGGCTCTTCTCTCTTCGCTGATGTATTCTTGGAACCTAGAATAGTGCCAGGTATATTGAAAATGCTGAATAAATGTTTGTTGAATGACTAAGCAAATGAACAGAATTACTGGAGATGAGTGGCGGTTAGTGATTATTGGGACAAATAGGCCAACGGTAGTTTTCTCACCTGCGGGTTTTTAGAAATAAAGATGAATCTTCCCACCCTTGAAATGTCGTAAGAGTTGTTTAAAAGAGGTCACAGAGGTTGTATGGCTCTTGCCGTGGCTATGCCCTGTCTAAACAAGGTGGATATTTTTGCCGTATACTTGTTTATAACATTTCCAGAAATTCTGTCTGACTTACAAAGTTGTTCAGCTGTTCATTCAGTAAACATATACAGAGAGTCAACTAGGGGCCAGAACTTGTTAATAGAATGCCCCGAGCCTGGGCAGCATAAGTAGACCCCATCTCTACAAAAAAAAAAAAAAAAAATTGGCCATTGGGCACACACCTGTAGTCCCAGCTACTCAGGAGGCTGAGGTGGGAGGATTGTTTGAGCCAGGGAGGTTGAGGCTGCAGTGAGCCATGATGGCACCACTGCACTCCAGCCTGGAGGACAGAGTGAGACCCTGTCTCAAAAAAAAAAAAAAAAAAAAAAAGAATCCCCTGGGAGCCATGGGAGCACACAGAAGGAATCTCTGACCCAGCCAGGACCTACATTTGGGCTGGGAGCAGGGATATGCTGGATGGCTTTTAGGGCAGCTTAATGCCTGCAATGTATAAATTGTATACTGAACATACAAAATATTTCCCATACATTAATCTGTTTGTGTCTGGCAGCATGCGATTCCTCTGAATTCACAGAAAATTATGAACACTTCGAGTACTATTTCTGGTGCTTATTTTGGATCATGTGCACAGCAAATTTTTATGCTTCTCAACATTCAGGAAAATTAGTTTAGAATTTTATAAACTTGTCAGTTCCCTGGTTTTTAGCCTACTAAATTTTGCAGGTCTTTTGGCAGCTGACACTTATTTTAATTTGGTATTTGGTGATAAATCATATTTTTATTTGCCCCCTGCAGACAGAACGTCAGTGGCTTTTAAGTACTCAATACATGTATTGTATCATTATCGTCAACAAGGAATTGAACCGCTTGAATTAGTACATTATATATCAAGAGAGCTGACAAGACCAGCAGAGCTCCTGCCTTGTTTTTCATTTAGAAAGCTAAATGTCACTTCCAGCCTTCTTCCGGGAAACTGTCTTGTAGTGACATCGTTATGGAGGGACCTTTGAACCTCTGGAACTTTCTCAGTGTATTCTCCAGATAATGAAAAGGGTCTTTCCTAGTTTTGTCCAGAGTGCTTTTTATTTCTCCTGGCTCCGTGGGTTTGCCTTCCACATTTCTGTCTAATCTTCCTAGATGCTATATGCCCTTTGGATCTGAGCACTGGTTCAGAGATGAAGAGTGTTGAAATATTAATTCCAGCTCTGATATACAGAGCTGCAACAATTGTGCTTTATAAACTAACATAATCCTGGGATGCTTTTAGTTTGACAATCTACTGTCTTCTATAGGCAGGATGGTCTTAGTGTTGTAAGTGGTTATAAATAGCATGGTGCATTCCTATAAACAGAAAAAAATCCTCCATTAATAGTTGTTTCTGTATCAGAATTTAATCAGTTTGATAAAGTGGCCTGTTATTACTGACTCTTTGGATACTACTTGTCAATTTTGTTGTATACCTAAATGAGTTACTTTTAGCTGCAGCTAACAGAAAACTCAAATTGGTTAATAAAATGAAAAATCTTATATATTAAGAACTCCAGGGCTCTAGGGTTGGATTTGGCAGCTCAAAATGTCATCAAAGGCTCAAATTGCTTCCCTCTCTCTGCCCTGCCATATTTGATGATGGATGTGTTCTCACCAGTTCCAGGTACAACATCTATACAGAACAATGTCCAAGGGAAGAAGAGGAATTATGTTTCTTTCTATGGCTCCAGGAACCTCTCAACAGACACCCCCTCAGTGGCCAATATTGGGTCACTTGCACCAGACCCTGGCATAAGAGACAGAACTGCCATGCCTGATTTAGACTGGGAGGTACCTTAAGGAATATGGTGATAATTAAATGACATAATCCATGCAAAATCACTTAGCACAATGCTTGGCACTTAGAAAGAGCTTAATAAATTGTATTTATTATTAATGATAGTGTTATGAGTGGTTAAGAGGTTCCTCAAACCTTGTTGATACTGATTGTGTGTTGAGGAGATAAAGATAACAGGGATCACCTGGGGAAGCCCATCTACTCAAATCCTCAGAGCGCATAGCAGGACCCTACTCATAGGAAGGGAATGGGATAGGTAACTAGAACAGGACTTCAGGGAAAAGAACCAAAGCAGCACCCAGGTATATGGTCAGGAGTAGGACAAAGCAGAAAGAATGACTTGACCCTGTGTCTCAGAGCATCGGCCTGGAGCTTGTTAGATCCTTCTTTTTCAGGTTAAGATCGATCATGGGAATAAATGAGTTATTTTTAGGTGCAGCTAACAGAAAACTCAACTCAGATTGGTTTGGGAAATGAAAAATCTCATATATCAAGAACTCCAGGGCTCTAGGGTTGGATTTAACAGCTCAGTCCAACTTAGGGAATGAACCCAAAGTTGATGAAATCTACTATACTGCATGTGAATATAAATAAGAAAACACACAAAGGTTGGCAAATAAGCAGAGCCTGACGTCTCTCTTATAGGAAAAGCATTGTAGATTCTCTGTGTCATATACTTATCTCACTACTGGCAAGTAATTAGCATCCTTGGAGAAACTGTGTGATGGGTTCTTCCAAAAAAATAAAATATAAGTATCATAAGTTAGTGTTGAGTTGACACACTCTTTGTTTCCCACTGCATTGGAATCTTCTGTTTGCCTCTGAGGATTCCCATCTTTCTGGAGTTTTTTTAATCCACTTTTAGGTTTGCCCTATCTTGTCTGCATTCATATATCCAGCCTCTTGCCTCTGATTGGATTTGGTTAAACACCAGAATACTTTACTCATGAGTAACCATCTGGGGTATTTTCAGTAAATTCTATGGGAGGAAAATAGGATTACAGTTAGAGTCATATTTATGAATGCCAAAATTTTTTCTGAGACTGCAACTTTTAGAAGTCTAGAGCCGGAAATGACCTCATTTTTAAGCTTTGTGCCCTCCGTTTACTAATATGGAAACCAAAATGCTAAATATCTTGGTTAATTTTTAGCAGTTTCCACTAGAAATAAACCCATATGTTTGGAAATCCAAGAAATCAATGGGAAAAAATGAAATGGGTATGTAACAGTCTGTGGGAAATGTTTCAAGAGATCTTATTCATGTAAAAGTTATAACAAAAGTTCAATAAGAGGGAAAATGAGCTAAATGGTTATAAAACTTTAACACGTATTGACCATTTGATAAAATCATGAGTTCTCTGAATAATCACAGGGTTAATATTTATTTGACTTTGATAACTTTTAAAGATTATCGTGATTAAATAATTTCCAGTTCTGTTGACCATTTTTGTAGGACTAAGGCTCCCATTTGATTTGTTGGTTGTTTTGTTTTTTTTTTTTTTACCAGCTATCAGCCGAGAATTGCTCTCAGTTCCCAGAGGCCACCCTGTAGGCCCTCTTCAGGCAATTCACAACATGGATGTTTACATTCTTCAAAACAGAAGATCAGAACATCTCTCTGACTTCTTTGTCTCTAACCTTTAAACCCACGTTTAAGGGTTCTCCTTAGGTCAAGCCCACCCAGGGTAATCTCCCTTTGATTAACTCAAGTCATCTAAGTAGATACTTTACACCTGCAAAATTTCTTTACTTGTGCTATGTAAAGTAACCAATCACAGATATGATATCTTCATCATATTTACAGGTCCTACTCACACTCAAAGGGGGAGAGATTTATACAGGACATGTACATCAAGGGGGCAGCAATCATGGGCACCATTTTAGAATTCTACCTACTATACTTCCTAGTGTGGTAGAAACCCTTCTCATCTCTCTAAATTCATCACTTTTGTTTGGAGTGTATATAATGTCTTGGTTTGGAGTGTGTCTGCATATCCATATGCTTTGGTAACCTCACTATTTAAAATACACTGTTGACTACCTAAAGATTTTTACACAAATAACTAACTCCTCCTCATACTCTGATGAGAAAGTAGTGGCTCCCAAAATTTATTAGCCTTAGTTTGTGTATGCTTAGAAAAGCAAAATTTAGACTGTTTAGAAACCAAATGCAAGTTCAGACTGCTGCAATTTGTAGCCTCTATCCTTCCATTTCTCCAGAATGTCTGAGTCCACATTTTTGTTCAATAAATAAATAATAGTGAACATAATCTGTTTTGGAGAGTACTGTAGCTCCTCACAGTCACTCGATTTCATTGTAGATACCTAAATTTGTTGGTTAGTAACAATATTGTGTAGGAAAGAATAACACAAACTTAAGAGCAAAGCTAAGTTGAAATCTCAGCTCTCTGCTTACTTGCTATGAGACTTTGATCAAATTTACTTACTCTGCCCCAGTTTTCTCATCTGTAAAACAAATCATTCTTGTACTTGCTTCATCAGGTTGTAAAAGTTAAATAAGGTTAATATGAGTTCATAGTAGAGTGCCTGGCACATAGGAAGACTATATAAATGTTTGCTGTTACCATTGCTAACTAAATTCCTTCTGAGAGCTTTGTCCTAAAATTAGAATATAGAAGAGGATCCCAATATGTTTTTATTTAGAAATTTTTAAGACCGGATCATTGAGTACACAAAATGTCTGTTCGATCCCTTTTTGTTGGTAGTTTTGGCTAGTTTTAGTAGTCAACACATACAGCCAGGCATGGTGGCTCATGCCTGTAATCCCAGCACTTTGGGAGGCTGAGACAGGCGGAACACCTAAGGTCAGGAGTTCGAGACCAGCCTGGCCAACAGGGTGAAACCCCGTCTCTACTAAAAATACAAAATTAGCCGGGTGTGGTGGCACAAGCCTGTAATCCAAGCTATTCGGGAGGCTGAGGCAGAATTGCTTGAACCTGGGAGGCGAAGGTTGCAGTGAGCCAAAATCATGCCATTGCACTCCAGCCTGGGCAAAAAGAGTGAAACTCTGTCTCAAAAAAAAAAAAGAAAGTAATCAGCACATATGGACAAATTTAGGAATGAACCACTGAACAAACCTAAGGCATCTCCAAATCAAAGGGTAGTAATGAATATGCAGGTTTTTCTTGGTGAAACAGGTTGGTGTGGTTTATATATTCTGTTCATATTACTTAGTGTTCTTAATCACTCTATAACTTAACATCCTAAGGCCCTAATATACAGAAATTTCATTTATCTCTGATATGAAGAGATCATGGAATACAAAGTCACCTTGGCACAGGATCTTACAATATCCAGTGGACTTAAATGTACAGAATTGGAAGGCAGAAGGCATGGGCTCCAATTCTGATGTGGGCTGCACTCTATGATGAGACCTCAGGAGAATCTTAATCATACAGTGAAGTGAAAATGAGGATGGGCTCCGGAGGCTTGACTCGGCAAGTCAGTCAACCTCCCTTAGCCTCAGTTTACTCATATATAAAATGGGTATACTAATATCTACCCTTTCTTCTTTTTGGAGTTATTGTGAGCATCACAACAAATATTCCATTTTATTGTCACTATATATTCAGAAGGTGTATCTGTTCCACTAGATTAATTTCACAGAGGCAAGCAAGGGCTGTGGCTTAAAAAAAAGAATTGTAGCCTGATTTGAAAAAAAAAAAAAAAAAAGTTGACATCCACCAAATATTTGTTGAACTGAGATGTTATTCACATGACAAAATATGTGTGAAAATGTGATACAACATTAAGCAATGTCATAAAATCAGCCAAGTGTACTAGCAAGTGGCCACAGTGACCAAAGATGTGCTGATTAACAAAGAAGTTTAAAGTAGCATAAAGAAATAAAATGTGGTCTTTTGAATATGACCTCAGACAATATAGTGATTTTGATGCATCAGCAAGTTCCAAGCCATCTGTGCCTTGATGTGCCAAGACAGCTTCTTGAACAGCTTCCTCAGCATTATCTACATGTCACACTCAACATTAAAAGGCAAAACAAAATCAGCAAAAAGTTGGGAGATGAAACCATCTCACTACCAACAAAGCTATGTTGCTACTGTTCAACTCTCTGGAGCTAGACAAGTGTAGGGGTAGAATGATTCTATAATTTTAAAGCTCCTGTAATGTGATGAGTTACAAAGAAACCAGGACAACTTAAGCAGGCATTGAAAACATAGTGGTGACATTGGTGATAGCACAGCTTCTAGCACATGGCAGAACTGTGGTTGACTGAGACATGTCAGCCACAGACAGGCCAACTTTGAGGGCCACATTTATTTCATAGTATCTAGCAGCAGAAACAGCTGAAGGAAAGCAGCTTGGCTAACAGATTGGTGCATATTCTTTAAGGAGCCATAGCTCAGAACTGTTCACCAGGCCCCACAAGCACATTCACAACATTTAGAACGAAGATGTGAAACATTCAAAAGGGGCATTACTGAAAATAAACAGCAAAAGTCAATTTTGGAAAGGGTCAACTGGAAAATATTGCCCTGAAATAAAGAGTATTAAACTAACAGTGCTATAACAAGTTATTATGAATATAGCTTCCTAGTAAAACTATATAAGGCTTTATTTTTGTTTTGTTTTATATTAGGGAGAGTTTTGGGTTTTTTGGGAGTTCTTTTAGTATTTTAGGTTTGAGGGAGATTTTGCAAGAACAAAAGGAAAACTGAACTTAAAAGATGTTTTATTTAATACAGAAAATTGTATTTTTTATCTTTTACTTGTTTTTGAAAGGTAGCCAAAATCCAAACAAAGGACTGAGTTAATTTAGGGCAAAATAATAATATCATCAACTACTAGTTTTGAGCACAATATGCCAGGCACTGAGCTAGGTGTTTTACATGTATTATCTTATTTGTTACTCACATAATCCCTGTTAGAGAGAAAGCACTATTCCCATTTGCAGGTCAAGAAACTGAGACTCAGAGAGGTGAATTTATCCAAGTCACATTGCTAATAAGTGATAAAGACTTTATTCTAATCCCTGGTTCTTGCCACTCACCATGAAGGTCTAAAGGGAGTGAAAAGAGAAGACAGGATAATCATGAAAACATGATAGGATGGAAATGAGAGCCGTAAAAGAAGGAAAGAAGAGAGTAGAAAAGGGAAGGGTAAGGAAGGAGACCAGGCATTGAGAAAGAGAAAGAATTCTTTAGACTGATTGGGTCCCTTAGAGTGGTAATATTCTCAGTGACCATGATCATTCCATATCATCTTAGCTGATGCTCTTTTGAGTCCTGTGGAACATCTTACCAGACAGGCCCACTTCCCACCTTATGTAGTACTTTCCAAGGGCTATTTCAAAGCAGAGGTTACACAAGAAATTTGCCACATGTCTTGACAGCTTCCAGGAGCTGGAAGGAAATCAGATTTGGATTATCTAAATTTAAATTTAAATGTATCCTCAATGTATGTTCTCTAACTGTATACTGGCTTTGCAAAAAAAAAATCTATAATTTTAATTCACAGGAAAGCAGATGGGATCTGTCATGGAGGGATAAAACACAAGAAACATGTCCAAATATAAGAAAAAACAACAGTTGTTTTCTTGTGCACTAATTTTATAGTACAAGTATCTGTCACTGTGTATACACAAGCTGTTATTCATAAAAAATACAATATTTATTCAGCAAATACTGTGTGACTTGTATGTATTTAATGACCAGAAGGAGCCTAAAAAGTTGATACTATAATGAATAAATACCCACTTTAAAGGTGAGAAAACTGAGGCTCAGAATACTAAATAACCTGAGGACACTGGCTAATAAGTAGCAGAACTGGAAGCAGCAGAGGTGATCTGCAGCAGCTGTGACCAGAGAAGAAATCTATGCTGTGATAAATAGTATGAGGAGAAAAATGGGGCAAAAAATGCAAGTATAACATTGTTTTAAAATGAAATGCAAAGTGCATGTAGCATGAAAAGGGAGGGAAGAAAGGTCTTGTAAATCTTTTGAGTAAAGAATGAAAATTACTGTATATACTTTATACTCTAAGGCTTAAATTAAGTAGGTTGTTTTTCTAATTTTCCCTTTTTATTTCTAATTTTGTGGGCTAAAATGACCCATTCAGCTCAGCCGTTGGAATTAATACTGTTTGTCCTGATGGTTTCTCTGAGTAATGCTAAGTTCCACACTGCAGGGTTACTGTCTCAATGAAAGGTGGGTGTGTTATTTGGTCATTTTTTTTCCTCTTGGAAGTTAATAAAGTCAACATTAACCATGGCCATGTAACCACAGAATGGGCAGTTTCTTAAAGGCTCATGGTTTGGATCTTTTCCTGCAAAAACTCCCACTTCTATAGTTATATTTAGTGTTCTAACTGCCTGAATAGCTGGCTTGCTATGGACCCATGTGTCAGGCCTGTTTGCAGCTGAGTTTGTCTGCTTCAACGGAACCTCAATGCCAAGAGTGTGTGGTTCCCAATGGACAGCCTGCCGAGTTCAGCCTCTCATTTCTTCTCCAGAAATCTCCCTCAGTTTAGCATTGCCGATTTGATGCCATATGGCCCTGCAGTTCTCAAAACTGTTTACTTGATATTTACAATTTTTTAAAAATCTTGTCCATGTGCTTAACTCTGAAAGTAATGTAGTATCATCAACATGTGTGGTATGGACCTATCCTGATGACTGTTTGTATAGATGTGATTGAATTTTTTTAAGTACTGCCCCTGCACAAGAGCTAGTTTTTTTAATGTCAGTGCAGCTGTTTTAACTTGAAAAGAAAAGAAAAGCACAAACATTTTATCCTCTAAAACTTTTTAATTTTCAAAGACATAGGACATTTAAAGAGATGTAATGTTTCTGAAACTGGTATATAGTAGACTCCCTACTTCTATTCTCCTCTAACTTTTAAGAATTGAATACAGTTCCTGAGTTGAAATGTTGCATAGTTACATACAAACTTTTCAAACCAAAATTTATGTTATTGCTCAACTCCTCCTAATCTTTGAAATGTTAAGTTATAATAGAAGCAGTAGCATTAGTAATAGAAACAAAAAGTAACTGTATATCTGTTCTCATGATCTCTCCCTAAGCTCAGTGAATTTTCCATGGACAAAGAAGCAGAGATGTCAAAAGGAAACAGTTGTGTTTTCCTGGGTTCATAGTAGCCCAACAAGTCATGGTAAATATTGTGTTTGCTCCTTATTTTATGCTGTAGCAACAATTCCACTTCCTATTACATAGGAAAACCTATTCTGCTGTTAAAAGAGGTCACTGAATGTATTTACTACAACATTAAGACCATTTTGTCCATGGAAATATTTTTTATTGTTCTGAGTCACTCTGGTTTGTGGAATTTTTACATGAGTTCCAGGACAAGGATGAGATGATATATTTATTTTACTTTGTATCCTCTTTAAATGTTTTTTGAATGCATGAATGTCAGGCTTGTTGTCAAAGTATTTCCATATTTTTATTACTTTAGAAGTAACTCTGCTCTATTTGTGTCTCTTAAACTCTTCACTGACAATTCACACTGTGTACTCAGCATGTTGTATTTTTGGAAGAACTACCTGCTTTGCCCAGTGTGATGTGATCTCTTGTTCCCTTGTCCCCTATTCGAGTCATCTCATTGTATGTCTTTACTATCCTAAAGGTTTTGCAGACCTTTGAAAATATTTAAATTGTTTTGTTGAGCTACTGGAAGGACTTGAATTAAATTGTGAGCTTCAATTTGTTATGCTTCACATTCATTTCTTATATTAAAGTAAGCCTCAATAGAAGTGTTCCTTAATTCAACCCAGAATATCTCTGTGCTTTAGACATGCCCTGGAATCATACAAATTCCTGAAATTTATTTTCAAATATTCATTGGTTTGATTGTAATTGTTGAACTTGTTAATCACCTCTAAGGAACTAGGTTTTAAAAGATGGGTAATCATATTAACTGTTTGAATATAACTAACACAGTTTACATTTACAGAGAAGCAAAGGATGTTTTGACATTTTACAAAATATTTGAATAGAAAACAGTGATTGTCCTATGGGTTGAGATTTCAAATTACGAGTTATTGATATTCCTTCCATGTATTATACTGTGTGTGTGTGTGCAATTCTGACTAAATGACTGACATAAGATTTAAAATGGAATCTTGTATTTCCTGGCAAGGGTAGGATAATTGGGTGCTTTGCCTCCCACCTTCCTTTACTCATGTGCCCTAACTAGTCAGCCTCCAATAGTGTGCTAACTGGTCAGAATTGGGTGCCTTGCCTCCCACCTTCCTTTACTCATGTGCCCTAACTAGTCAGCCTCCAACAATGCCCTAACTGGTTAGCCTCCAATAGTGTGCTAACTGGTCAGACTCCAGCAATATCCTAACTAGTCAACCTCTAACAAATGCCCTAACTTGTCAGCCTCCAACAGTGGCCGAACTGGTCAGCTTCCAATGGTGCATTAACTGGTCGTACTCCAACAGTGTCTTAACTAGTCGGCCTCCAACAGTATTGTAACTACTCAGCTTTCTACAGAAAAAAATGACACTGTATTGACTCAATCTTACACTAGAAGGGAACAAAATAAACAATTTTTAACAGATCATTTCTTCTCTTACAAATGATCATGACTGGTCATACATTATATATTCACAAGGATGGGTGTGTATATGAGTGTGGATGTGTGTGGGTGTGTGCACGAGAGCTTGATTTAGTGTTTAGATGTTTTGGATGTTTTTTTCTTGTTAGGAAATTGTAGCATAGTAATCTGAATCATTTTATTTTCAACAGGTTGACATGATGAAAGAAGCATTAGAAAAACTTCAGCTCAATATAGTAGAGATGAAAGATGAAAATGCAACTTTAGATGGCGGAGATGTTTTATTCACAGGTATAGTTGTATTTATTTTTTCTATCCAAGAATATTTTTAATACTTGGCTTGTATTTACTTGTTTTATTATAGTTTTTTGTGTTTTTTTGTTTTTGTTTTTGAGACAGAGTCTCGCTGTCACCTAGGCCGGAGTGCAGTGGCGCCATCTTGGCTTGCTGCAACCTCCGCCTCCTGGGTTCAAGCGATTCTCCTGCCTCAGCCTCCTGAGTAGTTGGGATTACAGGTGTGTGCCACCATGCCCAGCTAATTTTTGTATTTCAGTAGAGATGGGATTTCACTATGTTGGCCAGGCTGGTCTCAAACTCCTGACCTCAGGTGATCTGCACACCTCGGCCTCCCAAAATACTGGGATTACTATCATAAGCCACCATGCCCAGCCTATTGTAGTAGTTTTAATTACCAAAGTAACAGATGCTAAATGGAGGGAAATTGGAAAATACAGGAAAACACAAGAAGGAAAAAAAATGACCTTCTATTCAAATATAATCACTTTAGTATTTAGTATATATGTCCTTTTAGTACTTCGTATATATACATTTGCATATTTTTACAAGAACATTATTGGTATGTACATCACCACTTTGTATCTTGCTTCTACTTTATTCTTCTACAGCATGAATTTATAAGTTGCATCGTTTTCCATTGTTACTGTATATCTGGTTTGTATTTAAAGGATTCATAATTCAAGATTAGTGTCATTTACAAATAACTTTCTTTCCAGATGGCAAGGTGGATTTAAATAATTTCTATGCAAATTGACTTGGCTTAATGCCAGATGGATAATAGCAGAACTCAACAAAATATGAACAGCTAATATTATTATTGATCTTACTGGAGTCAGTTTTTACAGTGTGTAATGTGGCTACTAAAGAAACAGTAATTTTAGCATTTAACCTTTTCAACTCATTTATCGTATAATTAGTGTTGTATAAAATCATGTGTAAAATCTGGGTCCCCAAATTCATTCTGGTTATACTGATGAGCAAGATAATCAATAGTAATTTTAATTTATAGTGAGAATTTATTTTCCCAGACATGTCAGAGAATACATTTCACCAATGTAGCCCTGACAGCAAAGGCTGGTCCTCAGGGACTTGGGAATGTGGCCCCAAGTGGCCCACTGAAAGCGTGAAGCTTCTTGGAAGTCTAATATTTTGGCTGATGTGAATTTTATATTGAATCTCATATATATGTATAGTCAAGATATAGCCATTTTTGTTTTAATATCAAAATAATGTTTTGCATTACTTACTTTGGACATAATTAATGTTCCTGAAGAAGGAATAGTGTTTATTCTGTGACATTTAAGCAGTTCTTTGCTAAGTGTCACATACTGTCGCTATGGGTGGGGCCACCACGTTGCCAGCTCTGGGGGCGCCATTCTTCTTAGGGATTGTGTGAATAGTATGCCCTGGAGTTGTGTACTGCACCTGTGCTGCCACTGTCTCATGCAGTGGTCCATCTCTGGGGTTTGGTTTGCATGCCCATTGAACCCTAAGAACACAGAACAAGGAGTCAAGAAGGCCTACGCTGCATTCTTATCTCTGGGTGTGCCCAAGCAGACTCAGGCATTCTTTGAATCTGCCTAGTAAGTTCCCCTTAGAATATTCTTTGTGTCTCCCGTTGATGGCACTTTCATTCTTTTTGACAGTACAGAACAACAGTCTGTTTATCTAACAAAATAGGCTTTTGTGAAAAGTTAGATGTGTAAATCACACTTCCTTACAATATAACTCTTTTTTATCAGAACATAGCCATGCAATGAATAACTTATTGTAAGCAGGTACTGTTAACATTTGAAATATGGCTTAACCAAGCTATGTTCACAACCATTTATTTTAGCAGCTGAGCCAGAAAGACCCCCTAAAATCTCCTCAGTGTGAAAGTGCAACTTACACTAGGAGTCTCTTCTTTTGGTCAAAGGTCTTTCCCTAGCATCTCAAGCCCAGTAGTTTTGACCTATCTTCAAAGTAGGTACTAAGCATTTAGGCTTGCCTTTGATACTACCTGTAGACTTTTTTTATTTGTTATATTCAATACTTAAGTTAATGTGTTAATAGTTACTTTGTTCAAAACTGAGATGATGTTGGGATATCTTTACCTCCTTGGCACTCCATTCACACCTAATGTGTGTTCCTGCCTTCTATTTTCTACTTGTCACTTTTCTTCATCTCTTTTATTTTATTGCGGTTAAACACACATAACATTTGCAATTTTAACCATTATTAAGTGTACAATTCAAGTGACATTAATTACATTCATAATGTTATACAACTATTACCACTCAATTTTTGGATTAGGAAGAGTTAGATAAGAAATAAGGTCTGTAACATTTTCTATGTGCTCTATGTCCTCTTTTCTCTGTAATTCAAAGCCTCATTAATAATTTATCAGGAAATGGACAGAAGGAAAGCTGCTTTCCAAATCCAGTTCCTGCTGGGAAATCTGTCAGTCAGGCAAGCAGCTACTGGCAAAAATTGTTTCAATACCATTTCTCTTAAATAGACAGCAACTTACCTCTACTTTTATTTATTTTTGTGAAATATAGAGTACATTAAAAAAGAGTTATAAAATGTTTATGTACAGTTTAAAGATCAATAATAAAATGAACACCTGGGTGTCCACCTCCTGACTTAAGAAGTAGAACATTGCCAGGACCATAGACACCCCTGTGGGGTCCCCAGTCAAAACCAGCCTCTCCCCTGACCTCAAGTAACCACTGTCTTGAATTTTGTGTTAATTATTGCTTTGTTGTTCTTTGAGTTTTGCCTCCATGCATGTATTCCTAAAGTGTATGTTGTTTTAGTTTTGTTTGTCTTGTAGTTTTATAAAGCTACAAGATACCTTTATTAGAGTCACATTATATGAACTCTTAGGTGATTTTTCTACTTTTGATCTAAGTTGATGTGTGTAGCTGTAGTTCATTTTCAATGTTGTGTAGTTCTCTGTGATAAGAATACACCATAATGTATGTATTAATTTTACTACTGATGTGTTTTTGGATGTTTTCCAGTTTTTGTGGATTATCTTCTGTGTTTCTATGTACATTCTTGTGTGTGTCTCCTGGGAACATATACAAGAGTTTCTCTAAAGTAAACACCTGGAAATGAATTTCAGGTGATAGAGTAAACTCTTTTTCTTGTCACTGAAATGATTATATGATTTTCTTTAATCTGTTGATGTAGTTAATTTCATTAATTCATTTTCTGATATTTGACCAGTCTTGCAACCCCAGCATGAAATCAAATTTGATCATGATGTATTCTCTTTTTAACACAGTGTTGAATTTAGTTCGATAACATTTTGTTATGACTATTATTTTTGTGGCCTATAATTTATATTTCTTGTTATCCTTGTCTGGTTTTGATAAAAGAGTTACATTAGCCTCGTAGAATGTATTAGGGAATATTTCCTCTTTTTCTATTCTCTAGAATCAATACTATTTGAATTATATATTCCTTAAACTTTGGAAACAGGCTCTTGTGCCTTCTTTATGGAGAAATTTAAAACTGATTTAGTTGATTAATGATTATGTGACAATTTAGATTTTCCTGAGTCAGTTTTGATGCGTTCCATTTTCTAAGATTTTATCTGTTTTAAGTTTTCAATATGTTGGGTATAAAGTTACTTATATTTCCTAATATCTGTTTAAGCTTCACAGCAACTATAGCTATATTATCTTTTCATTGGTAATGTTAATTTATGCCTTCTTTCTTTGTTTGCCAGAGGTTTGTTAATTTTATTAATCTTTCCTAAGGACCAACTATTGGCTTGGTTGAACTCTTTCTCTTGAATGTTTCTTTTCTGTTTCTGTATTTCCTTCCTTCACATTTCTTTCTTTTTACTCTGTTCTCTTTTTTTCTACATCTCAAGTTGGAATTTTATCTCATTAATTTTAGCCTTTCATCTTCTCTAATGTAAGCTTTTAATGCTATGTAACTTGGCCTCCAAGTACTACTTTAGCAGACTCCTTCTTATTTTTATGTGGATATTTTTGTTATCATTTAGTTTTTTTAAATGTTTTGTAATTTCCACTGTGATTTAATCTTTGATTCATTCAAAGGTAATGAGGTTTTTTTTAAAAAAACTTATTGGTTATTATTGCAAGTTGGTGGAACACTAACTCATAACTGTAATAATTTATATGTAAAAGAAAGACTCAAGTATTTAGCTTTTCTTTCCTTTATGAATTTCATTTCAAGTAGACCAAATACTTGAGGAGAGATTTTCTTTTTAGGGTTGCAGCGAGTAAATGCAGATTCCTAATAAAAAAATAATGGATCTGTGCAATGATCAACAAATGATATTAAAACTGCTATATGAAAGCTTGACAGGAAACTTTATAATGAGGGAATCAGGCTGATGCCACTTGAACACACAGTAGTCCTATTAAAAAAATATATGAATGAGCATCTAATTAACCATCTACATGAAACTGCCTGCTTACTGAAAATACAAAGGATAAAGGAAAAAATTTAAATGTTAAGTTATAAGAGGAAGCAACCAGTCAAAGCAAGAATGTAGGACAGTCAGTAGGAAAAATGGCCTGGTTTCTCCTATAAATGACTGAGACAGGAAGGGGAAAAACAAAAATTGTGAATTGGCATAGAAGAAAATGACACAAAAGACATCAAAAAAATTTAGATGTCCATTTCAGTATTTTAGTTGTTTCCATCAGGAAGATTATTTAGGAGATCTCATCCAACGTACTGCCAGAGACAGAAGTCCAACCTACTTTGAAGAGATAAGCAGCATCCTTCTCTTTGTACTTTCCCATCACATCTTAGCCTTTTTTTACTTTTTTTCAATCAGCCCACATCACGCTCCGAACACCTTAGTCTTTTAAAATGGAAATGGTATGCATGCCACCCTATAAATTTGTTATATACATAAATGTGGAAATTTTCTTCCTCCCTTTGTTTCTTGGAAAAGAATTCCACATGAAATGTGAGAAAACATATTCAGAGAGAAATCAGTATTTTTTTTGCCTCAGAGTATTATGTTTTTCTTAAAAGATTTTCTTAAAAGTTATAAATAAATTAATTTATAAACCTATTTTTATCTTGAAAGAATTAAAGAAACTTGGTATTTTTTCATTGTAGCTGACTATTTAATAAAGTGCATAATACTTTTTTCAAGTAAAATACCTCTCCTTGAGTTAAATTTTGATCTTTATATAATGAGTTTTCTTAAAGGACAACACAATCATGCCATTACCCAAAAAACTGTCAGTGTGCCACAAAAGATTCCTGTGTCTGCCAACAACATAAGCCCTTGGATATTGTCGTAACATCACCTGACCTATGTCATTTGCCCGTTTAATAAGGACATTATGAAGATTAAAGTTATAATATTTATAAAATCTATCAAGCACTTCTGCATGGCTACTCTTCTTATACTTCACCATAATACTCTGAGGCAAAAAGATACTAATTTCTCTTTGAATATCTTTTCCACATATTATGTGGAATTTCAATAAATAAAGGGAAGATGAGAGTTCCCACATTTATGTATTGCCTAACTCCATACTATAATTATTTGCCTATAACTAAGAGACCATTTTTATCTAGTGTTTTGCCTTCTGAGTAGAAAAACTGCTGAATTTCAGAAAAGTCAAATAAGAATGAAGTTTCATCCTGCAGAAATTTTGTACTTTGTACATAGGTATCTTTTGATGTTTTGATTTCAAATATATGGAATGTGTAGTTTCAAAGACACGGCTTTTAGAGGTCAGACCTGAAGACCAGTCAGCACTTAACTCACTTTCCCCAGATTGTTTCCTCAGGCCTCACGTGATCATTTTATAAGAAAAGAATCCGAATTTATCAACAATGTCTAGTACTGTTCTTTTAGTGAAAAAAAAAAAGGTAGTATAATAAATTCTCACTTAACAATGTTGATAGGTTCATGGAAACTGTGACTTTTAAGCGAAGTGACATATAACAAAACCATTTTTACCATAGGCTAATATAAACAAGAGTTAAGTTCCTCTGGCATATTTCTAGTCACAAAAATATCACCCAGCTTCTAAATCAAAACCCAAAACACTTATAATATTAAGCATTGAAATAAATGTCAGCCATATGCACATTTTTTTAAATTAATAAAAACAAGATAATTGCCCAATTTTTGGCCAATTACTGAGTAACAGCAGTTGTGGTGGTGGGTTAAATCAGGGAATAAATATTTGCAAAGATAAAACTGTAAGGAGCCCCTCCTCCCACCATACAGCTCAAAACAATCACAAATATGGTGGGCTCATTGAGCACTTTCCTACGACATCATTTATTGTTGTACATTTGTATGATTATTGGATGCTTTATTACAATCATTTGTATCCATTCATTTTCTAAGGCACTTCTTCCAGTTCAGGGTCATCAAGGGTGGCTGGAGGCTATCCTGGAAGCTCGGGGTGCAAGGCGGCAACCCACCCTGGACAGGACACCGTCCCATCACAGCACACTCACCCACACACACCCACACTTGCTCAGACTGGGACCCTGTAAACATGAAAATTCACCTGCTGTGCACAGCTCTGGGATGTGGGAGGAAACCCACGCAGGCCTAGAGAGAATGTACAAACTCCCTACAGACCATGGCCCCAGCTCAGAATCAATTTTTTCTTTTTCCTCATCAAAGTTGAGCAAAATGATGTTATTTGAGGAACTGTTTTACTGTTAAATTGTCATTGCTATTACTTAATTTCTGATCAGAGATTATCAATGTGTTTATTATTGCCTAAATAAAAATTTCATTCCTATTGTAGTAAAATATACATAACATAAAATTTACCATTTTAACCATTTTTAAGTGTACAGTTCAGAGGCATGAACATTCACAGTGTTAGGCAACCATCACCACCAGGCATCTCCAGAACTTTTTCATCTTCCCAAACTGAAACTTCCTATCCATTAAACAATAACTCCCCATTTACCCTTCCCCATGGCTCCTGGAAACCACCATCCTGCTTTCTGCCCTTTTGAATTTGAAAAAGTTTATTCTTAAGGGCAGTAGTTTGAAATCATTTTTTGTAGTCTCTTTAGTGAAGCTGTTCTCTGTGGTAAGAGAGAACTGTGTGATGCTTTAAGGTCATTATTTATAGATAAAAGAAATGATGTACAGTCACTGGTGCCACCTGCTCACTATGTTCCATGACATCTATTACAGGCAGAGAATTTTTTGTGGGCCTTTCCAAAAGGACAAATCAACGAGGTGCTGAAATCTTGGCTGATACTTTTAAGGTAGGTAAAAGGTAGTTTATGCCTGGCACAAAGCAATTACTTAATAAATAATCATAGAACCATTGAATCAATGTCATGAGTAATGGTGTTTACGCTTCACTGGCTTTGTACAATAATTCGTAATGTTTGTACATTTACTAGAAGTTTTAGAAGCTATAAAATTCAAATTCCTCAATAATTCAGCTTCACTGGGCTACCACAAGAACAACTAAGTTAGCATGGGCATCTTCTGTCTTCTCCCAGTGTATAATTATACAACCACCTGGCAGATGTTCCTGGAACAATCAACAACTTAAAAAAAAATCTGGAAGGCCGGGCGTGATGGCTCACACCTATAATCCCAGCACTTTGGGAGGCCAAGGCAGGAGGATTGCATGAGCCCAGGAGTTCCAAATGAGCCTGGGCAACATGGTGAGACCCTGTTTCTAAAAAAAAAAAAAAAAAACTTGGAAACCCAATTGACTCTGTTATGAAATACAGATTTTTTTTAGATTGGAATCAGGGGTCACCTGTGCTTGAGTGCCTTCTGTGTGCTGTAAACTGTGCTAGGTGTTGCACGTACATCCTCTTAAGGTCCCTTTACTCTATTGATTATTAATAGATTGGCTCTCTACACTGCATAGGAAGGGATATAACTCTCAAGATGCTCCGTTCCCCATGAGGATGTGAGTCTCCAGCTGAGCCACTGTTTACACAGGATATTCAAATACACCCTCCCAGAGTAGCCCACTCCATAGATCAAACAGCCAGCAAAGATGTTGCAGCAGTCACACATCTGGTGACTCTACTGTCTTCTTAGAAGCAGTCTTCGTTTAACTAGCAATATCCAAATCTGTGGGTCCCAGTTTTTCTTCCAAATATTCAAGGTCCCTGTCAGCCTTCAAGAAGTAGGTGTATTTCAGGGAGGTTTTTAATCAGTTTTAGAATTATTCTGCAATACTAAACTGCTTGTTTTTCTATTGTCCACGTAGGACTATGCAGTCTCCACAGTGCCAGTGGCAGATGGGTTGCATTTGAAGAGTTTCTGCAGCATGGCTGGGCCTAACCTGATCGCAATTGGGTCTAGTGAATCTGCACAGAAGGCCCTTAAGGTAAATACAAAACTGTGCTCCTTCTAAATGTAGTGGGGGTGCCTGCCACAGGGTTTTTCACATTCTCTCTGCTGGGGGAGTAACAAGCAGGGTTGGCAGGGAGAGAACAGGCAGGTATTTGAGCTTCTGTGATGTGCACTGTTGTGACCTCACATTCATTAGAAGCCAGGAACACCTAAGTGTAGGAAGAACTCTTCACTGGTGAACTGTTTTTAGTTACACACCAGATTTCCTAAAAAAAAGGCCATGATTCAAAATAATAAACACCAAACTCATCAACATTATCCCTCAGGGGAAAGGAGGGCATGCCACCAGATTGAGCTCCTTGTAATGTTTTCTCACTTAAGTTGGAGAGTTGGTACACAGGGTTTGTTATATTATTCTTATCCTTTTGTTGCGTCTGGACTATTTCATAATAATCTTTTAGAAAGCCATGGTTCAGAAGTACCTAAAAAGCTTAACTTCTTCATTTGCATTTGGAATAATAACATTTTAAGACCGGAAATTTCCTCATTTTATAGATAGTAGACTTGCCAGAAGAAAATTAGACTTGCCCAGGTCACACGGCTAAATCAAGAGTGGAAGTCATTGATAAAGAAGATGACCTTCTGTTGTTACAATGCAGTGCTTTCCCTTTCCTTCTCTGTAACTTCAACCCCGTGAGATGATCTGGACACCCAATAAGGATAAAGACTGTGTCTGTTTTGCTCATCATTATGCTCCTTTGCACTTGGCCCACAGTGGGCCCTTCATAAATGTCTGATGAAGGGATGGATAAATGAATGAGAGAGGTGGTATTATCTCCATTTTGCAGATGAGAAAACTAGATCAAGTGACTCACCCCAGGTCATAGTGCTAATAATAAATGGTGGGTCAGGACTGCAGCCCCTTCCTCTTAGCTGGTCCTGCACACGAGCATGCATGACTTATTAAAGGGCCAAAGCCAGAAGTTCCTCTTAGTCATAGACAGCAAATCTGTGGGCCCTGAGGCTCTTTCAGGTCTCTTCTCTTCTACCTCAGTGCCAAGTGTGGTGGTTTGGCTGGGAAGCAATCGTTTCCTTGAGCTAAATTTCCTCTCTGTATTATCTGCCACTCTTTGAGCTAGCTCACCTGGCCTTTCTTCCACCTCTTCCCAAACGGTATCTTTGATTCTGTTTCTAAGGCTTTTATTAATTGTTGCTGAACAATCTGTCTCAGAATTTGATTTGTATCATGGTGGCTTTTGTTCGTTTACTTTAGAGAATGTCTTTTGTTCTGCTCCATCTGGAAGTTCATGTCAACTTCTTGCATATAAAAAAAGCTGGTGTCTTGAAAGAAAACATTTGATAAATGGTGTCACTCAGGAGGTCTAGGAAGATTATTTTTCTCCTTAGGGACTGTGGTATCTATCCGTGGTACCTAGGCTGGTCTGCATATGTCTGAGATCGATTATAAGATGAGAGGGTTTAAGCTGGTCTATACCATGCATTTGTGTGTATTAGCAGAAAGAACTTCTTCTGGGTGGACCAACTAGAAAAAGTGGCCCCTTCTGCCATTCTGGGTAGATCAGGTCCCTAACTCAAATCATTTGGTCCCTACCTCAATAGGTCTGTAACTCAAATAGTCTAGAGAGACTAACACATAACAAAATAAAAGGTAATCAAATATGACTAATTAGCACTACGTTATATGATATAGGCCCTAACTGCTCTTCAAAGTTCAGAGGAAAAGGGGGCGTTCCCTGAGGCCTAGATATTCAGAGAAAGCTTTGTAGAGAAAAATGAGACTAGATGTGAGTCTTGAAGGATGGATGGCATTTGACAGGGTAGAATTCAATGAGAGAAAATTACAGGTGGGGACATGGCATAAGCAAAGACTGAGCAAAGTACATTGATGAGATGTGAGCAAACCAGCTCAACTCGTAGAGTTTCTAGTGGGTTTCCAGGGGTACAGGTGGAAGGGGCAGGTGAGATCTGAAGAAGTAGGAACTTAACAGTGAGGAAGACAAGATTATCACCGTGAGGGAGCAATCTGGGTCTTTGAGGAGAAAGCCCTGCATTGTTTCAGAGATGTTGGACCAACATTGGAAAAGGAAGACCCTGCAGTCAGAAAAGAGGACCACTGATGACCTAGGAAAAAAACCCCAAGCCCTAAGTCCTATTGCATGGCTTGGCAACTCACCCCTATTTCTCTCTTCATCTTTCCCTTCCCATGGTCAAATTCTCTCAGACCACATCTGTTAAGGGCATCCTATGAAGACTTTATAGTCCTCCTCCCTGTAGAGTTCATTCGAGTTAGTGTTAATAATGATGTTCCTTTTCTACTTGTCAGAACCTATAAATAATCCTCACTAGCTAGAAAGGCATTCGTTGGAGATTGCATTTTCCATCAGCAAATGTACTGCCTAAACCACAGGCCTGTGGATTTGGTGAATGCCCACCTGCCATGTTTCTAGCATCAAAAATGTCATGTTACCTTGTAGTGAAAATAAGAGGACAAACTGATCTGGGGAATAATGAGCTCTCCTAAGGAAATAGTCACAGGTTCGAAATGGGTTGGTGAAACTCAGGTTTGCATGAACTCAGCTGCTTTATTTATTTGAGAGCAGTTTGGTTTCTATGTTACAACCATCAATAAAATTAATAATGGGGCAATTATTTTTTCTTTTTTTATTATACTTTAAGTTCTAGGGTACATGTGCACAGTATGCAGGTTTGTTATATATGTATACATGTGCCATGTTGGTATGCTGCACCTATTAACTCGTTATTTACATTAGGTATATCTCCCAATGCTATCCCTCCACCCTCCCCCATCCCACGACAGGCCCCGGTGTGTGATGTTCCCCATCCTGTGTCCAAGTGTTCTCATTGTTCAATTCCCACCTGTGAGTGAGAACATGCAGTGTTTGGTTTTTTGCTCTTGTGATAGTTTGTTGAGAATGATGGTTTCCAGCTTCATCCATGTCCCTACAAAGGACATGAACTCATCCTTTTTTATGGCTGCATAGTATTCCATGGTGTATATGTGCCACATTTTCTTAATCCAGTCTATCATTGATGGACATTTGGGTTGGTTCCAAGTCTTTGCTATTGTGAATAGTGCCACAGTAAACATACGTGTGCATGTGTCTTTATAGCAGCATGATTTATAATCCTTTGGGTATATACTCAGTAACGGGATGGCTGGGTCAAATGGTATTTCTAGTTCTAGATCCTTGAGGAATCGCCACACTGTCTTCCACAATGGTTGAACTAGTTGACAGTCCCACCAACAGTGTAAAAGTGTTCCTATTTCTCCACATCCTCTCCAGCACCTGTTGTTTCCTGACTTTTTAATGATTGCCATTCTAACTGGTGTGAGATGGTATCTCATTGTGGTTTTGATTTGCATTTCTCTGATGGCCAGTGATGATGAGCATTTTTTCATGTGTCTGTTGGCTGCATAAATGTCTTCTTTTGAGAAGTGTCTGTTCATATCCTTTGCCCACTTTTTGATGGGGTTGTTTGTTTTTTTCTTGTAAGTTTGTTTGAGTTCTTTGTAGATTCTGGATATTAACCCTTTGTCAGATGAGTAGATTGCAAAAATTTTCTCCCATTCTGTAGGTTGCCTGTTCACTCCGATGATAGTTTCTTTTGCTGTGCAGAAGCTCCTTCATTTAATTAGATCTAATGGGGCAATTATTAATTGCTAACTAACATAGAAATATAAATACTCCATGTTATTATAGACAGGCAGGAAGACAGATGAATAGAGACAAATATATCACTTATAAGTGATAAAAGTGGTATTGGCTTTGTTTTTCCCATTTTACAGTTCAAAATACTGAGACCTGATGAAATAATCATTTTGAGTGGGATCTTACAGTTCCAGAAACAAGTTTCCTGGGCCCTGATTCCCCTGGCCCCAGTTGCCCAACCTACTCCATACTGAATCTTCTTTTTTAATTAGAAAACCTTTTCTAATTATTTTGCCATAGATTGGTTCTAGCCGAGCTTGTCTGCTCCTTCCGTGTCTTTCCACCTATCTCCTGACTTTCCATTTTTTACTGGTATCCAGGATCTGAGCAGTCTCAGGATAGGTGTGAGTTTGGTACCAGATATTTATTTTTTCCCTTGTAAACCTTGATGTCTCAGTTCTTTCCTCTGTAGAGAAGTCCCTGGTCACTTGGGCATCTCTTTAAAGGGCATATTACTTAAACAGAGGTGAATTGTGCCTTCCTGTGCTACACACCGAAAGCTTGATTACTTCTCACCTCTGTCACTGCTCTCTGAGTACTTGGTTCCTTCAGAATCTACTTCTTACATGTTTAGGTAAAGCTGAGAGCCCCAAGGGTTTCTGGGTAGTTTTATTGCATTTGAAATACTTTGTAATGGGTTGCAATCTACTCTTGGTTAATGAAGTGGATTCTTATGGAGATCATCATCTTGCCATTTGAGATTATAGTAGAGTTAATAGTGTGTGCATTGTATATTTAAATGAAATCATCCATCTAGGAAGAGTTTAGCAATTCTCAGCTAAAAAGCCCAGAACACATAAATTCATTCATCCACTCATTCATTGATTCATTTAAGATGGAGTCTCACTCTGTTGCCCAGGCTGGAGAGCAGTGGCTTGATCTTGGCTCACTGCAATCTCTGCCTCCCACTTTCAAGAGATTCTCCTGCCTCAGCCTCCTGAGTAACTGGGATTATAGGCACCCGCCACCACGCCCAGCTAATTTTTGAATTTTTAGTAGAGATGGGGTTTCACCGTGTTGGCCAGGCTGGTCTCGAACTCCTGACCTCAAGTGATCTGCCTGCCTCGGCCTCCCAAAGTGCTGGGATTACAGGCCTGGCCACCACAACACATTTAATACAGGGTACCAATCTAGGGAAAGAAGAAAGGAAGACATTATTACTGCATTTTACCATCCATATGGCAAAGGTACTAGAAGTTAGGTTGGTTTGAACAAATGCTAGATATTTAACAGCAAGTCTGATCCTAGAAATACTATTATTTAGGCCAAATTAGTTTTTAGAGCAACCTGCATTTCCTATAGTTTTTCTCCCAACTTTGCATCTCACCTTCATACCCCTCTACCTGTAAAAAAAAAAAAAAATAATGTAAGACAAATTAATTAGCACACAGGCATTAGACCTGTTTGTACTCTTCCAGAAGGAATGTTTGCCTTCTCTAAAAAGATGAGTACTCCAGTTACTCCAAAGTTTGAACAAAAGAAGCCAACCCCCCCAAAGAATAAATATTCTATTCTTTCATGCACATAGTTAAACAAGAGGCAAAGCTACTCTCTACTGTTACCTGTCAGAATAATAGTTATTTTAAGATGAAGGGAGGCAGTCATGGTCCAGAGGGCCACTTTGTGTGTTATACTTTATATATTACACTTTGTATACTTTAATTTTTTAAAGTTTAGGAAAAATATATATGTTACATTGTTGGAAGTAGGCTATGATTGACTTACAGAAATAATTCTCCAATAACTAAGTGTGCCTAACTCCTAACCCCCTGCTTTACCATTCTACATGATGACTGTCTTTTCCACAGACTACCCTGTTTTTAATTTTTTTAATTAAGGGGGAAAAAGACATAAGAAAGAGTAAATCTATACCACATCTCACCTTGTTCTTTTTCTAGATCCATCCCTGAAATTGCCTTCTTTTCCAAAAACCTGGATTAATTACATGCTATCGTCACAGGAGGACAGATAGTAATATCTGCCTCAGGAGGGACTCACAGTAATTCTCAGTAATGATTTTTAACTTGACCTCATTGGTAGCATTCACTCTTCCAGTCAATTGGAGAAAAAAAAATTTTCTTAAGGAAGGAAAGATGAAGGGAGGGAGGGAAGGGAGGGAAGGATGAAGGGAGGGAAGGGAGAGAGGGAGGGAGGTCAGGGGAGGTGGTACCTTTAGCTAAAACTTTCCTGAAACTATTCAGAGGAGGAAGCTGCTGACCCCACCTGGGAGGGACTGCAGCACTGACCGGCTACAGGACTGTGCCATCTGCTGGCCGGGCAGCAGGAGGAGCATCCTCACCTTCCTAACCCCGTGGGAGAGGAATTTTTTGTTGTTTTGTCTTGTTTTGTTTTTGTTTTCATTTTTTTCATATATTACATTTGTGTATATTTATGGGATACAGCTATAGTTTTCTTTGGTGGACTTTTTTAAAATTAGTAATTCTGTTCTTTTGTATCACAATAAATTATTACCTAAAAATACTTTTAATAAAAATACTACAAGGACGTGGTAAGAAAAGAATTATGAGATCACCACTCCATTTTTTGTGCCTTTGTCATGTAAATGGAGCTTAAATACAGTATGTGGTTTTTCAATAGACTTGTAATTTTAAATTAAAATGCTCACAATGCATCTCAATGGAAATGTCTTTTAGGTTTCTTATCTACTTCCTGAAATAACTAACTGAATTTCTAACATTCCTTGAATGAACACAAGAGCTGCTTTGTACCTCATTTAAATTGCATAGCACACAGCCTGTTTTTCTTTTGAATGACTAACTATATAATAGAGATCACTCAGACTGTATTTCCTCTTGTTTTGACTCAGCTGCAGCATTGCTTTTATGTCCAAAAATGTCCATGTTATTTTATAGATGGTCATATAAAAAATGAAGATGGAAAAACCCTTAATGTGTTTGGATTTTATATGCTTTTTATTGCCTGGAATTTCCTTTAATGACAACTAGCAAAACCCAAAAGACAGAATGAGAACTAACTAGCTCATATCAACAGGGTGATTGAAATGGAAAAAATAAAGACTTTGCATTTTTAGTTATTGTTGTCACAGGGAATTATAGTGTGTAGCCACAAGATTTTCCACTTTGAGTCTCTGCTATGAAAGGCATACTGACAATCCCATTGTAGGTTTAATTTTGTCTTACTATCTGGCTGTTGTATTCACCAGCTCCACAAAACAATGATTTTTTTAAATCTGCCATGCGTGTATTAAGAAATTAAAACACAAAACCAAATAGCTTCTGAATTTGTAACAACTGTTTATGCTCCTTTTCCTGGCAGCAGTTGCCTCATCTGACAATATTCCCAGAGCTGTATGCCAACAAGGCTAGGGTGGCCAAAATAAAATGTTTTGGCATAATAAGCCAATAAATAATTTGAAGCTATGACACCAAAACAGCCATGCTGAATTTTAGCATTAGTCCCAAGGCAGGAAGAAGTCAAAATTGGCCAAGTAGGAGAAAGGGAATAATGTGCTTTTTTTTCCTTTTGGGCTTTCAAGAAAATGTCAAAGGGAAAAAGGAATAAATTATATTTAAAAGTGCTGTTCATCCTGTCCAGTATATACTAGACCATCAAAAAGTATTAAACTGACTCTATAGGATATTGTAGGGGTAATCATCTGTTGGATGGTTGGCCACATAGCCTTATAAGGGGCCTTTCAACCCAAGACTCTAACTTCTGAAAGAAAAAGTCTATAAGTGACCTTAAATTAGTGGTTCCTAGTGAGAGTGGTTTAAAGGCATCTGAGTAGCTTTCTGAAAACATACTACCCTGGGTTTATCTCAGAAAATTCTGATATTCTGGGTCTGGAATGGAACCCAGGCATCTGCATTTTTTAAAAGCTCTGCAGGTGATTCTAATGCACAGGCCAAGGTTGAGAGCCACTGCTTTCAAGGATATCTGCAACTTCCAAAAGTGCCCAGCTTACAATCCCGAATAATGTGCACCTGAAGAAGCCAACGTTTTTGTCATACAGGTGCAAAATAACATATCCCGATTACATTAGCAGTAAAAGTAAAGAAAGTATTCAAATTAAAGCCATAGAAAACTAGAAACTTCTTAGGTTTTTCCTGCCCAGAATTAAACATTGTATAAACTTGAAATATAATACCTAACTGGGTAATAATTTGGATGCCATGATTTAATCCATTTGACATGCTAAAATTCCTCATTAAAATATTCCAAGTTACCAAAATCACTAATGTTATCATTTTCTGAGAACAGGAAGCTTGCATTTGACTCATATTCCCATACCTCCTCCTCCAACACACACACACACACACACACACACTCATAGAAAAACCTAACAACAGGACCTGATCTTACTGTGTGAAGATATATGCCAAAAAGGGGGAAAAAAGTTAAACTTCACACTATTACTGATATTAGAGAATACCTTACTTTTTAAAATAATAATCATATGTTGATTCTACTAAAGAAGCATAATTGCCTACAGGGCCAAAATGCCCATGAGGACAAAGCAGAGAACTTAGAATCCATTTCATGGATTGTCATTCTTGCTCTGCCTCCAGCTCTCCCTATGTGACCCCTATCTCCTATACTCGTTCTCTTCTTGAAAAAACAAAGTTGAATTAGCCTCAGTAGGAATCGAGAGTGTTGTTCCTTCCCATTGGAAATTTTATAACAGCCAGTCAAGGTGAAATGCTGTGTCTTAAACCTAGGATGGAGCAAACAACTACTTGGCAAAAAGTAGCAACCATATAATTATAAAGCACTAGTGGTAAGGATCACTTCAGAGTGGGCTCACTGTAGAATCTTAATGTGATATTGTCCTTTCAGTGCCTGTAAGTGATGGAACATCTGGGGTTTTTTTTTGTTTTTGTTTTTCTCTTTGTTTTTGTTTTTGAGACAGAGTCTCGCTCTGTCACCCAGGCTGGAGTGCAGTGGCGTGATCTCGGCTCTCTGCAAGCTCCACCTCCCGGGTTCACGCCATTCTTCTGCCTCAGCCTCCCGAGTAGCTGGGACTACAGGCACCCGCCACCTCCCCGGCTGATTTTTTGTATTTTTAGTAGAGACGGGGTTTTACCGTGTTAGCCAGGATGGTCTCAATCTCCTGACCTCGTGATCCACCGCCTCGGCCTCCCAAAGTGCTGGGATTACAGGCGTGAGCCACCTCGCCCAGCCGGAACATCTTTATATCTGTTTGTGCTTAGCAATGTTTTTATGCCTGTTTGAGGAAAACCACAGAAAGATTCCAACTTCATTCCATTTTCTTAGAAGAAGCTTTAATTACATATATAACTATTCAGTTGGATATCTAACAAACATGATTTTCTAATTCATACATAAAACTCTGATAGGAAAAGCAGCTAAGATTTTCAAAACCTCTTATTACTGTCTCTTCTGCAAAAAGACTTTTAAAACAGCAATTGAAAAGACATCACAGTGGTAAGATTTACTGAGCAGCAACTATTAATATATGAAAGATACTATCCCAAGCACAGGGATACTGAGTCGGATGAGAAATGATCTCTGCATGATCTCTGCCTTCAAGGCTGCTCCCATTTAGCTGGAGAAACAAGAGAGAACATTAAAAGATAAAAACTGTCACCGTGCAACACAACATAAGTGGCTAATAAATGGTTCAGGGTCCTAGGAAAGGTGGTAGGAGTTCTGGAGAGGGATTGATCAACCAGAAGCAGGACTCAAAGTCTGAGTGCACCTGAATGAACGTCAGGCATAGCTGGCACAGAAGAGTGGTGGTTATTACAAACAGGACAGCCTGGGGAAGTGTCAGTAGTACCATCAAGAGACAATGGCTGGAATGGGGGCTGGATGCAGGGAAACAGAGAGAGAGGTGAAAGATACAAGTTGGGGCTGCTTCAAATTATCTTGGCCAATGAAATCGGGGTTTCCTTATCTGTGGGCTGTGGGGGACAACACAGATTTTTTTTTTTAGCAGAGGAGTAGAAGCTGAAGGTGTTTTTTCAGAAAGATCTGTCTGGCACGGTTCCCATAATGATTTAACAGGGATAAGGATTAGGAGTAATAAAACTAGCTGATGCCATTGCACAGCACAGTCTATGAATAAATGAGTGGAGGATCTGGACTAGGAAAGTAGCTGTGAAAGTGGAAAGGGCAGTGCAGAAAGTGAGGCCCACTTAGAGAAGTAACAGAACATCGTGACTGATGGACTTTAAAGGGAGAAAAAGGGACCAGATCAACACTTTGGAAGATAATTACAGAACTCCTGTTCTGTGCCCCTGGGGACAATGATGAACAAAATGACTTCAGAAATAACTACCACAATGGCGTGCCTTTGGTAGAATTTTTGGAAAAGAGTTTAAACTCTCCCTGTCACCATGAATTCAGCATTCCTCATCCACAAAGGAACAGACCATCAAAAATTGGTGGGCAAATGTTGCTGGATTTCACTGACCTAGATTCACATTTTAGGAATAGAGCAGTACTCAGATATGACAGCAGCTCTGGTAGGCATCCGATGCCTAAGCTTGCAAGACACTAACGGGGTTGGCTTCCATTTCAGTTTCCATTGGCAGCAGTGGAATCAGTGCTCACTCAAGTCTGGAGTCTCTGTCCTTTACCCTTTTCCATTTATTTTCATCTGTTACTCTCTCTCAAGGCCCACCAAAAAAATCATCTTAAAAACATTTGCATGCCTTCCATCTCTAGCAGTGTTAGATTGTTTATTGGCTGAATTGATTTGGCAAAAGATTTAAAAAAAAAGGATGATTTCTGTCTCATGGGCTGAGATCGTACATCACAGCATGACCTATGTGATAGTCTCAGCCATGCCAACACCAGTACCTTCGGTCTTGAAGGGATTAGGAAACGTTGTCAGTTGAGCTGGAAGGAGGAGGGTTTTGAGTTTTGGGTTACTGTTTCTCTGTGGAAATCACATGTATTAAATGCCGTAGGTGTTGATAAGTATCCTATTGCTTGGCTGAAGGTTAATAAAGCATAGGGTGAAACATAGACACTAAATTAGAAGTGACATTTTGACCATGAATTATTCTGCAGCCTCCGGGGAAAACTTCCCCACTACATGACACAATACTAGAATTTGGATCATCCTTAGAAATACTGACATGCAAAAGAAACACATTAAATTTTCTACCACCCTCCTGCAAAACCATCCCACTACCATTGCCCTGCTCTTAATCACTTACTATTTTTCCTTGTTTTCATCTTTCAAAATGTTGTATTTGTCCAATAATCTTTAAGAATATTTCTAAATCTCATTTTCTCAGCTATGGTTCTGTTGCTGCTGTTGGGTCCCCATATTACTCATCACACTATCTGTTTGCAAATGTTAAAGGTAGCTTTGGAGATAGATTACAACAGCCATTCCCTTTATCTCTTCCCGAAGTGGGACCAAGTTTAAACCTGTGACCACATACTGAGAGGTGACTCATCGTTATAGGGTTCCAAAAACAACAACAATGAAAAACAATTAGGAGCTAAATGAAAAGCGCTGAATCTATTAGAGTTTTTGTATGTTTTCTAATCACTTATTTCTTTTTTACCCACACCCTGGCAAACGATAAGAACTCCATAAAGTTCGGCTACTACCAGTCATATTATCAGTAGCAGTAACAATACCTGTTAGGTGTGAAGATCATATATATATATATTTTTTTTTTTTTTTTTGAGACGGAGTCTTGCTCTGTCTCCCAGGCTGGAGTACAATGGCACGATCTTAGCTCACGGCAACCTCCGCCTCCCAGGTTCAAGCAATTCTCCTTCTTCAGCCTCCTGAGTAGCTGGGATTACAGACATATACAACCACGCCCAGCTAATTTTTGTATTTTTTTTTTTTTAGTAGAGATGGGGTTTACCATGTTGGCCAGGCTGTTCTTGAACTCCTGACCTCAAATGATCCCCCATCTCTGCCTCCCAAAGTGCTGGAATTACAGGCATGAGCCATCACACCCAGCCAGATCATATTAATTTGAATAGTGTAAGTTAGTGGTCCTCAAACTTTAATGTACCCAAGAATCACACACAGTACACACTTAAAATGTACATCCCATTCCTGGGGTTCACCGCTAGAAATTCTGATTCAGCAAGACTGGGAACCATGGCGTGATTCTGATGCAGGTAATCCATACGCTGTGAGAACACTGGCTGCGTCTGGAGTTCACCAGATGTCAGTTCCTACATGAAGGCAGGGAGAGAAAATCTATTCCTAAAGTAAATTGTTATGTCCTTGAACAGAAAATGTCACCTAAAATCATTCAGAATAATGTCATATTGAGTAAAATACCTGGCACTTTAGAGAAATAGCTCTCATATGAAGGAAAATCAAGCATAACTCCCCTAGATTACTGAAATACAAGTGCTTATGAAATGCTAACTTTTCTCTAAAATGCTGTCTTTTTAGAAAGAAATGCCTACAGAATGAAAGATTTTCATTTATCACATTTTCCATATAGTGCCTTTCTCTGTTGATAACATATGTATATTAAAATACAATGTATCTGCAGTGAGTTTTTATTATGCTCATTCTCATTAGGCACACAGTCCCTCAGACATAGAGAAAAGTCTGCCTTCCTTCCCAGCTAAGAAGTCCTGTGGTATGATACTAAATACATGATACTAAATTCTACAAGAAGGAATAGTGGCAAGAGGAAGGAAACCCAGATCTCTGTTTGGGGGAGAAGTTTGTCTGGTCCCATCCCTGAAGCTTGTTAGAGAGAATTTGAGAAAGATCTCTGGAGAGCAACCAAAGCTGATGAAAGATGGAAGTTCGGTGACTGGTGTGGATTGCACAGAAGGATAATGCAAAAGTGTGGACTGGCAGCTCTTTTCTCTTCATTGAAGGCAGGCTCTGAGTGAGTGTGTCTTTTAAAGGAAATTGCATCAGGAGACTTTAGGAGGGTTTTCAGAGTTATTAAAATGGATAGACTATGGAGGAAAGGGGACTTTAACTTTTTGAAAAAATTAATTTTATTGGCCGGGTGTGGTGGCTCATGCCAGGACTTTGGGAGGCCAAGGCGGGTGGATCACGAGGTCAGGAGTTTGAGACCAGCCTGGCCAATATGGTGAAACCCCATCTTTACTAAAAATACAAAAATTAGCTGGTCATGGTGGTGTGTGCCTGTAGTCCCAGCTACTCGGGAGGCTGAGGCAGGAGAATTGCTTGAACCCAGGAGGCAGAAGTTGCAGTGAGCCAAGATAGTGCCACTGCACTCCAGCCTGGGTGACAGAGTGAGACTACATCTCAAAAAAAAAAAAAAATTAGTTTTATTGTGACATAATTTCCTTACAATAAAATTACAGTTTTAAATGGATAATTCAATGAGTTTTGACAAGTGTATGCAGTTAAGTCCAACAGAACTTTAACTTTTCATATTTGAATTTTTTACGAGATGCACTTGTAATAGTGTGATAATTTAAAAACATGTTTTTAGAAGAACTGTTTGACATTGTATAATCACACCTCACCTCATAAAAGCAGCTTACAAAGACACCTAAGTACAGCAAAATAACATAACTAAAAATAGAAGGGAAAGATGATATAAAACAAGAAACAAGAATGAGGATTTTAATTGGAGCTGAGTTAGAGAATACACACCATCTATTAATCATATGGTTTTTGTCCTTCATTCTGTTGATGCAATATATCATGTTTATTAATTTATGTATGTTGAACCATCCCTTGCATCCTTGCACCTTTGGGATAAATCCCACTTGATCATGGTGTAATATCTTTTTGATTTGCTGTTGGATTTTGTTTGCTAGTATTTTGTTGAGGAGTTTTGTGTCTATATTCATCAGGGATATTGACCTGTAGTTTTTTTTGTTGTGTCCTTGTCTAGTTTTGGTATCAGGGTAATCCCGGCCTCATGAAATGAGTTAGGAAGAATTCCCTCCTCTTATTTGGATCCATTCTCTTTTCTTCTTGGTTAGTCTAGCAGTTTATCAATTTTCTTTATTTTTTCAAAAAAAAACTTTTAGTTTCATTGATCCTTAGTATTATTTTTTAACTCTATTTCATTTAATTCTGTTTTGATCTTTATTATTTCTTTCCTTCTACTAGTTTTGTGTTTGGTTCTTGCTTTTCTAGTTCCTTGAGGTGCAACATTAGGTTGTTTTTTTGAAATCTTTCTACTTTTTTAATGTTGGCATTTGTTGGTATAAATTTCCCTTGTAACAATGCTTTTTCTTTATCCCACAGGTTTTGGTAAGTTGTTTCCATTTTCACTTGTTTCTGGAATTTTTTTTTCTTTCTTTCTTAATTTCTTCATTGACCTTGTAGTCATTCAGGAGCATGTTGTTTAATTTCCATGTATTTGTAGTTTTCAACATTTCTCTTATTGCTGATTTCTTGTTTTATTCCATTATGGTCTATGAAGAGAATTGTCATGATTTTGATTTTTTAATATTTGTTGATACTTGTTTGGGGCCTAATTTTGATTTTTTAACATTTGTTGATACTTGTTTGGGGCCTAATATCTATCCTGAAGAATGTTCTTGATGTGCTAATAAGAAGAATGTGTATTCTGCAGCTATTGGATGAAATGTTCCATATATTTTTGGTACATTTGGTCTAAAGTGCAGTTTAAATCTAACGTGTCTTTGTTCACTTTCTGTCTTTTGCTGAGAGTGGAGTGTTGAAGTCCCTAGCTATTATTGTATTGGAGTCTGTCTCTCCCTTTAGATCTAATGACATTTGTTTTTTATTTTATTTTATTTTATTTTATTTTATTTTATTTTATTTTATTTCATTTTAGAGACAGGGTCTCACTTTGTCACCCAGGCTGGAGTACAGTGATACAATCTTGGTGCACTGCAACCTCTGCCTCCCAGGCTTAAGCCATCCTCCCACCTCAGCCTTCCAAGCAGCTGAAACTACAAGCATGCACCACCATGCCCAGCTAATTTTTGTATTTTTTATAGAGACAGGGTTTCACCATGTTGCCTAGGCTGGTCTTGAACTACTGAGCTCAAGTGATCCACCCACCTCAACCTCCCAAAGTGCTGGCTGGGATTACAGATGTGAGCCACCATGCCCAGCCAACATTTGCTTTTTATATCTGGGTGCTTCAGTGTTGGGTGCATATGTATTTAGAACTGTTATATTCTCTTGCTTAATTGATCCATTTATCATTACATAATAACCTTCTTTGTTTCTTTTTACTGTTTTTCATTAAAAATCTGTTTTATCTGATATAAATATATCTACTCCTGCTTGCTTTTGGTTTGTGTGGAATATTTTTTCTGTCCCTTTACTTTCAGCCCATATTTGTCTTTTTATAGGTGAAGTGAGTTTCACTAGGCAGCATATAGTTAGGTCATGGGTTTTAAAAAAATATTTTTTAATAACCTTCATTACTTTGGATAGGTCACAGGTTTTTTAATCCACTCAGCCACTCTATATCTTTAAGTTAAAAATTTAAGCCATTTACATTCAAGGTTATTATTGATATGTGAGGACTTATTCCTGTTATTTAGTGGTTTTCTGGATGTTTTATATATCCTTTGTTCTTTTCTTTCTCTCTTACTGTTTATCATTGTGGTTTGGTGGTTTTCTGTAGTGGTAACATCTGAATGCTTTCTCTTCCTCATTCGTGTGTTTGCTCTTCCAGTAAGTTTTATACTTTTGTGTGTTTTCATGATGGAAGGTATTGTTCTTTCACTTCCAGGCGTAGGACTTCCTCAAGCATTTCTTGGAGGGCTGGTCTCTTGGTGATGAATTCCCTCAGTTTTTGGTTGTTTGGGAAACTCTGAATTTGTCCTTCATTTATGAAGGATAATTTTACTGGATGGATATAGTACCCTTAATTGGCAGTTTTTTTCTTTCAGCACTTTGAATATATCATCCCATTTTCTTCTGGACTGTAAAGTTTCAGATTAGAAATGTGCTGTTAGTCTGATGGAGACTTCTTTGTGTCTAGATGCTATAGTAATCCATTCTCACTTTGCTATAAAGAACTACCTGAGAGTAGGTAGTTTATAAAGAAAAGAGGTTTAATTGACTCACAATTCTGCAGGTTGTACAAGAGGCATGGCTGGGAGGCCTCAGGAAACCTAATCATGGTGGAAGGGTAAGGAAGCACCTTGCTTCACAAGGAGCAAGAGGAAAAGAGAGTGAAGGGGGAAATGCCACACACTTTTAAACCATCAGATCTTGTGAGAAATCACTATCATGAGAACAGTAAGGGGGAAATCTGCCCCCATGACCAATCATCTCCCTCCGGGTCCCTCCCCCAACATTGGGAATTACAATTCAACATGAGATTTGGGTGGGGACACAGAGCCAAACCATATCAGATGTTTTTCTCTTGCTGTTTTTAGAATTATTTGTCTTTGACTTTTTACACTGTATTAGTCCGTTTTCATACTGCTTTAAAGAACTGTCTAAGACTGGGTAATTTATAAAGGAAAGAGGTTTAATTGACTTACAGTCCTGAAAGGCTGGGGAGGCCTCAGGAAACTTAGAATCATGGTGGAAGGCAAAGGGGAAGCAAAGCACCTTCTTCACAAGGCAGCAGGAAGGAGAATGAATGCAGGAGGAACTACCAAACACTTATCAAACCATCAGATCTCATGAGAACTCACTCACTATCATGAGAACAGCATGTGCGGAACCGTCCCCGTGATCCAATTACTTCCCTCTGGTCTCTCCCTAGACACCTGGGGGTTATGGGGATTATAATTCACGATGAGAATTGGGTGGGGACATAAAGACTATATTAGACTGTTTGATTATAATATGCTGGGGAAAAGATTTTTTTGGGGTTGTATCTATTTTGGAATCTTTGAGCTTCCTGTTTCTAAATCTCTTGCTAGACTTAGGGAGTTTTAAGGTATTATTTTGTTAAATTGTTTTTCTATGCCATTAAACTTCTCTCACCCTTTGGAACACCCAAAATTCAAATATTTTGTTGCTTTATGGTGGCCCATAGGTCACATTGGCTTTCTTCTTTCTTGTTTTTTTTTCTTCTTTTTAAAGTTCTGAAATTCTTCTTGATTTAGTATCCTGTTGAAGTTCTCATTGCATTTTTTATTTCATTCATTGAATTCTTCAGTTTCAGGATTTCTCTTTGGTTCTTTTTTATATGTCTATCTCCTTGGTGAATTTCTCATTCATACCCTGAGTTGTTTTTTTAATTTCTTTTTATTGTTTATCTGTGTTCTCTTCTATATCATGGAACTTCCTTAATGTTGTTATTTTGAATTCTTTTTCAGGCACTTCATAAATTTAGTTTTTATTGGAATCTGTCTCTGGAGAATTATTATGTTCCTTTGGAAGTGTCATATTTCCTTGCTTTTTTGTATTTCTGTGTCCTTTCATTGATATCTGTGCATCTGGTGTAACAGTCACTTCCTCCAATTTTTTAGATTGGTTTTCATAGGGGAAGACATTTTCCTGTAGATAGATCTATGGTGTTGGTTGGTTAGGGTACTTTTCTTTTATTCTGGGCATATATGGTGGTGCAGTCTCCATAGGATTTCTTTGGCTATACACCATCAGTGGTGTCTGTGATTTCCTCAGTGGCGTAGGCTGCCGTTGTTAGTAGAGATTATGCTGAGGTTTTCCTGGGGATAGGACGCCAGGTGGGCCAGTCCTCAGGCCCTGCTGTTGGCAGCGGCAGACCAAGCATGCCTGTTCTTGGGTCCCGGGGTGGCATATGTGGGCGCCAGTGTTAGCAAGTCCAGAGGGCTGATTTTGGGGCCTCCAGGCAGCTTTCTTGGGTGCTGGTTATGGCAGCAGTGTGCCAGATGACTGGATGAGTCCTCAGGCTCCCCATGGGCACTCACTGATATTAGCGGTGGCTGCAATGGGCTGGGCAGCCCAGTCCCCAATCCTCCAGGTAGTGCATGCAGAAGATTGCCAGCAGTGGTGGTGGTGGCAGGCTGGGCAGGCCTATTCTCAAGTTCCAGGAGTATTGCCCAGATGCCAGCTGTTGTAGACAAGGTGAGGCAATCCCCCAGCCTCCAGACAGCATGCTTGGGTTTCAGCAGTAGGTTTTCTGGTCCTGTTAGGCCCCCTGATGGCATGCATATGCACCTGGGTCAACCAATGGGGAGGGGCAATCCCTAGGCCCCCAGGCAATGTGCTTGGGCACTGATGGAGGACAGGGGTGGTGCCAGGCCAGGCAGGCCTATTCTCAGGCCCCCCATGGGGCCCATGGGCCCAGGCTGTGGTGAACAAGGCAGAGCAATTTCCAAGCCCCAGACGGTTTGCTCAGGTGGCTATGACAATGGTGGCAGCCTGACCTCAGGACACATGCTAGTGTGAAGCAGCCCTTCTACTGTGGGAACAGGGTTTTATTTCATTGACAGTGGCCCCAGGAAATCAGGTTTCATGCTCTGGGAAACACATGCTTCAGCTCCCTTTGTCCCAGGATCACCCTCCCCAGTGTGCAGTACAATGTGTGGGCTAGAGTTCTGGAGACCCTGCCACTCTACTGTGTCCAACCTGCATTGCACCCTGCAGCCCTCTGTTAGTGGGGCTCCAGGGATGTGAAGATACAGGGGTTGCTGGGTCCCAGGGCACAATGCAGTCTGGTGGGAAATGGGCTTTCTAACTGGCTCTCTATCTGTCCAGAACTAAGTGGGTACATGGGACCCGAGTGGGCTCCATCTCTGGAGCAATGCTGCCACACGGACCCCGGGAATACCAGTTTCAGGGTCCTTGGGGTTTGAGAGACTCTTATGACTAGGATTTCAGCAGTCAACATGGGAACATGTACCACTGGGAATCTCTCACTTACCCTTTCCTCTCACTAGGGACCCTCTCTGGGCTCCCAGCTGATTCCAGCCAGGCTGTCTACCTTGCCTCCCTCTCCTTCAGTATCTCAGGTGTTTTCTGTCACTTCTCTGCTGAATTCCAGCATTCTCTCTTAGATGTCTATTCAAAGTATGATTATCTACTTGCTATTTTGGCTCTTCTTTGCTGGGGAAACAGGTGTCCAGTACCTCTAGTCAGTCATCTTAAAGCCCCTCTCAGGCAGTGTTCATTTTGAACTAGTCTGTGGAAAGACTATAAAACATGAAAATATGCTATCAGTTTTAGAATGTTATCCATAGCTATATTGGCTCAGCCTTAAAAAGACCTCCAGGGCTTGATGCTGGTATGTTGTCAGGCTCTCAATACACTCTTGATGGATGGATAAATAAATAAATGATTTTAGATATGCAGTAGCAATGAAGAGTGTACTTGGGCATCATATATTGTATCAATAGACCATAGTCAGTTGTTTTTAATACTGGTTTAGCTTTGATATGTTAAGATGGGTACATTATGTTATATATATATATATACATATATGAATATAAAGATCAATTATGAGTGACCCAAAAATGTGCTTTGAATATTCCCTAAACATCTCTAACTACCTTTTATATACCTTTGCTTCAGAGTTTGACCAATAAGTTCTAAATTGTTCCATGAAACAACATAGCCCAGGATTTTTTAAAACATAATTACCATTATACAAAGAAAGCATGAGTAAGAAGCAAGAGAATGGAGTGGGCTTTCAGTCGTTTGGATGAGAAAATTCCCAGAAATGTTGGGAACTGCCGGAAATGCCTGGTTGTTAATGCAACTTGCCATGCAGATTCTCTTGGGCTGAAAGCCAGACAGTTCCCACTCTATTTTGTGACAGCTCCACCCTGGGGAACAAGGCCAATTCCTCCAACCAGCAGCTGCATAACAGACCATGACAGTGTGGCCACAATGATTCTCAGAGCTATTTCCTCCCTACAGCTGCGTGCCTTCTTCGTTAAGGAGTTGCCTATGATAAAAGTGAGGTTGACTGTCTTTTTACTGCTAGCATACTCTTCATGTGCTTGTCCTGCCTTAAATGATAGCTTTTCATCTCCTGAAGGCATCTCTTTCCCTTTCCCACCTCACACTGCCATTGTGCTGAGCCCGAAGGGGGCGTACCATAAAAGATTGTTGAACAGAGCTGACCACCAATTGATCTAATCCCCATAATAATCACTCAAATTAGTTTCCATAAAGTGGAATCATTCCTTTGGCAAAATTCAGAAAGGGCATTCGGAACAGCAACTTGACTTCTCAGATCTTTCCCCCAAATCCTGTAGAACTCATTTGTATCATTCAGAGTTGAGTCTGGGGCCTCTCAGGATATCAAGTAATCTGCTCTTAGGGAAAGGAATTTGTGGTGACGTGTGGAGGGTTTAGGTGTGTCTCCTTTCCATTCTGGCTTGAGACACAGTGAGAAGCAGGAAGTACAGTCCCTGGGGTTGGAAAAACACTACATACAGCACTGGAGCAGTACCACCTCCTCCATGCTTTTTTAGGAAAAAATGTTGGAACAGAACTAAACGGCCCAACAGCTGCATTCTCGGGATATTTGAAATGGTGCTCATCTTTTAACAAAGCCTCTGTGCATCCACAAAGGGGAAACAGAACCTGTTCCTTGGCCTCACTGTTGCTCAGTCCTCAGGAGCCTGAGCTCTTTGAGGTGATACCCTACCAGACAGGATGTGTTAACACATCCTCACAGTGCCCATTAGGGTGTAAAAAGGGAAAGATGTTCAAGAGCAACACAGCCTTCCTGCATCTTTCTCTGCATGTTCCCTGCTGAATGGCCAGCACCCTGTCTTGTGTACATACATGTGTCTCCTAAACCCAGCTACAAATAAATGGTAAGCTTATTCAGACAATAACAACATACAAGAGAAAGGAAAATAATTACTCCAACAGGAAAGGAGAAATCTGTTCTTTGCCTCGAAAGACAAAATCTCTTTGTGTTTATAATAAGCACCTTTAGCATTTTCAAGGGGGAAAAGCATATTTCTTGTTTGTTATCTACAGTTACCACTTCATACATCCCTTTTATTTAGAAAGGCTACACCTGACATAACTTTTGTAATTTTTTTCAGTTAAGCAGAACTACTCACTGCTCCAAATGGGGCCTGTTCATTATTAAAAGTCATTTCTTTGGGCATATTCTTAAATCTGTCTTAAAATGATAACCGTGGAGTCTTGATAAATTAATTGAAAAGCTTCTCCTAAGGTAGCTTTGTTGGGGTTTTGTTAAGACATTTATTTTAAGAGTAACTCTCAGTAGAATTTATCAATGAATTACTTCATATATTCTCAGCATTAAATTATTTCCCCACTAAAGATATTATAATTCCTTTCCTCCCAGTAATGAAAAATTGAAACTGTCCTCAAATAATTCTAAAGTAGGTACTGGCCTTTATGTTAGTAAGTATAGGAATGTCCCCACCAGAAGCTTTAAATGATAAAAAATAAGGCTCAGAAAAGGAAGAAGCATTAAAGAATGAAGAGTGATTACAATTTCAAATACATGCCAGTAACTGAAGAACAATTCAAATAGGAACCAAGTAGGGGAGAGGATTGTTCACTCAAGGAGGTGAGGTTGGGGGATAGGGCAGAGCATGGAAACAGCTGAAGTCAACTGGACAGGCCCTGTCACTTCAGTGACACGTGGTACTTTCTGAGATGGGCACAACCTTGGAGATTTTAGTTTGTTTCCTCACTGGTAAACAAGAAGTCAGCACTGATAACAATCCCTGAGAACACTTCCTCTGGAATGTATGACATTCCATGCTTTTGCTTTGTAGTCACCTCCGGACATGCATGAGTCACACTGAGAGGTGGGGAATTTGCCCAGACCGCTAGATCCAGTGAATAAAGTCAGGCCTAAGAGATGTAGTCTTGCCATGTTTCTTTCTCTTTCAATTCATCTGGTACTAAGAGACATGGGTGATTTATTTATCTGTGGGTAAAGAGTACAATGAAGCTTCTGCAGATCACAAATTAAAATGGAAAGCCAACTGGCAGTTATCTGGTGATTATGAGTGGTGGGAGCACTTAGCCTGAATGTGTGGGCCAAAATATGCCACACACAGTTTTCCCAATTGCTTAGAAAAGTAAGTCAATGTGAGTAATAGATTTTCTAGATTTTGTTTTGTTTGTGTCTAGGTTGACCAGGTAGCAGTGGTTGTGTATACATGTTCTAAGGATCTCTCTGAGGTCCTCAAACCACTGGGGTCCTACTTAGTAAACCTCTGGCTCAGAGAACTGCCTCCCCAGTTGTCTGGAAGAAATTCTGAACTTCTTGGGTAAACTAGGTCCAATTCATGTGACAGGATGACCGTCCAGTTCTGACTGCAAACATGAGCAGACTGGCCATCTTGGTCCACCCTCAACAGCACATAATAAACAGAGATTTAGACATAGTGGAATCCCATTCCCTGCACCTGGAAAAAAGCACGTTTGTGAGACTGACCAAAAGCTATTGTCTAGAAGTTTCACAAATCCTAACTGCCACCTTGCATATCGAGGCAGCCCCACTCTACTATGAAGAAGTCAATCTGCCCATTGGGTTTATGGACTATTTTACTAAATTGGGGTCACAACCTGACAGAGGCTTATGTGTTCGGTTTGATATACACAAAAGTTTTTCTTTTCTTTCTTTCTGTGAATGCCCTTAGGTGCCACATACTCTGCAGGTAATTCCAGATCCAACCCCCTGTTGTCTTACTTTGTCATCCAGAGTCATTTGAGTTAGGACCACAGAGTATAGTGCCCTTCTGTATGGCTTTGAAAAACAGACAAACCTTGGCCTTGTTGATTTTAGCCATGTTTTTTCACATTAAAAATAATGAGTTGTATTTCTGTTTCTGGACATAGACCATACCTTGTTTCTCTGAGGGAATTCAATTGTTTACCCATGTGATTGACCACACAGTTCATCACAGTGCCCTCCTGAGGTTCTCTGTAGCGTTTAAAAAGGTGAAAGGAATGAAGAAATGAACCAGTTAGTGCAAACATATTTTGGTCACCTGCTATATGTCAAGTGACTTGCAAGAAACAAAGAGGGAAGTGAACCGACTTTTATTACACATTTAATATCTGCTAGAAGCTTGTGCTAAGCATTTTATGTACATTATCTGTTTTGGGGTTTTTTTTAAATAATCTTCAGAGTTACCCTGTGGAGGATAGGTATAGCATTCCCATCCCATTTTACTGCTGAGGGAATTGAGGCTCACAGGGCATATGTGACTTTCCCAAAGTCACACAATTAGTGTGTGGCTGAGCAAGGCTTCAGACCCAGACCTTTCTGACTCTGAAGCCCATGCTCTGTCCACCTCATTATGCCTGGACCTGCATTCAAGGAGGTAGCAGTCTGGTTGAAGAGAGCAAAACTGCACAAAAACTCATAGTAAAATTTGTCCTTATTCCAAAAACTTTGGGAACTTTGTAGCAATTATCTCTCTAGGGGATCTAGGTAGAAGGGATGCTAAGCCTGCAACACTACTAGATTACATGTTAACGTAGGCCTTAGAAAGAAGGAAGCTGAAGAAGTAATTGTGAGAATATGGTAGGTCTAGTCTTTTATGGTTTTTAAGACTAAGGATTAGACTCCAAGACAGATTATCTGTGGCTCAGGCTGGAGTGCAGTGGCACTATCTCGGCTGGTGGCAACCTCTATGATCTTCCCACCTCAGCCTCCTGAGGAGGTGACTACAGGTGTGTGCCACCACACCCAGCTAATTTTTTTGTAGAGACAGGGTTTCGCCATGTTGCCCAGGCTGGTCTCAAACTCCCGGGCTCAGGCGGTCTTCATTTGTTCCCTTGCACACAATAATAAATGGAAGCTGCTATTATTGTGTTTTGGAAGCAGCCAAAAAGAAAATCTGCATAAGAAGAACTAAATTGCAATTCGTAACAAAAGAGCTACTTGGGTCTGTTTTTTTATTCTCTCAAGCGTCTTCATATTATTTCTGGGCATATCCATTTTATAAAGAGGGCTAAATTGAATATGTTGTTAATTTTCTTAGAAAAGTTAATCTTTAGGAGTGTCTTTAACTTCTTAATTGCCCACATGTTGGATTAGATCTAAGGTTTCTAATCAGGGCTGTAAAGAAAGACCCACTCCATAGGTGAGCCCCTCTATGGGCCTATCCCTTCAAGAACAATTTAAATTCAAAAGTGCAAGAGAGATGTCCAGTTAAGTCCTTTACCTATACCAGACGGTAGCAGGTCATAACAGGATTACATACAAGAAAAGAATTAATGGTACTGCCAGAGAATGAATAATAAGTATCAAGTGAATGTGAAAAAGTAGGTGTTATGTAGTTTGTAGGAGGTAGTTTCCTGCTGCAGAAGTTGAGAAAGAGCAAAGTGAGATGATTAAGAAACGTTTTGAGTTGCACAGATCTGGGTTTGAATCTACCTATGTGACCTAAAGCAAGTTATTTGACCTCTCTCAGTGCAGTTTCTTCATCTGTAAAATAGAAGTTTGAGATTAGATAATAAATGTAAAATGTTTGGCATGGTGCCCTGCTAGTTCTTATTGTAATATAATTATCTATTTTTCTGTCAGTTTCCTCCACTAAACTGTAATCTTGGAAAACTGGGTCTGTGACCTGTTCATCTGTATGTCTCAGCCTTTCATACAGTGCATAAGCTCATCCCCATTCCTGATGTTTCATTCCATGTGAAGGGTATTCCATTATGG
The DNA here is from genome assembly GCF_000001405.40 of Homo sapiens. Lineage (NCBI taxonomy): Eukaryota > Metazoa > Chordata > Mammalia > Primates > Hominidae > Homo > Homo sapiens. The sequence goes on along the minus strand of NC_000001.11, from coordinate 85,326,222 downwards.
GATTGCTCTTGGCCTCTCTCCACCCTTGACATATTCCACACTAGAAGTGAATGATTTACCTGACTGGTGAGTCAGGAAGGGCTTACTATGTGCCACTCTTAGGAATGAATTTTCTACAGGAAGCATGCTGTCTCTCTTCTGCTTTTCATACCATAAATCTTACTATCCAGTGCCCCCATGACTGAGTGGGCATGTCTGCCTAGTAATATGAAGCACATTTCCATACAAACACTGAAAAGTAAAAGTAAATGGGACCATAAAGGTAGATTAGAACCAGATTGTGGAAAAGATCATGTTATACCTTCCTAGCATGATATTTCAGCAGATTCCTTAAAACTGTATGGATATTGATAAAGAGTAGAAAGAGTCTACATGACTAAACCCCAAATAATATTTGTTTTTGTGGGTTTTTAATTTGGATATTCTTGTTGTTAGGGGGAGGAGTGTTGTTTTTTGATAGTTTTGATTATGTTGAGGAGGTAAGGATGAGGTATCAATATTTTAAATTTTGTGCAGAGTTCATTTTTGTGTTGTTTTTAAAGTTATTTTATGCTAGGATACTAATAAGTTCATCATTTGAAGAACAGACCTGCCAAGTAGGTTTTTTTTTTTTTCTCTCCAGTTGTGGTCCAGGGAACCTCTGCCTCAAAATTATCTGTAGGGCTTCAAAATGCAAAATTCCTATGCCTCACCCAAAATCTGCCAAACCAGCTTTCCCTAAGGGTGAGGCCTGGGAATATGATTTTCTTATTCTCCCCAGGTGGCTTTTATGCTCATTGTATTAAGGCCATCACCTGCCAATGAACAGGTGAATTCAGTTTAAAAGTATGTGGAAGAGCAAAGCGTGTGTGTGTGCGCGCGCGCGCGCACGCACGTGCATGCACACACGTGTGGTGTTACTGATTAATCAGATTCACATTATTGACTATTCTGATTACTGGTATGGCCCTTCTTTCCTATAGAGGAGGCAGCCCTGCTTACTCAGCCAAAGATATCAAAACCCCTGCTGGGCCTTACATGTGGCCATTTTGCATCTTACTGATAAGTCTTACGAACAAAGACTAGAAAAATAATAGACGGTTTTAAAACCTTAAAAGAAAAGAGAGACAAACACATACTTTTAAAGAGCAACAAAAACCCTTGCAATTCTTCCAAAGACTCATAGCTTAATCAAGTTTTCCTTTTCTGGTTCTAAGTGACTGGAGGTAATAGATGGGAATTTGAACAGAGGAACAGCCTAAAGTGTCAGTTCCAAGCTTGTATCCTACCACACTGCCTTCCTTCTGTTTGAAAGTGTGGGGAGTTACTCTTCTTAGGCCTGCTTTGTTTCTCTTTATAGATCATGCAACAGATGAGTGACCACCGCTACGACAAACTCACTGTGCCTGATGACATAGCAGCAAACTGTATATATCTAAATATCCCCAACAAAGGGCACGTCTTGCTGCACCGAACCCCGGAAGAGTATCCAGAAAGTGCAAAGGTAAAAAAATATCCCTTCTGACCACTGCAGCTGGGTCAGCCTCCCTGGGGATTTTTTCATAAAGGAGTGACCAATAGGAGCCTCCTTTTCCTGTATACATATCAAACAATTAAGAAAAGAAAGGATAATACAATTTAGGGCACAAGGAAAATGTGTTTCACTTTTCTCATTCATGTCATTGCTCACTAATGCATGCATAGTAATTGAGATGATCATGCCGGGTATTCAAGGCTTTTCAAATAAATACTCAGATTTTCAAATAAGTAGTCACCCAAGTCTATGCCCCAGCTCTGATTAAATGTACTTTCCCACCCTCAGATACTCATTAAGCATAAAGACCTACAATTAGATGGTCAACGGTATCGCTGTTTTCTGACAGATCTGAGCTGTCCCTCAGAAAAGGGCAGCTTTTCTTTTTATTTCTTTTTATTTTTTTATTTATTATTATTATTATTATTATTATTATTTTTGAGACAGGGTCTCACTCTGTTACCCAGGCTGGAGTGCTGCGGCACGATCTTGGCTCACTGCAACCCCACCTCCCGGGCTCAAGAGATCCTCCCACCTCAGCCTCCTGAGTAGCTGGGACTACATGCATATACCACCACAACCTGGCTAATTTTTGTATTTTTAATAGAGATGGGGTTTCATTATATTGCCCAGGCCGGTATCAAATTCGTGAGCTCAAGCAGTCTGCCCGCCTGGGCCTCCTAAAGTGCTGGAATGACAGGCATGAGCCACCATGCCCAGTCCTTTTTTTTTTTTTTTTTTGAGACAGGATCTTGCTCTGTTGCCAAGTCTGGAGTGCAGTGGCATAATCATGTCTCACTGCAGCCTCAAATTCCTGGGCTGAGCAATCCTCCTACCTCAGCCTCCCGAGTAGCTGGGACTACAAGCATGCACCATTATACCTGGCTAATTTTTTATTTTTTGTAGAGACGGGGTCTCCTTATGTTGCCCAAGCTAGTCTCAAACTCCTGGGCTTAAAGGATCCTCCCACTTCAGCCTCCCAAAGTGCACAGGCATGAGCCACCACACCTGGCCATTTGTTTCTTTAGGTAGAGGAGTATGAATGACCCAGAGTGGTGGGTGTTCATTGTCAGGGCTGCAGAAAGAAGAAACTGCCCGTGCTAGGTAGCAAAAAGCTCTTCATTGAAAAGATAGAGCAGGTAGTAATATGGTACACTCGAAATCAGCCAACTGGTCGCTCCAGGAGTCTCTGTGTTTGTGTTCCAATAAGGGAGCTCTCTCTGGATCTGGAATGCTTTTCCTGGTCTAAGAAAATCTCCCTTGTTTTTCAGCATACTCTGCCAGTCTCATCTATATACTTTAGTAATTTCGATTTTACCCTACCAAGCAAACATAACAGTGCTCGTCCATAGATTCTTCAAGTGTCCATATCTTCTAGGCACTCAGCATCTCATCTCTGCCCGGAGGAACAAGATATTTATACTATGCATTACAGAAGAGCCTTTAGTAATCATTGATCTTTTTTTTTTGTCTTAAGCTTCGCAAATATTAGAAAATATTTTATACTACCTTTTAAATATGCAATATGATATAATTACTAGGTTCACTCTCTAATCACAGCCTCTTTCTGAGCAGATAAAAAGAAAAAGGTGAGGGAATACATAGATAATTTTTTCTATTTCCATGGCTGAAAGTGTGAACCTGAGGAAAATAGAGTACTCCTGACCCAGAACTGGGGCTTACCCAGCTCTTAGATGAGTAATGGATCTCATACTTTAATGCACATCAGGGTTGCTAAAAATGCAAGTTCCTGGACCCCCACCCTAGAATCTGCAATATCAACAAGCACCCAGTCACAGAACTCACTTTGAGAAATACAGGTCTGAATCATTCATCCCTCTTTAGCCACATTGATCATCTGACCTACCAGATGATTATTCACTGCCCCCCTGATTCAGCCGTTTGTCTCTCAAAAATAACAATAGTATTAATAATATCCCTGTTTACTGAGGGCTTCCCCGGTGCCAGGCAGGGTGCCAGGCATCCCAGGTGTATTATCTTATTCAGTCCTTGTAACAGCCCTATGGGGGCAACATTACTATTCCAATATTACAGAGAAGTAAACCGAGGCTCAGAGGGAATGTCACTTCACTGAAATAATTCTTTAAGTAGTAGGTTGACAGAACTGGGTTTGGGACCCTACTCTGGCTCCAACACTCTTAATTAACCACTGTGCTGAATTTTAAGAAACGCAGTGCTTCCTAAAGAAGCACAGGAGATTGTTATTAGGCAGTACACTTTCAAGTGATTCTGTTTTTAAAAATATGCTTTGTTTGATCATCACAGAACAATCTATGAACTGTTAATTGAAGTTTTGACATATGCTTTCTATTAGTGTCAAAAGATGCTAATAAAATTCATACCTGTAATTTAAAAGCAGTTTAACCTGAAATACTTAAGTTATATCTTGTCAAATTTTTCCAGCAGTGTTGGTAAGAAAATAAACCTAAAGTATAGTTGAGAGGGTTTTAAACTGTGAAGAGAAGGCCTAGTGTGGTGGCTTATGCCTGTTTAATACCAGCACTTTGGAAGGCCAAGGCAGGATGATCACTTGAGCCCAGGAACCCAAGACCAGCCCTGGCAAAATAGTGAGACCCTGTCTCCACAGAAAATAAAAAATAAAAATTAGCCAGGGATAGTGGTGTGTATCTGTTGTTTGTCCCAGGTACTTAGGAGGCTGAGGTGGGAGGATCACTTGAGCCTGGGAAGTTGAGGCTGCAGTGAGCCATGGTCGCGCCACTGTACACCAACCTGGACGACAGAGCAAGACCCTGTCTCCAAAAATATATAAATAAATAAAAATAAAGTGTGAAGAGAAAGTAATATTCAGACTGACACATGGTCACCAACTTCCATGTACCACTTAATCTAGCAATGACAATGGCAGAGTAAAGGCATCTCTAGCAAAACCACATTTCTGACACATCTTTGGCCTTGAGGTTAAAGCACAGGGCTAGTGGTTAACCAGTTCCCACCAGCTCTATAGGGATGACTGTGGGCATGTGTGTGGTTGAGACTGCCTGTGTGTCTTGGGATTAAATGAATGAAAAGCCTAGATGTACAAATCAAATTGATTCTCCACTTCTGAGGATGGTAAAACATAATCCTTCTTTTCTTCCTTTTCCTTGATTCCCACTGTAGGTTTATGAGAAACTGAAGGACCATATGCTGATCCCCGTGAGCATGTCTGAACTGGAAAAGGTGGATGGGCTGCTCACCTGCTGCTCAGTTTTAATTAACAAGAAAGTAGACTCCTGAGCTGCAGAGTCCCCCCCGGTAGCCGGCAAGACCGCACAGGCAAGGCCGATGACTCTGTGCCCACTCCTGTTGTTTTCCTTGACAATCTACTGTGCCACTGTGCTACTAACTCTTGTTTACAAAATTTGATTCTAAGTTGAATTGCTTCATTCAACACCCCCACCCTCCCTCCCCTCGAGGTGGTACCTAAGCTGTGGATTTGCTAAATGAATTAAGCAACCTAGAAGATACAGAGCTAATGAATTATCAAAATGTGATTAATCCCAGTAAGGAAACACTCATTTAGTGTCTGTATTTTTGGTGTGAAAATTATTTAGTTGCCAGTATATTCTGAAGAATGTCTTCTTGATCAGTCAGATAAGCTTGCTTTTTTTTTTTTTTTTTTTCATGAATCATGTTTGGTTCCTGTGAAAGTCCCTGGTCCAGGGATCCTCCTCCTTTCTCTTTTACTTCTGAATTCTGAAATTCAGTTAGTTACTTTTGCCTTTCGCTCTTCTATCACAGCCACCTTGACCTTGGGTAAAACCCAAGGTCTTTCCTTCTGGCTACCTTCCTGCAGGTCCACCCTGTCTGCCATTGGTCTCCTCTGCCTCTGACTACATCTGCCACCAACAACCCTCCCCTCACCCCTGCCAGGGGCAGACAGGCTTCTCAGCAGAACTGTGACTGAAATCAGAGCTGCTGTCTGGGGCAGTGTTAACTACACAGAGGCACATCCTGACAGGGTTTGCCCCAGAGATCTAAATTCCAGAAGGAGGGCACCACACCTAGGAAGGTAAATCCAGTATCAGAAGGTTGCTAAAAGATTAAAGATCAAGAAGCTTGGAAACATCCCATGGGTACAATGTCTTAGAAAGTCTTTAAGTCACATACCATGAATTTTTGCTTCATTACTGACCATATATGACCTTGGAGGAACTCTTTTTTTTTTTTCCTTCTACTCATTTCTGTTTCCACCTACCCTGACTCACCGTATTTCCAGTCTTCTACCCCTGCAGTTATCCTAGTCCAGCAAAGTCATTTCTTTCAAAAGAGACATCATGTCTGAAAATAATTACTGGTAGTCTAATATGAGCCAGAGTAAACAGCTCCTCATGGTCAATGAACATGTTCAGGAAGCGATCACCTTGATGCTTGAACCCAACCCCAGACAGTGGACAATTCTACTTTGAAATATCCGTGAATATTTACTGTGGGATCCAATTTAAACTTCTTTCTTCTCTAGCCTTTAAATTACACAACTTTGAACTGACACGGATCTCTTACAAAGAACAATGCGGCACTGAAGGAAGAGATGATTCCTTTACTCAAACCTGCAGGAATCAGCCTATTAACAGGCAGGGGAAACGGTACTTTCCAATGAATGGTAACTGATCCAGGCACATTATCACACTTCCTAGTCATCTCCACCTTTCCTGTATTGCCTGTGGCTTGTTGTTTAAGATTAAGAATCAAAGAGATTAAGAAGTATCACTTCAAATCTTGCTCTGCTCACTTCTATGTTTGCAGTCAAATTATTCCTTATGTTGGTGACCTAAAGAGAATTACTTTCATTCATTTCATTTCCCCCGTAGCAGATGGAAGGAGAAACCTCTGAGAAAATGAAAACATCCTTAACCACTATCTTTCCCTTTTATTTGATTATTTTATGTCAGAAATTTGCAAAAGTTTTTTTCTCCTCCTTCTCTTCCTTGTTGCTTAACTTTTTAATTCATGCCATATGCAGATATCCAATTATGTGCATCCTGTGAATAAACCACGTCTTGGTCACTGTCATATTTTGAACCATCTCATCAGAGATGAATAATATCTTTTTACCAGAGAGAGAACGAATGTTAGCCACATGCCCAAGTTAACAAAGAAAAAATGTTCTCAAGGTTGTCCTTTTGGGTTAAATCTGGCCCTTCCTTGGCAAAAGCAAAAATTCTCCCTGTGAGAGCTCAACATCTCAAATACAACCACAGGAAAAATGGCCCAATCTGCCAGTTTAGGCTTACCAGCATATAATTTTTAATATCTTTACTTCTATCATCCCAAATCAAAGAACTCTTCTCTATTATGTTTAATCAATTGCAAGCAAATAGATTTTTCTTTGTAACAATTTGTTCTGCAGAAGGCTGTTTTTCACTTTTCCTTTCTTTTGCTTCTTTCTGTCTTTCCTTCTCTTTTGTCTGGAGAAATCACTTAGACTCTGTGTGCCTCTTCTACATTGCATTCTGCTCTGCTATGTTACCTGCTAGGCTGGCTTCTTTGGACTCCCTATATGATTGATGATGTGAAAACCTAAATTACTTGCAGCATAGTATTACTTCTTTGATGTTCTCATTAGCATAATGTTATTTTTGAAAAGGAAAGATACTATCACATAAGTTTTCCTCATCTGTTGTGATATACACCAATGGATAAACTAACGGAAACTGCTTTTTGACATTAAAAGACAGGAGAAATTATATTTAACTAAGTAAAAGTTAAGTCAGAATTACTTGGGTGATGTGATTCAATTTAGTTAAAGGATGATATAGAGAAAATACATTATTTAGCATTATTTCTTCAGCTATAATGAATTGCTATAGAAATCAGGCAGATCTTTCTAATGTGTATTGATTGGTCTTTTCAGCTACTCTGAACAGATTACTAAGGCCATCTCCTCATCTCTAAGGGAGAAAAATAGTCTGTAGATGAATAATGTAAGGTAAAGAGTTGCATGTCAGTCTTTGTAATTATTTACACTTTAACTTTCTCCAGAACTCAGACATGATTTCAACATGGTGTTAGATTTGTGCATTTTATTTTCCTGACCACCTCATTCCAGCCAATGTATGGTTATCCACTCTGTGTGCCAAAACCAATCATGCCTTTCACGGCCCTTTAGTTCAGAGAAGTTCTGCACTGATTTTTAGTCTCTTGATGTCTCAATCTTACATGTATACCAATCACAATGGAATAAAGTGTTGAGTTGTACTGTGATCAACAGTGTATGTCTCTTTTCTTTGCAACAGAAACTGCCATGGGGAATGAAGTCATCATTTCTTTGCTGTCAGTCATGGGATATTTTCTCTCTTGTCCCTTAGGCTATGAACTTAGAAAAATACCATACCTGTAAATCAATTGCCATCAAAGCTTGGGTTAAAATAATATTTGAAGTGATACTTCATACTTCAGGCACTTAAAAAGTGTGCATAGTATGTACACCAGGTCAGGAGAGCTTGAGTTCCCCTGTGCCTCTCCTCAAAACGGCGTCCCTTCATCCCTTTCACTGTTAACCATATTCAGCACATAGTCAGTTATGTGGTTCAGTTATGGAGGCAGGTAAATGATTTTTTTATTTGCTCATTCATACAAGAGTTTGTTTTTGTTATATAGTAAGCATCTTTTAGCAAATTTGAAGGTTTTTTTAAATGAGGCTTTTTTCAACAAGTTTTTTCAATCTGTATTGTTTTCTTTCAATGATTGTAAAAATAACTGCTTACTGTTAAAATCCAAGCAACACAAAAAACTAAGTAAATTTAAAAACTACCCCACAATTTTATCACCCAGAGATAACTATTATTAACATTTCAGAGAATAATCACAGATCTGTAAATAGATAGCAGTATAAATATGCAATAATTTTACATAATCATGCTGTTCTGTAGTCTGCTTCCTTCGACTTAGCAATATTGTTGGCCGCTTTCCATCTCAACAAATGTAGATCTACATCATCAGTTTTAACAGCCCTGAATATTCTACAACACGGTTATTCAAGCAGCTCGTTCTAAATTATACATAGTGTTATGTCACAGATAGTCAATATGCCCACATTGCTATTAGCCAGGGGTCTTCAGTCTATCAAAAATGCACCGCTTCTAAGCTTTCACCCAGCCCCAGAGCTAGTTCATGTGGCATATTTTTATCATAACTGAATGAGCTGTGTGAATGCTCATCAGATGCAAAGACCAGTTCTAAAATTCCTTGGGGATGTCATTGATTTAATCACACCTTCTCAGTTGGTGTTGCATTGATTATCTCTGCATTATTTAGATTGTCACTGGCAATGATGCTAAAAAATGCCAAATGCCACCTTGCAAACCTACTGTGGGTCCCAGTCGGAAATGGAGCCCTCCACCTCAGTGCCAGATATACTGCTCCTCCAGAGGAGAAAGGGAGATACTTCTTAAAGGAAGAGTTGGCAGGGGTTCCCTGACTGACCTTCCTCCCCACCTCTGAAAGAATAAGGGGAGAGGAAACAGAAAAATACCCTCCGTAGCAAGCTATAGATTCTGGAAGTGGGAATTCTGCTCACTGAAGAATGCTGGTCATCAACGATTTTAGACGAGTGAGCACGTGTTTAACAAGTGCCCGTACTCTGCCAGGCTCTGGAGTACAGCTCCGATCTTTCCAGAACTGATGGTTTGGGAGAGGCAGGGAAGGACGACTACACAATTACACAAATGATTATGATACAGCAGAATGTACGAACTACAAAAGAACAATGCCGTGTCTGTTCCCAAGTCAGGGAGACCAGACATAGGAATTGGGGTTTAATCTGGGCTTGGAAGGACAGCTCTGGCTTCAATAGGTTGAGATGGGACTACAGGTTGTCTAGGCTGAGGGAGCCGCAGAAGCAAAGGCATGGAGGTGGGAGAGCATCGTGTTCACTTCAGAAGCAAGTATTTGAGCCCCTGTTACATGCCAGTTAACTTTGCTAGGCCCTGAGGATACAGTGGTGACAGTCCCTACCCTCCTGGAATGTACATGCAACAGGGAAGACTGACATTGAACAAGTTAGGGCAAGGGGAATGAACATTATTAAAGGAGAATGGGGTGCTTAGAGCAGACCATAGGGTCAAGCAAGCGGATTTATTTGGCTGAAACACAGGGTAAGTGTAAGAGCATGGTGAGACAACATTGGTTGGAACATTGAGGGCCTTGCCTGCTGAGTTAGGATATTTGGACTGAAATTGGCAGTCTGCCAGGATCCCCTGAAGACTTTTCAGTCAAGAAGTGATATTATTGGAGCTTGATCTGGCAGCATTATATAGGATGACTGGGAACTGAGAAAGACTGGTGTTTCGCCAAGCTTAATTTCTCCAAGTTTAATTTGTTATTTAAATATCTCTTCTTACCACCAAAATGGAGCCTGAAAGCCTGGCAATTAAGTCTCTTTATATTTTCTTTCCTGAAGAACAGATTAATAACACCTTCCCCTCCCAACTCCGAAGGGACATTTTCAAGGCAAATGCGATAAAAGAACTGAAGGGTTCTTTGGATGAAAGAGATAATGTAAATATCATTATCATCATCATTATACTTATTAACTCCGATCACAGCAAGCTTAGATCCCATTAAAATGTCATCTTCTATTTGAAACGTCAATCACCTACTCCAGAAATAACTCGGGATTTTCATCACGGATGCCTCTAAGCTGGCCTGACGGCTTCCGTGGTGAATTCACAGGTTTCCCTGGTAGCTGACATGGCTGTGCCACAGACATACTTGCATTAGGAAACTGTTGGCTAATCGGAATGTTCCCTGTCTCCCTTCCCCCTCCAAACCCTCATTTCTAAGTTAGTGAAAGCTAGGCCACTTATAGCACAAGATAACTGGGGTTATCAGGCTTTTAGGAGGACGGGTAAGTGCCAAATATATTACTGTCACTATAAATAAATAAAAGATTCAAACAAGTATGAACTTGGTAAAATATTGCCTGAGCTGGCGTGTGACATGAATGCCTAAAAGCAATGATGGGTCTCTAGGTCTTGGGAGGCCCCCTCTATTTATAAATGGAAAGTTTAGTCATTTTGGCTATGAATACTGAGAAAGAGCTTGAGTGAATTAACACAGGCCTAAGGAGGTAGCTTGCTGCCCCAACTTTATTGAAGTCTAATTGACAAATAAAAATGGTATATATTTAAGGTGTACAACTTGATGCTTAGAAAGACATTGTGAAATAATCACAGTCAAGTCAATTAACATAGCCTTCACCTAACAGAGTTATCACTTTCTTTTTTTTTCTTTTTTTTTGGTGATAAATATTTAAAATCTTTCCTTTTAGCAAATTTCAAGTATGTAATAGAATATTGTTAACTATAATCACATTGCAATACATTTGATCTCCAGCATTTTTCTATCTTGAAAACTGAAACTTTCTGCCCTTTGGCATCTCCCCATTTCTCACTTTAAAAGCACTTTAAAAGCAGGAACTTTAAATTCCTGCTCATGGACAAGAAAGCTTATTTATTAGCTAAGGCTTTGAGGTAAGAACTCAGAGGATGACCATTCAAAATTAAACTAGGACCCTATATGCTATAGGTTGAATGTGCCTCTATCCCACCAGGGTACAAAGACTGCATATTTCACATTGATGGAGGAAAAGCTCAGGAACCAAACAAGTTCTGATTTCAAGCAACAGTCTAGCTGTGTAAAAGGAGCTAGTGGAATAAATACTGATTCACAGGGCCACAGAGGCTTAAAATTCCAGGGAAGGATGTGAGCAAAGTCATCATTTTGTTTACAGGGGACCCAGATGAGGGTATGAGGTCCCCTAGAGTTAATGCTAAGACAGTAACATGGGGTTTGCTTCTTTCCAGGCTTGATAATAATTGGGAGAGACAGAAGGAATGTTGTTAGCAGGGCAAGATATAATAGTATCAAGGAGTCTGTTAGGAAATATAATTCATTCCCACTTGGTTCAAATAAAGAGATGACCTTAATGAAGGTCTGTTTCAGAAGTATGGGTGTTAAGGGTAAAAACAAGGGGTGGTAAGACACCCGGAAAACAGATGTCAGCAGCACTCCTAGGCCCAGCAGGACAAGGACAGAAAATTGTGCTGCAAAATATAAGACAGAGAAGGCAGGGCCACAGACCCAGCCAGAGAGCAGAGAAGAAGTACCTTAACCTCTTTCTCTCCTAACTCTGATCTGCTGGTGCTCCCCATTGGCTGAACACAACCACAAGATGCAGTTGGGGGCTCAGGGGATGCCTCCAGCCTAGGAGGTCAGCGTTCTAGGGCAGAGAACTGGCAGAGAAGGGCAGAGGATGGATCTGGAGAGTCAGAGGATATCAGCACAAGGCCACTGTGAAAATGAGCTCTTAGCCTATCAGACAGTGGTCATAACCAACTCTGTAAATTTACAAGTCTCTGTAAATTTAAATAATTTATTATTTCAGTTATCATTTAATAACTCTTGGCAGATTCCTTAGGCACATGCCAGTTCTGTGGTCTGGTCCTCCCTCCCTCAACATCAGAAAATAATTGGAGCAGAATCAACACCAGAACATGAGTATGCACGGCCTGAGGGTGGAAGAACGTTGCATTCCAGACCCATGAGTCCTGGACCTCTTTAGTAAGCACTGTGTTATTTCTAAAATTAGAGCAGTCTCTTGGGCACCTGGTATCCCAAAACAGCTAGTTGCCTTTTTGTAGCATGCCCATGACCTTCTGGTAACATAAAGTTGTTTAGGATCCTGAAGTACCTCTTTTCTGTTTCCTTTTGTTTGTACATCCTGCTCATCTTGGCAGGCACAGCTGTTTTGGTTTTACTTGGTCATATTGCTTATGGGGATAATAGTCAGTCTAAACTAATAGTAGTGAATTCCCCTTTCCTGGGGTGTTCAAGTAGCATTTGAAGGACCATGTGCAGGAGTGGTCCTTCTATCCACTAACATCTGATATACTTAACATCCATACCAAGGTATTCCTTTCCCACCCTGGAATCTTTTAGTAGGCCTTTGTACTATATTCTGATTCTGGGTGACTTTCGTTTCCCCTCTACTACCCCTAGTCTCCCAAATAGATGAACATTGCCCTCATCTAGTGTTTTAGTTCATTTTCTGTGGCTTATAACAGAATACCACACACTGGGTAAATGATAAACAATAGAAGTTTATTTGGCTCATGATTCTGGATCTGGGAAGTCCTAGAGCATGGTACCAGCATCTAACAAGGTTCATCCCATGGTGGAAGGCGGAAGCAAGTGCACAAGACAGAGGCACTAGGGATCAGGCTTACCTTATAACTACCCATTCCCATGATAACTAACCCACTCCCATGACAATGACATTAATGCATTTGTGAAGGCACCACCCTCATGACCCAATCACTTCTTCTTAGGCCTCACTTCCAAACACTGTTGTTTTAATGATTAAGTTTCCAATGCTTAAACCTTTGGGGAACACATTCAAATCACAGCATCTACTAAATGACAGTAGTAAGGGTTACAGCTTCAATATGGTAGCATGAAGAGGTCTATGGATTCACTCCCAAGTGAAACTGGCAATTCCTCAAGGATCTAGAACTAGAAATACCATTTGACCCAGCCATCCCATTACTGGGTATATACCCAAAGAATTATAAATCATTCTACTATAAAGACACATGCACACATATGCTTATCGCGGCACTATTCACAATAGCAAAGACTTGGAACCAACCCAAATGCCCATCAATGATAGACTAGATAAAGAAAATGTGGCACATACACACCATGGAATACTATGTGGCCATAAAACAGGATGAATTCATGTCCTTTGCAGGGACATGGATGAAGCTGGAAACCATCATTCTCAACAAACTAACACAAAAACAGAAAACCAAACACCACATGTTCTCACACATAAGTGGAAGTTGAACAATGAAAACACATGGACACAGGGAGGGGAACATCACATACCAGGGCCTGTTGGGTCGGGGGGTGGGGGAAGGACAGCATTAGGAGAAAGACCCAATGTAGATGACAGGTTGATGGGTGCAGCAAACCACCATGGCACACGTATACCTATGTAACAAACCTGCACATTCTGCACATGTACCCCAGAACTTAAAGTATAATAATAAAAATAAATAAATATTTAAAGTCTCTGGAAATGGTCATAAATGTACATAGCAAATGAAGAAACATTTATTCAAGAAAATCTATTAAAACTTGGTAAGATCAGTGAATCAGTGATTTTGACCCAAGACCCACACCCTTCCTCCCCGCTCACAGCTCAGTGAGGCAGAAGCTCCACACCTTAGGGTAGAGCTAAGAACACAAGGCTCCTTTTCTCCACAGATCCTAATTGAAAGTCAGTCTTCCTGGGGAGAGACAGGATGTCAGCATTGCTTATCCTGCCATTCCCACTCATGACCTAATGCTGAGACTAAGTTCTGGGTGAGTGTTGCCAGGAGGGTCTCTTTTCTTCCTCCAAGCCCGAACTCTCAGGGGACAGAGGCTCCACTCTGAGAGCATGGTACCAATATGATACAGGGAGCCTGAATGTCCTTGCCTTGGCTCATGGGGCAGGAGTTCTAACCCAGAGAAGCAAACCAAAAAGACCTGAGTCTGTTGCCTCCTCTCTACCTGGCACTGAGAAACAAAAACAAGGTTGTCATTCAGAGAGAAGTGAACCATATTTTCCCTGCCCTCAATCCCGCAGAGGATGGCTCAGAGATTTTCCCCAGGGGCACAATCAGGCCGTGGAAGGAAGAGCTCTGAATCCCTCCCTAGAGAACTGACTTCATTTGCAACAGAGTGTGAAGTTCAAGTCTAAGTGTGCTCTCAAAAACAGTTGTGGTTGTGGTGAAAGGCAATAGAGAGGAAATTGGTAGATTCCTTGGAGGTAAAGGCTAAATTGTAGGCATCCAGATCAGAGAGGAAGAGGTAAAACTATCTCTATTTAACATGCTTGTCTATATGGAAAATCCTAAGAAATCCACTAAAAATATATTAAAATTAATAAATGAGGCTGGGCACGGTGGCTCACGCCTATAATCCCAGCACTTTGGGAGGCCGAGGTGAGCGGATCATCTGAGCTCAGGTTTCGAGACCAGCCTGGGCAACATAGTGAAACCCCATCTCTACTAAAAATACAAAAAATTAGCCTGGCATGATGGCGCACGCCTGTGGTCCAAGCTATTTGGGGGGCTGAGGTGGGAGGATGGCTTCAGCCCAAGAGGCAGAGGTTGCAGTGAGCCGAGATCACACCACTGCACTCCAATCTGGGTGACAGAGTGAGACCTCATCTCAAAAAAAAAAAAAAAGAATTCAGCAAGATTTTAAGATAAAAGATCAATATATTAAAAATTGTGTTTCTACACATTTGCAGTGAACAAATCCAAAAATAAGATTAAGAAAACAATTCCATTTATAATTGCATCCGAAAGAATAAAACACTTAGCAATAAATTTAGTAAAAGTCCAAAACTTATTCTCCGATAATTACAAAACATTGTTGAAAGAAGTTAAATATCTAAATAGATGGAAAAACTGCTTATGTTCATGTATTAGAAGACTTAATATTGTTAGGATGACAACACTCCTCAAGTTGATAAACCGATTAAATGCAAGCCCAATTAGAATCCCAGCTGGCTGCTTTGTAGAAACTGACAGGCTGATTCTAAATTTCACATGGAATTACAAGGGGCCTCAAATAGCCAAAACAATATTGAAAAGAAGAATAAGCTTGGGGGACTCGCACTCCCAATTTCAAAACTTTAAAAGCAACAGTAATCAAGACCATGCAGTACTGGCGTAAAGATAAACATATAGATGAATGGAATAGAATTGAAAGTCCAGAAATAAGTCCATGTCTCTATGGTCAACTGATTTTCAACAAGGGTACCACGACTATTCAGAGGGGAAAGGACAGTCTTCTCAACTGCTGCTGGGACAACTGGATACCCACATATCCAGCAAAAGAATGAATGAAGTTGGATCCTTTCTTCACACCATATACAAAAAGTAACTCAAAATGAATCAAAGACCTAAATATAAGAGCTAAAATATAAAACTCAGAAGAAAACTTAGTGATAAATTTTCATAACCTCAGAATTGCCACTTACATATGACACCAAAAGCACAAGCAACAAAAGAAAAACTAAATTGAACAACATCAAAATTTAAAACTTGTGCTTCAAAAGACACTGTCAAGAAAAGGAAAGACAGGCACGGTAGTGCACACCTATAGTCTCAGCTTCTCGGGAGGGTGAGGCAGGAGGATCCCTTGAGCCCAGGAGTTCGAGGCTGCAGTAAGCTATGATCTCACCATTGCACTCCAGCCTGGGTGACAAAGTGAGATCCCATCTCTTAAAAAACAAACAACTGAAAAGATAACCCACTGAACCAGAGAAAACATTTGCAAATTATATATCTGATAAGGGACTTCTATCTAAAATACATAATGAACTCTTACAGCTTGATAATAGAAAAGACAGTTTGAAAACAGGCAAAGGATCAGAGACATTTTTCCAAAGAAGATATACAAATGGCCAACAGCCACATGAGAAAGATGTTTGACATCATCAGTCATCGGGGATGTGCACATCAAAATCACAATGAGATATCACGTCATACCCACTAGAATGGCTAGAATCAGAGTCAGGTAATAGCAAACATTGGTAAGGAGGTGGAGAAATCATACCCTCCTAATGAGAATGTCAAATGTAGCCACTGTGGAAAACACTCTGGCAGTTCCTCAAACACCTACACATTGAGTTACCATATGATCCAGCAATTCCACTCCCTGGAATATACCTAAGAGAAATGAAAGCATATGCCCCCACCAAGGCTTGTACATGAATGTTTACAGCAATTATTTAAAATAACCAAAGGGTGCAAACAACCCGTGTATACCAACTAATGAATGGATAAATGAAATGGATGCCAACTGATGAAGAGATGAACAAAAATATCCATACAACGGGATATTATTCAGGTGTAAAAAGGAATGAAGTACTGAACATGCTTCAACATGAATAAACCTTGAAAACATTATGCTAAGTGAAAGAAGCCAGTCACAAAAGACCACATATTATATGAAATGTCCAGGATAAGTAAATCTGTAGAGACAGAAAATAGAATAGTGATTGCTTTGGAGGGGAGGGTGCAAGGAGGGAGGAGAGGGAGGAAAAGGGAGTGATAACTAAGGGTAGAGGGTTCTTTTTGTGGTGATGAAAATTGATGTGGTTATCGTTGCATATATCTGTGAACGTGCATAAAATCATTGAATTGCACATTTTAAATGGGTGAAGTGTTTGGTATATGAATTATATCTCAATAAAGCTGGTTTTTAAAATGACAGCAATAATTCTCTTTGTCCTCTTCATATCTCAAAGGGTGGTTGGGAACATCAAATGAGAGGATTTATATAAAAGTACTTGGTACTCTATGCAGTGCTATACAAATGTAGCCTATTATAGTATTGAATGGGATTAATCAGCTTTTCACCAGCACCTGTCAGTACAAAACTCCGAAGCTGCCATTCCTAAAACTACCTTCGCCCCCAATTAGAATTCCTTTTCTTTAGTGGTTAAAACTCATTGACAGAGCCCAACCCTTGAAATAGTGCTGCATAATAATTGCTTATGGAATGCTTCTTACCTTCATAGCCTTTAGAAAAAAAGAAAATAACGTTTCTTTTATATGTTTTCCTAAGACTCAACTCAAGTGTGTGTAATTACCACACATACCAAGCTCCTCATTATGTCAGCCCTGGAGCCCACGTGGCCATTATAATAATTTGCTAACTGGCAATTGTTCCTTTCTTCTCACAGTCCCAACCCCAGTCTTACATTTTGGCCATTGCTCTGCCCTTCTGAACTGGGGTGAATAGCAGTGTGAAGGCAAAGGGGATGAGAATGAAATATGCTCCAAGTGGCAAGTTTGAGAGTAATATAGACAGAAGCTGGTCCTTGGCCAGGTGAGCCTATGAGTGCAACACCAACGCAGCATTTACACCTAGGACAAGGAGGGGCGGAACAAGTCCCCTATGCAAAACTGAGGCCCAGAGAGACTCAGTCACCAGGAAAAGTCACACCGCTAGTGGGTGTGGTACTAGGGCTCAAACTCTGTGTTTGGCAGCATTACTCTACACCGCCCATTGAAAAACAGGTGCCCTACGAAAGTTTCAAAATTACTGCACATCAAAGTATCTTCAAAATGTATAAAATGTTTCCTACCTCTGTTTTTCCATATGAATGCCGATCCGACAGTGCATGTTGCCCCTTTTCCCCAGAGGCATCTTTTGATTTAGCCTCAAAAACAATGGAAATCCGAATATCCATGTTTGCCGACCTTAGCTTTTGCAGAAAAATTGTGGAGTAACAGCGCCCTCGGGTAGTCACTCGCGTTTTCTCAGCCGGCCTTTGAGCGCGGAGAAGTGGGGCTAAGAATGCCGCCGCTGCCCCCTGGTGGGCTTTGGACGCCTGGGCCCTCCTTACTGAGTAAAGGGCGTCTTCCCAGGATCTGCCTGCCTATGGGCCCGCGGAGTCACCTGGGAGACCCATTCCCAGTCCTGGCCTAGGCAGATCCTGAGGCGTGGCCTCTCCCACCTCAGCTGAAACCAATTAGCTGAAACCAAAATTGGAATCAAAGCCCTTGGCAGGGGGTGTTTTAAGATCCACACACGCTGGGACCTGGGAAGGCCTGAAGGCTTCGTGGCCAGAAACCCCTGCTGCCACCTATCTCTGGGCCCAAGCCTACGTTTCCTCCCCTGGAGCAGCGGCTCTTTAGCTAAGGGATTGTTCCCTTTTTGGAAAAAAAAAAAATCACCAAGCTCTAGGGTTGAGGTATGGGTAGCAACACTCTAATTAGTTATTTATATCTTAGTGTGAAATACGTTCATCTGACCCTTACCTGGTAGCAGGTGTTTCAGGGGAAAAGAAAGAATCTAAGAATAATGAGAGCCTACAGTAGGCATGGAAGGCAAGGGGAGAGAAAGGGAGAAGAAAGGGAGGAACGGCAATGGGGAGGGGAGGACAAGGGAAGGGAAGCGAGGGGAAGTGAGGGGAGAGGAGGGAAGGAGAAAGGAAGGGAGGGAAGCAGAGGACAGAGGAGGAGAGAGGAGAGGGGTGGGGAGGAGGCCAGCTAGACCCTTCTGCAGTCTTACTCAGTCCTCATTGCCCTAGTCTAGGCTTCAAATGCGTAAAGAATTTGCAAGTGCACTCTTGTTCAATTCGCAAGACATTTCAGGGCTCCCACGGACTCCCACCATTGCTTAGTGTATTACTCTGAGTTCTCCAGAGAAACAGAACCAGAACCAATAGAAAAAATATATATCTCATATATATGAATTACTATATATGCAATATATATGACTTAATATAAGGAATTGGCTCATGGGATTATAGAGGTTGACAAGTCCCAGATCTGCCGTCAACACACTGCAGATCCAGGAGAGATGATGGTGTAAGTTCCAGTTCAAATCTGATTGCAGAGGAAGACCAATGTCTCAGCCCAAAGGCAGCCAGGCAGAGAAAGAAAATCCATCCTTACTCAGCCTCTCAGTCTATTCAGGCCTTCAACAGACAATAAAGTCCACTCACACTGGGAGTGGGAGGGCTCTGTTTTCCTCAGTCCACTCATTCACAGGTGATCTTAACCAGAAACACCCTCATAGACACACACAAAATCACCTTAATCAAGTATCTGGGCACCCCATGGCCCAGTCAAGTGCACACATGCAATTGCCCTCCCAGTTGGCAGTAGCAGCACCTGTCGGCCACGCTACCTTCTGGTTGCTTGTGCCAGGCTGCTCTCCCACTAGACAGTAGAGGCTGAGGGCAGAAACAGCCTTTTCTAGCACAAGATCCTGGTATCTAGCACAAGAACTAACACAGGAAATGGTAAGTGCTCAGGATGTTTTAAAACTGCAAAAATGGACAAATGAACAAATGCACATACCTGGGTCCAATATAAAGAAAATACAGGCCAGGCACAGTGGCTCATGCCTGTAATCTCAGCACTTTGGGAGGCCAAGGCAGGTGGATCACTTGAGGTCAGGAGTTCGAGACCAGCCTAGCAACATGGCGAAACCCTGTCTCTACTAAAAATGCAAAAAGCAGTCGGCCATGGTGGTGCACACTTGTAATCTCAGTTAGTTGGGAGGCTGAGGCAGGTGGATCACTTGAATCCGGGAGGCGGAGGTTGCAGTGAGCCGAGATTGCACCAAGCCATATAGTAGTTGTCTCATTATACATCTATGTCCTTTATAGAGGACAGTGAGCTCCTAGAGTTAGGAGCCAAGTAGGTCACTGCATCCCCAGTGCTAAGTATGATGTTTGACACATAGTTGGTGCTCAGTAAATATTTGGTGACCCAGAGATGAATAGACCCATCAGTGAGGGAGAGAATGAAGCCAGCCAGCTGTCTCCCCAGAGATGGGGCGGGCTCAGATTCTCATTTGGAGCTAACTAAGAGTTACTCTTACCTGTGGTCAGGATCAGAGACAGGCTTTTACAAACTGGTATCCTGATATTCTCTTCAAACAGATTTGAGAAACCTTTGTAAAATTCCAATCTTGCTGCCTGTCACCACAGTTATCCAGAAACTGTCAAAACCAATAGGACTCCTTGGGGGGAAAGCCAGGAAGGCTGTACAATTACTGCTGTCTGTCAGGAGACTATGACAGCACCTTGGGCCCTTCCAGGGGAGGATGAAAGTTCTGATTTCTTCCTACTGGAGGTAAAAACAAGAAAAAAAAAGTTCTGATTAGGTGGACTCTGTCACACCTAGCAAGCCTGCTGGGCTGACTGGAGAGCTGCCCTAATGCTGGGAGACAGGTTTCCAGAACAATCTGGAGCAGAGTGAAGAGATCCGGCTCGACTTAATTGTACTTACCTACTAAAAAGTCTCTGCTGCTCAGAAAATGCAAGAAAGAGAAATCTACCTTTTGGGTTTCTGTGCCTCAGTTTTGCTTGTAAAAATATTAACAATGGGCCAGGTGCGGTAGTTCATGCCTGTAATTCCAGCACTTTGGGAGGCTGAGGTGGGCAGATCATATGGTCAGAAGAGCAAGACCATCCTGGCCAACATGGTGAAACCCCGTCTCTACTAAAATACAAAAAATTAGCCAGGCGTGGTGGTGCGTGCCTGTAGTCCCAGCTACTTGGGAGGCTGAGGTAGAGGAATCGCTTGAACCCTGGAGGCAGACGTTGCAGTAAGCCAAGATCGCGCCACTGCACTCCAGCCTGGGTGACAGAGCGAGATTCTGTCTCAAAAAAATAAAATAAAATAAAATAACGAAGGCCCCACGGAGAGTCACAGGCAAGTGAAGAGAAGCTGTTGGGTAGGTACAGAGCTTTCACAGAAGCTTAGGGAGCACAGCAACCCCCAGCTCCTCAGGTGGGAGGGAAAAGCAAACCTCTGGTTAGCCAAGTTTTCTGCCAGCTCACAGAGACCGTACTGGGTAGCAATGAAGATGTGGGACCTAGAATCAGAGCTGCTCTCAAATCCTGGCTCTGTCATTTACTTGCTTGGCCCATTACTGTGGTAGCACCAAAGGGAAGCTTGGAGGGATGTTAAACAGCTGTGACCTCCATGAGTTCCCAAGCTGTCCCAAGTGATGATAATAATCATTATCGTGATGGACAGTTCTCACACTTATGTAAAGTATAAATATAACCATATGAGAATTTTTTGGTATTTTTTATCACAATCTAAGTTAATATGTGTGCTTTTCATGCAAACACAGCATCAAGGCAATTCCCTGAGCAGTGCCCCCACCACCCCGTCACCACGATAAACCCCTCCTCTATGTGAATTCTGGAGCCAACACTGACAAATCTCCATTCCTCTCTAAACCTTGGTTTTCTTCTCTGTTACAGCAATAAAGGCTAATATAGTTATTGAGTACTTTCTGTTTGCCAGGCACTGAGCCAGATGTTTTTATGTGAATTATCCCATTTAATCCTTACAACAACAGTATGAAGTAGGTCCTTACCATTCTGTGCTTCAGTTTCTCAAAAGATAGAGACAATAATACCTACCTCCTGGGATTGGAGTCGGGGCTAAAAACAGAAGATGCATGTGGGATATCTGGCCCTGGTGGTGCTCAATGGTACAGTTCTAACAGTTGTAATGATTACAGTGATGTTGGAGAGGCTGCAGGTGAGGAAGTGAAGCAGGAAGAGGAAAAAGATGAGGAAGATGAAATCATGGTTCCTGGTGGGCAGAGATGCCAGCGTATACTTAGACCCTCCCTCAAGTGCTCATCCACAGATGCTGTCCCTCCTGACCATGAGACCTGAAGTGTCTCAGCAGCGTCACCATGCTTGGTTTTATTCATCCACACTCAGCTGAAGTAAAGAGGGGGCCTGCAGAGATCTATAGAGTAAGTGGGTCTGGCCTTGATGTCCCTGGCCTTGGCTGTCAACATCTTATTTCTCTTTTGGTGACACCCCCTCCCCTCAGAAGGGCCCCTCCCTAAGCAAGTTACTTACAAGGAGTTAGAGGGAGAGGGAAAAAAAGGAACAATCCAAAGTAGCCCAGGTCTAGGACTCCAGAGAGAGCCACCAGGTCAGGGAACATGGGAATGAGGTATGAGGTCTGAAGGCCAATAATGTAAGGACACAACAGTCTGGGCCATGTGAAAAGGGGCTAAAGGAGTGTGTGATCAAAATTGGTCATTGTCCAGCTATATCCACTCTCCCCTTCTTCCTTTTAGTAATAGGTTCTTGAAATTTTACCATGCACTTGGCCACTCAGCTGAAGACTACATTTCCCAGCCTCCCTTAAAGCTAATTTATAGTCACAGGAGTAAGTTCTAGCCAATGAGATGTGAACGGAAATGACATGAACAGTTTATAGGACACATCCTTAAAACAGAAGCCACATGCCCTTCCTCTCATTTCCTATCTCCCAATATGCAGAAACCCAGACCTGGTCCTGGTAAAGCAGCTTCAGCCAGGAAGACAAAGGCAATCCCATGGGGTTGGCGAAACCACAAGGAACCAGGCTTCCCAGTTCCCCTCACCCTGGGATGCTCACATATCTTGGAGTTTTTCCTTTAGGATTTTATAAACATCGATATTGTTTGCTCTTTGCATTAAAGCAGCATAACACGTGCCCATTTGCCAATTGTCCAAAATGAGTCTAAAATCCAGGTCCAAGAATGAGAATCCTCTGGCTAGAATCCCAGTCAGCATGTTACCAAATCCAGAGAAATCTTGAGGGCTTCTCTGAGAGGACATGGGACTGGTTTTCAGGGTTTCAGGGGAAAAAAACATAAAATTCTGAGGCTCAGATGCAATTTCTGGGCTGAGGTGCAAGGGGAGGTGAGCCACTCCCATGAGAAAGGGCAGAGAGACCCTCTCTCATCCCCAGATTGCTGGGATCAAGTTCAGGCCAATGCAGAGGACTGGCCTGAGCTTGATCTGGCCAAAGATCCAGTGTGCAACCGTGGGACAGCTCATTCCTGGGAAAAACAAGACCCAGCTTTCTCACCGTTGTATCCTGGCTTGCTCACCATCACATGGCCTGGCACACAGAAGGAGCTCAATAAATATTGATTTGAATATTGACTGAATGAATAATAAGAATTGTACATTTTGAGGTCTTCAAAACAACAACAGTTCTGGCAGCAAACACCAAGAGTTAGACACTCTAAAGGAAAGACAAGTGTTGGCCCTGCTTGGCCAGTTTCTTCATGGAACATCCCTCTGAAAACCCAGGGACTGCAAAGGCTCTTTAAAAAACAGACCTCTCTTTCTCTCTCTCTCTCTCTCTCTCTCTCTCTCTCTCTCTCTCGGCATCCCCGGGCCACTTCCCAAACTGTAGCAAACGGGGAGTTTGAGTACGTCAAAAAGCCCATGGATTTGGAAAAACTGATTTAGGAAGACTGACTAAATGGAACTGCCTTCTTTCACCACTCATTCATTCATGCAACAAAACTTTATTGAGAAAAGATTATAGTCTCTCTCCCCATCCGGAATGAGCTCATGTACTGTCCCAGGCTTTTCTCACAATCACAGCCTCTGCATACCTCCTAGCCTCCCCCTCAAAGAGTGGGTAGGCCATGGGGAGCACAGCCAGGATGCAACAGCTAGGAGCTACTTGAAGATGGAAGCAGAGACACAGTAATACCACAATCCAGGGTTGGAATGAAAATGGATTTCCCCCTGCCAGAATTGTCCTCAGCTACAAACCAACCTTGCTCCTTAGGCCTCCACTCCCCTCCTTCCCATCTGCTGAAGGATGAGTGGGGCTGCCCTTACTCTGAGGTGGCACAATTCAGAGTCCAGGCTGCTGCAAACCCCTGCACATGCTGCTGGCTGGAAAGTGGATGCAGAGATCAGATCAGAAGGCTTTCCTTGTTGGAGCCTGGACACAGGTGCTCATACTACCCACTGCCATTTGGAGTGCAGTGGCTGCTGTCTCCCAAACCCTCCTTGACCTTGGGCAGATTGGAACTGGGCAGTGAGTGACCTGAGGACCCAGGAAAGGGAAAGACTGGAAGGCAGGGGAACCAGCCCTGTGCCTGGGGGTTGGGAGAGGAGTGATAGAAGGGGTAGGAATGGGAAGTAAAATACCTAGGAAACCCTGCCTATTAGGGAACTGTGTCTGAAAGCTTTTTATCAGAAAACCAGTGTGTATGACAATGATGACGGTGACCACGAGCGTGATGTGGGGCCATGCGTGGTATCAGGAGAAAGTGATCATGATCCATCCCTCAGGACAGCCAGCAATGAGGAAAGATGAACTAAAACCCTCACTGGTTGTTTAAAGAAAATACAGATTTAGTTCTTGCTGGAGGAGCTGCTTATTTGTGGTTGACCTTATATTTGCAAAAACCAGGATGCATATTAAAAGAACATGTCAGGCTTTTGTAAAAAAATTTTATTTTGAACTTGTCTGAGACTTGCAGAAGAGTTGCAAAAATAGTACAAAGAGTTATATATATCCCTCATCACGTTCCACTAATGAAAACATCTTACATGACCATAGGATAATGATCAAGAACGAGAAACTAACATTGATACAGTATTATTGACTACACCACAGGCCTTATTTGAATTCCACCACTTTTTCTGCTAATGTCCTTTTTCTGTTCCAGAATCCTAACCAGGACCCCACATTACATTTAGTTGTCATGTCTTCTCATCCACTCCAGTCTGGAACAGTTCCTCAGTCTTTCATGAACTTGACACCCTCGAAGAGTACTGGTCAATTCTTTTGTAGATTGTCTCTTCATTTTGTAGAATGTTTTCTTATGATTGGAATCATGTTATGCATTTTTGGCAAGAATATCACAAAACTGATATTGTGTTCTTCTCATCACATCAAAGTGTTCATAATGTTGATGTGTCATTACTGGAGATGTTTACATTCATCACTTGGTTAAGCTGGTGTCTGCTGAGTTCTCCACTGTAAACATAACTATCTTTCCATTTGTAGTTAGTAAGTAGTTTGGGTGCAATATTTAGATTTTTAACAATCCATTATTTTCTATTGATCATCCTTCTTAACCTCTGCAGGTGTCTGATTCTCCAGTGTAGTATTCTGGTTAGCTTGAGTAGGTCACAGCCCCTTGACCCCAGATTGTCTTGAGGTCAATGGTTTTAGCAATGCCCAATAAATATTCAATGGGTATAGGTGGAAAGTTCCACATGAGACATAACCATAAATGCAATGTACAAGCCTTGTCTGGATCTTGGTTCAAATAAACCAATTATAAAAAGACATGTATAGCAAATTTTAATATAGATAGGATATTGAATGATACTAAGAAATTATTGTTATTTGCGTTAGTGTGATCATGGCATTATGATTATATTAAAAATATCTTTTTCTCATAGAAATATATAGTGAAGTATTTACAGTAAAAGTGATATGATAACAGGGATTTGTTTAAAATAATCCAGGGAAAAAATATGTGGAGAGACACATGATGAGAGAGTGGCAAATGCTGATCACTATTGAGGCAAATAATTGGCACATGGGGTTCCGTTATATTTTTCTAGTTCTGTGTATTTTTTTAATTCCCAAGGTAAAAAGTAGAGGTTTAGATAAATTAAAAAGTGATTTATCTCAGCTAATCTGCCTCAGAAAATACCACACTCATATATGAGTGTAATTTTATTCTGCATTCTGTGAAAACTGGACACTTCCCATACTACAACAAAAGCAAAAAATGATCCCATTCTCAGGATCTGGGTGATTGCTTGCTTTGGGTTCCCAGCCCGGATGACACTCCCCTTTTGGTGGCTTTTTCTCAGGGGCACTCTTTCATCCTTGTCTTCAGTAAGTATTCACCTTTCTTGCTGCTAACTCCTTTCTTTTTTTACCTTTTTCTTTTTTTATAGAGAGATAAGGTCTTGCTGTGTCACCCAGGCTAGAGTGCAGTGGTGTGATTACAGCTCCCTGCAGTCTCAATCTCCTGGGCTCAAGTGATCTTCCCACCTCAGCCTTCGGAGTAGCTGAGACTACAGGCACATGCCACCACACCCAGTGAATTTTTTTTCTGTATAGACAGTATCCTCCTACATTGCCCAGGCTGGTCTTGAACTCCTGGCCTCAAGGAATCCTCTCACCTCAACCTCCCAAATTGCTGGGATGGCAGGCATGAGCCACTGCGACCATCCACCAACTCCTTTAATTCATCTTAATGTTTGTCCTGTTCCTTCTAGAGATTTCAGAGGTCATTTGACCCCAGAGTTGGATTGGGTAGGAAAGTTAGCCTCTTTGAGGCTCAAATTCTTTATTTATAAAATGAGGCTACCATAGACCTACCACACGGGTCATGAAGAGAACTGCAGAGGATAACATGCATGCTCCTATTCTGTGCAGGTGTGGTACATTGGGGGTGCTCAAGAAATAGAACTTTTCTTCCGCTGTGGTCATGCCTGCCCCAGAAAACCCTAGAAAAGGCCCCAGTCCTGGCACAGCAAGACATTTAGGACCCAAAACCTGGACACGAGACCTGGACAATGTGACTTTGCTGAGTGGCAGAATTGTTGCCTCACTCGGTAGCATAAGTTGTTTTGGAATTTGATGTGGTTAGAGATATAAACGGCAATAATCTGACAATTCTATGCTCTTTCTGACCTGGCAGATATCTCTGAGACCACCGTAGATGATTGTGCAGTACATATACCTGTGATACACAGGTGCACATGGTGGTCCCAGACATCTGCCCCCCCAGATGTAACTCACTTCCTGCCTTCCTCTCTCTATCCCCCTCTATTCTTTCCCATCCTTTTTCCTCTTTTCATCCTTTCATGTAAATGGAAATCACAGTAACACTCTGAGGTTGTAACGTAGGTCAAAGTAGATGTGTCTAAAAGTGCTTTAACTCTAAAATGCTATATAGAAAGTTATGCTTTATTGTTTCATTTTTCAGAGCAAGAACTATTAAATATGTGTTAGATGCCATCAGTTAAAGTGCTGGGTTGGTTTATTTGGTGGGTTTTGGTTCTAGTTGCTGTGCACATTCCAGTCCCTAAGGCAATCAGTGGTATTTTGAGAACCTAGCTGGCATCCCTGCATGACTGGGATAGAGACATACTCTCCCGAGTGGTGACCCTCCTCCTGGAGCATGCTAGCTAGTTCTGCACAGGTGAGAAGTGGCTCAACTATAAATTAACACCTGGCATTCAGTGTGTCTGCCCTTGTAATTCTTGGTGTGGGGATTGTATCAGAAACCATACGTGTTTCCTTTGTCCTGACATACAAGACTTGTCTCTCCAGATTGGCAGGTACACAGGCCTCTGGCTGAACCCCAATTTCAACAACTCTGGAAGACCCTTTGAGGTGCTCCCCAGGACGCTGTTGGAGTCTCAGTAATAGGATTTCACTTCCCACCCTGATTTCTGAACCTATTGAGGAATAAGATAAAAGACCAAGTGGTTAGAGGCCAAAATATCACATTCACCATTGATAAAGTTTAGGTTGGAAGGCCCAGCTTGTATCTCTTGGCAAATGGAACCTGAGTTTTAGGCGCAACCCTTTCATGGGAGTGCTGGGCCAGGGAAAGCTTCCACCCTGGCCAGGGCCTACCTGGAGGAGCTGAGCAGAGCCTGTGCTCACAGCACATGAGTGCTCCCAGGAGGAGGACATAAGGTTTTGAGCCACGCTCCCAGTTTTTCCTCCCAAATTCACCAGGTACAGAAGGAACTCTGACAGGGACCAGTGCTAGCCAAGAACTGTTCCTCTCCCACAAAGTCTTCTCAGGGCAAAATGTTTATAGAGTGACAAGTTCCCTCAAGAGGAACATCTGGTCACCCTCTAATCTATGCTGTTCTGACAGAATAACTAAAACACGCTCTTCCATGCCCTGTCTGGTGTTTACCACAAACCAAAGCTATGTGCTGGCATTCACACCTCCCACCACTGCAGTCACTTCTTCCGTTTACCTAGCATCCAGCACCCACTCATCACCCGCTCTAGTCTGACGGCCCACAGGGTATTGTGGCTGGAGCCTAGCATTTCCTTTTCAACTGTTTAAGGGATGCAACCTGCTTCTCTTTTGTTCTTACACAGACGCATTCTATGGGCAGCTTCCGTATCTTTGGACCTCAGTGTCATTAAGTATCACATGGCCTCACAACAATAAATGGAAAACCTAATCCTCGTGTATGTGTTTTTAAAAGTCCGTTCCATTTAAATGAGTCATACCATTAAGTCAACACACAGTTTCGCTTTAAACCCTAAGTCACTTACATAAATCCCCAGGGGTTCACTGTGACCCTGTGTAAGGCTTCTTCCTTTTCTGTAAACTTTCGTTCTTGGATTACACATTTCCAGGGATGACTGCCAACTCCTTCTTTTGCCTTCAGTCCTCTGAGAGTGTGTGTGCGTGTGTGTGTGTATTTTATGTCTGCATCCTGGTCCTCCAAATAAAAGCCACCTTTCCTGTTTTCTCAGCGACTTGAATCAATTCCAGTTTTCCATTTTCCCATTAGTGTTTGGTGTGTGTGCTTTGCTGGATTGGTCAAAGAAGCTCCCCACTCTGCAGAATTTTTGAAGGCTCCTAAGGTAGAGAGCATTACATTGGAAAGAAATGGAGCTTTCTGATTCTTCAGAGACTCAGCCTTCTCCTCTGAGGACCCAGCTGCTGGTCAGGTGTTTAGGAGAACCCAGCAGGCAGTCTATGCTTCCATGGTCTTCCCAATAACACTTTATGCTTCCTTCTACTAAGTACAACCATCTATATTTTAATGACTTGTCTTTCTCCTTCCCTGCTCTGTGAATTTCTCCAAGGCAAAAACTCTGTCCTAGCCAGTTATGATGGCTCACGCCTATAATCCGAGCTACTCAAGAGGCCAATCACTTGAGGCCAGGTGTTCAAAACCAGCCTTGGCAACATAGTGGGGCCCTCATCTCAAAAAAAGAAAAGAGAAAAAAAGGCCTGTGTTCTATTCTTCTTTTGATCCATTTCAGTTAGCTCCTGACTCTTAGTGCCAGCTCAGTTAGTATTTGAGAAAAGGTAAAGGAAAAGAAAGAAGCAAGGGAGGCCAGAAGGGAGACAGGTTCCAGCACCCTTGAATATGCTGGCACTCCCTCTAGAAAGCTGCTCCTACATGTTTCTCTGTGGTCGGCTCCTCCTCTCTCTCTCATTCCTATGTCCATTCAGCATCACCCCCTCAGAATGTCCTTTCCTGACATCCTTCTTAAAGAAGCCACCACACAGTCATTCTCTATTTTACTTTCCTGTTTTATTTACTTCATAGCTGTTTGTGATCTGAAATTATTTAACTGTATGTTTATTTATTGTCTGACTCCCTCCACTATGATGTAAGCTCCATGAGGTACAATAGTTTTAGGATCTTAAATAGTGCCTAGCACATGATAAGTGCCTAACAAGAGTCAATTGAGGCTGGGTGCAGTGGCTCACTCCTGTAGTCCCAGCACTTTGGGAGACCAAGGCCAGTGGATCACCTGAGAACAGGAGTTTGAGATGAGCCTGACCAACATGGTGAAACCCCATCTCTACTAAAAATACAAAATTAGCCGGGCATGGTGTTGGGTGCCTGTAATCCCAGCTACTTGGGAGGCTGAGGCGGGAGAATCGCTTGAATCCAGGAGGTGGAGGTTGCAGTGAGCTGAGATCATGCCACTGCACTGCAGCCTGGGCAACAAGAGTGAAACTCAGTCTCCAAAAAAAAAAGGCCGGGCACGATGGCTTATGCCTGTAATCCCAGCACTTTGGGAGGCTGAGGCAGGTGGATCACCTGAGGTCGGGAGTTCGAGACCAGCCTGACCAACATGGAGAAACCCTGTCTCTACTAAAAATACAAAATTAGCTGGGCATGGTGGTGCATGCCTGTAATCCCAGCTACTTGGGAGGCTGAGGCAGGAGAATTGCTTGAACCCGGGAGGTGGAGGTTGCAGTTAGCTGAGATCACACCATTGCACTCCAGCCTGGGCAACAAGAACGAAACTCCATCTCAAAAAAAAAAAAAAAAAAGAGTCCATTGAATGAATAAACAGAGAAAGAGAGAAAGGTAGGCAGGCTCTCCTCTCCCTTTTGCCCACTTGAATTGACACCTTAAAATGTAGACCACCACAGACAAAAAAGAAGCTGTTCTTCTGTCCTTTGCTGACCTGTCTACCTGGCTCTTTAACATGGACTGCAGGGCCCAGAAGACATCTTTACTGGGAGAACAGTTCAAGATACAAAAGAACACCGTCAGGAAAGTGGTGATGCTCACGTGCAGAGCCCTTCTAGAAATGGTTCCAGCCACACCACCTGTGTTCACTGTACAGACTGAGCTTCTGAAAGGATGGCAGGGAACATACGTTTCACAGACACCCACAGGTATTTAAGCAGAGGTGAGGGCTACTGTTGATATGTCATGGCACCTGGAAACACGTGGCACTACAAGACCTCAGGAGAGAGCCAGACTTGGCCAGCCAGGGGCCAGGGGCTGCCGCGCTGCTGCTCTGCCAGCTGCACTGTCCTCATCTCTCCTCTGTGCATCCATTTCCTGCTCTCTCACTGCAGATCTGTGCACAGGAGCCAAACATGCTGCTCAAGAACCTCAGAGGCCCATTTCCCAATTCCACAAGGGAAAACCTGGTGAGTCCAGCTTGGGTCCAGTGTCTACATCTTGTCCACTCAACTATGAAGGGAAGAGGGTCACACTGTATAGGTGTGGCAGCTGATACAGGGTTCAGAAAAAGGGGTATGTAGTTGGGGATCACCCCAAAAACATTTACCATCTTTACCTTAGTCAACAGATGGTGTGCTCAGACTCCAATATCTGAGAAGCAGTTTATTATCATTGCCCTTTAAATGTCCAGATGTTTTCCATTTGTCTTTTCTGTCATTAGCCCACAATCACCTGGCAGTGGAAGCATAAAATATAAGAGGCTGCCCTCTGAAATATTTGCTGGGTCACTAAGGGCATTAAACACTTGTTTCCAGTGTTAGGGAAGCTAAAACAGAGGTCGTGGGTCAATGACAGAGCAATGTTTTAATGTCTACATTGGCCTAAGGAAGCCAAATGCTGCAGAAATCCTGTGGGCAGCTTTCCATCTTCCTCTTTCATCGATGTCAGGGCCTGAGAAAACTCTTGGAATGTATCCACTTAAGTCCAACCACTTTAACAAAACAAGATAGAGTATATTCTGAATGCAACCCAAACACACCTCTCTGTGGGTAATTATGAAGCCAGCTCAAGCAGCCTTATGCCTCCTGCGATGACTATTTCTGACTCATTCCATTGGTTTTCTGACTTTATAGCCCAGGTGTATGTGTTATAAGGTGACACTAGGTGAGATCATACCCTGTTTTTTTTAATACTTGGTAATTTTCAACCGAATTTATGTTTAAGAAACTGTTCCTTTGGGAGGCCAAGGCGGGCAGATCATGAGGTCAGGAGATAGAGACCATCCTGGCTAACATGGTGAAACCCCATCTCTACTAAAAATACAAAAAATTAGCCAGGCTTAGTGGCAGGCACCTGTAGTCCCAGCTACTGGGGAGGCTGAGGCAGGAAAATGGCGTGAACCCGGGAGGCGGAGCTTGCAGTGAGCCGAGATCGTGCCACTGCACTCCAGCCTGGGTGACAGAGCTTGACTCCGTCTCAAAAAAAAAAAGAAACTGTTCCTCTGTTGAGGGAATCCTGTTGATGGACTGGAAGAGAGATGGGAGGAAGATGGGCATAAAATAATGTGGCTTCAAAGAGAGATGTGGCTCTGCACATTAAAGTAAGAAATTGGTTTAGCTATGGACAGAGACACATTTCCAAAGATGATGTCTCCTTTGGAGACATATTCCTACCTGAAGAATATGAGAATATGTGACCCAATGTGTCCACCACTGCCTTGACTTATTGAGAGGTTTGGGGCCAGTTCTGTCTGGTCCCATCTTGCCCGGGTACTATTCCATGAAGACCCTCTAGGAGACCAAGTCTTCAATCCTGGGGCTTCTAAGTGCCCTGGACCGTTGGAAGCAGGGACTTTTCACGTGGTGTGTGAGGGGCAGAGGGCTGAACAAAGCCCTAGGGAACAGGTGGTTGTCTTTGGGCCTTGCTAGTCATCACTGTGACTGCAGGCCATGAGCAATGTTCACCACAGGCAAATGAGACATCTAATCTAGGTCCTCAGGACCAGTGGGGGTCTCCAGGAGTATAGAGCTTATGGGCTACAGTCCATAGAGGACAACTATCTCTCCTTCTGCCCTTGGGGTCCTTAGCATCTCCCTATCCCCCAGTCTGTGGACTCCTTAGTCTGGAGAGCAAAGCTTTCTTTGCAATTTTGCAGTTATGCAGCAGGCTGTTTCTGTCTTATACCTGCACTGGTGACTTTTGAACTTAAACACTATAAATTTGGCTAATTCTCTGCTTCAAGAGCGACATCCTTCCCCTAAAGCAATGATAACTCATATCGAGTTTTCTGGGCTGGGAGGAAGATCATTAGAGTGCAAGTGAAGAAAATCAGAGAGCACAAAGCTGGAAGAGGTGTGCAGGCTGCGGGTGGGTAAGAACACAGAGTGAATTATTTAAAACATTAACCCACTTCATATATAGGATCAGGTATTGCGCCTGTATATAAGCCTTGTTATTGTGGAGTTGTGTGTTCTCGTTCACATGATTCCTTGCTGGGCTACAGGACAGACATGTGGACCTCACATGGAGGAGAAAGCAGGAAAAGTAGCTGGACTTGGCTTGGTTCAGCAGAGTCTGGGCTGAACTGTGGACGTCCTGCTGCAGAGTTGAGTGGGGAACCTGGATCTTGGGATATGTACCAGGGTGGGACAATTCTGAGGATGTTCTATACCAGCTCTGTCCACTAGGAATATGCTGAGAGTCACATATGTAATTTCACATTTTCTAGTAGCCACAGTTTTAAAAAGCAAAATGAAACAGGTGAAATTAATTTTAATATTAATACATTTGTTGAACCTTGTCTACCTAAAATATTATATCAATGTGGTAATCAATATAAAAAATAATCAATAAGATGTTTTACATTATATATATAATTTCTAACAGTATATATATATATATATATATATATATATATATATATATATATATATATATATACTGTTAGAAATCCAATGTGTATTTTACATTTGGAGTGCAACTCAATTCTTACTAGCTATATTTCAAATGCTCAGGGGTCACAAGTGGCTAGTGGCTACCATCTTATAGGTCAGGGAAGCTCTATACTATTTCTCACAGGTTCCCAGTGGGATTGAGCCCCAGTTGCCCACAGTGGTAATCTTCTGATTGACGTCTCCTATCTAGATTTCCTTTCCTTCCCTGAAGGCCTCCATTCCCTTGCCAATGCTTCCTGGGATCATCCTTCAAGTGAACCACTTGCTGTTCACTCCTTCCCTCCAAGTCAGCTTCTGGGAAATCCAACCTAAGATATGATGTTCTAAGCCCATAAGCACTAAGGATAGCCACATCTTCTGTTAGTTAACTTCTTCTCACTGTTGAACTTTCTATTATTTTTACATGGAGTAAATACTTGCTAAAAGTTACAGCAGGGTGTATTCTACGTTATGACAACCTAGGGGGTCTTCCCATTCTGGGGCCTGAATAGCAGAGAACAATGTCCACTTCCCTCAGGCCAAAGTGGTGGGAGCAGTAGCAGTGCCCAAGGAGATAGCTGTGCTTAGCAGCGGGGTGACCTCTCAAGTGTCACCAACAGCAATGTGCCTGGGCATCAAGGAGCCTGGGGCAGCAGAACACAAAGGACTCATCTTGCTTTCACTTAAGATGGCCCTGGGGACCCTCGGATAGGCCAGAGGACAGTCTCCAATCACCAGACCAAGAGGAGGAAGTACCAGCTACCACAATTTTATATTTAAAAGGAAATTTAAATTTTTGTAGGTATAGATGGTAAGGTCGGGACACCCTGGTCACAAGTGAATTAATTCTCTTTTTTGTTTTGTTTTGTTTTTTGAGACAGAGTCTCGCTCTGTTGCCCAGGCTGGAGTGCAGTGGTGCAATCTCCACTCACTGCAATCTTTGCATCCTGTGTTCAAGTGAGTCTCGTGCCTCAGCCTCCCGAGTAGCTGGGACTATAGGTGCACACCATCACATCTGGCTAATTTTTTTGTATTTTTTTGCTGAGACAGAGTTTCACCATGTTGGCCAGGCTGGTCTCGAACTCCTGGCCTCAAGTGATCCATCCACCCACCTCGACCTCCCAAAGTGCTGGGATTACAGGCGTGAGCCACTCTGCCCAGCCACAAGTGAATTAATTATCAATCTGCTGTTTCAGTCAGGATGACTTCAGAGAATCCTCTGTCCATGCCTCTGAGAACAACAAAGAAAAACAATGACCAGTTGAGATGCAGATCAGCTCTGGCACTGTTCATAAATTCTCCTAGAAGAAGTGCTTTCCAAGGAGTGGGAACATGACTTATAGTGATGCCAAACAACACCTGACACATAACACAGCCCTGTGGGGGTGTGGAGCAAAGAAGAAAGAGCAGTTTCATGTCAGCAAGCACTAAAATATTTCTAGAAGAAACCTGACCCCTAAATGTCTACGTCTACATATATTAACAAAATATTCTGTGACTTATTTATCCAATGAAACTGGAAATTTCCTTCCTGCTCATTTGTATTTTGTCTCCATTTCTCTTATGCAAAATGGAATACCCTTTTGAGAATCTAGATGATTATTGCCGGGCACATTTTCACTGGAGCCAACATCTCACCAAATAAAGGCCAATATATTTCAACCTCCATCAGCCAACATAATAAATGAACAAAATATTATACAGAAGATGAGTCTAACCTTGTGGCCTTATTTCCTTACCTCCCAAAACCATATGCCTCATCATCTTTTCCAAAAAGTGAATTTAAAATAACAATAATAATAACATTTCATTTTGGCTTCCTTCCACAACACACTCTACTGAAATTACTCTCTCTAAAGTCACCAGCAACTCCCTATGCTAACATCAGGGGTCTTCTCTCAGTTCTCTTCCTACTTGAATTTTCTGCAGCACGCAACATATTGAACAATCTTTTTTTTTGTTCACTCCATTGCAATAAATATTTATTAGTACCTACTATAAGCCAAGCACTGTTGTAAACATCTTCAGTATATTAGAAAATAAAACAAAGACCTCTGCCCTTCTGGAGCTTACACTGTAGCATAAGAAGACATCATAAACCATAACCCTAAGGAAATGATAGCATATGTTAGAAGGTGGAGACCAAACTGCCCTTTTGGTGTAGAAAGGAATGTCTTGGGCTTTGGAGGCAGGAGAGCATGATTCAGAGACTGGAGATGACAGAAAGCTGTGGGGTGATATGAGATTTTCTCCAAAAATATCCCCAAACAGTCTGTGGCTTCCTAAGCATCACAAAATGCCAATGTGACCAGATGTCTTATAGAAAACAGAGTTGGGGTGTTGCTTCCTGGCTGGCTCTGGCAAGTTCTGTGGATTCCCTCAAATCCACCTCTCCGCGCTCTCTCACTCCTGCCACTGCATTGAGTTCGGGTCCTGAGTTCTGCCTGGATGACCACTTCAGCTTTCAAGCTGCAGTCCTTTCTGGAGCCCCAGTCTTAAACTATCATCCACTTCACTCCCCATAGTGCTGCCTGGTGGATTGATTGTCCCCTAAAATACAAATCAAATCCTGGCACTAGCTTTTTCCTGAAGTAGACATCCTAAATTGGCAATATGCTTTCCAAAGAGCCCCTAATAATATACACACTGAGAGACACACACTCATCTGCTGAGAGAAGCATACCTAGAAAAAGCACAATGGAATCCATTTTTCTCATGAAACCAGAGCAAAATGCTACTCCTATTAAAGAGGGTTGACATGCTTTTCATTGCTTTAGGAATTACCCGTAGTTGAAATAAACAGCAAAGATTCTAAGGTCATTGACAGAAGTAAACTAATTTTAACAGCAATCCAGATAACCACGAGTGGTTGGTTTGGGGGCTTTAGAGCTGTCACCAAGCAGTTTAAAGCACAGGAAGCAAGCTCACTGCCTGGAAGTTGAGCTGCAAATGAATCCCTAAATTTAGCATCTTGATATGGGTGAAAGCAAACTAGGTACATGATTGCCCAATCAGAAACACAGAATCAACTCACTTAGCAATAGCGAGTTATGTTTCTGCTCTGAAGGTAGGTCAGCAGTGTACAGGCATTGCGCAGAGGAAACTCACCCAGGGCGGCAGTCTGGGCCTGGGTTTCCTCAAGGAAGCATGGTTGAAGGAAGAAACTGCAGTGTAGCTGAAATAAATCAAGGTTATCATCAAGAAGATGGTGCTGACAAGTTTCAGATCTGAAGGATGAATTAATAATGATACTAAGTCTCAAGAGTAGTGAAATCGTGATCATTGCTCACATCTCCTGCCTGCATGGTATATGCAGAAACTAAGCACTCTCCAGCCTTTACATGAATCAATGAAATAAGATGTTGCTATTTCTTTTTCTTTAAATGTCAGTGTTTCCCAATATTCCACCTTTACCCCTCTTCTCCTATTTAAGCTTTTTCCTGGGTGGATGAGGAACCTGGGGCATGGAGCATTTAGGTAACTTGCCTGAACCCGAACAGTGAGTAACAGGACTACAGGGAGTGACTCAAGCCCAGGCAAAGTAAGGCTGAAAACCAGTGAATGAGGCGTGAGTCAGAAACCACAAAGACGGAGGTCAGGATGGAGGATGGGGCAAGGAATGGGTTGGTGCAGGTGGATTAGAACTAAGGCAAGGAGGAACTACAGAACACTGAATTTTCCTTTGGCTGTTTCCTGGTGTATCCCAGAAGTAAGAATGGTTGTTGAGAGGAACCACGAAAGTAATAGAAAAAGTATGCTGACATAAAAGGGGTTAAGAATGACCTCCAATTGAGGCTGGGCGCGGTGGCTCCTGCCTGTAATCCCAGGACTTTGGGAGGCCAAGGGGGGCGGATCACCTGAGGTCAGTTAGAGACCAGTCTGGCTGACATGGCGAAACCCTGTCTCTACCAAAAATACAAAAAAATTAGTCAGGCATGGTGGTGGGCACCTGTAATCCCAGCTACTTGGGAGGCTGAAGCAGGAGAATCACTTGAACCCGGGAGGCAGAGGTTGCAGTGAACCAAGATCGCACCACTGCACTCCAGCCTGGGTGACAAGAGCAAAACTCCATCTCGAGAAAAAAAAAAAAAAAAAAAAGAATGACCTCTGATTCAGTCACTCATTCAATATGTATTTACTGAACACCTACCATATGTCAGGGTCTGTTCTAGGAGCAGCACTGAAAAAGTAGATAAAATACTGGCCTCACTGGAGTTACTGGAGTTACACCCTAGTTGAATAATAATAGATTAAATATTAAACAATAAAAATAATAGATTGCATATGCCCTGTTGTCATAGGCAGCCCTTTCCAAGGCAAAACCCCAGTAAAACCAGATTAGGAAATTAGAGGAAGAATAAAGGACAAAAATAACAACTTCTGACCCTTCAGGCCAAGCTCTTCCCCTGTCTAGCAGAGATGCCCAAGATACAAGTGGCTCTGGCAGTGTGAATACAGAGGCTTAGAGCTGGGCACACTCAAAATCACTAGGCCAAGCCAAGCACCATGGCTCATGCCTATAATCCCAGCACTTTGGAAGGTCAAGGCAGAAGGATCGCTTGAGCCCAGGAGTTCAAGACCAGCCGAGGCAACAAAGTGAGACCCCCATCTCTACAAAAAATCAAAAAAATTACCTGGGCATGGTGGTGTGCACCTGTGGTCCCAGCTACATGGGAGGCTAAGGCAGGAGAATCACTGGAGCCCAGGAGGTCAAGGCTGCAGTGAGCCTTATTCACACCACTGCACTCCAGCCTGGGTGATGGAGTGAGACCTCGTCTCAAAGAAAAATAAAAATCACTAGACCAATCACATCACCTTCTGGCTTTTGAGGGGTTTTTTAAGAGACAGAGTCTTGCCCTGTCACCCAGGCAGGAGTGCAGTGGCGCAATCATAATCACGGTAGCCTTTAACTCCTGGGCTCAAGGAACCTTCCTGCTTCAGCCTCCCAAGTAGCTAGGACTACAGGTGCAGACAGGGTCTCATTATGTTGCCCAGGCTGGTCTCAAACTCCTGGCCTCAGGTGATTCTCCTGCCTTGGCCTCCCAAAGCACTGGGATTACAGGCATGAGCCACCATGCCCAGCCACCTTCTCATTTTTTAATTACCTTCTATGACTCCCTCACCACAAAACACACACACACACACACACACACACACACACATATATAGTTTGGGTTGTGCTTGCTTGAATACCTTGCAGGAAAGAAAACATTACTTCCCAATGCAGCTCACTCTAGAGAAGTTTAGGTTTTGTTTTGTTTTGTTTTGTTTACCTTATATTGACTCTGACATTAAAATTTTTTTATAACCTAGGTGATAGGTCAATAGGTGCAGCAAACCACCATGGCACATGTCTACCTATGTGACAAACCTACACATCTGGCACATGTATCCTGGAACTTAAAATAAAATAAAATTAATTTTTTAAAAATCATTTTATATTTTCAGTTTGGGGTTATCCACAAATTAATAAAAATACTTTCTGGATAAGTGGCTTTCAAACAATGCTCTATAAAGCCCTTGGTGCTTTGAGGAAGGACTCAGAAGTAGTGGGGCAGGGTGGGTGGGCAAGACAGAAAACTTCTACAGACCCGGTAGACAGAGCCTTGAGTTTAGTTTCCACAGAGAATTTTATTGGAAGAAAGGGTTGCACAGTTAGAAAAACATTTGAAAACCCCTGTTCCAGATATTCATCCCACAAGTCATTATTATAAATGTTGAATCAAATAGAGGTGAGAGCAGAGCATTAAGATACATTTCCCTGCATACTGATGGCAATCACTGTGTCTTGGGTATGGCAGGAAAGCCAGTTGCGAACCAATCTCATTGTTCCACATGGACCCCCAAGGCTTAAGAAGGACCCTGTAAATGTCTCCCTGAAGCTGTCAAGAGTGTGCGTTTCTGAGTTTCACCATTCGTTGAGATCACTGCTTTTCAGCCCTGGATCTGCATTAGAATCAACTGGGAAGTTTTAAAACTACCACTGCTCCTCGAGAAATTAAATATCGTTACCACGCGACCCAGTCATTTCACTCCTAGGTATATACCCAAGAGAAATGAAGACCCAAGTTCAAATGTCTGAAGGCCACATCCCTATATACCAGCTGGCGAATACTGGGGGAGGAACTAGATGTCCCAATTTGCAAATGAATTTTTATAATATTATTCATAACAGCCATATAGCCATATGAATAGCATTATTCATAATGGCCAAAAATATGTGGAATTAATCCAAATCTCTCTCAATTGATGATTGCATAAACAAAATGTGACATATTTATACAATGGAATATTATTCAGCCATAAAAAGAAATGAAGTACTGATTTGTGCTACAGCATGGATGAACCTTGAAAACATTGTTAAGTGAAAGAAGCCAGACACAAAAGGCCATATATTGTTATCATTCCATTTATATTAAATGTTCAGTATGGCAAATCTATAGCAATAGAAAGTAGACTAATGGTTGTCTAGGGATAAGAAAGATGAGAGGATTAGGGGTGGTGGCTACAGATACAACTATCTTTTTGGAGTGATGAAATATTCTGAAATTGATTGTGGTGATGGTTGTAGAACTCTGTGAATATACTTAAAACCACTGAATTGTATACTTTAAATTGTATATGTATAAACGTATACTTAAATTGTATGGTATGTATATTATATCTCAATAAAACTGTTATCACAAAGATAATAACTACCACTGCTTTGGCTTCCACAGAATTTTTGTTAGGTAAAATATTTTATTAAAGAACAATTTAAATATATATAAAACAAGTGTTATGGTTTGAATGGGTATCTTCAAAATTCAGGTGTTGCCAATATGACAGTATTAAGAGGTGGGGCTTTTAAAAAGTGATTAGGCCATGAGGGCCCCTCCCTTAGGAATAGAATTAGTGCTTTTATAAAATGGCTTCATGTAACGAATTCATTCCTCTTGCTCTTTTTCTACCTTCCACCATATGAAAACTTAGCATTTCTCCTCTCTGAAGAATGCAGCAATAAGGCATCATCTTGGAAGCAGAGCGCAGCCCTCACCAGACACCAAATGCCGGTGCTTTGATCTTGGACTTTCAGCCTCCAGAACTGCTTGAAGAAATTTTCTCTGACCCCACACCCTTGGGGCTAGTCTGGAATACAGGCCTTTCCTTCATATTTCCAAGACATAGCTCTGTTTGCTTCTGTGATCTTTGAGAGTGAAGGCACCTCTTCTTATTCATATTCCATTCTTGGTCTTTCTATATACAGTGTCCCCTTAGCAGCAAATACCTCCTTTAAATGGAGGAAATTCTCTGGCACATACACTAAAACCATGGCTTCTCCCCAGTGAGAGGGCTGGGCTTTGGAAAGCAATAGAGACGATGGTGGAAGTAACAGCTCAGTACTTATAGCTAGCAGGCACACATCCTCCTCCCTTCACTTTGGATTTTTCCAAAGAATTTTTTAAATTGATCTAGGTGGGACTTGGATGTCCATTCCCAAGTGATTCTATTAAATAGCCTAGACTGAGAACCACTGACTCCAGTCATGGGAATGGGAAGGGAAATGATTGATTTTGAGGGATGTCACCCTCAAAGAATATTAAAGGAGTAGCTCTTGAAAGCCTAGATGTTCCCACTCTAGGCTTTCAAGAGCTACTCCTTTAATATTCTTTTCTGAGGCTGGGCACAGTGGCTCATGCCTGTAATCCCAGCATTTTGGG
Organism: Homo sapiens; assembly: GCF_000001405.40. Lineage (NCBI taxonomy): Eukaryota > Metazoa > Chordata > Mammalia > Primates > Hominidae > Homo > Homo sapiens. The sequence goes on along the minus strand of NC_000001.11, from coordinate 85,285,533 downwards.
GGACCAAGGCAGGTGGATCACTTGAGCCCAGGAGTTCAAGACTAGCCTGGGCAATATGGTGAAACCCCATCTCTACAAAAAAATACAAAAATTAGCTGGGCATGGTGGTGCATGCCTGTAGTCCCAGCACCTTGGGAGGCTGAGGTGGGAGGATCACTTGAGTCCAGGAGGTTGAGGCTGCAGTGAGCTGATGTCATGGGATCCTGTGGGTGTCACTTCACCAGCCGGAAACCTGTGTGGCCAGTGGCGCTTTTCCCTGAGTTTTTACTTAGGCCCGCTGGGCTTGTTCCACCCAATCAGCCTGGCAGGCTGTGCTCAGCTTGCACTACTGGCCTGAATCTCATGCCTGCCAAGGGAGAGCCAGGCACAGAGCAGCAAGGGGTGTGTGAGTGAGCAAGCATGGTGCCCGGCCACTGAGCACAGCCAGGCACACTGGCTGTGGTGGGGCAGGCAGTTCCAAGCACCAGCACAGGCGCCAGCTCCCTGTGAGGCTGTGGCTGGACCAGGTGGACCACAAGCAGCTTCCATGGCTGGCACTGAGGAACGCAGTGGAACTTGGAAGCTTGGAGATGCCGGGAACCACAGAGCCCCAGAGAGGGTGTTACAGCCCTGGCTTGGGGAGCTCCTAGGTCTGGGCTCCCAGAAGGGCTGCAGCTCTCTCTCCTTCTTGTTGCCCACAACGTGGTAAGCAAGGGGTGTATTTCAGACCCATTTGTGTTATAGCTCTTTTAGCCCAGGCATTCAGCGCATCCCAAGTTCTTGTCCTGTGTCTAGGAAGAATGAGGTACGCAGACAAGTGGAGGGTGAGCAAGTCAAAGAGGAGTTTGATTGAGTGACAGAACAGCTTAGAGGAAACCACAGTGGGTAGCTCCTCTCCACAGGCAGGTTGTCCCAATAGTGTTCAGCTCTCAGCAGAGGAGACCCTAGAGTAGGCAGCTCCTCTCCACAGGCAGGTTGTCCCAACAGTGTTCAGCTCTCAGCAGAGGAGACCCTAGAGTGGGCAGCTCCTCTCTGCAGCTGGTAGTCCCAACTTATGCCCAGCTCTCAGCAGAGAGGAGATCCTGGAGCAGGTAGCTCCTCTCCAAAGGCAGGTCATCTGGTCATCGGAGTCTGGCTGAGTCCAGGGGTTTTTATGGGCTTCAGAGGGGAGGAAGTACATGCTGATTGGTTCACGGGTGGCAATGGGTGGGCCTGAAAATAGCACCATAAGTTCCCATTCTGGCCCATCAGCCCCACCACCAGGCTTTAGGCCATCCCTGGCTTGAAGGTGAGGCTTCACCAGGGACCTGCCCCTTTCTGCCCAGGAGCTTGTCTGCCTCCTGCCACTGCCCAAGCTATTTGTGTTGAGGGGCTCCTGCAGGCCCATGCTGAGCCACCCTCAGTGCTCCCTCAGCCTCCCTCCTGTGCTCGTCAGTGCCCAAAGCCTGGAGGGGAGCCAAGGCGGCAGGGGTCTGGCATGTCAGTGCTGCTCTGAGCATGCATACACCTGGCTGGGTTGCAAGAGGGCCTGGGCTTGGCCTCAACTTTGCTCCAAAATCAGAGTCGGCACCGGGAGTGGGGAGAGACCAGGCAACAGGAGCAGGTACTTCTGAGCCTGCAGGGGCAGGGAGGCTTCCCTGGCCCCCAAGAGATGCCCGGGTCCACAGCCATGGCTGGATGGCTGCAGCTGTGCCTGAGAGGGCAGGGCTCCTGCCTGATTCTGGCCCCCAAGAGCACAGGGATGTCCAGGTCTGGAGCTGTGCCTGGGCAGCTGCAGCTGCACCCAGGGAGCACAAGGCTCCCGCCCTGCCAACTTGGAAGTGGGCAGGGCTTCCACAGTTCCCGGCTCCTCCCAGCCCTGTAGAGCTCGCAGCCCTGGCCACGCCTCCCCCACTGCAGCCAGTGTCATGATAGCAGCCACTCCAGAAGGGCCACCCACGCCATCACCAAGATTGCAACACTGAACTCCAGCCTGGGCAACAGAGCAAGACCCTGTCTCAAAAAAAAAAAGTTATTTTCTGGAATTATGCTTGCCATCGAACCCCACCTGGAGTTTGCAAATATCATCTTCCTCTTTCTGAGACTTGCATTAGTTAACATTGCCAGTCTTCAGCTACTCTCATTGTTGCACAGTGCCCTTCATGGATCCTAAGCTGGAGCAGATACATCATTTGTGAGGCTCAGGATATAATGATTCAGAGAATGCTCAAGCATCCTAGCTTCTCTGAATCATTATGTCCTGAAGCACTTAGCTCAGTCTACAGCTAGTAATTAAGAACACTGGCCTGGCCGGGCGCGGTGGCTCACGCCTGTAATCCCAGCACTTTGGGAGGCCGAGGCGGGTGGATCATGAGGTCAGGAGATCGAGACCATCCTGGCTAACAAGGTGAAACCCCGTCTCTACTAAAAAAATACAAAAAATTAGCCGGGCGCGGTGGCGGGCGCCTGTAGTCCCAGCTACTCGGGAGGCTGAGGCAGGAGAATGGCGTGAACCCGGGAAGCGGAGCTTGCAGTGAGCTGAGATTGCGCCACTGCAGTCCGCAGTCCGGCCTGGGCGACAGAGCGAGACTCCGTCTCAAAAAAAAAAAAAAAAAAAAAAAAAAAAGAACACTGGCCTTATTATCAAGGCTGAACTGGAATCCCGGTTCTGCTACTTGGTGGGAGAATGACCTTGAGCAAATCATGTTTCTAAGCCTCGGATTTCTCATCTCTAAAGTGAGGATAATAAAGCCTACCTGTAAGGACTGTTATAGGCATTAAATTCCCACCACAGATGTAAAGTGCTTGGCTCAGAGTGAATGTGAAATAAACTGCTAGTGATTATTTCTTCCCAGGGAGTTGTAAGACTGGGAGATCTAGCCCCTCCTCCAATATCCCCCTGCTGGCATATAGGTATGCAACCTCCAAACATTCAGGACTCATAGCAGGTGCCTGCCTGCACTCTTCAAACCAGTCCTCTAGGGGGAAGACAAAGGGAATGATCCCTTATCTCTGGTTCCCTCATCAGCCCCAGCAATGTCCTAGTCTTGGGGTACACTAGCAAATATTGTCAGAGCATTTTCTCAGGTCCACGCCCACCACCCTACACTTTCCTGGTCTTTCCTTCCTAAGCCAAGAGCCATTCCTAGAGACAGGACCCCCAGGAGTCTTCACAAAGTCCCTGTGCTGAAACATCTGAATTTCACCACATAGTATCTTGTCATTAAAACCTAAGAGTGTCTGTCTCAGAATTGGCCAGTTTTTTCTTCCAACCATTTACAGAGAATGTATAATCCACAATTTATAATTCCACAACCACCTGGAATAGTATTTGTTGCTCAATACACATCTGACATCTGACAGGAAGTATGGAATAAATAACCAAGAAGCAGTTAAAGCTCCCCATTAAAATCCTCCCACCCAGCTTAAATACTGGGTGAACTCCTCTTTCATGTTGTTTTATCGATCAGAATGGTTTCCTCTTCCCTACCTCTGAATTCTTATTATCACTATCTTTATTGCATACTTACTAATTGATCCAAGATCCTACAGCTAATAATTGGCAAATCTAGAATTCAGCTGTACTGACTTGAATAGCATCTCCCCAAAATTCACATCTACTGGAACTTGGAATGTGAACTTATTTCAAAATAGTGTCTTTGGCTGGCATGGTGGCTTATGCCTGTAATCCCAGTAATTTGGGAGGCTGAGGCAGGAGGATCATTTGAGCCCAGGAGTTGGAAACCAGCCTGGTCAACATAACAAGACACTGTCTCTACAAAAGTAAAAAATAAAAAAATAAAAAAATAGCTGAGCGTGGTGGCACATGTCTGTATTCTCAGCTACTTGGGAGGCTAAGGAGGAAAATTGCTTGAGCCCAGGAATTTGAGGCTGCCATAAGCCATGACTGTGCCATTGTACTCCAGCGTGGGTGACAGAGAAAGACCCTGTCTCAAAAGAAAAAAAAAATGTGTCTTTACAGATGTAATCAAGTTAAGATAAAGTCATACTGAATTAGGGTGGGCCCTAAATCCAGTGACTGGTGTCCTTAAAAAGAAGGAAATGTGGACACAGAAACACAGGAGGAGACACAGAGAGGAAGGTCATGTGAAGATGGAGGCTGGGGTGGGAGTGATGCCGCCACAAGCTGAGGAATGCCAAGGATTGCCAGAAGTCACCAGAACCAAGCAAGAGGCAATGAAAGAATCCTCCCTCGCGGCTTCAGAGAGAGCATGGCACTGCCAATTTTGGACTTCTACCCTCCAGAACTGTGAGAGACTAAATATCTGTTAAGCTACCTTGTTTTTGGTAATTTGGTATGATGGCCCTAGGAAACTAATACACTGTCTGTCAGATATCAGACATCCTCATTCTTAATGATATCTCATCTGTACCATGATGTTATGCAGCCTTATGATTGTAGCACCTAAACCGTATCCCTCATGGCACATTTCTCAGGTGCCTTCTATTTCACAGTAGGAGGCAGATGGAGCACCTGGAAGTTAAGGGGGTATGGAGGCTGTGTTAAGGGATGAGGAAGAAGTAGGATTATTGCAAGGTAGTGGATGGGTGGGGCTGTTTTCTTGAAACTATGCCCAAACTTCATTGTTAGCCAGACCCTGTGATTTAGCAGAAAGAGGAAAATTAGTTTACTAATGAAAGAATTATGATGCATTAGAAAGCAAGAAGGACTGGGAGTTGCAAAGCCTGCCACAAACGAGCTCTGTGATTAAGCACGTGGTATTCAGATGTGGCTTTTTAAGCTAGGCAATTCATCTTGGGAACATTGACACATGGTCTGAAAAGCAAAATATTACTCTTTCAGCTATAAAAAAACTCCCGGAATCCTCATTCAGTCCCGCCCAATCCCTGATCCTTATTCTGTAACTCCCAATTCTAACATAGGGCAGACACTTAACTTTTTAGTTGACTAAATAAATAAGGGAATGAATACTGAGGATAGAAAAGGGTTGGAGGTGTCAGAAATGAAATGATGGTCAAGGAAAGAGAAAGACTCAGATGTATAGGGCATGGAAGAATGTTCAAGAATCAAAGATGTCTGCCACTAACATTTGGTAATCAAAAGCCATGACAAGCAAATGTGGCAATATATCAGTATCTGCTCAATCTTGGTAGTGAGCGTAGGGTGTTTGTAATATTCTTTATAGTTTGGTGGGTTTAAAATGTTTCCTTTAAAAAGAACAACAGTGCAGTAGCAATCTCAAAATGGCCAAATCAAAATGAGTGCATTAAATTGGCAGCATTCAATTCACTTGCTTTGATGGGTGAATCCTCCCCTTCATCAGCAGAACTGATTTGACTGTGGTAAAAACAGTTCATTCCCACACACAGATAGACCAACACAGCCCTTTTGGAGAGCACCCATATATAAGAAAAGCCATAAAATATTCATTTCCTTGGGCTTTGTACTCCTGGTTCTGGGAATTTATGCAAAGGCAATGATAATTTGAAAGGAAAAAGGATGAAAATATGTAAATTCTATGACAATTTTTTAATAACAATGAACACTTGGGAAGGATTTAAGGTGTCAGTGGGGAGTGCTCACCACTGCCCCCACCCTGGTCAAGCCATCCTAAGCTGTGCCTGGATGGCTGTGTGTAAGGAACATGGCTGTGCTTTGGTCAAGGATAGGACGAGGTAAACATCCACAGGGACTCAGCGAGTTTAGAGCGCAGGCATATAACTCCACTTGTTATCACAGCTATGTAGCCATAACATGGGAAGGCCATCCCTTGGCTCTAAGCCACTATTGTCTGTAAAAGGTATAATTGCCCTGTTGACATCGTGCAGGCGTGCTGACACCCAGAGAGAGAGAGAGAGAGCCAGAGTTGACCCTCTTGGAGACTGACAGTGGGGAGCCAGGACACAGCTCGGCTTGCTCATGCCCAGAGAGAGGAAGAGTTAAGCTGCTGACCCCGAAGGCAAGGGAGAGTCGGCCATGCAGCTGTGTGGGGGAGCCGCCAGACTAAGCACCTGAGACAGGGCAGACAGTGTAGAGAGCTAGTGTAAGAAAGCTGTTGATGAGAGCTGCTGCTGAGTAAAATCATCTTTTACCTGCCTACGGTCCCCTGAGTGTTCTTTCTGCTCATCCACCCACTCCCCTTGGACCTCAGCATGGGCTAGAACCTGACCCCAAGCATGACATTTGGCTCAGTCGTGAACCTGACATTGTGGTAGCCTCCACGTAGTCTCTGCTTCTTGCCCTTGCCCCTGCCATCTACTCTCCACTTAGCAGCCAGAGTGATCCTTTCAAAATGAAATCAAACTGCTTCCTTGCTTCATTTCAAAATGCTCCCACCACCCTCACTGCTCCACCCTGGTCTGAACCACAACCTCCTGGGGCCTGGATATAGCAATACCTCCCTAAATGGTTTTCCCTCTTCCATCTTCTTTCCCCTTAGCACAGAAGTGAAAGTGCTTCTTTTCAAATCACAAATCAGATCATGTCACTCTGCTCAGAACCTTCCAGTGGCTTCCCGTCTGACTCAGCACACCCATATGACTCAACACACAAGGAGATCATCTCCTTCCAGTTACACTGAGCATTTTTATTGGTTGCTGACTGTACTCATAATGCTCTCTCCTTATATCCACACGGTTCACTCCCTCACTTCCTTTAAGCATAAATCAAATCCCTTATCTTGGTATTGACAAGACAAGGACAGACTCCTCCAAAGTGAGCAGGGAGGTCATGACCACCCTAGCTTAAATTTTACCAATCCATACAGCCTCATCCTACTTCCCTGTTTTATTTTTTCCTCTTAGTATTTATCATCTTCTAATAAATTAAATAACTTAGATATAGCCAGGCGTGGGGGATCATGCCTGTAATCCCAGCACTTTGGGAGGTTGAGGTGGGCAGATCACCTGAGGTCAGGAGTTCGAAACCAACCTGGCCAATGTGGTGAAACCTTGTCTCTACTAAAAGTACAAAAATTAGCTGGGCGTGGTGGTGTGTGCCTGTAGTCCCAGCTACTCAGGAGGCTGAAGCAGGAGAATCGCTCGAACCCGGGAGGCAGAAGTTGCAGTAAGCTGAGATGGTGCCATTGCACTCCAGCCTGGGAAACAGAGTGAGACTCCGTCTCAAAAAAATAAATTAATTAATTATTTTTTTAAAATAACTTAGATATAGCCGGGTGTGGTGGCATGCGCCTGTAATCCCAGCTACTGGGGAGGCTGAGGCAGGAGAATCACTTGAACCTGGGAGGAGGAGGTTGCAGTGAGCAGAGATCGTGCCACTGCACTCCAGCCTGCGTGACAGAGCGAGATTCTGTCTCCAAATAAATAAATAAATAAACTTAGATAAAATTTTTCAAGTGCCTACCTCGTCTGCCCCAAACACAAATAAACTAGAATATAAATTCCATGAGGAAAGAGATTTTTATTGGTTTTGTTCACAGCTGTTTTCCTAGCACCTAGAACAGTGTCTGGCACATAGTGGACATTCAAAACACATTTGTTAAATGAAAGGATTCATCCTAAAGTTAAGGATGGTTCAGTAAATCGGATGGAAGATGATGAAAAATTAAGCAATTAGAAAAAAACTGTCCTTGTGTAATGTGTCAACATGGAAACAGGACATAATGTAAACATCAGAATCCCTTGCTGTGATTCTGGTTTTTGTGGCTCTGGTTACATTGTTTTTTTGTGTGTGTTTTTTTTTTTTTTTGCTTTCCCGTTTCTTAAACATTGGCGTTCCCAAGTTTCTCCTTGGTCCTCCTGTCATTTTTATCTACTCTCGTAGCTTCAAATACCATCTAGTTTATAGTTTATTTAGCATGTTGTCCAAGCCACCGTCTTGGGCCCAGGGCTCTACCTGTAGCTTTTCATCCACACTTCTCAGGTTGCTTCTTACACAGCGCCATAGTAGTTAAAATACGGTCTGGGGATAGTCGTCTCTTCATCAGTCTCCCCCTATAAAATGGAGGACTCATAGTATAAGTTGCCTAGAACATATTAGTAAGGACTCAATAAATGTTTGAGTAGGATGAGCTGGGTGGCTCATGCCTGTAGTCCCTGCACTTTGGGAAGCCGAGGCGGGTGGATGGCTTGAGCCCAGGAGTTTGAGACCAGCCTGGGCAACATGGCGAAACTCCATCTCTATAAAAAATACAAAAAAACTAGCTGGACTCCCAGCTGCTTGGTGGCTGAGGTGGAAGGATCGCCTGAGCCCTGGAGGTGGAAGCTGCAGTGAGCCGAGAATCGCACCACTGCACTCCAGCCTGGGCGACAGAGTGAGATCCTGTCTCAATAAATAAATAAATAATCAGTTGAGTGCATACTGTGTGCCCAACTACCTTTAAGAACTTTACATATGATCCCGGCAGCCCTAAAAGGTAAGCATATCTATCTCCATTACACAGATTAACTAATGAGGAAAAGCTATGTTTATAATGAACAGTGACCAAAAAGTATGCAAACGTTAAATGAGGTGTTAAAGTGGTGGGATTGTAGGTGGTTTCTTTTTTTCTTTCAAAAATTTGTTTAGTATTGTAGTTAGGCTGTTTGTGTGTATGCATGTGTATGTGTGTATGAGTGCGTTTGTGTGTGACCAAAACAGTAACTGGCAAACGTAACAACAGGAAATTGTAGGGCAGGGTCTGGGAAAAGGGGAGGAACCCAAGGTACTGACAAGCCCAGACCGGACTCCCCCGAAGTGAGCAGGCAGCAAAGGCTGAGAGTGCCAGCTGCCTGGGCACTGACGGACCCCACCCACGGAAACGATGCCTTATGAGGAAGCTAACCCGGGCCACTTACCGACGACCTGCGCAGGCGTGGCTTGAGGAAACGCCCGCTGTGGGCGGAGCCACCCGAAAGGCTCCGGTCGGGGGCGGGAACAGGATCGGCCCGCGGGCTGGCGTCGATAGGCTGCCGCAGAGACAGGGCGGGCTCTGCTAAGCGACGCGCCTCGCCGTGGGGCGGTGCCTGCGCCTGAGCCTCTACGAGAGGGAAGGAACGCTGCTCCGAGCTCCGCGTCGCGTCGCGTAGATTCGCGTCGCCGTCGACCTCAGAGGCGGGGCCGGAAGCGCTACGGTTTGACCCCCGAGTCCCTCTGTTCCCGAAGGGGCGGCCGTCTTTCTCCCGACCCGCTCCGCCTCCTCTCCTTCTTCCCCATTACCCGGAGGCCGAAGCCCCCAGCCAGGGCGGGGCGGCGCAGCCCGAGCTCCCGGACCCGGAAGAAGCGCCATCTCCCGCCTCCACCATGGAGCCCACCGCACCGTCCCTCACCGAGGAGGACCTCACTGAAGTGAAGAAGGACGTGAGTAACGCAGCTGTGCCCAGGGCGGGCGGGGGCGGGCTGCAGCCCAGCGGGAGACGAAAGCGGAAGCCTGGAGTCCGAGGACAAGGAGGATCCTCCAGGTCGGAGGAGCGGAAAGTCCTAGCACAGGAGGACTGTGGCGAGCCCTGCATCCGAGGGACCTTGGTGGCAGTGATCCTCCAGTGATCTGTCAATCCAGGTTTTACATCGCTAAACGCAGAGCTTGGGCTTTGTTGCCAAGTGGTGTTTTGATTCTTGCCCACTCCTCACCCATCTCCTCATGCTTTCCCCCCAACTGGGTTCTTGGAGATGCTTCGTTAGGGACTGGCGGCTCAGATTCATCCTTAAGTCAGGCTGCCTAGGCTGCTCACTCAGCCTAGAGCGAAGGCTGTACCAGGTGAAGGATCCCAAGCAGTGGACCAAAAATGTGAAGCTCTTTTGCATAAGGGGGCTTGAGGAAGCTCAACAGCTGAAAGCACAACCTGGAATTCCCCTAGTAAGCAGACGCCCACATATTTAAATTGGGGTTGGGGGAGTGAATACACGTAGCTGAGAATTAATGTACAGGTAAACGTCGAAAATATTCAGTAGCTAAATTATGCTCTTCTCGGATGGTGCAGAACCACATAAACCTTCATATTTATTCGTAACGAATGGCTTTGTTGAGATATGACATTCTTTTTCCTTTGCGTTTACTTGTTTTGTCAGATGAGACCTATATGAGTATCACTAAAATACTTTATCTGAAGTCAAATGAAAAACAGAAACTCAACATGAAACGTGTTCTTATTGAACACTGCAGTACTTTTACAAAGTCATTTTGATGAACTGGACAGGATGGCAACTTTTTAAATGTTCATCCACTTCAAATCCCTTCCTCTTCCCTGTAAGGTTTATTACACTGTACTCACAATTGGTGTGACTCACCAGCAGAAGGAAACTGGATATGACTGGGAGTTGTGCTTAGTTTCCTCATTCAACAGAGATTTATGGAGCACTTGCTATATGGAAAGCACTGGCCTTGGGTCTGGAAGGATACAAAAAAATGAAGATCAGTTTCCTGCTTTACATTCTAGTTGAGATAAGAATGGAACATAAATAACTACTGTAGAATAAATGTTGTCTTATTCATGGTGAGTGCCAGTAAAACCTTGAACTTCCAAGAGCTAGGCCTCCTATGTTCCAGATGCTGTGTCACACAGTTTACAATGTTCCCACTTAACCTTCGCAACAACCTCTAAAGAAGATAATTGCCATTCCCATTTTACAGCTAATAAAACAGGAACTGAGAAATTACAAGTGGAAGGAAATAAGATCTGTATACAAGTACAGATGTGAAGAGTGGCTTCCAGGTCTTTGTTCTTCTCTGTCAATTCATTGATGTTATCTGTCTTCAGGATTTCATTTTACGCCTATATCAGAAATAAATAACCTTGAGGAAACCATGGATGGGTTTCAAAAGGTCTATGAAAGAAACTATGTGCATGCTTTTTTCTTAGAGGTTTTTTTCATGATATTTTCAAAATGTCTTCTGATCTTAGAGAGTTTTAAAATTATCCACATATTTGGACTTTTCTCTCCACTCTAGGTCCTTATTTCCAAATGTCTACTGGAAATCTACTTTTATATCCTACAGATTGCTCACCTTGTCAAATATTGAACTTTTACTATCCTTTTCCCAAAGTTGCTTACTGTTGCTGCTGTATTGCCTTTCTTGATGAATGGTGTGCTACCACCCTTTGTCTTGGGACCTCCCACTTCTTTAGTGTCTCCCCCTCCTCCTATCTAGTTATTTGCCTCATTGTGTTAGTTGGATTTAGTACAGTTTAATAAATATGGATTACATGCTACTGTGAGGCTGATACTGTGGTTGGTTCTAACAGTTCAAAAATTAAAAATGAAAACACAATCCTAACTTGAAAAGAGCTCAATTTCTTGAGGGGGATTGTTTTAAATCACAAAATAAGTGCAGTGAGTTTTGCATTCAACTGAAACATTAACTACTTGGTGCCCTAGTAAGTGCAGGATATACAGTGTTGGCTAAAACATACCTCGTAGCTGCCTGCTTCAAACAGAGACGTTAGTTTAAAACAAATAAATAAATTTTGTTTTCATTATTGCAATTACTATGAAGGAATCAAACAGTGCCAAGACAATAATAGGGGAAATCGACTTGAGATAGGATGGTCAGGAGAGGTTATATTTAAACTGATTCCTGAAAGATTTGACAGAACTGAGGGAAGAGCATTCTGGGCAGAATAGAATTTGTCAAGGACCTAAAATAGGCAAGACCCTGGTGACTTGGGGAAATCGGAGGAAGGCAGAGGGTAATCTGAAGTGAAGTTAGGAAGGTGGGCTAGAGCCATTTTCATGAAGAGCCTTTTAGTAAAGTATCTGGGGTTTTTTTCCCCCCAAGTATAGTAGGGACTTGTTGAAGAATTGTATAGTTTAAAGATCCCTCTGCCTGTTTCATGGACTGAGGAGAACAAGAATAAGAACAGGGAAGCCAGTGAGCAGGCTCTTGGAATCTATAGAGATGAATGAGGATGGTGATTTGGATCAGGGTGAAGGCAGTGGAGATGAATGGAGCAGAATTCCAGATGCAGTTTTTGAAATAGAAATGATATGACCTGGTGATGGATTGAACATGGGAGTTGAGGAAGAGGATGTAATTAGATTAGTACATGGAAATGTCAGATCAGCAATTACATCTGCAAAGTCAAAGATCAGAAGAGAGATCTGAGCTAGAAATGTAAGTGTGGAATTGAATGATTTTACCTAGAAAGCTGTGAGCTAGAAGAGAAAAATGGTGTAAAACCCTTTAAAGAGAAGAATTTTAAAAAGTGAATTGTTAGCTTGAAAGTAGGGTAACAACAACAACAAGAAAATGATTGAAAAGTTGTATCCACAGGGATGGGAAGAAAACCAGGAGAGTGTGGTATTCATGTAACAATTTTCTTGTTTCAGGGAGGGAGTAGTCAACTGTGTTTATGCAGCTGAAAAATGAAATGAAGACTGAAAATATTTGGCAATAAGGGGGTCATTGGTGACTTCGAGAAGAATACTGGGGCAGGATGGAAATGTCTGGGAATGAATTGGGAAATGAGGTGAAAGAAGTGGAGTCCTGGTGTATAGAAAGATGAAGTGTATACACAAGGTGCTACAAGGACAGAGGACGGGGTGCCTAACTCATTCTGGGGAGTTAGGTAAACCTTTCCAAAGAAGATGACCACTGACCTAAATCTTAAAGGACGAATAGGGGCTTTAGGGTCTGATAAAAGCAGACAAAAAATACGTAAGGAAATGTAGAGAGACAGATAGTTTTAGGTAGAGCATAAATTTTCAGGACAAAGGTAGTGATAGATTAAGCTGGAGAGGTAGGTAGGAGCCATATTATCAATGAACCTTGTCTTCCATAATTAGTTATTATTGAGTACTTACTGTGTACAGAGACTATGCGTGGCCTTCATATATAGTATTCCCATTTAGTCCTCCTTGATGTCCTGTGAGTTAAGTTTTTAATCCTTATTTTATCAATAACATACCTGGAGCTTGGAGTGGTGAAGTAACTTGGCCCAGCTCTCACAAGGGTGAGTACTAGATTCAAGATTTGCACTGAGGTTGATCCAACTTTAGAGCCATGCCCTTAACTTTTCTACTCTTCTGCCACGTAAAGGAACTTTATCCTTTAAGACAGGGCAGAACATTGTTTTTAATTTTTTTTCTAAATTAACAAAATTTCAATATTAGAATTTGCTGGGCACAGTGGCCCACACCTATAATCCCAACAACTCAGGAGGATAAGGTGGGAGGATCACTTAAGGCCAGGAGTTCAAGACCAGCCTAGGTAATGTAGCAAAGATCCCTTCTCTACAAAAAAAAAAAAAAAAAATTAAAAATTAGCCGGGCATGGTGGCTCACACCTGTAGTCCTAGCTACTCAAGAGGCTAAGATGGGGATCACTTGAGTCTAGGGATTCCAGGCTGCAGTGAGCTATGATCAAGCCACTGCACTCCAGCCTAGGTGACAGAGTGAGATCCTTAAAAAAAATTTAGTAAAATTCATATAATACTCCAGATTTCCATTTTCTCCTGAAGGAGAAATGTTGAGGAGGGGGAAGGAAGTAGTAAGTGCAGCTAGGTTTCTATTGTTAATAGTCCATGCCAGATATGATAAGGACCAGGTCCTGGACATAGTTATTTGCTCACTCTGTGCTTTTCCTGTATTTGACCTATAATCTTTTTTTTCTGGGCCCGATCACATTGTTTTATAATTATTACCTGTGATATGTATTCCCAGCTAGACCATGAGCCCTTTGCATGTAGGATTCAAATCTTGTTCATCTTTGTATACTCAGTGCTCAGCACTCGGCATATTAGGAATTTAGATTTGTAAAATACTTGTCATGTGAATAAACAAGTAAATGTGGAACTTCGTAGACCAAGAACCACAGGAACCCTTCACCTAGCCTACTTTCCTGCCATTACCTTTGTCATTATTACTAACATATATTGATCACTTACTATGTACCAAGCGCTTTTCTAAGCACTTTGCATATCTTTATTCCTCATATAACAGTCAGCTGAGGAAACAAGCACAGAGGAGTTAATTACTTGCCCAAGATCATATATCTAGTAAATAGAGGAGCTAAAATACAGTCACCGGTACCAAATTATTAATGCCATTTATTGAGATCAACATGGATTTTCTACTAATTAAGCTCTTAGGCACTTCTCAAATCTAGGTTTGCTTTTTTGTGGTGTCCTTTTTCTTTATTTCTTTCATTTTTCGAACACTCCCTATTCCCCACACATCTTTCCATCTCCCTTCCACCAAGACTGATTCACTGAGTTAGAGTGTAGTCTTTCCAGCTGACCCCAAAGACAGATACATTATGGGCTCTTTCAGTTTAGGGTTTTGTTTTTTGTCTTTAACAGTTTAAGGAAATGGAGTAATTAATAACAAACATGAGAAAGTTACAGACTGTGAGACCTCTCACTAAGTTATTGGTCCTGACTAATTCTGCATTCCTTGCCAACTGATAGCTAAAATGTACAGTAGTGTTTGCCCTCATCTTTACTCCCGAAGATGGCCCTCAACAGACCTCCCTGTTTCCAAGGACCCAGGCCCTCTAGATTCAGCTGGTCCCTCTTCACAACAGCCTGGTCTTGGTTTTTAGGTTTGAAGGTGAGATCAAAGCAGTGAGGAATGTCTAGGACCTACTTGTGTCTACTTGGACTTTCATCTTAATTAGCATGCATTTTAGAAGGCCTGAGCCTCCTGACTTTAGAACATTGTCTCACACCAGCTAAGACTGCCAACTAATAGTCACGTATGTGATTTTCTTAGATGTTAAAAATAACATTGAACCATATTTTATGTCTTTTAGGCCTTAGAAAATTTACGTGTATACCTGTGTGAGAAAATCATAGCTGAGAGACATTTTGATCATCTACGTGCAAAAAAAATACTCAGTAGAGAAGACACTGAAGAAATTTCTTGTCGAACATCAAGTAGAAAAAGGGCTGGAAAATTGTTAGACTACTTACAGGAAAACCCAAAAGGTCTGGACACCCTTGTTGAATCTATTCGGCGAGAAAAAACACAGAACTTCCTGATACAGAAGATTACAGATGAAGTGCTGAAACTTAGAAATATAAAACTAGAACATCTGAAAGGTAAGATATCTTAATTATCTAAGAGCTAATTTAAATGTAATAATGCTTTTAAAAAATGCAGAGCAGGCCAGGTGCCTGCACTTTAGGAGGCCAAGGCAGGAGGATTGCTTGAGGTCAGGAGTTTTGAGACCAGCCTGGGCAACATAGCGAGACTTTGTCTCTACAAAAAATTAAAAAATTAGCCAGGCATGATGGTGCATACCTGTGTTTCCAGCTACTCAGGAGGCTGAGGTGGGAGGATCACTTAAGCCTGGGACATTGAGGCTATAGTGAGCCATGATTGTGCTACTGCACTCCAGTCTGGGCAACAGAGCAAGACCCTGTCTCAGAAAAGCAAAACAAAAACAGAAATGATCATTTTGCTTTCAAAAAGTTTAAACTTCAAAATTATATTCAATTTGCACTTATTTTACCTTATTTGACACTATTACATTGAAAAAGTGGAATATCTCTCAATATCCTGTATTTGTATTCATTTAATACCATTTATAGAAAACTATTATGAAATCCCTGCATACATAAGGATTTGTTTCTAAAGTCAGTAGAATGTAAAGTTAATCTATTCAAGAGTAAGCTCTGAAAATACTGTACATCACACATAAAGAACAGTATTTAGGCAAAGTATTGTAAAAGTCCAACTCTGCTAGTTTTTCTTATGATCACCAGTTGATCACAAGATGAAGTAATTGGCATATGTTTATAGGAATCACGTTGCATAAAATATTCATGACTTTAAACTAGTCTGGCAAGATGTGAAAGCATGGAAACAGATTAAGAGAATAGCAGATTCACCTGTCCCATTTCACTCTCACTCCAGAATATACACTCACTGATTGGAATATTGTGTGGAATTGCCTACACAATTTAAATCCCCAACCCCCTCCTGCCTCTGTTCCTCACTGTCTCTCTCCAGAGCACATAAATGTGCATGTGATGTTCTACAGCTCTTCTAGGCATTAGGGATACAGAAAAGAATAATTTAGGGCTCTGCCCTTAAGGAACTCATAGTCTATAAGTGTCCCCTTGCTGGGACACATTACAAGTTTTCCCTTTTGAGCCATATCTAAGAAAGTAGTTTGTATAGCATGGAATAGACATGCTGACTGTACTGTGAGGTTGAAAAACTAGTGGAAGAAGTGACATGTAAGTGCCCTTTATAGACTATGCAGGTTTTGCCTAAAAATTGTCAACTCAGGGTTTCTGTGCCTGTAGGTTGAATATTTGCTAAGCCTAACAGAAGGGTAAATTGTGTTTGTGTTTATTCTTTCAATCCTCTGGATAATGGTTAACTATACCCTTTGGATATCATAAAATTCTTTGATGGTATCTAAGTTGTTTTCTGCTGTAGCAATACCTGAGACTGGGTAACTTTTAAAGAAAAGAAATGTATTCATTTCTTACAGTTCTGGAGGCTGGTTAAGTCCAAGACCATGGCGCCAGCATCTGGCAAGGGTCATGCATGGTGGAAGGGCAGAAGATGGAAGAGCAAGGGAGGGCAAGAGTGTGAAAGAGAAGAAAAAGGAGTCGAACTCCCAAAATAACTAACCCATTCCCGTGATAATGGCATTAGTCCAGGGCAGAGCCCTCATGACCCTGTTGCCTCCCAAAGGCCTCAGCTCCTAACACTGCTGCAGTGGCAACCAAGTTTCCAACATGTGAACTTTTGGCGGATACATTCGTACCACAGCTAATGGGAACAACCACTGTCATTTGAGTAAACTGTGAGGTTGAGAAACAGGACATTATCTATTGAATTGTAGTTCTCACTTTCCCACAAAGTAGTCCTGGAATGTTGGACATGACTTAACTGTCCTGTGCCTTTTTTTTCTCTTTTTTTTTTTTTTTTTTTGAGACGGAGTCTTGCTCTTGTCACCCAGGCTGGAGTGCAATGGCATGATCTCAGCTCACTGCAACCTCTGCCTCCCAGGTTCAAGCGATTCTCCTACTTCAGCCTCCTGAGTAGCTGCGATTGCAGGCACCTGCCACCACGCCTGGCTAATTTCTGTATTTTTAGTAGAGATGGGGTTTCGCCATGTTGGCCAGGCTGATCTCAAACTCCTGACCTCATGATCTGCCCACTTCGGCCTCCCAAAGTGCTGGGATTACAGGCGTGAGCCACCATGCCCCGCCCTTTTTTCTCGTCTTTAATAATAAGAGACTATCCTAGGTGACCTCTAAAATTCCTTTTAGTTCTAATATCCTATTATTCAAGAATTAGCCATTGTCATTGATCAACAGATAGAATTTTAGCATCTGCCGTTTACATTTTTTTATTAGCTAATATTTTTTGTACCAGAATACTAAAGAATATTTATTGTGAAAGCTATTTCTTATTTTATAAAAAATTTTAGGTGGTTAAGTTTATATGTACGCTGTACCTTAAATGAGAATTACAGCATGTCGTTTAACTTCCACGAGACTATTTTGTTATATAGAAAATGCAAATAATAGTATACTTCATGGTTGTTGAGAAAAGCAAATTAGATTTGAAATAGATTATGACGGAAATTACAAGTTGCTATTTAAATTTTGATTGTGGGGTAACTAGCTTGTAATCTTTAACAAGTCACAAGATGGACAGTGACTCCATTTTTTTAGTTACTTTTTCATTTACATCTGAATAATTTTATTGTAGGACTAAAATGTAGCAGTTGTGAACCTTTTCCAGATGGAGCCACGAACAACCTCTCCAGATCAAATTCAGATGAGAGTAATTTCTCTGAAAAACTGAGGGCATCCACTGTCATGTACCATCCAGAAGGAGAATCCAGCACGACGCCCTTTTTTTCTACTAATTCTTCTCTGAATTTGCCTGTTCTAGAAGTAGGCAGAACTGAAAATACCATCTTCTCTTCAACTACACTTCCCAGACCTGGGGACCCAGGGGCTCCTCCTTTGCCACCAGATCTACAGTTAGAAGAAGAAGGAACTTGTGCAAACTCTAGTGAGATGTTTCTTCCCTTAAGATCACGTACTGTTTCACGACAATGACACTTTATTGCCTTTTAATTTTTAATGATGACAAAAAATGTTTTAAAGAATATGACTTTTTATAAAATGGCTGTAATCATTTGTTTACATTTGATGCATGTCTTTTAAAATGCAATGTAAGCATACTTTGTAAATAGGATTTTTAGAATTAAAAAAGCATACTTCTAGGATAGCTAACTGTAAATCATGTTGATCATGTACTTTTTAGTAATTTCTTTTTTTCCTTTTTAAGGTCTTTCAGTACTTTTTTAAATATTTTCTATTTTAAGACTGATTTTAATAGGGAATATATCTCTATTTGAGAATAGACCCTTACTAGGAAGAACGTTTTTTCCTCAGTGCATTTGTGCTAGAAATTTTCAAGAGTCTAATAGTCTTTGCCAGTCATTCAGCAGCAAATTTTCAGCATTAAGCTGTTCCTGTTCAGTAATAAAACCGGTCACTGATGGGAAAACTGCCAATATAGAAAAATAAAAATCTCTTTTCCACTCCATTGTCGTATAGGCATGTAAACAGCCTCTTTTTGATACTGGAGGAACACTTGATGGAGTGTGAGCCACCTAAGATCTCGGTTTGCCAAAATTCATTTCTAATTAACCTTACTAATTATACTACTTTGTTAGGATTTTCACATTCTTGGCTTAATCATTTTCATTCCTAAAGAAAAATATCTTGGCCTAAACCTCAGTTATTACATGTAATTTGATGAGGTATTTTTTCCTTTTTTCTTTTTTTTTTTTTTTTTTTTTTGAGACAGTCTTGCTCTATCGCCCAGGCTGGAGTGCAGTGGCGCATTCTAGGCTCACTGCAACTTCTGCCTCCCATGCTTACGTGATCCTCTCACCTCAGCCTCTCAAGTAATATAGCTGAGACTACAAGTGTGTGCCACCATGCCTCACTAATTTTTGTATTATTTTTGTAGAGACGGTGTTTTGCCATGTTGGCCAGGCTGGTCTTGAACTCCTGGACTCAAGCAACCTACCCAGCGTGGCCTCCCAAAGTGCTGGGATTACAGACACGAGCCACCTCACCTAGCCTGATGAGATTTTTAAAAAATATTTTCTCTGTACTTTTCATTCTCTTTTAATGAGGACCAATGTACAGTTGAAATAACTGGAACAAATTATTTTTGGTGTGTGTGACAATTCTGTTTTTAATGCTATTTGAACAAGTGGGCCATTAGCCAGATTTGTCTTTTTGTTGTAAAACAAAATTTGACTAATTTTACATGTTTATAAATCTTATGCTCTCACTGTTTGTTTTTATTTAAATTACAATTTTATCTGTTTCCTGACATTGTCTCCTATATATTTCTATTATTAATTGCAAAAACATAGAAATGGAAATTTTGCTATCAACAATAAAATTTTTTTAAAGTAGTGAGTGCTATTTTGGAGTTCCAAATTTTCAGTAGGAAGTATCTAAAACTTTTTTTAATACGTGCCATTATCTATAGAAAACATTACTTCAGGTTGTGAGATTGAGTTGCATTTCTGGATGGACTGATGAATTTATCCGACATGAAGAAGATTGGCATATTAGCTTTAAAAATTTTTAAAGATTGGATTTTTTTTAGTATAAGCACTTTCTAAGGATTATAGAGAAATGTTTCACCTCCAATGCATAGCAAAAATAGTGGTGTTAGAAAGAAAATAGGTTACATTTAAGGAAGGTGCTTTAAAAAGCAGAAGCAGACTTTAAAATTAAATTTGTGGACACCTTTTTAAAAATTGAATCAAAGATTATAATTTAGATATACAATAACACCTATATATAGATAAGTTTTAACACTGAGTTTTCTTTCAGACTGTTTTCTAACTACATAGACAATAAAATTAAGCTTTGCATAAAGCTAGGTTTGTGGGTTTTTGACTTCTACAAAGTCATTTTTTTTCCTTTTAGCCCTGAAAACTAGCCATTGCCAAAAGTGTGTAATTTAGGATGACTTGACAGGATGCAATTTGTTAACTAAGTTCATTAATGCAGCACAGAAAAAGTTACTTTTCAGGGATACCATATTATCATAATACAAAAACACGTTAGTTCATTTTTATGTATATGTATATATTTTTAATACTTTATTTTTGGAGCAGTTGTAGGTTTACAAAAAAGCAGAAAATACAGAGTGTTTCCAAATACCCCCTTCTCCCTCAGTTTCCCATACTATCTTGCACTGATGTGGCACATTGGTTATAATTGAGTCAATGTTTTGTTTTGTTTGGGGTTTTGTTTTTTGTTTTTTGTTTTGTTTGTTTGTTTTTTGAGACAGAGTCTCGCTCTGTCACCCAGGCTGGAGTGCAGTGGCGCGATCTCAGCTCACTGCAAGCTCCGCCTCCCAGGTTCATGCCGTTCTCCTGCCTCAGCCTTCCGAGTAGCTGGGACTACAGGCGCCCACCACCGTGCCCGGCTAATTTTTTGTATTTTTAGTGGAGACGGGGTTTCACTGTGTTAGCCAGGATGGTCTCAATCTCCTGACCTAGTGATCTGCCCACCTTGGCCTCCCAAAGTGCTGGGATTACAGGCATGAGCCACCACACCCGGCCAATCTTTTTTTTTTTTTTTTTTTTTTTTTTTTGAGATGGAGTCTGGCTCTGTCACCCAGGCTGGAGTGCAGTGGTGCAATGTCGGCTCACTGCAACCTCCACCTCCCAGGTACAAGCGATTCTCCTGCCTCAGCCTCCAAAGTAGCTGGGATTATAGGCGTGTGCCCCCACGCCTGGCTAATTTTTGTATTCTTAGTGGAGACAGGGTTTCACCATGTTGGCCAGGCTGGTCTTGAACTCCAGACCTCAGGTGATCCACCTGCCTCAGCCTCCCAAAGTGCTAGGATTACAGGTGTGTGCCACCACACCCAGCCTGATGAGTGAATCTTGATACTATTATTAATCCAAAGTCCGTTGTTCACGTTAGGGTTCACTTTTTGTGTTATACAGTCCTGTGGGTTTTGACAAATGTGTAATGTCATGTATCTGCCATTATGCAGAATAATTTCACTGCCTTCAAAAGCTCATGTGCTCTACCTATTCATACCTTCCTCCCTCTCATCTCACTCCCAACCCTGGCAACCACTGATCTTTTTATTGTCTCTGTAGTTTCATCTTTCCCAGAATGTTATACAGTTGGAATCATAGTATGTAGCTTTTTTCAGACTGGCTTCTTTCTCTTATCAATATGCATCAGAATTCTTCCAGGTCTTTTCATGATGAGTTCACTTTGTTTACTTTTAAAAACTTGCCAAGTTCACTAGTGAGAGGGGGAGAAAGAGTAGAGCAAGGAGTTCTGTCTGTGACTGAACAATCAATTGAGATAATTCACTACTTGCTGGAGAGCGAGAGTTCACTTTTGAAGAGGTGATTCGTCTTTAGTCAGCATGTCACTCATTGTGTGCAATGTCAAACACTGGTAAAATAGGGGCAGGCCAGGATAATGGCAGTTTTTTGTTTATTTGTTTTCATAAATAGTTTTTTATTTTAAATCCAATTTATCACATTTTTTCTCATGGCTAGTGATTTTTGTCTCTTGTTTAAGAAATTTTTCCCATCTCAACATCCTGATGATATTCTATGCTTTCTTCTAGAAGTTGTTTTAGTTCCTCATTTAGCTCTATGATCCATTTCAAAGTAATTTTTGTGTATGGTATGAGGTAGAAATCAAGTCTTACAGCTACCATCTTTTTACCTAAGCAATGTAAAAAGGAGGTGGAAGTTTCACACTCTAGTCTTATATTGTATCACTGGATAAATATGTCCACTGTTGACTTTGGAGAAAAAGCAAACCAAGAAGCAAACTGATCTAAAGTTTTTAAATGTAATCTTATGAGGGCTTTCTGAAAGGAGAGCTGAACTTAAGGATAGATAATATATAAAAAAACTTGAGTGCTGCTGCTAAAATCATGCTGAACTTGCCATACTATTTAATTACCAGAAATAGTTCTTTATTGCAATGGTTCCCAAATTTTGCTGTCCATTTTACAATCAACTGGGGAGTGCTTAAAGATCCCTATCTCCAGGCTGTACCCCATACCCAATAAATCACAATGTTTGGTTGTGGAAGCCAGGCATCAGATTTCCAGGTGATTTTCAGTGGCAACAAAATTTGGAATCCACAGCCTTACTAGATGCCAAATAATGAGTTTAGTGTTTCCGCATGTGTGATCTTGTTTCTTGTTTTTTAATCCTAATAACCCTGCAAGGAAGGTTTTATTGTCACTTTTTTTTTTTTACAGTTGAGAAACAAAACTCAAAATAAAGTCAATGATTTAAAATCACACAGCTCTTTAGGATTAAAATCCAGGGCTGTTTGATTCTTAAGCCTGTGTTCTCATACAACTCATGTTTTCATTGTGGGAGAGAGTCCAAAAATAAAGAAAACTAAGATAATTCTAGTTACCATGGAGACAAAATAAGGCATGAGTTAAAAAGTAACTTGAAAGATACTTGATAGTATTATTGTAGAAGGCTTCTCAGAGCAGGTGAGGCTTTGAGCAGAGACCTAACTCATAAAAAAGGAGCCAGCCATGGGAAGTTCTAGAGGGAAGAGTTCCAGGCAGAAGTAACATTGAGGTCAGAAGCCCTGAGGTGGGAATGAATTAGTGAGAGAACCTGGAAACATTAACACCTTATTAGCAATGAGCTCACCTAGCACCGAGACCTTGGCTTCTAAATACCCATTCTCCATTAAAAGGAATCAAAGTTCCTTGGAAATGGCTAATTCCAAGGCAAAGTATAAGATGAGCCTGAAACATCTTGTTCCAGGAAGCAGACAAGTGATCAAAGAATCTTGAGGAGGACATGTCCAAAGGACACAGAAGCCTGCTTGAAGGGGCTCCCATTGGCCAAATCAGAGACAATTTCAACATCAAAATAAATAATAATGGATTATAACTCATTTGATAAGCCATGGGTCAATGCTAATATAAATAAATGAACAGTCTAGGCATGATGGCTCACGCATGTGATCCCAACGCTTTGGGAGGCCAAGGTGGGCAGATCACTTGAGCCCAGGAGTTTGAGACCAGCTTGGCCAACATGGGGAAACCCTGTCTACTAAAAATACAAAAATTAGCCAGGCACAGTGGCAGGTGCCTTAATCTCAGCTACTCAGGAGGCTGAGGCACAAGAATCATTTGAACCTGGGAAGTGGAGGTTGCAGTGAGCTGAGATGACTCCAGCTGAGTGATGGAGCGAGACTCTGTCTCAAGCAAAATGAATAAATAAACAAATAATTTGAAGCAGAATGTGATGTTGACATGGTCTTTAAATACCTCCTTACAAAAATACTTATTTACAAAGGAGGAAAAAAGTAACTACAGTGGAGAAGCCTGGCAGATACAACCTTAAACAAGAAATCAAAGGTAAAATCATCAGTGCCACGACAAACTGAAATCATGTGCCTTCTGATAGAAGACAATGAGAAGACTGTAATACCACTTTCATAATATTCTTGCCAAAGATTCATAACCTGACTCAAATCATTAGGAAACATGAGACAAGAGGAATTATTGGCAGCATCTTTGTAGACAATCTGCTACAAAAATGCTAAGTTTGAGGAGCTTCTGAGACATTGAAGTAGGAAATTGCATGCAGGAGTTTGGTGTTCAGGAAGACTTGTGGACCAGTTACGTAAATGTGGGAGTTATTAGCATAAACTAATATTTAAAACCTTGGAACTTGGTGAGTTTGCCTTGAAATGGAGGGTAGACAAAAAAGAGAGGAAGGCTCAGAACTGAGCCTGAGGTGCTTCTGCATCTAGAGGTGATACAGAGAAGACAACAGAGAAAACTGAAAAGGGCCCTGTGAAATAGGAAGAGAACTAAAGTGTATGATCTAGTGAAAGGCAAGAGAAAAGCATTTCAAGAAGGCACCTATCTTGTTGAAAGGTCAAGTAAGAAGTGGTCTTTGGACCAAGTCTCACAGAGACCACTGATGGTTTGATAACAAGAACTCATGTTGCTCAAACTGAGTACCTCAATCTCCGAGGCATTCAACAGTGAGCCCATTTTAAAAGTCACTCAGAGTGTCAGTTTTACTCAGTAATAAGTAAGTCTAAATATTTTTGTCTATTAAAAGAGCTTTATTAAACACAACCATGCAAAATTTCCATACATTTTCAAGATCTTATATTAAGAAAAATAAATATGTATGCCCATGGGACTTTGGGTCACAATGTATCAGCTCAGCTTCTGGAGGAACTGGAGACTGAGGTCACTCGTGGGCAATTAACTGTGCCTATATGGCCAAGCCCCAATAAAAACTCTGGACAACAAAGCTCAGGTGAGTTTCTCTGGATGGCAGTATTCCATGCATACTGTCACGTGTCTCTGCCACGAGAAGTTCATACTGTTCACAATTCCACTAGGAGAGGACAACTGGAAGCTTTGAATGTGGAACTCTGCACCATGTGCCTCTTCCCTTGGCTGTTTGGTTTTTTCCCCCCGCCTGTATTATTTTGCTGTAATAAACTGTAACCATGAGTATAATGACTTGCAGTGAGTTCTGTGAGTCCTTCTAGTAAATTATCAAACCAACCTGAGGGCAGTCTGAACTTTGCAAAACCTGAAATTGGTGTCAGGAGTGAGGATGGTTTTGGGGACTCCCAAACTTTGCACTTTGAGACCATCATTTTCCTCTGCCAACATAGGAACCTGGATGGGAAAACTCGAGAAACACTTATCTAGACCCATACCATCATAAATTATTATAATCCAAAAATATTTATTAACCATCTGCTCTGTGACAAGCACTGCGCTGGGTAGTAGGAATCTAAAAATGAGCAAAGCACAGTCCAGCTCCTCCCCTCAAGGAGCTCATAGACATCGTACCACAGCAAAGAGGGAGTGAACAAGATAGTTATATAACTCTGCCCTGGAGCCTACTTCCAGGGAGGAATGGCAAGTTATGTGTGAGTGTGAGTATCATCTAAACGAGCAGGCATCCTTAAGTGAAATCTAAATACACTGATAACAACTTCATTTGGGTGTCATTCCCATTTAGTTCACCAGAAGGAATCAAAGAGTTCTAGTTTCCCTGAATACTAGGCATATGGTTACACCATTTACCAAAAGAAGGAACAAAAATGCAGAGAAAAATTATATGAAAAGACAGATTACGGTTCCAATAGGTGGGTGTTTGAGGCCCCAGAAGGATACCATATGGAAAATGTAAGATCCAGGTGGTGGTCGGGTCTAGAGTTTGGGTGGAAAGATTGGGATTAGACACCCAGATTTGGGAATCATAGCATAAAGTAGTTAATGCGGTGGAAAGGGATGGGCTGACTTGCAACTTTGTAATGCCCTTTAAAATGTTAGAAGCATCACTGAAAGATAGTACAATATGTTGGGAAACACCAACATTTAAGGGCCATATGGAGCAAAGCAGGCGGAGAAGAGGCTGACAATGAGAAGCCAGAGAGTTTGGACGACCCGAGTGGTAGGCTATGATCCAAGAGGAGTTTTGTCAAAGCTATTCAGAGCGCACTTGAATGAGGTCAAGCAGGAAATGATTTGGTTCTTGGCTTGGGAAGTCCACCACCCCTAGAGGTCTTCCATGACAACCTAGGGAAACACACTGAGAGTAATTTTTATTTGGAAGACGAGATGCAGTGGATCAGGAAAAAATCCTACCCTCTCTGGGCAAGGGCTAAAGTGGAGTGACAGCGAAAAGACAAAATTCTTAGGTCTTCTATGCCTTTGGTAAATGCTATCGAATGCAGGAAGTTTGGCTGGGATCCCTGGCTCAGAACTTCGTCTCTTCTCAGAGCTCCTCAGAAATGAGCAAAAGCAGCCCCCGCCCCTGCTTGGGAACGTGCCGGGCCCGCCTCCAGCCTCAGCCCCTCCGAGGGGGAGCAGGAGCGTGGCGCAACCGCCAGGGGGCGCAGACTGCAGGCTTATTTGTAAGAGTTGGGGCGGGGCCACGCGAGGGGCGGGCCCTGGGGTGGCTTCCGGTTTCCGGTTTCCGGCTTCCGGCGGAGTGCTGGGTTGTCGCTCGCAGCCGTCATGGCAGCGGAGGAGAAGGACCCTCTGAGCTATTTTGCGGCATACGGGAGCAGCAGCTCAGGCTCCTCGGACGAGGAGGATAACATCGAGCCGGAGGAGACGAGTCGCAGAACCCCGGATCCGGCGAAGTCGGCGGGCGGCTGTAGGAACAAGGCGGAGAAGCGGCTCCCGGGACCTGACGAGCTGTTTAGGAGCGTGACTCGCCCGGCCTTTCTCTACAATCCGCTCAACAAACAGATAGACTGGGAGAGGCACGTCGTCAAGGCGCCTGAGGAGGTGAGGTCCCCGACCCCGTTTCTCGGTCTCGGCCCCGGCCTGCGCCCCCTTTCTCCTGAGCCCCCTGCTGGGGACCTGCTGTCCATCCCCCCACACGCAGTCACCCCCGCGGGATGCCGCACCACCCCCTCCCACCTCAAGCCCTGGGAAACCTGGCCCCCTCTCCCCGCCTGGTGGGTGTTAGACCGGACCCGCAGCCCCGCCCCTTGTGAGGAGACCCAAACCTCCGCGCTCGGTGCCCCGACCCCGCGCGGCGAGGACTAACAGTGGTGACTCCCCCGCCCCCCCCGCTGCAGCTTCTCCCTGAGACCCCTTCCCTTTGACGCCGAAGTGCCTGCGGTGCTGCCTCCAAGACAGTGTCTGCTGCAGCCTCCTGAAGGGGTCAGCCTTGGCGTAGTATCTCTGAGACTGGATTCTTCTTTGGTAACTAAAAGTTATTAGCTTTATTCATATAGGGAACCCTTTGGCTTTTCACTTAACAGTATTGTGATTTTGATGGAAAAATGTGTCTTTCAACCTTAAAGAAAAAAAAAGTCAGCCTGAACGATAAGCGAACGGCAGGGAGTTGCATGTGCCCACGTCCATCGTAGGAACCTCGGTTCGTCACAGTGCTTCTTAATGTGCTTGCTTAACAGCCTCCAAAGGAATTCAAAATATGGAAGTCAAATTATGTACCACCTCCTGAGACCTACACCACTGAGAAGAAGCCTCCGCCTCCAGAGCTTGACATGGCAATAAAATGGTCTAACATATATGAGGACAATGGTGATGATGCTCCACAGAATGCTAAGAAAGCTAGGCTTCTACCAGAAGGGGAGGAGACGTTGGAATCAGGTAAGGAAAGTCAGAATCCGATGGTGGTCTATTTTGATCCCCGTGATGGGCTTAAAAAGAATGAGATATTTAATGAATGAAAATTAAATCTAGCGAATTGACAAACTAATTTGATGGTCTTTGGATACTTACTGCTCTGCTTTTGAGAAAGATCATACATATTTGGCTTTAACATGAAGTCTCTGATAGCTCAGCTAGTAGTAGTTGCTGTATTTTAGTGAAAGATCATAAATTATTCAGGCTTTAAAGTAAAATATCTGATATCTCATCCAGTGGTCAGATTTATGATGCATTATTAGAACAACACAAATCAATTCATGGTTTCTTGTGACTGTAGCTACAAAGTACTGAAGGCTTAATTTTCTTTTTTTTCTTCTTTTTCTTTTTTTTTTTCTTTTTTTTTGAGACAGCATTTCGCTCTTGTTGCCCAGGCTGGAGTGCAATGGCGCCATCTCAGCTCACTGCGAACCTCCACCTCCCAGGTTCAAGCGATTATCCTGCCTCAGCCTCCAAGTAGCTGGGATTACAGGCGCCTGCCACCACGCCGGGCTAGTTTTGTTTTTTTTGTTTTTTTTGTTTTTGTAGAGGTGGGGTTTCACCATGTTGGTCAGGCTGGTCTTGAACTCCTGACCTCAGGTGATCCACCTGCCTCGGCCTCCCAAAGTGTTGGGATTTACAGGCGTGAGCCACCGCTCCCGGCCGAAGGCTTCATTTTCTATTAAAGCAGTTGTGCTTCAGAGCTAAAATTAGTATGACAAAATGAATTTAACTGAGCATTACTACATAGTAATAGGAAGATAATGACTGAGTTGTTTTACTTTAGTTCATAATAGCATAATTTCGTCTCTTACTTGGACTGTCACAGTAATCTTTGCCTACACATTCTTATCCAATCTGTACCATCCTTCACTGCAGCTAGTGTTGAGTTTCTAAAAGTCGTATCTGATTATATAACTTGCCTGCTTAAAACCCTTCAACGGGATAAAGTCAAGGCCTTGTATTAATAGGCCCTTTCTCCCTGTCCACAGTCATTTTTAATGGCCCCTTTCTAGCACTTGAAGATCTTGAAATCCAGAACTGAATTGTATGGTTCCCTGCCTTTCAGTATACGTTGCACCTTATTCTTTAGTGTTCTTTCTTATCTCTGGCTAGTAAACTAATTCATCCTTCAAAATCCAAATCAAAAGAAGAAATCTCAGGTATCACCTCTAATAATTATTTGCTCCTTTGTACCTTGTTTATGCTAATGCTGTTGATTGCCCTCATCACTTGTATGTGATTTTTTTAAAAGTCTGTCTGCTTTATGATGAGTTCCTCAAACAGCAGGATTTGAAGTGTTTGTATCGAGTACATTGTAAGTATTCAGTAATTGTTGAATTGAACTAATGTTTTGGACCATTATTTTTAAGAAAGTATGCCATTTTTGTTAAACAGATTTCTGATCTTCCCACAATACAAGGGCTACTTAGCCCGTTTTTAACAGTCATGCAGGGAGTGATGTTTTGTTTTAAGAGAAAGGAGAACTGATTGGCAGTTCTTTCTTTAATTTTGATTCTACCTAGCTTTTCCATTACTTTTGCTGACTTCTAATATGTATTAGTCACTAATGAAGGAGCATCTTCAGTAAGTAGCATCTTTTTGCAGACCTTAAATGATGTAAACATTTATAATATCTCATATTGTACAATCTTTTTGTTTTCTTTTCTTTTTTTTTTTTTTTTTTTTGAGGCGGAGTCTCGGTCAGTCGCCCAGGCTGGAGTGCAGTGGCGCCATCTCGGCTCACTGCAAGCTCCGCCTCCCGGGTTCACGCCATTCTCCCGCCTCAGCCTCCCAAGCAGCTGGGACTGCAGGTGCCTGCCATCACACCCAGCTAATTTTTTGTATTTTTAGTAGAGACGGGGTTTCACCGTGTTAGCCAGGATGGTCTGGATCTCCTGACCTCGTGATCTGCCCGCCTTGGCCTCCCAAAGTGCTGGGATTACAGGCGTGAGCCACCGTGCCCGGCCATTCCTTTTCATAATTAGTAAAAATATATTTGCTTAAATAATCTTTATTACAACACCTTGTGAAATAAGATAGAGAAATGTGGAAATGATAGCTTACATAACTTGTCCAAGGTCACAAACTAGAAAATGCCAAATTCTAAAATAGGCACTTTCACACAGTTTTCTAATTTATTACTCCGAGCAACCTGATACAGAAGTGCTACATGACTCATTATTACTGTTTTACAGATGATAAAACAATCTGAGATTAGGGACTTTACCCAAATTCATTCACGCAGCTAAAGAAGAGACAGAGTAGTAGGCATTCAAATCCAGACCTTTAAATAGAAATTATGCCTTATTAAACTGGGATTTGGTCTCCTGATGAATAGCCATTTCTCAACAGTGAGATATAGCTATTCTTCTGTAGGGCGAATGGCAGTAAAGATACTAGGGTTGATACTCAAACTAGATTTCCATAGGCTGGTGCTCTCACATCTTTGTAGTTATATGGAAAAAACCAGGATTATACACCAGGGCAAGCAAGCAAGAAAGAATTATCTTTTTCTAGCTTAGCTTTTGAGTTAAGTTAGAAGGAGTTCCAAATATGTGGCAGGTAACACTGCTATTCACATAGATAATTTCTGTCTTTTTGATCACATGATGGTCCTTTATTGGAAAACAAATACAGGCAAAATCAAATAACAGACCCATTTTTTAGAAGTGATTTTCAGATTCCTATAAAATCAATTATGTCATAATTTTTTAGCCTTTCTTTTTCATTCATAAAATATATATCAGAAACTCTACACTCTTACCCAGATTTTAGATTAGCAAGTGACTTTTTTATTTTGCTTCCCCATTCTGCCCTTTGGCCTTTTATTGCCGGTTAACGTCTTCCAGTTACTTTAGAGGAAGGGCTGGGAAAGGTTCAGAACTCATCATTGGGTCTTGCTGCTTATCAGCCCTTCGGGTTTTTTTTTTTTTTTGAGATGGAGTCTCGCTCTGTCGCCCAGGCTGGAGTGCAGTGGTGTGATCTCGGCTCACTGCAACCTCCGCCTCCCGGGTTCAAGCGATTCTCCTGCCTCAGCCTGCCAAGTAGCTGGGACTACAGGCACACGCCACCACGCCCAGCTAATTTTTGTATTTTTAGTGGAGATGGGGTTTCAGCATGTTGGCCAGGGTGGTCTCGATCTCCTGACCTCGTGATCCGCCCGCTTCAGCCTCCCAAAGTGCTGGGATTACAGGTGTGAGCCACCGCACCCTGCCACTTCTGGTTTTAGTGGTTGTAAAATGTAGGTAAGCAAAGCTTAGTTATTAGTTGTAGCTTTATTGACATGTATAATAATTAATTGTAAAAGCATAATTAATATAGTGATTTTTAGTTTACACTTTTTAGAATTTAGAAAGTTTGTCTATTGATAAGTTAAACTTACTTGAGTGATTTGAGTTCCATAATAAAAAAATTGTTTCCTTACCAGTACATCTATACTATATGAGACCGAGTAAAAAAGCTCAGTAAAATTGATAAATGAACATTGCTCAGATTTTTTCCTACTCTAGTTTATAAAGCAATGCCTTGTCATGACACTAGATGGCATAGCACTTCTGCTCAAATCACTGATAGCCAGTTACTTTTTAACTTCAGTAGTTTGTGGTTTTGTTATTCAGTTAATTTACTTGTAATAAGTGGCAAATTAAAAGCAAAAATATCTCAGTATCATCTAAATGTATGCTAATGCATAGTGAATATTATAGTAAACTTAGTACTTTCCATTTTTATATTATCACTACTGAAAATCTCAAAAGAGGAGCTTAGTGATAATTAACTCGTTAAAAAGCAAAAGGTGCCGGGTGCGGTGGCTCACGCCTGTAATCCCAGCACTTTGGGAGGCCGAGGTGGGTGGATCACGAGGTCAGGAGATAGAGACCATCCTGGTTAACACCGTGAAACCCCGTCTCTACTAAAAATACAAAAAATTAGCTGGGTGTGATGGCAGGCACCTGTAGTCCCAGCTGCTTGGGAGGCTGAGGCAGGAGAATGGCGTGAACCTGGGAGGTGGAGATTACAATGAGCTGAGATGGTGCCACTGCACTCCATCCTGGGCAACAGAGCAAGACTCCATCTCAAAAAAAAAAAAAAGCAAAACGTTTGGCTTGTTTTGGTGGTATACCATGTTATTTGGTTTGTGGAGCCAGTGTTTTTGTATGAACATGATGAACTACTGATTAAAACTTTGATTTGTAAATTCCTGGGGTGAGTTGATCTGAATTGTATTTTATTCCACTGCCTACATAAATCCATAGTGCTCTGTGAAGCATATGAATAACATCACCGTGCTGTGCTTGAAGGGGAGTGAAGATGAATGGTATTGATTGTTATCTGCATCAATAAATGAGATATTCTGATTATGGTACAGTCAGCAGAAGGGAATTGAAGGCTTAAGATTTTAATATTTCCTTCAAGGAATTTATGATTTGATGTCAGTAGTTCCTCACATTTTTTAATAATGAAGGCTCCTTTCAATATCAAGATATTTTATAGATCTCCACATGATAACCTGTTGAACTTTTTGAGTATCTGTTGATCAAGAAAATAAAGTCAAAAGCTACAATTAATTAGTAATGTGCTCAAAATAAATTTGTATTTTATAAATCATAACATCTTTTCCATGTTACTCTGTCTATATGGAGTTCTTAATACCACACATTTGCTTAGGGAGATGGAATTAGCAACTAGTCTGTGCTACCCTGTATTTTTTTTTTAACCATGTAGTTGGATTTTTTAAAATACAATAAAAGAGTTCACTTTTCCAGGTTTGACAACATTTTTATGAATTGGAAATTTTCTGTGGCTACAGATACTATTAACATTTTGGAAAGGTGTAAAGAACATTGTTTTAATGTAAGGCTCTTCTCTAACCTCCCTCCCCTCTCCAAATTCTCCATAATATGAAGTAGGAAGATATGTATTTTTCTGTTGCCATTAAAATGTTCTGGCCATCGTGGGAGTGGGGATGGGGAGGGCGGGGATGGGAATTAGAACTTACTAGAATAAAATTCCAAATAGAGGTTTGGGGAAACCTACTTGTGAGTGCTTTTTAACCTCAAAATAAGGATTTGGGGTGGGTGGAGAAGGTGATGGGGCAGAAGAAGTTGTTTTTGGAGGAGAGAAAGCAGATTGAAAGGAAAAGGACAGCTGATAGCCACTTAAATAATGTCATCGTTAGAGTGATACCTATTTTTTGTAAAAAGAAAACAATATGCTCCATTCTTACAAAGCATTGATTGTATTTTAATATATACAATGTAAATACTATCATGCAGTGGTGTCCAAGGGAGAGAATACAGTCATGAGTTCTTAGTTTCTGTTATTGGTTGGGCCAATAAAGCCCCTTCATCATCCTTCTTTTCTGCTTATCACTAGAGACAGAAACTAAAAACCATGGCTTCAGGCTGCTAAAAGCCTAAAACAAAACAGAACAACAACAACAAATAAGGCAGGTTGGACAAGCTTGCTGAGTATTTGGGAGCCTTTTTCAAAAGTCTGATTTGGGGGAAGTAAAGTCACTTATTTTAAGCTACCTTAGTATAGCACCTAAAGAGTTACTTTGTGAATTTTGTATGGCTGCAATTGAAAAAAAAAATTGCTCACTTTCACTTGCATTTAAAAATCAGAGCTCTAAAAGTTAATTCTTGTTTTTTATTGGGAAACTCTGAGAGAAACATTAATTGATGAGGGTAATAATTTTGGTATAAAGCCAGTGAAATTTTAATGCTTAACATGTTGGGTTTTTTAAAATTACTGATTGAAACTCTTCCTTTTCTATTTAAAGATGATGAAAAAGATGAGCATACTTCTAAAAAGCGCAAAGTAGAGCCAGGAGAACCAGCAAAGAAGAAAAAGTAGAAACAAATGACCAGAATTTCTGTACTGCTAAACTTGTTGAAATGTTTCTTTGGACAGATTAAGTTGATATTGTGGGTTATTATGCCACATCTCCATGAAAATGCATACGTTAATGAACTAATAAGTATTGCCTCAAGAACTTTCCACTATAGAATTCTTTTTTTATTTAAAACATGTATGTATTTAAAACTCAACTGGTGACTTGTGATTGTGAAATTGATAACACTTGGATGCATTCTTGCT
The DNA here is from genome assembly GCF_000001405.40 of Homo sapiens. Taxonomy (NCBI): domain Eukaryota; kingdom Metazoa; phylum Chordata; class Mammalia; order Primates; family Hominidae; genus Homo; species Homo sapiens. The sequence goes on along the minus strand of NC_000001.11, from coordinate 85,252,385 downwards.
CTCACAGAATTGGTGACATGCTTTGAGAGTTTTGTCACATGTTGACATGCCAATGTTCTTATAAACCTTTTATAAAGGAATATATTTTTAAAGTAAATATATTGTAATGTACTGTGAACTTGTAGGGTGCTTTTCAACAGTCTTTGTACAGTGTAAATAGATCATGGAAATAAAATTACTTATTCAATATTACTATTACTGTATAACATTAACATTTGAATGTTTGTCTGTGACAAGTACCCTATTTGTCGTGTGACATTTTAAGTTGTAATAAGAAGTATTACCATTTAAAGAGTGCCTCCTGTGTTCCAGGTGCTTTGTGCATATATTTTCTCTGATCCTTAAACAACCTAGCGCAAGGTATTATTAGTATTCTCATTTTATAATAAAGAGTGCTTGAGTAGCTTGTCTGATGTTACACAGCTAGTGAGTGGTTCATTTGGAATTTAACTTGGGACACTTGAACCTCAAAATCATCACATTAAACCACCTGTCCACCAGTCAAAATTTAGTCATCTTTCAGGAATGACATCAATTGTCATCTCTTCCAGGTACTTTTTTCTGTTGTACCTGGAGATCCGTTAGTAGAGATCTTTTCCTCTCCTGATTGGATGACTGTACTTGTCATCTGTGCTTTATGGTTATTCATTAATTTCTTTATTAAATTGTAAGTTTACAGGACATTCAGTTAAATTTGAATTTCAGATAAATAATGTTTTAGTATATTTAATATTCAGGACATATACAAAAAATGTGTTTATCTGAAATTCAAATTTAACTGAACATCTTTTATCTGGTAACCCTACTTCTACATGTTTTCTCTACCCAGCTTCTATTTTAATGCTTTGCGTATAGTAATAATAAAATGAACAAGAAGTAGTTGGGAAGGTGTGATCGTTGAGTTCCAAAATGCAGTTATTTGTAGCATTTTGAACAATAAAAAGGTTACACTCTGCATCAATCTTTCCATGAATCTGAAGCCCTTAAGAGATAAGAATTACAGAACAGTGCACATTCAGTGTATAAGAACAAGACAGCCAAGCATGGTGGCTTATGCTTGTAATCCCAGCACTTTGGGAGGCCAAGGTGGGAGGATAGCTTGAGGCCAAGAGTTGGAGACCAGCCTAGACAACATGATAAGACCTCATCTTTACAAAAAATAATTTAGAAAGAAAAAGACATAATCTAAGTATTTTTTTTTAAATCTGTTTTTCCCCATTGTGGAAGATAAAATTTGAACAATTACGCGAGATTTGTTTACCTAGGCATGTGTATCAAGTAGATTAAAATTCATAAAAGTCATTAAGAGTGATTGCATCAGCCATGGTGCTTTGTGGAATGAAGGTCCATAACAGCATGATGGCTTCCAGTATATCATCGAGTTTAGAAAAACCAATTCTATAGCTGCCCATCCTCCAGGTTTGCAAATATATGAATCCCAAAATTGAAGTAATTGCTAAAGCAAGAATATGTTTTTTTAAGATTGTAGTCTTTGTAATGAATTTGGAAATCTGTGGTATCATATACTAAGGAGTGGCATCAAGTGACAAAGCAAGACCATAGTATGTACATGACACCAAACACAACCAAATCAAGTTATATTTGTGAAGTTGTGATTCCCAAGCTCTGGAGAAATCTAAAATTTGGATGCATGTGTTGGTGGAGCAAATATCTCAGAAGTTACTGAAATATTGCAAGGTTCTTAAGTTAGCATGAAAGCAAACTTTTTTCTCTCTTTCCTGGGAGATGTGCAGAGTATGTTGTATGAGGAGGAAGACAGGACTTAGGGAAGAGGCTAAATATTTTGGAGCAAGTCTGACTCAGCCATTTGTATCTCCTGGTTGGAAAACGGACTGTCATATCACTCTACATTCATCATCACATTAGAGAATAGATTATTTTCCCCTTTAGAGATGTCCTGGGAACGTGTTTGCACAAGTGTCCATGTGGGTACTGAGGTGAAGTTTGGTTGAGCTAGTGGAAACCTAGTGGGGAAAAGTCTTAAAAATCCATATACATAAGAAAAATCATCTGTCCAAGTATCTTTCATTTTAGAGAATCGAGTCACTTGATACTTCTGATTGTTTCCTGCACTTTAAGTTAAGCCTGGGCAACATGTTGAGATCCTGATCTGGTTTGGCTGTGTCCCCAACCAAATCTCACTTGAATTGTAATTCCCACAATTCCCACGTGTCATGGGTGGTGACTGAATTATGGGGGTGGGTCTTTCCGGTGCTGTTCTTATGATAGTGAATGAGTCTTACGAGATCTGATGGTTTTAAAAACCATCAGTGCAGGGAGTTGCCCTGCACAAGCTCTCTGCCTGCTGCCCTCCACATAAGATGTGTCTTGCTCCTCTTGCCTTCTGCCATGATTGTGAGGCTTCCTCAGCCATGTGGAACTGTAAGTCCAATTAAACCTGTTTCTTGCAAATTGCCCAGTCTCTGGTATGTCTTTATCAGCAGCATGAAAATGGACTAATACAGTTAATTTGTACCAGTAGAGTGGGGTACTGCTGAAAAGATACCCAAAAACGTGGAAGTGACTTTGGAACTGAGTACAAGGCAGAGCTTGGAATGTTTGGAGGGCTCAGAAGAAGACAGGAAAATATGGGACAGTTTGGAACTCCCTAGAGGCTTGTTGAATGGCTTTGACCAAAATGCTGATAATGATATGAACAATGAAATCCAGGCTGAGGTGGTCTCAGATGGAGATGAGGAACTTGTTGGGAACTAGAGCAAAGGTCACTCTTGATATGTTTTAGCAAAGAGACTAGTGGCATTTTGCCCCTGTCCTAGAGATTTGTGGAACTTTGAACTTGAGAGAGATAATTTAGGGTATTTGGTGGAAGAAATTTTTAAGCAGCAAAGCATTCAAGAGGTTACTTGGATGCCATTAAAGGCATTCAGTTTTATAAGGGAAGCAGAGCTTGAAAGTTCAGAAAATTTGCAGTCTGACAATGCCATAGAAAAGAAAATCCCATTTTCTGAGAAGAAATTTAACCTGGCTGCAGAAATTTGCTTAAGTAATGAAGAGCCAAATGTTAATCCCCAAGACAACGGGGAAAATGTCTCCAGGGCAGGTTAGAGGTCTTCACAGCAGCCCCTCCCATCACAGGCCCAGAGGCCTAGGAGGAAAAAGTGGTTTTGTGGGCTGGACCCAGGATTCCTGTGCTGTGTGCAGCCTAGGGACTTGGTGCCCTGTATCCCAGCCACTCCAGCCATGGCTGAAAGGAGCCAACGTAGAGCTCAGGCCATGGCTTCGGAGCATGCAAGCCCCAAGCCTTGGCAGCTTCCATGTGGTGTTGAGCCTGCAGGTACACAGAAGTCAAGAATTGGGCTTTGGGAACCTCTGCCTAGATTTCAGAAGATGTATGGAAACAACTGGATTCCCAGGCAGAAGTTTGTTGCAGGGATGGGGACCCTCATGGAGAACCTCTGCTAGGGCAGTGCAGAAGGGAAATGTGGGGTTGAAACCCCCAGAGTCCCTGCTGTGGCACCACCTAGTGGAGCTGTAAGAAAAGGGCCACCATCCTCCAGACCCCAGAATGGTAGATCTACTTACAGCTTGCACCATGCGCCTGAAAAAGTCACTGACAGTGCCAGCCCATGAAGGCAGTGGGGATGGAGGCTGTACCCTGCAAAGCCACAGCGGCAGAGCTTCCCAAGACCATGGGAACCCACCTCTTGCATTAGCATGACCCAGATGAGAGACATGGAGTCAAAGGAGATCATTTTGGAGCTTCAAGATTTGACTGCCTTGCTGGATTTCAGACCTGCATGGGGCCTGTAGCCCCTTTGTTTTGGTCAGTTCTCCCATTTGGAATGGCTGTATTTACCCAATGCCTTTACCCCCATTGTATCTAGGAAGTAACTAACTTGCTTTTGGTTTTACAGGCTCACAGGCAGAAGGGACTTGCCTTGTCTCAGATGAGACATGGGACTGTGGACTTTTGGGTTAATGCTGAAGTGAGTTAAGACTTTGGGGGACTATTGGGAAGACATGACTGGTTTTGAAATGTGAGGACCTGAGATTTGGGAGGGGCTGGGGTGGAATGATATGGTTTGGCTGTGTCCCCACCCAAATCTCATCTTGAATTGTAACTCCCACAATTCCCAGATGTCATGGGAGGAACCCATTGGGAGGTGACTGAATTATGAGGGCAGATCTTTCCCGTGCTGTTCTCATGCTAGTGAATGGGTCTCATGAGACCTGATGATTTTAAAAATGGGAGTTGCCCTGCACAAGCTCTTTTTGCCTGCTGCCATCCAGGTAAGATGTGACTTGCTCTTTCTTGCCTTATGCCATGATTGTGAGGCTTCCCCAGCCACATGGAAGTGTATGCCCAATTCAACCTCTTTCTTTTGTAAATTGCCCAGTTTTGGGTACGTCTTTATCAGCAGCATGAAAATGGACTAATACAGACCTCATCTCTACAAAAAAATTTAAAAATTAGCCAGGCGTGGTGGTGCACGATAGTAGTCCTAGCTATTGGGAAAGGCTGAAGCAGGAGGATCACTTGAGCCCAGGAGTTAAAGGCTGCAGTGAGCTATGATGCACCACTGTACCCTGGCATGGGTGACAGAGCAAGATCCCATCTCTAAAAAAAAGAAATAAACCATATCAGGCATGAATGGCTTTTTGTACAGGGTAATTTGAGAAAATAACTAAGCATATGTGGGCCATGTTTTAAAATTTGAAGTGTAAATAGCTTCATAGAGTTTTATGGGAAACATTCTAACTGGAATCAGAAAAATATTACTGATTCAACTGCTTTGGCCAAAAAAAATTACTGAGAAAATTGGCAATGCGTTTTCACCATTAAAACACTAAGATCTGGACTCAGTTGTAAACTTGCAACTTTCTAATCTTAAAATTTAATGCTGTGTAGTGCTTTTGAATTCACAAAGTTTAGTCACATAATATTTTAGTTTCCAAAAATCCAATTAGGTAGGTTTCATCATTTTCAAATTGTGGAATGGAAAATAGGCCTAGTGAGCTGACATAGTGTACCCATGGATGTACAGTGTGTTAGCTTCAGAGAAGAGAGGGATGGAGAAACTGGTAGTGCTTAGTTGGATATAATAGCTGAGCATGAGGCTTTCTTTTATTGCTAATTATATTTTTAAATTTAAAATATGAATGGATTAATGCAGGTTTGAACATAATCTACATTTAAAATATGTCACACAAGTTAGGTACAAAGCTCTACCAGAGACATTTGAAACCTCTAAGTATTTTTACAGGTCTATATAATCCGAATAAATGCAGCAACTCAATTTGATTAAGTCAAAAACTGACTAATCTGAATTCATAACTGGACTTTAAAACATGGGTGGTATTTTGGAATTTTAGAATTTTTATCCATACTGTACTGCTTCCCTATGTCACCCCTCCATTTCATAATAGTACAGAAGTTTCACATATTCCTACAAAATCGTGTTAAAATTCCCAGCAAATGTTTTGGAATTTGCATTACATTCTAAAGTTTTCTCTCTTCATCTTCCTCCACATAGATAATTTTTCCAATTTTTTGAAGCATTGCCTTTCAATGAAAAGAGAGTGTGGGGAGATACCAAGAGGCATTTGTGTGTTCTGTCCACAGACAAGGGACTTTTTGCCTGTTTTGTTCATTGACTAGAACAATGCCTGGCACATAGTAGGCACTCAATATGACTGCTAAATGTTGCAAGTAAGCTGAATTCCTCACCCCTGGCTTAGGGTTGATTCTCATTTGTCTTGGTATAATGCTATCCCCCCATCCAGAGGCTTGTGTTTTCAGTTATATGGGCCAATATGTCTTATTAACAATGTAAACAAGTTTGAATTGGGTTTTCTGTCATTTTTCCACTAAAACCATCAATTAGTGCAAAACTGATTTACTCTTTTGGTTTCTTCCAGGGCTCCATGCTATTCTGGTTCTATTTTCTCTGGTTCCTTCTCTTCCAACTGCCCCTGGTTGCCAGTGTAGTCTACATTGTTATTCTTCTCATTCTCTACCCTTGTTCTTGAAGATTTCAACCAAGTTCATGGCTACTACAATCAGTAACACTTTGATGATCCCCTATACTGTATGGCTTGCCAGAGTGCTCTTATAAAGCCTAGATTTGTGTATCCAATTGTACATCTCCACTTGGTTCTTAAAGGTCCCTCCCATACTGTATGTCCAAACACATTGTGTCAAAGGTCACACCATGTACCACATTTTGTTTCTGATTAATGGCATCACCATAAACCCAGAAACCTGCTCTACCTCACTTCCTATCACATAGGTTTGGTCAGTAAATCCTGTGGTTTCTACTCCCTCATTCCCATGTGCCTCTATTTTTTCTCTCTCTTTTTTAAAATCTTTGCTTTTGGATGGAGGCAGCATATGTCACATGCCTCTTAATCTAGCTCTAATGAATCATTTACAATTCCCCAGATATGCTATTTAGTTTCGTGGTTCTGTGCCTTCACTCACACCATTTGCTTGACTTGGCCCTTTTTTGTCTTCCTTGTGAACTCCGTATTTTCTCCAAGAACCAGTTGAAATATTCCCTCTTTAATGCACTTTGTTTTATTTATCTCCATATCCACCTCTACATTGCTTTCCCTCATACTGGGCACAAAATGAATAGCCAACATTTATTGAATGCTTGCTATGTGCCAGGCATTTTTCTACATGCTTTACATGTATTGAGTCATTTAGTTTGATGAGGTAGGTGCTATTACTAACCCTACTTTTCAGGGGAGAGAACTGGTACAGAGAGGTTATGTAATTTGTTCAAGGCACTGGAGCTGGGAAACCCAGGCATTCTGGCTCCGGGGCCAGTACATTAAGCTGGAGGAGGGAGGAATGACTGCATTAACCATTAGATTGGCTTAGTTCTTTGTGTGTGTTTGATTCAAAGAATGTCTTATCCTTAGAAGGCACTCAGAATACAAATATTTGGAGAATTAATGGATCCAAAACCATTTCACTAAACAGACGAGCAGCATTGGTTAAATACACCAGAAACATCTTTTACGTGGATTAAAGTCAATATGCAAATCTTTTAGGAAGATTAATACATATTTTAAGGACTTAGTAACTTATTACATGTTTGGAGTATCTGTAATCGAAAGCCTTAAAAGATAGTAATAGGGCTGAGAATATTACTCCCTCCCCCCAAAAAATATTTTTTAGCTTTTCAGTTTCTTTAAAAAATTTTTGTTGCTTGTAAAGAACAGTTTTTCAAAGTCTACATTTTTTAAAGCAAAATGAGCTTTAAGCCACAAGTTCTGCCTCAAATTTCATTGGCTTTCCTCTAACATTTCATTTTATGACTTGAGTTTAGAATCATAGCACCTGGCATGGAAAGGCCTCCAGAGGTCCTCCAGTACAGCCAGCCCCAAACAGTAATGTCTTCGGTGTGATCTTTGTCTCGCTTTTCTAGGCCCACAGACAAGCCCACGAAATGACAGGTTTACAGCCTGGATTTGAAGAGTCATTTCCTGTGTGTCTGTAATATTTTGGTATGCAGGGTCTGGAACTCCTCTTTCTTTCCCTTGTTTACCATTTTCTGAAAGGAAGAAACAGAGGTTTTGGTGCATGGCATTGAGGTAAAAGTGTAGCCCTTTTCCTGGTATAATTACCTGTCTCTGTTTCTAAATGGGACCCAGATCCTAGCAACCTTCCCTGGCATGGCATGCTAGAAAGTTTGCATTCACATTTTAAATTTAGAATTCCTGAGGGAAACTGCAGTGAACTAACAGAGCAATCACTTCCAACTGAGGAGGTGACTTATCTGCCAGCAAAGCTCCAAACAAGCCAGCTCAGAAATCACTCCTCCAAGGCCTTCCCCCAACACCCCCAGTCTAGGGGCATTTTAAGACCCTGCTGCTAGTTTTCAGTTTGGAGATATATACCGGTACACATACATACACCCTGAGGTGTTCAGTAATGATCAGTAGGATCTTTCCCTCCTTTTTCAGGCTGTTCTGCCTTGAGGCCTTCCCTTCCAATCCTGTCCTTAACCACAAAAAAGTGGCCTAAAAGCCTTAGCAGTAAAATGTCTTCCATAACATCTGGAATCCATATGTCAAATCTGTAAGGCATAAGCTCTTTTTTCTTTTCTTTTTATTTTGCCTTAATTATTTGAGCTCCAAATCCCCCACCCCAACCTCTTTTCGTGCCAAACTAATTAGGGCAATTATCTGAGCCATCCGTGGCTACAGATCAGTTAAACCCTGTTATTGAGGGTAACAAATGAGAGGGTTAATTTTTCTTGACTGCTCCATAGTTGGGGAAGAAAGATAATAAGCCCTTATATTTGTCGGGTGCTTTTGAGTTTTCAAACTCTCTATTCTCTACACCAAGCTGCCACCTGGGAAAAGGGCTTACTTTGGGGTTCCAGACTGTCTGGAACCCTGAGGTAAACGATTTAATTCTGAATGAAGCACTGGAATTTGCTGCTATACATGAAAGAGGCCCCTCCAGCTTTGCTGCTCAATATGTAAAAAAGATTTTGATGCTATTTTAAAGAAACAGGTTTGCCATTTCTTTAATGCCTCTGGCACCAACTTGGAAATGTTTACTTAAAATCTTAAGACAGTAAAGTGGCTTTTTCTGGATAATAGGACAATGTCTTGTGTGTTTCTAACTTACATAGAAGTTGCTGAATTCATCCAATTGCTCTGGCTAATTATGAACTGCTTAGGTTTTTCTATTCTTTTTCCACTTTTGTTTCATTGCAACAGTAAGAAGACTATCCTATGTCAGGCTTGCTGGGCAGCAAACCAGTCCCTAATTTAATCTTTTGCCCTGGAGGTTTATTTTAGATCATGCAGCCTAGCATTGAATGTTTTTTTAAGCCCAGGAGAGTAGGTGGAGGAGGATTAGGGTTTCTTAGCATTACCATGATTTCAACTAGTTTTTCCAAGAGGGATTTGTGAAAATTTGGTAAACAATGATGGAGAACAGCTTTTCAATTGCCTCACAGAAATACTAACAGTAAGCCATATGTCATAGAAGCACAGAAAAAAAAAACTCTACATGGTTTTATTACTACAAATATACTTAGCCTTTTCAAGGACAGGAACAATGTTTACAACAAAAACACAATAACAATTCGTTCTACTTAAGCTACATTGTTTTAATTCTCATAACATTAATGTTATATAGTTAGATATAAATTATTTTTAAAAGTAATACTCATTAAAATTTTTTCTGATTATGAAGATGAGATACATTCTTACTATAGAAGTTCTGGAAGAAAAAGAAATTTAAAAATAGAAATCATTATTAGTAGAGAAATCCACTGTTAACATGTTAATAGTATTTTCTTACAGTGTTTTTTTCTATGCACATATATATATATTCTAAACAATATAGACAAGAATTAAGAATTCCTGGCCAGGAGCAGTGGCTTATGTCTGCAATCCCGGCACTTTGGGAGGCAGAGGTGGGTGGATCACGAGGTCAGGAAATCAAGACCATCCTGGCCAACATGGTGAAACCCTGTCTCTATTAAAATACAAAAAATTAGCCGGGCATGGTGGTACCCGCTTGTAGTCCTAGCTACTCGGGAGGCTGAGGCAGGGGAATCGCTTGAACCCAGGGGGCGGAGATTGCAGTGAGCTGAGATTGCACCACTGCACTCCAGCCTGGCGACAGAGTGAGACTCCGTCTCAAAAAGAAAAAAAAAAAGAATTCTTGGCCGGGCGTGGCAGCTCACGCCTGTAATCCCAGCACTTTAGGAGGCCCAGGCCGGCGGATCACCTGAGGTCAGGAGTTCGAGACCAGCCTGGCCAACATGGTGAAACCCCGTCTCCACAAAAGTACAAAAATTAGCCGGGCATGATGGCAGGTGCCTGTAATCCCAACTAGGCGGGAGGCTGAGGCAGAAGAATCACTTGAACCTGGGAGACGGAGGTTGCAGTGAGCCGAGATTGTGCCATTTCACTGCAGCCTGGGCAAGAGAGTGAGACTCCACCTCAAAAAAAAAAAAAAGAGAGAATTCTTTAAAAACCCAATTTTTGGCCAGCCACGATGGCTCACACCTGTAATCCTAGTACTTGGGAGGTTGAGGCAAGAAGACCCCTTGAGGCCAGGAGTTCAAGACCAGCCTGGGCAACATAGTGAGAGTCCATCTCTACAAAAAAATGAAAAAATTAGCCAGGTGTTGGCCAACATGGTGAAACCCCGTCACTACTGAAAATACAAAAAATTAGCCGGCCATGGTGGCGCATGCCTGTAATCCCAGCTACTAGGGAGGCTGAGACAGAATAGCTTGAATCAGGGAGTCGGAGGTTGCAGCGAGCCGAGATCACGCCACCGCACTCCAGCCTGGCGACAGAGCGAGACTCCGTCACAGACACACACAAAATTAGCCAGGTGTTATAGTGCATGCCTGTAGTCCCAGCTACTTAGGAGGCCAATGTGAGAGAATCACTTGAGCCTAGGACTTCGAGGGTACAGTGAGCTATGACTGTACCATTGCACTCCAGCTGGGTGACTGTGTTAGGCCTTTTTTTGTTGCTATAAAGAAATACCTGGCCGGGCACGGTGGCTCACGCCTGTAATCCCAGCACTGTGGGAGGCCGAGGCGAGTGGATCACGAGGTCAGGAGATCGAGACCATCCTGGCTAACATGGTGAAACCCCATCTCTACTGAAAAATACAAAAAATTAGCCGGGCATGGTGGCACATGCCTGTAGTCCCAGCTACTCGGGAGGCTGAGGCAGGAGAATGGCGTGAACCCGGGAGGCGGAGCTTGCAGTGAGCCGAGATGGCGCCACTGCACTCCAGTCTGGGCGACAGAGCGAGACTCCGTCTCAAAAAAAAAAAAAAAAAAAAGAAAAAAAGAAATACCTGAGATTGGGTAATTTACAAAGAAGAGGTTTAATTGGTTCACGGTTCTCTAGGCTTTACAGGAAGCATGGTGCTGGCATCTGCCTGGCTTTTGGGGAGGCCTGGGGAAGCCCATAATCATGGCAGAAGGCAAAGTGGGAGCGGGCATGTCACATGGCAAGAGCAGGAGCAAGAGAGAGGAGTGGGGGAAGGTACCGCACACTTTTAAACAACCAGATCTCACAATAACTCATTCACTATCATGAGGACAGCACCAAGGGGATGGTACTAAACGATTCATGAAAAATTCCCCTTCATGATCCAATCACCTCCCATCAGGCCCCACCTCCAGCACTGGGGATTATATTTCAATATGAGATTTGGGGGGGATAAATATCCAAACTATATCAGTGACAGAATGAGACTTTGTTTTTCATAATTTTTATGCCTGTTTGAGTTTATTTAATCAGCCATTTATCCACTGGACATTGAAATGGTTTTCAAATTTTTCACCACTATAAATAATGTTGAGACAAACATCTTTGTAAATAAGCATTTGGCCACAGTATTTTATTATAAAACTACTTTTTGTGAGTAAGATTTCAAGATGAAGTCGTATGCATTTAAAGTTTATCTAGTTGGCTTGACTTCCTGCTTCTAACTTCCTGAGATCATATTTAAACAAGAACTTTCAAAACATGTCTACATATCCTTGAAGTCTGAATTGTTCAGTCCCTTGCCAGAAGCCAGTTCTTTATAACAGCAATTTGGCATTTCTAATATGTCCTCTTTTTAGCTGCTGTCAAAAACCACATTTCTTTTTAGACTGCTCCAAGAAACTACTCATCAGTGCTCAAATTGAGAACCTACTTATTTTACCTTCTGCCAAAGGAATTTGTGGCCACAATGTACTAAAGACAAATTTGGAGGTGAAAAGAGAACTGGGACAAAAAAATAAAGTAGACTAGGCCTTTTCTCCCTCATTTGTATATTATTGACAAGATTATTGCAATTAGCAGAGATACACCTTAGGTGGAGCTAAAGGCTACAGAAGCATTACCCATGGTGGCCCAGCAGGCAGCCCTCTCTGATGCCCAAAAGCAGCTGGCTGGCCTCACTGTGGGAGTCATCCAGAACCAACTACAAGAGAACAACTGCTCACCAAAAAAGAAAAGAAGGAAAATACCTCCTTATCTTGGCTTGTGGAATTTAGGAAATTCCACAACTAGAGCTCCCAATAAAGCATTAACCAGAGGGTTAAAAAGCAGACTCCCAAGAGAGGAGCTACCCGGGAGAAGTAACATTATCCTAAGTCTCATCTTGCCACTTAATCACACTTACATTGTTAGCTCACTGCTGGGCATATTTTACCCTCCTAAGGAGATCAGGGCCTGCTGGAGAGTGCACTGGAGCCTTACATTTCTTCTGGGACCACCTCAGGGACCCAGCACAAAGCAATAAATTTAGAAATTGTTCAATAAGTAACAATTTGTTCAACTGAGCAAATGAACAAACACCATCTTAGAGCAAATGAGTTTTCAGATCTTTCCCTGCCAGCTTGTTTGTGATGGGGGCACTAAGCAAACCAGCCAAGGAGTAAAGAGGCCTAAGACACAGCAGTTTGCCAATGTCTTCATTTCCTTGGGCTGGCCCTGAGGGACGCTAACCAAGGCTGGATTCTGACTCCTGTACCTCAGGTAATCCAACTAATAAAAACCTTCCATTAACCAAGATCCTCCCCTTTTCTCTATTATTAGAAAAAAAGAAGTTATAAGAAAACAGTAGGGATTTTATCTTAAATAAAATGACTTCTCAGGGTTGGCCTTTAACTGGGTATAAATTCAACTCAACCTCCTAAACCTTCTCCAGCAATGTTTCCCAAAATGTGTTCCAAGGAAACTATGGAAGACTCTCTGAGAAAAGGGATCCACTAAAGTCCAAAATTCTCCCCTCCTAGCGATCCATTAAAAAAAAAAAAGAAAAGTTTTAAAGGCTTTGAGGAGTCATTAAATAAAGAAGCCTCTTTAGCTTCTTGGTAAAGTGTCCCAGTGTCTCAAACTTGGTAAAATTTGCGTCATGAACTCTGAGACACGCTGCTCTCCACCGTGATAATACTCTTTCCTGTGGCATGGCAGTGCTCACTTGGGCTTGCACTGGTGGGGATGAGAAACTGATCATTGATTATTCAAAGGGTTAATGTCTTCTGTAGAGTGTATTTTCTTTCTTTCTCTCTTTTTTTAGAGACGATGTGTTACTCTGTTGCTCTGTCACCCAGCCTGGAGTTCAGTGGCATGGTCATGGCTCACTACAGCCTCGAATTTCTGGGCTTAAGTGATCCTACTACCTCAGTCTCCAGAGTAGCTGGGACTACAGGTGCACCACTACACCTGCCTAATTGTTTTTTTTTTTTTTTTTTGTACTGACAGAGTCTTGCTATGTTGCCCAGGCTGGTCTTGAACTCCTGGCCTCAAGAGATCCTCCTGTCTTGGTACTCTGGGAAGCCAAGGCAGGAGGATCCCCTGAGGGATCTCTTATAGGCATGAGCCACTGCACCTGGCTAGTTTCTAAGTTATTTTTCACAATAGTTGAATCAAATATATATTTTTATGAGAAGTGCAAATTAAAACTACTTGTAAATGGTATTTCTTAACAAATGGGGATTAGAAAAATTCCACTTAACAACACACTCTGTTGGTAAGGCAGCGGGAACACAGCACACCCTTACAATGCGGGTAGGAAGACAAAATAGTCCAACCCATATAGAGAGCAATTTGACAATATTTACAGAAATTACAAATATATTGACTCTTTGACCCACCAGTCTCACTTCTGGGAATGTATCCTGGAGCTATGCCTGTCCATGTACGATATATGTACTAGTTATTAACTGAAACATTGTTTATAATAGCAAAATGTTAGAAGTAATTCAAGTGTCATAGGGAACTGGTTAAATAACTGTGGTACAATGGAACATTACGCAGTGGGGAAAATGAGGAAAATAAAAAACTCTCCATATGATTGTGGAAAGATATCCAGGATATACAATAAAATGAAATAAGAAATTTGGAGAAGATATATTTACTTATACTACTCTTTGTGGAAGAAAGGGGAAGATAAGAATATATATTCATACTTACTTGCATTTGTATTAGGAAATACTGTCACCATGTAAGAAACCAATAAAAATATTCACATATAGAGGGCAGGAGGAGTTTGGGGTAGACACTAACAATGTCAAACTTTAAGCCCTGTGCTTCCAGAAAACAGTGAAGGTTAAGAAATTCCCAACCCACTGGGCAAGGTGGCTTACACCTGTAATCCCAACACTTTGGGAGACTGAGGCAGGCAGATCACCTGAGATCAGGAGTTCGAGACCAGCCTGGCCAATATGGTGAAACCCTGTCTCTACTAAAAATCCAAAAATTAGCCAGGTGTAGTGGTGGGCGCCTGTAGTTTCAGCTACTCGGGAGGCTGAGGCAGGAGAATTGCTTGAACCTGGGAGGTGGAGGTTGCAGTGAGCCGAGATCGCACCACTGCACTCCAGCCTGGGTGACAGAGAGAGACTCCATCTAAAATAATAATCAAAAAAAAGAAATACCCAATTCTTTGTGTGCCAGGAACCAGCAAAGAGCACCTGCTGTCTGAGGTAAGATCCAACTCTGTCCTTCTCAGGAATCCCATGAGACCCATGCATGGTGACGCCCTTGCTTATCTGCCCCTTGCCTTCTCTTAGAAACATTCCTTGTTGATAAACATTCTCACTATTACAGTAGCCAGAATAAAATAATCTCCTTAACTGACCAGTGCATTTTCACAACAGGATTGGGAACAGGGGTGTGTTCCTCTGATACTCATCTCTGTGTATATCTTTTAATATCATTTTCATTTCTAAACAATGTGACTGCATCACTTACTTTTAAAAATTTACTTAAAGATACAAAACAAGCAAAATAATTTTCTGATCAATGGCTTAATTGAAAGTTCCATTAACCAGAAAAACCTCAGTCCCAGCATCCCTGTTAACCATTTCAGGATAAAAGCACGTCCCACTTTTCAGTGCTCCTTTTCTTTGGAGGGATGAGGTGCTGGCTCACTGACATGCACCAGCCTTTCCCTTCCTCGTAAGTACACTTGTAATAAGAGGAGGTGGACAGAAAGAAAAAAGAGGGAAAAGACATGAAGCAGTTTTGTTCTCTGGTGTATATTTTTTAACCCCCGGCTGATAAAATTCTCTACTTTCAGCCCATAATATCACCTCCTACCACAAAAACAAAGGAATGTCATGTTCTCTTTTCACCATTTATTCCTGCCCTCTGGGGCTTCTTTCTCCTTTCCCCTTCTGTTTTCATTAAGGTTTTGGAAGGCTGAGCCTAGATGTACCTCGTGCGTGCTCTCTTCCCGCTTCTTGCTGGCTGGAACTTGGACATGGTGGCCTCGCTTTGATGACAAAGCCCTATGAGAGGGCACAGCAATTTCCTAAAAGGAATCTCAGTCCTTGAGTGATCATGAGGAGCAAATTTACCCTGAAGACCTAGACCATTCACACTAAAACTGAGATATAGAGGAAAAAGAAACTTCTTTTCCAGGTGGTATGACTTAACTTCATCCTAACATAATTTCTTTTGAAGAAAATAGAAAGAGTTGTACTAGATGATCTCTAAGAAGCTTTCTAGTACCAACTTATGTGAATCAAAGCATGATATTGTCACTGTAAAGGGTTAGAGAGGCTTCGAATCATAGCTTGTTTATACAGCATGTCACTGGTCACAGCTGTGATACATTTGCTACTCTGTGCCACAGTGGGTAAGACCTGGATCTTGGGTTCAGCCCTCTTGAATTCAGTTCCTGCCCCTGTTCCTTACGACCTGTGACCTTGGGCCAATTGCTTAAGCTATCTGAGCCTCATTTCCTTATCTATAACATTCAAATAATACTAGGAATAATTTCTCAGCATGAGATAATCCAGGAAAAGTCTTTCACTAACAATAAGTTCTCAATAAGTTATAGTTATTTTTATAACTGTCATTGTTATTGTTGATACGACCTTTGTCAAAAATGTCATCCCCAACTGTAATACTCTTTGTATGGACAACTTTTGTCCAATTCTGTTTATATGCTTTATATCATCATTTTGGAGAATGACTGGATAAAAAACATCACAACAGATTGAAATCACCGTGAAGAGTGGAATAGACGTGACAGATACGTCACTCCTTGCATATATCTGGTTCTCCTCTCTTTCCTGGGAATACAGGAAAACCATGCTTCCCAGCCCCTTTGCAATAAGCTAAGGCCTCATGACCAGTTCTCATCAAGGGACAGTAAGTCAAAGAAACGTAGATGACATCTGGTGCAAAGCATTTCAGAATGGATGTGAATTCTCCCTGATTTTTCTCCCCTTGAAGCCACTGGGAGCCCCCATTCACCTGGGTCCTTGAATGACTAACTGGAGCAGGTCCACCTCCCAACCCCCAGTAATTCAAACTGGACATGTGGAATGAGAAATAAACCTTTGTTGTATTGACATTCAATATACGATCACATTACCTGTCCTTTTCTAATACAATGAGTAATGACTAAGTTACCATAATTTCAGAATATGTAAGCCTTTGAATTGACTTGAAGGACAAAGTACTCACCATCTGTCTATTATGATGGGCCCTTGCTGGAAATTTTCATGACAAAAATCATAATAATAGCTAATGTTATATAGGACTTACTATGTATCAGGTATGTTCTAAGAGCTTTATATGTATAAATTCACTTAATCCTTTTTAAAAAATAAATTTAATTGGGAGACCATTAGGTTGAGATGACTCCAGTACCCTGGGTTGCTACATAAGCAAACCAAAGCCCATGCAAACAGTATAAAAAACCTAAGCTTTGAGGTGGGTGGATTACTTGCAGTCAGGAGTTCGAGATTAGCCTGGCCAACATGGTGAAAACCCGCTTCTACTAAAAATACAAAAATTAGCTGAGCATGGTGGTGCATGCCTGTAATCCCAGCTGCTCCTGAGGCTGAGGCAGGAGAATCGCTTGAACCCGGGAGGCAGAGGTTGGAGCGAGCTGAGATCGTTCCACTGCATATCAGCCTAGGTGACAGAGTGAGACTCCATCTCCAAAACAAAAAGCAAAAAATCAAAACAACAACCTAAGCTTGACTAATCAGAAACCCCTAACTAACCTCTAACCAGAGACATTCTATTTTAACCAAATACATATATACACATACATATATACATAGATGTCTATTTTTATGTATGTATACTTGTTGTTGTTGTTGTAGTTGTTGTTGTTGTTGTTGTTGAGACAAGGTCTTCTTATGTTGCCCAGGCTGCTCTTGAACTCCTGGGCTTAAACAATCCTCCCACCTCGGCCTCCCAGAGGGCTGGGATTACAAGTGTGAGCCACTGTGCACAGCCCCAAATACATTTTGTTTTGCTTTCATGAACACCTTATAAAAGTTTCCTTTCTCACCACCCCCCACCCAGTGGAGTGCTAAACTGCTTGTGCTGCCCAATTCGTGAATCATTGAATGCTCAAACAAGTGCTTTATATTTTTAATGTATCTAAGTTTATCTTTTTAACACCTTGTGACAACTCTATAAGTGAGGTACATCAAACCATTTTGCAAATGAGGAAACTGAGGGGCAGAGAAACTAAGAAACTCACCCAAAGTAAGAAGTGAAGTCAGGATTCAAACCTAGGCAGTCGGACTGTAGAGTCAGAGTTAGAGTAGTCTTTAACCACTATGCAATAAATATGAATTAAACAATTGGCTGGATGTGGTGGCTCATGCCTGTAATCCCAGCACTTTGGAAGGCTGAGACAGGTGGATCACTTGAGGGTAGGAGTCAAGACCAGCCTGACCAACATGGCAAAACCCTGTCTCTACTAAAAATACAAAAATTAGCTGGGCATGGTGGTGCACACCTGTAATCCCAGCTACTCGGGAGGCCAAGGCAGGAGAATTGCTTGAATCCAGAAGTGGAGTGAGCCGAGGTTGCACCACTGCACTCCAGCCTGGAGTGACAGAGCGAGACTCCATCTCAAAAAAAAGTCATCTTGTCAGGCACAGTGGCACATGCCTATAGTCCCAGCTACTCAGGAGGCTGAGGCAAGAGGGTTGTTTGAGCCCATGAGCTCAAGGCTGCAGTGTGCTATGATCCTGCCTGTGAATAGCCACTGCACTGCAGCCTGGACAACATAGGGAGACTCTGTCCCTTAAAAAAAAAAGAAAGAAAAACAAATCATCTCAGTACACTCTGTAAAGAACTATAATTTCTAAAGGAAACTTCAGGCTAATATCCCTAATGAACACAGATGCAAAAATCTTTAACAAAATACTAGCAAACCAAATCCAGCAGCCCATCAAAAAGTTAATACAGGCCAGAAGTGGTGGCTCATGCCAGTAATCCCAGACTTTGGGAGGATTGCTTGAGTCCAGGAGTTCAAGACCAGTCTGGGCAATATAATAAGACCTCATCTCTACAACAGATTTAAAAATTAGCCAAGCATGGTGGCATGTGCCTGTAGTCCCAGCTACTCGGATGCTTAGGTGAGAGAATCACTTGAGCCTGGGAGGTGGAAGTTGTAGTGAGTTGAAATTGCACCCCTGAACTACAGAGCAAGATCTCGTCTCAAAAAAAAAAAATTAATACAGGACAATCAAATAGGCTTCATTTCTGGGATGCAAGGCTGGTTCAACATACGTGAATCAATAAATGTGATTCATTGCATAAATATAATTAAAAACAAAAACCATACAGTCATCTCAATAGATGCAGAAAAAGCTTTCAGTAAAATTCTACATCTCTTCATGATAAAAACCATCAACGAACTAGGCCTCAAAGGAACATACCTCAAAATAATAAGAGCCATCATTGACAAACCCATAGCCAACATCATACAAAATGGGCAAAAGCTGGAACGCTTCCCTGTGAGAACTGGAACAAGACAAAAATACCCATTCTCACCATTCCTATTCAACATAGTACCGGAAGTCCTAGCAAGAGCAGTCAAGCAAGAGAAAGAAAGAAAAGGCATCCACACAGGAAAAGAAGTCAAACTATCTCTCTTTGCTGATGATATGATTCCATACCTAGAAAACCTTAAGCACTCCACCAAAAGGCTACTAGAACTGATAAATGATTTTAGTAAGATTTTAGGATATAAAATCAATATGAAAAAATCAGTAGTATTTCTATACACCAATAATGTCCAGGCTGAGTCAAATAAAACACACAATCCCATTTACAATAGCCACAGAGGAAATGAAATATCTACGAACAGAGCTAACCTAGTAGGTAAAATATGTTGTCTAGAAGAAGAACTACAAAACACTTCTGAAAGAAATCAGAGATGACACAAATAAATGGAAAAACATTCCATGCTCATGTATTGGAAGAATCAGTATCATGAAAATGACCATACTGCCCAAAGCAATTTACAGATTCAATGCTACTCTTATCAAACTACCAATGTTATTCTTCACTAAATTAGAAATATCTATTCTAAAATTCACATGGAAAAAACAGAGCCTGAATAGCCAAAGCAATCCTAAGCAAAAAGAACAAAGCCAGAGGCATCACACTACCTGACTTCGAACTATATACTACAAGGATATAGTAACTAAAACAGCGTTGTACTGGTACAAAGACAGACACATAGACCACTAGAACAGAATAGAGAGTCCAGAAATAGAGCTGCACACCTACAATCATCTGATCTTTGACAATGTCTACAAAAACAAGCAATGGGGAAAGGACACTCTATTTAATAAATAGCACTGGGCTAACTGGCTAGCCATACGTCGAATGAAACCGGACCCTTACCTTTCACCATATACAAAAATTAACCCAAGATGGATTAAAGATTTAAATGTAAGACTTTAAACTATAAAATCCCTAAAAGAAAACCTAGGAAATACCCTTCTTGACATGAGCCTGGACAAAGAATTTTTGGCTAAGTCCCCAGAAGCAATTGAGACAAAATCAAAAATTGACAGTGGGAACTAATGAAACTAAAGAGCTTATGCACAGCAAAAGAAACTAACAAGTAAACAGACAATCTACAGAATGGGAGAAAATATTTGCAAACTATGCATGTGACACAGGTCCAACATCCAGAATCTATAAGGAACTTAAATCAACAAGCAAAAAACAGCCCTATTAAAAAATAGGCAAAGGACATGAACACTTTTCAGTAGAAGACATACATGTGGTTAACAAGCATATGAATAAATGTTCATCATCATTAATCATCAGAGAAATGCAAATCAAAGCCACAGTGAGATATCACCTCACACCACTCAGAATGGCCATTATTAAAAAGTCAAAAAAACAGGTCAGGTGCAGTGGCTCACGCCTGTAATCCCAGCACTTTGGGAGGCCAAGGTAGGCAGATCAGTTGAGGTCAGGAGTTTGAGACCAGCCTGACCAACATGGTGAAACCCCATCTTTACTAAAAATACAAAAAAAAATTAGCCGGTCATGTTGGCACATGCCTGTAGTCCCAGCTACTCAGGAGCCTGAGGCAGGAGAATAGC
This sequence comes from Homo sapiens, assembly GCF_000001405.40. NCBI lineage: Eukaryota > Metazoa > Chordata > Mammalia > Primates > Hominidae > Homo > Homo sapiens. Next base: position 85,232,025 of record NC_000001.11, on the reverse strand, counting down.
TTGAAACCGGGAGATGGAGGTTGCCATGAGCTGAGATCGCACCACTGCACTCCAACCTGGGTGACAGAGCGAGACTGTCTCAAAACAAACAAACAAACAAAAACAAAAAACAATGGATGCTGGCAAGGCTGCAGAGAAAAGGGAATTCTTAACACTGTTGGGATGTAAATTAGTTCAGCCACTGTGAAAAGCAGTTTGGAGATTTCTCAAAGAACTTTAAACAGAGATCCATTTGACCCAGCAATCCCATTACTGGGTATATACCCAAAGGGAAATAGATCATTTTACCAAAAAGACACATACGCTTATATGTTCATTGCTGCACTATTCAAAATATCAAAGACATGGAATCAACGTAGGTGTCCATCAGTGATGGACTGGATAAAGAAAATGTGGTACATATACATCATGGAATACTATGCAGTCATAAGAAAGAAGGAAATGATGTCCTTTGCAGCAGCATGGATGGAGCTGGTGGCCATACGCCTAAGAGAATTAACACAGAAACAGAAAACCAAATACTGCATTGTTCTTTCTTATAAGTGGGAGCTAAACATCGAGCATCCATGGACATAAACATGGGAACAAAAGATAAGGGACTGAATTGAAAAACTACCTATTGGGTACTATGCTCACTACTTGAGTGCAACATACCCATGTAACACATTTCCAGATGTACTCCCTGTATCTAAAATAAAAACTGAAGCAAAAAGTAAAAACAAATAAACCACTATAATTTCTTTTCACTATACTGAAAACAACCATGAGCTCTGATCATGCCACTGCACTCAGCTTGGGTGACAGAGCAAGACCCTGTCTCAAGAAAATAAAAACAAAAATAAGAAGTAAAAAAAATCACTAAGTAGTGATTATTTGCAGTAGTGAAATAATTATAAATTATTTCTAAATAAATTTAACATGAACAGTATGAGACCCATATGAAGAAAATGATAAGATTTTTTTGAGAGGTACAAAAAAAGATCTCAACGTGTTCTAGGATGGGAGAATTTAATATCACAAAAAAAGTTAATTATTGTATATTAGGGCATATTCATACTAACAGTGGTTTAAACAACCTAGAAGCTTATTTTTCTCTATGTAAAAGTCTGGGTAGGCCCTTCAAGGGCTGGTAAGGTGCTCCGCAATGCCAGAGCCTCAGGCTTCTTTTCCCTTGATGCTCTGCCATGTCTTCACCCAGCCAGCAGGAGGAGAGAGCATGCCCTTTCCCTTTGAGGACACATCTAAGGTGGGTTCCAGGCGAATAGACTCTGAGCCAGAGATTGACAGCAGGAAGTTTACTGCGAAGTGATCTTGGGATAAATATCTGGGGGAAGAGTTATTGGGCAAAGAGCTACCACAAAATTTGCAACAAAGGCCTCAGCCAGTTCCTCGAGGAGTTCTGGAAGTGTCGTAGCTCTTTAGCATTGATTTCCCTTAAAGCAAGGGGACTGGACCGACCAGTCATTGGAGGTGGGTTGATGGGCAGCCCTGGGAAGAGGAAGCAATGTTAGGCGAGGTGGCTCCCTGCAGCAGTTCTTGAAGCAGGATGCAGCTGAGAGCCAACAGCTGAGGGAATGAGTTCAGCAGCTCTGAAGTGGTGTCTGGGCAGTGCCCTAAAGCAGCACTCCCCAACCTTTTTGACATCAGGGACTGGTTTTGTGGAAGAAACCAGTCACTGGTGCCAAAAGCACCTCGGTTTTTCCATGAACCAAGGTGGGGGTATGGTTTCGGAATAATTCAACTACATTACATTTATTGTGCACTTTATTTCTATTATTATTATTACATTGTAATATATAATGAAATAATTATACAAACCACCATAATGTAGAATCAGTGGGAGCCCTGAGCTTGTTTTCTTGCAACTAGATGGCCGCATCCGGGGGTGATGGGAGATAGTGACAGATCATCAGGCATTGGATTCTCATAAGGAGCCGCACCTAGATCCCTCACATGCACAGTTCACATTAGGGTTCACACTCCTACAAAAATCTAATGCCACCGCTGATCTGACAGGAGGTGGAGCTCAGGTGGCAATGTGAGTGATGGGGAGCAGCTGTAAAAACAAATGAAGCTTTGTTCGCTCACTGCTTCCCTCCTGCTGTGTGGCCCTGCCCTAAAGTATTACTATAAAGCACTTCCTGAAAGTTACATATATTAATTCTGCTAACATCTCATTGGCTAGAACTTAGTCACATGCATACTGGTACCTGCAAAGAAGGCTAGGAAATGGAGCCTTTATTCTAGTGGACTACGTGCCCAGCCGAAATTTTTTTTTTTTTTTTAAGTGACAGGATCTCACTCTGTCATCCAGGCTGGAGTTCAGTGGTGCAATTATAACTCATTGCAGCCTTGAACTCCTGGGCTCAAGCAATCTTTCTGCCTCGGCCTCTTGAAAAGCTTGTACTAGAGGCATGCACCACCATGCCCAGCTATTTTTGAAATCTTTTGTCGAGATGGGAACTCACTATGTTACCCAGTCTGGTCTCAAACTCCTGGCCTCAAGTGATCTTCCTGCCTCAGTCTCTCAAAGTGTTGAGATTACAGGCATGAGCCACTGCAACTGGCCGAAACATTTACTGGGAAGGAAGAAGAGGAGAATAGTAAAAGAGAAATTGTAGTTTCTGTAACATCTTCCAAAACTGATATAACTTTATCACAGTTTATTTACACAAGAATAGTTTATTTTTGGGAGCTGGATAAACATAACTTATAATTCATGTGTACAAATAAATGTCCAAGAACAGCCAGAGAAATTATGAAATAAAATAATGTGTGGGACATGCTTGCTCAAATGTTAAAATACTTCAAAGGTGACTGAAATTAGAACAATATGATCCTGGCATAGGAATAGACAAGTATGTCATTGAAACAGAATAGAGAACCCAGAAATAGATTCAAGGCAGGACTGCTATCCTCTTGGTTTGCACTATATCCCTGTTGCAGTGGTTTACAGACAGCATCTGTTCTGACTGGTCTGTGCCCATACTGTTTTAATTGTTTATATTTTGGATGTACCCCTGGTCCCAGGACATACGGTAACTTAGTAAATGCAAAATGTTATACTTCGATTCAGTGGTTAAGAATGATTTGCTTCACATATTTAGCTGATAAATGCCTCTCTCTATAGGTTAGACTAAAAAGTGAGACTCTTACCTTATACTATATAAACAAATTTCAGATGGACTTGAGTTATAAATGTTAAAAATGTAACAATGGGGCCAGGTGTGGTGGCTCATACCTGTAATCCCAGCACTTTGGGAGGCTTAGGTGGGAGGACTGCTTGAGACCAGGAATTCAAGACCAGCCTGGGCAACGTAGTGAGACCGCATTTCTACAAAAATACAATTTAAAAATTAGCTGGGTGTGGTGGTGCATAACTATAGTCCCAGCTACGCAGGAGGCTGAGATGAGAAGATTACTTGAGCCCAGGAGCTCGAGTCTACAGTGAGCTACAATCACACCACTGCACTCCTGGGTGGCAGAATGAGACTCTGTCTCTTAAAAAAAAAAAAAAAAAAAAAAGGTAATGATGAAAATTTAGCCCTATAAAATTTCAGTTAGATAGGAGGAATACGTTCAATAAATCTATTGTACAATATGGTGACTATAGTAAATAACTGCATTATTTTCTTGAGAATCACTAAGACAGTAGATTTTAAATATTCTGACCACAAAAAATAAAAAATATGTGAGATAATGTATATGTCAATTAGCTCAATTGAGCCATTCCACAATGTATACATATTTCAAAACATCATGTCATATGTGATAAATATACACCATTTTTATTTGTCAATATAAGAAAATATAAAAAAGAAATTTTGCCCTAGATGTTGGAGGGATTTTATTTTTTAGATGGAGTTTCACTCTTGTCACCCAGCTGGAGTGCAATGGTGCTATCTCGGCTCACTGCAACCTCCACCTCCCAGGTTCAAGTGATTCTCCTGCCTCAGCCTCCTGAGTAGCTGGGATTACAGGCGTGAGCCACCGCGCCCAGCCGATGTTGGAGGGATTTTTTAGCAGGAAACCCAGAAGCTGTAAAAGTAAAAGGAGAGAACTACTCAAATATAAGAAATATTATAGTGTGGAAAAAAATACCACAGACAAATTAAAAAGACAAATAATAAATTAGGAAAAATATTTCCAGTGCATGTGAAAAATAAAAGGTTAAGAGTTTTACTGCACAAAAGGCTAAGAAGGTCACATAATTAAAAAAACAGTCAAAGGACGTAAACAGGCAATTCACGTAAGAGCAAATCCAAGATGGCCTCTAAACATAGAAAAAGATGCCAAAACGATTAATCTCACGGGGAGTCAGGGAACTGCAAATTGAAGAAACAAGTGAGCTTTCTCTCTACAGACATCATATTGGCAAAAATGAAAAAGGGATAACAGCTACTGCTTTCAGGAATATGTGGAAAAGGCTATTTTCACACATTGCTAATAGAAATGTGAATTGTTATAGTATTTTGGAAAGCGAAATTAAAATTAAAAAGATATATACTCTTTTTCTCAGCAATCTATTCGTAGGAAGAATTTTCCTACTTACGTAAAAGCATTAGTATGAAAAGCTACACACAGAAAGATATTTACTGCATCCTGGTGTGCCACTGGGATAAAAAAAGTTAAAAATTAAGTGTTAGGTAGAAAAACGATTAAATAAATTATGCTTCATGCATACAATAGAAAAATTATGCAGCTATTAAAAAGAATGATTTAGAACTATCCAGGGTTTTTGGAGGGGAATCCATGACAGTTTAGATGAGAGAGGCAAAATGCATAGAATGCCTATTACCCACAGACACACAGGGTATATATGTATCTGATTTCATAAGCATGGGGAAGGAAAAGAACATATGTATACCATATTTTGATATTGATTCCCAAAGATGAAGAAAACAACCAACCAAGCAATATTTTAAAAATTAAGGGCCATAATAAGAATAGCATGCATGTTACTCTCTTTATATAAATGTGTATACGGAGATGTGTGATGTGTGAAAGGACAGGTGCCAAAATGTTAACGTGGTTATCACAGGGTGATGAGGTTTCAGGACATTTTTACTTTCTTTCTGTCTATAACTTGTTTTTGAATTTTTTCAAAATTCATTACTTATATAGTCAGAAAAGCATAAAGCCGTTTTCATTATTGGGGAAATAAATAAGTGAATGAAAATCCTCAATAAACTTCTTGTTAAATTAGATATTAATTTAGGAAGAAACTTGAAATGTCATGAAAATACTTAGGCAATATTGAATCGTCTCTTCCTTTATTTAAACTTGATTTAAAACAATAAAAATATTTAAGTACTTTTAAGTGTTTCTTTCCAGTTTGCTACCTTAGGTAATAAAACGTAGCAAACTTAGTCAGTTACGTCTGACTAAGATTTTGTTATTGAGAGAGAAACTTTTCACTGTGATTCAAAAGAACAAAATTTGTTAAAAGGTTTATTTTCTTTTAATACTTTTTATGAATTCCTTTAATTTTTTTTCTTCAATGGCCCACAACCTCATATTCTGAGACCTGCTATTTCATGGTTTATTCCCTCACTCTGCTTCTTTAAATCTGATTGAACTTTTCGGTTATCAACTATACTATAACAAACTTATTATTAGAGCACTTTGGCTTTCTACAGCCTCAACACAGAATTTATAGTGTTTCTCATTATTTCCTTGTGAGTCCATTCATATGTATGTACAACTTCTTTTAAATAAGTGAAAAGCTGTTTACAAAAGAAAAGCTAAGTCATAACTGTGAAAGGAACTCTACCTGTTACACTATGAAGTGGTATTAAAGGGAAAAGACAGCAGTGAAAGCTCTATCAGCATAAACTGTGACTGATTAGACACGGAGAGATAGGGCACTGTTTCAAACAGCTTCGCCAGACACATAAACACATTTTTCTCTTTTCTGACTCCCCTGGGCTTCTACATTCCAGCCCTCTTGTCATTGTCTACCCACGCAGTCTTTTTCTTCTTTCTCTGACTGAAACATCTTCATGGTCTTTTTGAGTATTGTATTCCAGCAACTTTTCTTTTATTTCACAATGAGAGGTTTATTGGTATCTAGATTTAATAAATATATTCTCTCTTCAGTGACCAGGTTTTTGAAAAGCAAAAAGGATAGACCCAGCAGAATTTCAGGAACATTCCATATTCCCTGAGTGAGACGCCTTAGTACGTAGCCCTGGATCCAGAGTGCTAAACAGCTTCATTCCTCCTCTGGCTAAAAGCCTCACTTTGTTATGGGTTGCAGGTAGGGCACTCATTTGCCCCCTAACCTAGACCAGTTCTGCTTTTCTAGAGGCAATAAAATTCATGATCATGTAAAAAATGAGATCTTGTAATACCTACCCAATAGGGAAATTATGAAACAGCCATGTTTTAATAGCACTTTCCAGCCCACTGCCGAAAGAGCTGTGGAAATCCAATGTTAGTCTTGTTTTTGTGGCTAGTATGACTTATTTTGCTTCAGTGATGCAACAGGTAAGCAAACAATGGTTGCTTATGATCAAGGTAAGATTTGAGATTTACATATGACACCTTTAAAGAAGCAAAGACATCTATCTTTCCTTAACAAAAATCTTACTCAACTGGCTCTCTGTAATGACTGGGTATCAGCACAAATCAGATAATGTGTTTTGATGTTTTAGAAAATTCCAGTTGCTCTTGAGGCTTCATTATTGACAAGGGCTATCAGGCTTTCCAAGAGGGTCTTATCTGCAAGCTGCAGCAGTTACTGCATGAGCTGCCAAACAGGTTCAGTGGGATTACACAGCTGCCTTGGAGCTGGAGGCCAGGCGGGGTGAACTCCCTGCTTTCTCTTTTCAAGGCCTGCAGGCTTTGACCTGTAAATAGGTGCCTAAACAGGGTCTAATCTGTCACACAAATATGCCTTAGCAAAAGTGGTAATGTCCCTTATTACCTGGTTTAGCAACGATTCCAAGACATATATTTAGAGAGGTACTTGTATAAATTGCTATACTTGAAGCTATGCCTGGTGTTTCTATAAAACTCTCTTAAGAGATGATATAATGGTTCACATTTTATTTATAGCAGCCAATGGAAACAAGGCCTTTCCTATAACCCCAGCTCTCAAGAGCAGTTCTAAAATAACAAACCAACATGTGCAATTTGAAGATATGCCCTTTAGGCTGAGCTCAAGTGTTCTGTTCTTAGGGGATTGCACTTTACCCTTTTGAGATGACTTCTCCCCTCTGCCTGCCATGATTTATGATCTTAATGCTTCTATTAAGAAACAGATTTCAATTTTTAGTTTTTTCTTGATAGTTCAGAGAACTATTTTCAATTTGTAAAAGTTAAAAAAAAAACCTCCTTAAAATTGGTGTAATCTTTGACATTCACAGTTGAAAAGTAAATTCCTAGCTAAGATTTGCTGTTTTATTCCTAAAAATTGGGACAGATTGGGTAAAAAAAATGCAAAGAGCTCTTTAAATGTAAGTTGTTTTGAAGGCTGTTTGGCAGGATGCTTGCAGAAAAATGTAATTAGAAGAGAGAGTAGGACTTCCACTCACCAAAGAATGTAAATATTTAAAATATCTCAGGCAGTTAGCACTTAATAATAACAAAAATCCTTATCAGAATAGCATTCTTCTTTTGAAGTGGGGAAGAATAACACCTGGTCATTCTGTTCTACAGTAGCAAGTCAAAGCTTGTTATTGGGAATGATATAGACTATTAAAACACTATCTTCCTTAATGTGCATTTCATTAATTAACTTTTCAATGTTAGTATTCTATAAAGCAAAACGGAAGCTATATATACCAATTATTTAAATCTATTCATAACTACCAGTTATTTAAAGCATATTTAGCATTTAATATATATGGCAAGGTACTCTTTTCTTGAGAGATATACTTTAATAGAACTGGCTCCATGGTGGTAGACAATAGTTAAATAGCCAATGTTAAACAATGACTTATTTTACCTTTTCTTTTTTAGTTAGGACAGTCATTTTGAAGGTATCATTTTGTAGCATATATTCAAGTCTGAAGAACTTTTCAACTTTATTTGCTTCCATAATTAGCTCTGTGATATGAAAGTGACAAGAATTGCCAGGTTTTCCAATTTAAAATATTGCCACAATTTTGATATTAAATGAACAACTTTGAGGCAATTTATTTTGTAACAACCTGAACTAATGTGAGACAGAAATAATACAGGGGTGGCTGCAGGAGAATAGAAAATTCCAGGCAGCAGTTTCACATGACTAGGAAAAGGAAACTGTTGAAATACCCACAGAAGCTAGGGGCTTATAAGATCCCCAAAACCAGGATGTAGATCACGCTGGCTAAGACCCAACTGGACCCAACATGGTGCTAGATTTGATCTAAGTTTCACCTAGGACCTTATTATATACTCATTAACATGCTAAATCACCCATCAGTGCCATGACAGTTCCAGGGACACCCATAGTTAATGGTTGACACAACAGTTCTGAGAAATCTCTACCTTTTTCTAGGAATTTTCATGAATATTCCACCCCTTAGTTAAAGAAAACCCTAAAGGTAGCTACCTCAAACCCCCATGCACGTGACTCTCTCTTATGTACGCCTGCACTCCCTTTTCTTGAGTGTGTATTTTTTGCTTTGCAGTAAATCTTCGTACTTTCACTACTTTCTGATTCATCGTTGAATTCCTTCTTACCATGTTGTCAAGAACCTGGACACTGGCCAGGGTCGAGGTCCCACCAGCATTTCAGGACCTCACCTATCCCGCTAGTATCAAATTGACACTGTTTATTTAACCTAAAACAAATAATTACAAGGTCTATAAATGATACTATATTATTGACACCATGGATTTTGTGGAGTATCTCAGTTTCAGAAATACTTTTTTTGCACAACCTCAGTCTGATTTATATGTCTGTTTTAAGGCCGCTGCCTTTTGCCTCACTCCTTTTCCATTCATTCATTCATTCATTCATTCATTCATTCATTCATCTATCCACCAACTACTATGTGCCAGGCCCTACGTATATGAAGAACAATATTTGAGCTGACACTTGAAGGATAAGTTGGGTTGTACCTGTGCTTGTTTTCTGCCCTCATGGAGTTTACATCCTAGTGGGAGAGACAGACAGTAAATAAGTAAAATATATCAACAAAGAAGATAATTACAGTTTGTGATATATGTTATGACCAGAAACTCTTTGTTACAAGGACATTTAAGCTTAGACCAGAGGGCTGAACAAGAGCCATGAATTATCTGCAAAAAGGAACTATTGTGCAAAGTCCCTGAGCAGGAAATCTTTGGCAGGTTTGGGAAACAAAAAGGTGACCAGCGTAGTGGGAGGGGGAGGGGGAGAGTGGTATGAAGTGAATACTATGATTTGAATATTTGTGTCCACTGCCAACCCACCATATGTTGAAATCCTAACTCCCGAAGTGATGGTATTAAGAGGTGAGACCTTTGAATGGGATTAGTGCCCTTATAAAGGAGGCCCAAGAGAGGTCTCTTGCCCCATCTACCATGTGAGGACACAGTGAGAAGGTGCCATCTATGAACCAGAAAGTGGGCCTTCACCAGACACCAAATCTACTACCACCTTGATGTTGGACTGCCCAGCCTCCAGAACTGTAATAAATAAATTTCTGTTGTTTATATGCCACCAGTTTATGGTATTTTGTTGTAGCAGCTGGAACAGACTAAGACACTGAAGATACAAAGGCAGGTAGAAGCCGCATTGTGCAGGCCCTCGTAGGCTGAGGAAGGGGGTTTGGAATGTATTCTATAAGCAATAAGGCCCTGAAGGGCTTAAGCAGCAGAGAGTTGGGGATGTGAAGGGGACAAGTGTTCAGGATCAAGTGTGTCACATGCAAAAATGTGGAGATATGAAAAAGCATGGCTGGGAGTGGTGGCTCACACCTGTAATCCCAGCACTTTGGAAGACCAAGGCAGGAGGATCGCTTGAGCCCAGAAGTTTGAGACCAGCCTGGGCAATATAGTGAGACCTCACTGTTAAAAAAATAGGATAAAATTTAGTCACACATGGTGGCACACAGCTGTAGTCTCAGCTACTCGTGAGGCTGGGGCAGGAGTACTGCTTGAGCCCGAGGTTAAGGCTGCAGTGAGCCAAGATCACACCACTGCACTCCAGCCTGGGTGACAGAGCAAGACCCTATCTCTAAAAAGAGAAAGAAATAAAAACTATGGAAAAATTGTTAAAATTTAGGAAAGAGCTCCTTGTTTAGAATTTTGAATGGAAATGGATATGGTAACTAACTTGAGCAGTTTTCTGCACTAAAATTTTGTCAGTAGTCAAAAGTTAAATGACAGCCCCTAAAGTCCAAAGCTTTAGAACATTTCACTATGCCAGTGAAATTAAGCATGTTTTCTAAATGGATTTATCATGTTCTGAGGACACATTAAATGAACTAAGTGAGCAACTTTGACCCACTGGTTGTCTTTCAAAGGACACAGAACAGTATCATTTTCTCCTTCCTTTTCTCTGGCCATAGGTAATTAGAAATCATTGGTGATTCTTATTTTTATTGGTTCAGAAATCACTGCCTCTCTAAAGGGTGCAGGGAGATCATTTATGGTGAAAGTGTCTATTTCCATGAATAAGAATTACATTAACAGGATGGAATTTTATATTAATAGGATGTTTGTGTTTGGGCAGAAATCCATTATGAGTTTCTAAAAAACCTTTCATTAAATTATGAATTCAATTTCAGCCTTTGCATTTCTTGCTTATACTGATGGCCATCTTCTCCATGTCTTCCCAAAGGGAGATTTCTGGCAGGCTCTTCCATTGATAAGCTTTCCAGTTATAACTAATCTTTCTGGTCCCTCTTTGCCTTTCTGTCTTGGCCTGTAATTGACCTCATTCACGCGTTTTCTTTAGCATACCAAATACTCTGTGTTTCTCCAGCAGTAGTTCTGGAATGTTTACATGGAGAATTAGTTTATAGTTTGGCTTATTCATTTGTTAACATAATGCTATGGAATGAAATCCTTGCTTTCCTTCAGCCTTGACAGGTCTTGGCAGTAACTGCTACTTCATTGTGATTTCCTTTTGGGGAAAAAGCACTCACTCCTCTTTCACACACGACCTCACCGCAGTCATTTCCCCGAATGGGATGTTAAACCTCTCCCTCTTCCAAGTCTTACTTAGGAGTTGATCTCACGTTCTTTTGAAGCAGACCCCTTGCTATTCCCAAGTACACGGTGTACTTTCCCACCTCTCTGCCTTTGTTCATGCTGTTCCACAAGGGTGGATACCTTCCCACTCATCTCTACCAGCCAACATCTGGGTCGTGCCTCCTTCACTGAATCTTTTTGGAACCCTTTAATCAAAAGTCTTTGTTTGATTTCTCAATGAGCATTTTTCCTAAGACTATGAAATGACCTGATCAGATTTTCCGAAGACAACAGCTAGAACTCAAGATTCAGTAAACAAAGGGATAAGCCTGTGGCTAGAGTGGGGGGTAAAAGAACTAGGTATTTGGGGAATTAGTAAGATATAGAAGGAAAGCTTTAGCTTTCAAATCAGATTTTTTTTTTCATGTGAATTCTAAAAGTCAGTTACCACTTCTGTGACCCTGGATGACTTACTTTCCCTCCCTGAGCCTGTGAAGTTGAGATAGCAAGTCCTATTTCTCAGAGTTATGAGGATAAATGAGATGATATATGACTTAGTGCTTGTCACGGGTTTGGATCTCCAGAAATGTTAGTTTTGCCTCACTAGATTCTATATGGGAAGAGATCAGGGAGGGACCCCAGTCTGCAGCTATCCAAAGAAGTGGGATGCCAGGTAGTATCAAGTATAAATAGTAGGTTTGCAGAAGACTAAAGTCAGCCCATAGGAACTAGTTAGAAATTCAAAGCACAGGGATTAGAAAAGTTGAATATGTGTATCCTTAGCCTTGGTATTGTGGCTTTCATTGGCCAATAGAAGGCAGCAGAAATGACATGTCAGTTCCAAGCCTATGCCTTTAGAGGCATGCCACAGGTAGCCACTGCTCCTTCAGCCAGGCAGCAGAGTGAGGCATGTGTAGCCAAGCTGACCTGTAGTCTGATAGCAGAGCTGCCCCAACTGATCTGCAGACCCATCAGCCAAAAGTAAATATTCATTGTTGTATGCCCCTTATATTTTGTGGTTGTTTTTATTATACCGTTATTATTGCACCAATAGCTAATTCACCTCTCTTCTTATCTGTTAGTTCAATGGCATGAGGAGCCCAAAATTACCAGGTGATAGTTTACACCTGAATTACACCTGAATTACAATTCAATGAGATATTTTTGTGTCCCTTGATGGATGCATTCCTTTCACGGGGACTAAGGCCTCTAAGCCAACAGAGCACAAAGTTTCAGGGACAGGAAGCACAAATTCTGTGAGAGAGTTGAGACATAATAGTGAGAAGAACCTCTACCCCCTCCTGCTACGCTTTGATTCTGGGACTCCTATATTGTTACTACGGTATAAACAATATCCTATATTGGTTGCTGATACAAAGCACATACTCCATTTTGTAAAATAGAAAGAACATCACCCTTTCACAGGAGGTTGTCTCCCAGTTGGCACCAAAACTAAGCCTTCAGGAGGTCATTCAACCATTTCTTTCTTTCTCTTTTTTTCTTTTGAGACAAGGTCTCGCGCTGTTACCCAGGCTGGAGTGCAGTGGAGCAATCTTGGCTCACTGCAGCCTCTGCCTCCCAGGCTTAAGTGATCCTTCCTCCCCAGCCTCCCGAGTAGCTGGGACCACAGGCGCACACCACTGCACCCAGGTACTTTCCACCATTTCTAGTAGGTTATCTGCTTCTGGGTGATGGGATAAGTGTTAAGACCATGAAATCTGAGCACGTATCCTATGCTATCTGTCTTTTATTGAACTCCTTGAACAGAATCAAAGTTATGACAGAGAATAAGGCATTCTGTAAAGTCCACAGATGATGGTACTGGCAGATGTGTTGTAGGAAGGAAATGCAAATTTATATTATGAATATGTTTCTAGTCCAGGGAGAACAAATTCTCTCCATGTTGGAAGGGATCCAGCACCATCAGCCTGCTACCAAGGTGCTAGGCTCCTCCAGATGAAGGTTGCTGTTCTACAGACTCAGTGTGGACTAGGCTGATGGCAGATTAGACTCTCAGCAGTTGTTAACCAGGTCAGTCTTGTTAAGAAGAAAAACATGCACTTCATTCTACCAAATAATTTCATTGAAGAAATGAAGGAGGAGCAATGGAAGTGGTAAATATTTAGGTTAACATAGTAGACTAGTATTTACCTTTTAAGTTCTTCAAAATATATTTGATGGTTGAAAGGAAAACTTTTGAGGCTGGGTGCGGTGGCTCATGCCTGTAATCCCAGCACTTTGGGAGGCCGAGGCGGGCAGATCACCTGAAGTCAGGAGTTCGAGACCTGCCTGGCCAACATGGTGAAACCCAATCTCTACTAAAAATACAAAAATTAGCTGGGGTGATGGTGGGCGCCTGTAATCCCAGGTACTCGGGAGGCTGAGGCAGGAGAATCACTTGAACCCAGGAGGTGGAGGTTGCAGTGAGCTGAGAATGTGCCATTGCACTCCAGCCTGGGCAGCAAGAGAGAAGCTCCACCTCAAAAAATAAAAAAATAAAAATAAAAATAAAGCAAAATTTTAACATTCTCTGATGGGGTTTCAACATATGTAGATATAAGAGATAAGACTATTATAAAGCAGGGAGGGCAAGAGGACCTGTATGTTGGGAGGTTTCTATATTCCACTTGAAGTGGTAAAATATTGATTTTAAGTGGACTGTGGAAAGTTAAGTGTGTATATTATTCCCCAGATGAACTAATTAAAAAAAAAAACTATACAAAGAGATAGAGTCCAAATTGCCATACATCAAAATGGAGTATGAAAAATTATTCAAAAACCCCAAAGAATAGAGAAAATGGGAAACAATAACAGAGAGAACACACAGAAAACAAATAATAAAAGGGTGGACCTAAATCCAAACATATGAATAATTTTCATTTTTTATTTTTTTTGAGACAGAATCTTGCTCTGCTGCCCAGGCTGGAGTGCAGTGGCGTGATCACAGCTCACTGCAGCCTCTGCCTCCTGGGCTGAAGTGATCCTCCCACCTCAGCCTCCTGAGTAACTGGGGCAACAGGCACATGCCACAACACCCAGCTAAGTTTTGTATTTTTTGTAGAGACAGAGTTTCACCATGTTGCCCACGCTGGTCTCAAACTCCTGGGCTCAAGTGATCCACCTGCCTCTGTCTCTCAAAGTGTTGGAATTACAGGCGTGAGCCACTACCCTAGCTGAAACATATCAATAATTTTACTAAATTTTTGCAGATTGAACACTCCAATCAAATTTATTTCTAGTGTCATTTCTCTTTTATCTGAAGAACTTTATTTAAAATTATTTTAGAGCTGGTCTACTGGCAATGAATTATCTTAGTTTTCCTTCCTCTGAGACTATTTTTATTTCACTTTATTCCTGAAAGAGTGCTATGGGGGTATATAATTCTGAGTTTCTAGCTCTTTTCTTTCAACATTTCCTTCTGATCTGCAAGGCTCAAATCTGCAGTCATTGAAATCACTGTCCCTCTTATAGGTATGCATCATTTTTCTCTAGCTGCTTTTAAGATTATTTTTCTTTGTCTTTAGTTTTTAGGAGGTTGATTATAATTTCTGGGCATGGATTTCTTTGGCTTTATTTTCTTCAGAGTTCACTGAATTTTTAAAAATCTCTATGTTTATGTCTTTTGCTACACTTGTGAAGTTTTCAGTCATTACATCTTCAAATATTTTTCCAGCACCATACTCTTTTTCCTTCTGGAACTCTAATTACATAAGTTAGCCTTTGTTTTTTGTTTTGTTGTTGTTGCTGTTGTTGTTTTTTGAGACAGGTTCTCATTCTGTCACTCAGGCTGGAGTACAGTGGTATGATCACAGCTCACTGCAGCCTCAACCTCCCAGGCTCAAGTGGTCCTCCTGCCTCCTGAACAGCTGGGACTACAGGCATACACCACTATATCTAGCAAATATTTGTAATTTTTCTAGAGATGAGGTTTTTCCATGTTGCCCAGGCTGGGAAAGTTATACTTTTTGTTAGTAACTCACAGGCCCCTAACACTGCATTCATTTTCTAAAAGGAATTTTTTTTCTCTGTTTTTCAGATTAAAAGCTTTCCTTCTTTTCTTTTTCTTTCTCTGTCTTTCTTTCTTTCTCTCTTTCTTTTCCTTTCTTTTCTCATTCTTTTTTTTTTTTTTTTTTTGACAAAGTTCTCATTATGTTGCCCAGGATGGTCTCAAGCTCCTGAGCTTAAATGAGCCTCCCACTTCAGTCTTCCAAAGTGCTGGAATTACAGATGTGAGCCACTGTGCCTGGCCCAGATTGGAAAATTTATATTGACATATCTTTAAGTTCATTGATTCTTTCCTCTGTCATCTCCATCTTTTTTTTGAGCCTATTGAGTAAAAGTGGTTTTTTTTGGCCATTGTATTTTTCAATTCTAATATTTTCATTTGGTTCTTCTTCATATCTTCTTTTTTTCTGAGACTTTCTATTTTTCCATTTGTTTTAAGAGTGTTTGCAAGTGTTTGGTAAAGCATTTATATAATAGCTGTTTTAAAGTCTTTGTCAGATAATTCCAACATCTGTGTTAAGTTTGTATTAGTGTCTGTTATCATTTCCTAGGCAAGCTAAGATTTTCCTGGTTCCTTGTACACCAAGTAAATTTTAAATTACTATTATTTGTAGAGATGAGGTCTTGCTACGGTGCCCAGGCTGGTCTTGAACTCCTGACCTCAAGTGATCCTCCCACTTAAGTCTTCCAAAGTGCTGGGATTACAGGCATAAGCCATCATGCCTGACTACCTCCAAGTAATTCTGGATTGTCTCTTGGACATATTGAATATCATATTCTGAAACTCTGGGTCTTATTTACATTCTACAGTGAATGTTGATTTTTTTGGTTTGTTTTTTCAGCAGACAGTTGACCCGGTTAGGTTAAGGCTGCAAGTTTCAACCCACTTTCTGTGAGCTGTGGTTCTAACGTCAGCTCAGCTTTTTAAGCCTCTGTTGTGCTATTCAGATCTGTCCCATATATAGGTCATCTGGTGGCCATTTTGGGCCCTGGATGGTGGCACATTTGTTAGTTTGGTTTTCAAAGTCTTTGGTGTGCTGATTAGAATCAGATTCATGTATGCAGAGCTCACTGATGAGTTCAGGAGTTCATAATCCATCTCCCCAGTTTCTATAGTTCTTTCCAGTCCCCTGGTGCTCCCTGTTTTTGTTCTTCGGCTACCAAGCTGAGGCTTTAGTTACCCATCTCTGCTGCACCCTTCTATAACTGTGCTTGCATACAGGGCCAAGTAGCAGAAGGATGGAGAGAGAGAGAAAAAGGCAATGGGGGCTTGCCCCACTCTCTTGGGGCCACAGTTCCACCATTCAGAGAGAAAGTTTCCTTCTCACAGAGTGTTGGCTCCTGCAGGTTCCTATTGTGGTCCCCACCATCACCCCTACGAGACTGCTTGAGAGTTGGAATCCAAGACAGCAGAGAGAAGAAAAAACTCTGAGGACTTCTGTACTTTCTCTGAGCGTTAGGAGTTCCTACCCAGCTCTGTAACAGAAACCTAGAGGGTTTCTCCTGGAGCTCTCCCTTTTTGGGCCCCAGTGCCCACTTCCAGGTTTAAGGCTGCATTGCATTCAGGTCAAGAGATACTGGAAGAAAAAGAAAAAAAAAAGTAAACTCATCATGATTTTGGTCATCCATTGAATGCTGATCTTCCACAATCCACCTTCTACTATTCACTTTCAGAGTCTTCAAATAGGTGTGGTGCTGCATGTGCATTCTGTCCACATTTTATAATTAGAAATGTAACACTCGAAACCCAAAACCAGAACACCCAAAACGCTGGTTTGCTTTTCGGCTTTGCAGTTATTTTATACTGCATTTGTTATGACTGCATTCTGGGGAGAAGTATCCAGACTCGTGGGTGTACGTTCGCTTTTTATTAAGAAATTTTATCTGAAAAAGAATTCTCGTTTCTCCTTGTCTATAATATGTGAACCAAATATAACTGTGATTCATATATTAAATACGCATTTATTTAATTTACTTCTAGGGTAAACAGAGACATAAAACTTCTCATGCCTCAGGGCAGTCTTGACTTAGGCATTGAACTCTGTTGCGAGCTTTGTTCCCTTTTTATTTGAACAATCTTCAGGCACTTAATTATGAGGTTGCTGACTGGCGTGCATGGTGAAAAAAAAAAGTTTTCAGGTTAGTGAACCTCTTCTACATTTAAAGAAAAACATTTACCACCAAAGCAATTTCACAGAGATCCTGGTAGAAATGACATTCCTACTGGGTAATTTGATGTTCTCATTGTAAAATAAGTTTTTAACTTTTTCCTTCCTCACACATGTTGCATCCAATATACTAGCAAGTACCAATGCTGTTTACAATAAAATATCACACTCTAAGATAATTGTTCTGTATTACCAGAATATTACTTTAGTACTACTTATGAGGTTGAAATATTGAAAAACACGGTTTCCAGCAACTACTCTTCACGTGAAGTTGAAAACTGAATTCCATTTTAATAATTATGACTGTGGGAGTGGTTACATGAGATTTTTCTTTTTGTTTATCTTTGCTTTTCCATGTTTTTAAGCTATCTATGATTTTAAAGAAAGCATCACTTTCATCAGATTAAACATGCTTTACAAATGAGGATACTTGTACTAGAAGCTTGGAAAACTAGGGATGCATCATCCTCAAACCTGAATAAGCGTGATTAAATGGCTTGTCCCTTCTGGGTCTCAGCTATCTCATCTGAATGTGGTTACAATCATCTCTGTTCTGCTTATTTATTCCCAAAGGTTTTTGGTGAGAATCAGACTAAGAGGTAAAGTAAAAACAGTTTACTACTCATAAATTCTGTGCAATTATGAGGCTCCTGCTGATACTGAGATTATAATGATGAAAAATAAGGCAAGAGAGGGAATTTTTATCATTACCATAGACCTTAACCCTTTCAGTCATGAGGCTAATGGTAAATTATTTAAAATTATGATATTATGCATTCCTTTCTTCTGGAAAAAATTTTTGTGTGTTGTTCCCTGAAGATCAGAGGTCAAAAACTAGCAACTAGCACATGTATTTGGTTGACCCACCCAGAGTTAGCCTATGTAGTATATTTTAAAATGTGAAACTCACTTCCTTAGCCAAAGGGTGGAAGAAAGGAACATGGGAAAAGGGTGAGGGAATGATTCTTTGTAGTTCTCCATTCTTTCAGCTGAGAACGTACTTTTTTTTACTAAGTCCTCTGGTTATGTTTGGACTTGAACACTCATTGACAGGACCTGCCTGGCCCCAGTAGGCACTGAGTTTAGAATCCTGTTGTAGATGTGTAAAATCAAGTTGTCTTTGCATGAATTCTACGTTAGGTTTTTATTTTCAGAGCAATTACTGAGCTTCCATAGGGTACTGACCTCTCCAGTGACCATCACAGTGTTGCTGATGACTCTGTAGTCTCCTCTTGTCTTTTAATTAAGAAGCCACTGTATTTTATTTATTTGTGGCAGGGCACGGTGGCTCACGCCTGTAATCCCAGCATTTTGGGAGGCCGAGGCTGGCGGATCACAAGGTCAGGAGATCAAGACCATCCTGGCTAACATGGTGAAATCCCGTCTCTACTAAAAATACAAAAAATTAGCCAGGCGTGGTGGCGGGCGCCTGTAGTCCCAGCTACTTGGGAGGCTGAGGCAGGAGAATGGCGTGAACCTGGGAGGCGGAGCTTGCAGTGAGCCGAGATGCACCACTGCACTCCAGCCTGGGCGACAGAGCGAGACTCCGCCTCAAAAAAAAAAAAAAAAAAAAAAAATAAGAAGCCACTGTATTTATTTGTTTAATATGTAGACTTCAGGACTCTATCAAAAAACTAGAATATAGTATGTGAAAGCATTTCTGACAGTGATTATGCAATGAAACATAGCTTTCAAGCTGCTCTTCTCTTGGAAAATTGTCATGTTTCTTTCTTTTTTTTTTTCCTTGAGACAGAGTCTTGCTCTGTTGCCCAGGCTGGAGTGCAGTGGTGCCAGTGCATCCAAGAACACCTGGGCTCAAGTAGTGATCCTCCAGCCGCAGCCTCCCAAGTAGCTGGGACTGCAGGTGCACACCACAATGCCCGGCTAATTTTTTTTTTTTTAATGTTGTGTAAAGACAGAGTCTTGCCATGTTGCCCAGGCTGGTCTTGAACTCCTGGTCTCAAGCTGTCCTGCCTTGGCCTCCCAAAGTGCTGGGATTACAGGCATAAGCCACTGTACCTGGGCTATGCTTCATCTTAAATGAGTCAGAGATGGTGATTTTGTCTACTCTGATGACAAAATAGATAGTTCTATTCTTCATCTTGGGTTCAGTGTTAGTGTGTGAAATAACTTTGTTAACTCTTGGATGACTTGTGTAGTAAAAATGCTGAGAAGGTGACAGGAATGTGACTTGAGACTGATGTCCAGACTTCAGAAGATAGGTAGAGGCGTGCAGTGCTGGGCCCAATGGATTCAATAAATAACATATGATCTCAGCCTTCAAGGAAAGTATAATAATGCAGAAAAGAATTTCTTTGACAATTACTATCTTGTCTTGTGATGAATAATTGGAGAGAGAACTCTTCAGAGCAAAGAAACTATCCTAAATTCCTGATGTGATTTATCAGTATTTATCTCAAATATACAAAAAAGCAAAATCTTTCACTGCTTTGATAACCTTTTAAAAACATGTTACTTTAAAAACTTTCTTGTTTTGAAAGAATATACTTTCTTTTTTTTTTTTTTTTTTTTGAGACAGAGTCTCGCTCTGTCACCCAGGCTGGAGTGCAATGGCACAATTCTGACTCACTGCAAACTCTGCCTCCTGGGTTCAAGTGATTCTCTTGCCTCAGCCTCCCAAGTAGCTGGGATTACAGGTGCCTGCCACCAGCCCAGCTAATTTTTTTGTATTTTTAATAGAGACGGGGTTTCACCAGGTTAGCCAGGCTGGTCTTGAACTCCTGACCTAAGAATTCACTTGAAATATGTTTCTTGGAACGTATCATTTCTACACTGAATGGACATATCTGGCCTTATATATACTATGTCTCACTTTCTTGTGTGTGCCATAATTGCATGCATGCACCACCCTTTAAAACAGCAACTGAGGGCCGGACGCGGTGGCTCACACCTGTGACCCCAGCACTTTGGGAGGCTGAGGCGGGCCGATCACGAGGTCAGGAGGTCAAGACCTGCCTAACACGGTGAAACCCTGTCTCTACTAAAAATACAGAAAATTAGCTGGGCGTGGTGGCGGGCGCCCGTAGTCCCAGCTGCTTGGGAGGCTGAGGCAGGAGAATGGTGTGAACCAGCTTGCAGTGAGCCGAGATTGAGCCACTGCACACCAGCCTGGGCTACAGAGCCAGACTCCGTCTGAAAACAAAAACAAAAACAAAAACAAAAAAACGCAAAAAACAGCAACTGAGATAAAATTGAGGTGTTTCTAAACACCTCAATTAAACAGTAAAATTAAACAGTAAAATTAAAATTAAACAGTAAAATTAAAGAGTCATTAATAGTTGTATGTGCGCTTATGAAAATGAGGCTGGGAGGAAAATAACTGATTTTTATTATTTATTTATTTTTGAGACGGAGTCTCGCTCTGTCGCCCAGGCTGGAGTGCAGTGGCGCGATCTCGGCTCACTGCAAGCTCTGCCTCCCGGGTTCCCGCCATTCTCCTGCCTCACTCTCCCGAGTAGCTGGGACTACAGGCGCCCGCCATCACGCCCGGAGAATTTTTTTGTATTTTTAGAAGACACGGGGTTTCACCGTGTTAGCCAGGATGGTCTCCATCTCCTGACCTCGTGATCCGCCTGCCTCGGCCTCCCAAAGTGCTGGGATTACAGGCTTGAGCCACCGCGCCCGGCTGAAAATAACTGATTTTGTTATGGTAAAAATAATCCAGCTTCCTCTGGACCGCCAGAAACAGTTAATAAATACGTGTGTAGCCACGGTTCCCTCTTTACATATAATTGAATTGTTGGAAGATAATTTTAATCAGGAAAGAAGTTATCGGGTAGTTTTGGTTTGTGTTCTTCCCCCTAATTGGTTTTCTGCTATTTCTAAAATGTTACATAATATATAGCTCCTCACCCTCTACCTTAGAGAAAATTATCCAGTAAAAGAATACAAAAGGCTAAAGATATGTTTACTTACCTATCTTTTTCAGTGTAATTATGGTTTTTCCAGGTAGTTTTTTTGCTATAAGGGTAATGTCCTTTGGTTTTGTTTACATGAAAGAACCATGACTTTCCAGCAGGAAATGAAAGTAGGCTGTTATTTCTAAATGCTGGAAAATGTTTTTGTTTTCTTGGTGGAAGTGAGAGATTGAGGGGGCCAGAAGTCTTGTTTAATTTTGTAGTTCTGTATTTGAGTTCTTTGGTAGTTGATAGAGAAAAGTGAACTTTAAGAAGCCATTTGTATTTATTTGTTGAGTAGACAGTTGGTCTTCCATGTCTGTGGGTTCTGCATCCATGAATTCAACCAACCTCAGATTAAAAATATTTTGAAAAAAAAATTCCACAAAGTTCCAAAAAGCAAAACTTGATTTTGCCATCCACTGAGTACTGTGTTGAATCCACTTGAATGAAATGATATGTAGGCATTGTATTAGGTATTATAAGGAATCTGGAAATGATTTACAGTAGACAGGAGGATGTGCCTAGGTTACATGCAATTGCTATGCCATTTTATATAAGGGACTTGAGCATCTGTGAATTTTGGTATCTGAGCGGGATTCTAGAACCAATCCACTGAGGGTAGTGAATGAAAACTCTATAGAATCAAAGGTTTTATTGAAAAACTAGCATTTGGGAATGTGACAGTATTTCTGACAACAATTACCCAATGAAGTAGCTTTCAAGCTATTTGTATCTCCAATCCTTTCTTAAAAGTTCCAATAAAACGTTTTCTTTTAAGATTTTCCATGAATATTAGTTGGGAGGATAGCTAATGATAAAAAGGCAGGGAGTTCAAGACCAGCCTGGCCAATGTGGCGAAACCCCGTCTCTACTAGAAAAATACAAAAATCGGCTGGGCGTGGTGGCAGGCGCCTGTAGTCCCAGCTACGCAAGAGGTTGAAGCAGGGGAGTTTCTTGAATCCCAGAGGCAGAGGTTGCAGTGAGCTGACATTGTGCCACTGCACTCCAGCTTGGGTAAGAGAGCGAGACTCCATCTCAAAAAAAAAATAATAATAATAATAAAAATAAGGAGAGAAAAGAGTCCTCTTTTTAAAAATTGAGATAAAATTTGCATACTATAAAATTCACCATGTTAAAGTCTAGTATATTGACAAGTTTGTGCAATCATTATCACAATGTAGTTCCAGAGCATTTTCATCATGCTAGGAAGAAAACATATGTCCTTTAGAAATCATTCATTTATTTCCTTCTTCCCCCAGCCTCGAGCAGCTACTAATCTACTTTCTGCCTCTATGGATGTGCCTATCTGGACAGTTCATATAAATGGAATCATACTATGAGATCTTTTGTGTCTGGCCTCTTTCACTTAGTGTAATGTTGTTTTTTGTTTTTTATTTTTTTGAGACAGGGTCTTGCTCTGTCATCCAGGCTGGAGTGCAGTGGCGCAATCTAGCCTCACTGCAGCCTCAACCACCGGGACTCAAGTGATCCTCCCACCTCAGCCTCCCGAGTAGCTGGGACTACAGGCACAGGCCATTATCTCTAGCTAATTCTTTGTATTTTTTATAGAGACAGAATCTCACTGTGTTGCCAAGGCTGGTCTCGAACTTCACTTGCCTTGGCCTCGAAAAATGCTGAGATTACAGGCATGAGCCACCAGGCTCGGCTGGAACATAATGTTTTCAAGGTTCATCTACCTTGACTGTTACTCTTTTAATTCTCTTAACAACGCCCTGTGAAACAATGGCAAACCAATTTTACCATGGAGGAAATGGAAACATATATTAACTTGCTCTTGGGCACAACAATCACACTTTCATTCAACAAACATGTATGGGGCACCTATGCCTGACAGAAATCTTCTGCAAAGTGAGGTTCTGGCATTTAGAAGGTGGTGATACCACAAATAAATGGACATCCAATATAATGGTAAATAGTAGTAAGTATAATAAAGAAAAATAAAGAAAAATTAAGTGGATAGGAAATGCAGAGGGTATTATTTTAGATGGTGGGGGAGTCAGGGAAGGTCTCTCTGAGGAGATAACATTTGAAGTGAGACCTGAATGAAAGGAGGGAGGAGGTCATGAAGAAATCATTTCAGGCAGAGGAAAGAGCAGATGCAAAGGTCCTGAGGCAGGAGTGCATTTAGTGTGCAACAAGGTAGCCAGCATGAATGGATGGTAGTGAGAGGAGGGGGGTGAGGACAGAGGTAGAGGAGGCAAGAGATTTGGCCTCAGTTAGGGGCAGGGGCAACCCTATTGTAACAGGGCAGCGGGCACATGGCAGAGTATCAGAGTACAGATAAAACAGGCTGGTATAGCCGGTAGTGGAAGGATGAGGAAACTCCTGAGTGTTTGTTATCTCAGTGTAACAAGAAGAAAAGTGATAACTGAGAGTGAGGAGAGGTTGATGGTGTCAGAAAGTGGAGAAGAGAGTGAATGGACCAGGGATATTTTGGTGAAGTTATCTAGCAACACCTGGGGACTCTCTGTGATGTGATTTTCTCCAGCCACATTAAGCCTTCCAAGTGCCAATGCAGAGTATGAAGGAAAATCAGTTTCAACCAGGGCTGAGGTTTTGCCAAGTAAGGAGGACAATGGGAAAGAGAGACAATAGGCTGGGTGCAGTGGCTCACGCCTGTAATTCCAGCACTTTGGGAGGCAGAAGAGGATCACTTGAGGCCAGAAGTTCGAGACCAACCTGGGATATATAGTGAGACCCCATCTCTACAAAAAAGACAAAACAAAGACTTATATCAAGAGGGACAACAGAGCATGGTGATATGTGCAAGGGAGTGATTCTACAAGGACCATACAATCTCAACAGAGAAAGCAGGGAGGAAAGGACAGAAGGGGGAATGATAGAGACTGTAGGTTAGTGGGATGGAGTTAATGGAGTCTGACTGCCAGAGGGAGTGAGCTGGAAAATAGGAAGTGATATTTTGAGAGTTTGTAGTTATTGGTTATGACAAAGTGTAATGTAAGACTCTAGGACTGTGTGGCTGAGGTGGGTGGAGGTTAAGATTATTAAAGAGAAACTCAAGAAAATAAGAGACCAGGGTATTGGATGGACCCTTTTTGTGAATAATGAAATCACCAAGAGGATGACAAGAAAAATGGTGAAGAAAAGGAAATAATGAGGGAGACACTAGAATGAATGGAGGGAAGTTAGTGGATAACTACAAAAAGCAGATGACTATAAACAGCAAAAAGCAGTAGTATCATTTAATGTCATATATTTCAAAAGAGCCGCAGATTTTTAGAAAGGGGGAATAATGGTCTGGAATTAGCAAAGATGAACAAGAGTTCACTTCCATGATCAGTGGTTTTGGGGTATATGACTGATAAAGTTAGGATTTAAACTAGTTCTGTCTGATTTCCAGTCATTTCCATTATACCACCTCAGGTCTGGATTGGAATTATAGTTCTTGGACCTAGATTTCAATATTCTCTTACCACCTCTGCATTTGGCTGCCCTCAAAGTTGTGTTGCTTTAAACAGTTGCCAGGATCTATTATAAAAGTCTGATTCATGTTAAGATTTTAAAAATATATTCTGGAAAATTTCAAACATGTACAGAAACAGAGATACTAGTCTAACAATCCCCCATGTAGCCATCACCCAATTTCAACACTTACCAGCCCAAAACTCATCCTCATTCTTCCACATCCTCAGTCTCTTTCCTCTGCAATTACTTTGAGAAAAATCCCTGGCTTTACATCTTGTCATCCATATTTCAATATTTACCTCTAAGAGATAAAGCGCTATTTGTCAAAAAATCGCATCTAAAATTACAATAATTCTTCAATATCATCAAATATCTAGTCAGTGTTCAAATCTTCCTGATTGGCTCATTATTTTTTTTAAACAGATGTTTGTTCAGATCAGACTCCAAATAAAGTCCATTCACTACAATTGGCTAATATGTTGAAGAAACTGGGGCCTTTGTCCTGTAGCTTCCCACAGTCTGGATTTTGTTGATTGCATCCCCATGGTGTTATTTAACATGCTTCTTTGTTTTCTATAATTCCTGGAAATTGGCAATCAAATCTTGAGGCTGGTCAGACACAGGTTTTATTTTTCTAAGAACTCTAACATGAATAAAATCATAGGTGGTGGTGTATACTTGATCAGAGGCTGTAGGTCCGTTTGTCTGTCACTGATGTTAGAAGCCACTGGTGATTTTTGCCTAGATCCATTATTTCAAAATGGCAACATTGTATCAATTTTTCTTCATTTATTAGATTGACAACTTTGAAACAGAGCAAGTTCCCTTCATGAACTAATTTGTGACCCTGAAGTCCAATGATGTGGTTTAGGAAAGGCAGCCTACACTTTCCCTTTTCTCACTGCCTATTTACTTTTGAAACAGGCTTATCTGAGTGTATATTTTGTCTTTTATGTATTTAAAGCTCGTCCTACGTTTGAAACCAGAGTACATTTCAGGATGCACTTTTGCATTGTGGTGTAATATGAATAGATTTATCACTAAATGGAAATATAGGATTTAGTTCTAACACCCTTGAGTTGGACTGTACTGAGAAGCATTCAAATGTTTAACAAGCAGCTTCCCAACGTTCAGATGCATTTCACAAAAGTTCATAAACTATTAAACTCTTTTCTGAAAGGTGACCAACTAAATA
Source organism: Homo sapiens (assembly GCF_000001405.40). Lineage (NCBI taxonomy): Eukaryota > Metazoa > Chordata > Mammalia > Primates > Hominidae > Homo > Homo sapiens. Next base: position 85,206,181 of record NC_000001.11, on the reverse strand, counting down.
ATTTATAAAAACAAAGGTTCAAGCCAGTGCAAGGATTATTACATCAACTGTCTAGTCTCTTTTTCTATTCAAAGAAATAACACAGGAGTGTAGTGCCTATGGAATCAGACAGATGGGATTTGAATTCTTCTTATTACGCTGAGCTTGGGCAAGTTGTTCTATATATCCCAAGTATATTAATATAATAAGAGATTCTGAAATATCAGTGACTATTCTAAAGCATACATTTCTAAAACATCACAAAATACACATGCACTTAACAAAAGTTCTTTTTTACTACTTTGTTTTTGTTTCCCTTTTTTTTTTTTTTTTTTGTTGAGACAGAGTCTCGCTCTGTCACCCAGGCTGGAGTGCAGTGGCACGATCTCGGCTGCAAACTCTGCCTCCCAGGTTCACGCCATTCTCCTGCCTCAGCCTCCCAACTAGCTGGGACTACAGGCACCCGCCACCATGCTCAGCTAATTGTTTTTGTATTTTTAGTAAAGACAGGGTTTCACCGTATTAACCAGGATGGTCTCGATCTCCTGACCTCGTGATCCGCCCGCCTGGGCCTCCCAAAGTGCTGGAATTACAGGCGTGAGCCGCTGCACCCGGCCTTTGTTTGCATTTTGAGGCAGAGTGTTGTTCTGTCACCCAGGCTGCAGTGCAGTGGCACCATCTAGGCTCACTGCAACCTCTACTTCCTGGGCTCAAGTGAATCTCATGCCTCAGCCTCCCAAGTAGCTGGGATTACAGGCGTGAGCCATCACACCCAGCTAATTTTTGTATTTGTAGTAGAGATACAGTTTCTATGTTGGCCCGGATGGTCTTGAACCCCCAGCTTCAAGTGATCTGCCCACCTTAGCCTCCCAAAGTGCTGGGATTACAGGCGTGAGTCACCAGGCCCAGCCTATCTTTTTTATTACTTTGATGGGGGTGGGGATGGGTTAAGCAATATTGCAAATTGCCAGATATTAATTATGAAATAGTACAAATTGCTGTACTGAGAATATGCCATCTTTGATTCTCAGTGCAGTGTTAGCGTGGTCAGCTTTAGGCTGAAGTATATTTTACTCCATACTAACGGAGTTGCATGGCAGACGAGGGAGGTCTACTCCAGGACATCCCTGTAAGGCAGTTTAGGGAGACAATACTGGACAAATGGTAGAGCTAAATTTGCCTTTGGTTCCACTAAGAGTATAATGGAAGACTGAACATCAGTGAGACAGAAATGCACTCTAAATTGACTAGAAAATAACCATAACATACCTAAACACTTCCCTTCTATTACTGTTAAACCTAGCCCTCTGCCTCAACTTGCCCTGCTTTTCTCCCCCTCCTCCCAGATTGAGTCAGTGCTACTCCATCCCTAGTTTGGATCCCTGCCTTACTGGAGCCCTGTTATCCCGTAGTTGTTATATCTTTTGTGACAGTGCCAACACATAGTTAGTAATAGATGGGGCATCAAAATTATTTCCCAGTCACTGAGAAACAAGTATAAACACTGAAAAATGATTCCCATCCCCTAATTTTCATGGGAATCTATGGATTAGAAAGATATGAAAATTGAGATAAGTGAGGGAATAGGATACAAATTGTAAAAAAAGATTTTACAAAGTATAGTTTATGTTCATATCTTGTCATTATCTTAATTATATTAGGCATAATATAAGTTTTGTGGGCATTGTCTCTTTAGAATTACATTTTTACCAACTTTTTATTGATGTGTAATGCACATACAGAAAAGTGGAATTTACATTATTAAGGTCTTTAAATAGTGTCATATGGCCATGACTGCCTTATTAATTTCTGTTGTGACACAAAATGATTAAAATTGTGAATTCATGAGTTAGAACATTCTCAACTTTAAAGAAGCATTAAGTTCAGTCGTGGTATGCTGCATCAAACTTAGTTCTGAGTAACGCCTAGAACAATGCATAGTATTTTATATTGGCCAATAACCAATGTTTTATAACTCCTGAACAAGTGGATAAACTGAATTCGGGATGAAGTTCAATCCAGATCTTCAAGGTTATATTTTTCTACTCATATATATCTATCTGCATATAGATATATATGCAGCTTATAGTGTTCTTAACAGCTATGTTAACTACAAAGCATAAAAAGATTTTGCAACAGAGTTGGAATGGAAACAATTTCTGAGATAGAGATCAAATTGTGTTTATAGAACCATTATTGGCAACTTTGCTATCAGTCATTTCCTGTGGGAATATTTCACTGGGACATAGTTTTATGCCTTGACTATTCATTAAATAGCCTGGGGCCCATGGAATGAAAATATTGTAGAACTACAAATATCAATATATGCAAATTATAGTGTAATATTTCATCACATTTCATTGCATTTTCTTAGATACGAATTAAGATTATTTAACAAACTGTGTCTCTTACTCATCGCAGAAAGAATTTTAAAACAACACTAATATAGCATGGTCTAGTGGAGAGTTAGGCAATAGACTGGAATTAAAGCCACTTGTTCTCTCTAAATTAAAATTGATATTAATTCAAAAATGTTTATTCATCATGCACAATATATAAGATGCTAAAGTTATACTCCTGTGGAGAATATAAAGGTCAATTATAAACAGTTTCTGCCCTTAGGGAGTTTATGAATTTTCTTGTAAAGGAGAAAGGACATGTATACAAACTGTATAAAACAAAAAACAGTAACTATACTATGGGTGGGAATAAAGTAATATTGAAGTTTAGAACTTGAGTTCCCGTCTGGGAGATCAGAGATGACTTCATAAACAAGAAGGCAGTTGAGCTGAGTTTTATTATTTTATTCTTATTATTTTGAGACAGAATCTCCCTCAGTCATCCAGGTTGGAATGAAGTGTCATGATCTCGGTTCATTGCAGCTTCAGCCTCACAGGCTCAAGTGATCCTCCCACCGCGGCCTCTAGAGTAGCTAGGACTACAGGTGCACACCACCACATCTAGCCAATTTTTTTTGTGTTTTTTTTTTTGTTTGTTTTTGTTCCTCGTAGAGACCAGGTTGTGCCATGTTGTCCAGGCTGGTCTTGAACTCCTGGGCTCAAGCAATCTGCCCATCTCAGCCTCTCAAAGTGCTAAGATTACAGGCATGAGCCACCCCGCCTGGCCTAGAGCAGAGTTTTAGAGAGTGGGTAAGATTTCTGCAAATATTCTCTCTTATCTGCAAATCTCAGATGCAGGTAACAATTATTCCAGAAAGCAGAGACTAGGTACTAATAAAGGTAGTATAGTCAAAGCACATTCAGAGATTGGAGCCACTGGACAACAAGAAAACAACTGACATAGGAAAATATACTGCAGTTGCAAATAAGGTAAATTAGGGCAAAATTATTTCATTTTATTCAGTAATGCAAACATTTATTTATTCAACAAATATTTTCTTAAGTATTTGAGTATCTACTAAGTGCACGCACTGTGCTAGGTGTCAGCATATTTATGAGTAACTCAGAAAAAGGCCCTTTCTACTATGTAAACACTAAAAAAAGTAACTCAAATCAGGGATGATAGCACGACTGATTCTTATCAGTCACTGAATCAATTAATCTCTGGCAACGAGGGGTACTTGAGTTTGCAACTGCTGCCCAGAACCTGGAATTTAACGTTTTTGGGAGACAGCCGGTATTTCTAGATTACACTGTGTCTCAACTTCAATTCAATTGCTTCTCAACTCACTATTTAAATTAAAATGAAGTGTTAACTTTTTTATATTAGAAAGCTGCAAACCTGTATGATAATCTTGTAGGTAGGGTGATGAGGGACATAATATTTGTGGCTCCATTTTACAAGTTTTGGCTGATGTAATAATTTTGTTAGCATGCATTAACTGAAATAAAGAAGGAAAAACAGACTTAAAAGAGACATCGGTGGGTGGGTTTTGTTTTGTTTTTGATAAAAGAACTCTTATAGAAAAGGAATCGCTGCAAATTTCTTTTAGCTAGCTAGCTCTCTGGGCGATTAAAATGATTGATACATTTCTAGAACACATGCACCGAGATACACCTGCACTCGTACTTTGTCCGTCAAAACAATCTTTGTTTTCTCTCAAGCTAGGACTTGCTGTGCCTAAGACACACCTCGTGCAGCGGTGGCGGTGAAGGTGCTGGGGTGACAGCCAGGAGGGCACTTTCCCTTTCTCGGGCTCCCTAACCAAAACTTTGCAGCCACCAGCCCAAACTCACGTTCCTGCTCGTTCTTCTTTCCCCTGCCTCAACTCTCCCCGCACCCTTCGCGCTCTGTGCGCCCACCCCTGCTTCCGTCGGTCAGCTTCAGCCGACCTACTACTCAACCTACCGGCCCGCGCCCTCCGCCTCCACCTGCACCACTCGCCCACCCCGAGAACCCACCTCTGCCGCCCCCGGCCCGCGCGCCCCGTCGCGGCCCGGGGCTCCGGGGCATGCGCGTTGCGGCGCCACCGCCCTCCCCCACGCCTTCCCGCGGCAGAGTTATGCCAAGTATGTGAGGAGCCGGCGAGGGCCAGCGCCGGTCATGGGGAGCCGCCGCCGCCTCCGCCTCCGCCTCCGCGAGCGCGGTTTTCTCCCCAGCGGGGCTCCGACCTCTCCCCCTGGCGGGGGTGAGCCTCGCGGCTAAGGCAGAGGGGATGGCGGACCCTCTGAGGAGGACGCTGTCCAGGCTCCGGGGAAGGCGGGGTCCCCGCGGCACCGGGGGGCTAGGGCTCCGGGCGGCAGCCGCAGCTGCGGTGGCGGCCTCTTCGGCAGCCGCGGGAGACGCCTGGGGTGCCGCAGACACCCTCCCACGTGAGCACGCCGGGGGACACGGGCGGAGCCTACAGCAGCCCTCGCCGTCACCTGAGGCGTGGGGTCCCGGGGCGCGGGTCCCCGGAGGGCACCCGGAGCAGTTGGGGGCGCTCGGGCCTCGGCCGCGCGGCGGGCAGGAGGCCGCCCCCCAGAGCCATGGGCTCGCTCACGCCCCTCCGCACTCCCCGGAGGGCTCCGAGGACAGCGGAGAGGAGGAGGAAGACGACAAGGACGAAGACGACTACGACGCCGACTACTACGAAAACCTGCCCGGCGGCTCGCAGTCTGCGCCCGAGCCTGAGGGGGCGGAGGCGGAACGGCGTCCCCCGCCTCCCCCAGCGGCGGGCTCCTCCCTGGGGGCGGAGGGCGGCCGCCTGGAGACAGGCAGGCTGCGGACCCAGTTGCGAGAGGCCTATTATCTGCTGATCCAGGCCATGCACGACCTGCCCCCTGACTCGGGCGCGCGGCGGGGCGGCAGGGGCTTGGCGGATCACAGCTTCCCCGCGGGAGCCCGGGCTCCGGGCCAGCCGCCTTCCCGCGGCGCCGCGTACCGCCGAGCCTGCCCCCGGGACGGGGAGCGGGGAGGCGGCGGACGCCCTCGGCAGCAGGTGTCCCCGCCCCGGTCGCCTCAGAGGGAGCCGCGGGGAGGCCAGCTGCGGACTCCTCGGATGCGGCCGTCCTGCAGCAGAAGCCTCGAGAGCCTCCGGGTGGGTGCCAAGCCGCCTCCCTTCCAGCGGTGGCCGAGCGACAGCTGGATCAGGTGCGGCGCGCACCGGGACTGGGACGAGCCCCCGCCACGTGGAGGCAGGATGGACGGCTGGAGTGGGGACCGCGCCCGGGCGGCTGCACCCACCGGCCTCCAGCCTCCAGGCTGCAAGGACCACGGCTGCTCCTCGGGAAGCCCTTTCAGGGATCCAGCGGGGTCCTCTGTGATACGCAGTGGCAAAGGAGACCGCCAGGAAGGCCCCTCCTTCCTCAGGCCGCCGGCAGTGACAGTCAAGAAGCTGCAGAAGTGGATGTACAAAGGGCGTCTGCTGTCCCTGGGAATGAAGGGTCGTGCCCGTGGGACGGCTCCCAAAGTCACAGGAACGCAGGCAGCCTCCCCAAATGTGGGCGCTTTGAAAGTGCGTGAAAACCGTGTCCTGTCGGTGCCTCCAGACCAAAGAATTACGCTGACAGGTAGGATACTTTGCGATGAAAATGCTAGCACCGCGAGCCTTACTGTTTACCGACTGGGCTTCTGTCTTAAGAGCCAAGAAAAAGTTATGTTTTTGCGACAGGTACGTTACCGGGCGAAAGTAAGTGTCATGTAAGTGGCAGCTTAAAGTAATTTCGGGGTTACTTAATGTAATGCATTTACTCGTTTTGCTTTTTTTTTTCTTTTTAATCAGACAATGGCATGAAGAATTGAGGTTGTGATTTCTTCTCGAAAAACCAGTGTGTCTATTCCCTAAGTATTACCTAAAGGAGTAAAGGTTAAGTATAACACACTTTTAGTAGGTTTACAGATGGGCGGCACTGTCTTGATTTTTATTCTTTGTAGCTCTAGGCAAATCCGTAGACTTTTGTGGAGTTTGTAAATTTGAATTTGATTCAAGGTAGATTTTATAGGCTTCATAAACTGTCATTTTACTCATTACAACTTTTTTTTTTTGCCTCTCCCAGGCACGCACACACATGCATACATACACACAACCAAAAACCCAAACAAATCAAACAAAAAAAACCCTACCATAAGTAGAATTTTTTAGTCAGGTAGTATTTCACATACACCATCTCTCCACCTGCCTCCCCCCGACAAAGAAACCTCAACAAAGTAATCTTTTTATTGTGAAAAATCAAGGACACTAACATTTTAATCAAAAGAAAAATGTTCCTCAGGTAGTTTTGTTTTTAAAGCAGTCATTTGCAAACTTAAATCCTATTTATAAGAGAAGTAAATTAGTTTTTTAAAAAGTATATTGATCCTTATAATAGGATTAAGCTCCCTATTTTGTATGTGCATGATTTTTAACTATCACTGAAGGTTTAGGTTATCAATTCTAGAAACCAGTCAATTATGTTGTAAATATCAAAATATCTTTCCTGAAAGGAGTATAATATCTTCAAAGTGAGCCAAAACAACATGGTCTTTTGAATACTCTTACATATAAAAATTTTTAGTGATCATAAAGACTTATAAGTCAGGAATAATTTGGAAAACATTAAATCCTGAAATGTAAAAGGTATTCACAGTACTTGGCGGTTTCTCTGGTAGTAATTATAAATCCTACAGGACTGGATTTATACACATTAACTTTGTTTAACCAATAAACACACAACAGTGGGGAGAAACAAAGTTCACAAAACTTCTTATCAAACAATGAAGACAAATCAAATGATTCATTCAAAGTGTGTGCCAACTTGCAAAGTTTTTTCCTGTCTATACGGCTCTAATACACACCTGTCAAATTTTATTCTCAAGGTTAAATATTCCATTTCACTTGAACAAAAGGATAATAGAATGTAAATTCTTTGTTGAGAGGTGTACTTTATACTAAGTTCATATTAAACATGCATTTCCAGGAGTAATTTGTAATCATTTATTATATTTTATTGCCACAATATTTTTACCTCCCCCCCTTTGGCTTAGTTTTAACTCTTGGTACCATAGTTGAATTTCAGCCATAACAAAAAATAGTCAAATATTTTTCACCCTTTTGTCACAGAGCTAAAACACTTACCATGTGATGGCTTTTAATGCCCTCAGTAGTAAACATTCAAGGATTTTTAAAGTAATAAATATAGTTCCTTTAAGAATGAATTTGATTTTTGCATTAAGCAACTAATTAAATGAAACTGCTAACTTAGAAATTAAAATGAAACAATTATTATGTGATAATATTTTAGATATTTTATGAGAAATCTAAGCCAAAGCTACCATAATCTCTGGTTTAAACAACTCTCAGATGTTACTTCCTTTTAAACCACTAATTCATTTTTCAGGAGAGATGAAAATAATTTGTGCAGTGTTTACATATCTAGTATAGATTTGGAGAGCTTTTTAAAAAAATTATTTTTCATGAAGTTTAGTTGGTCTTACTAAGTCCATTCTGGATACATTAGGTGGTTCTCATACAATTTTTATAGCCCCCAAAATGGAGATATGCTGTCATTTAACAACAGCTACAAGAAAAAGAACAGAGGGATTAAGCAGTTTGCCCAAGATCACTCAGTTGGTACCTGTGTATGGATTCAAACTACTATGTGGATTCAAACCCAAGGCGTCATGAGTTTGAAAAAAGCCCCTGTTTACATAAGATCAGAGACTCTAGAGTTCTTTAAAGGTCTGATCCAATTAATTCTATTAAATTGCTTGGATTGAGGATATGGGTGAATTTCAACAAGGCATAGCGGGGTAAGTAACTTCCTCAAAGTTGCAAAGAAGATGGGAGAATCTTAGGCCGGGTTTAAAGACATTTTAAAAAGTAATTGCTGGGCCGGGCGCAGTGGCTCATGCCTGTAATCCCAGCACTTTGGGAGGCCGAGGCGGGCGGATCACGAGGTCAGGAGATCGAGACCATCCTGGCTAATACTGTGAAACCCCGTCTCTACTAAGAATACAAAAAATTAGCCGGGCGTGGTGGTGGGTGCCTGTAGTCCCAGCTACTCGGGAGGCTGAGGCAGGAGAATGGCGTGAACCTGGGAGGCGGAGCTTGCAGTGAGCCAAGATCGTGTCACTGCACTCTAGCCTGGGAGACAGAGTGAGACTCCGTCTCAAAAAAATAAATAAATAAATAAATAAAATTTAAAAAAGCATTTGCTGTATTCATTTTAAACTTTTACCTTTAAATATTTACTTACTTGAAATTGATGTCACTTGACTTCTACTTTTAAATCATGTTTTCTGCAAAACTTATTTGGAGCGGTCTAGATGAACCAGTACATTCTTGTTTATGTAAAGATGTTAAATATCCTAAAAGGTTTATAGCACATTTTTCTGTACAGTATTATTCATAAGATATTTTGTCAAAATTACATTTAGAATTTGTAATACAGAATAATTATTCAGTGGAATGGAGATACTTCATATAGGTATTGTGAAAATTTTTGAGACTATATGACAAATGGAAACACAAATGATTTTCTATTTTGATTTCTGGCTCCTACTAAGAACTTTTGATAGTATTATAATGACAAATGATTTGATGCAGTTAAGTATGTAGTGTTCGCAGATTGGCCGAATTGTTCCTAATTGAGATGATTATTTCAGAAATCTAAAGTCATTACACATAATAAAAATTGTCAAGTTTCTGCAAGCCTTAAGATTACAAAGGAATCTTAATGTGTTTGCCAACTATACATCATTATAAATCTTTATAAATAAGTTTTAATTAGCATATAGTTTTCAGAAACAAATTCAAAAGCACCTTTTATTGCTTTAAAAAATAATTAGCCTACTTTGACTCCACTTTTCCTGCTACATGGTCTGGGAAAGAAAAAACTTTAGACTGTATAACTTAGTATTTTGTCTAAAATTTTTAGACAATTATTTTAAGGTAGTATTAATTAGTTTGGTATGATCTTTAACCATCTTAAAGTGAAGTTGACACTATGACTTGATTCCCATCTACTTTTCTCAAGTATTTGTAACTCTGATTTTTTATCTTTATGAATTGCATAATCTTTATGAATTTTTCCAACAATTTTTTTCTGTATTTGCCCTTTTCAAGGTGAGTAGCAATAGTTATATAGTTTTTGACAGTCTTCTAATTTTAAATCTCTTCCTGAGAGATTCTGCTATTGTGGTGCTAGAAAGCAAGTGCAGTTGCTTTTTTTTTTTTTCTTTTTCTGGAAGAGTGTCATGGAACATTGGAGTTGCTGGTGGCTGGAAAACTTCAAGAATTACAAATTCAGCAGAAAACAGTGTTGTGTTGATTTGAAAGTCCTACATTTCTAGACCAGTGGCTCCCAAGAAATGCTGTGTTTAAGAAGGCTGTTTGCTAGACCTTTGCCACTCAAAATGTGGTTCAATGTTTTAGAGCAGTGCTTTTCAAACTTAATGTCCATATGAATTCCCTGGAAATTTTGTTGAAATGCAGATTCTATAGGTGTGGGGTGGGACCTGAGATTCTGCTCCCAGTGTAGATGCTGCTGTCTGGTGTACCGTACTTTTGAATAGTAAGCTTCTAGAGCTCTCACATCCCCGAAGTTTTACAAAAAATTCTACCTTATTCTGATACTTGGTACTTAAACTACCCCTATTAGAGCAAAGCACTTGGGCTCTTTTTGCTTCAGTTTTATGTATATGAATTAATATACTTACTACTTATATATTACACATTTGAGCAGTTCCCTCTATATTGGCCTCATCTTGCTTAACTAACAAGTATTAGTGAGATTTTGGAAATGCAAGAGAGGAGGCCGTATAGGACAATGGTTAACAGAATAGAGATTCTGGGTTTCTGGTCAGACTCTACCACTTACCAGGCTTGTGACCTTGGATAAGTTACTCAACCTTGTGTAGCCTCAGTCCTCAGGTTGCTGTGAGGATGAAAAGAGATAATCCATTTGGTGCTGTGCCTAGCACTTACTTGTTATTATCAAGGGGAAGGCAAGCAGGCTTTGTGAGAATACTGCTTTGCCTCAGATCATTAGGATTCTAGATGGAGAGTGAAAAGGTCGAAGTTGAGGAGTACTGCCTTGAGGAGCACTGGGAATTGAGCTAGAGGACACCTTTTTGGGGTATTTATTTATTCTGCTCATCTTTTGTGCTCCTTTCTTTTGCTGCTCCCTGTTACTTTTGTGGAACTGAAAACGGTCTCAGAGTTTTCTTCTCTACTTTCCCGTCTCAAAAGCTAACACACAGCTTTTTTTTTTCTTTAGGGTTTTTATTGCTAGCCACAAGGGAATGAAAATAAAAAAGGTGCTTCTTTCCTTTTCATTCCATCCCTCTCCTCCTTTTAGATTTGTCTAGGAAAGATAAAGATACACACACACATATACACACACAGAAACTTAAGACTTAAGTTTATTCTAGTAATTTCATCTGGACTGCCAAGTTTGACTCTAAGCAGGGGATACTTGTACTTATTTAGAAACAGGATTTTAATAAATATTAAAATGTTTAATGCTTTTAAAACAGATTTAAACATCTAATACAGTGTTCATAAGATACTTTTATTTGGGATTTTTAAAGAGAAGTAAGGAAAAGCAAGAGAGTTTATTTCTGCAGAATTTTTAAAATGATGAAAAGATGTCTCTCTAGATACTACACATTTTTTTTTTTTTTTAGATGGAGTCTAGCTCTGTTGCCCAGCCTGGAGTGCAGTGGCGTGATCTCGGCTCAATGCAAGCTCTGCCTCGCGGGTTCACGCCATTCTCCTGCCTCAGCCTCCCGAGTAGCTGGGACTACAGGCGCCCGCCACCATGCTCGGCTAATTTTTTGGATTTTTAGTAGAGACAGGGTTTCACCGTGTTAGCCAGGATGGTCTCGATCTCCTGACCTCGTGATCCGCCCGCCTTGGCCTCCCAAAGTGCTGGGATTACAGGCGTGAGCCACCGCGCCCAGCCGGTACTACAGATTTTCAATGAGGGTTGAAATATATAATTTCTTGGAAAATTTGCTGATGGCATTTGAGCTGGGGGCACTAGTTAAATGTTCAGTAAGTAATCTAGATTTATTATGAAATAATAGTTGAGAAAACAGAATTGACTTGGGTAGTTCACCACTGTGTGGAATATTTTTCTGAGTGAAAAACTTTTAATTGCCATTTCTTTCTTCTCTTACAGATTCAAAGTAAAATTACTTTAATTAGAATCTGAAAATTATCCCATAACATGTATAGTTGCAAGAGACTAAGGACTTTTTTTGCCTTGTAACTTTGCATACTTATTTTTATATTTTTAGTTGGACCTTCTTTCAATATGTGTGTGTGTATATATAACATATTTTTATATTATATATGAAATATATTTTATTATATATTGTATGTATTTTTATATATAATATATAATTTAATATATAGGCAACAGTGAGACCCTGTCTCTACAAAAAAATTTATAATTTATAGGCAATATATAGGCAACAATGAGACCCTTTCTCTACAAAAATATTTATAATTTATGAATAACATATTTCATATATATGAAGCTAAAACTCTTAAATTTATGCTAATATGGTTAAACATTGTTGCATTAAATGGGAGGGCAGATTGCAAATAGCTTTCCATATCTATGAATTTACATTCATGTGGATCCATTTAATTTAAGTGAGATAAAAATGTTTTAATTATAAATAATTGCTCAAGTTTATTATCTTGAATAATGTGTTGATTAATTCAGTTTAATAAATAAATTTGGCCTTTGTAATATTATATATTTATAATACACAATATAAATTATAATAATGTGCCATTTATCTATAAGTTTAAAGTTCAGCATCATGTATTTTAAAATATTCGGCAATAGCAATCAGAGTGAATGGATTCAAGCTTTTGTAGTTTGTAATTTCATTGAAAATAGTGGCTAGACATGGTGGCTCACACCGTAATTCCAGCACTTTGGGAGGGGGAAACAGGAAGATCACTTAAGCCTGGGAGTTCCAGACCAGCCTAGGCAACATAGTGAGACCCTGTCTCTACCAAAAGAAAAAAAAGAAATTAGCCAGGTGTGGTGGTGCAAGCCTGTAGTCCTAGCTTCTTGGGAGACTGAGGCGGGAGGATCACTTGCGCCTGGGAGGTTGAGGTTGCCGTGAGCCATAATGGTGCCACTGTGCTCCAGCCTGGGTGACAAGAGTGAGACCCTATCTAGTAAAAAAAAATTCCTTTTAATATTATACTTTCATTAAATGATTATATCAATGGAAGTATCAACTTGCTTAAATATGGGATACTGGTAGCTTTATTTTTCTCACTGTAGTTCCTTGCAATGTAGTAGAAACATGTTCAAAGACTCATTTATAGTGTATGTCAGAAAACTCCAAAAAGATTTAAAATAATGAATGTGTCTAGCTATATAAAAATTTGGAATTTCTAAGAGATGTCTGAGAAAAAGATAAAATAAGATGTGGCTCATAGCCATCATGAGTAATGTAATTTTATACTGTTTGCTTCAAATTTAAATTGGGTCAAACTATAATATCCTGTGAAGGTCTGAAATACTGTTAAGTAATACTGGATTTGAACTTAAATGTGAAATAGATTTAGACTTCAGTGCACCTGGCAAAATCATGTGATCACTGAAAACCCAGAAACCCCAGTGATTGCTGAGTATGTTTTAATTTTCAGTTGTTAATTTTAAGTGTAATGGAGATAGAACCAGAGAAAGACTTTTGAATTTCCCTTATAGTAGCCTAGATATATCACCACAAACTTTGGAGTCAGAATAAGTTTGAGTGCTGCCTTTTCCATTTACCAACAAGGTACTCTTGAACAAGTTACTTGGCGTTTTTGAGTAGAACTTAATAGTTTTTCAAGTATTTTGAACATTATTTCACTTAGTTCTTACCAGCAGCCACTTTAATTTATAAGATAAATTGGGATGAATATCCCCATGTTCAGAAAGGGTTGCCTACTTCTGTACTGTTTGTGAGTAGCATGGTATGGGTAGCATCGTGTGGTTTGTGGGTAGCATGGTGAGTAGAGCATGGGTTTTAAGGTTAGACAGGCTTAAATTTGAATCCTAGGGCTAGCGACTTGACCATATTTCTCAAACTCTTTGAGGCTCATGATGGTAATCATACCTGTTTCATAGGATTGTTCTAGAGGTTAAATGAGGTTGGGGGCCTCCTTACTTCTTTATCTCTCATGCCTGCCACATAATAGTCACTCATTTGTGGAGTAAATAAATGCCTGGCATAGTAGGTATTCATGGGAGCTTCCTTGCCTTCTGATTTCTAGTCTAATTCCTGCATCTGGAATTGAATGTGACTTGCAATTTGTGTTTAAGGTTTGTTTATTTATTTATTTATTATTAATCTGCTTGGTTGGGTACATGTTTAGGATTTTGTAAAAGGAAAAATATATTTATTCATTTATTTTTAAGAGACAGGGTCTCACTCTGTTGCCCAGGCTAGAGTGCAGTGGCACAATCATAGCTCACTGCAGCCTCACATTCCTGGGCTCAGGCAATCTTCCCAGCTTAGCCTACAAAGTAGCTAGGATGACAGGTGTGTGCCACCACACCTGGCTAATTTTTAAATTTTTTGTAGAGATAGGGTCTTGCCATGTTGCCCAGGCTGGACATTTGGATTTTTTAAAGGATTTTCTTTTCAGTAGAAGGGAGGTTACTGAAAACCTTGATTCTGCATAAATCTGATTTTTTGGTTGTTTTAAGCTCCTTGTGGCTTAGTGTGTTTTATCACTCTATTTTTAGACCATTATTTTTTACTTGCTGTGCCAATAAGATGAGTTGACCATATAATTCCATAATTTAGAAACCTGAGATGATCTTAGATTTTTAAAATGTGGTTTTAATTATGTACGGTGAATTTTTATTATAATGATAGTTATATACTTAGCTTATGGACTGTCATTGAAGCCTGCTTTACAACTCTGGAAACACAAAATATTTTCCTCTTTAGATGAAATTAATGTTATGTATACATTTGTAGAGTCTTACTTATATTAAGATGTGCATATATCTAAGCATTTGAGGTCTCCCATTGGACTATTAATTTTTTTTTTTTTTTTTTGAGACGGAATCTCGCTCTGTTACCCAGGCTGGAGTGCAGTGGCACGATCTCGGCTCACCACAACCTCCACCTCCTGGGTTCAAGCTATTCACCTGCCTCAGCCTCCTGAATAGCTGGGACTGCAGGCACGTGCCACCATGCCCGGCTAATTTTTGTATTTTTAATAGAGACGGGGTTTCACTATGTTGGCCAGGCTGGTCTCAAACTCCTGACCTCGTGATCCTCCTGCCTCGGCCTCCCAAAGTGCTGGGATTACAGGCATTAGCCACTGCGCAGGGCCTGGACTATGAATTTCTTAAGGGAAGGGATTGTTTTGTTCATTCTTATTTCTCTGCTGCTTAAGTTTGTGCCTGGCCAAAAAAAATAATAGCTGTGTAGTGCATACTGTGAGACAGCATACCTGCTTCTAATCTGGGGCCTTCTGAAGGGATTTTTGTTTTTAGTTCTGCCCTAGATATTTAGAACTTAAACCCTACATAAGGTGCCATTGTGTTATGTGGATAGGAAGCCAATGTTATGTTGACATTTTAATATTAGTAAGGCATAGTTTCTTGTTAGGTTTGAAAGTTAATCTTTGTGTGAAAAGGGTAGGAGGAATATTATATTTCTAAGGACTTCTGGTCCTTGTAATAATGAATTGAAACTTATTCAAATATTGATTAGAGGTATACTATGAATAAAGCATTCTAGATAAACTTTTTATAAGGTATGTTTTGCTTAGGGTAAGGCTTTGTTAGCACTATAGTTTTTATAAAGGCAGGCTCAGAGTTTGTATATCCTTTTTCTTAGAATTCTTTGACACTTGTACTAGCAGTTTGATTTCTAAATAATATAAATCATATTTATATGTAAAATTCAAATTTTTTCTAGTTCAATTTTAGTCTCTGAATGTGATTGTTGTTACTTTTTGTTTAAAAAAATTTTTTTAAATAACTGGTCTGAAGTGACATGTCTTTCTGATATACCAGCCATTATATTCTACCTTCTATTCTATCTTTGCAACAGATTTATTTGAAAATGCCTATGGGTCTTCAATGAAGGGAAGAGAACTTGAAGAGCTGAAGGATAATATTGAATTCAGAGGTCATAAGCCACTTAACAGCATCACTGTTTCAAAGAAACGCAATTGGCTATATCAGAGTACTCTGAGGCCTCTTAATCTGGAAGAAGAAAATAAGAAATGCCAAGATAGAAGTCATTTATCCATCTCACCTGTGTCTCTACCTAAACATCAGCTATCACAGTCTTTCCTCAAATCATCTAAAGAGTACTGTACATATGTGGTATGTAACGCTACAAACTCTTCATTATCGAAAAACTGTGCTTTAGATTTTAATGAGGAAAATGATGCAGATGATGAAGGAGAAATATGGTACAATCCCATTCCTGAGGATGATGACCTTGGTATATCAAGTGCCTTGAGTTTTGGTGAGGCCGACTCTGCTGTTCTGAAGCTCCCTGCTGTCAATTTGAGCATGTTGTCTGGCAGTGACCTGATGAAAGCAGAGCGGCATACTGAAGACTCACTGTGCTCTTCCGAACATGCAGGTGATATTCAGACCACACGGTCAAATGGAATGAATCCTATACATCCTGCCCATTCCACAGAATTTGTGCAGCAGTACAAGCAAAAGCTAGGACACAAGACACAAGAAGGTATAATGGTGGAGGACAGTCCCATGTTGAAATCTCCTTTTGCAGGTAAAAATGATCATATATGTGTCTTTCTTTCTTCTTCCATTTTTGAATTATTTGATAATAGCTAAAACTAAATATAAAAGATGTTTGTTATATTCATGTACTTTTTCTTGTGAAGTGAATATATTTTCATGAAAATAAAACTCAAAAAGTTTTATAAACATTTTAACGTACACGCTGGTTTAATTATTACTATCACAGACTTGATTTTTATTTTATTTTTTTGAGAAAGGGTCTCACTCTGTCACCCAGGCTAGAGTGCAGTGGCACAATCATGGCGCACCGCAGCCTTGACCTCCAGGCTCAGGTGATCCTCCCACCATAGCTTCCTGAGTAGCTAGGACTACAGGTGCGTGCCACCATGCCCAGCCAATTTTTGTATTTTTTGTAGAGACAGGGTTTTGCTTTGTTGACCAGGCTGGTCTTGAACTCCTGACCTCAAACCATCTGCCTACTTTGGCCTCCCAAAGTGCTGGGATTATAAGTGTGAGCCATTGTGCCTGGCCACAGACTTGACTTTATAATCTGGTGTGCTTTAATATGTCAATCCTTTGAGACAGTAATTGCTTGCCTATTAGTTGGAAGCAAGAAATCATAGGGAGTTGAAGAAAAAGTAAGTCTTATTTTGCTTCATTCATTCATTCATTCACACCTGGCCTGGCCACAGCTGAAAAGTTTTGTTTTTAGTGTACCAGTGGTCATTAGTTTGTGTTTTTTATGTGTAAGTTTCCTCATGAGCAAAAGAAAGAAGAGAGAAAGAAATGAGAAGTAGAAGTAAGTCCCTTGCAAATACGTGCTACAGTAGTTATGGAACTGAAAAATGAAGTAATTGAAGTTTTATGTAGATTAGGTTGACCCATTTGAAAATAAGTGCTACAGTAGTTATGGAACCTAAAAATGAAATAATTGAAGTTTTATGTATATTAGGTTGACCCATTTGAAATTGTGAATATTCAAAAGTTTTTGATGTACAAAAATTGCCTTTAATTTTCTGATGTGCTTCTTTTAGTCCCAGACACACTACCCAGGAAACAGAACATAAGGCACATTTGCTTGCAAATATCAAATGTAGAATAGAAAGCAGTTCTGTTTTATATCAAGTCATTTTAATTTACAGAATTTCAAATGATGCAGAATATTTAAAGATGTGGGGTATAGGAGATGCTGTCAGTGCTTTGTCTTATATCCCCTGGGTTTTATTACTATTTAAATGGGAGAAGCCTATTTCCAGCCACCAACATCTTCACCTCTGCTTAAGGACTTTCTCTGAAGTCTTAGAGAATCTCTGCAGGGCAGCCTCGGCGTGCCTCTCAACCAGTGACTCACAAGAGCTGGTATAGAACTACGTCATCTCCCTCAACCCTTGGGCAGAATAATTCTGAGTTTATATTCTATGTTGTTTCCCAGAGTTTTCTCATGAGGTCAAGCTCCAGTTGCCCGTAGTGATAGCAGGCTTGATAATTCAGCTTGAATTTTCCCCTGAATTTTCTCAGCTCCCTCGCTGATGTTTCTGTACTTTGCAAATAAACTACTTACATTTAAAACCTTTTCTCAGGGACAAACCTTTTCTCAGGGACATAGGAAGGTGGAGTAAATGTATATTAAGAGAAAAAGGAAGTTCCAAAACAATGTGTACTGTATGATGGCAATTTTGAAAGAAAAGCTGAAAGATGTCCTGGAAATGTTGTGTTTTTTTATTTGTTTTTATTTTTTTCTGGGTGTTGAGATTGAAGGTAATTAAATTTTTTTCTTTGTGCATTTCTAATTATAGGCTAATTCTCCAGAGCAAATGTGTGCTGCTTTTGTAATCTGGATGGGGAAAGAAATAAATACTATATAGAATAGTAATTTGGAATGCAGATTGTGATCAGGGTGGAGTGATAGGGAAGGCTATAGTATCACAGATAGCGACGGATATAGAATAGTTCAGAGAAGGCAAGAGAGTGTAAGGATAAGAGCAAAGATAGAAAGTTGGTGTTCATGAAGTGACACACACCTTGATTTAAGTGACTATCCTTAAACTTTTTTTTTAATTTAATTTAATTATTATTATACTTTAAGTTTTAGGGTACATGTGCACAATGTACAGGTTACATATGTATACTTGTGCCATGCTGATGTGCTGCACCCATTCACTCATCATTTAGCATTAGCTATATCTCCTAATGCTATCCCTCCCCCCTCCCCCACCCCACAACAGTCCCCAGAGTGTGATGTTCCCCTTCCTGTGTCCATGTGTTCTCATTGTTCAATTCCCACCTATGAGTGAGAACATGCGGTGTTTGGTTTTTTGTCCTTGAGATAGTTTACTGAGAATGATGATTTCCAATTTCATCCATGTCCCTACAAAGGAAATGAACTCATCCTTTTTTATGGCTGCATAGTATTCCATGGTGTATATGTGCCACATTTTCTTAATCCAGTCTATCATTGTTGGACATTTGGGTTGGTTCCAAGTCTTTGCTATTGTGAATAGTGCCGCAATAAACATACGTGTGCATGTGTCTTTATAGCAGCATGATTTATAGTCCTTTGGGTATATACCCAGTAATGGGATGGCTGGGTCAAATGGTATTTCTAGTTCTAGATCCCTGAGGAATCACCACACTGACTTCCACAATGGTTGAACTAGTTTACAGTCCCACCAGCAGTGTAAAAGTGTTCCTATTTCTCCACATCCTCTCCAGCACCTGTTGTTTCCTGACTTTTTAATGATTGCCATTCGAACTGGTATGAGATGGTATCTCATTGTGGTTTTGATTTGCATTTCTCTGATGGCCAGTGATGGTGAGCATTTTTTCATGTGTTTTTTGGCTGCATAAATGTCTTCTTTTGAGAATTGTCTGTTCATGTCCTTCGCCCACTTTTTGGTGGGGTTGTTTGTTTTTTTCTTGTAAATTTGTTTGAGTTCATTGTAGATTCTGGATATCAGCCCTTTGTCAGATGAGTAGGTTGCGAAAATTTTCTCCCATTTTGTAGGTTGCCTGTTCACTCTGATGGTAGTTTCTTTTGCTGTGCAGAAGCTCTTGAGTTTAATTAGATCCCATTTGTCAATTTTGGCTTTTGTTGCCATTGCTTTTGGTGTTTTAGACATGAAGTCCTTGCCCATGCCTGTGTCCTGAATGGTAATACCTAGGTTTTCTTCTAGGGTTTTTATGGTTTTAGGTCTAACGTTTAAGTCTTTAATCCATCTTGAATTAATTTTTGTAGAAGGTATAAGGAAGGGATCCAGTTTCAGCTTTCTACATATGGCTAGCCAGTTTTCCCAGCACCATTTATTAAATAGGGAATCCTTTCCCCATTGCTTGTTTTTCTCAGGTTTGTCAAAGATCAGATAGTTGTAGATATGTGGCATTATTTCTGAGGGCTCTGTTCTGTTCCATTGATCTATATCTCTGTTTTGGTACCAGTACCATGCTGTTTTGGTTACTGTAGCCTTGTAGTATAGTTTGAAGTCAGGTAGCGTGATGCCTCCAGCTTTGTTCTTTTGGCTTAGGATTAACTTGGCGATGCGGGCTCTTTTTTGGTTCCATATGAACTTTAAAGTAGTTTTTTCCAATTCCATGAAGAAAGTCATTGGTAGCTTGATGGGGATGGCATTGAATCTATTAATTACCTTGGGCAGTATGGCCATTTTCACGATGGATTCACAGCCAGATTCTACCAGAGGTACAAGGAGGAACTGGTACCATTCCTTCTGAAACTATTCCAATCAATAGAAAAAGAGGGAATCCTCCCTAACTCATTTTATGAGACCAGCATCATCCTGATACCAAAGCCAGGCAGAGACACAACCAAAAAAGAGAATTTTAGACCAATATCCTTGATGAACATTGATGCAAAAATGCTCAATAAAATACTGGCAAACCGAATCCAGCAGCACATCAAAAAGCTTATCCACCAAGATCAAGTGGGCTTCATCCCTGGGATGCAAGGCTGGTTCAATATACGCAAATCAATAAATGTAATCCAGCATATAAACAGAACCAAAGACAAAAACCACATGATTATCTCAATAGATGCAGAAAAGGCCTTTGACAAAATTCAACAACCCTTCATGCTAAAAACTCTCAATAAATTAGGTATTGATGGGACGTATCTCAAAATAATAAGAGCTCTATGACAAACCCACAGCCAATATCATACTGAATGGGCAAAAACTGGAAGCATTCCCTTTGAAAACTGGCACAAGACAGGGATGCCCTCTCTCACCACTCCTATTCAACAGTGTTGGAAGTTCTGGCCAGGGCAATTAGGCAGGAGAAGGAAATAAAGGGTATTCAATTAGGAAAAGAGGAAGTCAAATTGTCCCTGTTTGCAGACGACATGATTGTATATCTAGAAAACCCCATTGTCTCAGCCCAAAATCTCCTTAAGCTGATAAGCAACTTCAGCAAAGTCTCAGGATACAAAATCAATGTACAGAATCACAAGCATTCTTATACACCAATAACAGACAAACAGCCAAATCATGAGTGAACTCCCATTCACAATTGCCTCAAAGAGAATAAAATACCTAGGAATCCAACTTACAAGGGATGTGAAGGACCTCTTCAAGGAGAACTACAAACCACTGCTCAATGAAATAAAAGAGGATACAAAGAAATGGAAGAACATTCCATGCTCATGGGTAGGAAGAATCAATATCGTAAACTTTTTTTTTTAATGTTTGTGGCAAATTGTGAACCTGGAAAGACTAACAGACATTTTTTTAAAAACACAACTTAAAAGTATGCTATATCTGCTTTTTTTACTATCTCCTTTTTTACTGTCATTCTTCTCATAAATATATAATTAAAATATATTTATAATTATAAAATAATATAAATATATATTATAAATATTAAATATTTACATTTAATATTGTAAAATATATGATAATATATAATTAAAATATTTTTTGGTCAAAAATCCTAAATTGACCAAAGGAAATATTTAGACAGTTTATTTATAAGTCATCTTTTTTTGTTGTTTTATTTTGGTGGAAAAACCGTTACCTAAAGTGATCTATTTCTTAGCAGTATTGGCAGAAAGCTGTTGAGAAATTGGCAAAGAAAATGGTTGAATTTCAAAATAATTTTTGATCAGAGAATTGGAAAGCTAATTCATCCTAATGCAATTATGACTTGTTTTTTCCTCATTAACTCCCAGATACATATGTATCTTTTTTTTTTTTTTTAAGACGGGGTATCTCTGTGTTTCCCAGGGTGGAGTGCAAGTGGCACAATCACGGCTCACTGTAGCCTCCCAGCCTGAGAAACACTCGACCTTCCCAGCTCAAGCAGTCTTCCCACCTCGGTTTCCCTAGTAGCTGGGACTATAGCACACCACCACACCTGCTAATTTTTTTGTATCTTTTGTAGACATGGGGTTTTGCCATGTTGTCCAGGCTGGTCTTGAACTCCTATCTGCCTCAGCCTCCCAAAGTAATGGGATAACAGTGAGCCACCATGATATATATGTATCTTTTATCTAGTTGTAATCATAGTGGACTTTATTTTTGATTTTTGCTGTTTTTACTTGGTATCTTCATCTTGCATTGTTACATGTAGGGTAGTATTGTTTCTCAAGCATTGTAGTACAGTATTTAACTGCGTTGATGTGCCCTAATCTATTTGACTGTTTCCTTAATGTTAGGTGTTGATAGATTGTTTCCAGTGCTATTGCAGTGATCTTCATAATGTTTTTTACTTCACTCAGATCAATTACCAGTATCATTACTTGGTGTTTATGCCTGGTAATTATTATTGTTAATTTCTATGTTGCATTTTCTACAAAGTTTGCCAGTTTACAAGGCAACTAACAATTGGTTATTCATTTATTCACTAAATATTGAGTTCCTGCTATGTACCAGTTACTGTTCTAGGTGCTGAAGGAGTGTGCCAGTTTCACTCGACTCTAGCCTAGTTCATAAATTTATATTTAAAGATTTTTATTTTGTACCTTCTTTTTAAAGATAGTATGTGATTTGATTAGTATAGTTGTAGTTTAATTTTAAGCGACTGTGGAATTTGGTAATATTTTGACTCTTGGGTTTTATAAAAACAAAGCATTTTGGCTTTAATAAATTCAGTTTTATCTGCAGTAGAAGTTGCTATCATGTACAGTATTTCATTTTAATAATTAGTTAAGGACTTCAGTAGAAATTATTTACTTACAGTATGTAAAAAGAGTCAGTTTTTTTATGTGATAATGTATTTAATCTAAAGCAATTTAATATACTGGATAGCTTTTCTAGGCTGTGATAAAATAGACAGATTGATGTTTATAGACTGAAGCAGGACCCCGATTAACTCTAGAATGTTTCAAACTAGTAAGCCAGTAGAATTGTACTATAATTTTAGTACAAGGGGATGCTTTATCCAGTTTATCAAACACTCCATTTTCTATTATCTTCTTAATAGAAAAGCCCTGTAGGCATACTTAAAATAGTTTTTTTCTCTATAAAGAAACTACTTATTTGTCATTAGGACACATGGGGTGGAGGGAGAATATTAATACTTTTTAAAGAAAGGTCATTTGTTGTTTTTTAAAATGAATAAACACTTTTTCTCATTTTAATTGTGAAATGTTGTGTTACATACATTAGCTTTTGATGTGAGGTTATTAGATCTTTCTCTATAAGGAATAAAGTATGAAAAATTAAATTAAATTTTAAATAATTGGGATAATGCAGTATTCTGCTTGAATATCATGATGGAAGTTGACCTGAACTTCTAATGAAATCTCCCCATTGAGATGAAATAAGAGAAGAATTTCTGCCTATGTGAAAGCCTGTTTAGTTGATGGTTTATAAAATAAGAATAAAAGAAATCAAAACATATTGCTTTATAACGTATTTTTCTTTCTTTCTTTTAAGGTTCTGGGATCCTGGCTGCTACAAATAGTACTGAATTGGGAATTATGGAACCATCTTCTCCAAATCCTAGCCCTGTGAAAAAAGGCAGTTCAATTAATTGGTCATTGCCAGATAAAATAAAATCTCCACGAACTGTGAGGAAACTTTCCATGAAAATGAAAAAGTTGCCAGAATTTAGCCGAAAGCTAAGCGTTAAGGGAACATTGAATTATATAAACAGTCCAGATAATACTCCTTCTTTGTCTAAATATAACTGCCGAGAAGTTCATCATACTGATATTCTGCCCTCTGGGAACACAACCACCGCTGCTAAGAGGAATGTTATAAGCCGATACCATCTTGATACCAGTGTATCCTCCCAGCAGAGCTACCAGAAGAAAAACTCTATGAGTTCTAAGTATTCCTGCAAAGGTGGTTACCTTAGTGATGGAGACTCACCTGAACTTACAACTAAAGCTAGCAAACATGGATCTGAAAACAAATTTGGAAAAGGAAAAGAAATAATTTCAAATAGTTGTAGCAAGAATGAAATAGACATTGATGCTTTTAGGCATTATAGCTTTTCTGATCAACCTAAGTGTTCACAGTACATATCTGGGCTCATGAGTGTACATTTCTATGGTGCTGAGGATTTAAAACCACCTCGGATAGATTCAAAAGACGTCTTTTGTGCAATTCAGGTAGATTCAGTAAACAAAGCAAGAACAGCTTTGCTCACATGCCGAACAACATTTTTAGACATGGATCACACTTTCAACATAGAAATTGAAAATGCACAACATTTGAAACTAGTAGTATTCAGTTGGGAACCCACTCCAAGAAAAAATCGAGTTTGTTGTCATGGAACTGTTGTTCTTCCCACCTTATTTAGAGTGACAAAGACTCATCAGTTGGCTGTCAAACTTGAACCTAGAGGTCTTATTTATGTGAAAGTGACTCTTATGGAACAGTGGGAGAATTCTCTTCATGGACTAGATATAAACCAAGAACCAATAATATTTGGAGTTGATATTCAAAAAGTTGTAGAGAAAGAAAATATAGGACTGATGGTGCCCCTTCTGATACAGAAATGTATTATGGAAATTGAAAAGAGAGGCTGTCAGGTATTATCTTACTATGGTTCCCTACTACTTCCTTTATTGATTGATTAATTGTAAGTCTTGGGGGAAGAAATTCAAGGTAATGTAAAAAAATCAAATTTAGATATTTTACCATTCCTATTCTTTATTTTTATTCCATTACTGTTTAGGGTATAATTTTTAACTTGACTCATGTTGTCCATTATTGAGAGCATGCTAGATGATTCCACAAATTTATATTGCAACACAGAGCTTCATGGGTCTTATAATTAGAAATCAGGATTGCTTCAAAATGGCATTAAAAGGAAAAGTCAGAGCTGATAACATAGGCAAAGGATATTGATTCTTTATACTAATTTTTGTGATACATATTAAGACTAAAAATTACGTTGAGTTATTTCTGCTTTAGTACTATCTGAATTTATAATATTGGTTGAAAAGTTAAGTTAAAAGACAATGAGTAAATATTATAAAATCTGAAATATTTATTTAATAAACTTAAGCTTAACATGGAAACTATAGAAACAGCCTAAGTTAATGGAATTTTGCATTAAGATACAGAATACCTGGATTCTGGTTTCTCCTCCATTATTACTTAGCTGTGTCATGTTGGGCAAGTCACTTAATCTCTGTGGGTCTTACTTGCTTGTATCTATAAAAATAGATGGAGTGGCTGGGCATGGGGGCTCACACCTGTAATCCCAGCACTTTGGGAGGCCAAGGCGGGCAGATCACCTGAGGTCAGGAGTTCAAGACCAGCCTGGCCAACATAGTGAAAACTGTCTCTACTAAAAATACAAAAATTAGCCCGACATGGTGGCGCATGCCTGTAATCCCAGCTACTTAGGAGGCTGATGCAGGAGAATTGTTTGAACCCAGGAGGTGGACATTACAGTGAGCCCAGATTGTGCCACTGCATTCTAGCCTGGGCGATAGAGTGAGACTCCGTTGCAAAAAAAAAAAAAAAAAAAAAAAAAAAAAATGGAGTAGCTTCCTGAAGCTAAGAGATAACACATCTCAACTATTGAAACTTCCCCTCTTCAGGCCCCCCAGTGGGGTTGGATGAAACTTCTAACTCAGATACATCATTCTGTCTCCAGTTTGTGTTGTCTTTGTGTGAGTGAGGCCTTTACTTTTCCAATCCAACTTTTGGTTAATTATTTTTCTTTCTTAAGATTCTGTTTTTTTCTTTTATCTTTTTTCAGGCAGTGAGGGTAGAGTTCAGAAATTATGCAGACTTAAAAGCTAATTATTAAACAAACTTTTATAGTTGAATATTAAGTAACTCAAATGGCACTATATTTTTACAGTCTATTTTCTGAAATATTTAGAAAGAGCAGGTATATATAGACTGTTACCACTTTAAGTGCCAAGAAAACATTTTTAGCAATGCTTTTCATTTTTATGTAGAACTGTATTTTTTTTTTTTTTTGAGACGGATTCTTGCTCTGTCGCCCAGGCTGGAGTGCAATGGCGCAGTCTCAGCTCACTGCAGCCTCCGCCTCCTGGGTTCAAGCAATTCTGCCTCAGCCTCCCAATTAGCTGGGATTACAGGTGCACGCCATCATGCCTGGCTAATTTTTGTATTTTTTTTAGTAGAGACAGGGTTTCACCATGTTAGCCAGGCTAGTCTCCAGCTCCTGACCTTGTGATCCGCCTGCCTCGGCCTCCCAAAGTGCTGGGATTACAGGTGTGAGCCACCGCGTCCGGCCTAGAACTGTACTTTTTAAAGACATTTTTGTTTTGTTTCCCCTGCTTCTTTCTCCCTCACTTGCCCTCCCCTCTTCCCCACCCCCAGTAGAGAGAGGCTTATTGTGCTTGTATTTTACAGACTGGCATACTGCTTAAATTTTGTTTACCCTTTTAGTCAGGAATTATTCTTGTATTATTGGGTTTTTATTGTAAACATGAAAATAGGCTTTGATAGTCATATACAAAGAGTTTGTGGCATGGGTCTTTGCATCTTCCAAATGCTTTGAGTGCTACTACCACCCATCTCCTGCTTAAAACGGGAAAAATTGCTATGGAGATCATACTTATGGTCTGTCTTTCATAGAGGCATCGAGCATGTACTTCAAGGGTTTGATTCAAGATATCATCATCAGAAAGTAGGGATATATCCTAAAATATCTTTTCCTTGAAGTACCTGTAGTAGATCTTCCTTCCTTTATTTCATCTTTTAAAAAATTATATTTGTGATTTCAACTTTTGGGGGTAAAATATCCCATTAATTTATTGTGTACTAGTTAAGTAGTACTTCCTTTAAGTTGTTCTAGGCTCATCTTCTTCTCAAGTTTAAGGGGATACATCGTTTGTATGGTACTTTATGACACTTAAATGTGCTCACACCAGCAGGGCTATAATCAAGTTCGTTTCTTCTGTTGTGGTAGCATTTCCTTTGATCCTGTTTAATATTTTAGTTTCATTTTCTGAACTGTCTACATTTCTACTGTGTCTTTCTTGAGATGATGTGATCAGCATAACTCATTCCATTCTCAATGTGAATGCATCATGAATGTGGATCAGGGTAGGAAATTTGAATTTTTTTCCTATTTCTTGGTTTCCCATATTATCTTGATCCTTTTGAATGTAGCAGCACCTTGCATTATCACCTCTTGGAAATAGTTTTAGGTTCTTTACTATCTTTCAATTAATACCTATAGCTTATCATCTCAAATATTTTAGATAATATTTCCCTGTATCTATTGACACTTTCTCATATTGAGACCCACCTTATAGTGTATTCTATCAGTTTTTTAATGAGTCAGAAGAGATTAGTATCATAAGTAACCCTGGAAATTTCATTTGTATACTTCTTCCTCTAGATCATTTATTGCATTTTACAGTGATTCCTAATTCAAATCCTGGAAGATTACTTTTACTTTATTTCTGTCTTTAAATAGTTTATTTCTCCAAAATTTTTCCTTCAGTTCAAAGTGACTGAGCTTTCTAAATAGTCTTAGATGTGGAAGTATGGCTGACAATCACTTATTCTCTCCTCAAGTTTTTTTGAAGTTTTATTCTTTCAAAGAACTTTGATAGCTTAATCAGGCGTGTTTTCTCTTTACAGAGATCATGTTTATTCTAAGTAAATTTATAGTGAATAACTTAAGACTTAATATTTTAGAACCTGTATGACAGTGTTTAAAGACAAATCTTTTCAATGTAGGTTGGTGGGATGGGTAGTGTCTGTGCATCTTATATAAATTTTGAAATAGAGGTTTTATTTTACCTTTAATATATTATTTTAAATTTCCTCCATCACTTTATAATCAATTAATTTGACAACTTAAAAAAAAAACACCCTAGGTTTGCTTCTGGGTCTTCCTGAGAATCTTTTTTCTTAAAAAGTTTTATATAGTATACTAGAACCTTATTTCAACTATATACTTATTTTAAGGATAAAAGAAACTGAGTTTTAAAGAGATTAAATAACTTGCCCAAATTCATGAAGCAAGCAGTGGGGCTTTATGACTCCAAAACCCTTGTTCAGTGTCTGTGCTGTACTACTTCAGTCTAGAACAAAAGATGTGAAAGGGCGCACATTCCTGGGGCATGGAGATCTTTATTGAGCATATAAAACTGAAAAGAAGGGATTGTGTTTTGCTTAAGATAGGTAGCCAGCATTACCGAACTGATAGTGTATTGTTTGAATTTAAATGAAAGAATAGGATATTTTTATTAAACTAATCAACATAGTATATAATGAGACTTCAAAAGCTATATTTGAGGTATTTAAAATTAAATGACATCAGAACATATTTGATTGCAAAGTTCATGTGATCTATAATGCAATTATATTTTCCCTTTATCAAATTTACTGTAATGTGGCCATAATTTTATTCCTAGGTAGTAGGCCTGTATCGATTATGTGGTTCGGCAGCAGTCAAGAAAGAACTGCGAGAGGCTTTTGAGAGAGATAGCAAAGCTGTTGGTCTGTGTGAAAACCAGTACCCAGATATAAATGTAATAACAGGTAATAAATAGATTTTATTTTATGTACTCTTTCTGGAAAGACTACATCTGCAAGAAAGATAACTGAAATACGTTTGTAGCTGAAATTTAATTTGTTTTTATTCTGAAGTCTTTTCTTCCTTCACAAACATTACTTACTGTGTTATTTTCTATGGGAAGGTATTAAGCTATGGTCCCTTGCCCACAAACAGCTGACATGATGAAGGGAAGTAAGACCTACTTTAAGTTAGCTATAGTAGCTAGCAGAAAGAAAAAGGTACCTTCATAGAGGGATAAATAAAATGCTTTGGAAGTTGAGTTTGACTGGTACTTAGGTGATATAGAGCGTATTGACTATCTGGTTAGAGAATTTAAATTTATTTACTAGCCAGAGGGGATCCATTAAGATTTTTTGAGTGGGGGAGTGATATCATAGAGATTATTTTCAGGAATATTAATCTGGCAACTCTATGTGATGGATTGAAATTAGAAGAGACCAGAGGAAGGAAAACCAATTAGAAAGCCTTGGCCGTAGTCCAGGCAAAGAGGTAGTAAGAGCTAAAGGGGCTTGTAGCAGTAGAAATAGGAAGAAGTAGAATTGAAAGGAGGTGGAGAAAGAAGGAGCCCAGACAGATATGACTTTGAGACATGGTTGATTGGGTACCATTAGCAGAAAAAGAGAGCTTCAGGGAGAGCTACTGCTTTTGGTGGGGAAGTGTCAAGAAAGATTATGAATTGGGCTTTGGATATATAGAATTTGAAGTGCTAGTAGGAGATCTAAATGGGTAGATCAAGCAAAGTTGAAACTGCTCATCTGCAGCTAAGAAGAGGATGCAGTAGAATTTGAGGGATCTCTTATTTACCCAAGTGGTGACTGTAATTCAATGTATGGCATTGGAAATATACTTCTATTACCCCTGAAAGATAAGAGTGGAAAGAGAGTCATTGGCATATATGTGTAGTAAAGTGTTGCAATTGTCCATAAAGTTTGAAAAGAAAGAACTTTGGGGGTCTCCAAACTTTGGAGGCTGGCAAAGAAAGAAGAAACACCTAAAGAGATTGAGAGGAAAGGAGTCAGAATGTTTGGGAAATAAGAGACAACAGAGATTAAGCAAAGGTGTGATACAGTCATTCTATGGAGAGATTATATGAGAAAAGAAAAGGGCCTTTGAATTTGGCCATTAAGAAATGGCTCATAACCTTATTGGTAACCTTCAGGAGCTACTGGTTTATAATAATTCCATATTTGTTTTTGTCGTTTTAATTTTTTAATTATTGAAATTTTCAAGCATATGCGAAAGTAGAGAGAATACTATGAAAAATCCTCTCTGTCACCTGGTTTCCATAATATCAACACATGAACAGACTTGTCTCATTCATCCCCCCATTTGCTTCTTCTCAACCCTTGATTATTTTGAGAAAATCTCAGACGTATCCTTTCATTTATAGATGCTTCAGTGTGTATCTCCAGATCTTCTGTGTATTTTGGTAGTTCTTTCTCCTCTCTACTGACAACTGCCATTTTTTTCTTGCTGTAATGTGTTAATTTTTCTCTTATAACTTGCTTTCTTATTTTTACTCAAAATTAATTGTTTGGGTTAAAATTTGAGGAAGGTTCATCTTGTACGTATTTAAGAGAATTTTGTTGGTGAAAATCCTTAAAGCTTACTTTTAGGATTGAGGCTTTCTGAATAATTGAGCTTCCCACCCTTTGAGTGCTGAATGACTGTATTTTCATCAAGTATTTAATATATAACTCTTGGATAATCAAAACTTTGATTCCAAGCATTTTAGTAAGATAAAACAAACTGTCACTTTTTTCTTACATATTTTAACAAATCAGAAATAATGGTTCCTTTTAATTTTTATATAGGAAGAGGCATATTTCTACAAAAAATTGAGATACCTGAAGAATGTTCTTTCCTTGTTAATGTGTAATTAACAAAATCAGCAAAAGACTCATTTTATGAATCCATGAAAGAGAAGTTTTATAAATACAAATTTCCAGCAAGTACACTCTATAAATAAAAATAGATTTGGTCTTGGTGAAGCTTTGTCTTATAAATAAAAATTATGTTAAACATGTATAATTTTAAAATATGAAGTGAAGAAAGGGTTCCTAGTTTTGGAAATTGGCAGCATATGCAGAAGATATGAACAATAGGTCAATGAATATTGGATTTACAGCATTCTTTCCTAAAATTGAGAGTTTCTGTAATTTATAAATTGGATATTTCTTGGCTCAATTCTTTGTACTATTCCATTTGGGTAAAGCTGTTTTTCAGAAGAATTTAGAACTATTTTTTTCTTGATAAAAAGGCAATGAAATGATTTAAGATTTGTCTGCAAAATAATTGCATGACACAAGGTTTTCATGGCTAAAAATAAAGGGTATTGTTGATTTGAGGAGTTAGCCAGTGACAGTGATGCTTAATGTGTTTGTTCCTCATGAACTCACATTTCTGAGTAAACTTTGAAATATGATTAATAGTTCAGTAGGTCTAAAAAATGAGAAATTAATGAAATGAGTGACAGATTTTGTTCACAGTTTAATGTGTTTTTAGTAGTTGGTTTGTCTGGAGCATGGAATGAAATACTCCAGACGAACCAGTTTTTTTTTAAATCAAGTGCAAAATTTTAGGTATAAAATCCATTCGTAATTCTTTTTTGTTTGTTTGCTTTTTGAGAAAGAGTCTCACTCTGTAGCCCAAGCTGGAGTGCAGTGGTGCAACCTCCACCTCTGGGGCTCAAGCAATTCTTGTGCCTCAGCCTCCCGAATAGCTGGGACTACAGGCACACGCCACTACGCCCAGCTAGTTTTTTGTATTTTAGTAGAAACAGGGTTTCACCGTGTTGCCCAGGGTGGTCTCGAATTCCTGAACTCAGGAGATCCTCCCGTCTCAGCCTCCCAAAGTGCTGGGATTACAGGCGTGAGCCACTGCGCCCAGCCTATTCATAATTCTTTATAGGGCTTATTACCAAAGAACAGAAGGCTTTTTAAAAGTCATCTATTGTTTAGTGATTATTAAAAATAAGTCTTCTGATGAGGATTACATGTATCTAACTACTGTAAAATAGATTTCATGTCAGTGCTACATAATCAGTATCTAGGTTCAGTACCTGAAAGTTCATTTGACCATGCCTTTTTATGATTTTAATCCTACCATAGTCATTTTTGTCCTATTTGCCATTCACGGAAAACTTTATCAGAATATAAGTAAATGATCTTGAAAACATTAATATTTATCTTTTTTGTACATACTATACATTTTCTTACCATACATATTATATGTTCTCTGACCTCTGGAACATTAACTCACAAATTGTTTCCGTTTTCCTTTACCTAGATTGCATGTAGATGTCAAAACTGTGCAAGCACCAAGGAATGCTAAATGTTGAGGAATGGTCATAGACTTAGCAACCCACATATACTGAGATTGTTTATGAGAGCCATTTGGTCTGAGTAACATGTATAGGGTATGACTAAAGTAGGTGGTAAGGCCAAAAAGAGTAAGTGAGGTAAGGTGGGGGTGGGTTAGTGGATTTAAAAAAGTAATTTGTAGCTCTACCTTCAGGAAATGTCAGTGATTCAACATTCAAATCTACCTAATCAACTGTATCTTTACTACCTATATAAGTTTTGTATGTGAGAGAATGATTCTCATTTTGTATATGTGCATATTCAGTCTTCTGATTCATAGGTCCTAAATGCTTTTGTATTTATTTAGGCTTATTTTGAAGCCCAGAATATGGTCTTTTGTGGTAAATGTTCCATTTGAGCTCTTGAAAAGAATGTATATTCTGGTGGTTTTGGACAGATTGTGCTGTAACTATCAATAAAGTCAAGTTAATTAATAAATTGTGCTGTAACTATCAATAAAGTCAAGTTAATTAATAATGTCCCTGTCTTCTACATCTTTGTTTTCTTTCTACTCACTGAGAGGCGTGTTGAAATCTTCAACTATAATTGTAGTTTTTCTCTATTTTTTCTTCAAACTGTTTTTGTTTCCACCCCACCTACCCACTGCCACTACTTTGCCTTTGAAGATTACAATTAAGCATGTCTTAGGCCATTTTACGTTATGTGACAGCTCACTGATAATGTATTTTTTTTTCAGCTTTTTCCATACTTCGTTTCATTTTAGATTGTTTCTATTGCTGTATCTTCAAGTTATATTAGTCTTGTCTTCTGATATTAATTTCATTCATTGCATTTTTAGTTTCAGACACCCTAATTTTCACTACTAGAAGTTCGATATGGGTTTTTCAGTATTTTCCATGTCTCTACTTAATATGTTCAGTCTTTATTCTAGCTTCTTGAACATATGAAATACAGTTATAATAAGTGTTTTCATGTTCTTGTCTACTAATTCTATTGTGTATGTCTTTTCTGGGTTGGTTTCCATTGATTTTACTCCTCATTATAGGTTATATTTGCCTCCTCCTTTATATGCCTCGTAATTTTTTACTGGACATCAAATGTAAATTTTACCTTCTTGGGTGCTGGATATTTCTGTTGTTTGGTATGCAAGTACGTTACTTGCAAAGAGTTTTTTTAGTCTTGCTTTTAAGCTTTATTAGGCAGAATGTGAACTGCTTTTAAATAAGGCTCTTCTTTGTCTATTTCTTTGATTCTCTACTGAAGCAAAACTCTGCTATATACTGTGTACTTATATTAGCTTTCTATGGCTGCCATAACAAAGTACCACAAACTTGGTGGCTAAAACAACAGAAATGTATTTTCTCACAGTTCTGGAGGCTGGAAGTTCAGAATCAGCATTAGCAGGGCCCTGCTCCCCCTGATACCTGCAGGGGAATCCTTCCTTGCATCTTCCTAGTTCTGGTGGTTTGCTGGCAACCTTTGACAGCCCTTTCTTTGCCTGTAGATGCATAACTCCAATACTCTATCTTCACATGGCATTCTCCCTGTGTTTCTTCATATCATCTGCTCTCTCTCTGTGTCCCCCATTTTATAAGAACATGTCATATTGGAGTAGGGCCCACCCTAGTGACCTCATTTAACTTGATTACCTCTGTAAAGACTCTTTCCAAATAAGGTCCTATTCTGAGGTACTAGGAGTTCAGACTTCAACATGTTTTATTTTTGGTTGGGGGTGGGGGCCACAATTCAACATAGTGCTGTACCCATATCCCATGAATTATGAAGTTTTCCACTCTGGCTGCATGGAACGAGAGTGATTGCCCACACTATGAAAACTCCAAGAATTGTTCTCTCTAATCTGTTTGGCTGGTTCTTTCTCCAGCCTTGGGGAGTTGCCCCACCTGCGTGTGCTGATTAGTACTCAGATGAACACTTGGGACTCCTTGCTGATTTCCTGAGTCATGTCTAGGCAGCCCTTTACTCTCAAGTGCTCTGTCCTGCAAGGTCTAGCAGCTTTAGCCTCCTTGAATTTCTAGCTCCCCTTCAACTGTCGGGCTTTACCTGGGTTTTCATTTCCTTACTGCGACCTGCAAAGTCTCTCCAGGCAATAAGCTGTGGTTGTTGTGGGCACACTTCATTTGGTTCCCATCTCTCAGGGATCCTTGTCCTTTGCCTGATGTCCAATGTCTTAGACATAGTATTGTCAGATATTTTGTCTGGCATTTTCAGTTGTTGCAAGCAGGAAGGTAAATCTAGTCCCTATTGCTCCATCTTGCCTAGAAACACTGGTCTGCCTTTCTAGCCTGTATCTGGGTTACTGATTGCAATGAGAAAAAAAAAATCAATATTATTTGGTATCAGTATTAATCCATGTACTTCAAAGTCATTAGAAGGCTGTGAATGGTGCCTAATAATTGTATGTTTTCCTATCAGCTCTCTTATACTCTGGAGTGTCTACTTAATATCTTCTCACTCCCCTCAAACCTCATTTCACCCATGTCACTCTTAGCAGACGACCTTGCCTCCTAACTTCACAGAGAAAACAGAAGCCATCAGATGGGAACTTGCTCTACTTCTTGTGACCCAGCCTATCAATGTGCCTTCTTTGGCATACATTCTTTCCACTTCCTTTC
Source organism: Homo sapiens (assembly GCF_000001405.40). Classification (NCBI taxonomy): domain Eukaryota; kingdom Metazoa; phylum Chordata; class Mammalia; order Primates; family Hominidae; genus Homo; species Homo sapiens. The sequence goes on along the minus strand of NC_000001.11, from coordinate 85,172,152 downwards.
TGTAATAATAGAGAAATGATCTTCCTTACATCTTGGACAAATTCTAATTCCTTCATGTGTACTCAGAAGTTTCTTCTTTCTTCTTAGGGACTTTGCTCAATTGATCATATTTCCTCTCTCCTGAACCTTGAAAACCTTTTTTACTATCTCCTTTACATTACCATTGAAATGTTTAGGTGTCTCCTGTTTTTAAAGAAAAATCTCCACTTTGATCTTGTTTCTCCCCCGCCCTCCCCTCTTCTCTGTGGTTATCTACTTTTCTCAAAGCCAGATTTCTTGAACAGGTTGTGTGCATTTCTTTGTCTATTTCTTTAATGCCCATTTACTTCCTAACCAACTGCAACTTGAGTTCAGTGTCCTTTATTTTCCTGAAACTGTGCTTGCCAAGGTTGCTGACTTCCTTTTCTGGTGGACATTTTTGGGTTCTTAAATTGTCTCTAGATCATTATTTTCTATACCTGGTTACAAAACCCCATTGTCTAAACATAAGACAAATTTGTTAAAAATACTGGGACAGGAGCTCTGACCTCTGTACATTATGATTTAGTATGGCTGGCATGGGGCTCCAGAATCTAATTTTTTTTAAAGCCTCAGTGTGCAGCCAATTTTGAAAAAACACTGTTCTCTGCAATATTTAACACTATTCTTATCTAACCCAACTATTGTTTGGGTATCATTAGATATCATAGACTCTTTCTTGAAACATTTTTCCTCGACTTGGCCTCACTTTTGCCACTCTCCTCTCGCCCCATCCCCACCTCCTCTCACCATACATACATCTTTTGCCATTCTTCCTTAGTCACAACTGGAAGATCCTCTTCCCTGATGACCCCTGGAAAGTTGATGTTCTTCAGGGTTATTTTCTGAGCCTTCTCTTAATCACTCTGTATGTCTCCCTGATAATCATTCCCAAGATCCAGTTATCTTTAAGTTGATCATTCTTAAATCTGTGTCTCCAGTCATCTCTTTCATCTCAGATTTTTATATCCAGCAGCCTTGAATGCCCCATAGATACCTTAAGCTCCATATGTTCAAAATGAAACTCTTCTCTTTACCCCCTAAAACATGATTTTCCTCCTGCGTTCTCTATTTGAAATAGTGTCACTAGTATCCACCTAGATACTCAAGTTCCAAGCCTAGGAAAGAAACATTCTTATTCCTCTTTTTTCCTCAAAATTGCAAATGCATTTTTTACTTAGCAGTCCTGTTTTAAGAATTTATCCTACAGACATACCTGCATATATACAAAGTGATTGTGTGCAAGGTTATTAATTGTAGCATGTTTTGGAAAAACAAAAGATAAGAAACAATTCTAGTATCCATCTGTAAGAGACTGAATAGATAAGACTATGGGACATCCTTACATTGAACTACTATAATGTGGCTATAAAAGTGATTAAGGAAGCTCTCTATGGCCTGAAAAGATCTCAAGGATATGATGTTAAATGAAAAAGCAAGAAACAAAATAGCATATGCAGGTTTCTTATTTCTGATTTCTTTGGGTTTTGGAATATTTGCATTATGTGTACCAGTTTAGCATGCCTAATCCAAAAATCAAAAATCCAGAATGCTCTAATGAGCATTCCTTTGAGCATCATGTTGGCATTTTAAAAGTTTTGGATTTTAGAGCATTTTGGATTTTTAAACTAAGGATACTCAACTCTCAATGAGGGAGACAAATCATATTTATATTTGCATAAACATTAGAAGGATGCATAAGAAACTAATGAATCATGTTACTATTAAATATTTAAAACTTGGGGCCAGGCACAGTGTCTCATGCCAGGTACTCTGGGAGAATAAGGTGGGAGGATCACTTGAGGCCAGCAATTCAAGTCTAACCTGGGAAGTATAGTGAGACACTGATCTACAAAAAATAAGAAAATTAGCCAGGTGTGGGGGCAACCACCTGTAGTCCTAGCTGCTTAAGAGGCTGAGGTGGGAGGATTGCTTGAGCCTAGGAGTTTGAGGTTACCAGTGTACTCCAGCCTGGGTGATGGAGCGAGACCCTGTCACAATTAAAAAAAAAAAAAAAAAAGAGATGGGAAGCTTCGTATAGAATCATGTTTAAGTTCAAACTAAGCAAGGCTGAGAGCATGTTCTGGATCAATATTGTATATATTTAGGTTTTGGTGTTAGGAGTATCTCCTGTTTTCCTTTGTGATCACATGCCAGCCTTTAGCTTGTATCTTACCTACCTTACTTATATATAACAACCACTATTCTTTCCAGTTTCCTCTACTATAAGTAATATTTCTTAGTTCAAAACTACGTGTGGAATGTTTGCAATTGACTTTCCTCATTCCCATTATAGTGACACGTCTGATGTTTTCTGTTCTTAGCTTTTGGTTTTATTTGTTTGGTTTTAGGAATGATTTTTTCTTGCATATGATAGTGTAGCATTAGCAATTATCCAGCCATCCAATATATCGGTTTAAGACATTTCTCCAGTGTTAAAGAGGAAATGTATTTATTTCCAAGGGTTTCAGACAATTGGTACTCTTTCATTATCAATTTAAAGTCTAGAAACTCAAAATTTGTGTAATTGGAATAATTCATAATTAACATAAATATGCCTTGCTTTCTTAACTTCTGTTTCACATGCATTTAGAGAAGCTTTTTATAGGGGGCAGAATCAATAAGGGTATATGTATCAAGAATAGCTTACTTTATGATTAACAAACCTAACGTGTGGTAACTGAAAATTATGTGTACATTTTTAGCATGCTTTCAAAACAAGTCAATTACCAAGGCAACTTAAAAGAATACAAAATGCTAGTATTTTATAATTCTTTTTATGTTGTTGCCTTTATTGTTTTCAAAATGTTGAAAGTTGGCTATAATACTTAAATTTTAAAAAATTGACCATAGTTCTTTATTTCACTCTGCAGTCCAATCACCAACTGTCTGCGGTTTGTTTTTTAAAGGTGTTCTTAAGGATTATTTAAGAGAACTCCCTTCTCCTCTGATAACAAAGCAGCTTTATGAGGCTGTATTAGATGCAATGGCAAAAAGTCCTTTGAAAATGTCATCAAATGGTTGTGAGAATGACCCAGGTGACTCTAAGTACACTGTTGACCTGCTGGATTGTCTGCCAGAGATTGAGAAGGTAAGCATTACCAGTATACATTTTTCCTGAAAGCCAGTTAATGAACTGTATACCTACCTCCAGAGCTACAAATAATTTTAGATATTTGACATTTGTGGCACTCATGGATTTAAAAGCTCTGCCATTACTGCCTTTAAACAGCCTAAGTCTGTAAAAGCTTCTTAAACAGAATAAATCTAGAAAACAGTTTTATCTTTTCTATATGTGATTTTAGCCCAAGCATGAATACTCACTGAAGTTTTTTTAATTGTATTGTTAAAATATTATTACAATAATATTTGTTCATTATAGAAATATTGAAAAGATACAGAAAAGAAGAATATAAAATTGCAATCATCAATATCCAGAGGCAGCTATAATTAACATTTTGGTGTGTCTCCTTTTAGTATTTTTTAGATACAACAACTGTGTTGGTGTACATGGCTTAACTTTAAGACAAACAAAAGCCCCTCCCCTCGTTTTTTCCTCCTTATCCTTTCCATTCACCCCCTCTCCAAAATCTTCAGACCAGCATCCTCAGCTATGCCTGTAGGAGAGAGAGAGAAGGATAGGTAGGTCTTCAGAACCAGCCTTAGCCTAACTTTATCTGTTGTTCCTTAGAATAGAAGGGAAAATAGGAGAAATGTATGACTGGGCTTGTCTAGATGAGGCTAAATTTGCCTACATTTTTTATCATGTTGGGGCAGAAAGAGCAAGAATTAGTGGGTAGAAACTGTAAGTCCAGTAACTTGACTTGCGAGTTTACTGTGGTCCCCTGAATGTCCTGTGCTCTGTCCAGTTGGATTAACAGTTACTCCTCCTTTGGATTAGGGGAAGGGAACAGCTAAAGAGTGCAGAAGCACAAGGGTGGGGTGAAGTTTAAGGGGGTGGGTGGAAAAAGTAGAGATACTGGTTTCCCAACACTAGGTAAAATTTTTTTTTTTTTTTTGAAGAAGGAGTCTCACTCTGTTGCCCGGGCTTGAGTGCAGTGGTGCGATCTCAGCTCACTGCAACCTCCACCTTTACAGGTTCAAGCAATTCTCCTACCTCAGCCTCCTGAGTAGCTGAGACTACAGGTGGGCGCCACCATGCCCGACTTATTTTTGTATTTTCAGTAGAGACGGGGTTTCACCATGTTGGCCAGGCTGGTCCCAAACTCCTGACCTCCAGTGATCTGCCCACCTTGGCCTCTCAAAGTACTGTGATTACAGGTGTGAGCCACCATGCCCAGCACTAGGTAAAATTATAAGTGCCACTTATAAGTGAAGAACTGCCTGTTAGGGAATTTAAATCACTTGCCGAAAGTTACATACTTCTGTGAATATTAAATAGTCTATCACACTATAAGTCTTTCTGACTCTAAGGCCCATGCTATTACCATCCTTTCTAAAAAGACTGAGTAAGCCTGGGCTGTATGGCGAAACCGTCTCTACAAAAATTACAAAAATTAGCCGGGCATGGTGGCACGTGCCTAGGGTCCCAGCTACTTGGGAGGCTGAGGTAAAAGGATGGCTTGAGCCCAGGGAGGGCTACAGTGAGCCGAGATCATGCCACTGCATTCCAGCCTGGGCAATAGAGCCAGACTTTGTCTCAGTCAGTCAATCAGTCAATAACTGTGTGATATACCATTGAGTGGATTTGACAACATAATTTATCAGTATTCCCTTTTGTATATTTAGATTTTGAGTGATTTGTAAATATTTGTACACAGATTTATTTTTAATTTAGAATTATTTAGAATAGAGTCTCAGAAGTGGAATTGCTTATTTAAATAATATGAACATTTTAAGGCCCTTATATGTTTGCATACTAATTTTCTTCTTTTTTTTTCTGGTTTTTTTTTTTTTTTTTGAGACAGGGTCTCACTTTGTCTCTCAGGCTGGAGTGCGGTGGTGCAAACACAGCTCACTGCAGCCTCAACCTCCCCGGCTCACGCCATCCTCCTGCCTCAGCCCCCCAAGTAGCTGGGACTTCAGGCATGTGCCGTCACCCTCAACTAATTTTTTTTGTATGTTTTGTAGACACTGGGTTTCACCGTGTTGCCCAGGCTAGTCTCGAACTCCTGAGCTCAAGCAATCTACCCGCCTCGACCTCCCAAAGTGCTGGGATTATAGGCATGAACCACCACGCCCAGCCAGACTAATTTTCAAAAGGAACATGACAATTACATTTTTTGGCTTATCTTATTTAGTAGTCAAAAAAAATTTGCATTCCTTTGCTTGCTATTGAGATTGAACATATATTTAACCAGGTGTAGTGTGTTGTTTGTGTCTGTGTGTGTGTATGATCACAATTATTGCTGGAAATACCCTTAAGAGGCCAATGTATATGGAGTTGTGTTAGGAAATAATTATGAATTTAAAAAAGAAATATGATTCATATATTTGACTTGTTTTGATTTAAAATGCCATATTCTTCTCTAGTTTTCATTCTCTCTTCATTCCTTCCCTTCATAGCCAAACATTGAAGGGCTATTTATTCCAGCTGTTATCACTTCTTCATCACTCATTTACTACTCAGCACATTGTAATCTGGCTTCCTACCTCATCTTGCTGGACTTGTTCTTGCCACAGCTATTAAATGGCCTTCTGACCAGCAAATCCATTTGTCGCTTTTGGCTCCAGAAATAATGTTATTTTGATTTTTCTTTAAATAAGATTTTTACCAGCTTAGACAACATAGCAAGACCCTGTCTCTACAAAAAAAAAAAAATTTTTTTTTTTTTTGAGACGGAGTCTTGCTCTGTCACCCACGCTGGAGTACAGTGGCACAATCTTGGCTCACTGAAACCTCTGCCTCCCAGAATAAGTGATCCTTCTGCCTCAGCTTCCTGAGTAGCTGGGATTACAGGTGTGCACCACCACACCAGCTATTTTTTTGTATTTTCAGTAGAGTCGGGGTTTCCCATGTTGACCAGGCTGGTCTTGAACTTCTGACCTCAGATGATTCACCTGCCTTGGCCTCCCAAAGTGCTGGGATTACAGGCAAGAGCCACATGCCTGGCCTACAAAAAAATTTTTAAAAATTAGTGGGTATGGTGTCGCATGCCTGTAGCCCGAGCTACTTGGGAGGCTGGGGTGGAAAGATTGCTTGAGCCAGGAAGGTCGGTGCTGCAGTGAGCTGTGATCATGCTACTGTACTCCAGCCTCGGCAACAGAGTGAGACCCTGTCTCCAAAAAAAAAAAAAAAAAAAAAAAAATTAAAGTTTTTAATTGGCATCAATGTCTTCAATACAGTTTTGAAGAAAAAATTACTCATTTTGTTAAATGATTGATCCTATGCCACTACATCAAAAAACATCATTTCTTTCCATAACTGTTGAAACCTAAATAACCATTCCACTTTTTGAGCCAACTCCCCTTACTAGTTTCTTTAAGGATTAAAAAATATTTTTTTTGGTAATTTTTTTCTTTCATTTCTAACTGTACTATTCTTCTTTTTAAGGTTTATTTACCACATATATATATTTATTTATTTATTTATATGTATATTAGTTAAGAAGCATATTGGCCTTTTAAACATGTCTTTCATAATCCAAATCATTATAGAACCTGGCCATGTTCCGGAATGGTTAGCTTCCTAGATTTAAGCATGATAGTGATTACAACTTACAACTACAGGACTTATCTGTACTTAAAAATGAACATTCTTACCCTAATCCCCTTTTCATCACAGCCTTTGCTGTTGCCATGTTAGAAGAGAAAGAGGTAATGGACGCATTTTCCCAGGGATTCCAGCTGAAATTTGGAATGCATTCATAAGTATTTTATAAAGAATGTATATTTTAACCATTTAATGGATTAAATTGTGTTGTTGGAACATAATTTTTTTTTGACAGGGTCTCGTTCAGCCACCCAGGCTGGAGTGCAGGGGTATAGTCTCAGCTGACTGCAACCACCATCTCCTGGGTTCCAGCGATTCTCCCATCTCAGCCTCCCGAGTAGCCGGGATCGTAGGCACCCGCCATCATGCCCGGCTAATTTTTCTATTTTAGTAGAGATGAGGTTTCACCATGTTGGCCAGGCTGGTCTTGAATTCCTGACCTCAGGTGATCCTCCTGCCTCAGCCTCCCAGAGTGCTAGGATTACAGGCATGAGCCACTGTGCCCGGCTGGAACATAATTTAGGCCCCATATAATGTTTCTATTAGAAACTATGTTCTAGGTTCCAAACATCCAATTTATACGCAAATCTTTAAAAAAAATCCTTTTAAAAGTGACAAGATGCTTATCTGTATTTCCTGCTATAAATTGTGTCCTTGAATTTGCCTCTTTATGACTATATTAATTGAAATTTAATTTAATTTAGGCAACCCTAAAGATGTTGTTGGATCATTTGAAATTGGTGGCTTCCTATCATGAAGTGAATAAGATGACGTGCCAGAATTTGGCTGTGTGCTTTGGACCAGTATTATTAAGTCAGAGGCAAGAGCCTTCCACCCATAACAACAGAGTCTTTACTGATTCAGAAGAACTTGCAAGTGCTTTGGATTTTAAAAAACACATTGAAGTTCTTCATTACTTACTCCAACTCTGGCCAGGTAAATGATTCTATGGAAATGTTTTTCACTTTCAATGATAGGGTATTTGAATTAACTAATCATTAAATATGCTCATATATGATTGAAGAAACTCTTCTAGATTTTGCTTTTTCAAAATGTTGTGAATTGATACCTGCCCTTTAGATTTTTTTCATTTAAATGTTTTCTGCCTTTGCTGATGACATTGTAGGCATGTAGATTAATGTGCACATGTTAGACTTGGTCAGATCTAGATTTAAATCCTGGTTGTACCACTTATTAGCAATCTGACCTTGGGTTGGTTTCTTAACGTCTTAGAGCCTTGTATCATCTTTTGTCATATGGATTTAATAATATGTTTATAGATTTTTATTAGGATTTTTAAAAATTGTGTATGTAATGTGCTCAGTGTAGCTCTTGACATGTAATAGAGACTCAATAAACACTAATTTATTTACTCTTCTCATTTTTAGTTCAACCGGTATAAAGCAGAATTCATTTTTCCCCTTAAATCAATTCTTCTTTACGTCTTTAACTGCATTCATGGTCATTAGTCAAATTATCTCAGCTTAAATTGGGAATTACCCTTGACCTTTCCATCTTTCTTATCCAATCCTTATTTCAATCAATAACTAAAGACTGACAAATATTTTCCTAATTATCTCTGATGTAATTTCAGAGTTAAAAGAAATATGTGTTTAATTTGACATTCTATAAAGGACACTGCATTTAAATTTCAAAATTTTCTTAGATTTTAGTAACCCCTGCTACTCTCACCCCACACTGCATGGGACCAAGTGTGAAGTACTTTGGTGTTTAGTGTAGAGCACACTAGTAACCGTGCTTGGCCCCGGGGTCAGGTTTGGGTTCAGATCTGGATGGTGGCACTTGCCAGCAGGATGGGCTACGACAAAAACTTTAACCTCTTCAACTCCCAGTTTGCTCCTCTCTAAATCATGCCTGCCTCAGGGTTGTTGTAAAGATTGAGATAAAGCATCTAAGGCAATGAGCAAAATGTTTAGCACAAAGTGAGCACTCAGTCAATGTCTTTGGTTACTCTTTTGTTATATATATATATATATATATATATATATATATATAGATTAAAGTACAAGAGAATGCTTGATTTCATCGTTTAAAGTGAATTAAAAATTAAGTTAATAAAAATTTTCCAGCACTTTGGGAGACCGAGGCAGGTGGATCACAAGGTCAGGAGTTTGAGACCAGCCTGGCCAACATAGTGAAACCCCGCCTCCATTAAAAATACAAAAATTTAGCTGGGCATGGTGGCGGGCACCTGTAGTCCCAGCTACTTGGGAGGCTGAGGCAAGAGAATCGCTTGAACTAGGGAGGCGGAGGTTGCAGTGAGCCGAGATTGCGGAAGTGCACTCTAGCCTGGGGGACAGCGTGAGACTCCGTCTCAAAAAAAAAAAAAAAATTCAACTTTAAAATTTGGAAAGTTAAAGCTTTTACTTTCTTTTAAATGCCGGCTTAAAAATTATTCTAATTCATGTTTTAACTGAATTAGAATGTTATTTTAACTATTTTAAAACCCTGAATCAAGATTCTCAGGGTAATTGAGCTAATTTCAGCATTTGATGCCCAACATAAGGGATCTTTCAGAGTGTCAACTGTGTCTCCTTTTTCTAGAACAGCTTTAATTCTAATAAACACCAAGAATTTGGGAGAAAGCCATCTTGTCATTACCACAAATGAAAACTTGCTTCCCTGGAGATACCATTAAGTTTACTGTCAGTGCCTGAGTTTGTTATGATTATTAATTATTCTGTGCCAGAGGTTAAGGTCATTTTATTATTTTGTAATAGTAGCCACCTTAGTTTTGGGTTTGAGAGAAGAAACTTAATGTATATCTTGTGTTATAGAAAAAGCAGGTTCAGATTTCAAATTCACCGTATTCTAAAGACAGCCTTAAACAACTATTCCTAGTGTACAGCACCTTATTCCAAAGATTTGTGTTGGTGGTTTTAAAAATAACTGCTCCTTTTTCTATAACCTGTTATTTTTCTTTAGTTGTAGTACCTCAGACAAAAAACAGGGCAGAAAGTTGAGAAGAAACAACAGTTTTACCCTGTCAATCACCTGCTGTTGAATTCAAGAAAAGGCAGAAATCAAGTAGACGAGGTGCATTTACTTGGCCTGAGAAAGTTGATGGTGACATAGAGAATGTGGCAAAGACTAGTAGGCCACAGCATATTAACTCAGTGAATGCCTATCCTATCTCCATGCATTCAATAGAAGGTTTTAGCTTTCCTTGATATGCATATCTTATTTTTCCATTTGGAAATTCTCCAACTCCAGAGTTAAAAAGAGTCGCCCCCTTATTTTTTATTTTCTAAACTTTTTGTTTTGTTTCATGTTATTTTTTGTTTTTTATTTTTGGGCAAGAAGATAATTTGCTTTGAGATTTATATTTGAAAAATCCTGTCTTCAAAGTAATTGGTTAGAACTTCAGCGTATCAGCATTAGAAGGTAAAAGTCGTCCTGCCAATACTTTTTTAGATTGTCTTCTACTAAGCTCTAGGGTTCTTTGGAAGCAGCTTAGAAGCCAGATCAGCAAGGGATGGGGGAACAAAATGGAAACACACTTCCCGTTGACCAGAACAGCCTTCTTTTTTATCTGTTTTATGTATTGAGTTTTCACAAAAATGTTTCTTTTAGATATTCATTTTCTGTTTTAAGAATACTGAAAATAATACTCCTGGCCCCCCTATCACTTTAAAGATGGATAAATCAATTTAGAGAGAGTATAATTCCTAGATCCTTGCTATACCACATTTTCTTTCTTTTTTTTTTTTTTTTTGAGATGGAGTCTCACTGTGTCGCCCAGGTTGGAGTGCACTGGCGCAATCTTGACTCACTGAAACCTTTGCCTCTCAGGTTCAAGCAGTTCTCCTACCTCAGCCTCTTGAGTGGCTGGGATTACAGGCGTGTACCACTGCGCCCAGCTAATTTTTGTATTTTTAGTAGAGATGGGGTTTCACCATATTGGCCAGGCCAATCTCGAACTCCTGACTTCAAGTGATCTGCCTGCCTTGGCCTCCCAAAGTGCTGGGATTACAGGCGTGAGCCACCACCTGGCCACTATACCACATTTTCTATGATAAATATATTTGGGGCAAGTTTTTTGGAAAAGGTATCAGTTTTCCTCTTATTTCTTTTTATTTCATCTTTCTTACAAGATTTTAAGTTTGGTGACATTGGGGATTCTTTTTAACTTTATATTCCCAGGTCCTAGCAGAGTATTTGGGTTAAATAAGGTAATTATAGATAAAAGGATAATAAAGTACTAATTAGAAACAAATCTACTGGTAGAAAACAAGATAAGGAAAAATTAAGTTTCTTAGTACTTATTACATTTTGAATTCTTTTTCAGCAACCTTATAGACTGCATTTTTAATTTTGTTCTACTGAAGGTGGGTAGTCAACAGTGATGGGAAAACCAGAACTTTTGAGGTTAAAATTAGCCATTTTCACCGTATATTTAGTTGTAAACCACTCTGACATCAGTAGTCTAAAAAGTCAGTGATGTTGGTTTTTCAGAAATTGAAATTTTTAGTCTAAAAGATATAAAATATCAGTTTAATTGGTTTCTTAATATTTTCCAAGATAATACACAGAAACAATGTTTCAGTAGGGTCTTAGGTGAGTAACTCTAAGCGACTGGCAACAAAATGAATCTGGATTTTGCAGGCAAATGTCTGAAAATGCAGGCACAATAGGACAATTTTAAGACATAAAGCAAAAATACATGGTTAGATCAGACCAGATAACCTCAAGGCTAGCAGAATATTGTAATTGGTTGGTGAAAACAACAGGCATGACAGTTAAGCACTAAAAAGAAAAGGAATAGCACAAAGAATGAGGGGGGAAAAGCAAGGAGATAGTGGTGATAAGCAGCTAGAGGAAGAAAAAGAATATGAATAATTACACAGTGGAAAAATCAGTTATCCATTCTGCACTTACATCAGTTGATGGTATGGACCATTCTATATTAATACTAACATTAAAGATCAATTTAAAGTAAATAGCTTTTATTTTCTAGAAAATTTTAGATCAAGAAATTTTGGCTATCTATAGTGATACATAATAACCATCTTTAAAATGCAATAGAAATGTTAAAAACATACCTGTGTACAGTTATCAAATATTTCAATAAAATCTAAATTTAAAAAAGTGTGAGATCTATGAAAAATGTTATGAATATCACTTTAAGTCTGGAAAACTAGAACCATATATATGTTTTTATAGTTTTTCAGTTGTCTTATTTTATACAACAGCAAACAAGCATTCATTATATATTGGAGAGTATAAAGTTGGTGTGTTATCACTGATTTATGTTGCTTTATCTTAGTGCAGGGAAATAGGAAGGGGCACTTATTCATGCAGAAAGAGAAAGATATTATGGGTAATCTTTAATAGCTATGTGTCAGCATTTTAAATTGTCTATTTTATATACAGAATAGCCTTAAATATTTTGTTCAACACACAAGAGTAAACCTTGGTTTGTAATGAAGTAATGTGTGTCTCTGTGGTAATCGTCTATATGGCTAGCACAATGCATACTCTCAGAATAAACTAGTCTTAATGTGGAAAATGTTATTTGGGATTGTTAAATACCTAACCAGAATGAGAAAATAAAATATCTGTACTATTTCCAGGCAATAAATGAAGATAGTAGATAATGCTGTATAATCAAACTCAGGTAACAAAGTGGTCAAATCTAGTATTTGTACATTTTATCAAAGTGAAATTTGATCTGCTTAGTAAACTATGACTCTGATGCTAATAGAATTGCAGAAAAGCCCACAAGGGTCGGAACTTACTAGGCTGATCACTTTAGATGCCTTTGCCTCATTTAGATGTTTGCAGACAAAGGAACTTCTTGTTATATTTTGTTTGTACACCAATATGCCTTGCCTGCTTTTTGCTGTAGCTTTTAATTTAGGAGAAGCTACCAGCTTAGCTATTGTTTGAATTATAGCTAGATAATAATAAAGTTGCATAGAAAATTAATCGACATTGGAAATGTGATTTGTTTGGGGACGTTATGATGTAGCATGAATTAGCACCATGGAACGTTATACTGCTTCTATCCTTAATCTAGATTATTTCTGGTAATAAAAAATAATTATGGAATGCTTTCTTTTGACAGAGTGCATGTTTTTGTTTTAATGCATGTTTGTAGTTGATGATTAAATGGCTTATCTTTAGCTCTGTTTTTTTTTTAAGTTCAGTTGGATTACTGTCACTAAAGCAAAATTATTGTTTGTTTCTAGTGCAGCGTTTAACTGTCAAAAAATCAACAGACAATTTATTCCCAGAGCAGAAGTCTTCTCTGAATTATCTGAGGCAGAAGAAAGAACGACCTCATATGTTAAATTTGAGTGGTACTGATTCATCAGGAGTACTTAGGCCAAGGCAAAACCGATTAGACAGTCCACTTAGCAATCGTTATGCAGGAGACTGGAGCAGCTGTGGGGAAAACTACTTTTTAAATACAAAAGAAAATTTAAATGATGTGGATTATGATGATGTCCCTTCAGAAGATAGAAAAATCGGAGAAAATTATAGCAAAATGGATGGGCCAGAAGTAATGATTGAACAGCCAATTCCCATGTCCAAAGAGTGTACATTTCAGACATATTTGACAATGCAGACAGTTGAGTCTACAGTGGATCGAAAAAACAATCTCAAAGATCTACAAGAAAGTATTGATACTTTGATTGGAAATCTGGAACGTGAGCTCAACAAAAACAAGCTTAATATGAGTTTTTGAGATTGAGGGTTTTTTTTTGTAATGTCTTAAAGTTTCAAATCTGTTTTTGTTTTATTTTCTTATACCACCCACAGCGATGTTTTCATTTTTTTACTCTTGAAATCTTTAATTAATTTTTAATAAGTTTATCTGATTCAATTAAAAACACTATTCATTAATACAATTTTTACTTATCTCACTAGAAAACTTTTCTGGGGATCAATAAAACTTGGACTTCTTGGGATATTTTACTAAATCTTGCCAACTCTATGGAGATAACTTTCAAATGCACTTAAGAAGGTTCACATAAGTTATTAGCCCCTCAAGGTTTTTCTGCTTTATGGGAACCACTCTTCTGTAGCTGAGACAGATGTCCTTTTTTTTGTTGTTTTTTGAGACAGAGTCTCACTCTGTCGCCCAGGCTGGAGTGCACTGGTGCGATCTCAGGTCACTGCAACCTCCACCTCCCTGGTTCAAGTGATTCTCCTGCCACAGCCTCCCGAGTAGCTGTGATGACGGGGCCCACCACCATGCCCAGCTAATTATTGTATTTTTAGTAAAGATGGGGTTTCACCATGTTGGCCAGGCTGGTCTCGAACTCCTGATCTCAGATGATCCGCCCACCTTGGCCTCCCAAAGTGCTGGGATTACAGGCGTGAGCCACTGCGCCTGGCCTCTAGATGTTCTTTTAGAGGAACATCACAGCTGCTCAGTCTGATTTGCAGTACTGGTCCTGGTACACTGCAACATCCTTTGGTCAAATTTTATTTGTAATGCAAATGCTGCTATAAGAAAATCTTTTTATAAATAAAAGTGAAATTATACAAGTATTAATGTTTTCTGTATTAACAGTAATTATTTAAGCTTATAAAAATTAAATATTTTTATAATCCTGAAACTGTATATATTTATAAATGCATATATGTATAGATATCAGGATGGGGGAGGGGTTATTGTAGAATCACATGTATTTTTAAAGTATATATGTCATGAGGCCAAAATTATTATCTTAAAGTATTTTTTTCAGGGAAAGAACATTTAAATTAAAGGAGGAATTACATAAAAACACTTGAACAATAATACTCTAGAAGCATCTGAATAGAAATAATAGACTTTCTTTCCTTTATTCACAGAAAGTCACAATGTCCCCTGGGAAAAGTCATCTTTTAAATTTGAAATCCTCTAACTCCTTAAGGGATTAAGTACCCAGATTTCTGCACTGGTGACTTAGATTTAATAAATCTGCTCCTGTTCTATGCATTTTTATATTCTGCTTTGTTTTAATTATTTATTTGTAGTAGTACATTTATAACATTGACTTTATAATTACCCCCATTTGTTTCTAAATAGTCTTGCCAGCATATTACATGTTACTGATTTTTAAAAATTAACTTATTTTGGCTAAGTATATATACAATGTTATAGAATCACAGTAATGTTTGAAAATGTAAATTTAGAAGGCTTTTGTATTAAATCAAAATGTATTTTTTTAACTTTTATATCTACAGAATATGTAATTTTAAAATTATAAATAGACTTTAAGTTACCAACTTTTAAGACATGGCAGCCATTGAAAAACTGGCTTCCTGATGTTTTTCTAAATATTAAAGTACTTAAAATATTTCTATGCAATAAATATTGATAAACAGACATTATTTAATTTGAAAACCCATTGTTAAAAAAGATAAATATTTTTATATGAAATTTTCATTTTTTAAAACTTTGTGTTAACAATTCAGAAGAATACCAAGAGAACATATATATTGAGTAAACAGTCAAAGGAAAGTACTCTTGAATGTTTTATAGGAAAGCTGTCTCAGTTTCCTTCCTTTTGTTGCTATATCATGTATGAATTGAATAAATTGCTCTAGAAATGTAAAAATTTTATTAAAATATTATAATCTTCGTGTTATGCTATTATAATGGTTTTAAGGATCACTTATTTTAATATTCTTTTTAAGCAAAGGTGTTAAAATTTTGGACCATCATGTATTATCCATCAATATATGTAAATAACATTTATTTGTCCAGAATTTTCCAGAATCTGAAATACTTTTAAGGGCCATGCTTGTATTACTATATTACTATATTATTTTGGATGAGAATAGTTTTAAAGTTGATCTCTGCCCTCTTAGAGAATTCTATCATTTTTTTGTTGTCTCATCACCGAGTTATAGCTATAAACTGCTTTTATTGACTCTGCTGTACCAGAAGTGTTGGATAAGTTTAGATGTCTTTACTTTAAATGGCATTTTACTTCAAATATTTTTTGCGAGTTTTTATACCTGCTTTTTATAATTTCCTAGGATCTTTCTGTAGTGTCAACTGTTGCTCCTTTCTGAGGCTGCCAGCTTTAATTTTTCTTTTTCTTTTCTTTTTTTTTTTTAATAGAGACAAGATCTCAGTATATTGCCCAGGCTGGTCTCAAATTCCTGGGCTCAAGCGATCCACCCGCCTCAGCCTCCCAAAGTGCAAGGATTACAGGCGTGAGCCACTATGCCCAGCCCCTAATGTTTTTTAGGATTAAAAACAATTTTAATTTTAGAGCATGTACCTGAATAAAAATTCTAAACAATTCAGATGGATAGAAAATAAAAGTACAAGTGTTTCTGTCTGCCATCCACACCAATTTCACCTCTTAGAGGTTAACAGCACGTTTCTTGCTGCTGTTTCTTATCATTTAAGCCAAATTTGTTATTCTATGAATGATAAACAGTTTATCTCACTTCATTCCTTCTCACCATTTTTGTTATGTTTTTAGTTCATTTGTTCTCCTTTATAACTGTAGTTAATAATTTTTTTGATCCATTGACTTTAAATATATTTCCATAACATTGAGGAAATGACCAACCTTGTACTTCCCTTCCATTACTGTCCTTTACCTCCTAACTTCTCTTAAGTTATACTATTAGTTTATATAATCAGTTTTAATAGATGTATAGTTTTCCCTTTATACTGTATATTTATTTGTATATTGTATATACTGTATACTGTATATTTATTCTAAACACTGCAAATCAGTAACTAGCAGTCACACTATGCAAAAGTATGCACAGGTAAACCAGGTGATTTATCTCCTTCTATGTATCTATCTTATATCCTTAAGTCTGTGCTGATTTAAGCAGAATGCTTCATACATAAAGGCCAAATGGATTCTTTTATAGCCAGTCGTCAACTTCCCCAAATCATGCCATGTGTCATTTGCTACGTAATTGGGTCATGGCTTTTGCATACTTTAATGGTTCCTGGAGTAAGTAATTGCTTTTATTTCTTTTTTTTTAAAAAAAATCTTTCAATAGAGACGGGGTATTGTTATGTTGCCAGGACTGGTCTCAAATTTGTAGGCTCAAGCGATCCTTTCCGCCTCAGTCTCCCAAAGTGCTGGGATTACAGTATGAGCCACTGCTTCCAGCCTGCTTTTATTTCTCGACAGAAGAAAAACACTTGCTTTACTGTAGCTCTTCTTTTAATCATACTATTGAATTACCAGATTTGTTCAGAGTGCTTTTAGCTCTCATCTTGGGATTCTGGAACTATATTCTTGTCTTTATTTTTCTTTGACAGAATTGACAGGAAGGAAGGAAGTATGTTCTTCACTCTAACCCCGAGATCATTTTATGCTTCTTAATCAGCTTCATCAAATTAGGACAAAGTGATTTTTAGCTATCATCTTGGGATGTATTTTCTTTGTACTCCTATTTTTTTTTTCTTTCTTTTCTTTCTTTTCTTTTTTCTTTTTCTTTTCTTTTTTTTTTTTTTTTGCTGCATTCTTTCTTGAATTTGTCTTTTCTGTTTGCTGAAGTATATTTACAGGTGCCTTTTTTTCCCCCAGAAAGGGTGCATGGGAGAGAAACTAGGAGTCCTTGTGTGTTTGACAAGGCCTTTATTTTTTCCTCACACTTTATTTTTATTGGGCCTGCAGTTCTATGTTCAAACTCATTTTTCTTTAGAATTTTGAAGACATTTCACTATTACCTTCAAGCATCCAGTTTTGCAGTAGTCCAGGCTAGAAAGATTCGGACAAGGATAGAAACAATAGAGATGGTGAGATATGGTTGGATTCTGGATATATTTTGAAGCAGGAGCTAAAAGAATCTGCCAGTGGACTATGAAAGGAGTAGGGCCTGAGCAGCTGAATGATGGAGCGCCATCAAATGAGATTGAAATGACTCCATGTTTTTTCAGTGAGTTCCTTCTATTGGACGTTGGTGTTGTTAATATAGTAGTTATTAAAATGTCTTATAATGTCCTGTTAACGATTAGTACTAATGCCTCTGTACTTGGTGATGGTGCTCATAGAGTTACTACTAGAATAAGAAGGCCAGAAGAGGTTGCAGTGAGCCGAGATTGCGCCACTGCACTCCAGCCTGGGCGACAGAGCGAGACTCCGTCTCAAAAAATAAAAAATGAAAAATAAATAACTGTCTGGAAAATTTTAGATTATGTAGCTTTACATGTTAGGGACCCTAAAGAAACAAGGTTGAGTACTGGTAGGGTCCCTGAAAAGAATTTAGTTTCCAGACCACAGATTGAGTTTGATGGTTAAGATTTTATAAATTAAATATATCAATTTTTAGGTACTTTGGTATGATAAAGTTGTATTATGATTAATAATAACAAGTCTTAATTTGAGGCTTACTCACTTGAGGACTTTGGTACAAAAATGCTCTTTTGCTGTTTTTCCTGACCAATTTTCACTCTGAATGCAAAAGGGTCATATGTGATAAACACTGAAGTGCCACAAGTCAGATTTCTTGATTGCATTCTGCCTCAGCCTGAAATGGACTTGCTAACTCAGGCAGAAATTGAATTTGTTGAGAAAATAGTGTATCAAAGGGAAGACTTTGAGGGTGCTGAAAGTCTTTTATATTTTGGTCTAGGTGGTGGTTTCATAGGTGTTTACATATCAGGTTGCATACTTAAGATTTGTGCCCTTTATATGTCATACCTCTTTTTAAATTTTTTTTAATGGGCAAGCTTGAGAAATAGACTTGGAAAAGAAACAGAAACTAAGAGAGGCTAGGTCGTCAGAATGACAGCAATCAAGGCCATACCTGGTTATGACACTGCTGTTGCTGTCACTGTCACTAAGCAGCCTCATGTACTCCCCACTGGAGTTAGTTAGAAAACATCCTCATTCTCCATTACTCCTGATTCACAGTCCCAGACAGAAGCATGAGATTGTACTCCAGCTTCCAGGAGGCAGAGAGGAATTAGCTTGCATCCTTTCTTAGAATTTACATAGTAAGTAGATTCTATGATCGCAGAAGGAGATTTGGATGCCGAGCAGGCAAAACAGTGACAAATATACACAACACTTTCCTAATCATCTGAACCCTGTTGCTCCAAAATTGGAGTCTTTCTTACCCTGTCCCCCCTGTATATCCCAGCCATCAACAGGTCTAAGTGCTGTGTGTCTTAAACTGCATTGGAGTTTGTCACTGCTAATACCCTAGTCCAAGCCACCATCATCCCTCAATCTCATATTTCCTCTCTGCTATCACTCTCCCCTCTCTACACCCACGATCCAGTCTATTCATGGAAGCTACTATGAAAAAGATATACTGCATCATTTCCTAGGCCTTCTCCCTTGCTCCCTGGCTCTAGCAACACTGGGGACCCTCATTGCTGTCTGAGGCTCTCTGCTCTTGCCATTGCCCCTGTCTGGAAAGCTCTTTATCCAGATGTTACTTAAGCAGTTCCTTTTTGTCATTCGCTTCTCTGCTCAAATGTCACTTCAAAGAGCCTGCTTCTGAACAGCCTGCTCTGAGAATAAGGGGAAGAAGCAGATGGAGATTTCTGGGTTTTTTTGTAATAAATGCTATTAATAAATACTTATGGTACTATCTGACTAAACTGCAGATATTTATCACTTTGGTAAATGTTTACATTTAAACCAAATTTAAGAAGAAAAATGTTTAAAAAACTACACCCACATCCATTGTCACTTTTTGTCTATCACCTGGGCTTCAAGGCTTTATCATTATCTGAAATTATCTCATTTATTTATTTGTTTATTCATTTATTGTCTATGTCCACTCCTGTAGAATGTAATCTCCATGGCAGCAGGGACTTTGTATAACAATCTAGTTCATTGCCATATGCCTAGGGACTATAACATAGAAGCTGTTCAATTAATTGTTAATCAATGAATAACTGTAATAAGATACTTGAGAATGGTTGTCTTTTTGTTAGGAAAAGACTAAGTACTATAATCGCAATGTCTACATAATTTTAAAAATATTCACTCCTGAGTAATAAATTATTTGTGGTTAAGAGAGTAATGTTATCTCTTTTTTAAAAATGGCTTGTCTTTTTTATAGTTAAAGTGGTCTTGGGAAAATTAATGACTACAAGTCGGTGGGTAAATTTGGGGTGATTTTTTGTAGCATTTCTTTGCTGCAGAACACAGTCGAAACAATTATTTATGTGATATGTGTATGAAAATGCACATCTCACCATGACAAAGAAACATCTTTAAGAAATATTTTGTTAAAATGCATCATTTCTTTATAGAAATCATAAAGAGCAAAATATATCCTCTTAATTTTGACCTAATTTACTTCATATGCACTTTCTCTAGAACTGGAAAAAACTATTTTTCATTTTGTTAAAACATTTTCATAAACTTGAATGAACCCTATAAGTAGAACTCTTCCTTATTAGAAAAAATAGCAGAGAAACCACTTTGAGGGACAGGCACTACATTTAATGTTTTTATTTTCCTCAATGTCAAGTGCTTGTTTTAAGCAATGAGAAAATGCGTAAACATTGCCCTTGGGTTGGGTTAACTTCATTCTTATTTGTTTCATAAGGCCACTTGACATGCTTTTAAGTTATTTGGGTTAATCTGGCTTTCTTGCTTAATGGAGGTATAGATGTAGTAGAAACTTGGTGTTGCCCTCTATATTCTATATACTTTGGAAATTCCACTCTTCAAAATAATTTTCCAAAGAGAGTTTAAAATTTCAACTTTAGAAAAGTGCAGTACACATTTAATGAAGAAACAGGAAAGCCCCTCACATTCAAGACTTTTTTGTGTGAAAGTTATGAAACAGCATGCCTGCAGCTCACATTTTTTTCACAGCTGCAGATATTGAACGGTGACCCCTTGTTCTTGACCTTTGTTCAAGAAACGAGATGCAGGTTGCCAGCCTGTTTGCGTCTGTTTTTGCCTTTTCTCCCCCTGTGGCCATTGTAAAACCCACTCTTTAACCTAAGAGCAAGTTTGAATCGTTAGGTAAGTGAAAACTACTTGTCTAGGCTGGTAGATAAGAAATGTCAGAGCATAAAGTGCCATCTGTCCAAGGTTATAAATCTACATTTGATCTGTACTCTATATCAAATTCACCTATAAAGCCAAGGAAATATACATAAAAGAAGCCATACCAGTGTCTTTTCCCTCAACGTTTATGAACACTTTCAACTTTATAGAAAAATTGAAAATTTTATGGTGAATACCCATATATCTAGCATCCAGATTCTATAATTTATAAGCTTTTTGTTATATTTGCTCAATCACATATCTATCCATTATTTGTCATATTTTTTTGTGCATTTCAAAGTAAGTTGCAGGCATCAGGACATTAGGAAAAGACTAAGTACTATAATCGCAATGTCTACATAATTTTAAAAATATTCACTCCTGAGTAATTATTTGTGGTTAAGAGAGTAATGTTTTATCTCTTTTTAAAAAACGACTTGTCTTTTTTTTATAGTTAAAGTGGTCTTGGGAAAATTAGTGACTACAAGTCAGTGGGTGGGTAAATCAGGATATTTCACAGTAAGTGTCATTTTGGAAGCCAAAAAAAAAGATTCAATTGTTGGTGAACTTTGTGTGATTATAATTAACCTCTAAAAGATTTGTGGTATTAGTTCATCACAAATCTTAGAATTCATCACTGTTAGAACCAACATTGCTATTAATAGCTTCTAAAAAGTAATGAATATTTTGTATTCATTTGTATACAAGTAATGAATATCTTGTAATTATTTCTTTTTTTTGAGATGGAGTCCTGTTCTGTCACCCAGGCTGGAGTGTAGCGGTGTGATCTCGGCTCACTGCAACCTCTGCTTCCCGGGTTCAAGCAATTCTGTCTCAGCCTCCTGAGTAGCTGGGATTACAGGCACGTGCCACCACACCCAGCTAATTTTTGTATTTTTAGTACAGCTGGGGTTTCACCATGTCGGCCAGACTGGTCGTGAACTCCTGACCTTAGGTATATCTTGTAATTCTTACCAAATTACTTTTAGCTATCCTAGACTCCCATCATTCACAGACAACCTGCACAATTTCTACCATATTTAAATACTGTGTGTAATATTACTTTATTTTATCTAAAATTATTTTTTCAATTGAAAAAAATTGAAATGTAAAACTTCACACTGCTGCCATATATGGAAAACCAGTATCACTTGTCATTAACGAGTTAAACAGTTTTTTCTATACACTAAAATGAATTCACAACTATTGAGATAATTAAGGTGTGAGCTCTATGTACAGTTATGTACACCTTAACATGCATACCACACTTTGGGAAATACTGAGTTTAGTCTCTGCTATGGTCTGGATATGGTTTGTTTGTCTCCACCAAATCTCTTGTCAAAATTTAGTCCTCAGTGTGGTGTCTTGGGAGGTGAAAGTTGTTTGGGTCATGGAGGCAGATTCCTCATGAATAGATTAATGCCCTCCCTGGGAGGTGGAGTAAGGAGTGAATTCTCACTGTATTCATTCCAATACAGCCAGTTGTTAAAAATAGCCTAGCACTTCCTTGCACACTCTCCCTCCACCACCACCCCTTCCTCGCCACGTGACCTGTGCATACACTGTCTCTCCTTCACCTTCTCCTGTGAATGGAAGCAGCCAGCAGCCCTCACCCAATCTTGAACTTTCTGGCCACCAGAATCATGAGTCAAATAAACCTTTTTCCTTTATAAATTGCTTAGCCTCAGGTTTTCCTTTATAGCAACACAAAGTGGACTAAGACAATCTCCATCTTTTCTATCACAAATGTTGGGACACAAGAAAAGTCAAAGCTGCATTGAAAGTTGAACACACAGATAACACCAGTCTGTTTTCTTTTTAAGGAACAAAAGCACCATGTCTAGGTAAGACACTTGACTAATTCCCACCCGGAGCTGGCGATAGAGAGAGTGAAAGGTCTCCTATAGCAGGGTTGGGGAGGGTCTGTCTGCAGTCTGAGATTGTGTCCCAAATGGGGCCCATTCTTCATGAACCCTGTAGGTTCCACACTGGCAGGAACAGAGCTAAAGCCCAATTCTTACAGCCTGCATTTCTGCCTTGAGGACTTCTCAGTGCTGTTTCCCTGAACACATTTTTTTTTTTTTCATTTTGTTTCCTCTCACACTTTTAACCCTTTCCTACCAGCATATTTTCGCCTGAACTACCAACATAGGGTTGGTAGGAAACCACCAAAAATGTATCTTTCCTTCCTAAGATTAGAACCAGGGCATAGGAGCCAGACATAGAGATCAAAATACCAAATTTACTTTTGACAAAGGTAAGCTGGAGAATATGACTTGGGTCTATGGCCAAGTGGGCTTCTTCATATATCCTCTGTGATCTGATCATCCCCACCTAGTCACTGGTGGAGTTAATGAAAAAAGACCTCTCCTGGCATGGGCAGAGGCTGTCAGCACCATAAAAGTATGTATTACCAACAGGCTGGTGTGTGGTGAGAGAATGCAGAAGGCCCCTAGCCAAGCATGCTCAAGTTCTTCTCAATTCACTACTCAGATGAGTCATTCTTTGTGACTTGGGGAACAGTAAATTAGGGGTTTAAAGAGAAGCTGGAAGTGATTCTCTCATACTCTTTTCTCTTGAGAAGTAGCTAAATCCCCTCCCTTTTATGGAAATGGTAAAAGCACAGGATGTTATCCTCTAAAAATGACCACCTATTGCTTCCTCTTAATAAAGGACCAAATGTCACAAGATAAACTTTGGGACCCTTTTGTAAATGGAGCAGGAAGTGGAAATGCTGAACTGCACATAGGCAGTCAAAAAAAAAAAAAAAAAACCACACACACACATAAAGATTTTCCAGGTAATCACTAGGCAATTGCTGCCATGGGGCACCCAGTTAATTTGCAAAGTGGTCAAAGCAGCATATTCTCACCTCTTTTGGTAAATCCTTTCCCCTCAGGCCCCAGTGGCCATGTGCCACCTCTGGCTGCCTTGGGCCTCAGATATCCCAAGCAGTCTTGCCTTTCCTTCCTGTGCCCAACAGAATCTGTCTCCTCCTTCTCTACCTCCAGGGAAATCTTGCCTTCCATTTGGTTTTACAATCTTGCCTGGAAGAATGTGCTCTCATCACCTGATTCAAATGCTAAAGTGTTAATGATGGATAGGGTTTATTTGTACTTTATTTTAAAATGGGAGCATATTAAACTATGCCTAAGAAAGTACTGGAAGTATTCCTTAGGTTCTGTTGGTTCTTTTTGCTAACTGTGGGGTCCCTCGATGCTCCTGCTACAGTTCCATGTTATGTTCACTTCTGAAAGACTGTTGGCTTTTGTATTAGCCATCTCAACTTCTCAGGTCTACTTTCAGCTTCAGCCAGTAGGGAACAGTACTTAAGCCATTATCAGCCATATCCTTAATGCATTTAAACAGGGCCTAGGTCACAAGGAGGTTGTTGGGCTTCTAACAAATCACCTAGTGGAAATTTTATGAAAGTCAGAATTGCATATGTAAATTTTTAAAATATACATACACATACGAAGGACTAACCAAAACAACTTTGAAAAAGAACAGAGTTGGAGGACCAACATTATCTGATTTTAAGGTGACTTATAAAGTGACAGTAATCAAGATGGTATAGTAATGGCATCAAAATAGACAAATCAATAGAATAAAAGTTCAGAAATAGATTCATACATATACGGACAACTGATTTTTGATGAGACAATTCAGTGAAGAAAGAATAGTCTTTTCAACAAATGGTGCTGCAACAATAAAATATTTGCATGAAAAAAATGCTTTGATCCACATCTCATACCATATGTAAAAGTGAACTCAAAATACATAATAGACCTAAATGTAAAGCCTAAAAGTATAAAACTTCTAGAAGAAAACCTTGGATTATGCACAGATTTCTCAGATTGGTCACCAAAAACATGATACATAAAATTTTTTTTTTTTAATAAACTGAACTTCATCAAATTTACAAACTTCTGCACTTTGAAAGACCCTGTTGAGAGAATAAGAAGATGAACCACATTGGGAGTATATATTTGCATATATCTGATAATGGCTGGCATCTGGGATGTATAAAAAATTCCAAAACCTCAATAATAATTAAAAAAACACTCCCCTTGCTCCCTGCAATGAGCAAAATACATGAACAAACACTTCATGAAAGAGTATATATGAATGGCAAATGAAGACATGAAAATTAACCACTATCATTAGTCATTAGGAAATGCAAATTAAAACCACAAAAAGATACCACCACACAGCAATTAGAATGGCTAAATTTGAAAACAGTGACCCTACTGGCAAGAATGTGGAAGAAATGAGACTCTCATATACTGCAGGTGGGAATGTAAAATGGCACAACCACTTTTATTTAGTATTATCTTTAAAAAGTCAACATATACATACCACAGAATCCAGACATTCCATTCCTAGATATTTATCCAAAAGAAATGAATGCATATGTCTGTAAGGAAAACTTGTACAGAAGTTATCATAGCAGACTAATTTGTAATAGCAAGATACTCATCTGACAAAGGTCTAATATCCAGAATCCACAAGGAATTTAAACAATTTTACAAGAAAAAAAACAACCCCATCGAAAAGTGGGCAAAGGATATGAACAGACACTCCTCAAAAGAAGACATCTATGCAGCCAACAAACATGAAAAAAAGCTCATCATCATCACTGGTCGTCAGAGAAATGCAAATCAAAACCACAATGAGATACCATCTCACACCAGTTAGAATGGCGATCATTAAAAGGTGAGGAAACAACAGATGCTGGAGAGGACGTGGAGAAATAGGAACGCTTTTACACTGTTGGTGGGAATGTAAATTAGTTCAACCACTGTGAAAGACAGTGTAGCAATTCCTCAAGGATCTAGAACCAGAAATACCAGTTGACCCAGCAATTCCATTACTGGGTATATACCCAAAGGATTATAAATCATTCTACTATAAAGACACATGCACATGTATGTTTATTGCAGCACTATTCACAATAGCAGACTTGGAACCAACCCAAATGCCCATAGACTGGGTAAAGAAAATGTGGCACATATACACCATGGAATACTGCGCAGCCATAAAAAAGGAGGGGTTCATGTCTTTGCAAGGACATGAAGCTGGAAACCATCATTCTCAGCAAACTAACACAGGAACAGAAAACCAAACACTGCCTGTTCTCACTCATAAGTAGGAGTTGAACAATGAGAACACATGGACACAGGGAGGGGAGCATTATACACCAGGGCCTGCCAGGGGCCTGGGGGCTAAGGGGACAGATAGCATTAGCAGAAATACCTAACGTAGATGACGGGTTGATGGGTGCAGCAAACCACCAGGACACGCATATACCTATGTAACAAACCTGCATGTTCTGCACATGTATCCCAGAACTTAAAGTATAATAAGAAAAAGAAAAAAAAAGTATATTATCTAGATGCATCTATTTAAATTTAATGGGTATTAAATTTATTAAACATACCTACAAAATCTAAGTAAGACATGAATTTAAAAAAAGAACAGTGCCTCACACTGTAATAGGAAATGACAGCTATTGCTATTAGGAGTACGGCATCTATTAACAGTTTCCAGCAGTAAACACAACCATTATCAAATAATAAAGACCTATTATAAAAATATTCAAGCAACAGAGATCTATTAAAATTTTTATCTTTGCTTCAAAATAATATGGAGTGAGGAGTGTAGGTTAAAGATTAGTCATGTACTGATCTTTATAAACGCTGGGGCTGGTAAAAGTCCCCTCTTTGCCTTGCACACTTGTCCCTTCTCCCATTCCATCCCTCAGAAGTAAACATAATGAACACATTGATGGCTACACTTCCAGACTTTTCTATACATACAGAGAAATGTGAATGTTAGTACAAATACACATACACAGTTTTACACAAGTGGGGTCATATTGGATACATTGTTTTGCAACTTGATTTTTCCCTTGATAATTTGTAAACTTCCTTTCTTGTTGGAATGAAGAATGTTCCTCATCACAGCTGAAGGGTCCTTGTCTGATGAACATATTTTGCCATTTTCCTACCGATGGACATGTAGATCCCTTCCGCACATTACAATTTTGTTCTGGCCAATATTTTCTCTCTCTTTTTTCTATTTCTTTTTTTATCATCTGCTTCATTTTTCATTTATCTATTTTCTCTCTTTAGTACCAGAAGTCAACACTTTTGTCAGCTTCTCGGTTAGCACTCCCCACCCACTGATTCCTTGAATGCTCTGAAGACCAATGAATTCCTTATTCTATGAGCCTGACCTTTATAGGCCAAAAAATAGAGAGAGAAATAACAATGAAAGTGAATTTCTACTACTGTTATGTTTAAGTCACAGTGCAGGCTGCTTTTGCTTTCCTGAGAAAGTATGTCAAGTGTTTTTTAAATTCTTTTTTTTTAAATTCTTTTCTTTAAAACCTTATTTTTTTCTTGTTCTTTCTTTTCTCTTTTTTTTTTTTCCTTGCCAGCAGAAAGTGAAGGAGGCACACTTTCAAGTTTGCTTTTTAATCCACAAACTCAACATTTTTTCTTTTCTGTTTACTAAGTCACACAATTCCCTTGGAGGCAGACCTTTATGTGTCCCGTTATTAATGTTTTGTCCTTTATTTTCCACATAAAGTAATAAACTAGTAAGTAAAATCTTTATTAGAATTTCTCTCCAACTTTGGAATCTTTTTATGAGGTTGTAGGAGCCTGAATAATGGTCCCAAAGCCGTCCATGCCCTAATCCCTGGAACCTGTGAATGTTACCTTATGCGGCAAAAAGGATTTGACAGATTAAGTTAAGGATTTTGAGATGGGGAGATTTTCCTGGATTATCTAGATGGGGCCTAAATGTAGTCACAGGAGTTCTTCTGAAAGGGAGGCAAGGGGAGATTTGACTAAAGAAGAGGAGAAGGCAATGTGTAGGTGGAAGCAGAGATTAGAGTGATGCAGCTACGAGCCAGCAAATGCCCACAGTAAGTTGGAGGAGGCAAGGAAGGGGTCTCTCTCCATTGGAGCTTCCAGATGGAACTAGCCCTGCTGGTTTTGCTGGTTTCAAACTTCTGGTCTCTAGAACTGTGAGAGAACAAATTTCTCTTGTTTTAAGGTACAGAGTTCATGGTAGTCTGTCAGGAAATGAATACAGAGCTCTATTCACAATGTTCTGTAATTAATTTTGCTTTTTTTTTTTCAATTTGTTGCTTGTTATTGTTCTTTTTAATTGCTTTTCTTCCCAGTAGTTTGCAGACATCAAAACAAAGTTATATATGTAAAACTGGTGATAAACAATGAGTTTCTAATAGCCTTTCATTATATAAGTAGGGGCTGGTTTAACTCAACTCACCTGCTTTTTGCCCTCCCCGCCGGCACTCTAGCTGCACCAAACTCCTAGGGCCTTGCTTTGATACGGTCCTGAATCTGCAATCCCACTCTCTAGAGGTTTCTGCTATTTATAGGCTTTTTTTTTTTTCACCTTTATCAATTTTTAAGACACATAGCACTTATTTCCTGTTTTCTGTTCTAGGTATTTGAGTACACAGCTTATTGTGTCTACTGGATTGTATGTATTAAAGGCAAGGATACACTATACTTCCTTATCATCTTTCCTGGAACAAAGTAGAAAGAAATAAACCGACTATTTGGGAGGTAATTTCCCAAATAATGGCCCCAAAGAGATTCATGCCCTAATCTCTGGAACCTGTGAATGTTACCTTATAGAGCAAAAAGGATTTGATAGATTTAATTAAGCTAAGGATATTGAGGGGGAGATTGTCCCGGATTATCTAGATGAGCCCTAAATTTAGTCACAGGGATTCTGCTGAAAGAGAGGCAAATGGAGATTTGACTATAGAAGAGGAAAAGGCAATGTGCAGATGGAAGCGGTTATTGACACATTATAGGTATAATAACTAATATTTACTGAGGATCTACTATGTTTCAGACGATGTAATGGGCATTTTATATATTCTGTCTCAGTTTATCCTCACAAGAGCCATGTGAAGTGGTTTTTCCAGTTATCCACTGCTACATAATAAACCGTCCCAAAACCTAGTGGCTTAAAATGATGACAGCATTGGCCGGGTGCTGTGGCTCACGCTTATAATCCCAGCACTTTGGGAGGCTGAGGTGGGCAGATAACCTGAGGTCAGGACTTTGAGACCAGCCTGCCCAACATGGTGAAAGCCTGTCTCTACTGAAAAAAAAAAAAAAAAAAAGAATGCAAAAAATACAAAAATTAGCCGGGTGTGGTGGCGGGAGCCTATAATCCCAGCTACTCAGGAGGCTGAGGCAGGAGAATCACTTGAACCCAGGAGGCAGAGGTTGCAGTGAGCCGAGATCACGCTGCTGCACTCCAGCCTGGGTGACAGAGCAAGGCTCCAGTTCGAAAATAATAATAATAATAATAATAATAATAAATGACAGCATTTGCTTTACTCACCAATGTGCATTTGGACAGGTCAAGGCAGGGAAAGCTCATCTCTGCTCTGCTCTGCGTCAGCTGGGGTAGCTCGAAGGCTCAGGGTTGGAATCATCTGAAGGTTCATTCACTCACATGCCTGGTGGCTGACACTGGCCATGGGCCGAAACCTTATTTGGAGCTGTTGACTGGAACACCTCCATGCTCCCTCTCCGTGAGCTGCCTCACAATGGTGGCTGGGTTCCCAGGGTGAGTGCCCAGTGAGAGAGAGCCAGGTGGAAGCTGTCTCACCCTTGATGACCTGGCTTCAGGTGAGATGCAGTGTCATTTCCACAGCATTCTGTTGTTCGAGGAAATCACAAAGTGCCACCCAGTTTCTAGAGGAGGGGAAATGGAGTCTGTCTCTTGATGGGATGTGGCAAGAACCGGTGGAATGGGAAATATTGCTCCACTTTTGAGAATTCCTTCTGCTGCAGCAGAAGCTCATCATGGTTAAATGATTGAAGCTGTAAGTGGCTGAGTGCTCAAAATTCTGACTCCAAAGCCCAGACTATGATTCAGATATTTCTCTATGTGACTTTTAAAGCTATTAATATCACATGATCAATTCCTTTTATAATCTCTAAACAAATTCTTATAAGCACTCTTTATTATTTTTAAACAAAAATTTCTACTGATGCACATAGATGTACGTAGTTTCAGGGTACATATGATCATTTAATACATTTATGTAGTTTGTAAAGATTAATCAGTACACGTGGAATATCCATCACCTTAAATATTTGTCTTTTCTTTATGCCAGAAACATTATTCTCTTCCAGCTATTTTGAAATCTACGATAGATTTTATTGACTATAGTCACCCCACTAATCTATTGAACACTAGGTCTTATTTTTTCTATCAAACCATATATTTGTACCCATTAATCAACTTCTCTTCACCCATACCACCCCCTCACCTTCCTGGACTCTGGTAACAACCAATCTGTTCTCCATCTTCATGAGATCCACGTTTTTAGCCCCCACAAATGAACTAGTACATGTGATATTTTTCTGTGCTTGTTTTATTTCATTTAACATAACCTCAAGTTCCATCCATGTTGATGCAAGTGGCAAGATTTCATTCTCTTTTATGGCTAAATAATATTCCACTGTGTGTACCACATTTTCTTTATCCAGTCATCTGTCGATAGGCACTTAGGTTGATTCCATGTTTTGGCTGTTGTGAATACGGCTGCAATAAACATGGGAGTGCAGATGTCTCTTTGATATATTGATTTCCTTCCTTTTCAGGATCTACCCAGTGGTGGAATTGCTGGATCATATGGTAGTTCTATTTTCAGTCTTTTGAGGAACCTCCAAACTGTTCTCCACAGTGGTTGTACTAATTTACATTCCCACCAGCAGCGTAGTTCTTCTTTCTCTACATCTTTGCCAGCATTCATTATTGCCTGTCTTTTTGATAAAAGCCACATTAACTGGGGTGAAATGCTATTTCATTGTGGTTTTGATTTGCATTACTCTGATGATTAGTGATGTTGATCATTTTTTCATATACCTGTTGGATTTGTCATCTTTTGAGAAATGCCTATTCAGATATTTTGCCCATTTTTTAATCCGATTGTTCTTTTGCTATTCAGTAGTTTGAGCTCCTTATATATGCTGGTTATTAATCTTTTGTCAGATTGGTAATTTGCAAATATTTTCTCCCATTCTGTGGGTTGTCTCTTCACTTTGCTGACTGCTTCCTTCGCTCTGTGAAGCTTTTTAGCTTGATGTAATCCCATTTAGTCTATATTTACTTTGGTTGCCTGGAGCACTGTTCATTTTTCCATAGGAGGACTATATGTGAATACTTTTTCAAATGTGTATAGATGCTGTTGTGCTGCATAACATACTAATTCATAGACCATTTTTGAATTTTTGGTAGCTTTTTATCCAGGGAAAGGGAATATCATTTTCAAGGAAGCAGAGGTGAGAGGATATAGCATGTGTGGAGAACAGCATGGAGTGAAATGGCTAGAGCAGAAGTAGGGGAGAGCAAGGCTGTAAGAGATGAGTTTACAAGCAAGTAGGGCCATGCCACAGGAAGGCAAAGAGATTAGACCCAATCCCCGAGGCAAGGAGGAGCCATTGAAATGTTGTGAGCAGGGAAGTGAAGGATTTCAGGCCTGATTTTTAAATGACCACTTCGGCTTCAGTGCTGAGAATTTAAAAGCATAGGATTTGGAGTGATATGTAAATCTCAATTCACCCACTTACTGCATAATTTGGAATTTGCTTAGAATATTTTATGCTCGTTCAATCTGTAGACGCAGGTATTTTCAATTCAGGAAAGGTTTTTTTCCTTTTGATGTCTTTGGCTTTTTAATTTTCCTGGTGTCTTATTAACAGTGCATAGATTTAAGTTCAAATCCTGGGTTCCAACTGAGAGTTGGGCACACCTGTTCTAGTAAGACGGCGTGCTCTCTAGTCTGCCCGGGTTCATCAGGATGGGCTTAGCTAATGGCATAACAAATAAACCCTGAAGTCTCGGTGGTTTAATATGATAAAGGGTTATCACCTGCTTGTGAAAAGTCTGATACAGAATGAGAAACTTTTCTCTACTTTGTAAATTATGGCCTCTGGAACACATAGCATGGGGAGATGAAGTTGGAAGGTTTCATGAGATGAGTTAAAGTCAGGCCTGGAGTGGCTTCCGTCACTTCCACCTACATCCTGTTGGCTAGGATTCGGTTAAAGGCTCCAATCTGACTGCAAAGGAGGCTGGTAAATGCAGAGGTACACGTGGATATTTGACCAGCACAAGTGGTTTCTGCCATCTTCCTCCCTGTCCAGATTTTCTGTTACTCTCAATCAATTAAAATTGAGATTCTCATAATGAACTGATGCAGTTTTTTAATTTCAAATTCTGTCTACAGCATATCATTTCTGAGAACTAGACACCTCACAAGTACTCCCTACTTATAGCCCAGGTGTTTTTCTGGAGTTTGCCCTCTCCTGATGCTAAGGTGCCTGTTAGAGAAATGCAGACAAAATTCCAACAGTCTTAAAAAATAAAATGTATGATTGAGTAATGGCTACATGGTTCCCTACTTGACATGGATGGGTTGAAAGGAACATACAGAATGTCATCCTGCCTTTTAAACAAGTGGCTTTCATACGACCAGGTCTAATATTTTTCCCTTTTTCTAAGTTTCAGACTTTAAGATCCATTTGTTTTTATTTTTTATTTTTTTCCTATTCTCATCTGCTGAGAGGACCCACATAACTATTAAACTAATTAGCTACAAATACATGTAAATTATTCATCTAGTAGGGTAAGAGAATGGATATCTTGGTTAGCTGTTTTTTTAGTAGGTACAAGTTTTCACCATGTTGGCCAGGCTAGTGTTGAACTCCTGACTTCAGGTGATCTGCCTGCCTCGGCCACCCAAAGTGCTGGGATTACAGGCATGAGCCACCAAGCCAGGCCAAGCTGACTGTTAATTAAACACTATCAGGAATTACAATGTAATAAAAATATACTACAATAAATATAATTAAACTTCCTTTGATAATTCAAAAGTGACCTCAGAATCCCAAAGGAGTTCAGCATCTATGTAAAATATTTTAATATATATTTTACATATTTTTTTAAACCACTTAGACTTTACAAAGTGCTTTCATATGTTTTATCTTATTTAATCTTTATAATTCCATGCAGTGGGAGTTATTATCCCCATTTGTTGGATGAAGAAATGAATCAGAAAGGTTATTTACCCAACATTACAAAGCTTGAGATGAGCTGTCTTTATACTGATGACCATCAGTCATTACTGTCAGTCCTGCAGACATGAATTCTGACATTTGGATGGACCTTGAATTTGGTTCTACACATGATGATAACTCCTTAATAAAAAGTTGCTTATTTGTCTTTTGTTGTCATAAATGTTCATTGCAGAACTAGAAAATAATGAAGTTCTAGCTATTGGTTGTTAGGATTCTGGATAATTGGGAGTTTATTCTGTTTTGTTTTGTTTTTGAGACAGTCTCACTCTGTCATCCAGGCTGAAGTACAGTGGCAC
Organism: Homo sapiens; assembly: GCF_000001405.40. NCBI lineage: Eukaryota > Metazoa > Chordata > Mammalia > Primates > Hominidae > Homo > Homo sapiens. The sequence continues at coordinate 85,139,064 of NC_000001.11, read as the reverse complement.
GATCTCAGCTCACTGCAACCTCTCCTTCTCTGGTTCAAGCGACTCTTGTGCCTCAGCCTCCGGAGTAGATGGGATTACAGGCACACACCACCACACCTGGCTAATTTTTTTGTATTTTTAGTAGAGATGGGCTTTTGCCAAGTTGCCTGGGCTAGTCTTGGGGTTACAGGAGTGAGCAACCATGACTGGCCTCTGTTTTATATTTGTTATATTTAGATCCATACAAACTTCACTATAAATGAACAATTGGTATCAATTCAATTGTTAATTTAGCTTTTTTACAAAGGCTGAAATAAAGTAGACACTTTCTTTTCTTTTTTTTTTTTTTTTTTTTTTTTGAGACAGAGTTTTGCTCTCATCGCCTAGGCTGGAATGCAGTGGTGCAATCTCGGCCCACTCCAACCTCCGCCTCCCAGGTTCAAGTGATTCTCCTGCCTCAGCTTCCTGAGTAGCTGAGATTACAGGTGCTCACCACCAGGCCCAGCTAATTTTTTGTATTTTTAGTAGAGACAGGGTTTCACCATATTGGGCAGGCTGGTCTTGAACTCCTGACCTCAGGTGATCCACCTGCCTCGGCTTCCCAACGTGCTGGGATTATAGGTGTGAGCCACCATTCTCAGCCAAAGCAGACACTTTCTGTATTTTAGATTTTACTTAGCATTATTTTCTAAAGTTTTTTTTTTCTCTAAAGGGAATTATTATTCTTAAAAATATGGTTCCTAAAAAGTACTGGAAAATGCATCTCTAGTTGACAGGGAAGAATGTGAAATCTTCTATTTTACAACTTTCTTCCTTTTCTTAAGAAAAAAAAGAATAAAAACATCTCAGAATATCACATATACAGATGAGTTTGGGAAAGCTTATTTTCTGTCTTTTTAAGTTTGGAGCATTGGCATTGTAGAAAAACACAACCTATATTATCTGTCATACTCACCGTCTATGCTTTTTATGTCATATTTGTTAACAAGAAAGCATTTAAAAGCAATTACACAACTTTTAAAAATCCATCGTTTCCCAATAAGCTCCCAAGGCTGGTTTTGCTGGTGTGCAGGGTTCTGCTCTGACAGTGTGTGCTGTTTCACATGAGCCCGTGCCCGCAGAGAGCTGATCAGCCATGGCAGGAGGAAATTGACCACACAGGGGTTCATCAGCCCTTCACTGAGATATTTAATTTCCGTTGTGAGGACCTTGCTCAGTTGCACAGATCTGCCCTGGCAATGGCAACTTAGCAACCCGGTGGAGCAGCGCCGACCCTGGGCAGCACTCCAAGGTAGAAGGGTGCAGGGAGATGTTAATTATTTACAGTGCTGGATTAGTGAAGCCGTGAAGAGCACCTAGGCCACCATCCAACTGGAGTTAATTGCCTTTTCATCTGAAGTGCACACACACGATGTGCTTATCTGAGGACCTGAAAATATGCTGGTTTAATTACATGTTTCTTGGCGGATAAAAAGCAATTTGTAAAGCTGAATGATCATTAAATTTAATTGAAATTAATCAAATATTAGAATGATCAATTTTCTGAGTAGCATTATCAGTTCTGCAAAAAGGAAAGCTGTTCAAATTTATTTAAATTTTATGTTAAATAGTATGTCCAACACTTGTGGTCTCATATTAAGATGATCAAAGGCTAATATTAAACCAGGCATGGACAGTCACTGCTTAAGTTGCATTTGAGTCTGGGAAACATTCCTGTTATTATTAGTGGCAACAAAAAGTTAAAATCAGAGATTACTACATAGAACAAAGAGGAAACACTACGTTTCTCTGGTGTGTGTGTGTGTGTGTGTCTGTGTGTGCACATACACCTGTGACCAAGCAAGAACAGGCAACAACATTCATTAAGCGCCAACTATATTCCAGGTGCTTTATATACATTGTCTTTGTATGGGGTAGGCTAGGTATTATTATTATCCCCATTTACAGACAAGGCATCTAAGACTTAGGGGATAGTGCAGTTTGCCCAAGGTGATGAAGATGGGATTTGGACTCAGGTCTGCCAGGACCTAAAGACCCCTGTCTTTTCACTACACTGTAGACCAGACCAAATGACTTAAGGTCAGAAGATCAGATCGACTCACAATGGGTGGTAGGGGAAAGGGTTGGAGCTGTGGGGATTGGAAGGAGGCATACCAGTTAATTCTATTTGCATTCACACCTGATATTCCTACATCTTCAGTACAGGTGGTTAGCATCCTCGCTTGAGGCTCAGCTGTGTTCTTTACTGGGATTCAGCATGCCTGGCCTTGTCTGCCAAATGGAAGTTCTGGGCCAAACAAAAGGACCTTAGCTTAAGGGGTTGAAGAGCCTCAGAGAAAACTCATCCCAGAGAAGGAAGAGACATCACTATGAGTTTGTCTGTTTCAAAGTCTTAGTGTCCAAGAGAGGTATCATGAATAATTAAACCACGCTGAGTGGTCTGAGATGAATCGTATCATCTTCTGTCCTTTCCTCTTTTCTTCCATAGGTACCAGACCTGCATGAGCTCTGAAGGCTCTGCCTTGCTTCTTGCACCTCTGCTACTGCCTTGGTGTTTGCTTCTCGCTGAACTTGAACTAACCCAGAAGCATTGTCCCAGCACCTTCCCCCACGTTACAGGCCATTAGGCAGCTCTAGCATTTTGAGAGAAGGGATCCCTGAGTGCCTGGTGGTTGTGGGCTTGAACATATGTGACTCCATCTTCATCCCAGTGGCCACTGGACACACTTGGGGGCACTCTGCAGAAGGCTAGCATACCTGAGAAGCAAGTGGGCCAAGGTCCCATGAAACCTGGGCTATGGCTGCTTATGTGTCCTCTCGGTGGCCACAGGTGATGAGACTCAGGAAAACTGAGGTTATAAACACACAATGAAAACACCACACCAGGTCTGGGAGCAGTAGCTCATGCCTGTAATCCCAGCACTTTGGGAAGCCGAGGCAGGTGGATCACTTGAGGTCAGGAGTTCAAGATCTGCCTGGCCAACATGTGAAACCCTGTCTCTGCTAAAAATACAAAAATTAGCTGGGAATAGTGGCACATGCCTGTAATACCAGCTACTCAGGAGGCTGAGGCAGGGGAATCACTTGAACCTGGGAGGTAGAGGTTGCAGTGAGCCAACAACGAGCCACTGCACTCCAGCCTGGGCAACAGAGTGAGACTCTATCTCAAAAAAAAAAAAAAAAAAGAAAAAAGAAAAAGAATAAAGACAAAAATCACACTGAACTAATAATAACTGCTATCATAACCATAAGGAGCCCCATGTTTAGTTTCTATAGCAAGAATGTTACAACCATTTTGTATTTGTAAATCAGGCAAAACATATTTACTGCTTGCCGTATGCTAGCCACTATACTAAGCTTTATATTTGCTAACCCTAAGGCAGACACTTATTCAATATCCATTACTCCAGTCCTTTATGCTAACAACACCCTGCTTTTATTTGAGACAACAATGTGCTCAGCCTCCAGTCATGGTTTATGACACTCAGTTATGACACACCTGTTCTCTGTAGTCCCAGCTTCTTTTCATTGAAGAGAGGGAGACTGGGTTATGGAACACACTTCTAGAAGACTACAGGTGAAACCCCTCACCTCTTTCAGGCCTTGTTCAAGTGTCACCTTCCCTGACCATCCTGTTTAAAATGGTAGACCCTGGCACATAGAAGGCATTCAATATATTTTTTTAAAGTCAGGTGTGGTGGTATGTGTCTGTAGTCCTAGCTACTCAGGAGCCTGAGGCAAGAGGATTGCTTAAGCCCAACAGCTTGAGGCTGCAGTGAGCTATGATTGCATCACTGCACTCCAGCCTGTGCAACTGAGTGAGGCCCTGTCTTTAAAAACAAACAAACCATTTTTTAGAGTGAACTCGTGAAAATAAAATTAGAAAAATCTCTGGAGAAAGTACTGAACAGCAAGCACAGATGCCCAGGGAGAGGAAGATGCCTGGCATGTTTGGTGAACAGGAGGCCAGCATGACTGGGATGGGTGTGATGGAGGGGAGAGGAAGGAGGGATGGGACCAGGTGACAGTGGAAGGCCTGCCTGTACAAGGGCTTGCAGGGCACAGACAGGCATTGGGAACATACTCTGAGTGATCATACTATGAGGTTGAGGAAGGATTCTGGGCAGAAGGATGACAGCATCTGACAGCATCCATTTAAAACTACCATCTGGCTGTGGCTGAAAGTGACTGAAAATGACAACATAGAAACAGGGAGAACAGGAGGCTGCTGCAAAATCCAAGCTGATGATGATGCAGCTTGGACCATGGTGGTAGCAGTGAGGGAGAAGAGAAGCGATCAGGTTTCACATGCATACTGAACGTGTAGTCAACAGGACTTGCTGACAGATTGGATGTGGATTGTGAAAGAAAGGAGATGAAGGATGACCTTAAGGCTTTTGCCCCAAGCAGCATCATGGCTGGGAGGACTGCTGGAGGAATGGTTTTTGAAGGGAAACATCAAGCACTCAATTTTGGACATGTTTAAGTTTGAGATGCCTATTAAACATCCAAGTGGAGATACAAAAGGTCAAATAGATACACATCTCTTGATTTTAGAGAGAAGGCCAGGTCAGGGACAGAGGTAGTATCTAAAGCCTTGAGAGTGGATGCATGCACCTAGAAAGTGAGTGCAGAAAAAAGAAAGAATAAAAGAAGTTCAAGTGTAAGGATGAGCCCTGGGATATTTCAATCATGATGACAATAATATGTGCCAGGCACAGGCCCCTTATCTGCAGGGGCTCATTTGCCCCTTACATAAATGCTGCAAGTTAAGTTCTCTCAACCTGACTTGATGGAAGGGGAATCTGTTTCACAGAGCTGGGTCATCTGTTCAAGGGCACACAGGTGGTTAAGAGCTAAAATCTATCCGACAAAGTTTTCTTTCCTCTAGCAATCTAACTTATAAACCTTGGTATTATCCTTTGTCTTCCCTTCCCCATCCAACCAGCCTTTGATTTCTATCTTCACATTAAGCTTTAGTACAGGGCATCCTAATCCTTTGCCCTGAACAATTCCTCCTGCCTCCTAATAGGATTTCTTGCCATGAGACTCTCCCCTGCTCTAGTTCATTCCTTGTTTCCTAAAAATAAAGCTGATTGGGTCAACTTCCTGTTTAGACCTTCCATTCATTCCCCATAAATTCTAATCCAGCTCCTTAGCTTGGTAAACAGGAGCCTTCACAATCTGGCTCCAAGCTCTTTTGTGTCTCAGTTTCACATACTGTTGTTGCTTTTTGGTGCCTATGCTAGGCTTAAACAGCATGGGAACAAAAAGGCAACTGCAGTACATGATGTCAGGCACCTGATGGTGTGAGCTGTGTCTTGTTCCACATCTCAGGGGAAAGCTTTCTGCTTGTCACCATGAAGTACCATGTTTGGTGTAGTATTGTTTTACACGCCCTTCATCACATTACAGGAATTCTTTCTGTAGATGCCAAGAATGTATCATTATTATCATGAATTGATGTCAACTTTTATGAAATGTTTTTCTGCATCGACTTGGCATCATAATTTCTCTCTTTTGATTAATCACTGATTTATTTTCTACTCTTAAATTAACCTTATCTTCCTTGGATAAACCCAACTTTGTCTTCATGTGTTAACCTCTTTAAAATATATATATATATATATTTCTGGATTTGATTTGCTAATATTTTGTTTAGCACATGGCCCTACAGTTTGTACAGTGGCCAAGGGGAAGCACTTTTTTTGGAAAGGTGGCCAAAAGCAAGCTGATAAGTAGGAGCAGTTTGATTTCCCCTTCTGCCTGGAATGAGGGCCTCTGTGTGGACAGCAAGGATTGGGATGGAAGGGACATCCAAAGTTCTCTATTATTATAGGAAAATACAAATTTTGTTATTGAAAACATTCATTAAAAAAGAACACTTTCATATTCAGTACAAAATTTGGTACATACATGGTACAAAAACTGAAATAGATCTCATTGCTAAAATTCAAAAGTTTTAATAGCAGGGAAATAAAAGTCTATAAATGAGCCTATATATATATATGTTCAGCATGCCAGTTCACCTGACATAAAAATAAATAGAGGGAAGAAGTCCCCAAAACACCCCTTCAGGAAGCTTTTTTACATCACCTCCATGTATGACCCCTTCTCTGTGACTTTGATTAGGCCAAGGTTGATAAGAACAGTCTTTTCCAGTTCCAGATAACTCTCATAGTCCATTTTTAATTCAGCCTGCATTTGTTCTTTTGACTTCTGATATGTTTTCTGGGGGGGGAAGAAAAACAAGACATCCCTATAAAACACTGATATCTAAAAATACCAAAGGATGAGAAGGGGCTGTTTGTGAATAGTTGACCTGGCTGCTGTTTTCTGGAAAGGGCTGGATGGAGGGCAGGAAGGCAGGAGGGCAGGTGGGCAGGAGGCAGTCAGATGTGCTGGGAAAGGAGGGAGTGGGGGGAAACATGGTCCCCAACCACTGTCTCTCAAAAAAAAGTCCCTTTTTCCGGCCTTCTTCCCTATAACTCTTGTTTCCCTTATGTAGACTGGAGGGTGACTAATAGCCTAGAGGTTGCAGAATTCTTTTGAAATCCCCCTCTTCTGAGTCCATATGGATGGCATAGCTTGTGGATCACACGGCAATGACTACTGTCCCAGGCTGAGTCTCCAGCTGAAATTCTGGTTAGGAAAATTCCCATTTCATATGCAACTAGAGCAGTGATTATTATTGTCCATTGAGGAGTGAGCTGTTTCCAGATTTTATGTTTGCAAAGAGACAGGTGCATGATTTTCCTGAAATCTGTGTTGAACTGTACAGCCTCAACCTGGCACCTGGTGAGCACTCACACAGGCCAGCCTTGCTGGACGAACATGTGAACACTTTCTATGTGCCAGTTATTGGCTAAGTGCTGTAAATATTTTAACTCATTTAAGCTCCATTGCAATCTTCTGAGGTTGTTACTGTTGCCATTTCCCCCTTTATCAGCCGTTGCTTAGAAGGAGACATTTCTGACTAACATTAGTTGTTTTTCCTTAGTGACTTTTTTTATGTTCTCAATGTAACAGAGGAACCCTTTCAAATTCATTCACATACCCACAATCTATTCATAGTTGCAGAGAAAATTTGAGAAGTGGTGGCTTTACTTAAAAGAGGGCACCATATCAAATGGAAATAAAGTTACAAGAAGTTGGGAACGTTTTGGAAATTGAAAAGTATAATACAATTTAAGATATTATTATTATAATATTCAGGTGTTTAAAAAGTATTTCACATGCAAATTATTTTTGGATTATCCACAATTCTACTCGCTCCCACTGATGTAGATAATTAGGAGCTGTTGCTATGGTATTTAAACACTCATAATAATCGTGGATAATTGCTGGGGAAGGGGAAGGGTGGCAGATTCTCTCCCACAATAGAATCTCAACAAATCAACATTTGTTAAGTGCAAAAGAACAAAACTAAGATCAATTTGTTTGTAGCAGTGGAATGCAATGAAAGTTTAATTAATTGGCATTCTTTTACACTTTGTCACCAAACATGTTTTGAAATGAGATCCTCTGCTTTTATTGCACTAATTAGTATTTATCAATGAGTGATAATGTTAATTTATTTGCTAATGCAGCACATTACAATATTTCCACATGCTAATGCTTTATTTTTTTTTTTTTTTTTTTGAGATGGAGTTTCGCTCTTGTTGCCCAGGATGGAGTGCAATGGCACAATCTCGGCTCACCATAACCTCCGCCTCCCAGGTTCAAGTGATTCTCCTGCCTCAGCCTCCCGAGTAGCTGGGATTACAGGTATGTGCCACCATGCCCGGCTTATTTTGTATTTTTAGTAGAGACAGGGTTTCTCCATGTGGGTCAAGCTGGTCTCGAACTCCTGACCTCGTGATCTGCCTGCCTCAGCCTCTCAAAGTGCTGGGATTACAGGTGTGAGCCACGGCGCCCAGTGCCACATGCTAATGCTTTTGAGACTGAAGGCCTCATGTGAGTAACTGTGTTTGAGGATGTATGTATTTGGCTATACGGAACCTACAGATGAGATCAATGATGAAATGCTGGTAACAAAAGAGCAAAGGAGAGAGGGAGCAAGAGGGAAACAGAAATTGAGACTGAGGTGATCTCAAGTGAGAAAGAGAGAAAAGCCTAATTCACAAAGTATTTAGAAGCCCAAAATTCCAGTGGGCAAGGGAAGACCAGCAGAGTCACAGAATTCGTATCAAACAGGGAGAAGCTGAGAAAGGGAGCATGGGGTGCTTTAGAGCTTAGGTTCTTTTTTGGCAGAGTTTAAGATGGATGTGCCCTGTACCAAATTCTCCTCTATTTCAAGTTTCATATCTTCAGCATATCATATACAGTAAAATTCACCTCTTTCTCTCTACCCCCTCATATCTATTTATCTATCTATCTATCTATCTATCTATCTATCTATCTATCTATCTATCTATCATCTATCTAATCTATCATCTATCATTATAATTATAATAGCACTATTTACTGAAAGTCTATTTGTCACTTTCTTTAACTGACAGCCTTACAGTAATCCTAGTTATTAGTATTCCCATTTTCAAGATAAGAGACCTGAAGCTCAGCAAAGGTGACAGCCTTGCTCCAAATCTCACAGCTAGTCAGTGGCAGAGTTGGGATTTGAGCCCACGTGTCTTGATTCCATATTCAACTCTTTTTGCACCACCTTCTTTAATGCATTATTCACCAGATATTAAAATTCTATAATGAAAGCATTCAAATTTTGAATTAAGGTATCTGTACTAAAGGACTTTGAAATTATAGAAAATTTCAGAAACTTAAATTGGACAGAATCTCACTACGTGTCTAACTGGCAGTGAGCTAGGAAATCAAAGGAATGCCCTCTTGACTCTCATGAGAACAAGAGAAGAATGTGAAAAAGTATAACTTTTCTATGGAAACTGTGGATTAAGCCAAACAAATATATTTCCACTGGTGTTCGAGGAAAACATCTTTCATTTCTGAAATTTAACTTACAACTTTTTTCTTTGCCATTTCTAGTTCCATTTCTTTCTTTTCTTGCTCACGAATTTTTTTGCGCTGTTCTACGTATTCCAGATGCTTGACTTCTCTTTCAAAATAGTGGTTGACACTTGCCATCTGTTAGAAACAGAAGTCCATGAGAGGGTGACAGGCAGGAAGCCCCCATGACCTTTACAAGGCTCTGTTAGAATTTCTGCTGCTTGTAATTAGGTAGACGACCTACCTAATCTACCTCCCTAATCTACTTGATCATTATCTAATGATCATCTACCTAATCATTATGTAGATTATCTATTTTGTGATACTTTAAATCTTTTAGGTGAATATAATTTGGAAATTGTATTCACAGGCCCACTACCAGAGGAGCTGGTACAATTCAGGGGCTACTGTGCTAACATTTAGGGCTCTGTGACTTGGAGGTTTCCAAAGTAGGGTTGGAAGGAGAGAGCTGCAAAAATGTGCAATTTTGTAGTAGAAATATTCAGGGGTTGCTTTTTCCCCATTTCTTCCTTCTTCCTTCTAAATCTGGGGGAAGTTTCATATCATCAATCAAACTTAGAAAACCCAGATGAGAGTATCAATGTAGATCCTAGAGGGACTGGAAGCAGAGCTGAATTCCTGGTCCCTGGAGGGCTTCGAGTGTAGGCATAGAATAGAAGCAGGAAAGTCAGCAGAGACCTTGGGGAAGGCAACCAGGGCAGAGACAGCCTTTTGCCTGCCAGTAACTAGGCTGATGTTTGGACTTGCAGCAGACTGCAATCTATATGTTTAATGTTCATTGTATATACATTTATATATTTCTATTCATTGATCTTTTTAAAGCCTCATTATTAACATTGTTTGAAACACTTGGGTGGTGGGTACAGTGTGGGGGGTGCAGAATACCGCCAGTTCAGCTGTGCTGCCTGCTATACTCCAAGTTGGGTTGGGAGCCGGAGGGGGTGGGTGATGGAGAGATGCATGAACATGTCAACTGGGCCCTCAGGGAAGGGTATCACTGAAATCAGCACCCCACACTTCGGTTACAATGGGAAAAATGACATTTTCTGATTATGAATCCCCAAGTCATTATTCTCTCAGAATCTGGACTTCATTGACTTGGTTTCCCTCCCATGTCATGTTTGGGGCTTTTTTTTAAAGCTTCAAACTATTTAACTCATACAACAGAAATACATCCTCTTATTTACTGTATGAGTCTTTTGTTCCCTTACAGAGCAAAAATGCTGTCATTTCTAACATTTTTTTAAAGACATATCTCAGCAATATCTGGTCACATTAATTCTCAAAGTCATAAGTTAGTTACTAACCTCATTGGTGGAAGGGCGACTTAATGTCCAAGGAATTTCTAATATATGCAGTGTTCCATAATAATCAGCTGTGGCTATAAATTGCTGTTTAGCTGAAAATTTTAAAATAAATGGGAGGAAAAAATCAGCAAACAGAAAACCATCTTAAGCAGTTAAACATGAAGTATGTTTTTGTTTTGTGTTCTCCCAAAGGACCTGCTGTGGTTCCAGTGATCTTGGCATTTTCATCAGATGTTCATGGCTGGACCATGTAAACATGTACAAGTCATTTTTTCCAGCTGATGAAATGAAAGCTAAGACTGAGCCTTTGTCGGTTCCCCTGCTGCCTCAAAACTTGTATTTCTGGTGACTGTATAAGGAATGTGGCTCCTGGCTGAAGTTGACTCTCTCTGTGGCTGGGCCCACTGGGCATACTTGAGAAGAAAGCAAGGAGAACACATGGAAAGATTTTCAAAGAAAAGTTATGAAGTTCATTTTCACTGAACACAGAAAGGGCTAAAGGGTACCATCATCCAGAAGAATTTCAAAGATGTAGCCAGAATCACAGGTCTTATTGTAAAAACAAGTAGCTGCCTTTGAACATTTAAAATGGGTATAATATGCAAAGTATTTGAGATTTTTAATCTTTTTCTTCTCCTTCTTCTTCTTCTTTTTTTTTTTTTTTTTTTTTTTTTGAGACAGGGTCTCCCCGCTGTGGCCCAGGCTAGAATGCAGTGGTATGATCATGGCTCACTGCAGCCTCAACCTCCCAGGCTGAATCAATCATCCCACCTCAGCTTCCTGAGTAGCTGGGACTACAGGCACATAGCACCATGCCCGGCTAATTTTTGTTTTGTATTTTTTGTAGAGACAGGGTCTTGGCCATGTTGCTCAGGTTGGCCTTGAACTCCTGGACTCAAGTGATCTCCCCACCTCACTCAGCCTCCCAAAGTGCTGGGATTAGAGGTGTAAGCCACCATGCCCGGCCTGAGAATTGTAATTTTCTATCTCACTGTGTGTGTGTTCTTTTCCTTTTTAGTAGGTCTGCTTCAAATTGCAAAATCCTGGATTCATAATCCCTGTAGGCGTACAAAGCAATGTTTTACACCAAAGTGGGAAAAGATACTTGGGTGGCACATATGGCTAAGCAGTAGTCTGACTGTGACACTCAAGATGCTGAAGACTGAGTTTCCAAATCTAATGTTTCTGAGAAATGGATAGAAAGAGAATTTCATGCTGTACACCTTTGGAAACAAAGGGAAACTTCTTCTTTTAAAAAAGGCAGGTGGGTTACAGTGGTTCACCCCTATAATCCCAGAACTTTGGGAGGCTGAAGCAGGAGGATTGATCACACCACTGCACTTCAGCCTGGGCAACAGAGCAAGACGTCACTGCAAAAAAATAAAATAAAAAAAGGCAAACATACTGGATTTACATAGAAATTACTACTTGGGCGAAACAGAAAAAAAATGGAGACAAAGGACATACATCATGTTTCTATAGACACATCATTGAATTTATGCTTGTTTTGTTATATAGTAGTTTTTCCTCATAGTTGGTTCAAAGGTTAAAGCTTAAATACATATATAACTCCAGATAATCATTTTATCTTATGAAGAGAATTGCTTGATATTAGCCAGGGGAGAACCACAAAAGTGATATAATATTTAAAAATATGATTTGTAATGAAAATTAAAGAAACAAAATTTATTCTATCTGGGAAAAAAAATCAGCAAAAGATAACAAAGATCCGGGTCATCCTGTCTGACCCGGAGAAGAGAAGGATGTTCCCATCGTGCAGTTCAAAACCAGCCTCTGCCTGACACGTGTCTCAGAAATCATTCTTGATGAGGCAACAGTGAGAAGAGCTCAGGTTGTGTCCAAAGTTTGAGACCAAGAGAGAAGGAAAAGGAAGAGGAAAGATGGGAAGGAAAGGGAAGAGAGAAGAATGAAAAGGAAAGGAAGAGAAGGGAAGGGATAAGAAGGGATGAGCAGGAAGAAAAACAAAAAACTAAGAAATAAACATTGGAGGCTTTTCAGATGAATGTCAAGATGTTCCCGAGTTACCCAAAATGACTTAGCTTATTTAGTTAGAATTAACATACAAGAAAAGATCCAGGGTTTGATGTAGGTGATCATAGTTATGCAAATGTTTTGAGACTGGGCTGGTTCATGGGTTTTCTCCAGAAGGTCCCAGATATCAATGTATCCATCTTCTCGGCCGATGTAGAAAACTCCGGGCCGAGTCAGGGACCAGTGGCCTGAGGTGTACCTTTTTGGTGCACAGCATGACTGAAGGAGCGGTCCAGTCTTTAAACAAATTTTTAAAAAGACAAATAAAGAAGATTTTGTTATTATCTGAGGGAAATTCACCATGCTGTTCATTAAGTACAACTCAAGCTAGCTATGATCATATAACAACAAAATTATGCCCACAGGAAGTCTTACTTCTCTTTGTTGTAGGGTTTTTATATAACACCAGCTTTTCTTTCTTGTTTTCATAAGCCATTTTTAGTTGCTTTTCAGAAAATATTAAACATTCCAATTAAGTTGTTGAAGTTTCTAATAATCCAACTTCTAAACCCACTACTGCTTCTAACCTTACGACTATTTCTGTGGAAATTGGTGGACATTAGACAAGTAAAGATTATAAGGACATTCTGCTTATGCCTTTATTTTGCTATCAGATATCTGCTTCCCATGGAAACAGCTCAGTAAACAGTAGAGAGTAAAACAAATGAAAAGTCTGCCAGTTCCAGCTGTGTACTGCATGTTGAAAATCAACATCAGAATTGGCAAATTCTCATATAAAGTGACTTCAGCTGGAAGCAGTTGATCACCTATAAATACACTAGGAAGAGATTTTAGACCATCAAAGCATCATGCAATCATCTTCTCTTTTCTCTACCATGGGGTAGTCTGCCTTCTTTGGGAGGTTTTCAAAAGTAAGAATAGAATGTGCTTTCTACCCACTTCAGGCTTCATCTACTGACCAGGGGTGCTCCTTCGCCTACTTACATCTGCAGGGACTAAACTAAATCATGGAGCTGTCTCCCACCCTCCAATATATGCATAAGAGATTTTCCTGTGAAGAAAGCATGTCGCAGATTCATGGACTCTGTGGAGGTGACATTTCAAACTTGTTCTCCTTGTCTACTTCTCCCAGCACCTTGAGTTTCTATAACCAAATTCCTGACCCTGGCATAGTCTTTGGACAATCATGCCTGAATTTCCTTTTTCTTTTTCTTTAACTACAAAACTTGCTAATTGTAAAAAAAAAAAAAATCAAACATACAGAAGTACATTGGCATAAAGCAGAGTTCTTTGTTGATGACCATTTAAGTAGTTTCTAAATTATTTTCAATGATAAATATACAGTTTTTGAGTATTTGTATATGTTAGAGTTTCAGAAGTGGAACTGTTAGGTTAAATATATATACATTTATATATGTATATATGTATACCAACTTTGAAATATATATATGTGTGTGTATATATATCCACATTATATGCCTATGTACATACACACATGTATTTCAAAGTTGGTATACACATATGCATATATACATATATATTATATGCATATACACATATATATATAGTTTCAGGCTTTGATAATCTCAAATTGCTCATCAAAGAGACATGTCAACTTACAATCCCACCAAAAGTACTGATTCCCCCACACCCTTGCTTCACTGGATTTTATCAATCATTCTAGTTTTTGGCAGTTTAGCTCCTATCTGCCTAGATCCAGCCCCTCTCCTAATCCTGACCACACTCTTGCTGCCTCCCTTTAACTACTGTATGTCCCTGGACAGGCAAGGGTCTGCCTGCTGACATACCCTCAGCTTATTCACTCCCACTTTCTGCACCTGCCAAGATATTCCTGGTGCAGAGGGAAAGATGACAAACCCAGTGTTTCTCCTTGCACTTCAATCAGAATTAGGCATCCCATCTTGTATTTCCAAGGGAGGAAAAATGCAAGTCAAGTTCAGGTGTGGTGTCACACCTGTAATCCCAGCACTTCGGGAGGCCGAGGCAGGTGAATCACTTGAGCCCAGAAGTTTGAGACCAGCCTGGGCAACATGGTGAAATCCCCATTTCTACAAAAAACACACACAAAAAAGCTGGGCTTGGTGGCGTACACCTGTCGTCCCAGCTACTCAGGAGGCTGAGATGGGAGAATCAACTGAGCCTGGGAAGTCGAGGCTGCAGTGAGCAGAGATCACGCCACTGCATTCCAGCCTGGACCACACAGTGAGACCTTGGCCCCCACCCCCAAAAAATGCCAGTGAAGTCAACTGCCCACAGTAGATATTCCAAGACTGTTAAGTTTCAGAGAACAAGGAACTTGTAAACTGTTTTCTCCCCTCAGGAAGGAAAAACAAATGAATGTGTTTTCAAAAGGATTACAGTGGTTCTGCTGACAAGCTGGTGTCCCTGCCATCTGTTCTAATTTCTCTAAAAAGTGTCCCAAAGGCACTATTATGTCAGAACATAACAGTTCCTCTTGTCTTTCTGAATAACAAAAGATCACACACTCATGCTTCCATTTTGCAGGCAACTTACCATAACACCTTCTTTCCATATGGCCACGTTCCAACCTCCAACCGTGAGAATAATGTCGTTGTAGAAAGGTGATCTCTGAATAGTGTGGACAGTTCCGTCGTGAATGGTGTGGTGGCTCACTGGCTTCTTTGCTATTGGAGTGAAAGAAGACCATCTCATCTTTAATAACACTGTTTGCATTCCTGCAGTGAGGAATGGACAGACCTCCAATGGACAGACAGGGCCCCATGAATGGGGTCGGGGAGTGGAGAACCAGAGGCTAGCTGGGATGAATAGATCTGTCAAGGGATGGCTCCTTCTGTTATTATGGAATGTCCAGGGAACATCCCATCAAGGCCATTTTTCAAGCTTAAATGAATACTTTGTGTTATTCATTTACTCATTCATTAATTCACTCAATTAGTCAATAAATATTTATAGATTGCCAATATGTAATAGCAGGTACTGTAGCTGGCTGGGTAGACAATGGTTAGTAAATAAACATGATTTTGCCCCCAAGGAGCTTACAGTCCAGTGGGAAAGATAGAATTTCAATAAACACATCCCAAAGTATACAATGTAAAAATTGTGAAAAGTGTTGTGAAGGAAAAAATATTACAAGTAAGAATAACAAGAGGATTTGTAATTTAGACTGAAGGGTCAGGAAAGGCTTCTGTGGAGATGCATCATGTAGGCCTGAATAGCAGCTCAACATGGGAAGATTTTGGTGTGAAGGAACATTCCAGACAGTGGAAACAACACACACCAAAGTCCTAAGGAGAGAAGTGTTTAGTGCTTTTACACACTTGAGGAAGGCACCCCCGACAGCAATCTGGTCATTTTAGAGTGAGACATGAAACAAATGGGGACTAGGAGGGTCTAGGCCATGCTGGGCCTTGTAAGAAAGGAGTTCAGATTACACTCTAAGTGTTGTGTGTTGTAATGAGTCCTTTAGGTCTCCAAGTGAGACAATTTGATTGACATTTCTGAAAGAGTCTCTGGCTGTTGTGGGGAGAATGGATTAGGGGAAGGTAAAAGCAGAGGAGGCTGCAGTGGCAGTTCTGGTGAGAGAGGATGGTGGCGTGGTCTAAGATGCAAGGGAGAAGAAGGGATAATCAAGAAATATTTGTGAGCTAGAATTGACAGGACTTGGAGACAACTTGAATAGGAAGACAGAGATGAAATGCTGAGAATGACAGCCAGGTTTCTGACAAGAGCCACAGTCCTTCCATTTGTTGCCAGTGGGAAGCCTTACAGGTTCTAATGCTAAGATCAAGAGTTCACTTTAGCCTCTGCCCCAGGTCCCAGGGTCTTCCTGCTTCTCTGGTCTCTTTACTCAGGTAACAGGAGGATTCTGCTTGGGTTTCCTCTCCCTGAGAGTTGGCTGCAGAACTGAATCCTCCTAATTTCTTGTTGCCCACAACCCTATGCCCCAGGCATGACCACAAAAACATATGGCTGTCAAGGCCACACCACAATGTCCAGCCACTTTATACTAATGTTTTCTGAATTTTATCATATTAATTGCTATGTTCTTAGAGGGCCCTGCTCCCCTGTCAGTCACTCACACTTCCACTCGCATGATTGACTAGATACCCTTCTGCAAAGAATCCAGCTGCTCTACCACACTGCTCCCTCATGGTGTTCTGAAGACTTCTTGCAAGCCTTTGTGGGCCTAGCAGTCCCAGGAGCTGCCTCTTCGTTTGCTTATGGTTATCCCAAACTGTGAAATGCATTAAAATATATTTTCACACTATGACAAAATTCAAAGGTTTAAAATGAGCAGTTATAATTGTAGTGAACCCCAAGGCTCTGAGCCTGCTAGAGATAGGGAGCTTTGCTTATTGGGGTGCCTGTATTCCTGACTGCAGTTCCTTCTCCCGCCTGGATGTGACCCACATGCTTCTGCTCAGCTTTCCAGAGGCCCAGGTCCTGGGAGCAGCAGACATAAAGACACGACCTGTCCTAGCCCCAAAGGAGGGTCCTGCAGTCCCTTTTCCCATACTCTGCTGGGGTCTTCTAGATTATCTTACATTTTGCTTATAATCTCACATTGACTCAGATTTTCCACATAGATGAACTACCAGGTTATTGAATTATTGAAACAGTATTTTATTTTTAAATTAAATCACTCAAGTTTCTCCGTCATTTAAGCAACATATAGGTCAGTGCTCCTCAAATTTTGGTGTGAAAACAAATACCCTGGAAAATGTTATTAAAATCCAGATTCCAATTCAGAAGGCCTGGCGTAGGATCTAAGATTTTTATGTGTATTTTCAGCAAGTTCCCAGGTGATGACTATGCTGCTTATTCAAGGCCTTCACTTTATTAGTCAGTACCTTAGGAGCCTTCCCTCCCATTAGCAAGACCAGGGTGACTCTGTACTGCATGAGATTCCTTTGGGTAGTTTAAATTAAAAGGAACATCTTATTAATAACAGGGCAATCACAAAACTTACACATAAGTCGGCCAGTTTCAGGGTCTTTTTCCATTTTCCAATCTGTGTATATCACTTCGCCTTCCTAAAAATATTACAGGTTCCTGATGAGTACAATGACAACTTAAGAGACAAAAGACTTCACACTCATGTGCTAAGATTGACTGTTAAGCAAAACAAATGCAAAACAACAAGTCAATTTAATCAAGTAATTTGATCCAGTGGGGGAGAGGGAAAGCCTCAAAATGAGTACTCAATTTTATATTGAAGAAACAATGAGTTTGTTGTGTTTTTATCCACATATAATGATGTGGAGAACATGATAGTTCTGCAGATACTCCATCTGGGACAATAGTCCCAACCGCTGGGCATCCAAAGTTTTTGTTGTTGATCCGTAAAGGGAGGGATCAGGCCATCTTATTCAGTGATTACTTTTCAGCCCATTAGAAAGTCAATTGTTAATAAATATTTGTGGAATAAGCAAGAATGAGGGACTATGAATGCATACATGGTAGTAATTACTACTTTTCAGGTTGAGAACAGGAAACATAAAGTTCAATCTAAATAAAATAGCAAGCGATATGTATTCTTATTCTGTCTTATGGCCGTTTTAAGGAGAGGGGAAGGCAAATGGACCTGATGTAAGAAGAGGAAGAAACAGTCATGCAAAGGGGAAAGACAGAGAGAACCGATGAATTACAGAGGTGGGAGAAGTTTACAGAAAATAATTAGTCCCTCGCTGTCATTGGATGGATGAGAAAACTGAGAGAGGTTAAATGACTTGCTCTAGATCACCCCATGCGATCTCCTAATTCCATTGTTTCTTCACTGGATGAGAAGAGAAAAACACAGGAGTTTGTATAAAATGGGGATGGATTGGGATCTGTAGCCAGGAAGGGGAGATAAGAGCACATTTGATTTATGCAAAGGGAAGGATAAACTCACTGGGGACAAGGTCACTCATTCACCCACCTGAGCTTTTATTCATCTGTGTTAATTCATTTAACAAACAAGGACTGTATTTGGTGCTGGAAATTCCAAATCCAAGGACAAGCCCTCTCTCTACTCACGATCCTCACAGTCTAAGGAAGCAGACAGATGGGTACATGTTTTGCTAATCTATGGCCATGTTGCACATCACCCTCACGGATACCACTTCTTGAGCACTCAGTCCTTGCCAGCGTTCTTAGGAGTTTTATGGATGTGACCCTTAGCCCTCACCAAAGTCCTGTAAGAGAGTTATTAATATCTCCTGGGTCTCATAGCCAGTACATGAAACAATGAAATTGAACCAAGTCAACGAGGACTAGTTGGAACCAATCTAATAAATGTGTGTTGAAGGCTCATCGTATCATCAGTCACCTAGCTGGAAACCTCTATACCCTTCTCTAGCCACTTCTGTAATTCTGTTACCCAACTCCACTTCTCTGACCCCTGTGTTGACATTCTTGGCCCCACTGCTCAGGCCCTTTTCATTTCTGGGCTGGCCCACCTGAAATCACCGCCTGCCTGTCTTCTCTCCCTCCAGGGTTCCACTCCCTTCCCTCAGCCCACGCCAGCCAGTCGAGATCCCAGTGATGCCTCCCTGAACATCTCTATCCAAAGTAGATGGATCAGCTGTGTCACAAGTTGGTAGAACCTTCCAATGGACTGCCAACACCATGAGGCCAGGGAATTTTGTCTGTTTGTTCAGTGCTATATCTACAGGGCCAAGAGCAATGCCTGGCATATATTAAATGTGCAGTGAGTATCTGTTGAGGGATGAGTAAAGAAATTCCAAGTAGGGCAAGGCCTCCAAAGGCAGGCAAGAGTTTGTATTAGGAGGATGAGAAAAAAGGCCGGGCACAGTGGCTCACGCCTGTAATCCCAGCACTTTGGGAGTCCAAGGCGAGCGGATCACCTGAGGTCAGGAGTTCAAGACCAGCCTGGCTAACATGGTGAAACACTGTCTTTACTAAAAATACAAAAAAATTAGCTGGGCATGGTGGCACACGCCTGTAATTCCAGCTACTCAGGAGGCTGAGGCAGGGGAATTGCTTGAACCTGGGAGGTGGAGGTTGCAATAAGCCGAGATCGTGCCACTACACTCCAGCCTGGGTGACAGAATGAGATTCCATCTCAAAAAAAAAAGAAAAAAGAAAAAAGGAAAAAACAGAGCTGCCAGAGTGAGAGGGAGGTTGGTGCAGATAAGGCAGAGAGATAGGCAGGGGACGAATCTTATAGGCCATGGTGTGAAGAGTCTGGATTTTATTCATGTTGTACTGAGTTGTCACTGAAGAGTTTGAGCAGGGGGTGTCATGCTTTAATTTCTGCTTTAAGATCTTGCAGTCACTGATTTTTCTAAATCTGGTCTGATGGTGTCATTCCCCTGCTTTATAAACTTTGGTGCACAAAAGGACAAATATTGTATAATTCCACTTACGTGAGGTATCTAGAATAGTCACATTCGTAGATACAGAAAGTAGATGGTGGTTACAAGTGGGTAGGGAAAGAAAGGAAGAGGGAGTTAGTGTTTAGTGCGTACAGACGCCCAGTTTGGGATGAGGAAAAGTTCTGGACATGGATGGTGGTGATGGTTGTACAATATGAATGTACTTTTCCAACAGATTATTGAACTCCTTTGGGAAAGGAGTTTCTTAATACCACTGAATTGTACATTTAAAAATGGCTAAGATGATTAATTTTATGTTACATATATTTTACCACAATTAAAAAAATTTTTTAAACTTTGCTGTGAAACCCAAGTTATAAAGCACATATTTATTTGGTAGTGTTGCATTGCTTACTAAATGAAACTCAAATTACCTAACACAGCAGGAAAGGCTCTTCAGTATTGGATTCCAACCAGGCATTCTAGACATACCTTTCCCTCTTACACCAAACTATTTCACTAACTCCAGACAAATACTGGGCTTTCATAACTCCAAATATTGTTCAGGCTGTTACTTCTGCTTGGAATTCTACTCTCAACCTGACCTTTGAGATTCCTTCTCAACCTCCAACATCCAAGCAGCCTGTGGGTCACCTTCCCCAACCTCCTTCTTCCTATCGGAATGGCCTCTGGACTGGTGTTGGTGTTTATCATGTGTCTGCTCCTCGACTAGGCAGAAAGTGCCTTGAGGAGAGAGGGACCATGCTATTCACTTCTGATCCCAGCACCCAGTGCTGTGCCTGAGACACAGTCATGTTCTCCAGAGCTTGTGGAATTGATTGCTTTCCTCTTCATACCAAAGTGTGGATGAAGATTGCATTCTGGTGAGACTGAGCTATGGCCTCTTCTCATGGTGACTTGGCCTGGGAAAAATACTCTGTATTTCAGGGAATGAGAGTCATGAGTGAAAAGAGCATCTCTGCCTCTGTATGACTGTAGATAAAGTTCTGAGCCTCATTTCTTCATTTATAAAATGGCAATAATAATACCAACCTTACAGGATTACTGGGATTAAATGGGATATAATTTGGAAAATAACTTGGCACAGACACTGATACATAGAAAATGTCCAGTAAATGTGAACTCGCTTTGGTTATTATTACAGTATGTCCTTAGAAAATGGCAGCCATTATCATTATTATATCCAATTGTTATTTATCTTTTGAAATGAGTGAGTTTTTTCTGTCTCTTCTACTAGATTGTGTTAGCCCAACAAAACACTATAGTTTCTTAGTAAATCTCTAACACTTAGTATGGTTTCTTCCAAATGATAAAGGTATTTGATGAATATTTGTAGATTGAACAATATATTATTAGTTAAAAAGTATGCAATTTTACAGATTTGTCCACATACGTTCAGGAACATTTTAAAGGTGAAACTATGAGGTATCAGAGTTAAAAATGTTTAATGCAAACAAGCATACTAAAATATGAAAATGGTATAACTTTTATGTCTTTACACAGCAAAAATGTACAGTAGATATTGTAATAACATATTTTAGTATAAATAAGTATTAATTTTAAAAGCAGATAATCCCAATTTACCTCTGTTCCCACAAAGAACTTTGTGCAGAAGTCATCTATTGGCTTGAGAAGATTGGCCATCCCACTTTCCAGATTATGATACGGGTTCATTTCTTCTGCCTTCTCTGTTTTGCTCTGTGCTAACATTTTGTCTTTCAGAGGAGTGTGGGTAGAAGAAGTACATATTTACAGGGAAACATCTTTTAAAATATAGACAGTTTACATTTTCTGCCCCTTGCCACCTGCATTTGCCCCATTCCCTTCCCAATGTAGTGAGCATAAGTCCAAGCATTTTTAGATTTCTAATTTAGCAAAAGAACCCTCTTTTGTTCCAAACCAAACATCAATGACTGTGCTATATTATAGCTCTAGCTATACCTGCACATAGTGTAAGAGCATAGGTAATTCGGGGGCTGAAACACAAACATCATCGGCAACCTGTTTCTTTTTAAAAGTATTTGATGTCACCTTGTTTTAAAAGTCTTTTTGTAATCTAAAATTAATAAATGTTATTTATTTAAGCCTTGGAGAATAAAGAAAAGCATGAGTAAAAGAACGAAAATCATCCATTATCATGTCTCCCAGAGATAATATTAAAATATTGTGACTTTTCTTGTAAATTCACTTTTTTTTAAAAAACTGGATAATATCCTATTTTAGTTTTATATGCTGCTTTTCTATTCTCTTAAAGCTATGTCCTAAACATTTTTCCAGGTAACTTACTAGATTTTTGAAAATATGATATTCAATTCCTGGGAAAGATGGTAGAGAAATATATGCTCATAAAACCCTCCTCTACCACACTTCCTCAATATGTCCTCTGAGTCATATTACCCAAGAGGAAACAAAAAGCCATAAAACCAACCAACAAACAGACAAGTGAAAACTAAAACAGGAGAATAAAACTTCAGCTATACTAAAAAGACATATTACATTTAAAAAAAACTTTAGCATAATTCTGGACAAAACTTAAAAATGATTATCATGATTTAGTTGGTATAGTCAACCAATACTCTCTTTGTTTTGGATCTACATGTTTTGAGACGTATCTTTTCCCACTAAGTAAGACATCAAAAACGAGTATCAAAATGAACCAAACATCGAACTAGATCTTTAAATAGCTGTATTACAAAGTGTAAACCAACATTTCAAACATGACTGGGCATATTCAATCACATTATTCTCATTAAAAGATATTATTTATAATACATGTAGGAAGAGCAAAAAGGCATTTTGTACCCATTTAATGTATACAATTAAAATCATTAAAATATTTATTTCAAATTCTTCACTCACATTTCAATGTCTGTTCCTCTCTTTTTAAATCATGTACACAAATATATTAGAGAAGTAGAATATGTATATAATTTGTAAATACATATACATACATTGAGAATCTGAACTCAGAAATGTTAAACAAGGGGCTATAAGATTAAAAGTGTGGAGACTTCTGGTCTCACAAGGGGAGACAAGACCCTGATCTATAGGGTTACAACTGATAATGAAAAGGAAGAGGCAAAGGTGCGATAAATGTAAAGGAAAACATGATTAACTTGAGTGAGAGACTGGAAGTGGAGGCCTGAAGAGAGAATCAGGAATGACTCAAGTTATCAATCCTGTTCTGGACACATTGACTTGGATAGGGTAGATTGGGTTTAAACCCAGGAGACAGCAAGAGTCAGATGGAGAATTCTCAGCAGAGATAAAAGTTAGAGCCATGCAGGTAGACTGTGTTACCAATGAGGAAAGTACACAGCTGAAGCTAAAGTTCAAGGTACATTCATGAGTAGATGGCAGCAAGGTGAAATGGAGCCAGGAAAGGAGATAGAGGAGGAATAACGGAAGAAGTAGCAGGATAGGAAAATCACAGATGCTAAGAGAAGTGTGCGCTCCAAGAAAATAGGCTGAGTTAATAGCATTTAATGTGGTAGAGCAGGGGTCTGCAGCCCCTGGGCCACAGATACTGGTTCGTGGCCTGGTAGGAACTGGTCAGCACAGCAGGAGACAAGCAGCAGGTGGGCGAAAGAGCATTACTGCCTGAGCAGTATGTCCTGTCAGACAGCAGCAGCATTACATTCTCACAGAAGCGTGAACACTATTGTGAACTGGACATTCAAGGGATCTAGGTTGCACGCTCCTTATGGGAATCTAATGCCTGCCCCCCTGCCCCCACCTCCCCCTGCCACCCAGTGGAGAAATTATCTTCCACAAAACTGGTCCCTGGTGCAAAAAAGGTTGGGGAAGGCTATGATAGAGTCAAAGAAGGTGAGGCTAGGGAAAAACGTTATTAACTATGTTTATTCAGAGTTGACGGGAATAACTTTGGATACTTAGATTCAAAATCATCCTCATAGGTCATGGATTTCCCATCCTTTGAGATAGTAATAATAACAGCATCTGACATTTATTGAATGCTTACTACATGCCAGGCACTAAAGTGTGTGCTTTATAGGAACCATTTCATTCAGTCCTCACAAGAACTTCCAGGTGGTTATGCATTCATCCTCCTCCAAGGATGAGTAAACTGAGGCTTAGAGAGATTAAGTAATTTATGCAAGGTCTCACACATGGTAGTTAACATTTGCTGTGTGTTGACTATGTGCTATTCTGAGAGCTTCGTGTATAACTCATTTCATCTTCACAACACCCTATGAGGTAGTTCTCTTTATTATTTACTCCCCTCATCTTCCTCACTCTATTTTCAAATGGATTTAAAAGCAAAAAAACAACTAAGGTACAGAGAGGTAAAGTAATTTAACTTGGTCAAATAATACATTGTGGCTTTGGGATTTAAACCCAGACCATCAACTCCAGAATCTACCGTCATAGCTGCTATGCCACATTGCTTAGAAGAATATATGTCAGGCTCTAAAGGCTATTCCAACAGAGGAATTCCAAAAGCATTTAGAGCAAGGGTTTCCTTATCAGAATAAATACAGAATTTCTTAAAGTGACCACTTAGAAGAGCATGGGTTGTCATGGACCTAAAATGGCAGACAAAGGGTGGGTGGTCCCTGGCCATTAGATAGTGACAGAGTACCAGACACTGACACTAAGTCTCAACAGGCCTCAAGAGAAAATGGTGGGATAGCGAGGACTTGTGATACAGTCAAAGGAGAAACCAGTACAGGATCAAGAATCAAAATGTGATCAAGAACCTTATGAGTATATTCTAGTTAACAGGGCCAAGTCTGGTCAGAATGGGCGGATAGTCGGCAGTGTGACCAAAGGAAATCTGAAATACCATAGTTGATCTCAAAGTCTTGAAAGCTGGCCATTCACACAGGAGGCAGATCATGGCCATAGAGTGACCTTCCTCCAAAGATCAGGAACAAAACAGGGATGTCCACTCTCACACTTCATTTAACATTCTGGAGGCTCTACACAGTGCAATCAGGTAAGAAAAAAATAATCATCCAGATTGGAAAAGAAGTAAAACTGTCTCTATTTGCAAATGACATTATTATCTATATAGAAAACTCAGTATGTCTAAAAGAAGCCACTATAACTAGTAAGAGATTTTAGCAAGATTTCAGGATACAAAATTAATATTCAAAGATAAATTGTAGGCCAGGCGTGGTGGCTCATACCTGTAATCCCAGCACTTTGGGAGGCCAAGGCAGGTGGATTACCTGAGGTCAAGAGTTCGAGACCAGCCTGGCCAACATGGTGAAACCCCATCTCTACTAAAAATACAAAAATTAGCCTGGTGTGGTGGTACATGCCTGTGGTCCCAGCTACTCGGGAGGCTGAGGCAGGAGAATCACCTGAACTCAGGAGATGGAGGTGCAGTGAGCCAAGGTCATACCACTGCACTCTAGCCTGGGCGACAGAGCAAGACTCCTTCTCAAAAAAAAAAAAAAAAGATACAAATTGTATTTTTATACACTGGCAGTGAACAATTGGAAATTAAAAAAATTTAAGTACCGTTAACAAGAGCACCAAAAAATATGAAGAATATAGAAATAAACCTGTCAAAAGAGGTGAAAGACCTGTACACTGTAAAATACAAAACATATCTGAGAAATTAACGACCTAAATAAACGAACAGATATACTGTGTTTATGGGTTAGAAGACTCATTTTGTTAGACGCTAATTCTCATAATACTGACCTACAGATTCAATACAATCTCAGTCAAAATCACAGCTAGCTTTTTATGCATAACAAGCTGTTCCTAAAATTCACATGGAAAAGCAAAAAACTTACAACAGTCAAAAACTACTTTGAAAAAAAAAAGGTTGGAAAACTAACACTATCTAATTTCAAGACTAATTATAAAGCTAGCATAATCAAAACAGTGTCGTATTGCTCTAAAGATAGGTCAATGGAACAGAATAGAGTTTAGAAATAGACTCACATATATATGGACAAGTGTTTTTTGACAAAGGTGCAAAGCAGTTCAGTAGAAAGAGGATGGTGTATTCAACAAATGGTGTGGGAATACCATACACAAAAAAATGAACTTTGATCCATAACATATACCAATTACAAAAATTAACTCAAAAGAAATCATAGCCCTAAATGTAAAACCATAAAACTAGAAAAATTAGGAAAAAACATTGGCAACTGTGGGCTAGGCAAACATTTCTTAAATTCAACACCAAAACCATGATCCACAAAAGAATAAATTGATAAGCTGGACTTCCTCAAAATTAAAAACTTCTGATTTTCAAAAGACTGCTAAGAGATGAGACAACAAATCACAGACTAGGAGAAAATATTTAAAAATCACATATCACTAGTCCTGAGAAAGAACTAGTATATAAGATATATTAAGAACTCTCAGAATTCAATAATAAGAAAACAAACAGGCCAGATGTGGTGGCTCACATCCATAATCCTGGAACTTTGGGAGGCCGATTTGGGCAGATTGCTTGAGGACAGGAGTTCGAGACCAGCCTGGCCAACATGGCAAAACCCTGTCTCTACTAAAAATATGAAAATTAGCTGGGCTTGGTGGCACATGCCTATAATCCCAGGTACTCGGTTGGCTGAGGCATGAGAATCACTTGAACCCAGAGGCAGAGGTTGCAGTGTGCCGAGACCATGCTACTGCACTCCAGTCTGGCCAGCAGAGCGAGACTCTGTCTCAAAAATAAAAATAAAACAAACAACCCAACTGATAAATGGGCAAAAGATTTGAACAGACACTTAACCAGGGAAGATATACAGGTGGCAAAAAACATGCGAAAATTTGCTTGACAACTTAAGTCATTAGGTAAGTGTAAATGAGATCCGACTGTATATTTTAGAATGGTTAAATTAAAAGGATTAACCATATCAACTGTTGGCAAGGATGTGGAGAAAATGGAACTCTCCATACACTGCTAGTGGGAATGTAAACTGGTAAAACTGGAAAATGCTTTGGCAGTTTCTGAAAAAGTAAAACATACACCTGCCATATAATACAACCATTCTATTCCTAGGGATGTACCCAGGAAAATATGAAGGCATATGTCTATACAAAGACTTGTACATGAATGTTCATAAAAGCTTTATTTGTAATAGGTCTACGCTAAAAATCCAAATGTTTATCAACAGGTGAATGGATAAACCACTGTTGTGTATCCATACAATGAAATGCCACTCTGTAATAAAAAGGATTCATTCAGACAACATGAATTAATTCTAAAATAATCATGCTGATTAAAAGAAGCCAGATTGCTGCATGTGGTGGCGCATGCTTGTAGTCCTGGCTACTCAGGAGGCTAAGACAGGAGGATTGCTTGAGCCCAGGAGTTAGACGCTGCAGTGAACTATGATCATGCCCCTCCATGCCAGCCTGGGTGACAGAGTGAGCCCCCATCTCTTAAAAAAAAAAAGAGTATATACTGTATGATTTACATAAAATTCTAGATAATGAAAACTAATGTATAGTGACAGAAAGTAGATCCGTTGTGGCCTGGGAGTGAGGGAGGTGCTGGAGGGAAGTGTCCCAAAGGGAATTCCTCTATGAATAAACTTTTGGGAGTGGTGAATATGTTCATTATCTTGATTATGTTGATGGTTTCATGGGTGTGTACATATGTCAAAGCATATCAAATTAAACACTTTGACAATATGCAGTTCATTGTATGTCAATTATACCTCAGTGTGGTTGTTAAAAATGAATAAAAACCCCTCACACTTTAAAAGAGATACTGATATCCTTCCTATAAACTGGATAAAGGTAGTCTCATCCTCCTGGCCACCTGTTTTCATTAGGTTAAAAAATAATACTAGGACATTTAATAAAGTTACCTTTTTACAAGTTATATTAACCTCTCTCAGCCTTGGTTTTCTTAATTATAAAATGGTAATGGAAATTCCCAGCTTGCAGATTGTTGTGATCATTAGCATCTGTTTTTGCTCACCATCGTACCCCTGGGGCCTAGCACAAAGTAAGCAAATTACAAATATCTGTTAAATGAATGAAAGTATGTGCAATAGTAGCACCGTACCTGAACCATGGCTGGAATGTGATACATTATAACCAATGATCAAATACAAAAGAGGAGGAAAAGAAGGAAGAGGAGGAGAGGTGGAGAAGGAGAAAACTCCCGTTAGATTCCCTCTAGAATGAAGCAGGCCCTAATAGAGAAACAGCATGCAATGTTTTAATAATGCTTTGACAATGTCTATAAAAGTTTAGTGAATCAGTATTTTTTAGCATGAGGTTTTGGGTTATATCAATAAAACACATGGCTTCAAAGTGAAATTTTGCTCAAGCTGGGTATTAGGTATGTGTTTTTCTTAGATATTCTATCATTTAACATTGAAAAATTCATAAATGGAAATCCTTTTGATAAGGCGAATGTTTGGGAAATATTTCAATTGCTAGTTATTCTCGAACATTTTCATTATGCATTGCTCTCCAGGTGGGATATTCATGCATACCTTTATCTTAATAGTTTTGACAGCTTATATGTGCCCCCTTCAATTATTTCAGCAAAGATGTGTGGGTTGAGTTGAGATAGATTTAAAAGTCAGTTTTCTTTCTTTATTCAGTTTTATCTTGGTGCCATATAAATATTATTTTTAAAAATTATATTCTAATTGAGAATGGTAATTTGTTTCTTGATACTTCATAACTTATTTTACTAGACTTCAGATGTGTTCCATCCTATAGCATTATTCTTTGAGCATGTAACATTCATTAAGTGGGCTTCATTTTATTTTAATGTAATGAGTTTTTGAAGACACATAAATGTGCTCAATAAATATTTTGAGAAGCTGAAATGAACTGAATCTTTTTTGTGTATAGGCAATTTTAATGCGTTGGCAATAGCTATTATTGCCATTATAAAGTTCCACATTGGAGGGTTTGATTTTCTGTATTCTTTTTACAAATTAGACTATCCTAGTGAGTAACTCACGTTAGTCATAATCAGCTACTAACACTCAAATTAGTAAATGTATTTATTTATTTATTTATTTATTTATTTATTTGAGATGGAGTCTCGCTCTGTTGCCCGGACTGGAGTACAGTGGCACGATCTCGGCTCACTGCAAGCTCTGCCTCCCGGGTTCACGCCATTCTCCTGCCTCAGCCTCCGGGATAGCTGGGACTACAGGCGCCCGCCACTAAGCCCGGCTAATTTTTTGTAGTTTTAGTAGAGACGGGGTTTCACCGTGTTAGCCAGGATGATCTCGATCTGCTGACCTCGTGATCCGCCCGCCTCAGCCTCCCGAAGTGCTGGGATTACAGGCGTGAGCCACCGCGCCCGGCCTTTTTTTTTTTTTTAAATAAGCAAAGGCAGTTACCTTGTGTTTTGCAAAGAAGATGGTCTTCATTCAGGCTTATCTTGGTTGGACAGTGGTCTAAACTTGTTTCACCCTTGGACAGCCTTACCTTTTGGGAGAACATATAGCAAAGATTATTTCCACATATCCTGAAATTATCCTTGGGTAATTTATTCTTGCCTTTCCCTTCTGCTCCCATATTGAAGGAAACCCACCTCCTTTTTTTTCTTCCTTCCCTTTCCTCCCTCAAATTTCTAGTTTCTTTCCTCCATGGAAAGCACCTAAACCACATTTCTAAACCCAGCTACAGAAAGGAGCTTGTCTGAGGACACATTTCCACATCCCAAATTCTCATGTGTCATTTTCTTTCTGAAAAATGCCTTGTATTGTATTCCATAATACATCCTTAAGAGTTTTAATATAAAATAATTACTTGTTACCCTGTTCCCTAAATCATTCAGTTAAATGAGACCCCAGAAAGTTGTGCAGGGACCTTGCATCTGCTTGGCCACCTCCAAGTCCTCTCAGGAACACATGCACTGGAGTTCCAGAAGGCCCTGGGCCTGCACTGCATCCTGGTGGCTGGAAAGAGAAACTGTCACACTTCACAGTTTTCCCTCACAGCTCCCTCAGCCCTTTCTCCTTCAGGATGTTTGTCCACATGCTATGCAATTATTCTTAGATGAGTTTGGGGTTGTTTGTTTGAACTATTCATAGCTCAGTAGATCCTACCCCCAGTCCCCCAAATTTATAATCTTCTCTTTCCAATTATTTCCCAGTTATCTCAGCAATATTCTTATTCCTCCATGTTCTCTCTTCCATTGGGAGCAAATACAAAATAATATAATTCTTGTGATATTTATAAATCAGAAGAAAAGTATTAAGTTAAACTTAAAACTAGACATTCTAAAGAAAGAGAGCCATCAAGTTTGAAGTCCATTTATATTTTCCACACATATCTTGTCCATAGCCATATTTTTCTCAAATTAAAACTGCTTTTCTTCAAGCTCTGCTATGTGAGATAAATACAAACAACTTCTCATTCAGTTAATTTTCAGTTCTGTTTGGTCATAGGTATTATCAAGCTTTCCGTGGTCTAATATCCCAAAAAACGTACAGAAGGAACAATACCAGTTCCTTCTATTGATAGGCAAAATTTTGATAGGCAGAATTTTGGCTACAGTAGGGAGGAAAATTAGCTTTTCTGGACTAACTTGAGCACCAACCAATTTTCAGGCAACTGACATGCTATTGGATAATTATTACACACACCATTTGGAAATTGTGGCTTGTTTATACATGAAATATCAATCTTGAATTCATGATGATTTTGATTTCTACCTGGATCTAAAGAGGCATCAAAATAACTTGTAAGGGGGAAGGAAAGAAGGGAGGCAAAGGTTGAAAAACCACCTATTGGGTACTATGTTCACTACCTGGGTGATGGGTTCAGCAGAAGCCCAAACCCCAAAATTATACAATATAACCATGGGACAAACCTGCACATGTACCCCCTGAATCCAAAAATAATAATTAAAAAATAATGAGAGCTTGAAGCTCTCCCAGGAACTCTGAAACTTATCATTGTTATTGGCACAGTTAGAATGACTGAAATGTTTTTCTGCTCCCTTTTTCTGTATATTGCAAACATCAGCTACATCAGCAACCATATACTTCTTCATTGTCAGCTTTCCAAAGTAAATCTGTGTAAATCATACACAGTGTATGTGTGTATTACACAGATTACACAAAGTAAATCTGTGTAAATATATACAATAACATGTATCAATTAAAAATAAAATAAAACTAAAAATCCTCCCAATCAAGGAATTTATTGGTTGAATAAACACAAATTGTACAGTCTTGTGTTAATCTGAGCTGCTCTACTTTTAGAGAGTGTGTGTATATGTATGTCTATGCATGCAAAGTAAATAGTGTATTATGCAAGCAGGATGGACTAAAAACCCCACATTACTTACCTTAGTGAGAGGTTTCCAGGAGAGATCCAGATGCAAAAAAGTAGATGGTACATCAAAAGGAATTTCAATACTTTCCTCCTTCTTTTTCTCTGTTGTTTGGGGGGTTAAAGGTTTCTGTGGTCTAATATCCCAAAAACATATTGTGCTAAAAAAAATTTATATATATTTTTTATTAAGTACAAACAAGAGGTGCAGCCTCAGGACTACCATTAATGCTGCTACATATTAGCATTGTGACCATGGCTATATTTTAATGTATCTGAAACTAAGATTTTTATGAAACAAGACAGCTTTGTACTTTATATTTTAGAGAATTAAACTGTTTATTGAGTTAACAGCCTCCCTCATCTTGGGACTAATAACATATGAGAATTGAGTTTGATGCAATCTTTTAAAAATGTAAGTTTTATTTAGATATAAATCATATACTACAACATTCATCCAATTAAAGTGTATAACTCAATGGTTTTCAATATAGTCACAGAGTTGGGAAGCCATCACCACAATCAATTTTAGAAGATTTTCATCACACTCTCCCACCTCACCAAAAAACCTCATGCAGATTAGCAGTTGCTTCCTATTAGCAGTTTTTCCCAAGCCATCCCACCAGCCCTAGACAACTACTGATCTGCTTCTTAGCTCTATAGATTTTACTATGCTGGACATTTAATAAAATGAATCATATATGGTCTTTTGTAACTGCCATTTTTCTCTTAGCATGTTTTTAAGGCTCATTTGTGTTGTGGCTGGCACGTATCAGGACTTCGTTACTCCTTACTGATGAATATTCCATTGTGTGGGTATACTACATTTTATGTATCCACTCATCAGTACATTTGATAAATAAATTTGAATTCTGCACCTCCCCACCACAGCTTTTTCACTATTATAAATGCTGCCAGTGAACATTTGTATATGTTTGCATTTCTCTTGGGTGTATCTAGGACTGGAATTGCTGGGTTAAATGGTAACTCTGTGTTTAATCTTTTGAGGAACTGCCAGATTGTTTTCCAAAGCAACTGCACCATTTTTACATTCTATCAGCAATGTGTAATCACTACAATTTATCCAAATCTCTGCACGTTCACCAACACTTGTTGCTTTTTGTCTTTTGATTATAGCCATTGTAGTGGGTATAAAGTTGTATTTCATCAAAAGTAGTTTTGGGTTGCATTTGTGCTTTTGTTGTAATGTCTAAGAAATCACCCCTCAATTCAAAGTCATGAAGATACGTGACTATGTTTTCTTCTAAGAGTTTTCTAGTTTTAGCTCTTACATTTAGGTCATTATTCCATTTTAAACGTTTGTATATAGGGTGAGATAGGAATCCAACGTTATAT
Source organism: Homo sapiens (assembly GCF_000001405.40). NCBI lineage: Eukaryota > Metazoa > Chordata > Mammalia > Primates > Hominidae > Homo > Homo sapiens. The sequence continues at coordinate 85,106,837 of NC_000001.11, read as the reverse complement.
TTTGCACGTGGATATCCAGTTGTCCCAGCACCATTTGTTGAAAAGATTATTCTTTATCCATTGAATTGTCTTGGCATCCTTGTTGAAAATCAGTTGGCCAAAGATGTATGGGTTCATTTCTGGACTCTCAGGTCTATTTCATTGATCTATGTATCTATTGTTATGCTAGTTCTAGTACATCTGTCTCTATTACTATAGCTTTGTAGACAGTTTAGAAATTTGGAAGTGTGAGTCCTCCAACTTTTTTCTTCCTTGACAAGATTGTTTTGGCTATTCTAGGTCTCATTATTTGCCTTCCCCTGACAGCTAATGATATTGAGCATCTTTTTATGTGCTTATTGACCATTTGTGTATCTTCTTTGGGGAAATATCTACTGAGAACCTTTGTTCACTTTTTAATTGGGTCATTTGGGTTTTTATTGTTGCATGGTAAGAGTTCTTTTATATATTCTGGATACAAGTCTTTTATCAGATATATGATTTGTAAATATTTTTTCCTATTCTGTGGTTGTCTTTGCACTTTATTGGTAGTAACTTTGGAAGCTCAAAAAGTTTTAATTTTGATGAAGTCCAATTTATCTATTTTTTTCTTTCATTGCTTGCACTTTTGGTGTTTCATCAAAGTTACATAATCTTAAAAGTGATATAGTGAAAATAACATACACAGAGTTGGATATAATGTGCTTTGTACACAGTAGGCACCCAACAAGACAAGAAGTACCCAGGCTGGAGTGCAGTGGCATGATCTCGGCTCACTGAAACCTCCGCCTCCTGGGTTCAAGTGATTCTCCTGCCTCAGTCTCCTGAGTAGCTGGGACTACAGGCATGTGCCACCATGCCCAGCTAATTTTTTGTATTTTTAGTAGAGACGGGGCATTCTAGTGGTTCTTTGGGGAACCACCCCGTTCTCCATTACATGCAGTCAGGTTGGGATCGTCACTCAAGGTGCTCTGTCATTTCTTTCCTGGCTAAAGGGATGGGTTCATGATACAGTAGGAGCCAGGCACACCCCTTCCAGTTAATTTGAATCTTGAGCAGCGGGACACAATGATTGGCACTGATTCATTCAGAGAAAAGGGGCTGGCCATTTGTTCCTGCTACCCAAATCTCTGGGGCTGTTTCCAAGGCCCAAGTCAGCTCTTCCTTTGATTCAGGAATGTCATTACTTACTAGCTACAATATAGGACATTCAGTAGTGTTACATATAACTCACTCTATATTTAGTCAGCTATAGGTGGAATATGAATTTGCCTTCAGAGCCTCATATTTTCTTTTCTTTCTTTCTTTTTCTTTTTCTTTTTTTTTTTTTGAGACAGAGTTTCACTCTTGTTGCCCAGGCTAGAGTGCAATGGCGCAATCTCGCACCTCATATTTTCTATCTGTAAATATTTTTCAGGGTTGTTGCAAATATAAAAATAGTTAACCCATTAAAGCACTCAGTAGAGTATTGGCATAAATATCCAATACATTTATTTCCAATAAGCTTATTTCTTTCCCTTAAGTTAGCCACAGTCAATTCTCATTGCCTGTAGTCACAGAATCTTCCCCAACACATGCTCACAGGATTAATCATGTCTCCCTCATCCCTGGCCCATGGCTGCTACTAACATCACTTGTGCCTTCTTCTGCCACTCCACACCTTTTTCTGTGGCGTATGGTGTCATTGTTTCCACTGGGGTCAAAGGATTTGGAATGGGAAAGTTTGTCCAACATTTGGATGCTAGATAATGATATTACTCTTCATATTTCCTGTTTCATTACGAATTCTTAGTTCTATAAACTGGGAGATGTAATTTTATTTAAGTAAATCTTCTTCAAAGTAGCTACCGAGTTGTTTATAAAAACACTTTTTATAAATATACAATAAAAATGTAAAAACTCTTCTACTTTTAAAAAGAGGCTTTCCCAATTAAATGTTGTAATCTTCAAAATTCTTAGATAAAACTGAATATAAATAACATATATTACAAATTTACAAATATGAGAATGTGAAGAAGAACTATGGATAATGCTATACAACGTTATCAACCACAAAGCTTAGTTAATTCTTCTTTACATAACATTTAACTCTATAAAACAATTTTTAAGCTAGCAACAATCCATAACATTCTTTCATTTAGTTATATTAGATTTAATTGCTACCATAAATATTAAGGAGAAGAAGACACTGATTTTAGGAGCATCGAAGAAAAAACACCATGTATGAAAACACATTAGGAAATGTTTGAAACAAGACTTACCAATCTGCTGAACATGTGACAAGTTGACAGCATATTCCACTTCGATTCTCAAAGACGGAGCCCATTCTGTTAATCTATTTTTCAAAAATGAAAGAGAAATAAAATTGTTTTTCTCATAGCTATTTACCTTTTAAATTCTTTTCTTCTTTGTTTTAAATGTTAATAAAAGAACATACCGGCCGGGGGCAGTGGCTCACGCCTGTAATCCCAGCATTCTGATAGGCTGAGGCAGGGAGGATCACGAGGTCAGGAGCTAGAGACCATTCTGGCTAACACGGTGAAAGCCTGTCTCTACTAAAAATACAAAAAATTAGCCGGGCGTGGTGGTGGGCGCCTGTAGTCCCAGCTAGTCCAGAGGCTGAGGCGGGAGAACGGCGTGAACCCGGGAGGTGGAGCATGCAGTGAGCCGAGATGGTGCCATCGCACTCCAGCCTGGGCGACAGAGCGAGACTCCAGCCCAAAAAAAAAAAAAAAAAAGGACATACCACTATCTCAGAAGTTTGTGAAACAGAAGGTTTAAAATTAAATACAATTCTGCAACATATTCTTGTCTAGTCTTTTGTCACAGAAACATTTTTACATAGTAGTAATTAGAATGCATATACATTTTTATACTGAGATTTTTCCCTCCACATAATTTGAACATTTACCTATATATTCATAAATTATTATTATTATTATTATTATTATTATTATTATTATTATTATTTTGAGAAGGCATCTCATTCTGTGCCCCAGGTTGGAGTACAGTGGCACAATCTCAGCTCACTGCAACCTCAGCCTCCCAGGTTCAAGTGATTCTCCTGGGTCAGCCTCCTGAGTAGCTGGGATTACAGGCATGTGCCACCATGCCCAGCCAATTTTTGTATTTTTAGTAGAGACGGGGTTTCGCTATGTTGGCCAGGCTAGTTTGGAACCCCTGGCCTCAAGTGATCCACCCACCTCGGCCTCTGAAAATGCTGGGATTAGAGGCATGAGCCATGCGCCCGGCCTCATAAATTATTTTAATCCTTTTATAATATACGGATGATATACCACCATTTCATTACCCATTATTATTAGAAATGTAGGCTCTGTCAGTTTTTCACTGAATTGTGCAGTCGAACATAGAGGCTTTTATGAGGTTGCTAAGCAGGTAAGATCAATGGGAAAGAGGCTAAGTGTTAAATGAGACGCCAAATAAAAGTGTGCCATGACTGTTGTAAGACCTGACCTTTTTGTAATCACGGGCATAAGTCTGCATGCACACAGAGGATTCACAGGAGGGTTTATGGTTCCTCAGGTCCTAGAAGGTCCAAAATTCCAACCCACTAGCTCTCAAAGCAGGCAGCAGGCTTTGAGGCAACCTGTGAAGATGCCACTCTGGAACTGAGAGGGAAACGCATGACTTTCCTCAATTCTCTAACCTCCTGAAAGAACTGATGAGCAAAATAATAAACAGAGGTGGGGCTTCTAGCAGCAAATGAAGTTAGGTGAAAACAGGGGTGGGGAAGGTATAGGTGGCACCTGGGTCATGTCTGCAGGCATCCAGAAGCCAAACAATCACAAACCTGATGGACATCTCTGTGGCCTGAACTACCAACTTCCACTCATTCCAGAACCTGCATGGTGTTACCTCTCTCTCTACTGAGGCTTTTCTGCTATAATGAAGTCAGAGACCCCAGAGATGTGCTTGCTCTGAGGTTTTATGTTTTAATGACTAAAAATCCAAAAACATAACAGTATTATAGAAGTTTGGAAAACAGAATATTTTAGAATCATATATAATTCTCCCGTATATTCTCTTCCAGTCTTCTTTCATGGAAACACTGTGACATGATTTTTCAAGGTATGCATATAATTTTGTATCTAGAGATACAAATTGGATCATTTCTTAGTATGAATTCTCTAAAATTGGAATTACTGGTCAAACAGTTTGAAAATCTGGATGACTTAAGAACCACCTTGACTAACTGCATTCCAAAAGTTTTATGTTGAAATCAGCAATGTGTTCTGGTTTCACCACTTTATTCTTTTTAACATATTAATCACATTTTTCATTTAAAAATTAAATAAATCCAAAATGGCACATTATTGTTGCCTTACTATTAATTTCTTTGATATTAGAAAGGCTGAATGATTTTCATGTTGATTTACTGTTTTATTTTATATGTCTTTTGCTTATTTATGAAAAATTTTTATATTTACCATATTTGGTACAAATATTTTCCTCCATTTTGTTATTTCTTCTTTACTTTTTATTTTTTATTGATGCATAGCCGATGGACATATTTGGGGGGTATATGTGATATACTGATACATTCATATAATGTTTAAAGATGAAATCAGGGTATTTGGGCTATCCATTACCTTAAGTAATAATATTTATTTTCTTTATACTAGGAACAGTCAAATTATTCTCTTCTAGCTATTTTGTAATATATAATAGATTATTGTTAATTATAGTCACCCTACTAATCTGTCAAACACTGGGTCTTATTTCTTCTATCTAACTGTATATTTGTACCCATTAATTAACCTCTCTTTATCCCTCTCATTATTTAATTTTTTGTTTGTTTGTTTTTACATAGATACGGGGTTTCGCCATGTTGCCCAGGCTGGTCTTAAACTCCAAGTCATCCTCCTGCCTCAGCCTCCTAGTGTTGGAATTATAGGTATGAATGAGCCACCATGCCTGGCCTCTCATTATTTCTTAATTTAGAAATTTATATGTGTATATTTTGAATCTGTCAATCATTCCTTTCTGATTTCTTTCAACATTAATCATCTTTGAAAACTATCTTCATTCCAGAGTCTGATACTCTATTTTGATTTTATTGTATTTTTGTATGATTTGTTATTTTCCTTTTTTTTTTTTTTTTTTTTTTTTTGAGATGGAGTCTCGCTCTGTCGCCCAGGCTGGAGTGCAGTGGCGCGATCTCGGCTCACTGCAAGCTCCGCCTCTCCGGTTCACACCATTCTCCCGCCTCAGCCTCTGGAGTAGCTGGGACTACAGGCGCCCGCCACCACGCCCGGCTAATTTTGTTTTTGTAATTTTAGTAGAGACGGGCTTTCACCATGTTAGCCAGGATGGTCTCCATCTCCTGACCTCGTGATCTGCCCGCCTCGGCCTCCCAAAGTGCTGGGATTACAGGCGTGTGAGCCACTGCGCCCAGCCTGTTATTTTCATTTAAATTTAAAATCATCTCAGTTAAATTGCATGCATGGTGTGTGTTGAAATGGAAGTGATATGAAGTTCCTTTACTTGTATTACAACTCCCATTATTATATGTAAACTTTTAACATATCACAGAAACTATACGTGGGCTATTTATTTTGGTTCATTATGACTTTTAAAAGTATCATTGCTTTGCATCATCCATTTGAATACCTCTTAAAACTGGTATAATGATAATCACCTCTTACAACTCTAATTTCTCAGAATATTCTTTTTTTTATGTTCAAGTGCTATTTCTTTTTTTTTAATTTTATTATTATTATACTTTAAGTTTTAGGGTACATGTGCACAATGTGCAGGTTTGTTACATATGTATACATGTGCCATGTTGGTGTGCTGCACCCATTCACTCGTCATTTAGCATTAGGTATATCTCCTAATGCTATCCCCCCTCCTCCCCCCACCCCACAACAGTCCCCAGAGTGTGATGTTCCCCTTCCTGTGTCCATGTGTTCTCATTGTTCAATTCCCACCTATGGGTGAGAACATGCGGTGTTTGGTTTTTTGTCCTTGCCATAGTTTGCTGAGAACGATGGTTTCCAGTTTCATCCATGTCCCTACAAAGGACATGAACTCATCATTTTTTATGCCTGCATAGTATTCCATGGTGTATATGTGCCACATTTTCTTAATCCAGTCTATCATTGTTGGACATTTGAGTTGGTTCCAAGTCTTTGCTATTGTGAATAGTGCCGCAATAAACATACGTGTGCATGTGTCTTTATAGCAGCATGATTTATAATCCTTTGGGTATATACCCAGTAATGGGATGGCTGGGTCAAATGGTATTTCTAGTTCTAGATCCTTGAGGAATCGCCACACTGTCTTCCACAATGGTTGAACTAGTTTACAGTCCCACCAACAGTGTAAAAGTGTTCCTATTTCTCCACATCCTCTCCAGCATCTGTTGTTTCCTGACTTTTTAATGATCGCCATTCTAACTGGTGTGAGATGGTATCTCATTGTGGTTTTGATTTGCATTTTTCTGATGGCCCGTGATGATGAGCATTTTCTCATGTGTTTTTTGGCTGCATAAATGTCTTCTTTTGAGAAGTGTCTGTTCATATCCTTCGTCCACTTTTTGATGGGGTTGTTTGTTTTTTTCTTGTAAATTTGTTTGAGTTCATTGTAGATTCTGGATAGTAGCCCTTTGTCAGATGAGTAGGTTGCAAAAATTTTCTCCCATTTTGTAGGTTGCCTGTTCACTCTGATGGTAGTTTCTTTTGCTTTGCAGAAGCTCTTTAGTTTAATTAGATCCCATTTGTCAATTTTGGCTTTTGTTGCCATTGCTTTTGGTATTTTGGGCATGAAGTCCTTGCCCATGCCTATGTCCTGAGTGGTATTGCCTAGGTTTTCTTCTAGGGTTTTCATGGTTTTAGGTCTAACATGCAAGTCTTTAATCCATCTTGAATTAATTTTTGTATAAGGTGTAAGGAAGGGATCCAGTTTCAGCTTTCTACATATGGCTAGCCAGTTTTCCCAGCACCATTTATTAAATAGGGAATCCTTTCCCCATTGCTTGTTTTTCTCAGGTTTGTCAAAGATCAGATGGTTGTAGATATGCGGCATTATTTCTAAGGGCTCTGTTCTGTTCCATTGATCTATATCTCTGTTTTGGCACCAGTACCATGCTGTTTTGGTTACTATAGCCTTGTAGTATAGTTTGAAGTCAGGTAGCGTGATGCCTCCGGCTTTGTTCTTTTGGCTTAGGATTGACTTGGCAATGCGGGCTCTTTTTTGGTTCCATATGAACTTTAGTTTTTTCCAATTCTGTGAAGAAAGTCATTGGTAGCCTGATGGGGATGGCATTGAATCTATAAATTACCTTGGGCAGTATGGCCATTTTCACGATATTGATTCTTCCTATCCATGAGCATGGAATGTTCTTCCATTTGTTTGTATCCTCTTTTATTTCATTGGGCAGTGGTTTGTAGTTCTCCTTGAAGAGGTCCTTCACTTCCCTTGTAAGTTGGATTCCTAGGTATTTTATTCTCTTTGAAGCAATTGTGAATGGGAGTTCACTCATGATTTGGCTCTCTGTCTGTTATTGGTGTATAGAATGCTTGTGATTTTCTCAGAATATTCTTGATATTTCACCTGTTAATTATTCAAAGTACATAGTAGATCTTTAATGCCCTTGAGGAAAACATGTGGGGAACTTGCCAGTTTCCAAATTTATAGATCCCATGCTTTGTGAGGTTATAGTCAAGTAAGTGTACAACCATAAAGACAAACACCAGTGCAGAAGCTGGGCAGTCAGCTGGGCTCACAGACTGCACAACTAGTTTTCACCCACCAGCCTCTCAGCACACTCAATTCCAGATTGTGCCCAGCAAAATTACATGGTATGCCACAGATCTTTAGGGTTCCCTTCCCCCAGATATCTGAGATCATAAATCTTAAATTCATACATGCTAAGGGTGTAAAATATTTGCAGTTCATTTTTACACATCAAGCCCTCATCTTCTCCACTATTGTATTATACCAGTGTTGACACCACCCACATTTTTTAGTTAGAAGCCAACTGAGTTGAAAGATTGGCCTTATTCTTACTCCAACTCAGATACTGGTCTGGCAACAGTAACCCCATTTTTTGATGCTTAGTTCCTGGTTATTTCACAATTTAAGTGTAAATGAATTGTTGACTTGAAACATCTTCTTTGCATAAAATCTGAAAATGTGTAATTCAGCAGGAGAAAAGTATAAGGCCATCAAGTCTCACCTCAAATGTGTCAGACAACCAGTGTATATCTGTAATTACTTTCTTATGTCCATTTTCTATTGAAGAGACTGCACAGTGTCTGATATACATTGCTTCTTTATTACTCTCCGGTTCAAGGAGAAACATAGGCTGAAAAATATTAAAAGAAAGTTAAGTGCTAATTTCAGAGGGCTGATGAATGAACTCATACTTTACTCATCATCTCAATTAAAATGAACAATTTAGAGATATACCAGTTCAAGGAAAAACATAAATTAGTGTTTCTCTATATCATATATTTAGGTAATAGGATTATCTACTTTTCCCTTCAGTTTGGTCTAAGACTATTTCTCTAAACTTAACAAGTATTATTGACCTACTCCATAAAGAATCAATGAGACATCTCATTTTAGAAGGAGTATTTCTTTGTGCCTATAGAAGGCTGCATCTCACCATTCTTTGGTAAGAGACTTGTTGATGTTAAGGCTGAAGAACTGGGCTGGAGTAGATGCATAATATGGTGGGTAGGTATGGAGTAATCTTCTCAACCCTCTTAACAGAATCCATAGCCCCACAAAATCATGGTATATTATCATCAAATATGATGTAACCCCTTCATTTTATACATGAGAAAAGCTATCGTGCTGAGGTGAGGTGGCATGTCCAAACTCACAGGACTACGGTCCACAGCCTGGGTATCCGCTCTTCTGTCCAGTGCTCTTTCAATCACCTCACTTTAGGCAAGTCACTTGGTCCCTTCATTTCATTTAACAATAACAACCAGACAGAACTTCATATCCTTGGGTAGATGGTGCAACTTGATTCATTGTGTTTTAATCAAGGGCCCACATAAAAGTGATTCAGAACATGTTCACAAGCACAGGTGAAGGCTTGGGAAATAACATTCTTTTTTTTTTTCCTTTTTTCTCTTGAGTTTTTATTAGCCTTGGCAACTATATTATGTACTTTTCCATAAACTCTTCAATGGAAAAAACTTGCAAGTGAAATGTTGTAAAAAGCTTACCTTCAGTGTGGCTCTTTTACTTCTACTACCACCTGCCTTAATGTTTTCTATGCGATCTGCATGTGCGGTGATATCCCACATGACAATCTAAAATGGAAATAAATGTTATCATAACCTTTTCAGAAAATATCTAATTGAGTCTTAATTTTCTTTTAACTATTGGTTTGTAGCCTGATAAGTCAATCACCTTAGGGGATAATCAAATGTAGCTTATATCTTAAGTAAGTCAGCAATTTTTAAAGCTAATATAAAAAGAATGTTTTCTTCTCTGTAAAAGTATCTTTAGCACTTTCATTTTTGTGCTTACATTAATAAAGGCCAGTATTTTTAAAAAATCCAAAATAAATGTCATGCAATTCCCTTTGCTTTAGGAAAAGTTCTTCCTGTTTTTGGAGGTGTGCTATGATTGTAGGGACAGTTGCTTTGGACCCAGGAAAAAACAGCCCATACTCCAGAATTGAGTACAAACACCCGACTGTCCAAAGAAGGCTGGGAAGTGATTATTTCTATTTAATTGACTATTACAGCCAACTCTGAATTCTTATGTATCTAGAAGGCCATTTTTTAAAAACAAGTCAGGATAAGGTAGATATATAACACTAAATTAGGTTTCCAAAGACTAAAAGGTATTTCAGTACACTAAAGTTTTAACAAAATGTCAGGAGTACAGAATTGTAAGTGATTTTATTTTCATCATGTGCTTTTCTGAAATATTCTAAAATAAAGTCACATTACCTTTGTAATGAGTGAAAAAGGCATTTCGGGATTTGCAGGGCTTGGAGGATGGGCTTTGAGTCATTATGACCCTCAGTTATTGTTGAACAAAACTGAGGGAGAAAAAATTGTTTTCCTGGTTATTTTGGTTCTGGATAAATGGACATGGAAGCTGCAGACATTTACATTTTAACCACAAGGAAGTTTTTCAAACCACACACACAAAAATCATATACCCTTTTGATGGTCAAACCCACTGAATCACAATGAATTTAAACCTTGACCATAAAACAGCTTTATGATTGTTTTGCTTCACTAGAGAAACAGGATATTGGAGGATAGGATCTAAATTTGATATTAGATAACTTAAAAAGAAGATAAAAGCAAACGGTATTGAGATACATATATATATATATAATCTTTATATATAATCTTTATATATAATCTTTATATATATATATAATCTATCTATATATATATATACACACATATATCTGCCTATAAATTCAGTGATGTGTGTATGCTTTCTAGTGAATTTCTGTTTAAGTTCTGGATCATCCCCTAACTCCTACTCCCAAGGAAATTTCAGAAGAGGCCTTTTTTTCCAAGAGGTAGTAATGCTTGTAGCTTTTGTTCTTCCATGGAATCTTATACAATATGTGGTTCAGTCCCAGCAACACAAATAGATTTCACCCAATTCTGTTTCAGTTTTGAAGCTGGGTTACCCCGTGAACACCTCAGGAGCTGATACCGTGTGTAACACGTCTCTATACCCTGCTTCCTGGTGTGGTGTCTGGCACACAATTGGCATGCCTTCCTTCTGCTGAATTGAATCCTTAAGTCCAAGGAACTGCCAAGTCAAAACTTATTACCAAAGGTTGTCTACATTAATACATAGCTGAAAAAAATTCTGTTAAGTACCTGCCCATTGATACAGCCTCCAGCAATGATATTAGGATCACTCGGACAGAACTTGAAGCAGAAGATGTCATCTGGGCTCTCCAGCATTAACTAAAGTAAACCCAGCAAATTCATGAAAGAATGAGAAAAGAGATTAAGATCATGGCGAGAAAATAATATTAAGACAGTTAAAAGTCTAATTTTATAGCTATCTATAAGCAAGGTGCGTAGAGAGTCTATTCTCAGAGTTCTGCCTCTGGACTAAAAGCTGCTTTTGCTTAATTTTATTGTGCACATTGGCCATACGAGTGACAGTGAGTATGTTCTCAAGGGGACCCAGGTATTCCCCAACCCACCCCTCAGTGGAAACAAATTGTAGTTATTTTGGGAGCATGTTACAATGTTTATAACAAAAAGACTATGAAATTAGTGTTCCTGAAAACCATGGAAGGGAAGCTCTGTGAGGACAGGATCTGTGTCTGTTTTGTTGCTTGCTGAATACTGAGCCAGGCACTCCTGGAGTGGAGAGGAGATCTACAGGGTAGAAAGGTTAGAAAACTCTAGTGAGAGAGTGGCTCTGTTTTTGTGGCTGACAAGAAAGGGCTAGAGATCTTTCAATTTGATCTCTGGGTCTATAATCATTAAAGTATCTAGAATCTATTACAGTAAAACTACCTTAATTCAAATGAATTGGGGAAAGGAAGAAGGGGAGGCTAGGGTTTTTTAGGGAAAGTCTTAATTATGAATACTTTTTAGAAACAAAATATTATTATATTTAAAACATTGAAATAACTTAATCTAACACTATACACCACCCACCCACTAGGCAGATCTCTTATTGAGCAGACCATGAAAACTAGAACCCTGTGTAGCAAACCCAGCCTTCAGCCTCATTTTATTTGAATTGCTATGTGTTTTGGTTGGTTTGAGTGGGGTTTTTGTGTGTTTTGGCTTGGTTTTAGTTGAGCTATTTAAAATTGGGCGATTTCATACAAAATTCCAAATTTCTCAATTCTCTTGACAATGGGACCACCTGGCAACAAGAGGGCAGCCAGCCTAGAGATGGATAATGCACTCTCCAAGGCCGCAGTCCCTACCACTCCCCAGTGCTCTCCCACACATTCACCTTTATTTATTACCCAGTGATCCTTGGAATTGAGGAAACTCATGTGAAACTAAAATCTATTTGCATTTGACCAATTAGTATTCAAGTAAAGTCCATAAAAGAGTTTGTTTTAAAAATAGTTTAAACATTCCTCTTACAATCTTTGAAAAAAATAGCATGTTGATTTGTTCAATAAACAAATTGTAAACTTTAGTTTTGCTCAAATTGAATGATGACAAGTTCTGCATTGAAGAAAGCCTAACTTTATAAATGTTTACAACATTACATGATTATAAAGTACTTTGCAATAAAAACTGCTAAAGGTATACATGAAAGTAGTATTTGAAAATTTAGGCTATGTAGGCAACTCTCCCTAATTACCTGAGGATGTATAGGATCAGAGAAGCTCCAGAAAAGAATCAGTGATGGCTGCAGCAATAATTTACCAGAAAAGTGAACTCTGTCTTCAAAAGAAAGTCGCACGGCTACCGACACAGCTATTAGCCCTGATGGAAACACATGTAGAAATTAAAGTTGGCAGCAACTATACATGGAGAGATGTCTCTAGCTTTTGCTTTTCTACACAGCCACTCTTCATTTACACTTTGTCCACAGGAGAGCAAGAGTTTTCTTAGAGCTCTGCTGGCTAATGTGGTTGCCACTAGTTACATGCTACTTATTTAGCACTTGAAATCTGGCTGGTCCAAACTGACATGTACTGTTAGTATAAAATATACAGGGGACTCAGAAGATTTTGGAAGAAAAGAAAATCTTGTTTTGTTTCTTTTTTGTGAGAAAAGGGCCAGTGTAGGGTGAAAGGAGGAAGAAAGAGGACAAATACCTCTCTCTTTCCATGTTTCCATCTTTGCACATCCCTACCTACCTCCCTTGGCTGCTGAGCTCTTTAAAGGAGGCACATTTCCTCTCTTGTCTAGTAATCAGAAAGGCAGTGTTAGGAGGAAGAAATTTAGCCTTGGGAGAGCAACAGGCCCAAGCCCAACCCAGACTCTGCCTTATGCCATCTGGGTGACCTGGGCGAGTCACTTCCCTGAGTTGAGCTTGGGTCCTTTTGTTGTGAAACAGAGATAATGACAGGTGTGTATCCTACAGGGTTGTTGGGAGGACACATGACAGTGAGGGCGTGGAAAGCACATGGCAGGTACCTAGTGAGTACAGAGCAAATGGAAGGTGTCTTATTGACATTGAACTAGTTTGCAATTTTACATATGAAAGCAACAGACAATTTCAATGTTATCACAAAAGGGAATCCCCATCATTTCCATCTCACCATAGATAGTTGGATGCCATGAGACACAGGTAATCATTTTCTCCGTTGGGCTATGAAGGTCGGTAAAGGACTGGTACTCTTTCAGGTGGGTATCGGTCTTGTCCCCAAAGGTGCCTTCTTCTTCTGCGAGGTATTTCCAGTCATCAATAAATGTGTTCATGATTTCATTTTGCTGCAGGGCTATTTCAACACTAATTTGTAAAAATAAAAAAAGCAATTAAGATATTGGTTTTTAGTATCCAATAATGTGACTATCTTAGCAACTCCTCCTCCTTCATTTATACTGAACAAAAAATAATAATTCTCAATTATATTTGGTGATAATGATTAACCTCATGTGAAATAAATGACTTAAGAGAAAAAAACATCATGGTGGCATGTTACTCAGAACCTCGAGCAACTTCATGATCTGCCTCAGTTTCCAAGCCAAGGCTGTACTCTCTCCAGGCCAATGCCTGAGCATGCAGCTGCAGGGATGGCTGGGCCTGGCCAGTCCTCCTTGTGCAGCACTCCCACAGCAGGCATCTTTGCTCTGGAGCTCCTGCTGAGTAGGCTGAGAATTTGTCTGATGCTCTACCTTCCCGGTCCTGTCTCCTCCTCCTTTATTTTTCACAGTGTAATCCTCAGTAAACGTCTGCCTCTAACTTGATGTCATTTGCTTCCTGGAAAGCCCCAACTGTCACAAATGGCAGTTTTCTTAGGCATATTCTGTACTAAATGATCACTTATCCTTAACAGGATAGCCCCAATACATATGTAATTCAAAACAACAAATAAGAGATTCTGAACAAGGGAAGAATTGGAGTTTAGAAGTGTGTGTGTGTGTGTGTGTGTGTGTGTGTGTGTGTGTGTGTAGTTTTAGTTGTCACAATGCCTGGGAGGTGCTACTGTGTTTAATTCCATTACCAAACCTCCTGCAATGCATGAGACAGTCCCCAAAATGAAAAATTATCCTGCTAAAAATACTAACATTGCTCCTTTAAGATACCATCTGAGTGCTAGGATCATTTGCTAATAGTCTAGGGACCTTGGTTTGACAGGCTCCTGTCTTAAAGTAGTTACTATGATAGTTATTGTCCCTTTTTATGCTTAGATCTGAAAGCTCTGCATACTCCCAAAGTTGCTAAGAGCCCTCCCACAATTAGAATGCCACCCAAGGTTTTACCCTACTGATCAAAACTGTAAACTTCTTGGTTTTATATAGGTGTGGTAAGTTGAAAAAGTGGTTCTCAATTGTGAATTTCTTAAAATAAGAAAAAATCCTTTAGATAGTTCAATATAAACAGTAAAAACAGATACTCCTAAAATATAAAAAAGGGCACCGTTTGATACCCCTGTCATTGATCATTACACTACCAGTCATTGCCTAATTGAGTCCTCCCTTGGTTAAATTCTTCTTGTATTTCATCTTTCAAAATAGACCCCTTTCCTAAGACCTGGCCACTTAAAGTGTGATCCAGTGACCACCAACATGACCTGGGGCTGTTAGAAATGCAGAGTCGCAGGCTCCACCCGACTTACTGAGTCAGAACCTGCATTTTAACAAGAGTCCTCAGGTGATTCATAAGCACACTGAACATTGAATAACCCTGTGTAGCGGACTCTCGAGGCTTAAACAGTTTCCAGTAGAAGCATTAGTAAGCATTTTCCAAATCATATTTCTTTCTGGTTAAGCCCAAATGAGAAGGGAATTCTCAAGAGAAAAGTTAAAGACGTGGCTTCCGCTCTGGTTTCCTGATTCTACCTCCTTAGCCAGAACGGGGAAGTAATTCAAACGGAAGAAGTGAAAACACATCTTTCTTCTGGTTTCCGGTTTCTTGCTTTCCTGGAACCATGTAGCTCCCGAGAGTAACAAATTGGAGGCTAGCAAAACTGTTGTCTAGGAATTTTAACCCCGAAAGGAAGGTTTCTTAGTTGTTTTGTGAATCCCCCTGAAGTTCCTCTCTCTCATCTCATGTCATTGCCTTCTTTTGCAAATAATGCTTCCCTTAAGTTTGTTTTAGATAAAATTCTATGAGAAAGAAATTTCCCATTTCTAAAAGGGCTTTCTTCCAGAACAAAATCAGGCTTACCTTAATTAAAAACTATTGAATAAAGCTTAAGCAGTTTTAAAGCTGGAAGTTATGTTTGCAGTGATATAAACATGGGTTTCTTATCCACTCTGGGCCAGTGCTATTATAATTCCTGTGCCAATTTTCCTCTTTCTTCTTATAGATCTGGCTTCTCCTTCCCACATCTCAGGGATGGAATCATAAAGCTGTCCACTATTCTTTTCTTTATAAGCATGGAAATTCAGAGGGAAGAATAAAAGCCCAGGTCTAAAGATAATATACAATGTGGATTTATTTTGAACATTTTTTTATTCCCTCAAGATCTAGTTTTCTCTGGATATTGATTATATGTAAACAAACTTCTCATTTTGAATATTCTTACAGGAAAAATTGTAATGACTACTAAATTTTGATAAGGGGAGGGTGAAACTCAGGTTTTCTTGTTTCTATCTCATTGCCCGTATAGCAAAAATTATAGCATCCTTCCTGCGAGTGGCAAATAATGTTCTCTCTGAATCATTAACTGAATTTTTGAGCCAGAGTCTCCCTAGGCATAAGTAACAAGTTTGAGAGTTGTTGGAATTTTTAGGATATTTAATCCAGTATGAAAGAACCAACGACATTTCTTAAAAATAAAAAAGTTTAACTTGGGCTATATATGAACTTGACCACCAAGTTTTTAATTTTAGAAAGAAATAGAAACCAGCCTATTGAGTATAACTGGCAGACTTGTCCTCCAGTGGATCCACTTCTCTAAACTCTAGTATCAGCTTGGTGAGAACTTGTCAAGCTGTTTCTCTGGTTTAGAAGCCCCAGAACTCTACCCAGGGTCCTACTAACAGCTTAGGGGGCATTTTGAAGATGCTTCTCTTTCAAAGCCAGTAAGAGTGCAGGAACACAGGAATTGGTGATAAGAGTGAAATGTCCAAAAAGACATTTGAATTAAATTCAGGTTCTCATCTACAAAGATATTTTTGCAAATACTTATCATCATAATAATGGCCACAGCATTCTCCTCATCCTATAAAAAGTTAATGAGGAAGAGGAGTGAGGAGTGGAGAAAAAGAATTACGTAAAAGTAACCATGGTAAATACAAGTAAATGTTAATCTGCAATTAGGAAAACATCCTCACACACTCAACTCCTCACACAGTTTGATGTGGCCTTAGCTTGATAGGGCTAAGATGTTGCTTAGCAATAGAAAGGAAATAAATATTGAGAATCTGTAGAATGTGTCACACTGACAACTGTCTTCATACTTTTTATCTAGATACCCTATATGGAATTGTTTATTTAGACCTGTTATTCTATGTAAACATATACATTTTATGTTTTATTTTTAAAATTTAATATGCAATTTTTTACCTTATGGATGCATTGTTAAGAAAATCAACCAAAGGCTTTGATTGTTTGAGTGTCTCTTTTTCCTCTTCTGAGAATTCTCTTGGATAATATTGCGTAGTAGCATTTTTAGGATATGTCCTAATATATTAAAAGAAAATTCAATACTAAAGATTAGGTCAAAGAAGAGCAAATATGGGCCACAACAGGTCAAAAGTGTGTCTCTGTGACAATGATGTTAGGATATTATTTTATATTTAAATTATATACATTGAATTTTCTTTATCCTAGACAACTGATATTGACCACTATTCAAAGGCTACATGAATTTCTCTCCAACATAATCAAAAAAATCTTATTTTTGTAAAATTTTTACCTAGAAATCATTTCAAACTTATAGAAAAGTTATAAGAAGGGTATAAGGAATTCCCACACACCCTTCACCCAGATTCGTCAATTATTAACATTTTGCCATCTTTATTGTTTTCTCTCTCTCTTCATTTCACTAAGTCAGTGTCCACCTCACCCCCTCATGGGACATTTGGCAATGTCTAGAAACATTTTTGGTTGTCACAACCTAGACATGCTACTGGTGTCTAGTGAATAGATCCCAGGGATGCTGTTAAAAACCCTACAAAGCACAAGACAGCCTTCCCTCAAAGAGAATTATCCAGCCCCAAATGTCAATTTGTTGAAGTTGAGAAACTCTGCTCTAAACATACAAAACTAGGAATAAGATACATTTCAGCAGTGATGGTGGCAGGAAGTCTTGCTCCATCTAGTATGCTCTTAGTGGCCTCTGTATGTGAACACCTCATATGGCATTGTACCTCTGGGCTTTATCAATCTCAAGTATTAGACTGGGTGAGCCCTTGATCTTGGCATGTAGAGCTTGGAAAAGTCACAGGGCACAATCATTAAGAGTGTGGATTCTGGTGATTGGCTGCCTGGCTTTGAAGCCTGGTTCTATCATTTACTAGCTATATGACCCCTGAGCCAATTATCTAACCTTCTGTGCCTGTGTTCTCATCTCTAAATGAAATTATTCAAGTAGCTAGTTCATAGTGTCATTGTAAGGATTGAATGTGTTGATACATGCAAAACTTTAAAAACAGTGCCTAGCACATTTTAAATGATCAACAAAATATTATGTAGTATTTGTGTTTGTTGAACAAATGTCAGCACAATGCAGAATGTCTCTGTGAGAGGTAATATATTAAATGGAGAGTAATCAGACAAAGGGGTAAAGGGAGTTTTTAGAATAATTCATTTTTTTTCCTTGTTTAGGTCAGTATCCATAGCAGAAGGCAGAGTGGTAGAAAGAAATAATATTAGTATTGGAACCAGAGAGACTTGGGTTCAATTCTCAGCTTCACCTTTTAATTTCTGCTCTCTAGACAGGGTTAAGTAAAAAAAAAACAAAATGATATATTGCTTGGTGGTTTTATCAAAGTAGCAACATGCCTAAGAGTCACTCTTACTTTCGAAATATGATTTGTTTTGTTGTTTTTCAGCAAAACCATTCATTATTGCTTCAAGTTTAAATTATGCCCGAAACATTGGGCTTTCATTTTTAACCTCTCTTTGCTTCAGTTTCTCTATTTGTAAAATGGGGATAGTGCCTACCTCAGAGAGCACTTGTGAGGATTGAATTGATGTGTGTAAAGCACTTAGAAGAATGCCTGGTATGTGGTGGGAACACTAGGCATTTGCTTTCACTGTCATTATTCTTTGAACTTCATCTTTGATTTTTCTTGACTCCCTCCAATATAATCACATATCCTACTTTCTCTACCTCATACCAGCTACCCTTCCCAATTTCCTGCTTGTAATGCATGGTACCAGCATTCTCCCAGTCACCTAGGTTTAAACCACTTGAGTTCCTTTTAATTCTTTGAAAAAATTGTTTTTTCATTTTGTGGGTCAAGACCTGCCCTTATTTCTCATCTGTTTACTCCCTCTATGTAGGAACACTGCCAATATTATTATTATTAGTCTGTATTCTGAGTCTACCTACTGAGTCTACCCTGGCTGACTCATTCTTGGTACTTGTCTGTACCCTAGTAGGAACATAAAATAAATCTCTGGCTGGCTTGACTTAGAAATTTGTCTCAAAATTCAAGTTCATTTGGTACTAATATATCACCTCTCTCCTTCCTCTCTTGCCCTCACTTCTTGATATTTATGGATGTCTGATGTCCTCCTTCCCTGCCAGGACTTGACCACCAATTCTTGCCTTTCTCTTTACCGCCTCTTGTTTTGGCCTGTCTGTTCATCTTCTTCTCTTGTTTCTGACTCATTTCTTGGCCCAACTTTTGGAGTCCATATATATATATGCCCTGACTTTAACATTGCACTTTCATGGTTTTTAACCTGTTAGTTCACATAGATCTGAAAAGTATCTTCTGTATTGCATTCCATGGTGCTGAGCCCTGATTCTCCTGGTCATGACTTGTCTCACTGTGTATTTCATAGCTCTTCACTTAACACTGAATTCAAGTCTGTCATCATTCTGCACATTCTTCCTTACCTACATCCTTTTCTTCCTGTTTTCCCTCCTCCATTCTTTTTTCC
Source organism: Homo sapiens (assembly GCF_000001405.40). NCBI lineage: Eukaryota > Metazoa > Chordata > Mammalia > Primates > Hominidae > Homo > Homo sapiens. The sequence goes on along the minus strand of NC_000001.11, from coordinate 85,087,682 downwards.
CCTCCATTTAATAAATATATGCCAGGAACTGTCCTAGGAGTTGGGAACATAGCAGTAAACAAAATATACAAAGTTTTTATCTCATAGAGCTTAAATTCCAAGGGCAGAGTGAAGAGAAGAGAGATGACGAAAAACACAAATCAAGTGATTATGGCACAGTGGAGAAAAATAGAGTAAGGGGATAGATGGTAATGGAGTTGTTGCCTTTTTTTTTCTTTCTTTCTTTTTTTTTTTTTTTTTTTTTTTTTGAGATGGAGTCTAGCTCTATCACCAGGCTGGAGTGCAGTGGCACTATCTTGGCTCACTGCAACCTCTACCTCGCGGGTTCAAGCAATTCTCCTGTCTCAGCCTCCCAAGTAGCTGGGATTACAGGCACACGTCACCACGCCTGGCTAATTTGCGTATTTTTAGTAAAGACGGGGTTTCACCGTGTTGGCCAGGATGGTCTCGATCTCTTGACCTCGTGATCAGCCCACCTCAGCCTCCCAAAGTGCTGGGATTAAAGGCGTGAGTCACGGTGCCCGGCCAAGTTGTTGCTTTTATATAGGAGTGTCAGGGAACACCTCATTTGAGCAGAGATCTGAATGAAGGAGGGGATAAGCACAAGGGAAGAGCATTCTATGTAAAGGACTCGTAAGCTTAAACACATCAGGTATGAGTATGCGTGGTGAATCAAGGAATGAGGAAGCCAGTGTGGCTGGATGGATGAGCAGGGAGAACTGTGGGAGATTAGGGCAGAGGGGTAAAGGGATCTAGATCATATGAAGCCTTGTAGGTTCATTTGGGATGACAGGCCATTGGAAGGTTTTGATCAGTGACATGATCTGACTTGCATTTTAATAGGATTACCAGGGCTTCTCTATGGAGAACTGAATGCAGGAGAGAAAGGATGGCTAGAGGAAGCCCACTTAGAAGGAATTACAGTAATCCAAGCAGGAGATGATGATGAATGGTCTAAGGTAATAGCAGTGGGTAAATTTTGAAGATAGACCCAACAAAATCCAAGGCTTTTGGTCTGAGTAATTAGAACAATATCATTACCACTTACTGAGAGGAGGAAGATTCAGCATGGGCAATGGCAGGAGGAGGTGGAACCGCAGGTATTCTGGGAACTGGAAGCAACTCATAGGGCTGGCACACAGAGAGCTTGTTTAGGAACAAGGGATGATGGGACTGGAGAGGCAGACAGTTCCTCGTCATAGAGGAAGGAGAACCTCATATGCCATCCTAAGGGCTCTGGATGGATGTATTTTTTAAGTGATGAAAGCCAAAGAAGAAACCTAGACAATGAAGTAACACCATCTGATTTGATGTTTAAGAATGATGACTTAGGTAGTAGAACAGAGCAATGAGGGGCATGGTAATATGCCAGATGAGAGATGACCAGCACTGTCATGATAAACAGCATCACTCATTTTCCCACTCCAGTCTTTACAATCTTCCATACTTCTATCTCATTTTCCTGTTATGATTTTTAAAGGCATTATTGAATATAATTAGATCTTCCTGAATTGAATTACTCTGTGGAGATCTATGTGTCATCATCATTAATCCATTTCTATTTATTATAAAGAGCTCTCAAAATAATAATGGAAGTTACTAGATTTTACTGTAACTGGCTATAAAATTACATACACCCATCACATACTTACCATTTTGTCTGAGTGCTTATGTCCTTTATTTGGGGGATTACTTGCATGCCAACATCTTTTTCAAGTTGTTTAAGGGTAAAATTTTTATCTGGGTAGGCTGTACATTCAATATAGGCATCTTTTACACTGGAAGCATTCTGGTCACTGAACTTAATTGGTGCACCAAATTCACTTCGTTTTCGAGAAATCATATATGTAATCTGTAACACATGTAAACAGTAAAGGTAACATAATGAAGTCCCTGATGTGTAGGCAATGTTGGTACTCTGCTCAGATCCACTCAGAGCCCTTTGTGCACTTTCTGTGAGCACCTCCAGCTCTGCATGCTTTCCATTCACATGAGCAGCACCCGCTCCTCCTCTTTGGAGGGCTGCTCTAGGGCTATTGGGACCACTTTGCCAGCAGGTGCAAAGAACAGGAAGTAACTGGCAGTTTCATCTTGACTAATGGTGGACTGGCAGGAGGGATACATAAACCCCTCTCCTTGGCTTCTGTGTGGGACAACTCTGAGGTATAATTTACACTCAGAGTACCTCTTTGGGTTTGGCTGAAGCCTTCCCTCTGCAGACTTTTGCCTGAGAGTGCAGCCTGGCAGGCCTTCCTCCATATCCCTGTTCAGCGCTTGTCATGTTCTCTTCTGGGGCACTTTCCTAATAAACCACTCATACACAATTCCCCCTCACAGGAGTTCCTTTGAGAGGGAATGCCACTATATTAGCTTCCTACAGCTGCCATAACCAAGTACTACAAATGGGGTGGCCTAAAACAACAGAAACTTATTCTCTTACAGTTGTGGAGGCTAGAAGTTTGAAATTGATGTGTTTGAGGGTTGTTTCCTTCTGAAGGCTCTGAGGGAGAATCTGTTCCCTGTTTCTGTCCTGACTTCTGGTGACAGCCAGCAATCCTTGTGTTCCTTGGTTTGTGTATCCATCTTTCCAGTCTCTGCCTGCTTCTTTACATGCCATTCTCCCTGTGTCTCTTTGTCATCCCATGGCCATCTTATCACAAGGACACCAGTTGTATTGGATTAGGGACCTACCCTACTCCAGTATGACCTCATCTTAAATAGCTATACCTGCAATGACCCTATTTTCAGATAGAATCACATTCTGAGGTGCTGGAGGTTAGAAGTTCAACATACCATTTTTTGGAGACAAAATTCAACTCATAACACCCACTTAAGACAATGACCATTCTTCTATAAAAGCAAACCAAAACAACACACCAAAAACTATGCCTCCATAGCAAACACAGTAAACCTTATGAATCCCTCAGGAATAAGTGTTGTTCAGCTACAGGGAGGTAATGATTACAGATCATATATAACCCTCTAACCTGCTTTGTAGATTCCGTAACTGATTCTTCCTCAATTTCTTTTTCACTGCCCAAAGAAACCCATGGTTTAGAGACAGGTGGTTTATAAATATACACATCTTCAGGAATATGTTCTTTATATTCTTCTTGTTCTTCTGGTACTTCTGGGGGCTAAAGTAAAATAAATAGCATTCTACAATGTATGCCCAAGTTTAGGTTATAGCTTTATATATATATATATATTTTGCAACAAACTTTACTTTTATATAAATTCATTAAGCACCTTTTTACTTTTTTTTGTCAATTCACACTTTTGAATTATGAAAAGGAAACAAAGCAAAAAAGGGAAAAAGAAAAAAGAGGTATCAAGCATATAGAAAGAAGAAAAAGACAGTAGACAAGAAAAGATATATATACACATCTCTACATATGGATGTGTATATATATATATATATATATATATATACACACTGCTGATATATATATACACATATATATACACATCTCTACATATAGATGTGTATATATACACACACACACACATATATATATACACACACTGCTGCTTTATTTGTAATAGTAAAAAAAAAAAAATCAACCAAATGAATATCAATAGAGGAATGGATTGATGACAGTGTGGTAAAACCATAAAATAAAATTCCATAGAGCAGTTATAATGAACAAATTTGACCTACATATATATGGTATCTAAATGTACTGATATTGATAGATCCTAGAATTTTATAATTTGGTGAAAAATGAAGTTGCAGACTGAGTATAAAAATGACACAATTTTTATGTGAATGTTAAGTTAATAAGACTATAAGATCCATTATTGTAGAACATAAATATATGGTAAAGTGTAAAACCACAGACAAGAACAATATGTAACAATTTAGAATAATGGTTCCTTATAGGGAGGAGTAAAGAAAATGGAATTAGGGAGGATACGAGAGGGAGTGGAATATTGTCTGTAATATTTATTTCTTTTGTTAAAAAAGTTTTAAAGTAAATATAATAAAAATTAATATTTTAAAATTCTGGATAATTAAGTGTAGATATTTGTTATACTACTCTGTAGTTTTTTCTAAACATTTAAAATATTTCATTACAATAAAAAATTAAAAACAGAACAACAATCATAAAAATAAAATTGAAAATGTTAAGGCTAAATGAAAGATGATTTTTAATTATAAACTGTTAGCTTTTATTTTATTTTTTTTTCTTTTTGAGACAGGGTCTCACTCTGTCACCCAGGCTGGAGTGCAGGGGCATGATCATGGCTCACTGCAACCTCCACCTTTCCGGCCCAAGTGATCCACCCATCTCAGCCTCCCAAGTAGCTGGGACTACAGGCACGTGCTACCATGCCTGGCTAATATTTTTATTTTTTGCGGTGGCAGGGTCTTGCCATGTTACCCAGGCTCATCTGGAACTTCTGGCCTCAAGTGATCCCGCCTCAGCCTCCCGAAGTGCTGGGATTACAGGCATGAGCCACTGTGCCCAGCCTAGATATTTTTTTAATTATATGGTTTCCCTTTATTCTTATTGCTTATTGGACAGCCACACAAACCTCTCTGTCATCCTCAAACAATTTAAACAAACCTCCCAAATTGCTTCCTTCAATTTTACCAAACAGGAATGGAAGATTGGAAAGAGAGTCTCATACATCTGTTACCTTTCTTACCCACCTTGAACAAAGGGCTTTACCTATATGAATCCTCATGAAAGCCCTGGAAATGTGCAATAATGGTGCCACCATTTTACCAATGAGAGGCTCAGTAACTTACTCAAAGTTGTGGAGACGGCAAGAAGAGAACAAGGAAAGCGGTACTCCAGATTCACTGTTTCCTCTCTCACGAGGTCAACGAAGGGCAAATCTGCTACCCTGAGATACTTGATTTAGTTCATCCCCCATTTACTGCTTACATATTCTAGGTGCCAGAACCCGATCTGGGTCCCAAAGAAACAGAGCTGAACAAGAATAATCATCACTATGTATAGGGATCCCCGCAGAGGTACCGCTTCTGCTTCCTTCTGCTAATCAACAAATTGCCCAGCCTGGGCAACATATGAGACCTCATCTCCACAAAAAATAAACAAAATTAGCTTGACGTGGTGGTGCACGCCTGTAGTCTCAGCTACTTGGGGGGCTGAGGTGGGAGGATCACTTGGGCCTGGGAGATTGACGTTGCAGTGACCATGATTGTGCCACTGCACTCTAGCCTGGGTGACAGAGCAAGAGCCTATCTCAAAAACAACCACAACCACAACAAAAACAAACAAATTACAAGGGCTTGGGGTTTGCTCACATTTAAATAGTTTTCTTTGCCCTCTTCAGTTGCAATAAGATAAAAGTTAAGTCCATATTTGAAGTCTTTGTCATAAACAAGCAGAAGCTCATTTCCAGGATATTCCTACAAGAATATAATTGAGATAGGAAGTTAATGTTCAATGGTCATTCAGTTTATTTTGATGCCAACACAAAATTCACATTTCGCTAATCAACCAATTATAGAAGATAACCATTGTGCTAATCTATGGCTGATAACACCAAATTGCAAAATTATTTTATTAACTTTAAAAAGCTCTTAAAAACATAATGCATCCAGGGAAATGTACATGCACTTTTACTTCTAACAGGAAAAAAGAAGCAGTTTTTGTTTGGTATTGTGCTCTGTAGCATGCATAGAGATAAATCAGAACCAAAATTATGAATTAAACAATTAAAGCAGAAAATAAGGATAGATTCATATTCTAGTTAAAACTGGGCAAAGGCGGAGCACGGTGGCTGATGCCTGCAATCCCAGCATTTTGGAAGGCCAAGGCGGGAAGATCACTTGAGCTCAGGAGTTTGAGACCAGCTTGAGCAACATGGCAAAACCCTGTCTCTATAAAAACAAAAATCAGTTGGGCATGCCTGTGCCTGTGGTCCCAGTTACTCAGGAGGCTGAAACGGGAGGATTGCTTGAACCTGGGAGGCGGAGGTTGCAGTGCGCCATGATTGCGTCTCTAGCCTGGGAGACAGGAGTGAAACCCTGCCTCAAAAAACAAAACAAAACAAAACAAAAACTGGGCAAGGATGAGCTTTTCTGGGTGTGGGATTAGATAACAAGTCATTGATGGAACTTTGCTTTTCACAGAGGATCATCAAACAGGATTCCCAAGGAGGGGTGGGCAAGCTAGCACTTGCCCAAAGCAATGGGGCCAGATTTGAACCAACAACCTCTCCAACTTTTGTTATTATGTACCAGGAACTTCTTGAGGTAGGACTGAAAATAAATAGGGATATTGTGCTTACCTGGACAATTTTTTTGACTGGGTGGAAATCAGATACTGCAGCTCTGTTGCGCAGGTCCTCAAAAATGTCTTCTTTATTGATAAGCTTATAAGGTTGTTCATCTGTGACATCTTCATCTATTCGGCAGTTAAATATTTCTTGGGTCTTGGTGGTTAATACTAAAGGATAAATTTCTGGATGACCTAGGAAAGACAAAGTGGAATTTGGACATTAAATATGACCACTTAAAATATTAGCATTAGAAAACATGCAATCGCTTGGTTTTAATAATTATCTTGGTTAAATTTTAAGACTTTAAAATTATTATTCCTGTATTTAAAGTAAATATATCCATTATTTTTTAAATGCCAAAAACATTTTTAAAAAAGAAGAAAATAACAATGGCCCATAATACTACCTCTCAAGAAGAAAAACCTCTATTAATATTTTGTTTTATTTTCTTCTAGTCATTCCATATATACCTCATATGAACTTCTAAATACTGCTTTTAATATTTACCATTATGTCACAAGTATTTTACAATGACACTAAGTATCTGTCTAAAACATAATTTTAGATGAATTGAATTCTATAGCATAATTTTAAACCATTCTCGTATTGGTAAGCATTCTAATTTCTTTTCTTGCTTGTTTCCAATTATTGTAAATAATCCTACAAACAAATATCTAGTTATAAATTTTTATTGCATTTCAAATTATTTTCTTGGGATAGATTTAAAAAGTGAAATTATTTGTTGGAAGGTATGACCACTTGTTTAGGCTTTCAGCCTGTATTACTTTTCTAAAACACCCCAACCTCACCCTCTCCCCTGCTGCTCTCTCTTACCAGGTGACTGGCTTTTTATTTCACAGAGAAAACAGGGTCTGAATAGCACAGAATCCTGCCAGGTCCTGCAGCCCTGCCCACCTGCTAATCAAAATGGGCACCACCTTTCTGCCCTTATGCACTCAGAGGACCTGCCCTCCTCAGCCACCAGCATCCATTCAACTATTCCTTTCCTTTCAGCTTTTCTTTCTTCCATGCTGCTTTCCCTCAGCATGCAGATTTGCTCAATGGTCTCTCATTTTAAAGAAACCTTCCCTTAAAGCTGGGCGCGGTGGCTGACACCTGCTCGAGGCAGGCGGATCACGAGGTCAGGAGATCGAGACCATCCTGGCTAATACAGTGAAACCCCATCTCTACTAAAAATACAAAAAATTAGCCAGGCATGGTGGCACGCGCCTGTAGTCCCAGCTACTCGGGAGGCTGAGGCAGGAGAATGGTGTTAACCTGGGAGGTGGAGGTTGCAGTGAGCAGAGATCACACCACTGCACCCCAGCCTGGACAACAGAGGGAGACTCTGTCTCAAAAAAAAAAAAAAAAAAAAAAAGAAAAAGAAAAAGAAAAGAAACTTTCCCTTGAGCCTATATAGGGATCTCTGCTCTTTAGGGCTTCTCTTTTTCACAGTCAAACTTACTGTTACTCAATTCCTCACATTTTTCAAATAGTGGCTTCTCAGTTGGTTGTATTAATAAACCCTTGGACACAGGAAAGTGGGTAGGGAATCCCTTTCCTCCCATCTGGCTGCCAGTCCCAGTATTGCTCTCAGGAGAGAGGAGAGGTTCAAGAGGCTTCCATCCCTGGTCTTCCCATCCCTTCTTTGCGCCTCAGGCCAGTCCTCAGCAGCAGCATGCCCTGGGAGGGTGGACGCTAGAGGACAAAGGAGAATTTTGCCTGCTGCCCTCCCCTCTCTCAAGCCTTCTTCCTGTTTTTTTATCCTTCATATCACTATCATCAGCCACAACAGTCTCAGCTCTGCATCTGTCCCCAGGACTCTCTCCCCAACTCCCAGGGTCCACTCCCATCTCCTCTAGCACCCACGCCCCTGGATGTCAGGCCATCCTCCCTCCAACTTCTCAATAGATGTGCCAGCAAGGGGGAAAGTGTATGTGGCCTCTCATGTTGGAATTTTGAGCTTATTTTCCAATAGAAATATTTTCCCCCACCCCAGGGGCTCTATGATACAATAATTCAGGTAATTTGGAGGTTTTAAATAACTGTATGCATAACACTGATTATATGCAGAAGCATATTTCAAACTGCAGTCAGTTGGCATAACATTGGGAATTCAAGTTGTTCATGAGTGAAGGACAAATTATACACTTTTATCTCCCTCAAAAGACTAACCATAACACCTGGCACTTATAAGATGCTCAATAAGTAACTGTTGACTTGATTCGAATCAAGTACTCCTCTGCAAACAGACTGCATTTGTAGTGTTGAATGGGTAACAAAAGTTCTGTAGTTTTGTCTGAGAAAACCACTAGGTGGGACTGTGAGACTCACACTGTGCTAGTGCCGAAAAGAAGGCAGCTGTCCCTAATAAAACAGAGGCATTCAGAAGACCAGAAAGCTTTTTATCATCCTTGACACTGGAAAGACAGCATCAAAGATTGTTTTCTATGTTATCTGCCCCTACTAAACACACACTTCGAATTCTACTGGCTTGATATTTTTCACACACAAAAAATGATCCTTTCACACTAATTGGACTTTTTCAAGGCAACTCTAATATAGGATCTAACATTCCTTTATCTAGAAGTCAGTAAAACTAGTGGACTGTTTCTGCTTCGAGTTGGCAAACAGTGATAACTGCAGATAACTGGCAGCCAACAGATCACACAAAACTGCTATAGTCCAGTACCATCATGCTCCATTGCCATGAGAACTAAACTAACCAGGGCAAGGCCTGATGCTTCTGGCCACCCCAAAGGGTCACCAGCCAAATACTGTAAAACAACTGCTATTGGGTAGGCTTTGAGGCACACACTGAGAACAGCACCATAGGCTACAGCAATGAGGCCACTGTGATCAGCAATGAGATGGGCTCCCTGGAGCCTCCAGCAGAGTGGGAGGCTGGTTGCTCCAAGGAGTGTAAAACAAGTGTTGGTGCAGAGGAGGAGGCCTTCAGGGCCTTCTGAAGCTGACTGAAGTCAGGAGTGCCAATCACAAGGACAATGTCTGCGAGGGCACTTCCATGGTGCACCTACTGCTCCAGGCACAGTTTTAAGCACTTTATGTGTATTATTAACTCATTTAGTCTTCACAACAACATTCAGAGGTGGTTACTATATTTGTCTCCATTTTTTAGCTGAGAAAACTGAGGACCACAGAGTTCAATAACATGTCCAAGGTCAGCCTCTGGAAGTTGAAAGTGGTGGTACTGGGATCAAAACCAAGATCCCTGAACTCAACTATGCTATGCTTTCTCTCTAATGAGTGGACACAGAAGATCCATGGAGAGGGTCCTGCTTCTCTACACATAGACAAGGAGGGAACAGAGATGATGTTCCATAGGATCCAGTGAATGGCAGTTATTCACCTAGCAGGAACCAAAGGCAGACTCAAGCTCTACACAATTCATGCCTCAGAATCTTACTATGTGCACACAATAGAAGGCTATGCAATATAAATCATAGGTTACACATATATTATCCTACATAATGAGCGTTGTTTAAAACAACTCTCATACATTTCAATTGTACATTCTTTTTTTTTTTTAACATTTTGGTTGCTATCTAGTTTTTTAAAAACAGCTTTGCTGAGTTATAATTGACAAACGATAAACTGCATACAATATGTACAAGTTGATAAATATATGCACATACCCCATGAAGCCATTACCACAATCAAGATAAAGTACATACCCATAAGACCCAAATGTTTCCTCCTGCCCCTGCCTTCCAATACACCTCCTTCATCCCTAAGTAACCCCAAGTAACCACTAAGCTGTTTTCTTGTCACTATAGATTAGTTTGCTTTTTTCTGGAATATTTATAAATGTACTCTTTTTGTTTATCTTCTTAGCATAACTATTTTGAGATTCATTCATATTGTTGAACGTAGCAATGGTTCATTCCATTGCTGGCAAGTATTCCATAAAAGAAAAAAATCTTTAAGATTTTAAAAAAGAAAATCTTAAGAAAGCTTTAAGATTTCTTGGGATTTTGGCTGTGGGTGTCATATCTGGGAAATCTTTGCCAACTCCAAGGTCACAAAGATTTTCTCCTGTTTTCTTCTAGAAGTTTTAGAATATTTGGTTTTACCTTTAGGTCTATGATTCCTTTTGAGTTAATTTTTGTGTATGGTGTGAGGTATGGATTGAGTTCACTTTCTTACTTACAGCTATCTAACTGTTCCAGCATCATTTGTTGAAAAGACTATCCCTTCTCCACTGAATTATCTTTGCATCTTTGATGAAAATCAATTGACCATGCACATGTGGTCTATTTTTGGACTCTATTCTCATGCATTGATCTACTTATCTGTCTTTATAGTATCTTTTTATAGTAAAAAGAGTTAACATGAACCTACTTTGTGACAGCCCTATGTAAGGAAATGTGCATGTACTACTAATTTAATTTCCACATCAGTCTTATGAGGTAGATAGTCTATCTTGCTTTTCAGATGAAGAAGCAGAGGCTCAGGAAGGTGAAGTCATCTGTGGCCACACAGTCACTAAATGACTTTAAGTCATAAGTTTATGACTTAAACCAGGTCTGCCTAATTCCAAAGCCTGTGCTATTAACCACTTCTGGCAAACAGAATAATGTCCCCCTAATATGTTCATGTCCTAATTCCTGAAACTTGTTAATATGGTTTTGCTGTGTCCCCACCCAAATCTCATCTTGAATAACTCCCATGTGTAGTGGGAGGTAATTGAATCATGGGGGCAGGTCTTTCCCGTGCTGTTCTCATGATAGTGAATAAGTCTCATGAGACCTGATGGTTTTATAAAGGGAAGTTTTCCTACACACGCTCTCTTGCCTGCTGCCGTGTAAGATGTGACTTTGCTCCTCATTCACCTTCCACTGTGATTGTGAAGCCTCCCCAGCCATGTAGAACTGTGAGTCAATTAAACCTCTTTTTTCAAATAAATTATCCAGTCTCAGGTATGTCTTTATTAGAAGCATGTGAACAGACTAATGCACTTCTGTATTGTTACCTTACATAAGAAAAGGGATTTGTGGATATAATTATGTTACGGATCTCTACTTTTTGTTGTTTTTGTTTTTATGTTCTTTTTATTTATTTATTTATTTTTCATTTTTTAAAACATTTATCCCAGATACTGAAGGTTAAGGATTTTGAGGTGGGGAGATGACTGGGCCTTTGACATTGGCCCAGTGTAATCCCAAGGGGCCTTATAAGATGGTGACAGGAGGATCAAAGTCAAGGAAGGAGATGTGACAAGGGAAACAGAGGTCATAGAGAATGACTCAAAGATGCTATGCTGCTGGCTGTGAAGAGGAAGGAAGGGGCCAGGAGTCAATAAATACAGTGGCCTCTAGAAGCTGAAAAAGGCAAGGAAACATATTCACCTCTCAGGGCCTCCAGCGATAATCAGCCCTGCTGACACCTTGACATTAGCCTGGTGAAAGTAATTTCAGACTCCTGATTTCCAGAACTGTTAAATGATACATTTATATTGTTTAAGCCACTAAGTTTGTGGCAATTTGTTACAGCAGCAATAGGCAACTCATATACCACTAACTCGTATTATAATTTGGGTAAATTATTTAACATTCGGGAGTCACAGCACCTTCATGTCTGTAATGGCCTTGATAATGCCTACTTTATAGAGCTAAGGCAATAAGAAGAGTGGGCCTGGCAGAAAGTCATTGCTCCACAAATATTAGCTATGTGTAAAAATTATATTTATTCTCCAGAAACCTCTGGGCATTGCCTTGTTAGGCCCTTAGGACTGACAGTTTTTTAGTTAGCCTATTGATACCTTGGCTCCTTGTTAGAAAAAGGGATCTCAGTTTCTTGGAGCATGACAGCCATCAGCCCTGATTAACAGTTGGCAAGGTCAGGGCCCACCATGAGGAAGTCAGAGGGGTCCTGATGCTACCTGAGGGGAGTCTGGGGGTAGAAAGAGGCTTGAGGAGAAGGGGATGCTAACTCAAAACCTACACTTGTCTCACCATAATGTTCTGAGGTTGGTTTTTTCTTTCCCTTAAGCAAACATATTCCTATTTTTCAGTTCATTTACTTTCAATGAATACATCTCAAACTGTGCCCCTTTATCAGGTTCATAGATTTTCTTACCAGTCAATTCATTTAGTTAAGAAATATTTACTGAGCACCCACTATGTGAAAAGCATGATGCTAGTGCCAGGGTATCCAATCTAGACAGAGAGACAGATAATAAACAATGAAGTACACTCATAGATACAAACTGGGCTGGGCATGGTAGCTCACACCTGTAATCCCAGCACTTTGGGAGGCCAAGGCAAGAGGATCCCTTGAGCCCAGGAGTTCAAGACAGCCTGGGCAACATAACAAGAACCCATCTCTACAAAAAAAGAAGAAAATAAATAAAAAACAAAAATAAGTAAATACAAATTGTGATAAGTGCTATCTGGGAGAAAACAGGATGAGAGATGGAACTAAGAAGGGTAGCTGTGGTGGTCTATTTAGATAGGAGCAAGAGGGAACACAACTCATTCACTCATTTATTTATTCAGTAATGAGTTATAGTGCTGTTTGCCATGATTTGGCCATGAGTTCAGTGTTAAGGAATCAACAATATACATTAAATAAGGAGTCTTTAAACAGAAATACACATAAAACAAGGTTATGTATTGACTAGTTAATGAAAATGTGAACAGAAGCTCACAGGAACCTAACCCTGTGTTTCCCCTAGGAGCAATAGTCCAGTATTGGCTAATTCAGTATTCAAAGGGACTGTATAGAATACACGAACGAGAATTGACTGTACTTTAACTTCAGGATTTTAAGTGCTATGAAAGCAATTAAACAAGGTAATAGGTGACACAGAGGTCAAGGAAAGTCTCTTGAGGAAGTGAGATGGTAGTCTAGATCTCAATGATAAGAAAGAGAAAGTTGCATAAAGGGAAGATCTATCTATGCATCAGGGACAGCAAAAGCAATGGCCCTGAGGCTGGAATAAATTTGGAACATTCTGTGCTAAGCAAGGCTGATGGGCTGTAGGTTGGCGAAGAGGAGGAGGAAACAAGGTCAGGACCACTTGAGCACAGGAGCCAGGACCACTGCAAGTTGTGCCCAATGGCAAAGAAAGACTATGGGGGAGTTTAAGCAAGAAAGAGGAGTTTAAGCATGGTTGGGCTGCTGTGCGCCAAATGGACAGAAGGAGGCTGAGTGGAAGCAGTGATATCAAATAGGAGCCTTGGGAACTAACCGATGTGAGGAGTGCGGAGGTTTGGACTAAGGTTGCAGGTGGGAAGATAATATGAAGCAGATGGGTTTGAGATATATTTTAAAACAGGTGGAATTCACATAAGTTGGGGTGGTTTGAAAGGGGTAGGGAGGTGTGGAGGGAGAGAAAGAAAGAAATTAAAGATGACTCCCAGGTTTCACTAACTCAATAAATATTTATTGGGCAGCATATCCTGCTGCAGGCACTGTGCTGGGTGCTGATAACAGAGCCACTTACATTAGCTGACATTCTCCCACTTTCTCCCCACCTCCACACTCCACACCTCTGCCCCCTCTACTGCCCTGGCCCAGGTCATCACCATCTTTCCCCTGGATTGTTGGAAAAACTTCCTAACTAGTCTCTCTGCTTCAGTCCTTGCTCCTGCAATTTGCTACACAGTAGCCAGGATGACCTGACCCTTTAAAAACATGTCAGATGGAGTCACCCTTTGCTTAAATACTACCAATATTTCCTCATTCCATACGATTAAAAGACAAAATCTTTACAGTGGCCTACAGGGCTTTTAGGTCTTCCTCCTTGCCCCCCTCATTGTCTCCTTTCTGTTTCTAAAAGTGAAGCGTGTCATCTAAGTCAACTCTAAGGGAGAGGTTCCCCCTCCATCCCACCAAAAGAAGTCTTGTTGTAAGATTATTTAGCCTTTACATGTAGGAACAACATTAGTTTAGTTGTCTAAGTTCTAGTTATTTGCTTAAAAACCAGCCTCTTTCCTTGAAATAGTGGCATCTTAGCGTGAAGTACAGATAAATATTACCTATGAGCAAAAGTTTGAAAAAATACTTATCTGATAAAAGTCATAAGTTGCAGGCTTATAACACTTTATAGTTATAAAAGGCCTTTCAATAATCATATAATGCATTTTTAACTAACTGCTTGGTTGAAGTTTATTTCTCAGTTTGAAATTCTCTACTTCTATTTTTTCTTTTAAAAATTTTTCATTTTATATTCTAAATGGAATGGTATAATTTTAGCCCATGTACATTTTGATTGATCACTTCAGTTTGTAGTATTCCTGCTTGCTTATTGCATTATTAAAATATTATAAAACTGAGGATGTAAGTTGTAAATTATATTTCCACTTACCCATGCTCTCCATATTTACTGGTTCCATGTCTTCACTAGCTAGAATATAATAAAAGGAAGTCAAATTTACATTTTTGAATCAAATACATCTCAATTTATTATAATCTTTTATTTCTTCTTTTTTTTTTTTTTTTTTTTGAGACGGAGTCTTGCTCTGTCGCCCAGGCTGGAGGGCAGTGGCGCTATCTCAGCTCACTGCAAGCACCACATCCTGGGTTCACGCCATTCTCCTGCCTCAGCCTCCCGAGTAGCTGGGACTAGAGGCGCCCGCCACCACACCCGGCTAATTTTTTGTATTTTTAGTAGAGACGGGGTTTCACCGTGTCAACCAGGATGGTCTCCATCTCCTGACCTTGTGATCCGTCCACCTTGGCCTCCCAAAGTGCTGGGATTACAGGCGTGAGCCACTGTGCCCGGCCAATCTTTTTTTTATTTTTCTTTTTTTTTTTTTGAGATGGAGTCTCAGTCTGTTGCCCAGGCTGGAGTGCAGTGGCGCGATCTCTGCTCATTGCAACCTCTGCCTCCCGGGTTCAAGTGATTCTCCTGCCTCAGCCTCCTGAGTAGCTGGGATTACAGGCGCGTGCCACCACGCCTGGCTAATTTGTGTATTTTTAGTAGAGACGGGGTTTCACCATGTTGGTCAGGCTGGTCTCGAACTCCTGACCTCGTGATCCAACCGCCTCGGCCTCCCAAAGTGCTGGGATTACAGGCGTGAACCACCGCGCCCAGCCAGTTTACTATAATCTTTACCAAACCTCAAAACACAAAATATAAGTGCAAATATACAATGAAGACTTAAACTATCTTGTGAATAATTAAACAGAGAAAATCTGAATAATTGTCTTTCACACTGTTATCTCTTAGTGACATGTTTACTACAGCATTCATTATATCGCATCTAATTGGTATCATAATGAAATTAGTCAAAAGTAAGAATGAATCTCCATATATCTTATTCCTCATACATTTGACTTTATGTCACAGAAATATTTTATTTCATTTGATATGTAAAACCATAATCATTTTGCTGCTAATATATACACAAATACTCCACAAAAAATCCCATTCAATGAAGAAATATTCCTACCAGCTAATACTGGTTTTAGTCTTTTTTTGCCACGTGATGTCTTTTTCTTTTGTTTTGGAGCCATGGTTCTGACTTGGGCTGCATAAAGAGATGATATTATTAGTAAATTGTTACAATTTGCAAACAACTTACAATTTCAAATACTAAACATTATCATTTAATAAACATAAGAATATGTTTTCTAAGATTTACCCTGGGCTAAATCAACCTGTATCTTCATAGAACGGGTGTTCTGTGACAAAGGCTTATTGCAACAACAATCTTACTGATGAGATCTTACTGTTCTGGTGGAGCCATTTAGCTGAAGCGCACCGTGGTGACCTGCCAGAACAAAGTCTCAGCCATAGGTCCTGCCATGGAAGCACGACAGAGGACTTGGCTTCCCCGCCTCTCACTGAAGTTCCCATGCCAGGTAGCTGCTCTGTGCTGCCTTTTGCTGGGCTTCCCAACAGGTAGCCCAGCTACAAAGACAAGATAGGCCACTGGGAGTGACAGGCCCACAGTGTGCATATGCATATATAATTTTTAAATTAACGTAATTGAGCTCATACTTTTATCTCAGCATGTGAACACAAAACCACTAAGGCCTTATTTGGCCTATCAGAGAGAATGCCTCCAAAAGTTTTCCATGGAACTGCTTATCAATTTTGACAGGACAGAACACTGGCCAAGGTCATCACCATGACATCAAATCCTTGTCATCTCCGCCATGCTCACCTTTGTCCCATTCTGTTTAAATGGTTAGGAGTGTGACTGCAGGAGCCTGGCCAGCAGAGTTTTTAAACAGGCTCTACTTCTTCCAGCTGAGTAACCTTGGGCAAATTACTTACCTTCTCTAAGTCTCAGTTTATTCATCTATTTAATGGGGATAATAATAAAATCTACCCCACAAGGTGATTGTGAAGACTTAATGAAATAAAGTGTCATCAATCAACTCAATCATCTCTGACTGGTTTGCGTCACTTTAACAAATCAACACAGACTATTATTTCATAGCCCATGGTCAAAATATCACAAGTTTTATTTTATTCCTAGATGCTGGATCACAAAATCTTGTCCAAAGTGTGGATGTGAGTGTGTCTGTGTTCCTGTGTAAACATCTTCCCTTTAGATTTTCTCATATGAATTTTTTTTAAATGATAAAAATAATAGCTCACATTTGTGAAGTGCTTACTATGTGCCAAGCACAGTTCCAAGTACTTTACTTGTGTTTTTAATTTAATCTTAACCACATTAAAACATTTTTATTGACATATAATAGTTGTGCATATTTGGGGGTACATGTGATACTTTGATACATGTATACAATGTATAATGGTCAAATCAGCATAACTGGGATTATCCATCATCTGAAACATTTATCTTTGTGTTGGGAACATTACAATTCTTCTAGCATTTTGAAATATGCAATGGATTATGGTTAACTATAATTTTCCTACTGTACTATTGAATACTAGATAACCACATTTTATTATTACTATTATCTTCATCTCCATTTTATAATGAGAAAAACGAGGCCCCAAGAGGTTCAGGTGACTCTCCTGAAGGGACACAGAGCGCAATAGGCAGTGGTGTCAGGCTGTGAGCCCAAGCAGCCTGGCTCCAATAGCCACATTCTTAACCTCTGTACTAGATGATCCCTTGGATTTCAATGATAACTGCTGTGTTTCATTGCAAATGAAACTATTTTAAATCATTGACTTTACCTAGGAAGGCAGGAATTTTTATTTTATTTTATTTTTTTTGAGACAGAGTTTCACTCTGTTGCCCAGGCTGGAGTGCAGTGGCGCGGTCTCAGCTCACCGCAACCTCCGCTTCCCAGGTTCAAGCGATTCTCCTGCCTCAGCCTCCCAAGTAGCTGGGACTACAGGTGCACGCCAGCACGCCCGGCTAATTTTTGTATTTTTAGTAGAGACGGGGCTTCACCATATTGGCCAGGCTGGTCTCGAACTCCTGACCTGGTGATCCACCCGCCTCGGCCTCCCAAAGTGCTGGGATTACAGGCATGAGCCACCGCGCCCAGCTAAAAAGCAGGATTTTATTATCTAATCAATATTTTATGATTCTGACAATTTCTATTTTTAAGATATTCTGCAATGAATGGATCTGACTCAACTCTTTAGACTGTCAAATGTCCTCCATATCACTTCCCAGTCTTAGCATAATTTCAAATCTTTCATCTATTCCTTTTTTTCAGAAGATTCCTTATCAATGTACCCCTTCTCCATATGCTATCCCAGCTGCATTTTAGTTTGATGTAAAATACTTGAAAAACTTTCTTTTTTTCCCCAAGACAGAGTCTTGCTCTGTCGCCCAGGCTGGAGTATGTGGCACGCTCATGGCTGTAATCCCAGCATTTTGGGAGGCCGAGGTGGGTGGATCGCGAGGTCAGGAGTTCGAGATCAACCTGGCCAACATGGTGAAAAACTCTTCACACCACTTAGCCTCACCCCACGCACACACCATCACCACCACCACTATTTATTCCACATATATATATTGAGTGACTATGCTGCACCAGATGCTATCCTAGGTGTTAGGGATACAGCAGTGAACAAAATAGGCAAAACCCCTTGTGCAAGCTCACATTCTAGGGGAAGACAGAACAAATAAACAAATAAAGGAGGAAAATATAACTAGTATTTTAAGAACTACTAAGGAGAAAAATAAGGTAAGAAAAGGAACTGGACATTGGAACAAAGATCTGAAAAAGGAGAAAGCAAGAAACACAGATATCTGGGAGAGGAAGAGTATTTTCAGGTGGAGGGAACAGTATGTTTAAAGGTTCTGGGGAAGGATCATGCCTGGCATATTTAAGAAAACAGCAAGAAGGTCATGATGGCTGGAGCAGAGTCAGGGAAAGACTACAGGCAAAGCTGGTCAGAAAGGTGACAGGGATATATTAGTCAGCTTTGCTGCAGTAACAAATGACCCCTACATCTCAGTGACATACGGTAACAAACATTTATTTCTTCTCATGCTATGCACTGTGGTGTGGATGAGCTGCTGCAAGTCTTCTTATTCCGGGATCCAGGCTGAAGAAGCAGGCCTTATTTCACACATACCACTTTCACAGCAGAGAAAAAAGCAAGAGAGCTAATGGAACTACATAATGCTTCCTAACTTTCTCCTTGGCACTGACATGTTGTGCCTCCTGTTCACATTCTATTGGCCTAAGCAAGTAAGTCAATCCTGATAATGGGGGAGGGATTCTCTGCCTGATTGGCAGAAGGTGGGAATGTATGATCCTCTTACAGGTACGGGAGGTAGTGGCTGGGAATGATATAATTGGAAACAGCTATATAATATACCACAAGGGGGGCTAGGTCGTGTATTAGGACCTTGGCTTTCACTCTGAATGAGGTGGAGAGCTATTGGATGGTTTTGAGCTGAGAAGTTACTTTACTCCATCTGTCCCACAATTTAAGGATCAATATGACTGCTGTGTTGAGAAAAGACTGCAGCAAGGAAAAGGCTGAAGCAGGAAATCCAGCTGCGAGACATTTAAAAATCCATGGGAGAGATGAGGGTGCTTAGATCAGGCAGGTGAAAGTGATATGGGAAAAGTGACTGGATTCTGGGTATTTTTGTTAAGTAGACCCAATAAGATTCACTGGTGACTTGAACATATCGCTTATGAGAAGGATAACATCAATGAATTTTGCCTAAGAAATTGAAAGCATGGAGTTGCTATTTATTGAGATGGAGATCCCATGGGAACAGCAGATTTGAAAGAGAAGTTCAGGAGTTCAACTGAAGGTATATGAAGTTAGACTGCAAACTAGACTATAAACTCTGTGAGCATGGGGATTGTATTTTCTTTCCAATTTTTGTAATCCCTGTAACTAGCACAGTGAACATACTAAAAAAAAAAAAAAGTTAGATTAATAACTCCTTGGTCCTCCTTCCCTTCTGCCATGCTTAGCCTATGAATTTCCAGTCTAAACAAAAGGCTTCTACCTAATGGTCTGTGGAATACTCTATAGTCATGCTGTATTAGTTTTCTCTTAATGCTGTAACAAATTACCACAAATTTTGTGACTTAAAACTACACAAATCTATTATCTTACAGCTTTGTAGTTCAGATATCTGACACAGGTCTCACTGGACTTAAACCAGAGTCAGTGGGGCTGCATTCCTTTCTTTCCAGAGCCTCTAAGAGAGAATCTGCTTTCTTGCCTTTTCCAATCTCTAGAGCCCACCAGCACTTCTTGGTTTGTGGCCCCCAACCTCCAACTTCAAAGTCAGAAGGGAGAGTTAAGTCTCACATAGCATACTCTAACCTCTTCTTTGTCTTTCACTTTTAAGGACCCTTGTGACTACACTGGGCCTACCTAGATAATCCAGGATAATCTCCCTATGTTAAGTTCCGCTGATCTTAATTTCATCTGTGACTTTACTTCTTTGCCATATATGGTAACATATCCACAGGTTCCAGGAATTAAGAAGTGCTGCCGTAGAATTAAACTTGAATACAGGTATCAGTTTACAATCATCCCCCAAACAATCAAAGTAAACAAGTGTCCTGTTCTTTTCAAACGCTGCTATTAAATACTCTGTAGATAATTTGAGTTTCCAGTTTTCAGGGAAAAACAAAGTCAAATTTTTGGCAATAAATTAGGCACCAAAATTGGAATGTGCATTAATGCAAGCTGCCTTACCTGAACAGCTCATTTACTACTTTCACAAATGTTAATTGACTTCTGTCTAAATTACTGACTAGTGACTAAGGGCAGAGTGACTAGTGACCAGGTACTAGTGACCAGGTTGTTCTAAAGGCTTTTAGGGGTCTTAATTCTTCTTCACTAAAAAGCATAATATCTACATTTCTAGGCACCATCGATAGAAACATTTATAAGCTGAAGAGAGCCCGGTGAATATAGTCTAAACTGAAAGGAAAATGATTACTTTGGGAGTAGCCACCTTATATTGTATTTCAGTTTCAGGCAAAATTTTGCAGTTTATTTTAGTAATTGTAAATAATGAAAATCCTACCAACATTATGTCTAGAAAATAAATAACTTTTAATTGGGGGTATCGAAACCAAATGAATAATACACTTTTTATAATTTCAATAAACACATTTATTCAAGGTTTATTTTTTATGTAGATCTTTCTTTTTAAAAACAAATCCCCAACAAAGATATTACTTTCAAATTATAGCAGGGCTTACTGAAGTTTTTTTCATAAAATTAATTGAATATTTCATAAATGTGTTATATTTAACAAACTTTTTTCTATTAAGTTGCATATTAAAAGCTTATGAAAAAATTTTCAATATCCAATCCTACTTTAGTCTAAGTTTACTTTGAAATATGCATAACATTTTTTCTGTTCCCAGCTGAAATCAATTTGTAATTATTAAGAGTCGCAGAAGAGGCCAGGTGCAGTGGCTCACGCCTGTAATCCCAAAACTTTGGGAGGCCGAGGCGGGCAGATCATGAGGTCAGGAGATCAAGACCATCCTGGCTAACACAGTGAAACCCCCGTCTCTATTAAAAATACAAAAAAATTATCCAGGCGTGGTGGCAGGCGCCTGTAGTCTCAGCTACTCGGGAGGCTGAGACAGGAGAATGGTGTGAACTCAGGAGGCAGACGGAGCTTGCAGTGAGCCGAGGTCATGCCACTGCACTCCAGCCTGGGCAACAGAGCAAGACTCCATCTCAAAAAAAAAAAAAAAAAAAAAAAAAAGAGTAGCAGAAGAGATAATTCGTCTACTCCTAAAATCAATGTTGTGCCTAACCCAGTGGCTTGTGTTTTGACTGGTTTTCAAACCACTAGAGCTGAGTGTATTTCAAAATAGAAATTTTGGAAGGTAACACTTAGAAATGTTTAAGCATTTTTATTAAAAATATTCTTGATATTTAAACTACTTATTTTCTTTGTAAATTAATTTACCCATTTCAGAACACCTTTTGCCATCAATGCACAAAGGTCACATTTTCTAGATTCTACGTTAACAACAAGAGACATTAGAGGTTGACAAAAGTGTGTATTGGGTAAGTCCCCTGCATAACAGATCAAAACCTGTGATGGTGCACCACTTGATTACGAGGAACCCTGCATTCACAGCTGTCTACGATCTGCTTCCAAACTAACTCTCCAACTTGCCCATGACTATATCCTTTTATGATGCTTCTATTATTCAGGAGGTGAACTACTATAGATGAAGGCATAAGTAACATAAATTAAATTGTCATAATACAGTGATTTAAACAGCTATTAATCTCCTCTCTTCACTTTATTCATGCAATGCATTGTGAAAGTTGTCAGAATCAGCATGGAGCCACTTGTGTTAAAAACTCAGACAAACACAGCTAGGGAAGGCCATGAAGGGAGTATATGTCACAAATGCCTGATAACAAGAACTATCACAAAAGACTATACAGAATCACAAACTTGCATAAAGGCCATTGCCACTCTACACACACACACACAAATACTTCTGCAAGGATATCTGCCCAGGAACTGCCTGTCCAACCTCAGACTGGTGCCACCCTTGTCACTGATTCTGTAGCCAAGGATAACTATCTGAAGACAATGACATAATCCTCCTCATTTTTCCTTTAAAAACGTTTGTGTCCTTTTATCTCCCTGAATATACATATAGTTTACTACCGCATGCATCTTCCCATTGTTAATGCCTATTCTCAAATAAACATTTTATTTTAGAGAGTCCCCCTCTCTGCTTGCTATCTAGGTTGATAGCACACACCTGTTTACATGCTCTCATTTGTTGCCTGTGTGTATGTGTGGCTTATTCCCAGCCAAGAGATCTTGATTATGAAAGGACTTGTAGCACTGGCACCTTCTCTTTAACTGGGTTCTTCCTTACGAAAGTCTTATCTTCCCAGGTCTTCTTCAATTAGCTGACCTCATCTAGGTGGTCATCATCCTCTTTCCTCTTCCCAAATAATTTATAAGCTCATAATGCTTGTTTCCATCTTTCTACATTTATTTATTTATTTAAATTGAGACAGAGTCTTGCTCTGTCACCCAGGCTGGAGTGCAATGGCGTAATCTCAGCTCATTGCAACCTCCGCCTCCCGGGTTCAAGCGATTCTCCTGCCTCAGCCTCCCAAGTAGCTGGGATTACAGGTGTCCACCAACATGCCCAGCTAATTTTTTATTTTTTAGTAGAGATGGGGTTTTGCCATGTTGGCCAGGCTGGTCTTGAACTCCTGACCTCAGGTGATCTGCCTGCCTCGGCCTCCCAAAGTGCTGGGATTACAGGCGTGAGTCACTGCACCCAGCTTTTTATTTTATTTTTAAGAGGTGAGGTCTGGCTTCGTTGCCCAGGCTGGTCTAGAACTCCTGGCCTCAAGCAATCCTCCTGCCTCGGCCTCCCAAAATGCTGGAATTATAGACGTGAGGTACCTCTCCAGGGATATCTTTAAAACAAACAAACAAACAAACAAACAAACATTGATTTAGAATAAAACCCAAGACTAACATCTTGGGCCTCTGGTAAATGCGTCTGCAAGAACTATTGATTCTCAGTAAATCTTCACTAAGACCCTGATTAAACTTCAAGATTCTCCTGGGTCCTTCAGCCATATTTTGGCAAGTATACAACATCCACCCCTAGAGACAACTATTCCTACAATGTCTATTAGTCTATACTCTTGTTTCCTTCCTTCCATACCTATTTCCACTTCTTTCCAAGATTGGATATTCACTTATTTGAGTAGATGCTATCCTATTACTTCTCCCTTCCAAATATCTTCTGAATTCCAAGCCCTTCTCTCCCACAGCCTCCTCTGGTTCAGGTCTTTAACATGTCCTCCAAAACTGGAGCTCCAACCCTGTTTTGTGCCATGAACCTTTGGCAGCCTGGTGAAGCCCATGCATCAAATAAAAACATGGGATTACAAAGAAGACAGATTATATGGAAATATAGTTATTAAAATATTTTTTAAATTATGATAAAATAATTTGTACTTTATTAACACGTTAAATAACAAAATCTAGCTGTGGTTCTAATAACTACCTTAATTGTGAGGTAATGATGAGTATAAATAATATATTTACAATCTCTTTAATGTAATATGAAAAGAGTTACTAACAAAGTCACAGGCCTGTGAGTACTACTGTGGTTTGTTACCAATTGAATACATTTCAATTGGTGGTTAGTGAAAATAAATATGTAATTAAAAAAATCCACAGATTCTCCTCCCTGAATCCTCTGCCCTAGATCATGGACACTTAACTGGCCTCTCTGCCTCTGTTCTAACCAGAACAACTACTCAAGAGGCCAACCTCAGAGCTCTCCAAAAATGCATCTCTTATCAAGTCTCTTCCCTGTATAATGACTTTTTATGGGTCCCTATCATTCACAGTAGCATTCTCTTCCAGATTGTAGAAATGGAGCTCATTTGAAATGCAAATTTCCTGGACCTCCTTTGATTTTGCTGGTCTGGGTTGAGCCTGGGACTCCGCATTTTTAAAAGCATTGTGAGACAGTCTTGCACTGGTGGTCTATACACCAGATTTTGCAAAACAAAATAGAGTCTGAACTCACATAAGTATGGCCTTCAGTACTTTCACAGTGTGCCTCACTGCGTCAACCTTTCCAGTTCTATTCCAGCCTCACACGGTTTCCATTCATTCCCAAACAGTCGAGGACTTTCCCACCTCCCTCTCTGGAGAATCCCCTTCCCTCCCACCCCTCCTGCTGCTCCTGGTCCACACCATGCAGGCATCTCTCTGCTTGCTTCAATCTTTCTCATCATTCAAGGCAATTATGAACTTTTCCCCCAAAGCCGAAAGCCTCCCTGACTTCCTCACTCAGGCTGAAACAATCTTGTTCTCCCTGACACTTTCCAGTCATACTATGTGTAATTACTTATGTCAGGCCTCTGCAAAGGCAGAGGGCTTCAAACTCTGAGCTTCCTAAAAGATTGCTGTGAATTCATTTAGCATTCACCATACACAAGAAGAAGGAGAAAGTATTGCGCAGCAATTAGGTACTGGGTAAACTAGTCACTAGGGGAATAAGACAATGTCCTTACTTTCAAAGAGTTTGTGTTCCCTGTTCATCTTCCTCACTGTTTATCTACTCTAGCCCTTTCTAAACAGTCCTGAAGTAATCTATTTCAGCCCACATTAATCTTTTATTGTTTGACCCCCGCCCCTAGACGGATAATCAGAATCATGCTGTTTTGGCATTCATTCATTCATTCATTCATTCATTCATTCATTAACTGACTCATTCATGGTTTATTGAGTTCCTACTATGTACTAGGCAATATGATAGTCACTGGGTATATATAACATGGGAACAAGACAGTACATGCCCTTAAAGTTCTTAGAGTGTCGTTAACTGCTCTCTCGTTGCTATTTTTGTTTCCCTCACGAGGCTGGAAGCTCTTTGAAAGCAGGGAAAGACTTGTGTTTTTTGTAGTCTTCACTGCCACTAGCCTAGCACATTGCTGACACAGCGAGTGTTCAAATACCCTTGAAAGAGTGAGTAAAATACTTGTTTTCCAAGCCGCCTTTCCCATTCAGAGCTTCTCTTACCTGATACTGCTGATCTGAAAGAAAAGGAGCCTCTTTGCAGTGCCCTCAGGAAAAGCTCCTTCGAGAGCTGGAGGTGGGAGTTTGACTCTCCTCTCTCAGAAAAAGAAATCGCAAGGGCACAAACCGCAGCAACTCTGCCGACTGTTGCCAGGACGCATCTGTCGCTAAGAGAAAAGAGGCGAGTCCTCTGCGAGACTGACAGAGCATCTCTACCAATACAGTGTCCGCTCCCTAACAGTATCTTTCAAAGCAGACTTGTGATTGGTTGCCACTATGTGACGTCACTCAACGCGAACCGGGTGAGGCCAGCAGCTTTCCACTACCAAGGAAAGAGTTTTGTGTCTTAAGTATATTAATGACAGTGGCCCGGCCTGACCCCAGGTCTAACAGGCTCGGTCCATGCCTCACACCCACCGCAATCTCAGCCAGAGAAGAATCTTTCTGGGGTGTGGACCCTAGGAACCAGGAGAGAAAATGTTAAGGAGGCTGCCCGCTCAGAATCCTTTCGGGCAGCTTTCCTGCCCACCCCCTGCAGCGAGCTGGGCCCTCCTAGGGAGTGGAGAGGAAGCTGCGCCCCACTGGTTGTCGTGGGCGCCCCAGAACCCTAATGGGTTACATTTCCTTCTTGCCAGAATAACTTTTGTTTAGAATTTGACTCAAGCTGTAAATATGAGTCTCCGGGGAAGAAACTTGAATCCGTGAGTAACCCAAGGTTCATTTTATCTGTGATTAGGAGTCCGGTGGGATTCATACAGTGACGCTCAACTCTCTGAACACTGTTCTCCTCCTTTCCCTTAAAAAATAATTATAACTGTCTAATTTGTAAAGTGGCAGAATTTAATAAAGTAATGTAATTGACTGCTGTAATTGGTGTAAATAAATTTTCACACCTAATTTAAATAAAATCTTTAATTGAGAAAAGGCTGATCATTTATAACATATGAGAGTTCAGGGGGCTGCTGCGGTGGCTCATGCCTGTAATCCCAGCACTTTGGGAGGCTGAGGAAGGCAGATCACGAGGTCAGGAGATCGAGACTATCCTGGCTAACACGGTGAAACCCCGTCTCTACTAAAAATACAAAAAAATTAGCCAGGCGTGGTGGCGTGCACCTGTAAGTCCCAGCGACTCAGAAGGCTGAGGCAGGAGAATCGCTTGAACCTGGGAGCCAAGATCGCACCACTGCACTCCAGCCTGGGCGACAGAGCGAGGGTCCGTCTTAAAAAATAATAATAATAATAACTTCCTAATTTGTAAACTGGCAGAATTTAATAAAGCAATGTAATTGACTTCTGTAATTGGTCTAAATTAATTTTTACACCCAATTTAAATAAAATCTTTAATTGAGAAGAGGCTAATCATTTATAACATATGAGACTTTAAGGATCCTGAATGAAGATTTTTACGTTATGTGCAGAAAGATTATATAGATTCTTTCAAATTTCTGAAGAATTTGTGTTCACAAAATTCAAATGAATTTTACAATACAAATTATGAAGGAAAAAAACTAAAAAAGAGGTATTATCTAAACATTCTGACAACTTTTTTCCAGCTTGTCCACTCCCAGGAAGTGGAAGATTCGTTTTCCCCTGGGCTCAGTCTTGAGTCTTCTTTTGTCACTCTTCGCACTCTCCTGGTGGCGTCGGCATCATATATTCCCCTTAGCTTCAGCCATCACCACTAAACACACTGGACTTCCATTTCTACATTCTCAGCCTAACATATCTCTTAAATTCCATACCTGAATTTCCTCTAGCTACTGGACATTTCCAACTACCTGTGTAGTTCAGTTCATGTTGTTTAATAGATGCTAAATAAAGATTAAATGTAGTGAATGAATGAATGACCATAGCACCACAACTTAGCAGAGCCAAAGTCAACTCATTATCTTTCAGAAACTTTTTTTCCTTCTTTATTTTCTACCCTAGGTAATAGTATCATTGTCCATCAGTTGCAAAACGAAATCTGAAAGTCATCCTTGACTCCTCTTCTACTGCCCACAGTCAACATATCATTTAAGTTCTGTCATTTTTCTTTCTTAATTGTCTCTCAAATAATCCATTTTCTCTTAGCCATCCTCTGCCTCTGCCTTATTTCAGATATGCCTTATCTCTCACCTAGACGGTAGCAATAGTCTTTTGACTTGTTCTATCTCTTTCCCTCTAATTTATTTGCCAAGTTGCCACATAATTTTCCATAGTTTGAATCCTGACGTCACCCTGCTTAAATATGCTCAATCTGGCATATGAAACCCTGTATAAACAGGGTTCTGAAAGACACTGGAAATAAATCTGGAAGGTAATTAGTTATTTTTCTAACCTCATTTCCTGCCTCTGTCCCCAGCCCAACCCACATTTTAGTCCAGTGCTTCTTAACTGAAGACCCTTAACAGCCAAGGAGCAGGAAATCACAGGGGCCAGGAGTGAGTAGTAGGTTGATGGAAAGAAGGTTTATAACATGAAATAGACTTCTGCAACTGAGACATATTTGTTTCATATAAAGAATTTATGAAGTTTTTGCATTTGGCTTTGCAATGGATTCGTGTTTGTTTCAATTTTTAAAAAAATGTCTAAAGCCACTATTAACTAAAATTGACAGAAAACTGAATAAACACAAAGAAACCTTAGGCAACTGTGACATGCTCATCCTGTGGTTTTGCACAGCCCCTGACATACTGCTGTGCAGGTCCAGGAGTGTGTGGGTCTCAGGTTGAGAGCCAGAGCTCTGGTTACACAGCTCCTGACTGGTCCCCTGTGCTGTGCTGGGTTACAACTGTGTGTCTGCTCATCCAGGTGCCACCACTTCTACCTCTGCCTCCATCTGTAATGCCTTTCTTCATCCTCATTACTTGGTAAATGACTATTTATTTTTCAAGACCCAACTCAAATGTCACCTTCTCTGTCCAGCCATACAGGCACTCGGTAGAATTAGACACTCTTTCCTCTATTTTTCCATTATAGCAAGTATTACATTGTGTTGCAATAGCTTGTTTAGATAGATGTCTCCCCCTCTAGACTTTAAGGCAGGGATGGTGTCTCATTACTTTATATTTCCTTTATATCCTTTATATCACACTGTGATATAATGTCAAACATAGATTTTGGTTTGTTATTGTTGTTTAGAGTGGGGATCTCACTATGTTGCCCAGGCTGGTCTTGAACTTCTGGGCCCAAGCCTTGGTGTCCCAAAGTGCTGGGATTACAGATGTGAGCCGCCATGGCCGGCTGGACATAGGTATTTAATAAAACATATATTTAATTATGTAATTGATTTACTATTCTTGGAAGTAAATCTAAAAGAAACTCTAACAGAAGCTTCTTTGTATTTTTCCAAATAATTTGCTTTCCTTAAAAAAAATTATAATCCTTCACGGTCAGATTTAAGGAAGTAAGAATTATATAACCTTGTGATCTGGCTGAGACACCAAGGCCTTCTGTCATCTTTTCTTTAGAGACATGCCAAGAGGATGTCCATTTGATGGAATGAGTCATAAGTCACAATACCAAGAAAGTTAAAAGTTAAATTGGAAATGTTTAGAAATTTCTTCATGTTACAAATTCATGATTGATTGACCATCTGTTCTTTCATGGGAGTGGTCAGAAATGAAATATCATCATGGTAGCTAGTGAATGTGTCCATGCTTTTCCAGGGGAGGTTGAATTGAATTTCCCTGAAACTTGAAGATATGTAAAAATTAGTTTTAGTTTTATTGATTGAGTGAACATCTAAAGAGTCAAGAAGTCATAATTGAAAATATTTCTCTGATTCTTTAAGGACATCTTGATAAGTTTCAGATTGGGTTTACAAAAGGACAATCTGATAAATTGATATGAGGTAGATTTTTACTAGTTATTTTGGTGAGTGACTCATTCTTTTTATGGATTTTTTTAAAAAGTTAGCTCAGAAACTAGGCGTGGAGGACCCTATTTTATGTCTGGAAGGGAGAAATGTTCTTGTTTGAGCCCTAAACTGCTGGGATTACTACATATTTTCCAAGCACTTGGGGAAACTACCACAACCTATTGCATGAGGAAGTGAGAATCATCTGAAGAGTACTCAGCTTCAGAAAGGAGAAAAAGAGACAAAAAAGCCTGACCCTGGGACAAAGATTTAGCTGTTGGAAGAAAGGGCCAATTTTGGCAATTCTAGAAAAAAAAATGGACTAGAACATCAATGAGAAATTAGGATCTATACAACATTAAAGTCAGGAGAAAGGCATTCTTAACTGCACAGAATAGCTTGAGTCTACTGGGGACTAAGGAGGACACAGGCCCCATGTGGCTCCAGAATTGCTGGTCCTTCCCATAAGAGAAGGCAGGGCTCTAGCACTCATCTGCAGTCTTCAGGCAGTAGATATCTCCAGAAGGGCCAAAGCAAGAGCTGTGGAGGTAAAAACAGGGCCATGTGGTAGCAGAGTGGACTTACTTGTCAGTATGGCTGAGACTTAACTCTCTACACCCAGAAATAGTTGGTGGTGGGAGAATCATTGTATGGTAGTGACAGTCCTACAATATCATAAAGCATTAAAAGCCAGTGAATATCAGTTCTACATGTATAATTTTTATTGTCATTAGAGCACTTAAATATTTTTTAAAGTGAAGTCACTCAAATATTGTATTTAAAGTAAGGAAATTATGTTGAAGCCTAAATTTGTCACTTTCTGCATAGGTGGCATTAGACAAGTTATTAAACTCTCTAAATCTCATCTGCAAAATTTGAGATGATAATGCTTTCATCAGAGCCAGGCCAGATAAAGGGCAAGAGCAACCACATTGAACAACTAAGGGTGAGGGCAACCAATGCTGCCCTAAGGGGCATTCTTCAAAAGATACCAAACTTCCCTGTAGTGAATTGTGAATAGGTTGTCAGTTAGTTTGGGTTTCCATAGGGAAATTTTTACATGCCAGGAGAGACATAAATGTATTCTTCTCTCAACCAAATAGCTTCAGATATGAAATAAAATCTATGTTGAAAAATTTTGCCATGTAAAAGTACCAATCATGAGGGTCAACCAAAAGGCAATACTCCCATTCCTGAGTTCAGCCTGCGTTGATACCTACATTTTGATTTAATTTTTTCAAGATGGAGTCTTGCTTTGTCACCCAGGCTGGAGAGCAGTGGCATGATCTTGGCTCACTGCAACCTCAGCCTCCCAAGTTCAAGCGATTCTTGTGCCTCAGCCTCCTGAGTAGCTGGGATTATAGGTGTGTGCCACCACGTCCAGCTAATTTTTTTGTATTTTTAGTAGAGATGGGGTTTCACCATTTTGGCCAGCCTGGTCTTGAACTCCTGACCTCAAGTGATCTGCCTGGCTTGGCTTCCCAAAGTGATGGGATTATGGGCATGAGCCACTGTGCCCGGCCTGATACTTATATTTTGAATAGTTCAGCACTCTCCCCAAAAGTTGTCTAGTTTGGAAAAGTGTGTTTTTAATAAGTTGTTTCAAATGTAAAGAAAGAATATATATGTTTATTAACAAAAATCAGTTTTTCCCTATTTCCACTAGAAAAACAGTGAACACATTTTTAAGGGGTATTAGTATGAACAGATACCAAATTACTAGCCTGTCCAGATTGCCCACAGATTTTAATCTGTCCCTTCCTCATAGCATTGCCATGAAAAACCAGATAGTGCTTCAAATGTGGCATATTCTCAATGAATAGCTGTGGAACCAGAATTAATCAAAATTCTGTTCAAAATGAATGTATAGACATTACTTCTGTCCTTTGGTGACTATTAAAAGTAGATTTGAGTATCCAACTGTCTACGAGACATTTCCACTTGGATGTTTAATACATAGTTATCTAAAGCCTGGCCTTTCCTTCAATGCCAGCCAGGAAATATTTGCTACTAGACCACTAGTTTATGAAATAATTGTTACCCAGCTGCAATAAAAGTAGTACTGAAATTGGGTGTTTAAAAACTTTTTAGCAAATTGACACAGTAACTTTATGTTATGTATGAACAAAATTGAGATTCGTATTACAAACGTCCTTATTTCATTCTTTTAGCAATTTATTTATGTTGTAATTTTACAGAATTATTAGTCTGTGAAAGAAATGAAAACAAAACCAAGTCAACTAACCCTTTAACAGATAGTCTGAGAAGCACTTTACAGACATCTCAAAAACACACTAAAAACTGAACTGCTGGTTCTCCCCAGATACCTGCTCCTCCTGCCATCTTTTTCATCTTAGCTGATGGCAATTTCATCTTCAGGGTCACTTTGCACAAACTTAAGAGTCATACTTCACACCTCTTCTTCCATCCTTCATACTTTTAGGATATATTTTCAACATTGCAGTCAGAGGGATGCACTTTTAAAACAAGTCATATCATGTCAGTCTTCTGCTCAATACCCTCCAACAGCTCCAATTTCATTCCATTTAAAAGCCAAGGTCCTCACAATGGCCAAGGTCCAGCATAACCTGGTTCCTGTTACAAGCTTCATTTCCTACCATTACTCCCTGCAGCTCACACCACTGCAGACACACTGGTGTCCTTGAGGTTACTCAAACACACTAGGTAGGCATCTCCTCTTTTGCATTGGCTGTTCCCTCTGCCTGGAGAACTTAAACAAGATATCCTTCAAGTTTTTGCTAAGATGTTAACTTCTCAGTGAGGCCTACTCTCCACTCTTTTTAAAATGCCAACTTCTCAGCCTTCCTCATTCTCCTTTCTCCGTTTTATTTTTACTCATAATATTTATCACCTTCTAACACACTATGTACTTATGTTTGACTGTTTTTGTCCACTAAAATGTGAACTCTACAAGGGCAGGGATTTTTGCCGTGCTTACTCCTCCTGTCCCAGTGTCTAAGTCTATGTTGGCATATAGAAGGTATGCCACAAATGTTCATTAAAGGATTTGGAACAACCACCTTGGAGAGTAATTTGGCAGTATATATTAACTAAAAATGAATACCTCCTATAATCTAGCAATTCTACTTCTGGATATTTACCCTAGAGAAAATTTTACACACGTGCATAAGGAAATGATTCATGGATGTTCACTGCTGAATTTTTTTTGTTTTTTGTAATGGCAAAAGATGGCAGAAACCTAAATGTCCATCAGCAGTAAAATGCATAGAATGATATGGTATAATCAATAAAATGGCATACAGCTGCTAAAATAAACTTGGATGGATATAGCTTAAGACAAACTGGTAAGGTAAGTGATAAAGATTAGGTACAGAGCAATGCTATCTTTGTAAACAAAAACATGCATGAATGATTCCTATATATAATGGGAACATATATTCAAGAAAAGTATTACAAATGGACTGAAATGATTCACACCAATTCATGATAGAAGGTTGCACTTGCAGAGGGTTGGTGTATTAGTCCATTCTCACACTGCTACAAAGATACTACCTGAGACTGGGTAATTTATAAACAAAGTAAGTTTAATTGACTCACAGTTTCACATAGCTGGGGAGGCCTCAGGAAACTTATAATCATGGCAGAAGAAGCAGGCATCTTCTTCACAAGGCGGCAGGAGAGTGTGAGTGTGTGAAGGAGGAACTGTCAAAAACTTATAAAAACATCAGATCTCCTGAGAACTCACTCACTATCATGAGAACAGCCTGGGGGAAACCGCCCACATGGTCCAATCACCTCCCACAGGGTCTCTCCGTTGACATGTGGGGATTATGGGGATTACAATTCAAGATGAGATCTGGGTGGAGACACAGCCAAACCGTATCAGTTGGTTAACTTTATAATGCTTTATTCCTCATAAATTAGGAAGGCCAAAAACAAAAGAAAATATAAAATTTGTTCAATTTGGGGGGTTGTGGGTATTGAATGGCATTAATGTATTGTTATTTTTGTACTTTTCTGTATTTGAAATTTTCTCAAAATTAAAAAATCATCTTCTAGACTGTAAGATCCTTAAGAACAGCAACTATATTTTATTAATATTTTCATTGGCAGTATCTAATACCATTACTGAAAAATAGGAGTCCTCAATAAATACTCGCTAAATATGTATGTGTTAAATAAATAAAAATTTTGTTGAGAGAAAAAGAAGAAATTAAGGGGAGAAAGATGAATGGTACGGATGTAAGAAGACAGAAACGTAAAAAGTATTTTGGGTTTACAAATGTGTGATTTAATACCCAGGCTACCTGACATTTTCAGCTGAGCTGTTATTCTAAAACAGATAGGAATTTTGAATGCGAAGATAAGGAGTGAAAAAAGCTCCCTTTCACCCAGCAGATATGAAGAATGTCATAGAGATCTATTGGCTTGAGATTCAGGAGCAAAAAATTGGAATTCTTGAAATCATAAGTTATTTTGTAGTTTTCATAACACTTTACATGTTTTAAAAACATAATGAGTAACCATAACAATAAACTGAATCTTTTCTGTGCTAGGATTATACTAAAAGTTTCAGAGGTTTATTTTGGTTTAAAAAAGATAATAAAAGCATGATTATTATTATCAGCCAACATACTGAAGAACAGTATATATTTGATTATATATGATAATGATCACTACCTGTCATAGATATTTCATAGTAAAAATCATTAAAGGAAGGAAGCATCAATGCAAAATAAATTCTAAATAAAAAATTCTAAATTTTAATTAAAAAATAATTCTTCAAGTGACAATTTAAAACACATAAAACAATTTCCTTATCTGATAGATTTCATCTTTGCTTTGTGACAGATATTCCAGATGAGAGAAAATTTCTCTCATTTTGCACTTCATGTCAGTTCACTTGTTAAACGTGCTTCCAAAGTATTATCAGATTGGACGTTGGGGTATCTGTTGCTTTATATAAGCTCGTTTACTTTTTTAACAAAAAAAATATTTTGTTTTACAAAGAACTAAACCCTTCAGTGAATATTCAAACTATGGAAAATGCAGAAAACAAGATTGGGTATTCAAATACAGTTATGCATAGCTTAATGATGGGGATATGTCGTAACAAGTGCATTGTTAGGTAATTTTGTCGTTGTATGAACATCATAGAGTGTACTTACACAAACGTAGATGGGATAGCTTTCTATACACCGAGGCTATATAGCGTAGCCTATTATTCCCAGGCTACAAACCTGTACAGCATGCTACCTTACTGAATACTGTAGGCATCTGGAACACAGTGTTTAGTATTTGTGTATGTAAACATATCTAAATATAGAAAAGGTACAGTCAAAATATGATATAAAAGATTAAAAATGGGGGCCGGGCGCGGTGGCTCACGCCTGTAATCCCAGCACTTTGGGAGGCTGAGACGGGTGGATCACAAGGTCAGGAGATCAAGACCATCCTGGCTAACACGGTGAAACCCCGTCTCTACTAAAAATACAAAAAATTAGCCAGGCGTGGTGGCAGGTGGCTGTAATCCCAGCTACTTGGGAGGCTGAGGCAGGAGAATGGCGTGAACCTGGGAGGCGGAGCTTGCAGAGCTGAGATCGTGCCACTGCACTCCAGCGTGGGCAACAGAGCGAGACTCTGTCTCAAAAAAAAAAAAAAAAAGATTAAAAATGGTACACCTGTATAGGAGACTTACCATGAATGAAGCTTGCAGGAGTGGAAGTTGCTCTGGGTGAGTCAGTAGGTAAGCAGTGAGTGAACGTGAAGGCCTAGGTCATTACTGTACACTACCATAAATTATAAACATGTACACTTAGACTACACTAAATTTATTTTAAACATTTTTCTTCCTTTAATAATAAATTAATGTTAGCTTACTGTAAGTTTTTTACTTTATAAACTTTTTATTTTTGAGACAGGGTCTTGCTCTGTCGCCCAGGCTAGAGTGCAGTGGCACAATCATGGCTCACTGCAGCCTCGACCTCCTGGACACAGTGATTCTCCCACCTCAGCCTCCAGAGTAGCTGGGACTACAGGCACATGCCATCATCCTTGGATATTTTTAAAAATTTTTGTAGAGATGGGGTCTCCCAATGTTGCTCAGGCTGGTCTCGATCTCCTGGACTCAAGCAGGCCTCCCACCTTGGCCTCTCAAGTGCTGGGATAAACAGGGATAAGCCACCTCTCCTGGCCTAAAATTTTAAATTATTTATTCATTTATTTATTTTTCATTGCACAATGGAAATGGTATGAACTTTTATTTATTTTATTTTTATTTTATTTTTGTTTGAGACGGAGTCTCCCTCTGTCACCCAGGTTGGAGTACAGTGGTGCAATCTTGGCTCACTGCAACCTCCGCCTCCTGGGTTCAAGTGATTCTCCTGCCTCAGCCTCCAGAGTAGCTGGAACTACAGGCACCCACCACCAAGCCCGGCTAATTTTTGTATTTTTAGTAGAGACAGGGTTTCGCCATATTGGCCAGGCTGGTCTTGAACTCCTGACCTTGTGATCCACCCACCTTGGCCTCCCAAAGTGCTGGGATTACAGGCGTGAGCCACCGTGCCTGGCCAAACTTTTAAAATGAGTAAACTTTCTTTTGTAATAACACAGCTTAAAACACAAACATATTGTACAGCTATACAAAAATATTTTATTTATATCCTTATTCTACAAGCTTCTTTCTATTTTTCAATGTTTTAAAACTTTTTTTTGTTAAAAACTAAGACAAAAACACAGACATTAGCATAGGCTTACACAAGGTCAGGATTAACAATATCACTGTCTTCTACCTCCACATCTTATCTCACTGGAAGATGTCCAGGGGTAATAACAGGCATGGAAGTGTCATCTCCTATGATAACACAATCTTCTTCTGGAAATCATCCTGAGGCTATTTGACAGCTGGCTTTTTTTTTTCAAGCAGAAGTATACTCTAAAATAATGATAATAGTATAGTAAATATGTAAGCCAATCACATGGTTGCTTATTATCATTGTCAAGTATTATGTACTGCACATAACTGTATGTTCTACACTTTTATAGACTGGCAGTGCAGTAGTAGTTTATTTACACCAGCATCCCCACAAATAGGTGGATAACGCATTGCTCTACAACGTTATTGCGGTGACATTATTACATCACTAGGTGATAGGAGTTTTTCAACTCTGTTATAATCTTATGAGAAGTGTTGTATACGTAGTCAGTCGTCCACCAAAATGTGTTATAATAGTAAGATACCATTTGGATATTCTAGCAACAACAAAAGCATTACATAGAAACATATGTTGAGGCCAGGTGGGGTGGCTCATGCCTATAATCCCAGCACTTCGGGAGGCCGACGTGGGTGGATCACCTAAGGTCAGGAGTTCAAGACCAGCCTGGCCAACATGGTGAAACTGCATCTCTACTAAAAATACAAAAATTAGGTGGGCATGGTGGCATGTGCCTGTAATCCCAGCTACTCGGGAGGCTGAGGCAGGAGAATCACTTGAGCCCGGGACGCAGAGGTTGCAGTGAGCTGAGATCGAGCAACTGTACTCCAGCCTGGGCAATAGAGCTAGACCCTGTTTCAAAAAACAAAAACAAAAACAAATGTATTCTATGACTATAAATGTATTGATGTTTATTTACAAGAATGACTCACTGACAAGTCCAGAAACACAAACTTATAACATTGTAAAAGTTAAAAGCAAGATTGACTGATAAGATCTTTACCGCTTCTCTTTTATGCACTCCTCTCTTGCTTTCCAGGAATGTTTATGTAAACCTTTGATGTCAGCGTTTCCTGTCTTTCTTTTGATTTGGTTTCAATATATTCCTTTAAGCCAGTAACATCATTATGTTGATTGTTAAGGTTTAATATTCCCCTTTACATTGTTTTAACATCTTTGTCAGAAATCAATTGACCATATATGTGTGAATCTATTTCTGGATTCTATTTTGTTCCATTGCCTATGTGTAGTCTATATGTCTGTCTTCACCAGTACCAAGTTGTTTAGCTTAAATAGCTTTATAGATATAGGTAGGATAAATCCTCCAGTTTTATCTTTCTTTTAAAAAATTGCTTTGGTTATTCTGGATTCTTTGCATTTGCTTCCATAGGAATTTTAGAATCAGGTTGTCAATTTCTACAAAACAGTTTGCTAGAATTTTCATTGAGATTGGGTTGAATCTATAAATGAACTTGGTGAAAACTGACATCTTAATAATACTGAGTCTTGTAATTTATGAACATGGTTGATATTTTCATTAAGTTTTCCAAATAAAAGGGGGAATCAGCATTTATAAGCACATCACATATGCCTCATATAGTAATGGGTGCTTTACATGTATCATATTAATTAAAAATCACCATTCCTTTTATTAGCTAGATTGTGTTAGGGACAAGCTACCCCAAAAAAGCTTCTTGGTACTGCCAACACCCCCGCCCCCCACCCCCGCAAACCTCTCCGTACCACCCCTCCTCTTCCCCCAAACCTTTTTACATTTCTAAGCCCCTATCTAGGCACCGCGGTGAAGCCAGGAGACTTTTACCTATCAGGTCTTGCTGCTATAAAGCAAACCCAATTACAAACCATCCGGACTGCACAGTGGGAGGTCGTGGGAAGTATAAACAAACTTTACCTACACCCTCCGGTACCATAAACGTCACAAGGTGATATGTGGCAGAGTTAACCAACAAACAACTCCAGGGTCTCTCTCCCCCACATAAAACCCTCATTTTGTAAGCTCAGGGCTGCCTCCTCTGTCTGTAATGGAGCAGCCGGCAGGTTGAATAAAGGCTTGCCTGAACTTGGGTCTCGGTCTCTCTCGGTCTCTCTCTCCCTCTCTCTCTCTCTCTCTCGTCCTTTCTCTCGGCTAACTTCACAGATTGCACATAAAAAAGAAAAGGGGTTCAGAGAAGGTAAGTAACTCCCTAGAGACCAATAAGTGGCACAGAAGGGAATTTGGGCCCTCATCTGTCTGACTCCAAAACCTGGCTTTATCTATTCACCGGTCCTTATAACTCAGCTAAAACGAGGGTTAAGCAAGTGCCATCATTTATGACTGTGAACCTCTTCAAAGTTCAGATTGTTCCTGAACAATCAAGCATTTCAAACTCTTACCATCAAGTAAGGAGATAGCGTTACATCGTGTGTAGGCATATGGGGATTAAAGATTACATTATATTTTCCAAATTGCACTTGAGAATTGACTGTGCCAATTATATCCTTTCTGGGTATCTACCTTGTTCACAGTATGTGGGATCCAGGTTGAGGAACAGCATAAAATTCTTGTACCCTGTTGCAAAAATTTATTAGTAATCCATGCATACTGGTTTAGGATTTGAAAACAGGTTTTATAAAAGGTTTGCTAGGTATCGATCTAATTTCAGGAATACCCTAGTAGGGAAATTCAGTGACCTTTACAAATTTACCCGTGGCCAAAAAAAAAAAATAAGTAAAAATTAAAAATCAGAACACATCCAAAGTAATTATAATTAAAATTAACCAAAGTTCCTGATCCAATCCTGATAAGGGGTATTAGGTTTAATATTTACAGATAATTTATGAAGAAAAAGATTACGGTTCAAAGTCTACTTCAGGTATTTCTATTTACATTTCTTGGAAAAGTTTCCCAGGGCTCTTTCTGCCCCAGCCGCCAATCTACAGAAGAGTCTAGTCGACTGTCCACTCATTTCACAGCACTTGTCTGAAACTAGAAGACCCAGGGAGGGAACAAGGTTCAGGCTTGAAACGCTAAGACATTCAAGATTTCACCTTGTATGCAAAAATCAGAATGGGAGGCTGCAGCGGGGCCTCACACTCACCGGAGCTAGGCGCTATAGATCCCGCACCCGCGGAGCCCGGCAACCACCTGAGGGGCCTTGGCCAGGAGGGGGTGGCCCCCCGGCGCCGGCGGCAGCTCCGGAGCAAACCTGGCAAACCCGAGCAGGGCGGTGCGGGTTGCTCAGGGAGAAAATGAAGGGAGTGATAGGGTGGGGGTGGCAGGGAACGGGCACAACGCCGGCTTCCTCCGGACGGCCTCCTGCGTCCCACCTGTGCTCCTGAAAAGCGGCCCCCGACAGGGCGCGGCGGGAACCCGAGCCGGGAGTAGGGTCACGAGTTAAAGCGGCGGGGGCGGGAGGATGCGCGGGCGGCGGACGGGGCGCTCTCCTCCCGTCTGACTCTGGGCGGAGCGGGGCTCGAGGCTGCTGGAGTCGCTCGCTGACTCGCCCTGCGCCCTCGCCGCGGACACCGGAGCTGCGGCCGCTCCCCGCTGTCCCCCAGGTGAGCCCGCGGGGCGCTGCCCCGGGGCGTCGGGTGTCGCGGGAACGGCGCCCGCGGCGCACAGGGAGGGCCGGGGAGGCCGGGAGGCAGCGAGCTGTCGGGGACGCCGCGGGAAGGCCGGGCCGGGCAGTCGGCGCCATGGAGGGCAGGCGGGCTGGAGCTGGGCGCGAGATGCAGCTGTTCCGCGCCGCCCCCAAGCCGCCCGCAGGTCAGTGGAGGAGCGCGCCTGCCGGGCCTGCCCGGGGCTGGGCGGGTGGGGGTGCTCTGCTCCTCGGTCCCCCTCCAGGCCGCCGCCCACCTGTGGCCAGGGCTCAGAGGGCTGGAAGCCACCCCCGCCCGGAGCCCCTGGGCTGGAAGGCTTGGATGCCGGCCGGGGCTCCAGATGGCCTTGACGCGGCTCGGCTGGCCCCTTTCAAGGCGGACTGTCCCCCTGTTAGAGGTGGGGGCGGCTGGAAGTGGGGGCTCAGGCCCGGGTCGCTGCGCTGGCTGAAAGCAGCCGCCAGCCGGGCTGCGGCCGTCTGAGCTCCACGGCAGTGCCCGGGGATGGCAGCGACCGCTCTGGGACATCGCTGCAACCCTGCAGATCTTTCTCGCACACACTACCCAACAAAAGTGTCAACCCTTGTTGTTTGTTTGTTTGAAAAAAAAAGAAGACTGGAGAGACTAAAGTTTTGTGTCTGGTGAAGTGGGAAAGCGCTTCTGAAAAAACGAGGTTGCATAACTTTGTCGCCAACTGGGAGGCCTTTGCTATTTATACACTCCCGGGCTTTCTCCAATTTTCTACAGCTTACTCCAATCAAGCCTCTGCCCGCCAGGAACAGGTAACCTGTGTGTGTCCGTTTGCTCCTTCTAAGAGCATGCCTGATAGATACTTCGGTAGCCTCTCCGGATGGCCCCTTCGTCGGGTAGCCTCTCCTGATGGGGTCCTTCGCCCACCCTGCCTCCCGCGCCGGCGCTCCGGGTGAATGTCAAGGGTGGCTGGCTGCGAATACCTCCTTCAGCTGCTGGGGTTCCCGACAGTTTGCAGTTTTTAAAAGTGCACCCTCGGAAGGGCTTTTCAGACTGGGTAAACCTGACTTTTCCAAGGTCAGCATCTGGTCCTGGTGAATGAAATGTCTACCGGGACAACTCGTTGTGATGTGCTGAATATATGCTGGTTGGCTTGTTTTCTCTTTGTTCCTGTGGATTACTGTACATGGTGTGTGGCTAGTTTGTTTAAAATTTAATTTTCCCTGTATCAAAGTGGAAAGCGCTTAGTGTCAATATACAACTCACCAACATGCTTATTAACAGCTTCATCATTATGTTGGTGTTCATATGCGAGCTTTGGTCAACATGAAATCATCTGCGTTTTAAGTCCTATAGATAAAGTCTCCTTAAATGCTGGTTAAAATATCCTGCCTTTTTGAAGGAAGTAAAACTGTTAAGTGAAAATCCTAATTTATTAATAACTTTTTCTTTCCTTTATGCCTTTACCTAAGAATTACTGCATTTATGCTTTGACAGGCATTTTAACACGCACACAGGAGCCACACTTTAATGAGTTATATAATAATTATTTCATTTTGAAGGTACTGCATTTGCCATACAGTAAATATGTTTTATGGTTTATTCATCCAGCAGTATCCTTATTAATCTTTTCATTAACAAGAGTTTAAGAACCTTCCCCATGCTATTCTTTATAGCCAGTATCTATTGTTCGGAGATGTTGGGCTTCCTAAGAATGCTTGAATTGGAATCAAAAGTGGGGTTCTAGACTTGGAAAGCAGCATGGTATCTAACCAGTGACTTGTAAGATATTGTATGAATGCAGGTTACAATTTTCCTTCTTCATTGCTGAGTACAAGTTATTATTAAAATGTCAAATAAAGCCTGCCTTTCTATTCCGTATGGAAGGACGCTACTCATTGTTTGGGGTATTTTACTTTGAACAGGTTTCCATAGTATAATATCAATCTTAGTCTGAGGGAAAATCCAAGATCCATCCCAGTCTCTAGAGTGACTTCTCCGTCACTTTGAAAAAACTGATTCTGAAGACAATAAAACCAGCCCGACCCAACCCTTTTCAAACGTACCTGCCCCCCCCCCCAAATAGATATGAAGTACTTTGAAAATATGCTATAAATATAAGGCCTTCAATAAAAAGTCATTACAAGCGATGCCACAGACTGGGAATTAGGCTTAAATTGAGGGCCCATTTTCCCCTTTGTACAACAGTTATGTTTCCTGAGGCTCATACTGCCCCTTAAGAACCTTACTGGCTTTCTAGGAAGCCACCCTGTCTGCTGTGGGTGTTAGGTAGGTGAGTCTGCTTAGCGCTAGACCCTATGCAAAGGCTTTGTTTACTGTTTTATTTAATGCTCTCTACACTCATAACTATTTAATTCTGGCTACAATCATAGAAGGGTAGGTGTAGTTATTCCCATTTTGCTGGAGAGGAAACTGAGGCTCAGAAGGGCTAAGTGATTTCCCTGAGATTGCAGAAACGTCAAGTCATGGAACCAGGATTAGAAACCAAACTGAATCTTGTTCTTTACACTACACCCTGCTATCTTTAACTCGGTGGTTTTAAACATTTTTTGATAATCTGTGAAAGTTTTAGTTACCTCCCAGGAAAAAGTGTCCACAGCCACATATATGAAAGTTTTCATATAACTTCAAGGCCCACCTACCCTCTGAAGTCCTTCCCCCAGGTCCTCAGGTCTCTGATCCTCTAACTATACTGAGTGAGGCAGAAAACATATACATCCTATATATATGTACATATAATCTTTTACTAATGGGAGCAGCCCTTGAATTTGGTAACTTTGAACTAGGTGAAAATTCACTTTGTAATTAAAACAAATAAAAAAGTGACGTCCTACATTGGAACTGATTCTGTAAACATCTAAAATGCAGTTTAGAGCAATGGTGCTTATTTGAAACCAGGACTTCTGTATGGGCTTCTCCTTGCAATATTAAAGAATATGGACTTGTGTCTTTACTCACTAAATGGAAATGTTGGTTGTTGTTGTTGTTGTTTTTTTCCTCTAGAGATGGCAGATCCTGAGGTAGTTGTGAGTAGCTGCAGCTCTCATGAAGAGGAAAATCGCTGCAATTTTAACCAGCAAACATCTCCATCTGAGGAGCTTCTATTAGAAGACCAGATGAGGCGAAAACTCAAATTTTTTTTCATGAATCCCTGTGAGAAGTTCTGGGCTCGAGGTAGAAAACCATGGAAACTTGCCATACAAATTCTAAAAATTGCAATGGTGACTATCCAGGTAAGCATCTCAGATCATGAGTTTGGTGAAAGCCTCTTTTAATTACAAAGATAACTATGGACAGTGGTTTTTTTTTTAAATAACTTTTAACTATATGCAAAATGTTGAAGAGTAACAGATAAGAAAACATACAATCTTAGACCCTTCTGTCTTCAACATTTGTGAAAGAGTTTGTCTTCTTTTTTCTTAGTTTTTTTCTTGTATCGTTCGCTAAGTTATAATTTTAGTCACATAATCTAATTAATTTTCAGGAAAAGAAAACTAATATTTGGCTTCCAATGAAGAGGTTCAGCTGGTTTCTAAATAAGCCATGGAAACTAGTGTTGTCCAACATTAGGACTTTCTTTTCCTTCCTAGTTAGTTTCCTGGGAATTTCTCTCTTCAGAAACTTAAAGGGTTCCTGCTACAGGCAAATTCTTAGATTCTCACAACCCTGTGATCATGAGAACCATGCAATGGAAGAATGTGAAG
Organism: Homo sapiens; assembly: GCF_000001405.40. NCBI lineage: Eukaryota > Metazoa > Chordata > Mammalia > Primates > Hominidae > Homo > Homo sapiens. The sequence goes on along the minus strand of NC_000001.11, from coordinate 85,044,661 downwards.
TTAACTAACAGAAGAGGAGTGGCAGGAGCTAGTGAAACACAGGACCTCTTTTTAGTTCAAAGGGAGCTTTTAAATCACATTTCCTTGGCTGCTTTTAATATTTTTTTGGGGGAAAGGGGGAACCATATTTTGTGATTCTTAATATATACTGGTTGTGATTTATTCTTATGAAAATATGTTTTCCTGTTGGTCAAATTATCTCTTGCTAAAAGCAAAGGGCAAAATAGAAGCAGATTTTAGTGAGAAAAATAGATGTGATAGGTTTATTTTTATTATTACTTACTCTTCCTAAGTTGGTGAAAAATGCCTAAGTAAATAAACAATTGGTATTGAAGGAGAGATTAAAAAAAACAGGATATTACTAATTTTAACTGCTTATTGAGAACAAACACTTATGATTGTTAGGGAACCAAGGCAATTTTTACAATCATATGAAGTTGGTAGAATTCTTGCTTGTTTCTAATGCTAGGTGTTGTATCAAGGGAAACAAACATTTAGTGACTACCCTGTTCCAGTACATTATTTCATTTAATTCTAACATTCTTACTGGCTCATTTTACAGAAGAGGAAACTGATGTTTGTAGAGCTCTTTTAAAGTCACATGGCTTGGCCAGGCAGGGTGGCTCATGCCTGTAATTCCAGCACTTTGGGATGCTGAGGTGGGTGGATTGCTTGAGCTCAAGAGTTCCAGACCAGCCTGGGTAACATGGTGAAAACCTGTTTCTGTAAAACATACAAAAATAAGCCAGGTGTGGTGATCACACCACTGCACTCCAGCCTGGGTGACAGAGCGACACCTTGTCTCAAAAAAAAAAAAAAAGTCACATGGCTAGTCAGTGGCAATATCAAGACTTTGAAGGCAGGCATTCTCTCTATTATATTACCCTGAAAATGGATGTTCAGTTCTCAGCCAAATACTTGGCAAGTTGAAATTGAAATTCTTAACTTCTGAGTGATAATATGGTGTGTCTCAATAGTGAAAAGTTTAGTTTCTTATAAAGGAGAAAAGCCTGTATCAATTGAACATGAATATTTTCTACTTAGAATAATAATAGGTACCACTTGAGTGTTTGCTGTATACCAGGCTAAACATTTTATAGATGTCATCATGTTCAATTCTTTTTTTTTTTTTGAGATGGAGTCCCACTCTGTCACCCAGGCTAGAGTACAGTGGCGCCATCTCAGCTCACTGCAACCTCCGCCTCCCGGGTTCAAGCGATTCTCCTGCCTCAGCCTCCTCAGTAGCTGGGATTACAGGCACACACCACCATGCCCGGCTAATTTTTGTATTTTCAGTGGAGATGGGGTTTCACCATGTTGGCCAGGCTGCTCTTGAACTTCTGACCTCAGGTGATCCATCCACCTAGGCCTCCCAAAGTGCTGGGATTACAGGCGTGAGCTACAGTGCCCGGCCCATACTCAATTCTTAAAACAAGTTGGAGGGTAGGTAGTGGTATCCTCATTTCACAGAGGAGAACAATGAGGGTCTTGGTAAGGAAAAGGACCCTGTCATAGTCAGGAAACTAGAAGAGTAGAACTGATATTCAAACTCAGATTTATTTTCTCTAAGATTTATGTTCGTAATTACTTCTTAATTTTTAGGGAGCTCATCTACCTTCCTATGTTTACTAAGGTGGTCAAGGGAAAACTGAACAATGGTTTAAGATATTAAGGCTGCTAGTAATAAGCATGTAAAAGGTGTTTAGGTAAGTTTTTAAAAGGAACTGAGGGTTTCTTAATTGTGATGTTTCCTTAATTTATATCAGAGCAATCAAACAAATATTAGATAAAGACAGCTTTGTAATTGAGCAAATGAAGTGAGCAAATGGTGACAGATTATCTCAGGGAAAATGAGGTGGTCCTTCTGTTAAACTGGAGATTTTGTGTCTGCAGCAGCAAAAGAAAGATGTTTACAATGATAGACACCCTACTAAAAATTTCTCTTTTCCCACTACCTGGCTTACTCTCTGAATTACAGCAGTTTTCTCTCAGCCATTGTTATTCCTGTCTGCCACTAAACCTTTGAGGGCAGGGACCAATTGTCTTCTCATTGTATCCTCAGTCCCTAGCTCACTGCTGACACAGGAGAGGTACTCATGTATTTGAATGACTGGTAAGAATATCTTTGGGAATTCTTTGGGGCTGTTTGGTCATCAGCTTCAACAGATGCAAAATCCCTAGAATATCAAGATGTCATCTTATTGAGGACAATTAAAGAAGCTCTGCAGAAAAGAGAGTTAGGTGCAGAGTGATGATATGTGTGGGGTGCAGACCATATATCATATGTGGAAGGGAGAGGGGAAAAGATTTGTCTGCTGTATTTTTTCTGATCAAACCCTGGATTACTTTGTGTAGCATGACAGGGTGGATAGAACCTAGATTTAGTGTGTCAGACATGGGTTTCAGTTTTCACTGTATCAACACTGGCTAGTGATGTGACTTGAAAAAACTATGTAACTTCTCTGAGCCTCATCTCTAAAATTGGTGTATGAGGAATACACCGCAGGATTAGTATGAGGAAAGTTCCTGGAATAGTGTATGGCACATAGGTGCTCAACATTGTTCCCGCCTTCCATATAAAATATACTCTGCCTCACTCTGGGATTTAAGTAAGGGTGTAGTTTCTCAATTTACAGCATGTACAGCATGTGGTGTGTGTGTGTGTGTGTGCCTGTGTGTGCTGTGTGTGCATTTGTGTGTGTGAGAGAGAGAGAGAGGTTTGGATGAGAGGGAAGAGAAGACAAAAGAGAGACTTAAGAGTATGGTAAGCTTTTTTTTTTTTTTTTTTTTTGAGACGTAGTTTCGCTCTTATTGCCCAGGCTGGAGTACAATGGCACAATCTCAGCTCATAGCAACCTCTGCCTCCCGGGTTCAAGCAATTCTCCTGCCTCAGCCTCCTGAGTAGCTGGGATTACAGGCATGCGCCACCATGCCTGGCTAACTTTTTTATTTGTAGTAGAGATGGGGTTTCACCATGTTGGTCAGGCTGGTCTCAAACTCCTGACCTAAGGTAATCCACCTGCCTTGGCCTCCCAAAGTGCTGGGATTACAGGCGTGAACCACCACGCCCGGCTGTATAGTAAGCTTTTAGGTATAATTGAAAGGCCTTAGGTTAATATGACAACAGTGCAGTGAAACCTTTTGTGTGTGTCAACAACTGAGTTTCACGTAAAATGCTGAGGTCAATCCTGCGTGACTATTAAGGACACATTATGTTAATATACTTTAATTTAAACATGAGTTGAAAGGGTATTTTCTATTTTTGGTCTTCCTGTCATGGTTTTGGTGATTAGACCTAGGAATATAGTTTGGTCATAGGACTTGGACTTTCTTAATTTATTATCCACCTGCTGCAAAACCTTCTTGATGTCCCAGAGAATTCATTTTAAACTCTTCTATTTGTTGTTCAAGCCCCTGTACCTTCTGCTCTGCTTTTTCTGCCCACATTTTCCACCCTCTTACCTTTTCTTTTTTTTCTTTTAAGCTGGTCTTATTTGGGCTAAGTAACCAGATGGTGGTAGCTTTCAAGGAAGAGAATACTATAGCATTCAAACACCTTTTCCTAAAAGGATATATGGACCGAATGGATGACACATATGCAGTGTACACACAAAGTGACGTGTATGATCAGTTAATCTTCGCAGTAAACCAGGTAAATCAAGTGTGTGCATTATTTACTTGGGAAAAAGAACAGACTGGAAAAATGGTGGCAATGTACATAATAGAAACTGACATTCAAGTGGAGAAGGGTGAACATTTCTGCTTGGAAATGACACATACAAAATTATTTTTAATTTTTTAAAAATATTGTCAACAAATTTTTATAAAACCAGAAGTTGAGAAAAGCTTTTGTTTAGTAACAGAAAGGCAGAAACTTTGAAGATTTAATTAAAAGAATCAGAGTTAGGGCTTGGCATGGGAGTCTCAAAGATTGAAATTACTAACTATGACCCTGGGTATAAGTAGTCATTAAGTCCTCAGAGCTGAAAGTATACTTTCAGGGCCTCTTAACAAATAATGAGAATATTAACTTTTCATAGTTTGTACAGCAACCAAGACCTAAAAATTCACTTGAAAGTAAGGCCTTTATGTCATACATGACAATGATTTTATTGTGACATTGACTAACTGCCAAACAAAAAACAAGCTTGTTTTTCATATAGATGAATGCTGTATTTTATTCTGAGTTTGTAATATATATTTTTGCCAGAAATAATATATTTTTCTCAAGACCCCAAATTTTTAAATCTCTAGGTGTCATTGAAAGCGTCCTTGAAGTCAGCATTCCCAGACTGGGTTAGTTTGAAGGACACATTTCAAAATTATTACAATTTTTCTTCAGAAAATTATTATCGTATAATCATGGCTATTCATTTTCTAGAGACAGTCTATGCACAGTAAGATGTAAACTGCTAGGATAAAATACATATTTATGGCATGAAGTCTTTCTGTTAGCACTGGGGTTGGGAAAATGAGCCAGAAATCTAAAGTAATAGAAATAAGTTACATAAACTGTTCAACAGAACTATGTCCTACAGCTTGTAGGGGGAAGAAGGCATAATGATGGAGATACTCCGTTTTTAGAATTTTAAGTATATTACGTTTCTCTAAAGCTAGTCTGATCTAAACTGGTAGTTTGGTGTTTTTCGAGGGGTGGCGGGGAGTGGGATAGAGGCAAGAGGTAAACAGTTCATTAAATTTTTTTTTTTTTGAGACAGGATCTCACTCTGTCACCCAGGCTGCAGTGCAGTGGTGCAGTCACAGCTCTCTGCAGACTCAACCTCCTGGGCACAAGTGATCTTCCCACCTTAGCCTCCCAAGCAGCTGGGGCCACAGGCATGCACCACCATGCTTGGCTAATTAAAAAAAAATTTTTTTTATAGAGACAGGGTCTCCCTATGTTGCCCAGGTTGCTCAAACTCCTGGCCTCAAGTGATCCTCCCATCTCAGCCTCCCAAAGTGCATTAAATTCCTTATAAATCATCTTAACCTTTATTCGTAGACCTAGACTCAGTCTTCAAAATGTAGTATTTGGCACTTAGGCCATTCTGCTTTTTCAGATTTCCACATTCCTTCTGGAAATGCAGGTACCTGCTTTATTCTAGTTGTCTTGGTCTGTTCCTTCTGCTGCAACAAAATACCTGAGACTAGATAACAGACAAACAACAGAAATTTCTGCCTAATAATTCCGGAGCCGGGGAAGTCCAAGATCACTTACCTTACCACTGGTAATGGCTTGCACCTTCTTGCTGTATTCTTACATGATGGAAGGCAGAAGGACAAAATGGCCTGGCTAATTTCTCCCAGCCTTTTATAAGGCCAGTAGTCCTATTCATGATTGTTGACCTCCTAAAGACTCCACCTCTTAAGACTATCATATTGGGGTTTAATTTCCACCATAAGAACTTTGGAGGGACACATACATTCCATGTATGACTCCCTACTGTTGATTCCCTACTGTTTTCTAAGATGATTTACTGTTTTTCTAAGCACCAGTAGGTACTTTTAGCTGAAGATAAAAAGTGTCTTGATCAAAATTTTTATGAATAAGTAGGGTTTTGAGTGTTAATGAGGTCTAATGAGGTCAGTTCTCTTTCAGGCTTCTGAGAAATGAATAGAAAAAATGTGAGTTAATATTTTTTATTTTTTATTTTATTTTTTATTTTTGAGACAGGGTCTCACCATGTCACCCAGGCTGAAGTGCAGTGGCGCAATCTTGGCTCACTGCAACCTCTGCCTCCTGCGCTCAAGCAATTCTCCCATCTCAGCCTCCTGAGTAGCTGGGATTACAGGCTCCCGTCACTACCCCCAGCTAATTTTTTTTTGTATTTTTAGTAGAAGCAGGGTTTCGCCATATTAGCCAGACTGGTCTTGAACTCCTGACCTCAAGTGATCTGCCCGCCTTGGCCTCCCAAAGTGCTGGAATTACAGGTGTGAGCCACTGCACCTGGCCAAAATGTAAATTGTTATTAAAACAGGAAGGATCTTTGTTTTCTGTGAAGAAAGCATTTCTTTACTTAATAGTTGAGGTGATTGTTACTGAGAGGAACTGACAAATAGGGCAGTGGCATCTCAGTTCTTAGAAGCATATCCATGACTATTAGTTATCCCCAAGGGTTTAGCCCCAAGATGTCATCCTACTGGATAATCTCCAGGGCTCATTCTGATCCAATACTGTGATTATAACAGCACTACTGTTTATTATATATGTTTCTATATTTGAATGTGAGAGACCTTATTTTCTTTTTAGGCTGTCTCCTGGCTTTCCTCTTATTTCTTTAATAATTTTTGGGTCAGCTTTATTGGCTCCTTTTCTTTCATCTGCCTCTTAAATTTGAGCAGTCCTCAAAGCTTGGTCGTTTTCCTACAGAAATGTCCTCCACTACCCAGCCTCAGCCATCAGTATGATGAAGGGACTCCTAAGCAGTTGCCCACACTGCCAGACACCTACCTCACAAGCACCTCAGAACTGCCCATCCAAGAGCAGCTTCATATTCTCCTCCCACCCACTCCCTAGGCTGTTTCTTCCTTCTGGTCTTCTGGCTTAGGTTGAAAGGCCTCAGGGTCTTCCGGGAATCATTTATTCTTGCAGCTCAAACATAGTTTATAAATTCCTGTTTCTGGATGGCTTCCTTTCTTTCCTACCCACCCTGCCCTACCACCTCTTGCTTTTGGTGCCACAGCATTTAGCTAAGGACATTTAATGTGTTTTTATATTACCACTCAAAGGCTGACCTGGGACCCATGAATCTGACTGAAAACTCCTTCTCTCAAGGCAGAGCTGCAGAGACCAGGAGGGACGGATGCCCAGACTAATTAAAGCTCCTCCAAGGCCTCAGCCACTTGGCTGCTCTGTGCCGTCTCACCATTGTTAGTTCCACCAGTTAGTTCCAACCATCATCTCATACCACATTTCTGTCCCGTAACCCTCTGTCTTGGGCTCTAGAGCTGCCCTCTAGCTGGACACAGCCCTGCTGCTTCCCTAGATTACCCAGTTCTTGCCAGATGCTCAGACCTGCACAAAGAGCCATATGAAGAGCTCAAGGAAGTCTGGCTATAGCGTATATAGTTAATGTATATATTATATAACGTAACTATGTGGTGTATGTAGGTATAATGTGAACAGGTACCTGCAGCCGTGGGTCTCAGATCTTTCACAGTTCAAGAACTTAAAAGGTTTAAGACACAAGATTCTGTGGTCAGGAGGTTCAGACCTTTAGGTGATTCTTGTGGGGACTGCCCCACAATTACACCTGGACTCTGGGAGAGTTGTAGGCCCCATCACAGCTATGACTGTGCGTCGTGACCCCTGCTTGCCTTTCCCAGTTTACCTCCCATTACACATCATATGTTCTAGGCACACTGGTCTACTGGGTACCTTAAATGGAAAACAAAAATCTCAAAACTGAGTATCTCCAGCATTATTCTACTTTATCCCTATATGCCAAGCATAATGTTGTTTACTAGCTTAGGAAGCTTGCTTCTGTTACCATAGATTTCTGGCTCACTTTCCCAATCCTAATGCTAACAGAAAGCTTGGTGCCATAATCACCTATCTTATCCTAACAGTTTACCAACTCACTGTGCACAGATTAGCTCTAGTAATGAAGAGCTCCATCGCATTATTATAATTTTTCACCTCACCATTAATCTGACAAATATTTGAGCACCTACTGTGTGCCTGCAGGGCTGGTGTTAGAGCAGTGAATTGATAAATTCCCTGTCCTGTGGAACTTGCATTCTAATGGGGGAGATAGATTTTAAACAAGTTTAACTAAAATCTTTTGGTTTAGGGTAATGATAAGTGCTATGAAGAAAAATAAACTAGCATAAGGCAATAACAGTAGTCTCGGAGTGGTCAGAAAATGCCTTTCTGAAGACTTGAAATCTTGGGGAGAATATTTCAAGCTGAAGGCGTGGCAACAGAAGGCCCTGAAGCTGGAAAGCGTTTGGTATGTTTGAGAAAATGCGAGGGAGGCAAGTATGAGGGGGCAGAGTTAGGGCCAGGGGAGCTGGGGGCCAGGTCTCTCAGGACATGGAAAGGAGCCTTGAATGTTATTCTGAGAGAGACAGGAAGCCATGGAAGGGCTTTTGATAGGGGAGAGACAATGATAATATACATAAGCAAAATCTAACATGTATTCACTCAAATATTTATTAAATAGTATCTATTGGTTGGGTACGGTGGCTCATGCCTGTAATCCCAGCACTTTGGGAGGTTGAGGTGGGCAGATCACGAGGTCAGGAGATCGAGAACTTCCTGGCTAACATGGTGAAACCCTGTCTCTACTTCTACAAAAAAATTAGCCGGGTGTGGTAGCATGAGCCTGTACTCCCAGCTACTCAGGAGGCTGAGGCAGGAGAATTGCTTGAACCCAGGAGGCAGAGGTTGCAGTGAGCCGAGATCATGCCACTGCACTCCAGCCTGGGTGACAGAGCGAGACTCCCTCTCAAAAACAAAAACAAACAAAAATAGTATCTATTATGTATCAGGCACTTTTTGTGTGTGCAAGGGTACTGCAGTGAACAAATAAAGTCAAGGAGGTCATATTCTCATTGGAAGAGCCAGGTAGTAAATAAGTATAGAAGAGCATCATCTGTCAGTTTGTTATAAGTACTGTGAAATACAAAACAAAGCCAGCAAAGTGAATAGCTGGAGGTGGTTGGAGAAGGTCTCTCTGACAAGGTGACATGTAAGCAGACAGCAGACTAAAGAGAGAGCATGCAGCCTGTGTCTATCTCAAGGAAGAACCTTCCAGATAGGAAGAACAGTAAAAACAAGAGTCTTGAGCAGGTGTATTTTGGATATCACTGTTCTAAGAGCTGTACATGCATGAATTCATTCACTCTTTATAGCAATCCTATGAGTTCTAGATGGAGACTAGACTAAGGTGAGAGGGAGGATTGGAGAGGCAGAGGCTTAATTTTTTAGGGGAGAGAGGATGGTGGTTTGGACTGAGGCCATATCAGTGAAGGTGATGAGAGACAGTCCTATTTGTGGTGAAGAGGCTCAGATTTTTAAGTGATTCTTTTGCAGAGATAATTTGAAAGTCATGCATGACTTTCAGATGGACTGGAAGTGGAGTATAAGAGGAATTGACAAAAGGATCTTTCCTAAGTTTTGGCCTGAACAACTGACTGACTTACAGAATAATTTATTGAGAAGGGAATTACTATGGAAGAAGCAGGTGTTTCTGTTTGCCCATTTACTAGAGATTCCTCTTAGACACCATAGGCATCATGTAGGCAGATTGTCATCCATGTGTGGTATTCAGTGGAAAGGTCAGAGCTGAAGATGCAAATTTGGAAGCTGTCAGCATAGAGGTGGTATTTGAAATATGGGACTGGTTGAAGTCAGCTGTGGAGAGAATGTGGATAGAGGTCAAGGCCTGAACCCAAAGATAGGCCAAAATATAGAGGTTGGCAGTGGGAGGATTTCAGCAAAGGAGACCAAGAAGAAACAATCAGTGTCCCAGAAGTCAAGTAAAGAAAGTATTCCGTGTAGGAGGAGCATTCAACTGCATCAAATACCATGGAGATGTCAAGTTATAGGAGGACTGAGAACTAGGCATCAGATTTGGTAATACACTGCTCATTAGTGACCTTGACAAGGTCCAACTCAAAATCCATCCCATATTAGAAATTATTTTATTCATTTGTCATAGCATGCTTCACTCATATCTTTTAGCAGAATTATTTTCTATGTGTCGATCACACAAAGTTGTTCATTTCAAGAGTGACAGAATGACCAACTGTACCAGACATATTGCTCCAAAAACACTTTGTTTTGGAAACATGTCTGCAGACATCCATTAAGAATTTAAGATGACAGTTATTCCAAGGCACCGTAAGATTCTTACTTGTAAAAGTAATTTTTTTAAATGTAGAGGACCCACTAGGATAGGCAATATTGGTATAAAGGTGATTAAATTATAATCTTGCAAAGATAAAGGTTAAACCAATACTTTCTTTAAAAAAGGTTTTGCTGGCTAGCCTATAATAATTGTATCCCACTTCTTATACTACAGTGTTAAAGTAGAACTCTGACCTTACAGGAGATAGTTTAAAGATAAATATGTATTTACATTGAATATCACCTGAATTAAACATAATTCTTTAAGGGAGGAAAGAAATGCAAAGAGTATGTGGCTTCAGACTTTAATTTTACAGATCAGGAACTAGAAGGTCAGAAAGTTTGTCACAGAAATGAGGCTTGAATCTAGAACTCTAATTTGTGAGTGCCCTTTGCCTTCCTAGTGCACAGCAGCAAGTCACTTACCCTGTTTATCAAAGTGAATGTCTCTATCCCAAGGGAACCTGCCAGGATCAGAGGTGGGGAGGGAGGGGAGTTATGGCTTCACTCCTGCCCTGGCTGGCATTCCCATTTTCTGTTTCTCATTTTGGTTGAAGTACTTGCAGCTATACAATGTCTCCGTTGGGAATCATGCTTATGAGAACAAAGGTACCAAGCAATCTGCTATGGCAATCTGTCAGCACTTCTACAAGCGAGGAAACATCTACCCTGGAAATGATACCTTTGACATCGATCCAGAAATTGAAACTGGTGATGTTCTTCTATAACCTAGAACCTCAATTTTTAACACCTCAATTTATATTTAAAATTAGTAATTTCATCTTTGAAAACATTGATTTGGTCTGTGATATTAGGACATAGTAAGAATGATATACGAGTTATTATGTGTCAGGTACTGTTCTGAGCCCTTTACTATAACTCAAGAATCCTCAAGGAAACCCAGCAAGTCAAGGATTATTATTATCCCCTTTTATAGAAGACTAAATTATGGCTCAGAGAGTTAAATGATCTGCCAAAGATGGAGCTAGAAGAGGCAGTGCTGAAATTGGGCTCAGGCTGTTTGTGTTCTTAGCTATCGTATTCCACCATCTCTTGTGCAGGATATGCCAGTGAAGTATTAATAGATAGATATAATGTTTGTAAAACATTATGCTTGCAAACTCTTGGTATATATAAAACTCTCCTGCCCCAATACCACTTCACTATCATGCATCTTTGGGGGTAGATTGAAGGGGAGGAATGAAAATCAGAACATGGAATAGCATGGCGTATTCTTCTTAGCAAAGTTCTATTTGCAATTATGCCTAAAATATTAGCTTAGGTCATTGAGTTAAAAAATAAGTATTGAAATACTTTTAACAACAGCCACTAGGATTTTTTTTTCTAGAGATAATACTGATAACAGTACTGAAAGGGAAAACTTTCTAAAATGCTGTCTTCCTTTTTTGGTGTGTGTGTGGGATGTCTATTGAAGAAACATTGTTAGTGCATAATATTTTAAAAATAGATCCCTCAAACTGCTTAGAAAATATTACTGTAATTACTGCAAGTGCTTCAAATCCTATGCTTAGGATACAAAAAGGGGGAGGGACTCAAAGTTTATCTAGGCTTAAAAACGAAGACAGCATTTATATAACATTAATGAAATAGAGTTCAGATCTTTGTCTAGCCTCCATCCACTCCAGAAATGTAGCCACTTAGGTCTTAAAAACACATGAGTCACGGTAACCATGTGGTATCAATGTTTATTTAGCTTTTAAAATTTTAATTCAGAAAAATAATAGAATCTGAAAAATAATAGAATCTGAATAACTGGTCTTAAATGTATCAGCCTTTCAAAATGCAGTCTTATTTAAGTACTGTATCATGTTTTTGTTCCTTTCTATGGCAGAGTGTTTCTTTGTGGAGCCAGATGAACCTTTTCACATTGGGACACCAGCAGAAAATAAACTGAACTTAACACTGGACTTCCACAGGTGAGGGGAGCAGACAGGAGTGTAACTTACGTTTGCACGTATATATTGCCACAGAACTAAAATCACCTCTGTTTTCTAGACTCCTAACAGTGGAGCTTCAGTTTAAACTGAAAGCCATTAATCTGCAGACAGTTCGTCATCAAGAACTCCCTGACTGTTATGACTTTACTCTGACTGTAAGTGTGGGCCAGGCTGAATTTGGTTCCAGTCTGGAGAAAAATTGTTTTATCTGGTAATGTTTCATATCCTTGGATTACGGTGTGATAAAAAAATATAGGATGTTTTCACTTGAATGTGCATAAGGGAAGCATTGATACATCTAGCTCTATTTTGCTATAATAACAAGTTTACTTGTTAGTTATGTCTTCTACACCTCTGTATAAGTTCTAGAAAAGCAGGGACCTTGTTTTGTTCACTACTATTTCCAGTACCACGAACAGTGCCTGGTATAGATTTTCAAACCCAAAAGGAATAGGTGTTTTTAGGTTCTGTGTGGTTGGCTCTCAGCAATCTATGGCTGGCTGTCAGCTAAAGGTTACTGCCAAGGGTTCTTGTTACTTAGTGTCTTCACCATGGATGTTTCCATGTTTGGGGTTTGTAGTATACATCTTTAACTTATTACAGTCTACCTTCAAGTTATACCACTGCACACAGTGTAAGAACCTTACGACAATGTACTTCCATTTCTCCCATCTTGGCCCTCATGCTATTGTGGCCATATAATGTATTTCTACATGTGTTATAAACCCACAATATATGTTATTAATCTCTCTCTCTCTCTCTCTCTTCTTTTTTTGAGACAGAGTCTCGCTCTGTCACCTAGGCTGGAGTGCAGTGGCGCGATCTCGGCTCACTGCAAGCTCCGCCTCCCGGGTTCACGCCATTCTCCTGCCTCAGCCTCCTGAGTAGCTGGGACCACAGGCGTCCGCCACCATGCCCGGCTAATTTTTTGTATTTTTTTTTAGCAGAGACGGGGTTTCACCGCGTTAGCCAGGATGGTCTCGATCTTCTGACTTCGTGATCCACCTGCCTCAGCCTCCCGAAGTGCTGGGATTACAGGCGTGAGCCACCGTGCCCAGCCTATTTTTTCTTTAAACAGTCAATTATCTTTTAAAGTGATTTAAATAATAATAAAAACATTTTTTTATTTGCCCATGTAGCTACCATTTCCAGTGTGCTTCATTCTGTGTGTAGCTCCCAGTTTGTATCTGGTATTATTTTCCTTCTGCCTGAAGGGCTTCCTGCAACATTTCTTACAGTGCAGGTCTGCACTTTCAGCTTTTGTATGTTTAAAAAAGTATTTTGCCTTCCTTTTTAAAGTTCTTATTAGCATCTTTTAAATAAAAATTTTACGAATACGTATTTATGGGGTACAGGTGATATTTTGATGCCAGCATTCAGTGTGTAATGATGAAATAAGGGTAATTGGGACAACATTCACCACCTCAAATATTTACCACTTTTTTATGTTGAGAATATTCTAAATCTACTCCTCTATTTATATTGAAATATAAAATAAATTATTAACTATAGTTGCCATATTGTGCTACTAAACACTAGATCTTATTTCTCCCATCTCACTGTATTTTTTTTTTTTTTTTTGAGATGGATTCTCGCTCCATTGCCAGGCTGGAGTGCAGTGGTGTGATCTTGGCTCACTGCAACCTCTGCCTCCCGGGTTCAAGCGATTCTCCTGCCTCAGCCTCCGGAGTAGCTGGGACTACAGGCACACGTTACCACGCCCAGCTAGTTTTTGTATTTTTAGTAGAGATGGGGTTTCACCATGTTGGCCAGGATGGTCTTGATCTCTTGACCTCGTGATCCACCCACCTCGGCCTCCCAAAGTGCTGGAATTACAGGCATGAGCCACCGTGCCCGGCCCTCACTGTATCTCTATACCTATTAACGAACTCTTATTTATCCCCCACGCCTCCCCAATACCCTTTCTAGCCTCTGGTAACCATTATTCTATTCCAAGCCTTCCTTTGCTAAAGGTAGTTTCCTTGGCTATAGAATTGTAGGTTGACTGTTTTTTTCTTTAGCACTTTAAAGATGTTGCTTCTAGCTTGCATTATTTCTAATGAGAAATCTGCTGTCATCTTTATCTTTGTTCTTATCTATGGGATGTTATTTCCCATCTGTTGGCTTTTAAATTTTTCCTTTATCTCTTACTTTAAAACAATTTGATTGTGAAATGCTTTGATGGTGTTTTCTTAATGTTTCCTGTGTTTAAGGTTCATTGAGCATCTTGGATCTGTAGGTTTATAGTTGTCATTATATTTGATATTTATTCAGCATGATTTTCTTAAAATATATTTGTCACTTCCCCCCACCTTTTCAGAGATTCAGAGACAAAAACGTCTGTATTTGGTTACTTGGAGTTGTCCCATAGTTCAGTAATGATCTGTTTGTTTTATGTCTCAGTTTTTTTCAGTGTGTTTCATTTTGGATATTTTCTGTTGCTATATTTTCAAATTCACTGTTTTTTCTTCTGTGCTATCTAATGTTTTCTAATCCCATCCATTATTTTTCTTCTTTCTTTGGGATTCAGTTTACTGAGATGTGATTGACATTAAGTCCCAGTTTTTTACTCAATAGATATTTAGTGAGCACCTATTATTTGTACAAGTTGGAGGCCCTTTGTGTAGGAAAAGCATGGCTTCTCCGTAGCAAGGATTTCTGACTCAATCAAGTAACACTGAGCGTCCTCCTTGCACGAGGCCATAGGCTGGGTCTTGCAGCCGTTAGGGATATGGGCAGACACTGACTGTGCCCTCAGTTGCTTGTCAAAGAAAGAAGCTTACAATCCCTCATGAGGAGAAATACAGTGGTTGAACTTTTAAAAGTCATTTGAAATCTTATATTTGAAGTGTTTCTGATTACCCCATATGGAGAAGCTTCAATACAATTTATTTAAATGACAAAGTTTTCAAAGAACTTTTTTTCTTCAGGACTTGAGAGAAAGAGAAGAGGCAGAAATGAAACGGATTGATTTTCTTGCCTTGCCTTCCCTGTCCTTGCATAAGGAAGACAGTAGGAAAACTATGGAAGGTGTTCTGGCCTAGCTTTGTCCTGCTTGGCCCCTGGTGTCCTGAAGTGGTTATTCTTGAAGCAAGATGTGACTGTTGACTCCCTGTCACCAAACCCTTTATAATACATGTAGTGCCAACGTGACTAAGAAATCTAGGCCCAGAATAAAAATCAAAAAAGCTCCACTTGAAATGTCTCAAAGCAGAAATAATGAGCCTTTGTATTAGTAAGAATTATAGCAGCACTAAAAATCTACCCCTAACTGAGGTCCTGCCGGAATTTGGGAGAAAGCACAGTTGTACCAGTTCTTGCTCACATGAAGAAGGTATCTGGAGGTACTTAGAACAGAGAGCAAGAGGAAGTGCTCTTGTTATATAAGTTCTTTGGAGTGGAAATGCTGCCCTAGACATATAATGTTTTAGAGACTACAGGGTCTCTGTAGAAGATCTAGTTCATCGTTCTCATTTCACAGAGAAATGAAGAGAACTTCCCATGGTTGAACAGAATTAGCAACAGATCAGAGTTGAGAATCTGGGTCTCCTGTCCCCTTGAAAGAATTGTTTCCTAATTAATGTGTAGAGGTTTCTTGGCTCCAAAACTATAAGTATGTTTTTGACTGTTTTCCTGTCTTCACAGATAACATTTGACAACAAGGCCCATAGTGGAAGAATTAAAATAAGTTTAGATAATGACATTTCCATCAGAGAATGTAAAGACTGGCATGTATCTGGATCAAGTAAGTGATGCGCATTACTAGTTTTCAGAATGGTTATTAAATAATGTAAAATGGTTATTAAAATAGCACCCTCTGGATATCTAGAACAACAAATAGAAGATTAGACCATTTTCAAGTCCCTAAACCTCTACAAGTAGATCAACTCTGATGTTTCAGGCAATATGTGAGTCATGAATAACTGAAATGGCCTTCCTCTCCTTGTGCCCTCACTTGCCCACTCCTGACCAAGAATGTACTCACAGTCCCCCGCCACCAAAACCCTACATACATCTTCCCAGACCAACACTTACCGAGTGCATGCTGTGTACCTACTTCCACCTTAGTTTTCTTCATTTTAATATTTTTAAATGCCCTTAAGATAGGGAGAATCCTTATTTTTACAGATGAAGAAACTAAGGCTCAGAAGCCAGGGGCAAGTCAGGTAGGATGTGACCCTGCAGCATCCCACATATTATGATTGTCTTCAGTCCATTTAAAAGTGTACTGAAAGAGGAAAGGATCTACTCTTAGAAATATGGACAAAAATTCAGGTGTAGACCAAATACTGTCAAGAATTTTGGAGCTGAACTGGAGAGAATTGCCTGGAAAGAATTTATCTAATTTTCTAGTCTCTCATAAGTGACATAATGGTACATCGTACTGGACTTAATGGTCGCTAGATGAGGAGTTCTCAGATTCTAATCAGCAGAAGAATCATCCTGGGTACCTGCTATGATGCAGTTTCCCCAGCTCTATGCAAGCCAGTAGGTCTGGGGTGGGGCCTAGAAATGTGTAAATAGTCCTTACTCAGACTATACTTGGATAATCACAGTTCTAAAGTTTCTTACTAATTGATTTGCCAAGTTCAGACGTAATAATGAGATAGAGTAAATAAAATGAAATTTTGCCATGATAGTATTTTTTTCACTAATAGGTAACTTCAAATATATGAGGCTCTTGAGTCACATTTGAAACATAAGCCTGTTTTGTCATCTGTATACTTTATAATCATTCTCCACAAACACCAGAATGAGGAAAATGACAGCATACACAAGTGTCTGGCACCTAGGCATTCTCTCAAATGTTTGTTTCTTAATTTGTAAGTTTCTCTAAAGTCAATTTAGACATTTATGTAGTAATTATGCTCCTTGGCAGATACTAATGGGATGCTTCATCACAGAGCTAGTTTTAAGTACTTTCTTTTTTTTGTCAGCAGAGAGCAGTCTAACTTGTTAAATAGAGACAAGCTCTGTGGCAGTGTACAATGGCTGACACCTCTGCCCACCTCTCTCCATTGGCTCCACGCATGGTGGCCAGGACTTCGCACTTTCGATTCTCCAAAATCTCCATAAGGGTGGCTCTTTCTTATCACTCAGGTTTCAGCTAAAACCCCCTGCTCCCTCAGTGAGGCCTTCCTTTACTATGCAATATAAATCAACCTCTCTGCTTCCACATTGCCCGACACTAACCTCCCTCATATAGAGCAGTAGGTCTCAAACTTTAGCATCACCTGGAGGGCTTGCAGAAACCCAGTTTCTGATTCAGTGGGTCTGGAGTAGGACCTGAGAATGTGCATCTCTAACAAGCTCCCAAAAAATGCCAAGAACCACTGACATAGAGTGATGGACACTGGAAACAAACTGCACAGATTTTCCCCCAGCTCTTTCACTGACTAGCCCTGCAACTGTGGGGAAATCATGTGACCTCTCTGTGCTTCAGGTTTCTCGCCTGCAAAGTGGGGATAATCATGCTTACCTCATTGGAGTTGCTGTGAAGATCAAATAGGTTAACACATATAAAGTGTTTAGAGCTATGTTTGGCAAGAAATGTGCTCAATACATGTTAGCTATTGTGATTTATCTTCTTTCTATTACTTACTCCTATCTGAAAGTATTTTGTTATGTGTTTGTTTACTTCTTTGTAGTAGAATAGAAGTTCCACAGATCAAGGGCCTTGTCTATCTTGTTCACCACTGTATCCTAACATCTAGAAAAATGCCTGACACATAGTGAATGCATAATAAATATTTTATACCTAGATAAGTACATTTTAATAGAATATGCAGGGAGATGGGCCTGGGCATGGTGGCTCATGTCTGTAATCTCAGCACTTTGGGAGGCTGAGGTGAGAGGATCACTTGAGACCAGGAGTTCAAGACCAACCATGGCAACAAAGTGAAACCCTGTCTCTACAAAAAAATTAAAAATTAGCCCGGTATGGTGGCATACCTATAGTTCCAGCTACGAGGGAGGCTGAGGAAAAAAAAAAAGAATATGCAGGGAGGTAATTGTATTAAGAACAAAAGACTACAGGCTTATAATTAAAGATCTTGGAATGATAGTTGTGGTGATTTTTCTTTTTTTTTTTTTTGAGATGGAGTCTCGCTCTGTCACCCAGCCTGGAGTACAGTGGCATGATCTTGGCTCACTGCAAACTCCACCTTCCAGGTCCACGCCATTCTGCTGCCTCAGCCTCCCAAGTAGCTGGGACTACAGGCGCTCACCACCATGCCCGGCTAATTTTTTTGTATTTTTAGTAGAGACAGGGTTTCACCGCATTGGCCAGGATGGTCTTGATCTCCTGACCTTGTGATCCGCCTGCCTCGGCCTCCCAAAGTGCTGGGATTACAGGCATGAGCCACCACACCCAGCCTCAGTTGTGGTGATTTTTTAAAAGAAAGACTTTTGCCCTTCTTCAAATACTAATTGGAAGACCGTTTATCAGGGCTTCTTTGTTGTCTTACCAGAAAGAATGCTTGAATTATTTAAATGATTCTAAAAAGAAGATGTCACCATATTAATGTCCCACTACATAAGCACTATGTAATCCTCTTTGCTTTCAGTTCAGAAGAACACTCATTACATGATGATCTTTGATGCCTTTGTCATTCTGACTTGCTTGGTTTCATTAATCCTCTGCATTAGATCTGTGATTAGAGGACTTCAGCTTCAGCAGGTAGGGAACGTTGCTTTCTAGGAATGCTACTGACATTTTGATTGACAGAGACATTCACTGTGCCTCCCCTCTTTTCCCTAAAGGAGTTTGTCAATTTTTTCCTCCTCCATTATAAGAAGGAAGTTTCTGTTTCTGATCAAATGGAATTTGTCAATGGATGGTACATTATGATTATTATTAGTGACATATTGACAATCATTGGATCAATTCTAAAAATGGAAATCCAAGCTAAGGTAATTTTTTTCCTAATCATGCTATTGTTAGTGTCAGATTTGCACTAATGGTAATGTATTTTTCCAGAATGTAAGAATTTTCAGAATGAATTGTTTCTTCCAAACTGTATATCAAGTAGACTTGAAATTGGTAATGGTAATTTTCTTAAATCTAGTCAGGAGGTCTCTTAGGCAGAGTTTTTCAAAGTGTGATCCACAAACCATTGCATCAGAATCATTGGGTGCCTGGTAAAGTGTACCATGTTAGACCTACTGAATTCAGACTCTTCGGCGGGGCCTGTGAATTCTTACACACACCAAAATTCATACACAACCAAGGTAACTAAGGTAAGAGTTTTTTTTTTTTTTTTAATCTTACAAGAAATGCTCGAATCTTTAACAAAAATGAGTGGGGCTATAGGGGAAAGTGAGGTCAAGGCACTATGGTGTGCATGCTTGCATTTGTTTCCTCCGTCCATTCAAAGTGAGAATGCTCCCATTTTCTTACTTTACCATTGATGTGCTACAAGCTTATTTATTTTAAGACTAACCTAGCCTAAAAATCAACTGTCCCCACAAAATAAAAATCACATTAAAAAAACTAATAGTGTTCAGACTAATCTTGCTCAAACTTATGTTTCCCTAGTCTTGATGCAACTGATTGAGTCACCTGGGGAGTTGGTTATAAACCTGGGCAGAGACCCCAAATGCAATGGCTCAGAGAAGATAGGAGCTTATTTCTGTCTTATGCAATAGTCAGAATGGGTTTTACAGACTGGTGAGTAGCTCAACATCTCACAGTCATTCAGGCACCCATGTTCCTCCCATTTTGTTTCTCTGCCACCCCTTAAGGACTTGCCCTGACTGCATGATTATTGCCGTGTTGCCTCAAACAGGTTGCAGCTTATGGGAAGCAAAAACACGGTATGGTAGAAGCTCTCCCATAGACTGATGGCTTGGCTCAAGAGTGGCCGACTTTATTTCTGTACATATCCCACTGGATAGAATTTAGTCAATCCTAACTGCAGAGGGAGCCAGGGAACACAGCCCAGGCATGTGCCTAGGAAGGGGAGAATGGGTTTAGGTTGACACTTAGCAGCTGCCACTATATGTGGCTATAGTATGTATCATTGGAATAGATGTTTAACTTTAGGGACAAATAAAAAACCAAAACAAAAAAAGGAGTAAGGGGAGAGATTTGCAGCAAATCTTTATTTTTACCAACCTCAACTATCATTAATTTCAGTGAACCCTAAATGGTATCCAACAAAATATCTTTCTAGACCATTCACCGTCTCTGCCTCATAGATGATCATATCATGTTTTCTTCTCTTCTGAAACCTCTAATACCCTTGTCCTATCCTCATTCTAAGCTGATGACCTTACTTCCTATTTCACAAAAATAATAGAAAAAAAAAACAGAATTTCCACAAACCCCCACCTAATTTATCTGCCTCCTGCCATCAGTGCCAATATACTGTGCTTTTCTTCTGTGGATACATTATTTAGGCCACTATTCAGGGCCAACCCCTCCACCTGCCTACTAGAGGCCATCACCACTTGTTTATTCAAGGGCACAGCTCCAGGTAGTTTTCCTTCTCTTGGGGATCATCAGTTTCCTTCTGTCTACCAGGTCATTCCCATTAGCATGTTTTTGCCGCTTTTCTTAAGAGATAATATCTCAACCCTAATTCCTCCCGCTAACTTACTACCATCATTTATTTAGTAAAATATCTCAAAAAAGTAGTTAATCTTGTTGTTTCTGATTCTGCTCCTCCCCTCCCCCACCTGTTTTTTTTAAGAGACAGGATTTCACTCTATTGCCCAGGCTGGAGTGCAGTGGCGCGATTATAGCTCACTGCAGCCTCAAACTCCCGGGCTCAAGCAATCCTCCCACCTCACAGCCCCCCAAAATCTCATTCTTTCGGTGTCTGTTCCAATCAGGCTGCCCTGCCACTCCAAGGAAAGTGTTCTTTTCAGTGTCCTCTCATGCTGATAAGTCCAATAACCAACTATGTACCCTCATGCTGACCTAGCAGCAGCTTTGAATACTGCCAAGCACTCCCTTTTTGTTGACATGCTTTCAATGGACTATCACCTGGTTTTCCTCCTAAGTCACTGGCTGGTCTTCTGACTTTGCTGGTTCCCTCACATCTCACCAACCTATTAAGGTGATAATGCTTCAAGGCATAGTGCTTGGACATCTTCTCTTTTCTGCCACTGTCTTGGTAATCTCATCCTGTCCCACAGCTTAGTATCTATATGCCAATGATTCCCAAATCTATACCCCCACTTAGAATTCTTCCCTGAACTCCAGATTCGCATATCCACCATTTAGTCTATATCTCCACTTGGATGTCTGCTTTTCCTCTCAAATTTAACACACCTAAAACAGAACATCTAAAGCCCCCACCTCTGCAGTCAAAACCTGCTTTTCCCATAGCCTTTCAAATTTCGGTTAATGGTAACTCTCATCAGTTACTCAAGCCAAAAATCTTGGATTCATCACAGACTCCTCTCTTTCACTAATCTCTTCTTTCCCACATCTAATCCAAGAGGAAATCCTATTGTTCTACCTTCATTGGCCAGGCACTGTGACTCATATAATCCCAGCACATTGGGAGGCTGAGGCGGGAGGATGGCTTGAGCCCAGGAGTTCCAGACCAGCCTGGGAAACATAGTGAGACCCCATCTCTACAAAAAATTAAAAAAATTAGCAGTCAAGGTGGCATGTGTCTGTAATCCAAGCTACTTGGGAGGCTAAGGTGGGAGGATTTCTTGAGCACAGGAAGTCGAGGCTGCATTGAGCCACAATTGTGCCACGGCACTCCAGCCTGGGTGACAGAGTGAGACCCCTGTTTCCAAAAAAAAAAAAAAAAAAAAAAGAATAAAAATCACCTGGTCAACTCCACTATTACCAGCCTGGTCCAAGCTACTATCTCTCATTTATATTATTGCAATAGCATCCTCACTCCTCCAACAACCTGCTGTCAACCACAGCAGCCAACATCTGATCATATCACTTCTGTTTGTGGTTCTCAAATCTCCCCAATTGAGTTACAGTAAAAGACAAACTTGGTGAGTGCCACCTTATCTCTATAACTGTATACCCTTTCTATTGCTCACTCCAGCCAGATGCAATATCCTTGCCAAGCACCCTCCTGTCTCAGGGCCTTTGCACTTGCCAGTCCCTGTGCCTGGAAGGCTTCTCCCCTAGATTTTTGCATGACTTCTCCCTCCCTCCCTTCAGATCTTTGCTCAAATGCCTTCTTTTTAGTGTATGTAAAATGACAAACCCATACCCATTCCTTATCCCCTCCTCTGAATTTTCTCTTCAGCAATTATCAGCAGCAAGTGTCCCAAAGTTTCTATTAACTTATTTCTGTTGTCTCTTTCTTCCCTCCACTAGAATGTAAGCTTTATGAGAGCAGAGACTTTTGTTTGTTCACTGCTTTATCCTTAGCACCTAAAACAGTGCCTTACTCATACTTACCTCAATATTTATTGCCAAATGAATTTCTGCTTTATAATCTGATTATATTTTTCCACTCTCTCTTAGAGTCTAACTAGTTATGATGTCTGTAGCATACTTCTTGGGACTTCTACCATGCTCGTGTGGCTTGGAGTCATCCGATACCTCGGTTTCTTTGCAAAGTACAACGTAAGGAATTCCACGGATCTCCATGCTGTTGGTATTTCTCTCAAAGTTATTGCACTGCTTTGGCTAAAGGACAAAACCATTCTAATGGCCTCTCTTACTTTCCCAGCTCCTCATTTTGACCCTTCAGGCAGCGCTGCCCAATGTCATCAGGTTCTGCTGCTGTGCAGCTATGATTTACTTAGGTTACTGCTTCTGTGGATGGATCGTGCTGGGGCCTTACCATGACAAGGTACTGATAAACAACTTTTTTCCTGTTACTATTAAGCTTTTAGCATAGTGCCAGTGGCTTGTTATCCTTTTTCAATGAACTCCTTTTATTTTGTGATTCAGCCTTAAAATGTTGAAGGTAGTATATCTAGTGCCATATTTATAAAGTGAAAGGGTGTGACCAGCTTGAGAGAATATTTGATGTACTCAACTGTCTCACATTCTTTCTTGCAATATATCAGGTAATTAAGTCCCGTTTACCACCAGTGAAGTCAAGTTTAGTCAATTTGATTCATCGATATATCCAAAAGCAGTCTCTTCAGATAAGCCTTCTCAAAATGTGACATTATTTAAAAAGTAGCATAGGGGGAAACTTGTAGAAATATTTGAAAATTTTATTACTAGAGCTATAGTCTGGAATATTATGCTCTTATCTTAAATGAAATGAACTTTAAAATGAGATGTATGAGCATGCATGGTTGGGACCTGGGTATCTCTGCACAGGCATTTCAAGGTCTCTTTAAGGTAAAGGGCAGATGCAAGGCTTGATTCAAAAAAGCACTGAGGGTGCAGAGCAGCTCCTACATTTGATTTAGGCTAGTTTAAGAGAAAGCTGCTTGTCTCAGGAAAAAATAGTAGGCTTATTTATGTTATATGCATCACAAAGCAAATGTGTGTGGTTACCTCAGGTTATTTGTTTGAAAATGGTAGCTTGGGTTATCTGGTCCCTTTATGTTTAATACAATGTCATGAACAAAGGTCTCCAATGGGAAGGAACATGGAATAAAGTGAACTTTTCTCTTTTCTTTTTCCAGTTTCGTTCTCTGAACATGGTCTCTGAGTGCCTTTTCTCTCTGATAAATGGAGATGATATGTTTGCCACGTTTGCAAAAATGCAGCAAAAAAGTTACTTAGTCTGGCTGTTTAGTAGAATTTACCTCTACTCATTCATCAGCCTCTTTATATATATGATTTTAAGTCTTTTCATTGCACTGATCACTGATACATACGAAACAATTAAGGTAGGTTTATCAAGAGCCATAAGTAGTAGCATTGTCCTATAACTTGTAGAGTAGCAGTAAAATTCAGTACCTAATGGTAGAAGAAAAGTTGATGGAATGTTAATTTCTTCAGGATAGAGAAAAAGGACCTTATTTTTAGAAATTGATAAATAGAACTAGTGGAAAAATTGAATGTTGAAAGTCTTAGTCTCTAAGTAGTTATACTTTCTCACACAAGCTTTCTAACCTTTTATTAGAATTATAAGGGTCATTAGAAGTCTGGGGGGCAAAGAGTAAAAAACTAAATAAAGAATTATAAGGGTTAGTAGATATTGTGTGAATAAAACATATGGCATTTCAGAAAGCCAAAATATTGTGGGGAACATAAAAACTCCAATTTTCATAAAGAAAAATTGACCCCTTTGTTTTGAGTGTACTGTAACTGAGCCCATTTTCTTTGCAAGGCCCTGCAGGGCACAAGCCCAGGGGCCCAGCCTCCAGAATAGCAAAAGGATTAATGGGTCCAGTACTAGCATGTAGCTTTATACAGTCAGATACCTGAACTGAAAAGCTATTGTCATTCATATAAAATCTTTTAAAAATCAATTTGAGCCTGTTGAAATATGGAAAGGCAGAATAAATATCCATATATGTTTCAATTTCCATAACTTATACTGTTAGGTGTATTTGTGGCATAGACACTTCCACTTGGGGACTTTTCTTTCTGGGTATGAGAGGGATAAAGAAACATGAAGCCATGTGATTGGCCCTAGGGATAAAGAGAACGCCTTGGTTTGAAGCTGATAATGATGAATACTTTGCTCATGAAGCCAGGGCTGTGACTTCATCCTCACTGAACAAGATTTCAGGGACCGAATGTCCTCTTTGCTCTCATCTGCTTAGCAGATGTGTCCTTAGGATCACCAAGGCAACTGGGAAAGAATGTAGTTGTAACTTCAGATCCCTCCAAATGGTGCTCTAAAAGTTCACTGCCTCCAACTCTGCATGCAGAGAACTGTGTGTTATTCGAGGGTGACATCTGAGAGCTCTAAGGATAACATGGGTTTTCACCTTTGATGACATAAGCCTGAAACTCGTATTTTAGACGCTAACCTCTTTCCGTGGGCTCAGAGCACTTGCCAAATGGGCAAGCTAAGTTACTTCTGATCCTTTCTAATCATGGCATGTCCTAGAAATTTTAGGTCCCAAACCGATATAAATATGAGGCCCTTAAACAAACTTGCCTGGCTGGAAGACTGACTCCAAAAGGGTGTGCAGATTGGAAAGGTCCCTTACAGCATTCAGACCTTTGTCCAGACACTTGGGCCAACTCGAGAGAGTCCAAGACTGTGCTGAGGTGTTCTGGGCAAGGCCAGGGATTTCCATCCCTTGGCCTACTAGAAAACCTTGTTAATTTAGATCCACTGGGCTTCTTGTGGCCTGAACCATGTTCCTTCAAAAATGCCTGCATCACACTGGTCTGGAAGTCACAGGCCTGCAGGGCAGAGTAGTGACAGAGGTTCTCGGACTTGGGATGGGGCTAGCTCAATTCTCCCTGGAAGGACGACTCAGACTTCGACTCAGTGTGCCCATTTGGGTTTCAGTGGACCCAGAAAGAGAGCTCAGGTAGGCAGCTGCAGAATCCCAGGCCCACTTTACCTCCGCCAAACCTGAGTGACTCTAGAGGCTACATCTCCTTTGCAGGTACTCAGGAGTAACGATACTATCTCTCTAGAAAACCCCCTCCCTTGCCAAATGATCCATTTTGAATTTGGAATGAAGCTGTTTTCAAGGAGCTTATTAATAAAAGCTTTTTAACATTCTTCTGTTTAGCAATACCAACAAGATGGCTTCCCAGAGACTGAACTTCGTACATTTATATCAGAATGCAAAGATCTACCCAACTCTGGAAAATACAGATTAGAAGATGACCCTCCAGTATCTTTATTCTGCTGTTGTAAAAAGTAGCTATCAGGTTTATCTGTACTTTAGAGGAAAATATAATGTGTAGCTGAGTTGGAACACTGTGGATATTCTGAGATCAGATGTAGTATGTTTGAAGACTGTTATTTTGAGCTAATTGAGACCTATAATTCACCAATAACTGTTTATATTTTTAAAAGCAATATTTAATGTCTTTGCAACTTTATGCTGGGATTGTTTTTAAAAAAACTTTAATGAGGAAAGCTATTGGATTATTATTATTTCTTGTTTATTTTGCCATGGCTTTAGAATGTATTCTGTATGCCTCTCTTTTGCTCTGATACTGTTGCTCCTGCTATTCTGATTGTGCAGACTGTGTAATTAGTGGAAAACAATCCTTGGTCTGACTGTGACTTTGGACAACTCAGTAACCCTGGCTTGGACCACTCTCAGGAGTCCATCCTTGAGAGAGTGGGTGTAGTTATCATTTATACAGTAATCATTGCATTTTAAAATCTTCTCTTGAAAGGAAGAATAAGAGTGCACCAGAATAAGAGCGCACCAGAATAAGAGCGCACCAGCTAACAATGTGATACGGCCATATGTCACTTAAGGATGGAGATATGTTCTGAGAAATGTGTCATTAGGCGATTTTGTCATTAAACATCATAGCATGTACTTCCACAAACCTAGATGGTATAGCCTACTACACACCTAGGCTATTTGGTATAGCCTGTTGGTCCTGGGGTACAAATCTGTACAACATGTTACTGTATTGAATACAGTAGGCAATTGTAACACAATGGTAAGTATCTAAACATAGAAAAGGGACAGTAAAAATATGGTTTTATAATCTTCTGGGACCACCATTGTATATGCGGTACATCATTGACCAAAACATCGTTATCCAGCATATGACTGTATTTGGTTATGAAAGCCAACTGTTACTTGATTCTGCTTTTAGTTCTTAAGAGGATCAGGCTTTTAAATACTCATTTACAAGTTTTCTATCCTCCTTCAGTGTTAAAGTAGAAAGTAAAAAGAGTATCTTATACATGCATGAAATTAAAGCATATACCAAATGCATTTTTGATGAAGTAATTATTATTTTATTAGTACTTGAGCAGCCTGTTAAAACTAGTGATGTACTATACCTTTCATAGGCACATTATGTCTCACAGCGAAGTGTTTTGGGGTGAGAGGCTGTGGTTTTATGGGGCAAGGTTCTATAACTCACATTAAAAATATTTCGGGGCTATGCACAGTGGCTCATGCCTGTAATACCTCACTTTGGGAGGCCAAGGCAGGAGGATTGCGAGAGCCCAGGAGTTTGAGACCAGCCTAGGCAACATAGTGAGACTCATATCTACAAAAAAAACAGAAAAAACTAACCGGGCGTGGTGGTACACGCCTATAGTCGCAGCTACTTGGGAGGCTAAGGCAGGAGGATTGCTTGAGCCCAGGAAGTCAACAGCAGTGAGCTGTGATCATGCCACTGCACTCTGGCCTGGGTGACAGAGTGAGACTCTGTCTCAAATATGTACACACATATATATATGTGAAAATAATTATGCTTAAAATTTTAAGATAAGATAAATGTGTGCTGTAAAAAGACATAATAGTCTCTACCCCTTATAGACTGCTAATTGAGAATTGCAGGGACTTTCAACACATGAATATTTATTGTGTTTACTATTTATTCAAATAGAAGTGAATTCAGTTATGTGCAGTAAAGATCTTCTCAAAGCAAACTTTTTTTAAAAAAACTGATTTTTAAATTTCTAATTTTGTTTTACTGAGATTTTTATTATTTAATTATAATGACAGTCATAATAATGACTCCAGGTGTTGAAATGGGAGGTTTTATAACAGGTATAAGCTGTTTCTGAAGTACCTGAGGCTTTAAAAAAAAAATCTAAATATCTAAGTGACTATTTTGGGGGCAGTTCTAATATTTATAATACTATCACTTTTAGAAATTACTAGAATTCTATGTGAGTTTTGAAATCATGTTTATTATCTGATAAGTCCTTTTCTTTACATCTTTTGAGATTTTTAGACTAACAGTACTTCAATGGAAACATGAAAACACTGACGCAGTGTTGGGCCTGGAGTTTTGCTTTGCTCTGAAGTCATTATATTTCTTCTGTAGAATCACAGCCAATGACTTGCTGCCTTCACATCTCTCTCCTATTTCTCCAGGCTCTCTTATTGTGGCAGGAGTCCCTGATAAATTCCAAGGCTTAATTTTTAGTAATGATGTCCATGAGAGAATAGCTCTTCTGTCTACTGAAAGAAATAGCACTGACTGACTTTTTTGAACTGTCCTCAAACCAGTACAATGGCTTGATCTGGGTAGGCAGATAAATTATGGGCCATTTTAGAGCTCTCCTTACATGTATATATGTATCATAGAGAATGTCAAGGCAGTTGTAAGAAAGAACATAGAATGGAAGTCACTTTTCTTCCAGGCTTCTAGTCTTCTTATCCCAGGAAATCAGGGCTGGATTTTTGTCGATGATACCCCCTTTTTCTGGAAGTCAGATTCTCTGTCCCCTCCTCCTGCCATAATGATTTTCAGGGTTGTAAGCATAAGGGGATTTTTTTTTTTTTTTCTTGAGATAGAGTCTTGCTGTGTTTCCCAGGCTGGAGGCTGGAGTATAGTGGAGCAATCTCACCTCACTTCAACCTCCGCCTCCCAGGTTCAAGCGATTCTTGTGCCTTAGCCTCCAGAGTAGCTGAAACTACAAGCACACACCACCATGCCTGGCTATTTTTTTTGTATTTTTAGTAGAGACAGGGTTTCGCTATGTGGGCCAGGCTGGTCTTGAACTCCTGTCCTCAAGTGATCTGCCCACATCAGCCTCCCAAAGTGCTGGAATTATAGGTGTGAGCCACCATGCCCGGCCCACTGGGGGATCTTGTTAAAATCATGAATGTACAGGTAATACCAGCAGAGATATTCATATTCTCTCTCTCTCCTCTTTCTTTCTTTCTTTCTCTCTTTTCTTTATCTTTCTCTTTCTCTTTTTGTCTTTCTCTTTATCAAAGCCTAAGCACAGATTCTTATTCATCATGTCCTGGGGGAGGCCAGGAATCTGCCATTTTTAGCCAGCACACAAAGTGATTCTGACACAAGTGGTTTGTGGTGGCTGCAGGGCCCAGAGCTCAACCAGGAACAGATAAATCCCTTTGTTGGGCTACAAATAAGTTGTTTATAAGTCTCAGTATTCAGAATGGTCTTCTATCACTCAAGAGAGAAACCACAGTAGTCAAGAGAGAAACACCAAGAAAATGGGCTTATAGATATCAACGTGGATATTTTAGTATTTGTGTCTGTAAAAATCATTTTTGTGCAGACATTGATTTTGCTGTTACATTTTTTTAAACAATTCAGATGCCATTTTCTTTTTTCACTCAATAAAGTTTTAAATTATCTAATACATATTGAGTTTTAATTTTTTTATCCCACCACACTATTTTCAAATTAAATTAATACATACAAATAGGTGTATGGATTAGAACAAAAAAGGTAAAACTCATTATTTGCAGATATTATAATCTACATAGAAAGTCTAATAGAATCTAAAAAACACATGGGTCAAAGAAGAAATATCCAGAGGCTGAGGCAGGAGGATCACTTGAGCCCAGGAAGTCGAGGCTGCAGTAAGCCATGATTGTGCCACTGCACTCTGGCCTGAGCAACAGAGTGAGACCTTGTCTCAAAAAAAGAAAGAAAGAAATCTTGAGAAATTAAAAATTATTTTGAACTAAATACAAATGCAAACACAAATGATCAAGAATTATGGGAAACAGTAAAAGCAGTGCCTAGAGGAAAATTTATAGCATTGAATGCATATATTAGAAAAGAAGAAAGATGTAAAAATCAATCTCCTAAGCTTCTACCTTAGAAAATGGACAAAGAAGAGCAAGTTAAATCCAAAGGAAGTAGAAAAAAATAAAAATTATAGCAGAAATTAATGAAATTGAAAACAGGAAATCAGTGGAGAAAATCAACAAAACCAAAAGCTGGTTCTTTGAAAAGACAGATAAAATCAGTAAGCCTATAGCCAAGCTAACTAAGAAAAAAGAGGGAAGATGCAAATGACTAATACTAGACATGAAAGAGGGAGCATCACTACCTATCCCATGGGCATTCAATGGATAATAAAAGAATATATGAACAAATCTATGCCTGCAAATTTGAAAACCTGGATGATATGGACCAATTCCTTCAAAGACACAATTGCCAATTGACAAAACTAACACAAGAATAAACAAACAATCTGAATAAGATTCTAGTAAATAAATGGAATCAATAATGAATAACCTTCCAAAACAGCACTGGGCCCAGATGGTTTTACGGGTGAATTCTACTAAACATTTAAGGAACAAATACCAATTCTGTATAATTTCTTCCAGAAGACAGAATTAGAATACATCCTAATCATTCTGTGAGACCAGCATTAACTTAATATCAAAACCAGAGAGAGATTATAAGAAAAGAAAACTAAAGATGTTGATCTCTTATGAACATAGATGCAAAAATCCTCAACAAAAATATTAGCAAATCAAATTCAACAATGTATGAAAAAAATTATATACTACAAGCAAGTGGGATTTATTCTAGGTAGCAAGGCTGATTCAACATTCAAACCTGAATTAATGTAATCCCTCACATCAACAGGCTGAAGAAAAAATATCACATGATCATGTCAATACATACACAAAAAGCATTTAAAAAAAATCTAACATCCATTCATGAAAAAGCCCTCAGCAAACTAGGAAAAAGGGGGAACATCTTCAACTTCATAAAGAACATCTACAAAAAAAACCTAGAGTTAACATCACACTTAATGATGAGAAACTTAGAAGTTTTTATGCTAAGATCAGCGACAAGGCAAGGATGTCCCCTCTTAACACTCCTTTTCAACATCATACTAGAAGTTCTAGCTAATGCAATAAAATACAAAAAGGAAATAAAAGGTGTTCAGGTTGGGAAAGAAGAAATAAAACTGTCTTTGAGATGACATGATTGTCTATGTAGGAAATCTGAGAGAATTAAAAACTCCTGGAACTAATAAGTATAACAAGATTATAGGATACAAGGTTAATACACAAAAGTCAATCACTTTCTTGTATATCAGCAATGAACAATTATAATTTGAAATTAAAAACACAATACCATTTGTAGAAATATCCCCCAAAATGAAACACTTGGCTATAAATCTAACAATATGTAGAAATTCTATATGAAGAAAACTGTAAAACTCTGATGAAAGAAATCAAAGAACTAAATAGGTGGAGAGATATTTCATGTTTATGAATAAGAAGGCTCAATATTGTCAAGATGTCAGTTCTTCCAAACTTGATCTATAAATCAACACGACCCCCATGAAGACCCAAGGGAGTTATTCTGTGGATATAAAAAAACTGATTTTAAAGTTTATATGGAGAGTCAAAAGACCAGAATAGACAACACAATTTTGAAGGAGAGGAACAAAACAAAAAACAAACAAAAAAACCAAAAAAACACTGCCTGATGTGAAGACTTACTATAAAACTACAGTAATCGGCTGGGCACAGTGGCTCACGCCTGTAATCCCAGGACTTTGGGAGGCCGAGGTGGGTGGATCACCTGAGGTCAGGAGTTCGAGACCAACCTGGCCAACATGGTGAAACCCATAACCCATTTTGTCTCTACTAAAAATACAAAAAAAATTAGCTGGGCATGGTGGCAGGTGCTTATAATCCCAGCTACTCGGGAGGCTGAGACAGGAGAATCACTTGAACCTGGGAGGCAGAGGTTGCAGTGAGCTGAGATCGTGCCATTGCTCTCCAGTCTAGGTGACAAGAGTGAAACTCCATCTCAAAAAAACAAACAAACAAACAACTACACTAATCAAGGTATTGGTGAAAGAATAGATAAGAAGATCAATGCAACAGAATAGAGAACCCAGGGGCCAGCGCAGTGGCCCATGCCTGTAATCCCAACACTTTGGGATGCCAAGGTGGGTGGATTGCTTTGAGCCCAGGAGTTTGAGACCAGTCTGGGCAACATGGCAAAACCTCATCTCTATAAAAAATACAAAAATTAGCCGGGTGTGGTGGTGTGTGCTTGTAGTCCCAGCTACTTGAGAGGTTGAGGTGGGAGGGTTGCTTGAGCCCAGGAGATCCAGGCTGCAGTGAGTCGAGGTCATGCCACTGCACTCCAGCCTCCAGCCTGGGCATCAGAGTGAGATCCTGTTTTTAAAACAAGAATAGAGGGCCCAGAAATATACCCACATTAATATAGTCCACTGATCTTTGACAAAGGAGTAAAGAGAATACAATGGAGAAGATAGTCTGTTTAATAAATAGTATGGTAATAACTGGACATCCACACGTAAAAACACGAACCTAGACACAGACCTTTCACTCTTTACAAATATTAAGTCAAAATAAATCATAGATGTAAATGAAAGTTGGAAAGTAAAAACTCCTAGATAATAACACAGGAGGAAATCTATATGACCTTGGGTTTGGCAATTACCTTTTTTTTCTTTTTCTTTTTTTTTTGAGACGGAGTCTTGCTCTGTCACCCAGGCTGGAGTGCAGTGGCGCAATCTTGGTTCACTGCAAGCTCTGCCTCCCGGATTCATGCCATTCTCCTGCCTCAGCCTCCCGAGTAGCTGGGACTACAGGTGCCTGTCACCACGCCCAGCTAATTTTTTTTTTTTTGTATTTTTAGTAGAGACAGGGTTTCACCGTGTTAGCCAGGATGGTCTTGATCTCCTGACCTCGTGATCTGTCTGCCTTGGCCTCCCAAAGTGCTGGGATTACAGGCATGAGCCACCGCGCCCAGCCCCCACCTTTTTTTTTTTCTTAAAAACAGTTTATTCAAGCCACTATTTGAATATTTCTTTTTTTTCACCTTTTAATATTTCAATAGGCTTTTGGGGAACAGATAGTGTTTGGTTACATGGATAATTTCTTTAGTGGTGATTTCTGAGATTGGGTGCACCCACCACTCGAGCAGTGTACACTGTACCCAATGTGTAGTCTTTCATCCCTCACCACCTCCCACCCTTTCTCCTGAGTCCCCAAACCCATTGTATCATTCTTATGCCTTTGTGCCCTCATAGCTTAGCTCCCACTTATGAGAGAGAACATACAACGTTCTGTTTTCCATTCCTGAGTTACTTCACTTAGAATAATGGTCTCCAACTCCATCCAGGTTGCTGGAAATGCCATTATTTCTTTCCTTTTTATGGCTGAGTAGTATTCTATTGTATATATATCACATTTTTTTATCCACTCGTTGATTGATGGGCATTTGAGCTGGTTCCATATTTTTGCAATTGTGAATTGTTCTGCTATAAACATGCATGTACAAGTGCCTTTTTCGTATAATGACTTCTTTTCCTCTGGTTAGATACCCAGTAATGGGATTGCTGAATCAAATGGTAGATCTACTTTTAGTTCTTTAAGGAATTCAGACTGGGTGCAGTGACTCACACACTTTGGGAGGCTGAGGTGGGTGGATCACTTGAGGTCAGGAGTTCAAGACCAGCCTGGTCAAAATGGCAGAACCCCATCTCTACTAAAAATACAAAAAAAAAAAAAAAATAGCGGGGCATGGTGGCATGTGCCTGTAAATCCAGCTACTTGGGAGGCTGAGGTGGAAGAATAGCTTGAAACTGGGAAGCAGAGGTTGCAGTGAGCTGAGATCACACTACTGCACTGCAGCCTGGGTGGCAGAGCAAGACCCTGTCTCAGAAAAGAAAAAAAAAAAAAAAAAAGGAATCCCCATACTGTTTTTCCATAGTGGTTGTACTAGTTTACATTCAGCACCAGCAGTGTAAAAGTGTTCCCTTTTCACCAAATCCACGCCAACATCTATTATTTTTTTATTATGGCCATTTTTGCAGGAATAAGGTGGTATTGCATTGTGGTTTTGATTTGTATTTCCCTAATCATTCGTGATGTTCAGCATTTTTTCATATGTTTGTTGGCCATTTGTATATCTTCTTTTGAGAATTGTCTGTTCATGTCCTTAGCCCAATTTTTGACAGGATTATTTGTTTTCTTCTTGCTGATCTGTTTGAGTTTCTTGTAGAGTCTGGGTATTAGTCCTTTGTCAGATGCACAGATTGCAAAGATTTTCTCCCACTCTGTGGGTTGTCTGTTTGCTCTGCTGATTGTTTCTTTCACTGTGCAGAAACTTTTTAGTTTAATTAAGTCCCATCTATTTATCTTTGTTTTTGTTGCTTTTGTTTTGGGTTCTTGGTCATGAAGTCTTTGCCTAAGCCAATGTCTAGTAGCATTTTTCCAATGTTATCTTCTGTAATTTTTACGGTTTCAAGTCTTAGATTTAAGCCTTTGATCCACCTTGAGTTGATTTTTTGTATAAGGTGAGAGATGAGAATCCAGTTTCATTCTTTTACATGTGGCTTGCCAATTATCCCAGCACTATTTGTTGAGTAGAGTATTCTTTCCTCACTTTATGGTTTTGTTTGCTTTGTTGAAGATCAGCTGGCTATAACTATTTGGCTTTATTTCGGGGTTCTCTATTCTGTTCCATTAGTCTATGTACCTATTTTTATACCAGTACCATGTTGTTTTGGTGACTATAGCCTTATAGTATAGTTTGAAGTCGGGTAATAAGATGCTTTCAGATTTGTTCTTTTTGCTTAGTCTTGCTTTGGCTATGTAGGATCTTTTTTGGTTCCATATTAATTTTAGGATTTTTTTTCTAGTTCTGTGAAGAATGATGCTGGTATTTTGACGGGAATAACATTGAATCTGTAGATTGCTTTTGGCAGTATGGTCATTTTCACAATATTGATTCTACCCATCCATGAGCATGGGATGTGGTTCCATTTGTTTGTGTCATCTATGATTTCTTTCAGCAGTGTTTTGTAGTTTTCCTTGTAGAGGTCTTTCACCTTCTTGGTTAAGTATATTCCTAATTTTAAAAAATTTTTTGCAGCTATTGTAAAAGAGGTTGAGTTCTTGATTTGATTCTCAGCATGGTCACTGTTGTATAGCAGGGCTACTGATTTGTGTACATTGATTTTGTATCCTGAAACTTTACTGAATTCATTTATTAGATCTTGGAGCTTTTTGGATGAGTCTTTAGGGTTTTCTAAGTATATGATCATATCATCAGTGAACAGTGACAGTTTGACTTCCTCTTTACCGATTTGGATGCCCTTTATTTCTTTCTCTTGTCTGACTGCTCTGGTCAGGAATTCCAGAACTATGTTGAATAGAAATGGTGAAAGTGGGCATCCTTGTATTGCTCCAGTTCTGTCAACTTTCCCCATTCAGTATAATGTTGGCTGTGGGTTTGTCATACATGGTTTTTATAAGCTTAAGGTTTGTCCCTTGTATGCTGATTCTGCTGAGGGTTTTAATCCTAAAGGGATGCTGGATTTTGTCAAATGCTTTTTCTTTATCTATTGAGATGATCATTTGATTTTTGTTTTTAATTCTGTTTATGTGGTGTATCACATTTATTGACTTGCGTATGTTAAACCATCCCTGCATCCCTGGTATGAAACCCACTTGATGATGGTGGATTATATTTTGATATGCTATTTGATATGGTTTAACTGTGTCCCCAACCAAATCTCATCTTGAATTCCCATGTGTTGTGGGAGGGACCTGGTTGGGGGTAGTTGAATCATGGGGGCAGGTCTTTCCCATGCTGTTCTGGTGATAGTAAATAAGTCTCATGAGGTCGGACACATTTATAAGGGGAAGTTTCCCTGCACAAGCTGTCTCTGTGCCTGGTGCCATCCATGTAAGATGGGACTTGCTTCTCCTTGCCTTCTGCCATGATTTTAAGGCTTCCCCAGCCACATGGAACTGTAAGTCCATTAAACCTCTTTTTTTTTTTTTTTTTTTTGAGACAGAGTTTCACTCTTGTCACTCAGGCTGGAATGCAGTGATCTTGGCTCACCACAACCTCTGCCTCCTGGGTTCAAGTGATTCTCCTGCTTCAGCCTCCCAGGTAGCTGGGGTTACAGGCACCCACCACTATGCCTGGCTAATTTTTTGTATTTTTTCTTTATAGTAGAGATGGGGTTTCACCATGTTGGCCAGGCTGGTCTAAAACTCCTAACCTCAGGTGATCCACCTGCCTTGGCCTCCAAAAGTGTTGGAATTACAGGCGTGAGCCACTATGTCTGGCCCATTAAACCTCTTCCTTTTGTAAATTGCCCAGTCTCAGTTATGTCTTTGTCAGCAGCATGAAAACAGACTAATACAGTAAATTGGTACCAGTAGAGTGGGACACCGATGAACAGATACCAGAAAATGTGGAAGCAACTTTGGAACTGGATAACAGGCAGAGGCTGGAACAGTTTGGAGGGCTAAGAAGAAGACAAGAAAATATGGGAAAGTTTGGAACTCCCTAGAGACTTGTTGAATGGTTTTGACCAAAATGCTGATAATGATATGAACAATGAAATCCAGGCTGAGGTGATCTCAGAGGGAGATGAGGAACTTGTTGGGAACTGGAGCAAAGGTGACTCTTGTTATGTTTTAGCAAAGAGACTGGTGGCATTTTGCCCTGCACTAGAGGTTTGTGAAACTTTGAACTTGAGAGAGATGATTTAGGGTATCTAGTGGAAGGAATTTCTAAGCAGCAAAGCATTCAAGAGGTGACCTGGGTGCTGTTAAAGGCATTCAGTTTTTATAGGGAAACAGACATAAAAGTTTGGAAAATGTGCAGCCTGACAACGTGATAGAAAAGAAAATCCCATTTTCTGAGGAGAAATTCAATCTGGCTGCAGAAATTTGCATAAGTAACAAGGAGCCAAATATCAATCCCCAAGACAATGGGGAAAATGTCTCCAGGGCAAGTCAGAGGCCTTTGAGGCAGCCCCTCCCATCACAGGCCCGGAGACCTAGGGGAAAAAGTGGTTTTGTGGGCTGGGCCCAGGGTTCCTCTGCTGTGTGCAGTCTAGAGACTTGGTGTCCTGCATCCCAGCTGCTCTAGCATGGTTTAAAGGGGCCAAGAAACAGTTCGGGCTGTTGCTTCAGAGGGTGGAAGCCCCAAGTCTTGGCAGCTTCCACATGCTATTCAGCCTGCGGGTGCACAGAAGTTAAGAATTGAGGCTTGGGAACCTCCGTCTAGATTTCAGAGGATGTATGGAAATGCCTGGATGCCAGGCAGATCTTTGCTGCCAGGATGGGGCCCTCATGGAGAATCTCTGTGAGGGCAGTGTGGAAGGGAAGTGTGGCGTCGGAAACCCCACACAGAGTCCCTACTGGGGCACCTCCTAATGGAGCTGTGAGAAGAGGGCCATCATCCTCCAGACCCCAGAATGGTAGATCCACTGACAGCTTGCACCGTGTACCTGGAAAAGCCACAGACACTCAACGCCAGCCTGTGAAAGCAGCTGGGAGGGAGGCTGTACCCTGCAAAGCCACAGGGGCAGAGCTGCCCAAGACCATGGGAACCCACCTCTTGCATCAGTGTGACCTGGATGTGAGACATGGAGTCAGAGGAGATCATTTTTGAGCTTTAAGATTTGACTGCCCACTGGACTTGAATGGGGCCTGTAGCCCCTTTGTTTTGGCCAATTTCTCCCATTTGGAATGGCTGTATTTACCCAATGCCTGTACCCCCACCATATCTAGGAAATATCTACTTTGCCTTCGATTTTACAGGCTCATAGACGAAAGGGACTTGCGTTGTCTCAGATGAGACTTTGGACTATGGACTTTTGAGTAAATGCTGAAATGAGTTAAGACTTTAGGGGACTGTTGGAAAGGCATGACTGGTTTTGAAATGTGAGGACATGAGATTTGTGAGGGACCAGGGGTGGAATGATATGGTTTGGCTGTGTCCCCACCCAAATCTCATCTTGAATTCCCAGGTGTTGTGGGAGGGTCCCAGTGGGGGACAGTTGAATCACGGCGCAGGTCTTTCCCATGTTCTTCTCATGATAGTGAATAAGTCTCACTAGATCTGATGGTTTTATAATGGAGAGTTTCCCTGCAGAAGCTCTCTCTTTTCCTGCTGCCATCCATGTAAGATATGACTTGTTCCTCCTTGCCTTCTGCCACGATTGTGAGGCTTCCCCAACCACATGGAACTGTAAGCGCACTGAACCTTGTTCTTTTGTAAATTGCCCAGTCTCGGTTATGTCTTTATCAGCAGTGTGAAAATGGACTAATACACTGCTAGATTCAGTTAGTATTTTGAGGATTTTTACATCTATGTTCATCAGGGATGCTGGTCTGTAGTTTCCTTTTTTTGCTATGTCCTTTCTTGGTTTTGGTATTAGGATGATACTTGCTTCATAGAATAATTAGGGAGGATTTCCTCTCTCTATTTTTTGAAATAGTTTAAATAAGATTGATATAAATTCTTCGAATATCTGATAGAATTCAGCTGTGAATCCATTTGGTCCTTGACTTTTTTTTGTTGGCAATTTTAAAATTACCATTTCAATCTCGCTGTCTGTATTGATCTTTTCAGTTTCTATTTCTTCCTGGTTTAATCTAGGATGGTTTTGTATGTTTGTATATGTGTATATGTGTGTGTGTGTGTATATATATGTATATGTACATATACACATATACATACATATACATACACATACATATATGTATGTATATGTACATATGCATATATACACACACATATATGTATGTATATGTACATATGCATATACACACACACACACATATAAAATATATATATTATATATATATATATATATATTTTTTTTTTTTTTTCTTTGAGGCAGAGTCTCACTCTGTTGCCCAGGCTGGAGTGCAGTGGCATGATCTTGGTTCACTGCAACCTCTGCCTCCCGGATTCAAGCAATTCTCCTGCCTCAGCCTCCTGAGTAGCTAGGATTACAGGTGCACACCACGATGCCCAGCTAATTTTTGTATTTTTAGTAGAGATGAGATTTCACTATGTTGGTTATGCTGGTCTTGAACTCCTGACCTCAAGTGATCCACCCGCATTGGCCTCTCAAAGTGCAGGGATTACAGGCATAAGCCACTGTGCCTGGCCCTTCTAGGAGGGTTGTATATTTCTAGGAATTTATCCATCTCCTCTAGGTTTTCTAGTTTGTGCCTTGAATGTTCTTTTGTACTTCTGTGGTATCAGTTGTAATATCTTCCATTTCATTTCTAATTGAGCTTATTTGAATCTTCTCTCTTCTTTTCTTGGTTAATCTCACTAATGGTCTATCAATTTTATCTTTTGAAAGAATCAGCTTTTTGTTTCATTTACCTTTTGTATTTTTTTTTTGTTTCAATTTCATCTAGTTCTGCTCTGATCTTTGTTATTTCCTTTCCTCTGCTGGGTTTGGGTTTGGTTTGTTCTTGTTTCTCTACTTCCTTGAGGTGAGACCTTAGATCGTCTGTGTTTTTTCAGACTTCTTGATTTAGGCATTTAATGCTATGAACTTTCCTCTTAGCACTGCTTTTGCTGTATCCCAGAGGTTTTGATAGGTTGTGTCACTATTATTGCTCAGTTCAAATAATATTTTAATTTCCACCTTGATTTCAACTCAACAATCATTTAGGCACAGATTATATAATTTCCATGTATTTGCATGGTTTTGTGAGTTCCTTTTGGAGTTGATTTCCAATTTTATTCCAATGTGGTCTGAGAGGGTACGTGATAGAATTTTGATTTTCTTAAATTTATTGAGACTTGTTTTGTGGTCTATCATATGGTCTATCTTGGAGAATGTTCCATATGCTGATGAAAATGTATATTCTGCAATTGTTGGGTAGAATGTTTTGTAATATCTGTTAAGTCCATTTGTTCTAGGGTATAGTTTACATCCATTTTTTCTTTGTTGGCTTTCTGTCTTAATGATCTGCCTAGTGCTGTGAGTGGAGTATTGAAGTCCCCCACTATTATTGTGTTGCTGTCTATCTCATTTCTTAGGTCCAGTAGTAATTGTTTTATAAATTTGGGAGCTCCAGCATTAGGTGCATACATATTTAGGATTGTGACATTTTCCCGTTGGACTAGACCTTTTATCATTATATAATATCCCTCTTTTTTAAGTGTTGTTGCTTTAAAGTCTGTTTTGTCTGATATAAGAATAACTAGTCCTGCTTACTTTTGGTTTCCATTTGCATGATATATCCTTTTCTACCCCTTTACCTTAAGTTTATGTGAGTCCTTATGTGTTAGGTGAATCTCTTGAAGACAGCAGATACTTGGTTGGTGAATTCTTATCCATTCAGCCATTCTGTATCTTTTAAGCGGAGTGGTTAGGCCATTTACAGTCAACGTTATTGAAATGTGAGGTACTATTCTATTCATCGTGCTAGTTGTTGCCTAAATACCTTTTCTTTTCATTGTGTTATTGTTTTATAGGTCTTTTGAGATTTATGCTTTAAGGAGATTCTATTTTGGTGTATTCTGAGGTTTTGCTTCAAGATTTAGAACTTCTTTTAGCAGTTCTTGGAGTGCTGACTTGGTAGTGGTTAATTCTCTCAGCATTTGTTTGTCTGACAAAGACTTTATGTTTCCTTCATTTATGAAGCTTAGTTTTGCTGGATACAAAATTCTTGGCTGATAATTGTTTTGTTAGAGGAGGCTAAAAATAGGACCCCAATCCCTTCTAACTTGTAGGGTTTCTGCTAAGAAATCTGGGGTTAATCTAACATGTTTTCCTTTATAGGTTTCTTGATGCTTTTGCCTCATAGCTCTTAAGATTCCTTCATTCATCCTGACTTTCAATAACCTGATGACTATGTGCCTAGTTGATGATCTTTTTGTGATGAATTTCTCGGGTGTTCTTTGAGCTTCTTGTATTTGGATGTCTAGATCTCTAGCAAGGCCAGGAAAGTTTCCCTTAATTATTGCCTCGAATCTTCTTTCTCAGAAACACCAATTATTCTTAGGTTTGGTTGTTTAACATAATCCCAAACTTCTTGGAGGCTTTGTTCATTTTTTAATTATTTTTTCTTTGTCTTTGTCAGATTGGGTTAATTCAAAAGCCTTGTTTTCAAGCTCTGAAGTTCTTTCTTCTATGTATTTGATTCTATTTTTGAAACTTTCCAGGTAGCTTGCATTTCTCTAAGTCTGTCTTTCATTTCCAGAAGTTGATTGTATTTTATTTGTGTTATTTTTCTGGAGATTTTTTGTCCATATCCTGTATGATTGTTTAAATTTCTTTAAATTGGCTTTCACATTTTTCTGGTGCCTCCTTGAGTAGCTTAACAATTGACCTTCTGAATTCTTTCTTTGGAAATTCAGAGATCTCTTCTTGGTTTGGATCCATTGCTGGTGAGCTAGTGTGATCTTTTGAGAGTGTTGAAGAACCTTGCTTTGTCATGTTACCAGAATTGTTTTTCTGGTTCCTTCTCATTTGGGTAGACTATGTCAGAAGAAAGATCTGGGACTCAAGGGCTGCTGTTCAGATTATTTTGTGCCATGGGGTGATCCCTTGATGTGGTACTCTCACCCTTCCTCTAGGGATGGGGCTTCCTGAGAGCTAGACAGTGATTGTTATTGCTGTTGTGGGTCTAGCCACCTAATGGAGCTTGGGCTCCGGGCTGGTACTGGGGAGTGTCTGCAAAGAGTCCTGTGATGTGATCTGTCTTCAGGTCTCTCAGCCATGGATACCAGCACTTGCTCCAGTAGAGGTAGCATATGAGTGAAGTGGACTCTGTGAGGGTCCTTGGTTGTAGTTTTGTTTAGTACACTGGTTTTCTCAAATGCTTTCTCTTGTCTTTTCTTATATGGGTGCTAGGGCACTAATTGCCCCAGGCTACAAGCCTCTCCACTGAAAAAGCCAGCAGGGCTTTCAGGCCCTACCTCTCCCAGCTTGCCACTGCTTCTGTGGTCCTATCTGCACTTCCCGTCCATCTCCCACTCCTGGATTCTGCCTAGGAAAATTCACACTTGGTCAAAATTATTACAAAGCTCAACTGGAAGTTTCCTTCTCCCTATGGTCCTTCCCCAATTCCATTGGCAGCCCTCCCCAAGGACCCCAGTGAGATAAAGTCAGAAATGGCTTCCCTGGTGACTGGGAGCACCTAGAGGGCTCTTCCCAGTGCTGCTTCTACTTTTATATTTTTCTCAGCTCTCTAAATTCATTTCAGCTCTAGGTAAGGTTAAATCCTTCTCCCGTGATCTGGATTTTCAGGTTCCCCAGTGAGGATGTGTGTTCGGAGGTAGGCTTTCCCCCTTCACATTTTGGGCACTCACAATTTTTCAGCTGCCTCACAGAGTTTGCAGCCACAAGCCACTTTTTCAAAGAGTCTGTGAATCCTTTCAGTGTTCCTGGTATGTTCCTGTGGTAGTTCTTGGAGCAAAAGCTCATGATGTCAGTCTCCACATGCTGTTCTGTTCATCTGAGTGGGAGATGCAAGTTAGTCCTGCCTCCTATCTGCCATTTTTTTTTCCTGGAGGCTGACTTTTTAAATACAACACTGAAAGCATGATCCATGAAATAAATAATTGATAAATTAGTCTTTATTATAATTAAAAACTTCTACTCTATGAAAGATATCATCAAGAGAAAGAGAAGACAAGCTGCAAACTAGGAGAAAAATACTTGCAAGAGACTTATCTGAAAAAAGTATTGTTATTCAAAATATATAAAAAATTCATATATTTTTCTTTTTGAGATGAGGTTTTTGTTCTATTGCTCAGGCTGGACTGCAGCCTTGAACTCCTAGGTTCAAGCAATCCTCCTGCCTCAGCCTCCCGAGTAGCTAGGACCACAGGTGCATACCACCAAACCCAGCTAATTAAAAAAAAATTTCTTTCATAGAGACAGGATCTCTCTTTTTTGCCCAGGCTGGTGTTGAACTCCTGGCCTCAAGCAATCCTCCCACCTCAGCCTCCCAAACTGTTGAGATTACTGGCATGAGCCACTGTGCCCAGCCTAAAGAACTCTTAAAACTCAACAATAGGAAAATAAACAATCCCATTAAAAATTAAGCAAAAGACCTGAAGAGATACCTCAGTAAAGAAGACATACAGATGAAAAATAAGTATATGAAAACATACTCAACATCATACGTCATTAGGGAATTGCAAATTAAAACAAGATACCACTACACACCTATTAGAATGGCCAAAACACTGAAAATTCCAAATACTGGCAAGTATGTGGAGCAATAGGAACTCTCATTCATTGCTGGTGCAAATGTAAAATAATACAGCCACTTTGGAAGATAGGCAGTTTCTTACAAAGCTATGCTTTTACCATACAATCCAGCTATTGTACTCCTTGGTATTTAAAAAAAGGAACTGAAAACTTGTGTTCATAAAAACCTGCACACAGATGTTGATAACAGCTTTATCTGTAATTGCCAAAACTTGGAAAAAAACAAAATGTCCTTTAGTAGGTGAATGAACAAATATACTGTGATGTATTAATTCAATGGAACATTATTCAGTGCTGAAAAGAATTGAGCTATCAAGCCATGTGAAGACAAAGAAGAAGCTTAAATGCAAAAATGCCAAATGCTTAAATGAAAAAAGTCAATCTGAAAAGGCTAATACCATATGATTCCAACTATCTGAAAAGGAAAAACTATTGTGAAAGTAAAAAGATGAGTGGTTGCCAGGGGTTGGAGGGAGGGATGAATAGAAGGAGCACAGAGGATTATTAGGGTAGTGTTTTAATCAGTTTGTGCTGCTATTACAGAATACTACAGACCGGGTGGCTTAAACAACAGAAATTGATTTCTCATAGTTCTAGAGGCCACAGAATCCAAGATCAAGGTGCTAGCACACCTGGTGTCTGCTGAGGGTGCTCTTCCTGGTTTGCAGACAGCCATCATCTTGTTATATCCTCATATGGTGGAGAAAGAGATATATCTCTCTCCTGTTTTTTCTTATATGGTTACTAGGGCACTAATTGCATTCACGAGGGTTCGACCCTCAAGACCTAATTACCTCCCAAATGCCCCGTCTCCAAATGTCATCACATTGGGGATTTAGGTTGCAACATATAAATTTTGGTGGGGGAGGGGGATTGGTAAAGTGGGGACAAACATTCAGTCCACAGCAGGCAGTGAAACTATTCTGTATGATACTATAGTGGTAGATACATGTCATTATACATTTGTCAAAACTTAGAGCCTGCACACAAGTGAACCCTAAAGTATGGACTTTGAGTGATAATTTGTCAATGTATATTCATTGATTATAACAAATGTACTACTCTGGTGTAGGATGTTAATAGTGTGGGAGAGGCTATGCGTATGTGGGAGCAGGGAATATATAGGAACTTTGTACTTTCTGTTAAATTTTGCAATAAACCTAAAACTGCTCTAAAAAGAGTCTATTTTTAAAAAATTAAAATAAGAATAAATATTTTGTAATACATGGAACACAGCCACTCTCTTTTTTACATATTGTGTATGATTATCTTTACACTAGATAGTTAAATATTTGTAAAGGAGAAAGTACAATCCGCAAAGCCTACATATTTGTATCTGACCTTTTACAGAAAAAAAATTAGCCAACCCTGAATTATAAGATAGCTTGTTGGAAACTGGCTTACTTGATGTCGAAAAATCAAGGTGCATTAATATCTCCCACCACATGCAAAGTTGAAGTACAATGGAATTTGATATGAAGGATAAAAC
Organism: Homo sapiens; assembly: GCF_000001405.40. Taxonomy (NCBI): domain Eukaryota; kingdom Metazoa; phylum Chordata; class Mammalia; order Primates; family Hominidae; genus Homo; species Homo sapiens. The sequence continues at coordinate 85,000,585 of NC_000001.11, read as the reverse complement.
TATTACAGAAAATGCAGAAGAATGGTGAATTAAGGGTAGAGAACAACTTCTTTAAAAAGATCATAAAAGCACAAACTATAAGGATTAATATCCTTAATTTTGATTTCCTATACCAAAATTAAAGACTTTCATCCAAGGAAGAACACCATGGACAAAAAGATAGATGACGACTGGAAGAAAATACTTATAATGTTTAGAACTGGCAAGGAATTAATATCTACAATATACAGAACACTACTTGCACATCAAAAAATTTTTGAAAGAATGTGAAAGTAAATAAAGAGCATCGTTTTTCTCTTATTTTATTCTATTCTCCCTCCCCATATTCTTCACAATAAATATTTTTTGTCTGCCCAACCTAGAAAATTTAAATTGTTGCATTTCTACTAGCCTGACTCACATTTTCTTTTCTTTTCTTTTTTTCTTTTCCTTTTCTTAGACTCGGTCTCTGTTGCCCAGGCTGGAGTGCAGTGGCACAATCTTGGCTCACTGCAACCTCGACCTCCCAGGCTCAGGCAAGCCTTCCACCTCAGCCTCCCAAGCAAGCTGGAACCACAGGCGTGGGCCACTATGTCCAGCTAATTTTTGTATTTTTGGTAGAGACAGGGTATCGCTATGTTGCCCATGCTATTCTTGCACTCCTGGGCTCCAGCAATCCACCCTCCTTGGCCTCCCAAAGTGCTGGGATTACAGGTGCAAGCCACTGTGTCCGGCCTATCTCACATTTTTTAGACTACTTTCTAAAATTTCCCTTTTAACACTAAATCAGTGAAACTTCCACATGAAGACAAACTGCTAGAGAAATTTAAGAACTTTAGGTTGTAAAATTAAAATGTCATATTATAAAACACTGTTGAGCAAAAGATTCTTGTGTTATTTGGTTATTGGTCATTACAAATTTGAGTCAGGACACAAAGCTTTTTGTGCTATGATATTCAGAACAGAACACAAATGCTTGAAAGGATTAACATAGCACAAAACAATGTCTATTACTACACACTGAAAAATGAGCCATGATCTTTACCACAAACAAGTGACTTTTTGAAAGTTAAAAACTTAATGCCTACTGAGAATTAAATTTACTAATTGAGAATGATTAGATTCAATGGCTGAAAACTTTAGTATGTGTTATATTTATAATAAATCCTTCAGCCATCTGACTCCAGTAATTTTCCACTCTTACTCTTCTCCCCCCTTAATTCCCGCACACACTCAGATTAAATATTTCTTAGAACCTTGCTACTTACAGAGTGGGACCAGCAGCAGCAGCAGCAGCAGGAGCATCTTCTTGCTAGAAATGCAAAACCTCAGGTCCTACTGAATCAGTCTGCTTCAATAAAAACTCTGGTGACTCATATGCACATTAATGTTTGAGATCCTCAGATCTCCCTTTTGAAACTATTTCTCCGTCTGCAGGGGTCCCCAAACCCCGGGCTCCAGACTGGTACAGGTCTGTGGCCTGTTAAGAACCAAGCCGCGCTGCAGGAAGTGAACATTGAGCAAGAGAGCAGCGGTTCCACTCGATTCTCATAGGGGCAGAAGCCCTACTGTGAACTGCGCATGCGATGGATCTAAGTTGCAGGTTGTGTGCTCCTTATAAGACTCTAATGCCTACTGATCTAAGGTGCAACAGTTTCATCCCGAAAACATCCTCCCCTCATCCCCCCACCTGTCCGTGGAAAATATCATCTTCCATGGAACCAGTCCCTGGTGCCAAAAGGTTGGGGTCTTACTATGTTGCCCAGGCTGGAGTGCAGTTACTATTCACAAAGCTGGATGATTGCGCACCTCCGATGAAAGGGGCTCAAAACCAAGGCATTTCTGCCTAATAACCCCTTGGAAGTGCCTTAAAAGAGGGTCAATTATGTGTGCTTTTATATACATCGTCTGTCCAACTGCTTCTGCCTGGACACGCATATTAAAATAATTACCTGGCAGAATATTCTTTGCCTGAGCTAAACCCGGAGATCTTTTAAACGCTTGCAGACTCACAGAGCCTGGCACTGCGGACTTTGCTGCTGCTACCTCGTGAAAAGGAGGGGTACGAGCTCTAGGAGGCTGTCGGCCACGTCCAAACTACCAAGCTAACATCACTAGGAGCCGAACACGGCTTTTGGTCATGTACTGACGACTCTCATCTCTAAGATTCACGAACGGCGACCGATTGTCTGTTCGATTTCCCACAGGCGTCTTCCTTTCGTGCACCAAGAGGGAAAAGCAACGGCGGCTGCAGCAGGGCGCTGGGGTTACGAGTCCAGCCCTGGGGCCGTGCGCCCTCCCTCCGCGCCCGCCGGGCCACGCTGACGCTCCCTCCCGGCTCCCTGCCTTTCATCCCGACGCGGGCGCAGGGCAACTCGCTTTTCCTATTCCTTGCGCGCCGGTCGCACTTTCTAACATCTCAGAAATATGGCCCTTGTCACAGACTTTCATGATCGTGCACTTTAGAGAAAAGCCAGAATGAATGAACTTGTCAGTTTAATGTGAAGTCCTCAAGGGAAAGGACCATGTCTTTGTCATCCCAGAGACCACAGTACCCAACGGTCGGCTTGGCTCTCAGTGAGTGTTTCCCTAAGCATCAAAACAGGAATGACCAAAGCAACGGACAAATTAATGCATGTGGAAACAAGAAATGAATGCATGAGAGAGTGAAGAAAAGAAGGGGCCAGGCGCAGCGGCTTACACCTGTAATCCTAGCACTTTGGGAGGCGGAGGCAGGAGAATCGCTTGGGTCCAGGAGTTCAAGACTGCAGTCAGCAGTGATCGCAGGTCAGGCGACAGAGTGAGACCCGGTCTCACCACCACCCCCCCGAAAAAGGCAGGAACCCCAGAGGGCCGGGAGTGCCAGGTGCGGCCGCCCGGGAGCGGTGTGGAGGGTGCGTGGGCCACTTTGCCGCAGGGCCCACCGCCCGGGTCCCTCTGTAAGGCGCTTCTCCGGCAGACACCCCGAGCCAAAGCGGGCCGTACCGCAGCGTTGGGCACTTGGGTGGAGAGTGCAAGGGCGGCGGGCCTGCGCCCAGACAGGTGTAGCCGTCCCACGCTAGGTGTCCTCCTGCCGCTCCCTGGCCGCGCCATGCCTCGAGGCATGGAGGTGCTGGACCTGCCGGTGTGCAACCGCGCCTCGGGCCTGTCCTGGGGGCCGCACCACAGGTCAGTGCCCCACGGCGCCCTTGGCGTGCCCCACGCCTCCCTGGGGGCCCCACCGCCGCCCCCTTTTGGGACTGCTTACTTCCTCGGCTCTTCTCGCGCGCGCCTCGGTTCCATCCCCTACGGCCCCCACCCCGCCTCCGCGTCGCCGACCCCCTTCTCCGGGAGCGCGGGGAGGCTGGTCCGCTGAAGCGTGGAATAAGTCCCCTAGGACCCCAACTGGGGAAGCTCCGGTCCCCGGTAGGAGGCGGCGGGGCGGGGCGGGGCGGGGCAGCCCCTTGGGGGCGGGGCGGGAGCGCCTGGCCACGCGCCGCATCCTGCAGGGTGCACACAGAGCCGCCTTTCAGCCGCCCGAGAACTGCCCGCCGCACTCCACGACTGCGGCGCCTGCTCTCGGGCCGGGGTCTGCGCGCACCACGCGGCCGGCAGAAAGGGTAAGAGAAGGGAACCCCGCTTTGCAGGGCTCCAACTTCGGCGGACGCGTTACGGCGAGGGCGAAATGAGTCGGCCGTGAACGGTGTTTCCTGTTCCGAATCCCGAGAGCCCTGGAAAGTTTTGAAGGAGGAGGCATGGCCCGGCAGCCTTATCGTTTTCCCCAGGCAAGGATTCCGGAGAGAGGATCAGGTGTTTTCAGGTTAACCGTCAGGTGAGGAGTCTGGGCTTCATCTTTCAGGATGCTGGACTGGAGAAATCTTCCTAAAGTCGATGGCTTTACTTTCGTAGACTAGAGCTTGCTTGCTGCCTTGGGAATGCTTATATTAACTGCTTGCAGTTAGTTAAATAAGGCTAGGCTGTGCCTTCCAGAACAAACAGGCCTTTCCCTCAGGTGGGAGGGTTGTAGTGTGGCTAACCCCAGTTCCTCGGCCTTTATGAAAAGGCGCACAGTTCAGCCGGTTGGCGCTGCCAGCGGGCCCCTCCTCCGTGGTCAAACCTCCAGCCACCCCAGCACAGTTGAGCCAAAGTTGTGAGTACAAACAGACCTTGGCTCCCCCGTTTCCTGCTCTCCAAACATATATATATATATATATATATATATATATATATATATGAAATATATACGTATGTGTAAGTGTGTGTGTCTCTGGTTGAACGGTACTTGTGGGAAACAAAATTGTGTGTCATTGTAAACTGAGAATGGAAGAAAAGGTTAGTAAGAGAAAGGTGGGAGAGGTTTCTTATGGGTGTCAGGATGTAGACTCTGATATTTTATGTAGAGGGAACCAACTACGTAGTTCTCCCCAGAAATGGGATGTGGGTTTCACTCTCAGGAGCTGCTCATCACCTTTGTGATGTGCTAACCAAAATCGCACAACTTTTGGGAAATTTGATAGCTTTCCCCTATTGAGTCAGAAGTTTCTTGAGACTTTAGCCTGTCTTCCTCTTCATACCTTAAGAGGAGTCAAACTCCCGTTGCCGTGAACTTTCCACAGGCACACCCTTCTCCTTTAGAAAACCGTTCATAGGTCAGTTTCTGTGGCCGGAACTCTAAAAACGACACATTTTCCATACAGAGGCCATCATAATACCAATTTTATTTAACCTCCTGTAATAAAAAATGAGTGAATCCTAATAAAGTGTTTGAGGTAGCCACATTCTTTTCTGTGAAGGAGGAACATATCAAAAGTGTTTTTTTTTAAAAAAATAGAGTAATAGATATAAAATATTTTAATGAAGCAAGTGAGAAGAACTGAGAGACATAGTTTGAGCAAAGGGGCACGAAATACAGAACTGAAAGTCAAGAATGATCATATTCACAAGCTGATCTCTTTGGCTATGTCTCTGTCAGTGAAGTGAAACCTAGAACAAGACAATTTTAAAACCGGCGGAAAAAGAGATGGCTTCTTGTGACTATAGCTTTCAAAGTAAAAGTAGTGGCCAAAGAAAACTCTTCTGGCTGTAAAAGTAAAAGTGGACTTTCCTGAAGCTGGGCTGTTTTCTTTAAGGCCTAGGGTCTAAGTTCCGTGTGTCAGTTCTGAAGAATTAAATCACTCTTTAGTGAGCTCTTGTGTCACATGTTAAGGGGTTCATAGAAAAAAGTGCAGGCATACCTTGTTTTATTGTTCTTTGCTTTATTGCACTTTGTAGATACTGCATTTAATTCAATTTTATTTTATTTTACAAATTGAAGGTTTGTGGCAACCCTGTGTCCAGCAAGTCTATTGGTGCCATTTTTCCAACAGCATGTGCTCACTTTGTGTCTCTATGTCACATTGTGGCAATTCTCTCAATATTTCAAACTTTTTCATCATTATTATTATATCTGTTATGGTGATCTGTGACCACTGATCTTTGATGTGACTACTGTAATTGTTTTGGGGTGCCATGAACTGTGCCCATATAAGACAGGGAACTCAATTAATAAATGTTGTATGTGTTCTGACTACTCCACCGACCAGCCATTCTTCTATCTCTTTTCCTCTCCCCAACCCTCTCTATTCCCTGAGACACCACAATATTGAAATTAGCCCAACTAATAACCCTACAGTGGTCTCTAAGTGTTTGAGTGCAAGGGACAATCACAGGTCTCTTACTTTAAAGGTAGGAGTGATTAAGCTTAGTGAGGAAGGTATGTTGAAAGCTGAGACAGACCAAAAGCTAGGCATTTTGTGCCATTTAGCCAAGTTTTGAATGCATATGAGATGTTCTTGAAGGAAATTATAAGTGCTACTCCAGTGAAAATACAAATGATAAGGAAGCAAAACAGCCTTATTGCTGTTATGGAGAAAGTTTTTGTGGTCTGGATAGAAGATCAAACCAGCACCAACATTCACTAAAGCTAAAGCATAATCTAGAGCAGGCCCAAACTCTCTTCAATTCTGTGAAGGCTGAGAGAGGTAATGAAGCTGCAGAAGAAAAGTTTCAAGCTAGCAGAGGTTGGTTCATGAGCTTTAAGAAAGGAAGCCATCTCTATAACATGTAAGTGCAAGGCGAAGCAGAAAGTGCTGATATAGAAGCTGCAGCAAGTTAGTTGGAAGATGTAGCTAAGATCATTGATGAAGGAGGCTACTCTAAACAACAGATTTTCAATGTAGACAAAACAGCCTTCTATTGGCAGGAGATGCCATCTAGGACTTTCCTAGTAGAGAGGACAAGCCAGCATCTGATTTCAAAGGTGCAAAGGACAGGATGACTCTCTAGTTAGGAACTAGTACAGCTGGTGACTTTTAAGTTGAAGCCAGTGCTCATTTACCATTCCAAAAATCCTAGGGCACTTAAGAATTATGTTAATCTACTCTGCCTCTGCTTTGTAAATGGAACAACAAAGCCTAGATGACAGTACACTTGTTTACAGCATGATTTACTGAATATTTTAAGCTCATGGTTGAGACCTACTGCTCAGAAAAAAAGATTTCTTTCAAAATATTACTGCTCATTGATAATACCTCTGATCATTGAAAAGTTCTGATGGAGATGTACAAGGAGATGAATGTTGTTTTCATATATGTTAACACAACATCCATTCTGCAGCCCATGGATCAAGGAGTAATTTCAACTTTCAAGACTTATTATTTGGCCGGGCGCGGTGGCTCACACCTGTAATCCCAGCACTTTGGGAGGCCGAGGCGGGTGGATCATGAGGTCAGGAGATCGAGACCATCCTGGCTAACAAGGTGAAACCCCGTCTCTACTAAAAATACAAAAAATTAGCCGGGCGTGGTGGCGGGCGCCTGTAGTCCCAGCTACTCGGGAGGCTGAGGCAGGAGAATGGCGTGAACCCGGGAGGCGGAGCTTGCAGTGAGCCGAGATTGCGCCACTGCAGTCCGCAGTCCGGCCTGGGCGACAGAGCGAGACTCCGTCTCAAAAAAAAAAAAAAAAAAAAAAGACATTATTTAAGAACTACATTTTGTAACATTATAGGTTGCCATCGAAAATTATTCCTCTGATGAATCTGGACAAAGTAAACCCTTCTGGAAAGGATTCATCATCATGGATGCCATTAAGAATATTCATGATTCATGGGAATAGGTCAAAATATTAACATTAACAGGAGTTTGGAAGAAGTTGATTTTATCCCTCATGGATGACTTTGAAGGGGTCCAGATTTCAGTAGAGGAAGTATTAGGTCAGTGAAAAAGTAATTGTGGGTTTTGTCCTTACTTTTAATGGCAAAAAAACACAATTACTTTTGCAGCGATCTGCTAACCACAGATGTGGTGGAAATACCCAGAAAACTAGAAGAGAAGCCTGAAGATGTGACAGAATTGCTGCAATCTCATGATCAAACTAGAATGGATGAGGAGTTGTTTGTTATGGATGAGCAACGAAAGTGGTTTCTTGAGATGGAATCTACTCTTGGTGAAGATGCTATGAACATTGTTGAAATGACAACACATAATTTAGCATATTCCGTAAACATAGTTGATAAAACAGCAGCAAGGTTTGAGAGGACTGACTCCAATTTTGAAAGAAGTTCTACTGTAGGTAAAATGCAATCAAACAGCGTTGCATGCAACAGAGAAATATTTTGTGACAGGAAGAGTTAATTGATATATCAGACTTCATTGTTGTCTTCTTTTAAGAAATTGCCCTAACCACCCCAGCCTTCAGCAACCACCACCCTGATCAGTCAGCAGCCATCAACAAGGAGGCAAGACCCTCCACCAGCAAAAAGATTACAGCTTGCTGAAGGTTCAGATGATTGTTAGCATTTTTTAGTATGAAGTACTTTTAAATTAAGGTGGTTTTTTTAGACATAATGCTATTGCAGACTTAATAGACTATGGTATAGTGTAAACATAACTTTTATATGCACTGGAAAACCAAAAAATTTGTGTGACTTGCTTTACTGCAGTATTTGCTTTATTGTGGTGATCTGGAACCAAACTTGCAATATCTCTGAGGTGTGCCTGTAATTTTATTTCCAGACTTCATCTTATCAAACTACAATGTTCTGTTCAGTATTAAATGTTTACAGCCATGTTTTTGGTTTGTTTATTTGTTTGCTTTGGCAATCATCTGAATTTTTTTTTCTTCCCGTTCTTCTCAGCCTGCCTATAGCTGAGCTTTCTACTCTGTTTTGAGCTTGGGCCTCAGCCCCTTTTTTCCTGGTATGAGAGACTGTGTCCAGCGAATGTTGTCCATATTCCTTTTCCCTCAGCTGGGTGGGCTGTTTCCTTTCTTCTCTTTTGAAGGTTGTGTTTTGTTTTCTCCCCTTGAATACATCTCTGTAATTTCAGCCTAAAACATCTGCGAGGCAATAATTGATAACTCATGAGGCAGAAGATTCTTGAAAATAGTCTTTGGTGTAATTCTAGAAGACCCACAATTTAAATGGTGGCCTTAAAAAATTGTACTACTTATGCCAACTACAGGGATTTTCTAGAGATAGCTAGAATGTAGGGATTCACCAACATGAAACTGAGTTGGGCTTGTCCAAAATTAAGGTAACCTCAATGCTTTGAGGAAAAAATGATTATTTCTTTATAATTTCTTTTCCTTAGGGAGAGTCATCAGCATGACTCTATTAAGTTGGGCTCTTACTGAAAATATTGGAGAAAGAAAAATGTTAGGAAATGTCATAATTCCAGTCATCTTCCTCAGTTTTAACTGCATGTGGAATCCTTTATTGCTGAGAAATGGAGTTTCCCTTTCTTTATCTCTTCCTCAGAGAACTGTTTCTTCTAGTTTCCAAAGGAGTGTGGCTTGTTTAGAAGAAGCACTTTAAAAGTATGCAGCCCTAGTTCTGCTTTCCTGGTGTTCAGAGGCAGCAAAGTGGTGATCAGAGGTGATTTTTAGGAACTTGGTGGCACGGTTGTCTGTAGGAAAACTCCTGAAGGGTTAGCATGTTCATCTTTCATGAGTGGCTCTAATGGAAAATGAAAAGCCCCTATGGCCTTTCTTCAGGGGGCTTCTTAGGGTTAGAATGACCATGTCATTTATGTTCTGAGAGCTGTGCTGAGAAGGGAACCAAAGTTTTCTTCTTTGCCTTTTTTCCCCTCAACTTCACTTAATTGACATCTGCCTGCCCTACTCAGCTACCTCAAAACCTCAGTTGGCTAGATATTTTTCTTTCTTCCTCTCTTGTGAGACTAGCAGATCACGAGAAAATTTGTTCATCGTAGGAATTGGAGTGAAAAAATGACGTGCGAGTTGTTAGGAATGGTCTAAAGCATTTTATCTGTTGAACTGCCCCTGGTATTATCCTGGGGCCAACACAGTCATTACTGTAGAAACATTGAATTTTAGTCTCCGTATCTATCACTTCTTCCACCCTCTACCCCAAACCAGTCGTGCACAAACTAAGGCAGGGAAATACCTGACTAGCTGATACATACCAGACTCTTTCTTTTTGAAATGGCCCATTTTAACTCATAATAATAACTCAAGAATTCATACGTTAACCACCAAAAATGAAAAAAATATGGAAAACTTAATGAAGAAAATTAAGATTACCTATAATACTACTTCACAGAGATTATAAAAATATGGAGGCTTTTTTGGCTGGCTCACATGCTTCTAGACTTTAAAATGTCTATATACACATATAAATGCTAGCTTTTTTTTTTCCAGCCTGGGTCGTGTTCTGTCACCCAGGCTGGAGTGCAGTGGCACAATGACAGCTTACTGCAGCCTCAAACTTCAAGGCTCAAGCGATCCTCCTGCCTCAGCCCCCCCAAGTAATTGGGACTACAGGTGCCTGCCACCACTCCTGGCTAGCTTATTATTATTAATTATTATTATTATTTCTAGAGATGGGGGTCTCCCTATGTTGCTCAGACTGGTCTCAAACTCCTGGGCCCAAGGGATCCTCCTGCCTCAGCTTCCCAAAGCTCTGGGATTACAGGCCTAAGCCACCATGCCCAGCTTATGCTGACATTTTTTGAAAAATGAGATCTCACTATATCTATTCTGTAACTTTAAAAAAATTACAATATGTTATAGACATCTTCAAGTCAGTGCAAAGGTACGAATAGGGCCGCAATTAACATTTCTATAACTAACTCATTATTTTAAAATTTGTATTATAAATCCATAGAAGTTTGATTCTTTTTTTTAATTATTATTATACTTTAAGTTTTAGGGTACATGTGCACAATGTGCAAGTTAGTTACATATGTATACATGTGCCATGCTGGTGTGCTGCACCCATTAACTCGTCATTTAGCATTAGGTATTTTTTTTTTTTTTTTTTTTTTTTTTTTTTGAGATGGAGTCTCATTCTGTTGCCCAGGCTGGAGTGCAGTGGCGCGATCTCAGCTCACTGCAACCTCCGCCTCCCAGGTTCAAGCGATTCTCCTGCCTCAGCCTCCCAAGCAGCTGGGATTACAGGAGCACACCACCATGCCCGGCTAATTTTTTTTGTGTTTTTAGTAGAGATGGGGTTTCACTATGTTGGCCAGACTTGCCTCAAACTCCTGACCTCGTGATCCGCCTGCCTTGGCCTCCCAAAGTGCTGGGATTACAGGTGTGAGCCACCACGCCCGGCCCAGAAGTTTGATTCTTAAGTCACTTTTATAGATACTGCCCAAGTGCCAATCCAAATTTACATTTCTTTTAATAGTTTGAAAATCATTCCTCATAAATAAAAATTAAGATAGGTTTTTACCAACCTGATTGTTAGTAAATTTTTATTGTTCAATGTTCACTGGCTTGTTCAGATTCATTGCCTATTACATTGGATTGTCTTTTTCTTAATAGTCTGGAGCTCTTTACAGATCACAATAGATAGTTAACTTTTGCCTGTGTAAATATATTGCACATTTTTCTCCAAATCTCTTTGTCTTTTAACTTTTTGAAGTCTTAAATTTTTATGTTAAGATCTTTCAGTCATTTTTACATCTTCTAAATTTTTTTGTACTTAAAAAGGCATGTTAAATTATTTTAAAAATCCTATATATTATACTACTATCAATTTTGTTTTAAAAATATGTCTAAATTTTATTTTTGCACTCAGTTTGAGAGAATACTCTTTCTCTTTCCCAAATGGATAGCAAATTATTTTAATAACAACTCATTGAATAATTTATTCTTTGGAAAGACTAGGAATAATGAGTAAAACAAAGTAGGGTTTCTATCATCAGCAAACCAGGCAACTAAATTACCTACAACTTGCTAATGTATCTTGACTAAGTAAGACTTACTTTTAAATATATTTTTAATTCACTTTTTAATACTAATATTTTAGACTTTCTATTATTTTTATCATGTTATTAATATTGTTGTTATTATTATTTGATCACAAAAGATATTAACCAAGGAAAAGTTCGTGTAGTCAAGATTGATGTCTCATTATTGATTCATTTGTTTTTTCCAACAGATTTTCATTGAACACCTATTATGTGTTAGATACTATGCTGTATGCTGGGCTATATGGTTATAAACAAGACCCACCCTTCATGAAGTCCATTGTAGGGGAGACCAATAAAGATTGTGATTGCAATTATGAAGGAAATAAAGTGATGATAGAGGCAGTGGGGAAGGCCACATTAATAGAGTGGCCAGAGAGCCCTCTCTACCGAGGTGTCATTTGTGCTGAGAGATGAAGGGTGACAGGAAGAAACCAGACACACAAAGAGCTGGGGGAACAGCAGTAGGGTGGATGAAATGGTGAGTGAAATGTGCAGAGCGGGGACTGTCCACACCCAGGAAGGAAGTCATTGTGTAGTGAGGAAGGGGAAGAGGGTATGGGAGGAGTGGGCAGGAGTCTTTTAGCAGTTGTAGGAGGTTTGGATTTTACTCTGAGAGAAGGGGAAAGCCCCTAAAGGGTTTTCAACAAAGAAGTGATATCTGACTTATGCTTTTAAAATTACCCCTCTGGCCACTATGTGAAGAATTGGGAGGCTATTGCAGTTGGGTAAGAGATGACAGTGCTTGGACCAGGGAGGCTGCAGTGCATAGACAGTGATGGGGACCACTCCTTGTGGTTTTGAAGGAAAACTTGATAAATTGAATGTGAGAATTGAATACAAAGGGAACTCAAAGTATACTTTAGAGCAGTATACTTTAGAGCAAAGTATACTTTGCTACACATTAGAATCACCTGAGTAACTTATAAAAATCTTGATGCCCAGTTCAGTCATCCTACTAATTAAATCAGAATGTCTTGGGGCTGAGAGGCAAGCGCTGAAATATTTTAAAAATCCTCAGGTGGGCTGGACACAGTGGCTCACACCTGTAATCACAGCACTTTGGGAGGCCGAGGTGGGAGGATTGCTTGAGTCCAAGAGTTCAAGACCAGCCTGTGCAACATAGCAAAACCTGTCTCCATTTAAAAAAGCAAAAATTAAAATTAAAAAAAAATCCTCAGATGATTCTGCTGTGCACCCAAGATGGAGAATGGACTAAGGATTGCAGCTGGGCCACTGATTGCACTAAGGATTCCAACTGAAGCATTTTTTAAAAATACTAATAGCAATGCATTTCTTTTAAAAAAATTATTTCAGTAGTTTTTAGGGAACAGGTGGCATTTGGTTACATGAATAAGTTCTTTAGTGGTGATTTCTGAAATTTTTGTGCACCCATCACCCAAGCAGTGTACACTGTACCCAGTCTGTATTCTTTTATCTTTTACGCCATTCCAACCCTTTCCCGAGTCGCCAAAGTCCATTGTATCATTCTTATGCCTTTGCATCCTCACAGCTTAGCTCACACCTATAAGTGAGAATATATGATGTTTGTTTTTCCATTCCTGAGTTACTTCACTTAGAATAATGGTCTCCAGATCCATCCAGGTTGCTGCAAATGCCATTATTTTGTTCCTTTTTATAGCTGAGTAGCATTCAATGGTGTATATATAATCTATATACATCTATACATCTATATATCTATATACATATATACATATGTATGTATATATTTCTATATACATATATACATATGTATATATAGATTGATATACATCTATATACATATGTATATATCTATGTATACATCTATGTATACATAGATGTATACATCTATGTATACATAGATGTATACATATATACATATGTATACATCTATGTATACATATGTATATATGTATATATATCTATATATACATATATGTATATATGTATATATCTATATACGTATATAGGTATATACATATATAAATATATCTATATACATATGTATATATCTATATAAATATATGGATATATATCTACATATATCTATATACATATATCTATATATCTATATACATATAGATGTATATGTATCTACATGGCATATGTATATAGATATATATATACATCTATATGTATATCTATATACATATCTATATAGCTGTATATATATGCCATATATATAGATAGATAGATAGATAGATAGATAGATAGATATGCCTATATATATCACCTTTTCTTTATCCATTCATTGATTGATGAGCATCTGGGCTGGTTTTATATTTTTGCAGTTACAAATTGTGCTGCTATAAACATGCGTGTACAAGTATCTTTTTCATATAACGACTTCTTTTCTTCTGGGTAGATACCCAGTAGTGGGCTTGCTGGATCAAATAGTAGTTCTACTTTTAGTCCTTTAAGGAATCTCCACATTGTTTTCAGTGGTTGTATGAGTTTACATTCCCATCAGCAGTTTAAAAGTGTTGCCTTTTCACCCCATCCCCGCCAACATCTATTTTTTGATTTTTTGATTATGGTTATTCTTGCAGGAGTGAGGTGGTATCACATTGTGGTTTTGATTTGCATTTCCCTCATCATTAGTGATGTTGAGCATTTTTTCGTATGTCTGTTGGCTATTTGTATATCTTCTTTTGAGAATTGTCTATTCATGTCTTTAGCCCACGTTTTGATGGGATTATTTTTTTTTCTTGCTGATTTGAGTTCCTTGTAGATTCTGGATATTAGTCCTTTGTCAGATGTATAGATTGTGAGATTTTCTCTCACTCATTGGGTTGTCTATTCTGCTGATTGTTTCTTTTGCTGTGCAGAAGCTTTTTTTTTTTTTTTTTTGAGATGGAGTTTTGATCTTGTTACCCAGGCTGGAGCGCAATGGCACTATCTTGGCTCTTTGCAACCTCCGCCTCCTGGGTTCAAGTGATTCTCCTGCCTCAGCCTCCCTAGTAGCTGGGATTATAGGCATGCGCCACCACCATGCCTGGCTAATTTTGTATTTTTAGTAAAGACAGGGTTTCTCCATGTTGGTCAGGCTGGTCTTGAACTCCCAACCTCAGGTGATCTGCCCACCTCGGTCTCCCAAAATGATGGGATTATAGGCGTGAACTACCACGCCCGGCCCAGTTTTATTCTTCTACATGTGGCCTGCCAATTATTCCAGCACCATTTGTTGAATAGGGTATCCTTTCCCCACTTTATGGTTTTGTTTGCTTTGTCGAAGATTAGTTGGCTGTAAGTATTTGGCTTTATTTCTGGGTTCTCTATTCTGTTCCATTGGTTTGTATGCCTGTTTTTATATCAGTACCATGCTGTTTTGGTGACTGTGGCCTTAGAGTATAGTTTGAAGTCAGGTAATGTGATGCCTCCAGATTTGTTCTTTTTGCTTAGTCTTGCTTCAGCTATGCAGGCTCTTTTTTGGTTCCATATGAATTTTAGGATTTTTTTTCCTAGTTCTGTGAAGAATGGTGGTGGTATTTTGATGGGAATTGCATTGGACTTGTAGATTGCTTTTGGCAGTATGGTCATTTTCACAATATTGATTCTACCCATCCATGAGCGTGGGATGTGTTTCCATTTGTTTGTGTCATCTATGATTTCTTTTAGCAGTGTTTGGTAGGTTTCCTTGTAGAGGTCTTTCACCTCCTTGGTTAAGTGTATTCCTAATTTTAAATTTTGGTTTTTTTTGCAGCTGTTGTGAAAGGGGTTGAGTTCTTTATTTGATTCTCAGCTTGGTCAGCAGCTGAAGCATTTGAATAAGTGTGTACAGATCACTGCTTTGAGCAGATGGGTGGAGGAGCAGGTGGAGGGCAGGTTTGAGAGACCAATTAGACCTGTGGGTGGAGTTTCATAAAAAGGGTTGGATAAGGAAGTCTGCTCAAGAGAGAGATTTGCTGGAGATGCAAATATGGAAACCCACATCATGTAGAGAGTATTTAAAGTCATAGGATTGGACAAGCTGTTTTAGAACAGAAGATGGAGACTAGAAGAACCCATACTGTGCCCCAAGGCACTCTGACATCAAGAGGAGGGGGGTGTCCTGGAAACTGACAGAAGAGGTTGTCCCAAGGAGGTAGTGGTCAGCTGTATCAAATGCTGCTGAGCCAATAAGCCTGAAAAGTGTTTATTAGAATCTATAGCAAGAAATGGTTTACCCTGAGCATTTTAATGGAGTAATAGAAATGGGAACCCAGTGTTTGTTCTAGAGAATCTGTACCACAAAGTCAGCTTGAGGAGGTAAATGCTGGGTTCGTTCCATCAGATGGCTTTACTTTTTTTTTTTTCCTCATTTTGATAATATGACCATGTAGAAGTTTCTTGAATGTATGGACTAGGATGGCTGTTTGCCAAAATGTCACACATTTTTAATTTTATTTCAATTTTTCTTTGAGACAGGGTCTTGCTCTGTTGCAGACTGGAGTACACTGGTGTGATCACAGCTCACTGCAGCCTCGACCTCCCTGGACTTGAGCAATCCTCCCACCTCAGCCTCCCAAGTAGCTGGGACTACAGGCACGAGCCAGCATGCCCAGCAAACTTTTTGTATTTTTAGTACAGACGGGTTTTGCCATGTTGCCCAGGCTGTTCTCAAACTCCTGAGCTCAAGTGATCCACCGCCTTGGCCTCCCAAAGTGCTAGGATTACAGGCAAGAACCACCACATTTGGCCATATTGAGTTATTTTATCCTTTGGTATTAATATATTGCTTGCTTTCAACAAAACAGGAAGAGAGGAATGGATACTGCGCAGGCAACTAGTAGTGTCTGTCACAGGAAGTCTTAACAATTTACTTTTCAGGCTTCCTTTCCCAGGAAGGGATTGAAGAATATTCTCCACAAAATGAGAGAGTAAAGAAAGAAGCAGACATGGGATCCAAGAGATGGGGATTCCAATTTAGGAAGGTGGTGAAGGAGTTCCCAAAGTTATGGCCTTGAAAAGTGATTAGAAAGCAACCAGGTAGATTTGAGCAAAAGGATTGTGCAAAAGCATTGATGTCTCTCTGTGGAAGAAAGGAATTGACAGGGTACCTGGCTTGTGTGTATTTAAGGGTGCTGTCAGATTCAGCCAGAGTTTGGTGATAAAGTTATAGTTGGTATGCAGAAAACTAAACAAATGGGGAAAAGGGCAGTTAATTCCAGGAAAATAGTTGGAATGATGAAGAATATAACATTACAGTATGTTAATAGCTCAACTCTGAAGAATTTTTACATATTCACTTCATAAAATCTAATGTTAATTTATCCAAAATTTGCATTAAAACTTGGTTGGGAAGATGAGTAGGGAGGTGAAATGTATGTTGGGGAGCAGATATAAGAGCTAAATCCATATTTTCCAAGGGAGGATTCAAATTGATAATACCTAAAATGAAAAAATAGTGGCATAAGTATTATTTAGAAATTTTAAAGTAGGGCTGGGCGCAGTGGCTCACGCCTGTAATCCCAGCACTTTGGGAGGCCGAGGTGGGTGGACATAAGGTCAGGAGATCGAGACCAGCTTGGCCAACATGGTGAAACCCTGTCTCTACTAAAAATACAAAAATTAGCTGAGCGTGGAGGCGTGCGCCTGTAATCCCAGCTACTCGGGAGGCTGAGGCAGGAGAACTGCTTGAACCCGGGAGGCGGAGGTTGCAGTGAGCCGAGATCGCACCATTGCACTCCAGCCTGGGTGACAGGGCAAGACTCTGTCTCAAAAAAAAAAAAAAAAAAGAAATTTTAAAGTAAATGACTTTTAAAAAGACAGATAAAAGTAGTTGCACCTAAGGAACAGAAATCGGAGGTGGGGTTTATTAATAATTCATTTAAAATTATGTACAGACCAGGCGCAGTGTCTCACACACCTGTAATCCTAGCACTTTGGGAGGCCAGGGGGAAGGATCATCTGCATCCAGGAGTTTGAGACCAGTCTGGGCAACGTGGCAAGACCCTATCTCTACAAAAAAATAAAAAATAAGCTGGGCATGGCAGCATACACCTATGGTCCCAGCTACTCTGGAAGTGAGGCAGAAGGATTGCTTGAGCTCAGGATGTTAAGGCTGCAATGAGCCATGATTGCATCACTGCAATCCCACCTGGGTGACAGAGTGAGATCCTATCTCAAAAAAAGAAAAAGAAAAGAAAAACAAAAATACAGTTGTGTACATTATTAAATTTGGGGGAAATAAAGGTGGTGGGGAGTTAGGTGAGACCAGATTGTGCAGAGCCACACAGATTTGGGTTGCTGGTGTGGAGACCTGGGAGGCTGGCTTACCACTCACTGTGATGAGGATAAAAATGAAGGATAGATTTGGGAAGTGATTTGCCCTGCCTACCCTGCCCCATCCCCTGAGACTGGTAAGATATACTTGTGAATTAAAAAAAAAAAATTCTTCCGGACTCAGTGGCTCACCCCTGTAATCCCAACACTTTGGGAGGCCAGGGTGGGTGGATCACCTGAAGTCAGGAGTTCGAGACCAGCCTGGCCAACGCAGTGAAACCCTGTCACTACTAAAAATAAAAAATAATAATAATAAAAAATTAGCCGGGCATGGTAGCAGGTGCCTGTAGTCCCAGCTACTCTGGAGGCTGAGGCAGGATAATTGCTTGAACCTGCAAGGTGGAGGTTGCAGTGAGTCAAGATCGCACCACTGTACTCCATTTTCTGTATTTTCTGTTTGTTTGTTGGGGTCAGGGGAACAAACATAAATTTCTTTAAAGCTAACAAGTTTATAATAGCAGTTAGGACAACAAAGAACAACCACAGCTAAGGGGTGGTTGGAGCTCTGAAACAATAAGGAAGTAGTTCCAAATATTTTTTATAACTTGTTCCCAACAGTTGAAAGAACATTTACCCTCTCTAAATACGTATTCATTTACATATCATATGCTGAACCATATGTATATTATGAAACAGATAAAATGAACATTTTAAGGCATGGGATAGATGAGGATATTAAAAATGAATTGCCAGGCTGGACATGGTGGCTCATTGCCTGTAATCCTAGCATTTTGGGAGGCCAAGGCCGGAGGCTTGCTTGAGGCCAGGAGTTCAAGACCAACCTGGCCAACATAGTGAGACCCCATCTCTATTTTTTTATTTTAAAAAATTAAAATAAAAAAATGAATTGCCAAATGCAGCAACTTTATGTTATGACTTCATAGTGTCATTAGCAAATATCTTATGGTACTATATATTTAGAGCCATGCACCTCATTTAGCAGTAGTAGATTTAACCAATATTTTAAATTGTTTTCTTGATAAATCTGCTTCCCCCCACCCCAGCTTCTTTTCAAATCAGATACACTTTTCATCTTTTTTTTAAAAAAAAAAAAACCCATGGCTAACAACATTTAGAGTGTTAGCTCTCCTATTTTTTGATATTAATTTAGGCTTACATTAGTTTTACAATAAACGTAATTTTTTGCAATAATTTTTTATCTTTTATTTTTAATTTTTGTGGGTACATTGTAGATGTAATATTTATGGGATACATCAGATGTTTTGATACAGGCATGTAATGCATTATAATCACATCATGGAAAATGGGGTATTCATTCCCTCAAGCATTTATCCTTTGTGTTACAGACAGTCCAATTATACTCTTTAATTATTTTTAAATGTACAATTATTATTCACTGTAGTCACCTTGGAGTGCTATCAAATACTAGGTCTTATTCATTCTTTCTCTTTGTACCCATTAACCCATCCCTACTGCCCCTTTATCCCCCACCTCTCTGCCACACTATTCTTCCCAGCCGCTGGTAACCATCCTTCTACTCTCTCTGTCCATGAATTTAATTGTTTTGATTTTTAGATCACACAAATAAGTGAGAACATACGGTATTTGCCTTTCTGTGCCTGGCTTATTTTACTTAACATAATGATCGCCAGTTCCATCCATGTTGTTGCAAATGACAGGATCTCATTTTTTATGGCTGAATAGTACTCCATTGTGTGTATGTACCACATTTTCTTTATCCATTCTTCTGCTGATGGACATACAGATTGCTTCCAAATCTTAGCTATTGTGATCTGGTCTGCAACAAACATGAGAGTGCAGATATCTCTTCGATATTACTGATTTCCTTTATTTTTGGCATATACCCAGCAGTGGGATTGCTAGATCATATGGTAGCTCTATTTTTAGTTTTTTGAGGAACCTCCAAACTGTTCTCCATAGTGGTTGTACTAATTTACAGTCCCACCAACAGTGTATGAGGGTTCCCTTTTCTCAACATCCTCACCAGTGTTTGTTATTGCCTGTCTTTTGGATAAAAGCCATTTTAACTGGGGTGAGATGATATCTCATTGTAGTTTTGATTTGCGTTTCTCTAGTGATCAGTGATGTTGAGCACCTTTTCATATCCCTGTTTGTGATTTGTATGTCTTCTTTTGAGACATAACGAGTCTATTCAAGTCTTTTGCCCATTTTGCCATAACCAGATTATTAGGTTATTTTTTATAGAATTGTTTGAACTCCTTATATGTTCTGGCTGTTAATCTCCAGTTTGCAAATATCTTCTCCCTTTCTATGGGTTGTCTTTTCACTTTGTTGATTGTTTCCTTTGCTGTGCAGAAGCTTTTAAACTTGATTTGGTCCCATTCGTTCATGTTTGCTTTGGATCTGTGCTTGTGGGGTATTGCTCAGTAAATTTTTGTCCTGGAGATTTTCCCCAGTGTTTTCTTGTAGTAGTTTCATAGTTTGAGGTCTTAAAGTCTTTAATCCATTTTGATTTGATTTTTGTATATGGTGATAGATAGGGGTTTAGTTTCATTCTTTTGCATATGGATATCCAGTTTCCCCAACACCATTTATTTAAGAGACTGCCTTTTCCCCAGTTTATGTTCTTGTCACCTTTGTCAAAAATGAGTTCACTGTAGGTGTGTGGATTTGTTTCTGGGTTCTCTATTCCATTCCATTGGTCTGTGTATCTGTTTTTGTGTTTTGTATCTGTGTAATACCATGCTGTTTTGGTTAGTAAAGCTATGTGGTATATTTTGAAGTCAGATAATGTGATTCCTCCAGTTGTGTTCTTTTTGCTGAGGATAGCTTTGACTATTCTGGGTTCTTTGTGGTTCCATATCAATTTTAGGGTTTTTTTCTATTTCTATGAAGAATGTCGTGGATATTTTGATAGGGATTGCATTGAGTCTGTAGATTCCTTTGGAGTGTGGACGTTTTAACACTATTGATTCTTCCAATTTATGAACATGAAATTTCTCCATTTTTGGTGTCCTCTTCAATTTCTTTCATCAGTGTTTTACAGTTTTCATTATAGAGATCTTTCACTTCTTTGGATGAGTTAATTTCTAGGTATTTTATTTGTGGCTATTGTAAATGGGAGTACTTTTTAATTTTCTTTTTCAGATTGCTTACTCTTGCACATAGAAATGCTACTGATTTTTGTATGTTGATATTGTGTCCTGCAACTTTACTAAAATTGTTTATCAGTTCTAACTGTTTTTTAGTGGAGTCTTTAGTTTTTTTCCAAATATAAGATCATCTCATCTACAAACAAGGATAATATGACTTCTTCCTTTCCAATTTGGATACCCTTTATATCTTTCTCTTATCTGATTGCTCTAGCTAGAACTTCCAGTACTATGTTGAATAACAGTGGTGACAGTAGGCATCTTTGTTGTGTTCCAGATCTGAGAGGAAAGGCTTTCAGTTTTTCCCCATTCAGTATGATACTAGCTGTGGGTATGCTGTATATGGTTCTTATTATGTTGAGGTATATTCCTTCTATATCCAGTTTATTAAGGGTTTTTATCATGAAGCAATGTTGAATTTTATCAAATGCTTTTTCAGCATCAATTGAAATGATCATATTGTTTTTATTTTTCATTCTGTTAATATGATGCATCACATTGATTGATTTGCATATGTTGAACCATCCTTGCATCCCAGGGATAAATCCCACTTGGTCATGATGAATGATCTTTCTAATGTGTTGTTGAATTTGGTTTGCTAGTATTTTAGTTGAGGAGTTTTGCATTAATATTCATTAGAGATATTGGCCTGTAATTTTTTTTATGTGTCTTTGTCTGGTTTTGATATCAGGGTAATACTGGCCTCATAGGATGAGTTTGGAAGCATTGTTTCCTCTTCTATTTTTCAGAAAAGTTTGAGTAGGATTGGTATTAGTTCTTCTTTAAACATTTGGTAGAATTCAACAGTGAAGCTGTGATGGTTAATATGAGTGTCAACTTGATTGGATTGAAGGATACAAAGTATTGATCCTGGGTGTGTCTGTGAGGGTGTTAAGGAGATTAACATTTGAGTCAGTGGGCTGGGAAAGGCAGACCCACCCTTATTCTGGGTGGACACAATCTAATCAGCTGCCAGCTGGGCTAGAATAAGCAGGCAGAAAAATGTGAAAAGAGAGACTGGCCTAGTCTTCCACCCTATGTCTTTCTCCCATGCTGGATGCTTGCAGCCCTCAAACATCAGACTCCAAGTTCTTCAGTTTTAGAACTCGGACTGGCTCTCCTTGCTCCTCAACCTGCAGATGGCTTATTGTGGGACCTTGTGATCATGTGAGTTAATACTTAATATATGTATTATATATGTATATATGTATATGTGTGTGTGTGTATATATATATTTATACACATATACATTCCATTAGTTCTGTCCCTCTAGAGAACCTGACTAATACAGAAACCATCAGGTCCTGGGCTTTTCTATGCTGGGAGACTTCCTGTTACAGCTTCGATCTCATTACTTGTTATTGGTCTATTCAGGTTTTGGATTTCATCCTGGTTCAATCTTGGTAGGTTGTGTGTGTCCATTTCTTCTATATTTTCCAATTTATTGGTATATAGTTGCTCATAGTATCCAATAATGATGTGAATTTCTGTAGTATCAGTTGTAATGTCTCCTTTTTCATTTCTGATTTTATTTATTGGATCTTCTCTCTGGCTAAAGTTTTGTCAATTTTTTTTAGCTTTTTGAAAAACCAACTTTTTCATTGATCTTTTGTATTATTTTCTTTATTTCAGTTTCATTTATTTCTGCTCTGATCTTTATTTATGTTTCTACTAATTTTGGGTTTCGTTTGCTCTTGCTTTTCTAGTTCTATAAGATGTATCATTAGATTGTTTATTTGAAGTTTTTCCTTTTTTTTTGAAGTAGGCAGTTAAAGCTATAAAATTCTCTTTTAGTACTGCTTTTGCTGTATCTCTTAGATTTTGGTAGGTTGTGTTTCCATTATCATTTGTTTCAAGAAATTTTTAAATTTCTTTCTTAATTTCTTTCTTGACCCACTGGTCATTCAGGAGCATTTTATTTAATTTCCATACATTTGTATAGTTTCCAAAATTCCTTTTGTTATTTGTAGTTTTATTCTGTTGTGGTTAGAAAAGATACTTGATATTATTTCAATTTTGTTAATGTTTTAAGACTTGTCTTGTGACTTAATATATGGTCTGTCCTTGAGAATGATCCATGTGCTGAGGAAAAGAATGTGTATTCTGTAGCCATTGGATGAAGTGTCCTGTAAATATGTATTAGATCCATGCAGTCTATAGTGCAGATTAAGTCCAGTATTTCTTTGTTGATTTTCTGTATGGAAGATCTATCTAATGCTGAAAGTGGGGTGTTTAAGTCTCCAGCTGTTATTTTATTGGGGCCTATCTCTCTTATTAGCTCTAATAATATTTGCTTTCTATATCTGGGTGCTCCAATGTTGGGTACATATATATTTAAAATTCTTATATCCTCTTGCTGAATTGACCCCTTTATCATTATATAGTGAACTTTTTTGTCTCTTCTTATAGTTGTTGTCTTAAAATCTGTTTTGTCTGACAAAAGCATAGCTACTCCTGCTCTTTTTTGGTTTCCATTGGCATGGAATTTCTTTCTCCATCCCTTTATTTTCAGTCTATGTGTGTCTTTATAGGTGAAGTGTATTTTTTGTAGGCAACAGATCAGTGGGTTTTTTTTTCATCCATTTAGCCAGTCTATGTCTTTTGATTGGAGAGTTTAGTCCATTTACATCAATGTTATTATTGATAATTAAGGACCTACTCTTGCCACTTTATTTATTTTCTGATTGTTTTGTGGTCTTCTTTCTCTCCTTCTTTCTTGTCTTCCTTTAATGAAGGTGATTTTCTCTGGTGATATGATTTAGTTTCTTGCTCTACTTTTTGTGTATCTGTTGTATATTTTTTGGTTTGAGGTTACCATGAGGCTTGTAAATACTATCTTATAAACCATTATTTTGAGCTGATAACAACCTAACCCTATTTGCATAAACAAACAAGCAAAAAAAATAACTAATAAAAACTCTATGCCTTAACATCGTCTCCCCAACTATTAAACTTTTTGTTGTTTATATCTTATTGTACTGTCTATGTCTTGAAAAGTTGTTGTAGTTATTATTTTTTATTGGTTTGCCATTTAATTTTTCTACTTAGGATAAGAGTAGTTTACACAAGGAAGTTACAGGGTTATAATATTTTTTGTTTTTCTGTGTACTTTCTGATACCAGTGAGTTTTGTACCTTCAGGTGATTACTTATTGCTCATTAATGTCCTTTTCTTTCTGATTGAAGTACTCTCTTCAGCATTTTTTGTAGGACAGGTCTGGTGTTGATGAAATCCCTCAGCTTTTGTTTGTCTGGGAAAATCTTTTTTTTGAGATGGAGTCTTGGTCTGTCACCCAGGCTGGAGTGCAGTGGCATGATCTCTGCTCACTGCAACCTCCACCTCCTGAGTTCAAGCAATTCTCCTGCCTCAGCCTCCCCAGTAGCTGGGATTACAGGCCTGCGCCACCATGCCTGGCTAATTTTTATATTTTTAGTAGAGACGGGGTTTCATCATGTTGGTCAGACTGGTCTCGAACTCCTGACATCGTGATCCACCCACCTCGGCCTCCCAAAATGCTGGGATTACAGGTGTGAGCCACTGCACCCGACCTTGTCTGGGAAAATCTTTATTTCTTTTTCATGTTTGAAGAATGTTTTCACCAGACATACTATTCTAGAATAAAAGTTTTTCTCCTTCAGCACTTTCAATATGTCATGCCCCTCACTCTTGGCCTTTAAGGTTTCCACTGAAAAGTCTACTGCCAGATGTATTGATGCTTCATTGTATGTTATTTGTTTTTTTATCTTGCTGCTTTTAGGATCCATTCTTTAACCTTGATCTTTAGGAGTCTGATTATTAAATGCCTTGAGGTAGTCTTCTTTGGATTAAATCTGCTTGGTGTCCTATATAACCTTCTTGTATTTGGATATTGATATCTTTCTCTAAGCTTGGGAAGTTCTTTGTTATTTCCCTTTGAATAACTTTCTACTCCTGTCTCTTTTTCTTCCTCCTTCTTAAGGCAAATTACTCTTAAATTTGCCATTTTGAGGCTATTTCCTGGATCCTGTAGGCATGCTTCATTGTTTTTTATTCTTTATTCTTTTGTCTTCTCTGACTGTGTATTTTTAAATAGCCTGTCTTGGAGCTCACTAATTCTTTCTTCTGCTTGATCATTTCTGCCATTAAGAGACTCTGATACATTCTTCCTTATGCCAATTGCATTTTTCAGCTCCAGAATTTCTTTTAGATTCTTTTTAATTATGTCAATCTCTGTTAAATTTATCTGATAGAATTTTGAATTTTCTGTCTTATCTTGAATTTCTTTGAGTTTCCTTAAAAGAGCTATTTTGAATTATCTGTCTGAAAGGTCACCTGTCTCTGTTTCTCCAAGATTGGGTCCCTAGTGCCTTATTAATTCATTTGATGAGGCCATGTTTTCCTGGATTATCTTGATACTTGTAGATGTTCATCTGTGTCTGGGCATTGAAAAGTTAGGAATTTATTGTAGTCTTCACTGTCTGGGCTTTTATTATCTGTCCTTCTTCAGAAGGCTTTCCAGATATTTGAAAGGACTTGGGCATTGTGATCTAAGTTCTATCTGCTTTGGAGGGCACCCCAAGCCTAGTAATGCTGTGGTTCTTATAGACTCATGGAGTTACCACCTTGAACAAGATCTAGAAGAATTCTTTGGATTACCAGGCAGAGACTCTTGTTCTCTACCCTTTTTGTCTCCCTAACAAATGGAGTCTCTCTCTCAGTCCTGAGCCATCTAAAGCTAGGGATGGAGTGACACAAGCACCCCTGTGGCTACTACCTCTGTGACTACACTGGGTCAGACCTGAAGTCAGCACAGCACTGGGTGTTGCCCAAGGCCGGCTGTAACTACTCCCTGGCTACTTCCTGTGTCTGCTTATGGCTCTGGGGCTCTATAGTTAGCAGGCGGCAAAGCCAACCAGGCCTGTGTTCTTCCCTCCAGGATGCTGAGCTCCCCCAGGACCCTCCTGGGTCCAGAGGTGCTGTCCAGGAGTCAGGGACTACAATAAAAAACCTTAGAAGTCTACCTAGTGTTCTATTGTATCGTGCCTGAGCTGGCACTCAAATTACAAGATGCAGTTCTTCCCACTCTTCCCTCCCCTCCTCCAAAAGCAGAGGAGACCTTCCCCATGGTCATCACCACCAGAAGCCCATGGGCAGTACTGCCAGACTACCACTATGTTCTCTTAAGGCCCAAGGTCTCTTAAGTCAGCTTGTCATGAAGGTTGTCTGGCCTGAGACTCATCCTTCAGGGCAGTGGGCTCCCTTCTGGCCCACGGAAGGTCCAGAAATGCCATCCAAGAGTCAGCTCTTAGAACTGGGGACTCCAGGAGCCCACTTGTTGCTCCACCCCCCAATAGCCGAGATGAACCTGAAGCCAGCAAGTCTCAGAGGCTCACCCAAGGCCCTAGATGTAGTACCTGGGTATCGCTGCTGATTATTCAGTGCCCAAGGGCTCTTCAGTTAGCAGGTGATGAATGCTGCCAGGAATGGGTTCTTCCCTTCAAGGCAGTAGGTTCCCTTCTGGCCCAGGGTGTGCCTAGAAGTGTTGCCCAGGAGCTAGGGCCTGGAACAGAGGCATTATGACTCTGACCCTATCATGCTGTGGCTGAGCCGGTATCCAAGATGCAAGACAAA
Organism: Homo sapiens; assembly: GCF_000001405.40. Classification (NCBI taxonomy): domain Eukaryota; kingdom Metazoa; phylum Chordata; class Mammalia; order Primates; family Hominidae; genus Homo; species Homo sapiens. Next base: position 84,974,424 of record NC_000001.11, on the reverse strand, counting down.
GTCCTCCCCACTCTTCTTTCTCCTCTCCTCAAGCAGAAGGAAGGGATCTTTTTTGGAGCCACTAGTTGTGCAGCCTGGGGTTAGGGGAGAGGTGATGTCACCACTCCTTTAGCCACCCTGGTAGTTTGGTAGATTGCATGCCCCTCTAGTCCACTGTTTCTGGGCCCAGTTCAGCACTAGGACTCGCCTAGAGTTGCAGTCCTTGTGGCCTAAATTGCCTTTCAAATTCACTTAGACACCCAGAGCACTTTAGCCTGCAGTGGTGAAGTTTGTGGGAACTCAAGTTCCAACCACAAGGACCTGTGATTCCCCTCTGGCTAGGGCTGGTTTAAATGTTCCCTCCGTGGGTGGGCATCAGCTGAATTTGGTCCAGTTTTCCTTTCTGCTCTAACCGGGCAGAACCGTTTACTGCCTCACAATTGCTGTGCTCTCCCTCCCACAGCATGCAGAGGCACTCTGCGCACCAGGTGGCCACTGCTGGGGCTGGGGGAAGGGTGGTATCAGTGCTTCAGGACTGTTTTTTCTACCTCTTCAGTGCCTCTTTTAGCAATACAAAGTTAAAAGCAGGTAGTGCAAGTGCTCACCTGATTTTTGGTTCTTATGAAAGTGCTTTGCTTACATAGATAGTTGTTAAATTGATGTCCTCTTGTGAGAGGATGATCAGTGGAGGCTTCTCTTCTGCCATCTTGCTCCACCTTCTGGGCTTTTGCAAGAATCTTTATGTCCTTTGCCTATTTCGCAAGGGTTATTTCCACGGAAACTAGATGATACATTCTAAAAATGCTTAAGTGGGCCCACATAAAACATAACTGGTGGGAATATGCTGAAAATCAATGGGGGTACCACCATGAACCCCCTAATTTGGGAAACTTGACAATTTCCCCAGGATGTCTCACATACCTAAGTGAAACACAGGCACCTGATGTTTTGTTTTGTTTTATTTACTTGAGACAGGATCTCCTTCTGTTGTCCAGGCTGGAGTGCAGTGGCAAAATCATAGCTCACTGCAGCCTTGAACTCCTATGCTTAAGCGAATCTACTACCTCTGCCTCCCGAGTAGCTGGGACTATAGGCATCCACCACCACACTGGGCTGATTTTAAAAAGTTTTTGTGGAGACAGAGTCTCACTATATTGTCCAGGCTGGTCTTGAACTCTTGGCCTCAAGTGATCCTCCTGCCTCAGTCTCCCAAAGTGTTGAGATTACAGACATGAGCCACTGTGTCAGTCCCATCAGATGTTACTGACCGAGTGAGGGCACCTTAGGTGTGATAGGTAACAATTCATATATTAAATCTTGGGAATTCTTTACTTCTCTATTTTCTAAATTAACACAATTAGAAGCCCTAATAGTTTCTTCTCACATACCAGTGAATGGTCTTGCATACGTCCTTGTGCACAAGGACCCCACTTTGGAGACAACTGCAGCAGGGGATAAAAACAACTTTCAGGCCCCTTGTCAAGTAGGGGGATCACATAAGCCAAAGGCAATAGCATCCTGGGCTGGTTAGCTTATTTGCTGACAAAATACCATCACTGAAACTGGTGTATTCATTTTCCTGGGGCAAAGGTCAAGAGCCTTTTTCTGTTCTCATAGGGGTTTATAACCCCAATAAGGTTAAGAATCACTGACATCTTGTTTTGTTTCAAAACTTCAGGCTTCCGTTAGACTCTTAGTCATTGTTTTGATAAAGCTGAAATTGCCCTTGATCATATGATAGCCTTAAACTTAGCCAATGTCACACAGTCCTGATTATTTGTGGAGAGAGTAGGTTTTCTTAATGCCAACCTCATAGTCCTGATTATCTGTGGAGACAGTAGGTTTTCTTAATACCTGACAGTAGCTTTGTTGTGCCTTCCTCCTGGTTTCTTACCACAGTACCAGTCTCAGCCTTCTTTTCTTTCATTTTCTATTCCAGCATCTCTGGCTTTTATTTAACCCACTGTATGGGTGGCTTTCTATTCTATTTCAGATCTTATTTTTATGCCTTCAAATACTATGCTTTTTTTCTTTGATATTTTGTTCTTTAGTGCTGCCATTATTAAGCTTATAAAAATCCAGATCATGCATTTCCTATGGGTTAATGAAACATAAATAATTCATAAAAGCTGTGATTGCTCTTATTTATTTCATGCAATTTCAATTGCATGACAGCCCTGTAGCTGATGGGTCTGTGTAATTTAGATCTTCATTGATTTCTGTTCCTTAAGTGGTTTTACGGTACAGTTACTTTCATTCTCCTGACTTATGTTACCACAAGTTAGCAGCTGTATGCTTTTCTTAAACTGTTGGTGATTTTCATTTGTGATGGAAGTTGCAGTATTTCTGCCGTCTGCTGACTTAATTTTTTTGTTTGTTTGTTTTTGTTGTTGTTTGTTTTTGTCCCCCAGGTTGGAGTCCAGTGGCACATTCTCAGCTCACTGCAACCTCTGCCTCCTGGGTTCCAAGTGATTCTTGTGCCTCAGCCTCCCGAGTAGCTGGGGTTACAGGTTTGTGCTACCATGCCCAGCTAATTTTGTATTTTTGGTAAAGACAGGGTTTCGCCGTGTTGGCCAGGCTGGTCTTGAACTCCTGTCCTCAAGTGATCTGCCTGCCCTGGCCTCCGAAAGTGCTGGGATTACGGGCATGAGCCACCATGCCCAGCCTCTGCTGACCTAATTCTTGGTTATGAAGCCTGGTTGTAATTTAAGACTCCTGTAAAACCCCCAGCCAGGTGTTCAGCATTGCAAGGTATATAGGGTAAATATGTGTTAAATAAAAGAGTGTTTTATTTCTATGATATTGTGTTGTCTCTCTCTTTCTCTGTTTTAAAATTTTTTTCCCTCTTTACTTTGCACCATTTTTATACCATTTTATTTTTGTTATAGCAATAAGATATCGTGTGTGTGTGTGTGTGTGTGTGTGTGTGTGTGTGTGTGTGTGTGTATGTCTGTTTAATACCCTTCATCTACCAGGACAAACCTACAAATGGGGAAGAGGGAGGCAATAAAGAGCCCTCAGAAAAGTAAAGTTTAGAAAGTTTATACATTTATATTTTCCTTGAAATATCAGAATTTTTAAATTTTTAAATTTTTAAATTTCATTATCTTTTCCTCCCAAATGTACATATTATTTTAAAACTTAGGTTTATTAAAAAACAGCTATCTCATCATGCACCTTTATTATTCATTATCAACTCTTTCCCCCTACATGTCTATCATTTTTTCATCAGTTGACTAGTACTAGCTTGTATTTCACTAGTTGGCTCATGTACTCTTGAGGGAAATGTTTTTCCTGCTAGTTTTTTCATTTTTCATCTTTCATATTGCTAAAAGTATTACAACTGCTCTGTAAATACCCAAATGAAACAATTATGGAAGGATAGATAGTATAAATAGTGTAACACAATGAGTGATCTCACAGTCATTATCTGCTACTTTGACCTTTTTCTTTTCTTTTTGCCTGAGACTTCTTAATAAAGTTTCTTAGGGCAATGCTAACATCAGTTATCATTTCTTGAACACTTAATGGCCACTCAGTCAAAGGAACCCAGCAGTCAGAAGAATTATTTGAAGCCTCTTGAAGCAATTGGGCTGCATCAAGCACTCTCTGTTTCCAGGGCACTCAGTGAATATTTCCAGTATAACTCTTAACTCATTGTATCATTCTTTTATCTATTCACATTTGCTCCTGGAAGGCAGGAAAATGTCTCCAGCAGAGCATGGCTCACAAGGTATTCTTTTATTTATATTTATTTATTTATGAGACTGAGTCTTGCTCTGTTGCCCAGGCTGAAGTGCAGTGGTGCAATCTTGGCTCACTGCAACCTCTGCCTCCTGAGATCAAGCTATTCTCGTGTCTCAGCTGCCTGAGTAGTTGGGATTGCAGGCGTGTGCCACCACACATGCCTGTTATTTTTTTTTTTTTTTTGTATTTTTAGTAGAGATGGGGTTTCACCGTGTTGTCCAGGCTGATCTCAAACTCCTGGCCTCAAGTGATCCACCCACCTCACCCTCCCAAAGTACTGGGATTACAGGCATGAGCCACCATGCCTGGCCAGTATTCTTTAAGTATTTGATTAAATGCCTTGTTTTGCACCACTGTTTCGAGAAAACAACTTCTTCGTCCTTCAGTTCAGTGTTTCTCACCCAGAGGCTGTGTGTGTGTGTGTTGGGGGGTGGGGGGAGTTGGGGGGTAGTTTCTATGGCTTTATTCTCAAGGGCCTGAGAATTCAGTGTACACCATTTCATATACTCTTTTTATTAAATGAAAAAGCATATTTTGAGTCATCAGGAGGGATGCTTTAGCAACACTGATCCACTACAGTGATAGCAATTAACACTAAATTCAGTATTGCTGAAACATGCCCACAGGGGCTTCTTACAGGCATGTTCTCAGGAGATCTGAAAGTTCATGTTTGAGGATGTTGCTCTCAGGCACAGTTAAGATGCACCTTTTTCTTGGAAATGCCTCCCTCAATGCGCCCAGTCACATGCCCCCGTAGCACTTACCACATCGTCTATTATGACTCTTATGGGCTTTCCCACCAGCTCTCTCACCCCTCTCTCCAGAGTCAGAACTCTGCTTCCGTAATATTTACTTATTTTACAGCATTCACGGAACTCTTTAATAATTATGCATTGACAAGTCTTTCTCTTCTACTGGACACTAAGCATGTGCAGTTCAGGGTTATTCAGCCTTGTGTACCCAGCACAGTGCTTGCTCCGCGGACTAAGTGCTCATTAAGTTGGTCAAGTTGAGTCAAGAGGTGAGTGTGTCAGGCTCAGGACAAACACATGTTTAAGGCCTTCACATTCTTTTGAATGAGACTCATTGTGGTGATTGCTTTTTCATTTCTTTTTTTTTTTTTTTTTTGAGGCAGAGTCTTACTCTGTCATCCAGACTGGAGTGCAGTGGTGCCATATTGGCTTACTGCAACCTCTGCCTCCCAGGTTCAAACAATTCTCTTGCCTCAGCCTCCGAAGTAGCTGGGATTACAGGCATGTGCCACCACACCTGGCTAATTTTTGTATTTTTAATAGAAATGGGGTTTCACTGTGTTGGTCAGGCTGGTCTCAAACTCCTGACCTCAGGTGATCCACCCGCCTCTGCCTCCCAAAGTGCTGGGATTATAGGCGTGAGCCACCGTGCCCAGCCACCTCTGGAACTTCTGACTGTCCAACTTCAAGTTAGGGTTCCCATGACTCCCTCTTTGGGTTTGAATGATTTGCTAGGGAGGCTCACAGAACTCAGGGAAACACATTTACTGGTTTATTGTAAAGGTTGTTACAAGGGATACAGTGAAGAATACATGAGGTAAGCTATGGGGAAGGAGTGTAGAGCTTCCGTGCCCTCCCCGGGTACAACACCCTCCAGGAACTGCCATGTGTTCCGGAAGCTCTCCCAACCCTGTCCTCTTGGGCCTTTTATGGAGACTTTATTGGATAGGTATGATTGACAACCATGTAGAAATGTGACTGGACAAAAAGGGTATGAACAAACACTAATAGACTGCATGAGGGAAACCCAGCAAGGCCTGTCTGTTCAGATCCTTCTGGCCTCTCTGTGCAGCCTTCCTTCTTCCAGGGTTTGGGGCAGGACCCCTTCTGAAATGGGAGTCTTGTGACCTACAATCAGACAGGGTAGGTCAGAGAATTTTTTTATGGCTGGCTCCTACACAGCAAGGTGGGGAAGATGCCTGTCTTTGGGACAAGAAGGAGCAGGTTAAAGGAGATCAGGAGAAGGTCAGAGAGATTATGTTTTCTGAGGCCTGCTCATGAGGCCTTAAGGCGCCTCAACAGTATAACAAAAGCTATGGGAGTTATGAGCTAGGAGCTGCGGACAAAAACCAACATGTATGTATGTCATAATATCACAGATGGTAAGCATGGTTATTTTCTAATGTGTCTAATTTCCAATATGCTTAGTCCTGTTTCTGTTTTTAGTCTGTTTTATGTCACTTGGTTTCCTCATGTGCTTAGTTATATTTAACTACCTGTTTGTCATTGTGTTTTATAAGTTATTTATTAGAGTGCCAAGTCTTAGGATGAACCTAAGACACAGAGTTCTGTGGGTGTTTCCGGGGATATGAAGAACAGTTCCAGTCTGGGTCCTCCAGAACCAAGCAGGCCCACAGTTTGAAGTTCCCTGGCTCACCCAGGTGTAAGGCTCAAAGGTTTATGAGCCTTATTTAATCATGGCCTGGTTTATGGGCATTCTTTATCAGGATGGGTCTATTTTTAAATTTCCTTTTTCTTTTCTTTGATTTGGAACCACTCTGGCCTTCTCTGTAGTCCTATAAATTTGAGGACAGGCAGTTTTGATGCCTTTGGGCCTAGAATCTTGGCTCTCTTGTTCCCGTTTCCTGAGGCCACAGAACGGAAGCTGAGTGTACTTGAATGGTGGCAACTGGCTGTTACTCGTGTAGGTATCCCCCAAGATTGACCCAGGAGTTCTTGCTCTCCTTAACTCTTCAATCTTTTAAAGGTACTTCTTCACCCTCCTCAAGAAGAATGTATTGTATCTAGGATTTTTCTTTTCCTTCCTTCCCTCCCTCCCTCTCTCCTTCTCTCCCTTCTTCCTTCCTTCCCTCCCTCTCTCCCTTCTTCCTTCCCTCCCTCCACTACTTTCTCTCTCCTCCCTCCCTCTCTCCTTTTTCTCCTTCCCTCCCTCCCTCTCTCCTTTTTCTCCTTCCCTCCCTCCCTCCCTCTCTCCTTCCCTCCTTCCTTCCCTTCTCTTCTTCTCTCCCTCTTTCCTTGCTTTCTCTCTTTCTTTCCTCTTTTCCTTCCTTTCCAGCATGATAGTTCTGAATAACTTAGCCCACTAATACTAGAAACAGGAGATTTAAAAATCTATTTAGAAATAGTAAATTATTAACAACTGACAATAAGCTTTAAAATGGGCATCCCCTTTTAGGATTCTTTTAGATTCGTCAGTCAAGGCAGATAACATAGATCATCAGTCAGTATAAAAATATGTCACTTACATATTTCCAGTAAACAGAACCTTAAAAAATGACCCACAAGTATAAAACCTTTCCAAGAAATGAGTAACTTGAATGATTAGCCTAACTTACTAGAATTTATTCTTTACCCTTACCATCAAGATACTTCCTAAGGCAAGAAGTCAAACTCAAACTGGCTTAAGCCATGAAGGGTATTTGTTGACTCAAATGGAAAGACTTGGGATGGATTACTTCAGGAATAGCTGGATCCAGGAATTCAAATATTGTCATTAGGCATAGTGCCTGTCTACCTGACCTTCAGTCTCTGACAAGCTCTCCTTTGGTGGTGAGATGGATTTTAGGAACTCCGGACTCACAGTCTATGCTTGAAGTCACTGATCTCCAAACTTTGTTGATTATGTACCCAACAGTAAAAGTTGAGCATAATAGTCCCAATGTGTATATATTTCTTTATATATGATATGCTACTGGATACTACTTTTATGTGTTATATAATGTATATTCTTTGTTATGGTGTACATATGCTGTAAGTTATATTGCTGTGTTGTATGTATATTCTATGTTGTACTAATTATGGAGTTCAATTTTTAGTTTTTAATATAAATAATAAAATAGAAATACTAATATTTTTTATACTCCCAATGGATTGTTTTCGGCACTCCACTTTGGGGACTACAATAACAGTCCTGTGAACCATGTCTCATTGGTTCTTTTTGGCCTACCTTGAGTCATGTGCCCATTCCTGAGTCCAGAGTCCTTGAAATAGTAAAAGCAAAATTTTATTAATATAAAGTGACAAATATCTGAGTAGGCTTAAATAGAGAGATGCTATTTATCTTTTTGAAGCTATTTATATTCTGGAATCATATAATCACTGATATTTTATCCAAAAAAGGAGTCATAGTCCTTCTCTCAGTACAGAGTTACAGAACAAAGATTCTCTTCTTCCATAACAATCTAATTCCGTTTGTTTATACTAATTTTCTGTAATGTCATACCTGGAGTATCATGAAAATGTCCTGTCTGGTTTTTGTTCATATACTCACTCACTTACAATTCATACACACACACTCACACAAACATAAACATACATACTTTCTGTAGTGACAGATGAATGCTCTATGTTAAGATGTAGGAATTGATGAGTCTTGTAAGTAAAATCCAATTTTTATAATTCTTGAGATTGACCATTTTGTTTTTTTTATTTTGTTTTTAAATTTTAATTTTTTTGAGAGGGAGTCTCGCTCTGTCACCCAGGCTGGAGTACAGTGGCGTGACCTTGGCTCACTGCAACCTCCATCTCCTGGGTTCAAGCAATTCTCCTGCCTCAGCCTCCCGAGAAACTGAGATTACAGGTGCCCGCCACCATACCCAGCTAATTTTTGTATTTTAGTAGAGATGGGGTTTCACCATGTTGGTCAGTCTGGTCTCGAACTCATGACCTCAAATGATCCACCCGCCTCGGTCTCCCAAAGTGCTGGGATTACAGGTGTGAGCCACCACGTCTGGCCGAGATTGGCCATTTTGAACAAGATGGGTGGCTGTGTGGAAAGGTAGGAGGTAGAAGGTCTGGAATAATTTTTCATGTAGTTTTAGAAATGGGAGAACCTCCCTGCCATAACTAGAGTTGCTTTTTTATTTTGTGTTCATAAAGAGGCTTTTCAGTATATGACATGCCATATGTACCAACTCAAGTTTAGGGAAAGCAAGTTACTTCAAAAGGAACTGAGGGAGAGGCTTTCCTGGATATTTAAAATTAATCTTCTGTGGCAGAAATGCAATGGCACATCGTGATTCTGAGATGAAAGAAGAATGTCTAAGGGAAGACCTGAAGTTTTACTTCATGAGCCCTTGTGAAAAATACCGAGCCAGACGCCAGATTCCGTGGAAACTGGGTTTGCAGATTTTGAAGATAGTCATGGTCACCACACAGGTAACCTATCTTATTATTTCATTTGGTTTTTCCCTTACCACAAGACAAAACTCTTTTCATGTGTTCTGTACTTGACTTTTGTTCTGAAAAGCCCACACTCAAGTTCATAAAACTAAAATTATATTGACTCTGGAGAGCAGAGGCTAGGTTGAAGTTCTGTTTAGAAGACAACCTTGTCATAGTAAGAGATCCTGAGGGCCTCTCTGTACAGATTCTATAAATGCTGAATAAATGCAGATCTGTGGGGAGGGGTTTCTATATCTGAGTGACACACATTTGTGTTCTGGAACTCTCTATTAAACACAGCTTATTCAAATATACTTCCAAAATCTGCATTTTTTTGTCTTCAGACTTATAGAATCCTAAGTTTTCCTTTTATCATAACAGTGTGCTCTATCTAAGTAAATACTGATCCCAGGCGCTATCAGGATTATACAAAAGCTACATTTAGACCTTTTGTTCAAGTTCGTATTATTGAGCTCTTTATTACCATGATCAAAACAGCCATCAGAGTTTTCCTCTAGTTTTGGGGCCTGTATTGCTGAACCAGTATTGGGGAGGCTTCTCTGTAGGTCAGGGATCCCTAACCCCTGGGCCACGGACCTGTTAGGAACCAGGCTGCACAGCAGGAGGTGAGTGGTAGGCAAGGGAGCAAAGCTTTATCTGTTTTTTTAGCTGCTCCCCATGGCTTGCAGTACTGCCTGAGCTCCGCCTCCTGTCAGATCAGTGGTGGCATTAGATTCTCATAGGAACGCAAACCCAATTGTTAACTGCACATGCGAAGGATCTAGGTGCGGCTCCTTATGAGAATCTAATGCCTGATGATCTGTCACTGTCTCCCACCACCCCTAGATGGGACCTTCTAGTTGCAGGAAAACAAGCTCAGGGCCCCCACTAATTCTACATTATGGTGAGTTGTATAATTGTTTCATTATATATTATAATGTGGTAATAATAGAAATAAAATGCACAACTAGTGTAATGCACTTGAATCATCCTGAAACCATTACCCACCCCCCCCCACTCCTGCCCCACTCCAGTCCCTGGAAAAATTGTCTTCTACAAAACCAGTCCCTGGTGCCAACAAGGTTGGGGATCATTGCTGTAGTTAACCATATTTGAAACACACGCCCTTTTAAACTGATTGGGGATATTTGGCTCTATTGGCAAATAATCATTCTGTTATCAGTGTAGAGGTGTGTAAAGATGTTATTTCTGGAACATAAAAATAAATACTTAAAAATACCTTTAGTTTTAGAAATGGGAGACGGTCCCTGCCATAACTAGAGTTGCTTCTTTATTCTGTGTTCATAAAGAGGTTTTCAGTATATGACATGCCATGTGTACCAGCTCAAGTTTAGGGAAAGCAAGTTACTTCAAAAGAAACAACAAGGTTGAGATGCAGAGACATTGTTAAATGTGTATGCTTATTGTTAGCTTATTTCATTCTTTGTTTTGAAGTTTTGGTCTTGGCAACCAATAAAATAGATACATTGATACATTGTTAGTATTACTTGGAAGGAGAAGAAATAATGTCCCCTTTTTTCAGTTGGTTAATTTTAATTGTTTCCCAAAATCTTTTCTTGCTAAACCAACTTCCTTCAATTATTTGATCTATTAACGTTACTAAAATTCTAATTTACCCAGGCATAAAATATCATTGCCATCTGTATTAGTGTGTTCTCCCATTGCTATAAAGAACTACTTGAGACTGGGTAATTTATGAAGAAAAGATATTTAATTGACTTAGTTCTGCAGGCTGTACAAGAAGCATGGCTGGTGAGGCCTCAGGAAACTTACAATCATGGGGGAAGGCGAGGAGGAAGCAGGCACATCTTCGTATGGCAGAGCATGAGAGAGAGCAAAGGGGAAGGTGATACACACTTTTAAACAACCAGATCTCATGAGAACTCACTCACTATCATGAGAACAGCAAGGGGGAGTTCTACCCCCATGATCTAGTCACCTGTCACCAGGAGGCCCCTCCTGCAACATTGGGGATTACAATTCGACTTGAGATTTGGCCAGGGACACAAATATAAACCATATCACCATCTTGGATTTACCTTCTTTTTCCTGATACCTACTAAATCTTATTGATTCTTCCTTCAAAACTGCATCTATTTATGTTTTCCCATACTCACTATCTTCTCTCTAGCACAGACTCTTTAGTTAATGAAAAATAAATGTGAAGCATCTCATATTGTGGGCCTTCTGTTGGGAATACAACTGTGACTGTATTACCAGTGCTGCTGACAGCTAACAGTTAGCTTAGTGTTTGCCATGTCCTAGGCACAATAAATGTTTTATGTACTTCAACTCATTTCATCCTCATTGCAATCCTGTGAGGTAGGTTCAATTATAATCCCCTTTTTATGGATGAAGAAACTGGAGCAAAGGGAGTTAAGTAATTTGCTTACAATCCTTCAGTTAGTAAGTGACAGAACTGGGATTTGTGCTTGGGCAGTCTGGCTCTGGAGTCTGTACTCTTCTCAGACTGTTTCTATTCTAGATATAGGTCCTGTCCTCAGAGTTTGCAGTGTTGGAATATAGATAAGTTAATTAGGCAGCTTCTAGCTTTGTCTTATGCCTACCTTTCTTATCCATATACATTCGATGCTAATATCAGCTTAATTTTTCGTAGAATAGACTTTATTGTGTCACTCTCCTGTTCAGAAACTCCTATAAAACCCTACTTCCCAAGAAGAAAATTTCACCTCTCTAGCCAGGAATTCAAAGAGTTCCAGTCTCCTTCAACTTGTCTTTCCAACAAGTTTTCATCTACTATTTCCTACCCAAATCCCAGCCAGACAGGCCAACCCAATGATTCTCTTCCACATCTTGTTTGTTCGTCCAAGTCCGGGGTGATTCTTTTTCTCCCTCACCTTTCAGGTACTATTTGAAGTCCCATCTCCCCCACTGGGCCTTGCCTGACCATCCAGCACATGGTTTTCTTTGGTACTTCTTCCTGTCTACATGACTAATTTTATTTTTTATTATTTTTTCAAGATGAGGTCTCTCTGTGTCACCCAGGCTGGAGTGCAGTGGCACAATCATAGCTTACTGCAACCTTGAACTCCTGGGCTCAAGAGATCTTCCCACCTCAGCCTCTTAAACAGCTGACTAAAGGCACATGCCACTGCACCTGGCTTTTTATTTTATTTTTGTAGAGATGGGGTCTTGCTTTGTTGCCCAGACTTGATTTGAACTTGTGGCTTCAAACAGTCCTCTCACCTTGGCCTCCCAAAGGGCTGGGATTACAGGCATGAGCCACTGTGCCCAGCCTACTAATTTTACTTTAAATAACAAAATATTTCTGGGAACTGTAGTTTACTTTTCATGTGGGCATACCCTGTTTCCCCTAATAAAATTGGGAAGGATTAAACTTTTGTTTCCATATAGGATCATTCTAACAAATTTTGCTATTTGGGTGATATCTAATTGGAGCAGATTTCTTGATCACCTTTCCTTGCATAATATCTCACTTTTCCCTCCCTCTCTTTTTCTGTCTTTTTGTGTTTCATCCTCAAGTCTAATGGGATGGGTATGAGGACTGATGAGAAAGAAAATTTTTTTAAAATTCCTGCTCTGAATTGTGCAGTAATTTATAATCTTGAGAGAGGTGTCTACATTCTTTTGCTAGTTCTACTCTTTCTCTCCCATATCCTTTGTACATAATTAGAGCAGTATCTTGTTTTTACCTGGTACAGAATATTTTATCCTACATTGATTTCATAATGAGGTCTTAAATTCACAATCTTTGCCAGACTACACTTATAAGTAATTATTTTTCTGTCTTGTATCATACTCTCAGCAAATCTTAATGTCTAATTAGTGGGACTAGGATGCATTTTGCTGTCAATGCCTTTAAAAAAAACCCAGTCATTTGGCCAATACCATCTTCCCTTACTCTTACTCTGCAGGGAGTGTTTGGTTCTGTCATAACAAGAAAGGGACTTCGCAGTTTCCTCCCAACCTTCCCCAATGCTGGGCCATACATTTTTATCTTGGCTTGTTCTATGAATAGAATGGAGGAAATTTCTTGCTCCTGATGCCAGATAGGGGAGGTTCCAAGCAGAGATTACAACAGAGTCCTCTCATCCCCAAAGCTGAGTTTTGATGAGCTTTGAGTTTAAGGTTATGGCTTCAAATATCAGCAAACTATATACCACTTTCATGGTCAGTTTTTTCATTCCCTAGTTTACATTTTTTTTTATTTCTTTAGCTTCACTATTAATGTGGGAGGAATGGGTCTAATATCCCTGCCTCTAGAGTTAAATTGGCAGCATTTCAGTTTAAGAGGCTGTGGGGCCAAGAGGTTGAGAGAACAAACAGACTCTAGAATCAATCAGACCTGGGTCCAGATCCTTACTCTAACATTTTCTGGATATTCCAACCTGGATAAATTACTTGACTTCAGATTGCATATGTATCAAATGGGATTATATTCATCAGCTGATTCAGTGTTTGACATTGTGATGGGCATTATTTCATTTCCTGAGTATATAATAGCAGGGAAAAAGGAAAAACATTCCTGTCCTTGCAGAGCCCAGTGTAATAATAGGGTGTTGAGAATTAAATGAGAAATAATAATTATAAATTTTAGCACAATGCCTGGTTCTCAACAGATAAGAGTTGTTATTCCGTACCATGCAGTGTTCTTTTCCACGTTGTATACCAGCTTGGCTTAGAGTAAGCACTCAGCAAACTTTGATTGAAGAACTTCATTCATGTGTGGTGTGTGTACCAGTTTTTTCATATGTGTCAGTAGTTTTAATAAAACTTTGAAGCAATCATGTATGTGTTGCTTCCCTGGTTTACATTTTAGCTTTCAAGAGCAACATGACCTTTTCTGGCTTCTCCTACAGGCACCATTGACAGACATCACATGCTTAGAAGAACTTATAACCTTCTGTTGCTTAATTTTCAGCACAAGCTGGATGATGTGGGACTTCTTATCTGATGTTTTCCTTAGAATAGCTGAGTTTTAGCAGTTGCACAATCCTTTGACATGGCATTTGAGGAATGTGACATGGTGAGACTCAAATGCTGAACAGTAGCATCTGTGTACCTTCTCAAGCGATAGTTGCCTTTCCTAATTTTGAAAAGCTAGCACTTAAGTTCATTATAAGAAGCATCCTAAAGAACTTTTTCAGCAGAAGGAAGTTGTTTTTATAGCATAACACAGATGACTTTGGAATTAGACTTGGCTTCCATTCTGGTGACTTGGGCAATTTAATGAGGCTAAATCTCAGGTTGCACGTATGTAAAATGGAATAACAGTAGTAACATTTTCATAGTCCGCTTGGGGTAAATGAGGCACTGCATGTAAAGCAGTTAGCACAGTACCTGGCATATAATAATTGCTGAAAATGGTGATTATTTTTCCTAATTCTTTAGTATTTTTTAAAACAACAAAATATAAAAGCTAAAAAATGTAAACCATGAAAAAACCGTATGCCTGTATGTTGTTTGCATATGCAAATTAATATTAGCTATTTTACTTTATTTTTTTAGAGACAGGTTTTGCTATATTGCCAAGGCTAGCCTTGAACTCCTGGGCTTAAGTGATCCTCCCACCTCGGCCTCCCAAGCAGCTGGGACTACAGCCACAGGCCACCTCACCCAGCTAAATTAACATTAGTTTTATCTGAATTGTTCAGAATTGTATCTTGTATATTATTGTTCAGATGTATCATATTGAACCATGGAATGACAACAAATAACAGAACTGTCAGGGTCATCTAGTTACACTTGCTAATTTTACATAGGAAGAAAACAGTCCCAAAATTTGGTGGCTTAGTTGAGTGAGGACTTGGAGCAAACTTTCTAGTCTCATTGTTTTATAAGGCAGCTGAAGAAATCACTTAGGGAGGTGGGGAAAGGTGTGTGGGACAGGGCTTATAGAGATTTGACTACCGTCACTGCCTGTGTATGTATGTGAGAGAGACAGAGAGGACGCACGTGAGAGAGTGTGAATGTGCGTGTGAGAGTGCGTGTGTGATGAGGTATGTGTGTAGCTGTGTGTGTAGTTTCCTAGGTTTTGTGTAAACTTTTGGTGCTGACTAATTTCCTCCATTTATTGGGTTCCAAGAAGAAAACTTTCACTTCTGGTGAAGAGAGCCCTTGGGTGCCTAAATTCTGCCAGAATACAGTGAAAGGGAGAATAAGTGGGCATTTTTTCAGTAGGTGGATGCTTGGTGACAATGAATGGGTTTGACATCATACAAGTAAAGCATGCTCTGTTATTCTTTCATGTGCTTTGATACTGTAGAATTTGGTGAGGGAAACTCTCAGGTGTAAATTTTATACAGAATTCTTGCAGAGCTGAATTAATTGAATTCTTTTGACAACTATTACCTCCTAGCTGGAGTAAGTTTTTATGTAGGCTACTTTTCAAAAAACACTTTTAAAAGCCATATGTAAAACATAGTTGTGATTTTAAAAAATACTACAATTTCTAAATCTTAAATCAATACAATGAGTTACTGCTTTACTAAGTAATTGATTTTGAAAACAATTAACTTGAAATCCAAATATAAGAAAAATGGATTGAGACTTAGCTGATTTGGATTCTTTCTTTCTTTCTTAAAGGCCAGTAGAGTCAGTAGTCATTGGGAGCAGTAATCTCTTCTAATTTTATGCTACTTTGAATTGCTGATGTAGCTTGATGAGGTTATTCTTCTGTGGGACTTGTATTTTGACATTGATGCTATTAGTATAAACCAAAAAAAATTGATATTATTTTCTGATGTTTATAGGTAATGGTTGATGATAGTGAGAAGACATTTGCCTCCCCTGATAAATGGTGTAATTCATGTGTTTCTATTTTATTTTATTTTTTAGCTTGTTCGTTTTGGTTTAAGTAACCAGCTGGTGGTTGCTTTCAAAGAAGATAACACTGTTGCTTTTAAGCACTTGTTTTTGAAAGGATATTCTGGTACAGATGAAGATGACTACAGCTGCAGTGTATATACTCAAGAGGATGCCTATGAGAGCATCTTTTTTGCTATTAATCAGGCAAGTGTTTTGTTGTGAATGACCTATACTTTAACAATGTATTGATACTTGGCCTTGTCTTAGCCAACAAACAAAAATTATACACATGTTAAAATATTCTAATGTAAGTTTTGCAGTCTGCCAAAAAATGTTTATTGCTATTTCTGAAGCTACATTTCTACACAAAAGAGTTTGCCTATTTTGACTTTTTAAAAAATATTTATCTTTTTAATTTATCACTTCATACCTACTGCTTTTGGAAAATTACCCCAGATCAAATAGCAAGAGTAGATTTTTAATCTCAGAAGGCTTGATGAAAGCTTAATATAAAATCAAAGATTCCAGCCTGGCGTAGTGACTCATGCCTGTAATCCAGGCACTCTGGGAGGCTAAAGTGGGTTGATCCTTTGAGTCCAGTCTGGGCAGCATTGTGAAACCCCATCTCTACAAAATAAATAAGTAAATAAATAAAAAAATCAGGGATTCTGTGGCCTTAATTGTGATGTTTTAGCATTAATAACCCTAGCTGAATCTTAAGAATATGGAATATAAAATAGTTGTATCTAGACAGGTATGAGAAAGCAGATTAGTAGACTTGAAGAAATAATTTAGGAAAGAGAAACTGTTCCTGCTCTTTTTCATTCACTCAATAAATATTGAAGTATCTAATATGTAGCAGGTGTTATTCCAGTCATTGAGGATGCATCAGTGAATAAAACAGACAAAGCGCCTTCCTTTATAGAGCTTAATTCTGGAACGAAGAGCTAGACAAAAAGAAGTGAAATGTGTAATATCAAATGCTAGCTCCCTGAGAATACCACACAAAAAACATGTTGATGAGCAAAGCTGAGCTTATTACTTAGAGTGGTAAGGGAGATGCTATATTGATCAGAGGCCATCTTGCCTTGGGTGAGGAGGGAGTTCTTTAATGTGAGGGGAGCTTGATTAGAATTAGGTAAGGATGATGATATAATAATTTAGGACTGATGGACATGGCAAGGTGAGGATTGGGAAGGCAGTTTCAAAGAATCTTGGAGTTGTTTTCAGACAAAATCTTCCAATTGTTATCTATTTCAATGAATTTTTTGGATGTTCCTGAAATAATAGAGGGAATTTTATGGTCCAGGGCAAAAATTTTCAGGAATAGTAAAGTCGTATTAATGAAGACAGAGCTAGTAAAGCCCTATTAGTGCAGATAGCCAACAGTAAAGCCATGTTAATGTAAGCTGAGGTAAGCTAATGTTGGTTCATGTTAGTCATTGATGTAAGCTGTGGAGTGTGGATGGCTCATGTCCTCAGTAGATATTAGAAAGTAATAACTGCTAAGGAGTAAAGCAGGGAAGGAGATGGGAAGTACCTGGGTGCAGTGATGGATGTTTGTGATTTTCTTTCTTTCTTTCTTTTTTACTGCATTTATTTTATTTTTATTTGACAGGGCATAATTGCACACAGTATATAGTTATGGGGTACAATGTGATGTTTTGATATATGTTTGCAATTTTCCTTGGCTTGGGGAGGGAAGGCCTCATTGAGGTGCGGAATTGAGAGCTGAAGGAGTGAGTAAACCGAGCGGGTATGTACGTGGGTCTCCAGGCAGAGGGAACAGCAAAGGCCAGAGGCAAAAATATGCGTGTGAGCTCCAGGAACTGCCTGGAGGGCAGTGCAGCTTTGCAGGTTGGAGCCAAGGGACTGGAGTAGATGAGGTCCTAGAGATAAGGCAGGACCTTGGCTTTGGCTGAGTGAGGTGGGAGCTGTCCATCACCTTGTTTTGTTTCGAGTTCTGTGAGGCAGTGTCTTGCTGAACAAACTGAGAAGATTTCTTTGTAGTATTTTAAATTGGGAAGTTCTATTGAGAGCCATGATGTAAACAATACAAAGTAACTGAAAGTACATTCTATATGCTATAACCTCTGATCAAAGTTATAAAAGGTCATATGTGGTTTTTACTTGACTATTTTTTAATAGTATCATCAGCTAAAGGACATTACCCTGGGGACCCTTGGTTATGGAGAAAATGAAGACAATAGAATTGGCTTAAAAGTCTGTAAGCAGCATTACAAGAAAGGGACCATGTTTCCTTCTAATGAGACACTGAATATTGACAACGACGTTGAGCTCGGTAATGCAGTGATAATTTCATGATGTACCTTTATCGTCTTCTGGTAAGAGCAGAAATGCCCTCATGTGCTAGCAACCCAGATGGAAAAACTTTGCTTTGGTGAGAGCTAACCTGTTAGGGGCTGACACTCCAACACTGGCCTGCAGAGGGGCTTTGGCTCAGGAAACTGTGGGGTTGTGGCGATGGGACAGGGACAGCATTTGTGGATCTGTTTGGAGCAACTCAAGATTGTTGGTTTGGGGGTATATTCACAGGTCCTGTTTTTTGTTTTTTTTTCCCTATGAAGGGGTGATTAGGCTTTCTGAAAAAACGGTCTGTATGTGTTAAATGAAATAATATACATAAAGATGTTTTGTACACTTGTTTTTATTATTTGTAAAATATAGAAATGCTCTTCAAAGGTGAATTGTGATTAACAACTCACTTTCTCTCTTAGGAGATCCCTTGGCAACAAGTTAATGGCTAATCAAGTCGAATTGTTTTGTGCTATTTTGTTAAGAATTTAAGAGCATACTGTATGTAAATACGAGGTGTTTGGCTTAAGACTTTTTGTTTTTTAAAATAATGTTTCATTATTTTATTGTTTTGTTGTTCACTCAACAAACCTCTGGTGTGTAGTCATCATGTTTTCATATCATACTGTAATAATCCCAGTTATTCAAGCCCCGTACTTGAAGTTGCCAATTTCCCCATTTTCACTGCCACCACTGTCATCCAAGCCACTACTTGTGGTCTCCCTGCTTCTGGTCTTGCCTCTACGAGCCCCTGCCCTGCCCTGCAGAAACCGCAGTGGTAAATCAGGTCATATCTCTTCCAGGCTTAAAAATCATTAGTGGCTTCCCATCCCATTTAGAATAAAATCCACAAGTCCTTATAGAAACTAGCCCCCTGCCTGCCTCTCCAGACCCCTGTCCTCATTTCTCTGTTGTAACATCCTTTCTGTTTGCTGAGCAAGCCAGGCTCTTTCTTGCTTGGAGGTCTTAGTGCTTGATTTTTTTCCTGTTTGGATCTATGCATAGCTGGTTCTTTTTCCTTTCAGGAAAAAGGTTTCAGTTCAAACATGTTTCGCACCGTGAAAGCCATTCCCTAACTATCTTTCCTAAGGTGGACTCCCCCTCTGTATTAGTCTGTTCTCATGCTGCTAATAAAGACATACGCAATAATTTATAAAGGAAAGAGGTTTAATTGACTTACAGTTCTGCAGGGCTGTGGAGGCCTCAGGAAACTTACAATCATGGTGGAAGGGGAAGCAAACACATCCTTCTTTACATGGTGGCAGGAAGGAGAAGTGCAGAGCAAAGTGAGAAAAGCCTCCTATAAAACCATCAGATCTCATGAGAACTCACCCATTATCACAAGAACAGCAGCATGGGGGTAACTGCCCCCATGATTTAATTACCTCCTACTGGGTCCCTCTCACAACATGTGGGGATTATGGAAACTACAATTCAAGATGAGATTTGGTTGGGGACACAGACAAACCATATCACCCTCTTAGTTATTCTTGTTCACTTTATCTTCATAGTACTTCTCACACTGTGAAATTACCTTGTATATATTTTTACTTACTGTTATCTCCCCCACTAGAATGTGAGCTCCATGAAGATGGTAACCATGTCTGTCTTGTTCATTGCTTTACCTTCAGTGCCTAGCACAGTGCCTGGCTTTCAGCAAATATTTACTGAATAAACGAATGAGTTGGGTATGGAGCCTGGGTCTTTGATGTTCTTCTAAAATATGTGCTCAGAGGTCAACCTCCTCAGTGCACTGGTTGAGCTCAGGCTCTAGAACCAAGCACAAGTCGAATTAACTTTTGGATACCTAGTAGCTACCTGTGTGACCTTGAGGAAGTTTCTTGGCCTCTCTGGGCCTTGGTTTGTTCATTTGTGAAATGGCACTAATAGTGCCTATCTCACAAGGTTGCTTTGAAGATTAAATGAGATGATGCATTAATTGAGAGAATATATAAAGTCCAGCACAGTGTCTGGTATGGAGTTAAGTGCCAATATGTTTTTGCTATTTCTATCATCAGTCTTTTCCTGCCAGAAACAAGTTTCTTTTGACCAACTTCCCTCACTGTACTAATTAAGGTCTAGTCAGGAAAACCAGTATTGAGTTGTGTAATACTCCATCTGCCAAACACAGGGAGACACACTCTCTGCAACTATCTTTTAAAAATATTGTGTCTATTGAGTTGTCTGTTTAGCTCTGGGCCCTGTTTCTGGCTCAGGACATCTAATTTTCATTAAACGTAAGTGTATCCCGTGTATCAGGACATATTTTGAGTGCCAGCTACATGCTAGGCAATGGGCGTTTAGCAAGGTGCAATAAAGTTGTGCTCTTGATCTCAAAGACCTTATACTCTAGTTGGAAGGATAAATAAGCAAATGAAGAGTTGCAGTTGTGGAATAACACTTTTGAAGAATCAGCCAGTGAGTTTTCCAAGATTCATGAACACCTACTAGGTGCCAGGCACTGCACAAGGCCCCAACTTTTCCATTTCAAAGTCAGCATGGAAGGGGCAGCAACAGCCTGGGCAAGGGTCACCCATGCTGGTTTCATACCAGTTCTGTCACTAGGTTTCTGTGACCCTGAAAGGTGCTTGTCTTTAGAGCTCCTTGTTTCCTGCCCTGTAAAACAAGGGTGTTAGCCTACACAATAATGAGACTAATTTTTATGTGAGGTTCTTGGAATCTTTCTTCTATCATTTACAGCTCATAATCTGTTTTTACTTGAATACAACCTGTGTTCTTTTTCTTTCTATTTTTTTACTTTGAAAAAGTGCCAGACTTACCAGAAAAGTTACAAAATAGCACAAATATTTCCTGTATAGCCTTCATCCAGATTTCCCCAATACTAACATTTTTTTTTTTTTTTTTTGAGATAGAGTTTCGTTCTTGTCGCCCAGGCTGGAGTGCAGTGGCGCAATCTTGGCTCACTGAAACCTCTGCCTCCCGGGTTC
This sequence comes from Homo sapiens, assembly GCF_000001405.40. NCBI lineage: Eukaryota > Metazoa > Chordata > Mammalia > Primates > Hominidae > Homo > Homo sapiens. Next base: position 84,953,468 of record NC_000001.11, on the reverse strand, counting down.
AAGCAATTCTCCTGCCTCAGCTTCCTGAGTAGCTGGGATTACAGGCGCACGCCACCACGCCCGGCTAAATTTTGTATTTTTAGTAGAGACGGCGTTTCACCATGTTGGTCAGACTGGTTTTGAACTCCTAACCTCATGATCCGCCCACCTTGGCCTCCTAAAGAGCGGGGATTACAGGTGTGAGCCACCGTGCCTGGCCAATACTAACATTTTATCACATTTGCTTGATCATTCTTTCTATGCATAAATATTTCTCCTGGAGGTGCAGACATGCTATTCCTTTGCCCCTAAATACTTCAGTGTGCATTTCCCCAAAACAAGAACATTCTCCTACACAACCACTATACAGTGCTCAAAATAATGAGTTATCATTGATACAATACTATATTCTACAAACCCTATTCACATTTCATAAATTTTCCTAATGTTCTTTATCATAAAATGAAAACTGCACCCAACTCCAAGATCCTATTCAGGATAACATCTGGCATTTAGTTGTCATGTTATGTCTTTTCAGTCTAAAGTTTCTTGGTTTTTGTTTGTTTAACTTTTATGATCTTGATACATTTAAAGAGTAGAATGTCTCTCACGTTGGGTTTTTCTGTTTCTTCATGACTAGATTGAAGTTATACATTTTTTGGCAGGAATACCACACAAGTGATGTCATATGCTTCTCAGTTCATTGTATCAGGAGGTACATGTCTGTTTATCTCATTACTGTGATGTAACTGATCACTTGGTTAGTGTGGTGTCTGCCAGGTTCACTTGACAGGTGTCTGTGAGGTTACTATCATTTTTCCTGAATAATTGCTAAGTATTTTCTAGGGAGATACTTTGAAACTCCGTAAGTAACCTGCTTCTTGTCACACTTTCACCCATTAGTTTTAGCACCTAATTCTTGCCTGAAACAACCATTTCTTGTTCTTTCATTGCCCTAGATTGTGTTCAATTAGACCTTCAGGACCTCTCCAAGAAGCCTCCGGACTGGAAGAACTCATCATTCTTCAGACTGGAATTTTATCGGTAAATACATTTTAAAGTGTTATTCCCTAAGAGATGAGGGTGGGAGAAGGAGAATAGTATATAGTAAGATTATGACAATTTATACCTTTCAATATATTTTATTCAGGCTCTTACAGGTTGAAATCTCCTTTCATCTTAAAGGCATTGACCTACAGACAATTCATTCCCGTGAGTTACCAGACTGTTATGTCTTTCAGAATACGGCAAGTATCTTTGTTTTACTAGCTACTTCCTTTTATTTTTTTCCTACACTTTTTGTTGATGCAGAGTATAAAACACAGCAGCCTACAGATGTGTTAAATGCAGTCATGTTTAAAACAGATTTAGTGATACAATATGATACTCTTTTCTTTTTTTCTAATACATAGTCTCGCTCTGTCACCCAGGCTGGAGTGCAGTGGCGTGATCTCAGCTCACTGCAATCTCTGCCTCCCAGATTCAAACGATTCTCATGCCTCAGCCTCCCAAGTAGGTGGGATTACAGGCATGTGCCACCACACCCAGCTTAACTTTTTTGTGTTTTTATTAATAGTAAAGACAAGACAGGGTTTTGCCATGTTGGCCAGGCTGGTCTCGAACTCCTGGCCTCAAGTGATCTGCCTGCCTCGGCCTCCCAAAATGCTGGGATTACAGGCATGAGCCACCATGCCCAGCCTCATTATGGTATTATTGTTGATCCAGAGACCATTACTTCTGAAGATGAAGCAAACCCTTTTCAACTTTTAAAAACCAAGTTTCTACATTGAAAAGAAGAGTTTAAAAAATTGGCTTTGACTTTCTACTCTCCTAATACATTTTTTAAAATGTTTATGAAGGTGTTTTACATGTCTATAGTGTTCTTCCCAGCTTTAGAGGAAGGTCTTTGCAAATGTTATAGCAAATATTTTCAAACCTCGAGGCATAAACTGCTCCACTGATGTGAAGACCAGTCTGCAAAGGAGCAGTTGTTTCTCTTTTTATTTTGGGAGGGGGCATGTATAGTAGAAGAGACAGTTCACTTTTATGGGGAAGTAAGCTGCCTTCTCATTTTCATAGACTTTCTCTGTCCTTCTCGCCTTCCTTCTTTTTCTCCCTCCCTGCCTTCCCTGTTCATTAAGGGACTAAACTGAATGCCTAGCTGAAAGTTGTATATACTGTCCTTTAGCAATTCAGAAGAGTGTTTCATTCAACTATCAATAAATACTTAATGAGTCCATACTATGCACCAGGCATTTTGCTATGCCCTAGAGGCACAGTGGCCCTCAGGAAAGCTTACAGCCTAGTAGGGGAAACAGAAAAACAAGTAAACGAAATAAAAGTAACTACAGGTTGTGATATGTGGTAAGGAAGAATGTCTCCAGCTGCAAGCTCTCTGGGGTGGGTGGGCCAGAGGAGCACTGGGAGCATCTGCAGGGATGAGGAGAAAGGCAGGAGAGGAGCATGGAGTTTGGTCTGCAAGGATGAGGTCATTGATGACTTTGTCATGATATGGTCGGAAGTGTGGGTTTAAAAATATTGGCTTTTCATTTTTATTTTGTTCTTTGGACTTCTGTCTGCTTTGAGAAAAGCATTTTAGGGGCTCTCCTGGGGGAAACAGAGATCTTGAGTGCCAGTGCTAATGGAGGTTTAATCATAACTTACAGGTATAGAAATGAGGATGGTATGGTTTAATTCTCAAACCTTTGGTTTGAGTGTGTGATCTTGGGCAAACCTGGCTTGTGTTCAGAGACAGGCAGGTGCATGTGGATTTGATCACCTACATATCCGGCTCTCCAAGCTCTGCCAGTGAACTTTTTGGTTTTCTTAATGTGTTCACCCTAATAAGTACTTGGCATATATCACTTATAAACTGTAAATGATTTAAATGATTGATTTAAATTTCATAAGGTAGAAGATTGAGGGCATTTGGACATCTTAAGTTCAGCCTGCAGTCTTGGAGCAATCTTTGTTCTTTCTGAAAACATTATATGTAGCTCTTGAAACAAATAGAAAAATAATTTCTAGCCTAACAAAAACTAGAATTTCATACCCAAAGAACTAAATTGAAGGAAATGCTTTTAAATTCAATTCAGAATAATAAATGAGATCATTTGTGTTCTTTCAAAGGTTAGTTAATTTTGGTTTTTATTCCTAGGACTGGTTGTCTGTTTTTCTCTAGGATTTCTCTGAACCAGATATCTGATATCCTGTATTTAGTAAAACTTCACATATTAGCCCTTTCAATCATATTTGTTTCACTAATAACAGAAAGTTGTGAAGAAATCTTGTGATGTGAACATTTTCATTGGCATAATTCTCTTTGTTGCCTTAATTTATGTCTTTATTGTGAGTTCCTTAGCCTCTAATTGTACTTGTGTTTGTTTTTTACAATTTTGACTTAAAACCTTCATACTAGAGGACTAAGAGATTTATATAGCACCATTCCAATACTGGGGTATTCTGAATTTGATTATAAACTTACCTCTACTGTTGAGTTTTATGCTTTCACATGTTTTCATGATAATTATTGTTCATTTCCAGTTTTAGTGCTCCCTCAAGCATTTCTTGAAAGGCTGGTCTAGTGGTGAAAATTCCCTCAGCTTTTGCTTGTCTGGGGAGGTCTTTATTTCTTCTTCATTTCTGAAGGATGGCTTTGCTGGATATAGTATTCTTGACTGACAGTTTTGTTGTTTTTTTTTTTCTTTAAACCCTTTGAATATATCATCTCATTCTCTCCTGGCCTGCCTGGTTTCTGCTGAGAAATGTTCTGATAGTCTAATGGAGATTCTGTTATGTGTGACTTGATGTTTTTCTCTTGCAGTATTTTTTTATTTTTATTTTTTGAGACGGAGTCTTGCTCTGTTGCCCAGGCTGGAGTGCATGCAGTGGCACAATCTCCGCTCACTGCAAGCTCTGCCTCCCAGGTTCACGCCATTCTCCTGCCTCAGCCTCCTGAGTAGCTGGGACTACAGGCACCTGCCACCACGCCCAGCTAATTTTTTTTTGTATTTTTAGTAGAGACGAGGTTTCACCGTGTTAGCTAGGATGGTCTTGATCTCCTGACCTCGTGATCTGTCTGCCTTAGCCTCCCAAAGTGTTGGGATTACAGGCGTGAGCCACCGCGCCCGGCCTATTTGCAGCTTTTAGAATTGCCTCTGTCTTTGACTTTTGACAGATTGATTATAATGGGCCTTGGAGAGAATCTTTTTGGGGTGAATCTAATTGGGGATCTTTGAGCTTCCTAGATCTGGATGTCCATATCTCTCCCAAGACTTGAGAAGATTTCAACTGGGTTATTTGAAAAGACCTGTCTTCAAGTTCAGAAATTCTTTTCATTTTATTTTACTTTATTTTTATCGAGACAGAGTCTCAATCTATTGCCTAGGCTGGAGTGCAGTGGTGTGATCTCAGCTCAGTGCAGCCTCCGCCTCCTAGATTCAAGTGATTCTCATGCCTCAGCCTCCCCAGTGGCTGGGATTGCAGGCACCTGCCACCGCACCCAGCTAATTTTGTATTTTCTATTAGAGATGGGGTTTCACCATGTTGGCCAGGCTGGTCTCAACCTCCTGACCTAAAATGATCCACCTGCCTTGGCCTTCCAAAGTGCTGGGATTACAGGCAGGCCACTGCACCCGGCCAGAAATTCATTTTTCTTTGCTTGATGTAGTCTGTTGTTGAAGCTCTCAATTGTAATTTTTTAATTTCACTCATTGAATAATTCAGCTCCAAGATTTTTGTTTGGTTCTTTTTTATGCTATGTCTCTCTGTTGAATTTCTCAATCAAATCATAAATTATGTTCCTGGTTTCATTGAATTGTTTGTATTCTTTTATATCTCACTGAGCTTTCTTAAGATCATTATTTTGAATTTTTCAGGCATTTAATGAATATCCTTTTCTTTGGGGTCTGCTACTTGAGAATTATTATGTTCTTTTGGGTGCCATGTTTTCTTGCCTTTTCATGTTTCTTGTGTCCCTACATTGTTATCTATGCATCTAGTGAAATAGTTGCTTTTTCCAATTTTATGGAATAGCTTTCACAGGGATAGACTTTTTCCTGTAGATGGGCCCTAGGGTGTTGGTTGGTTATAGTGGCTTTGGTTCTGGGCAGACTCAGTAGTATGGTGTCCATGCAGTTTGTTCAGTTGTACTCCTTGTCAGTGATGTCTGTGATTGGCTCAGTGGCCTAAGCTGAGGGAGTTTTTAACAGCAATGACACAGTTTTGCTGGAGGCAGGGATGCCAGACTTGTTGTCGGGCTGGACATGTGCATACATGATAAGCAGCAGGCTGTGTGGCAGGCTCTTCAACTGGGTAGGGGCAATTGCTGCCCAGCTGGTTGTCAGGCCAGGTGTGCATGGTTGTGGTGGGGCCAGTAGGCTGTGAGGCAGGCTCTTTAGAGATGCGAAGTTACAGCTGAACTGGCTGTCAGGCCTGTGTGGGTGTGGAGAGACAGCCAACTGTGTGGCCCAAGTGTGCACAAGCACAGCACACCAGCCAGCTGTTTGGCAGCTTCCTGCTGTGCACTTCTGCCTGTTCCCAGGGGCAGGGGCAGGAAGGGGTGCTGCATGGATTCAGATGTCAGGGTCTCAGATGTTCCATCAGGTCTAGGCTCTAGGCAGCCAGTGTCATGGTGTTGCAGGCACCTTTGTGAACATGGTAGAATAATGGCAGGACTTCAGGGATGGAGAGACACAAAGAGTACTGGCCCCCAGGGCAGAACACACTCTGTTAGCATCTGGTCTCTAAATGGTGTCATGCCATAGCAGCTTAGGTCACAGAGGTGAAGAGTGCGCAATGTGTGCTTCCACTCTGGGGCAGCATGGCTGTATGAACTCCCGGCACCTCTCCAAACTGGATTCAAAGCCTGTGAGGACTGGAGGGCTCTCCTGTAGCAAGGACTGCTGGCATTCTGTGGCCATAATGAGGACCACCAGAGTCTCTAGCCTAACGTTTTCCTATCCAAAGAGATTCCCCTGGCTCTAAGCTGATCCTGGCTGGGGAGACAGTGTGGCAGAGGCAGGGTGCCTTGCTCCCCTTCCTATGTTGCTGTCCTGGGCTTTCATGCTCCACAGGATTTTCCTGCTACCCTGGTGCTCTCCAGTGTACTTCTTTAGTGATTTCAGTCAAAATATAGTTGTTTATTCATTATTTTGGTCCCGTGTGTGTGTGTGTGTGTGTGTGGTGGGGGGTGCAGGAAATGAGTGTCAAGTAATTCTAGTCAGCCATTTTGCTGGCCTGTGTAATTCTCTTTGGATCAGCACACTGGATGCCAGTGATTTTTTTTTTAAGCAGATTTGATCTAACATGTTATACTTTCTTCTGTGTTGTAATCTCGCTATACATTTGTGTCTCCAGATTATCTTTGACAATAAAGCTCACAGTGGCAAAATCAAAATCTATTTTGACAGTGATGCCAAAATTGAAGAATGTAAAGACTTGAACATATTTGGATCTAGTAAGTATGCTATATACTTGCCCATGGGAATTATAGATGATTTTTAACACTTTATTTTGTGGCTTGGGGTATTTAAATGGTTTGTTTGCATGATAATAGGAAGAAAACCGCCTCGAGCATTAGATCCTGTAAAGAATATCCCAAAGCCTTGTATTTTTGTTTAATTCAGCAAATGTTTATTATATGCCTCTTAGAAGAGGTAGCATGACTCAGTGGTTAGGAGCTTAGCTCTGGAGCCAGATTGCCTGGGTTTCGGTCCCAGTTCTGTTTACTGTGCCTGTGATCTTGTACAAGTTACTTAACCTGTCTGTCTCAGTATCTTTCTATGTAAAATGAGAGTAATAGTATAGGTTGAACATCCCAAATCGGAAAAATCTGAAATCAAAATGCTCTAAAATTTGAAACATTTGAGCACTGACATGACCAAAGCTCAAAGGAAATGCTTATTGGAGCATTTTGGATTCTGAATTTTTGGATTTCGGATGCTCAACCTGTAAGTATAATGCAAGTATTCCAAAATCAAAAGAAATCTGAAATACTTTTGGTCCCAAATCATTCTGGATAGGGCATACTCAGCCTAAACTTACCTTCCAGGATATTGAATATTAAATGAATTAGTATATAAAGCAAAGCACTGAACACAAGAGTTGGCACATATTAATTGCTAGGCATTATGGGAAAAGGAAGAAAATGCCTTAGTGAGAGAGACTGACGTGCTTATAAAATCTGTGATGTGTTATGGAGAGAAATAAGGGTATACATACAAAAAGTATGAGGAGAAAAAAAGCAAAGGTAATAAGTTTGAGTGGGGCAGAGTAGGAAAAGAAATGATTCTTGGAGAAGGTATGCTTTGATCTGAGCCTTGGACAGTGGGGAAGGATCAGGGCCTTCAGAGCCCAGACAGCAACCGCTGCAAATGCTGAGTCATTTACTCAGTCATTGCTCAAAAAACATCTCTTAATCCACATGTTTAAAATGGGCTACTGCTGAGCACAGTGGCTCACACCTGTAATCCCAGCACTTTGGGAGGCCTACGCGGGTGGATCACTTGATGTCAGGAGTTCAAGATCAGCCTGGTCAACATGACAAAACCGCGTCTCTACTAAAAACACAAAAATTAGCCGGGCATGGTGGCACATGCACCTGTAATCCCAGCTACTTGGGAGGCTGAGGCAGGAGAATTGCTTGAACCTGAGAGGCAGAGGCTGCAGTGAACCGAGATCATGCCACTGCACTCCAGCCTGGGCAACAGAGTGAGACTTTGTCTCAAAAATAAGTAAAATAAATAAAAAAATTAAAATAAAATAAAATATCATGGGCTACCTATGGAACCTGTTCTGTTTGCTCAGTAAAGAATTAGGATGATGTTAATGATGGATGCTCAGTGTTTTTTATTTTGCAGATTTTGTTTAAATGACTTTCCTTTTGACCAGGTTATCAGAATGAAATAAAATGTAAAATACCTGTGGCTTCTGTTTTATATTTGTTTTAAAGTATATTTGATTTGTGGCCTGCTGCTTTTCAGATGTATAATATGTCCTGACGATTGAAGTTTTGGTTTCAATAATTTCACTGACTGACTTAAGCCACCGATTATAGTTTCAGTTTCTGTTAAAAAGTGGTTACTATTCCCCAGCATACACCACTCTCTTACAGATACGCAGAGATCAGGGGCATATTTTCTAAGTCCAAGTATAGGTTGCCAATTTTCTGTGAAAAGAAACTAACCTTTGTCAAATATGTGATTTGGAATATCATTATAAAGATCAAAATGATGGAAATTTCCAAGCTAGTCAGTCAAATGCATTTCCAGAACAGTGAGTTTTTCCTTCCGCCTGCTGCCCTCCTTGCAACGTTAGGGGTTTTCCTTGCTTGTGCTCAGAAGAGAGTATCTCTAGCCCCCTCCTGTGGCCAATGAGGAGAAACACAAGCCTCCTAGACCACTGGGTAAAAGCTCTTTTAAGATTTACATATTCTCCTAGAGCTGTGTCTTAAGAAACCAGGTTCTATCACTAGGAGAATGTGAATTTAAAATAAGATGATGTGATGTGAAAGCCTTAAAAAACTTATGTTTGGAAACCATCTTAGGAAATGGACTTTTTCCCCTATATGAAGCTGTCTGGTGGATTGAGATTGCCTTGGCTTTGGGGGAAGTGGGCAAGGACAAGGGCGACATCTGGTGGGACACTTACACTATTTCTAACAGTTCAGAGGCTCATTCACACCCACACGCTTACCCCCAGGCTCCTCTCTCCTTTGTCATTACCCATATTGAAGCAAATGCAGGTGAATGTCCATTTTCACATACAAACCTCATGCTGCCTTTTGTGACTCCGAAGTCCCCTCTCTAAATGTGCCATGTCTTCATTTAACTTGGTTTCATAAATATAGGAATTTGGAGATGAGGGGCTTGGGGAGGAATTGGGGGACTCCTTCTTGGCGGGATTCCCCAGTGATGGGTGATATAGATGTTTTTTTTCTTTCTTTCTTTCTTTCTTTTTGAGACAGAGTCTCGCTCTGTCTCCCAGGCTGGAGTGCAGTGGCACGATCTTGCTCACTGCAACCTCCACCTCCTGGGTTCAAGCAATTCTTCTGCCTTAGCCTCTCAAGTAGCTGGGACTACAAGCACACCCCACCACGCCCGACTATTTTTTGTATTTTTAGTAGAGACAGAGTTTCATCATATTGGCCAGGCTGGTCTTGAACTCCTGACCTCATGATCTGCCCGCCTCGGCCTCCCAAAGTGCTGGGATTACAGGCGTGAGCCACCGCGCCTGGCCAAGATGTTCATAAAATACATATTTTTAGCATACCATAGAACTAGTCTTCTCAGTAATTCAAAGAAAAACAGAATCCTATACTGGATTCTGTTAGGAGGACTGGTTTCTGTTTCTAAGCCTGCTTGTTTTCCCATCTGTAAACAAGGTCCAATGCAAACTGTCTTAGAGATTTGTGTTCTAGTTTTATGTCAGAAAGGAAGGTACTAGATGCTGTCCTTGCATTTCATAAGATTTTCAGTCTTATCTTCCCAAGAGCTGCCTCTGTTTCCTCTGCCCCATTCCATGGATCCAAGGGGAAAAAAAATCTTGCATTATGATAGAGCTAAGTTGTTTTCTTACCTACCCATTAGATGATACCTCAAGATAACTTTCTTGAGTGTAAATGGCTAAGGGTAAATGTAAGTGCTAGGCACTGGGCACTACTGTAACAAGCACTTCACACAGACTGTTCCACCTGATTCTCATGGCAGCCTCAGGAACCAGTACGCTTGCCCTCCCCATTTTGTAGGTGGGACATCTGAAGCTTAGTAAGATGAAATCATTTGCTCAGAGAGTTGCATTTACCAGCTGGCTGTCTCTGCTCGCCACCCATTGTAGGAGCTGCTTTGCCCTCAGACACTCATGCCAGTGTCACCCACATCTTTGCATTACTAAGTCCATAGACACTCTGGCATTTCTCTTCAATGCTGTCTCTGCAGAGGTGTTGCTGTGGAAGACTCTGACCGCAGTCTGTTCTCTGAGGGTCGCCTGTCCCTGGTTCTGTTTGCTTCTCCTCTGGCCTTTCTGCTCCATCCCATTCCTGAGCTCATCTCCTTTTCTAATTCTCAAACATTGCTCCCCATCCCCGACGCTGTCCTTCCCAGTGGTCTCTCTGAGGGGCCGTCACTCCCATGGCTTTAACTGCCACTGAATAGTCTTCTCTTGTCATGAATATCCAGAGTAAACTCAGTTTGCCCAAGACAGGGAACCAGGAATCATTCTTGGTTGTCCTTCTTCCTTATTCCCCAAGTCCAGTTAGAGACCAGGCCATGACTCTCTCCATCTCTTACGATTCTGTGCCCTCTTTCACTCTGCCGCAACTTAGCTCAGACCAACATAAGTTCTAACTTAGATTATTCAGTGGTCTTATGTTCTGCTTGATTCTCTTCATTAATTTGAAAGTATACTGAAGCATTATACTAAGCACAGGTGCTGTATTCAACACTACTGTCTTAGTCCGTTTTCTGTTACTTGTAACAGAATGCCTGAAACTAGCTAATTTATAAAGAAAAGAAATGCATTCTTTCAGTTCTGGAAACTGAGAAGTCCAAAGTCGGAGCCCCACTTCTGGTGAGGACCTTCTTGCTGGTTGGGAGTCTCTGTGGAGTCCCAAGGCAGTGCAGGGCATCACATGGTAAGGGGGGTGAGCATACTAGCTCAAGTCTCTCTTCCTCTTCTTAAAAAGCCACTAGAGCCATTCCCTTGATAACCCATAAATCTATGAGTGGATTAATCCATTTATGAGGGCAGAGACCTCATGACCCAATCACCTTTTAAAGGCCCTCCCTCTCAATACTGTCACATTGGGGATTAAATTTCAAATGAGTTTTGGAGGAGACAAGTAACTCAAACCGTAGCAACTACCTATGGGCCCTGCTTCAGAGAGCCTGTCACTTGATGGGGAAGATGGACACTTAATGATAAAATAGTAACCACTGTAAGTGTTTGCTATTATTATTTTCCTGGGGCTGTTTCATGGGCTCTTTGTATATGAACTTGCATAATTTTCACAATAGCCCTATGATGTAGGTATTTTTTAATTCTACCCACTTTTCAGAGGAGGAAACTGAGGCACAGGGGTTAAGCAACTTCCTCAAGGCTCTACAGCTTCTGAGTACAGAGCTGAGATTCAGAGCCAGGCTGTCGGGCTCCAGAGACCATGTTCTTTCCCATTCTACACTGTCTCTGTGCTCCATGCTGTGCTGCCTTTGCAGATGTAATGAAAGGTCAGTGTCTGTTGTGCAGAGGAAAGTAAAGGAGCTCTGGGTGTGTGTAGTAACCAAGAACCATGAAAGTATATAGGAGAGGGCTAATAGAGATGAGAATTTAAGGAATTCTTTTCTGAGATGGGAGATTTTTCATTTGGAACTTGAGGCTGAAAATAAATAAGCTGAGCCATGCATGTGGGAGAAGTGCTGTTCCAGGCAGACAGATCAGCATGTGCAAAGTCCCTGAGGTGAGAGCAGGAAAGAAGGAAGATCAGTGTGGCTGTAGGGTGAAGAAGGTGGGGGTCAGGCAGAAGAGAGCTGGGCTGGGATTGGAGACACTACCGTGAAGTCTGAGAGAAACTAAGGTTAGATTCATCTCCTTCCCATACATTCTTCTTGCTGCTGTGTGCTCCAAACCAAAAATCTGATTACCACTCCCCTCCTTGCTTCTGTTCCAAGAAGTAATTTTCTCTACATACAGAGAAGGCTTATAAGATTGGCACTATGTCCTGGGAAAGTGCACAGTGAGGTTGAGAAGCAGAAGTGGGGATTCTGAGTGGTGGTGTTTTAATTTGTTTGTTCTCTTATTAATGGTGAACTTGATGTCTCTGCTTTTATGTGAAAGAACTCAGAGTAGGTCAGCAGTTTTGCCTTTTTTTGAATGGAGCCCAAATGGATCACTTTCTGTTGAATTCTATTCTACAGTAAATATTTATATATAAATTTGAGTGAATTTATTAGCAGCTCACATAGTTTTTGCTTTTGTTTTTGTTTTTTGTTTTTTGTTTTGAGACAGAATCTCGCTCTGTTGCCCAGGCTGGAGCGCAGTGGCACGATCTCGGCTCACTGCAAACTCTGCCTCCCGGCTTCATGCCATTCTTCTGCCTCAGCCTCCCAAGTAGCTGGGACTACAGGCGCCTGCCACCACACCTGGCTAATTTTTTTGTATTTTTAGTACAGACGGGGTTTCACCGTGTTAGCCAGGATGGTCTTGATCTCCTGACCTCGTGATCCGCCCACCTCAGCCTCCCAAAGTGCTGGGATTACAGGCGTGAGCCACCGTGCCTGGCCCAGCTCACATGTTTTTAAATGTATAGCTTTATATCAGGGAATGTTTTGCCTTACATATGTACTTCTGAATGAATGCGGTGTGATTTGTTTCTGATATTTACCATTTTGTTTTAACAATAGACAAAACATTTATTGTTTGAACTTCTTTTCACACTGCCATTTTGTTTGGAAATTATTCTCCGGTAAGGTGTGTTTAACATTTGAATTCTGTTTTATTCCTCAGCTCAGAAAAATGCTCAGTATGTCCTGGTGTTTGATGCATTTGTCATTGTGATTTGCTTGGCATCTCTTATTCTGTGTACAAGATCCATTGTTCTTGCTCTAAGGTTACGGAAGGTAAGAGTGTGTTCGCATTCTCTTCCTGCCCTCTTGGCCTGCGCCCTCAGTTTGCCCAAGCAGTGGACCACCGATATTGTGCACCTGCCTTTTTTGGAGACCTTTGACTAAATCAGATTCCTTTGAGTAGTTGCCCGCTATGAGGCATTCATCAGCCTGAGGTGTAGGAAGTGAGTAAAGGCTCTGAGTATGTCAAGTGGGATCAGATAATTATCCTGCTTAAAACTGAGCTGATATGTACAGATGCACAGTGGTGAACTCTCAGGCTTTTGAATGTTTCCAGAATAACAAATCCCTCTTCAATTCAGGAGTGATCTGAAGAACAGAGTAATAGCATGTGTGGGTTTCATCTTTTGTCTTCAAATCAGAGTTCATTTTGACAGGGAGGCATGGTAAATGGATTATAATGAAGCATAAAATACTTTATTCTGTTTTTAAAATAGTTTTAAAATTCTCCCCTGAGTTTCATTTTGCCTTTTTACCCTCAGGGCTCTTATGAATATATACTTCCGCTCCCCACATATCTTATTCTGGCTGTGGCGTGTGTACAAATGCACACTGGGGTCAGGGGAAATTGGAAGTCCACAGAGTACCATTTGTGGAGCAGGGACGTAGTCTGCATTTGATTTTGCCTAATCCTGACCTTTGTCAATGTCCTTTGTAAATATCCACCTTTCTTACATGCTCCCCAATCCCCTTGATATTCTGAATGCAAAGTTAAGGTCCTTTCCCTGCCAAGGTGAGGGGGCTCATATTTGGAGCACGCACTCTGGAGCCGGCCTGCCTGGACACGGATCCTGGCTTAGCCTCTCGGTGCCTCAGTTCCCTTCTCTGGGTGATAGACCTGCTCGTACCTGCTTCATTGGGTTGTTATCGGAATGGATGTGTTGGTAATATGAAAAGTATTTGGAATGTACTGTGTGTTAGCTATGACAAGAACCTGCTGGAGTTACCGCGTACGTATTTCATATTTGAGGTAACTTCACAGACAATTGAATGCTTACTCAGATTATAGGGGAAAGTGTGTGCCGTAACCTCCACTTTCGAGGTGGATCTGGCAAATTGGAAAGGCAATGCCATGTCCTTTTACAGGTGAGAGCACTGTTTTGCACTTGCCTTCTTCTTCCAGAGGGCAGTGTGGTTTGTAAGAAACGCTTCTTTAAATGTTTGCCATAGAGATTTCTAAATTTCTTCCTGGAGAAGTACAAGCGGCCTGTGTGTGACACCGACCAGTGGGAGTTCATCAACGGCTGGTATGTCCTGGTGATTATCAGCGACCTAATGACAATCATTGGCTCCATATTAAAAATGGAAATCAAAGCAAAGGTGAGGGAAGCCCATTTAAAGTCTCTGTTCTTCATCTTCTCCTGGATGGCCACAGGCATCTTAAGACGTACCATCCTTTGGAGACCACTTTGATTCTCGTGTCTTCCCTTTTCTCACACCAGCACAAGTGAGGCCTCCCCTGGCTTGGTTCCTCGTGAAGGGAAAGGAAGCCGATGTTCCATGGAACGAAACTTGGCAACAGCTCCAGAATAGTGACTAAGCTTGAAAAGATTGGTTATTTGGGCCTCATTTTTCTTTTTAAGTTGCCAAAGGAGCAGCTTATCCATAAACCAGTCCCTTCCCTGAACCTGCATGTCAAGAGCTTGTGGGGAGGATCTGTGACCATTGGGTGCTCCGACGGATGGGGTGAGGGCAGGAATGTCAGACTGCCCGCTAAAGCCTGACCCTTTGTATAACTTAGTTGATTTGATCTCCTAACTAAGCCTCAACTCCTCCTTCACCGCACTATTCTCCCGTCCATTCTCTGCTGTTGGTCAGAGGTCCCTCCAGCCACACCTCCTAACCCTGACATGCCTAATTCTCTCCCATCCCGGCTCCCTCTGGCTTTCTTCAGGCTTCTTCCTTTCTGGCCAACTGTGACAGCAGCCTCCTCACCAGCTTTCCCGTCTTCTACTTCATACCCCTGAGATCCATTCACACAGCTGTCAGAGGGACTTTTCTGGAAGTGTCTATCCAGCTGTTACCATCCTTTCTACCTCTTGGGGCCTACTTTGGGATGAAGTGGCCTCCCTCAGCAGCATGGCCCCTGGGGTCATCATCATCCAGCTCTGCCTCTTGCTCCTGCCCCTGCTCTGACCCTGCCCCTCTAGGACGTCTTGTCAGCATTGTGCCTTTGTTCAGCTTTTGTCCACTTACCTGTGGTGCTTCCTCCCAGCCTGTCCTGCAGGCCTGTCTTTGCTCTGGGGTCGTGTCTGTGGTGTCCCTCTGTGATGAGCTAGGCATTGTGTCTTTCACTGCATTTAGCGTATTATATGAGAATCATGTTTGTGTGTTTGTCTTTTCAACTAGCCCTAGAATTTCCTCAGAGCTGCAGCTGTGTTAGGAAATCATGCTGGAGTTTTCTTTCAAAAGCAGCTGAATTGTATTGTTTGGTACTTAACAAACACCATTAATTTGTATCCTCGAATGCCTAGGTCAGTGATAAATGCAATTTCTATTTGAGAGTATTATTTGGAAAAAAATTTAGTTCAACCTAAATACAATTTCTATTTCAGAGTATTATTTGGAAAAAAATTTAGTTCAACCAATTGAAATACTAAAAGAAAATGAGAAACACAAATATTTGGAATTATATCTGTTTTTCTTCTTTTTTTTCTTCAAAAAAAAACTCTATCACCTATAGGGAGGCAGATAGTTCTTTTTTTATTAATTGGTTTAATGTAAGGCTAATAAGCTAAGTGGAGTCAAATATTTTACTCATTTCTCTCTTTCTTTTTTTTCATTCCTTAGAATCTCACAAACTATGATCTCTGCAGCATTTTTCTTGGAACCTCTACGCTCTTGGTTTGGGTTGGAGTCATCAGATACCTGGGTTATTTCCAGGCATATAATGTAAGGATGCGGCACCGGGTAGTGCCACTGCAGTTGAGACTCATTTATTCTTTGGGTTCTAATAGCTACTTTTTCATTTCACCCATTCTGTTCTTTTTTTCAGGTGCTGATTTTAACAATGCAGGCCTCACTGCCAAAAGTTCTTCGGTTTTGTGCTTGTGCTGGTATGATTTATCTGGGTTACACATTCTGTGGCTGGATTGTCTTAGGACCATACCATGACAAGGTGTGTAGCTCACATTCTTCCTTCTGCAGATGGGGCACGTGGGACCCTTGAACGTGGGTTTCTAGCACTTACTTGCTTCCTGGTCTTCTCTAGCATGTACCCTTGACATCAGTAATCACATATCTTTGTATCAGTTTTCTTTTTCTTTTTTTCCTTTTCAGGATATAGAAGTGACTACAGGATATTGAAACAAGAACTGTACAATACTAGAAAGCATGTATTATAGTTGTCTGGGACTGGCTTAAGGGGTCACATGGTTACCCGGTGATCATCAAATGGGAAATGTTTGGACGTGAGATCACTATATTAAAAATGAAAATTAAGTGAGGAAAATTATTATAAAAAATTTCCAATTTAAAGTATTATGTTTTTCATCCAAGTTAATTGAGAAGAATGAAGATGGGCAGAGACTGCCTAAAACGACCATAGTAGGTTTACGATAGAAATGGTGACACGTCTTGTCTCTGCAGACGGTTTTGATTACAGCATCATCTTTCTGCCTTATTAAAGATCAGTATCTGAATTCTAAACTATTACCAAACTTCAGTTAGCATTATAATCTCAGGGACATCAAAGTTGTGCTAAGATGTTCTTGTTATAAAATGATACATTTGATTGGTAGATGCATCAGGAAATGAAACTAGGTAAGCCTTGGTTTTAACCCAAAAAAGTAAAAGGAGTTATTTTATCTTATGGCTTTTCCTCCATTTGGGCCTGTGGCAGTTGGAACAACAGAAACAACAAAAATAGCAGCAGCTAACACTTACTGCTTGTGTGTTAGACACTCTGCTGGGCATTTCGGTGTTCTTTCTTATTTACTCCCCACAACAACCCAGGGTACTGTTAGCCTCACTTAGGTGCTCTGCAAGGAGAAAAGAGGTTAAAAATGGTAAGTATTCCTTCCAAGTTTGTATACCAGTTCAGCCTTAAGTTTTGACCTTGTTAGTTGCATTAACCAAATCTGTGATCAAATCTGGTTTACAAACTGTTATACATGAATCTTAAACCTCCGTGCTGTCCTACCAGAATAATGTCGAGTAACCTGGAACACTCAGACTTTCTTCTTTTTAGGTGTCACATTTAATATGTCTAGAGAGAATTACTGTTTTTCCTATTTGAGATATTATATAATTAACAAAGTGACAACCTCTGGGTTGGTAGTAAATCTTGATAATATTGCTCTTCATACTCCATGTCACTGCTTTAAAGGTGACTCATGAGAAAAAATTATTCTTTGATATGATCTCTCTGATTTGGAGAACTTACTGTCTTAGAGCCTGGAAAAATGTATTTTTCTTCCTTGCTTGCCTCATGCTCTGAAAGCTTTTCCACCTCTTTGTCACTAGAGGGCAGTGTTGCACTGTGTGGAATAAATACCGTTCCTGAGGATTCGGCTTTAATTCACTGACTCCAAGGTCTGTGGACAAGTGGTCCCATCTCCTTTGCACCCCATCCCCGTCTCCCCTACCTCATCATTATTCTGGAAGGTGCTCAGATAAGATTGCTAGAATTTTACTAGATGGCTACCATTCTCAAGTGCTGTCTGTTAGGCATGGTGCCCAAGATTCTTCATCTCCCTTGCTGTGTTAACCCTTCCCTCCCCTTCTCTGTGAAGAAATCTGATTGTCCTGTTACAGAGAATAGGCACCTTAATATATTAAATAATATTCCTGAGATTACCCAGCTAGAAAGTGGCAGAGATGGGATTCAAACCCAGGTCGGCCTGACTCCAGTACCTGTGCTTTGACCCATACCCTGTAGAGCTTTTCTTGGTATTATCTAAAACAGATCATTGCAAGAGAGCATTTAGCCTGACAAGAAACAGTCTTGTACTTGGAGATCAACTGTGAGAGGACAGCCATGTAATCGGCTTCATTCTTTCAATGGTGTCAAGGTCACCTCATGGAAAATGAGGTTATTTGTTTTGTGAGCCTGACTGCATTTCCATATGTTCAATTTGTCCTTTCAAAGGATCCAGGTGAAACTGGGATGCTCTGAGCCAGCACTGTCCAAGAAAAATACAGTTTGGGCTACAATTGAGAGCCTTGCCTATACTGTAAAATTTTCTAGTAGCTACATGAAGAAATAAAAAAACAGATGAAATTATTTTTAATTATATATTTTAAGCCTAATATACCCAAAATATTATTTCAGCATGTATTCAGTATAAAATATTGAAATATTTTACATTCCTCCATACTAGTCTTTTTGATCTGGTGGATATTTTATCCACATAGCACGTCTCAATTTGGACTAGCTATCTATTGGATGCTGGCTATTCACACATTCCTGGTGACTACCACTATGGACATTGCAGCTCTAGACTTATGTCTTTCACTTAATGTTAGCTTTCCTTTATACCCCTGGAGGAGGGGAGGGATAAGGGATGTCTGTAGGGTTGCCTGCAGGTCTGTTTATGGCATCTCTCACCAGGCTGATATATTGGGGAAATACACAGCTGAGTTAATTCACTGAATGTACAAGTCAGTTGGGGGAGAGAACGTCAGTCTGGTTTTGGAACTTTGTGCTTTTCTTCACCATATTGCTGCCTCTTTGAATCTGAAGTTAGAATATTTTATTGCCCCTTGCATCCTTTCCCCCAAATTAATCCAAGCTGTCAGCATGTTCAGGTTCTGCCAGTATCTGAATCAGAGGACTTTCAGGTTACCTGAAGCCTTGAAAAGCTAGGCATTCCAAGCGGGCATTTTTGTGGGATTTTTAGAATCACAGCAACCTTGATTGTGAAAGCTAATTCTTTCTTTAAAACAAAACAACTAAAAAGGAGACATTAGGAAAACCGTTTGACTGATAGCTGGGGTCCCATAACACTTCAGCTTCCTATCTTCCTGTTAGGCATCTGATTTCAGGGGCTCAATGGAAAGGGAGTCAAGATGCAAAAGGCTTCCTGCTGATGTGTATTCCCAGCACTAATGGACTTTGGCACAGTGCCCTTTCAAAATGCCTGGGCACAGAGGGTGAGAGACTGTTGATGTTCTTCCAGACCTCATCTTGAATTATTAAACATTACTCTAATGCGGCTTTTACATTTCCAGAGGACTTTTTTTCCTGTGAGGAATAAATCATAGCCTTGCATTGTCCCCATTTTACAAATGAGAAGACCAAGACTTGAAAAGTTGTTGGACTTCACTGATGCCATGGGTCAAAGTTCAGCAGACTCTGCATTACATTTTCCTCCTTCCAAGCCCTCTGGTTTTAGCCAAGTACCCCTCAGCTAAAACATTTTGCCTAAAGTTTGCATGAGATTCTTGGCACCAGCTCTTAAAGCAAATATTTATGTTGTTCTCTGACATAAGCCATTGCAGGTTATGGTTTCATTGAAATTAAAGGTTTTTGGCCCAACTGCAAACTTATCATTTGTGAAATGAATGGTTGAGTTCTCATCGTGGGCCCAGAGAACCTATGGGGACTCTTTATGGAAATACCCATTTAATACGTATTAAATATCTACTGTGCACCCAACATTGCTAGGTTCTTGTAGACCAAGTTCTTGGAGGGAAGGAACTGTAGTTTGTTCCTCTTTACATTCCCAGTGTCCAGCACAGCACATAGACCATGGTAGGTGCCCAAAAAGTTTGTTTTGAACAAACAAGAAGCAGAGAGAGAGTAGTACCTGCTTTCCAGGGGCTTATGATCACTCAAGATCCAAAGGAATGCCTTACAAATGTGGTCCTTCTAGACTGGAAGCACATTAGGACCTTGAGTATTTTTAAGCTCACTTCTACTATGGAATTTGGCCACTGAAATAGACTCTGGTTCACAGCCACTTCTTGTACAAAATGGCAGGGTGTTACCAAACACCTAAAATTGACTGGGTCTCTGTTTTAACTCTTTGGTGTGTTAAAATAATTCTCATGTTCACAAGAGGAGGGGGAGGTAAAATGGTTATGAATAATGTTAATGTTGAGACAGATATTGTGTGTAGCCTGGTAAGTAACTAAACAGAAAATTAAAAAATGAATGTGACATGTACTGACAAACTAGCTATTTGCAGTTGAAACCTGAAGCACAGACAGTTGTGCTTGGAGTTAGGGGTTCTTGAAACTAGAGAAAGGAGTTGACTGGATTCCAAAAGAAACTAAGAAATGTGAATTATTAATGGTGCTGTCAGAGTTGTAGTTGACATCCATAGAAACCAACTTTAATGTCAATGTTTTCAGCTTTAACTTCAATGTTTTAAGGCTTGTGTAGCGTATGGAAAATATTTACTCTGGCAATCGCCTGTTTTACTGTTAAATAATCTACATATTGTTAAGTGATCTGTTCATTTGGATATTTCCTCTAGGTCTTTTTGGAGGAGGACTTTAGTTCATCAGAGTTTTTGCTGATGCAGCAAAGCCATGGGTGGGATCCTTGTTTGGGGTGCGTTTGTAGACCTTCTCCCTTGGCCACCAACTTTACCTTGCCTGGTCCAGCCACGTGGCTGGTAGTGTAAGGCACGGTGTTTGTATCTAGTTGGAGTACAGGGAAGTGTGTATAAAAACAATTAGAAGACCATAGTTCATTCTGTGATTCTTACCGATACGGAGTGCAGAGAAAGGACTAGAACTACCAGGGCACTTGGTCTTGAAGTACACTCTGAAATGACCCTTGAACATTGGCTTAATTGGACACAGAGAAGAGAAAGAAGAATAGAGCAGGTGAGGAGAATAAATTCCATGAGGGAAAAATGTAGGGATGGGCCTGGTGTTGGAGGAGAAGATAAGCACAGCATATTAATACTGTCAAGGAGGAGATGTGATGAGGCTGCATAAAGGAGGAACTTATCACAACCTTCTTGGTTTAGATTTTTATTTTGCATCCAAACTTTGTATAATCTCACAAGGGAGAAATGACCTGAAAGCCTTCTTCTTAAAGTACAGGTTTTACTGCAGCTTTGACTGGGGAGGGTAAAGAGATTGGAGTAAAAGAGACTTCCTTGGAAGTTTCTTTAATAATTCAGAAATTTGTGTTGACATCACAGTAGAGTAGTAAGGGTGGATTGGAGAAACATGTGATAGGAACAGACAGGCCTTAGAAGACTGAAAGCGGGGAAGAGTAATCAATTCAACACAGAGTTTTAAGGACTTAATTATTTCAGAGTAAATGTTTCTTTGGTAGGAGATTGGAATCACTGACAGAAATAGGGCAATTTAGAAAAAAAAGTTCATTTTTCTGGTTAGGGTGGTGAAAAGTTTTGTTTTGTTGGCATTTTCAAGGAATGGTCTGTTATATAACAAATGCCAGCTGAGCACAGTGGCTCATGCCTGTAATCCAAGCACTTTGGGAGGCTGAGGTGGGCGGATCACCTGAGGCCAGGAGTTCGAGACCAGCCTGGCCAACATGGTGAAACCCCATCTCTACAAAAAAATACAAAAATTAGCCGGGCTTGGTGGCAGGCACCTGTAATCCCATCTATTTGGGAGGCCGACACATGAGAATCGCTTGAACACTGGAGGCAGAGGTTGCAGTGAGCTGGGATTGCACTGCACTCCAGCCTGGGTGGCAGAGTAAGACTCTGTCTCAAACAAACAAACAAAACCTACAAATGCTCTCTAAGTGTAGAAAACATAAGAAGATGCTTATGTTAATTAGGAGAAAAACCAGGATCTAAACTTGTTAGATCCTGGTTTTAGATATATAAAAAGTACATAGGGAAAAACTGTGGGAATTGTTAAGAGATTAACTTTGAGAGTATGGAGGGGTGTGTGTGTGTGTGTGTGTGTGTTTTAAAGAGACAGGGTCTCGCTGTGTCCCCCAGGCTGCAGTGCAGTGGCAGAAGCTTGGCTCACTGTACCCTGAACCTCCTGGATGCAAGAGATTCTCCCACCCCAGCCTCCTGAATAGCTGGGACTACAGGCATATCACCATGCCCAGATAATTTTTGTACTTTTTGTAGAGATGGGGTCTTGTAATCTTTCCCAGGCTGGTCTCAAACTCCTGGGCTCAAGTGATCCTCCAACCTTGGCCTCCCAAAGTGCTGGGATTGTAGGGATGAGCCACTGTGCCTGGCCCAGAGGGGGTTTTTGAATAATGTTTTCCTACTTCTTATGGTGTTCTAGCATCTTAAAATAAGTAAGTTACCACTACTACAATGACAAAAACAATGTTAACAAAACAAGCTAACTAGATATCCTCTGCTTTTTAGAATACTCTATTTCAGAAACTAGTTTTTATTTCCCCCTACAGTTTGAAAATCTGAACACAGTTGCTGAGTGTCTGTTTTCTCTGGTCAACGGTGATGACATGTTTGCAACCTTTGCCCAAATCCAGCAGAAGAGCATCTTGGTGTGGCTGTTCAGTCGTCTGTATTTATATTCCTTCATCAGCCTTTTTATATATATGATTCTCAGTCTTTTTATTGCACTTATTACAGATTCTTATGACACCATTAAGGTAAGTAATTATCAAAATTTGCTGCCAAAAAATCACTGCAAATTCTATATAGATTATAGGAAAATACCACATTTTAAAAACTTAAAATATTACAGTTCAGATTTTGAGGTTTTGTGGACAAACTTTTTAGACGCTGGAGATGAATTTTAGGGCATTGTCCCTGTTACCCACAGCAGGGTGGATTGGTTTGGAGGGGTGGTGGGAAAGAAAAGGGAAATGGGGTAAGCATGGGTTGAATGGGGTAAGTCAGGTAGTCAGGCTGCTGGTCTTAGCCCTGACAGATATACCTGCCAGTGTGGCTGCCTGGAACTTAGGATTGAGTCATAAGTTTCAGGGATGAGAGGTGACCGGCACCCTGACAACTCTCAGATATTGCTACAACTCACACTGGATAATACAGCTACTGGCATGGTGCAGGCTTCCTTTAAATTATGAAAACTAAGGCTTTTGTGACTGTTTAGCTTCCTGCTTTCTTAAGCTACCTGATGGGTTCTGTATCCTTTCAGACTAGGCCATTTAACTGATTTGTGGCTTGAAGGAATTTCACTTCCTTGGGTGCTGGTACCTTATTCACAGCAGATGGTCATGCTTAGAAAACCCTGCTTCAGGGTCAGTGACTGAAAAACCAGGGGTGCCATGCCAGTGCCTTTGTCAGGGCTGTTTTCTGCTTAACCACTTTCTCAGAATAATGCAGAAGAAACCCAGTCCGCTACCTTTTGAGTGTGTGGGAAGATAAGTAAGTGTTCAGGTGGGAATGGTAGTTGCCTCTCGCATCAGGGTTTGCATGGAGAAGGAAGAGGTGCACACTCCTGCCACAGAGATTCATGTCTTTGATGTGGCAATGTCTCTGCGTGGTGGGGGCCAAGCCTCAGTGTTGAAGTAGGTTATCTCATTAAGCATGAGGGGAGGGAGTCTTTGTGTCTGCTTGGAAAAAAATCTCTCTTCTGTTCCACTAAGCGACCAACTTCCATAAAAGTAGAGGAAATAATGATTACTTTCCAAGCAGAGTCTACATTGCCAATGTGTGTGTGGAGTGGGAGGTCTCATCTAGTCTTGCTGTTAGCATTAAAAGTTTAGACTTTTTTTTTTTTTAAAAAAAGAGAGAGGGTCTTGCTCTGTTTCCCAGGCTGGAGGACAGTGGTATAATCCTACCTCATTATAGCCTCCAACTCCAGGGCTCAGTCGATCCTCCTGCCTCAGCCTCCAGAGTAGCTGGGACTACAGGTGCACACCACCATGGCCAGAAAATTTTTGTATTTTTTGTAGAGATGGGGTCTCACCATCTTGCCCAGGCCAGTCTCAAACTCCTGGGCTCAAGCGATCCTCCCTTCTTGGCCTCCCAAAGTGCTGGGATTACAGGCATGAGCCATCATACCCAGACTAGACATTTGACTTTTGATTATTTCCTTCATTACCTTTTTTTTTTTTAAAAAAAACCTCTCCCTGGCTCTTCTCTGCTTTCTTTCTGAAGTTTTTCTTTGGATTGTTCTCTGTTCCCACAGTGGCCCTGCCTTGGTGTTCTGGGACTGACAGATTGATTCATCATTGTAAATATCAGTTCTTGGATCTGAGCTAGCAATGTGGGAGAGTTTTATTTTAGCAAAGGTGGGCTTGGTTTGTTGACAAAAGAGCAATTTCTCATGCCTTATAAATAAGGTAACAACATTGTGTACTTTCTAAAGAAATTCCAACAGAATGGGTTTCCTGAAACGGATTTGCAGGAATTCCTGAAGGAATGCAGTAGCAAAGAAGAGTATCAGAAAGAGTCCTCAGCCTTCCTGTCCTGCATCTGCTGTCGGAGGAGGTCAGTATCATGTTTATTCTCCATGCTCCTGAGATGGGCTGTTCTGTTGTCTTAAGAAAGAGCCCCTCCAAGATTACCATTACATTCAGAGACCAGCTTATCATGGGAAATAATTCACCTTTCTTTTCTTTCCTCCCACTGAAATTGGCTTTAGAAATGAATTATTTCTTCTAAAACAGGGTTATGTAGAAAGCTACACGATGTGATTGGAATCTCTTAGAAATACTATAAGACTCTTAAGAGAAGGCATAAATTATGTCCTTAAAGTCAAGAGGCTGAACTCTTAAGTGGCCCAAGTAAGAGGTCAAAGCTCTTATTTTTAGAGGTGAAACTCTGGGAGTGTCAGAGGTGTTTTCCCTTTTCACAGTATGTGGTACAAGCAATCTTTCTTGATGAGAGCAGGAAACTTCCTTGCGAAGAGGCTGTCCAAGTGCTTGCTTATCCGTGCACACCAGTAGCTCTTCCTTGCCTAGCTGTGCTTTGCCTGTTGTTCGTCAGGACATGTAGAGAAATGGTCTAGACCTCAGTGGACAAAGCATATTACATAGTGATTTGTGGACTAGAATGGGGTCAGGTGAAGACAATTTTTTTTTTAATGTGCCTATGTTTGCTTTCATCTGAAGTCAGGGGTGCCAGTTTGTAACTAAAAGTATACCCTACATATGTTTTTTCTTTTTGGAAGGACTCTGTAACCCAAATTCCTGAAGGAAGCTATGAGAACATAATTGCTATTTAAAACCACAGGATGCATTTTTCTGTTAATCAATTCATACAGCATCTTGGGACTTACAATGATATGACTGAGCAGATCCAGAGAATGTCTGGTAAATAGAAAATGAGATCTGAGAAGAGTTGTTTTCAGAATCACACCTTTTTTTCTCAGAGCATTAAATTGTTGCTGTGAAAGCTGGGATAAAGGAAATTAATTTTCTTAATAGGCAGCTGCCTCCTAAGAGGTACCTTGTATAAGGAAAGTCTCTCAAAATCTCTTTTTTACTATAAGGGGGATAAACTTCATTGAAAAATGTAGTCATGAATTCTAAAAAGTAAACGATAGGTCTTTGGTGTTTGGACCTTGGTTTGTGCCACACAAAGTCCTGGGAGGTTGTTAAATGTTTTGTCATGCAGCCCTATGGAACAAGTGAAAGATTTAAGGCGTGGACCCCAAGACGTTTGGGTAAGATTGGGTCTGAGTGGTGAGACGCAAGGAGCAACAGCAGCAGACCATTTGCCCTAAAGTGTGCTGAGGGTTGTTGAGAAGATGCATGGTGAGACGGAGGGTCTGCCCCTCATGAAGAGTGAAAGAATTTGAGGGAACAAGAGAGCCCACCAAGGAGATCAACTGAAGAACTAGGATGATGAAAGTTTTGAAAAAGAGGATATCAAAAAACAAAGACAGGTAGCTGTAACTATGTTTGGCCAAACGATGGTCCTGAGTGAAGTCAGCTATAGCAATTTCAGTGGAATCATCAGACCAAAGCCTAGATCCCAGGGGGCTTGCATGGACCCTGCAGAGTGAATGAAGGGCCTAGGCTGTGATGGAAGGAAATGGATTGTAATGGGGCCTTGAGAACAAGTGATGGCTTTGACTCCATCTAAAATTAAGTATAGCTTGATGTGTTTAAAAGCTAGGAATGGGGCTGGTTATGGTGGCTCGTGCCTGTAATCCCAGCACTTTGGGAGGCCAGGGCAGAAGGATTGCTTGAGCCCAGGATTTTGAGATCAGCGTGGGCAATGTAGTGAGACCCCGCCTCTTAAAAAATAAAATAAAAGCTAGGGACAGAAGAATGGACTAAAATTGAGGAAGGCTGTGAATGGAGGCTAAAGATGAACATAAAGATTCATCTCTGCAAAGATTGGTTTTTGTGCCCCCTGTCTGGTGACCATGACAGATGACACCTGCTATCCCAGTGCTGCTTCCTGCAGAGCACGGCTGTGGTCACTCTTCAACAAAGCAGTCCAACAACCAGCACACATTTGATTCTCCTTTGAGTTTTTGACAGAGCCTCTAGCCTGAGCATCAGAACACCTGGGTTTTCATTTTGGACACTGCCATTAACCAAGTGTGTCCTGTGACCTCTCCTAAACCTCTTAGATGGACCAGATGACCTCTGAAACCTCTTCCAGTTCTAAAGCGATGTGGTTCTTTGGAGAGAGATGCTTGGTTGAACAGATGCAGAGTTAACCTTTACCTTCCTCTATTGCAGTGAAGGAGGAAAATTGGCTGTTCTAGTAATTTATAAGGCCTTGTTAGCGAAGGGACACAGAGATTCTTTTTTTTTTTCCAGAAACAAACCAATGTATTTATTGAGTAAAACCTAAATGTAACATATATTTTTCTTTTTTTTTTTTTAATTTTACTTTAAATTCTGGGATACATGTGCTGAACGTGCAGGTTACATAGGTACACATGCGCCATGGTGGTTTGCTGCACCTATCAACGCATCATCTAGGTTCAGCTCTGCATGCATTAAGTATTTGTCCTAATGCTCTCCCTCCCCTTTCCCCCTACCCCCCAACATTTCCCCGTGTGCGATGTTCCCCTCCCTGGGGGCATGGAGGTTCTTAAGAGACAGGTGACTCCTCACAGTGTTTCCAAAAGCATCTGCTCAAACCTCAAACAGTGTACATTGCCTTTATTTATTTATTTACTTATTTTTTCTGAATGTTGGTAAATAATCAGAATACCTTGCCTGTCTTAATTTTTCTTCCTCTTCTATGTTTCACTCAACATGTCTATAATCTACGGGCCTAGAATATAGAGTATTCCTATTGCTCCTCAAAGATGTTAAAGTATTGTATCTTTCCTCTTTTCTTCTTTCCCTTTCTGTTACAGGAAAAGAAGTGATGATCACTTGATACCTATTAGCTAAAGTTCTGCTAAAGATGATTAAAGTTCAGGCATCCTTATCCAGCGGCTGAGCAGAGGAACCCCAAATGACTTGGACAAGCAGTTCCAAAATGACTCTCTTATTTAATTGTGGAGTGGGAAAGAGGACTCACAGTTAGCCAGCTGACCATGACTGAAGTTCCAGCTTTACTTTTTATAAACTTGAATGATAAAGAATAGACCATGGGCTACTACTGGGCATTAGTGCAATATAACAGCGATAATAAAATTCTCTATTAGTCTGTTAATTTATGACATGATCTCGGAATGGAAAAAGATCATTTCAGAGTGTGCGAAATAATAGTCTTTAACCATGTAATTAAATATGTGTGTTTATTGTCAAATAAGGATTTGTTTTAAAGGTGATTCTTGGGTTTGAAGACATTTGTTAATTCATGGTCTGTACAGAAATGAAGCTGGTTGCAATACCAATCTAGAGAGTCCAAGCTGGTGAACTATTAAGCTGTTTAAAGATCACCCTTGGCCTGGCACAGTGGTTCACACCTGTAATCCCAGCACTTTGGGAGGCCTAGGCAGGCAGACTGAGCTCAGGAGCTTGAGACCAGCCTGGGCAACATGGCAAAAACCCACCTCTACAAAAAGTACAAAAATTAGTCGGGCGTGATGGCAGGCATCTGTAGTCCCAGCTACTTGGGAAGCTGAAGTGGGAGGATCACCTGAGCTCTGGAGGTGGAGGCTGCCATGAGCCATGATCGTGCCACTACACTCCAGCCTGGGTGACAGAGTGAGATCCTGTCTCAAAAAAAAAAAAAAATCACCCTTAAATCAACAAAAAGACCTCATGCTCATGCAGTGGACATTTCTTGGCCTGTTTTCCTGTGGGTTTTCTTCAGCATGATATGAAGCAACTGTTGGCATAGCCAGTGGGATAAATAAGAAATGGAATCATTTGGCTGCCTCGTCACTTGTGCTAATGGTCAGTTGTACACACATGACATGTGGAAGTGACCTGTAGCAGCGGTCACTCATTTTAACAATTGAACTCTGCTGGGTTGGGTATTTACCTTTGTCTAGAAAAGAAATATGATATATTTTCTCTAAATAAATTTATTTTCATCATTCCATATGGCATTCTTACTATTTTATGCATTGTCTCTAAACAACTACCTAATGAAACATTCAGATCACATCTCTCTTAACCACTTGGTCTCCAAAAGGGATTTCCCAATTTCTTAAAAGCAGTGAAGGATATACAGGGGCTAAGATATAGAAGTTATTCAATAAATATTTATGATGATAGCTTGAGAGATGAAGATCACTTCATGCATAGACTTATTTCATACCTGAGCTATCTCAGTGGCCAACTATTTAAAGTTATTGGTGAAGAGGAGAATTTGAATTAAGCAGGACCCTCCTTCCAGGGCTCTTCCTCTTTCTCCTTGGCCTCAGTCGCCCTCCCCACAAGCCCCTACCCAATTTTCCTTCTCATGTCACCTTCCCCCTCCTTGCTCTGACCCCATCTTCATATGCCTGCACCAACTATAGGCAGGGAAAATCATGCAGTTAATACCATTAAAGTATATAAGAGAGTAGATGACTCATGTCTACACACAGAGTACTTTGCTAAAATTATTTTAAACTTTCTTTTTTACAAGATATGTGAAGAGTTATGTTTGATTTTTAAACTAAGACACCATTAAACTGGTGGTTCTGGGGTCATTTGCCTGACCCAAGAATCAGATACGTAATTGGACCACTTGTTAACTTCTGAGTATATTGTCATATACTTAGTTTTGTCTCTGAAAAGAACTGCTATTTTTTTTCTTTCTCTCTTTTTTTTTTTTTTTAAACAGAGTCTTGCCCTGTTGCCAGGCTAGAGTGCAGTGTCATGATCTTGGCTCACTGCATCCTTTGCCCCCCAGGTTCAAGCGAGTCCCCTGCCTCAGCCTCCTGAGTAGCTGGGACTACAGACATGCACCGCCACACCTGGCTAATTTTTTGTATTTTTTTAGTAGAGATAGGGTTTCACCATATTGGCCAGGATGGTCTTGATCTCCTGACCTCGTGTACGCCCGCCTTGGCCTGCCAAAGTGTTGGGATTATAGGCGTGAGCCACCACGCCCAACCCAAGAATTGCTATTAACATGGTGAAACCCTGTATCTACTAAAAATACAAAAATTAGCTGGGTGTGGTGGCAGGCGCCTGTAGTCCCAGATACTCAGGAGGCTGAGGCAGGAGAATCGCTTGAATCCGGGAGGCGGAGGTTGCAGCGAGCCAAGATCCGGCCACTGCACTCTAGTCTGGGTGACAAAGTGAGACTCCATCTCAAAAAAAAAAAAAAAAAAAAGCTTTCATTTGTTCTGCAGCTGTGACTGCCATTTGAATAGAAGATTAATGATGGGTTTTCATGCTCATATTATTCTTCTATTGGCTTTCATGTTTTCTTTTATTTATTTTCCCTCCAGCTGGACAAAACAGTTTTAGAAAGAAAAATGTTTTTCAGGGTTAGCTCACATCTATAGAAACATTGTTTTCTCCCTTTTTAATAATGTTAAACAATTGTCACTTTATCAACTGTATTGTTATTTGGATTTTATTGAACAATGTTGTCTCATAATTCTGCTAATAGATGCATCTGGGATAAATCATTTTCTCTCTTATCATAGGCCTCCACTTAGAGGGTTCCCTGTGAAAGTTAGGAGACACATTCTTTCTGCCTGCTGGTTTCATTCTGGGATCTCCAACCCTTGAATTTAACTCCTTGGCTTGTGGTGACACAGTCAAAACCATATACAACATCTTAAAGCTTTTTCACTTGAGCTGGTAGGAGAGAGTGTGGGCATAAGAGCCATCTAGACAGACTTGAGTTAAAATTCCAGCTTAACCTAACTTTAAGGCCCTGAACAAGTTACTTTCTTCCTCTAAGTGATGATAAACCTCAACCAAGACTGGCACTTAAGTCACATAATTTATGCAGAGCCTGGTATTGAATTCATTCCTGAGCTGTTATTTCCCTTTGATTCTCTAACATGTTTGCAATAGTTTCCATGGGACCATGGAATAATGCAGACACGACTTTGCTTCTGCAACCTGTCTGCCTCAGCTGTCCTCTTCCTACTGCTACCTGAGTCTCCTTGGACAGGTCATGCCATGCATAGATTTCCTCATCCATAAAATGGGATTATGAGGATTGAATGAGTCAAACGTAAAGTGCATAGAATAGGGCGTGACTCCTAAGTGCTCAATGACTATTAGCTCTTCAAAAAACATGTCTTACTAACATGGTCTACAAATGTACAAATCTGTTCATCTGGGCCAGCCAGGAAGATTTTTATTTTATAATGCACTCACCACACACTTCTGGTGGACTTTGTTCTAGTTAGAACTTTAAGTGTGCAAAAGTCCCCCATCCAGTCCTGTCCTGGAGGCAATGATCAGTTCAGCCCTAAGAAGCTCACACCTAGCCATAGAGGAGCAGCAAGGAGAAGCAGCCTAAATGGCTGGGGCACAGCTGTCAGTCCTGATGGAAGAGAAAAGGTCCAGGAGGTGCACAAGCTGTCACAAAGCCTCAGTCCTTCACCCTGGGTGAGACCCTCAGTCCTCTACTAGGACTACCCCCTTAACCAAACTTGTCAGAATGTATAAAATTCAGGCCCACTTCCTTCTCAACCCATTGCTGACTCAAAGTGGTGAATGCAAAAGAGTGAGAGAGGGTAGTTAGGAAAAGCTCTTCGTGCGATTCGAGGCACTGTCCCCCACTCCTGCTGAGGACCTACACTCCAACAATTGTAAAAAGGGTACACTGATCCAGTGGAAGACCACGCTTGGAATCATGGGTTTATGAAAAGCACAATAGCCCAGCCTTTTGATCTAGGGGTAGCCAGTCGCCCTCTTGTCCCTGTGGACCTTCATGTAAAAATGGCCCAGCACTGGCCGGGTGTGGTGGCTCACGCCTGTAATCCCAGCACTTTGGGAGGCCGAGGCGCATGGATCACAAGGTCAGGAGATCGAGACTATCCTGGCTAACACAGTGAAACCCCGTCTCTACTAAAAATACAAAAAAATTAGCCGGGCGTGGTGGTGGGCACCTGTAGTCCCAGCTACTCGGGAGGCTGAAGCAGGAGAATGGTGTGAACCCAGGAGGCGGAGCTTGCAGTGAGCCGAGATCGTGCCACTACACTCCAGCCTGGGTGACAGAGCAAGACTCCATCTCAAAAAAAAAAAAAAAAAAAAAAAAAAAAAATATATATATATATATATATATATACACACACACACATATGTATATATAGCCCAGCACTGTATTGATGTTCAGGGGCCTTTCTAAAGTCATTGGAAACGTATATTCAATAAACTGCCACCATGGTCTTGGCCACAGAGTTGTTTCTTGACAATATCAAGAGCTGTGATGCTTACAGGTACGATTCCAGATACCTGAACAATTCACTTGTGACAGCCACATATTGCAGTAACATTAGACGAATAGACCTCATTTTACTGCTAATCAGCTCCATTTTTATTTTCTTGTAACTTGGGCAAATTTTATTTTTGCTTTGCTTCACTTGAAGTTTGAACATTTTAACCATGTAGTCCCTCCTTGTTCACAGAGAATATGTTTCAGGACCCCCAGTACAGGCCTGAAACCCTAAACAGTACTGAATCCCATACAGGTTGAGCAACCCTAATTCGAAAATCCAAAAGCTGAAATGCTCCAAAATCTGAAACTTTTGCTGACATGACTCCACAAGTGGAAAGCTTCACAGCTGACCTCATGTGATGGGTCACAGTCAAAACTTTGTTTCATACACAAAATTATTTAAAATATTGTATGAAATTACCTTTAAGCTATGTATATAAGGTATATATGAAACATAAATGAATTTCATGTTTAGACTGGGATCCCACCCCCAAGATATCTCATTATGTATATGTTAATATTCCAAAAGCTGAAAAAATCCAAAAGCTGAAACACTTCTGTTCCCAAGCATTTTGGATAAGGGATACTCAACCTTTATATATTATGTTTTTTCCTATACATACATACCTATGATAAAGTGTAATTTATAAATTAGGCACAGTAAGAGATTAACAACAATAACAAAAAATAGAACAATTACAATAACATACTGTATTAACAATGATAATAAAATAGAACAATTATAATAACAATATACTATATTAATAAAATAGAACAATTATAACACTATACTGTAATAAAAGTTATAAGGATGTGGTCTCACAAAATATCTTACTATACTGTATTCACCCTTCTTATGATGTGAAATGATAAAATGTGTATGTGATGAAGTGAGGTGAGTGACACAGGCATTGTGACGTAACGATAGGCCACTACTGACCTTCCAATGATACATCAGAAGGGGGTCCCAGATCATTGAGCCATGGTGATGTCAATGGTTAGATGTCAGGAGCAGACGATGTTGATGACTAATGGATGAGGAGCATCTCAGCATGGACACATTGGGCAAAGGGAGGATGCACGTGCCAGGATGGATGGGATGGGACAGCAGGAGATTTCATCACACCACTCCGAATGGCAAGCAATTTAAAGCTTATCAAGTATTTATTTCTGGAATTTTCCATTCAATATTTTCAGACCACGGTTGATCTCTAGTAACTGAAACCACAGAAAGTGCATAAGGGTAGCCTACTATATTGCAATGAGGTTGAGTCTTTCTCTACCAAATATCTAGAATTTCACACAGTTTGTAAAGCATGCATGAAGTAGCTCTTGCATGAAGAGTAATGAGGACCTTACAGGCTAAACCCTAAACACAGCATTCTGGTATCAGGCACTTGAGGAAGGACAATAGGCACAGGAACAAGAAACTGCTGGTCCTGTGTCTTGATGCAGGTGCTGACTGAGCACCTCTGCTTTTCCTTCCTACAGTTGAGATGTTCCAGGCTCTGAATACTGCTGACATGCAGGGCCAGCTTTGTGGCTGCGTAATCCGTGCATTCTCAAAGAACCTTGTGCTTGGCTTAATGGTCCTCCATCAGTCTTGAAATTCTTAATATTTCTTGAACAAGGGACCCCACATTTTCATTTTTCAGTGGGCCCTACAAGTTATGCAGTGAATCTTGATGATAGGATTATATAACTCAGTGATTAAAGCATGGTTTTTAAAGAAAAGCCTAGGAACCCAGGAATGTACTTTTAAATTTAATAAATTTAATAAAAGAAAAGCATGAATCTGAGTTGGCATTGCTTTTTTAAAAAACAGACTTTTTTTAGAGCAATTTTTGATTTACAGCAAAATTGAGAGGCAGGTACAGAGAGTTCTCATATCCCTCCTGCCCACACATGTGCACAGCCTCTGCCATTATCAACATCCCACACCAGAGTGGTATATTAGCTACAATCCAACCAATGAATGCTGCACTGGCACATCATTACCACCCAAAGTCCATAGTTTACATTGTGGTCATTCTTGGTGTTGCACACTCTGGATTTGGACAAATGTATAACATGTATCCACCATTATCGTGTCATAGAGAGTAGCTTCACTGCCCTAAAAATCCTCTCCTCTGCCTAGCCATTCCTCCCTCACCACCACCCCATACCTGAACTCCTGGCAACCACTGGTCTTTTTACTGTCCCCATAGTTTTTCCTTTTCCAGAATGTCATAAGGTTGAAATCCTATAGTATGTCGCCTCTCCAGAGTGGCTTCTTTCACTTAGTGATATACATTTAAGTTTCTGCCACGTCTTTTCATGGATTTGCTTTTTAACAGGCATTTGGGTACACCATTTTCCTCTGTCCTCACAAATAAGTGGCTGTGGCGCCACTTTTTGCCTTACAAAGATGGAGATCAGACTTCTGTGTTTGGTGATATTGATCAAGGTTCCCACATTGTGCCTGCAGGCTGGGTGCCGAGCTGCTTTCCTTTGTCCCATGCCCCACCCTCCATCAGTGAAAAGCCTCATTTTCTGTCTTTCCATTTAATGTTTTACCCTTAACTGAGACTTGGTTTAGAGTGATTCACATTCTGAAC
This sequence comes from Homo sapiens, assembly GCF_000001405.40. Taxonomy (NCBI): domain Eukaryota; kingdom Metazoa; phylum Chordata; class Mammalia; order Primates; family Hominidae; genus Homo; species Homo sapiens. Next base: position 84,919,691 of record NC_000001.11, on the reverse strand, counting down.
TCAAGCATGTTTGCCCAGTTGCCATATGACCTCCAGCCTTGTTAGGAAAAACAATACAACTCGTGATTGTTTTACTATGGGCTCATTTACAGCAAGTGCTACTGCAAACCAGTGCATGAAAAAGATGGCAAATGCTTCTCTTGCCATCTGTCTCTGCCAGAGAACCAGGGAGTGAATATGAAGCTAAACGAGTTACAGACAAGCATTTCCACACCACCTTACACAACAAGGACAGCAAAACTTTGACTTCTTAAAGACATCTGGAGCTACTGGCTATGGTGAATGGGGGAGACAATTTATTAGGGTGATGTATGTTTCTTAGTTTCTAATGATACATAAATTATCCCATGAGCCATGATACATATGGCTTAAAGAGAATTTTAAATGAAAGTAATTTTTTTTCTAGCACCACTAATTGCCTAGCAGCAGTAAATTACTCATCTCCCACGGCCTATGGGCTGTGGTCATTACTCTGTCCTCGAGGTTGAGTGGATGTCCCCCAAGAGGAACATTTGCTCTGAAAAAGTGAATTTACATCCTCACTTGTGAGCCCACTATGCTAGGTCTACAGAGGGAGCAGGTATTAATCACGCCTTTCGGACATAGCACTGTGTTTGTGCCCTCCTACATGTGTTATTTATGATAGCAGGACAGTGGGTTGAGTCTTAGCTCTTGGTTTGCCTTTGGGGGAAAATCAGAGTGCTGCTATCAATAATTAATTTCGTCTGGCTGGTTGGGGGGCAGGGAGGCATGGTTTGAAAGATAGACTTAGCTAATAAGCATGGAAGTTTCCTAGGTGACAAGTTAAACAAGGGAAGTGATAAGCATCATTAGTTTTGGGAAACACTAGGTAACTACATGATATGTAGAAGGAGAATGATGATGCTATCAAAGACCATTAACTCAGCATATTTTTGTTGATTTCCACTACTGTGATAAGTACTAAGGATGCAAGGAATGAGTGAGAAGATTCCTGCCCTCACCAAGTTTGGTGTCCAGTGGGAGAGAGAATCACAGAAAAAAACAAAGATAATACAAGGTCAGCCCAAGGTACTACATGAGAGCAGAATGGAGATAGCTTCTGCCTGCCTGTTGAGGAGACTAGACAATGCTGGAGCTTAGATTTGAAGAATATGTTGTATTTGACCAGATGGCCATGGCGTGGGATGGCCATGGCGTGGGATGGCCATGGCATGGGATGGCCATGGCGTGGGATGGATGAGGGTAACAATGGCAAAGGCCTGGACATCAGAGAGAGAACCTGGTCAGTTAGGAAAACGATGCTTTGGCGTGGTCAGCGTATAGGCTGTATACAGGGAAAATGACAGAAGACAGGACTAGAGAAGGGACAAGGCAAGGCCACAGGAGTATGTATGCCATGAGAGGGAGGGCTTTAGACCTGAGAACTGCATGACCAGAGAGGGCAGAACTGTGGAGGATGGGTTGAGGTGGAGGGAGGCAAGCAGGGAAATCAGTCACAAAGCTGCTGCAGCCATCCAGATTAAAGAGAGAGAGAGAAATGCCATTACCCTGTAATTAAACACAATCACAAACATAACGAGAAATTTGCCTTAAAATTATCTCTCAGAAATACACTAGATTGGCGTGTGTGCATGTATATATATATATAAAATATGTATTATATAACATATGTGTATGTATTGTATATGTGTGTGTATATATACGTGTGTGTGTGTATATACATATATGTTTTATCTATCTGTATATACTGTTATCCCCTGATATCCATGGAGGATTGATTCCAGGACCCCTGTGGAAACCAAAATCCATGAATATTTAAGTCCCTAATGTAAAATATTTGCACCTAACCTACACATATTTTCTCATATACTTTAAACCATCTCTAGATGACTTATAATACCTAATATAATGTAAATGCTAAGTAAATAGTTGTTATACTGTATTCAGGGACTAATGACAAGGAAAAAAAGTCTGTACATGTTTGGTAGAGATGCAACCATACATTTCTTCTGTTGGGTGAATCCACAGATAAGGAACCCATGGATCTGGAGGATCAACTGTATATTTTTGTTTCTCAACTGTATATTTTTGTTTCTCACAAGACTTTTCTGCTAATTACCCTGTCATTTTCTTAAGGGCTAATGCTTTTGAACTATGCATTTGGAGGGGAGGGTCTCCTTTCATAGCTTCTATTATTGAGAAATATACATTTGTTAGGATGAATGGGTTGAATGCATATTTCCATCACATGCATATTGCCTCTTCTCACAATTTTAAGAAAAGAAGCATATCCAAGACTTTCCGTTTCTGCATCATCCCTTCCCCATTACCCCTATACCCACACACTCTGAGATGCTCTGACCTTGGCCAGCAGCAGTTTTGTGTCTATTAAGGTGTCAAGACTTGGTGTAACCACTAATAAAATCTGTATTCTGTATTCTGATGCTTACAAACTGCATAGGGACTTTATAAGGACTCCATCCTACCCTCAGCCTCCCACCTGTGACCACAATCAAGATTTGGGAGTGGGATCACAAAGGTTTAGAGCCTAATGAGGCTGCCTGGGAAAGGAGGGTCTTGCAAGTAAATGCCAGGAGGTGCTTTGCCTCTGCTTCCCTTAGGCTAGGGCGGTGTGTGGGGGTGGGCGTGAGAAGACTGAAGGGGAGGGGAAGGGAGAGTGAACTGATGGGAGGGACGCTGAGACAGGATTGCTTTGTGCCCACTCCTACGACTGCCTTCATTTGGAAGGTGGTAGTAAATACAGTCATGTTGGAGGAATGTTTCTGGACCAAGGTAGCCTGAGACTGGGGGAACAGAGCAAGGAGAGTGGCATGGCCCCCATCTCACAAGAAGAAAAAATGAAGTTGTAAAAATGCCTGAGTGCATGTGGTACTGATCTGCCTTTTTCCATCCAGACCCTGCAGAGATGGTCAGCAGTTTGTGTTGAGACCAGTCCCAGTGATGCTCCTTCCGACTCTCCCAGCCCCAGCGACTGCACCCCATGAGGATTACAGGTGGTAAGCTCCTAACATTTCCTTAATTAAAACCCATGTATGCCGGAGGTTGCAACTTTTTGAATTTTTGCATGAGTGAAAAATCAGACCTTGGCAATGACCTTGAACAGTAGGATATAAATAACTCCCACATACTTAGTGTTCCAATAATGGAACACTAGGCATAAGTAGGTTTAATGTACGGAACATATGGGGTGCAAGGACAGAAAAAACCCATCAGGAATTTCCTCATTTCTCCAAGCCAGGTCAGGGGAGCCAGGCTGGACGTTGGCGTTGAGGGAGAACTCTCGCCACCCTGCAGGCTTACTATGAAGCAGGACACCCATCTCCAGCCCTGAGGGGCACAAAAGGCAGACTGGCATAGACCCCGTAAGGTTCAGCTCTTGACAGTGTGCTCAGAGGGCTAAGCCACAGCCTTAAGGTGATCCACTCCAGCACAGTGACCCTGCACGACCAGTGAGGCACTATGAGGGGATATCAACATTGTCCAAAGTCATTTCTGAACAATGAGCCACAAAGTCCTGGTTTGATCTCTGGGGAAAATGCATTTCAACCTCAAGCCAGAATAACATAAAGACTGCTTCCTGTATCTTATCCCTTGACAGCCAAGTTTCTTGAACAGCTTTTAAGGAACCATAGTAACAGTTGGAGGAAGGGGTGAGTGGATCAGTGATGATCCTTCTACTAGACTTTTATCTCCCTTGCATAAATGGCCCCATGGTCCACCTGGAAAAGGTAAGTGTAAGGAGAAGAGATGGCAGAGGCAGATAGGGTTTTAACCTAGGTGATGGGCAGATAAGTTTGGAGGTGGGGAGTTAACAGGCAACGACATGACTCCACCCTCCTCCCACTTTTCTCCAGGATGAGGGAGGTTCTGACCTTTAGCCTTTACGCAAAATACTCTTGTCAAAGTTTCCACATTTATGTGATTGAGACAAGAGCCAACATTTATTATCCTACATTAAAACTGAAGCAACTAAATGGGATAAAACTCACAGATATATATTTCTTCCCCATTGGCCTTTTCAAAAATGGCAATCAATTTTCACAGCAGGCAGCTTAGAAGGTCAAGTTATTGGGACAAAAATGGGTAAAAGCCAACTGAAACAGTAACATCAACCAGTGTCATCCACATAACTATTCAGCACCTTATGACCATGTAGCCAAATAAATTCTGGATAGATTACAGATTTAAATGTGAAAAATTAAGCCTATAAAAGGACTAGGAAAAAATACAAATAAATATTGATGTGATTTCAGAAGTCAAGAAGGACTTTCTGAGTTTAAAGCTGCACAGGCTGGACATGGTGGCTCATGCCTGTAATCCCAGCACTTTGGGAGGCTGAGGCAGGTGGATCACCTGAGGTCAAGAGTTCGAGACCAGCCTGGCCAACATGGCGAAACCCTGTCTCTACTAAAAATACAAAAAAGTTAGCTGGGCATGATGGCGGGAGCCTATAATCCCAGATACTCGGGACGGTGAGGCAGGAGAATTGCATGAACCAGGGAGGCAGAGGTTGCAGTGAGCCGAGATCTCTCCACTGCACTCCAGCCTGGGGGATGGGGGAGACTCCATCTCCAAAAAAAAAAAAAAAAAAAAAGCTGCACAAAACCATAAAATAACCAAATATATTTTATTATATAAAAACAAAACATTTTAGAAAAGTAAGAACGTAAACACAATTTAAAAAGCACATTGAGAGGCTGGGTATAGTATTTCATGCCTGTAATCCTAGCACTTTGGGAGGCTGAGGCAGGAGGATCACTTGAACTCATGAGTTCGAGACCACCCTGGGCGAGATGGTGAGGCCCCTTCTCTACAAAAAATAAAATAGAAATTAGCCAGGCATTGTGGCCCACACCTGTAATCTCAGCTACTGAGAACTGTGACCGTGCCACTGAACTCCAGCCTGGGTGACAGGGTGAGATTTCGTCTCTTAAAATAAATACATACATACAACCAAAAAGCACACCAAGGAAAAAACCATTGCAGCATATATGGCTGGCTTAGTATGCTTACTGTATTACTAGGCCAAACACGGTGGCTCACGCCTGTAATCCCAGAGTTTGGGAGGCCGAGGCGGGCAGATCACGAGGTCAGGAGTTCGAGACCAGCCTGGCCAACATGGTGAAACCCCTTCTCTACTAAAAATATAACAATTAGCCGGGTGTGGTGGTGGACACCTGTAATCTCAGCTACTTGGGAGGCTGAGGCAGGAGAATTGCTTGAACCTGGGAGGTGGAGGTTGCAGTGAGCCGAGATCGTGCCACTGCACTCCAGCCTAGGTGACAGAGCAAGACTCTGTCTTGAAAAAAAGAAAAAAAGAAAGAACCGTTACTAATTCTTGGAGCCCCCTCCATAAGGACTGTTTTCTGTCTCTGTGTTTCATGTGCCTAGTAAAGTTCCTGGTGAATAGCAGGCTATCAACAAATAACATATTTTTAAAAAGCTATATTTGGTTGAATGCACACTATGTCCATCTATTGTTGCCACTCATCTCAGCAAACATACAGATTACATAACAGGATCTCCATTTTACCAAAAAGAAAATTGAACACAGAGTAAGTAGAGAACCTGGATTCAAATCCAAAGCTTCTGACTCCAAAGCCTTCTCCATTTTTCCCTTTCCGCTGCCTGCCTTCCAAATGAATGCTTATTGAATAGAATTGAATGGCAGAAAAAAATGTTTAGCCTACTTAATGAGAAATGTGACTTCTATTTTCAAACAACACCTTGTTAAGCAACATTCCTTGAACTCAAATAATGCTGGTGTTCAATGGAAAATAATTTTTACCTTGGTGGGGGAGTCGAAAGCCCCATAGAAGTTCCCAGCTCTAACACTAAATTGCTTAGTGATTTAGACAAGTTGTTAAGCTGCTCCAAGTCTCAGAATCCTTATCTGTAATACAGGGATAATAAAACTGAGAGTGCAGAAAGGTTACGTAATTTGTCCAAGGTTACACAGTAGTAACCGCCTGAGTGGGCAGCTTGTCTTTACAGCTGGGTAGTTCACAAGGCTGATGTAATATCTAGGAGTAAATGAACGTGAACAAGCTTTGAAAAGGATAAACTGGACACATTGGGTGAATGGAGAGAAAACTTAAAGTAATAAGCCTGTTTTTTGTGCAAGAATTATGAAAATTAGTTTGATATGAACATCTCAAATGTCTTGGTGTGTTCTTCTTGACCTACTATCTATTTTTAAATTTCTATAGCTGAAAATATACACTAGTAGCCGATTATCCCCTCCTTTCTGCCCCCTTTACAGTAAACCAGTGTGGCAGTATTGGTTAATGAATCCAAGTCAGCTTGCCCACAATTATAATCTTATCTAACTAGCTTTTTTAAAAAAAGATAATTGCATCCACTGGGGTGGAGTTTCTGGCATGTGCAATAATGAATCACCAAATCATGATTTTTAAAAGATAGTTACCTCATAAAATCTGGACTCAGCACCTCTTTCATTTCACTGGCTAGAAGCCAAGAGAGTCCGTGTTAATAATGTGTTTTAATACCACTCATGTACTTTTCATGCCTTGATGCAGTATTTGATCATTGGTGAAATCAGCAGTTGGACATGCATCTCAATTACTGTACCTTTCAGAAGATGCCCTTCATATTCTCTCTCTGATTTACAGAATTTATTTTACTAAACTATTCAAGAGAAGATTGCATATACTATTATGAAAGGGGTATAATACAAATATTATAAGGCATAAAGGGCATAAAAGTTGCATAAATATGCAACTTCAGTGCATATTTCCTAAGAACAAGAATAATCTCTTATGTAATCACAACACAGTGTTCAAATTCAGGAACTTTAATATTGATGCAATGCTTTCATCAAATCTGCAGTCCATAATCCAGCTCATCAATTGTCCCAACAATTCTCTTTATAGCATTCTTTCCCCTCTCACACAGGATCCAATCCAGGGTCACTGTTGAATTTAGTTGTCGCACCTCTTGTTTCCTTTAATCTGGAACAGTCCCTCAGCCTTTCTTTGTCTTTCATGACTGAGATTTTGGAAGAATACTGGTCATTATTTTACGGATAGCCCCTTAATCTGGATTGGTGTTTCCTCATTATTAGATTCAGGGTATGCATTTTCGGCAGGAATACCACAGAAGCAGTGTGGTGTCATATTATATCCAGAGATCCACGCATTGGTCTGCCTCTCATTAGTGACATTTATTTTCATCCCAGTCACGGTGTTGTCCGGCTTCTCCATTGCTGTGGTGGTTATAGAAATGCACCGCCCTGATCTCCTGTTGTGAGGAGCATAATTGATACGCTGTCCTGGCTGATGCACTCAGACTCCATCTGCATGGGGACCACGCTTCCCACTGACTTCTGGCCAATGACTCTATTAGTGTCCCAATTACTTTCTTTTATTATTATTTTTTGTTTGTTTTGTATTTTCTAACTCATGTCAGCCATCTCAAGAATTCAGAATAAGGCCCGGTGCAGTGGCTCATGCCTGTAATCCCAGAACTTTGGGAGGCTGAGGTGGGAGGATTGCTTGAGCTCTGGGGTTTTAGACGAGCCTGGGCAACAGGGCAAAACCCCGTCTCTATTAAAAATACAAAAATTAGCCAACTGTGGTGATGCATGCCTGTAGTCCCAGCTACCTGGGGGCTGAGGTGCTAGGATGGCTTGAGCCGGGGAAGTAGAGGCTGCAGTGAGCTGAGATTGCGCCACTGCACTCCAGCCTGGGCAACAGAATGAGACCCTGTCTAAAACCATAGCAAGGCATGGCAAGACATTCTGGTCTCATGCTTGCAAGAGCTCCAAAACCCATTACTAAGAAAAATCATTTTTTACACTAAACACTTAACACTAGTTTTTCTTCATTTTGGATATATATGTAGCATGTTCAGTGATAGAAAGGTGAATGGTGTGAACTCTTTTACCGTTACCATTTACTTATGTAAATGTATAAATGATGGTAGTTTTACTCTTAAAGGTTAGACAAAGTGTACAATAACAGATAAGTGAGATATTACAGGCATGTTTAAGAAGTGGCGGGTAAAACTTTTAATACTAACAATCCACCATAGGAGCATGGGTTCAAAATAAGAATAACACCATATGTTTACATAGTACTAAAAGGTGTGTGAAGGGCTTTCACGTATATTATTTAGTTTTATCCTCACAATAGCCCCATGCTAGGTAGAGCAGGTATTGTTATCCCTACTTTATGTATGGCACAATCATATTATTTCACAAACAGAAAAAGTAAAGAAAGAAAGAAAGCTAATCGAAATGCCTGTGGATTATAAAATACGTATTTGAAATCTGGCATAAGAAATACCTACTCTGTTTCTGAAACTACCTACTCTGTTTCTGAAACTACCTACTCTTAAGCCTGGACATTTTTCTTTTATAATATTTAATGTAATTGCTAATACACGAGAATCAGTGTTCTCAACCTACAGAGAACCCTCACTTAAATCTGTAATTCCTTTTGCTGCTCTTTGCAATCAGGATTTAATAAATAAAATAACACAAGTACTGAATATGAATCCTTTTCCTTTGACATTACTGAACATTTTAAGCAGCTTTTAGATTGCCATGGGGTTAATTTAAAAAGAAAGACGAGAACAAAACTTAGTAATTTTAGATATGATTTACTTGGGAGGTGGGATAAGAAGGTGTTGTTATTTTTTTCCCTAGTAAAAACACTTGTCTAAAGGTTGCAATGAAAGTTGTGAGAAAATGGTTTTATGGACAAAATCTTGCTTTTTAGCAAAGTAACTTTTTGAAGAATTATTCTATTTGTGGTGACCCTCTTTGTCCAAATAACACATTTTTTCTTAAGGCCTCTTTTGATGGATATTAATAGAGTTACACAGGCTTTCTTTTAGTTAGTATTTTTTCAGTATATTTTTTTTATTATGATGATCTAAACGTATCTCATTCAAGTAGCATGTAGCTGGATTTGTTGGTTTAATTGCAATATCTCTATTTGAACCCAATTGTTTATTTTGCTTACATTTATTGTGATTACTGATATATTTGGATTTATTTCTATAATCCTAATTTGTGTTTTGCATAAACCATGCTGTTTTTCTTATTTGTTTTCCCCCGTCCTTTCCTTCTATTGGATTAATGGAGTTTATTTCCTTCTATTCCTTTTTATTTGGTATTTACTCTTAACCTCTTTACTTTTTACCTGACTTAGAAAAATCCAGAATTAATAAAAAGTCTCTATGCTACTCTTCAATAACATAGGAACTCTAGACTTTATGCCTTAGCCCATCCCCAATCTCTGTTCACTCTCTCTTTATGTTTTTCTTGCCTAGTATTTTAGTTCCTTTTTTCATGTTCTTCCCTGATTAATTGTTATTTTTACTTATTGTCTGGTATAGACAATGATTATTCGAATTTACGTCTTTTATAGCTTATAAAAGCGAAAATTTTAAAACCTTAATTTACTCATGTTGGTACCATTTGCAAGAGGAAAAATGCTTTTTGCACACACTATTTCTTTTTGGGTTTGATGTTATTCTTTCTTTAGTAGCTCTTTGAGGCTTAGTCTTCATCTCAAAATCCTCACTTAACCTTCAGTTTTCAATAATTCTTTAGCTGAAAATTAAGTTCTAGTTTCCCCAATATTTTCCTTCAACTCTTTGGTAATGATATTCCATATTCTACCTGGTCTCTCTTGAGAAGTCTGTTATGAGTCTAAGTAATTTGCCTTTTCTTACTGGTTGCTTTGAAGGCTTACTTATTCTTCAGTGTATGTGTGTGTTAAATTTAATAGTTTGAGATACTGTAGTTGTGCTTCTTGAATCTAAACATTCATGTCTTTCTTCAATTCGGAAAAATACCGAGTCATTTGTTTCAGAAAAATATTTCTTTTGGCCCATTCTCTCTTGTCTCCCTTTCTGAAACATGTTGACCTTCTCTTTATCTTTTCCATATCTCTTCATCTCTCTTTCACATTTTTCATCCCTTTTTCTCTCCAGTCACATGAATTTCTTTAGATTTATATTTCAGTTCATTAACTCTCTGTTTTGGCTGTTTTTAAAGTTTTAAGTTTTTTAAAAAATTTCAGTTACTCAATTTTTTATTTCTAGTTCTTTTCATTTCTTTTTGTTTTCTTTACTTCTTCTAAAAAAATGGGATACATGAACAGAACGTGCAAGTTTGTTACACAGGTATACGTGTGCCATGGTGATTTGCTGCATCTACTGACCTGTCCTCTAAGTTCCCTCCCCTCACCCCCCAACCCCTCGACAGGCCCTGGTGTGTGTTGTTCCCCTCTCTGTGTCCATGTGTTATTAATGTTCAACTCCCACTTATGAGTGAGAACATGCGGTGTTTGGTTTTCTGTTCCTGTGTTAGTTTGCTGAGGATGATGGCTTCCAGCTTCATCCATGTCCCTGCAAAGAACATGATCTCATTCCTTTTTGTGGCTGCATAGTATTCCATGGTATATATGTACCACATTTTCTATATCCAGTCCATCATTGATGGACATTTGGGTTGGTTCCATGACTTTGCTATCATAAACAGTCCTGCAATAAACATACGTGTGCATGTGTCTTTATAGCAGAATGATTTATATTCCTTTGGGTATATAGCCAGTAATGGGATTGCTGGGTCAAATGGTATTTCTGGCTCTAGATCCTTGAGGAATCACCATATTGTCTTCCACAGTAGTTGAACTTATTTACATTCCCACCAAGAGTGTAAGAGCATTCCTATTTCTTTGCAGCCTCACCAGCAACTATTGTTTCTTGACTTTTTAATAATTGCCTTTCTGACTGGCATGAGATGGTATTTCATTGTGGTTTTGATTTGCATTTCTCTGATGAGGAGTGATATTGAGCTTTTTAAAATATGTTCGTTGGCTGCATAAATGTCTTCCTTTGTGACTTGTCTGTTCATATCCTTTCCCCACTTCTTGATGGGGTTGTTTGTATTTTTCTTGTAAATGTGTTTAAGTTCCTTGTAAATTCTGGATATTAGACCTTTGTCAGGTGGGTAGATTGCAAAACTTTTCTCCCATTCTGTAGGTTGCCTGTTCACTGTGACGATAGTTTCTTTTGCTGTGCAGAAGCTCTTTAGTTTAATTAGATCCCATTTGTCAATTTTGGCTTTTGTTGCAATCGCTTTTGGCGTTTTTGTCTTGAAGTCTTTGCCCATGCCTATATCCTGGATGGTATTGCCTAGGTTTTCTTCTAGGGTTTTTATGGTTTTGGGTTTTACACTTAAGTCTTTAATCCATCTTGAGTTAAGTTTTGTGTAAGGTGTAAAGAAGGGGTCCAGTTTCAGTTTTCTGCATATGGCTAGCCAGTTTTCCCAGTGCCATTTACTGAATAGGAGTTCTGTTTTTATACTGACATATTTTCTTTTTAAAGTGTCTTCCTATATTTTTAGTTTTTTTTTTTTTAACAGGATGAACTCACATGTGAACAGAAGATAAATACAGTATTTCCCAAATTACCCATTTAAACCTAATATATAGTCTAGCCTTTTACCTATCTTTTGGGTGAAATCTTGGACAGGTCTCATAAATATTCTAATTGTTATTAGATAACTAGGCATCTTGTGATTATTTTCAGACAAAGAACAGTCTTGTTTCAGTAACTATAATGACCTACCTGGTATAATAATTAAATTTCTGAATTTCATTCAAAATTAAACCTTCTCTCCTTCCAAGGTTTGCGTTTTTCAAGTCAAGAAACTGAAATGGAAGAGGGGAGTCTGGTTGTCTTTCATTTTCTTCTCCTTGTCTGTGTCCCTCTAGTCAGTAGCCTTAGTTTCGAATCTCTCCATGTTCTAACCCAGGTAGTTAGAGGAACAGGAAAAAGGGCATATTCTAAGGCTGATACTGTCCGTCGGTACAGGGACTCAATTGCTGTCTCTTTTTCTCATAGGATGCTTTTCTGGGTTTCTCAGAGATAACACTCCTTCCCTCCCCCGACAATTAGAATAAATTCCCATGAGTCAGAAATGCCTTACTTGTAGTTAGTTCCACACTTCTCCAGTCTTGACCCTAGCCTCTTGTATTTCCCCCTATGAATCACGTTGCTCTCAAGGAGGCCTCTGCAGCAAATTCCCCTTAAATCCAGCCTCAGGCTGATGGCACACTGTGTGAATACCTTTTGGCTCATGAAAACACGAACAGCCTCTGTGCTGCCATGAATGAAAGTGCGGCTTGCTCCCAATGTGGCCTTTTTCTCCTCTCTGCTCAGCCAGCTCAGGGCAACTTGGCACAGCTCCTCATTCTGATCCTTATGCTCACCTAAACTCTAGGGCAGTGCCTCTCGAACTTTAATGCCTATACCAGTCACCTGGGGAATATTGTTAAAATGCAGATTCTGATTCAGCAAGTCTAGGTTGGGGACTGAGATTCTGCATTTCTAACAAGCAACTAGGTGATGCCTATGCTGCTGCTCCATGCACCACGCTTTGAGTAGCAAGGCTCTGGAGCATATATGTCAGGTTTATTGAATGTTATGTTGTTCTCATTTGCTTGAGATCTAGGGGAAGCACACACACTTCTCTTTTGCTTGGGAGTGGGGGAGATAAAGCACCTATTTCATTTATATTTTTCAAAGAAATCCCCTTGCTTGACCTCTTCCACTTGCATTCTTTTATAGACTGGAGGGGACAGATTGCCAGTGCTGAAAGAAATAGTTTTACAATCATTTATTATACTTGCACAAGTGGGGTCTATCAGGTCATTTAAGAATACAGAATCCTGCTATCTATTTTATTCTAGGCCTTTGGGACTTCATCCACAATATAAATGGAAAAAAAGCCATTAAAATCACTAACTAGAATCATTTTATATTTTATAATTTCCATAAAATGTTATTACAGAAATGAAAAATATACCCCAAAGTAGAGAGAATCATAACAAATACCAATTTTTAGTGGGAAGATCAATGATTTTGAAAAAAAATCATAATATAGAACATTTCCATCACCCCCAGAAGTTGTCTTGTGACTCTTTTCAGTGAATCCGTTACTCTGATTTCTCTCACTATACTTTAGTTTTGTTTGTTCTAGAACTTCATATAATAGAATAACACACTATGCACTCTTTTATGTCTGTCTTCTTTTATTCATCCTAATGCTTTTGATACTTGTCCCAGCTATTGTGGTATCCATAGTCCATTGCTTCTTTTTTAATAGAGTAGCATTCCATTGTGTAGATGTATAATTTATTTATCCGTTCCCCTGTTGATGGACATTTGTGTTGTTTCCAGTTTTTACCTATTACAAATAGAGCTGCTATGAATGTTACTATACAAGTCTTTTTATGAACATGTGTTTTCATTTCCCTTGAGTAAACAATTATGAGTAGAGTTACTAAGTCATAGAGTAGGACTTAGTAGGTTAAATTTGTAAGAAACTGCCAAATAGGTTTTCAAAATGGTTGTACCATTTTTTACTCCCATTGACAATGTATGAGACTCCTAGTTGGTTTACTTTTCACCAACATTTGACATTTTTAGTCTTTTCAATTTTAGTCATTATAGTATATGCAAAGTGATATCTCATGGAAGTTTTAATTTTTATTTCCCTGGTGCCTTTTGATAATCTTTCTGTGGGTCTATTAGCCATTCATTTACATTCTTTTTGCAAAGTGCCAGTTCAAGTATTTTGCTCACTTTTAAATTGGGTTATCTTTTTATTATTAATTTTTAGGAGATCTCTGTGTATTCCAGATACAAATCCTTTATCAAACACGTGTAGAAGAAATATTTTTTCCCAGTCTATGGATTGCATTTTCATTTTTTTGATGGTATCTTTTGAAGACCAGACGTTTATAATTTTGAAGTCTGATTTATTAATTTTTTTCTTTTAGTGTTGTTTCTTGTCTCATAAATTTTTGCCTCTCTCATTATAGTGTCCTATAACCTTTCTTCTAGAAATTTTATAATTTTACATTTTATGCATAGGTCTATGATTTATCTCTAATTAATTTTTGGTATGAAATTGAGGTGGAGGTTCATCTAATTTTTCCACATAGATACCTAGTTGTTTTGGTACCATTTGTTGAAAGACTATGCTTTCGCTATTGAATTACCTTGGCTCCTTTGTTGAAAATCAATTGACTATATATGTGGAAGACTATTCTTGGACTCTATTCTGTCCCAGCGATCTACTTAACTAACCCTGCCTCAATATCACACTGTCTTGATTACTGTAATTTTATGGCCTTGAAATCAAGTAGTATAAATCCTCCAACTTTGATTTCTTTTTCAAAATTTTTTTGGTCATTTTAGGTCCTTTCCTTCCTTTCTTTTTCTTTCTTTCTTTCTTTCTCTCTCTCTCCCTCTCTCTCTCTTCCTTCCTTTCGAGAGAAAACCATGGAATAAAGAAGCTTTTTAAAAATTATTTTATTTAAACTTATTATTTTTAAATTTTACTTTAAGTTCTGGGATAAATGTGCTGAATGTACAGGTTTGTTACATAGGTATACATGTGCCATTGTGGTTTGCTGAACCTATCAACCTGTCATCTAGGTTTTAACCCCCACGTGCATTAGGTATTTGTCCTAATGCTCTCCCTCCTCTTCCCCTAACCCCCAACAGGCCCCTGTGTGTGATGTTCCCCTCCCTGTGTCCATGTGTTCTCATGGTTCAACTCCCACTTATGAGTGAGAACATGAGGTGTTTGGTTTTCTGTTCTTGTGTTAGTTTGCTGAGGATGATGGTTTCCAGCTTCATCCAAAAGGTCCTTTGCTTTCTTATATAAAATTAGAATCGGTTTGTCAATTTCTGCAAAAAGGCCTGGTGGAGTTCTGATTAGATAGCGTTGATTCTACAGATTGAATTGGGGAGAATTAAAATCTTAACCCATCAACATGGTGTAGCTCTTTATGTATTGCCAATCTGGATGACTTTTTATTTCATTTAACTGCTTTTTTACACAGGTAGAATTTCCTGTAGAATGTCAAATAGGAGGAGTGAAAATAAACATCTTGGCTTTGTTCCTGATCTTACATATAAAGTGTTCAATATTTTGCCATTAGCCATGCTGTTAGCAGTAGGTCTTTCATAGATGCCTTTTATCAAACTGAGAAAAATTTCCTTCTACTTCTACTTTGCTAAGTTTTATTTTTTACTTTTTTGAGACAGGGTCTTGCTCAGTTGCCCAAGCTGGAATGCAGTGGCGTGATCTTGGCTCACTGCAACCTCCACTTCCTCAACCCAAGTGATCCTCCTACCTTACCCTCCTGAGTAGCTGGGACTATAGGCATGTGCCACCACACCACACCCTGCTAATTTTCTGTATGTTTTGTAGAGATGGGGTCTTGCCACATTGCCCAGGCTGGTCTTGAACATCTGGACTCAAGCAATTCACCACCTCAGCCTCCCAGAGTGTTGGGATTATAGGTGTGAGCTACCATGTCCTGCTGGTATTTTTTTTTTTAAATCAAAAAATGGGGCCAGGTGAGGTGGCTCACGCCTGTAATCCCAGCACTTTGGGAGGCTGAGGCAGGTGGATCACCTGAGGTCAGGAGTTCAGGACAAGCCTGGCCAACATGGTGAAACCCCGTCTCTACTAAAAATACAAAAATTAGCCACACATAGTGGTGGGCGCCTGTCATCCCAGCTACTCAGGAGGCTGAGGCAGAGAATCACTTGAGCCTGGGAGGCACAGGTTGCAGTGAGCCAAGATCTGCCGTTGCACTCCATTGTGGGTGACACAGTCAGACTCAGTCTCAAAAACCAAAACAAAACAAAACAAATCAAAAAACAATAATCCACAGGTGCTAGCTTTTGCCAACTGTATTTTGTCATAAATTGAAATTATGATATAATTTTAATGCTTATTTTATTAATCTGGTGAATTACTGAACTTTGATTTTTAAAATGTTGAAACAACCATACATTAATGAGTTAAATCTCAGTCATGCTATATTATCTGCATATGTTGCTACATTTTATTTGCTAATTTTTTGGAGAATTTGTATTCTATCTTCATAAATGGTATTACTCTATAATTTTCCTCTTTCATAATCTTCTTGTCAGGTTTTGCTATTAAAGCTATGCGGGCCTCATGAAATAGGTAGAGAAATTTTCCTTCCTATATTTCCTCAGAAAGTTTTTATAAGATAATTATTATTTTCTTCTTAAATATTTGATACAATTCATGAGCGAAGCCTTCTGGACCTAGAGTTCTGTTCATGAGGTTTTCCATTACGTATTCAATTTCTTTGATAAGCATAATGCTAGCCAGACATCTTATTGCTTTTTCTATCAGTTTTGGTAAGTCATGTTGTGTCTGGAATTTATTCCTTCCAGTGGGTTCTTGGTCTCACTTCAAGAATGAAGCGGTGGACCCTCGCAGTGAATGTTACAGCTGTTAAAGATGGTGTGTCCGGAGTTTCTTCCTTCACATGTTCAGATGTGTCCAGAGTTTCTTCCTTCCAGTGGGTTTGTGGTCTCACTGACTTCAGGAGTGAAGCCGCATACCTTCGCAGTGAGTGTCACACCTCTTTAGTCTGGAGTTGTTTGTTCCTCATGGTGGGTTCATCGTCTTGCTGACTTCAGGAATGAAACTGCACACCCTTGCGGTGAGTGTTATAGCTCATAAAGGTACTGCAGACCCAAAGAGTGAGCAACAGCAAGACTTATTGCAAAGAGCAAAAGAACAAAGCTCCCACAGCGTGGAAGGTGACGTGAGCAGGTTGCCGCTGCTAGCTGGGGTGGTCAGCTTTTATTCCCTTATTTGGCCCCGCCCACATCCTGCTGATTGGTCCATTTTACAGTGCACTGATTGGTCCATTTTACAGAGTGCTCATTGGTCCATTTTACAGAGTGTTGATTAGTGCGTTTTTACAGAGTGCTGATTGGTGCATTCACAATCCTTTAGCTAGACACAGAACACTGATTGGTGCGTTTTTACAGAGTGCTGATTGGTGTGTTTACAATCCTTTAGCTAGACACAGAGTGCTGATTGGTGCATTTACAATCCTTTAGCTAGACACGAAAGTTTTCCAAGTCTTCACCTGACCCAGAAGCTCAGCTGGCTTCACCTCTCAATGTTTTTAAAGGAATTTGTCCTTTTCATCAACTTGTCAAATTTATCTAATATTATTTTTGAACTTTTTGATGTGTGTAGGAACAATAGTGATGTTCCCCTTTCATTACTGATTTGACAATTTGTGGGGTTTTCTTCCTTATCTTGACCAATCTACTATGAGAATATCAGTTTTATCAATCTCTTCAACAGAACAACTCTTGGTTTTCCCTACTGTTTGTTTTCTCTTTAATTGCTTTCCATTCTTGTTCTTTTATTTCCATTTTCTACTTTCTTTGGGTTGATTTTGCTCTTCTTTTTTCTAGCCTTTTAAGGCAGATGTTTACATCGTTAATTTTTTCACTTTATTTTTTTCTAATACAGGTGGCACCTATGGCTTGACTTATGATTTTTTTTTTTACTTTAAAATTGGTCTATCTGTACATAACCTCATCATAAGTAGAGAAGCATCTGTATAACCAATTAAAACTATAAACATCTTTTTAAGTACTGCTTTGGCTGCAACACATAAATTTTGATATGTAATGTTTTCATTATTATTCTGTTCAAAATTTCTAAATTCTCTTGTGATTCCTTCTTTGATCCATGGGTTATTTATATGTGTGTCACCTAATTTCCAAATATTTGTGGATTTTAAAGATATCTTTTTGTTGTTGGCATCTAATTTACTATCATTTTGGCCAGAGAATAATTTCAATTATTTTAGATTTATTGAAACTTGTTTTATGATTCAAAATATGGTCTATCTTTGGGGGACTCAAGGGGAAAGGGTGGGAAGGGGGTGAGGGATAAAAGACTAGAAATTGGGTTCAGTGCATACTGCTCGAGAGAAAGGTGCACCAAAATCTCACAAATCACCACTCAAGAACTTACTCATGCAACCAAATACCACCTGTTCCCCAAAAACTATGGAAATAAAAAATTTAAAAAATACATAGCCTATCTTGGTGAATATTACATGTGTACTTGAAAACACATATTGTGTAGTTGATGGGTGTTAACGTTTATAAACACCAATCAGGTAAGTTAGTTGATGGGGTTGTTCAAATCTTCTATAACCTTATTTTTTTGTCTACCTGTCCTATCAACTATTGAGAAGTGTTAGAATCTCCAACTATAATTAGGGATTTGTCTATTTCTCCCTTTGGCTCTGATAATTTTTATTTCATATAGTTTGAAGGTTCATTATTTGATGAGTTGATCATTTTATCATCATGAAATAATTGTTTTTTTCCAGGTAATAAGCACATTTAAAAAATTACCACAATATATTTTATCTTTTTAATTTCCACTGCATTTGGTGGTAGGTACTATTACTCCATTTATAATTGTAGAGACTGAGTGAAATTGGCCAAGGTTTTTAACTAGTAAATATGGTAGAACGTATAAAAGTTTTCAAACTTGAAGGCTGGGTGCGGTGGCTCAGGCCTGCAATCCCAGCACTTTGGGAGGCTGAGGTGGGTGGATCATGAGATCAAGAGATCGAGACCATCCTGGCCAACATGGTGAAACCCCATCGCTACTAAAAATACACAAATTAGCTGGGTGTGGTGGTGCACGCCTGTAGTCCTAGCTACTCAGGAGACTGAGGCAGGAGAATCGCTTGAAGCCGGGAGGTGGAGGTTGCAGTGAGCCGAGATTGTGCCACTGGACTCCAGCCTGGTGGCAGAGCGAGACTCCGTCTCAAAAAAAAAAGTTTTCAAACTTGACAGCGAATCTTAGAAGTCATGGGCACTTTAATTAAGTCCTATAACATGTTTCAGTTTTATTCTTTTGTTTTTCACAACTTTTTACTTATATGCTTATTTCTACACACATTGGTCATTATTTTCCTCACTCATATTTATACTTTGTACCCGTCATTGTTATTCGCCTTTGCTATACTAGTTCTATCACAACACAGCATAATGAAAGTAAGCCATGTCCAAGTAATTAAAAAACCTAATATTGAACCTCCTAGAAAATCTATTATAGCAAGATCATTTATCATGACATATTTTCTTGCTGGTAAGTAATAACTAAATTCTTTCAAAGTGAAGTATAAAATTGTGTGATTTACTTGTTTTAATATGTTTCTGTCATAATATTATAGAATCCTATTTAATCGTATATATTTTTTATTTCAAACTGTATGACATCAAAGCCTGAAAACTTCTTAGCCCTTGATCTTCCATTTTAAAGGCATCAGCCCTCTATTTCAGAGGAACTAAAGGTTAAAGCTCTGATTTTTTTTTATAGTGCATTCACATTATCTTAGTCTACTGTGTTAGTATTCAAATTACACAAAAACATTAAATATTAATCTGGCCAGTGCCCCTCAAATCCAATTGAAAAAAAATCAATCCCGGAGATGAGAATGTTAGTGTCATATTACAGCTTTCTTTTGCAAAACAAGGAAAAAAGTTTAGTGCATAGAATGAAGAAAATTCTGGCAGGATTTATTTACAACTATTTCCTTTTTCAGGTTTACTAGAATAAATATTTGTGCAGCTGAATGTGTTGCTAGAAGCAGATCCTTGATGGCTGCCTTAGCAAAGCCAATATCTAGGCATAGCATGGACATCAGGCTTGGGGGAAGGTAGTCTACTATACAAGCTGCTATCATTGTCCACACATGACTTCATCTTTGCCTAGGTGGACCCTCAGCATTCCACAGTTGTTGAACTCATGGAGTCTCCATAATGTTCTCTTATCTTGGTGAAGTGTGTATACATATCTCAGGCTGCAAACTTAGGCAGACAAACATACAACTATTTTTGTAAAAGCGGATCTGAATTCTATCTTGAACCTCCTATTTCTTTCTTTCTTTTTTTTCCAAGACCGAGTCTCACTCTGTTGCCAGGCTGGAGTCCAGTGATGCGACCGCGGCTCACTGCAACCTCTGCCTCCCAGCTTCAAGCAATTCTCCTGCCTCAGCCTCCCAAGTAGCTGGGACTACAGGCACCTGCCATCACGCCCAGCTAATTTTTGTATTTTTAATAGAGACGGGGTTTCACCATGTTGGCCAGGATGGTCTCGATCTCTTGACCTCTTGACCTCGTGATCCGCCTGCCTTGGCCTCCCAAAGTGCTAGAATTACAGGCATGAGCCACCGTGCCCGGCTGAACCCACTATTTTTATCACTGACTGAATAATTTAGTCGTATGGCTTTCCAGGTAAACTTGGGCAAATGCAACAGTCTCAGTCATTTTAAGTTTATATTTAGGCTTCTGCCCCTCTCATTTTCTCCGTGTGGCATCTAGGTTCTAAAGAGATTTTAAGGTGTTCAGGTGTTGGGGTAGAGTGGGTGGGTGGTAAACACCTGGCTCACTACATTCCTTTGGGGGTGATTCTCCCTCCTAATCTTTGGATGCTGGCCTCTGTCCCTGCTGCATTCACCACCCAGGTTTCCTTTTAGGTATTTAGCAGCAAAGAACTGACTTGAGTGCTATTCTCCATCACTCTGGGGCTCACAGGAAACTGTGGATTCAGTCCCTCCTGTGTCTATTTCTGCCATGTCACCACTTCAGTACTGCTGCTCCCCATATCAGGTTGGTATGAAGCACTTCCATTAATATTTTCTATCCAAGTCTCAGATGGAAAGCAGGGCACAGTACAATATTTCAGGGGTCCCTAACCCTGGGGCCACAGACCAGTACCAGTCCTTGGCCTGTTAGGTACAGGACCACACAGCAGGAGGTGAGCAGTGGGCCAGTGAGTAAAGCGCCATCTGTATTAACAGCCACTCCTCATCACTTGAATTATTGCCTGAGCTCCACCTCCTGTGAGATTTACCAGTGACATTATTATAGAGTCTCATAGGAGCACAAACCCTATTGTGAACTGCACGTGCGAGGGATCTAGGTGCGGCTCCTTATGAGAATCTAATGCCTGATGATCTGTCACAGTCTCTCATCACCCCCAGATAGGACTGTCTAGTTGCAGGAAAAGAAGCTCAGGGCTCCCACTGATTCTACATTATGGTGAGATGTATAATTATTTCATTATATATTACAAGGTAATAATAATAGAAATAAAGTGCATAATAAATGCAATGTGCTTGAATCATCCTGAAACCATCCCCCACCCCTGTCCATGGAAAAATTGTCTTCCACAAAACCGGTCCCTGGTGCCAAAAAGGTTGGGGACCTCTTCTCTATTTGTATCAGTCAGGGTCATCTGCGTTATGCTGTGGTAACAAATGCTCCCCAAATCTCAGTGGCTTAGAAAGACTAAGGTTTATTTTTCACTCGCCTGGCCTTCCTGGGTCAGCCATGGTATTTCTCCATGCCTTGTGCTCTCCTAGATCCAGGCTGGTGGAGCTGATATTGCTGATATCAGGGTAGAGGAAAAAGAGAATAAAATGAACCTTGTGCTGGCTAGAAAAGCTCACATTTTATTGGCTAAAGCAAGTCAAATGGATAAACCTGACATCAATAAGGCAGAGAAGTTGAATTCTCCTCTGGAAAGGGGCAGCTTATATTATTTATTTATTTTTATTTTAATTTTTTGAGATGGAGTCTCGCTGTGTCGCCCAGGCTGGAGTGCAGGGGTGCAATCTTGGCTCACTGCAAGCTCTGCCTCCCGGGTTCATGCCATTCTCCTGCCTCAGCCTCCCAACCAACTGGGACTACAGGCGTCCACCACCATGCCTGGCTAATTATTTTTTTTTTTAGTAGAGATGAGGTTTCACCGTGTTAGCCAGGATGGTCTTGATCTCCTGACCTCGTGGTCTGCCCGCCTCAGCCTCCCAGAGTCCTGGGAGTACAGGCGTGAGCCACTGCTTCCAGCCAGGGGCAGCTTATATATTTTTTATTTTTTATTTTTTGAGACAGAGTCTTGCTCTGTCGCCCAGGCTGGAGTGCAGTGGCATGATCTCGGCTCACTGCAAGCTCCGACTTGCGGGTTCATGCCATTCTCCTGCCTCAGCATCCTGAGTAGCTGGGGCTACAAGCGCCTGCCACCATGCCCAGCTAATTTTTTGTATTTTTAGTAGAGATGAGGTTTCACCGTGTTAGCCAGGATGGTCTTGATCTCCTGACCTTGTGATCCACCCACCCCTGCCTCCCAAAGTGCTGGGATTACAGGCATGAGCCACCGCACCGAGCCAATATATTTTTAAATAATAATGCAATCTACCACTTTATTCCTGGGTTCCTAAACTTGAGCGGAGACCTAAGTGTCCCTAATAACTTAGCCTGAGGAGTGGTGAGAGGTCAGAAATACCATGCTCATGGCTTTCAGTGCTATCTCTTCTTCAATTCAAATTCTCCTCCCCAGGTCAGGAAACCCTATCTAACCTCCAGGGAGGGTGGTCTGGTTCTTCATCTGTTCTCTTCTAATTGACTGTTTATGGACAAAACATTCATGTTTCACTTCTTTCTGCACTTAGCCCTTTGAAGCTCCAGAAAACCCATCTTTTGCAAAATCACAAACCTTGGTGTTTAAGATTAGTTTTTCTGCTATGAATTTTAAAAAATCTATTTACAAGCTGAGAATTGATTTCTTTTATTCTTTCTCTTTTCTTACTTTTTTTTTTTTTTTGAGATAGGGTCTTGCTCTGTCACCCAGGCTGCAGTGCAGTGGTACAATCATGGCTCACTGAAGCCTCTACCTCCTGAGCTCAAGCAATCCTCCCACCTCAGCCTCCTGAGTAGCTGGGACCACAGGTGCACATCACCATGCCTGGCTAACTTTTGTATTTTTTTTGTAGAGACGGGGTTTTGTCTTCTTGCCCAGGCTGGTCTTGAACTCCTGGGCTCAAGTGATCTGCCCACCTTGGCCTCCCAAAATGCTGAGGTTATAGGCATGCCAGGTCCGCTTTGTTTTTTCTTTTAAAAATTTGTTGTTTTTTTTTGGTGGTTGTTTTGTTGTTTTTGTGTCCACCCTTGATAAATGCTCTCAGAAAAAATAGATTCTCTTGCCTCAGTGAGCTGAGTAGTCATGAGGGCAATAAGGAATGGTATTAAAAGAAAACCTCAATTATTGTCTCCAGATAGAATTTCCTCAAAACTGGAAGGTAGGTAAAGTAGATGTGAAAGTAAAGCCTGCTTGGATGGGAGCTTTAGGGTGTTTTGTCTTGAGTGACTGCTCTAAAGCATGCTTACTGTAGTAGTGGTGGATTATCACTTTCCATCCCATAATCTCCAATGCTCTTTAGAAAGGATTTGTAAAAGATTTACAATGCTAGCTTCCTATTTTCTGCTTGAAACTTCCCCTTGAGAATTACAATATTTGCCTACAGTATCACACTAGCCAAGCTCACACGTATGCTAAAGTAATACTCAAGTGAATGTACATGAAATTACAATGAACCAGAAACCGAGTAAAACAGGGAGCTTACCTTAGATTCTGTTTTTTCAACATGTTGGTTTTTATTTTTGATTTTTTTATTTATGGACTATTTCCATGACTTTCAATTGAAGTCACTCATATACTACTGAGAGATACTCCACAGGGCCACCTACCATTCTTGTACTCTCTTTGCCAGTAGTTTCTATGGAGTTAACTGTTTGCTCAGTCTTTTCTCAGAACTGTTATTTCAGGTACCACTTTCATCTCTCACATTACAGCTCCCATTCCACTTTCTCACACTATCCACCTGCTGTAGGCATCCTCATTGCTAATTAGTATAGATGAGCAAAATTCAGCAGAGATTCAGTTCAGATACTTCCCAAAGTTAAGAACAACACATCTGTGAATTCCTGCCCATATGATTGAAGCCCCAAGGTGAGCTGGGGACAGAGGAACATGGCCTCTTTCCATAAATCCAGAGAGGAGGAAGCCTTGCCTGAGTCCCACATTGCTTCTCACTGTGGAAGGAGGCAGGCAGTTTTGTGTTTTTTAAACTTACTTTGTTTTTTGAGACAGAGTCTCACTCTGTCACCCAGGCTGGAGAGCAGTGGTGTGATCTCAGCTCACTGCAACCTCTGTCTTCTGGGTTCAAGCGATTCTCTGGCCTCAGCCTTCTAAGTAGTTGGGATTACAGGTGCACACCACCATGCCTGGCTAATTTTTTGTATTTTTT
The DNA here is from genome assembly GCF_000001405.40 of Homo sapiens. Taxonomy (NCBI): domain Eukaryota; kingdom Metazoa; phylum Chordata; class Mammalia; order Primates; family Hominidae; genus Homo; species Homo sapiens. Next base: position 84,895,677 of record NC_000001.11, on the reverse strand, counting down.
GTAGAGATGGGATTTTACCATGTTGGCCAGGCTAGTCTTGAACTCCTGGCCTTAAAGTGGTCCACCAACCTTGGCCTCCCAAATATCTGGGATTACAGGCGTGAGCCACCACATCCACCCCCAATTGTTCTTTCAGCCATCACAATTTCATTCTATCAAGCACTGTGGAATGCCCCTTTTACCTCCTTATAGAAACAACGTTATAACTCTTTGTGTTTCCAGGAACACAAAACACAACACTTGTATACATGAAGCTGACTAGCAAATGTTTGTTGAAAGTTTTGAATGACTTTCCAGCCAGTGATCTCTAAGACAAAATACACCCTCAGCCTTCATCCTTGCCATTTTGATGTTAATTTTAATTTGGCTTTGCTAATAAAAACATTTCGGTAGAGAAGTGAGACACCACAGGCCAAACAAGGATTTGTAGGAGGTTCTGGTGGATAATCCCTGGGCTACCTTCTAAAAACTAGGAATTGGGGGCCACATCTTTCTTTTTAGTTGTCGTTTGCCTCGTCTTTTCTTTTCCTGCTTCTCCCCATAGGTGTTTGTTTGTTTGTTTGTTTATCACTGCTTTTCCTCTCTGAATCTGTTTCTCTGTAACACCTTCTGGCCTTCCCCTCACATCTGACCCATCTAGCTGTTAAAAACCATCTATCTGGAAAGTCTCTTTCCTTTTGCAACACAGCTCCCCATGCCCTCTTCACTTTCCTCCTTTTTTAAGGATTCAGATTCAACTCTGTGGGATCCCTGTTCTGCTTTGCAATTACCTCGAGTTCAGGAAGTTCCCAAGGTACAACATAATGCAACATAATGTGTTTCCCAAGTGCCTTTGTTAGTAAGTTGTTTGGATTCAGAACAGATTTTCCCAGCAAAAGAAGGCTCTTAGTGGTGTTTACAGTCTAGCCTGCAACATCTTACTCAACATACTACACCTTTGTTGCGTCAAGTATTCAGTAAATGCTGGTGGTTGAGTATTTCTGTGTTTACCAGGTTGCCCTTCAGCACCGTGATGTTTGAGCTGAGCTGTTCTCTCCCTTGACAGAGAGAGCTCTTTCCGACCCCCGCCCCTCCGAGACGGAGTCTTGCTCTGTCGCCCAGGCTGGAGTGCAGTGGCGCGATCTCGGCTCACTGCAACCTCCGCCTCCCAGGTTCAAACGATTCTCCTGCCTCAGCCTCCAGAGTAGCTGGGATTACAGGTGCGTGCCACCACGCCCGGCTTTTTGTATTTTTAGTAGAGACGGGTTTTCACCATGTTTGCCACCGAGCTTTTTTATCATATGCAAAGCTTCTGCTTGTAAAAGTAAACACATGATCTTTCTTTAGCCCTAGCTTCGCAAGTTGTACTTCTCTCTACACAGTTCAACTGCAAGACACCGCAATAATTTTCTGAACACTTAGATGAAACAATAATTTTCACATGCTGATGAAAACTTAGCTGTAGCCCCGGGGAGGTTTGAGGCACATTAGGCTATTATGGTCTATAGGATAAGACCCACGGAGTAAGGGACGTAACCTTATTAAAACATCCTCTGCAGAGAAAACAGAATCTCTTTGATGGTAGGGGACAGATTATCTAACAGGTTGTTTGCAAGGATGAGGTTCCTAGCTGGCACACAGAAGGGCGCAGTATTAATGGTGAATGCAAGATGAATGAATGAACGGATGGATGGATGGCAAAGGGTCACAGGAAGACATCTGGGCACACAACTCTCATTGCTTCCTAAGGGCCTGAAGTCTGAGTGGGAAGGACTTCACCTCACAGTATTTCCTTTTTGTAAGGTCACCAGGAAAGCACAACTTTGAACATTTCTGTGACTTCGTTATTGCTTTGCAGAATTCAGAGAGAACAATGCCTTCATGACATTTGTTTTACTTTGCATCTTTCTTCTTTACTAAAGGTGGGTCAGTGGAGGTTTTATATTTCAGCTTTGAAAAACAAAGTATCCAGGACTATTTGCCCCAGGAGGCCAAGAAACCTCTTACAAGAACCTTAAATATTGTTGGTTGCCTCTGGGGGCTGTCCGCACCCTCGGGTAGCTTTGGGGTTGAGGTTTCCAGCGTTAGGTCGGGCTTGGAGTAGAGCCTGCCTCCCACGGGGGTGGTGGGTGTGGGCTGCACTTCCCGCAGCCACTTCAAACAAATCTCTGAGGACAGAGGGGCAGAGGGACTGCGTTCTAATACGGAGCTCCGAGGTATGGCTCCGTGAGGCTTGTGGGTACTAGCGGTCCTTTAGTGGGCGCTTTTCCCTCTCGGGGCCGGCCGACCACCCACCTGGGGACGATCCCAGGCAGGAACGCGTCTGCAAGAGCGCTGCCCTCCCGCGGCTCGCACGGGCCCCTTTGAGCGCAGCTCGCGGCCTTGCAGGTTGGGGACGCTCTCCAGTGGGAACGTCGAACGCACCCGGCGGGGCGGGGCGGGGCAGGGAGGGGCCGCTGTCCCTAGGTCCCTCCCTCGCACCGCCAAACTTTCCTTTGGCTCTGGACGCGTCGCAGGGGTCGCTGGAGAGGAGGCGCTCCGCCCGCCCGCCGCGTCCTCCGCTGCTTCTCCGCGCCCGGCTGGAGCCCGGCGCCCGGTCGCCCCGTCGCGCTCGACCCCGAGGGCATGCGGCAGCCGCAGGGGCCCCCGCTCCCGGGCTCGGCGGCGCGGGTGAACGTGAGCGGTGAGTGAGGGTCCGGGCGCAGGGAGGGTACCCCGAGCCGCAGTCACCAGGGCGTGCGTCGTGGGGAGGCCGGGGCGCAGCGGCGCCTGCAGGGCTCTAGCCTGCGGCTTTTCGGGGTTGCCTGGCGTGCAAGCCTGGGCTCCAGACCCACTCCAAACCCCGGGACAAGACTCTCCCGGCGGGTGTATGGCACAACTTGCTCTTTTCCCACCTTTTTCCCCGCTAGGAGCAAAAAGCAATCTAGATGCAAAATCGGCGTTGCGTCCGCTGCTGAGGGCTGGCGGGCTGGGCGCAGAGGCCAGGAGAGCGCCGCACGGGTTGCGTCTGCCTTTGCACACGTGGTTCTTTCCAAACTCAGTCTCATTGCCATCGATGGTGATTAGGAAACTGGGGTTCTCTCGTGAAGCCTAGGGATATAACATTTTTCAGCCTCCAGTTACATCTGGTACTGTGCTGTGTCCGCTGGGGAACAGCTTGAACCATGTGCAGGCTTCTAGAGATTCGGGAACTAGTAACTAGCAACACTGTCGGGGTTGTTTGTTCAGGGTATGCCCCCTCACCACCACGAGACAAAAGTGCTTTTGTTCTGTAGCAGAGTTACTTTATTGCTTTCCCTCAACAAGTTGCAGCTACACAAAATTGCTTAGAAATTCCGCACGCATGTAATTTGAGGAGTGACTGTGAATATTGGAAACAATTTAGTCTTATTAAGGTAATCATTAAAATGGCCCTGAAAAGCATTTGTAGGTTAGTTTTTATTTATTTATTTATTTATTTATTTATTTATTTATTTATTTATTTTTGAGACACAGTCTCGCACTATCATCCGGGCTGGAGTGCAGTGGCGCGATCTCGGCTCACTGCAACCTCCGCCTCCCAGGTTCGAGCGATTCTCCTGCCTCAGCCTCCCTAGTAGCTGGGATTGCAGGCGCCCACCACCACGCTAGGCTAATTTTTTGTATTTTTAGTAGAGACGGGGTTCCACTGTGTTGGCCAGGCTGATCTCGAACGCTTGACCTCGTGATCCACCCTCCTCAGCATCCCAAAGTGCTGGGATTACAGGTGTGAGCCACTGCGCCCGGCTAGGTCAGTTTTTTAAACTGAGTAATTTCCACGAAATGTTTCCCCCGTAATTTGTTATTGTCATTACAACGCTTTTCTTCCTCCTTTTCCTCCGAAAGTAGCATTACCTGGTCTTGAGATGCCGTTTAGAAATAAAGGGCTTTCTCACGGTTCCAACTTAGTCTGTATCAGAGAATAAAGTAAATGTCAATTACAGACAGACAATCAATCTCCTCTTTACAAATTCCATGTACCGCACAACGTTTCATTAATGCATGGACTTTTGTATCGCTGAGAAGAGTTGCTGGATTTTCCATTGATCCATCAACAGTTGCTAACCCTGCTTTCCATGGGCAGTGGATCTGATATTTAGTGGCCTGAGTCCAGTAAACAGAGTTTTCCTCTTTTTGGGACAGAAGTGATACGGTTAGAAACACACACCTTGGCTCTGTTAACCCCAGGCTTGTCTAAACAAACTGGACTATACTAAAAAGACGAGCGAGCAAACCCTGCCAGTCAGAGTTGTGTACTTGAGATAAGCTTCCAGAGTTGTCTCTTGTGCCTTGAGACAGCAAGGAACTAGTTATCCTGTGGAGATCTGGACGTCTAACTATTTGGACAACACTTACATTGATTGTCACTATCATATAACTAAGAAAATAGGTCATTTTGGCAAAAATTTTTTCTTTGTCTTTAGAATTTGAAACTTTGAGGTTTTGATTTAATTACATATGACACTCCTCTTGTCTAAACCTTTCAATTGCATTTATCAACTACCACTCTTTTTTTTTTTATCAGATCAGACCTATTTTAGATATCTTGCTGTTCTGCAAGATATTTGTTAGAACAGGCCTGCATATGTTTTCTATGAATGGAGACTGAATTTAAAACATTAAAGTATGAGATTGTTTTTCATGTGTGTTCACCGGAATCTGTTTAAGAAACTACAGCATGTTAACTCTCCATCTCATTTTTCAGAAACACACGTGCACAGTGGAAGAAATGCACACACAGCATTGTAGCCAGGCAGCACCCAGACACACACTCTCAACATCACTTATACACACATGCCTAAGGCTGGCTGCTTCTCCCCCAAGTTTCTCAGCCTGCTGCTGAGGAGCAGCAGTGCGTGATAACTTAAGACCCGCCTCTTATTTCTTTGGGCTGGGGCAAGGGGAATCACTATAACTGAAATGGGAATTACTGTACCTCAGATTACCCATTAGCCATTCTCCTTGGAGTATACATTAGTTCAAATGCTTTCTGGCCTGTGATTATACCCAACAGAGTGGTTAAGTCTGTTTGCAGGATTCTAGATGGCAGAGACCAGGCCCAAGGCATTATTAATGCAGTATAAATGGAAGACCAAGGCTTTGCAGTCAGACCAGCTTTTGTTCCAGTCCAAGCTTTGTGACCTTGGGCACATAGCTTCACCTCTCTAAGTCTTAATTTCCTCATCTGTAAAAATGAAGATTATATCCATCTCCCAAGATTAAAAGAGAAAGCACTGAGCATGGTCTCTCATATACAGGAAGTACTCCTTAAATGCTGGTTGCCCTCTTTTCCTCCTAGATAAAAATTTAAGTATTAACACTTGTGTAAACATGGGTGCAAATGTATATTCTGGTAAAAGTGCAAAGATTTCTAAGCCTTAGATGACTTAGAGATGTTATACACACTTTTCTTACTTGCTTTCTCTTTTCCTGGCCATGGGCCTTTTGTTCCTCCCTTCGTCATTCCTCCTGCAGGTACTGAGCCTCCCCCTTTCCGGCCTTGATGATCCTTTGTTCCTCATCCTGGATTCTGTATTTGTGGAGGAGTCACCTGGAACTCAGTCCTGCTGTGGATGGCAGAGGTGGTGATGGGGCTGGGGAGCTATCTGCATAAGTGCAGAGACTTTGTGCTTTTACAAACGGTGGACTAGAGGTACTTGGAGCACAGGGTTCTGTCTTTGAATCCTAGTCCCACTTTTGTGAGTTCTTGTGACCCTGAATAGATTGTCATGTTTAAGTTTTTTTCATTTATATAGTGGGGATAATAATTACTTTTCTACCTGTCTACATGGATTGTTAATGAGTTCCATTAACTTATGTACGTGAAAGAGCTTTGTACCCTGTGAAGAGTGCATAAACATTGGAATTAAAGAGGCAGGACATCCAGATGTGGGCCACCCCAGGCAGGCCCACTCAGCTCTGGCTATTGGGGGTTGGCAGTATCTCCACAAGCATGTTTTGAGTGCTAAGGGGGCACTGCTGCAGTTCTTCCATATTCCTCTCTCCCGTCCTCTGACATCATACTGGACTTCGAGGAGGAAATAGCATCAAAGGTTGAGAAACTGCTCTGTGGGGAATATGAGAGGAAGTTAAATTTCAGGACTGAGGTTACCCAACACTACATGATCGAAGGCATAGGGCAAAGTTCCAAAGAAGCTTTAATTTCGTGTTGGAATTACCTGTACTGTCTGCGCATCTCAGTTCTTAGTGGACAAACACAAACAGCTGGCCACCACCCATCCCACAGGTCAGGAGGAGGGTGCTGATGGCAATGTTGGACAATGTATTGGGTCCACCTATACCATCCTCACTCCCCTGTGCCTTCTTGCTGACTTGGGTCTCTAGTTTACTCTGCAAAGTTCTAAACTGACCAAAGGCATTGCTCCCCCACCCCCAAATTAAGCTAATTACTTAATTCAGTCTGAAAGATATTTGTTGCTCTCTACCTGTCCTGGCAAGCCAGCTGGAGGGTGGGGGAGGGGATTTAGTACCATTGAGGGGAAGGTTCTGACATCCTGGGTTATACCCACCCCTCTCTTCATCACCCCCAGTCTTATGTCCTCCTCTTTATTCCTCTTCCTTGGCTGGCCTCTTGTCCTGTGTATCTACAACCTTGAACTCCTCCCTTGCCCATGACCCCTGATACTGCCCTACTCCCATGATTCTGTCACCCCTCTTCAGATGTGAATCATTTGTACACCTCAGGCTGGGCCAGACTGGGTGTCACTGTGGAAAGCAACCTGCCCAGCACAGCCTGCCCCACCCCTTCCTGAGGATGTTCATCAACCCCTCTAATTACTCATCAGCTAGTCCTGTGTCTACATTGTTCCCTGGGACATTAAGCTGGAGCTTCTACTAGCCCTGGCCTTGACTCACCCATGTGCAGATTGACCAGTTATCAAGGGATGGCTTGGCAGGTGGCAGGGCTGGGTTGGAGGGCACATTAGCCCCTCCATAAGTGCACTATTTGGTCCAAAGGCCTTCCAAGCAAACATGCGGTCTAAATAAAAGCAGTGTATTTGCTTTATAAATGCAGCTTTAAGGCAAGCCCCTGGTCTCCCCTTTTAAGCCAAGCTATCCCGAAGCACATCCTCTGTAGAAATTCTGGAGCTGCCCCCAGACAGACTCAGACCATGTAATTCAAAGATAGGCAGCGGAGTCTATCAGCAGCATTCACTCCCTAAGGAGGTAGAAAGCCAGAGTTAAGACTCAAAGCCATTGGCAGTGACTAGTTATAGAAAACCAAAGCAAGGGATCAAGTATAGAATTTATTGGGAGCACATCAGTGAATCATTTACCTCCTGCCCTGTTTGATTTTTAGTAAGTCAGTTCGTCGAATGGGGGTAAGGAAGGCCTTTCTCTGGACAAAAACTATCACATGGGTCTGGTGAAGAGAAAATAAGTAGTATAATCTTTTTCTATGTCTCCATGGCATTAGGTTTGAAATCTCAATCTCTCCCTCTCTCTCCCTCCCTCCTTCTCTCTGTCTCTGCCTCTCTCTGTGTGTGTGTGTGTGTGTGTGTGTGTGTATGTATGTATATATATATATATAAAATATACATCATCAGTCTTTATTCTGAGAGGAAGTCATAGACATTATTCTCCATCACTCTTGAAAACACTCCAGCATAAAAAAAAAAGCAAGCACTCTGTCCTCCTATATAACCAGCGTACACCCATCAAATCAGGAAATGGACATTGATACAAAACACTATCATCCAATCCACAGAGCCCATTCCTATTTCGTCAGTTATCCCCCAAATGTCTCTTCTACCTGTCTGATCTAGGATTCATGTTACATTTAGTTACCATGTCTCTTCTGGAACGGTTCCTCAGACTTTCCCTGTTCCTAAAGTGTTTGCAGTTGTATAGGTCCTACATGCTGTAGGATGACTCCCAACCTGGCTGTATTGGGTATTTCTTCACAGCCTGACTGAGGTCATGCATTCTTGGCAGGAATCCTTCAGAAATGAAACTCAGCTCTTCTTAGCTTCTTACAACAGAAGGCACATGGTGCCAACCCATCCCACTGCTGGGATATTGACCTCAATCACCTGGTTATGTTGGTGTTTGCCAGATTTCTTCACCTTAAATTCGCCATTTTTCCTTCGTTTCCCTTTGTTTCCCCAAAGGTGTTTGAAAACACCTTTGTACTAGTGTTTGTGGGGAACTATTCTAGGGTTATGCAAATAGCCTGTTCCTCATTAAACCTGTACCTACAGAAACTACCATTTATTGATGACGTCTGCCTGAATCAGCCACCTCTATGAATGTTGCCAAATGGTGATTCTTTTTTTTTTTTTTTAAGACAAGGTCTCACTCTGTTGCCATGCTGGAGTGCAGTGGCATGATCTTGGCTCACTGCAGCCCCAACCTCCTGGGCTCAAGTGATCCTCCTGCCTCAGCCCCCCAAGTTGCTGGAACTACAAGTGCACACTACCACACCTGGCTTATTTTTTTTTTTTTGTATTTTTTGTAGAGATGGAGTTGGTTTCACCATGGTGCCCAAGCTGGTCTCGAAATCCTGAGCTCAAGTGATCCACCTGCCTTGGCCTCCCAAAGTGCTGGGATTACAGGCATGAGCCCCTGCACCCAGCCTCAAGTGATGATTCTTTATCACCGTCACTCTTTCTACATTTGTTAGTTGGCATACTACTATAAGGAAGAACTTTATTTTTCTGTTATGTTTTTACTAAGAACTGTTCATGGATTCCTTATGTATTCAATAAGTTGAAGTCTCACGATTGTTTTTTATTTTAATGCTCAAATTGTGCTCAATTTGGCCAATGGGGACCCCTTGGAGCTGCCTCCTGTGTCCTTTTAACACATCCCTATTATTCATTGAGCATTTCTTTATTTTCTGGCTCCACCAGATCATCTGGACTCATCTTCTACTTTCCTTGACCTAGTTAGGCCTCCCTTTTAGTAGAGAATGGTACTTTTGTCTTATTTATATTTTATATATTTAAGGCATACAACATGATATTTTCATGTATTTATCTTGATAAACATAGATGTAATGAAGTAATTACTACAGTCAAGCAAATTGACATGCCCATCATAGTTACCTTTCTTGTGTTTGTGATAAGAGTACCTAAAATCTACTCTCTTGGCAAATTAGCAGAATACAATATTTATTAATTTTAATTTTTTTAGAGACAGGGTCTTGCTCTGTACTACAGGCTGGAGTGCAGTGGCGTGATCATAGTTCACTGCAGCCTCTAACTCCTAGGTTTGAGCAGTCCTCCTATCTCAGCCTCCCAAGTAGCTAGGACTCCAGGTGCTCACCACCATTCCCGGCTAATTTAAAAAATATTTTTTAGAGGAGGGGTCTTGCTGTGTTGCCCAGGCTGGCCTCCAACTCCAGCCTTGAATCATCCTCCTGCCTTGGCATCCCAGGTGCTGGGATTACAGGTATGAGCTACCATGCTCAGCCTCAATACAGTATTAGTAACTGTAGTCCTTGTGTTGTACATTAGTGGAAACAGGGAAAAACAGAAGATGTAGATTAAAAGGTACGAAGTTGCAGTTATGTAGGATGAATAAGTCTTGAGATCTAATATGCAATATGAGAATTGTATTTAGACACCAATACATAGGAGGTTGATGTGCCCATTGTTACTGGGGTATTATTGCTTCTAGATCTCTCAGAGGACAGAGCTAGGAAATATATGTGTATATGTGTACACACATTTATAAATTTTTCTATATTAGGCTGTGTATTATAAAATCATGATTCATACTTATACCTACAATTTCAATCTAACACCCAAAGAGCTTTCTGTTCTTCCCCCTTTATATGTTTGTACATATCTTCTCTGGCAGTTAGAAAACCTGACTCTCATTATCTTCAATATTTTTGCTTATTTGCATACAGTAACCAGTCTTACAAATGTGAAGGTCATCCTGCCTCCTCTGTGTCCACCACCTTTGCCACTGCCTCTTGTCCTCGGCTGCCAGGCCTGCTAGCCTGTGTCTCTATGTAGCTTAATCATCAGTCTCCAGTCCCTCTAGCTCACAGCTCTTCCCAGCCATAGCTCATGTCTCTATGTACCTCCCCAAACTCCCCAGCCTCACGTTGCATTCCCAGCTACATGCTGATTGCTGTGTTCTGGGGAAGGAAGAAAAGAGAAGGGAAAGGAAGAAAGAAAATAGGAATGGAAGGAAAGCAAAGAGGAATAGTGTATATATTTTAAAGTCTCATTAGATATTGCCAAATTGCCTTCCCCCAAAGTTCTATCAGTTTACATTCTCACCAACATGTTATGAGGGTACTATTTTCCCCACATTCTTGCCAACACTTGTTGGCAAGTAATAGCCGCTTGTTTAAATGTTATCAATCTGATAGCACTCCAGTTTTAGCTCTATTACAGCTCTGCCACACTTAACCCTGTATTATATGTCTCATCTCACCCTCTAGGTCAGGATTTCTCAACCTTAGCACCACTGACATTTTGGACCGGATACTTCTCTGTTGTGGAGAGCTGGCCTGTGCATTGTAGCGTGTGCAGCAGCATTCCTGGCCTCTGCCCGGTAGATGCCAATAGTACCCCCCTCCCCCAAGTCATGACTGATGCAGATGTCTCCAGATATTGCTAGGAATCCCTGGGAGGAGGAGAGGATTGGCCCTGGCTGCTCTAGATAATGAGTTTCCTGGGGGAATTTTGCATCTTTACACATGTCTTCATGCACTTCTGTCTTTGACGTACATATGCTGAACAGTGAGAGAACGTTAGCTGGACAGGGATGAGAGGAATAAAAGGTTAGGTGGAATCCACTACAACAGGACCAGTGGAACTTGTTCACTGCAAGTATGCAACTTTCCACAAATGCAAATTCCAGGAACATCCAACAGAGGGAAGTGAAGAGGAATGTCAGCAAGGTTAACTTTCCATGGATTGCTACCAGGTTATTACTTGTCTTTCTGAGTTCATTTTTGCCCCAGTTTCGTACAGACAGACAATGAGGTCTGTGGCCTATTTCAGCTGATATACTCTGTTTTGTTGATGGGGAAAGTAAAATGCTTTAGGAGAAGGTGTTAACATCATTTAACATTGTAGAGGTAAACTGAGTTTCTTCTGAGCTTTCTCTGAAACAGGCAAACTGACTAATGGTTGCTAATTTCTATGATGCATTTAGAGTTTTACTGTGATATTTTCATTTGATTATATAGATTTTCCTCCATAAACTCTTACCAAAAACTCTAAGGAGAGATGTGCTTCAAGATTTTTATTGACATTTACCACAATCATTATGTTAGAAATGCAAAATGCTTGTTCCCCGGTGCCACAAAGAAATAGCGCTTGAACATAAATTTAATTCTCTCAGCAAGGCAATTTTTACTTTCTGCGGAAAGGGTATACTCACCAGCAGTCTTGCCACGAGAGTACACCAAACAAAGGAAAAGCAGACATATTTATCCCTTACACATTTGGGTTGTCCTCACTGCTGTGTCCTGCATCCACTGGCTGGAGCCGAACCTCACAGTCTAAACTGATACCCGATTTGCTAAGAGCCTAAAACTTTTTTAGATAGGTAAAGGCAAGGGAGAACAAAGGAAAAGAGGAAGTTGCTTTTGAAAAATTTAAAGAAGTAATAACATTTCCAAATAAGAAAGGGGCATAGGCTGTGAGCTGGAACATGCCTGTGAGCATGTCCAACAGCTACATGCTTAACAAAGAGTTATTAGCACAAAGCAAGGAGGCTTGAAGAAAAATTTTAAAAGAAACTATTATTTCTAACATTTATGATTTATTATTTAACAAGAAGGGAAACTTTGAAGAGGAAACTTTTTACTTTCTGCAATTATATTTCTTCTAGATTCAGTAAATGTTTGCAAAAGGCATTAATGTCATTATGGAGAACAAATCTACGTCTTACATTTCTCTGGGGGTCAGGTGGCAGAGACTGCTTCCAAAAAGAGGCTCCAGTGGTCAGTATTGTTTAAAAAAAAAAAAAACAAAAAAATCCCTGGGCCAGAAGGATGAGGGCTGGTCAGGGTGAATCAGTCCCCAATTTCTACATTTCTTCTCTGTAAAATGGAGAATGCTGAACTGCCCATCTCACTGTGGGATCAAATGGGGAAAGAGATGTAAACTTTGAAATTTGTTCACTAGTATATCAGTGAATGTGTTTTGGTGGATTACTCCAAGATCCTGAAGGAGTGGTTTAGAGGAAGTATGGTAACATAGTAAGAATGTTAAACATTAGGTTTTCAACCCAGCTGGCTAAACCCCTCTTTCCTGATTGTACACATTCATCTGGGACTCTGGGACTAAAAGGTAATGAAAAACACCAGCTAGTGACTCTCTGACTAGATTGGTAGAAGAGAGAAGGCTTTGGCTTTAGGGTGTTATTGTGGTGACCCACCCAGTGTGAGGGAAAGGATTCTTCCTTTGGTCTCCTCTTCCCAATATTCTCTGTTGGGGTCCCTTTTCCCCAGCCTTTTGGGAACAAGCTCACCGTGGAGCTCAGTGGACTTTCTCTGACTCCTCTAGACCTTGAAGTGGACTGGGGCTTTACATTTGCTACGTCATTCACTTTGTCCCACTAACCTGACAAGTTAGATCTTATCTCCCTTTTACAAAAAAGGAAATCGAGGCTCCATTTCTCAGATCCCACTGATAATAACAATAATTAAATTAGAACTGTTTGTTAGGGGCTAGTCTAAGCACCTTTAAATCTCCTAACAGCCTTAGGAGGAAGTTACCTTTATTATCCCCGTTTTGTAGATGAGGAAATTAAGATAGAGAAGATAACTAACTTGTTGGTAAGCAAGGCTTTAAACTCAGTCTGGCTATCTCCAGGGCCATGCCCTTTTGCATGTGAGTATCTATTTTTTTCTAGCACCATTTTTTTTTATTATTATACTTTAAGTTCTAGGGTACATGTGCACAACGTGCAGGTTTGTTACATATGTATAGCACCATTTGTTGAAGAGACTATCTTTTCTCCATTGTGAATTCTTGGCACCCTTGTCAAAGATCCGTTGATTATGTATGTGTGGGTTTATTTTTGGGCTCTCTAGTCTTTTCCACTGGTCTATATGTTGGACTTTATGCCAGTACCATACTACCATACATAGCTTTGTAGTATGTTTTAAAATCAGGAAATGTGAGGCCTCCAGCTTTGTTCTTCTTTCTTATGATTGTTTTAGCTATTCAGGGTCCTTTGTAGTTCCAGATGAATTTTAGGATTTTTTAATATTTCTGTAAAAAATGCCATTCAGATTTTTGTAGGGATTGCATTGAATCTATAGATTGCTTTGGGTAGTATGGACATTTTCACAGTATTAAGTCTTCTGATTCATGAACATGAAATGTATTTACCTCTATTTGTGTCTTTAAAAATTTCCTTATCAGTGTTTTATAGTTTTCAGTGTATAAGTCTTTTGCCTTTCTGATTAAGTTTATTTGTCAGGGTTTTATTCTTTTTAATACTATTGTGAATTTAATTGTTTTCATAATTTCCTTTTTTGGATTGTTTGTTGTTAGTGCATAGAAATAAATGCAACTGATTTTTGTATGTGCATTTTGTATCCTGCAACTTTACTGAATTAGTTTATTAGTTCTAATGGGTGTTTTGGTGGCATCTTTGGTGATTTCTTCATATAAGATCATGTTGTTGATGAACGGAGATAATTTTACTTCTTTGTTTCCAATCTGTATGACTTTTATTTATTTTTCTTGCCTAATTGCTGTGGCTGGGACTTCCAATACTATGTCGAATAGCAGTGATAAGAGTGGGCATCCTTGCTTTGTTCCTCATCTTGGAGCAAAAGCTTTCAGTTTTTCACCATTGAGTATGATGTTAGCTGTGGGGGCCATGCTCTTTAAATACTCGGCTCACCTGCTTATCTGCTAGTGTTTGGACCTAAATCCTGTGTTCTTCTGCTGTACTGCATTGCCTCTCTTCTCCTCTCCCTCCTCTTCCCCCTTTCCAATCCTGCCTCCCTGCTTTGTTTCAAGCTACAGCAGAGTGAATGTGGTACTGTCTTAAGCTTAGTCACTGCAGCACTGAGCCCATACTCAGGCAGGGGGACATTCTTTCTTGGACTGTAGTTATTTTAGTGTAGTTACAGGATGATTTTGTCACCATTCCTTGTTAAATTGAGGTGTTAGAGCATGAACAGTTAATCTCCCAGAATGCCAGTTGTATGTTTCACCAAACTTTTTAGAAATTTTGAGTTATCTAACCTTCTTGGGAAGTGCTGTCTGCCATTTATTGAGTGCATCCTGTGTACTAAGCATTTCCTTAAGCACTATAGAAATAATTGCTTTAATTTAGTCCATCCAACAATCCTACACAGTTGTCATGATTATGCCAGTTTTAGAGAAGGAAAAGGTTCTGGCCAGATCAGCAGTGTGCCAGGTGAGAGCCACTGCTAAAAGTGATGCGCCTGCATCTGACCCAGGTCCAGCTGATTCTGAAGCTTCCCCTCCCCTTCCCTCCCCTCACCATCCTGCCCCTACCATGCCTCACAACCTGCCATGCTTTCCTTCAGCGTGCAGGTGACCCCAGAACTCCACAGGTCTGGCTATCCCTTCTCTAACCTCTGTTTTAAATACTCACTCTAAAATGTCCTTTCTGTTCTTTGTTCTGACAAACATCCACTATTCAGTGGACAAGTAGAAACAAGAAAACCACCATAAAACTTCCCATTCAGAAGAATTGAAGACAAGTAACAGGGGCCTAAAAATGACGAAACCCTGCTGGGCAGGAATTATTAAGACCTCCCTGCCCTGGCAGTGGAGTCAGTTCCATGGTTGGTCCATGCTTCCCCTCTCTGGGTGGGGCCTCCCAGAAGCCTTGACTTTGTCTTTGTCCCCTGGGAAGTCCTTCCTTCTTCTGTACCCTCTGTGGCCACATTTGAAGGGTGTGGAAAGTGTGTACTCCTTGGGGGAGAATGAACGTGGGCCTTTCTGGGCCAAACTGTGGCTTCCCTGGTACTACAATTCCTTATAAACTTGATAGACTGCTAGTCAGTTCCACAGGTCAGTTACCGCATCCAAATCCCACTCTGGGTCAAGCTCTTAAGCATGACTTATTTTCCAGCTTGCATGCTTGGCTCATCTCTCTGCCTCTCTTCAGTAGTGTGTACTCTGAGGTCCTCTGCAGCATGGACTTGGATGGGAAGATGCACCCATACTCTGATCATTACTACAGACCTGCCTGGCATTGTCCCTTGCAACAGTTTACTGAGAGGTCTTTGAGATAGGCTGCAAGTGGTAATACTATTTTCTACTCTTTGGAGCTACACGGGCAATTGACTTTTCTGATTCTCCAAGGCCCTCCGTTTCTGGACACTGTCCATTCCTTTCCACCTTTGCTTACGTACTTGCAAAAAGTCTTGCCTGAGCTCATCTCTTTCTTGTCTCGCTTGCTAAAAGCTGCAAGGAGCAGCCAAAACAAGCTCATGTTCTGGTTCTGTTCAAGCAGTTCTCCTGCCTCAGCCTCCCGAGTAGCTGGCATTACAGGCATGTGCCACCACGCCCAGCTAATTTTGTACTTTTTAGTAGAGATGGGGTTTCTCCATGTTGGTCAGGCTGGTCTCGAACTCCCGACCTCAGGCAATCCTCCCACCTTGGCCTCCCAAAGTGCTGGGATTACAGGCATGAGCCACCACACCCAGCACATTGTGATGTTTTGATACATGTACTATATAGTGATCAGATTGATCAGATCAGAGTAATTAAATTGCTATAAACATTTCTGAGTGTTTATTTTCAATTTCTATACTTATTTTCTTGTTGATAGAAACTAGTCCATGGACTACGTGGATTTAGGCTGCCCAAAGGCTTTTCCCTGCTGGGTGTTCAAAGTGGATCACAGGCCTGTTTATGTTCCAACTTACAGGTAGGGAAAGGAGCATGGAGGAGGGCACCTTCATTGTTTTGGGGCTGACCTGGCAGCAGCACACTTCATTTATGCTTACATTCTAGTGGTAAGAACTTAGTCACGCAGCCACCCTAGCTGCAAGGAGGTACCAGGAGGCTGGAAAACCGAGTGTACAGTTGGGCGTCCTGGTGCCCAGCTATAAGCCCATTACTCTGTAAGAAAAGGAAAACGTGGGCTGGGCGTGGTGGCTCACGCTTATAATCCCATCACTTTGGGAGGCCGAGGTGGGTGGATCACGAGGCCAGGAGATTAAGACCATCCTGGCTAACACGGTGAAACCCTGTCTCTACCAAAAATACAAAAAAGTAGCTGAGCATGGTGGTGGGCACCTGTAGTCCCAGCTACTCGGGAGGCTGAGGCAGGAGAATGGCATGAACCTGGGAGGCAGAGCTTGCAGTGAGCCTAGATCGCGCCACTGTCCTCCAGCCTGGGCGACACAGCGAGATTCCATCTCAAAAAAAAAAAAAGAAAAAAGAAAAGAAAAGAAAGAAAAGGAAAATGTGATTTAGCAGTCTGTCCTACAGAACATAAAGCTAAATAATAATACAAAGAAATAATTACAAAAGAAGTCACAGGGCAATATGCAATTATGGGCAAATGAGTTAGAACAGCTGTGAGTTTAGTGTCATACCACCCATTGCATGACTTTTTAGAAATGGAGCCTGGGGTTCTGCAGCTTCTTTAATGTAGCCTGAGGGTCGAGGCTAGAGGTTAACCATGCAAAGTTCAAGTGAGAAGAGGCTAAGAAGCATTCTCAGTGGGAAAGTTCAGAAACCAGATTCCTAGGTTTGGAGCTGAGTTTGAATTCACAAAGCTATGTCCAGAGTAATTGGTCAGGAGCAGATTCAAAGGCAGGGAACACTATAGTAGTCAGGACTAGGCCTCAGGTAAAGTGGCTTCAGCAGTCTACCCTGAGCCCAAGGAAAACACCAGAGAGAGGGAGAGTGAAGGGTCCTAGCCAGTGTAGTTTGGACGGAGGCTTTCCAGTTCCAAACCATCCTGCCAACTTGCCAATGCTTCATTACAAACAACCCTGGGGTCCTGAAGTCACCATGATTTTATCCTCTGTGTTAAAATCCTGGTGTTTAAAGTTGAAACTTTTTTCCTTATGGTGGCCCCACTATCTTCCAACAGCTGAGCTGAGGTAGATTGAAAATTCATTTGAGAGTGCATACATGCTGCCCTCATGGTGCCTTTCTTCTTCTTTTAGCTCCAAGGCACATTGGGTTCCTGACATGCAAGTGGTAGCTTAGCATGAAAGAGAAGGCGTGAGAGGTGTCGGGGCTTGTGGTAATTATTTGGGGTCATCCACATAGAGGAAATAACTTAAGCAATAATATTTTTGGTAGAAGAGAATTTAAAGGGAAAAGAAGAGAGGGCTGAGAACCAAGTCTGGAAGTGTCTGCAATTCAAGAATGGTGGAAAAACAGGAGACAGGAATACTGAGGAGATTGGGAAAAAACAGGAGCGTCAAGTCACTGAGGCGGCAGGAGGGGAGTTTGAAGAAGGGAATAACTATTGTCAGCTTCCACAGTGAAACCAAAGAAAATAAGGACTGTAAACAGAAGATTTGGGAATTATTCAATCAAATTGAATACTTTAAAAAAAATTTATGTCAGATTCTGTTTGTGGTTCAAAAATCAGAGAGAGAAGGATACCAGCCCTGCTCCTAACAAATTTAGAAGTGAGGTTAAGTCAAATATTTAATAAAATATGTTGAATGTCATGTGAGGTCACAAGTATTTCTCAGCCTTTTTTTTTTTCAAGAATACCCTATACTTGCTTTCTTCTGCTGTATCATCCTAACATTGTTCAACACAATTGTCATCAGGTTTCCAAATCCCCTTATAACCAACTAACTGAAAGTAACCAACTAACTAACACATCGACCAGAGATTTGTTGTGCATCTACTTACTACATGCCACTGTACTGGACATGAGGGGCACAATCATGAGTCAGAAACTGTTCTTTTCCTTAAGAAGCTCATGGTCTGGTGGTAAAGGCTGACACGTAGGTGAAGAATGCATATACAGTGCAATGTCAGGGGACTCCCCACCCCACCTCCTGACTGAGAGTCCGAATCTAGTAAATAAAAATCCATTTTAGGAGCATCAATGTAACATGTATAAAAATTCCAGTTGTACGGATTATAGAGGTTCAAAAGTTGAGGATTGCCTCTGATCTTCCCCAAGCATATTTGTATTCAGATTGGGAGGAGTAGGTGAAGGAACAGAGGTTAAGAATGCTACAGTGAGATGAGGCTGTGGAATATGGAAGAGCTTATTCCTGAGCCCCCTTCTCTGTGCTCTGAGCCCCCAAGCTGCTTTGTCTACTTGGGGACTGTGTCTGACTTATGTCCCCAGAGTCTAAAGATCATCTGCCGTGATAGTAGTTCCACTAAGGCTGCAGGCAAGAGAGCTTTTCTGAGAGCAACACTTACCCAGCATCCCCCATGGCTGGCCAGTCACTGGAAACACCACTGTGTAGGATGAACCATAGTGCACACCTAAGTGCAGCTCTGTAGCTACATTTGCATTGCTTTTGCCTTGCATCTGGCTGCAGCTTCCCCTTGGCTCAGGTTGTCATTACCTTACCCCTTGCCAGACATCATAAGAAAAGTCTATTTCTTCCTTCTCTGTAGTGTCTAAATTCAAATGTGGCTAATCCTTAGAATTAAAATGTAAATCCATATCATGTATGAAATTTCCATGGTGCACAAGGCTGGAATACAGTTAGAGTTGGAACTGATTCTGAATGACATTGAAGGACATTTGTGAGGTAGATTCCAGTATGCAGTAAACCATGGGTAGATCACTCATTTATTGAATCACTTACTATCTGCAGAGAAATTTACTAGGGTTTTGGTATTTGTGCGGGGACATTGAGGACATCAAAAGAATTGTGCTACTGGTCCATGCCCTTGGGAATGTGATATATTCCCCTTTCTTTCTCTGAGAGTTGTTATAATTAGGAAAAGTGTACTAGATCATTCTAAAATATTTAAGAAAATCCATAACATGTATGACTTTTCAAATAACAGTTTTTGTTGTTATTACAATGTACTTTGAAAGACAACTGTAGAGTTCCACAGGCAAGAGGTGATATAGTCAACCTGGTAACCGGAGCGGCGGGGAGGGGATACCATTTACAGAGTGAGGGCAGAGATCGTAGAAACCAACAAGAGATGGTACAGTGTCCCCGAGCTAGAAGCAGCAAGGAGTGGTTAACACCTCTCAACCTGAAAGCTAGAGGAGGGAGGGGAGGCTACCTTTATATAGAGGGATGCCTGATAGTGGTTAACCCAGCCAACCTACAGCAACCTGGAGGGGAGGAGGCAGGAGAAATCAGTATCTCAACCTCATCCTCCCTGCCTTCCAATCTCTTGCTGTTCCTCTCATTGGCAGAAGCTGGAAAGCAAGGAAGCAGTCCCTAAGGGCCAGCCCTGTAGGATACAGGGTAGGGAGGGGAGCTGGAAGATGCATGTGATGAGATTAGGCACCACATTCAAATGTGCGTTATATTCATTTACACGACCTGGCTACCTTTACTACCAGACAGAACACGGGGTAGGAGAGGGAGGCAGGCAGGAGAGGAGGGGTATGAGATATGAGCCTTCCTCTCCAGTGATGGATGCTGCTTCCTAACCAAGGCATAGCATTCTCGAGGAGCCCCTCTGGCTTGTTTGTTTAGCAGTAACAGTGCTCTTCTTTAGTATCTTTGAAGCCTTGATTAGAATAACTGTTTCCCGCTACAGCTGCATGCTTTAAAAATATTATTTTCCTTCCTATGTAGAGTTTGAGGATTCAGACAGGCACTAACCTGGGTGTGTATGATCTCCAGAAGCAAGAAGGAGTTGCTGTAGGTCACTGTTAACCTGTTACTGGCAACAGGATTATTTGGAACAAACCATATGGAGCAAGAGACTCCTGACTATCCTTCTCAAGATAGGAGACAGGAGACAGGTTATGAAAAATGGAATGAGAAAGGGAATATGGTACCACAGTTGGATTAGGACAGATACTTTAAACCAAAATTTTGTCTGTTGTGAATTTTACAATGTAAAGAAATAGAATTTCCTTTTCATGGGAATTTGCCTTAGTTCATTTTCTGATGCTATAAAAGAGAATACCAGAGACTGGGTAATTTATAAAGAAAATAAATGTATTTCTCAGAGTCTGGAGACAGGGAAGTCCAAGAGCTTGGCACTGGCATCTGGCAAGGGCCATCCCATGGTGGAGGGGTGGAAGGGAGAGGCGAGCATGCGAGACAGAGAGGAAATCTGGCCAAACTCATTCTTTTTTATCAGGAGCCCACTCCTGTGATAACAAATCCACTCTCTCAGTAACAGTGTTAATCCATTAATCCACCTCTTAAAAGTCCTACCTCTCAGCACTGCTGCACTGGGGATTAAGTTTCCAACACATGAACTCTGGGGGGCATAATTATACCATAGCAGAAGTCACTGGTATAAACAAGCACTTTGAAATGTCTCAAAATATATTTTTGCATATGACAAGGTACTTTGTATAAGAAGAATATCTCTTTCAGCTGTGAATGTTCACACTTTAAAATTTGACATTCTCGGCCAAGCATGATGGCTCACGTCTGTCATCTCAGCACTTTGGGAGACCAACACAGGCGGATCATCTGAGATCAGGAGTTTGAGACCAGCCTGGCCAACATGGTGAAACCCCGTCTCTACTAAAAATACAAAAACTAGCCGGGCATGGTGGCTTGGGCCTGTAGTCCCAGCCACTCAGGAGGCTGAAGCAGGAGAATCGCTTGAACCAGGAAGGTGGAGGTTGCAGTGAGCCAAGATCGTACCACTGCACTCCAGCCTGGGTGACAGAGCTAGACTCCATCTCAAAAAAAAAAAAAAAAAATTGACATTCTCAACCCCTTCAAACAGTAAAGCTACTGAAATGTGATTATACAATGGTCTAAGGCTTATTTGCTGTATAATAGACCATGTCCAGTTATATTATGTGTAAATAATATTAATTTTAAGCATTTTGATTAGCATCTTTTACTTTTTCTGTCCTTTTATGAGTCAAGGGACAAGATGTATTAGTCATCTTTCTAGCCTAATGAGTTAGACAAATATTAAAATTTTATATAAAGCAAACACAAGTAAAGATTTGTGTTATGTTTGGATAAACTAAGTCAAGGAATTTGCTGATCCCATAAAATTCATCTGTCACCTCTTTTATTTAGTTCAATTCTGTATGTTTTCATGTTTGCTTTCCTGTTTAATGAATATGCTTAAGACAGTCTTTGGCCATCAGGAACATCTGGGGAACAATATCTTTGATTCTAGTTGTTTGTTAAACAAGTCCTAGGGTAGAAGCTGTGTGTATATACCAAGACCTTCTGTAAACCCCACTTGATTGGGAGAGAACAGTAGGTGAGCCCCCTGACGTGCCATGGGCTGTCCTCCCTGCCTAAAGGTCTCCAAAACTTGCACTGACACAAGAACCTGTTTATTCTGCTGAGCTCAGGCTGCAGTTTTCCCTGCGTGTCACCATCTCTGAGCTGAAGATGACCTGAGATGCTTAAGCTTTGCGTTTGTATTAAGTATTTTCCCAAGCACACCCATTGTACGCTTGCCTCTCTGTGGCTTCTCCTCTTGGAACCTCTACTGACCAGTATTATGGAGACTTTGTTGATACGTGAAACAGGATCCAGATCAGAGCAATTTTAGGTGTCTGAGTTTAAGATTTGTTCTAAAGAGGCTGGGCACCATGGCTCATGCCTGTAATCCCAGCACTTTGGGAGGCTGAGGCTGGCAGATCACTTGAGGTCAGGAGTTCTAGACCAGTCTGGCCAACACCGTGAAACCCCGTCTCTACTAATAATACAAGAATTAGCTGAGCATGGTGGCGGGCGCCTGTAATGCCAGCTACTCCAGAGGCTGAAGCAGGAGAATCACTTGAACCCGGGAGGCGGAGGCTGCAGTGAGCAGAGATTGTGCCACTGCACTCCAGCCTGGGTGACAGAGCAGAGACTCGTCTCAAAAAAAAAAAACAAACAAGCAAAACAAACAAAAAAAACTGTTCAAAAGAAGCAGAGTAACCAAACCCAAACTTTAGCAACACTGAGGGTTTAGCTTTCTCAAGAGAAATGATCTAGAGTATGAAGATACAGAAACCGAATTGTAACCCTACCCTTAACAAGCACCCCTCTAATAAACATATTCGCTTTATCCAAGAATATCAGAGGCATCTCATTCTCAGTTACAATGTCTGTTTAAATTTAATTTTGAACAAATTGCCACTCCTCTGTTTATTTTACCATATCAAAGAGTAAAGTAACTGCTTATGAAAGACAGGGGCTTTATTTATTTTAAAATTAGTGTAGTAGAGTCAACAACATGCCTCCTCTTTAAAAGTTATTTTTAATATTTGTTTATTTACAGAGCAGTCTTCTATATACAGAAAAATTGAACGGATAGTACAGAGAGTTCCTATGTTATAACCCCTCCCACACACAGTATCCCTTATTATTAAATCTTACATTACTGTGGTATATTTGTTGCAGTTAATGAACTGATAGGGATATGTTAACGTTAACTAAAATCTGTACTTTGTTTAGATTTCCTTAGTTCTTACCCCTATCCTTTCGGTGTTCCGGGATCCCACCCAGGATCCTTATTCTATTTAGCCATTATGTCTCCTTAGGCTCCTCTTGGCTGTGACCGTTTTTCAGGTTTTCTTTGTTTTTGATGAGTACCAGTTTTGAGGAGTACTGGTCAGAAATGTTGTAGAATGTTCCCCAACTGCGATTTAGCTGATGTTTTTCTCATGATTAGCCTGGGGTTATGGGTTTTTGGGAGGAAGATCACAGTAAACTGTGATTTACTCTCTGATCTTCATCATGAAGTAATACATCTTATCAAGATTACAGACTAGCAATATGACTTATCACTGTTGATGTTGACCTTGATCATCTGGCTGAAGTAGTGTTTGTCAAGTTTCTCTGCTGAGACGTCACTAACTGCCCCCACCGCCCGCCCCATTTCCATATTGTGCTCTTTGGAAGGAGGTCCCTGTGTACAGCCTACATATAAAGGAGCTATGCTCCCCCTCCTTTACAGCGGAATATCTATGTTATTTATTTGGTATTCTTCTGCCTGGGAGATTTGTCTCATCTTTCCATTTATTATTTTTTTCAATAATTTATTTATGTCAGTATGGACTCATGGATGTTTATACTTCGGGTTATAATCCAGTACTACTTTATTTTGTTGCCTGGATTGTTGTAGCTTTGGCCATTGGGTCCCTCTTTTGAAGTATTATTCAAAGAGGAATCTTTGTTTCTGGTGTTCATACTAATAGAGAGAGGTCTCTATTGTGAGACTGTCCTTCAGAACGACCCTGACTGGTCTGCTCAGGTGAGCTGCTTTTCTGGAGGTAGGGAACCCACTCCTTATACCTCTCAGCTTGCAGGACTTGGAGCCAAGTCTCCCCAGAGGAATAAATGGGTTGTGAGACCCAAATTAGAGAATATGCAGAAGAAGCATAAAGTAATAATGCTGAATTTGGGTAAAGGTTAGGGAGCATGTAGACATGAGTGCACAAGCATTACTTCATTTAATTCTACATTTAACAAGTATTTACTGAGTGCCTAATGTGTGCTGGGCATTGTTGCAGGCACCATAACAACATACGTTCTCTGCCTTCCTAAGCATAACTTCATCAAAAACAAGGAAAATCTGAAAAACTGTCACAGCCAAGAGGAGCCTAAGGAGACATAATGACTAAATAGAAGTTGGGGAGATAGACCGTAGCCCAAGTAGATAGTTGAGGTATGGAGAAATGCTGTGGAGAAAAATAAAGCAGGGTAAATGGCTTAAGTGCAGCAGCGGGTGGAGGCTTGGGGTGCTCTTTAGAGAGTGGCAGGGAAAGGATCTCTGAGGAAATGAATTTGAGCAGGAATGAGGTAGAGAAATGAGCCCCCTGGGTATCTTGGGGAAAAGTCTTCTGGGCAGAGGGAATGGCAAGTGCAAAGGCCTTGAAACTATGGCTAAAATGAACCTCTGGGATTTCATGTGGATTTAAATCTTCCATGCTATCCTGATTTTGCCATTAACATGAATTATTAAAAGGAATTCAGTGAACAGACGTGATTGCTGACCCAGGATTGGTTGCTAGAGTACCAACTAACCTAACATCCAACTCCCATCTGGATAGAGTTTCCTAAGAGGAGAGGACTGGTCTACATTTGTGAACCACAGAGAAAGAAGATATGCTCAGTATTGACTGACCATGTCTTTGATGTACCATACTTCTTTCTAGGAGGAAGGAGAGATTGTTATTGAAAGCCAGCTAAAAAGCCAGGCAGCAACTTGTCTCATAAGATGTAGCTAGAAATAAAAGCTGCTTGAGTGGTTTTCAAATGTCTTAATTCTCATAATTGTTTCCACATTCTGGGCTGGCTGGACATTTTTTCAGGGAAGCAAGTTTGGAAGAGTCTAAATGAAAGCTTTGCTCATGAAGTTTTCATTTGGATTCCACATATAGACTTTCTAAACCATCATTTTATGAAGTCTTAAATTACTGAAGTTTGAAGTTGTGGTAATTGCTCCAAAGTTTAGCATCTTTTTTTTCTAGGTTAGAACTATCAGACCCTCTAAACCTTTAGTATAAAAACAAACAAACAAAAAACAGCTTGGGATTTGACAGAAGTAAAGTTGAGCAATGTTAACCTGGTCCTGAAATTGACCATATTGTATCCTACTTACCATAAAAGTTGAAAACATATTTTCAGAAAAGTGTCTTCTCAGGGTTAAGAAAAAAAAAGGCCAAAGGCTATTTAGAATGCCCTCTATTTTTTATAGCATGGGGCAGTCTTTTAATGTGATTTGATCAGATCATTCTATTTTGGTAATTCTGTAACTCTTGTAAGTATAAATATAGTCCTTGGTTCTGTCTGGCGTTTCACATGCCTGTGGAGATAAAGTATAGTGTTGCAGATAAGAATGCAGGCTGTAGAACGAGGCTGCCTGAATAGAATCCAGGGTCTCCCACTCCTAGCTGTGTAACCTTAGGCAAGGGTGCTTCAGTTTTCTCAAATGCATAATGGGTGTAATAATAGTATCTACATCATTGTTGGGAGGATACCATGAGATAATCCATGTAAAATGCTTAGTTCAGCACCTGGCACAGATAAGCACTCAAATATTAATAATGAAAAATAGTAATAATAAAGTAGAGATATTAAGTAATGTACCTGAAAACACTTAGTTAATAGGTGACAGAGCTCGCTACTTGTCATACTTAGTGATTGATGTATAAGTCAGCAAAGGCATTTCACAGAACCTTTTCATTTTAGACATGGAAAAAGATAGTGTAAGACAGAGATTCATTCATTCATTCAACAAATACTGATCCTGTAGATATGAGCATAATAGGCAGGTTCCCTGCTTTGCTGGAGTGGAACGGTCTAGGGGTGGGAGATGGACAATAAATTCTTAAGCAACAAAAGAAAATACTGGGTCACAAGCAACTGGGTAGCTCTGATGGAGGTAAACCAAGGGCTCTCTGAGAATGAGAGCTGTGGAGCTATCTTGAATTAGTCAGAAAAGTATCTTTGTGGAGGGGACATTGAGACTAGGACTGAAGTAACTGATTAATTTGTTCAAAATCACAGAATCATATTTTAAGGGTTAAGGGAGGCCAAGAGATAATAATAAATCAGTCATTTGTTATAAGCTTGCTAAAAATTTTTGGTAATTCTAGCTAAGACAGTATGATAATCTGTAGATAACGTGTACTGGGGAGATCTGTGGTGATGGCATTAGGCAATGTTTTATAGGAGAATTGGTGAAAGCTACATCCTTGTGTGGTCAGGGTTTTGCAAGTCAAGTTTTGGTTATGTGAAGATTAAGTAGAAAACTATTTTATTTTTGTTGTCACTGAAAAACCCTGAAGTGTGCTGTGCTTGTAAGAATAAACTGAACATATGCAAATCTTTGAGGCTTTTCCTTTGAACATTAATTTTGATTTTTCAAAGCCATAATTGTAGAAGATAGAATACATTAAGTAGAATATATGCTTCTAATTAAAAGTCTTGATTTACTTATTACAGAAAATGTGGTAGATGGAAAAAATTAGAAAGAATTTTTAAAAAATGACTCACAGTTCCACCATTCTTAACTATTTACATTTTGAGATTTTTTTTCATTATCTTTTTCTATATAGTCAACACAAATAAATTTTTGTTATGTGTATTGTATATTAAAGCAATGACATGGGCTTTTTCTTGTATTACCGCAACTTCATAGTGAGTATGTTTTTCATGGACTGTATAGTATTCCATCCTGTGCAATCTTTTTCACCAATTTCCTATGCGAAGTTTTTTTTCTCTCATTACCTGTTTCTCTCAAAAGTAGGATCTGGAACCAGGGTACAGTGCTGCTTAGTGGGAGTTCTGGCTAATCATAGTTTTTCTGTGATGTCTCAACTTTGTCAGACAAAATTGCTTTGCAGTCTCAGGGCAATTTTTGCTAAAAACATGTCTTAAACTGTTTTGGTTTTGACAAGGGACAGTTGAATTTGAAGATTTTTGAAGTAAAAATCATTGAGGTGTTAGTGCTTGATATAATTAAAAATTCGACCACATGTAAGAAATAAAACTAAAATGTTAAGATCCTTCAAAATAAAATTAGGAAAATTTGAGTAGTATTTTTGTAGTGTCTTAATTCCAATGTCTTTGTGACATATTCATCTTTATATTTCTAATAAATTAGTCAAAGATAATATAACTTTTAAATTAGAAATGTTTCTCTTAGATGTATAGAGCATGAAACAAAGTAAAATATATACATTATTTTTAATTAGAAAAGACACATAATAATTGTATTATTAAATTTTCCCATGTGGTGTCTTAGTCTATTCCTGTTGCAATAATAAAAATACTTTAGGTAATTAATAAATAACAGAAATTTATTGCTCACTATTCTGGAAGCTAGGAGGTCCAAGATCAAAGCATCAGTAGATTTGGTGTCTGGTGAGGGCCTGGTCTCTGCTTCCAGAAGGGGGCAAATGCTGTGTCCTTGAATGGCAGTGTGGCAAAAAGGGTCTCACGAGTTCTCTCAGGCCTCTTCAATAAGGGCACTAATCCCATTCACTTCCCAAAGTCCCCACCTATTAATATCACTGCAGTTAGGGTTAGGTGTCAACATGAATTTTGGAGGCACACAAACATTCAGACCATAGCAAGTGATTCTCGGATTGTTTGTCTTGAATTTCTGTATACTTTCAACATGGTTGAAAGCTGTATTTCTCTTTAAATATTTAAATTGAGTATCACTAGATTAGCACCTTGTATTTAACTCTCATATGCTGCTGGTAGAATTAAAAATATGATCTCTCAGGCTGGGTGTGATGGCTCATGCTTGTAATCTCAGCACTTTGGGAGGCCAAGGTGGGCGGATCACCTGAGATCAGGAGTTCGAGACCATCCTGGCCAACATGGTGAAACCCCGTCTCTACTAAAAACACAAAAATTAGCCGGGCGTGCTGGCATGCGCCTGTGGTCCCAGCTACTCAGGAGGCTGAGACAGGAGAATCACTTGAACCCAGGAGGCAGAGGTTGCAGTGAGCCAAGATTGCACCACTGCACTCCAGCCTGGGCGACAGAGCAAGACTCCATCTTGGAAAAAAAAAAATGCTATCTCTCTTAAGTGGAGTTTCACAAGATGTATCAGAAACCCTTAAATAGATTTATATCCTTTACTTCAATTTGAAATCTATGGGTTATTCCTAAAGAAACAATTGGCTAGATATATAAAGATTAATGAACAAGAATGCAGCCTTGCTTATAAAAGTGAAATACAGGAAGCAACCCTAATGTCCAGTATTTAGGATTAGTTAAGTCAGGTGTGGCCTATTCATATAATAGAATATTGTGAAGCTATTAAAATTATACTACCTGTATTTTTAATTTGGGGAAATTATGATATAGTGTAAATATATGATATTATCATGAATTTATTTGATATTTACAGTTAAATATTGGTGACTGTCTGCCAAAGAGAGTAATTTTTATTTTGTCATTATGAAAATTGAGTCTTCCTTTCTTGTAATTGAAAGATACTGGAACCATTTGTCTCTTGAGACTACTCCCAGTTTTTTTTAAGCATATAAAATGATATTTACCTCCCATTTGCTATGGCCAAAAAGCAATATCTAATTCATGTAAAAGTATCATTATACCATTAAAATATAAATTAAAAAAAAGACTGAGATACATTTCTATTTTGTACTACTTAATAGTTATCTGGTCTTCTTGATTCTGGTTGTGGTATTAGATTTCAGAATTTTCAGGAACTTTAAAATCTGGGGGCTTTTACTGAGCTTTTACTGTCACAGCTCCCAGAGGGCTGCTCAGTCCCTCTGCCGACTGAATCTCTGGTTCTCCAGGGAATAAGCTGCAGCCTCATTCTCAGTGAGGGAGCAGATGGTCATTCTTCCAAGAAGCTAGAACCCTGACCCTAAGCCCAATCTTCTTCCGTAGGACCGTTCATGGCTGTGGCCAGACCACTGTGAGGCAGAACACTTGGTTTTCCCCACCACGTGTAGACAGATGGGCATCCGTGGGGCTTCTGCCCAGCCCTTCCTTGGCCAAGATCCCTCGCTTTTGGGATTCAAGAGATCTTTTACTGAGAGGATTAGTGTCTTCCCTGTCTGCCTGATATCCCAGTTTGGGGTCTTCTTTCAGACAAGTGTCTGAAGAACATGCCCTCACTTAATAGATATGTTCTCACATCCACATTGAGTTGGAGATCTGCCCCAATTCCAAATCTCAGTCTTGCCTGTGGAAGCCCGATCCTCCTCCACCTGCCGTGTTGAGGAATGCTGGAAAATCCAGTGAGCAGGTTCACATTGGTACAGTTTGGGTTAGGAGACTATAAGGAAGAAGTGAACAAAAGGTAAGGAAGGGAGATATTGGGACCAAAGTCTCCATCCCTGCATCATATACCTAATATGTGAATATCAGAGTTGTTTGTTGAAACCAAAAGATGGCAAAAGGAGGATCAGGAGTGGAATCAGAAGTCATAGAAAACTGGTCTCTTGGGGTATCTGTTTGGTTATGTGAATGGTAATTCAACTCCTATTATCTTGGGAAGAATGTACCTGAAATTACCAACCTGCCGTTGATTAATGAACATATCCATAAATAACTAATGAACTGGGAGCCAGGAGGAGGCATTAACATAATGTGTTGTCATTGTGTTACCAGTGCAGAGTGGATATTGCAGGGCTCAGCACATTTGCCCTGTTGATGCCTCCATGAGAATTCATTCATTCATTCAGCCAGCCAGCCAACCTACCAATAATTACCCACCATGAGGCAGACAGAGCAACTGAATCCTAGGGTTGTAATGGTGAACAAAATAGAGATACACCCTCCTAACCTGAGCGGCCTAGCCTGGGAAACAAACAATTAAAATGTGCGCTAAATGCTGTGGTAGGAGGTCAGGGGCTATGTCCTGGACCAAAGGACATTTGCACTGAGACCTGACACTTCAGGTCTTCAACTCCCTTGATGGGAGTTAGCCAGAACGGGCTTAGAAACAGCAATTGATGGCTTAGTGACTGATTTTACAAATGATATTTGTTTCTTCTTTAAATTTCTTTCTAGGATGTTCACTTCTCCACAATGAATGAGTGTCACTATGACAAGCACATGGACTTTTTTTATAATAGGAGCAACACTGATACTGTCGATGACTGGACAGGAACAAAGCTTGTGATTGTTTTGTGTGTTGGGACGTTTTTCTGCCTGTTTATTTTTTTTTCTAATTCTCTGGTCATCGCGGCAGTGATCAAAAACAGAAAATTTCATTTCCCCTTCTACTACCTGTTGGCTAATTTAGCTGCTGCCGATTTCTTCGCTGGAATTGCCTATGTATTCCTGATGTTTAACACAGGCCCAGTTTCAAAAACTTTGACTGTCAACCGCTGGTTTCTCCGTCAGGGGCTTCTGGACAGTAGCTTGACTGCTTCCCTCACCAACTTGCTGGTTATCGCCGTGGAGAGGCACATGTCAATCATGAGGATGCGGGTCCATAGCAACCTGACCAAAAAGAGGGTGACACTGCTCATTTTGCTTGTCTGGGCCATCGCCATTTTTATGGGGGCGGTCCCCACACTGGGCTGGAATTGCCTCTGCAACATCTCTGCCTGCTCTTCCCTGGCCCCCATTTACAGCAGGAGTTACCTTGTTTTCTGGACAGTGTCCAACCTCATGGCCTTCCTCATCATGGTTGTGGTGTACCTGCGGATCTACGTGTACGTCAAGAGGAAAACCAACGTCTTGTCTCCGCATACAAGTGGGTCCATCAGCCGCCGGAGGACACCCATGAAGCTAATGAAGACGGTGATGACTGTCTTAGGTAGGTAAGAGGACCCAAGCAAGCCATCATTCCCATTCATTCAGCAAATCTTTACGGAGCATCTGTGGTGTACCAGGCACTTACTAGGCAGTAAGAATGCAGCAGTGAACAAGAACGGACATAAATCGCCACCCACCTGGAGCTTACACTCTAATAAGGAAAGATAAAATAAGTATTCTAATGGGGGTAAACAAATTAAGTGAAATAAGATGAGTCTCCTGTGGAAAAATCAATCAGGGAAGGAAGGAAAAATAAAGCAGGGAAGGGAGCTGGAGAGTGCTAAGCTAAGCAGGTATCGTTTGCACTTTAAAAAAGTGTTGTGAGGGATGCCTGGAAGATGACTTTTGAGCAGAGGTGTGAAGGCAGTCAGGGAGTGAACCATACTGGTGTCTGGGGAAGGGTGTTCCAGGTGGGAGAAGCGGTAAGCACAGGAGCCCTGACCAGCCAGGAAGCCACTATGGCTGCATGGATCGAGCAGAGGGAGTAGGAGAAGATGAGGTCAGGGAGCTGGTGGGGTAGGGGATGGGCTACTCAGATAATGTAGGGTCATGTGGTTATAAGGACTTCAGCTTTTCATTTTTTTTTCTTTTTTCTTTTTTTGCCGGAGCCTCACTCACTCTGTCACCCAGGCTGGAGTGCAGTGGTGCCGTCTCAGCTCACTGCAACCTCCACCTCCCGAGTTCAAGCAATTCTCCTGCCTCAGCGTCCCAAGTTGCTGGGATTACAGGCAGCGCACCACCATGCCCAGCTAATTTTTGTATTTTTAGTAGAGATGGGGTTTCTCCATGTTGGCTGGGCCAGTCTCAAGTGAGATGAGAAGCTATGGGAAGGTTTTAAACAGGGGAGTGACATGATCTGACTTATATTTTAATGGTATCTCTCTGGCTACTGTTTTAAGACACTGCTGTAATGAGGCAATAGCAAAAACAGGAAAATTGTTTAACCTATTTATGCCTAGTGTTCCATTATTGGAATGCTAAGCTTGTGGGAGTTATTTATATCCTACTGCTCAAGGTCATTGACAAGTTCTGATTTTTCACAAAAGAAATTTGCAACCCCTGGCATAAATGGGTTAATAGAGTATTTCAGTACTCGGGAGAGATCACCATGGCCAGATGGTAGTTGAAGGTGATGGTCAGATTCTGTTTTTTTGTTTTTTGTTTTTTTTTTTTTGAGACAGGACCTGGCTCTGTCATCTAGGCTATAGTGCAGTGGTGCAATCTCAGCTCACTGCAACCTCCACCTCCTGGCCTCAAGTGATCCTTCTACCTCAGCCTCCCAAGTAGCTGGGATTACAGGCCTGTGCCACCAGGCCCGGCTAATTTTTGTAATTTTTTTAGAGACAGGGTTTCACCATGTTGCCCAGGCTACTCTCGAACTCCTGAGCTGAAGCCATCCGCCTGCCTCGGCCTCCCACAGTACTGGGATTACAGGTGTGAGCCACTGCACCTGGCCAGATTCCAGATATTTTTTAAAGGATTTACTGATGGGTAAGGTAGAGGGGAAGATGAGAGGTGGAGGAGAAGGTGGGGAATGTCATTAACCAAGATGAGGAAGACTGAAGAGGAGGAGGTTTTGGGGGAAGATTTGGTTTTGGACAAGCTAAATTTAGGAACCTATTAGACATCCAAGGGGTGTGGCAATTTTATTGAGTGGACAGTTGGATGTTTGACTCAGGAATTCAAGATTTAGGTCTGGGCTGGAGATGTACATTTGAGAGTCCTGGGGGGAAACTGGTATTTTAAATCACAGGACTGCGTGAGCTCACCATGAACGTGAATGTGGATATGAAGGAGAGGAGGACCAAGGATGGAGCCGTAGGGCAGGCCCTCCAGTGTAAGGAGGTCAGGAGGTAAGGGGCAGCCAGCAAAGGAGCCCTAGAAGGGATGGAAAACCCAGGAGACTCTGGGGAACTAGAAGAAAGAGAAGAAGGCAATCGAGGAGAGGAAGCATTAGCAGTGTTGGTACCCCTGAGAGGTGGTGTAAGACCAGGTGTTGCTGGCCTTACCAAAGTGGTGGACTTGTGCTGATCTTGAGATCATCACATTTGGTATAGCCAAGAGCCTGATTGGAGTAAAATTGAGAAAGAAAGGAAGAGCCTGGGCAACATGGTGAAACCCCATCTCTATGAAAAATACTAAAATTAGCTGGCCATGGTGGTGCATACCTGTAGTCCCAGCTACTTGGGTGGCTGAGGTGGGAGAACCGCTTGAACCCGGGAGGTTGAGGTTGAGTGAGCTGTGATCACACCACGGCACTCCAGCCTGAACAACAGAGTAAGAGCCTGTCTTAAGAAACAAAAACAAAACCAAAAAAAAAAAAAGGGAGGAGAGAAAGGTTGTGAGCCCTGTACCAAGAAGACATGTGGTTTCGTAGAATTTTCCCTTTGTTTTATTTTCTCTGAAGTAGGTGGCCTATTGCCCCACCTCCCCAGTTCTAATTCTGGGTTACAGGTAGAATTTGTAATGTGTGGGCAGACAAGAACTTTTGTGGTTTCACAGAACTTGTCTTGTAAGGCAGAGAGGCCGTTTCTCACTGTGTGTGTGGCTGCAGCAATGGGGACTGTTGCTGAGAGAGATTCAGGAGTACATTTCTGTCTACTCCTTATGAGAAGGAATTATAAAATGAATTATCAGGTAGCAGTTCATAGTGGAGGATACAGTATGTGTGGTGTGGTATAGAAACCCTCACAATGCCTCTAGGTCCTGAAACTGCTAGTAAGATTTGGGGGTCAGCAGACACAGAGTGTGATTGTTAAAATAATTTCAAACTGAGGATTTATTTAACAAATATTTATATAGTGCTTAATATGTGCCAAGCATTGTCCTAAGTGTTTTTACAAACATTAACTTATTTAATTCTCATGGAAACCCTGTGAGATAGGTGCTACTATTATACCCATTTACCAGATGGAGAAACTGAGAGTTTAAGCAGTGTGTCCAGTCACTCAGCTGTTAACCAAGACTCACTGCGCAGCTGGCCTCTAGAGTTCACATATTTACCACCATACTCTGTGGCTACTTGTGATTTATCTGGACTTTTTACGCTCATCTTTTTGTCCTGTCTTCTGCTTTGACACCGTTGACACATTGATAAGAAAATGGACAAGAACAAGAAAAAGAGGGTTCACATTAATCGGCATTTCCCCTCGAGCTGGAGAAGATATTGATGTTTTTGATAAAGAATGAACTTTGGTATTTACAGATAGTGTCAATGAACTGTGCTGCTGTCCCTGCTTAACTTGTAGGCATAATCATTTGCTTGGCTATGTGTCTTGAGAAATTACCCGCCTGCTTAAAAAGAAAACTTTCTTTTCTCATCATATTATAATATAGTATACAGCATGATAGAGACAAGGATTCCAAAATCCTAGGTGGAGAGAACAGGACCCTTTGTGAGACAGTCATGGTCACAAACTTCAGTTTTGTATGTAATTTTGTCTGCAACAGTTACGGAAGGGGTTAAAAGAAAGGAGCTGGGAGGTTTTGGCAGGTGTGGTATTGACTAAGAGAAAAACCAGAATGAACAATTAAATTTCCAAGTAGGATAAGAGAAGTCATGCAATTGAGATAAGACAACATTGGGGAATTGGTTAATGGAAGAAAGACAGTTTGGTGTCAAGGACCTCAGAAGTTCCTTAATGGTAAGACAGAGGAACCTGGTGGAAGACAGGAAGTTCAGGGACGAGGGAAATGAAACTCAAGAGCTAGGTGGTGTAAGGCTGAAGACTTCCAGCTCCTGATTTCTCTAGATAACAGAAAGATTTGGGTTTTACCCCCAATTCTTTCATTTTCTACAAGGGTGATCTGCAGCACATCAGCTCATCTTTTCTTGGTTAGATTCCCTCATCAGGTGGCATAGACCATCTTTAAGTTCTTTACAAGTTACAAAGTTCAATTATCCTTTATGACAGTTAGTAACCAAAGGTGGGAATGAAAAGGAAGAGTGGAGAGAGAGAGAGGGAGAGAGAGATTGAGAGAGAGAATATGAATCTTGTGGGGCAGCACCAAACATTTCTGTGGATCCAAGCACAGAGCCTCTTTCCTTGACAGCAGCACCTACCACAGTATCTTCCTAGGGAGAAAGCCCCCAGTTCCCTACATACTACATGTAAGAATTCAATTGCCTGAAACAAGCATCTCCCAAATGATAGTATATTAGAAAAATCAACAGTGCTGGCATTAACCATCATCTAATCACTGGTTCTGATTATGTGGAGATGAATAGCTTAATACTCATGTTTTTAATAATTGGAGGATTTAAATGTCTTTATGATAAAATGCTAAACATTTCCATTTACTCCTTGATACATATTTTGTAGGAAAGATTCATTTAAGATTAAATCCATCCAGGTGTGGTGGCTCACGCCTATAATTCTAGCACTCTGGGAGGCCGAGGCGGGCGGATCACTTGAGGTCAGGAGTTTGAGACCATCCTGGCCAACATGGTGAAACCCCGTCTCTACTAAAAATACAAAAATTAGCTGGGTTTGATGGTAGGCACCTGTAATTCCAGCTACTCAGGAGGCTGAGGCAGGAGAATTGGTTGAACCCAGGAGGTGGAGGTTGCAGTGAGCCAAGATGGCGCCCCCGCACTCCAGCCTGGGTGACAGTGAGACTCCGTATCAAAAAAAAAAAAAAAAAAAAAAAATTAAATCCTAAAGTTTCTTACGAACCCTCTTCTTTTACATATTAGAAAGTCAGTCTCTAAGTACATATTAACTGTCTATTAAACAGTATCTAAGAGGTACATGGTTGCATGAATTCAGTGAGCTTAATCTTATTTCAGAAGAGGAAAGGATGGACAGGGGCTGTTGAGTGTGGAGACGGCTTCTTAATGGGCTGGGATGTAATCTGGAAGGATAGGTGGGATTTGCATGGGCTGGAGGAAGACACATTCTAAGAGGGAGAAATGGCATACTCAGAAGTGTGATGATAGAAACATTTAAAGCTTGTGCATTACCATGAGGAAGGCCCCACAGAGTACAAATACTTGCTGTGGTGCGGTGGAAAAATAGCTCACCTGTGAACCAGCAAAGTTTAGTTGGCTATCCTCTTTGGAAGGAGAGTAGACCAGATGACCTTTGTGTTCCTTTCCAGCTTTGGGATTTTGGTTGAACACAAAAGCTAACAGCATGGGGATTCAGACTCTTTCCTTGAGGGTAGTGGTGGTAGTGATGATGGTGATGTGAGTTTTCAATCTGTGTGTGCATGATTGGAAAGGCATCAAGGCATCATGTTCCCGTTTCAGCAGCCCTGAGGCAAAATGCTTGCTCACTTCTGGGTTAGAATGTGTGATGGGGCCCTTTATGTGAAAAAAGTTGCTTATTGAATGTTCTCATTGAAAAGACATCGGAGACATACGATCCTGCTTTCCAAAGAGCACCAAGGCCCTGCCTAAGAAAGGGTTTTGAAATCTTACTTGTCAACAAGCCTAATCAGCTACAGCAACCAAACACACAAGAAACCCCACATGGAAACGTCTAATTTATTGTCAAACAACACACCATGTGAACTGTGCACACAGAAATGTTTTGTTATTTCCCAGAAAATGGGCT
Organism: Homo sapiens; assembly: GCF_000001405.40. NCBI lineage: Eukaryota > Metazoa > Chordata > Mammalia > Primates > Hominidae > Homo > Homo sapiens. The sequence continues at coordinate 84,859,827 of NC_000001.11, read as the reverse complement.
GGACTTTGCTTTATTTTGCAGTGTCTTAAAATACAAGAGAAAAGAAAGAGGGAAGGGACTTGCAAACCATTCTTTTGAAGTCTTCCATGAACCCTCCTGTCCTTTAGTGATGTTTTTCAAACTGTAAGTTTTGATGCACTGATGAGATTGTAAGCAACACTTTTTAAAATGACATAAAAAGAAGAGAAAATGTCAGAGTGTGTTGCATTTAACAGGTATCAATATTGTTTTATAACCTTTCTTTGCGTGCCTGTGTGTGTGCTGGGTTGTGATATAAAATGTATTTCCTATCATGAGTTATCGTCAAGAACGTTTGAAAAACCATGATCTTGAGGGTCAAGGTTTATTTTTCTGCCAGAAAGCACTGAACTCTTTTAAAATATGAAACATTATCGTTGTTAAGGGACTTAGGGCTTGTGGTAATTAAAACAGGGAGCTGGTTGTTTTTCTTCTCACTTCTTCCTCCCTCCTCTCCACTTAGATTGATGCTAAATCATCCTCTTTTGTCTCTTAGGGGAGAGAGGAAGAAGGCAAAGTAGCAGTAAGCAACGAAACGATAGCTCAAGTTCTCATGCTAGGAGGAAATGGGTGAAAATTAAGTACCATAAAGAGCCTTGCCAGAGTACTAATAATAATCACACATGATGTTTCTGCAGTACTGTGTCTTTTTCAGTTTTAATACACTGTTCTCTTTGGTCTCATGGAAATCCTGCCAAGCAAGTAGTTAAGGTATTATTATCCGATTTTCCTGCAACTCCCCTAGATGTATCCTATACTCAAGCTATAATGAATTATTTGCGCTTCCCCCATTTTGTCTCTTTAAGCCTTTGCAGATGTTGGGATACCTTTCCCCTAGTTCTGCCTGGGAAACTCCCATTCACCTTGTAAGACCTAACTCAAAGGTCTATCTTCTTTGAATCTTCCTTTGCCCTACTGGAGTAAATCTGATTACTGCCTCCCTTGGGCTGCCTGTCAGTCTTGTCCATACAACAATCAACGTACTTAATTGTTTACATGCCTTTATTTTGCACTAGAGTATACACCCTTCGAAGTCAGGGACTGTACCTTATTTATCTGTCTCTACATATCTAACAGCTAGTACTCTCAGCTAGCACCCTATCTGGCACACACTTGTTGAGATGTACTACAATGAATAAATGAGGAAATTGAGGCTGAGGGGAAGGTAAGTGGCTTTTCAAATGCTGGAGCTAAAAGCAGAACCCAGGTTTCCTCACTTCCATCTTGGCCTTAGATGGGCTCTGGCTGAGACATGCCTGTCAGGTAGACAAGGGAGGGAAATAGGTAAGAATCGTGTTTTTTAGGTTTTTTTTTTTTTTTTTTTTTGAGACAGTCTCGCCCTGTCGCCCAAGGCTGGAGTTTCAGTGGTGTGATCTCCGCTCACTGCAACCTCCGCCTCCTGGGTTCAAGTGATTCTTGTGCCTCAGCCTCCTGAATAGTTGGGATTATAGGCATGTGGCACCATGCCCAGCTACTTTTCTTATGTTTTTAGTAGAGATAGAGTTTCGCCATGTTGCCCAGGCTGGTCTGAAACTCCTGGCCTCAAGTGATCTGCCCATCTCGGCCTCCCAAAGTGCTGGGATTGCAGGCATGAACCACCATGCCCGGCCCTTGTTTTATCTTATAATTTTATAATATGAGAAGCCGAGGTCTCTGAAGGTTAAGCGATAGTATTATCTTGGGAAGGAGAAAAGAAATGAGCATTTTTTGAATGCTTCTTATGATGAGGTCAGCGTGTTCCAGGCTTTTAGGATTTTATTTCACTTAACCCTCATAACAACTCTATGCAGATCTGTTTTTAAGACAAGGAGATTCGAGTGGACTTAGCCTCTTGCCCACACACCCGTATTGATAAAATTATTAATAGTTAATATTCATTGTGGGGTATACATGGTTCTGAGTAACTTATATGTTTTATTTCATTTAGCATTCATGACAACCCTTGAGGGAAGTTCTGTTATTACCAGATGAGGAAACTGAGGCCCGAAAAGGTTCAATGTCTTGCTCAAGGTTAGTAGCAGAGCTGAGATTCCAACCCCAGGAGACTGGCTCCATACTCTACTTTTCAGAGTCAGTTAATAGTCTCTTGGAAGTGAGGGGGCTGGAACGATTGGACCCAAGTCATGAAGTTTATAACTTGTATCTCCCTTGGTTTCTATAAAGTTCATTTCTGTAAAGTCACATGCTCTTTCAACATTTAGCTCGCCCTTGATCCAAATGTTTTGCAGCATGCTAGTGACAGCTATGAAAACATCTCCTGGAAAATGACAGCTCTATACTCTTCAAACTTTATGCTTATTAAAATCATTGGTAAGAATAGGGGCTTTGGAGTCGGCGGGGGGAACTGGATTTAAATCCTAGCTTTGTCAATTCCAAGTTGTGTGACCTTGAGCAATTCATCTCACCTGTCTGTGCCTTAGTTTTTTCATCTGTAAGAAAGGGATAATAGTATCTTTGGCATGGTGAGGTGTTGAGGATTCAATGAGTTAATACACATAAAGCACCTAGCATAATGTTTGGTACATAGTAAGTACTAAGTAAATATTAGCTACTCTTAGACCTTAGTTTGATTCTAAAGAGCCATGCCCTGTATTCAAGCAGAATGCCCTTTTATGTCCAGTTCTATCACCAAGTAACCTGGACACAGGGACTAGAAGCCTACTGTTGGTGCCATCATGATGGCAGATTTTATAAAATGGACAAGTAGCCAAGAGGAAGCTGACCGGGTGTGCTTTGCAGAGGCTGCCTTGACAGATGGCAAATGGTACCAGCTCTGTTACTGGAGACCCAGGACAGTCTGAACACATGGTCACCACAGAACTGAAAAGCTCTGTGCTTACATTGCTAGTCCCTATAAACCACCCTCTCCCCTACGAAATTCTGTTAATGATTCCTGTCTCTGACAGATGATCTTTCCATTAATAATTCATTTCACTTTTGCAACATTTATGAATAAAACATTATAAATGAGACCCTGGCCACAAAGCATTAGCTTGACAAGAGTCCTGTGATACAGCACCAACATCTTGTGTATAGAGCTCTATTATAGGATGGTCCTCATAAGAAACTGTCCCCCTCTTGCTAACAAATCCTTCGAGAGTAGCTAGTTCGTCAGCTGCTATTATCACCTTTGCTAGGATTGGAAAGTTTGCCCTGTGACTGAAAAGAGTTGGGACCAAAACACAGGCCTTTTGGTATTATTCATAAGCTTCATCGATGAACTGTCCTTACTCCATTAAAAAAGAGAGAGAGAGAAAAAAAAAGTACATGTGCCTAAGTTCGTGAGGAATTCTGAAACATTTGTTTTCAGCTTCTGTGGCCTTGTAGTTGCTTCTGCAACACAGAAGCCTGCTTTCAATGTTTACTGCCTGCATGCCTTAGTAATCAAATATCTGTTAAAATAGAAAAAAAGAAAACAGTTAAAGCTTTGCCTTAAGAAATGCTGAGTGAAATGAACAGATTGTTGGCACACAGGGGCTCTCTTGTTGCTGTGCAGAGAGTCATATCAGAAGGAGGGTGATTCTTTTCAGAGTCAAGCCATCCAGGCACCAGTACTCAGTACATTGAGTCCGGGGGTGTTCGTACTTTTGTCTTGAAATGGCTAGTCCCAGGAGCACCTTTGTCACAGATGATTTTCCTGTGTGCTTCATGGCATTGCTACAGAGGCCTATGGGAGGGAGGCATTGTTTTCAGGGCAGGCCGTCAATCGGTGGGTGCAAAAATGCAGTTGCCACTCAGTTGCTGCCCCTACGCTGCTGTTTGACACATCCCTTCCTGTTCTGACGGGGAACGTGGGGACTGAGATGACCTCAGTGTCTGATGCTGGAAGGAAGACAGCTTCAAATTAAAAAAGAAAATCCCTCATATGGCACTCCATCCCACTTGTTCAAATGCCATCTTGACACCTCTTCCAACACCACATTTCCAGGAGTCTGTCTTCTTTCTTCTGTCTCTGCCATATGTAGCCATTTGTTACCTCAAGTCTGGCTCTTGGTTCTTTCTTTTCCCCCCACGCCACTGTTTCAGACACCTCCCTTGGCAGTCAGTTTAGAAGTGCTTTTCCCAAATCAGTGTTCTTGTTTCCAATGTAACCACTGCCCTGCCCTCTTACTTCTTCCATTTCCTCTGGTCCAGACCCCTTCAGTTCCATTACACCAAATGCACTCAGCTTCTTTTATTCCCCTCTCATGCCCCCTTCTTCAGAACTTCTGGCTTTTCTTCTTTTTAGAAAACTGAAACCTTCCTCTTAAGCTGAAACAAACAATTATTGAATATTTTCTGAGTGCAAGGTGGAGAAACATTTCTCAAATTTGACCTCTTTGAAAAGAAGGTATAGGGAGAGGTTCCAGTACCCAACTACATCCAACCCTCCTGCCAACACCCAGCCTCCTGGAAGGTTTCATGTTCCAGAACTCAGGAACACCCTCTCTTAGGGCTTTGATTTCTGCCAAAGGAGAAATGTGGTCATCGTCTGTGACTCAGGCGTCATATCACTGGGCTAATTCAACATCTGGAATAGTATGGTGTGTGCTGGCCAATGGTAGAATTTTATCAAATTCCATGTTAACATTGTACTTCGAAAATTTCAGCTGGGGACTACTATGTTCATTGTGTATCTATGGCAAACATGTTGGGTGGGAACTGGGAGTAAAGGGTGTTTGCTGGAATTATGCCCTGTCGTGGACCTAGGGATCAACACAGAAGCTGGGATAAGGGGTAAGGGAACCAAGAGTTATTGGCAGGAGTCATCTTCCCTCCTGCACTGACAGTTGTCCCTCCAGCCCAGCCACCTGCTCTCCCTCACCACCAGATTGTTGTTAACTCTGCAGAGTATGTGGCGGAAAGATCCCATTACCTCAAAGAATCAATACTGTTGAGAGATTTGACCAAGTTCACTTTGTAAATTACTGCAGCATTGTGGCTGCAGCTCTGGACCTTCTAGTTCCTGCTTCTTCTAGTGGGTCCCAACTTCTTGCCTTGGCAAAATATACCTGTCCTTGGATGCCTGAGTGACAGTGAATCACAACAGGCGTTGTTTTCATCAAGTCAGAGAATTTACTGCTCAGTGGTGAACCTATTTTATTCTTTATGTTTTTTTCTGCATTTTATATTTTCTCATCATAAACATTTATTGACTACCTTGCTAGGTTTTAGGCAGTGTACTAACTATGAGACATGGCCTCTACCCTGAAGGCACTGTGAATCTGTGCTTGCTCTAGTGGTTTATGGTTGTCAGGAAATGACCAAGATTTATGAGTCAACGGTTGTGTCACATGAGAGATAGATGACATGGAGGCAGACCTGTTCTGTGTGGCTTTTCCTGTGTGTGACTAATAGAGAACCCTATTTCCAGGCTTATTTGAGGAAATGAGAAATGTACTCAAAAAAGATAACTGAAGGCACAAAGAAATATACATAAGGGCTGAATGAGGGGGCCTAGGCTGAAAAAATGCTGTGGGCTTGGATGGTCCATGGAGGCCTCTTTGAGAAGGTAGAATATAAGCCTGATTTCAGTGTAACAGGTGGAGAGGAAAGGGGAAGGCATTGCAGATAGGAGGAAAGGCAGGGTGGGAGACAGGTATACATATGTCTAGGGAGGCCATGCCAGGGCCGTGGGTAGAAAGGGGAGACTGGGCAGACTGATTTCTGGAATAAGGAGTTTGAATAGTAATGACAATCTGGTTTGAGAGACATAAGGGAGCCAGAGACTGGAAGGCCTTGGATCCTAGGGTCCTGTGGACTTCATTGTCAGATATCTAAGAGAGACTAGGCAGATAACATGGGTATATGAATTGGGTCTGGAGTGGATATAAGGAAATAGGGAGGGGTGGTGCCTGTGGCTAACTAGACAGATCATGCCCTGTGTAAAGACAATCAGTTTCATTTTTTGTTAAAAGACCATGCAGGCCCAATTAAATAGGCCTGTGGCCAGTCTTCAGCCCACAGCTGAACTGCCTCATCTGGCAAGAAAGAGCCCATGTAGGATCTTGAGTGTTGAGAAGGTGGGAGTTGCAAAATGCAAAGCAGGGTTTTAGAAAGATGAGAGGTGGGTTGGAGAGGGAGAGATCACTTAGGAGACAATAGGAGAGTCCCCAGGATCTGGGGATGGGAGGTAGCTCAGATGCCAGAGAGAGGCAGAGCTGGTCCATCATGGTAGATGTTGTAGGAAGGCACATTTGTCAGCAGCAGCTAGAAGGCCCATCGGGGCTGCAGGGGAGGAGAAGAGAAGCAGGCCAGTGGGGCGTGAGCTTATGGAAATCTGGCAGGAGGCAGAGAGAGAAGAAGCAGGAAGAGGGATCCATCATGGGAACTAAAATTCAGAGGCAGGGTCAGGCAAGAGCAACACTTAATCAAGCCTTGCCACTTTCCCCAAGGTCTTTGAGCTTTGCCCTGTCTCATTCCCCAGCTGACCTCCCAATCTTTGCTTTCTTCATCTGGCATGAACTCCCTTAATTTCCCTTCCTTCATATCTGAGTCCACCTGCACAGGTCACATCCTTACCATCCTAGCTTTTCACTAGGGCTCATTCCTTCCAGCCAGGAGCTGGGGGATCCACGAGCCTACTCTTGTCCTTATTCTTGCTTTCCTATGAGCTTGATCGTTCAAAAATGTAAGCCCTGACCTTAACTCCCCTTCTAACTACTGCTCTGTCTCTCCCTCCCTTCACTACCAGACTTTTGTTCTTGGTTTTTTTTTTTTTTTCTTTTCTTTTCTTATTTAGAGATGGGGTCTCCCTATGTTGCCCAGGCTGGTCTCAAACTCCTGAGCTCAAGCGATCCTTCTGCCTCAGTCTCCCAAAGTACTGGGATTATAGGCACGAGCCAGTGTGCCCCGCTGATTTTTTTACTCTTGTTTATTTTCTTTTCTTAATACTTCAAACCGTAGTAAGCTAGCTTCTTCCTATACTACTCTAATACTACTGTGTTTGATTAAGCCACCATTGTCTTCCTAGTTGCCAGATTTAGTGATCTACCTTGACCTTCCTGTTATGTGCCTGCTTGCTTCATGCTCCCTTTGATAGTGTCTTCCTCCTTCTGTTCCTTCTCTGCTGCTTGTCCAGTCTCTCCCATTTCTGACCATCTCTGAAATGCCCTTTGTTCCTTCTCCTTTGGGTCCCCAAGTTCTTTCCAGGTGATTTTACTCCTGCAGCTTGAACCAACCCCTCCATGTGAACGTCTCTCAAAGCAGCCTCTCCATCCTCAGCCTTTCAGGAGATCCCAATCTCTGTTTCCAGCTGCTGTCACGTGCACACCTGGATGTCCTGGAGGCACCACAAGCTTCAGCTGCCCTGCAGACCTGCTCTACCTGTTAAATAGGATCTCTGCAATGGGTTTCATCTGCCTTGCCTTCCAAGCTGGAAGTCTTGGTAGTACCATCTCTCTCACCACCTATAACCAATTAATCACCAAATCTAAAATTATTCACCAAATTGGCTGGGTATAGTGGCTCATGCCTGTAATCCCAGCACTTTGGGAGGCCGAGGAGGGCAGATCACGAGGTCAAGAGATCGAGACCATCCTGGCCAACATGGTGAAACCCCATCTACTAAAAATACAAAAATTAGCCAGGCGTGGTGGTGCACACCTGTAGTCCCAACTACTCGGGAGGCTGAGGCAGGAAAATCGCTTGGGCCCGGGAGGCTGAGGCAGGAAAATCGCTTGGGCCCAGGAGGCAGAAGTTGCAGTGAGCTGGGATTGCACCACTGCATTCCACCCTGGTGACAGAGCGAGACTCCAACTCAAAAAAAAAAAAAAAAAATTAGTCACCAAATCTACTTCAGTGGTGTCTCAGATCCTACTACACGCCTTTAGTCCAAGACTTGCTGTGTGTTGCTAACGGTCATCTCCGTCTGGATTCCCTCCTCCAGCATTTTCTTGCTCCAGGCCTTCCCCCACCACCAGCTGAGGCATTTTCCTAAAAAGCACAGTTAGCTCTGATCTTTTCTTGTCTACTCTTCCAAACTGGATAAAGCCCAAATTAGTTGGGATTACAAGGCTGCTTTCCCAGTCCTGTTCCCAGCCTCCTTTTCTATGCACTCCCCTCACACAGCCCCTGCTTCTGTCATGCCAAGCTTCTCACTGTCCTGCACATGTGCAGTGACTGCCTGAGGCTCCTCGAAGTTTTCTGTAGCATGGCAAACTCCTGTCCATCTTTCAAGATCCGACTCAAGAGTCTGCCTTCTCTATGATATTTTCTCTGACTCCCCAAGGCAGAGTTGATTATCCAGTGCTTCTGTAGTATACTATTTATATATTAAAAGAATTAACTCATAAAAGTAACCCACTCTATTAAAATTTATTTGCTAAGTGCCTCTCTTACCCGACTGTGAGCTTCTCAGGGACAGGACTGTGTGTGTGTGTTTTCACTTGTACAGTGCCTGGCACACAGTAGGCACTCAGTAAATGTTTATATAATGAGCCAACAAACATGCTTATTGGGTGGGACCTGGGGTGGGAACTGGCAGTTAGTGGAGGGTCTGGTCACAAGAACAAAGGTAAGAGGGACTGGGAAGGAGAACGTGGAAGAGAATCGACATTTATGAAGCACTTTGAATTGTCAGGCATTTTTATGGATAATTGTCTCATTTCTAATAACAGCTCATTTCTAATAACAACTCTATTGAGAAAAAAGGGATTTTTAAAAATTGACCACCACTTTGTGCCAGGCATTTATACATACTCTGTTTAATCCTCTTAGAAGGTGATGCTGCCATTATTTTAAATCTGAGGAAATGGAGGCCCAGAGAGATGGAAACCTGCCCCAGGTCATATATCAAGTTGTGGTAAAGGCTCCCCCTGCCCCAGGGCATACCCTCCTCCCAGTGCTGGGAGCCACCATCTCACCAGCCCACAGCGGGTGGGAGAGGCAGCCTGGGTGACAGTGGTTCTGGGCTGGTCCACCCAGACTGGCTCAGCCTGGGTCCTTGTGCTGATCGTAACTACAAGAACTCGTTCTATGTCACCTGGGACCCCTCTTACTAACTCTGCGCATCAGCCATGAATTGCTTCCTGGAATGCAGGCCTCCTGTGTCCTGGTTCTAACCAGTGGTTATCTTGGCCTGAGCCGGGGGGATCTGTGGTACAGAGTTAGCCTGGGTCTGGAATTGACTTCTGTGAGTGACCCAAAGGCATGAAAGATTTCTTTGGTTAGGGTTGGGACTAGAGGTTGGGGGATCTCTAGAGTCCCTGGTGATTGTTAGTTTTGTTTCTTTTTTCCCTTTCAAGGCAACATCTGGCTCTGTCACCGAGGCTGGAGTGCAGTAGTGCAATCTCGGCTCACTGCAACCTTTGCCCCTACCAGGTTCAAGCGATCCTCCCACCTCAGCCTCCTGAGTAGATGGGAGTACAGGCGCACACCACCATGTCCAGCTATTTTTTTTCTTTTTCTTTTTCTTTTTTTTTTTTTTTTTTTTTTTTGTAGAGACAGAGTTTCACCATGTTGCCCAGGCTGGTCTCAGTCTCCTGGTCTCAAGCGATTCTCCCACGTCAGCCTCCCAAAGTGCTGGGGTACAGGCGTGAGCCAGTGCTCCCAGCTTGATTGTTAGTCTTTAACTCCCTCCTTTGTGCGGTGGCTGGTTACATGGGAGGGGGTTCCATCAGGACTGCTGACAGCCTGCTACATAATTTGTGGGTCTTTTGTTCAAAAGGCAGGGGAGATGTGCCACTGAAGGTACTAAAATATAAAGCTCTCTCCCTTCTTCCGCCTGTCTCCTCTGCTCATCCTCATGCTCCTCTGGCTCCCTTACAAAATACAAGTTCAAAGAGAAAATTGTTGAAGATTTCAAGAACGTGACAGCAGAGCTGTCAACCAAGTGCAGGCCCTTCTGAGCACAGATCTGCGTGATCACACAGGGCCGCCCATCCGAGAGGCCGGCCCTGGAATGCTTGGCCTTAGCTAGCCTAGGACCAACCCTACTATGATCCAGGGAGCTTCAGGAGACTTAGATGTCATTAAATTAGCTCTCCTGGGATCATGAGGGTTAGAGGGTTAGCTGTGTACCTTGCCTCTGATCAGCCTCCTTGGTTTTGAGAAGTATTTTCGTTGAGGCCTCTTTGTCTTTTCTAGGGCTGGTATCTTTCCCCAGGGTGAGACTCCTTATCACCAGGCTCGAGCACTAGCAGGAGGGACACTGGTGCTACGTGGCAGAGACCTTCTTCCAGTTATCTTAGCAACTGGTGGATCCCAGGGACTCCCCTTAGAGTTTCTACATTATTGGGCTTTCAGAACTGGACTCACCAATGAGTCAGGGAGACAGTGTTCCTGCTCTCTATCTGTGCTGAGTCTGCCTATCTGGGCCCATGACAAGGCTTATGATAAAAGTGTTATATCCAGAACAGTCTTCCTCATGACTCAGTTTACAGCCTCAGAATCCTATAAATAGGCCCCAGACCAAAGTTCAGGACTTTTCTTTCTTTCTTTTTTTTTTTTTTTTTTTTTGAGATGAGTCTCACTCTGTCACCAGGCTAGAGTGCAGTGGCGCAATCTCGGCTTACTGCAACCTCTGCCTCCCAGGTTCAAGCGATTCTCCTGCCTCAGCCTCCCGAGTAGCTGGGACTACAGGTGCCCACCACCACGCCCGGCTAATTTTTGTATTTTTAGTAGAGACGGAGTTTTACCATGTTGGCCAGGATGGTCTGGATCTCTTGACCTCGTGATCCGCCCGCCTCAGCCTCCCAAAGTGCTAGGATTATAGGCGTGAGCCACTGTGCCCAGCCAGAACTTTTTATACAAGTTAAATAACTCTTCCCTTGGAAGGTCAGTGTTTTCCTCCCCAGGATATGTTCCAAGCTCCTTGGTTCTAGGGCATCTTACAGTTAGGCCTGATGTTCTATTGAGGGATCTCTAGACATTGTACTGTTCTGTTGAAAGATGCTCCAGAGACGTACTGAGTTTACTTCTGAGGGTCCATATGTTGCAAAACATGTAGCAGAGTTCCTAGGATCTGCGTGACTGCTTAGACATCCCTCTGTGACTCCTGACATGTGGCAAACTTAACGAATGCTGTCTCACAGTGGAGCTCTGTGCCTTCTGCTGGGACTGGGAGAACTAGTGAAGATGCTGAGGTGACACAGCAGACCCAGGTTGTTCTGGAGGCTCTACCTGAGTTTGCATGCAGCTTAGAAACTAAAACTGTGTCTTCTCAGTTGCATGGAGTGGACTCTCAGAAGGACATAGAGATTGTCTTACAAGAGGTTAATGCTCATTTATGGGGTGTTAACTGGACCCTTCTTCATTTGTTCCAACTTGGAAAGGAAATATTGTGTCTCTGGTCTAAGGCAACTTGCAGCTCAGGGAGGGTAGCTTTTGGGTGAGCCTGGAGAATATTTTGGCTTCTCAATTCTTCTTTGCTGGCCTCTGCATGACAAGGGATCACACAGGGCCTCCTGGCTCAGGGAGGCTCTGTGAATGTGGTCCACAGGGACAGTGCTAAGAACCGACCACTGGATTCTGTACTTCTGTTATTTGGGAGGGAAAGTGGCCAGCCTCAGGGCCCAGCAGGGGCATTCTGGGGTTCTTAAGTTGAAGGCTTTCTTGGCGGGACCTGCATTTAAGGTGAAGGAAGCTATATAAGATGGTGGCTGGCCACATCCAGATGGACAACACTTGTCCCTTCCAACAGCCACTATCTGAGCTCTGCAGTGGGTGGAAGGCTTAGGTGACTGGCAGGCTGTGGCCAGGCTTGTTGGACAGTTCAGTAGAGGGAAGGAACTGGCTAGATCTGGGCAGACTCACAAAGGCCCATGCCTGCTGTTCAACGTGGTGTTAAGGGAGTGCTGCAGACAGACCAGTGTTAAGTGGCAGCTCCTAGATGACAGGGCAAAACTGCAGTTCCCACAAAAACCTGGGCCCTAGAATAGTGCCCAGGAGCCAACAAGGAAGGGGTGGGACCTAGGCAGGAGATTCGGGGACCACAGATGCTACTTCCTTTAGCAATCAGGTGCTTAAATCCACTTTGGGCCCTGTAGTTAGAAGTCAGCGTCAGGGAAACCTGGCAGCAGTTAATGAGGCCTGGCCATGGCTGTAGGCCAGGTTGGGAATCAGGAAGGGTAGATGCATCCTCTGGAGTGATGGTAAGTCCCTGAAAGACTGACAGGAGTTGAGGAGGACCCTGGCATCAGCAGAGCTAGAGTACCATTCAGGCTACCCTGGAGACCCCAAGTAGTGGAGCTAGGATATAAAACAGACACCCAGGTCCCAATCAGCAGGCACAGCTGAGGACAGGGGGGTCTTCAGATTCCCTGATAGGAGCTGGACTTGCTTCCTGGGCTTGTTGATGGACTCCAACTGGCTCCAGGCACTTGGGTTTGGAAGTTTGCCAGAACAGGGCTGGCCCAGACAATTCTTCATAGAAATGTGGTTTCAGGAGGTGGTGTGGTGCTTTGTGTCAACATCACCAGGGCAACGTGCCCAGCGTATGCATGAGCTCTCCCTCCACTCCCACACACACATGCTGGTTTCTAATCCAGTGATCCACTAGTACAGCCCTGACATCCCTGTTTTGAAGAAACAACTGAGGTATTCTGAAGGCCCTTACCCCAGGCACAAACATTTCAGAAGCAAGAGTTACTATGAAAGCAGTGAAAAAACAAAAGGAAGAATGGATTTAAAATACATTAAAATGATAGAAACTTCAGGAGGTAGTGACACATTGAGCCCGAGGGGAGTAGCAAAAGGATGAATCCAGCTTCAGTGTTTTAAATTTGGATGACTAAAAGAACAAAGAAGATGGTGGGTCAGAAATGGAGGAAACTCAGTGAAATAGAAAAGTCCAAAGTGGAATCTCTGATATTCCCAGGGAACATAAGATATAATTTCTTGTAAAACCTTTGGGAAATACCTCATACCCTCCCATTTCTAGGAGAATAAACTACAGGGTAGCCCCCTCCAAAATTTCCAGATAGCACATTAAAACTCTTGTAGGACCTATTTAAAAAATACATTTCTTCTCTTCTGCTTGTATGTCTTAAAAAGACTTTACAATTTTTTGTCATTGTCTTGTTCTTCTAGTTATTAGAAATAAACTATTTTATTAGGTTGAAATTATCCAGTTTGAATTTGAATGAGATCTTATTTGCTCTGACACAAATAACCCCTTTGTGGGTAATGAAAGCAATTTAATGGTGTGATCTAAAGGAGAAAACAATATTACTCAAGCTATTAACACCAGGAGACTTCTCACTGACCTCTTACAGTGACCTGCAAACTGTGCTTCCAATATTACTGCACTCTTGAGGAAGCATGGAATGAAGTTTTGCCCAAAAATATTTTAGAGAATGCTTCATGTGGAAAGTCATAAAGAAAAGCAGAGAAATATAAGTAGCTATAAATGAGAGGGGAGAAGGGACTTGTAAAATTAGCCTGATGACAAGGTTTACTAGTTTCAAGCAGCATGTCACCAATCTGAATTGGACACAGGAGCCTATCACTATAGCATTACGAAAATAAAAAATTGTATGCAGTTCTGCAATATTGTGTTTTGAGACTCTCTAATAAGACTGGAACTTTCAAGGAAACACAAATTAGAGCATTTCTAACCTTAATTGGAGCAATGTGATTCGTAGTTCTCTACTATCCCTTTATGTAGCTGAAACATCTTTAAAATGGCTTTTTTTAACATGAGAATTTGTCTGGAAAGTCTTTTTGACATATTTTATGATCAGTAAACTTACAATCTTGAATTTATTTATTTTCTTACTGGACCTGTGGTACCGGGAAATTGATTGTATTTTGTAATATCAGACCAAAATTTGCTTACTTGAAGCTGAGGGAATTGGAGCCTACCCACCTTATTTAGAAATGAGCCCTCTTATATGAGGCTTTGCTAAGAGTAATGACTTAGGATTGTGGCTGTGTGGAATTGGTGGAACGTGTCCTGTCGCTGTGTTTGTGTACCTTGTTTGTATATATTGCTAGTATTCCTGTAACAAGCAAACTCACAGAAACTTCCCAGTGGATAAAGTATACTTTTCACAGCTTGGTGAATTCACTTGCCCCTACTTTTTTCTAAAAATCTCATTTTTCCTCAAGTAAATACATGTTGAGTTTATCAAAGCCTGCATTTTCTTTTCTTTTTATAAAACCTTGAATATATATTCTGGAGAGGTTTTCCTAAACTGTTCTGATTTCTAATTTGGAGTGCATAAAAAGGTTTGAGCGTAATTAAAAAGATTAATTGGTTTTGGTAATGATGGACCAACACAGTGCAGGATAAGAAACATACAATTTTTTCACTGCAGTTTTCTTTTCTAGTTCAAAAGGTGCTTATTACTGCTCCTGACTATAATCCTAGTCCCTTTCATGTTTGACAGATTTATAGTTTACAGGGCCTTTATACCTACCTGCTCTGAGTAGTGTGGGAGATGGAAGAGGAATAAAGTGTGGGATAAAGTCTGAGTGTTTGATTCTAGTTCTGCTTTCCAAGAAAGAAATTCGTTTTCTCTACACCTCAGTTTCCTCATCTGTAAAAGTCGTAACACAAATCCCTCCTAGAGTGTATTCTTATGAGTCAATGAAATACAGGTAGAATGCTAACAAGAAGCTTAAACAATGTATATAATGGCCACTTGGAATTAATTTAGTGATTTAAAAATGCTTTTCAATGTTCTTCCCATTGATTTTATTTAGCCATCCAATAACCCTAAGCAGTAGAAGGAAAAGCACTTTTAGCCTCATTTTATGGATCAGGAATAAATAAAGCCTGGAGGAGTTACCAGATTTGTTAATGTGAACATTGGGCCCAGAGCTCAGAATTTAAATAGTTTTATAAATATTGAAGTGCTTTGGCACTAGAATTTAAATGAAGTTTAAAATCTTAATTGTTTTTGTTATTGTGGATGTAATTTGCTTGTTTCTAAAATGTACACATTGTAGAATATATGATTTAGAAAGTGGAAGTCCCCCTTAGTTCTCTCTTTAGAGATTTTAGAACCACTGTTAACAGGTTAATATGCTGGCTTGCAGACACTTTCCCTGCAAATAATAAAAGACTGTGGCGGGGTCGGGGTTGTATGTGTGTATAGTACTCACAGAGTAATGATTTTTGTACAGAAATGTGTTCTTAATAGTCATAATAGTTCCCCATCTTTTTATGCTTGACAACATACGAATATTTTTTCATGTCTGTATAAACATATGTCTAATTCTCTTCAGTGGCTATATAAGGCTACATTGTATTACATACTGATTGATGATATTTTATGAGCTATTTCTAATTTTTTGCCATTAAAATATCCCTGCAATGAGGGTCGTTTTATATACATCTCCAAGCATTCCTGGGTCTATTTTTGTGAATTGTATTTATTCAAGAATTAGTAGGTCAGGAAAATGCATGTTTAAAATTTTGTTAAGCTATCTCTAAATTGTCCTTCAACAGATTGCATCAATCTCCACTCCCACAAACAGTGCAGTAAATCTTTCTCCTTATGCTTTCCATCAACATCAGGTTTTTATAATTCACACACATCTAAATGAAACATTTCTGCTGCAGCACAAGACATTTGAAAAGACCAGAACTATCTAGCTGTCTGTCAGTGCCTGTCAGCAAACCAAGGGCAGGAAGCATAGAAGAGTAAATTAAAGCTGACAGGGCAGTGAGCACATGTTAAGCTAGAAATTGAGATATTTGGCCACCATTCTTATTCATTCATTCATATAACATTTGCTGAGGTCTGCAATGGGCCAGGCCCTGTTTAGGCCCTGGGAACACAGTGATGAGCAAGACAAAGTCCCTGGCTTCATAAGCTTACATTCTAGTGCAGGTGATCCATCAACAAATAAATTAGAACAGAATGTCAAGAATTGTTAAGACCTCTGGTAAGAAAGTGGGGAGAGAGATAAGGGTGGTAGGATGCAGGTAGGGAGGCTGCTTTAGACTGGGTGGTCATGGACTTCTTAAACAGAAACCCAGATGCAGGGTAGACTGAGCCCACTGGCCACCTGGGAGAGCCCATCCAGGTAGAGCTGGCAACAGCAGATGCAAAAGGCCTGAGAAAGGAGCCAGCTTGATGGGTTCCAGGAATAGCCCCAAAGCTGCACTGACTTTTGATTTACCGGAGAGGATAATTGGGCTACTTACTTTCTTTATAGAATGCCATGTTTGGGCAAATGAACTTGTGAAGCACTTAGATCTCTTTAGAAAAGTGATGTTATTAGCATAGGGTAGTATTTTAACCAGTAAAATCCATCAGCGAGTCTCTGCCAACACCCAGCAGGTGTGGCGTTTCACGCAACCCCTCTCCCTAGCTCAAGACTGTCCTTGTTGAAACTTATACCAGTGCAGAATAGACCCACTGCACCTCCAGCTTGGAAAAGTCTAGACCAACACACTTTCATGACTGGCAAGTCCTTCTTCTGCTGCTTTGCCTTGTAAGAACCCAGTTCATTAAATGTGTTTTAATACCATTGGAGAGAAGAAATCACAGTTGAAAAAAGAGGTTTGTTGGAAGGTGGTCACAAAGAGAAACTTTCACTTACCAAGCCTGGGAAGTTTCTTGGATGTCTAAGAATAGTACACTACTACCCCCTACTCAGGATTCCAGTATTGGCCTGAGAGCAGGAGATGAGGCATAGCTGTGTGGAGGGCAAAAGAGGACAGGAACAAAAGAAGAAATGGAGTTTTAAATGTGAAGGTGAAGACAGGAGTTAGATTTTCTGCAGGCCAGACCCTCCACAGGCGTTGCACTTGTGGCTCAGCCCTGTCCCCACCCCAGGCTTGATTGACTTTTAAGCAGCATGAAGACCAAGGCGGAAGCTCACTTTCTCTTCAGTACTTGGTCCTCCCCCTCTCAGACCTCATCTTTTAAGGGGAGGATTGAAATTGCCTTGACGGAATGCTTACAGGGACTGAAGCACTGCTTATTGGGTGGCTTTCATTTCCTGCAATCTAATTCTTCCATGTCTCAACATGTAGGGAATCTTTTTTTTTCTTCTTTGCTCTCCTCCAAGAGTCTTATGCAAGAGAGCTCAAACAAGAAAAACCTCCTTGTGAACAAAACAGCACCCCTGGAAGACTTTGAAATCCATGCCAAATGTGATCTTGAACTTGAAATTCAAACATAGGACTGTTATGATTATCTTCTACTTCTGAAAAGAACTCCCAAGTCTACCCTTATTTGCCTACATAAAGAAAAAATGTGCTTACTTGTAAGTACTTTAGCAGATAAATTTTTTCAGAAGACAATTTTTAAGAGTGCTATGAATAAGCAGACTGATGAAGTTTATAATTTGCACTAATACTTTTTATTTTATCAAAATGAAAACTAATCTACTTAAGTGCATTTCTTTTAAAACATCTTTTCAAACCTATAACTTATGGAGCTAAAGGCAATGTAAGGAAAATGATTTCTGCTCATTCATTTGCATGATTAAAATTCAGCTTGCATAACCATACGTTATAGGTTTGTTTCAAACCCTGGAAACCTTTTGGCTTTTGACCAGTGACTGAATTTCTTTTGTTTGGGACTCTAGAACTATAGCAAATGATTGATCCGATAGTGGTGGTTATGACTTATCTGGAAGGAACTGTGTGTTTCAATTTCTTGCCCTATACTTAAATGTAGAAGTCCATTCAATGTATTAACTATACTTCTGATTGCAAAAACAAGAACCAACTCACGTCAGCTTAAGTGAAAAAGGAGAGGAACACTAGTGTCTCATACAACCCAAGGGTGTGGAGATTACCATGCCTAAGGAACATCCTGGAACTAGGTGTTGGAAAGCCCTGTGTTATTCAGGAAATTCTTTCTCTTCACTTCTCATCTGAGTTTCTCTCCATGTGCTAATTTTATTCTTCCCCTACAAACTTTTTTTTTTCTGTCCTGCTTCTTCTGCTTATGTTGTACCGAACATGGCAGCCAGTAGCTCCTAAGTGTGTATATCAAGGTCTCTCTTTCTTTCTTTTGCAAATTTTCTGGGAATGGACTCTGCTGCTCCAGACTGGAATCATATGCCAACCCTTATATCATTCAAGTCTGGCCAGAGCTGGGGTCCAGGGAAGGACTTATGAGCAGACCACTCTGCCTCAGGTGCTTTGAAGCTAACAATTTTGGTCAGGAGTGAAATCACATTTGTCAGGAGCCTCACCTGTGTTACCGTATGAATGGAGGATATGTGTTTGTGTAGCCACACACGGGAGTTTGATTGAGAGGGGTGTGCAGGTAGAAGCAGTTACCATAGAAGAGGGAATCTTTGACTTGTAGATGTCTATTTTGTTTATTTATTTATTTTAGTTTTTCTGGTATAACATTGAATAGAAGGTGTCGATTTTAATCTCAAAACATGAAGTTGTAACATTAAATGACCTGAAAGTATAGACATAGAAGCTTGGAGACTGACAGGAACCACTGAGAATTTCCTAGACTCTCATGGGGGTTTCATTCACTTTTCTTTTCCTCCAAAGGACAAACTCCACAGCCTAATCCAGGGACTGTCCAGATTTTTAGTTGTAATGGGTTTTTTTGTTTCAAAATGTTTTTAATAATGAGTAAAGCAAACCTTAATTGTCATAAGGGGCCGTCGGTTGTCCTTGTAAACCTCTTAAGTAAATACAAATTTTCATGATTATGCTGTGTTTTAAGTAGGATTTAATATGTATCACAAAAATGGGAAATGGAGTTTCGGGAATTCATTTTTGATCTGTGATCTAGAAAGAAAGGATCCCTCAGTGAATACTTATTATTTTCATTGCCAAAGCCTGGATAACTGTTGAAAACTGAAGGACTGGTTACCACTTGAGGTAAAAGGTCTGGTAACTGTTTCACAAGGAAATTCCAGTGAGCCTTTCAATATGTTGTAGACATGAGGATCAAGGCTTTGGCTTGCTCAGAAGAAGGTCTACAGTGAATAAAACTTTTCTGTGTTTCTGTATCTTCTTTGGTAAAAACCGGCCACTGTTTTCAGGAAATGGGGTTTCTATTCCAGTAATCTTTGAGCAAAAGACTGTGTCCCTGACAAGGGATGCAATACTTAATTACACTACAAAATCCTGGCACAATGTTGGCTCCTTTGATTATATCTTTTCTTAAACACAATTATTGTTTTAAAGAGGCATCAGCTTCACTTTGAAGAATATACAACTTAATCCCCTGTCAAAGTCTGAGGATGCAGTTTTTTTTCAATGTCAATGACTAAATTGTTCAGAAAAGTTTCCTCATAAAATGGCATTTCTTTGGTCCTAAACATTCTCAAAATCTGAGGAAACATTTCCTTGTAACTTTATTATAAATTTGGTCCTTATGCATAAAAGTTTATTGTTTGTATAAGTAAGTGGGCTCTGACTGATACTTCTGGATTGTTTCCTCTTCAGGGTTTGCAAGGAGCCAACTCATTCATCTGCCATTGTTGGTTTTTGTTATTGTTAAAAGTCTTCTATAAGATTTTTTAAAGGAATCCTTAAGCTAGATATTTGATGCTTTGTAACAAATTTTGGGGTGATGATATTTAATTCTAGGACCAGCACATATTTGACAATTGTCACTTTATCTTGATCAGTTCCTCTTGCCTGTGAAATTGCGTTAATGATACTCATTTAGTCTTACAAGTGCTTTTGGTTTCTTCATTAACACTAATGCTAATAAAAGCAAGCACTGGTCAGGCATGGCGGCTCATACATGTAATTCCAACACTTTTGGGAGGCCAAGGCAGGAGAACTGCCTGAGCCCAGGAGTTTGAAACCAGCTGGGCAACATAGTGAGACCCCCATCTCTACAAATAAATAAATAAATAAGCCAGGTGTGGTGGCACACACCTGTGGTCCCAGCTAATTGGGAGGCTGAGGTGGGAGGAGTGCCTGAGCCCAGGAGTTCAAGGCTGCAGTGAGCTGTGATTTTGCCACTGGGCAGCCTGGGCGACAGAGTGACACCCTGTTTAAAAATAGAAGCAAGCACTTATATAATTGTATTTGCCAGGAGCTTAAATAAGCACTCTATGGATATTTACTTATTTAATTTTTATATGAAGTATGTATTATCACCATTCCTATTCTAAGCAGAGAAGTTAAATAAGTTACCCCAGGTCACACAGTAATTGGAAGAGCTAAGATTTGAGTGCACTTTGGTCCTGGGATGTGTACCTAACCCTTGCATCATATTGCACAGTGTTGTCATCATTTATTTTATTTTATTTTATTTTACGTATTTATTTATTTAGAGACAGGGTCCTGCTCTGTCATCCAGGCTGGAGTGCAGTGATCCTAGCTCACTGTAACCTTGAACTACTGGGCTCAAGTGATCCTCCCACCTCAACTTCTCAAGTAGCTAGGACTACAGATGTGCACCATGCCCAACTAATTGTTTCTACTTTTTGCAGAGACAGGTCTCATTATGTTTCCCAGGCTGGTCTTGAATCCCTGGCCTCAAGTAATCCTCCACCTTTGGCTTCACAAAGTGCTGGGATTACAGCCATGAGCTACTGTACCCAGTCCACATTTATTAACTCAGCAAACACTTATTGAACTTAATCTAGGGAACCATAAAAAATCAGACATGTCTTTTCCCTTAAGAACCTACAGTCTGTGGTGCAAAAAATTGGGAAAACAGATCATTATGAAAACACATAATTCTAACTTTTATAATAAACACTGGGAGTTCTGGGAGCACATAGAAGATGCATATGATCCAGACTTGAAGATCATTCACTTGGTTTCTACACCAAATGCTATCTAAATGGTGCCAGTTTCTTAATCTATGAAAAGAGACCATGATAATACCTACCTCGGAGGGTTGATGTGAGGGTTAAATGGCAGAATGCATAAAAATGGTTTGAATGGAACCCTGCACAATAAGTGTAAGTTACCATTTTCATGAAACAGAGCACTGAAACCTGTGGTGGTGTCTGAGGATCTGGATTGTGGACCTGTAAGGCATGTTGAAGGCAAAGGTAGCTGCAGGGACAAAGCCCGGAAATGAAAGATGGCAGGGCCAGTCCGGGGCACTGCAAATGACAAGACAGGAACAAGGGGTTAAAAGAGAGGTTAGTCAGAGGAGCAGAGAGGTGGGCGGGTCAGTCGGGGAGAAGTCATGAACACCTGCCTGTCCGGCTGTGTCCTTTGGCCCTTATCTGGAAGACTTTGAAGCAAGGAGATAGTCCTGTCAGACTTACCTTATATTTAATATAAAGACGATTGACCACACTATGGAGAATGAATTAGAGAGGTTGAGACTGGAGGCAAGAAGGCCATTTGGCTATTAAACTAATTCAGACTCTAGATGATAGTGGTCTGATGTAATCACCATCAGAGGGATAGAATAGTTAGAAAGAAATGGATGGATTAGGGAGATAACTGAGGAGGCAGAGTCAATGGTACTTACTGATTTTTCACATGTTGGGATGGGGAGAGGGAAGTCAAGGATGACACCCAAATTTCTATCCTGGACAACTGGGTGTACAGTGATACTGTTCACTGTAACTCAAAGCATGTAGCCCATATATGAGCGCAGTCTGTAATCTTTGAGAATGGGACCATGAGAAGATGGTGGAGTATACCATGCAAGAGGGTGATCTGTGAAAGAATCCACCATGGATCCCCGTGTCAATGCTGGCTGGCACAGTTTTCTTAGCATTCATGCACAGAGGCTAGTGGCTAGAGTATTGGCACAGGGCTGTTGGCAACAGTGATCCTCACCGTCAGATACCTTTTGCCGCAAGGATCCCCTGCTTGTCCCCAACTCCCAAGGACTACTTTTGTGGGAGGTGAGTACAGCTTGTATCTCCAGGAGCTGGCCTGTGCTCTTTATGCCCCAATACATGCTAGAACTGTGTTTTGCAGAGCTCTAGTGTTCTAAGGAGATGTTTTAATCACATCACCTTATACTAGTAGGAACCATAGGAGCCATCTAGTTAAACAACCCCAGGATGTTTCACAAGTAGATGTCCTAGAAATGAATTATGTATAATCTAAGGATACCATTTCTGAATTGTATCATTTTTCTTCTAGCTCCAAATAACAGATACCCTGGTTTTGTGCAAATAGGAACATACATTTCTTTTCAGAGATGGAAACCATATGCCCTTTGATTTTGCAGTGGTCCAGAAAAGAAGTGGTATATAAAAGAAAGTGAAGTTTGATTACAACCTGCAGAAACTCTTCTAGCCTTACTGCCCTTCTGTTTCTTTATCTCATTACCACCATTATTAGCATTTCAGACTTTCTTTTCAGTGTCAACAAACTTACGAATATTATTTGTGTGTAGGTGTAATAACATATATAATAAAGACTTCGCTAATGCACTGTATTTCCATGTTTTATAATGAGAAACTTCTGCCTTAAGTTTGGCAGTGTATACACTCCTCTGTTGACTCTCTCAGAGGTGATGTTGTCTTGTTTTTTTTCTATAGTGGGAAAAGACTCCAAATTCTTGCTGGCGCCAGACTGGCTCAGAACCTGCAGGGAAGCATACCTGCTGGCTATGTGGGATTAGCCTAGGGGAATTTTCTTTCTTTAAATAGTTAAAGTGTGATATTTATATCAAGTGTGGTTTTTAAAAATTAAAGTAGCCAGGAGCGGTGGCTTACGCCTGTAATCACAGCACTTTGGGAGGCTGAGGTGAGTGGATCACAAGGTTGGGAGATCGAGACCACCCTGGCTAACATGGTGAAACCCTGTCTCTACTAAAAATGCAAAAAACTAGCTGGGTGTGGTGGCACGTGCCTGTAGTCCCAGCTACTCAGGAGGCTAAGGCAGGAGAATCACTTGAATGCAGGAGGTGGAGGTTGCAGTGAGCCATTGCACCATTGCACTTCAGCCTGGGCAACAGAGCGAGACTCCGTCTCAAAAAAAAAAAAAAAAATTGATAAAGTAAGGTTTTTTCCTTTAGTGATAGAATTATTTTTTTCTTAAGAATATAAGGCTTTTGGGTATACTAACTACACTGATTGGATCATTATACAATGTATATATGTATCAAAACATCCAATTGTAAATAGTAAATGTGTACAATTCAATGTATCCATTTAAAACAAAAATAAATAATATAGGGCTTTTAATTTGCAGGATAAGAGTAGCTTTCATTATATTATTTGCTAATATTTACTTAGCCTTAGTCTTCTCATCTATAAAATAAGGCAAGTAGAAAGGACAGAAATAACTGTTAAATTTGAGAACTGTCATTTCGTTTTGTTTTGGTCTTCCTGAAAGGCCATCTCAGCTTCAGAGAGAACTATGATTTTAAGATTTTGTTCTAATTTTCTAAATTAAATTCCAAATAAGTTATTCTAATTGATTGAAAATGAAATGTTATTATCCTTCCCCAGGACATAGTGTATGTATATTTGAGAAGAAAGGAACATGTCAGTTTTAAACAGTAGAACTTTAAATTTCATTTTCTAACCACATTCAGAAGATTGGAAATATTTTATACATGAGTGGTTTTATATTAGACATGAATTTATATTGGTTAACTATTTTAATGTTTGATGACAGATTGATGACAGATGCTCAGCAAAATTGCAGAATGGGTTTTTTTTTTTTTTTTTTTAAAGACAGGATCTCATTGTATCGCCCAGGCTGGAGTGCAGTGTTACGATGATGACTCACTGAGGCCATGACTTCCTGGGCTCAAGCAATCCTCCCAGCTCAGCCTCCTGAGTAGCTGGAACTACAGGCGTGTGCCACCATGCCCAGCCAATTTTTATATTTTTTTGTAGAGACAGAGTTTTGCCATGTTGCCCAGGTTGGTCTTGAACTCCTGGGCTCAAGCAGTTTGCCCGCCTTGGCCTCCCAAAGTGCTGGGATTACAGGTGTGAGCCACCACACCCAGCCATGTAGAATGGGTTTCTAAGTAAAAAAAAAAAAAAAAAAAAAAAAAAAGGCCGGGGTTGGGGGGGCATTCATATTCATACAACACCAGGTAAATTAAACAAATTAACTCAGTTTACATTTCGTGATAAGGTTGCTAGTTAAATAAAGAAAATGCTCTAGAAAGTATGTAGTATATGGATGTCCAGAAGGCCTTTGATAATTGGACACAATATTCTGTTGACCAAGAAGTGTGGGCAGGGTGCTAGAACAGTTAGGAGATTCATCAATAACTGAACAGTTACACCTGAAGTTTGGTGATTAAGACAAGATTGACGTCAATCTAGCAAGAATCTCAAGGAGTGCCAGAGAAATTTGTACTTGGTCTATATTTTTTGAGCAAAATAGTAATATTGGACTTGTAGAAGATATTTTAAAAATTGCTTGTAAGTGGCAAAATATGTGGGAAGAATAGCTAATAGGTTAAGTAGGAGGTTCCAGATCTAAATAGCCATCAACAGAGTCAAATGTTATGCCAAAACAAGCAAGAACAGCATTTTAAGAGACTAGATATGCTCATTGTTTAGATAAAACACACACACGTACACACACGTACACACACGTACACACATTTGCGAATCACAACTCCACAAAGATGAGTAAGACCTTCTTGATAACAGTGCATGTTCAAGGAAAACAAAAGACTTAAGGGTTTCTATGAACCAGAAATGCTGTGGGGTAGATTACATCATGCCCACGTGGTTCTCCAAAAAGGGACATGCAGTTGCAGGCACGTTAATCAAAGGTGTAGAATCCAGAGTTGGAGAACAAATTGTTTTGCTTTCTTTGGAAACAGATCAGTCCACGGTGCATCTTAAGGCCAATTCTGGCCATCACATTTTAAGAGGAATTTAGTCAGTGTAGTAAGCACCTGTAGGAAGGTAACTGGAGTTTTGAAGGATCCAGAACAGATGAAGGAATTGGGGGAGTGTCACCAGAGAAGAAATGACATAGCAATTCTCTTAAAACATTTTAAGAATTGTTACCTGGAAAAGGAATTTTATTTCAGAGGTCTGGAAGTTAAAACTAGGACCAAGTAGAAGTTACAGAAAGAATATTTTAACTCATTGTCAAAAGACTTTTCTAAAAATCGGAGCTCCTCTGCAGTGGACCTGGCAGCCTGGTGCAGTGAGGTGAAGTCCTTGTGGGAAGTGTTAAGTAGATGTTGATGACCCTTGTGTGTAGTGCCATTTAGGGGATTCCTTCATAGAGTGGGAGGATAGATAGGCACCCTGTAAGAATTCTTGCAAGTCTCAGAGTCTGTGATTCTACCAAAAAACAGTTTATGAGATTTATTGCTAAGACTTTGTATAAGAATGGGCTGATGACCTGATCTCATTTTAGCTAGGCACAAACATTAAATACTTCAATTACATGGGTATGTGTTATGAATCATCTTGTACACACATACAAAGAAAAGGAAAGCAGTCTTGCCAAAGGCCCCATGAAATACATTTGCTTTGGCTGGACTAACTAGAATTGCCAAGCAAACAAGGTGATTCATAATAAAACCTCTGTTCAGTAAAATGGACCCATAGGAACAGTAAAGTTGATTTTCCAGGTATAGTAACATCACTTCTGCTCATCTATCTTCTCATTTGCTATCGTCTCCAACCTGGTTACCTAAGGGTCAAATTCTACTCTTATTAGTATTTAAAGGTCTTCTTGCACTTGGGGAAATAGCTACCTGTATCTTCAGATTGTTCATTTATGCACTCATTTGATCATTTACTCATTAATAAATATTGATTAAATGCCTGCCTTATGACAGGCACTGTGCTACATACTGGAAGTATGAAAGTAAATGGTACCAATATATAGTCCCAATCCCTGATACCTATATGATCTAGTTGAGAAAGTGGACATGAAAATTTTTAAAAAATATTTGCAGCATGGCTAGGCTTTAATAGAGACACACTGCATGGCTCAGTCTCAGCACACTACTTCTACCACGCAGGTCTTTTTCACTTAACTCCATCTGGACAGCTTTGTTCTAAATGACTAAATTTATTTTTTGAAAAGTCAACACCCCTCCAGAATTAGTTAGAAAAGAATAGCTAGTTTCTGCATCTCACTTAGCTCTCGTGTCTAAGCATTTTTTCCAGCTCTTCCCAGACTCTTGAGTTTGAGTTTGACCATCTTTAAAGCTGGAGAGCAGTGTCAACAGCAAGAATGGCTGACAGATAGAGGCTTACTCTGCACCAAGCACTGTTCTGGACACTTTAGGTATCATAAGCCATTTAGCCCTTACAGCCACCCCTGCAGCTGGGTGTTCTTATTATCCCCGTGTGACAGATAAGGTAATGAGGTACAGGTGGGCTAACAGGTTAAATACACCTTGCCTAAGGTTACCTATAAGGAAGTGATAGATTTGGGATTTGAATCCAGCGGTCTGGCTCTAGAAGCCACGCTGCTAAAACACTGTGCCATTTGCCCCTCTGACCGATGCTGTTCTAGGTTTTCAAATATCAGACCCCACGAGGCCTTTCCTGGAGTAATAAAGCAAGCTAATGATCATGACGGTGACCCAATGCTGGAGGGCTTATATCCATTCTCTCGCTCAGTCCTTACCAATCCCAGGAGGGGGATTTATTGTCTCTGTTTTACAGATGAGGAAACAAGGCTTAGGGAGTATTACCCAAGTTTACCTAACTAGTAAATCTTTCAGTTTGTCTATATCATTAGGTAAAAATGCCAAATGAGTCATTGTTTACAATAATAAACACATTTGTTTCAGGAAAATAAAAAGGAATATTTTGAAACAGGAAGTTTTAATGTTTTTCCTAGGGGGCAGCAGGAAAGTCTAAAGGACATGAATGTGAGCTTTTTGTTATTTGAGTGTCATGATATCTTTAGTTCCACAGTTTAAGAGAGATGGTATACCACGTTCCCATTACTGAACTTAGGGTGTTTGATTTCTCCTGTATCCTGAACCAAAGCAGACGATCTCTAATTCAAAGAAAGAACCATTTAAGCGTTAATCTTTCTTAGCCTTTATATTTATGTGGTTTAGAAGTTTCTTCACTGATTAACAATTTACAAAATATTTATTTTTGTTTACACATTTTGACTTACTCATCTCATTTGACTACTAAAATAGTACAAGTAACTTTTTAAATAGAGGATTCTTTCAAACTGTGACATAATGTGGTTTCAATATATCTGATGTACCCAAATGTGGAAACCCATGGCCTGTAAGAAGAGCCTCACACTCTTCTGTTCTAGGTTATAATAAAACGTTCAAAATTAGAGGAGAACCCCTAGCTGCCCAGCCACCTGTGATAACAGTTTCTTTGGGTGAAACGTGCACTGGAAGGTGACCCAGCTTGTTGTTACTACGGCACCAAGGGATGGTGCCTGATCTCGAAGGTGTTTGGTGTATTTATATGTTACATATTTGGCCAGAGGGGTAGAGGGACAAATTGAGAATACTCCTTTTCCCTAATAGTTCAATTCCTGCAACTCCTTCATGACCCTGCCCCTACACCCTATCTTCTTTATCATGTCGTCTTCAATTACCTCAACCTGTGATATCTTCTCTAAGTTCCTGACTCATTCGCCTATTCCATTTATACAATATGTGTCATTTATTGCCTATGACAGTTATTTCTATGTGTGTGCCCATTTTGACTTACTAGAGGGCAAACACTTGGAGGAAAGGTATTGTCTTTCAAACCATCTTGACTTCCCGACACTTATTACAGAGATTCATAAATGAGTTGATGATTGTAGGAAGAAACAAGAAAATGCACATTAGAATTTTATATCAGTGTTCCTAGATGGGGAGGGGGCCTGTTTATGGCTGACAACACAGATTGTAACTGTGACTGCCCTTTCGTGGGGGATCATGGTGGATCGGCAGTACAGCACTGTTAGCGCAGGTGGTCCTTGTATTTGAGCTTGCTGCATGCTTTCCAGAAGAAAATGATAGAAACTCAGTTCGGTCAAATTTTCAGTAGGAGCAATGTCTTAATAGGGAACTAGGTTTCCACCCAAGAGTCTGGAATGTTCAACATTTCTCTAATGGGAGTTTTTACCAATATTCTATTTTATTGACTCTGAATTACCTATATATAACATAAAGCAAGCCTGTATCTTTAAAGTATGTGTGTGTATGTGCATATGTGTGTATATATATATATGTATATCATATATGTATGATATATGTATATTATATATATATATATGATACAGTTTACCCAAAGAAACTGTTATCACAGGTGGCTGGGCAGCTAGGGGTTCTCCTCTAATTTTGAACGTTTTATTATAACCTAGAACAGAAGAGTGTGAGGCTCTTCTTACAGGCCATGGGTTTCCACATTTGGATACATCAGATATATTGAAACCACATTATGTCATAGTTTGAAAGAATCCTCTATTTAAAAAGTTACTTGTACTATTTAAGTAGTCAAATGAGATGAGTAAGTCAAAATGTGTAAACAACAATAAATATTTTGTAAATTGTTATATGATATATATGATATATGATGATATATATATAATGCAATGTAAAGAGGGTAGTTATATGTTTTAAGATTTAATTTGGCTTATTTTATTTTTTTAGAGATGGAGTCCTGCTATGTCACCCACATGGGAATGCAGTGGCACAATCATAGCTCCTTACAGCTTCAAACTCCTGGGCTCAAGCCATCCTCTCACCTCAGCCTCCTAAGTAGCTAGGACTACGGTGTGAGCCACTGCACCAGGCCAGCTTATTTTCAAATACGGAGGTGTAAGAGATATCAGGAGTGGTGGGAAGGACTGAGGGGTCTTGAAGAAATAACCAAAAAACCAAAGACAGACCAGTTCTACTCCTTGCAGGAACTGGCAGGGTCTCACACAAGGTGAGGTTCACTGTTTGAGAGGAGACTTTTGGAACTTCTTCTAAACATTAGCAAGGGTAAAAAAGGTTTAACTGGCCAAGAATTTTTTTTTAAACTACAAATTAAATTGTTCTAAGTCTGGAATTGCCTATAAAGTAATCAACTATATATAGGTGAAATAGGCTTTCCTAAGTGCCCTATGAGCCACATGTATCAGTGTGCTCATGATAGTGTCTTTTGAATTCCAAACAATCAGCTTGCAAAGCTTGGGAACAGAATTGGCTATTGAGTAAATCCATAAAGTGGGTCTCCTGTGGTGCTGTAGCCTCGCATTTGCCCGGGGGTAAGGTAAAGGTGATCAGGGTTGATTGCTTGAGAAATGTTCCGTCTGAAAACAGTAGAATGGAGTGAGCCATTCTACATGAAATCCTGGCAGGGAGCACATTTAATTTTCCATTCCATTACCTCTGTGTTTCCTCTCTGACATTTCAGCTTTCCTTTGCTGCCTCTCTGAAAGTTGAACACCTACTAAGCGTCTGGTCTGATCAGGTGTCGAAAATCCAAGCTGAAAATGGCAGTGTTTCTGCCCTTGAGGTGCTCTCAGTCTAGCTGGCCAGATGGATAATCCACTGATGGTATCTGATTTGACAATAAGTGTGTAAGAGTGTGCTGTGGAATGGGAAACGTTGGACTCAACCTAGAGGAGAGTGACTGGGGAAAGATTCGCACACAGGTGACAAGTGAGCTGGCTTTCAAAGAATGAGGAGGAGGTCACCAGGCATTAACAGTGGCAGGAGGAAGAATATGAATGAG
Organism: Homo sapiens; assembly: GCF_000001405.40. NCBI lineage: Eukaryota > Metazoa > Chordata > Mammalia > Primates > Hominidae > Homo > Homo sapiens. Next base: position 84,830,382 of record NC_000001.11, on the reverse strand, counting down.
GGATGGAAGTCCCAGCTAATTTGCCTCTTTCCCTCCTCCCTTTGGCTTGCCCTGTCTCTGGGTAGTCTGTTTATGTATCTAATTAACTGGAATGGGGGCGTGTTTATTTGGACAGAGGAAGTATAATTACCAAGGAGTTCAGATACTCAATACTTGGCAAGTCCAGTTACAAACAGGTTGCCTTTTGAAGAGAATCAGAACGAGAGAGAACTAGCAGAACTAGCTACGAGAACAGGTTGACCTTGACCAAGAACTTTTCTCCCTGGGAATTGCATAGGGTCCTTCTAGACATCCCTGGCTCCGGTGACATTCTTTCTTCTGAGATGTCATTGCCTTCAGTCAGATTTCAGTAAAGGTTTTACAGGTGTGGGACTACAATATCTCTGTATGGTGACTTTGGTTGAGGGCTTAACTCAAAGAGCAGCCTTTCTTCTCTCTTCGGGTTTTTATGGGATACCTTAATGGCATCGCCCTGTACTGCTTGCCCTGTCTGTCCTTGCTTTCCTTCCCTTGCTGTCTCTTATACATGTTCTATTTATGTCCTCTGCCTTACTTGGCCGCTTTCTGCTTTCCTCCTTACTCTACTCCCATTCCCTCATATTCCTTCTGTCAAACTTTGAAAGTTTGCTCAGTGCAAATTAAGAAAACATTTCCAAAGAGTGTTTCTTTTTCTTTTTCTGGATGCATATTTTCGTCATTATAGTACATTATTAACCAAATTGTGCCTTACCATTTTTTTTTTCTTGAGCATGAGCCTGACTGACGTGATCTTTTGTAAGTTCCTATAGGCCCATGCCATTCATTATTACCAAGTGACATTTCCCAAGAGCCTCCAGAGTGTATCACAGTTGAAGATCTTTTCCTTCCTAGCAGAAGGATCCCACAGTGGGATGGAAGCAGATATGGTCATCAAACTTTTGGATTGGCAGATGAGTTAGAGATCTGGGTTTGTATAAACTCCAGCACCTCCCACTTTCACCTGAGCATGGGAGTCCCTCAGAGAATTTGGTAGACATTCAAATTCTTGGGCCCCATTCCAGACTCATGGAATCAGAATCTCTAGAGGGGAACTAGACAGCACCTTATACATGGAAGTTACCTCTAGATGAATTAAATGGGCAAAGTTCCCACTTTCAAGTTTACTTTCCAACTAGGGTAATGACAAAAAGCAAATCAATCCATCCACCAATCAACCAATAAGCAAAAAAAAAAAAAAAAAAAAAAAAAAAATTGCAGAGAGGGATACAAGGAAATCAAGCAGAATAATATTTTAGGGAATGGCTGCTGGGCTGGGTATTAATTTACATGGCACAAAGAAAAACCTCTCCAAAGATATCCCCTTGGAGCTGAGACCTAAACTATGAAAAGGAGCTGAGGAAGTCAGGTGCTAGGGAAGAGCTCATGTCCATCTTGTTTACCTGTGTCCTGAGTATTAGCACTAACGTTGGCTCCTGGTGGGGGCTTAATAAATACTTGTTGGATTATGCATGAAGTCCTTGGACAGCAATGTCGTACCCATAATCTGAACAATGGAATCAATGGAGTGTTCTTGAAGTTCAAAGGGGTTACTAAATTAAGAGAGGTTGCTATCACAAATAGAATATTTACAGAATATCTGAGGAAATTCTGCAAGAAGCAGAATTCCTGAGGAAAAAGAGAAAATGAAGAAAAGTGTATAAAGAAGAACATGTGAGAAAAGAGGCCTGGAGGGGGTGGCCATGGGACAGCCAAGGAGCTTAGGAACAAGGAGAGGAAGAAAACAAGTCCATGCTCGCACCTCTGGCCTTATGACCTGCCAGTTCAAAGGGTAAAAAGTAATTATTGCCATATTCTTGGGATTGAGCACTGTGCTCTTACTAACATTGCTTTGTATATTACAAAGTAAACTTTTAAAAAGCCTTTAGAAAACAAAGACAGTGTTATATTACATCACTTTGAAGAAAATTAGAATAAATACCAATTCTAACAAGCTTAGGGAAAAGTTAGATATGATCAGAAGTCACAAGTGGAAGATATTTCAATAGAATTTGAATGCTGCTCTGAATCAGACTGCTGCCAATTTAAAACTATAAATGATTGCCATTCGAATTTTTTCCCCTCCTGGCAGCAAAAAGCATAAAAAAGCAAAATGCAGTATTGGAGAAGCTGACTATTTAAGAATTATCAGGGTACACTCACAGCAGCATATCTCTACATCTGTGTGTGTGTCCATCGCTCACTTAGCCTGCTTTTAGTGAGGGCCTGCAATAGAAAAAAAAGAGAGAGAGAGAGAGATGAATGTGTTTTCCCGGTAGTGTCCAGATCTCAGATGAAACTTTGTAACTGAGCTATAAATACTTGCTAAATAATTATTTCTCCCTCCTCCCCTCCACCCCCTCTTCTTCTTTTGGTTTAGCTGTTTTTTGTTTGTTTGATTTTCAGTAGTCACAATGGTGGAGTATTGTCCATCTTTCATGAGAAAGAATGAATTCTTAAAATTAGCCCATGTGGATATGAACTGTGTGTTCTTGGTGTCCCTGGACTTATTTAATCTATAAAACAATCTTTTAGCACCTACACCCATGGTAGAAAATGTCCTCTGAACACAAATAGTTGTCTCTAAGCCTTTCAATGTGCTTTATTCATGATGTCATTCTTCAGAGCTCTGTTGACTTTATTTAGTTGCAGTTCTTACCAGATGCGGTCATCTGCTTTCTAAGTCAACTGTAAATTAGCAAACTGAATGGTCAGCAGTGCCTGTTAGGGGCACAGGGACCACGGGTATGGCTGCATCATGAGGGCACAAGTGAAGGGCAGCTCTCCAGTCATATCGCCCACTCTGGGGGTGACATGCTCATGGTGGTGACAGTTGGTCAAGAAAAGACAGAGGTGTGAGCAGTAGGCTCCACTTCTCAAGGAAGGGAGGGTATGCTTCTATTTTAAAGGTTTTTAAGCTTTGGTTATCTGGAAGATGGAGTCATTGACCTTCATCCTCTGATAATAAATGAAAGAATTTAACAACCCCTACCCCCATAATACATAATCTGTAGTGACTTCCATCTCCCCCAGCCCCTGTTTTCCAATGGGGACCAGCCAGAGTTGTGCTCTTGGAGAGAAGGGGAAAATGATCATTTGTGACTTTTGGCTCAGTGTATAGTACAATATGTTTCCCTGTGCTTTTTGTGATTTAATATACAACTAATAGAACAAATTTTAAATTAATACTGCAATAACAAGGCACACATTGTACACAATTGATTTTTATTGGTTCCACTTCAAAGATTATGTTGTGGTTTTACCGTTGAATGACTCCCTCATACAAAATGCATTGCGGTGCATTTTTCTATTTAGTAAACTGTAGATAAAATTAAGTGAAACTGCCATTAAAAGATTAATTGGGAAAGTCAGTCATGACTTTAGAGTTTCTTAACTTGTATCAATCTTATAGTGTTTCTTGCCGTAGAAATCTAGTGCATGCAAAGGTATTTGTTCCCAAAATGGCAACAGGAGTAGTTTTAGTGAAGATGTATTACTTAAAAGAAAGACATGCTTATGGCAAAAAATTAAGAGAACAATAAAAGATGTAAGGAAGAGGTAAAAATCATTTGAATCATGTTGCCTATAGATTATATGTGCTAGGATTTTGGGATATTTGTTTCAGGATCTTTTTTAAGCACACATATGCACAGATGCCTGCTTAATTTATCAATCAGTTTATTTAGTGAATTAATGTAGTCAGAATGGAATCATACTATGCATAGTGTTTTGTAACCTGTTTTTTTTTTTGGTTAAAAACAATAAATAATAAACATCTTTCATATCAATATTATTATTTTCAATAGCTGTATAGTATGTCACTGTTTGGATGAATCATGATTTTCAGGGGTGTTAGCTGCATTATAAAATTCCTAGATATAGCTGAGTTTACTAAATGTAAAGACTTAAAGATTTTATGGTTTACTAAATTTAAGATTAAAAAAATAAGTTCTGTCAACCATTCAAAGAAAATGTCAGCTAGAAAGGAAAAATAATCTTGAAAACCTATAGTATTCCCAGAGTATTTGTGACCTAAAAGCTGAAAGTTCTTGTTGAATTTTTCTGATATGATTTCATCAAAAATGACAAATACTAGCATGATGAAATGAGTGAAATTCTTCAGACTATCTGTAAAAATCAGATTTATTCTTTTTTTAAGATATAGCTGTTGAGCACTATATATGTATATATATACATATAATATGTATATATTATATGTTGCTATTATACATAATTCAAAAATATATGTAAAATAACTCGAGCTCTAGAGTAGTGATGTAGTGACGTTTCTTCACATTGCACAACTCCGCAAAGCACCGTTATCATTATATTCTCTAGTGCACACCCAGCAAGACCTTACACTCAGGAAAGTCATGTCCATATGGAGTTTTTATACTGGTTTTCACATCACTTAAATAGCCTGAAGGGTTCTATTACTACTTAGTGTGATTGCTCTGTAACTTTGGAATATTGTTTATACATTTGTTCTTTTATTCATTATCAGATTTTCTGAGTACCCACAGTAAGCGGGGATTGAGATCCTCAGGGTTTGCGCACCGTACTGATGACCAAGGCAGGATAGTAGGCCCGGCCTCCTGGGCCTTTCTCTGTTTGAGATAGGAACCTCAGCGTCATCATCAAACCTGGCAACATTTTTAAACAGAGGTGCATTTTTAAACAGAGGGAGCTTATAAACATAGTGTAGCAATCATGGATTTGTGACTAGAATAGAAGATCAGAGAGATAAAGTACAGTACTGGAGACCTGGAGAAGGAGCGGATGTTCAGTGAGCCCCTTTGCATCGCCTCCTATAATGCCCAACCAGAGAGATTCTTAACATTCCTGTCCATTTAAAAACACAGAACATGGTGGCCTTGCAGAGAACATTAAATTCAGCCCTTGTGAAGACAGTTAGGCAGCGTGCCCTTACATCATCTTGGGTATATCTTGCCTGGAATCATTTACTCCTCTGTCTCCTTATCTTGCTATTCCCAGTGATGAGCCACAGTGCCTGACACTTAACAAATGCCCATTGCATGTTAGATATTGAATATCTGAGAGCATTCCTGTACTCCATCAAGATCCCAGTTTTTGCTGGAGTCAGGTGACATGCGTCTTAAATTTTACCACGAGATTCTCTCACATTGCACAATGCAGAGCATCCATGTTTGTCTTTCTCCTCAGTTCCTAGCACTGCATGTTGGCTGTGACTAAAGGAAGCTATGAGAGAACCCCACAACCATCAAATGTAACAGCAGACAGGACCCTTACAGGGCATTCTCATCCAATCCCAGTGACATATAGATGGAGATACTGGGAGCAGAGAAATAGAATGGCCTTTTAAAACTCACACTCTAGTCCAGGATCTGAACTTGAATCAAGACTCCTTGCTCCTTCATTCAGCAAACATTTATTAAACACCACTAGGTGTATAGCATTTGGCTAAGCACTGGGTAATCTAAGTTGAATAAGGCACAAAAGAGATCTCCCCTGAGGGTGTCAGTCTAGCAGGACAGCCAGATGGATACAGAAACAGGGCAGAGTGTGAGAAATTGTGTGCGCACACATGTGTGGGCACACAGCAGCAACTGAAATACTCTCCCAGATCTGCTTATAAGTTGCCTAAGAAGGACAGCAGAGGAAGTAACCAACACTATCTGGGTAGTCACAACTAATATTCTCTGAGTGCTTTCTGTGTTGGACACTTTCCACATATTATCTCATTCCATTTTCACAAAAATCCTGTTGGGTCATATCATCATGCTCCTTCCATAGCTAAGAAATGGAGGCCCAGGAAGGTGATCTGATTTGCCCTTAGTCATAACCAGGATTTCAACTCAGGGTCTGCTTGATTTCAAGCCTATGCTCATTTTACTATAATGGGGATAAGTAGGTTTCATTTCAAGGCTGATTCTATTTGATTGCCAGAGACTGCTTGGAGCATTGTGCTGCAAGAGATTCTAGGTCATATCTGAGCCCAGAAACAAATAGTGTCATGGTTTCTTAATCATGAGTGGAGGATGGAAAGTGGTATCCTGTGTCAGGACCATGTCATTCCTGAACTGTACCATGCTATAGTTCTTCCAGGCCCATCTCTCTGTAAGGCAGCATGGTTTCAACCGCTACCCCAGTGCCTGCCACTTCATTCATACTCCTTTCCTCTGAGCTCAGAATGATATTTTATGCCATCTGTTATGTCCAGAATGTTGTGTCCTAGGTAGGTCAAGTTTCTTGTGCAATGCCCAATGCTGTAGTCCTTTCAAAATGTTTCAACCCCATTAGAGACATCTCTTATACATTCCCCCAGGGCACTGTTCTATGCTCATGACAGTTTATGTGATTAAATATTACATGCCCACAGCCTAATATGTTAGCATTTCTAGGTAAGTTGCAACAGAGGACTTCTGAATCCAAAGGAGTGACTTCAGCAGGAAGAATGTCCAATCCTTGGGAAGGTTAGTTGGGATCTGTCATTCTTTAAGATTATACCAGGCAAATAGCTGCTACTCTGTCAGTACACACAGCTGATCTCACACCTTTTCTCTGTAGCTCTGCCACAGAGCCCTTGATATAATAGCTAGTGAAGTATTGAGGCATTGCTGTTTAGTACACATAACACTTAAAGTGGAATCTGGAGGTGGAGATGGTGTTTTCTTACATGGTTTATAACTTCCAGCTGTTGCCTGTAGTTAAACACTAGAATTAGGTCTAGGCAGTGGTTCTAGCTGGTATGCCTCTGCTTTAAATTTTATCTTTTATTGCCCTTGGTATCAAGATTTTCAGTTTTTCAAAGCTGGAAAGCTGGCCACAAGTTTAAAACAAGTATCTAAAACCAGTTGTTAGAGTCAAAATACCCAACACTAGTAACGATAGTGTTAAATGAATCATTTATGGAATGTTTAACTGCTCATCATCTATTTGAAGCATCTTGGTGTCCTTTTTTCTACAGTAAAAATATAAATCAGATTTACTAAAGGTGTATATTTTCATTCCTTTCACATCGGTGACAATCTATTTTCTGAGTTATTGGACTTCTGAAATGCTAAATGAATATGAATTTGACTGCATACCACATCTGAAAGTGTTAATTTTTAAATTGTTAAACAAATTCTTTAATGTCGTAAGAGCATTTTCACTTAAATATTCTGTTAATGTGTGACTTACACATTATAATGCTTCTAACCAAAAGTAGATGCTTACTTTGAAATTCTACTTTAAAAATTCCTTTTCAAATAAGAAGAATGCCTCCCTAGGTTGAGGTCCACAAACCTGACTTTTATGTAGAGTTATAATTTTCTATTTTAGTAAATCAGATGGCCCTGCGGCTTACTAGGTTAGTATTATTGCTTGTGCCCTGCTGCTTTTTCCTGGACTAAAAACAAAGATTAAGACAGTGAACAGATTTAAAATATATCCTCCCTTGTGATGAAATTAGTAGTCCATGTGGCAAAGTGAGAGTATTCTACGTGATTGTTTTTATCATTATGGATGTTTTATTTGTGTGCCACTCATATGTCAACGTTCTTTGATTAATTGCATGTGTGAATTTTTAAACAGATGGAAATATGGCTGCAAGTCTAAATAGAAGGAATAGAAAAGTTTGAATGTTGAACAGGCCTTGTGTAAACTGAGACCTTATCCATCACCAAAACCCCAGGAATGCTGAACCATCTTAAATACGTTCCAGTGAAGGGTGCTTCTCCAGATGGGAGGGTGTTCTCCCTTCTTATTTCCTATAATGTGGAGATGAGGTATTCACCAAGGTACTATTTGAGGTATTTTGTAAACTTCCAAATTTGGGTGTGGGGGTTGTTATCGAGTATGTAAACAATAATGTTGACTAGGTACTTTGCAAGATCTTTTACTTCGCTTGTCACCAATATAATTGTACCTTCCAAAGTGTTAGACATTCCTTAATTTGATGTTTCTGATTACCTTAAATTGCAGTCATTAAGATATCATCTCAGTGCTGTAATTGAATATTCTAGCATGCTATTCACTTAACTTTAAAAATTAACATTGAACTCACGTTATTGATTTTTGAGTACAACTCTCAAACTAGTTTATTTAATTACTAGAGGAAAGCTTATTTATAGTCTAATTGAACTATTAGTGAGTCTCTTAAACAGGTACTGAAGGAATGTAGAACATCATTAAAATAAAAAAAAATTGCTTCTTATCAATATAACTGACCTGTCACTTGGCCACAGAAGGAAATAGGTTTGTTATACAAACTGAGTCCTCATAAAGGCATTCACTAGCACATGGTAGGTAATTGCTTAGTAAATATTTATTAATAGAAGGACATTTGCCTCAGTTACCACCTACTGCTGATGACTCCCAAATCAGCATTTCAATTTGGAGCTCTCAGAGTTCTGACCCATGCTCCTGGCTGCCTTCTACACATCTCCAACTGGAGAAGCCACAGACACTCTAAGTGCCTGATGCCTAAAACTGAACACTGTCTCCTCTTAAACCTGTCCCTCCTGTCTCCCTGCTTAGTTATCATAGCCACATGCTACCCACTCACCCTGGAGTCTTTCCTCCCCTCACTTCCTAGATCCAAATATTCATCAGGTCTCACATTTCCTTCCCCCTTACAGCTTCTCTGACCATCTCCACAACCACTGCTTTTTTCAGATCCTGATAGTTTCACCTGGATTTTAGCTAGTCTTCAGATGAATCTCCCTTTGCAGGCCAGCAGTACTCAAATTTTACCACGCAAAAGCATTCCCTAGGGAGATGGCTAACATGGAGATGCCTAGATCACACCTTCCTCACTTTCTCATTTGGCAGGACTAGGTTTTAAGAAATCAGAATATTAAGCAGGCAGCCCAGATGATTTTGATGCAGACTGGAGTTGACTTCTAGTTCCACAAATACCTCTAGTCCGTCCTGAGCACTTAGATAAAAATTTACTCTAAAATATAAGATTTGTTCACATCCCTGATTAAAAATCTTCGAAGAACTACCATTCAATAACAGTATTTTTAAAGTAGTGGTCAGTAGAGTTGCCAAGAGTCCCTCAGAGGGGCCTCAGTGTGTGGACGTGTATGGGGAGAGGGTGTTTGGAGTATGAAGATGAGAGCCCATTCTGCTACATAGGGCTTTAGTTAACACCCCCTCTCCTCCGTCTCTTTCTTTAGTCAGAGCAGCTCTGATTTTGAAGTTTAACGAGATATTTCCTTTGGGAAAAGTATTCCTCTACTTAAAAAAAAAAGAAATGGTTTGAAAACCACTGATCTATTGAAGTGGATTTCAAACTTTAAAAAAAAAAAAAAAGCAGTACCCACAGTAAGAAATAGTGTACATTTTGTATCACAGCCCAGTTCACACACTTATTTTTCTGTGTAATTGAAACAAGTTTTATGGAACATGCCCTTACTATTACTTGATGCACTCTGATGTTTTCTGTTTCTATTTCATTTTTTTTAAAAAATCGCTGGTTGCAACTCACTAAATTGATTTCACAACCCACTGAATTGCTACTGTGTCTGGAAAAACTTTGATCTAGCAATTCTCAGTGGGGTTCCTTTATGAACCAAGGAACATAGAAAGATTTTCTTAATCTTTTCAAGGGTGGTACATAACTCACACCATTCTAGATGCTTAGAAGAGAAGTTAGTTCATTACATACAATGGGTGCCTAAGGGCATTCAGACTTAATTTTCTGCATGAACTCCTGGTTAAAAAAGGCTTATTAGTGTCTGATCTGTAATAAATCCAAACTCTTGATTATTGCACACAGGGCCCTTCTCAATCTAGCCCTGTGTTCACCTCTCAGACTTTACCTTACTTCCTCAATCATCTTCCTGGGTTAAAACCATCCTGAACCACTTGGAATTACCCAGATGCTTCACGCTATTTCTCACCTGTGCACAGTCATTCTTGCCCTTCAGCACCAGCTCAACTGAGTGTCACTTCGACTGAGACCCTCATTGACAGGAGTTAGAGTCGTCAGGTCCAGGTTCTGTCCCTGTCAATCCCTGAAGTGATTAATAAATTTCAGTCACATTCACCTGGCTCATCTCCTGTGCTACTGAGTGTGGGCTAGATACTTAGTTCTAAGAATACAAACACATGAGGCACAGCATACCTGCTTAGGGAGCTTAGAACACACCTGAGACACAAGACGTATGTATTAAAAACTACCTCTAGTATAGCTCAATGCTCAAGAGTTTGCATGGGGAAGTCAGGCCTGAGTTCAAATGATAACTTCTATTTTTTGGCTTGTGCACCTAGGACAAACTGTTGAGCTACTCTAAACTTCAAATTTATTGTATGTTAGTCTAGGATAATAATAAAAGTAGCAACTTTGTAAGGCTGTGAGTTTTACAGGGGAAGTGCATGTAAAGCCCTGAGCACACTGCCTGACCCAGAGTTCTCAGGAAATGCTAGAGAGGAATTAAGCAGGTAATGTGCCCAGTGCCACGTGAATGCTATAGGTAGAAAGTGCTACAGGAGTTGAGAGGAGGAAATGGACACTGTGGTGGAAGAGATGGGAGAGCTCCAGTGGAGAAGGCAGAGTATGCACTAAGCTTAGAAAGAAAAGCAGACCTCAGATTAGGAGGTGAGAAGGCATTCCTGGCACGGCGAGCCAAAGAGCAGCAGAGGAGGACTGTGGATGCCTTGCCTGTAGACTACTTTTGCTGCCACTCTTTGTATATTTATTTTTGCGTATGTGCTCAAACATTTTCCCAAATGCAAATTGAAGATATTCATCTCTAGAGATGCTTATTTTCTCATTTGAAAAAACTGTGCTCCCTCTCTCTTTTCCATGGCTTTTTGCTAAGTCTATATGGCATCTATAATTTTGCTTATGGAGTCAGCTTGATTAAACCATTTTGGGTCAGCATGGAGAAATAGGTTACAAAACTGGCTGTGCATCATGATCACCCAGGGAACTTTTTAGTCCTGCAGATTTCTGTGTCCCACCCGAGATTCTGACTATTGGGTCTGATGTGGGACCAGAGAATATGCATTATTTTAAAAGTTCCTTTAATTTTCATTTGGCTTGGTCAAAAGTTTGAAAAACACTGGTAATCTTTAAGGCCCCACCCAGCTCCAGTGATCTGTATTTCCCATAACAGTAACATTTTTATTCTCTCTGCTATTCTCAAGAGAGGGTTACTGTGTTGTCAAGAGAGAAAAACTAAACAAGCCAGACATCAAAAGCTATAGCTACCAACTTTGATGTGAAGAGTCCTTTCTATATGAAATTGTATAATTCCAAAAAATCCAGGTGGGAGTGTTCCAAGGTCCTTATGCTGACGGGAAGGAAGGACAAACACTGGCCAACTTTATACTTTGTTAAACATGTAAGTCGAGATTTAATAGAGTCTACAACTTCCAAACCAGTGGAAGGGGGAAAATGAAACCAAAGGAAATGAAAAAATAAAAGATCTCAATACGAAAAAAGAGAGGGGGAAAAAAGCGAAACATAGAAAAAAATGAAACAAAGAACAAAATAAGATGCTAGAAGTGAATTCCAATATATTGATAACTAAAATCAGTGCAAATCACGGTACAGTTAAAAAACAGATCAATCTAAACAATATGATGTCTAACATTACATCCGTATATTGGAAAACCATGAGAAAAAGCAAGAAGATGATTAGCCCAAAATGTATGATACGTTTATCTCAACAGGAGAGAGGGCTCCTGGGGTGGGCACCCAGGAAGCTCTAAAGATACGATAGTGTTCTTTGAAGTTTCTTTAAGTTCTTTAAGTTGGGTGGTAAGTAGACAGGTATTCTTATTTTTTTTATTCTTTTAAGCATTATTTTTTAAAGTTCACTATATTTTTTGTAGTTTTGTTTGAATAATATAATACACCCCCCTGGCATGCGTGCATCGCACACACACTCAAAAAAGGATAAAAATAAATTGCCAATGTTTTCCTAAAGCCCCACTCTCATATTATTAGATGTGAATTTTTAATGTGATTTTTTGTTCTTTAATGACGTGATTTTTTTGTCATGAAAGTTTTCTCCCCAGCACAAAACTCTGTTTTGAATTAATCTTGTGACCCAACACTCCAAACAAGTCTTCACATTGATGCTTTTTGTCATAATACGATAATTCCTATATAGTTTCCCTTTTCGTTGAATTACATAAAATAATTCATTCAATTAAAACCTTATAAGCTTTTTATTGAGCAATGATCTTGTGTCAGATGCTGTTTTAATCATTGTATATGAATTAATCCATTTAATTTTTATAAAAACCCTTGGGAATGGTACTAATCCTGCCCTCATTTTAAGCCTGAGGTAACTACAGCACAGAGAAGTTAGGTGATGTGGTCAAAGGCACACAGCCGATCAGTGGAAGAGCCAGGATTGGAACCCAGGCAGCCTGGCACCAGAGCCATGTTCCTGACTTTGTGCTAGGCTGCTCAGCTGTGGCCCGTAAAGCATCTTACTACTGAAGAGAGTGAAGGAGGAGTAGGAGGGTACCTCTGGACTTCAAGGGCCCCTCCGTAGTATGTCATGTCTGACCATAAAGCTACATATATCACAATTACATCATTCTTTGGTTGTTAAAGGAAAGATTTTTTTTTTTTTTTGGCCAGGAAAGGAAGAAAGGGAGGGAGAGATGGAAGGAGGGAAGGAATCCAAAGGAATCCAACAAAAATATTGGCTGATTGGCTGGCCGTGGTGTCAGAAGAGAAATAAAAATCTGCTGATCTCATCTTTATGCTGTTTCCAATGAACAACAAAAGGCAAATGTTCTTCGACAGAACAGCACAAACATACTAGGTGGCTAAACTAGAGAACAGGTACTTCAGAGATGTTGCCTTAAGCAGATGCTCCCCGGCAGTGACCCTGGGAAACAGCTGTTCCAAGCCTCCTCCACCTGGAGGCCAAGATCTCTCTCCAAACACATCTCAGAAGAGATGCACAGTTTATCTAACAGTTCATACTTTGAGGGGGTTTGCTCTATGTTAGCAGTTAAACATAAGTCCTCCCCACGCACCTCCACACCCTAGGCTCTGTAGTCTTGGAGAATTCATAGAGAATGTGGAGATGTCAGGAACATTCAAACAGGTAACTGGACTAATTCTTAAAAGTGAGGGGTGTGTGTGTGTGTGTGTGTGTGTGTGTGTGATAGATCCTGGAAAATATTTATCACTTAGTTGCCTACCAATCTACATAAATCCAGAAGAAAAAAACTAAAAGGAATGTCTTTTGAGTATTTAGCCTCAATGCTCAGACTATGACTGCTGGGAACCAGCAGGGTTCAAAGAAGAGTTTGTGTGATGCCCAGATTACTTTAAAAAAAAAATTCTCAGCATTAACAAATATGAATGAGTGTCCAGAGGTACGCATCTGGGAACTAGTAGATAAAATTCAATATGTGTCTCCTGGAGAAAAGGCTAAAGAAAGACAGAAAGCGTTAACTGTCTTCAAAAACCTGAAGGGCATCACATAGAGAAAGCACAGACTTTTCCTGGGCTATTGCAGAGGATCACACAAAACAAATGGAAGAGTACAACAGGCAGAGTTTGGATGCAAGCCTTCTTTTCAAGTAAATGAAGATATTTATATATTTTTTTGCTTTTTACTTTTTTGGAGATGGAGTCTTGCTCTATTGCCCAGGCTGGAGTGCAGTGGCACAATCTCGGTTCACTGCAACTTCGCCTCCTGGGTTCAAACAATCCTCCTGCCTCAGTCTTCCAAGCAGCTGGGACTACAGGTGCCTGCCACCATGCCCAGCTAATTTTTTGCATTTTAGTAGAGACAGGGTTTCACCATGTTGGCCAGGCTGGTCTCGAACTCCTGACCTGGGTGATCCACCCACCTCAGCCTCCCAAAGTGCTGGAATTATAGATGTGAGCCACCACGCCCAGCCTAAATGAAGTTATTTAAGAGAAGAAACCATTGTTCAGCAGTTGAAGAGCCTCCCTTGACCAGGGCATTTCCTTTGCCTGGATTGTTCTGAGATGTACAAAGGGAAGGCCTTTTTCCTATGAATGAAAGATCAGGCTAAGCGGCTTCTGAACTCTTTTCCAAGTAGGAAACTGCCGAATTCTGTGAAACTGTGGCTTTTAACTCTCCATAAAACTCAAACAAATTTGACTTGTTTGTTTCTCAGACACAATTATCGGGTGGTATGGCTAAAAACTTACTAATATGAATTCTCAAGTTGGTAGTTGCAAACTTGGCTGCCCATCCAGTTCCTTCACTTGTTTCAAACCAGTCTGAATAAAACAAAAAACCAGTCTGAATCTGTCACATTGATTGCACACCCACTAACAAGTTCTGACCCACCACTAGAAAAACTCAGACCTAGCCTAAAGTCAGTCCTCAGTTTACAGCTGAGGAAGCTGAGCCCAGCGCAATGACATGGGTCTCCCAGAGTTGTACAGTAAGTGAAGAATTAGAACCCAAATCTCTGATCTCTTATCTCCAAGTCCAGTTCTTTATTCACATATATCAGCCAGACCGAAAATAATAATACAAGGTGGAGAAAAAAGGGAACCACTGCTGAACCGTAATTATGAAATAAGGAATTCAACCCCCCTGCTAGCTACTAAACATATAGATATTTTTTGTGGAAACAGAGCACCTCATGATAACTGCTGCTCAGTGAACCCACCACAGTGTTGGGTACCACTTTCCATGACCTCTGATCCTCACAACTACCACCTCACATAGTTGGGTTTATTAACTTTATTGTATAAAGGAGGGAATGGAGGCTGAGAAAAGTGAAGTAATTCCCATAATTCGGGTCACTCATAGGTTGAGCTGTGCATACATGTCTGACCCCAAAGTTCGTGGCTCTTCCCTGCCTTACACTGCCTCTTTATAATCCTTGTCTTTCCCTGCTTGGTATTATATCTCTTAGAAGTAAGATAAAGCAACAAGAGAAATACTATGCAGAACTAATTCTAACAAGTAGAGTAGTTGGTGATATCATCTATAGACTTGCTTGTTTGTCGTCTTCTCTGTTAGTATTTTAGCTCCCTGAGTGCGTGGCCTTCACCTCACTCACTGTCTAGTACAGCTCCTGGCACATTGTTAGCTTCAGATGAATATTTATGAGTGGACAAGCAAGTGCATTTAGAAATGACAAGGACATTCGCCGAAAGCAACCACATCATACTACAGAGGCGGGTCATATAGTGGCCCAGGGCACAGCCTGTGGAGAAAGACGGCCTCTGTTCAAAATCGTGTCTCTTAAGAGTTATTTGATCATAGGCAAGTTACTTAACTTCTCTTGTGCCTCGGTTTCCTGGGGATAATAATAATGCCAATGTCATAGTGTGGTCCTGTGAGTTAATCAAGGAAAGCGTTTGCACCAGTGCCTCGCTTATAGTAAGTGCTGTATAAAGATGAGTCGTTATTGCTATCTGAGGTTATGATAATAGTAGGGAAATAGTGGACCCATGTCTTAATGGGAGAAAAATATCATGAAATTTAGAGATAAGGTAAGTATGATGCTGTGGCTAGAGACTCAGAAGAGACTACGGTTCATATTCAATTGCAGAGTCTGAAAAGTAGATTTTTAACTATCTCATCATGAAAGATTTATTTCTGACCAAAAAATCTAAATGTAGAGCAGATGATTATGCAGATGGCCCGTGAATATGTCAAAAAGAATATAGTGCTTACTAAGCATCCACATGAATTTATGAAGAATGAAATTTATGAGCAGGTGATTTGGTTAAACTACTAGAAGAATGCCGTAGACTCATTGTGTCTTATTTTCAAGAGCACATTTAGAAAATCTGATTTCTGTAACAGCAGAATGTAGGGTGAAGTATGGGAGCCCTGGAGTCAGAGAGTTCTCCTCTCATCTCCCCCTAGAATTGGGCCTTGGTTTTCTTATCTGTCCAATGTGGATAATGAGTGCAACAAAGCCTCCCAGTGTGGTTCAGAGAACTAACGGAGATCATGCATGTGCACTGCCTCCTAAGCAGAATGTAAATGTGAGTCTCTCATAATCACAAGACCTGGGTAAGCAGAAAAGAAAGTGAAATGAAATGTGATTGATAGTCAAGGAGGTTCCCACCTATTTGCCTGTACCAAGCGTAGGTCTCAAATGCTCAGATGGTAGGTGGAAGTTTGCCTTGCAGTTGTCAAAACAAATCATGAGGGCCCCTTGATGCCACTGGCTAAAGGCTGGGAGAGAAGAAAACCTGAATAAGTCCCCTAAGGTCTGAGCATCTGTTGCCTCCTCTTCTCTCCTTGCAGGGGCGTTTGTGGTATGCTGGACCCCGGGCCTGGTGGTTCTGCTCCTCGACGGCCTGAACTGCAGGCAGTGTGGCGTGCAGCATGTGAAAAGGTGGTTCCTGCTGCTGGCGCTGCTCAACTCCGTCGTGAACCCCATCATCTACTCCTACAAGGACGAGGACATGTATGGCACCATGAAGAAGATGATCTGCTGCTTCTCTCAGGAGAACCCAGAGAGGCGTCCCTCTCGCATCCCCTCCACAGTCCTCAGCAGGAGTGACACAGGCAGCCAGTACATAGAGGATAGTATTAGCCAAGGTGCAGTCTGCAATAAAAGCACTTCCTAAACTCTGGATGCCTCTCGGCCCACCCAGGCCTCCTCTGGGAAAAGAGCTGTTAAGAATGATTACCTGTCTCTAACAAAGCCCATGTACAGTGTTATTTGAGGTCTCCATTAATCACTGCTAGATTTCTTTAAAAAATTTTTTTTCATAGTTTAAAAGCATGGGCAGTAAAGAGAGGACCTGCTGCATTTAGAGAAAGCACAGAAACGGGAGAGGTTCGGCGGGTCCCTGCTTGTCCTATGAACTGCTCAGAGCTCCTGTCAGTCCAGCTGGGCCTTCTGGGTTCTGGCACCATTTCGTAGCCATTCTCTTTGTATTTTAAAAGGACGTTATGAAAGGGCTTAGACCAAAATAAATCATAATGTTACTTGAGCCACCTTATATAGCTGCTTGGAGAGTCTATGTAGTTCTTTCTGCATGCATTAAAAATGTTTAGAAATGCTTCAGCAATGGTGTTTTTTTCCTCAAAGAAACCATGGCCAGTAGCTAGGTGTTCAGTAGGAATCAAAGAAAAATCAGTAAGAGCTCCAGATTAAACCTGATTTTTAACTGAAGGAACATTCTGAGGAAAAATACTTAAAAGTAAAAAAGGTCAATGTGAAAACCCTTTTTGACCTGAAAAAGGCCTTAGTATGGTCCTCCATGCATGTGTGTGTATATGCATGTGTGTGTGTGTGTGTGTGTGTGTCTATATATATATATATATATATATATATATATATTCCTGTTTTTACTGATTTTTATTGATTTTGTTCAAAGATATCTGGGGATTGGATTGGGGAATGCTTAATCTGACTATTGAAAGAAACATGGATCCCTGGAGTATTTCAGATACGGGGTTACCGCCCCAGACTGCCTCCCGCCAGTCCACATTAGTTCTCATTTTCCCTCATGATGGTGAAAAACAGTGGAGAGCTAGTAAAGGGTTTATGCAGAAAACAAGGAGAAGAGAATGTGAAGTTTGAAGTGCCTATGGAACATCCAGCTGATAATCTTGCCTAGTAAGAGCAAAAGAAGCCAAGAGAACACCAACGTTTAAGGAGCAGGTAGAGAAAACCCAGCAAAAGGACAGAGGAATAAGAGGACCAAAGAACAATGTTAAGAATCAAGGAGAGAGGTCAGGCACGCTGGCTCATGCCTGTAATCCCAGCACTTTGGGAGGCTGAGGCAGGTGGATCACTTGAGGCCAGGAGTATGAGACCAGCCTGGGCAATGTGGTGAAATTGCATCTTTACTAAAAATACAAAAACTAGCCAGGCATGGTGGCACATGCCTGTAATACCAGGTACTTGGGAAGCTGAGGCATAAGAATCACTTGAACCCGGGAGGTGGAGGTTGCAGAGTGAGCCAAGATCGCAGCACTGCACTCTAGTCTGGGTGACAGAGCAAGACTCTGTCTCAAAAAAAAAAAAAAAAAAAAAAAAAGACTAGAGAATGTCAGGGAACACATGTGTATATTTAAACAACTTCACTTTGCATTTAAAAACTCGAAGGACAGCGAAGGTGAAATCAATTCACGGGCCACCTAGACTTTCCAGTCTAGGACTAGAGCTGTAGCAATGATCTGTTGTGCTGTACAAGAAAAGAGAAAGAGGTGTTCATTTGAGAACAGATGTTTTTATACATCAGAGTAAAAGCTGTATTGAAGAGCAGGCTGAATCCCTTCCATATAGAATGAAATATGAGCTTGACCCCAGTCCTTATCTTCAGTTACCTCCATACCAACTGGTGGCATGTTGGATTTAGCATGTAGAATAATTTCCCATCTCTTATTTTTCCCAAGGTTAATGGCATCCTTCTGGTACCTGGCTTACATGTGAACTGAATTTTGATCTGGGTTCTATTTTGAATTTTTCTCCTTCAGAGACCTAAGTAGGCAACATGAAAGACAAGTAGTTAAGAAAGAAAAAATGATGTTTCATACACACAGGCTACCAACGAGAGTTTTCTATGTAAAACATTTAGAGTGTATTCTGATTTAAAATGAGAATAACTTCAAGGTAGATATTATAGTATTTATGTAGTTTGCAAAAGAAGTTTACATTTTTTTGCTATTGTGATATAACATTTATGTGCAAGAACTACTTGTAATAAAAGGATTTGAGATGTCATGCTTCTAAATATAATAGCCTAAAATAGAGAATATTATGATTTGAAAGTGTAGATTTCACAAACTCTGTATAGTATGTGGGTCTATCTGAAGCTTTTATCGAAGCTACCTATAAAATAAAATTTTAAAAGATCTGTTCTCTCTTGTTGAGGTGCATTATTGCTTTGTGTATTTTCTAAGTAAAAATATAGTTTGTGGTAACTACAGCATAAATTTCTATTGCAGAAGAAAAATCAAATTTGCCATGAAGTACATACTCTCAATGTTTTATGTAAGCATTTTGAATCTATAGCTGGCCAAAGGGTGGAGAACTGAAATTGAATTCCAGTCCCCAAATAGCTACTAAGGGATCTTTAAAGGTTTTATTTTGAGGAAAGAACAATTTTTAGTACCCTGCAGCAGAGTGTCATATTCAGAATGGTGTCTGGAGGGGGTCCAAAGTGTGGAAACTCAGGGTAGAAATATATAGCTTTTGTTTGTATGCACACACACATCTCAGCAAGGGCACAAGAGTAAGGAAGTCGGGAATATTTAGAAATGACGAGTGGCAGGGGTCACAGAGCTCACCAAGGACCCTTGACAGACCTGGCCCTTTCTGTGTGTTTGTGTGTCCTCAGATTCTAGGATCCAAAGCTTATCTGCAAGTTATCAATATGGTGGTCCTGAAAATTTCATCTAGACCTCATCAGACCAGCCCTTGACTCAAAGCAGAGGCTACTCCCTAGCTAAATGATATTTAATTTTCTTCTTAGATTTGTAGCACTGTCCAAGATGTTCTGATAAATCTGTACTGGTGAAAGAATTTAGTACTTCATGAAGACAGCTTGCTTGGAAAGAAATAATCCTGTGGAAATAAATTGTTGAATTTTTTGGTGAATTTTTTTTCAAGTGAGTAGTAAGCCTGGAACCAGTTTGTGACCTTGAGAAGCCCTAAGCACGGAAATGATTATCACACCACCCTGCCCCCATTCATGTAATTCCAAATAAAAACAATACCAAACCTTAAAATAAATGTAAGCCTCCAGTAAAGTTCTAATTTTCCTCACACTCAGCCCCTTGATGCTTTTTATACATACTAATTAAAATTTAGAAATTCTGGTGTCCCAGCTTCATCAGCATACTGAGCACACGCTCGGCCCCGGTTGGATGGACCAAGACCAAGGACCCGACAGAGTTGGCGGCAGCAGCATCAGGCGCTGCAGGGGGTGCGGTTCTCTTCATCTGCAGATGTCACCCCTTGGAGACCACAGAGCGTGCCATGCTCCGTGTTTGTAGACCAGTGTTCCTCCTGAGCTTGAGAGTGTTTTGTTTAGCTCATTAATCCTCTAATCATTCTGGGAAGGGGACAATAAGATTACTTGGCTCTCTTTTTTAATTGGTTGAGCAGACTTAATGAAGGTGAGGTCTGTGAAGATGCCGTGAAGGTGACTTAGTGACAAACTCCGGCCCTGTTAGAGCCTGGAGTAAAAACACATGATGATGCATCTCACTGTATGCTAAAAGGAATTAAAAACAGGCAAAAGCAGATCTGACTTCTAGGAGACTTACCAGAGAATTTTATCCCTTTGTGGACCAGAAATGTGTTAAATTGGAAACCCCTAGGCTCCTTCCAATTTTACACATTGTCTTTCAGGCTTAGGAGTAAAGAAGAGTTTTTAAAGTCAGGGAAGCTGAATTTTTGTGTGAGGGATGCCCTCCTGAACTCATTAAATGGTTTGAAATACTCATAATTTAAGGCTAGTTTTCACAGATAAATAAACATTCGATGGGAGATGTTGTTGATGTGGGTTATTTTCTTTTTTTGGCCCTAATGCCATATTTTATCTTTACACCATTCTCTTCAGTGCTTTCTGGTGTATGCTTGCTCCTAAATTAACAGATGGTAAGCTACTAATGGCAGTTGTTAGAGGTTCAGAGTGTTATGTTATCTATAACTACTGAGTTAAAGGTTTATAGTGCAGGCTGAGCATGGTGGCTCATGCCTGTAATCCCAGCACTTTGGGAGCCTGAGGCAGGCAGATCGCTTGAGCTCAAGAGTTCAAGACCAGCCTGGCCACATGGAGAAACCCACCCTGTCTCTACTAAAAATACAAAAATTAGCCAGGTGTGATGGTGCACACCTGTAATCCCAGCTACTCGTCGGGCTGAGGCAGGAGAATCGCTTGAACCTAGGAGGTGGAGGTTGCAGTGAGCTGAGATTGTGCTGCCACACTCCAGCCTGGGTGACAGAGTAAGACTCTGTCTCAAAAATAAATGAATTAATTATTAATTAAATTAAATACAAGTTTATTGTACAAATAATAGCACAACGGTCACTGGAATCACATGCAGGCAGGTTCCAGTGTACGTCAATAAAAGCGTGGGTCACATCCTACTACTGCAATGCAGCGCCTCTGCATGACAGTCCATGAACATGGTTTGCAATTCACTGCACCAGCCCATTTTATAATTTGCAGTCCTTGGCAGTTGTTTAGGAAGTTGCAATTTTATGCAGCAAAACTTTGTAATATTTTTCTGAATCAGCAATTTCAACTTTGTATAATTCAAATTTTCTTAAAATGCATCTGTATTGTATTTTGTTATTGAGGTTAGAGCCTCCACACTGTATATTAATAAGATATATGAAAGAAAAAGGGGGAGGGCTGCCTGCCACAAGCCCATGTTACATCTTTGTGCATATTAGAAAAATGATATCTCTTCCTCAAGATGCTTGCATCTATTGGAAAAACTTTACTGCTACCAGCCAGAAAACTCTGCTAATACGTATGCCTGTCCACAGTACAGCTGACACATGGAGATAACACATCGGACTGAAATTCAAAATACCTGTGTTCTGAATTCTGTTCTGCCCTAAAATGCCAAAGAAACTCTAGATATGAGTGCTGATCTTCTAAATGAGAGGCTTAAATTAAATGACCTATAAGGACCTTTTCAGCTCCAAAATTCACTTTCTGTGCTTCGTCTCCCAAATGTGAATCCTGGAAAAGAGACCCAAGTCTTTGGATTCTGTGCATTTCACTCTTGGCATAGAGATTTCAAAGAAAAGGAGCTCTGTTTTCATTTGCTGCATCAAGCTTTAGTGTGCATCAGAATTACCTAGGGAGATAACCTAAAATCTGTGTGCCTCAGGCAGGTGTGAGATATGTCATCATAAATTCATCATCAATACAGGGGAAAAAGGATTTTCAAAATAAAATGGAACCGCCATCCCATATGGAAAACCTAAGAGCTTGATGATTTGCTTATGTTTCCTGAGTGAACTTAATTTGATATGTGTCAGCTGCTGTTTACTCCATCAAGCCTAATAGAAAACCACACATTTATTTTACATTTAATTTAACCAACATCTTTAGAACATTTCCTAGGTGCTGGAGACCCATTCCCCCAAAAAAACCTGCTCTTAAAAGAAAAAACAAAAATCATAAATCAAGCATATGCACAAGTACACAAATAAGAGAACTAAAGTGAAAGGGAGGTGAAATATGAAGGATGGACATGTTTGTATTGCTTTAGCCACCCTCAAGGCATTATACTGGAACACTGGTGATATTGGCTATTGGCATTGGGGTTTTTAGATTGGGCCTCTGTAATTTGATATATAATTATCTGAGACCTAGAGGAATAAAAGGAAATCATATAAGCAGGCTTCTTTTTTTCTTTTTTCTTTCTCTTTTTTTTGAGACAGAGTCTCACTCTGTTACCCAGGCTGGTGTCGCGATCTCAGCTCACTTCAACCTCCGCCTCCCAAGCTCGAGCAATCCTCCCATCTCAGCCCCCCGAGTAGCTGGGACTACAGGTGAACGCCATCACGCCTGGCTAATTTTTGTGGTTTTTGTAGAGATGGAGTTTTGCCATCTTGCCCAAGCTGGTCGTGAACTCCTGAGCTCAAGCAATCCACCCACCCACCTCAGCCTCCCAAAGTGCTGGGATTACAGGTGTGAGCCACCACATCCGGCTAAATAGGCTTCTTTTTGGGTTAAAGACATTTTACAGTTTATGATTTGGGGATCTGATACTGATGATGTAAACTAGACTTATTTGTTTGTTCTGTTTTATCTTGCTTAGGTGGATGTCTGACCACAGGTTTACATAAGTCTTAAAGATGGGACTTATCAGTCAGTATTCAGTCAGAAAAACAGAAGCCACTCTGGGTATTTGAAGCAGGAAGGTATCGAAAACAGACAGATGCTTATAAAACAGTTGGAAAGGCTAGAGGAAACAAAGGCAAAGGAAGCCCATAGTTAGCTCTCAGATTTGCAGTTAACTTTTAGGGAATTATTGCCACACAGGTCAGAAACTACTGGAAAGTGCCCCCTGAGGCTGTGAGTTGTGGAAGGACACCACAGGCCACTCCAAACTCTCAAATCTGCCACTAGTAGAAGAATATGTGTTCTGCTTCCCTCTGCCCTCCTCATCTCTAGTAATTGTCTGAGATATTTACTGGGTGTGTATTCTGGGAAATATAGTTCCCAGGCTTCCAGCCTTTCAGATACAGGGGACAGCATAGAAAGGAACAGCAATAAAACTCACTGTCAGCAGACAAGCTGGCACACAGAGAAGGAAACAAATGAAGGGGAGAGGGGTCTTCTTGGCTTCTGGAACTTTCTCCTTTCTAAGAACAATTGTATTAGTTTTTTATGACTGAGGGAAGAAGATAATATAACAGTTTTAGAGTAAGGTGAAAATTTTCTTAAAAATAAAATGCTGGGGCCGGGCATGGTGGCTCACACCTGTAATCCCAGCACTTTGGGAGGTCGAGGCGGGCAGATCACAAGGTCAGGAGTTCGAGACCAGCCTGGCCAACATGGTGAAACCCCATCTCTACTAAAAATACAAAAGTTAGCTGGGCGTGGTGGCGGACGCCTGTAATCTCAGCTACTCGGGAGGCTGAGGCAGGAGAATCATTTGAACTCAGGAGGCGGAGGTTGCAGTGAGTCGAGATTGTGCCATTGCCCTCCAGCCTGGGTGACAGGGCGAGACTCCATCTCAAAAAAATAAATAATAATAATAATGATAATAATAATAATAATAATATATTGGTACATATAACATAGGAGTTCCACATTGTAGTATAGGGATCATCCAAAGGCTGAACGGAAAAAAGCCTAAAAAGAATATAACATCAGGCCAGGCGCGGTGGCTCACACCTGGAATCCCAGCACTTTGGGAGGCTGAGGTGGGTGGATCACGAGGCCAGGAGATGGAGACCATCCTGGCCAACATGGTGAAACCTCGTCTCTACTAAAAATACAAAAATTATCAGGGCATGGTGGCGCATGCTTGTAATCCCAGCTACTCAGGAGGCTGAGGGAGGAGAATCACTTGAACCAGGAAGGCAGAGGTTGCAGTGAGCTGAGATGTAGCCACTGTACTCCAGCCTGGCAACAGAGTGAGACTCCACCTCAAAAAAAAATCATA
The DNA here is from genome assembly GCF_000001405.40 of Homo sapiens. Taxonomy (NCBI): domain Eukaryota; kingdom Metazoa; phylum Chordata; class Mammalia; order Primates; family Hominidae; genus Homo; species Homo sapiens. Next base: position 84,806,320 of record NC_000001.11, on the reverse strand, counting down.
CTTCACTTATCATTAGCTATTCAATATCCAAATCTGTGATATCAAAATTGAGTTTAGAGCATGATAAATAAAATATGTGTGGTCACAGTTAATATAAAACCATGGCAAATACATCAATACATAATCTTTCCTTTAGCTTTCCAGATGGTGAGTAGAATAGGGTCTTGAAACAATAACGAATGAGCAAAGGGAGGTGTAAAATTTGGATATGCAAAGTCACTTTAAAAGTCAGACTCGGTGTTCTATGATCTTAAAAGATGCAATGGATCAAAACCTTCTTAGGATGGAACAATAATAGATCAAAGTTTCAGGATTTGTGGGAAATAAGACCAACATTTTAATATAGAAATAAGAGTCTCATTAGTGCATCGTGGGGGAAGTTGTGACTTAGGGATGATCTTGATTTTGCAGATGAAGAAAATAAAGACTGGAAGATTGAATGAGCAGAATACATAGTGATTAAATCAAGGATCAAACTGCTCTCTAAGCTCTCCTTTAGGCCTTCTCTATTCAGAAAAAAAAAAACAAACCTAGTTTCTGAATGACTGGATATAAATTCAGATTTCAAAGAGCCAATGTTTACTGAGAATTAGCCTATTTTAGGGATTAAGAGTGTTTGTGCTTTTTGAGTAATTCAGCTCCCGAGAATGTATGTTGAAGAAATTGTTCTAAATTAGGAAGAGGTTTTGTACACAAAGGTGGCTAAAATGACGTGATTTATAGGAACTGGAAACTTCTAAACAATCTAAATATTTAAGTACAGGATAAATATAAAGCACTGTAGTCAAGTACATGGACTCTGGAACCAAATTGCTTAGATTTTCATCTTAGCTCTTTTACTGGCTAGCTTTGTGTCTTTGGGCAAGTTCCTTTGTGCCTCAATTCTTATTGTAAAATGGGAATAGCAATCATGCCTATCTCAGAGTTTTTGTGGAGATTAAGTTTTATGTAAAGCACTTAGAATAGTGCTGGGCACTGTGTATTTGCTGTTATTATTATTGATGGATTCTATATAGTGATTTAAAGTTATAGGTGTGAATAATATTGAAAAACATGTATAATGTAGAATTTGTTGATGGATTGGCTATGGTACCAAGAGATGTGTTTTAAGGATGACTTCAAAAATTTTGGTTAAAACTACCACAAAAGTGGAATTGCTTTTTCCTGAGATAGAGAAAATGCTAGGAGCAGCAGATTTGGGAGTGGGTGGGAATCAGGAATTCCATTTTAGATGTATGACATTGAATGTCACAGAGACACAATCAGGTGGAGATGTCAAGAAGGCAGCCAGGTAAATACAAAGCTCAGGGAAGAGGTCCACACAGGAGATATCAATCACCAGTATATGGATGCTGTTTGAGGTCATAAGATTAGACAAAATCGCTTAAACAGTGAGTGTTGATAGAGATTACAACAGGTCTGAGGGCTGCCAATGTTTGAACTCAGAGAAATGAGGAGTTGGTAAGGAGATTGAGAAGGAGAAGCCAGTGGTATAGGAAGAGAGCTAGAAGTCAGTGGAGACCCAGGAGAGAACAACCATGTCAGATACTGCAAGTCAAGGCTTGAGAGGTTATTGGTGGTTATTGGTGACCCTGACAAAACTGTTTCAGTAGAGTGAAAGGGGTGAAAGCCTAACTGGAAGGAGTTCAAGGGAGAACGAAAGGAGAGGATTGGAGACAGTGAGGACAGGCTATTTTTGAGGTTTTCGTTTGTTTTTTCCTGACAAGGGACCAGAGATATGGGGCAATAGTTAAAGGGGCATATGAGGTCGAGGGAGGGGTTTAAGATGGGAATTATTACAGCATATTAGCTCTTGGTGGGAATGACCCAGTGTGGGACGTATACAGGTGGAATAAGTGATAACTCAGGTGAGCGGTGACAATTGCTGGAAGGAATGGGCTTTAGGATATAGGTGGAGGAGTCTGGTTTTTGACCTGAACAGGGACATTCCATCCATAGTAAGAAGAGGAAGATAGAGTATGAATGCAGGGAGTTAGAAGATAGGGTGAGAATGTTCACTTTTTTCTCTCCTGTCTTATCAGTGAGTGCCCCAGATCATTAGCAGAGGGTAATGGTAAAGGAGGAGGTTTGAGGAGATGAGAAGGTAAGAAATCACGCTCCCGAGGAGTAGGGCAGTGAGTGGACCAGGAGACTTAGTAGGGCTGCTAGACCAAGTCCCCCTCAGTGAGGCTGGGGGGCACAGATTTAAGGTGCTACCATTCAGAAAGGCCATATGTCCTTTCCAGCCCATCTAGCTGCCTGGATGTCGTTATGCTGTAGACAGAGTTGAATTATTTTGTCAGGCAATGTCTGGGCTCCACTAATTAAATCAAAATCTCTGGGGTTTGGGCCCAACCATAGATACACCCAAAGTGATTGTCATGTGCAGCCAGGGTTGGGAACCATGGATTAAAGCAAGAGGGTGAAGGGAAGGTACAGTGAAGAGCCTGAGCTCCAGGAAATACAGCTGTGAAAAATTCAGTGTATGTTTAATTACATAAGCGTAAGCTATAAATTTAACTGCTATTGTAATTCAGAGAACAGGAGCCAAGGAGGGGGAACCAACATTGATTGAGTACCTACAATGGGTTAGGGATTGTGTTAAACACTGTATATGCTTAGTCTTGAAACAACTGTTGGAGATAAGAATTTTAACCTCTACTTTAGAGTAAATATGCTGAGACTGAGAATGAGGATGTGAGTTGCCCACAGGTCCACAACTAATAAGGAGTAAGGCCAGGATTTGAATCCAGAAACAATTTACTCTAAGATTATTGCTTAAGATTTTGTGGAAGATGTGTGACTTCAGTTGTGTGTTAAAGGAGCAGTAGAATTTTTATTTTGGAGATGTAAGAGGGTTTCCTAGCTAGAGGAAAAAAAGCTCTGGAGGCAAGAAAGAACATGAGGAATTCAGGGAATATTCAGGGAGAAGGATGCCTCCCAGGGCCAAATGGGTTGAAATAAATGAAAGAATGAATGATCTAACCAACCAACCAAGGAATAAATGAATTAGGAGAGTGTCTGTCTTCAATGGCCAGTTGGCTGGGCGGCTGAGCATGTACTCAGGGCCCAAGGAAGTTGCATTGCAGAATAGCTAAGTGAATGTTCCCTGCATTGTTTATACAATTCATTATTTTTAAAAAATGATAGCTGTTGGGCTCCATTGAGATAAAAGATGGCCCCTGAGTATAAGCTCATTATTATTTGTCACCATGGCTTGGGAGCTTTATGTGTCCACAGAATCTCAGAATCTATATTTCCCCAGCTTTAATCTCAGGGTCGATATCCCAACACAGCACTGCTCATAATAAATAGCTAGTGTTAAATGATAAAGTAGGCTACTGTGTTTTATTTTATTTGGCTTTCAAGCCAATCAGTTTTATAGCTGTCTGTCTGAATGCTGAAAAAAAATTCTAGACACAGCTAAGAATCATAAGAAAAACTACAATATACTGACAAAATGAATCTTTATCTTCCCCACTTCTCCCACAGAAAGAGGCCCTAGGTAGATTGTTGATGATACATTTAATAAGATGGATGCTTATGGAAATGGTCCTTTTGATTGGTTTGCAGAGTCACTCTATTTTATGCCCCTTTGGCCTGTGGATACAGCTTCTCATCTGCACCTGTGTGATGTGCTCAGTGACAACATTGCTTTGCTTGCCTTCTCACAGAGATTTTTTTTTTGCTTTGATAATATGGAAAATCATAATTCCTGAATTAGAGCATGAAAAATAAAATATGTGTGCTCACAGTCAATGTAAAATCATGGAAAAAAATGGGGTGTATGAAAAATAAACTAGCATCTGTCCTCATCAGCGCTGCTGATTAGAAAGCTGCATTTCTCCTTTCTTTGCCTAGGTATTCCTTTGGGAGATACATGTGGTTCAAATAAGGTGGCATGTATCTTGCCTGTCCTTGGGTAGAAAGCATTCACTTTTGGGTTTTGTTGTTGTTGTTGTTACAGAAAGAAAAGGACTACAAATGACCCAACCAGAAAGTATGCAATAAATTCAACATAAAAGGCAACTTCTAAGTGTAATTGTTATGCTTGTCTGAGTTTCAGTTTCTGTCCCAAGAAAGTCTTTTTAGTTTAAGTCACTCATTGATGCAGCTTGCACTATTCAACCATTTATAGAGCAAACTTGTATAAAGTATCTACCATGGGCTGAACAGTGTGCTGGGAACCGAGAAAGATAGTGAGGGAAATAAAATGGACCCTGAGCTCAAAAAGCACTTACATTAATGACTAAGGCTCTTCCAGTAAATACTGTGAAGCAATAGGCCGGGCACGGTGGCTCACGCCTGTAATCCCAGCACTTTGGGAGGCCGAGGTGGGCAGATTGCCTGAGCTCAGGAGTCCGCGACCAGCCTGGGCAACACAGTGAAACATCGTCTCTACTAAAATACAAAAAATTAGCCGGGCGTAGTGGTGTGTGCCTGTAGTCCCAGCTACTCGGGAGGCCGAGGCAGGAGAATCGCTTGAACCCAGGAGGCAGAGGTTGCAGTGAGCCAAGATTGTGCCACTGCATTCCAGCCTGGGTAACAGAGTGAGACTCCATCTCAAAAAAAAAAAAAAAAAAAAATACTGTGAAGCAAGAAAGGAGCAACATACTCACCGATTGCCTATGCTGTCTCTCACCAGATTTATGACTATCAAAAAGTGCCACTTGGATTGCCTTTATACATCTTGCAGCATATGGTATAAAACTCATTATTGCTATGGAACCAACTAGAATTTTCCGAAGAACCAATGACTTCAAGGACATTTGTGTATGAGATACACATGTTCTGTAGATTATATAAATGAATTACAGACATCCTTTAAAAATTATTATTGCTATCCTGAAGCATACTCCATGATTTTTGTTTCCATTATTATTTTTTAATTATTAAAATCCATTTGGTTCCCTTACAGAAGAATGCAGAAAGGCAAAATATGTTTAGCTAGAGAGGACGTGTTAAGGGTAACTGGGAGTGCTAGGACTGGTGTCACCTGGACTGCTAAGGGGTTGACTCCATTGTCATCACATGGAGGAAATTCCCACAGAGTTAAATGCAGACTCTAGCACCATAGAGGACACAGCTCACTGGCTTCCAGGACACCATATTCCCTTGGTTGCCCCTTCCAAGTCTCTTTTACTGGTTTTTACTCTTCTCCCTGGCTTGTAAATGCTGGAGGGCACTGCCGCTTGTCCAGTTCTTTTTTCTATCTACCCTCACTCTTTTCATAATCTGATCCAATCATATGGCTCTAAATAACATCTATATGTGGACAACTCCCAAATCTCTATCTATGGCCAAGACCTCTCCCTCTCAAACTCCAAACTCATGTAGAAAATTTCACTTAAACAGCTCACATACATTTCTTCCTGCCCCCAAACAACTCTACCCTCAGTCTTTCCCATCTCAGTTGATGGTAACACGATTCTTTAGATTGCTCCGGTCAAAAATCTTAGACTCCTCTTTCACTTCTCTTTTTCTCACACTTTTTGTCCAATATGTCAACAAACTGCCTTGTTTCTTTTTAATGTAAAACCAGAATCTGACCACTTCTCACAGCCCCCCATGCTATTTCTTGGTCTGCGCTACCTTGATCTCTTGCCTGGATTCCTGCATACCCTCTCATTGGTCTTCCAGCCCCTACCCTTCTTTCCTACATTTATTCTCCACACTCCAGCCAGAGTGAGCCTTTTACAATTCAAGTCAAGTCATGTCACTCCCCACTCTGAACTTTGCAGTGGCTTCCCATCTTATTAAAGTGATGTCAGCGACCTTCACGATTTACCCCGTCACCTCTTTACCTCTCCTCCTTCTACTCTCCCCCTCACTCACACCATTCCCATTACATCATCCTCTTGCTTGTCCTTGAACATGCCAGGGATGCTACTGCCTCAGGGCCCTTGTGCTCTTGGTTCCTCTCCCATATATCTGCACATGGCTTACTTCCTCAGCTCCTTCAAATCTGTACCCAAATGCCTCCTTCTACATGAGACTTTCCCCAACCATCCTATCTAAATTGTAACCCACCCCACTCCTGGTTCTGACCTTCCCCCTTCCTCTGCTCCATTTTTTTCATAGTACTTATCATCTTCTAAAACGCTCCCCCTACTAGAACCTAAGCTCCATGAGGCAGGGACTGTTGCCTCTTATGTTCAGTGATCTATTCCAAGCACTTAGAACAGCCTGGCAGATAGTAGGTGTTCTGTAAATATTTGGATATAAATAATAAAGAATGAATGTATAATATACAGGAGGGAACCTCCTTTTAAGGAATATTTCCATCTTCTGGATTTGTTTTTTAAGCTTTACTAAGGTATAATCGATACAAAAAATTGCACATGTTTAATGTACACATTTGATGAGCTTGGGCATATGCATACACCTGTAATACCATCATCACAATCAAATCACTAAACATATCCATCACCTCCAAATATTTCCTGGTGTTCCTTGTCTGTCTGTGTGTGTGCATGTGTGTGTGTGTGTGTGGTAAGAACACTTAACATGAGATCTATCCTCTTAACATATTTTAAAGTGTGCAATACTGTACTGTCTCTTTCCATTGAATTTGTGTTCATATAGTCCCTAAGAGAGAATGGGAACACTCTTCTGAACAACTACTCTAGGCACACAAATTCAAGTATTCTGTTTTGTTTTGTTTTGTTTTGAGATGGAGTCTCGCTCTGTCACCTAGGCTGGAGTGCAGTGGTGCCATCTCGGCTCACTGCAACCTCTGCCTCCCAGGTTCAAGAGATTCTTCTGCCTCAGCCTCCTGAGAATCTGGATTACAGGCACCTGCCACCTCGCCCAGCTAGTGTTTTTTGTATTTTTAGTAGAGACGGGGTTTCACCATGTTGGCTAGGCTGGTCTTGAACTCTTGACCTCAGGTGCTCTACCTGCCTCAGCCTCCCAGAGTACTGGGATTACAGGCGTGAGCCACTATGGCTGGCCAAATTCAAGTATTCTAATCACTAACACTTATCGTGTGCTTATAAGTTGAGCACTGTGGGAAGCATTCTGCAAGCATCATTTCTTTAAATTATCACAACCCAATGAAGTAACTTGGAGTGATGTTACCTCCGTTGTATAGACAGGAGTACACCAGTACACCAGATCAGAAAGGTTAAGTGATTTTCCCAAACCACACAGCATATATAGGTATATATAAATTTCTTTTTCTTTCTTTCTTTCTTTCTTTCTCTTTCTTTTTCTTTCTTTCTTTCTTTCTTTCTTTCTTTCTTTCTTTCTTTCTTTCTTTCTTTCTTTCTCTCTCTTTCTTTTTCTTTCTTTCTTTTCTTTTCTTTCTCTCTCTCTTTCTTTCTTTCTTTCTTCTCTCTCTCTCCCTCCTTCTCTCTCTTTCTTTCTTTCTTTCTCTATCCCCCCTCCCTCCCCCTCCCTCTCTTCTCTTCTCTTTCTTCTTTCTTTTCTTTTCTTTCCAGGGTCTCAGTGTATCACCCAGGCAGGAGTGCAGTGGCATGATCATAACTCACTGCAGCCTCAAACTCTTGGACTCAAGCCATCTTCCTGCCTTAGCCTCCTGAGGAGGTAGGACTACAGATGCAGGCCACCATGCCTGACTAATCTTTTTCTTTTTTTTTAGAAATGGGGGTCTTACTATTTCCTTCCTTCCTTCCTTCCTTCCTTCCTTCCTTCCTTTCTTCCTCTCTCTCTCTTTCTTTCTCTCTCTCTCTTTCTGTCTCACTGTGTCACCCAGGCTGGAGCGCAGTGGCATGATCATAGCTCACTGCAGCCCTGAACTCTTGGGCTCAAGCCATCCTCCTGCCTTAGCCTCCTGAGGATGTAGGACTATAGGCATGGGCCACCATGCCTAATCTTTTTTTTTTTTTTTTTTAGAAATGGGGGTCTTACTATGTTATTCAGGCTGGTCTCAAACTTCTAGCCTTAAGCAAACATCTTGTTTTGGCCTCCCAAAGTGCTGGGATTGAGTTTCTTTATCACTTCACAATTCTACCTCCTTTAAGCAAAGACCTATTGTCAGGATTGGTTCTTTGGTATTCCTTTTTCAACAGTTGCCGAAAGCCCTAAAAGAATTCTTACCCAGCTGTTTGAAACAGTGGAAAGACCTCAGAAGTGTGACCAACTAGTCAGGCAAAGCCATAAGAGAGGTGCCAGAATTCAACTGGATGTCATTTTAATAGCCCTAAGAATTAATTATCCTAACAGATTGAAAGAATGCAGGATTCTATCTATCAAGTTCAAATGTCTTTGGAGAGAATCAGAAAAAAAATACATATATATATACACACATATATATGTATATGTATATACACAAATATACATCTATCTATCTATCTATCTATCTATCTATCTATCTATCTATCTATATGCAAAACATAATTGGGTGAAGTATGCAGTCCAGGGGAGTGGGGTGGGGGTGCTGCAGGCTTCTGTGAGGAGATAAAGAAACTCAGTAAAGTAGAATGTGAACTTGGGGACATGGACTGTGAGACACATCATCTGAAGGGCATTGATAGTGCCGCTATAAATAGAACGAAGCATGTTCCAGCAGCATTGCTGATGGCAAGGCAGTTAGCTTCCCAGACACCACCTCTGGGCGTTACCATGACTCATGGGAGTGACAGGTAGCTCTTTTGTGGGTGCAGTGGGTTGAATGGTGGCCCCTAAAAAGATATGTTTACCTCCAAATCCCTAGAACTTGTGCATGTTACTTTATTTGGAAAATTGATCTTTGCAGATGTAATGAAGTTAAGAATCTTAATATAAGATTATCCTGGAATACCTGACTGGGACCTAAATCCAATGACAACCGTCCTTATAAGAAAAGTGGAGACACGTGGAGGCAAAGGTGCTGTGAACATGAAGCTAGAGATAGCAGTGATGTGGCCACAAGCCAAGGAAGCCCGGGAATGCCAACAGCCACCAAAAGCTGGAAGAGGTAGGGAGGGATTCACCTCTAGAGACTCCAGAGGGTCATGGCCCTGCTGACACCTTGATTTCGGAATCCCAGCCTCCAAAATGGTGAGAGAATAAATTTCTGTTGTTTGAAGCCACCTGGTTTATGATGATTTATTACAGCAGCCCAGAGAAACTAATACAGTACAGTGGGTAAGTATCACCCAACCCTAGGCTGATTTCAATTCAAGTATGGATGTGTTTAAGGAAATTAACCTGTTGTATATTAATCCTTTATGTGAGATAGAAGCACGTATTTGGTATCTCACATGCATGTAATGTTTAAGACAATTTGGCCTAATAATTAAAATGAACAGATTTTAGATTCCAATTTATAATGTGTGAATAATTGATTTAGTTTTAAAGTTATAATATTACTAAGTTTATATAGGTCATTGAAATATTTAAAGGAACTTAAAGTTAACCCTATTTATGAGTTTGATGTATAGGTATTCTGTGTTAAGTACTCAGAAAGATTATATTAGTTTAATCAGAAAATTGAAGTAATTTTAAAAGATAAATAGAATATATTGATTTATAAATTCAATTTAAAATGCTTGAGGATGTTAAATTAGCTAAGCTTATAAATAGGATCACATATTATTCAAAGGCCCTTAACACAGTTCTTGAAAATATGACAGACCATATGCAATATACAAGAAACAATAAGATTTTATGCAGAACATAAAAGCTTTAGGAAAAATAGGGCTTATTAATCTGTAACTTTAATAATTTAATATTAACTTTTAAAAAGCAACATTAACCTCTGAATAGTTTTTTCTGCCCTCAAAACCACTCGAGGGCACCAAAAAAAGCTCATACATAATAGAAACAACATAGAAAAAACTTTCTAATTATTCCATTCTTCAGGAACAGGGCCAAGGGAGGTGGTCAGCAGAAATGAAGCACTGTCCGGATGGTGTGAAAGTGATCTATGCTGTGGTCAGAACAGTGGAAGGCCATGAACTTTGCCGGCGAGTGCCTTTGTTCTGAGTCAAAGTGTTCCTCGGTATGTGAAGGACATCAGGTCCAAAGGCTGCTAGTGACTGAACAGATAACGTGAATTCCATCAAAGCTTGACTTCTGCTCATCCCTACCTCTCCTCCCGAAGATAGTACGGTAAGTGTGGCATCCAGGCAAGTGTCTGATTTTCTGTTTCTTCTGTTCAATTGAGGAACCAACTCTGTTCCTACAGAGAAAACCACAGAATGATTATTTTGGAGTGGTAACCATTTCTGGCTTTAGTACTTTAGTTCCCATTTATTGCTGCGTGTATCCTTGGTTTCCTTCTGTGTGGTTGCTGGTCCTAAAATCTCCATTTGCTTCCAAGTTGGTCAATTGGTCAGGCCCTTTCTGTCTTGAATGTGGCCAGACTGTGACTTTAATTTCAACTAATACAATATGCCAAAGGTGATAGGATGTCCATTCTGGATTATATTACCCAAGACAGAAGCTTACAGAGCTTAAATGTTCACCTTGCTGGGAGACCCTGTCCTTGCTGGCTGTGAGGAAGCAGGCTGCCATATTGTGAGCACGGAGAGGAAAGGTGGCAAGGAACTGAGAGCAGCCAACAGCTGACAGCCAGGAAGAATCTGAGGCCACAAGGTGCTGAATGCTGTCAACAACCACATGAGCTTGGAAGCATGTTCTTCCCCAGGCAAGCAGAGGAATGAGAACCCAGCCCTGGCTGGCACTTGATTGCAGCTTGCTGGTGAGACCCTGACACACAGGACCCAGCTAAACATACCTGGACTCCTAATCCACTGAAACTGTGAGGAAATAAATGCATGTTCTTTTAAGCTGCTGATTAAGTTGTTATACAGCAATAGATAATTAATACTTAATTATCTAATTAATACATATTAATATTTTGGCAACATACACTATGTTCCTAAGGTACCTCGGAAAATCCTCAGAACCATGTGTTGCAAATGGCAATGCTGTGGTACAATGGGGTCTCCTAAACACTGATAATGGGTGATGCAATCACTTTGCAAAACAATTTGACAAGAGCTAGTATAGGTGAGACTGTTCGTCTCCTGTGACTCCTAGAAATATGCCCCAGGAAAACTCTTGCCCATGGTACCAGGTAACAAATTGGAGGCAGCATTGTATTAACAACAAATTGAACACAACCCAAGTGTTCACCAACTGGAGAATGGACAAATCAATTGTGATTCTTCATAAAACAGCTATAGCAGTGAAAATGAAGCCCTCTTCATTAGGAAAGGCTTTCCTCTTAAAGCCACTGACCATGTCTTATTCATCTCTGAGTTTTCTCATCTGCAAAATAGGATAATAATAGTGCCTACTGCTTAGGGCTATAAATTAGACACTTTAAGTCGTGAGCTTAACACTGTGCCTGACATTTAGTAAGTAAATGCTCATTAAATGCTACCTCTAAATCTCCAGGGCTTCGCACAGTACCTGGCACATACCTTATAAATATTAATTGAATAAATGATTAAATGCAAGGATTGATGCAGAAGGCCAGTACATCAACACCTCATGTCAAAAGAAGAAGTGTCTGAAGTTATCATCCCTCAAGGTCTGCCAGAAGGAACCAAACATGTAGAAAACAGACCTCCCAAGGTGATTGAGCAAACCCAGGCAGAAGCTGGCCTCATTAAGGGGGTGTCTGCTAGAGGCTGCTTCTTGGTTCTACCCACTCTGGGCACCAGGTTCTTGACTGGAATAGATAATAGATATGCGGATTTCAGCCAAGTGCAGTGGCTCACACCTGTAATCCCAGCACTTTGGGAGGCCGAGGTGGGCAGATCACTTGAGGTCAGGAGTTCACGACCACCCTGGCCAACATGGTGAAACCCTGTCTCTACTCAAAATACAAAAATGAGTCTGGTGTGATGGCGCATGCCTGTAACCCCAACTACTCAGGAGGCTCACTTGAACCTGGAGAGCAGAGGTTGCAGTGAGCCGAGATCGACCCGTTGCACTCCAGCCTGGGCAACACAGCAAGACTCCATCTCAAAAAAGAAAAGAAAAGAAAAACATATGCAGATTTCACCCAGGGTTCTTTAAATTCGGGGCTTTATAAACCCATACCTTGTGTTAAGAACAACAAGCAATGTACATACCTATAGACAATGAAATATATACGATAATCGGCAGATCCTGATATGACTTTTTGATTCCATCGTTTGAAGGATCAGATAATGATAATAACATTCAATGCTGCATTTGCTCTTTCTCTCATTCACTATGGCTTCATGCATTCTACCCACAAAGATTTATTGAGGACAACCCTATGCCAGTCACTGGGTTAAGCCCTGGAATACTGCAGTGAGCTCAACAGGCCTGCTCACTCTCCTCAGGCTTGCTTAAAGACAGATCTGGTCTGAACCTCTTCTACATGTGCTGAGCAGCCCATACCCTCCCTGCTAGCTGTTTGTGCTATGCTGGAATGTCTTGCTGTTGTTGCTGGGTCCTTATATTCTCTGCAAAGTCTTTATCCTTTGCTTGTGTACTTGCTTCAAGAAGATTCTTTAGGTCGTGAGCCTTGACATCAAGTAAATTTTGAGAAAGGCTTTTCTCCCTCCAGTGAGCTCCTTCCCATTGGGCTGGCAAGTGATTTTGTAACTAATCGCCTCTTTCACCTGGGTGTTCATGTTTTCTTTTCTGATGTTTTCTCTGAGGGATGTGAGCTGGGAAGATAGGAGGGAGTTTTATGGTTAAAAGGTCTTTTATGGCTTGGAACACGAGCTTTAACTGGATCCTGCAATGAATAACACCCCACACTTGCAGACATTGTGAAAGGTAGATGGTGGGTATCTGACCGAGTATATTCCATCAGCAGCTCCTGAGTATTAGAGTGTGGTGAGCTGATCACCAACACAGCACAGAGAGAGAGAGAGAGAGAGAAGAAGAAAGCCCAGCTACAAACCATTTGACATATCCCCACATGGCCAGGGAGGATCAGCTCCTGACACTCTAGCCTAGTCTACAGCTACTGCTTATTTTTTTTTTAGCAAAAGCTTTGGATCCACCAAGTGGAATTATAAACAATGAGATTTGCTTTAATGTTTTCTTTTTAAATAAAATAATGCAATGAGCAGCCATGAACCTACCACCCAACATAATAAATAAAATGTTATAAATATCATTGAAGCTCTCTCTGAGTAGGGTTGCCAGATTTAGCCAAAAACAAACAACAGCAGTGAGAAAACATGCCCAACTAACTTTGAATTTCAGATAAACAATGCATAATTGTTTAGTGTAAGTATGTCCCATGCAATATCTGGGACATACTTATACTAAAAAATGTATTCATTGTTTAAATTCAAAGTTACCTGGGCCTCCAGGTAATGGCAGGCAACCATTACCCTAAAGTTGGCTTTATCATTCCATTGCTGTTGTTGATAGCCTTACACATTTATATGTATCAATAAACAAAGTATTGCTTTCCTTGCTTGTTTTCCAAGCTTATTAACATATCATATTTCATGAATTTTCCTCTTAACATTCTATATCTGACATTCCATTTCACTGCTGATTCATTTATTTTCATCACTATAGCTGTTTTATGAAGAATCACATTGATTTGTCCATTCTCCAGTTGGTGAACACTTGGGTTGTGTTCAGTTTGTTGTTAGTACAATGCTGCCTCCAACTTGTTACCTGGTTCTTATTTGCAAGAGTTTTCCGAGGGCACATGCCTAGGAGTCATAGGAGATGCGCAGTCTCAGCTATACTAGCTTACATCACATCAAATTGTTTTGCAAAGTGATTGCATCACCCATTATCACTGTTTAGGAGACCTTGTTGTACCACAGCTTGTCAACACTTAAATCTGTCAGATTTTTAATTTGTACCACAGCTTGTCAACACTTAAATCTGTCAGATTTTTAATTTGTACCAATCTGGTGGGCATAAAACTATCTCTCATTGTGATTTCATTTTTCTTTTTCTTGGTACTTATGAAATTAAGATACATTTTGTATATTGATTTGCCATTTATGTTTTCTTTGCTGTGAAAAATCTTTTCATTCCTATTGGCCATTTTCTATTGGGTTGTTTGTATTTTCTCTCACTGATTTTTAGGACTTCTTTATGGATTCTCAATACTAATCTTTTATTAATTATATGCATGGAAAATATGCCCTCTAGATTTTTGGCTAGTCTTTTCACTTTATGGTGTCTTTAGGTAAAAATTAGAAATTTTTTATTTGAATTTCTTTAATTTATCAATATTTTATTTTATGGCTTGTATTCTCTGAGTGTTGTTTAGAAAGTACTCTCTTAGCCAAAGTCACATAACTATTGTTCTATATTGACTTTTAAACATGTTAAAGTTTTTCCTTTTACATTTAAGTCTTTATTTTACCTGGACTTTATTTTATAAACGGTATAAGGGAGGGATCCAATATCATTTTTTTCCAATATGGATAAACTCTTGTTCCCCCACTATTTATTGAGCAGTTCATTCTCTACCATGCCTTCTACCCCGGCCCCACACCTCAGCCACTATGCAATGCCTGTAGGTAAGTCTTCATATATTCATGGATTCATTTTGGGGCTCACTATTCTTTCCTCTGGTCTATTTGTTTATCTGTCTTCCAATACCACATTATCTTATTTACATAGATTTATCATGACTTACATGATTTACATAGATTTACCACAAATTGCAGGGCAACCCCTACCTCTACCCCATCTCACACACACACACACACACACTTTGTTGTTATTCCTCAAAAGTATCTTGACTATTTGTAGGCTTTTACTCTTCCATGTAAGTTTTGAAATCAGATAATAAGTTTCATGATAAACAATTGAGATATTGACTGGAATTGCATTGTATTTAGGGAGAATTGGCATATTTATGAAATTGGATCTCTCTACCTAGGAACAGTATATCTCTCCATTAGTTTCCGTCTTCTTTAACATTTTTCAATAGCATTTTTTCCATAAAGGTCTTGCTTTTATTTTATTATAGTTTTATTTCTATTGTACTGGTATCTTTTAAAAATTATATTACTACAATTTTTACGGCTGCTTTATGGAAGTGCAATTGATTTTTGTATACCCAGCTACCTTGCAAAACTTAAACTCTTTTTAACTCTAATAATTTAACTATAGATTTTTAAAAATATACTTCATAGGCAATCATATTATCTGCTAATAATTATTATTTTATTCTTTCTTTCCAATTTGCGTACCTTTTTATTTTCCTTTTTAAAATTTTACTGATGAGAATCAGTAGAATAATGTTGAATAGAATGATAATATTGAGCATCTTCAACTTGTTCCTGATTTTAAAGGAAATAGTTGTAAGTTTTATTATTAAGAATATTATCTGCCATAAATTTTTGTTTTTGACCTTTATCCTGTTAAACGAGTTACCTTCTTAATTATAATTTTCAGTGTTTCTACCACAAATTAGGTTGCTTTTTCTCAAATGCTTTTTGCCGTATATTAAAGTTATAAAATTGTCAGCTGGGTGCGGTGGTTCACGCCTGTAATCCCAGCATTTTGGGAGGCTGAGGCTGGCAGATCACCTGAGGTCAGGAATTTGAGACCAGCCTGGCCAACATGGTGAAACCCTGTCTCTACTAAAAATACAAAAATTAGCTTGTTGTGATGGTGCGCCTCTGTAATCCCAGCTACTCAGGAGGCTGAGGCAGGAGAATCGCTTGAGCCCAGGACGCAGAGGTTGCAGTGAGCAGAGATCATCCGACTGCACTCCAGCCTGGGTAACAGAGTGAGAGTCTATCTCAAAAAAAAAGGAAAAGGAAAAGAAATGATAAAATTGTCTTCTTTCTCTAATCTGTTAATATAAGGAATTGCGTTAATTAATTTTATAATGTTAACCCAGCTTTGCATTCCTGGGATAAACCCAACTTAGTGTGATGGACTTTTTTTCATACCCTGCTGGATTTGGTCGATAATAGTTTGCTTAGAATTTTGGCGAATTTGCATGTGAATAAGATTGGCCAATAATTTTCCTTTCTAGTACTATTTAATTTGATTTTAGGATCAATGTTATACTGATCTCAGGATGAAAAGGAAGAATTTAAGAATGGTGAAAAAGGATGTTAAATTAAGTTTCAATTGAAGCACCAAGATTCAAAAAATATAAACTTTCAAAGTGAAATGTTAGACCAAGATTGCCTTTCCAAAGGAAATATCCAGGAATCATTCCTTCACACTAACAACTCCTTGCCCTCTCAAGCAAATAAATGACTAGAAAGGGGAGTTTAATGGAGATTTGAAGAGGATTTCTTTGGAAAACATTGCTAGTATGAACTGAGCCAACTGAGAAGGGATTCAAGTTTTCCCTGTGGAAAGCTCCATATGCGTCCTCTCCACCTAGGCAGGTCAGCAGACTTGTGTCCAGCTCCCATCTAGAACACAGAAGGCAAGAAAAGGATAGGCTAAGTGGTTTGGTGGTGGATTGAATGAAAGATGCTGCTGGGCTTGAATCAGCTCGTAATCCCCCAGTTTGCCTGGACAAAGCAGTACGATGGTTTCCTTGGCTAGGTATACACAAAAGAGCTGGGAATTGGGTCATCATAGATGAACTCAGAGTCAGGTCAATTGGAGAGGTGAACAGGTTTCATTACAGCATGAGCTAGAGGTGGATACTGCTTTCCTTGGCAGTAAGGGGTAGTAAGTGAGCAACTTCCAGAACACTGTGCATTCATTCAGATCAAAGGAAATCAGCAGTGATAGGGTAAGAAAATAGGTTCTCCAAAGTACACATGAAAGCATTCCATAAGAGAAAGAATCAGCTTCAAATACCTTGCTGATACCAGTTAAGTAAGGACTTTCTGCCTGTCTTCCTTCCCCATCTCCCAGACCTGAAGAGGATCAGAAACAGCAGTAAATGGATGGGGGATGTATGAGTTATTAATTGTCTTTCAGCTCATTCCACCCTTTTATTCCCTGCTTTTTGGTGCTTGGACAGGAACCCTGGAAATCATTTTTCTGCTTTGCCAGCTATTCCCTGTTGGGCTCTGCCAATTGGGGTGCTAGAGGGAAACTCAAAGGCTGGAGGAGCAGAAGGAATGTGCTCCTCCCAGTTGCTTGCTTTGGACTTCCTTTCTGCTCACAGTTCTTGTGAGTATCACTCCAGCACTGCACCTTCACTGCATTGGTGGTAGTTCCTTCCATAGCAGCAGCTGATCCAGTTCGCTATTTCTACCAAACTTGCAGGACCAGACTTGTCACATTCACCCCTTTAACCTGAGACATGACTATGTGCTGACCAGTGCCCCCTGTTCAGAGTCCGGGCCCCAGCCTCCCCCGGCTGCTCTTCTGAGCTGAGACACCACCATCAGTCAATCATCTCCCCCTCCTCAGGGTCAGGGTTTCAGCTCACCAGGATCCTTTGTCTCAGCTTTTAGATTTCAAGAATTCCAATCTCTTCCTTTTATTTCTTCAGCCCTGGGAATGATAGCCATTTCCTCAAATGATTGCTTATGACGCCTTAGCATTCTCTTCTCTCTTCTGTTACCTGGTTAGTAGCTTTATATCTAGTTAATAATTCTTTATATTAAATTATTTCTCAAATAACTGGTGTGTTTTCTGTCCCCTGACTAGTATAGGGGAGGGTGATTGACAAGGTGAGACAGAAAAAAGGAAGAGATTGGATTTTATGTCTTTCCCCCAAACAGGTGGCCTCCCTGCCATAGCCCTTAGCTGGGGGAAAAGAAGGTAGAGTGAAGAGAAGTCTTAACTTTTAAATTGAAAGCCTGGGTTTTCAGGAGTTGAACAATGAGAACACATGGACACAGGAAGGGGAACATCACACACTGGGGCCTGTTGGGGATGGGGGATTAGGGGAGGGATAGCATTAGGAGAAATACCTAATGTAGACAACAGGTTGATGGGTGCAGCAAACCACCATGGCACATGTATACCTATGTAACAAACCTATACATTCTGCACATGTATCCCAGAACTGAAAGCATAATTAAAAAAAAAAAAAGCCTGGCTTTTTATGTCAAGTTACTAATTTGAGTCTGGGTTTGTGTCTGAAAGTGAATAAAGGTATTTCTATTACTCAAGAACAACTATAAAAGTGAATATTTTATAGTTATTTTATATAGGGCTTGCCTGAGTTTTCATCCAATGGCAGGGGAAGGATTGCCTTCACTGAGAAGATTTAAAGGGGCCATAGGAGACAAAACTAATAACTTTCTGGATTATATCCCATGAATCCTGCTTCTTTAACATACTGGTAAATCTTCAGCTGTAATTGAAACGCCTTGTAAAACTCACAAATAAAACTCTCTAAGCCTAGGATTTATTTTGTGGGAAGATTTTTACTGCTGGTTATACAGGCTTTCTATTTCTTTTTTGGTCAGTTTTGGCAAATTATATTTTTCTAGGAATTTGTCCATTTAATGAACATTTCCAGACTTATTGGATAAGGTTTTTCATTTTATATTTTTATTATCTTTTTGACCGTTTGTATTCTACTTTCTCTGCTAATATTATTTGTGCCTTATCTCTTTATATATTTTTTTAGTTTCCTTATACAGTCTTTCCAGAAGTTAGTCTCTTCAAAGTGTTAATTTTTGGCTTCGTTGATTGTACTTATTGTATCTATTATCTAATTTAAGGTTGTCATTTCCTTCTTTTTATTTTCTTTGGGAATTTTGTTTTCTTTCTACCTTCTTATGTTTGATGCTTAGCTTATTAATTTTATGTTTAAAGTGGCATTTTTTCCCAAATAAACATTCAAACCTATAAATTCGTATTCATACATACTTAAGAGAACCCATTGCCGTCCTCTCCCACAGCTGATTTCTCACCTGCATCCCTTGGTCTGAATAAATGCACTGCAAACTGCACATTTTTAGTGTAGTTGTCATACAGTTCTTAGCTTTTTATATTTTCCTGCACAATTTCTTTTTGACCCATGAGTTAAGTAATATGTTTTCTTTTCATTTTAAAACTCTTTATTTGAAGCATAATATAGAAAATGTAAATATACACATTTAATACAGAAAGTGTACGTGTTATAAGTGAATGGTTTGAAAAACTTTCATAAACTATACACACCTGTGTATCCACACATTAGAATTTAAACACAGAGGTCAGGCATGGTGGCTCATGCCTGTAATCCCAGCACTTTGGGAGGTCGAGGCAGGTGGATCATGAAGTCAGGAGTTTGAGACCAGCCTGGCCAACATGGTGAACCCCGTCCCTACTAAAAATACAAAAATTAGCCAGATGTGGTGGTGTACACCTGTAATCCCAGCTACTCGGGAGGCTGAGGCAGGAGAATCACTTGAACCCAGGAGGCGGAGGTTTCAGTGAGCCGAGATCGTGCCACTGCACTCCAGCCTGGGTGACAGAGCGAGACTCCATCTAAAAAAAAAAAAAAAGAATTAAAACACAGAGATATGAGCACTTTTTTTTTGTTGTTGAGGTGAAATTTACATAGCATAAAGCTAACCGTATGAAAGTATACAATTCACACTTTAGTGGCATTTAGTACATTCACAATGTTATGTAACTACCACCTCTATCCAGTAACAACACACTTTCATCACCCCAAAAGAAAACACTCTATTCATTAAGCAGTAATTCCCCTCTCCTCCCAGCCCCTGGCAACCACCAATCTGCTTTCTGTCTCTATGGATTTTTATGTGATGTGTTTTAAATTTCTAATTGTATGAAGATTTTTAATTATAATTTTCACTTTTTTCTAACTTAATTGTGTTGTGGTCTTTTGATACTTATTCTTTGAATTTGTTGAGATTTGATATTTGCTTTCTGCCCTAATTCACAATTAGTTTTTACAAAGGTAATATGTGATTTTAAAAAGAATGTATATTCCCCAGTGGTTGAATGCAGTGCTCTATATAAGTCTTTTATATCAAACTTGTTAATCGTCTTGTTCAAATCTTTATAACTTTACTGAATTTTTTGGCTGTTTGATCTATCAGTTACTAAGAAAGACATGTTAAAGCTCCCACTCTGATCACAAATTTGTCAATTACTCCTTGAAGTACTGTCAGTTTTTGCTTAGTGATAGACTTTTCAGATAACATGGAGAGGCGCTAATCAAAACAGAAACTTCAGATGTGCTAAACGTGCAAAAAGACCATCAGCTGTGTCAGTTTCTTTCTGCCGTATTAGCCTAGTTTGGTCAAAGTCTTCCCAGAATAAGGAAGCCCTGGCTCTTGCACTCTCTCCCCTTCTCTTTTCCTTCTTCCCGTTCCAGAAACGCACATGAGTGAAATCAAAGGAATGGTCTCAGAAGATGCTGAATAAAAATACTCTAGATCCTTGGAATTTCCTTATTTTATTTCAGCAGTGGAACTGAAAATATCTTTAAGTTATTGTTTCACTAATTACCATAGAACTTCATAATTTCCCATTTTCCACAAGGGTCACTGTGCACCAAGGATGGTGCTGGACTGAGCATAGGCTGAGTACTGTTGGCATCTCATGTCTGCTATACTGCCTCTTCATCAGGCAGTGAATGATGAATTGAGACTCAGTCCACTTGCGGGGAAAGGCCCCTATCATCCCACAGCTGAATTCACTCTGTTTACTGCTACTTTAGCTAGAACAAGAAAGAGAAGCATATGTGGTGAGTTATTGAACTTAGTTCAGCATCTTTATTCCTCATTATCTTCTACATCTAATTCAATTGCTAATTGAAATAATTACTGTCTTTACCTGGTAGAAAATTATATTGTGCTTGTAAGACAAGCTGACTGATGTGCTTTGAAAAAGCAGCAAAACATCTTTCACCGTGCTTGGATTCATTTCCCTTAGCAGATGATTTCAGTAACTTCACATCATTTTTCATCTGGCAAGTCAACAGAAGCCAAGTTTTGAGATAAATAAAGCTTGTTTCTTTGAGTGGAACAATGCCATGGAAGGTGAAACAACTTCATTTTCCATGCAGACACGCAGGCCCGTCTTGTACTTGCAGAGAGAGGTGCCTGGATTTGCTCAAATCAACTTGTGGTGCTCATATTAATTGGTTGTTTGAAATGGGCTGTCCAGCTGGCAGCTTTCAGGGCCACTGGAATGGCCCTGGGGTTGCTGATTCATTTCTCTCCCCAAGACTGAATGGCCTATTATTTGACCAGGAGGAAGAAGCCAAAGTAGTCTGCCCCAACTTGTTGCAAGTGATACCCAAGAAGGGGGCCAGCTCTCCAGGGCCTCTCCTGACCTTTGGAGGAGTCATACGCACCTTAGCACAAGAAATGCCTGGGGAACCGGTGCTGCATCTGGGACCCTGGAGCCTGCAGGTCAGAGAAGTTCATGAGGTTTCCTCAGCCAGTGTATAGTGGCAAGCAGAGATACAGTGATTAGCTGGGGTGTGCGAACCAGTCAGACAGTATAGTCTACAGACCTTTGGGCTCATTACCCACCTCAAGAACCTATGTCTGCCCATTTTCCTGATGTGGCAGCAAAGACAAGGACTGTGGGGCAGATTATCACTTGCCGAGTATTGTGGTGATTAACACTTTAATACTTATAGAGCCCTTCTAACATTGAGTCAATCTAGATCTATTTATTGAATATCTATGACATACTAGAAATAGTGCTAGATTCTTTGAAGGATATAAAAATACAAATCTAACAAGATCCCTGCCTTCAAAGTCCTAACAGTATAATTAGGGGCCAAGATATAAACACAAAACATGAAGGAACAATACCAAAGTAATTAACGTTAAAAACTGCCAAATTCATTTCTCACAATAGATAAATTTCTCTCTATCCTCAGAGGTATAAATGACCTGAACGTTTGGCAGAACTATCCTGTTAATCATAATGAACATAGACAATATTATTGAGAGCTTACTATAGGTAGGGCATTTTTAAGCACTTTACTCATTATTTTATTCAATCTTCAGAAAAATCGTTAAAACGTAGCAGAAATCTCAGAGAGTGAGGCATGATCCAGGTTTAAAACTAGACATTACAATAGACAGCCCTCTTTTGAATGTCAGCCTTGGCCTACCTTGTGCCCAAGCCTGAAGTTGATTCTTTCCTATGCTGTGACACGTTGCTTATTGCATTTCAGAAGTTGATCCAGGATGTCATATTATGATACTGGTCCGTAAGTGTACAAATAGGACTGGGTACTTGGATGTGCAGAGGTGTGTTCATGATGGTAAGAGTGCATTGTAGCAGTTAAGGACAGGAGGTGGGAATAAACTCTTGTTTGTAGGAAAGGTTTGTGGAGAAAGCTTTTCAATAGAATTCAAAAGGTCTGTTTACAGATTAGGAACTAAGGTAGAGACTGAACATTTCACCCTATAAACTGTCGACCGAGTATCTCAAGATTAGCTATCTAGTTAGCCCATTTGTTGGCTGAAGGAGCACCACGATTATAATATGGCTGGAGAGTAGCTGCTTGCAATACCAGTCACATGAGACTGTGATCTTAGAGGGCAACTCTTCAAAGTTCTCAGGAGGCTTCCTTAGGGTAGTGGAATAATGAGCAAAGAAGATGTAAATCTGACTATGTCACTCTTTTGCTTCAAACTCTTGTAGGGTAAGGTCTTATAAGATAAGGGCCTGGCACTCAAGGCCCTCCTCAGGTTCGGGCTTCAGACCCTCTTCAGCGCCATCAACCCCCACAGGCCAGCGTTCACGCACCAGTAGCACTGACTGCTGGCTACCTGCTCCATCTATCAGCTCAGTGCGTGTGCTGACCACCTACTGTGTGCCAAGTACCGTGCTCACCTTGGAGGCACATTGCCACGCTGTCCTATGCCCACCACTCTCCAGTCCCGGGGAACCTGCCACATGTCTGCCAAGGCCAACCTCAGGCTCCCTTCCTTTCCAGGAAGCCTAGGTTGAGTTCCAGCCCCCTCTGTACTCCCATTTGTTGGAATAATGCCTCTGGGTTTGACTTACTCCCTAATCTGTTCCTTAAGAATGGAAACACGTCTTATTCATTTTGGATCCCCTCACCTGGCATAGGGCTTGGCACATGGTGTTCAATAGACGTTTGTTGAACTGAACTGAAGAGGAAAGTTCGGTTGGGGTCATAGGAGAGGGTCATGTATGCAAGGTCCCCTGGGAGAGGTGGGGGCGGGGTAAGATGGGGCAGGATAAGTGTTAAGTGGCTTATTTGTTCCCTGGTCTCCCCAGGGAGAGACATAGATTACTTGGCTTCCCTTTTCTGGTCAGAAGAAACTTGGCTTCCTGTAGGCTCATGTCCATGCCCACCAGAGGCACGTCCTACTAGAGAGGGTGTATGTGGACTCAGGCCCAGCCCCTCCCTCTCACATCGAGAGGAGAGTAAAAGTGAGACCTGCATCTACCAAAGATAAGGATGTGGACATAGGACAGAGGGAGGTTTGAGTCACAACTCAAGATTCTATGGCTGGTCGTGTGACGAATTGTTTAGTGATCATTGTCAGGAAGCCCCGTGTGGAAACTGGAGGGGTAAACACCCCCCAAAACCGGGTGGCCCACTGTCTGCCACTAGCTAGCACTAACAATCACAATGAGAATGACAGAACACTGCCTCCTGTTCTAAGTGCTTTATGTATACATTTAACAGGAATTGCAAGGGAAGAATTGGTCCACGTCTGTGAGAGGAGGCCTCTGAAACACGCTGACTTCACAGAGGAGAAGGAATGAGCTCAATTTCAGGCACCTCCTCCGGGGCGGTCAAGAGCAGAATGAAGGAGAACATGTATGGCCCTAGGTTGGCCTTGAAGAATTAGAGAAGCTGCTGGTGCCCCGCCCCCAACCTGGCCCAACAGCAGAGCCTCCGCTAGGGGGAGCCGTGGAGACCTGATTTCCTCTGCGCCGCCTTTCCTAATGAATACCCCAGGGGAGCTCCTGGCAGCACCCTGTGGAATGGCCCCGCGGAGCTCTGGCCCCTGGAATTTGCCCTTCACAATTATGCTCCCTGCTGGGAGAAGTATAAATATGGATGGAGCGTGGCGTCTTTAAACATGGCACAAGAGTAGAGGAACAACCAAGTCCAAATGATAATATTTTGAAACGCCACGGGGAGCCTCTGCTGCTGTTGAGTTAGAATTGCTTCTCTTTCATGTGATTAAAGAAGCCCTTGTGGGTTTTTGCTTTTCCTTAGAGACATACCATGGTTTCTCCCCCCGCACTACAGCACTGAACGATTTTTAAGGTTTCTAAGTGCACTCCATTTACATTTCCTACTCATTCTCTAAATGAAAGGCAGGCTAAAACACATTAATGAGCTTCCTGATTACTGCAGCCCTTGAGAAATTAATTAATGACAATGCAGCCACACTTAACATTCCTCCTCCTTTCTGAGTTTGGAAAGCGGGAGGAGCTGCGCTTTAATCCACGCCCAACCAAGAGCCACCATGTGTCTTTAGCCGAAGAGTTGGTTTGCCAGGACACATTTCAGATTGCCTTTCCTAGAGAAAAGCCATTCCCTGAATAATTAAGAGACAGCATCTTTTCCATTGTCTGGAATTTTTTTTTACCCTAAATTAGGTGGTTTAAGCTGGTAGATGTTGGGTATGACTTGTTTCTTTTCTTTTCTTTTCTCTTTTTTAAGTAAATAAGTGTCAAGCACCAGCATTTACCTGGCCCTTCCCTTATAATAATAGCCAACACTTTAAAGTTGCTTGTCAGGGACTGTTCCAACTGCTCTGTCTTTCTTTGCCTCTCTCTGTGTGTACATATTTACTTATTAAATCTCACAATAACCCTGGGGTAGGTGGTATTATTATCCCCTATTTACAAAGAGTGAAGAAGAAGAACAAGACATATCCACGGATCTACCAGCTAAAACTACCTAATTTAGGACTTTAAAAAATTCCTAAGCCATTAAAAAAGATGCCATCACTGAAGAACATACAGTGAGAAAGTGGAAGAGCCATGATCTGAACTCAAAGGGATTGGCTCAGAATCCATGCCTTAGCCAGTAACTACATCTACAGCCAGCCATATGTACATTTGTATCTTGAGTTGTTTTTATTTTTTAATCTGTGTTTATTTTATTATTTATTTTCTATTGTATATATTTAAGGTATACAACATGATGTTTTGATATACATAGTGAAACGATTATTGCAGGTAAGCAAATTAACGTATTCATCACCTTCCCTACCTTCTCTAGTTACCCTGTTTTCAGTAAGAGCACCTAAAATCTAGTCTCTTAGCAACTTTTCAATATACAAGACTGTATGATTAACTATAGTCCTCCTGCTGTATGTTGGATTTTTAAATTTATCCTTCCCACATAACTTTGTACCTTCTGACAAACTCCCCATTTCTTTCCCCTCCCCACCCTTGGTAACCACTGTTCTACTCTGTTTCTATGTATTAGACTTTTTGTTAGATTCCACATACAAGTGAGATCATGCAGTAGTTTTCTTTCTGTATCTGTCTTACTTTTTAGCATAAAGTACTCCAGGTTCATTCATGTTGTAGCAAATAGCAGTATCTCCTTTTTAAAGGCTGAATAGTATTCCATTGTAGGGATATTGTAATATATATAGATATCACAATTTATTTATCCATTCATTCATCAATGGGCACTTAGGTTGTTTCCACATCTAGGCTATCATGAATAGTGCTGTGTTTACTGAGATGTTTTCCACTCATCTTCATTCCAGGTGCCTTCAGTGCTGCTTCTGCCTGCAGAGATGTCCTCCAGTCACCATACTTTGCCTCCGGTAGGCTGGCTGAGGACAGAGAATAGTCAACACACACAACCACTGTTAGAGCGTGGGTAAACCCCAGAGTGATTTTATAGCATGCAGGCATTTCACATCCAGCAGATAGGCATTGGGCTTTGCACCATGCATTTCATCTTGTTTCCTCCTTTCTTATGGGGAGAGATGAAGGAAATCCTTTGCAAGAAGCATATTCTCATGGGGGTGTCATCGCCGCTGAAAACAGCGGACAGAGGTTAGCAAGACTGCTCCTATTGTTACAATAAGGACCCTGAGGCTTGGAGGACTGCTGACTTATTTGCTCAGGATTGCGCGGTTTGGTTACTTTGCCTTCTTGTTTTTGTTTTGTTTTTTATGGGACTCTGCAAACGTGTAAACTGACTGATTCCAACCTGCTGTTCTTTCTTCTGCACCACTCTGTGCCCATGTGGTTCTGGGGATGAAGCATGCACCTAGGTGGCTACCCTTGGAGAGTCCTTTCTGGTCTCAGAGCTGACATAAGAATGAATCAGCCTTACAAGTGTGAGTCCCCGGTGCCAGGGCCTTGAAAGAATTGCACAACTTTTTGGCAGCCCCAGGAAGCCCTGAAATAAAGCTGGGGACCCAAGTGTACTCTGTGGGCATCCTGGTAGCAACAGCATTCACCACATAAAACAATGAAGCCACAAAGAGGAAGCCACCCAGAGAAGCAGCTTTGGCTGGACAATGTTTCCAAGCAAGAGAGAGAAAACAGTTAGAAAAGAAAGTGGCTTTTCATGATGAGCAAAGCTTCTTCCAGGCAAACTAGGTCTCAAAAGTATCCTTTCCTCCGCACGAAGTGCTGTGGGCCTGTGAGCGCTCTCCCACTACAACAGAGTGGAGCTGTGGGTCTTGGAGGAGGTTGGGAACAGAGGGTTTTGGACACAGACTAGATACAGGCTCAAGTCTCAGCTCTGCCGTTTCCTAACTCTGTGACAGGAGTGTCCAATGTTTTGGCTTCCCTGGGCCACTTTGGAAGAAGAAGAATTGTTTAGGGCCACACATAAAATATACTAATGATAGCTGATGAGCTAAAAAAAAATCGCAAAAAAAAATCTCATAATGTCTTAAAGTTTATGAATTTGTGTTGGGCTGCATTCAAAGCCGTCCTGGGCCACTGGTTAGACAAGCTTGCTCTGAGGCAGGCTAGGTTATCTTTCAGCCTCTGTTTCATCAGCTATAAAATGGGAACAGTTGGATCTATGTCACAGGACTGTTGTAATAGTTAAATGAGACCATGTTTGTATGGCGCATAAGAGGCGTGCAAAGTGCTTGATACATAGTAAGCTCTTAATAGATAGCAGCTGCTTTTTAGAGTTCACAGTGCTCCCAGTCAGATTCTTCCTTCTGCTAAGCACTGGACCCGCGGCTCCCTCTGAGATGCTCTGCCCTAGGCAACCCCGAGGCTTGCACCCTCTAAAGTCAGGACTCTCTGCTCAAAGGTTGGCTCTCCGGAGACTGCCCCTGACCACCTGACCCAGAGCAGCTCCCATCCTTCTACCCCACTCTGCGTGTTTCTTGGCATCTTTCACTATGGGAAGCTGTGCTGTAGATTACTGTGTTTATTTGTTTATTGTCTATCTCCTTCGCCTAGAAGAGCAGTCCATTCTTTTTGGCACCAGTGACTGGTTTTGTGGCAGACAATTTTTCCATGGACCCAGTGGGGGTGGGGAGGGATGTTTGGGGATGATTCAAGCAAATTACACTTATTGTGCACTTTAGTTCTATTATTATTACATTGTAATATATAGTGAAATAATTATACAACTCACCATAATGTAGAATCAGTGGGAGCCCTGAGTTTTTTTTCCTGCAACTAGATGGTTCCTTCTGGGGGTGTTGGGAGACAGTGACAGATCATCAGGCATTAGATTCTCATAAGGAGTACACAACCTAGATCACTTGCAAGCACAGTTCACAATAGGATTTGCGCTCCTATGAGAATCTAATGCCATAGCTGATCTGACAGGAGGTGGAGCTCAGGTGGTACCACGAGCAATGAGGAACAGCTGTAAATACTGATGAAGTTTGCTCACTCACCCACCACTCACTCCTGCTATGCCGCCTGGTTCCTAACAGGCCATGGGCCAGCAGTGGTCCGTGACCCGGGGGTCAGGGATCTCTGCCCTAGAACATTAGCCCCATAATGATAGCAACTGTGTTGTGTTCACTACTGAATCCTTGGTGACTAACACAAGTGCCTGGCCTAGGGAAGGTACCAAGTAAATAGTTATTGAACACATGTGAATACATGGTCTTCCTCCTGTATAGATTGTGAGTCCTTACAATGGCACAGCGTAAAACTGTTCATCAGTTACAGAAACTCGTGCAGATCTGGGAAAGCCTTGGGCTTCAGAGCCACCAGCATAGTGACCAAGATGGCCTGGTCACTTGATGCTGAGCTGTGCTCCATAAGCCCTACAGCCCTGAAGGGCAAAGCAATCACTGCATCGGGCTGGAGAGGGTCTGAAATGGCTCAGCAGTTTTCTTTGTTAGGAAAGTTACAGCCTGAAGTGACTACACACAGGCGCTCCCCACCCTGTGTGCTTCCCAGACTTTGCCTCTTCACCCTCCCTCCAGGATTCCTTATTAGGTAATGCCACTTTCTCAAGGACAAAAAGTAGGTCTTAAAACTAACCTGTGACAGCGGATAGTTTACAGCTTTTAAACTTGGAAATTATTATTATTGTTATTATTATTATTATTTGAGATGGAGTCTTACTCTGTCTTCCAGGCTAGATGCAGTGGCGCAATCTTGGCTCACTGCAACCTCTGCCTCCTGGGTTCAGGAGATTCTCCTGCCTCAGCCTCCCAAGTAGCTGGGACTACAGGCACCCACTACCACACCCAGCTAATTTGTTTTTTTTTTTTTTTATTTTTAGTACATATGGGGTTTCACCGTGTTGACCAGGCTGGTCTTAAATTCCTGACCTCAAGTGATCCACCCGCCTTGGCCTCCCAAAGTGCTGGGATTACAGTTGCGAGCCACCGCACCTGGCTTTGGAACTTATTTTTTAATGTCACCACATAGCTTATTTCATGATTTTCTATAAGAAAAAGCAAAAGTGAGATTTGTTCCTGACCCTACCTGGCTGCCATCATGGAGCTGCACCAGCCTGTGCTCACATGTCACAGCCCCATGGACGGCACCTGGTAGATGGAGACAAGGCAGCTCCACAGACAAACAGCTGCCTCTTTACTGCTGCTGCCTGGTGAAGGCCAGAGTAACTGAGGGCCAGTGAGTGCTAAACACCCCGGCACTGCCCTGCCAAAGCTCCTGGTCTCACACACTCCATTAAGATCAAGATCAAGGGTGAAGAAAATATAGAGTTTGATTTGAGCTGCACCATAAGCACCCGAGAGCCACCAGTGGAGATGGAATTACAGGCCCTTCTGAAGGGCATGGAGTTTCTCCAAAATGGAAGACTTGGCTATTGCAAGTACTTTCAGAGGTTGCAGTAGGCACATGTGTGGCTTCCCAAAGCCCTCACAGATCAGAGAAATTGAGCAAGAGATAAAAATACATAAAATAAAATAAAAAATAGCAGAAAGGAAAGAAAACATGTTCTATGACCTGTAGCATGGCCCAGCAATTGCCGTAATTCAAGTTAGAATTTTGTTTCTCTGTATCTACCATGAGCAGTGAAATCAGCAATGCAAGTTGAGCTGCCTTTGGTCCTCGGCTGTCAATTAGTATCTATGCTGTAGGAATCCTGGGCAGCAATGCCATCTCATTTCCATGTTAATATATGTGATATATAAAAGGTAACTCTGGCAGTAACTCTGCGGAAAAGTCTTATGAAAGGATGCAATTATTAAGAGCTATAAAACCTGAATCATGGATTTGGGCACAGAGAGAACCACAATTGTCATGATGACGTGGCGGGGTAGGCCTGTGAATGTGCAGTAAAAGCGTTTTCCCTTAGCCATCCCACGTAAAATCACATCCCACATAAAATCACATGTCTCTGGTCTCACTAGACAAACCTAGCAAGACTTCCTGGGCAATATTCAGGTCTCTAGCTGTGGATGGAAGGTTTCTTCTTTTTCTTTTATTCTCCTTTTTTTCTCCACAACTTGGAATGTTTCCTAGATAAACATAGCTCTTATTGAAGCAAACCTCTATTTGGGGTTTCCTGGGCAGGGTTGTGCCCCAGAAGGAGTGGCCTCTGTCCAGGCAGTTATACCCTCCCATGCACAAATATAGCTCCCATTGTGGACAAGTAAGATACTGACAATCTCTTGTCCTACCCATCTCCTTGGAGCTTGGATGACTTGACCCACCCCCCAGATGCTGGTCCAACCAGATGGGCAGGCAGACAACACAATGCCTGGCATGCAGATCCAAGAGTACACATAAGAGCTGCGTGTACTTTACCCCCCAAAACAACTCCAGATGTTAGGTGTTGGGAGGATTCGCTGGCCCCTCACCCTGAGTTCAACTCACTGCCCATCTAGGAAATGACTTATTCTTACTCTGTGCTCCCATGGAGCCTAATACTTAAGTCTACCATAGCACCTGCATCATTTTGTACTTTTCTTTTCATATCTGAAGGCCCCATGAGGATCCACAGGAGACGCTGAGCCTGGCACTGGGCCAGGAATATAGTAGATGCTGAATAAATGCTTGTTGAATGAATGAACATTCATATATTTGTCTGAGGACCTTCCTCCTGAGGGTGGCAAGGAGTTACACACAGGAAACGGCCTGTGCATTGTCAATAAAATGCAGAGAACTGCGTGATGGATCCGAACATGAAATATGGCCAGATGGGTAAAGAAGCTTGACATGACAGCTTGGGTCAGGAATCCTTACAAAACTTACCTTATCCAATCCCAAAGGCCAGGATGCCTTGAGTAGTTGGGATTCAGCTTAGTCTAAACAATGGAATGTGCTCTCTTCTCTTGCAGGGTCCTTCGTGGAGTTCTTGGAGACAGGAACTTAGTCCCTGGTCTCAGCTGGTTTATAGCAAATTCCCATTTGACAGTGATTTAAGGCCCCTCAGGACCCAAATCATGTTCAGTTTCTAACCTCTTGGCAATAATCATGGTGTGGGAATACACACAGCTCATGTGCTGCAGACATCCGGCCTCTTGGGGTTTCCTTACTAGAGGAATGTGTGGTGATGGCCGCAAAGAAGGGAGCAACCTCCCAGAAGAAAGCCCAGGCACCTTGGAGTGTGAGTAACTACTGGGCTTTTTTTTTTTATTATTATCAGACATCTTGGTGCATCAGAACCAGGACCTGTAAAGGGTGATACTTCGTTAGCTCAAAGAGCCAGGTGGGAGCAGGGTGGACCCTGTGTGTGAACCAAGCATTTCTCCCGCTGAGAGGTGGCGCTATGGAGAGGATGGAAAGGGCTTGCCCTGAGGCACTGACTGGAAGGTGAACCGTGCTCCTCCGCTGCTCTGGGAATTGGCTTTGGTCATTCCTCACTCCTGAGTTGCCTGCCAGCCAAGGGAGGTGCATGTGTTGGGGGAGAAATCCCATCATCATCAACAGCCAGGCCCAGGCCTTTCCTGTGGAGGGTGTATAGCCTGCAGAGCTTAAGGAATTCCTCCCTAGCAGCAAGTCAACCACACCCCCTTTACCTGGGATTTTGGCAGCGTGGATGCTTTTTAAAAGGGCAGATTTTATTTCATTGCAAACAAAAGAGGCATTCAGGCTCCAGGGCACTCTCCTCCCTGGCAGCATCCTCCCAGGCCTGGTGAGAGCGCTCCCTGCAGACCCTCAGGGCAGGCCACACTGCCTCTCAGATGAAGGAGAGGAAGATGGATGGACCGCCACGGGCAAGCCTTCTCTGTGGGAACATAAAGCCCAGCATCTGCTTGGGGCAGAAGCCCCGGGGTGCCCCATGAGAAAGCCGTCAGGGCCCTTGGTGTGCAGTCAGGCAAGCTGATGGGCTGGGCAGCCGCTGCCAGTTAGGGAACACAGAATGCTCCTTCACAGTACAGCGAGTCCATCTGGGCAGGAGCCCTCCACAGCCGGCCTCTCTGGGAATGTGTCTTTGCCATTTGGAAGGCCAAGAGCCATCATCGTTCATTCAGACGCCTCCTGTGAGGCCAAGGAGGCTGGTCCATTGTTCCTGCCTCCCCATTCCCTCTGTCCTCCCACCCACAGCCTGGGGTGCACCTCTCCTCCTCACAGCTGCTGCCTGTGAGTTGTGCAAGGCAGACCTCTTAGAAGTCTCGCTTGGAACTGCCTAGAAGGAGATAGGCATGTTTTAATGGGAATGTAGGCATTTGGTGTGTTTACTGATGTTTCCTGGACAATCTCTTGTCAAAGGTTGAGCCTTTCTGTGTCTCAGAAAGGGAAAAACACATGTGTGGGTTTACACATTGCTGAGAGAGCAGGCAGAAAGCTGCTGCCAGACCATCAGTTTCATCCTCATCATCGGAAAGTATCTTCTAAGCACCTGATTGCCCATCACACCAAATAAAGAGGAAGTCTTGTGTGGGAGGCCACTGAATTGGAAGGGAGGAGGTGTGGATTCCTATCCCTGCTCTGCTTCTAAGCAGCTCTGTGCCTTTTCACTCGGCATGGCTTCCCTTGCTCCAATTCCACAGTGCTATCCCAGATACAGCCCTTCCCCTCTGCATTCCCCAGCCCCTGCCCACAGCAGACATGGCTAATCAATCATGTTCCCATGGCGCCTTACAGCATGGCCTCAGAGACATTAACACAGAGCTCCCGACAGCCACTGCTCACTGATTTGAAGGGCCCTCAAGATTAAACCTGTTTGCTATCACTTCCCTAAAGGAATTTATCACCTGGGAATGAAATTCTATACCAAAAACAGTCCAGGTCACTGGAAAACAAAAGGTTACAAATCAAGAAAGCAATAAGCCCACCTGAACAATCTGGACTGACCAGGTAAGTCATACTTTGGCAAAGACAGATATCCTCGCTTAATCATTTTACTGGGACAGATCCAAGGTTAGAGAAAGTGAAACATACCCTAAATCAGAAATGCCCTTTCTTTCACATATGGAGTTCTGGGAGGGAAGGTACCTTACTCCTGCCCTCTTCGCTTCCTAGATGGGGAGAGGGAGGCCTCAGTGGTTGTGACTTCCCAGGCCCCTCAGTTTGGTGGTGACCTTGTCAAACAAGAGTCCAGGATTTTTGGTCCCCAGCCCAGTGCTCCTTCTACCCACTGACACCCATTGTCTTGCTAGGCAAGGAAAAAACTCCACACTGCTATTTAAAGCACAGGCAATTAATGGTTTTCAATAGTGTTTGTGATGAAAATTAATGAACTATGAGCCAAAGGCCCCTCATTGAGATCATAAAAACAAATGACTAAACCCTGCGTGATTGGACAAGGGAGTCAGAGTTCCTTCATGTTATTGTAACTCCACCACTCCCTTTGGTTATGTGGGGAGTCACCGAACCTGTTTTCAAACCTTGGTTTTCTTGCCCGTACAATGGGCACCAACAGTGCTGCCTGTACTTGCCTCGCCAGGACATAGAAGCCAAAAGCAAACGACATGGAACTTCCAGATCCAGATTAACAGCAGTCACCATGAGCGGAGTGACATGATGTCTGCTATTAGGTAGTCAGCTGCAATTCTGGAATCACCGGCAACATTTGACAAATCCCAGGATATGTTGGGTAAGTGCTCCACAGCTCAGATGATTCCAACTCTAAGGGTCATGCAGGCTTCAGAAGTAGTTTTTATTTAGATAGGAGTGTCAGGGGAGGAACCTAGAAAGACCTTCCGTCGGATGAAGGATTTCTCCAAATCAGCAGTACACCTAAGGGGTCCCCTGCCTCTTTTTGCTTCAGGTATCTGGAGGAGGGTTCTGACAGCAGGGCTGAGGCCCAGGATGACAGTGCTGCATGCCTGCCTAATGACTGTTAACCAGGGAGCAGCTGAAAGCGTTAAGGATCAGTGTGTAACAGATCAGCATACAGAGAGAGTACCCCAAACACATCTCTTCTGGGTGGTATTTATCAGGGCACCTTGCTGGGTGTTCTTGACATCAGGAACCTGGCTTTGTAACCACATGCCCACCGCACTAAGGCCTTTGCCATAAGGAGTGGCAGTGTGTTCACACAGCATATCTTTCTAGGACATGTATTAAACATGTGTTCCTCCCAGGTCTGGCAGTTTGCCACAGTCCTGCAAAGGGCTGAAATGGCTTTGTTCTCTTGTTCCAGTTGAGGCGGGACCTGAACGCAGAAGGGAGAAAAAGGCCTCTGAGTCCACCACTAGGTGGCGCAAGAGCTCTACCGGTGAGACTGACTGGTCCAAGGACCTCTCAGGGAAATTCTGCAAAGGAATTTGAAGCTTCCAAAAATTTCAAAGCAGAATAGGGCCTTAGAGGTCATCTAATCCAACCGTATCATTTTAAGCCAGGAAAGTAGAGCTCAGAGAGATGAAAGATCTTGCCTGGCATAAACAACTGGTTAAGTGCAAAACTCTAGTACTCCAGCCAGGACTAGAAACCAGTCTCCTCCTCCCAGTCAATCTCATTCCATCCAGCCACCAGGTTTTCCCCTCTTTAGGCATATTTGTCTTGGATTCTTAACTGCATTTGATGCAGGAGTTGGGTTTGGTGTTGAGAGTTAAACACAGAAAGGGAGTGAAGTTGCCAGGACTACTTCCCAGCAGTGTGGACAGGGCCTCTTAGATGATACACGGGCGTGGGCCACAAGGTGGCCTCTTAGATGATATGGGGCCTCTTAGATGATACAGGGTGTGTGGCCCTGCCCATCTGGGCTTAGTCTCTGGGGATGCTGTTGTCCTGCCCTGAGATTTACTTGGTCAGATCATGAGGGTCAAAAATGTTTGGGGATCCAGCCAGGAAATCTTGATTCCAGCTCCACTCTGCCCACCACTGGCCAAATGCAAGTTGCTCATGTCCCTAGGCCTTGGTTCCTTGGTTTACTAAAGCAACAGGCAAAGAGAGAGTGAACCCCACCATCAAGTTTCCAGCCAAAGGCCATGGGGATCCAGAAAGTGAACCTGCAGTTATTTTTGTTCTATTTCATATTTCTATATTCATTATTATTTTATATATGTTCTACCATGTTCCATAAAGGAATTAAGTACAACTGAACTCTACAGAAATTTCATAGATACCAAGAAATGTCTGAGGATAATGATGATTCTTTCAACAAAATCTATCTAAAAATATTTATCGGATGCCAAGTTTGTTTTTATAGACAAGTCTACTTTATCGGACACTCCATCAACCAGAAATCACATTTATCTGGCACATCTGCACGTTTTCTGCCAAGTAGTAATTCATATTTATAATAAATGAGGCATTTACGCTAGTGGAGAGGTTAAGAGTACAGAATCTGCCCTGGTTTGAGCTTTTTGTCTGCCAGTTCTGAGCTGTGTAATGTTGGGCAATCGGGTACCCTCACTAATCTCCACACTTTTCATCCTCAAACTGAAATTTATTTTGATTCCAAATTACCTTATAATGATAAATAATGCCACATAGAACCTAGGTCTTATTTTCTAATATATTCTTCAACAGAAGAAACCAGGGCTTTTTTGGATAAGGACTGAGACAGGAAATATCCAAGACGAGCCTGGAGACTGTGGTGGTACCAGAAAGTAAGGAAGTACCCCAAAAAGGTTGATGGCATCTTGGACAAGCATGGGAACTTACCTGAAAGAGTGGCCAGAATGGGAACAATTTATGCAGCAAAATAAATAACCATAGCATTGGATTATAATTTATAGAGTAAAATTAATATCTATGAATCAATAATTGTATAAATAAACAATATAATAAAATAGAGAAAAGACAAATCTTCCTTTCTGAAGAATTACAACTAAAAAGGAATGCAAATCGTATAAAATCACCTTTAGAGTACCATAAGCAAGATCCACAGATGGATGCTAATATTAGTGGGCAGAAGTTTGAAGGGAAATAGAATATTTGAATAGCCTCAAAGTATCTCTCCTAAGACACTTACTAATTATAAAGGGAAAAAGTAATGACTTAACAGTGGGAAAACCAGCAGGCAGCACCTTAACCCACTGCTCAGGGTCAACATCACCATAATAAGACATATTGCCCTCATGTACGCCTGCCACGATGAGCTGAGTGCATCACTTTCATGGCATTCCTGCCAAAAATGCATGATCTCAATCTAATCATGAGAAAACATCAGACAAACCCAATGTAAGAGACATTCTACAAAAATACCTAGCAATACTCTTCAAGAAAAGTGTCAATGTCATGAAAGACTAGGAAAGACTGAGGATGTCACAGATTGGAGAAGACAGGAGATATCACAGGAAAATGCAGTGTGGGATCCTGGATTAGACCTTGGGGGAGAAAAAGACATTAGTTTTCCTGGAAGAGGGGATAGCAAGAGAAAAAGACATTAGTTTTCCTGGAAGAGGGGATAGCAAGAGAAAAAGACCATGGAGTCCGCCAAGATGTGGACCCTTCAGCCTCTGGCAGGAGGGAGCCCAGATCAGCCAGCCTCCGCTACCCCCAGGCTGCATGAAGATTATCACTTTTAACATATGCCACAATGGGAAAGAAGTTGAACAGCACCAAGGTTGAGAACCAGACGACAGAAAACTATCCACTCCCCCTCCTGCTTCCATCTTGCAGATTGGCAAAGGGCCAAGAGTAGCCTCTGAAATTAGTGACTCCAACCAGGCTAGAGCTGGTGAGTTCTGGGCATAGCTCACATCTTGTGGGCTCCAATTTTTCAGAGATGGCTGAAATACAGGATAATAGGGAAAACTCTAGAATAAAACATATCAAGGCTTAAATTTCACTGTCAGCTGTGATCTTGGACAACTTACTTAATCTCTCTGATCTTTGGTTTCCTCACCTATAAAATGGGGATTAACCTCATAGAGATGTTGGTTGGAAGGATTAAACAAGGCACAATAAAGGCTCAATTAACAGGTTGTTTGCCTCTTTCTGCATTAGCATCTTTGATGGTGTTGGCAGATTAACAGCAGGCGACCCTGGAGGCATTAGACTTCTGTTTAAGTTAAGACTACAGCCTCATTGGGTGGAGTTGCTCAGTCTGTCTGGTTGAAGAGCATCACTAGCCACAAATGGCCAATCCATACAGAGAATAAATAATAAACATTAAAAACAAAACACTGATTTAAGGAAGAACTCAAACCCAAACAGATCTAAAGTCACAACTTAGATGGGTCTTGGTGGTGAAACAGGGCAAGCAGAGTAAAGCTGGGGTGAGGCACGTGCCTGTTGTTTCGATGGAATATTTATTCTCCCAGGCTTCCTTAATAATGAGCTACAGTTATGCATGGTGACACCACAACCAGCTTCCCTTGCATGTAGTTCCCATAGACTAAATTTGGGCCAATGAAATATAAATGGATGTTGCTGAGTGGGACTTCCAGGAAGACTCTTGAAAGAGGGAAAAATAGTTGAAATATGATCTTTTTCTCTTCTTTCCCCTCCCTCTGTTTTTTTGCTCCCTATCTGTAAAGCAGGTTTAATGACTGGAGTTATTGTAGCCATATTTGAGACTGAGGCTGGTTTGAGGATGGAAATCATATGCCAAAAGAGCGAGATCGAAGCACTTGAGTTCCTGATGACACTGTGGAACTGCCAAATCTATGCAATCTACCTCCACACTATATACTTATTGCACATTTTTTTTCAGTCTGTTATTAGCAGCCAATAGAGATTCCTAACTGATACAGGAGTATGGAAAGATATGACAGAGTGAATTTTGATGACTGATGCTGATCATCCCAGTGTAAATCTCTTTATCTTGAACTGTAAAATTTCTATGCATAAGGAAGAAAGAAACCTTGGAGGTAAGAATGGACTGAAAACATACACACATACACATACACACATACACACACACACAAATACACACATACACACACCCACACACACACACAAATACACACACACATACATATACACACATACACATATACACACACTCACACACACATACATGCATACACACACATACACAGACACATACACACACACACACACACACACACCCCATGGCTCATTTGCAAAGATGAGGGATATCAGGCTATACAGGAAAAAAACAAGTGCTATTGCCTGAGCTAATTGATCAGTAGCTTCAAAGCATGTTATAAGTATTTGCATTGATCCTCAACCCTTGATTCAACATCTATCCCCAAATTTAGCATTTGCAAATGAGAGAATAACTATAGTCACTTGGAAATTGGATTATCTCATCTAGCAGAAACCTCAACAGAAGTTGGTTATTGGGAACAATTTTTTTGTGTGTGGCCCTGATAGTATAATGAAAACATTATCACTTTTTCTTTGCAGTAAGCACTTTTCTTAAAACTCCTCTGTGCAAGTCATCTGCTTCCTCTTGGAAAAAGAAAGTCGCATTATATAAAAGCCTTACAGCATATTTAGACATTTCATCAAAGTAATAGACAACTGGCTCATGCTGGGCTGGGAGAACACTGGATTATATTCTCTGCCCAGATAGGAATCTCCCTTGGTAGACTATAAAACATCATTGGTTAGGGTTTCAAGGTCAGAAGTGCCAGATTCCCATAGAAGTCTGACTTTGCATTTCATCGTGTGTGTGTTATATAGAACAAGAGAACAAGAGGGTACCAGGCGTGACACTAGGTAAGAAGGGATTCTGCAGCTGGCTCTGGAGTTAGTTCACTTGTCCGTCTGTCCCACCCATTCATCCATTCACCAAATCACCCACCAAGAACACCAATGGAGGGCACTCTGTGAGCGAGGCACAGAGTTCATTGATTCGTAAGACTCAGTGTCTGGCCTTGAGAAATTCCTGTTCTGGAAACCCAAACAAGGATAT
Organism: Homo sapiens; assembly: GCF_000001405.40. NCBI lineage: Eukaryota > Metazoa > Chordata > Mammalia > Primates > Hominidae > Homo > Homo sapiens. The sequence continues at coordinate 84,767,952 of NC_000001.11, read as the reverse complement.
AACTATTCAACAAGTGCAGTTGAACCTGTGAGACTTCAACTCATTTTTCAGCACAAGCATAAATTGGTGAGCTAGTGAGGTTGAAAAGTGGGAAGTTAACCAGCAAATAATACTATAATCCCAGCAATTTGGGAGGCTGAGACAGGAGAATCACTTGAGCCCAGGAGTTCAAGACCAGCCTGAGCAACATAGTGAGACTCCACCTCTACAAAAAAATACAACAATTAGCTGGGTGTGGTTATGCATGCCTGTGGTCCCAGCTACTCAGGAGACTGAGGTGCGAGGATCACTTGAGCCCAAGAGTTCAAGGCTGTAGTAAGCCATGATCTTACCACTGTATTCCAGCCTGGGTGACAGAGCAAAAACCCTGTCTCTAAAAAATAAAATAGGCCAGGCGCAGTGGCTCACGCCTGTAATCCCAACACTTTGGTAGGTCGAGGTGGGTGGATCACAAGGTCAGGAGTTCAAGACCAGCCTGGCCAAGATGCTGAAACTCCGTCTCTACTAAAAATACAAAAAATTTAGCTGGGAGTGGTGGCGGGCGCCTGTAATCCCAGCTACTAGGGAGGCTGAGGCACAGAATTGCTTGAACCTGGGAGGGGGAGGTTACAGTGAGCAGAGATGGCACCACTGCACTCCAGCCTGGGCAACAGAGTGAGACTGTGTTTAAAAAAAAAAAAAGATAAAATAAAATAGGCAATTATGAGCCTGGGAGGTCAAGGCTTCAGTGAACTATGATTGTGCCACTGCACTCCAACTTGGGTGACAGAATGAGACCTGTCTCAAAAGAAAAAAAGCAAATAACAGTATATCTTAATTTTCCCCAGGTATTAATAATGAGAATTATAGGTTATCATTTATTGGAATAATAGCTTTGTGCCAGGCACTTGATATGCATGATCTGAGTTCCTGTTTCTTCTGAGATCGGAATTTATATTGGTTAGAATGCATTAAGACTCAAGAATCTGAACACTCAGCCGACAGTGGCCTAAATCGTAGAGTCATTTAATCTTCTCCCCTAACAAAGAGGTGAGCAGTTCCAGGGTAATTTAGCAACCAGGACATGAGTTGGGCATCTCTACACTCTCTTGGCTTTGTCTTCATGGTGACATGGTTATGGAAGCCCCAAATATCACATTCTCTCTTGACACCCTCCAAAGCGGGGGAGAGAAAAGTAAGAGAAAGAGGAATCTCCTCCTATGCCTATGATTATGGAGGAAACGATTTCCCCAGGGTCCCCAGCAGATGTCCACTTTCAGCCCCTTGGTTAGAACTAAGTGGCATGGCTGCCCCTAGCTGCAAGGGAGAAGACACACCAAAGAGTGTGTGTCTGCTGCATTCAAGGCAAGGAAGAGGCTTTGGGCACAGCTGTTGGGTAGGCAACCACTTGCCTTCTGCTGCATTTATATTGTTATCTCCCTTTTACAGACAAGGAGGCTGAGACATGGAGAGGTTCTATTTCTGTTTCCCCAAGTCACATACTTGGAAATGGCAGAATTAGGATTAACCTTCAGGAAAGTCTGACTTGAGCCCAGATTCAATCACCACCAGATACTTTTCTCATCCGCTGTACAAGGCTACATGGAGCTTAACAGCTTGCCCATTAATTGTACTTCCCTGCTCTTTCCATTAACCTTAGATTGAGGTCCCAATGTTGTAAATTCTTTCTGTAAGGCAAAGAGGCACGTGCCGTGTCTCTACAACATAGTGAGGTAACTGAAGTGACCATTGAAATAATAAAACCCCTAGGAAGGGAGTGATTTAGCAGAGCAGTAATAGAGGGATGAGTGTGGGCCAGGCGATGCAGTGAAATAGTAAGTTCATCACAGTCGCTGGAAAACCACCATTCAGATGAGGCCAGCCGATGCATGTCTGCTGCTCAGCAGCACTTTTGCCGTAGAAATGAAGGTGAAGGTGAAGGGCATGTCTCAGCCACCCAACAAATCCGTTTAGCACATAATGGACCTTGAGCACAGTACAATTTTAGTGATTTCTCTTTGTGATTATTAATGCTGTTTTTATTGGAAAGTGTATTTTAATTTCTGACAGGGTATGCCCGGACTCAAGCACGCCTTGTGTCACAGAGATTCAAGGACTGCTTCTAGCAAGTGGATGAGGAAGAGAGGGCAGGGAAAATAGTTTATTAATTCTCTACATCTGCCAAGCCCTAGGGAGAAGGCAAACTTGAGGCATAGCAGGGAAGAGTTATGCCTGAGGGGGCCCAAACTCATGGGTATGGGCAGAGGGGGTCTACACTCCTGGTGAATTGTCCATCTAGAAGGTGGCAGAAGTGTGAGGCTGTCCCAGGAGTTGCAGTATTTGAGCCAGACAGGATCAGTGGATGAAGTGGCAAGCTCAAGTAAATGCCAGCCACACCATCCATCTGGTAAAGAAATGCTAGCCATGCCATCCCTGGTCCTATCTGACTCACCCTCACTGTGGCTCTGGAGCTCCAACCCTGGGACAGCCTAGTGCTTCTGACACCCTGGCTGCTGAGACTGTAGGGAGATGGGGTGGACAGAATCATGGCCCCCAAAGATGTCCATGTCCTAAACCCTGGATTCAGCGAATATGTTACCTTACATGACAAAAGGGGCTTTACTGATGCGCTTAAGGATTTTAAGATACGGAAATTGTCCAGGTGGGCTCAATGTAATCACAGGGGTCTTTATAAAAGCAAAAGGGAGGCAGGAAGGTCAGAGAGAGGTTTGAAGATGCTACGTTATTGACTTTGAAGATGGAGGAAGGAGCCATGAGCCAAGGAATGTAGGTGGTGTCTAGGAGCTGGAAAAGTCAAGGTAATGAGTTGTCTCTTAGAGTCTCCTGAATGGACGAAACCCTGTCAACAACCTTGATTTTAACCAAATGAGACCCATTTTGGACTTCTGACCTCCAGAACTGTGAGAGAATAAATGTGCTTTGTTTTAAGCCACTCAGTGTATTGAAGTTTGTTACAGCAGCATAGGAAACTAATTCAAGGGGCCAAGGGGGAGGCAGGTGCCCCGTTGATGCCCACAGACAAGGCTGAGATGGTCAGGGGACGTGCACTCAGGGAGGGGGCTGTCTGGGTGAGGACACAGCCCCAGCTGCCCTGCGCCCTCCCTCATCCCCCTGTACTGCAGGCTAGAGTTGCGAACTCTCCTTGCCTTCCCAAGGCACGTGGAGACCCCTGTTTGCAACTAATCACCCACAAGCAGTCTCTGTGCTGGAAATACACTACATAACTTGTTTCAGGGCTAAAGGGCTGATGGCCAGTTCCTCAATTTCTGAGTTCCTGCCTATGTTGTGTTCCTGCCCATACTATATTGTTCCGAAGTGCTTTCCTTGCTCTAGTTTTAAATGATCCGGCTGATGGGACCGCTCTCTCTCGCTTCCTTGGGAGGCTTGGTTCATTAGGTCCATTAGCACTTCCCCATTTCTCCCCAGCAGGAGATTTTAAAAAGCATCAATTCAAATGGCAGCCGCCTCCCCTCCAGCGGAGCATTGGCATCCGAGCTGTGTTCTGTTCCCTCCCTCGTCCCTTGGCAGTGGAGACATCCCAGGCAGCCCCTCACACTGGGAAGCATGCTGCTGGTTAGAGAAACCTGTGTGCCCCGGGGCTTTACAAGGATTGCATTCCTTTGCAGTGGTTGTTCCCTGATTGGGAAGATAATCACTTTCAGAGCCTACGGAGAAAGTGGAAAAAAAATCAAAAACAAACAAAACAAAACAAAACAAAAAACACAGAGGGAATAAAACCTGCTTTTAGCCTCAACTCGGGAGGTTTCCTTCTTTTACTTGAGTTGACTTTGATCACAGGACACTGCGTGGCCACCTGACTTGCATTAGAAAGAAACCTCATTGCGAATCACCTCTACAGAGTCAGGGGCCCTGGCTTGAGCTTCAGGCATGAATTTCTCTGTTGTGGGCACCCAAATAAGGATGGGAAGAGGTATATTTAGTCTTTTGCAAGAGCATTTTGCTCTCCAAATAGCTGTATGAAAATCAGACTGTGCTTCATTGTTAGGCATCCAGAACATGTTATTAATTGAGTGTAGAGACGCATTAGGCAGGATTAGTTATGCAATCAGCAGCATTCGAGGCTCAGAGCATTGAAAACAAAAATTCCAAGTAATTATACCTTAATCATTCCAAATATCAATGGAAGGTATTAATACAGCTGCTTTTTAAAAGATTTATTTTTGCTTATTATTTAGCCCGAGCTATGGATGACAGGAACTTTTATAGAAGTGCAAGCCTGCAAGCATCTATAGGCCAAATGTGGATGAAGTCAATGAGAACAACACACAGAAGAATAACTGTAGCAACCAACAGCATATTATACTGACAGAAAAAAAAAATCATAAACAAGCTGGGCACAGTGGTTCACACTTGTAATCCAGTGTTTTGGGAGGCCGGGACAAGAAGATTGCTTGAGTCCAGGAGTTCAAGACCAACCTTGGCAACATAGCAAGACCCTGTCCCTACAAAAAATTTTTAAAAAATTAGCTGGGCACAATAGTGTGCACCTGTGGTCCTAGCTACTCAGGAGGCTGAAGTGGGAGGATCGCTTGAGCCCAGGAGTTCAAGGCTGCAGTGAGCTATGATCTTACCACTGTACTCCAGCCTGGGTGACAGAGCAAAATCCCTGTCTCTAAAAAATAAAAGAAAATAAACGATTAAGATTATATTAACAACCACAAAAAGGTATGTGCCCTTTGGAAGTATCCAGTGAAAGGATAGAAAATGGCATGCATGTTGTCGTTCCCTCCTTCCCTCCTGTGACTGCAATAGACATCATGAATCAATCACCATGCTTTTCCTGGTATACCAAAATGTTGCATTAAAATCCTTCTTTGCACTGTGCTCCAGCAAGCTGCTATCAATTGACAGGGTTTGGCATGCAAGATAAAACTCTGGTCTGCAAATTAGAGTCATCTATTAGTGATTTCATTCAAAATCACTTCATGATCTGAGGATTTGCCTCATGAGGATGCCTGCATGTCTAAGGCAATGTGCTAGGTACTGGAAGAAAAGGAACACAGTGAATGTTTTGTTGAGCTAAGCGGAACAAATGTGTGTGTAAGTTAGGGGTAATCTTATCAAGAAAGATAATATTTGAATTGGACCTATGAGGAGAAGAGGGAGTACAGACCTTCAGGAAATGAGAAACAACCAACAGGATGAGAGTACACCTCTGGGACTCTCGCCTGTAATCTCAGAACTTTGGGAGTCTGAGGCGGGCGGATCACTTGAGGTCAGGAGTTCGAGGTCAGCCTGGCCAACATGGTAAAACCCTGTCTTTACTAAAAATACAAAAAAAAATTAGCTGGGCATGGTGGCACATATCTGTAATCCCAGCTACTTGAGAGGTTGAGCCACGAGAATCGCTTGAACCCGGGAGGCAGACGTTGCAGTGAACCCCAATTGTGCCACTGCACTCCAGCTTGGGTAACAGAGGAAGGCTTGGTTTCAAGAAAACAACAAACAAAAAACAAACAAAAAAAACCCCGCTACACTTCTGAGATATTCTGGGATACAAAAGGATGAGAAGGGGCATGAGGCTAGAAAGATAGGCTGAAGTCATTGTGTAGGGGGCCGTGAATGCTGTGCTGGGACTTTCCTATGGCGAATGGAGAGCCAATGATTTGTTGTTGAAGAGCAACCCAAAGCTATCAACGTTTTAGAACAGTAACTCTGTCAGAGCTTGCAGGGGGGTTTGCACAAAGGGGCCTGGAGAAAGGAATCAAATATCTTAAAAGAAAGATGTAATTCCTTCATCTCCCTTCCTCCTGCAACATTGCAGAGCTGCTTGATCCGTTCATTTCTGGGCTGGTAATCTTTAAATTGTCTGAGATACCTTTTTCTGAGTTGTAAGATCCCTCTTCTGCTCCATTTCCCAAAAGTCAGGGGATGTTGAGCCCTCCAGTGACCTGGCCCAATCTAGACTGAGCACTAGGTTGCAAGCTCCCTGAGGGCAGGGACCAGATCTTCTGTCATTCTAGTACTGTCCCATGCCTGCCACACAGCAGGCACCCACAGAAGTTTGTTGAGTTAATAAGCGTAGGGTTTCTGATGACAGGCAGACCAAGCCATCATGCCAGAGCACAGGCTTCATGAACCTATGGGATTTGGGCCTACATAATGCCCCTGTCTTAGAGGAAAGGTTTGCTGCCTAATTTTCCCCTAAAGGCTCTGTTAGCTCAGACTCATGAAATGTCCTAGCTGGAAGCAAATGGATGGTAGGGAAAACTGAAGCCCTATGTTACCCAACTTGTGAGCAGCAGAGTCAGAATTAATACTGGGTCTTCTGAACTTGAGTGCTCTCTACCCTCTACAGAATCTCACAGCTGCCCATTCTATTCGTTGAGTGCATGATCTGTGAACTTTCAGCAAATAGTTGAATTAGTGGACGTGACAACTCTGTACAGATTACTGACTTTGAAAGAGGTAACATTTTTCAAAGAAAATCAATTTTACACTGCAATGGCATGGAACATGAATTTTAGGAAGTGGTGGTTCTTCAGAAGGCATTTGGCAATCTCATGGTGTTTACAGAAAGCCCAGTTGATATCACTGTGTCTGGCACATGGAATTAATACAGGTTGCTACTGGACCAGCACAGTTAGTAGACAGAAATGACTGAGGTAACAGCTATAAAACCTACCACAGGGTTGACCCACACTTAAGTCTCAAAAGTGGTCATTTTATTGTTGTTGTTATTGTTGTTGTTGGTATTTCCAGATGCTGCAGTTGAAGCCTAAGATGTTACCAATTCATCCCCTAAAAAATCCCAGAGAAACTGTGGGAAAGACTGGACCACTGGTTTTAGGAAACAGCCACCATTCATTAAGTCCCAGCTCAAAGCCAGGGACAGTGCCTGAAACTTCTATATGTTATTTATTCCTCTCAAAACCAACAAGGCAGGTGTTGTCCCTCAGGTGGACTTCCTGATGCTGCTAGTACCTCAGAGCCTGGTTGTCAGTTACATGCTAGTGTTGCAAAATTGTATTTTGTGTTTATTCATTTATTTTTGCACTATGCACACTGTTTAAAAACATAAATTGTTTGCATTAATGGATTTTCTTTCTGTGGAAAGCGTTAATAACAGTTACTATTTCATAGTGCGGTCATAAGGATTACATGAGTTCATGCATGTAAAATAAAACAGTGTCTTCCACAGGGCATCCACTCTAGTTTCTTTATAAATTGCAACTACTGTGATGATGATGATTGATATTGCTTTGGTTTATTTTTCCTTCTTACCAGCATACTCTTCAGCCCTGAGACTCGTAAGACAAATGTTACATGTTTGCTTCCTTTTCCAAATAAAGCTAATTTTTTTCTAATAATAAAAACAATACATGAAAAACAGAAAATAGAGACTAGCAATAAATAATATTAAACATGATTAATACCTTGAATAGATTATTTTATTAAATTAATATAACTTGTTTTTTAGAGCAGTTTTAGGTTCACAGCAAAATTAAAGCAGAAGGTATAGAAAATTCCCAAATACCTCCTGCACGATGCATGCACAGCTTCCCCATTATCAACCTCCTCCTCAGAAGGGTGCATGTGTTACAATCAGTGAACCTACACTGAGACATCATTATCACCCAGAGTCTATAGTCTACATTGCAGTTCACTCTTGGTGCTGTACATTCTATAGATGGATTATTTTAGCTCCTTTTTGTATACTTATATACACTCAAACACACACACACACACACACACACAACCATGTGTTCCCAAAACACATTTTAAGCTATCAAGAATTTAACCCAAGAAGCAGTCATTCATTTAACCACAATTCACTTATCCAACCGAAATTACTGAGGATTTATGATGTGCCCAGCACTGCCCGGCCTGAATAAGTGGTGAGCAAGGTTGTGCTGCCTTCTCGGGGCTTAGGGACGCTCTTCACAGCTTGAAGTGAGTGACTTTGAGAACATGCAGGATTTCTGGAGGAGAAACAAACCTGGCCAGCTGGTGGCAGGACAGACCTGGACGCTCCTTCACTGGACTGTTTTCCTCAAGAGCCACGAGGTCATTCTGACCCCGCTCCTCTCCCTTCTGCACACACTCCGGCCTCAGCCTTCCCCTCCACGCCTGCACACACACACATTAGTCAAGGGGGTGGGCCATCCATCGCTCCAATAGACTTTGCAAGAAGCTTTTTGGATTGTGTGAAAACAAATATCTTAATTTTTTAGGGAAACATGATTTTTTTTTCCCAGGGAAAAGCTGATTAAGTATTCACTGATTAAATATGAGAAAAGCATTATTTACGGTTGAAAATTAATCAGACTTAATCCATCTGGTGGCCAAGACCAGCCCTCATACTCAGCCATGTTCAGGGAACAATTGGGGCACTTTGAGCCACAAGGACTGCCGGCAAGCTCTGCCCAGATTGCTGGGGAAGGAGAGGTGGGTGTGTATTATTTATGTTCCCCTTTCAAAACAAACCCATCAAAAGAACAAAGCCTCCCTTCTGCTGGCATCGGCGGCAGCTCTGACATATGGCGCTCCCCAGTTCTTGCTGCCGAGGAGTGGGCGTCGGGGCTGCGTGAAGGTACTGCCTGCAGCCATCTGCTGGGTGCCAGTTCTTTCCACTCCGAGCTGCATTCTAATTGTGAAACAGGGCCACGGGAAGGAGGTGGGGAGGATGCTGGGATACAAGACACAGTTCTGTGACAGAGGAAATGTGCCCGTCCAGATTGCCATTTCTTATGCACGTGGTCCAAGTCCATTCCCCGGGAGGAGCATGTGATCCTGTGTGTGAGAAAAAAAGAAGGTGAAGGGCAGCAGTATGGAGCGAAGGGGGGACCAGGGAACAGGGGGGCGGAGACACTAAAGGGAAGCAGCTATTTATAGGTCCTGACCACAGTTTATCTCCAAATGATATTTTGATATTTCTAGCCTATCCCGCAGATGCCTTTGAAAATAGTCACAAAGAAAGCACCCACAGTGGGTGATAACTGTGTCTTCAGGAGCTATTTGGGTCACAGAATGAATGTTTAGTAAAATGTGATAGGACCATAATCCTTTTTTACTCGGGGATTTCTAAATGGAAGACAGGGAGAATCCATGCATGGCTCGTAGCATTAGTTTGGCTTTTTTGTGTGCAGTAAACTTTGCTCTGTGTCCCTGTAATCTGACAAATAGGGTAGGAGGCAGTGGCAGAAGTCACACAGCACTAAGCTGGGGTGTGTGTGTGTGTGTGTGTGTGTGTGTGTAATGCCTTGAAGCAATTAAACATACAATGTGTGATTTTTCATGTCACATGCTGCATGCTGTTATCCACAGATGACTTGCCCGTGTCTAGGCACTCTGCCACAGGAAAGATGCAAACACACATAGATACACATTTATAAAACCAACTGGAAACACGTATTTGTCCTTGGAGAGAATGAAATCCTCCAAAGACTGTTGTTCTGACTTGAGCCATGGAATTTATGACATTAAGCTACCATTCACTGGGTTATGCCAGGGTTTTCTTCTGCTTTATTTTTCTTTCTAAGACCCAGGAATCACACTGACATTACTGAAACCATCACTTCACACCTGGGAGAGTCACAAGACCAGACATTTTCTTCCTGCCCCCGGCATGCCTGGAGACCAAAGCCTTTCAAGGGTTGCTAATCTCTCAGCAAAGGCAGAATAGGTGGAGATGGCATTTCTCTAAGCTAAGAGTTTTTTACTCCCAGACTTAGAGGGAAAAACATAGGAGAAAAAATTTGAGAAAACTATGAACACTTTTGTTTCCTAAGGGCATTTCTCTTTTAGGGTAAAAATAATATAATGGTCCCTGGCCTGTGCATCTACCATCAAGAGACGATGACCTCACCTCTACCATCTTCCCTGGTGGAACCCCTAAGAATGGCCCAGAGCTCACTGGGCCTTGTTTGTGGCATTGACATAAGGGGAGGTCTGGGTGGCTTTGAAATACGCCCTGTTTCTGCTATTTACTCAGTGAAGCGCATGGAGTTGTCTTTCTCCCTAGCCAGTGAATAAAATCTGAAAGTATAAAATTTAATTTGTAAGACTGAGAAGTACGAAATCTGATATTTGTATATCCCAGCAAGCGTTACCTAACACTAGATCAAGGCCGATTTCCAGAGACTGTCAGTATCTAAAAGGATGCTCTACCCTGGCCAGAGTAAAGCAGTTTTAATATCGAGTCATTTTCATTGAGCCTTCATGAGAAAATGAGGTGTGCTTCAGCTCCCGGAGCCTCAGAGTTGGGAAAGAGCAACTCCTTAGAGTAGGGGTTGGCAAAGTTTTTCTGTAAAGGAGCAGATAGTTGGCATTTTAGGCTTTGTGGGTGGAGGCAAAATTGAACAACTATTCTCACTAAAAGGCTTTTTTTAATTTTACAATTTCAGTTTAAAATGTAAAGACTATTCTTAGCTCTCAGGCTGTACAAAATTTGCGGCAGTCTGGATTTGACCAGCAGGTGGACTTTCAAAGTCCCTCTGCAGCGTTCTCATAGGTGGCTGTCTGCACTTAGCTTACGTTCCTCTAAGCCACAGAAAGCTCACCACCTCCCAAGGTCAATAAATCCGCTTTAAAGGAGGCTAAAATGGCTAGAAAGCACTTTTTTATATTGAATTAGAATTTGCCTACTGTATCTTATAACTGAAGCATTACTTTAAGAACTGATTTAAATCATTTTAAGACTGATTTAAATTTCTAGAAATAGTTTTTGATGGAAATCATTCTCTATTCCCTATTCTACTGCCTAGTAGCCATGTTCTAAAGTTGCCTTCGTGTGTTCCAGTCATTATGAAAATAAATTATTGTACTGTGCTGTAATGCAAATTGAAACCCTCAAGACCATTGGGGTTTACAAAGCTATTTGCCTTTATACTAAATATCTCCACACTGCAATGCTCCATGAATTCTTGTTTCTTTTTTTCTTTCAGTTTTTCTACCTGATTACTTATTACAAGGATGCTATCCATGTCTCTCCTTCTTCTTGTCTGTGTGCCTACTGAAACAGTTCACCTCCTCCTCCTAATTAAATGTCTCTAATCTTCCATGGGCTAAAAGTAGCTCTCCATGAGAAAAGATCCCAGGAGCCCTGGGGCCTTTGGTATTTGACTTGAGAACTTTCATCAATAAAGTATTTAAACCACTTGGAGCCTCCTGCTCGCTCTCTTCTCTCTCTCCCCTTCTCTCTCTCTCCCCCCTCCCCCCCTCTCACCCTCTCTCTCACCCCCCCTCACCCCCTCAATACTAGATAGGCTTTTGAGTAAATGTGAAAGTTTTCTAAAAGTCATTATCACCATCTGTGAAATTTGCTGACTATAAATTCCTTGAGGACAAGTGACTTTCTTTCTGAATTTCACAGCCTTAGAGCCTAGTCCAATGCTTCACATACAGTAGAAGTTCAATAAATGGTTCTGAAGGACTGAAAGAATAAGAGGTTTGAGGGTCGTGCTAGGCTGATTTGTTCCAGCATATCTCAATTTTTAGTGGAGGTTTATTGTGTTTGTTTTATTAACACTAACGTTAGGGCTATTAAATAATATCACTTAGAAACCAAAAGAAATTAACCCTCAGGGGTACAATTTGATATAAATAGAGGTAGGCAATTTTCAGTATGCTCTCTATTTCTACAGACCCAACATGGGCTCTCGTGAAACCTGGATCTATGGGATTTATGTAAATGTGAACAGGCTGCACCAGGCTCACAGACTGGCTGTGTAGAAGTGGTCTCTGTTTGTCGTTCAGATGTTGGGAGGTAACAGTGAGCTTTAACTAATTACACCTCAAATCACCCCCAGGAGGTAGGTAATGATTATAGATGTACTTGGCTGAGGTAACTCAGAATGTCTTAATAATCACTTAATAGAATCTTATCATGAGAAGCAAATTGCATTAAATAGGCAAATGAAGTTGACGGTGAGAAGCAGAGTTAGGAAATAAAATGCTATGGGGGGTTTTATATGGGAAAAATCCAATTAACACCTTTTTAAAAGAGTTGGCCCCATGGCTTTTTTCATATCGCTCACAGTACCTATCACAGGGTTATGCCCTGAATAAACACTTTCTCAATCGATGCTAAAGAAATTATAGGTAAAAATGAAGGAGGAAGTGGGAGGTGCACCTAGAAGCCAACATTACAATTCTACTTAGAAGCAAATGGCAAAATAATTTCATTGTGAAGCTACTGTGCAAGCTTTGCAACGATGGTCCATTTCTTCCTTATTCTCGAGGAAAATGACCATCGTCATGTAATAAACACAAAACGCCAACCAGATAGATTGCATACGTACACATGAATGTGCTCTGGACTTAACCAAATTTGTGAAACCCTAGGGCTGGAAGAGCCAAGCCCAAGTGTTAAGGCAGCAAGATGACAAGAAGCTTGGCCAAAAGAGTTTGCGGGTGGAAGACACACTAGGAATTTTGTGTCCCACCCAAAGATAAGGAGACATCATGGAAGCTGCTGGAGACTTTTGTGACAGTGGGTGGGGTAAAAGAAGGGGTGGATTTTCCTCGGGTGAAATGATTTTGGGAGCATGTGGTCACTGTCAAAGCTGTGCTTTTCAAGAAAACCAAAGGGCGGCAGGAATGAAGAAAATCCAGACAGCCCATTCGCGATGCACAGATCCAACAGGCAGAGCCCAGGGGATGAGGTGTAGGGAGGCCAGCGGAAGGTGCTGCGGGGGTGGGAGGAGGTCAGATTCTGGGACAGGCCAAAGCGGTACAGACCAAAAAGTTGTGTGCCTGAGACTCAAACTGGACCAAAGTCGAAAGAACAGTCAAGACTGCACTCCAGAAATAGCACGAGATAATTGCATCATTAAGTGGAATTTTACGCCTAAATTGTATACATGTATGTGTACAGATGTATATATACACATATATTTATAAATGTGTATGTGTATTTCACACACACACACGACTTTCACTTTCATACTTTCACAGTTCCCTGTCATATGACCTTTTTTCTTACATAAGGGACATGCATCTGATTAAACAATGAACACATATTTATTATTTTTTAAAAATAAAATGAGCGGGGTGCGGAGTGGAGTGGAAGCACATGCCGCTAGCAAAATGGGCACCGGGGCTTCGGTCTTCGCTGAGAGAAATTGTCTCCATTTTCATATGAAGGACAAGATGGACCCTAAAGCAAATAATAATGTTTAGGAGAGCGCTGGGATCTATTTTTTCTCGCAATGTAAAGAAATTTTACCCCAGCTTTCCTCCTGGGTTAGCTCTATCAATATTAGGAGCCTTTCTGCAACCATGGTTTGTCTGCACTTCCTTTACTTAACACCTCCATTTGCTGCCATTTGCCTACCGCGGCGATGGTGTCGGGCATTGGCAGCGTCACTAAATCACCCTCATTTCCCGGCCCTATGACTGAAGCGGGCCCGGGCCATTATCGCCTAATGGCGTGTTCTGCTGCTGCGGCTCTTCTCAAATCCGCGATGGACAGGCCTCAGGATGCATTTTAGCGTCATTGTAATTGAGCGCGGAACGCTCTGGCTTTTTTAGACCTGTTTTCCGGTCTTGTAGGGGGTGACCGACGAGAGATAGCAAGCAGGTGCGATGGGCAGTGGGGGGGTCACCTTTTCACACCGAGGACAGCAGCAGCAAAGAACGATTCGCTGGGGGACGGAGGAAATGAGAAGCTAGGGCAGGCTTTTCAGCATCACCTAAAGACTTGAGTTGTCAAATGCAGCGTCCCTGCCAGCGCTGATTCTGCCCAGAGCGGCTCTGCTAACCTAATGGGTTTCCAAAATCTCCTCTGAGTGCTCAGATGTGAATCACCGACTTCCAGAATGCATGCTGTCTCTCAGCGGCACAGATTCCTGCTGGCCCCCTGGGGAATTTTAATAACATGTCATTTAACAAATTAGAAGGTGAAGCAAATTAAATACAGTAAATCAAAGCAAAGCTTGAAAAACAAAGTAGAATCAAGCAGGCCTTTTCAAAGCATGCAGATTTGAAAAATGTAAGGTTTCCAAATGGTTAGCAAAAAAGGGAAAAGTTACCATAGCAACTCCTAAAGTCTGTCTAGCTAGTGGCCACATGCTTTCAAGTGTCCTACTCTATAGTGGGAGATATTTGAGGGCAGTTTCTAGATTTTTTTTAAATTAAGGAAATGAATAAACAAGCTTAATGGATTAGTATCCACATTAAATTACAAGCATCAGCCTTCCAAGGCCTGAGATTTCTGGCAAGGAACAGCTGCTGTGGGTAATGCGGACTGGCCACTTGGTGTCGCTGTTGTTCCGCTGCTGGGTTCTGCAGCGCTGTCCCCCGCTGGTGAGATGTCCTCCCTTTCAAGTAGATGCTTTCTGTGAGCCGCCCTAACATGCATTTATTCAAAATGTATTTATAGTGTCTGCCATGTGCCAGAAACCATGCGAGTCTCTGGGGATAGGCTGGTGAACAGTTTGTGGAGTTCACAGTCTAGCAAGAGAGACAACCAAACAAATGAAATAATTACACTTTGTGATTAGGTCTATGAAGGAAAAGATCAGACTCCTAGGATGGAGACTAAGGTGGGCAACAGCTTTTTTGCAAAGTCGTCAGAGAAGACCTGTCTGATGACTTATTAGGCTGAGACCTGAAGGATAAGAAGGGCCGTGGACCTGGAAGGGATAGGTGAAGAGTGTACGAAGAAGAGGGACAGCGAAGCCCACCAGGGCTGCTGCACAATGAGGGAAGAGGTTGTGGCCAGGGATGAGCAGGTAGGGACCGGATCATGCAGAAACCTTTAGGCCAGGGTCACGCTTCTGTTCAGATGTTATTCCTGGCCAAAGGAAATGTCTTGAAGATAATTCGATTATTATTATTTGTTTAAATAATTTCCTTTTCACACCGTATTGCAGTTCCCACTGTATCACCTGTTGCTTTAGACACGTGAACACTTAGAAAATGCATATTCAATATTATAACAATTTAATTTTTTAACACAGCTATTGTTTTCCTAATACAAACTATGGGATATAAAGCTTAACAAAATCTTTGCTGGTGGGGCAGAGTTTAAGAAATCTGAGAGGCCAGGCACGCTGGCTCACGCCTGTAATCCCAGCACTTTGGGAGGCCAAGACAGGTGGATCATGAGGTCAGGAGTTCAAGACCAGCTTGGCCAGCATGATGAAACCCCGTCTCTACTAACAATACAAAAATTAGCCAGGCGTGGTGGTAGGCGCCTGTAATTCCAGCTACTTGGGAGGCTGAGGGAGAGAGTCGCTTGAACCCAGGAGGTGGAGGTTGCAGTGAGCCGAGATCACACCACTGTACTCCAGCCTGGGCGACAGGGAGAGACTCCATCTAAAAAAAAAAAGAAAAAAAAAAGAAGTCTGAGAGAAGCAGTCAAAAAGCATATGGTGAGAGAGCACTGCACTGTGACATGAGTTGGGAGACGTGGGCCACTGCCCCCCTTATAGCGCTTCTCACATTGTGGTCATTACCCCCTCACTTCTCTTCTGCCTCACTAGACTTGGGATCTAGAGGCAGGCACTGCCCTACCCACCTTAGTAACCACCACGATTAGCACAGGAACACAGCAGGTTCTCAATAAGAGCTGGATGGGAGGATGGATGCATGGGAAAATGGGCAGGCTCAGGGTAAGAGGTGGCTCATGCCTGTAATCCCAGCACTTTGGGGGGCTGAGGTGGGAGGGTCACTTGAGGCCAGGAATTTGAGATCAGCCTGGGCAACATAGACTCTTCTCTAAAAAAGAAGGAGAAGGAGCAAGAAGGAGAAGGAGAAGGAGGGAGAAGGAGAAGAGTAAGAAGGTAAGATATGTGGGAATACCAATGCTGATAAGTGAGCCTCCTGCAGAATCCTAGTGACATCATCTCAAAGATAAATCATTCTCAAGTTCTGAGAACAGGTGGCACTTCTTATCCATGGGCTCCACATCCATGAATTTTGGGTCAAAAATATTCTTGAGAATAAAATAAAAAATAACCATACAACAATAAAAAATATACAAATAAAAAACCAATACAGTACATCCACTATTTATATAGCATTTACATTATATTTGGTATACAGTAATCTAGAGATGATTTAAAGTATATGGAAGGATATGTATAGGTTATATGCAAATATGACACCATTTTATTTTGTTTTTATATATTTAAGGGTTATAAATGCCATTTTGTTACATGAATATGTTGTATAGTGGTGAAGTCTGGGTTTTTAGCGACATTGTACCCATTAAGTAAATCCTCATCCTTCATGTCCTCCCACCCTCCCACCCCTCAGAGTCTTCAATATCTAATATTCCCCTCTCTGTATCCATGTGCACACATTATTTTACTAGACCGTTTTATATAAGGGACTTGAGCATCTGAGGATTTGGATGTCTGCAGGGTGGTGGTGGGGAGGAGGGCGGTTCCTGGGACCAATTCTCCATGGATACAGAGGGATAATGTTATAAGACAAAGCATTTCTCTGGCCTCTTTGTGTATGTCCTAAATGCTGATTGAGCACCTGATATGTGCAAGGCACATACTAGACACAGGGATACAAAATGAGTAGGACATCATCATAGTCCTGATGCTACATACAGTCAATAAAGGAAAAAAGCTGAAAGCATAGTTTAGAAAGTGTTAGGTACTCAAAGTGAGAAATAAATTATGTGCCCTAGGGGTTAAGAAAAAAGAGGACTTTCAACTGTAAGGGTCAAGGAAAGTAGACCCTTACAGGACCCATCAAGGAAAGGGATGATGACATTTGCATTTCCTCTCAAAGGATGGGAGATTTCCTTGTGGATGACAGAGCTCTATGAGCCTCCCCTCCAAGCTAAGAGAGGTGGCTTGTTCCTGAACACCACGCTAAAGGAGAAAGAATTCAAAGCCATCTCCCATCCCTTCTCCCCATTTTGTGAGCCCATGATACTGCCGCCATAGTGCATCCAGACAGCCTGGCATCCCAGATCACGAGCTGCAAGCCACACTTGATAAGCACATTCTGGGTATGGATTTGACTACAACATTCCCAAACCTTCCAAGCAGTCTTTGTGGCTTCCTGTTAGAGTCTTTAGTTTGGGGTCACTCTTCATTTTTCTACTGCAGTATTTTTCCAACTACAGATCACAGTCCATTAGTGGGTCAGGTAATCAATATAGTGAATGTGACCAGCATTTTAAAGAAATGGACTAGAATAGAATGGAAATAATTAAGGTGCATTGCATAATAAGGGAAAGCTTTTATAGGTCAAGCATTATGTGTGAATAGTGGCAGCCCTGCTGGGTGATCCTTCTCTGAGAGGCTTCAGGGGACAAACTTCCTTGCCAGAGTATTGGTGCCATACTCCCATGGCAATTCCAAGCTTTGATAGAATTGAAGAGAAAGCTCCTAATTTAAACTTGGATATCCTCTAAGGCCCATGAATATGTAAATGCATGCCATAATTCCATGGAATACATTTTTGTGCTAAACATAAACATTTTTGAAAGCAGATGTCTTTTTTGGAGTGGCACTAACACATTCTCAATTCTCCATCCCATTATGCGTGTGTGCACACGTCCTCCCATGGCTGGCCAAAGGAAGTTTATGTCAACTCTCTGAGTAATGTGCCTCATCGGGCAGGAAAATACAAGTCAAAGTGCCACGGAATGTTTCTGCCAGGGAGTCACCCAGAGCCTCACAAAGCTGTGGAGCCTTTTAAAGTCCCTCCAGGTCATTTTATTAGAGTTGTTTGCAAATATGTACTTCTGCCACTAACAGATTTTAGTCTGATTCAATAAACCACTGTTTTCTACTTCCCTAGTGTCTCATAGAAGCCTTTGCATTATTGATGGAATGTGAGGCATGCCGCACATTTTCACTTCCAAAGGTAGATTGTGAAACCGTGGAAGCATGATTAAATTTGATAGAACCAAGTAATGCCCAGCTTGTCATTCATTGATTAATTCTTTCATTCAATGAACATTTACAAGCGCCCAGTAAGTGCAAAGAATGTTGGTAGCTGCTGGGGATCCAATGATAGACAAGCATGGTCTCTGCTATCAGTAAGCTCAAATCACACTGAGCATTCAGCAAGTCATTGTGACATTTTTGCTTTTGGGGATGGAATTATGGAGAATAATACATTTGGGAAAAAAGAATGATCCTCAACCATTTCTAAACAAATGAAGATATTTGAATGATTGTATCACAGCAGCAGTGCAAGTGATCTGTGGCTATTATAAAGTGGTTGCCCTCCTTTACACAAGATCCAAACCAATCTCAAGAATTAAGCAAAAGCACACATATGCTGTCTGAACATGTTAGGAGAACTTGGAATGCAGGTGAGGCTCAGGCAAGGGTGTGCAGAAATGGCTTCAAGTGCCTCTTCTCCCTGTAGTTCTCATGTTGTTCACACAAATTGCAGGCAACCTGCGGCCAGTAAGATTCTAAAGGGAAGGAGTCAACATTCATCTTGATGCTTTCAGTATCGGCTGTCATGAAGTGGCAACTAACAAGCTGGTAAGTGCATTCAGGTTAACAATTACTCACTTCTTCAGACTTTCACAATTTCTTAGAAATTTTGCTGATTCCAGATATACCAGTGATAATTTTCTAATGCTATAGTTCTTGTTTGACAGCCTTTCCTGGAGAAGGGGAAAGTGTGACCTCATGTAACTAGAGGGAGTGAACCTCGAGGATTGTGGTCATGTCCAGTGCTTGAGGGCTGGGAAGATCCATAGATGCCAGCCTGTGTCAACCTATCTTGAAGACTGTGACCCTGTCACCAACCAAGGCTTCCTCTGTTCCAAGACCCCTGAATCTTTCTGTGGAAGATTCAAAGAACAATTTATTTTAAACACTGAAATCTTAGCAAATGCTGGCATCACTGAGCTTGGTCATAAAAAAGTCCCTGACCCAACTGCTCACTGTCCCCAGAGTCCTCAGGAGCAGAGCCAAACTGGAGATGACCCACTCTGGTATCACTGCCTTAAGTCTCTGTCGGGATCATTCCAGATGCATATCCACAGGGTGTATTAGAAGCCCACTGTTCCCAGAAGATAAGGCGACCTGACACCATCCTGAATTGAACCAATAGGATAGGAAAGGTGATTGTGAGAGGTGAGGAAGTCTGCATTCTCCCGCCTCATGTAAGTAAAGATTTGCTTGTCTGTAATGAGTAGGATTGCCAGTGTAAATATTCCAGAGTGAAACCATAGATTACCAAGTAGAGCCGACCTGCCTGACAACAGCCTTATCCATGAGTGTGACCAACTCACAAAATTTCCATTATACTTACATCAGTAAAGTCCAAACATTTTTGTCACAAAATTTAAGCTGATGAAAAGCTGGATAAATCTAAAGCAACTGGATTTTGCAATGCGTGGTGGGAGTTAACGTGTGGGTGTTCACTTCAACTCTTCTTTGAAATTCAGCCTTTAAAATCTATCATTGGAATGTAAGATGTTAATATGTTATCAAAGGACCCACTGGCTATGGGAAAGGGTGGGGCCAGGGCAGCACTGAGATTTCAGGCATTGGTGGTAGTTAGGGCACTTTCTAAAGGCTTGCTTAGCTTTTACCACCTGGTGTGAAAGGAGGGGTGTTTTCTGTATAAGCGCTGTGAGCACACTCTCATCTTTTTCTCTCCTCTTCACATTGTCAGCACTGTATAGGCAAAGAGGATCTGCAGCCTTTGTTTCAGAGGCCCTAGTCAAGAGTCCTTCCCCATAGGTCCAGGTGCCTACAGAGGGCAGCTACTGATGGTATCAGTGCTCCCTAGGGCAGGCTGCAGGGGGCGGAGGGGGGTACCACCTACCCGAATTGGACTCACTAGAGTTGCACATCAGACCAGCAGATTCCAGGTTCCACTGCAGATTTGCTGACTGGAATCTGAGGGAAAGGGCAGTTCAAGGGCGCGGCCAGTGGGTGCCTGCCTTCTGGTGCCTAATGCTCAACCCCAGTGATTCTTATTCCAAAGGAAATTTCAAAAACATTGCCTAGTGCGAACTGCAACCGAGTGCACATCCAAATCATTTGGGGAACTTTGAAAAACACCTCTCACAGACCAATTCCTAGGGCTGGGCATGGTAGCTCACGCCTGTAATCCCAGCACTTTGGGAGGCCAAGGCTGGTAGATCACCTGAGGTCACGAGTTCAAAACCAGCCTGGCCAACATGATGAAGCCCCGTCTCTACTAAAAATACAAAAATTAGCTGGGTGTGGTGGTGGGCACCTGTAATCCCAGCTACTCGGAAGGCTGAGGCAGGGGAATTGCTTGAACCCAGGAGGTGGAGGTTGCAGTGAGCCAAGATCACGCCATTGCACTCTGGCCTGGGTGACAAGAGCGAGACTCCATCAAAAAAAAAAAAAAAATTCCTTTGGTCACATCAGAATAGCTCTCCTCCAGGTGATTCTAATTTGCAGCCAAGGCTGAGAACCAAGCGACTCATTAAAACAAACTTAATAACAGTTTTCCAGGTCCCTTAGGGAATAAGTCTGTGTGGCATCTTAAGGTCCTGTCCTAGGACCTCTCCTGTGCCCTGAGGCAGGCCCTGGGCTCCTTTGGATGTTAAGTGGAGCCAAACCAGGGATTGCAGGATATAAGCATAAGATTCCTTTCAAGAGTGTCTCACTTCTTACTTAGTCTGGCTAGGGCTTTCCCAGCTCCTGCGGGCTTTCTTACCTGTGATAGAGGAAACCTGACAAGCCTCTTAACTTCATATGCCTGTAGAGCGAGGGCACCAGTGAGCATTAATGACCGGGAAGATGTGTAAACTCAGCCTAGATAATGACACTGGGATACAGAATTTACCTTTTTTTTTTTTAGAGAGAGAGAGAGAGACAGGGTCTTGTGCTGTCATCTAGGCTGGAGTGCTGTGGCACAATCGTAGCTGGCTGCAGCCTTGACATCCTGGGCTCAAGCAATCCTCCCACCTCAGCCTCCAGAGTAGCTGGGACCACAGGCATGAACCACCATGGCTGGCTATTTTTTTAATTTTTTTTTTAATTTTTTTGTAGAGATGAGGTCTCACTATATGTAGCCCCGGCTGGTCTGACTCCTGGCTTCAAGCCATCCTTCCATCTCAGCCTCCCAAAGTGCTAGGATTACAGGCGTGAACTATCTCTCCCTGCCCAGGATTTGCTTTTAATTGACGTAATTTTTTCTTCTGCCTTTCCTGCCTGGAGTAAAGTAGAAATAAATGGTTTTCATATAAGGAAAAGAAAAATCATTTGATCTCAAAAGAAAGTAATTGGCCGGGTGCGGTGGCTCATGCCTGTAATCCCAGCACTTTGGCAGGCCGAGGCAGGAGGATCACAAGGTCAGGAAATCAAGGCCATCCTGGGTAACGAGATGAAACCCCGTCTCTACTAAAAAATATAAAAAATTAGCCGGGTGTGGTGGCGGGCGCCTGTAGTCCCAGGTACTCGGGAGGCTGAGGCAGGAGAATGGCGTGAACCCGGGAGGCAGACCTTGCAATGAGCCAAGATCATGCCACTACACTCCATCTTGGGGGACAGAGTGAGACTCTGTCTAAAAAAAAAAAAGAAAGAAAGTAATTAAGTATAAGTAATAAACATTAACTGTCAATCTCAAAGAGACTCATTTTTGGAATTATTATCTTTTTTGGAATCATTATTTTTGATATTTAAAACCATCGTATTCTAATGATAAGAATTCATATAATCCAACATTGATTGACTTACATGAGGTGCTTCTATAATACAATTCCTTCAATGTCTCTGTAGTTATTACCCAGAAGATATTTTTTGAGCACCAACCATATGCTAGACACTATGGACACTATGCCAGGATAAGAATATAAAATGAGCAAGACAAGCTCTCTAAGGAGGTGAGAGATGTAGGTAAGTTTATAAGTAAATACAAAGCAAAATAACATTAACATTTATCATGAATAAATATTGGGTGCTCTTGGAGTTGAAGGACCATGTATAAATTCCTGTCTGAATCAGCCATTTTGAGCTGGGTTTTGAAGGATGAATAGGAGTTTTCCAAGTGAACCAAACAGAGCACTCCAGGCAGAGAAAATGATACATGTAGAAAGTATAGATAAGCAAGTCGCCATAAAAAAAACTGTGTGAATTTGTTTTCTATCGCTGCTATAGAAAATTACCATAAATTTAATACCATAAAATAATACAAATTTATTATCTTACAGCCCTTTAGGTCAAAAGCCCAACATGAGCTAAAATCAGGGTATTGGCAGGGCTGCACTACTTTCTAGAAACTATAGGGAAGAATCTATTTCTTTGCCTTTTTCAGCTTCCAGAGGCCACCACATCCTTGGCTCATGGTCCTCTTCCTCCATTATCAAAATCAGCTATGAAGGTCAAATCGTTCTACATTCTATCTCTCTAACCCTTCTCTCATGATGTTATCTCTCACTGATCACAACCAGAAATGATTTTCTTCTTTTAATGACTTGTGATTAGATTGGTACCACCTGAATAACCCAAGATAATCTCCCTTTCTCTGGGTCCATCACTCAATCACATCTGCAAAGTCTCTTTTGCCATGTAAGGTAACATATTCTCTGGTTTTGGGGATTAGGACACAGACATCTTGGGGGCCCATTATTCTGCCTGCCATACTATGCGTCCGTTTGCTGAGTGACTTCTTTGTGCCAGCATGATTAGAAAGGACGAGTTTTACCCAGACCATAAAAGGCCCTTAAATGTCAGATTAAAGAATATTCAATTTATCATGTAGGTGAACGGGAGCCACTGAAGGCTTTGAGCCTGGAGTTTTCTTTTTAGAACTGCCTTTGGCTATACTCGCTCCTCATAAGAATCAACAGGAGGTGCTTATTACTAAGACTGACATGAAGGCTTGGGGATTGTGATTTAGTAGGTTCAGGGTGAGCACACAGGAACTTGCTTATGATCAGTCAGCTAACAGACATACCACTAGAGAATACAGCAAGGTTGGAGGTAGAGAGACAAGTGAGAAAGCTTATGCCATCAGTCCAGGTGAGAACTAATGACAGCATACACTAAGGTAGCAAATAGCCTACGGAGGGAAGGAAGTAGGTGGATTTTAGTCAAGACTTGGGCAAATTTGGCAGAACTGTTGGTGCTCTATGGGATGCAGCCCTGTGTGATATAAAATGTATATGCTTTAGAATCAGAGAAATGTGGGTTTGAATCCTGACCCCAACTGCCACCTACCTGCAGATGAACTTTGAGGAAATAATATCTCTGAACCTCAGGCTCTTTGACTTATAAAATGAGGATAATAGTACAAATTTTGCAGGATTTGTAAGGGTTCACAATAATATATCTAAGATGCTTAGAATGTAATAGGCACTCAAAAAAGTGTTGCCACTATTATTTATTGTCATGGTGGTGGATGTTACATAGATGTGAAGAATGATGGTATAGGAGACAGGACAAGAAAGAAAAGAATGAGGATAACTCCCCAAATTTTGCTGAATGGGTGGAAAGGCAATTTACCCAGGTACAAAATAGAGGAAGAAGAGCAAGCTGGGAATGAAAGGGGCTGAGTTTCGATTTTGAACAAGTCAAGTAGGAGGGTGGGATGGGGCTCGTGAGTAGCGTGTCCAGAAAGCAGTAACGCATGCAGACTTGAAGTCAGGAAAAAAAAGCCTGGGTAAGAGATATTGCAGCTTTCCCATGAATCTGAATACTTTTAAAAGATGTCTTTGAACATGAGCCACAAAACTACAGGAATCAAAAGAACTACTAATTCATCAAAGCCCTTTTTACTGCTTAAATCACTTTGTGTATTGTAATAATGCACAAGTAATTATAGCGTTCTTGTTTAATTAGTAATACCCTGACAATCGAAAGATGTGCTTAGAGAACCACCAGGCCCTAAACATTCACTTTGAGCCCTCACAGAGCTTATTGGTTTGTAGTTCTCCCAGTTTCCTGGAAGTGAGGTCATGAGGAAGTTAATAGATTGGGCTGTATGTGTTTCTTCTGGGATCATTGGCAGAAGCCCAAGTCCAGGTCTCCACTTCCTGCTCTATCATTTCATTCATTTTCTTGCTTTATTAACCCAAGACTGGACCCTCCCTCGAAAGCATTCCCTGCATCTTTTAGTATGCCCTCTTTGGGGTCTGCTAATATGATTCTCCTTCATGCTGGAGCTCTAAAGTGTCCAGTTCCTTCCATCTATAGATTACTGGACTTGAGAGGGGGTCAGTGTAGTGTTTCTCACTAGTACCTGCTGGCCTCAGGATGAAGCACTGGTGCTCTTGGGTCCATTGGCTCTCCCAGGCATGTTGATTCATGGGACTTGTCCTTCCTATCTAGGCCCTTCCTTTCCTGCTCAAAGATTCCATAGTCCAGGAATTAATACCTGGATCACCTAACAGATGGCCTTATTTATTCCCCTTTCCAGTCCCCCTGGCCCTCCACCGGAATAGTCTAGGACTGGGAGTCAGGATTCCTAGGGAATAAGTCCCTGTCCTCTCACTGTATAGCTGGGTGAGCTGGAACAAGATACTGAACTTCTCTGTGCACCGAGCTGTGCTCATTTGTTGTTTTCATTTTATCTTAAATACAAAATGCCTTATTCAAATGAAACCTGAAGTGGAAGCCCTGAACATGAAACAGGTAACAAGGCCGGGGTCTAGGGGAAGTGAGGATGAGAGTCCCAGGGCCTGTTTACTTGCCGTGACTCAGCCATATCTGTCGGGTCCATGGGAGAATCTGTTTCCTTGCCTTTTCCAGAGCTGGAGTTGGCCCCCTTTCTCCATCTTCAAAGCCAGAATGTTGCATCTCTCTGTGCCTTTCTTCTGTGGTCACATCTCCCTCAAATGCTTTTTTTGAGCCCCTCTTCCACTTTTAAGGACCCTTATGATGACATCAGTCCCACTCAGGTAACCCAAGCTAATCTCCCCACTTCAACATCCTTAATTCAGTCATGCCTGCAAAGTCATCTAACATAATCACAGATTTCAGGGCTTAGGACAGCTTTGGGGGACATTACTCTGTCTCCCCAGGCAGCCATGGGCATCCTTACAGAGAGTGCCCCTGGTCTTCCTTTCTGAAATTCTGTTTCTTATGTCACTCCACCCTTGAACTTTTCAGTGGCTTTCCATGGCCCAAAGATAGTGACTCAACTCATTCATCTTTCATGTAAGGCTCCCCACAGTCTGACTCAAACTGACCTTCCTGACTTTAAATTCTATTATGCTCCCCACAGCCACCCTCTGGCCGAATGACTGTCCCTAAATCATACTTAGATTTTCCTGTCTTTGCACTCAGCTCTTCTCCCTGATTTACACTGTGTATTAGTTTTCTACTGCTGCTGTAACAAATTACCATAAAAACAGTGGCTTTAAAACACAGATTTATTAGCTTACAGTTCTGGAGGTCAAAAGTCCAATGGAAGCCTCTCAGGGCTAAAATTTAAGTGTCACAGGGCTGCTTTCCCTTCTGCGGGGTCCATGGGAGAATCTGTTTCCTTGCCTTTTCCCAGGGCTGTAGTTGCCCCCCACCCTTCCTCCATCCTCAAAGCCAGCAACGTTGCATCTCTCTGTGCCTTTCTTCTGAAGTCACATCTCCCTCAAATGCTTTTATTCGGCCTCCCCTTCCACTTTCGAGGACCCTTATGATGACATCGGGCCCACCCAGGTAACCCAGGGTAATCTCCCCACTTCACGATCCTTAATTTAATCACACCTGCAAAGCCATCTAACATAATCACCGGTTCCAGGGCTTAGGACACATTTGGGAGCTATTATTCTGTCTACCACGCACTCCAATACCCATTCACCCAAGTCATGGGTATGAGTAGCAGACTTTACTGCAGGGCGGGGAAGATTTCGGGAAGGAGGGGTCCTTCATTGCACCACACAACTACTTCAAACGGACTCTCAGACAGCAACCTTTTGGCCATTCCACCACTGAGGGTGGTTTCCTGGCCATTTCACCCTGTGTAGCATCTGAGCCTTTTTACTTCTCTTCCCCATCCTCCAACTCCTTCCTCCTTGGCCTCTCTACTTGCCTCTTCATCTTATCCCCCACAATTTTGCACAGAGAATTCCTAATTCTTCTCAGTCTGTTATGCAAATTAATTAAGCTTACTGCAGCTCCTGTGTCTAAACTCAGCTCCCAGGAAAGAGCTCTGCTGAAAAGACCTTTCATGTAACAAGCCCCATCCTCCTTAGAAAGTGATTATGGCTGTAAATCCCAATGCTTTCCTTCCTTGTAGTCAAATGGCCACATGCCGACTTGCCCACGAACATGTGGCCACTACCAAATGGGTGCCACTTTTCTGCATTTGCTCTTCTTTAGACAAACATACCTCAGGAAAATGTTTCATGGATATAGCTGGCTGCAGCAAGAGGATGGAAATTTAAGTTCATGCTTTCCTTTCTCATAATCTAAAAGAAGAGACTGATGCTTACATGAGTGATGGGTCTAGATACAAATGTGGAATTTGAAAAGATGAGTAAAAAGTTCTATATCGCATCACTGCACAGTAGCCAAGTACTCACCCTCGCCAGACAATTTAGAACTTTGAAGTTGGGGGCCATATTTTGTTCATGTCTCCAACACCCTAGCATGGTATCTGTACTAAACAGATTCTTAATTCATTTTGATTGATAAAATTAGTAGATACAGTGTAGGCCAGGCATGATGGCTCACACCTATAATCCCAGCACTTTGGGAGGCTGAGGGGGGAGAATCACTTGAGACCAGGAATTCAAGACCAGCCTGGGCAACAAAGTAAGATCCCGTCTCCACAAAAAATCAAAAGATTAGCAGGGTGTGCTGGTGCACACCTGTGGTCCCAGCTACGTGGGAGGCTGAGGCAGGAGGATCACTTGAGCCCAGGAGGTTGAGACTGCAGTGAGTCACTATGACACCATTGCACCCCAGCCTGAGTGACAGAGTGAGACTTCGTCTAAAAAAAAATACAGTGTAAAAATCAATTATTTATAAATAGAGATATATATACATTTTCCTCTTCAAAAGCGTAGCTTCCTTTTTCTAACTCAGAAGAGAGACTGCTTTCCTCTTGCATTCTAGCATATTCAAAGGTGGACTGTGTTTCTTGCTGTCAGGTAAGGCTTGGTATTAAGGGGGTGAGTAATATAATAGACAAAGCCCTCCATGGGGGATATTGGACTGGAAAATTGGTGTAGTGGAAGAAGTTTTTTAAAGCCACAAATTAGTATTAACATCTGCACAAAACAAGCTTTCAAACTGTGAACCAACAGGATTTACAGCAGACCATTCTGTTTCTGAGTTAGAGAGATGCTTATTCTCAATAGTGAATCACACATAGACATGAGCTACAAAAAGCAGCAAGCTGCAACCCTCGGAGAAACACAGAGGATACAACTGAAAGTTAATTCTCACTTTTGTAATTAAATATAACATTTTGCATTTTGTTTCATATGGTTGCCAAACAGAACCTTTTTCCCACATACAGTTTTTAAGCAAAATTTGAAGCTTTTTCCTCTATAGTGGGGCCCAGCAGGAGAGGCTTTCTGTCGGAATGTGAGTTCTATGCCTCTTACAGTAAAATAGGTAGTGATTCCGAGGGCAGGAAAGCAGTAACTGTGTGAATGACAAAAGCTTTCATTTCTGAGCCAGCTTTGCTAACTCTTCATTATTTGTGCTGACAGAGAAGGGTGAAACATGGGTAAATTTCCCAACTTTATAAATTAGTCTCATATTGCTATAGACTGAATGTTTATGTCCTCCAGATTCACATGCTGCACCCTCATCCCCAGTGCACTGACATTAGGAGATGGCACCTTTGGGAAGTGATGTTGGGCACATGATCTGCTTCTGCCAATCCTATTGTCCCAGGGCCTTAGGTTCCTGCAGCTCCCCTCTGCCTAGCCCCTTGGGAGTTCTAACAGCAGGAAGACTTTCTGTCTCATCCACTCTCAGTCCTATCAGTGTCAGTGCAAGAACTCCAGCAGAGGGGTCTGGTGGTTTTAGTTCTGGTCTTTACCTCTGACTTTCATGCCATACACTCTAAGTCAGAATCTGAGATCTCCCCCAGCCCCAGAATTCATCGGTGACTTCAACATGCACCTCCTCTTCATAACACCTTAGCTCCAAGATGAAGCTGAGTCTCTGAACGAGAACATTCCGGCAGCAAGATATATCTGAATTTATAAACCAGTCTGTGCACTGAAACATCCTGCTGCTTCTCTGGTAGAACCATGATGAATTCCTATGACAACTGAGTTTCTGTGTTGTCATGCAAAGCTGTTCATTTTCATTCCTGTTTAGTGCTCCATGTTGTGAATATACTACAATTCATTCGTTCTTCAGGTGATAGTACGTTTGAGTTGTTTCAATCTGGAGCTATTAAAAATAATGCTGCTCTGAGAATTTTTGCACCTGCCATTTGACTTACCATGTCAAATACCTGTGGCATGTCTGGGAGTGGAGTTGCTAGCTCATAAGGCATAGGTATATTAAGCTTTCATAGATGCATATGTCAGAGAGTTTTCTAAAGCGATTTTTTTCACTGATTTAAAAACTATTAGGAGCAATATATGAGAGCTTCTGTGCCCTCAACCAACATTTGGAATTGTCAGGCTTAAATTTTTGCTGATCTGAGTGTGAGGTTTTTCACTGTGCTTTTAATTTTTATTTCCTTGATGAATTAAACTCTTTCAAGTGCTCATTGACCATTGGGACTTCCTCTTATGTGCAGTGACCATTCAAGGTTTTCTTTTTTTGCCCATTTTAAAATTAATTTCAATGAATTATTCAAGTATTTTACATACTAGTCCTTTGTTTTGTGTTGCAAATATTTTCTCCCATTTTGTGGCTTGCTTTTTCACTCTTTAAGAGGCTTATAATGAATACAATCTCTTAATTTTAATGTAGTCTAGTTCAGTGCTTCTCAAACTATCTTTGATAAACACTTTTTTTTTTAATTTCAGTCACTGATACATATGTAAAATGCAATAAAAATTAAAATGAAAATTAAATTTAAAATTTCTTTCCTCCTTTTATATTTAAATATGAATATATCTTAAGCATATATTTTAACACATTAAAAAGAAATATATTTTAACAACATATTAAAATAGATTTTAATATATTAAAATAAATATATTTTATAATATATTTTAAGATAAATACGTTTTATAATATATTTTAAGATAAATACGTTTTATAATATATTTTAAGATAAATACATTTTATAATATATTTTAAGATAAATACGTTTTATAACATATTTTAAGATAAATATGTTTTATAATATATTTTAAGATATATTTTAATATATTAAAAATAAAATATTAAAAATAAAATATAATTTAAATATATTTTAATATATTAAAATATTATGGTTAAGAAAGCCATAAAATATTATAAATAAATAATAAAGAGACTAAAATTTTATATATGAGAGGAATAAATATGCATTTAAAAGAAGAAGGAAGAGAAATAAGGGATGTAAATGTTCCTAAACCAGGTGAGTGGTTTCAAGCTCCCTCATAATTCCCTTTGTAATTTCTTTTGTCTACGTTCTAAGCCACGACTTAGGGACACAGCAGACTATCATCAGCCAGGGCAAAGCCAGTCCACTGTGGCTCTCCAGTCTCCCGTGCGGCCCTGGCCCTTCTGCTGAGCTTTCCGCATCCACAACGGCTCCGCGATCGGTGGGCCCGGACCTTGCCACGCATCATCACTAGCCGCAGCTCTCCTTTATTTGGGCTGAAAGTATTGTTGAACCTTGAATCCCATGAGATTTCTCAGCAGATTTTGGCTGTGTGACGATTTCAGCTTAAGCAGGATAGTGTGATTGGTGATTGTAAATATACATCCTCCTGAGAGAAAGGAAGAGGTAGAGCAAGGATATTTTACGGCCTCAGAGAAGCCCGCCCTTATACCTTCCACCTCTTCCTTGATGGGGTCCTGGTGAGAGAGTGTGTTTCTTAGACAGTTGTAAAGAGAAAAGGAAAGCATAGAGGCAATTATTGTCAAAATTAAGCCAGTCCTCTCTATTGCCTCCACTCCCTAAACACGATTTAAGCACTGGCCTGGAGAACTGAAATGCACGCAGTCATTTCCCATAACCAGGACAAATCACTACTAGATGAACAACATTATTTGAAATATAAAGTAAAGTTCCAGAGTGAACATAAGAAGCTATTTCTTCATTGCCCAGGCAAAGAAACAAAGCCCGGAAGTTTTAAATCATGTCATTCAATCAACAGTAACTTTTAATAACTTTTTATTGTGAAATAAAACAAAAACACAGAAGACCACACAAAATAACTATATAGCTTAGTGAAGTATTTTCAGCCAAACGCCGTTGTAATCACCACCCCGATCTAGGGAAAAGAACTTTGTCAACAGCTCTACAAATCCCTCCACATGCTGTGACTTAAAAATAGTAAGAACTTCCTCCTTCTCCCATTGTAGTTATCATCATCACTAAATCTCACACTATCTTTGTTTTTGACTAGTGGGAACCTTTGCAAGTTGGCTCCGAGTCTTTCTGACATGACCCTACAGTCTTTGACAGCTTTCTTGCCATCTGCAATCATGAGTTGTTTCAGGCTCATTTTGGACATTGCCTGCCCCATTCCTGAAATCATCCAGTTCTACAAAAACAAGAAGCCCTAGGTTTTTTTTTTAAGGAGGTAATAATATTTCAAGCTCTCAATCTGGGCATTAGGGGTGTTCGTGGGTATCTGGGTAGTTCATTGTGCCCAAAACTTTTCAGTGTTTACATATACACACATACATTGTTTCCTAAAAATAAAATACTTTAGTATTCATACAGATATTTTCCATTTAAATACCAAGACTACAGATTTCAAACCTCCTTTCTTCCCTGGTAAGATTTCTGGTTCTCAAGGATGATAGAATTAGAAAATGCCATGCTTACTCATTTGCTTTATTCCACATTACATACACAGCGGGCTCAGAATGACAGTACGAACACTATCGCTACTCATTATGATTACTGAAAACAGTTAAACTTTTTTTATATCTGTTATCCCTATTCTTCTTTCTTTCTTTATATTATATAAAGTTGTTCTGTATCTACACTATCAGAGAATACAGCCATGACATACAATGCTCTCTCCCTCTTAGCTCTTCTTTAGTCTTAATTCTACACCTTCAGTGCTCACCACCGGTCATATGTTGATACTTCTCAGATCATTTAGGCTGTCTCACACACATCGAGTTAATTCCTCAGTAAGAGCTCAGGGGAACAGTGTTCTCTGGGATTTTTGTATGTTCATAACAGCTTGTGCCTTTTATACTGAAATTTGTTTTGGTGAATATTAAATTCTTGGCTTACATTTCTTTCTTTTTATACCTTAAATATGTTACTCAATTTTCTTATGGTATGAAGTGTTGGTATTGAAAGGTCTGAAAATAATCAAATTTCCTTTCCTTTATAAGGCACTTCCTCTTTTTTGCTTGGATGTCTAAAGGATTTTTTTCTTTTACTTTAAAGTCCAGTAATTTTACTGGAGCATGACATGTTGGTCATCTTGGATTGATATTGTCAGGTAAATGGTGTGCTTTTTCATTATATACTTTTAAATCATTTCTTATTTCAATACTTTTTCTTGAATTACAGTTTTTGTTATTTGTTCTCTTCTCTTGCATTGGTTTTCTTCTTCATTGGCTCCCATTATATGTACAGATCTGTTTCTGCCTCTCATCAGTAGTATTTGTACTTTCCTTTATAGCTTTTGATTTTTAACATTTTTCTCTTTCTCACCTTCTGCTTCTTTTAAGACATTATTTATTGTGTTTATTTGCTGATGTCCTTCCTATAAACTTCATATCTAAAATAATTTTTTCTTGTATTCCTTGTACTGAGTTCTTGAGTTCTGTCATCTCATTTCTGTGTTTTGCTAATTCTGGTTTATCTTGCTCTCTCACGTTTTATATTATTTTCTTAATGTATTTTAGCTTGTTTTGAAATAACAGCTTTGATTTATTTTAAAGGCACTATCTTTCTTGTCTGCTTTATTGACTGCAGGTGTAATTCTGTTACTTACTGTCTTTGTATTTATAATAACTGTATGGTGTTTGATCTTGATTCCTTTCTATTGCTCATTTTTATTTGAAATAAGTTAAGAGAGCTTTTCTAACATCACAGAGCTGCTTCTTCTGTTTGTGTGTTTGTTTTTTCATGTAGAGTTTAGAAAACATGATGGTTTGCTTCCTGAGATTTCTTAGCTCTGTTTCCTGCCACGCTTTTATTTGTAGCTAACTTTCCTTTATCTGTATTGTTCCTGTCTTGCTCCTGTTTGATTCCACTCCCTAAAATTTCTCCTCAGTTTGAGTCCCTGTCCATTTACTCTGAGTAATCTGAGAAACCACTGAAGAATTTTAACCAAAGAAGTGATACAATCTAACTTATGCCTTAAAAGGATCACTCTGGCCTCTCTGTTGAACAAAGAATGCAGGAAAGAAGACAGAAGGAAACAGGGAGATGGGTTAGGAAACAATTACAGTACCTGTACTGACAGATTTTATACATGAGAGAACTGAGGCAGATGGTTAAATCACCTTCTCTAGCTCTCCAACTGCTAAGTGATGGAGACAGCATTCAAATCTAGGTATTCAACTCCAGAATCTGGAGTAAATATCCACCATTTGAGGATGTTCAACACATTTTATTTATTTATTTATTTTCAGAGACAAGGTCTTATTCTGTGGCACAGGTTGGAGTGCAGTGACACCACAATAGCTCACTGCAGCCTCCAACTCCTGGGCACAAGTGATTCTCCTGCTTCACGCTCCCCAGTAGCTAGGACTACAGACACACACCACCACATCCAGCTAATTTTTGCTTGTTTTTTGTAGAGATGGGGTCTCACTTTGTTGCCCAGGCTAGTCTTGAACTCTTGGCTTCAAGCAATCCACCTCAGCCTCCCAAAGTGCTGAGATTACAGGCTGAACACATTTTATACAGTCTCTCCACATTTCAAAAGTTTTCCACATTGGGAGTCCAGCAGCAACATTTCCCAGACTCCTTTGCAGCTAGAATGCGGAGATACGTAATGGCTTTCACCAATCAGATGCACCCAGGTTTAGATAATAATATAGGAAGAAAAATATTTTATTACATACATATTTTTAATCGATTTATAATTCACATACTATAAAATTCACCCATTTAAAGTGTACCATGCAGTGGTTTTCAGTATACTTACAAAGTTGTGCGGCCATCACTATTATCTAATTCCAAAATACTTTATCACCCCAAAAAGAAACCATATACCCCCTACCCTCTATACCTCATTCTCTCCTTCCTCCAGCCCCTGACCACACTAAGCTATTTTCTGTCTTCATGAATTTGCCTATTCTGTACATTTCATATAAATGAAATCATTCTATACGTGACCTTTTACGTCTGGCTTCTTTCACTTAGTATAACGTTTTCAAGGTTCACTCATGTTATCGTAGGAATCAGTACTTCGTTGTTTCCTACGGCTGATAATATTCCATTTTATCATAGGACAATTTTTATGTGTCAATGTGACTAGATTAGAGGATGGCCCGATATTGCTGGGTATGTCTGTGGGGATATTTCCAGATGAGTTTAGCATTTGGGTCTGTGGACTCAGTAAAGGAGATGGCCCTCCCTAATGTGAGTGGGCATCATCTAATCCATTGAGGCCTGAATAGAACAAAAAGGTGGAGGAAGGAGGAATTTCCTCCTTTTTTCTGCCTTATTGCTTGAGCTGGAACATCTCATCTCATCTTCTCCTGCCCTTGGACTAAAATATACATTATTGGCTCCCCTAGTTTTCAGGCCTTTGGACTTGGACTGAATTGTATGCCCAGCTTTCCTGGGCTCCAGCTTGTAGATGGCAGATCGTGGGATCTCTCAGCCTCCTTAATTACATGAGTTAATTATTCTTCATAATAAGTCTGCATATGCATATACATTTTATGTCTATTGGTTCTGTTTCTCTGGAAAACCCTGACTAATACTATGGGTAGAACGCATTTTGTTTATCCATTCCTCAGTTGACAGACATTTGGATTGTTTCCACCTTTTGGCTATTATGAATAACACTACTATGAACACTCATGTACAAGTTTTTGTGTGAACACGTGCTTTTTATTCTTGTGGTTACGTTAAATTTTAATTTCAGATAAACAATGAATAATATTTCATTCATAATATTAATAACAAGATGTACTTATTAGTATAAGTACATCTAAACTACTGCATAGGACAACTATATTTTAAACTATTTGTTGTTTATCTAAAATTCAATTTTAACTGAAAATTCTTTATTTTATCTGGCAACCCTACCCAGGTGAGACTTGGATATAAAAGGGAGAAATATGAGGCATTCTATCAAATATTTAAGGAAGAAATAATAGTCACTTCACACAATCTTGTCCAGAAAATGCAAGAGGAAGGAATATTTCCCAACTCATTGTATAAAGTCAGCATCATCCAGGCAAAGACATTCCAAGCAAAGACATTTATGGACCAATATCCCTGATAAGGCCAGGTGTGGTGGCTCCCAACTGTAATCCAAGCACTTTGGGAGGCCGAGGTGGGCAGATCACTTGAGTCCACCAGTTTGAGACTAGCCTGGCCAACATGGCAAAACCCTATCTCTACTAAAAATACAAAAATTAGCCGGGTGTAGTGGTACATGCCTGTACTCCCAGCTCCTTGGGAGGCTGAGGTGGGAGAATCTCTTGAACCCAGAAGGTGGAGGTTGCAGTGAGCTGAGATTGTGCCACTGCACTCCAGCCTGGGCAACAGAGTGAGACTCCATCAAAAAAAAAAAAATCCCTGATAAGTATAGATGAAAAAATCCTCAACAAAAAATATTAGCAAATTGAATCTAGAAATGTATTAATGGGATAACAGATGATAACAACAGCCTAGATTCCTCAGGC
Source organism: Homo sapiens (assembly GCF_000001405.40). Lineage (NCBI taxonomy): Eukaryota > Metazoa > Chordata > Mammalia > Primates > Hominidae > Homo > Homo sapiens. Next base: position 84,733,165 of record NC_000001.11, on the reverse strand, counting down.
TCAGCCCTGCTCCCAAAACCAGGGCAGCCCTAGAAGCATCTTCTGAAATTCAAGAGTTTCCAAGATGTACAATTAAAAAAACCACAATTCTAGAGTCAAATTTTGCCCCTAGATTAAGCGTTAGAGAGTGACATATATTTTGCTCCCTTGTAGAATATTTTTCTACAGAATTGGCCCACTTTAAGATACCCTATCATAAGCAGTGGTGTGAAAATCATAAATGTGCATATTTCAGTAGGAACATTATGAAGTATATTATCCATAACATTTCATATCTTTAGGAAACTCAAAATCAAGTAAAACTGTTCTTCTGTAGAACATTTCCGTTCCCTTTTACTTAATCTTATGGAAAATTCTGAATCCTGTGACTGATTGGGTTTCTCACTTTCCTTTGACCACTAGAAGTATTGGAACCAAAGCCAAAACAAAAAACAAACAGAAATATTGGAGCCAAAATTGTGGTCACCTCTAGCAAACATATAAAATGATGTGAGTTTCATTTTGTTTGCTAATCTTCCCTCTGATTTTATTTTCCCCCTACCCTTAAGCGTGTCCTATTTTTTAGTAGGGAACCCCTGTGAAATACTATACAAAAAGACCATCCCCAAGACACATAGTTATCAGATTCTCCATGGTTCAAATGAAAGAAAAATGTTAAAGGCAGCTAGAGAGGAGGATTAAGTTACCTACAAAGGGAACCCCACTAGGCTAACAGAAGATCTTTCAGCAGAAACCTTATAAGCCAGAAGAGATTGGGGAAAAATATTCAGCATTCTTAAAAAAAAGAATTTCCAGCTGGGCACAGTGGCTCACGCCTGTAATCCCAGCACTTTGGGAGGCCGAGATGAGCGGATCACAAGGTCAGGAGATCAAGACCATCCTGGCTAACATGGTAAAACCCCGTCTCTACTAAAAATATAAAAAAAAAATTAGCCAGGCATGGTGTTGGGCACCTGTAGTCCCAGCTACTTGGGAGGCTGAGGCAGGAGAATAGTGTGAACCTGGGAGGTGGAGCTTGCAGTGAGCCAAGATCGTGCCACTGCACTCCAGCCTGGGTGACAGAGTGAGACTCTGTCTCAAAAAAAAAAAAAGAAAAAAAAAAAGAAATTTCCAGCAAAGATTTCATATCCAGCTAAACTAAGCTTCATAAATAAAAGAGAAATAAGATCATTTTCAGATAAGCAAATGCTAGAAGATTGTGTTACCACTAGACCTGCCTTACAAGAGGTCCTGAAGGGAATGCTAAACACCAGCCACTACAAAAACACATTTAAGTACATAGACCAGTGATACTATAAAGCAACCACACAGACATGTCTTCATAATAACCAGCTAACAACATATGACAGGAACAAATCCACACATATCAATAACAACCTTGCATGTAAATGGGCTAAATATCTCCAAATAAAAGGCACAGAGAGGCAAGTTGGATAAAGAAGCAAGACCCAATGTTATGCTGTCTTTAAGAGACCCATCTCACTTGCAGTGAGATAGGCTTGAAGTAAAGGGATGGAGAAAGATTTACCAAGAAAATGAAAAACAGAAAAAAGTAGGGGTTGTTATTCTAATTTTAGACAGAGCATACTTTAAGCTAACAAAGATTAAAAAAAAGACAAACAAGAGCATTTCATAGTGGTAAAAGGCTCAATTCAACAAGAACTAACTGTCCTAAATATATATGCATCCAACACAGGAGCACCCAGATTCATAAAGCAAGTTCTTAGAGATCTACAAAGAGACTTAGATAACCACATGGTAATAGTGGGAGACTCCAATACCCCACTGACAGATCATCAAGACAGAAAACTAACAAAGATATTCAGGATCTGAACTCAACACTTGACCAAATGGATCTAATACATATCCACAGAACACTCCACCTAAAGACAACAGAATATACATTCTTCATATCTGTACATGGCATATGCTCTAAAATTGACCACACAATCAGACATAAAACAATCCTCAGCAAATTAAAAAAACAAAACAAAACAAAAAAATCACACCAACCACACTCTCAGACCACCGTGCAATAAAAATGGAAATTGATACTAAGAAAATAACTCAAAACCATATTCCATGGAAATTAAACAACCTGCTCCTGAATGGCTTTTGGGTAAATAATGAAATGAAGGCAGGAATCAAGAAATTCTTTGAAACTAATGAGTACAAAGATACAACGTACCAGAATCTCTGGGACACAGCAAGGCAGTGTTAAGAGGGAAGTTTGTAGCACAAATGCCTACATCAAAAAGTTAGAAAGATCTCAAATTAACAGCCTAACATCACTAGATGAACTAGAGAGGACTAGAGGAACTAGAGAAACAAGAACAAACCAACCCCAAAGCTAGAAGAAGAAAAGAAATAACCAAAATCAAAGCTGAACTAAAGGAAATTGAGATGTGAAAAACCATTCAGAACATCAACAAATCTAGGAGGTTTTTTTTTTTGAAAAATTTAATAAAATATATAGACTACCAGCTAGACTAATAAAGAAAAAAAGGAGAGAAGACTCAAATAAAAACAAACAGAAATGACAAAGAGGATGTTACCACTGACCCAACAGAAATACAAAAAACCTTCAGAGACTACTATGAACACTTCTGCACACAAGCTAGAAAACCTAGAAGAAATGAATAAATTCCTGGACACATAAAACCTCCCAAGACTGAACCAGGAAGACATTGAATCCCTGAAGAGACCAATAATGGGTTCCAAAATGGAATCAGTAATAAAAAGCCTGCCAACCAAAGAAAGCACAGGACCAGACAGATTCACAGCCAAACACTACCAGATGTATAAAGAGGAGCTGGTACCAATCCTACTGAAACTATTTCAAAAAATTGAAAAAGAAGGACTCCTCCCTAACTAATTATATGAGGCCAGCATCATCCTGATACCAAAACCTGGCAGAGACACAATAAAACAAAATACTAGAAAACCAAATCCAGGCTGGAAGCGGGTTGTTCATGCCTGTAATCCTAGCACTTTGGGAGGCTGAGGCAGGTGGATCACCTGAAGTCAGGAGTTTGAGACCAGCCTGGCCAACATGGTGAACCCTGTCTCTACTAAAAATACAAAAATTAGCTGGGCGTGGTGGCGGATGCGTATAATCCCAGCTACTCAGGAGGCTGAGGCAGGAGAATTGCTTGAACCTAGGGGACAGAGGTTGTGAAAACTAAATCCAGCAGCACACTAAAAAGCTAATCCACTACAATCAAGTAGGCTTTATCCCTGCAATGCAAGGTTGGTTCAACATATACAAATCAATAAATGTGAAGCATCACATATACAGAACTAAAAACAAAAATTACATGATTATCTCAATACATGCAGAAAAGACTTTTGAGAAAATTCAACATCCCTTCATGTTAAAAACGCTCAACAAACTAGGCATTGAAGGAACATACCTCAAAATAATAACTACATATGACAAACCCATAGTCAACATAATATTGAATGGGCAAAAGCTGGAAGCATTCCCCTTGAAAGCCAGAACAAGACAAGGATGCCCTCTCTCACCAGTCCTATTCAATATAGTACTGGAAGTCCTGGCCAGAGAAATCAGGCAAGAAAAAGAAATAAAAGCCATTTGAATAGGAAGAGAGTAAATCAAACTATTCCTGTTTGCAGATGATACGATTCTATACCTAGAAAACCCCATAGTCTCTGCCCCAAAGCTCCTTGATCTGATAAACAACTTCAGCAAAATTTCAGGATACAAAATCAATGTACAAAAATCAGTAGCACTCCCATACACCAACATCCAAGCTGAGAGCCAAATAAAAAATGCAATCTCATTCATGATAGCCACAAAAAGAATAAAATACCTAGGAATACAGCTAACCAGGGAGGTGAAAGACCTCTACAATGAGAATTACAAAATACTGCTCAAAGAAACAAGAGATACAAAACAAATGAAAAAACATTCCATGCTCCTGAATAAGAATAACATTGTTAAAATGGCAATACTGCCCAAAGCAACTTATAGATTCAATGCTATTCCTATCAAAATACCAATGACATTCTTCACATAATTAGAAAGAAACTATCCTAAACTCCATGTGGAACCAAAAGAAGAGCCTGAATAGACAGGGCAATCCTAAGCAAAAAGAACAGAGCTGGAGGCATCACATTACCTGACTTAAAACTATACTACAAGGCTAGTAACCAAAACAGTGTGGTACTGGTACAAAAATAGATGCATAGGCCAATTGAACATGAGAGCACAGAAATAACGCTGCACACCTCCAACCATCTAATCTTCAGCAAAGCTGATAAAAACAAACAATAAGGAAAGGACTTCCTGTTCAATAAATGGTTCTGGGATAACTGGCTAGCCATATGCAAAAGATTGAAACTGGACCCCTTCCTTACACAATATACAAAAATTAACTCAAGATGGAGTAAAGACTTAAATATAAAACCCCAAACTGTAAAAACCCTGGAAAGCAACCCAGGCAATATCATTCTGGTCATAGGAACAGGCAAAGATTTCATGACAAAGATGCCAAAAGCAAATGCAACAAAAGCAAAAATTGACAAATGGGATCTAATTAAACATAAGAGCTTCTGCGCGGTAAAAGAAACTATCAACAAAGTAAACAAACAACCTACAGAATGGGAGAAAATGTTTACAAACTATCTATCTGACAAAGGTCTAATATCCAGCATCTATAAGGAATTTAAATTTACAAGAAAAACAAGACCCCATTAAAAGTGGGCAAAGGACATGAACAAACACTTTTCAAAAGAAAACATACATGCAGCCAGCAAGCATATGAAAAAAATGCTCACCATCACTAATCATTAGAGAAATGCAAATCAAAACCACACTGAGATGCCATCTCACACCAATCAGAATGGCTACTATTAAAAAGCCAAAAAATAACGGATGCTGGCAAGGCTGTGGAGAAAAGGGGAAGCTTATACACTTCTAGTGGGAATGTAAATTTGTTCAGCCATTGTGAAAAACAGTTTGGTGATTTCTGACAGAACTTAAAACAGAGTTACCATTTGACCCAGCAATCCCATTATGGAATATATACACAAAGGAATATAAATAATTCTACCATAAAGACACTTGCAAGCATGTGTTCATAGCAGCACTATTCACAATAGCAAAGACATGGAATCAATCTAAATGCCCATCAACAGTAGACTGGATAAAGAAAATGTGGTCCAAATACACCATGGAATACTTCATTGCCAAAAAAAAGAATGAGATCATGTTGTTTGTAGCAACATGGATGAAGCTGGAGGCTATTATCCTAAGCAAACTAACACAGGAACAGAAAACCAAATACCACATGTTCTTACTTGTAAGTGGGAGCTAAACATCAAGTATTTATGTACACAAAGAAGAGAACAATAGACACTGGGGCTTACTTACGGATGGAGAGTGGAAGGAGGATGAGGACTGGAAAATTACCTATTGGGTACCATGCTTATTACCTGGTTAACGAAATAGTCTATACACCAAACCCCTGCAACACGCAATTTACCTATATAACAGATCTGCATGTGTACTCCTGAACCAAAACAGAAGTTTAAAAAAAAGTGTCCTATTTAAAATTTTTTTCATATCATAAATATTTTTGTAAGATGTCCCAAATCCTTTGTAGAATAGGTGGGATTTGAAAGATGTTTGAATACATGATTATGCTTCTTTGGGTAGACTAGCCAGATCATATACTAATGACAAAAACCCCCAGGATACTTGAGAGCTCAGAGGCAGAAAACTGTATGGTAATTTAAGGTATTATTTTGAGAAGGAAAATGGAGGTGGGTTACTGAATTCCACAGTTAGAATGTCAGGCTCTGGCACAGAATTAAATCTTGGAGCACCCTGCTGTATTTCATAGTGAATGTTCTTACTGTTAGTTTGTAACAATTTAAAACTCTGGTCTTTCTGGAATTTAGGGAAATTTTGGCAAGGTTTGAGGTGAGTGGGGAATTTCAATAAATGCAGTTTTTACTGGCACTTTCAGAAATCTCTGTTAACTTTCTTTAAAGCGAAGAGTGATATAATTATTACTAAGAGGTAGCTATGAGTTTTAGATATTGTTTTCATTCTTAAAGAGGAAAAATAAATAATTCCAGGGATTTGGCAAGGCTGCAAATGTACATTCCATTTATCCCTGAGTCAGTCTGCCCTAAAAAATAAACAAAGATAGTTAATTTTATGTATCAACTCAGAAGGTGTTTTTGGATAAGATTAACATTTAAATCAGTGAACTTTGAATAAGCAGAGCACCCTCCATAATGTGGGTGGGCCTCATCCAGTCAGATGAGGGCCTGAGTAGAATTAAAAGACCAGCCACCTCAACCAAGAGGAAATTCTCTAGGCTCCTGGAACTGCAACATTGGCTTTTCCGGGTCTCCACCCTGCTGGCCCACAGTGTAGAGTTTAGACTTGCCAGCCTCCATAATTGCAAGAGCCAATTCTTTATAATAAATCTCCTATATAAATCCACATTCTATTTGTTCTGTTTCTCTGGAGAGTCCTGACTAATCCAAACCCATAAACAAAAACAAAGCAGTATGATCCACTTTAGATATATTAGACTATCAATTCTACTTTATGTCAACAAAACTGTAAGATACAGGAAATATGGATCCGTTTTTCATTTTGATAGAGAAGAAAAATAACAAATTTGCCCCAAATACTTGTAAGTCTCAAAGGAGGGAAAACTCAACATGCTTCAGAATCATCTCACAGAAATATTACTTGAAATACCACTGTGAGGATAACATGCAAGTTTTGTTGAAATAGCTTATTTCAACTGGGGCCAGTACAAAGGATCCATATAGTACCAAGGACTCGGGCTCAGTGCCCTACCACCCTCAGCATGTGGCTTTCAGGCTCACAGCCACACCCTGGTAAGTGACAGCAGTTCCACTTCTACTATAGTGTATTAGGCAGTTTTTGCATTGCTATAAAGAACTACCTGAGACTGGGCAATTTATAAAGAAAAGAAGTTTAATTGGTTCACAGTTATGCAGATTGTACAAGAAGCATGGCTGAGGAGGCCTCAGGAAACTTACAATCATGGCAGAAGGTGAAGGGGAAGCAGGCACATCCTACATGGCTGGAGAAGGAGGAAGAGAGACAGAAGGGAAAGGTGAAGGTGCTACACACTTTTAAACAACCAGATCTCATGAGAACTCTCTCACTGTCACAAGAACAGCAAGGGGGAAGTCCATCCCCGTGATCCAATCACCTGCCACCAGGCCCCTCCTCCAACACTGGGGATTACAATTCAATGAGATTTGGGCGGGACACAAATCCAAACCATATCATATGGCCTCCACATGCCAAAGAAGGAGTAGGGTGAAGGGCAAAAACTTCCTAAACCTAAGCCCTTTAAAGAGCTTTCCAGAAGCCCTGATCAGCAGCACTGCTTGTAACCCTAGACTAAGGCTAAAACCCTGTACCATAGTCAGCCTTAGCTACAAGGGAAATGTAGTTGAGTACATTGTTACCTTGAACAAAATGGAGAATCTCTTAGTAATGAATAAAAGATACTACTAGGTATCTATAGAGCCTACTAGGTAGGCTGCTAGCAGTGTCTGCCACTCATAAGCTGGAGAACGATGAGATAGTTTCTCGGACTTGATTTGTCTGGTGTCCTTGTGCCCTCTGAGGATGGGGGAAGGGAATTAGCAAAAAAGAAAAGCTCCACTTTTGCCAATTCTCTGGTTACCTACCTTTGCACACGTCAGTCCTGAGAGGACTCTTTTGGGGCATGAAAGTTCACTCTAAACCAGAGGTGTCCGGTTTCTTGGCTTCCCTGTTCTACATTTGTAGAACACATAAAATAACACTAACAATAGCCGATTAGCTTTAAAAAAGTCACAAAAAAGTCTCATAATGTTTTAAGAAAGTTTACGAATTTGTGTTGGGCCACATTCAAAGCCATCCTGGGCCTCCTGTGGCTCACGGGCAATGAGTTGGACAAGCTTGCTCTAAGCCATCATTGCATGAGTTCTCCACCTTTTGCTTCAGGAGTGCCCAGCAGGAGATTGCTAGGAGTGAAATGCTGTAGAGTGGAGTGAGGTTCACCTCCTCGAATATAGGGTCAATATAGGGTCATTCTGGGGGACCCTTGAACTCTCCACATTTTTTTCTATCTTCATTTTAATAGTAATGTAAAAGGAAATTATTTTATGTACTGTATATAAATAAAACTTCTCTTTTCCCATAATAGCCACTTGATGCATACTTTAATCGATTTAGGGGTTACTTAAAGTATCTCTCGCTTGGATTTTGCAGGCACGCTCCTGGGGGTTGTAGGGGATGTAAAAGCGTCTGCACAGTACCGAAGTTGAGCAACCGGTTCCAGTGTCTTTAAGCAAGGACGTTTGGAAAGGATCTGATGTGCATTGCTGTTGCCTTTTGGCAGCACATACTGTGAGCAGTGTCCTAGGAGGTGATGCCGAAACGCCCAGCCCTGACGCTAAAGAGGAATTGATTTCTCAAAGTGCAGAGTCAACAGGTGCCGTAAGAGAACTGCTGACAGGAACAGGCCCTGGGACCGGGAATTTGGGAACCTGCTACCATTAACAGAGCTCTGCTGGGAGCGTCATCTGCTCCCAACGTCCGCTGTTGCAAAAGGGAACAGCCAGGGGGCGCAATTCTGCGATTCTGAGCTAAACACCCCAAGCGCAGTAGGTACAGCCAGGGTGGGTGGCAGGGAAACCACAGGGAGGTTAATGAGGGCTTGGACTGTGCTCTTAATTTATTCCTGAATTCTCAATACTTAGGCCACTGCCTTGGAACACGACAGCATCTTAATTTTTTTTTTTCAAGAAAGCAAAAAGAATGAACAAATGAATGAATTGAGACCAGACAAAAATGCTTACTATTTGAATTTTCGCACCATCTACCAGCCCATACCCCAGGTTTTTGCATGCTTAACTTCTTTTCTTCCTGCTATAGTGAATTTGATTTCTGCCTTTTCTTTCTCCACTCTCTCCACCCACTGAGGGGATTTCTGTTGTTGATGAACTTGTTCTTTGGACTTTTTTGGTGGAAAATAGTAAGAGAGGGATGAAATCGAGAGATTAGCTAGTAGGTGAGAAGGGGAGGGAGCTTGATTTATTGGTGCTTCGCTGGTACTTGTCTTAAGTGCAATTCCCTCCACTCTTCATGGACTGTCCCCACCTCCCTATCAGAATCCTCTGGGAACTCAATGCTGATTCCTTGGCCAAGCCTAGATCTCTCTGGGAGTTGCCCCACCTCTTGTCATATATTTGCATAGTAATAAATGATGAGTGCTGGAGTAAGAGCTTAAAAGCATAGAGATAATGTTGTGCTACAGGATAGAAGCCTTTTGAGGGTCAGTTTGAGGAGAGAGCCACTGGAGCCATGGTGGGGTGGGAGTAGTGGGAAGTGGCTTGAAGAAGTGTTAATGTATGTTAGGGTCCATTTAAGGTTCTTAGAGAAATTCCAAAAACAGTAGAATTCCCCCTGGCTGTGCTTCTTGAACACGCGGCTGTTAGGATACTGAGCCGTATTAACCTCTGGGTTTACAAGCCTTACACTTCTTACATTTCTTCTTTACATTTCTTGCACAGTAAGAAATGAAGGAACAAAAGGAATAAATGAATGATAATGTATCTGGTCGTCTCTTACATTCTAGTGAGTCACCCTCGACATAAGAAGAAAAGTGGAGACTGTTAGATTTATTTCCTGAGAGAGAGAATAATTTTCTAGTAGGTCACTGAACCCCGAGGAAGCCTAGAGCGCAAGAAACTTTGGGAGAGATTCAAGCCAGTGGCTACAATCTTGAATTACAACCCAGCCCTTCCTTCCAACAAAGGGTATGCATAGGGAAAGAGATATATCAAACTTTTTAGCCAAACTTTTAAAGAAAAGCTGAACAATAGAATGGCTAAAGTGAAAAAATACAAAAGGACACTTAAAAATATATATTTTTAAATTATGTCTTGAAACTTCCCTGCCAGGAACTTATTAATATCTCCTTCAACCTCCCTTCTCCCTTGTATTAGCGTTCTCCAGAGAAACAGAACCAATGAGCTGAAAAGAGAGAGACATTTATTTTAAGGAATTGCCTCACACAATCATGAATGTTGGCCAGATTTCATCCTGTAGGCCAGCAGGATGAAGACCCAGGGAAGAGTTGATGTTGCAATCTTGAGTCTGAAGGCAATCTGGAAGCAGAATTTCTTTTTCCTCGAGGGACTTCTGTCATTTCTCTTCAAAGCCTTCAAGTGATTAGATGAGGCTCACCACATTATGGAGCAAGCTGCTTTACTCAAAGTCTACTGGTTTAAATGTTAACCACATCTAAAAAAAATACTTTCGTAACAACATCTAGATTGGTATTTGACCAGAAAATTAGCCACCATATCTTATCCAAGCTGACAAAATTAACCGTCACACCCGATCCCTCCCAAAGCTTAATATAGTAACAATCAAAACAATAAATAACCACTGTTTCAATGAGGAATTATCAACCCCACAAAAACAGAGAGCCATGTGGTTATTTAATGGTGGCAAGAGAAGAGGGGATAATGGAGTATGAATTGGGGGAAGTAATTGTGATCAAATCCTGACTCTTGCTAGGAAAAGGGTATGACATAAAGAAGAGGAGCATGTTCTTGGCTCTTAAAATGAAGAGTTGGGAAATGCTGGTATAGAAGGAGAGCTGAATATTACCTTTGAACAGTCAAGGGGTAGACTAAAGTCAGCATTATTCAGGTTTGTGATCACCTAGCATCCTTTCACTCACTGTTTGTAGAATTTCCATACTGATTTCCTCTTCCTCAAATTATTCTTCCTTGCAGCTAGGGTACAGGCATGTGACCCTGATTCAGCCCTATCTGCTATGAAAGGAAAATAAATCTTGGGACCCCAAAATCACTAAGCCAAAGGGAAGAGTCAAGCTGGAACTGCTTAGGGCAAACCTGCCTCCCATTCTAACCCTAATAAAGATAGCTACTAAGATAAAAAAGCTACAGACCTCCCTCACAATTAGTTCACAAGGAACTTCCTTGCTGACAAAAGACAGACAGAACTCAAAAGTCATCCCTTCTGCTCACTGAGATAAACACATATCTGATTGCTTCCTTTGAAGAGGCTAATCAGAAACTCAAAAGAATGCAACCATTTGTCTCTTATCTACCTATGACCTGGAAGCCCCCTCCCCACTTCGATTTTCCCACCTTTCTGGTCTGAACCAATGTACATCTTACATATATTGATTGATGTCTCATGTCTCCCTAAAATGTGTAAAACCAAGCTGTGCCCCGACCTTGGGCACATGTTGTCAGGATCTCCTGAGGCTGTGTCATGGGCGCATTCTGAACCTTGGTAAATAAACTTCCTAAAATTGACTGAGACCTACCTCAGATATTTGGGGTTCACACTGTGCATACCTCTTATTTAGAAGTGAGTAAAATGAAATGTAGGTACAGTGAAGAAAGGATCTATTGGTGAAGGTGGGGTTGGAAACATCCCATGTTTAAAGAGCAGTCACGGCAGAGTTCTTGGCATCTAGTCCTATCCCTATTAGTATGAGCTATGAGGTCTTCTCCAGAGTAGCCCCTATCATGTGGTTTGAGCCTTGCTTCTGACTCTACAAGGATAGCCTCCACTACTGACCCTCTGCGCTACCTACTATCCTTCAATATCCTTTGTCAAATAACGTGCATTGGATTTGAGGCTATAATTAGCTCACCCTTTATTACTAAGCCTTTGTTCAGTGTTACCTAAGAATTACCAGTTTGATCTGTAGATGAAGCCCTGGGACTTTGAGGCAGAGGGCCTAATTTGAGGGAGACAAGAAGACTCTGAGTCAGCAAACCTCTCTTCTATCAGAAAGTCTGGTTTCTATTGGTGCAGACTGAGTCATGGTTCCTGATAACTTACAAATACCATAGTGAGGTATTTTATGGCTCTTAGTTGAAGAAACTGTTTCTGTCTTCATTTTTACCACTTCCCATGTAGATTTGCACAGACATGGCTTTTATCACAAAATGTGATTTAAATAGAAGTGTTCATCCTTATACTGTAACTGCTGGTTAAGTATTTGAGAAAGGATATTTCTTCTTATTTCTCTTTTATATATTGCGTTTTCAAAGTCACTAATCTCCAGATGGGATCTCATCTGAACACCCACTTTATTTAGATTTCATATGGAAATAGCTTTGACCCCTTAACTATTCTATAAATAATAAAACAACCCAGCAACTTCTATAAGGGAACCTTTCTTTTTAGCCAATGATCTGATTCAGCTGGCAGTAGGCCCCATAATTATTACTAATTAATAGAAATTTAACAAAGAGAGTTTCAGCTTTTGATTTTGGAGGAAAAAATACAGGATATGTAAGAAAAAAATGTAACATCGAATAGTTAACTTTCAGTGAACTATGCATGACACTGTGAACTAAGGCGAACACCTGGCCTTTTGGTCCCTGAACTGTTAGATTACAATTAGTGCTTTTTTTCTTAGTCTTTAACTTGGGTTAAGAACTGCAAGTTCAAAGAGATGTTTGTTTTGAGGAGGGAGTTTCCAATGGGTGCAAAGTGTAATCCATTCTGAGCATATGCTGGTTTAGAAAGTGCCTTGGTGGTGGCAATGTTTTCAGCTGTGGCAGCAGAATTTCCTTATCTTTGTTGCTCACTAGATTTGCTTTAGAATGATACTTTTAAAATTCATTAGACCAGTAATAATGCAGTGGCATTTAACCTGATACTCAGATGGCACAAAGCACTCTCACCACCGTGCTTCATTCGCACAGTTACACATTAATAAAAGGCCTTTTCATTCCACTCTCTGCCTGTTCGGCTGAAAGCCACTATTAATGCTTTTTTTTCTTAATCACATGTTTTCTGATGACACATTTCTTAGCCCGTAATAATTAATGTTTCTGGCCAGAGCATTTAATAGTTTAATGGTTTTTCAAATTTGTTTCCATAGACTGGTCAAGTTGGATTGGGAAACAAGCCCAAAATATATTTAAGAAGAAGCAAACTGCCACATGCTTAGTTGTGACTGTGAGTTCTCAGCACAGTCCTAACACACACTCACTAAATATTTAGTGAATGCATGAATGGAAAAATGAATGCAACTCCTAGCATGACATGAGATCCAAATGTGCAGCAGGATGGGACAATCCAGAACTAAACGCATTAAAATTTACTTTCACTAGCTTCTATTTCGTCTTTTAAAAAGGCACGAATGGAGGGAGGGGGGACTTTACTGAAAACTTGAACGCTTCAACTAAAACTCAAAGTGCAGCAGCTGGTGAATGTTATCTGGCCACATTTTTCTTGGTCTAAGCTTGCTAGCTTTTATGAGTTCTACTGGAATCGAATTCATGTGTTTTTGGAAAATTTTGAAGTGGAAATCTTTGTAGCTGTAAACCTACAATGGAGATTTTATCTGTTCTTTCAGGGGCTAAGCGAGGGGAGACATTCAATATGATCTTCATTCCGGACGTTCTGAAACATAGCCAGGCTGTCTAAACTAATTATGGGAGTTTGAATAAGGTTAAGTAACTCAGCTGTGTACTTTTTTCCACTCATGCATTGTTGGAATGGAAGAAGGAATAATTGAAATATTTTAAGGACATATTCCCCCATCAGTTCCTTTCCTCTGGTAGTCGGCTACTCTTTTTCTAATCATTGCCTTGAAGACAGGCTATAATAAGAGAAAGCAGAGAAAAAGGCACCTTTTTCCTGGTGTTTGGGTTTTTAAAGGGCTCAGAAAAATAGGTGAGGGAAAACAGCTGAATAAGAACAAGGGCTTCCCAGGTTGGAAGAGAACGTAGTGTTGAAGGGAAATGGAAGGTACGTGAGAAATCATTGTTGTTGGGTCTGAAAGAAAGGAGGCCCTGCTCCAGTTCTCTGGGCTCAGCCTGGACTGGAAGCAGTGGAGGGAAACAAAAGGGCAAAATCTAGCCTATGTTTGTGAGGTTCAAAAGAAGTAGAAATCAGTGTCTTGTTTCCCAGATGGAGCCTCAGAGAGTGGGGAAAACGCAGAGAAGAAATGACCCTGGAGTATCTCATGGAAGCATCACTGTGACAGGAGCAGAAGACTCCCCAGGGCCAGAGATTGGCCTAGAAGTAGATTAGAGACCCATCCAACCCAAAGATGGGGGAAAGGGAGAACACGCAGGTGAGTGGGTCATATGGGACAACGGATGTCTCAGCAGATGGCAAATGCGAACAGAAGACTTTGAGGATCAGATAGACTTCCCCGCATACCTCCAAGTCCAACACTTGGAGCTTTAGGAGCCTCTTGCAATTTAGATACAATTACAGGTAAAAGTTCAGGAGAATCCTGGAATTGACTGAGGTTTTTTTCTACCACCCTAGGAGAAAGTGGGATTGAAAAAGGGATTATGTCCAATTGCAGAAAAATAAAGCTCTGTTCCTTATATACTTGTGTTTGTAGATGAAGATTTAGATGCATTACATTAAAGAAAATAATAACAATGGTTAACCTTCCTGAGCACTCAGCATGTAGTGGACCCAGCATCTTAAGTGCTCTATGTGTATTAACTCATTTAGAAAAGAGCTTCTCTGTTCATAAACTTTGATTTGACATTCGTAGTATCCTTATACAAAAATACTTAAAAATACTACAAAGTATTTCTAATTTCTGTTTTATTATTCAAAGCCTGATCATTTAAAAAATTTTTATTATGTAAAATTTTAACCATATACAGAAGTAAGGAGGGTAGCATAAAGAATTCCCACGTATCCATCTCCCAGCCTTAATAATGATCAACTATGGACAATCATGTTTCATATTTTAAACCAAATCCTGAACATTATATCATTGTATCTATAAATGTTCAATATATGTCTCTAAGAAATATGGCTTAATTTTGTCAAATATCCAGTGTTCAAATCTTCCCAAAGTTCTCATGAATTTATTTCCCCAGCTTTACTGAGGTATAATTTACAAACATTGTATATATTTAAGGTGTATAATGTGATGATTTGATATATGTATGTATCATGAAGTGATTAATACAGTTGATTTAATTAACACATCCATCATCTCACATAGTTACCATTTTGGGGGGAATAGTAAGAACACTGCAGATCTATTTTCTTAGCAAATTTCTAGTATAAAATACACTATTATTAACTATATTCACCATGCTGTACATTATATTCTCAGAACTTACTCATCTTATAACTGAAAGTTTTTACCCTTTAACCAACATCTTCCTATTTTCCCCAACTTCCAGTCCCTGCCAACCACCATTCAACTCTCTGCTTCTGTGGGCTTGACTATAGATTCCACATATAAGCAAGATCATACAGTATTAGTCTTTTTGTGTCCAACGTATTTTACTTAGTATAATGTCCTCCAAGTTTATCCGTGTTGTCACAGATGTCAAAATTTTCTTTTCCTTCTGGCTGAATAATATTCCACTGATCATGTTACTGTATTTTCTTTATTGCTTCATCTGTAGATGGACACTTAGGATTTTCCATATTTTGGCTATTGTGAATTATGCTGCAATGAACTTGTGGGTGCAGATGTCTCTTCTAGATACTGATTTCATATCCTTTGGATATACACCTGGTAGTGGAATTGCTGGATCATACGGTAGTTCTATTTTTAATTTTTTGTGGAACTTCCATACTGTTTTCCATAACTACCATAGCCTTACATTCCCACCAATGATGTAAATGGGTTTTATTTTCTGTACACCATTGTCAATGCATGTTATCTTTTGTCTTTTTTTTATAATAACCATCCTAACAGATGTGAGGTGATATGTCATTTTGGTTATGATTTGCATTTCCCTGATGATTAGTAATGTTGAGCACCTTTTCATACACATGCTGGTCATTAGTATGTCTTCTTTAGAAAAATGTCTATTACGATCTTTTGCCTTTTTTTTTTTTTTTTTTTTTGAGACGGAATCTCTCTCTGTTGCCCAGGCTGGAGTGCAGTGGCGCAATCTCGGCTCACTGTAAGCTCTGCCTCTCGGGTTCACGCCATTCTCCTGCCTCAGCCTCCTGAGTAGCTGGGACTACAGGCACCCGCCACCAAGTCTGGCGAATTTTTTGTATTTTTTAGTAGAGACGGGGTTTCACCGTGTTAGCCAAGATGGTCTTGATCTCCTGACATCGTGATCTGCCCACCTCGGCCTCCCAAAGTGCTGGGATTACAGGTGTGAGCTACCGCACCTGACCATCTTTTGCCCATTTTTTTATTGGTCTATTTGTTTTTTTGCTATTGAGTTGTATACATTCCTTATGTTTTCAATATTTACCACTTGTCAGATATAGAGTTTACAAATATTTTATCCCATTCTGTAGGTTGCTTTTTCATTTTGTTTATTGTTTCTTTTGCTGTGCAGAAGTTTTTAGTTTGATGTAGTTACCCTTGCTTATTTCTGTTTTTATTGCCTGTACTTTTGGTATCATATCCAAAAAATCATTGCTCAGACTAATATCAAGTAGTTTTTCCCTATGTCTTTTTTTTCTAGGAGTTTTATAGTTTCAGGCCTTACATTTCTAAATCTTTAATCCATTTTGAGTTGTCTCATGGATTTTTTAACACTTATTTTTTCAAGTCAAGATCCAGACTTGGTCCACATATTGCATTTGATTGATATGTCTCTTGTGTCTCTTTTATTCTATAGGTTTCCTTTCCTCTTTTAATTTTTTTCTTGCATTTTATTTATTGAAAAATCTAGGTCATCTGTCCTGCAAAATTTTCTACATTCTGGGTTTTGTTGATCTTCATATATCATTTAGCATCCTCCCCTGGCCACTGTTGATTCCTGTAGTTACTGCTAATCTTTAGTCTCATTTTTTTTTTTTGTCTGTTTTCTTCATCCTTTCGGCTGTACATATGCCTGCAATATAATGGAGCCCTGCCTAAAATCAAGACCAGTTGTATAACACAGGTTTGGTGGTAGGAGGAAGTCTGTTTTATTTTTAATGATTCTAGAGCTTTCACCTATGAAATCTAAATCTCACAGTTTCTGTTGAACAAGCATTCTCCCTTTCCATCCCACACTGTAGTCTAACCAGACATTTATTCCCAGGGACTCACCACTTGTCTCAAAAACCTTTATTTAAACAAAGATAAACATTAGCATACATAAAGCATTTATCTGTCTTGACTTTTGTGTCCTACCCCTGTGTTTCTAATTTCTTTTTGTTTACCAGACAATGCCTGGTGCCCTGGGATCCACGATATGCTGATCCCTTCTTCATTCACTGTGGGATTGAGGTCATCCCTCAGGGAATAGACTTTCATCTGATTAGATGTACTGAATGGCTGACTTAGCTCCATTCAGGCCTCCATAGAGAAGACAGACAAGTGGGCCCTCCCCTGGGAGAAACAAGGTGGGCCTAATGCTAGACAGCATTTGATATACTCACAGCTGTGAACTCTTGAAAACAAACAGGTGGAGGAGGGGGAGTGCCATGTTGTATTCAGAGCAGGTAGTTGCGGTTTACTAATCAGATCAGCCATCCACAAGCTGGCAGCACTGTAGCTCATGTGTGTGAACAGTGAAAGGCAATATTACTATTTTAGCTTTGGCCTTTTGGGTGACAGCAGCACTGGCTTATATCCATTTATTTCGCCTGAAAACTCTGTCATCTCTAATGCTCTCTAAGACCTCTCCAAACTCTATTGTGTAAGACATAGATATGCTAGTTAGCTAAATACATCCTTAAACTGACTTTGCTATAAATAATTCCCAGTTGCATATAGCTTCAAATCTATTCTATCTTTTTGAAGAGTACAGTTATTTTTATTGCCTCTGAGTTCCATTATAATAAATGAATTTGCAAGCAAAAAAAAAAAAACTTGGAGAAATGAAAACCCAGAACCATATTACTGGAGAAAGCATATTTTGCATTTGGATGTCAACTTTTGAAGGGAAATAATGATGTACTCAGAAGCAGAAACTGGTGAACATAGCTGGAACCATTATCTAGACAGGAGCATCAGAAGGCTGTCACTCAGGAAAAAATCCTGTGAAAAGAGGAGATTTGCTACCCAACTGAAAAAAGAAGCATGTCCCCATGCCTTTAAAGGTTTGAGGGAATGGAAAGTAGGCTACTGGGAGGAGAGGCATAATAATAATTAACTTCATAGCCTTGGCAGTTTACAAAATGCTCTATTTTATATTTTCTCATTTTAACTTCATGACAACCTGGGGAGTGTGCTGTCGTGCCCATTTTTAAGAGAAATTAATGAGGTAAAGGGCGATTAAATGACTTGCTCCAAATCACATATCCAATAAGTAATAGGATTTAAAACTAGGTCTTTGGGTGCCATCTGTACATCCCTTCCTACCACAAGTCTTTTGCGTAATGGCTACATGGTATCAGCCTCCCTGAGTCCCTTCCCGCTGAGCTCTGAATTTCCTTTCCTGGTTACTGTAAGGACAGAAAGTGGCCCTTTCTCCTTACTCGTCTGTGATGCTCTGTTTGATCGCTGTCTGCTAACTACGAGGTATCCTTAGGCAAGTTGCTTTTCCTCTCTGGGTTTCATTTTCTTAATTCTGAAGATTTCTTCTACTTCTTAAATGCTCAAATTCTTTATTAGAACTTAACTTTTAAAGCATAATAAAAATAATAGCTACATTTCTTAAGGACTATTTGGAATTAAGTACTACACTGAATCTTTTACATGGATTGTTGCTAACTCAATACTGCCCTGCAATATTAACTTTATTTTATGATAAGTCTTCTGAGCCACAGAGAAGCCAAGCAGCTCTCCCAAAGGGTAGGCCCCCATCATCTCTCCCTTGAACCCGCAGCAAAAGCCTCCTAATTGGTCTCCTTGCTCCCTCATTGGCATCACTACTTCCATTATCCACACTACGTTCAGAGTGATTGTGTTAAAAATGTATAGCAGATCAAGTCTCTACCCTGATGGCTTCCCCTCTCACTTAGCCGACTAAGGCTCAAACTCCCCACCACTTTTCTCCTTCATACTCTGTGGTAGTTAGAATAATAGCCTCCCCAAAATGTCCACATTCTAATCCCTGGAACCTGTTACTTTACATGGCAAAAGGGGCAGATTTGTTTAAATTAAGGAACTTGAGGTGGGGAGATTATCCTGGGTTATCTGGATGGGCCCAGTGTAGCCACAGGGGTCTTTCTGAGGAAAAGAAGAGGGCAGAGAGGGGGCAGTCACAGAAATTTGAAGCTGCAACACTGCTGGTTTTGATGATGGAGGAATGGGCCAAAGCCAAGGAATGCAGGTGGCTTGTAGATGCTAGGAAAGGCAAGAAAGGGGATTCTCCCTAGAGCCCCTGGAGGGAGTATGGCCCTGCTGACACCTTGAATTCAGCCCAGGGAAACCCATTTTGGACTTCTGATTTCCAGAACTGTAAGATAATAAATGTGTGTTATATTTAAATTTTTATTTATTTATTTATTTATTTATTTATTTATTTATTTATTTTGAGATAGAGTCTTGCTCTGTCACCCAGGCTGGAGTGCAGTGTCACGATCTCAGCTCATTGCAACCTCTACCTATCAGGTTCAAGCAATTCTCTGCCTCAGTCTCCCGAGTAGCTGGAATTACAGGCACACTCTACCACGCCCAGCTAATTTTTTTTTTTTTTTTTCTTCAGACGGAGTCTTGCTCTGTCGCCCAGGCTGGAGTGCAGTGGCGCAATCTCGGCTCACTGCAAGCTCCGTCTCCCAGGTTCACACCATTCGCCTGCCTCAGCCTCCCAAGTAGCTGGGACTACGGGCGCCCACCACCACACCTGGCTAATTTTTTGTATTTTTTAGTAGAGACAGGGTTTCACCGTGTTAGCCAGGATGGTCTTGATCTCCTGACCTCGTGATCCACCCGCCTCAGCCTCCCAAAGTGCTGGGATTACAGGCGTGAGCCACCGCGCCTGGCCACGCCCAGCTAATTTTTGTATTTGTAGTAGAAACAGGGTTTCACCATATTGGCCAGGCTGGTCTTGAACTCCTGACCTCATGATCCACCCACCTCGGCCTCCCAAAGGAGGAATAGATGCTGGGATTACAGGCGTGAGCCACCACTCCCTGCCCAAATGTGTGTTATCTTAAGCTACTAAGTTTCTGATGATTTGAGCAGCAATGGGAAACCACTACATACTCCCTCACTGATCTTCTCCCATGCCCTGAACACGCCAAGTTTGTTCTGGCTTCTGGGCCTTTGCCCTTGCTGTACCCTCTACCTGGAGTGCTCTGCCCTGAAATTTTATAATGACCACCCTACCTGAAGTATCCCACATGGTCGTCATTCTTTATCACACACCTTATTTTACTTTCTTCATACTATGATCACCACCTGAAGTTGCCTTGTTGGTTGATTTGTTTGTTTTCTCCCTGTAGCATTCAACAGAAAGTATAAGTTCCACCAGATAAGAATTTTATCTGTCTTTTTTGTTGCTGTATCCATGAGGCCTAGGGCACTATCTGTCACACAGTATCCTCTGTCTCAATGGAGGTGTACAGTAAGCGATTTGGGGGAAGGTAGGAACGGAAGTAGCAAAACATATGCACAAACTCGTGTCATTCTACTCCTAAACATTTATAAGATGGGCCCACTGTTAAGCCACCTCCCCTCACACTGTAGATGGTTTCTTCTAGAACCTTGCCAGATTTGGAAATGAGGGAGAAGAGACATAAACTCAGAGAAATAATCTTACCATGCCTTTCTTCCCACTGTTGGCTTTGTGAGTCACTATGGAAGACTTCCAAGATGGAACAAAATGGATTTGTTTCAAAGGTCCTTGTTGATTACAATACTCTGAGACCTTTCCAATATACAGAACTTCTTTACTGTATATACAGTAAATTCAGTATTTATATTCTACTTTTGTAATGGAAAATATGAATATCCATTTAGCTTCTTTCCAAGAGGACTGATACAAATAAGGAAATTCCAGTGATTCCTTACAAATGGATATCTCTTTTTCCCTCTTGTGTGAGGATTAGCAGCAATATTAATACCACACATTTACATAGGGTAACACGGTTCTCCTGAAACATGTATTTTAGGATTTGTTTGGAAAACATGGAAGTTAGTGCTTTACAGATGTCAATGAATCATCCTTAGTTATCTAAGAGAGCTAGAAAATGTCACTGGGGAGCCATGTTGGTTGACTCTAAGGCCTAGGCAGAAGCCTACAAAGGCGTTCCCCAATCCCATCACCACAGTGGTTCGTCTAAGTGAGTGGGTGGGGAGAAGGCGGAACAGCTCTGGCAAACCAAGCTTATATCACTCTTGCTGCTAGCTTTCCCAGGGAAGGAGTACTGTCTCTTTCTCAGTCCCTCCATCCATAATCCCACAACAGGAGCTCATCAGGTTATATGTCTGTCCATTAACCATTTGCTGAGGCCAGAAAGATGCAGTTCTCTGATTGGTCAAGACTACCTCTCACGATGCCCACTTCCAAATTTAGCATCAGAATTAACTACACTTAATTGCTTCAAGAAAAGCTAGAAGGGCCAAATGCAGTGACTTAGGCCTGTAATCCCAGCACTTCAGGAGGCCAAAGTGAGAGAATGGTTTGAGGCCAGGAGGTCAAGACCAGCCTCGGCAACATAGTTTCTTAAAAAAAAAAAAAAAAAGAGAGAAAGAAAAGAAAAAAGAAAAGAGAAGAAGAGCTGGAGAAAGGAGTTTCCTAAGGAAAAACAAAACTGGATTTGTTACCAGTAGGAGGAATAGATGCTGGGCAGGCAAAAAGCAACATATGTCCTTTGCCTTCCCCATTTGCTAAAGGTGGAGTTTCAGGCACCAAAACTCTTGAATAAGAGAGATATTTTTGAAGTGTGTGGTTGTTTTTTTTTTCCCAATCCTTAGATAACACTTCATTACCACCAGCCTACTTCACTTGCATTAAAGAGCCATCTGGTCTGCGTTTGACTATTCTATCCATGTTGCTTGCAGTTCTAGCTTAAATCCCTTGGCTTGTAAAGTCAGTTAGCAGCATTTAAATATGCTGAATTCTGGAAATGTTGGGATTATAAATAGTTCATCATATTTTAGAAATGCAAACAGCAGTTCTGAAAACTTAGCCTCTCAAAACCTTCAGCAGGGTTTACAGAGTTTCCTGTGTTATTTATTTTGTTTGTTTTGCTTTTTATGCATAGTTTTTTTAAAAAGACATTTTATTATCAACAATTAGTCTTACACTAAATAAATGATATAGCAAAACTTTTCTGTATAGATAAAAACTTCAAATGCTTATTTTTGCTTCTTAAGGCCATGCTTGTTTGAATAACTGAACGCATTTGTGTGTTTGATTTTCTAAACTAGGTTTTCAGGAAAGTGTGAAGGTGAATTTAAAGGTTTATTTCTTATAAAAATGAAAAGCAAAGATTATTAATCATATTGTTCTGATTTGGGTAGGTGTCTCATGTGTTGCCAATTTGGAACATAAAACTTAGACTCCTTTTATCATTTCCTGAGTTTTACTTTATAGAGCCTTTGCTTAATATTATTTTATGAACGTTATAGATGATTGGACAGGGCATTTTAGTTTATTTCACCAACTCCACTTTAGTTATGAAATACATTGTAATCTAAATATACTACAATCATGTCTTCCGGGTTTCGTCTGCCACCCACTTTTCCAGGTTCCTATTCCATGTTAGGAACTTTAGTAGGTGCATCTGTTGTTTTCCTTTGTCCTGCCTCCCTTTTACTTTGGAAACAGCACTAGTCCCTCAACTGCTCCTCCTTTACTCCATGTGGTTCTGGTGGGACTATCAAGTATGTTAATGCTGCCTCTGGCAGAGGATTTTAGTAGGTGATCCAAGCTAGGTTAGTTGTTGATTACATTCCTCCGGACACAATAATTGATTCAAGGAGTGGGCACACCCCCCCGCCACTGAAACAATCAATGTCTTCCAGAATTTTCTGGAATAGATATCATTCTCATCTCTCATTAAGATATAACCCAAGAGCCACACTTGCATCCACACTCCCTGCCTTATGGAGAAATCTTGTCTGCAGGACAGAATGAGGCCAAATGTACCAAAGGAGGCACATGTAAGAGACAGAGACAGAGAATTCAGGCAAAGAATTTTTGCAGGACCCCTGTTTATATAAATCACTGGATCCAAACACGTTTTACAAAATTCTTGGGCCCATGTAATGTATAGAGGTTTATTGCTGAAGATTTAGAATACTGGGTAGAGAAGAGGTACTTTTGTATTTGTTTATGGTCCAATCTGTTTACATAAAGAGTCTTTGTAGTGTCCAGATACCATCTTTTCTGCTTAGGTTCAGGAATCATGGCTTCATTTTTGTTATTTCTGAATGCACTGTTCCTCACTAACAGTACATCTTCTACCATGAGAAAAAGGTGACCGTGCTCTCATTACTCACACTGTCATGGCTCTTTAGAACCTCATTCGTACTGGAAGGATATAGATGTTCTGGCCCCTGCGAATTTCCCAATACAATTTACTTAATGCTAATTGCATGATTGCTCATTAAGCTGCATCATCCATGGTGCCACACATGAAGAGTGACTTCCAATGACTCTCTCAGAGGTGGTTACTGTGCTTCATGCATGATGGCCACGAACACAAGTCTTATCCAGTGTATGCAGGAAAATATGAATGATCACTTGTTTTTCTTCTCATGTTATACTTACCATTTGTAACTTTAAAGCATAAACATAACAGCACATATTTCAACTACATTTTCTCTTGAGTTCTTTTGGACATAATCACTCCATTTGTAGAATGTGACCTCTTTCTATCTTGACCACACCCATGTCCTCCATATACTTCTGACAACAGGGGATAGGCAATGAACTCGTGGAGTAGAAGATAAGTGTGGTCTCATTTTCACAAGGAATGCATGCCCTTAGTCTAGCACAGCTTAAGACTGACTTAGAAGAGCACAGCCCTTATCAAGTTGGGGCAAGTGTGGACATTGATCCTAATGATCCAATGGCTTTGCATGGTAATTATCTCAAAAGTACTCAGAGAAGAGGCATGGCCACCCTGGAGGATTGCCTGACCCAAAGTATGGAGTCAGCAGAGAGGGTGGGATGACTGCCCTGGGTGCCAGTGGTGGGGGCACAAGGTAAAGGATGTCTGCCATCACCAAGCCACCCTCAAGTACTATAACCTGAAAGCAGCACTGTGGCTGAAACTTGGATGGACAACAGGTGACCCAAGAGCCCATATGTGCAGCTCAAACTAAGGGTTAACTTGAGTTGTTAGTACCCCAAAGACCTGAATTCATCTTGTCTGAAGTGACTGAGTGTCATCCAAAATCAGTGTGTCAGCATCATTCTGGCATCCCAATCTCACACAATCCCACAAAAGAATTAACACTCTGGCCAATGGGAATGATTCTCATCAGGCTGCCTTCCCGGAACTGGGGCCCAGCCTCAGAACCTAAGGATGACCCTAGGAGTATGAGTCCTGGAGCTAGTTGGGGCATCTGTTTGACTCCACACACAGGATAGCAGGTTTGAGACCACCCCAAAAGCACAAAACAGGGGAAGGGGCCCACTTGGATCCTGATCCAGGTTCAGGTAACTCTACTGGCCCTGGTCAATCCCAGTCACAGACAGGACTTAAAACATTCTGATGAAGATGTTTCCAGCAGCTGGGATGCATA
This sequence comes from Homo sapiens, assembly GCF_000001405.40. NCBI lineage: Eukaryota > Metazoa > Chordata > Mammalia > Primates > Hominidae > Homo > Homo sapiens. The sequence goes on along the minus strand of NC_000001.11, from coordinate 84,708,566 downwards.
TGGTATCTGGTCTTAGCCCAGGGTACTCTGCCCCATTGGCACTGCTAATTCAAAGGAAGACTTGAAAATGTGTCCAAGGATGTCCAAGTGACAGGACTCCCTGAGGCTCAGGGCTCAGCAGAGGGGCCTTGCTTGCCAGAGTGTAAGGGCAGTCCTACTGCAGGGGGTCCCAGTGACACTGTTTGAAATGCTAGATCCAATCATGCCTAAGACCAGATCCATCTCTAGTATTCCCAGTTTTGAAATCCAATTTCAGTTTTTGCTTAAGTTGGTTTAAGTTGAATTCCTGACACCTACAACAGAAGGAATTCTGACTAATGCAAGCAGAGCCGTCGCTACCAGCCTTTATTCATGCTCCTCTCACTGCTCCGAGTTCCTTTTTCCTCTGCCTTCAATATCGAAGCCTTGTTTGCCTTCAAGTCCAAGTTTGAAGGATAGGTAATTTGGATACCATCAGGGCTGGAAGGATCACAGTGAAAAATACACTGCAATAGAAAGGTTTATGTTATAAAAATAAATTGTATATAAGGGTTTAGTTTATTTGCCAAGTTAAAGGACATAACCTACAACCTTTAAAATGGTTCAAGATGAGGAATTTGATAACATGTATTTAATTAAGCCACCATTTATTACTTTCTTTACTGTATATCCTTTATTCAGTAAAAGCCTAGGAATTTTAACTACTTAGAGGATGCCAGATATTCCATGTAGACCACTGCTATAAGGACTTGGCATTCTTGTGAAACTCATTCTTTACAACAGCTATTCTAAACCCTTATCACTTCTTCAAACTCTCTATCCCAGCTTACCCTCACCCATCTCCCATCCCACCATAAAAATAACCCCTGAGCTTATGCCTAAAAGGAATTTAGGCTACCATTCTTAGAAAAGAATTACGGTCAGGCCCCACTCAGGATAATCTCCTTTTAGTCAACTCAAATTCAACTGATTTGGGACCTTAATTATATCTGCAAAGTCCCTCCCCTGTTGCCATATTTTATTGGCTAGAAGCAAGACACAAGTTCTACTTACACTTAAGGGGTGTGTATTATACAAGGCATGATCCATTGAGCCTCACCTTAGAGTGTGTCTACTGTATACTCCAAACTTTAGTGGTCAAAGAATAAGAATGAGCAAGATAAACAGAAGAATGGCCAATGAGAAAAGAGGAAAACAGGAGATTGCTGGGGTATGTAAATGAAGTGAAAAAAATTGTTTCAACTGTGTCACTCACTGAGTAAGATGAGAAGTTGAGGACTTATGACTGACCATTTGATTTGGTAACATGAACTTGACAAAAGAGGTTTCCATGGTGGAATGTAAGCCTAATTAGTAAAGAAGTGGAGTCACTGAGCATTGACAATCTTTTAAGGAGTTTTTCTATAAAGAGAAGCAGAAAAATGATGTGGTAGTTGGAGGAGCTATGGAGTTAAGGTAGGCTTTTTTTAAATGATGTTCATTTGCTAGTGGGAATGATTCAACTGAGAGATAAAAATTTGAACATATAATATAGGAAAGCAATGGGTAACAATGGGAGTGAGATAAAGAGGGAGCATCCTGTGCACAAGTGAAGTTGATGGTTTTAGGCAGAAAGGTGAGCAGCTCATCCATTGCAACAGAAGGAAAAGCAGAGTGTGGATAGAGGAAGAGAGGAAAGAAGGGGGTAAATGTGATACTAAGAGCCTCTTCTGTTGCTTATATATTTCTGAGAGAAATAAGATTCATAATTGATGAGGAGGGTGATGGAGTTTGGAGAAGGAATGAAATAGTCTGGGAGAGTCAAAGAATAAATTGACTAGGAAAATGCTGAAGGACCACCAAGCAGCTTTGAGGGCCGACTTAATGTTTGAGGTCAGGGTAACCATGTTTCTCCTGAGACACATTTAGATTCTCAGGAGAAGGAGCACAGAAGGTAGAGATGGAACTATTACCAGAGTTGGGACTTTGTTCAGAATAACATAATGGGATATTACAGGGCCAAGAAAGCTAAGAGCATATTTAAAGGAGTGATTATATAAAGGACCACAGAATCTAAGCCAGGCAAGGAGAGAATGGGTTTTGAGGGATGGAGATAAACAGTGAAAATCATTTTTGGATCAATTGGATTCCAATGAATTTAATTCCTGTCCTCTCCTTACCTTAGAATTGCCTAAGCATCAAGTGCCAAGAATAATCAGAATTAATTGCCCCCTTCCCTTTAAGCAGCCACCAGGGCACCCGGTCTTGTCTTAAATATTTATCTCAGTGACCTTATTTCATTACTTAAACCCCTATCCCCTTCAGGGTCAGGAGTCACATGAACAAGGTACCTAGTGGAGTAAAAGAATTTTTTGAGCTGGGGTACAAGCATGAGCTGAAAATATACAAATGAGATGCTTGAAACTAATATAAGTGAGAGAATGCAATTGTTGTAAATGACAAGGTCTGCAGCTAACCATGGAGGATGGTGGCTGAAGGGGAATGGTGGAAGACCAGATGCACTGGAATAAAGAGATAGAGGAATGGAGAAGCCATGGGCTTGGATGGGCCATCTGTGTAGATACTGAAATCACCAGGAATAATGACAAAAGAATGCAAGAGAGAAAGACAATAAACTTGGTGTTGACATTTCCAAGAAATGTGTGGTAGTGATCAGGAGGACAGGGGAGGGCTACAGCCAGGAGGCCTGTAGGGAGGAGCAGGTTGATGGCATGAGTGGCAAAGGACCCGATGGGGGAGGGCAAGGAAGGGACAGCAGTTTGGAAGTGACAGTGAGGAGTAGGGAAGACATCTGCATCACCTCTGGAACAGTGGGAAGTGACAGGTGAGAGAAAACTGGCCACCACTGCAGGGAATTCCGAGTGCTCAGGGGAAAGTTTCCTTTCGAGCTGCAAGGTGAAGGGACTGTTCAGAGAGGAGTGTGGTTGGAGGGGTTTTTCTGATGACAGCGGGGAATAGAGATTTGAGTGATGAAATTTGACCTGGGAGGCTTAGATATCTTAAGGTCACTGAGCTAGATATTTAAGACAAGACTGGGTGCCTTGGTGACTGCTTAAAGGGAGAGGGCAATTAATTCTGATTATTCTTGGCATGTGACTCTTAGGCAATTCTTAGATAAGGAGAGAACAGGAATTAAATTCATTGGAATCCAATTGATCCAAAAATGCTGTTCATCCTTCTTCCTTAACAACCAGAGTTGGCCCCCCTTCCAATCCACACCGATTCTGTCTTGATTTAAGTCCTCATTAGTTCTTCCTTGGACAATTACAATTGCCTCCTAACTGGTATCTTTCACTGATCTCGCCTCTCTCCAATCCATTCTTCACATTTCTGCCAGAGTGTTCCTTGTAAATCATTAATTTCATCAGGCAGATCCTCTGCTCTAAATCTACTAATGGCTTTCCTAATGCTTCAGGATCAGATCCAAATTCCTTAGCATGGTAAGGCCCCTCCTGGAGAGGACTCTCTCACTGCCTTCCGCCTCATGGGTCCTACTCCCCAACAGTCTCATGCTGTTCTCTTTGTCTGCAATGCTCAGCTTCCTCTTTTTCACTTGAGTACCTTGCATACATCTTTTAAGAAATAATTCAAGTCCCTGAAAGAATAAACAAGAAACAGACACTCCTGGTTGTTCCTGAGAAGAGAAACTGGGTGGCTTGGTGAGGAGTAGAAGAGAAGCTTCTCACAGCATGTCCTTTTGTACATTTTGAATTTTATACTCTATGAATATATTACTTCATTTTTTTAAGCAATGGAATTGAAAAAAAATTTAAGCATTAAATAGACCCCTAGAAAGAAAGAGTCAAGTGTTTCCTCCTCTGTAAGTCTTCTCTACCTTGATGCTCATCTCCACTGAGCTACCATCATGCCCTCCACACAGCTCGGTGGCAGCGTTTATCACTTTATATTGTTAAGTATCTGCAAACAAGCAAGCAGTCCTACCATCCTCACAGCCCAGAGGCTCCTTGAGGGAAGAGACTTTGTCTAACTCAATTTGGAATCTCCAGCCCCTTGCACGGTGCCAGTACAGAGGAAGGGCTCATAGAGATTTGTTGAATTCGTGAACAAATAGAGTTTCTGTGCAGAAGGGAAGCAAAATAAATGTAAGTATTCACATTTATTTCACAGAAAAAGAAAATGAAGCCCAGAGTTATTTACTAATGATTTCACAACTAGTTAGCAGCATTAAATGAGAACCCAAACTTTCCAGAGTCCAACTTTTGTACTAGGGTAAGTTATAAGATGGTCACTCTAAGATAGCAGACATGATGCCTATTATATCTACTTATTTTGTTCCAGGGCTCTGGATTGTCAGGAAATTTCCAATTCCAGTAAACTGCCAGTTTAACCTCCAAGGAACAATTTCATGTATCAGGTCTTGGGTCCTAAACTGGAGTTAGGAAAACATATATCTCCAATAGCTTACAGGCCAGGCATATACTGACAGGGAATTCACATGGAAATCTTGTGGCACTTTTCTTTATCTTAAAGGCTATGTTTGTGTTATTGTGTTCCTGAAACTCACAATGTGGCAGACATAGCTATACACAGTGACTGAAGAGATAAAAGGATAGCACAGGAAAAAGTGATTGCCACAGCTCAAAGCCCAGTTCTCATTTGTAAGCATTTGGCTGAATTCCTTGGGCATTCAAAGCAGAAACCAATAGCATTTTATTTCACATGGGATCTATGTTTTTCTATGTAAAATGTTTGTGTTAATAATTATCTGGACTAGATTTTAAGCATCCTGTGGAGATCTTCTGTGGTCTTCAAGATCAGTGGTCTTCAAACATTTTTGCCCACATGCTGCTCTGCGAAACCTTGGAAAACCTTGCATCCCTTCCACATCTTTTATTGCCACCTACAGTATAATTTTTCATCACAAGTTTGCAAAGGGTGTTATTTCCAGCATATTGCAATTCATGATATTTTAAAATAAAGCTGTTAGCTCACTCTTTTAAATTTACCCTGAAGAATCTAAATCCCACGGTGATTTGTTACTCAACATTATTCATTTTAAATATACATGAACCAGTTCTTCTTTCACAGTCAGAAAATTTGCATTGTTCCCTTTTCTTCTTGAACTCATATTTTCACTGCATTTTCCCCACAGAATGTTATCATGTTGATATTTTCATGCTTGAAAAATTTTTATTGATCAGTATGTCATTCTTTACAACAGACATTATAACTACATATTTATATAATTTTACTTTCTTGTGACTCTAAAGATTGAGGTGTTAAAAGTATCTCTGGGTGGAGTTATCCTTATAATTATTAGTAATATACAATTGATCAAACAGTAACTATATTATAAATTAACAAGTATATTTAACAAAAAATAAAAGTGTATGCATTGATTATATGGAAGGAACTTTTTCTTTTCCAAGGTAGTGATGGATGAATATTATTTATAGCTAGAAGGAAACAAAGCTCCTCCCCAATTGTATTCATGTGTTTGACTCTGTCTTTGTAGATATAAATGCTAAGGTACTTTGTTCACAGAAATTGAGTAGATGGGAATGGGAGAACTTGTTGTAGCAGTGTTACTCAATTCTGTGAATTCCTTTCAATTATATGCCAAATATCATGCAATGATAGATTATTTACATTATTTCTAATGCTCTATCAGGTGGCAATTTTGCTCCCCAGTCATCACAGGCGTTCTCTTTCTCAATGCCCGCACAGGCTTCTACTTTGCCATATTGTGTGCACCTGGGACAATACACTCTAGTAAGATGTGGGATCTGTGAGAAGAATGACTTTTTGCCAAGTGGGAAATGGCCATTGTGAAAGGGGAATGGAATGGAGACCACATGCACATTCTCAGGCAGATCGGTTTTAGGAAAGCGTAGAAAAGGATCAAGGACATGGAATTGATTCTCTTGAAACTATCCTGCTCTGCACCACTGGAGGAGAGTCTTCATGTATCTTGGGGGAGGGGCTGGGGGTTGGGAGCTGCGGGGAAGTGCAGGTTTATCCCAGTTTGAAGATGTCCGTTTCTTAATCATCATCTTTTGAATAAAAATGACAGAGAGCAAAAGAGATTAAGCAGTCCTAAACAGATTGGTAATGACATGGTGGCTAAAAGGAGAACTCGGTAAATCCTAGCTCTGAAATTAACTAACTATATATATAATCTTGTGCAAATTATTTAACCTCTCCCTGTTAAATTCCTCATCTGGAAATGAAAGCAATAATGATACCTAAGAAGGTTGTTGTGAGGATTAAATGAGCTAATATGTAAAGTACTTAGAGCAGTGCTTGACAATTAGTAATCATGCAATAAATCATCACATTAGTACAAGGAAATGATTATATATGACATAAAAATTAGGACAATAACCCCCACATAAGTTTGATATGTACTTTGCTATTACCTAAGCTAACTGCTTTAATTTGTAAACTAAACAAAAAGGTATAAGTTTCCACCATAAGTATGTGGCAGAGCCAATATTCTTACCCAGAGTTTCCACTGTTAAGGACTATGTTATCCTGCCTCTTGAAAAATAAATGAAACAAAAATAAATGATATAAGAGGTGTATAAGTTGTAAAATTTTTCTTTCTAGATCAAAGTAGCATATGTTAAGCAAAATTTATAGTATGCTTATTTCCAAAGTAGCAAAAGTGTTCACTGTGTTCTTTCCTTACCTTTTATAACCACAGAAATTTCCATTATTTCATTTCAGATACTTCTCCCCAACCCCCACCCCCCCCCACACACACACTTACTACTAAATATATCATCCAACTTTTGGTGCTTAGAGGTTCAGGGGTTTTGCCTTGCAGCTTTTACTGGGGCTTCAAGCAGATCATGTTCAACAGTTTTATTACATGAAAATTAGAGGTCCTTTTCCCAATATTATTTTATTTTTTCTAGCATTTCTAGCTGTCCCCCTCCCTACCTCATTCTAAATCTGGGTTTTATGTTCGATAGCATATACAGTAAGCTGAAAAACACAACAAAGAGCTTAAAAACCCGCATCTGAATAACATCGACTTCAGGAACAGCTGCTAAGATAAAATAAATCCAAGAGAGCCCAGCAAGCAAGACGTGATTTCGTTTCTTAAAGGGACAGGCAGACTTATATAAGATTTAAGTCTTAAACTGTTATTTAAAAACATAGTATATTTTAATTGACATCAAAGATTTTCAAATCTAAAATTTTATGTGGGTGTTTTACTCAGTACATAGAGGATTCTATTTCACTATATTTCAATTTGAGCAATTACTTGATGACATTATTGATAAAGGTTTACAAAGCAGAAAGTGTAATCCATCAGGAATCAAGCCTTCAGATTTCTTCTTCACTGAGAATGAAGAAAAAGAAACTTTGCCTAGTGAAATACAAATAATGAAAGCAAATGGAAATTTATAAACAAGATAAAAATTAAATTGAGAATTACAGATTAAAAACATATGAACTGTTTGCAACATCTTAGCCTTCTGTAGTGTGATTCGCATTACAGAAAACTCTATATTAAAATAATTGCACAAAAGTCTGATTTTAAATAATAGGTAAGGAAAGAAAGGAAATCCAGCATATTAAAATATGATCTTATAGAATAGATAAATGATAAAGAGACTATGTGTTCTACAAAGGTGTTATTCATCATGCAAAAAGACTTACCATAGTTTTCTTTTAAACATCTAGCTTCGCTAGTACATTTAGAATATGATTTGATTTATAAGTGCATTATTTACACACGACTTTTCCTGGAAAATATCTATTACATAAAGCAAGTACTAGCAAGAAAACATAGTGCTGTGGCCTGAAAAGTTCAGAAAGGAAAAAATCATTTTGTGAAAAGTTGTATTTATCAATATATTTTAATTTGTCTGGCCTAATTAGCAAAGAAAAAAGATATGATTCAGAAAAATGTTCATATCTTAGATATATGCTGATAATATAAAGTATAAAGAGCCCCACATATTTCCTGTTTCTTATTTAATTTTTCCATTCATGCAGTGCTCTGTAACAACTTGTATACTTCATTTCCCACCGACTTTTTTTGCTCACTTGACTGTTTCCATCTGTGACACTTAAGCATATTTGTACCAATGAAATGAAATATCATAGCCTCAGGTCCCTTCATGAATGTCCTTTTTTCAGTGTACTATCAGGGATGCTTTTGGCTGCAAGTACAGACAACCTAGTAGCATTTTAGAACTCAAAGCATTTATTGTTTACTAAACAGAATGCCCAGAGGAAGGTGGCCCCATGTTGGTTCGGGAGCTCAGTGCTATCAACATGGACCCAGGTGGCTGAGCTGATTTGTCTAGGCAGTCTGACTTATGTGCACATGGCACACTCTACTTCTTCTCTGCAATACTTACAGTTTCACTACTCTGTCCTAGGAGACTGAGTTCCTGTTTTGGGCAGAGATCTTTTCTTTCCTTATATTTCCCAGTGCTTGACACATAGTTAATCAATAAATATTTATTAAACCAGTGAGATCAATTTTAAACAGGAAGAGGGAAACTAGAACTATGTGAAATAAAAAGGTGCTTAGGTACAGAAGTAAATCAATTAAGATTATTCAAATTAATGCTGGATCTCTGTGTTCTGTAGTTTTTAAAGAGACTTCAGTATAACTGGAAGACATTTTGGGTCAATTATAGTCCCCCATTTTTTTTAGAGCAAACTTTGTTGGCTGAATAAGACTCTGGGTTTAAATTTGCAACTTTAGAAAAGTAGACTGAGCTAAATTGCTCTGTGTGAGAAAGGTTTAGAGGCTGACTCTGGAGTCAGCAAGGTTAGCTCTCTCTCTCTCTCTCTCTCTCTCTGTGTGTGTGTGTGTGTGTGTGTGTGTGTGTGTGTGTGTGTGTGTGTGTGTGCTGGAAAGGAAGAGGAATTGATCAAACACAAAATAGTTGGAGGAGAGACCCGAGAAGTGGTATGTTTGCTGGTGATTTTTTAAAAAGTGAAATGTTATAGGCTGTGTGATGAGACCCACAAGTTTTCAGTAAATCTATGAAAGTTATATGATACTTGGTATTGTTGGATACTGATGAAGATGAGTTTATGTCAAGAACTTGGGTTAACACGGTTGAAATGTTATATCAGAATTTTGGACAGTCCACCTAAATCCTTAAAACAATTACCTATCATGTGTGCGTGCATGTGTGTGTGTGTGTGCACCCATGCTTTGCATATGTGCACACTGCATTTACTAAAGGTGATATATTTCTCTCTTGGAAATACAGTTTGAAAACTACTCTCTTTGGTACCCTGACCACCTTTCTATGATGATACCTTATCAACTGTTTAATGTATGCATCATCAAATTTCACATGTCATATTTAAAACTAATAAATCACTTTTGGGACATTTGGAGAGTTGGGAACTAATGTGTTAGCTCTTGATAAAATTCATCAGGTGTTCTTACTCAAAAAGAGTCCTTTTAGAAGAAATCATGGGGCAAAACACTCAGCAGATCAGTCAAAAAACTCAAGTACTAAGAATGTAACACCCAGGAGAATGGAACACCCAGGCATTTGTCTGCTGATCTGTGTGTTTGTGTATGACAGGGTTGGGTGGTAGTGGGGTGGGGAAATGGCAGGATGGAGGAGGGAGAGTTTCCTTTTCTGGAGATTTTCACCTGGCTGGAGGTGGGAGGAAGAGTGAACAGCAGTGGTCTGTTTTTCCTGCAAACTCAGTCAGCACTTTGTAAGTGGCACATACTGTCATTTCAACTACTACTACTACTGGCCCAAATCCAAAGGGATTAGCTAGAAATGAATCATCTTTGGAAATGCAGCATGATGCAGAAATTCACTAAGATAGTCAGAGGAGTCAATCCCAGCTAAGTTTAAGGCCATGTTTTAGAAGTCAGAAAGCAGAGCTGGCAGTCTGGTCTCGAAGCTTTTTTAACTCACAGAACTATTGTGAAGCTTGCAGAGTCAAGATTGCCCCAAGGCCCTTGTCTAGATTTTTCTCTTCCATGGAGTACTCCCTGATAATTCTAGCCCACTGAGAAGACTCTGAAGTCTATTGGCCCTTGGACTCTGCCCCATACTGTTTTGCAGTAAATTATAAACAGCCTAAAGTTGGTCTTGCTAATAAAATGAAGCCATGGATATGAAAGTGCCTAGCACAGTATTCAGAAAGACTTTGTTTATTCATTCTGTTATTTCTGGAAAAGTAGTCCTGGCCAGAACACAGAATTAATAAAAGTGGGGCCGTTAAGCAGAGGTGACTCAGCCCATATTCTCATCTGTTACAGCATAAGGCCCTAACAGGAAATGTTCTCTACCAGATCCAGAAATTGTTGCTCCTATTGAAATAACCCAGATGGTATGCATTACAGAAGAAAGCCTTTATAAGTTGGCCCATTATTATCCAAATGTGAATATGCATGTTAGTAGAAGCACTGTGGCCTGAATGCTGGCTGGGGTACTTGAAACACTTGTTCCTGAGGAAAACATATGAGTAGAATAAAGTGTGGGTCATTAGCTTAATGCATATTAAAATCAGAGCCTATTTATTACAGCAAAATTAAAATATTTTAAGATCACTATAATACATGCTTATAAAAATTCATATAACAAGTTAATAAAAGGTAAGACAAATGTTCCTTTGCTCCTTTCTGCCTTCCTCCCAATCTCATTATTATTATTACTGTTGTTGTTATTTTGATACAGGGCCTTGCTCTGTTGCCCAGGCTGGAATGCAGTGCACAATCATAGGTCACTGTAGCCTCAAACTCCTGGGCTCAAGCAATCCTCCTGCCTCAGCCTTTCAAAGTGCTTGGATTACAGGCATCAGCTGTCACGCCCAGCCTTTTTAATATTTACCTGTGTAGTTATCTTTACCTGTGTTCTTTAGTTCTTTGCATGGGTTCAAGTTACTGCTTAGAGTCCTTTCATTTCAGCCTGATTGACTCCCATTAGAAGCTCTTGTAGGGCAGGTCTGTTACCAACAAATTCTGTTTTTGTTTATCTGGGGATGTGTTAATATCTCCTTTGTTCTTGAGGTATGGTTTTGCTAGAAGGTCTTGGTTAACTTTTCTTTTTTTTCAGCATTTTGGATATGTCATTCCACAGGCTCTGGCCTCCGTGGTTTCCGATGAGGTGTCAGCTCTTCATCTTTTTGGCCCTCAATCTCATCATTATCTCAGGCACTGAAGAGCTGGGGCTACAGAGGCAAACATGACCAACAAGGACCCTCCCTTCAGAGGGCTTATGTTTTAGTTGAAGGGGAAAGATCACAGCAAGGAAACAAATAAAACATAAATAAAACCAAGCCTCAGAAGGTTTCTTTATATATGGAGGTGGGATCTGAATGATTAAAAAAAAGAATCAGTCTTGAATCTTTATGGGAAGAGCCTTCTAGGCAGACTGAATGGCAAGTACAAAGAGCCAAGGGAACTGAAAAGGCTGCCTCTATGGTTGGCACTTTGTGGCCAAAGTGCGAGTTCTGAAAGGAGGATGGGGAACAGGGGCCAGATCATGCCAGGGAGGGCTAGGTGGGAAGTTACTAAATACAATGAGAGGCCATTGAAGGTTCTTAAATAGGGAAGGGGAATCAGAATTTGATTTTCACTTTTGAAAGATGCCTCTAATGTAATGGGGGCAAAAATGAAAGTCTTCAGACAGGTTGGAAGAAATTCATTCACACATACACACAGACATATAGAAATAAATATTTCTATTTTAAAAACAAAAATGGTAACATATAGTACTTATTCTGCAACTAGTTATTGGTGTACATTTTTAGAACTCCTCTTTGAAATTATGCTCAGAGTTGGTTTACTGCCTCCTAGAAAAATCAAACACATTATGTTTTTTTACCTTTCCTTACCCACTCAAATGCAGTAACTTAGCAGGAAAACAGGTTTGGGATTTTAACATTTTGCTCCAGAATGTGTTCATCAGATTTGGCTCTTGCATGACTTTTGGATTGTCCCAGAAATCAGATTTATTTTTTAAAAATAATTATTTTCTTTCTTTTTTTTTTAACCTTGCAACTCCAGCTCAAAGGAAAGCATTATTTTCAACAAATTCAGTAAATAATGATGTGATACCTTTTGAATATGTATACATGGGAATATGTATACAGCCTAATAAAGTGCTTACTTTGAAATGAAAAACATTTATTTGAATTTATAAATTTAGTCACCAAATAATTATTGAGTACCAACCACAAAGCATCAGGCACTGTTTCAGGCACTGGGGATACATTAATGAACCAAGTAGAGGAAATTTATTTTCCTGCTGAGTTTATATTCTAGTGGAGGGAGACAGACCAAATGAACAATCAAAATAAGTAAAGGATCTATCATGGTTTAAGATTGTATAGGAGCAAAGTACGAGAAATTTGGAAAGCTGGAAGGGAGTTCCGATTTTAAACAATGTTGTCAGGTTGGCCCTTACCAAGATGGTGACATTTGAGCAGACTCTAAAGGGAGGACGTAAGTAACAAAGATGCTAAGGGGATGAACATTCAAACAGAGGTCCTGAAGCAGGAATGTGCTTGGCAAAGTTGAGGAACAGTGAGGTGGCTAGTGGTTGGTTGAGTGCTTAGTTGAATGGTTGACAGATTGTAGGACATGGAGTCAGAGAGGTAAGGTGGTGAAGGTGAGGTTGTAAGAGCCTTGCAGCCATGGTTAGCACTTTAGCTTTAACATTGAGTTAGGGGAGCCAAAGAAGAGAAGTGACAGGATCTCACATTTTAGGGGAATTACTCTGCCTACTGTGATATAAATAGACTACAGAGGAGCAAGGGTGGAAGTTTTGATAAGTTTTGGAAAACAACAACAGCAGCATTTCATAGTCACATCCCTTTAATTTTGCTAAAAAAAAGTGGAAAGCAAACTAAGCATTTTTAAAATAAAATTTTCATATCTTATCTTTCCTTTCTGATATAGTTCAGATATGTGTCCCTGCCCAAATATTGTGTTGAATTGTAATTCCCAGTATTGGAGGTGGGGCCTGGTGGGAGGTGATTGGATCATGGGGGTGGTTTCTCATGAATGGTTTAATATCATCCCCTTGGGGCTGTCCTCCATGAGAATAGTGACTCCTCATGAGATCTGGCTGCTTAAAAGTGTGTGGCACCTCGCTATCTTTCTTTCTTGCTTCTATTTTCGCCGTATGAGGTGCCTGCTCCCACTTCACCTACTGCCATGACTGGAGATTTCTGAGGCCTCCCTAGAAGCAGATGCCAGTGTCATGCTTCCTGCACAGCCTGCAGAACCGGGAGTCAATTCAACCGCTTTTCTTCATAAACTACCCAGTCTTTACAGCAATGCAAGAATGGCCTAATACACTTACCATAGTAAAGTTCTATCAAGCCCAATTTCTTTTAGCCCTGGGCTAAAAATGTTCTTAGGCTTAAGCCTACAATGGCTTAAGCAATAGGCCATTTACTGTCTCACATGATATGCAGTGTAGAGATATACAGAGCCAAGGTAGGCTAATGTAGCCACTCAGTAACATCTGGGCTTGGGGTTGCCTTTTCTGTACAGGCACACCTTAGAGGTAGTGCAGGTTCGGTTCCAGACCACAGCAATGAAGCAAATATCACAATAAAGGATGTCACATAGTATTTTGGCTTCCCGGTCCATATAAAAGTTATTTTATACTATACTATTGTCTATTAGTATGCAATAGCATTATGTCTTTAAAAACAAGGTACATATTTTAATTGAAAAATACTTCATTGCTAAAAAATGCTAACAATCTAAAAAAATCTTGAAGCCTTCAGCAAGTTATAATCTTTTTGCTAGTGGAGGGTCTTGCCTTGATGTTGATGGCTGCTGACTGATCAGGATGGTAGCTGCGGAGGGTTGGGGTGGCTGTGGCAACTTCTTAAAATAATGCAATGAAGTTTGCCACATCGAGTGACTCTTCCTTTCACAAAATATTTTTGTATCATGCAACGTTGTCTGACAGCATTTTACCCACAGTAGAGCTTCTTTCAAAATTGGAGTTAATCTTCTGAAACCCTGCTGCTTATCAGTTTAAGTTTATGGAATATTCTAAATCCTTTGTTGTCATTTGAACAACGTTCACAGCATCTTCACCAGGAGTAGATTCCCCCTCAAGATACCACTTTCTTTGTTCATCCATAAGAAGTAGCTCTTCATCTGTTCCAGTTTTATCCTGAGATTGAAGCAATTCAGTCACATCTTCAGGCTCCACTTCTAGTTCTAGTTTTATTGCTATGTCTACCACATCTCCAGTTACTTCTTCCACTGAAGTCTTGAACGCCTCAAAGTCATATATGAGGGTTTTAATCAACTTCTTCCAAACTCCTCTTAATGTTGATATATTTTGACCTCCTTCCGTGCCCATGAATGTTCTCAATGGCATCTAGAATGGTGAATCCTTTCCAGGTTTTCAATTTACTTTGCCCAGTTCCATCAGAGGAATCACTATCTATGGAAGATACAGCCTTATGAAATGTATTTCTCAAATAAGACTTAAAAGCCAAAATTACTCCTTTATCCATGGGCTGCAGAATAGATCTTGTGTTAGCAGGCAAAGCTCTTGGGTAACCAGGTGCATTATTAATGAGCAGTGAGATTTTGAAAGTAATCTTTTTTTCTGAGTCATAGGTCTCAACAGTGGACTTAAAATATTCACTAACCATGCTGTGAACAGATGTGCTGTCAGCCAGGCCTTGTTGTTCCATTGATAGAACACAGGCAAAGTCAATTTAGATATTTCTTAAGGGCCCTAGGATCTTTGGAATGGCAAATGAGCATTACCTCCAACTTAAAGTCAGTAGCTGGAGCCGGGCATAGTGGCTTACAGCACTTTGGGAGGCTGAGGGAGGTGGAGCATTTGAGCTCAGGAGTTTGAGACCAGCCTGGGCAACATGGTAAAACCCTGTCTCTACAAAAAATACAAAAATTAGCTGGGCATGGTGGTGTGTGCCTGTAGCCCCAGCTACTTGGGAGGCTAAGGTGGGAGGATTGCTTGAGGATCACTTGAGGCTGCAGTGAGCCGTGATCGCACCACTGCACTTCAGCCTGAGCAACACATTGAGACCCTGTGTCAAAAAATAAAAAATAAAAATAAAAAGTCAGCAGTTGCATTAGCCCCTAACAAGAGTCAGCCTGTCCTTTGAAGCCAGGCAGGGACTTCTCCTCTTTAGCTAGAAAAGTTCTATGTGGCATATTCTTCTAATAGAAGGCTTTCTTTTGGTCTACACTGAAAATCTGTTTAGTGTAGCCACCTTCATCAATCAGATCTTCTAGATAAATTGCTGCAGCTTCTACAGCGGCACTTGCTGCTTCACTTGGCACTTTCATGTGACGGAGATGGCTTCTTTCCTTAAACCTCATGAACCAAACTCTGCTAGCCTCAAACTTTTTAAATGAAGCTTCCTCATTTCTCTCAGCCTTCATAGAAATGAAGAATTAGGGCCTTGCTCTGGATAGGCTTTTGCTTAAAGGAATGCTGTGGCTGGTTTGATCTCTTATCCAGACCACTCAAACTTTCTACTTATCAGCAATAAGGCAGTTTCACTTTCTTTTCATGCCTGTGTTCAAGGGAGGAGGACTTTTAATTTCCTTCAAGAACTTTTTCTGTGCATTTATAACTTGGCTAACTGGAACAATAGGTCTAGCTTTCTGCCTATCTCAGCTTTCAAGATGCCTTCCTCACTAAGCTTAATCATTTCTAGCGTTTGATTTAAAGTGAGAGATATGTGACTCTTCCCTTCATTTGAACACTTAGAGGCCATTGTAGGGTTATTTATTGGCCTAATTTTAATATTGCTGTGTCTTAGGGAGTAGGGAGGCCCAAGGAGAGGGAGAGAGATGATCAGCCAGTCAGTGGAGCAGTCAACATATACATTGAATTGGCTGTCTTATAAGGGTGCAGTTTGCGGCACCCCCAAAATAATACAATAGTGACATCACAGATCACCGTAACATATTTAATGGAAAAGTCTGAAATATTTCAAAAATTACCGAAATGTGACAGAGACACCAAGTGAACACATGCTCTTAGAAAAAATGGTGCCACTAGACTTGCTCAATGCAGGGTTGAGCAACAAACCTTTATTAAAAAAAAATACAGTGCCTGTAAAGTGCAATAAATTGAAGTATAAAACGAGGTACGCATGTATTTTTCTTGCTTTTCTCTCGTGGTTGCAGAATATGCTGCCACAGCTCCAAACATGTCTGGCTTACTGGAGGATGTCCAAGGCAAGAAGGAAAAAACTTGTCCTTAGTCTGTCAGGATAAAATCCTTCCCCTGAAGCTCCTCATCCCCCACTCCCCATTATGGACTGAGCAGAATTAGGTCATATTTTTAGCCCCTTAACCAGTTATTGGTTAACAAAGAGGGACAGAGTACAAAGAGGTTTAGACCAGTGGTTTTCAAAGATCTGCTGAACCTTGGGGCGGCAAGTTTCCAAGACCCTTCCAGGGAGTCTGCAAAGTCAAAACTATTTTTGTTATAATACTAAGATATTATTTGCCTTTTTCCCTCTCATTATGAGTGCACAGTAGAGTTTTCCAGACGCTACCTGAAATAGCACAACAGATCGAATGCACAAACAGATATGAAAATCCAAATGCCTTCTATTAAGCAAGACATTAAAGATATGGGCAAAATTTTAAAGTAACACCATTCTTTTAACTAATTTTTTGAAAATAGTTATTTTTAATTAAAATGCGCTATTTGACATTTTTATTTTTATTCATTATTATTTTAAAAAATAGCAATTTTTAAATTTCTGTTTTAATATTAATAGCTGTAACCAACATAAAGAAAAGTTCTTGGGGCTCTCAATAATTTTACAAGTGGAAAGCGGTCTTGAGACCAAAAGATTGAGACCGCTGGTTTATTCAGGCAGATCTTATTCCTTTCCCGGGGTTGCTGAGGTCAGAGCTAAACTTCCCAGAGCTCAACTAAGCTTGGTTCAAACCTTTTAAAAATGTAACTGTTAATGGTAACGCCACCTGGGCTCAACAGCAGCTAGACGGGCCTCTGATTGCTTGGCCAAAGGAAAAGAGGAGGATTTCGTTGGGCCCTGAAGTTGTCACCGTGGCGTGCTTCTTCTGGCCCTGATCTTTCATCCAGGATTGGGGATACGTGCATGCAAACTGGGAGGTGGACATTCCTCCCGCTCTTGTTTTTCAGTGTTAGCATCTTCACTCATACTGTTTTGGTTTCAAAGTGCTCTCAGGAGTCTCCTTAAAACACCAAACCTGTTTTTCGCCTTTTGAATAAATCCCTTGGCTTCACCAAAACTAAACAAAACAAAAATCAAAGAACATCTTTGTGTAACCTATATGCCTGTGATTTCTCCATCTGATCTCCTTTCTCTGGCCTCTTTTCTTTTCTTCCCCAGTGAATTTTAGGCTGCCATGAAACCAGGGAGGAGACAGCCTGACCCTGGCCACGGGTGCAGCAGGCATACATTTTCATCGCACATACTTTGTCGAGTGGGTGTAAGACATTTTTGCATAAACTGAGTTCACGAATGCTATTTCTTAGTCTTTCCTTTGCCCGCGGTCTTCTGCCCAGATCCATTTCTTCGCCCTAATTTTACATATAACTTTCTCCCGGCTGGATTGTTTGCATCCACGACTCCCGACGCTTGAACCTCCCGTTCCTTGGACCTGACCTAATTCTAGGTGCCCGCAGTTTATTTCTCCACTTTGGCAAACGCACGTGGCTCTCCTGGAAGCTTCACTTTTGCTGCTAGGCTGGGTGTTGGGGTTCAGTGGGGCTCGGAAAACGTGCTCTAAAGTAGCCACGACCCCGGTCCCTGCAGAGTCCCGGCCCCCACAGAGCCCCGGCCCCGGACGCTGCAGGCGTCAGAAGGGGGCGGGGAGCAGAAAACGGCCGGGTGAATCACTGGGCGTAACAGGTGCCGCAGCCGCAGCTGCGCCCGCAGCGCGCGCGGACCGCAGGGATAAGGTCTTCTTTTTCTCCGGGTTTTTTTGGAGGTAAGGAGGAGACTACCGAGGCCCCCACCCGACCAATGCAGGCCACGGTTGTTCATCGCCTAGCAACTGGCGGAGCCAATGGGAGGCGGCGGGGCCTGCGGCGCCGGCGCGCGGGGGCGGGGTGGGAACCTCGGAAACCTGCGGAGGCCGGGAGGCGGCTGCAAGGGGCGGGGAAGGCGGGAGCCCGCAGCGGAGGAGGGGCCGCGGGCGGGAGGCGCTGCGAGGCGCTGCTGGCCCTCGGGCTGCGGGAGCCGGGCTAGGACGCCGAGCGGTGACTCCCCGCCGCTCCCGGGGGCCGTGACGGTGAGCAGCAGCGCCTCGCGTCGGGGATTGTGACGCGCCCCGCCAGGGAGGGGCGGGCGGGGGTGGGCGCCGGCAAGGGGCGGGCGCGCGCGGAGGTGAGAGCCGGCACCTGGCTCAGCGCCCCGTTGTTCGGCGGGAGGCTCCGCGCGGCTGTTGGGGCCGTTGCAGGGTGCGGGCGAGCGTCGACCCGGGCCGCTCCTGGAGGAGGAGGTGGGAGGTAGGTGCTGGCCCCGGGACCGCTCTCGCTGGCGTTCGCGGAGCTGCGCCTGCGGAGCGCTCTGACCCGGGGAGCCCCAAACCCTCTCTGGGATGGAGCAAGGTTGGCGCCCGGCGTTGGGGGACGAGCAGCGCGGGGACGTGGGGGAGGAGGGGATGGCCGATTTGGGGCTGCAGAGTCTCAGCAGCGGCCGTGGGGCATGCGGGGTTTGGCGATTTGCTAGTGCAGCCGCAAGAGGCAGTCTTTAAAACGAGTTATTGGGTGGCCGCTGCAGTGGAAGAGAACCCCGATAGTGGTCTAGTAAAAAGTCTAGGGGAAGAATTTACATCATCCAAGAGGCAGGCATGTGTGAAAATACTTTGGTTTATAATTTTATCATGAAAATACTTTGGTTTAGAATTTTATAGTCAACGACAGTAAACTGAATTGTGAGCTCCCTGCACATTTTTTGAGCCTATGCTGATTGCCCAGTTAGGCATATCGCTTGGGCCCAGGACATAGAATATACTAATTTGCTGTCTGCACGTATAATGTAGGAATTTTTAGATTATTACCCAGTTTCAGGACCCATAGTTGTAAATGCCAAACTGCGATTACTAGCAACGCTGATAAAGTTCTTGAATCTGAGAGAATTGAGATTTCTCTTTTCTGGACGCTGTAATAGGTTGAGGATTAGAAAAGAAGGTGATTTAGAAGTGTAAGGGTGGAGGCTTCTTGAACTTCCTGGGCTTTCTAACAATTCAGATTAGAGTCAAGGTGTAGAGTTAGCTGTGGGTGATGGATGTCATGGACCTTTTCATGGTTCATGGGGGTTTGGCTTACTGTGGGGTAGAAGAAAATTCTGGTGATCCTACAGTTTGATCCTGAACTAGAAAGGTTGGTATGAGTTGACTCATTTAGGAGAGTGAATAAAATTTGTAAAGAATTAGAAATTTGGAGAGGAAAGAAATGCCTTTAAAGTTCACGTCAAGCTATTTTGAAATTTAGAAGTTAGAGGTAGATTTATGAATTTGGATCCAGTCGGCAAAACTTGATCCATCAGATCTCTTATCCTAAAACTATCAACCTACAGGCTTAGGAAGCTTAGGTTATTCATTCACACTAAACAAGTAAGGAAAGCTAATAGCTAATTTAACACTCTGTTCTGCCTGCTGTTAATGAAGGTTTCTCAAACAAAACGGTTCTTTGAGAAGAGGGTTAGGAACTGATAATTAAAACGAAGGCTCTTTTAGTGACTGGCTGAACCTCTTAGGCCAAGTCATTTTGTACTCTTCCTTCCCTTCTCTTTCCCCAACTGTACAGGGAAGATAAAAAGCTCATGGATTACGTAACATGGGTGAGGCAGCTTGAAGATAACTGTGAAGACTTAGTTATTCTAGGATGAAATGTGGAGATCTCATAACACATTGTGCCTTGTGACAAGACTTGTTAAAGCACATTATGTTCTAAACATAATGAGGCAGATATATGAGAAAACTAAAATGTTACGCTGAAATTGTTTGCTAAAGACCTCAAGTCCAGCACAGTGTCCAATTGTATACTTGGGATCTCCTAGTACTTGACAGTCTGCTTTTTGGCCAAAGCAGGCCGTGACACCGGTTTTATAAAGTAGGCGTTTGAGTGCCTTTTATGTAGTATACCCCTAGAGAAATTAGGTGCATGAAAAGACACCGCCCCCAAATTGTGTGATTTTAATTCATTTAACATGCTTAAATTGGATCGATTTCAAAGATTTTTAAGTTATTTTTTCCATATCTTTTACAATAGCTGTGAATATGCCTTACTGGTTTCACCATTTGCTCATGACGCAAAGAGGTTTTGATACGATGTGGGTTTGTTTTGTGGCTTTGGTAATGGTGATATGGTTAGCTAGTAGTGAAGGTACAAGTTATCTTGAATTCACGAGTTTATGGGATGAGATAGAATAGAGAAATGCACCATTCATTAGTAGTAATGAAAAACATCCTAGAATTGTGCCTTTTGATTGTGGGCCAATGTTTTATGTAGTACCAGCAGATTTACTGAATTATTCTTTAGTAATTCTTTCAATAAACATTCATTAAACGCTTAGTAAGCTGCTACTTGCCTGACCTGAGGATAAAAAGATGAGTGTTGCCTTGAGGAATTTGTATTTTAGAAATTATCAGCATAGTGAGGCAGGAAGCAAAAAAACCTCACAAAAAACAAATATAGGAAGGCTTTCAAAAAGAAGGAGAATTTCAGCTGTGTCTGGTAGAGGCAGTGGAGTTCATCAAGCAGCTGGTGCATTCTGCAGCAGTGTACAGTTGAGTTACAGGTGGCTTGGTAGAGTTGGACCAGGGTGGGGTTGCCATATTAATAAGGCTGTAGAACAGTGCTGTGAACATTGACCAGTAGGTTACAGGGAACCTTCAGAAGGTTTTATGAAGGGGAATTATATTTTATTTTTACTTTAGAAGGATATTTCCACCAAAATCAGTAATTTGAGTGATCCAAAATGTATTGAGTATAGTGCAAATAATATCTGAAAGACAGTCCCACACAGCAGTTAGACTTGAAGTATATTTTGCTGAAGCCCTCAGAAACTCCAGAAAAGCAGAAATAATTATACAACAAACCTTTCTTAAGTATCTTCTACTTTGAAGACTGGAAGAATAGGGATACAAATTAAATAAGATACTTCCCCATTTTCAAGCAACCTGCAGTTCAGTAGGAGAAATAACACAGTTATAATGCAGTACAGAATCTGGGTGTCAGACATAAAAATGTCAGACTCTAGCAATGTAGGATTCTGAGATGAGAGAAGAAATAGTCTTTCAAATTAGCAAAAATAAGTTTTTAAATAGAAATGAAACTACAAGCAGTTAAACATTCAGAACAATCTTAACTCCAGTTGTTCTCATCTTTTAACTCTTGCTTCACACATATCCTTTTCTCATATTCTCTTGAGTCACATTTTCGGTTTGATCTACCACACTACTAGCTATGTGATCTTGTGCCCTGGTTGTCGCATTTATGAAGGATAATAACAATACCTGCTTCGTAGGGGTGTGATTAGAAAAATAGGTTAGTATCCAGAACAATGCCTGGAAAAATAGCTCATACTTACTGAGCACTTAATATTTCTACTTGATATAAAAATGCTGTAATTGAGTAAGAACAGACTTTAAAGACAGGATTTTTTTTTTGTCATGCTAGATCTATCCATGAGCGTCTAATAAAGCCTCTACATTCAGAGAAACTAACATTCTTTTAAACTGAGATTCTTGAACAAGTGATTTTCCTTTTCTTATTTGGTGATCATCTTTCTGAAGTCTGATTTTCATTTTTACCCCTCAGCTTTGTCATTAAGTCACTAATCACCGAATTCAACACTTTTTAAAATTCAAAACCTGCCCATTCTATGGCATTTGCTGCTGTGTATCACCCTTTCTCTTTAAAAGTCTTCTCCCTTGGCTTTCCTGAAGTCCGTTCCCCTGTCTCTTTGTATCTCTTGTGTCTGGGTCTGCTTCACTCGCTTATGTTGATGTTCTTTGGGGTTTGTTCTCCTGCCCCTTTTTTCTTTATGAATTCATCTATCTAAATGTGCTCGGATGTCTTGTGAGTTCTAGGCCTAGAGTTTATCCCCATGTGAATGTCTCATAAGGGCATCTCCAAACCCAGTAAGCTACACAAAGCTCATTATCTCCACACATTTGCCCAAACCCAGTTTTACTAACTTTACTCCTCTGTTCCCTTTATCTAAATGACACTATTATCTGTCAAGTGCCAAAGACAGGTTTTTATGTGAGAGAGTAGATGCCTCCCTTTTGTGTACTTGTCACCATGTCCTGAATTATTTCTTACCTGTTCTTCACTATCCTCAGTCACTGACTAAGTCAGCCAGCTGGTCCCTGACCATTAATTGCCCAGTTTACTATAATATCTGTCTCAAAGATTTTTTTTTCAGATTATAAAAGTATTGTATGCTTTTTGTAAAAAAATTTTAAAAATTAAGATAAAAAGCAAAAAAGTATTTAAGTTACTTCATGTGTAGTTCTTGGCATACAGTCAGCACTGAGAATATATTTTTGTGCCACGGTGCTACAAATAGAACTTATTTTGCAAGCATTAAGTTTGGAGGAGATTTGTAGAGAAATATTGTTCTAAAAGAATTGTAGGACTAAATAATTTTGAAATCGTATATAGAGCCTAAATAGTGTAAAGTAGATACTTAAAATTCAAGATGGGTTCCAGCCACTGCCTATACTTTTCATTTGCCTGTTAATTGTAATCTGGTTGTGCTTTCCTATCTATTTTATTCTCTATTCTATAGCCTTCGATTTTATTTTCTATTCTATAGCCAAATTTCAGGAATATCCCCCTGCATAGGATCTAGACTATAAAAGCAAGCCAACATCATAGAAATAATCTGTAAGTACAACCCATCATTAGCCATGTTGTTTTATAATGAGGCGATAGGCTCAGAGAATTGATATCATTTGCTCAGCATATTTGTTGAATGTCAGGAGGAAACCAGGCCTGTGAGGCTTTGGAATCATAAATAGCTAGTTTTTAGTCTTTCCAGGTTAAATAGCTGGATTTTATTTCTGTCTTCCAGGTTTGTAACTGTAAGTTACCTAATCTGTTGCCTCAGTTTCTTCCATCAATAAACCAGTGCTATCTTTACTCCTTCCTAGGGCTAGCGTGAGGATTAAGTGATAACAGCTAATGGAGCCCCATCTGGCATGCATTAGGTGCTCTTGAGTTCATCATCAGCTTCTCTCCTACCAGTTTCACATAATTAGCTAGTACAGGAGTTATTAACTTGCCATCCATGGATCCTTTGCAAATGGATGGCTTCATAGATCCTCTGAAACTCTAGCCCAAATTGCCTGTTCTTGTACTTTTAAAGGAAGAGGGTCATTGGCTTTGGGTTTTGGGACCCAAAACATTTTAACCCCTGAGTTGGCAGTAAGGCCAAGGACCCAGGGCTCTTGGTGCCTCCACAGCCAAACTGACTGGGTAGAATTTAGAATTGTTTGAAATATTGGAGGAACATTTTATATATATGTATTTAAAGCATTTTAAAGGACTTCAGGTGTAAAGAATTAGTTTATATTCCTTGGCTCATGACACGTTTGTTTAATTGGTCCATTTATAGTTTTAATAATACAGTAAGTACCACCTAACCCTGTGCATAACCCTGTGGGCCCCTCCATTCCTTTTTCCTCTGTCCCTCACCTGAGGCAGCTATTTACTGAATCCTATATTCATCATTCTCTCGGTGTCTTTTATAGTTTTATTGCATCACATAATTTAAAACTGTATATATTACATGCCCTATCTTCTGAAAATTTTTTCATTTTATAATACTGAAATTTATATTATGTGTCACTGAAGTTTTCTGATTACTGCATAATATTCCATTTTGTGCATATGGCATAATTTATCCATTCTCCTGTTGGTGGTATATGGGTTGTTTCCAGGGTGATACTCTTGTGCTACTCGCTATTGTGAAGAATGCTGCTGTATAGGTGCACACCTCCTGGCATACGTAGGCAAGAGTTTCGATTGGGTTTCACTAGGAGTGGACTTGCTGGGCTGTAGAGTATGTGAATAGGATAAATGAATATTCAGCTGATGAACTGTTTATTTTTCAGAGTTTCCCCCCATCCTCTAAGGTTTAATAAGCTGCTTAGCCAGGCATTCCCTAGGACTGTTATTTTCAGCCTCCATTTAGTGCTTTGGAACACTTTTACATCATTCTTGGAATCCATTTTGTAGGACCCTTAGATAAGAATTCCTTTTTGGTGTTCTCTAATTGAAAGTGCATATAAATAGAATACTAATTTATACTGAACCACATTCTATAGAACACAGCAGTGATTCTCAAACTTTGTCAGAATTACGTGGAGGTTCTCCCACCACTAAAGTTTCTGAATCTGTAGGTCTGTAGTGGCACTTGATAATTTGCATTTTTATTGAGTCAGGTGATGTTGATGCTGCTGGTCCCAGGACCACACGTTGACAACTATAACCAATGATTGAATTTGGGCTAAATCATTGAAAAAACGATGAGTAGATTTATTAATTATGTTTGGTTTCTTTGTTATTTCCAATGCCTTTAGTAGATGCTATTACCATTTCATTATTTGAGGAGTGAAATACCAATAAATAGTAATTTTAAAATTTGATTTGGACTTCTTAGCTGACTTTTAACCTTAAAAGTTGATAGACTTCTAAAAGTGCCTCTTTTTTTTCTTGTTTCTTAATAATCTTCTAAGAATATGATTGCTGCTATTCCTGTGTGTACATTGGAAGAATTTGAAACTGATACACTGTTTGTAAATTGCCATGCTCTTGATTCATACCCTGAATCACCTTTCTCCTTCTCTGAGCTGTTACCAATCAAGATTACGTTGAAAGCCCTTCCAAATTGCAGCATGGCCAAAGTGTTGACTTGTCTATCATACTAAAACAGCAGCAAACCTTACACTAATACATCCTTGAACTTGGACATTCATTCAGCAATCTTGACTGGGCTCCAACCTTGGAGTGAGTGATGATGCCTGTTACCGAAGTGGGGTACAAAGAATATGCTGACAAGCCTGCCAAATGAGAACTCAGTTGTGGTGGGAGAGAAATTTTATTCCTGTTAGATCTGTGCTGTAATACAGTTCATGTTAAGTGTTCTAGAAGCACAGAGAGAAGGGATGGCAGTGCAGGGAAAGCCTGGCAATATATTTGCTAGGTTTTTCAAAATTTTTTTGAATTGCTACATCCAGAATTTAATATTTTGTCTGCTTTTGTGTAGTTCCCATTCCAGTTATTCAATTGGCATAATTATTTGATTATAATTTAGTTTCAGGTGAGGTGGTAAAGAAGAGAATACTTGTTCGGTTTGAAAAAGCAGCTTGAGGGGAGGAAGAGCATTAGGACAAATAACTAATGCATGCGGGGCTTAAAACCTAGATGACGGATTGATAGGTGCAGCAAACCTGCACGTTCTGCACATGTATCCCAAAACTTAAAAAAAAAAAAAGCAGCTTGAATATTGTATCCTTCCCCCTCTCCTGTACTAAAGATAGTAGGGTGTAATGTTAAATGTGCTAGACTACCAGGGTTTGAATTTTGGCTTTGTCATGTTCCAGCTCTGTATCCTAGGTCAAGAAAACTCCAGGCTTCAGTTTCCTTATCTGTAATGGGGGAAAGTATTTGGATCATTGTAAGATTGAATAAGTTCGTACACATAAAATGCTTAGAATTGTTCCAAGTAATTGCTACATGCTTAATAAATTATTTTATTGTTATTAAAATTAGGTAGAATCTCATTTGCTAAACATTGGGTTGTAAAGACAATGTGTGCACATTGTTATAAAAATGTGAAGAAAAGGCAGTGCGTGATGGCTCACACCTGTAATCCCAGCATTTTGGAGGCCAAGGTGGGAGGATCACGAGGTCAGGAATTCGAGACCAGTCTGGCCAACATGGTGAAACCCCATCTCTACTAAAAATACAAAAATTAGCAGGTGCGGTGGCATGCGCCTGTAGTCCCAGCTACTCGGGAGGTCAAGGCAGGAGAATTGCTTGAACCCAGGAAGCAGAGGTTGCAGTGAGCTGAGATCACACCCCACTGCACTCCAGCCTGGGCAACAGAGCAAGACTCCGTCTCAAAAAAAAAAAAAAAAGTGAAGACAAAATAATTTTGATATAAATAGCTGTACTCAGTTCCATATTGGGTCCTATGAGAAATGTAAAAATCAAAAGATAATAGAACTTGAAATTCTTTAAAGGTCATCTAGTTTGACTTCATAATTGAAACCCAAAGAAATTATGACCGGTTCAAGGTTTCTCAGTACATAACAGAAGTGTTGCTGAGAACCATGGCCTCTGATGCTACTCAGTCCAGCGCTCTCTCAGTACCCTGTGCAGCTTCCCTGAAGTGACAGCGCCCTGGAAAACTAACAGTTTAATTGGCAGCCAAGTCCAAAACAGGTGAAAACATTAGCAATAAAAAGTCAGTATATAATGGAATATCAGATGGTGTACATAGATTAAGTCCCTACCGTATTTAACTTTGTGAGCTGCTCTCTTGAAGCGGAAATGCACCTTCTTAGTAATTTCATTCATTGAAGGTTGAAAGATGAAGAGCATTTGTTTTTGAAGAGGGTGTTAATAAAGTCAATTTCCCTCTTTCCTCCTACCAAGGTTGGATTGTTCATTAAGCCAGGGGGAGAGTCCACTTTTGCCAGGTCTGCCAGTACTCCATGGCTTTGCCCTTGATGATAGTTGGGGAAAAGTCTGGCCTCTGTATTTCTGTTCCCTGTCTTCCTGATGGGCCAGATTCCCACAGACATTCCCTCAGGTATGAAGACTGCATTACCCTTGCTCATGGGTATGCGTACATATGTGGAACAGGTGCTAGAAGTGTACCTGATTGGTGGGATTTGTCTAAGTCGAGATTTCCACTCAAGGACAGGGCTGCTACTTTTTGGGATTGAGCTAAGAGTACTTTCACACATTATCTCATTTAATTGTGCTTGAATACTCTGCTGCTAAAAATTTTACAGAATAATACATGCTCCTATAACATTCAAGCTATATAAAGATATGCTATGGAAGAGGTGAAAGCCCTGCTCTTCTACCCCTCCCTGTACCCAAATTATTCCATCCCAAGAAGTGTCATTTGTGACATTTTGTAACTTTTCCAGAACTTTCCCCTAAATATATATAGGTAGTTTGAGTTAACAAAAAATGGTGATCATACTGTTCTAATTAACCTGTAACTTCTTTTTTTGTGCTATACATGCATATGTGCTTTAATCTTTAATAATCCCAGAATAGCCTGGCTGTACCATATGTGTTGGTTTTTAACAGTTTGTCCATGATGGATATTAAGATTGTCTCTAGTTTTTTGCCATTTCAAATAATACTGCAATTCAACAATGTCCTCAATATATATTATGCTTGCTCTCTTATATGCCTAGAAGTATGATTGTTTAGTGGAAAGATTTACACATTTCAAATATTTGTATACTGTTGGAATTGCCCTTTAAAACAACAAACTACTGATCTCTGGTAAAGTGCTATTTCCCTTACATAATTGACTATCTTAAAAAACTGTAGGACATTTGTATAATTTTCTAACCAGTTTTTGCCCAACAAGACTGCTTGCTGTTTTATTTTATGCATTTTTTATCACTCATGCCATTCTACCATTGGTTTTGGTGGTTCAGAATGGTGCTGTTTATCCCCATTTCCTGTGCTTATCATCACCATAATTGCCTTTTAAAAACATAAATTTTTTTTCTTAATATGAAAAACACTTTCATTTATAGAAAATTTGGAAGACACAATAAAATAAAAGTTATATTTTTGTGCATGAAAGTACATAAAGAAAGGAATGAAAGTCCTGCCCTTGCCTTTTCCCTATTTTTTAAGTTGGTTTTTCCTTGCAATTTTTTCTGTCCTTATACCAACTTTTGTGTTTATAGAGCAGAATTTATGCCTGTACATATCTACTGATATTTGTTTTTTTTTCCTGAGGACTAAATAAGCTCATATTAGATATGGTTTTGTAACTTTTTTACATTACTTAACAAAATATCATGGAAGTCTTTCCAAGAGTAAAATAGCTAATAATAGCTAGCATTTATTGAGCACTTACCATGTACCCATGACCTTTTTTTAAGCCCTCTACATGCATAAGTTTATTTAATAAAATTATTAAAGAAATTTGGTAACTAAATTTACTGTTTAACCACATAATTTTTTGAGGTAAACTGCTTTTACTCTCCTTTTGCAGATGAGGAAAGTGAGGCCCAAAGAAGATTTATGTTCAGGACCATTTAGTCTGTAAGTGGAGAAGCCGGGGTTTGGAACCAGATGGTCTGGCTTTGGATTTTAACTCTTTTACTGTACTGTTTCTCATACTGCAGCAATGATCAGTTCAAAGATATATAAGGAATTTAAAGAACAGCATGTAGCTCCCTGCTTTCTAAGCTGAGGATGGCTTTCTAATGGCAGATTTTGGCCAGGAGCTTCATTGAGATTATATCCCTCAACCCAGAGATACACATGAATTATTGTACCATAATTTATGTGTTCACACTATTTTATGCAGTCTGAGCCCAACTGGGAGATAGATTGAGTTCTGTTTTTTCTGGTTCTTAAAGGAGTAGTCGTAGGAGATGCTGCTTCCTGAGCCCCTCACCCACTGAAGCAACAATATGTGATGGTTAAGAGAATGGGCTCTGCAGTCCAATGTGGGGTTGGGGGGTTGGAATCCTGCCTCTGCCACTTGCTAGCTCTGTGACCTTGGGCAAATTACCTAACCTCTCTGCCTCAATTTCCTTACCTGTAAAAAGGAAAAAATAACAGTGTTGTTGTGAAGATTGACTTAATTACATACGTAAAGCATTTAGAATAGCTCCTGGCACATGTGTTATTAAACCAGTACCCTATGTCCTAGTTATAGTGTACTTAGTTTTCCACCTCTTACTCTGTTAAATATCCACAACCTTAAGAAGTAGATTATCATCACCCCATTTTAAGGTGAGGAAACCATCTTGAAGAGAGCATCTTGGAAATAAGTGTCTTCGTCAAGATATGAATCAGTCTGTTGACCCGGGCCTCTGAGGCTGGCATTGTTTGCACTGTACTTTCCAACTATAAATCCTCTATTGGCCACAAAACATCAGGAAGGCACATTATTAATATCAGTTTTTGAGTTTGCACCATTCATGTGTATTTAAATTTATGAGGAAGAGTTTATTTCTGTGGAAAATATCTGGAAAATGGCACCACTCAGAAGAAATAATTTAGATTTTAAATTCATAAAGAGTAGATTTTCTAAGAGGTTGGACTTAATGTGTTTCTGTACTGATGTGCGCATCTGAACAATTTTAAGGTGCAGAGATATTTCTAATGGAATTCAAAGCTACGGTCTCCTTTATAACAAAATCATAGTTGAAGGTGGTATTACAGTTTTAAATAATTGTAATATATCTAGTTTTTAAGAGTCAATACTGATGACTAAATTGTTAAGTTTTAGGACTGAATTTGTAAAATAGGACTAATGTTAAGTGACTTAGTTTTATCTTCTTAACCCAACACTTAGTTTTATCTTCTTAACCCAACAGTGTGGTAACTCTAACTTTGTGAGATTTTAGCAAAGACTTCAGTTAGCTCTATTTGTGAAAAATTCTGTGCAATATTTAGAAGCCCAGATGGTGTAAAGTTACCATGTCCCTCTATAATGGAAAGCTATTATTTTCTGTCGACTGAAATTGTTTTAGAATTCTGAGTAGGTAGGCAATTGTACCTTCTCAAGTTTGACTTTCAAGTGACCTTGAAAAGAACACTTAAAGTACTGTACTTTGTGAGGGAAATCTTGTAATCAGAATACTGTGTTTCTGCAGAGCTCTCTTTCAGTTTGTAGTTGCAGAGATTTGGGGGTGAAGAGGACAAGACAAATGGGAATTGAGAGTAATTCTTTTCTGTAAAGGATTGACTCTTCTTTTGCTACTTTTCCATTGCTCTTTTCCTTTCTCCACCTCTACCTGCCAGAATGAACATGTTAATTTGTTATCAGTTATTTGAGTATTCATTGATTATGCCATCCTTTAAGCTTAGTGGGAGGGAGGGGATACAGAAATGTAAAATGTGTGGTACTTGAGAGTGTGGTTGGGAAAGATGAAACAAACCAATAAGTATATGGAGGGCTTAGAGATTGAGCTTTGTGGGCTGGAGTAGTTGGAGAAGGTTATGTGATGGGGATGGCGGTTGTGCACTGTTTTGTAAAAGCATTAGTTTTGAAATACGTGCAAGAAGGAAGCACAGGTGGAGGCACAGAGGCTGAAGTGAGTGTGCCACAAGTGGGACTCGGTTCATATTGTAAACATTTACTGAGCACCTGCTATGTTTCAGGTACTGTTGGCTGCAAAGATGCAGACATTCCCTGCCCTCTAGAAGTTCATAAACTAGTCGGGAAGACATCTAACCATAATACTATAGAATGATTAATTGTAATACTGGATGATATCATTGTTAAAAACCTGATCAGTGGCATTTGTAGTGTATGGCATCATTTTTAGTTATGTTTCAGTAAATTATGGTTTAAGTTTTAGAAGGGACTCCGAAATTTCTCAAGAAATTTATGTATATTTAATATACATACTTAAAAACTTGTATGAGTTATCTGTTGCTTCATAACAAATTACTCCGAAATTTAGCAGCTTTAACAGCCAGCTTAGAACAGATGAGTCAGGAATCTGAGCACAGCTTAGCTGGGTGCTCTGGCTCAGGGTGTCTGACTAGGCTGTCAAGGTGTTGGACAGGGCTGCAGTCATCTCAGGGTTTGAATGAGGTAAAATCTAGTTCTAAACTCACTTGTATGGCTTTTGGCAGGCCTCAGATCCTGCTGACCTCAGACGTCAGTTCCTTGCCACACGGACCTCTCATAGAGTTGCTTACAACGTGATGGCTTGTTTTCCCCAGGAGGAGGGATTTAAGAGGGCAACAAGTAAAAAAACAACCTTAAATGGAAGCCACAGCCTTTTTATAACCTAATTTTGGAAGTGAAATCCCTTCACTTCTGCTATATTCTGTTTGTTGGAAGCTAGTCAATAAATCTAGCCCATACTCAAGGAACAGAATAACCCAAGAGCGTGTCCACCAGAAGGCAGAAATAACTGAGAGCCATCCTAGAGACTGCTTACCTAAAGTTCTACAAGGTATTGTTGTGTATTGAGAACCTCTTCGTCTTTGGGGTAGAAGGAAAAAGATGAGCTAGCCAACGAACTTTACTGATGGAAAAAACAGATGTGATTAACCAGAAAAAACAAGATGTTTTTGCTAAAGGTCTATAAAGTTAGTTTCAATATTGTGTTGATATTTACGATAGAGAAGTATAAACAAGAACAAAGCTATTGTTTGTGGCCAAGCAGAGACCAATTTTACAAGTATGCCTCAACTTAATTAGTATATAAGTTCCAGTGAGAATTGTATGCTCTGAATGGACTCATTTTAAGTGGATTATAAGAACACAATCTTCTAAATAAACAGTGGAAATCATTTTGATTATATTCTATTTTCAGTTGGATGTGCATGCACGATAGAGATTTATGTGTACAAAGTTGAAAGGTTGAATAGTGATAGAATGAAAAGAGCACAGAGTTGACTGGGCATGGTGGCTCACGCCTATAATCCCAGCACTTTGGAAGTCCGAGGCGGGCAGATGACTTGAAGTCAGGAGTTCAAGACCAGCCTGGCCAACATGGTGAAACACCATCTCTACTAAAAATACAAAAATTAGCTAGGCATCCGCCTGTAATCCCAGCTACTCAGAAGGCTGAGGCAGGAGAATCGCTTGAACCCGGGAGGCTGAGATAGCATTGAGCTGAGATTGCGCCACTGTACTCCAGCCTGGGTGACAGAGCGAGACTCCGTTTCAAAAAAAAAAAAAAAAAAAAAGGAAAAGAGCACAGAGTCTTGAAATCAGATTTGTTTCCTGGCTTCACAACCAATTAGAAATGTGACCTTGGGCAAACCTGTTGATCTCTCTGAGCACTAGTTCCTGTCTATAATACAGAAAGCAAAAGAGAAAACACTTGGACATGAGGAATGATAGATTTAAGCTCTGCATGATTTTACCCAGAAAAGACCAGAGTTCCCTTTCTTATTTTATACCTGAAGTGTATGGCATTGGTACTTTGCAACCCATAG
The DNA here is from genome assembly GCF_000001405.40 of Homo sapiens. NCBI lineage: Eukaryota > Metazoa > Chordata > Mammalia > Primates > Hominidae > Homo > Homo sapiens. The sequence continues at coordinate 84,676,467 of NC_000001.11, read as the reverse complement.
TGACATATAGGGAAGACAGTGTACTAATACTTAAAAAGTACTTACTACTTCAAAAGTAGTAAGGTAAAGCTTTTACTAAAAGTATTATAAGATTTTCTATTACAGTATAAAGACATTGATTGGAATCTATGTTGAGAAGTACTTTGAACAAGGAAGTTTATTAGATGGCTATATACGTGTTACCTACCGCTAATGAACAAAACTATGTCTCTTATTTATGGATTACTTTATACTTTTGCTTTGATGTATTTCAGGTTTGTTCCCTGACAATCTTAAATGAATGAAATGCCTTTTACAAGATATTTTAATTATTTAATGTTCAAGGTTTGCTCATAAAATTCACTCATGAATTTGATCCATCTTGGAATTTGGGTAGCTGTATCTTGGAATTTAGAAAGCTTATTTTGCCAAGGTTAAAGACACATCTGTGACACAGCCTCAGGAGGACCTGACGACATGTGTCCAAGGTGGTTGGGGCACAGCTTGGTTTTATACATTTTAGGGAGACATGAGACATCAGTCAGTATGTGTAAGATGTACATTAATTGGTTCAGTCTGGAAAGGCGGGACAACTTGAAGTGGAAGGGAAAGGGGGGCAGGGGCTTCCAGGACCCAGGTAGATGAGTTGAAAGGTTGCATTCTTTTGGGTCTTTGATCAGCCTTTCACTGAATACGCAATTTACATGTGAGAGGGAAGTAGAGGAATAGCCACTTAGACCTTAGTCTGGTTCATTGAATCTGCATTTTTACGTAAATAATAGGGCATAGGAAGCAATCAGATGTGCATTTGTCTCAGGTAAGCAGAGGGATAACTTTGAGTTCTGTCCTTTGTCCCACACGTTGGAAAATAAGCTATCAGCTTACACTGCAAGAGTGAAATCCAACAGAACTGTTTTAGGGTAAAAACCTTGAGGCCCACAAGGAATTTTGGACAAATGTAGCTTTTTAATCTTTGTAGCTATTTTATTTAGGAATAAAATGGGAGGCTGGTTTGCCTGATGCAGTTCCCAGCTTGACTTTTCCCTTTGGCTTAGTGATTTCAGGGTCCCAAGACTTACTTGCCTTTCACATACTCTAACCAATCATATTAATAGATAGAATTTTAGGTTACACATTACTTGAACTAAAACATGAATCACTGCTTACTTTTTTCTCCTAAGGTAACTATGGTAACAGTGCTAGAAAACTAAGTTTGTTCTCATCCAGTTGTGAGGAATAATCATGTCCACTATACAATGGCTTACTATTATTTGATTAATCTATAATATGAACGTGTGTTCCTGCACTGACTTTGTAATGGAGTCCTTCTTGGTTGCATTTGATGCTTTCAAATTGAAATGGGCTTGTGATGGTATTATATTTATGCAAAACAGATATGGTTCTGTTACCTTTTTCTTTTGCTTTTGAAATTAACATTGAATTAGCTTAACATCTTCATAAAAAATGCTTTGCAACCTTCAGCAAGGCAGTTTTAGCTATATTTGAGCTGAAATACAATAATATGCTTAAATTCACTGCTTAGTTTAGGGTATGTATTGATAAAGAGTCGTAAGTCCCCTTTCTTGGAAAAACTGGTCGGGTAACTTTTCTTATATCGCAAGTCTCCTAGCATGTAATTGGTACATCATTGAACAGAAGAGCATTCATGGAAGCTTTTAGATTGTGTGAAATCATATACTGTTAGTTAAGTTTTTTGTTTCATAGGACTTCAAAATGGGGTTTTGGTTTTCATTGTAAACATTTTACAAAGTTTGTTGGTATTAATAGGGCAGGGAACAATTCACTGTCTAATCTATAGACAGGAGAGCCAAATTCGCAGAGAGAATAACTGACTTACAGTTTTAAAGAATGGATATATAATAGACACATTTTGGTGTTCTTTCTGTATAAGGAGAAAAGACACTTAAGGCACTATTGTCTTACTTACAAATACCTTAACAAGAACACAAATTGGAAAGGTGCCTATTACTGTTTTCTTCTGACCTTGTTTTTTCCCCCCAACCAGTTGATTATGAAATTAGCTCACTGCTTACTGTGTTTTTATAAAGATATCTGTCTCTAGATCATTTAAGAATATGTGTTCAACCTTTATTAAGAGCAGCGGTACATTTTGTTATAGGTTTTAGAAGCCTGTCATTTATACCAAATAGCCCTGTGTCTAGATAATAATGATGATGATGATTAATATTAGCTTATGTGTGTCTTCTATGCCAAGCAGTGTGCTAAATACTTTATGACTTATCTCTTGGGATAAGTACATTATACCTTATCTCTTGGGAAACTTAGGAGGTATGCTTCATTGTTACGGTAATTTATCAGAGAGGTATGGCTCAGAGAGGTTAAGGAATTTACCCAAAGCAGAGTTCTATTAGAATAGGTTTATTGTCCCTTGGATTCTGTTTTACTTATAGTGATTATCTCAGAAAGCTAGAAGTAAAATCAGTGTCTTTCTTAGTTGGTACAGTCTTTATCCTTCTCATCCTGTTGCTAATACCCATTTAAGGACAGTGGGAAGAACAAAATAGTTCAAGGTGCCCTTCCTTACCAAGCACATGAGTAGAAAAGTGGCAAAAGACCATTGCCAGACTGAATTACCTCCTGTGTCTGTGTGTGTGTGTAACATCATAACATGTAATATGACATGTAACATCATCTGTCTTAGTATATATTATATGCTTCTCTACAACTTAGAAATCATCCTTGATTTCTTTTTTGCCCACATTTCAATCCATCTTTGAGTTCTGAAGGTTCTGTCTCCAGAACACATCCCTAATTCATCTGCCTGTTTCTGCTTCCACTGTTAGAACTGTAGTTTAACACTGGTCATCTTGCCTGAACTATTGTAGTAGCCTCCTGATTTCTTCCAGCTTCTACAATTGCCTACCTATAGTCTACTCACAGAGTAGCCACAGTAATCTTTCTTAAAGCATAAAAGAGAACATGCTACTTTCCTACCTACAAGAAACACATCAATAGATTTTCATTGCAGTTTAGAGGAAATCCGACTTCCTACGCTGTAGCCTTGCTTACTGTGCTTCAAATATACTGGCCTTCTCTCTGTTTTTCATCGTTAACACATTAATATCCATCATAAGTCTTTGTATCTGCTGTTTCCTTTACCTGGGCTGCTCTGGTCATTGATTTTCTTGCGGCTGACTCCGTATCATTTAGGTTTCACTTCAGATGTCACCGTTTCAGTGGAGGTTTTCTCACTGATCTAGATGCTCCCTACCTTAATACTCTCTCATATTACCATGTTTTATTTTCTTTTTAGTTATCACTCTGTTAAGTTGTTGCTCATTTGTTTAGTATTTATTTCTATCTCCATCAGAATATGAACTTCACTTCTTGAGAACATGGCCTCCCCTGTGCCTAGGAAAACGTAGTAGCACATAGTAGGAGCTCAATTAGTATTTATTGGATGAATATAAATTTCTTTTTTCTTTTTGAGATGGGGTCTCTGTCGCCCAGGCTGGAGTGCAGTGGCACGATCTCAGCTCAGTGTAACCTTGCCTCCCGGGTTCAAGGGATTCTTCTGCCTCAGCCTCTTGAGTAGCTGGGATTACAGGCGCATGCCACCACGCCGGCTAAGTTTTGTATTTTCAGTAGAGACGGGGGTTTCGCCATGTTGGCCAGACTGGTCTCAAACTCCTGACCTCAAGTGATCCACCCACCTCAGCCACCCAAAGTGCTGTGATTACAGGCATGAGCCACTGCAGCCAGACTAAATTTTCATTTAACACTATATTTTGAATATTTTACCACAGTCTTAAATATTCAGAACTGTGGTTGTGAACTCTTGATCCACAGTCCAGATCTGGCCTAAAGACACATTTTATTTGGCTTATTACATAGTGCTGTTGTTTGAGGTATAACTTACAGTCAAGTGCACAGATCTTAAGTGTACAACTTGATGAACTGATCTTGTGTGTACCAGTATAACCACATCTCAGATCAAGATGTAAAAAGTTTTGGCACCCCAGACTCACTCATTTCCTTCTCTAGCCACTCCCCTTTCCCACAGGATAACTTAATACATAGAGTTTTTTTTTTTTTTAATTAGCTACTAGCATTTTAAAATTGGGAGACTTCACATAAAAATTCAGAGTTCCAGTATCTCATAAAAACATCAAAGATCAACACAACCGCTTTCCCCTTGACCACAATTTATTGTAGCCGAGAAGCAGCTGTCCACAGTATTGACATGTGTTCCCCAGGCTGCCTGCAGTCTTCACCCTTCCTCCTCTTCCCCCTGACCTTGAAATCAATTGCCAGTTGCCACTTACAATTTCATTTGAATTGTTTTTCTTATGATGGAGAAATATTTATCTCTTCCATTGTCTCTATAAAAAAGTGAAAACATAAATGAAAACAGAAAAGGTGTCTTATACTTAGTCCATACCATTCATTTGTAGTTTTGGCTGTTTGTTTGCCATCCTAATTCCACACAGTTACGTTTAAATGCTGTATAAATATATTGTTTATTTACTCATTCTTCTATGGAAACATAAACACATTATTTTTGTTCTTTTGATATTGTAAATAACATTTTAGATTATCTTTGTACACAGCATTTTATTAGGATAATATTTTTGAAGTAGATTTTCTGGATCAAAATATATTTTAAGACTTGAAACATATTGTCAGCTTTCTTGGTAGTAGTGTAAATTGCTATAATCTGGAGGGAGTATATGGAAGTTTCATTTCTCTACATCTTTGCCAACACTGGGAATTGTAATTTACAAGTTTTGCCAATATAGTTGGTAAAAACAAACAAAAATGAAAATGCTGGCCAAGAAGAAGTTTTTCATCATCTTATCTATATAATTGTATTTTATTTTAGAGGATATAATATAGAAATATTACTTAGTACAATGCTATACCTTAGATGTATGTTGAGTCAAATCGTGTACCATGTATCTTGTATATAAAGTAATATGAATACCTCAGTAGAACTTGGGAAGCCTTTAACCTTGATCCTTACATATTATTTATATTTCTATGTATATACACACACCATGTTCTATATCTGTGCATGGGAATAGGTATTGCAAAATCCTTCTGTTTTGAAGCACATACAACTAATTCTTAAGCATTGGGTTTATATTGGCTTTCATATTTTAAATTAGATGCTATTATTCTATAATCTGCTTTTTAAGGAGATGCCTACATAGAAGAGTGACAGCAGCTAGACTAAATGTTTAACTGCTGAACTAGTTCCTCAGGTATCCTGGCTCTAGAGATTGCTATGGGAGATTGGATGACTGTTACAGATCCAGGTCTGTCTTCAGGTAATTAAGTCTAAATAATTGTAAACAAAAGCAGAAACTGTAAAGGTGAATTTTTCAATGAAAATATAAAATAATTACTGCAGATGTTGAAGATGTGACTAAAGAGAGACAAATCGTTGTAAAATACTTATTTTCATGTCTACTGAGAACACCACTGTATTTGTATCTTTTTGGAAAAAAAAGTATATCATTTTCATAAAGAGGCTTTGCCCTAATTTGAAAATACCTTAAAATATGTATGTATATATTATATCTATGTTTATATGTATATATGTAATTCAAAGTCTTTAGTAATGGCGATTATGTTAGCTTTACATACGTTTTTCTAAATTATTTATATAGATGCCTTTTATTCTTTCAGAAAGCAAAACTATCTCTCAATATACCTCAGAAACAAAGATGTCTCCATCAAGTTTATACTCACAGCAAGTGCTATGTTCTTCAATACCTTTATCGAAAAATGTGCACAGTTTTTTCAGTGCCTTCTGCACAGAAGATAATATTGAACAGAGTATCTCATATCTTGATCAGGTAACATGTTTTTGTAAAAAACAGTAGCATAAATCATGTTATATAATAGAATGTATCAAAATTATGAGAAAAACATTTGTCAAACACAAGTTTGTTGTTTATGTAGTGCCCCTGAGACTTAGATTTTCAGAGAACCTTGGTGATTATCTCATCTAGAGATAGCAAGTCTAACTTTTTTGTGTGGAGCACCTTGGCCTCCTCATTGTCCCAGGGGCTCCTCCACTGAGAGTCCAGCCATCACTTTATGGATGCAGAAACCCAAGTGCCTTGCTCCATGTCACAGATTTATAGCAGAGACTAAAAGAGCCCCGTCCTCTTAACTCTTTGTCCTTTGGGATATTGACCATTTTCTTAACTATTTCAAGATAGTTTTCTATTTTTCTAAGAAAAGATTTCTATCTTTTGATTTTTTTTTTACTAAGTTGCCCAGTAACCAACCTTTTAAAATAATTCACATTTATTTTTAATTTTTGACAAAAATTATATATATTTGTCATGTTCAACATGATGTTTCATAATACACATTGTGAAATGGCTCAGTGTGCATACCTCCCATACTTATATCATTTTTTGTGGTGAGAATTTACTTGCTCAGCAATTTCAGGAATATAGTACGTAGTTATTAGCTGAGGTCACCGTGTTGTACAATAGATCTATTAAACTTATTCTTCCTATCTAACTGAAAGTTTGTATCCTCTGACCAGTATCTCCTCAACTGTAACCAACTTTAAGAAAACATTTTCTCCTACCAGGAATTGACTACTTTTGGTTTTCCTTCATTATATGAAGAATCCAAAGGTAAAGAGACAAAGAGAGAGTTAAATATAGTAGCTGTACTAAATTGTATGAATGAGCTGCTTGTGCTTCAGCGGAAGAACCTTCTAGCTCAGGAAAATGTGGAGACACAGAATTTGAAGCTGGGAAGTGATATGGACCATCTACAGAGCTGCTACTCAAAACTTAAGGTAGAAATTGCAGATCCATATTTTAATGCCATAATTATATAATTGAGTACTATAAATTTTTACTGACTTTATTAAATATTTCAGGGTTTTCTTAAGCTTTAGGGTTTTCTTTTTAAACAGGTAAGTAAAAGTGAACTTATAATTTACACACATCTGCTTCCTAATACCTACAGTATATTGAAGGCATTAATTTTTTGAGCTGTTTAATGACTTGCCGAATCTGTAAAAAGTTAGATTAGGAAATATTTATGCTCTGGGAAAATAAAATAACAATTCTGTCACCCCATCCAATCTTGGTTAAGAAAGTATATGCTTCATTTAAAAGTCTTATTGTAAGAGGCTGCACAGGTTAATTCCAAGAAAAATATTATTGAGGCATCTGTGATGCCAAATGAGCTAAGGCTCAATAATTAAATCAGACTAGATAACTTCCCTTAGAAGCCCTGGGTCTCTGGAAAAGACTATAGAAAAATGCTTTAGTAAACTTGCTTTTCTCTTAAAAAAAAAAAGGAAGTATTTTTCACAGGACCATTGAACCTACTAACTTTAAAATGTAGAATATTTGATGCTGGTTTCTATTTTGATTTCTTTCTTTTTCTTCCTTTTATGTTTTCATTTTTATTTTTAAAATGTTTATCCAAGGAGAAGGGAACAAGGTGTTCAAAATCGTGGGGTGGTTGGGACTTATAGTTGTATATTATTAAGGGTATAATATAAATCAATCCAAGTCAAATTTTTTCCTAAATATACAATTCTATATTGGGTTTTGTTATTTGTGAAAATCAAAGCCTTTGCATTTGCATACTGTCAGATGATCAGCTTTCTTTTAGTTTTTCATCTGTTGGTCCATGCCCGTTTACTTTTCCTTATTTTTCTTTGTGTACATCCTCCCCCACCCCACGCCATCTAAGAAAACAATAAAAAAAACCCACTCAGAATCTTGAATCTTTGAGCTCTGTGAGGGAATAATAGGACCTGTCTATAGAATATTTAAAAACCCCCTAGCAGGAAATGTGCTGTAATGATGTGGCATAGAGTTGGCCTACATGGGAACACTAGAAACACTTGGGGATTGGTTTAGAGACATCTTTGCTCTTTACGAGCACCTGTGCCTACCATCCTGTCATTGATAATGCTGTCTTATGTTGTCTTCTTGGTTCATACACAATGATAAAAGTGTGTTTTCTCTTAATAATGTTTTTAGGCTTTTGTGCATCTTATATTCCTAAGGGATAAAGATGATCCAGCTATGTGTCTTGGCTGACTGGGGAACTGTGGTAGATTGGAGAGGGTATTTGGTGCCCCCTAGGCTTGTGAAAAGGTTATGAGTTATGGATGCTACTTTAATCCAGATCAGAGAGACCTATGGAAGGTCTTATTAAGTACTGGGCTGATGCAGAGTTGTAACCCTTGGCCACATGTCTTATAAGTAGCTAGTAAATCATTATGATATGTTGGTGATCTGAGGCTATTGAGCCTTTACTTCAAGGAGTGGTCCCATTTATTAGGACTACCCAGAGCAGAGACTGTTTCTTCAGGATGTCTTCTAATATGGGATTTGACCTGGGCCAGAATCTTGTTATTTTGGGTCAACTATGGACAGAAATGTGTATTCAGTGGGGAAAGTTGCCAATCTATCTGGAAAAGTTTCTAGATCTAGCATATGATTAATCCAACTTGTTGAACAAAATTTATTGAGTATATGCTAGGCACTGAGTTTCAAAGATGAGTGAAACCCCAGTCCTAGGTCACGAGGAGATTGCAGTCCAGGGAAGGGAGACATATTGAAACATAACTGTTTGCTTCATTAATTGTTCTTGGGGTAGGACGCAAGGGAAGGCTTCATGGAGAGGTAACACCTGATCTGAGATTGGAAGAATGAGTAGAAATTTGCTAGTGTTTGGAAATGTCATTCTAGGCAGAGTATATGACTTGTGTAAATGCGTAGCAGCATAAGAGATCACTGCACTTTAGAGGAACCACAAATATCTCTGTTGGGGCTGCGATGGGTATGTGATGGTATGAAGAGTGGTATGAGGTAAGGCTGGAGCCTCATCTCCTGATGGTGTAAAAGGAATTGTACAAAAACAGGGAAGCACTGAGGAGTTGTAAACAGGAGGAAGACAATGTGTAAATATTCTGGCAGTGGGGTGGAGAAATTATAGGGGAATTGCAGACTTGTATTTGGGATGGAGTTAGGGGGCTCAGAAAGCCCTGGTGATAAAGATGCCTGTTAGCGACCCTTTGCTGAGGTTTTGGACTTGAACTAAGGTAGTGCTAATGGGAATAGTAAGTAAGATTGAGATCTGACGAACACTTAAGAAGTAGAATGGGTAGGATTTTATGAAAAATTGAATTTGGAGACTAGGGGTCATGGATTCAAGACCCCATTCAGGTTTCTGCCTTGAGTTACTGAGGATGGCGATGTGATTCACTAAGAAAGGAAGGAGGGGTGTGTGCAGATGTTCAGGGGTGGTGCTGAGTTCAGGTAAAGTGTTGATAATCATGCTGAGTGAATTTCTGATTTGACATATATGCTACATATCACCTGGCCTAGTGCCTGTAAGTTATGTCATGCCAACTGATCTACCCTAGTAGTAAGTTTTACACATTCAAAAAAAAAGGTTGCCAAAAACTGACAACCTTAGAGTTATCCAGGTTATACTCCTACATTTTCTGTACCTTCTTGAGATCTGTTCTTACAGAAATTGTGCAAGTTATTATTTATGGTCGGTTAAGACATAATTTGATTGGCTTTTGAATTTTATAAAAATATTAGTACAATTTTAAAAATATTCCATATGGGTGGCCTCATGCAGAACTCGGCACAGTTCCTCAGATGCGATAAGTTGAAAAGGAGCATCTTGTTTCATACTAATTCTGGCTTTGCTGCCATTCCGCTCTGGGAAGTACCTTCAGAGACTTTACCACTTGCAGGGAGAAGTGGTGTCACACAGAAGTCCCATTTCTGTGACTTGATGTGTTGCCACTTTGCTTGGTCACCCATCTTTTTCTTCAGACTTAGCTCCAAATCACTTTTGCTTCTTTTTCAAAGCCAAGTATACTCTCGAAGGATGATGACATTGCTGTACTTGAGGAGATCTTCAAAAGTGTGGTATAGAAGTGTTAAAAAGTATTAAAAATAAACTTTAAAAATATTCAGGGGCAGCATCATGGAGTGATGCTCTTTCCAGGGATCCATTTTGAAGCACTTTTGTATATGTGTACAAAATTTGATATGTAGATTAAAATTTGATGTGTAAGTTTAAATGTTATTTTATAGTGTGCTTTGTAATAATTCCTTTAAATAAACATTTCATGTGCCACTAACATTTGATTTTGACTAATAAACACTAGGATGTATAACTTCTTGTTACTGATATTTTAAGGATTCAGTTATTCTAAATCCTTTATTAATTTTAAGCAAAATTGCTTATAAATGTTTTAGGAACAACTGGAAACCTCCAGGAGGGAAATGATTGGGCTTCAGGAAAGAGACAGACAGTTACAATGTAAGAACAGGAATTTGCATCAGCTACTAAAGAATGAGAAAGATGAGGTGAGTTGTCAGTTATTGCAGATGAAGTTTAAGTGAATTTTTGTTTTCTTTGTAATATGAGATGACCATAAGAGCCACTTTACTTGAAAAAAGAAAGAACCATTTATTCATCTTTCCCCAAATTGATATGGTGGACCTTTGTGTAATAGTATTTAACTGGAAGCTCAGGAACCCTCTCCACTACAGACCCCGCCCCCAGTGGATCCATTTGGCTTAGATATTAGTTCATAGCTGGTAACAGCCAGTGTCCTGGACTGCCCTTCCTGGACTCATGTTCACTGTCACTTTTTCTTAGGCACAAGAGTGCTTTAAATGCAGATCTTTTATTCTCTGCTGTACCTGTACGTGATAGCTGAGGTGCCCCTTCTTGCATGCACTGTCTTAAATATTGACATTGTTCGTCTAGTCAACCAGTTTCTTCATTAAATGGGCACAGAAGCAGTTCACATTAAAAATCTAATTTCTGACACAAAAGATACAATTCTGATTTCTGCTTTAGTGGTTACTTAGCAGAATTCTAATTTCTACTTTAGTGGTTACTTGGACCTATAGCACTAATGCATTTCAAAATATATTTTTTAATTTGTGTAGAAAGAAACTATTATGTTTTTATTGCTCTAAAGTATGACCCCTGACCATGTAATAACTATAAAAATATAATACTTAGTTTCAGTGTTTTATATGTTGTTTTAACTACAATTAAAGACTTCTGAGGAGTGTATTTCTTTAAAGCGCCCTGGAGTGGTTTAGATAGATTTGTTTTACCATATTTGTTTATTTAGTAGTATATTTAGTAAGTAGTAGGTAATTAGTATTTAAACTGTAAGGTTGCTTGTACGTGTTTCCTTGAGTTCACAGACAATTTTGACTAGATCTGTTGATTATATTTAAACGGTTTGAATACAGCTCATCTTCGGTAGGGATTAAGTTAATCATGTTGATCCCTAGCAGGGACTGGGAATGGCTTTATAAAAGAATAGGACATACTCTGTCAGGAGTTGCCTGAGAAACTATAATAGATCTAAATTTTGAACAGCAGTGTCTGGCACCTAGTAGATACTCAGCAAATATTTGGACTGGATTATTCTGCTGTTTGGACTTACTCTTACTCGAGAATTGTTTTTAATTAGAAAAACGAGCCTGCTTACCTGCTGCCATGTGTCACAGGCTTAATTCACTTTGTCACAGATTAATAAAAAGTATAAGTGATTGTAAGTCAGTAATACAAGGAGTTCACTAAAAATGATCAGATGAATTCTGTTTATCTCAGATGAAGTTTTAATCGTTTTAATACTTCCATAAGAATATCTGGTTTTTAAATGATCAGAGTCTATATGTAAGGTAAAAGGTATAGGAGATAATTTAGAAAATTAGCGCTTCTGGAAATTTCAGAATTAAAAAAACTTTATGTGATTCATATAATATTTAAAAAAGTGGTTTCTACTGGTTACAAATAAGGAAGAATCATCCTAGGATTTTAAAACCTATATGGGGAGATGAATTTTAGGATTTTTCTCTTTCAAATTTGTGAATCGTTACTGGGCTTATAATAGCAAATGCCTTTTTCAGGTGCAAAAATTACAAAATATCATTGCAAGTCGAGCTACTCAGTATAATCATGATATGAAGAGAAAAGAGCGTGAATATAATAAACTGAAGGAACGTCTACATCAACTTGTTATGAACAAGAAAGATAAGAAAATAGGTAAACAGCTGGCAAAGATCAGCTAAGAGAATAAATAAGCTAATACTATGCTTAGAAATAATTGTAAAAGGATTGAACACAGTAACTCACGAAATGTTATTTTCATGCTTTATACAATTGATTTTCAGTGGTGTTTGTTTATATAAAAAATGTAGACAACTGGTTAGTGGAAAGTAAGTCATTCTGCCTTGCTTTATTTAATTGCATGTATTTTTTAACATGACCAGTGTAGAATTAATCCATAGAGGAAAACTAAGCCAGAGGACATTCTAATTTTCCATAGCAAAGAACTGATAATATTAAAAATCAGTGTCAGTTTCTGAGTATCAAAAGAAGTATTTTAGAGTAAACCTCATAAAATTTTTCATCAGACCAAATCGTTCATGTCAGTTTGAGTTCCTTTAAATAAGTTTAGCTGTACATTTTTGGAGCAGCTAGTCAAAAGGATGGACTATAAAAGTTAGGCGTGTGTGTGTCTAAGGTATACTTTTTTCCTAATAGTAGTCTTTTTCAAAACTTTAAGCCATTTCATCCAAATATGTGGATAATTTCAAGTAGATAGTGTAAATTAAAAAGCAAAGAAACACGAAAGTAGAGCTTTACAATACAGTTTTGCTGGCCTGGTATAAATACGAGGCACAAGAAGTGTGTGTATTTATTTATTGAAGAGTGGTTTCCTAGTGACTATAGGTAGTCCTCTAACATACATTATACCGTGACACCCCTAAACTGTCTTACCTTAGATTTGAAAAACAGGCGATGAGCGTACGTTTCAGGCTGTCATGTGGTAGACTCTGCCTGCTGTCAGCAAGCAGTTTAGTGTTGACTACATCACTGTCATTCTGCAGCAGAGCTGTTGGAGGTATCTGAATACTTTATTTTTTAAATTGTTGAAAAATAGAAATGAAGATTCAGTAATGCGCCGTTAAGATTGGAAATCTTTAGGTATCCTGAGTTAATCTTACTCATTTGGAGAATCATTGGTTTTTAAGTTTAGTTAGCCTCATATTCATTCATGAAGGAAAAAAATTAAAAAGCAGGATGAAATGCTGAAAGTATAAAGTGTAACACAGAGAAGTTTATTAAGGATTTAGTTCTGGAAACAGAGCTCTTCCATTATAGCGGTCTGGCTGTTTCCTGGTCCAATCGGAAGTGACAGTTTCATAATGATTTTATTAACTCTAAGATTATAATAATTTACTCTTTTTCCTTTTTACGCCAAATGTTTCCATGTCCACCTGCAGCAGAAGATATTACTACTATCAGGGGCTTTGACTCCTTTGATGAAAATGATGATGTTAATGTTAACAGGACATGGCAAACTTTTTCTGTATAGATCCATATAGTAAACATTTTCAGCTTTATGGGATCTACAACTTATTTGTTGCACCTACTTATCTCTGCCATTGTAACAAGAAAAGTAGCCATAGGCAGTATATAAACAAGTAGATGTGGCTGTGTTCCCATAAAGCTTTATTTACAAAATCAGGCAGCCAGCCTGTGGGCCATTATCAGGCAACCCTGATAATGAAATTAATAATGATAAGGTAACATTTATTAAGTACTTACTGTGCGCCAGATACTGTGTTCACTCTACTGTGTTGGGTGCTTTAATAGTTATTTCTTTGTCTTCTCAACAACTCTTTGGTAGATACTTTTGTTATTCCCAGTGTCCAAGAAGAAACAGGCTAAGCAGTTAAATAATGTGCCGAGATCTCATTGCTTACAAGTGGTGGAACTAGAAACTCGAAAATTAGGCTGTTTAAGCCCAAATCCTAACCTATATACCAGGTTCACTTTCACCACTTACGTGTATAGAATGCATTAGAGTTTTAGATGCTTAAGCATGTATGGTAAGAATTAATTTTATGTGTTCATGTTTGTAGCTATGGACATTTTGAATTATGTCGGGAGAGCTGATGGAAAAAGAGGCTCCTGGAGGACTGGTAAAACTGAAGCCAGGTAAAGTCCAGTTTAAATTGATAAATGTAATCAGACTTCCTTCTATCCTGCATTTTCATACTGACAGTTTCTTTCTCAGGAATGAAGATGAAATGTATAAAATTCTCTTGAATGATTATGAATATCGTCAGAAACAAATCCTAATGGAAAATGCAGAACTTAAGAAGGTTCTTCAACAAATGAAAAAGGAAATGATTTCTCTTCTTTCTCCCCAAAAGAAGAAACCTAGAGAAAGAGTAGATGATAGTACAGGAACTGTAAGTGGCTCTTTCCTCTCTAATACAGTCTTCAGATTGCTAATAAGAATAATTAAAATATGTGGTAGGCATTCTCAATGGGGACACTATTGGTATTTTGAATAGGACACTCAACTGCTATGCTACTTTCAATTACTGTGACAACTGAAAAGACTGTTCCTATGTGTTTTCAGACATTTCCTGAAAAATGCTGGAGATGATTTTCCGGGGAATTAATACATGTCAAGCACTGTTAAGAAGTGCTTTATAAGCATTGTCTCATTTTATAATATTCCTCATAACATATGAGATTATTTCATATATTATAATTTGATGATTTAGATACTATAAATATCCCCATTTTATAGATAAGGAAACTAAGGCATAATATTTAGTAGCCCAGTATCACACATGACAGTGCTAGGATTTGAATCCAAGTTTCTCACTCCAGAGCTCACAATCATAACCACTATGTCAAATATCCTTTCAGTTGTTTTAGTATTATGTACTCTACTTTTCACAGAGTGAAACTTCTGTTAACTTTGGGAAACAAATATAAATTTATTGGGTGTTCTTTATGTTCTAGTCTCTGGAAAGGAAAGGCTAAAAAGATTTTGACTTTTTCCCTCAAGAAGCTCTTTTTGGGAAAGACAGACGTGGAGAAGTGATTATTACATGTGTTAGGTGCTGTAATAAGGTGGTACAATGTGCAGAACAGAATAGTTATGGCAATCAAGGCATCACAGAGAAAGTGACATTTTCACTGCTTCTTAGAAAATAAGTATTTTTGAGGTTAAAAAAAAAAACATGGAGAAAGCATTCCAGAGAATGGGAGTAATATATGCAGAGATCTGAAAAAAAAATCACATAATGGTGAAAAGTTCATTTTACTTAATTGCTTTACGTATAAGTTAAAATCGTAGGTTTCAGCAAGTTCACATTAGTGATAAAAATCTGAAAATAATGTTGATGGAAAATGCTAGTTAACAGCAAGATACCAGAACTTGTTTTTTAAACCTGTATTTGAGGATTATTTATTTTGTGGTATCACAAATCAGTCCAGCTGATAAGCCCATCCCAGCACTTACCTTTTTTTCTCCTTAACATTTAAAAAAAAAAATTACCTAAATTTTTTTTTTTTTTTTTTTTTTAAGAGACGGAGTCTTGCTCTGTTGCCAGGCTGGAGCGCAGTGGCACAATCTCGACTCGCTGCAACCTCTGCCTCCCGAGTTCAAGTGATTCCTCTGCCTCAACCTCCTGAGTAGCTGGGACTATAGGCAGCCGCCACCATGCCCGGCTAATTTTTTTTTTTTTTTTTTTTTTGTATTTTAGTAGAGACGGGGTTTTACCATGTTAGCCAGGATGGTCTCAATCTCCTGACCTCGTGATCCGCCTGCCTCAGCCTCCCAAAGTGCTAGGATTACAGGCGTCAGCCACTGCGTCTGGCCTTTTTGAGAGAGAGTTTTGCTCTTGTTGCCCAGGCTGGAGTCCAGTGGCACCATCTCACCTCACTGCAATCTCTGCCTCTCGGGTTCAAGCAATTCTCCTGCCTCAGCCTCCAGAGTAGCTGGGATTACAGGCATGCACCACCACCCACGGCCAATTTTGTATTTTTAGTAGAGACGGGGTTTCTCCATGTTGGTCAGGCTGGTCTCAAATTCCCGAATATCTTTTACATTCTCCATTTTGAGGCCTGCTTGACCTCTTATATGTAGTTAACCTCTTATCTCAAACTCTGTCACTTCTAGTCAGTTCTTAGCATTCACTAATACTTCTTCAAGGTTAGCATAGTGTCCATTACTACTGCAGCATCTTCAGTTTTTGGTCCAACCTTAACGTCTCATCATCAGATTTCAGTTAGCAAAAGTATGTGGTAAGTCAGGGAGATCTTTCTTCAGTGATTAAACCCTCCTCACCCCCATTACTCAGCCAGTGGGTAGTATCCTGTATAATTCTTCATAATTCACATGTTTAAGTGGATGAACAATGACCTCTTAAATATATATTCTAGTTTTAAAAGATCCATTTTTCTAGCTCCCTTTTCTCTTTAATTTTTGTAGGGAAAGATTTTTGAAGCATTATAGCAAGAGAAATAAGATGTAATGTTGGAATGCCTAGGTAGCATCCACATTTCATTTATTATTTGACCTACTTACTTGTAAAACATATACCGAAAATTCAGGTAAAATGAGTTTGTTGTTTTGTTTTTTGGTTTTTTAGAGGCAGGGTCTTGTTGCCCAGGCTGGTCTCGAACTCCTGGGCTTAAACAGTCATCCCACCTTGGCCTCACAAAGTGTTGGGATTACAGACATGAGCCACTGTGCCCAGCCGAATTTTTTATTTTCATTTTGTGGTTAGAGAGTTCTGTTCAATCTGAGAAATGTGCAATAATTATTCATTTTTCTTTCTTTTTTTTTTTTTTGAGATGGAGTCTCACTCTGTCGCCAGGCTAGAGTGCTGTGGTGACATCTCAGCTCACTGCAACCTCTGCCTCCCGGGTTCAAGTGATTCTCCTGCCTCAGCCTCCTGAGTAGCTGGAAGTACAGGCATGCACCACCACGCCCAACTAATTTTTGTATTTTTAGTAGAGACAGGGTTTCACCATGTTGGACAGGATGGTTTCGATCTCTTGACCTCATGATCCACCCACCTCTGCCTCCCAAAGTGCTGGGATTACATACAGGCATGAGCCACCGCGCCCGGCCAATAATTTTTCTAACAGATTGGTAGTATTCTAATAGGCTTTAAAATGTTCAGAAGAGAAGCTGTGCTTCCTTGGAAGAGTTACTGGCAAGTAGCTTTTGAGTATTGGCAGGGGCTAGAATCACCATGAGCCGGATCCTGGGCCATTCCCCTGTCTGCTCCGCCTCAGAGACCCTGACCTCTGCTAGCCCATTGCTGACCTCAACTACTGATAGAGTTCTTCAGACTCAGTTGCTCCCTCATCCTGCTGATCTCCATGTGCGAGCAGTCGAATCAGCCCTTCTTTCTTTTCATCTTTTATCTTTCTTTTTTCCCCAGCAAGATTTTTATTGTTCAAATTAGTGAAGTATATCTCTCTGCCTTCCTGAATATTAATGACAAATTAGAACTACTTTATGTAGATGTGGGTTATTATGACATATATCCCTTTTAGTATTGTTTCCCCATGTTCTTTATCCTGCTTTGATTCTGTGTGATCATATATCAGTAAAGTTTGCTACTTCTTTATGATTTCATGTTTGGCAGAATACAAAGAAAAGTATCTCCCGTTATATAAAAAAGTATATGAGGAAAATAGAATTAACAGTTGCTTTTATTAAATACTTCAGAGATTATTTCACAAGTGCATTTCTTTAAGCAGCCTAGGATTAGAAACAAGTTGATCTAATGTCAAATATCAGTTCTGCCTCTTAGTTGTAATGCTGCTTCTCTAAACCTCGGTTTTCCCACATTGTAATGAGCTGAGGGTTAAATAACGTGAAAACATCCAACACATTAGACAGGTAGTGATATCTCCTTCTCAGACAGCTTCATGACTCTTGTCATTAACTGTATTTGGATTCAAATTCAGGTTTAGAGAGAGCTGAATTTAGGAGTCTCATTTTTTTTCTCAAGACATTTAAATACTGGGCCATATATGCATAAGACACAGCACAGAAATGATTTTGATGTGGCTTCCTCTGGTAATCAAACTGAAGACTACTTGCCTGAGCATCTAAAGCCATTGTAAGGTACTAGCCTTTCCTCTTCATCTCTCTCCGCTTGTAGGTTATTTCCGATGTTGAAGAAGATGCCGGGGAACTAAGCAGAGAGAGTATGTGGGACCTTTCCTGTGAAACTGTGAGAGAGCAGCTTACAAACAGCATCAGAAAACAGTGGAGAATTTTGAAAAGTCATGTAGAAAAGCTTGATAACCAAGGTAACCACTGCTTCTATGCATGTAAAGTGAGTTGTGACATTTGGTAAGGTGTTGATTTTTAGTCACTTAGAAAGCCGCATTATAGGCTCAGAGCTAAAGTACTATACTTCAGTTTGGTGGTTTGAAAGCAAGATTTTGCATACATTTATTTTTTCATTTTATTTTATTTTATTTTACTTTTTGAGACAGAACCTTGCTCGGTCACCCAGGCTAGAGTGTAGTGGTGCCATCTCGGCTCACTGTAACCTCCGCCTCCCAGGTTCAAGTTATTTCTCCTGCCTCAGCCTGCTGAGCAGCTAGGACTATAGGCGCACATCATAGCCAGCTAATTTTTTGGTGTGTTTTTAGTAGAGATGGGGTTTTGCTGTGTTGGCCAGGCTTATCTTGAACTCCTGGCCTCAAGTGATTCACCTGCCTTGGCCTCCCCAGAGTGTCTGGATTACACGTGTGAGCCACTGTGCACAGCCGACATTTTACATACATTTAGATGTGAGGTTTGAACCTCACTGAGAAAAATACACTTTGGTCTCAGAGTGAATGTTTGAAAAGAGGACATCATGGATCCATCTGCTCTGGATGCAGTATACAATCAAATAAAGATAACTGAGTTGGGATAAAAGACTACACATTGGGTGTAGTGTACACTGCTTGGGTGATGGGTGCACCAAAATCTCAGAAATCACCACTAAAGATCTTATTCATGTAACCAAACACCACCTGTTCCCCCCCAAAAAGAGAAAACTGAGTCTCTTTTACTGACTCTCAAAAATCAAGAAATATTTATCGTAGTATAGATAGGAACATTTTGCTTATTTCTAGATGCTTGCAGATTACTATGTTCCTAGTAATTCACTTAAAATTATTTTTAAAATAATAGATGTTTAATGCAAAATATTAATTTGGAAGTATATAAAGTAGAATATCCTGGTCTCTATTCCATACATATAACACTTAACAGTTTGGTGCATATTTTTCTATACTTTCCTCTATGGATTTGAAAGATACTTACTTTTTTTTAAATTTTAAAAATTGAATATTACCTATATTTTTCTTTAGTGTGCTTTTTTCACTTAACTATTATCCTTATACATAGCTCTACATTGATGAATATATTCTTAATATTTTCTGCTTGGTAAAGTTTGAATGCTTTTAAACTAGGAAAATGAAGATTTCTGCTCAGTAAATGAAGCCTATTTAAAGAAAAATTTAAATTGTCAAAATATGAACTCAGTGCCATTGTGTTAAGTATTAGTAAAGAGCAATCAGCAAAATTATTATTACAGCACCAAAATGAATCTACATGAGATTTTGTTCATTTGAGTCAATGCTGTTTATTATCAAATAGCAAGTATGTTTGGACTTCGTATTTGTTGAATTTAATATTTGAGAGCAAGATTTGTGACACTTCATTGATCTTTGAAGCAGTGTCAACAAAAACATGATTTTATTTTTCTCTTCTCTGAATATGGCCATTTTGTCTGTTTTTAATTAGGACATAATCATGAATAAATATGGATTACAAATTGTTGGCAATAGAGCTCTGTTTGTAAGCATATCATTTAGTCTTAAAATTGCACAAATGTGTAATTGTCGTCATGAACTCCTGTAGTTGCTTTGCTTAAACATTTTTTATAATGTTAAAATAATATAAATTTAATTTTGTTATAGCTTATGAAATTTTAAAAAGTCAAAGGACGTAACTACTTTTTAGAAAACCTATAAAATTCTAGAAAGATAAAAGTTCTGAGAGCCCTTGTTTTAAAGATATGTGCAAAACACTGTAAACTAAGTGGTGGCTATAAGACCTATGTCAACTTACTGATTTTGTCTTAGTTTCAAAGGTACACCTGGAAGGTTTTAATGATGAAGATGTAATCTCACGACAAGACCATGAACAAGAAACTGAAAAACTCGAGTTAGAAATTCAGCAGTGTAAAGAAATGATTAAAACTCAGCAACAGCTTTTACAGGTGAATATGAATTACCTTTTAAAGCTGTTCTCCATGAAAAGCCAGAATTGTGCTGAACCTTACCAGATTTGTATTCCTTTATTTCATAAGGCCCTGGTATTTGACAGATTTCTAGTCTGTGTTCCCTGCTAACAGATACATTGTGTACCACTCCTTAAATAGTCCATACTTTGCTAGTTGGGGTAGTAGGTTTCGGGAAATGAGAATTCTCATTTGACTTTTTGATTCTTAATAATTTCTATTCCTGCCCTGAAGTTTGACTGGCCTTCCCTTGCTTTCATTTCAACTCGTTGGAGTGTCGCAAGGTCCCTCAGGAACTTACTATGTTTTAAATTTTAATAGCAGCAGCTCGCTACTGCATATGATGATGATACCACTTCACTATTACGAGACTGTTATTTGTTGGAAGAAAAGGAACGTCTCAAAGAAGAATGGTCCCTTTTTAAAGAGCAGAAAAAGAATTTTGAGAGGGAGAGACGAAGCTTTACAGAAGCCGCTATTCGCCTGGGATTGGAGGTATTTTAAACAATTGTAGTGCTTTTGAAAATACTGGGGGTGGGTGGGCCTCAGTAGAATGCTTCTAAGGTCTCCTTTTTTTCTTGCTATTTACTTATTTTCTAAAATATTTACTGGTGATCTCACAAATAATTTGAAATGAGAGGGAGGCTGAGCATATAGAATGGGATCATTTCCCCTTACCAGATTTGAGAATTGAACTTAAGAAAAAAAAACGCTATAAGCATTTATTACTGCTTTCAGATTGGCTTTCTCCTGCTAAGTGTTTTACACAAGAAATCTCTTTTGGGTATCCATCATTCATCCACGGTCAGTAGGTGTGGTGTCAGAAGACAGTGCAACCAAGACTATATTTGCTGTTTAAAAAGGAAGTATAATAAAAAATTAAGTTCTCTTCTCCCCAGTCCATCATTGTTATATATACGCTCTACAGCTTGCTTTTTTTACTTAGCAATGTGTCATCTACATATTCCCCCTTCAAAAATTGTAGCAGTAATGTCTGAATAAGGTTAAAAAAAAAAAATCAACAAAACTCATTAAAAAAAGCTACAAAGTAAGAAAGTATCCTCCTTTCTCATCCTCAGTTTCATTCCTTAGAGGTAACTGCTGTTAAAAAGTATCTGTTGGAAATTCTTCTAGGAAGTACTATTTTAACTTTTAATGTATTTCAAGTTTTCTTGTTTATCAGTTCATTGATTCCCTGCTATGAAAGATAAGGAATTCTGTGTCCTTATTGTACCTCCTACCTACACCCTTCCTCATTCACATCTCATGTCTTCATAATATTGTTCCTCTTGTTCGTCTGCTTGCCTTTTTTTTGCTTTAAGGAAATAATAAAAAGCTTCCATTTCATGTTTGTTCAACTTCAGTCAGTATCAGTTCATCCCTGCAGTGAAAGCTGAGGACTTTCTTGTTGTTACTCTTGTTCTACCTCTCTTGCTGTACTACTTTGCAATTTTTGTGATATTATTTTTCATTGTTATCACATTCATAGTTTGTCCTCTAATACAATCCAGGTATAAGTACTTTGTCTAAACTTGAGACTTAAAAGTTGGAAAACCAGGAAAGAAAATTGATAATACTACAATTATGTAAATGTTATTCTATAACCAAATATGTTTGGACACAGAAAATATTCTGTATTATTAAGACTTTGCCACCCAGAGAGATATATCACTATCTAGTGAATTCTTTTTCTCTGTAGCTTCCTTTGTGATTTCCTGAATCAGATTTCAGCTGCCATGTTGCTCATATCTCATGTTACTGTCTTTCTTGGGTTTCTGTTCAATTCGCTATATTAGTAATTGAGTAATTACTAATTCTTGAGTAATTTTTTTTTTATAAATAGTGCATGAGCTGTAAACATTCTGAATTCTGGAATAGTCAAAAATATATTCATACTTGATTGGTTTGGCTGTGTATAGAATTTAGATTCCAGTTTTTTTTCCTTCAAAACTTTGAATTATTCCATTTCTCCTAGTGTTTAGTTTTACTGATGAGAAGCCTGATTGTAATATACCTGTGTTACTTTGTAGATAACTGTGTTTTGTTTTCTATCTCCCTCTGTGGAAGCTTTGGTATTTTCTTAAAGTTTGGAAATTTTACCAGGATACTTCTAGAGAGTTCCTTTCATCCTAAAGATTCTGTATTTCTTTAATTTAGGGAAATTTTCTTCTTTATTTTTTCCTTCTTTGACTTCTCTGTGTTCTGGAACTTTTGTTAGACACACATTTGGCCTTCTGAATATATATCTACAGGTTGACTTTTGTTCTCAATTCTGGGATATTCTCTTACCTTTATCTTAGAGATCACGAAACTGGCCTTTCAGGGTCAGTTTTATTATTTGCTTTAGCCACTGAGTCTTTGCTTCAGAATTTATCTTTAAATTTTTCTAATGTCCTTAATTTTTGCTTTTCTTTATATAGCATGATGGTATTTTACAGATGTTTATTAATCTGATAATATTTGTTACATTTTTAAAAAAGATTTCTTTCATCTGTTGAATTATCTCTTATCCATGGTCAGTTTTCTATTTATCTTGACCTTTTTTCTATATTAGTTTTCTCAATGTTTGGTGATGCGTGATTCTGTATCAATATTTATGAATGAAAGACTGTGTGTTGCTTGTTTTCAGTAGCTGACGTGGATTTCCTCAGTTCACAGTGTGAACGTCTGTTTCATCAGTAGCTATCTTCAGGGAACAACACTTGACCAGCATTGTCTCCTACCTGTTTCCAAGCCCTTATTCCCCACATTACTCCAAGAGAGTAATTACTCTTGCTACTTTGCATATTGCTCCCAGTTGCCAGGTGCCTTTCCCTGCAAGAGAATTTTTCTCCGTCTGGTCACTGGGACAGTGGGCATAGTGAGGGATGGGAGGGAGGCATGCAAGACCTGAGGGCTGATGGAGAATTTAGTTTAGGATTCATCAGCTATTCAGAAGGGGGAGGTTTGACATAATTTGCCTATGCCCTCTTGTGGTTTAGTGGTGGTGGCTACCAGTACTGGTAGATGGCTAGAGGATGAGAGAAATGCTTGATGAAGTCATAGGTCCTGTTTTTCAAGTGACTAATTTACAATATAGATTATTTTTCTTTTGTTTGTAACTTTATAATGTTTTGTATGTTCAAAAGTTATGCTAATATTCTGTTCCATTTTTTGCATTGTTTATTTGAACTTAAAATTGATATGAAGACAGTGATGGTTGGTTTATTAGGTGAAACAGATGAATTTCTATTTTTTAAACATAATTTTTTCGTAAGTGAAATTTTTCTTAGTTTTTTTGTTTTTGTTTTTTTTTGAGATGGAGTCTCACTCTGTTGCCCAGGCTAGAGTGCAGTGGCGTGATCTTGGCTCACTGCAGGCTCTGCCTCCTGGGTTCATGCCATTCTCCTGCCTCAGCCTCCTGAGTAGCTGGGACTACAGGCACCCGCCACCACACCCGGCTAATTTTTTTTGTTTTGTATTTTTAGTAGAGACGGGGTTTCACCATGTTAGCCAGGATGGTCTCGATCTCCTGACCTCGTGATCCACCCGCCTTGGCCTCCCGAAGTGCTGGGATTACAGGCGTGAGCCACCGTGCCCGGCCGTGTTTTGCTTTTTGAGATGGAGCCTTGCTTTGTTGCCCAGGCAGGAGTGCAGGGGTGCGATCTCAGCTCACTGCAACCCCTGCCTCCTGGGTTCATGTGATTCTCCTGCCTCAGCCTCCTGAGTAGCTGGGACTACAGGCGCACGCCACCATGCCCGGCTAAATTTTGTATTTTTAGTAGAGATGGGGTTTCACCATGTTGGCCAGACTGGTCTCAAACTCCTGACCTTGTGATCCGCCCACCTTGTCCTCCCAAAGTGCTGGGATTACAGGCATGAGCCACTGCGCCCGGCTTTTTTTTTTTTTTTTTTTTTTTTTTTGGAGATACGGTCTTGCCGTGTCACCTAGGCTAGAGTGCAGTGGTGCTATCTCGGCTCACTTCAGCGTCAACTTCCCAGCCTCTAGCCATCCTCCCTCCTCAGCCTCCAAAGTAGCTGAGACTGTAGTCCTGTGCCACCATGCCCAGCTGATGTTTGTATTTCGTGTAGAGACAGGGTTTTGCCGTGTTGCCTAGGCTGGTTTGGAACTCCTCAGTTCAAGTGCTCCACCAACCCTCAGCCTCCCAAAATACTGGGATTACAGACGAGTGCTGAAATTATTTTTAGTTTTTTAGGTTAACTCATTTGACATAAGAAGTACGAATAGATAGCCAGAGAGCAAACAAAGATAGCTAGAGCAATCATGTGAAATGGCAACTGTGTGGATGTTGAAATATTGATCATTATTTCTTTGGCTGTTTATGGTAGAGAAAGGCATTTGAAGAAGAAAGAGCCAGTTGGTTAAAGCAGCAGTTTCTAAATATGACTACCTTTGACCACCAGAACTCAGAAAATGTGAAACTTTTCAGTGCCTTCTCAGGAAGTGAGTACTTTATAAACTCTTTAATTTGAACATGCATATAAATAAAATTATTTACATATTACAAAATACTACATATTATTAATACAAAACTTTGGAAATCACCAATTAGAGCTCTCTAATTATAACTAAAAGTCAACTTTTTTTTGTTTGTTTTTGAGACGGAGTCTTGCTCTGTCGCCCAGGTTGGAGTGCAGTGACGTGACCTTGGCTGACTGCAACCTCTGCCTCCCAGCTTCACGCGATTATCTTGTCTCAGCCTCCTGAGTAGCTGGGATTACAGGCATGTGCCACCACGCCTGGCTAATTTTTGTATTTTTAGTAGAGACGGGTTTTTACCATATTGGCCAGGCTGTTCTTGAACTCCTGACCTCAGGTGATCCACCCATCTCAGCCTCCCAAAGTGCTGGGATTAGGCATGAGCCACTGCGCCTGGCCTAAAAATCAACTTTAATATTTTATTTACTGTAGTGAAAGTGAGGATGAGAGGGGGACTGTGCATGCCCAAAGTAACTTTTGTTGTGAGTTTGTAATAATGCGAAGTTTTTGAAAATTTACATTGAGAATTTCTTTTTTCAAGATGTAGTCTTGCTCTGTCACCCAGGCTGGAGTGCATCTCGGCTCTCTGCAGCCTCAGCGTCCTGGGCTCAGGCAATCCTCCTTGCCTCAGCCTCCTGAGTAGCTGAGACTATAGGCACACACCACCATACCCAGATAATTTTAAAAACTTTTTTGTAGAGACAAGCCCTCGCTATACTACCCAGGCTGGTCTCAAACTCCTGGCTTAAGCAGTCATTCCGCCTCACCTTCCCAAAGTGCTAGGATTACAGGTGTGAGCCACCCCACCCAGCCTAGAAATATTTTTAAAACTAGATCCTTTTGGCTGGGCACGGTGGCTCACGCCTGTAATCCCAGCACTTTGGGAGGCCGAGGCAGGTGGATCACGAAGTCAGGAGATCGAGACCATCCTGGCTAACACAGTGAAACCCCGTCTGTACTAAAAATACAAAAAAATTAGCCAGGCATGGTGGCGGGCCCCTGTAGTCCCAGCTACTCGGGAGGCTGAGGAAGGAGAATGGCGTGAACCCAGGAGGTGGAGCTTGCAGTGAGGCAAGATCGCATCACTGCACTCCAGCCTGGGTGACAGAGCAAGACTCCATCTCAAAAAAAAAAAAGATCCTTTTAAACATGGGTGGACTATGCAACAAAGATAAGCAAGATTAATGATAATTAATTTGAATTTGTTCCATCTCTTTCCTCACTCAGAACCGCAGATGAATCATCCTGATGATTTACCTTCACTATATTTAATGCCTCACCATATGTACTGCCTTTTTCTCTTACTTGTTTTACAACAGGTTCTGATTGGGACAATCTTATAGTGCACTCGAGGCAGCCGCAAAAGAAGCCTCACAGTGTGTCTAATGGGTCTCCAGTTTGCATGTCTAAACTTACTAAATCTCTTCCTGCTTCACCTTCCACTTCAGACTTTTGCCAGACACGTTCCTGCATATCTGAACATAGGTATTTGTCTATAGGTGATCTTTTCACGTGTTTCTAAAAATTGCTAAAGTTGCACTGCTAAGGGAAAGGTGGCATGTCTGTAGTATTAGCAACAATAGAGATTTTGGAGAGGAATTTAGTAGATGATTTATTCATTCTACAAATATTGAGTGTCCAGTATATATAGACACTGTGCTAGATGCTGGAAATACACTAGTGAACAGGTAGATCTGTTGTCTTCTTGGAGGTAAATCATATGATGTGTGTCTTTTTATTTCACATTTAAGATACAATTTAGAATGTAGTCTTAATTATAGGAGTTAATATTTTAAGCACTTTAATTGTATTAAATGGAAGGATATTGTTTTGACAGTTTTTGTAGAGTACATATCTTAACACTTTTTTCCGGCATGCCCATTTTATTGTTGTTGAAGGGCAAAGAACTGAGAAAAGCCTGTTCCTGTTGAGTGAAAAAGATTTGTGCCCAAGGATGACAGTGTAAAAAAACATGGCTCTCCACCCTGGGAAACCCATATGTTGCTCTTAATTGCTACATTTTGGTGTTTTCCTGTATCTCAAGTTATTATATCATTTTCTAAGATAAGATCAATACTCTGCTTCAGTGCCAATTCCAAGATTAGTTTTAAACGAAGAAGAGGAAGCAGGTAGAACATTCCTAGTAAGACAGAGAGGAATAGAAAAGATCAGAGGGGTAAGTTGGAAAGTATGGTGGTAATCTCTTTGCTCTTAATTAAAAGTAGGAGATAATGGCCTTGGAAAACAGTCAGAGCTGAAGCAAACTCGGCCTGTGTTAGAGACTGGAGTGGAACTAAGTGTCGAAGAAGCCAGCTGGCCCTTGGGCCAAGAATTATGAAATAGATGGAGTTTAAAACAAGAAAGGAAGCTTTTAAAAGAAGGAGGAGAACACACTATAAGTTGTAGTTGACTTTTAAGAGGTGGGGGGATTAGGACTCCAAGTAAATGTTAGAGGGGATGAAAAAGAGCTAGGTAAGAGCACTCTAGCCAAGTGTAGGAACCCTGAGGGTGGGACACACCTCATACATTTGCAATGGTGACCAAGACCTAGAGGTGTGAGATGAGGATGGAGAGATGTAAAAGTTCAAATATACAGAGAGGATAAGATCGTGAACCCACGTGTACCTATGACTCAGGTTCAGCAATTATTAACTCTGATCAATATTGTTCATATATAATCCCACTCTGCTTGCTCTCTCCACCCCAGCCCCAACACATCTGGGATTTCATTTACAGAATATTTTAGTGTGCATTTGCAGGTCAAATATTGTTCTAAGGGGAATAGAAAAAACACTAGTTTTAAGCAAGAGAGTGAAAAAAAGTCTTAAGTTTTAAAAAGATTACTGTTTTATAATATTGAAAACAGATTGTAGGAGTCTGTAATATAAACCAGGAAATCCAGTTAGGAGGCACTATTGGAGTGGAAACGAAAGACAATGGTAATTGGACTAGGGTCATAATATGAAGGAAGAAATGCTTGGATTTGGGATCTATTTTGAAGTTAGACCAGTAGATGAGTTGAATATGGGAAGTGAAAGTTTATTTATTTTACAATCAAAAGATAATGTGTAAGCTTATAGTATTTTCTTACATAGAATGTTATTCAAACTTCTAAATTTGACCAGTCAGAACTATCTGTATAGATATAGACACAAATTCTAGCCACCATTCACAAATAATGCATTTTATATCTAAGAGATAGCATAACATAGTTGTCTCAATTGTTTTTATATATTTTAAATATTTAGCTTTTTACATCATTTTTAGTTGTGAAATATTTGACATAAACATTTCTTGAAGACATTGTTTTATGTTTAATAAAGTTCAGCATTTAGTACCTAAATCATAGGGTGTTGCAAGTTAAATGTTAATGTATGTAAAGCACTTAAAAACATTTAGTGACAGACTATAAAAATAAAAATATATGTAAACAAATATAAACATGCTTTTTTTGTTTCTGAGTGCTCCACTAAACAACATCCGTGGCATAGAAACAATTTTGGAGCTTAAAGAAATTCAAGGTATTCATTGTTAACTAGCCTCTAAGAATAAAACAAACAGAAAAAAGTTTTATAACTAATAGAGAAGCTGTGCAGCCTGACTTGGTTCTTCACATTTTAAATTATTTGATAAACTTGGTTCTCTTGCTCCTGAAGCATTTTGGATCTCGGTTTATATTAATATTGCAACAAAATAATTAGGAGTATTTGTAGCTAATTTCTACAACATCCTCATTGTTCCTTCACTGTAGAATGGAATTTTATATAAAGGCTGTGCCTTAGATTCCAGGCAAGGAGACTTGTGCGTAAGTTACCTAAAAAACTTAGTTTGATCATTTGTACAGGGATTCTGATGACCGAATTACTATAAGTATTGGTAAATAAATTTATAGTAATTTGGTCATCAGAATCCCTTGTACAAATGATTAAACTAGGCATGCACTACTACTCCCAGCTAATTTTTTGTAGAGACAGGGTTTCACCATGTTACTCAGGCTAGTCCTGAATTCCTGGGCTCAAGCAGTTCGGCTGCCTCAGCCTCCCAAAGTGCTAGGATTACAAGTGTGAGCTACTGCTCCCAGCCGTTTTTTTTTTCCAAGTAAAATTTTAAATTATATTTTTGGCCTAGATTTTTAGAATTAAAAGGAACTTATTTTTTTTGAAGAGTGCCACATTATGAGGTTAAAGTACAAAAGAAGGAGAGGATAGTCACTAAGATCTGCCTTTCTTTTCCCAACAGTTCAATCAATGTACTGAATATAACTGCTGAAGAAATTAAACCAAATCAGGTTGGAGGAGAATGTACAAATCAAAAATGGAGTGTGGCATCAAGACCTGGATCACAGGAAGGTTGCTATAGTGGATGCTCCTTGAGCTACACAAATTCTCATGTAGAAAAAGATGACTTACCTTAGACATGTGGACTGGAATTTTTTTCATTAATGTGTTCATCAAGTTTCACATCTAAGTTGAAACAGGGTGTGTCATAAAGTCAGTTATCTCTAATAACTTAAGATGGTCTGAGTTGTTTGTTTGGACTTCCCTGTCTTCCCCCAAAGAGTTGAAATCTTAAATCTATTTAAAAGGATATAAAAGCTTTGGATATGTATTTTTAGTAACAGAAGCATCTGGTTCTGTGAATAAAGGAATGTATAGATGTTTGGATGGAAACAAAAGCACTAGACTGAGTTTCCTCTTATAGGTATTAAAAATAGCACTTTTAGGAAACTGATTATTGTAAATGTTTAATTTTGTCTCAAATATAGTTGGCATTGGAAGTTTAGCCTTTACTTGAATGTATACTGTAGATTTTTAACAAAGCGAGTTCTATATTTATTATGTTTAGTGTGGTTTGAAATTACCTCTTTCATATGTTTTAAATAAAGTGAAATTTATGTATGTTTTGTACATAGATACACATGATTATGTTAAGAGGCTTTAAGATTTAAAAGTTTCACACAACCATAAGTATAGTATTTCATGCCAGTAAAATTTTTTTAGTGGTATTCTGTTTACAGATGTATTAGGACCATTGATGCATTACATTTAAGAATTCTCTTTAATACATCTGGGCAATAAATATTGAAAGGTATTCCATGAAGCTGAGTTCTTTAGATAATCAACACTACTAACATTACATTTTTGAGATTTTTATGACATTAGATTTTTATTTTGTATATGTAGAATATTATAATTTTTAAAAGGACTATTGATGATAGAAGAATAGGGGCAAGACGACAAAAGTACCTTTGAATAAAACAATTTAAGAAATTGGTTTAAGATATTGGATGATAGAAGATATTTAAGATATCTAGATGGTGATATTTTCCTTACAAGATGGGTACCAGTATAGTAATATCTGTATACTAACTAGGGCTTTGTATTGTCAATAATTTTTTAATAATTTTTTAATGAGGTATTTACCACTGAAGAAATATGATAATATAAAACCATCAAATTTTATAATTGAGATGATACTCTGGAAAAACATGTCATTTCATTTTCAGAAAACTCTTAAGCTCTCTTCAGTCTCTGTAATGTTTCTGATTGCATGTTTCTTCATGAAAAGTATGTTGTTGTTTTGATAGTAATAATAATAAATGTAGGCTCAGCTCTTTCCCAGGATTTTCATCAAAAAGCTTTAAGTGCCTAACCCTGCTTGTCTCTGTACATAGAAGCCTGCACAGATCCAACCCTTGCTAGGTATCATAGTTTAGGCCCATTTACCTTCCCCTGTACTGGCAGTTCAGCCGCTTACATGCACTCACCCTGTTTGTGGCTATTTTAAATTCATATTATTAAAAAACAAAAAAAACCCACCTATTTGTGTTGTCCATTCACTATACGTAACTATGTAACTCTTTGGAGTTGCATAGCAGCAGCCATTTTTTCAGGGCTGATAGGATATCATTAAGAGTGTCTTATGAGACATTAGTGGATATACTCATAGTAACCATATTTATAGTTTTAAAGAGCTAGCTCTTGAGCATTAGTCACTACCTTCAGCTTGATGCATGGTCACTTCTTTACTATTTAAAATACTACACATTGTACAAAATATCGAAGACACTACCATATGCTAAAGGAAGAAATCTAGCTGGGATATAGGATTTTTGTTGTTTTTGTTTTTGTTTGTTTTGCTATTTAGCAATAACATGGTCAAAAAGGCAATCAGAAATTTTAAATACAGTTAATGGATACATTTGGCAACAATTTTCCCCCGAGGGTTTTCCATGGTGTACTTTGCAAGAAATAAGCACTCTAATTTTTAAAGTAAATCTCTTATTTTAGCAAATATTATATTTCATGACAATGGAGTTCTAGAAAGCAGCATCTGTTTTTTGTTGCGTGTTTCCATTTTAAAGTGAGTTGAGTTCTCAAATTGGAAAGAAAGATTCCTTGAGACGTACTTTTAAAATCTAAAGTGTGAAAGAAACAGCAGAGTAAAAGCCAGACTCATTGCACCTTCAATGTCTGCATAGATCCAGAAGTTGTACATTTTACCTAACAACATCACTTTTGTTGAACATTCCAACTCCAGAATGATCCCCAATCACCCTAATCTCAGAATGCTGGAATGATGTCTGTTGGAAAACCCAGGACTCCACACACAAAACTCCTGGGATTTTGTTTCCCATCTCTTTCTAGGTGTTTGCAATGTACAAATAATACAGCTGTGCTAATCTCACATTTAGCCATGATAGATGATGGTTCTAGAGTGTACTTCCATTTGTAAGTCCTCCTGATAAGTGCTTTCTTGTTTATCACTATGTAAATCTGAAATATTTTGTACTTCATTTGTTTTTATCCATTCTGAATTTTCAAAGCATAAAAATGTCAAAGAAAAATTGAGATAAACATTTTGTTCACCATTAAATGTTTGCATCTGCAGTCTATGATGAGAAACAATGAAATTATGACTAAAATTTAACAAATAGTATTTTCTTATAGAAGCAATGTATTAAATGATTAGATACACAGGACAGTTCACAGCAAATTGTTTACTTACATGGCATAATTGAAATACTGTTATTTGTAAAGAGTTCTATACTGCCTACCTTAGCTAACCAGAATTGTTCATAGACTTGTGATAATATGGTGTTATGGGAAAACACATTTTGTGCGCATGATGAAGAGAGCACCGTGAATCTAGTCTTGACTGCCCCTGGTGGAACATTTGAAAGCCCTTGGGACTCCAGGAGAGAGGTTTTTGCAGCATGTATGCTAAATTTGTGAGTTAGCAAGACCCTGCTGTGATTACTATGTTGTACAGATCTTCAAAGTATATTGCCTAATATGAGTCATGTTATTTCTAGATTGAATTTAAAGTAAGTATGGATTATGGAAGTCTAGTAAATATACTTTTCCCTATTTTTGTCCTTTTTCAGTCTTTTGGTAAGCATTTATTAAGTACCTGCTGTATGTCAAGGCTTACTACTGCTTTCCAATCCTTGGTGATATGAAGACAGATAAGCACGCTGCCTGCTATTAGGAATCTGAGCTGAGTGGAAGGCCAACTATTAAACCTACATTGTAATAAACAATGGTGGATGCTACGGACACATTCAGTCTGTTCATAAAACATGGACTGATGGGTCTGCTCCAGGCCACATTTGTTTTTTAACAGTAACGTGGCTAGGCTTCCATTTATAAGTCTTAGCATTATTTCCTTTGTGAAGTACTATGTAACAGATGATTGTTTGCTAGATTTTGTTTTCTACAATCAAAATGTTGACCTGCAAAGCAGTGTAGGATTTTCTCTCCTCAAGAGCGTGTATTATTATCTAGTAGAAAAAGCATTCCCAAAGACTTGGTCCATGCAGATAAGGATAATGAAATTGCTCACTCTAATCCTTTTTCTAAATACAGTGTTTTTCAAGCTGGATGTAAATTAGAGTGGGTGGATATTGATTAAATTATTTGATTTATATGAAATCAAATGACTGGTTGAGGTTTTTTTGAACATTTACAAATAATGGATTCCTGAGAGCTCAGGAAGTACTGTAATGTCAGTGACATATGAAGCTCCTGATAAAGATCCACCTCATTCATATATTTGAGCTTCAGAAATACATGTACCTAGTATAATGCTTAACAGCACATAATATTTGTTGATGAGAAATACACTGATGAAACAACACATTTTTTTACTGGAATGAATGGACTATAAGTTTGGGGTTAGAATCCTAAAACTCCTCTTTCTCAAGAGGGTAAGAACCTTGTCATGAATCTATGCATGTGTACTTCCAACCCTATCTCAATTCCTTGCATATAGAGTATCATGATAGAGTAGGTTATGCTGCAATTAAACATTAAGTCGGTGTGGCGTAATAAAATTTATGCTCATGAAATGTCCAGTGTCAACTGGGCAATCCTCCATTTTTAGCTATGCCATCTGGACGCATGGTCTCCAACATCGCCAAATCAGAGCGAGCAGACTAGCAGATGGTGTAGGATATTTTTAAGGGCCAGACCTGAAAGAGACATGCCTTCCACCTACAGCCTCACTGCAAACAAGACTGGGAGGTATAGAACATGTAGCTATTTGGTGAGCACTTACAATCTGCTATCAAATGTAGTTGATGCTAGGTATTTCGTCCATGCATATTACTCTGCAAGGGGTTTATTGCTGATTATTAAAGCAAATATTCTTAATTTTTGGAAGGAATGTATTTTAAAGCTCCTCACACTTTCTAACCTTTTTATAATACAAGTTTCTGAATGTTCAAATGGTAGTTTTACTCATTTAGTTATTAAAGTATCTTACAGTGCACAGAACACTTTTATTTTTCAACTGTCAGGGAATCTTAACCTTCCTATTTTTAGAGTTGATAACAGACTCAAGTGTTAAATAATGAACCCAAGGTCACATAACTGCTGTTAAGTGATAAGACCAGACTTTAACCCATATCTTAGGTTTGCTAAATTTCCACCTTTTCCCACACTGCTGCAGTGCCTGCTTGTAGGGCTTTCTAAGTGAAATTATTCACCCATTAGCTGCCACCTATAATCTACATCAAAAGTAGTGATCATTTGGTCCATGTTCAAGACTTGGCCTCATTTTTTTGTGATTGGTTACCATGGCAGATCTATTCAGGGTTGGACCACTACCTTTCTGCAATTAAGATACTAAGGATTTCATTGAAATAGCTAATTTAGTAGTTTATGATACTCTAAAGGCCATTGAGTAATCTGAAGATATGTCTAGATCACCTGCAATTTGTGTGTGTGTGTGTGTGACAGTGTCACCCAGGCTGGAGTGCAGTGGTGCCATCTTGCCTCACTGCAGCCTTGCTCTCCCGGGCTCAGGCAGTCCTACCACAGGCTTCCAAGTAGCTGGGACTACAGATGTGCGCCACTACACCTGGCTAGTTTTTTGTATTTTTTATAGAGATGGGGTCTCACCATGTTGGACAGGCTGGTCTCGAACTCCCAGGCTCAAGTGATCCGCCCCCCTTGGCCTCCCAAAGGGTTGGGATTACAGACGTGAGCCACCGCCTCTGGCCAGCCTGTATTTTTCTGCCCTGCCATTTTGTTCACTCTTGGCAGTTTGTGTGCCGTGTCCCAACTGTAGCTACAGTCACAGTGACCAGAAATACTTCATTTTGTCCAAAAGGTTCAGTCACCTTTTGCAGACATTTTATCATGAAAAATAAAGTAGTAGAATTAACAGGAATATTTTTACTCAGTTTTAGAAGGAAAACGGCTGATGTAGGGCAGCTGGATATTTTCTAGTTTCTCTGTTGCATCTGCATTTAGATAGATTTTCTTGTTTCTGGTCTGTCATGACAGTTTCATTCCTTTTTACAGTGTTCTATTAAACCAAACCATACCCCAGCCCAGTGTACTCATTAGAAAAAAGTAAACATTTGCATATTCCCTAGAACCCTAAAACTGATAACAAGAACCTACCCTCCATTCTGGCTTTTGGATCCAATTTTCTATTATGTATGATGTCTAAACCGAGGTGGTCAATTGTTCATCCCAGCCAGGCATAGGATCAGACAGCTGAGTTCCCTAGGATTAGACTGCTAGTGCTTAGCCATGACTACTATGGCTGGTTTTGTTAACCTGTAAGTATAGTTTTTACTTGACTAAAACATGCTGTAATTTATTTACCCTACCTTGAGATTTTTTTCTTCTGTAATTCTCAGCCCAGAACTATTATTTCAAACTAAACTTGTATTTCACATTTTTAATTAGTGAAGAGGCTCAACGAAATGCAATTTTCAAATAGTCACCCAATAGTATAAAGCTTTTGTGGAATATCAATTTAATTTCTAGCCACTTTTAGTTTCTTTTATCTTGAAAATCTTTTACCTTAATAACTAGTTGATTTGGTTTTGTAATGTTATTCCTTTTAAGCAAAGAGGTATTAAATAATAAGGAAGGCTGGGTGTGGTGGCTCACGGCTGTAATCCCAACACTTTGAGAGACCAATGCAGGCAGATCACCTGAGGTCAGGAGTTTGAAACCAGCCTGGCCAACATGGTGAAACCCCATCTCTACTAAAAATACAAAAATTAGCCGGGCGTGGTGGCAGGCGCCTGTAATCCCAGCAACTCGGGAGGCTGAGGCAGAAGAATTGCTTGAACCCGGGAGGGGTAGGTTGCAGTGAGCCTAGATCACGCCATTGTACTCCAGCCTGGGGGACAAGAGCAAGACTTCGTCTCAAAAATAAATAAATAAAAAATAAATAAATAAGGAAAATCTCTATAAATTAGATCTCAGTGAAATTAAACTTTTCCAAACAAATAGTTTTTCAGATTCTGTGTTAATGCCCCAAAGAAAACTAGAAATCCAACAACTAGCCACACAAAGCCTTGGTACATATGTTCTAAAGAAGCTATTTTGATCTTAAACCATGAAAAATTTTAACTGGAATTTTAAAAATCACATTGCCTTTTTATTTCCAAAGCACTTGTCTTCATTTTTATCAAGGGCAAATATCTGAGGAAACAACTCATAAATGCTTTTTGTTGTTGTTGAGACAGAGTCTTACTCTGTTGCCCAGGCTGGAGTGCAGCGGCGTGATCTCAGCTTACTGCAACCTCTGCCTCCGGTGTTCAAGCAATTCTTCTGCCTCAGCCTCCCAAGTAACTGGGATTTCATGCATGCACCACCATGCCCAGCTAATTTTTGTATTTTTAGTAGATACAGGGTTTCTCCATGTTGGCAAGGCTGGTCTCAAACTCCTGACCTCAAGTGATCTGCCTGCCTCAGCCTCCCAAAGTGCTGGGATTACAGGCATGTGCTGCCACGCCTGGCCTCATAAATGCTTTTAATTGAAATTCTTTGATAAGGAACGAAAAGACTATGGTAAATCTCAGAGGCAGGTTCTGGCCTTGGCAGTGAGGGCCAGAAAGGGGTGTACATCAGAGACACAGTTGCTTGTGGTGTGGTTTCCCAAAATCTGGAGGTGCACATTCCTGTTGACTCAAACTTTTGATAGTGAAATGGGGAGCTATTCATGATTAGGCCTGTACCACAGTGGAAATTGGGACAAATGATCACCCTGTGTATAATGGAAGCCCTGTCCAAGTAAGCATAACTCTGACTTGAGTTTTGATTGTTGAACCTGTAAACCCAAAATAAAATCCTAAGGCCCCCCAACTATTTGGGTCCCTTCTCTCAGCCAAGGGCATTCCAAAGTTAACCTGAAAAACTAGTTCAGGCCACGATGGGAAGGAAGGGTGAGACATGCCTGATTATACCCTCCTTCCTCTTGGAATTCAGGAAAAGTTAACCAGCATTAATATCAACACAGACCTTAAGTCTTATAAGAGACATTTACAACCTATGCTCCCTGAAGGCTGTTACCTGGAGGCTCTATGATAAAACTTTGGTTTCCACAGCCGCTTATCATCATAACCCATACATTTCTTTGTACTGATTCCAAGTCTTTAGATAATAACTCATTCAGGCTAGGCGTGGTGGCTCACGCCTGTAATCCTAGCACTTCGGGAGGCTGAGGTGGGTGGATCACGATGTCAGGAGTTTGAGACCAGCCTGACCAACATGGTGAAACTCCATCTCTACTAAAAAAAATACAAAAATTAGCTGGGCATGGTGTTGCGTGCCTGTAATCTCAGCTACTCAGGAGGCTGAGGCAGGAGAATCGCTTGAACCCAGGAGGCGGACGTTGCAGTGAGCTGAGATCGCGCCATTGCACTCCAGCCTGGGTGACAGAGAGACTCCGTCTCAAAAATAAAATAAAATAGAATAAAATAAACTAACTCATTCAACAAATTGCCAATCAGAAAATTTTTAAATCTACCTCTAACCTGGAAGCCACTGCTTCAAGTTGTCCCACCTTTCCAGATTGAACCAATGTACATCTTACAGGTATTGATTGAATGTATTATGTCTTCTTAAAAAGTGTAAAAGCAAGTCACACCCAGACCACTTTGGGCACATGTCATCAGGACCTCCTGAAGCTATGTCATGGGCCTGTCCTTAACTTTGGCAAAATAAACTTTCTAAATTGATACCTATCTCAGATATTTTTGGGTTCACAAACCCTAATCCCTACAAAGCTTCTTCCTTTAATTCATGCCTCAGGTATAGTTTCTAAAAGATGGAATCAAGTTGTGGTCTAACCTAATATAGTCAGCTTTCCTATAACACTCATAAACACCATGTAAAAAAGGACAAGTTTGTCTCAATGCAGTTGACATATTAGGGAACAATTTGAGCATAATGCAAAATTTGTGTTTGCTTATGTGTGATTCTGTTAGTGAGAAACACTAAGTGAATGCAGAAAACTGTGCCCAGCTGATCCAAACTAAACAGTAACACACAAAACAAATATACATCTCAAATGTCTACTGTTACAGTAGATAGGTAGGCATGAGCAGGGCAGGAGAGGGCTCCCCCACCACCCACCAGGATGGTCAGGCAACCATCAGATAATGGTATGGCAGTTATCACACTGCCTCTCTAAAAATGATCATTGGCAGCCAGGCCTAGGAGAGGCAATTTCCTGATGGTTCACAGTTGTCATACTAACATGATAATTGATTGCAGGCACCAGGGAGAGGCAATTTCCCAAACAGATTAAAAACACTTGAAATTGGTAATCAGCTTCCAATAAAATCTCAGGAATTGGGTGAGTGAGCTTGAACATATGCATGAAGAGACAAAATGGTGGAGTATGGCCTCCCGGGGGCATTTCACTAGAAGAGGGAAGAAAGCCTCAGGTGAGCATGCTACAACTTCCTAAACACACTGTGCATGCTCACCTCCCAAGCACAAGGAGGGCACTGTGCATGCAAGGAGCCCACCCTCAGGGAAGAATTATGGGAAAAGGGATGCAAGACCCCGGAAGTATGCCAGCATATTCAACCCCAAGTCAAAAGGTCAAATGTCGCACTTATCCTTCAAGTCGCCTGCTTGTGTCCTTCCATGTGTACTTTCCTTTCTTTCCTGCTCTAAAGCTTTTTAATACACTTCCACTCCTGCTCTGAAACTTGCCTCAGTCTCTTTTTCTGCCTTAAGCCCCTCTGTCGAGTTCTTTCTTCTGAAGAAGCAAGAATTTAGGTTGCTGCAGACCCATCGGTAATTTGGATATTCACCACCACTAACACTACCATCTATCTCAGTTTCCCACATATGTTATAAACAATACTCATCCCTATCTGACATTATAATTTTCCCCTGGGATTTCAGACAACTCTCCTTCTACCACTTCACAACATACAAGCTGCAACCCTTCCAACCCCTACTTCCACAAGCTAACTTCCAGTTTTTTTCAAGGTAAAGTATCATGTTTATGGTATTGTTTATGCATTTCTTAACCACTTAACATGTATAAAACTCTGCTACCATTTTTTATTAGGATATTTTTTAATGAGTCAGGGATGACTTTTTTTTTTTGAGATGGAGTCTCGCTCTGTCACCCAGGCCAGAGTGCAGTGGCGTGATCTTGGCTTACTGAAAGCTCCGCCTCCTGGGTTCATGCCATTCTCCTGCCTTAGCCTCCCTAGTACTGGGACTACAGGTGCCCACCATCACACCTGGCTATTTTTTTGTATTTTTAGTAGAGACAGGGTTTCACCGTGTTATCCAGGATGGTCTTGATCTCCTGATCTCGTGATTCACCCACCTCGGCCTCCCAAAGTGCTGGGATTACAGGCGTGAGCCACCATGCCCAGCCCTGATGAAATTTTTTAATGCTGTGCACCTAACTCCATTTTCCCCATAGGTCTTGTGATTTTTACTGTAATTCTGCAAAACATGGTTTTTAGGGATATATGTATTTGTGTTAAAGCAGAGCTGATGAAAAAGATCACCTTTTGTCCCTCCACTTAACATATGCTGACTGCTGATAGCCTCTCAAAATTCCATGCCAGCTTTCCTGATTCTATACATCTGTAACATTATTATTTGAGGGACAGAAACTTTAAAAATTAAAAACAACCATCAAAAATACATCAAGCCCTTGCTGTGGCAGGCACCATACTAAGCCTTAATAAGCCATTTCTTTGACTTTTCCCAACAACTCTCTGTGCAGAAGCTACTGTTATACTCACTTTATAGATGAGAAAACTGATGCAAAGAAAGGTAAACTTGCCCAGCGCCACATAGCTAACACATGGTGAAGAGGACATGTGAACACCAGGAATCATTTTGTAGCATATTTTCTACTGAATCTGATGAACTTGCAAGTGCCTGATTGCATGCCGCTGACTAGGGGTGTTGCCCGACAGGTCTGGACGGACTGAGCTTGAGAAATGATCAACATGGCCTTTGGCTAGAGATTTACTGCATCCATCCTTGGAAAAGGAAAAGAAAAGAAATGGCCAGTGAAAAGTTCAAATTCTTACTTTGTGGATATAACATGTCCTAGTTGCCACAAGATTACCATGTTTTTCAGCCATGCCCATGAAACCATCTTTGCAAAAATCATAACAATTAAAAAACAATGACAGTGAAAGGGATCTATCTGATCTAACCAACTCCCATCTTGCCTTGAACCTCCGGACTGCCTTAGTCATTCCTGGGCTTGGGCCAAGCTAACTTTGGGAGAAATTTATAGTTTAAATGATAACAGCCCTTCCCCAAAACTAAACCACCTTTGTAAAGCAAATGAAAGACCACCAGGCTAGGTGGATGAGAGGAGCACGAACTCTGCTAAGGGGTAGACCTAAACAATTACAAGCCATTATTCTGGAGGTCACAAGATTTGCAACTTCCCCCAATTACTCCTGCAGATAACATCACTATTGTAGAACCTAAGATTGGTCTTCTGAGATGTCTTTTCAGGCTTTTGTATTTCTGACTACCATGGCTCCACTTGGACCTGCCAACCAGTCCTGTGGCCCCACCAAGAAGCAAATTCTGCACACCCCTCTGATTGCACCCCCAACCAATCAGCAGCACCCATTCCCTTGCCTGCCAAACCATCCTTGAAAAACCCTAGCCTCCAAATTTTCAGGGATGCTGATTTGAGTAAAAATAAGACTCCAGTATCCTGTTCAGCTGCCTCTGTGTGAATTAAACTCTTTCTGTGTTGCAGTGCCTCTGTCTTGATAAATTGGTTCTATATAGGCAGTGGGCAAAATGAACCCATTTGGCAGTTACACTCAGACAGTGGATCTTTGTGTAGGTTCTTCAACAGTGTTGTGCCAGCCTACAGGATGAAACACCAAGCTCACAGAAGAGTGTTCATTTAAAAGAAAGCAACACTAATGATCCACACAACATCCTGAATTTGTTATGTCCCAGAAAGGCTTATCATAAGTTCAGTAATTCTGGTTCATCTACCAAGATAAGTAAGTGTGTTTGATTTTGTAAGGTATGCAGCAGTGATCTCCTATTTTGGTGTTTTTCAATACAATTTTGGTTATGTGCAAATAAAAAATTGATGAAATTTTATTTTCCTTCAATATCAACTTAAATGGTTCTTACATCTATAAAGCTTTTTCTGACTCTGTGGGGAGGCAGTCACAACTCTGCTCTCAGAATTGAACTTTCTCCCTTTTATTCATTCAGCAAATGTTTATTGAGTACTTATTAGGATTGCTATGCTAGGTGCTGGGATTCTAACATGGAAGGTGACTTGGCCATTGCCCTCAGAAACTAACAAACTACTGCGGCAAACAAGCCAATGGGCCACTTAAGGCACCTGAGTAAGTGCTCCAATAAAGGTTTTGGAGGGCTCTGAGGCAGGGAAGAGGGGGAGAAGCATGTTTAGCCTGCGGAATAGGAGGTCAGAGAGGATGCTTGAGTTAAGTATTGAAGAGGGAACAGAACATACAAGATCAGAGGTATGAAACCAAATGACCTCCAGGGAAATTACAAATAGCTTTGTAAGAACAAAGTGGTGTGGGAGAACAGTGGGAGGGGTAGAGAGGAGCCAGGTTAAAAGGGTCTCAGATTCAAGAAGTTTTGAACTTACCCTGAAGGCTTAGTGATGTGCTTGGTCAAGCACAACTGTGACCCAGAGTGTTCCCTCTCTCTCCTTGTCATAGCATTGTGAGTATACCTCTATTAAAGCATTTATTACAAATGCTTTAACTGCATATCCTTCTGTCATAGCATTTATCACAATTCTAATTCCATATGGAGAACTGCTGAAAAGAAAGCAAAGTGGAGATGATACCAGGTTGCAGTAATCCAAGCAAGAAGTGATTGAGAGGAATGCATGTTCCTACAGGTAGACTCTGATTGGATGTCGGTGTTAAGTAAAACAATCTCTGGCTCAGATAGCGGTGGATGAAAGGGCTTACAGAAGAACAGCTTTAGGGGATTGAGCAGGAAATAGTCTAGTCAGCAGACCTGGGTTGCCTGTGTGTTAACCCAGCAAAGGTCTGTCTTCAGGACTGGAAAATGACCTCTGAGTCTTACACATTCTGCCTGCTAAGAGTGATTTTGCATGCCTGAGGCCTCGGGCCATGCTGTACCGGTGTGACTAGGTAAGTTTATCCTAACAATGTGATTTATGGTGAATGCCTTTTTTGCCTGTGGGCTGGAGTCTGAGTAGCTGAGATCAGTCACCTGGGTAGGCACTGCATACCTACCTGATGACCCCCAATAAAAACAATAAAAATCCTGAGCACCAAGTCTTGGGTGAACTTCTGTGGCAACACTTCACATGTATTGTCACATATTGCTGTGACTCCACTGGGAGAGGATACCTGGAAGTTTGTGCTTGCTTTTTCCAAGACTTTGCTCAGGTGCCTGCCCCTTTGCTGATTTTAATCTGTAACCTTTTGCGGTAATAAATCATGACCATAAGTATAACAGCTTTTCTGAGTCCTGTGAGTCTTTCTAGTTCATGTGAGTTCATCAAGCTTAAGGGTGATCTTAGGGACCCCTGACACAGGGATAATGAATTGTTCTGGACATATTGAATTTAAGGGTCTCTGAGCCATTCAAGTTCGTGTGGATGAACTTGGGTTTTTATTAGGGTTCCTCAGGTAGGTATGCAGTGCCTACCCATGTGAATGCCTACTGTTGGCAATTGGATATATAAGTTTGGAGCTCAACAGAGAGGTCTGGGATAGATATTGAGATCTGAGAGCCAATACATAAGTGGCTGTTGAAGCTAGGGGCATACATGAGGTCACAAAAAAGAGACAGATGGTAGAATGAGAAGCAGAAGGTAGAGACTTGGGTATCACTGGCATTCAAAAATCAAATGTGCAGGTATGGTGGCACATGCATATAGTCCCAGCTACTTGGGAAACTGAGGCAGAAAGTTTGCTTGAGCCCAGGAGTTCAAGGCAGCAGTGAGCTATGATCACACCACTGCACTCCAGCCTGGCCAACAGAGTGAGACCCTGTCTCTACTTCAGAAAGAAAAAAGAGAAAAGAAAAAGAAAAAAGAAAAGGCAAATATGGAAGAAAAGGCTCTTTTATGGAGTGAAGAGACAGAGAGTTGAGAGTCAATATCAAGAAGATATCAAGGCCAGGCATGGTGGTTCTTGTCTGTAATCCCAGCACTTTGGGAGGCGGAGGCAGGTGGATTGCTTGAGCCCAGGAGTTTGAGACAAGCCTGGGCAACATAGTGAAACCCTCCCTCTATAAAAAATACAAAAATTAACTAGGCATGGTGGTGTGCTTGTAGTCCCAGTTACTCAGAAGGCTGAAGCGGGGATCACTTGAGCCCAGGAGGTCAGGTTGACGCTGCAGTGCAGTGGTGATAGCACCGCTGCACTCCAGCCTGGGTGACAGAGCAAGACCCTGTCTCAAAAAAAAAAAAAAAAAAGCCACCCTTAGGAAGGAGAGAATTCCAAGGAAGTTCAAATGTTATAAAGAAAACAATATATAGAAAAACGCTGGCAGTATTGTGGTCATTAGTAACTTTAAGGAGGGTTCCTCTGCATTTCCTAAGTTAATTTAACCAATATTTATTGAGTACCTGCTGTGTCCCGAGCCCTCATGAACTCAGTATAAAAGGAGACACCCAGGTAATTGATTGTATCTTGAGTGGATATCTCCCTGGAGAGAGTGCAGCAGAGGGGAACTCCTCAGTACCTCATGAGAGTGGGAGGATGGTTTTGTGTCCTGAGCTGTATCTTAAAGGATAAGTAGGAGTGAACCAGGAGGGATATGTCCAGGGCACCACTCACAGTGGGGTTTTGGGTAGCATAAAAGGCAAAGCAGGGGACCAGACACCAGACCAGCAAGATAGTCTGGAATCTGATCCCTCAAGGGGAGCTTGGGCATTATCCTGAAGGCATTTCCTGGAAACACTGAAGGATGTAATACAGAGGAGTAAAAAGATGACTCACACTTTAAATAATAATTCACTT
This sequence comes from Homo sapiens, assembly GCF_000001405.40. Lineage (NCBI taxonomy): Eukaryota > Metazoa > Chordata > Mammalia > Primates > Hominidae > Homo > Homo sapiens. The sequence goes on along the minus strand of NC_000001.11, from coordinate 84,633,089 downwards.
GGCAGTTCTGAGAATGACCTAAGGGAAACAGATCTGGGGGCAAGAAGGGCTCTTAGGAGACTAATGCACCAATCCTGGTGTTTGGGTGTGTGGGTACGAAGTTCTTTCATTTGCAGTTGCTGTATGAGTTTATTTTTCTGCCTTAACTAAGGTCCCTGAGAAAAACAGAACCACGTTTTATGCTTTTGTAAATTTCCTCTTTCTCTCCAAGCTGAGCATGTGGTCCATCATGAGCCATCTGGGAAAATACACTTTTATACTGGGAACCTTTCTGACATATGCATGCTTTTCAGGAAATTGGGAAGTATATCCTAATTGAAAATTAGTTTCAGAGTTGAGATACATTGTAGGACTCAATATATTGCCCTTATTAGAAGGCAAATCTTTTACTGTCATACACATGACTAAGCTGGACCTCAGGAAGAATTCATTTCTGTTTTCTACATTTAATTGACATGAAGGTTTATTCATCCCTACCATTATTAATATCAAGAAAATGGACAGAGGCACTAGCATTATTTTAATCAGGTTAGTTCTAGATAATGGGTGAATTATCCTAGGAAGAGAAGAACTAAAACTGGCCCCTGGCAAACTCCTAATGATGAGTCTGTACTGCCATCATTGGTGGTGTCCCTCGGCAGCTCAAGGCCATGTTGGGTGAATGTGGGCCTGTGGGGAAGTCCTGTAGTGCTCCCTGGAGAGCCTGGGGAGAGACCACCAGCAGTACCCAGCTGTTTAGTAACCACGCTCTGATTGGTGTGTCTCATAATCGGTAGTGCTGGGCAGCTGTTATATCTAGAACAAGTTTCTGCTGGCGGCCGAAGTCCACTGTTTTTGACATTATGGTCCTTAGAGGACGGTGATAATGGTCATGTGTAACCTGCCAGAAAGTTAATTGTTCACAGCAGCTTGAGTGTAATATCTCCTGGTTATACTAGTATAAAAAGGCTTTCTGCAAGAAATGCAATATGAATTGGGCCTCCAAAATCTAGGTTTCTCTGTGCCTTTTTAAAATTAAAACTTTAAAAAAATGCCTGGAGCTAAAAAGAGAGAAAAAATAGAATTAACTCATTTATAGATTATTAAAAACCCAATATGCTCTACGACATAGAAAAGTAAGCATATATGTTCTTATTCAAAAATTTCATCAGATGTGTATTTCATCAGAATGATAGGGCAAAATTGATATTTAAGATCAGAAATACACCTGAAAGATCAGGACTCTGGTATCCACCTAAACCATGGTAGAACATATGTAAGGTTGAGAGAGAAAAATGTAGGTTGGGATGTTGAATGGACAGCTGTTGCTGGATTTGTATTGAATTGATGCTTCTTCGCTTCAGAAACAGCTCTTCTGGCATGATGGTGACCTGCCATGGAAAATGCTGGGTCCCAATGCCCAAGTGACTGTAGTTGTGGCTCAGCCAGGACCCGACCATTTAGATCACCTGTTGTTAGACACGCAACACTGTCAACATAGGTAAGTTTCCACTTTTTATGAGCCATGTTAAAAAAGGTAAAATTAAACAGGTGGAATTCATTTTAATAATAGGTTTTATCTAACCCAATCTATCTAAACTATTATCATTTCAAACTATAATCAATGTAAAATTACCAACTGATTTTACATTTTTTTCATACTCAATCTTTGAAATCCAGTGTATATTTTATACTTACAGCACATCTCAGTTCAGACCAGCCACATTTCAAGGCCTCAATAGCCGCAGGTACGTAGGCTTTCGTAATGGACTTCACAGCTCTACGAGTGGACCCAGAAAGAATATTTAAAGGGAAAACACTTTAGTTCCATTAAGCCAAAGCAACTTATTTTCTAGTAGTACTTATAGGAATATTTTTTTTGTTGTCATTAAATTCCATCCTCTTTTCCATGCTAAGGTTGCTATTATTAAGAAACTTAGTTTGGTGAAACAGACACTAAAATAGTTACCATGTGAGAAGTAGCATGTTAAAAAATGCTATGTGAACACAGAGAAGAAAGTCAAAGACCCCAAGATAAAATCAAAACTGTGTTTCCCTATAGCACAGTGATGTTGACTTAATTAACCATCTGTTTATCTCAATGCACCTATACCTTTTCTGGAGCTTTCATTTCCCCATAGCTCACTATATTCCTTTTCTATTGCAACATTAACAAGTTACCACAAACTTGGAGGCTTATAGTAACACATTATTATTTCACAGTTCCTGTGGGTCAGCAGCCTGTACACAGCTTACCTGGGTCCCCTGCTTGGGGGGATCTCACAAGGCTTCAATCAAGATGTCAGCCCAGGCTGTGGTCTCCACTGAGGCTCCGTGGGAAAGACCCTGCTTCCAAGCTCACCTAGGTTGTTTGCAAAATTCGGTTCTTTGCAGCTGTAGAATGGAGGGCTTCAGTTTATTTCTAGCTATGCTGTGGGGCGGGGTGGGGGAGCTGCCCTCAGATCCTAGAGGTCACCTGCAATTCCTTGCCACTTGACTATGTCCACAGAGGTGGTCCATGCATTTCTGCTTCCTTTGCCAAAGCCAGCAACAAGAGACTCCAACAAGACACATCCTACCATCTCATGTATGCAATCCCGTGCAGGCAATCATGGACATGTCCATCACATACATAACCACGTCCATTCCATCACCTTTGCTGTATTCTATTGGCCCACTCAAAGGGTGTGGACTAATTAGGGAGCGAGAATCAGCCCTCTTAAGTCAGCCCTCTCTATTTCATGTGCCAACTCTCTAGAATATTGATCCTTTTGGTATTTTAAGTCATATCTATTGTCACTGGAAATCCTTTTTGAAGTAGAAAGGACAGAGCTCACAAAATACAAACCGCGCCACTATTCCTGCCTGTCATTTAGAGTTTTGCCAGGGGAGCAGGTTGATTTCAGTCTTTTCATGGAGTTTACTGTTTGATATGATGATATCTTTACCCCCATAATTAATTTTATTTTTAGTTTTGAGACATGGTCTCATTCTGTCACTCAAGCTGTAGTGCAGTGGTGCCATCTTGGCTCACTGCAACCTCAACCAGCCCAGGTTCAAGAGATCCTCCCACCTCAGCTTCCTGGGACCACCCCAGTGGGATCACTGGCGCAAACCACTATGCCCAACTAATTTTTAAAAATTCTTTGTAGAGAGGGGGTTTCACTATGTTGCTCAAGCTGGTCTCAAGCTCCTGGGCTCAAGCAATCTGCTTGCCTTGGGCTCCTTTGGGATCCCACAAAGTGCTGGGATTACAGGTGTGAGCCACCACACCTGCCCCCGCCCCATAATTAATTTTAAGTTAATCTCCACATTTCATTATCTTGGGCTAGATTTCGGGGGAGGGGCCTAATTTAGCTGGCATGTGCCCCATTGGGTGAATCGAATAAAAGCATAGCTGCCCTGGCATGGATCTGTGAACAAAAGTTCTCTGAAAAGAAATTTGGAAGAAAGACTTCATTCAGGAACAGTTCACAAACTTTCTGTGTAAACCAGTTACTTTCCAGAGAACAAAGGGAGGATCCTGGTTTTATAGTAAAAGTTCATGCTCAGGTTGCCAATCAGGTCCATTTTATGAAAATGAAGGCTTTAAATTTGCTTAGTTCTGTTTGGTTGATGCAGCTGCATTCTGATTAGTGGTTAGAACTGAGCCCTAATTGGTTCTTTCAGATGAGCTCTGATTGGCTGCTTTAGGTGAGCTCTGAAAGCCCCACTGTTAAACTGAGGTTGGGGGTTTCCAGGGAAACTCCGAGTATATGAGTTCTAGTCAGCAAATGGCCTGGCCACTTGGCTCTCTTTAAAATTTTGGCCCAGTTAGGTACTTGGGATCCATCTTGAAGGATTGGCTCTTGAAGGATTTGTTCTGAGAACACTTGTGAACTTGAGAGGCCCAGTAAGGCAGAGTGAAAACCAGAACGCTTGGCACCTATCAGTTAGCACAGGATCCTTCCCTGGAACATCAGCATCCCTTATAAGTGTGTCTAACGGCCAACTCGTAGACAGAGCTATTGTTAATACACTGTTCTGAGTATCCCTCTGTGAACACCTTCATCTGGTTGATACAGGAAAATTAAGGAAGACAAAGTTTTGGGAAAGTGATTGAAATCGTGGAATAATCAAAGCAAATCAATGGCAGCTTGTGTTTAAAATTAAAAACCAACTGTCAAGCATGGCATTTACCTAAAGTAATTTCCAAAAGTAATCAACAGAGTGAACAACACCCAGTGGGCCAGGACCATGTCAACGTTGGCTCATTTTCAGAAACAACATGGTGTCAGGGCTCCATGTTCATGGACACCATGAGGGGAGTCTCCTAGCAATGACCCTCTTCTCTCCTGCAGGAAGTCCAAGGTCCTTTGCATGGCAGTCTTATCCCCAAATGGCATTTGCTTTCGACCCATGGTATTTCCATATTCCATGAAGAAAACTTTAAAAATATAGGCAAATCACCCTGCAAGTATCCAGAGAGTTTCCAGGGGGTTTCTCACACACACACACACGCACACACACACACACACATGTTTAGTGGGGATCTTTTAGGTCAATACATATAGATCTACATCATTATTAGTTGTTGCTTGGTGGGCCACTGCATGAATGGTTAATAATTGTTTAATTTTTCCTAGTTAGACAATAAAGATTTTTAAAGAATATATCTTTGCATACTTGCTTATTTATTTGATTAGGATAAATTCCTGAAATTGGAATTGTTAAACCAAGAAATACGCATATTTTTAAGGCTTTTGTTATGTTTTGTCAAATGATCCTCAGAAAGAATGTTTATTAATTCACATTTCCACTAGCACTACACGATAGAACTATTGGGTATTTTTTATGCTGTTACCTTTGCTGGTTTTATAAATAAAATATTCTCTTGTTCTTCTTGTCTTTTTTTTTCTTTTACTACTGAACTTGAAGATTTTTTTTCACATTTTCACTAGCCATTTATATTTTTTCTACTTCAAGTCTTTACTACTTTTCAATGAGGCCTATCCTGACCACCCTACTTCAAATTGCAAACCAACCCCCCGACCCCTGACATTCCTGATATCCCTTTACCTTTCTCTGCTTTATCTTTTTTCCTATTGTAATGATCATTTCTAACATAATATATAATATACTTATTTATTAATAAGTACGTCCTCCCCAGCCAAGTTCTGGGAAGTGGAGGGGACTCCGATCACATCGAATATACAGCCTCTTCCTTGGCTTAGATAAGAGACAAGACAAACTCTTATTCTCCTGACACTGCAGCTCCTGTCCTTAGATGACTCGGGGATAGTTATTTTACCTGGACTTAAAGGTTATTCCCAAACTGCAGGGAACATGTGAAATATCATCTGACTTCCTAATTTTTTGTTCATGTATATACATACATACATATACACACACTAATATATATATATATATGTGTGTGTGTGTGTGAATATTTTAACATTTTAAAGTTTATGAAACTGGAATATGTTTTATGCTCAATGTATACATTAAACATACTTGGCTTGTTTTTCTGAAAAGCTGTTATTTATGATTTATGTCCAACTGATTATGTCTTAAAATAATAAAATATATAAAGTGAACCCTAGTGCCACTGACAGTGTTTAGATTACAACTCTAGACCTCTTGAAAAATTGTTACAAGAAGAATATCATTTACTTAAAATTGTTAAAGAAGCATTCTGATTCCTAATGTTTAGTCTCTTTTATTATTTATTTCAGAACAGAGTCATACAATAAATGTTGACAGAGTGTCTACTATATGTTAGACACAGTTCCAGGTACATAGGATACATTAGACTACAGCTGGGTTAGCAAGCTTTTTCTCTCAAGAGCCAGATAATAAATATTTTAAGCTTTGCTAACCGAGAGGTAAAATCGAGAATATTAATGTAGTTACTTACATAATAAGAGAGAAAACAAATTTCCACAATTTTCTTATTGATGAAATTCATAACAAAATAGCAGTAATCAGTTTTAAAGTTACTTTTCTCTACCATCAAAATTAATTGCAAATCTTAATTGGTTAATGTCAACTTGCAATGAGATTTTACATATTTTGTCCTTAAAAATGTCCTTTCACACAGATAGGTTCTACCTAATACCAACATCTTTCCATGAACGTATCATTTTAATTGAACATATTTATTGTTTGGAAGGTGTTTATAGAATTAGATTATTGGCTTAATATTTGTCATTTAGGATGCCATTACATTCCAAATTAATCACTTCCAATTGGAGGTTAGGTGAAGCTCTTTAATTATAAGTTAAATGGACTTTGAAATATGAAATTTTCATTGCATTTGCTTTGAGGTCTGTAACAAATGGCTGAAAGTGCATTGGCAATGTGGCCCACCCAATCTGCAGTGTAGGATGCCAACCTGCATTTGGAAATACAAGGCAAAGGGTTCATTCCACCAGGAGATGGAGTTGGCAATGGAAGTGGTCAGGAATTCAGGTGATGTTCAGGTTCTAGTCCTCACAGCATCTGAGCAGAAACCCAATCCCATGGACCAGGCCAGTGGTTCTCACCCACAGCTATGTGGCAGGAAATTAACTACGATACAGTATTAATGCTTGTGAATGCATTGTTTTTCTAACGTAATTTAGGCCCAATTCAATCGTATCCTTACTGTTATTCCCACACGATTGCAGTTTATTCGTTGTTGTTGTTGTTGTGTTTTTTTGAGAGAGATAGGTATGGTTTAACTATTAGCATGGAGGATGTGTGCTGTGCACATAAACATCGCCATGTGAGGACTGGAGGAAAAAAACACTCACCTGAGATGCAAGACTGCTATCAAGAAATGACCCACTAAATAAAAACAAAAAACAAGAAACAGAAATGACCCACTGCAGCAGTGCTGTAGGAGCTCAGAACTCACCACCTCAGAGACCATGGTAATGGCAATGAAGTAACTCTACATCCCGCATATCCCTGGATCACAGGCTACTGATGGATTGCTGGTGTTGGCTTTCTCCAAACTGGATGGCTCTTGTTTTAGTCCGTTTTCTGTTGCTATAACAGAATACCACAGACTGGGTAATTTATGAAGGAAAGAAAGTATATTTAGCTCACAGTTCTGGAAACTGGGAAGTCCAAGAGTATGGCACTGGCATCCGTGAGGACCTTCCTGCGGCATCATAACATAGCAGAGGGCATGACATGGCAAGAGAGCAAGAAAGCCACAGCTTGCTTTCACAAAAAAAGCCACGATGGTGACATCCATTCATTCATGAGAGCGGAGCCACCATTAATCAATTTATGAGAACAGAGGGATTAGGTTTCCAACACAAAACTTTTAGCGGACACATTCAAACCATAGCAGCTTTTTACCTGCAGGTTGAAATTGATCACTTCCGCATTGAAGTCACAGGATATTCTTCTCATTGAGGTTTGGAAGGAGTTGTCTAAAGCGTTTCTCCTGGAATTCCTGCAGAAAATAGTTAGCTTAACCCATTGCTGCCTGACCCTGGCTGGGGGAGGGTGGTCAGAAATGAGGTACCCCAAATCAGAATATTAGGGTTGCATTGAGTACTTTCTGGAAGCTGCCTGTGCATGTACGTCCACCTTCTGAGAAACCCCTTTTTTCCCTAATAAACTACAAAGGAAAGTGAGGGGAATGGGGGCAGTAGTGCTGATGGCAGGAGAGATAGTAGAAGCTCTGAAAATGCTGCCTCCAGGCCCTACCTATCTTTTGCTCTGCTCATATGTACTGGAGAGAAGAAGGCTCTCTCCTTAAACAACAACCTTTGCAGAAATCCTATTCACAGCTCCCCAAAGGCTGAGAGTGAATTTTCAAAAGATGAATTATTGTACTATATAATTGGCTTAACTTAATATCTGGGTAAACGGAGCTAGCACTGGCTCAGTTTGGCGGGGCTTGCTCTAGGAGCCTCATTTTCTTCTCTCCCTGAGGACAGGATCATGTGCATGATGTCCTTGTGCCCCCACTGTCACCAACTGCAGTGAGAAAGGTAGCTCGGAAAAGGGGTTCTCAAAGAAGCCTACAGCAAAAGGGTTATCCCTCAGGGACAGCATGGTGTGTGCCTGTGTGCACATGAACATCATCTTAGATAGTTCATTTTGTCTGGACACATTGGTTCAGCTACAGCGATTAACTGCATGGTGGCTTGAGCTCTATTCCCGGTGGCTGGGTGTCCAAACTGGTCCTTGAGCAGTGCTCACAGTCACAGGAGCCACAGACTGCAAGACTCACCCCTGAACACAATGAGCACTTAGCACGGGCAGTGAGAAAGCTGTTTATCATCCTCTGCACCTGGGCAAAAGAGACGAATAAATCCTAATGTGAAAGTTCTGACTTTAGGTGAGGTATTTCACCTTATCCTGTCCTCAAAAGTCATCTCTAAATGTTCCTGCTTCTTATTTTCAAGCTTGGAGGGCCTATCTTTCTTTACTCATTGTGTATCCCAAGAGAAATTTGGGTGTGGGGGGGTGGGGGCAGAGGATAGGTGTCCTTGCAGTCCAGTTTGATCCTAGAAGGGGTGACTCTGCCCTTGCCCTTTAGGATAACATGGCCAAATTAGGGTAACAAGAGGGTTGCAATTCTCTTATGTTTGAGTGTATACTTTTTAAACAGCCAAAAAATGCACAAATAAGAATAAGGCAAGATGTGGCTGGGCACGGTGGCTCACGCCTGTAATCCCAACTCTTTGGGAGGCCAAGGCAGGCAGATCACCTGAGGTCGGGAGTTTGAGATCAGCCTGACCAACATGGAGAAACCCTGTCTCTGCTAAAAATAAAAACTTAGCCAGGTGTAGTGGTGGGTGCCTGTAATCCCAGCTACTCAGGAGGCTGAGGCAGGAGAATTGCTTGAACCTGGGAGGCGGAGGTTGTGGTGAGCCGAGATTGCGCCATTGCCCTCCAGCCTGGGCAACAAGAGGGAAACCACCGCCCCCCCACCCCCCACCCCCCAAAAAAAGAACAAGGCAGGATGTAAACTATGTGACTTAATGGAAAAATTCATACTGGTTGCTTAGCCAGGTCAGAATTAGATAACCATCTTCTATGGGGTCAAGTATAAGTACCCAGCTGCTTCTGTGTCCCCACTCAGCTCAGAGCTTAGTCTTTGAAACTGGTAAATAAAGCTGCACCAGAAAGTGTTGCGCATCAAACTGGTCAATTAATAGTTACAGCGGTTCAGGTCAGAGTATCTCTCTCTAAACAGTCCCTGATAGAGATAATCATCCCACCAGTTCTGAGAAATGTAGAGAAAACTTGTATCTTAAGTGACTCATTTAACATTAAAGCAGCCTATTAAGTTGTCTATTTTGAAATTTCACTCTATAAAATTTTCAGAAGACTTCTAAGTGCATATTCAGCTTTGTTATGGCATGTGAAGAACATTATTAAAGAGAAAAAGATTCTAAGTGCATAGAGAATAATGGGCTCACCCTCCCACTAGTGAACACTTAAGAATCTGACATCTTCCACCCATTTCTCTGTGTCCCTTGCAAGGGGACAGTCATGCCCTGGGCAATCCCAAGGAACACTCCTTTCCCATCTTCTACTGGAGATGGTGGAAGTACCATCTAAAAGTCTTAGGTGCTACATTCTGGTACTGGCCCTTTCATGGCCAAGATATGTTCCTTTGGGCAAGTTGTTCAAACTCTCTAAGCCTAGTTTTTCAACTGCAATAAAGATGATTCCAGTTCAAAATCTGGGCAAGTGTGAGTTACTGCCACTACGTGCAGTCAAGTTCTGTCATGTTTCCTCCATCAAGCTACCCAGCAGGCTTGGGAGAATCAAATGTAAGGAGGTGTAATGCTACCAAGTTTAGAAAATCTACTAATGCTGCTTCAAGACAACAACTTCCCTCCTTCTAGCTCATTTGAATCCCACAGCAATCAGGAAACATAACTGTCAGGTAATATTTTTATTTCCTTTTGGGATGAGCAAACTAAGCTTAAGCGAGGTTAGGTAATTTACTCAGAAGCACATAGCTAATAAGCAGACTAAGAAGAACTTGGGCCTTTAACTGAATACTGCAGACTTTCTACCCCACTCGCTGACTCTATTAAAAACGCAAACTGGCCAGACCAGGCATGGTCCACCAGTCTTACCAGTGTCACCCAGGTGCTGGCTTGTATTAGGTTGGTGTAAAATTAATTGCGGTTTTGGTCACTACTTTTAATGGCAAAAACTGCAATTACGTTTACACCAACCCAATACTTCCTGATGCCTTTATTTTTACCAAGCAGAAGGGGAATGCACCCCTTCCTCATGCTTCCACACAGGAAAATATACTCTACTAAGCATTGCTGAGCAATGTTGATCTCACTAGAGACTTCATTTCATGGGGATAGAAACATTGGAGAATTTGACTTTGTATCTCCACACACCACATCATCATCACCACCAAAGATGGTTTTTTTCCTACAGGCTCTTCTCTCTGCCTCAGCCTCTATCAGGCTGCAGATGACCAGACAGGGAGAAAAGAAGGGGAGAGAGAGAGAGAGAGAAAGAGAGAGAGAGAGAAAGAGAAAGAGAGAAAGAGAGAGAGCGAGAGAGAGATAGAAGCAGAGCCTAGGATGCTACATGTAAACAGTGAAGTAGATACACCACTCCCAAATCAATGACTGTAATCCAAACTCTAACCACATCCTGCAGAGAGGGGCAGGTTCAGAATTTCCATAAGGAAGAGTGTCACTTAGGGGGCCCAATCTAGCTGGAAGGAATGGGGGTGCATTGTTTTGACACTGCATGTGCAAAGCAAACACATTGTTTTCATTTAGCTTGTGTGCTTATCTGGGGTGACATTGGCAAATCAGAAACATGACTATATGAAAGAGTGTTTGTGTGGAGGAAAAAAAAGACAAAGACAGTGACCAAAGAGACTTCAGCACTCTGCCAGGTGAAGGAAAAAGGTGCAAAGGCCCAGACTGTTCCCCCAGTCGGGAACTCACAGCCTAGGAGGGAGGCATGTAGTCAGTGAAACTCAGCAGGAAGAAGCATGGGTCCAGGGGTTGGGATGGGGGCTGAAGTTCCATCATATGATGAAATACTCTCTGAGCATTCTAGTTTTTTATTTTCCTATTTTGAGACGTTGTTTCACTCTTGTTGCCCAGACTGGAGTGTGATGGCACGATCTCAGCTCACTGCAGCCTCCGCCTCCCAGGTTCAAGCGATTCTCCTGCCTCAGCCTCCCGAGTAGCTGGGATTACAGGCGCCCACCATCATGCCCAGATAATTTTTCGTATTTTTAGTAAAGACGGGGTTTCACCATGTTGGCCAGGCTGGTCTTGAACTACTGACCTCAAGTGATCTGCCCCCCTCGGCTTCCCAAAGTGCTGAGATTACAGGCGTGAGCCACCGCGTCCGGCCCGAGCCTTCTAGTTATGAAAGTGAACTTTGAGACCAAGTTTTCTTCCTCCCGGGACCCACTGACCACCGCCACCTACTTACCCCCAGCCAACAGCTGAGGAGGAAAAGACAAGCTTTCTTGGGAACCAGAGCAGTTTATCAAACCAAGAAGCAGCAAGGCCCCGTTTTTAAGGCCAGGGAGCCCCTACTCCCTGCCATTTGGCCGTTCTGTGTTCTCTTCAACGGCGCCAGTTCGACACGGGGCCTGACTCCTCGACAGCATTGCCTGGTTGGTTTAAATATATACTTACCATGATATATAATTGTGTATAGAAAAAGACACTAGGAGAAAATACCCTAAACATGTGTTTATCTCTGAATGATGAGATTAAAGGTATTTCATTTTCTTTTTTATGCTGTGTTTTCTACCCCCCCAAAAAAATTTTTTTATAATGAATACGCATTACTTTGGAGAATAGAAAAAAAAATTGTTTTTGCTTTAGAAACACACACACACACACACACACACAGGTGGAGGGAAATAAGGAGGGAGAGGCAAGGAGGTGGGAAATAGCCATAACCCAGTCTCAGGAAGCCACGCGTGGCTGACCCAGGCTGGCAGCCCCTCCCGCGGGGATAGGGGGATCTGAGGCCCTCCCTGCCCGCCCGCTCGGCCGCCCGCGTGCCCCGCCCCTCGGCCCCGGCAGAGGGCGCTATGGAGCCGGGCGCTGGTGAGTTCTAGCCCTTCGCCAGGAACGGCGATTCTCAGCGTCCTCTCCGGTGGAGGACAGAAGGCATCCCAGGGTCGCGGGAGAGCCAGCGCAAAGTGGAAGGCACCTTGTACGCTGTGAAGCGGAGATGCAGATGTTACCCTAACCAGAAGCCCACCCCGCCACAAATACTGGAGCGCCCAGCATGCGTGCGCCACCCGCTTCCCTGCAGAGGGCGCCGCGGGCCCGCCTCGCCGAGCGCGGGGTGAGATCCCAGTAGCCCAGAGCAGCCCGCGGGGCAGGCCCGGGCTGCCGCGGACTCCTCTTGGTAAGCCTCCTGCGCCCAGAGCCTCCCCGCTGGAGCTCCACCCTCGCCCGGAGGCGGCTTGTTCACCCAGCGTGCGCCCAGGGGAGCGCCTGAGCCTGACGTGATCCCATTGCCCCCGAGACCCCAAGAGTGATTGCATTGGTTTTGCAAAAAAGGAAGGACGGAAGGGAGGGAGGGAGATAATACATAATAATATGTAGTTGTGAAAAATTCAAATAACGTGTATTTAAAAAATCAGTTCTTTCGGCCGGGAGCTGTGGTTCACGCCTGTAATCCCAGCACTTTGGGAGGCCGAGGCGGACGGATCATGAGGTCAAGAGATTGAGACCATCCTGGCCAACATGGTGAAACCCCGTCTGTACTAAAAATACAAAAATTAGCTGGGCATGGTGGCAAGCGCCTGTAGTCCCAGCTGTCTGGGAGGCCGAGGCAGGAGAATTACTTGAATCCGGGAGGCGGAGGTTGGAGTGAGCCGAGATTGCGCTACTGCACTCCAGCCCGGCAACAGAGCAAGACTCTGTCATAAATAAATAAATAAATAAATAAATAAATAAATAAATAAAAATTAAAAATCAGTCCTTTCTGCTGACTCCAAGTTTTAGAGCCTTACTCCTCTAATGCAAATTTTAAAAATCTCTGAATCTGCCTATCATCTATAAAACCCCTGCTTACCTCTGTAAGCCCCCTACTTCAAGATAGCCTGCCTTTTCTGCTGAACTAATGTATATGTGCCCTGTATTGATTTCTGTCTTCGCCTGTAACTCCTGCCCTCCTGAAATGTATAAAACCAAACACATGCGGCTGCCTCGGGACCACTTACTCAAGGCTTCTTGGGTTGTTTTCCGGGGGCGGAGGTTACTCATACTGGCTTGACTAAGCCTCTCTTTCAGATATTTTACAGACTTTGATTTTTCTGTTTACAGTATTAATCAAAATGTTAACATTGGTAACTTCTAGGGGTAGAATTATGAATGATTCTTGTTTCCTGAATGTTCTACAACATTCAGAAATGGTGTATTTGGGGTTGGGGGAGAATTGTTACTATTTTTAAATCCCATCTACTCTTGGGGCTGTCCTCATTCTACATAAACAGACTAATTCCGGGTGGCAGCTCTGTCTTTTTATCGTGCACGGAGAGATTAATCATCTCCCACCTACACCAAGCAGCACTTTAGGTTCCCTGGGTAACAGAACTGAAGGTTTGTATCTCAGTGACTAATGATTATAATGCCCTTGGCTACTTCCTGTATTTTTACCAGCTCCAGGAGCAGAGAACGTTCCCTGCTGGCTTCTGGGAAATAACAAACACAATGGTGATGCTATCAAGTCTCTGTGAATTTAAAAAAACCTTTACAAAGGGGCATTCTTTCTGTCTTGTTTTTTTCTGTTTTGTTTTGTTTTTTGTTTTTGTTTTTTTGAGATGGAGTCTTGCTTTGTTGCTCAGGCTGGAGTGCAGGAGCATGATCTCCGATCTCGGCTAGGTGCAAACTCCTTCTCCCGGGTTCAAGCGATTCTCCTGCCTCAGCCTCCGAAGTAGCTGGGACTACAGGCGCCCACCACAACGCCCAGCTAATAATGTTTCTATTTTTAGTAGAGACAGGGTTTCGCCATGTTAGCCAGGCTGGTCTCAAACTCCTGACCTCAAGCGACCTGCCCGCCCCGGCTTCCCAAAATGCCGGAATTACAGGCATGAGCCACTGTGCCCGGCCGCATTGTTTCTTTTTGAATCTTCAAAAGCAATTTTTAAAATTTTCTTTGATTTTTGAAGGCAGAAAACCCAAGTTCTGATTTGAAGCTTGTTCTAATCAACCTAGAGTCTTTTTGTCTTTGGGAGCTATATAGACATTACAAGTCTCTTCCTTTCCTTCCCAGCAGAAAAGCCTTTGATGCTGTATTCTTAGCACATGGAACCCTAAACCAAAGCCTGCACTGGGGCATTTGTGAGAAGCGTGTGTGCAAAGCCTGAGAGACTCCCCTTTTGGGCATGCTGCTGGGCAGGGGTGTTCTGGTTTGACTTTGTACATGTAAGTGACTTATTTTAAATACATGTATTTTTTAATCACAATTTTAAAGGTAAATTAAAATGGTTAACATTTTGGTAACAGAGGGAGGAAACAAACAAGAGCCCTGTGTAAGCCTTTCATTCCCTGCGGATCAACCATTTCTAGTAAGTTCCTGTAGAGTATCTACTTCATCAGCCAGTATGATCAGCAGCAGGGAGCCATTACTCCAGGGACATTCTCAGACTTTAACATTTCACCAAGTAAAATTCCAAAACAACTTTAGGAATTGGCAATGGTATGCCAGCTTTTGGTTTGTCGAATGAAATTATTAGGAACCTGCCATTTACTGGCACTACTCTTTTTACAAAAGAAAGACATGTAGACCACAAGAAATGGACATGATCTCAGAACAAAGGCTCTTAAAAAAGAAATTCACCTTATAGAATATTTTGTCATATTTTCCTTAATTTTTCATTTTTCCAAAATGAAAATATTGTTACCAACTTGCATTTTGCCCATTTGCCTGGCTTAGTCACTACAACCCAGTGATTATAATTGAATCTTTATTTGATGGGACCTAGTCTTAACATTTTAGGGCCATGATGCTGAGTATCAGTGAACAGTATCAAGAACATTGAGGTGAGAAATGTTAGATATTTGGCTGAATTCATACTAATTCTGGGATCTTATACTAATCCTGCAACCACACTTTCTAATTTAGACAGGTATACTACCATTTACTTTAATTTTAGATGAGATTGTTTTTGTTTCCGTTGAATTTTACTGTACTTTCTAGGTATTATAATTGAAGGTCTTTTTACTTGGATTTTTGTCTGTTGAAGGCACTCTGCTAGTGACCACCCAAAGAACTGAGAATTTTGATATCATACTCTTTGGTCTAAAGTCTCTTCCAAATTATAATCATTGAATTTCAAAAAAGCAGTGCTTTGAAGGTGGGTTGTACTAGCCAACAACTTAAATGAGTTGAGGGGAAGCACAATAAGAATCAATTGAAATGAAAGGAGTACTATATACAAACAACTTTTTTTAACCTTTTCTAGAACTGAAGCAGATACTAGGACAACATTCATCTTCCCATGCTTAAAAGCAATTAAGAAGGGCATGCAGTTTGTAGGAGAGCTCTCCTGATCTGTCAATGCCTGCAACGTGTAGCTCATATCTCAACCTGCTGACATTGTCCTGCCCGCAGGCCTGGTAGAATAAACACAAGGAAGCTCCCTGGATGATGAGACAGGCAGGAGGTTTTCTGGGCACAGGCTCTACTGTATTACAGAGTAGAAATAACAACTTCAATCTTAAACATGACTTTCTTTCCAAACTTGAAATTAGTTGGTGTTAAAGTATTTCAACCAGGGAAAGAAAAACCCTTTAGCAGTTTTATCTTGTCTTGAAATGGAAAACTGATCCAGGTCCTGGATGTCTGGGGAAACAGCATGCATTTGCAGCCTCAGATTTCTTGAACTGCGCTTCTTAAAGGACCTTCCATCAGAAAGGACTCTGCAGAAGACTCACACAACATTGGTGCTTCCGTAGGCTTCATCCTTGACTCTGTTCCCTCATTCTTTTCTAGGTCAGGCCATCTCAAACTTGTGGCTGCAGCTGTCACTTAGAGTCGCACACCTCCTGAATTGGTACCTCCAGCCCTGACTTCTCTTCAGTGCTCCAGACACATGTATTTCTCTGCTCGCCAAACATCTTCCACACAACAAGCACTTTAAACTGAAAATATTCCAAATCAAACTAATCACATTCTGCTTGCTATCAGCAGCCTTCTTCACTCTCTGATTCCTTTATTTTGGTTAGTAGCAGTGTCATTTACCAAACTGCTCCAGCCAAAAACCCTGGTGTCAGCCTAAACTCCACACTCTTCTTTCACCTCCATTGTCTAATAGTCACCAAAGTCTGTCCCCTCCTACCCTAGCATATCTCACCCTTCCATTCTCTTGTTTCCATCCCATTGTCACTGCCCTATTTCAGGCTCTCATCACTTCTCACCTGGACTAGGGCAACTGCTTTCTTGTTTCCATTAAAAATTTTTATTTATAATTGATAATAAGTATACATGTCTGTGGGTACAGTGTAATGTTTCAATACATGTATATATTATGTAATGATCAAATCAGAATAGTTGTCCATCACTTCAAGCCTTTATCATTTTTTTGTGATAACTTTAAAGGTGTTTCCTAGGTATCTTGCAATGTACAAAGCAGTTATTATTGTTATTAGCTATAGTCACCCTACTATGTACAGAATACGAGAAATTAGTTTTCCTATCTAACTGTAACATCCCCTCCGGAGCCTTTGGTCACCATTGTTCTACCCTCTGCTTCTATGAGATCAGCTTTTATAGATTCCACATGTGAGTGAGATCATTTGTCTTTCTGTGCTTGGCTTATTTCACTTAACATGATGTCCTCCAGGTTCATCCTCGCTGTTGCAAATGACAGGATTTTGTCCCTATTTATGACTGAATAGTATTGCATATATATGGAGATATATATATATATATCTCACATTTTCTTTATCCATTCATGCACTGATGGATACTTAGCTTGATTTCATCTCTTGGCTATTGTGCTAAGCCCTTACTATAGTGTTGCAGTGAACATGGGAGTGCCAATATCTCTTTTGACTTATTGATTTCCATTCCTTTGGATATATATCCAGTAGTGGAATTGCTGAATCATACAGCAGTCCTATTTTTAATTTTTTGAGGAACTTCCGTATTGTTTTCCATAGTGTCTATGCTAATTTACATTCCCACCAACAGCATATGAGTTCCCCTTTCTTCACATCCTCAACAGTAATTGTTATTTTTTGTCTTTTTTTTTTTTTTTGCCATTCTAACTGGGGTGCAGTGATATCTCATTGTGGTTTTCATTTGCATTTCCCTAATGATTACTGATGTTGAGCATTTTTTCATATACATATATATATATATATATATGTATGTATGTCTTCTTTTGAGAAATGTCTACTCAGGTCTTATTCCCATTTTCGATTGGATTATATGGGCTTTTTTTTTTCTTTTGCTATTGAGTTGTTTGAATTTCTTACATATTCTGTTTCTTTTTTCTTTCTTTTTTTTTTTTGAGATGAAGTCTCACTCTTTTCACCCAGGCTGGAGTGCAGTGGTGTGATCTTGGCTCACTGCAACCTCTGTCTCCTGGGTTCAAGCAATTCTCCTACCTCAGCCTCCCAAGTAGCTGGGATTACAGGTGCCCACCACCATACCCACCTAGTTTTTGCATTTTTAGTAGAGACGGGTTTTCACCACATTGGGCAGGCTGGTCTCGATCTCCTAACCTCAGGTGATCCACCCACCTCGGCCTCCCAAAGTGCTAGAATTGAATTTCTTACATATTCTGAATATTAACCCATTACACCAGTGCATAGTTTGCAGACATTTTTTTCCAATTTTGTAGGTTGCCTCTTTGTTGATGGTTTCCTTTGCTGTGCATAAGCTTTACAGTTTAATGTAATCCCATTTGTCTATTTTTGCTTTTGTTGCCTGTGCTTTCGAGGTTTTTTCCAAAAAATTCTTGCCCAGACCAATGTCATGAAGCATTTCTCCTATGTTGTACTCTAGTAGTTTTATAGTTTTAGGTCTTCCGTTTACATCTTCATTCCATTTTGAGTTGATTTTTGTATATGGTGAGAAATAGGTGTCTAGTTTCATTCTTCTGCATGTGGATATCCAGCTTCCCCAGCACCATTTATTGAAGAAACTGTCATTTTGGGGTAACTGCTTTCTAACAGGTCTCTGGGGTTTGGTATTACTGCGCCAGAACCCTTTCATATAGCTGTCAGAGAGATGGCAGTGGAACAGCTCAGTTTATATCTCTCTGCTCTTTAAACCTATCTGATGATTCTTCATTGCCAGTAGGATAAAGTCCAAACACCTTGGCTTGTCATATCAAGTCCTTTCCCATCTGGTGCCCATCATCCCAGCTACCTCCTCTGATACTCTCTACCATGCATCCTATGATTGCCTCCCAATTTTACATTCTCTTCATCTTCCTGATTAAAATAGTGATTGCTGATTACATGTCCTCTCTTTTGCAGTTAGATGTGGCCAGGTGACAAAGTTCTGTACAGTGGAATGTAAACAGAAGTATCATGTGAGAGTTTCCAAGAACTTTTTCAGGAGGGAGGAAACACATGTCCTTTGCCCTCCCTTTTTGTTTGCTGCCTTCTCCATCCTATAGCCTGGAATACAGACATGATGGCTACCATCTTGGACTATGAACATGAGGATCACACCCAAGGGAAGGAGAGGCAGCAAGCTGGAAGGTACTATGGAGCAGAACTGCCACAGCCTGAGTACCTACCTCTGGAACTTTCTGTGAGAAATGAAATGGGCCCAACAGTTCCATAAACAGTTGTTTTGGGATAAACATAGAAATGGCCCCTAGCTTGAAATTTGCATTTGTTTTATCTGAGTTCCCTCCTCAGGAAAGGACCTTCAGGCCTCTCAAAAAAGTATCAAGAGAACTGACACCAGATGCCTCCTTGCCCCTCCCTAGTTCCTGTTTTCTTAAACATTGTTACATATCTTCCCTGCTATGTAAGCCCCTAGATTTAGTCAGTCAGGGAGATGGATTTGAGACTGAGCTCTCATAACTTGGCTGCAGCACCCGATTAAAGCCTTCTTCCTTGGCAATACTTATTGTCTCAGTGATTGGCTTTCTGTGCGTCAGTACCTAGACTGAACCCCTGGTGTTTCCATAACTTGGTCAAGCCACTGTTATTCTGAGTATCTGTCCCTTGCTGCTGTGCCTAATCCTAATTGACACAGAATTTGGTACCAGATCTGGGATGCTACAGGTCACTCCATGCTTATGTTTTTCTTTCTTTATGTTCATAAGAATTCAAGAAGCTAGCCAACCCCACTATCTTTGAATTATTCACTCTTGCCATGAAGATTTATTACCATAGCCACTTGGCCTTCCAGCGTTTTGATTTCCATGGATACTTTTTCTCCCAGGTGACTACAAGTGACAATGTATTTATTTTGAGATGGATTTTCACTCTTCTTGCCCAGGCTGGAGTGCAATGGTGCGATCTTGGCTCACTGCAACTTCTGGCTCCTGGGTTCGAGAGATTCTCCTGCCTCAGCCTCCTGAGTAGCTGGGATTACAGGCATCTGCAACCACTCCTGGCTAATTTTTGTATTTTTAGTAGAGACGGGGTTTCAGCATGTTGGCCAGGCTGGTCTCAAATTCCTGACCTCAGGTGATCCACCCTCCTCGGCCTCCCAAAGTGCTGGGATTACAGGCATGAACCACCATGCCTGGCCTACAAGTGATAATTTAAATAACTGTTCTGCCACTGCATACCACAGACTGGTAGGCCTTCCAAAGTAGATCTGTTTGGCAGAATCACATCCAGAACCATAGCTTCAAGGAATTCTGGAAACGTGGCTTTATTTCTAGATCTGTAGAACAGGCAGAACACTGGGAACAGATGTTGAGTGAGTCGATCCAGAGTGTCTGGTAAACATGTCTCAATCCAGCCTCATGAGATAAGTCATTCTTTGCCAGACTTGCCAAGATGGTAAGGCTTCCTTTAAGTCATTTCTGCATTTCCTTCTGCCCTGAATCTTATCTTCCTCCCTCCCTCCTTTCTCTGCTTTGTGAGCTTATGCTACTCTTTCAATATCCAAATCCAACATCATCCTTAGCAAAGCAAATCCATGCTGGTTGCTGCTGGCTCTGAGTAGCACTTTGAACAATCTTTGGTTAACATTCTTAGAGGAATCATATTTATTGATTACAGATCTCTTTTTCCTGATAAAATGTGCCCTCCTTGAGAACAGGAATATAAGCAGCTGTCATTGCATCTGACCCTTTCTGCATTTCTATTTGTATTCTCAGTCTGGCAAGGTGGAGTTGCTGAGGCAATGTTTGTCGAACTCGTGAATATTGATAATGGCTCCAAAGCTGCCTCCTCTCTTAGACCAGAGGGTTAAGAGTATGTAGACTCCGGCTATGTGGTAGCTCATGCCTCTAATCTCACTGAAGGAGCCTCATTGTCTGGGGTAAATACCAGGGTCCTTGGTCTCACAGTCAAGGAAATTGAGGTCACAGACACACACACAGAGTGAGATTGGAGCAGGAGTTTAATAGGCAAAAGGAAAGAACAGCTCTCTGTCACAGAGAGGGGTCCAGAGCAGGTTGTCAAGTTTTAGTAAAAATGTCAGGGTTGGCCAGGTACGGTGGCTCACACCTGTAATCTTAGCACTTTGGGAGGCTGAGGCGGGCAGATCACGAGGTCAAGAGATCGAGACCATCCTGGCCAACATGGTGAAACCCTGTCTCTACTAAAAATACAAAAATTAGCTGGGTGTGGTGGTGCGTACCTGTAGTCCCAGCTACTCGGAAGGCTGAGGCAGGAGAATTGCTTGAACCTGGGAGGCGGAGGTTGCAGTGAGCCAAGATCATGCCACTGCACTCCAGCCTGGCGACAGAGCAACTCTCTCTTAAAAAAAAAAAAGAAAAAAAAGAGGGAGTGTCTTATCTTCCTAAGGCCTGAAGATTTAGTTGGGACCAGGTGTCCTATGTGCATAGAGCAGAGTTTTCTATCAGTTCTTACCTCATTTCCTTGATCACATAGGCAGACTCAGTCCTTGCTGCTTTGTGCTGCTTTGTTTTGCTTATCTGGGAGGGAGAGTTTCTGTGTCTGTTCCCAGACATCTTCCTGCAGCTGCAGGCATCTCCCCACAATCCGCTTTTAGTTTCTCTATCTTAGTGTGCTTAAAGGGAAAGGAATGTGCTTATTAAGGCCCACGGTTTTTACTGGGGTCCATTGTAGGAGTGTGAAGTTTGGTGATTACCCAGGGGACTCCCCCTGTCCTTCTGTGCCCGAGTTGTTTGTTTTTACAGCCTGATCTTTCAAGCTGTTCTTTGTTAGAAGAGAAGTGATTTCTTTGAACTGCATGAGGTTAGAAAGAGAGCTATTTCTGAGCTGCTTTTTGTTAGAAGAAAAGTTTCTGCTGGGGACTCGCTTTACCCTAACTGTCTACCTAAATAAATTCTGTCTGTCTTGTATAACATATTTCCCCCTCAGGAATGGAATCCCTAACTGCTGTTAGGGGGAATTGGGCAACAACTTCTTCTGGCTACTTCCCGCTGGAGAGGGCGTGGTACGGGAACAGCATCTAGGGCTCCTCCTGGGGTCGATCTAAGGGTCCCTGGTAGAAGGGTGGTTTCCTTTTTGGCTCCATTTGCAGCACCATCTGAAGCTTGATGGTTTCTAGGTGAGAAGAGAAACTTTACAAGGAGGTTTAGAATATAGGGTCCAAATATATATAAGACTACCATTATTAGTGAGGCACTATAGGCCATAACCATGACAACAGAGTTTGTTTGATATCTGTGAGCCATTTAGATGGGTTGTGCTGTTGTAACTGGGTGTATGGGGCTTGGCTTTGTTTAGCTCCCTTGGTCTTACTGTCCCCGCCAGAAAAGGAAACCTTGGGGTTATAGGTTACCTGGCAGGATTTGCAGCATAAGTGCCCAGAACTAGCACATTGTTCCAGATTTTTATATTACCCATTCCTTTCTGTCTCCTTTGAGCCACAGCTGGAGATTGATGATTGGTTTACAGGAATAAGCATGATTAGTTTAAAATGTTGGCAAGAACTTACAAACAACTAATGAGACTAGAAGTCAATGACAGATTGTATTAGTCCATTTTCACGCTGCTGATAAAGACATACCTGAGACTGGGCAATTTACAAAAGAAGGAGGTTTAATGGACTTACAGTTCCACTTGGATAGGAAGGCCTCACAATCATGGTGGAAGGCAAAAGGCATGTCTTACATGGTGGTGGCAAGAGAGAAATGAGAGCTAAGCAAAACAGGTTTCCCTTTATCAAACCATCAGATCTCATGAGACTTATCTACCATGAGAACAGTATGGGTGAAACTGCCCCCATGATTCAATTATCTCCCACTGGGTCCTTCCCACAATTCTGGGAGTACAATTCAAGATGAGATTTGGGTGGGGACATAGAGCCAAACTATATCACAGATGTACAGTAAGTGTGGAACATAATTTCTCTCTCCAGTTCTCATTTTTATGAAAAACAACTTATGATAGGACTGAGCTGGTTGCAGAATAAACTTTAGTCCTATACTTGGCCTGATTATCTGCAAAAAGTACAGCAAGAATAATTACCTCTGTGTATTTTGATTGGTTTTGATAGAACTCTGTTCCACAAGGAATCTTGGATAGGACTTTTTGAAGCCAAGCCCAGCCATGAGTTTGTACCCTCAAATACCTGTGAGTTGGATAAACTTCTTTCTTCTTGAGGTTCCAGGAGCATGGGGTTTCCGGGCCTGTTAGAAAGTGACATTCTTTACGCACCACAGGTCAGGAACACTGTACAGAGACTGTGTAGACAAGGTATGCAGCCAGTTTTCCCAAAGGGCTTTCATTGGCTCTGCAAGTCAAAGCCTTGAAGTCAAAGCCTTGGTAAAACAATCAGTTTTTCCAATTGTGTTTTGTTGCAAAAGAAAATGGATTCTTGTTGCACTGATGCAAATAACTATATAGTTGTAATTCAAGAATACTTATAACTAGTTTCCAAATTCTAGAAGAACTAGGCAGAGAGAAACAAACATGCTCCAAACATTGTTTACAGGAGTATAGTTTACTTAGTTCTTAAAGGCTTTTAAGAAAATTTCCTTGACTCTGAAAAACAAAATAAGGATCACCAGTGTTACAAGCATAAATCAAGAATATTGCTTTAGTTTTCTATTAGTTCAGCCCATTCCATTAACTCTTGATCTGCTTGTTATTCATAAACATTTCAGCTTTGTATGAGTCCTATACATTTTTTAATCAAAAACCTGCATTTAAGAGCACCTATGTAAGTTCCACAGCTGATTAGAAACTATTTTTTTTAAGAAAAAGATTCAAACAAGACAACAATTGTTTGTAAATGACAAAATGTCCAGGGTGGTTACAGTCAAGAACATGATTGACAAATTTGGTTGTTTCTGTGGCTTACAATAACCTAACATAACAACCTTAATTGTGATTAATAGCGCGTATTATTCAGACACTAGTACCTTAGACATTCCATACAGTTTTGGAACATATGTTAATATTATTCCCTAAAATATAACCTGAAGAGTATTAGACATCATTTTGGCAATTCCATGTACCTAAACAAGTTAAATAATCCTATTTACCTCTCTTCTGGATGTTCTAGGAGCCCTGTGCAGAACAAAAAGCTAGGGGCTAGGAAAGACAACCTTGAAACTAAAGTTTGATTTTGGGAAGCCTGTTAAATATGTTCAAAATTTAAAACACTTGATATTAGATTACTGTAAGTTTTTTGTTTTGCCAAAATTATGAGTCAAAAATTTGAAAAAGCAAAAACCATTCATCAGCCCTTTCTATTACATGAAAATCCTATTCAAGAGAGAATGTTAAATTTCACCCTTGCATTTGTTTGCTATTAATGTTAACCCTGATTTTTAATGAAACTTTATAGACAATCCTATTCAATCTTAACCAGTTTGACCATGAGGTGAGATTTACACAAACCTTTTATGACCCTCTACAAATTTTGCTAAAGAGTAGATCAGCATTTTAAGAAAACCCTGTGCTTGCATTTTAATCCTTAATTTATAAAACTATATAATACCCCTTTGAAATTAGTTAATATGTTCATACACAGAGTTTCCTTTGCAAGATTAGTTTTTACAATCTTTTTACAATTTGCTTAAACCTTCTGCTTTATTTTATTTAAGACAATCCTTTATGGCTAGGCAAAATGTACATTTTCATGCCTTCTTATCTTTAATTAAAAACAGCTTTTACTGTTTTTTTACACACCTTGCATGCAAATCCATGTTCACTAGTCTCATTACATGTCATAATGGTAACACTTAGCAATTTTTAACTTTGATGTAAAACCTGGTAGGTTGTTTTAATTATGTGCTAGATGCAGATAAAGTTTGACTGCTTTCAGCATCATTAGGGGCATGGTTACTTCCATATGTTCCCAGGCCTTACCAATTGTGAAGCAGGCAAGTAGACAATATTTAAAGGCTAAAAAAGCAGTTACAACCTTAAAACATTTATCAAACCTAGTATCTGACCTGCATAATTTAGATCACATTTTTACATCCTGAAGACATTTGTATTTTACCAATAGTTTCTAAGACTGTTTTTATTTTTGAAGATTAAAGTTGTGTGAACTGAAAGGTACCACAGCTTTTACTTTTTCTTTAAAAATACTTTATTTAAGTGCTTATTTTTCTTAGTCCAATTAATTGGAGCTCTTTTCAAATAGACATTACACACATAACACATATATAACCACACAGACAAACAGAAAAAGATCCAGTGGTTCTAAAATTTTTCATTTGCTAATTTCCCAATTGGATTATTAGCCTCCTGGTGAGACCCTTTAAGAACAGGGCTAGGAATACAGTTTCCAGGGCCTAATAAACAAGCAAAGCTGGAAGACAAAGATAGATTTTGAGAACTACTTATTCACCTTTAATTCCAGGTGTTCCATGAGGAAAACAGATTTTTCCCAAAATGGGATTTGTGGCACCTTTTCTGTTTTCCCAAGGAGTCCCAGGCTACCAGAAGTCATTCTAGGGTCTTTCATGCATGCACCAAGAGTGGTAAGTCACAGTTTTCTCAGTTGACTGAGAAAAAAAGACCTTTTCCAGGAAAACAAGATCTATAAAGAGAAAAACATAAAGGCCTTTAAAATATACCCATAGGTTTGATATCCACTTTGAATTAAGCTGAGTGCTCTTTAGGAAAATCCTTTTTCACAAATAAAACTTTACAGTGAAGATAAACAGTGATTCTTACCATTTTTCCCCCAGTTTGCACCACTACTTGTTCACAATCATGTTTAGGTTCTCCAGTTTTCTCTGGGAGAAAGTGGCTGGGCTCAGGAAGTGGCAGGTTTTCAACTGGACTGCAGATCCCTTTAGCAGCAAAGCTTGATATTTGAGGAGGCAATTGTCTGTTAGCCAGACTTTCCTTAGAGGACAGTAGTCTTGTTATATTGCGTGGAGCTAAACAGTTAAGTTATTCCCCATTGTTAACCCATTGGCTGTAGAGCTGGACCTCCAGTCTTAGTCAAAACTCCCAGGGCTATTTTCTTCCTTTCCAATATACATAAAGATTAAATACCTTCCCTATGGGAAGGCTGAGAACTGGTGCTTTAAGCAAGGCTTGCTTTAGCTGGTTTAAGGCTTTTGTGTTTTAGGTTCCCAAGTTAGGGAGCTGCTTGAGTTTCTTTTAAGAGTTGGTATAAAGGATGAGCTATTTCACCATACCCTGGTGCCCACATTTTGCAAAATTCAGTAATGCCCACATTTTGCAAAATTCAGTAATGCCCAATAATTTTCTTAACTCTTAAAGGAAACGGGGTTAATCCTTTCCTCACCTGGTACTCTGGTTCCTTCTGTGCTGTGTCTGTCCCACAGACCTTGGCCGATGGGTGAAATGAGTACTCAGACACAGGTATGCAGTGTAAGAGCAGCTAGGTGACTGCCTGGCTCCAGTGGCCAGACAGCAGTCCCGAGAAGCTGGAGCTGTTTGCTTTTATTCAGTGCAGGCACAATGCCGAAAACCTGGAGCCAACACAACCTGCAGGTAATTAACATTTATTGTTCCCCTTTCAGGGAATGTTGCATGGGGATGATCCAAGGTCAGTTCCTGGTCAACATAAGTAAACAAACCGGTTTAAGATAAATTCCCCCACACTCCCTTGTACCTACTCCTTGCCCTCTGCCTTAGGGTTATAGAACAGCTGTCTTCAGCCATTCTTCCCTGGGGCTCTGCAGAAACTTCCGACCTTTCAGAAGGTTTGTGTCCTTTCCCTATAGTTTTTTCACCACCCTGACCGATCCCCCACACTTCTGATAAGATTAGGCCTAGGTACTTTACTGAAGTTTGACAGAGCTGAGCTTTAGATTTTGAGACCCTATACTCCCTTTTAGCTAAGAAATTGAGAAGAGTCTTAGTGCCTTCCTGAGACATCCTTGAATGGGGCACAGAGGAGAGTGTCATTTACATACTGCAAAGTTTCAACTTGAGAGTGAGAAAAACTAGAAAGATTTTTAGACATGGCCTGTTTCAGCAACTTCCTTTTGATATCAGGGGCTGCCTGAGTGATGAACCTGTTTTTTGTTGAATTGGAAGACAGGGAGGTGTGTTTTATTAAAGCTTCTCTCAGCCTTTCCAAAAAGGTAGGGAGATTTTTATCTGGTTTCTGATTCAATAAGGACAGTTTAGAGTAATTAAGAGGTTTGGTCCTAGTCCTTCTTAGGCCCTCTGATATGCACATTAAAAAGTATTTCCTTTTCCATTCATCTATGGGGTCACAGGGATTCCAGTCAGGATTGTCAAGAGGTATAGCCTCTCTCCCTATTGAGATTGTTTTTTTCTGTTATTTCCTCACCTTCCTTATCTCCCCTTTTCCTTTTTGGTCACTATAGGGAACATGTTGTTCATCTCCGAACTTTTCTGCTGCTTGCAGAGCTGTCTGCTTTTCAGCTGCAGTGAGGGTTTGGCTGAGAAACAACAGCACAACATCCCTCCATGTGAGGTAAAACACTTAAGTTAAATTTTGGAAGGCCTCTATATATCTATTAGGGTTATCAAGAAATCAGCCCATTTATCTGCCTAAGGTCCTGCAATGAGAAGGGAATAAGTACCTTAATGGTGCCCCTTCCATCTGGCATTTCTTGTAGGGGTAGGAGTGAAGTCTGGGCAGTGGGGAGCTTTGGAGATGGTGGAGCTGGAGGAGCTGATGGTGCAGCTGGAGGGGGCCCTGGACAAAGGGGACTGGAAGGACTGGGGCACTTAGAAGCTGCCTCTAATGGTTCCTCCAAAACTTGCTCTTCTGACTTAGGGGAACTACTCTCCACAGACCTGTCTGATATGATTGCTAAGAGGGCTGAGTTGGTTTTGCAATGCTTGCAAAGGTCTGGGTTGTCTCGCAGGGCAAAGGAAGCCTGCACATAGAGAACCTTGGACCATTTGCTCTTCCATCTACAGAAGAGATCTAATTGCTGGATAAGATTAAAGTTAAGGTTCCCTTTAGCTGGCCAGGTCTGTTCATTCCTGAGAGGGTAAGAAGGCCACACCCTTGTGCAACAGAAAATGAGCCACTTTTTCTTCAGAGTTTGGGTGTCAAAGGAGTTCAAAATGTACTCCAGCAGAGTGCAAGCCAAAATGACTTGCTACCCATCCTGGAAAAGAGACAAGAGGAGAGGCATCCCTCAGTCTCCTTGTTCTTTTTGGTGTGACCCAGGGTGGAGGGGATGACAGTGGGAGTGTCCCCCTGACTGTTCTCTCTCCTTGGTCCCTGGGTCCCAGCACAGTGTGTGCCTCCCCATGGTTGCAGGTGTGACCTTCAAACCATGGTCCCAGAGGAGCTAAGTAATGGGGATAGTCACGCTTACCCATGTGACCTTAGTCCTTTGCCTGATAATTGCCCTTTGACCTCTCAGACTTGTGTGATCTGTGTGACTCCTTGATGAATGGGTATCAGGAGAGATTATGTAACAGTTGCATTTAAGCAAGGCCCCTTAATGGAGGGAGTGTACTGGGCTGAGCTTTATACTCTGCTATTATGGACCAGACTAGAGAATTTATGTTTAGATGGTGGTTCCAGTTAACTTCCAAACATAAAATCCCCTTTCTATTTAGACGAAATACTAGTTGCAAGCAGAATAGGTGTCTCAAGAGAATGTAAGGGTCAAATGGCAGCCTTTCTGCTAATGGAGAGAGTATTGAGACAAAAATTTGGTTTTGGAGGACATTTTTTTCCTCACTGCTGAAAGCAGAGTTCTCCCACTCTCAGAGGTACATAAGGTTTGATCTCTTTTAGAGGGATGTAAAAGGGAGAAAAAGTGGAAAGCTAGAGGCTTTTGGCAAAGGGCAGACGAGGTTGCCGATGGAAAGGATTCCTATTCCACTAGGTGACGCTGCAAGCTTTGAAATACCAGGCAGTAACTTGGCCTCCGTATGGACAGAGAGGGAAGTCTGACATGTGGCAGGCCATTCCTACAGCATGCCTCCTAGCAGGAGAAAGTTAATTCGCCTCATAGAGGGACTATGCAGTCCGGCTGGGTAGTGCTGGTTCTTCACATGGGAAAAGAAACAGCCTAGGTGGAGAGAGGGATGTTCATTGGTGGGGAGATAACCTTCTACCCAACCCCAGGAAGTGCTATCATTAGGAGTTAAATAGTCTTTCAGATCTGGATCACGAAATCCCCCTGTCGGTAGAAAGTCACAAAAACAGCAATCCCCTTGACCTGCATTTCTGGTTGCCAAGGTGGTTGCTAAGCCTGCCTAACTGAATTATTTCTCTGGGCTATAAAAATTCCCGCAGCATTGTGTACAGAGAGGGGATGGGAGACATGGTGACCTCGGAAAGGAAAGGAGGAAAATAAGATTTGCAATAGGAAAGCTTGGCAATCTTGTGGCCGACACCCAGTCAGGCAGTCGGAGGCTGGTGTCAGTCCAGGAGCCTTTGGACAACACCAGGGTGTAGCCCTGGCCAGAAATCCTCAGTTGCCCCAGGACCTATTCCAGCCCCATGTGATGGCAAAGTGAAAGGAAACTGGTTTGGACAGAGCCAACGTTCCCAGCACCCTGAGGGCACTGGAGGATTGACTAAGTCCTCCCCAGCAAGCTTCACATCTGAGTCTTTAAGATTAGCGGCTAGCCCTTGTGACTCATTAATTAGCTGACAGATGCCCGATTTTTTTATAGTTCTTTGAGAGAATAAAAACTGGGGACGAGAAGCCTCGGAAATGAAAGTAGAGAGTCCACTCCTTTACTCACTCTTCCAATGATTTCACCTTCAAATCCTGGACGGGCCCCCCAAATGAAGTAGCCTCATTGTCTGGGGTAAATACCAAGGTTGTTGGTCTCATGGCCAAGGAAATTGAAGTCGCAGACACACATACACAGAGTGAGACTGGAGCAGGAGTTTAATAGGCAAAAGGAAAGAACAGCTCTCTGTCACAGAGAGGGATCCTGAGTGGGTTGCCAAGTTGTAGTAAAAATGTCAGGGTTTTTATAAATGGGCTAGTGAGGAGGGGGTGTCTTATCTTACTGAGGCCCAAAGATTTAGTTGGAACCAGGTGTGCTATGTGCATAGAGTAGAGTTTTCTATCAGCTCTCACCTCACTCCTTGATCATGTAGACAGACTCTTAGTCTGCGCTGCTTTGTGCTGCTTTGTTTTGCTTATCTGGGAGGGAGAATTTCTGTGTCTGTTCCCAGACATCTTCCTGCAGCTGCTGGCATCTCCCCCCAGTCCACTTTTAGCTTCCCTATCTTAGTGTGCCTAAAAGGAAAGGAATGTGCTTATTAAGGCCCACTGTTTTTACTGGGGTCCATTGTATAAGTGTGAAGTTTGGTGATTACCTAGGAGACTCCCCATCTCCTGAGCCTGAGTTGTTTATCTGTGTTTTTACAGCCTGATCTTTCGGGCTGTTCTTTGTTAGAAGTGATTTCTTTGAACTGCATGAGGTTAGAAAGGGAGCTATTTCTGAGCTACTTTTTGTTAGAAGGAAAGTCTTCTGCTGGGACTCACTTTACCCTAACTGTCTACCTAAATAATTTCTTTCTATCTCATATAACACCACCACTTTGGGAGACAGAGGCAGGAGGATCACTTGAGGCCAGGAGTTTGAGATCAGCCTGGGCAGCAAAGTGAGACCCCTTCTCTGCAAATAATTTAAAGATTAGCCAGGTGTGGTGGCACCTGTGGTCCTACCTGCTTGGGAAACTGAGACAAGAGGATTACTTGAGCTCAGGAGGTCGAGGCTGCAGTGAACCATGATCATGCAATGCACTCTAGCCTGGGCTACAGAGTGAGACCCTGCCTCAAAAAGCAAAAAAACAGAAAAACAAAAAAAAGCATAGACCCTGGAGGAAAACTGTGTGTGTGAATCTTGGCTCTACTATGTACACCAAGGGGCAACTTGGGTACATTCTATAACTTCTCTATGCCTTAATTTCCATCTCTTGTTAATTGAGGATAATCAAACCTACAGAATTGTTGGGAAGATTAAATGACACAGTCCCTGCGAAGCATTAGCACAGAACCTATCACACAGATAGAACTCAATCAGTGCCAGCTTTTCTAATTGTGGTAGTTGTTGATCGTTTGCACACTCTTCACTTTCCCTTTTCTTCCCTCCCCTCTCTGCACTTTGCTTTTCAGTAACATGTCAACGCAACAAACATTTTCTGAGCCCCAGCACTGTGCCAGGACAAATATGGTCACTACCTTGGGGAGCTTGCTGTCTTTTGAGGAAGCAGACACATAAACCATGAGGACAACAAAGCATGGCCTATGAATGATAGACATTTTCACTCGTTTCCGTGGATGCAAGGGTGACAGTAGCAGTCACCATAATCAGGAAAGAAAGAGCTGAACAGGAAAGGAATTATAGAGGGAATAATCCTTGATTTAACTTTTAAAAAACAGGAATGGAAGGGAGAAAAGACTTTTGGTCAGAGAGAACAGCATGCGCAAAGGCATGGAGATGTCATACAGTGGAGCGTAGGGAAGAGCCAGTAGTTCAGCAGAACCTGCCCAGTGGTTCTCAAACTTGAGCCTGCACCTGAAGGCCCTGGAAGCCTTGTTAAGAAGCAGATTGCTGGATCCCTCCTCCAGAGTGTCTGATTCATTAAATCTAAAGTAGGGCCTGAAACTTTGCATTTTAAACAAGTTCTCAGGTGATACTCATGTTGCTAGTCCAGGGACCATACTCTGAAACCACTGGGAGGCCAGAGCATAGTGGGTAGGATTGGTTAGAGGAAAATGGTGAGAAACAGAACTGGGCTTCACATGCTAGCTCACCGGTGTAGACTTTGTAATTTAAAAACAATGGGCTGGGCACGGTGGCTCACACCCCTAATCCCAGCACTTTGGGAGGCCGAGGCGGGCGGATCATGAGGCCAGGAGATTGAGACCATCCTGGCCAACATGGTGAAACCCCGTCTCTACTAAAAATACAAAAATTAGCTGGGCGTGGTGACATGTGCCTGTAGTCCCAGTTACTTGGGAGGCTGAGGCAGGAGAATTGCTTGAACCTGGGAGGTGGAGGCTGCAGTGAGCCGAGATTGTGCCACTGCACTCCAGCCTGGCGACAGAGTGAGATTCCGTCTCAAAACAAACAAACAAACAACAGCAATGAAGTACTTAAGGACAAAAGCTTATGATCAGATCTATGTGGCATAAATTGACTTTTTTTTGAGATAGGGTCTTGCTCTTTCACCCAGGCTGAAGTGCAGTGGCATGATCATGGCTCACTGCTGCCTCAACCACCCCAGACTCAGGTGACCCTCCCACCTTAGCCTCCTGAGTAGCTGGGACTACATGCCAGCACACCTGGCTAATTTTTAGTATTTTTTGTAGAGATGGGGTTTCGCCATGTTGCCCAGGCTGGTCTTGAACTCCAGGGCTCAAGCAATCTACCTGCCTCTGCCTCCCAAAGTGCTAGGATTACAGGTGTGAGCTGCCGTACCTGGTCCAAACTGGATTCTAAGGGCACAGAGCTTCAGAAGGGAAGACACTTGAGTTGAGTCCAAGTGCGTTTTGGGTGATCTGTTGGGCAAACAGTGCAGGCCTGTGCTGGGTTCCCAGCCTCTAAGACCAAGCCTTTCCCCACAAGCTGCTCCTTTTCCCTGATCACAGGATTAAAGCTTCCACCCGTGCCCTGCATCTCATGACTTCATTTCCTCGGGAATCACCCTCTTCCAGACATCTTCAGCCTTCAGTGTTTCCCCACAACGCCTCTGCCTCCCAACCCCCAAACCTGCCCCAGCCCCAGCCCCATGCTCTTCCTGTTGGGCATAGTTTTAAGTCAAACCTTCAACACACAGAGTTCCCCGAGTCACACTACCCACCTACTCCATTTGTGTGCTATTATTGGCATTTTTTTAACCAAAATGTTCTCAATGAGTGGTCATTGTCTGCCCCATTTCCTCACCCCTGGTCCCTGCCCCTTCAGCCTTGTTCTGTCCCCACCCCTATAATGAAATAGCAACTTGTTTTTCTTTTTTGCCTTAATTTCACCACCTCTACTACCACCAAAATGTCTTAAGAAAACCCCATATGAAGGGTTCCAGTAAAAATAGTAAGTGTTGAAAATCCCAGAACAGAATTGAATGCTTAGGCCTCTAAGCTTTTATTAACCTTCTATTTCAAAACAGCTTACAGAAGATTCACATGTGATGAGAATATATTATTGTTCCTAACTGAACTAACATAGTCTAATTTGTCTAAATTGAGGCTTAAGTAAAGTACAATTCCTAGAGCTGTATGTTTTAACTTTCCTCGTCTGTTTGTCTGCTCCTTAGAACAGGATTTATCTACCTGTGTATCAAGTACTATAATGGAGCATACTATAATGAATTGTCCATTGTTTATGTCTACATTTAAAATTTGTTTAGAGACCTGAGATGAAAATGGGGCTTGTCAAGCCCTGGGAGCATAAACAAATCTTATTCTTAAGAAATTCCTCACTCAACCAATCATTCTAAACAAATATAGAACATCCATTGACTATAGTTCAAGCTCTTGGATATATAACAGGAATTGGCCTAATTCTTGAACAGGCAGTTTTCTGAGTATTGATAATAGCCAGAGGGCCCACACTTCTGTTTTGTACTTTCACCTTTCTTCTGGACCATTTTTCCCTTTCCTTCCTTCCTTCCTTCCTTTTTTTTTGACAGGGTCTTACTCTGTTGCCCAGTGGTACCATCATGGCTCACTGCAGCCTTGATCTCCCGGGCTCAAGTGAATTTCTCACCTCACTCTTGAGCAGCTGAGACTACAGGTGTGTGCTACTATGCCTGGCTAATTTTTCTTTTTTGGGGTGTTTGTTTGTAGAGACGAGGTTTTGCCATGTTGCCCATGCTGGTCTTGAACTCCTGGCCTCAGGTGATCCACCTTGGTCTCCCAAAGTGCTAGTATAACGGGTACACCTAGCCTCGACCATTTCTAATGCTGATATAAGTCTTTAGTCATATACAGTTTTTTCACAAATGCCTTTCAACAGGAAGGGAGCAGCTGTAATATCTCCAAAATAAATTTCTGACTCAGGCAGGATGCTTTTTATAACATCTATGAGTCAGAAGAACTAAGTTATAGAAACCAGACAGGGGCCCATTTCTTATCAATAATTTTGCTTGTTTAAATGTTTTTCCTCCACTTTCTCCCTGCTGTGACTGCAAAATCTATAGCTTTGTCAATTGTTTAAATTCTTCCCTAGAAGCGAAACTAATGATTTTCCATGTCTAATCAGTGAGAACAGTGCAAATTCTTCTTCCATCATGATCAGAATCTTCTAGGGTTATGGACTCTTTTAAACACAGATCTGAGTCACACATCAGAAAGCCTGTGGTCTTAAAACACTCATGCTCTCCTGAATTTTTCAGAGTTAACACTGGAGGAGACTCGCCCCCAAGTTTGCAGGGAGAGCTAAGTCTATATAGCATTCCTAAAGGGAGCCCAGAGAGGTCCTGTAAGGTGGAACTGGTGGGAGGGCAGGGAAAGGAGAGAAAGACGCTCTCTCTGCCCACACTCCTCCACACAACTCCATCAATCATCCCAAATCAAAAGAGAAAATTAGCCATATTATTTTACACTTGAGTCAATTCCGTGCAATCCAAGTGTTTCTTTTACCAGTTTAGTTGCTCTCTCAAATGCAAAATACTTTGGAAGTCATTTAAAAACTGCCAGAATAGTTCTTCCTGCACACTGGTTTCTGCCAACTCAATTTGAAATTGGCTCTCTCAGTTCTCTTTTTCTCATATGCAAGCAACTAGCCAGATCTCTACCTGCAGATGATAAAATGCTACCCCATGCAACTCCAGGTTTGCTTCTAAACCAGGTCAGGAGGCTGAGATCAAAACAATGAGGACCACTGGAGCCCCTGGGGAGTCTCCAAAAGGGTAATTAGGCTTCTGCCCAGGTCTGGTGGATTTCCCAAAGGCTTGTATTTTTTCAGAAATGGAGTGGAGGGGAATTGGGGAGAAATTACAGTAAGTGAAGGCCTTAAATGGCCTGGAAAATCTTCAAGGTGGTATGACATCATGGAAACCTCATCCAGCTCTTTGAAAGTGATCCCAACGTTTAGCACATTACAGGACTTAACACAAGGCAGATACTTGCTACATATTTATAGGATGAAAGAATAAACAGACTGCTAGAGTAAACTAAAAAACAATTCTCAAACACTAAGGATGTTTTCTCATATTTTCTTTCGAACGCTTTTGTTTGAAAAATGTTAGCATTTCCCATAATCTTGCTTCTAGATTTGATCTCCTCAAATTAATAAATATAAATGTTTCTGGCCCCCAAACCGCTATGATGGCAGCCCACCTCTCTGACCCTGTGAAATTTAAACATACCACGGAAGGCTGGAAATTTTATGCTTCTGAAAAGATGTTGAAAACCATCATCAACATATTCTGTAGTATCCTCCACATGCTGCATGTGACCATCAAGAAAACATAACTAGTCTGTGAACTGCGGGAGGTGCTCCAGGTTCGCTGACACTCCCCTCAGCTGCGGGGTAGGATGGCCAGATGACAGAGGGATTGTTCTCTCTCTTGTTTGCAGTTGGCAGTTTTGGAGTTTGCCCACCAGATATGCCATCCAAGAAGACCAAAAGTACAGCAGGATGATTGTGAACAAGACCAGGGACCTCAGCCCTTGCAAAAAAAGGTTGAAGACTATGTACATGAACGACATTCTAGGCTATCCTCAGGTGGGTTCCAAGACTAGGGCTCCCAGCTTCTTCCCTGGATCAACACCCAATGGGCGTGGCACTCAATACCTGCTCTTTAATCAGTGCTGTACTGATTTGATCAGTACTTTTCAAATTATGTCCTACGTTGTCTGAGATGTTCTACTCAGGAGCCCTGGTGAGGGATGATGTGTGAGAAAAATTCAAGTATCTCCTCTTCTAAATTGAGAAGTCCTAGCCTTTGTCTTAAAATTGATTTTGTGTGTTAGGCTTTCACTTTTTTATTAGATGGTAAATGCTCCATTCTTCAAACAACAATGATAGCTCAGGAGGCCAAGAATATGTGTTCTGATTTGTTCCTGAATGTCACTGCGTCTAACATGAGACTCTGCTTCCACAGGCACTTAACACATACTTATGAGACTGCTTTCTCTCAACTTCATTTCCACATGGAAACATTTGGAACCGAGTTTCCATTCCTGTGACTTTCATTGTGGGAAGACAGAAAAGAACCCAGCCCAGATTTTTCATTAAGCATGTTTAACACAATAATAGTGAGATGAAACTGAGGGTGAGAGGTTTTAAACCTGTGATGTTGTGCTCTTTTATGTAGGAGAAACAAAGTTCTGTTTTGCCTGGCATCATGGGAGAACTGTGATTGCCTGTTTGATATTGTGTAGATAAGCTAAGCTTGCACAAACTATTGAGATGATTGCCTGGCATGGGACATAAAGGAGTCATTAATTTCATTCCTAAGTGACAGGAAAGCAATAGCCATGCCTCTGGTTGGTTTGTACTTACACAGAGAGAAGTCTACAAAAGGGAGAGCTTCACTTATATACAAATGAACTCTGAAGAGCCACTGAAGTGCCCTGATCACTGAAGTTGTAACCTAGCAAGTGACCCAGCCTTCACTGAGCTGAATGAGGTTGCCATTTCCCAATTAAAGTAGGACCCGGGATGGTAGAACATCAAGGATCAGGAGATTTTCATTTTCAGCTCTACCGCTATTAGCTGTGTGACTATGAAAAAGTCATTTTGCCTGTTTAGGCTTCAGTTGTATCGTTTGTAAAATGGGAGTCATAATAACTCCATCAAAAGGTTATTGCAAGAAATAAATATCCCAAAATGACTACCTGACATCACAAATGATCAATTTAAGGTTGTCATTTCATTGGAAAAACGTGGTCAAATCGGTTGATTTGTGTCTGTGGCCCAAAGAAATTGTTACTAAAGTATTCATTTTTCCTCATTATTATGATTGGAAAGTGTCCTCTCCAAGATTCATGTTGGAACTTAATCTCCAAAGCAATCCTATTAAGAGGTGGGGTCTTTAGGAGGTGATCCGGTCATGAGGACTGCTCCCTCATGGATGGGATTAAAGCCCTTAAAGAATAGCCTTCACACATGGTTTGAACCCTCTTTGCCCTTCAGCCTTCTGCCATGTGAGGATGTGGCACAAAGGTGCCATTTGGGAGCAGAAACTGGACCCTCACCAGACACCAGACCTGCCAGAGTTTAAGAGCATTAGAGGCCACGGTAAGGACTCTGTATTTAATTTGGAATGTGATGGAAAGTGGTAAGATTTTTTTTTCATTTTTCGTTTCTGTTTTTGTTATTTGTTTCAATTTTTTGAGATGAGGTCTCTCTATGTTGCCCAGGCTGGACTAGAACTCCAAGGTTCAAATGAGTCTCCTGCCTCAGACTCCTCAGTAGCTGAGACTACAGGGGTGCACAACCACACCCACCTGGAAAGTGGTAAGATTTGATTTATGATTTTGAAAGATACTTCTGGCTGCTTTGAGGGAATAAGAGGTTCAAATAGAAGGCTATTACAGCCAGCCCAAAGAGAGGTGATGGTTATTTGGACTAAAGTAGTACAGGAAGGAGGACCTTGCATGGTTTTTCATCATAAAGTTCAATGCTGTAATCAGGGACTGTTAATATGAAACCATTTTTCTCATGCTCAACCATAACATGGGGCTCTATAATGAAAAAGAAAAATTCAAGTAGAAAAATTGGATTCTAATATTCCCTATCATGTCTCTATTATTTTTAAATATTAAATATAATTTTATATGGAAAATTATGTTTCACATAACACAAGTTCGTGGCCATGGAGGCTGCTGTTGAGGTGGCAGCTGCTGCTGCTGTGTCAGAGCTCGAGGTGTCACTGACCTGCTGCCGCTTTTGCTACTGTCTTTGCTTTTGAAACCTTTCATTTTTTGAATCCTAAAAAACCAAAATATTTTTCAAGAATATAATAGGACACAAAATCTTTTCACAGAATTTACAGAAGTGCCACTAACAGTCTGGAAATGTTTCTCTGACACAGTTTGTGTGTATGAGTGTGGGTGTTTTATTTTTAAAGCTTTGAGAGTATAATCTGTTATTTTGAAGGAAGACGCACTCCTCAAAAATAATTGGGGTTTACTTGATGTAAGATCAAATCTTTAGGAAAGGTTTTTTGTTGCCTTTTTTTTAAACTTTAAGTTCAGGGCTACATGTGCAGGATGTGCAGGTTTATTACATAGGTAAACGTGTGCCATGGCGGTTTGCTGCACACATCATCCCATCACCTAGGTATCAAGCCGAGCATTCATTAACTATTCTTTCTGATATTCTCCCTTTTATCTTCTCCACCCTCCGACAGGCCCCAGTGTGTGTTGTTTCCCACAATGTGTCCTTGTGTTCTCATCATTCAGCTCTTACTTATAAGTGAGAACATGTGGTATTTGGCTTTCTGTCCCCGCATTAGTTTGCTGAGGATAATGGTTTTCAGCTCTATCCAAGTCCCTGCAAAGGACATAATCTCATTTTTTATGGCTGCATAGTATTCCATTGTGTATATGTACCATATTTTCTTTATCTAGTCTATCATTGATGGGCATTTAGGTTGATTCCATTTCTTTGCTGTTGTGAATACTGCTGCAATTAACATATGCATGCATGTGTCTTTATAATAGAATGATTTATATTCCTTTGGGTATATACCCAGTAATGGGATTGCTGGGTCAAATGGTATTTCTGCCTCTAGGTCTCTGAAGAATTGCCACACTGTCTTCCACAATGGTTGAACTAATTTACACTCCCACCAACAGTGTAAAAGCGTTCCTTTTTTTTCCACAACCTTGCCAGCATCTGTTGTTTTTTGACTTTTTAATAATAGCCATTCTGACTGGTATCTCATTGTGGTTTGGATTTGCATTTCCCCAATGATCAGTGATGTTGAGCTTCTTTTCATATGTTTGTTGGGCACATATATGTCTTCTTTTGAGAAGCATCTGTTCATGTCCTTTGCCCACTTTTTAATTTTTTTGTTGTTGTTGTTAATTTATTTAAGTTCCTTGTATACCTTTGTCAGATGGATAAATTGCAAAAATTTTCTCCCATTCTGTAGGTTGTCTGTTCACTCTGATGATAGTTTCTTTTGCTGTGCAGAAGCTCTTTAGTTTAACTGGATCTCGTTTGTTGATTTTTGCTTTTGTTGCAATTGCTTGTGGAGTCTTCATGATGAAATCTTTGCCCATGCCTATGTCCTGAATGGTATTGCCTAGATTTTGTTCTAGGGTTGTTCTAAGGTTTTTATAGTTTGGAGTTTTACATTTAAGTCTTTAATCCATCTTGAGTTGATTTTTGTGTATGGTGTAAAGAAGAGGTCCAGTTTCAATTTTCTGCATATGGCTACCCCGTTCTTCCAGCACCATTTATTAAATAGGGAATCCTTTCCCCATTGCTTGTTTTTGTCAAGTTTGTTGAAAATTAGATGGCTATAGGTGTGTAACCTTATTTCTGGATTCTTTATTCT
This sequence comes from Homo sapiens, assembly GCF_000001405.40. Taxonomy (NCBI): domain Eukaryota; kingdom Metazoa; phylum Chordata; class Mammalia; order Primates; family Hominidae; genus Homo; species Homo sapiens. The sequence continues at coordinate 84,594,161 of NC_000001.11, read as the reverse complement.
GTTCCACTGGTCTATATGTCTGTTCTTGTACCAGTGCCATGTTGTTTTGGCTACTGTAGCCTTGGTAGTATAGTTTGAAGTTGGGTACTATGATGCCTCCAGCTGTGTTCTTTTTGCTTAGGATTGTCTTGGCTATTCGGGCTTTTTTTTGGTTCCATATAAATTTTTAAATAGTTGTTTCTAATTCTGTGAAGAATGTCAATGGTAGTTTTATTAAAGCATTGAATATATAAATTGCTTTGGGCAGTATATGGGCATTTTCACAATATTGATTTTTCCTATCCATGAGCATGGTATGTTTTTCCATTTGTTTGTATCATCTCTGATTTCTTTGAGCAGTGGTTTGTAGTTCTCCTTGAAGGGGTCCTTTACTTCCCTTGTTAGCTGTATTCCTAGGTATTTTATTCTTTTTGTGGCAATTGTGAATGGGAGTTCATTCATGATTTGGTTCTCCACTTGCCTGTTGTTTGCATACAGGAATGCTAGCAATTTTTGCACATTGATTTTGCATCCTGAGACTTTGCTGAAGTTGCTTATCAGCTTAAGAAGTTTTGGGGCTGAGAAAATGGGGATTTCTAGATATAGGATCATTTCATTTGTAAACAAAGATAGTTTGGCTTCCTCTCTCCTTATTTGAATAGCCTTTCTTTCTTTCTTTCTCTTGCCTGATTGCCCTGGCCAGAATTTCCAGTACTATGTTGAATAAGAGTGGTGAGAGAGGTCATCCTTGTCTTGTGTCAGTTTTCAAGGAGAATACTTCTAGCTTTTGCCCATTCAGTATGATATTGGCTGTGGGTTTCTCATATATAGCTCTTATTATTTTGAGGTATGTTTTTTTAATACTGAGTTCATTGAGAGTTGTTAACATGAAGGGATGTTGAATTTTATCAAGTCCTTTTCTGCATCTATTGAGATAATCATGTGGGTTTTGTCTTTAGGTCTATTCATGTGATAAATCACATTTATTGATTTGCATATGTTGAACCAACCTTGCATCCTGAGGATGAAAGCTCCTTAATTATGGTGGATAAGCTTTTTTTTTTTTTTTTTTTTTAAGACCGGGTCTCATTCTATCACCCAGGCTGGAGTGCAGTGGCGCAATCTTGGCTCACTGTAACCTCTGCCTCCTGGGTTCAAATGATTATCCTGTCTCAGCCTCTTGAGTAGCTGGGATTACAGGAGTGTGCCACCACTGAGACAGTGTCTCACTCTGTCCCGCAGGCTGGAGTGCAGTGGCACAATCTAGGCTCACTGCTACCTCTGCCTTTCAGAAGCAAGTGATTCTCATGCCTCACCTTCTGATTAGCTGGGACTACAGGCACATGCCACCACACCCAGCTATTGTTTTTTTTTTTTTTTTTTTTTTGTATTTTTAGTAGAGACAGGGTTTTGCTGTATTGGCCTGACTGGTCTTGAACTCCTGGCCTCAAATGATCCACCCGATTTGGCTTCCCAAAATGCTAGGATTACAGATATGAGCCACCACACCCGGCCTGCTTAAGCTTTTTGATGCGCTGCTGGATTTGATTTGTCAGTATTTTGTTGAAGACTATTGCATTGATGTTCATCAAGGTTATTAGCCTGAAGTTTTCTTTTTTGTTGTATCTCTGCCAGGTTTTGGTATCAGGATGATGCTGGCCTCATAGAATAAGTTAGGGAGGAGTTCCTTGTTTGCTATTTTTTTGGAATAGTTTCAGTAGAAATGGCACCAGCTCTTCTTTGTACCTCTGGTAGAATTCAGGTATAAATCCGTCTGGTCCTGGGCTTTTTTGGGGGCTGATAGGCTATTTATTACTGCCTCAATTTCAGAACTCATTATTGGTCTATCTGGGGATTTGATTTCTTCATGATTCAGTCTCGGGAGGGTGTATGTCTCCAGCAATTTATTCATTTCTTCTAGATTTTCTAGTTTATGTGCATAGAAGTGTTTATAAAAACAACTCTGATGGCTGTATTTTTGTAGGGCCAGTGGTGATATCTCCTTTATCATTTCTGATTGTGTTGACTTGAATCTCCTGCCTTTTCTTATTTACTAGTCTAGCTAGTGGTCTATGTATTTCATTTTTTTTTTTCAAAAACTAATGGATTCATGTATTTTTTGAAGGGTTTTTCATGTCTCTATCTCCTTCAGTTCACCTCTAATCTTTGTTATTTCTTGTCTTCTGCTAGCTTTGGGGTTTGTTTGCTCTTGGTTTTCTTGTTCTTTTAGTTGTGATGTTAGGTTGTTAACTTAAAATCTGTCTAGCATTTTTTTGAGACAGTCTTGCTCTGTTGCTTAGGCTGGAGTGCAGTGGCACAATCTCAGCTAACTGCAACCTCTGCCTCCTGGGTTCAAGCTTATCTCCTGCCTCAGCCTCCCGAGTAGCTGGGACTACAGGTGCCTGCCACCATGCCTGGCTAATTTTTGTATTTTTAGTAGAGACAGGGTTTCACCATAATGGCCAGGCTGGTCTCGAACTCCTGACCTTGTGATCTGCCTGCCTCGGCCTCCCAAAGTGCTGGGATTACAGGCGTGAGCCACCAAGCCTGGCCGAAATCTGTCTAGCTTTTTGATATGGGCATTTAGTGCAATAAATTTCCCTCTTTACCCTGCTTTAGCTGTGTCCCACACATTCTGCTATGTTGTATCTTTGTTCTCATTAGTTTCAAAGAATGTCTTGATTTCTGCCTTAATTTCATTATTTACCCAAGAGTCATTCAGAAGCAGGTTGTTCAGTTTCCATAAGTTCTCATTTGATTGTGAGAACTCAGTCTCTCAGACCAGAGAGACTGTTATGATTTCAGTTGTTTTGCATTTGCTGAGGAGTGTTTTACTTCTGATTATGTGATCAGTTTTAGAGTAAGTGCTGTGTGGCAATGAGAAGAATGTATATTCTGTTGTCTCTGGGTGGAGAGTGCTATAGATATATACCAGGTCCACTTGATCCAGAGCTGGGTTCAAGTCCTGAATGTCTTTGTTAATTTTCTGTCTCAATGGTCTGTCTAATATTTTCAGTAGGGTGTTAAAGTTTCCCACTATTATTGTGTGGGAATCCAAGTCTCTTTGAAGGTCTCTAAGAACCTGCTTTATGAATCTGGGTGCTCCTGTATTGGGTGCATATATATTTAGGATAATTAGCTCTTCTTGTTACATTGAACTCTTTGCCATTATATGATGCTCTTGTCTTTTTTTATCTTTGTTGGTTTAAAATCTCTTTGTCAGAAACTAGGACTGCAACCCCTGCTTCTTCTGTTTTCCATTTGTGTGGTAAATTTTCCTCCAACTATTTTGAGCCTATATGTGTCTTTGCATGTGAGATAGGTCTCTTGAGGGTAGCATACCAATGGGTCTTGGTTCTTTATCCAACTTGCCACTCTCTTTTAATTGAGGGCATTTAGCCCATTTACACTTAAGATTAGTATTGCTATGTGTGGATTTGATTCTATCATCATGATGCTAGCTATTTGGCAGACTTGTTTATGTGGTTGCTTCATAGTATCACTGGTCTGTGTACTTCAGTGTGTTTTTGTAGTGGCTGTAATAGTTTTTCCTTTCCATATTTACTGCTTTCTTCAGGAGCTCTTGCAAGGCAGGCCTGGTGGTAACAAATTCCCTCAGCATTCTCCTTTGCTTATGAAGCTTAGTTTGGCCAGATATGAAATTCTGGGTTGGAAATTCTTTTCTTTAAAAATGTTGGATATTCTCTCCCTACCTCTTCTGGCTTGTAGAGTTTCTGCCGAGAGATCCACTGTTAGTCTGATGGGGTTCCCTTTGTAGGTGACCTGGTCTTTCCCTCTGGCTACCCTTAAACATTTTTTTCTTTCATTTTGACCTTGGAGAGTCTGGTAATTATGTGTGTTGGGGATGATCTTCTTGTGGAATATCTTACTGGGGTTCTCTGAATTTCCTGAATTTGAATGTTGGCCTGTCTTGGTAGGTTGAGGAAGTTCTCCTGGATAATATCCTTAAGTATTCCAATTTGGTTATTCTCCCCATGTCTTTCAGGTACCCCAATCAATCATAGATTCAGTCTCTTTACATAATATCATATTTCTCAAAGGTTTTGTTCATTCCTTTTCATTCTTTTTTTGCTATTATTGTCTGCCTGTCTTATTTCGGAAAGATAGGCTTCAAGCTGTGAGATTCTTTCACCTGCTTAGTCTATTCTGCTATGAATACATTAGATTGCATTGTGAAGTTGGTGTCTTTTTCAGCTCTAAGAGTTCAGCTATATTCCTCTCTAAACTGGCTATTTTGGCTCTCAGCTCATGTATTATCATGATTCTTACCTTCTTTGCATTGGGTTACAACATGCCTCTTTAGCTCAGTGAAGTTTGTTGTTACCCGCCTTCTGAAGCTTACTTCTGTCATTTCATTCATCTCAGCCTCAGCCTAGTTCTGAGCCCTTGCTGGAGAGGTGTTGTGGTCATTTGGAGGAAAAGGGGCACTCTGGCTTTTTGAGTTTTCAGTATTTTTGCATCGATTCTTTCTCAACTTTGTGGGCTTATCTACCTTCAGTCTTTGAGATTGATGACCTTTGGATGAGGTTTTTGTGGGGTTTTGTTGTTGTTGTTTTCTGTTTATCTTTTAACAGTCTGGCCACTTCTGTAGGTCTGCTGTGGTTTGCTGAGGGTCCACTCCAGACCCTAGCTGCCTGGGTTTTTCCAGTATAATGATCACATGAAGGACTCTGAAGGCAGGTAGACTCCTTTTGGAAAGCAGAGGAACTGAGCAAAACCCAGTATTGGAACCATATACAGCATGATTTGCATCATTTGGCCCAGGTTTATTTGATAAAGTCCAGTTGTTCATCCTTGCAAGGTAAGTACCTTACCATATGGTGGTTATTCACAGATTTAAGAGGATGGGAAATAGGGCCCATTTAAATTATATATCTAATTAATGAGAACCAAATAACAAAAAATCTCTTTGGTATGGATGAAAAAATGACATTTTTAATTATTAATAATATTGTTTGTGATCATTATTATATCATTAATAGCAACAGATATTAAGGGAAATGTCACTCTTGTTCCTTGAGTTGCCAATATCTCAAATGCCTACTTTTATGCTAAGAGAGCAAGTTAACTTTCCTGAGCAACGTTCTTTTGGTGAATATAGCGGGGTCCTTCACCAGTTTATCACTGAATTTATACAACACATTTCATGCGCTGACAAGATTTCTCCTGAGTAGTTGAGGGAAGAATGTGTGCCACTAGTTTACAGGAAACAGATACATCTGTGGACTCCCTGTAGTGAAATGGGTGTATAAGTTGTCTTAGATTTTGCAGTCTATAAAAATCCCACTTGAGACTTAGGTGCAATGTCAGGTAGGGGCACAGCGGGCAAGATTGCAATGACTACTGCCCTGGACCTGACCTTGCATTACCTTGACTTCCTCAGTTACCCCAAGTTGTGAGCCTCAGAAGGACTGACTTATGCAAACTGAATCCAGAAATGAATGCATAATCTAGAACACCAATTTCTTTCTATCTTTCCTCTTTTCAATAACCAGTGAGGTAAGGTAATTTTCCTAGGGCCATATAGCTGTTAAAGACTTGACCTGGAGTATAATTCAAGTATTTTGATTCTGTCCGAAATTAAAGGTACTGAAAGTGCAGTACCAATACCAATGGAATTGTAGGATGATAAAGATCAATACACTAAGAACCAGAAATGTTATTTGCAGACATGTTATCTCTCTGTAAAATTAAGTCTGATTAATTGACCTAACCCCTGCCTTATGAGGATATATGTTTCTGGCTGCAGAAACATGTGGAGCACATTGAAGCCTGGCAGTTCTTTTAGGCCATCATTATACTATTGTGCACATTACTGAAATGCAGTTCTTAATTGCCACTACCATGACTGTCCTCACCACAGTTGGCATCACCATCAACTTCACTATCATCATAGTCTATATGGCAATTAAAGCAAAATTCTAATATTTTAAAATCAACCAGAATACAGGACAGTCCTGTTCCTGACTCCCCAGAGTCTTGAGCCCTGTGGAAGAAACTGACATTCCAAGGTGGCTGGTGCATGGATACTCTTATGGGTTGAATCGTGTGTCCCCTGTCCCCCTCCAAATTCATATCTTGAAGTCCTAACCTGTAGTACCTGAGAACATCACCTTATTTGGAGATATGGTATTTTTTTTTTTTCTTTGAGATGGAGTCTTGCTCTTGTTGCCCAGGCTGGAGTGCAATGGTACAATCTTGGCTCACTGCAACCTCCACCTCTCAGGTTCAAGCAATTCTCCTGACTCAGCCTCCTGAGTAGCTGGGATTACAGACACGTGCCACCACGCCCAGCTAATTTTTGTATTTTTAGTAGAGACAGGATTTCACCACGTTGGCCAGGCTGGTCTTGAACTCCTGACCTCATGATCCGCCTGCCTTGGCCTCCCAAAGTGCTGGGATTACAGGCATCAGCCACTGTGCCCGGCTGGAGATATGCTCTTTATCAAATTAAAATGAAGTCATTAGGGTGGGTTCTATTCCAATGTGACTGGTATCCTTATAGAAGGAAAATTTGGAGACAGACACATATACAGGGAAGATACCAACTGAACATGAAGATGACCGCCTACAAGCCAAAGAGAAGAGGCATGGAATGGATCCTTCTCTCATAGCCCTCAGAAGGAACCAACTCTGCCAGCACCTTGATTTTGGATTTCTGGCCTCCAAAACTGTGAGACAATACATTTCTGTTTTATAAGACACCAAGTTTGTAGTACTTTGTTGTGGCAGTCCTAGTAAACTAATATAGACACCAAATGAAATATTGTGACTGTCCTCCCAGTGTGTGAACTGTGGCAAAAAGTCATAAAGATGAGCTACATATAGCCTGTCAAGAGGATTCCAGTGGCTTCTCACTTCAGCCAATCCTGGCATACCAGCAAGAAGGCCTGGCCGCCAGGGCAGTCTCAGTCTGTGTTAGTTTCCATTATTTGGCAGCTGCTAAGTGGATACATTTTCAGTGGTCATCCATGCCAACAAAAGCCATTTCGAAGTGTTATGTTTACAGGTTGTCAGCTTGTTTTCTAAACTTCCCTAATTGGAGTACACAAAGACACATCGTCTCTGAGTCTTTGCATTCAGGATGGACTCGTTGAAATAAGACATAATTTCAAGGGATGAATGTACAGTCATTTCTTAAACAAGTTTGCTGCATGGGTAAAAGGTAAATTGAAAGAGATCTGGTTGAACAATACTTCTTGTCAACTTGACATAGCAAGGGGCTTCATTGATTATGAATTTATAATGAGCCAACAGGAGTATGGCTGCCCAGAAAGCTAAGAAATCATTAATGCCCAGAAAGCATTAAAGCATGTCAGCTAATACGAGGCAGCAATTCTGCTGTATGCTGCATGGACCAGATCATGCCTGACCTGCACTGTACAGATTATCTTTGCACCAGATCCTCTGAGCTCATCTAAAAGGGATGTGGGTGGGATGGTTGAGGATGGGATGGTGAAAAGGAAATTATGTTATATCAGCGACAACAGATGGAAATTGATTTATGTAGCCTAGGGAAGGAAAGATTTGGGAAGCAAAGGAGGAGGCAATATTGGCTGTTTATCATCAAATACAGAAAGAGTACCATGTGGAAAGAGGATCATAGTTGTTCTCAGGGTCCCCAAGAGGTTGAGTCAAGACCAATTCGAGTTACTGTAGACAATTTCCAGCTCAAGGTAAAAAAGCTATTGTGTAATTATTAGTTCCCTTAAAATAGGCTTGACTGCTTAGTGACATGGTGAGCTTGTTATACTGGAAGACCCAAGCAAAGGCTGAAAAGCACTTTTTATAGGGAGGGAAAGATGGATGTAAGGTGAGACTTTGAGAGCTGCTATTCAAAGGTGTGGTGAGGACAGCCCATGGAGATTCTGGAAGCCATCCTGGCTCATGCTGCTGACAGAGTGTTAGGTTGTGTCAGAGTGGTGACATTAATGCACAGAAAGCATTAAGGCATGTTAGCTCAGGGGAAGCAGTAATTACCAGAGTCACCCTAATGGTAACCGTTTTCTCCATCTTAGTAAAACAGACTGTAGGCATAGGCATGTTATCTAACATAAATTACCACTGATAGATGCAGGAGGCAGCTAAGGAAGGGTACCTGGAGAATCTCCAACCCACCTCACAAGTGTTTATGTCAGATGCTTTTGTGCAGATGAGGGAATCTGCCCAGGGCCTTGTCTGGGCATGCCCACAATGGACTGGGGGCCCACCTGTGCACTGGAAGAGTGGGGTGGAGCTCCCAGGAATGTGTGCCTTGTGCAGTGGAGAGGAGCCTGGACTCTTCAGCTCATGTGTGGTGGTCTGGTGGTCTGGTGGTCTGGTATTCAATCTGTGAGGTGGAAGCCTGTTTGCAGGATGCCCTCTTTTTTGTTCAGAGCTTTCTTTCCTTTTTTTTTTTTTTTTTTTTTTTCAGATGGAGTCTCACTCTGTCACTCAGGCTGGAGTGCAGTGGCGCAGTCTTGGCTCATTGCAACCTCTGCCTCCTGGGTTCAAGTGATTCTCCTGCCTCAGCCTCCTGAGTAGCTGGGATTACAGGTGTGTGCCACCATGCCTAATTTTTGTATTTTTAGTAGAGACGGGGTTTCAACATGTTGGTCAGGCTAGTTTCGAATTCCTGACCTCAAGTGATCTGCCTACCTCAGCTTTCCAAAGTACTGGGATTATAGGCGTGGGCCAATGCACCTGGCCGCTGACAGCTTTCTTTTAATAAATTCTGCTCTCTCACCTTTTAACGTGTCCACTACCTAATTTTTCCTGGTCATGGGACAAGAACCCAGGTTTTAGCTAAGCTAAGGAGCAAAGATCCTGCATCACCATCTACCAAGAGCTACTGTGGTTACTGAAAATGGCCCTGGGATGCTGTGCACCTCCATCTAAGCTGACAAGTTACTTGCTCAAAGGCAGGGAGGATTGGGGCTCCCAGGCACCTCAGCAGCTTAAGCCTTGCTCTTGTAGCTAGCAAATTGAGACTGCATGCCACAGCTGTTAAGATCATGGACTTTGGCTGGGTGTGGTGGCTCACACCTGTAATCCCAGCACTGTGGGAGGCCAAGGTGGGTGGATCACTCAAGGTCAGGAGTTCGAGACCAGCCTGGCCAACATAGTGAAACCCTGTCTCTATGAAAAATACAAAAATTACCCGGGTGTGGCGGAGGGTGCCTGTAATCCCAGCTACTCAGGAGGCTGAGGTAGGAGAATCACTTGAACTGGGGAGGTGGAGGTTGCAGTGAGCCGAGATTGCACCACTGCACTCCAGCCTGGGTGACAAGAATGAAACTCCATCTCAAAAAAACAAAAAACCAAAAAAACCCCCAAAAAACAAAAAACAAATTCATGGACTTTGGAGCTACATTGCCACAGTTCAAATCCTAGCTCTAACCTTACTACCCATATGAAATCTTCTTTTATTTAAGCTCTGGTGCCTGTTCGTTTGTAAACCAGAAATGATAATAATGGAAACTGCCTCATAGGTTGTTTTGAGAATGAAATCAGTAAAAGGATGTTACATACTTGGAACAGAGTCCACTGCTCTACATTTTACATTGTACTTTTAATCTGTCTGCCCCCAGCTGACACCTGCATTAGAATACTTACACCACCCAGCCTCTAAAAACATTTCAATATGTGGGAATTCCACCTAGATTCAAACCTGAGGTGTCATCCCAGCAGTCTATAATCAATCTTTGAAACAGAAATCAGATTTTGGATGGAAAACCACTGAAATATTCTGTTCTAATTAAACTGAGGCAAGCTTCCTGCTAAGTTCTATAGCAGGGGTTCTCAGAGTGTGGTCCCTAGATTAGCTGCATCAGCATTGCCTGGAAACCTTTTAGAAATGCAAATTTTTCTGGCCTCACTCTGGTCCTACTGTATCAGAGACTGTAAGGGTGGGCCCCGTCATCTGGGTTTGGCAAGCCCTTCAGGAAATTCTAATGCATGCTCAGGTTTGAGAGTATTCTTCATTCAGAACATCTGGGGTGAAGACCAAGATGTGCATCTAACTGGCACGTAGGTGACACTGATGCTTCAGGTCAGGGACTACATTTTAAGAACGACTGCTGTATAGGCTCTGAGCCTCTTTTGGGGGAGCTAAGACTGACACATATAAAAGAATTTAGAGGTCAGTTAAGTCTCTGAAGTTGTAGGGAGGCGCCTGAGTGCAGCATGAGAAACGATAAAGCACAGAAGACTGAAACTAGAGTGAAGCCAAGAGGCTGAAGGGGGAGGGAGCCTCGCAGCTTGAGACACAAAGGAGGCCAAGTGCTGACCACCCCGCTGCAGAGAAGGGCCTGCAGCGCGGAAATACAGACTTGTCCACATTAGGCCAGATCACAGAGAAATGGTAAAAGTCCGGCAGAGGAATTCGGACTTCACTCAGGAGTTCCTGCTGGTTCTGAAGCAGGAAAATGAGAAGTGGCCTCAGGGAATTAGAAAGGTCAGTCTGGGTAAATTTAAGAAGAAAGTGAAGAGGCTACGTTGTGTGGGGTGAATACCCATGGTTCATTGTCTCGCACCAAGAAAATTTAGGATAGGGACACACATGAGGAGTTTAGGAGTGGAAGTTTAATATGCAAAAGAAAAAGAAAGGAGAAAGGAAACCAGCTCTCTCTAGGGAGAGAGAGGGGCTTCCCAGAGGAAAGACTGGCTGGCAGTGGACTCACAGGATTTTATAGTCAGGCTTGAGAAGGCATTGTCTGATTTACATAGGGCTCACAGATTGGTTCAGTCAGGCGTGATGTTTACATAGTGCAGGGGAAGGCTGGTGGGCCCCACCCTAATCTTATTATGCAAATCAACTTTACCCTTGGCCCGAGCCATGTTGTCTGCTCCTTACTGTACATATGGCTGGCAGAGAAGGGAGAAGGGAGCCACCATTCTGAACATGATTGGCACAACTGCCGGCATCTATGTCTGCAGCTTGATTTTACAGGCTGCTGTTTGTTAGAAAGGAAAATGATTTGGGGCTGCTTTTCATTAAAAGGAAAACCTTACCGAGGACTTCCATACCCTCACTATCTGCCTAAGTAATTTCTTCTTAACTCCTCTATCAAAAGTGACTGGAGAAAAGGCTGCAGTCAGGAAAGCTTGGAGGCAGCAAGCAGGATGCGGCTTAAGAGGCTGTGCAGGCCTTGAAGTCAGCCAGACGGCAGGGTGGAGGCCCAGCTTCACCATTGCGGTCACTTGCTTCTTGGGCAGTCATCCTGTGTGCTTAGCTTGATTATCTGTAAAACAGGGTTGAGAATCATCCCTGCCTTACATGGCCATTACTACCAACTAAGAAGGATTTGAATTAGCATCATAGCAGGTAATGGAGAGGAAAAAGTTAAACAAAACAAAACCCAAAATTCTCTCTAGGCACTGAGCTTAAGAATATGAAAGAATGGTGATACCAACAACCACAAAGAAGACTCCAGAATGAGGAAAATAAATCCAGTTTTCTCTCAGAAACTGTATTTCAAACTACACTTTTCAAATCTACCAAAAGTAGAAATATATTAATTCATTCTTGTTTCTAGTTAGCTTAAGTATTATCTTCTCCTAAGAGAGCTAAAGTGAAATCTTTGTTTTGATAATTGGTTCTGGGAAGAGAATTTACATCTTTTAAATTTTTATTGGTGTTTGGGGGGTGTTAAAATAAATGTAAACTCATGTTGTAATTAGTATTTTAATTGTTATTATTTTCTGGGGTCTGTGGTGTTTAATTTCCTTTATAGCCATAAAGAGAATGTTTATTCCTACTGATGTTTAAAGAAGAGCATCCCCAAAGACACAAAGTCACTTTCAAAATGTTCTTTTCTTCTAGGATCCACTGGTGTTGATGAATGGAGTAATCCACAAGCCGGAGGATCTGGTGGAAACATCGGTGCTCACACATCACATTCCGGTAGGAAAACGCAATGCTCCACGTGAATTTGTAATCCATGAGTTTGGACCTCTGAGCTAACTTTATTTAAATTTATTTTGTCTTTAATTTATTTTGTTTTTTACTGGGAAATCACAAAACATATTTAACTGGATATTTGGTAATGTGAAAATAATGTCGTCCCATCAATTTTAAGGTTTTCTAACATCCCATTTTGAGATTTGGAAAAGAATGACCTTAAATGTGCCAAACCCAATAAATTTTGAATTTCAAAAATCTTTAAATTTTACAAAAAGTAAAAACTTATTAAGCACTTATTGTGTGCCAAGCACTGTGTTGAGTCTGGGGGATACTAAGCAAGTGGTTATAAATCACCGTCTCGGTTCTTGCAGGCTCCTGGGATGAGGAGACAGCTGATAGGTGAAAAGGCCACCTGGCTTTCCTCACTCCCTGAGCCTCTATCTACCCCAGCAGCTGGGCTTCCTTAAATCTCATGCGTTATGCTCAGTTCTGTCCTAGGCAGTGGAAGAAATCCTTCCTAGGCAAGGTGCATAAGAAGGTCTTGATGTCATGAACACTTAGGCATAGGATTCAGCCAGTGTTGCTCCTCCATTATCAGCCAGTGTGGCTCCTCCATTATCAGGTCAGCATTGCCACTTTTTTCACTCTGACCCACTTTGTTAGCATTCCTGATACTATTTTCCATTCCTTAAGCCATTATTTCTGAAATTAATTTTCTGAATTGTTCCTCAGGAGTTGGGCTTCCTGACCCCTGTAACCCACTGTCCCAGGGGACTGAATCTCTCACAGCTCCTGTCTGAGGTCCCAGTGCTTTTCATCCTCAAACTTTTCCTTGGTCAAATGCCACTAATTGGCCAGCTGCAGTGGCTCACATCTAGTGCTTTGGGAGGATGAGGATGGAGGATTGCTTGAGGCCAGGAGGAATTTGAGACCAGCCTGGGAAACATAGTGAGACCTCCATCTCTACAAAACAAAATAAAAATTCCACTAACTTTCTACCCGACTCCTACTGGGATGGTCATCTGAGATCTTGGTCCTATTTAGACTACATATAAAGGGCTTGATTCTTGCTTGTTTTTTCTTATCTTATAGTGCTCACTCTTAGACCACACTGACACCTCTACATCTGCACTCATGTCCCCATGTAGCAATTTCATTCAGCAGGAATGTTTTTACCCTCTTAGTGGCAGGTAGAGGGATAGGTGCTGGGGATAAAACTGCACCGGGATCATCTCTGCTCTCAAGCAGTGCACAGGCTAGTGGAGAAGACAGACAACATCATTGCTTTCTTTGATTATTCTTTCCTCCAACCCCCACATCTACCACATCAGCGAGTCTTCCCACCTGTTCCTACAGAAGATATCCTTTATCAGCCAACATATCCAGATGACAACTGCTGCCAGCCTGGTTTGAGCCACCTTGAAATCTCATGGGAACGCTGAGAAATAATCAAAATATTTAACAACTGCTAATGGCACAGCATGGTGCCAACCAACTGCATCCAGTCAGCAAATGTTGGCCATAAAGAATCCAGGCCACAGTACCAGTATTTGCCAGCTAAATATTAGCCCTGCACCTGCACTCCAATAGCTTATCTGGTCTCTTCCACAAGCCTCTCTGTAATCATCTTTCATACACCAGTCAGAATGATCTTTTAAAAATGTAAATCAGACTAAGCTACTTCCCTGCTTAAAACCTTCCAAAGGTTTTCTTCCCATTTCTCTCAGAAAAGAAAAATTAAAAAAAAAATTATAAATAAATGTTTAAAAATGTACTTAGGTCTTCTTTAACGTCTTTCAGTAAGTTTTAGGATTTTCTCCATAAACATTTGCACAGATAGACATGTCATATTTGTCCCTAAGTTCCACATATATTTAGCTATTATAAATAGTATCTTTTTAATATTAATTTTATTTCGGTTTGTAGTGCAATTGATTTAGGTTGACTTAATATATAGCGACCTTGCTAAACTCTTACATCTAGTAATTTATTAAGGATTCTTTTATCTTTTAGGTTTTCTATGTAGTTATTTTTATCTTTGGTGAATAATGACTATTTCTTTCTTTTCAATGTTTATGCCTTTTCTTTCTTTCACTTGTGTTCACTGGTAAGTACAATACTGATTAGAAGTGGTGATAATGAGCACCTTTACTTGTTCTTGATTTTAAGGGGAATGCTATTATGATATCCCCATTGAGTATGATGTTTACAAAATGATTTGGGTTCTTTTTCTATTGTTCCTTCTATTCTCAATTTACTAAGAATTTTTTTGGTGAACCAATACTGAATTTTATCTAATGCCTTTTCTGCATTTAAGGGATACCATGTTTCTATGTGGAGCACATACATTCATTCATTTCCATGAAGCAGAGCTGCTGGTTCGTAGAGGATGTGTATCTTAAAGTTCAGTAAATAATGCCAAACTATTTTTCAAAATGATTATTTTATACTCTACCATCAGCCATGTATAAAGTTTCTGTTGTTTCACATCCTTGTCAATAGCTGGTATTACCAGTCTTTTTAATTTTAGCCATTCCAATGAGTATGTAGTGGTATCTAATTGTGGTTTTAGTTCACATTTCCCTGGTTACCAAGATTAAGCATCTTTTCATATGTTTATTGAACATACAGATATCCTCTTTTGTAAAGTGTTCTGATTTCCTAGCCATTTTCCTCTAGATTACTTTTTTCTTTGAATTTATATGAGTTCTTTATATATTCTTCACACCAGTCCATTGTTGGTTATATATTTTACAAATAATACCTTGTTCCATACTGTGGCTTTTTACTCTCTTGTGTTTTTTGATAAACAGTTCTTAAATATTGAGTAGCCAAATGTATTGATTTTTTCCCTTTGTAGTTAATACTTTTCGGGCTTCATGTAAGGGTTTATTCTCTAGAGATCATGAAATATTCTCTATATTATTTTCTGATAACTTTGTTGTTTTGCCTTTTACATTTAAGTCTAGAAATCACCTAGAGTTGTTTGTATATGGTGTGAGGTAGAGGTCAAGTTTCAGGTTTTTTCCATATTAATATCCAGTTGTCACAACATTATCTTTTTTCTGCTGCTCTGCAGTGATTCCTTTGTCATTAATCAAGTGTATACACATGGATCTTTTGTGAGTTCTCAACTCTGTGCCATTGGTTCATTTGTTTATGCTTGCACCAATAGTGAGTGGAATTTATTACTTAATCTTTTTAAGTCTTGAGAATATGTAGAAGACTTCCCACCTTGTTCTTGAGCAATGTCACAACTATTTTTATATTTTCTTATATATTTTAGAATCAGCTTATCAAATTCCACCAAAACTAAACAGAAAAAAGAAAAATGAAACAAAACAACAATCCTCCTCCCCCAACAAATATTTCATGTTTTATTTGCTTACATCTTCTAACATTTCAATAATGTTTTATACTTTATTAAATATATACTTTTCTATGTAGAGGTCTTACATTCTTGCACATTATATTTATTCCTAAATTTTTTATATTTTATGTAGCTATTGTATATTTGTTATTTGCTCTATGGCATGCTACCATGAATCAATGGATCAACTAGATGGACGTACAGTGTTAGAATTGTGAATTTTTTTTTTTTTTTTTGACAGAGTCTCACTTTGTCACTCAGGCTGGAGTGCAGTGGCACGATCTGGGCTCACAGCAACCTCTGCCTCCCGGGTTCAAGCAATTCTCCTGCATCAGCCTCCCAAGCAGCTGGGATTACAGGCATGCACCACCACACCCAGCTAATTTTTGTATTTTTAGTAGAGACGGGGTTTCCCCATATTGGCCAGGCTGGTCACGAACTCCTGACCTTGTGATCCACCCGCCTCTGCCTCCCAAAGTGCTGGGATTACAGGTGTGAGCCACCACACCCGGCCCACGTGAATGGTTTTAATAAAACATTTAATTAGATATGGTTAAGTTGTCAAAAACAAACATTTCTCCTTGGCTTAAAAATGTTATAACACAGGGTTGGACGCAGTGGCTCATGCCTGTAATTCCAGAACATTGGAAGGCCAAGACAGAAGGACTCCTTGAGCACAGGAGTTCCAGACCAGCCTGAGCAACATAGCAAAACCTCACCTCTACTAAAATAAATAAATAAATACATAAAAGCCAGGCATGATGGCATGTACCTGTAGTCCTAGCTACTCAGGAGGCTGAGGTGCGAGGATTGCTGGACCCCAGGAGATGGAGGCTGCTGTGAGCTTGATCAAGTCACTGCACTCTAGCCTGGGTGACAGAGACCCTGTCTGGAAAAAAAAAGTGATAACACAAAACTTGCACATGAATGTTTATAGCAGCTTTATTCATAATTTTCAAAACTTGAAAGCAACCAAGATGTCCTTCAGTAGGTGAATGGATATTGACATCAGGGGTTTTTCTGGACAAATCATACACCCAGATCACCCTACAGTGAAATTCAAAAAAGTGATAACACAAAATCCATTCAGTAGGTGAATAGATACATCAGTGGTTTTCTGGACAAATCATACACCCAGATCACCCTACAGTGAAATTCAAAGTTAAAAGCACCAGCTATCTACTTGGAGCTTCCTCTCTTTGTACTTTTTAATTTTTACTTTTAATCATGGACAGCAACCAAGAAAATCCAATAATGTAGAAGGAAGGGACCCAAACAACAGACAAAGGAATATGGAGGAAGCAGATGCTGCAGGATTGGATTAACTGTAGTACGTCCCAACAATGAAGTATTATTCAGTGCTAAAAAGAAATGAGCAATCAAGCCATGAAGGGACATGGAGGAACCATAAATGCGTATTACTAAGTGAAGGAAGCCAATCTGAAAAGCTATATACTGTAAGATTCCAACTATGTGACATTCTGGAAAAGGCAAAACTATGGAGACAGTGTAAAAATCTGTGGATGCCAGTGGTTAGCAAGGAGAGAGGAATGAATAGGTAGAGCACAGATAATTTTGAGGGCAGTGAAACTATTCTGTATGATACTATAATGCTGGATACACATCATTATACATTTGTCAAAGCCCATAGAATGTACAGCACCAATATAAAATTCAATACAAATATGTAGGAATTCCTCATTTGGTTAGTATGCAGAAAAGAGTTACCGTAACAGGCCTAAGACTGCGATCTTTAGAAAGGCCTGCTTCCTGAAGGTTGGCCTGTAGGTGGATTTGGGAGTGTTCCTGCTGTTCCCTGAGTCTCTAATGAGCTTCCATGGCAGACAGCCCTTCACACATGTTACAACGTGATGCTTGTGCTTGGCCTCCTCCTGTCTTCTTCCTGTGCACTTTTTCCCTTTGCTCTTTTGCTTCATATTCTTCTGCTGTAATAAATCTTAACTGTGAGTACAACTGAGTCCTATGAGTTCTTTTAGTGCATCACTGAACCTGGAGGTGATCTTAGGGATCCCTAACACAGGTAGATATGTGTTTTCTTCTGTGTCACAGAATACAGTCTGATTCTATGAGTCAGAAGGCTCTTTTCCTTGAAAACTTGATTCAGTGCAACCATTCATGTTAAAAACATAGTTACATTTCAGTATCATGAGGGATTGGTTCCAGGACTCCCAGATACCAAAATCCATGGATGCTCAAGTCCCTTATATAAAATGGCATAATCTATGCACATCCTCCTGTACTTCAAATAATCTCTAGATTAATTATAATAATACGATGTAATGCTATGTTGACAGTGCTCTTGCCGTATTTTTATTTGCATTTTTAAATTGCTGTATTATTTGTTATTTTTAAATACTGTTATCTGACATTGGTTAAAACCATGGATGTGGAACCTCTGGTTATGGAGGTTCAATTGTACTTTTTTTTTTTTTGAGACAGGATCTTGTTTTGTCACCCAGGCTGGAGTGCAGTGGCATGATCATAGTTCACTTCAGCCTCAACCTCCCGGCTTCAAGCAATCCTCTCATCTCAGCCTCCCGAGCAGCTGGGACTACAAGCTTTTACCACCGCACTGGCACACAGGGCTAATTTTTTGCTTTTTATTTTTTGTAGAGACAGGGTCTATGTTCCCCAGGCTGGTCTCAAACTCCTGCCCTCAAGTAATCCTCCTGCCTTGGCCTGCCAAAGTTATGCAATTGCAGGTGTGAGCCACAGTGCCTGGCCTAGCTTTTCATTCTGAAAACGCGTGTTCTTCAGTCCTGGAGCCTTGATAATTACTTATTTCTTTTCTTTTCTTTTTTTTTTTTTTTTTTGGAGACAGAGTCTCACTCTGTTGCTGAGGCTGGAGTGCAGTGGTGTGATCTCTGCAACCTCCACCTCCCAGGTTCAAGCGATTCTCCTGCCTCAGCCTTCCGAGTAGCTGGGATTACAGGTGTCTGCCACCATGCCCAGATAATTTTTGTATTTTTAGTAGAGATGGGGTTTCACAATGTTGGCCAGGCTGGTCTCAAACTCCTGAGCTCAAGTGATCTGCCCACCTCGGCCTCCCACAGTGCCGGGATTACAAGCATGAACCACTGTGCCCAGCCCAAATTACTTATTTCTTCTTATTTGTACTACGCTGCTTCTCAAGCACCTTTAAGAATTATTTATTTCATCCCCTCTGTACTGCGTTTTCCAATTTTCTTATCTTTCAGAGTTTTTGCTCTACATTCCTCAGTGTTATCTTCTACTAATAGTTTTTTCACTTCTTTCTTATTTCTATTAACTTTTAAAAATCCCCTACCCCTTTTATTGCACCCTGTTGTGGCTTCATCTTCTCTTATTTTTCTGGGGCTATTATGAGAATTTTTAAAAGTGTTCTCCCTGCAGCATCTGCTTCCTCCATATTCCTTTGTCTGTTGTTTGGGTCCCTTCTTTCTACATTATTGGATTTTTTTGGTTGCTGTCCATGATTAAAAGTAAAAATTAAAAAGTACAAAGAGAGGAAGCTCCAAGTAGATAGCTGGTGCTTTTAACTTTGAATTTCACTGTAGGGTGATCTGGGTGTATGATTTGTCCAGAAAACCCGATGTCAGTATCTTTGCTCAGCCTCTTAGGTTAATCAGATAGCGAGGGGTTTCAGTTTTCAGTAGGCATAAAGCCACTTATTCTCCGTTTTAGGTGGAATACCCACTCAGCAGAGAATTTATCCCCTTCAGGGAATTCAGCCGGGGTGGGAGCCCGTGGTGGGAAAGAGGGGCAGCTGCCCAGAGACATGAAGCTGGAAAAAGGATCTAGCGATCAGAGTCCTTGAGCAGCCTTTGACTAATCTCCCCCTTTTCCGATTTACCTCTCATACTCATACTTGTGCTCTCCAGCTTCCAACATTTTGTTGCTGTTATCTCTTTGTCCTTGTGTTTAGGTTGTTAAACTTGATTTTTAACAGGAGAGTAGGCAAAATTAGATGCTTGAATTCAAACCACGATCTTAACTAAGACCTGATATCCGTAAGTAAAAATTTTTGGTATTCCAGCTTTCTTTTGAGTAGCAAAAGAAAAACAAAGTCTTTTGGCCACTCCAACCATGTTACTCAGTAGGCCCTTCCAAAGACACCCACTTCTCCATTTTGGGGATCCCCTTGTACCTTCAGACTCCACAAGGAGTACACGACCAGCCACGACAAAACGAGATGCAGACTATTGGGAGGACTATAAACGGTAGGGGTGATACCCATTTGAGTCCACGAACGGCCCTCTCGGCGCCGCAGACACTGGCTGTCCCCCGAGACGCTCCAGCAGCCACTTAACTTCACCCACCTGTAGCGCCCGGGGACGCTCGAAGCCCGACCTCCCACGCCCGCCCCGGAGCCCCGCCCCTCCCGCCCCTCCCCGCCCTTCCCGACTCTCCCCGCCCCTTCCTGCCCCGACGCGCAGCAGGCCCCGCCCACCCAGGCGGTAGGAACCCACTCCGGCCCGCTAGACCTGCTGCTATGTCCCGGCCGCAGCTTCGACGCTGGCGCCTCGTCTCTAGCCCGCCGAGCGGCGTCCCGGGTCTAGCGCTGCTGGCGCTGCTGGCGCTGCTGGCGCTGCGGCTCGCGGCCGGGACCGACTGCCCATGCCCGGAGCCTGAGCTCTGCCGCCCGATTCGCCACCATCCAGATTTCGAGGTCAGCGCCTTCCTCTGCTCCTCTAGGTCTGGGCTTCAGGGCACGAAGAGAAGTTAGGGTAGAACGGAGCCCTAAGGAGAGGTGCCGTGGGCGCCGAAACCAGCTTTGACCACTCGATGAGGGCCTTCCTGTTTACGGATCCTTCAATTTATAGATGAGGAAGCTCGGGCTCAGAGAAGTTGAGTAACTCCTCAGGCCTCACAGCCTGTAAGTGCCTGCGTAGGCAGGCGAGAGTTCAAACCAGATCTGCCTCCTAAGGCAAGCTCCTTTCATTCCCCTGCTGTGCCTCTGCGGAAGCACTCTGGGTGTAAAAAGCAAACAAGGTAGGATAATCCATTTATGTTTCCAAGGAACGAGGATTTCGTTTGAAAGAATCTCAGCACTCCAACAGTACATTAGAATGCAGAGTATTTTGCTTACCTTTAGTTTTCTATACCTGCTAGCCCTTTCCTTTAAAGTACCTCAAAACCACCCATGAAGAGTGGTAAAAAAAATAGCTTTCAGTACATTTTCCTTCTATCTACATAACAATTTGTAAGGCTTCTGGCAACTTTAATCAAACACCTTCTGGAGCAATATTAAAACCACCTGACTGCCCACTTCGATGACTGAAAGCAGGAATTGGATGACATCAGGAAGGTCCAAAGGCTTAATTCAAAGAACGATTCTTTTGTAGAAATAGGCATGATTCCTAGTTCTTAATCTAGTACATTAATCTGAGGCAGAACACTTAGATGCCAGTAAAAAAGTATATATACATGACTTAGGAGAAGAAATAAAAATGGTGAAAGTGTTTATGGAGAACCTGCCTAGTGTGGAAACCTAACATCTTATTAAAAGAAAGACTTCAGACAAAGTAGGATAACCTTTTTTATTTGAGCAAAGAACAACTTATGAATCGGCAGTACTTAAACCAGAAGGGGTTCAGAGAGGTCTGCTTTAGTAGCATGGGCTTTTATAGGCCGAACAGGGAAGCAAAGGAAAATAATTACTTGGTTGGCTATGACTGTTTGCCTTATTTAGCTATGACTTGGTGGAAAATTACTAGTTAGAGGTTAGTTGGCAGTTTCTGATAGGTTAAGCTTAAGTTTCCTTTCACTGTTGACCTTGGGCTGGAGTTTGCTTAAGCAGGAAATCCAAGGCAGTTGGAGCTGTTTCAGCATAATGGCCTCCCAATTAAAATGTTTTATACAATCTGAGGCCCAGCGCGGTGGTAGAGGCAGTGGGGACAGTAGCTGTAAAAGTTCAACCAGACATTTCTTAATTTTCTCAATCTCTTTTTGAGATTGAGAAGCACTTTGTGAGGCCAAGGTGGGTGGATCACTTGAGGTCAGGAATTCGAGAACAGCCTGGCCAACATGGTGAAACCCCGTCTCTACTAAAAATACAAAAATTAGCTGGGCGTGGTGGCGGGCACATGTAATCCGAACTACTTGGGAGGCTGAGGCAGGAGAACCGCTTGAACCTGGGAGGCGGAGCGGGAGGCGGAAGGTTGCAGTTAGCCAAGATCACGCCACTGCACTCCAGCCTGGGCGACAGAGCAAGACTATGTCTCAAAAAAGAGAAAAAAAAAAAACCTGAAAGATTTACTGTAGTACCCAATACTTAGTGGGTTAGGCAATATCTGTGGGCACTTTGAAAACCAACTATTCAAAGAAGCAAAATTATGCTTATTTGTATCTTCATGGTAAATGGTCTTTTTCTCTACTGGCGTTTTCTATGTTTTTCAAACACAAAAACTAGACTACATGGCATTTTCCCCTTATATTTTCAATTAGTTCACCCAGCTTTTTTTTTTTTTAAGGATATCTGTTATATCACAGGCTCTTAGTATTTTTTAAACAAATAGAATCTTAATTATCAGAACTAAAATAGAAGTTTTGATAGAAATATGAGTCAGAAAACAATGGGCCACTTAATTTCACATTATGAATTTTTATTATTTCAGTAGGCAATTGCTTAGCAGAAAAAATGAGTTATGCATAATTAATTCTGAAAAGTTAAAAAAAATTAAAAAAAATTAAGAAATGCCTGGTTTAACTTTTACAGCTGCTATCCCCACTGTCTCTCCCTCATTCATTCCCCTCACAAGGACCCAGTGATCTCTTTTGTAATGCATATCCCCTGAATTAAAACTCTAATTGATTCCCACTGATCCCAAGATAAAATACAACATCTTCAGTGGTCTTGGAAGTCCTACTTAATCTTTCCACTACCGACTTTAAAGGTTTTATCCAGTTCCACATACTTGCAGGATTTCTGTGCTCTACCTACATTGACCTTTTTCAGTTCCAGAATCTCAGAATTCTCCTGAGGTGTAGCGACCTTTGGGCTTTCCCTTCCCTCAGTTGAGAATGCAATCTTTTGTCCATAGGTATATCTCTTCCATCATTCTGCTGATTTCAGCCCACTCCGAAAGTGTGTAGTCCTCAGAAAAGTTTTCGTGCACCATCTGGCTAGCAGGTCCCCTTTATATGCTGGCGTGGCCCCCTGTAACCCCTACAGTCCTTAATACCATTGTAATTAAGTAGTTAACTCCTTACTGGACCTGGTCTCTCTCATTAATCTTTATCTCCTTAGAGCCTAGCAAAATACTCTCCTTGTACCTTATTGGAAATTCAATAAATATTTGCCAAATCAATGAATTAATGCCTTGGAATAAAATAAAAATAATCAGTGAGGCTTCTGTGCTTCTTGAATTAACTGTGGGAAGAAAATATCAGAGAAACACAACATCAGGTGCCTTAGAATTTGACCTAGGTACTATTCTAAGAAGCTAGCTTCACCAAACAAACAAAAAACAGTAAATGTATTTATGGCTCCATCTGCAGTAGCCAGAAACTTGAGTATTATCAGACTTCTCTCCTTTGATTACTCATTCGATTAGTCACAAAGTCCTGTCAATTTTGCCTCCTTAGGATCTTCCAGATCTGTTCACTTAACGCCACTGCTCCACAATTTTAGTTGAGGTCACCATCATCTCTTACTTGGATTCCTCCAACAGTTTCTGTATTCTGCCTCCAGTTTTGGTGTCTCTTTAATCCTTTTCCCACTGCAGCTGAAAATATTTTTCTAAAATGCATACCTTCCCCTTTTAAAAATGCTTTTATTCTCTCCCTTTACCTCAGGATAAACAAGGTAGTACTAACTTCTCAACAGAGCTTATGAGGCCTTTCATGATTTAATCCATGCCTACTACTCTCTGGTCCTTCACTAATGCTCTCTCCCCAAATTCTAGACGTCGGCCATACTAAATATTTAGTTACGCAACCACCATGTTGTCTCTGCCTCCAGGCCTTGGCACTTGCCACTCTTCCTTCCTGGCCCATCCTTCCCCTCTTTCCCAGCCTGGCTAATTACCCCTGCCACCAATTATCTTGGGACCCCTATGTCTTATGCACTTGTACTCTCACTGCCACCATAGTGTTTGGTGTATGGTGATGTTTGATGAACGGTATTTTGGACGGTCAGCATAATATTCTTGGTTTAAATGATGGTGCTCATCTTTGTTCTGGCAGGTCTTTGTGTTTGATGTTGGACAGAAAACTTGGAAATCTTATGATTGGTCACAGATTACAACTGTGGCAACATTTGGAAAATATGACTCAGAACTTATGTGCTACGCTCATTCAAAAGGAGCCAGAGTAGTACTTAAAGGTATGTTGTTTCCAGATCTATGTGTGCAGCAATTGGGAAATTTATCTGTATCACTTGCTATAGTCCCGACTTTCCAAAAAAGTCCTTTTATGTTTATCTGTTTTTGTTAGGATCCTATAATTAATCTTAGATACTGTGTAATTCATTTCACAAACACAGATCTTTTTAAAAGAATTAAACCACTGTATGGTTTTGAGCAAAATGTTAACTGCCAAATTAGCCTTATGACCTTTACTTAATCATAGTCCACAATTTCTGTTTCTAACTTCAGAACAATTTTACTAATGATTTATAATGGTTATTTTGGAGATTCATGAGTAATGGCTTTCTGTTACTTTGGTATATTCTTTCTCCATTGGAAAACTTCAGTTAAGGGCTTAGTCTTCCAAAATAATGAAATGTTTTTGCATACATGTTCAAAAGATATATACTTCTTCCACAGGAGATGTATCCTTAAAGGATATCATTGATCCTGCTTTCAGAGCATCCTGGATAGCTCAAAAACTTAATTTGGCCAAAACACAATATATGGATGGAATTAATATAGATATAGAGCAAGAAGTTAATTGTTTATCACCTGAATATGATGCATTAACTGCTTTAGTCAAAGAAACTACAGACTCTTTCCATCGTGAAATTGAGGGATCACAGGTAAAAACTCATTTATTTTTTGGAAACCTCATATTTTCCATATCAGAATATACTCATGAGGGTATAACTAATATAATCTTTGTTTTATAGTAATGCAATGGGAAAGAGTTTCAGCACTTATTTCCTAAAAAATTTTTCTGGAGCCTTTGGTGTTCTTATTTAAGGAATTTTAAAGCCCTAAATCTATTCTCTATTCACAGCAAAATACAACACTGGGATTACCCCCACTACTTGCCTTGTAGCACAGTTAGAAGTGTTAGGCAATGGGAGAACAAAAATCAAGGGGGGCGCCTAACCAGCTTTTACCAATGCAGGACAGAAACAACCCAGGAGTAGAGGTAGTTCTGGGGAAGTGTATCACTTGCTCTACAGTCTCTGAATTACTTGCACCCAAGGCCCAGTAAAGCTTAAAGGACTAACTACACAGAACTGTGACAGCTATAACAATAGGCAGTGTGCTTCCCCACTGCCATAATGAACATGATTAGAGCAGAAGGTAACAACACAAGCTATCTTGCCAGACAACAGATGGGTAACAGAGGATAATGTGAACCCAGATCAGTGATCCTCAAACTTGGCCACATATCAAGATAACCATAGGTCTTAAGGAAAAGTAAGCATGTGTTTACTTTTCCACACACATGCACACTGTGAACTCACTCCCAGAAATGATTTTTCAAAAGGTTTTGGGTAATCCCAGAGCCCCCAATTTTAAAAAAGTTTCATTGGTGATTATAGTTAAGAAGTAATAGGCTAGACAATGAGTTTTTTTGAAGACGGGGTGCAGCTCCTTGATATCTAACAGAATGCTTAAAAATGTATTCCAGTATAGAGCATTATGAGTATTATAAACCAGTGATTCCTAAACCTGTCTCAGAATTACCTGAGAGTGCTTGTTTAAAATATCCTGAGTGTATTAGTTTGTTCTCACATTGCTATAAAGAAATACCTGAGACTGGGTAATTTATAAAGACAATAGGTTTAATTGGCTCACGGTTCTGCAGGCTATACAGGAAGCATAATGCTGACATCTGCTTGGCTTTTGGGAGGCCTCAGGAAAACTTACAGTCATGGTGGAAGGCAAAGCGGGATCAGCACTTCAAACAGCCAGAGAAGGAGAAAGAGAGAGGGTGGGGAGGTGCCACACACTTTTAAACAATCAGATCTTGTGAGAACTCTATCACGAGAACAGCACTGGAGGGGGAAATCTGCCCCTGTAATCCAGTTACCTCCTACCAGGCCCTACCTCCAACATTGGGGATTACGATTCAACATGAGATTTGGGCGGGGACACAGATCCAAACCATATCACTGAGATTGACTCAGTAGGTCTGGGATAGAGCTTAGAGAACTGTATTTTTGCCAAGTGTCCTAGGTGATTCTGGTAGAGTTGGTCATCATGAATTTGAAAATTACAGGTAAAATAATTTGAGAATTACTGGTAAAATAATAAGCAATATGACGACTGACATTTCTGTGGTTTTATGCAAATAGGGAAGATCTGTCAGTATGGAATTCAACTTGTCAGGAGAGTACAATGTAGATTAAGAACAGCAAATACCTGGCATACAGGCCACAATACCCCTTCTCCTCCTCACACATTTTGGCCTCAGAAACTTTTCCTTCATTCTCTAGATAGTGATTACTAATAGGTTAGAATTGATGTGTGGAATATATGGGAAACAACCTATTTGACAATCCTGATTAAGCTGTAGTGAAAGAGCAGAGAGGAAGAGATTGAGCAAAATCCTTGCAGTAGGAATATCTCTTTCTGTCTCTTGAGAGGTGAGGAGAACAATTTGGGCTACATGTCAAGTTCATGTTAGGTGAATTAGTGGGAGGGACAGTTGCAAAGGTAGGCCAGATTGTGGAAGATCCAGAATGTCAGGCTGAGGACTGTGCATTTTATTCTGTGTGTAATGGGTTATGTGTGTAAAATAGTGTTTGGGGAAACTATTCTGTAGGAGTATGTAAAACTAGATGAGAAAGGAAGATGAGTAAGGACTGCTAACTGAACAATACAGTATCAAGGGATTTAGTTTGGATTTGGATGATGACATAATCCTAAATCAGCAGGTGTACAATAAATACATATTAAATGAATTAATTAATGGAAAGGAAGGGGCAGAACAACTGTGAGATGCCACCCAAAGGGAGACGTGAGGTTAGATTTTGGAAGTAAGGGAAGAAAGAATCAGAAAATGGCCCCAAGGTTTTTAAACTGGTAACCAACAAAAAATGACTAGATAATCTAGAGGGGGGAATGAGTTTTGGGAATAAGATAATAACTTTGGTTTACAGAATTGTGGTCACAGAATTAAAGAGCTACAAATAAATGCCTTGAAGAGTTCTTTCTACACCCTCATTTTTATAGATGGGAAAAATTCAGATGCTTTAATTGACTTAGCAGTGATACAGACCTAACTATAAGATAGCTGACACTAGCACCCAAGTCTTTTGCTTTCTTGTCTAATATAATAATAGTACCATCTCAAAAATATGAGATTAACTGTGAGAGAAAATCCTGGTGAAAACACTCTTACAAAATGGATTGGAAATTTACTTGCTTAGAGGTAGTCATTTATTTTTCTCTATTACTATAATATACCTCTCATTTTGTAATAAGAGGCAGTGATAAAATAGGAACAAATATGTAATAATTTTATTTCATAACTTATTTTGTTGGAAAACTACTGAGCAAAGCTTATAATTATAAAGTGCTAATATTCACGGAATTATAAAGGGAACTTTGAAGAAGTCCTAAAAAGAGTTTTGCTAGAATAAATTGTTCAAAGTATAAAAATGTTACCTAAAGTATCTCAGTTTTTAAAATAATCAGTGTTTATTGAGTGCCTAATTAAGGGGGGAAAACAACCTTTAATGAAGTTTTAGAACATTTGTACATGTATAAAATAAGGCTAATTAATATTTGGTTAAGGCAATAAACATAAAGAGACACATTCTTGTTGAAGGCTGGCTCACTATTCAAAATGAAAGATAAGGCTGGGTGTGGTGGCTCACGCCTGTAAGCACTTTGGGAGGCTGAGATCGGCAGATCAGCTGAGGTCAGGAGTTTGAGACCAGCCTGGGCAACATGGCAAAACCCTGTCTCTACTAAAAATACAAAAAAATTAGCTGGGCGTGGTGGCGCATGCCTGTAATCCCAGCTATGTGGGAGGCTGAGGCAGGAGAATCACTTGAACCCAGGAGGCAGAGGTTGCAGTGAGCTGAGATTGCGCCACTGCACTCCACCCTGGGTGACAGAGCAAGACTCCATCCCCCCCAAAAAAGAAAGATAATACTCAACATTTATTTGAATATTTCCGTAAAATAAGATCATTTAAATGATTTATTCAACATTTTGACTTGATTAATCTATACCTGTAGGCCGTAAGACACCACTATTGTCTTAACTGTAATATTGGGCCAAATCTACCATATAAGGTGATTGTGAATCAGGCTGAAACTCCCAACCCAGTCAGGTTGTGCCAACAGGTGACATATTTAACCTGCACAATATTTTAAAAACTTTTGTATTTGAATTCTTTTAGTGTGCCTTTACTCTCTAGTTGCTCAGGGGCATCACCATACCCTGTTGTCATTATACCTGCTTCTTTTAATCAGCTGAGGTACCAGCCTAGCGTTTGAAGACATTTTGAGTTTGAAGGCCATCTTCTATATAGTGTCTTGCTCCTGGTCATTGTATGTCCAAATATATGTCTGACTCAGTCAAGTGTAAGCAAAAAATATTTCTTAGAATGGTTCAAGTTCTATGTGTGTCAAACCCTACATTCATATACTGTAAGCAGTTCCTTTTCCTTGTGTAGTATAAGGTAAAAAATATATATAATTTTAAAAATCTGACGTAATATGCACACGTGATCATATTACATAAAATAGTAAGATTTTTTTCCACAGGTAACCTTTGATGTAGCTTGGTCTCCAAAGAACATAGACAGAAGATGCTATAATTATACTGGAATCGCAGATGCTTGTGACTTCCTCTTTGTGATGTCTTATGATGAACAAAGTCAGATCTGGTCAGAATGTATTGCAGCAGCCAATGCTCCCTATAATCAGACATTAACTGGTAAGACTCTAAACATGGTCATTTATTAATAATATTAATAATATTCTATAAATTAAAATATTAAGATGTTTTTAGTATTTCTAAGTTATATGTATACGTTTTTCAATTGTAAGG
This sequence comes from Homo sapiens, assembly GCF_000001405.40. Lineage (NCBI taxonomy): Eukaryota > Metazoa > Chordata > Mammalia > Primates > Hominidae > Homo > Homo sapiens. The sequence goes on along the minus strand of NC_000001.11, from coordinate 84,565,726 downwards.
CTTGCTTCAAACATGTAAAAATCACTTAATTGAAAGCTTTAAAGTTTACAAAAAGTTTTAAAGTTTTGATTTTCACTTAATTCTTCCAACAATCTTGTGGTATAGGTATATTTCTAGATGAGATAAAAAGAATTAACTGCTCATGATTGCATAACTATTAAGTATTATATAGTTGGGGCTTAATCAGGTATTCTCATTTCTGGTCTGATATTCTTGTCATGAAATCACATGCTTATCTAGAATTTGACAGGATATTTTTGTTGAAATAACCAGTGTTAAATAATAGCAAAGATAGATATGGTTGGGCACCTTCATTGCATGATTAATAGGATAGGCATTAACTTCTTTTAGTATCTGTGATAAATTAAAAATTATATTCCTATTAGAATTTGAGTACTTTTGACCTGTCATTCATTTGATGTAGGCTTTGCATTATCCTCTTCAAAGTTTGGATTGGTTTGTATTCCATCAGTCAACTAAATAAAAGATTGCTTGTTCTTTTGTTTTTTTTTTTAATTTTTATTTTTTTGAGCAGGGTCTCACTCCATCACCCAGGCTGGAGTGCAGTGGCACGATCAGGGCTCACTGCAGCCTCAACCTCACAAGCTCAGCCTTAGCCTCCTGAGTAGCTGGGACTACGGGTGCATGCCACCATGCCCAGCTAATATTTTCATTTTTTTCTTTTTCTGAGACAGAGTCTTGCTTTGTTGCCCAGGCTGGAGTGCAGTGGCACTATGATAGCCCACTGTAACCTCGACCTCCTGGGCTTAAGTGATCCCCCAACCTCAGCCCCCTGAGTAGCTGGGTATACAGGCATGCACCACCATGCCCAGCTAATTTAAAAAAGATTTTTTTTTTAAGGAGATGGAGTCATACTATGTTGCCCAGGCTGGCCGCAAGTGATCCTCCCACCTCAGCCTCCCAGAGAGCTTCAATTACAGGCATGAGCCATTGTGCCTAGCCACATACCTATTTAAAGTTGAAAAATAACTTATTCTGTTAAAATTACGAAGTAATTATTAATTGAGGGTTCCCAAACTGTGTTTCAGGCAAGACATTATAATTATGTTCTATCAATAAAAGGTTCAAGCCTTGGGAGGCTGAGGTGGGAAGATCACATGAGGCCGAAGTTCAAGCCAGCCTGAGCAACATAGGGATACTTTGTATCATAAATAAATCAACAACCAAACTAAATAAACCAATATGTTTGGGAACTGATACATACCCCACCCCATTTTTGGTTATTTAATAGTACATAATAACATTAAAGGCTCTAAAAAGTAATAAAGTTTTTTAGCTGAACATTCTAGGTAATCTGTGAATATGTCTTGGTGGAAAAACATGTTTTGCAGCATTGGGCAAGAAAAGGACTGATAGTTCCAGGGATTTGTTCATTTTTCTCTTTGTTTCCTCCCACTATAGATGACACATTTCTTATCCCCAGCTTACTTACAGAATATTTGCAAAACATGGAACACTTGTACTTTCTAAGAAACTCTGAGACCATCACTGCTAGAAAGTTAAGATTTATAAAACTTTTTTGAAACTTTAGAATCTAGAGTATCAAGTATATCATATCTTAGAATTAATAGATATAATTAGCATACTTTCCTGAAATGTGTCATTCTTCCTAGAATTAGATTTTGTGAATATTTTATTTCAGTATGATCTTAATTGTTTTGAATGTTTTCTCCTATTCAAAGAGAAATGGTTTAGAAAGCAAGATATAGAATTTATGGTTCTTAAGGGATGTTTTATAACATATTAAACAATATTAGTGTTTTTTATAAATGTACTTGTTTTTACAAACAGATTCTGAACGGTTGCATAGCTTGTATGAACACATTGACATATGAAGAGAAACAAATATGCTTTTTCTCTCCTGCTTGACTAGGATATAATGACTACATCAAGATGAGCATTAATCCTAAGAAACTTGTAATGGGTGTTCCTTGGTATGGTTATGATTATACCTGCCTGAATCTGTCTGAGGTAGGAACAGTCATTTGTTACATAATTTTTATTATCTATTATATTTTTTAGAGTCTCTCTGTTTTCATTAGAAATATATAAACTTTAGAATCTCTGAAATATAGTTTGAGATAAAAATTATTTATTTTTACTTCTATGAAAGCTTATGATTATCATACATTTTCATTTAATAATGAAATTTATTTTAACCTTTTTTCTGTATAGTCAGGTTTTCTATGGTATATGTTTTATTTCTAAATAATTTATATATTTTTGGTTTGGCTTTTAAGAATTGCATAATTGATAATATATAACATGAGCACTTTTGCATTTCTAGGATCATGTTTGTACCATTGCAAAAGTCCCTTTCCGGGGGGCTCCTTGTAGTGACGCTGCAGGACGTCAGGTGCCCTACAAAACGATCATGAAGCAAATAAATAGTTCTATTTCTGGAAACCTATGGGATAAAGATCAGCGGGCTCCTTATTATAACTATAAAGTAAGACTTTTCGTAAGTTATGAGCATTTATTCTATTAGTTTTTGTAATTATTTTCATAATTAGATGTTTGATATCAAGAATTTCTATCAGTTTTCTTTTAGGGCATAACATGCAGACTGCTATTTACATGAGTAAACTTGTCTTTGAATCTGTAATCAGGAACTTTAGTTCCCTGGCGAGCAATTGGAGTTTTGCTAATGGTGAATCTACTCTGCTTGGGCCACTTGTCATTTAGATGATGCCATAAAAATGTGCATATCACAAACAGGATTTCTGTAACAGTTGACAATTATGTTAGGATGACTGTTGATTTTGAATGGGTTTTGGGCCAAAATAAGTTACTATCTCTGAAAGCCTCCATTTCAAAGTGGCCTACAGATTCTGATGAGACTTACATAGGGAGGAATGAGGCTGAGAACAGAAGAGGTGTCATAATCGACTTTACAATGGAAAAACTATCATTTTCAATTTATTTTATAATTAAATTATAAAGCAATGTCAAAACTTACAAAAATATTACATAAAGGAAACCTGAAGAAATACACTAAGTGATTAGCAATTCTGTCAAGTAGTGTTTAATAGGAATTGCTATACCAAAATGGCAAAGAAAAGTTACAGTTTTCATAATTTACCTTTAGCATTATAAAGGCTCTTCCACAGCTCAAAAATCTAAGTACAAATCCTCTTTGAATTTATTTCAGATTATGTTACTTTAAAAGGAGTACTAAAATGATATAAGTGAAGTTCAGCAAGGATTTATATGCTTAATTAATGGTCTGGTACCCATTTATAAAAAAATGACTGCAAACACACTACATGTCATAAATTATAATTGATATACATGTGTATGCCTCCACAGAGAGCTTTAGTGTAGAGCTTTCTAAACTTTGGAACTGAAAGTATATACCTATTAGTGAAACTAGAGTGTATTGTAATCTTATCTTTCCTAAACAGTGTTTATATTAGTCTGTCCTGGGAACTGTTAATATTACACACACAGATGCACATGTGTGCAAAATATACACACGTGTGCCATGGCCAAATATATTTAGAAAAACACTATATACTGTACGCCCCTCTTGGAGATTTGTAACAACAATTATATTAATGGGTTTGAGAAGTGCTGTAATACATAAGGTAGTTTAATTGTTTGACATATAATCTTGTTTCACAGCATTCTTAGAAACATGCAGTTCTTAGAAACTGTTTCATGGATATGGTTTGTTAAAAGTTATGGTAACCAATTACATATACAGGCATACCTTAGAGATATTGCAGAGTCAGTTCTAGACCACCACAATAAAGTAAATATAGCAATAAAGCAAGTGACATGAATTTTTTGTTTCCCTGTGCATATAAAAGTTATGTTTATACTATACTGTAGTCTGTTAAGTGTGTAATAGCATTATGTCTAAAAAAAGTACATACCTTAATTTAAAAATACTTTATTGCTAAAAAAATGATAACGATCATCTGAGCCTTTATCAAGTTATAACCTGCTTGCTGGAAGAGTGTCTTGCCTTGTCATTGATGGCTGCTGACTGATCAGGGTGGTGGTTGCTGAAGGTTGGGGTGGCTATGGCAATTTCTTAAAATAAGACAACAGTGAAGTTTGCCACGTCAATTGACTCTTCCTTTCACGAAAGATTTCTGTGTAAAACGTGATGCTATTTGATTGCATTTTACCCACAGTAGAACTTCTTTCAAAATTGGAGTCAACCCCATCAAACTCTGCTGCTGCTTTATTAATAAGTTTATAGAATATTCTAAATCCTTTGCTGTTATTTGAACAATGTTCACAGCATTTTACCAGGAATAGATTCCATTCTCAAGAAACTACTTTCTTTGCGTATTCATAAGAAGTAGCTCCTCATCTATTCAAATTTTATCACGAGATTGTAGCAATTGAGTCACATATTTAGGATTCACCTCCAATTCTAATTCTCTTGCTGTTTCCACTACCTCTGCAGTTACTTCCTTCACTGAAGTCTTGAACCCCTCAATGTCATCCATGAGGGTTGTAACCCACTTCTTCCAAACTCCTGTTAATGTTGATATTTTGACCTCCTCCCATGCATGAATCATGAATGTTCTTAATGGCATCTAGAATGGTGAATCCTTTCCAAAAAGCTTTCAGTTTACTTTGGCCAGATCCATGAAAGGAGTTACTGTCTTTGGCTGCTACAGCCTTACAAAATCTATTTCTTAATTAATAAGAGTTAAAAGTTGAAATTACTCCTTGTTCCATGGGCTGCAGAATGGATGTTGTGTTAGCAGGCATGAAAATAACATTCATCTTGTGTTCTCCATCAGAGCTCTTGGGTGACCAAGTGCATTGTCAATGAGCAGTAATATTTTGAAAGAAATCTCTTTTTTTTCTTAGTACATCTCAGCAGTGGGCTTAAGATATTCAGTAAACAGATGTGCTGTGAGCCAGGCTTTGTTATTCCATTTATAGATCACAGGCAGAGTCAATTTAGCATAATTCTTAAGTGCCATAGGATTTTTGGAATGGTAAATGAACACTGGCTTCAACTTAAAGTTACCACCCTCATTAGTCCCTAACAAGAGAATCAGCCTGTACTTTGAGCTTTAAAGCCAGGTATTGACTTCTCCTGTCTAGCTAGCAAAGTCTTAAATGGCATCATCTTCTTCCAATATAAGATTTATTTGAAGAAAGGGGTCTCTGCCTTTTAAAATGTGTTTGATCATAATTTTACCCGACATGGGAGGTTTCAGAATGAAAACCCAAAGATACAGGAAAAACTGTCCATTTTTGTGCTTAGGTTCAACGAAGTATGGACAGCTATGTAGAACTGTGATCAGAATAAAGGGCATGAGCTAATGCAAACAGACTGAGTGGGAAAACTCAGCAAGGACTGTCTGTTCAGATTTTTCTTGGCCTCTCTGTGAAGGATTTCTTCTCATGGGTATGGGGTAGGACCTCTCTGGAATGAGGGTCTTAATTTCTTTATGGCCAGCTATTACACAGAAAGGTGGTGGTGGGAAAGGTTAGAGTAACATTTTTAGACTTTATGGCTGGTTTTGGGGAAAAGAGGCTCTAGTTTCTATGACCCATTTTAGGGAAGAGGGATTCTAGTTTCTCTTTCTTTCTTTCTTTCCTTTCTTTCTTTCTTTCTTTCTTTCTTTCTTTCTTTTTTTTTTTTTTTTTGAGACAGAGTCTTGCTCTGTCGCCCAGGCTGTAGTGCAGTGGCGCCCTCTGGGTTCACTGCACCCTCTGCCTCCTGGGTTCAAGCAATTCTACTCCTCAGCTTCCCCCATAGGTGGGATTACAGGTGCCCGCCACTATGCCGGGCTAATTTTTATATTTTTAGTAGAGATGGGGTTTCACTATGTAGGCCAGTCTGGTCTCAAACTCCTGACCTCAAGTGATCCGCCTACCTTGGCCTCCCAAAGGCCTGGGATTACACGCATGGGCCACTGCACCTGGCCAACACATTGTTTAAGCTCTTAGAATTCAGGAAACATTTTGGTGAGCCTTGAAGGCCATTTAATGTCACTTCAGAAAACAATCTAATTATAACTATTTTCTTCCTCTTTTTTATTCATTGCAAAATTCCCATTGTAAGGTTATTAGTCTAATTTCAATATCGTTATTAAGTCTTTTTTTTCTGAGATGGAGTATCGCTCCGTCACCCAGGCTGGAGTGCAGTGGCACAATCTCAGTTCACTGCAACCTCTGCCTCCTAGGTGTAAGTGAGTCTCGTGCCTTAGCCTCCCAAATATCTGGGGTTATAGGGATGCCCTACCATGCCCGGCTAATTTTTTGTATTTTTAGTAGAGATGTGGTTTCACCATGTTGGCCAGGCTGGTTTGAAACTCCTGACTTCAAGTGATCCTCCCATCTCGGCCTTCCAAAGTGTTGGCATTACAGGCGTGAGCTACCGCGCCTAGCCAAATATTGTTATTAAGTCTTATATGGGCAGTTCATGGTGCCCACAAACAATTACAATAGTAGCATCAAAGACCACTGATTGCAGATCATCATAACAGATATAATAATAATAATGAAAAAGTTTGGAATATTTTAAGAATTGCCAAAATGTGACACAGACACAAAATGAGCACTTGCTGTTGGAAAAATGGCACCAGTAGACTTGTTCAATAGAGTTGCCATAAACCTTCAATTTGCAAAAAATTTAATGTCTGCAAAGCACAATAAAGCAAAGTACAATAAAATGAGGTATGCCTGTAATTTAAAAATATGTAACATAGAATCTTAGGACAGTATATACTACCATATACTGTTTCTTTGTAATCCTGACCTTAGTAATCTGTGGCTTGTTTTTTCCTTAATGAATGTGAAAATGCAGGAACACATTCTTCTTTTTTTTTAGACGAGGTTTTGCTCTGTCACCCAGGATGGAGTGCAGTGGCACAATCATGGCTCACTGCAGCCTTGACCTCTTGGGCTCAAGCAATCCTCCTGCCTCAGCCTACCAAGTAGCTAGGACCATAGGCGTGTGCCATCATGCCAGGCTGATTTTTTTACTTTTTGTAGAGACGGGGTCTTTCTATATTGCCCAGGCTGGTCTTGAACTCCTGGCCTCAAGTGATTCTCCCACCTTGGCCTCCCAAAATGCTGGGATTACAGGTGTGAGCCACTGCACTTGGCCTCTTTTTTTTTTTTAATTAAAAAAAAGTGGCCGGGCGCGGTGGCTCACGCCTGTAATCCCAGCACTTTGGGAGGCTGAGGCGGGCGGATCACGAGGTCAGGAGATCGAGACCATCCCGGCTAAAACGGTGAAACCCCGTCTCTACTAAAAATACAAAAAAAATTAGCCGGGCGTAGTGGCGGGCGCCTGTAGTCCCAGCTACTTGGGAGGCTGAGGCAGGAGAATGGCGTGAACCCGGGAGGCGGAGCTTGCAGTGAGCCGAGATCCCGCCACTGCACTCCAGCCTGGGCGACAGAGCGAGACTCCGTCTCAAAAAAAAAAAAAAGTTTAATGGCAGGCAAAAATTATCTGTATTTATGGTGTAGAAGATGATGTTTTGATATATCTATACATTGTGAAATGGCTAAATCAAGTTATTTAACATATGTATTACCTCACATACCATTTTTTAAATGGTAAGAACACTTAAAATCCATTCTCTTAGGAATTTTCAACATAATACATTGTTATTAACTATAGTTACCACGGGATACAGTAGATTTCTTGTATTTATTGTTCCTAATTGAAAATTTGTGTCTTGAAATATCTATTCTTCCCACCCCCAGCCTCTGGTAACCACCTTTTTACTCTGTTTCTATGAAGAAACACATTCTTTAGGTCTCAGAATTCAGGAAACATTTTGGTGCGCATTGAAGGCCATTTAATGCCACTTTAGAAAAAAATCTAGTTATAACTGTTTCCTTCCTCTTTTTTTTTTTTTTGAGATGGAGTCTCACTATGTCGCCCACGCTGGTGTGCAGTGGCGCGATCTTGGCTCACTGCAAGCTCCGCCTCCCGGGTTCACGCCATTCTCCTGCCTTAGCCTCCCAAGTAGCTGGGACTACAGGTGCCCGCCACCAAGCCTGGCTAATTTTTTTGTATTTTTTTAATAGAGACGGGGTTTCACTGTGTTAGCCAGGATGGTCTCGATCTCCTGACCTCATGATCTGCCCATCTCGGCCTCCCAAAGGGCTGGGATTATAGGTGTGAGCCACCGCGCCCAGCCTCCTTCTTTTTTTTTTTTTCTTTTTTTTTTTTTTTTTTTTGAGATGGAGTTTTGTTCTTTTCGCCCAGGCTGGAGTGCAGTGGCACGATCTCGGCTGACTGCGCCCTCCGCCTCCCAGGTTCAAGCAATTCTCCTGCCTCAGCGTCCTGAGTAGCTGGGATTACAGGCATGCATCACCACACCCAGCTAATTTTTGTATTTGTAGTAGAGGCAGGGTTTCACCATGTTGGCCAGGCTGGTCTTGAACTCCTGACCTCAGGTGATTCACCCATCTTGGCCTCCCAAAATGCTGGGATTACAGGCGTAAGCCATCGCGCCTGGCCCCCTCTTTTTTATTAATTGCAAAATTCTGTAGCAACATGAATCAAGTTTCTGTCTTATTTGAAGAGAATCACTCTATTGGGCTGTTTCAGCAATAGCAGCTCATCTTGGACTCAATATTCTGGAAAGCAAATATGCCTTAACCATGCATAAATTAGTCTTACATGTGCTTAGTTTTTGCCCTTTGTTCCTTTACAATTTTGAGACATTTGAATTTCTTAATAATATCAAAAAGGCTCAAAGTACTAGCTAGAATGATGGCAAAATTCAAAGGTATATGTCTTTGGGTTTGCCCCTGAATCTTCAATAATCTGTCATATTTAAGTACAAGTTCTACAAGTTGCCTTTTAATAATGAATCACAACTATTACTAGGGCATGCATGGCTTTGTCTAGTTCTAAAAATGTTAAAGAATGGAATATAAGATACAGACTGAGATATGCTTGATTACAATTAGTCTACCATATTTAAATATGCCGCAGTGTATTCATTTACCAGGTGAATTATTTTCCTTCAAAGTGGTCTTTTTTTTTTTTTTTTTTGAGACGGAGTCTTGCTCTGTCTCCAGGCTGGAGTGCAGTGGCGTGATCTCAGCTTACTGCAACCTCCGTCTCCTGGGTTCAAGCAATTCTCCTGCCTCAGCCTCGAGAGTAGCTGGGACTACAGGCATGCACCACCAAGCCCAGCTAATTTTTTTGTATTTTAGTAAAGATGGGGTTTCACCATGTTGGCTAGGATGGTCTCGATCTCTCGACCTCATGATCTGCCTGCCTCGGCCTCCCAAAGTGCTGGTATTACAGGCCTGAGACACCGTGCCCGGCCCCAAAGTGGTCATCTTAAGAGACTATTCTAATTCCAGGAGTGCTGCTGTAAATATTACTGGCATTAATTCAGAAATGCCTTTAAGGAGTTTCCTAGATGTATATAAAAATAAGTAAATTATTTTTAGTCACAGGTCTTTCTATTTTTTATCTCCTATCTTTTTCACCTTCCTTTGCACTTTGTCCTAGATCTGCTCCTTTCCCTTTTCCTTTGTCTCTTATCCAATAGCTCATGTGCTGCCTGAGAGAGACTGTGTTAGTACTAGATAGAGGTAGTTGATTCTGGGCAGAAGGACTTTTTAGGGTGGAAGGTGAACATAAGACCAGAATCTAATTTATGGCTCATAATCAGGTGTATGTTAAGTCACCAATAAAGTGCAGACCTAACAGACTCTGAGAATGTATCTGTAAGACCTAGAAAAGGATGTACTTTTCTCCTCCATTGCCATTACCTTTTGACTTGGCTGATTCATCATAAACAAAATCTTCTGTAGACCTCCTAGCCAGGCACACTTCTAGCAACTACAGAGAATACAAAAAAGCACATAAGCTGGTTTTAGAGGACCAGAGCATTGATTCCCCTTAACTTTGGTTGCATACCAGCATTATCTAATGAAACATTAAAACACAAAACAAATATATGCCCTAGCATTAACCCTGGAGAATTCTGATTCAATAGGTTTCATGTGGTGTGGGACCCAGGAATCTGTATTTTAAAAGCTCCGCAAGTGATTCAGATGTACGCCTTGGCTAATAATCACTGGCTAAGGGCAAGGAAAGAATCTTAGGACATGAAAAGGAGCTCAAGTAGAATCTATTAGGAGGCTCGTTTCTGTAATCTTTGCCATTGTTAAAAGTGCCATAAGCAATAATACCTAGAAAGTACAGATGTTCCTTGATTTATGATTGTATTGTGTCCTAATAAACCCATAAACATATGATAAGTTGAAAATGAACGAAATACCCTGATAAATCCATCGTAAAGTCTAAAAATTGTAAGTTGAACCATTGTAAGTCAGGGACCATTTGTATCAAATATAGAACCATGGAATTATAGAATAGGAAAGTGTTATGCCCTAAAATTTTTATTTCATTGTATCCTTTTTGAATAATTGGATTTAGGAAACTTTTTTCCCTCTTACTGTACTGTATACTTCTTTTATTTTTCCCTTTCCTGTGGTGCTGAATTGTACTAAATACTTTAAAATCTCCATTTTAATTTATTTATATAGGATCCTGCTGGCCACTTTCATCAAGTATGGTATGATAACCCTCAGAGTATTTCTTTAAAGGCAACATATATACAAAACTATCGCTTACGGGGCATTGGCATGTGGAATGCAAACTGTCTTGACTACTCTGGAGATGCTGTAGCCAAACAGCAAACTGAAGAAATGTGGGAAGTCTTAAAGCCAAAGCTGTTACAGAGATGAACATCTTTTGTCAAACCATTAAGAGTTAGAAAGATGATCTGTATCAACAGATCTAGTTTCTTGCATTTTTATTATGTTGCTATATACTTTTGTTATCCGTATACTAAAAAAAAAGAATAAATAAATGTTTTGATTGTTTGAATTTGAAAAATACACACGAATGTCCTCAGTATCCAGGAACATAAAGGCAAGAAGCAAGTCAACTTACCTATTAAATATTCCTCTATTAGATGTTTCAACACTATAATTTAATTGGGAAAAATTGCTTTCAGAATTTTATTATGCCATATTTCCCTTCATTATAGTAAAATATATGCTCACGAATCAATGCTGATTTTTAAAATATGTATAATCTGAAGTGGAAATTGTTTGCTTAGAGTTTTTAAAAACCTAGTCTTTGAAAAGCAGTTTGTGCTATACTTTTCCCCCAACCCTCCAATAAATCTTAAATTTAAAACCTACAATGTAGTGTCTCCCCTTTAGGTTCATCAAACTGATGAAAATAATTTTTCTGCTTCCTGACTCCATATAGTATTTATGTTCTCTGAGGTACTTGAACTAAATCTTTGGACAGTGAGTGAGAATTAAAAAGAATCCAGAAGATTAAATGTATTCACAAAATAGAAGAATGTAACAGTAATATTTTGAATTGGTAAGTTAGAACTACCTAATATTTTCCAACTACATTATTTTTATGAGGCTCATTTGTAAAATTTTTAATAATAGGAATAACTTGCAGTTGAACTTGATTCTGTTCACTGTCACACTTCTAATTATTCATTTCTTCATTTATGGACATATATAATTTATTTCTTGGCTAGCTTGCTTACATGGTTAAATTTTTCTTTCTACATCTGCAATGTATCTTTTTTATTTTTATTTTTTGTAGAGACAGGGTCTCGCTATGTTGTCCAGATGGGTCTCCAACTCCTGGGCTCAAGCACTCCTCCTGCCTTGGCTTCCTAAAGAGCTGGGATTACAGGCATGAGCTGCATTGTGCTTTTAATGATCTAAAGACACTGATTAGCTTCTCAACTAGTTCTCTTTCTAAAAGATCAATTTTATACAAATAAGTTTTCTAAATGTAATAAAGTCTGTTTTCTTTCTCCAGGGAATTAAGAACAACATTGTGCTGCCCTTATTAGTTCCTAATTACAGATTAAAAATCTGTATCTTTGAACTCTAGATTTACATAAATCCTGGCTTCCCTGCACATTTTGCCCCTGTAAATTGGAATACATGATGATTGAACCATCTGTTATGAGAATATTACATTTCCTATTTACACAATTGTTTGTGACAGAGTAAAAACCATTTTCATAGTATATGTTGGATCACTGTTGTCTTCATATTTCTAAAATAAATGAATTAAAAAATTTAAATTCTTAGATGCTTATCTCTATCATAGCTCAGAATGCAACTTCAATACCCCCATTCTTTTATATTTCCAGATTTCTTTTAATTAAGATATAATGAACAAATTAAGTTAAATGAAGTCTGTATTTTCATGCAAATATATTAGTATTCATTAATATACATTTATTCTTTGCAAATAGATTTTAGTTATATTAGCTCTTAAATTGTTAAATAAATTATTATTGAATTTTATTATTAAATTATTAAAATGAAAATTATAAAATTAGCACTGTAAAATAATATGTAAAGGACTTGGAATGTTAAAAATAACCATTCATCATTTTGCTTTATATTACATCTAATATTTCCTGAAACATTTTGTAATACCCACATGGAAAGTGGAGAAAGAGAAACCTTGTGCTTTTTATAAAACATTGCCAAGGAGAATAATGGTTAAACAAATCTGTTCAAATACATATTTAAATTTTTTTACAAATAAAAGTTTTAAATTAACATACCTAATTGAGATTGTAGAGATGTATTATTTTTTTTTTCTGTGCCAGTTCAGTTTTCAATGTTCGTAAATCTGAAACTGCTTGTTTTCTCATCTATAAAAAGAATTACTTTTCAAAAATGAACTTCATCATACCCTTCTAAAAGTACATCATAGTTGTCATGTAAACAGGGTTTTTGTAACCGCTTTAACTGTCTTCTCTCATTTGGCTTCAGTGCTTTCAACTCCCACTGGATTACTACAGTAAATGTGTAGATTATGAATGCTGTTTAATAAGCATGCTTATCTACTGGTGAGATATGCTATAAGGTAACCTTGTTTATGAGTAGATAGGGACAATACAATTGAACTGTTCTAAAAACTAGAGTGAGAAAGAATTTTATGTTTTGCTTAAACTTCAAAACCTGTTGTTCTCAATGTGTAAAGAAAATAGTGAAAACAACAAGAAAACAAAATACAAAAAAAACCCTTAATTCCTAGCCCTTAGGAACGGAATAGATATTTCAGAAATATAGTGTTTACTCTGTGGCAAGCACTCTTCTAAGTGTATTAGTCTCTTATTTTTTTTTCAAAAATTTTACAGAATCAGATACTAGTATTTATCCCCATTTTACAGTTGAAATGGAGACCTTTAGAGGCTAAGTAACTTGCTCAAGATAAAAAACTAGTAAGTGAAGTGGGTACAGCCAGGATTCAAATTCAAACCACCTGGTACCAGAGCCCTTACTATTCCAAGTGTTGTCTGTGGACAGCAGCATTAGCATCAGTTGGGAGCTTGTTAGGTAGGAAGAATCTCAGGCTGCACCCAGACCTACTGAGTCAGATCCTGCATTTTTAAACAGGATCCTCAGATGATATATTAAACTTTGAGAAGCACTACTTATGCTATACTATCTTGAATAAATATGGTTGCAAGAGACTCAGGCTGGGTTTTTTTTGTCCCTTAGTTCTGAATCTTATAGGTAGTGCTGTTTTGGGGAGATCATTCAGAAATCAATAAAACTTCTTAAATAATGTCTGTTATGTGTCAATCAGGCACTATGGTTAAATACAGGATTTTTTCCCCCCAGCCTATAAGCTGAAAACTTTGTTCTCTTTTTTTCCTCTTATTCCACTTGTCCTTACTGTTTTTGTATGAACAATTCTAATTTGAGTTCAAACCATGAGTGACATTTGTAATGTTAAAATATACAAAGATTACAAGTAATGTGCATGCTTTCCAGAAGAAAACAGCATGAGGGGAGTCATAATCCAAGCCTCTGGGGGCATTTTTATTACTCCTTCCTACCTACCCAATTATTAAGTGTACAAGTTTACATATTGGCTTTATCTCCATATATTGAATAGACAGTTTTCCTTCATTGAACAAATTATTTTTTGAGTGCATATTTAACTGATATTTTGTTAAAAATTATCCTCTGCTCTTTTCCTTTTCTATTTTAAGTTTTAAGCTTCTCAGTGCCAAACCAGGGCTTATTTAGCCTCGAGAATGCTGCTTGTAAAAAGAATCTAGAACTGCACTGTCCAGTATAGTAGAAGCCAGTTGCCATATGTAACTACTAAACTTAAATTAACTAAAATTAAATAAAATTTAAAATTCAGTTCCTCAGTCACACAAACTACATTTCAAGTGCTCAATATCAATAGGTGGCTAGTGGGTACCAATCTGACAGTGCAGGCATAGAACATTTCTATCATCACATAAGTTCTGTTGGACAGTGCTAATTCTATTTTTTTATTTTTAAATTTTATTTATTTTTATTTTTATCTGAAACCGAGGACAGTACTGATTTTCTTTTTTCTTTTTAAAATTTTTTTAAAAAGAGCTAATTCTAGAATGCAGTCATTATTCTGTGTCATAAAGCTGTTTCTGATAAAGAAATGAGAGCATTCATATAATTATCGTTCTCATTTTCCTGCCTTGCTGTGGGTACTTGTATGAAAATGTATAATCTTCTGTTTTCTGTTCAACAAAAAAGCTTTTTAATACATATGTACTTCACAGATAATTTCTATGATGTAATTAGTTGTACACAATTCTCACCAAATAGAGCATGCCCAGAAGCCTCTACTAAGCATCTGCTATACAAAAGGTCCCATGGGAGAAACAAAGTTAACTAAGGCATAGTCTCTGCCAGGAAGGAAACTTAACATCTAGTAGAAGACACATTATTCATATTTAAATAATAGAATACATATGAAAATAACCAGAAAAAATGAAACGATTACCCATAAAAAATTAAATGTCAGTTCAGAGGAGAGCTCAGTGGTTTATCAGACTTAATAATTCTAATACAGGAAAACTACTTAAAATTTTTTTTGAGAATATATTGACTCACAGGTTCCTTTTCCTTTAATTCTTCCTAGTAAAATTTTACTAAATTTTACTTTGGCTTTATTATATCATGTATCTTTTCACAGGTTTAGTTTTTCTTCCTGCATTTTTTTTTTCACCTATGCTCTTTACTGTTAAGGTAACAATTTTAATACAGTCAATCCTGGCTACCCTTATATTATTGACACCCAAAGTTAAAACACCAAAATATTTTATTTCAAGATAAATGTTATAATAATCTGATTAGGAAAAATGTAAATTACCTTAACTTCTACTATGAGTTTCATTTTGTCAGTATCTAGTTTTCTCTTAAGCTGGTCAATTGCATGCTGTACCTCAGTGATCTGGATTATTAGGTAATTCTGTGTGGATAGATAGATATTTATTTAGTATAACATATAAACATTTTTATTTTTAACTGCCTTGTGAACATAAACTATGAAATGATAAAGATCAAAAGAGTAAATCATGAAAATAACCTATTCCGTAAAGTAAACTAAATTGCTTTGGAGAAATTACTATTTGTTTCTGTTGATTTCTTGCATTTTAGGGAACACTTTCTCTAAAGTTACCATTAAATTAGCATCGTAAAAACCAACAACTATTACTATGAAAGGAATAATATCTTAGTTATTAGCAAGACTTTAAAATTGTCATAATGCTTTATCAGCTGAATAAGATTAGAATTATTTTAAAATACTTAATAATATGATACTATATTTTATATGCAAAAACTAATTTAATACAAGAAAACCTATTTAAAATAAGAAGACTTTTTGGTTTTTGTCCAGAAAAGTTTATGAGTTATAGTGGTCCTCGCTAAAGAAGTTATTTAAGAGTTTTAAACTGGCTTTGTGAAAAAATTCTTATATTGAACTGATTAAACAGTAAGATAAAGTATAAGCTATGCTAAAAAAAAAAGTACCAACTACTATGGACAAACCATTACTTGAGCCTATTTGGACTTTATATTAAATTTATTTAAAATAATAAACTTTTAATATTTCATCTTGTCTAAAGTTAAATCCTTACTTTTAATCATAGTTAACATATTTTAAAATTACTTTTGGATAAGTGGGATTGATCCAACCCAAATCAAATTGTTAAATGCCCTCTTGAATTTTTTTGTCTGTTATTTAATTATATGGTGGAATTAATAATAAAATAAACTTCATGTCTCTGATTCAAGGCTGTCTCAAAAAAAAGAACTGATCAAAATTTCATAATTTCTTTAAATTCCTGGGTGTTATAAGCCCTCCCGCCACCACCACCAAATAACAGGACTATAGCAGACACTGTTTGTCCCCTGCCCTACTTCATCAGGTATTTGCCTCTTTCCCATAGAGTCAGGAAATGGACCCTGTCCCAGGTACAGAGGTAAATCCTAATTAGTCTGTAAGTCAGTCAGCATATAGCATTCCTTGGCAACTATTTCTCATCCAGGGGTAGGCCTAGTTGATCCCTTACCTAGGATAAAGGGAAAGATTTATATATTCCATGATTCAGAGAGAGGTTTCTCCCTGTTTGGGGATATAAAGCCCTACTTGCCCTTGACCACTCTATTGCTACTATTAGAAGCAGTCTTACAATGAAATTAACACTGAAAATAATAGGAAGAAAATATCAGACCCCTTAAAGGCAACATTAAGCTGCTGACTGTATCTCCTCAGCAATGCTCCTCCTATTACATAAGGTCATGAGTTTTTTTATTGTTTTAAGCAAGTTTAAGTCAAAGTTAGCCTAATGCATCTTGTGATACTACTAGCACTTATAAAGCATGTGTTTTGAACAGAACTTCTCTAACGGAAGGGGGATACATTTAGTAATACCTTGGAGTCTGTGATGTTTGCCAGATTCTTTGGTCTCATCTTGATCTCCCTGGCTTCAAGTTGCATGAGCAGTTTTTTATAGTAGAGTTCCAAATCTTCTCGAAGTTTTGTTAAAACCTCCTCCATTGATGCTGTGACTTTCTTTGTTTCCAAGTATTTTTTCTTCCAACCATTGTAGGCTATAAAAAAAAAAAAAAAAAAAAAAAAAAAAAAAGGAAAGGCCTTCGTTTGAGTATTAAAGGATTCAACTTTTCATCCTGGAAAGGATCCTAGAGCTAATGTCAATTTAAACCATTTTCCTCTTTCTCTCCTCTTCTCCTTTTTTTATATACTGAGGTCATTAGACCTGAGGAAGAAATGTTTTTTGGATTATAAGAGAACTTGTATAGAAATATAGTAATATATATATATTTTATAGTAATATACATTACTATAAAAGTAATATATCTAAAAGTAATACATTGAATAGTAATATATATTATAAAAGCAATATATATACTTGTTATATATAGTAATCTATAACATATATAAAACTATAACATATATACATATAACATATATAACTATAAAAGTAATATATGTATGTTACTTTTTCCCATGATTATGGAAAACTGATCCAAAATTAATCATTAGAAATTAAACACTACCAGTTTAACAAATTGCATTGATACCAATGAGATTCTAAATACAAACTTAATAGGAACACAAACTATATGCCAGTATACCAGAATTTGTTTAGTTTCTTTCTTTTAGATTATCATAGAAACAAAAATCTCAAATTTAAAAATTCTACTTTATAAGGTGATTTAATTAAAATTATATAGCTACATGGAACTTTAGCTCAAGATTTTGGATATTTATCTCATGCTCTATTATCCAATCCCTTAGCAACTTCTACCGGTATTACTGCCAAAATACTTCTAGCATCTAGCATATTCCACCTTCTTCAATGCTACATCCTTAGTCAATGTCATCTTTTACCAAGAAGTCTGCATTCTCTTTCTAACTGGTCTGTCTGCTTTCATTCTTGCCCCTGTACAGGGTATTCTATACAGCAGTCATTCTGATCTTTCTAAAATATTTTTTAAAATCATATAAATCCCTAGCTCAAAATCCTCTAGTGGCTTCCTACCTTGCTTAGAATAAAATCCAAAATCTTTGATTTGGCCCATTTATTCCTTGCTGACCTTTCTGATTTTATCCCCCTCTGCATTCCTTCTTACGTAGTGTTTCAGCAGCACTGGTCGTATTTCAGGCCCTTAATGCCACAATGTCATTCTTATTTCTTGACCTTGATATTTAGTGTTCCCTTTGTGCCTGCCTCCCTATTAATCAAATCTTAATCTTCTCAGAGATACTTTCTCTGAAAATTCTACCTAAAGCATCTCTTCCCTGCCTCATCACTCTTTACTATGCTCTTTTTAATTGAATTCTCAGCTCTGATCAAAGCTGATATTGTCTTACTTGTTTATTGTCTGTCTCTTCCCATAGGGAAGCAAGCTCCTTATGGGCATGGCCATGTCTGTCTTGTTCACTGCTGTATCCCCAGCATTTAAAACAGTGCCCGGCACATAGTAGGCTCAATAAATATTTTATGGCCAATACATACCTTTTATCTTGAAATATTCCTGTTGAAATAGGAAGTGATGGATCATTCCCATTTCATAAACAGAAAGGGTGAGGCACAAAGAGGGGAAGTAACTTGTCTAAGTAAAAGATAGATCTGGTGTTACAATCCTGGTCCTGTGATTTTCAGTCCATTGTTCAAATCTGTCTGATAAAATTGCTTTTTTAACATTACAACAAGGCTGACTCATTGCCACCACTTTCAGGATAACACATTGTAAAGCAGAATCTTGAGAAGTATCTCCTGACATTGTCTATAACCTTCAATCAGTTCTAGTGCTGAAACAATTTTGCTGTAAATTGAGAATCATAAAACCACTTAATTCCATAGATACCTTTTATCCTTATAATCCTCAACACAACCCAAAACGGAGGCCTCTCAAATAATTTAGCAACTCTCAAGCCACCATCATGTACTGTCTTCATCCTGCCTCATCAGTCCACCAGTCCTAACAACACTGTTTCTAATTGTACTGCAAGAAAACTTACTTAACTTCCCTCATTCATTCACTTTTAAAAGCAAGGCACACACACACACATATCAAAAAATTAAGTACAGAAGAGACCAAGGGACTCAAAGTAGGCTTCTACAGTAAGTGATATATAAGGTGATCTTGACTGACTAATAGGAAATAGGCAGGTAAACTGGGAAGAGGGTACCTCAAGGTAAGAGGAGAAGTAGATGGCAGAGGGAAAAGCATGCCCGAAGACCTAGAACCAAGAGTGTACTTCAGATCCTAGCATATCCAACACTTTTCCTGGAAGCCTCTCTTGATCTCTTCCATCTAATTTAGGCGTTCTCCCTTTGTATTCCTATCCATAGAACTTTGTAATTCCTTTATCATAGTTTTCATCAAGTTTTTTTTTTTTTTTTTTTTTTTGAGGCAGAGTCTTGCTTTGTCACCCATGCTGGAGTGCAGTGGCACAATCTCAGCTCACTGCAACTTCCGCCTCTGGGTTCAAGCCATTCTCCTGCCTTAGCCTCTGCAGTCACTGGGGCTACAGGTGCCCACCACCACACCTGGCTAGGCTAATTTTTGTATTTTTAGTAGAGACGGAGTTTCGCCATGTTGGCCAGGCTGGTCTCGAACTCCTGACCTCAAATGATCCGCCTGCCTCGGCCTCCCAAAGTTCTGGGATTACAGGCATGAACCACTGCGCTGGCAAGGATGTATCATTGATGCTTAACTTGCTTATCATTTCCCCACTGGACTGTAAGATCTATGTGGGCAGGGACAAGATTGTGTCTGTCTTAATAGTGTCTCCTAAGCCCCTAGAATAGTGGCCAGATTCAATAGGCATTTGATAAATGAATAGAAGAATTAATAAACAAGTTAATGAGTTTCAGTTATGAAAATATTTGAGTTTTAATTTTAAACCCTATGTAAAGCATTTATTCTATAAAGTAGAGTTGCATAATAATTTCATGTTTTCTATATTGAACTTAATCATGTACCACTTAAACTAAAATAGTAAAACAGTAAATATTAATTATAACTTTATTATTTATTCTAAAAGGATCAATTCTGTAAAACTTAAGTTTTCTTTATAGTGATAAAAGGTATGTAATAAACTTTACCATGATATCGTTTTAATTTGCTTTGTTCAAATAGCTTTTCAACCGTTTTTACTAGTTCTTCTCTATTTCTTTCCAGATACCTTCTTTCTTCCTTTACTTGTTTCATTTGTTTGATAATCTTCTCTCCTAAAGAGATTATAACTCATATTCATCAATGTCTCAAAGCTGAAAGATGGCTCATATCCTAAAATATGGAGTGTAAAACTTAAAAATGTCTAAAGCAGCAAGAATAAATTTTATCCCAAACTGTTTTTCTTGCTACAGTATAGCATTTACCATGTGGAAAATGCAAAGGAGTCATTTCAGTTTCCAAGAGTGATATATAAGGAGATTTATAAAATAGTGTGTTTTTTCTGCATTTCATATATGTGTAGAAACTAGGTAAAGCTCAAGCAGTTATGCTGATATTCTTTGGTTTAACTCTTTTGGTAAATTTATCTGGGATTCAAAATTATTGTACTTAAATCGTACATAGAAAATGTATATTTTAGGATTATATATATATGATATATATATGATATATAAATATATATATATTTTTTTGAGATGGAGTCTCACTCTGTTGCTCAGGCTGGAGTGTAGTGGTGCAATACTGGCTCACTCCAACCTCTGTCTCCTGGGTTCAAGCGATTCTCCTGCCTCAGCCTTCTAAGTAGCTAGGACTATAGGCAGCTGCCACCACGCCTAATTTTTTTGTATTTTTTTGTATTTTTAGTAGAGATGGGGTTTCACCATGTTGGCCAGGCTGGTCTCGAACTCCTGACCTTGTGATCCACCCACCTCAGCCTCCCAAAGTGTGGGATTACAGGCATGAGCCACCATGCTTGGCCAGAATATATATTTTAAAATGAAATAATGTTGGTGACTAAACATATGTAGTAATAAATATAAAATCCCTGGGCCAGGTGCTGTGGCTCACACCTGTAATCCCAGCACTTTGGGAGGCCGAGATGGGTGGATCACTTGAGGCCAGGAGTTTGAGACCACCCTGGCCAACATGGTGAAATCCCGTCTCTACTAAAAATGCAAAAATTAGCCAGGTGTGGTGGTGCACGCCTGTAATCCCAGCTACTCGGGAGGCTGAGGCTGGAGAATCGCTTGAACCCGAGAGGCGGAGGTTGCAGTGAGCTGAGATCACGCCACTGCACTCTAGCCTGGACAACAGAGTCAGACTCTGTCTAAAAAAAATAAAATAAAAATAAAATTCCTATAATTTAACTTTTTTATTGTTGTAGAACATATTACATAACAAACTGTACCATTTAAAATATTTTTAAATGGTACAGTTCAGTGGCACAACATTCACACTGTTGTGAAACCATCACCACCACCCATCTCCAGAACTTATTTATCTTCTCAAACTGAAACTCTATACCCATTAAACAGTAACTCCCCATTAACATTATTTACTTTACCTCACAGAATCATCTGTACTTACGATTGCACTATACTTACTTTCAGTTTGTAATAAAGATATATCAGTTATTCCTGAAGAAAGAACAGGTTGACAAGGAAGTGAAGGGTGATCTGGTAGGGTGATGTACTCTTTTTCAGCTGTCTGTAAGCAAACGTGAAAATGAGTAAGATCGGCTACACTGTCACATTCTTTTTTCACTTGCCCGTAGGTATTTGATAATGCAAACCAGAAATGCATTCTTTTTACTTAGTGGTGATGAACTCCAAATTTTGTATTTATAGCTGCAGATTCTCTCCCATGTTCTGGTCTCTGTATTCTATTACTTGGACATTATAAACAAGTACTTCAAACTTAAAATTTAAAAAAAATCTGTTATTTTTCTTTCTAAACATGATTTCCTTCCAAGATTTCTGGTCTCAGTTACCTGTTATGATAACTTTAAATATTTTCTAAGATGCCTATTAATATTTTTTTCATCTTGAGTCAATTTTGATTATATTTGCTTAGAAAATTGGTAGTTCTGTCACATGTCAAAATTTTAGCAGATAATTTTACATTTTATTCTAATATATCTTATCTCCTCTGTGTTTGTGTTTCTGTTGCCTTCATCTTTCCTAATTTTTGTGTTTCTACCTGATATGATTTGGATCTGTGTCCCCATCCAAATATCATGTTGAATTGTAATCCCTAAGTGTTGGAAGTGGGGCCTGGTGGGAGGTGATTGTATCATGGGGGCAGATTTCCCCATTGATACTGTTCCCCTGATAGTGAGTTTGTTCTTGTGAGATCTGATCATTTAAAAAGTGTGTGGCATCTCCCCCACTCCTTCCTCCTGCTCCAGCCTTGCTCCCCCTTTGCCTTCCACCGTGATTGAAAGCTCCCTGAGGCCTCCCCAGAAGCAGATGATGCCATGCTTCCTGTACAGCCTGCAGAACCGTGAGCCAATTAAACCTCTTTTCTTTATAAATTACCCAGTCTCAGGTATTTTTTATAGCAGTGTGAGAACAGACTAATATCTACCCTTTTTGATGAATTACCTCAAGCCTTACCATGTTGATGTTTCTCCCACTATCACTTTATCGATCTTGAATTGTTTTCAATTATGCTTCGGTACCTCATTAGTTTTCACTTTTATCTTCATCAAGCTCTCACTTCTATTTTGTTTGTCTTACAGTTAGTCCCCGTTATCTGTAGCTTCACTTTCTGTGCTTTCAGTTACCCACGGTACAGTACAATAAGATACTTTTAGAGAGAGAGAGGCCACATTCACATAACTTTTATTATAGTATATTGTTATAATTGTTCTATTTTATTATTATTGTTTTTGTTATTGTTTACTGTGCCTACTTTATAAATTAAACTTTGTCATAGGTATATATGTACAGGAAAAAACACAGTATATATAGTATATATAGGGTTGAGTTCTATCTGTGTTTTCAGGCATCCACAGGGGGTCTTGGAACGACAGATAAAGGGCAGAGTACTGTATTATTTTTCTAGCTTATTTATTTTGTTATGTTATAAAGTTGAGTTCCCACAGGATAATGGCAGCCACCTAAATTAGAATTGCTCCACAAATCTTCCAAACTACCATAAAAAGAAGCCAAGTAAAACCACCCAAATTTATGCCTACAACATAATTTGGGCACAGAATCCTTTACATGTAAGTGAGGAAATAAAGACTACTAGATCAGAGTGTGGTCAGGAGCCCACATCTGAGCAGAGAGTCAGATATGGACTATGTGTCAGCACTGTACATAAATAATAGCAAACACCAATCACGAGTTAGCCTGGAAAGAGAGGGCTCTACCTGAAGTGGAAAAATAGAGCAAAGAAAAAAAACCTGGTAGATTCTATGAGGAATTCAAAAGAAAGGATTTGAAAAACACAGGGAGTCAGAGGCAGTAATCATGGTAAGACATAGCTTCTGGGAGAGAAGAAAATGCTTTGAAAGGGAGAGATGTCCTTGGGAGCCAGTTTGGTAAGAAAAAAGAAGAAAATGGCCAAGGCAAGAGCTCCACTGAACTAAGCTAGTGGAAAAGAATCCAAAGAAAACATACCCATTTCCCCAAAAGGCCCCATTTACTTAAAAAAAGAAACATAAATAACTGCATTTCTTGGGAGGCCAAGGCGGGTGGATCACCTGAGGTCAGGAGTTCAAGACCAGCCCGGCCAACATGGTGAAACCCCGTCTCTACTAAAAATACAAAACTTAGTCGGGTGTGGTGTCGCACGCCTGTAATCCCAGCTACTCGGGAGGCAGGAGAATTGCTTGAACCTGGGAGATGGAGGTTGCAGGGAGCTGAGATCGTGCCATTGCAGTCAGGCCTGGGCAAGAGAGCGAGACTCCATCTCAAGAAAAATGAAAATAAAACAACAACAACAAAAAAACAAACAAACAAAAAAAACTCAAAAACCTGCATTTCACTACAGCAGCAGAAGAGGGTGCTCCTGATTTAAGAAACACAGTAAGCCACCAAAACAACACTCCCTGTTCCTCTGTAAGAACACCTGTTATTACTGATAATGGAAAAATCCAACGCAAATAAACATGAACATCTATAAAATAATCTAGCACTCATGCAGTTACTTATGAAGAAAACCTCAAAACTGAGCAGTAAAATCAAAACAAACACGCCATGAAGCAGAGAAAAACTTACCAATGCTCCCAACATAGATTAAATATAATTAACTAAGCATTTGCAGATATTAATGAACACTATAAAACAGAAATTTTTAAAATTTGTAATAAAAATGGAAAATAGGAAGGTGTGAAATGAAAATTGGCCAAACTCAAGAAATAAAGAAAAAGAAATTCTCTCAGAAATGAATAAATTAGCAGGTGTTCCAAGATGGAACATATATGACCAAAAATATAGTAAGAAAAACATAGAATAGAAATAAAAGGAGCCAAGAAAGTGAAACATAATGAAAAGAGTAAAATGGATCAGAATGAAAGTGGCAGATATAAAGGTAAAGAAGATCTAAGATAAGACTAATTGTTGCCCCTGAAAGAAAAACAAAACAAAACAATGAAACAGATCTATTTAAAATTATAATTTTAGAAAACATCCTTGAAATAAAACAATTTCTGATTTCTGATTTTCATATTGAAAGGGCCCACTGTGTACCTAGAAAAATCTGACCTACAATTCTCAACTGAGATATAACCTGCTAAAACTATTACACATTAAAGGAATTCTCTGACCTTCCAGGCAAAAATACTCAAGTCAGTTTACAAAGAAAATCAAGTTGGCATCACACTTCTAAATAGTAACATATAAAGCAAGACATCAGTAGTGCAACGTTTACAAGAAACTCAAGGGAAATAAGCCAAGGATTTTATAGCCAGTCAAGCTATCCTTCAAGTAGTAAAGTATGAAGGCTCTAGAGCAGGAATTAGCACAGTTTTTCTGTAAAGGGCCAGAGAGTAAATAAATATGTCTGGGCCACATCTGGTTTCTGTCATATATTCCTCTTTTTTTCAACTCTTTAAAAACATAAAACACATTCCTAGCTCACAGGCCTTACTAAGCATGGTGCAGACCTTAGTCTGCCCATCCTTGCTCTACAGAGAGTTTTAAATGTGCAAGAACTAAGGGAATATTGTGCTCAGGATCTTTTCCTAGTATAGGCTGAGCTTCATCTAACCAAGAAATCATTGAAAAATCTTTTGCAAAATAATTGGCAGTTAAGTGTTGAACATATTTAATTATAACTCTGAGACTAAAACAAAAGTGAGGGTATAAGACTACGTGAACAGTACAAAAAATTTATATTGTTTGACAAAGTAGAAATAACACAACTGAAAATAAACGACAAGAAAAGGGAGGGAAAAAAGTGAAAGTAGAACAAGTTTTTTGATTGCCTCAAATATAACAAGGAGGAGTCAGAGCATAATTTTAGAGGTAGCAAATCAAAAGCAGAAGGACAAATTTTTAAAAAAGGAAAAAAGAGGGGCCGAAAATACTAGCTTAAGTGTATTACTATAAAGATAAATATTAGAACAAAAATAAAAATCTTTCTAAATACCAAGACGAAAAAAACCCAAATAAATAGTAGAAGACACACAGTAAATATAAAATAAAATGACAAATCTGAGACTAAACATATCAGTCATATCAATTATATAAATGGACATGACTCATCTAACTAAATAAAAAAGACTTTCAGACTAGCTTACAAAGCAAAACCCAGCTCTAGGCTGTACATAAGAGATACATCTAAAACAAAGTGACTCAGAAAGGCAGATAAAAAGGAGGGGAGTCGAGAATGGGAATATATCAAATAAATGCAAACAAAAAGAAAGCAGAGTATTTTGACATGCAGTAAGGAAGAATTCAGGCCAAAAAGGCATTAAATGAGCCGAAGAAAGACACTTCATAATGCAAAAGTAATAATATTCACATAAGAACAACTTTGTGCCAAATAACATATAGAAACACATAAAGCAGAAACCACAGGAGGTGTAAGCATAAATAGCAACACAGTAATAAAAGGAGATTCTAACATACCATTCTCAGTCCGAGACATAGAGAATGTGGAAAAAATTAAGAATATGGAATACTTGATGTATTCAGCAAGGTAAACCACAGACAAGCCACAAAGTAGAGGAAGATATTTGCAACACACATAAACATCAAAGGACTATCTTCCAGAGCATATTAAAAACTCCTACTAACCAGAAATAAATGGCAGACAACCCAATAGAAATACTTAAAACAGGTAACCCCCCCAAAAAATGGTTATCAAAATGGGGTCCATAAAATATAAGGGTAACCAGGGAAATTAAAAAATTCAAACTGCAGTTAAATAGCATTGAGCATCCACCAGAGTGGAAAACATTTTAAAGTGTGAAGACAGTATGTATTATTGAGGATGTAGAGTAACAGGAAATGTCTTGGATTCCTAGCGGGAGCGTAAATTTGTATAATCATTTTGGAATACATTTTGGCATTATTTAAGTTATAGATAGACATTTTCCAGCAATTCTACACATAAGTATATATTCCTCTCTTGTTTGTGTGTGCTGTTTATAATAGGTAAAATTTGGAAACAATAAAAGTATCCAGCAACAATATAACAACAATTATTTGCTGAAGATGGTATGCCTTTGCTCCCAAACCCAAGGGCTTAGAGCCGTGATTCTCCTACCAGGGCTTGTACAGACTCCATTCAGCATTCCAATCTACTATACATCAAGCATCACTGGATAATCTGGACAGACATTAAAACACTAGTGAGCTGGGTGCAGTGGCTCATGCCTATAATCCCAACACTTTGGGAGGCTGAGGAGGGCCGATTGCTTGAGTCCAGGAGTTGGAGACCAGCCTGGGCAACATGGAGAAACCCCAACTCTACAAAAAAATACAAAAATTACCTGGGTGTGGTGGCATGTGTCTGTAGTCTCAGCTACTCAGGAGGCTAAGGTGGGAGGATGGATTGAGTCTGGGAGGTCAAGGCTGCAGTGAGCTGTGAACACTGCACTGCATTCCAGCCTGGGCAACAGAATGAGACCCTGTCTCAAAGCAAAACCAAAACCAAAACCAATAACCCCACAAGTGGCAGCATTGCTTGCAATCCCTCTGGGATCACCTTACAAGCCTTCTCTTGTTTAAGTCCCACTCAAAGTTGGCAGGCTTCTGATTCAGTTGGTTTAAATAAAAAATAGAGCAGCACATCCTAATGCAGTAAATCTCTCTACAAATTCCAAAAAAGGTCCACAAAGTGCTTTGTTTCATTCTCAATAGTAGCTGGGGCAAGGGGATACCTCAACATGTCGCAGACCATGGAGCTCCCTGAAATTTCTCTGAATTGATAGACTCCTAAATTTTCTTGCAGCTTATCTCCTACCCCCTAAGAAACATATGTCTTACCTAAGGTATCTAGATTATTTGGTATTTCCTGTTTATCAGGTCCAAGGGGATCATGATATGGTCAAGTTGCCTATAAACTAGATTACGACAAGGAGCCAGAATTGACACAGCCCTTAGGCAAAACAGTGAAGGTCTACTGCTATTCCTATTTGCTACTTTTGGTTTTCTCTGCTAATTGGGATGAAGAAAAAAGCATTTTCCAGATTAAGAATGGCATAATAGGAGCATCAGGCTGTAATAATTTGTTCTAATAAAGAGAGGATGTAAGGAGTAGCAGCTACAATTGTCACCACTTGACACTAAGGCCCATTAATCTTCTCCACAGACCAACTAGGTGAGTTGAATGTGGCTATGACAGGAATAACCTTTTCTGCCATTTTCAAGTTTTGATCATGGCACAAAACCCACAATTTGTCCAGGAGGTTGGTAATGCTTTGGTTTACTATTTTGGTAATGAATAGGCCATTCCATCATATTTCACTTGGCCCTCTCTACTATAACATTCCTTATTGCCCATGCTGCAAGCATCAGGGAGGCAGTATGAGGATTCTGCCATTTGCTGAGTAAGTCCTTCAAAGTATACATTCATGAATTAAGGGAATGGCTACAGGGAGAATTTGCAAAGCCATTCAGCACACCAGAAGACTGATTTAGCTAAAACTTCACTTATTATCTGACCCCTCTAAACCTCCACCCTATTGGTGGAACACAGAGTTATTCAGGTCCCCAACGATCAGAATCACATCAAAGCCATTGCCATGAATCCTGAAAAGTATGGGTACCTCCCTTTCTCCATTGTAGTCATCTGGGTAAACAACCTCTCATCCCCTTAAGGAAGGTAAAGGAAATTTAGGAAGGTAAGGAAATTTAGTCCATATTTGTGGCTGAGTGACAGGGTTTTTCCTCAAGGATACCTGGCCTCCCCTTCACTCAATAAGTTCTGGGTATGTAAACTGGCTAAGGTCTCGTAATTTAATAAGGGGATGTGAATCTTCATGTGGTTATTCAAGGTAGACGTCTATTTGTGAAGACTAAAAATAATTTTTGGTTTTACAGACCAATAGCTTACTGGTAGCTTCAGTAAGCTATCCAAAGCTTATCCAATAGCTTATCCACTTCAGTCTCAGGAACATCATGATTAGTCTTAGGGACACCTTGGCAATTAACTATTGTCAAGGATTTCTTAATCATACATCCTTATGATCACTCTGGTACTGTTTTCTCTTATATAGTAAAATGCTGTAAATTGGCTTCTTCGGGGATACTGTCATCTCTAAAGAAATCAAGTAGGCCGGGCGTGGTGGCTCACGCCTGTAATTTCAGCACTTTGGGAGGCCGATGCAGGTGGATCACGAGGTCAGGAGTCCAAGACCAGCCTGGCCAAGATGGTGAAACTCTGTCTCTACTAAAACTACAAAAATTAGCTGGGCGCGGTGGCAGGTGCCTATAATCCCAGCTACTCGGAAGGCTGAGGCAGGAGAATCGCTTGAACCTGGGTGGCAGAGGTTGCAGTGAGCTGAGATGGTGTCACTGCACTCTAGCCTAGGCAACAGAGTGAGACTTCATCTCAAAAAAAAAAAAAAAAGAAAAAAGAAAAAACAAATCAAGTATAGTCCTATCTTCATTCCATGTGACACAAAACAGCCACTATAAGGTTTTTTAAAAGAATTCTGGGGTTGCCTTTCCAATATATTTCCCCAATGTCTGGTTAAAGAATTAAGTGGGCCGGGTGCGGTGGCTCATGCCTGTAATCCCAGCACTTTGGGAGGCCGAGGCGGGCGGATCACGAGGTCAGGAGATCAAGACCATCCTGGCTAACACGGTGAAACACCGTCTGTACTAAAAATACAAAAAAATTAGCCGGGCGTGGTGGCGGGCACCTGTAGTCCCAACTACTCGGGAGGCTGAGGCAGGAGAATGGCATGCACCCGGGGGGCGGAGCTTGCAGTGAGCGGACATAGCGCCACTGCACTCCAGCCTGGGCGACAGAGCGAGACTCCGTCTCAAAAGAAAAAAAAGTGGATATAAATCTCCTCTTAACATTTTTATATCCCCAAGTCTTCGGATTTCTTGCTCTACTTTTTAACAAGAAATTCTTGGCATTCTAAATTTACTCAGTATGAACCACCATATTGTCCAGGTTTCTGTCAGCCTCACTCAATTTAGCAAAATGTTTTTTACCACTCACAGTTGCTGGAGCTAGCACATTAAATCCAGAATCTCTGATAAGTGTATCCATATTATTAAACTTGAGCCAATTTAAAGTTATATTCTTTCATTCCTGCTCTGAATCTATTTCCAATAATATTTTTCTAAGTTTCTACTAGCATGAATTAACAAAATATTGCAGTTCTTTTGCAATAACCAGTCTGAGATTCTCATTTGTAAAAGTTTTTGGCCCATGTCACACTTTCTGTACCAAATACTGAATCAGTTCAGTGCAGGTTTAAGCAGGAAGAAATGTAATAAAGGAAATTAAGTGTATCAGAAAGACTGGAGGAGCAGGTTCTAGGTCTGGTCTCCTAAAATGATGTTTCCATTAGTGAAATTACCATTGTTGAGGCCATCACCAGAACTACGCTGAAAGCAAGAAGCCATCATTATTATTGCCATTACAACTTCTCACACTCAGGAAGCTGGAGGAAAAAACACTTAATTCATAACAAAAATAGAAAGAAAGAGTAAAACTATTGTTATTCACAGATGACATGAATATGTACGTAGAAAGTCCTAAAGAATCTACAAAAAAAAAACCTGATAGAACTAATTGAATTTAGCAAAATCTCAATAGATGAGTTCAATGTATAAAAATCAATTACATTTCTATAAACTAGCAACAATTAGAAAATAAAAATTTTAAAATACCATTCTATAGAAGCTTCAAAAATACCAAATATCTAAAAATAAATGTAATATTAAGATATAAGAGCAATACACTAAAACCACAGACACTGCTGAAAGAAACTAGTGACATAAATAGAGAAATATATTGTGTTCACAGATTAGAAGATTAAGTATAGTTAGGATATAAGTTTTCCTCCCAAATTGATTGACAGATTCACGGTGATTTCACTCAAAATTCCAGTAGTCTTTTGGTAAGAAATTGACAAGCTGATTCTAAAACGTATATGAAAACACAAAGAATCTAGAATCACCAAAATGATCTTGAAAAAAAATTGACTTGGAAATCTTACGCTATCTGATAACAATAACTACTTATAAAGCCTCAGTAATGAAGATAATGTGGTATTGGCGTAAGGATTAAAAAAAATCATTGAGCAGAAAGGGAAGCTAGAAGTTGTCCTAGATCTTATAGAGTCAACTGAGTTTTGAATAATGCAATAGGAAAAATAAAGTCTTAACAAATGGTGTAGGAGGTGGGTATCTGAGGATCTCAACTGAACCACAACCACAACCTCATTCTGTACATAAAATTTTGAGATTCGTGGTTCTCTTCAAATTACCTCTATTTAACAAAAATTATCACTGAGAATGCAAGAGAAAGGAGGTCTTGATTGTCTGAGGAGAAGGTATGACAGAGTTGTCTAGAAGAATAGTAATGGACCAAGAAAATGTAGTATATTTGTTGGCACAATTAAAGACTCATTTGAAGTTTGTGATTTATTAACTATGGTTGGAATTTTGTCCAATGGGTATGAAAGACATAACCGTGGAAGAATTAATGTAACTTTCTGTGTTTTCGTTTTCTCATCTGAAAATAGAGATAATAGTACCTCCACAAATAGTTGTTGAATTAAATGAATTAACATACATAAAGCATTTAGAATAGTGATTGGCTCAGTAAATGCTATCTAACTGGTTTTTGCTATGTTATTAGTAGTATTATTTAGGTAGGTAGTTATTAAAATGGTTAAGACTGAACTCTGAAGCCAGTCTACACTATTTAGGATCTAAGCCCAGCTCTAGTACTTACTAACTATATAATATCACCTGGGAAAGCCATGGAACCTCTCTGTGCCTCAGTTTCCTCATCTGTAAAAGGGGAATGATAACCATAACCTACCTCATGGAGTTTCCTTTATGGGGATTAAATGAGTCAGTATGTGTAAAATACTTAGAATAATGCCTGGTAGTTGATACTCATGGATAGCTATTATTTAAATTAGTATTGTTATCATTCTTAAGACTGTCCTAAATTCATCCTGCAAATATGTGCAAAATTCTCCTAGTCTTTCCATCATTTCTTGAGAATAAACTGGTAATGTGAATAGTGTTCATTAACTCGTTTAAACCAGTGCAATTCAAATTGGGTAACATATCCAAGGTCACACAGCTAGTAACTATAACATAAACAATTTACTACTATACTGCTTCTTAACACACTATATAATTCTGTTCTAAAGAGACAAGTTAATCAAGTACAGGTATTAGTATATTAAATTACAAATTAGCTATGAAAGCTGCTAGTTAAGTATAGTTTGATGTACCTTTAAAACTAGTAATAAAATTTGAGAAGATAATCCAAAAAGGTGTTGGTGGATAACTTTTCCCCCTTCTCATTTGGGCATATTGTTACCTTATTTATAAAAACAGAAAAATTGGACTACTATTGATTATATTGATATTAGAAGTATGTTTCTGGAAAACTTAGACATTTTAATCTGCAGTTTCAGTTTAATCTTAGTAAAAATATTATGATGTTGCAATACCATGTTTAAACAAAAAATTTTAAATAGTACCTGATTGTCCTGTCTTCTACTGATAGCTGTATCATCTTCATTTTCCCAAAGACACTGACTTAAAGGAAATGACAGGTTTGAAAGTCATTAAAACATGATCCCATGAATATTAGCTTTTCATATTTTATGTATTTTATTTGATGCTCTGTAAACACAAATATTGAAAATTTTCAAAGTCAGCCTGAGACCATTATCATATGTTCTTTCAGACTCATTAGTAATCCATGTAAAGCTACATTTAGTATGAGTAATAAAATCATATTTTATTATATTATAGCTAAATTCTAGTTCAATATCTATAGCAAGATAAAATTACTTGAAATTTTAGAAACATATTTGTTTATTGTTCTTTTGTGAATAACTGTTTATAAGAACCCTTAATTTCAAAAGACTGTGTAAAACTCGTCTAAGTACTATAATTTTGAATAAAATGATACCAGTGTGAAAATCAAGCATATTGATTAGTTTACCTATAACCAAGAACTTAAGAGAGGCAGGATAATTAGTTCTAATGAAGGGAAACAAA
The DNA here is from genome assembly GCF_000001405.40 of Homo sapiens. Taxonomy (NCBI): domain Eukaryota; kingdom Metazoa; phylum Chordata; class Mammalia; order Primates; family Hominidae; genus Homo; species Homo sapiens. The sequence continues at coordinate 84,533,240 of NC_000001.11, read as the reverse complement.
GACAGAAATTTTTCTGTCATCAAGTTGTCCCAATGATAAAAGTACTACAATAGAAATAAATTTAAGTTATGAATTATCCCTTATTATCTTGGAGAGGAATGTTAGCAAAAAACAGTAAAGATCTGAATCAAGGTAATTTTAATTAAAATATCACTAATTTCACTCATATCTTTAAGTAGAAGTCTTTATAACAATACTCTGAATATCTTACTCTTTTTCTTATTGTTTAGATTATGGCATGTGGAATCAGCATCTATACTAATTACCTTTTTTTAGTGCCAAAGCAATCATTATTTGAATCTTCCAATGATCCTGGCAACTCAGAATTTCCAATTTGATTTTTTGCAATTTGGCTTTTTTCTGCAGTGGCTTTTCCCCCAGCTGATGTTGATGGTCATCCACAGCAAATAAAGTTCAGAATGTTAGGAAAATAGTAAAATAAACGTTTGTTTTTATACATGTACACTATAATCTTATCGTAGATTTCAGAATCCCCATGAACTTTCCTATATAGATATAAGTCAATAGTTTCCAAAGTGAATTTCATGAAATATTTGTTTATGTGAAAAGAAAATTATTTGGTTAATTCAGCTTGGGAAATGTTGAATTAAGCAACATCAAACAGCAACACAACCCCCTACACACACATTCACTCCTATTAAAGGGTTTGTCTCCATGTACAACTAAATCTGCAAGAGCGGGGTAGGTAAGTTGGGGGTTTCCTGAAATATAATTTTTTTTTTTTGAGATAGAGACTTGCTCTGTCGCCCAGGCTGGAGTGCAGTGGTGCAATCTCAGTTCACTGTAGCCTCTGCCTCCCAGGTTCAAGCGATTCTCCTGCCTCAGCCTCCCAAGTAGCTGGGATTACAGGCATGTGCTACCACGCCCAGCGAATTTTTGTATTTTTAGTATAGACAGGGTTTCACCAGGTTGGCAAGGCTTGTCTTGAACTCCTGACCTCAGGTGATATGCCCACCTTGGCCTCCCAAAGTGCTGAAATTACAGGCATAAGCCACTGCGTTCGGCCTTAATTGTCTTTACAAACCGTTTGCCAAAGCAGTTTTTGAAACAGTGCTCTGAGGAACCTTCTCTGGAAAATGCTGGTATAAATACAGAACATAAAATGTCATTTTTTATTTCACATACATTTTCATTGATAAAATCTCCCTTCATTTTAACAAAATTTCTCAATATAGGAAAACTAAACAATCCATCTTTGAAATATTAACACTAATGTTCCACATGGTCTATATAAACAAAAGATACACGAACCTGGCAGTATTAATTCAGATTTTTTTCCCTTGGAGAAATCAATTTTTTTAATTCATAAAAGAATAAGTGAGCCAAATTAATATTTGAAAAGTCATTTTACAAGAGTTGTTGCTGGGCATGGTGGCTTATGCCTGTAAACCCAGCACTGTGGGAGGCTGGGCAGGAGGATAGCTTGAGCCCAGTAGTTCAAGACCAGCCTGGGCAATATCTCTAGAAAAATAAAATAAATTAGCCAGGCATGGTGGTGCATGCCTGTGTTCCCAGCTACTTGGGAGACTAGGGTGGGAGGATGTCTTGATCCTGGAAGGTTGAGGCTGTAGTGAGCCATGATCACCCTGCTGTTCTCCAGCCTGGGCATCAGAGCAAGACCCTGTCTCAAAAAAAAAAAAAAAAAAAAAGACTTGCCAAACTATTGTGCAACCTGGAGCCCATACTGATTTTTGTTTGGCTGCTACAATTTATTTCCCACCTGGTATTGAAATTGTCACTTAAGAACAACAAACAGAGGCTGGGTATGGCGGCTCATGTCTGTAATCCCAGGACTTTGGGAGGCCGAGGCGGGTGGATCACTTGAGGTCAGAAGTTCAAGATCAGCCTGGCCAACATGGTAAAACCCTGTCTCTACTAAAAATATAAAAATTAGCCAGGTGTGGTGGCACGTGCCTGTAATCCCAGCTACTCGGGAGGCTGGGGCAGGAGAATAGCTTGAATCCAGGAGGCAGACACTGCAGTGAGCCGAGATTGTGCCACTGCTCTCCAGCCTGGTCTGGAGAGAGACCCTGTCTCAAACAAAACAAGGCAAAACAAAACAAAAAAACAGATTGTCTAAAAGATCTATATAATGCAAAATGAATAAAAAATGGACGTACCAGCTGTGTAAAAGCTAATAGTAAACTACAACTCTCCCTACCCACCCATAAAAAGAAACAATAATGTAGAACTCAGTGTTTTGAGAACTCCAACAAATATATGTTTAAAATATGATAGAGTCACAGAAAAGGGAGTGATAACTGTGAAACTAAGTTTTGAACTATGAGCTGTTTGGTGACAAATAAGGGAGTAGGAGGAATTTAAGCAAAGAATACGGTATGTACAAGGAGCAGAATACTAATAATGTGTGAAGCATTTTTATCCATAATGAAAAGATCAGTATGATTCTAGCGCAGTGTTATAAAGCATGGGCTTTAGTCAAACACAAAAGAGCTCAAGTCCTGGCATGGCCATAACATGTATGACTTCAGTTAAGTTATTTCTCTAACTTCTCTTTCCTTATCTCTAAAATGGCATAATGCATGTAAAGTACCTGGCACACTGTCCAATCCTGAGAAGTTTCTTGACTTTAAGTTCTGATTTATATCCCATTGCCATTTTCCTAGTCCCTAAGTCTATTTTCCATCTTGTCACCTAAGCTGTTTTTCTAGAACTAAAATCCAATCATGCCAAGTTAAAAACTTCAGATTGCTTCCCATTACCTACTAAACTCTTCAGCTTTGCAAGCAAGGCTCTTGTAGTTCAAGTCGCTACCTACCTCTCCAGAAGTACCAGTTCATAGTACTTCTCTCCCTCCCTTTCCTAACCTCATGCTATTAAATAGTAGTATTACTACTAATAATAATAGATAAAAATTACTGAACTAACCCCACCATTAAGTAAATCCTGAAAGCTTCATTCATATCACGATCTCTGAGAAGGAGGCCTTCTGGAGATAGGTACTAAACAATCTGCATGGCCATACACTGTAGCCCTGGATTTGAAGAGTTCTCTATGCTACCTTAAGAATCTTAGGCTCGGCCAGGCGCGGTGGCTCATGACTGCAATCCTAGCACTTTGGGAGGCCGAGGTGGGTGGACTGCCTGTCCCAGGCGGGCGGATTGCCTGAGCTCAGGAGTTTGAGACTGGCCTGGGCAACACGGTGAAACCCCGTCTCTACTAAAACACAAAAAAATTAGCCGGGCATGGCTGCGTGTGCCTGTAGTCCCAGCTACTCGGGAGGCTGAGGCAGGAGAATTGCCTGAACCCAGGAGGCGGAAGTTGCAGTGAGGCGAGATTGTGCCACTGCACTCCAGCCTGGGTGACAGAGCGAGACTCGGTCTCCAAAAAAAAAAAAAAAGAGTTTAGGCTTCAGCCGGGCGCAGTCACTCATGCCTGTAATCCCTACACTTTGGGAGGCCGAGGCGGGTGGATCACCTGAGGTCAGGAGTCCATCTCTGCTAAACATACAAAAATTAGCTGGGTGTGGTGGCAGGCACCTGTAATTCCAGCTATCGGAAGGCTGAGGAGAATTGCTGAAACCCGGGAGGCGGAGGTTGCAGTGAGCCGAGATCGCACCACTGCACTGCAGCCTGGCAACAGAGCGAGACTCCGTCTCAAAAAAAAAAAAAAAAAAAAAAAAGGCATATTACCTGCATTCTTCCCAAACTTTATTATTTATTATAAATTTATTCTCTAAAATGTCACGTTTCAGAAGGGATAGCATCTGTTATCATTTTTGTACCATTACAGTTACTAAGAACACAGTAATTGATTATATATTATTTACTCATTGATGTTAAGACAGTTATTAATTTTCAACAAATATTTATTCAGGACTGTGGTCTAGGCACTGTGTTTGACTCTGAGTAAGTAGCAATAAATCCTTGTCCTAAAAAGATTTTATAATATTTATAAAAATTTTTAAAAACTGGATTTCTTTCCAACAAAATGACAAACCACAGAGGAAATAAAAGTTCAAACCAAAACTATCGAAAAGAATTACTTATATTTGTTTGTGTGGTGATTTACAGATACAAAGCAGTTTCACATATGATATCCAATTTTGAACCTCACAATAAAGAATAATAATATTGAATGGGAAATCACCCTGCCAGATATATAAAAAATATTAATGTCAGTACTAGTTCAGAAAATGGATAAAGTCTGAAAGTGGTCATGTATGTATAAGAATATATATATGAAAAAATATATATATAGTGTGGTAAAGGTGCCATTTGAAATCAGTGGGGAGGGAATGAATGATATTTTGGGATAACTGGAAATGCATTTGGAGGAAATCTATACTACCTCACTCTTTATTTTTTCCAAAATGTGGAGCAGAGAAACAAGGAGACAGAAAATATATGACATAATGGCAAGATTATGGTTCAACAGGAACTTCTAGACATTGCTGCTGGGTACTACCGCTTTGGAAAACACATGGATGTTGTTTAGTGAAGTTGAACATGTACGTGAACATGAACAATGAACAATGCCAATTCTCTTGCACATGCACATTTAGGACTTGTGTACAAAAATGTACATAACAGGATATTTGTAATAGTCCCAAGCTGCAAACAAACCAAATGTCCATCAGCCATAGAATAGACAAATAAATTGTAATGTAAATAAATTGTGTGAGTATAAAATGGAATAGCACAACAATGAAAATAAATAGGTATGGTTGACTCTTACAATGTTGAGTAAGAGAAGTGAGTCCAAAATGATATACATAAATAAAATTCAAAACAGACATAACTAAACTATATTATCAGGGATATATATCTCAGTTGTGAAACTACAAGGAATTCCTATGATCAAAAGAATCATAGAGTAAAAAGACAAACCACAAATTAAAGTTAAGAAAATAATTCAAAATAAGTACTACTACCAGCAATAAAGAGAAACATTACATGATATAGGGGTCAGTTTATCAAGAAGACATAATAATCCTAAATGTGCATGCACCTAATAACAGAGCTTCAAAATACAGAAGGCAAAAGTAAAGCAAGAAAACAATTACCACAAATATCAAAGTAGTAGTTATCTCTACTGGAGAAGGAAGAAGTGTGACCAGAGAAAAACATACAAGGTTTATAAGGTTGTTACCTTAGAAACAGCAGTTAAATTTCTAAAAATAATAATAGGACAAATGCATGAAACTGCATTTAGAAAAATGTTGCTCTGGCCTGGAGCGGTGGCTCACGCCTGTAATCCTAGCACTTTGAGAGGCCAAGGTGGGTGGATTACCTGAGGTCAGGAGTTCGAGACCACCCTGGCCAACATGGTGAAACCCTGCCTCTACTAAAAATACAAAAATTAGCTGGACATGGTGGTGTGCACCTGTAGTCCCAGGTACTTAGGGAGGCTGAGGCAGGAGATTTGCTTGAACCTGGGAGGCAGAGGCTGCAGTGAGCCGAGATTGTGCCACTGCACTCCAGCCTGGGCAACAGAGCGAGACTCCATCTCAAAAAGAAAAAAAAATGTTGCTCATTGCACTATACATGATAGCAAAAACATTAATAAAGGGTTGGGGAAGTAAATTATGACACAGGGAATTCTATAATGACACAGATCTATATTTATTAATATGAAATGTTTATATTTTAATATAAGAGGCTTTAAGAGTCTGTATGTGTCTTCATTTCTGAAAAGTAAAAATATATTTTATATATAAGAACTAAAAAATAATAACTGGAAGAATATACATCAGAATTCTAAGTAGTAGTAATCTCTGAGTAGTAAAATTATTGTCAGTCTTTATTTTCTTCTTTACATTTATTAGTAAAAGTATACTTTATACTTATTTTCTTCCTAATACTTACTGATGTTTCTAGAACTTTTAAAAATGAACACACACTGGCCTCTCATTTAAAGCATATAAATAAAGCTGACTACAGTCTAAGAATCAATAGGAAAAAAATTAGTTTAACTTTTAACTTTTTTACCATATTACATTAAAAAATAAACTGTGAAGGAAAAGCAGATATACTAAACATTTACAAATGAAATGCATCCCCCAGATGTTGACTAAAGACAACATCTATTAAAGCTGTAGAATATAGTAGTTCTTAATCAGTTACATTTCTTGTATTCTAAATTTATTCTAAACCCAACAATGTTCCAAAGTTAGTACCTGCTTTCATCTTAGGTGCATTTAATATTTACTGTTTATTACTTGACACCCGTTAGATGCTCAGTGAGTTTAATTTTTATTTAAACATTTTAAATTACCTATCTTTTTTTCCTATTGATTCTTAGACTGTAGTTAGCTTTATTTATGTATTTATGAGTTTAATTTTTATTTAAACATTTTAAATTACCTATCTTTTTTTTTTTTTTTTTTTTTGAGACAAAGTCTCGCTCTGTCACCCAGACTGGAGGGTGATGGTGCCATCTCAGCTCACTGCAACCTCCCCGTCCCTGGCTCAAGCAATCCTCCTGCTTCAGTCTCCTGAGTAGCTGGGACTACAGGCATGTGCCACCAGACCTGGCTAACTTTTGTGTTTTTTCGTAGAGACAGGGTCTTGCCATGTTGCCCAAGCTGGTCTCAAACTCCTGGGCTCAAATGATCCACCCACCTTGGCCTCCTAAAATGCTTATTACAGATATAAGCCACCACTCCTGGCCCCTATCACTTTTGAAGAATTGAGTTATTAGTAATTATTAGTAAATTGATAGGTGTAATCAGATAAAAAATTTAAAATTCTCTGAAATACGTATGTTCCCCAACATTAAAGTTTTTTTGTTGTTGTTGTCTGTCTTGGTTTGATACTGTTTTCCTGATCCCTCTGGTCTCTGAGTAATACCAAAGTTTTATGCAGTCACCTTTCCTTTCTCTTCCCCTGTAGCTTTACTTTTATCTAAAACTATTTTATTAAAAAAGAAGTAAAGGTGGTAATGTTCATTTAAGTGCTGTAACTATTTTGATTTTGTTTTTATTTTAACATAGTACTTAAATTGTTTTCTTTTCCTCCCATCTGGCAAAAATATTTTTTTAGAAATCCCCAAGTGGAATTGTAGCTTTCTTTTTAAACTGCCTATATTTGTAAGGCTAGGTTTGCTCAGGGTTTGCTTACAGACTTGACTGCTAAAATGTACTATAATAGCCTCTTTCTTTTTCCCATTCCAGTTTAAAATCACCTTCTTCCTGATTCTTGTTAGGAAGCTCTTTCAAAGTGTTTTCTAACAAACTGGGATCTCTTCCAAGTTCCTCCTTGAACAAAGTTACACTAATTGGTCTGTGGATTGTTCCATCAGCCTCATTAACACCATTATTAGTCTGCCGCTCATCTAAAATAACTGTTGATGGTGAATAAACATTTCCTAAATGGTCCATTACAGGAAGCAAATATAATTCTGGTTGAAGAGCCTAAAACATATAGGAAATTTTAAAAGTTAGTTTGCAATTAAAAGCAGTGCTCTAAGTTAAAAATTAGCATAAGTTTAAAATGTCACATTACATACATATGGAGGAGCAAATGATTTGAGTTTCAGTTCTGATTCTTGCTTTTCCTTCACCTAGAAATAAGTAGTGAGAAAAAAATTAAAGCTTTTGCTACATTTTTTTCAATTATTTTTACCTCTACTTTTTTTGCAGAAGGCATGTATTTGTGGCAAATATAAAAATCAAATTTAAAAGCTATGGCTAGATTCTAGAAATGTAGAATATAATGTTACTTTTATTCACTGTATCAAACATAATAGAAATTCTATTCATTTATTAATAATAACTATGCCTATCACTTAAATGGACTTACTATGTCCCTGGCACTATTTTAAGTGCTTTACACTTAGTAAAGATTGTATACCTAGGAAATTTCCAAGTTGGGATTCAAAACCAGGTCATCTGACCCCAAAGTCCAACTTAGTAAACTTTATTTTATTTCCTACATATTCAACCCATAGAGTTCATTTGTTATTTATCTATTTATTTAACAAATATTGGGGGACTGGGCGTGGTGACTCACGCCTGTAATCTCAGCACTTCGGGAGGCCAAGTTGGGCAGATTACTTGAGGTCAGGAGTTCGAGGCCAGCCTGGCCAACATGGTGAAACCCCATCTCTACTAAAAATATAAAAATTAGCCAGGTGTGGTGGCTCCCCCAGCTACTCGGGAGGCTGAGGCAGGAGAATCGCTTGAACCTGGGAGGTGGAGGCTGCAGTGAGCTGAGAGTGCACCACTGCACTCCAGCCTGGGCAACAGAGGGAGACTCTGTCTCAAAAACAAAACAAAACAAAACAAAACACAAATACTGAGGGCATACTATCTGTCAGGCAGTGTTCTACATGGTATGGATACAATGATAAATAAGGCAAAATCTCTGCTTTCATGGAGGTTATATTCTACTTGGGAAACCAGATATTAAATAAATAAATAAACTCAATTTAGGATGGTGATACATGTTTTATGAAAAGAAAACAGAGTGATGTAATAAAGAGTAACTTGAAGAAAGGTCAGGGAAGGCCTGTTAGAAAAGATAATACTTGAGCTAAGTCCTGAATTATGAAAAGAAACAGCCAGCTATGTGAAAATCAGGGAGAAGTGATTTCTAGGCAAGTGCAAGGACCAAAAATCAGAAATGAGTCTGCCATATTTGAGAACCAAAGGAAGATTTTTTTAGCTGAAGTATGAAACCAAGGAGAAAATGGTCATAGATAAAATTTGAGAGGCAGCTTGTTCCTTAGGCCCTTATTATCTCTTGCCTGAACCACTGTAAAACTTTCTTACTGAAATTCCTGCCTCCTCACTTCAATCCATCCTTCTCAGTGAGGCCCAATTAATTTTACTGAAGGCTCTAATCATGTCACTCTTAGTCAAAAACTCATGGTTTCATGAAAAAATCCAAACTACTAATCTGGCATTGAAGACCTTCAACAAACGACTTTACAACTTGCTCTCCACTATTTCCTTTCATGTAGTCAATGCTCCATTAAAAAAATGTACCATTTATTATTTCTGAGTTGTCTGCATTTCTACTTCTGTGCTTAACCTATTTTCTCTGCTCAGAAAGCTTTTCTCACCTTTCATCTTTGCAAGAACAAATATTTTTCTTTTAGGATCCAAATTGAAATATTGCTTCTTTCTCAAAGTTTTCTACTTACCCTCTTCCCCTGCTGGAAGTAATCTCCTTTTCTTTTGAATATATAAAATATGATATTTTATTTATTTATTTTATATATTTTAATCTTCATCACTACACTGAGCACTCTTTGAGGGCAAGATCTATATCTAGTTCTTTTTCTAGTTTTGTATATAGAAAAACATTAATAAATATCTGTTTAAAATAATAAAATATTAGAAGGATTTTAGAAATTGACCTAAATTACTTAGAAAGTCCCTTCCAATCTGGGATTCTATGACTGATATTTTGTACATTTACATACCATGAAAAGAACAAAAAATTATGAGAGTTGTTCATTTTCTTGCCTGCTTGAGGAAAGCTGACTTAATGATCAGTAAATTAATATTAATATGCCAAAAGTTGTACCAAATAGAACTCTGATAACCAAAACCTCTTCAAATTTAACTACCGATCCCAAGAATCTCACACAGCAAATTATAGTAGTACTTTGGAAGAAAATGCCTATTTTTTCCATTATCATTCATGTTTTAATTTGTTCAGTGAACATTTAAACACCTCTAGTGCAAAGCACCTTGTTAGGCACTGGTTATAAATACAATGATGAATAAAATGAAGTCCCTCCCCACAAGGACCTATAATCTAATGGTAGAGTTAGATGTTAAGCAAATATTCACATAAACACATAATAATGATATAATCTGTTAATGAGAGTGAAATAAGAATATGCTGCATTTTAAAGAGTTTAAATATAGAAAATCTTGATTAAGGAAATAAAATTTATGTAGATATGAGAGACCAGAACCTTTGAGATCTGATGGCTTGTTAGATTTGAAACTTAAGCTAGGAATACTCTCTACTTAGAGTATCCTGCCCACTAAGTCATAGAAACTACAAATAGGAGTGTTCAGTAAATAATAGTTGACACCAGTCAGGCAAGGTGGCTCATGCTTGTAATCCCAGGACTTTGGGAGGCTGAGGCAGGGAGATCACCTGAAGTCAGGAATTTGAGACCAGTCTGGCCAACATGGTGAAACTCTGTCTCTACTAAAAATACAAAACTTAGCCGGGCGTGGTGTCGCATGCCTGTAATCCCAGCTACTCGGGAGGCAGGAGAATTGCTTGAACCTGAGGGGTGGAGGTTGCAGTGAGCCAAGATCACACTACAGCACTCTAGCCAGGGTGACAGAGCAAGACTCCGTCTCGGAAAAAAAAAAAAAAAGTTGACACCAAAAAAATATGTTGGAGCCATATCATTTTCACATCAAATGAGTCTAGTTGTGGCACAAGTGATGAGAACCCCATTTTTTCCCAGAACTCAAGTACCTGTTTAAAACACTTAAAAACTTTCATTTAAATTCAAGAACTTATATGATCACATTTTAAATTGGTATTTCTTTGCTTTGCAAGGAAATTCACACACAAAACCCATCATTTTCATGCCCAATAACATGCCTATGCAACTTATCTTTGTTGATCTGTATGTTTAATGATATTTCCATTTCATTTTGATTGAGATTACATATCTAATAATATCTTAAGGAGCTGAGTTGATAAGCATTTAAGAAATGTAATTTGAGAAGGTATGGTCTTTCTCAATCAGAAAGAAAAAAAAAGAAAACTTACCACAGCTAAATTATTTCCAATGCATTTCAGAAATAAAAATTTTTCTGCAATAGCATCTTCACCCAGGAACTCACCAAGACGCTCCCTCAGGGCTCGTAAAGTAAGTTGAGGAGATACTCTGAAATATTATAAAATTGCCTTATAATATAAAATGAAATAGATTTTGGATATACTAATGATTCAATAACTTTAGTCAGCTATCTCAAACACAAAGGTTGATTTAATGTGTCAGATATAGCTTAACATATTATGTTTCCACATTGCCGGCATTTTGTAGGTCTTCCATAAATAGCTCTTAAAATAAATAATTAAAAGTCTGCCTTTAAAATTATGCAAATAAACACTGTTTATAAATGTTTTGTACTGAAAAGGAAAACAACTGTCTCTTTGCTAATTTACTTCCAAATTTTATTGTTAAAATTTGCTGTGGAATAGATGTACTTTTATACATATACCAATGAATGATTTAGCCACAGATATTTATTTTGGAAGTTTGGCAGGAGTAGCTAGTGCTTAAAAATTTTTTAAATAATCTAACATTGTCAGAGTCCACATCTTTGCTTATTAGGGATACTTTGCTCCTGAATATCTAAAATTTAAAGCCATCACTTACGCTATCATCTGAGTTCTTGTTTTTCTGGGACCTTATGAGAAATATTAGGTAATTCATTCAATCAACACATATTTATTGAGCATCTACTATGTGTCAGACATTGTTCCAAGGGATGTGAATATGGCAGTCAACAAAATAAAAATCTCTGCCCTCATGGACTTTACATATAATCTAGTGGTGGGATAGAAAAATTAATGAAGTAAATAAGTAAAAAAATGTAATTCATAAGACACTACTAAGTACCACAGAGAAAAATAAGGCAGGGAAGGGAGAAAGGGACTGTATGAATGATTTAAAATACAGTGATTAGAGAATATCCACAGAAAAAGGTAATATGTGAGTAAAGACCTGAAGGAGATGGGAGAGCATATGGTTAGGGCAGAAAACTCATTCTAGACAAAAGGAACAGAAAGTACAAGGGTCCTGAGGTAGGGCTATGTGTTCCAGAACAGAAAGGAGGCTGATGTGGTTGAAGAAAGAGATGATGAAGATTAGAAAGAGAGGTATGCGTAAGGAGTAACAACAGGCAGTCAGATCACATGGTATTATGTGTCTTTTTGTGAATTTGAAAATACACATCTACATACATATAAACACATGTTCTTTGTTTATATTTTTAAACAGGTCAGAGAAAGAGGCGTTGTAGATATATTGCTTTAACTGCTATTCTCAGATCAGCAGTTTTCCCTCCCTCCCTCCCTTCCTTCCGTTCTTCTTTCCTTCCTTCCTTCCTTCTTCTCTCTCCCTCTTTCTTTTTCCCTCTTTCTCTCTCTCTTTTTTGTTTTTGGCAGAGTCTCACTCTGTTGCCCAGACTAGAGTGCAGTGCTGCAATCATGGCTCACTGCAGCCTTGACTTCTGGGCCTCAAAGAAATCCTCCCACCTTAGCCTCCTGAGTAGTTTAGCAGATTTTTAATTTTAGATAACTTCTCTCTTAATTCACTTTGTGTATAACCATAATAATACACAGGTTATATACTGTTTTCTGGGTGGTAGTATTATGGCCAAGTGAGCTATTCCTACAGAACTGATTCAATTGTTACATAGCACTATATATTGATAGTATTCATTAAGTCAGGAAATGGATCTATCACGTGGACAAAATATTTTTCACTTATAGTTTTTAAATTTCCAAAAAGCATTTTTCTCTGAAGAAAACAGATTCTTCTTTCAGGCATATTGTTACATGACTACACAACACTTGCCTTAGAAATCCAGCTGAAATGAATTTGTTAACAACTTCTGTTGAAATGGTATTTAGCTTATAGTTCCATGATCCTTCAGGGACATAAAAAACATGAAGTTCCACCAACTGAATAAATTGAGAAGAACATCGGTTAAAATATTTTTAAAGTGAAAAAAAAAATCAATTGATGTCCTATAGAATTAAGTTTAATAAACACAATAGAAAAAAAACATGGAATACATACATCCCTCTGAACAAACAAAAACCAAAATGAACTAAAAATTTGTTCTTAAGTTGGCCACTTGGCACTTGGAGTACATTTTCCCTTGGCAACAATGTTATAGATGTGGCTATGAGATTAGCTCAACATCTTTGGCATATGGTGTTTTTTTCTGTGGCCTGCAGTAAGAATCCTAGGGCACCAAGACTAGTTTTCTTAACATCAACTTTACCTCACCTCACTCCCCACCTACTCAGTTCCATTGGGGTGATCCCCTGTGGAATCTTTATCCTTTGTATATTTTCTCCCTATTACAGTTCTGATGATTGCTAGCCCTCAGCACCTGCAAAAAGTTTAATACTGTGGTTTGGGGAATGTACTTATTCCCCAGAATTCCAGGAAGAACCTATTCCTGACCAATGAGAAAGGAATGATTGTTCTTACATTGGGCATGTCTATGCTTCTATGTAACTATCCACTTTTCCACTGATGTTTTGTTATGACCTTGATTAGAATCCTTCTATTTAGAAGAATATTTATATAACCACAACAGAAACAATGATTGCAAATATAGTCTTATCTTTTAGTCAAATTAAGTTTGATACTCCCTGCATATTAAAAGTCAAAGCATTTAAATGAATATTCTCGAATGCAATATTAAATATCTGAGAAACCTTTAAAAGTTTGAATATGACCTACTGTTAATATTAGTAATTTCATAGGAGATAAAAATAGTTCCTGAGCATAAGGTTTTCTTCAAGTTGTTTTTATAAATCAAGAAAATTACTTCTATGCTTTTGATGATGATTATTAACTAACAATTTAAAATGTCTGTATAGATCTGACAGTGAAGTTTTCTATACGTTGCATTTTGAACACTAGAGCACTTAAAAGATTAACCCCTAGCTATACTATTAAATATTTGCAAAACCTTAAGAAATTTGAAGTAAATATGACCTTATCTTTATATAAATGTATTAATATTTTACAGGAGGAAACTGTTTCTTGAACTAAATATTTATATATATGCTTCTTAAAAAAGACATTTTAATGGCTTTTTTCCAGAACAACAAAGTAGTTGAAAAAATACTGAAAAATTTTAAAGTACATATTAAATCTGACAATATTATTTTAAGGTTAAATATTCTATTTACACTCAAACGCTAATTTATTATAATCTTACCTTCCTGACTTTAATGGAAGCTACTCATCAATAACATTTTCATTAAAACCATTAGCTATTTTAAAAATACATTACAAGGTATGGCACATACTTTTTCTTTTGTCCCAAGTTTCAAAATGATTAGAGATGGCACTGTTGGATCCTGTCTCTATTTAAAATATGGATATCTTGTTCATCATGGATTTTTTTTGCATTAATTTTACTAAAAAAATTTTTTGGTAGCCCCTTAAATTTTTCATCTGTGGCAAGTACCTCATTTGCCTCAGACTAGTCCTGGCTCTGTGAGAAATATAGCCAACAAACAATAAATACTGACTTCTAAGAAGTACAATTTTTAAAATTTTTTAAAAATTAAAAAACAATAAACATAAAACACTAATAGGTAACATACTATATTATAAAGTGGTAATTGCTAGGAAAAAATAATAAGTAGGGCAGGGTAAAGAAGAATGGGAAGATATGGGATGGAGAAGTTTTCAGTTTTAAATAGTCAGGGTAGGTCTCATGGAAAAGGTGAGATCTGAGTAAAGACCTAAGGGAAAAGAAGGAATTAGCCAAGTGAAGATCTAGAGGGAAAGAGTTCCAGAAAGAGATAAAATAAAGGTATTAAGGTGAGAGCATGCCAGTATGATTGAAGCAGAGAGAGTAGGGGAGAGGGTAGAAGATAAGTTCAGAAAAATAAGGAGGTAGAGGGGAAACATACAGCACCTTCTGGGCCATTTTCACCTACAAAATGGGAAGCTAATGCATGGTTTTAAGAGAAACATTAAGATCTGACATATATTTTTATTTAATATGAAAAATTTTAAACATACATATAAATAAAAAGAGTAATTCTCTCCCTCTGAATAAAATATTCAAAGTAAACAGGACATCATGACACTATATCCCTAAATTATTTGGCATCCATATTCTAAAAATAAGGACCTCTGTAACATAATCACAATTTCATTTTCACATCTAAAAAAATTAAAATTCCTTAATGTCAATTAATATCCAGTCCATATTTAAATTTTCCCAATTGTCCTCGAAATATTTTCTTAATCTGGAATTCAAACAAGGATCACACAATGCATTTGGTTGTTACGTTTTTTAAAACTTTCATCTTGAAGAGTTCCCAAACCTATTTTTTTGCTTTTTATTTTTAACATGGCATTGACTTTTTAAAAGATATTGGGTCAGTTGTCTTATAGAATGTTCTACATTCTGAATATACTTCATTATCTCTAAGGTGTCATTTAACTTGTTTCTCCAACCTCTTATCTCCTGTAAACAGTTAACTATATAGCCTTCAAGGGACACAGGTTACTACTTGCGGCAATAATATTTCATAAGTGGTGTCCTGTATTTTATATTGCATTATATCAGGATATACATAATGCTTTACTTAATTAGTTGAGTGATGGGAATCATAGCTAGAACAGACTATAAGAGGCAAGAAAAGAGAACTTGTTATGAAGCTACTGGAATAATTACAGTCTGAGACAATGGTGACTCACGTGCTAGCAGTAAAGGTTATTAAAAAGTAGTCAGATTTTGTATATATTTAAAAGCTGGAGTCAATCCCTTGGAAGTGGAGTTTAAGAGTCAAGTAGAAGAGTCAGAGTCAATCTATTGGAAGTGGAGTTTGAAAGAAGAGTCAAGTAGAAGACTCAAGTATGCAAGAAGAATCAAGTATAACTCCAAGGCATTTGGCCTCAGATACTTAAAGGATAGATTTGACATCACCTGAGATGGCAAAAGTCATGGGTAGTGCAAGTTTTAGGGAAGGGAAAAAAATCCAGTTTCAGACATATTAAGATGAGATATCTATTGGCCATCCAAGTGGCGATGTCAGTTAGTCAGTTGAATATAGGCCTACGTGAATCTGGAATTTGGGAAAGAGGACTGAGATGAGGCTATAAATTTGGAAATCCTTGGCATAAAGTTGGTATTTAAATCTGTTAGACTAGATGAGATCACCAAGGAATGAGCGCAGGTAGAGAAGAGAACAAAGAGCTGAACCCTGATGTATGCCAAAATTAAGAGGTCAGGAGGAAGATGAAGGCCCAGTAAAGATGACTGAGAATGAACAACCAGGGAGGTAAGAAGAAAACAAACATAATATGTATGCTAGAAGCCTAGCGAAGCCTATGTCAAGGAAGAGAAAGTGATTAATGGTGTCAACTGTTGTGCACACATAGATCAAGAATGTTTAGGATAAGAATTAACCAACAGATTTAGTAATGAAAGGTGAATTTAATGAGAATAGTTTTGGTGGAATAATGGAGGTGAAATCTTGACCGCAGTTGGTTTAAGAGAAAATAGAGAGAAGGTATTGGGGGTCTGAGATGGTATGACATACTTGTTTAGAAGAGTGAAAGACTGAATTAATGAGTGGCAGATAGTAAGACTGCCCACCAGAAAAAGATTCCACTTGAAATTCATGGTCATGAATTTAAAGTGAGAATGGTACTTACGATGGTATACATTTTTTTTCTCTAGCCATGTTCAGCTGCTCAGGTGTAGGTACAGAATAGGTGGAGAAATGCATTAACCATGTTTGTTGTTTTGCCAAGCAGCACAATGAAGTGAGAGAGGGGCAAGGAGTCAAAAATATGTGCAAAGGAGTGATCATGACTGCTCTATGGAACTTAAGCTAGATATGGAGGGTACCAACCTCAATCATACAATTGAGAAACAGTGAAAAAGGTGATAGGATCAATGCATTGGGGATCCCAATATGCTTGGGATAGAGGAAGTGAGCTAGAGACACGAGAAGTGTAATCAGGCAATGGGATACATGAAGTTGGGATCATGGTGGAGTCAATATCTAATACTTTATATAATCTATGTTTTTGCTTTTATAAAACTTTTCAAAAACAGTGATAAGCAGGTCTTTCTTATATTTTAGTATAAAAAGATTTTCTTACCTCTGATGAGGAAGGTCGACTTGGATTGAGTGACATATTCACTAATGTCTGAATGGGATAATTATCAATTGGAATTTTGTTTCTTTTTTTATCTTTCTTCATTTAAGTAGTACTAAATAAAAATTATAATAGTTTTTTTTGGCTTAAGATAGCATTCCACTCATTTCTGGTCTCTGATTTGTTCAAGAAATAAAAAGGAAAACACAAAAGCATTAAATAAACTACAAATGAAAACTTAGACATATATACAATCTTTATTATTCTAACTCAAAAGGACATATTACTAGTAAATAGGACTGTGTAATAAAATGAGCATAAATCTATACAACTAAGTAACATGACAAATTACATTATAATGGACTTGTGACCAGGACATATTTTACTATTCTAAATAATTCATCTTTTCTTGGTCAAAAATTAAGGTTAAATATATAGCATTTTACATGAAGTAGAAATACACATTTGGAAGTAGAAAGGCAGAATTTATGATACTTGGTTAGTATCAACTACAAATTCTAAGCATGCCTAAAGTTTTAGTTAGCCTCTTGGCTAGTTAAAATGGCTATAGAATGATGAAAACTGTTATATCATATACATTTCTTCCTGGGCTTTGATGCCTCAATAATAAAAAACGTGAACAATCATTCCAGGTGAAAATGCCAGTCTTTAAATAAATCAGGCTTCATTTGTGTATTATTTCCAGTGTTTTTCCTCAGGATTTATGGCAGTTTACAAGAATGTATGATACAATTAAAAATATATAATGTATATAAGAAAAACTAAAAAATAAGGTAGCTGAATTATTACTCTAACAGGAATTATCAAAGCAGGATAATTCTTAAGGATACATTAATCATACCAACACAAGAGCTGAAGCTCTTCTAGATTTCAAAGCATTGCTCTTCCTTGATTTATGTTAAAATAAGGATTTAAATCCAACAAAACTTAAAATTCCTCTGATCTGGAACTGATTACAGCTCTACAAAACCCTAACAAGTACCACTAATTGTTTTAATAGTATCAAAATTAAAAGATTATTTCCTGAAATATACAGTCTCCTTAAATTAGTTTTACACATTACTTTCCATATTTCTTACAATAATTAAAACTTAGAATGTGATTTGCCATTTTGACCATGTCTTAAGTACACATTAGTACTTTAAGAAAGTATTTATATATCTATCCAAAAACTCTGTATGCCATTGTATTAATATTAGCCTCTATTATGAACCTAAGTGAAAGATGACTCAGATACATATATGGTCACTTCATTATTAGATAAGAATTAGTTAATAATCTATAATAATTATAGCATATGGGCATTCATTGATTCACTGGTATGCAAATTAGTAGGCTAAAAGTTTTAATTTGTTACATATTAAAATGTGATATTTTAATTCAGAACAATTTTTTTTCTTTTTTTTTGAGACAGAGTCTCCCTGTGTTGCCCAGGCTGGAGTGCAGTAGCGCAGTCTTGGCTCACTGCAGCCTCTGCCTCCCAGGTTCAAGCGATTCTCCTGCCTCAGCCTCCCAAGTAGCTGAGATTACAGGCGTGTGCCTCCACTTCCAGTTAATTTTTGTATTTTTAATAGAGACAGGTTTTCACCATGTTGGCCAGGCTGGTCTCAAACCACTGACCTCAAGTGATTCGCCCGTCTCGGCCTCCCAAAGTGCTGGGATTACAGGCATCAGCCACCACTGTGCCCGTCCCAGAACAAATCTTTAATTAAACAAACTCAAGATAGATCAGTCAAGACCTGCTTTATTGTTGTCCTGAGGTAAACCTATACAGGACCCCACTATACAGGTTGAGTATCCGTAATTTTAAAATCTGAAATCTGCAATGCTCAAAAATCTGAAACTATTTGAATGCTGACATGATGCTCCAAAGAAATGCTCATTGGAGCATTTTGGATTTGGATTAGGATTGTTTAACCGATATAATGCAAATATCCCAAAATTTGAAAAAATCTGAAATCTGAAACATTTCAGATTATCCCAAACCTTTTGGATAAGGAATACTCAACCTATAGTATCCCTTCTAAAGTAATGGCAAAGAAGCCATGTTTGGGATTTTAAGAACTCCCTTTATCATTTCTGATGAGACCAATGCTGGAGACCAAATCCTGGGCTGGCTAGAAACAAACAAAATGTTCTGATGTAAAAAGATGAGCCCTTGGGGATTAGACCTGGGAAAAGAGCTCAAGATACAAGCATCAGTAGACATTACTAATAAGAATATAGAAAAGAGAGCCGGGCGTGGTGGCTTGTGCCTATAATCCCAGCACTTTGGGAGGCCGAGAGGGGCGGATTGCCTGAGGTCAGGAGTTTGAGACCAGTCTGGCCAACATGGTGAAACCCCGTCTCTATTAAAAATACAAAAAAAATGAGCCAGGTGTGGTGGTGTGTGCCTGTAATCCCAGCTACTCAAGAGGGTGAGGCAGGGGAATTGCTTGAACCAGGGAGGTGGACGTTGCAGTGAGCCGAGATCGTGCCACTGCACTCCAGCCTGGGTGACAGAGTGAGACTCCGTCTCAAAAAAAAAAAAAAAAATAGAATATAGAAAAGAGAAGTCATCAGTTAGTATCATAGCCATGAGGCAAGCCCATGTTATGGGAAAGCTATACTTATTTATAAAGAGATAGAAAAAGATAAAGAACGGAGAAAATGACTAGGTTAACTGGTAGTGAGAAGCAAACTGAGGAAGTAACATAGCTGATTCATATTTATAACTAAGCACTAGAGAGGAATCAAGAATTCTTGGGGCTGGTCTCTAGCCTTGGATCTACTTCCAGTTTGACCTATTAGCGTGACAGTTTCTGCTTTGGGATTTACAAGGGATATGTGCCTCCACTGCTGCTCTATGTTGCTCTTTACAATAATCTCCTCATTGCTTGTGCTAACTTGAGTAAGCCTTTGCTATTGAAACCATGAGAGGCTAATTAAAACTTTAGGCATGCATGGCTGGCACTGTGGCTCACGCCTGTAATCCCAACACTTTGGGAGGCCGAGGCAGGCAGATCACCTGTGGTCGGGAGTTTGAGACCAGCCTGACCAACATGGAGAAACCCCATCTCTACTAAAAATACAAAATTAGCTGGGCATGGTGGCCCATGCCTGTAATCCCAGCTACTCCGGAGACTGAGGCAGAAGAATTGCCTGAACCCGGGAGACGGAGGGTGCGGAGAGCCGAGATTGCGCCGAGCCGAGATTGTGCCATTGCACTCTAGCCTGGGCAACAAGAGCGAAACTCTGTAACAAAAAACAAAACAAAACAAAACCAAAAAAACTTTAGGCATGCTTAGAATTTGTAGTTGATCCTAACCAAATCATATACTAAATCCTAACATATAACATGTGGGATTTTCACATTTTTTACCTATTACTAATTAGCTAATGAACAAAATGATGCCAACAATTCAAATGAAAGGAGACTGATATCTCAATAACCAAAAATAAAGTGACTATGAAGTTCCTGTCTAATCTTTCATTTACTACATAATTTTGCTTCACAACTCTACTGCCAGGAATGGAAAATCAATTTTATCTTGCATGCTAATTCCCATCAACTGGTACTGACTATCTAAAAGTGAATTACTAAGTAGGATCCCAAGGCTACATCTCAGTAGGAAACAGTACAGAAATGAATTATCACAGTAAACTATGGGTTTGAGAAGGAGTAACTGTTGGTAGATGTATCACCTATCTGCCATCTCTGATCTGGTCCTTCCTTTCAAAATAGCTACCCATCATGTTTTCTCTGCACTTTTCCAAAATGATTTTCAGTGTCAGTAGCAGAGCTGAAAATCAAGCTTAAGAAATTCTGATACTTATTCTGTGTCTAGAAATAAGGATTCTCGTAATTTTTATTTCCTGTCTGATTTGATAATATGGCATACAAAGATTGCTCAATGTACTTTAGAAAATCCTAAATGCTGACATGGGCTATGTTTAAATATACCAATAAAGTAGAATCTCACACAAGGTAATCACATTGATTGGGAGCCAGAAAAGCAGATTTCTAGTCCCTTATAACCTATACAACCATTCGTTGGTCTGAGTGTGAGTTTCTTAGTGGTAAGTGACTTGAACTCTTCAAGATCCTTTGCAGCTCTAAAATGTTTTGATTACTTGATTGCTCAAGGAATGCAACAAGTGAAAGGGAAATTTACATTCTGGAATAAAAAAATCAGAATACAGTTAACTTTATGACAGATGATGGGAGTATTTTTTGACATAATTCCTGATTCTTAAATCACCAAGGCGTGAAGTCTATCTGATCAGGATAAATTCAGATTATGTATATGTCCTGGGAGTTCTGCTTTATCTGGTTCCTGGTTAAGCTGTAAATAAAATTCTCATCAATTTAAAGGTTAACCTGTCTTAGGTA
Organism: Homo sapiens; assembly: GCF_000001405.40. Classification (NCBI taxonomy): domain Eukaryota; kingdom Metazoa; phylum Chordata; class Mammalia; order Primates; family Hominidae; genus Homo; species Homo sapiens. Next base: position 84,512,005 of record NC_000001.11, on the reverse strand, counting down.
AACAGATTAAAATGCCTGAAATGAGGCCAGGCGCGGTGGCTCACGCCTATAATCCCAGCACTTTGGGAGGCCGAGGCGGGTGGATCCCCTGAGGTCGGGAGTTTGAGACCAGCCTGACCAACTATGGTGAAACCCCACCTCTGATAAAAATACAAAATTGGCCGGGCATGGTGGCCCATGCCTATAATCCTAGCTACTGGGGAGGCTGAGGCAGGAGACTTGCTTGAACCCAGGAGGCAGAGGTTGCAGTGAGCCGAGATCACGCCATTGCACTCTAGCCTGGGCAACAAGAGCAAAACTCTGTCTCAAAAAAAAAAAAAAAAAAAGAAAGAAAGAAAAAAAAAAAAAAAGCCTGAAATGCCTGAGGGCACTCCAGAATCCACAAACATTTATAGTAGTTAGACTTCTAGAACCAATGGAGGAATGAGGTTTGTTTTCTAGACACGTCCTAGTGTTGACAAGAGGGCACTCCAGAATCCACAAACATTTATAGTAGTTAGACTTCTAGAGCCAATTGAGGAATGAGGTTTGTTTTCTAGACACGTCCTAGTGTTGACAAAATGGCATACTTGTCTTGAGTTGAAAAGTTCTCAGGATATATAAGGACATTTTAGGGAGGGGGAGGGTCTCCCAGAGAGTAACAGAATGATATAGAATCAGAATCTATGTTGGAAAAGGAATTATAGAGTTAGGTTTCTTTTACTTTGTAATTTTTGTGGGCATGTAGTAGGTGTATATATTTATGGGTACATGAAATATTTTGATACAGGCATACAATGTGTGAAAAGCACATCAGGGTAAATAGGGTATACATGACCTCAAGCATTTATTGTTTGTTTTACAAAAAATCCAATTATACTCTTATTTTAAAATGTATAATAAATTATTGTTGGCTATAATCACCCTTTTGTGCTATCAAATACTAGATTTTATTCACTTTATCTAACTTATATTTCTGTACCCATTAACCATCCCCAGTCCCCACCCCACTACCCTTCCCAGCCTCTGGTAACCATCATTCTACTATCTCCATGAGTTCAACTGTTTCAATTTTTACTGCCAAATAAGTGAGAACATGTGAGGTTTGTGTTTCTGTGTCTGGCTTTTTCACTTAACATAATGACATCCAGTTCTATCCATGTTGTTGCAAATGAGATGATCTCATTCTTTTTTATGGCGGAACGGTACTCCATTGTTTATTTGTACCACATTTTCTTTACTCATTCATTCATCTGTTGATAGACACTTAGGTTGCTTTTAAATCTTGGCTATTGTGAATAGTGCTGCAGTAAACAAGGGAGTGCTGATACCTCGATATACTGGTTTCTTTTCTTTTGGGTCTATAGCTAGCAGTGGGATTCCTGGGACATACTGAAGCTCTATTTTTAGTTTTTTCTGAGGAACCTCCAAGTTGGTCTCCATAGTGGTGGTACTAATTTACATTCTCACCAACAGTGTACAAGAGTTCCCTTTTCTCCACATCCTCACCAGCATTTGTTATTGTCTATCTTTTGCATAAAAGCCACTTTAATTGGGGAGAGATGATATCTCATTGTAGTTTTGATTTGCATTTCTCCTGATGATCGGTGATGTTGAATACCTTTTCATATACCTGTTTGCCATTTGTAAGTCTTCTTTTGAAAAATGTTTACTCAGCTTTTTTGCCCATTTTTAAAGCGGGTTATTAGATTTTTTTCCTATATAGTTGAGCTCCTTATATATTCTGGTTATAAATCCTTTATCAGATGGATAGTTTGCAAATATTTCTTCCCATTCTGTGAGTTGTCTCTTCACTTTGCTGATTATTTCCTTTGTAATGCAGGTTTTTATTTTTATTTTTTGAGACAGGGCTTCTCTGTTGCCCATGCTGGAGTGCAGTGGCATGATCACAGCTCACTGCAGCCTTGACCTCTGCAGGTTCCCAAGTAGCTGGGACCACAGGTACATGCCACCATGTCCAGCTTTTTGTATTTTTGTCAAGATGGGGTTTTGACTTTGCCATGTTGCCCAGGCTGTTATACAACTCCTGGGTTCGAGAAATCTACCTGCTTCAGCCTCCCAAAGTGCTGGGATTACAAGCGTAAGCCACCGTGCCTGGCCCTGTGCAGGTTTTTAACTTGATGTAATCCCATTCGTTCATTTTTGCTTTGGTTGCCTGTGCTTGTAGGGCATTATTCAAAAAATCTTTACCCAATCCAATGTCCTGGAAAGTTTCTGCACTGTTTTCTTTTCTTTTTTTGAGAGATGGGTCTCACTCTGTCACCCCGGCTGGAGTGCAATGGCGTGATCTCCGCTTACTGCAATCTCTGCCTCCCGGATTCAAGTGATTCTCCTGCCTCAGCTTCCCAAGTAGCTGCGACTACAGGCATGTGCCACTACGCCCAGCTAATTTTTGTATTCTTAGTAGAGACAGGATTTCACTATATGTTGGCCAGGCTGGCCTGAAACTCCTGACCTCAGGTGATCCACCTGCCTCGGCCTCCCAAAGTGCTGGGATTACAGGTGTAAGCCACCATGCCCCAACTCCAATGTTTTCTTATAGACGTTTCATAGTTTGAGGTCTTAGATTTAAGTCTTTAACCCATTTTGATTTGATTTTGGTATACGAGGAGAGAGACATCTAGCTTCATTCTTCTAATACGGATATTCAGTTTTCCCAGCACCATTTATTGGAGGGACTGTCCTTTCTCCAATGTATGTTCTTGGCACCTTCGTAAAAAACGAGTTCACTGTAGGTGAATGAATTTGTTTCTGGGTTCTCTATTCTGTTCTACTGGTCTATGTTTTTTTTTTTTTTATGCCAGTACCATGCTGTTTTGGTTACTATAGCTCTGTTGTATAATTTGAGGTCAGGTAACATGATTCCTCCATTTTTATTCTTTTGGCTCAGGGTAACTTTGGTGACTCTGGGTCTTTTATGGTTCTGTATAAGTTTTAGGATTGTTTTTAATACTTCTGTGAAGAATGTCATTGGTATTTTGATAGAGATTGCACTGAATCTGTAGATTGCTTTGGGTATTAGAGACATTTTAACTATATTGAATCTTCCAATACATGAACATGGAGTATCTTCCCATTTTTTTTGTGTCCTCTTCAATTTCTTGCATCAGTGTTTTATGGTTTTCTTTGTACAGATCTTTAACTTCCTTGGTTAATTCCTAAGTATTTTATTTGTAGCTATTGTATATATTTTTTTCTCCAAACTTCAATTTCCTTAGCCATTATAAAAACAGAATAAGCTCATTCTTTGAGAAAGAAGTCAGAATTGTGAAATCCCCCTTTGAAGAGATTCAGCTTTTAGTTAAAGTACAAAGTACAGCATGTGACTCTTATTTATTCAAATTCTGAATTTAGACCTAGTGAACTAAAGAACTTAGGGTACTAATTAATTGAATACGGTGAAGATCTCAGGTAAATTTAAATTGACAGTGCTCTGCTGACAAAACATAAAGTGACAGATTACTTGGTGGTCTTTTCTTGGCATTTATTGCTAAAAGAATCCTCTTGGTGACAACAGGCCAGTCTTCAACCAACTGAACAGTGAGCATCTATGTCTGTACAGTTGGTAACATGTTTGAAATGTCTTAGATCATTGTGGAAGGTCAAAGAACATCTAAACAAAAGTTTAAGAGATACAGATAGTTCATAAACTATATTTACTGGTAATCACTTCAGATGCAACTGAACTTAAAGTTATCTCAATGGTTTTGTTTTTTTTTTTTTGAGACGGAGTCTCACTCTGTCGCCAGGCTGGAGTGCAGTGGTGCCATCTCGGCTCACTGCAACCTCTGCCTCCCAGGTTCAAGCGAATCTCCTGCATCAAGCCTCCTGGGCAGCTGGGACTCCTGGGTGGCGCGCACCACCACGCCCAGCTAATTTTTGTATTTTTTAGTAGAGACGGTTTCCCCACGTTGGCCAGGATGGTCTCGATCTCTTGACCTCGTGATCTGCTCGCCTCAGCCTGCTAAAGTGCTGGGATTACAGGCGTGAGCCACCATACCAGGCCTCAATGTTTTATTTTTCTTTTGTATCCTAAATAGAATCTTTAAACACACGCTACAAAAAAATAACACCTGGTGTTTGAGACAGCACTCCAGTCTGTGGTTTCCCAATGCAGCAGTTAATAAAAAAGCAACAATTTTTTTTTTTTCTGAAACTGTTTCGGCCTAAAACACTGCTTATTCCTCAACAGTCTCCCTCACAGAAGTAATTATTGGACCATATATTCCCTAAAATCTCTTCCAGCATTAACATACCACGGTTCTAAGAGTTCAGTGATATATTTTACAACTACTGTAAAACAGATCATTCTTTGAATAGATACTTGTGTTTAATCTTACAAATCTGTAAAGTATGAATGACGTTTTAGCATTATACAGTCAACAAAGCACCAAAGGTGAAATAATTACAATACCTTTTGGGAAAAGACAATATTTATTGAGATAGCTTTCACATTCTTTTTACATATAATGTCATTTCATTCCGAAAAACAACTCTACGAAGCTGTATAATTTACTTTGAAATAAGGAAATAAAGCCTCAGTAACTTAAGTGGCTTGCCCAAGAATACCGTAAGTAGCAGAGCCAGAATTCAAACCCTGGTTTTAACCCCAATCATTACATCCGTATGAATTAAGTAAAATGCTAAACTTACGATGTACATTTTTGCGAACTGATATAAACTGTTGAGTAAATAAATTAGATTTTGTTGACCAGTGCAATTACACATGCTTCCCTAATAAAAAATTTGAAATCCATTAATGATAAAATTATTAACATTAATGGAAAACATCAGCGCATTCGGAGATTGACTACCCGAAAAGAAATAGGAAACATCTGCCCTTAGTGCTGTGACATAACACACATATTTCCGTGGATGAAAGAAAGACCTACTGGCTGAGCCTATTTTGTTTGGTTAGACCCTACCCTCTCTCCTAAAAACTCCTTTGGTACTCAATTTCAAGCAGGAGGTAATAAATTACAACGGAAATACTAAAGAGCAAACTTTCCGGAAACACAAAAATAAGTTTTATTTTAAAAAGTACAATAAGCATTAATTCTCCAGAGTAAATGGGTAACCGAGCAGACAGGTGTAATCTTCAGCCAGCACCTTGGCTTCTTCACAATCTCCTTCAGAAAAACCGATTCAAGAGCTAAGAAGCCAGTAAAGTCAAACCTCGAGAAGATCCCTTCTCCAGCGAATCAGCGCCCCTGCTCCCCGCCCGCCCGGCTCCGCTGGGTACGCGACAGCGACCTCCGCGCCTGCTCTCCGCCTCGGGTCAGCGGGGCTGGGGGTTGGGGGTGGAACTGAAAATGCCTGTTGGCCAAACTCGGGTCACAGAGAGACACGCCTGTACGGGGCGGGGGTGTGCGGGTGACTCACGCCGGGTGCACAGTAGCTCCTACGCCTCACCCAGTATCTCCCCTCACTTCCCTCAACCCTTCCCACAAACTGGGAGGAAAACTGAGACCTCCTGGTCACCCGCCGCCGGGCCTTTTAGAAACTCCCACAAGCTCTGCCTTCCCTCCCTGGTCCTCTTCAGACCCCCTCTTAGTTCTTCGCGGCTAACGGTAAGCTCTCTCCTTACCTCTCCCTAATCGGCCCCTCTGGAGAGGAAAAGAAAACTTAAGAGTCGGGTCGCGCTAGCCTCCAGCAGCCGCCGCGCCCACCGACTGCTCCGCCCCTTCTCCTCCCCCTCCTCCAGGCTCGCGCTCGGGGCCGGGTGTGGAGCTGGAACAGAGGGCTGGCAAGGCGCGCATGCGCACCGAGGGTGGAGCCGCTGAGCACAGAACCGGAAACTTAGAGACAAAGTTCGGAGCCCCGCCCCCGCCGCGCGCCGCTGAGTTGTCTGGCCCCGCCGACCCACGGCCCACGACCCACCGACCCACGAATCGGCCCGGCCGTCGCGTGCACCATGTCTGGCTCCTCCAGCGTCGCCGCTATGAAGAAAGTGGTTCAACAGCTCCGGCTGGAGGCCGGACTCAACCGCGTAAAAGTGAGCGGGGGCGGGCGGCCGAGGCGGGAGGAAGGCGGCGGCGGCGGGTGGGATCCGGCGGCCCAGCTGGCGGGGGCGGGCGGGACACGCGCCGGCCCTCGCTTCCCCTGGAGAGGACGCGCGCTCAGCGGCGGCGATCGGGGAGCGGCCAGCTTTAGAGCAGGCGCCGCGTGGGTCTACGCTGTGTTTTAGGGGGACGATTAGTTCGCCCTTCCGCCCCAGGACTTTCCGAGGCGGGCTGGCCCCTGGGTTGAACCGTGGCCGACATTCCGGTCCTCCTCCGTCTCTACCTCCCTTGGCAGCCTTCTCGGCTGGTCTCACCAACAGCTGCGCCTCCGCGCGCTGTCCGCACCCTTCCTTTCCCACTTTGCCAGCCTCCTGTTTCTCATCGGACAGGGTATTTTCCGACTTTTGATTCAGAGCAGACTTTTCTCCCATTTGATCTTTCCCAAACCTACTTCCTTTAGTATTAAATTCTTACCTTCAACTTCTCTTGTCCGTTGAACACATACTTTTAAGCGAATTATTGCATAACTTAAACTGTGGATTGAATAAGCATTTTTCGAAACGATCCTGGAGTGTAAAGTTCCGGTCAGTGCCCCGTACAACCTCGAACAAAGCGTGCATTTCATACCTATGGCACAGTTTGCTCATATTTGACCTTGGGGATATCGACTGGTCCGCATGCCGGAGAAAATGATTATTGTGGGTAATTATTGGTCTTATTTTGGCGTCTGGTTAGTATTGGCCTTGTCTTGGGGTACTTTGGGAGAAAAAGCCTTTTGTCTGTGTTGATAGAATAACTTGACATTCAAGTGCTGTTCTAAGTATTTCCTGATTTTTACAGTCCTAAATGGATTGGCTTCTTTCTGGTACAATAGGTCAGGCTACATGTGAAACACTTCTGCAGTTAAAAAAAGAAACAAGAATGTAAATCATGTGCCCTGTTAAAAGCAGCCAGTTCCTAAGATGATTTGATTTTATACTCATCAGGCTAGTCTTTATTACTTGCCGAAATGTTTTGTGAACTGAGAGGGTCTCTAAGCTTTCTTAACTAGAAGTGTCAGAGACCTAGCTTACTCAGTTGTGGTCACCTCAGAAGGGAAGGGAAATTCTCATTCGTCTTGGTGCAGGATCCTCCTGAGAGAGAGTCTCCCATTTAGTTTTGTTAACTAGAAATGTCAGGGACCTAGCTTACTCAGTTGTGGTCAACTCAGAAGGGAAGGGAATTCTCATTCGTCTTGGTGTGGGATCCCCCTCACGTCCAGTCCTTGAAATGCTGTAGACCTCACTGCAGTTTGGAATCCATTTCTCTACTCTCCCAATTCTTACCTCATCACAGTGGTTTCTAGTCAGTCTTGGCTGGATTTGGCTCTGAAACTCGAAATCATTTATTTCGTAACCATTAAATGTCATTCAGGTGTGCCTTTATCATAGATAGGATGGACCAAGAAAAAAAAATGGGGGTGGGATAGTGAAAGCAATAAATTGTACATCTTTAGTCTCCAAAGAAAATGACATGAGGTTCTCAGGCTAAAATACTCCAAGAGCTTTACTTTGAAAACCCTAGCTGCTGCTCCCCTAATTCCCCAAAACTGATCCTACCTAAATCTTCAGTAGACTTCTGGTTCTGGTCGGGATCATTAAAGGCACCAGACATGATTTGGTTTTGGAGTTATTGCCTGATGTTAAGGCTGTAGCAAGAAGGGGAGCATCCCCTTTTGTACTTTTTAATGAGCTTTTCTTTAGACATGTTGCTAAATGTGGTTTAACGTTGTGTATCTGTTTTATCAATGACTGGGCTAGGTGATTTTTTTGTGAGATTTTTAAACTAGCACAATCTTACTTTTAACCTTTATGTGTGAGTACAATTGATAGAACTTACCATAAGTGCTTGACAAACTGTCATAGGTAGGTCAGGACATTTTTGAGAGTGAGAAGGGGCACTAATAGGCCAGGATTACAGGGTTTCAACCTCCTGGATGGTGATTGTTACAGTGCCTTAGGGGCTAGCAGCTTGTTCCAGTTTTAGAGTCTTTGTCTCAGCTTTCCTCACTGTTTGGAATGCTGTTTCTCACTGATGGTTATTTGGCTGGATCTCTTGTCATTGAGATCTCAGCTTCAATGTCACCTCAGACACCTTCCCTTAGGTGGGCACCCAGTCACCATCTAAAAGATTATTCATTTTACTACAGAGCACCTTGTCTGTCATTTTCTCTGAACTGTTAGCTCCATAACAACAGGGCTCTGGCTGTTCTTATGTATTCTTAGTGCCTGTAAGTATATGCGGCACATAGTGGTGCTTGAAAATTGTGAAAGCGAGTTACATTGGACCCCACCTACACTTTAAACAGAAAATTAACAGGTACTCTTTATGCTTCCTGCTGGTTAATATGAATGAAAACACTAAACACTATTACAATATTTGGTGAAAAATGACACCATTGTTCCCCTACTTTAGCTACACTTCTTTTGGAAGGCGGGGGATGAGGGGGTGTAGTCATTTGTAAAAATACTTCTTTTACATAGGAGCTAATAAACCTATGGAACTCATTACTCTGGACTGCTGTATAAGCAAAACACACAAATAGATTCGATAAGCGTTTAGATTCATCTTAGGATGAAGAATTATTAGGTTGGAGGTACAGCTGTAATCTGCAGGGGTTCTTGGTATAGAGAGCATTTGTGATGCTATTAATTCCCTGAGGCCACATATCCAGCTGGATGGACTGGACACCTGCTCCCAGCCTCCTTGCGGATAAAGACTGAGAATAAAATAAATGAGTATTTCTCCCACTTTTTAAATCTCAGTTCAAGACTTCAGATATTAGATGCATTTGGGGCATGTTTTAGTCATTCATGTTCCACGTCTGAACGGGTCCGTTAATGTTATTAAACTAGACAGTGACAGATTTCTGCCCAGTGTCACGTGACTGAAAGGCTGCTAGCAAACTTCAATTTAACAGTTTTTCTGAGCAGCCTGCCTTTAAGAAACTATTGCCTTAAATATGATTTAAGTGTTAATATACATATACAGAGCCACCCAAACAGGACTTAAGGAACTTCAATGGCTTTATGGTTATTTTGTTTATATCCTACATCACCTTAGCAGAATATATAGAAATAGTAGATGTCTAAGTGAATGAATGCATGCCTCTTTTAATTTGTTTTAGTTTAAATGCAAGACAGTATAAGGGTCTGATAAATTTGAGGATCAGTATACTGAATGCATTCTTAGTGTTGGCTTTTCTAAATTATGTGCTAGTTATCCCACATTATGTTCATTCACAGTAGCATTTTTCCAGTAATACTGCTTTCAAGACAAAGTAATAGTTTGCTAGAATGTTATTGCTTTTTGTTTAACCCTTAATGTTTTTAATAAGATGTTAAGTACCCTCAGGTTTGCACTTGAACAGCCTATTATTAATAAGCAAGATGTGCTACGCTTTGCAAAAATCAACATAATTCTACTGTTTGTACTCAGTCATCTGATGCTTCTAGTAACCAAGCAAAAGAAAACATACTTAATTAAATCAGTCTTATTTGCAAGCACTAGTTTTAAGTATTAAGAGCTCACTAGGCTGGGCGTGGTGGCTCACACCTGTAATCTCAGCACTTTGGGAGGCCGAGGTGGGCGGATCACGAGGTCAAGAGAGAGAGACCATCCTGGCCAACACGGTGAAACCCCGTCTCTACTAAAAATAGAAAAACTAGCTGGGCGTGGTGACGTGCGCCTGTAGTCCCAGCTACTCAGGAGGCTGAGGCAGGAGAATCGCTTGAACCGAGGCGGAGGTTGCAGTGAGCCGAGATCGCACCACTGTACTCCAGCCTGGCAACAGAGTGAGACTCCGTCTCAAAAAAAAAAAAAAAAAAAAAAAGAGCTCACTATTTGACTTAAGTCTTCAATTATTATATAGTATCTTCTTTTGAAGCAAGAGAAGTACTGTTTTATTGTAAGTACAATATTTCCAAAGATTGAGAAAACCTTCATTAAAATGTTCTCACCATCTGGCACTTCCCCCCCTCTTTGTTATGTATAGGTTTCCCAGGCAGCTGCAGACTTGAAACAGTTCTGTCTGCAGAATGCTCAACATGACCCTCTGCTGACTGGAGTATCTTCAAGTACAAATCCCTTCAGACCCCAGAAAGTCTGTTCCTTTTTGTAGTAAAATGAATCTTTCAAAGGTAAGTTTCCTTAAATTTAAAACAAAAACCCACACTGTAGGAATAACTAGTCTTCTCTTTCTTTGCAGCACTTAAAAGATCATCCCATGCCCTTTCCTTTGGCCCTCCATTTCCAGTATTTTTCTGTTTTGCAAGGAAAGTGAGGATTCATGAAACTTGCTGACTTAGTAGCCATGAAGGCTAATCGTTTCTATTTTACCATAAAGAAGGTTAAGTAGAGGATTTAATAACCATAAAGAGGGTATAGGAGAGTTACTACAAAATCCCACTGCCGTAACAAGCCATGTGTTACTTTTTAGAGCATTGGCCTAATGGAGTCCCCAAGTACTAGTTTTGTTTTTGTGTACCTGGCAAATATTTAGACAGTTTTTAAAAAATCTGCAATGTTTATGGGGATAACTTAAAGTACTACCAACTGATTTGGATTAACTCTTGATGTTATTGCTCTAACTGAACCCAGCTGTAGAGCAGTATAGCAAAGATTGGGAATTGGAAATGCAAGAGAAAGTCAGATGTAATTGAGTAAGCCAGTGTGGTAGAGGCGTTTGGACTGAGGTAGAACAGACTTTATATTTTGTTCTCATTTGTTAGATTAAAGATAAAACATGAAGGAAATGCAGTATATAAGTTCTTGGTGGCAAACAGACAGTGGACTGAATTTCAGAGAATTAAAAACTAAAGACCCTGTTGGCTTTATTAAAGCATGCTTCAGTACATTAATTTGTGCCTTCCAGATCAAATGTCATGTGTACAAAATGTATGTTAATCTAAGAGATGTGACCAAAAACGTTTTGGATCATTTAAAATGTAACTGAAGGGTGCTGCCTTTTATAAATTCTTAGTACTTTAGTTAGGGAATGTACTCATTAGTATTGACCTATGAGAAGCAAACTTAAACTAATAGTACTTTTTTAAAAAAGATTTTGTATATGGCACACACCCCTTACTAACTTTCTGACTTCTCCAAAGTCCAGGAAGCTGCTTCCTAAAATACCTTGTTACATAGTTGTGCCCTCCTTAATTAAGCTTCCTAGACCTGGGAGTGTCCAGGAAGTCTGTATAAGTACATGTTTCCAGTAAATACAATGATTGGTTAAGATGTTTAAGTTTTTTGAAATACCAGGGGGAAAAAAAGCCCTTTGAAAACAGGTGTCATGTGCACAAAAATGCACATGAAGAAGTAATTCACTTTCATATTTAACAGTTTATTATAATATCCTTTGTTTCTGGTACTATTCATTTAATTCTTCATGGTAGTTTTTGGAAGTTTCATATTTTTATGGTTTATTAATGATTGTTTTTTTAACCTCAGTTCTTGTATTCACTTTACAGTGGTTTATTTTCATTTGAATAAAATACTGGGCAGCTGTTAATAGTTTTACTTCATAGGAATCTACAGATAAGTGTTTAAATGAATTGCTCAAGTTTAAAAATATGGCTGGGGGTAAGAACCCAGAAGGTAAAATAATGTCTATTAATCCCAGCAGTATAAGAAAACAGCTTTGTGGATATTAAGATTTGCAGCAGTTTGGGCTAGGAGAATAATAATTGGGCATCAAAGCATTGCTTCTCAAGCTTGAATATATGCAAATCACTTTGTTAAAATGCAAATTCTAATTCAGAAGGTCTGAGGTGAGTCCCTAGAACTTGCATTTCTTACAACTGCCCACCTACACTGATGCTGACAGTACTGGACCTACACTGAGTGGCATGAATGTAAAGAATCTACATTGGAGTTATGTATATAAATACAGTTTTATCACTGGAGTGCAGTGGCGCAGTCTCGGCTCACTGCAACCTCTGCCTCCAAGGTTCAAGTGCTCCTGCCTCAGCTTCCTGAGTAGCTGGGATTACAGGTGCACACCACCACGCCCGGCTACTTTTTGTATTTTTGGTAGAGACAGCGTTTCTCGAACGCCTGACCTCAGGTGATCTGCCCACCTCAGCCTCCCAAAATGCTGAGATTACAGGCGTGAGCCACCGTGCCCGGCCCTGTATTTCCTTTTAAGAGGAAATTTTACTATTTTTTTTGAGATTCCAGCTTTTGAAATTTTTCCTCTTTTACACAAAACAAAATAGAATAACACAGGATTAAAAACTGTTAATCAGTAGAACATGTATGCACAAAAAAATGCAGATAAGACGACAGGCTTATTGACAGTATTCGCCGTTTTTCATTCTGCCTTTTTTAAATGAATTTATTTCATTAAATACTCTTTGTAAACAAGATATTTAATGGTTGTACTAAACTATGATGGAATTATACTTCACTGAATATTTAAGTTTCCAAAATTTGAGGTTACAGTGAGGTGAAGATTTTGGTGAACATCTATATATACTTAGTACCTCTATTAAGTTTCTAGAAGTAAAAAGGAGTGAACGTTTAACATTTTTACAACGTTGTACTTGATATCCCCTGCCAATATAATACTTTGGCCTTCCACTAGAAACATGAGAATGTTTTTTCCTTGAGTCCTAACAAACCTTAGTCTTTTCTGTCACTATTTTAGGTGAGATTAAACATTTTTCACAGCATTCTGTTTATGCCTTTTCAACATTTTTGTCACAGACTATCTCAGATTAACACTTTTGTACCTTTCCATATCAATAACTAATCCTAAAGTTAGTATGCTCATGTTTTAATTTTTTAGTACACTGTTTTTCAATTTAATGTTTTCATTTTTTAAATCTTTTAGTTTATACTCTATTAAACTGAAATATTATGGTTTGAAAACATAACTTATTTTTTAAGGCATAACTTATAATAGCTTTGTATTCCATCATATGTAGAAACCTTCGTTTATCCATTCTCCTACGGAGTTATATTTAGGCTGTTTCAGTTCTTTGCTGTTAAAATACTAATACAGTCAGTATCCTTGTACATGTTTCTCTATGTCTGGGTTTATCTAGGTAACTAGAAGTGTGGTTGCATCCTTTACTTCACTAGATACTGCCAAACTGCCCTGCTAAATATAGTCTTGCTCATTTTTCTAAGGATGTTTGGATTTTTGATTTAAGAGAGTTTTATTAACCTTTTTTATTATATACAGAATGTATTTTGGCAGTAATCTTAGCAAGTTAATCTGTAAGTCTGTTTATAAAACAGGAATGACTTATACATCAGAGTGGTTGTGAAAATTAAGGGAAAGATTTTACTGTTACTGGACCATAGGCATTTCCCATCCTGCTTCTTTTAAGTTATTCATGAAAAAAATTAAAAACTATGTTCTTTGATACTTTACCCTAACTCACCTTTTTTTTTTTTTCCCCATCTTAGGTTTCCCAAACCACTCCTTATGATCCAGTGAATATTCAAGAGAGCTACATTTGAAGCCTGTACAAAAGCTTATCCCTGTAACACATGTGCCATAATATACAAACTTCTACTTTCGTCAGTCCTTAACATCTACCTCTCTGAATTTTCATGAATTTCTATTTCACAAGGGTAATTGTTTTATATACACTGGCAGCAGCATACAATAAAACTTAGTATGAAACTTTTATTTTGCATTATTATTGGTATTAAATACATGGTATATTAATCTGTTCTGAACACCTGAAGGGGTTAAGTTTGTACAGTTTTTTCCACCTACTCTTCTCACATGACTTTATGCCATACATCTGGCAAGACTGCTAGGGAATTAAAGGTAAACTGTGAACCTTTATTCTTTTAAGGTCAGGAGGAGGCTGTTAAGTTCTACGGGTTTCCATCCATGAGTTACTTATAGGGTTAACTTTGTTTCAGTGCCTGAATGGAGTACTACAGCACCATGTAATGAGGTAAAAAAGAGCTCCCCACAACGTGGGCACAAAAAACCAAAAACCTCAAAATCAGGAAGCAAAGATTAGCTTCAGTAATTTGCAACTTTGCTTTAAACCCTGGTAGATCATTTTGCTTTAAATTTTTTACCCTTCTGAAGGCTTAAGAGAATGTTAAAACATCCAGAAACCTGGCCTCCATTTAAGCTATTAAAACTGTGCCAGACACTGGGAATCCAAGGTTAATCTGGTATAAAAATCAAGGGTTAGCCAATATTTACCAACCATTTTATTCCTCTCATGTGTTCTATGCAAATAGGAAAGTTAATCTGAATCTTGATTCCAACTTAATTATTCACAGTTACCCAAAAACAAGAGAACTAAGTTTAAGGAAACCTAAGCCATCAAAATAACTTTTATTTGTATTTTCTACATAAACACACAGTGGCAATTCATGGCATTTGGTAATTCGTCCAGACGTGAAAGGTTTATGAAATCAGCAAATGCCATTTTGAAAAGAGTATTCTGTCAAAAATAATTTACCAAAGTTCAAGATAGGCCTGTTCAGCAAAATCCAATATCATTCTCTCAGTACTTTATAAATGGAATTTTCTTCTACTTGTATCCATTTCCCGGGGCTGAAAGTGGAAAGCAAGGGAGTGGAGGAAGAAAACAAAACAAAAATATAATTAACAATTCAGGTAAGACAGTAAAAGTTAACGTCCCTAGATCTTCATAAGTAACACTAGTGCTGAAAAACCGGGTTTGTGCGAGACCCCGAATAGTCAGTCTTCGGTCTAATATAAAAGATGTTGGCAGTTACTGTGTGTGTGTGATTTTAAAGTAAAATGTTACTAAGTGAAGTACTGCTTATACTAGATAGAAAAGGATGTTTTAGGCCATGCACGGTGGCTCACACCTGTAATCCCAGCACTTTGGGAGGCTGAGGCAGGCAGATCATGAGGTCAGGAGATCAAGACCATCCTGGCTAACACGGGGAAACCCCTTCTCTACTAAAAATAGAAAAGATTAGCCGGTGTGGTGGTGCACACTTGTAATCCCAGCTACTCGGGAGGCTGAGGCAGGAGAATAGCTTGAACCCGGGAGGTGGAGGTTGCAGTGAGTCGAGATGGCGCCCCTGCACTCCAGCCTGGGCAACAAAGCTGAGACTCATCTCAAAAAAAACAAAACAACAACAACAAAAAAGTTTTCATTTATGATTTAAGATGATGATCTCCAAACTTCTAAGAAAACTTATCAATAGTTCTCAAGAAACATGTAGTAGAGTCACATATAACACAGGCTTATAAGCAGATTGCTGCTGGGTCCCACCCCCTAAATTGCTGATCGAGTAGGTCTGTGGGCCAAAGAATTTTCATTCCTAATAGGTTCCTAGGTAATGGTGCTGGTCTCGCTTTGAGAACCACTAATGTTTATACTTCAGATGAGCCAAGGTTAATCACCAGACCCAGATATTGTATCTTTTTTTTTTTTTTTTTTAGTTCAAGGGTATATGTGCAGGATGTACAGGTTTGTTACATAGGTAAACGTGCTATAGTGGTTTGCTGCACAGATCATTTCATCACCTAGGTATTAAGCCCAGCATCCATTAGCTATTCCTGATGCTCTCTCTCCTCCCACCCTCTTATCCCATACTTTAAAAATGACTTAGTCTTTTTAAACAATAAGCACATACCTTATGGACCCATTCATACTCTCCATATTTAGAATCAAAGGTTCCTTTCTGAAGAGACCTTAATTTTAAGGTAAAACGTGGTCCAAGTTCCTGAATTCCCACTTTCTTTTCACTCCTGAATATGTATCTTCAAAGACAAAAAGAGTTAAATTAGTCTGAATGAGCTATTGTTTAACATTATGACAGGGTTCAAAAGATAATTCATTTTATCTTGTATGATACTTGCTACAATATGTTGGAAAATTAGTTCATGTTGAAAATATATTTCATAATTGAAATCAAAGTTCAATGAGTTTACCTTCCTCACCTGTGAAATCTGAAGAATATGTAATCCCGTTGATTGTGGAATGTGGCAACCTGCCTTCCGATAAATTGAGGATTATGAGGAAAGAGAGATGCAAACATACGTCCAATTGAATGACCCAGCCGTGTTGTAAAATTATTCAGAATTATTTCAGGTATGTGTTCTGTGGGGTCCTTGCCTCTTCTCTAGAAAAATAATGAAAAATAAATATCACAATGGGCTAAGCTAATTGGCAATACGTCCCAATGCAATTTCAAGTATCAAAATTTACATGACAAATTTGCAAAATGTATTTTTTAGTGACAAACTACCACAGATGGCTTATCAAACCCATGAAATAAGATGTATCTAAAATTATTTTAATATGCACTGAATGCAACAACAAAAAAATCCTATTAGAAAATCAACGTGCTTCATAGTAATGAAGACTATTGCCTGCCGGCTGTAACTTAACCACAGTCTCCCAAGAGAATTGATAGATTAAAAACTGCTCTAATCAGGAGAACAAATGCCATTATTAAAATAAATTAGAGCTATAAGATACAGCATCTATTGATCAAATAAATATTGTGAAGAGATCAATGCCAATCAAAGAAATGTATAAAACTTACCTTAATTTCTTTACGAAGACGAACACTGCTCATTTTAAAATGAGCAGTTGGGCCATTTGGCAAGTGACTCAAAATAAGTCCATCTGTTCATAAAAGTTAAGAAAAACACATTGAACTCTGTAATCTAAATCTAATTGTTTAAATAACTGGTCCTCTACATCCAAAGGCCCCTAAAATCTGTACCCAAGTGAATAGGCAGATGTACATATTCCTCTGAAGTGACATTTTCCTACCATATCAAAAGCTCAAAATCAGTCAAAATCTTTCAAGAATATAGACTAACCTAGAGTAGTCCTTTTTTTCTCTTTTTACAATATAATAGTTAATCACGCTCAATAGGGTATCTTAAGGTACCCTAAACTAAAGTAGGTGAAAAAAAGCTATTTAATTGACCACTACTCTTAGGAGTAAAATAGGATGTGATTCTATAATCATGTAACACTGCAAATAGAGTATGAGTTTACCTCCACGTTCTAAAGATGTATAACCCCAAAATGTCACTTTTATACATTTGTATGGTCACGATATGCTGTCAACTTTGAATAACATCCCATGAGACCAGACTCCTAAACTTTCCTCTATGAAATTAAGGTTATTAGTATTTTGCAAGAGATCACCCCTTACTTAGGATTACTGTACCCCAAATTATAATCAACAAACCAATTAATAGCCATTCACTGACTGTCATTTCCCATGAACTGAGAATTATGCTAGACATGCTAAACTACAAATGAAATGTGAGATCACCTACCTACAACCAGCAGGACTAGCAGCCCAAGGACTCTAGAAGTCCTGGGTGCTGCAAACTAAGGTTGCTACCTATATAATATTCTTCAAGTTTGTGGCACAATCTGACCTTCACTTGAAACACCTTTACTTTTCATGAGTAATTCTTGGCTATTGCTTAATGGCATTACAAGCAGGCATATTAATGACAATGGACAGGGCTTTCACTTTGTATTATGCTTTTCTAGTTTAGGAGAAATTTTCAAACACATTTCATCTGATTCAACAACTTAAATAGGCCAGAATCAGATGGTTTCAAGTCTATCTGCATTTAATATGTATCTTTCAAAGCAGATGTTGCCATCTTTTTACAATGGCATCAACACTCATTCCTCCAGATTAGAAGCTATGGTATCTTCAGCTTCTCCCTCTCCCACCAAATCTTAACTGCTTTTACCTTCAGAAGTTCTCACTTAGCATCCTCTTTACCCTTACTGTCTTAGTGAGGTCCTCAAGATTTTCCACCTAGATTATTAAGGTAGTATTGTGGTTGGTCTGACCTTTTTCTCACCATCTCAAGTACATCTCCTAATGCAGATTGTAAAATCAAGTCTGGACTTAGGCCTTGGTTCTATAAGTAACCAGCTATGGGACTCAGCTGTTTCATTATATCTGTACCATAGTTTCTCACATGCTAAGTGAAAAACAAACTAGATACCTTCACAGTCTTGACAGCTGTAGCTAATTTCATACTACTCTCATCACAGACTCATCTACAGAAAAAAGACATTAGTATCAGACTCATAATGTGGCCACAAATTACCTTTTCAACCTATTTACCCTATGCCCACATCAAGCCTGTTTCCTAACTGGTAGGTACTCACAGTCTTATGTACTATATATGTGAATCCTAGCATGCATTTTTTGCTTCTGCTATTTTGAATACCTGCAACGTTTTACTCATCTATTATGGTCTACTTCAAATGTCACCTTTTTATGTAGTCAGAATTAAGATCTAAATCTTCTCAGTTCTGCTACCACAGCACTCATCACTTTTTGAGTTAGGAAAACACCTTTCTTCCCAACTAATCTGTTAAAACTTAGGTAGGGATGGGAATTTTTTTCTTTTGTTTTTTTTTTTTGAGACGGTCTCACTCAGCAGCCCAGGCTGAAGTGCAATGGCACGACCATGGGTCACTGCAGCCTCAACCTCTCGGGCTCAAGCAATCCTCCCACCTCAACCTCCCAAGTAAATGGGACTACAGGCATCATGCCCAGCTAATTTTTGTAGAGAAAGGGTTTTGCCATGTTGCCCAGGCTGGTCTCAAGCGATCCACCTGCCTTAGCCTCCCAAAGTGCTGGGACTGCAGGCAGATCTTTTTTTTTTTTTTTTTTTTGATAGTAGTGCCTACCATGCATCAGATTATCAGCAAACGTTTGAATTCTATCATTTTAAAAGATTCACCACAGGCTAAACTTCATGAAATACAGCCAAAAGTATTTATTAAGGGGTCTAGGAGATATAAAAGTCATTTCTTCCAACGCCCAAATCAAGGCTTAAATCCTTTCTAGAACATTCCCACTAAATTGTGGTCTGTGTCAAAAGCCAAGTACAAAACCCAAACTTACCAGTTTCTAAATAACTTCTTTTCCCATGTACCTGCATTGTGCAAGAGGCTTTATTTACATTACTGCTAATCCCTAACACAAATCACATAAAACAGGAGTCATCATGCCTATTTCAGTAATGAGGAAAAGAGGCTGAAGAGGGTCAAGTAAATTAGCCTAAGTAAATCAGACTAAGGCAACTGCAGATCTCAACCACGGTGGGACTGCACCTAGCTTAAGCCCCCTGCTGACAGCTGCTCACATTTGGAAATGTACAGAGGCATTTTGTTTGTCAGTATGACTGAGGTGTTACTGGCATTTAGAATCCAAAGGCCAGGAATGCAAACCATCTTGGAAGCTGCCAAGAGTGTAGCACAAATAATTACCCTACCTCAAATAACAGTAGTTCCCCATTTAGAAATAATGAATAGAGGATGTAGGTCTGTACAGATAAAGTTTACATGCTTCTCACTATACCACGTTTACTAAAATGCCTACCATGTGCCAGACACTATGCTTTATAAACATAATACATTTAATGTGATCTTTGTGGGAACTCTAAAGATAGGTATTATTTCCCACATTTAAAAAACGAGGAAATTGAGTGGCTAAGAAACGTGACTAAAATCACAAAACTAGAAAATAATGGAATCTGTATTTGATATCACAGCTGCCCTGACTCAAAGCCACTACTAGGTTTCTACAGTTTAGACAGCTGATGAAATTCTATTTTAGAATAAGTCAAAAAAGTATATCCCTTTAACTTTCACCATTCAGCACTACTCTTCCACACAGTAGCCCCTCCAATGGTCTTTAGAAAGACGCCATGTTCCTAGAATCTACTTTCCCACAGGCTAAATCCTGTTTTTTCAACTTTCCCCCCATGTGTCACCATTAGGAGTTGTGATTTTTATTCCTGAACCCATGCTAAGTCTCTAGGATAATCACCATTTTTTTTTTTTTGACAGAGTCTTGCCCTGTCACCCAGGCTGGAGTGCAGTGGCACCATCTCTGCTCATGGCAACCTTTGCCTCCCGGGTTCAAGTAATTCTAGTGCATCAGCCTCCCAAGTAGGTGGGATTACAGGCATGCACCAACACGCCCAACTAATTTTTGTATTTTTAGTAGAGATGGGATTTTGCTGTGTTGGCTAGGCTGGTCTCAAACTCCTGACCTCAAGCAATCTGCTGGCCTAGGCCTCCCAAAGTGCTGGGACTACAGGTGTGAGCCACCGCATCCGGCCAGAAAATGTAAACTTTTTAAAGGCAATAGATGGTATAAGTGAAATTTGTGTGACTATATAAAACACCCTGGATAAAACAGGGATAGAACATTTATTGAATTGATGAATGCCTGCTTCTTAGCAGAGTTACTAGTGGCCTCAAAGTGATGACAGTTGTTTTTTAACTGCCAAAAATAAAAAGAGGAAAACAGACCTTGCCACTTTGTGGAGGCAGTTTAAAAAAAGAAAAAGAGGCAGCAACTACCTTAAAAATAATTTTTTTCTGGAGTAGTTAAGTATTCAAGAGATTTTAGATATTTTGGTACATTAATCCAGTTAAGCCAAATTATAATATGGCCAACAAAACACATTACAAAGCTTGTTATAGTAGTTTCTGGAAAGCTACTAGTACAAGTGGATAAAGTAAGTTATATTGATAACAATTAAAGTCATAAAAGTTAGATTTTTTAAAAACAGCCTTTTAAACCACTAATAGAGTGTTCACTGATATTAGAAATAAAATGTTATTCTGGCAGCACAGAAAGTCTTGTCCCTATTTTGTAAATTCTTTATAATTTTATTTTAATGAAATTAAAAATCATAAAGATGACTCATTCAATTGGTCATCTTTAAGGTTACTGAACTCATAGCCATCATTCAATAAATAAATAAATAAAACAGCAACAATAATAACAAACCTAGATATCCTTTATCAAATCTCTTATCTCAACAGGAAGAAATACCTTGGGTTCAGGTGACACATTCATCTCAGGTCTGAGACTCACAGAAAAAGTTTTAGACTGGAACACACACATAACATGGGCCCAAGTCTCTACCTCAAAAACTTAATCCTGTGATACCACCTCTGGCAATGTAAAATCTAGCCACAACAAACCATATGCAGATCCCCAACTAGGTCAGCCCTTTCCTTCCTCTCTTTCCAAATGGTAGTCCCTCTGCACTGAGCGCTTTTCTCTGCCTTATTCCCCTCCTTCACCCTCATCCATCTAGATCCAGCTTCAGCATCTCTTTCTATGGGAAGTCTTTCCTCCCAGGGCAGACTTTGTACCAGTCACAGGGTCCCCACTATATCCTGCATTTCTCTATTTAATTGTACCATCCACACTATATTTTGTCAGTTTACATATCCATTTACTCCACCTATGAATTTCCTGGTTGTCTCTTGTTTTAGCTCTGCATCTTTTACTAAGAGTTACAACAATCTCTTGGCTGTAGCATGTGCCTGATAAATGTTTGGTGAATACAAAGGAAAAATCAGTTTATAGACTCTTGGAAAGAGATACAATTTTCTGATAAAAAAATTATTTTCTGAAAGTTATAGGCAATATTTCCTTATTCTTTTAAATATATTTTTAAGGGGGGTGAGGGAGAGGACAGGAAAACCTCCTTAAAAAAAAAAAGGATACTTGGGGTTTTACGATCTTCATTAATAACAATCAGGTCTGTGAAATCTCTTGCGATGCACTGTGGAATAATTTTTTTCAGAGCCAGTCCTCTTCTGTAATAAACATGTGAGTTTGGTATAACTGTGGAGAGCTGTTCACAGAGTCGTACTGTTCTCTGCAAAACAAAATAACAAAAATTTTGAATAGTTTTCAAAAAAGAATAAAAATCTTATGTGGTACATATTCATAAGGAAAGAAATAATAATTATTATGATTAATAGAAAGCAACATTGAGGAAAGCATGAAACTCGAACAGTGTGTCCTCTTTTATCAAAGGCTGATCATCCTAAAGCAGTGGTTCTCAATTAGGGGCGATTCTGCTCCATCAGAGGACACATTTGGCAATGTCTGGAGACATTTTTGATGGTTATGACTGATGGTAGTGGTAGTGGTGTGTGGTTGCTACTGGCACCTAAAGCATAGAGGCCAGGGAAGCTGCTAAACATCCTGTAATGAACAGGATAGCTCACCATAACAAAGAATTCTCCAGCTAAAATGTTAACAATGTTGAGGTTGAGAAATCCTATCTTGAAGAATCATGTTTAGTAAACCTACATCATATTACCAGAGCTACGTTTTATTTACTTAGTCACAGGCATTCTTTAAGGCAATTAACTAATGGTTTAACTCTTCTGAACAGAGTACTTTAAATAGAAGTAATAAGAAAATTAAGAATTCAAGAACTAAATTAATCAATGTGTTTACCCCATGAGGTCTATCTGATGTTGTGATGAGAATCTTGGGAGAAGTCTGTTTGTTGAAGTAAGAAGCAAATTCATCTGTAGCTTCATCATAAGCGACCTGAGAACAGAGAAGAGGAATAATTTTACATCAAAGAAATACTCTACTGGGCCAGAATTCTAAAAGTAGCATCAGCAGGACTGTTGGACACTGAGTATCTAGCTGATAGGGGCTTTAAAGACAGACTAGGAAGGACTGACATTAATGGACACGTGAAGAGAATGGATGAGTGGATTTCTCCTGTGTAAAATACAAGTACAAAACTGAATAAAATTGTCAGAAATCACTTCAGGGCAGAAACTGAGATGTGTTTACTCTTGAACTACTTTCATTTCCCTCATCAACTTGGTTAGTAAAAACAATAACCACAAAAAAAACAAAACAAACAAACAAAAAAAGAACCAAAAAAAACTAATGAAATTACGAGAAGACAAATCTTCCATTGAGAGACACTCAGATTTAAACATTAATGAAAGTAGTACCTTTTAAAATTTGTGGAATATACCAAAAGTGGTAGTCTGAAAGAGTTTTATGGCTATACCTGCTCATATTAGAAAAAATATATATTGAGCAAATCAATAAATACAGAATAAACTCAAAGGAAGCAGAAGAAAATAATAAAGATAAAAGGAGATATAAATGAATTAGAAAACAAAGATTCAACAGGATCAAAGAAGAAAGTACTCAGAAAAGACTAAGAGAATAGATATCTTGGTAAAAACTGATTTAAAAAAGAGAAAAAGCCAAAATAAAATAATATTAGGAACGAAAAGTGGACATTACTGTAGTCTCACTCATGAACACAGATATAATTAATTCTAAGCAAAGAATTAATAAATCCAATTTGGTTATGATGTTTAATGCAGTAAGAGAAAAGCCACATAATCACCTCAATATTTGCAAAGAAAACATCTAATAACATTCTACATTCATTCATGACAAACAAAACAAAACAAAATCATAAGAATAAGTAAAATTTACTTAACCCTTAACTCATAATAATCTATCTCTAGTGACACAAATATTAATGTTGACTCATTGGAAGTATTCTTTTGAAAATCAGGAACGTGGCAAAGATGGCACTGTTGATTTTTCTATTTATTTGACATTAGGCTAGAAGTTCTAGAAGGCACAAAAATGGGAGAAAAATGGGTCAAAATAAGAAAACTGTCATTTGCAGAAATGGTTATCTAAACAGAAAAATGAAAACGATATCCCAACAAATTAGAAATGAATTTAGGTAGGCTACTGGTTAGAACATCACTATTCAAAAATCCATTGCATTTTTATAAATTGGCTAACAAAACAATTTTCAAAGACATGCAGTTTACACCAACAAAAACTGTAAGATATCCAGGAATAGCTCTAGCAAGATTTATGTGTCAACTTCCATGAAGAGAATTACGAAATACATGAAATACATTTCACTATTTAAAGGAGACCTAAGTAAATATATATTATATACATACATACGTATCCCCAAATTGATCTGATTTAGTGCCATTTATAATTTATATGGAGGAGCAAAGGCCTAGGAAAAGCCAAAACACATCTGAAGAGAGGGGATTTAGGGGCAGGAGTGAAAGAAGCATTTTGCCCTTATAGATATGAAGCCTTATTATGAAGCTAAATAATTAACTAATGATGCAGTGACAAACTGACGAAGCAAATAGCCCAGAAAAAGACCAAGCATATATAGATATTTGATATATATCATGGCATTACAATTCATTGTGGGGAAAGGCTGCACTACTCCAAAAATATAACTACTGGTTATATATAACCAGTACTGGATAAACTGGTTATATATAAATGAACTGTTAAGAAGTAGAACACAGAATTGTAAGAGTACATTAAAACTAATTCAAAATATATATATGCAAAAGGACAGGTTGGGGAGACAGGAAGGAAAGTAACTGGTTTCCATTCTCACACCAAACAGAAAACAATTCCTGACAATCAAGCAAATAAATACGAGAGGCAACTCTTTAATTATTTTAGAAGGAAAGAAGAACTTATGATCACAGGAAAGAGAAAAGTTTCTTAAATATTACATAAAAAGCTTTAAGTGCTAATTTTTCAAAAACTCAACTACATCAAGAACTTCTGGTCCTGGTCCTCAAAAGACACCATAGAAAATAAAAAGAGAATTCATGAATTGGAAGATTTCTTTAATATGTATGAAGAATTGGTATCCAAATTATATAGAGAAGTTCCACAAATGCGTAAAATATACTACATGATAGAAAACTGGGCAAAAGACATGAACTGGCTTATCTCTAAAGAAAACAACTTATATTAAATGATGCTCAACATTAGAAAACAAGGAAATACAAATTCAAACCACAATGAGACAGCCTTTTATCATTAGTCTGAACATACCATGAGTTGGTTAGAATGTGGATGAGCAGGAACACTACTCTTGTACCACAAAAGTATAAAATGATACAACCACTACTTTGAAAAATATTTTGGTACAATTATGTAAAGTTAAACATTTACACATTCCATGACTCAAAATTATCCTACTGTAGGTAAACATTCTAGGGAAACCTTTATGTACACACACCCTTGATATGCCTGTTACCCCCAAATTTATCTCAAGACCTCTTTCCTGAATTCCAAGCTCACATCCCAACTACCTGCTTGACATCTCTTCTAAAAACTCTTGAGTCATCTCAAACATAATATATGCAAAACTGAACTCTTGATTTCCCCTTAAATCTCCTTCACTCAGTCTTCCACATCTAGTCAATGACCATTTCATCCTTCTAATTTGCTCAGTCTAAAACCTTAATACCATCTCTGAATCCTCTATTTATCTCATATTCTGCATCCAATTTGTCAGGAAATTGAAGCAGCTCTGATTTCAAAATATACCCAGGGGAAAAAATATTTAGAATCAGATCAATTCTCACCACTTTCATTGTAACTACCCTGGCCCAGGTCATGATGAAAGCCCATCATTTCTTTCCTGGATTTGTTTAGTAGCTTCCTTTCTCTACTTACCTCTCCAGCTACATTCTCAGTAAAGCAGCCAACTACTTCTAAAAATTAAGTCTGATCACATCATTTTCCTATTCTTTTTTTTTTTTTTTTTTTTTTGAGACGGAGTCTCGCTCTGTCGCCCATGCTGGAGTGCAGTGGCGCGATCTCGGCTCACTGCAAGCTCCGCCTCCCGGGTTCACGCCATTCTCCTGCTTCAGCCTCCCGAGTAGCTGGGACTACAGGTGCCCGCCACCACACCTGGCTAATTTTTTTGTATTTTTAGTAGAGATGGGGTTTCACCACGTTAGCCAGGATGGTCTCAATCTCCTAACTTCGTGATCCACCCGTCTCGGCCTCCCAAAGTGCTGGGATTACAGGCGTGAGCTACTGTGCCCGGCCACGTCATTCTTCTATTCTAACCCACCCAGTGGCTCTTCATTTCACTAAGTATAAAACCAAAGTCCTCATACCGGCCAACAAAGTCACTGATCTGGTCTTTCTTCTTCATCATACTTTCCTAGGACCTCTTCTACAATTCTCTCCCTTGCTTGATTTCAGTCACAATGGCCTCCTTGTTATTCTTAAAAAGCATATTCGATACACTCCTGCCTTGGAGCTTGTGCACTGGGTGTTCTCTCATTCTGGGGCTCTTTTTGCCCAAAGATGGCTAATTTCCTCACATCCTTCAAGTCTTTGCTAAAAGGTCAATTTCTCAATAAAGCCTACCCTGACTTTCCTATATAAAATCACTACCCAGTAGACAAATGGGCAAGAGACACAATCAATCAATCAAGGGGAAAAAAATATGAAAAGATGTTCAACCTCATTCAAAATGAGAACTGCAAATTAAAACTACAGTGATATACAATTTCTCACTTATCAAACTGGAAAAAATGATTTACAATGAGTGTTAAGTTGAGGAGTAACATTCAAGTTATCTCCTCCCCAAATACTTACTAATTATCATACAAAGGGAAAAACAGTAAATTCAGAGTGGAGAAACCTGGCAGGCACCACCTTAACCAAGTGATCAAGGTAAACATAACCAGTATGAGAAAATTATCAGGTGACTCTTGGTAAGAAGTACTGAAAAAGGACTTAACATAATATTCATGGCACAGGTTAGCCTCCCTAATCCAAAAACACCCAAAACCTGAAATATTCCCAAATTCAAAACTTTTTGATAAAGCACCAACATGGCGCCACAAGTGGGGAATTCCACACCTCACCTCATGTGATGGGGTCACAGTCAAAAGTTTGTGTCATGCACAAAATCATTAAAAATATTGTATAAAAGTTACCTTTACGCCAGGTGGGGTGGCTCATGCCTGTAATCCTAACACTTTGGGAGGCCAAGGTGGGAGGATCGCCTGAGCTCAGGGGTTCAAGACCAGCCTGGGCAACATGGTGAAACCCCATCTCTACTAAAATACAAAAAATTAGCTGGGTGTGGCAGTGTGAGCCTGTAGTCCCAGCTATTCCAGAGGCAGCAGAATTGCTTGAACCAGGGAAGTGGAGGTTGCAGTGAGCAGAGATTGTGCCACTGCACTCCAGCCTGGGCAACAGAGCGAGACTCCATCTCCAAAAATAAAAAAGTTACCTTTAGGCTATGTGTATAAGATGTATATGAAACATAAATAAATGCTGTGTTCAGACTTGGGTCCAATCATCAAGATACCTCATTATCTATCACAAATATTCCAAAGCCCGGAATCCAAAAAGACTTCTGGTCTGGCTAAGTGCGGTGGCTCACGCCCGTAATCCCAGCACTTTAGGAGGCTGAGGCAGGTGGATCATGAGTTCAGGAGTTTGAGACCAACCTGGCCAACATGGTGAAACCCTGTCTCTACTAAAAATACAAAAATTAGCTGGGTGCCTGTAATCCTAGCTACTTGGGAGGCTGAGGCAGGAGAATCGCTTGAACCTGGGAGGCAGAGGTTGCAGTGAGCCGAGATCATGCCACTGCACTCCAGCCTGGGTAACAGAGCAAGTCTCCACCTCGGAGAAAAAAAAAAAAAAAAGACTTCTGGTCCCAAGCATTTCAGGCAAGGGACACTCAACCTGTATTTCTGTCAAAAGTACATAAACTGAATATAATCAGAGGAAACCCCAGGCGAACTCATATTAAGGTACATTCTATAGAATATCTGGTCTATACTATTCAAAAAATCTCAATGTCACAAAAAGCAAATGACTGAGGAATTGTTCTAAATTTAAGGAAGTTAAAGAGTAATTACAATGGAATGTATGACCTGGGACTTTTTTTTTTTTGCTAAAAAGGACATTATTGGAACAGCTAGTGACATCTGAGTAAGATCTATAGAACAGATAATATTGAATACCAATATCAATGTCTGATTTTGCTAACTGTGCTCATAAAAAACAAAATGAGATATATAGGAATAAAGGGGCGCCATGTCTGCCACTTACTCTTATTTAAGAGGGAATATTTAGGAAGTCTGGGTGAAGGGTATGTACAAATTCCTACTTTTCTATTAAGTCTGAAATAATGTCAAAATAAATTAAAATGCATACACACACAAACACCTTACTTACATAAAATTGCAAACCCTCTCTACTCCAGGTAGTCCTGAATCTCCTTTATCCTATTTTCCTTTAGTAAGCTATCACTGGCTAACATATGTCTAACTTATTTATTTCATTATGTTTACTGTTTGTCTCCCTTCCTAGAATGTAAGCTCTGGGTGGGTAGAAGTTGTGTGTGTGTATGTGTATGTGTGTGACTATTCTGTGTACTGATGGATCTCAAATCCCTAAAACAGATCCCAATACGATGCAGGCAAATCCATAAACATTTGCTGAAAGAATGACAGAAATCAGTGTATGACTATACCAGGAGATATGAGAAAGAATGTTGATAGCAGCACTGTTTCAAAGCAAACAGACATTCGAAACCAAATTTCCTTTACAAAACTTTTAAAAATATAGTTTTAAAATCTTGCTTCTTTTTCTGCACTGTTGCCAACTATCTAAGGAGAATATGCAAAGTGAAAGATTATCTTGAAACTAAGATTTATGAGAATACAAAAAATAGCATCAAATGTTATTCTTAGGTATCAAAATGTCTAACAAATACTACAAAAGTCGATAGTACAAGGAATTCTTTTAAAACCACCAGGCCAGGCGCAGTGGCTCATGCCTGTAATCCCAGCACTTTTGGAGGCCAAAGCGGGCGGATCACCTGTGATCAGGAGTTCGAGACCAGCCTGGCCAACGTGGTGAAACCCCATCTCTACTAAAAATACAAAAATTAGCCAGGCGTGGTGGCAGGTGCCTGTAATCCCATCTACTCAGGAGGCTGAGGCAGAAGAATTGCTTGAACCTGGGAGGCAGAGGGTGCAGTGAGCCGAGATCACACCACTGCACTCCAGCATGGGCGACAGAGCAAGACTCTGTCTCAACAAAATCAAAAACAAAAACAAAAACAAAACCCTCCAAAATACCATTCAGGGATTATATGACAAATGTAAAAGTTTACCTAGAATTTTTATAGAATTTTTCTATAGCATTATTGGGAAATTCAATTATGAAATAGTCTTCACCAAATAATAAGATAATATGCCAACATTTTAGCTGAATCAGTCCATTATGCAACTTGGCCAGCCAGCACTTTAAATATCAACAAAAAAACATATAATTTATCAATTATATGTGATCATTCAAACTAATTTAAGACTTCTAACATTACCTCTTCATCATTAGGGTCTACTGTGGTTTCATCATACACTCGCTGGTTGTCAATGGTCTTGGGTACAGGCTTTGGTGGAGCCTAAGTAAAAGAGAAGGGATTACATTTTAGAAGGATTTTACATTAATTATATTACTGTTGGAGAAAAATAACAGAAAGCTACAAATAACCCCAAACTCAATCTGTTCCTCATATCAATCCACTTCTATTGCTACATCAATTCTAATAACAATATTGAATAAGAGGCTTTTTTTTTTTTTTAAACAATCTGGGCAGAGACACACACATACTAGAAGAATGGCCAACACTGAATGAAAAGGCTTAAAACTGTGCAGAAGTAACAAGGAGAAGAAATAGAGATCAAGATAGTTATCTACTAGGGGGAAACACATCAAACAGGAGAAAAATAAAAGAAAAAAATAACAAAGCGACATCCGTACATGACTTTGTTCCAATACTTTCAGGAAGCTACTCAGAAATATTTAACAAAAGTCTAGTTGTTATCCATTGACCTAGTAATTTTACTTTGGGGTATTTATGTTCAGGAATGTAAATGGGGGAGAAATTTGAACGAAGAAATACATAGTATCCCTATTTATAATGCAAATAAACAGCAAACAGGGCAAATGTTCAACAAGGTAATGACTAAACATACTACAGTACATCAACATTATGGAATACTGTTAGGATCAGCAATCATGCATACTCAGCTTAGACCAAGAAATGGTGTAAATGAATTGCTAAGAAGTAGAACACAGAATTGTAAGAGTACATTAAAACTAATTCAAAATATATGTACACTAGCAGAGCTATGAAGAAAATACAAACTGAAACTAGCATTTATTACTCTATGAAACAAATATTACATTTTAAGCATTTTTTAAAGGAGGCAATTTTAAGAAGTTATCTTTCATCTCAAAAAACAAGAATGGTGGTGTTTTCAAATGGTGATCATAACATTAATTTGCTGTAATAGACTGATTACAAAAGAATTAAAAAGAGACTAACATGCTTGACATACTAGGATACTGCAGGTCAAAACAGTCTACTATTGACAATTTTCTATGGTTTAACCTAATACTATTCAAAGAATGTATGAAATAGTAGAGTGTTTAGTTTGTATACTGTCTTTACATTTTTTTCCCTTCCTCAAACACCCTTATTTGGTAACTTACTTGAATGGGAGGCGGAGACATGAATGTTTTCAAAATTTTGCAAAAATAAATCACAACCTAGGAGTAACTATAAATACACTGAAAATAAAAATAACTTAGCTATGCAATAATGTATGAGCATTTAGTAGTTTAAAAAATTTTTTCAATAAAGATTTCACTTCTTATGAGTACCACAAATACAGCCAAATTCTTTCTTGATGCATTATCTGCTCTTTTCTCTGCCATAATCCTCACCGTCCTCCCACTCCCCATTCTCACTTTTCACAGGTTCATATCCTCTGTACCAGCTCTAAAGCTTAACACACCCTTATCACCCTACTCCAGAAGAGGATCTGTCCTGCCTTTCCCCAGCCTTGCCTGACCAAAAATCTTTGCTTCACATGACAAGAGCCAAGCTCCAGGCCTAACCTGGGGGAGCTTCCCCATTCCCAAAGTCAGGGAGAGGTGTTGACCTCTGAAACACAAAGTTATATGCAAAATACCACCACTGTGTTACCGTATAGGTACACAAACATACACAGTAAAGGTAAAAGAAGTGCATGGAAAAAATAATCAAAAATTTCACGAGTGGTTATCTTCGGAGGGAAAAGCAATTATGAAGCAGACGAGGGGCTTCCAACATTCTTTGCTAATGCATTATTTCTTAAGCTGGGTAAATGATACAAAGAGGTTTATTATATTACTTTTGTATTTCTTCATACATCTGAAATACGTAATAATAAATTTTAAAAGAAAGTAATTCAACTTAAATATCAGGAGGGATTCCCTAATATAAGATAGAAAGCAAACAGCTAAAAATTTTATTTACCTTATCGCCAAGAGCCTCTCTTTCTTTTTTAAGTTTTTTCTTAGCTGCCAACTTTTCCTAAAGGGTTAAAAAAAAAGAGAACAATACTGAGAAACAACCAGTTATATCACAAACACATACTGAAACTACAAATTACTAATGCTATGAATACTCGAACTGGGCGGTCTTTGTAATCTATTGAAATAAGCATCTGGACGTGGAGTTTTCTACCTAAATTACTGTAAGCCAAATGAGCTGGCCAATCAATAAGATTTCTTTAACAAAGACCTGCTCCTTTAAAAAAATCTAAACTGGCAAGTTTGAACATTTAAAATTTGAGTAGCTTAACCTTTTTCCATAAAGCCTCAAATTAATTAAAGTATGTGATGGTTTCCACTGTGTTTTGTTTTGCCTAACTGGTGGCATCCTAAAGACGACCATGGTTATGCTGCTTGCTTCTCTTGAAAAGCACTAAAAATAGGAATGGGAGCTGAGTTTTCAGGTTGTTTTCCATAAAACCATCACCAGTTATTCACATATTTTATAATCAAAATATACTTCTAAAATTTAGTAAGAGCTTGCAAGGTGGCTTAAGATTATCTGTATTTGTATTGTCAATCTATATATTCTTCTGGAGATTTCTAGATAGAATGCTTGACAAAATAAAAAATATTCTTTTTTCCCCAGCACCTACTGATCCTCAATCCACCAGGTTTCAGATTAGAAATCATAGCTCCAATAAGTCTTCCAGGACATCCCTCCCCAATACGTGCATACCAGAATGAGTTAAACGCCCCTTGTATGTATTGAAACAGCACCTTGACACTGAACATGAGTAAGAACCAGTCCCGGGCCTCAGAAGGGCCAGTAAGAGGAGGCAGACACATAATAATAATATTGTGTGAACTTCTACGATGTGCAAGAATAAGCAAACGTTTTCTTCCAATTGCAATTTAACCAGAAATGAGCACTGCGACCTTGACAAGTCGTTTAAACCTCTTTACGTTTCAGTTTGTTTACCTACCAGAAACGTATAAGGATAAAGCTGAAAAGAACAAATACAATTACCAGAAACTTTACAGTACTAATTTCGGTAAGGAGCTCCTGCAGGAATCAGAGAAGCAGTATTTTGGATTTATTACGTATTGCCTCCATTTCAGATTCTGCAAATTAACCAACGCTACCTAGACGGACCAAAGGGCTGAGACTTTTGCCTTCTGGGCCAGGAGGGCGTAGTTTTCACTACTAAGCCAACTGGCCTTACAGCTTTCCTTGTGAATCTAGCGTCCCAGGAAAGAGCCTATCAAGATAATCTTCCACCTTGACGCTCAGGCAAAAGGCTGAACCTAGAGTCTCCAAACTAGGGCGAGGGGACCAGAACACGTGGGCCGCGACGCCACCCTTCCCACGGAGCCACAGAGAACACTTTTGAGACCAGCAGACAACCACAGATGTGCGCCCCGCGACCGCCCTAAGCGTCAGGAACAACGCGCAAGCGCCCGGCAGCCCCCGCCTCTCGCGTACCTTCCGCTGCTGCTGTTTCCACCGCGTGAACATTAAGTGTCGCCGCTGTTTGTTTTTAATCTCCGAAATGCTAAAGCCTGGCGGAAAGGCAGCCGCTTTCGGGGGTTGGACCCCGTTTTCCGTCGCCCCATCCCCAGCGCCTGCAGCCTCCTGAAGTTCTTCGGCAGCGGCTTTCCGTTTTAGACTTTTCTTCCCGCTGCTGCTGCTCTTATCCCCGGCTTTCGCCATGGTCTTGGCTCCTTTGCTTCCGTACGGAAACGGAAATAGCCTTCTCCTGTGACCCCCTTCCTTAACCTTTTACTTCCGGGGTCGCAAAGTTTTTGACGCTAGATGTGTTTTGTGAGTTTTAGCCATTCAAGAAAATAGTAAAGCTGAGGCTTGAGGAAACTTTAGGCAGTTTGCCCAGCTGTATAAAGAGTGAGATGATGAGTTTGGGCACTCCTTGCGCATCTATGTGCCCAGCCCTCAAAATAATGGAACAACAACAAAAACCGTGCCTGGATTAGTTTACGTTTTACTTGAGGGAAACCTAAAATGAGCATACAAATAAATTATGGTGAGCTACAGAGTAAGACATGGTATGGAAAAAAAATAGAACAGGATAAAAGAAGATGAAGAGACATTCATCTTTTTGAGACGGAGCCTTGCTTTAATGCCCAGGCTGGAGTGCAGTGGCACGATCTCCGATCACTGCAAACTCCTCCTCCTGAGTAGCTGGGACTACAAACACGTGCCACCATGCCCGGCTAATTTTTGTATTTTTGCAGAGATGGAGTTTCACCATGTTGGCCAGGCTGGTCTTGTACTCTTGATTTCAGGTGATCTGTCCGCCCTGGACTCCCAAAGTACGTTGCAATTTTAAATAGGATTCTCAGAGTAGGCTTCATTGAAAACGTTACATTGAGCCAAGGTTTGAAGGAGGTAATGGGCTAAACTAGTTATCTGAGGGAAGAGCTGTTAATCTGAGAAAAGCTGGTTATCAAGGAGAAAAGCTGTCCTGGCAAAGCAAACAGCCAGCTCCAATGCTCCTAGTCAGTAGCAAGCCAGGAAAGGCAAGAAGTGTTGAGATTGGACAGGTGGTGTAGAGTTTTGTAAGGACTTTGGCTTTTATTTTATGTGAGATGAAGATCTCTTATAGAATTTTGAGGAAAAGAATGGTATGATCTTAACATCTTAAAAGTATCAGGCTGGTGCAGTGGCCCATGCCTGTAATTTTAGCACTTTGGGAGGCCAAGGCAGGAGGATTGCTTGAGCCTGGGAGTTCAAGACCAGCTTTGGCAACACTGTGAGACCCCATGTCTACAAAAAGTAAAAAAATATATATATCTGTTTGGGCATGGTGTACATCTGTGGTCCCAGCTACTCAGGAGGCTGAGGCAGTAGGATCCATTGAGCCTGGAAGGCTAGGTTGCAATGAGCCATGTTGGTGCCACTGCATTCCAGCCTGGGTGAGAGGGTGAGACCCTCTCAAAAAAATAAATAAAAATAAAGTAAAAGCGTCATTCAGAATCTTCTTTTGAGAAGAGCCTATGCAGGGGCAGGGTGTGTGGAAGAAGGGAAGAAATGATAGTGGCCTGAACCAGGGTAAGTCTTGTGTAGGTGGTTGAGAAGTGATTCCTCTGGAAGGTAAAGTTACTGATGGAACTGAAGGGAGGACATGAAAGAGTCAAGGATGACTCCAAGACTTTCGACCTGAGTGATTCAAAGGATGGAGTTACCATCAGGTGAAATGCGGGAAAGTTCAGATGGAACAAATCTGAGAGGTAAGATCAAGATTTCAGTTTTGGAAATGTTAAGTTTGAGATACTTTTTAGTGATCTGATTGGTGGTGTCAACTAGTCAGTTGGGATGTATGATTCTGCAGCAGGACAGAGAGGTGTGGGCTAAAGATCAAACTTTGGAAGTAATTGGCACATAGGTAGTATTTCAAACCATTAGAATGAGTGTAGATAGAAAACTGAAAAAAGAAGATCAAGGACTGAACCCTGGAGGAGTCCTGCATGAAGAGATGGAAAGAAAAGGAGGACCCAGCAAAGGAGAAGGAGAAGAGAAAATCAAGAGAGTAGAATGTCATGGAAGGCAAGTGAAGAAAGTGTTTTCCTAGTGGTTAAATTTGCTGTATTCTTCATTCTAATTTTATGAAAATGCTTTCCAAATAGCAACAAGAAATCCCTTTTGATTTACTGTTAGGAGTCAGTTTTCCAGAATCTGCCTTAATTTCAAATTTTATGTACCAATATCTATATTTCGTGTTTTGAGAATCCAATATGTTTTTGTCCACATTTCATTTTTCACCCATTCAAATTCTATTTAACAACAGCAGGATATTAAAAGCATCAAAACTGTGTCTTCCAGAACACAAGCTCCATCCAAACCTGCTATTAGATCACAAATTGAAAATTGTTGTTAAAAAACTTAAAATCATTATGTTTAGATCCAAAATTGGATTTAAGTTATATAATACAAAAAAAGGAAAAAAATAGCATTGAGTTTTAAAATCACTGACATATAGATTTGGCTGCAGTAAATCATAAAATTTATCTGGACATGGTGGCTCATGCCTGTAATCCCAGCACTTTGGGAGGCTGAGGTGGGTGGATCACTTGAGGTCAGGAGTTCGAGACCAGCCTGGCCAACATGGTGAAACCCCATCTCTACTAAAAATAGAAAAATTCGCTGGATGTGGTGACAGTTGCCTGTAATCCCAACTACTCAGGAGGCTGAGACAGGAGAATTGCTTGAACCTGGGAGGCGGAGGTTGCAGTGAGCTGAGATGGTGCCATTGTACTCCAGCCTGGGTGACAGAGTGAGACTCCATCTCAAAAAACAAAACAAAACAAAAAAAACCCCAAAACCATAAAATTTCATATATAGTTTATTTAAAGGGGGGTAATCAAGTCAAAAAGGAAGAGTAGTCCTGGGGCTGTGGCTCATGCCTGTAATCCCAACACTTTGATAGGCCAAGGTGGGAGAATAGCTTAAGCCCAGGAATTCAAGGTTGCAGTGAGCTGTGATTGCATCACTGCACTCCAGCCTGGGTGACAGAAGGACCCTGTCTTAAAAATAAATAAATAAATAAATAAATAAATAAATAAATAAATAAAAGAACAAGAGGAGGGGGAGAAGAAGAAGAAGGGGAATAAGTAAATCTCCATCCTGGAAATACAGACTGAGAAAATATTTTGAAAGTCTCTTCTAACTGTAACGTTTTATCTCCCTACATATAATATTTCCTTTTCTCATAAGAATACAAAATAGTTTTGAAATAGATTTAGATAACAGTGTTAAATTTATTTAGAAGCACCATACAAATGAGATCATTAACTCCTTAACTTAGACTTCCTTTTTTTTTCTTCATGCCGTATTTATAATAACAATTGTATGAGTTGAATGAAAGGATTTCTATAATCAGAATAAGTCCTTATTCTTAAGTCACAAAAACATTGATTAATTCAACAAATATGTATTAAATGCTACTCT
Source organism: Homo sapiens (assembly GCF_000001405.40). NCBI lineage: Eukaryota > Metazoa > Chordata > Mammalia > Primates > Hominidae > Homo > Homo sapiens. The sequence goes on along the minus strand of NC_000001.11, from coordinate 84,476,029 downwards.
GTAAATGAATAGGGTGGGTTGTGTTCAGATCTTGGCTCAATCACTTAGATGCTATAAAATCTCAGTTAAATCATAAAATGTCTGTGGGTCTCAATTTGTCTGTAAACTGGGGCTAATTATACTGCCACATAGGATGTATAGAGAGGAGTAAAGATGTATATTAAAGAACCAGACACACTCAATAAATGCTAGCTAGCTATTTTTACCATTTATTGGTGTCAGAGACTGTTCTAACTAGTGTGGAAGAAAAAGGCATCATGTTTGCCATTAAGTAGTGTACAATTTTAGAAGAAGATGAAACACAAGAATAGAGGTCACTGTAGAGTGCTTTACGAGGTTCATTTCAGCCGTTCACTTTCTCTCACCAATTCTTTCATTGCCCATTATTTTCCAGGCCCACTTCCAATAGAGTATATGTTATTTTAAAATAAAGCACTTACTTTTAATACTTAATACAATTTTTGCCTATTTGTTTTGATTCTGACATTTGGGGCACGCTGGAATACAACTCTTAGGCACCAGGTGAGTTCAGTGATCCAAATCAAGATTCTCTTCAGAAAATTTGACCTATTATTTTACAGTATGACTTAAGCTTTTTACATCACAGAAACCCATTCCGAAGGCACAAAATATGAATCCATTGCATCAGAATAAGGAATAACCAATTTGGTTGTTGGCACATTTTTTATTTACAATGTTGTATAGGCCTTTGACAAACATAAAGTAAATTAAAGCTTCCTGACTTGAATTATGCCCTACACTCTACTGGTGGGAATAACAGAACTATTATAGAACTAACCTCTCATCTGTGGATGCTTCAGTAGTACCCAAGAGCTATTGTTGGCATTTAAACCACTTATCCTAAGAAGTTCTGAGAGTTCTTTTTTTTGTTTATTGTATTATTTAAGTTATCTTAATGACTAACAAGGTTTGTTTCTCAGGATTTACTGACCCAGGAAGTATGTTGAAATGTTATTACAGGGATTCATAGTGTCAATTAGATTCTCACAATGTCAGCTCTCCTTTGAAATAGACACATAGACTGATAAAACAGAATAGAGAGCCCAGAAAGAAACCCTAGGGTCAACTAATCTTCAACAAGGGTGCCAAGAATATGCAATGGAGAAAAGATAGTCTCTTCAATAAACAGTGTTGGGAAAACTGACAATCCACATGCAAAAGAATGAAATTGGACCTTCTTCTTACACAATACACAAAAACCAACTCAAAATGGATTACAGAATTAAACATAAGACCTGAAACTATAAAGGTTCCAGAAGAAAACCTAGAGAAAAAGCTCCTTGACGTTGATCTTGACAATAGTTTTCTGGATATGATACCAAAACACAGGTAATAAAAGCAAAAATAACTAAATGGGACTATTTCAAACCAAAAACTTCTGCACAGCAAAGGAAAAACAATCAACAAAAAAAGCAACCAATGGAATGGGAGAAAATATTTGCAAATCATATTATTTGATAAGGGGTAAATATCCAAAATATATAAGGAACTCATACAATTCAATAGCAAAAAACCAAATACAGTAGTCCCCTGTTAGCCACAGTTTCCTTAAGTTGCCCTCAGTCAACTACAGTCCAAAATATTAAATGGAAAATTCTGGAAATAAACAATTTATTTTATAAAACAGAGTCTCTCTCTTTCACCCAGGCTGGAGTGCAGTGGCGTGATCTCAGCTCACTGCAAGCTCTGCCTCCCAGGTTCAAGCGATTCTCCTGCCTCAGCCTCCCAAGTAGCTGGGATTACAGGCATGTGCCACCACAACTGGCTAATTTTTATATTTTTAGTAGAGATAGGGTTTCACCATGTTGGCCAGGCTGGTCTCGAACTCCTGACTTCGTGATCCACCCACCTCGGCCTCCCAAAGTGCTGGGATTACAGGCGCGAGCCACTGCGCTCAGCCATAAACAATTTATAAGTTTTAAATTTTGCACCATTTTGAGTAGTATGATGAAATATCATGCCATCCTGCCCTGCCTGATGAAATAGCCATTTCGGTTATTAAATGGATTGGCATAGTGTATATAGGGTTGGATACCATCTGCAGTTTCAGCTATCAAGTGGAAGTCTTGGAAGGTATCCCCTTCAGGTAAGAGGGGACTGTTATAATCTGACTAAAAAGCAGGAAAACTATCTGAAAAGATGTTTTCCTAAAAAAGACATACAGATGGCCACCAGGCATATGAAAAGGTGCTCAGCATCACTAATCATTAAGGAAATGCAATCAAAACCACAATGAGATATCACCTTACACCTATTATACACTATTATTATATTATACTATATTTACTATATACACTATTATATTATACTAATATTATACACTATTATTAAAACAAAAGGTAACAAGTATTGGCGAGGATGTGGAGAAAAGGGAACACTGTTACGCTGTTGGTGGGAAGAAAACTGGTATAGCCATTATGGAAAACAGTATGGAGATTTCTCAAAAAATTAAAAATGAAACTACCATATTATCCAGTAATTCTACTTCTGGGTGTTTATCCAAAGGAACTGAAATCTGGATCTTAAAGAGATAACCACACTCTCATTTATTGCAGCATTATTCACAATAGCCAAGATTTTGGAACAACCTAAATGTCCGTCGATGGATGAATTGACAAACAAAATGTGTTATATACATTCAATGGAATATTATTCAGCCTTAAAAAGAAGGAGACCCTGCCCTTTGGGACAACATGGATTGACCTGGAGCACATTATGCTGAGTAAAATAAGCCAGATACAGAAAGACAAATATTGTATGATTTTACTTCTGTATGGACTCAAAAAAGTCAAATTCATAGAAGCAGCAAGTAGACTGGTGGTTGAGTAGTAGAGGTTGAGGGGAGAGAAAAATGGGGATATTTTGAGCAAGGATATGGATTCTCCATTATGAGATGAATAAGTTCCAAAGATCTAATTATAGCATGATGACTATAAGTAAAAATGCTGTACTGTAAACTTGTAATTGACTAAGAAGGTAGAAGCATTCTTTTTTCCTTTTTTTTTTTTTTTTGAGATGGAGTCTCGCTCTGTCACCCAGGCTGGAGTGCAGTGGCTCGATCTTGGCTCACCACAACCTCCGCCTCCCGGGTTCAAGTGATTCTCCTACTTCAGCCTCCCTAGTAGCTGAGATTACAGGCATATGCCACCATGTCCGGCTCATTTTTGTATTTTTTAGTAGAAATGGGGTTTCACCATATTGGCCAGGCTGGTCTCGAACTCTTGACCACCTGATCCTCCTGTCTGGGCCTCCCTAAGTGCTGGGATTACAGGTGTGAGTCACCTGCCTGGCCAAGAAGGTAGAAGCATTCTTAATGTAGGGGGATAAAAAAGTAGCTGTGTGAGGTGATGGATATGTTAATTAGCTTGATTATGGTGGTTATTTCACTATATATGTATATTAAATCATCAAGGTGCATATATAACCTTCAATATATACAATTTAAGAAGTTAAAGTTGGCTGGGCATGGTGGTTCATGCTTGGCCAGCATAGTGAAACCCCATCTCTACTAAAAATACAAAAATTAGCTGGGCATGGTGGCACATGGCTGTAATCCCAGCTAATCGGGAGTCTGAGGCACCAGAATTGCTTGAACCCAGGAGGCAGAGGTTGCAGTGAGCCTAGATCGTGCCTTGCACTCCAGCCTGGCTGATAAAGTGAGATTCTGTCTCAAAAAAACAAACAAACAAAAAAAGTGAAGTCAACAAGAGTAGAATTAATACAGTTTTATGAGGAGGCATTGGAGTCACACAACCTCCCACCCAAAGCTGAATTGGAGTGCTATTCAGATATTGAAAACCTGGGAAATAATTGTATGCTGAATACAGTTATCTCTATATACTCCATGCTATGAAACAGACATAATACATGTGCTGGCTTTTTAGAAACCAAAATTATATTAGCAAACCAACAGGTCTTCATATTATGTCTTTGGTATAGTTTCCAATCATTTCCTTCAGGCGTTTTACTTTTTTCAGGAGACCCTAAACTTGGCCATGATGGTAAAGGATGCAAGGACAATCCTCCAAATATTTTCCAGGTAGCTTGATTGCTACCAACAAGGTGAGCCATTTAGATAAATGGGAATTTTTATGCCTGTTAATATTTCCAGAAAGTGCATAGTTCCACACGAGTCTTCTCAGTTGATCCAAATTTCTGAGCAGAGAAAGAGCAGGGCAACAATCACATTGCAGTTTCACTAAAATATCATCTCTTAAAAGAATTTCTGGTTGTATGAGTCCATCAAAGGAGCTTCTATTTATATCTTTGGAATGTGTATGGTGCCTCTGGCTGGTGTTTCTGACTATAGGACTATAGATCAACCATAAATATAATTTAAATATCAATCTGGAATGGCTTTTTGGTGTCTAAGTATTTATTTTGTTGATTTATTCATTAAGCAAATATTTCAGTCATTCTTGTCCTCTGGATGTAGCAGTCAAAAAGACACCACTCCCTGCCCCTGAGGAATTCCAGTACACTAGCAAGTGCAAAAAAGAGGTTATTTAACTGCCATCTTGTTGTATAATCAAGAACAAATTTAGAATTACAACTTCCTAGTGCCTTCTTCAAAGAGCCAGAGTAGGTATATTTGTAAGTTCCTTTTTGGTAGTTCAGTTATATATTTTCCACAGAAATTCACCTATGTGTAGTGATTAGATTATCCAGTCCAGAGACACAAATATTTAAAACACAAGGTAATAAAGCATAGTCCTTAGCTTAGTCTAGTAGTCCTCAAATTTTTTGTCTTATAACCTCCGCACATTATTAAAAATTATTGAGGACACCCAAAGAGCTTTTGTTTGTGTGGGTTATATCTGTTAATATTTGCCATGTAGACCTTAAAACTGAGAAAAAATTAAATATGCATTTATTTAAATATAATCAAATAAAACCATTATAAAATGTATATACTTTGTGAAAATTACTGTATTTTCTTTTTCAATTTTTTTCTGCCCTCTGTAAACAAAGAAAATGACTATATTTTCCAAAATAAAAAAATGAGAAAAATAACATTAAAAATATCTCTTCAAGTCTCTTTTATAATTAATAGAAGATAGCTGGATTTATATCTGCCTCTGCATTTAATCTGTTGTGATATACCACTTTGGTTGAAGTATATGAAGAAACTCTGACTTCAAACAAGTATGTGGTAGGACAAAGGAGGAGTATTTAAGAGCTTTTTCAGATAATTGTGAATATTCTTCTTTGATACTGCATCAAAATGTGAGAAGTGGTAAGTTTCTTAGATGTTAGTTGCAATGTGGAATATGAAATAATGTCAATGAGCTTTCCCTGTTCTATTACATTAAAATCTATTGGTCTATCTTGCATTTTGAATGGACCTTTTACCCATGCATAGTTTTATAACAACGTGCATTCATTGGTTATTTGGAAAATATTGGTTCGCAGAGTTTTATGTATCTTCTAAAAGTTGACACGTTCATTATATAGTTTCAAGAAATCACATTAAAAAATTACTACTAATTTTATCAGGGAAGTCTGGAAGTGCTGGTAAATTGTCAAGCTAACAGTGATGGATACAGCTTTTCTTACTTAATCCCTAGGTTGCATAGAGATTTTCACTTGAATAAGGGCTTTCTTGGCTCCAGGTCACTGATAGTGGTTCTCTGCAATGCAGGATGTGGAGGTAGGAATTTAAGGGACTGAGGAGTTTGGGGTGGTAAGGGCCTCTTGTTGATGTAAACTTTCCAGGGCTATTTTTCAGGCTAGGCCATCTCTCAATTATCTTCTTTCATGTGTGGATCCCTGAAAATTGGGATACTTACTTTTCCATTACTACCCATTAGTTAACAAGAGCAACCTTACATAAAGCCTTAATATATTCTGGGAGATTGTTTAGGGAGGCAATCTGAGGAATGTTTTGTGGTGGTCCTTCCACTCTACTCAGTTGTGCAGGATGGAAGCCACCATCTCACTGTATGATAGATCCTAGGGCAGCATCTTGGGAGAGTCAAAGTTTATATACCGTTTGTTGTTTCTGGCCAAGGTTTTTCTTTTTTCCTGGCCCACTATAGAAAATAATGTTTTCTCAAGGCCTCTTCTCTTATCCTTGAGGCAATCAATAAACTTTTTCATTTTTTTCTGAAGTTTTTTTTTTTTCCTGTAAGGCAAACAGATGAAATAAAGTAAAAAGGCTCCTCATCCCTTATCTCTTTATACTCCAACAGTGATAAGGTCCTATAAAATGTGGATCTTTGACTCAACAAAAAAATTGGAAAAAAGTTAAGCTTCATTTAAGGGGAATAATGAAATTTAATAGCTTTCTTGGAATTCCAATCACAAGAGCCAAGAGGGCTTCCTTGGCAAAGGGAAAGGTAAGGAGAGGAAGAGCAGTCTGAGGAACTGAAGATGTGTATGGGATCAGCATTAACAGTGGTGATACCGTCAGAATACAGAATTGGATGACTTTTCCTATTTTTTTTCCCTATGTTACTGTTACTAGACTGATACTAGAGTGAAGAAGTAGGGATTATATAAAGGACTTCTCAGTAAGTGATTAGGTTCTAAAAGTTTCTATTATATTCCAGTACACTCCAGGGAGATTTTGTTGACTTAGTTTCCCTAAAATTGTTCCTTTTTTATTCTAAAGCCTAGAGTTCAGGATAGAGACCAGCATATCCCAAAATCTGCCTTGGTCAAAGGCATTAAATAATGCCCATAACTGAGACATGGTAGAAATTTCCAGACATCACTAGGTGCTAGAAGATCTTGCACTTGCTAAAATCTTGCCAAAGCCCTATAGAGCTGTTTTAAGTATGATCCGTGGACGAACAGTAATGGCATCATCTGGAATTTTAGGAGAAATGCAAAATCTTGGGGCTTATCCCCAGACCAACTGAAAGATCCCCAGGTGGTTCATAAACACATTAAAGTTTGAGAAGCATTATTGAAGAAGATGTGTCTTACATCCCTTATCCCCACTAATTTCTGTTTATCAATCAGAAGCTTTGTTTTGGTCCAAACATTTGTGATTGATTTTAAACTATAGTTATTTTATTGTTGTTAAAAATGGTATTTTATTATTTTAAATATGATTGCATTACCTAAAAGGAAGACAGACTGGTAAAACTATTGTGAGAAACTAATATATTTGTTTTGTTTTCTCATTTACTCCTTGCACAGATTTGGAATGAGATTTAACAGATCCCTGATCTAACTGGTAGGCAACATATCAATTCAGGGACCCATGATTATACGTTGTAAGAAAAATGGCTTTATTTCTCTTTCAGTCAATTATCCATGAAGGTTAACTTAGGGAAGTTCTAGAATAGTGATCCTCAAAGTGTAGTCCTTGGATCAGCAGCATCGGCATCACCTGGGAATTTGCTAGAAATGCAGATGCCTGGGCTCTAAGGAATCAGGCTCTGGGGATGGGACTTATAAATCTGGATTTTAATAAAGCCTCCAGGTGACCTTGATGCATGCTCAATGGTCTTGATCTATTATTATCTTCCGATATCCGTAAGCTGACCATTTAGGGCTTTGTTTCTGTGGTGTCTGTGTTAAGCCTTCCTAATGGGCAGATTTCATAACCAAATCAGCCTCTTTTCATGTACTTATGTAGGAAAATCTAGGTGTTCACACTAGTTCCCACTACTCTAGCAATGGTGGTAGAGCTTGATATAATCAGCACCTTTAACTAAATAAAGTAGACATTAATGACTGATTACAAAATCATGTTAATTTTCCCTGAAGTTAGTTAAAAATCTGACACTATGGTATGCCCAGGTGGCTCTTGGACTGTTATTCATATTTATTCCTGCTCATATTAATATCTAACACTGATTAGCTGCATTGTTCAGAAATAGCTGATTTTTAAATCTCAGCAATAAGACATTAGAGTCTTTTCCTCCCAAATGCAATGTGGTATCCTAGATTAAATCCTGGAACAGAAAAAAAACAACCCAAAAACAGTAGTAGAAAATGGATGAAATCAGAATAAAGTCCAAAGTTTATCTAATAGTAATGTACCAATGTTGATTCTTAGTGTTGAAAAATGTACTTTGGCCATATAAGATGTTAACATTAGGGGAAACTGAGTGAGAGTGTATAGGAATTCTTTGTTTATTTTTGCAACTTTTCTGTAAATGTAAAATTATTCCAAAATAAAAAAATTATTTAAAAAGTCTCTTCCTGATTCTTCACTTAAGAAAGCCCTTGACATATTACCAGGTAAAGGAACTTAAAGAACTGCCTTACATCAACTCAGGCTGCCTATTTGTAGGTAGACCAACAATTGTTTAATTTGTTTTGTTGGAGTGCTTGCAAACCTGTTAACAATCACAAAATGCATTTGCTAAATATATAGGACTGGCAATTAAAGCAGGGTTGGTGCTTTCTTTACCCTTCATTCCTTGTACTTTCATGTATAGAGTTTCTGCTGAAATACTTTGTTCTTGGTGATATGTTGTTTTAATAATAATCCTTAAATCATTTTATGGGTGACTGTTCCCATCCACCCCCATCCTCCTCCAGAGCACTTAATGCAATGTGCTGCAGGAAGTAGGTATTCACAGAGCTCAGATCTCTCTGACTAACTGACTGACTCAATGTGCTACCTGTAATTATATTTTAAAATTTAATCAGGGCAGGTCTAGGAACTCAAGGGGATAAAGTCAAAATCAACTATTCAAGTTAGGTGTGCATAAATTGTCTAGAATGAATAGGCTTCATCAAAACTTGTCAAAATGCAGAGTTTGTCAGTGGAAACCAGAATATAAAAAATTTAAATCATGCTTTTGAAATACACTCAAGACTGAAGGTGAATAGTTCGTGGTGAAGTTAACATTTCTAGAATAAATTTTGGGCTAAACACAAAGTTAGCAGTCTTCTTTCATGCTTGTTATTTTATTTCATTTTGCTTTTTGTGATAATCAAGAATCATAAATATGTCTTGCTGTGGTTGTTGCCATGTCTTGAGAAATTCTGCAAAGAGCTGTAATAGAAAGGACCATGTATCTCTCTTATCTTCCTCTATAGAATTATGTGAACTAAAGCCAAAGCTATGTAAAGATATCCAGAATTGGGACTGAGTTCTGTGTAAAACAGAAAAATAAAAATAAAAAAGATACCAAGAATTTGATACATCTAACATTAGAGATTCTCCAAGTGTTTCTAATTTATCTTCTCAATCTTTCTAAAATTCCTATAAAATAGATGCAAGACAGGAATTATCATCATTTTCCAGTGGGAAAATGGAAATTCAAAGAGATTAAAAATAGTACCCAGATTAAACTACAAATTGTAATTTTTAATCACTGCTTTTTAAACTAATCATGTGGCATATTTTAGATCCGTATTATTTAAATTATTAAATGAATACATCCCCATACATGTGCATATAACTCATTTTCTTAATTCTGTTAAGGAAGAAAGCTGAGCTCTGGGCCATATGGATCCTTTAAAAGAGACAGATGCATGAAGTTTGGAGCAGTGAATGTAAGAGCAATATTTGTTTTTCATTTAATGATTTTGATTTTTTATTGTAGAGACAGTAGAGCTTGATATAGTTTTGGCAAAATGAATTTAATAAAAATTATATATTTGATCTATCATTTCCTATTTCTGTGATTAAACTAGGGAGATTTACTTCAGGGGTTTCCAATTATAAAAAGTGGGAAAATTATCTTTGATTTCCTGTGGGGAAGTAATAAATTGGAAATTATTTGGTTGGCACAATTACAATATTGTTGTTCAGAGGCCAGAAAAATTATTGATTTTTCTTCCAGGTTTCCTTCTCAGGAATAAAATAGTTTTCAAATACCTGAGTAAGATTTTACATTCAAATCATTCACAGGAAGGTTTAATATTTGAGCTGATAAAAGGAGGTTACCAATTTGAGTTACATTGAACTGCCAGAAAACTGTGCCTTCTAGCCTTCTACAAAGTGAAGATGTAACCTAACATACTTTACATATCTGATAAAATATACCATCTATTTTATATTCTGTCTCAAATCTAACGTGAACATTTCTGCATTTGTTGTGAAACCAACATTTAACATAAAGAGGTCATAAGGTTTGTTGTTCCAGATAAGGAGATACAGTGTGTAATCATTTCCATGGGCACATTTAATTATTATATTCCATATTAAAATAGGAGTCACAGTATTGATCCACAGGCATCTTCATTAAAAATAGAAATCTCCCTAAACCTGGAATTGTGTTTAATGAATATAGCATATTTCATCCATATAAACTATTAAGTGAGATTGTTCTGGTACTCATATATTGATTCATACTATAAATATTTTTGAGCACTCAAACCAGAAATGGACCTTATAAGGAAACCAAAGATGCACAGCACAGTAAAGACCCCTCTCTGCAAAGAACTTAGCATCTAATGAAGAACCAAAATATACAAACATTAAATCTTAGATCTCAATCCAGGCATTGAATGGCATTGGAAAAGAACAGTGCTGTAGAAGTCAGAAGATTGTCTCTACCAGTAAATGCTGAGTAAGTGCTGTGATCTTAAGTAAAGAGAGATCCCTGTGTTTTGGAAGCTGTGTTTTATAATGGTTAAGAACACAGGTTTTAGAGTCAGCCAGATTTGGGTTCCAGTACCAGCTCATCCTCAGTAGCTGTGTGATCTTGGGCAAGTCCCTTAACTTCTCTAGGCCCCTGTTTCTTTCTTCTGTAAAAATGTAGATAATAAAATCACCTAGCCTATGGGGTTGTTGTGAGGAATAGATGAGATCAACAATGCACAGAAAAGCTCTTAGCATAATCTATCTAGCACTCATATGCTCTCACTAAATACCTCCAATTATTAGTGTTTATTATTATAATCAGAAGATTTCCCAAAGAAAACAAACACTAAGGTGGACCTGCCTCGTGTTTGAGCTGAGGGAAGGCCCTACCTCATTTGTTGCTGATACTCAGGATAAGAGAAGATCAGTGATGCCTCAGTTGGAGACCTACTCATAACTTTGAGTAAATGCATGTAATTTCACTTATGTATTTATTCATCAAATATTTCTTGTGTGCATTCTCATTGATGGCTCATGTGCTATTTACCAGGAATATAAAGGTAAGTAACAACACTTGGAGTCTTACTTCAGACTGCTGGAAAAGACAGACATCTGAAAAATGATTATATAAAGATATTATTATAATTGGTATTATGAAGGAGACTGCTGTGTCTTCAGAGTCTATAATAAGGAAACACCTGCTTAGTTCAGGGAAGACTTTCCTGAGAAAGTGATTTATGAGCTGAAATCGAATGGACTGGATAGGATGGGAGGAGTAGGAAAGGATGTTTTGGCAGGTGGAACAGCATATATGAAGGCTCAATTTGGTATGCCTGAGGCCCTGAGAAACCAATGTGGATGGAGTACAGAGAGAGTGGAGGCAGATCCATGAGTCTGTAAGCAGAGCTTTGGGGTAGTGGAAGGACTGAGATCTTTATCCTAGGTATGTTAATGGTATACCATTAAAAGGGTTTAAGTAGGGGCATGACATGGTCAGATCTGTGTCTGAAAAAGCACTCTAGCTGTAGTATGGGGAGGACCAATAGTACTATTAGAGAGGTATCTCTGTGATTGATTGTGTAACCAAGTGATTGAAGGGACTGAACTCAGTGGAGTTTAAACATAAAAAGATTCTACTTTTGTTGCTGACCACAATCTTCAAATGTGCTGATAATATTTCCCTTCAAATTCCTTAAAATCTTCAGCAGATTATTGTAGCTTCCATATTACTTTCTGTTATTAAAAGTCCAGTCTGACCTAGTCCAATCTTATATGTCCAACTTAAACCTTTCCCTCACCCTTCCCTCAGTGTCCTTCCAGTCCAATCATGTGTCAAGGACTGAGGGGCATCCTTGGAAGTGGAGTTGGCAGATGGTCTGTGCTCTTACTTTTCTCTATTATAAATAGGTTTTGCTTTGTTCCCTGGCCTGTGGAGCTGAGTGGAGGACTGGGGACAAGTCACAAATGTCTCCCACTTAATGTGAGCTGCTGTTGATATACTTGGTTTGGTAGGCATCCCCATGCTGCCTCTGATGAGGCATTCTTCAGGAAGCCATACAAGGGCCTCTGCACAGTTCCCTTATGCGGGACAGGCCACCTCTTCTGACACCTTCCTTAGCAATGTGCTCCCTAGCCTCTTGGTGTTGGGGTCCCATCACTTGGTGCACAGCCCCCTTGGGCAGGTACCAGCAATTAACTTCAAGCTTGGCTTTCTTCTTCAGTGTCTTCTGGAAAATCCAAGCATCTTGCTCCAATCCAAGTAGCATCTCAACTGGTGCCACTTCTTTTTGTTCTCCAATACTTGTTTTTCTCCTGTTCAGGTTAGTGCTGAGAGCAGATTAGCAACTCCACTGCCTACATAGATGTCCAACCCAACAATGAGACGCTTTTGTCTCCTTCTTATGGGTATATCTAGTCCTTACAAGTAATTTTACTGGGTTCTTTAACTTGGCTTTGAGGGAGAAGAAGAGCCACATTACTTGTCCCCAGTGACTCCCATGTGTTCCTCTAGTCTACGTACAACACATAATATGTAGATAACGCAGTAGGGAGGAGGAAAGGATGGGAGACTGATGCTTGGAGGAGGAACGCCAGTTCTGTTGCCTCTCAGTAGCCCACTGGTTCTCTTTAAATGATGGGGGTTCCTTGATGTATATTGTCTTCAGCTTTGGAGCTTTGATGGCAATTCTGAAAACATGGGAAGAGAACAGTTTACCATCCTGAATTATTAAATGTGGGAGAAGAGAGTCAATGATGATCCCCCATTTCTGAACGAGAAAATGGAAGGATGGTGAGATAGGGAAAAGTCAAGAGGATTAAGTTTTTAGGATAGAAGGGAAGCCCTGAATTTGATTTTGCACATTTCACGTGTGAGGTACCTTTTGAACATATAACTAAAATTATAAATAGGCACTTGGACATGTAGCCTGGAGCTCCAAGAAGTCTGAGCTAGAGGTATAACTGTAGGAGTTATTGGTGTATAGATAATTATCAAGAGCATCAATAGGCATATAACTCCCTAAGGAGGGCATAGAGTAAGAAGAACAGTAGGTCTAGTATTAAGGAATTCCAACAATTAAAGGCTGAAGAGAGGAGGAAAAGTTGGCAAAAGAAACTAAGAAAGAATGGTAGAAGGTAATCAAGGAGGGTGCTGAAAGGTCAGGTAAGCTGAGGACTAAATATCCATGGGATTTAACAACCTGGAGACCATGTGGCCATCTTAGTGACAGTCAGTTCAGGCAAGTGGAAATGGAAGTTAGATCAAAGTGAGTTTAAAAAGAAATGTGGGCCAGGCGCGGTGGCTCACGCCTGTAATCCCAGCACTTTGGGAGGCCAAGGAGGATGGATCACGAGGTCAGAAGTTTGAGATGAGCCTGGCCAACATGGTGAAACCCCGTCTCTACTAAAAATACAAAAATAAGCCGGGTGTGGTGGCACACGCCTGTAATTGCAGTGGTGGTGCATGCCTGTAATTGCAGCTACTTGGGAGGCTGAGGCAGGAGAACTGCTTGAATCCTGGAGGCAGAGATTACAGTGAACTGAGATCACACCACTGCACTCCAGCCTCGGTGGCAGAGCAAGACTCTGTCTCAAAAATAAAAATAAATAAAAAAAAAAAAGTGTAGTGAGAAAAAGAAGGCAGAGAGTAGACACACTCTTTATGTTTGTCTGTGGAGGGGAGGACAGAGATAGGGTGGCAGCAAAAGGAGGAAGTGGGGTTAGGGAGTATCTTTATGGAACTGAATATGTTTGAAAGCTGATAGGAAGGATCCAGTATGGGGGGCCAGGAGGAGCAGGAATTGAACATGCAAGAGAGAAGACAGGTGGGGTGGAATCCAGAGCACAGCAGGAGAAACTGGCCTTAGGGAAAAAGGAAAGCAGGAAAGGGTTGGTACAATTTTATGTAGATGTATACGTTTCAGTTTGTGGAAATTGAGGGAGTTTCTGACCCATTTGTATAGTAGAGGTGAAGTTTTAGGGAGAGATTTTAGCTACACTAAAAACAAAGAGCATTCATTATTACTGCTTTATGGTCATCTTAAAAGCCTTCAGATTTCAAATTCCATTTGACCCATAACATTTTCCAAGGTAACATGTGTCTTTCCCCATGTATTGTTCCAAATTTGCTGAAATAGGCCAGGTGCAGTGGCTCACACCTGCGATCACAGCACTTTGGGAGGCCAAGGCAGGAGGATCACTTGAGGCTGAGAGTGCAAGACCAGCTTCAAGTGAGGCTGTGTCTACCACAATATAGCGAGACCCTGTGTCTACCAAAACAAAACTTTTTTTAGCTGGGTGTGGTGGTTTACACCTGTGGTCCTAGCTACTCAGGAGGTTGAGGCAGGAGAATCGCTTGAGTTTGAGGCTGCAGTGAGCTATGATCACACCACTACACTCCAGCCTGGGCAACAGAGAAATATCCTGTTTTAAACATAAATGAAGATTTAAAACATTTTAAATGCTAAAACAGAGGGTTTTTTTTTTGTAGTCAGTATTAGTTTACTCATTAATACATATCCCAACAAAAGCTAACCGTATGAGATTAAGAAGGAGGGCAAAGTATTTCAGTGATCTCAGTAGTTTAAAGGCTTGGTTCTAAGATCACTTTATCTTTGACCATAGACTTTAGTGCCAGGGCTTATTTTCATGACTACCATAAAATACAATGTCCTTAGTCAACTTGTAATAAGCAAAAACTACAGAATAAGTTTGGATTTCTAAGCATCTTCCCATAGAAATAAAGTTGGAAACTCCTGAATAACTATAACATATCTCGTTATTAAACATCAGAGTGACCAGCATGCCTAGAAAACCAGGACAGTGAGTTTTGTATGGCCCCAATTTCAACTGGACTTACAGACCTAGTGGTGAAAGGACAAATTATTTAAATTTTCTTTAACAGAAGTCAGTTTCTGAGGACAGTAGTCTTCTCTTATCTGTGATTTTGCTTTCTACACTTTCATTTACCTGAAGTCAACCATGGTCTGAAAATGGGTGAATACAGCATAAGATATTTTGAGAGAGAGGGAGACCACATTTTCATTACTTTTATTATAATATATTGTTATAATTGTTCTATCTTATTAGTTATTGTTGTTAGTCTCTTACTGTGCCTAATTTATAATTAAACTTTACCAAAGTTATATATGAATTTAAAAAACCAGTATATATAGGGTTTGGTACTATCTGCAGTTTCAGGCATTCACTGGGGGTCTTGGAACGTATCCCCAATATAAGGGGGGGACTATTATAAATGAGATGGGACTCTCTGTCATATATCTGATTAGTAAACCTTGTAGTTCTGATCCCAAGAAATAAGACTGACTGAGAACATAAATAATAATTCATGAAGTAAGTGGACTCATTAATTAGTTCTAATTCCCCAAGCTATGTGGGGCAAAATTGTTTTTCACAAAGTTCAAGACTCTTTTTTTTTGTGGGGAAGTGGGTGGGGAAGATGGAGTCTCGCTGTGTTGCCCAGGCTGGAGTACAGTGGTGTGATCTCAGCTCAGTGCGGCCTTGACCTTGCAAACTCAAGCAATCCTCCCACCTCAGTGGAGTAGTCAGGACTACAAGTGCATGCCACCATGCCCTGCTAATTTTTTTTCCCCATAGAGACAGGGTTTTGCCATGTTGGCCAGGCTGGTCTTGAACTCCCAAGCTCAAATGATCTGCCCACCTCAACATCCCAGCGTGCTGGGATTACAGGCGTAAGCCATTGCTCCCAGCCGAGACTCTTTTAACTGCTGCTTTCCTCCCAAACTAAAGGGCAGTTCCCTTCCTCTCTCGTTACTTCAGATTAGGTAACCTCTTTTGAATCATATTTAATTATTTCCCCCTTACTAACCTCTTGCACAAAAAGGTATGTTGAAATGTTGCTGGGTAGATGGGTGTTCTCTTTATCCTATTTCCCTCATTCATTTATTGATTCCTTAAGGGTCATTCTCTATTGCAGTGGTTTTGAATTGTTTCTTATGTCCTGAAAATTACTTCACTAAAGAACTTGGATCCTACTATGGTGGCAACAAATAAAACTCCTGCTTACATACATTCTGTTATTATACTTCTCATTTGCTGGATTATTGAAATGATTAAAAAATTGTGATACTATGGTAGGGAGTACATTTTATTGGAATAATAATGGCAGCTAGCATTTATTTAGCTATTTTTAAAGTCAAACAATGTTCTCTGTGCTTTCCATCTATTACTGATTTAATCCTTTCACCAATCTAATGGGTTGGGTACTATTATCGGCCTCATTTTTATAGATTAGGTATCTGAGGCACAGAGAGGTTAAATACCTTGTGGAGTCATGCAACCAGAGCCAGTATCCACACCCAGGCCATCTGGTTCCTGAGCCCATATTCTTAGGGGCTATGCTATGAAATGATTCACTATATAAAACCAAGTATTTCATTAGTAATTAAACATATAATATTTTGGAGTATAGGTTTTATCACTATAGATCTGAAATGAAGATAGATAAAAATTTACAGAAACAATATGGGCAAATAAGGGAGGCAGAGGCATAATGGTACATTTTGCTTGCAAGTGAACATGGGGATTAAGGAGAGTGAATATTTGGAAATTTTAATGAAACCATGTGTCCCTCCCCACTGACGATCTGCCTACCCCTGGCAGTGAACTACTGCTTTAGTAAACATTCTTCCTTATTACACCTGCTATGTATGATTCCAGGCAAAGTGGGCCCTTGGGGAATGTTGGTATCTGCTATAACTTGGTTTATCTGACTCCTTCAAACCTCTGGTTGAAGTTTGATTCTCAGGGTTGGAGGTGGGGCCTGTTGGGAGGTGTTTGGGTCATTGAGATTGATCCCTTATGAATGGCTTGGTGCTATCTTCATGGTAATGAATGAGTCCTCACTCCCTTAGTTTCCAGGAGAGCTGGTTGTTGAACATGGCCTCTCCCTTTCCTCTCTCTTGCTTCCTTTCTTGCTTCTCTCAACATGTGATCTCTGCACAGCTGGCTCCCCTTCACCTTCTACTATGAGTGGAAACAAGCTGAAGCCCTCACCAGAAAGAGACACCATCACCATGCTTCTTGTACAACCTGCAGAACCGTGAGGCAAATCAACTTCTTTTTAAAATAAATTACCCAGGCCGGGTGCAATGGCTCACGCCTATAATGCCAACACTTTGAGAGGCTGAGGTGGGCAGATGACTTGAGGTCAGGAGTTTGAGACCAGCCTGGCCAACCTGGTGAAACCCTGTCTCTGCTAAAAATACAAAAATTAGCTGAGTGTGGTGGTGGATGCCTGTAGTCCCAGCTACTCAGGAGGCTGAGGCAGGAAGATGGCTTGAACCTGGGGGGTGGAGGTTGCAGTGAGCCAAGATCACTGCATTCCAGCCAGGGCAACAGAGCCAGACTCTGTCTCAAAAATAAGTAAATAAAATAAAATAAATTACCCAGCCTCAGATATTCCTTTATAGTAACCCAAATGGTCTAAGACAGTGTCTGATTGGAAAGTTCATTAGTTCTTTCACTCACTTAACACTCTTTTTTTCAGAACCTGTCCCTAAAAGCTCACAGACTTGTAGGGGAGACAAACATATAAACAAATAATTACAACACAGTAAAATAAAAAATAGAGGCATGTGCAAGATATACAGTGGGGAAACTGAGATGAAGAAAAAAAGTGGTGGGGGAAACAGTGTTAGGGAGAAAAGGGTACCCTGGAAGTTTCCCTAAGGAGGAGGTGTTTGGATTGAGTAAGTTCTCCAGGAAGACAAGGAATAGGGAGGGAGATTCGAAACAGAGAGAACAGCATGTGTAAAGAGTCATAGATATGATACAGGATAATGTGTTCAAGGAAATGCAAATCCCTTAATATTATGGGGATATAGGTGCAGGCAAGGAAGAGAATTAAAGTTGAAAAGGGTTGACTAGGAGAGACTAGAAGAATATGAAGGAATTTGGAGCTTTACTGGAGGTAATGGTGAGCCAATAAGTAGTTAGAAGCAGGAATGACACAATGAATTTAGTGTTCAGACAAATTGAACTCCAACTTCTTCCAATTGATTATCACACATAAGCAATGTATTTAAAAGTAATTAAATATATGAGATTTTTATATCTCTAAAGTGGCCGTTTGCAGTGAGCATATGTTTTTATGCCTACCCAGCATCCATTCTTTTTTTTTTTGTAATAGCACCTGATTTTCTTTTGGGGACTTACCCACCCCCAATGCCTACAGTGTCCTATAACTATGAAATAAATTGTTTTACCCTCCTTGGCTGAAGGTTGGGAAAGGGATGTAAGAAAGGGTCCTCCAACTCCTTCAGAAATTTAAATTTTGTGAGCGGTGACTCAAGGATAGGACTCAAGGATACCAGATAGATTTGATCCATCTGGTATCAGCACCCCGAGGGGATGGTGCTGCACTTTTGGTTATCCAGGTTACCAAAGTGATTTCACTTTCTGAAGCTAGGTGTTCCCAGATTGCCTTTGATTTCCTGAACTTCTCCATAATCTTCCAGTAAATTCCATGTTTGCTTGAGGTAACAAATTCTGCTCAAGTCAGGTGCAGTTTGCTTCTAAGCTAAGTACCTTAATTTATATATCACCTGGGAGAATGATCAGCTTACTTTTATCTGCTGAAAATTGCTGGAAAATTTGTACTAAGGTTGTTGTACTCCTATCAGCATAGACAAAGCAGGCAGCCTTTCTCTCTCTGGGTCTTGGTGCTGAACCTGTGTGCTGGCAAGAAATGGGCTCACATTTGCTTTGCTCTCAGAACCTGTAGACCTTCTTCACTCTCCTTCTCTTCTCCCTTAGCCACCAACCTGAAACAGGAAGAATCTCTACTTGTGAAAGTCCTTTTAATTTTATATTTCTGATCATGACACTTTTTTATGTTTAGTATAGAAACATCTCCTTCACAAAAACACCCATGTTATCCCAAGACTTTGGAAGAAGAATGAAAAAGACTTGCAGCCCTCTTCTGCTTCCCATCCTGCCACAAAGCTACTCAGAGGCCATAAACACATAATTATCTATGTGCTTGAATGTTGGGGGATGGGAGGTTCAGGTTGAAGATAGAACAAAAATGAAAAGGCACAAGGAAAGAAAATAAAGCAAGTTAACAATTCACAATACCTCAGTAGCTTAGTAATAAAAATAATGGTGCCTTTCAACATATCTTTATTATCATTCTTTATAATCATTTTGTTTTTATGTTTTGTCTTATATTTTACCCACAGATGGAGAGTATAAATTTACTACTTCATATATTGGGTTGCTTTCCTGGGTACATAGTAGCTCTTTTAGTCACTGTAATATCAGCAATGATGATGCTTGTATCTGAAGATGAACAATAGTCATGCATTTTCCAAATCATCTGAAAGAGCTATTGGAAGCCACACTTCCCATCACACAGCCTGTCCATCTTCAACACTGGCTTTTCAGTCACTGGCTAGGGGTTATTTAGTCAACTTTTTCATGCACACCTTCGACTTCTGGCATGCAAAGCTTTCTGCATGCTTTTATGTAATGTGAATCCAGATGGTGGATTGTATGTGGGTGCAATAAATGACTGAATGTTTTCACATGTTTCTTGGCTGGAATTTATAATGGTGGAGTTTCTTTCCTAAGCCTCCACGACTGCCACATTCTGCAATAATTTTCACCAGATTACATAGATGTTCTGATAGAATCAGGGACCAAGGAAGCTAAAATGGTTCTTCCTCTAATCCTGATCACATCTCTTTCCCTCTCCTTAGCTAATTTATTTCTCTGCTACAGAAACTTGGAACTTTGCTGTACAGAGAAGACTGAGGTAAACAGGGAGAATAAACGCGCTGAAAGGAAGGGAAAGCCAGTAAAGGAAGTTGGAGAGATAATTGAAAATTTGAAAGAGAAGGTGGAATCAATACCCTTAAAATATTTTTAAGTATTCAAAAGCAAACAATTAGAATTAGTGAACGACAACAATAAAATACTAAAAAAGGGGCACTTATGCCTC
The DNA here is from genome assembly GCF_000001405.40 of Homo sapiens. NCBI lineage: Eukaryota > Metazoa > Chordata > Mammalia > Primates > Hominidae > Homo > Homo sapiens. Next base: position 84,456,032 of record NC_000001.11, on the reverse strand, counting down.
CTCTCCTCATACACCTGCACCCCCGTTCCCCCATCCATTTCCCCTTCCCAAGCCATACTGATACATGATGTTTCAGCTGCATGTTGTGTTAGAGGCCATTTCACAAAAGTCACAATGGTCTTGAATGTTATTTTAATATGCATCTTAGAGCTATTGCTCATTTTTACAGTATTGGGATTCCTCTAATAAACAGAGAACTGCTTTGTCATTACTAAGCAGTGAAGTTATCCCTCTTACAGGGGACTGCTTGAGAAGATAACCAAAGACGGGAATCGAGATTTGGACCTACCTCTTACCACTATCCTCATGATGGAGGTAACTTATATTCTGGACCCTATAGGACCACTTTGTATTCTTGTTCATGTTTGTAGTTTACTTGCTGTGATTTCTTTTGTGAGATGAGGTCTCACTCTGTCACCCAGGTTGGAGTGGAGTGGTTTGATAATGGCTTACTGCAGCCTTGACCCCTGGGCTCAAGCAATCCTTCTGCCTCAGCCTCCTCCTGAGTAGATGGGACTACAGGCACATGCCACCATGCCTGGCTAAATTTTTTTTTTCTTTAAAGGGCTGGGTTTCCCAGCGTTACCCAGGCTGGTCTCAAACTCCTGGGTTCAAGTCGATCCTCTCACCTTGGCCTCCCAATGTTCTGGGATTACAGGTGCAAGCTACCGCTCCCAGCCTATGATTTCTTTTTACCTGTATATCCTTGGTAGTATTTGAAAACTTGTGTTTGACTTCATCTGTTTTCTTTGGATATGAATGTAGCTAGTAGTAATATAAATGGTAGTTTGCTTGAGTGGTGGCAAAGAAAGCCTATTTCATTCCTTTTATTATAGGTTTGCCTTCTAAGTGGAAGCTACCTTGAGATGAATTTAGCATTATTTTTGCTAGCAAATGCTTGTGTCATTCTGATATTTCTTTTCTCTCTCTCTCTTTTTTTGATTTCCTGATAAAATAATAAATCCCTTTATTCTTTCATCCAGTCGGCTTAGAAGGGGAATGTGAAAGATGACTTCATCCATTTTTTTCTTTGGAGATTTGCTTTACTAATTACCCAGGCTTTGATGTCCACATTTCCACATTTGTTACCATTCCTTGGTGCTATAGTGGATTTCTCTCATAATCTCTTATCCTTTTAACTTTACTTCCCAGAGGCAAAGGATTTGCTCTGTACCTGACTGCATTATGAAACACCTATTTGCCTGACCCACCCCTCCTCAGGCTGCACCACCCAGGACACTATGAAAATGAAGTTGCAACTGACTGGAAGTCAGCAGTACTACACCGGGTCCAGATGAACGTAAACCAACATGGAACCCCAAGGCCATGCTCTAGAGGGTCAGCTCTGAACCTCCTTGAAGTAAGTGTTCAGCCAGGTTATTAATTCGTTTAGTGTTGGTTTTTGAAATGCTACTTTATTGGGTCTTTAAAAATTTGATGCTTGGCATAGAGGACAAGGTCTCTAAATGTAGGACTTCACTGAATGAAGGTGATCACTACCAGGCTGTCTCTCTTTTTTCTGTTTATAAATGCCTTTTTCTCTTTTGTTGGCCTTTTTTTTTTTTTTTTTTTTTTTTTTTGACAGAGTCTCGCCCTGTCACCCAGGCTGGAGTGCAATGGTGTGATCTTGGCTCACTGCAACCTCCGCTTCCCGGGTTCAAACAATTCTCCTGCCTCAGCCTCCTGAGTAGCTGGGATTACAGGTGCCCACCACCACGCCCAGCTAATTTTTGTATCTTTAGTAGAGACAGGATTTCACCATGTTAGCCAGGCTGGTCTGAAACTCCTGACCTTGTGATCTGCCCGCCTTGGCCTCCCAAAGTGCTGGGATTACAGGCGTGAGCCACTGTGACCGGCCTTGTTGATATTTTATACTCTGTGCCTTGGAAGAAATACTTCCTAGGAATTTATTTTATTTTACAGCAGGCTGGCAAAAATGAAAAAGAGACTTGACAGGAAATGGAGGTAAAAATTCAAGGATTAATTAAATTCATACATTTTGTCTTAGATTTTATATGGCTCACAGACAATCTGTATAATTTGTCTGATTCTCACAGATTATCCCAAATGTTATTTATTATTCATTCAACAAGCATTTATTTATTTATTTATTTATTTTTGAGATGGAGTTTTGCTCTTGTTACCCAGGCTGGAGTACAGTGGAGCGATCTCAGCTCACCGCAACCTCTACCTCCCAGGTTCAAGCGATTCTCCTGCCTCAGCCTCCCAAGTAGCTGGGATTAAAGGCGCATGCCACCAAGCCCAGCTAATTTTTTATTTTTAGTAGAGACAGGATTTCTCCATGTTGGTCAGGCTGGTCTCGAACTCCCAACCTCAGGTGGTCTGCCCGCCTCGGCCTCTCAAAGTGCTGGGATTACAGGCGTGAGCCACGGCGCCTGGGCTAACAAGCATTTATGAAATTGAGCACTTTGAAAATAAAGAGGGAGAGATTTGAACTAGAAAGTGAGCTCCATGAGCACAGGATTTTTGTTTATTTTGTTCACTGCTCTATTCCTAGCACTTAGAACAGTGCCTGGCATGTAAGTGATACTCAATAAATATTTGCTGATATATAAATAAATGAATGAACACTACTGTGATTTAAAAATATTCATTTTAGAATAAGAGGTGTATTATGTACATCAGATGTAGGATTGTGAATATAATAAAGCCTATCAATTAGAAAAGGGCCCTAGAAAGACTTGACATGCAAGTGTCAGAGGAGATATGCTCCTTTGTGTTCAGAGTGGGCAGTTATTTGATGGTCCAGATGGTTTTACCTCAAAGGAAGAATGTGGTTAAATTTTTGTTGTTGTTGTCATTGTTGTTGTTTTTGGAGACAGAGTTTTGCTCTTGTTGCCCAGGCTGGAGTGCAATGGCGCGATCTCCACTCACCACAACCTCCGCCTCCCGGGTTCAAGCAATTCTTTTGCCTTAGCATCCCGAGTAGCTGGGATTACAGGCATGTGCCACCATGCCCGGCTACTTTTGTATTTTAGTAGACATGGAGTTTCTCCATGTTGGTCAGGCTGGTCTTGAACTCCCAACCTCAGGTGATTTGCCCGCCTTGGCCTCCCAAAGTGCTGGAATTACAGGCATGAGCCACCGTGCCTGGCCGAATGTGGTTAAATTTATCTTTTTCATTTTTACTCCTATTTAGAAGGTAAAAAGACTCTTATTTATAAAAACAATGAATTAGTTCTATTTATTAGTCTTTCTGTGTTCATTTAATGCCGGTGTCTAAGGAACCTAAGGCATTGACCAGGGGGTCTTATTAAACGTCACAGCTCAGCAAGGAAGTTGTGAGCAGAGCCAGCTCTTGGGGTAGGCAGTGTGTACTTCTGCCTATGGCAGAAGCTCCTACGGCAGTGCCATGCCAACTCTCACTATAGTTTCTGTTTTTGAATTTTGTGTTGGCTGTTCCTCTATTTCTGTATGTTTCTTAGAACCAGAAGTAAAGAGATGGGGAATTAGAGATGGAGATCTGCAATGCTGCTGAAGGGCTTGGCTGGCACCCTCTCTCACCCCCCTTCTTTCCTCTCTACCTAGTTCTGAGCATCTTTTTCCTCCTTTGATCCTCCAGTGGCAAAGTCAAAGTGGGCACCAAATGCAGACTTGGCCAAGTGAGCTACCCAGGTTGGGGGGGCACCATCACCTCTTTTTTGTTGTCTCAGGATTCACAACTTCAGAATAACCTTTTGGAAGTTAGGCTGTGTCTATGGCAGTAAGAACAGAAGTTCTGCCTTAGGCTTTAGCCATTATACTGTGCTATAAAGAGCATGTAACATAGCCTAATACTTTATGTTGCAGTTGAAGTGTTACGGGATTTTATTTTATAAGAACTTAAATCCAACACATAAATCTCTCTCAGATCAGCCAGGCTTTGTGTTTTTTCCTTTTGTAACTCATTCTGAGTTGATCTAAGACAAACATTCCTAAACTAGCTGGGTAGAAAGGACACTGTGGTGTAGCGGGAAAAGCCCAAGAAGGCAAATCAGGGCTCAGTTCTAGATTGGACTTGGTTGCTAACTAGCTTTTTATCCACAGTGAGTCAAGATTCTGGGCCTCACTTTCTTGGTTTATAAACTAAGAGAATTGCATGAAATGAACTATAGCACTGCTTTCAGCTCTCATCTATTTAGGCTCAAGACCTTTTGCCCCTTCTTTCTACCATTTTGAATAATGGAATATAAAGTGTTGGAAAGAATCCTAGCATTGGCTGAGTAAATGTTAGTTAAATCTGAGTTAAATTGAATATAGTCAACCCACTCAAGTTAATAGAGGAGGGAATTACATGAGTACAGAAAAATCAAGTTACTTGCTTAGGTCACACAACTAATTAATGGCAGAAACCTGACGTTCTAATCACAAATCATGAGTTTTTTTTCTCAGAAAAAACTTTGGTGATCACGGTGGGTGTAGAGGAAGCAGTAGTTTTCATAAAGGTGTTAAATTCTTATTTCTGCTAAGTTGGTTAGCATTGCCTATTATGACAATCCATGAATATCTTGTGCCAAAATGCTGCTGGCTGTTGTGCAGAGACACGTGTTGGTTGCTTTAGAATTAAACACAGACCAGAAACTCCTGGAGAAAAAAGGCCACCCCTTTTTTAATCACTCTCTTTAATTTTTCCTTCTGACTTAACTTTTAAAATTGGGCTGATTGTTCAAATAGTAGAAGAGGTTAGAAAAATCTGTTCAGGAAGACAAGAACCAGGAGTTCTAGTCCAGTCTCTACATGGGGTTTGGAGAATCTGGGTGGCCGAGTGGCATAAACTAACATGAAATTGGTAGCTCTCTTCTCCATACACTATTTCCCTGCTTAGAAATGAGTGTTGTCTAAGTATGAATTCATCTTCCTCTCCGAGGCTGGGCTCTTTCTGACCTCCCTGTTTCTTTGAACAGTGTCACTTCTTCAAGTTACTCACCCCTCAAACCTTAGTAATCTCTGACTCCTCCCCTTTCTCTGATACACTGAAACAGTTGCTAAACTTCATGGATTCCTCCTTCACAATGTGTCCTGCATTGGTTTTACTTCTTCATTCCTATTATTGTTCACATATGTCACTTAAAGTCATATCTTGTGAGTAGTTAAGAATGTGAGTTTGGAATCAGGTAGAACTGGGTTTGAGTCCTAGCTCTGCCACTTACTACCTGGTGTCATTGCTTAATCTCTTTGTTCCTTAATTACTTTATCTTTCAAATGGAAATAATAATTGTGTTGATCTCAAAGAATTGTGAGAATTAAAGAACATATGTAAAATACTTAGTACAGTGCCTAACATATAAGTGTTCTAGTTTTTTTTTTTTTTTTTTTGAGATGGAGTCTTGCTCTGTCGCTCAGGCTGGATTGCAGTGGCACCATCTGGGTTCACTGCACCCTCTGCCTCCTGGGTTCAAGCAGTTCTACTCCTCAGCTTCCCACATAGCTGGGATTACAAGCTCCCGCCACCATGCCTGGCTAACTTTTGTATTTTTAGTAGAGATGGGGTTTCACCATGTTGGCCAGGCTGGTCTCAAACTCCTGACCTCAAGAGATCCGCCTGCCTCGGCCTCCCAAAGTGCTGGGATTACACGCATGGGCCACTGCACCCAGCCCTGGATTCTAGTTTCTAGACTAGGCTTGACTAGGGGGAGGATGAGGGGTGAGAGACAGGAGGGCAGGAGAAGGTCAGAGAGAGACTTTGCTCTGAGGCTGCTTCTTAGGCCTTCACTTTGGGGTATTTTTTTTGAACCCCAACATTAGGCAAGAGCATATGGTTAAAGCTATCTTATTTGTGTATAATAGAAAAAAATTATATCTAACTTCAATGAACTTTGAAGTATCTTGAGTTTTCAATTAAAAAGATTCTGCTTTTAATAACAAAGCATGCTCGGGTTACCCTGATATCTGAAAAGTTTCCTGCAATCTACTTTTCATCAAATTCAAATATATGTCAACATTGATTTGATATAGAGGGGAGAATTGAAAAAGAAATGATGTGTAACAGTTGGAAGAGGGATCTTTGGATATACTTATAAGAGTCTAGGGAGAGCTCTGCACACACTCCTGTTCTCCAGAAACTAATTTGTGAAAATGCAACTCATTGGGTCACCCAGCCTCCTGGATTAGGCTTTAGGAGTACACCAAGAGAAATATCATCTATCTTCAAAAAAGATATAATTCTATTAGCAATCAGTTTTTGGTGTCATAAATAGTAGGACTGTGGTGCTAATTATTCAAAACTTTGAACCAGTAGCTTGTTTGGACTTGGGATGCATTGCATTATTGTCCTGTAGCAAATTTTCCCTTCTAATTTTGATCTGTTTTAGGCAGATGGCATTTAAAATGACTTTACTTTGGGGAGCACCCACCATCTGAGAAGAGAGTAAGTGGGTTTGGGAGAAAGCTAATAGCAGAAGAAAGCCAGCTTGTTATTAATGTTCTATGCAGAAAATATACCTAGTAGTAATAATTCAGAGTTAATTTTGCAAGCACAACTCATTACTCCAGCTGATTTCTGAGTTTGTTGAGTTGTAACTCTAATCTCCCTGGCACACGTTGTCAATACCTTTATGTCTAAGGGTGAGTTAATCAGATATTGATAGAATTCCAGAAGGAAGATACTGGGTACTCACAGTGGGCAAAGCCCTGGACACCTGCAGATTCCATTTAAATGAAGTAAAGACTTGAATTACTGCTGAAACAAGTTTAACATTTCAAAAGTTGTAGATTTATTTTTGTAGACATACATTTTTATTTCTTTGTGGTAGACAGGTAGGAGTGAAACTGCTAGGTCATATGGTAAATGTGTTTTTTTTTAAATTATACTTTGAAGTTCTGGGATACATGTGCACAATGTGCAGGTTAGTTACAAAGGTATACACATGCCATGGTGGTGCGCTGCACCCATCAACCCGTCATCTACATTAGGTATTTCTCCTAATGCTATCCCTCCCCTAGCCCCCCAGCCCCTGACAGGCCCTGGTGTGTGATGTTCCCCTCCATGTGTCCATGTGTTCTCATTGTTCAACTCCGACTTATGAGTGAGAACATGCAGTATTTGGTTTTCCATTCCTGTGTTAGTTTGCTGAGAATGATGGTTTCCAGCTTCATCCATGTCCTTGCAAAGGACACGAACTCATCCTTGTTTATGGCTGCGTAATATTCCATGGTATATATGTGCCACATTTTCTTTATCCAGTATATCATTGGTGGGCATTTGGGTTGGTTCCAAGTCTTTGCTATTGTGAACAGTACTGCAATAAACATGTGTCTTTATAGTAATTTATAATCCTTTGGGTATATACCCAGTAATGGGATTGCTGGGTCAAATAGTATTTCTGGTTCTAGATCCTTGAGGAATTGCCACACTGTCTTCCACAATGGTTGAGCTAATTTACACTCCCACCAACAGCGTAAAAGTGTTCCTATTTCTCCACATCCTCTCCAGCATCTGTTGTTTCCTGACTTTTTTTTTTTTTTTTTTGCTATAGTCTTTTTAATGACTGCCATTCTAACTGACGTGAGATGGTATCTCATTGTGGCTTTGATTTGCATTTCTCTAATGACCAGTGATGATGAGCTTTTTTCATATGTTTGTTGGCTGCATAAATGTCTTCTTTTGAGAAGTGTCTGTTGATACTCTTTGCCCACTTTTTGATGGTGTTATTTTTTTTTCTTGTAAATTTGTTTAAGTTCTTTGTAGATTCTGGATATTAGCCCTTTGTCAGATGGATAGATTGCAAAAATTTTCTCCCATTCTGTAGGTTGCCTGTTTACTCTGATGATTGTTTCTTTTGCTGTGCAGAAGCTCTTTGGTTTAATTAGATTCCATTTGTCAATTTTGACTTTTGTTGCCATTGCTTTTGGTGTTTTAGCCATGAAGTCTTTGCCCATGCCTATGTCCTGAATGGTATTGGCTAGGTTTTCTTCTAGGGTTTTTATGGTTTTAGATCTTACATTTAAGTCTTTAATCCATCTTGAGTTAATTTTTCTTTAAGGTGTAAGGAAGGGGTCTAGTTTCAGTTTTTTGAATATGGCTAGCCAGTTTTCCCAACACCATTTATTAAATAGGGAATCCTTTCCCCGTTGCTTGTTTTTGTCAGGTTTGTCAAAGATCAGATGGTTGTAGATGTGTGGTATTATATCTGAGGCCTCTCTTCTGTTCCATTGGTCTATATATCTGTTTTGGTACCAGTACCATGCTGTTCTGGTTACTGTAGACAATTAGTAGAGTTTGAAGTCAGGTAGTGTGATGCCTCCAGCTTTGTTCTTTTCGCTTAGGATTGTCTTGGCTATACGGGCTCTCTTTTGGCTCCATATGAAATTTAAAGTAGTTTTTTTTTCTAATTCTGTGAAGAAAGTTAATGGTAGCTTGATGAGGATAGCACTGAATCTATAAATTACTTTGGGCAGTATGGCCATTTTCACATTATTGCTTCTTCCTATCCATGAGCATGGAATGTTTTTCCATTTGTCTGTGTTCTCTCTTATTTCTTTGAGCAGTAGTTTGTAGTTCTCCTTAAAAAGGTCCTTGCATCCCTTGTAAGTTGTATTCCTAGGTATTTTGTTATCTTTGTAGCAATTGTGAATGGGAGTTCACTCATGATTTGGCTCTCTGTTTGTCTATTATTTGTGTATAGGAATGCTTGTGATTTTTGCACATTGATTTTGTATCCTGAGACTTTGCTGAAGTTGCTTATCAGCTTAAGGAGATTTTGGGCTGAGATGATGGGGTTTTCTAAATATACAGTAATGTCATCTGCAAACAGAGACAATTTGACTTTATCTCTTCCTATTTGAATACCCTTTATTTCTTTCTCTTACGTGATTGCTCTGGCCAGAACTTCGAATACTATGTCTAGTAGGAGTGGTGAGAGAGGACATCCTTGTCTTGTGCCGGTTTTCAAAGGGAATGCTTCCAGCTTTTGCTCATTCAGTACGATATTGGCTGTGGGTTTGTCATAAATAGCTCTTATTATTTTGAGATATGTTCCATCAATATCTAGTTTATTGAGAGATTGTAACATGAAGAGGTGTTGAATTTTATCAAAGGCCTTTTCTGCATCTATTGAGATAATCATGTGGTTTTTGTCATTGGTTGTGTTTGTGTGATGGATTATGTTTATTGATTTGTGTATGTTGAATCAGTCTTGCATCCCAGGGATGAAGCCAACTTGATCATGGCAAATAAGCTTTTTGATGTGCTGTTGGATTCAGTTTGCCAGTATTTTATTGAGGATTTTAGCATCGATATTCATCAGGGATATTGGCCTGAAATTTTCTTTTTGTGTTGTGTCTCTGCCAGGTTTTGGTATCAGGATGATGCTAGCCTCATAAAATGAGTTAGAGAGGATTCCCTCTTTTTCTATTGTTTGGAATAGTTTCAGAAGGAATGGTATCAGCTCCTCTTTTTACCTCTAGTAGAATTCAGCTGTGAATCCATCTGGTCCTGGGCTTTTTTTGGTTAGTAGGCTATTAATTACTGCCTTAATTTCAGAACTTGTTATTGGTCTATTCAGGGATTCGACTTCTTCCTGGTTTAGTCTTGGGAGGGTGTATGTGTCCAGGAATTTATCAGTTTCTTCTAGATTTTCTAGTTTATTTGCATAGTGGTGTTTATTCTCTAAGGGTATTTTGTATTTCTGTGGGATCAGTGGTGATTTCCCCTTTATCATTTTTTATTATGTCTATTTGATTCTTCTCTCTTTTCTTCTTTATTAGTCTGGCTAGTGGTCTATCTATTTTGTTCATCTTTTCAAAAAACCAGCTCCTGGATTCATTGTTTCTTTGAAGGGGTTTTCGTGTCTCTATCTCCTTCAGTTCTGCTCTGATCTTAGTTATTTCTTGTCTTCTGCTAGCTTTTGCATTTGTTTGCTCTTGCTTCTCTAGTTCTTTTAATTGTGATGTTAGGATGTCGATTTTAGATCTTTCCTGCTTTCTCTTGTGGGCATTTAGTGCTATAAATTTCCCTCTAAACACTGCTTTAGCTGTGTCCCAGAGATTCTGGTATGTTGTGTCTTTGTTCTCATTGGTTTCAAAGAGCTTATTTATTTCTGCCTTAATTTTGTTATTTACCCAGTAGTCATTCAGGAGCAGGTTGTTCAGTTTCCATGTAGTTGTGCAGTTTTGAGTGAGTTTCTGAATGCTGAGTGCTAATTTTATTGCACTGTGTTCTTAGAAATTGTTATGATTTCCATTCTTTTGCATTTGCTGAGGAGTGTTTTACTTCCAATTATATGGTCAATTTTAGAATATGTGTGATGTGGTGCTGAGAAGAATGTATATACTGTTGCTTTGGGGTGTAGAGTTCTGTAGATGTCTATTAGGTCCACTTAGTTCAGAGCTGAGTTCAGGTCCTGAATACCTTTGTTAATTTTCTGTCCTGTTGATCTGTCTAATATTGACAATGGGGTGTTAACAGTCTCCCACTATTATTGTGTGGGAGTCTAAGTCTGTTTGTAGGCCTCTAAGAACTTGCTTTATGAATCTGGGTGCTCCTGTATTGGGTATCTATATACATTTATATATTTAGAATACCTAGCTCTTCTTGTTGTGTTGATCCCTTTACCATTATGCAGTGCCCTTCTTTATCTTTTTTGATCTTTGTTGGTTTAAAATCTTTTTTATCAGAGAGTAGGATTGCAACCCCTGCTTTTTTTTGCTTTCCATTTGCTTGGTTAATGTTTCTCCATCCCTTTATTTTGAGCCTATGTGTGTCTTTGCACATGAGATGGATCTCCTGAATACAGCACGCCAATGGGTCTTGACTCTTTATCCCATTTGCCAGTCTGTGTCTTTTAATTGGGACATTTATATTTAAGGTTAATATTGTTATGTGTGAATTTGATCCTGTCATTATGATGCTAGCTCGTTATCTTGCCTGTTAGTTGATGCGGTTTCTTCATAGTGTTGATGGTCTTTACAATTTGGTATGTTTTTGCAGTGGCTGGTACTGGTTTTTCCTTTCCATGTTTAGTGCTTCCTTCAGGAGCTCTTGTAAGGCAGGCCTGGTGGTGACAAACTCTCTCAGCATTTGCTTGTCTGTAAAGGATTTTATTTCTTCTTCACTTATGAAGCTTAGTTTGGCTGGATATGAATTCTGGGTTGAAAATTCTTTTCTTTAAGAATGTTGAATATCGGCCCCCACTCTCTTCTGGCTTGTAGGGTTTCTGCAGAGACCCGCTGTTAGTCTGATGGGCTTCCCTTTGTGGGTAACCCGACCTCTCTCTCTGGCTGCCCTTAACATTTTTTCCTTCATTTCAACCTTGGTGAATCTGATGATTATGTGTATTGGGGTTGCGCTTCTCGAGGAGTATATTTGTGATGTTCTCTGTATTTCCTGAATTTGAATGTTGGCCTGTCTTTCTAGGTTGGGGAAGTTCTCCTGGATAATATCCTGAAGAGTGTTTTCCAACTTGGTTCCATTCTCCTCATCACTTTCAGGTACACCAATCAAATGTAGATTTGGTCTTTTCACATAGTCCTATATTTCTTGGAGGCTTTTTTCATTCCTTTTCATTCTTTCTTCTCTAATCTTGTCTTCACGCTTTATTTCATTAAGTTGATCTTCAATCTCTGATATCCTTTCTTCTGCTTGATTGATTCAGCTGTTGATACTTGTGTATGCTTCACTAAGTTCTCGTGCTGTGTTTTTCAGCTCCATCAGGTCATTTATGTTCTTCTCTAAACTGGTTATTCTAGTTAGCAATTCCTCTAACCTTTTTTCAAGGGTCTTAACTTCCTTGCATTGGGTTAGAACATGCTCCTTTAGCTCGGAGGAGTTTGTTATTACCCACCTTCTGAAGCCTACTTCTGTGAATTCGTCAAACTCACTCTCTGTCCAGGTTTGTTCCCTTGCTGATGAGGAGTTGTGATCCTTTGGAGAAGAGGTGTTCTGGTTTTTGGAATTTTCAGCCTTTTTGTACTGGTTTTTCCTCATATTTATGGATTTATCTACCTTTGGTCTTTGATATTGGCGACCTTTGGATGGGGTTTATGTGTGGACGTCCTTTTTGTTGATGTTGATGCTATTCCTTTCTGTTTGTTAGTTTTCCTTCTAACAGTCAGGCCCCTCTGCTGCAGGTCTGCTAGAGTTTGCTGGAGGTCCACTCCAGACCCTGTGTGCCTGAGTATCACCAGTGGAGGCTGCAGAACAGCAAAGATTGCTGCCTGTTCCTTCCTCTAGAAGCTTCGTCCCAGAGGGGCACCTGCCAGATGCCAGCCAGAGCTCTCCTGTATGAGGTGTCTGTCAACCCAATGCTGGGAGGTGTCTCCCTGTCAGGAGGCACAGGGGCCAGGGACCCACTTGAGGAGGCAGTATGTCCCTTAGCAGAGCGCAAGCACTGTGCTGGGAGATCTGCTTCTGTCTTCAGAACCAGCAGGCAGGAAGGTTTAAGTCTGCTGAAGCTGCACCCACAGCTGCCCCTTCCCCCAGGTGCTCTGTCCCAGGGAGATGGGAGTTTTATCTATAAGACCCTGACTGGGGCTGCTGCCTTTCTTTCAGAGATGCCCTGCCCAGAGAGGAGGAATCTAGAGAGACAGTATGACTATAGTGGCTTTGCCCAGCTGCAGTGGGCTCCACCCAGTTCAAACTTCCTGGTGGCTTTGTTTACACTGTGAGGGGAAAACTGCCTACTCAAGCCTCAGTAATGGCAGATGCTTCTCTGCCTGCCAAGCTCAAGCATCCCAGATTGACTTCAGACTGCTGTGCTGGCAGTGAGAATTTCAAGCTAGTGGATCTTAGCTTGCTGGGCTCCATGGGGGTGGGATCTGCTGAGCTAGACCAGTTGGCTCCCTGGCCTCAGCCCCCTTTCCAGGGGAGCGAACGGTTCTGTCTTGCTGGCGTTCCAGGCACCACTGGGGTATGAAAAACTACTCCTGCAGCTAGCTTGGTGTCTGCCCAAACAGCCGCCCAGTTTTGTGCTTGAAACCCAGGGCCCTGGTGGCATAGGCCCCAAGGGGATCTCCTGGTCTGTGGGTTGTGAAGACCATGGGAAAATAATACTAACTGGGCTGGAGTGCACCATCCCTCATGGCACAGTCCCTCATGGCTTCCCTTGGCTAGGGGAGGGAGTTCCCCCAACCTTTATGCTTCCTGGGTGAGGTAATGCCCCACCCTGCCTTGGCACGCCCTCCATGGGCTACATCCGCTGTCTAACCAGTCCCAATGAGATGAGCCAGGTACTTCAGTTGGAAATGCAGAAATCACCCACCTTCTGCATTGATCTTGCTGGGAGCTGCAGACAGGAGCTGTTACTATTCGGCCATCTTGCCAGCCACCCAAAAGTTGTAGAATTTAAATGGTGATAAGAAACCATCACTTTTTTTACATTTAAAGTTACCTTCTTAAAAGCTTTTGCAAAGAAAATCTTATGGAAGTTCCTACAGAAGGCAAAATCTTGACCTGAAGCAAGATTGCATTCTTAGTGCATATTCACACAGAATACCTTCCAGTGGGGTTTTATAAATGCATCTGTGTTGGGTTTCTTGCAACATCAACTTTCATTGAGAAGATAATTTTGGAGAAGTTGTACCAATAGTCATACGGAAAATTATGCTGTTTTTTTTCTTTAGTGGTTTTGGGTTGATGGTGATGATTCATGTCTGTGACTTAGCTAAGGAAGTAGAATCTTTGGTTTTTCTGCACAACACTGCCTCCTTGTGTAATGAGAATTATCTTCTAGTCCTTGAGTGTGTATATATACGTGTATCTGTGTACATACTTATGTATCTATATATATGTATATCCATTGTAATTCAGTAGCTTCAGCAGCTGAAACCAGATAGGTTGTCTCTTTAAAGAAAATTCGTGTTGTGCCCACACTTGATAATTTCCATTGATAAGACAAAATGTCTTTTTTTCTGAGATTGTTTGCCCAATTTGACATTATCTGTATTTTTTGCTCTTACTCCTAATCTCTCTTACTGTACCTTTAAGTTGGTGTTGAGGAATAGACACAGTGGATGAAAAGCAAAGCACTGCTTTTGCTATTTACTACATCATCTTTGGGAGGTTTTGTGGGATAGAAGATAGAAACCTTTGGATAAATGAAAAAATCCACGAATCAGAGGATGTGATTTATATAAGTGTTTTAATTTTATCAAAAGCAATTGGTTGGCCAGGTGTGGTGGCTCATGCTTGCATTCCTAGCACTTTGGGAGGCCAAGGCAGGAGGACCACTTGAGGCCAGGAGTTTGAGACTAGCCTGGGCAACATAGTGAGAACTCGTCTCTACAAAACTAAAACATTACTAAGGCACAGTGGCATGTTCCTGTAGCCCTAGCTTCTCGGGAGGCTGAGGTGAGAAGATTGCTTGAGCCCAGCAATTCAAGGCTACAGTGAGCTATGATCATGTCAGTGCACTCTTACCTGGGTAACAGAGAGAGACCCTGTTTAAAAAAAAAAAAAAAAAGGCATGGGCAAGGACTTCATGTCTAAAACACCAAAAGCAATGGCAACCAAAGCCAAAATTGACAAATGGGATCTAATTAAACTAAAGAGCTTCTGCACAGCAAAAGAAACTACCGTCAGAATGAGCAGGCAACCTACAGAATGGGAGAAAATTTTTGCAATCTACTCTTCTGACAAAGGGCTAATATCCAGAATCTACAATGAACTCAAACAAATTTACAAGAAAAAATACCAAACAACCCCATCAAAAAGTGGGCGAAGGATATGAACAGACACTTCTCAAAAGAAGACATTTATGCAGCCAAAAAACACATGAAAAAATGCTTGTCATCACTGGCCATCAGAGAAATGCAAATCAAAACCACAATGAGATACCATCTCACACCAGTTAGAATGGTGATCATTAAAAAGTCAGGAAACAACAGGTGCTGGAGAGGATGTGGAGAAATAGGAACACTTTTACACTGTTGGTGGGACTGTAAACTAGTTCAACCATTGTGGAAGTCAGTGTGGCAATTCCTCAGGGATCTAGAACTAGAAATACCATTTGACCCAGCAATCCCATTACTGGGTATATACCCAAAGGATTATAAATCATGCTGCTATAAAGACACATGCACACGTATGTTTATAGCGGCACTATTCACAATAGCAAAGACTTGGAACCAACCCAAATGTCCAACAATGATAGACTGGATTAAGAAAATGTGGCACATATACACCATGGAATACTATGCAGCCGTAAAAAATGGTGAGTTCATGTCCTTTGTAGGGACATGGATGAAGCTGGAAACCATCATTCTCAGCAAACTATCCCAAGGACGAAAAACAAACACCGCATGTTCTCACTCATAGGTGGGAATTGAACAATGAGAACACATGGACACAGTAAGGGGAACATCACACACCAGGGCCTGTTGTGGGGTGGGGGGAGGGGGGAGGGATAGCGTTAGGAGATATACCTAATGTTAAATGACAAGTTAATGGGTGCAGCACACCAACGTGGCACATGTATACATATGTAACTAACCAGCATGTTGTGCACATGTACCCTAAAACTTAAAGTATAATTTTTTTTAAAAAGTAGTTGGTACAAAGTAGTAAAGCTTAATGAATTTGTTACATATTTTTTCACTTTTTCCTATTTATTTTTGGTTCAGGCAGTTGGTGCTATTTGGCTTCATTCAATTCATTCAACAAATATTTGTACCTGTTTAGGAACCAGGCACTCTTTTACTGCAGAGAACAAAATAGAAACACCCTGCCCTCATATAGCTTATTTTCTAGTTGGGAGGACTGACAAAGATACTGAAATAAAATATATATTATGTAAGATGGTGATAAGTGCTAAGGAGAAAAAATAAAACAGAGAAAGGGGAGAGGTAATGTCCATAATGGGGAGTAATACTATAGTGTTAGATAGAGTGGCAGGAAATCCCTTACCTAAGAGGTGAAATATTTGAGTGAAATTGTTGAGGAGTCGGAGAGCAAACCATGGGGATATATGGAAGAAGAATGTTCCATGCACAGTTAATAGCACTTGCAAAGATCCTGACTAGAAAATATGTACTCTACTCCAGCTATGCTATGCAGTACACATGGGGTAGAGTCATAGAAGATGAGGCCAGACAGGATCTAAGAGACTCTATAAAGATTTGGCATTTTAGGTATTGTGCAGTTTTGAGTAAAGAAGTGAAACGTTCTCATTTTTTTTTAAATAGGCTGTAGTGCTAATAATGGAATTAAAGACGGCAAGGGTGAAAATAGAGTGGATGTCTAGAAGACTGGATTTTGATTTTTTTTTTTTTTTTTTTAGACAGAGTCTTGCTGTCACCCAGGCTGGAGTGCAATGGCACGATCTCGGCTCACTGCAACCTCTGCCTCCTGAGTTCAAGCGATTCTCCTGCCTTAGCCTCCTGAGTAGCTGGGATTACAGGTGCCTGGCACCACGCCTGGGGCTAAGTTTTGTATTTTTAGTAGAGCTGGGGTTTCCCCATGTTGGCCAGGCTAGTCTGGAACTCCTGACCTCAGGTAATCCACCCGGCTTAGCCTCCCAAAGTGCTGGGATTACAGACGTGAGCCACTGTGCCCGGCCTGGATTTTGATTTTATAATCACCCCATCATTTATTCTGGAATATGCATGCCCTCATGAACTGAGAATTTGTTACTAATTTCCAGGGGTATTTGTCATGATTAAGGTTTGTTATTAATAATGAGTTACCATATAGTAAAAAAGTTGAACACAAAGTAGGGAATCCTTTCTAGAAATTGAACCATTGGCTGAATAGTAGTCATCAAGGAGATTTTTATTTAAAAAACAAGTGATCAGATTTGGGAATAGAAATACAATCATGATTCTAATTAATATTATGTGTTTTTAAAAACATCCCATGTTACGAAATTGTGACATGTAGAATGAATTTAGGACATTTAGATGGAAAAGAGCAGTTTGTTCCTGACTATTAATGTAGGTTCACACGATTTCAACTAGGAAGATCTGTTGACAAGAAACAATGTTAAAAGATGCTTTCTTTACTTTTATATATAGAAACTCACACCAGTCACACAGCTGGTGTGAAACTTACACCAGCTTTCGCACCAGTCCTACTTTCCAGAAAAATCTTTATTTACATTGCACTGTTTGTGTTTTCCTAGAATTATATTAAATGCACTCGACTGCACTGCATTGCTATCATACTGAATTCACTTTATTTTTTGTAATTAATGCTTGGAAAACTTTAACATTATTACTCCCCAAACTAGTCCCTGACAGCAGACTGCTGTTTCTATATATACTGTAAGAGGTTTAGCATATTTTTTAATTTGCAGAGATTCCTTATGGCACCTTTCCACACAGGTATCATTAGAGTCTTAAAATCTGTAATAGTGTTGAAGATCTTCCACTAACACTGAGATGAGAGCTCCCAAGGATCCACCTTCCCCCACCACCCACCGCCAAGAGACTCTATCCCATGGCTTGATACTCACAAAAATCTTTCATTATTTGTTCATTCAACATACATCTGTTGAACACTTACTACATGCAGGCTGCTGTGGGAGGATGAAGATTTTCAAGAGTCAAAAGAAATAGCCTAGTGAATGTATAGATTGCCTCCCATTTATACTTTTCTACTAATAGCAACTGTCCTTAGGTGTTATTAGCCATAAACTAAAAATGAATCCTAGCTACATAAAATATTACAAATATGTGTAGAACATCACCTTTTCTTTATTGACCATGGATTTGAGTATCACTGTCTTATCTCTTCCTCAGGCTTAGAATAGACAAGGATCTATTTTCATTTATCCTTCTACTTCCCATCCATTTCCAAAGTTCTTAAACATTTATTTCACCTTGTCTTATTATAGATGCTAATTCCCTCTCATTAGCCAAGCTTGTTAGTTTGACACAAACCCAGTATTCAGACCTTGAGGAATAGCTCTGTCAATTCTAGGAAGGATTATCACCTGTGTTTCCTTAATTATGTTTCCCTTGATACCAGAAAGAATCCTAGCTTTTTGCCTACTCTGGGTTTAGGGCCAGTTTTAGTTGCAGTGTGGAATTTTCCTAAGCACTCCATAGTCTTGTTCAAGGCCCTTCTCCTTTACAGGCCCTCAGGGCCCCCCACACTGCCCTTTGACTCCTTGAGTTCCCTCAGGATCACTTGACAGACCCCCTTCATCCCAAGAGCACTCTGGGTCTCTCCTAGCCACCTTCCCTTCTTCAATCCTCCATCTAGAATTTTACAGGATAGATTTTTGAACAAACAGATCTTTATGGATCTCCTTAAACCATGGCAAATATCAGCGTTCCACCTTTAGGGTAGCTGCTTCATAGAATTATGATCATAGCATATTTTTAGAACTAGAAAGAACGTTGGAGCTTATCTGTGTTTTTTTTGTTTGTTTGTTTTGTTTAATTAGCATGATCTTTGCTTAAAAGAAACCTTATTTGGATATCTAGTTTATAAAACAAGTAAGAGTGGAGCTGTGCTGGATGGAGGGGCAGTGTGTCCCCACTGTCCTTCAACTTCTCACCTCTGAATTCCCAGAACAGCCTACACATGCCATCAACATAGTACTCTACAGAAGACCTCCGAAAACTGCCTGATTTGCTAGATGAAGATTGCCAAAGAGTTTCACTTTGTACTTCCTCCTTCCCCTTGGAGGTCTGATCTCTGTTCTCATGAACTTGAGACTATTGTCTGCCTGCCTCCAACCTACTTAGAGGGTCTCACGCCAGCTCCCTGCCAGTCACAGGCTTAACAACACTTTGCAGCAGTGAGTGTCATGAGGCTAGGTTTGGTTGACGAGGGTCCTTGAAAATATTCCAAGAGCCTGTACACAAGTGCTAAGTTTTCTCTTATTATAACATTACACTCTTAAAAATATTTAGCAAAAATAGAGACTTGTGAAAATGTTCTCCCTTCCAGCGACTGTGGTGAGAAAGCACTTCCCTGGGAGTCTGCAAAGACACAAAACATTTCTTGTTCTCACTTCAGCTTTTGACCAGCAAAATCCAGCTGAATTTTCTTTCATATCAATTGTTTCTGTCCTCAGAGACATCTAGATGCATTTGCATTACTTTAGTGGAAGCAGAGGGAGGATTGGCATGAAACTGGTAGTTGTGATAGTTTCTGGAAAGGTCCATGTTAGAGAAGAACAGATTGTTTTATTTACGTGCTCCATATGACAATTTAGGACAGATAGAAGATAACCAGGAAGGCTTGATGTAGAAATCTTAATTTAGCTTAGGCTCTGATTTAAAAATAAAATCTATGTGAATGGTGGGGGAAGAAGAAGGGAGCAATTGGAGGACTTCTTCATGTTTTACAGCTGGTAATTAAATTTTGCCATCCTGTTAGACCATATATTTTGAGAAGGCAAGGGAATATAGAAGAAAGCATGTGGGCTGTCAAGTCCTTCCTTCCTTCCTCTATTCATTTTTTTTGTCAATAATTTATGATTTATTTTTCTTCCTTCTTCCCTTTCTTTCTTGAAAAATTTTTTAGGCTCCTAAAATGTGCTTGGCATTGTTTGCTGCTAAGGACACAAGACTGAACTACACAGTATGGAGCTTACAGCCTGGGGAACATTATCATTCTACCTTTGTCATTTACTAGCTGAGTGACCTTGGGAAAAGAATAACTTAATCTTTCTGAGCTTCAGTTTCATCTTCTGTAAAATGGGAATAATACTGACTTCTCACGTGGGGGCAACAAATAAATGAGAATTGAATGAGTTAATGTGCCGATTACTCCCACAGTATGCCAGGTACATAGTAGGGGCTTAAAAAATTGGAGCCTATTCCCCTCTTACAGTCATTGTAACCTGATATTTAGGTTCATCTTCCCACATTCTACAAGGGTTAGGGCATCAGGCTCTTTATTCACTCTGCCTCAGAGTGCTCCTGAACATCCCCTTCAGCAACCTATAGGCCTTCCTAGCCATCCTGAATTCTCAAAACCCCTTCCAGACTTCAGCTCTTTCAGTCTCCCATTGAATCAGCATTTCAGTCCCTTCAGCCTCTCTGTTCTCTGGATCCCATCTTAGTGTCAAAAACTGTCAACCTCACCCTTCCCCCTTCAGCCCATCCTTTCTCTCCATGATGACTTTATTTCCTTTCATGTTCCTCCTGTATGCCACAGCCAAACATTCACTGCTGCCATCTCACCAGGATACTGCTCTTTTGTCTGCTCCATTGGCCATGGCAATCTATAACTCTGAATCTACCCAATTACTAGTTTTTTTTTTCTCTCACCTTTGGTTTACCTGTTGCTGCTGGAGAAAAGTGCTCAACCACACCAATGTTCATCTCTTTTAGTTTTATATTTCTTGTTTTACTGTTCCCTTTATACTGCCTCGAGAAGCTTTTACACATTTTTAGTTGGTTTGATCTTCCTTTCCTTCAATAACAACTGCTGTAGCATGCAATCTTTGTCTCTCTTTGCCCTCATCTCCATGCTATCTTCCTAAAATCATCCTCCACCATTCAAAAGTCACGTGTACCTCCTTTCCTACTTCCTAGTTGTCCAAGAAGAAAATGTATTCTTACTCTTTTCCAAACTCAATTAGTGCTCTTGTTCCTTTCCTCCCTCCCAGCTTCTCTTGAATCTGGTAGAACCAATAATTTCTTCTCTTGTTTGTCTCTCCCTCTTCATTGGCTCTTCCTCATTAACCTTCAAACATGTTCAAGTCAGTCAGTCTCTCATCGGGGTGCTACCTTGCTTCTCTTGATTATTGCCAAATGTCTTCATTGTGTCGTTTGTCCTCATTACTTTCACTTTCTCATTTATCATTTAAAGAGCCACTAAAATTGGGCTTTCACCCAATTTTCACACTACCATACTGAAACTCTCTTGGGGTGACCAGGGTCCTCTTAACAAAGCCAGTGGTTTCTTGAAGTTCTCATCCTTCTTGGCATGTCTTTGGTTTTTAACACTGTTGACTTCTTTCTTGAAATTTTCTTCTCCTTTGACTTCAATCCAATAATAATTTCTCTTAGTTTTTCTCCAAAATCTCTAAGCTTTCTGTTTCACTTTTCCATTAATGGTTCCTCTTCTGCCTATTCTTCAAGTGCTGGTGATGTTCCCCAAGTTTCTATGCTCAATCGTCTTTTCATTTTCTACATTCTTTCTTAGGATGATCTCATGCATACTCATGATTTCAACTGTAACATATAGGTTGATGACTTAAAAATTGGTAACTCCATGCCCCAGTCTTTCTCCTGAACTCTACTCCCTCTGCTAATAGCTAACTGGATAAATTGCAGGCACCTCACATTCGGTGGGGCTCACCTGCCCCACCACAAGCTGACCAGGCCACTCCTACCACTTCTCAGCTTTAATGTTAGATGCATTCAATAAAACCTGAGGTGCAAGACACTTAAGACCTCTGTGGAATTCTCTCTCTTTCTCCTTTTCCTTCATTACAAGTAACTAGTGCTTAGTAAAAGTCACTAGTTAATATTATAAGCAATTTCCTGTCCTGGGCCTTTACAAAAATTCAGTGGCATCCCAAAATAATTAGTAAGGTGAGAAGGATCTGAGTCACCAGGCCCACCCTGAGTTAGAAAAAACAGGCTGGGCGCGGTGGCTCATGCCTGTAATCTCAGCACTTTGGGAGGCTAAGGTGGGTGGATGACTTGAGGTGAGGAGTTCAAGACAAGCCTGGCCAACGTGGTGAAACCCTGCCTCTACTAAAAATACAAAAATTAGCTGGGCCTGGTGGTGCACACCTGTAGTTCCAGCTACTTGGGAGGCTGAGGCAGGAGAATTGCTTGAACCCGGGAGACTGAGGTTGCAGTAAGCCGAGATCATGCTACCATGCTACTGTACTCCAGCCTGGGCGACAGAGCAAGACTCTTAAAAAAAAAAAAAAAAAAGAGCAGGAGAGAGAGAAGAAACAAAGACAACCTCAAGCAGTGGCACATGGTCAGAATTTGCTTTTTGTCTCATATGTAGCAGGAAAGAACATTTCAGGCATCATTTCAGTAAGTTTCTGATATTCTTGCAATGCAATACAGTTTTGCAGGTAAAGCCCAAAGTTATTTGCTAAAGATGTCTAATTGCCCTTTTCATTTTGTTTTAAACTGAAAAAAAGCAAAACAAAGCAAAACAAGAAAACAATATCCTGGACTTCTTGGTCAGCAGGGGGAGCACTATCACTTTGCTCCGGGAAGATTTTCACCAAGGCAACAACTGTCTTTTAATATAGACCACATCCTAGCAACGAGGAGGAAAAAAATAATGACACGATCGATACATTTGCTCCCTGGTGGTTGCAATTTTTAAACACAGCTTTTTTTTTTTAGCCTTTGTATTTGAAAAATGTTTGCTTAGGAAGGGGTCATCAGCTATCTTTTTTTTTTTTTTTCTGTCCTGCCTTTTAGTCACTTTCTAATTTGAGAGAAAGGTATTTAATTCAGAAGACAGGGTTTTAAATGTGTCGTGGAGGCTGGTGTTACAGCACCTGGTTAGTATATGGGCTATGTCTGTGTGACACAGAAATAAAGACACTGATTTGCTCATTTTATTTAAACTAGTCAATACAGTGAGAGAAATCAGTCAAACTGGATTTCTGTCTAAAGTGACCTTTTGTTTGAGTGAATTGATTCAAGGAAATTGAAATGGGGACATGGTGTCCTTCTCAGACTCAGCTGGAGCAAAGCCTATCAAGCGAGGGTGGCAGCATCGTCAACAGGGAGCATCGGGCAACCGGGCTCTCATCTGGCTTCTGCTCTGTGATCTCGGACAGAACGTTTAACTTAACTCTTTGTACCATGATTTCTTCTCTTATAAACATCTCACACTTTTATGATGAGGAAATTATAAAATGGATTTGGAAGCATCTTGAAATATCAAGAAATGTCTATATAATAATTTACACAAAAGACCTAGCTTAGCTCATATACATTCAGACATATATAAGCTATAGAGGCATATATAGTACATATATACCCTATGTGTACATATGTATATATGTGTGTATGTAGCTAAATCCACATATTTATATATATGTAAGATATATATACACACATATATAAGAGATATTATAATTATACACATAAAGGAGGTGTTTAGGTGAAGACAATTCTTTCTGAAAGTATGACAGTTTATAGTAATTTCCCCACTTACAGAATAATAATAGCTTACAGGCAGAAATAATAAAGAATCCAGGACTCTTTTGATAATCTTTTATTTCCTAAAATTCTTATTTGGTGAAGAGAAGTTTATATCACTTATTTTCCATGAACATTTTAAAAAGAAGGAATTCTAATCTGTAGATGCTGCTTTAACTAAAGCTATCCTTATCTAATAATATACCTGATTAAATACTCTGCCAGAGTATTTTTCTTTCATCTCCTTTGTACCCTGAATGGAAGCATTGCATCAAAATATTTCTACAAGCATTTTAAGAGAAATAGATGAATAAGGGGAAATCTAGTTGGCACCAAAGAAACATGCATTTTATTCACTCAGGATCTAAAATGGCTGACTCGTTCTTTTTAAGTAAATCTTTCTCTTTTTCCAAATGACAACAAATAATTTAACATGTGACATTAGGCCTTTTTTTTAAGTAATGAATTTTTAATAAACAAATGGAATGGCTTTCATTTTTAATAATATATTATTCCATTATAAAGTGCAATTTGATCTATTTGATCTGTGGCTAGTTAACTCAGAGGTTAAGAGTGAGGTGCTAATGAATTCCAAGTAATAAGTTTAATTCCTGTGAGGTTCAGGGTTACTCGATACTATGGCTACAGACATATCCCTAATCCTAAATAATCATCCATCTTAAAAATTATTATTGCTATCCAAATCTGAGACCACGCAATGTAATGTCAGGTAAATAAGGCAAAACTATTTCTACCGTTAAGAGGCAACCAAGTCCATCTGCCCACTTGTAAGTGTTTTCAGTATCATCTTGGGATAGCTCCTTCATAATTATATTTTATATTTTTGGAGTACTTAGGAAAGGTATAAGTTGGGGAATTCCAGGTATTTTAATTAAATCCTACAGGACAACTGTGGTATCATACCTGACAAAAAGCTGAAGTACAGTGAAAAATATCTAGACTGGGAACTAGACATACTGTGTTTGAATCCCAGCTCTTCCATTAATCAGCTTTGAGCACTTAGACAAGTCATTTAACCTTTCCCAGCCTTGATTTCCTCGTGAAAATGAAGACAGAAATACCTATCTTCCAGCTTACTGTAGGGTTTAAATGAATTAATATATGTAAATATATGTAAATGAGTTTTTATATATACTTAGCATGGTGCTTGGCACATAATAAGTACTTAGTAAATAGTAGCTATCTCTAGCCTTCTGATCATTATCGGAACTCCTACATAAGAGGTATTGTAAGAATTAAATGAATATTGAATATGGACCACATTTTTTTTCTTTTTGTTTTTTGAGGTGAGTCTCCCTCTCAACCAGGCTGGAGTGCAGTGGCTCGATCTCAGCTCACTGCAACCTCTGCCGCCTGGGTTCAAGCGATTCTTCTGCCTCAGCCTCCTGAGTAGCTGAAATTACAGGCATGCACCACCACGCCTGCCTCATTTTTTTGTATTTTTAGTAGAGACAGGGTTTCACCATGCTGGCCAGGCCAACTCCTGACCTCAAGTGATCCACCTACCTTGGCCTCCCAAAGTGCTGGGATTACAGGTGTGAGCCACCATGCCCGGCCCACATTCTTTCTTGAACTGAAGGTATTTTGTTTATCGGTGAGCATTAAATTCATAGTAAAATATTACTATCTCACTGGGGGCAATTATCTCTTTATTCATTAATTAAAAACTCGCATGACAAGTTATTGTGTATTATGCACAAAATATTGAGATAGGAATAACAAGGGATTTTTTTTTTAAAGTGTGAGTATGAGACTTTCACTTCTGGGTAAAATGTAGAAGTCCATGGAAGGCCAACACTCTCAGTGCAACAACTTGGGGTAACCTGGATAAATGTAGTCCCAGCTACTCGGGAGGCTGAGGCAGGAGAATGGCGTGAACCCGGGAGGCGGAGCTTGCAGTGAGCCGAGATAGTGCCACTGCACTCCAGCCTGGGCGACAGAGTGAGACTCAGTCTCAAAAAAAAAAAAAATTATGTTTTAAAGGCATCAAGTTTCTGTGGAAGCATGTGGATTAGATGAACCAAAATTCCAGATAGAGTAGAATCCTTGCCAAAGTGAGCTGACACTATCTTATATTTTTTCACCAGATATATGCCAATCCTGAGTGTGGGTTGAAGGATTTGCCTACACAGAGAATCTCTGCTGGGACAAAGAAAAACCAGTAAAGTTCTTGACAGTTATAAAGGGATGACGTGACAAATAGGAAGAAGGCAACTCAAACACATGACTGATTTTCCCGTAACATATTTGCTGAATTCTGGTACTGCACAGAGGGATATGAAACTAGGGCAAGAACTTTTAAAAGAGTGAAATCTATCTCTCATTGTCTTGTGATGCTTAGGAAACAGGTCCCCTGGAGACCTTCCCTTACATACACCTCCAGTTTTTTCTTAAGACATTTGCCAAGTATTGAAGCTATGAGGGACAGAGGGCTAAAGATCTAGGCTGGAACTTCTGAAGGACAGAGCTGGATCTCCTGCAGTCTTTCAGGGCTGAGGAGATGAAGACTCCAGGGCTCACAATCACAAGCCCAGAAGGAACATGCTCTAGAATAGGAGCAAATTAGAGGTAGAGAAAGTCTTAATAAAAATGCAGCTCACACTCAACACAGTTTCTCGTTGTATCAATTTCTCATGTAATCAAAAGGACCAACTCCTTACCCTCTCTGCCTAACAGAGGAAAGGGAGAACCCTCTCTGTAGAAGATAGCATTTGGAATCTTCACATTTTTTTATACCCTATGTCTGACACATAATAAAAAACTAGTAGATATGGGACAAGGCAATAAAATGTGGCCAGTAATAAAGAGAAAAGGCAGGCAATAGAAGCAGACTCATAGATGATCTGGATATTAAAGCCAATAGACAAAAGCTTTAGAGCATAAGGCAGAGGCCAACAAAAGAACCAACACTTCCAATATAGACTAATAATTATTTATGGTTGAGTGATGGTTTGTAGGGGGCTGTCCTCAGTTGGGAGAAATTTTCCTGTTTCTCTTGTCCTTATTGAGGGAGGGGCATTGGTAAGAATAGAGGAGAAGTGGTCCTTGGACTGTACACCAGGACCAGGCCTTGTGGCCTAGACTGTGAGTGAGAGTAAATCTTCCAGAGTTCCAAAAGAGTGGTAGTGAGGCAGATTGGGAGAGCTGGGTAACCAAGTCTCAAATACCAAAGAGGAGCAAAGAAGCAGAGGCAAAACGTCCAGGAATCAAAGAGAACTGATGCATGAAGGTGGAGACTAAAGACATTTCCTGATTCAAAACACAGATAAAGCAGCACATAGGAGGCAAGCTGGAGGGAATAGATTTGAGATGTTAACGAGGCACAATCAAGCGGTGGTGGTGATTGTTTGGATGAATGAATGAATGAATGAATGAAAAAAAAAGTCCATATGTCTCCAAAGCAGGGTTACTGGATTAATGGTTCCCAGAAAGGGAAACTCAAGGAGGGGCTGTTCTGATGAGCAGATAGGAGTCATGGATATGGTATGTTTTCAGTGTCATCTAGGTGGAGGTATTTACTACACGGTTTTTCACATCCACATGCATGTGCATGCAGACACACACACCCCCAGTGAGAACTTTGTCAGAAATATAATATGGGTGCCATCATGATAGTGGATAAGATTGCCCAGGGAAAATATTTCAAGTGAGAAGAGATCCAAAGATAAAACCTAGAGAAGTATTGACATTTAGAGTTCAGACAGAGAAAGAGAAACTTGAAAGGAGACCCAGGTAAGTCAGAGGAAGAAATAAAATAAGGTAAAGCAGAATCTCAGGGATGTGGAGGAGAGTCTGGCTTAAGAAAGGGACACAGGCCAATGGGCAAAGGATACAAACAAATCTTTTTTTTTCTTTTTTTAAAGCACTGGAAATTAGCAAGACAAGAGTCATTGGAGAGGTGGCCACAAGATTGAGAGCTTTTCCTACAAGTTTGATTGTGAAGGGAAAGAGAGGTATAGGTCAGTTCTAGGATAGGGTGTGGTGCTATAGAACCCAGGCAGGTTTTTTGTTTGTTTTCTTTTCAAGGTGGGAGAGCCTTGAACATGTTTATGTGGTAAAGAGAAAGATCTAATAAAGAGCAAGTGGCCGAAGAAGTGGGAGGAGATAAATAATGGTGTCAAGTCCTGGAAGAAGTAGGAAGATATGAGATCTATTTAATAAAATAACCAGTGGTGAGATTCGATTAAAAAATACACACTGTGTGGCCATGTGTGCATGTGTGAATGTATATATGTGTGTATAATATACTTATATATCAATAAGAACATATAAGTAAAAATCAATTCTTTCTGGATGGGGATTTTTAATAATGTAGTCTATCTAATATATTAAGTGGTGGTACTATTAATTGTCAACATATTATAACCTAAACTTAAATGCCAATTTAAAAATTTTATTTTAGAAAGTGATTTTTCCAAAATGTTTTACGTAGTATGTTGCCTTCTTAAATGAAATATTCGGAACACAATTTGACCTTTTCTCGATGACTCACTTTGAACATCAATCATTGTTCAATTCTGTAATACTGCCATGCCCTCAGGAGCCACTAAGGTCCACAGGGCCGTTCACCCAATGTTAAATGGCTCCAGACAGCTGTGCTGTTAAGAGTTCTTCTGTCTTTCCACCCTGTCATTTGTCACTTCTCTGCTGTTGTCATTGTTTGCCAAGGCATCCTGCTGCTTTTTCTTTTTCTGTTTTTTTTTTTTTTTTTTTTTTTTGAGACAGAACTGTGCTTTGTCGCCCAAGATGGGAGTACAATGGCGTGATCATGGCTCACTGTAGCCTCAATGACCTGGACTCCAGTCCTGCCTTAACCTCCCAAGTAACTGGAACTACAGGCATGCACCACCATACCCAGCTGGTTTAAAATTTTTTGGTTTTTTTTTTGTAGAGACAAGGTCTCACTATGTTGCCCAGGCTGATCTTAAACTCCTGGGCTCAAACCATCCTCCTGCCTTGGCTTAAGACTTCCTGCTTCTTATATGTTGCCTTCACTCTGTATAAACCTGCTGAGTGAAGACCAAAGAGCAGCTGCAGCCATTCCTAAAGTGCAGACACAGACACAGGGACAACTTGTTCAGCCACTCGGGTGTCTTTTTGCAGAGCCCTGATGGGAAGATGGTTGGACTGGCCTGCCTCCGTTCCTACTGGGCCGAGGAATGGACTGAGGTTGGCTGCAAGTCTGACTTTTTGGATATAGGGAAACAACTGGCTTGCAGCATGTACCAGTCTCTCCTTGGTCACCAGACACTGCTCCATCTCACAGAGGTGTGTAGACCTGAGTCATCAGGAGACTGGTTAAACCCTTATCTGCATATGGTCGTGAGCTACTGGATATTACAGTAAATTAGTCATGAAATCTGACCAGTGTTTTGTTTTTGTTTTTCTGATGGTGGGGACAAATTATTTTGCCTGTGGCAAAAGTAGCTGGATTTTTATAGCTCCTTTTCCTGCTCTCTAGGACCAGCTACCCCAGAGACAAATTGTCCCATTGTTAAAATCTTTGTCTAACACCTCTGGGAGGAAAAACTACCTCCCTGGCTCATACATCAAAGTGTGGGATTGCCATTTTCTTCCTTTGCCCCTTACCTCTCGCTCATCATTTGGCTGATCCAGAGTGGCCGAGACCAGCTCTATCTCTAAAGTCAGAGCTCACAGCCCACTCATGAATCAGCAATCTTTTCACCCAAAATGAAAACAAAAGGAAGCAGTCCCCTTTCCAGAAGGTTGTAGATATATGACATTGATATCAATCTATTATTTAGGATAACCATTTAAATTATACCTCTCCTTCAATTCTGTTTTTTTTTTTTTTTTTTTTTTTTTTTGAGATGGAGTCTTGTTCTGTTGCCCAGGCTGGAGTGCAGTGTTGCGGTCTCGGCTCACTGCAAGCTCTGCCTCCGGGTTCATGCCGTTCTCCTGCCTCAGCCTCCTGAGTAGGTGGGACTACAGGTGCCCACCACCACGTCCAGCTAATTTTTTGTATTTTTTAGTAGAGACGAGGTTTCACTGTGTTAGCCAGGATGGCCTCGATCTCCTGACCTCGTGATCTGCCCGCCTCAGCCTCCTTCAATTCTGCTTTAAACACCTCTCAGCCATACAGTGATAATTCGAACATAGGGGAAGCTTAAGACAGTCCAGGTATATTGAAAAGATTGTCTTCTGTGGCTAGCTTTCCTGCCAAACCACCAGAAACTTCCTGATATTACAGGAAATGAATAAAAACAGTGGTGAATGGAAGAGATAGGATCTTGGGATTAGATTAGGATACTGCAGACCTAGCAAACTGGTGGCTTCCCTATCTACAAAGGTAATGAAGAAGATCCTGGACTAGCGATTGCATACACAAAGTACTTCCATTAAAGCCAAAACAAATGACCAAATATTTATTGAACACTTGACTGCCTAATACCCAGATACAAAGTCTTCATTTGTACTAAAGCACCATGTACACTTCAGATGTTGCAGCCTAGAAACCCTGATCAGAACACACAATTTTATTCAGCGAACATTGCCCTAAGAGGGTAGGGATGCATTATAATACTGCCTGTTTATCTTGTGTAAGAACCTTATATATATTATTTTTCTTAATTTTCTCCATTTTACAGATGAGGAAATCAAGGCTTTGAGGATTTAAGAAAATTGTCTGAGGCTGTAAAGTGCCAGGACTGTAATTTAAAATTCTAAAACCCTATTCACGTGGTGTCATGTGTGTTTGCTCTGTAAATAATTACAGCAGCACCTGGCCAGGTGCGGTGGTTCACGCCTGTAATCCCAGCACTTTGGGAGGCCGAGATGGGCGGATCACGAGGTCAGGAGATCGAGACCATCCTGGCTAACACGGTGAAACCCCGTCTCTACTAAAAATACAAAAAAATTAGCCAGGCCTAGTGGCAGGCGCCTGTAGTCCCAGCTACCCAGGAGGCTGAGGCGGGAGAATGGCGTGAACCCGGGAGGCGGACCTTACAGTGAGCCGAGATCGCAACCACTGCACTCCAGCCTGGGCGACTGAACAAGACTCAATAATAATAATAATAATAATAATAATAATAATAATAATAATAACAGCAGCACCCTTTAATCTGCTTGTTAATGTTATAGCAGAAACTTTTGTTCATACTGACAGCATTTGCAAAGAACTTCATGGATGTTTATAAGGCATTCGGGCTTGTGTTTGTAGCTTCCTCTTCCTTGAGAAGATTTCTTCTATTTATTTCCTCTTCATTCGTCAAGTATGAGATAAAGTAAGAAAAAGATTGTTTTTTATCTATTTGTCTGTTATTGAGAAAACACTATCACCATGGAGAAAGGGAACAATTTCAATAAATAGCACTCTCAGTTCCTTTATTTCTACCAGTCTCTTAGACTGATTTCTTCATGGAATTGAGTACTTGTTAGAATGTGGTACAGACAGAGCATTTGCTTTCCCTCAACTTCGGAATTAATATGATTAATTAATATAGTTAATATTTATTGTTGTCCTGCCAGTTAAAAATGGAAGATAAAGTTTTTATGTGCTAGGCACTGAACTGTTTTACATAGATTGCCTTAATGCCTATTATTAACATTCTTGTTTTTCAGTTTAGAAACTGGCTTAGAGAGGTTAAGTAATTTGTTCAAGGTCACACAGCTGGTAATTGCTCAAGGTTGACAAAGCTAGGTTTTCACCCACGCTGTGTGATTCCAGAGCTGTTATCTTGTACTCTGCTACCACCCAAATCCAACTGGGTTCTCATGGGATGTCATATTTAATTGATTCAAATAACACTAATATATTTAACATTTCCTTCAAAGAGCTTTGCAAAAAATATGGGGAAACAACGGGAAAACAATCAAGCAATATTAGAAATAAATCGGGCATGTGGAAAGAGAAGAAAAGAGAGGCCAGTTAACAAGGAAGAGAGAGTGTAGTGGGGCTAGGGAAAGCCTGGATGTTGATCTCTAATCATCACTGCTTAAGGCAAGGAGTTGAGTGGATGCTTTAAAGGGTGTTTGGCAGAGAGTTACATGGCAAGAGTTACGTGGCAACACCCTGCCTACAGAGTGATGAGACATTTTTCTTGTTTGGCTGGTATGGGGCTTCTGAAAGCCTTTTCTAAAGAGAACTGTCAGAAAGGGTGGAAAAAAATGAGACTAGGGTATGGGCTTTTAAAGTGATTAACTCAAAAGAACTACATTCATTTGGCTGCATTCAATTTTAAAGTGATTAATTGGAAAAGACGACATTTATGTAAGTGCTGGTGAGATGGATAAGACATTTAAATCTCAATATGGCACTCCCTCGTATATCAGGTTATAGCAACTGGTCTGTATGGAGCGTGATTCTAATAGGGTCATAGTCATAGGTCACAGATGCTGTCTATTTACAGTAGAGGACATCTTTTCCACCTGAACATGATGAGCCAGCTACCTGCAGGACACTGATGACAAAGGAATCTGACTGACAGAGTATATGCAAATTCATTTTCATTCTTACGCAGGCTTGCAGATAGCCTGCCGATGTTCAATAATATGATCATTTTATGATAAATAAGCAAATATTTATTGAGCACCTACTATATATTAGGTTCTTATTATGGAAATAACTATAGATATTATTAATTTAGGCATGAAATCATGGTGTTCATCTATCTCCTCAAGAATTTTCAGTTTGCTCACTGAGTTTAATTCATTGCTTGGTTTTGAGGTCCTACCTGCATTGCAGCCCCACTCTACCTGTCTATCTCATTTTTCTCAATTTCCCAATCCACATTCTCTCCTCTTGTCAAGCCTAGCTCATTACAGTCTTCTCCTTGTATGGTACTTAGGTCTGCCTCTGAGACTTTGCTCACGCCAGTCCTTCCTTCTAGAAATCCTTTCCCTCCCATTCCAGCTGTCCAAATTGTACCCATCCTTGAAGAGCCCTCAATTTCCACCTCTTCATTAAAGGCTTCTTGACTGTTCTGGGTTTTATTAACCATATCTCTCTGAACTGATAGTATAATTATAATGTGTTTCACAATTTAGTACTTAATCATAGAATTTCAGTACTGAAAAAGACTTTAAGATTGTCCTCAATTTATGCATGAATCCCCTCTACACAACCCTCCCAATGAGCTTTTAGTCTGCACTCAAACATTTATCTTGGGAGATATTGCTGTCGTTTATATTCATTCTTTCAACCAATATTTACTAAACAACTATGTTTCAGGCATTACACTAGGGACTGGGGATTCAATAGTGAGCAAGACTCTAAAATCCATATCCCCTCATAAAGATAATATTATATAGTGGTAAATGCTAAAATAAAATAAAGTACTGAGTTGTGTTGGAAAGTGATTGGAGATACTAATTTAAATAGGGTGACCAGGAAAGGCCTCGCATAAACAATTTCTTTGATATCGAGGGCCTTGATGATGAGAAGAGGCCAGCTCTGAGCACATCTGGAAGAAAAGTTTTTTAGACAGTGAGAACAAGTGCATGACTTTGAGGTGGGATTGGATTTGGTGAGTTTGAGGAATAGGAATAAGGACAATGGATGAAGTGTAGCGAGTGGGTAGGTGAGAAGTAGAGATGTAGCTACAGAGAGAGCCCAGGGAAGATCCTGTGGAGCTCATAGGCCGTGGCAAGAGATTTGGACAATATAGTTTGCACTTAATTTGAGCTGAATCTGGCTCACTTGACTTTTTATTCCTTTTTCTTAGCTCTGCTTCTAGGCATCATATAGAACTAGTGTAGACCCTCTGGCACAGAACAGCCTTATATATTTGAAGACACCTATGCTATCCCTAATGAGACTGTTCAGGGATAAATAATTCCATTTCTTTCTGCTGTTCCTTCTGCAATCTCAGGAGCTGTCCCCATTCTGGCTAATTTCTTTTACACATCACCTGTATTACTCATAAGGGTGGCACCTAGACCACAAATACAGGATACAGTCAGCCTATTTCCTCACCCTTTCTAGGATATGTTTTGTTCATACAATTAAAAATTGTATTTTTTTCTTTTTTCAGCCAATTACACTGTTTAGTCATGTTGAGTTTTCTGCCAAAACCTTTGGATAATTTTCTACATCATCTGTTGCTAAACTATATTTCCCTTCAACCTATATATCTGTGGTGAACATTGTGTTTTATTTTGTTTTGTTTAAAGGGAAGAATCTTAACATTTATTCTTATTATACTTAATATTATTTGACTTAATCCATATGCTAGCCTTTCAAGATCCCTTGGGATGCCAATTTCATCATCTGCTGGATCTGTTATTTTTCTTATCTGCATGTCATATACAAATTTAATAAGTGTATTTTCCAAACACTCACAAAAATCATTTAAATGTTTTTGGAAGAGGGCTATGGACAGAGTCAAGTAAAAGATCTATAAGAGCACGAACTATCTGTTTCGTTCCTTCTTCCTTCTGTTCATTACAATGCCTGGTAAAGAGTATGTTTAATGGATTCAATTGGAAAAAGTGCTTGGGATCTGTTATAGTTTGAATATCTTCTCCAAACCTCATGTTGACATTTAATTGTCATTGTGATGATATTAAGAAGTGGGACCTTTAAGAGGTGATTACATCATGAGGGCTCTGCCTTCATAATTGGATTAATGCTATTATCACAAGAGCAGCTTAGTTATTGCAGGAGTTTGACTCCCTTTTTCTCTGTCTTGTGCTCTATGGCCCTCTCACATCATGTAATGCTTTTTGCCATGTTTTGATGTGGCAAGAAGGCCCTCACCCAGTGTGGCCCCTAGATTGTGGACTTCCTAGCCTGCAGAATCATGAGCCAAATAAATATCTTTTCTTTATAAATTACTCAATCTGTGATATTCTGTTATATCTGCAGAAAATAGACCAACACAAGCTCCCTTTTAGCCATACTGATCTCTTTAGTAAATGGTTGTTCAGATACATCCTCAGATTTCTCTCCTGAAAATACTCTTTCATTCTCTAACATATGGCTAGGCAACAAATTTTCCAAATTTTTACCCTCTGTTTCTCTTTTACTTACCCTCTGTTTCAAATTTCACTTGAAGGTCAATCTTTTGCTGCCATAACTGAATGTAAGCTATTAAAATACCCCCGCCACTTCTTGAGTGCTTTACTGCTTAGAAATTTCTTCCACCAGATACCCTGTCACTCCTAACTTTGGCTCTCCAGAATCCAGGGTCATGCCCTAGAACTTCCCTGCCTTCAGAGCCATGATCTAAACAAAAACTCTTTTCTTTATAAATTATCCAGCCTCAAGTATTTTGTTATAGCAACACACACAAAACCAAGACAAATGCCATTCACCTTTACTGAGAAGAAAGAAATAAAAGAGACAAAGATTTTTTTTTGGTATTCATAAACTACTATTAGCTCCATTGTAATCCTGATCCACACATAAATATAAACCATTTTTTTAACTTTAGCACTTTTTTTTTTTTACAATCGGTAGCATTGAGGTGTTAGCCTGCATATAACTCTATGTATAAGTTGATGCCATTCTTTTATTTTTCCTTGTTCATTGATCTCTTTTTTCCATAATATGTACATAGTTAGGTTGTATATATATGAGTTTGTGAGAAGGTAGGCTATGTAGTTACATTGCTTTCTCTAGATTCTTCCTCCCTTTCCTCCTTATGGAGAAATAACATAGAATTTCATTTTAATCTCTTGAGCGTCATTTCCTTCAAGAGTCTTTTGCCACTGAATCACATTTTCTTCTGTAGTTCAATCTCAGACTTTTAAAACTTCAACTGTATTCAGTTTTTCTTTCCCTGCTGATCATCCAGGGACAGTTTTCTCCTAGGACATCATTTTTTCTTTTCTTTTCTTTTCTTTTCTTTTCTTTTCTTTTCTTTTCTTTTCTTTTCTTTTCTTTTCTCTTTCTTTCTTTCTTTCTTTCTTTCTTTCTTTCTTTCTTTCTTTCTTTCTTTCTTTTTGAGACAGGGTCTCATTCGTTGCTCAGGCTGGAGTGTAGTGGTATATTGCTCACTCTAGCCTTGATCACCTCCCAGGGCTCAGGTGATCCTCCTACCTCAGCCCCTCTAGTAGCTGGGACTACAGGCGCACGCTACCATGCCTGGCTAATTTTTGTTGTTTTGTTTGTTTGTTTGTTTTTGGTAAACATGGATTTCGCCATGTTTCCCTGGCTGGTCTTGACCTCCTGGGCTCAAATGATCCACTGCCTCAGCCTCCCAAAGTGCTGGGATTACAGGCATGAGCCGCTGTGCCCAGCCCATTAGTTTCATTTCACCAACAAACCTCTCCTTGTCTGTAAGACTTAGGTTCAGAGTGGAAGTTCCTCTAGTTATTTCATCTCTTTTGAAGATGGCATTGTCAGTGAAGCCAAAGTTAATCAAGAATTATACTAGCTGAATGAAATCCTTAGTAAATGTCTGAATATTTAAAGCCCCATCATTGCTCTTTCTTATTCGTTCCCACCAAGTTCTTTCTGTTGCTTCCTATGAAAGCATGTTCTCCATCCTATGCTACAATCGCAAGTTTACTTCTTTTATAACTCATGTTCTGTGTCAGTCTGTAAAACATCTGAGATTATGAGACTATGAGAATTGTTTATGACCTATGTCTTAATGATTATTTCAATTGAAATGATTTGGATCTGCAATCACAATATCATTCTTGTTTCTATATGACTTAGACAAGAATTGTTTGCTTGCAGAAAACAGGAACCTACTGAGACTAACTTGAACTTAAAATAGGGGCATTTAATGAGAGACTATAGGGGTATGTCATAGACTATATAGCCAAAGAGACTAGTTCAGCTCTGCAAGGAACTCAATTGACATCTGGACAGTTGGGGATTGATTTCATTCTTTCTGTTCTCCTGTGCTTCTTGCAGTGTGTCTGCACCATTCTCCAGCTTCTGCAGCCCCACATTTTCTGCTGTGGCATGCATATAGCAGAAAACAACAATTTTATCTCCAATGCACATGACCTTCAGATCAAGTGTCCAATCCTGGAAGCTCAGTCTTGGTACCTCTACTTTAAACTCTCTCCCACATCTGATTGCCTTGGCTTGGCCTATGATTTACTTTCTTTGGTGTCACAAACCACTCTTGGTCCAGTCATTTGGAGCTGGAGAGAAAAGGGTTGTTGAATACCAACAGACTGTGGAAAATTATTTTTCTAAGGAGGGTGTGAGGGCAGAGCAGAAATGGTTTGGCATTTCCACATTAGAACTGCCATTCTCTACTCTGTTTATTTCTGTTTTTATTTTACTTTCTCCACAATCACATTAAGTAGTTTCCAGCCAAACACAATCTTATACTTTTTTGTAAGATACACTCTCATCTTAGACTTGTCTTTCATTACAATATTTTTTTGTGTGTGAATATAATCAAATTATTTATTTATTTAATTGACACATAATAATTGTACATATTCATGGGGTACAGCGTGATGTTTTGATACATGTATACATTGTGTAATGATCAAATCATGGTAATCAGCATATTCATCACCTTAAACATTTATCATTTCTTTACTGTGAGAGCATTCAAAATCCTCTCTTCTAGCTATTTGAAATATACAATGCATTTTTATTAGCTATAGTCATTCTACTCCACAAACAGAACACCAGAACTTACTCCTCCTAACTGTAACATTGTTCCCATTGACCAACCTCTTCCCATCTCCTCCATTCCCACATTCTTCCCAGTCTCTGGTAACCACTATTCTACTGTCAACTTCTATGAGATCAAGTTTTTTAGATTTCATGTATGAGTGAGATTGTGTAGTATTTGTCTTAATGTGCCTAGCTTATTTCACTTGGAAGACTGAATATCAACATGCAAAAGAATGAAATTTGACCCCTATTTCTTACTATATAAAAATCAACTCAAAATAAATTAAAGATTCAAATGTAAGGCCCAAAACTATGAAATTACTAGAAGAAAATTCAGGAGAAACACTACACAACATCAGTCTGGGCAGGGATGTTTTTACACTAGGCCTCAAAAGCATGAGCAACAGAAACAAAAATAAACAATTGGGACTACATCAAACCAAAAAGCTTCTTTATAGCAAAGGAAACAAATCAGTAAAGTGAACAGACAGCCTGCAGAATAGGAGAAAATATTTGTGAATTATACACCTGACAAGGGATTAATATCCAGTATTTATAAGGAATTCAACTCATTAGTAAAAAACATAATCTGATTTAAAAATGGGCAAAAGACTTGAGTAGTCTTTTCTCCAAAGAAGACATACAGAGGGCCACCAGGTACATGAAAAAATGCTCAATGTCATTGTGTTAGTCTGTTCTCATGCTGCTCATAAAGACATACCAGAGACTGGGCAACTTATAAAGAAAAAGAGGTTTAACGGACTCACAGTTCCACTTGGCTGGCGAGGCCTCATAATGATGGTGGAAGGCAAAGGACGAGCAAAGTCATGTCTCACCTGGCAGCAGGCAAGACAGCGTGTGCAGGGGAACTGCCATTTATAAAACCATCAGATCTCTTAAGACTTATTCACTATCATTAGAACAGCATGGGAAAGACCCACCCTCATGATTATGTTACCTCTCACTGGATCCCTCCCACAACACATGGGAATTATAGGAGCTACAATTCAAGATTTGAGTGGGGATATGGCCAAACCATATCAGTCACTAAC
Source organism: Homo sapiens (assembly GCF_000001405.40). NCBI lineage: Eukaryota > Metazoa > Chordata > Mammalia > Primates > Hominidae > Homo > Homo sapiens. Next base: position 84,418,391 of record NC_000001.11, on the reverse strand, counting down.
CATCAGAAAAATGCAAATCAAAACCACAATGAGATATCATCCTGTTTTTTTTTTTGTGTGTGTTTTTTTTTTTTTGAGATGGAGTTTCGCTCTTGTTGCCCAGGCTGGAGTGCAATGGCACAATCTTGGCTCACCACAACCTCCGTCTCCCAGGTTCAAGCAATTCTCCTGCCTCAGCCTCCTGAGTAGATAGGATTACAGGCATGAGCCACCATACCCACCTAATTTTGTATTTTTAGTAGAGACAGGGTTTCTCCATGTTCATTAGGCTGGTCTCGAACTCCTGACCTCAGGTGATCTGCCCGCCTCAGCCTCCCAAAGTGCTGGGATTACAGGTGTGAGCCACCGCACCCAGTGATATCATCTTACCCCAGTTAAAATGGCTATTATCAAAAAGACAAAAAATAATGAATGCTGGTGATGATGAGGAGAAAGGGAAACTCTTACACACTGTTGGTGGGAATGTAAATCAGTACAGCTATTATGGAAAACAGTATGGAAGTTTCTCAAAAAATTAAAAGTAGCTCTACTGTATGATTCAGCAACCCCACTACTAGGTATATATCCAAAGAAAATGAAATTAGAATATCAAAGAGACATCTACACTCCCATGTTTATTGCAGTACTATTCACAATAGCCAAGATGTGGAATCAACCTAAATGCCCATTAATGGAAGAATGGATAAAGAAAATGTGGTATATATACACAGTGGAATACTATTCAGCTATAAAAAGGGATGAGATCCTGTCATGTGCAACAGCATGTATAAGCCTGGAGGACATTACATTAAGTGAAATACGTCATTCTAGTTTTGGAGGGGGTTTGTTTTTGTTTCTGTTTTGAGACAAGGTCTTGCTCTGTTGCCTAAGCTGGAGTGCAGTGGTGTGATCATAGCTCACTGTAACCTCAAACACCTCGGCTCAAAGGATCCTCCTACCTCAGCCTCCTGAGTAGCTAGGACTACAGGCACTCACCACCATGCCTGGTTAATTTCATTCCGGTATTTAAAATCATGATTTAGAACTTAAATTTCATTCATTAATATCTCCCATATTCTCCTCGTTTTTCCTAAAGGGAATCAATAAAATTATCCCGTTTTCTAAAATATATCAGTTTCCCTCCAATGATATTATTCCCAAAGATAGTTCCTCAGTCTCCCTGCAGGTATCAGCATGACTGGGTAGCCGTCCTGGGCATATGCCTGAGAAAGATTAGCCCTCTTTGGTTTACTGTGGTTGCCTTTAGGTTCTACAACAAGGAGTTACCATCACCAAAATATACCAACACCCCTACCACGGTAAGTATTAGGTATTCTTGAGCTACCAGGACTGTTCAATTCCTTTCCAGCATTTTTTTCTTCCTCAAGGAGAGTCTGGCCACTTCCTATTTCCCCTTCAGCACATCCGTAATGTGTGTCTCCAGTGGGCCAGCATGTTCTTTTTCTTTGTTATACTCCTACACTCTTAATTACACGAATCTAATTATGATTCTCCTCTCCTTCAGATTCAGGGGAGAAGGCTCCTACCTATTATGTATTTTCAGTCCAATAGAATTTCTTCACTTTTGCTTTTTTTTTTTTGCCTTTTCATTCATCTCTCTATTTACCATTGGATCAAGTTTTGGCCCTCTTTACTTTTAAAGTCAGGATCTTGTACTTTAAAATTTTTCTCTTATATTATTTGGATTACTTATGCTTTTTTGGCCTCAGATGCTCTCTCAGAGGCCAAATAATTTTTTTCAGGCCTCTTTATATTTGCAAGAATGTTAGTTAGCTAGATAGCATACAACATAGTTTATGCTTGCTCCTGACAGGAAAACCAAGTTAGTTTTTTCTCTGTTTGTCATTGAACTAGTGCCATGAATTTTGGTTGGTATTGAGATATTAAGATCGATAGCCTCAGAGGTAAGATGGACCTCTATGATACTAGGCAAGTTCCTAAAACTCTGTAGGCCTCAATTTCCTTGTCAGTAAAATGGGGATAATAACAGTTCCTACTACATAGAATTGTTATGAAGATTAAATAAAAATGTAATTAATCGGCCGGGCGCGGTGGCTCACGCCTGTAATCCCAGCACTTTGGGAGGCCGAGGCGGGTGGATCGTGAGGTCAGGAGATTGAGACGATCCTGGCTAACACAGTGAAACCCCGTCTCTACTAAAAATACAAAAAATTAGCCAGGCGTGGTGGCAGGCACCTGTATTCCCAGCTACTCGGGAGGCTGAGGCAGGAGAATGGCGTGAACCCTGGAGGCAGAGCTTGCAGTGAGCCGAGATCGCATCACCGCACTCCAGCCTGGGCAACAGAGCGAGACTCTGTCTCAAAAAAAAAAAAAAAAAAAATTGTAATGAATCCTGAATTACTATGAGTTGAATACTTATTACATAGTAAGTGTTCAGTAAGCGCTAGCTTTATTATTGTTGTGATTACTTTTTCTAGGTTGTAAGCTGCTTGAAATTGTGAACAACACATATGTCAAATATTATTAAGCAATTAGTACTTAACACAAGTTTATTATTATCCATTTATATAACAGTTACAAGTAGTGATAAGAATGCCAGAAAAAGAAACACATTGAAATTAAGATTATTGCATTTGGCTGGGTGCAGTGGCTCATTCCTGTAATCCCAGCACTTTGGGAAGCCAACGTGGGAGGATTGCTTGAGCCCAGTTCAAGACCAGCCTGGGCAACAAAGCAAGACCTCATCTCTATTATTAAAAAAAAAAAAGACTATTGCATTTGATTCTGGTTTCATTATGTTACACTTCTTTATTTCCTTCAAGTTGATGAGTCACACTTATGCAGTTTTTTTTCTCCTAATGTGACTTTAACATTCTTCTTGTAAAATATCACTCATTTCTGAAACTTATTTGTTTTTTTTTTTGCTGGAATTCAAACTCAAATGCCACCATTATTTTTAAGTGTCATCTATGTGCCGGGCTCTGTGCTAGGTACTTGAACATACCTAGCTATTATCTCCCTTTCATAGATTAAAAAAAACAAGGTTCAGAGAATCCAAGTGAATGGCTCAAGATCATCCAATTAGTAAGTAGTAGCTGAAAGAATGACAAATAAGTCTTAACCATAAACCAGTGAGAAAGAACTTTAGGAGCAATATGATCAAATAGTATGGAAGAATACGCAGAGAGAGTTATTTGCTTTTCTTCAAAAAAGGGTGGGGAAGAGAGTCAGGGAAGTCTTTGTGAAGGAGAGGAAATGTAATCTACTAGGTGGCCAGTCAATCCATAAACAATTGGAGTTGACTAATGTGGAAAAATATTTTTCTTTTTATTTCTTCTATTCTCAGTTGTGTATAATGGTTTATGTCTATGATATATAGTGCAAAGTAAATAAATTACCATTAAATAGAAGATTAAATGGTAAACATGAGAGAAAAATGTTTTATTTTGTGATATGCAGGTTATAAGTATATTCACAGGCCTTTAAAATATAAAGAAGGTGTAATGGAAGAAGACCCATTGTCAAGGTTTTCAATGATAGTACCTGTGTCCTTTCACCAAGTTTACTTACAGCTTTCATAGTATAATACTAATCCTTGAAATGCTTGGTAAATTTGCCAATTCTGGGTACAAATGAATCCTCCACTTCTGAAGGCTTGGTGTGGACTCCGATTTAGGTCTCCAATACATGTCCAGCGATTTTTGGTGCCCTTTTGGGAAATACACCACTTGGCATGATCTTGATAAGAACTGAAATAAGAGTGTCGTGATAATTTAATTGCTTTTATATTGTAGACATGGTAAGGAAGGGAGCAGTTTGAAGGAAGCTCTTGTCTTTTTCGCTGCCAGGTTTCTGTTAACAAGTGTGTCTTCAGCCGTTGAGCCATCCAGGCTGCAAAGATGTCTAGGGTTTAGGAGGAGAAAGATAGTGAGGTTGGTATTTACACTTAGATTAGTCCCTGAAAATATACTCTGGAATGGAAATCATCTTTCACCCCTGATATGTGGATGTCACGAGCACAATAATAACAACATAATTGAGATAGTGGATGAGAAAACATTTTGTAAATGCTAAAGTGATGTGCAAATGTAAGTTATTATCATCATTACTATGATGATGTTGGTGTTTGCAAACATCTTCTGTTCTATAAAACGAATGAAGCAATATATGTCTTTGTCCTGGAAAGACCTTTGGAAAAAATTAGTCTAGAGAAGGAATTAGGGCCAGTTTCTAGGGAACTTTGTAAATCATGCCAAAGTGTTTGGATTTTCCTGAAATCAGTGGAGAGTTTTTAAAGGAATGTTAGTAAAGAATTAATAGAAACTGGTTTATGATCATAAATATCAGTTGAGAGGCAATGGGCAGGATGAATTGGGAAGGACAGGTTAGAAAGAAGAAAGGAAAAACATAAGGCTGTCATAATAACTGTGTCAATAAACACAGGTGTGACCCATGGCAGTGGCAAAGAGTTTGGAGAAGATACAATACATGTGAGTGTTATTAAGGATCTGGAACTGACTGAATTTGATGGTTTGATAGAAGGGTCAGAAAAAGAAGAGATGGGGAGTGACTGGGTAACTATGCAGAATACAAGAAAAAGTAGATTTGTAGGGGATGATGACGCAGTGAGTTTGGCATGTTGAACTTGATGTGGCTGTACCACCTTCAAGTAGAAATGTCTCACTTGCTGTTAAATACATCAGTCAGTATAGAGGTCTGGGGTAGAGATCAAGACTTGAGAATCATTGGAGGGCTTGCTGGAATTGCCCAGCATGGGTATGTAGAATGAGATAAGGAAGGGTAGGGGCCACATGGCAACCCAGTCACCTAAAGAGTAGTCAGAGGAAAAGGACCTGGCAGAAGAAACTTAGAAGTGGGAGAAAGACCAGGGGACTGCGTGTTCCCCAAAATCAGTGAAGGTGAGAGTTTCAAAAAGGAAAGAATTTCAACAGTGCCACATTCTGCAGAGACTGTCTCTGTCCTGTCAAGTTTAAGATCTCTAGTGCCTAACACAGGGCTTGGCTAGTAGTAGGCATTCAGTAAATTTTATTCAACGTATAAAGGAAGGAAGCAAATAAGCAAGGAAGACAGTGAGGTCATCTAAGACAGCCATTGGTGACTGGGGAGAGATTCAAGTGTCTACAGACAGAAGCAAGACTGCAGTGAAGGAACATTGAGCAAGTGAAGGCCCTGATGAGTTTTAAAAAAATAAATCTGAAAGAAAAGGAAAAATAGAGCTATAGATGCTTTAGAGTTGAGGGAGGGTTTTTAGGCATGTTTGTATGTTATGAGAAAGTAGCCTGGGGAGTGGGAGAACTGAAATGGAACACAGAGAACAGATCAGGTGGACAAATCAAGGTATGCTGAGGCTGAGATAGGTTTCAGAGCATAGGGGGTGCATCACTTCTTTGGGGGTGGGAGAAACCCTGCAAAAAGGAAGGAGAACAGATAAGATTGTTGGAGGGGTGGGGGGGGGGTAGCATATAGAAGTGGTTTCTCCCTAGTGAACATTGTTCTATTTATGAAGGAAAAAAGGAAGCCATGAGTGAGGGTGCAGAGTAGTGTAAAGGGCTTGAGAGTAAAGAAGGCTTAAAATAACCACTCAGGGAATGGAAGAAATGGAGATGGCTATGGCCCCTTGCCAAGCAGAGGATGGAGACTGAGTTTTCACTGGCCCGTGGCTGGATGGTTGTGAGATACTTTTGTGGTTGACTCATATAGCCGGCTGATGTTTGAACTGATCCGTGACTTTCCTTTTTCCTTTTCTTTTGCTCCCTTTTTTCATCTCTCTTTCTCTGAATACTCAAAATATTTCTCTAAGCTATCCCTAGTCAGTTCAACAGCAGAATTATACAGCATGTTGTTTGATGATGGTCTTTCATACCGTCAAGAAAAGAATCCGACTTTGCAAAATGGAGGAATTTTTGTCCCTGGGCCGACTGAAGTGTGGTGAGGAGCCTGCCAGGAATCTCTGATGAGCTGGCCCTGGTGCACAGCTGGGGCATGTGAATGAGCTCCTGGTGAAAGGTGGCTGGGATGGAGCAGCTATAGACGTTGGGGTTGCAGACCAAGAGCTGAGAATCTGAATCAAGAAACAGTAAAGAAAAGTTGAGAATTAAGACACAAATGGAAATACCTGCTGTTATTATAGATCTTTTTGTGGATTTAAAAACAAAACAACACAAAAACAAAGGCATTTCTTTCTTTAAACCAATAGCCTTCAAATAACTTTTTGTTTAAATAACTAACACCTGTTAAGCACTTCCTAGTTTCCAGACATGGTCCTACAAGTTTTACATGGGTTTATTCATTTAATCCTCACAGCAAACATGTTATCAGGCAAATTCTGTTGTTATCATTATCTTTACTTTATAGATGAATTAACTGAGAATTTACATCACACACCCAAGATTATGAAGTTTGTAATTGATGAAATTGATATTCGAACCCAGGTAATTTGGCCTTGGAGACCATATATTTTTTCTTCTAAATGTACATATACATATACAAAAGTTGAGAACTCCATGTACCAAAAAGCTTTAAGAATCATCATCTCCTCAGTGTGCATGCCTAATCTCTGTGATATTCGGCATCATTACATGATTTCAACTAGTGAGACTAGAGCTTGACTTGGGTGAGGAGCTCAGTGATCCTTGCCATAAGATGGAAATTTGATGAGAAACATTTTCTAAATCTCCTGTTTCTATAGGCAAGTTGCTTTTCACTACTATTTAGCTACCAACCTGTCCCTACTTCTCCTTTCCCACCACAGTTTGCCAAATCTAAGAATTTTTCGCTGAGCTTGAAATCTTAAAAGGAGATTATCTGGCTCAGAGGTGTCATGTTTGTGGCCTACAAGGAACATGTGGCCTGGAAAACTTCAAAAACAAAATTAAGATTGAACTCATATTTGGAAATCAGTTTCTCTCTCTCTCTCTCTCTCTCTGACACACACACACACACACACACACACACACACACACACACACACACACACACACACACCCTAGGTTTCTGGTACTTCATGAGAAATAAGGAGATCTGTAATCATTAGGCTTGTATTCCTGTAGAGCCACAGTATGATGGAACTGAGGCTTTAAGGGAAGCTAGGTGAGTCAACACCCCAGTTCATCACTATCCTCACTTCCCATGTAACATGTCTGTTTCACTCATATATGTTATCTACCAGGCCCCTGAATACATTTGAAACTACTGCCCTGATCAAGTTCAACAACTGCACTGGTAGATTAAGAGCCAAAGCCCAGTAAGCGAGCCTGCCCAAGACCTCACCATGGCAAAGCCAGTATTAGAATCTAGGTATCAGAGGGTCTATGAATAGATTAACAAATGAAGTGACACATTTATGAATATATTTCCAAATCATTTCTTCAACATAGTTATCGTTTTTTTTCTCACATACTTTAGTTTTACCTATTGCCTCATACTGGTTGTACTTGAAAGTTATGCAGATGCCACTTTGTCCATTTCGTCTCCCTGTGGGTGGATAATCATAGCCTTCTTCCGGAATTGGAGGAAACTGAGGGATGGAATGAATCAGCCAGAACCCTTGAACTCTGTTCCACAGCAGTAAACCTACCAAAGACACATTTAACAAAGATAAATCAGAAAAACAAAGCTTCTTTTATAATAGGGTTCACAGTGGCAACATTTAAGCCCATTTATGCTTCAGACTAGTGTTTTATTAGGCTAATAATCACAAGGATCATGCTTATTTTTCAAAGATTTCAAATACAATTCTGGCACATATCACATTGCCTGATTACTGATAAAAAGCCACCACGAAAAGGGAACCAAGGTAGCCATCCTGTGAAGAGTTAAGAGGAATTTCATTTTGAAATCACAAGGAAAATTTGTTTTGGCAGAATGCAAATTTGCTAAATTGGAATTGGACCTTGTTAAACTATACAGTCACCTAGCAAGATTTAGATAGTGTCTTCACTGCTAAGCAGCTAGGCTCTTTTCAAAAGCTGACTAAAAAACAGAGTTGAAAGAGAAAATATCAAATGAAGAAATGTACTCACAATAATTTGTTATAAAAAACTGCTGCCCATTTATTGGCAGAAGAGTCACTATTTCTACAAGCCCAATAAAAGAAGCAAAGAGACAAAAAGGAAGCTGTGCTAAAGCATCCTAGTTAATTACGTTTGTAAAAATCTCTAGAGCAAAATAAACAACTTGAAAGCCAATAAGGAAGAAAATAGAAAGATTTTTATCATTTTGTGACATACCAAAAAGAACTTTGTAAAACAGACATCTGACTATTTTTGTGTTTAGAAATTTATCATGGTAGGTTTGGTATGATAGCTAGACTTTCCAGTTTGCATATGACTATGCAAACATAAGATTCACTCGTGTTTGCCTAAGTGTTAGATTAAAAACCAAATGCCTTCTAGTTATTTTTTTTTCAAAGTGCCTATTTTAAGAAAGCATACTGTTGTTCTTTGGGTGGAAATAGAATCAATACCTGTGTCAAGGTGGAAAATATTGAAAGTTCTGTGTGTAACAGAACTGGATAACCTTCAAGAGTTATCCTCTGTGCAGATGAGTGTGCCAATTTGCTGGAATCCTATCCTCCTGGTACAAATGCCATAGGATATTAGGGCATCTGTTGGCCAAGAGAACCCCTCCACTTGATATTGTGCCCTACTTCTTTAGAGCCATTTCCCCAAAGCCTTGTGGCAGTTAGCAGGGTAGAGCAGGAATAGTGTGGGAGATTGTTGGAGGAGAGGTTGAAGAATGTAGCATGTTATGAAAATTGTTGGGTTCCCAGTAAATAGGGTATTCAGGAGAGCAACTTTGCTAAATAAAAAGCTTTCAAAGTTCATGACCTTTGTCAGCCATTACAAACTATATTCTAAATCAGAGGCTGCAAACTGACATCCTCTGAGCCAAATCCAGCCTGTGGATACATTTTATTGCGCTTGCAGAGTATTTTTTAAACTTTGAATTTAGTGCCAACATTTAAAAACTGGGGAGTTTTTCCACAAATATTAATTTTCAACATCTCCTGGAAAATTGTGTCCGTATCAGGCAAGTTGAATAGTAACTGCCTCCTTTCACTTGCTGACATCATTTGCCTGCTCCCTTGAAGGCATTTGAATTTGGAATCTTCTGAATACTTGTTGCCATGGAAAGTTATTTATGATATATGAAATTGAAAAAAGGTTGAAAAATAGTCATTACAGTAGTTTTGTAAAAATGTTTTAAAATATGTATTTTAGAAAAAGTAGAAAGGATTAAATATGGTTTATCTAATGGGCATTAGGATTATAGATTTTTTTGTTTACCTGTATTTTGAATTTTTCTGTAGTTCACAAACACATATGCAAAGTTTAGAAATAAAAAAATTGTGAAAGGATAATAAAAATTATATGTGATAATGTAAATAACATGATAAAAATTAATATAAAAAGCTATTTAAAATACTTTTTCAAAAATGTATATTTCCAAGGGAACTGTATGTTAAGAAGAGCTCGTTTTACTCTCTATAAATCATACTTCAATAAATCTGACTAAAATGTGTTTGTACATATATACTACATGCACATATACATATATACATATTCATGTGCATATATATATATATATATATAAAATTGCTGGTGTGTGTGTGTGTCCTCAGTATCAGTACCTGGATTCCTGCTGCTGCAAAGCAAATATTTTAAAATATGTTAAGAAATAAAATGGGATTTCTAAAAATGAGATTGCCAAGTCAAATCATATAATTATATTATAACCAGTGATATAGAAGTCATACATTTCAATAACTCAAATAAACTATTAAGAAGAAAGGCTATCTATTTAGTATGGAATATAAGGATACTCAAGATGAAATATTTAAGAAATTGTTGATTTCCAGTAGGAAAGAGAAACCAAGAATCTTTGTCATACCTTTGGTGTGTCCATACTTTCTGCTGTAATTCACAGGTTTAGGGACTCCATCATTGTATATTAGATAGGCTGTGTTGTTACTCTGCAGGAATATATTAGGGTTATAATGGCGTAAATCTTCCACTTACAAACGCCCACAACATTTCTACCAGCTACCCAGCCTGCAATACATTGCTTTCATTAATACACATGAGAAGTCATCTATTCCCCTAATAGGCAGCTTCCCCATCAATATGAAGCCTGTGACATGAAAGACAGGGGAAAGAAAGTCCATTTTTAACTGTGCATGATTTTTACTCATGTGACAGGAGCCCTGTGCATTGTGATCTGTGTGTGAGGGCAATGTTCCTATTTCTCTTGGTTGTTTTGGAACCAAGTTTCTGATTAAGCAACCAGTGTATAATAAAGGAGTACTGAATTATTTGTTCAGGAAATGAAGTAGGAACAACCAACCAAGGATTACATCTGAGGTTTTTTCCATTGATATTATAGGCACAGTGCAGAACTGGCTGTCAGGATCTGATTTTCTCTGCACACTTTGTGCTTCACTTCACTGCTGGGTAGTAGCGTTGTGTTTAATCAGGATCCCTCATTATCTGCTCTCCCTTCCTCCCATTATGAGAGGATTTTTCTGCAATCCATTTTTCAGTGTCACTTCACCTTTCCAACTTGATATTTTCCTGCTTAAAAAAAGTGGTGAAATTTACTGTGTGATATTGGATTTCCTCTGGTAAGGCCAAATATGAGTCAATTTTCAAACAGCCAAATCTTAGAGCCAAAATAAAGCTATTATTTCGATAGTATCTATTTTTCATGTTTTAGAAACTTGCTAATATTTGTTCTAGGTGGTTCCATTTAATTTGTGTGATGATACAACTTTAATTGAAGCCAATAATGTCAATATTAAAAAAATCTGAGTGACATAATTAAAAGCAGGAAAGGATAACCTATGTCCTTAAAAAAGGCCCTTGCTTTTTTCTTAGAAAACAAATTCAATGAAGAAGCCTCTCACAGTTGCTTAATTATATGATGTGATAAAATTTTTTTTTCAATGCACAACATAGTCTGTTGGAGCATTCTTGTCTACTGTGCTTAGGAATGCCCCGAAAAGTAAGCTGTTTTCTTACCTTCATTTTCCATAATTGATCATAGCTACTGAATGGCATTCATATCATCATTTGGAGAACTCTGAAGAGTTAGTTACTCTGTGAACCTGCATTGAATGTGGTAAGGAGGCCATTTGTGTGCCTTTGGGGTACAACATGGAGGAATTCTGGGATGATCCAGTGAGGAATTTATTTTTTATGATAAATGAAGTTTATTGTTCTAACTGAGTGTAACTGCCAGCTGAGGTTAAGTGGATTGTAGCCTTAGTTGGAAGAGAGGCTATTGATAAAGGGAAAAGATCATGGACTTAAGAGTAGGTAGATGTAGGCATGTGCCTTTGAATAGCTTTATTCCTTTAACACATATGTTCAGTATTGTTTTGACTATTGAGTGTTGAACAAGAGGGGTACAGTCTCTGCCCCCTGTCTAGCAGAAAATATAGTCACACAAGTGCAGGCAATATAGTTTGATAAATGTTTATGAAGGTACACGGAAGATTCTTATTTGTAAAGGCAAGAGAAGGGAAACAATTCCAAATGTAACCCAGCTATTGGCCTTGGTCACCTTCACATTTGAGATTTAAACCAGTTGGTCTAATCTTGCATTTCACTCTCTGTCAGAGGTTCAATTCCAGGTCAGGGGGTGGAGGAGTAATATTCTCACAGTCACTTCTGGCACATAATTCCAGCTTCCAAAGAACACTGAGTCATACCTGGATATCACCAACTGCTGTTGCTCTCTTCTTTTGGCTCTATGCCAATCAGGCATGGAAATCAGTCCCTTTCCTGTCATTTTCCCCCCAGAACCAATCACTCAAGACATTGCATGTGGCAGGTTTTACTAAAGGTAAGAAATATTGAATGGTTTTACATCACCATAAGGCCTTACCCCAGTCTTTCTCCATGTTTCTTATGCTTTTTAATCCCTGGCTTCTTTCTGTCCCTTTTTTGTTTAGCAGAGCAGTTTAACTGTGTCTCCCTGCTAGGGTGTGGGGCTACCTTTGCACCTTCAAAGATCATTATTGTATTCCGGCAAGTGAAGGCCTATCTACTCCAACTAAGGCAAATGATAGAGGCTTTACAATGTTGCTCTTTCCTTCTTCCTCCCCTAGCAGTCTCGTTGATGTGGAAAGGAACAATGTAGGCATTATTTTCCCACTAATAGATATGCTTCTGGTCCCCATCCCCAACCTGGAAAGCAGAAGCAGCTGCAGGCGTTTTCATTTTATATAATACGGTTGGCCCTTGGGTTTGAACTGCATGGGTCTATATGTATGCAGGCCTTTAAAAACATATGTTGGAAAATTTAGGGGGAGATTTTTGACAATTTGAAAAAAAAAACTCACAGATGAACCACATAGCCTAGAAATATTTTTAAAAATTAAGAAAAAGTTAGATACATTATGAATGCATACAATATATGTAGATACTAGTCTATTTTTTCATTTGCTGCCCTAAACTATGCACAAATCTATTATAAAAAGTTAAAATTCATCAAAATTTACATATACAAACATAGACCAAACATGGTGCCATTCACAGTCAAGAAATATAAACAAACATAAATATGCAGTACTAAGTCATAACTGCATTAAATTAACTGTAGTAATACTGTACTACTGTAATAATTTTATAGCCACCTTTTGTCACCATTGAGGTGAGCTCAAGTCTTGTGAATATCTGCTGAAAATGCCACATGACACTAACAACCTCCACGTGAGCAGTTCTCTCCAGTAAATTGCATACTGTAGTCAAAAGTGATCTCTCACAGCTCTTGCATATTTTTCATCATGTTTGGGGCAATATCAGAAACCTTGAATAAAACCGTAGGACCTATACTGAGTGCCACTGCTGATGCTGGAAATGCTTCTAACAAGCAAAGACAAGTCATGACATTATAAGAAGATGTTGAATTGCTTGATATGTACTGCGGATTGAGGTCTGCAGCTTCAGTTGCCTGCCATTTCAAGTTAAGTGAATCCAGCATAAGAGCCATTGTGAAAAAAGAAAAGGAAATTTGTGAAGCCCTCACTGCAGCTATGCCAGTAGGCATGAAAACCTTGCACTTTTTACAAAATACTTTTATAGCTCATACTTAAAATTAAAATGCAGCTTTTATATGGGTGCAAGATTGCTATAAGAAAGGAATACTATAGACTCTAATATGATTGGAGAAAAAGTGAAGTCACTATATGACAAAGCAGAAGGAAGGTAGATCATCTAAAGCTGGAGAATTTAATACCAGCAAAGGATGGTTTGACAATTTTAGAAAGAGGTTTGGCCTAAAAAAAAAAAAATTAAGATAACAGGAGAAGCAGCTTTTGCTGACCAAGAGGCAGCAGATGAATTCCCAGATGCCATCAAGAAAATCATTGAGGGGAAATAATTTCTTCCTGAGCAGGTTTTTAATGCAGATGAAAATTCCTTATTCTGGAAAAAAGTGCCACAAAGGACACTTATTGGTAAGAAAGAGAAGCAAGCATCAGGATTTAAGGCAGGAAGGGACAGACTAACTGTACTGTTTTGTGCAAATGCAGTTGGGTTGATAATCAGGACTACACCTATCTATAAAGCTGCTAACTCTTGAGCCTTGAAGGGAAAAGATACATACCAGCTGCCAGTTGTACAATAAGAAGGCCTGGGCAACAAAACCCTTTTTCTAAATTGGTTCCAGTGATGCTTTGTCTCTAAAGTTAGAAGGTACCTTGCCAGTAAGGAACTGCCTTTTAAAGTTCTTTTGGTATTGGATAGTGCCACCGGGCACTAAAAGTCCCATGAGTTCAACACCAAAGGTGTCAAAGTTGTCCACCTGCCCCCAAACATAATGTCTCTGATTCAGCCTCTAAATCAGGTTCATAAGAACCTTTAAGACTCATTACATATGATGCTCTCTGGAAAGGATTGTCAGTGCTATGGAACACATGATAGAACACATGAAAGGATTACAGCGTTGAAGATGCCATTTCTGTTATAGGAAAAGCCATGAAAGCCATCAAGCCCAAAACAATACATTCCTGCTGGAAAAATCTGTGTTCAGATGTTGAGCATGACTTCACAGGATTTATGACAGAGTCAATCAAGAAAGTCATGAAAGAGATTGTGGATATGGCAAGAAAGGTTGGGGGTGATGGATTTCAAGATATGATTCCTGGAGAAATTCAAAAGCTAATAGACACCACACTAGAGAAATTAACAGAACATAACTCAATGGAACCAGAGCCAGATGATGAGCAAGAAGACATAGAAGAGGTGGTGCAAGAACACAGATCAATATTAGACGCAGTCTGATCATTCAAGGCTGCTTTTAGGCTGGGTGCAGTGTCTCATGTGTATAATCCCAGCACTTCAGAGGCCAATATGGGTGGATTGCTTGAGTCCAGGAGTTTGAGACTAGCCTGGGTAACATCATGAAACCCTATCTTTACCCACCCCCTCCGCCAAAAAAAAAAAAAAAAAAAATTAGCCAGGCATGGTGGTGCATGCCTGTAGTCCCAGCTACTCCAGAGGCTGAGGTGGGAGGGTCACCTGGGCCTGGGAGGTCGAGGCAACAGATAGCTCTTATGGTGCCACTGCACTGCAGCCTGGGTGTCGAATGAGATCCTGTCTCAAAAGAAAAAAATATAAAGATTGCTTTTAACTTCTTTTACAACATGAACCCTTCTGTGATACGGGCACTGAAACTAAAGCAAATGGTGAAAAAATGATTACTACTGTATAGAAACATTTTTGGAGAAATGAAAAAGCAAATAGATAGAATTCATTATGTATTTTCATGTGAAAGTTACACTGAGTATGCCTGCCTCTCTTGCTTCCCCTTCCACCTTCCCCACCTCTCCCATCTCTGCCACCCCCGAGATAGCAAGACCAGCCCTTCCCCTTCTTCCTTCTGCTCAGCTGACTCAACAGGAAGATGACAAGGATGAAGACACTTATGATGATCCATTTCCACTTAATGAAGAGTGAATATATTCTCTCTTCCTTAATGATTCTCTTAATAACATTTTCCTTTCTCTAGCTTACTTTATTGTAAGAATATAGTATATAAGATATATAACATAAAAATTACATGTTATTCGACTATTGATGTTATCAGTAAGGCATCCAGTCAAACTGATGTTATCAGTAAGGCATCCAATAGGCTGTTAGTAGATAAATTTTTAGGAAGTCAAAAGTTGTACATAAATTTTTGACGGCATGAGGGCCGGCACCCCTACCCCAGCATGGTTCAAGGGTCAGCTGTCGTCTGTTTATTCAAAGCAGGTTTGTTGAGACAAATAATTTTGAAAAGCATCTAGAAAAGTGCTTGGCACATCACATGTTCTCAAATAGCCTACAGATAAGCTTTAACTTTGTAGCTTGGCTCTGAAGGCTAGTCTTAATGGCAGGTAAATAACATGAATATTACCACACACCATGACAGTTCCGTGTGTATTTTGAGTAAATACTCAGATACACATGTGCAGTGCCAGAGGCTAAAACAGGATTGTTGTGGGCATTAAATTACTTGACATATGTAAAGGCCCAGCATACAGTCCAGCATATTATAGGAGCAGAGTCATGTTATATATTTACTTGTCTATAAGTTATTGTTAGGAAATGCATACATGAGTATAATTGGATGTTAATCATGGCTTGATTTTACTTGCCACTCCTGGTTGGAAAGCAGTATCTTGAAACTAAGCAACAGATGATGCCTAGAATATTGGGAGCATGCCCATAATAAGCC
The DNA here is from genome assembly GCF_000001405.40 of Homo sapiens. Classification (NCBI taxonomy): domain Eukaryota; kingdom Metazoa; phylum Chordata; class Mammalia; order Primates; family Hominidae; genus Homo; species Homo sapiens. The sequence continues at coordinate 84,402,686 of NC_000001.11, read as the reverse complement.
AGCAGGCCTACTTACCTGTGTCTCTTTGGCTGATTAGCTCATTGCCTGATAAAGTCCAGATATAGCAGGGATAATCTCCATCCAGACAAGTTAGTTCTAGGGCCTTGAACTAGAGTCCTAGTTTTCAACATATCATTTTGAAAACAATTAATGAAAAGGAAGATCAAGTAGAACCCTTTACTGAGCTCACCACCACTGATCAACACCATGATATAAACAATCCATAACTCATAGCATGTTAATCACAGTTCTGTATTGCCCTGTAACAGCAGAGGCTCCTCTCCCTATTTCTATTAGATGAATAAGCAAACTGACAGACATTTTGGCAGCCAGAAGACTTCAATATACAATTAATTCACACCTTGCCTAGTGACACCACTGGACATGGTGCCAAGTAAATTTGGCATTGCTGTAGAGTATGATGACATGTTTCCTCAGGTCTTAGTCAGATTGACTCAGATAGTTGTCTTGAGCTGGTCCTGAGCTAGCTCACTTCAAGGTGCTAGGATTGGGGGTTGGGTGGGTGAACAGAAAACTCTGGTGAAGGCTTTGGATTCAGTTTTATGCATTTTATATTATTCAAGTGAACAATTAACTATATAACATACCTTAGAGGCATATGCTTCATATAGCTGTTGTAATGTCCTTCCCAAAACACTCTTGGTGTCATTCATTAGTTGCTCACTCTTCCTCCAGCTTCTAGTTGTAGAGTCTAGGTACAGGTACTCTAACCCAGTCTCTCCACTTTCCTTGTTTTGTCTTTTAGGTAACTTATAAAAAGTAAACCTAACAGACAAAATGATTATGAATTACTAACATTTATTGACTGTTTTCCTGTGGCAGTAACTGTATTACACACTTTAATATATCTCTCATTTCTGTTTCATGGAAGGCCTCTAAGGAAAGGGATTTGCTCAAGCTCTTTGCCTCTTTCTTCACTCTTATCTTTGCTCCTCCCCAGAGAAGAAAATAAAAATCTGATTGGATATGTTCTAAGACCTTGGTTATACTGGTGGGTGGAGTCCCTGAAGTGGAAGTCCATATACATTGAGAGTGGCTCTTTCTGTTGCTTCCATGATCCATGTGGCTACAGTGGAGAGAAGGCCAAGGCCCAGACCATGCAGTTGGCTGACTGGATATGAGATTTGGGTTTGGGCTTCAGGAGAGGTGGAAGGTACTTTGAGCCCCTGTCATAAGCTGCATTCCTCAGCTCAGTTTATCCGAATACTCTGCCTTGAAGATTCAGGGCTAAAACCAAGTAATTAAGTAGGCCCTTTCCTTCCTTTACTGTTGTTTTCCATTTGTATATCTCCCTTGGATATCTCACAGGGAGGAGAGGTAGCTCAGCCAAGACAGCATTAAGGCATTATTGGATTACCTAGCTCAGCGTTTCTCAGTGTGCTCTATTCACATTTTCAGCCGATCATTCTTTGTTGTGGGAGCTGTCCTGTGCATTGTAAGATCCCTGCCCTCTACCTATTAGATGCCAGTAGCACTGCCAAGTTGTGACAATCAAAATTATCTCCAGACATTATCAAAAATCCTCTGAGGGCAAAATTACCCTCGGTTGAGAACCACTGATCTAGCCAAATACTTTCTAATAGCATGAACCCCACCATTAACCCCTAAACACTCACAGTGCACCAAACATTATAATATATACACTATTACCATACAACAGTGTCACAAACCCGTAAAAGCTGCACACTCTTCACTTGGTCCCCTTCGGTCTTATACTTAATTTAAGTGAACTCTTTCCTGCCCTGCTTATGCTTTCTTACAGGGTCAGGTCCTCACATGTGGCAGGAAACATGAAATTATTCTTTGGTGCTGACTTGATGGTCTCTTTCCTTACCTTTCTCAATAAATGTTAGCAGCTTGGCAACAAGTTGCTTATATTCTCTCTAACAGACATTGCTAAGTAATATGTCCATTCACTTGTGGCAAAAATGATTTTCCATATCAATCACAATTTGGTGGCCCACCAGTGAAGGGTTTGTGAACTATCAGTGTGCCGTGGCACACCAGTTGAGAGCTAGTACTTTTAAACATTTTTCCTGGGTGACTGTCTCTAATTATGTACTCAAGAGTCCTCAGTCTGTTTCTAGCCCAGACCTTTCTGCTGAGGTCCAGAGAAACCTAAACTCAAAGATGTCCCATTAACCCCCAACTCCGTATTTTTGAAACCAAATTTATAATATTTTGCTCCAAATCTGCTCATCCCACACTATTAGGGAACATATTCATGCAGTCTCAGAAGCAGAAGCCTAAAATTATTTCTTTCTTTTTCTTTCTTGTTTTGTTTTTTGTTTTTTTTTGAGACGGAGTCTCATTCTTGTTATTCAGGCTGGAGTGCAATGGCACGATCTTGGTTCACCACAACCTCCGCCTCCTGGGTTCAAGCAATTCTCCTGCCTCAGCCTCCCATGTAGCTGGGATTACAGGCATGCGTCACCATGCCTGGCTAATTTTGTATTTTTAGTAAAGATGGGGTTTCTCCATGTTGGTCAGGCTGGTCTTGAACTCCTGACCTCAGGTGATCTGTCTGCCTAGGCCTCCTAAAGTGCTGGGCTTACAGGCGTGAGCCACCACGCCTGGCCAACCTAAAATTATTTCTTAACATCTCCCTTTCTCCTACTGGCTGCAGCCCATCCATCACCAAGTCTTCTCAGCATGTCCTTCTTTCTATTTCCATGACCGCTTCTTTAACTCAGGTCTACACCTCTTCTCACCTGTAATGCTGCAAAAGTGCTCCTGGTCTCAGTGATTCTAGGCTGCTCCCCATCCATCCAGCCCTCATAGTACTGCCAATGGGTTTCCTAAAGTGCAAATCTGACCATTCACACCCCTGCGTGAAGTCCTCCAATAGCTCCCTTTCAATGTCAAGTTCAAACCTTGTAGCTCAGCACACAGACCCCTTGGCTGTCCCCACCTCTCTAACCTCACCTCCGGTCATCTTCCTGTATTCTCCTGAAGTTCCAGCAATACCAAACTACTTTGCAACTCCCAAATTTCCATGTTGCTTCTTGCCTCTCTACCTCCTCATTGCTCCTTCATTGGCCTGAGATGCTCTTGCACATCCCTTCTTTTTCCAGCTACTTCTTAATTGTTCTTAAAACTTAGCTCAAAAATTACATCCTTAGAGAAGTTTTCTGGGCTCTCTGTTCCCCAGTGTTCCACCTATGCCCTTACCACATAACTGTGAGGTCCTTGAGGGTAGGAACCATGTTTCGTTCATATTTATATTTTCAAAACTCCACACAGACCTCTGTTGAGCTCAGTAACTGAGGAAAGACTGACTACTGCCTTGAGTATATCTGTGTTCTGTAGCCTGAAGTTTACACAAAAAGCTTGACACCAACCATTATGGCAAACCTAAATATCCCAATTAAAGGGTGAAAAAGTAGTTAAAGCTTTAGGAGAACCCATGACTATAATGCAACACAGCATTTAATGTCTTTGACACTGTACAACAGGCCAGTGGCCTACGTACCAATCATGGCAACAGCTGCCTCTGCTTCCAAACAAACCGATGTTAGGCAAACAGTGCTGTGTGTGACCAGGTCCCCCTTCTCTTTCTCATAAGGAGCAGCACATGCTCCATTTTCAGAAAAAAATAATCTGCCTTCTTTACTCTGTCAGTCTTTCAAAGGATGTTGGAAGTGTTCTGTTAGGAAAAGCCATGATGTAATTAAAAGAAATTGCCAGCTCACAGAAGCTGTCAGCTCAATCCCACTTCTGTGGCTACCAGCCTTGCCCCGCTGAGAACAGTGAATCAGGCCCAAGAGGGGCTGCTCAGCTCTTTTTCAGGGGGAAACTCCGTCACTCAGAAGCCTACCCCTGCCTGGGAGTTTGGCCGATTTGCACACTTTAACTTCCTTTATTTGTAAAGGGAGGAAAGAGAATGGACATTCCCCTTAGGAACTTCGCAGTGAGCCAGGCCAACTCTGTACCGAGGCTGTTTGCATGCAGCAGTCCTTCCATTTCATTTACCTACCAGTCCACAGCTTTCCCTTCTTCATTTCTGCATGAAATTGTTGCTGCCCCCAGCACCCCAAAGAGGCCAAGGAAGAGCAAAGCAAAGGATGTTCTTAGCAGTCTTGCCATCATTTTCTGTTTCATTTATTTCATGCCACAGCAGGACACTTTCCCCATAGATTGTGGAGTCTGAGTTTCAAGGCGCTCTCAGGCTGTGCTGGCTCTGACGTTTGATTTGATTTACCTGTGCTGTTCGCTGTTCGGGGCATTTTCAGAGTGGGATGGATCCCATGTAATTGTGCGATTCTGTCACAACATGCCAGCGTGACTCTGGATGCCTTTGTGCTGAATTGTTGACTGGTTTGCAAAGTCATCAAAAAGTTCTGCAGAAAAATAGGGAAAGATAGTTCACTCTTTGGAGTGAACATTGTTGTATGAAATTCATTGGGCAGGGGGACTTCATTTTAATAAGTAGATGTTAAATATATTTCATGTCTTCTCCTGTTTGACTCAATGAATGAGAGCAAATGCAGGTGGTTCGTACATTAAACAGAAATGATAAAACCTTATGTCTTAGTAATAATTAGGATCTGTCACTTAATAATCTCTGTCTTAAGGAACCAGTTGCTAAGGGATACTTCAAAGGGTTGCTTCAAAGTAACAGTAAATTTAACTGTATTTTACCAAAGATGTTTACATATTCTCTCCATCTTCCTGGTTTTAGCCACTCAATGTGGTGCTTCAGGCTGCTATGCAATAGGTAAACATATTGATCACCCACTCTTCAGGTTAATAAAAAATGTTACAAACATCTATTTTGCCCAAACTATGCTTTCTCATTCTCGAAGCTGAATCTGAAGTAGAAAACCAAAATAAAATGGCCCACTACCATAACAACTATAAAAAGGTGAGACCAATTTCTTTGTGAATCAGGGAAGGAGTAGATAGACATATGAAAATAATTTCTTTAATGCATACTTTTGCATCAATTATTAAAGCTGCCATCATAATAAATAGCAGTTTACATCATGCCTGGAAATAATGCTGCCCCTAATCTGTCTCTCTGATAATCACAATGATAACTATAATAGTTCCAGATCAGAGGATCCAGACCAAACTGAACCCTTGTAAATCAGATTACCTCTGTGGTTGCACTAGAACTGTTCACAATTCTCAGGATTCATAGAAAAGGGGAAGGCTTGTGTCTCTATCCTAAGACAGAGTTTTGGGAGGAGGACTCTGTACCACCTGCCCAATTACCTGTGGTGCCTGCAAAAAAGGCAGAATTCTAGGACTTATTCCAAACCTGCTACATCAGAATTCTTCCAGTTGGGCTCAAGAATCTATATTTTTAATAAGCTTATTGGTGATGCTGGTGTACCCTAAAGTTTGAAACTCACTGCCCTGAGGCCAAGACTATGCTGTATTTGGTAGATTCACAGCTTTCTGCAGGTTAAATGAAGAAATATTTTTCTTACCCATTCCTCCATTGGTATTATTATTATTATTATTTTGAGATGAAGTTTTGCTCTTGTTGCCCAGGCTGGAGTGTACCCACCTCGGCCTGGGAATCCATCCACCTCGGCCTCCCAAAGTGCTGGGATTACAGGCATGAACCACTGTGCCTGTTCTCATTTTGTTTTATATATTTTCTTCCTGTGTTCAGAAAAAAGGATTTCAACAACCCCAACCTTTTTGTCAATTTTTAAAAGTTTTTTTAAAAATTATCAGCTGGACGCAGTGGCTTATGCCTGTAATCCCAAAACTTTGGGAGGCTAAGGCAGGAGGATTGCTTGAGCCTGGGAGTTCAAGACCAGCCGGGGCAACATAGCAAGAATGTATCTCTACAAACAATAAAAAAAAAATTAGTCGGGCATAGTGGCACATGCCTGTAGTCCCAGCTGTTCAGGAGGCTGAGGTGGGAGGATTGCTTGAGCCCAGGAAGTGGAGGCTGCAGTGAGCCATGATGGTACCACTGCACTTTTGCCTGGGTGACAGAGTGAGATTGTCTCAAATATATATATATATGTATGTATGTATGTATGTATGTATACTGAGAGAGAGAGAGAGAGAGAGAGAGAGAGAGAGAGAGAGAGAGAGAGAGATTACTCTTCTCTGTTAAAGTAAACACAGAGTCTTGCTGTGTCGCCCAGGCTGGAGTGCGGTGGTGCAATCTCAGCTCACTGCAACCTCCACCTCCCACGTTCAAGTGGTTCTCCCACCTCAGCCTCCTGGGTAGCTGGGATTACAGGTGCCCACCACCAGGCCCGGCTAATTTTTGTATTTTTAGTAGAGATGGGGTTTCACCTTTGGCCAGGCTGGTCTCAAATTCCTGACCTCAGATGATCTACCCGCCTCAGCTTCCCAAAGTGCTGGGATTACTGGTGTGAGCCACTGCACCAGGCCAAAATAATTTTATTTATTTACTTATTTATTTACCTGTGAGACTTTTTGGTATTACAACTAATAATAGAAACATACCAGTAGGATTCACTGATGCATTTAGAGAATGTAAGCAAATTGTTTTCAGTTATGTAGGGCTAAAGACAGTTTGTTGAGTAGGATTTAAAATCATTCCTTTTTTCTTCTCCTTATTACACTTAGCACAGTGCCTGGTAATAGTAAGTGATTCATAAATGTTAGCTAAGATTATTCTTACTACAACCTGAGCTTTTCCTGTAAGGTGGTTGGGGGACATCTGTATTAGAATGATATTTGCTAAATCCAATTTTATTTCAAGGTCTGGGAAGACACTGTTAGGTTGGTTTCTTTCAGATGTCACTTTCAATAAACTTCCTTATCTCCCATTATTGCTAACCTGATCATGCTGGTTGTCAGTCAACAACCTTTCTTATGCCATCACTACTGTGTCTAATATTGTACCAGACACTGAAGATCTCCAGGGATTTCAACATTACCTAAAACCTAGAGTCCAGTCTGTTTCAGTTTTTACTAAAAACAGTGAAGTAATTTGGAAAAAAACCTATGAATTTGGTGAGTGAGGAAAATGCAAACTGTGCAGAATGTTTTTCATAATATTATCTGCTTTTGAAGCCCAAGAAATATAATGTTATGTAAGTGCCATAGTTCCTTCATAACCTGATTGCCTCTAAAAACAGTAGAAAACGCCTTCATTGTAACTTGGCCAAGTACTATATAGTGTACAAGTAAGAATTCTTTCTAGGTAATGGGCTTTTAATTTCATGATTGAAGTTTTGTAGTCACCCAATTATTCTGGAAAATCTCAGTCTTGAGCTCTTCAAATAGTGCCTTTTCCACATTCTCTTTATTATATCTTTCTAGTACATTTTATGTGTTGTTCATATATTCTAGCTCCTTGTATGTCTGCATTAATCCTTATGATTATTTATTTAGATCTGTCTTCCAGTTCTCTAATTCGCTCTTTGGCAGCATTAATCTGTTACCTAATCTATCTCTTCCAAATAACTAATTCTTTTAAAAAATATTTTCTTGAAAAATCTTACTTTTTATTTGTACATTGACAAACTATACTTACATATATTTTAATTCTTTTTTTGAGTTATGTTTAATGTGTTTCTTAATCCACTTATTAATGCATTTTTACAAGTTCTATTTTTTTTTTTCAAATTCGCTTGGTCTTTCTTATGGTCTTGTTTCTTGCTCGTACACCCAATCTTTTCTTTTATTTCTGTAAAAATATTAAATATATTATTTTATATTTTTGTATCTTATTCAAATACCTGAAGTCTTTGCAGGTCAGACTTTGCTATTTGTTATTTCTGAAGCTCTTTGTTATAATACCTTGCTATTGTATGTACTTTTGATTTTTGGCTATGAGTTCACATTCTGTGAGGATTTTTGAGGGTTGAGATAAAGTTGGGTTTCTCAAGAACCTGGTCTCTACTGGCTTCATCAAAGTTCAGTTGTCCTTTGAGGACTCCTGGGAGTCAGGATGCTGGCTTTATTTATTTATTTCCAATAGCTTTTTGAAGTATTATTTACACACCATAAAATTTATCTGTTAAAGTTCAGCTTATTTTTGTTCAGATTTTTAGAAGACTGTTGATGGATTGAGTAAAATCTAGAAGTTGACATACTGAAGGAAAAAGCTGATGTACTTGTTGTGGGAGGATGGGGAGAGGACTTGAATTATTTTGATGAAAAGGAATGAGACAAGCAAATGATTCAAGTATTTATAGATTAAAGAATTTGAAGATTAAAAGAATTGTTACCGAGAAATGCAGTTAAAGGAAAACATAAATACAGTAAGTGGAAGAGGACCAGAAAATTACGTTTGGTTAATTCCTACTCATCCTTCAGGTTGCTTTGAGGATGCCAATTCTTCCTGGAAGCCATCCTTGATCTCTCCCAATCTGACTTAGGTGTCCCTCCAATATATTCCCAGATCTCACTATTTTCTCAATTAGAGTAATTATCACAATGTGTTGTTAATTACTTGCTTACCTTTCTGAGTCTTCCTCTAGAGAGCAGGGGTCAGAAAACTCCTGTGCCTATTTTTGTAAAGTTTTATTGGAATACATCCACACCCATTCATTTATGTATTACTTATAGATGCTTTTATGCTACAATGGCAGAGTTTAGTTGCAACAGAGACCCCACAACCTAAAAAGCATACAAATTAACTTCTGATTCTTTACAGAAGAAGTTTATTCTAGTCTATGAAGGCAAAACAGTGCTTGGCTTGTTTACTGTTGCATCTCCAGCACATACCACAGTGCTTGTCACCTAGAAGGAGCTAAATAAATACAAGTGAATATATTGATTGAATGAAAAAGTTTTCAGATCCTGCTGTAATTGAGTTGGGGAAAAAAACAAGAAAAAGTTTTCAGAGACATCTATTTTGGGGTTATATGGAACTTAGAATGAATTTAATCAGAAGATATATAAAAGTGGGTATATAGTAGGTAAAAATCCCATTAGAAAGAATTTTAATACAATGTTTATAAGTCAGAGAGGCAGCTAAGCATAGTAAGAAGAATCAGCCAGACCTGGGGTCCATGGCTGCCTCTCACTCGCCACGTGGTTTCCATCAAATAATCAACCATGTTGAGCTTCAGCTTCCTTTTCTAAGGGTGGGGCTTATGATTTCTACCTTCATAGAGTGCTCTCAGGATTCAGTGAGAGGCTATGTGCACAGTCCCTGTCACATAACTGACTCTCATAAATGCTGGTTCCTTCTCACTTGTTTCCTTTCCTTCCATGACAAAGTAACTTTCTTTTCCTTGCAGATAGACTGGAATCAGTCCTTTGGTGAGGTTTTAAATGACCTCAAGCCCATGTTATTTGTGTTTTCAATGCTCTTTATCAGATAAAAGTCTGTGTTCCACTCAAATGAGTGCCATGTTGTTGAAGGCATGAAGCCAAAGGGGCAACCACCCTAAGATTTTCCTCCTGTTTCACAGCTTAAACCTTCCCACCATAAACACAGAATTCATCTGAGTTCAGGATCCTCTGTAACTAAAAAAAAAAAAATGACTGAAGTGCTAGAAAAAGGGATGGTTTGTGCAGGGGCAGCTCTTGGTGTGGGGTAAGTTCTGCCTAGCACAGTGTCTTTTCCATCTCAGCAGGACTTTTTCCACTGTATCAGTCTGCCTGTCATCTGTGTGACTTTGGGTAGCTCACTTAACATCTCTGGGCTAGTTTCTTTCTTCCTTTTTTTTTTTTTTTTGGAGATAGAGTCTCTCTCTGTTGGCCAGGCTGGAGAGCAATGGTGCTATCTCGGCTCACTGCAACATCCACCTCCTGGGTTCAAGTGATTCTCCTGCCTCAGCCTCCCAAGTAGCTGGGATTACAGGCATGCGCCACCACATCTGGCTAATTTTTTTTTTTTTTTTTATTTGAGACAGTCTCGTTTTGTTGCCAGGCTGGAGTGCAGTGGCGCAATCTCGGCCCACTGCAACCTCCAGCTCCTGGGTTCAAGCGATTCTCCTGCCTCAGCCTCCTGAGTAGTTGGGACTACAGGTGTGTGCCACCATGCCCAGCCAATTTTTGTGTTTTTAGTAGAGACGGGGTTTTGCCACGTTGGCCAGGCTGGTCTCCTGGCCTCAAGTGATCTACCCGCCTTGGCCTCCCAAAGTGCTGGGATTACAGGAGTGAACCACTGTGCCTGACCTCTCTGGGCTAGTTTATTTTCAAATAGAGTCTCTCTACCAAATCACAGGGTGCTTGTGAGGTAGATAAGGTAATATCGATCCCAGAGGGTGGAAATTTTAAAAATGGTTAAGTGGTATAGAAATGCAACTTTCTACAGCAGCATGGCCAATTCCCTGCTTTGCTGGAATCAGAATAAATGCTTCCTTTCTTTCCCTAATGAACGCAGGAGCCAGCCATCAAAGTGGGTGTAGGGCCTATGATGTAGTGGGAAAGAACATGTCGTCTAGGGGCACATGGGCTGAGCTCTCATCCTGTCTCTGTCACCTAGTAACTATGTGACCTTGGGATATTACCTAACCCTACTGTCTTTTTTGGTCAAAGTTGGATAATAATACATATTTTACAGGGCTTGTCAAGAAGTAGAGGAAATAATATATGCTAATTTCTTGACATATCAAACTCTTAATAAATGGTTGTTGCTATTTTATTTTCAAGACATACATTAGGAAACAGACATCTTTCAATGTATGAATTTCAGCAAAATGTTCTTTCAGCTGCGTTTTTGGTGGTCTCCATCAATTCTTTATTGTGGGATCTTCTGCCCCTAATCCTAGAAGCTCCTGTGGGCCTTGTTCCAGGTTCAGTGCCCTAAGCCTGTTGATGCTGTGGAAAGGCTGGCAAGAAAATTAGTATTTCTCCTGGCAATTAGCGATGAGTTTCTCTTTCTTGGTAGTAGGTGAAAGAATGAAAAGAAGACTCCTGTAAATGGAGTCTTTGTTAGGTAACAGGTTACCGTTTCTGCCATAGTTATGCAGATGAGTTGTTATACTGTTTTTGAAACATCTGCTTGACAAATCCCTTTAGAGTCACTCTTTGAACATAACATATATCTTCCCCCATGATAGCAATAATAGGCCACTCTGCAGGTTAAAGCAACATGCCTTTCCCTACTGGATATCAGTATTTTCCCATCAACATTTAGTAGATCCTAGGCAATCAAAAAGATACCAGCTGTCACTAAGATTAGCCACCATTATTGTTCTTATCATTATTGTGTATTGTTAAAATCTACCAAAGTGATATTAAGATTGTCCACATGAGTGCTCATTTTTCTCATGTTAGCTCAGCATTTTTCTCTGAAGTCTTTTTGTTCGTGAATGCCCAAAAAATAGCAGGCAAAGGAGAAACCTGGGAAAATAATTGGAAGAACTTCTCTACCACATTCCAAAGACAAAAGAGGCTGTCACCATGAATAATTTTTCCTTCTATCATGGCACACTGCAACTGAATTGATATTTATCTATATGTGATGGGTCCTACATAGCTAGTATTTTTGTATTTCTCTCTATTATATAGAAGAGAGATGATGCTTTAGAAGCTCTTCTAAGACTTGAGAGAAAATTCTAGTCATTTTAAAATTTATATTTATAAGTTTCCCCTTATCTTTCCTAATATTTTCCAGTCATTTTTCTCTAATTAAAACTACATACATAAACACACATTTGGTGAACATACACATACACCAAATGAAAATTCATATGTAAGTATTGGGAAAAGCTAAAATTAAACACAACAATAACCTTTAATACCTGCCTTTGCCAGCAGAGTAGAGAAATTTGATGTTGAAGAATGACATGCTAGAATCAAAAACATAAGACTATAGCTAAAAGAAGCCTCTAAAATGAGGCAGTTCTGTGTAAAAAATAAATGAATATGTGCCAAAGGTTTAGGTAGTTGGAAACTGTGTTATAATATTACTACCTCTGCTAATATTTAATAATATAGAGGCCCATGGGTAGTTTCACAAGGATTTTTATTTTCTGAGAATGATTTTGAGCTCACAAGCCACAAAAATCAACCTTATTTCTTTTCCCTATAAGAGTTCTTGTAGGAAAATATGTACTGATATAGGCTGAATCTCCTTATACCCCTCCACCTCATCCTGTAACTTGAAAATATGAACCTGAGGCTCCATTGATGAGTGACTTAGAGCTGAAAACTATGTTTTTCCTGCCAAAATAAAAATGACCTAAATTTTCTGAACTAATCTGCAAAATGAGGAAGCTTGTTTCTTGGACAAATAATTTATGACAATTTTCAAAGCACTGTCAAGTGCTATGGGCAAATATAAAGATGACTCAATCTGGCCTTCAAGACATTGATATTGGGAATACTAAGACATGTACACACATGAGAATAATAAAGAGTGACCTCAGCAGCTAGTAACTCTTCACCTAAAGTGCACTGGAAGTTCAAAGGCAAGAGGTGTCATTTCCTCTTGGGGGCATTGGGAAAGTTTTATGGAGAAGGTCCAATGTGGAATGAACCATGCTCTGTGGAGAGAGGGCATTCTAGGCTGAGGGTAAGAGTGTTGATTGGTGGTTAAAATCACAGAGACTTGAAGTCAAATCTTGGTAGTTTGGCCAGAGAAATGTACTTCTTTCTGCCTCAGTGTTTAACTAGAAAATGGAGAAATTCATTTGGTACCTGGTGCATGTAAGTACAAATATGTGAGTGCTATTATTAAAAGGAAGCATGCATAAATACTCACAGAGCTAAAAAGTATGGCCCATGGGTGGAGAAGAATATTAGCTTTATATAACGATTTGCCCTCAATGTGTATAAGCAGCTAGGATTCATGTAAAATACAATTAGTATTGACAAGGATTTGTTTTATTAGTTGTACATCTATAGCACAAAACAGTGTGCACCTGTGTGGGATCCTCAGTCTTCTTTATCAAAAAGAGATGAAACTCCTGTACTGATCAGTAGTGGGATCACGCCTGTGAATAACCACTATGCTCCAGCCTGGGCAACATAGTGAGATCCTGTTTCTAAAAATGAAAAAAAGAAAGAGATAAACAAGGATGTCTCCCTACCACTTACTGATGGAACTGATTTGAAGTATCCTTTTTTTTTTTTTTTTTTGGTCAAATTGGCAGGTCAGATAATAATAAGAGCTAACATTTACTGACACCATGTGCAAGTCACTTTCAACCTCATGACAATTGTGGGAAACAGCTGCTGTCATTACCATATTTTACAGATCCAAAGGGGAGGGAACAAAAAAAATTAAGTAACTTGCCTAGGGCCATACAGCTAGCAGGTGGTGGAGGCAGAAATTAAACTCAGGCAATCAGACATTAGAGCCTTCACTTTTACAATACTGTTCCATTGCAGTTGTACACTGAAATGACCAAGTCTTCTCCCTCCTGCCGCCTCGTGGCTAGTTGTCAGACCGTGGCAAAGTCAGTTTGATCAAAGTGATCCTAACAATTTGGACACCAATTACACAGAGCAATGGTTCTTAAACTTTTATAAGTCATGAGGCCTTTTGGAATCTAATGAAATTCTACGAATGCTCTCCCCAGAAAGATTCACCTCTCCCCTCCCCTAAACAAATAAACTTTTAGTTACAACTTCATGGAGTACACAGTTCCAACCCAAATCCATCCACTGAGACTTCTGGAGGCTAAAAGACTCTAAGGTAAGAACCCCTAGACCTGTAGTGACATCTATATCACTTTCATTATGGCCTGAAAATAAGAGAACACTTACTATCTTATTGCAGAAGTGAAAATACATGAGTCATTTAAAATCCCTGAGAGCTCTCCCCAACATTACTTGCAGACAAGTAATCCCTTTACATTTTAAGACATGTGTAGAAAGGGGATTTTTCTTATGTAGAGCCAGGTAAAGATTTATTCCTGGCTGGGCATGGTGGCTCACGCCTATAATTCCAGCACTTTGGGAGGCCAAGGTGGGAGGATCGCTTGAGCCCAGGAGTTTGAGACCAGCCTAAGCAACATAGTGAAATCCCATCTCTAAAAAAAAACTACAAAAGTTAGCCAGATACGGTGGTGTACACCTGTAGTTCCAGCTTCTTGGGAGGCTGATGTGAGAGGATCACTCAAGTCCTGGAGGTTGAGGCTGCAGTGAGCTGTGATTATGCTACTGCACTCTGGCTTGGGTGACAGAGCAAGACCCTGAAAAAAAAGAAAGAAAGAAAGAAAGAAAAGAAAAAAGAAAGAAAGAAAGGGAAAGAAACAACAAAGAAACAAAGAGAAAGAATGAAATTATTCCTGCTAATATTTTTTCCAGAGTATTATTCTAAGAAATCGATTCACTTTTATAACTTCTCAAACCATACAAGCCTGAGGAAGGACAACCAAAGGGGTGAGTGTCAGTAATCATGAACATTTAAAGAAGGCCAATGTACCTGAGGGTAGGCAGGCAGAAGTAGGCCTTATCATAGCAGCAGCCCTTTGATTTGACCACTCCAGCTCTCGATTGGTGTGCATTCTAGGTATTTATCTCTGTCAGTAACTTTATCCTTTAATGCAAAATTTGACGAGTGATTATTATTTATCAATGATAATTATGGCTAATAAGTGCTGATTAATCGAGTGCTGATTATTGGTAAAACACTTTTCTAAGTTCTTTATATTTTTTCTCATCCTCACATCAATCCTCAGAGATGGACACTACTATTATTCCCATTTTATAGATGGAGAAATTTGCCTCTGTTCAGAGCTAATATGTGGCAGAACAAGGATTCCGCCTGGGCTGCCTGACTGCAGAGCCCAAAGCCTGTCCTTTCAGCCACCTGCCCACTCTCCAGAAGAGAGCACCCTTTGTATTTTACCGTATGAGATCTCTGCACCATTCCCTACATTCTACACAATGGGGCTCTGACACCTACTTCTGATTTATCTGATTAGAGAACTGGGGGAGAACAGCCTCGGTTATGGTCCAGGCCATTATCTGCTCTTTGGGTGCAGGGATGCTTTTGGGTGTCCCATGCCAGGCTTGTTCCACCTGCTCCAGGATCAGATGATTGGTTCCCTTCATACAGACTCATTGCCAGTAAACTTGATTACTCAAACTTTGCTCAAGGGCCAACTCTGCTTAGTCCAGTCAGGGTCCTGCAAAGGAGCGCCGACCTGTCCCGCACATGTCTTGCATGATCTCCAGTCTGGGATGGCTGTGCTGCACTGGAAGGCTGTCTTATTAGCCATATGAACACTTTGTGCTGCCTTACCGACTCTATACTCAATTCTGCCCTTCCTCGGCTTTTTGTTCTTTGGTCAGCTGTGCCTGTGATCTCCAGGCTGTGGTGATCATTGGGCATAAATTCCTTGCCCCACTTTCCCCGGAAAAGGACTTCCTAATTGGGGTCTGAGCTGAAGTGGCTCTTCCTGTATTGAAATCCTTTGTGTGTTTTCATTAACTATGCTGTGTCATCACACAAGCAGTGGAGGTGGTGGTGGCACCATCCATTCATTCATGACACATTTATTAAGCACCTACTTATGTTCCAGGCATTGTGCTGAGTGCTGAGGTTGCCATGGTGACCAAGATCAAACTTGTTCCTGCTTTCATAGTTTACTGTTTTTGAATGAATCAGACACATAAAGAGGCAGGTGCAATACAATTTGATAAATATTCTGATAAGGCAATAACAAATATTTTGAGAGCACCTAAAAGGGGCAGCTATTCCAGACTTGAAGGGCTGGGGTGGACCCTGGGAGAAGTGGCATCTGAGACCTGAAGGGTATCTAGAAGAAGCTAGGCAGGCAAAGAGGTTGGTAGTTGGGTAGTAAGGAGGAGAAAGTGTTCAAGAAAGACGGAATAGCAAATCCAAAGGCCAACACACAGAAAAAGCATGTAACACCTGGGCAGCCGTGATTAGATCAGCATAGCTAAAGCAGAGTTTGCAATGACGTGTGGCCAGATATTATGCTGGTGAGCTGAACAGGAATGGGGATAAGAAGGGTGGCTATCATTTAATCTTTCTATGTACCATGTAGGTACCACTTGTCTTCATAGGCTAAACTACTGTTTCTTGAATATATAGGGGCAGGGATGAAGCTAAGGAGTAACATTTGTCGAGTCCTGGTACATGTTGGGGATGATGGATGATCTCAGAGACCTTTCATTCCAGACTCCAGCCCATACCACTCAAGGGCCCCAACCCAGCCAAATGCCTTCCTCCTTCAGGTAGAGTCCCT
Source organism: Homo sapiens (assembly GCF_000001405.40). Lineage (NCBI taxonomy): Eukaryota > Metazoa > Chordata > Mammalia > Primates > Hominidae > Homo > Homo sapiens. Next base: position 84,386,601 of record NC_000001.11, on the reverse strand, counting down.
TGTGGCTCAATATACACCAGAGTCTTCCACCTGTTACTGCTCCCAGTGCTGTTCACTCTGAAAACTGGCGCCCTTAATCACAGTCCCCTCTGCTACCTCTGCTGCTGCTGCTTCCACAGCCAGGCCTGGCCTCTATTGCTGGGATTAACCTCAGTGTACCACTAGCTGCTGGGAACTAAGCCAGGCCTTTGACATTCACCAGCAGCCCTACAAGGTAGAGGTGCTTCTTTCCATTTGCACAAATGGGGAAACTGAGGCTCAGAAACATTAAATTACTTGTTGCAAGCCACAAAGCTTTAAGTGGCAGGGTTGAATTTGAACTTCGTTTAATCCCAAAGCCACTACCACACAACAGTTTCTCTTTCCCCGACAGTCTTGTAGTTCTTACTGAGATCCCTTGAGTCTGCTCCTTTGGTTTTCTTATTGACCCTTTTCTTCAGCATGAGTCCCCAAATGTTGGGCCAGAGGCTTTTCAGAGGCCTCTCCAAGAGTTTTCCTTAACCTCTCACAAGAAAGAACTGAATTCAGATATCTCAACCCCCGAGGGCATGTTCAATGACCAACAATAGCCTGCCCTGCCCAGCTCTATCTCCAAGATTGGAGGCAGCCTCCCACCCCCTACTTTAAGAACAGCAGTACTTTCTGACTTTGGCTAGTATTCTTAAATTCCCCTCAGAGGGTCTGGTGATTTTTTATTCAAATAGATATTTAGGCAGCCCTTAGTACACCTGAACATCCTAAGTGTGATTTGCAGATGAGGTTCCTTCTTTGTCTCCTACCCAGACTCTCACTGCATGCTGTTTTTCATTTACTTTTATTTTTGTCACCTTCTTTCATTATCATTTTAATGTTCAATTTCTGTGCTAAATAAAATAAGGTTTTTCTGTTCTTCTGCTCCCTCCTGCCTCTTTCCTCAAACACCAGTAAAGCCCAGGGACAAATCTTATGGATTCTACCAGTGGAGATGAATGTGTTCACTAGCCAAGGCTCCAGCTTCAGACAAGGGTAGTAATGAATCAATCACTAGGCTTTTATTAAGTGTCTCTTCACTAAAAGCATAGCTCTTCCTGCAGCCAGACAGCCTTGGCTCTGCACTCCTGAAGGTAATCTGGACCCTGTCACTAATTACTGTTCTTCCCGGCAGCAAGTAGAAAAGGCAATTTTCAAATTGTTTCTATTGATCACAGGGCATTTTCTCCAGAATGTCACTCTCTATAAAAAGGGCATGCAATTATTTCCAGGTAACATAGTGAAGATATTTTATAGAAGAAAAGCAGTTCACCTACTGGCCATTCTACAATTTAGAGTCAATAGACTTGAGTGCAAATCCTGGCTCTGTCCTTTACTAGCCGTATGAACTAGGGCAAATCACTTAATATCTTTGAAACTCACCTCCTCCCTCCATAAATGGGAATATTAATTCCCATTTTACACTGGGATTATAAAGATTTTACAGTGCTATTACAAGGATTAGGTTAGTGGGGATTAAATAAAACAGTACAGTTTTGACCCAGGAGGTCCTATTAATGTATTTATTATTATTATCAAAAAAGCCCTGTACCTGTCAGTCTTCAGAACAATCTGATATATTTTCATTTGCTGCATGGGATTCTCTTTTTCCTATACAAGTTCTCATTCTTCTTCAAAAGTAGAATGTGATATTGCTTCCATATATACTCTGAATCTCATCTTTTACAATTGTATGATATAATGAAGGTTTAAGTAAATTTCACCTAACTTTTGGCTTTCATTGAGCCTTCTTCAATAAGATGCCTGTGTTTTCATTGCAGAATGATGAGGTGGAGTTTGTCCGAACTGGCTATGGGAAGGAAATGGTAAAAGTTCTCCATATTCAGTGAGATGGAAAATATCACAGCATTAAAGAGGTGGCAACTTCAGTGCAACTTACTCTAAGTTCCAAAAAAGATTACCTGCATGGAGATAATTCAGACATCATCCCTACAGACACCATCAAGAACACAGTTCATGTCTTGGCAAAGTTTAAAGAAGTATGTGTCATTCTTCTTAGATGCCGCCTATCTTGATGCAGAATTTGCCATAAAACAGCATGAAGTGTTACTTGCTTATTTCCAGTTCCCTTTGCATTTTAATCTATTTTTACATTTAAGCCATTTTTTAAAAAAATGTTCTTTTCTAGCCTAAAGGTCTCAGGATTGAAGAAAACTTTGCAGAAAAGCAAACAAACACACAAACCTCACATCTTTGTTTCCTTGGCTCTTATCTCACTGCAATCTTTTAGGCAGAGAATCTTATTGGACAAAATACATGTTATCTCTAATTAGAATCAAAGGAAAATCAAGGTCCTGAAAGAATTTCAGAATAGAATTTTACACATTTTTGTCATGCATTTCTTTGAGTCTTACCATTTAGTTTTTATTTTTTTAGAATGGTGTGCATTTATAGAAGAAAATATCATTTCACTTCTTGTTATTAATACAGAAGAATATCTTGAGTATGAGATACATTTATTTTTATTGTTGAAATCTATTTTCCAAATTTTAATGCCATTCTAACTTTCCCAACTCTATTACCACTTACTGTTCATATACAGTGGTTATTAGGACTTTTCAAGAGAGACTTAGATCTGATAGAACTGATATTTTAGCATTTCCAGCTCTGGTTTCTTTTTTCTTTTTTTTTTTGAGACAGAGTCTCGCTCTGTCACTAGGCTGGAGTGCAGTGGCGTGATCTCGGCTCACTGCAACCTCCGCCTCCTGGGTTCAAGTGATTCTCCTGTCTCAGCCTCCCAAGTAACTGGGACTACAGGCGCCTGCCACCATGCCCAGCTAATTTTTTTTTTTTTTTTGCATTTTTAGTAGAGATGGGGTTTCACCATGTTGGCCAAGATGGTCTCAATCTCCTGACCTTGTGATCCACCTGCCTCGGCGTCCCAAAGTGCTGGGATTACAGGCATGAGCCACCGTGCCCGACCCCACTTATGGTTTCTTTAAGTGTGAGTGAAGCTATGCTGGGTCACCCAGATTTCTGGGCAATTCAAGCTGATTTTTTTTTTTTTTTACTTGCCATGAAGTCTAAAAAGACAAGAAATGTAGACTGGAAAGCTTCTTTTCTCATGTTTTCTCATGAAATCCATACCCATAATTCATTAAATGAACAAACATTGCAATATAATTTCTGCAACTCCTATTTTTACCCTGAACCTTTCTCTTGCTAATCAGAATGACCCAGCAAACATAGATGGGGCTATGGAAAAAGGTACTGCATTCTTTAAAAAAATCGTTTGAAAGTAGACCTGTGCTGTGATATGGACAAGGGCCAGGTACAACAGATTCTTGTATTTCCTGTACTGTGTAGGAGTTTGCAGAAAAGTGAAGAATGGACCTGAATGTTAAAAACTACTTAAAGTCATTCATTATGGATAGAGTGATTGTATAGCTTCTTATCCAAACCAGGACACTTTTGAGCTCAAAATAGGATGCTATTCGTAATTATTCTGGGCCAACAGGTATAAAACAGAACTATACTGGGGAAGCCTGTACAAATACTTCACTTTAATTATAGGCAAAGCCATTAATAATTTCCAGACTGTGCTAAGACCATAAAATATTACCTAGGGATTAATATGGAAGCTGCATTATGGGGGTGGAGAGCTGGGATCAATAGAAGGACTGTATGCAAGGTAAGGAGTGAGGTGGCCCTTCATTAACATTTTTCCTTGGGAAAATGGGAAGCCTCATAGAGTTTAGAGTGTTGTGGTGTGCTGTGGTTGATACAAGTGATGACTGAACGCACTGTGAGAAGAATCTGAATGTTAAGTTATTTTTTGCTCATCCACTGACACATCCTCTCCTGCAAAATGGGTTTCTTTTAAAAACGAGAGTCTCACCTGGTGATGGTGATTATTAACTTCATTTGGGAGCTCTAATAAAAAAGTGAGATAAACACCTTTTTCTCTTGAGGTAGACTCTATTCTCTGCTTGTCTAGTTCTAAAAAGCAATTCATCAGGAAAGAGAACATCATGAGTAATATCAAAAGACAAAATTACAACAAGTTTAGTTATAGAGTGAATTGGTTTTTATTTACCATTGGGGCAGCTTCTGTTCTACAAAAAAGAGTAAGAGCTTCCACTGGGCATTGGGTTTTGTAAGGTGGGAACAAGAAACAGAACAATGGAAAAAAAAACTGATTGGTTAACATCGGGTTTCAGATTACTTTTTTAGTAAGAGTTAAAGCAGAGGGGACTTCCTTATCGCACTGACTCAGATAGACTGGAATCTCCTGTTTTCAGGAAAAACTGGTCTGTTTTGGTATCTATCTGCTTCCTTAAAGCTTCAATTTGATTATGTGGAATTTAGCATAAGTGACTCCATTTTGGTCTGGTCTGTTGGGGTCTAATGCAGGAGCTTAGTCCAAAGCAATGACCTCCCATCGTTTCATTTAACAGTATTTATAAATTATTTTTAAATGGGACAATTATTTCTGCTTTGAAGCATTTTGTTTCTTTTTACAAATCAAAAGCATAGAAGCCTTTGGTGTGAATATTTGTGAGCATTTTCTTTCTTCTTTTAACCATGTAATCCGAGCTCAAGTCTACATGGAAGAAATCCCTTGGAAGCATCTTGGAAAGGTTAACTCACTTATTTGTGCTCTCAGTTTAATTAAAGAAATTGGCTTTATGGCATGAACTGAAATTTTCCTGGAAATAATTTGTTTCCCTAATTTTCAGAATGGAGTTAAGCATGTCCATGCATTTATTCACACTCCCACTGGAACACACTTCTGTGAAGTTGAACAGCTGAGAAGTGGTAAGAAACTATTTTTCATGCTTTGATTATATAGTAGCAACTTCAGGGTGGCTTTGTTTTCTTTTTTCTTCATTTCTTCTAAACAATGCTGTTTACTAACATGGAGGAAAACTGTAGAGACTTTTTAAGGCTTTTAAATCTGAGATAGAAATGAATATTGTGACTTTGAATTATATTAAAGAATTATCTACTTTTTGTCTTAAAAATATAAAAATGAAATAATTCATTTTGCAACAACCCTGGGGATTGAGTCAGGCAAATCATTTTTATTACCAGATTTTGAGGTAAGGCAAAATAAAAAAAGGCCCAGCCTGAAAAGAACGCAAATCTCTGGATTTTCTGACCAATATTTTTTGTGCCACATCATGTTACAATTATAGTAACCTTCATAGGAAATATTTACTAAATAATAGTCAAGTTTTCCTGAAATTTTATTTTGTGTAATAAAACCACTAATATTGTAATTCCTATAAAATGCATCTCATTTAAGATAGCAATGGCAATTATATAATTCTATTTCCTAAGAAATTTCCAAATTAATTATGAAACATAATTATATCATAGGTGTTATTAGTACTGATAACTGAACTTAGCAAATATTAAAATTTCCACAGCTTGTATTCCACAGATTTGTTGAGCTTGTCAGAGCAGAGTTCAATAATTGGCTAAGAGTTAGGCTAGAGGACCTCTAAGAACCATGGAGACAAAGCTGGTAATAATGTCTTTATCCCAGTAAAAAAATAAACTTTACTGATTGTTATAAAATGAAAGGGTGGACTCTAAAATTTTTCTATTTTCTTTCCCTCCCCTCCTTTACTCTTCCCTTTTCTTCTTTGCTGTTGCCTTCCCTTCCCTTCCCTTCCCTTCCCTTCCTCCTTAGTAGGAATTTGAAGTGGCATCTAATGAATATCAGATTTATTATAAGGTTAATAAAATATAAGATCCCTTCTCATTCTGAGTTCTTTTGGATAATGCCCTCCTTAGAAAGTTCTAGTGTATTAGCTATTTTTAAATATTTTCCACTATGTGAATTAAAGTCTATACATAACTAGGGCCTTCTCAACGTTTGATAAACAGTTATAAAGTTAATGTTATATAAAAGAGACTAAATAGCTGTTGTATTTGGTTAAAAAGATGATCTTTATCACCCAGATGTGTAGTCATATGCTATATTAGCTTTCTGAGCTATTTGTTAAGTTAAATTGGAACTAACTTCTTTCTTTCCTTCCCTCCTTTCCTTAGCCCTTCCTTCCTTCCTTTCTGTCTCTCTGGTTCCTTCCTTCTTTCCCTCTCCTTTCTCTTCCTCCCTCCCTCCCTTCTTCCTTCTTTTCTTTCTTCCTTCCTTCTTGTCTTAGATATGTGGCTTTGGAGGAGAAAGAAAAGTTTCCTGACTCAATGTTATCCTACCCAAGCCTCATTAACTACCCTCATAAAACTAGAAACTCGAAATCAGCTCTGCCCAACTGAAATATAATGCAAGCCATATATATAATTTAAAATTTTTTTCATAACCACATTAGAAAAGCAAAAAGAAATTAGGGAAATTAATTTTAATAATATATTTTATTTAAATAACATCAAAAATATTTCAGTATGTAATAAGTATAAAAATTACTAATGAAGTATTTTACATTCTTTTTACAAAATTGTCTTTAAAATTCTGTATTTTATATGTGTAGCTTATCTCAAGTTATGCTAGCCATAATTCAAGTGCTTAATAGCCACATGTGGCTTAGTGGCTACTGTATAGATCAGCATAACTTAAAACTGCTTTTCAGTGACGTTTGGGATGCTTTTTTACATTTTTTACATTTTTCAATAATGTAAAATAACAACAGCAGCTAGGATTAGGCCTCAAGAGAGCTAATTAACAATGAGAGCATTTATGAAAAGTGCTTATGTCATTCATTCATATACTATTCATTCAACAACTAGATTTCGAGGCCCTATTATGTATGCAAAGGGCTGTAGGTAAAGAGGGGAATAAGATGCTCCCTGACCCTAGTGAGACAGATTGACTGCAGTATGAGAGGCTAGAGACTATGATGAAGGGATAAAAGGCATGCTATGGGAACTGAGAAGTGAAGAAACTCTTTCCAGAGCAGTCTGTCTGGAAGGCTTGACAAAGGAGGAAAAAATATTCCATTTGACTTTTGAAAAATGATTCAGAATATGCTGCGCATTAAAGGAGGAAAGGGAATTACACGCAGAAGAAACAGGATACATATGAGTACAGTCCATGAGGAGTGAAAGAGGGGAAGTAAAATATTTTGAGCACTTGCTTCATGCTGAAGACTATGCCGGGGAAGTAATTTATTTAACTGTGGAAAGGGCAAAGCATTTGGGGGACAGTAACAAATTCAGTGGGTCTGATTTCTAGAATGTAAGAAGGGAGATGAAGATAAATAAGTTGGTGGTTTGGGCTGGAATCTGAAGGGCCTCATGTGTTATACACAAGTTTAGTATAAGATGAAGGCAGTTTTGCACAGTGGTTAAGCAAGAGGCCTTGAGGTCAGAATGAATCATTTGAATTTGAGCTCCACTACTTAATAACTTTGTGATTAAGAGCAAGGTTACTTATACTACACTGGTGGGTTTTAATTTGTAAAACAAGGATACCAGTGCCCACTTCAACAACTATCCAGAGAAACAAAGGAGATAAATGCTAATTTATTTTATTAAGGCATTTAGCATAGTACTTAGCATAGTACTTGGCACACTAAGCTCTCCTTAACTAATAGCTATAGTTATTGTTTAGAATGACAACAGAGAACCAGAGAAAGCCTCTAATGGTCAGATTACTATGTGCATGTTTTTGTTCAGAAACTCTGAACAAGGTATGGTGACAGATTAAAGAAACAGGCAGTAGTGAGACATTTGGAGACTTGCAAAGATGAAGTGATGGGGTCTAAACTAAAGCAGTAGAAATAGAGCTGGAGAGACTGAGAGGTTGTGGGAAGCATTATGTGAGACATTTTTGAAGTGTAATCAATAGGTCTTAGTGGTTGATTAGAGATGGAAGATTGGAGAGAAAGAGGAGTTAAAATTGACCCTAATCTGGGAGGACTGGGCAACTGACTAAGGAGATTACACACAAGGGGAAGTTTTCAGGTGGGAAGCTGGTGAATGTGGGACTATGTGATGGAGATAGATTTGGGGCCCATCAGCAGATTGGTGGTAGGTGAAGCTACAGCAGATTGGTGTTAGGTAAAGCCACAGGGAAGAAGGACCATTCCAGAAAAACACACAAAGTGAGAAGAGTTTGAAAGAGGAGATGGCCTGGGAAAAATTCCCCACTGTAAGGGTTGGGCAGTTTAAAAACTGAGACAGAAGAATGTTTAGAGAGATAGAAGGAAGACGAGGGATGATAGTGTCATGGAAGCAGAAGAAAAAGACATTTCAAGAAATTAGGGATTTCTGAATTACTGGGGAACAAAGATGCATAAAAAATAGGCCCATGTGCAGTGGCTCAGCACTAGAAGTTTACTTCTTTTTGCAGAAGTCCAGTTCAGTGTCTGTGTGGGGGGCTAGGGGGGTCAGGGGGATGCTGTGCTCCATGAAGTTCTTCAGGAACCCAGGTTGATGGCAACTTTATATTTGTAATCCTTACTTTTTGGTGTCACCTTGAAAGTAGACCCTCATACCAGACAACCAAAGAAAGAGCTTAGAGGGGCAAAGTCCTTGAAGCGTAAGCTCCCGGCCTGGAAACAGCATGGATCATTTCTTCTGGAGAGAGCTCAGTCACATAGTCACACCTCACTGCAAGGGACACTGTGAAATGTCATCTAGCTGAGTGCCAGGAGGAAGAGCAAGTAGATTTAGCCTCTGCCATAGGAGAGTTAAGAAGTTGGGGTTCCGAGAGGACTGATGAGAAACTATGTAGTCAGTAAATAGGCGTCATTGGTGACTTCCCAGAATACTTTTAGCAGAGCCAGGGAGGTGGAAGTCAAGTGGCCAAGTATAGGGCTGTGCTGATCATGAAAAGAAAACGGACTTCTCTTTATATCCTGTTCTTTCCAGGAATGACCAAGAGTTGCTATCAGCTTGAATTCTAATCACCTGGCTGCAGCTGAGTGGAAAAACTAGCCACCATAATCAGGTTAAAACTTTTTCTTTCTGCAGAAAGCTGCAAAGCTTCAGGGTATTGAGATCATTGTGGCAGTGTTCCCAGAAGCTCCAGCTTGACTCATCTAGAGTCCAGCCCCCAACTCCCCCTCTGATTTCATGCAGGGCTGGCAGGGATTGGGGTAGCAGAAGAGATATCTGTTGCCTTAAGTGTATACAGGTATGTGTGTGCACATGTTTATGGGTGTGTGTATCTTTCAGTGTTGTGTATATGAAGATGACATTTCTACTCTGTCCCTCTTTGGAGAGTAGGGATGTATGCTCTTTTGGTAGCAAAGTTTAATTCTTTATTTGCTTATTATCCAAGAGCTGAAACTGTAGGAATCGTAATGTGAGAGAATGTTACAATCATTGTCATAAGAAATGCCCTTGTAAAGGCTTAACTAAAGAAAATAGTAATTATATTATACACACACCACTCACAAATTCACATGGGGAAGGCTATTGTTACAAACACCTGAGTAGTGCCTTTGGTGGGGGACCGGCTAGAATGGTAAGACTTTTGCCCCCTCAAACACATGTGCTTATTCACACGTTCAGTCACGCCACTCCCAAAAGGACTCTTCCCAGGAGGAGGTGTGACTGAGTTTCTCCCGATGGACTATATTCATTCTTACTTAGCAAATGAACAAACATTTCTAGAAATGCTGCTGAACCTCAAGCACCACTTTAACCCCTGGGAATTGCTCTAAAACTCCCATTACACTGTTTCTTCCTAGTGGATCTTTTACAGCTACATCACTAGGCTGTATTTTAGTTGTTTCAAAGCCTACTGATTCCACAGGAGAATCTGGAAGAGAGAAAGAAATTTGTTTGCCCAAAGGAATGAGGGCTGGTTTTATGTTTGTGACTTCTCAAGCCCTGAGAGGAGAACTAGGCCCTATGTGTATGAAGCAGGCTGTTGGTTTAGGTATCATATGGCATTGAATCTTCAGAACTCTTTCTATCAAGTATCAGTGAGAAACTACAAGCTTAACGGAGCTGTAAGTCATTGGTATGATTGAGTCACTAATTTGAACTAAACTGACCCCCAAACCTCTGCACTATTTGAATTATAACTCACAATTTCTTCAGCATCAAATTTCTCCCATTTGACACTAATTATGAAATTCAGCTAAAGCATAGCTAAATAGAGGAATGGAAGATGGAGAAGAGGCCTCAAATACTAGATTGTGTCTTCTGATAGTGAAAAATACTTCCTATATTTCTATTGACATGAAGGGTAGTGAGGGTAGGGGGATGGTTGTAAGGAAGGCAACTGATGAAATCCGACCTGGAGGAGAACAGATTTAAGAGGTGACAAGATGGGCAGATGGAAGAAGTGAAATGGGAGAAGTGGGAGATCCAGGACAGAGATGGCTACTGCCAAGAAGTCTGTTTATGTCGTTTTGATATCAAGACTAAAGTGCTCTTCGGTTCCTCTGTAAGAAAAGTTCTTGGCAGATTCGTGGTCTTTTAAAATGTTCTTGGTCATCACCTGGTTGTACAAAAGCCCAGTTAATTTCCTACCATCTGGATGATGTCATCTCTTTCCATCCACAGTTGCGCAGAGGGAGCTTTCGCTCTTCCTGCATGAGCTAAATGGACTCTCCAAGGCAAATATTTAATTGATCTTTACTTTTTCTGGCACTTTACAAGTTTGAGATTTTCTACTAGAATGATTTAATATGGTTTTAAAATATCTGCCTTTCAGCTATTTGTGTCCTTTTTGGAGGTGTTAAATGTGGAAGCAATTATCCTCTTATGACAAGATCTTTTTCTTGGCTCAATAAAGCTTTGTGCTTTGTGACACCTGATGCGTAGGTAAGGAATTGGGCTTATTTTCTATTAATTCGCAGTGAGTTTCTTTCCCTTAGATAGCTAAAGGGTAGGATGTATGATTCTCTGAGAGATAAGCCACAATCTGCTAAGTGTGTAGGAGGACACTAAAAGCTGGAAAAGATTATGTTCTAGCAAAGTGAAATGTGAAAAATCTTTCTTTTGCATTACTCCATAACCAAGGCAGAAAAACAAAACAAAACAAAGCTGATTAAGTGATTTCATGGGGTGTAACCTAGAAAAGGACAGTTTTTGAATTACTTCTTGTTGGTCTAAATGGGAATCTTTTTTAGAGTGTGTTAGGCATCATATTTTTAGTTGATGGGCCCATGATTTTGAAAGCCTCAGGTTCTTACCAATGTTCAGAAAGCTGGGGCACCGCCAACAGAGAAGATAAAATAAGCTCTCTGATTTCATCCAGCATGTCTAATGTGTGCCAGGGAAAAATTCTTTTAACATTCAGAGAATAGTTTTTGTTGTTGTTGTTGTTGTTTTTAATAGAATGATGAGAGCACCAGAGTAGATGGTGTGTGTTCTGCCAAAACTGTGGCAATAGTTAATTGTCTTGGGGAACATGAGACATTTTATTCTGTGTGAAACTGATGCCAAGACACATTTTAAAAATACAACTGCTGTCTCCGTTTTTAGATTCCAGTGAGAAAGCAGATCATTTCAAAGTGGCCTAGTAGGACTGACATTCGCTTAAGGTCAATAAATCTTATCCCAGGGCTGGAGATGGATAGGACGGCACATTAGAAGTAGTTTTCAGAACCCAGTAAGACTTTGTGAAACATGGGAAATATTTATAAGTTGTTGAAGTCATTGGGAAAAAGTCAATTATGGCAAAATCATCATCATCACATTTGTAGAGCACTTTCGTAGGTCAGCAATTCTACTAAGTTCTTTATGTGCATCCTCTTAGACATGTGGCAACTCTAGGAAATATGTATGATTATCGTCTCCATTTTACAGATGACAAAATCAAGGTAGAGAGGGGTTAAATAATTCCCTCAGGAGCATAGAGCTCATAAAAATGGGGGTTGAGGATGCAGGGAGAGCACTGGGATTTGAGTTCTAGGAATCTGAGTCTCAAAGCTGTAGATTCAACCACTATGCAACATTGCATCCAGGAATCCTTTTATGGTTAACACCTTTGGAGGAGCCAAAGTTTGACTGGCTTACATGGATGCCAGCAGTCAAGGCCAGATGAATAGGAAGAAAACAATGTAGATAAAGTTTGTCTTTGGTTCTTTTTCACCTTCTTTTCATTCTCCTGCAAGGGTTTCTGCTACTCATTTTAACCCCACTCCTGATTGCAAACCCATGTTTCATTTCTATAGGATTTTGTTTTCTAGAAAGGCTTACCATGGGAAGTAGATTATCATAGTACCTTACAAAGGCTTAAGGAGTCACTTCTTTAAGGGATATTTATTTGCATTTCAATAGGAAATGTTTAAGGAATACAAAGGTTTTTAGATACATAGGAGCCAACTCTAAAAATGATTATTCAATCTCTGTTTCTGACCAATGGAGATGGTATTTTTCAGGCAGGGGGCTCTATCTGAGGTCCTTAAAGCACGCTGTGAATAGAAGGTGGCAACCTTGTCTCCTGGAAAGGCCACGTATAGAACACAAATGGGGAAAGGGTCAAAGGAAGGAGGAACCATTGCATAGATGGGAAGTGATCCAAAAAGCAGGAAGAAAAGCATGGGATCTCATAATGTGGTGCTGAGTTTAAATTCCACCTGTGACAGTTTCTAGCCATGTGACTATGGGCAAATGATTAAAAGTCACCTACATTAAAATAACTGCTTTATAGAGTGTTGAGAACTAAGTAAGATAAAGACTGAAAACTGCAGCAACCAAAGTCATGTCTACAGAGAGGAGGTTCTTAGCCAAGGTTAACACCCTTCCTTTCACCCCCTGCCACACTATGTGTGAGTTGGAGGGGACCAGAAAGGGAAATGGTAAAGACTGATGGGGCTGAACTGTCTAGAAAAGAAAGATACTAAATTGTGCAATGCTTATTCCTTGACATGAATCAATCTTGCTAAACTCATTCATTCATTCATTCAACAGATACTTATTGATTGTTTCTGTAGTTCTGCTGGGTTTGAGGCTTCCACTCACTGCATGTAGCAATGCTGATTTTGTGAGATCATGACTTCATACATTTAGAATCTGATAAACCCAGCCAGCTGAAGGCTTTAAGGCATTGTTGGTATCTTTCTCTTGCTCCTTCTTCAGATGTAGCTTCCAGTAAGTACTTCGGAAAGTTAAACAAGGATCATTTCCAGTTTCACCGCATTATCCTGGGACACTCTGCACAGAATATCTTCTTTAATCAGGACATATTTAATCAGCAGATCTACCACTAACCACTGGCTATTGTTCTCTCTGATAGGAGTATACTGAAGCATGGAAAAACAGAAATACAGACTTTATTTACCTACTTTTGAAACTCCACAGCTCCTGAGTTAACTGTAGCAATAGAAACCACATAGGTGATGTAAACCATTGGATTTTTAAGAGCTTCCTTGGATTTTAATTGAGGATCATGAGTTATATTCTTGTTCTTCAACTAAGACCATGTGTGTGGTGATACCTGACATCTCTGGCCCTTGATTTTTAGACTGAACAGTCCAAGAAGCATAGATATTGGTTGGAACTAACAAAGAGACTGAAAAGAGGTGATCTTAATAATCGTGCCATGGCACTTTGCTATTAGGGTTTGCCAAGTGCTCCCGGAATGTCCCCAATCCTTGCCAGCCTGTGCAGACAAATAAAGTCATAGTGATGTTAATATTGTTCTTTTTTAGATGATGCCTGTCACCCTTCCACCTGCCCCATTACCTTATGAAAGCACAGCAGAGACAGAAGGAGAGCCATATCATTCCCTCCATTGTTTTCAACTCTCCCTTCTCTCCCCCCAGGTACCCATGAACCAAGTTCGTCCCTTCTCCTTCAGCAGAAAAAACAAAAGCCTTTATAGATATCAACTTAGGCAGATCTATCCCTTGTGAGTCACCAACTCCATCTTCCCTGTCTTATTTAGGCTCAGCCAGGCCCACGCTGCTACCCATTTATGAAGTTGCCTGGTTTTGCTGAGCTGATAACCGTAAGGGAACTGGGATGCTGGGATGCCATCAGGGCTTACTGGAGATTGGGATCATCAGCTACTGTAGATGATCAGCATGAGGACTACCCCCAGTAAAGGGGTCACAGTAGCAGGTAGAGGAATGGCTCTTAAGGGCCGTATTAACACATTTCAGCATGATCACCTGTTGGAGGAGATGGAGCTCAAAATACATAAGGTGAGTTGGCCAAGAAGACACTCCCGCTTGTAGTTGAGAGGAATGTATTCATTTCTGTGGCCTTCAATACGGAATGGAGGTTATTCTTAGACCTTCAGATTTTCGAGGGCAAGACAGGGCAGGGAGTCTTGGAATCCAGATGGAAGCAAAGGCACACCATCCTCTTCACTTGGACTTCAGAGGAAATAGGATGACAGAAAACACGGGCGGTGATGTAGTTTTTGTACAGAATGTGTCATGTTTTAATGACCAGGATCCTCTGTGCTAGGTATCAGCAACAAGACACTGTTTATGACCTCAGCCACTCTTGACTTTCTACTTGAAACAGGACCCCAAGTCATTCATTCTGGAATCAAAGACCTCAAGGTCTTGAAAACAACACAGTCTGGATTTGAAGGTTTCATCAAGGACCAGTTCACTACCCTCCCTGAGGTGAAGGACTGATGCTTTGCCACCCAAGTGTACTGCAAGTGGCGCTACCACCAGTGCAGGGATGTGGACTTCAAGGCTACCTGGTATGAACACGTGCATGTAGTGTCTACTCTTGTCCCAGGGGCCCAGACTTCATAGAATCTTAGATGTAAAAGAGAAACTTAGAGGCCATTCAACTCAACTTCCCACTATTCAGAAATCCCTTCTGTTTATTCAATTTATTAAATTGGTGGTTCTCAAACATGCATGTGCATCAGAATCACACAGAACCAGAAAATGAAGCTTGCTGGGCCCATCCCCAGAGATTCTGATTCTGTAGGACTGAGGTGGGGCCCAAGAACATGCATTTCTTGCAAACTCCCAGGGGATGCAGATGATGCCACTGGACCAGGGACCACAGTTGAAGAAACACGGCATCAAATGAAGAGAATATCTGGCCTTACTACCTCATAGTGATGCAGAGAGGGCTAAACGAGGGTGACCAACTTGTTGTAGTTTGTCACGGACTTCCTGGTTTTAACACTGAAAGTCCCATGTCTCAGGAAACCTCTTGGTTCCAGGCAAACTGGGATAATTGGTCAATCTAGGCTAAACTCAAAATGATATGATGTTCACAAAAGCATTTTATAAGTTATAAATGCCTTAAAAATATTGTTAACTGAAATAACAGAGAGAGATTCTACAAAGATAATGAATTTATTTAGGAAAACACGGAATCTGCAAATTTGTGGGCTGCAGGAACCATAGGCATATCCTAAGAGGTTGAAGCAAGGGGAAGCTTTTAAAAGCAAAAGGAAAAAGTGTATGTAATTTGTTTTCAGACAAAGAGAACACTGGTTATAGTGGCTATCGCAGGAATTGACGCCAGCTCATTAGTGAAGACTGTGGCAGGCAAATGTTCTTGTACATCTGGCTAGCTGTCCTTGTGACTCACGTCACGAGCCACTGTTTGAAAAGTCCTTTGCAAAATTGTTGTTACAGGCATATGTACATAAGAGCCCTTCAGAGAGTCTTTGCAATAGTTCTTACAGGCATCTGTGCCTGAGGGCCCTCCCTCAGCTTCCTGGCTTTATTTATTTATTTCATTAGCATCTGACACAAGTGACTCCATTTTGATTCTGACAACTCACAATATAAAGGTATGATTATTGTTATATCCTGACAGGGAGTAATTAGGCCTCTGAACTTTCAGAACTTGCTTTTTGATTAGGTATCTCATTCCTTTGCTAAAGCTCTTTTAGAAATTTCTACCCTACCATAAGCTAGAATCTGCATGCATACCCTTCCCCCACCACCCACTCCCACAGCTGTCCCTCCCACTAGTGTAGTTTTTCTCTGCTTCTTTTATTATGTGATAGGTTTTTAAATGCATGATGAGAACGTTACCTCAGTCTTCTTTCCCTTTTATTTCAAGTGCTCTCCATGGGCAGCAGCCTGATGTATTTATGTTGAAAAGAGCTTGAAATTGAACATGCCAGAGGCAGGATAGTACTGTAGGCTGGGCCTCCTTCTAAAGAGAGGGACTTAGAGCATATCATGTAACTTTTAAGCTCAGGTTCTTCTTCTCTAATTGGGGATAATAATAGTACCTACTTCAGCTATATTGAGAGAATTCAATGACATCATCACATAAAATGCTTAGCACAGAAAAATCTGTCTAACCTAAAAAACACAGAGTCTGGCACAGAGCAAACCCCCAAATGTAACAATTCAATGAGCCAGCCAAGCAGAGCAGCAAGATGGTGAGAATACTTGGGAGTCTTCTTCTTAGGTTCTTCAAACATGACGGGAAATTTACCCTAAAATGCCCACTGGGCCCTGGTGCCAAACTATGAAGACAGTCTAGTGATGCTCAATATGTTTGTTGAATGGTGTATGTGTGTGTGTGTGTGTGTGTGTGTGTGTGTGTGTG
The DNA here is from genome assembly GCF_000001405.40 of Homo sapiens. NCBI lineage: Eukaryota > Metazoa > Chordata > Mammalia > Primates > Hominidae > Homo > Homo sapiens. Next base: position 84,370,212 of record NC_000001.11, on the reverse strand, counting down.
TGTGTGTGTGTGTGTAGGGGAATGGGAAGTGAGGTGTTTTGTTTTTGGCATTGCAAGATACTAATATCTTCTAAAAACATCAATAACATTGTTTTCTGGGGGACAGACAGGTCACTGCTTCTTAGCTTCCTAACACATTACTAAAATTCCTTTCAGTATCCTCAGTGACCTTCTTTGTGTTTTAGGGACACCATTCGGGACCTTGTCATGGAGAAATCTGCTGGGCCCTATGACAAAGGTGAATACTTGACCTCTGTGCAGAAGACCCTCTGTGATATCCAGGTGCTCTCCCTGAGCCGAGTTCCTGCGGTAAGTTCTGTCAGTTGCCATTCTGAGGACTGGGAGAACGTGTGTCTTCTGTCAGCTCTGAGAAAGAGTTGAGAGTTAAAATAAGAAAGTGGAAGACACATGAAAAATGACATCTGTTGTTGTTCAAAAGCTTGTTATAGCAAGTGAAAAGAGAGCAAAAATGGAAAAATCTGTCTAACCTGAAAACACAGGCCCCTGTTGTAGTCCTTGAGTTTTGTTGAAAATTCTTTGAGTCCCTTCAACCTGCCACTGATTTAAGCCTCATAGTCAGGACACTTGAATGCCTTGAGGGAGAGGGGTAATTAGACAAAGGTTCTGTGTTTCAGAAGAACCAGACAATGAAAGATAGATGTAGAGAGATTTCATCCATCCATCCATCCATCCATCTGTCCATCTACCCACGTCCCCACCCATTCATTCATTCATTCATTCATTGAATGGTGATTATGTCTCTGGCAGCATACGAAGGATACAAAGATAAATTAGATAGTCACTACCCTCAAAGAGCTCATCATTCAGTGAATGAACAAAATAAGTAAATGAACAATACAATAGAGAAAAGAGTATTATGAAAGTACAGAGCAAAGCACCTAACTCAGGTAAAGGAGATGGGTTCCGCCAGGTTTTCTAGAGGGAAGGGTGTTTGAGTCTAGAGGTTATCTGAGTTTACTCTCAAGGGTGAGGGAGCAGGGTAGGTATGGAGACAAGAGATAGCATGATACAGTCGTTTACTGTTGAGGGTCTACCACGTGTGACTGAATATATATGAATGAATTATAGTCATTCCATGTGCCTGGAAATGAGGCAGGAACCACAGGAGCCAGTCAAGAGGGCCTTTTTAGGCTTATTTATAGAGTCTGTACCTTATCCTGAAGGCTTCTGGGAGCCACCAAGGGGTTTAAGCTGGATGTTTTGTTTCAGATTTGTACTCTAGAAAAAACACGCTGACAGAAATGTGATGAATGAAAAGGTTGATGGACCATAGGCAAGGAGACATGTTGGGATCTATTTCAGAATCTTGTAAAGAGAGTCTGGGCCATGGTGGGGCTGGAGAGGAGGAGTATCACTCTTAGACCTGGACAAGAGGGACTCTGGCCATGGCTCAGCATTCTACAGGCCCCCTTCAGGCCTTCCTCTGGCTGTGCCTCCCTCCACTAGGTGAAGAATCAGTGGGGCCACAGCAACATACTCTGCAGAGGCCCATGCATTCCCCAGAATTTCCTGTCCAAATAGCCCTGAGACTACTTCGGGAACGTGGGCAAATCTCTTCTCGAGATCTGTCTTCCAGAGGGCGAATCATGCTATTGGTGTTCACCCTTAGGCCTGAGAGTAGGCAAAGGGGCAGATGTTTGCAGGAGGTATGGATGGCACTTGACATGCAAGCTGGAGTGTCTACCCCTGTGAGTCCAAGAGAGAAGGTGGGATGGGCCAGGGGCGAGGGGCTGGCTCTTCCCATGCTGCCATGCCCTGGCATGGTACTCCATGCCAGGCAATGAGGAGAAAAAAAGATTCTATTTTCACTTTCTTCCATCATTCCTACCTTTTGATTAACTAGTCAATTCAGTGGCATAAAATACACACAGGAAAACATGAAAGAGTATTTATGTTTCTAATTGCAATCACAGTTAGAGAATTTTAAATTAATGCTTGGCCTTCCAGGTTGTTATGAAGGGTATATTTGTCAAGTTAGAAGAGTAGAACATATTTCACTTAAAAAAATTTTGGCTTGATTAATAGAACTTTAAAGTTTTTATACCTTTGGTATGTGGGTCTCCAATTATACTCTTACTGCAGGGCCTATAAATGTTAGATACAGGCCTGGAAAGGAAGGAGTGGAATGAGGAGGAATTTAGAAGGTTGACTGACCAGTACCTGGAGGCCAGTTGGATGTTGAAGAGGTCTCCCAGGTTTCTGACCCGAGGAGCCCTTTCTTTTCAGAGAAACAGATTTTGTACACTGAGGGGAGAAGAGCAGACCCACCATCTAATCACAGAACTAGCAGGAGAGAACAGTGTCGGGCAGTGGAGGAACATCAGAGGGTGTCTCCAAGTCAGAGAGAGAACCTGAGTAATGGGTGCGAGGTTAGGGGAGGTGAGGGTAGCTGGAGTGACGGAGATGGAGGCTCGCAGCTCCTAATGTGATGCATACCACTGTGGTTTCCAGATAGAAGATATGGAAATCAGCCTGCCAAACATTCACTACTTCAACATAGACATGTCCAAAATGGGTCTGATCAACAAGGAAGAGGTAAGAGGTAAGAGAACTTTAAATATATTTAAAGCACATCTCTGTCCCACCCCCTTTTGCCCCTTTATGAGCCTGGGATGATAATGTCACTGAATAAAACTCTTAAGCAACTGTTGCTTTGGGGAATATTTATAGTTGCCAGTGATTACAGCCCTCTTCAATTCTGGGCCTTTCAATGCCTGAGGTTGGAGTGCCTTCGAAGTGGATGAGTGATTATAGAAGGTTGGAAGTCCAAGAGAGAAAGACAGAGAAGGAACAGAGTGTGCCCAAGGAAACAGCTTTGAGATCTGCTTCTCTGAAAGTGCCATGCAAGGACACAGCTTCATTATTCTTCCATCATGAGGCAATGAGGAGAAAAAAAGATTCTATTTTCACTTTCTTCCATCATTCCTACCTTTTGATTAACTAGTCAATTCAGTGGCATAAAATACACACAGGAAAACATGGAAGAGTATTTATGTTTCTAATTGCAATTACAGAGGTAAGATGTGGAAATTAATTTTTTGAAAACAACCCTTTGTCTTGGAGAAACACTTCTCCTGTTTTTTTGTTTTTTTGTTTTTTTTTTTTAAGCCATGGCAGAATGTTAAACCACTCAGTGTGTCTGACTAGACAGCCTGAAGTACTGACTGGTGGGTTGGTGTGGTCAGTTCTTGGGAGATCAGAACCATTCTTCCCTCTTGGACCACATTCAAAATAAGATTTCTCAATTTGCTCCAGCTCCCCACACATTCCTATTAACTAGAAAACATTGTTTCGAGTAACTTCTTTTAGTATGTGTTGGGGAGTAAGATAGGGAAGGAGCCATCTATTAGCATGGCTCTGCTCCCATAGACTCATATCCTTTGGCGGATAAGGGATAATGAAGGGGTTAAAGGTCCCACATTCTGCACCTGATGGCCCAGAAGCCTCACAATCCTTCGGGCCAGGTACCTCCTTTCTGTTTTGCAAGTAATGTGAGTGGCCTCTAGCAGGCTTTGACCACCATCAGCTGCAGGTGGAGGCTCGGGAGTCGCATCTGGAAACAAAGGTCATGCTTAGGTGCCTGGCAAAGGTGATCTAGATTCTGAAAACCTCCAGGGATTCAGTTCCAGTTCTCTGGGAAGCAGAGCTGCCCTTACCTTGGTCCCACATGCTGTACATCCAGCCACAAGGAGAGGCAGCAGTATTTACTTTAGAGGAAGGAAAGGACATGGCTACCAGAATGCCATTAATTAGAATCTGAAGCCTTTTTAAAGCCTTCTAACGGGCAGGAGAGCGACCTGAAAGTAATCCTGGCCAAGTCCACCAGAGGCAAAACAAATGGACCCTACATAGAAAAAAGGATCAGGTGTCATGGCTCAAGCAGTGCTTAGCTCAGGACCCCAGGCAGAGAGAGGAGGGCTCCTGAGGGCCCCCGACACCTCAGGTCTGCACTAATCCCAGCATGCTGGGGGGCTGCGCCCACAGGGTTCTTCCCTCTAGGAAGTCAGACTTGCAGCTCCCTCATGGAGCCCAGCTGGGGACTTGGAGTCAGGAAGGCCTAAGTTCCTTTGGGTCAGGGCTCTACATAAAGGCACCTGAGTGGCTGAACAAGCTGTCCTTGCGTCTGTACTTTGAGGATGTCTGGAGCCACTCTTGGACTCTCACCCAGCAGATGTGTACAAAGTGAACATAACACATGAGAAACAGGAAGTTGGACACATTAACACTAGCAGAGAAGTGACAAATGACAGGGTGGGAGGGTGGAAGAACTCTAAAAGCACCGCTATCTGGAGCCATTTAGAATTGAGTGAACAGCCCTGCAGACCTCAGACACTTCTGAGGCCATGGTGATCTTACAGCATTGGACAATGACTCATGGATGAGGTGAGTCACCAAGGAAAGGTCAATTGTGTTCAATACACTGCATTTACAAAGCAGGGATATGGAATGCATCTTAGAAACATTTATATCTCAATGATTAACATTTTTCAAAAGCTTTTAAATTTTCTAGGAAATTGACTCATCTCTCAACTATTGCCAGAATAATAAGGCATTACCATGCTTGAAGTAACTTTAGTGGAGGACATACACATTTTCCTGTTTAGTAAGTTGTTGTTTTTGTTTTTAATATTGAGTCATAGAAAGGAGGAGAGGGCTATTTTAATGTCCTTTAAATTACCATGTGGTTTTTCTACAGGTCTTGCTGCCATTAGACAATCCATATGGAAAAATTACTGGTACAGTCAAGAGGAAGTTGTCTTCAAGACTGTGACATTGTGGCCACCAATAGGAGTCCACTCTCAGCTGAGGAATTCCTTAAGTCATTTGTGATGCTGGAGATGATAGCATGTAGCCATGCAAAATTTCACACTAGTATATTGATTTATAGTGTTCACTTTCCTCCAATATGAAACAGTTTATTTCTTCTACACCTAGCTCAGCAAGGCATTCTGTGGATTACCTTATTAGTAATTATAACAGGCTTTATGGCTATAATTTACTTTAAAAATGCTGAGCAGTATTAGAACAGTTATAAATCAATATTTCTTTTTGGTTATCTTATGCCTTCCTATCTTGGAGAAGCTTTAGAATCAATTCATTAAGAAAATAATCATGAATTAATGAGTGTGTCACATCAATTAATTTGTGCACAGGTTTAAGAAACAAATATTGTTTTCATCCTACTGATGCTTCTAAGTAATGCAGAAAATGAAATAAAATTATATTGAAAAATATCACCATTGTTACTTCATTTGACTGAATATTTGATTTTAAGAATGCTCTAGCATATGTATCATTGATTATTTATTTCCACTCTGATAGTACTTCTGTGATCTTAATGTTTGATTTTAAACTTTTTCAATCCTTAGAGAATATTTAGTACATATGAGGGTACTGAAAAAGAGTAGAAATTTTCTTTGAATAATGCATCCCTTATGTGCACAAAACGTCACATTTAATAAATGTTAAGCCAATATACAGATGGGTGGATGTACATTTAGAAAGAAGACTAGAGAGTATAGATGTGAAAATATCAGCAATGACAATTTCTGGATGATGAGATTATGAGTGATTTTCATTTTTCACCATGTACTTTTCTGAATCTTCCAAATATGAACAATTATTCCTTTTATAGCCAGAGAAACAAATATAGTTGATGATTTAAAGATGTTTACAGATTTGAGGGCTGATTATATCAATTGACTAACACTACCATTGTATACATGTAATAAAGCTTCACAAATTACAGCTTTAGAAACCCATGATGAAAACTTGTCCACGTTAACATTCTGGGTAACCTTTTCCATTTTAAAAAATCTTCATTTAAAAAATAAAATCAAATCTCCATTTTTAAGAATTGCTTTCATATGAGCCCTTAGTATTATTTGTTAATACGGCTTCATTCACCTTTATGATACTGCTACTTAAGGTTGCATGGTATAGTGGTTAATTGCACACTCATTTAAATCCTGGCTCCACCTCTCAGTAAATATAAGACAAGTTTCTTCATCTGTAAAATGGAGGTGAAAAGAGAACCTACCTTATAGGTCTTTTGAGGATTAAATGGGTTAATGCTTGTAAAGTGCTATGGTAGTATTTGGCCTGACACAGAAATTTCAATATACGTGTGTGTTGAATGTAATAAATGTCCTGTCTTCTTTTCGTTTGTTATTAGGCCCACATAGAAAAGCTGTCATTGGCCTCCGGGTCAGGCAAGAGATGGGAGGTGTTCAGAGCAGCAAACCCTACAAGATGTTGGAGGCCATTCACAAGCAAGCGCCTGCTTGGAAAATAACGTGGGATAAGAACAATGAAATAATTTGATGAGGAAAGTGTTGTGCTACATTGAATACTCACGTCACAAAATGTGCTTCTACATTATGTAACTTACATGGTCAAATGACTGGTACATTTTATTCCTGTGCTAATTTGTCAATTCTGTTCCAAGAGGAAAGAGTCTAACATGACTTTTCAAAAACAAAACAAGACAAAACAAAACAAAAACCCCGACTTAATTAGGCCTTTCTTACTTGATGTTCTCTTATTCTTGTAAGTTTTAGAAACACTGTATTTGCTTCAGAGAAGAAACCCATGTTAGAGCAGAATCCTTAGAAATTGTGGCCCATTTATACATATGTGCATTTTGCTTCTCCTTAGCTCTTAGCACATTTACTGCAATAGATTGCAAATGAGCTATTGGATGTTATATCCCAGGTATGTGGCAGGAAAGCCTGTAGTATGTGAAATTTTCAAGGACAAAGTTCCTGTTTTGTGAAGGATGTTTCCTTCTTAGAATTGTGAACGATGGGGCTGAAAACCAGCTTTGGGTTTCACCTGTTCCTTTCAGTTCGGCAGACAGGCAGGCAGAACTGAACTGTAAACACTTGTGAGGCAATTTGTTTTAAAAACACTTCATGATTTTGCTAGGAAGCCTCCAGGGATTCAGTTCCAGTTCTCTGGGAAGCAGAGCTGCCCTTACAACACTCTTCTGTCTCCTCACTCACTCTCTCTGCTTACCCCAACCCTATCTCAAGTACTTTCATGGAGGAATCGTGCAAGTAGTTCCAAGCCCACGTGCTGCCGGGGAGGCAGTTTCCATGGCATTCAATGGAGCAGGCTGTCATGTGGGGCTTGTGGTTTTGGTAGCCAAGATTCTGCCTGAGGTTTGTTTCATATTCTTTAAATTTCATCTCATAATTTTCATAGTGATAGACTCAGAAAATATATCTCCTTCCTTTTCCTTTTCCTTTTTAGAGTCAGACTTAAGTTCATACCATTCCTTATTTTTAGACACCAATGTTTTCCCTTTCTTTTTTCTACCCCAATATAGAAGCGTAATAAGTCTTTTGAGGCAGCATTTTATTGATTTGTCATTGTAACAGAATTTACCTTCTTCAATACCGGCAGATTTTAACTAGAGAAATTTGAAATTTTCCTAACCTCTTTATACTTTGTCCAGAAGGAGCGTTTCCTTTCCTCCGGACTCTGAGCTGTGTGGAGTTGGCCCTTTGCAGTCGCCTTTGCTAGACCTTTACGAGTTCTGCTTTCTTGTCTGAACTCATGAGGAAGGCAAAGCTTCTTTCCCAAAGAGATTGACTTGAAGCCTTCTAACCAGACACACACAGGACCTTCCGGCTTCCGCATACTTGAAACTTATTCTCTGTATGTTTCACAGTCTTAGCACTTGTTTCTCTTAGAGCTTAGCTACCTGTCATTCTTCCATTTGCCCAGGCTCCCTCTCAGAAATTCTTAGTTTTGTGGAGCCTATCAAGACCCTATTGAGAATATGATGGCTATGGACCTTCTTCCCAGAAAAATGCTCATTCATGTCTCTACAGGTGCCTCTACCTCTGCTAAGGAAGTAGTTCACACATTATCTTTAAAGTATAAAGGATTCCAACAGAAATTTGCCACATGAGGAATATATTCAATCAAACTTAGAAAGTATACTGCTCACCTTTACATAAGAAAGAAATAAACGTAGTATTAGTTTCCTGAGGCTGCCATAACAAATTACCATAAACTTGGTGGTGTAAAACAATAGAGATTTATTCCCTCATAGTTCTGGAGGCCAGAGTCCAAAATCAAGGTGTGGGCCGGGTGCTACTTCCAAAGACTCCAGGGGAGATTCTGTTTCTGCCTCTTCCAGCCTCTCATGCCTTCAGGGGTTCCTTGACTCACAGCTGCATCACTCTAGTCTCTGCCTCCATGGCCGCATTGCTTCCTCCTTTTTCTGTCTGGCAGGTTTTCCCTGTATGACTCTTATAAGGACACTGGTCACTAGATTTGGGGCCCACCTGGATAACCTTAAGACAAGATCCTCAAGATCCTTAATGACATCTGCAAAGATCTTTTTTCCACGTAAGGTCACATTTGCAGGTTCTGACAGTGAAGGCATGGTCTCTGTTTTGAGACCCATTCAACCCAATACACAAAGTAAGAGGTCAGTGAGCTGTTTAAGGGCAGCTCTTCTGGTGTATGTGGATCTTAGCTATACATAAGCTCCTCTTCCCTTCAGATCTGGGGGATGGTGCCATACCCCTCCTGGTTTGATCACTTGTCACATAGATTTTTATAAAAGGGTAAAGAGCACGGACTTTGGATGCAGATAGTACTAAGGTTTAGACTGGGCTCCACCAATTTCTAGTTGTGTGATCTCGAGCAAGTAATCTCTAAGCTTAAGCTCTCTTGTTTATGAAATGGGAATAATAATAACCCCTACCTCACAGCACAGGGTAGTGAAGCATTAACTGAGATTAGAGCTAGAATGCCTTTGGCTGCAAGTAACTGAATACCTAAGAGTGTCTTAAACAGAAAGGACATCATGCTTGCTTCAGAAGTTTAAGAAGTAGGCTATCCCAGGATGGGATGGCTAATTCAGTCATGGCATCAGGACTCAGGCTCATTCCACCCTTTGCCCTGCTATCCTCAGTATATGGTAATGTTTTCTCTATGGCCACAAAATGGGGGATAAAGCTCCTGTTAAAGATGCTCTGGTGCCTTCTGCATGACAATCTCAGGGTCTTACTGTATTTTTCATGGGGATGCTGACCTGTGATACTAAGAGTTCCAGGAAGGAGACTCGAAAATGGGATTTTGGAGCTGGATCACCCGCTGGCTCACTAGCAATGAGCCTTTGTAATACTGTAATCACACAATTGTTAAAACCGTCTGCAGAGGTGAATTGGGATAAGATACTGGAGAAAGGAATACATTGGCAGGGGCAAAATCTCAAATGCTTGAGAGGTGTGGGGGAAACGGTTATTATAAGCACTATGGAATTTGAATGGGTGTCACTGGGGACCATTAGTAAAGAAAGGCAATGAAAAATTGAGGATGATTAATAACTAATATAAAGTGAGCATGAAAGCAAGAGGGCCTCCTTGGCAACATATAAAGACAGTATACATCTAGATGGCAGAAAAAGCTTAGGAGACCCAGGTCTTAATTATTAGAATAGCAGAGCTCCAAGGAAAATTGAATTCTCCACCCTTGACAGGTCTGTCACACTAAGGTCAGGGTCCAGATTGATGCACTTGAAATCTTGAATCCTCAGCTTTACCTGAATTCTCTGTGCCTGCAGAACTGGCCTATTTCTCCTTGTTAAAAGCTAGCACTGCCCCTCTTGCTTGAAGACAATGCAGAAGCTTCTGCCTACAAGGAAACACATGCCTCCTTGTGATATATCCCCACCTCCTGACCACCAGATCTATAAATAGGGTAAGTCACATCGTACACCAGCTAGACATATGCTGGGCTTGTTAAGGAAAGAAGGAGACCACAGGCCAAAAGAGTGGCAAAGGCCCAGCTAATATATATAAAAGCTGGAAGATTATACATGGGTGCTGGATAAAGCCCATCTAATTTTCAAATCAAGAAGCAAGAAGAGAAGCAGTTTCCATTCACATGGATGGACAGTTGCATACATTTATGGTCTTGCCCCAGGATGACATTAAATTTTCTAGCCTTTGTATATGGGACCACGATCATCAGGACATTCCCTGGGACATTAAATTGGTCCATTATACCCATGAGACTATGTTAATTGGACTGAATGACCAAGAAGTGACACTTGTACTCTGGAGAATGGTAGATAAACCCATCAAAGGCCCACCACATTAGTGACATTTTTAGCAGTCTGGTGGTCTAGGACAAGGATTGGTGAAATCTGTCCCACCACTTGTTTTTGTAAATAAAGTTTTATTGGAATACAGCCATGCACATTTGCTTATATATTGCCTATGACTGTTTTCATGTTATAATGGCAAAGTTAGTAGTTGAAACAAAGACTATTTGGTACACAAAGCCTAAAATTTTTTACCCTTTGACCCTTTATAGGAAAAGTTTGATGAGGGTATTATAGGACATCCCTTCCCAAATAAAGGACACATTATTGCATCTCAAGTTTTCTACCACTAGGAAGAAAGCACAGTGCTTGGTATTCTCTTTGGTTTTGGAAGACTCATATTCCACACATGGTAATACTGCTCCAACACATTTACTGGGTGGCAAGGAAGGCTTCCAACTTTGTGTGGGGCCCAGAGAAGTAAAAGGCACTGGAGTAGGTCCAGACTGGATACAAATATTCCTTCTGCTTGAACCACGTGAATCAGCAAATTCTATGCTATTAGAGATGTCTCTGATTGGGGAAGATGCTGTGTGGGTCCGTGAATGGACAAAAACACACTCACAAGTATTTATTCTCTCAGTCAACAATAACAATCAACATAGAACACTTCTGTGACCAAATGTTTGGGGATTTCTCTCCACCAACAAGCAAGCAATCAATTCTGCAGCAGGCACCCTTTAAGTATCCTCTAATTCCATTCTATTCTTACTCTATCTACCTAGAGATAGCATCAGATCCCACAGGTTAAGGAATTAATGCCCAAGACTGCCACCACCGCCCCACTCCATGCAGCTTTCAGACACCAATCTCAAGCTCCAGGTTGTTTTACCTGTGCTTCTGACCAACTGGCTATAAATCAGGGATCCCACACACACCCCTCCTTGGGTTAGATTAATTTGCTAGAGCAGCTCCTGAAACTCAGGGAAACACCTACTTACATTCAGCAATCTATTATAAAGGATATTACAAAGGGTTCAGATGAAAAGATGCATACGGTTAGGTATGGGGGAAGAGGCACAGAGTTTCCATGCTCCCTCCAACCCCCAGGTGCACCATCCTCTAAGAGCCTCCATAGGTTCAGCTATTTGAAAGCTTTTCGAACCATGCCCTTTTGGGTTTTTATGGAGGCCCCACTACATAGGATTGATTGATTACGTCATTGGCCATTGGTGATCAACTTAACCTTCAGTCCCTTTCTCTTTCCCAGTGGTTGAGAGTGGACTGAAAGTCCAAACCCTCTAATCAAACCTCAGTCTTTCCAGTGACCAGACCTCATCCTGAAGCTACCTAGGGACTGCTTGCCATCAGTCAATTATTAGCATACAAAAAGACATCGTTTTAGAGATTCTAAGGATTTGAGGAGTTGTATGCCAGGAAGTTGGGTGAAGACCAAATATATGTTTTACATATATCTGCCAAGACCCAATGGGAAATTTACAACATAAACTCCCAGGGTTCTGGAGTAAGGCTGTGCTATCGGTAGCAGGGAATCATTCACCATTTGAAAAATAGCTCCTGGTGTGTTACTGGGTTTTAGTAAACACTAAAGTCTGACCATGGAACTTCAACAGATTTTGTGGCCAGAGCTGCTCATCATAAGCTGGTTTCTATCAAACCCACCAAGTATTAGGGTCTGGCAGGCCCAGCAGCAATCCATAGCAATATGGAAATGAGAGAGCCAGGAGTAGGTAGAGGTAGGGCTAGAGGGCACAAGAAAGGCACATGAGCAGGTGGCCCAGATCCCCATGTTACCCACTGCTGTTTCTCCAGTGCCTCTCACACTATGGCCATTAAGGAGAAGGTGGTTCTTATGACAGTGGTGAAGGAAAATCCTCCCAATGAATACAGTTTTAGGAAATACACCAAAGAATCATCTACTTTGTGTGTAATGTGTTTCTAGGTAATAATATATACAAACTTGTGGGCAGTGGCAATTGGCTTGGTTGGTTGGTTAGACACTTGGAATGAGAAAGATTAGGAGATTGGTCAGAGGAAAGGAGCTTGTAAAGGGACCTGTGTGGGTGGACATGAAATGTGAAGATTTTTGCTTTGCATCTTAATGTCCACCGAAGAGCATCAACCATGGATGAGACACTAAACAATCAAGCAGACAGATTGATTTTGCCAGTGGATGTCAGTCGGCCTTTGTCATTGGCAATCCCAGCGCTGGTACAAGGAACTCATGAATAGCCATGGTGGCAGAGGTAGAGGACATACACGGGCCCAAAAGCCAGGGATCTGGCTTTCCATTACTAATATTAACGGTTGCTAACAAATATCCAAACTTCCAGCAGTAGAGACCAATAATGAGGGAGACCTTGATATGGCACCTACTTGGCAGCAAGTTAAACACATTGGGCCCCTTTTACTTTGAAAAGGTTAGTGATTAATCCTGACTAAAATGGATACATATTTTGGATACGGCTTTGTCTTTCCTGCCCGCAGGGTCTCAGTCAGCACCACTATCCAAGGGCTTACAGAATTCCACATAACGTCACTCAGACCAAGGGACAAAGAGACCCTCTTTAAAGTAAAGGCAAGCTGTAAGTGATCATATAGTCCTATCACATACTTTACTATCCCAAAGCTGCTGGCCTGAGAGAGCGATGGAATAATCTCTTAAAGGCACAACTGAGATGTCAGCTTGGAGATAATACCCTGTGATGATGGGTTACTGTCCTCCAGGATGCAGTGCATTCCCTAAATACTTGGCTCTTGTATTGTGTTATGTCCCCAATAGGTAGAACATGTGGATCTGGTAACCAAGATGTAGAAATAAGAATGGTCCCACTTGCTATCACTCCCAGTGATCTACCAAGGAAATCTGTGCTTCCCCTACCCCCTGAACTCTAAGATCTGATTGTGTAGAGGGCCTATTCCTGGGGGATGCTTCTACCATGGAACACAGTGAGAGTGATTTAAACTTAAAGCTATAGGGTTATGCAATCAGCCAACTTGACAATTCTCAAGATAAAACAGCTGTTCCAGCTTACTTCACAGAGAGAACCATAATCAGACCAAAACTTTAGAACATTTATGAAAGGGAAATGACGTTGTAGAATGTGACAGTGCTGTGAGTTTTAATTGAATGGTGGAGGGGGCCAGTGACACATATAACTCAGATCATTGCATTTTTAGAAAATCATAGAAATTGAGTGCTGAAATAAACCTCTAATTGGACATGTTTATTTTAGTAGCAACTGAAGCAAGAGAGGTTAAGACTTGTACAAAGTCTTGTGGATATGTTAACGGGAGATCTGGGACCAGAACCCAGGTCTTCTGACCCCTAGTCCAGGATTCCCTGCATCCACCACTGTGGATGCATAGCTCCACAGTTTTCCTTTTTAACTATGTGTGGATTAGGCCAATGTTAACTTACTTTGCATTCTGTATACACACCATACGGAAGGCTGATTAATAACCTGTAGACATTCTGGTGGCAAGAAGTCACCTTAGTATTAAAAATTCTTAATAGAAATTTGCCCAAATAGACAATTTAGCAGACTAGTGTCAACCTAATTGGCTCAAATTAATGAATGCAGCTCCACTCAGGTTTTTTCAATTTTATTAAAATTTTTTTCTGTTTGTTTATGACCCACATATACCTTCATTTAAATCACAACAGTATCAGGACCTCCCTTTCATTAGTCTCACAAAACCATTTTGAATGTCATTGAACACTCATTTTGGATTGGGGACAGGATCCATTTGGAATTCACCAATGCCTCAAACCAACTTCTCTAAGTCTTTGGGGACCAATAAAAATGTATATGCATTTTGCTTAGCACATTTCCCTTAACTCAACATAACAATTTTTCAGGGAGCTTAAATGATGCAAGTTTTTTGTTTTTTTTTTTTTGTTTTTGTTTTTTTGTTTATGTGGCCTTTTGAAAACAAAGCATCTAGAACCACCCAATATCCATTTTCATCCACCTATAAAAATAATTTTGTTTTTTAGCGGTATTAGGATGCATCCAATCAGCAGTATTTAGGTTCAGCATACATTAATTCTGTGACAGTACTGAGCTTGAAATGGAATGAGATCATAGTAATAAAACTATATTTTAATGCACTTTTAATGTAATACAAACAACTGTACAGTGTACTCTCATTCAGTCCTCCATCACCTTATGAGACTGGTACTATAGAAGAACTGCCGGCTTCTCCAAAGTATCCACCCTCCTGTCCTTGTTTATCTGGATACTTGGCTTCCTGAAATAAAGACTACAGTTCCAACCTCCGCTACAGCTAGGTATCACCAAATGACTAAGTTCTTGTTAAAGGGATGTCAGGGAAAGAGATAAGCACAGTTTCTCATATGAGGTGTCCTTCTTTATCTCTTTTTCTTGGCTGGAATGCAGTTGTGATAGCTGAAGCCCAAGCAGCCACGTTGGACTACATAGGGAACTATGTGTTGAGGATGGTGGAGCCACACAAGAGGAATGAGACCCAATCATTATGTAGCAGCCCTGCCATCCCTGAACTGCTCACCTTCAACTCATATGCATCATAGAGAATTTCTATCTTAAGTCACTGTTGTTTTTATCAACTAAAACTAACCCTGAATGATACACTTGAGCTACATTGTCCTAATTGAGGTGTGCAGTAAGTATGAAATACACACTGGATTTCAAAGGCAAATGAAAAGATTTTATAAAATATATGATCAATAATTTTTGCATTGATTATATATTAAAACTATAATATTTGGATAAATTGGCTTAAAATTATATTATTTAAATTATTTTTTCCTGGGTCACCTTTCCAAATGTGACTACTGGAAAATTTTAATTTATATAAATGGCTCACATTCTGTTTCTTTTGGGCACTGCTAGGCTGGTGCTGCTCCACTCTGTTTCTGCATCTGCACTAGAGAATAGATGAAGTTCCTGAGGCTAAGAGGAGCCATAGGACTTACCCAAGTTCCCATGTCAAGTAAATGTCGGGACTGGATTCAAGCTCAAGTCTATCTGGTGCAACCTCAGTGACTTCACCCACTACCTACTGTGTATCTCAACTGGTGTCGTTGGGTTCAGGTATAGCAGACAGAATACTATCCCAAACACTAATTATTATAGGCAGAAACTGCTGGTGGCTTGGAGTTTTACTGACTTTCACTCAAAATGTGCTTATAATCTGATGAATTCTATAGTATTATTCCCAAATCACATATTCCCCAGCACATAAAAATAGAATGTAATCATTGAAAAAGGCTATGAAACACAATTTGCTGAATGCTTCTGCTGAATGCTTCTGCTGCCTTTGATTCAGAAAGAAGACATTTAATTTGGAAAACTTTGCCACAGATATCCAGTGACAGAGCTGGAGGCCCTCATGGCAAAACTTTCCTTGGTTGCTTTATCTCACTTTGCTGGAAGCTTAAGGCCTCTAACCCCTCTGACCAAAGATGCCCCATGGATGGTGCCTGGGTAATAACATCAAACATTTTGCAGCATATTTCCCTTTATCTGGTTGAGTGAGGCATCCTCTGCAGGTAACGAGTATGTTCAGTATTATTTACACCTTTACTTACCCTTTTCCCACTTCTTTAAAAAAGGTGGTAGTTTGGCTCGTGTACTTGTCCTGTGGAAGAGGGGCACAGTTTCTATTTGGAAATGGCCTGGCATCCCCAGCTTTCTTGATTTCTCCCTGAAGACAGTTGTGGACAGGAACACTCTGACTTAACTGAAGTGCAGGGACATCAACTTGCTTTAGCCACAAGATCCTCCATTATTATGCTCCAGTGCTAGGCTAGACACAATTCTTCCTTGGGGTTCACCACCTCCAAGGGATTCTAAGATGTAAGACAGCCACACTCACCAAATGAACTTGGATGTGATCATTTTAATCTTCTTGCTGTATAGTACTGCCATGACTGGCTAGAAATGGTACCCAGACTCCTTAATTTCCCATGGAGCTACAGCATGAAACTAACGAGCTGTTCATTAATGCATCCATTGCTCGCTCTCTCCTTCCTGTGGCTTCTGTTCCTGGTTTAGAAGCAGAATTAACAAGTTTTCTCCTAAGAGGCATATCTGTCCTGCAGCAGTCAGCTCTTTGAACATTTAACTTCATCTTCCAAATCATTCCAAAAAACACTTAATGGCTCTGGGCCCAGACCTGACCCCTGCAGATCCCATTTACAAGGACTGTCAAAGACAGATGAATCACCACCAGTAAGTCCTTTTTGCATTTGGCTTCCAAATATGGGAGTGGCTGGGCAACTGTGGGTCATTAGACTTTTGCAAATTAAATTCCCCCAAAGATATATTTCACTAATGCAACTGAAGGACAGTGTGTGTCCCTGACTGCAGATGCTAATCTCAGAGGGACAAAAACCTGTATTTGGCCGGTGCGGTGGCTCACGCCTATAATCCCAGCACTTTGGGAGGCCGAGGCAGGTGGATCACGAGGTCAGGAATTCAAGACCAGCCTGGCCAACATGGTAAAACCCTGTCTCTAATAAAAATACAAAAATCAGCCGGGTGTGGTAGCGGGTGCCTGTAATCCCAGCTACTCGGGAGGCTGAGGCAGAGAATTGCTTGAACCCGGGAGGCGGAGGTTACAGTGAGCTGAGATCGTGCCACTGCACTCCAGCCTGGGCAACAGAGGGAGATTCCGTCTCAAACAAACAAACAACAACAAAAACAAACAAACAAAAAAACCACCCTGTATTCACGTAGGATATTTGTTGAGGACAGAAAGAAAAGACTGCTACCAATTGGCCTTTTTTTCCTCATATTCATCAGGCCCACTAGGTATAAAAAATGATGCTCAAATCTGCTGCACATTCTAATGTGATATGCTAGCTTGTTTTCTTTTCAGTTGAATCTATTTGCAATTTTCAATTCCTGAATGAACTCACTGTTTTTCTGTTTTTTGTTTTAGATCGGGTTGGGTGTGTGTTTGGCGGGGGGGTGTCTAAAACTGATGTCTCAATTGCCTTCAGAGGCCCATTAACTTAAGTGTGAAGTTGCTGGTTTTAAGAAATTAGGGAATGGAAGAGTAACAAATTGGAGTTTTCAGCCTCACTAGAAGTGTGTAAATGTGGTTTTTAAAACACACACATACTGCATTGGCCAAAGTAAAACATGTTGGCTTAGATTCCACTGAAAAGTGGCCAGTTTGTGACCTCACCTTTAAATCAATTCATTCAATCTCCTCTGCAGAGTCTGAATCAGAGGTTCAAATGTGGGGGCGGCGGGGAGTAGCAATTACTTTCTTAAATTCCTTCTGATTCTGATATCCTGTCTGCTTCTCTGGTTGAGAATAATCAAATTCAACATTAGCCAATTCTCATATAAACCTTCACCATTATGGGCACATCACAGCCATGAAGTGCTTCCCCTCACAGCACATGTGTCTGCTACTCATTGCAGATCTAGATCACATGAATAGAAATCCAGTGTGATCTGAAAAGAAATCAGACGTTTCTGGTTTTTACAGCTGTCTGGAGACAAAGGCTGCCTACCTGCTGAATTTCAAGTACTTCCAGCCTCTCTTTTTGGCCTATTTTGATCACATTGGTTTTCCCCTAAACAGAGGAAGATGAAATCACCTTGAGCTATTGCCAAGGTGTGCAGGCCTGCCTGTCCTAGGCCTTTATGCTGACTGTAGGAGAGGCAGATTATCTTTAAATTGCTAATTTTGCCTGAAAGCTCTTATCAGAGACTGAGGGATGATTTTATACTTTTCTGTTTGCTTTTCAATTCCCCTCACCCCCAAGTACTCCTAGAGCAGTCCAAATCTGAGGTTTAGTTGACTTAGTTGAACGCGAGTTCAAATCTCAAGAAAAATACCACCAAAGAAACCCTTTTAGTGTCATTTGCTATGAGTGTTTAGTGGTCAGCTGACATCGGTAACAGCAAGTTGTCCCTCAATATCCACTTTCCTTTATCTACAGAATAATGGAACTTTGAGTTTTGATTGGGCTCATGGTTTCCAATAAAAACATGAAATATTTCAAGTAATGTGATTGACTTCCAGTCCACAAGATATGAAAGGAAGTAGTATGAACAACTTCTTGGAAGTATCCTTAAAGGAAGGTCTGTTCCTTTCCCCTTTCTTCTCCCCACTGGTTGGAATTCAAATGATGATGGCAAAGAAGCAGCATCTATTTATGAAATGATTCTGGGAATGGATGTCATGCATGGTGGAAAAAAAACATAGGCGGAAACTGTGTTCCTACCATCATGTAGGGCCACACCACCTCTGGTCCCCCTATCTGGACATTTCCATGAGAGGGAAGTAGGTGTCTATCTAGTTTATTAATTGGTGGGGGTGGGAGAGACAGTTTCCATCACTCACAACCAAACCTATTCCAAACGACTACAGAAGGTATCAGGTGGGTGCACAAAAGTTAGGGCTCAGAAATACCTCATACTATCCCTTTGAGGTAGAGACGGGTCAAACATCATCAGATTTTACAGCAGGACACTCCTTCACAGAGGTTTTCATCAAGATCCTCATTCCATCTTCCTTCTGCTTGATCCAGGAATCCCTTCTTTCCTATCCAGGTCTCCAGCAGCTGCAGTTGTCACCTTTTGTCTCCATCACTCCTCACAACACTTAACTATATATTTTGCCTTTTACTTGCGTTTTCTGTCTTAGGTAGACTGTGGGAACTTGGAGATTTAAAAAAAAGTCTCTTTTGTAACCACTTTTCCCAGTTACAGTGAAAACAAAGCATTACTTAAATTTCAGATACTCCGTACGCTCTATAATTGAATTAATTTGGAATGCATTTTTAAACCCACCTACTATCTATACCACTTCCTGTGTTTTTTTTCACTGTCATCTTCAGACTTTCTGTTCTTTCAAGAAATTATCTCCACAGGGGACTGAATTATGATATTCTCTAAAATAGGAACTCTTAACTTGAGGAGGAGGAAGAGGGAAATTATGAGTCCACCAACTCTCTGCAAGTTTTGTATGTGGAAATGTGAGCTTTTGTCTGCAGAGAAAGTCAATAGCTTTTATTATTAGAATTTCAAAAAAATCATGACCCCCACTGGCCTACAGCAAACAAAAAAATCTTTGGCTAAAATAATACCTAAAATTGGGGATGAGAGAAGAAATGAGATCTACTCGAATGATTCACTTTAAAAAGAAGATAAATCCACACATAGATTTGTATAATTTCTACCTCTAAAGTTTTTTCCCCAAAAAATGCTTAATTTTCTTTCCCTGGTTTCCAGGAGACCTTAATCCTTAATCCCAACTGAAGAAGCAACCAAACAGAAAAGATCAAAGATACACTGGCAATAAACTGAAGCAATGCTTTATTGCAACCACAAAGCACCAATTCAACAAGGCGTTGACACACAGAGATTGAACAAATGTCTCTTTGAACAGAGATGTAGCAAGCCCACTTTTTCCAAGCTCTTAAAAACAAGTACTTAACCCAGGAACCGAACAAAGCATAGGACAATTAAAAAAAATTACACCATCATGAAGGAATATATATAAAAATATTCTGTACTAGTAACAAGGCTTTTTGACCTGTAACTCTCGGCAAATTTCTTCAGAAACAAATTATTATAAATAAAACCATGAAGTTAAAAAAAATTCTTTCTTCAGAAACAAAGAACCAATTTAAAAGAAAATCTATGCAGAAAATATCGTTACCCCATTTGAAAGCTAGCTGAATATGGATGGATATCCTCAGTACACAACGGAGCTTCTCTTTTCAGAGCTATGATTCTGCTCCTGAAGGGGCCATGATGCATGTTCATTTCAAACACTGCAGCATATCCCAATAAAACCTTAATAAGGTCAAGTGGAGAACCCTCTATAAAAAAGGGTGTTGGCAATTCCGTCCAAGTAACACAAGCTCTAAGGAACAGAGGAATTCAAGGGAGACAGCAATCCCTTTCTTCTTTCTCCCCCTCCCCAAATTTTCTTGTTTTTACTCATCCTAAGTCTGTAACCAAAAGACTGTCATTTAATTAAATTCTTTTTTAAAAGATTTTGGGAAAGCTATAAAGAGATGAGGAAAATCCTTATGATTTCAAAGCCTTTGTGGGGAGGAGTGTCTAATCGTGTCAAAGATCATCTATTTGACAAAATCCATGAGGAAAACCACCCTGTGCGCATCTTGTCCTTGCTCCTCCTGGCTGATTTCAGGTGAGCTGATGAATTGCCTAGTCTATCCAATAGGATAACGTTTCATTTGATTGAAATTCTTTACATATACACATGTATGTATTCTGTTTACAAAGTTTCATTACATGAAACTAAATTATGTCATTATGTATTTTTTGAGGTCGAAGACCCCAATTTGACTGTACTATGAAGAGTTGTTCTTTAAATGCTTTGTCTGCAGAGGTTTTACATGATATTCGTAGATTTTCAGAGCAGGCCCCAATTTTAACTGAAGTCCTGTCAACACATCATTTCTTGTCATCAATAGCAGGGATTTTCCATCAATTTCCTATAATGGAAGCAGAAGGTAAAGCCAACATGTGAGTCCAAAAGCTCAAGGATAATGAAGACAAAAGGAAGTTCAGAGGTAAAAGTCACACCACTTGTGCCCAAGCTAAAAACATTACATTTGTAGTAGTGCCAAAATGGAAAAAATGCAATCCTCTATTTTTATCTTACAGCTTTTAGCTATACTTTGGCATTAAACACAATCTATAGCTGATCTTGCTTTCAAGATCCTATCACAAACATCACATCTTAAAAAACAGATCGCAAGCTTACTGCATGTACCCTTAAGGATCAAAGATGCTGCTTCTGAAAAGAATAATGACACTTTCCATTTATAAAGTCTATTAAAGTTTATGCAGAATTTTCCATGAACTTAATTTCTAAAACAACTCTGTAAATTAGAACAGGCAGAGATGATCATTTCTATTTTACAGGCAAGCGAAGGATCAAGCAAGAAGTTCACCCTCTAAGATCAAGAAGTTAGGAAAGGGGTGCATAGAATTTGAACTCTCATATACCTGCAGCCAAAGCCAATGTTCTTTTTATAATCCCCCTCTGCTTCTCCTGATACTTAAATATATGTTTTTTAGATGGTCCGATGGGGACTAGAGTCTTAGGTTTCCTGGAGTCCTCACAATTGCAACATTGGGCATTAGAAAAATGACTCAACCTCTGGGAGACTTTCCTGCCCTTTAAAGGGGGAACCATCCTGCCTCAACCCAAAAATCAACCTCTCCAAGATAAGTTCCCCTACCACACTCCCTCTCAATGGATCCTCAAACTTCCAAATAAGGTAGTGAGGGGTAGGGCCCTGCCAGCTGAAAATCCCTTC
This sequence comes from Homo sapiens, assembly GCF_000001405.40. Classification (NCBI taxonomy): domain Eukaryota; kingdom Metazoa; phylum Chordata; class Mammalia; order Primates; family Hominidae; genus Homo; species Homo sapiens. The sequence continues at coordinate 84,348,799 of NC_000001.11, read as the reverse complement.
CCTGTTCTGCTCAGAGTCCATTCCCTGCACCCTTAGGCACAGAGTCAGGTACACTGCACTCCAGGTATTCTGGAGAGACTACAAAGCTTTGGGGTGAAATAAAAACAGGCTTCTCACAAAAGAGATGGGGATCCCAAATATACAAAGTGGTTTGAAACTTTTGGAAAGGAAGCACTGAGAAGAATGCTGAATGCCACATTATTTTTGTTATTGTTTGCTATGGGGACCTTACGTCTCTTAAGAACCTGAGCTGGTTCCTAGGTGACTTGGATTCAAGAGTTAAACCAGCTGTGCATGGTCGGTGAGTCACGACATTTCTGTGCATGGTTATAACCACATACTTCTGTACCTACCTCCTCCACTGACCGACAGACATGGGGACACCGTGTGTAGCTGCAACTACGTAAAACGGACTCCCTCCCACACCATCCCCAGGGCGGCTCCTCCAACTCTCATGTGCCTTGCTTGCCAGGCTGGGAAGGAAATGTGCTTTGAGTTCCTGAGAGTGTGGGAGAATTAGCAGCAGGCTAGGCGGCTGAAGAAACACCCACTTTGTGACCTTAGGCAAGTCCCTTCTCTTCTCTTTCCTCCTTGGCGGGGTTTCTGACAAGATTCTGTGAGAAACCGCTCTTGCAAATGCTCCCTGAGCTATGAGTTATACAATCACTTGTCATTATCCCTTCCATCATTCTCGACAGGACCAGGTCCTCATTTTACTTGTCAACCACCTAATATGAACCAGAGCAGAACAAGGAATTACTTCTACCTGGTCTATGGTGGTTTTGAGTTTGGGAAATCTTTATTCTGTCAGCTACCAGAACACAAAATGTCTCATATTAATTTGTGAGAGACTATAACATTAAAAAGCAGCTGATTCATAGTACAAAGAGCAGAAAATTCCTTAAGGACACAGGAATTGACTCAATAATCCTAAAGTACTTTGCTTCTTATTTAGGCAAGTAGTAATCCTAGAGATTGCTGATTAGTGAAACCTGCATGTCTGAGAGTTGGGAGAGGAGCCTCTGGCCCCTGGAAACCACAGTAGCCGTGCTGAAGACACTGTGAGGTCAGAGACCAAATTAGATGTAACCTTAAAGCTCACGCTGTGTCTTGCACACAGGCTCGGAATGTTTTACTGAACGGTAAAGCCCTCCTACCCTCCATCTTTCCTCGGCTGTTGTGTGCTCACACTTCACTTACTACATGTTTTAAACAGGCATCAGGAAGAGATGACACTGCTTTCATTTCTATACACCAAGAAAACTTCCTCGACTAACTCAAAGTGAATTTTTAAAAAATCTTTGCTGGCAAAAAGTCCTTTGACAACTCAGCATTTCTGTCAAAAGCCAAGTATGCCTGTGAAAAATGCTGAAATTTGGATTTTACTTAAGACAAAATGGAAAAATCATGTTTCATGCTCCAATCTGATTTTCCCTTTGTTCAGTAGACACACTGCAGTTCACCTCAGACCAGGGTTGGTAAAAGAAAGCTCCATCTGGAAATCCTCATTTTAGAAATGTTGAAATAAATATAGTTAATTCATACATACAACCAAACATTCCTCTTAAACCCTGACTAGAGCAGCTCAAAGGAATGACAGTGGAATAGAGAATAATGGAAATGAAGCTTACAGTCAGGCAAACCGCAATCTGAATCCTGTCTCCCCAAACTGCTATGTGACCCTGGGTAGGGGACTTAACTGCCCTGAGTCTCAATTTCCTCACCTTAAGATGGAAATAAACCAGTAAAGGACTTTAGGGATTAGAAATGCTGGATGCAAAGCACCGCACACAGTGCCTGACATGTAGGAGGTTCTCAATGACTACTAAGTGGAAATGGATAGGCTTCGAAAGAAATGGGATGTGTTCTGATTCCAAATCCACCTTCTGCTTCCTTTCTGCCAGTGTGCTCCCCTTTGCCAGGAAGATGTAGGCATGTTCCTATTTAGGCTCAGAAAATTTACTGAGATTAAAGAGTTCAAAGACTACATAAAACATTCGTTTCATAAAAATTGTACACACAGGAAAGTTCCTTGATTAAGAAAGCTAATAATTTGATACATAACGTCCATGGGATGCAAGTGAAATCCAAATTCTACCAACAGCATGCTGTGCTACAATGAGCTTGGGACTGGAAACTGGAAGACAGGTTCTTGCAGACTCTATCAGTAACTTTCCGTAAGGAACAACTCCTCTGGATCCCAGTCTGTGTATTAATATAAATGAAGTGATTGGAGTGTGACCAATTCCAGCTAAACAAAACAAAACCAAGATTTTGCATGTACATCATGATGAAGTCCAAAACAAAAAGATATTTCACATCTTGGGAATTGTGTGTTAACTGATAATCATTTGTTAGTGTCAGTAAAACTTTGACATTGATTGTGTCTTTATGTAAAATTAACCTTCAGGTTCCCGTTGGGCAATAAACAATGTTTACATACTTATTAAGTTCCAGCAAGTACTCATGCATGGAAGTAAAGTTCCGAGATGATAGGTTTAAATTTCCAATGAGGGCAAGAATCTAGATTTAAAAATAAATGAGTAGGATTCATAGATATTATAGCTCACTAGCTAAGCATGTGCTTTAGACTAAGACACTACTTTATTGCTTATTAGTGGGGCCTGGGGCACATTACTGAATTTTTCTAAGCCTCATTTTCTTATCTATGTGATGGGGGAAAGTAACTACTGTGTTTCACTGCTGCAAGTATTATTGAGGTAACTTTTGTGAAGTAGAATTCCTGACATGCACTGATCACTCAATAAATGCTAGTTATTGAAAAAAGCATATAAAAGCTGAGTATGGTGGTACATGCCTGTAGTCCCAGCTACTTGAGAGGCTGAGGTGGGAGGATTGCTTGAGCCCAGGAATTCAAGGCCAGCCTGGGCAACATAGTGAGACCCTATCTCTAAAAAATTTAAATTAAAAAATATGTATAAATTTTAAAAGCATATAAAGATCTCAACCCATTTACTTTTCACTCATTCTCTCTGCCAGCATTAATCTATACTAGGTAACTCTGAATTGAAGCTATTTGTGATATGGTCCATGGGAAATGTATAGGAAGAAAGAATAGGTGGGAACAGAAGTAGCAAAGAGAAAAGAGCCTAGGAAGAGACAAAGAGTAGCCATCAAGACAGGCAACTAGGCAATTGCAAGGTAGGGCAGGAAAAACACATTGAAGAGAAGTCAATGGAATTTATGAAGGTCGGGCTCTGCGCTGACTGGGAAGGCCATATTTGTGGTGGTGGCCTCTACTGTCCCAGATGGTGCATAAGGGAAAGAAGGCTCAATTTAGAATCAGAAGACTGGGGATGGATGCTCTGCCTGCTACTTACTAGGTTCTTACACAACATCTGGCACATTCCCCTCCTCTGTGAAATGAGAGGTTTGAACTAAGCTGACCTCTGTCCATCCTAGTTCAAAACATTCTCAAACACCAATTCAGTCTTTCATAAGCATCAGAACACCCCAGCCTCATATGAAAATCTCCCTGTTAAAGAACACAGCAGCAACTTCTTACCAATGATGTGGAGGAATCTCATGAAACAGTCTTTTTCTGCTTCATTCTTCCCCCTCACATCTTCTAGCACTTTCTTTGTAACAACTCTCTTGCCATTTACTGTCTGGCTACAAATGGTGACCAGTCTGAAGTTTCTCAGTCTGCTGCTTACAAAGGGTTCAAATGTCTCAGAGGTAGAGGTACTTGCTCTGGAGCCCAGAGATAAAAAAGTGGAAAATCCTGTGTCCAATATGGGAGCCACATCAAAGATGGAGGAGTGGAATCTCCTGGCTTTACCCACAAGGCCAAGGGAAAAATCATCACCTGAGAATCCTGAGAATGCATAGTTCCTCCTCCAAATGTTTTTTGTCTCTGCCATCTCCTCTGTTTCCCTTTTGGTTCGGTTCCTTCTGGACTTGTCATACTCATTTCATTTCCTGGCATCAGACAAGACCTCATAGGCCTCTTGCTACTTGTTTGAATTTCTCCTCAGATGCCTCTTTGTTCCCTGGGTTCTTGTCTGGGTGTACCTGCAGAGCCAACTGGTGATAAGCCTTCTTAATATCAGGGGAGGAAGCATTTTGAGGCACACCTAGTACTTTGTAGTAATTCACCATGTTTCTTTAAACAGCCTTTCCCCACCAAGACAGGGTTTATTTTTGGAAGAATTTCCATATAAGGTTGGAAAGGAAGATGGTGAACTATTCAAGTTTACACCAAGCCCTTTTGAATACTATCACAAGGCTCTTGGGATGAAGTATCTTCTGGAGAGAAGTTCCTCTTTGTTGTATGGATCCTTCACATGCCTCCACTCCCGCCCACCTTCTGTCAGCAGCTCCTTGTGGGTGGAGTGACTATGAGCTCAACATTCTCAGCCAATGACTCTCAGCTGATGGCTGTGCTTGCCTTGCCTTCCTATTGGTGGGAAATTTAGAGTGGATAATATACACTGTGGGGAGGCTTCACCTTATTTAAAAATCAACACTGAGCAGCTTATTCAGAGAGAAGCTGTTTGTGTGGCTCAAAAGTATTTCATTTGTTGAAGTAACAGTCACAAGCAAAATGGCTTTTGCACTTAAATCGGACACAAAATCCATTTTGGCTCACTGTAAGGGCTAATGCTTTCAGTGACTTCATGAGTATTTCCTAGTGCTATTTAATATTTTCTGCTGGCACAAGGTAGGTGATAAAGGGTCTGTATTACAAAAAAAAAAAAGCCAAAAAAACAAAAAACAAAAACCTGAAACACATTTCTGATGAAGGAAAATACATAAGGCCCATTTTATCAAATGAGAAAACTGGGTCATAGAGATGAAACTAGGCAGGCTTTTCAAAATAGTAGATTTACAAAATATAACTAGAATTGAAGACCTCCCATATATTGTCAAATAAGTCTTCTTCAGCTGATTAAAAATTTTTTTTAATTTAAATTTAAATTTTATTTTAAGTACATGTGCAGGATGTGCAGGTTTGTTACATAGGTAAATGTGTGCCATGGTGGTTTGTTGCACTATCAACCTATCACCTAGGTATTAAGCCCAGCATGCATTAGCTATTTTTCCTAATGCTCTCCTTCTCCCCAACCCACCCCTGACAGGCCCCAGTGTGTGTTGTTCCCCTCCCTGTGTCGATGTGTTCTCATTCTTCAGCTCCCACTTACAAGTAAGAACATGCAGTGTTTGGTTTTCTGTTCTTGCATTAGTTTGCTGAGGATAATGGCTTCCAGCTCCATCCATGTCCCTGCAAATGACATGGTCTCATTCCTTTTCAGGGCTTCACAGCATTCCATGGTGTCTATGTACCACGTTTTCTTTATCCAGTCTATCATTGATGGGCATTTGGGTTAATTCCATGTCTTTGCTATTGTGAATAGTGCTGCAATGAACAGACATGTGCATGTATCTTCATGATAGAATGATTTATATTCCTTTGGGTATATACCCAGTAATGGGACTGCTGAATCAAATGGTATTCCTGATTCTAGATCTTTGAGGAATTGCCACACTGTCTTCCAAAATGGTTGAACTAATTTACATTCACACCAACAGTGTAAAAGCATTCCTATTTCTCCACAACCTTGCCAGCATCTGTTGTTTCTTGACTGTTTAATAATTGCCATTCTGACTGGTGTAAGATGGTATCTCATTGTGGTTTTGATTTGCATTTACCTAATAATCTGTGATGTTGAGTTTTTTTCATGTTTCTTGGCTGCACTAATGTCTTCTTCTGAGAAGTGTTTTTTCATGTCCTTTGCCCAGTTTTTAATGGGGTTGTTTGTTTTTTTCTTGTAAATTTGTTTAAATTCCTTGTAGATTCTGGATATTAGACCTTTGTCAGATGGAGAGATTGCAAAATTTTTCTCCCACGCTATAGGTTACCTGTTCACTCTGATGATAGTTTCTTTTGCGGTACAGAAGCTCTTTTGTTTAATTAGATCCCATTTGTCAATTTTTGCTTTTGTTGCAATTGCTTTTGATGTTTTCGTCATGAAATCTTTGTCCATGCCTATGTCCTGAATAGTATTGCCTAGATTTTCTTCTAGGGTTTTTATAGTTTGGGGTTTTACATTTAAGGTTTTAATCCATCTTGAGTTAATTTTGTATAAGGTGTAAGGAAGGGGTCTAGTTTCAGTTTTCTGCATGTGGCTAGCCAGTTCTCCCAGCACCATTTATTAAATAGAGAATCTTTTCCCCATTGCTTGTTTTTGTCAGGTTTGTCAAAGATCAGATGATTGTAGATGTGTGGTCTTATTTCTGAGTTCTCCATTCTGTTCTATTGGTCTAGGTGTCTGTTTTTATACCAATACCATGCTGTTTTGGTTACTGTGGCCTTACAGTATAGTTTTAAGTCTGGTAGCATGATGCCTCCAACTTTGTTCTTTTTGCTTAGGATTGTTTTGGCTATATGAGCTTTTTTTGATGTTGTTCTTCCATCTGAATTTTAAAATAGTTTCTTGTAATTCTGTGAAGGGTCTTTCAATGTTAGCCTTTTCAAAATTTATCTTTGGACTTAAGAACTAAACTAAGCAGCAGCATCAAAACAACAAATGCTTTTAAAAAGGGAGGTGCTGGTTGCTCTTTTTGCAGGATACGCAACTACAGATTTCCCAGGCTTCTTTGAAACTTAGTGTGGCCATGTGACTAAGCTCTGGCCAATGAGATGGGAAGGGATGATGCATGCGTCTCTCAGGCCCATAAAACTACCTGCACAGTCTTCTTATTCTTTTTCCTTATGCTAACTTATGTCAATGCCCAGATTATCTTGAAAGCTATTTAACTGATAACAAGGCCTCCTTCACCTGGGTCTTTGAATGACAGTGAAGCAGAAAATCCCCACCAGCTACCTTGGACTATCTGTATGAGCAAGAAATAAAATTCTACTATAATTAAGCCATTATATACTACTGGTAATATCTGTTGGTCTACTTTAATACACCAACCATTTCTACAATTTCCCCTTCCTTTTACAACCTCTTCTTATCATGTCATCAACCAAAAGAGTCCTATCTCTGCAACACTGAAAGCCCAATATCCTGATCTGTCTCTCACTCCTCATTCTCATTAAACCCATTTTTTTTATGTCAACTCCACTTTCTCCAGGGTTATCAGTCCCTTTCTGACTCCTCTTTCATACCAAGTCTGAACCCAATGATTGACCAGGGAGCTATTCTTTTATTAGCCCTCTATAAAGTAGCCCTCTTAAGCCATTAGCTTTTTGCAGTGTCCATCCCACAAACCCCCCATCCAGGATGAGTCCAGCAATCCAGCTTCTCTAACTCCTCTACCTAGTGCAGCTGGGGAAAAAAATCAAGGAACCATGAAGATGAAACACATCACATTTGCAGTGTACCAATCTCAGCTGGCCAGTAGAATACCTCAACTGTTCTTTTGTTATCCTTGGTCATTGCCCTCTCCCATTCCCCTTGGTGGCCATTCTTAACCTTCACTGCTGTCCTCCAGTTCCTTATTAAATCTCTACCAATCCCCATCTACCCCAAGCAGAGGAGCTTGACTCTTGTTTAGCAAAGGAAATAGAGGCTGTAAGGAACTCCCTTAATGTCCATGAAGACAAAGTGTATTAGTTAGGGTTCTCCAGAGAAACAGAACCAATGAGATACTGGTTAGATATGACCAACCTGCATGCTGGGAAAACAGGAAAGCTAGTGGTATAATTCAGTCCAAGTCTGAAAGACTGAGAATGGGAGGGTGAGGTGGGGCTGATGATATAAGTCCAGTCAGAGTCTGAAGGCCTGAGAACCAGAAGCTCTGATTTCCAAGGGCAGGAGATGATGGCTGTCTCAGGTCAAACAGAGTGATTTACCGTTTCTCCATATTTTTGTTCTATTAGGGCCATCATGGGATGAGGTGATGTTCACCCACATCAGTTAGGGCCATCTTCTTTATCCAGCCTACTGATTCAAATACTACTCTCCTTCACCAACACTCCCACAGACACCCCCAGAAATAATGCTTTACCAGCCATCTGGGCATCTCTTAGCCCAGTCAAGATGATACATTAACCATCACATAAGGACAATCTTATTTATATCTGTACACAACTTCACCTATGCTCCCAACTCAGAGGAAGAGAACCCTGTCTTGCTTGGTGCTAATTACTTAATATTTTTTAAAATAAAATACTTGAATATTTTATTTACCAAATTGAATCATGACATATATTATGGCTGGCATTACATTTTAAAAACTTTATTGGGATAAAATTCATATAACATGAAATATGCCATTTTGACCATTTTTAAGTATATGGTCACATTGATTACATTTATAGTGTTATGCAATTATTGCCACTATCTATTTTAAAAACACTTCCACCATCTCAAAAAGAAATTATCCACACATTACTTAATAACTCCCTACTCCCCCAAACCTCTGGTAACTTTTAATCTATGTTGTATCTCTATGAATTTGCCTATTTTAGATATTTCATGTAAGTGGAATTATGCAATATTTGTCTGGCTTATTTCATTTAACATGTTTTCAATGTTTATCCATGTCGTAGCACATATCAGAACTTCATTCCTTTTTATGGTTGAATAATATTCCATTATATGTATACAGCACATTTTAAAAATCAATTCATCTGTTCATGGACACTCGGGATATTTCCACCTTTGGTTATTGTGAACAATGCTGTAATAACCACAGCACAAGTACAAGTATCTGTTTAATTCCCTCTTTTCAATTCTTTTGGGTGGAATTGCTGGGTCCTACAGTAAAGCTATGCTTAAGTTTTTGAGAATCTACCAAATTATTTTCCACAACAGATGCACCATTTTATAGTTCTACCAGCAATGTACAAAGAAATTTCTCCACATCCTTGCTCCTCCGTATTCTTTTGATCTCATCCCTTTCTATAACCTCAGGGAGTTTGCTTCACTTAACTTTCCTCAATTTATTTCAATTTTAATCTATCCAATTCTTTTAGCTACTTTCCTGGATGTGAGTAAGTCTGGATGTCTCCTCTCTTAGAAGAGAACTCTCTTGCCTACATGACTCTCCAGTTGCTGCTTCTCCCTTACTGGCCTGCCTCCCACTCACTCCTCAACTTGGAGAGAAAGTTCCTCCCCAGCTGATGTGTGTGCACCCTGACATGCTGCTGTGGCTGCTGGCATGCATGAGCAAGCACAGATCCCGTTGCCACTGCCCCAGTGAAACTCTGTGGCCAGCAACCCCCATTGGAGTGTTGTGGCCAGCAGACAGGGAATACCTCGACCCCTCCAGTAAAGCAGGTTGCTAACCACAAGGGGCCAGAGAACAAAGCTGTGGCCCGGTACCAACCCCCTAGAGTTACAGCATGCAGCCCAGAAGTGCCAAGCTGAGCCTTGTCCCCCTAAAATCTTGCAGAAATGAAGCCAATCACCTTATACCACAATCAAAGCCTGAAGGGCATTAAAGAAGATAAAGGCAAAAAAAACACATCCAAAGGACAGCAATTTCAAAGACTGAAGAAGAATGAGCCCACAGAGATGAAAAAATAAAAAAATAAAAAACACAAAAAACAAAAAACAAAACAAAACAAAAAAACCTAGTGCAATAACTCTGGCAACTCAAAAAGTCAGAGTGTCTTCTTATCTCCAAATGACTGTACTAGTTCCCCAATAATTGTTCTTAACCAGACTGAAATGGCTGAAATGACAGACATATAAGTCAGAATATAGATAGGCATGAAGATCATTGAGGTTCAAGAGAAAGTTAAAGCAAAATCCAAGGAATCTAAGGTATATATGGGAGCTGAAAGATGAAATGGTCATTTTAAGAAGAATCAAACTGATCTGGCAGAGCTGAAAAACTTACTTCAAGAGTTTCATAATACAATCTCAGCAGAATAGATCAAGCTGAGGAAAGATTCTCAGAGCTTGAAGACTGGCTGATATGGTTTGGCTGTGATCCCACCCAGATCTCGTCTTGAATTCCCACATGTTGTGGGAGGGGCCCAGTGGGAGGTAATCTAATCATGGGGGCAGGTCTTTCCCATGCTGTTCTCAGGATAGTGAATAAGTCTCAGGAGATCTAATGGTTTTAAAAAGAGGAGTTCCCAGCCGGGCACGGTGACTCATGCCTGTAATCCCAGCACTTTGGGAGGCCGAGGCAGGTGGCTCACCTGAGGTCAGGAGTTTGAGACCAGCCTGGCTAATGTGGTGAAACCCTGTCTCTACTAAAAATACAAAAATTAGCTGGGTATGATGGAAGGCACATGTAATCCTAGTTACTGAGGAAGCTGAGGCAGGGGAATCACTTGAACCCGGGAGGCAGAGGTTGGAGTGAGCTGAGAGCACGCCATTGCACTCCAGCCTGGGTGACAGAGTGAGACTCCATCTTAAAAAAAAAAAAAAAAAAAAAAAGAGAGATGAGTTCCCCTGTACCAGCTCTCTCTCTTTTTGCCTGCTGCCATCCACATAAGATGTGACTTGCTCCTCCTTGCCTTCCTCCATGGTTGTGAGGCCTCCCCAGCCATGTGGAACTGTAAGTCCAATTAAACCTCTTTTCTTTGGTACATTGCCCAGTCTTGGATATGTCTTTATCAGCAGTGTGAAATAGACTACTACAGTAAGTTGGTACCAGTAGAGTGGGGCATTGCTGAAAAGATACACAAAAATGTGGAAGTGACTTTGAAACTGGGTAACAGGCAGAGGTTGGAGGGCTCAGAAGAAGACAGGAAAATGTGGGAAAGTTTGAAACTTCCTAGAGACTTGTTGAATGACTTTGACAAAAATGCTGATAGTGATATGAACAATAAGGTATAGGCTGAGGTGGTCTCAGATGGAGATGAGGAACTTGTTGGGAACTAGAGCAAAGGTGACTCTTGTTATATTTTAGCAAAGAGACTGGTGGCATTTTGCCCCTGCCCTAGAGATTTGTGGAACTTTGAACTTGAGAGAGATGATTTAGGGTATCTGGTAAAAGAAATTTCTAAGTAGCAAAGCCTTCAAGAGGTGATTTGGGTGTTGTTAAAGGCATTCAGTTTTATAAGGGAAACAGAGCAAAAAAGTTCAGAAAATTTGCACCCTGACAATGTGATAGAAATGAAAATCCCATTTTCTGAGGACAGACTCAAGCCAGTTGCAGAAATCTGCATAAGTAATGAACAGCCAAATGTTAATCCCTAAGACAATGGGGAAAATGTCTCCAGGGCATGTCAGAGGTCTTCATGGCAGCTCCTGCCATCACAGGAGGGCCTAGGAGGAAAAGATGGTTTTGTGGGCCAGACCCAGGGTCCTCATGCTATGTGCAGCATAGGGACTGGTGCCCTGTGTCCCAGCCACTCCAGCCATGGCTGAAAGGGACCAATGTAGAGCTTGGGTCGTGGCTTCAGAGGGTGCAAGCCTCAAGCTTTGGCAGCTTCCATGTGGTGTTGAACCTGCGAGTGCAGAGAAGTCAAGAATTGAGGTTTGGGAATCTCTGCCTAGATTTCAGAAGATGTATGGAAATGCCTGGATGTCCAGGCAGAAGTTTGCTGCAAGGGTGGGGCTTTCATGGAGAATCTCTGCTAGGGCAGTGTGGAGGGAAATGTGGGGTGGGAGCTCCCATATAGAGTCCCTACTGAGGCACCACCTAGTGGAGCTGAGAGAAGAGGGCCACCATCCTCCAGACCCCAGAATGGTAGATCCACTGACAGCTTGCACCGTGCACCCAGAAAAGCCGCAGACACTCAATACCAGCCCATGAAAGCAGCCAGGAGGGAGGCTGTACCCTGCATAGCCACAGGGGCAGAGCTGTCCAAGACCATGGGAACCCACTTCTTGCATCAGCATGACCTGGATTTGAGACATGGAGTCAAAGGAGATCATTTTGGAGCTTAAAGATTTGACTGCCCTGCTGGATTTTGAACTTGCTTGGGGGCCTGTAGCCCCTTTGTTTTGGCCAATTTCTCCCATTTGGAATGGCTGTATTTACATAATGCCTGTACCCCCACTGTATCTAGGAAGTAACTAACTGCTTTTGATTTTACAGGCGCATAGGTAGAAGAGACTTGCCTTGTCTTGGATGAGACTTTGGACTGTGGACTTTTGAGTTAATGCTGAAATGAGTTAAGACTTTGGGGTACTGTTGGGAAGGCATGAATGGTTTTGAAATGTGAGGATGTGAGATTTGGGAGGGGCCAGGGGTGCAGTGATATGGTTTGGCTGTGTCCCCACCCAAATCTCATCTTGAATTCCCACATGTTGTTGGAGGGACCCGGTGGGAGGTAATTGAATCATGAGGGCAGGTCTTTATCATGCTCTTCTCATGATAGTGAATAAGTCTCAGGAGATCTGATGGTTTTAAAAAGAGGAGTTCCCCTCAAAAGCTCTCTCTCTTTTTGCCTGCTGCCATCCACATAAGATGTGACTTGCTCCTGGTTGCCTTCTGCCATGATTGTGAGGCCTCCCTCCCCAGCCATGTGGGACTGTAAGTCCAGTTAAACCTTTTCTTTTGTAAACTGCCCAGTCTTAGCAATTTACATGTCTTTATCAGCAGCGTGAAAATGGACCAATACACTGGCTCTCTCAAATAACTCAGTCAGACAAAAATAAAGAAAAAAATTTAAAAAGAATGAACAAAACTGTTAAGAAATATGGGATTATGTAAAGAGACCAAATCTACAACTCACTGGTGTCCCTGAAAGAGAGGGCAAGAAAGCAAGCAACTTCGAAAATACATTTGAGGATATTGTCCGTGAAAGTTTCCCCAACCTTGCTAGAGAGGGCAACAGTGAAATTCAGGACATGCAGACAGCCCTTGTGAGATACTATACAAAATGACCATCCCCTAGACACATAGTCATCAGATTCACCAAGGTTGAAATGAAATTAAAAATGTAAAAGGCAGATAAAGACAAGGGGCAAGTCACCTACAAATGGAACCCCATCAGGCTAACAGCAGACTTTTCAGCAGAAACCCTGCAAGCCAGAAGATATTGGGGGCCTACACTCAGCATTCTTAAAGAAAAGAAATTACAACTAAGAATTTCATATCCAGCCAAACTAAGTTTCCTAAGTGAAGGAGAAATAAGATCCTTTTCAGACAAGCAAATGCTAAGGGAATTAGTTACCACTAGACCTGCCTTTCGAGAAGTCCTTAAGGGAGTGCTAAATAAGGAGAGGAAAGGCCATTACTGACTGCCACAAAAACACACTTAAGTACATAGACCCACTGACACTATAAGTCAACTACACAATCAAGTCTGCCTAATAACCCCCTAACAATACAATGACAGAATCAAATCCATACATATCAATAGTAACCTTGAATGGAAACAGAGTAAATGTCTCAATTAAAAGTCACAGAGTGGCAAGTTGGATAAAGAAGCAAGACCCAACTGTATGCTGCCCTCAAGAGGCCCATCTTACATGTAATGACACGCACAGGCTCAAAGTAAAGGGATGATGAAAAATCAACCTAACAAATGGAAAACAGAAAAAAAGCAGGGTTTGCTATTCTAATTTCAGACAAAACAGACTTTAAACCAACAACGATTTTAAAAAAAAGACAAGTGCATTACACAATGGTAAAGGGCTCAATTCAACAAGAAGATGTAACTATCCTAAGTATATATGCACCCAAAACAGGAGCACCCAGATTCATAAGATGAGTTCTTAGAGACCTAAGAAGTGACTTAGATGACTACAAAATAATAGTGGGAGACTTCAACATCCTACTACCAGTTTAGACAGACCATCAAGGCAGACAACTAAGATATTCGGGACTTGAACTTAACACTTGACTAAATGGATCTAAAAGACATCTACAGAACTCTCCACCTCTAAGATGGCAGAATATATATTCTTCTCATCTGCACATGCGATATACTCTAAAATCGACCACACAATTAGCATAAAACAATTCTCAGAAAATTAAAAAAAAGGGAAATTATACCAACTGTACTCTCAAACCACAGCACAATAAAAATATATATCAGTAAGAGGAAGGTCACTCAAAACTGTACAGGAAATTAACCTGCTCCTGAATGAGTTTTGGGTAAACAAAGAGATTAAAGGAGAAATCAAGAAATTATGTGAAACTACTGAGAACAAAAATACAACATACCAGAATCTCTGGGACACAGCTAAAGCAGTGTTAAGAGGAAAGTTTATACTGCTAAGTGCCCACATCAAAAAGTTATAAAGATCTCAAATTAACCAACCTAACATTACACATAGAGGAACTAGAAAAACAAGAGCAAACCAACCCCAAGGCTACCAGAAGACAAGAAATAACTAAAATCTGAGCTGAACCGAATGAAACTGAGACATGAAAAACCATATAAAAGATGAACAAATCGAGGGGTTGGTCCTTTGAAAGAATAAATGACATATATAGACCATTAGCTAGACTAATAAAGAAGAAAGGAATGAATATCCAAATAAATACGATCAGAAATGACAAAGGGGACATTACCATCAACCCCATAGAAATATTTTTTAAAAAACCCTCAGAGACTATTACAAACACCTGTATGCATACAAACTAGAAAACCTAGTTGAAATGGATAAATTCCTGGAAACACAGCCTCCCAAGATTGAACAAGGAAGAAACTGAAGCCCTAAACAAACCAATAATGAGTTCTGAAATTGAATCAGGAATAAAAAGCCTACCAACCAGAAGCAGCCCAGGACCAGATGGATTTACAGCTGAATTCTACCAGATTTATAAAGAAGAGCTGGTACCATTCCTACTGAAACTATTCCCAAAAATTTAGGAGGAGGGACTCCTCCTTAACTCATTCTATGAGGCCAAAATCATTTTGATACCAGAACCTGGCAGAGATACAACAAAAAAAGAAAACTTCAGGCCAATATCCTTGATGAACATTGATGCAAAAATCCTCAACAAAATACTAGCAAACTGAATCCAGCAGCATATCAAAAAGCTAATCTCCCACAATCAAGTAGGCTTTATCCCCGGGAAGCAAGGTTGGTTCAACATATGCAGATCAATATATGTGATTCATCACATAAACGGACCCAAAACCCCAAGCCACAAGGTCATCTCAATAGATGCAGAGAAGGCTTTCAATAAAATTCAACATCCCTTCATGTTAAAAATCCTTAACAAACTAGGCATCAAAGTTAAATACCTCAAAATAATAAGAATCCAAATAAGAAGAAAGGAACTCAAACTATTCTTGTTTGCAGATGATATGATTCTATACCTAGAAAACCCCATAGTCTCTGACCAGAAGCTGCCTTGAGCTGATAAACAACTTCAACAAAGTTTCAGTATACAAAATCAATGTGCAAAAATCAGTAGCATTCCTAACAACACCCATACACTGATAGCACCTAAGCTGACAGCCAAATCAGGAATGCAATCCCATTCACAATTGCCACAAAAAGAATAAAATACCTAGAGATACAGCTAACCGGGGAGGTGAAAGATCTTTACAATGAGAACTACAAAACACTACTGAAAGAAATCAGAGATGACACAAACAAATGGAACAACATTCCATGCTCTTGGATAAAAATAATCGATATCATTAAAATGGCCATACTGCCCAAAACAATTTACAGATTCAATGCTATTTCTATAAAACCACCAATGACATTCTTCACAGAACTGGAGAAAACTATTCTAACATTCATATGGAACCAAAAAAGAGCCCAAACAGCGAAGGGAATCCTAAGCAAAAAGAAGCTGGAGGAATCACATTGCCTGACTTCAAACTGCACTACAAGGCTACAGTAACCAAAATAGCATGGTACACATAGACCAATGTAACAGACTAGAGAGTACAGAAATAAAGCTGTACATCTATAACCATCTGAGCTTTGACAAAGTTGACAAAAACAAGTGATGGGGAAAGGACTTCCTATTCAACAAATGGTGCTGGGAGAACTGGCTAGCCATATGCAGAAGATTGAAACTGGACCCATTACTTACACCATATATAAAAATCAATTCAAGATAGTTTAGAGACTTAAATGTAAAGCCTAAAAGTATAAAAATCCTGGAAGATAAACTAGGAAATACCATTCTGGACATACGCCCTGGCAAAGATTTCATGATAAAGACGCCAAAAGCAATTGCAACAAAAACAAAAATTGACAGATAGGACCTAATTAAACTAAAGAGTTTCTGCATAGCAAAATAACTATCAACAGGGCAAACAAACAACCTACAAAATGGGAGAAAATATTTGTAAACTATGAGTCCAACAAAGGTTTAATATTCAGAATCTATAAGAAACTTAAATCAACAAGCAAGAAAACAAACAACCCATTACATATTGGGCAAAGGACATGAACAGACACGTCACAAAAGAAGTCATAAATATGTCTAATAAGCATATGAAAAAATGCTCAACATCGTTGATCATTAGAGAAATGCAAATCAAAACAACGAGACACCATCTTGCACTAGTTAGAATGGCTTTTATTAAAAAATAATAAAAACAGATGCTGGTGAGGTTGCTTAGAAAAGGGAATACTTATACAGCAGTAGTGGTGGGAATGTAAATTAGTTCAGCCATTGTGGAGAGAAGTTTGGTGATTTCTCAAAGAACTTAATACAGAACTACCATTCAACCTGGCAATCCCATTACTGGGTATATTCCCAAAAGAATGTAAGTTGTTCTACCATAAAGACACATGCACCTGTATGTTCACTGCAGTACTATTTGCAATAGGAAAGATATGAAATCAACCTAAGTGCCTATCAACAGTAGACTGGATAAAGAAAATATGGCACATATACACCATGGAATACTACATAGCCATTAAAAAAGAATAAGATCATGTCCTGTGCAGCAACATGGATGGAGCTGGAGGTCATTATCCTATGCGAACTAATGCAGGAACAGAAAACCAAATACCTTATGTTCTCATAAGTGGGAGCTAATCATTGAGCACATACGGACATGAAGAAAGGAACAATAGACACTGGGGCCTACTTGAGGGTGGAGGGTGGGAGGAGGGTAGACTGAAAAACTGCCTATTGGATACTATGCTTATTACTTGGGTGATGAAATAATCTGTACCTCAAACCCCCGTGACACACAATTTACCTATATAACAAACCTGCACCTGTACCCATGAATCTAAAATAAAAGTTTAAAAACTTCAACAAGTTTTTTCCTTATCAGTTTTCAATTTTCTTGGCTGCTTTCTTATTGCTAGCATTACCCACTTATTTGAGATTTCACCTCTTTTCTAAATTTTCATGGGTTGAAAGGACACATCAGCAGAGATTGAGTTGCCACTTCCCCTGTTCATTATGCTACAAAATATTTTAAGCATTTCAGTAACCTTCAATTGTTAAAAATTATCAGGCATCAAAGCACCTCAAATATTTTCAATACTTGGTATTATTAGATGCTGATGAAGTAAATCAAGTTATTCTCAATTTGTGAGGTTTTAATTGGTCTAATTCAAAGCCAGATTTGCCATGAAAGCTAATGATGTTTAAGTTTCACCTTAACAAGTTTGTATCCATAATTTTTTTTTTTTTTTTTTTTTTTTTTTTTTACCAAGGAGGGCTGTTAGAATTGCATAAACTTTAGGCTCCACAGAACCTGGATTTGTCCCTGTTCTAATTAGAAATCTCCATCTAGAATCACTACAAGTGAATTCGATTTGGCCGTGATTAGAACACTATGCTCAGGGTTGCTCTGATTGGCATCCCCACCCTACAATTCCATTTTGAGGTAGTTAGTATTACTTGGCAATATGTAGCCATAAGAAATTTTATTTATTTTTTATTAAGCCAGTGACTTCAGAAACTTATCCAAAGTTAGCAATAAGTCATCTGTAAAGAGATGTCAATCTTTGCATTTCAAATGAATGACTTAAGCAACCAGTTGGGCATTTCAGAGTAAAGATACTATTCTTATTCATGTGGTTTGAGAAAAATGAAGAGATAAGAGAGTAAAATTAATTTGTCACCTTGAGTTGCATATTATTTTGTCATGATTATCTCAGAGATACATATTGTTCTAGAAATAAAACCATGAATGTTGCTTGTAAGTTTGAGAAATCTGAAAAATATGAACTATATGACATTGATTGAATGGCAGATCTGTCTTCCATCTTCTTCTTATATATTCTAAGTATGTGAGTCAAACAGACAAAGACATAGAAATGAAGTGACTACACCACAACAGGCAGAGCTGTCTTTGTGACTTGCAATTAGGGTCCAATTTGAGTGGTGAAGTTACTGTACTAGATTGCCACAGTTCCTTAAATGGCAACTAAAAGCACTGCCCACAGTTGGCTTTACAACAGAGAATGCTGCTCATTTAGCCTTCAGAGTCTGACAAAGCAAACTTTATCCTAAATGTTCTCTGTGAGGAAGGGAAGGATGCTTTTGAACAAGATTAGTCAAAATAGTGTCTTAAAAACCAAAGCTCTTAGCAAAGTAAAATTCTTGAGGTACCTTTGACTCTTGAAAGCTAAGCAGGCCATACCCATGGACAAGTGCCATTAAAAACAAAATATCTATTCACAAAAGTTCAACTGCGTCTCAAGTGGTTTTGTGCCGTGTTGTGCACTGAAAGCATACTTCTTGAGGACCAGTTTTAAGATTACATATTTTGACTCTTAAAGCAGGAGCTTGAGCAGTATTCTGTTTGTTTAACTCAGTATTAACTTTATAGAAATCTGAGTCCTAGAAAGGCAAATTCTCCAGGACCATCCACTAACCATGAGAAAACTGGAAGAAAACATATCAGAAGTCATGACTTTCACTCATTCCCTTCACCACAGCCTAAAATGTTTGTCTGCTAGAAGGTGCTTGGGAAAATAGCCCCCACACCACAGTGTCTGTGGGAAAGAGAGGTGGTACTGACAAGGCTGTAATCACTACCTTCTCCAGGGCTCCCACTGCCTCCTGCTCTCATAGGCCAGTGAACCCTTTGGATTGCTAGCTGAATGAGTGCAGTACGCCAGACTCCCTACATGGTGAGCAACTGCAACCCTGATGACACAGACCACATGCCAACCCAAGGAGTAGCGACATCACTGTCCAAAACATACGTGCTATTGACACTGGGTTATTTGTGATGGGCTAGGCAGGGACTTAGGCCTTCATTCTTGATGATTCTTTTGACTTGTAATTGCTACTAACACAGAAGACTCAAAAGAGGATTGCCAGAAGAGAATTTGATGAAGATAATTGCAGCAGATGAAAACTTAATGGAGATCATTGTTCTGTGGCAGTGGGGTGCCTGCACAGGGAAAAGGAGGTTAGGCAAACACCACCACCTTAATCCAGCTGCTTCTCCATACCACAGGAACACAGGACAAATCTTGCCCTCTGATAAATCTTGCTCAATGGCCTGACATCTTCCAAGAGGTCACGCTGCTAGAAAGCCACATCCAAGTCTAGTTGCCACAGCCATACAGTTTCCAATACTGTGCTATGAGACCACACCACAAAGATAGATACTGTCCTGGAAGTCAGGCCATCTGATGGTGGACATGTTTGCCATCAATACCAGTATTTTAGTCAGTTCAGGCTGCTAGGACAAGATACCATAGATTGGGCAGCATAAACAACAGATATTTCTCACAGTTCTAGAAGCTGGAGGTCCAAGACCAGGGTGCCAGCATGGTTGGGTTCTTGGTGAGGGCTCTCCTGCTGGCTTGTAGAAGGCTGTCTTCTTGCTGTATCCTTACACCTGAGAGTAAGCTCTCTGGTGTCTTGTTCTCTTCTTATAAGAGCATTGATCTCATCATGGGGGTTCCATCCTCATGACCTCATCTAAACCTAATTACCTCCCAAAGATCCCACCTCCTAATATCCTCACTGTGGGTTAGGTTTTCAACATAAGAGTTTTGGGGGCACATAAACATTCAGCTCATAATAGCCATGAAACAATAAGCTCCCCACATCACTGGCAACCGTGCTGCCCTTTCTGGACTTGCCCTTTTCAAAAGTGGTTTAGGGGATGCTCTCCATCCCTGTCCTGCTTCTGTCAAGTGGAAGGGCAAAGCTTTCCTGAGGAGAGTTTAAGGAGGCAGTTGTTCTAATTGTTTCTCAGCGCTGTGACCTTGCATGTACCTGCATGTACCTTGGAAGGGCCATGTGCTTGGGCTGGAGAAGGCCTGCATTTTCTAATCAGGATGATGAGTGGGTGCTAACCAACTAGGTTCATTGCCAGGAAGACTCCAGAGGTAAAATGCTGATGCCCTCTGTAGTGTGATGATGGAAGAGGCAGGTTAACATGGTAGAGGATCCAATCCTCAGTCCTCATGAATATCACAGCAGCGACTTATCTTACCATCCTAAGCCTGGCCAGTGATTCCCTCCCTGCCCTCCAGTCCTTTAATGGGAAAAGGAGAAACGATATTTGAATCACTGCCAGAGACAAATTCAAGGCAGACTCTTCCCTGACCCAATCACCCTTCCATGAGAATGAAGAAACTCAAGCTTCTGGACCATGCTTGCAAAACTCTGATCCTTTGAGAATTCATTTCTCAGGCTTCCGAGTTGGCAGGTTGAACATAGTAGCAAGACGATGCTCACTTCTCCCTTGAAGGATTTCTGAATGAAATGCTTTAGAAGAGTTTATTCCCATTATGGTTCCCAGTGTCCATTGGGACAGAATGAGATCATCCATGGGAGAAAGTGCCTGCTCGTGGGCCAGGCTCAGAGCTGGCAGTCCCATTTCTGAGGTAAGTCACAGAACCTGGAAGGTCCAGAGACCATCGTGTGCCCCCAGTCTGGGATGTCTGCCTCCAAGGAGTCTGAGCAAAAGCTCAACCTGCAAAGGGCTTTTGGTCAGCTGGGAATCTGGCCAAGAGACCTTTTAGCTAAGTATTTTTTTGTTAACCATTTACAATATTATCTACATTTAATTTTAGAAGAGTGCTATTCAATTGCTGTGACACAAATGGACATTGTACCAGTGAAAAACAAAATAAAATATGTTCCAGCTGATCAGCGGCCTTCCACTTTCCAACCTGAGCAGTTTTTTCCATCACAATTCATAAAAGTTTTTCAAACATAAAGAAAACTCATCAGAGTTTTATAGTAAATACCCATATTCTGAACACCTAGATGCTACAATTAACATTTCCTGTACTTGCTTTACCACATATATGTCCACATAGTCACCCTTCTATTTAATTGCCAATGCATATGTTTGATGCATTTTAAATTGACTTGTATATATCAGTATACTTTACCCTAAACACTTCTGTTTTTATACCACTGTTTAGGTGTTTTTCATAGTTCTTTTCTTTTTGAAGTAAAATGTGTATGTTCTGTAATGCACAAACCTGAATCATTTGCATATGCCTGTGTATTAGCAAGCAGTGACCCATGCATACCTGTAACCCAAGCCTGTATCAAGATACAGAATGTTACCATCACCCAGAAATTTCCCTCATACTCCTTCCCAGTCGTTTTCCACCCCCACGCAGCCAGAGGCAACCCCTGTTCTGATTGTTTTTTTACCACTGATTGATTTTCCTGTTCTGAAACCTTATCTAAATGGAACCATTCAGTATGAACTCAGTTATGTAAGGTTTCTCTCAATCAGTAATATGTTTTTGAGACTCATGCAAATGGCTGCACATAACAGTAGTTCATTCCTTTTTATTACTGTGGAGTATTCCACTGTATGAATATATCACGGTTTGTGTATTCATTCTCCTATTGATGTACACCTAGGCTTCAAATTTTTGACCATTGTGATAAAGCTAGTAAGAACAATTTTGTACAAATCTTTTTACAGACATGTGTTTTCATTTCCCTTGGGTAAATACCCAGGAGTAAAACTGCTGCATCAAGGGGTAGATGTCTGAATGTTGATTTCACAGTCTCACCAACAACAAAAGAGTTCCAGTTGCTCCACATCCTCGTGAATGTTTAATATTATCAACCTTTCTCATTTTAGCTCTTCTGGTAGGTATGAAGAAATTTAAGCTGCTATTTTAGCAAGTTTTCCAAATTAGGAAAAAAATACTTATGTACAAAGATCAAGTCTGAAGTAAATATAGGTTGAAGGAAATCTAGAAATTGGCGTGTGCAATTTTAGAAAAGTTTACCTTATCCAAACTCAGGCCATACAGCTAATAGTTTGAGAGAATGAACAATGGCTGAAGGGATATGGAACAAGCAGCCAGACACATTTTTCAGTTTTTAATTCTCCCTACAATATTATGATATTAGAAAAGAAAATGTAATGCTTAGAAAACTGCAGCCTTCGTTGGTAGAGAAATAGGAACTCTGTGTTTACCCACAGAACTGGCCTGGTGTGAACCACACTGTGTTGCCCCCACTTGCCTCCTCAGGTCAAAGCCCCTTGAAGACCAACCCTGCAAACCTAGCACAGCCTGCAACATGGAGCTATGAATCACCTAGACAATTGGGATGGACTCCTGCCACTTTCTCCCTCTTTCTAATACCATCCCTGGACCTGAGGAAAAGGAAATCCCATTTTTTGAGTATCAACACTATGCCAGAACCTATCATAGGCACTGTGTGTATATTGTCCACTAATCCTCACAACAACATCCCTATAAAGTTATTGACAGTCTGATGTTATAGATATGAAACCAAGACTCAGAGAGACATAGTAACGTGCCTAGGGTCACATAGAGATAGAAGAACCAGGATTCGACTATCAATCCTGTGCTTTTTCCACTCTACCTTGCTAAGCACCCAGAAAGCAAACTGCAAAGGGCTTAATAGTCCATTGGGTGCTGAGGCCAGTAGTAGGAGGTGGTGTATGTCTCTCAGTCAGGTTTGTCCCTGCTTTTCCTTTCTTTTCTGTTTCCTGCTTTCTAGTGTGTTTTCATTGAAGGTAGGGCTGATTCACTCCACCCTTGAGTATGATCAGTCTTTCAGAGGACACAGATGTAAATGAGCTTTAGCCTTCTTCTCCACAGCTGCCACTGTCTCCGGCTTTGAGTTTTCCCCTTGCACAAAGGGATAATTCACCTGGTACATCCATTCTCCTTCCCCTCAGTTTCTCAGAGCCTCACTGATTCCTCCCTGCTCTTTGGTCCTCTTCCTCCTCACTCCCTTCTGCCCACTGTTGGGAAGGGAGGTAACTGTGGGTTCATCACATGTTCATCACGTGTTTCTCTAGACCAAGTTACCTGTTCCTGAAAAGCACTAGCTTGCTCCTCAAATCCCACGGTTCGGAAATAATTGACGACATCCATCACGGCCCAGTCTGCAGGATCAGGTGGTCTCCCATTTTCCATGGAACTGCAAAACACAAATCCAGACAGTTGTCATGGCAGTGCCTGCACAAGGGTGTGGCCAGGCTCACAAATGGGTCTTCTGGGACAGGCCTTTCATGTTTTTTGGGTTCAGATGATGATTACTCTCACTGGCTTAGTCACTGCTAATAAACCATTTGACATTTAATGTAAATTATTTCCTCTGGTTTTTAATCCAGAGACATTGAGAGTGGTCCAGTGACTGCTGGCAGCCCAGAGTATGATATTCATACTTCTGAGTTCAGAACACCTGGCCTTTTACGATATGACCTCAACATACCGCTCTCTCTTCCTGTCTTCCTAACACCTTCCCTAGCCCCATCCCCACACATCTAGGGATAAAGCCCTTCCACAATAGGCCAAGTCCTTTCATAGATCTGAGCCTCTGCACATTCTGTCCCAGCCACTTACAATGCCCCCACACCTGTCTCTATTGGACAAAACTCTACCATTTCTACCAATACAAAACTACCTCCTCTTTGAAGCATTTTTTCTGGCTCTTCCAAGGGTGTGTTTTAGTCATAACCTCCTTTGACTTCTAGAACTTCATTCAAACTCCCATTGTAGCACCTTCCACACTGAATTATACCCTCTGTTTATTGAACAGTCTCTCCCACTAGAGTGGGAGATGCAGGTTGGAGAAATGCATTTGAGCCCGGACCACTTCTCATTTTATTATTCCTAGTATCAAGTGTGTACTTAGGAACTTAACCCATATTGTTCAAATAAATAAACAGATGACAAGATAACAATCAAGCATTTGTCTGAGTGGGTCTATGGGTAATGCTCCTCATTGGATTCAGAGAGGAGGGAAAGGAGAAGTAGAATAAAGAAAGACTGGTAATGACCTGCAGTTACTGGGACTCTGCCTCATTTCTGCGTTGGGAGTATTTGTCTGGCTTTCTCTATACCTCATCCAAGATGATTTTCCCAGAGTGTACATCCAATCACATAGCCTAACTTTGCTTTGGAGGTCCCTCAGGACAAAGCCTCTCCTCTCTCCAACTAGGAATACACTGGAGAGCAAAACAGACACCACCCTTATTCTTACGGGCCTTACAGTCCTGTGGGGAGTAGACACTGATCAATAATCATACAAGTAAATGTACAGCGGCAAGTTATGCTAAATGCTAAGAAGGACAAGCATCATTTACTATGATAGTTAAAGGGATAGGGGAAGCTTTCCCGTGGGAGTTTCTTTTCAGGTACGATCTAAAAGACAGCCAGAAATTAACTGTATGAAGAAGTCACATGAAGAATATTCCAGGCCCTGTGACAGAAACACATACAGCCAAGGGAGCCATGCAGGTCTTGGAGGCCACACTGAGGATTCTGGATTTTTGCTAAGAGCAATGAGGAGCTGTTGAATGGTCCTATGTAAAGGGGGTGACCTGATCAGATTCACATTTTGAAAAAGAGGATGCTGGAGAGGAGCCAGTGGGGAAGAAGCCAGTGAGAAGTCTATTGCAGTCATGCAACCCAGAGATCATGCGTAGACTAGGGTGGTGTATGTGAAAAACAAGAGGAGTGTGTGGATTTAAAAGAGAGTTAATGAATAAAATCAGTGTAACTTAGTGCTAGACCAGACATAGAGAATGGAGGGAGTAGAAGTGTCATGGAATTGGATGGATGGTGGTAACATCCATCCAGCTAAACATGCTAAATTTGGTGTACTGTCTATATCCAAGTGGAGATTTAATGTGGGCTATAAGTCTACAGCACAAAGCAGAAGAGTGGGCTAGGTACACCTGTGGGAGACAGAGGCATTTAGACAGTAACTGAAATCTTGAGAGAGGAGGAGAAGAGAGCTGGGCCTAGAACTAAGCTTGAGAGGTTCAATATTTAGTGGAAGTTGAAAACATCCAGGTTACTTTTAGTGGAAACAAAATTGGCTAGATTTGGAGAGATTTCTGAAGGTCTTTAAAGGTCTAAGAGTCAAGGATCCAGCCACCTCATCCCCCAGCATAATGTTTTGCCCATAGCAGGAACCTAAAATATTTGATTTAAGAAAACCAAACCAACTTCTGTACTAGTTAAAGGGAGTCACTGATCGATGGCACATGTGATCGTTAATTTCTCAACAGCACCTAATTTAAAAACACCTAAAGCCAATACTCTAAATGTCTTCTCTTTTGGGCTTAAAGATGGTGAATCTATAACCACTGCATGCCTGTATACACACATACCCATATGCACACATGCACACACACAATCTTCCTACCATTTAACAGGCAATATACATCGAGAAGAAAACTATTTTTCACCCTAATGTTACTAAATATTAACTATGTGTTTTTAAATCAATAGTAAATTTTAAAAAAAATTATCTATGTGCTGGAATTTTCCATACACTAGCAACATAAGCAATCAGCAACTGGCACTGAGGACCCTCTTCAAGCTACCATTTTCCTTCCCTCTCTCTTAAGGTGTCCTTGAAGAATGTTCAGAAAGGAGTTCATTGTTCCAACAAATCTTTTCAGTTTTCTAATTAGCTCACTTCTGGTAGTGAACACAGAGTCCCATCGAACACACTTTTAAGTGCCCCCAGAAAACATCTGAATTCAATCTCCCTGTGGTTGACTTCAGTTAGTCGCCTTTCCTCACCAAGAATAGTTATCAGACCTTCACATGTACCCCCAAACCTAAAATAAAACATTTTAAAAAGAATATTCAATTGTAATAACAAAATAAGCTACATTGTAATTTTAAGATGGGAGGCTTTCCTGATTTTTATTCTAGTGGGATATAACATCATGACTTCCATAATTTTGAAATATTCTTGAGTATAGCAATGCCACAGAGAAGAAAGACTTGTAAAACTGCTGGCAGTGTACCATGAATAGCAGCAACGTGGAACGGGGCACTCTTTCATATGGAGGGTAAGGGAATTCACCCAGAAGAAACAAGGGGTTAGAAACCAACCAATACATTTAATGATTGATCTACCTAAGTTTAAAAGCCTGATATCCCCCCAAAGCCAAAATAACCAGGAAAAAAATCACATTAGACTATCGATATCCTGAGAAGAAAAACCTATCTTCATCTTTGTAGCACCAGCACCTAGCACAGTCTGACTGGTGCACAGTTGATACACAGCAAAGTATTACAATGGACTAACAACCAGAGAGCACTTACAACTTAAAATCTGTTTTTCACACGTTACTCAGTATCAGCCTCCCACCTCTTTGTGAACTGGCTACTGTAACCTGCTTTTGGGAAACGAAGGCTCAGAAAGGTTAAGAAACACACCCCAAATAGCATGGTAGATAAAGCTAGGATTGGATTCCGGATATGCTTGCCTCCAAGTCTCTGCTTTTTTTCCACTATACTTATTCATTGACACAACAGATATTTATTAAAAGCCTGTCTTCTCAGTATTATGCTAGATGCAGGGTTACAAGGACAGGGAATGCATAGTCCCTGCCCTCAAGGAGCCGGCAATCTGGTGAGGGAAACCAGATGTGGAAACAGCTAGCTCTGAGGAATATTCGAATCGAGGGGTGAACAAAGTGCTGTTGAGGACGTATTTACGTAAGGGAGGGCTGGTTAGTTCCGCCTGCCTAGAACACTTGAAGATTTTCAATGGCAGTTTAAAAAGGCATTTATTGCCCTCAACACTCTCTGAGCGGGGCCCCAGAGTGGGGATGGCTTGCAGAGGCACGTCTCCACGGGCATAAACCATCACTTCTAGGTTGCTCGTGTTAATGCACGATGGATGATTTCACTGGGCTCTTCCAGTGGTTTCAGCAACAGTTTTAAGGAGAAAGCTGGTGATGATCCAAAATAACATAACAAGCGTAAGCCAAGTGGAAGGGTGTGCGGGGCAGGAGCCAGAGGGCCAAAGCCAGATAACATTTGACATGGGAAGATACTGGAGGATAGATTTAAGCAGCACCATTCTCTGCTAGGAATACAATATGTCTCCCCAAGGACTGATATTTTGTCCAAATTGAGACACTTAGCTTTAGTTATTTCCTTATAAATGGTCCATTCTCGCCACATCTTTTCTTATGACCTATGCATATCAAATTCCAGAGGGAATTTAAATGTCACTGTTTAAAATACCTGACAGGTGGTGGTTCCATTGTGGCTGCTAATTTTGCATTGATAAAATGAAATGGCAAATACAAAAGTGCCCCTTTCATTTGATATTTATTATTCACTAACGTCATAGCAAAATGTTTCTTAGAATATAATACATGTTAATATGATAAATGTATGAGCATTTTCCAGGCACAGAATCTTTAATATATATATTTATATATAGCTTTATTATTAAAAATTAGCAAGAAATCTCAGCACTTAATCAAATTATCAATGTTTCCATTTAGCCCAGTCACCTTTTAGTCCTTGTGCATATGGTTAGGTACATCAAGTATTGATAAAAATTATATCATGGGTGAATAATTCACACTAGGAAATGATTATACCCTAATTAAACAATCACCTGATTTTTAATGAGCGTTAAAGAGACACAACCACGGGGACAGAAATGCAATAATAACAAATTTGGCAGATACAAGCAGATCAATTGAGCCTTTATGATGAGGTTTTCATGTTGGCACATCATAATTTTAAGTTCTGGCAGCAAAAGTCTCCATTTCCCTTTGTAAGAAGGCAGGCAGAAAATAGTTGAAACTGTTTTTCTAAATCTAGCATCTGTACATTTTATGGTATTTATGACATTATGGATGCTGAGAGTTGTTCAGGCCAAAAGGATACTCTGGGTAAATGCAATCCACATGTAATATCACAACTCCATTATATTCATCAATTGTATTTCCACTTCAAAGTTCAGAGCAAGTTACTTTAGACACTGGTTAACATATTATGATGATATATTTGCCACATTACTTTTTTTATAAGGCTAATTCTGTTACTTATTTTTACACTGAGCAGTGCACTCTAACTTTGTGCTGCCTAGATATTTATAACTTATTTTCAAAATGAAATTAACCTATTCTTTGCTCATGTCTTAAAACAGCCTCTGGCTAAAAGCAATTTAATTCTGATTCTAATAAATTAATATTGATCTCTTTGCCTATGACAAACCTGAGGATGAAGCAACTAAATGAGCATTAGCGTTATTTCCGTTCCTTTCTCCCTCTCCCTTCATGCTAACAAGCAGGGATCTGGCTAAATGGCAGGCCCAAAAAGAGAAAGGATGATTCAAAGATTCTGGACAGAACATTTTTCATTTTTAAATATTCAGATAAATAAGAGTTGACTGACTTAGCTGCATCACATCAAAATGATGAAAGCATTGAAAAGGCAAATAATTCATCAAACCTTCTATATATTCCAAATTCTTTAGCTTAGAGTTCAGATGCTTGATTCAAACCTAACTGGGCAACATCCTAGACTTTCCCATACCCGTGGCTTTGCTTATGTCAGTCAAACCCTTTCTGTTCAACTTCCAGGGATTAGTCCTGCTCATTATAAAGAAACCAGTTTAATTTCTCCTTAATTAATTTTAACCTGTCTACTATGAGCCAGGCACTTAATAAGCATTGGAAACTCATAGTCTAATGAAGACGATAATCTCGGGTCAGTTGTGGGATGAAGAAGGTCATGATGTTTGTTTCCTGCTCTATTCCAAAAAGTGGTTAAGGAAAGGGGGAAATAGATGGTTGAAAGAAGGATGGAAAGTCAACATGGCAATGTGAGTCAGGCTGTGCTAGGTGTGTGGATGAAAGGCTTTGGAGCCCTGGGTCACCAGTAAGACTAGGAGCAGGCACTCCAGACAGATGGAACATCTTCCTGCAAAATTTCTTTCCTCCGTATAGGTATCTTCCCTCAGGCAAATGGTTTTCCTCTGAAATCATACAGCATTCTGTCCTTGGCATACCTCTGCCTGGAATGTCTTCCCAACCCATCTTTCTGAAAACAAAGGATCTTACAAACAGCCTCCTTTCCTTTTCCTCTTTCTATCTGTACATTCTAGTACAAATAAAATCCTCTAGTGTAAATAACAATGCTCCTTTTTTTTTTTTTTTTTCTTTTCCTGTCACCCAGGCTGGAGCGAAGTGGAGGGATCTCAGCTCATTGCAGCCTCTGCCTCCTGGGTTCAAGCGATTCTCCTGCCTCAGTCTCCCAAGTAGCTGGGACTACAGCTACAGCATGCCACCATGCCTGACTAATTTTTTGTATTTTTTGTATTTTTAGTAGAGATGGGGTTTCGCCATGTTGGCCAGGGTGGTCTTGACTTCTGACCTCAGATCCACCTGCCGTGGCCTCCCAAAGTGCTGGGATTACAGGTGTGAGCCACTGCACCTGGCCAAGAACACTCCTTTCAAGCAGACTCAATGAATACTTTTTGTTTACTATCAGATACAATTCATGCCAAACACAAACATAAACATTTCTTATCCTAATCATTAATACTAAACACAACAGTCTAAAGACTACCTGAAGAACTTTTCCTCCCTGCTCTGAGCCACAGCACAATGGTCTCTGTTCCAAAGGATTTGGGTATGGCTTCACTGCTTAGAGAAACTTGGTTTTCCTTCTGTAGGGATCTCAATAGCAAGAAAGAAACTATATAAGAAACAGCAGTCCTTGAGGGCTGACAATGTATAAAAGATATATAGTCAATGTCTGTGAATTCTGCTGGCAATGATTGAAACTCCTTTTGTTTTCATATTTAAAATACGATGTTTTAATATGTTTAACTGACTGTATAGTTTTATACACTTTACTCTTGAAATGTACACTTCAAGGCAGTTATTTGCAATGGAAAAATCAGTATAACTCAAAATAATAAACAGACTCAATTCTTAATCCATTATCATTTAATTGAAGGGAATAATCAAAGACTTATTTATCATGAGACCATATATCAGAATGAACAGATAACTATAACATATCAAGGAATGAATTTTAGTTTCAGTAAGAAAAATAAAATAGTGCCATTTACAAGTATCACTATTAATTCCCGTATATTATCAATATTCAAGAAACCATTCAACAAAGAAACAGTGAACTTGAACAACACTGTAGACCAAGTGAACCTAACAGACATATAAGGAACATTCAACCTAACAACTGCAGAATATACATTTCTTTTCAAGCATACATGGAACATTATCCAGGATAGATCACATATTAGGTTACAAAACAATTTTTAACAAATATAAAAATAATGAAATTATACCAAATATCTTTTTTGATTGAATGAAACTAGAAATCAATGGCAGCAGGAAAACTGAAAAATTCACAAATACATAGAAATTAAACAACACATTTTTGAATAACCAATAGGTCAAATAAATCAAAAGTGAAAGTGGAAAGTATCTTGAGACAAATAAAAACAAAAACACAACATATCAAAACTTATGAAATGAAACAGAAGCAGTATTAAGAGGGAAGTTTATAGTCACAAATACCTACATTAAAAAAAGAAAGATATAAAACAACCTAACTTTCTACCTTAAGAAATTGGACAAAGGAGTAAAATAGAGAATAGAAAAACAGTAAGATAAAATCAACTCAGACTTGGGCTTTTGAAAAGATAAACAAAACTGACAAACCTTTAGCTAGGCTAAGAGAAAAGAGAGTGAAGACTCAAATAAATAAAAGCAGAAATGAAAAAGACATTACAACTGATGCTACAGAAGTAAAAAAGGTCATACAGACTACCATAAATAGTTACAGGTCTACCAACTGGATAGTCTAGAAGAAATAGGTCCCTAGAAGCATACAACCCACCAGACTGAATTATGAAGAAATAGAAAATCCAAGCAGACCTGTCTAGTAAGGAGATTAAATCAGTAGTATAAAATCTTCCATACAAGAAAAGCCCAGGATTAGATGGCTTCATGGAGAATTTTACCAAACATTTAAGGAAGAATTAATGCCAATCCTCAAACTTTTCCAAATAATTGAAGAGGAGGGAACATTTCTGAACTTTTTTTATGAGGTCAGTATTACCCTCATACCAAGCCAGATAAAGACACACAAGAAAAGAAAATTATAGGCCAATATCCCTGATTGAACATAGATGTAAAAATCCTCAACAAAATACCAGCAAACCGAATTCAACAGTATGTTAAAAAGATCATTCACCATGACCTAGTGGGATTTATTCCTAGGACGGTTCAACATATGAAAATCAATTAATGTGACATATCACATTTACAGAATGAAGGATAAAAATCACACGATCGTCTAAGATAAAAAAAGTGTTTGATAAAATTCAAAATCCTTTCATGATAAAAAAAAAATCTCAACAAAGTAGGGATAGAGGGAAATTACCTTAACCTAATAAAGGCTATCTATGAAAAGACCATAGCTAACATCATACTCAAAGGTGAAAAACTGAAAACTTTTCCATTAAGATCAGGAACGAGGCAAGGATGCCCATTCTTGCCACTTCTATTCAACACAGGACTGGAAATCCTAGCCAGAGCAATTAGGCAAGACAAAGAAATAAATAGCCTCCAAATTGAAAAGGAAAAAGTAAAACTGTCCTTACATTTACAGATGATATGATCTTATATAGAGAAAACCCTAAAGATTCCACAAAAAAACCTGTGAGAATGAATAAACAAATTCAGCAAAGTTGCAGGATACAAAAATCAACATAGAAAAATCAGTTGCATTTCTATACAATGATAATGAACTATCTGCAAAGGAAATTAGGAAAACAATCCCATTTACAATAACGTCATACTTAGGAATAGTCTTAACTAAGGAAGTGAAAGACATACATACTAAAAACTATGAAACATTGATGAAAGTAATTAAAGAAGACACAAACAAATGCAAAGACATCTCAAGTTCATGGATGGAAGATTTAATATTGTTATAATTTCCATATGACCCAAAGCAATCCACAGATTCAATGCAATCCCCATCAAAATCCTAATGATATTTTTATAGAAATAGAAAAAAAATTCTAATATTCATATTGAACCAGAAAAGATCTTGAATAGCCAAAACAATTTGAAAAAGAACAGTGTTGGAGGCAACACACTTCCTGATTTCAAAATATATTACAAAGTAACAGTAATTTAAACAGTATGGCAATGGCATAAAGACTGACATATAGATCAATGGAACAGAAGAGAGAGCCCAGAAATACATCCATGGATATGTGGTCAAATGATCTTTGACTGGAATGCCAAGAACACAAAATGGAGAAAGATGAGTCTCTTCAACTAATGGTGTTGGGAAAACTGGATATCCACATGCAAAAGAATAAAACTGGATTATCTTTTACCATACACAAAATATCAACTCAAGATGGATTAAAGACTTAAACATAAGACTTGAAACTGTAAAATTTCTAGAAGAAATCACAGAGGGAAAGCTTCAAGACATTAGTTTTGGCAATAGTTTCATGGATATGACACCAAAAAGCATAGGCAACAAAAGCAAAAATAAACAAGCAGGGCTAAATAAAACTAAAAAGCTTCTATACAGCCAGGGAAATATTCAATAGAGTAAAAAGGAAACCTATGGAATGAGAGAAAATACTTGCAAACTATATATCTGATAAGAGGTTACTTTCTAAAATATATAAGGAATGCTTACAATTCTATAGCAAAAAAACTAATAACTCAATTGAAAAAATGGTCGAAGGACATAATAGATATCTCTGAAAAGAAGACACACAAATAGCCAATATGTATATATATGAAAAGAGGTTCAAAATCACCAATCATCAAGGAAATGCAAATCAATGCCACAATGAGATATCATCTCATACCTCTTAGGATACTATTACCAAAACAACAATGACAAATGTTGGCAAGGATGTGAATAAATCATAACCTTTGTATACTATGGTAGAAATGGTAGAAATGCAGAATGGGGAAGCTGCTATGGAACTGTAGATTCCTCAAGAAATTAAAGATAGAACTACTATGTGACATAGCAATCCCACTTCAGAGTATTTATCCAAAGGAATTGAAATCAGGAACTCAAAGAGATATTAGTACTCCCATATTCACAGCAATGCTATTCACCAAGATATGGAAACAACTGAAATGTCCGTTGACAGATTAATGAATTTTAAAAATAAAATGTACTAGATGGGCTTGGTGGCTCATGCCAATAATTCCAACTACTTGGGAGGCTGAAATGGGAGGATCCCTTGAACCAGGAATTTGAGACCAGCCTAGGCAACATAGGGAGACCCACCGCAAAAAAGACATGCTGTATATACATACAATGAGATATTATTTAACCTTAAAAAAGAAAGAAATCCTGACATTTTCAACAAAATGGATGAACCTTGAGAACATTGTGCTAAGTGAAATAACCAAGTCAAAGAAGGACAAATATTGCATGATTCCACTTATATGAGGTATCTAAAATAAACTCATAGAAGCAAAGAATAGAATGGTGGTTGGCAGAGTCTAAAGGAAGGGGGAAAGGGGGAGTTGATAATCAACAGGTATAAAATTTCTGCCTGGAAGATGGATACGTTTTAGCGATATGCTGTACAACATTGTGCCTACAGATAATAATACTGTATCGTACACTTAAAAAATCTGTTGAGTGTAGAACTCATAGTAAATGTTCTTACCACATTAAAAAAGAAAGAGAAGAAAAAGAAAGAAGGAAGGAAAGAAAAACAAAGAGAGAGAAAGAAAGAGAAAGAAAGAGAGAAGGAGAGAAAGAGAGAGAGGGAGGGAGGGAGGGACAGAAGGAGGGACGGAGGGAGGGAAGGAAGGAAGGAAGGAAAAGAAGAACCATAGCACACTCTAACTTATCATACGTATCTGGAAAACGGTTTACAACATCAGATCCTGGCTAGAAAGGTCACTTTTCAGGTTTGAATTATTGGCTCAGTTTGTTTCTTTCTTTTCATTTTCTGACAGACTGTTAAGAGATATTTAATAATTAGCCACTTACAATGTCTTGGGAGCTAATAGTTTCCCTGGCTTTTAGGATACAACATCTTACCATCATGATCACTGCCACGCCCCCTCCCACCCCTTTCCACATTGCTGTTTTTTTGGGAAGAAGAGCATTCCAGGAACCATCACACACATCACTGCATTCAGGTAGGGTGAGGGCAGTGAGGCTGTGGGGACAGGGAAGAGTGGACAGAACAGACAAGACTGGGCCTGATGGAGAGATCACCCAGAAACTACCTAGCAAGCTAAATAAAATCCCCTCATTGTTTTCAAAGAAGATACATCTGAGGCTTGATAATTATTTATGCTCTATACTACAAGAGGACAGGCTTAGGAGTAAATAAACAAATGCTGAAGTCAGTGATCATGCACATAGTTACTTCAATCGGTTTCCCATTCCTTTTTTTCATGAGAAGCCAGACCAGGCTTCCAGGCAAACAATCAAGTACCCTGTGAGGTTTTTTATTCATTTCTAGATGTGACTGCTTCCCAAGGAGATGGAGACCTGACTGATCTGTAGATTGCTGTACATGTATGCACGGTTGGACTTTTTTTAATGAGCTAAGTAATAGTAGCCATTGTTTTATTATTGTTATATGAAAAGTTCTCTTTTCTACAATGTTTTATACAAGTTCTTTTAATTCTACAATAAAGTCAGAGTTTTGAAACTCTAGCAATACCATAATAATTTCTAAGTCTACCTTAATATTTTACTTCTGTCATTCACTTTCTAATCCTCTAATTCACATGAGCAAAAATAGTAATTTCTTTAACATAATACATAGCTTAACAGGTATACAGTTAGGTTTCAGAGAGGGCTATTTCAAAAGTAATTATTTTAGTTAGTTCAAAACCTTACAACATTCATTACCAAGAAAAAAAAGCATCACATTACTAATTATGAAAGGAATGTTAGTTCCAAAATTTTTTTTATGCCTTTGCTTCAAAATGAAACAACACACTGAACACAAAGGCAGAGGAATATGGTGAAGACACATGTGCAAGAAAAGAAGTGGCATTAATAAGAAATGGCTTGCTTTGAAAGTCCTTGCTAAACTTCATCACTGGGAACTTTCTACTGCAGTAGTTCTCCACTGAGGGGCTCGGGGGCATGGTGGTGGTAGGGAAATAAACTGCTTCCTGTTGAAAAGGAACTTACTACATGCATCTGTCATGTGGGAACATCAGTTCCTTCTCCCATCCCAGGATAAAATGAAATAGGGGGAAAAAGACATTTTTCATCTGAAAAAGGGAGTGAGAAAGACTAAGCAAATGGGGAAAAAAAATTGAATTCTCATGATTTGAATATATATGCACATACATCTTAAATACATGGATTTAAAAAAATTTAGTCAAAATTCTAACATGAATCTAACATGGCCAAACACAGATCAATGATAAGAGTGTGTCACGTACCAAAGTTTATAATTCATCCCAAATCTGTGCATCTGAAATCCACAAAAAAGAGAATACTATGATCCCATTTGTTCAATAAAAGCTTATTTGTATGTGTGCTTTGAATATATGTATACATTTTTGTGTATGCTCCCATATATATGTACATTCTTTAATGCATGTGAATATATGTATATATTCTTGTGTTATGTATACATGTGGATACATAGAGTATGTGCACAAAAACTGTCAAAAAGGATATATCAACTATTCAGATGGCTCCATCTTAGTTATTTAGGTAGCTATTTTTAATAATGAAATAAATACTCATGAACCTACTAGGTAAAATAAAATCTGGAATCTTAATAATAATCATGTCTATCTATATGATTCAGAGCTCCCCATTCATGCTCTCCCCACCTGAGTTAATCATCAACCTCAATCTTATGTTCATATAACATTTCCCCTGATGCAAGAATTTATTTTGGGTACATAACTGTGCTTTTCAATATGGTAGCAGCTAGTACCATGTGTCCACTGAGCATTTGAAGTTTGATTGAGGAACTAAGTTTTAAATTTAATTTAGTTTCAATGTAAAAACTTGAAGTGGTATAAAATATGTTTATGTTAAACACAATTCCATTGTTTTGTTTTGCCTACATTTTACTTGAACTGTTCCATCCTATAGGGTACTATTGTTGAAGTTCTCATGGCAGGTTCATGTGTCCTCTCTGGTAGTACATCCCCCGTTTGATTTGTGTCAGAGATTGATTCAGTTCAAATTAATTTTTTCCTATTCACCCAGGTAACACTGTAATATGTTTGTTGAACGCTTATGGACAGCAGGAGTTATGAGGATCCCTTTGTATATTGTAATTGGAAATTAAATTGACATTTTTGTTATTATCTTAATTATTATATAATTAAATATTTTTAGTTAAAAATAAGCATAGAAAAATTTTAAAATCTAAAAAGAGCAGAATTGAGAGGAGATGCAGAAACTAGTAACACACAATAAAGAAAAAAGGGACCGAAAGAAGGTATGTTGGAAATTTCATGATGAATAGCAATTGCAATTTGTTGGAACATAGCAAGAGAAAAAAATGCTGTTTGTTGTGTAAAAAAAGGTAAAGATAATATGATTTAAAACAGAATCTGAGCTTATAATTTTGCTTAGCTATAAATGGCTTGGATCTTTACATAGACAAAAAAAACAATTTTTCAATGGACATATGGTTGTTTCAGTTATAGAAGTTTTGCTAGAATATTATCAGAAAAGACTAGAGAGGTATGTCACAAAAAGTAAAAGATTTTCCTATCAAGCCACCAAACAATTGCCTGAAGAATACAAGGTCTTTCTAACAAAACCTAAGACCAACTGATTCAAAATGTAAAAGCCATTAAAACTTTATTTATAGATGAAAGTACAACATAAAGATACTGCCTAATCAATGCCTGAGGTATGTTGTATCTCAAAAGACTTCCTAATTCATAAAGAAATGTCTATTTACAATTTGAAAAACTAAATTCATGGTTTAGATATTTTCAAATCTTTTATCTCTGTCAAAGAATTTTAGCTAGATATACAAAAATTAAATTCTATCCAGATGGATGGTGCTTCAGCAATGCTAGTTTTTAAAAAGATCTGAATTTTAAGAATTGGAATTTGTTGTAATTTTAAAACAAAAAGACCAGTGTTTTCTTACTGCTTCATTCCACTGTATGGTATCTATGTTCCGTTTTCTGAAGCAGACTCTTGAAAAGTGTTACAGATACTACTGTTGAATTGTTCAGCATATATTTGCAAATGCTATGGATCAATCCCAGTTAATGGAACTGTTAAAAGAAATAGAAGACAGTGAATGTAATAATCTGTGTTCTTTGCCAATGCACGTTGATTAAGTAATGGAAAAGATTTACAAAGATTTGCTGTACTGTTCAAGATTTTACTGAAACAGAAGGAATGCTTGTCAAATATTAATTTTTTTTTCTTTTTCTTTTCTTTTCTTTTCTTTTTTTTTTTTTTTTTTAGACAGTCTCACTCTGTTGCCCAGGCTGGAGTGCAGTGGCACGATCTCAGCTCAATGTAACCTCTGCCTCCTGGGTTCAAGCGATTCTCCTGCCTCAGCCTCCCAAGTAGCTGGGATTGCAGGTGCCCACTACCATGCCTGGATAATTTTTGTATTTTTAGTAGAGATGGGATTTCACCATGTTGGCCAGGCTTTTCTCGAACTCCTGACCTCAAGTGATCTGCCTGCCTCGGCCTCCCAAAGTGCTGGGATTACAGGCATGGGCCACTGTGCCTGGCCAAATATTCAAAAATTAAAGACAAAAACGACTGAATAACTTTGATATCACACTGCATATGAAACAGCTAAATTTGAAGTTCCAAGGAAATGAAAAGCTGACTTGTGACCTAGCTAAAGAGGAACAAAATTTTAGGCTAAAATTGCAACTTTTCAGAGTGCAATACAATATACAATAATAATTTCATACATTTTCTAACATGAATAAACTTCAAGAAAATTTGCAGATTTATTGAAATTGATAAGCTTATTGTTGCTTATCAATTTATGCAAAACCCCTTTGAATTCAATGTTGGTAATATTGACATGTGTTAGCAAATTGATTTAACTTGAACAGACATAGTTTTGAAATCAATATGCTTTTGCTTCCAAGTTGAATCAAGACAAATCAGTTGTCAATGTGGATGTAAATATTACAAGAAAATAATTTCTTACATAATTCAGTTATCGGAAAACTTTTAAATATGTTTGGAATTATTTGGGTATGTGATCCTACCTTTTGAACTGTAGATTTTAGGAAATACAAATGCAGATTAAATATGCCCAATGAAAATTTTATGTCCAAAATGAGAGATCCTGTAAGTCAAGCTTGTCCAACCTGTGGCTCACGGGTTCCATGCAGCCCAGGATGGCTTTGACTGTGGCCCAACACAAATTCCTGAAGTTTCTTAAAACATTATGAGATTTTTTTTTTTCTCATCAGCTATTGTTAGTAGTAGTGTATTTCATCTGTGGCCAAAGACAATTCTTCTTCCAATGTGGCCCAGAGAAGCTGAAAGTTTGAACCCCCCTACTATAAGTGTAAAGTACACAACAGATTTAGGAAATTTAGCACAAAAATGTAAAATATTTCATTGATGATGTCATGTTGATTACATGTTTAAGTGATATAATGAGTTAAATAAAATATATTATTAAAATTTATTTTACCTATTTAAATATGACCACTAGAAAACTGAAAATTACATATGCGGCTCAGATTTTATTTCTGTTGGACAGCACTGACTGATACATATATCCAGAAATTGAATTGTTAATTTATAAAATATTTGATTGTTTAACACTAGAAAAAATACCAAACCCTTCTGCAAAGCTGCCCTATCAGTTAATATTCCTACTAGCATTATATCCTATCCATATCTCACTAATGATTAGAATTGCCGCATTTTAAATTTTTTGCCAAGTGAATGGGTACGTCATTATAATCTTTACTTGCATTTTCTTGGTCACTAATGGTACTACACACCTCTTCATATGTTAATTGGCCATATATATTTCCTCTTCTGTGAAATGTTTGCTCATGTTTTGGACATTTTTCTCTGGTATTTTTCTGTTTGTGCTTTTCTTATTTATTGGTTATTACTATTGAAGACTCTGAATATAAAATTAAATATAAGGTTCACTTACTCTTCCATTTCAGAATGTGTTCAAGTAGAATCTAGGCCTTGGTGATTGTCATGCCAAAATCATATTGACCCATAATATACAGAATAACAGAGATCTGAACAAGGGTCCACATCAGAGATCTAAGAATTTTGTGGGTCAAGGCTGGGAGACTTTAGAAGGAATAAATGAATTTGAGGAGAGGAGTCCAGCATGACATTTGTTTAAAATTCTCAAGGTAGCATTTATCACAGTCATTTAGGTCAACAAATTTGAAATGAGAAGACCTGACATATGTGTCTCAATTATCCTTTTCCTCCTCTTGCAGCAACGACACAAGAACCAGGATCCAGCCTTGAAATAAGCCTGCCTCAAGACTCCTTAAAACCAAACTCATTCCAGTTTATGGGACTGAGTGAGGATAGTTATAAAACAAAAATTGTATGAAGAAAAAAGAGTTATCTTGGAGTCAGAAGAGCCAGGTTCAAACTTCAGGTTTGCCACTTTCTCATGTCATTTTTAAGTATTCACTTCTCTGAGCTTCTGTTTACTTACTTGAAAAAAAGTTTGCAATATATATAGTTTATCACTGCTGTTTCACTCTGTAATTTATAACTGTTTCCTTTTGATTCCTCACAACAACTCTATATTTTATATTTAAGAGAACTGACGCAGAGAGAAATTAAGAGATTTATTTATTCAATATTATTCTACTATTTAAGAAACAAAAGCAAGGTCAAACCCAAGTGTTCTTAACTTGAGACTTGCCATTGCAATGTCATGCTTAATTCCCCCTGGTCTCCAAATTTGGGTTAGGAGTTGCTTCTTTCCTAAAGGAAGAAAAATTTTCTTTCTCAATTAATAAACTGGCTTTTTTTTAATTAAAAAATTTTCAGATTTACAGAAAAGTTGCAAGAATAGTACAAAAATCCCGTATGCTTTTTGCCCAGATTCTCCAAAATGTTAATATTTTACCTCTCTTCTTCTCTGCCCTTCTCTTCTATGATATATAAAGAAAGAAAGCAGAAGCTTCAAATTGGAATATTTAAAATTCCATGATCTTTAAAGAGTTTTAAGAAGAAATAACCAGTACAAATATGTAAACTTCTTTCTGATGCCCAGAAGCAACCCTGTCACACATTACTCAGGTAAGAGTTAGCCTGTGGTTCTCAATTGAGGAAAATTTTTCCCCTCAGGGAACATTTGGCAATGTCTGGAGACATTTTTGAT
This sequence comes from Homo sapiens, assembly GCF_000001405.40. Taxonomy (NCBI): domain Eukaryota; kingdom Metazoa; phylum Chordata; class Mammalia; order Primates; family Hominidae; genus Homo; species Homo sapiens. The sequence goes on along the minus strand of NC_000001.11, from coordinate 84,308,443 downwards.
TGTCAAGGCTGGAGAGGGGTAATGCTGGCATATCATTGGTAGAAGGTGGGGATGCTGAGAAACATCCTACAATGTATAGGGGCAGCCCCCTCCACAACATAGCCTTAAGACTACATGTTATCCCTTTCTGGAGTCTGCATTATAATCTAACTCTGCCCTGTCCAGTGCTAGCCACTAGGAACCTGTGGCTATATAAATTAAATGGAACTTCTACTTCCAGTCAAGATGGAGTAATGGGGGCAATATTTACTCTTCTAACTAAAACAATAATTTAATAAAAAAGATGAAATATATGAGGCAATGGTACACAAGACATTGGTCATTGGGACAGTAATCCTTGAGAGATGGGTAAGCCATTCCACTCACTGCCTGAAGAAGGCTTTTAGGCTGTGCAAAGGTCAGTCCTGAAGAGGAGAGAGCTACAAAAAAAGAGAACTCTGGAGGTCTGCAGAGGGTTCCCTTCAAGTGTTTGGCAGAGTCCTGATCAGCACCTGCATATGAGGAAACTACCTGAGGCAGGGGAACAAACCTTGAAGGTTTAGAGGGAATGAGTCTTGGAGACGATGCAGGGATGGATATAGTGCCTTTTTCACCTGCCAGAGATGAAAATCTCAATTCAGGAGCATAAAAAAGGGTCTTAAAATATAAAAAAGGGTCTTATCACAGTAAAAGGGGAAAAAATACCCTCAGTCTAAATGCGGCTCTGTTCCTAATAAAACTTAAAGGCAAGACTTAAAAGGATCAAACTATTTCTAGTGACTTAATAGCATCCCAGGGCAAAGATCAAGCATATTTACAGAAATACAAAAACAGCCAGCACCCAACAAGGTAAAATTCACAATGTCTGTCATTCAACCAAAAATTACCAGGCATCCAAAGATGCAGAAAAATATGACCACGCAAGAAAATTCAGTTAATTGAAACTGACTGAGAAACAATACAAATAATATGGGACAAGGAGATTGAGAGAGTTATTAAGGCCATATTCTATATGTTCAAGAAGCTAGAGGAAGGATTGGATATGTTAAGTTGTGCCATGGAAGATACTCTTAAAAAGATCCACATTGAACTGCTAGAGATGAAAGCTACATTGTCTGAAATGAAAAATGCATTGGTGGAATTGACAGCAGATTCAACATTTTAAAAGAAAAGATTAGTGAACACGAATGCAAAGCAATAGAAGCTATCAAAAACGAAACACAGAGAAAATGACTTTTAAAATGAACCAATCATCAATGAATTATGGGACAATATCAAGTGGTCAAATCCACATAAAATTGGAGTCCCCAAAGACAAAGGGAGAGAGACCAAAAGTATTTGAAAACGAATGGTTGACAATTTTCCAAACTTGATGAAAACTAGGCCCAGGCACAGATCTTAGAAACCAAACAAACACAAAGCACAAGAAACATGAAGGAAACCACACCAAGTCTCATAACCAAATTGCTTAAGACACCAATGATAAAGAGAATATCTAAAAGTATACAGAAAAAAAGACACATATATACAGAAGAACATAGATATGAAAAAGATGAGGAACAAAAAGATGCCTGTTTTCACTTTTTCTTTACTTTTTCTTATTTTATTTTATTATTATTATTATTATTATTATTTTGAGACGGAGTCTCACTGTCACCCAGGCTGGAGTGCAGTGGCACAATCTTGGCTCATTTCAACCTCTGCTTCCCCAGTTCAAGGGATTCTCCTGCCTCAGCCTCCTGAGTAGCTGGGATTACAGGCATGTAACACCACACCTGGCTAATTTCTCTCTCTCTCTCTCTTTTTTTTTTTTTTTTTTTGGTATTTTTAGTAGAGATGGGGTTTCACATGTTGGCCAGACTAGTCTCGAACTCTTGATCTCAAGTGATCTGCCCACTTTGGCCTCCCAAAGTACTGGGATTACAGGTGTTAGCCACCATACCCAGCTCACCACTTTTTTCAACTTTTCACTGAAGGTTCTACTCAGTGTAATAAAGGAGAAAGAAATACAAGGCATTCAGACTGGGAAGGAAGAATTAAAACTGTCTTTATTCACAAGACATAATTGTCTATGTTACAAAATGTGGTGTAATCTACTAAAAAGCTACTAGAAGTAATAAGTGAGTTTAGCAAGGTTGTGGCATATAACATCAATATAAAAAATCAATTGTATTTGTATATGTTAAGATAATTGAAAATTCAAATTAAAAAAGCAATACCACTTAAAATAGCATCCAAAACATGAAATATTAGGGATGCAACTGGCAAAAAGGTGCAAGATCTTCACAGTGAAAACTACACAACATTGCTGAGAGAAATTAAAGAAGACATAAGCAAATGGAGAAAAATACTGTGTTCATTTGTTGGAAGACACAATATTGTTAAAATACCAACTCTCTTCAAATTGATATATAATTCAATGCAATGCCAGTCAAAATGTCAACAGATTTTCAAAAAAAAATTTGGTGGAAACTGACAAGCTAATTCTAAAATTCATATGGAAATGTACAGAGGCAAAACAACCTTGAAAAAAACAAAGTTGGATTGCTAACACTACCTGATTTCAAGTTATATTTATCAAAACAGTGTTATATTGGCATAAATATATGCAAAAAGATCAATGGAATACAATAGAGAGCCCAGAAATAAGCCTGCACATATGTGATCAATTATTTTTCAGCAAAGTTGCAGAAGTGTTTGAACAGAGGTGGAAAGATTGGATATCCATAGCACCACTACCACCACCACACAAAGCACTTCAACCCTTCAAACCCTTATCTCACACTACAAACAAAAATTAACTCAAAAACCATAGTCCTAAACCCTGAAACCTAAAATTGTGAAACTTCTAAAAGAAAACAGAGGAGACAATAATTGTAACCTTGCATTAGGCCAAGATTTCTTAAATATGACACCAAAAGCACTATCCATAAAAGAAAAAAATTGATAAACTAGACTTCATTAAAATTTAAAAACTTTGATACTTTGAAAGATGCTATGGAGAGAATGAAATGATAGGTCACACACTTAAAGAAAATATTTTCAAATAATATATATGATAAAGGACATATTCATAATATATAAAAACTCTCTATACAATAAATATGAAAAAACCCGATACAAATATGGGCAAAAGATTTGAACAATACTTCATCTAGGAAGATACATGAATGGCAAATAAGCACAGGAAAAGATGCTCAACATCATTAGTCATTAGGGAAATAAAACTGAAAACATAAAACACCTGATATAATGTCTAATATGAAAGTGATTGATCACACTAAGCTCATGAGCATGTGGAACAACTGGAACATGCCACACACTGCTAGTGAAAATGAAAATGGGACAACCAGTTTAGAAAACAGTTTGGCAGTTTCTTAAAAAGTTAAACAGACACCCACCATAGAGCCCAACCAATTCCATTCCTAAGTAATTATGAAAGAGAAATGAAAGCATATGTCCACACAGAGACCTGCACGCAAATGATCAAAGCAGCTTTATTTATAATACCTAAGAAACAGAAACAATTCAAATGTCTATCATCATTTGGATGGTAGTAAACAAATTGTTGTAGATCCAAACAGTGAAATATTACTCAGTAATTAAAAAGTAATGATATATTGATATACACAATAACATGGATAAATCCCAAATTAATTATGCTGAGTGACAGAAACTATATGTGTGTGTGTGGGGGCGGGGGATGTATACACATTCATTTATATAAAATTCTAGAAGAAGCAAACTAATTTATAATGACAGCATAACAGTGGTTGCCAGGGGATATGGGGGCAGAAAAGGACAGGAGGGAGAGATTACAAAAGGTCGTAAGGAAATTTTGGAAGTGATGGAAATATTTGTCATCTTAATTGTGGCAGTAGTTTCAAGAGGGGATAAAAATATCAAAACTTACTTTACACACATGCAATTTATTATGCAAGGATTATACTTCAGTAAAGCTGCTAATTTTAAAACTAATTACAATTAAGTAAAATTAAAAGTTCAGTTTCTTACTTAAACTAGTCACATTTCATATTCTTCGTAGCCACATGTGGCTAGTGGCTACCATTTTAGACAGCACAAATACAGAACATTTCCATCATTGTTGAAAGTACTGTTGGATAACACTGATCTAACTCACACATAAAACAGCATCTGTTTCTTTCATTTCTCCTCCACCTACCTACCCCAAACTTTAGGGATGGTAATCAGCATGGCAGTATGGCACTGATATATAAATTACCCGAGAACTTTAAAAAACAGATTTTATTAAGTTAGTTTTAATGTAACTTTGCTGTGAAGCAAAATATACCTTCTATTCATAAACATATAGCACACTGTTTCCTCATTTAGATATCACAGCTTCTATGGATTATATTTAATTAGTTTCCTCCAAAGCTCAAGTTGACGGCAATTTTAAACTAAATGATATGGAAAGAAATGAAACAGATAACTCCCTCTTGGAACTCACTTTCTCCTTGTAATCAAAGTACTTATTGCTTTGCTATAACTCCTAAGTGAGAATATACATTTTTCATATACTCATAAATATCAAAATATTATGTTACATGTGCAATTGAATTTTCCCATTTAAAATAATCAAATATATAACTCTTACATGACACATATAAACACAAGTTTCAAATGTGAGAACAGACTTTAAAATAAACACCATGTATGCACAGAAATGTTTCACATTCATTAAACAGTTCATAAAATTAGGACGGAGGAGTTGTTAAACTATATTCTTACTGAAGCTTTTTCCCTTCCTGCACTATAGCTCTTAGTTTTCAGAGTTAGAGGTGATTGTATTTCAAAAAAAAAATTTGAACTCTATTTTCTGCCCCCATTCTGTGTTGTCTATGGAAGAGTCTCTGCTTGGAGTTTTTGTTTCAATATACAGAATGCAGGGCTGAAATCCTCAACCATCCTTGTTCCAAAGCCTGATACACAAACCTTTCATATATATTTTGATGTCTGAGTCATCTCTGTCTTAGAAATGCAATACAGAAAAAGGTAACTGGGGTAGGGGGGAGAAGGGAGGCTGCTGGCCAGTGTAGACAAACCAAGGCGACCCCCAAACTGTGTATTGTAGTAGATAAGCAAGAAGTACGAAAATAGAAACTAAGTCCCTCTGTTGTTTGCAGAAGCAGAACTCAGAAGCCAGCTTCACTTACTTTTTTACACCGACAGAGCCATTTTCCTTGTTTTCCATGTCAACAGATAGCATGGGAAGGCTGCAGGGTTCCTTTACTTCAGCAACTAATCAATAAGGGAGAAAAGCTTGTGTTTAATTCTTAGAAAGTGAGAGAAGAATATATATTCTGAATCGGAAACATAATGGTCCCTTTTACAGCTTCACACCAGTTCACGTATGTTTGTTTAAATCTCCAGTTCCCTCGGCGATTGGAGAGATGTGATTAAACCTAAAGAACTGGAGGAGACGGATTGGGGTGCTTTCATCTGTACTGGCACTCCCTGCCTTGACAATAAGCATTTGCAAATGAAATTGAATCCTCGTTGAAAACAAGTGCTGTGTGAACTGGCACAGCTTCTTCTGGGTGCCTAGCTCTCACTTAAGACACTGCAACTCATAAATGAGTCAAAGTAGAGAAAAACAATCCCCCTTTTCCTGCCCCCCTCCCATTATGGGCTTTGATTTGTTTTTTCTTATTGTGTTTGGTTTTTTTTTTGTCCACTCCCCCTTGCTCCTAGATTTTTTCATTGCAATGCAGAAGGACACTTAAAGCTTTTGTCAGCAAGTATTCCCCTACCTCACATTCTCAACGAAAGCCTCAAAAACCCGTCTGTGAGATGGCCATGCTGTGGTAAAGCAGGAAGCTCACAAAAAATGCCAGATAGCCCTTAGCACAGAAAGGTGGTGCTGGTGTGTGTGTGTGTGTGTGTGTGTGTGTGTGTGTGTATGTGTAAGAAAGAGTAGGTAACTCATTAGATTTATGAAAAATCATCAAAACATTTAAGGAGATATTGTAGCATCCATCACTCTGTCTTTTTGTTTAGTAGGATGAGGGCTGTGGAAAATTAAAAGCCTTCCACAATTAATATGCAATTAGCAAAATGAAAAAGCTACGAACAAAACTGCTTTAAGAAAAAAAAAAAAAAAAAAGGAAGAAACAGTCCCGAAACGTGTTTGCTCTTATTCAGCTGAAGCCATAAATTAAATACATTTCCACTCAAATCACTTTATACTTCGGCACTCCTTCTCTAGGGATTACTCTGACATGGCAAGTGCATCATTTAGTATATTCGCAAGATTTTATCACTGTTAGAGAAGTAGATGATTAACAAATAACACTGTAAGTGTGGGATAATTTTCACTCCTGAAACACACACATACACACAAACTTCCAGCTGCAAACCACTTAGATCATTGATAGAGAAATCCAACATTTAATATATATATATAGATATTAGCATACATTCACACACCGTTAGAGAGTAGACAGGAAGATAGTGCTGCTGCTCCATGCTAACAGAATATGATTTCACTTCAGTTGGAAACTGTTACACATTCACCATTTTCTAAGCATCTCAGAAAACAAAACAAAACACTCACAATGATACTCTGCAACACCACACTACATTGTCTTATTATTATTACTATTATTTTCTTTTCTGTGGAAGAGTAAAAAGAAAACCTACCTATAAGCAACTAAAAAATATCATTTTTTATAGGCTTATCAAGAACAGCCAAAGAAACCCCAATGTTTTCTTTCACAAAGTAGGCTGGCAAAGGAATTCAATAAGGAGGTACAATTTGACACAGTGAAATAAAACCAGGCTGGCTCTCAGCCAACATGACGTTAGGAATCACACACAAGCTGCACCAACTGCCTTCTGGTTCATGGCTGACTTTTTAAAGCTACAGTGTGCCTGTTCACTTTTGCTAACTACCTTCAGCACAATTAGTGCAAGAAATGAGTAAGGAGTCCAAAACCTGCAGAATTCTCCCTGCACCTGTCTTGTACAAAGAAAAACAAGCTGTCTCAATAGCTTCTTATTTTCTCCCTCCCCTTCATTGTTGCTGCATGATAGGTCTTAGCTGTTGTTCTGAGCATGAATGTCATGTTTCAAACTATTTCCTTTTCTCCCCAGAGGGAAAAATAAGAGTGAGAAGCCAGTGCTTATGGGCTATAACCAGAGAACACTCGGAAGCTGCAGTCCCATGTTACTCTTTTTTTCCTAATAGAGATTCATGGACAAAGTTCCCAGGGCTGGCTTTTAAGTAATCTCTTTGTGAGAATAAGGAAAGCACTGCCCAGCAGCAAATCCTTTTACTTCATTATGCAGGAAGTAACATATTTCGGAAAGGATGCAAAATAGATGACCAGATCTCCTGAAAACGCCCACATTCTTTTATTTTGGCATTTATCCTGCCAAATGAAGCCAGCAAAAATTCAAACTGAAACAAACAAAACCTTATTCTACAAAACGAAAACAATTAGTTCTGGGAGGTTTAATTTTAACTGTTTATCCCAGTTGGACAAAAAGCATAATTCAAGAAATTTAACCAACACTTACAATCTATGAGTACCCGGTACTATATTAGTTACATATGAATAGAAAGACATTATGCCCACCCCAAAATTCATAGTCTCTCCCGCCATCATCCTAAATACCAAATCAGAAAACTGGGAGGTGGAGCAGAGAGGCTGGGCAAGATCTTTTGTTTAAGTTACCCTGGTCATTCTCACAGTTCCCTTGCTTGGCTTAAACCACTTTTCCAGGAGAATAATCTCATCCCATTAATGTTCTGCACATACACAGAAAACATACATGGTTGCCTCTTCATTGAAATAAACATCAATCAACATTTGGACACTTTTAGGTCAAGATGGTCAACAAAACCACTCAAGACAGGGCACAGAACACAGGTTCCCCAGAAAGATCCTGGAAAAAGTTATCACTTGCTGTAATATCCTGTAGAATTCAGGTAGAATCTGAGGAAAAAGCTGCCTGCTTCCCTTTTTAAAAATAATCTTTTAGGACATTAGGAGATTACCTTTGATCTAAATTTGGAACCTGAATTTCAAGGTCAAAAAATTTGTTCTTTACTTATTCCAGGAATTATATTAGAAATTTTTGACTTCCTTGAAGATCAGTGCCAAGAAAGATTTCAAATATTTGCCATTGCTCCCTTGAAAAGGCAAACAATAGTAATCTAGGAACCAATTAAATATTTTTGAGCAGTATTTTTTGAGCATGGGTCAGGCATGTGGATCTTTCACCAGTGCTGATCTCAAAATGATGGACTTTTATGTAGATAAAGAGCTCTTTCACTAACAGATTCCTTAACGCTTTTGGACTTGATCTGAAATTCCTGAACTATTCTCCCAGTAAATCCAAATTGGAAGCGAGTTGGACTGGGAGTTCTGTGTCTTGGGGAGCTGGGGTTGTCCTGACAGTGCTGCTCAGAACAAAAGCATGTTCAGCTCTCCACTCTTGACGGGGAAAAGGCAAAGAAACTGTAGTTACACCCAGCTCTTCCTTAGACACAGCCACAGGAGAAAGGATTCTGTGAAGTTTTTCCAAGCATCTCTTCCTGCATATACAAAGGGACATCCCCTCCCATCTGGCCTGCTGTGATCAAAAGTTTGCCTGTTACACAAGAGTAAAGTTTCAGAAAGTGTTGTAGGAAGTTAATCCCGTTTTATAAAAAGTGAGCCACAAAGACACTCTAAATTATGACAACAGGTTTCACTTACCAGCTAGTTTCTAACTTTGGTAGTAAACTGACACTTGTGAATATAAATAAATAAATAAATAAATATATATATATATATATACACTAGTACTCACACACTCCCTCCAACAAACTGTTTGCCATCAATCCTCTGCTGATAAAAAGTTGTGTGTGTAGTATGTAGCATAAAGTATGTGAGTGTGATGTGTGCACTATGTGGTGTACTTTGTGTGTGGGTGTGGTACGTATGTGGGGGTGTGTGTGTATGTGGTGTGTGGGGGTGAGGGGGAGAGGCAACCAAACAAGACCTTCCGATCCAGCACATTATGGGATATGCTGAAATAACTTTAGAGATCCTGAAATCTCCAAATTATATGCTGAAATAACTTTGGTGTCAGTATTCTGGAGCAGAACTGTCGACCCACTTGGGAATGCGCTCAGATAGGGAGAGGGGAGGCGGTTAGGAAGGGCGGGAAGCTGTTGACTTTGATTGGCTTCTTTTCTAGATCAGCATTCGTCCCCCAGGCAGAAAGGACTCGCCTAGGGAGCCAGCGCGGTCCCAAAGGAGCCGCCGGCCCTGCCTCCCGGGATCCGACCCCCGGTGCAGCCAGCCTGAAGTCGCCCGAGGGCAGGGCCGACCTCACCGAGCCGGGAATGGCGTCTCAGGGGCAAGTGAGAACTGGCCTGAGAAGGGGACGGTAGGGGCAGAAGACGCCAGGCTGCCTCTTGGACCAGCAGCGCCGGCCCAGAGCCACACGACTCTCTGTGGCACTGGCGACAAAGCGGGGAAAGTTTCTGGCTAAGACTTTCACGGAGAGGCAGTTCGCTGGCGTTTAGTGTGGGGGCTCCCCGGGGAAGCCGGTCTTTGGAAAGTGGAGGGTGGAGGTGTGGCGTTCTCGGGGTCCCCGCCGAGTCGTGCCACCACCCCGTCCCGCTCCCCGAGCACTGCCAGCAGCCCCAGGCGAGCCGGGGCTCTCCGTGGGGCAGGGCACGCTTCTGCCCCCACTCCACTCCACAGTGAGAGCCCACGTCCGTGGGTGCAACGAGCTGCAGGAGCACCGGACACACGGCCAAGATGTGTTTTTGGGAGGGCAGAGCGGTTTTCATTGCGGCATTCTTCGTTTCCTTTCATCCTGGAGAGAGGAGAGGGCGGGCGCCTTCCCACGCCCTGGGCGCACAGGCAGATCACTTACCTCCCCGCATGGCCGCGCCGGGAGGTTTGCCCCGCGCGGAGCTCGGCGGCCGCCACGCGCAAAGCCCCGGTGCAGCCGGCCGGACGCGCGCGGCACGCCGGGAGTTGTAGTCCAGCGCCGGTCGGCGGGGGTCGGAGGGGCGGGGGCCCCCAGGAATGGGGAAGGCCAGTACTAGAAGGGACAAGATCTGGGCAGGACAAGGGAGGATATTTGCAAAAACTTAAAACTTCCAGGAAGATGGGGGGAGGGGAACCCTCCTAGAGAGATTTTTAAAGTGAGGTTTTTTTAGGTTAATGCCATTTTCTTCCTGTCTTACTCGCTTATGACAACCCCAATGAAGTTTTAAGCTGGACTCTGGCAGTAATGTTAAGTAGAGATTTTCTCGGCCAACTTCATATTATTTAGGGTTCTATTCTTCCTTCACCTTGAACACAGATGTGCCATTCTCTGCTTGGATGCACACAGAATATTCTTGCTCACAGAATAACTCAGTTGAAGCCCTGAGCATGTAAAAGGAGGGTGAGTAGTTAGTTGCACCTTACACATGCAGGGTGCTTTATAGCTCTCTTTACAAAGCACTTTGTACTTGATTGATTCATTATATAAGAACCGTAAAGCAACTCTGAGAGTTAGTCAGAGAAAAGCTAAAGATGCAGGGAGTTTTTTGTTTGTTTGTTTGTTTGTTTGTTTTTTGAGACGGGGTCTTGCTCTGTCGCCCAGGCTGGAGTGCAGTAGCGCGATCTCGGCTCAATGCAGGGATTTTTGTGTATCTGCATCTGCAGAGGTTGTTGGAGCCATCCTGTCTATTCGTTTCTTTCTCCAGCCTCTCTTAGCAGCTGGGAAGAGAGAGTGGAGAGAAAGAGGGATCAGGACAGATGTGGACACGGCAGAAGAAGAGGAGCCTGCTGTGACGGACTTCCTTGAAATGACAAACAAGTAAATATTTAAGGGAATAAGTAAAACCAAAAGAAGGACTCATGGGTTGGAAGAATGGAAGGAGAAGGAAAAGGCAGATGGGATAGGGATAGACATTGAAGATTGCAAACAGGCTAGTAGCAAAGAAAGCAAAAACAAACAGGGTTTTTAGAAGCCAGATAAACCTTGGATTCCTGGTGTTGTCACTTCTGAGCTATCTCTGTTACCTTAGGTAAGTTCTTTAACCTCCCCAAACCTCTTTTGCCTCATCTGTAAAATTAAAAAAAAAAAAGTTCTGACTTTATCATGTGGCTGTGCCTATTAAAAAGAGACAGGAAGCACATAGTATAGTGCTGGGCATATGCTAGGCAATTAATGTTATTTACTATTATTATCTGCAGAAATTCTCTTTGTGTTAGTATCAAAAAATAAATTGGAGTGGAAGTACCAGTTAGGAGGCTGTGACAATACTCTAAGCTACTGGCAATGATAGCTTGAACTACATTGACAGAAAGGCAACTATGTTGCCATATGAGATAGGGAAAACAGAGTACAATCAATTGGATGTGGGGAAGGAAGAAAAAGAATCAAATTGGTTGTTATTTCTAGATTAAGTAGATGATGTTGTCATTTTCATAAATAGATACAACTGATGGAAAAACAGGTTTTGGAGGAAGATGACCACTGGCTTTCCTCATTTTATTGTGCTTTGCTTTATTGCAGTTCACAGACAATGTGTTTTTGTTGTTGTTGTTGTTGTTTATTTTACAAATTGACAGTTTTTGGTAACCCTGTGTTGAACAAGTCTATTAGTGCAATTTTTCCAGCAGTATGTGCTCACTTCATGTCTCTGTGTCACATTTTGGGCATTCTCATAATATTTGAAAGTTTTTCATTTTTATTGTATCTGTTGTGGTGATCTGTGATCACTGATCTTTGATGTTACGATTGTAATTGTTTTAGGGTGCCACAGACCATGCCCATTAATCTATAAATGTTGTGTGTGTTCTGACTGCTCCACTTACCAGCTGTTCCCCTCCTCTCTCCCTCTCCTGCTCCTCCCTATTCCCTGAGACACAACAATATTGAAATTCGGCCAATTAATATCCTTACCATGGCCTCTAAGTGTTCAAGTGAAAGGAAGAGTCATACTTCTCTCACTTCAAATCAAAAGCTAGAAATGATAAACTTAGTGAGGAAGGCATGTCAGAAATCCAGATAAGCAAAAGTTAGACGTCCGGTGCCAAACAGTTAGCCAAATTGTGAATGCAAACAAAAAGTTCTTGAAGGAAATTAAAAATGCTGTTCTAACGCATACCTGAATGATAAGAAAGTGAAACAGTCTTATTCCTGATATGGAGAAAGTTTTAGCGGTCTGCATAGAGGATCAAACCAGCCCCAACATTCCTTTAAGCCAAAGCCTAATCCAGAGCAAGGCCCTAACTCAAGGGTGGAGAGGTAAGGAAACTGTAGAAAAGTTTGAAGCTAGCAGAGTTTGATTTCTTAAACGAGGTTTAAGAAAAGAAGCATAACAATGAAGTACAAGGTGAAGAAGCAAGTGCTGATGGAGAAGCTGTAACACGTTATCCGGAAGATCTAGCAAAGGTAGATGGAGGTGGCTACAATAATCAGCAGTTTATCAATGTAGACTTAATAGCCTTCTATTGGAAGAAGATGCCATGTAAGATTTTTCTAGCCAGAGAAAAGTCAAAGCCTAACTTCAAAGCTTCAAAGGACAGGCTTATTAGGGGCTAATGCACCCAGTGATCTTAAGTTGAAGCCAATTTTCATTTACCATTATGAAAATTCTAGGGCCCTCAAGAATTATGCTAAATTGACTTTACTTGTGCTTTATAGATGAGACAAAAAGGCCTGGGTGACAGCATATCTGTTTACAACATGATTTTCTGAAAATTTTAAGCCTACTGTTGAGAACTACTACTCACAAAAAAAGATTCCTTTCAAAATATTAGTGCTCATTGACAATACACCTGTTCAGCCAAGAACTCTGATGGAGATGTACAAGAAGATGAATGTTGTTTTCATGCCAGCTAGTAAAACATCCATTCTGTAGCCCATGGATCAAGCAGCAAATCTGACTCTCAATTCTTATTATTTAAGAAATCCTTTTTATAAGTCTATAGCATCCATAGATAATGATTCCTCTGATGGAGCTGGGCATCATAATTGAAAGCCTTCTGGAAAGGATTCATCATCTTATATGCCATTAAGAACGTTCATAATTCATGAGAGGAGGTCAAAATATAACATTAACATGAGTTTGGAAGAAGCTGATTCCAAGCCTCATGGATAACTTTGAGGGGTTCAAGACTTCAGTGGATGAAGTCCCTGCAGATGTGATAGAAATAGCAAGAGAAATAGAATTGGAAGTGGTGCATGAAGATATGACTGAATTGCTGCAATCTCATGATCAAACTTGAATGGATGAGGAGGTGCTTCTTATGATTGAGCAAATAAAGTGGTTTCTTGAGATGGAAACTATTCCTGGTGAATATGCTATGAACATTGTTCAAGTGACAACAGAGAATTTAGAATATTTCATAAACATAGCTGATAAAGCAGCATCAGGGTTTTAGAGGATTGACTGCAATTCTGAAAGAAGTTTTACTGTGGTTAAAATGCTGTTCAGTAGCATCACATGCTACAGGGAAATCTTTCATTAAGGGAAGAGTCAATTGATGTGGCAAACTTTACTGTTATCTTAAGAAATTGCCACAGCCACGCCAACCATCAGCAACCGACTACCCTAATGAGTTACCAGCCATCAACATTGAAGCAAGACCCTCCACCAGCAAACAGATTACAACTTGCTAAAGGCTTTAAGATCGTTAGCATTTTTTAAGCAATAAAGTATTTTTAAATTAAGATATGCACTTTTTAAAAGATATAATGCCATTGCATACTGAATATACTACAATATAGTGTAAACATTTATATGCACTGGGAAACAAAAAAATGTGTGTGACTTGCTTTATTGCAGTGGTCTAGAACTGAGCCCACAATGTTCCCGAGGGGCCTGCAGTTTGATTTTGGACATGCATAACTTAAGGGTTTATCTGTGTGAATGACCAAGTGGAAGTTGGAAATGTGGATTTGGATTTTTCATGTAGAAATGGGACTTTGAGAGTCAATTACTTAGGAGAGGAAGTTGAAGAGCATGTGAAGAGGAAAAAGGGAGGACAGCAGGCATGGGCATGGGGAGGTGGGAAGTCAGATAATAATACCAGGCAGGAATTGGTTAAGGAGGAAAGGAAAGCTGCAGGGGTGTAGTAACATGGGGTGCAAGGGAGGATGGAGAGATGAGGAGCAGCTTCTTAACAGGTCATATGCTCTAGAGAGGTAGCCAATGACAACAGAAAAGAGGCCTCTGGATTTATAGATCAAGAAACTATTGGGATTGAACTGCTTCCAGGGTTTTTTTTTTGAAATTTACCAGAGTGATTTTGCTTGTCCCAGTGATTGGGGAGTGTATTAGTGCGTTTTCACACTGCTATAAAGAAATACCCAAGACTGAGTAATTTATAAAAAGGTTTAATCGACTCACAGTTCCACATGGCTGGGGAGGCCTCAGGAAACTTACAATCATGGAGGTAGGGGAAGCAGGCACTCTCTTCACAACATGGCAGGAAAGAGAGAAGTGCTGTGAAGGAGGAACTTCCAAAGTTATAAAACCATAAGATCTCATGAGAACTCACTCACTATCATGAGAAGAGCCTGGGGGAAACTGCCTGCATGATCCAATCACCTGCCTCCCTTGACACATGGAGATTACAATTTGAGATGAGATTTGGTTGGAGACACAGAGCCAAACCATATGAGGGAGTGGGGCACTACTGGAATATAGTTGGTGGGGTCAAAGATTCTAGACATCTTCCATTGACCAGGACAGTCGCGCAGAGCGAAGAATTGTCCTGCATCCTGTGTGACTTAGTTGTCCCACTGCTCAGCTCATTTATGTAGGTGAAAAATCTGTTTATAATTATCTGAGCCTAGAATCTATTTTATATATAAACATAAATTGTTTTCCACACAGTTTTAAGTTATATCAAATTTTCCTGGAATGTTGTAAATTGGATGGCAATATCATTTATGGAATTTGAATCACCAATACAGTTCATTTTGTGGCTGTCTCTTTCATGGTGATTCTGCATATGGAACAAGTATCTGACTACTTTATTGTGTCTTTTAGCTTAGGGATGCTTGAGCAGTTGCATGTTGGATCATGCAGTTTTATTATTATTATTATTATTTTTTTTTTTTTTGAGACGAAGTCTCACTCTTGTCATCCAGGCTGGAGTGCAATAACGCTATCTCAGCTCACTGCAACCTCTGCCTCCTGAGTTCAGCAGTTCTCCTGCCTCAGCCTCCCGAGTAGCTGGGATTATGGGTGCCTGCCACCACGCCCACCTAATTTTTGTATTTTGAGTAGAGACGGGGTTTCACCATGTTGGCCAGGCTGGTCTTGAACTCCTGACCTCAGGCAAATCACCTGCCTTGGCCTCCCAAAGTGCTGGGATTACAGGTGTGAGCCACCGCGCCTGGTGGATCATGCAATATTTTATGGTAAATTACTTTATTTTGTACTTTATATTATAGTTAAGGTATTGCTTTAATTTTAGAAAATTACATAGGTAGGTAGCTTATGGCTTCTACTTCACAATGGTAAAAAGCATATTGTTTCATATTTGTTATGAAAAGGGATCATTAAGATTGACAAGATGGAGAGCTATTTATTCCTTCAGTCAATAAACATCTCTGGAGTCCCTACTCATTCTGGGTACTTGAGATACATCAATATATGAAACAGAAAAAGTTTATTGCCCTTTTGGAGTTAATATTGTAATGTGGGAGAGGCAGATGATAAATAATAAACATAAACAAAATAAGTAAATTCTCTATTAGAAAGTTATAAATGCTGTGAAAAATAAAAGGAGGATAAAGGCAGTTGGGAGTGCAGGAGAGGGTGTGGGTTGAAATGTTAAATATAATGATCAGGGTAAACTTCATTGAGAAGGTGATAATCAAGGAAAGATCTGGAGTTGGTAAGAGAATGGCCTTGTGGATTTCTGAGAAAAGAAATAGCAAGGATGCCAGTGTGGTTGGATATGGGCAGGGGTCAAGTAGAAGGAGGACAGGAAAACCCCGGGGCTGGAAACAAATAATGTAGGGCTTGTGGGCATTGCAAGAAATTTCAGCTTTCACTCTGAATGAAATGGGCAGCTGTTGGAGAGTTCAGAGCGGAAGAGTGACATGGTCAGGCATAGGTTTAAAGGATTATTCTGGCTGCTCTATCAAGGATAAATCTTAACAGGCAATGGTGGAAGCAGACTAGGCAAGATGCTATTGTAGTAATCCAGGCAAGAAATATTAGTGGCTTGAACTAGAGTGGTAGCAACGAAAAGTGATGGTGTGGATGTGGAAAAGAAATCAAGAATTCTATAGGGCATATTGGAAGAGTTTCAGGGGTTTGGGAGGGACGGAAGATGGAGATACATTAAAGTATGTTCAGGGCCTTATAGGAATGGGACTTGGGGGATGACCTAGTAGTCTAGGACTTCTTGTGGTGACTCACATAAACAGGGATAAAGGGTATAATGAAATCAGTCCCAGAGAAGGCAAGAAATAAAATGGTGAAGAGGTTGTGAGTGTGGGGGGTATTGATGAATGTTTGAGTTCCCTGACTCTGGATGGAGCTGAGAATCAGGTGGACTCTTGATCCACGTTGATGGAATGTTGAAGGCCTGGGGAGAGGAGGACTCAGTTCCTAGGCCAACGCTTATTCATCACTCCTGTCAGGAGCAGGCTGACTTGTTCAGAGTGAGTAGTCCTCTCTACCTCTGCTCTTGACCTTTTTGATGGACTTAGCCCTTTTGATGCAGTTGAGGATTGGGGCAAGCTGGTAATTACTCTAAGCACAAAGGCCCAGAAACAATGATGATTCAATAAAGTATATTCTAGAACACAGACTGAGGTAGACTTAAAATTCTGGAAATGGAGAAATTTTGAGAAATTTGGCAAATGGGGAATTTTGGCAAAGAAGGGCAGGAGAAGGTTTGGTCCTTAATGTGGAAGGATGCTCTAAGATTGGGGATAGCAGACAACTGTGTTTGTACAGTGAAGTGAAGAAGCCACTAGATGCAGAAATGTGAAAATTCAGAACAGAGGGTGTAACTGATGTAATATTTTCCTAGAGAAGAAGGAACTATTGATTGTTGATCTTTGGAAGAAAAGTGGCATAGTTTCTTCCTATAAGAAAAGAAAGAGGCCAGGCGCAGTGGCTCATGCCTGTAATCCCAGCACTTTAGGAGACTGAGGCAGGCAGATCACTTGAGGCCAGGAGTTCGAGAACAGCCTGGCCAATGTGGTGAAACCCTGTCTCTACTAAAATACAAAAATTAGCCGGGCGTGGTGGCAGGCACCTGTAATCCCAGCTACTCAGGAGGCTGAGGCAGGAGAATTACTTGAACCCAGGAGGTAGAGGTTACAGTGAGCTGGGATCATGCCATTGCACTCCAGCCTGGGCGACAGAGCGAGACTCCAACTCAAAAAAATAAAAAAAGAAAAGAAAGAAAGCAAATGGAATGATTTAGTAATATTGAGGGAAATTCTAAAGAGAAAAGGGGGTATAACATTATTTAAAGATTATTTTTATTTATTGTGAAAATACACTGTATGATAAAAAAAATTAAAGCAATCAGAAACTTAAAATAGAAAGTGAAAATTCCCAATAAACCCATTCCTAAAATAATCCCTGTTAAATGATATATATTGTCTAAATTTTTATCCTGTGCTTGTGACTTCTTTTTGTAAATGTTACATGAGGTATTAATCCATTCTTTCATTGCTGTAAAGAAATACCTGAGACTGAGTAATTTATAAAGGAAAGAGGTTTAATTGGCCCATGGTTCTGCAGGCTTTTTGGAAGCAAAGCATGATGCTGGCATCTGCTTGGCTTCTGGGGATGCCTCTGGAAGTAAAATCACAGCAGAAGGCGAAGGAGCAGCAGGCACCTCACATCGCCAGAGCAGAAGCAAGAGAGAGTGGGTGCCACACTTTTAAACAGCTAGATCTCACCAGGACTCATTCACTATTGTGAGGACAGTACCAAGGGGATGATGTAAAACTATTAAAGAGAAATCCACTCCCATGATTCAATCACCTATCACCAGGCCCCACTTCCAACATTGAGGATTATAATTCAACATGAGATTTGGGCAGGGAAACACATCCAAACCATATCGTGTGAGTACCTAAAATATGAGTATTTTTTCTTTGCAGGCTCTCAGGTTAAATAATAAATAAAAATTTGTTGAGCTTCTATTACATAACAGATATTATTGCATCAATCTTTTCGATAATTGTTATTCACATCTTCCATATAATATCTAATTTTTCTTGATTATTCAAGAATAAAAAGAAATTTGTTAAAGCCTCCTAACATTTATCTTGTTGTTTTCTTATTTCTTGAAGTTTTGCTTTATGTATTTTAATGCTGTTATTTGATACATAAGCATTTATACTAATAATTTATTTATTGTGAGCTGTGTCATTTGCCATTACAAAGTGACTTTCTTTGTTCCATGTATTAAAAAGCTTTGTTCCAAGCTTTTTAATAGCTTATTCTATCCCACTTGAAATTATTTGAATTAGATATGTTTAACCTTATCTCGATCATGTGTTTATTTTTTGAATTCACATTGTTCTTTTTTTCTCTTTGGCTTTACAATCTGTACTTTCTTTGCTTTTGTTTTGTCTTGGTTTTATTTTTATCTTCCTCTATATTTTAGTATCAAAGATTAACAAAGCTGGACTCTAAAGTGGCAAGGACAGACTTTAATCAGTAAGTAATAGAGACAATCTACAATAGAGTAATCAGAGAATAGAGATAAGCATCCAGCATGAACTGAACTCTGATTTGTATAGAGATGACCAACTAAAATAGGAGTAGGACGGGGGTGAATGAGGGCTCAGGAGAGTCAGAGAAGTGAAACATAACAAAGGGTTCACATCACAAAGTGGTAACGCCAGCTGTTTCTGGTAGGTGATAGTTACAAACACTAGGATTCTATCTTCCTACAGACTGGGAGACAGGGGCCCTATTCTTCTTGATTGTATTTCAAATAAATGGCTTTTGGGTCCTTGAGAAAGACACCCCTGAGTTGTAGGAGATACATGTACATCTCAAAGAGACAGAGGAAGGAGTCACAGTTGCAAGCCCTTTTTAGTAAATGTTCTAAGAAAGGGTGGTCAGGGCATACTGCCAGGTGTTGGCTCAAACAAATAGTAAGTTATTTGGCATTCTTGAGCTTTCTTAGTGAGGCACTTTAAAAGGAGCTAATGTCAACCTAGTGATGTGGCCTTGAAATGGTGGAGGAGAGAAAGTTCTTAAAAAAAAAAAAAAAAGAAAGTATGTTAGTTTTTGTACAAGTCTTTATAGGCCAAGACTGATACCTTACCAAGAAGAGGGCTTAGAGGAGAAGAGCTAGTCTGGTCAAGGAAAATATTTGTCATTAGTTATTTATTGCTGTGTAACAAACTACCCCAAAACTTAGCAGCTTCTAACAACACACACTTATTATCTCACACTTTCTGTGGGTCAGGAGTCCTGGTGTGGCTTAGTTGAATCCTCTGCTTCAGGGTCTCTCACACGGCTGCAATCAAGGTAATGGACAGGGCTCTTCTCTCCTGAAGGCTAGATTTGGGGAGGATCTGCTTTCTTACCTATATGGTTGGAGGCAGGATTTGGTTCCTTATGGGCTGCTCAACTGAAGTCCTCAGTTTTTGTCACATGGGCTTCTCCATAGGGTAGCTCACAACATGGCAGCTGGCTTTATCAAAACAAGTGATATGTGGGGAAAAGTCAGAGTAAGAGTGTAAGCAAGACAGAAGTCCTAGCCTTCTATAGCCCAACTTCAGAAGGGAAATCCTATCACTTTTGCCACATTCTTTTTGGTAAGGGCAAGTCATTAGGTCTAGACTAACACAAAGGCATGAATGCCAGGAAGTGGGGACAATTGGGAGCTGTTTAAGAAGGCTACCTGCCACACTCTAGCAATTGGGGAGTTGTAAAGTCTGTTTTAAATAATATGCTTACATTTTTATTTTTCAATTAACTTTAGAAATGCAATGATGATGAAATGATGAAATCAGTCTACTTAACTTCTCTCTTTTCTCTTCCCACCTCTTAGTTTGGAAAGCAAATATGATTCTTGTTCCAGTCTATTGTCATCAAAATATTATGATTTATATTATGTATTTTTTTAGTATTAAAACAACTATATTTAATTTTATGACTTAAAATGCCAATTACTTAAATATGTGTAGTAGACTTAAAGCTCACGGCTTAACCTTTTGTACATCATGACTTTCTCATTCATGAATTTTATTTTATGGTTACTTATCTGTTTATTGTCTTAATTTTTTTTCCTGACAGATTTTTCAGAGGTGCATAAATGCTATTTTTCTTGAATTCTTGCATATTTGAGAATTTATTTCTGTCATGATTACACATGAAGGTGGTTAGACCAGATAAGTATCGGGGGAACCAGCCCCCAATATTTCAATGTAGGTTCTTTTCTATTTTCCCTAAGTGTCGGCCGGTCTAAGAAATAAAGGGAAAGAGCACAAAAGAGAGAAATTTTAAAGCTGGGTGTCCGGGGGTTACATCACAGGTCATCAGGTTCCGTGATGCCCCCAAGCCAAAAAACCAGCAAGTTTTTATTATGGATTTCAAAAGGGGAGCGGGGTACAAATAGAGTATGGGTCACAGAGATCACATGCTTCAAGGGCAATAAAATATCACAAGGCAAATGGGGGCAGAGTGAGATCACAGGACCAGGGAGAAATTAGAATTGCTGATGAAGTTTCATGTCCCACTGGGCACGCATTGTCATTGATAACATCTTATCAGGAGACAAGTTTTGAGAGCAGACAACTGGTCTGACTAAAATTTACTAGGCAGGAATTTCCTAATCCTAATAAGCCTGAGGGCACTGCAGGAGACCGGGGCTTATTTCATCCCTTATCTACAACTGTATAAGACAGACACTCCCAGAGTGGCCATTTTAGAGACCTCCCCCTAGGAATGCATTCTCTTTCTCAGAGCTGTTCCTTGCTGAGAGAAAGAATTCAGACATATTTCTCCTATTCACTTTTGTAAGAAGAGAAATATGACTCTGTTCTGTCTGGCCCAGCAGGCAGTCAGGCCCAGTGGTTATCTCCCTTGTTCCCTGAAAATCGCAGCCATGCTGGTCCTTTTGGATGCCCAGATTTCATATTGTTCAAACACACATGCTCTACAAACAATTTGTGCAGATAACGCAATCATCACAGGATCCTGAGGCGACATACATCCTCAGTTTACGAAGATGACAGCATTAAGAGATTAAAATAAAGACAGGCCTAGGAAATTATAAGAGTATTGACTGGGGAAGTGATAAATGTCCAAGAAATCTTCACAATTTATGTTCAGCGATTGCAGTAAAGACAGGCATAAGAAATTATAAAAGTATTAATTTGGAGAATGAATAAATGTCCATGAAATCTTCACAGTTTATGTTCTTCTGCCATGGCTTCAGCTGGTCCCTTCATTCAGGGTCCCTGACTTCCTGCAACAGATATGGAATGTTTTTTCTTCCTATGTTTGTTAGCCATTGCTCCATTTTCTTCTAACATTTAACATTGCTTAGAATATGCCTGATTCCTTTGTTTATGAAGATGACCTTTTTCCTTCTGCCTAGATGACTATAGGATTCTATTTCTTTTAGTCCTTAAAGTTCTAGAAAGAAAGCTTTTATTAAATTTGATTGGAATATGGTGAGCCTTTTCAAAATTCAATTTGAAAACTTACTTTAGTTCATAACATTCTTCTATTGTGTAATTTTTCATTTCCATTTGCTCATTCACATCTTCAAAGATAAAAGTCACTCATGTTTTAGTTCTCCATTGTCCATGGTCTACAACTTTCATCTTCTTTCTGATCACCTTCATTCCATGTCATTTTCCACCAAATTCCATGTGATTATTTTCTTCAATAGCTTCCTCTTCATGTCCAATTTTCTGCCGTTTAAATTCTCTTCCTTGGTACTTTTAATGTGATTTTCAGTTATTTAATTTCTTCTCATTTGATTCCTCTGCTTTTCTAGATTTCTCTTATTTTTACTGTTGCATGGGTTCTGTGATTTTTTTTTTCTAGATTAAAAAAAAAAACTACCTAAACTCTTTGAAGGAAGTCGATGAGATCTAGTTGATTTGCTTAAGAATAAAGGGAGTGATTTTCCTGCTTTTCCCTCTGTTTACCTGAGTAGTGTTTGAATCATCCACTTATAATGTAAGCTGGAGCACTAATGTTGATGGCTTATAATGTTTGGTTAGTCACTCAGTGATGGATGAGCTGGGTCAGGAGGAAAATTTGCTATGAATGAGGAAGAGACTCAGGAAGAGATTCATACTTTTTTTTTTTCCTACTTATTACCCACTTTTTTCCACAAAGCATTGGGAGGGAATTGTAATAATATAAAAAGCAATTTAAAAAACTAACATCAGAAAGAAAATACCAACACAAGAGGAGAAGAAAAAAATGAAGATATGTAGCTGTAGCATCCTACAAAGTTATTAAAATTAACTTACAGTGAGATGTTTAAGCTTCCTGACAACCAAATCAAGAAGAAACGTGTAATTAGATATATGATTCTCATTGACTCTAAAAGAAAACCTAACAGTTATTCAGGGGGAAAAATTTAACACTTACTTCTAAAAAAAAATCAAATTAGGCATGATTCTTAGTGAATTTTATTTAGTGAATTCAATAGTTCCATTCATTAAGTCATTTCTTCTTGCTCTGCTTGGTAAAAGGTGAAAACATGGCATCAAAACACAGCCCAGAGAAAGTCAATTCCTGTATTTCTAAGACAGTAGGATCCAGGCTTATTTGGAAGATAAAATATCTCTGGAAGAACAGATAGTGTTAATGGATTGAATCATTTTCCTCAAAAAGATATAACCCCCAGAACCTCAGAACGTGACCTTATTTGGAAATAGAGTCATAACATATGTAATTAGTTAAAATTAGTCCATATTGGAGTAGGGTGGACACTAATCCAGCAAGACTGGTGTCCTTGTAAAAAAGGAGAGATAAATAAAAGAATGCCATGTGAAGACAGAGAGACACAGAGGGAAGACAGAAGCAGGAATTGAAGTTGTGCTGCCACAAGGAAAGGAAGACCAGGGGCTACAAGAAGCTGGAAGAGGCAAGGAGAGATCTTCCTCGAGAAGCTTCAGAGGGAGTGCTGCCCTGCCAGCCCCTTTATTTCAGAATTCTGGCCTTCAGACTGGGAGAGAATAAATTTCTGTTGTTTTAAGCCACCCAGTTTGTGGTACTTTATTACAGCAGCCTTAGGAAACTAATACAGATAAACTGCATTTCAGTCAACAATGTTTTATAAATGTTAGCTCTCTCAATCAAGATTTGGTATGTGCTGGACAGTAGAAAGTTTGATAAGTGACTAAAGTAAGTTTTATGTGCTGATATTGAGGATAGATCCATATGCTTTAAATTTTAAACCTGCAAATATTGCTAAGGTTGACATCCTTGAGAACATTGGGACACCTGAGGTTCACACTTGGGCTGTTAGTCATCACACTACATGTGGGGAAGGGCCAAGTGTATACTTTAAAACAAGTCCAGGGTTATTGCTGCTGCTTCTTCTTCCTCTTCTTCTTCTTCTTCTTCCTCTTCTTCCTCCTCCTCCTCTTCCTCCTCCTCCTTCTTCTTCTTCTGACTTCTTCTCCTTCTTCTCCTTCCCCTCCTTCCCCTCCTTCTTCTTCTTCTTTCTTTTCTTCTTCCTCAGTGTGGGATCTGTTTTATCATATGTAATAAATGAACATTACTGAGATGATTTAGTTTAGAAAGTTTACAAAATGGGTGATACCTATACTTACTATAAGAATTGGAGTGACATATATTATTAGCTATAAATCGGTTAGAAATGCATGATAATTTTAGGTAGTTGATATGCCAAGATTTATAGCAAAGTATGGATAAGGAAACCGAATTCTCTGTGGAAACCACCGCTAGTCATTGAAAAGTCATCACTGGAATACAGGATATGTCCTGTATTCCATGCCCTCTTAGATTTACAGATTTTTCCAAAAGTTGTCTTCTTTTCTTCCTTCCTTTATTTCTTCCTATCTAGAGGTTTTTATTCCTAGGCAGATGGTATTAAGAAGCAAAATTTGTACAGCCTCATCCCTTTATCCAAAGGTCAAACTTTTGGACATTCTCCAAAATACAGCAGCAGTCTAGAAATATGGAAAGAGGGGCAGGTCTCTGAGCATTAGAAAGAATCATAAACCTTCTGAATTAAAATAATGAAGTTTTTTGTAGAAGGATGACCAGTTGAAGACAAGCTCACTGACAAGGGAAAGATATATTAAACAGCAAATATAAGGTGATATTGGTTTACTTAAAATAGTGGGTATCCTAAAGGAATCAGGCATCTAGGGACAGGGAAGGACCGAGGGATATGTTCCTTATATCCCAAGGTATAAACAATCTGAAATAATAAAAATACAAGTAAAAATATAGAGAGGGGACTTCTCCTACTCTGAAGAACTTAACATGAGTAATAAAATATATAAATCTTTTAAATGCAAGGATAAATTTAAAAGTAAAATATATAATAGAAATATAAATGCAAGGAAGAAGAAAAAGACCATAAAAATGTCTATCATATCTGAAAAAGAACAAAATAGAACTTATAAATAAAAAATAAACAGATTGGAATTAAAAACTCAGTGGAAGAATTAACAGTAGACAAGACCACAGCCGAAGAGAGAATTAGAGAGTGGCAATTATAGACTGGAAGACCTTACACAGAATGCAGCACAAGGAGACAGAAGCTGGAAAATATGACAGAGAGGCTGAGGGACTTGGAGGATAGAGTGAAACGCTTCAATGTCTGTAACCAAAGTTTTTTAAGAGGCAATAACAGAGGAGAGGATGAGGCAATAACTGAAGAGACAATGAATGAGACATTCTTAGAATTGATGAAAGATAACCTCAAATTCCAAAACCCCAAAAGATTCCTAGTAAGACAGATAAATTGAGACACACACACAGAGACACACACACACACACACACACACACATGCACACACACACCCCAAACACATTGTTAGAAAACTTCAGAATGCCAAAGACAAAGATGACATTAAAATTAACTGAAGAGAAAATAAAATTACCAATAAAGGAATGGAAATTAGATAGTTGACTTCTCAGCAACAAAAACATAAGAAGACAGAAGATTGTGGGAAAATATTTTTAATGTATTGAGAGAGTAACTCTCAAATAGAATTATTTACCCATTAAAATTATTGGTCACAATATGTTACATTATGCTTTGGTAAAAAATTAACTCTGAAACCTCTGTGGCCTCTCACATCAATCAACAATTAACTCTGAAACATTTCAAGTTACACATCCAGCATGGGTTGTATGGAGCTCTGCTCACACCATTACTAGGGACTCAGGCTGAGAGAGTGCTGCCCTCTGTAACTCCAACATCCAGGGCTGTAGGGACATGTGAGATCACTGCAGAAGGGAAAGGGGATGCGCAGGAGCACAGGTCCCAGCTGTCTTTGTCTAGTAGTGAAACCTATCACTTCTAGTCATAGTTCATTGGCCAGAATAAGTCACAAGGTCCCAAACTAACTGCAAGGGAGAGTGGGAAATATAATCACATGGATATTCAGTAATACTGACTTTCTCTGCCACAACTATTTTTCAACATGGGGATGAAATAGAGGCTGTTTAGATAAACACTTAAAAAGTTTAACATTAAAAAACTCTTAATAATGGAACTTCTTAGCATGTCTTCAAGCAGAAGGAAAATGATCTGAAAAGGAAAGTCTGAGATACAAAAAACACACTGAGTAAAGTAAAAGACAAACTGTTGGGTAAACATACTGCTGGTGAAAACCATATAAATAAATAATGAAGCGTAACTTGTGGGGTTCAGAAATAATAGCTGGTAAAGTGGAAGTGCTGATAGGCATTAAAACATTCTTAGCTCTTTGCATATTTGGGAAGATTATAAAGATTGTAAATGTAGAGTTTGTTAGGTTTAAGTATCCATGTTCTGATTTCAAAGGAACTGCTTAACAGAAGAGAAGTAAAGCCTATACCTTCAAAACTAGAGGGGGAAAGTTGGGACTTAAGAAATTTAATCTGCCGGGCGGCGCGGTGTCTCACACCCGTAGTCCCAGCACTTTGAGAGGCCAAGGTGGGCGGATCACCTGAGGTCAAGAGTTCAAGACCAGCCTGGCCAACATTGTGAAGCCGCATCTCTATTAAAAATACAAAAAAAGTTAGCCGGGTATTATGGTGACGGGCGTGCCTCTAGTCCCAGTTACTCGGGAGGCTGAAACAGGAGAATTGTTTGAATCCAGGGGGCGGAGGTTGCAATGAGTCAAGATCACGCCATTGCACCCTAGCCTGGACGACAAGAGAGAAACTCCATTTCGAAAAAAAAAAGAAAAAATTAATTTAATCAATTGAAAAGAGGCAAGAAGGAGAAAAAAGAAACAGGAAAGCCAGAAAAAATAGAAAGTTAAAAAACTGATGACAGGAGTAAATTTATCAATGAAATAAACCCAGTTGAAAGGGAAGCTGTGAGATTGGATTAAAAAAAACAAAATCTATTGGATAAAAGAAACAAAATCTATGTTTGTGCTTTCTATAAGAGACATACCTAAGACATTGAGAAAGAATAGTTGAAAGTAAAAGAATAGAAAAATATATTTTAAGCAAATATTAAGAAAAAAGAGTTGGAATGTCTATATATATAAAATGTAAAATAGATTTTATGGCAAAAAAACCTTATGATAGACAAAAGAGATTATTTAATAATGATAAGAGGTTTAACTCCCCAGGTGGAAAAAATTCTAAAGTTTAAAACTTGATAACCTAACTTCAATAAGATAAAGGGGAATTTGACATACTTACAAGGAGATACTGTTGAATTCTCCACTATTGTGAGTCATTAAATATATATATCTCAATAATTGATAGGTAAAATGGAACTAAAGCATTAAGGATATGATTAATTTAAGCAATACAGAAAGCTAATCTACTGAACATATATATTTCTACACTCCAAATTAAGGTATACAAATTAGTTTTGGTTATGCAAGAAACACTACAATAATTTATCATGAATTAGGCTATAAATCAAGTCTCAACCACTTTTAAGAAACTCATCTTAAACACATTATATTTTTGACCACAATTCAATTAATAAAGATATCTTTAGCTAAAAGGTTATGTTTTAAAAATTTAGAAAATTCAGAAACTTTTGAATAACTCATCAATCAAGGAGTAAATCATAATGCAAAATAGAAAATGTTTAGGATCAAACAATAATAAAATCCACTTTACCAACTTCACTAAAACAAATGGTTAAAAGAGGCTTGGAGGGAATTTTAAGTCATAAATGCTTATACTAGAAACTGAGAAAGGCTGAATATTGCTGAGCTAAGCATTCATGAGAAATTATTTTACAAAATAGAATTAATTTAAAGAGAGCAGAAGAAAGAAAATAATAAGGATAAGCCTAGAAATTAATGTAATAGAAAAAAGTATAAAATAAAAAAGATCAACAATGCCAAAATTAAGGTTTTTGAAGAAGTGAGTAAAATTCATTGATCTGGCCTGGTTGAACTAAAAGAAAGGAGAAAGAGGAAGGAGGAAGAGGAGGAAGAAGAAGACAAAGATGACAACAAAAATGTTAGGAATTAAAAAAATTCAGAGAAGTAAAAAAATGGTAAACTAGTACAAACAACTTGGTATCACATTTGAAGATTTAGACAAAATGGTCAAATTATTAGAAAAAAAAGTAAGTTACCAAAACAAACTCGGGAAGAAATAGAAATTCAGAGTCATTGTAAAGTCCTTAAAGAAATTGGTTCACCAACTTTAAAATCTTACACAAAGACCTGGCCCAGATGACTTTATAGGTGACTATTAATAAACACCTAAAAAACATAATTCCAATGTAAGGCACGCTTTCAAAAACTTGAAACAAGGAAAAACACCCCAATAAAAAATATAATGGCCTCATTCCATGGAAAAAATATGTATTATATATAGCACACTATAGAAGGATGATACAAGAGGTAAAAAATGACAAACCAACTTCACTCATGAATGTAGAAGCAAAACTCTGCAAAAAAGTATAAAAATGTAATCCAGCAATGCACAGAAGATAACATATTATGATTAAATACATTATTTAAACAAATTGAGTTTACTCTCGGAACACAGGACGGTCTAACTTTAGAAAATCAAATGGATACAATTTGCTAAATTACAGATTAATAGAGAACAAACACATGCTAATATGAATGGTTGCAGATAAATTATTCTATACAACTTATTTTTTATCCACGTTAAAACAAGCAAACAAAAACTCTTAGGCAACTATGTAAATTAAAGCAAAGGAAGGATAAACACATAATTTAGCAGGGTGGTTTGCCTGAGGAGGCAGGCTATACAGATTGTGGGGCATACATAGGAAGCTTCTGTGACACTGGCATTTGCTTACCACACAAGGCTTTTCATGTTCTGGCCCCTCACCATCCCTCTAGTGTCACATCCATCCAAACCTTTAAACCCATTCTTTATTTCCATTTGTATGGATCTTCCAAAACCACACGTAATGGCACTTCACACCTCCATGCCTTAGTACACGTTGCTTTCTCTTGGCCAGAAATGCTCTTCCTCCCCTCCCCGTTTAGCCAAATCCTACTCATCCTTCAAATTCTGGAACTTCATTTTACACCTTCGCTAAATATTGATTTAGAAACCTTCCCTTCTTCTGTAACATCCCATGCTTTCTTATGTCGTGGCACTAATTGCACTACACCAAAACCTTCAGTTAGGTCTCCTCCTCTAGTAGTCTTTCATAATAGTAATGTGTTACTTATTGAGCATTCCAGGGAATTTACTTACATTATTTCTAATCCCCAATACAACTGTCAAAAGTACCTATCTTCAGCTACAATTTTAAGCTGAGGAAACTGAGGCTTAGAAAGTGAAGCAATAAGTCCATGGCCCTGTAATTATAATGGCAGCATTACACTCGCATCTGTTTCTATAATGTCTTATTGACTCTGTCTCTTCACCACCAAGCACAGTGCCTGAGAGTTTCCTGGTTAGATGGATGTGGATGGATGCATGGTCTGGGTTGAAATAGATCCTAGTTTAGAAGACAAAAAAAAAAGCCAAATTTGAAGTCAGATGAAGACTTGTGCTCAAGTTCTGCCTCTACCTCTAGCTGCTAGGATAGGAGAGTTTCCAAACAGTTGAGCATGTTCAGATGTGATTAGTATGGCAAGTAGGCTTCCTGGGTTGGGGACGACTTTGTCACTACAGTCTGCAGATCAACAGAGAGGATAGAAAGAGAGTCTGAACTCAGAGGCAAGGCACCTGTTGGTACAAGTTTTCTTTGCGGAAGAGCTATGTTGTCGCGCAATATTTATCTTAGATCCTTAGACGGTAAGATAATGATTTGCTATCTGTGTGTGCAGCTGTTACTAGAGAGATTGATTTGGGACTTGGTCTCAGTGCCGATTGCATACACATTGCCTGCCCTTTGGTTTGTGTCCAAGGCTTCTGTTTTCTGAAAATAGTACCTGATTCTGCCTCTGACGCAGTCCCTTTCTCCTCATATTCCCTCTGGTACATTAGTTCTAAGAAAATCAACTCATCTCTGATTGTTTGCTACATGCCTTTTTTTGTGTGTGTGAAATTTGTGAGTTATTACCAAGATATTTAAACTTTCTTTTATTAATTCCTGGAAGTTGGTGTCATGTGAATCAGTGGAAAGATACACACTTTCTTGTTGCCTCTCTAATGATTTACAAAGTCCTGAGGCATCCTTTACTCTGAATCTTTAAATAATGTAACATAATTCATCAAAACTATCCCCTTGGAATCCATTCCATTGCCATTTGGGGTGGGCTTCTGCCTCTGGATTAGCCTTCTTTTTTTTTTCTTTGAGATGGAGTTTCACTCTTGTTGCCCAGGCTGGAATGCAATGGTGTGATTTTGGCTCACTGCTCCCTAGGTTCAAACGATTCTCCTGCCTCAGCCTCCCAGGTAGCTGAGATTACAAGCGCCTGCCACCACACCCGGCTAATTTTTTGTATTTTTAGTACAGGTGGGGTTTCACCATGTTGGCCAGGCTGGTCTCAAACTCCAGACCTCAGGTGATCCACCGGCCTTGGTCTCCCAAAGTGCTGGGATTACAGGCGTGAACCACTGCGCCCGGCCTGGATTAGCCTTCTTAACTTACATTGACTTGCTAAACCCCTCTTTGCTTCCTCTCCAGGCACTCCTCTCCTTTAATATCTCCCTTTTAAGTGACTGTTTAATGGGGCTTTTCTGCAGCCCACATAACTGGAAGTGGTGATGCTGCACATTCTGAGCACCTGCTAAGCCTCCCTCTAAATTCTAGACAGTTGATGCCAAGTCTCCATTCAGTACCTTGAGTAGGATTCTGCACTCCTCACCCCTAGACTGTGAGGATTCAACATGAATGATTGCTTTTTTAACCCTTTTTGTATTTTTATTGACTGGTTAGACTTTGGGCATTTAATTCCCTGTGATGCAAACTCTCTCAGTTGTACATACTTAAGTCTGTCCATATCTCACTGAATTACTGACTCAGTCAATATAGTTTTGGTTGGCTTAACCATGGAACCTGTTCTGTTTGCTATCTCTAACTATCTTTTCTCCCTAACAAGGAAACCAGGAAGTTGGGGGCAGGCAAGTATCTGGTACATTCAGTGACTAACTTTCTTCTCTTTCCTTTTTTAATTTAGTATT
Organism: Homo sapiens; assembly: GCF_000001405.40. NCBI lineage: Eukaryota > Metazoa > Chordata > Mammalia > Primates > Hominidae > Homo > Homo sapiens. Next base: position 84,277,746 of record NC_000001.11, on the reverse strand, counting down.
TTATTATGAAAGTAATACATGCTCATCATCAGTAAATGGTTCAGAATTGGGGGATTTCCCAATCCCATCTCCTGCCAGCAGTGTGTTAAGTATTCTTCCAGTTGTTCTCTAGTCATTTACTAAAAACAAAATAAGATGAAATAAAATAAGGCAACATAAAAATCACACAAAACACACTGTATACACAAATAGAATACTACCAAAAACACTATTGCGTAATTTGACCTTTTTCATTTAATAATTATTGTGATCATTTTCTATATCAGTATATTTGTCCATTTTTTTTTCCAGATGTTTATTTCTAATGAATTGGACATTACATTTCCAAAGTTATAAGATGGCCAACAGACCATGAAAAGACAATTATTTAGTCTCCTGCTTGAAACCAACAGCTTCAGCAAACTGCTGGCCTTGAATCAGGACCAACCATTCTTTTTAATACATACGGAATACTTTTACTAGAACATTCTGGCTTCAAGGTATAGCAACCCAACTCATATACTACTTTAAGCAAAAAAGATAATTTATTGGTTCACAAGAGTAGGAGGAAGAGATGTGGGGTTGACCTTGGAAGGTATCAGTCCAGGGAGCCAGTGGTGTCATGGGGATGCCCTTTCTTTCCATTTCCAGATTGGTACTAATGATTTGTTTGGTTTCCTTCTTTTCTACAGCAAAGCATACTTATTTCATGCAATAGGGACAGAGGGTCACTCCTGCTGATATCTTCTTTTGCATCATCTCACATCTACCTACCTACTGGTTGGATGATCCTAAGCTAATTACCTCACTCCTCTAAACTGCAGCTGTCACATAAGCAGGTATTCTTGGGCTCTCTCTCCTTAGCTCTTTCTTGTGGTCCAGCCAGAATCGTGCCAGGTGTGGAAACTGGAAGTCTAGAAAGAAAAGTTTCCCACTGCTCTGATGCAGGTCCTCCTCCTGGGTGAGGAAAACAACAACATCCTTGAACCTAGGGCAGCACCTTGGTGTCCATCTCCTCTTGCCTGTGCCTGGTCTTGGGATATTGGTGCTGGGCCTTCATTTTATTGGGTGCACCTTTGAGAGTAGATGAAGAGCTACCAAATTATAAATCCCTGATTGGGTGTCTCTCTTAATAATGAACAGCTTAGGAACCCTTCTACCTTGTTTCTGGGGCCAAGGCTACTCTTCTCACAGGAGTTTCCAGAGTTATGTTTCATTCTTATAAAATTATGCTTCAGAAGCCATAATACATGGGTGCCCACTGGTGAGGATTTCTTAAGATAAAGATCCTGGGCTCTACCCCTTGAGACTGAATCAGTAGGTCTGGGGTAAGGCCCAGAATTTATACTTTAAAAAAGTAACACACCAACTTTCAGTTCCAGTCTGGCATGTAAGAAGCTTGGAAGTTGTCACTCAGCCCTAACAACAAGTAAAAAGCTGAATAAACCAGGCACAGCGACTCTCATCTGTAATCCCAGCACTTGGGGAGGTTGAGGCGGTTCCAATCACTTGAGCCCAGGAGTTCAAGACAAGCCTGGGAAACATGGTGAAACCCCATCTCTACAAAAAAATACAAAAATTAGCCTGGTATGGTGGCGCACACCTGTAGTCACAGCAACTTCGGAGGCTGAAGTGGAAGGATCACTTGAGCCCAGGAGTTGGAAGTTACAGTGAGCCATGATAGTGCCACTGCACTCCAGCCTGGGTGAGAGGGTAAGACTCTGCAACAACTCTTTTTAGATCTCTAAGAGAGGTTAGATTATAGGGCAAACTGCTGTCCCCCAAATTGGAGAGACCAACAGGGGAATACAGAGAATCACAACTCTGTGAGCAGGAAACCATGAGTAGTAACCTCTGCAGCAACCGGTGCCCATGTAGGAAAATCTTAACTGTAATTGATGAATTGCTGGAGGCTGAGTGTGGGCAAGTCAAAAACTCCAGGGGGACTCAGTCATTAGGAGACCCCCACATTTTTGTGTTTTACCTTTAGAAGCTCTACCACACCCCCACAGTGAATATTGGAGAAAAATCCTGTCATGCTTCTGCCAGGGGAAGGGGAAAAGAACTATTTAAAAATACACCAGAACACTCTGTTCTTCTGAACGTGGTCTGCTCTTAGGAGGAACTGCTTAGCCAGAGCCTAAACTTCAGGGGTTTTACCAACGCCTAACTGACCTGGAAGAAGGGAAATACCCAATTCTAAGTAAACTAGGAATAGAGGGAAATTTCCTCAACTTGATAAAGAATATCTGAAAAAAACAAAAACAAAAACAAAAAAAACCCAAACACCCTACAGTTAACATCATACTTAATGATGAGAAACTTGAAGCTTTCCCATAAAACCAGGAGCAAGGCAAAATGTTTCCTCTCTCCACTGCTTCTGAAGAGCAGATGAAAAATTCTAGATAATACAGCAAGAAAGAAAAAAGAAATAAAAGCTACAGATTGGGAGGGAAATAACAAAACTGTCTTTGTTTGCAGATGACATGATTGTCTATGAAGAAAACCTGAAAAAAATTGGCAGAAAAGTCTCCTGGAGCTAATAAGTAATTATAGGAAGGTTGAGGAATACTAGGTTAATATACAAAAGTCAATTGTTCTCCAATATACCAGTGTCTTAGTCTGTTTTATGCTTCTACAACAGAATACCCAAGACTAGGTAATTTATAAAGAACAGAAATTTATTTCTTACAGTTCTGGAGGCTGAGAAGTCCAAGGTTGAGGGGCTTACATCTGGTGAGGTCCTTCATGTTGTGTCATCCCACGGTTGAAGGCAGAAGGGCAAGAGAGCATGTATATAGAAGGAAAAGGAAGGAGAGGGCAGGGGGGAGGGAAGGAAGAGGAGGTGGGAGGGAAGGAGGGAGGCGGAGGGAAAGGGAGGGGAGGGGAGCCAAATTCATTGTTTTATTAGGAACCCTAACCCACAAGAAGCATGAATCCATTCATTAGAACAGAGCCCTTCATGTCCTAATCACCTCTTATAGATCCCACCTCTCAGCACTGTTGCAATGGGGATTAAATTTCTCTTCATAATATATTCAATCCATGACAACCAGCAATGAACAAATGAAATTTGAAATAAAAAAAAGTATTTCCCCAAAATAAAATATGTATAAATCTACCAAAATAAATACAAGATCCATGTGAGAAACACTGAAAAACTTTAATGAAAGATATCAAAGAGGAACTAAACAAATGGAAAAATACTACGTGTTCGTGGATGGGAAGATTCAATGTTGTCAAGATGTCAGCTGTTGCCAACTTGATCTATAGATTCAGTGTAATCAAAATTAAAATCCCAGCGAGCCATTTTGTGGAGATTAACAGGTTGATTCTAAAGTTCATCTGCAGAGACAAAAGACCCAGAAGTGCCAACACAACATTGAAGAAGAATAAAGTTGGAGGACTGACACTATCTGACTTCAATAGTTAATATAAAGCTATAGTCATCTAGACAGTGTGGTATTGGTAAAAGAATAGACAAATAGATCAGTGGAACAGAATAGAGAGCTCAGAGATAAACCCTGCAGATAGTGTATGTCAAAGGAGCAAAGGCAATACAATGGAACAAAGAGTCTTCAACAAATGATCCCAGAACAACTGGACATCACATACACACAAAAAATGAGTAAGACACGACCCTTACTTTCTTCACAGAAATTAACTCAAAATGGATCGCAGACCTAAATGTAAAATGTAAAACTGTAACACTCCTAGAATGTAATGAGACAGGAGAAAATCTAGATGAGTATGGGTATAGTGATGACTCTTTAGATACAACACCAAAGACATAATCCATGAAAGAAATAATTGATAAACCAGACTTCACTAAAATTAAAAAACTTCTGCTTTACAAAAGACAATGTCAAGATAATGAGAAGATAATCCAAAGACTGGGAGAAAATATTTGCAAAAGACACTTCTGATAATGGACTGTTTTCCAAAATACAAAAAAAACAAAAAACAAAAAACAAAAGAAAACCTCTTAAAACTCAGCAATAAGAAAACAAACAACCCAATTAAAAAAATGGGCCAAAGATCTTAACAGACACCTTACTAAAGAAGATATGCACATGGCAAATAAGCATATGAAGAGATGTTCCATATCATATGTCATCAGGGCAATGCAAATTAAAGCAACAATGAAGTACCACTACATACATATTAGACTGGTCCAAATCTGGAACACTGACAACACCAATTGGTGGTAAGGATGTGGAGCAACAGCAACTCTCATTCATTGCTGGTGGGAATGCAAATTATACAGCCACTTTGGAAGATAGTTTTGTAGTTTCTTACAAAATAAACATTCTCTTACTATATAATCCAGCAATCATGCTCTTTTGGTATTATGTCTACACATAAACACGCATATGGATGTTTATGGCAGCTTTATTCAAAATTGCTAACACTTGGAAGCAACTGAGATGTCCTTCGGTAGGTGAATGGATAAATAAACTGTGGTACATCCAGACAAGGGAATATTATTCAGCACTAAAAAGAAATGAGCTATCACATCATGAAAAGACATGGAGGAAACTTACATGTATATTATTAAGCGAAAGAAGCCAGTCTGAAAAGGCTACATACTGTAGGGTTCCAAGTATCTGAGATCCCGAAAAAGGTAGAACTACTGAGACAGTAAAATGATCAGTGGTTGCCAGGGCTTAAGAGGAAAAGGGAGATGAATAGGTGGAGCACAGAGGATTTTTAGAGCAGTAAAACTATTCTATATGATACTATAATGGTGGATACAGGTCATTATGAATTTGTTCAGACTCAGAGAATGTACAACACAAAGTGAACCCTAATGCAAACTATAGTCTTTGGGTGATAATACTGTGTCAATATAGTTTCGTCAATTGTAACAAATGTACCACTGTGGTGAAGATGTTAAAATTGGGGGATGTTGAAAATGCCTGTGTCAGCACTGGGAATATATGAGAAATCTCTACCTTCTGCTCAGTTTTGTTGCAAACCTAAAACTGCTCTAAAAAAATAAAATCTACTTTTTTAAAAAAAGCAGCACACCTGATTTTATAACTAACCAGGTTGGGAAGGGCAAACATATAAATCTTCTGGATAGTCCTCTTTGTTTAACTTCACCTTTCTAAAGAGCAGCAGCTGGGTAGGTGTTGGCTGCTTTTCCTGCTATGTAAATGACAGGCCCTGGCCAGGAATGCTTAACAGACAGGTGTGTCCCAGCCTCTCCCCTACTTTTACCCGTCAGTTGTTTTTATTCCTAGGCTAGGTCTAAGGTGGAAAGCTTTTCCTAAGTAGGGGGTTGTGTTGGTCTTAAGGCTTATCTAACTTGGACATAGCCTCTTTAAGGAAAAAAAAATCAATGTATGAATATAAAATTAAGTACAAAGGCCCTCAGAAGAGGTCTGTAAAAATGAGGATTCTAAAGCTTAAGCTTTATTACTTTCACAGCAGATTTACCTCTGTACAACTTTCTCATTTTGGAGCAAATCAAAAGACTCTGTTTTACAAATTGTCTATGTTTTCAATATATATTAGTTAAACTGAATTTTTGAAATAAAAAGAAGAAAAAACCCCCATAGAAATGGATCATTTTGGCTGAGAACTGCAAAAACTCTGGGCACAAACACGTTATTCACCCTCTCTTGAGAGACTTAGCCATACTTTAGCATGGCTTTTAGCAGCCTGAGCCTTGTCTCTGGGAAGACTCAAACACTTTTTGAGTTCCTCTCCGGAAGAGTTCAGTCCCTAACCTCCCTTTCTTGCAGCATTTACTAAAAAGGGCTGACAATTGTGAATCTTTCCTCTGTCCCTTCCAGATGTGTATGCATCTCCTGCAACTCAGGAGTGTCTTTCTCAAGGACTTGAAAGCCATTCCTTTGAAATATAATCCTCAGGAAGGTTAGGGCCTCTGTCTCAGTCTCTGTGGGAGGATAGCAGCCTAACTTCAATAACTGCCAGCAAGCATTCACAGTTGGCTTAACTGTATTTGCATTGACCAACCTTTTGTAATTTTTCACTTCCCTGATTCCACTGAGCCTCCGCTCACGCCTCTCCTACTCTCTCATTCTCCTTTAAAAACACCCAGTCACCTCTGTGCAAATCTGAATGGAGCTCAGCCCTTTCCCTTGTTGTCGGTAGCTACTGAACAAAATCAGTTTTCACTGTTTTAACTAACATCTGGGTTTGTTTATCTTTTACATGACCCGGAAGAGTCTGAGGCTGAGTTCTTAACCACAGCCCAGTGGCACAGGCTTCGTTTGTGGGTGACTTTACTCATTATCCCCTGTATACTCTGAATTTGTAGAAAGAGCAACATAATCCCTTTATAAACACCTTCCCATCACCTTTCTGACCCTGTCTCCTACCACTTTGCTCCTTGCTTGCTCCTCTGCAACTATGCTGGCTTCCTTGTCCTTCCTGGAACAGACCTGGCACGTTCTTGCCTCTGCATTTTGCAGAGAAGTATATATGGGCTTGGAAAATTTAAATGTTGTGACCAAGTGATTAAAACCTGAGAAACGCTTCATAATGTTTTTTCCCACTGGCTTCATTCTCAACACCCCACTTCCTCTCATGATCTATTCAGTCAGTCAGGAGACCCTGTTGGCTCCACCTTTGAAATGTGTTCTGAGTTCCACCACTTGTCCCACCTCCACTGTTGCAATGAAGGTGGGACCACTACCACTTCTTGCCTGCATGACTACTGGAGCCTCCCATCTTGTCTCCCTGCTTCTTCCCTTGTCCCTGTAGTCTATCTCAACACAGCAACCAACACGGTCCTTTTAAAATACAAGTTAGGGCCGGGCGCGGTGGCTCACGCCTGTAATCCCAGCACTTTGGGAGGCCGAGGCGGGCGGATCACGAGGTCAGGAGATCGAGACCATCCTGGCTAACACGGTGAAACCCCGTCTCTACTAAAAATACAAAAAAATTAGCCGGGCGTGTGGCTGGGACTCCTGAGTAGTCCCAGCTACTCAGGAGGCTGAGGCAGGAGAATGGCGTGAACCCGGGAGGCGGAGCTTGCAGTGAGCCGAGATCGCGCCACTGCACTCCAGCCTGGGCGACAGAGCGAGACTCCATCTCAAAAAAAAGAAAACAAGTTAGATCATGTTGCTACTCTGCTCAAAACCCTCTGATTGCTTTGTGTTTCCTCCAAGGCAAAAAAACTTTGAAAGGCCTTACAAAAGCCCATCAAGCTCTACAGTAATGCTGTCCAAGGCAGTCACAACAGGCCACATGTGGCTATAGAGCACATGAGATGGGGCCAGTTGGAATTGAGATGCAAAATACACACCGGACTTTGAAAACTTAGTTTGAAATAATGTAAAATAAGTAAGAATGTAAAATATCTCATTAATAATTTTCATAGTAATTATACATGGAAATTATAATATTTTTGGTACATTGGATAAATAAAATATATTATTAAAATCAATTTTACTTGTTTCTTTTTACTTTTTTACTGTGGCTACTAGAAAATTAAAAGTTACATATCTGGTTCATGTTTGTGGCTTGAATTATATTTCCATTGGACAGAGCTGGTCTATAGTAACTGATCCCTCCCTAAAACCGCTCCTGATCTTATCTCCTGCTCACTTCTGTTGCTGCCACATTGGCCTCCTTGCCATTCCTTGAGCATCCAAGCACACGAGACATGCTCCTACCTCAGGGCCTTCACACTTGCTATTTCCACTCCTAGAAAACCTTCCCCTGTTATCTGGATGTTTCTTCATCTTCCCTAGACTTTATTCAAACTTTACCTTCTCAGTGATACCTTCCTGAGAGCCTACTGAAAACTGAATTCCTCACCCACCTCCACTCTCATATCCACTACCCCTTTCCCTGTTTTACTGTTCTCCATAACATTGTCACCATGTAACATACTGTATATCTTTCTTATTTATTTTATTTATTGTCTAACTTCCCCTGTAGAATCCACCAGGCAGGGAGTTTTGTTTAAAGTTGTGCTCCCGAAATCTAGAACTGTACCTGGTAGGTAGTAGATGTTCAATAACTTTGTGGAATGAATTACTGAATGAATCTTAATCAACCACTTCATTATACAGGTGAAGGAACTGAGAATAAGTGGCTTTCCCAGGGTCTCACAGCTTTTTTAGGGGCAGAGTGGTTGTACCCTCCGTAAGATCAGATGCCACCGTCTAGAACCCAGCCCTTTACCTATATTTGAATTTCTTTACTGGACTCTGTGCACATTTTTATGTCTCTTTTAAACTTTGCACTCAAGGAAATAGACTTACTCTAGAAATAATCTACTCAGTCACACCCAGGGGATGACCTCCAACATTCTTTCTTGCTCCAAGGATATGCCTTTGATATTTTTTTTCCCTAGGCAGGAATTCTGGGTCTGTCTGGATCACAGGAAACTAATTATTTCACCAGGGAAAAAAATTTGCTTGAAGGAAGCCATTACATTTGATTGTATAATAAATAAAATATTTAAACTATAGCCTGAAGGATTTAAATAGTTCATTTATTTGACAAAAAGACACATTTTTATTGAGCACTTTGGCATGTTGATATATGCCAGGCATTGCTTTAGGTGCTGGGAATGAACAGAGAGATGTGACAGTCTCTCAGGAGCGAACAGTCTAGTGTGTATGTGAGGGGAAGGAGGGTAAGCAAACAATTACAGGGTGCATTAGTTTCCTATTGCTGCTGTGACAAATTACCACAAGCTTAGTGGCTTAAAACAATGCATATTTATTCTCTTACAGTTCTGGAAGTTAGAAGTCCAAAATGGATCTTATTCTGCTAAAAATCAAGGTGTCAGGAGTCTGTCCCTTACGGAAGCATTATGGGAGCATCTGTTTTCTTGTCCTTTTCAGCTTCTAGAGGCTGCCTGTATTCTTGGCTCATAGCCCTTCCTCCATCATTAAAGGACATCTCTTCAATCTCTGCTTCCATCCTCACTGGCCTTCCACTCTCACTCTGACTCCTCCTGGGTCACTCAAGATCTTTGACTTAAATGTATATAGCTATATATTTTTTAATATATTTATTTATATTTAATATATTTTCATGATCTATATTTTAATTGACAGAAAATAATTATCTATATTTCTGAGGTACAATGTGATGTTTTGATATATGTATACATTGTGGAATGATTGTATCAAGCTAATTAACATATCCATCATTTCACACATAATCATGCATTGCTTAACAAGTGGGATACATTCTGAGAAATGGTATGGCCTATTGCTCCTAGGCTACAAACCTGTTCAGCTGGTTACTGTACTGAATATTGCAGGCAGTTGTAACACAAGCTAGGTATTTATATGTCTAAACATATGTAAACATAGAAAAGGTATAGTAAAAATACAGTATTATAATCTTATGGGACCACAGTCATCCATCGTGGGCTGAAACATTGTGTGTGTGGATGACTGTGCTTATTCTTTTTGTGTAATGAGAACATTTAAAATCCATTCTTTTAGCAATTTTGAAATATACAACTTATGACTATTAACCATAGCCACACTGCTGTGCAATAAATTCAAGATCCTTAACTTAATCACATCTACAAATTCCCTTTTGTCACTTAAAGGAACTTTACCATTCACAGGTTTGGGGATTAGCATGTGGATATTTTGGTGGGGGTAGGGGGGTGGGTGGGCGGCATTACTCCATCACAAGACAATGTGACAAGTGCTACAGTTGAGGTAAATATTAGATGCTATGTAAACAAAAATGACAGATCAGAGAGGATATTGAGGAGAAGCAAGGTAGTTTTGTAGAGCAAGTGGCTGCTCAGCTGAGGCTTGCATGGTGCAGTGAATGGTACCATTCTTAAAGGAATACACGAAAAAAATGAAGTGTAAATGAAGATGAGATTTGCATTCATTGTCTATTGCTAGGTCACAGATTACTGCCCAAACTTAGCAGCTTAAAACAATAAATGTTTAAGAGTTCATCATTTCTGAGGGTCATCAATCTTAACCATCTGATCCTGCCCTATGGTCAATCATGAGATTGCAGCCAAGTTGTTGGCTGGGGCTGCAGTCATCTGAAGGGGCTGAAGAAGCAGTATCTAAGCTCACTCATGTGACTGCTGCAGAAGGCTTCAGTGCCTCACCACATGGGCCTCTCCATAAAGTTGCTTATAGGACACAGCATGGCATTTGGCTTCCCAGAGAGTGAGTAATTGAAGAGAAAGAATCAAAGACAGAAGCCACAGTTATTTATAACCTAATCTCAGAACTGACATATCCTCACTTCTGCCATGCTGTTGGTCATACAGACCAACCCTGGTACAATATGGAGGTGGGAGAGGACCACAAAAAGGGTGAACTCCAGGAGCAGGGATCACTAGGGCCATCTTGGAGTCTGGCTACCACAGTATTCTTGGGATTACAAACAGTTTCCCATTATTGACATGTAGGCAACCAGGAAAGATTGGTGGGGGTGAGGTTGGTGGGGGTGACGTTGGTAGGGGTGAGGTTGGCATGGGAAGGAAGGGCTAGAGCATGTGGAGCCTGTACACTTGCCCAAGAGTTTGTAGATAATTATTTTCTTGATAGGGAGGGATTGCAGGGGCTTAGTCACGGTAGTAACATGACCAAGTTGCTTTTTAGAATGATCACTGCAGTAAGAGTGTATGGAAGGAGGTGGTGCAGAAGGCAAAGAGATTAGAGAGAAAGAACCACTAAGAAGCTATTGCAATAGTGCAGGAGAGAGAAGAAGAGAGTCCTGATATAAGGCAGTAGTGGTCAAGGAGTGGTGAGGATGATGGCTTTAGGGCACATTCAGGAGGTGGAATGGTTCATGGTTCAGGAGGGAGAGTTAGGGAGGCCATAGGGCGCTCTGAAGTTGCTTGTTTGCAGGAGGGATTGGTAACATTAAATGAATATAGAAAGAAGGGCAAGGTCCACATGAGGTGAACAAAAGTTAAGATGCCTAATTTGAATACATTGTGCCTATAGGGCATTCAGGAATAGAGATAACTAATGAGTAGTTTGAGTGAAATAAATTTAGTTTAGACTAACTACAGCAAGAGCTTCTCAGCATTTGTCAAGAGACTCTGTGCACTTGGGCCAGAGAAGAGCTCTTCTCGCTGTGTTAGTGTGATATCAGAGCCTAAGCTGAACAGCATTTTCTAGACACCATCTTTATGTTTTTATTATCCTTGTAACTACCATTGATTAAGTGTCTGCTGCATAGCGCACTCTGTGCTTCACACATTGCATGCCCTTTCATTTCATTTCATCTTCCCACTAACCCAGTGAGTCGTGTAATGTTATTTCTTTTTTACAGGGGCAGAAACTGAAGAAGGTTCTACTGCTAGCCCCATTTTACAGATGAGAAAGCAGGCTTACTTCATGTCAATAACATTGCTCAGGGCTATACAGGGAATCAGTATGCAGCTCTCAGGTCTAGATCTTCCTACTCTAGACCAAGCTTGTCCAACCTGCAGCCTGTGGGCCACATGCAGCCCAGGACAGCTTTGAATGTGGCCCAGCACACATTTGTAAACTTTCTTAAAATGTTATATTTTTTGCAATTTGTTTTCTTAGCTCATCAGCTATCATTAGTGTTAGTGTATTTTACGTGTGGCCCAAGACAATTTTTCTTCCACTGTGGCCCAAGGAAGCCAAAAGTTTGGAAACGCCTGCCTAGATCCTATTCCTTTAATTGAGCAGCCACCTATCGTATGCTTTATAGAATTAGAGAAACTTTCCAGCATGGTTTGGGTGGAGTGATGGTTTATGATCTGATGTGTGAGAGATAGCAAATAGAAAGCAGGAACAAGGTCATGAATCCACATATGCAGTGGTGTGAAAAAAGGGTCAAATGCCCTCTTGCTGGTAAATATAGATGTCTACATATTGGCAATGTTTTCAGTGTTTTTCCTAAAACTCTCTTCTTGTTTTTGCTATTTCTGAAGAAATGTGAGGAAATGCTTTCATTCACTTAAAAAATTAGCAAATTGTTCATTTTCTTGTCACAGAAAAATGCCAGCATCTTGCATTAGCAAGATGGCTTTTGAAGCTTAAGATTGATGCAAAGGGAGTTTTACCGCAGCAGCATTTTTCACTAGAAGGGATAAAAGGGAGGGGAGAGATGAAAGATGTCGACAGATCCTGTCTTTTTTTTTAGGGAAGGTTCCCACAACAGCAGATAGACTGGTCTAGAAATAGCTACCCGTCATTACTATATATATATATATATATATATATATATATATATATATATATACACACCTCTATTTCTTAAAAAAGTTCCCATATCCGAGGTTCTACTGTGGAATTTAAGAGACGATAAAGGGAATAATAGTCATGCACGCTTCATAAATGGCTCCCAGATTATTCACTGTCCTAAAGAAGATGCAGGCTCTGGACTGCAGACTTCCTGTAGGTCAGAGTATGAAAGCACAGGGTCCCACTGAGGCAAGAGCAGCTTTACAGCTTCTCTGCAGTTGTCTAGAATTTCCCAGAGAAAGCAAAAGATGAGGCTAAATGTAGACTTTCACCTTGAAAAGCTGTAAAGGTAATAAAAACAGGGCATAGTGGGTTGGTTTGCAAGACTCCCACTTCACATTTTATGTGCGTTTCCAAGCAACAGAGCTTCCTAAAACTAGAGAAGTGAGGACGTGAGTGATGAGCACAGTAGGCTCAGCCACTGGCTGCACCAGATAACTTTGGACACAAGAGAACTCCTTGCTTCATCTCTGTCCATTGTGGAGTCAGCTCCATCCCTGACTCACTCCTCCTGCCCACCATCCTTCCTCCTCATCTCCACCCCACTATCCTCAGAGCCTTGGGAATCCCTGCACATATTAGCTGTCTAATCAGTACTCATTTTGTTTCTTTCTTTTATTTTTTTTAGACAGAGTCTCACTCTGTCGCCCAGGCTGGAGTGCAGTGGCGCGACCTCGCCTCACTTGAATCCAGGTTCAAGTGATTCTCCTCCCGAGTAGCTGGGATTACAAGCACGCACCACCATGCCCAGCTGTTTTTGTATTTTTAGTAGAGGCAGGGTTTCACCATGTTGGCCAGGCTGGTCTCGAACTCCTGACCTCGGGTGATCCACCCACCTCCGTCTCCCAAAGTGCTTTACAGGCGTGAGCCACCGCGCCTGGCCCAATCGGTACTCATTTTCTGGCTTTCACTGATATCTTTCTATGTTGATTTATCCAGGAACCATCTAATGTTTCCTTAGGTATTTGTTGATTAGGTAAATGAAGCAGCTCAGTATTTGGGGGAGTCCTAAGTTTGGGATGAGGCGTTATTCAACTTTTGGGACACAACTCTTCCTATTGCATGTATCCTGTGGGCCATAACAGAATTTCTGGTTCTGGCTTTACGTTTCAAGGCATTAGCACTTCATTAAAGTTAACTTAAAAAATGCATCGACTGAGTTTTCTTTCTCAACTAATTTTAACACATAATGTTTTTTATTTCTTTAACTTTTCCATTCAGTGAAATGCACATTAAATGAAAGAAATAAAATTATGAAACTTCTGTAGTCTAGGCTTATAATTAATAAGATGCTTAGGTGCCTGTCAATATACTTGTTTGTAGTAACATCACAAAAACATATTATACAACTTCCTGCAAATGGGCTAAGGATAGCAAAGACTGTGGAAAAACTGCCTAACTGGAAATGAATCTTCGTCGCAGGAGGCCCACAATAATAAAGTCAAATGATGAATATATGAAGATTTATATGACATGCCAGCACATTATTACCACATATTCTATTAATTAATAGTTAGCCATAAGAAATCAGCTCAGGGGTAGAAGGAAGTCAGTTTGTGGACAAATTCAGCCTTCAGTCTGAAATTCTTCCACTGCCATAATCACTGAAACCTTCAAGGTTCTGAATGGCCAGCACCTACTAAACGTTAGGATTAGCTCCTTAGCAAATATTGGTTTGACAAGACCTTCGGAATAATTTTCTATTTGCACAACTTGTCCAACTTTTCTGTAATTGTCTTTTTAATTCTACTATTTTTAACTTTGCTTGTGAAGAAGTCATTTTATGATATTAGTGAAATGGATATTGTCTGAGAGGTTTTCAGATAACTGAATTTCCTAAGTGTATTTCAGAGTGGAATCTGTGATGTGTCTGGAATTCGCCCCCTTGTTAGGGACATCTCTGGCCCAGGGAGAGGAAGCACCCCACACCCACGGATGGCAGGATACTCAGGCTGGTGCTCTGTGATTCTGAGGTCCACGTAGAAGCAGCCATAGGAACCCCAGCACCTCATTTGGACTCTACTTCCTCTAGTTTAACTCTTATCTTCTCCCTCCAATTTATCATTTCATTAGTTCTTCCCATTTAGTAACTCTATTCCAACTAATAGACTTCTTCCTTCTTCCTTATCCTTTTACCTTCTTCCATATCCCTTGCCTGTTTGTCTCCTATTCTTTTATCTGATGCTTCTTTCAGACACCGTTCTTGGTAACTGACGTGTCCTGCTTAGTCCAAGACCGCTCCTGCAATATGCCCCTGCGAGCACTGCTGCAGTGGGCTCCTGGCCCTGTTGCTGTGAGGCCCACCTCTGTGTTTCAGGGAGATCTCAGCCAGCTCCTGGGTTTCTTGCTCTGGTTGGAGGAATTTCTGGCTCTCCAGGTGACCTGGGTCCCAAGTGAGACATAGCATGTATGATAAGTGGAGTTCTACCTGAGCAGCGAGGCCCAAACAAAGCACCCCCATGGAGGAGGGTGTTCCCTGCTCAGAAAATATGAGGTCTTACCTGTCTATATCTGTGTGCTATACCTGTGATCCAGATGTTATGATGTACCGCATGGATGCAAGGATATACAGTGTGGTCCAGGTGTGCACCCGGCCAGTTACCAGTCCTCTGAGCCTTGTGGGGGAGCCCACATCCCCAGAAATAACATTGAAGTCTCAAGCTTTGTCATGTGTATTCCCCTTTACTGCACAGGTCTTTTCTTTTTCCTTTTTTTGGCAGAGTCTCACTCTGTCGCCCAGGCTGCAGTGCAGTGGCACGATCTCAGCTCACTGCAACCTCTGCCTCCCAGGTTCAAGTGATTCTCCTGCCTCAGCCTCCGGAGTAGCTGGGATTACAGGCGTGTGTCACAATACCTGGCTAATTTTTGTATTTTAGTAGAGATGGTGTTCTCCATGTTGAACTCCTGAGCTCAGGTGATCCACCTACCTTGGCCTCCCAAAGTGCTGGGATTACAGGCACGAGCCACTGTCTCTGGCCTGCACAGGTCCTTTTAATCCTTCTGGGATTTGACTGCTTATGGGTGGAATTGTAATCTATTCTTGGATAACATAGTAATCTACTGCTTAGATGTGGGCTCATGTGAGCCCTTGTTCATATGCCTCCTTTGTTGTCATGGAAACAACATTGTCAAACCCAATGTCACTGCATAGTCCTATTCTATCTTTTTCAAGAAAAAAAAGGGAAAGTCAATTATTTATTATTATAAAATATACGCCACATAAAATTTACCATTTTCACCATTTTTAAGTATACATTTCACATTATTGTGCAACCATCACCACCATCCACCTCCAGAACTTTTTCGTCTTCCCAAACTGAAACTCCGAGACCACTAAACAACAACTCTTCATGCTCCCCTCCTACCCCACAGCAAACACCATTCCACTTTCTGTCTCTATGATTTTCACCTCATAGAAGTGGAATCACATAAGATTTGCCTCTTATAATTGGCTCATTTCATTTGGTATAATGTCTTCAAGGTTCATCCACGATGTGACATGTATCAGAATTTTCTTCTTTTTTAAGGCTGGATAATATCCATTGTATGCATGTATCATATTTTGTCTATCCATTTATCTGTCAGTGGACACTTGTGTTGCTTACATCTTTTGGCTATTACGAATAATGCTGCTATGAGCCTGGGTGTATAAATACCTGCTTTCAATTATTTTGAGTACATACTCAGAAGTGAAATTATTGTATCATATGTAATTATATTTTTAATTTTTTGATGGAAATATCATGCTGTTTTTCACAAGGGCTGCACCATTTTACATTCTCACCAGCAATGTACAAGGGTTCTAGTTTCTCCAGGTCCTCAGCAATACTTGTTATTTTCTGTTTGGTTTGTTTATTTTATATAGTAGCCATCTTCATGGGTGTAAAGTGGTATCTCATTGTGGTTTTGATTAATATTTCCCTAATGATTAGTGATGTTGAGCATATTTTCATGGGCTTGTCGGCATATCTTCTTTGGAGAAATGTCTATTCATGTCCTTTGCCCATTTTTTAAATCAGGTTGTTGTTTTGTTGTTAAATTGAGTAGAAAATCTGATTTTTTAATGATCTTTCCCAGATGTTAAATATTGACATTAAGATTTCCAAATGTTAAATATTGGGGAAAAAAAAAACAAAACAAAAAACCAACTGTGGAGATCAAACAAATCACATCAGCCAGGTGACTCTGGCCTAAGGGCTGCTGGTTGGTTCACCACCTCTTTCTCAGACAGGCACTGAGGAGTGTTGTCTAGAAAACAAAGAGCAGTGGGAAGGACTGAATGATGGGCACCTGCATTGTGGGGCTTCTGCTGAACACATTTAGTGCTTTCCAAAGTCCCATTTTCCCTCCTTTGTTACAAAAGCCAAAATCCATGTGCCTGACCTGTGTTTACCTTGGCAATGAAAGCAAATGATATATTTGGCTTTATTTAAGGGAGGGCCTCACCTGGTGGTGGGGCGGTCAGAGAAAATTTCCCATCATCTGAATGAGAGACATTGAGCCCTTTGCCCTACTCTACTACTTTTCACCAGCAAATATTCCTTTGTAAGGCATCTGTTGACTCACTCTGTTTACAGAAGGGGAAAATGGCACGTTGATATGGAAGTATATTAACTAGATAACTCAAGAAGACAGCAACTGACCTCCACACTGATCTCTCCAGTTCTGCTGGGAAATGTGCTTTGAGTGGGCTCAGTGATAACGTCCTGAACTGGGAGGTCCTAAGATTGATTTCTGTGGCTGCTACTAGATTGCTGTGTAAACTTACTGCTCTGAGCTCAGTTTCTGCTCCCATAAAATAGGCTTAATAATACCTTCCAGAGGGGCTTTTGCTAAGAGAAAATAAGATTTTTTAAAAGTATAAATTGTTTTTAAACATAATATTTTTCTCAGCCCTGGTTAATTCTCATTTTTCCAGGTAGTCCTAGTCCTGGGGACAAGTAGAGGAGTGGGTAATGCTTGTAATGGTATTTGGTCTGAGCCTCTTGAGTGTTATACTAAAATTCTGAGACCTCTCAACCTTGCTTTTTTAGGGCCAATCATGGTTTTTTTTCTGCCGTAACCATGATTGTCCTTGACATTCTCCACTTGGCAGCCTGCATGCTTCTCCTGGCTCCCCAGCCCACCCCTGGCAAAGGTAATGCTGCCATTAGCCAGGGTGGCCCCTGTCCTTTGTGATCCACACCACAGCAAGCTCAGCACTCATGCCTGAAGCTCCTGTGCACACCTGCTCAGGGCTGAGTGTGGGCATCTCCCCACAGGCAAGCACTGTTCTCCAGGATAAGGTCTCTGGAACTCAACTACAGGCTCTTTAAAGGAGGAAAACATTCTCACAAACCTTGAAGATATTTTTGAGGACCTCCAGGAATATTTGGATCCCAATTTAGGGAATGCTGTTCATTCTAGAACACCGTTCTAGGATGTTCCAGTTATGGGAAGCAGGAGGGGAAGTGACAGACAAAGGCCTGTCTTTACACACACCTCAGCCCCTCTCCTTGCTAGCTGTGTCACCTTGGGCAAGTTTATCAGCATCGTGGGCTTCAATGTCCTCTTCTGCAAAATTAGGCTAATAAGACCCATCTTATCAATGTGATGAGAGGGCTAAATGAGATGTCAAATTTAATGTGCCCTATATTCAGTAGGAACATCACAAAAGACAGTTGAAAGCTAACAGGGAGAAAAGCACAAGGGACAGGGCCATGAAGCATTTGCCAGGCGCCAGCCAAAGGTGCAGCTTGCACAGTCGTCATCTCTAATGTGCCAGGGACCAGAATAGTCCGAGCACTGGGCAATGTGAGGCCACTCAATGAGTTTCCTGTCTACAGTGGGGGGTTTCCTGAGATGTGGTGGGTCATGTCACCTCAACCCTGTGTCACAGAGCTCACCTGCTGTTCCTCTTCATCTTTTCTCTTGGGAGGCTTGAGAGCCCTTGTACAAATACAACTCCTGGGGATCTGCCTGATAGCCTAATTGCTCCAGAATGGGTAGGAAGATTGGGCTCCCCACTGTGCCCTTTCTACACAAATGGCCATAGCTATCATTATTCAGGACTGAGCCTGTGGAGAAAATTGTACAATTGCGCAGATTATGGCTATGACAAATTCATGGTTTTCAAAGTCAGTTAACTCGTAACAATCTTTTTGTCACTATCAGCTCCTTCTCCTATTCCCTCTGCTGCTCTTCTAAACCTTAACTCTTTCCCACCAGTCTCCCAACTGACCTCCACTCCCACCCTCTCTGCACAGGCACCGGCCTCCACTTCTGTGGAGAAACCCAGTGTGCTAGGGCTCATTGTCATGCCTGCATCTTCAAAGTTGTCTACTTTGGCACCAGCCCTTCCCTCCTCCCCTCTAGTCTGAGGAGATAAGAGGCACTTCTTTCTGTTCAAGAGCAATCCTTCTTTAGTAGACTCATATTCTTTCTGCCTTTCTGGTGTCCCTTCTCTGGCCAAGAAGCCCAAACTGCCATTTGGAACCACCCTCTTCTGTTCTCAGCCCATGTGGTTGAGTTGGCATAGACCCCACTCCTCCCCTGCCCCAGAGGTGGACATGTGACCATTCAGGGCCAATCAAGACACTGTTTCCCCCTGGGCAGAGTTTTTGGGTCAGAAGAGATACATACATAAGCCTGGGTCAACCAGAGTCCACCCAGTCTTGACAGAGCCATTGAAAGGCAGGCTACTTATTTTACTGAAACAGTGGGCCTTAAGGACCATATAATGATGGACATAGTGAGCACCATTTTTCTACCACATGGATGCAGACTGCCTGAGAATGAAGTCAATAGAGAGGAAAGTGAAGCCGAGAGAGAGGAAAGAAGCGGGAAGGGGAGAGAGAAGATGTAGAGAAGAGACAGAGGGACAGGGAGACAGAGGGAGAGAGAGAGTCCTGAGGACATTTTGCTGAGTCTTCAGAGGCAGTGTTTCCTGAGTTTTTTCAGTTACATGGGTTGGTCAGTTCTCCTTTTCTCTTAAGCTGGTAGAGTTTATTTTACTTGCAACTAAAGAGGACTGGAAATATACTTTATCTGGACTGTAAATGTCACTAGGAAAGGACTATGTCTGTCTGTGTTGTTTATTCCCAGACTTAAGACTGTGTCTGGCACACAGTAAGTGCTCAATAACTAGTTATTGACTAACCCCATCTATGACTAGTGTTGATCCCATCTCTTCACCTTACCTTCATCTTTGTTGCTTTCATTTTATTTCCTATGTTTTAAGACTCTCCCTTTCTCAGATAATATATTTGCTCAAGTCTCTAATCCTAAAAATAAAAACCAAGTATTCAACTAAACAAACAAAACAGAAATCTTCCTTCATTATGGCATTTCTTCCTAGCACCCTGACCTACTTTCCCATCTTGTCTGAGACTTTCTGAAGCATATTCTTAACCCACTGCCACCTGGTTTCTGTCTCGACTCTTTCACCGTTGTTACAGTTTTCTCTGACATCACTGACATGAACGCATATAGCTCTCCCTTTCACCCACTCATTCAATCCACGCAGTCGTTGAGCCCCCCTTCCTCATAGAAGGCAGGATGTCCCTCATTTTCCCAGACTCTACCCTCTGGATCTCAGTTCATGGGGCTTCCTTTTGCTAAAAGTGTGGCTTGGAATTCTAGCCTTCTATTCACAGACTATTTGGAATTCTTCTCTTGCAGTGGGACTGTGGCAGCACAGCACAGATTCTCCTTAGCCTTGGCAACTTTTCCCATGTGGCAAAGTAGATCAGGCTTTCATCATCTAGCATGTCCGGGGCCCACATGATGTCATGTTTTGACGTTTATAAGTAGGCCAAGCCTCCAAGGAGGATGGCTATTGTGCCTCAGCCTTCTCCCCTTGACCACAAGACTGCTTCTTTTAGCTCAGCAAGTATCAGAGGCCAGTCTCTAATGTTAGATCTTTAGGTGTTGAACTGGGAATATGCTCTGCAACACCCAGGATTAGGATAGAGATGGATTTCATTTTATATGGGCTAGCATATTATTATTAAAGACCATTTCAGGAGTGGGACTGTGAAAGGAGGTGCTCTGTTATCTGGTCCAAGAGCTCCTCTGGGAATTAATCCTGGCTGGTTCTGATGAGCTGGCAAGGAGCAGAGGATTGCAGTCTTTAAGTAGAAAATTAGAACCCCATCCATGTAACAAGTGAACGTGCATTAAATAGCTTGAATTGTTTAATTTATAGGAGCTTACGAGAGAAAAGATCTCTGCTCATTCTGCTAGCTTTAGAAAACAATAGAGTCCTTGAATGGTTACATTCATTTATCTATTCAACAAATATTTAGCAAGCGCCTACAACCTGCAAGGAGTTTATTATCTACATAAGGACAAAAAGTTCAGATAAATGGCTTTAATAGAATGTGCTATTAAATTTTAAATGGGTTTTCTTCTGTTAAAAGGCCACAAGGAGCCTTAAAAGTGGGCATTATTAAGTCAACAGTGTGAAGTGCTCATTTAGCTAATAAAACACCAGCCCATCTCACTGGCTGTATATCAGAGTCTAGAGCAGTAGCCTGCAGTGAACCTGGGAATTGGTCTTTCTGACAATGTCCTTGGGTGATTCTGATGTGCCTCTAGGTTTGATCATTGATACAGTTCATCATTTGCCATCATAACTGGACTTGACATCTCAGTGTCATTTGATGGTATCTCATTCTTGAAAATGGGCCATGTCTTGATTCTCTAACTGCATTCCTGGTTCTCTCCTCTCTTTCTGGTTTTTTGTCAATCTCTTCCCCTGGCTTCTGCTTTCCCACCAGCCATGCATTAGTTTTCTAGGGTTGCTAAACTACCTCAAACTTAGTGGCTTGAAGTCACACAAAGTTGCTATCTTATAATTTGGTAGGTTAGAAGTTCCATCCAGGGCTGACTGGGCTAAAATCTAGGTGTTGGCTGGGCTGCATTCCTTCTGGAGCCTCTAGAGGAGAATGTTTCCTTCCCTTTCCCAGCTTCTAGAGGCTGCCCACATTCTCAGTTCGTGGTCCTCTTCCATCTTCAAAACCCGTAATGGCTGGCCAAGTCTTTCTTGCATCGCACTGCTCTGACTGCGCTTCTGTACTCACAACTCTTTCTCTACCTGCTTTTCTTCCTCCCTTTTTCATTTTTAAGGTTCTTCTATTCTTCCATCTTCAAAGCCAGCAACATCCGGGCCAAGTCCTCCTTAAAGATTTTTGTGATGATATTGGGCCTACTTGGGGAAGCCAGAATACTCTCCCTGTTTTAAGGTCAGCTGATGAGCAGCCTTAATCTCATCTGCTGTCTTCATTTGCTCTTTGCCGTGCCTCATAAGCTATTCACAGATTCTGGGGATTTGGCCATGGACATTTTTGTGGGGGGCCTTCTATTGCTAAAGCCTCTTTATTATTGTTCTTCTGTAGCCCTCTCTTTGCAAACTCAGACCTACAGGGGCCAACAGGCAGTGTAAGTGAGTGAAGCTGGATAGGGAAACACAAGTGTTGAACTGGATGCTCATTTTTGCTATGTGAGAATGTGGGCCCAGCATTGCCAGATCTGATTTTTTTGGAAGAGCTAAAACTTTAGATTTTCTTTAATATGTCCCCCAACTTTTAAATGTTGGCAATGAATTTAAATATTTCAAGGCATTATGCAGGCCAAACCAAACATATCTGCTGCTGTATTTGGCCTTGGGTTGTCCATTTGTAACCTCTGCTCTTTTTGCTCCCCTTGGAAATGATCACATTATGTCTAAGGATAATGTAGTGTGCACAATGACTTGTAAGCCTATCAGTCCAGCCAGACCTCTATGATAAGCTGAGAACAACATCTCCAACTACATGCTGGACAGCCACACTGACTTATTATCTCCCTATACAAACCTGCTGCTCAAGCCTAAAACCTGAGAGTCTCTTGCTTGCTAATCCAATGGTCTCCAACTCCTGCAATCCATTCCCTTCTTTGCACATTACCTAGGGCCTTGATTACCTCTTTACTGGATTATAACAACTCTCTTTTAATTCATCTGTTAGGATCCATTCTTCTTTCTGATTTCAGCCTGCCTTAGTCAGTCAGCTTCAGCTGCTATAATAAGACACTGTAGACTGGGTGGCTTATAAACAAGACATTTATTTCTCACAGTTCTAGAGGCTGGACATCTGAGATCAGAGTGTCCTCACAGTCAGATTCTGGTGAGGGGTCTCTTCCAGGTTACAGACTTGAAGACATGACTATTACTATTTTCACATGGCAGAAGGAAAGCCAGTTAGCTCTCAAGCCTCTTATTATAAGGGCAATGGTCCCATTTATGAGGGCTCCACTCTCATGACCTAATCACCTCCCAAAGGACCCACCTCCAAATACCATCACATTGGGGATTCAATTTCAACCTATGAATTTTTGGGGAACACATTCAGTTCATAAAACAACCTAATCTCTAAAAGGCAGCTCAGATCACATCATGTCTCTCCTCTACTTAACATCCTTCAGTGGTTTCCAACAATGTACAGGATGAAGTCCAAAGTCCTTAGTATGGCATTCCACGCCTCTTATGATATGACTCTGCATTACCCTCCAACCTAATTTCTTACCACTTTCTCATTGCTATCTGGTGTTCCAGTATTACAGAACATTAGTTGCAGCTCCCTATACATAAGGGTATAAGAGAACACTTGCTGTTCTCTCTGACTGGTATGCCCTTCCTCATTGATATGCATGGAGACCTACTCATCCTTAAACAAAAGGCCAGCTCTTTGTGAACTGTTCCCTGACTCTTTCCTTGATGCAACTTCCACAGCCCTTTCTCCAGGCTATCACTGTGTTTTGATTATGAGTTTTTATTGCACCCATCTCATGTGACTTTAATTTTTTGTTCACATGCATGTCTCCCATCTTTGTGTCTTAGCGTCTTTGTATTAGGAGTACTTAGCACAGGGCCCTCACAATGGACATGCCTAGTAATGTTTCTGAATGAACAAGTGAATGAATGAAGTCATACTAGACAGATGGCATCTGTCCTGTTTATGATCAAAATTACCCCCAAGGAGGTGTAATTCTTTGATGAGTTTCTCGTTCCTCTCTTTGAACAAGTTGCTATATTCCACCAGCCGCAGAAGTGCTTCGAGTGATTTCAAATGCAGAATTCAAAATTGGCTGCCAAGAGATGCCACTTCATTTCCTTTCTAGAATAACATGATTTTCCCCATAACCCAGACAAAATAACAACCCTTGGCTAATGTTTCATATAAGGGGATTTTTCAGAAGGGATAAAAGGGTTAACAGGAGTGGAATTTGGCTTTGCTTATTTCCTCCGTGTTTCCTTGGTGTTCCCAGGTGTTCCTGTCCAGGTATGAAGCCTCCTGTGTAGAGTGCACAGGGGAAGGCCACTCCAGGTCAGGCTTTTAATCCCATGGTGATGCCATCTCAGGAAGTGCCAGCACCCTGTGAACCTTGCAGGATTCTGCAATACAGTCATAGATCTGGGCAAGGACCACAGTTTACACAGCATTGCTCTCTCAGACGGAGACAGGATTAGTCATCCGTCTAAAAATGGAAGGAACAGGCATAAAGGGGCACTTGTCTTCACAGGGAGCCCAGCCAGCAAAGCCTGTAGACCGACTAGAAGAGCTGGGCCGAAGATCAGCCTCAAGGGTGCTCCCCCAGGCACTCAGTCTGTCCAACTGTAGGGCAGATGCCAGGTGCAGAAAAGAAAAACCAGATCCTGGACGTACATAGTTACTAAACGCCACATTTTTGATTTTGAAGTTTTATCTTCCCTGTGTCCCTGAGCATATTATCTACCTGTCTTCCTTGAGGGAAAGAGAAAAGAATGAATGTCCACTGGATACCTACTATGAACCAAGACATGTTCTAGATGGTTTTCCTTTCTAAATGTATTTTAATTGTATTAGCATTTTTAATCTCCATTTTACAAATGAGGAGAGTGGGGATCAGAGAGGCTAAGTCACTAGCTCAATTTTACACAACCAGTAGATGATAGAGCCAAGATATGGTTCTAGGGAGATGCTATCTTAAAGTCCATGCTTGTTCCATTTTTGCTACTGCTGATACAGTTGTAAAAATCAAATTTTGGGGTTTGTGTACCAGAATCAACAGCTAATATTACCCACCCACTTATAACCTTATTGGGCCAATGGGTTCAGAGTATTCTCAGCCCAACATTTGGGCAATCAGTCACTATATATTATGTGAAGAAACTGCAGGTTGATCCAAAGAGGCCTAAGACCCAGCCCCTGCCTGCCAGGTTCACACTACCTGATGTGACACAGACAGTGAGGAAAAGGCAATGTGATAATACAGGAGCTGTCTCAAAAAAGCACGTCAGCAATTCCACACATATCTACAATCACGCACACAATGATGGTGATCTCATGTGTGATACACTCCCCTGGGTATTTGTGGGGCCATAGCTATCATTCTTTTTTTGCCCATGCAGGAAAGTGTGTTGTACTAGAATGCAAGTAACTAGGAAAATGCTGTTAAAGGGATTACTCAAATCTGCTTTAATGTTAAATCACAATAAATCAATGAGGATCTTTGGTGTTTTAGTTATTAGTAACTAAATACCAACTGCTGTCTCACAACAGATGACAGTACATTCATGTGCTCAGAGCCATTGTACCTGAGAACCACTGCAGTGGTCAGCCAAATGTCTAGTGTGGACAAAACATGCTGTAAGCTGAGAGGAAGGGGAACTCAAGGGGCCTGAAGCAGACTGGGATAACTTATGGGAAAGTGCAATGACTTAGACCAGTGCCTAGCATAGTGCCTGGCATGTGGAAGAGCTTAACAAAGGAAATGAAAAATGCAGGGCATACATGGGTCTTATGCCAAACAGCTGCAGATGCTGGCCAGTCACTCCCAAAGTCCAGCACAAGGCAAGGCCCCTTTTCCCCCATGCAATGAGGATATACAGATAAACCCTGCCCTCTCCCTACCTGCAAACATGTCATCTTAGTTGAAGAGTCAGGTGGAAGAGGTGTTCTCTGAGAGACTATTTTCTAAGAAGATGCTTGATTTATCAGACTGGATTATGCTTGAAAATGAATAGTATAAACACTAATTATTTCCTCCCTTAGCCAGCTGGTGGGGGCTTGGGAGAAAAGCCAGACTGATAAGGGATAAAGTAAAGGAGCTACATTTTCTCTGCCCTGAGTGAAATGTGAAATAAACTTTGTGACTCAATTACATTCATATTGCTATTTGCTGATTTTTCCTTTCTAGATATTATCTTATATCCCCAAGTCCCCCTCTCCTTCTTCATCCTAATTATTTTTAATAGTCAACACCAATATCTTTAGTTCTTTTGTGGATACCTTTGTGTAACTTCATACCTACTTAAATATCTCTTTCTTGTTCTATTAACGTTCAGTGATGTCTCTGAGCTCTAATTTTGTAAGACAGAGGCCCTCTTCCATCTGTTACGTCTTCCACCTTGTAATTTCTGTCATTTGGATCATTAATGTTTATCTTCTGTTCTGTAACCATATTTTAGTCTTATTTTACATTATATGTAGGTTGATTCTAAAAGGTTGAGAACCAAAAATAAATTTATGCAATTTTAAGTGTGGAAATATTTTTTTACGGCAGGGCTACATGTCAATATCATAACTCCGCTTCTCTCAGACTGCAGCTAGTACACAGCTGCTACTATAAGAACTACTACAGACTTAGTGGCCTAAAACAACACAGATCTACTATAGTTCTTAAGGCATAAATCTGCCATGGGTCTCATTGGGCTAAAAGCAAGGTGTCAGTAGGACTGGTTCTTTTTGGAGGCTCTAGGGAGGAATTCGTTTATTTGCCCTTTCCAGCTGTTAGAGACCACCTGCTCTCTTTGTTTTATGGTCCCCTTCCTCCATCTTGAAAACCAACAAACACAGAATTTCTCTATATCTTCTTCCAGCATCACATCTATCTCTGACCATAGCCTGGAAAGGTTCTCTGTTATTAAGAACTCATAGGATTCAACTGGGCCTACCTGGAAAATCCAGGATAATCTCCCCATCTAAAATTTCATAATCAGGCTATTATCCTAAGTGAATTAAGACAGGAGAAGAAAACCAAATATGGCATGTTCACACTTATAAGCGGGAGCTAAGCACTGGGTAAACGTGACATAAATATGGGAACAATACACACTGGGGACTACTAGAGGGAGGAGAGGAGAAGAGCAAGGGATGAAAAAGTACCTATTGGGTACAGTGCTCACTACCTGAGTGATGGGATCATTCACCCCTAAACCTCAGCATTACACGATATAGCCATGTAACAAACCTACGTGCATATTCCTTAATCTAAAATAAATGTTGAAATTATAAAATAAATTTTGAAATTATAAAATAAAATTTCCTAACTTTAATCACATATGCAAATTCCTTTTTGCCATGTAAAGCAATATATTCACAGATTTCAAGGATTAGGACATGGGCATATTTGAGGAACCATTGTTCTGCTTGTAATACAAAACAAAATGTTTCTAGTGTTAAAAAAAATGAGTTCTCCTTATGTACCATCAATTCAACGCAAGGAAGAGTTCAGTGAGAGATTAATCAAACTATCAAAATTCAAAGACAAAGAAAGAATTCTGAATGCAGCAAGAGAAAAGAAACATACTACATACAAGGGAGCCCTAGTTCAATTATTATGGGATTCCTCAGCAGAAATCTTGCAGGCCAGAAGAGAATAAGATGATATATTCAAAGTGTTGAGGAAAAAACCTGCCAACCAAGAATTCTTTACCTGGCAAACCTGTTCTTCAGAAATGACGGAAAAATAAAGGCTTTTGCAGATAAACAAAAGCTAAAAGCATTCATCACCACTAGATCTGTCTTAAACCATAAATTTAAAATTTATGAAGCAAAATGCTCCACTAACAAAATTTAAAAATAAATAATATTCTGGAAAAAATGTTGCAATATGTACTACAAAAGATTACTCTCTGGTATACATAAAATAGCTCTTGCGAAAGACAACCCAAACACAAATTAGAACAAAGAACATAAACAATTAGTAGAAAAAATGTAAATGGCAAATAAAACCATATTAGGAATCTGAATCAAGGAAAGGCAAGTGAATAGAAGGTGAAACAATGTAAAAAAAATGAGAGAGGTAACTTTTCACACAGTTGCTTGGAGATTGGAGGAAAACAACCAATATAAATATGTGAAAGATGTAGAATGTAAGAAATAGTGGGTTTGAAACAGGAGTTCAAGGACAAGAAATTCAGGTGAAAACATAACAGCAGGACTAGAAAGTATTTTATCCTACAAGTCTCTTAAACTATTATATTTTACACACTTTTAACCTCTCTATGCTGCATTTGAGTTGTTTATTCATTTCTTTCCAGTTTGCAAGATCTGTCTTCATTTGTGTATAGGTAGCTACGCAATAGTCTTCTGTTTTACTTCCCAATGGTTATGTTTTGTTTCTAGAATTTCCATTTGGTTCTTTTCCCAGTCTTCCATCCTTTAAAAATTTAGTAAGATAAATTACTTTGTTTTTTGTTTTATTTCCTCAAATTTTTGGAGTGCTGATTTCCTTTTTTTTTTTTTTATATTTGCCAACTTTCCCTTATGATAGTTGATTTCCTTATGTGATTTGCAAGTTTTTTAACATCAGTTTTTAGGTTTATTTTTTCAGGCGAAATATTGGGTTATGAAAGCATGACCATCATAAGAATTTGCATTTGTATCTGACAAAGGGGTTTAACTAGCCAGACAAGTGTCTATATCAATTGCTCTGCTTGAAGTCTCACACTGTACATTTGATCCCATATTTCTGTAAGTTCCAGGCTTGGAGATGTGATTTCTCGAACTTTTTTTTTTTTTTTCCCTACCTTTACCACCAAATGACAAACTTCTTTTCTGCCATTGGCCAAGGATGAAGGTTGGATACTTCTAGTACCCTTTTCATTGATATTCAGTTTTTAGACTGCAAGTTTAATGCACAAGTATCCATCACCGTTACTCTTTTTGTGTGTGCCTAAGGCAACATCTTTTGACCTAGTGGGCAATAAAACTCCAATGGCCAGTTCCTAGAGCTTCTAGCCACTTCACTATCTCCATGAACCACAAGAGTATCAGCTTTGGCTTGCACCATGGCTTTGAGTACCCCTTTCACTTATAGCACCTGGAAATTTTCTTTATTTTTTTTTTGAAAATTTCTGAGCATTTGAGCTGTTGTTCTGTTTTGCCCAGCATTTCTATGTTTTTATTTATTGATAGAAGCATTTCCACATTGTCTCAGTCCAGAAGTGTCATTTTTTAGATTTAATATGATCATTTGGTTAAGATTTTCCCAGAAATCTCATAGTCCTTGTTGTTTTCAATAATTATTATGAAATATTTAAGGTACACAGAAATGTACACAAATACAATTAACATCCTTATATGTGTCATCCGGGTTAAGAAAGGAAGCACTAATAATAAAATAAAATAGAATAATACACAGGATAATTCCTGTGCCCCCAGCTCCTGAGTTTCATCTCCATTTCTTTTCTTTTCTCCACCCTATAGGTAACCATTACCCTTCATTTGGTGTTTATCATTTCCATGCACTTCTTTTAATTTTTCAATTTACAATATTAGCCAAAGGAGCACTTTAATGTTCCAGGCACTCTTGCAAGAGCTTTAAAAATGCTAACTTCTTATATCTTCTATAAGATAGGTATAATTATTATTATTATTATTATTCCCTTTTTTTTTTTTTGAGACGGAGTTCACTCTCTTCGCCCAGGCTGGAGTGCAATGGTGCGATATCGGCTCACTGCAACCTCCGCCTCCCGGGTTCAAGTGATTCTCCTGTCTCAGCCTCCTGAGTAGCTGGGATTACAGGCATCCACCCCCAGGCCCAGCTAATTTTTGTGGTTTTAGTAGAGACGGAGTTTCACCACGTTGGTTAGGCTGGTCCATTTTGCTGGTGAGAAGAGTCCATAGAGATTAAGTAACTCTTCCACAGACACACAGTTGGTGTTCATGTACAATTTGAACCCAGTTAGTTTGGCTTCATAATCTTTGCAATTAATTAACCACTATGCTGCTACATATATGTATATCCTTAAATATTATAGTAATAATAATAGTCTTATTTCATAAGAAATCAAACTTTACATAAACTGTATATTTAGAAAATTTTCTGCAATTATCTTTTTTCCATTCAGCATTATACTTCTGAAGTTTATCCATATTGATGTTTGTAGGTCTAATTCATTATTTTCTCACCTGTATATAATTTAATCATGTAAATTTACCTCTACTTATTTATTCATTTTCATTTCCATGGCTACTTAGATTGCTTCCAATTTTTTGCTACTACAAATAATTTTGCAAAGAACATTTTAAATACCTATCTCCTAGTAGACAAATGAGTTTTCCTAGGCTATATTTCTATAAGTGAAACATGTGGTCACAGGACATGTGCTTAGGCAATGTTATTAATACTAGATTTTGCCAAGTTTTCCTTTTAAAATGGTTGACCAATTTACATTTCCAATGCAGCGTATGAGAGCTTTTTTTGATTGCTCCACGTCTTTGCTATAGTTATATCATTAGGCTGTTCAGTTTTTGCCCAGCTGATGTGTACACAACAGAATTTTACTGTCATTTTACCCATTACATGCTTAACAGTTCGGCATATCTGTTCCACTTATCTATTGCTGCCTAGCAAATTACTCTAAACTTTAGCCTCTTAAAACAATCAGTTTTTGATGTTTAGAAATTTCATGGATCGCAAATTTAAACAGGTAACAAAAGAAATGGCTTATCTCTGCCCCAGGATGCCTGAGGCCTCAGCTGGGATCACTGACCACTGGGGGTGACTCAACGGATGGGGCTGGTATCATCTGGAGGAATCTTTACATATGCTGGCCATTGGTTCAGATTTCACATGAAGATACTACTGCTGTGAATACTATGTACGGCTTCTACGTTTGGCCTGGGCTTTCTCACAGCATTGTGCTTCACGATAGTTGAACTTCTTTCAGTTTTAGTATATGTGCTGCTGACGTAAGCACGATAGTTGAACTTCTTGTATGGTGACTCAGATCTCCGAATTAGAGTATCTCAGTAAACAAGGTTGAAGCTGTATTATTCTTTTATGACCCAGCTTTTATAAGTCACACTATTGCTTCTCCTGCACTATATGGGTTAGAAGTAAGTCAACAAGGTAAGCACACGTTCAAAGGGAGGGAAAATAGGAGAAATGTCCCCTCTTCTCAATAGGAGGAATGTCAAAGAATCTGCAAACAAGTTTAGAACTGCCATAATGTCCCACAAGTGTTTAGTCATTTTCCCTAAAATAACATTCACTTAACAAAGTATAGTTTGTTTTGAATAATATTTCACATTAATTACGTTATTGTTAAATGTCTTATTGTTAAAAAGTCTTCAAAATTTTTATTAAAAGATAAAAGTGGTGATGAATATAATGAAATTGATACTTTTAACTCATAATAATTTTTAAATCCTAAATTGTGAAGCTGATTCTATTGAGAATATTAATTTTGAATCTATGTATTAGGAGAAACAAATCTTTGAGTTTCATGATTTCTCACAAGTGGTAGAAAAATAAAAGTGGGAGGAGGAGGAAAAAGTCATAAATATTTGAGAGCAAGATCTTGTAGGATTGGGCAATTATTTGCTTCTCATCCATCATGTTGTTTATTAGGATAATTTCTTAACAAGTGGTATGGTATCAGTGAAATGTTACATCTATCACCCTCATCAACCCATAAAGTTTTCCCAAAACAACAGGAAATAATTATTTTATTTTAAAATAATTATTTTCTATACAAAATTGTTGGGTTTTATTTTTAAAGGTGAAGAAGAGATTTTAGTGAACATCGGCTATTTTCTTGTCTGACCAGCACATCTTTCTTTGGAGGACTACCCCTCTCCCAATGCACATAATTCTGATGAGGCTTTCAATCATGTATTTCTCTTTGTCCAGCCACAGAAGCAGGCTCTGACCCAGGCTGGACAATCAGAGTCCCTTTTCGGGCTTGATATAGTGCAGGAGACTTCCTTCTCCTTTAACTGGGACCAAAACTCTTTTGAAAGTGTGAGTCTGGAGTAGCTGGTGGTTTCATTTTCTGCCCCATGGAGAGTGCTTATTGAGGATGAAGTCAATTCTGAGGAAAGCATGGCCCAGAGGTGGAGAGAGAAAGGCAGAGTTCTGATTATATCTTCTGATCTTTTAGATCTTATTGGACAGAAGTCCCTCCTCAGCCTTCCTGGTTATGAGAGTCAGCTGCTGTTCTGTTTTTGCAAAAACGACTTTTCATTGTGTGGTCCGCCACTTGCTAGGGAGAGTGTGTTTGATCACTATCAATTCCAGAAGTACAAAAGCACGATTCAAAGTCTAACTCCTTAGCAAAAATCAGTACTGGACACACTATTATTAGGAAATCTGTAAAACCAGTCCCAAATAACTGACAAGTGATATCTATGGAGGGAAAGCAAAATTAGAAAAAGCTTATCAGTGGCATATAATCTAGAGCAATGTATTTTTACCTTAAAGCTAGGTAAGATGGCTGATGAGTAGATTCTGAATTGGATTTTAGGAGCTGGTGATATATGAAGGAAAAACACTCAGCAGCTTTTTATCACATGGAAAAAAACTTCTGTTTGGTTAGTGATTATTTTCTGAACCATGGTATAAACAGGAATAAGGTTATCAACAGATAAGTAAGTGACAAAGAAGGACATTGCTACTTGAATAAAAGAGGCTTTTTTTTGGATGTCCAATTAACCACATGATTTATTGACAGAAAACAGTCCAACTCAGCCATGTGCTTCCTGACTTTGACTCACTATTTAAAAAATAGTAAAAACTTTAATAAAAAGTTGGTTGTGTTGATTACGTGTTTTTAGCATATTGTGGTGAAGAAATTGGCAGTGAAGATAAGAGGGTTTTTTTTTTCCCTCACATGACGGTGGTCTGGCTGTTAAAAGAAAGGGTTCTCACGAGTTTGAGATATGAAGAATGAGAGGAAACATTTCTTCATGGCAATAATAATGCTAGAGAAGCCATTTTAGTGACATCTGGTGGCTTGCACAAAAGCATATTGATGATGTAGTATCACATTTTCCATCTTGAAATTAAAGGATCAGGCTGGGTGCGGTGGCTCACGCTTGCAACCTTAGCATTTAGGGACGCTGAGGAGGATGGATCACCTGAGGTCAGGAGTTCGAAACCAGCCTGGCCAACATGGTGAAACCCCATCTCTATTAAAAATACAAAAAAATTAGCCAGGAGTGTTGGCATATGCCTGTAATCCCAGCTACTTGGGAGGCTGAGGCAGGAGAATCAATTGATCCTGGGAGTACGAGGTTGCAGTGAGCCGAAATTGTACCACTGCACTCCAGCCTGGGTGACAGAGCGAGACTCTGTCTCAAAAAAAAAAAAAAAAAAAAAAAAAGAAATTAAAGAATCAAGATTTCTTAAGACTGAACTCTGGTGAAAATGGCTTGTTAAGAGTAGGACTCTTACAAGATTGATGATCTAAAAAAAATGTATTAAATCAATGCTCTGTTATTGGGCGTGTTTATTTTTATCTTTGATTAATTACTTTATCATTACAAAGAATGCAAACAACTCAACAAGGTATAAGGGAAGAATTAGGAAATAACCTCAAATCTCATACCATTGATAACATTATTACACTATTCTCGGTGCACATATTGAGACAGAAGGGTAGAGAGGTAGAGAGGTACCTAACTAGATAGCACTAATTTTTTTTTTTTTTCCAGGAGGCCAGGAAATATTTTATTGACAACCAGGGACACAGCCATAAGAGAGAGAAGCACACAGGACTCCAAACTAACATCCAATAGTCAGCAAGGGCCCTCTGGGCCAGGAATACTGAATCCTGGTGTCCTCACAGTCTCCCACCAGTAGACATACATTACTGGGCATCCAAGGGAGGGGGCAGTGGCTCTGGTGTCCCAGAGAGTGAGAGGATATATGATGCCTCATTACGAGCGACAGGGTAGGGAGGTAAAATGGAGGGTCCATCACTGCCTAAGACCACCTCCTCCTCTCAGAGCCAACACCAGGTGAAGGACTGAACCACCTAAAATCTTGTAATCAGCTGCTGTCTTCTCATCATTCATGTTTGCCACTGTAGATGAGCCTCTGCTGTTGTGGAGGGATTCCCTCTTTCTCCTCCACATGCTCCTTGATTCACTCCACCTTGTCTGTAGGTTCAATATCAATCTCAGTCTCCTTTCCAGTTAGTGTCTTCACTTTAATTAGCATCTTCTTTCCAGTTTGGGGCTGCACACGGATAAATTGCTGCTCCTACCACTCCGGTCGCCACTGCTGCTCTTCCAGATAGCACTGATTTTATAAAATTGTATTATACTTTTTTTTTTTGAGACAGAGTCTCACACTGTTGCCCAGGCTGGAGTGCAGTGGCGTGGTCTCAGCTCACTGCAACATCCACTTCCCAGGTACAAGTGATTCTCCTGCCTCAGCCTCTTGAGTAGCTGGGACTACAGGTGCACACCACCAAGCCCAGCTAATTTTTGTATTTTTAGTAGAGACAGGGTTTCACAGTGTTGGCCAGGATGGTCTCGATCTCTTGGCCTTGTGATCCACCCGCCTTGGCTTCCCAACCTGCTGGGATTACAGGCGTGAGCCACTGGCGCCTGGCTTATACTTTTTAATATAAAGTGTTCAGTTTAATTTTGTCTATATTACAAAATCTAATTCACTAGAAAAAACTGAAATGAAAATAAATTTAACGCAAGGAAAAGAAGTTGAAGGGAAAATGAAAACTGTTTATATATGTTCCTTCCTCACAAAAAAATTACAAAACCATAAAGAAAAAATTGAGAGGTTAGAGTTATTATCTTATTTAATCCACTTCAATTTTAGACTCCATTAATTGACATCCTGCTATAAAATGTATGGATGTTAGAAGTTTTCTACCTTCTCTCACTTCTTTCTTTCTCTACCTTCCAACTTTGTTAGTTATATTATTCTAAGTTTGCCAAGGTTTAAAACATTTACATTCAGTTCTATGATTGTAATCATCATAGGTGCTTATAATTAGAACTACATTAAGACAGATTCAGAGTTTACCACAAGCTTTACATCACTGCTTCTATATTACTACATTCTTCATTTGGTTTTCTATAATTTTTCTTTTTGATATTTAAAGGTGTCTGCTTTGTGCCTTTAAATTAAATGCAACTTGGCTGGGTATAATATTCTTGGCTTATACTTTCTTTTCCCTAGAACTTTATAGCCATTATGTAATTATCTTTTGGCATGGAATATTATTGTGGAGACTTCTGAGGCCAGCCTGGTTCCCTCCCCACCCCCACCCCCAGTCTTGGGGGTTGATTTTTATGCATAATATTTTAATTGTTAAAATGCAAAACCTTCACCAGAATATGGTTTGGTGTTGAAAGCAGTATGTCAATTTTTCCTGAAAAACAGGTGTTCTTTCAGCATGTAAATTTAGTTCTTCTTTCATTTTGGAGATGAACTTTCTGTATGATATATTTGAATAATTTTTCTATTGTATTTATTAGCTTCTTATACTAACTGTGGATCATCTTTGTTTTCAATATCCATTACCATCTCTGAATTTTCTTTAATCTTTTTATTTTGCATTTGCTGAAATTATCTCACTATAATAAAAGCCTTTTCTGTATATTAGTGTCTGTGGCTTCAGCCACCACTTAACACCATTTCCATTCTGCGTCTGGTGTCTGGAGACGTTTATCTTGTTCTGAGTGCAATGTATGTCATTAAAGATATTTTAAAACATGCTCTATCATTGTATCAGCGTGTTTGGGGAGGGAGAGTGGAGGGAGGAAAGGATGGGTTTGTGTTTTTAAAGTTTTAACCTGACCACAATTCTCTTCTAAGTTTTACAAGCTATTCTGTAGCTAAATTCTTATTCCTAATGATGTTTATTTGGGGGGTTTGTTTCTCTTTTTTTATTTCTTTCCTTCAGATTTCCCTGAGGCTGTTTCTTCTTTGTGGGACCATTTTCCTAAAGCACAATTTTGGAATTCCTTAATGAGAATCTATTGGTAGTAAATATTCTCTTTCATTTGGAATGGTCTTCATTTTACCATTGTTGTTTCTTTTCATAGAGTGATGGCTAGGATTATTCAGTACAACGTAGAAGGGAGTGGTAACACTGGAAATGTCAATTGGTTGTCCAGTCAGGAAAATAAAAACCATTCTTGGTATTTCAACTGAGAAAATGTATTAATAGAATAATTTTGTTACAGAGGTCATGACGAATAGAGAGCCAAACAAATATACTTCAGATTAAAAAAAAATCAGTACCAGTCATATTATTATTAAGAAGTTTATAAAACCAGTACCAACATGGTAGTGGTATAAAAATAAGCACATAGACCAAGGGAAGAGAATAGAGAACGCAGAAATAAAGCCAAGCATTTACACCCAACTGATCTTCGACAAAGCAAAACAAAAACATAAAGTGAGAGAAAGACACCCTATTTAACAAATGGTGCTGGGATAATTGACAAGCCACATGTAGAAGAATGAAACTGGATCCTCATCTCTCACCTTATACAAAAATCAATTCAAGATGGATCAAAGACTTAAATCTAAGACTTGAAACCATAAAGATTCCAGAAGATAACATCGGTAAAACTCTTCTAGACACTGGCGTAGGCAAAGACTTCATGACCAAGAACCCAAAAGCAAATGTAACAAAAACAAAGATAAGTAGATGGGACTTAATTAAACTAAAAAGCTTCTGCACAGCAAAGGAAATAATCAGCAGAGTTAACAGGCAGCCCACAGAGTGGGAGAAAATCTTCATAATCTATACATCCGACAAAGGACTAATATCCAGAATCTACAAAGAACTCAAATCAGCAAGTAAAAAACAAACAATCCCAGCCAGCCATGGTGGCTCACGCCTGTAATCCCAGCACTTTGGGAGGCTGAGGCAGGTGGATCACTTGAGGTCAGGAGTTCAAGACTAGCCTGGCCAATATGGTGAAATCCCGTCTCTACTAAAAATACAAAAAATTAGCCGGGCGTGCTGGTGCATGCCTGTAATCCCAGCTACTTGGGAGGCTGAAGCAGAAAAATCACTTGAACCTAGAAGGCAGAGGTTGCAGTGAGCCAAGATCGCGCCATTGTACTCCAGCCTGGGAGACAGAGCGAGACTCTGTCTCAAAACAAAACAAAACAAAACAAAATCCCACCAAAAAGTAGCCTAAGGACACATTCAAAAGAATATGTACAAATGGCCAACAAGCATATGGAAAAATGCTCAACATCATTAATTATCAGGGAAATCAAATCAAAACCACAATGCAATGCCACCTCACTCCTGCAAGAATGGCCATAATGGAAAAAAAAAAATAGATGTTGGCGTGGATGCGGTGAAAAGGGAACACTTTTACACTGTTGGTGGGAATGTAAACTAGTACAACCACTATGAAAAACAGTGCGGAGATTCCTTAAAGAACTCAAAGTAGATCTACCATTTGATCCAGCAATCCCATTCCTGGGTATCTACCCAGAGGAAAAGAAGTCATATGAAAAAGATACTTGCACATGCATGTTTACAGCAGCACAATTCGCAATTGCAAAAACACAGAACCAGCCCAAATGCCCAAAAATGAATGAGTAGATAAAGAAAATGTGGTTTATATACACCATGGAATACTGCTCAGCCATAAAAAAGAATGAATTAATGGCATTTGCAGCAACCTGTATGGGATTGGAGACTATTATTCTAAGTGAAGTAACTCAGGAATAGAAAACCAAACATCATATGTTCTCATTCACAATTGGGAGCTAAGCTATGAGGACACAAAGGCATAAGAGTGATACAATAGATTTTGGGGACTCGGGGAAAAGGGTGGGAGGGGTGTGAGGGATAAAAGACTACACACTGGGTACAGTGTACACCGCTTGGGTGATGAGGGCACCAAAATCTCAGAAATCACCACTAAAGAACTTATTCGTGTAACTAAACACCACCTGTTCCCCAAAAACCTATTGAAATAAAAAATAAATTTTTAAAAATAATAAATAGATAAAATAGGGAGATTAACTTGGATTACTGAGGTGGGTCTAATATTATCACAAGGGTCTTTAAAAGTGAAACAGGGAGGCAGAAGAGAAAGTGAGAGTGATGCGGAGAGTGATGCGGCATGAGAAGGACTTGGCCCAATGTTTCTGGCTTTGAAGATGGAGGAATGGCATCATGAGTCAAGGAAAGCAGGTGGCCTCTAGAAGGTGGAAGAGATGTGGAAATGGCTTCTTCCCTAGAGCCTACAGAAAGAAATGCATGCTTGCCAACACCCTGATTTTAACCCAGTGTGGCTTATTTTGGTTGTTAGAACTCCTGAACTGTAAGAAAATAAATTTATGTTGTTTTAAGCTACTAAGTTTGTGGAGACTTGTTAGAGCAGCAGTAGAAAACTAATACATTAAGGTCATCATTTGCTGTGAGCATTACTAACCTCTGATAATCAGGAGAGGAAGAACCAGCTGGGGTATTCTCATTAACCCTTTATTTGCACTCCCACTTTCCTTTTGGCCATTTCATTGTTAGTATCACCACTAAAAGATGAGCAGAGACTGTAAACTCAATGAATCTGGTGTGCTTAATTTTATGTTATATTAGCACTGCTTTGAGAGAAGGGCTATCCTTCCATGGGTAAGTCTGACCTGGAAGTAGTAGTGGTTTGAGTTACTCATGCCTTCCCTTACTCCCAGTATCTCAGTGGCTACTGTTTCCTACTTCCTGCTTGTATTCCAGGAAGAATAGAAACAAGATAGCAGGTGCACTGAGGTTTGTGACCACACTGATTTTTTTTTTTGCCTGTGGTAAATTCAGTTTTGCCCACGTATAAAGCATATGAAGGGAAATCAATGCAAGTCTTTCACCATGAGAATACTTAGCTCAGCGGGTGTATTATAGTTTGTTATGGCTGCCATGATGAAGTATCACAGACTGGGCAGCTTAAACAACTGAAATTTATTTTTCACAATTCTTGAGTCTAGAAGTCCCAAGTCAAGATGTTGGCAAAGTCAGCTTCTTTGGAGGCCTCTGTCCTTGCCCTATAGATGGTCATCTTCTTCCTATGTCTTTACGTGGTCCTCCCTTTGTCTGTGTGCTTCTTATGAGGACATCAGTCATCTTGGATGAAGTCTTCCCATATGACCTCATTTTACTTTAATTACCTCTTCAAAGGCCTTACCTCCTAAAACAATCACATGCTGAGGTACTAGTGGTTAGAATTTCAGTATGAATTTTGTTCACAGTTCACAATCCAGGTCATAACAACAGGCATAAAGGCTATTAAATAAGCATATGGAAAATCTTCAGGAAAGCTTAAATGAAAAGTACTTAACTTCACATCCAGTATTTGTGCACAAGAGAAAATTTACAGCTAAATAGATTTCAAATGATGATAGTTCTTCAGTAAAGACATACCTAGATTTTTGTAATTAGTTTTACAAGGAAATGAGAAAACTGCATTTATATTAAGCCCTGATAATGATAAAATGAAGCGAGCACTGGTATAAAAATAGTAAGCTCCATGTTATAAAATGCATAAATAGAAATGTTTGCAAGAACAATCATACAAAATGGCAAGCCATTAAAATAATTACCTAAAGAAATGATTATTTCTTGAGGTAAAAGACAACTATGGAAATACACACTAATTAACCTGTCTAAAATGAAAAGAGGTAATGTGAAGCTCAAAAACACTCCTGAAGAAAAAATTAGAAATTAATATTTCATTGTTACAATAGAAGGATGAGTGCTCTTGAAGAATCAAATCCTTTAAATATGAATATTTAGAACATTATGTTAGCAGTAATCTGAACCAATATGAGAAATGAGAAAGAAGTAGAAACACTTTTGAGAAACTATTAAATGAATCTAGCAGTTTCTTAGTAAACATCCAGTGTGAGTAGACTGGCGGATATATTCCTCCCCAATGTGCTCTGCTCCCACCACCCAGAAATCAACCCAAACACATAAAAACTAGGAATCTATAAGCATCTCTTGTATCAGCGGAAAATAAATCAGGAGATGAGGGCACCAAGTAGAATTCACGACTCAATCAATTGTCTTATCCATTGAAGGTACTTTAATTTTGCAGTTATTGATTAATTAAAAAACACAGTTGTTTTCAGCATTTCCTAGCTACAGTAGTGCATAGGAAATTCCATTCTAAACAAAGAAGTAATTAATGAAATAACAACACACCTTAACATTTTACATTGATAGGTTACAGTTTACAAGGTGCTTTCACATACATTATTTCATTTGATTCTTACAACAAGCAGAAAAAACAGTGGGAAAGATTTTTTTTTTCAGGCTTACAATGAGTATTTTCAGGCCAATGGGCAGTTAACACAAGAATATACCAAGAATGAGACAGCAATACCCATAAGCCACAATATCGTTTTTGGTAGGTTGACAGTTTGATTCAACTGGGTATTCAGCATCGGTGAGTGAGAAAGGAATTAGGACAGACACCAAGGCTCTTATGATATTCAAATAATTTTAAGAACACTGTCAGAGATAAGAAGAAAGATGCCCTAAAATATATTGCCTTATTGAGACTTACTTCAAAGCAATATACCCTTCAAAATATCAGATAAAAAGACAATCTTGTCATCGACTGTGAAAGTTAGGAGGAATCTTACAAACTGCCTAATCCAGTTCTTCCATTTTACAGACAAGAGAACTGAGGCTGAGATCATACTGATAGTTTTCCAGCCTGAAATTCAGATGTCTTGACTTTCAGTCTAGGGCTCCTTCTTACACAATGCCATCTCTTAATTATTTACTGAGCATAACATAATATCTTCTGTTTCAAATATGTAATTTTAGGTTAAATACTGATTTATGCTACTTACTTCTTATTCAAGTTTTTATCTTATTCTTGGCTAAATTGTGGCTGAAACTGGGAATGTTACATACTTTAAAAATATTCTAATTTAGTGTACTTGATTGGTCAGAAATTGACTCCCTTGACATATTTGCTCATGACAAGCTTGCTCACGGCCTTTAAATAGAGAGTAAAATGGAATGGCTGAATAGCCCTCAAAACCAACGTATGTCTAGGGATCATCTACCTAAGGTAGATTCTACAGCTGGGCACTAGTAATTTCATAGAAAAAAATATTTTTTAGAATTCATAGAAATCTTTTTGATTACTGAAAACTAAATTGTAATAATCAAATTGTCATCCCCATGACTTATTAAAATAATTTTACAATAATATACAACAAAGCTACCATAGAATTTGTAGTTTACATATAGAACACATTGGTCAGCATGTTCTTGGGTCTAAATGAAATACAAGAAAATTAAAATATTTTATACGAATGATGTTTTAAATTTATTAACATGACGATATGCCTTTGTTACACAAAACTTGCTAGAGCAGAGTATTTTATTTTTTTCTTGCACGTTTTAAATATAGATGGACCAGTGAAATCAATATCAGCATTTACATGACATTACCATGCAGAAACACTTGATAACCGAAAGACATATAGATTGGTAGAAAGAACATCTCAGACAGGTTTTTTTTATGTCTTCAAAGGTTTCACCAGGGTGTGGTACAGATGAAAAGAAGTGGTGTTAATGACCTACCTGCACCGATAATAAAGCAAATAGAATGATTATATACATTAAGATCAGCTTGATTAAAAATAAATTTTATATGCAGGTAAATTGATCATTAAAATGAACCCAGTTTAACTCTTCTCGTGTGTTGTTTTAAGGTAGGTCACTGAAACGCAGAGATAAAATCAGATGGGGAAAATTAAAAGCAAAGAAAAAAATAGCAAAACAAGTGGGTTAAGCCATGGATTCTCAACAAACACTGAACTAAATGTGCAAAAGTGCTTGAAATTTCCACCTGACAGCAATGTTGTTAAGTCAGTTGGCAAAAAAAAGTGTAGGAAAAAAACTAACCTCTCAAATACCAACATTGTATCTGCATGATCGATCAGACATTCTGTTTACTGAGAGAACAGAGGTTAGAAATTATGAAATATCTGAAAATATCATACCTCAAAATTAAAATACAATTGTGGCAGTTTTATACACTTTGTTCCCTTTCCTCATTGATGAGGCATGGGATGAAAGCAGAAGTTGCAGCAGTGCCCCTACCCTAGGCTCACAAATATAGTACACCACAATAATTAGCTGGAAACAACTTCTTTTTAACGGTTACAAAACAAAACAAATGTAAACCCTCATTTAAATATGAATACCTCTATATTGTTTCCAAAAATCAAGCCATTTTTGACTTTGCAAAGTATAAGTATTTATCTAAACCAATGTTCTTTTTAGTTTGCTTATTTTCCTTTAAAAAGTTTATGATGAGGACTATTAGAGAAAATTTAAAATTTGTCACTTTCATTAATCATGTTCTATTAAAATACTGGCTAAAATCCTTAAGGAACAGTTAAGGTTTAGAAAACTTAGAACTCTTCTCTAATACCTACAGAAATGCTGGTACCAAGTGAGAGAATCTGGGTGATGATCCATATCATTAGTTTTTCCTGCTGAATGAGACACGTTTGTCACACTACACAGGCTGGTCACTTCATTACTCAAGGAGAGGAGGATATAAAAGGAGGGAAAGGGAACTAGAACCTCTGATCTACAGCCTTCCAAATTTCTGGGTCTAGCTGTACTGTATTAGTCTACCAAAATTTATTGCCAGAATAGTGAATTCCAAGAAAGTTAGTCTTAATTTGTATAAATTTCCTTGGTGATAAGACAGTCTATCTTCAAAAATTACCAAGAGTTTTGGCAAAACCAAGTCTGAGCTACTCAAAGAAATAATAATTATTAGAAAGTTTATCTTCAAGCCATTGACCAACAACAATATTGGCAATAACTACTGAAAGCAACACTTATCCTTCCCTTCAAATATCACGTAGCCATAACACTGCCCATCTGAAACACCAACAAAATAAAATGGAGCACTGTTTAGAGAAAACCAATGAAATTGGAAAAGGAAGAAATGGATATAGGAGAGGAGAAAGACAACCCAAAGAGAAGTAAGAAAGTGGTCTAGTACTGTGTTATGGCACAGACAATGCTTGCTTAGCGGTGCCTTGTTACATAGGTGGATGCAGAGTGCGCACACGGGATGATGGCAATAAAGACCTCACTCAGTCGTTGGAATGAAGGAACTAGGTAACTGCTTCAACAAGGACGGTCTCAGCTCTACCTTATCTCTCAACAGAGTGCAAACACTGAGTGTGAGCTCAGATGTCATCTTGTTCCTCTTTAAAATTCACCAAATTCTTTTGCACATTTTTCTGTTATAGAGACACGGATATCTTCTTCTTCATAGTCATCAAAGTTGCTGGTATCTCCAGAGCCTCTAAACTTTGGTATGAATGGAGCTTCAACCTATAATTGAGAGGGAGAGAAAAATAAGAAAA
Source organism: Homo sapiens (assembly GCF_000001405.40). Classification (NCBI taxonomy): domain Eukaryota; kingdom Metazoa; phylum Chordata; class Mammalia; order Primates; family Hominidae; genus Homo; species Homo sapiens. Next base: position 84,235,147 of record NC_000001.11, on the reverse strand, counting down.
AGGAAAAAAAAATTCCTGAGAGTTTCCAAACACCAAGAAAAATAAATTCCCACTGTTATTACACGGTGAAATCCTTAGATGCCATTAGGTTCCTAAAATATAATAGTGCTAGAAGAAGCAGCAAGCAGTAGGTTAGCTATTAACCTCAACATTTTGATTCAAGGAAGTATGCAGGTCAACAAAATACTTAAGAAATTTCTGGGATAAGAGGAGAAGCCAAGATGGCCGAATAGGAACAGGTACGGTCTACAGCTCCCAGCGTGAGGGACACAGAAGACGGGTGATTTCTGCATTTCCATCTGAGGTACCAGGTTCATCTCACTAGGGAGTGCCAGACAGTGGGCGCAGGTCAGTGGGTGCACGCACCGTGTGCGAGCCGAAGCAGGGCAAGGCATTGCCTCACTCAGGAAGCGCAAGGGGTCAGGGAGTTCCCTTTCCTAGTCAAAGAAAGGGGTGACAGACGGCACCTGGAAAATCAGGTCACTCCCACCCGAATACTGCGCTTTTCCCACGGGCTTAAAAAACGGCGCACCAGGAGATTATATCCTGCACCTGGCTTGGAGGGACCTACGCCCACGGAGTCTCGCTGATTGCTAGCACAGCAGTCTGAGATCAAACTGCAAGGTGGCAGTGAGGCTGGGGGAGGGGCGCCCGCCATTGCCCAGGCTTGCTTAGGTAAACAAAGCAGCTGGGAAGCTCGAACTGGGTGGAGCCCACCACAGCTCAAGGAGGCCTGCCTGCCTCTGTAAGCTCCACCTCTGGGGGCAGGGCACAGACAAACAAAAAGACAGCAGTAACCTCTGCAGACTTAAATGTCCCTGTCTGACAGCTTTGAAGAGAGCAGTGGTTCTCCCAGCACACAGCTGGAGATCTGAGAACGGGCAGACTGCTTCCTCAAGTGGGTCCCTGACCCCTGACCCCTGAGCAGCCTAACTGGGAGGCACCCCCCAGCAGGGGAACACTGACACCTCATAGGGCCAGGTACTCCAACAGACCTGCAGCTGAGGGTCCTGTCTGTTAGAAGGAAAACTAACAAACAGAAAGGACATCCACACCAAAAACCCATCTGTACATCACCATCATCAAAGACCAAAAGTAGATAAAACCACAAAGATGGGGAAAAAACAGAGCAGAAAAACTGGAAACTCTAAAAAGCAGAGCGCCTCTCCTCCTCCAAAGGAACGCAGTTCCTCACCAGCAACGGAACAAAGCTGGACGGAGAATGACTTTGACGAGCTGAGAGAAGAAGGCTTCAGACGATCAAATTACTCTGAGCTACGGGAGGACATTCAAACCAAAGGCAAAGAAGTTGAAAACTTTGAAAAAAATTTAGAAGAATGTATAACTAGAATAACCAATACAGAGAAGTGCTTAAAGGAGCTGATGGAGCTGAAAACCAAGGCTCGAGAACTACGTGAAGAATGCAGAAGCCTCAGGAGCCGATGCGATCAACTGGAAGAAAGGGTATCAGCAATGGAAGATGAAATGAATGAAATGAAGCGAGAAGGGAAGTTTAGAGAAAAAAGAATAAAAAGAAACGAGCAAAGCCTCCAAGAAATATGGGACTATGTGAAAAGACCAAATCTACGTCTGATTGGTGTACCTGAAAGTGATGGGGAGAATGGAACCAAGTTGGAAAACACTCTGCAGGATATTATCCAGGAGAACTTCCCCAATCTAGCAAGGCAGGCCAACATTCAGATTCAGGAAATACAGAGAACGCCACAAAGATACTCCTCGAGAAGAGCAACTCCAAGACACATAATTGTCAGATTCACCAAAGTTGAAATGAAGGAAAAAATGTTAAGGGCAGCCAGAGAGAAAGGTCAGGTTACCCTCAAAGGGAAGCCCATCAGACTAACAGCGGATCTCTCGGCAGAAACTCTACAAGCCAGAAGAGAGTGGGTGCCAATATTCAACATTCTTAAAGAAGAGAATTTTCAACCCAGAATCTCATATCCAGCCAAACTAAGCTTCATAAGTGAAGGAGAAATAAAATACTTTACAGACAAGCAAATGTTGAGAGACTTTGTCACCACCAGGCCTGCCCTAAAAGAGCTCCTGAAGGAAGTGCTAAACATGGAAAGGAACAACCGGTACCAGTTGCTGCAAAATCATGCCAAAATGTAAAGACCATCGAGACTATGAAGAAACTGCATCAACTAACGAGCAAAATAACAAGCTAACATCATAATGACAGGATCAAATTCACACATAACAATATTAACTTTAAATGTAAATGGACTAAATTCTCCAATTAAAAGACACAGACTTGGCAAATTGGATAAAGAGTCAAGACCCATCAGTATGCTGTATTCAGGAAACCCATCTCACATGCAGAGACACACATAGGCTCAAAATAAAAGGATGGAGGAAGATCTACCAAGCAAATGGAAAACAAAAAAAGGCAGGGGTTGCAATCCTAGTCTCTGATAAAACAGACTTTAAACCAACAAAGATCAAAAGAGTCAAAAAAGGCCATTACATAATGGTAAAGGGATCAATTCAACAAGAAGAGCTAACTATCCTAAATATATATGCACCCAATACAGGAGCACCCAGATTCATAAAGCAAGTCCTGAGTGACCTACAAAAAGACTTAGACTCCCACACATTAATAATGGGAGACTTTAACACCCCACTGTCAACATTAGACAGATCAATGAGACAGAAAGTCAACAAGGAATTGAACTCAGCTCTGCACCAAGTGGACCTAATAGACATCTACAGAACTCTCTACCCCAAATCAACAGAATATACATTTTTTTCAGCACCACACCACACCTATTCCAATATTGACCACAGAGTTGGAAGTAAAGCTCTCCTCAGCAAATGTAAAAGAACAGAAATTATAACAAACTATCTCTCAGACCACAGTGCAATCAAACTAGAACTCAGGATTAAGAATCTCACTCAAAACCGCTCAACTACATGGAAACTGAACAACCTGCTCCTGAATGACTACTGGGTACATAACGAAATGAAGGCAGAAATAAAGATGTTCTTTGAAACCAACGAGAGCAAACACACAACATACCAGAATCTCTGGGACACATTCAAAGCAGTGTGTGGAGGGAAATTTATGGCACTAAATGCCCACAAGAGAAAGCAGGAAAGATCCAAAATTGACACCCTAACATCACAATTAAAAGAACTAGAAAAGCAAGAGCAAACACATTCAAAAGCTAGCAGAAGGCAAGAAATAACTAAAATCAGAGCAGAACTGAAGGAAATAGAGACACAAAAAACCCTTCAAAAAATTAATGAATCCAGGAGCTGGTTTTTTGAAAGGATCAACAAAATTGATAGACTGCTAGCAAGACTAATAAAGAAAAAAGAGAGAAGAATCAAATAGACGCAATAAAAAATGATAAAGGGGATATCACCACCAATCCCACAGAAATACAAACTACCATCAGAGAATACTACAAACACCTCTACGCAAATAAACTAGAAAATCTAGAAGAAATGGATAAATTCCTCGACACATACACTCTCTGAAGACTAAACCAGGAAGAAGTTGAATCTCTGAATAGACCAATAACAGGATCTGAAATTGTGGCAATAATCAATAGCTTACCAACCAAAAAGAGTCCAGGACCAGATGGATTCACAGCCGAATTCTACCAGAGGTACAAGGATGAATTGGTACCATTCCTTCTGAAACTATTCCAATCAATAGAAAAAGAGGGAATCCTCCCTAACTCATTTTATGAGGCCAGCATCATCCTGATACCAAAGCCAGGCAGAGACACAACCAAAAAAGAGAATTTTAGTCCAATATCCTTGATGAACATTGATGCAAAAATCCTCAATAAAATACTGGCAAACCAAATCCAGCAGCACATCCAAAAGCTTATCCACCATGATCAAGTGGGCTTCATCCCTGGGATGCAAGGCTGGTTCAATATATGGAAATCAATAAATGTAATCCAGCATATAAACAGAACCAAAGAAAAAACCACATGATTATCTCAATAGATGCAGAAAAGGCCTTTGACAAAATTCAACACGCTAAAAACTCTCAATAAATTAGGTATTGATGGGACGTATTTCAAAATAATAAGAGCTATCTATGACAAACCCACAGCCAATATCATACTGAATGGGCAAAAACTGGAAGCATTCCCTTTGAAAACTGGCACAAGACAGGGATGCCCTCTCTCACCACTCCTATTCAACATAGTGTTGGAAGTTCTGGCCAGGGCAATTAGGCAGGAGAAGGAAATAAAGGGTATTCAATTAGGAAAAGAGGAAGTCAAATTGTCCCTGTTTGCAGACATGATTGTATATCTAGAAAACCCCATTGTCTCAGCCCAAAATCTCCTTAAGCTGATAAGCAACTTCAGCAAAGTCTCAGGATACAAAATCAATGTACAAAAATCACAGGCATTCTTATACACCAACAACAGACAAACAGAGAGCCAAATCATGAGTGAACTCCCATTCACAATTGCTTCAAAGAGAATAAAATACCTAGGAATCCAACTTACAAGGGATGTGAAGGACCTCTTCAAGGAGAACTACAAACCACTGCTCAAGGAAATAAAAGAAGATACAAACAAATGGAAGAACATTCCATGCTCATGGGTAGGAAGAATCAGTATCATGAAAATGGCCATACTGCCCAAGGTAATTTATAGATTCAATGCCATCCCCATCAAGCTACCAATGACTTTCTTCACAGAATTGGAAAAACTACTTTAAAGTTCATATGGAACCAAAAAAGAGCCCGCATCGCCAAATCAATCCTAAGCCAAAAGAACAAAGCTGGAGGCATCTCACTACCTGACTTCAAACTATACTACATGGCTACAGTAACCAACACAGCATGTTACTGGTACCAAAACAGAGATATAGATCAATGGAACAGAACAGAGCCCTCAGAAATAATGCCACATATCTACAACTATCTGATCTTTGACAAACCTGAGAAAAACAAGCAATGGGGAAAGGATTCCCTATTTAATAAATGGTGCTGGGAAAACTGGCTAGCCATATGTGGAAAGCTGAAACTGGATCCCTTCCTTACACCTTATACAAAAATCAATTCAAGATGGGTTAAAGACTTAAACGTTAGACCTAAAACCATAAAAACCCTAGAAGAAAACCTAGGCATTACCATTCAGGACATAGGCATGGGCAAGGACTTCATGTCTAAAACACCAAAAGCAATGGCAACAAAAGCCAAAATTGACAAATGGGATCTAATTAAACTAAAGAGCTTCTGCACATCAAAAGAAACTACCATCAGAGTGAACAGGCAACCTACAAAATGGGAGAAAATTCTTGCAACCTACTCATCTGACAAAGGGCTAATATCCAGAATCTACAATGAACTCAAACAAATTTACAAGAAAAAAATAAACAACCCCATCAAAAAGTGGGCAAAGGACATGAACAGACACTTCTCAAAAGAAGACATTTATGCAGCCAAAAAACACATGAAAAAATGCTCACCATCACTGGCCATCAGAGAAATGCAAATCAAAACCACAATGAGATATCATCTCACACCAGTTAGAATGGCAAACATTAAAAAGTCAGGAAATAACAGGTGCTGGAGAGGATGTGGAGAAATAGGAACACTTTTACACTGTTGGTGGGACTGTAAACTAGTTCAACCATTGTGGAAGTCAGTGTGGCGATTCCTCAGGGATCTAGAACTAGAAATACCATTTGACCCAGCCATCCCATTACTGGGTATATACCCAAAGGACTATAAATCATGCTGCTATAAAGACACATGCACACGTATGTTTATTGCGGCATTATTCACAATAGCAAAGACTTGGAACCAACCCAAATGTCCAACAAAGATAGACTGAATTAAGAAAATGTGGCACATATACACCATGGAATACTATGCAGCCATAAAAAATGATGAGTTCATGTCCTTCGTAGGGACATGGATGAAATTGGAAATCATCATTCTCAGTAAACTATCGCAAGAACAAAAAACCAAACACTGCATATTCTCACTCATAGGTGGGAACTGAACAATGAGAACACATGGACACAGGAAGGGGAACATCATACTCTGGGGACTGTTACGGGGTGGGGGGAGGGGGGAGGGATAGCATTGGGAGATATACCTAATGCTAGATGACGAGTTAGTGGGTGCAGCGCACCAGCATGGCACATGTATACATATGTAACTAACCTGCACATTGTGCACATGTACCCTAAAACGTAAAGTATAATAATAAAAAAAAAAAGAAATTTCTGGGATAATTAACTGTTGGCATCAAAATCCTGGCTCCTAAGGTTACAAAACTTCAGTCTTAATTTTTAGTTCCTTGTTTTTAAGACCTTATCTTTTCCTATCCCTCTTGTAAAAATTCTTTTCTCCTCAAGTTACAGCTAAATCTCAGACTTACTTTTAATTGCTTTCCTTTTTTAATTCCCAAGTTTATTTTGTTTAAAATATCTGGCCATCAAAACTTTCTGAGAGTTTGGAAAGAAATATAACTCTTTTAGAATTAGAGAATTGTTAAACCTTAAACATTTTTCTCCTTTGATCCTAAAAGTAAAATGTCTTCCCACTACTTCGAATATGGTCTTCTATAAAGATTAAATGTGGGTACTGAATACATTTGAGGAAAAGATTTTAAAAGCTAAAAAAAAAAAATCATAATCTGCACAGCCTTTATAGAATTTACAAACAATTACAGTTGCTTTATTCTGTTCTCAGTACAACACTGTGAGGAAGGAAGGACTGGTGTTCTTACTCCCATTTTACAGATTATAAAAGAGTCGATTGACCAAATTCACATGACTGATAAGCGGCTAAAGCAGGTTTCATATTCATGATTCTCCACTTCTGGCCCAGAGCTCTCCAAGGGTTTTTAATTTATATCCCTTTCATTAAAACATTTTCTAGTACACATAATCAACATATATATAGTTATTTACTTACAATTTATTTAGATGTATGACTATACTATTATAAGATACACACACAAATAAGGTATTGAAAAAGAATAAGGTAAAAATAAGTAGGAATGGGACTTCTAATATTATCTTTTTGTTTGAGAGCTGGTTGCCTTGCACGCCCTGCTTTGGGGACTGCTGTTTTGCACTACCCAGAAGAATGAGCTAAGCAGACAGTTGCTTCACGTCTAGCCAGCCAGCAATTTAGAATAACAAACCTATTGGGGCAATCATGTGTAGAAAATGATTGTACAGTTTGAGTTGTTCAGGCTACTTCTTTCTTCTGCCTTTTTTTTTCCTTGATCATTTGGAGATGCATCAGAGAATAAAGAAGACAATTAAAACTATTCATATTTACTATGATTTTTGCACTGCTGTGCATAGTTATAATACTTGAGAAGATATTAAAACAAATGGTTAAAGTACTCTGCTATTTTTATTTGTAAATTGTCCATGGATCCTTACATCTGTTTCATTGATAATTCAAGATTTGGCTGTCAATCAATTTGTCCATTACTACAATCTGTATGTTACAGTGTGCCACTTGTTGGTAGGTTACCTGTTTACTACCTGGGATAAGTCAAGCCCTCTGAAAAGCACATACACTTTAAATGAGTAGTGGCCTTCCTGTTCTATCCCCTTTTAGGAATAATTATTAAAAATTAAACACATAATAGGAATAGATAAGTAAATGACTGCTATTTGGCAGAAGATTTTATTTCTAAATATAAATATGAAAAGATTCAAATACACCATAAATCTTTAGCATACTAATAAAGTTGACAAGCCTCAAGGCAATCTAAAGAATATACCTCGAAATAGCATTAATTAACAATAAATACAACAATAAAGATAATATAAGCAATGATAATTAGAAAGGGAAATGGATGATTTTATTGGAAATATAAATTTCTTAAATTGAGTCAAAAAGTAAAAACTTGAAGAGACCAATACCCAAGAATTAGTCTGTTAAAATTTATAAGGAATAGATATAAGATGACTCTATGTTCCTAAATTTTCTGCAGAATAAAAGCCTGGAAACTTTCTAAACTCATTTTATGAATCCCATATAATCCCAACTTCAAAAAAACAGAAACTGTAGACTAATAAAACTTATGACTACAGAAGTAAAAACCCTAAATAAAATTTTGGCAAATAGATTTCAGGCAAATATTAAAATGTTAATACCCCATGATTAATGGTATTCATTCCAGGAAAGTGAGGATGTCTCCCTCATATAATTCATCACACTAACATGTCAAAAAAGATAAAATACAGTGTATTAGAAATCAACAATGTTTTGTTAACCTCATAAAGAATACCTATCTCAGCCAAATGGCCAACTTTATATTTGGTGGTAAAACATGAAAGGCAACAAATTATAGAAATGATCCCTGAAAGTATATTCTTGGGCACTTCCATTCAAAGCAGGAACAAGACAAGAAAGCTCAAGGGCCCTACTGCATTAAAATATTGTTTTAGACATTCTAATATATGTACTAAAACAAAAATGGAAATGAGATGTAAATACTGAAAAGGAACAGACAAAATGATATGCCAATCTCCTATGATTGTCAATAAAAATCCAAAGGAATCACTGAAAAATGTGGAAATCAATAACAGAATTTAGTAACATGGTCAATTATAATATAAACATAAAAATGATGTTTTGCCCATATCCTACTATAACGGGAAAGCAAACACATTAATAATAGCAACCAAAATATAAATTTAAGCAATAATTTTAAGACATAAATTCCTTCCTATATGGAGGAAGGGGGGTTCTCTAAAACTTTACTGAATGACGAAAGATATTTGAGTAAATGCAGAAGCAACATGTTCATAATGGTAAATTCTCAAGATTCAGGTTCTCTCCTAATATGCAACTTTACTGTTAATCCCCAAATTCAATAAATCTTTAGAGAGACCAAAAAAAAAAACAAAAAACCCACAAACCATTGGCAAGTCTAATCAAAAAAGGAAGAGAAAACATACAGGAGATAAGGATGATTTTCTAGGAAATATAAATTACCTAACTTGACTCTAAAATAATGCATATGGGGCAAGAGAACAGAACATTTGGAAAGGGTAAACAAGGGTGAAGAAACTGGACCCATCTAATATTAAAATATTTTAAAGCTACATAAAGCAGTGACATATACAGTACAAGAACAGACAAAAAGAACTCCTAAAAAATAAAGGTCAGGGCTTCAAGATGGCTGACTCAGAACTCTCCTCCACAAAGAAGGACCAAAACAGTGAGTAGATAATCACATGTTGAATAAAGCCTCTAAGAGAGAACACTGAAATTTAGCAGGGAAGTGACAGGGAACATCTGAGGCAGATAAGCAAAAGGAAGTGAAGCAGCTGGCCTAGCTGGGACCAGCTGGCAGCCACAAGAGGTTCTCCAGTATGGGGAAAGGGTAACTGAGAGATCCCCAGTGGTCCACATTTCCACCACAGACTCTTGCAATCCTAGCCATGTAAGATCCCCACAACCCTCGTGAATTCTGAGACAAGTATAGGGACCTGCCTGGAGTTCACACAATAGCATTGTTCCAGAGAGGGAGTTTGTTCCAGGTCCCACACCCACCCCCAGGACCCAAGAAGCTGAAGCACAGTGCCATTTTGAGAAGCCAACTACCATTAGAGAGTATGCATCTCTATACACCTGGAGCCCAACTGACAGTGCCCCATGTCTATCAAAGGGGTTCCAGTGGTACAGTGCTGGCTGGACCCAATGGTGCGGCTGGGTCCCCAGCACTCGAGCCCACACAGTGTCTTATACTCCAAAGAACAAGCAGGGCAGCACACTAGGGAAGGCTGTTTCTGGGGCCGGAAGCCAAAGCATACACTCCCCAGAGTCTGAGGGCCTCCTGCCTGGGGCCACTGCCACTGATAGCAATGCCCAGCCCCCACAACAGGACTGCCAGGTACTTGCAGCACCTTCAGTGGACCTGGGAACTGGCCCAACTGGATGCTATTTGGGGGCATGAGGACAGACTCACTCTGCCTACCACCTCTCAAGTATTTTATCCAGGGGCCTAGGAATAGTCCTTCCCTGCCTACCAGAGTCTGTATCTGTGTGCACCAATAGGGGCCTGAGGACAGGCCTGTCCCTTTAAGTGCCACCCCTCCTAGTGCCCTAGCACACCACCTGGGAGGCCTGGGGAGTGCCCCCCTCTGTCTATCACTCTGGGTACACATACATATGATCAAGAAGCATGACGAAAGACTCAGGCTATCAGCCACTGGCATCAAAATATGCTGTCCAGTGGCCCAAAGACTGCCCTGTTCACCACAGCCTGCACCCACAGGTACAACAGAGGAGCCTGGGGACAGGCCTTCCCTGCCTGGTGGCACCTCCCACAGTGATTGAGTGCACTGTCTGGAGGCTTGGGGATCCATCCACCCTGCTTGCTGCTTCTGGCATGCACTGCACCATCAGGGGGTCTAACAACAGACCCAAACCACTGACTGCCTGCACTCAAACACATTGTTTGAGGGTCTGGGGATTGCCTCACTTGGTCCAACACAGCCTGTGCCCACGTGCACCATTGAGGGGCCTGAGTAAATGCCTGCACTGCCTGGCACTGCAACCCCAATGCTCAAGCATGCCATCTGAGGGCCTGGGGATTGCCCTGCCCCACCCACTACTGGCCTGAGGCTGGGCCTGCCCAGTCTGCCACCACTACCACTGCTGGCGCTTACCCACATATGCCACCTGAGGGTTTAGGGTCTGGCTTGCCCAATCTGTTGCTACCATCACTAGCAGCAGTGTGTACTGCCTGGGAGCCTGAGGGTTGGCCTGCCATCACTATTACAATCGCTTATGCCACACATGCTGCACAGGAGACTAAGGTCTCATCCATATGCTCAGCCTACCACTGCCACTGCTGGTACCTGAGCAAGCCACATAGAGGCCTAAGAATTGGCCCTTGCAGACCTGCTAAAATTGATGCCAGTGTATGGCCACCAGGGGCAGGTATGCTTGGCCTGCTGCTACCACCACTGGGGCCTGAGGATCAGGATGCCTGGTGTCCCTGTCCCCAGCAAAGCCTCACCACAGGCTACACCAATAATGCGGCCTAAGCCACTGAGGAAATCGCAGACACCCACTGAGGCTAATTACAGCTGAAGAAATCATAGAGACTACACTACTGCATGCACCCAGAATAAAAGCTAAACTGCCCAACAAACCAACATGATAATACATCCACAGAAAAAAGTCTTACCCTACAAAAGCCAATCCTAAAAACTGGAGGAAATGACTGTTACACCAGATGTGGAGATGTCAATGTAAGTATACAAGAAACATGAAAAAGCAAAGAAACATGACACCTCCAAAAGAACATAATTCTCCACCAACAGATTCCAATTAAACAAAAAATGATGAAATGTCTGAAAAAGAATTCAAACTAATGATATTAAAGAAGCTCAGTGAGATATAAGAGAACACAGACAAACAATACAAAGACATCAGGAAAACAATTCAGGATATGAGTGAGAAATTCAACAGAGAGATAGCATAAAAAAGAACCAAACAGGCCGGGCATGGTGGCTCACGCTTGTAATCCCAGCACTTTGGGAGGCCAAGGTGGGTGGATCATGAGGTCAGGAGATCGAGACCATCCTGGCTAACATGGTGAAACCCTGTCTCTACTAAAAATACAAAAAATTAGCCGGGGCATGGTGGCGGGTGCCTGTCGTCCCAGCTACTCAGGAGGCTGAGGCAGGAGAATGGCGTGAACCCAGGAGGTGGAGCTTGCAGTGAGTTGAGATCACGCCACTGCACTCTTGCCTGGGCGACAGAGCGAGACACCATTTCAAAAAAAACAAAAAAACAAAAAAAAACAACCAAACAGATCCATCCCAGAACTGAAGAATTCAATGAATGAAATGAAAAATACAACTGAGAGCTTTGTCAATAGACTATATCAGGGAGAAGAATTGAGGACAGGTCTTCTGAAATAATTCAGACAGACCCACCAAAAAAGAATAAAAAATAAAAATTAATGAACAAAGCATACATGACATAGGGGACACCTTAAAGCAACGAAATATTCAAATTTGGGGTTTTCCAGAAGGTAAAGTGATGGGTAATGACATAGAAAAACTCATTTAATTTAATAATAGTTGAAAACTTCCTAGTTCTTTTAAGAGATTTAGAAATCCAGATACAGGAAGCTCAAACATCAAATAGATACAATCCAAAAAGGTCTTTTCCAAGACACACTTTACTGAAACTGTCAAAAGTCAAAGACAAGACAGACATCTAAAAACAGCAAGAGAAAAGCATCAAGTCACATATAAGGGAACCTCCATCAGACTAACGTGGATTTCTCAGGGGAGACCCTGCAGGCCAGGAGAGAATTGGATGATATATTCACAGTGCTAAAAGGAAAAAAACAAACCCTGCCACCAACGATAAACTACTAGACTAACCAAGAAACCTTTCTTCAAAAATGAAGGAGAAAAAAAGTCTTTCCCAGATAAGCAAAAACTGAGGGAATTACCACTATTACAGCAGCCCTACAGGAAATGCTTAAGGTAGTCCTACATCTGGAAGTGAAACAATGATATTTACCATCATGAAAACAAGAAAGTATAAAAGTCACTGGTAGGGCAGACACATAAATGAGAAAGAGAAAGGACTCAAATATTACCATTACAGAAAACCACCAAACTATAATGATAAACAATTAGAGAGAAAGAAAGGAATGAAGGATATACAAAGCAACCAGAAAACAATTTTTAAATGATAGGAATAAGTCCTCACCTATCAATAATAACTTTAAATGTAAATAAATCAGATATCTACTTAAAAGATATGGACTGTCTGAATATATAAACATAACATGATCTAACTATATGCTGCTTACAAAAAACCTCACTTCACCTGTAAACACACAGATAGACTGAAAGTGAAGAGACAGAAAAAGATTTCATACAAATGGAAAACAAAAACAAGCAGGAGTATCTAAATTTATATCAGATAAAGGAAACTTTAAGTCAAAACAGTAAAATGAGACAAAGAAGGTCATAATATAATGATAAAGGGATGAATTCAGCAAAAGGATATAACGGATATATATGCATCCAATACTAGAGCACACAGATATAGAAAGCAAATATTATTAGATCTAAAGAGAGAGACAGACTCCAATACAATAATAGTTCAGGACTTCAACACTCCATTCTCAGCATTGTACAGATTATTGAGAGAGAGAATCAACCAAAAAAATTGGACATAAACTGCACTGTAGACAAAATGTACCTAGGAGACATTTACACAACATTTTATCCAATAGTTGCAGAATACACATTCTTCTAATAAGCACATGGAACATTCTCCAGGATAGACCATTTATATTAGGCCACAAAACAAGTCTCAACAAATTTTAAAAACTTGAAATCATATCAAGATTTTCTCAGATCCTGATGGGAAAAACTAGAAATCAGTAACAAGAAGCACTTTGGAAACTGTACAAATAGATGGAAATGAAACAATATGCTCCCGAATGACTATTGGGCTAATGAAGAAATTAAGAAAGAAATAAAAACAATCTTAAAGCAAAGAAAAATGAAAACACAATATACCAAAACCTATGGAATATAAGAAAAGCAGTGCTAAGGGGAGGTTTATAGCAATAAACACCAAAAAGTATAAAGATTTCAAATAACCTAATAACGTACCTCAAGGAACTAGAAAAGCAAGAACAAACCAAACAAAATTAGTAGAAGGAAAGAAATAATAAAAATCAGAGCACAACTAAATGAAATAGAGAAAAAACATACAAAGGATCATAAAAATGAAAGGTTTTTTTTTTAAAAAAATAACCAAAATTGATAAACTGCTAGCTAGACTAACCAAGAAAAAAAGAGAGAAGATCCAAGTTAACAAAATCAGAAAAGAAAAATATTTTACAACTGACACCACAGAAATACAGGAGATCACTGGAGACTATCATGAACAACTATATGCTAACTAACTGGAAAACCTAGAGGAAATAGATAAATTCTTGGACACATACAACCTACAAAGACTGAACCAGATAGAAACAGAAAATCTGAACAGACCAATAATGGGGAACAGATTGAATATGTAATAAAAAGATTCCCATCAAACATTAAAGAAAAGCCCAGGGCTGCATGGCTTTACTGCTCAATTCTATCAACCTTATAAAGAAGAACTAGCATCAATTCATCTCAAACTATTCCAAAAAATTAAAGAAGAGAGAATTCTTCCTAACTTATTCTACGAGGCCAGCAGTACTCTGATACAAAACCAGACAAGCACACAACAAAAAAAGAACACTACAGACCAACATCTCTGAGAAATACAGACACAAAAATTTTTAACAAAACACTAGCTAACAAAAATCCAACAACACAACAAATATATAATACAACATGATCAAGTGGGATTTATCCCAGGGATGCAAGGATGGGTCAATATATGCAAATCAATTAACACGATACATCACTTTAGTAGAATGAACAACAAAAATCATATGATCATCTCAATAGATGCAGAAAAAAGCATTAGATAAAAGCCAACATCCCCTCCTGACAAAAACTCTCAACAAATTAGGCATAGAAGAGGCATTACTCAACATAATAAAGGTCATATATGACAAACTCACAGCTAACATACTGAATGAGGAAAAGTTGAAAGCCTTTCCTCTAAGAATTGGACCAAGACAAGGATGTCCACTTTCACCACTCCTATTCAACATAGTAATGGAAGTCCTAGCCAGATTAATCAGGGAAGAGAAAGAAATACAAGGCATCTAAATGCAAGGCATCTAAATACAATGCCCCTCCTTTCAGATGACATAATCTTACATATAGACTCCACCAGAATATTCTTAGAACTCATAAAAAAATAAGTAAAGGTGCAGAATACAAAATGAACATAAAAAATCAGTGACATTTCGATACACCAATAATGATCAAGCTAAGAAAGAAATCAGTAATATAATTCCATTTATAATAGCTACAAAAAAATAAATAAAATACCTAGGAATAAATTTGACCAAGAAGGTGAAAGACCTCTACAAGAAAAACTACAAAACACTGATGAAAGAAATTAAAAAGGACAGAAACAAATGGAAAGACATCCCATGGTCATGGTCATGAATCAGAAAAATAAATATATTAAAATGATCAACTATGCAAATAAATTTACAGATTCAATGCAATTCCTATCAAAATACCAATGATAGTCTTCACAGAAATAGAAAAAAAAATCCTAAAATTTGTATGGAACCACAAAAGAGCCTGAATAGCCAAAGGAATCCAGAGCAAAAAGAGCAATGCTGGAGGCATCACACTACCTGACTTCAAAATATACTATAAAGCTATAGTAACTAAAACAGCATGGTAGTGGTATAAAAACAGACACAGAGACCCATGGAACAGAATAGAGAACCCATAAATAAATCCACATATTACACCTAAGTGATTTTTGACAAAGGCATCAAGAACATACAGTGGGGAAAGGACACTCTCTTCAATACATGGTGCGGAAAAACTGGATATCCATATGCAGAAGACTGAAACTAGATCCCTCTCTCTCACCATATCCCCAAATCACTCAAAATGAATTAAGTACTTAAAAATAAGGCCCCAAACCATAACAATACTAGAAGAAAACATACGGGAAATGCTCTAGAACATTGGTCTAGTCAAAGATTTTATGGGTGGGGCATGGTGGCTCACGCCTGTAATCCCAGCACTTTGGGAGGCTGAGGCAGGTCAGGAGTTCGAGACCAGCCTGACCAACATGGTGAAACTCTGTCTTTACTAAAAATACAAAAATTAGCTGGGTGTGGTTGTGGGCACCTGTAATCCCAGCTACTCAGGAGGCTGAGGCAGAAGAATCACTTGAACCTGGGAGGTGGAGGGTGCAGCGAGCCGAGATTGTACCGTTGCACTCTAGCCTGGGCAACAAGAGCGAAACTCCAACTCAAAAAAAAAAAAAACCTAATAAACAAACAAAAAAGATTTTATGGCTAAGTCCTGAAAAGTACAAGCAACAAAAACAAAAATAGGCACATTGGGCTATATTAAATTAAAAGCTTTTGCAGAGCAAAGGAGACATTCAAAAGAGTAAAGAGACAACCTGTTGAATGGGAGAAAAAAATATTTGCAAACTATTCATCCAAGAAGGGACTAATATGCAGAATATACAAGGAACTCCAATAATTCAGTAGCCAAAAATAAACAATCTAATTAAAATGGGTAAAGGATATGTGTACACATTTCTCAAAACCAGATTTACAATGGCCAACAGGTACATGAAAAAATGCTCAACACCATTAATCATCAGGGAAATGCAAATCAAAACCACAGTGAGATATCATCGTACCCAGGTGGAATGGCTATTATCAAAAAGGCAAAAAACACCAAGTGCTGGAGGGGATGTGGAGAAAAGGGAATTCTTATACACTGTTGGTAAAAATGTAAGTTAGTACAGCTACTATGGAAAATAGTACAGAGATTTTTCAAAAATCTAAAAATAGAACTATCATACAATTTAGCAATTCCATTAATCCAAAGGAAATCAGTATATCAATGCAATACCTGAATCCTCATGTTTATTGCAGCACTATGCATAATAGCAAAGATATGGAATCAACCTAAGTGTCCTTCAACACATGAATGGGTACAGAAAATGTAATATATATAGGAATACTATTTGGCTGTAAAAAAAAGAATGAAATCTTGTCATTTGTAGCAACATGGATAGAAACAGATCATTCTGTAAAGTGAAATCAGCCAGGCACAGAAAGACAATATCACATGTTCTTACTTACATGTGGAACCTAAAAAAGTTGATCTCTTAGAGGTAACGTATAGAATGACAGCTACCAGAGGCTGAGAAGGATGTGTGTGTGTGGGGGAAGGGATGAAGAGAACTAAGGTACTGAGAACAAACATACAGTTAGACAGAAGGAATAAGTTCTAGCATTTCATAGCACAGCAGGCTGGTTATATTGTATATTTCACAACAATATATTATATATTTCAAAGTAACTGGAACAGAAAATTTGAAATGTTCCCAACACAAAGAAACAATAAACGATCAAGGTAGTGGATATGCTAAATACCCAGCTTTGATCACTACACATACTACGCATATATTAAAATATAACATGTACTTCATGAATATATAAAAATAGTATGCAGCAATAAAAATTTAAAAAGTTCAGAAATAGACAGATGTATATATTAATTTAATATTAGTAAAGGTAGAATTTCAAATAAGAGGCCAAATAAGAATTATTCAATAAATATGGAGGGGACAACTGGTTAATTACAACAACAAAAAATAAGTTAGAGTTCAGAAAGCACTAAAAGAAAATAGAAGTTCGATAGATACACTTATTGTGGAGTAGGGTTTTTTTCTTCTTTCAGAGACAGGGTCTCAGCTCTGTAGCCCAGGCTGGAGTGCAGTGGCATGATCATGGCTCACTGCAGCCTTGACCTCTTGGGCTTAAGTGATCCTCCTGCCTCAGCCTCCAGGGTAGCTGGGACCAAGTGTGTGTTACCACACCTGGCTAATTCTTTTTTATTTTCTGAAGAGATGATGTCTCACTATGTTGCCCATCTAGTCTTGAACTCTTGGCTCAAGTGATCTTCCCACTGTGGACTCCTAAATTGATGGGATTACAGGTGTGAGCCACTGCACCTGGCCTGTTTTAAAACAATTGTATAATATGGCAGTAAGTCACTCAGATGTAATTATGTAGTATGTAGCAACTGTGAGATAAGAGACTGAAGGAAATGGTAAAGTGCAGGGTTGGAGGAGGTAGATTTTAATTGGCTACTGAGATCATAGGACTGAACTGCAGTGATGAAGGGCACAGGGAAAAAAAAAGTAAAAAGACATATATCAAATACTAGGTTCTATTTGGATGGTGGAATTATGATAATTTCAAATTCATTTGCTTAATAAATTACCTGGTTATAAGTATATGAAACATATCTCAACCAGAAAGGAAAATGGAGCCTGGGCCAATCCATCTAATCTTTCTCACCAAACTGCTCTTCCTTTTGTATTCTCTATCCAAATTCAAATTTTAAGGGTGATAAAACTGATGCTTTAGAGAGGTTAAATCGTTTGTTCATGATCATACTGCTAATGATTGGTTGATCAGGGATTCAGATCAATGTCTACCTAACACCACAGTTCATTCTCTTTTTTTGCTGCCTTTTGAGACAGAGTCTTCCTACTCCCAAAATGCTCAAAGCATAAAAGTTAAGAAGATGATACACGTAAAATTCATGAAAATCTTGTGAAACAATTTATTGTTTAGTGGTTTGGAGTTTCATTTTAAGAATCATGTCAAAAGGACTTTAAAGGGATAATGTGACCTGGAATTGAGAATCTGAAGAACCTGGGATCAAATATAGGTATTATTTAGCAGCTGCATGATTATGTTTAAATTAATTAACCTCTCTGAGCTGATTTCCACATCAGTAAAATGGGGAAAATGGTATCACTTATTTCACAGGATTATTTTGAAGACTGAAAAGAGAAGTTATAGGGAGTTGCTTTTATTAATTATACAGTATTGCATTGGTGTTAGCAAATTTAGAAAAAATATAAAAAATAAAGTTTTTTATGAGATCTAAATCTATTTTAAAGTGCTATCAATCTTGTTATTGACTATATAACATATCTATTTGCGATAATAATGCTGACAGCCATGATTCATGAACTTAACAGAGAGTTTCTGGATCCCTCTTGTGAGATAGGCTGTATTGCATTCACATTGTTTTGGTCTGGCTATATGTTCTTTTTGCTGCATTTTAAAATTCTTTAATTGTTTTGTTTTTGTAATCTTTATTTATTTATTTATTTCTTTGAGACGGGGTCTTGTTCTGTCACCCAGGCTGGAGTGCAGTGGCATAATCACAGCTCACCGTAGCCCCAATCTCCCAGGCTCAAGTGATCTTCCTGCCTCAGTCTCCCAAGTAGCTCGGATTACAGGGATGAGCCATCATACCCAGATAATTTTTGTATTTTTTGTAGAGACGGGGTTTTGCCATGTTTGCCAGGCTGGTCTCAAACTCTTGAGTGAGACTCAAGCAATCCACCCACCTTGGCCTCCCAAAGTGTTAGGATTTCAGGTGTGAGCCAGGGCACCCAGCTTGTTACTGTAATCATTTGTAAAATATATAAATTAGAAAAACTGTGCTTTTAATACTTAATTAGAGCATTAAATTTTTTTTTCCTTAAGGAAACTCAATCATGTAGTTGCACAGCATTATTAAAGATGACATGTCTCTAAAACATTAGAAGTTTTGGTTTTATGAAAAAAAAGAAGAAAAAAATTAAATATATTCAAAATGAAAACACTTTATTCATGCAAATCATCTTTAAGCATGTAAGAAGCAAAATGAGAGATAAAGGTAATTCAGTGCAGCAAAATCTTTTCTTAAATGTCTCAAATTATTACAAAAGTGAAATGATAACTGCTATCAATTAATATAGTACTGTTACCACAACTGTCATACTGGCAACTTGTGTAGCAAAAAACAAAACAAAACAAAATACTAGTTTCTTTTAAATATGCTACAGTTTAGCTGGGGTTTCTTCTCTATTTTATTATGGTGGTATAATAATGCCAGCGATTAACTTGATCTATACTTATATTCAAGTCTTCAAGTTGCCTGAATTTCTAACTCTAAGAATCCCTTTAGCGAGCAAAGAGTCAAACAAAAGACCAAACAAAACAAATCTCAAAAACTCAGGTGCAAAGTTATTCTGAATTTCCACATTTCTCACAGTATAGTACTTTTACATTTATTTATACGACCATCTGACTAATCTCCCTGTCCCCTGGAAGTATAAGCTTCATATGGGCAGGAATAAAGGTTGGTTTTGCTCATCATTGTATTCTCAGCACCTTGCAGAATACCTAACATACAAGCAGGGACCTGATAACTATTTGGAAAAAATCTTACGTGAATAAATAATTGTTAAAAGGAAAAAAGTAGTAACTTCAGATAATTTGCTTTGACCTTCCAAAAATGCATGAATTAAAACCCCTAATTTGTATGAATTATGTTCAAATTAGCTTTCAAATGGATAAAGGAAAGCTGTATCTCTAAAGAGAGACCAATATGCCACAAGAAGGTGAAAATGAAGACTAACAAGGAATGAAACTAGCAATTTAATGTTATTATATATCTGGCACATGCCAATTCTGGATGGGCAACTACATTTATTTATATATCTTCCTAATGTGGCTTCACATCAGTTTTGAAAACCCTTAGGACATTGTCTAATATATAATTTCCACAGTTTTGTGAAGCGTAACAAGCATAGATAGGAAAAATTTAACAAAGGAAACATTTCAGGTTGATGGTCAAAATAGCATATATGCTTTCTTTTTAAGCTAGGTAAGGCCAGGTGTGATGACTCATGCCTGTAATCCCAGCTCTTTGGGAGGCCGAGGTGGGCAGATCACTTGAGGTCAGGAGTTCAAGACCAGCCTAGCCAACATAGTGAAACCCTGTCTCTACTAAAAATACAAAAAAATCATCCAGATGTGATGGCATGCACCCATAGTCCCAGCTACTCGAGAGGCTGAAGCAGGAGAATCACTTGAACTGAGGTGGCGGAGGTTGCAGTGAGCAGAGATTGTGCCACTGCACTCCAGCGTGGACTACAGAGTGAGACTCCACCTCAAAAAAAAAAAAAAAAAATTCTAGGGGGAAACTCATTTTTAAGTTATGGGCTGTAAAGTACTTTAGATCCTGCACAAGATTAATTCAAAAGGTAAAAAAATTAAAACTATGTGTTAAGTTGAAAATATCTCCACCACATATAATTTAAACACCAACTTTAAAAAAGCTTTTAAATTAAAAAAGAAAGTCTCACCTTCCTCTGGTAAATAGCAATCCAATCTGTCGTGGCAAACCACTTGTGAGTTTTTATATCACTGACACCATTCTTTAGATTTCCAAATCTCTTGGTCAAATCCACCTGCAGCAGGTTCCGTAGAAGGTCCTTGAGATCTGAACTGAAGTGGGATGGGAATCGGACCTACACAAACACACCATTTGGTAAAACACACATTCTAAGACTCATGATATTTCTGTTTTGATTTCATAAAGTTTTTTTTTCAAGGCAACAAGCCATTATATAAACAAAAATATGGAGCGATGACCTTCACATACTTTTAACTACATGTTACAGTCCCCACAGTAGCCATAAAGAAGAGAATTACTTGGGTGAATGAACTAAACCTGTTCTCTTAGGGCCTTGCTTTGGTTATGATGTCTTTAAGAACATGGAGCAGTCTCCAGAAAAATGTGCACACCTACAGAACTTTTGCAAAATATCAGAAAGTTCACCTATCTTTAAGAGCAATCTCTTTGGATCATACATTACAAACCTGTGTCTCAAAGATACATAAATTTAACTTTGTAATATAAATAGAAGAACCAGCATATGAAGGAAATCAGTATGTACATTTTGAAAAGAGATCTATCAAAAAGGAAGTCTAAAAATGGTTGTAAAAACCCACACTGCCTTTCACAGTATAGGAAAACATTTTTCATTTATCAGAAGTTGGCTTTTAAAAATAATTCTCCTATTATGCAACAGTATAAAAATGATTTAGATTGGTTTAAAAGCATTTTTCTACCTACTAAATTGTGAAGACTTTACAATTACTAGACTGGCCTCTGGCCTTAAAAATAAATGGAAAACCCCCAAATAAGTGAAGATTTTTGGCAATCGATAAGGTTAAAGTAACATTTATAGGAGACCTAAGTCTATTTTTCATTTTGTTTTGTTTAAACACATTCTTCTCCTCTATACCAATCTAACTTCTGGTTATTACTGTTTCATTGATATGGGTACCTAAAAAATTAAAATGGGTACCACCAAAGGATGAAGGAATAGCTGCATCTATGCCTCCTTATTCTTTTTTGTCATCACTACCACCTCTCCACTATCCTTTCCAGCTTGTGTTCAATCCCTTTCATTACCCTCTTCCCTGTCATACATACATATGTATGCACACATGTATGTGTATACATATCTGGATTATTACAGCCTCAACTACAAATTGATCATAGCACTTTGTAGAAAACACTTTAAAGGGTTAAGAGGCGCATCCCCAAACTCTCTGCATTCTTATTTTGTTTCTCTACAAGTGCTACCACTACAAGTACTACCATCACTTCATAACTTACATAGTGCATCATTACATTACCTCAGTTGCTCTTTATAATACATTTATTTATTCAACTATGCTATAGTATTTGTGCATATTTCTGTCTCCCCCAGGCTCTGAGCTTCTGAGGGAAGGTATTGTGCCATTTTTATTCTCAGTATTTATTAGACTATTTCAAATACTGTAGTTCATCCATTTTACAATTATTTATTGAATACCTACTATATGCCAGGCACTATTTTAGGTGCTGGATATATAGCAGTGAGCAAAACCTGGCAAGTCTCTGATTTCATGGAACTTACATTCTAGTTGGATAGGACAAATTCAGTGAATATGGTATTAACTCCAATTTAAAGATGGAGAAACTAAGATTCAGCAATGTTACTGGGTATAGCTTCCCCAGTCATCAGGCCATAAAGTGGCAGAGTTGGGACCAGTAATCTAGTCATGATTTGTAGCTTCATGAATTTTGCTCTTTATTACACTGTCTTCAAATATATAGACTCCTTAATTTATATTCTGACTTTCTAAAAGCTCAACCTACTTGACATACATTCTCATGTTCTCAAAGTAGAAGTTAAATCATGCATGCAAAGATAGGTTTTATAGTAAAGTTAAATTCATAACCATAGCTTTTGACTGCCACTTTTGTGCTAGTCTATAAGTAAATTTTTTCAAAATCTGGTCCTAGGACCCATGCACATCAGAATAAACTGGGAGACAAAAGGATAAAAATGTAGATTCCTGTGGCTTGCCTCAGATGATGGGGGCATTGGGCCTGAAAATCTGAGCTTTTATCTCCAAGGGATTCATATGTACATAAAAGCTTGAAAAGCACTATTCTCAACTCTGTTCACTACTTTATGCAGAGGTTTTATTTTCTATGCTAGTAAAAGATCATAACATTTTAAATGTAAATAATACAGTACTGTAAATTGAAATCATTATCATACCAGAGGAAAACTAATATTCTATCAACAACTAAAGACTATTTAAAGGGTTAATAGTTAATAAATGACCAGGATTTAGGCTCAACTCATATAAATTAGCAACTCAAAATCTCATTTTTGCAAGGCCCTTTATTATCCTAGATTATGAGCAGTTTTATGTTCTAAAATAATAAGATATGTGAACTTCTACCTTCTCTAGTTTTATTCTTGACACAGTGGTTTACTAGAAGCTAGGCATTATGCTAAACACTTTCTGTACTGGCTCATAAAATCCAAAACATAGGTATGATTATTATCCAAATTTCATAGGTAGGGGTGAAGCAATTGAGACCTACAGAAATTATTTTGCCTAAGATTACAGAGCTAATAAATAGTAAAGGTGTAATTCCAAACTGGGTACACTGACTTCAGGGTACTTATTTTTAATTATCTATTCTCCTTCCATGATTCAATAACCTAAAAATAGTCATTATCAGGAACCTTCTAAAAGACTGAAATTTTCTTAAAAATATTTTGCTGCACATTTCCTCATTTACCTAGATGAAGTAATAACTAGAGAATAAGGGGTTTTCAAAAGGCACACTGTCTACTTTAAAAATAACATGACATTTTTCCAGTGGGTATATTAGCTCAGATTTTTCCAGTGATAAATCTAAACTTTATTTAGATTCCAAAGAAATAATTTATTTGAAGTACATCTATATTTAAGATTAAATTTGTGTGAACTGTTCCATGGTAATGTACCAGTTATCTCTTTCATTACATTCAGATGGCAGACAGTAATGTACTACATATAAATTATCTTTGGAATTCAGGTAATATGCAGTGGAATGCATGAAAAATAAAATCATCTAAATAATGTAATTCTTTATTTTGGAATGCAAATAAAGTGATGGTCTTGAACGTGTGTGTGTGTGTGTGTGTGTGTGTGTGTGTGACAGTGGAGTGGTGGTGGGTTGTGACAGCAGATATCAGAACGATTTGGGAACCTTTTCAAATCATAGACATATCCTCCTCACCTCCATATCACACCCTCTTCCCCAGAGATTCTCATAGGTAGCCCACACTCTCATAGTGGTTCATGTTAATAATGGGAATCCATCACATATTTAAAGTATTTTGGGGGAGAAATAATGAAAGTCATTGTGAAAGTATTTTTTCCCATGATTATTCTGAAATTTAACCTGAAATGTAATTTCCTTGTTGACTGAACTTTTCAAAGAGTCATGTTGATTTATCAAACTGGAATTAGTGAAAAACAGAAAATAACTTCAACAAAATTGTTTTAAGTGTACAACCTTTATTTGTAATACATCAACCTGGAGACACTAAAGATTTCTATGATGGGAAGAGCGACTATCTAATTTTTCCTTTAAAACTATATCAAAAGGGTATTACTTTTATCATTATCAATTATAACTACTATAGAAAGTGAAATGAGAATCTTCTAATATTGGAGCTAGAGGGAGCTTAGTTTAATTGAGTCTAAACTCTCATTTTAAAGATAAGGAATCTGAGCTCCTGTGAGGCTACCAACTCCGTTAGTAGAATTATTGGGAAAATAACCTAATCTTCCTGACATATACCTATGAGCTTTCTGCCAGTCCAAGATAGGCAAATAATGTGAAAGTAAATGTAAAGAGTCAGATATTGAAAAGAGAAAGTCTAAAATCATTAAGCCATTAGGTCTGAGAGATAAGGTTATGGGAAACTGGCATCATTTAACATGGAAGAGGTGTTTGTACAACATAAAAGAGGTGTTTGTGATATATACACTTCCCAACGTGTTTTCTTTAATATTTTTTCTTCAATATTATTTATTGTTTAGGATTGTTTTCCAACCATTAGAGACCATATTACTTCTGATTTTTCTAATTATATTTTCTTGAGAATAAATCTAATTCCCCAGTGAGGTACAGATACACAAAACAAGCTCTCAACACATGGTGTTTATCAGAATCACTTGTGATACTTAAAAAAAGTTTTGAATCCACAGAAGGCCTCTTGAGTCAGTATGTCTCTGGAGAGATACCAAAGATAGAGTACACTTCATGAAAGCTTCATGAAGGCAGAGACCACAACTGACTTGCTGTATCCAGCATGTAGAACTGGTCTGGCACATACTAGGAGCTTCATAAATATTTAATGAATGCATGAATTGAAATTCAACAAATATTGATTGAACCTCTACTATGTGTTATGCTTGAATTAAGCAAGTACTATGTGCTTACTAATATATCTCAGGAATTTGTGCTTGGATTATATAAGTAAACAAAATAAGATGAAGATTTCTGCCTTCATGGAGTTTACATTCTAGTGAGGAAGACAATTAAAACTTAGCAACCGAGTGATCCTTTAACAATGTTATCCTATCTTTTTCATGAAACTTTGCATAGTAAGGTCTTCGACTTTTACTCTGAAGAAAACGGGGAATCCTTGCAAGGTTTTGAAAAGAATAATAGGATATTATTTAACATTTTTAAGGAACCACTCTAGTGACTCACTTAAGAGTGACAGCAGTGGATGTGGTAAGAAGTGGCTGAATTCTGTAAATTCTAAAGACAAAGCAAAAATGGTTTCCCTGTGCATTAGATATGAAGTGAGGACTCGAAGGTGTCTTGGCCTGACCAACTGAAAGGGTGGAGTTGCCATCAGTTTAGATGGGGAAGGCTTCGTGGAGGGGGGTGGGTGGAGTGTAGGAAAGAGGACAAAAACTTGTCAGTTTTAGACAGGTTGAATTTGAGGTATCAGATATCCAAGTGAAGATTTCAAGTTAGAAACTAGATACAAGAGTATGGAATTTGGGAATCAGGTATGGACTGGAAAAATGAGTTTGGGAATTGTCCTGAGTCATGAGACTGGATGAAACCACCCATTGAGGAAGTGCATAGAAAGAAGAGAAGGGGATCAAGCCAAGGAGATTGAGAGGGAATGATTAGTGATACAAAGTCACTGAAGCCAAGTGAAGGAATAACAAATGAATCACTGAACTAGATTCTTCTATTTCCTGCTTTGCCACAAACTACCTTTTGTCTTTGGGTAATTCTGAGTTTTGATTTACCTACATATAGGACTAGAGAGTTAAATGAAATAAAAGTGAACATCCTTGCCACCTAAAAAATTCTACCAAGCTATTTCTTTAGTAGAAAGAATTCCTGGGTTCCAATCCCAACTCTACTTACATACATGCTCTGCAATCTAGGGAAAACTTTTCTGAGTCTCAGTTTCCTCATTTATAAAACAATGAGAGTATATCTCATCTGGCAGGTATGAAAAGAAATTATGTGACTTAACATGAAACTGCCTTGTATTATGCCTAGTATTCTGTAGACATTAATTCAACACAGTTTTTATTTTTTAAGCCTTCCCATTAGAATACTATTTTAATGATCTGAAACTGAATTTTTGAATTAAAGAAAGAACGTAGAAGACAGCCATATCTATCATTATTTTTACAGATGCGCCAAGGACAGTCTGTGCTAGAAAAGTCATTGGGAAAGTATAGGAAGTTCCTCCTTTCATCTTGTCTCAGGCTCCACCTGTTAATTTATAGAATAAACACTTTCATCTTTTCTTAAGGTCCTAAGTTTGATAAAGTGAGGGAGAAAATGTCTTACTATAAATTTGTTTTATAAAGACACCATTGTCAATATGGCTGATATCCTAAACTACTGTCAAATTACATTATGTAATATGTTAAACGAACTATAAAATTCACTCTGAATTGAGCAAACTCAACAGAATATTTTTTCTGCTTTCAGCACTGATTATAAAGTCTTGTACATTTGAGTTTTAGAAATAACTATTATCTTCTAAAAGTTCAAGATGAAGTTACAACCAAAAAGTAAATCCATTCATGTTGTTCATGGTATCCATACTGAGTGATTTAAACTCACTATCTAGTTTACTGACTTCAAATTACTACTCCCAGTAATTTGAGACGCCAAGACAGGTGGATCACTTGAGGTCAGGATTTCAAAACCAGCCTGGCCAACATGGTGAAACCCTGTCCCTACTAAAAACACAAAAATTAGCCGGGCGTGGTGGCACATGCCTGTAGTCCCAGCTACTCAGGAGGCTGAGGCAGGAGAATCACTTGAACCCAGGAGGCAGAGGCTGCAGCGGGCCAAGATTGTGCCACTGCACTTCAGCCTGGTCAACAGAGCA
The DNA here is from genome assembly GCF_000001405.40 of Homo sapiens. Taxonomy (NCBI): domain Eukaryota; kingdom Metazoa; phylum Chordata; class Mammalia; order Primates; family Hominidae; genus Homo; species Homo sapiens. The sequence goes on along the minus strand of NC_000001.11, from coordinate 84,207,897 downwards.
AGATTCCATCTCAAAAAAGTAAAAAATAAAAATGAATAAGAAGAAAATGAAATAAAATAAAGCCAAATCAAATTTGTTTACACTAAGCTTAATCACAGAAATTACAAAGTTGATATTCGAAAGGAGGGAAAAATCTTACTGCTATTCTGCAATTATTGGCAGGAGAAATGATCATTTAACTAGTAACATTATCTTTTATGAATCAGGATAAAATTATTAGGCTTACATGACTCAAAAGGGTTTATATACAGCCAAGAAGCAATAATCTACTAACTACTGGCTACGAGCATGTTGAGATAAATTTTAACAAATTATTTATAAATTAGGTACAGTAAGTTCTCAAAATATCTGCAATCCCAGTAAAGAATTGATTGATCAAAAATGAACATACACATTAGACAATTTTTCAACAGGCATAATAACTTTTCATACGCTAGGCATGTTATAGATATGGTGCCGAGTTCCACACTACCTCATAAGACCTGGGCATCTTTAATCAGCCTGGATTCTATATGTGAAAAGAAAGAGCTAAGACATTAAAAATATTTATAAATATTGGTACTGCATCTGTGGGCTCTCTAATCTGTTCCCTTACCTATGCAGAAACAGTGGTAGATATAATGAGTCTACAAGGTTGCAGAGGATTATGATCCACCCCATTCTCCCTCCCCCTGCTCTCACATAAGAAGCCAGTTTTGCAATTATTTGCTCATAGGACCACAAGAGCTGTCAGAAAGAAGGTATTAATAAGAATTTTAAATAGCCACAGTGAAGTGTTTAAAACTGGCCCTGGGTTTTATGAAAAGAGTAAAACTGCTTTTGTGTTTTATGAAAATGATTTCTGAATACTTCTAAGTCTCTTTAACTATGGCCATAGCAAAATAGTAAATGACATTGTAATTTCCCCAAAAGCATTAACAATAGTATCTTAGAAAAAGTATAGTGGAATATCTGCATATGTGTATGTTATTTAGGAAACCGAATGTGTGTAGAAAAGACTTAACATAGTAGGCCTGAGACTGCTACCCTTAGAAAGAACTGCTTACAAGTTTGGCCCTTGAGAGATGTCTGGCAACTTGAATAGTACCAGTGCCCTTATACCAACATGAAACTTTCCCTAAAGGATTAGAGTGGCTCACTGTGCCTACACTGTTGGTACAAACAACATAGTTTATTCTGAACAACTACTTTTGTTCTGGGAGGCTGGGATTTTGGCATGTGCTAGGCAGAGGGTGCATATGTGACCAACCCCCAATGAAAACTTTGGGCATTGAGTATTTAATGAGTGTTGCTGGTAGATAAAATTTCACGCTTGTCACAGCTTGTTGCTGAAGGAATTATGTGCATCCCTTGTGAATGCCCTGGGAGAGGACTCTTGAAAGCTTGTGCCTGGTGTCTTCTGGACTTTTGCTATCTTCACTTTGTACCCTTTTGTTGTAATAAATCTTAGCCTCAAGTACCACTGTATGCTGAATCTTGTTGAGTCCTCCTGGTGAATCATCAAACCTGGAGACAGTCTTGGGGACTCCTGAGACAGAAAGGAATAGCAATTGGGCTGATAATCAATTACCCTTCATGTAAATATTGAATTTCCCTTCAGGAAAAATTAACCAACTCTTTGATCATTCAGTATATACTTATGTTTATACTTCTCTATGTTGCATGTCTCCTTATATATTGTTACTCATTAGGAGTGGAACAATATTTACATTAGATATGTTGAAGCTAAGAATTTTTTTAAATTACATAAGCCAAGGGCTCTAAAGTTATGGTTTCCATAGTAGCTGTTACTTGAGTACCTTATTTGCAAGTATAATTTTTGACTGCAATATAAACTTTCTATATTTCCATGGGTAACGCAGCCAGACAAAGGTGCTATAGAGACCATAACTGATTCTTGTCATGGAGTACATGACACTGAGACATGAAATTTAAAGACTACATACAGAAACTCAGCATATGTATTGTTAGGATGAGGCATAGTTAATGCAGGAATCATAAATCTTTTCTTTCAACTATGAATTTGTAGACTCAAACCTTAACATTGCATGAATAATGTGACATTTAAATACCACCTCCTCTGTTTTTTTAAAGGCAAAATATGTGTAGGAGAGAATCTAACAAGTTGATTGATCATCTTTGTGTGCATTTAAAAATACCAGCTTGAGTTAAAATATTGTAATAGAGAAAGTATTTTACAATCTAATATTCATATATATGTACTTTAGTGAATTTATCACTTAATTAATAAATTTAACTTTGATAAGTCATTGATACCTATAATCTTTATAACGTGACTTCAGAATGGTGGATATAATCAATATAAGATGCTGTTTCATAAAATAATATGCTTCTAAAATCAACAAAAACAATTCTGAATGAAAAGCATATTCTTAAATGATATATCATTAAAACCATTAAAAGTTCAAATGCAAATATAAATATAAGGATCCACAAATATAAGACCAAATTGGATTTTTAATAATTTGCACAATTTAAAAAATTTAAAAAACTAGTTAGTTTCCAATTTGGCTTTTAGCCACTAACCAGAGAGACAATAATATTTTTGCAATGTGAATAGAGACACATTCTAGTTTGAATTTGAGTTTTGAAACAGATGATTTATTGGGAAATGGTTAATACAATCTAACTTCACATAATACAGAGCCTTTTAATGGCAAAAATTCCACTTTCATGACTTCTACTTTAGATGAGTAAAGGGAGTAAGAGATGGGGATAATTTTATATCCCACATGGGGAGAGATAATCTGGTACTTTTAGTTAAAAAACAAAAGTACACCAAATATCCTGTCATATTTCTAAATAAATGAAGGGGAAAACAGAATATTGTGATATAATAAGGTTTTCTGGTGTCATTCTTCTAAGGTGCCCAGGATTTAGACTGTTATGATTTTAGAATATATGCTGATTATTAGATACAAAATTTTAAAGTTTGATATAAAATGAATATATATTCATAAACAGCTGAATATAAAATTTAACCAATAGAGAATGATTGGCAAATCGAGGCCAATGCATAAAAATGAAGACACATTAATTTTAACTAAAGCAGTTTTTCTTAATAAATGTAAATTTAGTTATGACAGTATCCTTGTTAGAAAATTGGATTTCTTATATGAATATAAATAAAAGTAATATAGTAAAGATTCAAGAACTTTATAATTACTGTCAATTAAATGATTTGAAACAATTATTATAACATTTACATTCTTAGTTTTTGTATTAGTAAAATATTCTTCTTCCATTTGTGATTTTAATGTATTTTGGTTCTCTCATCATTCTTCATATGACCTTTAGTCCTCTTGAGAGTCTACACTTCTCAAATTCTTCAAAAATAAATCACTGCCTTGTCTGTTAATTTTTCTCAAAGTTTTGTTTTGTTCATATCAAAAGTTCTGCTGGGAGAAAACAATTACAAAGATAAGAAGTCTGAAGCCAGAGATCTACAAATGTAAGAAGAACAGCAGTGATACTGATACTTGTTTAAATAAGTACTGCATTCTGCTTTTCTGTATTGCCTTTATCAGTGCACAGCATTCAACACCTAGCTAGGTTTATTTATCTGTAAGAGGTATTTATTTTTTTACCTTTGACATAGTTGGAGTATAAATTCTTTAGTCAGTCTCCTAATTTGTGAATACTGATAATAAATAAAACTTTCTACATAAAACGTGGCAAAATACAAGGGAAAATCTCATGACCCAGGTAGAGTGCATATGTACTATGAGATAGGGAACAATACTGTGCTGAAATGTATGTTCTAGGTGATTGGATAGACTAATTCTATTGGCAAATGTCTTGTTGCTACAGCCCAGCTGTGCAGCATCTATGATTTAAATTTGAGTGTTGGCAAAAAAAATAAATTACCACATTAGAGACATTCAGGGTACCTTGTGAATAGTTAACAATGGAAATTGTAAGTTGATAGATGCCAAGGGTAAGCTTTCACACTAAATGTAGAGCTTGAATATGGCTGAGATACAAAGAAATAAAGACCTTCCCTCTACTATCTCCTTCCGGCTTATCTCTGCCTAAGAAGGTCACAAAATACAAAGCAAACAAATAAAAAATAAAACAAAAAAACCTCAACTCTATAACATCTCAGGCTAATGTGATAAAGATTGATGCTCTATTTCCTGATCATATTCTAAATGGGACTATGTGGGAAAGAAAAGAAAAGACAAAGCAGTACCACATGTAGAAATAGAAAGAAGGGAAAATAAGCAAAATATCCCTTCCCATATATTTTGTCATTAATGTATAGAAGGTCTCCTTCTGGGAATGTTTAAAAGCCTATTCTTTCATTGCTGCATGGTAGGAAATTCAAGCTCATTTCTATTGAATTGACAATGGTCTTTTAAAAAAAGATCCGAGGTCTGAGCTAAGGCAACAGCAAATGACTGACCCTAAACAAAACACTCTTGAAAGCAAATTAGAGGTTATAAGTGCAAAAGAAGGAAGGTTTATGAAGAAATTTACAAAATGTAAAATACTACAACACAGTAAGTCTACTCATGTTGAAGAAAAATTAATGTTATTTCCATGTTTGCTAAAAACCAATGACAAGTATAATCACAATCTATATGAACAATTCTGTTAAAATCAATTCTATAAATTTCCATCTGAAAAAGGCTTATTCATTTTATATTTACTTTTACTTCCAATGTTATAGTATTGGACATAATTAAAACAAGAAGTCTCTCCTGAAAATGGAAGGGCATATAAAACAGCCCCTAAAACTTTTCTCCATGAAGATAGACACATGAAATAATAAACTATTTTTATTTATTTGAAGGAATATCGAGAATTATGGCTATGATCCTGTTCTTTGTGATAAAAATACTAAATACAGAAATTGCTTTACTGTTTTGTTAATTTCTTTATAAAACTGCCCTTTTTTTCTTAAGAGACTGAAATGATTCAATTCTTATGATAGTAAGAGCAGCAACTGTAGATTTTTCTATATTTTTCCCAATGTAGAATAATAATTATGACACAATATAGTTTCAATTCATGAAGCTTAAAATTCATATACAGTAATAAGAGAGGAATAATAAAATGTTTTACTTACCTTTCCAGAAACAATCTTTTCATAAATCTGAATTGGTTGGTCTGCAAAGAATGGGGGATAGCCAGCTGCCATTTCATAGATTAGCACTCCTAATGCCCACCAATCCACTGCCTTATTGTAGCCCTGAGATAAACCAACACCAATGTCAATTGTTACTTAAGTTACTCAAAAGAGAATGAAGTCAAAGATAATTTCAAAATGATCTGGAAGCATATAAAAATTTTTTTAAAGCAATTGCTGAGCAGCTATTCAGGACAGAATTTAAAAATGAACCAAATGTATCAGGTCAGATTTAAATTAAACAAAGGAGAGGATTTCCAGATACTGAAATTGGATATTAGGAAAGAGTATTAAATCTTCTTCCTAAAATTATTAAGAATATTATAGACAATGAAATTTTCTTTATTTCACTGGTATAATTTAGTTCTTGCTCAATAACAGGAAGGCAGTTAGACCACATTACTTCTTAAGGCCCACTCTAGGTCCATAATCTTATGAAACAGATTTTCCACAGCATGCCTAGAAAGATCAAAAGTTTTCAAAGAAAATAATAGAAACTGGACTACATAGTAAATAATGAAGTTGACTTCAAAATACTCTATATTTTTGGAGTTAGGAGGGTGAATGTGCTAGGGATAATCCCATCTGCTTCATAGGATTTTGTGAAAGCAAAAAGTTTAATGTAAAATTCAATTCATGTAAATATTTAGGTATACTTTACTTCTGCTATCTACTGTCTTGCTTCCTATATCTAAAAGATATGCAGGAAAAAAATGAATTCACAGAGTTTTGTGAGGACTGTATCAAATGAAAGGGAGTAACGTGTGTAAAAAGTGCTTTGCAAACCAAATGTAAAAATCACAGGTTATGTTTGTTTTTTTCATATTAAGCTTACTAAAATTAAAATTTGTAAGTATTCATAAGAAAATAAATAAGAATAACATCTTCATATTAACATGCTAATATAGTTTATTAACTATGGTCAGTATCAACTGACACAAGAGATTTTTTAACAACCCCAAAAACCTGTCATGAAGAGAAATAAGCTGAATTCTACCCAGATCTATTGCTCTGCCCTCAGAGGTACCCTCTACCATCACGACTCACCACATTCCACCCTTTTGTCAAAATTTTAGCTTTACAAACTACTTAGTTTTCAAAATTCTAGCAAAAATATAATACTTTAGCGCTATAGAGATTTTCTTTTTCTCTTTTTTTTCCTGATACTGTGTATATCTTTTTAAGGGAAGGAGTGGTATAACAGGAATAGCACTTTGTTTTTTAATAGAAATAGGCATTAACTCTCTTTAACTTTTTGATTCATATGTTTAAATTGTGTGCTAATGTTTATAGTAAATATGTCAGACACAAGTTAATACCCAAGGTATAGAAATCAAAACACATCAATAAGAAAAATGTTAAATTACAATAGATAAATGGGCCAAGGAAATGAACTAATAATTTACAGACACATAAAGAAATACCAAATGGCTATTAACCATTTGAAAAATAAATAAAAAACATGAGAATTAAAACAATGAGATACAATTTATTGCCTATGAAATCAGTAAATATTTTAAAAATGAGTATACCCAGTGATAGTGTTATGAAATAGGCACTATAATACACTAATGGTAGAAGTGTAAAATGGCATAATAACTTTGGAAAGCAATTTGGCAATATGTATCAAAAGCCTTAAAAATGTTCCTATTCCTTGACCCAGTAATTCTACTTCTGGGAATATATGCTAAGGAAATAATGTAAAATAAGGAAAAAACTTTTATGTATAAGGATGTTTATCATAGTTATTTATAATAATAAAAAAATCAAAAATAAAACCTGAACACTCAACGATAGAAGAGTGGCTACATATTTTATGGTACATTTACAAACAAGCCATTAGAATGATGTTTGCATGCTTGTTATTATAAAAGTGAAAAAAGTCAGAGACAAGACTATATATATTTACTATGATTTCAACTATGACAACCCAGAAATAAGTCCATACACCTACGACCACCCGATCTTTGACAAAGCTGACAAAACCAAGCAATGGGGAAAAGTTTCCCTACTCAATAAATGGTGCTGGGATAACTGGCTAGCCACATGCAAAAGACTGAAGATAGATCCCTTCCTTATACCATATACAAAAATCAACTCAAAATGGATTAAAGACCTAAATGCAAAACCCCGGAGTATAAAAACCTTGAAAGACAACCTAGGCAATGCCACCCTGGACATAAGAATGGACAAAGGTTTCATGACAAAGACACCAAAAGCAATTCCAACAAAAGCAAACACTGTCAAGTGGGATCTAATTAAACTGAAGAGATTCTGCACAGCAAAAGAAACTATCAACGGTAAACAGACAACCTACAGAATGGGAGAAAATATTTGCAAACCATATGCATCTGCCAAAGGTCTAATATCCAGCATCTATGAGGAACTTAAACAAATTTACAAGAAACAAACAACCCCATGAAAAGGTGGGCAAAGGACATGAACTGACACTTTCTAAAACAAGACATACATGCGGCCAACAAAGATATGAAAAAATGCTCAATATCACCGATCATTAGAGAAATGCAAGCAAGTCAAAACCACAATGAGATACCATTCCACACCAGTCAGAATGGCTATTACTAAAAAGTAAAAAAATGGAAGGGCATAGTGGCTCACCCCTGTAATCCCAGCACTTTGAGAGGCCAAGGAGGGTGCACCACTTGAGGTCGGGAGTTCAAGACCAGCCTGACCAATATGGTGAAACCCTGTCTCTACTAAAAAATACAAAAATTAACCAGGTGTTGTAGTGCATGCCGGTAGTCCCAGCTACTTGGGAGCCTGAAGCACGAGAATCGCTTGAACTCAGGAGGCAGAGGTTGTAGTGAACCGAGATCACGCCACTGCACTGCAGCCTGGGCGACAGAGCAAGACTCCATCTCCAGAAAATAAATAAATAAATAAATAAATAAACAAATAGTCAAAAAATAACAGATGCTGGCAAGGTTGCAGAGAAAAGTGAACACTTAGACACTGTTGGTAGGAGTGTAAATTAGTTCAACCATTGTGGAAAGCAGTATGGAGATTCCTCAAAGAGCTAAAAGCAGAACTACCATTCGACCCAGCAATCCCACTACTGGGTATACACCCAGAGGATTATAAATCATTTCATCATAAAGACACATGCATTTGTTTATTCATTGTGGCACTATTCACAAAAGCAAAGACATGGAATCAACCTACATGTCCACCAATTGTAGACTAGACAAAGAAAATGTGGTACATATACACTACGGAATACTATGCAGCTATAAAAAGGAATGAGATCATGTCTTTTGCATGAACATGGATGGAGCTGGAGGCTATCATCCTCAGCAAACTAATGCAGAACAGAAAACCAAATACCACATGTTTTCACTTGTAAGTGGGAGCTAAATGATGAGAATTTATGAAGACAAAGAAGGAAAAAACAGATACTGGATTCTACTTGAGGGTGGAGGTAGGGAGGAGGGAGAGGATAAGAAAAGATAACTATGGGTACTGGGCTTAATTCCTGAGTGATGAAATAATCTGTATAACAAACCCCCATGACATGAGTTTACGTCTGTAACCAACCTTCACATGTATCCCTGAACCTAAAATGAAAGCTAAAATAAAGCTAAAATGTGTGTGTATATATATATATATATGCATATATATACATATATGCATATATACGCATATATATACATATATGCATATATACGCATATATATATGCATACATATGCGTATATATGTGTATATATACGCATATATGTATATATACACATATACATATATACATATATGCGTATACACATATATATGAATATATATGTATATATACACATATACATATATACACACACACCACACATATGTGTATATATATACACATATATACACATATATGTGGTGTATATATATACACATATACACATATATACATATATGTACATACATATATGAATGTTTTTAAAAAGGCTGCGTCTAGGTTGGTGGGATTACATATAGGTTTTTTTTTGGTTGTTTGTTTATGTTTTTCTGTATTTTCTAAATTTTGTATAATGAGTATTACTTTTACAATATATACACATTTGTAAAAGTTTTAGTGCTCATTTTGTTGTCCCATTATTTGTTAACTGTATTTAAAGAAATGTGTTAACTACAATGATATTTAGATTATAAAATATCAAGAAGTTACATATTATTTAAATTATGAAAGATAATGAGAGAAAAGTTGAAAGAAATCTTTTATTTTAACACTTCTATAAGTTAGCCATATTTCAATGATTCCATTTGGGAACCAGTGAAGCATGTGTCTTATCCCCTTCCTTTTCCTCTCTCCTATTTGTGCCTGGTTATTGTTAGGTTCTCCTTTCTAGATTTCTCCACCAAGTGATGGCAGAGGAAAAGTTAACCATTCTTTTGGATATAGGTACAGTTTCTCTCACCACGTTTCACTATTTAGAAAAGCAGAGCTGCCTTCAATAAGACTAAAACTATTCAATTGCTGTTAATAGTCCTATTTAAAATTTAAAAACACTTCTCATACATTCCTTTTATTTAACTGGTAAATTTGAAACAAAGAAAGAATGGACAACTAGTACATATCATCTCTAGATTTACCTCTTGGTATAATCCAGAGCAAGTCTTCTCTACCCTTCCGTTACTAGGAATAATTAAGAAAAGACTATGTTTTTGGTTGCAAAACATGGATCTAGAGGTCATATTTATTCATATTATATCTCTAAGACCCAGAGTTAAAATTGACAGAGGTTACAGGATTAGTGGTAGATGCTAAATAATAATTCTTTAGTAATCATGCACAAATAGATTTAAATTCATAACTTAGATCAAATTAAAAATGTAAAATTAGATCAATAAACTGTTTTTACAAAAGTCCATAGGGATGCATGTCTCATATTTCTACTTCTTATGTGTTGATATTATGAATATACCTTGCTGAGAATTATTTCTGGAGCCAAATACTCTGGAGTTCCACATAATGTCCAAGTTCTGCCTTTAACTCTTTTGGCAAACCCAAAGTCTGTGACCTATAAAAGAAAAAAAGAATACTAGTGAAAATGTATTACCTCACAATAAATGTATTTATTGCACCTACGTTGAAAGTTTAAAATTCAAATTGAAACTATGAAAGAAATGGAAAAAAAATTAAGTCCACGTAATTGAAATTCATTCATGAATATCTAGTGAATGAAAGTTTAAACAATCCAAGTTGGAAATCCTTCCTCAACTCAAAGAAAAGGAACAAATTAATAACAACAAAACTCTTTTCAGTCATTATTATAAGATCCTAGACCCAAGGAATAAAAAAGTGAAAATAAAAGGTAAAAATAAATAGCATTAATAAAAATGAAACAATGCTAAATGTCTGCCTTACCCCAATGTGTCCTCTGCCATTAGTTGCACCATCAGAAGTGTAAAAACGTCAATGGGAGAATCTATCAATAATTGTGTAAAAAGAAATGCTCCCACTTTATTAGTAGTAGAAGTGGAAAGAAAACGTTGCTACGAGTTCAGTATTGGTAGTCAGGGATTCTTTGGCAGTTATATTGTAGTCGTAAAGGGCATGGACTCTGGGATCAGACTGCCTAGGTTCAAATTCTGACTCTACCATTTATTGGCTAAATGACCTTGCTATGTCTTAGTTTTGTTAATCTTAAAATGAAGATAACAATGGTATTTCCACTTCATAGGTTTATCAGGATTAAAGAAATAATACATGTAAAACAAGTGGAATATGCCTGGCACTAATAACTGCTCATAGATTTAGCTATTAATATCTCCTTATGCAAGAGGCTATACTCAGTTCACAACTATAGATTAATGGAGATATAAACAAGTTCCTTTCATAACAGGATTTTTGCTTCTCTGTAATAGCAGCAAAACTCTGAGCTCTACTTAAACTATTAGGAGAAAGTGTCTTCTTCAAAAAAAATTCCAAGTTGGGGTTACATACATACAATGTCTTGCCTAGTATTTTCTCATATACAGTACACATAATGTGTTAAAGTCATACCTGGATATAGCCTTGATGGTCAATTAAGAGATTTTCAGGTTTTAGATCTCTGTAGATGAGGTCTAGTGAATGGAGGTACTCGAATGTTAGCACTATCTGAGCTGCATAGAACCGTGCATGGGGCTCACTGCAAAGAAATAAAACCATTGATTTTCTGTAAAAATGAGTTAATACATTCTAATTAGTAGATTATGCATAAAAACTAATATGAAGTAGAGGTACTTTGGGAACAAAAAGTATTTTTTTAAAAAGTATGTAAAGAACCTTGTTACTTTTCAAATATTTATTAAATCTCTATATTTTGTTCAAATAACGCTCTGATAAATTTATGGGGAAGCATATGTTGAGGAAAAATATAAACCTAAAATAGTTAGCTCATTGTGAATCATTATTGCCCATATTTAAATATATTGATGTCTTTCTAATTATGTCTGATCTTGAGAATAATTGGAAAGCAAATGTGCCAAATGGAGTGTCTATCGGGGCCACTGCTATAGTTAACAGGCTCCATCTACTTTTCTCACAAATTTCAAGTGTTTATAGAATTTCCCTATGTAGAAGCTCTTTAGCTGCATTTATCTGCAGATTAATGCCATTTTACCCATTTTGTAATAGTTCCTGTTACAAAAATGACATACGCTCGTTATGGAAAAATATCATAAAATATTGATGAAGAATAATGAATACTCATAAACCTATTCAGAAACCATAGATACAATCTTGGCATCAGAATTTCCAAATCTTTTACTATGCTTGTTTACATAGATTCACAGACATAAGTATAATCTCTATGTTAGTGTAAATACGTACAGTTCTTTTTTTTTTTTTTTGAGACACAGTCTTGCTCTGTTGCCCAGGCTGGAGTGCAGTGGCACAATCTTGGCTCACTGCAAACTCCGCCTCCTGGGTTCAAGCGATTCTTCTGCCTCAGCTTCCTGAGTAGCTGGGATTACAAGCGCCCACCACCATGCCCGGCTAATTTTTGTATTTTCAGTAGAGACGGGGTTTCACCATGTTGGCCAGGCTGGTCTCGAATACCTGACCTCAAATGATCCACCCGCCTCAGCCTCCCAAAGTGCTGGGATTACAGGAGTCAGCCACCGCACCCAGCTAGTTCTTTTATGTATATATTAGATTAATAGATCAGTGTAATTTTGATGTCAGAATCTGAAAAATCCAAAAGGATGTACCAATTTTCTGAGTTTCTAATTTATCTTCTAATGTATTACTTGAATTCTACTAATCTGCCTGATAAATAACAATGACTTTCAGATTTGTTTCCTCAGTGAACAACCTTAACTATGAATAGGATTTCCCTCAAGATGGTTGGTATGAATTTGATCTGGTAGCAAGAGAAATACAAATTCCAACAAAAGACTTTATGTGCTGCCTTTTTTTGCTTGTCACTGCATTTCCCAAGTGCTCAGTAAATATTTGTTGAAAGAATGCATATGTAAAGAAAAATGCTTTTGGGGAGCAAAATTTTATAATACCCTTCCAGTTTCAGCTTCATCCCAACACTGTCAATCCACATTGTATGCCAAATGACAAGGAATGAGGAGAACATTGTAAGCAGAGATTAAAATAATCATTCTGGTCATTGCAACATTTATGCTTAAACTGGGAAACATCTGACCTGGGAGGTCCCCTCTTACTTTATCCATGCATCTGTAAACATAAAATGCACGTTTACATGCATCTGTAAATGTAAAATGTCATTAATATGATTACTTTTTACTTATAAAATATTAATTTCCATATGCTGGTGTTTAATTGGAGGAACACATACATTACATAGATCTATAATAAAATTCTTTTTTTTTCTTACTCTGTCACCAGGCTGGAGTGCTGTAGCATGATCACTGCAGCCTCAAACTCTTGGGCTCATGCAATCTTCCCACCTCAGTCTACCGAGTAGCTGGGACTACAGTTGCACACCACCATGCCCAGCTAATTTTTTGTATTTGTATGTGTGTGTGTGTGGAGGGTTTGGTTTGCCATGTTGCCCAGGCTGGTTTTGAATTCCTGAGCTCAAGTGATCCACCTGCCTGAGCCTCCAAAAGTCCTGGGATTACAGGCTTACATGAGCCACTGTGCTCAACCTATAATCGAATTCTTGAAAGGTGAAAGTAAAATGTTCCAAGTGCAAAGTGTTATTGGGTATTTCTACTTAATATTTAATTGAATGTAGGAAGACAATGGTAAGGGCTAATGCTGTAGCAGTTTTAAGTCCAGACAGCTTTAAGTAGAGAATTATAATGCCTCATTTGATTCTGATTAAAGCCATGCTAAACAATAACTCATATTCCTATTGCCTCAAAACTTCTAAGATGGACACTGGCAATTGTTCAAGTGTATATGTAGTACTTGTGAAAGATGAGATAAGGCAAGTGTCTCAGTGTGAATTCCTTCAATCAACTTGCTATCCTTTTAGTACCAAGTCAAGTATTAAAGAGTCAATATCAAAGAGTACTAAGACTGTGAGGAGTTGCAAAGAAAAGAAGTTACCAATTATATAAAGTTAACAAAAACTTTTTTGAGAACAGGTTCAGGTGTGGTACTTTAGTGTAAACTTTAAATAACCATAAGGCAATATGAGGATTCTGCTTGAACAAGGGGCAGTAGGAGAGAGAGGACGATAGGAGAGGAAAGAAAATTCTCAAAGATAAGCAGAAGCTACTTTGCACAGTGCCTGACACTATATTAATTATATTAGTTGCCCTGTGCATAGTAAGTCAATAAATGAATCTTGGCTTAGGCCTCGGGTAATTAAAATGACTCCAATGTTTGCTCATTACTTGATATCATCTTGTGATATTCTGAGTCTGCCACCATCATTTTATGAATCAAATTACCATCATCAGTCCTGTTTCAGTTCATACTTGTGTTTTAGTTATGCCAGTATTTAATTATGAAAGTTAATTGTGTAAGTTGGGTCATTTTTGTCATACCCAACTAAATCAGAGTTGATGGGCCAGGGCAATAAAGCACTCAGAGCACCCAGCACCTGCTCCAAGAATTAAATTTTCCACATGCCTAGCTGCTAAAGCTTCCTGCTGTAACCTGAAGCCAGTTTTATCTAATAGCTACTGAAACAACCTGCTGTGACTCTAAGACTAGTTTGAACCCACCACCATCACTCACCAATCACAGCTTGCCAGCTCCCCAAAACTTTGCTAGTGCCAATGAACTTTGTCCCAAAACGTAAAACTTCTCCTTTTTATAAAACTTTCAACCTTCTTTTTATTCTTCAGTCACACCAAAGACCACCTGGTCTGTGTGGATACCTTGCATTGTAATTCTTGCTTCCCAAATAAAATATCAAATCTAGAGATTCATCTCTATATTTTTATTTTGACTTTGATATACTTGGTGTCAGAAGTGGGATCCTAAAGCTGACATACTTCAGGGAGAATCACTGGCCCTGGGAACTACAGCATGAAGTACCCCCATTGGAGCCCTTTCAGTCCCGCTGCTTCTGGGGAGTCCCCTCTTTTCCCCTTAGTGAGTCTCTTTTGGACTAAACTCTTAATTTTGGTTGAGTTCTGTTTTATTTGGGATTTGGCTGGGAAGGGGTCTTTCTCTTTCCCACTCCTGTTTGAGAGGCGTCTTTTGCCTCCTGGTTAACTGATCTCCTGTTGGGGAGGGTTATTTTCCCCCTGTTGACTTCAGGTGTAAGGTTTAGACCTCAGTTTTGAGGTTTGGATGAGGAGACTTTCCCCTTCATTTGGAGAAGGCTTATTGTTCTTCCTGGTAAGGACATACTTTATTTTCTGTTGGTGCTTGTGTTTATTTGGCCTTGTGTATTCAGCACCTGTGTTTAGTTGGCTCTTACGTATTTGGCATTAAACCGAATCACCTAAATACATTTAGTTAAAAATAGGCTCTCAAAGTTTGAAGGCATGCCAAGATATTTTCTGAGACTCCAGCTGGTAACATGTTCAAACGTTATAGGAATCATTCAAACAGTCTGTTGTTCTTACAACAAAACTAAAAGACCATGGTGACAAAATCATATACTCCAAATAAGACTCATATCTCAACTGATATCTTAAGGCTAATAAAAATTTCAGGACTCAGAGATTGCCTTGTTACAAAATACTGTCTCAAAGCTAGCGGAGACAAGTTCCCTTCTGGAGCTTTTCCCTCCACGTTTACAATTCCTCTTCTTTATCCTAATCTAGACTAAACTCTTTTTTCCCAAAAATCCTCAGCTATTTTGGCATATTATTTAATTAAAAACACTTGAAAATCATCAGATAAAAAAGAAAATCATTGTGATTTTCATGCTGTTTTGTTTTTAAGATAAAATTCCAATGTAAAGGACACTGTCCCTATACTAAAAGAAATGGCAACAATCTTACCTTCAGGGACAAAGAATTGAGACAAGAAAATATTGTACAGACCTAATTAGAATAACTCCTATCATTTGGGTCTCCTCACATAATTCATTCACATTTTCTCAGTTAACAGTTCTTTGTCTATTCCAGTATATTGCTAACTGACTCAAACTACTCTACCTATAATTTAGTTCACATACTTCATAATATTACCTATTAAAAAAAGCTTAAAGTTTAGCCTCATCCCATTTTGTTAGAAAAATAATTTGGATCTAACTCTTTTTATAAACTGATGTGCTTATTGTTTTACTATCTCATGATTAAAGTTCTAAAATAAAAGCTGTAATATTTTTATTTATACATTAGTATAGGTGTTTAGATGCTTTTATGCATATGTACATATATTGTATGCTGTGTCTATATAATAATATCTGACATAGTTGTCTAGAAATCCCTTAAAGAATTCTATTTGGATAAATGGGTGCTTATATAAAATATTTTAGTTCACATGACTTAAGTACATCTTTGATAAATTAATTGGTTTTTTAATTATTTATTTTTTAAAATTTATATTTTAGATTCAGAGAGTACATGTGCAGGTTTGCTACATGGGCATATTGGATGATCCTGAGGTTTGGGGTATGAATGTTCCTATCATCCAGGTGGTGAGCATAGCACCCACTGGGTAATTTTTCAGCCCATATTCTCCTCCCTCCCTCTCCTCTCTAGTAGTCCCTAGTGTCTACTGTTTCCATCTTTATGTCCACGTACACTCAACGTTTAGCTCCCACTTAAAAGTAAAAACATGAAGTATTTGGATTTTTGTTCCTGTGTTAATTCACTTAGGATAATGACCTCCAGCAGCTTCTATGTTGCTGCAAAGGACATGATTTCATTCTTTTTATGGATGCATACTATTCCATGGTGTATATATACCACATTTAACTTGAAGGCAGCTTCAGAGAAATGTCAGGTCACTTACAGAGGGAATTCCATCAGGTGCATCAGCAGGGGACCTCTCAGCTTATACCTTACAATCCAAAAGAGATGGGGGCCTATTTTCAGCATCCTCAAAGAAAAAAAATTCCATCTAAGAATTTAATATCCCACTAAATTAAGCTGCACAAGTGAAGGAGAAATAAAATCTTTCTCAGACACCAAGCAAACACTAAAGGAATTTCATTATCACCAGATCAGCCTTACAAGTGGTCCTTAAGGGAGTCCTAAACATGGAAATGAAAGATCAATATCTGCTACCACAAAAACACACTTAAGCTCATAGCCCACAGACAATATAAAGCAATTACACAATCAAGTCTGCAAAGCAATCAGCTGGTAACATAATAACAGGATCAAAATCTCACATATCACTACTAACCCTGAATGTAAATGGTCTAAATGACCCACTTAAAAGGCAGCTGGATAAAAAGAAAAGTCCCAACTGTCTGCTATCTTCAAGAGACCCATCTCACCTATAAGGACACTCACAAGCTCAAAGTAAAGGGATGGAGAAAGAACTACCATGGAAATGGAAAACAAAAAAGAATAGGAGTCTATTCTTACATACAATAAAACAGAACTTAAATGATCAGGAAAGACAAAGAAGGGCATTACATAAAGATCAAGGGTTCAATTCAACAAGACTTAACTATACTAAAAAGTTACTAACAAAATAAAATGAGAAATGTCTTCAAAATTGTCAACACAGATTTTTGCCTAGATTTCCTGGTCAGAGAGTTTTATATTTGCCTCTGATAAATTTCTTAAGGTCATGAAGCTATAAACCCAGACTAAAACAAAATGATCTTTGTATATGCTATTATTTGATAAATAAGATTTAATATTACTGATTTAATAAACGTGTATCTTCTGAGTTATTGAAAGAATATTCATGTATCTAACTTTAAGTTCTTATTTAGGTAAACATTTGATATTAACAGGCTATAAAATTGGCTAATAAAAATAACTTAAAATAACGACTCTGCCTAATATCTCAATTTTCATAAGTAATCCAGGGATAATTAATAAAAATGAATAAATTAGGTGAATGTTAATTAAATAAACATTTATAAATCAATGTCTCATGTAATTTAAAGTCTTACAGTTATGTTATATTAAATTAAATAATAAGATACTTATTAGATGTCTGGGCCATAACAAATAAGTTTAAAAACTAAAACAAATTGCTAAATAAATATAAATCCCTTATTGGGTTCTTAAGTTCTATAAAAAGTTTAAGTATATTGAGGTCTAGTAGTCAAAATATGAATGTAAGAAAAAAATATGTTGTATGAAAAGTATATTAGGTGGTAAATATTTTTCCTAAAGTAAAATGATTGGCTGTTCCAAAAACGGAGGAAGAAGAAAAGAAAAATTATAAGATTAAGACTGGGGGTTTGGAAAAATGAAAGGATGGACCTTATGAAAAAAGTTTTATGTGTAAATAGTTAGGGAAAGAAATTGGAAAGGAAAATTGTTTACATATTTTTCTAAAAATTAATGATTGGTGTCAAGGGTGCACTGACAAAGGACCAGAATCTTGCTCTCTATATTTAAACAAAACTTTCTTGAAGTATTGATCTGCTCTCAATAATACTGCAAAAGGTTGTGATTTTTAATTATAAAATCTGTTTCTTTGACAGCCATCTTCCAAAGTGCAATTTCTATTTCTGCCACATTTCTTCCTGAGATCTAATTAATTTCCCTAGTTTTAGGTTTGAAATGCTGTCCTCTTCATTAAAAATAGTAATTCCATTTCTTGAGGTAAAGTTTTCCTTTTGAAATTTATATTTCAGAAGTTCGGCTTTTGCTGTGTCACACTACACATGATTTGAAGGTCATACATCCCCTTCTCTTTCTTGAAAGGTATATCTTTTTGCTTGGCTGGGTTGATAACTCCCTCCTTCAACCTTTTTCCTCAACTCCTAGAACTTTTTTTTTTTTTTCAGTTTGAACTTTGTTATGGCCTGATGCAGAAACGTTTATCTTAAAGGCCTAGAAAAACGAAGTTTTCTTTCAGTATAATTTGAATCTGTATTCTTGGCTCTTCTTGGTATGTCTGTATTATTTCATGTAACCAGGAAATTTCTCATGCTGTTACTGAGAGCCATGTATTTCCCTGCTCAAGATAGTCCTCTTCTTGTTCATATTTTTCTATAACACAGTGTACACTCAATAACCCTGGACACATTCTTCCTGTGTCTGATTAAATTCAAGTACTCAATCAACTTTCAGATGATTGGTAATTTTTTTAATGGAAAGCTCTAAATGGGAAAAAGAAATAATGAGCATACTGCAGAAGATTTTTCTTTACCATTTTGGTGATTTGTCTAAAAAACTAGATTTTATATTTTATCAAGATAATATCCTATGTTGTCTTTATCAGGTTTTTCATTACTCAGAAAAACTGAGCTTTAAAAATAATAAAAGTTTTCACATTCATATAACTTTCTGTATTACATCTGATGTCTTTTGATTATCACTCTGGTTAAATAAATGACTATTATTTTACAGTGACCTGTTACTCCGTTTTGACCAAGGGTTTTAAGTCTTTTAAGATGTTTAACAAACTTCCCAAAAATCAAATCCTAAATTAAATGTTCTTAATCTAGAATTAGCTTTGGGATTTTCCAGCTGGGCCCTTGGAAAACATTTGAAGACACAGATCTCATCTTGTAGACGTATTAAATAATTAGATTTATTTTTAAATTATATAAGAGATTGTATAAATGATGTGATACTAGATCTTTTAGTTGCATTTATGGCTATGTTGTTCATATGAATGTTTCAAAAATTATATAAATTCAGAGAAATTAACGTTATTCATAATTCTGGTTATTGTCTTAAAATGCTAGATAAAATAGAAATAACTAATTTTACTTGTTAATTGTAAACTTTCATCAGATTTTTACCCATGGCTATTCTAGATTTTTGTCATCCAGAGTTAATATTTTGAATTCTCAAAATTATTTACAATCAGATTCATAGAAAAGACCCCAACAAGTACCCTTAAATACAGGTTTTTAATAACTTTAAGATCAATAGACTAAATAAAAATTTCCAGAACCCTAATAAAAAAAGATGAGTATATGAAAATACTAATTAAGATCAAGCAGAACAAAAATTACATGAAATTAAATAATTGATAAAAATAATGTTTTCATAACTTTCATTTAAAACATTGTTACATTGTTAGTTCTTAAATATTTTGGTTTCCAGATTTAAAAAAACTTATCTCTTTAGCTATTTATAATTTATAGCAATTTGGTAAAGTATATTTTTGTAAAAAAAGATAAAAGCATTTGCTTTTTTTCTCCTTAATTCAAAAATTAGTTGTAAGTACTTTTATGGGAATATGACTATTTGCACAGGTCCAGTAAAAATCTGCTCTCTCTTTATAGCAGAATATGAAAACACTGATTATATTACTAAGGCTCTAACTGAACTATCGTATTTAAAAAGTGCATAAAATGCCTGACTTCAAGGGTTTCTCAGCATTACAATGAGTAAATAAAAACTGTTACTTCCTGGCAGGACCAGGAACCTCAAGACTGTAAGGAAAATCTAAGACTGCCTTGGTTCGGCTTCCTTGCCTCAAGAGGTTTTTAAATCCAAGATTCCTATGTAATCAATGTAGAGAAAAAAGTTTTTTCTAAAGAATAACTATAATATACCTGTTATTAGACTGTAAGTCTGTACATTATTTTTGAGTCTTGTTATCTACCTATAGACTAGACAAGGTCCTAAATTCTTCTAGGTTCCTCCAATCGAACTTTCTTCCATAAAATTACTAAAATGAGAACCGCTCTGTTCCTGAAGTCCTGTTAGCTGAAACTATATAAATTTTAAGAAACAAGTCTCATGCCTGATGTATGGGCCACACAGAAAGTTCATCAAACTGCCCAAAGCCATAGCCAGAGACATTTACACTGTAAACAAAGCCAAGAAAGTTGATGTTTTCCATGGTGTGAACAGCTTTTCTCAAAACACTAGAACAAGACTCCATATTGTAATGAAACTCTTACCCCTCTTAATGCCTGCTTTTTCACTTAACCAAATAATATTGTAATTTAAAATTCACAATCAGTAACTGCTATAGGTACTGGTGAGACCTGCTAAAGCCATTGACAAAGCCTGACTTAAGAAATTCTTTCAGTTCATCTAGTCACAACATCGACAATATCCTTAACACAATTTTTTGTTTAATTTGTGCTGGTGGTCCCTCTTGCAAAGTTTGGCATTCTCTGCTTTAGTTCAACCCAGTCATAAAATGTTAGTCAATGGCTATAGCAGGTCTCACCAGTTTCCCCTGGTCCTTTGATTTCTTTAGTTTTTTGCCCTTAGGCCTGGGCTTTAGTTCAAAAGCACTGCACAAATACATTTTACTATATTGTTAATTTTTTTGTACTATCATTTGTAAGCTTTGTTCTTAGTGCCTATCTAATCTTTGTAAAGGCAGCTGTCCCAACAGAATAACGTTAGCCCAACACTTAAAGATGACTGCTAATACCTATGGAAGTGATAAGTGGGAACTCGATGCTGGCTGGACTCCAGACAAAAATCTACTTTGAGAAAAATTTTCCTTCTGGCCTCCTCGTTACTTGAATGTGGCCCAGGTCCCTACATAGACACCCCCCAACAGATAACTTCTCTCATATGTGGGACAGAGACAACCAGAACAAGTCCATCCGAGCACCAAGGAATAATTAAGCCTAACTTCAAGATGGTTGACAAGCAATGCTTTCAGAGAAAGATCTTGATCAAAAGGGAAAAATGTGAAAGCTGATTATACAAATTAGTCATTCTCATCATACCTAACTAAATCAGAGTCGAGGGGCCAGGGAATAACGCACTCAGGGCACACAGCACCTGCTCCAAGAATTAAGGCCAGGTGTGGTAGCTCACACCTGTAATCCCAGCACTTTGGGAGGCCAAGGAGGGTGGATCACTTGAGATCAGGAGTTCGAGACCAGCCTGGCCAACACGGTGAAAACCTGTGTCTACCAAAAATAGAAAAATTAGCCGGATGTGGTGGCGGACACCTCTAGTCCCAGCTACTCGGGTGGCTGAGGCAAGAGAATCACTGGAACCCAGGAGGCAGAGGTTGCAGTAAGTCGAAATGGTGCCGCTGTACTCCAGCCTGGGCAACAGAGGGAGACTCAGTCTCAAAAAAAAAACCAAAAACAAACAAAAAAATTATATTTTCCACAAGTCTAGTTGCTGAAACTGCCTATTGTAACCTGAAACCAGTTTTCTCTAACAGCTACTGAGACAACCTACTGCGACTCTTAGACGAGTCTGACCCACCACCATCACTCACCAATCAGAGCTTGCCAGCTCCCCAAAACTTAACTAGTGCTAGTAAACTTTGTTTCAAAACAAATAAACATAAAATTTCTTTTTATAAAACCTCCAACCTTTTCTTTGTTTTCTAGACACATTGAAGACCACCTAGTCTGTGTATATGCCTCAAACTGCAATTCTTGCTTCCTCAATAAAATGTTGAATTTAGAGATTTGTCTCTACATTTTTATTTTGACTTCAACACACTATACTGAATGAAGCTGTACCTGTTTTTTATTTTAGCTTTATTCTATTAGTGATTATTAATGAACGGTAGAAGCTTATAAACTATTAAGTACAGGTAAAACCATCAGATTCTATAACCTATTTTAATAACTCTGAGATCTTATTAGTCATAACCTGATGAGGTACAAACTCCCGTTAAATTATGTGTATATTTTAAAAACTAAACTTAGCAAGAACTTTAAGGAGAATTAAATTTGTGAAAAACAAACTTTTATAATCTTATTACCATAATACTATTATTATTATTTCTCTATATATTTATTTTCCATCTTCATCCTTAAAACAATCCTCTGTCCTGGAGTTGTATTATTAATCTTTGTTTAATAAATATTGATATTTTAAAATTCAATTAATTTTTCCATTTTCTGAAAACTCTTCAAGTAGTGGACCCTCACAATATCTAGCAGTAGTATAACATTTAAATTGGCTTCAAAGTCCTTTTTTTATATTAAATTTTTATATTCTTTATATTAAAACTTGTGTATGATGTGGCCTCTTTGTTTCCACCTAATGCTTCATATGGCCAAAATATTAATCAAACAAAATAAGTTTTTGGCATTGGCATCAACTTAAAAATCTGGTTAAACAACACAAGCATATAAAGATTTGAAGAAAGCAAAACCATTAGTTACCTGAACCTTCCAATTCTTCTTAGATGTGAAAACATTTCACCCCCAGGGACATATTCCATAACCATGTATAAATTAGAATTATCCTATGAACAAATAAAAAGGAAATACAATTATTCAACTTAGGTCAAAATTATTTTAATATTATATAATGCTGAATTAGAAAAATTTAAAATCTCTCTGACAGATTAATAACCTTGAGAAATAAAGAATAAATGGAACATGCTCTAGCTTTTCTATACAGAGACACTCATATTTTTCCCCTCCTAGTTATTTTTGCCACAAACTAGTCTGGGACTTTTGCTCTTCCTTTTCTTGCAGAGAACATCTAGTTCTCAAACAATTAAATACTCAGGCAATGAAGTAACGTTATAATATATGCAAAAGAATAACAAAGGTAAAAAACAATTTAAAAAGTTAATAAGAATATTTACATTTTATGTATAAAAGATTAATGGTTTTAATATTTTAAATACATAGGTCTTCATTTAATTTAAAGAATAAAGGAGAAAAAAGATTAAAATGTTTCATATGATTCAATATTGCAGAGAGATGCCAGTATCATTCCAAAGAGCTCAAAAGTGACCAATTTAAATAATAAATGTGGTACAATTTTTCAGACATTTGAATAGTGGAACAAAAATTTTGCTTTGTATAAGTGAAAAGACTAGAACTCAAATTACTAAGTAAAAGAAGATGAGATAGTGGCAAAAAGGGCTTAATCAAAGTAGAAAATGTGTTGGGTGTATGAATTTGCATAAGAATTGTTATTAAGATATCCCTATGGTTTTTGATAAATTGAAATATTTCTTTTTGTAATACCATCTCATGAGTATCACCTTTGAACAATTTCCCCAGGGAGAATCAAAACCTTTTCAAACGTTACCTAAGTTATAAGCACAATAGGATTTAATTACACAAACTCTAGAGGTATTCGTTTTGTTTATTCATATTCTTCAGGCTTATCATCTGGTTTAGAATCCATTTATAGTTTCATCTTAAAAAAAATTTAGGTTGAAAATATCTTATTTAGATATTACTAAAATTTACCTTAAAAGCATACTCCAGTCGAACAAGGAAAGGAAAATTCACTGCCTGTAATATTCTTTTCTCATTCAAAGTATGCTCTATTTGCTTCAGTTTAACAACCTGTAATTGAGAGATAAATATCTCTTAATGTATTTAAGCAAAATTAAAAAGTTATCATTTAAAAAAATGTTTTCCATATAGTAATAAACTTGGATAAGCAAAATTGTTAGAATTGGATAAGGAAGATAATAACAATTACCAACTTTTAGGTTGGTGCATAAGTAATTGCGGTTTTTGCCATTACTTTTAATAATAGGATTCAAATGAAAACCTAATAGAGGATTTAAAACTTGGTCTTAGGAAGGTCAATTATGGTTTCAATTAAGAAGTGAGAGCTAAGTAGGAATAAGAAACAAACTCATAAGAAATTACTTTAAAAATTAGTTATGTCAATTATGCTTAAATAAATATATAATTACTTAAGGTAATTTAAAAATGAATGTGAAAATACTAAGGTCCTAATGACTTAAAGTCCTCTATAAAAGCTGGCTCAAATCTCTGCAATAAGTAGATAGTGATTTTAAATACTTCAGAAGATGAATAAGAAAATTAAAAATGAAGAGAAAGTCCATAACTGAAAAATAGTGAGTAAAAATGAACAATTTTCATTTTATAATATCTAAATAAATATAGGTATAAATTCTAAAAATTTATTTTATATTGCCATAGAAGAGGACACACAAAATATTGGGGAAAAAACTATCTTTATAACAAAAACTATCTTTGTATCCTAGGTCATTTAGACTTAAGCTTCCTCTAGATTTTCTATTTAATAGAAGGGGAAAGTAATTTATCTTGACTTCACGAAGACTGTGATTCTATTCCATATGTGATTCTATTTTGAATTTAAGAAGTGGTGACTTTAGCAAGACATATAAATAATTTTCTTGTATATGTGTAAATCATTAGAAGGTGGCATTCTTTCTTGCTGGAGTCTAATGGTCAATGTGAGGATAGTCACAGAAGTCAAGAAGTTAAATATAAATAACAAAAGTAATTAAAGATACCAGCCAGGTATTAATATATAAAATTAGGAGTATACTGATAATATTGAGCAAATAAATTGAGTAGGAGTCAGATTTGTGTTTTAATCTAGGCCTTTTATTTAACTAACTTTCTGACTTGAGATGATTTCAAATCTTTGGGCCTCAGGTTTTCAAAATTTGTAACATGAAGTGGTTGGATCACTACTGTACACATTTTAACTTCTGTAATAGTTACAAAACAAATTAGTCCATAATTGTCACAATAAATTATAGTTGTCCATCAGTATCCCTGGGGGTTGGTTCCAGGACCTACAGCAGAAACCAAAATGCCCAGGTGCTCAAGTCCCTTATATAAAATGACAGAGGCTTTGCATAAAGCCTATACACACTGTCCATATACTTTAAATCATCTCTAGATTACTTATAATACCTGATATATTGTAAATGCTATGTAAATAGTTGTTACACTGTATTGTTTAGGGAATAATAACAAGAAACAAAAGTCTGTACATGTTAGGTATAGATGTAATTTTTTTCCCAAATATCTTCAATCTGTGATTGGTTAAATCCATGGACGTGGAACCCATAGATATGGAAGGGCTGACTGTATACTAACTATGTATAATATAGTTACAATAAAAATTTAGTTACAATAAAAATTAAATTTAATAATAAAATTATTTGAAGCTGTCAATGGTAAGTCATTATACTGAATCTGTTTAATAGTCTAGCTGATAAAACTAAAGTTTACCCTGAAGGTAAATAACAACAAATACACTCACCTTCTGCTTATCTAAGATCTTCATGGCATAATACTGTTCAGTGGCTTTGTGTTTTACCAACATGACTCTTCCAAATGAACCTGTTCCAAGGGTTTTTTTCCTTTCAAAATCTTCAAGTCCGGCATTATTCTATATGTAAATACATAAATAAAATTTAAAATTCTCGTAAAAACACTATGGGAATTATAAATGCTTTAATAATACATAATCATAATGGATAATCCCATTTATAACTATCCATTTAAATGCAATACAAAAAAGCTATTGAGATTCCAGTTTATTGGTTCTATTTTTCCCTTTGAATAAGAAAGTATTTAATATCTGAGGAGAGAATGTATTGGAAAACAGAGCATAATAGTAATAGGAGGAAATAAGAGCCTCAGCTGAAATATTAAAGATTATATTCCAGTATGCATTCCTAGTATTGGACTTTAATCTTACTACTGAACTTCCAATAAATTAGTTTCATATTTTAATAATTACAAACTGACCAGAGGCATACTGACAAAGAGTCATAGAAGCCATACAGACTTAATGCACTTGCAAATAACTGTAATGAATAGATAAACTGAGGGATCAGAGCTCTTTCACTAAAGTTACCTGTGAAGAAATCAGTCTTGCTTCATTTCTGTCTTTATATAAGCTTATAGAACTAGATAGTAGCAGCATGAGAGAGCCTAGTGGCTTTCTCTCTTTATATTATAAAAACACAGTATTATCTAAAACAACAACAATAAGGAAAGAAGAGTTCCTCATTCTACAAAGAACCAAAAGCCAGAATCCCAGAACAATAATCAGACTCTTTTTTTCTTGAATAGATGTTTTGTTATAAGGAAACATCTTTGTTTGGCTTTGACTACAGCACAGAAGCAAATAATTGGAGGCATCAATCTATTAAATTTGTTCCTGCCACAACAAAATGAAAATTATTAGGGACAAATTATGTGTTAAATGGCAAGAAGTAGTAATTGCTGACCCATTTGTTTAATAGGTTTCATTGCAAAGAACTCCATGAAAATATCAGAAAAATATTCTGAAGGCCCAGTATGTAGTGTTTAGCTTGAAAAAATGTGATGCAGTATGATTCTTTGTCCAGTGAGGAATTTGTATAGGTATTACAGTTCACTGTAGTTGGATTTTATCTGTATTGCAAATCAAACCTTGCCTTTTGAGACCCATTTTAGCTTTCTGTTGGATCATTACAGACAGCAGGCAATTCTGTTTTACTTATAGCTTGTTTTCATCATAGTTTGATTTCACAGCTTAAAATTTAAAATAATTTTAAGTAGTCATAAGATTTTTTTATCAACACAGAAAGCTCTTATAATTCTGACTGAATTAATTTAATTAATATTTAATCTTAGGTTTTATCAACATGGATGGATTAAAATGTTTACCATAGTACCAACCAAATAATGAAAACAAACTTTATTAATAGACAACAGAATATGTGTTTCTGCTCTTTATGCTTTTTTCATTGCTTTTCTTTGTATTATAAAAATATGTTATCTTCCTTACCTCTCTTATTGTTTCATGTTACACAATGTCTAACATTTTGTAATCACAATGTTTAATCTTTGTGGCTATGTTTTAACTTATAGGTCATACTCTAAATCTTGATAGTAATGGCATCTTTAAGAAACATTTACTTAGAATTCTTTAGTGAGAAAATACTTGAAATAAAAACTTTTGAGCTAGGCAGAAAAGACTTTCAAAATTTAATTTTTTTGGTTATAATATCTTTTATTTTTCTTTTATTTTCCATAAGTTATTGGGGTACAGGTGGTATTTGGTTACATGAGTAAGCTCTTTAATGATGATTTGTGAAATTTTGGTGCATCCATTACTTGAGCAGTATACACTGCACCATATTTGTAGTCTTTTATCCCTTGCCTCCCTCCCATTCTCCCCCACCAAGTGCCAAAAGTCCATTATATCATTCTTATGCCTTTGTGTCCTCATAGCTTAGCTCCCACATATCAGTGAGAACATATGATGTTTGGTTTTCCATTCCTGAGTTACTTTCACTTCACTTTGAATAATAGTCTCCAATCTCATCTAGGTCACTGCAAATGTGTTAATTCATTCTTTTTTATGGCTGCATAGTACTCCATCATACATATATATATATATATATATATATATCACAGTTTCTTTATCCATTCGTTGATTGATGGGCATTTGCATTGGTTCCACTATTTTGCAATTGTGAATTGTGCTACTATAAGCATGCGTGTGCAAGTATCTTTTTCAAATAACGACCTCTTTTTTTTTTTTTTTTTGGTCTTTATGTTCTCACTCATAAGTGGGAGTTGAACAATGAGAACACATGGACACAGGGAGGGGAACATCACACACCGGGGCCTGTCGCGGGGTGGGGGGCTAGGGGAGGGATAGCATTAGGAGAAATACCTAATGTAGATGACGGGTTGATGGATGCAGCAACCACCATGGCATATTTATACCTATGTAACAAACCTGCACATTCTGCACATGCAACCCAGAACTTGAAGTATAACAAAATTTAATTTACTATTAAAATTCATTCATTATTTATAACTCCAAAAATATTATTTTTGTAAAGTATAGATGGTTTTTTATATACAGTTTTTAGATCCTAGTTAAGATCTAAAATACTTTAATTATATAGAACATAACCCATCAAAATGATGATAAAAAAGATGCCTGTGTATCAGGGATGTTGTTGATAGCCAAATTCTCTATGACTGAGAATTTTAAACTGTACGTAAGGACTCTTATTTTTGTAATTAATAAAAATTATAAGTATGCTATCAAAGGCATAATTCAAAATTAATATATTTGAAAATATTAAGATTTTATAGCAACTGGAATCAGTATCAAATTTATAATTAGGTATTATACTGGAAATTATTTCCTGCAATTTAGGCATACATTAAGATTATTAATTAATACATCAAAGTATAACTATGGCAAAATTCCCATTTTAAGCTTCTGTTTACTAACACCACATGAAAATTAAAATTTCTAAAGTAATAAATTTCTTAGGCAAGAATCCTGATTTTATTAATACAAGATTTTTAATTTTAGAAAAATCTAAATATTCCTTACCTGAGTTGGATTCTCCCATTTTTTCAAAAAGTCTTCTTTGGCTTTGGCTAGAAACTCTTTCACTGAAAATATACATATAAAAACAAATTTATCTTGTAAGAATATTTATATTCTGTATAAGAATATTTATATTGCATATGGTTTTCTCACTTAAAAAAAGACATGTCATCTATTGTGATAAAATGTATATTTATCACCATGATACATTAAAGAGCTATTTAGTATCTCTAAGAACCTTCTCAAATCTCTAAGATTCTCTAATATTGTTCTATAAAGAAACCACTTTGATAATTTCAAATGTCATAACAAAAATTCTGTTCCTGAAAACATACTAGAAAGTAATGTAAGAAAGTCAGAAATTAATTTAGGACAAAATAGTGACTGTAAAAAGGCCATCAGTAATATTAACGGAGCCTTTAGATACAAGAATTGAAAACATGTGGAGAACATTAACCTACTGATTCGTGGAATTTCAAAAATAGTTGATCTTGATAAAGAGCTGTTTTCAGGTGTAAGGATTTATGTTATGTATTAGATTTGTGTTCTCTTTACTAATGGCAAAGGGAAAAAATAAAAGCAAAGACTAGCACATAAAGGACACCAACAAAGACTTAAAAACAGAACAAAACATCGACAACAAAAAATCCAGTTTAACAATCTCATTCTAAATTTGCAGCATAAACTAAATGTCTGAATACCCAATTTAAAATGCACTAAAGTAAAGCAATTCAAAACCAAGTGTTTGTATATTGATTAATAATGTGGGTATAAAATAGCCACATTATTTTATAGAGCTATGGTTTGAAGTTTTAAATTTGTAAATTAAATGATGAACCAGTTAAAACTTTCCCCATTTTCAAAAGCTATCTTAGAAAACAACTTCAGATGTTTAAAAACAAATAGGAAAAATATTCCAAAGAGATAAAATAGCATTAACAAAATGTATTGTTGTTCATATCTTTAGGTATAAGAATAAAACCTGACTATACTAGTGAAGGGCTCACAAATTCTTTAAGATTCTCAATGATACAGTAGTATTGAAGTGAGATAGGTACCTATTTTAAAACATACTTTATTTTTCCTCCTTTATAAATGTCATACCAATGTCATACCTTTGGGAAAATACTGTTACTAACCAAAAAGGCTTTTGGCATTTTAAATGTTTTGAGATTTCAAAATGATGATGACAGGCACCAAGAGCAGACATTAGTTTTTAAGTAACATTAGAGTATGAATCTCTGAAGACATTATTTTAGTACTTTCTATAAACTGTCCTTTGTATTTTACTGTAAAATACTCTCAGAATGCCTTTTTTAGAAAAACTGAGAAAAAGAATTTTTAAACTTAGAATTTTCCCATTGTAGGAAAATCTCATGCACTAAAACAATGAATCAAAGAATTTTACCTAATCATCCAAATATAATCTAATTCTTCCTGAGGGGTGGATTAAGGGTGGCAAATTCTTACATTTTCTCTTTTCTTTCTATTACTTTTTTTAAGACTGGGTCTTGCTCTGTCACTCAGGCTGGAGTGCAGTGTCATGATCACAGTCCACTAGAGCCTCAGACTACTAGGCTCAAGCAATCCGTCTGCCTCAGCCTCCTGAGTAGCTGGGACTACAGATGTGCACCACCAAGTCTGGCTAATTTTCTTACTTTTTGTAGAGATGAGGGTCTAACTGTGCTGCCCAGGCTTGTCCTGAACTTTTGAGCTCAAGTGAACTTTCTGGCTCAGCCTCCCAAAGTGCTAGGATTAGAGGTGTGAGCCACTGTGTCCGGCCAAATTGTTATTTTTTCTTGGAATTTAGGATGGTTCAAGTCATCCTTGCTTCTAAAAATGAATGTGCTAGTTACAACAGAAAAAGAGTAATTTTATAGGTAAGATTTTCTTTTTTTGCATGGAGCAGACATATCTGCACATGGCATTCACTTGGACATGATGGCTATAAATTAAATTAAAAACATAATTTATTGCAACATGCACTGTGGCATTTAAGAAAAAACAACTTGTGATTCCCAAAATATACCCCTTGTTTCTTCTGAAAAATATTTTTAGTTATCTTTTATTTATAGAACTTGCACATCAAGTTGCAATATAAACTCTCCAGATGCCTATATGAGTATAAATAATTTAGAGACAAAGAAAAGAGTAAGGGAAGGTAAAAAAAACAACTTTAACATCCTGTTTCAGCTTCTCCTGTCACTTTATGCTAAGTGGATCTGGAGTTAAGAAAAAAGTAACTGATCAAAGGAAGGACTGACAGTATTTGTCAAAGATGGTAAGTTGAAAAAAATTCCTTTTCCCTGCCTGGTGATAAGCTAAAAGAAAAATTTCCGGCATTATTTAATTTTATTCACTAATAGAATATGCAAGAAATTCTTTAAAATACTCTCTGTACTCATCAATATTCCTGAGTTTACTGTCAAATAATACTGTAAAAGTAGGGAAAAGTTTTTATAAAGGTCTTATGTGAAAATTATCAGAAATGAGTATTAATCAAATATATTATTATATTTTGTGAATTACTTCAAAATATAAAGGGATTTTCTTTTCGAGTACATTAAAGGATGGGCACTAAGTATGATGTTATTAAATAGTTCTATGAGGAAAACCTGTTCCTGAAACATTTTTTTTCATATAAAAATATCTACACATATGAAATCTCTAGTTTTTATGTGTACTATGTAGATGCAAAGATAAACATAATTATTTGTAAAAATATAAGTTAATCAAAATATACATCTTTTAATAACAAATCTACCAAAAATAAAATATTTCACAATATATTGGATTATGTGTAACCCTAAAACAATAAGCAATCTAGAACCACATGCATTTGCTTTGAATTTTATTATGTTTAGATATTGGTGGATGTAACTTCTAAATGCCTTTCTCTTCTCTGGTTATTTAAAAAATTTCTATCCACTGAAATAAAGTGTTGGCAGATAATTAATAAAATAAGATGTGACAGAGACAGCCAGATTCAAATACTGCTCCACATTCAACCCAGAATTCCCTATAAAGCATATAGTTTGAAGTTCTCAATTATTTAGTTTACTTATTGTGTTCTAATATATAAGCCATATCTACATTTAACCACTTAAATTATTATGATGGTTTCAGAGCTTGGAACATCTGAGTTAGAATATTAGCTCTAATACTTCCTAGCTGTGTGACCATAGGTACCTATCTCCAAAGCATCTAACAGTGATTAGTAACTCTTCTTAAGAAAAAAATCCTTCAAAGAATGATTTTTCTGAAACACATTTTATTCTCTACTGGTAAATAATTGAACAAAGTAGATACTACAAAAAAGAGGACACACAAAAAATTAATTTATTCCCAAAAGTATACATTTTCAATTATATATTTTTTCTGTTTGTATGATTTAAATAGTCTATCACATTGCATTCTAAAGGAAATGAGCATACCAAAGGAATCTACATGTTCACCCAAGATTTGTTTGCAGGAACATTCACCCACATTCAAGAGATGAAAAAAAAAAGAGAGACAATTTTTATGCATTTTCACAAGTTCATAAAAACACAACTTACTTCTTATCCCCCCTCAAATTTTTCAATGTATTTATACATAGAACATAGTTTAAAAATCAGATTTTAAAGTTTATTTTAAACATTAGGAAAACTGACTGAAAATTCAGGCACAGCATAACTTCATCCCATATAATTCAGGTAATTCCACTATAAGAATGTTTCACTATTAACATTTAACAAATGTATTTATTAGATATTTTTGACTGCTGTGTAAGATAAACTAGGTTACTGCTTATGATAAAAAGAGTATGTTGTTAGTCACAGTATACCATTATCCAATTCTTAAAAGAATATCATTCATATTTTGTATTAAGAGTTTATAAATCTTTCTTCTACTTATTTATCTTTCTTTTACTGTATTAATCTTTCTTCTACTACTTTGTACATCTACTGTTTCATGGTGCTACAGTTATTCTTTCTAAAATACCACACAAGAAATTACAATATAAATCATTTATATAGATAAAACCCAACAAAACTAAACAAACTATTTCCTTCATCAATGAAAATATTTCATTAACTTGATATACTTAAAAATATATAACTTTATAAGGAAAATAAAAACTTGCAAACAATAAATAAAAAATTTTAAAGGTAATATTTGTTTTATTAAAAAGTAATTGCCTACCAGATATTTCTGAAGAGGAGCAAGCTTGTGTCCAAAAAATAAATTAGAAAATGATTAAATTATATGAATAACATATTAGCATGAAGTCACCAATACGCATTTTTTCAGAATACTATATACAGAAATAAAATGTTAATGTAGAAATTCAATTATTTGATTGTATGTATTCAAATAAGTTATCTTCAAATTAAATGGTAAAGAAATAAGTAACTATTGTTTAGTGCCAAAATCAATAACCTTCTTATTTTCCTTAAAACAACAACTAACAAAAACTTTAAGTTCTCACAACAATAGTCCTCATAACAATATTAAGAAGCAAATATTGACATACATATCCTGTAACTATTGCAATACCATCTCTGGAGTTCTGTTATTCAGTCAAAATCTACTGTAGGAAAGACATTACGCATTATAACACCTGGTTTCTTCCTTTTGAAAAACTTTAGTATTTTTCAGTCATTCCACTTCCTCAGTGCTGGTTTAACAATCTTTTCAACAGTATTTATTGAGCACCATTTAGTGGTGTCAGATTCTGAGCTAGACTCTGAATACTACAAAGAATAAACATATTTCCACTGTTAAGGAAATGAGAAGCTTACATGAATCATCATAATGGAATGGGACAAAGACTACAACAAAGGCAATTATAAGGTGCTGTGAGAGCTGGGAGGGGGAAATTCTTGGACAGTAAGGTAAGGCATAATAGAGAATACAGCATTTGTGCTGAATCTTGAAAGATAAGAATTCCTCTGGCAGATAAAGTTGGGGAAAAAGACCTCCTAGGCTGAGACGATCTTACATAAATGGCATGGAAGAAGAGCATGGTTTATCCAGGAAACAGCAACTGACTTGTAATAACTGCAGCATCGGGGACATGTAAAACATCAGTGGGAGATGAAGTGCACAGGCAAGCAGATGCCGAATCAGGGAGGCATTTTTTGGCATAGTGATGCTTTTCAACGCATGGGTAGAAACAGAAGTAAACTGAGTTAGTTCACAGTTGCTAGATTCTATTTCTTCCGGGAACCAGAAGGCAAGATCTTTTGCTAAGGGAGAGGGGAATAGGATAAAATAATGAGGGATGATGAGGATTAGACGTCTCAATATGTTAGATGTTGATGGCTATTTTTGTAGGGAATAAGGAACAGGGCTATTAAAAATTTTCTATTAGAGAAAGATAAAATATTAGGAACCACAAGCAATAATGTTTTTAATAGTGTCATTTTTGTAATAACAGTTTAAAAATTTGTTACTGAAAAGATAATAATTCATGCTCCTTCTACTTTGTCATTAGTTTCATCTCCCTCTTTTACCTTAATAAAAGCATTATTCTATTTAAGAATTATTTAGTGCATGCCAGAAAGAACAAAAGAGGATGGAAACTAAGGTAAGTTACCTATGAAAATACCAAGTTCTATCATTAAATAACAGCAGAAAAATCTCTGGAAAGTGTAAATCTAGGGGAATGCATTAGTCCATCTTCTTCCACCCCTATTCAAATATCTACCTCTTTAGAGCTTTATTTGGTATTTCTAAAAATACTCTCCCCCTCCCCACATACACACACACTAAAAATATTTTCAGTAAACAGAATTGTAAAAACTCAACACAAAATATTCTAATTGCCACAAAATATCTCATAAAAATTTAGCTTACGATAATCAAAGTAACAGAATTATTCTGTAAAAAAAGGGGTTTTCCTACCAGATGCATCTGATGATTTGCGTGCTTGATCAAAAAGAATAAACAGAGATTAAATAACACATAAAATAACATACCTACAAGAAGTTACCCATCTATACATGTTCACTACTGTACTGCACATAGAAATAGAATGATAAAACAATTGAACATACATACCAAAAATGTATTATATAAGGATTACAAGAAATTCTTTGGATATCCTTTTTTTTTAACCAACCAAAACTCTTCTCTGGAAATATGTTAATAAATTATCATCTTCTGTCCTTTGAAACTGAAGAATAATTGTGTTCACTTTGCTGAAGGGGCACTTGCCTCATCATATTAAACATACTGATTCAAACTAAATTCACTATAACCTTAAAAATGATAGCGAGTATAAAAAACAACTTTAATACTTCAGTTGTAATTGTACAGTTTATTGGATTGGACTATGCCTACCTTTGATTTCTAAGATGATTAATTAGTCTTTCTATAAAGACTAAAGCCACATATATATGAGTATTTGGAAGTTTAATAGGCAATGAAAGTTACACTTCCTATTACAAAATTTATTTTACTCTTCTTTCCTCTCTGTGTTTTATTACTTGTTAATTTTTCATCAAGTCTTAGTTACAAGTGAACAGCATAATTGACTGACTCACTGAACTGTGAAAAATAAAAATTTTTACTATAGTTTTATATGGAAAAATATAAACACTTTTAATGAGACATATATTTAAATAATCATTCTAGAAAGAAATACATTAACTTATTTGACTAGCATCTACATGGATAGATGGATACACTATGAATTCACACAGTGTATTCATTCACAACTAATCATATGTACATGCCTTCTCTCCCAACAGCTCTCCATCTGGGGATGCTATGGATTTTGTAGGCCATCCATGCCATGTTTGACTCGTGATGTTTCCTACATAATTTTGTAATGAAAACTCAAAGTAAATTTATAGTCATAAAACTAATGACCCAGGCAATCTTTGAAATGCTCCTTGAAGTATATTTTACTTCCTTAATTGTTCAATGAGGCTTTTTCCTGTAGCAGTATTATATCTACTACAATCATATGTCAAGGATTTTCCAGAAAGGCCTGAATTCAAATATTTTGTCTTGTTTCCCGACAATATGGAGTTAAGAATGGATTCCTAGATGATAAGGAATGCACAGTATCAACTTCGGCAGTAACAAATGACTCAGTAAATGGTAGCATCAATTTATTGTCCCACCATATCCTTGATGCTCTATATCCTCAACAAAATTTGTTAATGTTGGACTTTCCATTTTTTGCTAATCTAATGAGTATAAAAAATCATGTCTGATTGTTAAAGATTAGGTAAATATCCCTCGGTAGAATTTTATACTTTTTCCCTTAAAGGTCTTATTACACTTTTATTAGATTTATACCTAGGTTCTTTAGCACTTTGGTTGCTATTGTAAAAGGGAGATTTTTAAAAATTACCTTTTTTGTTTGTTGCTGATGTATAGAACATAGTCGATGTTTATATATTGATTTTTTTAATATCTGGCAATCTTGCCAGATTCTGTTATCAATTCTGAAATCACATTGGTAGATTCACTTGAGTCTTCTATGTAACCAATCACAAATCATTTGTGAATAATGACAATTTGGTTCTCTCCACGTTTTTCTTGTTTTACTGCTCAGGTTATGACTAACAGTACAATGATGTACAGAAACAATGGCAGTGGACATCCTTTTCCTATTCCCAACTTCAGAGAAAATGTATCTAATTTTCTTTTCCTATACTTGACTTGTAAAACTATTCTAGAATCAGTAAATGCATTTAAGAGTATTTTCTCTTTTTCAATGCTCTGGAAAATTCCATACAAGATTGAAGTTTTTGTTCTTTGAAGGTTTCCTAAAACTTGTATGTAAAACTCTCCAGTCCTAATTTTGTTAAGTTCTGCATAAAGATTCTGTGATTCAATTTTTAAAACAGGTATAGTTCTATTTAGTACTTTAAAATATTTTCCCATAAACTAACCTTTGATTCTCATGTATCTTTATTTTCTATTCCACCCACTGATCTTTGCTCGTCTTTATCAGTTTCTTTCTTCTTTTGATTAACCATGTGGCTTTTTAAACTTGTTTTCTTATATCATGAATGTCTTTCTTTTTCCTAATTTGAGCACTTAAAATTTAACTCTATATCCACTTTTGCTGCACCCCACAAGTTCTGATACATAGTTACACCTTAAATTTACGAGTTAATTATTTGGTAAGTTATTTAAAATGTTTAAATCTCCAAATGTATACATTTGTGTGATTTTTTTAAAGCTTTTTATTACTGATTGAACTTAATTGCCTTGTGGTAGTTAAGTAATTAAGAATTGATATACTGTAGCCTGTATATCAATCATTTGAAATTTGTTGAATACATTTAGTCATATTATTAATTTTGTAAGTGTTCTACATATTCCTATGTATTCTTCAATTACTGGGTAAGAATTCTCTATCTATATCTATAAAATTTCTCCTACATAGGTCAATTTTGTTTTGTATATTTTAAGGCTCTGTTAGAATTACATACATTTTTTCCTCATATTTATTTTTATGTCACTAATTTAATATAGTAGTCATATGTGATAATTTTACTATGTCTAGTGACATTATTGGCAGGTTCTAATCCTGTTGTATCTAAATATCATTTGCAGTATGTGTGTAAGTGTGTGTGTATTTTGTTTTTGGATTGTGAACACAAAGTTCATTGGGGCTTTATCTGCGAGAAACCTGCAGGTCTTGGTCTGAGAATGTGTCCCAGTATAGGATTTTGTATTAGCTGGTGTAGAGTATATGTTACAAGCCTACAACTCTTCTGATAATGTGTTTTATTGGTTGTTCCTAGACCACACAATTAATACAGATTAAAAACTGAAACCTGCTTGAGAGGAGGCACTTGATTAAAAATTCTCAGGAGAGGCATCCTACACATGCACACACATCCCTCCCCTGTTCCCAGGAACCCAAGCCAAGAAACACAAGCTTCCTTATTTTCTCCTTTTGTCAGTGGAGAGGTTTTATTTTCTCATCTATGCTTTCACTGAGGTTATGATCCTTGCAGGATCCTGGCTTTATACAGGGGGCTAAGAAATCCTAAACTGTATGCATTAAACAACCTATCATCCATCTCTGTTAGGCCATTTTAAACGAAAGCCCCACCAAGGTCTAAAAATGTCCTCAGGGCAGTTGAAGTATGCTTCCCCTTACAGCTCTGGTTCTCATTTACCACTTCAATTTTTGCACTTTGGGAATTTATTTAATTTTAATTAAATTAGAATTCACTTAAAGGGTAAATTCAGGTATTCATTTAAAGGGGCACTTGTTACAGTTTATTCAGCATTTCAAGGTGCTGTTGATCTTAAATAATTTCTGCCCTCAAAAGATTTTTAAGTTATCTAGTCTCCAATTTTGCATTTTTTTCTTTATAGGACAAGCTTCATGTTAGATTGTAAGATGCAAAGACATCAGAATGTTTATGGATTTCATTTTTTTATGCTGGAAATTCCAAATGCTCACCAGGATGTATTTAGGCATTGGCATCTTTGTTAATCTTGTCAAAACAAAATGAGGTCTTTCAATTTAAAGATTCAAGTTTTTCTTCAACTAACAAGTTTTCCTGAATCATATTTTTGATTACTGCTTTTCTGTTCTATAAATCATATCTGCTCTGTTCTGTGGAATGCTATCCATTCAATTTGTAAAATGTCCTTTTATTTTCTTTTATAATTTCTTGTCCTGCTTTTATTTAACATACTTTCCATCTTATAATTTTTATCTTGTCCATTTCCTCTACATTCTATTAGGGTCTATCTGGAGAGATCTTCACATTATTAATTTACTTTTCTGCAATGATTATTCTGGTTTTTATTGCCTCTAATGCAGCTTTATATTCTAAAAATGCCAGGTTTATTTCTTACAACTTTTTCCTATCACAACATTATGCTTCTTTTCCATTCCTGCCTCTCAGCCAGTAATCTTTTCATTCTAGGTTCTTGTTTTATCTTTGTTTCATGTCTTAGTTCACTAACTCCATGCTCACTTGAAATTTTAAGAATTAACACAGATGGCATCTATAATTTTTTGTGTTTATACTCTCCTGCACAAATATTTTCTAAATATAAGTTCATTCTCTACCTCTTGGAGACTGTAACTTTATCGTTTTATGGTGTATAACCTCTTTTATAGGTTCCACATTGTTGCTTTTCTTTTTTATTCATTCAAGAACAATTACAAGCTTTTCAAAACTTTACAAATGCCCCAAATAAGGTAAGTGGTTTTTCTTTGGCCCTTCTCATTTCCTGTTTAGATGCTGTTAGACTAAACTCTTCACATCATTTAGCGTACACATATTTACATTATCAGGTAAGTAATCCAGTGACCTTCATAAATGGGAATGTGGCCAGGACTATAGGATTCCTTGCTGGTAGTGATGCCTTCTATGTCAGGAAAGAGCCTTCTATATTTAAAGAGAGGCCACTTTTCAACTTGAAAAGGCCTAATACATTCTTGGTTGTCCCACTATAGCTGTTTTAGAATGAAAGTAATGAGCAGTGTTGGATCTTCCACTTATTTTCCTCATCCCTCCCAGTTAGTGAGGGTGAAACTATTATTTCTTTCTTTTCCATAAAGAAAAGCTACTCAAGTTAAAACTGTTAATTAGACTTTGGAGTCTGATCATCAAAATCCTGTACATATTTGGGCAAATAACCATCTTTAATTTCAGAAATGATGTACTGCTTTCCCAATTTTTTTTCTCACAGTATTTTCAGTCAGAATCTAGAAAGGGAAATTAATGAAGTGTTGGTATTCAAGTCTGTATGGTGCTGTAATTCATAGCAGATTCATGCCTTCTTCTTCAGAGATTTGCCCTCAACTACAGCTGGGCCAGGATTCTCACCCAGGATTTTGATATAATGATGCTAGTTACATCAAAAAGCACATGAACTAGGAGAGCACATAAACTTTGAAGCTTTCAGATGACTAAGCTCCATTTTGCACAAGCATCAGAGAAACCTATTCGCTACACAGTGAGGATAATAAAGCAAATACAAGGAAAAAAGTAAAGACGTCATGTGATCTCAGAGAGAAAAACTGAGAAAGGTACTGTTATGATTCCAGTCAGCTTTCCAAATCAATTCTACTCTTTGGAACAGCTCAACTCTACTTTTGCCTTTGAGCTCCATGACATCCTCTGCATCCCAATAATACCTGTATCTTCTTCTGCTTAAGCTTATTTGAGTGAGTTGCTACAACCTCTAAACATAAGGGCCTTACAATAGTTTGACTGATTTTCAGAGAAGTTCCTTTAGTATTTCTTTATAGACCTTGTTTGCTTAACAAGGGCAAAAACTTCACAAAAAGAGTTATGAGTAAGAAAAACATTTAGAAAGTGAAGGCTCTTTTCACATATAACCAATTTTTTAAATACTAGAAAGATAAAGGTACTGACTGGTACAATTTAGTTTCTTAAGCATTTTATATGACTTCATCCTACAAAGTTGATAAAGGAACAAGTAAATACTATGGTTATTGTATTTTTCTGAACCAAAAAAAGTCAAAACCCACACTGGTATTTTTCACTGGCAATGTAAGGGAACTGTTCAAGTATGTAAAAATGAATTATATTTAGTTTATCATTAATTCTATAAGTATTTATTGGGTACCTTGCTGTGTTTGGGGTACTGGGGTGACTACTAGAAACATACAATGAATAAGGCACTGTCCTTGACTTGAGTTCAACATTTAGAGATTAGAAAGTGACATACAAATTTATAATTTCAATATAATACAATAATTGTTGTAGTTTGTAAGTTTGCTTTGGGAGTACAGAGAAATCACCTAATTCCACAGGGTCAGTGTCGGAGGTAATGACTGGTTCTCTAAATTTTTATGATAAAGACTATAAATATGGAAAGGTAGCAAGGAATTATATGTAATATAGTATGGCTAGATCAAAATTTGTGAGAGAGATTTTGCAAACAAAACCAAAAAGGTAAGTCATTGATTGCATGTGACCTAATAAGGAGTTTAACTTTTATTTTAAAGGCAATAGGGAGTAACTGAAAGTTTTCATGTTAGTTTAAAAAATGGGCATATTTGCATTTTAAAATTTTCAGTGTGGAAAATGGCCTGGAAGGATATAAAACTGGAAGCTGGGAGACCAGTAATGCAGTTATTATAATAGGATTGAGAAGAGATCTAGAAGCCATCCCAGTGTCAGTAAGACTGGAGAATATTGAGTGATTTTTGATGTAGAATCAATAGAACTTAATGACTGAGTACATGTCTGAGGGTAAGAAACAAGTTAGAAATGACCAAGGTTTCTGTTTTCACTTCCTGTATGGGCAGTGAGATCATTAACAGATATCAGAGTCAATGAAAATGGAGCAGATTTAGGGATGATAAAAGAAAATCCACTTTTGAACTGAACGTTCAGGTAATGACTGAAGATGTAGGCATGGATGAGATTTTTTGGAGAAAATGTAGCATCAAAAGAAGGCCAAAAGATAGATTCTCAGAGAAAACCAACATTTAATTGGCAAAGGATAAAAGGAATAGTCTTATAACGAGAAAAGTACCATGTACACATAAATATCACATGTGTAGTTACAGACTTAGATTAAAAGGCCTAGCATTTGCTTATTTTTACAAATAAAACCACACTTCTCTTGTAATTTTCCAAGTTGAAATGGCTAGGACACTTAACCATTTATGACATGATTAAAATCAGTTGAAATTGGGCATTCTCGACAAAGTCAGAACACCTAGTTGTGATTACTATGATTATTTGTGGTATAAAATGGCTAGAAGGGAAAGCCAATATGATCAAATATATCAAATGCTATCTACAATGCATAGCTTTTTAAAGAAAAATAAAGCAATAGTGAAGCAATAACATTTTCCTTCAGCTAAATCCAATCCATCCTGTTGTAAAACCTCCAGAACACCATGGTGGTTACCTAAAGATTCTAGATTATATGCCAAATTTTCAAAGAGAAAATATGCATTGGCCTGATTCAAATAAATATATGTATGACAACCAGGTATATTCAGTTTGATATCCATAGAAATCCTAAGGAATGTTAAGTTGTTTTTGTAATATTCGTTCAAATTTAAAACAGCAGATTATTTAAAACAGATCTATTTCAGTAACAGGAAAATAACAATCCAGTTAATTCTTAGTATTTTGCATGTTAAAATGTCCCTTTAATATCTAATATTATTCTATAAACAAATATATAACAGTGTTTAAGAGGTTTATATTGTACTGTAGCAGGATAAAGAATATTTATTGGTTATAATGAGGTGATCTCCAGTTATGAAAGAAAAGGTTCGTCAATTTTGAATTCTATCATTATACAGCAAAAATCCACCTTTCAGTTTCTAAATTCCAATTCCAAATCTTATAAATGCAAATTATAGGACTGTTATGTTATCAGAGAAACCATATTCTACTTCTCTTAAAAATATCTGAATCAAAGGTTAACTTCCAAGCATCTTATTTAAGCAAAAGATGCTAATGAATTATGCTCTAAGCAAATGTTTTTCACTCTAACAACAGGATATCTATTTTTAGCTGCAGGTTTGGCTTGAAGTGACAGCTTTTACCCTATGATAAACTGCAGTACATACTGTAGTATATTTTTTCAAAAAAACAGTTTTGGAAATATTTAGAAAAAATAAATCACATTATAACAAAAAAGACTAGTTGTCACAAGTGTACTTATTCTAAAAAATTATTTCCCCCAAAAACTGTTTATTAAAAATTTTAACAAACCCTACAAAACCAAAATGCTCTAATTATTTCATCATTAAATCCTTATTTCTCAATAAATTGTAGGTAAAAGCAACCAAGACATCAACAAAATTCTGGCAGCATCTTATTTTCAAAATTACTATTTAAAAAATCTAATAAAAATAATCTAATAAAAATTAGCATTAGGAATGACAAAGCTAATCAAAGGAAAGTTAAACTAATTATCTTCAGGATCAGATACTAAAAGAAAATCCTCTCTTATGGTTAGTCTACTTACTAATTTATAACACAATTAATAACAGTGCCCAACAAATACAATAAATCGAACCATAAAGAAAATTAGAAACTGATTATTGGTATTGATTATTAATAGTGCCATTAA
This sequence comes from Homo sapiens, assembly GCF_000001405.40. Lineage (NCBI taxonomy): Eukaryota > Metazoa > Chordata > Mammalia > Primates > Hominidae > Homo > Homo sapiens. The sequence goes on along the minus strand of NC_000001.11, from coordinate 84,165,195 downwards.
TTGTTTACAGTTCTTACTGGTTTTTGAAGGCAATTTACTATAATGCCTAAGTACAAAAGCGTCACCACAAAATATAATTCACAGTAGCTGTGGCTTTATAACTGTCCCTTTAAAAATATTTTTTCCTCTTATAAATATATTTTTTAAATAAACAGCTGCAGAGTCTCAGAGAGCATACTTACCACTCATGATGAAAACCAACCTTTCCAAAACATATTGCTCAAAATAACAATCCAACAGCAAAGGGAGTTATGCTAATCTCTAGAGGGAGAAGAACCGATGGTGTAAACACACACACTGGAGCATGCAGCACACAGAAAACGAAAAGAGCTTTCTTTTGTTTTAAAAAGAGAAGCCCCTAGAAGCAAAGCATAACTGCCTAGCATGAGATATCACTAGTAAACATCAGATTAATGCCAAAGATGTCTATAACTAGACTGAATTTCTTTCAAGCTAGTTATCCCAGCCTCCTTCATATACCACTAGAACAACTCAAAATGGCAGGGAGAAAATGTTCGAACCAGGATGTATAAGATGTTCTCAATTATATCAGCATGAGTTGTTACCACGGCAACATTAGACCAGAATTATCGGTTCACTTGTATCCAAGGCGTAGCTTTTCTAAAGCTTTAATCCACCAGACAAATAAAATACCTTTTTATTTTAGAGCCACATGATTATAAATTACCAGATTTCTTAAATTTAAGCACTAATCTACGCTTTTTACATCTTTCAAAGATATGAAAAAATTGCTGTTTTCTTCAAATACTCACACAATCCCATGTTGAACCTGGCAAGGAGCAAACAGCAGAATGATTGCACCTAAACGTCTTTCAATTACACCAGCTCTTACTGCTAGCTGTGGACCTCACTGATATTAAAATGCTGTGTGCTGTTGCTAGTGACTATTGGCGATGAATCTTATTGCCGAGATCGCTGATAGCTTTCATTTTTCATGAGCCAGAAAGCTATACTGCAGCACAAATGTTAACCATTTAAACATTCTGTGTTATGGAAGAGAATAATATTATATACATATATGTATATCTGCATTTTTAAAGGAGAATCATAGAATAACTTATTTGTAAACTTCCATTAAATTCAGCATTACAAACAGTGTCAGATGCCATCCATGTGGTATTCAAAAGAAAATAATACACAAAAAAGTTACTGGCAATTATTGCAGAAATGTAAAATTCCTCACATGAAACAGGACTAAGATGACAGATTGTATAGCAAGGTGGGCTGACTGGGTAGCATGGTGAACAGATTGTTTTGATTACCAGAGATCCAAAATTTGTACCAAAATGGTACAAAGAATCTATAGAATGGTTCCTTGTTAAGTAGAACTTCAGCACGTGAACTTGCCATTTTAACAGTTGCCATGTGAGGCAGGACTTTTGGTGATGTGGAAGTAAGTCAGGAAATCTTCCTAAGAAACAACTATGAAGCTGAACAGAATTATCAAAAACAATGATTTCATGGCTCTGGAAATCGAGCAGTCATAAACAACAAATTAAGAAACATTTATTTGTGACGAACCACTGAACTCTGCCTAAAAACAGTGGGAGTCAGAGATGTTCTTGCCTGGGGCTGCTCCCACTCCTTTATAGCTCAGTCAGGAGAGTACTTCTACCAGGGTAGGGCTGGTCATGAAAACTAGCAGCTTCACTTCTGGAAGGGGCTGACATGAGAGGGGGCTGATTTGATTTGAAGTGGAGGCCAAAAAACTCATTAGTGATATTGTCAACGAAAAAAGCAAGCTGAAAGAAATTAACAGTCTAAGGCTATGGCCTTGGTAGGGCTAAGCAACACATTGGTGGTATAGCAAGAAACATAGCATGGGGTAAATGAAGATGAGACAGACAGAGGCTACGTAAGTTCACCAGGCCACCCAGTCTGCCCACCTTGCTATGCAATCTGACTAGGAGGTAATGACAAGCACAAAGGACACGAAAGAGGGCCCAGTGGAAAGTTAAAGCTGGTACAGACTTCCGAACTGCCTAAATACTGCATGTGCTCCTCAATTTGCACACAGTTCCATCAGCACTGGCTGGTCCCAGTGTTTGAGTACAACCTCTGATCAATCATTAAATAACAATTAAGCTACAGAGACACAGGGCAATCCCTAGGAAACCAGGTTAAAAAATAAAAATTAGAATAAGAAGAAAAAACTAAGCAGAGAAATCAGTAGTCACATATCATGAGGGATACAGATTCCATAGATTAAGACAAAGGAAGTTTTTAATAAAAAAATAAACAAAACCAACCCTCAGGGAAAAAATAATCAAAACCCAGAGCTACTACCACATGTTATTTTAAAAAACACATTTTTGACAAAAACTTGTGTGATCCACAATGAGGAAAAAAAGCAGTCAATAAAAAATGTCCCTGAATGGGCCCAGGTGTAGAATTTAGCAGACAAAGGCTTTAAAGACTTTAAAATAGCTATTATACATATATGAAAATAATTAAAAGAAAATTGTGTTAAATACCTAAAGGAAAACACGACAGTAATGAACAACATATAGAAACTTTCAATATAGAAAGAAAAACTATTTAAAAATAAAAAGTGCAGATTTGAAAAGTATAATAACCAAAATTTTAAAACTCAGTATAGTAAGCCCAACAGCAGATTTAAAAGAGCAAAAGATCAAATCAGTGAACTGGAAGATAGATCAATGGAAATCATCCAGTCGGAAGAACACAGAAAAAGACAGGAGAAAAGTGGACAGAGCCTGAGAAACTTATGGGATATCAAGGGAACCAACATATATCTCATGGGAATTAGAAAAAAAGGAGAGAGACAAAGGGTGATGAAAAAACATTTGAAGGAATAATGGCTGAAAATGTCCCAATTTGATGGAAAACAGTAACCTATGGATCCAAGAAGCTCAGCCAATGCCAACTAGAATAAAACCCAAAAGATCCACACTGAGACATATCATAGTCAAATTGTTGAAAGGTAAGGAGAAAAGTCATGAAAGCAGCAAGAGAAAAATGATGAATCACGTCCAGGGGAAAAATATGATTAATGACTTCTCATTAGAAATAAGTAGGGCCAGAAGGCAGAGAAATGAAGTGCTAAAAGAAACAAGAAAGCAAACCCATCCACCAACATTTCTCTATCCAGGAAAATTATCCTCCAAAAATAAAGGTGAAATGAAAGATTCCCAGAGAAACAACGGAGGATATTTGTTGTAAGCAGAAATACCTAAGTCCTTAAAGCTGAGAGGAAATAATACTAGACAACAGCTCAAATTGACAGAAAGAAATGAAGAGCACTAAAAATGGTAAATATATAAATAAAAGGCTATATAAATACACATTTTTTCTGTTCTCTCTTAATTTCTTTAAGAGACTTAAAGTTGTATGAGGCAATAATTACAACATTATGTTGCTGGGTTTATAAAATATATAAATATATGTGAAAAAACACAAATTTGGAAAAGAAATGAAGCTATATTGGATCAAAGCAGTTCTATTCCACTAGAATTAAGTCAGTACTATCCTGAAGTAAACTATGATAAGATAAATTATAATCTTGTGTATTATAATCTCTAAAGAAATATTAAGAAAATGCCTTTTAAATTTTATTTTTAAAAATCAAAACCAAATAATTAAAACATACGTAATAGAAAAGAAGGTGGTAGAAAGGGAAAAGAGGAACAACAAAAACTATGAGACAGAAAACAGTAAAATGGAAGCTACAAATCCAACCATATCAATAGTGACATTAACTATGAATGGAAGAAACACAAATCAAAAGGCAGAAATTATCAGATTGGATAAAAATCAAGATCAAACTATATAACATCTATAAGAGACACATTTTAGATTCATAGATATAAATAGGCTAAAGTAAAAACAGGAAAACAAGATTCATCATGCAAACAGTAACCATAAGACAGCTGGAATGCCTATATCAATATTAGACAAAATAGACTTTAAGTCTAGAAAAATTATGAGACAAAAGGGACATTCATAATTATAAAAGGCCAATACATCTGAAAAATGTGACAATTAGAAATGCATATGCATTGAACAGAAGAGCCCCCACAGTACTAAAATAAAAACGGACAGAATTGAAAGGAGAAAAATATTTAATACTAATAGTTGGAAATTTCCATACTTCTCTCTCAATAATTGATGGAAAAACTAGACAGGAAATTGGAAAAGAGACAAACAACTTAAATAACACCATCAAAAAAATCTTGACATTTATAAAATACAGAATTTAACATCAGCAGAATACACATTCTTATCAAGCACACATGGATATTCTACATATTAAGCAAATGCTAGAAAATATAATGTCTCAATTAATTTGAAGGGTTTGCCAAAGCTTTCAAAATATATTCTATAATCACAGCAGAATTAAGTTATAAATAAAAACAGAAAGAAATTTTAGAAATCTCTAAATATTTAGATATTAAATCACAAACAAATTCCAAGGGAAATTAGAAAATATTTTGAGGTAAATGAAAATAAACTACAGCATATCTACATTTATTGGAGGTAGATAAAGCAGGTTTAGAAAAAAAATTCATAGCTTTAACCATTTAGAGTAAAATAGAAAAGTTCCAAATCAGTAACTTAAGCTTTGTATATATTATTATATATTATAGTATTATATTATATATAATATATTCAGTAAAATATATAGAAAAGCAGTAGAGAAAAATGAATTAAACCAAAAGTCTTATGATAAAACTTTCACTAGACTGACCAAATATCAAAACAAAATGAACAAAAAGAAAACAGAAGATATTAATTACAGAAATCAGTAATGAAACTATGATATCACCACTGATGCTAGATAAATTAAAAGGATTATAAAGGAATACTATAAACAACCTTATCCCAATCATATAAGACAACAGATGAAATGGAAAAACTCTTAGGCACAAATTACCAACACTAACTAAAAAAGAAATAGAAAATGTAAATAAACCTGTAACACAAATATTGAATTAGTAATTAAAATTTTTCCCACAAAGAAAAGCTCAAGTCGAGATGGCTTCACTGGTTAATTATATGAAACATTCAAAGATAATACCAACCCTACACAAACTCTTTCAGAATTCAGAAGTGGCAGGAACACTTCCCAACTCATTCTAAGAGGCCTAATACCAAAGTTAGGCAAAGATCAAACGAAAACCACAGACCAATATCCATTGCAAACATTGATGCAAAAACCTTTTATCAAAATGCCAGCAAACTTAATCTAGCAGTATATACAGAGGATCATACACAATGACCATGTGGGATTTATTCCATGAAAGGTAAGGTTGGTTCAACATTGAAAATCAATTAACGAACTATGTTATATTAATAAAGTATAAAACCAAATAATCATCTCAATATATGCAGAAGAAGCACTCCACAAAATCCAACAGCCATGAGAAAACCTCTCAACAACGAGGACTAGAAAGGAACTTCCTCAAACTGATAAAGGACATGTGGGGCAGGGGAAACTCTATACTTATGTCATATTTAATGATGAAAGATGGAACGCTTTCCCCTTAAGATAGGGCATAAGGCATTCACCACTTCTATGCATCTTTGTACTGGGAAATCTAGCCAGTGCAATGAGGCAAGAAAATAGATATTAAAGGATAAAGAAGAAATAAAACTGTCTTTATTTGCAGATGAAATTATTCTATATGTAGAAAATTATAAGGAATCTATAAAGAAACTACTAGAACTAAAAAATGAGTTTAGCAACATCATAGGATGATATAAGATCAATATAAAAATCAATAACATTTGTATATACTAGCAACAAACAATCCAAATGTGAAATTAAGACTTATCCATTCACAATAATATCAACAGAAATAAAACACTTAGAAATCATTTTTACAAGACTGGAACGCTAAAGAAATTAAAGAATATGTAAATAAATGGAGAGACATTTCATGTTCATGGATTCCAAGACTCAAAATTGTTAAAATAACAATTCTCTACAAGTTAATCTATGAACTCAATATATAATCTCTATGAAAATCTAATAAAGCTTTTCTTTAGAAACTGACAAATTGATCCAGAAATTTATATGAAAATGCAAAGGACCCCAAAATAGACAAAACAATTTTGATAAAAGAAGAACAAAGTTGGAGGACTTACACTATGTGATTTCAAAACTTACCTTAAAGTTTTAGTAATCAAGACAGTGTAGTATAGGAATGAGGACAGACATGTAGTTCACTGGGACAGAATTGAGAATTCAGAAGTGAACCCTTTCATTTATGGTCAACTGATTTTTGAGAAAGATGCCAAGATAATTAAATAGAGAAAGGAAATTCTTTTTAACAAGTAGTGCAGTAAAAAATGGATCTACATGTTGAAAAAAGAACTTCAATTCATACTTCACAACATATATAAAAATTAACTCAAAAAATAGACTTTTAGAAGGAAGTACAGATTGAAAATCTTCATTACCTTGCGTTAGATACAAATTTCTTAAGATCTGGTACCAAAAGTACAATCCAAAAAGGAAAAAACGATAAATTGGACTTCACTAAAATTACAAATTTTGCTCTTCAAATACATCATTTTTAAAAATGACAACATAAGACAGACTAGAAGGAAATATTTGATATTTATATTTTTGGAAAAGAACTTAGTTCAGAATATACAAAGAATTATTGAGAATTGATAATAAGAAGAAAAACGACTCAATTTTGAAAGTGGGCAAAAGATTTGAAAATACATTTCTCCAAAGTACATACACAAATGGGTTATAAAAACTTGAAAATATGCTCAACATCATAAAGTTATTAGGAAAATACAAAGTGAAACAACTGTGAACAACGGATTCACACTCACATAATGGCCATAATCAAAATGACTGATAAGACGGGTGCAGTGGCTCATGCCTGTAATCTCAGCACTTGGGAGGCTGAGGCGGGCGGATCACTTGAGGTCAGGAGCTCAAGCCCAGCCTGGCCAACATAGTAAAACCCCATGTCTACTAAAAACACAAAGATTAGCCGGGAGTGATGGCGCATGCCTGTAATGCCAGCTACTCAAGACTGAGACAGGAGAATCACTTGCGCCACTGCACTCCAGCCTGGGTGACAGAGTGAGACTTTGTTTCAGGAGGGGAAAAAAAAAAAAGAAAGAAAGACTGATGATACCAAGCATTGATGAGCATGTGAAAAAACTGGAACCCTCTTACCTTACTGGTGAAAACATAAAATGGTACCACCACTTTGGGAAACAATTTGGCAATTTCTTTAAAACATAAATTTACCATATGACCTAGAAATTCTACTTCTAGATATCTACCCAAGAGAAATAAAAACATATGTCCACACAGACTTCTTTTCAAATATTTATAGCAACATTATCCAAATGGCCAAAAACAAACCAATTCTCATGTGCATCAACTGCAGAATGGATAAACAAAATGTATTATATCCATACAACATAGTATAATTCAACAATAAATCGGAACCAATTATTAATATATTCTATAACATGGATGAACCTAAAAAATATTATTCTAGTGAAAGAAGCCAAAAGTAAAAGATAACATATTATATAATTCAATTTATATAAAACATCCAGAAATGAAAATCTATAGAGACAGAAAGCAGATCAGTGTTTATCTGAGATTGAGGTGAGAGTGGGGATTGACTGGATATGGGTAACAAATGAACTTTGTGGGTGATTAAATGTTCTAAAACTGATTTGTGCTGATGGTTGCGCAAATCCTTAAATTTACTAATTAATACTGAATTATACACTTATAATGAGTGATTTATATGGTTATGAAAACATACCTCAATTAAAAAAAAAGTTGTCAAATGCTTCTCTACCGAGGAGGAAACAGTTGGCTTGAAATAGATCTTTGCTGTGGGAAGAATCATTTCAGTGGACAATTTAATTATGCAAATGTAAGGCTGGTAGGCATCCATTACCTCAGGGGAATGATCTAACAAAATCTTTTGAGGCTTCATAAGGGCCATGCCTTCTCAATACTCTGTGGTAAACAGAGATAATTAAAGTAAAGAAGGTAAATAGATCTGCATAAAAAAATGAAACAGGAATTCTGAAAGGGATCAACTCCTAGACTCCATCCTCCTCAAGGTTCAGAATTACAAAAATCTCTTTCATAGATTTTAGTGATAGGTCTGTGGCTTACAAGTAGGAATATATGCTTAAGGAGGCTTTATCAAAGGGGAAATGATAATCTGGGTTGGTGATTCAGGCTGAAAAGTAGAGACATTGTAGGCTAAATCCAAGTGACTACAGAGGCCAGGCAGGTAAAGCAACAGAAATAGTGAATGCTGGAGCAAATCAGATAGTGTATATCTGATTAAAGAGGACAATTATTCAGTGCAACCCATTTTTTCTCCTGAGAGAATAAGAGGTCACTGAAATCAGTTTCTCCAATGGTTCAAGAATATGAAAGTCCAGATATTTATATGAATCTCTTGATTTAAAATCACGGTATTTTATATTTTTATATAATGATATAAAATTCAACTATTTTTAAAAATACCATGAGAACTAAACAAAACATATCTGCAAGTTGCATCTGGCTCACAGACCACTGGTTTTCTATCCCTGGACTAGATTTCAAGAAAGAAAGGCTAATTTTGGTACAGTGTGGGGATGGGCTGAAAGTACCTTCTCACACATCCAACTTGGCAAGGAAGCCAAGATGACTAAGCATATGAGTATAAATTAAGGAAATGAAATCCTTTGACATAACCTTTGAATGAACATAATACTGAAGAGTGAATCATCCTGTCATTAAGAACCACTGAGGTCTCCGCAAGGATCAGTGGCATCACATCAACAAGACAAGGTACATAAAATTTGTTGGGGCCACTTTTAAATCACGAAACAATGTAGCAGTGGTAAAATCAACAGTGGCTAAAAGTGATATCACTAGCTTATATGTTCATGCTTGTGATCCCAGCACTTTAGGAGGCCAATACAGGAGATTGCTTGACCCCAGGAGTTCAAGAACAGCCCGGGCAACACAGCAAGATCTCATCTCTACAAAAAATAAACTTAAAAAAAATTAGCCTGGCACAGTGGCATGCATCTATATTCCCAGCTACTTGGGAGGCTGAGGTGGGAAAATAGCTTGAGCCCAGGAGAACAAGGCTGCAGTGAGCCATGATCACACCACTACTCTCCAGCCTGGGCAACATAGCAAGACCCTGTCTCCAAAAAATAAAAATCTCCATCTCTTTCTTCAACTAACTTTTGGAGAGCAAATTAGTCTCCTTGGAATGAGTAAACTCCTAGGAGTATAGCAATACTTGAAGCAGCTGAACGAAGACTCTAAGAAAAGACCTCCTTGGAATTCTTGCTAATTTGAATAGATAAGTGTGCCGGTGATTAAACTGAATATTTAAAAGATGACAACTTATTTGTCTCTCAAGTGAGCCATACTTGTTAAATAACAATAATGAAACACCAAAGCTGAAAGCAACCATGGTTTCAGGACATGAAAGTAATATTCAATCTCTCAGACACATATCATTCTTCCTGTTCAACTTATTACTTCTTTCTGAATGACATCTTATTTTCAAAGTTCTTTGTCTCTCAGATCATCTGCTATTACTCACTGACCAATTTTTAACAGTGGAAAAAGTTTTCGTTCAAGATTGCTTAGGATATTAGGGTCTTTTGTGTTTCTATACAAGTTTTAGGATTGTTTTTCCTATTTTTGCGAAACCTGTCATTGAAACTTTGGAAGAGATGGCATTTAATCTGTAGATCGCTTTGGATACTAGAAGCATTTTAACAACATTTATTCTTCAGATCCATAAACATTAGATATCTCCATTCACTGTGTTTTCTTCACTTTTTCATAAATGCCTTACAGTTTCCAGTGTACAAATCTTTCACTGCTTTGGTTAAAGTTATTCCTATGCATTTTTTGTGATATTGTAAAAAGAAGTGCTTTCTTGATTTCTTTTTTCCATAGTTCATTGTTAGTATGCAGAAACACTATTGATTTATGCATTTTAATTTTTTATGCTGCATCTTTATTGAATTTGTTAGTTTTAACAGTTTTTTTGGTAGAGTCTTCAGGGTCTTTAATATACAAGATAATATCATTTGCACATGTAAAAGATTTTACTTCTTCCTTTCCAATTTAGATGCTATTTATTTATTTATTTATTGCCTAAATGCTCTGGATAGGACTTCCAGTATCATATTGAGTAGAAGTTTTAACAGTGGGCATCCTTTCCCTTGTTCATGATCTTACAGGAAAAGCTTTCATCTTTTCACCGCTATTAAGATGTTAGCTGAGGGCTTATCCTATGTAGCCTTTATTATGTTGAAGTACAGCACTTCCATAACTAAAAAGTTTCCATCATAAAAGAATGTTAAAGTTTCTCAAATGCTTTCTCTGCATCTACTGAGATGATTATATATAACTTTTACCCTTCATTCTGTTAATAGTGTATCACATATGTTGATTTGTGTATGTTGAACCATCCTCGATTGTGGTGTATCATCCTTTAATGTGCTGTTGAATTTAATTTGCTAGTATTTTGTTGAGAATTTTTGCATCTATGTTCATCAGGGATATTGGCCTATAATTTTCTTTTGCAGTATCCTTGTCTGGCTTTGGTATCAGAGCAATGCTGCCCTGGTAAATGAGCTTGGAAGTATTTCCCCTTCTTCAGTTATTTTGGGAGAGTTTGAGAAGGACTGGCATTAATTCTTTGTTAAATGATAGAAATTCACCAGTGAAGCCATGAAATACTACTAGGTTTTATTTTGTTTGGGGTTTTTTTGATTACTGATTAAGAGTCTTCATATTCCTTATTGGTTTGTTCATTGCATCAAACTAAAAGCTTTTGTGCAAAAAGAAAACAGTCGACAGAGTGAAGAGACAACCTACAGAATGAGAGAAAATACTTGCAAACCACATATCTAATAAGGAGTTCATATTGAAAATATATAAGGAACTCAAACAACTCAATAGCAAGAAAACAAATACCCAATTTAAAAAATGGGCAGGTGACTTGAATAGGCATTTCTCAAAAGCAGACATAAAAATGGTCAATGGGTATATGAAAAATGCTCAACATCACTACTCATGAGGGTAATGAAAATTAAAATCACAATGAGCTACTACCTCACATCTGTTAGAATGGCTATTATAAAAAAGACAAAAGATAACAAGCACTGGTTAAGACCTGGAGAAAACAGAACCCTTGCACACTGTTGGTGAGAATATACATTAGTACAGCCATTATGGAAAATGATATGAAGGATCCTCAAAAAATTAAAAATGAACTATCATATGATCCAGCTTCTAAGTATGTATCAAAAGAAAGAAATCAGTATGTCTAAGAGATATCTAGATATCTGTACTCCCATGTTCATTACAGCATTATTCACAAGATATGGCATCGACGTATGGTATTCTACACACTGGAATACACTATCAACCTTAAGAAAGAAGGAAATTCTTTCATTTGTGATAGAGTGAATGAACCTGGAAGACATTATATTAAGTGAAATAAGGCAGACACAGAAACACAAATATTGCATAATGTCACACATGTGGAACCTAAAAACATCAAAATCGCAGAAGTAGAGAATAGAATGCTGGTTGTCAGGGGCTGAAGGATGGGAGGGTTCAGGGAAGGAAGATTTAGGAGATGTTGGCTAAAGGGTACAAAATTTCACTTAGACAGGATGAATAAGTCCTGGAGATTCATCGTATAGAATGGTAACTGCAGTTAATAATAATGCATTAATACAGGCACACCCCTCATTTTATTGTGTGTTGCTTTATTGCACTCAGCAGATATTGCACTTTTCACAAATTGAGGGTTGGGGCAACCTTGTGTCAAGCAAATCTGTTGGTGCCATTTTTCTTACAGCATGTGCTCACTTCATGTCTCTGTGTCACATTTTAATAATTTTCACAATATTTCCTTTTTCATTATTATTATATCTGTTATGGCGATCTGTGTTCAGATGTTACTATTTTAACTGTTTTAGGGCACCACAAACTGCACCCAAATAAAATGGTGAGCTTAATTGATAAGGGTTGTGTGTGCTCTGACTGCTCCACTCACCAGCTAGTCCCCCATTTCTCTCCCTCTCCTTGGGCCTTCCTATTCCCTAAGACACAGCAATACTGAAATTACGCCGATCAATAGCCTTACAATGGCCTCTTAGTGTTCAGACGAAAGGAAGAATTGCACATCTCTCACTTCAAATCAAAAGCTAGAAATGATTAAGCTTAGTAAGGATGGTATGTTGAAAGCTGAGACAGGCCAAAAGCTAGGCCTCTTGCACCATACAGCCAAGCTGAGAATGCAAAAGAAAAAAGTTACTGAAGGAAACTAAAAGTGCTGCTCCAGTGAACACACTAATGATAAGAAGGCAAAACAGCCTTATTGTTGATATAGAGAAAGTTGTGTGGTCTGGAAAGATCAAACCAGTCATAGCATTTCCTTAAGCCAAAGCCTAATTAAGAACAAGGCCTTGACACTCTTCAATTCTATAAAGGCTAAGAGTGGTGAGGAAGTTGCAGAAGTCTGAAGCTAGCAGAGGTTGGTTCATGAGGTTTAAAGGAAAGAAGCCCTTTCTATAACATAAAAGTACAAGGTGAAGCAGCAAGTGCTAATGGAGAAGCTGCACCAGGTTATCCAGAAGATCTAGCTAAAATAATTGATGAAGGTGGCTAGACTAAACAACAGATTTTCAATGCAGAATTAACAGTGCTCTATTGGAAGAAGATGCCATCTAGAACTTTCCTAGCTAGAGAGAAGGCAATGCCTGGCTTCAAAGCTTCAAAGGACAGGCTGACTCTCGCTAGGGGCTAATACATCTGGTGACTTCAAATTGAAGCCAATATTCATTTACCATTTAGAAACTCTTAGTGCCCTCAAAAACTATGCTAAATCTACTCTACCTGTACTCTATAAATGGAATGTGAAAGGCTAGATGACACCATATCTGTTTGCAGCATTGTTTACTATTTTAAGCCCACCATTGGGAACCACTCAGAAAAAGATTCCTTTTAAAATATTAGTGCTAATTGACAATGCACCTGATCACCCAAGAGCTCGATGTACAAGGAGATGAACGTTGTTTTCATGCCTGATAACACAACATCCATTCTGCAGGCATGGATCAGGTCTTATTATTTAAGAAATATATTTTATAAGGCTAAAGGTGTCACAGATAGTGATTCCTCTGATGGATCTGGGCAAAGTAAATTGAAAACCTTCTGAAAAGGAGTTACCATTCCAGATGCCGTAAGAACATTGTGATTTATGGGAGGAGGTCAGAATATCAACATCAACAGGAGTTTGGAAGAAGTTGTTTCCAACTCTCATAGATGCGTTTGAGCGGTTTAAAATTTCAGTGGAGAAAGTCACTGCAGATGTGGTAAAAAATTACAAGATAATTAGAATTAAAAGTGGAGCCTGGAGATGTGACTCTATTGCTGCAATCTCCTGATAAAACTATAACGAGTGAGGAGTTGCTTCTTGCAGATGAGCAAAGAAAGTAGTTTCTTGAGATGGAATCTATTTCTGGTGAAGATGCTGTGAAGATTATTGAAATGACACCTGAGAATTTAGAATATTACATCAACTTAGTTGGTAAAGCAGTAACAAGGTTTGAGAGAACTGACTCCAATTTTAAAAGAAGTTCTACTGTGGGTAAAATGCTACCAAAAACATCACATGCTACAGAGAAATCTTTTATGAAAATAAGAGTCAGTCAAGTGTGTCACTTTGTTGTCTTATTTTAAGAAATTGCCACTGCCATCCCAACCTTCAGCGACCATCACCTTGATCAATCAGCAGGCAAACATCAATGCAAGACCCTCCACCAGCAAAAAAATTGGGAAATGCTGAAAGCTGAGATGATCATTAGTATTTTTTTAGCAATAAAATAATTTCAAATTAAGATATGTACTTTTAAAAAGATATAATGTTATTGCACACTGAATAGACTATAGAGTAAACATAACTTAAATGCACTGGGAAACCAAAAAATGTGTGACTTGCTTTACTGTGACTTTAGTTGTATTGTGGTGGTCTGGAACTGGACCTGCAGTATCTCTGAGGTATGACTACATGAAAATTGCTAAGAGATTCAATCTTAAATTTTTTGCCATGAAAAAGTAACTATGTGAGGTGGATATTCATTTGTTTTAGTCATTTCACAATGTATACTTATATTGAACCATCATGTTGTACATTATAAATATACGCAATTTTATTTGTCAAGTATACCTTAATAAAGCTGAGGGGGAGGGAGGAAGAAATAAACTTTCCAGTGTCAACTTATTAAGAATGGAGTTAAATTCTCAAATCCATATTTTTCACATTCAGATTTTTGTTATGGACTGGTCTATTTTGGCATTACTATAAAGAAATACCTAAGGCAGAATAATTTATAAAGAGATTTATTTTGGCTCATGGTTCTGCAGACTGTAGAAGAAGCATACTGCCAACATCTGCTTCTGATGAGGGCCTCAGGAAGCTTTCAATGATGGCAGAAGGCAAAGAGGGAGCAGGCATGTCACAGGCAAAGAGAGGGAGCAAGAGAGAGGGGGAAGTGCCATGTTTGTTTTAAAAAAACAACCAGTTATTGCATGAACTAATAAAGCAAGAACCAGCTCATTACCCATTGGGAGGACACCAAGCCATTCATGAGAGATCCTCCCCCATGACCCAAACGCCTCCCATTAGGCCCCACCTCCAACACTGGGGATCACATTCCAACATGAGATTTGGAGGGGACAAACATATAATGTTCTTACCATGACCCTGGTAGTTGTAACAGAAGGAAGTATAATGGGCCATTATATTTTTAATTTTTAAAAATATCAATATACTGTTTTGAGAATAAATTTTACAATGTTAAATGTGTTTTCTTTATTTTATTTTATTTTAATTTATTTTGAGATAGAGTCTCACTCTGTCACCCAGGCTGGACTGCAGTGGTGCAATCTCACCTCACTGCAGCCTCTGCTTCCTGGGGTCTAGTGATTCTCCTGCCTCAGCCTCCCAAGTAGCTGGGATTACAGGTGTGCGCCACCACACCTGTAGATGGAGCCTGGCTAATTTTTGCATTTTTAGTAGAGACAGGGTTTCACCATGTTGGCCAGGCTGTTGTTGAACTCCTGACTGCAAGGGATCTGCCCACCTCAGCCTCCCAAAGTGCTGGGATTACAGGCGTGAGCCACCACACCTGGCCTTAAATTTGTTTTTAAAAATATCATTAAGGATAGTAGCTATATAATTATTTTCACACATTCTCAAGTGCTATAATCTATGAAAAAATAATTATTATAATAATTAACTCCAAAAAGATATGCATGTTTATCTGGGATTCAATTAATTTAATGCAAAAGCCTTAAAATGGTCATAACTTCTTCAAATTAATCCTATAAAATATAAAAATAATCCTAAATATGTACAAATATTTAGTTATAAAGATGTTTATCATGGCATTTTTTAATAGCAAAACATTAAAAACAGCCTAGATGGCCAATGATTGGTTAAATAAATTATAGTATATCCTTATGATTTAATACAAAATAGTATTGTAGAACAACTCTTTATAAAGAAAAATGTTAACTAAACATTATGTTTTGAAAGATCCAAATTCTGGAGCTGGGCTGGGTGCAGTGGCTCAGGCCTGTATTCCCAGCACTTTGGGAGGCCAAGGCAGGCAGATCACTTGAGTTCAGGAGTTCAAGATCGACCTGGGCAACATGGTGAAACTCCACCTCTACCAAAAATACAAAAAATTAGCCGGGTATGGTGGCACATGCCTATAGTCCCAGCTACTTGGGAAACTGAGATGGGAGGATCGCTTGAGCCTGGGAGGCAGAGGCTGCAGCGAGTCGAAATCCCACCACTGCACTCCAGCCTGGGTGACACGGTAAGACTCTGTTTAAAAAAAAAAAATTGGAGCTGGTAGAAATTTGTGTGTCTATACACAAAATAGAGTATATATACAAAAATTAACAGTCATTACCTTTTGGCAGAATTATGTATACTTTTTTTTACCTTTTTGTTTTTTCCTGTAGTTTCAAAATTTTCTCCAGTGAAGATATACATTTGGAAATCATATTAAAATGTTATTAGGGAAAAAGTGCTTCTCACACCTTAATGTGCATATAAATCAGCTGGGAAATCTTGTTAAAATGCTGATTCTGACTAAGTAGGTCTAGGTGGGACCTGGGATTCTTCCTCCTAACAAGCTCCCAGGAGATGCTAATAATGCTGGACAGGGACCACACTTTGAGTAGCAAGCTGTCTTCTAACTCTGTCATATGGCTATTTTTGCAAAGCACAAGCAAGTAAAAGCTTCTCGTTATGTTAGTACAGTTGATATAGTACTTGCATTGCTAAATGGCTCATGGAATGATTTCCTGATTTCAACATCATTTAATATCCCAACTATTTTAGTTTTACTATAAAGTCTGCTTGTTACTTAAATTTTTATTGGAAATCATGATAAAAATACACAGGTAACACTGAAAATTGGTATTTACTAGAGCCAGGTCAGCATTTGACTGCTTTTGGTTAATGGCCATGGGCTTTTAAAATAAATTGCAAAGATCACAATAGCACAAATTAGTAAGAAGCTCATTTGTGTAATACTGCAGTGATGTTTAATGTTAATTTAACAAATAACTCAAGATTTATTGAAAATTATGCTAGTAATACTGAAATAAACTGACAAGTTATTTGCCTTCAAGGAGTTCAAAATCAAACATGAGAGACAGATACATAAGGATTAATAGTAATGCATTTTAAATATTATAAACTATAATATATATAGTATACAAACTATACCATATAAATACTATAAATAAACCACAATAAAAGTTAAGTATAAGATGATATAAGAACATAAGGAAGAGCACAGACTCTAAGAAGGATGAAGGATAGATGAATAGGATACATTGGTGGTTTTGTTACAGAGATGATACCTGAGAGGATGCCTAAAGTATGGGCAAATCTCACCACTGGTAGAAGTGAAGAAAGAGAATTCCAGACAGAAGCAGCAACTTGAACAAGCACTGTTGTAAAAGGAATCCATTATCTGACTATTCATTGCCATGCTGACTGTCACGTCAAAAGCGTTAGTTCTAATTAAATGCCCAGCAAAAACGGAAGATGTATAGTAGCTATACACATTTCTCTGTAGTAAAGTAAGTTAACTTATCCTGTATTATGCTAGTTAAAATCTTTAGGCTCTTTTAACAAAGGTTGCATTATATTATTTTCCACTTTAAAAAACTGCATTGGCTCCCCACTAATACAGCGTAGTACAAAATTCTGGATGTCTAATAGAAAACTTTTAAAGTTTAAATCCAGAACCTAATTTTCTAGACAGTATCTTACTAAACCTTTTAAGTAAGTTCTAAATGTTCATATTTTCAAATACTTGTGTATGTTATTTTCTTAAAATAACCTTCTTCTCTAGGTCTCAAAATTCTATTCATTCTTTAATATTTTTGAAGTCCCCCATTTTCTCTTTAGTAACAACTTTTTTCTTACACTTAGCTTCCACAGTAAGCTTAGACATTTTAAAGCAACTATTTCATTATGCCTTGAATATTATATTATGTTTGCTCTTCTTTTTGGGGGTAAGAACTAGATCTTATTTTTCCTGGAAACTTGCTTACTTACTATGATATAGTAAATACTCAAAAAAGTTTTACCAAATGAGTAGAAATTGACTATTATCAAGAAGCTTATGGAATAGTTTCAAGTGGAAAAAGCTGATAAAAAGACAAAGGTGGAAAGTCTTTTAGCTGAGAAGTTAAAATGATACAGATTCAATGGGCTAACAAATAGGAGGTAAACTGTCTGAGAGATTGTATAAAATTTGCAAAGGTAAAACTGACTGAAGTGGTCTACTGTAACCACTTTATGATTTTGCTAGAGGACATCCATAATCAAAACTGCTCATTTGTTTAATATATTTAAATCTAAGATTTACTAAAATGGATTTGTATTTACAAGAGAAATAGCCTGTCAATTCATAGGAAAAGGGAAAGAAAAAGTATTTGATGGTATTGACCTATTTGCTTCTTAAAATACTGTAGTTAGACCTTCATTAAGTCAGCATTGTATAACTCTACACATTTATGATCAAAGGAAGATTAAAAAGCTAACTATAATAAATTTGCTAGAAAGAGAACTTAACGCATGTCAATGCTCTCATTCATTCTGAGTTGGAACAAAAAGCAGAATTCCTCCATGCTTTTCTTTGAACTTCATGTATTTATATGTGCATGCAATTAGCTGTTACATATTTATTTAATCAAACAGGAATTTCTGTTACTTAGTTTAATAGTAAAAGATGAAACACCTGAGACCACTATGTGGCCTTTGTTCTGTGTTTCTTCCTATACATAATGTCACTGGACACGAAAGAAACTTGGATTGAAGCATGCTGCATTTCATGTCTCCTAAATTGGTAACTGATCTTTATACAAAGGTTTATGAATTTTTTTTGTAAATTGATGTAGTTTCTATGCTTAGTTTATTTCATTATAAAAACACTTTAGGAACAAACATATTCAGTGTTTATCATCAGGAGACATTACATTCCCTTGTCAAATGAGTCATGCAAGTAAACTGCTTTAAGTAGCTTTGAAGAATGTGGTTCATATGAAACTTTGTACAGTCAGAACTCCTTCTATAACTCATTCGCCAAATAAATAAAAATTGTGTTTTCACCACAAAAATAAACCTTGGAATTTTGAAATGATCGGATTCCTCTATTTCAGCTCTATCAGTGTTTTCTCCTCTACAATAATACATTTCATAATAGGAAATTATAGCTTCATGCTACCATACTCATCCTTAGACATAAAATTATTATCTCTATTATGGTATTCAGGGATATAAAAAGGAGAGTCAAGTAGAGGAATGCTTAATTAATGAACATTCAGTTACTCTTTAAGTATTTCTTACATCATGCATATTATTTGCAGCGCTACATGGTTTGCTCCTAATTTTATTTGTGTACAAGAATCCTATTTGTTTTGACTTCACAATAAAAAAAAAACAAAACAGCATTTTATCCAATAGAAATCATGGCTCATGATACTATTTTCCATTACTAGATTTTAAAATATGTTTTAGAAAGCATCACAGATCCCATACATTTAAAAAGTGGTGAAAGTCTAGTTCAAACATAACTTTTAATTATTAAAAACCCCTAACATTCATTTATTTGAGACACTTTTACTAAACACCCACTATATGAAGAGCAGGTATTAATGAAACAGAAATTAATTCAATTCTGTCTTAATTCCTCATTTAACTTTAAATTAAAACATACTTGAAATGCATAAAAATAATTTCCAAAAGGATTTAAAAGACTGCAATTTAAAAGAATAGGGCAAGGACAATAATTAACAAGCTTTTGTTACATGGTAAAGTTTAATATTATACCACTATTTTAATATTCAACAGTTCATTAACTTGAAGATATATATTCATATTCCTCATCCATCAACTTGCTATACAGTAAAGACTATAAATAACCCAAAACCTTTTAAGTGGAAAAAATGCACAAATACATGTTCTTCCTCAATCTCCCAAAAATAGTTTGAAGAATGTAAAAAAATTTCTGATTTAGTAAAAAATTAATTCAAATAAGCTTCTATAACACTGTCAAGGTGCTGTATAAACCTAGGAGTAAATTTTGTAAGCCATTCTTGATTTTGCTGTTGTGGTTGTTAAGCTGAGTTTTCTTCCTTAACTGCTACCAAATACATAAACAGAAAGAGTCAAACGCTAGTGCTATTTGATGATCAAACAAACACACCAAAGAGGGCAAAAGTTTCAAGGGTAATTCTATTGTTCCTCTAATTGGAGTCACAGAAATACCTTGAGGAGGGTCCAAGGTGAGATGTAGAATGGCGGCACTAGTATTGTTTATATGTGCAATTTATCTTTTAGAGTGTATGGCACCAAAAATGGTTCCCCAGCACCATTTTAGCAAAGCTGCAAGTTCAAACATTTTAACATGCCTGAAAGAATGTGATTCATGCATAACCAACTTTTCCTGCATTTGAGTCATATGTATAAATAACATAAAATATAATTATAAAGTTTTTGATATCCATAATGTTATAAGTGTAAGAATTTAGATAGAATAATTATGTTTTATTTTAGAAATTCCTGTTTGTAAAACTGAAATAACTTTCTCACATGCATTTAAAAATAAAACCATGGCAAACACAATAGAAATGTAATTATAAATTCAAGAGTCTTGTTGCCCCTTTCAAAGTTTAAAGCTTATAAATACAAGACATTTTAAGAAGTAAACAGATGGTTGTTTCTGAAACTTAAGTATTTCATTTTTATGTAAGAACAACAAAAAAAAGTACATTAGAAATGATGTAAGAATTTTATAGAAAATCTTGTCACTGATATTGAACTTAGTCAAAAATAAAACCATACAATGATGAAAGCTGAATGATTCAGCTCAACTTATAATCAAGTTTTTATGGAATTCTTTCAACTTCATCTTGCAAAATGTCCTTGTGAAAATCAGAAAACAACAAACAAAAGAGGGTTCTTTATGTTTGATTGTAAAACTCCAATTACCATTTTAGTTGCTAGTTATAATGTATCATTTAAAAAACAAAACTTACTTGATCTGTCCCATAAGGCAGTATGTTCAGAGAAATGAAGGCTGTCATTTTCCAGAGCTGTTTTCTGATCATGTGCAGTACCTTTAGAGTGTCTATGAAATAACCGGCTAGCAAAACCTTCCAATTTCTGAAGAGCTGTAGTTGTACCTGTATACTGGTTACAAGGTGGTTCTCTATAAGCTGCCATTCATGTGCATTTACACTTTACTTAATGTAACTGCAAATGTTTCCAGAAGGAGCTCACAACTTCTTACACAGAAGCTAAGAGCTATGCATGTGTCAAACTTCCTGTTTGCAGGGTATTCAAACCACTA
Organism: Homo sapiens; assembly: GCF_000001405.40. NCBI lineage: Eukaryota > Metazoa > Chordata > Mammalia > Primates > Hominidae > Homo > Homo sapiens. The sequence goes on along the minus strand of NC_000001.11, from coordinate 84,144,234 downwards.
CTGCTGTTCTGTTTCCTGTTAATATAAAACAGCACATTACTGAGCTTTTCTTAGCAAAACACTTTTCAGCTAGAGTTGAGGATTTTAAAAACTTGCAATATCTGCCTAAAAGGCTTTATGTTTGGGTGTTTTAATATTAATATATAGGCTAATGAGAGCATTAAATATAAAGCTTTATATATATAGTAGGCTAAACATTCTTTAAAAAGAAAACTAGTTAAACATGTATGACAAGTCTATGCAAACAACTGAAGGCCAAGCTGTCCTCCAAACACAACATGCTAAAGACAGGTTGTATTTTTTCTAGGAAATCAACTAATATACAGATTTTATGAATCCTTATAAGCAGCTAACTTTTCATAAAAAAAAACTAGTATGAAATGGGTATGAAAAAACTCTTGCAAAACAAATTTATAACACGTATAAATAAAACAATGTGAAATAGCACTTTAAAAAATTGAATGTTTCTAATTCATTGATTTAGGCCTAATACATACAGGAACTACATACACTTAGTATGTCAGTATTGCTTATCAAACTTATAATCTGCTGACATATGTCTATTACCAGGGGTACATTTTAAAACATTCTAAAATTTGAAAAGAACAAAATACAAGATTTAAATTATATAAAATCCACCATAGCAAGAAATTTCAATTGAGAGAAAAAAGTTCCTTCTAGTTGGCTGAGACATGTTAATTTTAAAACCTTACCACTGAAGACTACTACTTACCTAAACCCCTGATTTAGTGATCTCACTTAGAAACACCTCTCTATTTTTTTTTAAACGTTGTTTCACTCTGTCTCCCAGATTGGAGTGCAGTGGTGCGACCTCTGCTCACTGCGACCTCCGCTCCTAGGTTCAAGCGATTCTCGCCCCTCAGACATCCGAGTAGCTGGGATTATAGGCGCGCACCACCATGCCCGGCTAATTTTTGTATTTTCAGTAGAGATGGGGTTTCTCCATGTTGGCCAGGTCAGGAGTTGTCTCAAACTCCTGGCCTCAAGCGATACGCCCGCCTTGGCCTCCCAAAGTGCTGGGATTACAAGTGTGAGCCACCGCGCCTGGCCAAAACATCTCTTTTGATTAAAAGTAAGTAAAACTTGCCTTGTCAATTTTCAGGAAAGAAAGTAACCTGTGGCATTTAACAAAAATTTTGAGTACTTGTTTTTTTGACACTAAAGGATAAGAAATTTCCGTGGTTCTCTTTGGAAGCAGAGGGGAGGGGAGGGAAGGGAAGGAAAGGAAAGAAAGAAAAAGGTCTATCTAAAACAATCTATCTAAAAAAATCTTACTTCAGATTTACTGCCAACTGTTTGACAAACATAAAAAATAGAAACAATACTGATAAGTAAAATAAATAGGAACAATAATGTAATCAAATTAGGACTACATAAAAGGCCAATAAGAAAACACTGATTAGTGAATTTTGCCATTTAACAGTTCATTTGTGTATACTTTGTGTAATGGAATTCATATCAATCTAAACAAGTATGTAACAGTATCTATAAGATAAACTTAAATTTATAGCTTTATGTATAAATATTATGTGTGAATAACAGTTAACAAAACACTGACCAATGAATTTTGCCATGTAACAGCTCATTTCTGTATACTTTGTTTTGTGTAATAAAATTTTTATCAATCTAAACAAATATGCAACAGCATCTATATGACAAAATTCTTAAATTTGTAGCTTTATGTATAAATATTATGTGTGCATAACAATAATTTGTTTCTTAACATCTGGTAGTGCCTTACACAAAACAGACACTTATTAAATGTCTGTAGTCTTCAACAAATATCTACAGAGCATGGACTGATTCTGTAAGGGAAGAAGTGGATAAAATTACTGAATTCCCTTGATTTGCTCTACTGAAGGAAATTCTAATCATCTTCAAGGCTTAGTTCAAATGTCACCTCTTCAGTGAAGTCTGCCACATACTTCCTAGGAAAACAAACTTTGCTGCTTTGTTTTCACTGACCTCATAATATTATGTTAAAAGGTACTGTTTATGAATTTATATGACCCTAAATTGTGAGTTACTTGAATTCATAAATGAAATGCATGTATTACATACTCAATAAACATGTTAAAAGAAAAAAGTATTCACTCATTTTTAACAATTTAAAGGTCTAAGTAGAATCACCGAATACTTGAAAATGTTTGAATTTTATTTATGATGGGACCATATTTATAGATAATCCAAGAAGCACCAAGTTGCTCATATATAGAGACAAGAGTAATAGAACTGTTATCATTGAACTTCTCCTTTTTTCTATTTGTTACTAAATTTTATTCATTCTTTGAATTACATTTTTACTCAGTGCCAATGTGGACTTCTTAACTTCTTGTTTTCCCCGCTTCCAATTACCCCCTTTAATCATTCACCTCTCTGACATATTAACCTCCCCAAAGTATTACACTCATGGTATTCCATTGCCAAATACACAAACTAATCGTAACATTTCAGCTGGACCGTATTCATTTTTAACACATCTAGCCAGATTTTTTATTTATATTCAATGTTGCTCAAGTACAGAAGTTGCAGATTCCTAACTAGAACACTAAGATTACTTTATTTAAAACAATGCATAAGCTTTAAAACAAAATTACTAAAGCAAAAAGAGTAAACTTCACTAGATGAGTATCTTGAAAACACCGTATTTTAAATCTGCACTGTTTTAAAAATAAAATTGTTTCAATTTGTTATCAAGTCCTTCCAGAAAATAGAATATTTAATATTTAAAGCAATGTTTCTATATGTGGTAATGTGACCAGGAAGCTATTGCTATAGAAGTACTTCGGATATTTGATTTTTGATTAAGAAATAAAAATAAAAAGAAGAACTCTACTGGCATCTACTGCTAGAAAGAAACAACTGCAGTTTTAACTAAAACTATGAATTCCTTCATAACTGCAATTAACTTTAAGAAGTATATTGCTTGTTATTCTTCCTAGCGGTGTTTCCACAACTTTAATTCGCACTAAATGTCTCGCCATGCACCGAGAATTTACCAGAATAGCTTATCTTGTAGTTAAATAAGATTTTAAAACTAGAGAGTAATCAACTTCATGAGGTTGATTTTATTCCTCCTTCATTCTGCATTAATTTTTAAAATTATAGAAATTTTCAGAGTTGAACCAGCTTTAATTGCCACAAAATACCACAAAATATTGGTTTCTTTTATTTAATAATAGTGATGACACATTTACCAAGCACTTTACCACATATAAAGTGATTTACTCTGTAAAACCATTGTGAAATTACTGTAATGCACCTGAGATCCTTACAAATAAAGTAAGCAGCACAGGTATTATTATCCTTATTTTAAGATGCAAAAAAATAAACATTAAGTGACTTGCCCAAAGTCACCTAGGTCTTCAAACTCCTAGATCAGGGTTTCTTGTACTGCAAGACACTGATTACCACATGAAGTAAACATTTTATTTTTAAATGCAGTTATTTTCCAAATAAGAGTGAAGAAGTTGGGGTGAAAAAATAGTGGTGGGTAAGATTCATTCTTGGATATATTGTCCCAGGTCTGAAAATCTGCTATGAGAAGGTTTTAATTAAGACGGTCACCTATAGCCATAAAATTTCATTGTCCATGTTTCTTACAATCATCTTGGGGCCAAGCAGAACTATGTACTTTAGAGTTTAAAGGTTAAATAAAAGAAAAACATGAAAACATATTTAATGTGTAAATGATGTATGTGCTCCATGTAGAGGACAAATGACATGACTATAACTCCTGCTATTCAAATAAAGGTTTTAGGGTAATAGTGTTGCTTTTTCCAGAATGTTATATATAAGTGGACTTATAGACTATGCAACATTTTCAGATTGGCTTCTTTCATTTAGTATAGTATGGCAATTGTGATTTATCTATGTTGTGTATCTTAATATTCACTCATTTATATGGCTAAATTCTATTGTATGGAATTACCACAATTTATATATCCATTTACTGTTGAATTGCATTTGCACCTTTGTCAAAAATCAATTGACCATATTTGTGTGAGTCTATTTCTGGACTCTCTATTCTCTTTCACTGACCTATATATGTGTCAATTCTTTCACCAATACTATACTGTCTTGATTACCATAGCTTTCTAGTAAGTCTGAAATCTGATAGTGTAAATCTTCTATTTTTTTTTCCTTTTTTTCTTGAGACGGAGTCTCAGTCTGTCGCCCAGGCTGGAGTGCAGTGGTGTCATTTCGACTCACTGCAACCTCCGCCTCCTGGGTTCAAGCTATTCTCCTGCCTCAGCCTCCCAAGTAGCTGGGACTACAGATGCATGCCACCACACCCAACTAATTTTTTAATTATTTTTAGTAGAGACAAAGTTTCACCGTGTTAGCCAGGATGGTCTCAATCTCCTGACCTCGTGATCCGCCCACCTCAGCCTCCCAAAGTGTTGGGATTACAGGCGTAAGCCACAGTGCCCGGCCCTTTTTCCTTTTTTTCGAAGTTGTTTTGGCTACTACAGTTTCTTCACCTTTCCATATAAATTTTAAGATCAGTTTATCTATGTCTACAAATATAATCTTGCTGGGATTTTATTTGGATTATGCTTATTGGAAGAAATGACATCTTAACCATATTGAGTCTTTCAATCCATAATCATAGCATGTCTCTTCATTTACTTGGGTCTTTTGAATTTCTTTCATCAGTGTTTTACAGTTTTCAACACACAGATCTTGCACATAATTTTGTTAGATTTATACCTAAGTATTTTAAAAATTGGAGCTATTGTAAACAGTTCTTTAAAAATGTTTTATTAGATGGGTACACAGTAATTGTGGTTTTCACCATTACTTTCAATGGCAAAAACCTCTATTACTTTTGTACCAAACTAATACATTGTGCATTGCTACTATATATTATTTTTATATATTATTGTTGCTAAACTCAGTTTTAGGAGACTTTCTTTTTATAGATTTCTTGCAATTTTCTATGTAGGCAGTCATGTCGTCTTTCAACAGGAACTATTTATTTCTAATCTGTATGCCTTTTATTTATTTGTCTTGCCTTATTGCATTGGTCAAGAATTACAGTGCAATGTTGAACAAGGTGGTGACAATGAACATTCTTGCCTTATTCCAAGTCTTAGGAAGAAAGCATTCAGTTTTTCATCATTAACTACTAAAATGTTAGCTGTAGACACTGTTTTGTAGATGCCCCTTATTGAGATAACAAAGTTTCCTTTTTTTTTCCTGGGTTAGTGAAGAGTTATCTTAGGAGGATGCTGAATTTTACCTAATGTGTTTTCAGCATTTGTTGATAAAATCATGTGGTTTTTACCTTTTAGTCTACTAATATGGTGGGTTGCACAGATTAATTTTCAAATATTGAACCAGCTTTGAATTATCAGAATGAACCCCTTTTGGTCTTGGTGTAATATTCCTTGTATATATTGCTGGATTCAACTTACTAATATTTTACTGAGGATTTTTCTGTTTGTGTTCATAAAGATACATTGCTTGGTAGTTTTATTTTCATGTGCCATCTTTGCATGATTTTGGTAGCAGGTTAAGATTGGCTTCACAAAATAAGTTGAGAAGTATTCTGTCTTATATTTTTCCAGAAGAAACTGTGAGAATTGGTATCATTTCTTCTTTAAATGTTTTGTAGAATTTCCCAGAACTATCTGGGACAGTGTTTTGTTTTTCGTTTTTGTTTTTGATTTTTTTTGAAGATTACAAATACTAATACAATGTCTTCAATAAACAGAGTATTACTGAGTTATCAATTTCATCTCGAATGAATATTAGTAGTTTGCATCTTTCAAGAAATGGTCTATTTCAACTAAGTTGTCAACTTTGTGTAATAAAGTTGTTTCTAATGTACACATTACTCTTTTAATGCCTGTAGCATTTATACAACATTACATTATTTATTTTGTTGGTCAAATTATTCCATTTTGACCATGGGAAGCTCCATCAACTTCCTCCTATGTCCCTTTGATATACCTCCATCACTGTGTATGTGTGCATGTGTGTACACCTGTGTATGTGTTTGAGCACATCCTTACTTTCTAGCACTGCAAGATGCCCCATGCTCACTTTGTGTATTTCCTGCCCCAGCCCTTTTAGAATCATCCATTTCTCCAAGGAGCCTTAGTTCCTTTTACTGGAGAATGGTCTTAGAAATCAAGATCTGGCAAGTGGGTACATTCATCTACTGGGGTGTTGTTGCTTCTAGGCCCTCTTTTCTGAGAGCAAGGAAATATACGTGTATACTAACATTTGCCTATTCCCTTATCGATAAGTATTTCCATATGTAACTGTGTCTATAAGCAAAGCATGAGTTCATTCTGGTTTCCAACTCTAATGCATTACTACATGATTTCTTCTAGCTGCCTCCCCTTGCTTATCTGTAAATCCTACTCAAATAGAGAGAAACCTGGCTCCCACCATCCACCATCAACTTATTTACTTGTTCAATTTCAGTATATACATATAGAAATATCAGAATTGTTAACCTGGTAGGTAGGTTAACAACTTTATTCCCATGGAAAATAACTTTATCAACTAGACTACAGTACTCTTTTGCCTCCAGTCTTACGGACTCCACTTATTTTCAAGGTAACTTAAGTCAACACATTTCAACTCCATTTGCTTCAGTAGGTTGTTTCATACATTTGTACTACAGTTATATTATTTTTTCACCTCCTGCATTCCATCCTCAGATCCATCAACCTTCTAAATGAGTTTTTTTAAAGTTTGCGTACATTAAGACTTGTTCTTTGTGCTGTAAGTGCTGTGGATTTGGACAAATGCATAATGCCATGTATCCAATAATTTCACAACCCTAATTAATCCCTTGTGTTTCCCTGAACCTTGGCACCTAATGATATTTTTTACCACTGGTGAGTTTTGCCTTTTCCAGAATGTCATATAATTGCAATTATAAAGTATACAGACTTTTCAGTGTTTTTATCACTTAGTAATATGTATTTAAAATTTATCCATGTCTTTTTACGGCTTTATAGCTCTTTTATATAATTCAATAATATTTGATCATATGGATGTATTAGTCTGTTTTCATGCTGCTATAAGGAACTGTTTGAGGCTGGGTAATTTATAAAGGAAAGGGGTTTGATTGACTCACAGGTCAGCATGGCTGGGTAGGCCTCGGGAAACTTACAATCACCCCAGAAGGTGAAGAGGAACCAAGGCACCTTCTTCACAAGGTGGCAGGAAGAAGTGCCAAGCAAAAAGGGGAAGAGCCCCTTATAAAAAGATCAGATTTTGTGAAAACTCACTATCATGAGTACAGCATGGAGGAAAACACCTCCATGATTCAATTACCTCCACCTGGTTTCTTCTTTGACACATGGCGATTATGGGGATTACAATTCATGATGAGATTTGGGTGGTGACACAAAGCCTAGCCATGTCAATGGATATATCACAGTTTATCCATTCACCTACTGAAGGACATTTTGGTTGCTCCCAGTTTTTGGCAATTATGAAGGAAGCTATAATGTGCAGTTTTCATGTGCAGGTTTTTGTGTGGATATTGTTTTTAAATCGGTTAAATACCTACAAGTGTGATTGCTGGATTGTGTGGTAAAACTATATTTAATTTTTCAAGAAATTGCCAAACTGTCTTCCAAAGTGGTTGTGCCATTTTCATTACCACCAGCAACGAAAAAGAGTTTATGTTGCTCTGCATCTTTGTCACCAATCGGCAGTCAGAGTGAGTGTGTGTGTGTGTGTGTGTGTGTGTGTGGTTTTGGCCGTTCTAGTAAGTGTACAGTGGTATCTCATTGTTTTTAATTTGCAATTTGACAAATAATATTGAATATCTTTTCATATACTTATTTGACATCTATATCTTTAATAAGATGGCTATTCAGATTTTTGCCTACTTTTTAATAGGGTTGTTTGTTATCTTAGAACTGATTTTTATTTTGTATATTTCACCAGTGAATTCATCTGGTCCTGATTCTTTCTTTTTCTGAAAATTATTAATTATAATTTTTAAATAATCGATTCAATTTTTAAAAGCTATAGAAGCATTCAGATTTATTTACACTTGTGTAAGTTTTGATAGTTTGTAGGAATTGGTCCATTTCATTTATCAAATTTTGGGGCATAAAGTTTTTCATAGTATTCCTTTATTATCTTTTTAATGCCCATGGATGCTTCAGTGAAGAAGATCCATCTTTCATTTCTGATATTGGTAATTTCTATCTTCTTTTATTCTTCCTTATCCTGGCTAGAATTTTATCAATTTTATTTATTTTTTTCAAATAACTTTTAGTTTTGTTGAATTTATTGTTTTCCATTTCAATGATTTCTGCTCTAATTTTTATTATTTCTTTTCTTTTGCTTGCATTGGGCTTAAATTGCTCTTCTTTCTCTAGTTTTCTAAGGTAGAACTTTTTATTACTGATTTTAGATCTTTCTTCTTTTCTAGAACCTGCATTTAAGGCTATAAATTTCCCCTAAGCACTGCCTTTACTAAATTGCAAAAAAAAATTGATAAACTGTACTCTGATTATCATTTAGCTTAAAATATTTTAAAATTTCTCTGGAGGCTTCTTTGACCCATGTGTTATTTAGAAATATGTTCTTTAACTAATTTCCAGCTTTCTTCCTGTTACTGATTTCTAGTTTAATTCCACTGTAGTCTAAGAACATACTTTGCATGATTACTATCTTAAAAGATTTGTTAAATGTGGTTTATGGCCAAGAATGTGGTCTATCTTGGTAAATGCTCCTATAAGCTGAAGAAAAAAATGTATATTTTGCTCTTGTTAAATGGAGCATTTAATGAATGCTAATTACATCAAATTGATAGTACTGCTCAGGTCAATTACCTACTTACACTGATTTTCTGCCTGCTTAATCTATATCAATTATTGAAAGAAGAGTGTTGAAGTCTTCAACTATAATAGTGGAGTTGGCTGTTTTTCATTTCACTTCTGTCAGCTTTTGCTTCAAGTATTTTGATACTTTGTTGTTAAGTTCATATATTTAGGATTGATAAGACTTTTTGGAGAATTGACTGCCAAATACGTATGTAATGCTCCCCCAACCTTTTTAAATCCCTGATGTTTATTGCTCTGAAGTTTGTTTTCTCTGAAATGTATACAGCTACTTCAGCTTCCTTTTGGTTAGTGATTATATGGTATATCTTTCTCCATCTCGCTCCTTTTTACCTTACCTATTCTTTATATTTAAAGTGAGTTTCTTACAGACAATGCATAGCTTGCCTTAAAAAATCATAAAAGAAAAGATGAAAGTAAAATAAGAATCTTTTATTTTTCATATTCCCCACTGATCTAAAGGAAACTGTTTAAAGTAACAATAGTAACAACATACTGGGTGATAATTTCAATATGGACAAGGAAAATGAATAACTGCCATGTCATAAGAGATGGGAGGAAGTCTTGCTTTTCTAAACTAAGTTTCGTTTTTTATCCACTCTGAACTGTCTTTTAATGGATGTTTACACCATTCACATTTAAAGTGACTACTGACATAGTTATATTCCACCTTGTTTGTAACTGTTTCTAACTGTTGACTTTATTCTTTCTTCCCCGTCCTATTTTTCTTCTTCTTCTGGTTTTAAATGAACATTTTATGATTCTATTTAATCTTATCTCTTAACATTTCACTTATATCTCTCTTTAGAATCCTTTTTAGTTGTCCCGCAGTTTGCAGTATTCATTTTTAACTAATCTAAGTCCACCTTCAAATAACACTACACTGTTTTCTTTGCAGTACAGGTACTTTGTAATAGAGTATTCCCAAATACTTTCTCCTATCTCTTTTAACATTGCAGTCATTCATTTCCCTTATCCATATGGTATTATTGGTAGGAACAGGAGGCAGAAAAATTCTAGGCAGAAAAGGGCAGGGTCCCCAGCGAAGGCCCCATCCTCAAGCCTGGAAGCACGGCCCAAAGTGAGAACATACATTCCTGTTTTCTCACTTGAATGTTGCCTTTTCCAAAACCACCCATGGCCTGCCCTGCCCCAAATCCTATACCCATAAAAACCCCTGACCCAGCTGGCAGAGAAGGAGAAGCAGCCAAACATGGAGAGGAGAAACAGCAGCTGAACGTTGGAGAGAAGCAGCTTGACTTCAGAGGAATGGCTTGACAGTGGGACTTTGGAGAAGAGTCTAGCCAGAGAGACTTCAAGGGGAGACTACTTTCCCACTCCATCCTCTTTCCAGCTCCCTTTCCCGCTGAGAGCCACTTCCATCAGCAATAAAATCCCCCACACTTACTGTCCTTCAATTCATTCATGCAACCTAATCTTTCCTGTACGCAGGACAAGAGCTCAGGATACACAAGGCTATCACACTCTCTGAACTTGTGAACAGGCAAAGGGTCCACTGAACTGTTAAACACTTAAGCCATCCATGGATGGCAAAGCTAAAAGAGTACTGACTGTAACATTACTTCTGGGGCTTTGAGGGGTTGCAGGTACTCCCTCACTAGGTGTTGCCATGGCCCGCATGGAGTTTGGCTCCTGGCAGTGCCCAGAAGCACTCGTCTTGGCTCCTGCACTGGCTCAGCTGTGCTCCCCCTCCCGCAAGGGGTAGAGGGCAGCAGATCTGAGCGAGTGAAGCCGAGTAAAGCCAAGTGAAGCAGAGTAAAGCCAAGTGAAGCTGACCAAAGCCGCCAACTAGCTCCAGCACCAGCACTCCAATTCCCCCACCACCACGAAGGCATCAGGGAAAACTTCCTGTTTCATTATCACCCAGCATGTTGTTCCTACTGTTACTTTATACAGTTTCTTTTAGATCAATGAGGAATAAGAAAAATAAAAGATCCTTATTTTACCTTCATTTTTTTCCTTTTATCATTATTTTCCTTTCTTTATGTAGATCTGAGTTTCAGGTCTGTTGGCAATGAATAACCTTAGTATTTGTTTGAGAAGGTATTTATTTTATTTGTCCTTCAGTTTTGAAGGTTAATTTCACAGATATATAATTATAGGTCAGTTGGTATTTTTTTTCTTTCAACTTTTAAAATATTTTACTCTACTCTTTTCTTGCTTGCATGGTGATGAGAAGTCTGCCATAATTCTTATTCTGTTCTTCTATAGGTAAGTTTTTATTTTCCCCTCCAAGCTCTTGCTTCTTCCAAGATTTTCTCTTAGTTTTTGGTTTTCTGCAGTTTTTAAATATAATGTGCACGGTTTACTTACTTTATCATTCATTCTGCTTGATATTTTCTGAGGTTCCTGGATCTATATTTTAAAGTCTGTCATTGATTTTGTAACATTCTTGGCCATTATTACTTCACATATTTCTTCTTTTTTCTTCCTTCTTCTTCTGGTATTCCAATGATAGATAAATCATATACCTTTTTAAAATGTCCCACCATTCTTGGATGCTCTGTTTTTGTTTTCTCATTATTTTTTCTCTTTATATTTCACTTTAGGGAGTTCCTATTGACCTATTTTTGCCTCACTGATTCTTTCCCCAGCAGTGCCCATTCTATTGATAAGCCTATCAATGGCATTCTTCATTTCTGTTATAGTGTTTTTTATGCCTAGCATTTCCTTTTGATCTTTTCTTAGTGTCTCTCTGCTTTATGTATCTCCTGTGCTCTTACATGATGTCTATTTTTTCCATTATGGCCCTTAACATATTAATCATGGTTTTTTTATATTCCTTAGCTGATAATTCGCATATCTGTAACATCTGAGTCTGGTTCTGATTCCTGCTTTATCTCTACAGACTGTTTTTTCTTGCCTTTAGGTGTGCCTTCTAATTTTTTTTGTTGAAAGTTCACCATGTTGCATTGAGTAATAAGAACAAAGGTAAACATATGATGTGGATTTGTTAATCTGGCCAGGAGGTAAGCTGTGTTTAATGTTTGCTATAGATGTCAGAAACTTCAAGTTCCTCTAGTATCCTTATGTTTGTCTCATCCATTGACTTTGAGCTTATCTCAGTACTATTCCTCAGAAAAAGAGTCCATTCTTGCAACTCTTCCAGCTGAAATGCATTGTTATTATACCAGAGCTCTGTTGGTATGGTAGTAAGGTATGGGGAATGAAATACAGTCTATAATTTTAGGATTAAACCTTTATTTTTTACTTTGCCTATTTTCTCTGAGCTGTGACCTTCATGGGCTTTTCTCCAGTGGTATACATTTTCCCCCACTGAAACCGACACAGGAAGGCTAGAGTGAGCTGAAGTGGGAGAAATGCCCTCCCCAAACCAGGATAGGGGTCTAATAATATATTTTCCCCTACAGAGTAGACCTTTGTTGGAGAATACTCTGGGTATATTTCATAATGATTACCCTCCCTCTCTCTGCAAGAACTACGAGGGGACCTTTTCCAGGATCTTCATCAGAATATGAAGTACCTGATAAAATACATAGAAGCAAAACCCATGAAAGTGTGGGGGCCTCCCTAAGACTGCTGCTCCCAGAGGTGTCACACTCCCATGTTAGTCCACACTCAGCCTCCAGCAGTTTGTCAAAACTATCATTTAAATGTTCCCACCAATTTATGGCTCCAGTGGCTTTGGCTCTAAGTAAGCAGATCTCGGCCATGAGTCTCTGGATTTGCTTTTCTCTCCAGATTTCAGGCTAGTGGTTGCCCTGCAATCTCAGTTCTCTGATGGGGGGAAGAAAACAACAAAACACTGATTCTCAATTTTTTAGCTTTATCTTGTAAGAATGCTAGTGGTAGATTCTAGGTTCTTTACATGTCACTGCTGAAAATGGAGTCTCTTCTCTCTGTTTTTCACTTCCATTTCTCATTCTCTGCCTTCTTTTGAATTACTTGAACATCTGCAAATTTGCAGAGTTGCTTTTTTCCCTTTTTTTGATGTTGTTCTAGAGATTTCAGTATATGTACTTCATTTTTCAAAGTCTACTTAGAATTAATTTTTTTTTTTTTGAGATGGAGTTTTGCTCTTATTGCCCAGGCTGGAGTGCAGTGGTGCCATCTCGGCTCATTGCAACCCCTGCCTCCCAGGTTCAACCGATTCTCCTGAGTAGCTGGGATTTCAGGCACGCGCCACCACGACTACCTAATTTTGTATTTTTAGTAGAGAGGGAGGTCTCTCCATGTTGGTGAGGCTGTTCTCAAACTCCTGACCTCAGGTGATCCCCCTGCCTCAGCCTCCCAAAATGCTGGGTTTACAGGCGTGAGCCACCGCACCCAGCTAGAATTAAAATTTTATCACTTCATGGGTAACTTATAAACCTTACAGACATTTGGTTCTCTTTAAAGTCTTCTCCTTCATATTATTAGTTGTTTCCGACCTATACACATTGGAAACCCCAACAGACAATATTGTTAACTTTTTATTTCTACCATTATACATATCTTAATGAACTTAAGAGGAGAAAAAACAATTTATTATATTTATCCAGATATTTATTATTTTTGTTGCTTTCCTTTCCTTCATGAAGTTCCAAGTTTCTCTCTGGTATCACTTATTTTCTGTTTAAATAACTTTCCTTAGCATTTCTTTTAAAGCAGCATTGCTGTTGATGAATTATCTCTTTGGTTTCCAGTAATTTGGTTATATCTTTGGATGTTGTTTTCTTGGCATTCACTAAGCTTCTTCAATCTGTAAATTTATGTCAGTTGCGAAATTTGAGAAGTTTTCAGCCATTACATATTCAATTTTTTTAGAAATTTCTGCAGCAATCTCTTTCCTCTTCTACTGTGATTTCAAAGACCTGTAGGGTTAGACATTTTTATATTGTTTTACAGATTCTTAAGGCTCTTTTCCCTTTATTAAACAAATGTTTTCCTGTTGTTTACAATAGACAATTTCTCCTGATCTTCTGTTCTAATTCACTGACTCTTTTCTGGGTTGTCTCCATTCTTTCTCATAATTTGAGGTACTTGTTTGGTCATTGTTGCTACTGCCACTGACACAGGAGTGCAGTTTTAGGAGTATATCTTGTCTCAAAGCAGGACCAGAAAACAAACAAACAAATGGAATTTCATTGATTTTTTTCCTTGTCACCAGGGATTTCCTTACAGGGTCTCTCATTAGAGAAAGAGAGTTTCTCTTTTTTTTTTTTTTTTTTTTTTTTTGAGACGGAGTCTCGCTCTGTTGCCTAGGCTGGAGTGCAATGGCACGATCTTGGCTCACTGCAAGCTCCGCCTCCCAGGTTCATGCCATCAGCCTCCCCAGCAGCTGGGACTACAGGTGCCCGCCACCACACCCAGCTAATTGTTTGTATTTTTAGTAGAGATGGGGTTTCACCCTGTTAGCCAGGATGGTCTCCATCTCCTGACCTCGTGATCTGCCTGCCTGGGCCTCCCAAAGTGCTGGGATTACAGGCGTGAGCCACAGCATTTTCTGTCTGAATCCACTGTACAGTTCTGGAATTCTGACTGCCTTGAGTCTAAGCTGGAGGATGTAGGAAGAAATTGCTAAAAGCAGGAAATTCACTACTGTATTTGTCTCTTTTCAAGTTTTGATTTCCCTTTCCAATCTTCCTGCTATATTTACTTTTCAAAGTCTTTCTACAGCTACTTTATGTATTCTGTTCAGAATCTTTTTTAGGCATAATCAGTGGGAGGAATAGAGTGATGTGCATTTACTTACTCCATCTTAATTGGAACTAGAAGCTAATCTCATCACTTCTGATTTTAATAATTTAATAATAGATTTAGAAATAAAAAATGTAAAAGATAAAAGTTTTACTTTCAACATGCTTCACCTTAATCTCAGTGTGAAATTGACATACATTTTTCTGAGTAAATCCACAGTAAAGTTGTAGTACTTTTGTCACAGTACTTTATGAGACAAAAAGTTACATGCATACATTTCTTTAAAAAATGTAATTTTTATACAAAATTTCATGATTACTACTATCAAGTATGGTGTCATTATTAATATGAAATTGATTCACTCTTGGCAAACTGATATATTTTCAAATACATAAACAAATTTTCACAATTACACTCCATGTTTTTTATCCTTGAACTCACCAGAATACCTAAAATTATAATAGTAATATATATCTCAAAGTATAGTAAACTAAAAAAGTTTATAATTGTGCTGAATATTAAGCAGTAAGTTAATACAATATGCAAAAACAATGATCTTACTATTCAACATAAAAAGAGATATGGAAATTTATTTAATCTCACAATTCTAATGTAAGAATATTCAATTGCTCAAAACATATGCTGTACATTGAAAGGTAAGTATTCTCTAATTTTTCTTCCAGGAATTCAAATTGCTTTTATTCATATGTTTGAGTCTAGGGTACACTGTCCAATATTATAGTCACTAGTGACACATGGTTACGTAAATTAAAATTAAATAAAATTAAAAATTTAGTTCCTCAGTCACATGAGCCATGATTTCAAGTGCTCAACAGCCACATGTAGCTAAATGGCTACATGTGTAGACAGTGCCAACATCAAACATTTCCATAATCACAGAAAATTACATGGGCAAAACTGGGCAATAGGAACACACATAATGCTGACAGATATGCCACTTTTTAAACTAATCAGTTACCTCTATAATCTTTGGTTTCCTCTTCTGCTGAACGAGATCATTAATAACTTCCCTGACTATATCACTAGTTTTGTGTATGGCTCAACTAAGAGAATATACATAAAATTTCTTTGTAAACTGTATTACATTAATACATCTGATTAATAAATATATGACTATTATTTATTTAAATTAAAGAAAATCAAAGTACACTTCAATATCATATTTTTTCAAATCGTTTTTTAAAAGTCTAAACACTGGAAGCATGCAAACAACCAAACTGTTCAAACAAGATTTTTAAAAACTATTCTGTTATAACATATGAGCATGAAAATCGTGGGTATGCCATAACAATCAATTTCTGCAATTTGGACAGAATGCTATAGACCCAAATGAACAATTCCAGTGAAATCAAGACAATATTGTTCTTCAACATGAAAGCTGTCAGTTCTATGTGTCCTATACTGTCTAAAAATCTTGTATGCTAAAACATCTTTTTTTTTTAATTTTGCTTTTTTGCAGCTAAGGTACATACATTAAAGAAATAATTCTAACCAACATGGTGGAACCCAGTCTCCACTAAAAAGACAAAAATTAGCTGGGCGTGGTGGTGGGCGCCTGTAATTCCAGCTACTCAGGAAGCTGAGGCAGGAGAATTGCTTGGACCTGGGAGGTGAAGGTTGCAGTGAGCCGAGATCACACCATTGCACTCCAGCCTGGGTGACAAGAGTGAAACTCTGTCTCAAAAAAAAAAAAAAAAAAGAAAAAAAAAGAAAAGAAATAATTCTAACAAAGAATAGACTGGAATCTGAGGAATCCTGAGCAAAGCCTCTTTATTTTTTACACAATGTAAAATTTGGCAAATTGGCTTACTTTAAACAAAAAATTCCCACTAAGTACATATTTATCCTTAAAATAATTTTATGATTTAAGTATAGGAAATATTATATTTTCTTCAAAACATAAAATATATTCACTAGAAGTAAAATAAAGTAGTAATCAAGTTAGGAAAACAGTAAATATAGTCAATTGAATGTGTTAGCAAAATAACATTTCAAAAGTCAGAGTCCAACAGAAAATAAGAACTAAATTTATTGTCTATAGCTATCAAATATAAGAAAAAGAAAAAAAACCCGCAAAATTCATATTTATCTCACACAGTAAAAATAGCTCAGTAATGTGCCAGGAATAATTAGACTTTTATGGCAGATGATTAATTGTTTTGAACTCATGCTGTTTACCTAATTAAACTATTAGTAATACCAGCAGGTAAATTAACTTCATACTTCTTTTCTGGAAAGATAGATTTTTAATACTGATACAGTTGAATATCCCTCCTGCAGAGCTGAATACACAAGCATTTTTGTTTTCAATTTTTTTTCTTTCCAACAAAGAAATGCTTTAGCTCAATGTCGTATAGGTAATTTTAAGGAGCAGGGGAAAATTAGGATGCTTATTAATGATAAGCTTAAATTACATACAGCTATTTTAAGATTTTATTTGATAGATTACTATTTTGTAATTGTTCAACTTAGCAGATAATTCTACTCTTTGGTCTTCCTCCCTATTTATCTTCATCTCATGTACAAATGTACATTTTCTATAATGTGTTTCAGGTAACATACACAGCTGTCAAGACCTGAAGTACAAAGAAAAGAGGAACTTACAGAAAGATGGAAGAAGAGTATGCCATGCAGATGAAGCTGGGAATTAAAGACCCAGATAGAGGAATAAGGCAAAAAGAGTATGACTACTAGGAAGAGAATGGATTCAGGAATCTTCTGTGTAGGTGGAAGGTAAGAATGGAAACATGAAAAATAGTTAAGGACTACTGCAAAAGTCCAGGCAAGAGATGATGGATACCTGAACTGAGGTTGTGGTGGGAAAGAAAAACAGACAGATTTCATATATATTTTTGAAAAACAAGGAGATTTGATGATTCATTGAACCCAGAAAATTAATAAAAGTAATAAAAGATAATTCCTACTTTTTTTGGCTTGAGCATGTGAATAAGTAGTGATGCCAGTTATTATTAAGCTGGGGAAGGGTGAGGAAGTGATATAGACAGGAGGCGGGGAAATACTGGGTAGAAGAGGGCAGACCCCAACGAGGGCCACACTCTCAAGCCTGGACCTGCAGTCCAAAGTGAGAACATGCATTCCTGTTTTCCTGCCCAAATTTGCCTTTTCCAAAACCATGTTGGCTGTCCCCACCTCCCCATCCTGTACCCATAAAAACCCCAAGCCCCACCAGCAGAGTGGCAGAGTGGCAGAGGAGAGAAGAGAGGCAGCAGAAGGACATCAAAGAGAAGCAGCTTGACTTCAGAGGAACAGCTTGACAGCAGGACTTCGCAGAAGAGTTCCACAGGGGACGGCTGAACTCCAGGAGAAGACCACCTTCCCACTCCATCCGCTTTCCAGCTCCCCATCCTGCCAAGAGCCACTTCTACTGCTCAGTAAAATCCTCCACATTCACCACCCTTCAATTCATTCATATGACCTTATTCTTCCTGGATGCCAGACAAGTACTCGGGTACCAAGAGGGCGGGTGCAAAAGGCTGTCACCCTGACCCTCCACTGATCTGTTAAACACTTAAGTTGTCTGTGGATGGCAAAGCTAAATGAGCACACTGTAACACATGCCCTCTAGGACTCCGGAGGTCACAGGTTCCCCTCCCCTCCCCCCCACCCCCCAGGAAGCTTCCACTGGACTGCACAGGATTCTACTCCTGCGGATGCCCAGAAGCACTTGTCCCAGTCCCTGTACCCACTCACCTGCATGCTCCCCGTCCCGTGAGGGGATGAGAGCTGCGAGCTGAGTAAACAAGTCAATCCCTTTGTGAGTCCCGCGAAGGGGTCAAGGGAACTATCCCATTTCTGAAGGAAGGGGCTGGAGGGGTGTTGTAATAAAAAATTCTATTGGACATATTAAATTTGAGATGCTTACTAGACATACAAATGGAGATTTCAAAAAGATAGCTGAATATGAGTCTGAAACACATCACTGCCTTCTAAATTTTATTTTAATCATATGCATATCTGTTAACAACTAGTTTATACTTCTGGTTGTATTAGGGAAGAAAGATGGTTTAAATTTTCTTTAACTATTAAGTAGATCCTCCTCTTAATTGTGACTGAGTCTTGAAATGCATACCAAAGGTCGTAGGCTCTCTGTACTTCCTCTTCTTTCTAAACTCCCGATGGATTTCTGATAAGCAGAATGCTCCCCCTATTAATTCCATCTACTGCCTGGAAACTGTGGATATGTTTCAATATATGCCTAACTGGACTCTGCGGATGTAATTAAGGCTACTAATTAGTGACTAAATAGATTCCTCTGGATTACTTAGGTGGGCCCGATCTAAAAAAATTTGCTCTTGAAAGCAGAGAACCTTGTCCAGCTAGGAGCAGAAGAGAGCCATGGCAACATGTCATGAAATTTCACGTGTGAGAATGATCAGCACACCATTACTGGCTCTGAGATATTACAGCCTATGTAGAAGCACCAGAGAGAGGGCTCTAAGAGCTAAGGGAGCCCCCTAGATGACAGTCAACCAAGAAACAGAGACCCTAGTCCTATAACCATAAGGTACTGGATTCTGCCAGAAGTATGGATCAGCTTGGAAGTAAATTCTTCCCCAGAAACTCCAGATAAGAGCCTGCCAGAATTCTGACCTACAGAACAGTGAGATAATAAATGGGTGTTATTTTAAGCCACTATTTAAGCCACTATTTAGTTATAGCAATAATAGAAAATTAACACAAGACTTAAATGTAATAAGGTGATGGGGATGAGGAAAGTGGGATTCTATTTCCAGAGTACTAAAATGTATGAAATATGGACATGTGAAACTCCTAGTCATGGTTGATGTGGGCACTGTCTCCCTTTAACACTTAGAGCCCTTCGTGTTGATGAGAAAATTTCATTGATCTACTAACGCCCTAGCCAAGACTATAGCCAGGTAGTCCCATAACTAAATCTCCAGATGGGCTTTCTAAATACCTGAAATGTGAAGATGAAACTTCTTCCCTCAACCACCACTACCACCACAGAAATGGTGCAGGGCATGGGATAGTCACTCCTTTCACTCACATGAGAACCCTCAAGAGCACTGATAGGGCAAACTGCGAACCTCAGGCATTTGACTGCTAGTGTAGTTGCCTGACTCCACAGCATAAAGAGGTGAAGGTAGGGGGCTATAGGCTCAGACAGCAACATTACAAATGTCCAGTTTTAAAAAACACATATTTCCCCTTCACCCATAATTACTACGATAGAAACCCAATTTTCACCATTCAGATAATAACCTGAAAACCTCACTCTTCAGATAATGTGTGTAAAAGCATTCTGGATATGAAAGGCTGTAAAGTTATACTAATACAAAATGTAAGAAACTTCAGGTAAACCAGTAGTCAAAAATCATGCATAGAAGTTCCATTTATGTAAGACGACTTTCTCCTAGCTAATTCCTACTTGTTAATCAAAGTGTAGTTCAATGTTATTTCTTCTCTTCTAGTTCCTAAAATATATTAACACCCACGTTACTGTACTGACCACATTGTAGTAATTGCATGTTTATACTTCTTTTTGTGAGTTTCTCATATCATTTCTTACCAGAATCTAACACACTGATGATCACACAGTATACACTCAATAAATGTTTTTAAATTGATTAATTTCTTCAAGATACCATAGCTTTTTTATGAGATAGCTTTAGGTATCTAAAAGATGAGTCACAGACAGAAATAAAGGCCCTTTATTAGGCCCCAATATATCACATATATTTCTACACTACTTTAGGGAGCTATGCATTTCCAGTCTTCAATTTCTCTCTTTTAATTTAATATTATTGAGTGTAAAAATGTTAAGAAAATACAAAGCTTACTGCCTAGAATATTTTGGAATCCATTTATATTAGACTATGTAACATATTCTAAATGTTGTAAGATTGACTATAACAATGCTAACTTATTATATGTCAGATATCATTCTAAGTGTTTCACATGAAGTAAATAAAGCATTTATTCCTCACAACAATCTACCTTTATATTGGATATTATTATCCCATTTTCCAGAGTGACAAAGAGGTTAAGTGTGCTGCAAAAGGTCACAAATTGCAACATTTTATAGCGTTCTACTTTATTTTCTCTATCCCTCTCCAAAAAGTTTATCAAACCAATTTTAAATGAATTACATTTCCAAAAGTTTTAAGCCTTCCCAAATTCTTTTTTTTAATAAATGGCAATATATAGAAGTGTCACAAAACTAGAGGTTTAAATTACTAAGATTTTGTTAGTACTTTGTTGTTGTACATATGGTTTCTCCTTTTATTTTAGAACTCTAGTAAGTGATTACTGAACCCATTAGTTTCTCTATAAGGAATTGGTGCTGATTTCAGTAACTTTCATTTCTATATCACTCTCCAAGTAACTTTCTTATGATGATTCTGATAAATAGCTTACCATGTTGATACAGTTTTAATTATCAAGTAATATCTGAAGAAACTTTAGTATTGCAGAAAAGTCAAAATTAACTACAACTCCATACCCTGGGAGAAACAATCTCATACATCACTATGTGGTATTCTATTCCAATAAATTCTAACACATTTTAGAACTATGAAATAAAGGTGAGCCTGAGGCACTAGAACTACATTATTGCTTAAACTGACCCTGTTTTAAATCACCCAGGCCCCAAATATATGGTCTGCTGCCAACCATGGCAGAACGGTTAGATGACACTTACCTCACAATATTATAAGCTACGGAGTCAGCCAGAAGGTGGCAGAATGGGGCCATTTAGGCTTCACATACATACCAGAAAAATCTTTTATTGTCATTACCTTAAATTTTAGCAATATAAGATAAACACAAGTTTAGGTTATTATACAAATAAAAGTGTAATGTACCAGAAATATGCAATAACATTATTTTATTTATACAAATCAAACTATAAAATTCTCACATAAACTACCATATCAGAAACTAATATCCATTTTCCCTCTCATAAATCTATTTATACAACCCATGAAAAAATTAAGTCTTCCAAAGATCCCCCATATAATTCCAAAACGTCCTTTTAATTCACTAACAATTTAATGGAAAAATACTAGTAAACGTCACATTACATTTAATTTGGTAAGTTCAATCATAATTACTATATAATGGCAAGGTAAAATCTTTTATAAAATCTCATATAACTTTTAAGAAAACAGTTGTTCTTATATTGAGCTGGTTTAATGCAATTTAGACACTATGACTTAATATATGGCAGATTAGCCATATGATTCTTCTATTACATTTGACTGTTTACAATGGATCTGTTTATCTCTGCATTCCTGGTACCTATCACAGGACTTAGAACACATAAACCCTCAACTGAGAAACATTTGCTCAATTGAGTATAAGATTTCAAAGAGAAAACTGAAGGCCAAAAGCAATTAAGCAGACAGCTAAAACACCAATTTGTCTTAACATGGTTATTTTTATTTTTCTATCAGGTGACCAGCCTTCCCAAATGAAAAATAAAACCACCCACAGAAACTAGATTTTAAAGCCAGATCTGCCAACATTAGCCAATTTACATCAGAGGGAGAGGCTGAAGAGTGCTGGAGAGAATTGTTTTGGAGCAGTTATGAGGTATGCAACACATTCAGGGCAGGAGGTCACCCTTACCTCAAATCAACTGAGGGGCTTCAAGGAAACCACTCAGAGACTTAACATGTACCCTATCTGCTAGGATTTATAAGAGTTAGGGACTGTTTTGGGGGGACTCACCAAATGTACAAAATGTAAAGGTACTAAATGGTAGATAAAACCACCTCTGCTCAGTGGCAGAGTGAAAAGAATTATGTTGAGAGGGGGCTCAACTTGGAATAGCAGGGAAAATACATTTATGTCCTATAGACCCCAGAAAAGAGAGTGTGTGCAAGGGAATCATAAATTGCCAGCCAGAGGAGAGGGCTTCTCTCACAAAGAGAACTGAAATCTGAGGGCCACAGCAGGTTTACTGTGAAGCTAACAGAGATTAAATTTCAGGACCTCTCAAGTGCAGGCAACCCTTCTAATACCCTGGGAGAGATTCTAGCATTGTGTTCACAAGGACACATGCTTTTGTAAGACTTGCAAAAGTAAGATATTTTAATAGCAATTGGTTGAGATTGCTGTCTCTTTTCTCTCCAACTTCCCCTTCTTCACACTTTCCATTATGTCAGGTGCTAATGGAGTGGCACCAGGCATTTTAGAGATCTGAATAAGGGAAAGTTTAGGGGTAATGTACAGTTTTAGCTACGATTGGCAAGAAGTTTGGGGATTTTTCAATTAAAAAGTTAAAAATGACAGACTTGTGATTTGAATGTGTACATATATATGTATATGAATATATATGTATAATACATGAATGTATATGAGGAGTACCTCCTTTTTCATCTTCAAATTTATGTATTAAAAAAACAAGATAAATTTAGAAGAAACATAATGAAATATGAAAGAGATTATAAAGAGGAGACATAAAATCAATAAAAATGTTCCTATATAGAAAAGTGAATTCAAGTTATTTTTTGTAACAAATACACTAAATCATGAAAAAAGGAAAAATTCCAAATAAAAATAATGAATAGGCATGTTGTTTCATAATGTAATTAATCAAGAGAATATGAACATGTTAGAAAAGATGTTTAAGTCTCTTGGCAATTGACACAAAATAGTAACAATAACAAAGATACATAAAACTCGTGATAGCTAGTACAAGAACATTAAAGACAAACTATTAGTGATTATTGTTACTTCAAAAATTACCTAAGATCAAGATTTGAAAAGTCTTGAAATCTTGTAGCTCATACACAAAAGAAACTTCTCAGGGACCATTACCTGGTGTTTCTTCAACCATAAAAAACAAGTATCTGGGAACCAGAAGGTGGAGGTGGGAGTGGTAGATATCACCACCCTATTTCACTGAATCTATGACTATCAATTATAAAAATCACCATTATATCATGTACCACTAAGAAAAAAAAGAAAAATGTACAGCAATTAAACTATGAGATACTTTGTCAGTTATAAATTTTTTCCCTATTAAGAGAGAACTATTTTTGATTTATTTAGACATAACTTTTTAATATCACTCTTGTAAACATATGAAGTGAAAAAAATTTTAAACTTGTTAAGAAATTCCTAAAATGCTTTCATATTCATAGTCTGACTCTTCCAGACTATTTTTTGATGCACAGTCATTATTGTGTGTTTTTACACAATTATTGTTCTTTATATCAAAAATATTGATACAGTATTTTTTGAGGCGCTCTACTACCATCTCCTATATTTTCTTCCAACCTGCTGATACGCATTTTCATGTTTGTGCATGTATAGACAATAACAAGCACATCACAAGAATTGCCTGACTGATGTCATCATTTTAGGAAGCATCCTAATTTCGAATACACTAAAATGTGAGACAAAAGTATGTATGTCAAAATTAATGAACTATAGTATGATAAGTTACCCATTTGAAAATTTTCTACTTCTTGTCTCTGTAACTTTGGACTCTTTAACAGTTGAGACATTTTAATACCCTTGGAAGTACTCTTCAAGAAATATGAATTTAGAAGTACTCTTCAAGTATGGGGAGTACCTGTAACAATTAATCCCTTGAACCAGAAGTTTAGAGTGCCAGCTGGGCATTCTGGTCACATTTCACTGAAAAATACAGGCCGAAAAGGAAAGTTACTTCTGTTTGAGTGATTAATCCTGGTTATTACTGAGACATAAAGTTGTGTTATAGATGGAGGTGGGGTACTTTCTTGTAATTTGCATATTGAGTATAAAAACAGAGAAGACTTCAGTATTCCAATATAGGAAACACTACCAAGGTCTCAATGATTCAAGAATGATGGTCTAAACTACTACCCTGAAAAAGAATCCCTTCTACACTTATATGCTGCAGTGGGAAATTTATAGCAACTTTCAAACAGAACAAGGACTATAGCAGCTACTCATAAATGCCACCTTGCTATGCTATATGTGTGCCTATGTATGTGTGTACATATAAACACATCAATTTCCTTCTTGCCTTTCCCCAGGAATTTTACATAAGGCGTGGTCATTAACTTTATAATTTAGTACTAGGGCTGTGGAAAGTCAAGGTGATATTATGGCTAAATGATATGAGTGAATATCATCTAGAAATTGATATACGGGCTGATGGATTTTTAGATCTCTCTTTTTGGGTAGAAGTTGAGTGTTTTCATTTATATGAAGGACAGTAGCATTAAGTTAGCTGTAGAATAGTGTAATTGCCATTCTTTGAAAGCATCAGTAGAAGGGTATAAATAGGTGATGAACAGCCAAAAGAGTGGACCATGCTGGATATTGTAAATTGGTTCATTCAATGTCCCTTCCATTCTCCTTCTTTAATAGTTGGACAGGTTGGAAAGCTATAAAATATATTTCCTGGACTCCTTGTTCTTAAAGTTTTGGATAAAAATAAAGTTCTCCCCACTAGATGCTCTTCTATGATATTTGAATATGTATTTCTGATGACAAGCATGGTCATGGAAATAAGGTTTCTCAGAAGTATTTCAGTCACTTCCAGCTCCAGCTTCTGAACAATGAAAAAAATCATATTCATACTGTAAGACAGAGAAAGACATGGCAGAGGCAGAGAGACAAACACAGAAAGAGGGAGAAAAATATATAAATCTAATGACATCATTTGAGGTCCTGGATACTGCAATGCCTAAATGCTGTTTCACCACTTGAACTTTGAAGTTACCTTAAAAAATTATTTCCTTTCTGTTTCAATCAGTTTGAATAGGGTCTCTGCTTCTTGCAACTGAAACTCATTAAATATATATTCCAAAAACAAGAGTATTTCTTAGATTATCCTACTTTTGATACATATGTCAACTACTTTTGGTATATAAACTCATCTCTAAGAGCTGCTAGGTAACAACAGAAATGACTTCCCACCTTCCTCAACTGAAGAAGTAAATATTATTATAAGTGATCCTTAAGTCCCCTCTGTTTCCAAGCAGAGTCCTAGGTTTTCCTACTGTAGTCACTGATGCTGTGTTTCAAAGGTCAGTGTCCTTGGTGGGGAGCTGTTATTTCACTCTTTCTGCTGTTCTCAGGTCTGCAATGCCATTTTCCAGGCTTTCTTCTTCACTTTAAGCTTTATATTAGGTAACCAAAGAGAATGATGGCTGTTTTATATTTGTTTCTTAGATTTTTTCTTTTGTCACTCTTATTCCCAGCACCCAGAAATACTATTATTGATATTTTGGAATATTTGCTTCAAGTCCATATTTCTGTCTGTAATGTTAAAATGTATACATTTTGAATATATTATCTATTATCTATTTAGAAAATTACAAATAATGGGATTTTGGTACAAGATGGCTGACTAGAGATGTGAGACACCTGCTCTCTCCAGAAAGAAGAACCACAATTATGAATAGATAATCATACTATAAATAGAACATCTAGGAAAGAACACTAGAGTACAATGGAGAACACACAGGGAACATTTGAGGCACAGAAGGAAAAGGAAGCAAGTGGCCCGCTTGGTCAAGATTGGGTGGGAGCCTAGAAGGGCTCCATATTACAGGGACAGCATAAGTGACAGAACTTTAGCAGTTCACATCTCTACCATGGACTGCTGTGAACTAAACCTCAGTAGAACTCCTTTACCAACAGGAATGCTGAAACTAGCATGGTTGGTGACTTGGAGATTGTGTGAAGGCATTGCATCAGACAAGGAATTCATGCTGGCTCACTCACTCCACCTAAGCATGAACAGCTGCAGCAAGGTGCCATTTTGGGAGCACAGTCATCATGGGAAGTTTTGCAGCAATAAATGCTCATTATCAAAAAAGTAGAAAGATTACAAATTAACATATAACAATATACTTCAAGAAAATAGAAAAGCAAGAACAAATTAAACTCCAAATTAGCTGAAGAAAAGAAACAAAGTCAGAGCAGAATTAAATGAAATAGAGGCTTTAAAAACAACATAAACGATCAACAAAAGTTTAGTTCTTTGAAAAGACAAACAAAATTGATAAACTGCTAGCTATACTAACCAAGAAAAGCGAAGATGCAAATAAAATCAGAAATGAAAAAGCAGACATTACAACTGATATCACAAAAATACAAAAGATCATCAGAGACTATTATGAACAACTAAATGCTGACAAACTGGAAAAGCTAGAGAAAATGGATAAATTCCTGGAAACATACAACTTACTAACATGAAATCAGGAAGAAATAGAAAATCTGAATAGTTCAATAACAAGCAGAGAGATTGAATCAGTAATAAAAAGTATCTCAATAAAGAAAAGACAAAGGCTGGATGGATTTACAGCCGAATTCTACCAAATGTACTAAGGATAACTAATACCAATCTTCCTGAAGCTATTCCAAAAGATCAAAGAGGAAGGAATTCTCCCTAACTCATTCTACAAGGTCAGCACCAATCTGATACCAAAACCTGACAAAGAACAAAAAAAGAAAACTACAGGTCAACATCCCTGCTGAACAGACACAAAAATCCTCAACAAAATACTACTAAACCAAATCCAATAGCACATCAAAAAGATAATAAGCTACAATCAAGTGGGATTCATTCCGGGAATGCAAGAATGGTTCAACATATGCAAATCAATAAATGGGATGCACCACATCAACAGAAAAAATCATTATTATCTCAATGGATGCAGAAAAGACATCTGAAAAAAAAAACTCAACATCCCTTCATAACAAAACTCAACAAACTAGGCATAAAAGGAACATATCTCAAAATAATAAAGGCCATACATGCCAAACCCACAGCTAACAACATACTAAATGGGGAAAAGTTGAAAACCTTTCCTCTAAGAAATAGAACAAGACCAGGATGCCCACTTTAACTACTATTATTCGACACAGTGCAGGAAGTCCTAGCCAGAGGAAACAGGCAAGAGAAAGAAATAAAAGGCATCGAAATTGGAGAAGAGGAAGTCAAATTGTCCCTCTTTGCTGATGATATGATCTTATACCTAGAAAAACCAAAGACTTCACCAAAAACTCCCTGATTTGATGGATGAATTCAGTAGAGTTGCAGGAGACAAAATCAACATACAGAAATCAGTAGCATTTCTATACACCAATAATGATCTAGCTGAGAAAGAAATAAAGCCAATCATATTTAAAATAGCTACAAAAAGAATACCTAGGAATAAATTTATCCAAGAAGGTGAAAGAGCTCTGCATTTAAAACTATAAAGCACAAATAAAAGAAATTGAAGATGAAAAAAGTCCATGCTCATGAATTAGAATTAGTACTGTTAAAAATGACCATACTTCCCAAAGCAATCTACAGACTCAACATAATCATATCAAAATACTAACATCATTCTTCACAGAATTAGAAAAAATAATTCTAAAATTCATGTGCAACCTAAAAGGAGCCCAAATAGCCAAAGCAACTCTGAGCAAAAAGAACGAAGCTGGAGGCATCACATTACCTGATTTCAAAGTATATTAGAAGGCTATAATAACCCAAACAGCACAGTATTGGTATAAAAAAAGACACATAATGGAACTAAATAGAGAACCTAGAAATAAAGCCACATATTTACAGCCAATTGATCTTTGACAAACCTGACAAGAGCTTCCACTGGGGAAAAGACACTCTCTTCAATAAATGGTCCTGGGAAAACTGAATAGCCACATGCAGAATGAAACTAGAACCCTATTTCTCCCCACATAGAAACATCAACTCAAAATGGATTACAGACTATGTAAGACCACAAATTATAAAAATACTAGAAGAAAACC
This sequence comes from Homo sapiens, assembly GCF_000001405.40. Taxonomy (NCBI): domain Eukaryota; kingdom Metazoa; phylum Chordata; class Mammalia; order Primates; family Hominidae; genus Homo; species Homo sapiens. The sequence goes on along the minus strand of NC_000001.11, from coordinate 84,115,957 downwards.
TAGGAAAAACTCTCCTGGACATTGCTCTAGGCAAAGAATTTTTTTTTTTTTTTTTTTTTTTTTTTTTTTTTGAGACAAGAGTTTTTTCTCTCTTGTTGCCCAGGCTGGAGTGCAATGGCACGATCTCGGCTCACCACAACCTCCACCTCCTGGGTTCAAGAGATTGTCCTGCCTCAGCCTCTCAAGTAGCTAGGATTACAGGCATGCACCACCACGCCCAGCTAATTTTATATTTTTAGTAGAGAAAGGGTTTCTCCATGTTGGTCAGGCTGGTCTTGAACTCCCAACCTCAGGTGATCTGCCCACCTTGGCCTCCCAAAGTGCTGAGATTATAGGCGTGAGCCACCGCACCTGGCCTAGGCAAAGAATTTACAACTAAGACCTCAAAAATACAGGCAACAAAAACACCAATAGACAAATGAAACTTAATTAAACTAAAAAGCTTCTGCACAGAAAAAAAAAATAATCAACAGGGTGAAGAGACAACCTTTTCAATAGGAGAAAATACCTGCATGCTACTCATGCAACAGGGGACTAATATCCAGCATATACAAGAAACTCAAAAAACTTAATAGGAAAAACATAATCCCATTAAAAAGCAGGTAAATGACATGAGTAGACATTTTGCAAAAGAAGACAGCCAACAGGTTTATGAAAAATGCTCAACATCACTAATCATCAGAGAAATTCAAATCAAAACCTTAACTAGGTAACACCTTACTCCAGTCAGAATGGCTATCATTAAAAAAAAAAAAAGTAGCAGATATTGGCAAGGATGTGGAGAAAAGGGAATTCTTATACATTTTTGTAAGAATGTAAATTAGTACTGCCACTATGGAAAATGGTATGGAGATTTCTCGAAAACCTAAAATCAGAACTATCATATGATCCAGCAATCCCACTACTGAGTATCTACCCAAAGGAAAAGAAGACAGTGTATCAAAGAATATCTGCACTTGTGTGTTTACTGCAGCACTATTCGCAATAGCAAAGATATGGAATCAAACTAAATGTTCACCAGTTTATAAATGGATAAAGAATATGTGGCATATATGCAGAATGCAATATTACTTGGCCATAAAAAAATGAAATCTTGTCATTTGCAGCAATATGGCTAGAACTGGAGGTCATTATTTAAACTGAAATAAGCCAGACACAAAAAGACAAATATCACATGTTCTCATTTATATGTGGGAGCTAAAATATTTGATCCCATGAAGGAAGAGAATGGAAAGATAGATAGCAGAGACTGGGAAGGCTGACTAGGACGGAGCAGGGAGGGGGACGGTGAGGCTGAAGAGAAGTGAATTAAAGGGTACAACCATACAGTAAAATGGAATATATTCAATGTTTGATAGCAGAATAGGGTAAGTAAGCAAAAGTATATTGTACTTGGGTGACTGACACTCTAAATACCCTAACTTCATCACTATAAATTACATACATGTAATAAAATTCATGTTACACCATACATTTGTAAAAATAAAAAAAAAAGAACACTACAAATAACACTAAAGGCCCTCCTGATTACTATCCACATCCTGATTCTCCTTCTCTGCCCTTAGAAACAACCACTGTTCTGAAATTGCTTATAACCTTCAAATGTCTTTTTTATACTTTTACATACATGTTTATGTGGAAAACATATACAGCTTTACTTTTCTAATTTGCCTGGATGGTATCATGCTCTACATATTTTGAAAATTACTTTTTTCAAATGTACTATATTTTACCTGTTTCTTTACTGATGGGCTTTTAGGTTATTTCTAGTTTCCAGTATTACAAATAATTCAATAATGGACATCATGTTCATGTCTGTTTCTTTCTGTTTCCATTTTGTTTCTCCTAACATGACATGCCTGATTTCTTCCAGCTATCCTTCCTACAAGTGTTGGTCTACCATCCCAGGTTACAGTAATGTTTATAAAGTCCCTAGCTATTAATCATTTTAACAGTTTTCTTGAGATAACTTATGTACCACAAATTTCGCCAGTTTTAAATGTAAAATTCGGTGATTTTTAATAAGTTGTGAAATGGTTGCCATAATTTAATACTGTATCATTTTTCTCATCATCCCAAAAAAGGAGCCTCAGTCCCATTTGTGGTCATTTTCCATTCTCACCCCTATCCCTGAGCAAGCATCAGTCTACTTTCTGTATCTACAGATTTGCCTTTCCTTTTCATATAAATGAAATCACACAATGTGTGGTCTTTTGTGTCTCACCTCTTTCATTAGCATGTTTTTGCGGTTTATCATGTTGCAGCATGTATTGATTCCTTGTTCTTTTTTATTGTTGAATAGTATTGAATTGTATGGATAAACAATATTCTCTTTACTCACCAATTGTTGCCACTGTATAGCAACTAAGAATAATGATGCTATGAATATTCAAGTACAAATTATTGTGTGGAGGAGTGTTTTTAGCTCTCTTGGCTATTTTTCTAGAAGTGCACATTGCTGGGTATGGCAATCTGATGCTTAACATTTTAAGAAACTGAAAAACTGTTTCCAAAGCACCTGTACCATTTTATATTTCCACCAGCAATGTCTGAGGGCTCCCATGCCTTTGCATCCTCACCAGTATGTCTTTTTTTGATACATACTTCCTTTTGAACATGTATAAGTGTTTCTACTCAGAAGATACTTAACAGTGGAATTCCTGGGTCACAGTTTATGCCCATTTTCATTTTAACTGATACAACCAAATTGTCTCAGGAATGGCTATCCCAATTTACATTTGACATGCTTGTCATATGTGATACTACGTGACTTGTTCATCTTTGCTAATCTGGTGAATTAAAAAAGGTACCTCATTTTAAATCATATTTCACTGATCACTAGTGAAATAAAATATTTTCATATGTTAATTGATCATCTAAATTTCATATTTAGTAATTTATCCATTTATATCCTTTGCTATGTTTTTCTATTTCATTTTTAGTCTCTTTATGTTGACTTATAAAATGCTCTTTATTCTGGATATTAATCCTCTGTCAGTTTTATTCTTGGAAAATATTTCCTACTAACCTCCTTAGGGAATTTCTAACACTGTATCTCAGAGTTCTCCCATGTAAAAACATTCCTCTGTCACTCGGTCTTAGGTTCCTTGATTACTGTGCCTAAGACTTTAACTATCAATCCTAAGAGTACCTTCCACTGGTTTCTTGGGAGCCCTATCAGACACATACAAATAAGATACCTTGCTACCTGCCTTTCTTGGGAGGACATGTGAATTAGAGTCCCCTTTAGGACCTGTACTAGTCTGGGTTGTCAGTTGCAAAAATGTAAATTAAAAATTGATGCTAGTCAATTTAAGCAGAAAATGAATTTATTAGATTGAGTACATATGGAATGGATGAGAAGACTGAAAAGCCAGATTTAGCCAGGAACCAAATGAGGCAAGACATAGTTAAAAAGTACGGCCAGGTATGTTGGCTCACGCCTGTAATCCTAGCACTTTGGGAGGCCGAGGCAGGTGGATCACTTGTGGTCAGGAGTTCGAGACCAGCCTGGCCAACATGGTGAAATCCCATCTCTACTGAAAAGAAATACAAAAATCAGCCAGGTGTTGTGGTGCATGCCTGTAATCCTAGCTACTTGGGAGGCTGAGGCAGCAGAATTGCTTGAACCCAGGAAGTGGAGGTTGCAGTGAGCTGAGATTGCACCACTGCACTCCGGCCTGGGAGACAGAGTGAGATTCCGTATCAAACAAAAAAAAAAAAAAAAAAAAAGAAGCAGTCCAACTTAGGACACCATCTATTATGAAATGGACACTTGCCTCCAATGCTAATGGCAATGTCACCAATGGATATACATTACTGCATCACTATATTCTCATTCTGTAAAACTAATCATTTAATCTTGTGTCTTTGAGTTAGGCTCACAAGACTCAATTGCAGTATTGGTTTCTTATTAATATAATAAGTAAACTCTGGCCTGAAGGTGAAGTACACAGTTGTAATTATTTCCAGGGACATAATTAGTCTTCTTGACTACTAAGCAGCTGTATTTTGATGCTATTTTCCCAATCTTATATTAGAAATAAATACTAAATAAAAATTGTAAACAATAGTTGCCACACCATTCTCTGGGGTCAGTAGAGATGCTTTTGCAGTCATATATATATATCAGGTCTTGCATTTAGTTGTTATGTCTTTTACTCTGCCTTTAACCTAGAAAATTTCTACGGTGTTTCTTTGTCTTCTATGGCATGGACATATACTTTTTTTTTTAACTTTTAAGTTCAGGGGTACATGTGCAGGTTTGTAATATAGGTAAACTTGTGTCACGGGGGTTTGTTGCACAGATTATAGGAATTATAGCTTAAAATATACATATACTTACCCAGTAGAATCTGATCAAAATGTTGGAAATTATGTATGGGTAGTATTTTACCCTTGGGTTAATTCCTTTGAGATGTTTCTATAAAATCAAATAATGGAAGGATTATGTACAGTAAATCTTTAATAATCCATACTAATATAAGGTATTACTATAGATTATCTTAAGCAGAAAAGAGAGGAACAATTTTGATTTAGCATTGAACTAACCCCATATTTTTTCCAAACTAATAAAAGAAGTAATTTGTAAGATCTTAGTAAACATTAGCTAGCAGTACAGAAAGACTCATTTTGTGTTTGGGGCACGCTTCTGTATACAAAAATTTTGGGTGTTGAAGTCAGTAGCAATGTTGGTGCAATCATAGTAATAACAAAGTCTTATTGTGCCTTAAAAAGTACTTTAAGAAGTGATAGGGAAAAAATGAAACAAGATAAAGGGGCCAAATCATCTTATATGTCAGGCTAAGAATAGATTTTATCTTATATGCAATGGAGCACCATAAAGATAATTTTAAGCAGGGAGTTAGATTAGATTTGGAAGATCGACTAGGGAAATTGAAGGCAGGGAGAATGGCTAAGAAACTGTTGTAGATATCCTCAAAAAGGGTGATAAAGACCTGAACTAAGCTAGAATCAGTGAAATTAGAAATGAAGGGACAAATTCCTAAGACTCAGTCAACAAGGAGAGGTAGAAGACAAGGAAAATTAAAGAATCTAAGATGACACCCAAAATTCTGGCTTATATGACTAAAGAGGTGCATCATTTTCACCAAAATAGGAAGTGCAGATTCAGGAAACGATAATTTCCCCAATTTGACTTTGCAGGGTTCATATCCAGCAAAAATTACACTCAGAGCACAGAAGAGATATATGTTGTCACAAAGATAGAAAGTAATTGGAACTGACAGAACATGAAGTAATTAGTGAATAAGTCACTTGGGGAAAACACTATAGATTAGGGAAACTCTACTATAGAGTAAGGGAAAAAACTCACAACAAATTATTGATGACTTTTGCCACGGCAGGAAGGAATAGATATCAGCCTCAGAGGATTTGAGGCGTAAACACAAAGTAAGAAAATGGAAGCAGTGTGTTACCCTACTAATTAAAAAGTTTGGTTTTGAAGGGAATTTGAGAATAAGATGATGATACAGCATAGAGGAAGCAAGTTTACATTTTCTTTCCAGAGGAAATTGAACATTATGGGAAAAACTCAAGTATATATATATACTTACATATATATATATGTAAACATACATACACTGTCACACATATAGCCTATGCACATCTTCCCATATACTTTAAATCATCTCTAGATTATTTATAATACCTAATACACTGTAAATGCTATGTAAATAGTTGTTATACTGTATTGTTTTTTATTTGTATTATTTCATATTGTTGTATTGTTATCTTTTACTGTTTTGTTGTTTTAATATTTTTGATACATGGCTGGTTGAATTCTCTTGGTTGTTTGAATCCAAGGATATGGAGGGCTATCTGTATCATGTTTTTATGGGAAAATCTGAATAGACATACATGTATATATGCACACATACACATACACATGCACTTTGGGGAAGAACAGAGCAGAATGAAAAAGCTGAAAGTATGAGTAGGCCTTTTAAAGCATGATACCAAAGGCAAAAGCCATAAAACATATACTTGACTATATAAAAAGTTAATTTTTTATAAAATTGAAAGACAAATAAGGAAAGTTTATAACATATATAATCAGAAAAGGGTTAATAAAAGGGTCTAAGATATTCACATATACTTCAATAGAAATATGAGCATAAAATGAGACTAGGTGATTTATTAAATATATACAAATTACCAATATAAAAATTAGCAATAAACATAATGCTCAACTTTCTCTGGAAATAAAAAAAATTTAAAGTAAAAATATGAGAGGCTATCTTTTGCTTAGTAACTGGATGAAGTTGCAAAAATTGTAACTCATTTTCATAATGTTTCAGGGAAACACACTTGTTATTTTTCAATCGTGTATGGGAACATCTATCACAAGACTTAAAGTACGTCTACAAACCTATTAGTGTAAATACTGTTTGTATTTTTTCAAAGAAAGATTGGAAACAATCTAAATGCACAACAATAGGGACTCCCGTCTATAAAAGACAGTACATATGCATATAATAGAACACTATATAGTCATAAAAATGCTACTCTAACATTCATCAGAATGGCTAAAGCAAAAGTGAAAGGAAAAACCAAAAGTTGATGAGAATGTGAAATAATGAGAACCCTCATGCAATGCTAGTAGTGCAAATTCATACAACCATTTTAGAAAAATATTTGACAGTATCTACTAAAGCTGAATGCCTACTCCTAGATATATATACTCAATAGAAATGCATACATATGTTCGCCAAAATGTGTGTACTGGAATGTTTATAGTAGCATTATTTACAGTAGGCCCAAAAAGGAAACATCACATCCCATCAATAGTAGAACATTTAAACTGTGACATATTCACACAATGGAACATTATACAGCAAAGAAAATGAACAATTTCCAACTATACCTAACAAGAGGAATGAATCCCACAAACAAATTGTCAGGCAAAAAGAAACCAGGGACAAAAGAGTACTTATTGAGTACATGTTGTGTGATTACATTTATAAAAGAGGCAAATGTAATCAATCCTGTCAAAGTAGAGAGAATGGTTACCCTTGAATTGGGGAAATAAAAAATTAGTTCCATACACTTATTTTTTAATACATTTAACATACTGACTGTACGACAAATTCCTTACAGAAGATTATCCAAATGCAAAGAAAAATTCAAAAATGAAAAAAGCAAATTTTGTCAGAATATATAATATGGATAGCAGGTTAGAATAATGGTTACTAGGGCAGGTTCTTAAATCAAGACTATCTGAATGTGAATCCCAGTTATGTGATCTTGGGCACATTACTTAACAACTATGGGCATCAGTTTCTCATCTGCAAATGAGGTTAATAAAAGTACACTCCTTATTGGAGGGTCTTCGGGTGGATTAAATAAACAGATTAAAGCACTTATAATGGTGTCTGGTATACAATAAGCACTATATTATTATTATAATCTCAATTTGTTAAAACTCACTTTTTTTTAGTATTTTAATTTTTATTTTAGGTTCAGGGGTACATGTGCAAGTTGGTTATATAGGGAAACTTGTGACTCAGGGGTTTGGCATACAGATTTTTTCATCACCCAGGTATACCCAATAGTTTTTCTTTTTCTTTTCTTCTTTTTCTTCTGAACCTGTCCCTCCTCCCGCCTTCCACCCTCAAGTATATCCTAGTGTCTATTGTTCCCATCTTTCTGTCCATGTGTTTTCATTATTTAGCTCCCACTTATAAGTGAGAACATGTGATAGTTGGTTTTCTGCTCCTTTGTTAGTTTACTAGAGTTAATGGCCTCCAGTTCCACCCATGTTCCCGCAAAGGACAGGATCTCACTCTTTTTCATGACTGCATAGTATTCCATGGTGTATATGTACATTTTCTTTATCCAGTCTACCATTGATGGACATTTAGGTTGACTCCATGTCTGTGCTATTGTGAATAGTGCTGCAATGAATAAACAAGTGAATGTGTCTTTATGGTAGAATGATTTCTATTCCTCAGGATATATACCTGGTGGGATTGCTGGGTCCAATGGTAGGTCTGTTTTTAGATCTTTGAGGAATTTCCACACTGCTTTCCACAATGGTTGAACTAATTTACACTCCACCAGCTGTGTAAGTGCTCCCTTTTCTCTGCAAGCTTGTCAGCATGTTATTTTTTTACTCTTTAATAATAGCCATTCTGACTGGTGTGAGATGGTATCTTGTGGTTTTGATTTGCATTTCTCTAATGATTAGTCATATTGAGCATTTTTTTCATGTTTGTTGGCCGCATGTATGTCTTCTTTTGAAAAGTGTCTGCTCATGTCCATTGTGCACATTTTAATAGGGCTGTTTGCTTTTTGTTTGTACATTTGTTTAAGTTCCCTGTAGATTCTGGATATTAGACCCAGACTAACTATACATTAGTCAGATGCATAGTTTGAAAATATTTTTGTAGGTTGTTTGTTTATTCTGTTGATAGTTTCTTTTGCTATGCAAAAGCTCTTTAAACAGGTCCCATCTGTCAACTTTTGCTATTGTTGAAATTGCTTGTGCCATTTTCGTTATGAAATTTTTGCCCGTTCTTATGTCCAAAATGGTATTTCCTAGGTTATCTTCCATGGGCTTTACAGTTTTAGGTTCTCCATTTAGGTCTTTAATTCATTTTGGGTTGATTTTTGCATATGGTATAAGGAAGGGGTCCAGTTTCAGTCTTCTGCATACAGCTAGCCAATTATCCCAGAACCATTTATTGAACAGGGAGTCCTTTCTCCATTGCTTGTTTAATCAGCCTTGTCAAACATCAGTTGGTTAAAACTGACACATATATCCATTTTATATATGTTTTAAAATATATTTTAACTTTTATTTTAGGTTCGGGGGCATATCTGTAGGTTTGTTATATAGGTAAACTTGTGACTTGGGGGTGTGGTGTACAGATTATTTTGTCACCCAGGTACTAAGCATACTACTCAACAGGTTTGGTTTTTTTGTTTGTTCATTTGTTTTCCTTTTTATCTTTCTCTTCTGAACCTCTCCCTCCTCCTGGGTGTGTGGCTTCATTTCTGGGCTCTCTATTCTGTTCCATTGGTCCATGTGTCTGTTTTTATACCAGTACTATGCTGTTTTGGTTACTGTAGCCTTATAGTACAGTTTGAAGTCAGGCAATGTGATTCTTCCAGCTTTGTTCTTTTTGCTTAGGATTGCCTTGGCTATTTGGGCTCTTTTTTGGTTTCATATGAATGGTAGAATAGTATTTTCTAGTTCTGTGAAGAATGTAATTGGTAGTTTGATAGAAATAGCATTGAATCTGTAAATTGCTTTAGGCAGTATGGCCATTTTAACCATATTGATTCTTCCTATCTAAGAGCATGGAGTGCTCTTCCACTTGTCTGTGTCATCTCTGATTTCTTTCAGCAGTGTTCTGTAATTTTCATTGTAGAGCTCTTTGACCTTGGTTAGCTGTATTCCTAGCTATTTTAACCTTTTTTGTGGGAATTGGGAATGAGATTATATTCCTGATTCGGCTCTCAGCTTGGGTGCTGTTAGTGTATAGCAATGCTACTGACTTTTGTATATTTATTTGTATCCTGAAACTTCGTTGAAGTTGTGTATCAGATCAGGGAGCTTCTGGGCAGACTATGGAGTTTTCTAGATATAGAATCATGTCATCTGCAAACAGGGATAATGTGACTTCCCCTCTTCCTATTTGAATGCCTTTTATCTTTCTCTTGCCTGATTGTTCTGGCCAGGACTTCCAACACTATGTTGACTAGGAGGAAACTCACCCATATACTTTTAAACAGGATATACAATCACCCCTTGGTATCCATGGGAGATTGGTTCCAGGGCGCCTCTGGATATCAAAATACATGAATGCTCAAGTCCCTTATGTCAAATGGCATAGTATTTGTATATAGCCTATGCACATCTTCCTGTATACTTTAAATAATCTCTAGATTACTTATAATACCTATTATACTGTAATGTAAATAGTTATTATTATTTCTACTTTATTTTTTATTATTGTTTTGTTGATTCAACATTTTTGATTCATGGCTGGTTGAATCCTTGATTGTTTGAATCTGTGGATATAGAAAGCCAACAGTATTCAAAAAATGCTAACAAGCTGGGTGTAGTGGCTTACACCTATAATCCCAGCACTTTGGGAGGCCCAGGCAGGTGGATCTCCTGAGGTCAGGAGTTCGAGATCAGCCTGACCAATACGTCAAAATCCCATCTCTCCTAAAAAGAACAAAAATTAGCTGGGCTGTGGTGGCGTGCACCTGTAATCCCAGCTACTCAAGAGGCTGAGGCAGGAGAATCACTTGAATCCGGGAGGTGGAGGTTGCAGTGAGCTGTGATCGTACCACTGCACTCCAGCCTGGGTGACAGAAGGAGACCCTGTCTCAGTAAATAAATAAATAAATAAATAAATAAATAAATAAATAAATAAATAAATGCTAACAGTGGTTATCTGTAAATGCTAGGATTCTGGTAGATTTTTCTTCTTTTCTTTTTTTCTTACATGTAGGTAATGATGAATGGAAAATTTTCACCTTCTTAATATTTTTCTGTAAATTATTGAGTTGAGAAAAATAGTTTGATATGCTTACTCTAGGTCAAAAGTCGTGGTGCCTCGATGTCAGAATGACTTTTCCATGAAAGAGGAAAGTTTCTCTCCATAACAAGGGGGTGGAAATGAATTGGATGGTCCAGAAAAAAACATCCAGAAGAGAGGAGTGACCGCAGTTGTATTCTGTTCTAGAGAATGGTCAAGAAAGAAGACTTCCAATTAACAGTGCAGTGAGAGATTCAGTTGAAAAAAAATTTTAATGTCTCATGAGGACTACATTGGTTATTTACCTTTTGGTTATTTATACAAACTATCCTGAATTGTATTTAAGAAATTTTCAGTCAGCTGTGCTCTGCTAACTAAATGCCTTTAAGAAAACGATTTTTTTTGTTTTGTTTTTAGAGAACACTCCAAGGAGAGTCCCACTTGAGACTTTTTAAGTAAAGAATGGTTCCCAGCTTTATCTCCAATTATATAATTACTCTAGAATTAAGTCAAAAAGATATGCTCACCATAACTGCCCAACTAGTAGATGCAAGGTACTGAGGAATAAACTTCTATTCCATGGAAAACCTGTAGGTTTAAATAAATTTGTTTACAATAGAAAAAGGGTTCCAGAGGGCTCTCTGGAAAGGACTGGGACATAGGCAGTTTGACATGTGATTAAAAGCATTGGTTCTACATACAAATGGCCACAGGTATATGAAAAAATGCTCAACATCACTAATCATGAGGGAGATGCAAATGAAAGCCATCTCACCTCGGTTTGAATGACTATTGTTAAAAAGACAATAGTCTTTTTGGATGCAGAGAAAGGGAACTCTCATATACTTTTAGTGAGAATGTAAATTAGTACAGCCATTATGGAACAGTATGGAAGCTTCCTCAAAAAACTAAAAATAGAAGATATAATCCAGCAATCCCAATGCTGGCTATTAATGCAAACGGAAGGAAATCAGTATATTGAAGAGACATCTGCACCCCATGTTTATTGCAGCACTATTCACAATAATCAAGATATGGAATCAACCTAAACATCTATCAACAGATTAACAGAAAAAGAAAGTGTATATATATGTATATAAACAATGACCTACTATTTAGACATAACAAAGAATGAAATCCTGTTATTTGTGGCAACATGGATGAGCCTAGAGGATGTTATGTTAAGTGAAATCAGTCAGGTACAGAAAGAAAAATACCATATGTTCTCACCCATATGAGGGAGCTTTTAAAAGTGGAGCTCATACAAGTAGATAGGAGAATTGTGGTTATTAAAAGTTGGGAAGAGAATTAGATAATTGTGGGTTACTACAGATTAGAGAGAGGTTAACTGATAAAAAATCACAGCTAGATAGGAAAAGTAAGGTCTAGTGCTCCATAGCACTGTATGGTGACTATAATTTACAATAATTTACTGTACATTTTCAAGTACAAGAGAGGATTTAAATGTTCCTAACACAAAGAAATGATAAATGTTTATGGTAAGGAAATACTAATTACCCTGATTTGATCATTACACATTACATATGTATCAAAATATTACTCTGTATCCTATAAATATGTACAATTATTATGTGTCAACTAAAAATAAAAGGGAAGGGGAGAACACTAGTTCTTACTGGCTCTGTGAGGTTGGGCAGGTGATAGAATTTTTCTACTTGTGTTTCAGTTATCTGTGTTATGTAACAAACTTAGTTTTCAAACAATCACCATATTTTGCTCACAATTTTCTGGGTCAAGAATTTGGGCAACACACAGTAGGAACTGTTCATCTCTATACCACAATGTCTGGGGTCTAAGCTGGGTGGCTCAACAGCTGCGAGAAGCTGGAACAGCCCAAATGAGGTCATAGGTCTGCTGGCTCACTTCACACTGTTTGCTGAGTCACTCTCTCATCTGTCTTCAGCTGAAGGCTGGGCTGACTAAAAGGCCCATGAAATAATTCACCTTATCTAGTGCTACCAATCTCTCTCTTTCTTTCTCTACCCCCCACCCCCACACCCCATCTCTCTGTCTCTTTCTCTCTAAGTGGCTAGTTGGGCTTTGAACAGCATGTTGGTCTCAGAATAGTCAGACTTCTTGCATAGCAGTTCGCTTAAAAGAGGACAGAGCCTCAACCCTGTAACGGATCTAGCATCACATCCACCATATTATACTGGTTAAAGCAATGAGAAACCCAGCCCAGATTCAGTGGAATGAAGAAATATGCTATGCTTCTAGATGAAAAGGGTGGTTAAGAATTTGTAGCCATCTTCACTTTGTCACAGAATACTCCTCCATTTTCAAAATATACTTTACTCCTTCCAAGACCCCAAGAAGCCTTATCCTAAGGTCCAGGATGTAATCTAAATCAAATGCAGGTATAGATGAGGCCTCTCAGATCCAGTTTCCTGAGTGCAACTCCTCATACTTAGTTTCTCTTAATCTAAAGACTTGTGAACTAAAGAGACAAGTTATCTGCCCAATACACGATGGTGAGATAGGAATAGAAATTGCAATGGATACTCCCATTCAAAAAGAGGGAAAACAAGAGGTATAAACACTCCCTCATCAATAGCAATTCTAAAGTCCAGTTGGGCACATGTCACTCATTCCTTGATTAGTCCTGAGAGTAGTTCTCCTTGTCTCTTAGCTGTACTCTCTGGCTTCTTGGCTGCCCTCTCTCAATCATTCTTTCACATGAAATGGCCTATGTGAAGAGGTGAGTAGCTTTTCAGCCTGCTTCCTTTCCACAGTAGGTGAGGGCCCGTACACTTTTTTCCTTATTAATTATCTCTGACCCTTTCAATCAACATTAATACAATTTCTTTTAAAACTCTGTGGGTTTCTCATATTATCAAATTCTAATATATTCCAAGAGACAAAAAGCCACATCCACATTCCCTTTGGAGAGGGCTTTCTCTACCTTGGGCCTCACATAAGACTGCTATGGGACAAGTCCTTAAGATTTCTAAAAACCCCAACTGTCTAATTTAGAGTAACGTGAGCCACACACAAGATTCTCTTTTTGCATTTTTGTTTTCATTTTTTATTTTTTTTGAGATGGAGTCTCGCTCTGTCGCCTAGGCTGGAGTGCAGTGGCGCAATCTCGGTTGACTACAACCTCCGCCTCCCAGATTCAAGCGATTCTCCTACCTTAGCCTCCCAAGCAGCTGGGACTACAGGTGCCCAACACCACGCCCAGCTAATTTTTGTAGTTTTGTATTTTTTTTTTTTTTTAGTAGAGATGGGGTTTCACCACATTGGCCAGGCTGGTCTTGAACTCCTGACCTCGTGATCTGCCCACCTCGGCCTCCCAAAGTGCTGGGATTACAGGCACACACAAAATTTTTATAAGCCTTTCAGTCTAAATAAAGGTCTGTGAGACATCACTTTAAATTATCTGAGGTCATAGCAAAGGGTCTTACAGTATTTTTTAAAAGGTAGTTATTTTACTTGTTAAGAAAATTTTTAAGTCATGAGATAGTAATAAATAATTATCATAAAAATATAACTGCAGGCAGCTTTGAGGCCCTCCTTCTTGAACACAGGAATCTAGAGAATTCTCTAAATCTTTATTAAATAATAATTATCTCATTTATTATGTAAATCACTGCTCCCTGTATTTAGATAGATTAAATTCCTGTTACAATTTGGCACTAGGAAAGTGGCTTTATACTGTATCCTCACCATGTAGTGCTAAATTTTATGCTCAAATACAGTAACTAGCTTCAACATCGGTTTATTGGTTCAACCATCTTCTTGCCTTTGATTTCAAGGCTCTTGTATTTATAATTTTGCTTTAAAGGTTATATATGCCTTCTATTGAAAAACACCTGAAATCTTTTTTGGCTGTGGTAATGGGAGATGAGGAGGTGATAAGAATGAGTAATAAATGTAAGTTAAAAAGAAAGTAGGAAGTTCCATTTCTGGCTTGGGAAAATGAACCACCAACCCCCAAACCTGTCAGGGCTTAAGGAAAAAATATGCCTACAGGACATTTTTATGTGTCAACTTGGCTAGGGTATAGTCGTTAGTTATTCAACACTGATCTAGGTGTTGCTGTGAAGGTATTTTGTAGATGTGACTAAAGTCCACAGTCAGTTTACTTCAAGTAAAGGAGATTACCATAGATAATTTGGGTGGATCTGACTCAATCAGTTGAAAGCCCTTAAGAGCAGAACTGAAGCTTCCCAGAAGAAGAAACTCAGCCTGTAAAGTACAGCTTCAGCCTGTGATTGAGAGGTCCAGCTTGCCCTTCATTGCAGATTGCCCTATAGATTTTAGACTTACCTAGCCAGCCACCACAATCAATAAGTCAATTTCTTGCAATATATCTCTTCCGATATATCCTACTGGTTCTGTTTCTCTGGTGTAACTCTGACTGGCACATAGCCTTACAGCGTAATGAGTTTCTTATCATTGAAAAGATTATAATAAGGAGAAAACTAAATGAAGTAAAAACTTCACAAATTTTTAGAAAGGCAGTCAATATGGCACGGTTAACAACACTCTAGAGTCACTGTTTGGGTTCAAGTCCTAGCTTGCCTACTTTTTAACTGTGTGGCTTTGGACAAGTTACTTAATCTATGCCTCAGTTACCTCTTGTATAAAATAAGAACAATCATGGTTCCCACCTCAAAGAGTTGTAAAGATTAAATGAGTTGTTATAGGATTGATAACAGTGCCTGACACATAGAAAAAGCTATGTAATACTCTACAAACTTGATAGGTAGGTAGATAGATCTTCTAAGGTCCTTCAGATTTGATGAGTTTTAAGTACATAATTTTTAAAAGAAAATTTTCCTCACTGTGTTAGGGAAATGGTATAATATGGTGCTTATGAGCAGAGGGCCTAGAATCAGACTGATGGAGTTTGCATCATTCAAAATTCTGCCATTAAATGTGTGATCTTATCTTCTCTAAGCCTCAGTATTCTTACTACATAGGGTTATTCTGAGATAAAAGCCACTTTTTATAATTATTAAAGTTTTGGTGAATAACTTTCTAAAATGTCCCCATTCACTTTTATATCTTTTTATTCTTGATGATCCTGAGGATATGAATATAAATATATTTGATATGGTCTGGCTGTGTCCCCACTCAAATCTTGTCTTGAATTGTATTGCCATAATCCCCACGTGTTGAGGGAGGGACCCAGTGGGAAGTGATTGGATCATGGGAGAGGTTTTCCCCATGCTGTTCTCATAACAGTGACTGAGTTCTCACGAGATCTGACAGTTTTATAAGTGTTTGACAGTTCTTCCTTCATGTGCTCACACTCTCTCCTGTCACCTTGTGAAGAAGATGTCTGCTTTCCCTTCTACCATGAATGTAAGTTTCCTGAGGCCTCTCTGGCCATGTGGAACTGTGAGTCAATAAAACCTCTTTCCTTTATTAATTACCCAGTCTCGTATCTTTACAGCAGTGTGAAAATGGACAAATATAAAGTTCCCTACAATCTAATATAAAATTACTCCCAGTGGATGAATTTGTTGTTTCTAGTTGTCCACAGACTGACAATTCAAATAACTTGTTAAAATGAGCCTAATCTATATAGACCATGCTTAAGGATTTCCCTTAAAAACAATAGCTACTATTTATTGAGCATCTTCTCGGTACCAAGAGTAATACATTACATAGGATTTCTAAACCTCACAACTAGAAACTATTTCTATTTTGCAAAAGAGAAAAATCTGAAAGTAACTGCGTGAATTATGATACAAATCCTCTGTTATGTCTATTATTGCTTCTTTGAGAATATTTTTTACTTTCTGGATGTCAATGTGATCCATATACCAGGTTAATAATATTAAGTGCCCAGGTAAGTAGCTTCTGGTCCCCTAAGTAGCTAGCTCCTAAATTCTCAAAGGATATTCATTTAATTAAAAAAGGGGGGGGAACAATTCAATTACTTTCTCAATTAGATATATTTATATTTGCTGTTAATAAAAGCTATATTTCCACAGAAATAAGGGTACATTCTCATTTAACCATTCAAACATGAATATTTTAAATTCAAAAATAAATACATATTTAAACTGAAATATGTTATTCTAGAAAATATATAAACTAACATACTACTATGTCTTCGACTATACAACATTAATTAAAAACTCATGCCATTAAAATGCACTGAATATATTATCCTTTTACCTGAAAATTACATTAAGTTAAAAATTAAAGTTTTAAAAAGTACTTTGCTAAAATATTTTGTAAAATTTTTAAACAGGTATTGTACTTATATTTCTTACTATACTTAACACTACAAATAAAATTGGATTATTTGTAGTTAATTGAAGATATACACATTCATCGAATATGTATATCCTCTAACCTTTCTAATACAATATCTAAATTCATTTAATATGTACATTCCCACCCTACCCTGTCTTAGCCATTGACTCCAAAGATCATACCCTTAGCCCATTTCATTCTACCCTTTCTCTCTAACCATGTTCTATCTTTTTAGCTCACTCTCTTTTAAGATCTCAACTTCAACAATCTTTAAACCTTACCAGGATCTCTAATCCTTTTCAGGATCCTTGATACCCCAAATATTATCTTTTTTCCTCCTTAAAATGCACAAATTCCAAAGCCGAGCATTATAATCACTTCCAGCATACATTTTCAGCCACTTGCCTCTCTCTCGTTTTGTCTATACTTGCTTGGCAAAACCAGAACCCTGGTGAAATCTCTATACCTACACTGTGCCTGCACTTGTGCAGCTGGGTAAGACTGGAGAAAAACAAACTACTCTTAACTTTTTATGATTTGAAGTTCATAACCAGAAACCTCAAGAGTATATTTACTGTTATCTGGCAATCATATTGTACTCCCCTAGTCCATCCAATCTCCCACTCTTCTAGATGACTTTTATACCTTCTCCTCTTTACCAAACTTCCAACACTTTTCCCATAATTCTTCCTCACAACTGATAATATTGCTTTCTACTGCTCTGAGACATGCAAGCAGACCTAAATGTGACAAAGATAATAGGTCTTTTAGAAGAACAAAAGAAACTATCTTCATGAACTTGGAGTAGGCAAAGATTTGTTAAAAGGGAAACAAAATGGGCTATGTAAAAAGTTAGTACTCTCAGTATATTGAGATTAAAAGCTGTGTTCATCAAAATATATAACTAAGAGAATAAAATGCAACCCATAGACTTGGAGAAAATATTTTTATTTATATTCATAAACTATGCGTACGTATAACATTTCTGCAAAATAATAACTCCTATTTTCTTTTCCCAGTAGAAAAATAGGCAAAAGATTTAATTTAAGGTAATAGGCATTACATCTAAAAAAGGATATCTGAATAACCCAATAAGCATATAAAAACGTGTTCAACATGATTAATCATCAGGGAAACAAAAATTAAAAGCATAATTATATCCTGATATACACCCACTATGGTGGTTAATTTTATGTGTCAACTTGACTAGACTAAGGGATGCCCAGATAGCTGGTAAACATTATTTCTGGGCGTGTTTGTGAGAATGTTTCTGTAAGAGATTAGCATTTGAATCAGCAGGCTGAATAAAGAAGACCGACCTTAATAATGTGGATGAGCATTATCCAATGTATTGAGGGCCTGAATATAACAAAAAGGTGGAGAAAGGGCAAATTCGCACGTTTTGTTTTTGTTTTTGTTTTTTCTTTTCTTTTAAGACTGGAATATCTACCTTCTCCTGCTATTGGACGTCAGTGCTCCTGGTTCTTTGGTCTTCAGACTCAGCCCAGGACTTAAACCATTTTCTCTCCCCTTTCCTCAGGTCTTTGGACTTAGACTAAGTTACAGCACCAGGTTTCCTGGTTCCCCAACTTGATTATATGACTTATCAGCCTCCATAATCATGAGTCAATTTCCATAATAAGTATATATGTATGTAAGAGGAGATTTATTATAGAAATAATCTTTCTCCCCACACACACCCCTCCTATTGGTTCTGTTTCTCTGGAGAACCCTTATTAATACACACACCAAAATGGCTAAAACAAAACAATACCTGTCAATACCAAGGATGGTGAAGATGTGGGGCAATGGAAACTCTCCTACACTGCTACTGTGAGTGCAAATTGGTATAACCTCTTTCGAAAACAGTTTGATAGTATCTACTAATGTAGATACTATCTACTAATGTATCTACAGATACATATACTTTATGACAGTATTCCATTTATAGGTATATACCTAACAGAAATGAGTATAGGTGTGTATGAAAATGCACAAAAATGGTCAACAATGTTCACAGAAGTTCTAGTCATAATAGTCCCAAACTGGAAAACAACCCAATTACCATCAAATGTAGAAAGAAAAAATAAATTGTGTATTCACACCATGGAACACTATACATTAACAAAAAGTAAAGAACCCTACCTTCAGCAACAGGACTAAATTTTGCAAACAATGTTGAAATTAAAATCCCAGATATAAAACAGTATAATTGTTATTCTACTTAAGTAAAGCTCAAAAACAGGCGAAACTAATATATGGTGACAGAAATAAGAATAGTGGTTACATCTGAGGGAAGCATGCTTATTGACTCTGGAGGGACAAGGGAACCTTCTAGAATGCTGTTAATTTGCATATATTGATCTAGTCACGATTATATGAGGAATTCATTTGTAAACCCTCTTCAATCTATAAGCTTAAAAATGTGCACACTTTATACTATGATTCATTGCACAGATTTACAAAAAGAAAAAATACTATCAAGGGATTTCTGCTTCAATAAAGTGATATATAAAAAAAACTCTTGTTAAAATAACATAAATATTGGTAGAAATGGGGTAAGAGTTGTTTGAAAGTATTAGCAAAGGAGTCAGCAGGTTTTGAGGAACACCAAGGTCCTGAAAAGATGGGAAATGATTAGAGATCAAGATTCTTTACAGCTTTTGCCCTCAGGGCATTTCCTCAATTGGTAGAAAGGACATGCAAAAAGCTAAGGCTCAAATATTCAACATTACACTTGGCTGACAAGGGAAAAAAATGGAATTCAGAGACTTTAGGGCCAAGAAACCAGAAATAAAAATCCCAACATTCTGTACTACTTTTTCTTCTTGAAGCATTCAGATGTTTAAGATACCTAAGGCATGACACTAAAGAACAGATAGTGAGAAGCACCTTTTTAGGAGATTAGAAAACTAAGCAAATATTTCAGTAATCTCACAGTGAGGAAAGAAAAATTGAAGTTCAGGGCTAGCATGAGGTAGGGCCCTGATAAACACCACCAGGCCTTCAGTCAAAACCACTGAAAGGCTCCATCGATAGGAGTAAGAATAGGAAATAGACCAAGCCTCACAAAGACTGAGAACAGCCAACAAGTCATCTTAATTGTTGATGGATCAACACAATCTGACCCAACTCTAACCATCAGCCAAAATAAGTCCTCTCTTAAGAAATATAACATGATACAAAATACATTCAATTAAAGATTCCTAGGCATGCCAAAAGATAAGACCAAATAACCAAAAATAAGAGAACAAACATACCATAGAAAAACACACTGGTAATAAAAATTGTAAATTCAGACATGAACTTTAATATAGCTATGATTAATTTGTACAAAAATATAAATGAGTAGAAAAATTTACAAGTAGAAACTCAAAAATCAACTGGAAAATCTAGAGATTAAAAATATAATAATTGAAATTATATATCAGAAATTTTACATATACATGTAATTGGTATCTCAGAAGAATAGGAAAGAAAAGACGGGATAGAGGCAACATATTAAGATATGCTTATTGAAAACTGTCTTAAATAAATGAAACATTTTGAGCCATGATTCTAAAAAGTTGCAAACAGAAAGTAGGGGGAATAAAATCACCTAGGCATATTGTGAAACTGCTGAAAACCAAAGGCAAAGAGAAAATCTCAAAGCAACCAAAGAAAAAAAAAGATATACTACCTTCATAAAGCAACACTGAGACTAACAGCTGATTTCTCAACAAAACAATGGAAAACAAAACATGATGAAACATCTTCAAAGTGTTCAAAGAAAGTAATTCTCAACCTAAAATTCCATACTTATAAAATATATCCTGAAAAAGTGAAGGTAAAAAATACACAAATCCAGATAAATAAAAACTGACATAATTCATCACTAGGACACCTTTACACAAGACTTATTTATGGCACAAGTAACTTAGACCAGAGAATGCATGAAGGAATAAGCGCAAAAAAAAAAAAAACAGCAAATATGGGATAAATATAAATATTGAGGGCCCTGAACAATAATAATAATGCATGATGGAGTGTTAAATACAGTCATGTGTCACTTAATGCCAGGGATACATTCTGAGAAATGTGTCATTAGGCAATCTCGTCACTGTACGAACATCATAGAGTGCACTTACATAAACCTAGATCGTATAGCTTACTACATATCTAAGCTATATGGATAGCCTATTGCTCCTAGGCTACAATCCTATACTGCATGTTACTAACTGAATTCTGTAGGCAGTTGTAATACAATGGTATTTGTGTATCTAAACATATAAAAAGTACATTAAAAATGAAGTAGTATAATTTTTGGAACCATGATTGTATATTCAGTATGTTTTTGACTGAAATGTTGTTACATACCACATGACTGCAATTAGTAAAAATAATATTGAATCACACCAGAAGTAAAATAAGTCCTCTCTAAAGAAATATAACATGATACAGAATACCTTGAATTCAGTGTGAATTAATTGTCTTAGTGTGTGTATGTGTATGTGTGTGTGAGAGAGAGTACATGTAGGCAACGAAAGCAGAATAGACAGTCTCTTCAAAAGTCATTGGAACATTTACAAATGACTACTGTATATGGCTATAAAGGTGACCCATAAGGCAAGTATCAACAAACTTCAAAGAACTGAAATCATTCCAAACATGTTCTCTGAACACAGTGAAACTAAGCTAAAAACCCCCAAATATTTGAAAACTAACCAATGTAGCCATTAGTCAAAGAAAAAACAATGGAATAATGATAAAAAGAAAACACACTGAGACATTTTAGCAAACCAAATTCACTATTACATTAAAAAAGGATATGAAATGGACAATATATTGCAACCAGAATGGGTTTATTCCAGGTATGCAATATTAATTTAAGATTCAAAACTCACAGACGCAGAAATAACATTTGATAAAATTAAATACCCATTCTCAAAGGAAAAATAATTAGCAAACCAGGAATAGAAGAAACCTTCCTTAAACAGATAACAGGATATCTTAAAAATTTTCTGCCTGGTTCCAAAATATTGAAAGCTTTCCAGTGACACCAGGAATATGACAAGTGTGGCTGTTATCATGATTTCTATGTACTACTGTATTGCAAGTCCTAATCAGTGCAATAAGGCAAAAAAAATGTATAAGGACTAAAAGGAAAAAACTTACACTGTCAAAATTAAGCAAAAAAGTGATTTGTGTATATGTAAAATCTAAATGTATCTATAAATAACTTACAGTTAATAAAATTAGCAAGATCACTAGATAGGTCAGCATAAAATTTCTAACCCTATGCTTATATACTCACAATGAAAAATTAGAAGATAAAACTTTGACACTGATACCCTTTATAGTAACAAAAAAGCATGTGAAACTAAGAATAAATGTAATTTTTAAAATTATATTTAAAATTTAAACAGCATATTACAAAGCACTACTAAAAGAAGTTACAGAATATTACAAAGATTACTAAAAGAAGTTAAAGTAGATCTAAATAAATGGACTTAAAAATTCAATATCATAAAGATGAAAATTCTTCTCAAACTACTATATATTCAATGCAATCTCAAGATTCCTATAAGGTTCGTGTATATAATTATGTATGTGAAAATTGACAAGCTGATTTAAAAATAAAGAATATTCAAAATTTTTGTAAAATATGAAGTTTTAGGATTTATACTACTGATTATGATGACTTCTATTATAAAGTTATATGAATTCATGCAGTTTTGTACTGACACTAAAATAGACAAAACCAATGGAACAGAAAAGAAGGAAACCAGATATATTCAGCCTTTGATAACAAAGATGTCATTACAGTGCTTTGGGGAAGGGACAATTTCTTTTTCCTTTTAAATGGTGATGTGTCAAATAAATACTGATATTAACAAATGACTCCTACCTCACCACACACACACAGAAGCGCATACACAGAGAGAGAGAGAGAGAGAGAGATGCACACACTTGATTCCAGACAGACTGTAGTTCTAAATATGAAAGGCAAAAGAAAGCTTCTAAACCTAACATAGGAAAATATCTATGACCCTAGGGTAGTGAGAACTTCTTAAAGAAGACCGAGGAAGGCCAAACAAAACACAAATCATAAAGGAAATGATTTGTAAATTATTTGTACGTTTGAAAATTATTAAACAGTATGAAGGAGACATCGTTAAGAAAGTGAAAAGGCAAGCTATGAAACGGAAGAAGACATTTGTAGTACATACGTCTGGGGGGAAAATCCTGTACCCATGTTAAATAACTCTACAAATCAATTTTTTTGAAAAATACAACAGAATACCACAAAAAAAGGGATGGGGAAATACCTGAAAAAAAAAAAAACATTTTATAAAAAGAGGATATCCAAATGACCAATACCAACATGAAAAAGTGATCAACACTATCAGTCATAAGGGATGTACAAATTATAACCAGGAAATGTTTACCAGAATAGGTATAATTAGAAATATGAAAAACATCAAGTTTGGGAAGGATGTGGAGCGACTAAAACCCTAAGCACTGCTGGTTAGAAACAGGTTCAACCAATCTGAAAATTTATTTGGTGGTATTTACCAGAACCACATGATCTGTGACCCAGAAATCCAGCAATTAATTCAACATCATTCTCTCTCACGCACACACAAAGACACATATGCATGTATATATGCATGTATGTATGAGTGTATACATAACACATATTCATCAAATACATATTCACCAAAACATACATATATTTACCAAAAATCATGTACAAGTGTGTTCAAAGCATTATTTATAAGAGCTCCAAACTGGAAACAACCCAAATTTACATCAACCATAGAAAAAATATGTTTTGCTATACTTATACAATGATATATATCTGTGAAAATTAATAAATCACTGCTATGACAAAAACATGGATAAGTGTCACAAATACATAAGTGAAAGAAGGCAGTCACAAAGGAAAACATGATGCAGTATTCCACATTTTAAATCTAGCAATGATTGGGTACAGGCAGGAGGGAAGTTTCTGGGGTTTCAGTAATATTCTATTTCTTGGTATGGGTGAAAATTCACATGGGTGTTCACTTTATCAAATTCATTAGCCTATAAATTAGGATTTGAATACTTTTGAAATGTATGGTATACTTCAATTAAATTTTTACTTGAAAATAGTACTACTGTAACATAGTTTCTCAATTCTACTACACAGAATATTATAAAGTAGATTACGACAAAAACCAATCATAACAAAAACCAAAAAAGTTTCCTTCTGCCCACTCTACCTCCACTATGGCTCCCACTGTTATTGTTACAGATATCACTGCGAAAAAACATTTGAAGATTTTTGGGTCACTGATGCCCCTGAGTACAATAAAGATTAAAGATAAGAAGTCATTAACGTGTTTATTTCTCATGCTAAACTTGTGTGAGTAATAGAACAAGAAGGTTGTGGTGGCTTACGCCTGTAATCCCAGCACTTTGGAAGGCTGAGGTGGGTGGATCGCTTGAACCCAGGAGTTCAAGACCAGGCCGGGCAACATGGCAAAACCCCATCTCTACCAAAAATACGAAAATTAGCCAGGCAGGGCGGCACACACCTGTAGTCCCAGCTACTCAGGAGGCTAAGGCGGGAGGGATCACCTGAGATCAGGAGGCAGCAGTTGCAGGGACTCATGATCACACCACTGCACTCCAGCCTGGGCAACACAGCAAGACCCTGTCTCAAAACAACAACAACAACAAAAACCAAAAAAACAAGAAAGTTAAATCTAATCATAAAGAACCAAGAAATTGTTAGGTCAAAGATTCTAAAGGTATTTAGAAATTAGGTTCTTATATATTAAACCAGGTTGTGCATGTAACCCAGTTTGACATTTTTTATGTTGTTACATACTTCATATAACTTCAAGTTAATACTTAAATATTAATATGCAGACCACAACATTCAAACATGTTATATTCTAAAAGCTGATTAAGTTCTCTGTAACCTGATTGTAAGTAACTATAATACAGCAAGAGCAGAAAAAGAACATTTTTCTCTTTCTTCTTTCTTCTCGTCTCAGGTTTTACCCAAGACACATTAAAATTACCTGCCTGGGCACCAAAGTCAACTGATTTGATCACACATACTGTAAATCACAGGCCAGTTCACTTTAGTAGGTGAGCGATGAGAAAGGGAAAGAGAAAGTAGGGTCAAAGAGAAAACTGAAAGTGAAGGGAAAAGGGGTACACGTTTTTTAAATAAATGAGAAGACATATTATTATACATATAAAAGATAAGAATACAAAGACTCCTGGGAAAGCAGGAGGGGTTGGGATCCAAAGTAATAGTGGAGTGATTGGGCTTGCAGAGAAAGATGTACAATGTGATTTCTACATGTCCCCAAATTTTTCTAACTCCTTCCATCAAAGTGCAGAATCTAATTCAACTTCCCTTGATACAGACTCATTTAAGTGACTCACTTAACAAACAGAATGCAGCTGAAGTGACACTGCTTGACTTTGGAGGCTAGGTCATAAAAGGTGATACAGCTTATACCTGGCTCTCTCCCTCCTTCTTGGAACTTAGCCACATGATATGGGGCCCAAGCCACATGTAGAGGTCATGTGTAGGTGCTTCAGCTGACAGTCCCAGGTAAGGTTCAAATTACCTGTACAGCCAGCATCAACAGGGAAACATGTAAATGAGCAAGGCTTCATGTGTTTCTAGTCCCCATAAACCATAGCAGTGATTTATTAGCAGAGCTAAGATAGCTGATGTCATATAGAGTGCATAGCTGAGCTCTGCCCAAATTACTTACTTTCATAAGTAAAATAAATGTTGTCACTCTTTAAGCTGCTAAATTTAGGAGTCCTGCATGATGGAACAATAGATAAATATAACAGACAACTCCTCTATTATAACAGAATAAGATGGTCAAGTTAAAATACAGTAGGTGTGAACATTTAATAGGAAGAAGTTAAAGGGGTTCCTGTCTGATAGCTTTTATTTTCCTTGTAAAATATGACATAATATCATGACTTAGAATGAGAGAGATAATGGAGAAGTCAGAGGTATAAAGAGAGAGAAATGAAATAGAACTTGTGAAGAATGAGAGACAGAGTTGATCAGAGAAATGTGGTAAAACTGTAAAGTCATGTTGACAGCTCATTTGAGGTTGATGATAGTAAATTTCTAGTGTTCTTCTGTGCAGCTTTCTCTAGCAGTGCTTAGCTCTTGACTGAAAGCACTGAGAAAGCACATAGCTGAGTTTATCATGAGTTACATTTTTGTTAGAGAGATTTGATAAAGAGGCAGATGTGCAAAGGAATTTTGGGACCAAGTAATCTAGAATGGTTAAGAAGAAAAAATGAAAGTGAGAGGACTGATGGATAAATGGATGAGAGGTTCTGATGAAGAATGATCATAATGGGAATATTTAAAAAGCAAGCAAAAAGGAGAGGAAATTGTGATCAAAGAATCACACACATTGGTGATTCTTGAGCAGTTAATGAATATTACAAGGTCTTTGGCAAGACTAGACATCTGAATGAACAAAAGGGGAATAGGAGATAACATGGTCAAAGAACAGAGGTGCAGTGATGATAGATGAGTCATTAACATAGAATTTGAAACCATCCAGGATGAATGCAGAGCTTAGAGTATAGAGAAACATTGTGGGCCAGATGCCAAAATATTTGATGAATAAGAAGTAAGCAAGAGACTGGTAAATGACAGCAACAAGGATGAGAAACACAGTGGCACAGTTGAATGATACATGCCTTGAATAACAAATTTTTCAAAAGGTTGGGAGCATAATACTCTAGTTTTTCCTAGTCCAGTGTCTTCTTCCTACCTGCCTGAGACCAATCTCCCCATACCAACTGTGATATAATTTTGATATGTAAATGTCAAAGAAGTTACTATATACCATAAAAAGGGGGGAAAGAGGTACCCTCTTATCACATTAATCAACTATTATCCCCAAATAGTCAATACATTACTGACAAAGTTCCTGCCAATGGAGGAAAGGGAGGAGGATGTACGCTTCTACAGGAGGTTTGAATTTTTGATCCATTTAACTATCCATGATTTTAGCTTCCACCATGACATGAGCCAAGAACTGTGCCACATTCCAGAGATTAAAACACTAAACAACATAGACACTGCTTTGCCAGATCACACTGTAGTGGGTATAAGAGTTGAAAAAGCAATGTAGTACAAGTGCTACAATTATAGATGTAAATATTTCCAAAATGGACTCAAAGGAAGTTTCCATTTCAGTCAGTTTCAGTCTATTTCCCAAGATGATCTCAGAAATTCTATACTACTCCTCTATAAACTCCTATGCTACATTTTCACCCTAGTATTAATCTCAGGCACCTATGTATCATTGTATGCCTTACTATAAATATCTGTATCTGTCTCCCAATTTAAGGACAGGAACCAAGTCTTATTTTTATTTGCATCTACAGACTAGCATAGTGCCTGGTTTAAAGTAGGCGCTCAATAAGTACTGATTAAGAATGAATGAAAGACAAATAAGTGAATGTTTTGCCTGTCATTCTATGAATTGAACTATGGCTTATTCATGACCTAAAGACTACAGCCTAAAGTGAGGCTCATATTCTTCCACAGTTTAACCTGTCATGGCTCCTACTCAGAGGGAGCTGAGCTAAGATTGAAAGAGCTAAGTTACCAGTAGAGCTAGCCCCTGTAAAAGAAGTAATATCTATACCAACATGTTCTCTCAAGTTTGTGGCTCACATATAACAATGGCCTGCTGATGCTATATGGTCATCTACTTAAGAAGAATACAGTATAGAAATGGAATATTCATTTTACTAAACAGGACTCTAAACTAATATGATCACAAGAATAGTCTCTTTAATTTTCTAAGGACAAAGTCCAGATCGAGAAAACAGGCTTGTCAGAGACCTAAAGGTTTAGATTCCACAGTTATCTTACAACAAAACAAGTTTCAGATGTCCCTGAAAAGTTAACATATGAATAGAAGACAACAGTGAATATAACATTAAACTATGGCCATAGAGCCTGGGACTTTATACCTTGTTACATCAGGCCAGATAAAAAATATGGCATCTACATTGGATTTTCGAAGGCAGAACTAATACCAATTATGCTAGTGTATCAATTTAACTTATAAGAATCCCGAATTTGATTCGGAAAATTTTCTGCATAGATACATAGCATTACTGAATCTAATTCACATTACAAAAAAACACGTCCTATAATCCACTTCCTACAACATTCTCATAATTGTGCTTTTACTTGTCTAAATCTTTTACCAGACTATAAGCTACATGAAGACAACTCTTTACTCCCTATTTCACTGGCTAGGGAATAAAAATGAACTAAATGAATAAATTAATTATAGCCAATTAAAATAAAGAAATCCACTAAAAGCAATTTAAGCTATACCACCATATCGGGGAAACAATTTATTTGCATAATAGTAGTAAACCTTAGTATTAGCAAGAAGAAGACTTATCTTATAAATACTGATGATTCTTTTGGAAAGTGCTGGGGGCTAGAGAGATTATAAAACCTATCAAGAGTAAAAAAACAAGCCTCGATGGTACACACCTGCAGTCCCAGCTACGCAGGACTGCCTGAGCCCAGGAGTTTGAGTCCAGCCTGGGCAACACAGTAAAACTCTGTTTCAAAATAAATAAATAAAAATAAAAAATTATTTTAAAGAGTAAAAAAGCATTATCTAGCTTTTGAAATTGCTAAAAATACTACCTGAATTTGTAAACACATGTTTCACCTTTAAACATAAATGACTAATCAGTTAAATACATTTATTGTCTAAGCCCAGTCTATATCAAGGTTTTACGATAATTCATTTTACTTGTTCTACAGCTAGCTTTTATAAGTTTGGAAGAATAGTCCATGAGTTCTAGTGTTTCAAGTTTAGGTGAGCAATCCCAGATTTTCTGTCTATGCCACTTGATTTTATACACTTTAATCATGTAACTTTAATTTTTCTAGATTAAATGAAATATGTATATATACAGTTTATTCACACAGAATAGACTTCCCATGCTCTTACTCCTGTTAGCTGCCCTGATCTAAACTTTCTCTGGTTCTGCTATACACAAAACACCACAACTACACATAGCACATTAATGGTTTCACATAAGAATAGAATGTTTCATGTTTTATTTCCAAGACTCTGCCCTGATGGCGAACATTTTGATGGCTCCTTTACTTGTAGTAGAACATGAAAATATCTTCAAAGATCAGTACAGTGATTCATAAATTTGTCTTTTTAGGTGCAGACCCTTGCTTTATTGTCTGATTTGTTCACAGTTAAGCCCCCTGCTCAGAGGACCAACAGGCCAGTTAAGGGGCAAAGGAGGTGCCTCGAGCCTTACAGAGTCAAGGCTCTCCAGGGCTCCCCAGCCCACCACTCATTTTCTGTGCCCCCTGCCCGGGAGGCTAGCTGGGAGGGGGCTCCCTGAGGGGTGAGGATGGGCAACTACAGGGGATTTGAGTGTGGGACCCAGGGTCTGCTCTTCACAGTAGGAGGTGGGATGACTAAGTTCTTTATTACAGACCTACAAAAACCGAGAGAGTTATAAATTATTCTCACTAGTTTGGGCTTCTTTTTTCTTTTTCTTTTTACAAAACAGCAGCAAGAAAGAGAAATGCAGGTGGCAGAAGAGCCAGGCACGAGGCTTCAGATCGGAAGGGACCAGAGATGAGGACCAAGGTGTGGCTGCCTGACCAGGAGTGCTGTGGGCTGGCCTGGGCTCTCTCTATGCATCTTGAGAGAACTGCCACAGGCCCTAGAGGGAGGGGACGAAAGGCATGTGGGAGGGAAGAAGGCAGTCCCCGGATCAGCAGCAGCACCATCTTCTGATGGCCCCTGGGCAGTCCGCCAGCTCAGAAGCACTCATGGCTGGAGCCTGGGCCCCAGGGGCCAGACAGGAGGGAGGCAGCAGGAAGGGCCAAGTTCTACTGGGGTCCCATGGGGGCAAGGGAACCAGGACTTGTCCTTGCTTGTCAGCCAATCAGCTTCTTCAGGAAGGCCTCCAGCTGATCCTCATCTTTGATGCCCACAAACTTGTCCACCACATCCCCATTCTTCATGGCCAGCACAGTGGGCACCACCAACACCTCATACTCAATGGCGAGGTCTGTGTGGTCATCAATATACACCTTGGCCATCAGCACTTTCCTATGCTGCTTGACCACCATCTTCTCTAACCTCAGCCCCAGGATCTTGCAGGGTCCACACCACTGTGCGTGGAAATCCACAAGCACTGGCGTCTCACTGTTGGTCTTGAAAGTCAGGTCCATCCTGGATATTAATGGTCATTGAGGAGATGCTGGTGGTGTATATGGTCTGGGCTGAGTTGGGTGTTACAGCCAGGCCACCAGGACTGCACTGTGGGGTCTGCAGGGCTCCAGAAGTGAGAGGTGGCCACCGATCCTGAGAGGGCTTCCTGGAGACGACTGAGGCCAGGAACCTCCTCAGGAAAAGTCACTGAGACATTTCCCTGCAGCGCAAGCAGAGGGATGCACAGCCCAGCCCTCCCTGCCTGACAAGGGCACTCCTGTCCTTTACTATCATTCCTTAAATGTAGATCAAAAGTTTTCCCTAAATACATTACCATATATTTATTTGCTCAATTGAGGATCATTTGCCACTTCTCTGCCCACACATTTTGTGAGCACTTTTTATGATTTATTCCCTCATCTTGCTGCTTCCTGTGTATTTTTTCTTTTAATAAATATAATAGAAGCATTGGATTATAAAGCTGGAAGAAGAGATCACAGTGTCATTATCCAATCCATCCCTCTTGATTTTATACCGTCACTTGGAGATTTTAAAACATTTGTCCAAAGTGAGATATTAGAATGTATTAGAAAAAAGACAATTTAGATTTTTCTTACTCTCAAGTTTATGATTTTACTACTAAATTACATCTGAACTTTTAAACATCTATGTTAAAGGACTCCAGGGGAATAAAACTGACATTTACTCAGTACATAATAGATGTTGGTGCTATATTTTACATGTTCTTTCCACTATCCTGTATAACTACAAAACCGAATAGCTTAGAGGATGCACACTTAAATTATAAAAGTAATATTTTATGATTTTAAATTACTTTGTTTCCTTAAAAGTTACATTGTTCTCATCAGTACTTTGGCTTTCCTCTTTTCAAAACAAAAAGGCTAAACTTTTAGTATATAGAATTCTTAACTTATGTAAGTTATGCCAGATGTTATAGTTTCCATAGTTTCTAAACAGTTGTCTTTGAAAAGAGTAAAATGAGGATAAAATGTAGAAAAGGTCCCTTGACCATCCAAGGGCATTTTCCCCCATGGCTGGGAGATAAAAGACAATCCACACATACAATAACCAATCAGCTATCATTTATCAGAAATGCCACGGGTATCCCGAGTTCAGTAAGTCCCCACCCCAACCCCCAATGTACTCCTGCCCTCTGTATTCATTTCCTGACTCTATTACTGGCGTTACAACCCATCTACCATGGCATTGAAGCTTAAACTTAACGTGTCATCCCCAATCCTCCTTTTCCTCATTTCCCACATGCAATCAGTACAATACATTCTGCTCAATTTTTCAAATTTCTCCCATTTCAGATCCTTTTCTCCATCCCAACCTCTACCACCTTGGTTCAGACCCTCAAAATCCCTCACCCAAATTATCATAGGAGTCTTATAATTGATCTTGCCTCTATTCCACTTGCTCCATAATGATTTATCTTCACATCACCACCAAAGTAACCTCTTTTAAACCCAAATTGTATCATGTTTCTCTCTTATTTCCAAGTGCACGATGGCTCCCTAGTGTCTAAAAGATAAAATTCAAACTCTCTCCATTATGTGGCCCTCTGTCCATTTCTTCAGTTTCATCTATCATTATACAATGTCCCCTCTTCCTATCACCAACCCCACATTCCATCATTTAATCATAATGGGCAACTTACTTCCTTATCCTGAATATGTTACATGGTTTCACTCCTCTGCATCTTCACTTATCAATGCTCGGTCTACTCAGAACACCCTTCCTCCTATAATCCATCTGATGAACATTTATCATTTTCAATGCTCAAGTCATGGTTCAACTCCTCTTTGAAGTCCTTTTTGAACCTCTTCCTCCCCATCCCAGTGGAAATGACCATTCTTTCCCTTGGTTCCCCAGCTGAACTTTAATGAAAGGATTTGTGGCAGGTTTCATGTGTTTGCTGACATGTCTATCTTCCCCCTTCTGGAATATGGGCACCCTGAGCAGGTACTCTGTCCTATTCAATCTTTATTCCCATAGTCTTGTGTAGAGTCTGTCACATTTTAGGAGCTCAATTATGTGTACTGAATAAAGGAATGAATGAAGCAATGAACAAAGAACTATACAGGACATTCTTGAAGGAATACATTTAAAAGTAAGATTAAATACCCAAAATGATAGTGACCTAAGCATATTTACCTTTCATAAATTTCACACTTTTCTATTTAACACAATGTTATTCACTAAGAATTTAGGATTTATTAATCTGAGGAAATTTGATCACCCACGTATACAAACATTTATCACCTAGATATAGAACTTCATAAGTTGTACTAATTTTTAAAAATTAATTTAATGGAATGTCAAAATGAATTATGGTCAACTATTAATTATCTGACAGGATCTTAATAGCTATCCTGGCTTATCTAGGACCTTCTCACGTGCTGCTTCTGTCACTCAGCCATGGCTTACTTTTCTAAGCTGGCTTTCATGCCTCTAATTATCCTGCTGCTGGCAATGAAAAAGCAACAATCTGTCTACAGCCTAAGTGAAGGACACTGAGGAGAATAAGAGGAGGAGAATAAGAAAAATGGTTCCTGAACATGAGATAATTTGATACAGTACACAATCTGCACAAACAGAATCACAGAATCATGGAACTCGATGAGATCATATGTATTTATCATCAAAATTGCATAACTGATTGCTTTGATTTTTTTGTCTTACACCCAAGAAAGACTTCCCCAGTACCTCTGCATTCTACAGAATTGGAACAAATATCTGCTACTGATTTTCCTTTGATAATTGAAAGGTGTAAAGACCTAAGTAAGGTATAAGAAATCACTATATTGCATTTAAATCTACAGAAATTTTTCAATAGAAGATATTCACTGAGATTACTAAAAATCACAAAATTTTATTTCTAGTACAGCCCCAAAAATAATTTAACTTTGTAGTTAATAAATTAAACACAAATTATTGAACTATAATAATTTGCTCACTAAGTTTATAAATGCTTATTCTGAGGAAATAAGTTAATTCTTAAATGAGAAAAAATAAATCCAGCATTCCGTTCATCTACACTCACTTGTAAGGATCCACAAATAACCAAGATGACAGAAAGATGGGTTGGCATTTCTATTAAATGCAAAAACAACTATGTTCTAAACCTGTGTTGTCCAATATACCAAACACTAATTAGCCACATGTAAGTTAAAGATTCAGTTTCTCAGTGGTACTAGTCACATTTCCAGTGCTCAACAGACATGTGGCTAGTAGCTACTACAGTGGACAGCATAGGTGGAGATCACTTCCATTATCACAGAATGTTTGACTGGACAGCGCTACTCTAATCATGGTGAAATGAGAATTTGCCAATACTTTTAAAATGGTAATACAAGTTCAAATAATAATTTTTTTTATCAACTATTGGGCAAGAAGGGAAAAGTATACATTTACAAATGGGAAAAAATAAATATAAGTACTGTAGTAATTAAGGCTTTAAGTACATAAAATTAGTTTTATGTGGTTTAATTTGAAATTCTACTATATTGAATCTGAAAAGATAATGATGATAAAAATCCAGAGAATGGTACAAGAAAAAAATAATCTTTTTCACTTAAGATTTTAATATACCAAATAAAGTCATGTTTGAAAACTGAAATGTGCTATAATTGTCTAAGCTATTCTGTGTGTCTTAGCATCGGCTATTCTATTGGATACAGAGGCTGTTCAGCAAAGTGGTTAGAATTTCAGGTTCTGAGGTTACAGTTGCCTCAACTTAAATGTTGCTTCTTGACTTACTAGCTATGCAACCTTAAGCAAGTCACTTAGGCTCTCTGAGCCTTCATTTCCTCATCCATAAATGAAGGAATAACTCAAGTGCTTTACAGTTTAAAAGAGTAAGTAAAAGTTTATACACGGAAAGCATTAGAGAACCTGGCACGTATTAGTCCTCAAAAAATGTTAGTTGTTAAGAAACTTGCATTTTTGTTGAACCTAGTCTACTGGTGGCTTTCTTTGATTAATTCCTACTGACTTTCAAATCCACAGGACAGAGAGATACTCTGGAAAACATTCAAAGATCATATGCGAACACTAGGTCACATGGTAACTTTACGACTTGCAGTCATGAAAGAATCTACATTCAAACCTCTACCAACACTTTTCACCCATGGGCCTCAACATTTTTGCAATGAATGTATAACACAAAGCCCCATAGGCAACCTGGAGGTATAGTATTTTTTTAAAATGAAATAAATAAAAACCCCTCCCAGGTTAAAAGAAGTAGCGTGTTTTTTTGGTGTGTTGGTGACTGGGGCTGGTGTAAAAGGAAGAGACTGGATAAGTAAAACAAACTTAACTGACAAGAGTTTAAAACTTCTCTGAGAATTTTATCATATTTCTAAAAGTTTATGTTTCTCTGTATTAGCTGACGTTTAAATAACTACGCCCAAATTTTAAAAGGAATATATCTTCAAGAGTAATTTTAAAAACACACACAGAGCAGTTAGGTATGTAATAGTACCAGTTATTCTTTCATTAAGTTTTGAGATACATCAATACAATTTCCTAATTCACTACAGCAGAACAACAGGTACCTAAGTTAATGTTATCTCCAAAACCTGTGGAGATGAAGATGGAATCTCACCTAGCTTTTAGGTCTTACCCCAGAAAATGTTAATTCTAATAGAGGGAAAAGGTTCAGTAGAGTACAATACAGGCACCAGATAGTTAAAGTTAACCAAGACCCTTCTAAATTATCTTTATGCCTAACTTCATTCTTCTGGAATATTTTTAGAAATAAGCTCTGGAATCACCTGCCTTTCTGAAGCTTGGTGCTAACTGAACCTGAAATCTTAACTGACTTGATATTTTTAATCAACTTTTCAAATCAAACATTTTCATACAGCAATTTTCAGAGTTCTAATTCCACTTTCCATAATGTTAGCACTTGTATTTTTGCCTTTCAGGTAACTCTTATATATACATATTTTCTTTCCCATTAGACAGTAACATTTTTCAGCTTTTACTTATAGTCTTTAATTGAAACTAAAACATTTGGTGAATATTTTGAAAATAAACATATTAACTGATTATTTATTGATGCTGAATGGAGTCCAGGCATCAGACTCTATTCCTTACTCTGTTATTACTAACAGTATGATCTCAACTCCAGCTTCTTCGGAGGTCAGGATCTTTGAAAGGGAATGATTGTACAGGCTGATCTCTAACATCATATATTTCTAAAAGTTTTGAAAAACAAATTTTCAAGAATAATTCTTTAAAAAATACACAGAACATTTAGGTACGTAATGATGAGTTCTTTCATTAAGTTTAAAATACAATTTCTTTGTTCACTACAGAACAGCAACATATACCTGATAACACTGCTCCAAATGAAATTACAAACATTAATCAACACGTGACATTTCAAATAATTTTCCCTATGACACATAACATGCTATTTTTTTTGGTCACTTCACAACAGCTTTTTAAACTACTATAATGACCTTCAGTTTCCATAAATAAAGTTACACAAAAAGCTGACTAACATACTTAAGAACTAGATTGTCATTAACACTTAAAACATAGAAAAGAATTTATCCATAGAAATAATTTAAATATGTTCAGATAAACATTTAAAGTTTCCATTCTGTTTTCAGTAAATATTCCAAGGTTATTTCACAGCTATGAGTTGCAAATTAATACTAAGGGAGAATTGTTTTGGTAACTTAATAAAAAATATACAGGTCACAGAAGAGTCTATTATCATTATCCAAAATATAAACATTATACAGGTCAGCACTTGCTAATGAAAACTACTAATATAATCATTCTCCAAGCACACTCTTTTGTAACACAATTAGCATGTTTTAAGTTAATAGAGCTTTAAATTAACACAAAAAATGACAACATATCAGGTAAAAATAATTCTTTATACTTTTTGCATTCTTTATACTTCCTGCACAGTTAGTTACTATATTTGTGCAATTTTAAAAAGACAACATAGGTCACGCACGGTAGCTCACGCCTGTAATCCCAGCACTTTGGGAGGCCGAGGTGGGTGGATTACCTGAGGTCAGGAGTTCGAGACCAGCCTGACCAACATGGTGAAACTCTGTCTCTACTAAAAATACAAAAATTAGCCGGGTGTGGTGGTGGGCACCTGTAATCCCAGCTACTCAGGAGGCTGAGGCAGGAGAATCCCTTGAACCTGGGAGGCAGAGGTTGCAGTGAGCCAAGATTGCACCATTGCACTCCAGCCTGGGCGACAAGAACGAAACTCCATCTCAAAAAATAATAATAAAATAACATACATTCTACCTCTACATTGGCTTCTTTAAATCTCCGTATAACATGCTGTGTGTTCTTGGCTTATATAATAGCTCATCAAACTTTTCTGAAGCTCCTGAAAATGAATACCAAAACCTTACTGATGAAACATAAACCACATAATCTGATATATTTATGTTAAACAAAATGAATGACTAAATCCTTCTAAATGAATTCTACTTTATTAATACAGAAAAAAGCTATTTTCTTCATGCAAAGTTATAAAATTAGCCTAATTCTTATGTTACAACCATGAAAACATTACAAGTAATATTTACACAAACTAAAATCACCAGGCCCACTTTAAGTGCTAACATGTCATTCACTCCTGGTGATATAACAAATACCATCTGTTATTTGGACATTCTGAATTATAAAAATATATGAACTTTACAAAGGCAAACCAACTTTTATTTCACAACCATTCTGACACATATATACACACATATATATGCATGTGTATACATGCACACACAAACACACAGACACACACACACCTTATCGCCATACAGAAATTCCATTTTCATGATTTTTTACTGTTTGATGTAAAGTGTGGAGTACCCGCACCTTCCGCTCTCAGAAGAAATTAACCGTGTTCTGGAAGCACTTCAACTCCGAATGACCTTTAAGTTTTACAGGCATTGGTAGCAGATCCTTGAATGTCTAGAGAAAAGGCAAACCTGCCTGGCTTTTTTCTCTAATGGATAAAGTTGCTGTTGGGTCTCATTATGTTTTCCATTCCTAATCTGAAGAGATGAAGGATCTCTAAGGCAGGGTTGTCCACTCAGGATTAGCCTCACTTGCGTAGAGCCAGACTAGCAGCCCCCGCCTTGTGATAAGGTTGGGTCGGACCCAAGTGATGGAGGGAGAAGAGCCAACCTTACCCACAGCACTACCTGTAGCTCCCAAAGAGTCGGCGAGGGGGGAAAGCAGGGGTGGGATGGCACTAGGGACTTCTTTCCTCGGACCATATTTGGGGAAGTGTTCCAGAACGTGTGCAAGTCCTCCTCGCTAGAGTGAGAAAGGGAATCCCAGGGAACGCTCTTCCCAGGATCCCCACATCCGGCCCTTCGCGTTCAGCTCTCAACGCGGAGCTGGGGGGTCGGAATGGAGGAGAAAGGCAGCTGGTCTCCCGGCCCCCCAGAACGACTCCCGGCGGCCGCTGCTAGGCCTGGCCCGTGCCCGCGGCCTCAGAAGCTGCGACCCGGAGGGCGCTCGGTGCCCCGCGCCGGCCCGCCCAGCGGATACCCAGACCCGGCCTTCAACTCACCGCTCTCCACCTCGCTGCCTTTCTTGGCGGTCGCCGCGTTCCCCATGTCTGGGGCGATGGCAAGAAGGGGTCAGGGAAGGGAAGGGGGGCTGGGGCCGTGCCCGCCACTCCACAGTCTGGGACAACTCCCGCGTCTGCACCCGTCAGAGCGGTGAGTGCGCC
Source organism: Homo sapiens (assembly GCF_000001405.40). Taxonomy (NCBI): domain Eukaryota; kingdom Metazoa; phylum Chordata; class Mammalia; order Primates; family Hominidae; genus Homo; species Homo sapiens. Next base: position 84,078,209 of record NC_000001.11, on the reverse strand, counting down.
TAGCGCTGGCGCCAGGAGTCCGGGCGCGAAGACCGGGCCGGGTCTGAGGAAAGGGCTCCAGCGAACTCCTTAGCACCGGCAGCAGCAGCGGCGGCGGCGGCGGCGGCGGCGACGGCGGTGGCAGCAGCAGTGGCGGCGGCGGGCAGACACTCCCCCTTCGCGCGGTCCGCCCTCTCTGCGCGCCCCCGGGCAGCCGCGCGCCCAGGCCAGGCCCTGGCCCGACTGTATCTTCGCAGGCGGGCGCGCGCGCCGGAAGTGACGCGCAGGCCCGGGACCCCGGGGGCGGGCGGTGGACCCCCAGCTGGCAGAGCCTGGGGCGGGGGCCTGAGGTGGCGTGGACCGCTTCTTCCCCCGCGGTCGCCCGGGCTGGCGCTCGCGTGCCCATCGCTGAGATAGTGGGAGGTGGAGTGGGAACCGCTAGCTTTGCAGAACGCAGAGTCCCTCCTCACCCTGGCGGTCCCGGTGCCCTGGAGTGCAGTCGCGGAATACTGTTCAGCGGCTCGGGTGGTTTTCCTTGCGTCCCGCCACGCGGCGGCTCCTCACTAAAAGGCTGCCTTCTCCCCACAGCTCCAGGTCCGAGAGGAGCCGCACCGTCGGGTTGGAGATCGCGCGCAAGGGTGGCCTCTGGGTCTGCATCTGCCCCGCATCGGCCACAGGAAAAGCCTGGTCCCTAGGCACGGTCGTGGTTCGAGCTTTTCGTTCTCTCGCACATTGAGGTATTCGCTCAGCCCACCACGTTGTCCTCGGGGTTATTAGGCCCCAGTCACAAGCCCTATGATGTTTTCAGACTTCCCAGGTGGAGATAAAGGAAAATTTTACTATTTCTGCAGAACTTCTGTTGATGTACAGCATTGTATTTAGCAACTTCTGTGTAGATCTGAAAATAAATACATTACCAATTGTTAGTTGCGTTTTTATTAATATAAATCTTAGAGTACTTGATTTTGCTGTTAGCTTTACTTAGGTAAATTATGTGGCACTCTAGCATTTTTGTTGTTGCATGTTCCATTGAACTTTGCTCTGTGTTTTCCATTTATTCCAAATTCAAAATAGACTGTAACTTCCCAATTTATTCTATGTTCCCAAGGCACCAGGCATAGTAGGTGTTTTATGAATACCTGTTGACTTGAAATTTCTCAGACTTTTAAAAAATTTTTCATTACTGACAAAAGATGGAGCGATAAAAAGATTCTTAGTACACTTCCTATTATTGCCAATTCTATTAGTAATGTATACTGCATTACAACTTCTATACAAGCAGTAACTCATTTGCTCCTCATAAGAACCCTATGAGAGATGTGGTTTTACTGTCATCATTTTAGGAGCAAATTAAGGCACAAAGAAGTGACTTACCCAAGGTTACACAGCTATTATCTGGTGGAAGCAGGATTTGAACCCTGGCAATTGGGCTCCAAAGTCTGATCCTTTGTCTATAATGTTGACAAAAACTTGTGGATGTTGTGGTAAATTGCTTTCTCTCCATTTGAAATCCCATTGAGTTGAAGAGATAGACGCATAGTGAGTATACGTCCCAAGGAAATGTATTATATTGTTTTCTGGGTTTCAGTTAATTCAAATAAAATAAAAATAGTGAAGCAAAGATTTGGACTAGATGCTGTGAGGTTTTGTGTCAGCATGCAACAGTGTCACAACAGTGTCATCACCACGTTTGGTTCTGTGTTGTGGATGTAATATTTTGCCCCACATACATAGAAAGTTCAATGAATAGCACTGAACCACATATATACCAAATTAAAGACAACTTTTGATATTATGTATTCTAGAGGGAATCTTTCTGGTATCAGAATATTCATACTACTGTCATTGGGATGAGTTTTAAATGTATACCTTTTTAAATAAATCCTCTTTAATAATAAAAGTGGTTGTGTGCATAATTTGGCACTTTAACATAATTTTGAATTCTAGGTCTCTAATAAGAGGGCAGCCATCTACTTAGTAAATCATTAATTTACAAAGGAGACAATTGAGAGCTATTACGAAAATGGATACAATATAACTATACCTGAAAAACTAATAAGTAAAGCAAAAAATCAGCTTTACAAATTGTCTCCCCTTCTTTCTCAATTTAACTTTATTATTGGTTAAGGAAATAAGTTGTTAATGATAGAGAAAAAGTGATCAGCAATTTAAATTTCTTGCTATTTTTCTTTTTTCTGTATACCACTTTTTTCTGCTTCTTATATTAGCTTGCTTTTGCTCTGCTTTAAGGAAGATTATACTTTAAAAGTATAGTTTGGTAAATAGTTTTTAATTAGTTAACATGCACAATCATTTATTTGTAATTACAAACAAGTTGTTTTTCATTATTAGAAGAGTTTTCTATAGGAATTCATTGTTTATGTAGCATCTAGAAGACTATGTTTTATGAACTGGTTTTTTAACATTCTGGAGGGGGCAGAAATTTCAACTGTCCAGTTATTCATGAATAATTGGAGGTTTCATGGGGCAATTTCTATCCTTTGCCACGAATGACTGCTGTACCCTAGACACAAACAGAGATGGAACTGTGTAATTTTGTTTCCCTAGGAAAGCAGATGCAGTAAGAAGGGACTCATTCAGAGAAAAGATTTTGAGTCCCCTTCCATATAATATTTTTGCTAATCTGAGAACATGTAGCGCTGTGTAAAAGGGAAAATTATACCAGTGGTAGCTGCAAACCTACATAAGCCAGATAACTATGTTAGCCCCATTTTACAAATGAGTAGAACAAAGGTTCAAAGAAGTGAAGTAAGTTGGCCAAGGTCACTCAAGTGGTAAGAGGCAGAGCTCTAGATTATATGCTCTCACTCTGAAACAAACATAATCTAATCCTCATTAAGATTAGGTTTTTAAATCCGTATTCTGCAGATAAGAAAACTAAGGTTTATGAACAAAGAACCTTGGCACTCTTCTGTCTAGAGCCACCTCTTTACTCAGGAGTGAGAAAAGGGGAGAAAGTTAGTAAATTTTTATTCGAATTTATTTTGTAGTTTCTACTTATATTGCCAACTTGATTCCAAGTCCTTTTAAAGTAAAGCACCCTCAAAACAATGTATGTCAGAAGTACTTGTTTATCTTAGAGTGACCAATAATGAAAAACAACTTGTATGTAATTACAAATAAATGATCGTGGATGTTAACTAGTTAAAAACTATTTAGCAAACTATACTTTTAAAGTATAATCTTCCTTAAACCAGAGCAGGGGTAAGCTAATTTTGTTTTTATATCATATTTTACATGAAATAAATGCAAGTGAGAATTTAACCATCATAGAATTACAATTTTTTTGAATGATAATTAATCATCCATGTTGTCTAATATTTTATTATTGTATGGTATATACCAAACCAAAAGATACCACATTAAATACCAGGCAAACAGCAAAGTAATATTTCCAAAATGAGGAAGTAATTTTATGGCCAATAAATTACAAATATGATAATTGTTTTAAATCATTCTAATACAGTACAAAGTTTTCTTGTTGGGCGTAATTCTAATCCTTTTGTTCAATGATGAATTTTTTTTTATCTGAGTTTCAGTATTCATCTTTTTGGATATTCCTTTACAGATAGGGAAACTAAAACAATTGACTCTGGTTGAGTAACCAAAATATTAACAAAAATGACCTAGTGCCAAAGTGGAATTATAGCTTCTGTGTTTCACAGAGGGACTGGGATACAAACTGAAAGCTTTAAGGAAAAAAAAAAAAAAAATATATATATATATATATATATATATATATATAGTAGGACGAGGGGCCACAAAACCAACTTTTTTTCTTAATATGAAATTCTCTCTTTCAGAAAAGTTTATGTTTGGGATATTCTAATTATACTAGTGTATTTATCAAAACTATGCCTAAATCTCTGTTATTTCAGTGTTATGCATTTTTTGACATGTACCTGTAAGACAAAAATAACACCCAAATTTACAAAATGTTTGCTGATTTTTGAAATCAAACATGGCACAAAAGCTTTCACAAAATCTCAGCCTTTATAATCACATTATCTTTGATCAAGGTGAAAAGGGGAAAATCTGGTCCACAAAATTAAAATTATTAATACATTTATAGGATTGATAGTGACAAAATAGAATGTTATGTAGTGAAGTAGAAAAGCTTTGAGCATTTTAGTCAGAAATATCTGGGTTCATGTTCTGGTTTGGCCAGTATCTACGACGAAATATCTACGAAATATCTAAATTATTTCATTTCCCTTGACTTAGTTTCCTGTGGTGTGAAGTTATATGAATTAAATCATATAGTCTATGAAAAACACCTAGGATAACTTTTGTTATGTGATAGGCACTCAGTAACTATAACTGTGTCCCCCAGTCCTCAATAACATTCTATTTCCTCATGTTTATGTTTCAACAAAATCATTCAACAAATTTGATTACAACAAATAGAATAATAATGAGTTTGTATTATATGCAAAGTATTATGAAAGGGACAAAAATGAACAAAATCAATTCCTTGTCCTCAAGAAGTTTTTGTGTAAGGCAAGATGAATAAATAAATCAGTAATTATATAAGATAAATTTGTACTATAGCATAAATGTAAACAACTACTCAGGAAACATAAAAGTAAGTGCCATTAAATCATAGATAATTTAGCATTGAATTTTGATGTTTGACAGATGGGGAAGATCATTGAGAACTAAGAACAGCTTGAGCAGAGGTTTCCATGGAAATTATCCCCAGGTCATACTAGACCCGATGTTATGGAAAGATGTAGTAAGAGTTGCGACTTTCCCACTGGAATGTAAGCTATGTATGGAGGAATTTTGATTTTGTCATCACTGTATCTGCTATATCTAGCATTATGCCTCGTATATAGTAGGTACTCAATAAATATTTGCTGAATGAGTGAATAAATGAATAAATAGTAGGTTCAGATCAGATTGTATTTATTTGGGGAAACCTTAAATGCCACTTAAGAAATATAGGCTTGTTTATTATGCAATAGAGAACTTGAAGATATTTAAAGAGAGAAGTAATATAATCCCACATTTTATTAATAAGGTATCTTTAATAGTAATGTGATGGATATGTTGGAGAAACAATAGATTGGCAGCAAGATGACTATTGTAGTAGAAGAATGACAGGAAATCATTCAACAGTATATCAGTGGAAGAAAAAAGAAAGGATCCATGTCAGATACTTGAATGTTAAGATCTATAGAATTTGTTAAGTGTTAAGACTCCTTAGCATAATACAAGTGATAGAAGCCCAATTCAAACTAGCATAAGAAAAAATAAGCAGAACTTACTAGGTCACAGAACTAGAAAATTTAGGTTGGACATGGTTTTAGGATTAGATAGATCCAAGGATGGATATCTCTACATATTAATCCTTATTCTGTTCATATATTTGACTGTATTCTGCCAAACAGGCTCTCTCCACATGACAAGTTTACATCCTCCCATCTTAACAATCTAAACAATAATGCCTTTTCTTTCCCAGCATCTGTGTAGTATAAAGTTAAGTGAATATCCCTTATCCAAAATGCTTAAGACCAAAAATGTTTCCAGATTTTGGATTCTGGATTATTTGCATATACATAATGAGACATCTTGAGGATGGGATCCAAGTGCAAACACAAAATTCATTTACATTTCATGTATTCCTTATACACATCCTGAAGGTAATTTTACACAATATTTTAAATCATTTTGTGCATGAAACAAAGTTTTTAACTGCATTTTGACTTCAACCTGTCACATGAGGTCAGGTATGGGATTTTCCACTCATGGCATCATGTTGGTGCTCAAAAAGTTTGGCTTTTGGAGCATTTTTGATTTTTGGATTAGGGATCCAACCTGTATATTACACATATTGGTTCTGTATGGGTAACATTCACATTCCTATGAAGAGAGGACCCCATGGTTGACATGAAATGAGATAAGTATAATTTTCTAGAAGAAACCATCATATGGAGTAGACAAAAACGGCAGATGCCCAATATAGTGAAAAGAAAAACTTAGAGCTCTCAATCAATTTTCTATCCTGAGTGAGTGGATAATGAGATCAGGAATAAAAGGGAAAAAAACTGTTTTTTAAATTAGTGAGAGACGTGTAACTTGGGTCATACTGAGTTCGAGTTGGTAGTGGGACTTCTATATGGGGATGATGAACAGCAGGAAAATATAAAGTTAGATAAATACATGAGTTGTGGGTCATATGTTCTCAGGGCCTCCTGAGGGCTGTGTCATGGGCCATGGTCACTCATATTTGGCTCAGAATAAATCTCTTCAAAATATTGTACAGTTTGACTTTTTGTTAACAATATTTTGGCACCCAAACATGTTGGGCCTCAGAGAAGACTCAGGACCCCACAGGAGTTGCCCAAACTCAGTGCTAAGGTACCAGCAGGGGCCCACTGAAGCCTCCCTGACTTTGAGCTTCTCCTCTGGTGGAGCTCATGTGTCCTCCTGAGCCCGCACCTCCCTTTGGTTGAGGGTCCTTGATCTATTCTGAGCTGGTTTTTTTTTCTCCTAGGAAGTTGCTGTTTAAGGATCCTAATTCTAGCTCCGATCCTAATTTAATTCTAGCATTCAAAGAGTCTTCTCCATTGCTTTTCTCCCAAAATTAATCTCAATTTGGCCTGGTGCACATTTGAGTGAGGAACTGAATTGTTGTTTTCATAGGTAAATGAGAGACTGCGTTTCTTCAGCTCCAAAGAGAAAGGGTATTTGCTCCTCCCACCTGAAAAGCACCCCTGGGTGGCCAGGGGCCTCATGGGAGTGTCTGGGGTGCGGCAGCCCTACAGGGAACCCCCAACAAAATTAGTTTTAAAAAGGCTTGTCCAGGAAGCACATATAGGAGCTGATCACTCCATACTTTGAGCCCATCTGGAGGGGCTTAGATCTCCAGAGAGAAAAACTGAGACACATAAGACAGTGGCAACGACTCACTGTAGAGTCCTGCTCGCAAGCAGCAAACACTTCAATCCACTCCACAAAAGCCCTAGGCCACAGCTCAATTCCTCCTTTAAAATAAAATAAAATAAAAAGTGTGGGAAACAAATAATCTAAGAATGAGGAGAAAACAAGGAGAATAGCCTCCCTTCAAGCACTCTAGGTTTTGTGGTGCCTCTACTTGCCAGAGTTTGTGTAAAATGGAAGTAATATGGTCTTTGTGCACATTTACATTAAGGAAAAAAAGCCTTAAGATCGACCTGCAAACGACAGAGTTCCTAAGTTCTCTTTTTTTTCTATTTTCGTTTTTTCCTACTTTAAATCTGCTGTTACTTTTCCACTGAGATAAACACTGTTTGGGTCTAAGAGGTGTTTTTTTTTTTTTTTTTTTTTGGCAACCCAAGGAATTTGTATTTATCTCATGGCTAAAGTTCTGAAGTAAAAGCTATAGGGTCTTTGTGTGTGTGTGTGTGTGTGTGTGTGTGTGTGTGTGTGTGTGTGTATGTGTGTGTATTTAAAAGGTCCTTATAATTTCTATAATTTTTTGTTTAATTGGCAATTAAATCTGTTTTAACTTCCCTCTAGCACACCAGACTTTCTCTCTCAGTACCTTGAGATGTAAATTTTGCTATCTGATTTTCCCCTAAGAGTTGTTTCCTTTAATATGCAAATTTAAGGCCACTTAGCTGACAACTGCCTGAATAGTGAAACAGGTTATCAAGAATTTAAAAGCCTAAGATAGGAAAAAAAAAAAAAAAGAAAAAAGGTCTTATGAATCTATAAGATGTATTTCTATTAGCATGCACAAATATGTCTATGTATTTGTGTTGTGTACACAATGTTTCAGTACTAAAAATATATAAAACAGCTCTAGCTAATTGGCTAAAATATAAAAGCACTTAAATCGGATAATCAAAAGAAAAGACTAGTCAAATGCTTTTTCAAGTTAATGTGATTTAAGTAAAATTTTTAATAAAATAATCTGGCTTTAAAATTATTGGTAAAATAATATTAGAGATGTCTTAAAAATTGTTAGCATTTTTGATCTACTGGTTTTGTGCTCACTCCTGCAGAATTCTATAAGCCATAAGGGTTATAAAACTATAGCATTTTTGATCAAGTGGTTTTGTGCTTACTTTGGCAGAATACTATAAGCCATAAGGGTTATAAAACTATAAAATCCAGCTCAAGACAAAATGATCTTTGCTTGTATAATTTTCGACAAGTAAGACATGGAATATTCTTGGTTTAATGAAAACAGCTAAATCCCAAGTTATTGGTAAAAATACCCTTATATTTAACCTTAAGTTTCTTACTTAAGTAAGCACCTAAAATTCACAGCTATAAAAATAGTTAACAGGGAAATAAAGAATGACTATCACAGTTTTTGTAAATAATCTAGGTAAATTATTTAATAAATCAATCGATCAGGTAAATGTAATGGAATAAACAAATGCCTGTAAACAAACATGTTATATAATTTAGGATCTAATGTTATTAATAAATATTAAGTATCTGGGTAATTTCCAATTAAAAATTATAGGAAAAAAATTTTTAATGTTCTTATGAAAAGGTAAATGTATTTGTCTAACTGAAAGCTTATTTAAGGGTTATGTATAAAACAAGATAAAAGGAACCAAAAAATAAGAAATGTAAAAAGGTTAAAAATATAGAGAGGTGCTTTTGATAGAAAGGTAAAAAGGAAAGTCATTTTATACTAGAAAGAATCCTGTTTGGTAAATTTTTGTCCTACAATAAAATGGGTTGTTCAAGAAAAAGGGATATTTAGGACAAAACAGAAAGTCTAAGCATGTTGTAAATGTTCTATGTAAGTCATAATAAGGTTAGTAAAAAGGATTTTTTTAAAAGGGGTTGTATAATTCAGTTGGCTCAGCAAAAGAAATAATCGGCATAGTTAACAGACAAAGTCTTCACAATCTATACATCCAACAAAGGACTAATACCCAGAATCTATGAAGAATTCTAACAAATCAGAAAGAAAAAACAACCCCATCAAAAAGTGGGCAAAGGACGTGAATAGACAATTCTCAAAAGAATATATACAAATGGCCAACAAGCATATGTAAAAATGCTCAACATCACTAATTACCAGGGAAATGCAAATCAAAACCACAATGCAATACCACCTTACCCCTCCTGCAAGAATGGCCATAATCAAAAAATAAAAAGAAATAGATGTTGGCATGGATATGGTGAAAGGGAACACTTTTACACTATTGGTGGGAATGTAAACTAAAACAACCACTATGGAAAACAGTGTGGAGATTCCTTCAAGAACTAAAAGTAGATCTACTGTTTGATCCAACAATTCCACTACTAGGTATCTACCCAGAGGAAAAGAAATAATTATATGAAAAAGATACTTGCACTTGCATGTTTATAGCAGCACAATTTACAATTGCAAAACTATGGAATCACCCCAGAAGCGCATCAATCAACAAGTGGATAAAGAAAATGTGGGATATATATACCATGAAATACTACTCAGCCATAAAAAGGAATGAAATAATGGCATTTGCAGCAACCTGGATGGAATTGGAGACTATTATTCCAAGTGAAGTAACTCAGGAATAGAAAACCAAACATCATTTGTTCTCACTCATAAGTGGGAGCTAAGCCATGAGGACACAAATGCATAAGAATGATACATTGGACTTTGGGGAGTAGGGGGAAAGGGTGGGAGAGGGTGAGGGATAAAAGACTACACATTGGGGGCTGGGCATGGTGGCTCATGCCTGTCATCCCAGCACTTTGGGAGGCCAAGGTGGGCGGATCACGAGGTCAGGAGATCAAGACCATCCTGGCCAACATAGTGAAACTCCATCTCTACTAAAAATACAAAAATTGGCCGGGCGTGGTGGCATGTGCCTGTAATCCCAGCTACTCAGGAAGCTGAAGCAGGAGAATAGCTTGAACCAGGGAGTCGGAGGTTTCAGTGAGCCAAGATCGTGCCACAGCATTCCAGCCTGGCAACAGAGTGAGACTCCGTCTCAAAAAAACAAAAACAAAACAAAACAAAAAAACACTACACATTTCGTACAGTGTACACTGCTCGGGTGATGGATGCACCAAAATCTCAGAAATCACCACTAAAGAACTTATTCATGCAACCAAACACCACCTGCTCCCTGCAAACTTATTGAAATAAAAGTAAATTTAAAAATATACATGAGTTGTGAATTTAGTATAAAGATGAGAGTCAAAACCACAACTATGAATGAAATAGAAAATATAGAGAAAAAAGGCAGCTAAGAATAGATAGCTATGGAACAGAGAAGAAATGGAGTCTGGTATAGTAGGAGCCTGTAGTGATCAGACAAGTTCGGAGAGAACAAGGAAACAGTCATAAAAGTCAAGAAAGAAAGAGGAATATTAATTTGACTGACTGAATGCTAGAAATGGACTCTAACTAATATAAGCAAAACAAATTTATTGGACGAATATATAGCTGCATATAGAAGGGAATGCAAAAACTAAAGAACCAGGCTTGGCACACTCAGGAACTAGGCAGCTCCAAAGAGTTGAAATAGCAGTTGCTGCCTGACATTTTCCCCTAATGTAGCCAACGGAATGCAAACAAAAACAAAGGCTATTCAGTTTTGTTCCTTTTTCCACAATTCACTTTTTAAGGAAACAGTTCAATTGGCCTACCTTGGTTTACATTTCTGCTTCTTACCCAGAGCAAGGCAAATGATTAGCAGTCCCATGGGACTCATCAGTGGTAGAGCAGAAATTTTTCATTACCAAAGAAGATGGAGTAGAAGTTGAACACTTAGGAAAAAAAAATAAACATAAACAAAAAATACACACAACAATGTCCACTACAGAGGATTTATTTAACAGTGTTAGTAAAGAAAATATTTCTTCTCAGTAGAGCTGTTTGGAGTATCCCTTTCCCCCTAAAAAACATGTGGTGAGCTTTATTATGAAGTCGTAGACATTTTGGATTAAACATACTAGAAATATTCTGTCAACCTGATGTGGTAGGCAGAATTATGCCTCTCCCAAAGATGTCCATGTCCTAATTCCTACAGTTTGTGAATATGGTACCTTGCATGAAAAAGGAAAATTAAATTTTTTCTAATTAGTTCATGTGAAAATAGGGAGATTATCCTGGACTATCCCTGTGCACCCACTGTAATCACAAAGGTCCTTAAAAGTGGAAGAGAGAGGCTGAAGAGGAAGTAAGAGTGATGAGCTGTAAGAAGCACTCAATGCCATTGCTGGCTTTGAAGATGGAGGAAGGGGGCCAATAATTGTGGAATATGGGCAGCCTCTAGGAGGTAGAAAGAACAGGGAAACCAATTCTCCTCTAGTCTCCAGAAAGGAACACAACCCTTCTCACATCTTGATTTTAGCCCAGTGAGACCTGTGTTAGGCTTCTAACCTTCTGAACTATAAGACGATTTTGTGTTGTTTTAAGCCACAAACTTTATAGTAATTTGTTACAGCAGCAGTAGAAAATGAATGCTCTCCACTCCATTTTGAAAATAGAGAAAACAGAGAGTTAGGTTAAGTGGATTTGTTAAATCGTCTGAGAAAAAAACAGGACTGAAACCAAGGCTCTAGATTCCCAAGCCAGTGTTTCACTGAACTTCACACAGATGTGTTAGAGGGTCTTACCACTATAACTCATGATTATTTGGAAACACAGAAAGGATAAAGAAGGAAACTCAAGTTTAATTTCTTTTAAAAATTATGTTAAATAATTATTCAGGGTCTAATTAAAGAGAATGAATTCAAATATAATTTCTTAGTTTTTCTGACCTATAAGTTGAAGTTGCTATTTAAATACTATCTGTTGGATATGGCAGAACCACTGCAGAACATTAAGGTGATTTTTACTTTTTTATTTCCAAACATTTTATTATATACTACTTATAACCACATGTATTCTCTAAGAAACAATGACTCTTGCTAAATAAAAGCCATTTGTTTTATCAGTAACTATGCAAGTGTAGGAGTGGCTAGAGAGCTGAAATGGTCTGTTTAATTAAAGGAGAATTCAAAATTAAGAGTAATCTGGAAAGAAGGGAGATAGAAAGGGAAAATTAGTAAGATTGAAGGAGTCAGGAGCAGCTATTGCAGATAAAGGATCTAACAATTGATTCTGAGTTGTTTCCTATGTATCACTTAAGGTAGCCCCCAAATCTTCAATTAAAGTTTTGCTACAAGCAACGGCCCATCTTTGTGGTTACTCTGAAGGAAATGATAAAGTATAAAGGGCATTTTCACCTTTGACTTAAAATTATGACAGAGAAATGAATAGCTGTAAGATATTATCGAACAAAGACCAAAAACTCTTGACAGACAGGAAATCAGAAAACCAGAGAGTCTCAGAAAATATATGACCTGTATATGTAAATATAAACCTATAAGAGGTGTGTATAAAATCATGGGGAAAGTTTTGGATATAAAATCCATGTAATTGGGATTGGAATCAACTTTTTGTAGAGTTAAGTAGCTGAATGGCCCCAGCTGACCTCTGGGCTACAAAATCACAACCTCACCACCAACAATTGTAATTGTAACTAAAATTTACAAAAGCTTATCTTATCTACCAGGCTCTGCACTAAAACCCTTTAAATATATTACTTCACATAATTCGCACAACAATTGACTGTTTTGTGAATTATATGAAGTAATATATCTAAAGACCTGTTATATTCCCATTTCACAAAATGAAGATCAGACAGATACAGGTAATATAACTTGCCCAAATTTTTATACCTAGGAAATCAAGAACCATATATACTTCATTTCAACCCAGATCTGTCTCATTCCAGAACAATAACCAGTAAAACCAGTGTTTCCAAAAGTCTAGTTTAACCAATCTGAAAAGTGGTTTTAATTTGTGTGCTGAAAAAAATGTGTATAAAATTTTATATGTTTGAGAGCCACTTATGTGACATTTCTCTCCATTACTTTTATCCACTTCTGTATTGAGTTGTTAACATTTTTCTTACTGATTCCTAGGGGCTCTGCATATTTGCTAAATCCTAACTTTTTCTAGCCTGTATATGTGGCAATTATCTTCTCCCCATTCATGGTGTATTAATCAGTGTTCTCTAAGAGAAACAGAACCAGTAGGATATATGGAAGGGGATTTATTAAGGGAAATTGGCTCATGGTATCACCAAGGAGAAGAGAATCCAGTAGTGGCTCAGTCCATGTTCAGGAACCCCAGAACCAGGGAAGCTGACAGTCCAGCTTCCCAGTCAGGCACCAGAGCCCTGGGAAACCTCTGGTGCAAGTTGCTGAGTCCAAAAGCTGAAAAACTTGGAGTCTTGTGTCCAAAGGCAGAAGGAGAACAAGTATCCTGCTCCAGGAAAGGAGTGTCGGGGGAGGAGAAAGGGATGGAGGGAAAGAGAGAAGAGGGAGGGAGATAGAGAGAATCACCAATCACCTCTTTTTTCCCCTGTTTTTTCTCATCCCTAGGCCCCCAACTGATCGTACGGTGCCTGCCCACATTGAGAGTGGGTCTTCTTCTGTCAGTCCACTGACTCACAGGTTAATCTCTTCTGGAAACACCCTCACAGACACATCCAGAAGCATCCCCCAGTTCAGTCGAGTTGACACCTGAAATAAACCATCACATATGGTTAGACTTTTTATTTCCTTTCTAGTATTTCTGAAGTATTTAATATTTTATCAGCTTTATTAAAGATAGTTGACATATTTAAGTGTGCAATAATTTTTAAAATTTATGTACACACAAAACCATCAGTACAATTACAATAATGAATATATTCATCACCTTAAAAAGTTTCCTCTTGCTCCTTTGTAATCTTTCCCTCATGCCCCTCCTTGCCCACCAAGTCCTAGTCAATGATGTGCCTGCTTTCTGTCACTATAGTTTAGCTTGCATTTCATTGAATTTAAATGATGGGCTCAAGCAGTATGTATTCTTATTTGGTATGGCTTCTTTCACTCTGCATAATTATTTTTAGATTAATCCATGTTGTTTCACATATCAAGAGTTCACTGGTTTTTATTGTTGAGTAGTATTTCATTGTATGGCTATGTGTACACATTCACCTGCTGATCAATATTTACAATATTTCCAATTTTGGCTATTACAGTAAAGCTACTGTGAGTATTCGTATACAGGTCTTTGTACGATTTTATGCTTTCATTTAACTTGGGTGAATCCTAGGAGTAGAATGGCTGGATCATATGAGACATATATGTTTAATTTTTAAAGAAATTGCCAAGCTGTTTTTCTAAGATAGTCTAACATTTTACATTCCCAACAGTATGAGGGTTCTAATTGTTCCACACTCTCACCAGTACTTTAGTATGATCAATCCTTTTAATTTTTAATTTTAGATATTCTAACAAATGTGTAATAGTATTCTATTATGGTAATAATTTACATTTAGCTAATGATAGTAATCTTGAGCATCTTTTTCTGTGCCTACTTGCCATCCATGCATCTTTTTTTGGTGAAATATCTATTCAAACATTTTGCCCACTTTTATTGGGTTCTCTATTTTTATTATTGCATTTTGAGAGTTCTTTATTCTGAATACAGTTATTTTATCAGATGTTATTTGCAAACATATTCATTTAATCTGTGGTTTATCTTTCATTCTACTAATACTGTCCGTCAAAGAACAGAAGTTCTTAATTTTAACGAAATTCAATTTATCATTTTTTTTCTTTTTTGGATCATGATTTTGCTGTCATATCTAACAAATTTTTGCTTAGCACTAGGGCACAAACTCCAAGTACAGATGGCTTCACTAGTGAATTCTACCAAATATTTAAGAATAAAATAATACCAATTCTACACAAAGTCTTCCCCAAAATTAAAGATGGGGATATACATCTTAACTTATGCTATGGCACCAACATTACTCTGTTACCAACACCAGACAAAGATGTTACAAGAAAGAAATCTACAGGCTGGGCACAGTGGCTGACGCCTGTAATCCCAACACTTTGGGAGGAGAAGGCAGGTGGATCACCTGAGGTCAGGAGTTCAAGACCAGCCTGGCCGACATGGCGAAACCCCATCTCTACTAAAATACAAAAAAAAAAAAAAAATTAGCCAGGCATGGTGGCAGGCACCTGTAATCCCAACAACTCAGGAGGCTGAGGCAGGAGAATCACTTGAACCCGGGAGGCGGAGGTTGCAGTGAGCCAAGATCGCGCCATTGGACTCCAGTCTGGGCGACAAGTGAGACTCTGTCACAAAAAAAAAAAAAAAAAAAAAAAAGAAATCTACAAACCAGTATCAATTACTAGCATACATGCAAAAATTCTAAATGAAATGGTAACACATTAAATCCAATAACATATAAAAGGGATAATACATCATTGCCAAGTGGGGCTTATATCAGAAATGCAAGATTATCTTAACATTTGAAAAGCAATCAGTGTATTATAATTTACCATATTAACAGAGTAAAATGTTGAAATCATAATCATCCCAATAGATGCAGAAAATCATTTCACAAAATCCAATTTCATTTCTGATTTTAAAACAACTTTCATCTAGGAATAGAAGGGAACTTCTTCATCCAAATGTATGACATCTACCTAAACCCTTAGGCTAACAAGTGTTGAAACATCAAATTCTTTCTTCCTGAGATCAGAAACATGATAAGAGTGATTGCTTTCACCACTTCTATTTAACATTTTACTGAAAGTTCTAGTCTGTGCATTAAAATTTTTAAAGTTCAACTTACAGTAGCATCAAGTATATTAAATACTTAGGAATAAATGTGACAAAAGAGGTTCAAGACCTGTAAACGTAAAACTATAAAATATTGCTGTGAGAAGTTAACACGGTGGCGTGGTGCCTCATGCCTGTAATCCCAGAACTTTGAGAGGCCAAGGTGGGTGGATCACCTGAGGTCAGGAGTTTGAGGCCAGCCTGGCCAACATGGTGAAACCCCATCTCTACTAAAAATACAAAAATTAGTTGGGCATGGTGGCACATGCCTGTAATCCCAGTTACTCAGGAGGCTGAGGCAGGAGAATTGCTTGAACCCTGGAGGGGGAGGTTGCAGTGAGCCGAGATCGCGCCATTGCACTCCAGCCTGGCGACAGAGTGAGACTCCGTCTCAAAAAAAAAAAAAAAAAAGTTAAGGAAGAGCTAAGTTAATGAAGTGATAAGCCATGTTCATGCATCAGAAGACTCAATTTTGTTATGATGTCACTTCCTCCTAAAATTTATCTACAGATTCAATGGATTCCCAAGCAAAATTACATCACCTTTTTTTTTTCATTGACAAGCTGATTCTAACATTCACATGGAAGTGCAAAGGATTTAGAAAGAATAGCTAACACAACTCTGAAAAAGAAAAAGCAAGTTGTAACATATACACTGCCTGATTTAAAGACTTATGATAAAGCTTCACTAATTAAGATAGTATGATTTTGGTGTAAAGACAGACATGTAGTCAGAAATAGACCCATACGTATACTTTCAGTTGATTCTTGACAAAGGTGCAAAAGGTTCAAAGGTACATTTTGAGTGAAGAAAGGAATATCTTTGAAACAAACTGCTGTAACAGTGGATATCCATCTTTTAAAAAGAACTTTGATCCATACCTCATGCAAAATACAAAAGTTAACTCAAAATGTATCATATTCCTAATGAAAACCTACAGCTGTAAGAGATTTTTTAGTTAGATTTTGTTATTAATTTCTACCATTGTTGCGCTGTTGTCAGAGTACATTTCCTGTGTTATCTCATTCTTCCAATTTGTTTAGACATGCTCTATGACCAAGTTAAATGGTCAAATCTTATACCTGTCACAAGTCAGCATGAATGAAAAGAATGTGTGTTCTGCAGTTATTTCGTTGTGTTTCATATATGTCTATTAAGTTAAATTTGTTAATCATGTTCAAGTGTTGTATAAGCTTACTGATTTTTGGATACTTAATCTAGCAAATACTGATGGAGGGTAATAAAATCTCCCACTACAGGATGATGGATTTGTTGATTTTTCTTTGTAATTTTCCCAATATTTGCTTTCTATATTTTTAAGATAATGTTACTAGAAGCATCATGTGATAGAGTTGACCTCATTCATTCATTTAGCTACATTTCCTGAGCTTGTGTGATCTGCCAGTTCAGTCTAAGAGAAGAGGCAGATAAGCAAACTCTATCTAATGCAGTGTGTGTTTCTAATGCACAGTGTTATAAGTATACAATGGTTTTTGTGAAATCACTGAGAAGGAGGGTATTTAACTCTGACTTTGGGAAAAACTGCTCAGAAAAAGGATTGCTACACTTGAGCATTGAAGTGGAAGTGGAAGTTGGCCAGAGGGCTTGAGAGATGGGGACAAACATGTGAAGCAGAACATGCATTTGAGCCTATACAGAGGCAGTGAAATGTGAGTGTGGTCACGTCAATCAGGGAAATGTAAATACTCCAATATGGGAGGATCGTTATGGGGAAATGGGAAAAGATGTAGATGCTGAAGTAGAAAATAACTGGATTAAAGGGGGCTTGTACCTATCCTAATGTGTTTTTATTTTATCCTGACGGTGAAAGGGAGCTATTGAAGGATTCTACAGAGGAATGAGTGATTTGTGTTCTAAAAATAACTCAGTACCAGGGTAAACAATGAATTTTAAAAGCTCAAGACTAAAGACACTGCCAGTTGCGTTCCCAAAGTCCATTTTTTCTCTTCCTTCTTACCAACAAAAGCACAGTTTTGTTTGGGTTTATATTGTTTTTAAAAAGTGTTGCTTCCATGGCTCCCTTACAGCTCAGGGTGAATATGTGATCAATTTGAGCAAGAAGATGTAAGCTAAGGATTTATTTAAAAATTTTCAATTTTCTGGTGTAGGTACTTCTCCTTCCTACCTATCTTTCCACTTTTTTTTTTTTTTTTTTTTTTTTGCCTGGATACAAGGACAAAACCACTTTCTCCACATAGGAGATCAGAAAGATAGAGAAGCCTAGTTTTTGATGACATTGTTGAATCTCTGAAATACATAATCCCCTTTTAAGCTTCTGTTGGTTAGGTTTCATGTTATTTTCAGCTACTGAACACAATCCTAAATAATACACAGTAAACATTTGTCTTCCATATTTCAAATTCTACATTGATGATAGCATAGAATGACACATGCTTCCTTAGAAAATCACCCTTCCTTAGATATCCTTAGATATTTTCCCCCATGTTGCTCTTTCCATCATCCGGTCTTATCAATCCTGTCTCCTTAACAATAGTGTCTATTCTTTGTGGACAACATAGAGTCTTACATATTTTATAACACAAAGTAGGTACTCTAAATGTGAACTGTACTATTCCTCCTTTCCCCTCTATTTGTATAATACATTTGGATAACAATTTGGCAACCTGTATAAAGCAATTGTTTTTTCTTCCTGTAAATAAGAAAATAAGTATGTGATAAAATTGAAAGAAAAAAATTCAACTGGAAAAACTGAAAATAGATCAGCTAATACAAAAAATGTGGTATTCTTTTCTTTAATTTTTAAGTAAATTATCAGTTTTTCTGAGATTAAAAGTTCATCTCTAAGAGCCTTCTTGTTTCCAAAACAAGTCTGCTTCACTATACAGCCAAAAGAATAAAAAAGCAGCTATAGTCTCCCTGTTGATTAGACTATTAGATTTAACTAGTCTTGTTACTAATATTCATAAGGCCTGTGAAATACATATTATACTAGCTAACCAGTAAGAAAAAAGTTAGATGATTGTTTCATTTCTTGTACCAAAATTAATTCCAAAAGTATTACAGATATACATGCAATAAGTAAAATCCTGGAAGTGTTGTAAGAAAACATAAGTAAATTTTTTATAATGATAGAGTAGAGAAAAATTTTCTAAAAGTGTAACACAAAACTGGAAACCATAAAATAAAAAAGCATATATATGCCTATGTGGCAAAAAGAAAAAAAAAAAAAAAGGAAGGAAAAAGAAAAGCCAGCCAAAAAATTACAAAAGATTAGTCAAAGATCTAATATTATTTAAATATAAATAACACCTACAAATCTTATTTACAAGTAAGATGAAAAGTGGTAAAGAAAATTAGCAGTCAACCCCAAAACAGCCAAAAAATACTTGAAAAGAAATTCAGATTTATACATGCAAAATAAAATAATAATAGGATAAGATTCTCTACATATCTGATTCATAACTACCATAAAGAATGATAACACTTTATCTAAGACTTGTTAATATATGTGTTAAAAGGTATTTTTATATTGTATGGAAGAGAGGATTAATTTGTATGATTCACTTGGAGAACAATTTGACATCCTATTTCTATCAATGTATTATAAAAAGGTGGAAAGCAAAAATAATGAGTTAATAAATATAACATAGAAAAACAAATCAGGGTGGTCTCTTCACATGGACGCGCGTGAAATTTGGTGCCGTGACTCAGATCGGGGGACCTCCCTTGGGAGATCAATCCCCCGTCCTCCTGCTCTTTGCTCCGTGAGAAAGATCAACCTACGACCTCAGGTCTTCAGACCGACCAGCCCAAGAAACATCTCACCAATTTCAAATCCGCCACATCTCCAGCACACAAGAACTTCCAAACGCCTGAACTGCAGCGGCCAGGCGTTCCTCCAGAAACTCCTCCCCCAGGAGCTCTCTACAAGTGCCAGAAATCTGACCACCAGGCCAAGGAATGCCTGCAGCCCAGGATTCCTCCTAAGCTGTGTCCCATCTGTGCGGGACCCCACTGGAAATTGGACTGTTCAACTCACCTGGCAGCCACTCCCAGAGCCTGTGGAACTCTGGCCCAAGGCTCTCTGACAGACTCCTTCTCGGCTTAGCGGCTGAAGACTGATGCTGCTCGATCGCCTCGGAGGCCCGGTAGACCATCACAGACGCCGAGCTTTGGGTAACTCTCACAGTGGAAGAATTGTAGGGGAGGAGCCAAGATGGCCGAATAGGAACAGCTCCGGTCTACAGCTCCCAGCGTGAGCGACGCAGAAGACGGTGATTTCTGCATTTCCATCTGAGGTACCGGGTTCATCTCACTAGGGAGTGCCAGACAGTGGGCGCAGGCCAGTGTGTGTGCGCACCGTGCGCGAGCCGAAGCAGGGCGAGGCATTGCCTCACCTGGGAAGCGCAAGGGGTCAGGGAGTTCCCTTTCCGAGTCAAAGAAAGGGGTGACGGACGCACCTGGAAAATCGGGTCACTCCCACCCGAATATTGCGCTTTTCAGACCGGCTTAAGAAACGGCGCACCACGAGACTATATCCCACACCTGGCTCGGAGGGTCCTACGCCCACGGAATCTCGCTGATTGCTAGCACAGCAGTCTGAGATCAAACTGCAAGGCGGCAACGAGGCTGGGGGAGGGGCGCCCGCCATTGCCCAGGCTTGCTTAGGTAAACAAAGCAGCCGGGAAGCTCGAACTGGGTGGAGCCCACCACAGCTCAAGGAGGCCTGCCTGCCTCTGTAGGCTCCACCTCTGGGGGCAGGGCACAGACAAACAAAAAGACAGCAGTAACCTCTGCAGACTTAAGTGTCCCTGTCTGACAGCTTTGAAGACACCAGTGGTTCTCCCAGCACGCAGCTGGAGATCTGAGAACGGGCAGACTGCCTCCTCAAGTGGGTCCCTGACTCCTGACCCCCGAGCAGCCTAACTGGGAGGCACCCCCCAGCAGAGGCACACTGACACCTCACACGGCAGGGTATTCCAACAGACCTGCAGCTGAGGGTCCTGTCTGTTAGAAGGAAAACTAACAACCAGAAAGGACATCTACACCGAAAACCCATCTGTACATCACCATCATCAAAGACCAAAAGTAGATAAAACCACAAAGATGGGGAAAAAACAGAACAGAAAAACTGGAAACTCTAAAACGCAGAGCGCCTCTCCTCCTCCAAAGGAACGCAGTTCCTCACCAGCAACAGAACAAAGCTGGATGGAGAATGATTTTGACGAGCTGAGAGAAGAAGGCTTCAGACGATCAAATTACTCTGAGCTACGGGAGGACATTCAAACCAAAGGCAAAGAAGTTGAAAACTTTGAAAAAAATTTAGAAGAATGTATAACTAGAATAACCAATACAGAGAAGTGCTTAAAGGAGCTGATGGAGCTGAAAACCAAGGCTCGAGAACTACGTGAAGAATGCAGAAGCCTCAGGAGCCGATGCGATCAACTGGAAGAAAGGGTATCAGCAATGGAAGATGAAATGAATGAAATGAAGCGAGAAGGGAAGTTTAGAGAAAAAAGAATAAAAAGAAATGAGCAAAGCCTCCAAGAAATATGGGACTATGTGAAAAGACCAAATCTACGTCTGATTGGTGTACCTGAAAGTGATGTGGAGAATGGAACCAAGTTGGAAAACACTCTGCAGGATATTATCCAGGAGAACTTCCCCAATCTAGCAAGGCAGGCCAACGTTCAGATTCAGGAAATACAGAGAACGCCACAAAGATACTCCTCGAGAAGAGCAACTCCAAGACACATAATTGTCAGATTCACCAAAGTTGAAATGAAGGAAAAAATGTTAAGGGCAGCCAGAGAGAAAGGTCGGGTTACCCTCAAAGGAAAGCCCATCAGACTAACAGCGGATCTCTCGGCAGAAACCCTACAAGCCAGAAGAGAGTGGGGGCCAATATTCAACATTCTTAAAGAAAAGAATTTTCAACCCAGAATTTCATATCCAGCCAAACTAAGCTTCATAAGTGAAGGAGAAATAAAATACTTTATAGACAAGCAAATGTTGAGAGATTTTGTCACCACCAGGCCTGCCCTAAAAGAGCTCCTGAAGGAAGCGCTAAACATGGAAAGGAACAACCGGTACCAGCCGCTGCAAAATCATGCCAAAATGTAAAGACCATCGAGACTAGGAAGAAACTGCATCAACTAATGAGCAAAATCACCAGCTAACATCATAATGACAGGATCAAATTCACACATAACAATATTAACTTTAAATATAAATGGACTAAATTCTGCAATTAAAAGACACAGACTGGCAAGTTGGATAAAGAGTCAAGACCCATCAGTGTGCTATATTCAGGAAACCCATCTCACGTGCAGAGACACACATAGGCTCAAAATAAAAGGATGGAGGAAGATCTACCAAGCCAATGGAAAACAAAAAAAGGCAGGGGTTGCAATCTTAGTCTCTGATAAAACAGACTTTAAACCAACAAAGATCAAAAGAGACAAAGAAGGCCATTACATAATGGTAAAGGGATCAATTCAACAAGAGGAGCTAACTATCCTAAATATTTATGCACCCAATACAGGAGCACCCAGATTCATAAAGCAAGTCCTGAGTGACCTACAAAGAGACTTAGACTCCCACACATTAATAATGGGAGACTTTAACACCCCACTGTCAACATTAGACAGATCAACGAGACAGAAAGTCAACAAGGATACCCAGGAATTGAACTCAGCTCTGCACCAAGCAGACCTAATAGACATCTACAGAACTCTCCACCCCAAATCAACAGAATATACATTTTTTTCAGCACCACACCACACCTATTCCAAAATTGACCACATAGTTGGAAGTAAAGCTCTCCTCAGCAAATGTAAAAGAACAGAAATTATAACAAACTATCTCTCAGACCACAGTGCAATCAAACTAGAACTCAGGATTAAGAATCTCACTCAAAGCCGCTCAACTACATGGAAACTGAACAACCTGCTCCTGAATGACTACTGGGTACATAATGAAATGAAGGCAGAAATAAAGATGTTCTTTGAAACCAACGAGAACAAAGACACCACATACCAGAATCTCTGGGACGCACTCAAAGCAGTGTGTAGAGGGAAATTTATAGCACTAAATGCCTACAAGAGAAAGCAGGAAAGATCCAAAATTGACACCCTAACATCACAATTAAAAGAACTAGAAAAGCAAGAGCAAACACATTCAAAAGCTAGCAGAAGGCAAGAAATAACTAAAATCAGAGCAGAACTGAAGGAAATAGAGACACAAAAAACCCTTCAAAAAATCAATGAATCCAGGAGCTGGTTTTTTGAAAGGATCAACAAAATTGATAGACCGCTAGCAAGACTAATAAAGAAAAAAAGAGAGAAGAATCAAATAGACACAATAAAAAATGATAAAGGGGATATCACCACCGATCCCACAGAAATACAAACTACCATCAGAGAATACTACAAACACCTCTACGCAAATAAACTAGAAAATCTAGAAGAAATGGATACATTCCTCGACACATACACTCTCCCAAGACTAAACCAGGAAGAAGTTGAATCTCTGAATCGACCAATAACAGGCTCTGAAATTGTGGCAATAATCAATAGTTTACCAACCAAAAAGAGTCCAGGACCAGATGGATTCACAGCCGAATTCTACCAGAGGTACAAGGAGGAACTGGTACCATTCCTTCTGAAACTATTCCAATCAATAGAAAAAGAGGGAATCCTCCCTAACTCATTTTATGAGGCCAGCATCATACTGATACCAAAGCCGGGCAGAGACACAACCAAAAAAGAGAATTTTAGACCAATATCCTTGATGAACATTGATGCAAAAATCCTCAATAAAATACTGGCAAACCGAATCCAGCAGCACATCAAAAAGCTTATCCACCATGATCAAGTGGGCTTCATCCCTGGGATGCAAGGCTGGTTCAATATACGCAAATCAATAAATGTAATCCAGCATATAAACAGAGCCAAAGACAAAAACCACATGATTATCTCAATAGATGCAGAAAAAGCCTTTGACAAAATTCAACAACCCTTCATGCTAAAAACTCTCAATAAATTAGGTATTGATGGGACGTATTTCAAAATAATAAGAGCTATCTATGACAAACCCACAGCCAATATCATACTGAATGGGCAAAAACTGGAAGCATTCCCTTTGAAAACCGGCACAAGACAGGGATGCCCTCTCTCACCGCTCCTATTCAACATAGTGTTGGAAGTTCTGGCCAGGGCAATCAGGCAGGAGAAGGAAATAAAGGGTATTCAATTAGGAAAAGAGGAAGTCAAATTGTCCCTGTTTGCAGACGACATGATTGTTTATCTAGAAAACCCCATCGTCTCAGCCCAAAATCTCCTTAAGCTGATAAGCAACTTCAGCAAAGTCTCAGGATACAAAATCAATGTACAAAAATCACAAGCATTCTTATACACCAACAACAGACAAACAGAGAGCCAAATCATGGGTGAACTCCCATTCACAATTGCTTCAAAGAGAATAAAATACCTAGGAATCCAACTTACAAGGGATGTGAAGGACCTCTTCAAGGAGAACTACAAACCACTGCTCAAGGAAATAAAAGAGGATACAAACAAATGGAAGAACATTCCATGCTCATGGGTAGGAAGAATCAATATCGTGAAAATGGCCATACTGCCCAAGGTAATTTACAGATTCAATGCCATCCCCATCAAGCTACCAATGACTTTCTTCACAGAATTGGAAAAAACTACTTTAAAGTTCATATGGAACCAAAAAAGAGCCCGCATTGCCAAGTCAATCCTAAGCCAAAAGAACAAAGCTGGAGGCATCACACTACCTGACTTCAAACTATACTACAAGGCTACAGTAACCAAAACAGCATGGTACTGGTACCAAAACAGAGATATAGATCAATGGAACAGAACAGAGCCCTCAGAAATAATGCCGCATATCTACAACTATCTGATCTTTGACAAACCTGAGAAAAACAAGCAATGGGGAAAGGATTCCCTATTTAATAAATGGTGCTGGGAAAACTGGCTAGCCATATGTAGAAAGCTGAAACTGGATCCCTTCCTTACACCTTATACAAAAATCAATTCAAGATGGATTAAAGATTTAAACGTTAAACCTAAAACCATAAAAACCCTAGAAGAAAACCTAGGCATTACCATTCAGGACATAGGCGTGGGCAAGGACTTCATGTCCAAAACACCAAAAGCAATGGCAACAAAAGACAAAATTGACAAATGGGATCTAATTAAACTAAAGAGCTTCTGCACAGCAAAAGAAACTACCATCAGAGTGAACAGGCAACCTACAACATGGGAGAAAATTTTTGCAACCTACTCATCTGACAAAGGGCTAATATCCAGAATCTACAATGAACTCAAACAAATTTACAAGAAAAAAACAAACAACCCCATCAAAAAGTGGGCGAAGGACATGAACAGACACTTCTCAAAAGAAGACATTTATGCAGCCAAAAAACACATGAAGAAATGCTCATCATCACTGGCCATCAGAGAAATGCAAATCAAAACCACTATGAGATATCATCTCACACCAGTTAGAATGGCAATCATTAAAAAGTCAGGAAACAACAGGTGCTGGAGAGGATGCGGAGAAATAGGAACACTTTTACACTGTTGGTGGGACTGTAAACTAGTTCAACCATTGTGGAAGTCAGTGTGGCGATTCCTCAGGGATCTAGAACTAGAAATACCATTTGACCCAGCCATCCCATTACTGGGTATATACCCAAATGAGTATAAATCATGCTGCTATAAAGACACATGCACACGTATGTTTATTGCAGCACTATTCACAATAGCAAAGACTTGGAACCAACCCAAATGCCCAACAATGATAGACTGGATTAAGAAAATGTGGCACATATACACCATGGAATACTATGCAGCCATAAAAAATGATGAGTTCATATCCTTTGTAGGGGCATGGATGAAATTGGAAACCATCATTCTCAGTAAACTATCGCAAGAACAAAAAACCAAACACCGCATATTCTCACTCATAGGTGGGAATTGAACAATGAGATCACATGGACACAGGAAGGGGAATATCACACTCTGGGGACTGTGGTGGGGTCGGGGGAGGGGGGAGGGATAGCATTGGGAGATATACCTAATGCTAGATGACACATTAGTGGGTGCAGTGCACCAGCATGGCACATGTATACATATGTAACTAACCTGCACAATGTGCACATGTACCCTAAAACTTAGAGTATAATAAAAAAAAAAAAAAAAAAAAAAAAAAAAAGAATTGTAAAAAAAAAAATTATAAATAAAACAAAGAAGAATATGTGAGAGGAGCTGAATGTGCCCCATAAAGCCTAAAAAAAAAAAAAAAAAAAAAAAAAAAAAAGAAAAACAAATCAACAAATTAGAAAAAAATTGACTATATAAACAAATCCAACCCTTGTAGCTTCAAAATGAGATACACAATAATTTAGGCAAAGACTTTACCAGCCTAGTCATGATCCAAAAAAGGATGAGACTATCACTAGATCCCCAAAAATGCCAAAATGTTGCGGTCCCAAAGAACTGCATTTTGACAGAATAGAAAAATTAACATAGTTTGGGGTTGCTATGGTTTGAATATTTGTATTTCCTTAAAAATTCATGTGGATATTTAATCCCCAGTATAACAGTATTAAGAGATAGGGCCTTCAGGAGGAGATCTAGTGCCTTATAACAGGGCTGGAGGGAACTAGCTAGGCCCTTTTTTGCCCTTCCCCCTTTCATCATGTGAGGACACAGCAACAAGGTGCCATTTAAAAGCAGAGAGTGGTTTTTACCAGCCACAGAGCCTGTCAGTACCTTGACCTTGGACTTCCCACGCTCCAGAATTATGAAAAATAAATTTATATTATTTAAAAATTACCCAGTCTGTGGTATTTTATTATAGCATCAGACACAGACAAAGACATGGGCCAAGATAGTGAGTGCATAATGCTGTCCTTACCATGTAAATGCTGTTTTTGTTCCTCATCACTTTTATGGATAGAAAAGTTCCCATTCACCAGTTCAGTAGCTACAGAGGCTGTGTTGATTACAGTACAGCATCTGGGATTAGGGCTACCATCTAGTTAAATTTATAGTAGTCCACAGCATATGTTAAAATCCATCTCATTTTTACAGAGGTGAAATAGGCATACTGAACCGGGGGTATGATGAAAAGTACCACCTCTGTGCCCTGTATCCTTTAAATCTCTGATGGTGGTATTATTCTCTGCAATTCCTCCTGGGATATAGATGCTCTGATTTAATATCTTGCATGCTATATGCAAGGGAAGACATTTTTAAGGGCTTCTGCCTAGTCTTTCCCATTACAACAGCTTTTACTCCACAAATCAGAGAACCCATGTGAGGCTTCTGCCTCCTATTGAGTATATCTATCCCTAGTATATATGTGAGGAATAGAGAACTAACCACAGGGAAAGTCATTGACCCATTGAACACAATGTAGGCCAGACTTGGACCAGAACTCCATTTATTACCTAGTTTTTATAAGCCCACCATTCTAAAGAGGACTATAATGTAATTTTTGGTTCCCTTAACTAGAAATCAACTCACATCCCATGTCTAAGAGTTCTAAAAAAATCTGGGTATTACCTCTTTTCCTATCGCACAGTTGCCTTGATAAATGGCCAGACTCTATGAGGAACAATCAAAGGAATGTTTATCATATATACTTGTGGTTTTGTTGCAGGATATTTCCTTAAGGGGGCTTCGCTTCTCTTCAATCAATGGACTCAGTGTGTGAACTGACATAAATATAAAATAGCTGAAGGACTACTATTTTGCATTGCAGCAGCTATGTTGGATATAGTCCAAGTCAAGTAACAACTTTAGTTGGCTATCGATCTGCCTGACTTCTTGGGACACAGTAATCTACTAGCCATTGGAAATGGTCCCCATGAGTTAGAGCACCCCTACTGTTATTCTGGCCTTTCTATCCATTGTTTACATCCACGTTGTCTCTGATGTATAAGTGCCACCACCTGGCCTCTGGCATTCAGAAACTCTTCTACCAACAAGTAGTAAAATTAGTTCCATGGCAGCATCTCCTACCGTCAACTGTAAACTATTGAGTTCCCTCACTCATGGATTCCTCATTGCCTTAATAAAGAAAATGTCCTCTGGCCCTCCCAGGAAATAGAATCAGGTGATGGATTCTCCAGTCTCACATTAAAAATCTAGCAAAATTTCAACATGCAGAGGCTTCTGACTCTTTAATACTATTCCAAAGCATTTCTAATATTCCCATCTCATTTATGTAGGCATCATCATGTCTAAGCTTCAAGATGTTATCTTAAAACCATAGTAGGACTGGCTTTGACAGTCCTTGCTGGAATATTAAATCATAAGGCATGGGAAGATGTTCCGACATCAATAAAATTTCCCCTATTGGTCCCCTTCCCACTAACACCACCAGTCTACTCCCACAAGTGTTCCCTAGTTCCTACAAGCACTTCATAGTCAGCTCCTAAAATTCCTTTTAAGTAGAAGGTGCATTTGACTCATTATTTGCAGTAGTTATGTTCTATAAAGTCATTAAATTAATAAATACTGGACCATTGCTCCTAGGGTAAATAACAGTGTTAGGTTTCTGTGAGCCTCTGGTCACAACATCTTTCTCAACTGATCAACATATAACAATGTTTTATGTATATTTTTGTTTAAAGACACCTTATTTAATATACATTGTGGATGCATTAACATTGAACTCACAGCCAATAGTACTATTCATATGGCTGTACATTCATATGGCTGAATGAAGCTTACCTAACACATATGATGCTTCTCTCCATAAGGCACATCACATCCTTCTTGTGCTTAGGAGCATTAGATAACATTTCATAAGTTTGTCTGGGGGCCATTTTAAAAAGCAAAATTTTGGACACTTATTTTTCAAAAACCAAAATCGCTGACAAAAGGCAGAAAAATGAGAAAAATATGGCATTAAATGGACCAGAAAAAACACATGTTTACAGTATGAGGGCTGAAACAAGTAAGCAGAATGTAGTCTTGTTCAGCCTCAGCTGGGAATGTGCATGATGGTGACTTGAGTTTTTTGCAGCTCTATGTATAACCTTGAATGACCACAAAAGTGCTGTGAATATTGATTTTGGGGCTACCAATAAATTCTAGTGAGTAGGTGGATTTGCAAATACAGAGTCCACAAATAATGAAGAGCAGTTGTATTTCCCCCTAAAGAAGGTACTACATTTCCCCATTCAAGGTAATTGGGGTGAAAAAGGTAGATCTTAAAGACAACAAACATTATCTTTGAAGCGTGTGCCTCATGTCAGTCTCTTGTAAAGATTTTTAGCTAAAGGGAGGCTACTCTCTTCTCATAAGAGGCAGGGATCTGGTCTGCTGTTTAGGGTATTCTAGTGATATTAGTTTCAGTCTTTCCTACAGGTCTAAGGATTCCTTCCTTTTTCTACTAGGGCCTTCTGTGACACTGGAGACCTAGAACGGTTTGGCAATTCTGTCTTTGTCATAACATGGGGAACTCTTATAAAAAGATTCTGAGTCTAATTTTCATACAACCTACAGGAGATAAGAATCGTTTAATAACAT
This sequence comes from Homo sapiens, assembly GCF_000001405.40. NCBI lineage: Eukaryota > Metazoa > Chordata > Mammalia > Primates > Hominidae > Homo > Homo sapiens. The sequence goes on along the minus strand of NC_000001.11, from coordinate 84,049,031 downwards.
TATTGCTGAGTCACAAAAATGTGGAGTTAATAGTTAAAAGACTTGAGCTTGTCTTTTTCCACTTTAAGACTAAGAGTATGCAAAAACCTGCATCCTTATAAAAAAACTCTACAATCCTTATAATTACTCTTGTTCCCATACCTTTCAAATGCCACAGCTATCATATAGTTCAGTGATTTACCTGTCACCTTTACCCCACCCCAATCCTAATGCATAGATAAGAGAGAATAGCCAGGGAAATTCTAAAACAGAAAAAAGTAATGAAAGAGCACTAGTTTTATCTGATATTAAACTATATTTTAAAACCAAAACTATTATAACAGAGTGAAATAACAAGAATTAAATAGGAAATCAATGGAATTGAGTAAAAAAGTATATAGGGAAATGTAGTATATGTTTAAATGTTGCTTTTCAGAGTCATTAAATTTTGGACATACAGTTACATGCTGCATCATGATATTTTGGTCAATGATGGGCTGTGTACACACAATGGTGGTCCCATAAGATTATAGTGGAGCTGAAAAATTCCTATCACCTAGTGACGTCTTGATGATCCTGACCCTGTGTAGGCCTAGGCTAATGTGTGTGTTGTGTATCAATTATTAACAAAAATGTTTAAAAAGTAAAAAAAAATAACATTTAAAATACGAAAAGCTTATAGAATAAGAAATAAAGAATATATTTTGTACAGCTGTACAATGTGTCTGTGTTTTAAGCTACGCTACTATAGAAGTCAAAAAGTTAAAAAAATTTAAAAGTTTATAAAGTAAAAAGTTTATAATGTAAAAAAGTTACAGTAAGCTAAAATGTTAATTTATTATTGAAGAAAGAAAAACATTTTCAATAAATTTAGTGTAGCCTGTGTACAGAGTTTATAAAATCTACCGTAGTGTGCAATGTCTAGGCCTTCACATTCATTTACTGCTTACCCACTGACTTACTCAGAGCAAATTCCAGTCCTGTAAGCTCTATTCATAAGTACCTTATATGAGTGTACCATTTTTTTATCTTTTATGCTGTATATATTTTGACTGTACCTTTTCTACATTTACATATGTTTAAATACACAAATACTAACTAATATATTATAACTGTGTGCAGTATTCAGTACAGTAACTTGCTGTATGGGTTTGGAGCCTAGGAGCAATAGGGTATACCATACAGCCTACGTGTGCAGCAGGCTATACCACCTAGGTTTGTGTAAGTATATTCTATGATGTTTGCACAATGACAAAAATCACCTAACGATACACACTTCTCAGAACATAACTTGCCATTAAGCAATTCATGACTATGTTTGATGGTAGAGGTGAAAGTATTTTCCTGATGGTTCATATGTGGAATATGAAAGTAACAGAAGAGTCAAGGATGATTCCTAAGTGAATGAATAAATGAATGAAACCAGTGTGAAAGAGTAGGTAAGGGAGGGTTTGAATGAGATCCAAAAGGTATTTGTGTGGAGACAGTGCAGATTATGTAGAGTGTTGTGAAGGACGGCAAGAATTTGAATTTTATTCTAAGTGAAATAAGAAGATTTGGCAGAAGATAAACATGATCTTTTGCATATTTTAAAAAATATCTCTGGCCACTAGATGTAGAAGATTCTGTAGGAAGATCAGAATGGAAGCATGGAACACAATCAAGAAGATTTTGTAATCATCCAGGGAGATATAATTGTATATTACAACAGGGAAGTAAGAGTGGAAGTGGTGAAAAGGGGTGGAATTTGAGATAACTTATGAAAATAGAGTTTGTAGGATTTGCTCATGAATTGGTTGTCCAATCTGAAAGAAAGAGAAGAACACATAGTCTTTTACCTAAAGCAACTTAAAGAAGGAAATTTGACATTTACTAAGGTAGAAATGCATGAGGGAGCAAGTTTAGTGGGAATTGAGGACAGTGGAAATCAAGAGTTTGGTTTTGGACATATTAAGTTTGGAGGTGACTATTAAAGGTCCAAGTATTGATATCAAGGAGACAACTATATATATGAGTCTGAAGCTCAGGTGAGAGGTTAGACATATAATTGCCTGTAGTGTACAGGCCAGGTCTTTTAGGGTCTTTGTTCCTTACACCCAAAAACCTGGCACAAGTTCCCTGAAACATTTGTCTAGAAGAAATTTGAAGAGATATCTCAGTACATGCTCCACTTCAAATTAATGTCTCACTCTCAAACTCTGTCCCCAGACTAAAGTTCCTCTCTCTTTCTATCTATTTCTTTCACACACACATACATTCATCTCTCTGTCTCTCTATCCTCTCTCTCCTTCCTTCTCTCTGTTCCTCCTTTCCTCCCTTTTCTCTCTCTCTTTCTTTCATTCCCATCTGGTGCACTCCTTAGATAATACAGAGTTTTCACCCTGCTTTCTGATTGCTTTAAAGGAGGCAACACTAGTTCTAACAACTGAAGTCATGTCTTTTCCATTGACTAATATTTCCTCAGCGGGGGACTGGATCCAAACTAATACTGCACCCAACAAATAGAACAGAACCAAGAAACAGTAAACAGTAATTTTTTAGAAGACTATAAGCCTACCAAAGACCTATACCTAACCTCTGATATATATTATTTGTCCAGTAAAATTAAGTTCTCATGCCTATAGAATTCTACTGACTCCTTTCTCACTAATTGTATTGTGATCCCGTTAAAACTTAACTTTGCCACTTTGGGAGGCCAAGGCAGGTGGAATCACAAGGTCAGGAATTCAAAACCAGCCTGACCAACATGGTGAAATCCTGTCTCTACTAAAAATACAAAAATTAGCCGGGCATGGTGGTGCGTGCCTATAATCCCAGCTACTCAGGAGGCTGAGGCAGGAGAATCGCTTGAGCATGGGAAGGGGAGGTTGCAGTGAGCCAAGATCATGCCACTGCACTCCAGAATGAGACTCCATCTCAAAAAAAAAAAAACAAACAAAAAACTTCACTTTGCTTTGATAAATACTGTCAGAATGTTAGTAGATATTATATCAAGAAATAACCTGTCATAATTAGCAAGAAAAAAATAATCTCATCAAAAATTGGGCAAAGGACATGAATGGACAATTTGCAAAAGAAGTCATACAAACAGCCAACAAACATATGAGAAATTGCTCAACATCACTAATCATCAGGGAAATGCAAATTAAAACCACAATGAGATACCACTTTACTCCTGCAAGAATGGCTATAATTAAAAAGTAAAAAAAAAAAAAAATAGATATTTGCATGGATGTGGTGAAAAAGGAACACTTTGACACAACTGGTGGTAGTATAAATTAGTATAACACTGTGGAAAATAGTATGAGATTCCTTAAAGATAAAAAATGTGTAAGCATATTATGTCACTCCTTTGCTTCATTACTTCATTAGTTTTTTTCTCACTAGCTGTAAAATAAACTTCAAAGTCCACAGCCTTCATTTCAGCTGTACATTCAGCTGAAATTGAATTTGGCCTTTGGTGCCCCATAGAGAAGAAGATTGAAGAATGATATTCTGGGTTGGACACGGTGGCTCATACATGTAATCCCAGAACTTTGGTAGGCCAAGGCAGGAGGATCACCTGAGACCAGAAGTTTGAGACCAAGCTGGGCAACAGAGGAAAACCCTGTCTCTACAAAAAAAAAAAAAAAATGTTTAAAAAATAACCGGGCATCACGGCACACGCCTGTGTTCCCAACTACTTGGGAGGCTGAGGTGGGAGGATTGCTTGAGTTCAGGAAGTTGAAGCTGCAGTGAGCCATGATTGTGCCACTGCGTTCCAGCCTGGGACACAGAATGAGACAGAGTCTTGGTCTGTCGCCAGGGTGGAGTGCAGTGGCACGATCTTGGCTCACTGCAACCTCCACCTCCTGGGTTCAAGCAATTCTCCTGCCTCAGCCTCTGGAGTAGCTGGGACTACAGTTGCATGCCACCACATCCAGCTAATTTTTGTATTTCTAGTAGAGATGAGGTTTTACTATGTTGGCCAGGATGATCTCGATCTCTTGACCTCATGATCTGCCTGCCTCAGCCTCCCAAAGTGCTGGGATTCCAGGAGTGAGCCACTGCGGCCGCTGAAACTAGGTTCTGAGAATAATTAAAAGGTCAAAACAGTTTTTATTTTTTTGGTTTTAGTTAGACTGGAGAGATACTGGTTAAAGGCAACTAGGACAAATGCATTTGAAACTCTCACTACACTATCACATTAGCTAATTTATGACAACTTGCATTTTCATAATACTGTCAAAATTGTTGATATAATCATGAAAAATAAAGTTTCTAAAAGGAACTAAAATTTATATATTCCTTGGGCTCAACAAGGTCAAGAGTCTTCTTCAATTAAAAACATTCAATATTTATAAGAAAAATCTGGTGGGAGGGAAATTTTGTGATTGCTTTGAAATGCTAGGTCTAATTTCTGATTTCTAATTCTATTTTTGTTTCCAGTTTTAGAGAAATAAACTGACAGAGCAAGTGAGTGACTTACATATATAGTTTGTCATGTTCTTCTAAAGGCATCAAGAAATTCAATTTTTATTTTTGGAGAATAAAAATTTGGCCCAAATAATTGCAAAAAAATAGAAAAATAATCCCTGAGCTTCAAATAAGAAGATCTGAATAAATTCAAAATTCATCATTTTTCTCTAGAAATATCAAGGCAAGGAAAAGTATGAAATGCCAACATATCTGAAATGTTATAATTCAATAAAAGGGACGTGCTATGTTTTTAGGAAGGGCACCTTTAGAAAAAGCATGGGGATATTCCTGGGGGACCTGATTAAATAAGGACATGATTATTATGCATAATTTTCTCAGTATAGAATCAGTAACAGCATAAAACATAAAGATAGTTAGGTTTGGTTCATGTGATTTTAGTTCATACACACTCTTTTTTTTTTTTTTTTTTTTTTTTTTTGAGACAGAGTTTCGCTCCTGTTGCCCAGGCTGGAGTGCAATGGTGTGATCTTGGCTCACCACAACCTCCGCCTCCCGGGCTGAAGTGATTCTCCTGCCTCAGCCTCCCAAGTAGCTGGGATTACAGGCATGCACCACCATGCCCAGCTAATTTTGTATTTTCAGCAGAGATGAAAATACAAAATTTGATCATCTTTATCAGGCTTGTCTCGAACTCCTGACCTCAGGTGATCCCCCGCCTCGGCATCCCAAAGTGTTCGGAATACAGGCATGAGCCACTGGTCCTGGCCTATATCCTTAAACATATATTTTGCTAAGACTAGATTTTTGTCTACATCTAACAGACATATTACAATGGAGTAGCACATGAGCCATGACCAAAAGAAGCTTAGTAATGGTACCTGAAAGGCTAGCTAGGTTGAGTATTCTATGACAAAGTAAGCCTTCTAAAACACATAATCATGGACTGCATCTAGTTGTAAATTTCAGAAGTAGTTGGAATCTACTAACAGGCGAAAATGAAGTCAGAAATGCGCAGATGGGTAAAGCACAGGAACAGAGCTGGAGTGCTGGAGACAAAGGTACAGACACTGCTTTCAGAGTCAGTCCTTATGCTGGATAAGATGCTCTGCATTTTTTTTCCAAAACTTTCTAACCCTCATTTCCCTCATCAGTAAAGTGGGGGAAAATAGTGCTTACCTTGTGATATTTCTGCAGAGATTAAAATGGGGTTAGTCATTCAAAATACTTAGCATAGTGTAAGATGTAAAATGAATACTAGATTAAAATGTTGGTTACCTCTTGCCAGCATTGTTGCCTAGCTTCTGTATCAAATGTTCATTCTGAGAATAAAAGTCACTATGAGTTATATAGAATAAAGTGTTTATTATAGGGATTAGACCTTACACAAGTGTGGGAGCTAGTCTTAAAATCTGTGTGGCCTTGCACCTGGAGCTGAGCCTAAAGTTGCTGTAGGTTAGCTAGGCTGGCAGGTGAAGAGTGCTGGATGAGAACTGAGAGAGAACAAGGGCAAATTCAAACTGCAGTGATGGAATCCATCAAAATAAAGTGGAACCTATGAGGACAACTGGAACCTCAATGGTGTGACAAACCTGCTGGAGAATCTAGTGCTCATTGCCATGGAACTTTACATATACCTGTCCTAGGACACTGAGATCTGGAGTGAGCTGAAAAAGCTATAGGTCCTGGTGGCACTCCACACCAAGTTTAACTAGAAGATCAGTAACAAGTGTGAGCTGTCACAGTGTCTGGCACCCTACACCCTACACCAAATTTTAAAACACAAAAATGTCAGCTTAAAAAAATTCTGCTGCCCAAATTTTGCACAAATTTTTCTTCTGGCCAAGCCTAACCTGGGACAACATAGGAAAAAGAATTATGTGAATCACAGATCCAATTTAGCTAAGCTCAAACAGTAAAAAGCCACCACTGCTCATCCCCTTTCAACTTGGCATCCATATACACTTCTTAATGCTTAGTGGCCAAGTAAAGAAAACTGCAAAATCAGGCTTCCATCTGGCATGGTACAAGCATCCCTTATGTAGTCCAAACCACACAGCTACTCTCTCTAAAAAGATACAAATTCCTTTTATACATTTTGGAATATATTTATTCTCTTCTAGGTGAATTACATGCACCTTTGATATCCTATAACTTAAATTCTGAGATATCTACCTAGCTATTATTAATATATCTTATGTTAGACAATAGGGAAATGGGAGAGGGGAAAGACTGGTTAATATATACACAAAGATATTCACATCAATATAATGAAGAAATATTCATAAGTATTATTGTGTTCATTTCTACAACTGCTCACGTAGTTGTAGCTGCTATCTATAATTATCTTCTTCTGTTACACATTTGCCCTCTACAAACCCTGCAACTGTTTCCTTCTTTGATGGTTCACTCGAACTTTAGAACACAAAACTGGCAGCTTAAAAAAAATCCTGCTGTCCAAATTTTGGACAGTAGCAGCCCTGCCTACCTTGAGTTGTTGCAGTTTTCCATTGGCTTATTTAAAACAGCTTTGTTGAGATATAATTCACATGCCATAACATTCATTCATTTTAAGTGTACAATTCAATAATTTTTAGTAAATTTGCAGAATTGTTTAACTATCATTGGAATTCAGTTATAGAAAATTTCCATCATCCCAAAAAGACTTCTTCATGTCCCTATGGAAACAATCCCCATTCCTACCTTTAGAGCTAGGCAACTATTAATTTACTTCCTGACTCTGTAGATTTGCCTTCTGTGGACATTTCATGTAAATGAAATTATACAATATATGATATTTTGCGTTTGACTTCTTTTAATTAGCATAATGTTGAGGGTCATCCAAGTTGTAGCATAACAATAGTTCTTTCCTGTGACTTTTATCACAGTACATGAAAATGTTATGAGTTGCTTCCAGTGATCACCTGAATTTCAGACATCCTCCTCCTTATCCCACTGTATAGGAGCAACCACATGTCCCCTTGGTAGTTAGAATCAATACCTCAGAATACATTAGCTCTTTTCTTTGTTGATTCACAGGCATAGGATCCCCAAGTAGACATGCAGAAATTTCAATTTCTAATTTAATGGAACTACTGCTGTGTCCCCTGATAGAAATATACCACACTTGGGAACTAAAAACTCCAGAATAGCAGAGCCCAAAGCCATGGAGATGGAGACAGGAAGTAAAAATTTTCATAATGGATCACAAAGGACAGTGCCTGCAGAAAAAGGAAAAATATGCACCCGTATATATACTTGTCAAAATATTACCCATATTTCGAAACAAATAAACAAAAGCTATACAATGAAAAAGCATGACTATATGTGTAGCCCTGATTTACCTAATCTGTTTGCATGGCATTGTCAGCTCTCATAGATGCCTGGAGTGAGATGGGATGGCTGCATGGGCCTAGAAACTGGCTGATTGGAAGTGACTTTTTCCCTTGCAAAATAGCAGAGTCATAGGCAAACATACAACAGCCTGCTATTATTTAAAATTTTTGTATATTTTCATCATGATTTTTGTGTTAGTTTTTATTTTTAAAAATATTCCATTAAAATATAATTTGTCTTGATTATTAACTTTTTTGATACTCTCTTAAATTTTGCACCCCAGATGAGTGCCTCATTTATCCAAATCCTAGCCCAAATTAGAGGTAATATTAAAAAGAATCATTCACATTTCAATCCATTGATTCCCAGACCTGTAAATTCTTGAAAATGGGAAAAAGAGCACATATTGGTCACATTCATTTGTGTGTTTACATTGTACACTGCATCCTATAGGACATAACCCCAACTTGTCAAGTTGTTGCCATCTAGCTGGGACTTTAAGGCTAACTCCAAAAGGCTAATCCATCATTTTATCAGGCCAGATAACTTCAGGTGATGGAGTACATGGTAACACTAGTGAATCCTTGTACTCTATTTACTTCACTCTATTTGCTATAAAATGAGCTCTTTGCTGAGATGCAATGCTGTGTGGAAAATGATCAAGGTGAATAAGACATTTTATAAGTTCATAGATAGTAGCTTTGGCAGAACCACTGTAGGGAGGGAAGGCAAATCTGTATTTAGAATAAGTGTCTATTATTGTGAGAACAAAATGCTCCATCTTCCATAATGAAAGTAGGCAATATTATCAACCAGGAGTCTCTTGGACTCCTGTGAATAATGGTACCTTGTTGAGGGCTCAGTGTTAGTCTTTGCTTTTGGTAGGTTGGGCACTTAGTTTTTGTGATTAGAAGTTTGTGTTGCCAAGTAAATACATAACCTCCATTCTTGCTGCCTTGGACATTTTGTCATGATTGCATTAAGCAAGGATGAGGTGGCTAGCTAGGGAGAAAGGGCAACTGATAGACACATAATTTGTCATCATGTCCACTTGATTGTGAAGAACTTTTTCTTCTGAGTTTGTTCCTTGATGAATATTCACCTGGGACACAAATATCTTCACTTTTAGAGAAGCTATCCGAATACCTTTTCTCTAGACCTCTTTGTCACCAGTTTTCCAATTGTGTTCTTAGCAATTCTCTGACCGTCTGGCTAAACCATTAGTCACTGCCCATGACTTACTATACATTTGTACCTCTGACCATCACTTATTCCAGGCAAAATGAGTAACCAGATATGTTTGTTAAAGTTCTTCTCATTGGAAGGATTTTCCTTCAAGGCCAGTCCTGAGTGAGACTATAATGCTGCAGCTGTCCACTTTGGTGTAGTATCAGTGCAGCATGGAGTACCATATATAAATCAAACTTTTTCCTTCTATTTTAACTGGCTATAGGGAATGCCCCATAAGAGGAAGGAGGAAATGTAGCAAGAATAGGAGTCATGGTTATCTGGAATATTTGCTCATGCAACTTACTTATATCCTCAGGACCTTTTCAAGGCCAGTCTCATATATACCATTTCTATTTTGTGATGGGATGATATTGTGCACATCAAATGCTATGACCTGTAGATTAGAAAACAATCCATTCATGATGAGCACTCAGGTTGCATGTTACTTTATGGCCCATGCAAAATGAGTGTTCAGTTTATACTAGGACCTAGCAGCAAACCAGAAGCTGTGTTTTGAAAGAAGCATAGTTACATGCAGAGAGTGGCATAGCTGTACTCCAAATCTTAATTATTGCATTTTCATTCACTTATAGGCACCTATCAAAGGCTCCATACAGCATCCCTGTCTGTTACATGCACTATAAACACCATCATATCTTCTGGGTAACATGACCTAAGTGGTAGAGCAGTTTGCATGGCAACCTAGTCATTTCCAGGGCTTTCATTTCATCTGCACCCTACTCAAAATTGGCAACTTTTACATTTACTCAGTAAATGGGCTGCAATAGCACAGTCAAATGAGAATATCTATTACCTCCCAAATCCAAAGAGGTCTACAAATTTTTATGCTTCTTTCCTTGTAGTGAGAGAGGCCATGTACAACTTGTCCTTAACCTTGGAAGAAATAGCTTAACATGTCCCAGATAATTGGAAAATTAGAAATTTCACTAAGATGTCAGCTCTCTGAATTTGTATGGATTTATTTCCTAATGCCCGACAGTCATTTATTTAACAAATTTCTAATTGTTGCTTACTAGGCCAATCAGCATGGTGTCATCAATGAAATAGAACATAGTAATGCCCTACGGAATTCAGAAGCAATCTAAGTCCCTGAGGAATAGATTTTGGCCTGGGCTAAAAAACATGAGGGGAAAATGGAGGCAGGACTAAATTGCAGCTCCAAGTCAGACAGACAGAGCAGTGTATGGAGACTCACATTGTGAACTTTTGCTTCAGAACTACTGCAGGAATATACCTGGAAAGCTGAGAAAATCCACAGACCCTCTGAAGGAAGTGGATTGCTCCTGCACGATCTGAAGACAGCCCAAATACCGAGTGCCCAAGATGTGAATATGAGAAAAGAGGAATTGTCCATTCCCAAACACACACCCTCACTGGAAAAACTGAAGGTCTAGATCACAGTAGAAGGATTTGACCTTACCTGGAGCTGAGTCAATTTAGAGAGCCTAGCGAAACACAGGGGTAGAGGAAGCAGCGGGAAAAGCCCTGTTGGTTCTCTGGGTCCCCAGCAAAGCCATTTCTGACTTTTCTCACAGGAGTCCTTGGGGAGGGCTGCCAGAGGCACTGGCATAGGACCACAGGGAGAAAGAAACTTCCAGGTGAACTTTGTAACAATTACAACTGGACGCGAAGTTTCCCAGCCAGAATTTGGGGGAGGGTGTGAATCTGGTTGCAGACTCAACAGGCAAGGAGGTGCAAAAGCCCTGCTTGCTTTCTCAGCTGGGAGGCTGGTAGCCTGGGGCAAGTTCTCAGCCCTGCTCACTCACTGCCTGGAAACAGACTCAGTGCTGTTTGAGGGAGACGATGGGAGTGAGACTGGCCTTTCTGGTTGTGTGGGAGCTGGGTGAGACCTTTCCCCCACTTCTGTGACAACCTGCATGACACAGTAGAGGCAGCCATAATCCTCCTGGGAACATAACTCCATTGCCTGGAAACCACATCCCCATCCCCCGCAGCAGCCACAGCGAGCTCTGCCCAAGGAGAATCTGAGCTCAGACATGCCTAACCCTTCTGCCACTTGATGGCCCTTTTCTACTCACCCTGGTAGCTGAAGACAAAGGGCATATTCTCTTGGAAGTTCTAGGGCTCCACTCACCACCTGATCCTTCCTGTACTGCCACAGCTAATGCTCTCTTGAAAGTGCCACCTCCTGGCTGGAGGCCAAACAGCACAAAAATAGTGCATTAAACAACCAAAACTAAGGACCCTCACGGAGTCCATTTCACCCCCTGTCACTTCCACCAGAACAGGTGCTGCTATCCATTGCTGAGAGACCTGAAGACGGTTTATATCACATCACTGGTGCAGACAACCCTCAATACCAGCCTGTAGCCTGGTAGCCCTGCTGGGTGGCTAGATCCAGAAAAGAAATAACAATCGCTACAGCTCAGCTTTCAGGAAGGCACATCCCTAGGAAAAGGGGGAGAGTGCTACATCAAGAGAACACCCTGTGGGACAAAAGAATCTAAACAGCAGCCTTGCGCTCCAGATCTTCCTTCTGACATAGCCTACCCAAATGAGAAGGAACCAGAAAAACAATTCTGGTAATATGAAAAAACAAGGACAGACCATATGATAGGCAACAAAACAAGTCTAAGTAATTTAAGAAAATTGAAATTATATTAAGTACTATCTCAGACCACGTGGAATAAAACTGGGAATACACTTTTATTCCAGGGGATTAAATGGAATCCATTTAATTATATTGCTTAGTCTTGCTTTGGCTATGCAGGCTCTTTTTTGGTTCCATATGAATTTTAGGATAGTTTTTTCTAGTTCTGTGAAAAATGATGGTGGTATTTTGATGGGAATTGCATTGAATCTGTAGACTGTTTTTGGCAGCATGGTCGTTTTCACAATATTAATTCTACCCATCCATGAGCATGGGATGTGTTTCCATTTGCTCGTGTTGCCTATGATTTCTTTCAAAAATCATAGGAATCTTCAAAAGGAACCTTCAAAACCATGCAAATACATGGAAATTAAATAACCTAATCCTGAATGATCTTTGGTTTAACAATGAAATCAAGAGGGAAATTTAAAAATTCTTTGAACTGAATGATAATAGTGACACAACCTATCAAAACCTCTGGGATACAGCAAAGGCAGTGCTAAGAGGAAAGTTCATAGCCTTAAATGCCTACATCAAAAAGTCTGAAAGAGCACAAATGGACAATCTAAGGTCACACCTCAAGCAACTAGAGAAACAAGAAAAAACCAAACCCAGACCCAGCAGAAGAAAGGAAATAACCAAGATTAGAGCAGAACTAAATGAAATTAAAATAAAATATAGAAAAGATAAATGAAACAAAATGTTAGTTCTTCCAAAAGATAAATAAAATCAATAGACCATTAGCAAGATTAACCAGAAAAGAAGATCCAAATAAGCTCAATTAGAAACAAAACAGGAGATATTACAACTGACACCACAGAAATACAAAAGATCATTCAAGGTTATTATGAACACCTTTACATGCACAAACCAGAAAACCTAGAGGAGACTGATAAATTCCTGGAAAGATAGAACCCTCCTAACTTAAATTAGGAAGAATTAGAAACCCTGAACAGACCAACAGCAAGCAGCGAAATTAAAATGGTAAAAAAAAATACCAACAAAAGAAGTCCAGGACCAGATGGAATCACAGCTGAATTCTGCCAGATATTCAAAGATGAATTGCTACCAATCCTATTGACACTATTACACATGACAGAAAAAGAGGGAATCCTCCTCTAAATCAGTCTACGAAGCCAGTATCACCCTAATATCAAACAGGAAAGGACATAACAAAAAAAAGAAAACTACAGACCAATATCCATGATGAACACAGATGCAAAAATCCTCAACAAAATACTAGCTAACTGAATCCAACAGCATATCAAAAAGATAATCCATCATGATCAAGTGGGTTTCATACCAGGATGCAAGGATGGTTTAACATCCAGAAGTCAATAAATGTGATACACCACATAAACAGAATTAAAAACAAAATCACATGATGCAGAAAAAGCATTTTTAAAAAAATCCTGCATCCCTTTATGATTAAAACCCTCAGCAAAATCAACATACAAGGAACATACCTCAATGTAATAAAAGCCATCTATGATAAACACACAGCCAACATAATACTGAATGGGGAAAAGTTGAAAGCATTCCCTCTGAGAACTGGAAAAAGAAAAGGATGCCTAATCTCACCACTTCTATTCAACATAGTACTAGAAATCCTAGCCAGCAGGCATCACAGCATGAAACTAAAGAGTTTTTGATTTGCAAAGCCTAGGGCTTAAGAGAAAAGTTGTGTTGTTTTAATTTCTAAAAAGATTTGGTTTGGACCACTAAAACCAGAGGCTTTAGGACTTAGAGCATAGATAGTATAAAAGATAAATGTTGAATAGGGCAGAATAAGAAGGTGATATTAGCCCCTCTGGAAAAATAATACAGAAAATAGATGGTAATTAAAAGTCAGTGTATTTACCGAGGAATCACTATAGGAGGAGGCAAGGAAACCCTGTAATAAAAGTTACAGGTAGAAGACCTGAAACAGGGAACCAGACGAAGGATTCAACTAAGCCTCAAATCATCAGCCAGCCCATGAGAGCCAAGGTGATGCCTGGAGTAATCACCCAGTCCCACTTATTCCCAGACACCAAAGAACAAGCTACATCCTCAGTGGGAGAAGCAAGTAAGGACCAGCATTGTTTTTAAAAGCCAGAAGCCCCCTGGGCCTCCTCCCTTTATGGAGGCTGAGAAGTCTCATGACCTACTGTTTGCAAGCCTCTCTTCTACTATGACGATGATGGCTAATATATATTGAGCATTTATTGTATGCTAGGACCTGATCTAAGCATTCACATGCTTTATGTCATTTAATTCTGCTAGCAACCTATAAAGTTGGTAGTATTATTATCTCTATTTTAAAGATGAGACAATGAGGTACAGAAAATTTAAGGTCACATAACTATAATTTGGTAGATTCAGGATTTTTCTGCTGTGTCCAGACACTATTGAAGGGAGAAAAATGAGAAGAAAATCCTTGAGAAGGATGGAGAGACTGAGGGGGTTTGAACATGAAAATGAGTCAATTCATATCCTGAAGTGAATGAGAAATTACCCTCAATTTTTGTATTAGTCACAGTTCTCCAGAGATACAAAACCAATGGTGTGTGTGTGTGTGTGTGTCTATGTGTGTGTGTGTGTGTGTGTGTGTGTGTGTGTGTATGTAATGGGTTCATGTGATTATTGAGGCCAAGTCCCATGATCTGCTGTTTGCAAGTTAGGAACCCCAGAAAGTCAGTACAGCTCTAGTCTGAAGGCCCGAGAACTAGGAAAGCTAATGGTATAAGTCCAAGTCTAAAGGCAGAAGACCAGTGTTCCAGCTCAAGCAGACAGGCAGTGAGAGTAAATTCTCCCTTACTCCTCCTTTTGTTCTATACAGACCTCCAATGGATTAGATGAGGTCCACCCAAATTGGGGAGGGCAATCTGCTTTACTCAGTCTATTGATTTAAATGCTAATCTCACCCAGAAACATCCTTTCACAGATACACTCAGAACAATGTTTAACCAAATACCTGGGCACCCTGAGTCCAAGCCAAGTTGACTTTAAAATTAATCACCACAATCCACCAGTTGTCAGTTTGGCACCCATACACATCTCCTTAAATCATACTTTATCTCCAAATAAAGTCAATAACAAGGCCAGAATACCACCTAGCATGATGCAACTATCCTGAGTGCAATTGAAAATGCACTGACCCCTTCCCCAGAAGGGGAGGTAAAATCCTTGAGTGGTGTTTGCTCTTCTCCTTGGTATCCCATAACTTAAACACTATGATGTAAAATTAAGAATACTGAAATATTAAGACAGTAAGTTAATACATCTGTATTACATGAGAAAGGAATAAGTGGTAGAGGAAAACAGATGCACACACATATTCATACAAAAATGAGGAATACTCATGACAATTATATGTGGTCATAGTTTTGGCATATATAACTACCTTCCTCCACTACTCATTCTGTATTCCCTTTGCCAGCACCTCAGGCAGTTGTGGTTCTTTACCTGTAGTGATCCAAATCTTCATTCCTGAAGGGTCCAGGCCATTCATAGTTCTGCCTGAATTGGGCTGTGGTAATTTTCAATTGACATGAATCACAGGACATAATAATACTAAGAGATGCTCTAAGATACCTCCTGTGTCCCAGACATAGTCTTCCTTACCTTCTTTGTGGATTAGCAGTACAATTTCCCCTTGGTAGTTAGAATCAATCATCCCAGACAGCAGAGATAATCCCTTCTTTGCTTGTTGATTCAGAGGCATGAGGAGTCCAAAATATCCAGGTGGCAGTCTTACCTTCCAGCTCAGTGGAATCATTGTTTTGTCTCTTGGTAAAAGCATTTCTGCCTTAGGAACTAAGACCACCAGGCTAGCAGAGCATAAGATTACAAGAACAGAAAGCTAAAATTCTGCTAATGAGTCATTAGGAGTAATAGAGATTGATGCTACTTCCATTTCCACTCCTTGATTCCTGGACCTTAAATCCTGGCTACAGGAGAAGCAGCACCATGTATTGGACACTGATTCAGAGCATACACAACCTTCTGGAGAACCTTGATCCATCCCTGCAAGGCATTGCCACCTAGCTGGTGCTGTAACTGCGTCTTCAAAAGGCCATCTCACAGTTCTGTCAAACCAGCTGTTGAGGATGTTGGGGAATATGGTTAAGACCAGCGAATTCTGTGAGCATGGACCCATTATTGTACTACTTTTGCTATGAAGTGGGTTCTTTGATGAGAAGAAATTCTGTGTGCAATACCATGATGGTTGATAGGTCATTCTATAAGTACATAGATGAATGAATGGATGGATGGTAGTCTTGAGAGAAGCACTGCATCCAGGAAAGGCAAAACTGTATCCAGAGTACATATCGATTTCAGTAAGAACAAACTACTGCCTCTTCTATGATGAAAGTGGTCCAATTGAATCAACTTGCCACCAGGTAGCTGGCTGATTACCATGGGAGAATGGTGCCATATCAGTGACTCAGTGTTGGTACCTGATGCTGGCATATTGGGCACTCAGCAGTGGCTGCAGCCAAGTAGTCTTTGTGGGTGGAAGCCCATGTTGCTGAGTCCATGCATGACCTCCATCTGTGCCACAATAGCTATTTTGTTCATGAATCGATTGGGCAATGACAGTAGTGGCTGGAGAAAGAGACTGACATGTCATCTTCTCCACTCCATCTTCTCCACTGCTGAGTAACACTTGGATTAGCACTCACATGGACACAAATATTGATATGGTTTGGCTTTTAGTCCCCACCGAAATCCCACCTTGAATTGTAATAATCCCCATTTGTCATGGGATGGACTCAGTGGGAGTTAATTGAATCATGGGGGTGGGTTTTTCCTGTGCTGTTCTTATGATAGTAAGTAAGTTTCACAAGATCTCATGGTTTTATAAAGGGGAGTTCCCCTGCAAATGCTCTCTTGCCTGCTGCCATGTGAGATGTGACTTTGCTCCTCATTCACCTTCCACCATGATTGTGAGGCCTCCCCATTCATGTGGAACTGTGAGTCCATTAACCTCTTTCTTTTATAAATTACCCAGTCTTGGGTATATCTTTATTAGCAGCATATGAAGAGACTAATATAGTAAGTTGGTATAGGTAAAGTGGGATGCTGCTGTAAAGATACCCAAAAATGTGGAAGCAGCTTTAGAGCTGGGTAACAAGCAGATGTTGGAACAGTTTGGAGGGCTCAAAAGATGACAGAAAAATGTGGAAAAGTTTGGATCTTCCTAGAGATCTGTGGAATTTTGAATTTGAGAGATATGATTTAGGGTATCTGGTAGAAGAAATTTCTAAGTGGCAAAACATTCAAGAGGAAGCAGAGCATAAAAGTTTGAAAAATTTGCAGCCTGATGATGCAATAGAAAGGAAAAACTCATTTTCTGAGAAGAAATTCAAGCCAGCTGCAAACATTTGTATGTTAATTTCCAAGACAATGTGGAAGATATCTCCAGGGCATGCCAGAGGTCCTCATGGTAGCCCCTCCCATTACAGGCCCAAAGGCCTAGGAAGGAAAAGTGTTTTATTGGGCCCAGCTCAGGGCTGCCCTGCCCTATGCAGCCTCAGGACATGGTGCCCTGCGTCCCAGCTGCTTTAGCTACAGCCTTGACCAAAAGGGAGCAAGGTACAGCTCAGCCTGTGGCTTCAGAGGGTGCAAGCCCCAACCCTTGTCAGCTTCCACCTGGTGTTGAGCCTGTGGGTACACAGAAGTCAAGAATTGAGGTTTGGGAACCTCTGCCTAGATTTCAGAGGATGTGTGGAAATACCTGGATGTCCATCCAAGCAGAAGGGGTAGGGCCCTCATGGAGAACCTCCGCTAGGGCAATGCAGAAGGGAAATGTAGGGTTGGAGCCCCTACTCAGAATCCCCACTGGGGTACTGCCTAGTGGAGCTGTGAGAAAAGGGTCACTGTCCTTCAGACCCCAGAGTGGTACATCCATTGGCAGCTTGCACAGTGCACCAGGAAAAGCCACAGGCACTTAATGCCAGTCTGTGAAAGCAGCCAGAAGCTGGGGTGTACCTTGCAAAGCCACAGGAGTAGAGCTGCTTAAGGCCATGGGAATCCACCTCTTGTATCAGCATGACCTGAATGTGAGACATGGAGTCAAAAGGAGATAATTTTGGAACTTCAAGGTTTAATGACTGCCCTATTGGATTACAGACTTGCATGAGACCTGCAGCCCCTTTGTTTTGGCCAATTTCTCCCATTTGGAACAGATATATTTAGCCAATGCCTGTATCCTCATTGTATCTGGGAAGTAACTAACTTGCTTTTGATTTTACAGGCTCATAGGCAGAAAGAACTTGCCTTGTCTCAGACGAGACTTTGGACTGTGGACTTTTGAGTTAATATTGAAATGAGTTAAGACTTTGGAGGACTGTTGGGAAGGCATGATTGTATTTTGAAATGTGAAAGGGACATGAGATTTGGGAGGGGCCAAATGATATGGCTTCGCTTCCTGTCCCAACCGAAATCTCACCTTGAATTGTAATAATCCCCAACTGCCGTGGGAGGGACCTGGTGGGAGGTAATTGAATCATGGGGGTGGGTTTCTCCCATGCTGTTCTCGTAATAGTGAATAAGTTTCACAAGATCTGATGGTTTTATAAAGGGGCGCTCCCCTGCACACGCTCTCTTACCTGCTGCCATGTAAGACGTGACTTTGCTCCTCATTAGTCTTCTGCCATGATTGTGAGGACTTCCCAGCCATGTGGAATTGTGAGTCAATTAAACCTCTTTCATTTATAAATTACCCAGTCTCAAGTATGTCTTTATTAGCAGAGTGAGGAAAGACTAATGCAAATATCTTCATGTTTTTTGTCCATTTAGAGAAGTCTACCCATATACTTCTTTCTCAAGTTTTCTTGTCAATAACTTTCCACTTATGTTTCTTCAAAGTTTCGGCCTATTCAATCAACCATTGGCAAAAGCCCATGAATCAGTATATAATCACATGTCTGGCCATTTCTTCTTCCAAGCAAAGTGAAAACAAGGTACATTGCTTGATGTTCTGCCCAAGAGTTCCTTTCACCACTGCCCTTTAGGTATGTACCAGAAAGGAGCTGTAGTGCTGTCACTGTCCACTTTGGGGTGGTGCCTGCATATCCCGAAGAACCATCTCTAAACCAGGTTTGCACCTTTTCTGTGTCATCTAGTCATAAGGACCTCCCTGTGAGGTTGTAGTGCAGGTTGGGAGAGAGAAGACAATGTAGCAGGAGTGGAGACAATGGGTATTTAGGACTCTTCTTCATATAACTTACTTGTGCCTTCAGGGCAATCTTGGGCCTCATCACATATACATAACTTCCATTTGATGATGGAGTACTACTGTGTATGCCCAAATACGGCTTGGTGTTAACTCAGTTCATGATGGACAGCTCAGGCTGCACAGTAATTTGGTGACCCATAGTTAAGTATTCAGTCTCTACTAAGGCCTAGTAACAGGCCAAGAGCTGTTTCTCAAAAGTAAATTAGTTATTTGTGAAGGATGGCAGGAATTTTTCCAAAATCCTAAGGGTCTGCATTGAAATTTACCTGTAGTGATCTACTGAATGCTCCAAACTGCATCACTATCTGACACTTCAAGCACCATTGGATCTGCTGGATCATACAGCCTAAGTTTCCCTGAGGCTTGCACAGTGACCTGGACCTATTTTGATCTTCTGTGTTGGGACCCACTCAAAATGAGCAGCTTTTCAAGTCACATGGTAAATGGGCCAGAGTAACACACCGAAATGAGGAACATGTTTGTATTAGTCAGGGTTCTCTAGGGGGCAGAACTAATGGAATAGACATATATATAAAGGGGAATTTATTAAGTATTAACTCACATGATCACAAGGTCCCACAATAGACTGTATGCAGGCTGAGGAGCAAGGATAACCAGTCCAAGTTCCAGAACTGAAGAACTTGGAGTCCAATGTTCAAGGGCAGGAAGCATCCAGCACAGGAGAAATATGTAGGCTGGGAGGCTAGGCCAGTCTCTCTTTTCACTTTTTTCTGCCTGCTTATATTCTAGCTGTGCTGGCAGCTGATTAGATTGCGCCCACCCAGATTAAGGGCTTTCCCAGCCCACTGACTCAAATGTTAATCTCCTTTGGCAACACCCTCACAGACATATACAAGATCAATACTTCATATCCTTCAATCCAATCACGTTGACGCTCAGTATTAACCATCACAATGTTGTCTCTAAAATCCAAAGAGGCCCACTAGGCATTGTGCCCCTTTTTTGGGTTGTAGGAGGGGCTAGATACAAGAACTTATTCTTCATCTTAGAAGAGATGTCTTGACATGTCCCACACCACTGGAGCTCCCCAAATTAGAAGGTCCCTGAATATTTGTCAGATTATTCCCCACTTGCTAGCAAATAACTATCTTACCAATAGAGGAGTTGCTACTTCTTGCTCACTAAGTCCAATCAGCATAATGCCATCAATGTAATGGACCAATGTGATATCTTTTGGAAGGGAAGGGCAATCAACATCCCTGCAAAGTAAATTATGCATAGGGCTGGAGAGTTGAGAAATCCCTGAGGTAGGACAGTGAAGGTGTGTTACTGGCCTTGCCAGCTGAAAGAAAACTGCTTCTAGTGGATGTTAATGACAAGAATAGAGAAAAAGGCATTTGCCAGATGAATACCTGCATACCAGGTACTACCAGGTACCACCAGGTACCAGGGTATGTGTTAATTCATTCATGCTGTAAAACCACACCTGGTATTCAGTTGGTGCAAAAGGAACTGTGGTTTTTCCCATTACTTTTAATTGTGGTTTTTGCCATTAGTTTTATTTATTTTATTTTATTTTATTTTTGAGACAGAGTCTTGCTCTGTCACCCAGGCTGGAGTGCACAATCTCTGCTCACTGCCACCTCTGCCTCCCAGGTTCAAGTGACTCTCCTGCCTCAGCCTCCTGGTAGCTGGGATTACAGGTGCCCACCATCACGCCCAGCTAATTTTTGTATTTTTAGTAGAGACGGGGTTTCACCATGTTGGCCAGGCTGGTCTTGAACTCCTGACATCAGGTGATCCTCCCACCTCAGCCTCCAAAAGTGCTGGGATTACAGGTGTGAGCCACCACGCCCAGCCTAATTTTTGTATTTTTAGTAGAGACGGGGTTTCACCATGTTGGCCAGGCTGGTCTCCAAAGCCTGACTGCAGGTGATCTGCCCGCCTCAGCCTCCCAAAGTGCTGGGATTACAGGTGTGAGCCACCACTCCTGACGGCCATTACTTTTAATGGCAAAAGCCACAATTACTTTTGCACCAACTTAATACAACAGTTGCAACTGCAGTCACCATCTGGTTAACCTTACAATTCACTGTCATTCTCCATGTTCCAATTATCTTCTGCACAGGCCAAATAAGTTAGTTGAATGAATACGTGGGAGGAATTACCATCCCTGCATCCTTCAACTGCTTGATCATGGCACTAATCTCTGCAATCCCTCCAGGGATATGGTGTTGCTTTCGGTTTACTATTTCCCCTGGTAGAGACAGTTCTAGTTGCTTCCATCTGGCCTTTCCCACTGTAATAGCCCACACTTCACATGGCAGGGAACCTATGTGTTATAATACTGGACGTGCTTTTCTCTGCAGAGCATAAATGGGGAGATGATGAGCAAGTTAAGTTCACTTACATAGAAATAATTATGACTTTACTGCTTGTCTGTATTGTGACTATAAATTTCAGACTGCTATACATTAAGTCTCTGGCATGTAAAAAGTAGTCTATAAATGTTTACAATTAAGTAAAGCCCCCACTCCCTGTACTTAAATTGCTTTGGTTCCCTAAGCCCCCACTCCCTGTATGTAAATTGCTTTGGTTCCCTATCTCTTTGGAACAAAGAGGCTTGTTTCCCTATCCCTTTGGAATAAGAGGCTTGGTTCCCTAAACCGCCACTCCCTGTATGTAAATTGCTTTAGTTCCCTAAGCCCCCACTCCCTGTATGTAAATTGCTTTGGTTCCCTAAGCCCCCACTCCCTGTATGTAAATTGCTTTGATTCCCTATCCCTTTGGAATAAGGAGTCTTATTCCAAAATTTTAGGTTTCTGTTTTTTTTCCAGTGGTCTCTACTGACCCTGGAGTTTTCCGGTGAGTCTGGAGTTTTGTGTTACTGATTGCTTGCCTTAGGGTGCACATGTTTGGTCCTTGCTACTACTTCTTGACATTCTCTAGGTCCTCGTATTAGTCAGCAGGGCTGCCATAACAAAATACCATAGATTGCATGGCTAAAGCAACAGAAATTTATTTTCTCACATTTCTGGAGTCTAGAAGTCCAAGATAAAGGTGACTTTATATATACATATATATATATGTAAATAACTACGATACAGTGTGGTAAGTGGGTTTAATAGATGTATCTAAAAGTGCTATAGGAAAACAAAAAAAGAAAAAAGTAATTATATAGGGAAATTAGGAAATACCATAGAAAGTAGATGTTTTTTAGTTAGAATGCAAGGAGGTGTATACCTCTCTAAGGAGAATATGTTGATAAAGGTTATTTAGAAAAAGAAGTAAAAGGTGAGAAGTCCTAAGAATAGTTGAGATTATGAAATGATCATTTAATGTTAGCAAAAGCCATTCAAGTGGTTTATGGCATAATGCAAATATTCTCATCCATATCCAGTATTATAGTCTTATTAATATTTACAACTCTGTTTCTATTTCCCTTTCTAAAATTTAAATTTTACTTTAGGAAAAAACCCTCTCTCCCATAATGTGATGTAATTGTCAAAGAAGTTGATATGGTTTTAGTTTGAATTAACAGAAATACAGAGTCCAGAAAAAGGGAAATGATAGGCTGTCTATTCTCTCCACCAGGTATCAAAGCATACTTCTATTACTCTGATTGGTCCTGAATACACACATTAAGAGGGACGATGTGAACTGCAATTGCTTTTGGATGAAAGCAACCATTATGGTGATGAGGAATTTAAATCATGATGTATGACAAACATTCAAATTCTCCAGAAATGATTATCCCAGAGGCGAGCAAACAAAGGGAGAGGAGACAGAAGCATATGGCCATAGAGTTAGAACTGACTATATGAAATTAAGGGAAAAACAAATTTATCTCTTTAGAAAGAGAAGTAAAAGGTGAGAAGTCCTAAGAATGGTTGAGATTATGAAATGATCATTTAATGCTGGCAAAAGCCATTGAAGTGGTTTTGTGGCATCATACAAATATTCTTATCCATATCCAGCAATGGCCATATGCTTCTCTCCCCCCTCCCTTTGTCTGCTTGCCTCTGGGCTAAATGTAAGGATGAGTTTTCTAACAAGTCAAGCTGCCTCAAATGATATGACTTTTCCTGGGAAGGGAGTGAGTTTCTCACTACCAGAGCTGTTTAAGCAGAAGTTCGTCATGGAAATCATGTAGAATATGCAAGTGCTATATAGGGAACTGGGCAAATGCCATTACGATCCCCTTCAAACCTGAGACTTCGGAGAGTCAATGTTCCCCCTTTGAATTTTGAAGATATGTGCTAAGACTTCATTATAGTGCATTTGAAAGCCAACCAAAGATGCTTAAATGATTACAGATGAGAATGTGTGAATAAATAATCTACATAGTGGAATATGGAGCAGGGAAATATCGAAGCCCCAATTCCATCAGTCTGTTTTTGCTAGATATACTGGAGTTACAAACAATTCCAAAATCTTTGTGGCCTAACAAGAAAGAAGCAAAGGTTTCTTTCCTACTCTCATTCCATGTTAGTTTCAAATTGAGTAAAATTCTGGACCATATCTCATTCTCTTGTAGTCAGGGTGAAAAGGAAGCCTGTACGTAGCCATTGCTGCAACTGTGAAATTGTTAAGATCATATGAGGGCTCATAAAACTTCTGCTGAAAGTTGGCATCATCCCTTCTACTCTATTTCTGGTCACAGCAAGTCATGTAGCTAAGCCTGCCATCAATAGGGCACAAAGGATGGCCCTAAAAGGGAGGGACAGCAACTATTTTGATTACGTTTAATGTATTATATCAAGTCACACAGTCATGGTTTGACATTTGACAATTCCACACGGTGAAATAAATGACTTCTAAGGAGCAAGAAAAAACTTTTTGTATAGCGCTTATTTTGGAAATGCTTCGTCCTACCAAAAGTCAGGGCAATCTAAAAAACCACTACCCACTTCACGCAGAAAGAGAAAATAGAACTCCCAGTCACTCATAGCAGGGTATATTTGGAGAGTTACAGAAAAAAGGCATCTCCATATATTTCATCATTGCCTTTGAAAAAACTTACAGAAACACAAATATTCACAGCTACCTAAATGTAGTTGAGAAAGACTTTGTACTTTAAAAGTAAATTTTTGGATAATTAATCACAGAGATAGAGAATTCTTTGGAAGTCCATGACCAGAGCTGCTTGGTGATGGGAGATGTGACCCTCTTCCAAATGGGGGCTGTACATTGGGTAGAGGAGCTGGTGGTGAGATTGATGAGACTAAGAGCTAAGCAAGAGCAAATTTTCAAGGGTCTGTTATATCAAACAAAGAGTCTAAAATCAATTTAGAGGCCATGGAGCGCCAGTGAAGGCTTTAAGCATCAAGGAGGTAAGATCAGATTTGTGTTATTAGAACAAAACCACTTGGACAATAATATAGAGGATGGAATAGAAGTGGGACCAAATCTAAGGCAAGATTAGGTAATTATTAGAATTAGAGTAATCTTGGAAAAAAATGAAAAGCTCTTGAACTAACTTATGAGCAATAGTAATACAGAAGTGAGAACAAATGGAAAACTATTATAGAGATAAAAAGGATATAGAGATAAAAAGATATCCTCCGAAGCAGGCGGATCACGAAGTCAGGAGTTCAAGACCAGTCTGACCAATATGGTGAAACCCCAACTCCACTAAAAATACAAAAAATTAGCTAGGCATGGTGGCACGCACCTGTAATCCCAGCTACTCAGGAGGCTGAGGCAGGAGAATCGCTTGAATTCGGGAGGTGGAGGTTGCAGCGAGCCAAGATCATGGCCACTGCACTCCAGCCTGGGGGATAGAGAGACTTCACCTCAAAAAAAAAAAAAAGAGGACTTGGTGCCTGACTGGGAGAGAAGGCTGAATGACGAGTACTCTGATGATTACCAAATTTTGAGCTTCATGCAGCTGGGCAAGTATAGTTCAGTGTTTTAGAGATGTAGCCTTAAGTTTAAGCCCTGGTTGCTACTTCCTAGATTTGTGCCCTTGGACAAGTTATTTTTTCTTGTTGAGCCTCTATTTCCACATCTGCAAAATTGAGCTGATAATAATACTCCCAACATAGGACTGGTAGGGAAGTTACACACTGTCATCAGGGACAAATTTTAGAGACCCTCTAAGGTACTTACAAGACTTGGGGATATATTAAAGATAGGCCAGTATGCCATCCACTGTGATTTGTTAATGTTGTATTTCTGGGATGGATAGGCCTTATGAGGAAGAGAGCATGGATGGCTATAGTGTTTCTTCAAAATGGATATTCTGAAAAATGCTTCTATAAGAAAGTTAAAAACCTTTTATTTCATCTTGTCACAGTGCCAGTTCTGGTTTGCAACATTGGGTAGCTCTTATTCTGTCTTTATTTCCTTACTAGATATCTTTGAGTTTGAGCCTTCATCCAACTCCAGGTTCAGTAGCCCAAGTACTCAGAATTAGTCTAGATTTTGCACATCCACTCAGAAGGAATGATGACACATTTTGGGGTTAAACATCAACAGTGGTTTTGTTAATAGACAAGAAAATTGCATAGAAAGTTGGTAGTAAAATTTTGGATTGGCTATGACTATAAGCTCTGATGTGATACTTTAGTTCGGAATCACAGAATGCTTAAGAAATTCCATTAACAACACCCTAATAGTAATTGCCCACATAACTATAAGCAGTGAATAAGTGGTAGCTATTATTTTTGTTATTAGCTATTATTATTATGGATTGATGGCCAACTGAAGTATTGCCAGACTATTAAGATGCATTGAGCTGTATAAAAATCAAAAGGGAAAAGTCAAACTGGAAAATAAGTTTCCATGCATACTGGATACATAAAATGAGAGATATACATTTATATAAATGTATGACTAATATGTGTTCCAAAATTGTGTGAGAGTCCTGTGATTCTGATATGTCTTAAGATAATATTAGTAGTAATTATAATTATTATGTAATGTTGCTGTATGCCACAGATGTAAACAAATTTCCTTGTAAATTGTGTCTTTAGCCATGGCTGTTGTAAAACGTTTTTTATCCACAATTGTTATTTTACTTTGGTCCTTTTATAGGGTGGTTTATAATCAGCTACAGAATTCTGAGGACTCTTAAATACAGGTTTCCAATAATTTTAGAGATTGTGTCATTGGAATAGAGACAAAAACTTCCAGGACTCTCATGGAGAGCTGATGTATTTGTGAGGATTGTTGATCCAACACTGAACAAAACAGGAGATAATTTCATGAACTGAACTAACAGAAGACTGAAATAATATTCTATAATTTTTTGGTTGAAAACATTTGCTGATTGTTTTTGTTTTGTTTTCCATAGTCAAGAAAACTTTCTCTTTTTAAAGCTATTTACAGCTTTTAACGATTGAGTAGTCTACTCTTATGAGAAAAATTTGAAATATAATTTTTTCCCTCAGTTTAATTCCTCCCAAATTTGGAAACTGTTTTGTGAGTATTTGCAATTTATGACAATATACTTCTTTGCATAAAATCAATAGGAATCTTTTTATATATATACAATAGGGCAAAATTGGAGACACTGGTTATTTTGCCACACTTTGACTGGAGTGACATTTTCAGACTGTCTTGAAAAAATGAGGCTGACCTGTAGAGCTGATAAAAAACACTTTAGAAAAACTGGCCCCATACCTTGTCCTTTACAGGGTCCTGATCCACATTAAGTAAACAATGTCATATTCTGACAGGCCTAGGAACTCCAAGTTTTCTTGGGAGCTCAAAAAGAAGGGAATTCACCCAATTCATAAGTATCTGCAGACACAGATAAATCCTTGGTTGGGCTTGAGGCTTTTAAAAAGGTCTCATATAAAGTTTCTTATGAAAAAGTTTCCAGCAAAGCCAATTTGAAAAGGGAGAGAGAGAGAGAGAGAGAGAGACTATGTGGCAAATGATGGTTCTTGCTGCATTTTATGCAAATAATCAAGCCAAGTATAATAGGACTAAAATTTATTTTACAAATAAATTGGTCCTACTATGATTTTGTCATTAATAAAATTGGGGAATTGGAGAGAGAAAATGTATGTTTCAAAATAAACCATAGTACACCTGTGATATGGTTTGACTCTGTGTCCCCACCCAAATCTCATGTTGAACTGTACTCCCATAATTCCCACAAGTTATGGGAGGGACCCGGTGGGAGGTAATTTGAATCATGGGGGCAGTTTCCCCCGTACTGTTCTCATGGTAGTGAACAAGTCTCACCAGATCTGATGGTTTTATCAGGGGTTTCCGCTTTTGCATGTTCATCATTTTTTCTTGCCGCCACCATGTAAGAAGTGCCTTTCTCCTCCCACCATGATTCTGAGGCCTCCCCAGCCATGCGGAACTGTAAATTCAATTAAACCTCTTTTTCTTCCCAGCCTCGGGTATCTCTTTATCAGCAGCATGAAAATGGACTAATACAACCTGTTATTAGATTCTAACCTTGTCCAATCTTTTTTAATTTTTATTATTTTGTACAATTTGGACCAAATCCTTAAATTTTTCCTGGCCACTAGTCTCCAAAATAATGTTTTCAATTTTTTCTTTCTTTCTTTCTTTCTTTTTCTTTCCCCCCATTTTTCCTGATTTGAAACACAGAAGCTAGACAACTTAAACTTCAGAAGAAAAGAACAGTAACCTATTCATATATGTAAGCCACTTTCATATCTACCTACAGATGTATGGACTTTAGAGTAATATGGCCTATATCTGTTTTCTGGGACTTTTTGTTGTTGTTGTTTGTTTTCTTTCTGTTTTCCTTTCCTGTTTTTTTCTTTGTGGGATGTGAGACTTCACAATCTGCTAAAAATGAGCTTTACTAACAATGTGAGACTTATCTGTCTGGAAATAAACTGTCCTAGCCACAAGAGATCAGACAAAACCCAAGACCAGAGACTCATTTTCTTCTAAAATTTTTTCTCCAAAAGATTTTTAAAAGAAAAGGGGGAAGAAATGTGAAAGGAAAATAAAACTGGGGAATCTAATTCACTATGTCAAAAGGAAAAAGTTAAGCTAAAAGCTGAGTCAAGCAAGGAGCTGCCTTTCTTTTTGTTCCTAATCAGATAGCTACAGATAAGAGGTTAAATATCTCCACAGGTAGCTACCTTATGTTCACCTTGTATGTTCGTCTTATGTAAAGTGCCAGTTTACTGAGCACCGCATGAATACATGATTGACTACTCCCCTACCTGCTCCTGCTCTCTTGCAATATGTGGATTTCCACACCCTTCCACTTTCCCCTCCAGCCAACCTTTCCTCATTAAATATTGAATCCCTCAAAATCATCTTTGGAGAAAGGCACAGACCTATCTCCCAGGCACATCCTTAACCTTGACAAAATAAACTTTTAAATTGATTGAGGCCTGTCTCAGATGCTTTTTGGTTTACACTCCAGACAGTTACATGAGAGAGCACAAATTTCTTTTTTTTTTAAGC
Source organism: Homo sapiens (assembly GCF_000001405.40). Lineage (NCBI taxonomy): Eukaryota > Metazoa > Chordata > Mammalia > Primates > Hominidae > Homo > Homo sapiens. The sequence continues at coordinate 84,020,841 of NC_000001.11, read as the reverse complement.
ACTGAATTTTTGAGTCTCTTCATCATAGCAGATCAGCCTAATACATGAAATAAAATGCCTGGTACAATGCCAATCAACTGTGTTAACAAAAGACTATGAGATCTACAGAGGAAAAAAGGACAGCTTTATTTCCTATATATTAAAAAAAATCTTCGGATTGGGGAGGCACAGCCTCCTGTACAAGTTAGAGTGTACTTTCTGAGGAACAAAGGGAGGGTCTGGCTTAAATAGGAAAATTCTTGCCTGGGTTGTCAATCAGGTTCACTTACACAAATGAAGGATTCAAACTTGTTCAATTCTGATTGATCGAAATAGCCAAGCCCTGATTGAATGGTTTCCAAGCCCCAAACCAGGAGTCTCTGTCAAATGTTTCTTTCAACTGCTGGGGGCAGGAGAGGTCCTGTGGCAATTTATCTTGGCAGTGACAAGAACTGGTTTGGCTCGACCATAGATAAACAGGTCCTCTGACACTTTTACAACGTGTTTCCCAGAACATAGATTTTGTGACCACTCCTTGACCCAGCCATGGCCACCTGATTCTATTTTAACTTTTAGCAAATTAGCCACAGGGAGCCCATTTTGTCTGTTAGCCTGGGGTACACTTTAGTAACTGCAAGAGTAAATAACAAAATTTTAAAACATATAAAAATGATAAAACATATCCTTAAAGGTAGATTTTAAAGTGTGATTATAATTAAGTTTGAATTATCTGGATACAGAAACCATTACAATTCTATAACATACATGTCTTGAGTTTCATACATTCAGACATTTTTCGCTTTTTGAGGGAATGCATTGTGATTAAAAGTGGGGGATTCTCAAATACATTTTTTAAAATGCACACTCTCTGTGAGTGTTGTGGCTTTCTCTGCCCTTGGAACACAGGCAGTGGAGTGTTTGTGTTGGTAAAAGTACCAATGAGGCTCCTATTTAGTTGCCGGACAAACCAGGGAGTCTGTTCCCACATCATGTGTCCTGGTTGTGTATGAAAGACTTCAAAGTATATAACATAGTGAAAGGATGGTCACACTGCTAAAGAAACAGGGAAGGTAAATACAAAACAATTGGCAGAAAAAGAAATTGTCTATTTACAAAGAAAGCCATGTTTCCTTTGTTGATTTATTCCTAACACTCCCACCAAGCACCTGGTCCTTTCTACACTATCCTTTGATGTTGAATATATTATATGCACCTAATGACTCAGCCAATATTATTCTGGTATTTTTTTAGTCTTCCAAGTTCTCTAAATGTACACACTATATTAATTTTCCTGAACCTCTACTGCCCACAATCACAAAAACATTGAATTTATATTTCTAGAAATAGAAAGCTGTCAACTAATTAAATGACAGGTGGACTTCAGAAGTTCACTAATCTAGAAGTCAGGCTTTTGATTTCAGCTCTGTTATGCTTAACTATGTGACTTTGTTTTAGTTACATAATTCTTTGAGTCCCAGCCTGTAAAATGAGAGAATTGAACTGGATAGGTTCCTAATGGTCATATTCTGTGACTCTACAAATGTACGTGTTATAAGAAGGATTTTATGCATAGGGAGTCCAATTTCTTGTTTTCTCATATTCAAGTCATGAAGAATGTACCTTTTAAAATACAGAATTCATTACAGAAGGTGTAAGCATCAAATGTTTTCCTGTATGTTAAAGTGGAAATTCTGAAATTATGAGAATTTTGAAATATTTTTAAAACTTCTATTAACTGACTACTAACCACTAGGCCTGAGAGATAGAATGGGGAGCAAGGCAGACATGGTCCTGTCCCCCTCAGAGCTGAGGGGAGGCAAATATCAAATGTGTGATGGGTGTTTTGAGAGAGAAGTACAGAAGGCTCTGGCAGTGTACAATTAGGATAGTTGGTATAAGCTAGAGTGTAGGCATAAAGAGGGGGAGGTAAATTTTGTGGATGACTTTTAGGAAATACAGGACCATTTTCCTTGTGCAGAAGTAGGGTATAGAGGCTACGTGGACCTTGGTTTGAATCTGAGCCCTGCCACACACTGTGTCATTTTGGGTCATCCCTCTCAACCAGTTTTTTAAATCTGTAAAATGGGGAAGATAATAGTACTTACCTCATAAGGTTGTTAGGAGAACTGAATGAGATAGTGCTGTGCCTAGAGCAATAATAATACCAACTATCATTATTATTGCTATTACTAAGTGGTGTTATGTGTCTCTGGACCTAGTCAGGCAATGATCCTGTAATCCCAGCACTTTCGGAATGCTGCAATTGGTGGTGAAGTCCTGATTTGCAGCAGAAAATTTTAAATTTGCAAACTAGCAAGCAATCTGTAGTTTATCTGTGTGGGCTTCATAAAACTTTCCTAGGCTCTTGCTTCTGTGCCACCCTGCCCCCTCCACCAGGTGGGAGGTGGAGAAGGGAAACAGGAAAGGAAGGAGAAAGTGGAAGGAGTGTGACCTCTCCTGGGGTGCTGCAGCACATGTTCAAGGGTCCAGTGTAATGCACTTGGGCCCATGGCAACCCAGTTACCATTCCAGCGGAATGTGGACTTGATTGACAGACTCTGTAGGCAAGATATAACCTTTACACTAATATGATATGTTTAATTTCAGACAGTGATAGAAACATAAGCTGGCAAAAGAGGACAAACTTAAAAAGGAATCACAAAAACAACTCCTTGAGGGCCAAGCAACAATTAGATGAAAAGAAGGATTTAATCCCCCAAGTCAACAAGCTCAGACTATTCTCCCAGCTGATTCTACACCTCTATAGGCAGATATCCCAGTTTGTAAGACTGGAGTGTCTGCAGCCATGCTTCCATTGTTCATTCATGATGTTTGTGCCTCCTCAACAACCTATTCTTGCTTACTCTTAATCTGGTTCAGCCACCTGAAATTTCTGTCTTTCAGTATTGGTTCATAGAGCATAACATGATATCATATGATAATAATACTCATACAGCAGAGGGAGGAGCTATGATCCATTCCATAATTACTGTCTTAATATCCAAAATGACAAACTTGTTGAGACCACCACTGTTCCAAGTCCCGAATCTGAACTGGTTAGAAACTGATGACAATTATCATTTCTACAAAATCAATCTCTTCATTGGAAAAAGAAGTAGGTAATTGTAATATACATTTTCTTAATGCTCCAAAGAGTCATTAGATAGCATCCTCCCCATAGAAAACCTCAACCATGTGGCAGAAAATTCTTAAAATAATACATTTTATTTTAATGTAATTCATTAAATGCATACAATTTAAAATTTTAAGTATTAATATATTTGAATTTATTATAAAAATAATAGTAAAATATTAGGTTCGTGCAAAAGTAATCTCGGTTTTTGTCATTAAAAGTAATGCAAAAATTGCACTTACTTTTGCACCAACTTAATAAAATAAAAATGAATGTGATAAATTTTATTCTGCTTTCATAGGAGAGCCCAGTATAAATAATAGCACACACTCCTTGGCTAACTTCAGTTAATCTCTTTCTAAACTTCTAAATGATATGAACATTGATATTATTATTAATATTGATTAATGTTAATTATGAGCTATCACTTTATAAAGCTCTCAACCAAAACCACCCTGAAAAACAGCACAGTTTCTTAATTCTGACTCCTCACAGAATGGCATCCCAAAAACACTCAGGGACATCCCCAGCTATGGAAAGGTACTGCATGGCTTTAGTGACTTTGAAATGGAAAAGATATGGACAGAGCCCTGGAAGGCTATACCAGACTGGTCCTATGTCCTTTGGGGGGATTTGGAGTATCTTTTCTAACAACCTTGGGGCTAAGTGCTCTTGCGAGTGATGCCAGAAGGCAAACACATGAAAGAAAGAATTGCCTGTACGTCCTGTCACCACACACAAAAAAACCCCACTTATTAGCTGGGTGCGGTGGTTCACACCTGTAATCCCAGCACTTTCGGAGGCTGAGGCAGGTGGATTACCTGAGGTCGGGAGTTCAAGACCAGCCTCACCAACATGGAGAAACCACGTCTCTACTAAAAATACAAAATTAGCCGGGTGTGGTGGTGCATGCCTGTAATCTCAGCTACTTGGGAGGCTGAGGCAGGAGAATCGCTTGAACCCAGGAGATGGAGTTTGCGGTGAGCCGAGATAGCGCCATTGCACTCCAGCCTGGGCAACAAGAGGGAAACACCATCTCAAAAATAAAACAAACAAACAAAACAACAACAAAAAACCATTTATAAAAGCCAAAAATTTAAGCTGCCTGTAATCTCATCTCACAAGAGATGAGCTAAGGGCAAAAGCTCTCTTTATTCCATTCTCTGAAGAAAGATATCATTAATCTCCCCATTAATGACTTCAGTAAAATGATGTCAGAGGAGCAATTCAATAATGTCTCAATTTGCATTAATTTGAGATATATATATATATAAATATATATGTTTATATAGGAGGGGTAAAAATAAAATGGCTTCTTAGAATTGTCAGAAAAGAAATACTAGAAAATACAGTAGAACTAGAGCAAGATCTGAATCATCTCCAAGATGAATTAAAAAATTATTCAGAGGTCAGGTGCAGTGGCTCATGCCTGTAATCCCAGCACTTTGGGAGGCTGAGGTGGGTGGATCACGAGGTCAGGAGATCAAGACCATCCTGGCCAACATGGTGAAACCCTGTCTCTACTAAAAATACAAAAATGAGCAGGGTGTGGTGGCATGCGCCTGCAGTCCCAGATACTCGGGAGGCTGAGGCAGGAGAATCGCTTGAATCTGGGAGGCGGAGGCTTCAGTGAGCCGAGATCGCCCACTGCACTCCAGCCTGGGCAACAGAGCGAGACTCTGTCTAAAAAAAAAAAAAGTTCAGAAAAAAAGGGAAAAACATTTGTGTCCTTAAACCTTAAATCTTTAGGCCTTTGGTACATGGTGAAAATGGAAGGCTTTATTCTCCTAATTAGTGCTCCCTACAGCAAATCAGAGACGACTGTATCATTTGTTCATTAAAGTAAGAAGCCAGACAGACAGTAAGAAAAACTTGAATTGAGGGATTTTTGCCGTTTCTGAGCTGGACATTTAAAAAATTTGGTATTGTTCTAGTAAAACCTCCTACTGTGAGGTGACATTCACAGTATTTTAATCAGGTACCCAGGATTTATTTTAATCAATGGTAAGACACAAAGACACAGAAATCAGGTACTCAGGATTTATTTTAATCAGGTATGGTAAGACACAAAGACACAGAAATGATGGTCATGAAGGAAGAAGTTTACACTCACAGGTCCCTAGACATAGGAGGAATGGCTGTCTCACCACACAGGGCTATATGGGGAAGTACCATGGTTGGTTAGTAAGTTTAGGATTGGCTAGTTTAAATTATTTCCACAGTCTCTGGGGCATAGCGCTGTACTTAGTTGTCTGTTACTTGAATCTGGGTTGACTAGGGTAGGTGAATAGTGGTACTGGGCATAAGATACTGTTACAGGGGGTAGGTGAGGATTGCCTGGTTCTTACATGAGAGATGTGCAGGCAGGTGAGCTGCATGCCATCTAGGAATTAGCTATCCCTGGGAGAGGCTGCCTTTCTAGGGTCAGCAAGGCCCCAGATGTCAAAACATCAAATACAAAAGTTAGAAAACATGATTATTACATGAAGGCACCTCATACTTCACAAATTATGAAAAGATGCAGTCATAATTTGTATTGAAAATATACAAAACTTTGAAAAACATTAAAGTCCTCACCAGTATGCAGAATTTATAGTTTCATTATAACTGCAAATTTATTTTCTTTAGAACCATTTGGCAGTAGTTCCTATACAATTGTAAATACTGCAAAACTTGTTATTTATACTCTTTTTATCTCACTTGTTACATTCATAGATTTATATAATGGTATGTTTGGCTCAAGGCAAATTATTTTAAAAACTAACCACTATATACATTTAAAAATACTCTACTAACAGAAAATGACATAATTCTCATATTAAATTTTCAGTTTGGCAAAAAAAAATTAGCTCAAAAACCTGGCACAAATAAAACAATATTATGATTGCTCATTATTTTTAAAAGTCTATATTTCCAGGTTTTTAAGATGACCCATCAAATAAGACTCATTGACAGCTGCCAGTCTGTCAGGACTATATGACCACTCTATAATCAGGTGTGTCTAGTCTAGGGATAGCAGATGGGTCTCCTTTGTTTTGTTCTCTTCTTCTTCCCAACCTCTTAAGTTTGGAATTCCCTGAGGCTTAGTCTTTGAACCTTTTCTGTTTCTATATACATCCACTCTTATAGTGCCCTCAGCTAGATTCATGGCTTCAAATCCATCTGTAAGTTTTTAATTCCCAATTTTATTTCTCCAGCCCAGATATCTCTCTGAAATTCCAGACTCATACATTCAACTTTATACTTGACAGCTCTACTTGGATGTCCAATAAACAACTTAAGCTTAACATGTCTAAAATGGAACTGTTTATTTCTCCCACTCCCAACAACCTTCTCCAGTAGGCTTCTACAGTTCAGTTAATAAAATTGGATACTTCCAATTAGGATGAATTAGTAGCTTAACTCCTCTCTTTTCATATCCCATATCTAACCCATTAGCAAATCCTTCTGGAAAGGCCCTGCCCAGTGTTCACAGCTCAGTCTTTTCTTTCCTTTTTTAATTTTTATTTTAGGTTCAGGGGTACATGTGCAGGTTTGTCATATAGGTAAACTTATGTCACAGAGGTTTGTTGTACGGATTATTTCATCACCCAGGTACTAAGCCTACTACTCAGCAGTTATTTTTTCTGATCCTCTCCCTCCTCCCACCCTCCACCCTCAAGTAGGCCCCGGTGTCTGTTTTTTCCTCTTTGTCCATGAGTTTTTGTCATTTAGCTTCCACTTTATGAGAACATATGGTATTTGGTTTTCTGTTCCTATGTTAGTTTGCTAAGAATAATGGCCTCTGGCTCCATCCATGTTCTTGTAAAAGACATGATCTCACTCTTTTTCATGGCTGCATAGTATTCCATGGCGTATATGTACATTTTCTTTACCCAGTCTGTCATTGTTGGACATTCAAGTTGCGGAGAAAAGGGAACACTTATACACTGTTGGTGGGAGTGTATATTAACTCAACCCTTGTAGAAAGCAGTGTGGTGATTTCTTAAATAGCTAGAAACAGAACTACCATTCAACTCAGCAACCCCATTACTGGGTATATACCCAAAGGTATATGAATCATTCTACCATACAGACACATGCATGTGAGTGTTCATTGCAGCACTATTGAAAATAGCAATGCCCATTTCTTTCTGGTGCAAATTTGGGGCCTTACAGTTTGTTTTAAATCTCAAATGGTTAAATGCTGTTTTAGTTAGAGCTCACAGTTTGTTTAGCAATATAATTTCCTCAAAAATGTAGAAGGCTCTTGATTTATTTCTCTGATGAAATTTCTCATTGATTCTTGCATGTTGTATACTTTACATGTTTGGTCTTTTAGCACATGAATCATAATTATTTTAAAGATTTCATCTGGTAGTTACAATATCTAGGTCATCTCTAAACTTGGTTCTGAGAATTGCTTTCTATCTTCACAGTAGGTTATTTTTTCTTTCTTTTTAGTTTTGTAATTTTTTTTTTTGAGACAGCATCTTGCTCTGTCACTTGGGCTGGAGTGCAGTGGCATGGTCATTTCTCACTGCAGTCTCAACCTCCCAGGCTCAAGTGATCCTCCCACTTCAGCTTTCAGAGTAGCTGGGACCACAGGCATGTGCTACCACACCTGGCTAATTTTTTAAATTTTTTTTAGAGACAAGGTCTCCCTATGTTGCCCAGGCTGGTCTCTAACTACTGGGTTCAGGCGGTCTTCCTGCCTTGACCTCCCAAAGTGCTGGGATTATAGGTATGAGTCATGGTGCCCAGCCTCAGTGTTATAACTTTTGATTGAATGTTGGATCATTATGTGTACAACAGTAAAGAGGAAGGTAAACAGTATTAACTCCTGCATATGTTCATGCCTCTTCTTCTGTCAGGCCATTAGTGTGGAGCTGGGTCAATCTAGTTAGGTGTTGAGTTGGATTTGGGTATTGTCTTTCATTTGTTGCTTTCAGTGCACCACAGGCTTCAAATTCCTTTAGTAGTTGGGCTACTACTACCTTGTACTCCCTGGGATAGAAAACAGGGTGTTGAAGGGTTTCTTTCATTGTTTTTGCTCCTCTCTCAGCTTTCAGTCATTTCTGCACACCTGTGCTGCAGAGGGAATCACTCCCTACACTCTTGCTTCCCCTTCCTCAACGGTATAATGCTGTTCCAGGGAGGGGCTCCCTGTTGTCCTGTTCCAGCTTCATTCTTAGTCAGGCCTTGTGCAGCTAGGCCTCCAGGGTGGCACTTTCTCACTATTCTTGCACAGCCTCCAAGTGGCAATGAAACTGTCTTGTTCTGGGATTGGTTTTGTGCAGGAGTATCCTGCCTCTCCCCCACTGCCAGCAGACTTCTGATTAGTAGGGGTGTAAGACACAGGGCCCAAGATGGTTTCTTGCCTCCCCCTAAGAGGGAAATGCATTTTGGTTCTATTCTTTCCCCGTGAAATGGGCCTTTGGTTGTAGGAAAGAAGGTTTGCTGCTCCTTTCCCAGTTATTTAAGGTATTTGCTTCATAGAAGGAAAGGAACCAAAAGCAAGTCAGGTCTTGTGCCCATCCCCTAACAGTCACCAATCACTTCCTTCACACTGGAGCCAGTGAGATGAGCCTTTCAGACCTCAGTCTTTTTGTGAGCTGCAGTGGGCTGTGAAAAAAAGTCCAAGTGCGAGTGAAGTCTCTCTTTGTTTCTGAGAAGCTCAATTATCGCAAACTCACATGCTGTCCTATATATGGCTTAATTTTATTTTATATTTATTTTAGACAATTTTTTTGTTACCTACTTACATGATGACCACCGGTTTTTCCCATACTTTGCCAGAGGTCTAAAGGTTCATGTGCTCTGTCTCTTTCTGAAGGAATCTGTCTCACTTTGGAATTCAGGTTAATTAATTCAGCTTCCTAGTGATTGCAGCTTTCTAAAATGCTCGGGGCAGGTTATGCTTTTATAGATTAATCATCTTTTTCCTTGTTTTTAGGATTAGTGTGATAATCCTTATCACACTAACTTTGTATCAAATATCTTAAAAGGAAACTGAAATTTTTCATTCTTCGGTTTTAAGTGATAGAAATCAGTTCTGGATAATGTAAGCAAAAAAGACCCTTATGTTGATATTGGGGCACTAACTGAACCCACAGGTAAGCGAAAGAAAGAGGTTCAGGCCAGGAGCTGTGGCTCACACTTGTAATCTCTGCATTATGAGAGGCTGAGATGGGAGGATCCCTTGAGGCTGGGAGTTTGAGAACATCCTGGTCAACATAGCAAGATCCCATCTCTGTAAAAACATTAAAAAACAATTAGCTAGACACGGTGGCATGTGCCTATAGTCTTAGATACTGGGGAAGCTGAGGTGGGAGGATCGCTTGAGCCTAGGGGTTTGAGGTTACCCTGAACTGTGATTATGCCATTGCACTCCAGTCTGAGCAATACAGTGAGACCTGTCTCTAAAAAAGAAACAAACAATAAACAGAAAAAGGTTAAAAATTACACAAGAACCAGGGTACTTTCAAGGGTCTAGTCAACAAGGATTACTTAACTATCTTGTTAGGGTATCTCGACTAAAAAAAATGAATTCCAGCTCTCCCAGGTACTCCAGATTTAAAGTCTTGGGAGTATTTCTGATAACCAGCTTAGTCCTCATGCTTATCCCTTGGTTTCAGGAAGACAGTATGTTTCAGGAGGACACAATGGAGAGTAGGCAACACACCAAGATAGTTGTTATATAACTGGAGTCATTTGAATGGATTCTGGGCCGGTAAGACAAAACAATTTTGCAGTAGGCCTACAAATTTCAATTTGTTGTAATCCAGATTTCATTCATTCATTCATTCATTCACTCAACAAATATTTATTTGGTATTTGTTATATGAAAGGCAATGTTATTGTTGGAATTACAGACAAATAAACACCAAATAAAGAACACTTACTAATTAAATTATTAATTTTTATGCTTTATTTCTTGGTTTTATTCTTGAATATTTAGGTAATAATGAATGTGTAAAATGCTAATCTCTTGTTTTGGCAGTGAGTAATAAGGGAAGGTAGCGAATAATACTAGGGTAACTATTTTACACACTGAAAATGCAAAATTATCATGTGGACTATTATATGATACTTTAAGGAAAAGAGACAGCTTAGATTTTGGAAAACAAATGCTCTGTATATTGTAAAAATACTTCTTTTTCTTTTCATAATTAGATGAATTTCAGTGATTGTTCTCTATGCCCTGAGAATATTATGAGATCTATATTAGTCTTGGCAGTGACTAAAGGCAAAAGAGCAAGGTCAAAGGTAGTACAGAATTACATTTGATAGGATTATTTATTGTGAGTCAGGATTTCATTCCCTATGCTTCTAAGGAAATTATCTTGGAATCTGAGAGCGAACCAAAATGTTAGCAAGTTTAATGTTGTATTGTTTTCTTGGCAAATGGAATGATTTTCCTAAGAAATTGGCCTGAGGATGAAATATTGTATGTCTGGGATACTTGAGTCCACAGATGTAATGAACTATACTGGTTTCTCTTCCTTAACAAGGAAGAGAGACCAGAAATCAGAAACAACTGGATTTAGACAAATTGAGTTTTGAATCTCACTTTGCTTTGTAACCTGAGGAAGTTGTTTGATAAATTGAAAATTTCACTTCCCTTATCTATAAGATGGATGTAATATGATCTTCTAATGAGAATTAAATGAAGTATTTTGTTCAGAGTATTGTGCTTACGGAAAGCTCAGTAAAAAAAGTAACTATCATTCTTAGCTATTTTACTATAATAATCTACCAAGCCCGTAGCTTCTGTGGGTGATTTAGGTTTAATTGCTTACTTTTTTTATGAAGATAAATTTGATGTACTGAGTCCTTTTATTAACACACATTGACTTACTGTAATTATCAACCAGAAATTTTAGTCTCACTCTTAAAATAATCAGACTTGCAAATTACAGTTATAAAAAGAAGGTATCCATTGCTGGGAGCAACAAACAGAAAGCTTTAAGCCACATCACTGAAAGACTGAAGAAGTGAAGATTGCAATGGATAAGAAGAGCCATGTTCCTTTTTCAGATCATATCAGCTGAGTATGGGAGTCATGCAGAAGACCAAAGATCACTCTTTCCTGAGGGGCTAACAAGTGTGTAGTCCTTACATTGTACCATAAAAATCATAGAGCCGTAATCAGTAGAACAAATATTTAAGGGTTTGCCTTTTTCATGTGCTTTGTTTGTGATTTGAGTCTTTCCTTCCATAAATAACATTATGGGTTATGCGCTAGATGAATTAGTTTAATCCTTGGTCCAATTATTGATTTGTTATGGAACCCAGTTTCCTTCATGGTCAGATTTTGATTATAAAATTATGTTTCCTCAAACTTCAGCTGTTGGAGGTAAATGGAGACACAGTAACAACAAGTAGTTAACCTTGGTTCTTTCTGTATCTTCTGAGATTCCTTGAGTTCCACTTAGCATGTTCTCTAGTTATTTCAGGGAGAGGAATGGGGCTGGTGGGGAGTTGCTCAACTCAGGACGCTCAGTCACCATGGAGGATGATAAGTTTCCCCTCTGCTTGAGATTCCAGGAAATCAGAGTCTGCTGCTGCCTCCTGTGCCACTTCTCCCCTAGTTTGCGGGTACTGCTAATGTCAATGATAAGTTACTGCTCACAGAAATGAGAACAGCTGAAATTAGAACAAATAAACAGCAACAACCCAAAAATTAAACAAAAAGCTCACCCATCTTTGTCACGGAGTTCCCAGGTGTTTTGTGCTTTCCGTGTCTTACTGAGTTTCCAATAAAACAGGCTCTTTCGTGTTGCCGGACTAACGTCTTCCCAGGACTTAAGCCTGGGAGCTGGGTTGGAGGACATTGTGAGCAATAGATATCCAGCTCTATTTGAATCATCCCTCCCTTCTGGCGCAAAGTCATGGTTATTGAAACAAATTTGTGTGCCTGCCCTTTTCTCCCTTAGAATGAATTCTTTTTTACTGGGAAACTCCTCAGACTCTTATTCAGATATATTCTTGGCAGACATTAATCTTCCAGACAAGCCCAAACTTATCTTCAAAGCATGGACTACCTAGAGCTCTGTAAATGCTAGCTTCATTGTTCTTTATGTATCTTTTTTATAAGATGAAAATAGGTGTTAGAGCATACAACATGCAATAATAACTAATACAGACAGCCTGGCTCTATGTAGGTAGTAAAATAGATGATGCAGATTAGATGTCTACTTCTGCCTCTACATCTCAGCATCCATCATGTAAGAACCATAGAACCACGATCCAGGGTAAATATGGGAAGATTTTGAATTGACTGAGACTAAATCTTCATGGCCTGGCGGAGTGGGAGATTCAAATAAAAGTTAATTTGAGTTATAGAAAAACACAGTTAGACCTAAGGGAGATAGGGTCATATCTTGACACAAACACAGCTCCCTTCATCCTCAGCTCTAAGGTGTCTGTCTCTCAGAAGTCTAGTGGCAGCTGGCTTCCATGTGCAACTGGGTAGAAGTGAGTTCTCAGGTTCTGTTGGGGTTCTAGCAGAGGAAACCTAGTCCAGTGCTTTGTCTCCCAAAGGATGGGCAAAGAACAATATCAGGGACTTAGTGAGGACAAAGAGCACTGGAGCCTAGGGAATGCTCGGTGGTTAGAGATCTGTAGATCTTTGGATAGAAGACAATGTTGGCTCAGATCTCCATACCTTCTACACAAGGCCAAGAAAGAACTGTGCAGGAAGACTGGATCTTCCTGTTTCTGAGGCTCTGAGAGTACCAGGAGACTTGAGAGTAGGAGAGTTTCCTTCAAGACCTGGAGCAGGGTCTGGTGGCCTCTCTGCTTTCAACTGTAGGTGGAGAGGGCTTTATCTTTCACTGTCGGTGAGATTATTGTCATTAAGCATCTGAGCTCCAATGAACTGATGTAGAAAAATAACCTGTCCAATGGCTCAGAGGCAGTAATCAGAGCAAACAAAGAACTGTTAGAGTTAAAGGGGATAGTGACAACTTGAATTGTGATTAAAGAGTAGCATAAATAATTCTTTCTGAAACTGAAAACATGGCTTCCCAAATAAAAAATTCACGAAAAGAACTGAAGGACAAGATAGTCTCTATAGAAATCTCAACTAAAGGTCTGAAAGATCAAGGTCTGAGAAATACTTCAAAGCATAAGGCAAAAGAGCATGAACCTCAAAAAGAAATGATAGCATGTTTTAAATTTCAAAAGACAATAATTTAAAATAACCAGAAGAAAATTCCCTAGTTTAAGACCTAAGTGTGGTGAAATTCTTCTCTGTCTCTCCCTCTCTCTCTTTTTAGAGACAGGGTCTCACTATGTTGCCCAGGCTAGTCTTGAACTCCTGGCCTCAAGTGATCCTCCCACCTAGGCCTCCCAAAATGTTGAGTGTACAGGTGTTAGCTATCACACCTGGCCCTTGTGGTAAAATTCTTGAATGTTAAAGATATAGGGAAAAACTCACAAGTTTCAAGCAGTAAGAACAAATTATCTATAATGAGAAAGTATTAGACTTGATCAGATTTCACATTTGTAATAATGGAAGCTAGAAACAAAAATTAACTAGAATCTATAGTTTAAGAATTGGACCCTAACCAAAGGATTCAGTACCTGGACAGGATATCATTCACTTCTCAACATAAAATAAAAATATTCATAGATACACAAGAAAGAGTTTATTACTTAGTACTTCATCACAGGAAAATCCATAAGAAAAGGCCTGAACTAAACAGTAAATAGACCAGAATAGAAATCTTTAGAGATGGAACATGATGAAGAGAGAAGCAGAGCTGAAGGATAGGAGAGAAAGAATGCTGAAAAAGGAAGAAAGTGAAAATATTTTACAAGACTTGTCTTATTCAAATGGAGGAAAGAGGGGAAATATAGGACCTGTAATATGGTTTGGCTTTGTGTCCCCACCCAAATCTCATCTTGTAGTTCCCATAATTTCCATGAGTCATGGGAGGTAACTGAATCATCGGGGCGGTTACCTCCACGCTCTTCTCATGATAGTGGGTGAGTTCTCATGAGATCTGATGGTTTTGTAAGGGGCTTTCCCCCCGCCTTCCCTCAGCACTTTTCCTTGCTGCTGCCATGTGAAGAAGGACGTTTTTGCTTCCCCTTCTGCAATGATTGTAAGTTTCCTGAGGCCTCCCCAGCCATGCTGAACTGTGCGTCAATTAAAACTCTTTCCTTTGTAAATTACCCAGTCTTGGGCAGTTCTCTATAGCAGTATGAAAACTGTATAGCAGTATAAAAACGGACTAATACAACTATTAGGAAAATAATATCTTTCTTTCATATGATGGTCTTGTAGTACTATCTTATTATAAGAGCAAGGGAAGGGAAGATAACAATTTATGAAAAGGAAAAATCCCAGCAAGCTTGCAGATAAATGAGTAGAAAGGGGAATTAATGAAACTTGATCAGACTGGCAATCATAAAAAAATGTAAAAGGGAAAACAACATGATAAAATAAATAAGTACAAAGTAAGATGGGAAGAATAAACTTACACATATCAGGCATTTCACAAAATGTGATTGGACTGACACTCTCTTATTAAAAAAAGACTTTATTTAAAAAGTAGATTTATGTTTTTTGAAAAATGCATACCTAAAATACAGTAATAAAAGAGCCTGAAGATAAAAGAAGAACCAAACCAGACAATGAAAAAGCACAGAAAAGTATGAACAGAGGCAATTTTAACAGCAAACAATGCAGAATAGAAGGTTAAAGCACTAAGAAATATAAGGAAAGATATTATCAAATTGATTATATGTTCTGTTTTTAGCAAACAAAATAAAAAAAACTAAATAAACAAGCCAAACTTTTAGGACTGCAAGGGGACATTTTATTTAAATTAGAAAAAGGAAATTAAAGAACATGATAAAAATAATTGTTCTGGATTTTTCAGTGTATCTCTCCCAGAAATGAAATGATTTTGACAAAAAAGAAAAGCTATGGAGACAACATAGAGTAAGTGAGTAATACAATTATTAAACTTAACATGTTAAACATTGTCATAGTCCATTCAGGCTGCTATAACAAAATACCATAGACACAGTTCTGGGGCTGTAAAGTTCAAGATCAAGGTGCCAGCAGATTTAGTGTCTGGTGAAGGCCTGCTTTCTGGTTCATATATGACGCTTTCTCCCTGGTGTCCTCACATGATGGGCAGGGCAGGGTAGCTGGCTGGGGCCTCTTTTATAAGGCATTAATTTCATTCATGAGGGCTCTGCCCTCATGACCTAATTGTCTTCCAATGGCCCCACCTTCTAATAAAATCACATTGATAATTAGGTTTCAACATATGAATTTTGTGGGAACATAAACTTTCAGACTATGGCACTTTCTTTTTGAGATAGGGTCTCACTCTTTCACCTGGATTGAATGCAGTGGTGCAATCATCGTTCACTGTAATCTCGAACTTCTGGGCTCAAGTGATCCTTCCACCTCAGCCTCCCTAGCAGCTGGGACTACAGGTGTGCCAATTTTTTTGTCGAAACAGGGTCTCACTTTGTTGCTTAGGTTAGTTTTGAACTCCTGGCCTCAAGGGATGCTCCTGCCTTGTCCTCTCAAAGTGTTGGGATTACAGGCATGAGCACATATTAATATAGTACATTTTATTCTTTGAATACACACATACACACGCACACACATATATATACACACCCCCACCCACACACACACACACACACACACATATATACACATATATTTCATAGTTCCCTAAAACTTTTACAAAACAAATCATGTGCTTAGCTGAAAGGAAAACCAAATTCAAAGAAGTAGAAAGCTTACAGGTTACATCCTCTCACCACAGTTCAGTAAAATAAATTGGAAATAAAGAAGCACATAATAAGACAAACCTTGTATGACAGAGGAAATTAAATAATATAGAAATGTCCAGAAACATTGACAAATCAAACACTCTAAAAATAATGGGACACAGCAAAAACTGAACTCAGAGGAAAATGTGTTGCCTTTAATTATGGAAGCAGAAAGGTGAGTACAAAGGCATTAAGTAAGTAATGAGTCCATGTAAGAACAACAACAATAGCAAAAAGAAAACAAAAGAAACTCTGAAGAGGTATCAACAGTGAAATTATTAAAATAGATAAAATGGTAGAAAAGAATGATAAATTCAAAGATTGCTTCTTTAAAAAGACAAATAAAATAAACATCATGTGAACCTGCTAAGGAAAAGATAATAAGATCATAATTAGACATGATCAATTGTGTGAAAGTAGGAAAGAGATTAAAAGAATTCTAAGTAAATACTAAAGATGATCCTAGCAACACATTAGGAAAATAAAACCTAGAAGAAGTGAATACTTTCCTAGGAAAATATACATGATCACAACTGACACAGAAGAAGTGAAAAACTTGAATAGACCAATTATTACAGAAGAGATTGGAGAAGTGATTAATGATCTGCTATTGAAGAAGGCCACAGGCAGATGAATTCACAGCTGAATTTTTAATCTAACTATTAAAGAACGGATAATTCCAATATTATTTAAACTATTGTAAGTCTTAGAAAAAAATGGAAAGTTCCCCAGTTAATTTCATGAAGCCAGACTAACTTGAGTACCAAAGCCTAAGAAGGAGTAAAACAACAATTAAAAGTACAGGCTGATTTCATTTCTGAATATAGCTGCCAAATGTTTAAATAACAGAGAATACAATAGAGGAATGAATCACGTGAATAACATGGTGTGAAAAAATAGGCTTTATTAGAGGAATGAAAAGGCGGTTCAATATCAGGAAGTCTAGCTACATATTGATTACATTAAAAATTAAAGGGAAAAAGCCCAACCATTATCAATAAGTTGTGGAAAGGCATCAGATAAAAGTCAAGTGACTTTAAGCAAAATAGAATCAGAAAAAATTTCTTTTATAATAAAGGAAAGCCCAATAGCGAACATCATCCCAAATCACAAAAATTAAATCTTTCACTTAAAATCTGGAATCAGGCATCACCACAATCACTTACATTAGTGATTCTAACAAATATAAATAAAATAACTGGTATAAATTATAACAAATATACATTTTTATATATTTTATAAACAGTCTCACTCTGTTGCTCGGAGTGGAGCCAGTGGCGTGATCAAGGCTCACTGCAGCCTTGAACTCCTGGACTAAGGGATCTTCCCACATTGGCCTCCTGAGTAGCTGGGACTGTAGGCTGGTGCCACCACGCACAGCTAATTTCTTATTTTTTATAGAGACAGATCTCCTTATGTTGCCCAGGCTGGTCTCAAATTCCTGGGGTCAAGTGTTCCTTTCACGCTGGCCTTCCGAAGTGTTGGGATTACTGGCATAAGCCATTGTGCCCAGCCAGAAACAAAGTTCTTGATATTGCTGATATGCCTGTTTTCTTGGAAAATCCAAGGGACTCATGAAAAAACAAGTAATAAGATAATTTGGTGCACTGAATGAATACAAAATAAATTACAGAAAGCATCATCTCTCTGTTCTGGTAGAAGACCCTACAAAAGGAAATGGAAAGAACATTTCATTCAGAATACAAGTGCTATAAAAAATTTGGTACAACTTTGGTAAGAAAGTTACAGAACATATATAAGCAAAATTATAAAAATATGATTGGGAAATGAAAAAACATAAACTAGAAAAGCTTATTATCTTCTTGGATGAAATGACTTACTGTCATGTAAATTCTCCAAAAATTAAAACAAAAGTCTAATGCAATATGACTTTTTGTCTTATATAAAATGCCGTATAATAATTAAAAAGGGCTTAAAGTCCAATATCTATATATAAAAGTAATTTTGAATGAGTATCATTTTAAATTTGGGGCTTTTTGAAGATTTGTTGAGAATGACAAAAACAACACTGAGAAAAATTCTAAACCCTTTAATAAATACATTTTATATGATAAATGTAAAATTACATAATGTAGGTTTTAAATAACAGCCTCTTATTTCCTTCTTAATAAAAGGTGGGATTAAGGGGTTAAGTCTAGAAGCCTGAATGTTATTTTTTGTAGGCCCCATATTGTTTTTGTCCAGTATGGTCTGGTCAAACTTGGCTGTACATTAGAACCACCTACAGAACTTCATAGGAATCTAGTTTCCAGAGTCTCATGCAGGAGTTCCTGCAATCATAATTTTGCAGCAAGAATTTTAGGCATCACTGGTCAAGTTTATGTTACAAGGTTCACTTCTTATTCTTAAATTCAGGGTCTCTTTTCTGAGCACAGAAACCTAGAAAAGGGTATCCAATGTTTAAATCTTCTGTGGGAAATGACTCATTTCCTCTTAGAAATGAGAGTTGAAAACAGGTTTTTAATAATAAATAAAAAATAGATTCTGCTGCAGAGAAACATGCAATGTACATGTTCTCTATAGCAGGAGACAGTAAAAGTATGCTGATATTCACGTCATGTATTGGTTAGTGTTTGAAATCCAGCTTTGTCTCTTTCCAATTGTGCTACCTTTGACAAATTAATACACCCTTGTAATTCTCAGTTTCTTCATTTATAAAATGGGAGTGATAATAGTACTTACTTCACATAATACTAGTTACTCAAACACTAATGATTTAATAAGTGTTAGCTAAACGCAAAGAGAAACAACACAATTAAGCACTCTCTTCAGCAAGAATAAGTTGAGAGGTTAATGTCACCACATGCTTTGGTAAGAGACCAACACATAGCAGGTACTGGAATATCTTGCATCAAGATTTAACATTTTGTGGCTCACAATGCAGTTTTATCAAAGGCATTAAGTATTCTCTTTCTCTCTAGCTCTCTTCTTATTAGTATCATTTAAAAAGTAATATTGGAATGTTCCCAGATCATGCTAGTTTGTGAATACAAATGAGTTCATGTTAATATCGGTGCCTAAATAAGGTTTAACAATCATCTTGAGTTTAATAATGATTCCCTTGACCCTGCAGTGCCTCCCTAGTCTCCATCATTTGCAGCAAGAAATCCTCAGCAGTGTCTTTCAGGTGCTCAGGAATAATACCACTCCTGCTTTACTGCTCTGGGCTCCTACTTAAGTTACCTTGACCTTGTATCGGCCACCAGTGTTCTTTATGAGAATATACCCTCACTGGGCAGATCAGTTCCTATCGCTGGCAAGGCTGTATGGAGGTCTATTTCAGGTTGGGTGAGAGAATGGCTCTCTTGCCAGCTCCATGCTGTCATTTGTCACCAGGCCTAAAGTAGTACTTCTTAGAACTTAAATTTCACAAAGTCATTTGTGGGGAAGATGATTATTTAGCTTCTGGCCCTAAGTTCTTTACACAGCAGGCTCAAAACCATTTGAGGACTCTGAGGAAAGCAGGGAATGCAGGCATCACACCATTCCTTCCACTTCTTTTGACAATTTCCCAAGGCTGCCAGCACAAAAATTCCCCTTTCTTCATTCAGAAACATATGTTCCAAGAGTGTCAACTTATACAAACAGATTGCTGCAGATGTCACTGGCCCATCCGCACCACAAATCATAAGGCTCTAAATTCCTTTCTATATCCCTATCATCTAACATCTGACATAAAGCACTAACTCAGAAGACGCCTCATCTACATGTGTTCTGTTCCTGTTGTTGCCTTTGAAAGTGAAACAACTGCACATGGAGAGAAGAATCACACATTTCTGAGCCTGAGGCCAGTCTGGCCACTGGGGACCCAATGCTCCTGCTCCTCGGCAACATGCAACTTTGGGGATTTCTGTTTTGCTGCTGCTGACGTGTGAATCTTTACAACAACCATTAACATAGTAACAATATCATATCATACAGAAACAATTTAATTTTATTCCTGATTTCTCAAAAAGCTTTCTTGAGGTGACGTTAAGTGTTGCTAATACCTCTGTTACTTAACATTTTTTTTGATAAGGTATATGAGGACCCATGATAATAGGTTTATTGAAAAATTCTTGCCCCTTCCTAGGAATGGAAGAATGATAACATGTAATGTAGTAATAGTGCATGCATAGTGTAAAGTGTAATACAGTGAAAATAATGATGTAAAGATGATTAACAAGAAGGCAGTGGAGAATTCCTCTTCAACCTCATGTGACCTTGACAGTGTATTGTGACGCTGATGTTCGGCTAGTTCTGGGTGAAGTCCAGCTTCTTCTTTCTGATCACTCTTCTTGCCTCAGGGTGATGCCTACCCTGGACACCTAACTGCCCCCTCTCCATTCTAAAACCCCTTCTCACAAAGGAAGGATAAACAGACTCACATTCAAGTTGCAATCACAGATGTGACACGGTTTAATGTATATCGTTCTCAGAGGCATTCTAGGGGAAAGGAACAAGTCAAAAACTC
The DNA here is from genome assembly GCF_000001405.40 of Homo sapiens. NCBI lineage: Eukaryota > Metazoa > Chordata > Mammalia > Primates > Hominidae > Homo > Homo sapiens. Next base: position 84,000,466 of record NC_000001.11, on the reverse strand, counting down.
CAGGTGGCAATGTCTGCTCTGCCGCTTATGATCGTGAGACTAACCCAGCACGACAAACCCTGAGCCCAGTTTCTCACCAGTGTCCTTTATGAGAAGATGCCCTCACTGACCAGATCAGTTCCCAATGCTGGCAAGGCTGTATGGAGGTCTATTGCAGGTTACCAATCTCACAGGAGTTTTTAGAAGAATAAATGAAGAAATGAAAATGAGACTATTCTCAGCACAGTGGTCTATAGAAAGTGCTGAATTTATGTTGATTTACTCAACGAAGGACAAAACTTTAAATTGTGAAATTTTATATTTTTTGGGATGCACTTGGAGGGCCTTTTTTTTTCCTACCTTTAATCACATTTTATAGGTAGTTGCCAATTCTGTTCTATCTTTTCTTTTTTTCTACAGGGAAAACTGTACACTTGTCCTGATCTTCACCATGCTCTGAAATGAACCTGTGTGAACCCAGCGTGACAGAAGCAGGGACCACAAAAGTCTAAGGAATTCATGTGTTAGGACTTCTTCCAGTTCTATACAATTCATTTTATGAGAAGACATGATTGCCTTCCCGTTTTCAAGACACGCAACTCTAAAATGGTGAACAATGAACCTCGAATATTCTTTAATTTCTGCAACAATCTTCTGTAAATCTTTATCTCGAAATGGCTTCCTAAATCTACATTTTTTTACAACTGCCGTGGTTCAACATTTGCTTAGCAGGAACTCTAGGTCAGAGCTGTCCCTCAGCATCTACGGGATGGGGCCCCACCTGATTTTATTTCCTAACTTTCGAGCTGGCCTCAGATACCCGTTTATTCTTTGCTTCACAAAGATGCTTAGATAAAAGATCTGAAGACTCTCTTCAAAGATTCAAAAAGCTCCACTGTTTTGTGGGAAGATGTCTGTGGTCAGATAGGCAGGTGGATCGGGCGCCTAGGGCCCGGAGGTAGAAGGAGGTGGCCGGAGGCGCTCAGGCCAGCGCCTCTCGCATCTCTGAGGAGGGGCGCCGCCCAGGCGCTCGCGTTGCTAAGTCCTCTGTTTGCCGCGTTCTAAAGGAGCCCCGAGCGGGACCAAGGCAAACGGGGGGGGGGTGTGTGTGGCCCGGGAAAGCTCGAGCAGTGTCTTCAGTAAACCCCCAGAAGAGGCAGCGGCCCCTCCGTTGATCCCTCCTGTCCCCAGGACCTCCTGACTCCGAGGGGGCAGAGGATTCCCCGAGTCCTTTGTTCCTCCCAACCGTCGCCGCCCCCGGCGCCCGCGCCTCTCGGCACGTCGTGCACCCCCGGCCGCAGCAGGCGAATGGTCTGGCCCGTCGGTAGCCGCCACCCGCTTGGGCAGCGACAGCTGTTCCAGGCACTCCGCGTCGAGCACCGGAGTCCCGAGCCGTGGCTGCCACGGGCGGTGGGCGGGCGGAGGAGAGCACCGGACCACCAGTGCAGGCTGCCGAGTCGGGGCGGCCGCCCACGGGGAAGCTGCGAGGCGCGGGAGCACCTGGGGGACCGCTTGCAGCGGGGACGCGAGGACCCGGGCTGGGCTTTCCTCACCCGGGTGAGTACCTGCTGCCGCCATCCTCCCCCGACCCCCTTCCATGTCCCCACGTCCCCAAAGGCTCCGCCCTGGCCCTCTTTCCGGGCCCCCATCCCCGGACTGTCACTGCTCTGGGGACACCGTCCCCGCTGGGAGCCGCGGAACGGGGAGCTGCTGCGTTCGTGCAAATGATTCAGCACCATTCGTGCCCTGAGAGGTTTGGGCAGAATGGGGGAGGGAGAGGGCGGAGGGGACGGGGTCAGTTGCTGTGATCTCAGCTCAGTTTTTAGGCTCCAGATGGGAGACTCGGGCGGGCGGGGTCGGGTTGGGTGAACGAGGAGGCTCCCTGCTGGTTTATTCTGTAATTCCGTCGTTTTCCCACATCGTGGTATAAGCCTCCGCGAGTATGCGGGGCATTCTTGAAAGGGTATCAAAATGCCCTTTTCGCACATGCGAGTGAAGTCTAGGGCCCTTGTAGGTACCTCTCACTTTCTCCACATCTTGCTCTGTTGGATGCCTGACTCATGCCATCATCCACTTATATCACATCGCAGCGTTCCCTCGACTGATGTAAAAGATACCCTATGAAAGTTGCCTTGTATTCTGGGTGGGTTTGATTGATCCTGGCATAGAAAGAAAAGATTTAGGAGAGGTAGGAAATAATACCTTCATAGCCTAGGCACTTACTTTTATATATCGTATTTTATTAAATCATCATAATCCAGAACCAAATGTGGAAACTGAGGAGCAGGGAAGTTAAATTACATTCTCAAGGTCACAGAACAGGAATTCGAATATAGGTTTTCCTGACTCTATAGTCCATGGATTTTCCACTGTATTAATGGAGTGTGTCCAAGTGTACATATATATGCTCTATTAGATATTAAACATAGAATTAATTAATTGAGGAGTAATCTCAAACAACAGCAACAACAACCTGTAAACTTTCTGCATAAGGAATTATTGCTCCTTCAATATGAAAGAAAGATGCTTTGAATCATGTGAAAAATAATCTATTTTCTTAGAAAGCTTATGGCAAAAAATATGTGAACAACACTACATAGGAGAGTGAGGTCATAACAGGAGATGTTCAGCACATTTTTGGCAGTGATATTTGGTGGATGCTCAAGTGTTGGAGAAGTCGATTAAAAACGTAAGAAGAACTCTGGAAATCTTTTTCTGTCTTAAATGTTAGGGAGACATTTACAGTAATAATAGTTACTTAGTTCATGAGGTGTGCGACTGAACTGCACCCCACAATAGGGTGACAGGTGAACCCATACTAAGATAATGTTACTTGATTCATTACAACTCTGTGATATTGCATAACAGGTGATAACTCCATTTTACAGACTAAGGAACAAAATTCAGAGAAGGTTCAAGACCACTCAGTAAGCCATGGAATTTGGACAAGCCTTGACTCTTAGTCAGTTTAGAAATATGAGTGTTGTAGTAAAATGTAGTTCTTATATAGTGGGAAACTGAATTAGTTTGTTGTTACCCTGCCGTTAAGAGTCAACAATTATATTGACCTTCTATGCTCCTTCTGTAAAAATAATGGATGCTAGGTCTTTCTTCGCCCGTTGATGGGTCCTTTGACTTGCTTTCATTAGCGACTTACAGATTTTTTCTTAAGAAATGCATCTCTTGTTTATGTCTCAAGAGGCAGGTTGCTATAGTACAGATGCTCATTATCTCTAAATACTCACATAGTATTGATGGTAGGCAGGAACAGAGTCATCTTAGTATGTCATTTCTAAAGTATTGAACCATTTGCATTGGAGAATTCTTTTTCAAGTTAACGGGGGTATTGATAAAGTCCACTGCCTAAATAAGGACATAAAATGGAGGCACAAATTTATATTTGTTGTTCAAACAAGAGTATGAGAAGTGGGGTCTTGTGAAGAGTCTTGAGTTTGATTCCTAAAAGTCATTTCATTTTGTTCTTTACATGGCTATAACCTATATCCTGAACCTTGGCAAGGCATCTTGTAATCCAATCTGTTTAATCCTAAGGGGGACAGCAGAACTGGCATGAATGAATAAGCAAAAATACAATACCACTGCTGTTAAAAAAAAAAAAAGGAAAGTGCATGTCCTGGTGATGGATGGTCAGCAGCAACATTTTAAAACAGAGACAGCACATTTTACTTAGATGACATCACTGAGAGTATGAATATAATACCAACTTGGCTTTAGAACTGCTCTCTCTCCTCTGTCCAATGACTACAGTCTGCAAACCATCTAAATTCCCCACTTCAAGGAACTTAAAGTCTAGCAGGGGAAATTTTACTTACACGTGAGTAATTAACAAATAACTTAGAATTGGCTTAATACCAGAAAAGGGTGGTGCAGACCTACTGCTATAGCGGTACCTTAAGAGAAAAGAGAAATAGTAGAGCCTTGGATGATCAGAGGATCAGGAAAGTCTTCATGGGTTGAAGTGAATTAAATCAGTCTCAGAGACTGGAAGGATTCTGATAGGCAAAGAGAAAGCCACATAAAGGTTCAGCTAAGAAGTGCTCATCTACTGTTTGGATACATGGTGAAAGATCATGAAGAAACTTGAATGTCAGACAGTGAGATCTGTTTCTGATCTGTTAATCATTTCTCTTTCTTACATTCTCCATATCTGTTGCCCCGAGTCCCCTTCCAGGAAATGGTCTGTTTCCTGGGTACTAAAAGGATTGTCAACTAAACTGAGAAAAAGTTTTCTGTGCAAGTACAATTTTTCCTCTTCCAAAGGAATTTGCCTTTTAGCTCCGGCCCCCATTAGATAATTATGAACAATTTGGAAAGTTTAAGAATATAAAAAGGAAAAAAACACCCTCATAATTTGACCAACTAAAGACAATCACTATTCATTTTTGACATGTTTCTTTCCACTTTTTTCATGCGTAGTTTTAATTATGGTATCTATATTACTTTTATATTATTTTTAAATTTAAAATTCTATAACTTTAGTTTTCATTTAATTACAACTGGCTTAATACTAGGTTTAAAATGCCTAATAGCAGGCTTAAAAATGACTACATAATTTTCCATTTGGTAGATGTATTATCATTGCCTAATTGTTCCTCATTGTCACTATTGATGACATCATAATAAACAATTATTGATGATAATAATAGCACTGTGATGAACATCTTTGTGCGTATGCTTTTTTTTGTATTTTGAATATTAGTTCCTTTGCATAGAGTCTCAGAAATAAAATTTCTGGGTTAAAGGGTATGAGGTCTTGAAGTTGCACTATTTTAAGCAAGTTTTGAAACTACTGAGTTCTTATATTAGGCCATTCTTGCATTGCTATAAATAAATACCTGAAACTAGGTAATTTATAAGAAAAGAGGTGTAATTGGCTCACAGTTCTGCAGGCTGTACTGGAAGCATGGCAGCATCTGCTTCTGGGGAGGCCTTAGGAAGCGTCCAATCATGTTGAAGGGGAAGGGGGAGCAGGCACGTCACATAGCAGAAAGCAGGAGCAAGAGAGAGAGTGAGGGGGTGGTGCCACACACTTTAAGTGACCAGATCTTGTGAGAACTCAGAGTGAGCGCTCACTTACCGCCAAAGGGATGCATTAAGCCATTCATGATGGATATGTCCCCAGGATTCAAATATTTCCCACCCCCACCTCCAACACTGGGGAATAAAATTCAACATGAGATTTGGATAGGGACCCATATCCAAACTGTATCAATTCCCAGTGTTCAATTTGGAATACTTACATGTTGATTATAGAATATTTGCATATTAATAATTCATAACACCCAATCTTGTCTGTGGCTCCTCAGATTATAGTCTTTCAAGCAACTTCTTTTGATTAGACTAAAGACTGATTAAATCATGGAGACTGGGAGAAAGGCAGGCAGTTGGTGTTACTGAGGAGAGAAGATACTAAGTTGGAGAACAGGCTTGGTGAGAGTGAGTAAGAGTTGATAGTCAGAGAAGGAGAATATGTGATAGACTACTTTCTGGTTCCAGTGTTGTATTTGTGGACTTCAGCTGTAAACCTCTGCATTCCCTCACCCACAACACACATATCTATCTCCTTCAAATTTCAGTTTATTCTATCCTCTTATATCAGATTCCCAGGTCTCCAGCTTCAGGGTCCTGATATTGCAAGGCACAGCTGTGAGCTCACTTTTGCACTCTAATTTGGGGAATTCACAAAGGTGAGAGCAGGAATTTGGGACCTCTGCTTAGGTCTGAGCAGAAGTCCTGGGCACAAGGTATAAGGTGTAAGGGAGGGACAGTTGACAGACATTAAAGACCTCTCCTGCCTCCCCTGTACATTTGCCAGAGATGACCTTTGAGAACAGTGATTGTCAGATGCATAAAGTTCCCAACATCTCTTCTCAGCATTCAGATGCTCCCCCTCCCCTTGTTCCCAGTATCCTTCCACCAGAGGAAATTCCCCTCATGCAGGAGAGAGACTGTGCTTCAGTTTCCTCTATTCATTGTAGGGATACTTGGCACTACCTTCTTGCAATGAGAAGGGCAGGGGCCCAGTGTTGGACGGGTCCTTTGGGCTCCTGACTTGCTCCTCCAGGTTCTCACCTGAGCTTCCTCACTGTCCTACCTCCACTCTCTTTCAAGGCTGGGAATCCATTGAGGTAGGCAGGCCATTAAGTGTCTATGAGAGCCAGTGGAAGCAGAGCCAAGGCAGATGAATGTGCCTGAGGGCACAACTAGGGAGCAGAGAGGCAGGTTCTTATACTATGCCATCAGTCTTGAGAGACTTGAAACAATGAAAACAAAAGCATCACATTATAAACCAAAAAGAGGATTCCCACCCCACTTTTCAGGTCCTGAAAGAGGATTTCTGATAGAAGCTGGACATTAACATAGGCAGAGTATTTTAGGCAGAATTTGTCCTGTGCTTAGTTGAAACCTATTATTGAAAAGTTTGTAAGCTCTTAGAAGGTGGTAAATCTATCTCCATTTCTCTCAGGCATTATCTGTCAAAGTTGAAGTGAGCTTAGCAAATATTTTTCCTGGAGTTAAGTTAAAGTAGAAAAGTTAAACTTAAATAAGCTTGAGTATTCTCCACTAATCTTTATTTCTGTTATTTCCTATTTGACATTTATCTGTTAACACACTTCTGTCCATAGTACACACAGTAGTTGACAGAGCCAAGATATTGGAATTGTTTTGGCTCTGGGATGGTGAGTGATAAGTAAATTTTCCCCCTTTTTCTTTCACCTTTTATTTGCAAGCAACTAGTTGGCTTATGTTTCCTTTGAAGGTGTAGAGTTAAGTACTCCAGCATTCACTGGGTCTTCTCTGTGGCTGACCCAAAGGTCTCTGATCCTTTCTTTTGAAATTGGTGAGATTGTTGGTCCACTGGGCATATTGAACCATCCACATTGCTTGCTCTTTCTAAATTGTGCTGTAGCACCTGAGCTTTCTAACTTGGTGTTATTTTTGTCTTTCTGCTTAGTTATGTGTAATGGAACAGTATAGTTGACAAAGGATTATTTAGAAAATTTTCATCTCTCTTACCCCCTATTTTGCAGAGTGTGAGCTGGCGCCATGTCTAATTCAACGGTATGGCAGTAGCTGTTTTTATAAACATTTTCCTCCCTCTTCCATTAGTGTATATGTAGTGAAGTTGACTTTTTAAAGTAAATTGAGCATTTTTAGATTTGGAAGGTGGCTCAGCAGTAATCTAGGCAGCAGCTTCAAGATCATTTCAATGCTATTTGTTGGATTGGAATTTTCAGGATGCTTAGATATATCTCTCATGTAAGGTAGGACTATTTTTGTTTTGTAAGTGAAATGACTCCACTTAAACTTTATTGTGTAAAATCTTCTTTAATTGATGTGGTCTTAACACTATGTCATAATGTAAAGTGTTGGTAGAAAAAGTTAGCATCTTTGGGTTTAATTTGAATTATTGCATTTGATGGGAAAATTTTCATGTGTATTTTGTCATTACTATTATTGAAAAATCTATTTTTTCAAAGTACTTAACAAATAAAATCTACGACCATGTGTGATATTCATAATGATTGCTGAAAATCAGGACAGTAATTTTAGCACACATCTTAGTCTATATTTGGAACCAGTCAGTCTGCAGTTAACTAACAAATACATGCTAGTTGTTTTTTGGAGAGAAAAGCTAGAAACTAAACATTTCCAAAAAAAAAAAAAAAAAAAAGAACTTGAATACTTTCTATAACCAGTTTAATATTTATGAAACCAGATGGGGGCATTTTCATTTATGTTTAGGTTTGATCACATCCAAGATGACAATTTTTTTTAGCATCTCTTAAATCTAGAATTTTAAAGATTAGCAGATATTATTTCCACCATTTTTACAATGTGAAAAATGGAGCTAGAGAGAAAAAGCAAGGCAGAATTAGCATGCAGAAGCATAATGAGATTTGAAATTGGTCTATAGCTGCCTGTTTTAGATACTAATTTTGACAGTAGATGCTAGTATTTGCTGTCATATGTAAATAAGAGGACAACCTTTATTGGTTTATTAGTCCTTTTGTTTTTTTTTTCTTTAGAGTATTTGAGGAAAAAGTATCTTCTCAAGTTAACTGAATTTTTTTTAAACTAATCTGTGATGCCTATTTCCAGTTTACATCAGCTTCCCCCTTAGTTAATAGATATACTTTTCAACCCATTATTTTTTTGGAAAATATAAACAAGTTGTTTCTGGAACTTGCCACAATAATGATAGGGAAATAGACAAATAGTAAGGAAAATTTGAAAGGGAGGGATCAGTGCTTCTCAAAATTAAGTGAGCTGTATATATATATGTGCAAAAAGCCTTGTCAAAAATCAGTGCCAAATGAGCATTTTTGGCAGAAAGAAACATTTACTGCTACATATGTTATGGGGTTGACATTTCAGAATAAGAGGCATTTTCTTTTTTAAACATTTATCTTGAGTATATAATATGCATCAAGACCTATTTTCATCCTTGACTTAGGATTAAAAGTGAATATGGTTTTTCATTCTAGTAGGGCATATACTTCCATATTGTGCTTAAGAGAGTATCTGTGAATTTTGTTTTTAGAACCTACAAGGACTTAGAATAATATAAACATAGGATGTGTGAAGGTCCTCAAGTGTAGCTTCTACTGGGAATAAAATTAAGCAAATACACTCAGCAATATCTATAAATAGAGTGATTTAGATCTCCAAGTAAAATTACCTGATAATATAGTTCAAGAGTGTGAACATCTTAGTATTTATATAATTATTTGGGTGATTGTAGGCATTCCACAAAGGCAAATTTTTCTTCCAGTGAATATTTTGTAGCATTATTTTTAATATATATATATTTTCTTTTTTGAGACAAGGTCTCCCTCTGTCACCTAGGCTGGAGTGCAGTGGTGTGATAATGGTTCACTGCAGCCTTAAATTCCTGGGCTCAAGCGATCCTCCCACCTCAGCCCCCTGAGTAGCTGGGACTACAGGTGTACCACCGTGCCCAACTAATTTTTATATTTTTCGTAAAGACAGGGTTTTGCCATATTGCCCAAGCTGGTCTCAAACTCCTGAGCTCAAGTGGTCCACCAGCCTTAGCATCCCAAAATGCAGGGATTACAGGTGTGAACCACCATGCCTGGCTGTATAATTTTTTTTACTGTGATAAAAACATCTTAAACATTTTTAAATGTACAGTGCAGAGGTATACAGTTCACATTATTGTGAAACGACCTTCAGAACATTTTCATCTGGTAAACCTCAAACTCTATACTCATTAAACAACTCTGCTTTTCACCCACCTCCCCCTAGCTTCACCCTCTGCCCCTGGTAACCACTATTCTACTTTATGTTTCTATGAATTTGACCACTTTAGATACCTCATACAAGCGGAATCATACATACTTGTCTTTTGTAACTGGCTTATTTCACTTAATATAATGTCCTCCAAGTTCATCCATGTTGTAGGATATGTCAGAATTTCCTTAGTTTTTAAAGCTGAATACTATTCCGTTATAAGTATGTACCACATTTGTTTATCCATTCATCATCCATGGACAGTTGTGTTGCTTCCACCTGTTGGCTGTTGTGAACACTGCTTCTATGAACATGGGCATGCAAATACCTCTTCAAGACTGTGCTGTTAATTTTTTTCAGATTATACCCTGAAGTGAAATTGCTGGAGTATATGGTAGTTCTATTTTTAATTTTTGAGGAACCTCCATATTGTTTTCCATAGGAGTTGCACCATTTTACTATCACACCAACAGTGCACAGGTGTTACAATTTCTCCTCAACCTTGCCACTTATTTTGTGATATTTTGATTGTAGCTGTCTTAATGGGTGCAATATGATATTTGTTACAGATTTGATTTGTATTTCTCTTATGATTAGTAACATTGGACATCTTTTCATTTGCTTATTGGTCATTTGTATATCCTCTTTCTATTCAAGGCATTAGCCCATTTTTAAATAGGGTTATTGGAAGTCCTAGCCAGAGCAATCAGGCAAGAGAAAGAAATAAAAGGCATCCAGGCCGGGCGCGGTGGCTCACGCCTGTAATCCCAGCACTTTGGGAGGCCGAGGCGGGTGGATCATGAGGTCAGGAGATCGAGACCATCCTGGCTAACAAGGTGAAACCCCATCTCTACTAAAAATACAAAAAATTAGCCGGGCGCAGTGGCGGGCGCCTGTAGTCCCAGCTACTCAGGAGGCTGAGGCAGGAGAATGGCGTGAACCCAGGAAGCGGAGCTTGCAGTGAGCCGAGATTGCGCCACTGCAGTCCGCAGTCCGGCCTGGGCGACAGAGCGAGACTCCGTCTCAAAAAAAAAAAAAAAAAAAGGCATCCAAATAAGAAGTCAAATCATCTCTCCTTATTGATACGATCCAATACCTAGAAAACCCTAAAGACTCTGCCAAAAAGCCCCTGGAACTTATAAACAGCTGTTATACAGTTTCAGGATAAAAGACCAATGCACAAAAACCAGTAACATTTCTATACACCAATAGCATTCAAGCTAAGAGCCAAATCAAGAATGCAATCCCACTTACAGTAGCCACAAAAAAAAATCCCCAACATCAATAATAACAACAACAACCAAAGCCTAAGAATACATCTAATCAAGGAGGTGAAAGATCTCTGCAAGGACAGCTACAAGACACTGCTGAAAGAAATCAGAGAGTACGAAAAAAACATTCCATGCTCATGGATTGGATTAATCAATATTGTTAAAATGGCCATACTGCCCAAAGCAGTCTACAGATTCAGTGCTATACTTATCAAGCTACCAAAGTCATTTTTCACAGAACTAAAAAAACAAAACAAAACAAAAACTATTTGAAAATTCATAGGGAACCAAAAAAGACCCTGCATAGCTAAAGCAATCCTAAGCAAAAAGAACAAAGCTGGAGGCATCACAATACCTGACTTCAAACTATATACTGTAAGGCTGTAGTAAACAAAATAGCCATAGTACTGGTACAAAAACAGACACATAGACCAGGGAAATAGAATAGAGAATCCAGAAATAAAGCCACATGGTTAACAAAGTTGACAAAACTAATATGGAAAAGACTTCCTGTTTCCCTGTTCAATAAAAGATACTGGGATAACTGGCTAGCCATATGCAGAAAAATGAAACTGGACACCTACCCCTCACCGTGTAGAAAAACTAGCTGTTTTAAAGATTTAAATATAAGTCCTCAAACTATAAAAATCCTATAAGAAAACCTAGGAAATACCCTTCCCAACATTGCCTTGATGAAGGATTTATGGCTAAGTCCCCAAAAGCAATTGCAGCAAAAAAATTTATAGGTGGGACCTAGCCAAAGTAAAGAGCTTCTGTACGGCAAAATAAACTAACAGCAGAGTAGACAGACAACCTACAGAATGGGAGAAAATGCCTGCAAACTATGTATGTGACAAAGGTCTAATATCCAGAATCTAAAGAACTTAAACAGTTGAACAAACAAAAAACAACACCATTAAAAGGTGGGCAAAAGGCCAGGCGTGGTGGCTCATGCCTGTAATCCCAGCACTTTGGAGGGCCGAGGAGGGCGGATCACAAAGTCAGGAGACTGAGACCATCCTGGCCAACATGGTGAAACCCCGTCTCTACTAAAAATACAAAAATTAGCTGGGCGTGGTGGGTGCACGCCTCTAGTTCCAGCTACTTGGGAGGCTGAGGCAGGAGAATAGCTTGAATCCGGGAGACGGAGACTGCAGTGAGCTGAGATCGTGCCACCGCACCCCAGCTTGGAGACAGGGCGAGACTCCATCTTAAAAAAAAAAAGGTGGCCAAAGACACGAACAGACACTTCTCAAAAGAAGATGGACAACTGGCTAACAAATATGACAAAGTGCTCAACATCACTAATCACCAGAGACATGCAAATCAAAACCACAATGAGATACCATCTCGCATCAGTCAGAATGGCAACTAACGAAAAGTCAAAAACCAACAGATGCCAGCAAGGCTGCAGAGAAAAGAGAACGCTTATACACTACTGGTGAGAATGTAAATTAGTTCAGTCACTGTGGAAAGCAGTTCAGAGATTTCTCAAATAACTTAAAACAGAACTACTATTCGACCCAGCAATCCCATTACTGGATATATATCCAAAAGAAAATAAGTTGTTCTACCAAAAAGATACATGTACTTGTATAATATGTTCATTGCAGCACTATTCACAATAGCAAAGACATGAAATCAACCGAGGTGCCATCAGCGGTGGATTGGATAAATAAAATGTGGTACATATACACCATAGAATGCTACGCAGCCATAAAAAGAATGAGATATCTTTTGCAGCAACATGGATGCAGCTGGAGGCCATTATCTTAAGCAAATTAACGCAGGAACAGGTAACCAAATACTGCATGTTCTCACTTATAAGTGGCAGCTAAACATTGGGTACTCATGGACGTAAAGATGACAACAATAGACTCTGGGGATTACTATATGGAGGTAGGAGGGTGAAGAATGTGGGCTGAAAAACTACCAATTGGGTACTATGCTCACTACCTGTGTGATGGAATCAATTATACCCCAAACCTCAGCATCATGCAATATACTCAGGTGACAAACCTGTACATGTACCCCCTGAATCTAAAATAAAAGTTGAAATTATAGAATAAATAAACAAATAGGGTTATTTGATTTTTTCTTGTTGAGTTGTAGTTCTTTATATATTCTAGGTATCAACTCCTTGTCAGATAATATGTTTTGCAAACATTTTCTCATTTTGTACATTGCCTTTTCACTCTGTTGATTGTGTCCCTTGGTGCACAAAAAGTTTAAAGTTGATTTAGACCCATTTGTTTATTTTTGCTTTTGTTGCTTGTGTAGCATTTGTTGTTATTAGCAGTTTTAAAAAAAATCGTTAGAATTGTTTCAAATTGCTGTTTACTAATTCCTTTCCTCCTTATTTAAAGTCCACAGTAGTATTCTTGAGACTATGTAATGATGATACATGCCATAATTATTTTACAAATTGAAATTAATTTCAATGGAATTTGTCTCTGTGGAAGAGCCACTTTAAAAAAATCTATCTAATGTAGAATTTTGTTGTTGTAACTTAACCAAATGTTAATTGAAATTGTGTTAAACCTATACGTTGATTTAGGGAGAATTGCCATCATCACTGCGTTGCTTCTTTCAATCCATGGACATGGCATGTCCCCAGGTGTTTAAGTCTTCATTGATTTCTTTCATCAGGATTTTATATTTTTTTAATTTTTTTTTGTTTTTTCTTTTTTTTTTCCATGTAAACCTTCCTGCACAAATTATAATTTTAATTATGTAAATCTTGCACATGTTATCTTAGATTTATACCTATATTTTAAATTTTCTTTGGAAAATTATACCTGTGTTTTAAATTTTCTTTGGAAAATTATACCTATGTTTTAAATTTTCATTTCCATTTCTTCATTGTCAAGATATAGAAATGCAATTGATTTTTGTGTGTTGATCTTGTGTTCTTCACTTTGAGGGTTTTTTTTAAATGTAGACAATCATGTCATCAGAAAATAGAGACAGTTTTATTTCTTTCCAATCCATATGTCTTCATTTTTCTTGCTTTATTGCAATGGCTGGAACTTCCTGTACTATGTTCAATAAAAGTGGTGAGAGTGGACATCCTTGCCTTCTTCTTCTTCTTCTTTTTTTTTGAGATGGAGTCTTGCTTTGTTGCCCAGGATAGTGTGCAGTGGCACGATCTTGGCTCCCTGCAACCTCTGCCTCCCGGATTCAAGCAATTCTGCTGTCTCAGCCTCTTGAGTAGCTGGGACACAGGTGCATGCCACCACTCCTGGCCAATTTTGTGTTTTTAGTAGGGGATTTCACAATTATTGGTCAGGCTGGTCTCGAACTCCTGACCTCAGGTGATACACCGGCCTCGGCCTCCCAAAGAGCTGGGATTACAGGCGTGAGCCACCATGCCTGGCTGCCTTCTTCTTAATCATAGAAGGAAATCAGTCTTTCACTATTAAATGTAATGCTAATTATGTAGGTTTTTTGTACCTGCTCTTTACGGGGTCAAGAAAGTTTCTCTCTGTCCTTAGTATGCTGAGACATTTTATCCTGAATGAATGTTGGATTACATCAAATACTTTTTTTAGTATCAATTGATATGGATGTATGATTTTTCTTTCTTAGCTTATTGATATGGTAGGTTACATTGATTTATTTTTGAATATTGAATCAGCCTTGCATACATGAAATAAATCTCACTTTGTCATGACAGCACATACTTATACATATATTATACATACACACACATTATACATATACACACATTAGGTACACACACAATATATCCACAAATATTGTTAGATTCAGTTTGCAAAATTTTAAGGATTTTTGCATCTAAGTGAATGAAATATATTGGTCTGTAGTTTCTTTTTCTGGTGCTTCTTTGGTTTTGGTTGTCAGAGTACTATTGATCTCATAAAATGAGTTGGAAAGTGTTTCTTCTTCTATTTTCTGAAAGAGTTTGTTTAAAAATGGTGTTAATTCTTCATTGAGTGTTTGGCAAAATCCCATAATAAAACCACCTTGGTCTGGACATTTCTTTTTCAGGATATTTAATGACAAAATCAGAATTATTTCTTTAGTAGTTATAGAACTATTTAGGTGATCTGTTTTATCTTGCCTGAGATTGGGCAGTTTGTGTTTTTTTAAGAAATTGATTAGTTTTGCTAAGTTGTTGAATTCATAACAGTAAAGTTATTCATAATTTTCCCTTATTATCCTTTTATTGTCTTTAGATTCTGTTGAGATAGGTTTTTTAAAATTTTTGTTTATTTATTTATTTATTTATTTTTAAGAGACAGGCCTTGCTATGTTGCCCAGGTTGGTCTCGAACTCCTGGGCTCAAGCAATCGTCCCCCGTCTTTGTTTCATTTTTGATGTTGGTGACTTGAGTCTTATCTTTTAAAAAATCTGTGATGGTTAATATTAGGTGTCAACTTGGTTGGATTGAAGGATGCCTAGATAGCTGGTAAAGTATTATTTCTAGGGGTGTCTGTGAGGGTACTGCCAGAGGAGATTGACATTTGAGTCAGTGGACTGGTAGAGGAAGACCCACCCTCATTGTGCCAGTGTGGCTAGAACAAAGCAGCCAGAAGAAGGTGGGATAAGCTTTGCTTGCTGAGCCTTCTGGCTGCCTTCTTTCTCCAGCCTTGGATGCTTCCTTCTGCTTCTCCTGCCCTTTGGACCTCAAACTGCAGGTTCTTTGGCCTTTGGACTCTGGGACTTGCACCAGGGAATTGCCAGGGGTTTTTGGGCCTCTGGCCACAGACTGAAGGCTATACTGTCGGCTTCCCTGGTTTGAAGCTTTCGGACTCAGACTGAGCCACTACCAGCTTCTGTCTTCCCCAGCTTACAGGCGGCCTATTGTGGGACTTTGTCTTGTAATCCTGTGAGCCAATTCTCCCTAATAAACTCCCTTATATATGTAGTCATATATCCTACTAGTTCTGTTCCTCTGGAGAACCATGACTAATACAAAATCCTTGTCAGTTTTGCTAGATGTTTATCAATTTTATACATTCTTTTAGAAGACTTTATTTTATTTTATTTTATTTTGGATACAAGGGGTACATATGCAGTTTTGTTACCTGGGTATATTGCATGATGCTGAGGTTTGGAATATGGATAGTCCCATAACCCATTTAGTGAGCATAGTACCCAATCAGTAGTTTTTCAGCCCACGTCCCCCTCCCTCTCTCCCCTCTCTAGTAGTCCCCAGAGTCTACTGTTGCCATCTTTATGTCTGTGAGTACCCCATGTTTAGCTGCCACTTATAAGTGAGAACATGCAGTATTTGGTTTCCTGTTCCTGTGTTAATTTGCTTAGGATAATGGCCTCCAGCTGCATCCATGTTGCTGCAAAAGATATAATCTCATTCTTTTTATGGCTGCATAGCATTCCATGTGTATATGTACCACATTGTATTTATCCAGTCCACTGTTGATGGGCACCTCGGTTGATTTCATGTCTTTGCTATTGTGAATAGTGCTGCAGTGAACATATTATACAAGTGCATGTATCTTTTTGGTAGAACAACTTATTTTCTTTTGGATATATATCCAGTAATGGGATTGCTGGGATGAATGGTAGTTCTGTTTTAAGTTATTTTGAGAAATCTCCAAACTGCCTTCCACAGTGACTGAACTAATTCACATTCCCACCAGCAGTGTATAAGTGTTCTCTTTTCTCTGCAGCCTTGCTGGCATCTGTTGGTTTTTGACTTTTTGTTAGTTGCCATTCTGACTGATGCGAGATGGTATCTCATTGTGGTTTTGATTTGCATTTCTCTGATGATTAGTGATGTTGAGCATTTTTTCATGTTTGTTGGCCACTTGTCCATCTTCTTTTGAGAAGTGTCTGTTCATGTCTTTTGCCCATTTTTTTTTTGAAACAGGGTCTCACTCTGTCACCCAGGGTGGAGTGTAGTGGCACAATCTTGGCTCACTGTAGCCTTGACCTCCTGGGCTGAAGCAGTCCTTCTATCTCAGCCTCCTGAGTAGCTAGGACTAAAGGTGCACACCACCATACTCAGCTAATTTTGTTTATAGTTTGTAGAGATGAAGTCTCATTATATTGCCCTGGCCGGTCTCAAACTCTGGGCTCCAGCTCTCTTCCTGCGTCGGCCTTCCAAATTGCAAGATCACAGGTGTGAGCCACTGCACTCAGCCTTTTGCCCATTTTTTAACAAAATTATTTGTTTTTTGATTTTTCAGCTATTTAAGTTCCTTTCAGATTCTGGATATTATAGCTTTGTCAGATACATGGTTTGCAAATATTTTCTCCCATTCTGTAGGTTGTCTGTTTACTCTGTTGATAGTTTCTTTTGCTGTACAAAAGCTCTTTAGTTTGATGAGATCCCACTTGTCAATTTTTGTTATTGTTGCAGTTGCATTTGGGCACTTAGCCATAAACTCTTTGTCAAAGCCAGT
This sequence comes from Homo sapiens, assembly GCF_000001405.40. Classification (NCBI taxonomy): domain Eukaryota; kingdom Metazoa; phylum Chordata; class Mammalia; order Primates; family Hominidae; genus Homo; species Homo sapiens. The sequence continues at coordinate 83,983,548 of NC_000001.11, read as the reverse complement.
GTTTGCTAGGAAGGGTATTTCCTAGGTTTTCTTCTAGGATTTTTATAGTTTGAGGGGTTACATTTAAATCTTTAATCCATCTTGAGTTAATTTTTGCTTGTGGTGAGAGGTAGTTTGTCCAGTTTCTTGCTTCTGCATGTGGCTAGCCAGTTATTCCAGTGTCATTTATTGAATAGACAGTCTTTTTCTTATTGCTTATTTATTTATTTATTTGTTTTTGAGACAGAGTCTCGTTCTGTCACCAGTCTGGAGTGCAGTGGCGTGATCTCGGCTCACTGCAGCCTCCGCCTCCTGGGTTCAAGGGATTCTCATGCCTCAGCCTCTCGAGTAGCTGGGACTACAGTGTGCGCCACCATGCCCAGTTACGTTTTGTATTTTTAGTAGAGATGGGGTTTCACCATGTTGCCCAGACTAGTCTCGAACTCCTGACCTCAACTGCTCCACCTGCTTTTGCCTCCCAAACTGCTGGGATTACAGGTGTGAGCCCTTATTGCCTGGCCCCTTATTGCTTATTTTTGTCGACTTTGTCAAAGATCAGAGAGGTGTCGCTATGCGGCTTTATTTCTGTGTTCTCTGTTCTGTTCCATTGGTCTTTGTATTTGTTTTTCTACCATTACCATGCTATTTTGTTTACTGCAGCCTTGTACAGTTTGAAGTCTGGTAATGTGATGCCTCCAGCTTTGTCCTTTTTGCTTAGGATTGTTTGGGCTATCAGGGCTCTTTTTTGGTTCTATATGAATTTTCAAATAGTTTTTTTCTACTTCTGTGAAAAATAACATTGGTATTTTGATAGGAATAGCATTGAATCTACAAGTTACTTTGGGCAGTGTGGCCATTTAAATGATTCTGATTCTTTCAATCCAAGGGCATGGAATATTTTTCCATTTTTGTGTTATCTCCGATTTCTTTCAGCAGTGTTTCATAGTTCTCCCTGTAGCGATCTTTCAGTTCTTTTGCTAGATATATTTGTACATATCATTTTTTTTGTGTGTGGCTATTGTAAATGGGATTGTGTTGTTGATTTAGCTATCAGCTAGAACAATATTGGTGTATAGAAAAGCTACTGAAGACTCTTTTTTGTTTCATTTATTTTCACTGTTGTTTTCCTGTTTTCAGTTTCATTGATTTCTTATATTTATATAAGTTTTTTTTCTGTCTACTTTGGATTTTTTTTCTCCCTCTTGCAATTTCTTGAAATAGGAACTTAGATTATTAATTTGAGAGTGTTTCTCTTTTCTAATGTAAGCATTTAGGTGTCTAAATTTCCTTCTCAGCCTGGCTTTAGCTGCATTTGACAGATTCTGTTATGTTTTCTTTTCACTTTTACTCAGTTCTATGTGGTTTCAAAAAAATATGATTCATGGACTATTTAGAAATGTATTGTTTAATTCCAAGTGTTTGAAGATTTTGCTGCTGTTTCTGTTATTGGTTTCTAGTTTAATTCAATCTAGTCAGATAACATACTCTGTATGGTTTAAATTCTTTTAAATATGCTAAGACATGTTTTATGAGCTGTGATATGGTGCATCTTGGTGAGTGCTGTATGGGCACTTGAGAAATTCTTGAGTAGAATGTCTAATGTCAATCATAGCCTACTGGTTGATGGTATTGTTCAGTTTTCCTGTATCCTTGCTGATTTTTAATTTAGTAATCTATTAATTGCTGAGAATGGGGTATTGAAATCCCCAGCTAACTTCGTTGATTTTTTTTTTTTTTTTGTGACAGAGTCTCGCTCTGTCGCCCAGGCTGGAGTGCAGTGGTGCGATCTTGGCTCACTGAAAGCTCCGCCCCCGGGTTCACACCATTCTCCTGCCTCAGCCTCCTGAGTAGCGGGGACTACAGGCGCCCGCCACCATGCCTGGCTAATTTTTTTGCTATTTTTCAGTGGAGACGGGGTTTCACCGTGTTAGCCAGGATGGTCTCGATCTCCTGACCTCATGATCTGCCCGCCTCGGCCTCCCAAAGTGCCGGGATTACAGGCATGAGCCACGGCACCTGGCCTACCTTTGTTGATTTTTAAGCTTTTCAGATCTATTAGTTTTTGCCTTGTGTATTTTGAAGCCATCTTGTTTGGTGGATATACACTTATTATTGTTATATCTTCTTGGTGGATTGAGCTTTTTATAATTTTGCAGTAGCCCTCCTTGGCTCTAGTGATTTTTTTTTGCTTTGAAATTTATTTTATCTGATATTGTTATAGCCACTTCTGCTTTTTAAAAATAAATACTTGCATGATATATCTTTTTCCATAGTTTTATTTTCAATCTATATATGTCATTATGTGTGAAAAGAAGTTTTTATAGATATGTATAGTTGGGTTGCATTTTAAAATTTACTGTGCCAATCTCTCTTTTAAATGATGTGTCTGTACCATTTATGTGTGTAGTTGTTGATATATCAAGTCTGCTTTTTTCCTCATTTTTTATTTCCTTTCTTTCTCATTTTTCTATTTCTTTTTCTTGCCTTTCTGTGGATTACTTGGATATTTTTTAGAGCTGCATTTTTATTTATTTATAAGTTTTTGAAACATATAGCTTCGTATAGTTTTCTTAGTGGTTGGCCTAGGTATTACTATTTTTCTTAGTGGTTCCCCTGGTATTACTTTATACATACTTAGTTTATCATAGCTTACTTTTTTACATTTTTCAACTTTGAATTAAGTATAGAAAACTTTACTTCCATTTAGGTCCTTTTACCCTCTCTTCTTTTTAATTATAATTGTTTTAAGTATTTCCCATACATACTTTGAGTAACAGAAGAGATGGTTGCTTTTTCCATAAAATATTATTAAAGAATTGTATGTTAGCAATAGTCTGTTATGTGTACTTGTATTTTTCCCAATTCTGTTATTATTCTTTCCTTTCTGAAGATCTCAGATTTATCATTTTCTTTGTGTTAAGAGAGCTTCCTGAAGCCATTCTTTCATGGGACATCTGGTAGTATCAAATTTTCTTAGTTTTCCTTTGTCCAGAATGTCTTTTTTCACTCCTCATTCCTGAATGATGGTTTGGCCAGATACAGGAAATGGGATTAACAGTTACTTTCTTTCAGCACTTGAAAGAGAAAAGCCTGGCCAAGATGGCAAGATCCTGTTTCTACAGAAAAAAATTAAAAATTAGCCAGGCCCATGGTGGTGTGCGCCTGTAGTCCCAGCTACTTGGGAAGTTGAGGTGGGAGGATTCCTTGAGCCCAGGAGTTCAAGGCGGCAGTGAGCTATGATTGTGCCTCTGTGCTTCAGCCACATTTGGAGAATGTGGCTCCAAATGCCTGTCTCAGCCAGCAGTCTTATGCACAAATATAATAGGCAAGACTACCACCTCCATTTTTACTAGAGGGAAGTGTAATTTTTTTTTTCTTCAGACCAAAATTTTTCCTCTAGAATATTCTTTTGACAGTGAATTCTGTTAAGGGAAAGAGAAGACAAGATTGTTGGGATTTGGTAAATTCTCACTCACTAAAAGATGAATTAAGCCCTAGCCTTTACATATATGTTTTAGTTGAACAGAAGTGTAAAATTAATTTGTAGTAATTGCACAAGCATTCCAGAAGATTGGCTTGATACCTTAGTGGTCTTTTAAAGTCAGCTATCAGAAGAACATGATGCGTATTTGATTTTAAAAAATCTTTCGAGTCTTTTTTAGAGTTGATTTTGTTTTCATTAGTAATCCTTTGAAAATTTGCCATAAGCAAGTCCTGCAAGCCCCATACATTTTTCGCACCATCAAAAGCCTTCTCGGGATTACCCCAAGAGTACTTAGATTCACTGTGGTGTTTGTGAAGCCCCTTTGCAAAATTATGAGAGTAAGAGAACTCTGACATAGTTGACTCCATTTTGCTTCTAACTTCCAAGCTATCTTTGATCATTCCTAGGTGTAGGCCAAGCTAATTTTGGATGGAATTTAGTTTATAGTTTAACCTTAAAGCAAGGATGATAATAGTTCTTTCCCAAATTAAACTGTCTTTTTAAAACTAATGAAAGACTGCAAGGTTAGGATTATGAGAGGGGCCTGCATTGTGCTAAAATGTAGGTGTAGTTAAACAACAACCAGCCATTGATCCGGATATTAAAAGATTTGTGACTTACCCAATTATTTCTCTAAAATCCCTACTCTAGAACCTAAGATTGGCCTTTTGAGATGTTTTTCAGACTTCTGCATTTCTGACTGTTGGGTGACTCCACCTGGACCCTCGACTCCTGACTCAACTGGTCCTGTGGCCTCCACCCGGAGGCAGACTCAGCACACAAGGAACATTTTCCACACCGCTATGATTTCATCCCCAGTCAGTCAACATTCCTCATTCCCTAGCCCCTTGCCTACTAAACTATTCTTGAAAAACCCTAATCTCTGAGGCTTCAGAGAGACTGATTTGAGTGATAGCTCTGTCTTCTGTGTGGCTGGCCTCCCGTTAATTAAACTTTACTTAATGCAATACCATGGTCTTCGTGAACTGGTTGTTTGTGTAACGTTGGGTGATTACATTTGCGGGCTGCTGAAGCTAAGCATGGTCTCCTCTCTGCTTCTGAGAGCTCACAAGAGAAGGGCCTAGATCCTTCCTGTCCAAACTAATTCAGTGGGGAGGAGTCATGGTCATAAGCTTTTCAGGCTTTTAGGTACTTTTAATATGTGTTGAATTAATGAATAAATTAAGAATCAGTTCAGAGTCAAGTTTATTTATCTCACGCTCCATAACTATTTTGAAATTGTAAGCAACTAATTTGATAATAACAGTCAAATGTCTTTTATGTTAGACATTTCCATTTTAATCATTGCTAGACTAGAATTTCAGGGTTTTAACTATATGCTCTGCTATCATTCTCATTTACTTCTCCTTTTCCAAGTGCCAAAGTACCTCTTCCTTTTTTGAAAGCCTTCTGATATAATTCTGATTTAAACTAATTTTTAATAAATGAGTTATAAAAATCAGTTACAAAGATATTAAAATATTAATAATTTTTGCCACCTATTTTAAATCATCCTTTCATGGTTGAGATTTGTAGTTTTTCATAGAAAAACTAGATGACTATGATGTTTGACAAAGATCATTCTTTTCAATATGTAAAATCTCCAGTATGCCATTCTAGAGGATGATTAAAATGAATAATTCTTTTTTTTAACTGACTATAATTTATCTGTCTCATTTGAGCTTTGGATAGGGTTCTGGTTAAGGGTCCCTTGGTTAGGCTGTTTCCTCTAATTAGTGGTTTCTCATCTGTTTGTGAGGAGCTAGCTAAAAAGGATTGGGAAGCTGAGAAAGAAAAGCTTCATCAGTTCATATATTCCCTCGGGCACATTTGTAACTCAATCTCCCTTCCTGACTGGTGTCTGCATCATTTTTATCCTGATGGTCTACCTCAGCAGCTGCCTTAGATTCCATAATGGATGAGTTATTATTTTAACTCTATGATGTTTAGCTTTACATTTGGTAGGTGAGATAGATGATATATAAAACCTAATTTTTATCCCATAAATATATATGTCTACTATGTACCTACAAAAATTGAAAATTAAAAGAAATTCTTATTAAAAAAACCTAATGGACTAAAATGAGGAAAATAGGAAATTCATTGTTTTGTTATAGGCTACCCGGAGATAATTATACTCAAAGTACAAACTAAATATTTAGATGAAATAGTCACATAACTCTTGTTAATAACATTAAACAAATAAGGAAAACATTGTTCTATTCTAAAACCATACCTACATTGTCGGATCTTGCAGTCACAATATGACTTTCCAAATTATTGCTTTTACACTACCCCCACTACACCCCATTTTCTAGCCCAAAAGAGCTAAATTTAAATTTAAATTTAAATAGTAGCATGCTATGAGTTTTTTCCACCTCCAGCCCTTCTGTTTGTGTTCCAAGGGGAAATACTTGGCATATGACCAATTCTTTACCTACTTTGGACATCATCAGAATTGTGGATGCTGCAGCCTGTCTCTTCCTGAGATGAATTAGAGATGTCTGCCAGTCAACTCATGGCTGGCTTTTGACTCTAATAGCTGGGCCCATAGTGTTAAGTCAGGCTGCATAAAGTAAAACATCATAAAGTCATTTGATTTAGGCCCACAATTTGAAACAAAAAAAAGGTATGTGATTTTTTTTTTCCTCCATGTTTTAAGATTGCATAAACTTGTAACTAGAAATATTGAAGGTTAACATTCCAGAAAGACTGGCTGAATTGTTTCACCTGGATTCCTAAAATAGATTTTATGGAGCAGTGTATATGGTCTCCGGAATTCTCCAAAGTTTAATTCTCATTTCTATCCTACTCTAATTTTAAATTACTTTCTTCTAATGCTAAGTAAATTTTAGTTCTGTGTTACTGAAATTTATATATTGTTTACATACTGACTAGTATTTACTAGATGCAGTCGATGATATCAAGTGTCTTAATTATTCAGATCACTGTGATAATACAGAACTTTTGCCTCATCAGCAATATAAGGTATCAAAGCTATATATGTATATATACTATTTATTTTTAAATAAATATTTTTTGAATAATCAAAAGTCCCGGTATTTCAATAAAATTAAGAAATGGGAAAGACACAATAAAATGGCTTAATATAGACGAACATAGGTAATAAAAAGGGTTTGATGGAGTTAAGTTAATGTTAAGAGAGAATCAGTGGTTGTTTCCTTTTGATTAACATTTTTTTTTTGTAAAAATTTTTTTCCATTACCATTCATGAAATGGAAACAAGCCACAACTGATTTAGTGTATTTTATTTCAGTGTTCAATAATGTCTGTGGAATTAAGAGCAAGTAGGGAAACAGGAAATGGAACAGTCTATTTAGTATTGAAATGGGTAAGAGAATAGGCTGGTATAAAACATTGGCTAATCCAGTAAAGCTACTTTCAAAGTTTGTCTTCCTTCTCCTTTGATGTCATCTTTGCAGAGAAGAGTATTGTTGGGACTAGGCATGGATCACTCAGCTATTAAAGTAACTCTAGTGGGAATTTGCAATTATTTAAAAAGATGAAAGATGCAGTTCATTATTAATAATTTATATTTCATATCACAAAAATTTCATGAATACTGAAGAGTTGCTGTACCTAGTGAAAAAAACTAAACTCCATTTTGTATCAAACTCTCTGTTTTGTTTGTTTTGCTCAGAATGAGAGACACTGCCCTTTCCAATAAAAAATTTGAAGCAAACACTTTAAAATATATGATATAATGAGTTTTTAAGATTGGTAATACACTGAAGGACAGTTAATTCTACCTTGTAGAGAAGGAAGGGAGGGGAGAGCTAGGCTGGGTTGATGATGGCTACAGAAGGAAGACAATCCAAGATAAGATAAAAACACAAGTAAGTATATGTAAGTTAGAAAATGAATAACATTTCTGGATTGTCTTTTTATCTTGTGATTTTAATCTCTAGTTCGAATATCTTTCAGACTTACTTTGGTTGCAATCCATGGTAAGAAATACAATTTACTTCTTGACATAGTACACACACAGACACACACACACACACACACACACACACACACACACACACACAGAGAGAGACAAAATTTCAGGACACAGTACTTAGAGTTAATACATTTCTTACTACATGCTGTGCACTCTGGCACTGTAATATTCTCATGTATTCTATTCTATTATTTCAAATAAAATGCTTATTGAGACTCACCAAATTGATTTCATGATCCTCTAGAGGTTATGGTCTGTATTTAAATATGAAACAGAAACAAAAATCTGTAGTAGAAAGTACATTAGAATACTACGTTTTTACTACATCTGTACTAAAAAGAACATTAGAATATATGGGGAGGCCCCTTTGAAATATGCAGATTTGCAAAGTAACTAATTGGCTCTTTTTCAGCACGGTTTCAAGATGGTTGGAAACAGACTGATGACTGGCATATTTGCCATTCAAAAAGCGACATGCTATGGCACAAAGGTTTTGAGAATCAAACAGACCTGTCTTAAGTCTTTGACAAGTTACCAAACCCCTTTGAGTCTCAGTTTTCTCATCTGTAAAATAGAGCTAATAAAGCAATCTGTGAGGACTAAATGAAATAACACATCTGTTTACAAAGGTTCTGAGAATCAAACAGATCTGTCTAAGTCTTTGACAAGTTCCTAAACCCCTTTGAGTCTCAGTTTTCTCATCTGTAAAATAGAACTAATAAAGCAATATGTGAGGAGTAAATGAAATCACACATCTGTTTAAACAGTGGGTCTCGAACTTGACTGCAAATTTAAATCACTTGAGGAGCTTTAACAAATCCCTGTGTCAAGGCTGCACTCCAGACCCATTAGCTTAGAAAGTTTGGGGCTGGGAGCCAGGTATCAGTATTTCTTAAAGCTCCTTTTGTGCAGTCTATATTGAAATGCCTGGTTGTAAAGCCTATAGTGCAATGTATGTAACATGGTAGATATTTGATACATGTCTTGTTCCCTTGAATAAATATCAACTAATGTATAGCTAGCATTTTTATAATGCTCACTATGTAATAGGCACTGTGCAGAGCACTTTTCATATCATGCAGAAAATGTGTGCCTTGTTATTCTGTCAAGTAATGAATTAGCATATGGTTGAGATAAAAAGAGAGAGCACTGCTTATTACAGAGGAAAATGGTTATTTTTTATCATCAGGAGCTAAGTTACATATGTAACTATTTCAGTGAATTATGGAATTGGCCTCCAGAATAGAGATTGTAAACTTAAAAAAATTTTTAGATTGAAAATTTAAACCTTAGATAATGACTTATGGGTAGGTATAATAGGTCAATTTGACAAAGATAAATACTTCAAAGATAAATAGGTCAATTTGACAAAGATAAAAACATGTAACGATACTAATTTTAGCAGGGATGTATTGATATTATGTAGTAGATCATGTCTAATATGTTTTCTGTATGGTACCAAAAAGTGAACATTAACCAACAAATAGCGTCTGCCATATTATAATTCACTTGACACCCAAATTTGTTAGGCTTAATGGCATGAAGACAATACCTTATGTTTATTAACAAGATCCATATTTTTCATTGTATTAAGTAGATACATTTAGTAGTCTGCTGGTATACTTTTTGTTAATTGTTATCGTTTTGGATTTTGGGCTTAGAAAATGTATTGTGATTATTTTTCAATATGATTTTTTCATAATAATGGCTTTAAAAAGAACATTTTAAAGAATGATTTATTTTAATATATAACCCATTCATTTACTTTGCACTTAAATAAGAATTTACTAATTTTGTCGTAGTCTTTGGTTTGCTTCCTAGTTTTCAATGACAGCTTCTATAATGGCACTGAAAAAGCATTCATTTTTTCATAGATATATGTGTTCGTAATACTTAGTATGCATTCAAATAACATTTTTCCCGTGCCCATGAAATGGATTTATAAATTGCTACATCAGCTTTGTTTAGGTGAAATGCCTGTTTATTTGCTTTTTCTTTTGTGTTTTTTCTTTTGACCTATTCAATTATTAAAACATTTGTAGGATACCTATGCTCTTAAATGTAAATGAGTTAGTAAAAAAATTTGAGGTAAAACATATATAGAGTGAACCGCAAAAATCTTCAGGATCCAGCCTGATGGATTTTTACTTAGGCATATGCTTGTATAAGCATAACCCTGGTCAAGATAGAGAACATTTCCAGCACCCCAGAAGTCTCCCTCATGACTCTTCCCAAATAATTATCCCTCATCCTGCCCAGAGGTAACCTTTATTCTAACTTTTTCACTTTAGATTTAGTCTTGCCTGCTTTTTAACCTCGTGTAAATGAAGTCATACAGAATATGTATAAGATCTATATAAGGAAAACTACAAAAACTCTGATGAGCAAAATCAAAGAACTAAATAAATGGAGATATATTCCAAGTTCAGTTATAGGAAGGCTCAACATTGTCAAGATCTCCATTATTCTCAACTTGATCTATAGATTCATTGCATTCCCAAAATTTCAGCAATTTGTTTTGTGGATATTGACAAACTGATTCTAAAATTTTTATGGAAAGGCAAGAGACCCAGAAGAGCCAACACAATATCGAAGGAGAAGAACAAAGTTGGAGGACAGACACTACCCAACTTTAAGACTTACTATAAAACTACAACAATTGAAACAGTATGGTATTGGCAAAAGAATAGACAAATAGATCAATAGGACAAAATAGAGAGCTTGGAAATAGAACCACATAAATATAATGAGCTGATCTTTGACAATGATGCAAAGGCAATACAATGGAGCAAACATATCTTTTCAACAAATCATGCTGGAACAACTAGACATCACATGCAAAAAGATGAATTTATACACAGGCTTTACACTCTTCACAAAAATTAACTCAAAGCAGACCAAATAGCTAAATGTACAATGCAAAAGTATAAAACTCCTAGAAAATAATGTAGGAGAAAACTTAGATGATCTTGGGTATGGCAATGACATTTTAACTATAACACCAAAGGCATGATCCATGAAAGAAATTATTGATAAGCTGGACTTCATTAAAATTAAAAACTTACATTCTGTGAAAAACAGAGTCAAGAGAATGAGAAGACAGGTCATATACTGGGAGAAAATATTTGCAAAAGACACATCTGACAAAGGACTATTATCCAGAATATACAAAGAACTCTTAAAACTCAACAATAAGAAAACAAACAACTCAAACAATGGGCCAAAGACCTTAACAGATATCTCACTAAAGAAGATATATAGAGATGGCAATAAGCATATAAAAAGAGCTCCGCATCTATGTCATTAGGGAAATGAAAGTTAAAACAAGAATGAGATGCCACTACGTACGTCTTGGAATGGCCAAAATCCAAAACACTCACAACACCAAGTACTGATGAGGATACGGAGAAAGAAGAGCTCTCATTCATTGCTGGCAGGAATGAAAAATGGCACAGATACTTTGGAAGACAGTTTAGCAGTTCATACCATGTGATCCAGCTATCACATTCCTTGGTATTTACCCAGAGGAGTTGAAAACTTAATGTCTACCCCAGACCTGCATATGGATGTTTATAGCAGCTTTATTCATAATTGCCAAAACCTGGAAGCAACCAAGATGTACGTCAGCAGATGAATGGATATATCCAGACAACGGAATATTATCTAGCACTGAAAAGAAATGAGCTATTAAGTCATAGAAAGACATGGAACCTTAAATGCATATTACTGTGTGAAAGAAGCCAATCTGATAAGGCTACATATTGTATGATTCCAACCATATGACATTCTAGAAAAGACAAAACTGTGGAGATAGGAAAAAGATCAGTGGTTGCCAGGGGTTGGGAGGGAATGGGGAAGGATGAACAGACAGAGTACAGATAATGTTTAAGGCACTGAAGATAATCTTTTGGATATTGTAATGATGGATACATTGGTCCAAACCCATAGAATGTACAACACTGAGTGAACCCCAATGTAAACCCTATGTAAACTATGTCAGTAATTATGATATATCAATGTAGGTTTGTCAGTTGTTAAAAATGTATCACTCTGGTGGTGGATGTTGATAATGGGGGAGGGTATGTGTGTATGTGGCAGGGAGGGGTACAGAGGAAATCTCTGTACCTTCCTCTTAATTTTTCTGTGAATTTATAACTGCTCTTAAAAATTAAGTATTTAAATAAATCAATATGAAAAATCTTTGGCCCTAGGCTCTGAAAACAGTTAGGAACTGGAGATAGATGATCTAAATCCCTTCTTCCCAATATTCTTCTTTGTCTTACATTCTATTATTAAGATGGCTAGGACTGTTTTTACAGGACAGGGAGACTGAAGTGGGGAGTTTATTACTAGCAATAACAGAGGCATCAAAACGTTAGAAGCAAGGAGAACCAAGAATTATGTGCCAAGAACTAGAAGGTAAGTCTGAATGACCTGCAAAACTACTGGGTTCAAAAGTGATCAATGATGGAGTACAGAACCAAGAGGCTAGCAAACTCCAGCAAGTGCAGTAGAGTTAACCGTGAGTGAAAGATTCCAGCAGTAGGAAACTGAGTGGCATCCTGGGGATGTGAACCATGTATGGATCATTCTCCAACAACTCTATCAAAATCACTCCAAAAAAACTGAGTAAATATGGAATACCTACTATGCAAGTACAACAGATGAACAATATAATCAACTATAGTGTACTTGCTGTGCCTTATCAAAGCATTTAATTACATCCACCAAACAGATTTTAATTCCTAAATCCTCCACATAGAAACTAGATCTTAGGCCTTGCTAAGAATCAGTGCTAATACTTAATATGTGTTTATATAATAGTTGGACCATGGCAGGCTGTGTTGGCTGAATTTAAAGGCCACATCTCAATGGATCTATCATCAGGTAAATGATAGTTGAAGTCTTGGGCACAAATAATATAATTTAGGGATAAGTGTTGAGTAGATGCCTTCAATGTCCTGCCCATATCCCTTGTATCTTACTTCATTATGCTGTGTTTCCAACTGTGTGTTAGTATCTGCATTTCTTTGCTTGAAGGCTTTCAAGAACTCTTCTGGGAGCCTTGAGTCTGCAGGCCTTTGCTTTTCCAGGCGTCCTCCCTACATTCCCTTCCCCCTCCCAGAAGAGCAGGAATTGCCATGGAATTAGTACTCACCCTCACACCCACAGCAGCCTTCAACTGCTGGTTGACCCTAGTTGGGTTAACTCTGAAGCTGTGTGTTTTACACTGGTTCCCAGACTTTCCTAGGGGATTAAGCTCTTGCCACCCACCATGAAGCTGTCATTATCATACACCCTTTATTGGCTGCTTTTCCTACTCTGTCTTGCTTCCCTGCTCCCCTGCCAGTATTTCTAGCACTTCCCAAAATAAACTACTTTTATTTGAATCCTCATATCAAGGTTTATTTCTGGGGGCCTCAAACTAAGAGCTCTTGGATAACACCCTCAATTAAAAGGTAGACAGGAGAAAAACTACATCTTATTTTCTTAATTAGCAATTATCTTTTAATTTTCAAGTACTTCTTGGACTTTCTACTTGGACATGCTGTTGATATCTCAAACCTGACGTGTCCAAATTGAAATCAGAACTTGAAAAACCAACTGCTTCCACACTGATTAGGAAAAAAGATTCTAGGATTTTGTCTGTGTGCTTTCTTTCTGTTCATTTCTAAGGGGAAAATATTTTAAATGAATTCAGTGTGTACTGTATGTTCCTAATTTTCTCTCATTTGGGTGTGAATAGCACCTCATACAAATATAACCTGTACTGTAACTTCACTGCTAGCTATTTTCACATAATGATCTCAGTCTTGGCTTGAATTCCTGGAATCTGGAATCAGTTAGTTTACATTTTTATTTACTCTGGAAGTGTTAACCTCAGAGGTAGTTTAGCAAATATTCTAAGTACTAAAATAAACACAAAATGTAATTCACAATCATAATCCTTGTGTACTAATTAGGAATCAGGGTCTTTTGGAAGTAGCCAATCCTATAGATTATTTTAAGATTTATCAATAATGTATAGTAAAATTTATCCTGGTGTATGATTCATAATTGATTCTTTTCATCATTGCTTTAAAACATCCTGAATTTTCAAAAAACAAATTGTGACATGTGAAGCAGGTAGACAGTGAATATAATATCCTAATTTAGGCATATTTGTTTAGGCTTAGTAAATTAAAGCAAATCTTCAACTTTATCATTCATTCTTTCATGGTAAAATACATATCATTTCATTTATTATGAATCATTCTTATCCTTGTTCAAATAATTACATCTTCCCATACCAGTGAAAGATCTTCATTTTCAATTTTAATGACCATTTAATTATCCATTGTTTGGCTATATCATAATTTATGTAATTTCATTATTGGATACTTTTAGGTTGTTTTCAGTTACAGGTATTATTAATAATGGCTTGACATACATTCTTCTTCACAAATGTGCTTCAACATTTTAGACAATTTTATCAGGATTGATTCCTAAGTGGAATTAACAAATCAAAAGCATAAACACTTTGTATAATTTAGACTTTTGTTATACTTTCTAATTGTTTTCCAGAGTGTTCCCCTTTAGTGATGGTCTAGAGAGACAAACATTATAGGCCACCTTCAAAGAAGGAGACTAATAAATTGCTTTGAGTTTGACTTGAGTAATTTATTCTACTCAGTTTTGTAATTTAATAATATTAAAGTCAGTGAGTTCTTCTTAAAGTGATGATTTATATATACAAAAGTGATATCTAATTTTATGATATATGAGATATTAGTTGTAAATAACATTTTAAGTTTAGTAATGTAACACTGATTGGAATCAATATAATTGAGAGAGTAAACTGAGAAACTTACCATTGTCCATCATGAGTAGCCTATTCTAGTCTACCTGTATTCTCTCTGGAAATCTGAATTTTTTTTTTTACCAAATTACTCTATTACCTACATGGTCACTTTACCAAAAGTAAACTTGAGAAAAGTAATGTAACCACAAAATACTGACATTGAATATCATCAGATGGTGTTCTTGACACATTGCTAATAATATCATGTTTGAGAAAATAACTGTAAATGAAATTGAGTAGTTTTTTGCAGCTATTATTTAAAACTATTAATTTCATTTGAGAAATACTTATGGAGTACCTACTATGTTCAGAAGAAATTTCTGTATTCAAGGGAAAATTACAGTTTTGTGTATAGTTTTCTTATTTCCCATTGTGATAAGTAAGAATGTTCTCATTCTGAGAACATGGAATTTATTTCAACTTTATATTGAAGGGAGACTTCTCTAGACAACTTTAATGCTTATTATTGATATCCTTAAAAGTTACCACCACCTTTGGTGAAGGAAAATTCTATTTGACAATAATACAGATTTAGATCATGAAGTCGGCTTCTCATTTTTCCTTGACAGTATAAGATGAGTACTCCATGTAGGAATAATAACAAGGAACTCATGAGCTGAGAAAGATACCTCAGTTTCCTAGTCTCAATGTTAAAAGAGACCAAGAGAAATGACAGTTTTCCAGGTCAGTATCCTAGGTGACTTTGAGTCTTCCAACACATATATTTTTTTCTATTATGCTTTGTAATTAAATCTCTTCAGCTTGGAATTTAGCTGTTTTAGTTTCATCTAACTGGAACCCAAGTGAGAATCAGAAGGTAAATATACTTCTAGTTAGCCAAAGTAATGTGTCTACTCAAAACATGAATTTAGATATAATTTCTTTGCCTTTGTTTCCCATTGTACAGTTCTTATCTTCTTGGTGGGTCAGTAATTGAGGTTATGAATAAGGAGAGCAGAAAAGATGGCAGGCAACCTCATTTTTGGATTAGGTGAGATGGAGAGCTGGTACTCATGACTCCATTTGTTTTTTGTCCAATAATATTATGGCCCAGTATCACAACAACAGGCAGCTGTGATATTGGCCATCCACTATTATTTGCCACTGAGTTTGTTATTGTTTTTATAAGCCCATGGGTATGGTGCATTTCACACTTTGCTCCAAATTAAGTCAGTCTCCTCCCACAGCAAAGTTGCTGGTTTTCATACCTTGCCAACTGTGGTAGAACTACTGCACCAATGGAGCTGGAGGGTGGTGGTGTGTGGGAACGGCTGCAGGTTAAAATGCCATCCCGACTGTTCTTACCCCAGGTTCAATAGTTTTTCTTGAATAAAAGTGTCTTCCTTTCTTGTATGCCTTTCGTCATTTTCAAGAGTCATGAAATTATTATTCTTGACTCTTTTTTTTTGCTGTTTTATCTTTGTTTTTTGAGAAGAATTGCTGAACTCCTCATTCCAGCGTTTTGGAAATTTTGCCATTTTGGATCCAGTTTTAACTGGAATGTTAAAAGTTATATTTTGAGTGAGGGCTTGAGTTAGAAAACCTATCTAGATTATGAACAACTAAATTATACTATTTTTACGGGGCCAAAAATTTTAGAATTTTAGAGTGAAAAGGGGTCTTAGTTCCACTTTCTCTTTTTTCAGGTTAATAATTGGGAACCTTAGTGCCTTGTGCAGTTACCATGCAGATTGTTGATATTAGAACTGGATTTGGAATTAGCTCATTCCTGAGTCAGTCACTGCATCCCCTACCACAGTGCAGCTGCAGACACTGTGTCCTCCTTCTGCAGGTTCAGCCCTTTCCCCCTGAGCTAATCCTTCCCAGTCAAAGCACATGAAGATTCTCAGCCCTGACCAAAGATGAGGTCTGAATGAATTGTGCTGCCTTGAACCAGAAGTTGGAGATGGGGTCTAGTAATATTCTCCAGGAAATTCTTGTGCACATTCAAGTTTGAGAACTGTTGGCATAGTTGGCAAAAGGTGGTTGTTGTTGTCCTTAGAAATTTTGTTGCACTCCAGAAATTTTGATAGCCAATTAACTTCTTTTTTAAAAATCACATCTAAGATCCTGTTTGTTATAAGACACACCATTATTTTATTTACTTAAAAAAACCTCTTCAAATTCAACTATGCAACAGTGCTTTCTTAGTAGTAAGTACCATTTTATTTTATACATGTTGAAAGAACCCTTTAAAGGTAGTTTAAAAAATATTGCATTACTTTCATCCATACAAAAGAGGGAAAATTTAAGTAAAATAAATTCATTAAGGCATTCTGTAAACTTCTTCACATTGGAAGACAGACTCCTCTGAATCTCTTCTTGATTCAGCCCTCATTGTCTATGTTTTTCCACACAACATCATTCTCTGGCCATCAAGAGTTGATGCCACATTTCTTAAAAGGGTGTTTCACTATTTTCTGGGTTTTTCTTTCAGCTTCTGACATGGATTCTGCAAATTTTGATGTGTATGTACAGCAGTGATAATGGTGTCAGGACTAACCACTTGACAGTGATTATAAGATAATCACAATTTTATAGGTTTTTAAATGTTAAAAAAACAGTATGGATAGAACCAAAGAAATATGATGGTGATTATGGACAATCTCTATTTTCTACCCATTTCCTTACTTCTATTCTAAATACTGTAAATTATTCTTTATACAACTGTCTTCATCCATTTCCTTCTTTTCATAATGATCTGGCATGCTTAGTTTAGGCCGTGGTTATATTTAGGTTGGTATATCATTTCCTCCAGAACCTTCTTGCCTCATAGAGTATTTTAAATCAGGTTTATAGTTTCATGAAATGTAGCTGATCCTATGGAATAATGAATGTATTAGTCGGGGTTATTCATAGAAACAGAATCAATTATATATATGGAGAGGGGTTGGGGGGAGATAGAGAGACAGAGAGACAGAGGGAAGGAGGAGGGAGGGAGAGAGGAATTGGCTCATGCAACTGTAGAGGCTGGCAAGTCAAAAATCTGCAGAGTAGTCTAGCAGCCTGGAGACCCAGGGAAGAACTGATGTTGCAGCTTGAGCCAAAAGATGGTGTGAGGCAGAATCCTCTCTTTCATGTGGGTCTTCAGTCTGCATTCTCTTAACTGATTGAATGAGGCGTACCCACATTATTTATGGAGAGTCATCTGCTTTTGTCAAAGTTTACTGATTTAAATGTTAATTTCGTCTACAAAGTATCTTCAAAGCAACATCCAGACTGGTATTTGAACAAATATCTGAGTACTGTGGCCTAGCCAAGTTGACACATAACAGTAATCATCACAATGAATTTACCTTTATTCATAATCTTAATTATGTGATAGCAAATCTTGATTTGCCATAGACATCATTTTGAGCTTCCTAAATGATGTTAGCATTCTCACCAATTACTACCTACTGATTAGCAGGTGGAAAGTTTCAGTTGTCAGACTCTAGATCTTTGGGGATGTGCATGATGTAGAAGTCAGATCTGCTGATGAGAAAGAAGAGTTTGAAATATTTAATAATTTAAATAAATAATAATTGGGGACTTATAAATGCAGAGCACAATGCCTGCGCTGTAGAGAATGCAGAATGTATACACTGTATATTCCCTTCAAGAAGCTTATATTTTAGTTGTTTAAAGAAGATATTCAAATGAAATATTTAAATAATCAAATAAGGCAAAAAACAATACTGTAGTTACAGAGAGCATTTAAAGTTGCATACCAAGTATTATAATACCAAGTTTTAGCGTATTTTCACACTGCTGTAAGGATACTACCCAAGACTGGGTAATTTATAAACAAAGGAGGTTTAACTGACTCACAGTTCTGCATGGCTTGGGAGGCCTCGGGAAACTTGCAATCATGGTGGCAGGGGAAGCAGGCACCTTCTTCGCAAGGTGGCAGAAGAGACAGAAGAACAAAGGAGGAACTTCTAAACACTTATAAAACCATCAGATTTCGTGAGAACTCACTCACTATCACAAGAACAAGTGTGGAGAAACTGCCCCCATGATACAGTCACCTCCCACCAGGTCCCTCCCTTGACACGTGGGGATTATGGGGATTAAAATTTGAGATGAGATTTGGGTGGGAACACAGAACCAAACCACATCAATATTGTTGTAAGATTCATCTTTTTAATGTTCTTAATATAAGCAAGTCTATTTTAAAAAAAAATAGATTGACTGGGGAGAGATTGATGACCTCTTTCAGAATAATCTATGAGTTCCAGCAACGTGGCATGCTCACCAAAGCCAGTTCAAGGCAGAAATAGATAACAATTTTGTGGTCCATTGATTAAGATTGTTCTAAAGAATGCACATTTTTTTTCTAGTAAGACTTGCATATATGGATAATTTTGAATACTAGGTAGGATTAAAAAATAGTAAATTTAAATCCCATGAGGCACAACTGAAAATCAGCTTTGTTGATTTAGTATAATATTCAATTTATAAAACTAAGATGCATGCTGTGGGTATATGGTTACATGTATAATTTTATCAATACCTAGGGTCAACTGTCATTCTTGAATGTATCTCTCATTGATATGATCAGTGTCAGTATGTTTTAGATGAATTATTAGATTTCAGGTAATTTTGGAGCTGTGAAGCTCTGAAAGCTGCAAAGCTCTGAACTTCTCTGAAAGAAAAGCTCTGAACTTCTCTGAAAGAAAAATGTATACGTTGAAGCCAGGAGGCATACTTTTTTTCTTGCTGGAACACCCAATAAGATGATGAGCATTAAAAACAAGTTTACTGCCTTAACAAGATATAGAATAAAATAATGAAACAATAATTAAAGTTTAAACAGATTGGTGATACATTTCTACAGTGTTTACTCTGTGAGAAGGGAAGGTAGAGGTCAAGAGAAGAAAGAATGAGTGAAAAAACAAATTTGGACATTTGAGAGTATCTATAGAGATTATATTATTGTGCAATGGTTAACTTCAGGCACCAATTCTATTCTGCATTCCATGATTGTTTGTTAGAATGAAGGACAAAAATAGTTCTTTTCCTCTGCATTTCTATAAAAGGACTGGTTTCATGGCAAAGATTGTGGTGCCAGATAGATACACTGTTTTCAAAGATTTGGAGTGGGGTTTGGAAAAGATTCTTATTTTAAAGTGAGCTAAAGTTATTAAAATATAGTTGAATTTAATTAGTTTTCTTTGGAGAGGGCCTTCACGTAAAGTCTATTAGTATTTTGTTTCTTTCCAAAGAAATTAACTCTGTAGCTAGTTTAATAATCTAAAAGCAAAATAACCTTATTATTCCTTCCCTCCTTAAAATCTTTGGTTATACACACAACTGAGGGAAGGTATACAGAACATTTTATGAACTAGGCCTGTACATTTGCTTTTTTCCATATGGATTTTCTAAACTTGCATGATTCTTGTACCATAACTTAATTTTTCTGGGATTTAATTTAATTTAGTGGGATTTGAAAACTGTGACAAATTCTGCCTGATTGTAGAAATTAGTACAATTGCAGTTTTATTATTTTAAATTAAAAAACCTCTAGAGAACTGTATTCCCCTGATATAGTAGCTCAGCAGTTTAGCTCATGTGTTCCAGGCTGTGTGTTTGAGATTGGAGAATATGTAAATTAAAAGACACTTTAAAAGCTGCTACCTAGCAGCCAGTTGTCTCATGGAGGAAACATGTAAGGAAACCTGCTCTTATTTCACGTGAGTTGTGGCATTTTATGCAAGGAAATTTTGAAGTAATTTTCTTTATTTTAAAATAAAAAATGGAATCTAAGTTCCTTATTTGTTTTGGATAGGAACCTGGTTTAAGCAAAAAACATGAATTTTTTTTTTTTTAGTTTGTATTACTGAAAAGTTTAGGAATCTGTTATCTCTCTTTCTGCTCTGCCTCCTTCATGTTGACTTCATCCACAGGCTGTGTGTAGAGGAAGGATGGGGACCAGCAACTGCAGGTAGTGTATCCTCTCAGGTTCAAACACAGCTCACAAAAGAACCTGTCTTCTTCCAGATTCTGAAAATGAGTACTGAGCCTGATTCTCACTGGCATTAGTTGGATCCTGTGTTCATCTCTGAACCAATTCCATGGTCAAGAGGATGGGATCCCATGATTGTTTAGTTCTAAGTCATGTACGCATCCTTGGAGCTGGGATTGGCATCAACTCCACCTAAAGCTTATGCTTTGAGAATGAGGAAGTAGTGCTTCACTGGAGGAAATTCAGATTATGGTTACAAGAAAATAGGTAAAAGCAGGCTATGGCAAAAATGATAAATGTCCAAAGTCATTGTGCCATTGACTTTGTGTTTAGGCTATGTATGTTTTTTAGAAACCAAAATAATAATTTTTATTAGAGAAGCGTTGTCCATTAGGAGATGCATTTAGCTGTTGGTGACAGAAATTTCAAATAACATTGGCTTAAACAAGATGGAGGTTTACTTTCTCTGGAGCTAGGTGGTCCAAAACTAATGGAGCACAACCAATGTCACACTGGATTGCTACAACTCCTGCCATCACGTTTGCATTCCAGGTTGGAAGGAAGAGAAGCAAATGAGTGTCCACTGATTGTCTACTTCCCTTTAGAGGTGTTTTACTAGGAAGTCCTGCTCAACAACTTCTGCTTACACTTCACTGGCCAGGCCACGTATACCTGTAAGGAAGTCTGGGAAATGTAGTTACTTAGTAGGCACAATGCTACCACTAATAATAACAATGGAATAGGTGTTTTATTAGTAAGGAAGAACTAGTGAATGGCTGTTAGGTAAGGAGCTAGTTGTCTTTGTTACTTGTTAAATTTTTAAGTAATATGGATGCCATAGGAGGTTTATTTAAGAATTCAGTGAATGTTACATATTTAAGATTTAAGACATAAAAGTAGATGGAAATATAAATAGTAAACTAATACAAACCGTAAAATTGGCAAGAAGGGCAATAAGGTGTGCATTGAAAAAGTGTCAAAGTAAGAGGTCAAAGGAAAAGTTAAAGATGATTCTGATGTATCTATCTCTTAGATGTTTGGCTATTAGTGATACCCTTTACCAAGATATGGAACATAAGAGGAATATCAAGTTTTCAGGGAAAGTTAAAGAGTTAAGTTTTGGACACTAAAAACTATAAATGCTGGCATCAGATGACATTTGGGTGATGTCATTTGTTCACCAGCTAAGCAGCTGCACATTTTGATAGCTATTGTGCATTTTTTGGCAAAGAATGAACTGACTATTTTAGAAATTCTCTGCTTCCCCTAGTCCCTCTCTTTTAAACCTTGTGATCAAAGTTATTGAAATCTCAGGAGACTTAAGTACAACAGACCCTAAGTTTCAACTCCACAGCTCAGAACAAGAGAAGTCTTTGCATAGTCAAGCACAGGTTGGGTGTTTTGGGGATATGAAGTTCAACTCTCTTAGGTTTGGTATAGTTCTTTGCAGGGTCAGGAAATGGGAGAGGTAAATGGATTGACAAATGTGAGTGAGATATGCAAAAGTTAACTGATTACGTCACATATTATTCATAGGGAGCAAATAAGAGTTTTAGGCTACTGGAGAACTACTTAAAACTGAAATATTATGTTGTAGGAGAAATATGCCCAAAGAGGCTTTTGATTCTACTTAAGTGCTTGATGAATATGTTATGAAATAACCTTGTCTTCTGTCACCTTAGTAACCGAGTTATAGCTGTTATTTGCTTTGAACTTTATTTAATTCACCACTTATTGAGTAAGATTTTCTCCTTTTTCATTATCCTCGGTACTGGAAATACAAATATTAATAAGAGAAAATGCCTTGAAGGTATGCTGTGTTATCATTACCCGTTTATCAGTTCCTGCTTTTTCATGTCATAATAGGCTAAATTCCAAAGACTAGACAGGCCACAGAGTTTTGTAGACATTTGTGTGGTTGCTCTAATTACACATACTATACATTTGCCTTTTTCCATATGGCTTTTCCCAACTTTGCATAATTCTTGGACCATGGCTTAATTTTTATGGGATTAAATTTAATTTAGAGGGATTTGAAAATTGTGACAAATTTGTTTGATTCTAGAAATTAGCACAGTTGAAATTTTTTTATTTTAAATTCAAAAAAACCTTCCAGAGAACTATATTTCCCTGATATGGTAGCTCAGCAGTTTAACTCCTATGTTCCAGGCTCTGGGAATAGGCTACAGCCAATTGGAACAATAAATAAGTATTAAGTGCATTAGTGGGAGTTACTGTTGCTCAAGGTCAAGATTGTTACTAGAATGAATAAATAGTTCTTGTGTTTATTCTTACATAATATCATACTTGGCTGTTATCAGGTTTTTAGAAGTAGTTGATCAAATGGTTCTTTCAGGTCTAGAACACAGGACAGATCCAGCTTTGGGTAATGGGCCCAGCCAGGGAAAGGGAGACAAAAGTTACTATGTTCAAGGAGTAAGTAGCTTCTCTAAATACCCTTTCAATTTGTACACACAATGAGTGGTGGCAATGTTTTATTGTTATGAGAGTTGTTTGGGTGATGTCATTTGTATACCAGTCATGCAGCTGTGCATTTTGAAACCTATTGTCCTTTCTTGGCAGAAAGGACAGAAATAGGAGCAGTTATGCTTTGGAAGGGACCTTTGTGTTTAATTAACACCATTTTACCTATAAAAGTAGAGGATTCCCTTATCTCTTATCTCCACTAATTCTATTGTCTTATTTTCTGTTTATTTTCATCCACCCTTATTGCAAATACAAAGCTGAAATAATCTCACCCCTCAAACTGGCTCTTCTGTCTGCAAGCCTTCTCTTGATGAATTGTGCCATCTTCTACCCAATTCTTTAAGCTAGAAATCTGCAAAATCATCCAGGATTACATTTTCCTTATCAGTCACCAAGTCCTGCTGCTATTCTGCTAATACTGCAATAGCAGAATTCTGTCTCCTTATGTCTGTTGCTTTTATCTGTAATCAAGCTCTTATCTTCTCTCTCTTGGACTTTTGTAATATCCTCTTAAGATTGTCTCCACTACTGCCCCCACAATAACTGCCAGTGTAATCTATCAAAAATAAATCTGGATTATATTACTCCTCTTAGAGTCCTTCAGTGACTTCACATTGCTTATGAGTCAGGATCAGACCTAAGTTTCAGCAGTATGATTTATATCACAATACTTACAAAAAGACACATAATGATTCAAGCAAAAGTATTGTGGTTATTTCATTTCTACCTCTTATTTCAAATGCCTAAACCATGATAATTGCGTATTTATTCTTTATATTAAGAATTACATTCTTTGCATAAGAACACAGGTGCTCACTCTCTGTAGAACTGCCTATTGCATCATCCTTCCTCTCAAGGGGTATCAGACTTGGTGTTTATCATTCCTATGTATTTCTTTATATGCTTATTTCATAATTTATAAGAAATATATTATTTTGTATAATTTTAAACTTTATGTAAATAATATACTGTATGTATTCATCAGCTGTTTTAAATCTTCATTTTGTGATGCAGCATGTATCACTGATGTATAGTATTTTCATTGTATGAGTGTATTGCAGTGTCTTCACTCCCTTGTTGGTGTTGATTTGCATTCCTCCTTTCCCTTCCCTCTACAATTTTTTTACTATCCATAGAGGTTGTATTATTAATCTTTGTGGTTGTTGTTAATCCTTATAAGTTTAATTATTTTTGGTGGATTTCTTTTCTACAAAATGAGTGTGTTGGTTAGTGAGCATCGGTAGCTGGTTTGGGGTCAAACAAGGGGGGTAAACTGTCTAGATTAGCAAACTTCATCCCACTTACCAGAGCTGTTGGCAGTAGCAAGTGAGATCTTTTGTAGCAAACTTCTTCTTTTCCAGATGCTTTCCAAAGCAGATTATGAAAAAAAAGTGAGAGTCCTGCTGGGCAAATGCTTTCTCCTCCAGTCATTACTTGGCCAGGTGATTTCTAAGTCACCCACATTGCTGTGCTTCAAAAGACCAATAGGAGGGAATAGACTCCAGCAGTGGTGTTCTCCCACTTTCCTGGATCTGCCCTGGCCACCAGCTGTTGGCCTTCTAGTGCAGTGGTTCTCAGAGCTTTAGCCTGCATCAGATTCACTTGGAGGACTTGTTAATTGATGGGCCTCACCTCTATATTTCTGATTCAGAAGTTCTGGGGTTGGGCCTGAGAATATGCATTTCTAAGAAGTTTGCAGATGATACTGATGCTCAAGTTCAGCATTTCCAAACCTATTTTATTTTTTGACTCATGGAACTCTTTAGACATTAATATATAATTTCACAATCACCTACATGAATTTTTCAATCATGTTATAATTTCCTAAGTTTTACATGTTTTAAAGAAGGGCTTTAAGTTCAAAAATTTGTATCTGCATAATGATAAACATTGTGGTCATCCAGAGCCTTGCTACTCAAAGTGTGGTCTGTGAACCAGCATACCTAGGAGCTTGTCAGAAATGCAGACTCTCAGGCTCTACCTCAGACCTAATGAGTCAGAATCTGAACTTGAACAGTAGTCCCAGGTGTGCACATTACAATTTAAGAAACACTAATGTAGAACTGACATTAAATCCAATCTGAATAATATTCAAAACAAATAAGCATTTTAAATTTTGATGTTTAAAAGTGGCATGTTTCATTTACTTTTATTCTCTTTCATATGAGAAAAAGCATGATTTCATATAAGAGAAAGCATATATCAAATTTGGTTTGGGAACCAAGTGCTGAAATTTAATGAAATTAATAATACAAAAATGGACAAAATTTCATTCATGACCTGATATTTGGAAATACTACTTTTTGCATATACAACTGCCTTATTTTTATAATTTTTAGGAAGTAATAGATTTCTGACTGTTAATTGTAATGACCTCTCTGCAAATAATGTTAATGTGTGTGGAGAGTGTTTTTGCCTCAAAGTAAAAGCTTACTTGGATATATTTTTTGTTACATTTGTTATTTTTCTCTTTTTTTTGGAAGTGATAGTAGAAATGTCTTTCATCCGATAATTACAATTTAGGGATCTGGAGAAGATTATCTTGAGACATATTTGCAAAATTGTTACTTTAAAATTTTCTTATAACTTGTTTTTCAATATCATTGTTCATTATATCTCTTTTCTTTAAACGATTATCAATGAGGATAATAATCTATCTTTTAGGGTTTTGAAGGTCAGAGTTTTATATGTATAAACCTCAAAAAGTGCCTGGCACATAGGATGTTTTACATAAGTGATGATATCAACCCCATCCTTCTCTTCCTCTTTGTTGTCTTCTTGCTCTTCCTCATTATCATTGTTACAATCCATAGCAAGCTCAGGATAGAGTTTAATTATCTACTCTGTGAAGCCAGGGGCAGACTGGACTCAATGTCTTAGTCTGCTCAGGCTGCTATAATAAAGTATAATAGACTAGGTAGCTTAAACAATAGATATTTATTTCTCACAGTTCTGGAGGCTGGGAAGTCTAAGATAAAAAAGGCTCAAGACAATTAGGTTCCTGGTGAGGGCTATCTTCCTGGCTTTCAGAGGACTGCCTTCTCACTATGTCCTTGGGCTCCAGCTTTTAACGTAGATTCAGTCGAACAAAATCAAGCATCTTTGCGAAATCTTCAATATGTTATATTTAAAGGCTGAATTTTGAAGGTAGCACAAAAAGTGGGAAGGAATATGGGTTTCCTTCCCATACTTCTTCTAATAGGTAGAAGCCACAAACCACTTCAACCTATTAGATGTGTGACTTTGTGCAAGTTTCTTAACCTTGGAGCCTACATTTTCCCATATATAAAATGGGAATAAAAGGTACTGGGTATTTGTTGGGTGGACTAAATAAAGTTATGTGAAAGTAGATACTGGTTTGTACTGGTTCTTTTCTCCTTCCTCTTGTCACAACAAAACAGCTCTTATTATGTTTTTATTTAATATTATTTTACATATTTTTAACTTAACCCTATTTTTGGATCCTCTTGACTTTTTGTTTGATTATTTTAGTAATCTTTGGGTGAGCTAAAAATTAATGTACAAAGACCTCATATATTATGTTTACTGGGGTATGGATTGAGGGTTGCTGGAGAAGGTCTGAGTTTTCTTTGTGTTTCCTTCTTTTACATAAAAGAAGTTTGTCTTCATCTTTTGCCATAAAATATATCAGCAATGTTATCTTCATTGGTTGCCATTTTAGACTTTAGGGGTGGAAAGAATAAATCTTTTACTTTTGCAGCCTAAGAATTTATATCTGCTAAGTGGAAAATTAAAGGATAGGAATTTGATTTGACTCCTTGTTCAGTGCTCTTTCTACCATATTATACTTTCATTTAAATGAAATAAAGGTATTTTCACTTAAATGGAGAACACAGTTTGATGATTTTGGTTATCAACATGATTATATTGATACAAAATTTTATCACATATATTTTACTTTTTTGAACAGGTAATACATATACAGAGTACTAAAGGTAAGTACAAGTAAGTCTCCCTTAGCCCCACCCCTAGCCATAGCAGGCCACAACTGCTCAGTGGATATGTTCCATATATTCCTCTGTTGGTTTGCTCAAGTGGCAGTGTAATATGTAAACTTCTATGTACTTTGCTTTTTCCACTTAAAAATGTGGGTTAGGGCTGGGCACAGTGGCTCACGCCTGCAATCGCAGCACTTTGGGAGGCCGAGGTAGGCGGATCACCTGAGGTCGGGAGTTCGAGACCAGCCTGACCAACATGGAGAAACCTCGTCTCTACTAAAAATACAAAACAATTAGCCAGGTGTGGTGGCGCATGCCTGTAATCCCAGCTACTTGGGAGGCTGAGGCAGGCGAATCACTTGAACCCGGGAGGCGGAGGTTGCAGTGAGCCAAGATTGTGCCATTGCACTCCAGCCTGGGCAGTAAGAGCAAAACTTCGTGTCAAAAAAAAAAAAAAAAAGTGGGCTAGGTGCAGTAGCTCATGCCTGTAATCTCAGCACTTTGGAAGGCTGAGGCGAAAGGATAACTTGAGGCTAGGAGTTTGAGACCAGCCTGGTCAACATAGTGAGACCCCATCTCTAAAATAATAAATAAATAAATACATAAATAAATAAATAAAAATAATAATAAAAGCCTGTTGTGGTGGTGTACACCTGTAGTCCCAGCTACTTGGGAGGTTGAAGCAGGAGGATTGTGGAGCCCAAGAGTTCAAGATTACGGTGAGCTATGATTGTCTCTAAAAAACAATATAAATGAATAAAACAAAATACATAAATAAAATTTTTTTAAAGTGAAAAGTAATATATTGTAAATTACATGTATTTGCTTCTCAGAGCTTGATGACTATTTCTCTTTTCTCTCAGCTCTCATGAATTGATTGGTTGTTTGTTTTTTAAGACACGCTCTGCTGCCAGGCTGTAGTGCAGTGGCATGAAC
The DNA here is from genome assembly GCF_000001405.40 of Homo sapiens. NCBI lineage: Eukaryota > Metazoa > Chordata > Mammalia > Primates > Hominidae > Homo > Homo sapiens. The sequence continues at coordinate 83,955,951 of NC_000001.11, read as the reverse complement.
ACAGCTCACTGCAGCCTTGACCTCCCTAGCTCAAGCTATCATTCCTTCTTAGCCACCCAGGTATCTGGGACTACAGGCAGGCACCACCATGCCTGGCTAATTTTTAAATTTTTGTGGAGATGTTGCTCAGGCTGGTCTCAAACTCCTGGTCTCAAGTGATCCTCCTGCCTAGGCCTCCCAAAGTATTGGGATTATTTATAGGCATGAGCCATGGTGCCTGGCTAATTAACCGATTTATTAACTCAGTGTCTTAGCCCGTGTGTGCTGCTATAACAAAACGCCACAAATTGGATAACTTATAAACAATAGAAATTTATTTCTCAAATTTCTGAAGGCTGGGAAGTCCACATCAAGGTGGTGGCAGGTTTATTGACGGTGAGGGCTGCTGTTTCTGCTTTTAAGATGGTACTTTGTTGCTGCACCTTCTGAAGGAGATGGATGCTGTGTTCTCATGGTGGAAGGGATGGAAAGGTTGTGTGAAGCCTTGATTATAAAGTCCTTCCCATTCATGAGGAAGGAGCCCTCAGGACCCAATCACCTTCTAAAGGTCCTACCTCATCATACTGTTTCATTGGGGACTATGTTTCAACATGAATTTTGGAGGGACACAAATATTCAAACCATAGCACACATTAACAAGTGCTTATTGAACACTATGGTCAGGCACTATTCTAGGACCTGGGAATGGAGGAGTGAACAAGATAGAAGAAAACCATCTTTTTGGCAGGTGATTATGATAAGGGTAAAAATAAGGCCTGTGATAGCCCAAAAGAGGGAGAAATGAATTTCTTCAGATATAATCAGAGAAAGCTTTCAGGAAAAAGTGGTATTTTATGTGGAATTTAAGTGTGGTAGAAGCTCAACGGAAGAATAGGGAAGAAATGGTACTCTAGCACAAATGTACTGGAATTATTTTGGTTTTGTTTCAATTTCGTGTATCTATTGGTGCTTGACAGTTCTATGTTCAAGGTTAACATTTGCTTGAAATTTTGGAAAATTGATTCCTTTTGTAAATAAATTCTGTTTCTTTATCTTAAAAATCATTTTGTGCTCACCGTCAAATTTTTTTCTGGTTTTTTTTTTTTTTGAACTAGATAGGAAAACAGGATTTTTGTGGGTAATTTTTACCTATTTGGTCTTTTTAAAAAAGTTATGAGTTTTCTTTTACTTTTTTTCTTATAATTTCATGTGTTGTTATAATTAGCTATTATTTGTTGCATTGTCATCGTGTGCTTACAGTAGAGGTTCTCAACCTTAGCTGCACTGGAATCACATGAAGAGCTTTAGAAATGCTGATGGTTGGGCCCCACTTAGTTCTGGGGTGTGGCCTGGACAGCAGGATTTTCAAAAGCTCCTCATTCAGGCAATTCTGCTTTGCAGCCAAGGTTGAGAAGCCATTGGCTTAAAGCATTTCAGAGGTAACTGAAACATGTTTTCTGCTTTTGGAAAGTAGGTAACTATGGTTTCAAATGAGTGGTGGGATAAATCCGTCATCTCAAATCTCTTGCTTAGAATAAAGCTGATTAGAATTGCCATGGTTGAATGAAGTCCTTGAGTTTGTTAAAGCACTTTGACTAAGGCATAAATGGAATTAAGTAAAGCGCATATATGCATAGTATAATTTTAAGAACTTTAAATTCCTGTATGCCTTGGGGAAGGGATAAAAGTTCTTGTTTTGAACTCTGTACAAATCAGCCATTTGACTTATTATTTAAGTCAAAAACTAACAAATTTGTTTTTAGAATCTAGTATAGTTAGGTGAAGCTTGTTTTTAAAGTCTTGTTGACTTTGTCACCTACTTTCAATGTAATAAGTATTCTGTTACTGTAAAGGGGATCTTTGTTTACTCCAGTAACAAGATGTTGGACAAAAAACTTGTAAACTCAAATAGTTACTTCCCTGAGGTTTCAGAGAGCCTCCAGAAAGAAACTGAACTAAACTTTACACTACTCCTTTCTTTTATTCTGAGAAGTGATCCAGTCTGTTTCCAGCTTGGCATTGGGAGCTGAGATCAGTTTAGAGATGTTTTACTGTGAATTCACTGTTTGAAGTATTGCAAATTCCCAGAATATGGCCATATCTTGCGGCATGTACTGCAGTAGGGTTGGAAACTTCTCATATGTCTATATATTATGTTAGCATGGGGTCTGAAAATAGGGGAGCTTAATGAATAGAATAATTAGAATTGGGTTTAAAGTCTAAGTTTTCTATTTCTAAGCCATGTTACCTTGATTTGTTTAACTTATCTAGCCTTAGTTTCTTTTTCTGGAAAATAGGGAGAAATGATACCTAAATTTAAAGTTTGTTAATGAAATAAAATATTTAAAATGCTTAATAAAATGCCTACCTACAGTTGGTCTGTAATAAATAAAAGTTCCCCGTTTTGATATTGAATTATACTAGACAATCATTTTAGTAAAAATGATACCTGAGAACAAATAAAACCCTAAATTTTCTTTAATATTGAAACATTAATAATAATGAATATTTGGAGTGATATAGGACTCACGTTTTATGTAGCTGAATGTTGGATGTTTCTGAATTTCTGATAAACTTGACAATCTAATAAAGGTGTTGATATTATACCTTTGCTTATCATAATAGGTTTTATTTTTCATTGTGTTTATAGATATTTTACAAGAACTGAAGGATTCTTACAATAAGGAGAAATTAGAAAGTTGATAGTACAGACTGAACAATATGGTATTGTTAGGGCATAAATGCCTACGTTCATATATTTACAATGAAAATACAAGCAAAGTGTACTATAGGCCATGTTGAGATGTAGCCAGATCAAATTAATTCATTGATTGTTGCATTCCTCTGTGTGCCTGAATAAAATCATCATAATAATGACCCCACCCATTTTCTGTCCTTCAAAACTGTTCTCATTTTTTAAGGCACAATTCAAGATGTGGTTTACTTTATTAAGTTGTCCCCCATAATCCTTTATATAGGAATCACTTCTCTGCATTCTGTCAACATGTGACCTCTACCCTGCCTGGCACTTTTCACTGTCTCATATTAAAAGCAGTGTTTCAGGCATTGGGTTGAAGGTTGTGTGGGTTTCTAAATAAGACACTCTGGCATTGACATTAGAAGAATCTTCATTTTAATCTCTGTGTTGTAATTTTCTTTGTAAAGATACACAAAATAATTTGTCCTTTCTAAGCTCAACTTATCTGTAAGATGGGGATAAAAGCTTCTACCTTACAGGTTTGTTGAAAGATTAAATGGTATAATATAAATGCCTAAGATAATAAGTGTTCAATAAATAGTAGTGAATATTGTTATTGCTGTTATTGTTTGTGTATAGTATATTATTTATTGAATATACATGTGACACGTGACTTAATAAAACTTCTTCCCCTAGACTATGCATTCTTTCAGGATAGGAAAGCATCACTTGGCATTTTGCGTAAGGTTTAATAAACCGATTTACAATTATTTGTTGATTGAACACATTAACTTTCACCTTGACTTTTAAAAAGAATAGTCTTGGCATATATGAAAAAAAATTCAAAAAAGTTTTTTCTAAATGACCTTGTTTTAAAATCACTGCAGGTACCTTGTTATCCCATAACTTTGGTATCCTGAAATCTGAGGATTCCACCAAGATAATATGATAAGAACTTTCAGTGATTTGGGGCCATATCCTACTTAGACTAATGTGGAATTTCCAGATTTCCTGAGAGCTTGGTACAGCAGCACACACTGCTTGCTAATCAGCACAGGCAATAATGCCATCTCTGCCTCAAGAAGGAGGTAGGGAAATTGACTTAACTATGTTACAAAATATGGAGGTGTTATACATCATTACTGTTAATATTTTTAAAGTATTAAAAATTAATTGGGGACTTTTTAAAGTACCAGGATTTGTAATTTTACCTTGGTGTGGGGTGGGGGTGGTATTTGTGTTGTCTGGTATAGATTTTTGTTTTCAGTGTTATCTGATTATTTTACATTTTTTTAAAGTTATTCAGGGACCCTCTCCCCTGGATTTGAATACAGAATTACCTTATCAAAGCACAATGAAAAGGAAAGTCAGAAAGAAGAAAAAGAAGGGAACCATTACAGCAAATGTTGCCGGGACAAAGTTTGAAATTGGTAGGTTTCCTTAGAAGCAATCATGGGATTCTCATAATTGCTGGAAAAACTGATTTGGTGTTAAAAACAATGTAGAAATCCAAAGAGATAACTTATCTTTTATATAATGGATTTTTAAATGCCTTCTATAAAATTTCTAACATATTAGAAGGATTCTTTTTCTGTGTGGTAGAAGATGATATCCTTAAAAAGATCCCAACTGATTTCTAAAATTTCAGTTCAAACACTTAATATGATTAGACAGCTTAGCTGAAAAAAGGGACTTGGCATTGTATTTTTCTTTGAAGTTTAATTTTGTCAGCTCTTCAAGCTGTGAATTTCATAATAAGATAGGTTTATATGTGACTGACCTGACAAATTTGAATTTATGAATGTAAAGAAAAAATGGATCTTTCCAATGTTCATATATAACCTGAATGTTCCTAGCCTCATGGGTTTGTGTATACATAAATACCCAAATTTAAGTAACACATTACATTCCTTCTTCTTTTTTTTTTTTTGAGGCGGAGTTTCTGTCGCCCAGGCTGGAGTGCAGTGGCGCAATCTCGGCTCACTGCAAGCTCCGTCTCCCGGGTTCACGCCATTCTCCTGCCTCAGTTTCGCGAGTAGCTGGGACTACAGGCGCCCGCCACCACACCTGGCTAATTTTTTGTATTTTTAGTAGGGACGGGGTTTCACTGTGTTAGCCAGGATGGTCTCTATCTCCTGACCTCGTTATCCGCCCACCTTGGACTCCCAAAGTGCTGGGATTACAGGCGTGAGCCACCGTGCCCAGCCTACGTTCCTTCTAAACGTAACTGCCAGGAGTTCCATTTATCTCACTAAAGTCTTCCCAGGTATCTTTGAGATGCTGCAGGCAGTGTCTCTCATATACTCAGGAACAGTTGTGCTCCTGACATGCTCTTCTGAATTTGTTATTGTTTTCTGCTTGTGAGCCAGGTAAGGAATAGTCTGTGTTGCTATTGCCCTTGCTCTCTACATGAGCTGTAGGTGGCACAGCAGCTGCTGAGTCCTCAGGATGCCAAAGCTGCATGGTGGTCTGTGACAGATGAGAGAGGAATATTCCTTTCCCCAACTCTTGGGATTGTACACTGTCACCTGGGACTACACCATTCTGTTAAGACTCAGGATTCTGTTGGAAGCCAAAAATTACCTGAAGTCTTCTGCTTATCTTTATTCCACACTTGAAATTCAGTGGAAGAAAAATGCCAATATGTTAATTGTAAAATCTAGATTGGAGAGGAACACATGAATAGTTTGTACTAAAAAGGAAACGTTCCTCTGAGCATAAACGTTTTCAGTAGGATTAGAGGGTTGGGAGCAGTGGAGAACCAAAACCAAATCTCTCCTGTGAATATTGCTTCATTATTTCACGTCCTAAGTAAACATAGATGAGTTGACTTTAAGTACTAAAAATAATTTGAACTAGGGAGGTGGAAAGTATGGCATAGGTGTGATGATCAGGGGATATTTTTACTTTTGGTCTTTTGTACCTAACCGAAGGTCATAAAAAAAGCTATAAAAAGTACATTTTCCTGAGTAGACGTATTGTCTCAGCTGTGTGTGTTTTCCTTGTGCCATAAATAATCACTAAACCCTTTGGCAGTTTTGTGTACCTGTTAAACCTGAGAAGATCGAAAGGAAGGATTTTTGGGTGCAACCGAAAAACAGTTCTCAGTTACTACTGAGAATAATTTGGCCCTAGATAAAACTGTTGTAACTAAAAATAAGGTTAGGCTGTAACTAATATTTTTCAAATGAAATACTATGAACTAAAGTTTAGATAGAAAAATGTTTCTGCAATGAATATATTTCAGAAGTATTTTAATTTTGGTTTAACTTAACTGTTTACTTGCAGTTCGTTTAGTAATAGATGAAATGGGATTTATGAAAACTCCAGATGAGGATGAAACAAGTAATCTTATATGGTGTGATTCTGCTGTTCAGCAGGAGAAAATTTCAGAGCTGCAAAATTATCAGGTAGGAAATTAATCATGACCAGTTAGTGGTATGAGGAAAGTTATATGGATTCCACATAACTTTTTTAGATAGGTTCTTAATATGTTGCCTTATTACATTTCAGCTCTTACTCACCTGAATAGCCTGTTTTGTTGCTATCCAGTTGTATTGGCTCTTTGCATGAAGCCTGCATCTTTTGCAGACTTAAGTTTTAACCTCTTTCTATCTTTAGGGAAGAATCAATAGAAAAAACCTCTTCTGGTTGGGCGTGGTGGCTGACACCTGTAATCCCAGCATTTTGGGAGGCCAAGGCGGGTGGATCACGAGGTCAAGAGATTGAGACCTTCCCTGGCCAACATAGTGAAACCCCATCTCTACTAAAAATACAAAAATTAGCTGGGTATGGTGGCACACGCCTGTAGTCCCAGCTACTCAGGAGGCTGAGGCAGGAGAATTGCTTAAACCCGGGAGGTGGAGGCTACAGTGAGCTGAGATTGGGCCACTGCACTACAGCTTGGTGACAGCGAGACTCCATCTCAAAAAACAAACAACAACCACCAAAAAAAAAAACAAAACAAAAAAAACACCTCTTCCTAAGATGGTGCTTTAAAGATGTAGAGTAGATTGCATAGGGAGACCAGGATGCAGAAATACTTGTGATGTCAGCTATATGTAATCTGGTTTCATTCTTTTATTTTTAGAACATAATACAAACTTATATTCAGAAGAAAATAGACCTCAAACTAAAAAGCCAAATATAAGGAATTCTAGAGAGTTGACAGTTTGTATAGACCTTATTCATTTATTAGTTTAGAAGGTAATATAAAATTGACTGTAGTGAACAAATAAGTCATTTTTGCCAGTGCTTATGTCTGTGAATATAGTGAATCTAGAATAACAAAAGTAATTTGGATATTGAATTATCACTATTCAACCTAGAAAATTATAACTTTACTATCTATGTAGATATTCTTTTGTGTTTTCTTTAAAATTTTGCAGTTTTATTCTCTGATTACCATACTCTTTAATTCTACAAATTCACTGTAGGTCATTTAACATTAAATCTTTTAGATTAATAATTGGCAGTTTATTAAAACATAAAACTCAAAGGATGGATAGAATTGTATTGTCGTATACATGAATATAATTAATTCGCTGAGAATATTAATATTTACCTTTTTATTTTCCAGAGGATCAACCATTTTCCAGGAATGGGGGAGATCTGTAGGAAGGATTTCTTAGCAAGAAATATGACCAAGTAATCTTTATTTTCTTGTAATGGAGAAGACCTGTTCAAAATTTATACCATAACTACTGTAGTGCTATCTTTCACAAGGTTACATTGATTTGAAATGATATTTAGATGAGAGTGATAGAATTTTGGAGCTAGAGAGGTCTTAGAAGGTCTCTGGTTCCAGTCTTCCATTTTGCAGAGGAGGTAAATGAGGGTCAGAGAAATGAATATCTTGCACAAGCTCAAGCAAATTGTTAATAGCAGAGGTGGATCAGAATCAGTCTCCAGAATCTCAGGCCTCTTTACTGCAACTTGTTGCCTCTTTAGTAACAGAGTTTTTCATTTAAATGTAAGAGGTTATCTGTATATGTCATTTAAGAGATACTTGTTTATTTTCAGTCAAATTTTGCAGGAACTAATTTGTTGCATTATAAGCTGTGTGTGTGTGTGTGTGTGTGTGTGTGTGTTTGTGTGTGTCTTCATATTGGTGATTGAGCATTTAATATGTGCCAGGGATTGTACTAGGTACATGTATGCACACACTTACTCAAAGACACATGTATATATGCTCACCCAGGGATACACATGCACAGATATTTATCTCTGCAACCAATATTTAGAGTAACAATCTACTTTCATGGAAAAGCTGATAATAAGTACCCCGGTCTTTTACTTAATAAACTGAAAAATTTTTAGGCAGTTTATATTCCTGTTGACTAGGGTTTTTTGCCTTTTTCTTAACTTAAGAAAGTTGAGTGATAAACTGATAATTTTTTAAAAAAAGAAGACAATTCACAGAGATTTAGTAAACTTTCTGACTCTAAAAAATGGTAGTATAAAAGGTAATCAAAAACTGTTCCCTATGTGTGATAATTTGTAAAGAAGCAACATAAATAGTATTTGCCTGAATAATTCCCTACTCCCTACTCCCATCCCTGAGGCAGAGTTATTGACTCCTACATGTTACCTTGCCTTATATGCCTTTAGTGTACCTATCACACTGTTTAATATTAATAGCCTATGTATATATTCCTTGGGAGCAGAGATGATACTAATTTATCTTACTATCTCCAGTACCTAGCACAGAGTGTGTACTCTAAAAAAAATGTTTTTGATGTACTAATATGTAAATTAGTACATATTAGGGCAAGGTTGTTTTTTTTTTTCACTGATGAATCCATAGTCCAGAATAGTGTCTAACACTTAATAGGTGCTCAGTAGACATTTGTTGAATGAATGAAATCAATGAATAAGTAAATGAAGGAATGGAGAAAATTTAAATCTTTGTGGCAAATATCAGTAGCCCAGAGAAAGAAAATATATGCTAGTTTGAATAGAAATTATTTTTCCTATTATGTCCAATTTACAGAATGATCAAGTCTCGGCCTCTGGATTATACCTTTGTTCCTCGAACTTGGATCTTTCCTGCTGAATATACTCAATTCCAAAATTATGTGAAAGAATTGAAGAAAAAACGGAAGCAGAAAACTTTTATAGTGAAACCAGCTAATGGTGCAATGGGTCATGGGTAGGTTTGCTTTTATTTGGAATATATAAAAATAAAAAAAAATTTGGGAGTGGGGAGAATAAATGTGCATAATTACTCATGCGTGAGTACCAATATGAAAAAATAACGAAATAGGTTTCTAACTATTGTAGTTTTGGAACCAAATATTTAATGATCTCTATTCTTTTAAACTCTCCCACAGGCTTCAGTAATTCAATTAAAAATTTAATCAGCAGGTTGTGAGGCTTTGAAAGGAGATAACAAAATATAAGGGGAAAAAGCTATTCTCTGTTTTTTTCTAAAACATAAAACTCACATTTATAATAATTTCAATAGGCTTGGAGAGTAAAATCAGTTGCTACAGTAGAGCTAAAACTGACTTGGAGAAAGAAATGAAAAGGGAGTTATTCTTTTCATAGCTAGAAATCTTGAAGGAAAATACATATCTTCTTTGCCTTTAAATAAGTTTTTTCTTTATGTAGCCATGGTAATTGGATTAAAAATGAGTAGAACACATTTTAAACTGAAGTTCCAAGAGCTGGACATGTTAACTGAGAATAGAATGTGTAAGTAATATTGCACTGCCAATCATATAAAAGTATAGCATGTACAATTATACACGGTACATAATACTTAATAATGAAAATAAATGACTGTTACTGGTTTATGTATTTACTATTAAAAAAGAATGTGCAAGTAATACTCTTGTTTCCTTTTGCTTACTTATGTTAGTTTTCTGCAATGTACTTTTTCAAAGAAAATGTGGCTGAGGCTGCTTTTAATAAAATACACTTGGCCGGGCGTGGTGGCTCACACCTATAATCCCAGCACTTTGGGAGGCCGAGGCGGGCGGATCACGAGGACAGGAGATCGAGACCATCCTGGCTAACACAGTGAAGCCCCGTCTCTACTAAAAATACAAAAAATTAGCCGGGCATGGTGGCGGGCGCCTGCAGTCCCAGCTACTCAGGAGGCTGAGGCAGGAGAATGGTGTGAACCTGGGAGGCAGAGCTTGCAGTGAGCCAAGATCGAGCCACTGCACTCCAGCCTGGGCGACAGTGCAAGACTCTGTCAAAAAAAAATACATGAGTCATTTTAATTTAAAATGCTATAGGAAAAAAGATATTTGGAAATATAGCTACCAGGTAAATTATTGTTCAAAATTTTTCTTTTGACTTTTAATCATAACTTAATAATCCAATCATACATTATTTGCAAATGTGGTTTGGTAATTTTAAACTAATAGTATTAGTGGGAATTGTATACCAATTGCTTAATGCTGAGTTGGCTGTCTCTGTGTTAGCATTAAAGGAATGTTTCTGATGGTAAAGAATTGATTTTCACATTTTTCTCAATTTTAATGTTAAAAATTTAATATTAAATATCTATATTTATATACTTATATTTGATATTAAAACATACATAATCTTTTAATTTATTTTGATGGCAATATAAACAAATAGCTGGAAAAGCAGATAACTGAAAGGGCATTATGTGTTCCCATGGTTTATCTCATGTAATGCAGTAGTACCTACGTAAAGAACACCTCTCTCATCTATTGAATTGTATCTGTTTCCTTGCTAATGTGTTTTGTTATTTTGTCCATTATTGAAAGTGGACTATTGAAGAACCCAACTGTTATTGTTGAAGTATTTCTCCCTTCAATTCTACCAGTGTTTGCTTCATGTATTTTGGAACTCCGTTATTAGGCACATAAATGTTTCCAATTGTTACATATTTTTGAGGCATTGACTTTTAAAAAATCATTATATAATATGATTCTTTGTCTCTTGTAACAATTTTGCCACTCCAGGTTACTGTTTTATTGCAATATCTTTTCCATCCTTTCATTTTGAATCTATTTGAGTCTTTGACTTTAAAGGGTGTCTCTTGTAGACAGCATATTGGTGGACCATGTTTTTTAAAAATTCATTCTGCCAAGCTCTGCCTTTTATTGGAGAGTTAATCTATTTACATTTAATGTAATTATTGAAAAAGAAATATTTACTTAGGCCATTTTGCCACTTGATTTATGTGTCTTGTAGCTTTTGTTCCTCAATTTCTCTATATTGTCCTCTTTTGTGTTAAATAGATATTTTCTTCTGTACCATTTTAATTCCCTTGTCATTTCTTTTACTATATATTGTTGAGTTTTAAAAAATGATTGCCCTGGAATTACCATTATCGTCTTAATTTATAATAATCCAGTCTATATTACTACCAACTTAGTTTCAGTAGTGTATAAAAACTTTGTTCCTACATAGATTTACTCCCTTTATGTTGTTATTGTCACAAATTATATCTCTGCACCTTCTGTGTCCATCAGCATAGATTTATAACTATTGTTTTATGCAGTTGTCTTTTAATTCATTAGGAAAAATGAGGAGTTAAAAACTGAAACTACAGTAAGAGAGACTTTTTTGTTTTTTAAGACGGAGTCTCGCTCTGTCACTCAGTCACCCAGGCTGGAGTGCAGTGGCATGATCTTGGCTCACGGCAACCTCTGCCTCCCAGGTTCAAGTGACTCTCCTTCCCCAGCCTCCCGAGCAGCTGGGATTACAGGCGTATGCCACCATGCCTGGCTAACTTTTGTAGTTTTAGTAGAGATGGGGTTTTCTCCATGTTGGCCAGGCTGATCTCGAACTCCTGACTTCAGGTGATCTACACATGTTGGCCTCCCAAAGTGCTGGGATTACAGGTGTAAGCCACTGTGCCCGGCCAGAACTTTTATATTTACCTGAGTAGTCACCTTTCTGGTGTTCTTTGACAATTTGATTATAATGTATATAATGTATCTTGATATGGATCTCTTTGAGTTTATCCTACTTGGAGGTAATTGAGCTTCTTGGATGTGTAGATTAATGTTTTTATCAAATTGGGAAGTTTTCTGCCAGTATTTCTTCAAATATTCTTTGGATTTTTTTTCTTTGTCTTCTCTCCTTCTGAGACTCCTGTTATGTGTGTGTTGCTGTACTTAATGGTATTTCACAGATTTTATAGGCTCTGTTCATTTTTCTTCTTTTTTCTTTCTGTTCCTCAGACTAGATAATGTCAGTTGGCTTATCCTCAAGTTTTCTGATTCTCTTTATGCCTTGTCAAGTATACTGTTTATATCCTTTAGTGAATTTTTTTATCTCAGTTATTATACTTCTCAACTCCAAAATTTCTGTTTGGTTCCTTTATTTTTTCCCAATTTTCTATCACTATTCATATTCCTTATTTAGTGAGACACTGTTCTCATAGTTTCTTTCAGTTCTTTGTACATGGTTTCTGTTAGCTCTTTGAACAAATTTTAAATAGTTGATTATCCAGTAAACCCAATGTCTGGGCTTCCTCGCAACTGTTTCTATTAATTGATAGTTTCCCTGTATTTGGGCTATACTTTCTTTTTCCTTTGCATGCCTCATAATATTTTGTTGAAATCCGAACATTTTCAGTATTATACTATAGCAATTCTAGAAATTAGACTCTCCCCCTCTACGCAATTTGTTGTTGCAGCTCATTGTAGTAGTTGTAGTCTGTGTTCTTTGCTGTGTATGGCCACTGAAGTTCCTGTTCTGTTAGCTCAGTGGTCAGCTAATAATTGGACAGAGATTTCCTTAAACAGAACAAAACAAACAACAAAAAAGCTCCCAATTTTTGTAGATGGCTGTGTGTGCATGATTGTTGGGACATGCCTTTAACATGCAAACAAATAATTTACAACTCTGCCTTAGCCTTAACTTCCTGCTTGTACAGAGTCTGATGGTTAGCCAGAGGGGACAGCTTAGGGCCTTCTCGGGTCTTTCTTGAGCATGCTTCTAACCTTGGGCATGTAACTGGTCGTCTAGATTCCCAGGAATATGTCAGAGCTTTTCAAAGTTTCAAAGATTCTCATTGCTCAGCCCTTCCTCCCAGTCTTTTTAATTGGTCTATTGTCTGCCCAACTGTTGCCCTAGACAACCTAGATAGTAGTGACTAATACATTTGCCTTTAAATGTTTCCAACAATTATCTCTGAAAGTAGTTGCCTCAGCACTGGTAAAGTTCCAAGTTAGGCAAGCTAAAAGCAAGCCCTTTGAGGTCCTCCAGGAAGCCACCAGACAGGTCAAAACAACTAACCGTAAGAATAGCCCATTCTACCCCCTCCAGGACCGTACTGGTATTGAAAATGAGGCTCTTCAAGGCTGCTGCTGAGCTGGGAGTGGATGGCGAGACTAGATTAACTTAAAATGTTACAAAGCTCTTTGACACAGATCCAGCTGTTTTTTTCTTAGTTAAGTATTCCATTTGCTGCAAGCCTTTGCTTAGTTTCTGGGGTTACAAAAAGTTGATTCCTATAATTTCTTTTGCTCTTCATTGCTTTTGTGGAGGGACAGACTTTTGGAGTCCCTTACTCCACTATTTTCCATTTGAGTATATCTATAACTTTTTAAACACCTTGCTCTATGTCAAATCATTCTTTTAATTTTTTTCTTTAAACATAGGATTTCTTTGATAAGAAATGGTGACAAACTTCCATCTCAGGATCATTTGATTGTTCAAGAATACATTGAAAAGCCTTTCCTAATGGAAGGTTACAAGTTTGACTTACGAATTTATATTCTGGTTACATCGTGTGATCCACTAAAAATATTTCTCTACCATGATGGGCTTGTGCGAATGGGTACAGAGAAGTACATTCCACCTAATGAGTCCAATTTGGTAAGTGATACCAGACAGAGCTTATCTTTTCATTCATTTGTCAACATATACTTTTTAAAGCATCCATTAGGCATATAGATTGTATGAATGAAAGTTGCTCCTCTCAGGTTTTTGTGGTCTGGAAGAATTGTGTACATAAATAAGATTGCTTTTAACTTACAGGCAGCTTTGTGGACATTAGAAAATAAAGGCATCTGCTAATTGAAGGCTAATTGGGAAAAATTACCCTCTCTGGATGCTGTGAGCACAAGGCTGGATTTCAAAGCAAACATCTGTGTGCAGTGGTCCTGTATAGAAATGACTATATTATAAATAATACTAACATGCAATGGAGAAGTACAGATTAAGTGTTTTGGAGCTGTGTTGAGACAGTTTGTGTTCAGCTTCTCATGGAGGAGGTGGCATTTGAGCAGGCTTTGTATAACATGTAGGGTGTGAACATGTTGAATGTGGGAGAAAGTATATGAAAAGGAAAAAGCAAAAGTTATCAGAAAGTAGTTATTAATTTCTGTTGCAATAAAAGAGAAGGAAGGCTGTCAACTTACATTGACCAATGTGAAGTTGAGACAAATGAGCAGTTTCAGTGTGCATTTTAAAGCCTATTAAATGGAGCTTTGTGTAGATATGTTTTCATTAAGACTTTTTTTGTGCAGCCATAACATATTTATAAAAGTTCTAGCTATAATTTATCATGAAAATAATTACTATAATTTGTAGCTTATGAAAGTTAAATTATAATTTATTATGCATACTTAAACTTTAGTTAACCTCTAAACCTATTTTTGGAATTACCTAACTATAGTTAAAATTACAATTAATTGTTTCCCAATTTGTCAAATACCTGGTTATTGTTTTCCCCTAATATTATGCACACAATTAACTCCATTAAGTGCGGTCATTTTTTCAACATTAAATAATGGCTGATCATAAATGGTACTATGTTCAATAAAATGAAAAATGTTGTAAACCTGGCAAAGGAAGAATAAGGAAACTGTCAAACTTTTCATAGGAAAAGAAGTTAAAAGAAAGAAACATTATTAAAGGTTATATGGTCTAGATAAAGCCAATCACCAAGTAATGTTTGAACTCTACTACATTCTGGGCACTGTGCTAGTTTTGGAAAAACAATGACCAGACAGATACAGTGCTTGACTTCACAGAAGCAACAGTCTAGTGGGGAGGCAGAAAATAAAATAAGCAATTATAATATCTGATGGTAAGTGTGATGGTTTAAGAAACTGAGGGTGCTGTGGCAGTGCATAGCAGGGGCACATAGCCCAGTTGGAGATAAAGGTTAGAGAGGGAGTGTTGTATAAATTGAAATCTGAATAATGAGGAGTTAGCCAGGTTCAGGCATAGGGTAGTGTTGGATGGAGCTCCAGGCAAAAGAATGGCTCAGAGGTAAGACAGAGTATGGCATGTCTGGAGAAAGCAGACAAGGTCAGTTTGGCTAAAGTATAGAATAAGAAGGAGTGGCTGTTCACAGATGAGGATGGTGAGTCCTAGAAACCAGATCTCTTAAGGCTTTGTAGGCCTTGTCTAGGATTTTAGAATTTAACTTAAGATAAAAGGAAGGATTGAAAGGTTTTACACAAATGAAAGAAGGAATGGTCCCCTGGTCTGGAATGTGAGATGGGGGTGGAGATGGATGGGAATGATTAGAGTAAGAGAGACAAGAAGTTACATATATTTTGAATAATATGTAAAGTTGTATTCTAGTCTGACCATATATGGAAGGAAAAAGGACTTAAATTGAAATAGTAGCAGTGGGTCTGGACCAAGAATAAGAGCATGGATTTGAGATATATTTAAGATAACATGGTTAACATTGATATAATATGGTCACAGGTTGGATTTGTGGAATGAGATCAAGGGAAAGGGAAATCAAGAATAAAACTCAGGTTTCTGACATCTGATGGATGGTGTATTACTCATTGTGATAAGGGAATACAGGAACTATTAAAGGTTTTGTGGAAAGCGGATGTATTCAGTTTAAAGGCCTATGTGACCTCCAAATGTATCTGTTCTGTAGGCATTTGGTTGTACAGTATAAGTTTGAAGTTCAGAAGACATTTCTGAGCTACAAACATAATTTGAGACTTGTCAATACATAGATTATAATTTAAATAATTGGCATGGGTAAGAGTGGATTATATATATGTAAGGTGGGAGTGATCTTTTTATAGTATTGGAAAGAATAAGACTTGGAAGCTCTTTTGGATGATAAAGTGCTTTATTCTAATGTCCTATGTGTATATAATTATCTTAAGTCCAGTGGGATTAATCTCAAAGAGAGATTGAGAGAAAGGAAATGTGGCCTCTAGGTCTCATTTTGCTATGTGCTCTTCAATCACGTAAGCTCCAGGCTTTGGTTTTTACATATATAGAAAAAGGATGTTCTCATACTGCAGTGTCAGTATCACTCATATATCTCTAGAATTTCATGATTGAATTTCTAGGTTGAGATATGAAAATATTAAAAAGTGAAATACAGAAGTGTCTGTAAAGTGAGACCACGGTTATGTAAAAGGTAAGTTTAGAAAAAAGACTGGAAGAATTAAACCAAAGTGCTCTCATTGGGTGTTTCTGGACGGCAGCTTACTACATATTTTTTCCTTCTTCCTATTTCAAATTTTTAAAATAGTGAGCATGTATTTTATATTGAGCTGTATTATTTCTATAAGAATTAAATGTTCATAAACTACATATAAGGAGATTATAAGACAGAATTTCAAACATTGAAATATAATAAACATTTGTTTTTGCTACCAATGTAGTGGTTGGCCAATCCTTGAAAAATTTTGTGTACACCAATTTATTATATCAAGCCTACACGCTGAAAAACAGGGTGGGCTATGGTTATATTATTTTCACTCCTTGCAGATTGCTATATGGTTCATAGCTGCTTTCGCTTCTATTTCTTGCAAATGACTAACTGGCAGTGAACTGCTTAGATGTCTATTTTTGTCAAGGTAAATGTGAAGTTGTGGAATTTCCAATCCATTTACAAAGATACTGTTTAAGAAAAATGCAAAGTTCCCTTACTTAATTTTTCACTAGAATACTAGTGTTTTTATTAGTGTTATTAATTTTAAGAAAGTCATGCCAAGTAAAGACTTCCTTACAAAATTATTTTCCAAACCTCTTTTTTAAAAGTTAAAGAAAATTTGTATTTTGGAAACCAGGAAATGCTTCAGCTTGATTAATTTCCTTTTTCTTTAAATTAAGCACTTAAAATTAGGTAAGCATAAGATTTATGCTTTTTCTTTTAAGTATCATTTAATTTAAAACTTTTCCTGTTTCATAAGGATAGAGACTGTTGTTTATTTTGTTGACTTTGTATCCGCAGTGCCCAGCGGAGATTGCTGCAGATAGGTGTTCCTTAAATATTGTTTAATGAATGAAAAAAATAAATTCTTAATCAGTGGTAGGCACATGGATTAATAAACAACATGTACCTCAAATTATCATTTCTGCCTTCTTGCTTCAAAAATTTCAATACCATAGGCCTAAGGAACTGCAGCAAAAATAAAATATGACATGAATATAGTTGGCTATTAACAAATCAAAATAATAATAATGTGAATGAAGTATATTTTAATTGTGATGTAACATTGCTCTCTCAAGTAATCTTTAGGATCATGAGGAGGGTAGGAATTAAAGATAGATTTTTATGAATGCTTGTGCTAGCTTGATAAAAAGCCATTAGATATATATTAATTGACAATTATGAGGAGTTTTAAATTTTGGATTCTTTTTCAAGTTTATTTAAGGAAAATAGTATCAACAAATGTAAGATCATAAAGAGACAAAAACATAGAACTCCAGTATGGAGGACGATACGGTACTGTACACCTGCACAGTATTATGTGGTGCATTCTGTCTGCTGACTCTAAGTGCACTGTGGTACCGAGCTAAAGGGGCCTCTCAGTCAGTATGGGTGTGCAGAGGTTGTGTTTGGTAGTCCTGCCTCTCGGCTTATGTTACTTACGTGAGTTTTCATTTTTTATTTTTCTTTGAAAAGCCATAGAATGCTCTCTCAGAAAATTCCTTTCCCAAAACAGATTTGAGTGAAAACTCTCAGAGCCAAAAACATTGAAAACAAACAAATTAACAAGAACAAACTCAGATCATTTTTCTTGCTTAGCAATATGTAGTTTCACATTTTAATTACTCTATATTCTTATTAATTTGATACTTTTTAATGGTAGATATATTTCGAATAATATGTAAAGTAACTCTGTAGATGACTACATTCTCAACCCTTTTAAGGGAAGTGTGCCATTCCATTTAATTGGGATATTATCTAAATAATCATGAGATTGTTCATCTATGTAGTTTAAACTTTAAAACTTTCTTTAGTCTTTGAGTGTCTTTTTTTCCTCTGAAACTTCGCAGTTCTAGGATGTCATAGGTGGTAACAACTTTGGTTCTTACTTGTTACAGACCCAGTTATACATGCATCTGACAAACTACTCCGTGAACAAGCATAATGAGCATTTTGAACGGGATGAAACTGAGAACAAAGGCAGCAAACGTTCCATCAAATGGTTTACAGAATTCCTTCAAGCAAATCAACATGATGTTGCTAAGTTTTGGAGTGATATTTCAGTAAGATTATGCCATTCCACAATTATAACAGTCTTTCCTCAGCAATAATTTGAAGCATTGTCAGGCCATGAAAGTTCATTAAGAGTTGATTGAACTTGGTTCCCTATAATTGAGAGGACCAGAGAGAAAAAAATCAGATCATTACACAGCCACACGCTGCCTAACAACAGCGATGCATTCTGAGAAATGCATCCTTGGGTGATTTTGTCATTGTGCAGACATCACAGATTGTACTTACACAAGCCTAGAACAGGAATAGCCCACTACACACCTAGGCTATCATATAGCCTGTATATGGTATAGCCTGTGGCTCCTAGTCTACAAACCTGTACAAAACATTACTGTACTAGGCCGGGCACAGTGGCTCACGCCTGTAATTCCACCACTTTGGGAGGCTGAGGCAGGTGGATCACTTGAGGTCAGGAGTTCGAGACCAGCCTGGCCAACATGGTGAAACCCTGTCTTTACCAAAAATATAAAAAATTAGCCGGATGTGGTGGCGCGCTCCTGTAATCCCAGCTACTCGGGGCTGAGGCAGAAGAATTGCTTGAACCCAGGAGGTGTAGGTTGCAGTGAGCCAAGATTGTGCCACTACACTCCAGCCTGGGCAACAGAGCAAGATTTTGGTCTCAAAAAAAAAAAAAAATTACCGTACTGAATAGTGTAGGCGATTGTAATACAATGGTAAAGATTGTATATCTAAACATAGAAAAGGTACACTAAAATACAGTATTATAATCTTATGTGACCTCTGTTGAATATGCTATGCATTGTACACCAAAATGCTGTTATGTGGCACATGACTCTATCCTTTGTTTATTCTGTTTGTTGACATTTTTATCTTACTTTCTATATATCACAGGCCATAAATCCAAAGGTCCTTAGGTGTCAGACAAGTAAGAAGGAGTGAAGTGGTCTCTGGATAGAAGAAACTAGGATGTTCTGGGAACTGTGATAATTTGAAAGTCAGGAGAGGTCTGAAGGAGGTAGCCACCACTCAGCAGCAGCTTATTGGTGCCAGTGATATTTTAGGCCCAGTGGGGCTCATTCTTCTAATTTGTTGATAAATTATATGTAAATGACATAAATGATTTTAAATGTTGGCAATGGACTCAAAAATTTTAAAAATGTTGGGACTCTAACAAAAATGTCATCTGGATTTGGTCAGATATCCACCAATTTGTTAACTTTCAGTTAGAGCTTCCTGAGAGATGGAATGCATGTAAATGAGAAATTGGATCATAACAATGCTGCATTTATTTGTTTATGCAATTATTTTCTCAAGGCTAATTTTGTGGACATTCCAAAAACCATTCTAATGACAGTTTACTATCATAGTGAGTCAGAAGCATCAAAATGGTAAAATTCATTAATTTTGGACCATAGTTCATTGATGGAAGATCATACTATCTTCCATCTGATGATAATTCCAATGCATTGGTCTATTGCTCAGTGGGACCAAGAAAGTTTTATATACCCTCTGGCATTCTTTTTTTTCTGTACACATTTGTAACCCTCATTTGGATTTGGCTCTTTGGGGACATGTCTGTGAAAACCTGTTGGGCTGCTTTGGTGAGGCATGTATAGAGAGAATCAGGGAGAATAATGAGGGTCATTAGCTTTACGTGTATTGGTTTTAAGTGGTGTTTTTTCCTACACAATTGAATTAAGAGAAGGTAAACGAGCAAGACTAATACTAATGAGAGGATATGGAAATTAACTTTCTGTTAGAACGTTAAGTATAATTTTTAGATATGACCCAAACATAGCCAATGTGGGCCTATTAATCTCTGACACATTTCATGGTCTTGTCTATAGGTGGGTAAATTTTGCATCATTCTTGGCTATGTTAGTTAGAATGCATATTAATCATCTATAAACAATCAGTTAATAAATCTAGCTTTTCAAGTACTTTTATTTTAATTATCTTGTCAAACACCTGTCTGCATTTATGTAATTATTTGAAAATTGGCTGTCTTTATTAAGAATTGGTATACTTTATATAGATAACTGTTTAAGGTGAATCAATGGGATAATATAAAAAGAGAATGACAGGACGAGGTGGAGAAAGCAATTATGCAGTAAATTTTTATCTTGATGTCTTAGTTTACAAATTCCCTGAATTTAATTTATAACTTATTTTTAATAACCCGGGCAATTTCTCTAAAAGGTAACTATCAATATATGAAAAGCAGCATTCATCAATACCTTCCGTGAAGAACAGAGCTCTGTACTTTTGTTCTGGTCAATAATAAAAATCAGTAGAAAATCAAGCCATGGAGATTAAAAATGAGTATAATCATTAAAAAAAAAACTATCCTTACTGCTTTTTGTATACCTAAGGTATAAATCTACAAATCACGTTTTAAAGCAGTGATATTATGTTGTAAATTCTCAAAAACAGTAGTGGAATTTCATTTGTGTTTGTTTATATGACTCCTCATTTTCACATCTACTGAAAACTTGCCTTTACAATCTAAAAGCAGGTTATTTTCTACGTAGCAAAAACACAGATTTGTAATTCAGGGTCTGTTGATTAATAATCAGTCCCCACCCCCTCTCTCAGCCCGTACTGTTCCATACAGATACTTATCAGTCAAAGTTTTAACTTTTTCTGCTCTCAAGTGGTTTCAGTAATATTGGTGAAGATTTATATAAAGTGGCTTTTTGTCTTTTATTTTATATGCTATGGTGCTGTCATGAATTTGTTAACCTTGAACAAAATTTTTTGAAAACAGCCTCTCATGGGACATCTGATACTTATTCCCAAATATAAACTGGATTGTGGTTCTGGGTAACAGTGAGGTTAACTTCTGTCTTCCCTTTTATCACCCATAGAATAAATATTGTTCCACCAGGTAGTGGAATATTTGAGTCTAACCTGATATATAAGGTGGAATTCTAGAGGAATGATAGAGTAACAGTAACAATAATAGTACTCTGGGCTCTATGCTAAGAGTCTTACATGGAATCTCATTTTTTTCTTACATTAACCTTTTGCAGATTATATTTAGGAAAAATGAGACACACAAAGTTTAAGCAACATGACTGAGGTTGCACAGCTAACAAGTTACAAAGCCAGGAAGAAACATAAGAAGCCTATTTTAGAGCCAGGTTCTTAACTGTCTTTTTCTATTGCCTATACCTGTAGAGAGGGAGTTAAAATGACAGTGTCTTCTGAGCAAAAATAAATGAGACAGCTTTTCTCCTACAGCTTATTCTGAAACTTCAGTAAAACAACTTTTTAAAAATTAGGGTTAATAACTCACCCTAGTAGTATTATGTGTTTTCTCTCAGAAAATATTGAGAGCCAGTCTTTTAATTGGTAACAGTCTTCTCAGATAAAACTTATACACTACAAAATCATCACTGAATAAAGAAACTCAACTCTCAAGATTTTGTCTTCCAGCCCTTTCAGCCTTTATCTAAGTGGAGTTTCTCTACTGGTGTTTGTGAAATAATTTACTCTCCTTGGAATTTTTCCTTCCTGTCACCCTCATCTCTTCTGGATGGGGCTAGCGTATGCTCCTACCTTACTTGTTTTTAACATATAGAAACCACATTTATCAGCTTTGTTTTACTTGTTTACAAAGTAGTAGATTTACTTGAATATCTACTAAATGCCAGCTACTATTGTAGGCACTGGGAATGGTGTTATAAATAAGTCAGACAAGGACCCTTCTCTAATGTAAAAAGAAAAATATCAGCTTGTTATATGCTGTGTGTAGTGGTGCAGTAAGAAATGAAGGGTGGCTGCTTTTAACTTGAGGGTTAGGAAGGCCTCTCTGAATGTCTAAGAGCCAGACTTGGGAATATAGGGGAAAGATTATTCCACAAGAGGGAACAGCTAACTCAAAGGACTTAAGATAGGAAGAAGTGTCACTTACTTGAGGAACCCAAAGCAAGTGTGAGGAGTGCAGTGGGCAGGGGTAAGAGTGAAGAATGAAGTCAGAGCAGTGGCAGGGGCTAGATGCCACAGAGCTTTGTAAACTTGGCCAGGCTGCCAGTTTGTGGGCCCCGGTTATATTTGCACATATGAAATGAGATACAAAGGCATTTTCACTTCTTTTATCACAATCTTATAGGAATTGGTGGTAAAGACCCTGATTGTAGCAGAACCTCATGTCCTGCATGCCTATCGAATGTGTAGACCTGGTCAACCTCCAGGAAGCGAAAGTGTCTGCTTTGAAGTCCTGGGATTTGATATTTTGTTGGATAGAAAACTAAAGCCATGGCTTCTGGAGGTAAGGCATTCTTTAAGAAAAAAGAAGAGTTATCACTGTCCTTACGTATTAAAATAAATGCTTTAAAAATGTGTACTTAACACAGTTGTCCCATTAACTGTCCAGAATGAAGGCTGAATGGAATAAGTGGGAAGAAGAGGATAAAAATTCAGGGACTAGAACAGTTCTAAGAATGAATCACAGTGTTTGATATTACTTTTCCCAAATTAGCATCAGCTGAGTTTCTAGGCCAGGTATTTGGGATTGAAGTGTGGAGGTGCTTTTACTGTTTTGTTGCTTACTTGCTCTACTATTTTCTCAGCCTCCTGGCTTCTACCACATCATGAGTTCTGGATAGTGTCTCTCCTCTCTGTGAGTGCCTGGGCTTCAGGATCTTGCCTTCAGTGTGTCTCCCCTTCAGACTCTCCGAGAGGCTCCAATTGGTTCATTAATCAGTATTCAGTATTCGATACCCCAGGTGGTAAATTTCTCCTTTAAGGCCATGTTATATACCTGGGGCTTCCCTCAGGGAGACTGTCAACTGTATGCCTTCAGGTTTGCTGCCAGTCCCTGGTAGGGTGAGAGTTACCATTATTTTTCTTGGATGATAAAAGGTCATGTAACACATACAGAATAGTAAAAAGGAGAAAGTAAAAATTATCTCTGTTGACAATTTTTATATTTTTTCCTGCTAGTTATATTTATATTACCCAGAAGAAACCTTAGAAGTCACGTGGTCCAGAAGATCCCATCCAGCAGTTCCCTTTAAGCTCCTTGATCTGGGTTTACACACCTTCTCGTGGCCGCTTAAATATCATGTTTTGGAAACGTAATCAGGAACATACAGCTGTAGAAGATGTAGTCAACCACTACCTTTCATTTTAAATCAAGTATCTCTCTTTTTGTTAGTGATTTATAAGTTAGAAGTTGTGTGTGTAATATCAAGGTTTGCATAAGCAAATTAAATGAGTGGTAGGTGAGATGATACTAAAAATACATTTCAAAGAAATGACACTTTTCTAATTTGAGGGCCAAAGATTGTGTGTGTGTGTGTGTGTGCGCGCGCCTATGTGTGGTCACATCTACTTTAAACAGTAACATGTATTGTGTCTCCAAGGAAATGCAGTTCTCTCTGTTGGATGTTCATATTTTGCTCCAGCCTGGGTCTTAGAGATAAGATAAATGTGAGGAAGTTTTACTTATCCTTTGCTTCCTCCGTTCCTTGGATATGAAAACACTTGACTATGCACTATGGACCCTTCATCTTGCTAAGGCCTGAAGTTTTCTTTAGATTTCTTACTTTTTCTGCAGCAGTCCTTTCCTGTTCTTAGCTATATTGTCTTCTGCCCCTGTTACTTTTCTTTTGTCATTGATGGAGTGGGGAAAAAGTGAAGGCACATGCATAAGGAGGATAGTAGGAAATAATGACTTTATAGATATCTTAGTTACCTTTTTAGAAGAAACATTTGCTTCACTAGAGCTTTCCATTAGCTTGCTAAATCAGAATTGACTGAATGGTTGAATTCTGGATTTTAAAAGATTCAAAATAACCATTGTTTGCATGAATGTTTCTTCATTCTTTACTCTTTCCTTCGTTGTTTCTAGATCAATCAGAACCATTAAAACACTCCACAATAACCAAGAGCTGTGAATAATGAACATTTGTTATATTAAAACAGTTAAAAGAATCTTCAATCTTGCCTTGTGTTTTGCTCCCTGCTGATATTTTGGTGGGGCTAATATACATTGTTAAAAACCTTTTGGCGCCATCAAGTGGAATAAGGTAGAAGGTGCTTCTGGGTATGTGATAACTTTTAGTTAACCAGAATAATTTCAGGGACTGATTGCTAGTGGCAGAATTGCACAAATTTTCATAAGTAGAAAACATTTTTTTAGGAAAAACATGGAACTTTGGTGGAGTATGAAGATACCACCAATAGTTTTAAGTACTCTTAAATTAAACAGGAACCTACTAAGTTATAGTCATTGTGTTAGGTGGTGGGAATATAAGAAGACAGAATACTTGCCCTGGTGTAGCCATTATTCAGATGTGCATTTTATGGTAATAGTTATAAGTACTAGTAGGTAAAAGGGAAATGACAAAAACAATAGCATGATTAATATCTCTGTGTACCTGTGTGTATCGGAGAGTTAAAAAGAATCTTTACAGAAGAAACACCTGAGCAAAGATTGTAGGGCTACAGAAGGTTGGGGTAGGGGCTGGGGGCTGAGAGAGATAAAGTAGGGGTGGGGAAAGGCTGTGGTGCAGAGGGAACAGCACTAACTTAGGAGCACAGAAGCTATTATGGATACTTTAATTTGTGGAAAAAGTGATTGTTTTGATAAAACTTTTTAGGACAGTTGAAAATAGTGTTTACTAATATATATTTTATAATAATTTTCATTTCTTAATGCATTTACAAGCTGTTGAATTTTGAGACTTTAACATCTATGTTTTGTCTGTTTTAGAATTGGGGTAGGAAATGAGAACCAAATAAATCATCTCATTATAGAGGAGAATTTTGGCTGGGTGGAACACTAATTTTTAGTTTCTTCTGTCAGCCATTTGTGGTTTTTCTTTTATTTTTTTTCTTTACCTTTCTCATAAAACTTAAAAAAAAAAAAACAAGAACAACCCTGAATGAAAACCTAAATTGAAAAAGGTTTCCTGCCTTTCCACATATTATTAATAGTTTATCTTGTGTGGGTATACCTCTTCATAGACCAATTTATCTTATAGTAGAGGGAAAAATTTGAAATAGGTAAGGAGAGAGAGAGAGATTGAGATCTGAGATGGCTTTATACCAAGACCTCAGTACCATCCTGGAGGAGGGATATGCCTGGCACAATTCCACACTGAAATTTGGAATGGAAACTCTGAGGAATTCTACAAAGACAGATAACATGCCAATGGACCACTGACTCATCAGTTCTTTAATGTCTGGTTTAGTTTATAACCATGTCACATATAGTGGCAACACTGTCATTAGTTGTATTATAAACTCCAGAAATTTGAATCAGTATGGTTGAAACTTTTCTCCCATAAAATATATTACTTTACCCTTTCTTTGCACTTGCAAAGGGAAATGCTTAGAGCTTTCGTAATAGATTAATAAACTCCCTTTCTCAAATTGACCTATAATAAATGGATGTTATTGCCGTTTTCAAGCTATTTCCTTCTCCTTGAGACTATATCACAAATAAAGGAATGTGTCCACCACCTTTTAAATCAGAAATCAACAAAGGAATCAAAATACAACATGGCATATCTCTATAAAAGGAGTACCATGCATCCATCAAAATGATGGCATGATGAAAGATTTTCATGATACATTATTAAGAGAAAAGCTTGGAATGTAAAATAAAGTATGGTTAGTATAGACATGCATTTGGAAGGTAAAATGAATATTTTAAATATGTATACATAGAAAATATCTGGAATACTATCTACCAAACGGTTAACACGACACTAAGTGTTAAGTAGTGGGATTACAGGTATCTTTTGTTATTTGTTTTCCTTAGTTTTACTTATTTTTCTGCGGTGAACCTGTGACACATTTCTAATTAAAGATGTTGTATTCCTGGGTAATTTCTTGATTATAATGTGATATTTCTTCAGGTGCAAGTTGTGGAATGAATGCTTTCAATTGTTTTGTCTCTTGTGGTGACAGATGTGTATAACTGTGACTAGTAGCATATATACATATGTTTGAGATAGCCTAAGGGATTAGTTGGTGGTCAAGAAGCTAAGCTGTTGTGTTGAACTCAGCAGTGTTCTAACCAACCGATTTAACTGATTAAGAAATTTTCTTAAACATCAGCTATTCCAGTTATATTTTTATAACAATGACAATAGTAACAAGACTCAACAAAGACAAAAACAAACACTCCAGCTCTTTTATTTTTCATCTTAATGAATTCCTGAAGATCTGAGGCAGTGAAAAGGGAGCACTGATAGTTTCCATATTTTAAATATATAGATGTATATAATTATTATTGTGTTGATATAATTATTACTGTGTTGGTAACATGATGAATATCACTATTTCCTTTTTGTTAGGCTAAATCACTTTTAACTTTCCTAAACTTAAAAAACCTAAATTGCATGGGGTAGTGGAGAGAGTGGAATGGAGGGAGAGGCCAGCCTATACTGACAGTAAAGCTCCTAAACTAAGGCAGCCTTGGGAAGGAGATGGTGCTAATAGTCAATCCCTTGCAATTTGTTGACCTAGGGTGATGCAGAATGGAGATGTGGCAATAACAACTGGGCCATCTGCCATGTAAAGCTTTGAGGTTTAATGTAGAGTTGTTCTACTGGCTAGAGATCCCACATTGGATTAACAAATATGTATTGAATATTTATTTACCTTCCAATATTGTCTTCTTTGTAAATTTCAGATTAACCGAGCCCCAAGCTTTGGAACTGATCAGAAAATAGACTATGATGTAAAAAGGGGAGTGCTGCTAAATGCGTTGAAGCTACTAAACATAAGGTAAAATACTCTCTCTATCTTTTGGACATTTATCTCCACATTTGACATAGATTAATCATTTGTACATAAAATTGGCTTTTCAGAATAGTATATTTATTTTTATATTTTATAATTTTCATTTCTTGATTCCATCCATTTTGTATTTTTCATTTCTTGGTTCCATCCATTTTGTATTTTTCATTTCTTGATTCCATCTATTCTTTAAACTCATATAGTTAAAAAAAAAAATCTGTCCCCCCTACTCCTGTATACTGCTTTTCCTGCTTCCCAGGCAACAGTCTGTACCTGCAGTAAATGAGGTTAAATTTCAATGTAGGTATAATTATTTAATATAGAGTACAAGATTAAATTGGTAAATACTTTAAGAGACCCTCTAGATTATCTTCCTCATCTTATAAGAAGAAACTAAAGCACAAAGAGTTCATTCAGGAAATTAAAAAAAAAACTCAAACATGGATTTCCTAACTTTCTCTCCAGAGGTCTTCCCATTACATCATGCTCCCCATGTAAATAAAAAAGAGAGGCAGTTGTTTAGTGAGAGTTAACTTTTCCATTTAGAGAGGCAAGTAAAATTTGAGAAAAAACTTGGCTGGTAGGGATGTAGGGCTGGTTGCAGTGTACATGATCATGGGATTCAAATATTTGAAATGCTGTTATGTGGGAAAAGCTTTTGGCTCATTACAAAATGAATTTTTTAGATGTTTGACTGAAACACTTCCTGAAATAGTGAGTTACCTGTCATTAGAAATTTTCCAACAGAGCTTAGAGTATTGGATTAAAGGGCCTCTGAGGTGATTTAAGCTCAGTGATTTTATGATTTCAATTTATTTAATTGTCATTCAAGAGTTCTAGCAGAGTTATGGTATGCTTCCAAGCAATTTTTAAATTTAAGATGTTTCCAAACAATATGCCTATACATGTTTTTTGCATGAAAGTTTACTATTATTATTTAAATAAGCCTTGTGTTTAGTTTTTTTGTTGTGTGTGCATGTCTTTTGACGTTGCCATTTATGGTATCAATTCAGGACATTATCTGTGGGTGTTCTGGTGTTTTTAAAAGTGAGGTATGTATAGTTTAAGCAGTCAGAAATTTCTAGACTTAAAACTAAGGGAAAGTAGAAATTCATTTTCTTTATCTTTCTTAGTGTTGTTCCACAGAGAATTTAGCACAGTTCTTAACATTTAGAGCATATGCTAATGAGGCTTATGCTTCAGAAGTGCCTTCTTCCTCCAGCTGGGTGGAGAGCTCCATGGGTGCATGTGTTAGACTTGAGTTTCACTGGGCACATCACAGTATCTTAAGCAGGAACTAAGAACACTGGGAAAATTCTTGTCTATTTATTAAATAGAATTAATTTTCTTATGGAGTGCTTTAATTTTGGACAGAACGAATTGTTCTGTGAATCTAGAAATCCCCTACTTAACATTAATTTTAATCAGACTATTGGGAATGATCTTACTTTCATTATGTTATCTTTCTGCTCAAGAACCTAAATAGAATTCTGTTTACCAACATGTAGCCTAAGCTTCTAATATAACTTAACCTTAGCTGTTCTATCTTATTTCCTGTTTCTCTCCAACCCAAACTGTTTTAGTTAGGCTGATTGCCTCATTATTTTTCCCACATAGCTTGCCCATTCTCACTGATTATTTATTCTGTTCTCTACTCTGAATGCCTTTCCTTATTGCTTGTGACTCAAATCCCATCTTTTATTATGAAGTCTTCCTTTTGACCAAAATGAATCTTTCCTTTCTTGGAGCTCTAGAAGGAACTTTTGTCTGCATAGTATATGGCTTATCACTTTGTTTACTCTCTTATCCTCTGTGGTGTTTTACCTGGGCACAGCTGGTTTTTCTTTTCAATTAGATTTAAGCTCCTTGAAGTTGAAGAGTACATACTTTTACATGCTTCACAGTGCTTAGTACAGTGCTTTGCTTACAGTATGACCTTCAGGTTCAATTTGTAAACATATGCTTTTAGTCTCAAGGAAATTCAGAAGAATATAAATTGTTCAGGATATTCCATCACAACTGCTGTGAAAACAGAATCTCACATGGAGGGCATCAGAATTGATCCTTTTTTTTTACTTGGATGACAGAATGCAATTTGAGTACAGATTCAAATAATTTTTTAAAACATTAGGCTTGGGGTCCTCAGAGACAAGAAAATATAAAAAGGGTTATATGTAGAACAAGTAAAAGTTCTTTTTTCTCTAATAAAAGGAAAATCCAATCATTCTGTGATGGTTTTACTGGGTTAATAAGAAGAATCTTTTTCCTCCATAAGTATTCTATTACAATCATTAAAATAGAACCTAGAAAAGACATTCACAATCCCATGAATCCTTGGGTCTGAAATACTTGTTAATTAGATTAAATTAAATTAAGTTAAATTGCCTGTCTGTCCCTTATTTACAACTAACTCATGGGCTACAGGCTTGCAGCATGAGCATTTAATGCTACCCTACCATTGAACATTTAGCCTCACTGGCCTTCTCTGACACTAGTCTCTGAGTTTACTTAACTTTGAGCATTCCTTAGTCTTCTCTTATGATTTCTCTTACACTCTGCTCCCTACCCATCATTTTCTCACTGTGTTCTTGCCTCAGCCCTCTTTTCTTCTGTGTCAGTCTTACTCCCTTTTGTGGCATCATTTTTGAGTCTGACATGTATGTAGCAATATGGATTGGAGTGCCTCTCGCTAGCTTTGACCCACTCTGGAGCTCTAGTCCAGCATTTGCAGCTCTCTGCTGACCATGTACCCTGGATGCCCTGGTCCGATAGATACTCAATAAACATGTAGTGAGTGAGTGAGCAAGTAAATAAATAAATGAATGAATGGATGGATAGTGTTCTGTTAACACTTAAATTCAATATTGCCCAAGTTGAATTATTTTCTCCTTCGATCATGTTCCTCCTGGGTTTATTATTTTTTTCTCTGCTAACAATATCAAATACCTCCAACCCACAAAGGTTAAACCTAATCACTCATATGTATTTACTGGATTTTTTTTTTTTTTTTGAGACAGAGTCCCAAAAGAGACTGGAGTGCAGTGGCGCGCTCTTGGTTCACTGCAACCTCCATCTCCCAGGTTCAAGCGATTCTCCTGTCTCAGCCTCCCGAGTAGCTGGGATTACAGGCACCTGCCAGCACTCCCGGCTAATTTTTGTATTTTTAGTAGAGACGGGGTTTCGCCATGTTGAGCAGGCTGGTCTTGAACTCCTGACCTCAGGTGATCCACCGCCTCGGCCTCCCAAAGTGCTGAGATTACAGGTGTAAGCCACTGTGCCCAGCCTACTGGACATTTTTAAAGAGCCTATGATTTGCTAGAAGCTAGAGATACAAAAGTGAATAAAATTTCCCCACCTTAAGTAGCTCAGTTGTTAAAAGGGAAATATATATGCTCATAGATAAGTACAATACAATGGTAATTATCCAGTTTGCTTTGCCAAAGTTAATGGCAAAACGATTCACATGAAAGTCCAGGCTAGAAAGCTGGGAGTTATACTTGACTTTATTATGAATCGACTGAATCCTGTCAAATTTCTGACTATCACTTTATTTCTCCATCTCCTCTCCAAGGCTGAAAACTTCTTATCTTTCTCCTGGGCTATTTTATTGGTTTCCTTCCTGCTTCCAGCACTAACCTCCATCCCATTTTGCATCTTCCATTCTGTCATTCTGCAAATCATTCAACAACCATTTATTCCGAGTCCACTACCACTGCAATAGGTACTGGGAATTCAGTGCCTCCTATGATTCCTAGGCTTCTGGGTTGGATGACTTGTCTGATGATGTGCCATTCATTGGGATGAAG
The DNA here is from genome assembly GCF_000001405.40 of Homo sapiens. Classification (NCBI taxonomy): domain Eukaryota; kingdom Metazoa; phylum Chordata; class Mammalia; order Primates; family Hominidae; genus Homo; species Homo sapiens. The sequence goes on along the minus strand of NC_000001.11, from coordinate 83,925,317 downwards.
ATTATAGGTGAGAAAGAGGCTTAGAAAAGTAATGGGGGAAGATAGAAAAAGAAAGATGATTCAGTTTTAAACATGCTAATTTTGGGATGCTTTGAGACAATGTTAACTGGAAAATTTGATATACAGGGCCCCAGGAGATAGAGGTATCTATTTGATTGATATTCATATATAGATTGCCCTTGAATCTAATGGATGAGATCACACAGTTGGACTGTATGTTTTGAGAAGAAGGGCAGCGACAGAACCCTGAGGGATGCCAGTATCAGAAGAGATTTATAAGCTCTGATACTCTGATCAGATTGTTTCCACATTGTCTGATAAAGTTTAAACTCCTTAGAATTATGTACAAGGCACTTTTTGATCTTTATATTATATACAAGGCACTTTTTGAGCTGGCCCTTACATCTCTTTCCAACCTCATCATTTCTTGTTCTTTTTCCTTTGCCTTGGAAATGACTTTTCTAAGAACTCTTTTGTGGTACAGTTTCAAATTTCTGTAGCTTTGCACTTGTTCTCATTTAATATTTGTTCACCTTTGTCTTTTTGGTGAATGCCAACTGACTTTTTTAAATTGTGGTAAAATACCCTTAACATAATATTTACCATTTTAACCATTTTTAAGTGTATAATTCAGTGACATCAAGTACTTCACATTGTTGTGCAACTATCACCACCATCCATCTCTGGAAGTCTAATCCTGCAAAAGTGAAACTGTGTACCCATTAAACACTAATTCCTCATTCCTCCCTCTCCCCAGTCCCTGGAAACCATCACTATATTTTGTGTCTCTATGAATTTGAGTGTCCTACTCTCAGTATCTCATAAGAGTGGAATCATATGTATTTGTCCCTTTGTTACTGGCTTAAAGTAACTGGGATAATGTTTTCAAGTTCTTCAATGTTGCATCATGTGTCAGAATTTCCTCCTTTTTAAGGCGGAATAACATTCTGTTGTATGTATACGAATACCACATATTTTGTCGGCACATTCGTAAAACCTAGCTCAAGTTTGACATTCTATTTGAAGCCTTTGCTGAGACAGAATGGTTTACTAACTCCTTTGTGCTATCATCATACTTCCCCCCACATTTCAAATAGTACTCATCATACCCTGTGTTTTTGTTTATATGCCATTGCTCCCACTTCCTTTATTTGGTCAGCTCCTCGAGGGTAATGGCCCTGTCTGGTTCTTTTTGTATCCCCAGGGCCATATCTGGAATTAACAAATAGAGAGTACTAAATAAAATTTGGGTTGGAAGACAATGGTATGGGGAGGGCATTCCATTCAACTACTTGTAGAAAGATGAGGAAGTGAGACAGAGCAAAACAAGCTCATAGAACTTCTAGTGGTTCCACATTCCTGGAGTATACAGCACGTGAAGCAAGTGATCAGAGAAATCCCTTGGATGGAATTATAAGGTAATAAGTAGTGGAAAAGACTCAAGAAAGTGGTAAACTAAATTGCTTAGGTCAGTATATGGATACAGTTGAATGGAAAATGCTAATTAAATGCTAAATGAATGGTGATCTTTTTGGTCTTTGGTTAAATTTTTATTCTGGCCTGTGGTGTAAGTACTGAGAGTCATTAGTGCTGATTTATGCCTGTGAATATTCATAGAAATGCAAATAGTTTTTAGAATGACAATATTCCTAAGGGCCAGAAAGTGGGAACGTTCCTTTATACAAAACAATGTCTCAGGGTAGTTGGATTTTCTTTGTTTCTTAATGTGTCTGAAGGAACTTCTATGTGCTTATTTTTGTTATTCTTCTTTGTGTGTGTTCAAACTGTTTGTGTATAAGTATCTTTGTCTATGAGTGTTTTGTTTGCTGTAGATATTCATATAGATCTGTGTTTATTTTTTTCATAGAATACTCATCATATCATCTCATCTTTCTTTATTTTCATCTCCTCTTAGTTTTTCATTCCCTTTTTTTGCTTCCTCTATTTTTTTTCTCTTGTGGATTGTTTAGTCTTTGTTCCTCTCTATTCCTCTTTTCATTTCTATTTTCTTTTCCTGTCTTCTTTTTCTTTTAAACTGAATGCTATATAGAAATGATCATTCTAGATAAAATGGACAAATTTTATCCATTTTAAATGGATGTATGATAATATATTCATTGGTATATGATAGAATGATAAAATGATTGCTCTAGATATAATAAAATGAAAAAATTCAAAAGTTAAAGAGTTACCTAAACCATGGCATTTCCTTTACCCTTAATTAGGGGAAACTCAGAGCCAAATTTGTATTCATCATTGAAAATGCCAGTGGACTCACTAAAATCAGAACTCTTGGTGTCATCACAAGTTCATCTCTCTTTCTTATTCTTCATATTGAATTAGTCACCAGAGCATATCCATTCTTCCTCCAAAATATTACTCTAAACTTACCTTTTTTCTCTAATCCCTTTGTTGCTCCCCTGTTCCAAGCCCTCATACTTTATATTTGTTAATGAAATAGCATCTCATCTTAACTTTCTGCTTCTTTTCTCATCTACTTCTAAGCCACTGTATATACTGCCAAGAGCATAATCTTTAACATATACAAATATAATTATGCCCTCTTTTAAAAATTTATGTTCTCCTTCATTGTGTAAAGTTAAATTTGAGGCTCAATAACCTAGTATTCAAGTCCATGTGAGAAGCTGAGTTTCTTGCATTCACCCAGAGCTCCAGTAATCCTGAATGACTTGCAGTTTTCTGGATGCATTTATTTATTTTCTCAAATTATTCCTTTTACCTGACCACCTGTTGACCTCTTGCTACTCAAGCCTGAATGTTGTCATGAAAGAGAATGGATCAGTTTCCTAACATTCCTGCAAGGTCAAGTTGTGATGGTACATACTTGAGGCAAAAGAACTCTCTTTATTGTTTAGGGCCTTCGACTCATATTCTTCATGCAATCTCATGATGAATTAAATGAGGCAATATGTAAACATAAGCACTTCTCTTACCTCTGCACTAGAAGCTAGCCAAATGGCCTTCTTGTCGCCTTTCCTTTGGTTTACACTCTTATCTGGGCCCTACCAGCCTAATGACAATAGAAGCATGGAAATGTAAGCTTAAGGATAGAACTTTCTGTTTTGTTTTTGTTGTTTGTTTGTTTGTTTGTTTCTTCTAAAGGTGGGGTCAGAATTGGCCTTGCTTTTCCTTTTTTCTTGGAGTACACCCTGTTCCTGCTAGGTCTTTCAATGATGGTATGGTAGAGTTTAAGTTGAAGGGGTTGGAGAGAAAAATCCTCAGGCTTGTGTTATTTCACCAGCTACGTGGCAGGGAAGAGAGAGAAAGTGGTTTAGAGGAAAATAATCCCAAAACAGGACTTTTCCTTAAAAATCAGAGAGTTATAAGTAAATTTTCATAATTGAGTAAAAAATGGGAAGGACTATGCAGATGTTTTCAAATAAATGATGATTGTTAGGCTGAGATTTCGGTCAGAAATGAAAATGTATTAAAGAGTGGTCAGTATAAATGGAATTGGGTTGAAGAAGGAGAAGAGAACCATTACATATTAAGTACCTATTAATGTTACCACAAATTAATCTTATAAGAACTCAAGGAGGAAACAGTATTGCTGACATTTTAGACGGGGAAACTATATCCAAACTAGGCAGTTAATTGACCAGCCCAAGATTGTATAGTGGTAAATTGTTGGGGCAAAATGTGAAACTAGGTCTCTCTGATCCTCTAAAACATGCACTATTTCCATTTTGTCTCTGTATCTTCAGAATTTCTGTTTACCATATCTATTGTCAGAGTGCCATATTTGAGGTATGGTTAGATGAATATAATGTAAGTGAATATATAAGTTTAATAAACATTGATTCTGAGCTTCACTATGTCTCCTGTTCTGCAAATTCTCCTCACAGGGATAAGATCAGAACTTGTTCGAGTTCTAGAATATGGTCTTATGTTTTATATTTTAGGACCAGTGACAAAAGAAGAAACTTGGCCAAACAAAAAGCTGAGGCTCAAAGGAGGCTCTATGGTCAAAATTCAATTAAAAGGCTCTTACCAGGCTCCTCAGACTGGGAACAGCAGAGACACCAGTTGGAGAGGCGGAAAGAAGAGTTGGTATGAAAGTTTTAAGAAAGTACCCACAATTTAAATTGCATAATTCACTTGTTGGATTTTATTTGTAAAATTTTTCTCATTTCCAGAAAGAGAGACTCGCTCAAGTACGAAAGCAGATCTCACGAGAAGAACATGAAAATCGACATATGGGGAATTATAGGTAACTGTGCTGCTATTTTTGTATAGATTGAAAAAATGAAGTATCAAAGCAATGATTCTTCATGTTTTAATCTTGTGTGCTTATTTTAAGCATTTTTCTTTCATTCCAAGCAAGTGCTTTTTGCTTACTGTCTTTCAGAAAGAAAGGTAGTCAGCAGGGAGATGGTTCAGCCTTGACAGCGCTCCTGCTAGCCAGCCTCTGGGTGGTTGTAGGAGGTCTTTTTAACCTGCTGTTATCCTGTGACTGTATTTAGTTATAATGTGGTCTTTTAAAAAAAGTCAGAATTCAGGTCTCTTGGTATTCTTCCTGCCAATCCATGGTGGTTACTGTACTTTTTCAGGAACTAGGCAAATAATGAAAATGTTTGAAGGAGTTAGGTATGAGACAGTGGAGAGGGATGTGGGCTGTGTTAAACTGGAACCCTTCCACAATATCACCCTTGACAGATTCAAACCCCCCCACCCCACCCAGCTCATTGTGTTCTTGGACAGATTGCCCACTTTCCAACTTTTGACATTGCCTGAGCAGGATAAAGGAATGTGTGAGGGCGTTCTTGCACTCATGGTAAGATGTTCTTTCATGGCCTTAACACCATCAACAGTAGTGATAAGAACACATTCCTCCCACTCTACCTCTACCCACTTCTCTCTACTAGAGAGGCAAATTCCACCACTACAAAAGAGATCATCAGAACCACTGCTTACATTTTTGTATACTTCAGTAACCACACTAAGTAAAAACACTCCTGCAGTATCCCTTATTACCTGAACACTCTCCTATAAAGTTCAGTATTTCTCCAATTTGCCCAATCACCATTCTTCCCCAACCATTTCCCCCCAACTAAACCCTTATACTGTACCTTCTGGAACTGCATTGTTTAATGCTAATTCTCTAGATAAACTTTGTTTGTGGATTTGTGCCACTATTAATGAATAGACTGAAAACCTTCATAAAGTTCTAAAAATACTCTTGTGCAATCATTAAAGTTTTGAAAGAATTTTATTAATTAGTGCCCAGTCAGCAAATACTCACATTAGAAAGTTACTAAGTGAATCTATTAGGCCAGTTATCAGTTTTCTGTCTGGAGGTTTAATATTTAATATCATTTTGCACTAATCAGTATAGAAATGCTTATACCTGGCAATGTGACTGGTATAGAATAGATGGTCAAGGATTGTCTATGGAGTTGATGTTAACTATTGAGCTACGACAGCTTCTTTTTAAAAAATTGGTTTATCTGATTTTGTTGTAGACGAATTTATCCTCCTGAAGATAAAGCATTACTTGAAAAGTATGAAAATTTGTTAGCTGTTGCCTTTCAGACCTTCCTTTCAGGAAGAGCAGCTTCATTCCAGCGAGAGTTGAATAATCCTTTGAAAAGGATGAAGGTAAGAGAATGAATGTTTATATAGAGAAAAAAGAATAAAGCTAAACAATATGTCTTTACAGACAAGCCACCTTGGTCCGACATATAAAAACATTTTACTTTTAAGATATGCTTTCCCCAAGCTTTCTATTTTAACAGTTGGTAACATTTCATGATGAACCAACTTACTTCATAAGATATCTACCAAGAAAAATTATGGAGTAGAGAATTGTGATATTATGTTGTAATATCAATATATTATAATAACGTATCTTCTTACATAGATGTGTATATGTAACTGGATAAAGAAACCCATGGAATTAACCTAGTGGTTTGTAGCGTTTTTATTTTTTGGATTATAACAAACATTACATAATACTTTTTCTTGATGCTATGTAGATCTAGCATATGAGAGGAAGTAAATGAAACACACACACACACACACACACACACACACACACTCTAATCTGTACACCATAGTAAAAGGTCTAGCAGTTTTCTATTATAGCATAACAAACCACTTCATTTATTTGCTCATTACTCTGCAATCGTGGCTGGGCACAGCTGAGTGGTTCTTCCGCTTGTCTTTCCTGGGGTGAATCATATAGTAGCATGTATCTGAATGCCCAACTGGGGCTAGAAATCCAGGGTAGCTTCACTCACATGTCTGGTGTGTCAGATAAGATAGCTGAAACATCTGGGAGCTGGCTGGTATCTCTTTCTCCCTACACAGTCTCTCAGCAGGGTAGTCAGACCTCTCAATATAGTAGCTCAGGATTCTAAAAGGGAGCATTTCAAGAAGATTCTTTTTATCCTAGTAGGAGCTCTCTATTTTAGACTTGATCTCTGCCTACATATGTCCAGACATGACAGATGACCCCAAAGAAGAAAATGGCCACTCATCTCTGCTCACCTAGGAAGAACTTGTTCCTCTTTGGAATTTAGTTTCTTTACATTACTTTTTACCTAAAGTAAAGCTTTCTGATGTTTTAGAAAATATGATTGTTTAGTTTATCTGGCCTTTTCTGGCTGTTATGATGAAAGTATTATCTGTTATATTTCTCCTAAACAGAAGCAGAACTCCTTGAGTTTCTTTTTGGCTATATTGTACTGCTATCCATGGAATTCATTGTAAGATTATTATTTAATAAAAAATGTATAATAAGAGTATTTTGGGATTTCAATAGCTAAATTTCCTTAGATTGGGACAAAGAGTAACTTACTTTACACATTTCTACTGCACAGTGAGATTTCTAGTTTCTTCAAAAACCTTTTCTAGAATCCTTTCTTAAATAACTAAATGATACAGTTGATTATACCTCTTTCAGTGTAGCTATTATACTCGTATTGTCCTGGCTTGCCTAATATCCACTGGGGTATATGCTTTTACAAAATTTCCTTTTGATTCAGAATATGACTCTAGTAGAACGCAGGAAAGGTGTTAGGGCACTTGTGGCTTTTTGCTACCTTTGATGACTATAGAATGAAAACCTTTATAAAGTTCTAAAAATACTTTGTGCAATCATTAAAATTTTGAAAGAGTTTCATTAAATAGTGCCCAGTCAGCAAATACTCACATTAGAATGTTTCTAAGTGAAACTGTTAGTCCAATTATCAGTTTTCTGTCTGGAGGTTTAATATCATTTTGCACTAATCTGTATAGAAATGATTCATAAACTTGAAATCTGGAAAACAGCATGAACTTTCCAGAAATTTTAGTGTCCAATGGGCTAATTTATTGAAGTATTATACTCTAAGATTTTAATACTATACTGTACTATAAAGATACATTTGTTTAGGATAATTAATACAGAATAGATTTTGGCTATGTATTAATTATAATGCCAGATTTTAGTGAAAGTTTCAAGAGAATTTGCTGTGACCCTTTAATATTTCTCCTTTTTTCTGAGCAATCTTCACTAAATAATTTCAGGAATCCTTGCTCTGCATTATTTTGTGGAGATTAATCAACTTGGAAAAATTCTAGAGTCCATTAGTGGTTGTAATTTTAATTAGAATATTTTTTGAAGGAAGAAGATATTTTGGATCTTCTGGAGCAATGTGAAATTGATGATGAAAAGTTGATGGGAAAAACTACCAAGACTCGAGGACCAAAGGTGCAGTATATCTCTACCTTCCTTACTTATCAAAGTAGATGCTACTAGCCCTTGATACTTCTCACTATAAGAAAGACTGGTGCTGCTTTAAAAAAGGAACCACAGGGACTGTGTGCCCAGTGCAGGTAAAGTTTGGAAGATGATGATACCTTACACTCAGGAGTTTGTTTTGTTTTATTAGTTTCATTCGTCATTTTGGTTATTTTCCTGATGACAGTGAAAAGACCATGAGTCAGGGCCAAAAGGGACCCAAGAGCTAGTACTCTTATTCTAAACTAAGTATTAAGTTTGCCTCATACCTCTAGACAGATAATTATCAAATAAATGGGTAACATTATAAATAAGGCAAATCATGAACTCTAGAGACCCTAATTAGAAGCCCTGTCTTTTGCTGACCTAACAACATTGATTTTGTTTTAGTTAAAATAGGTGTAATTCCTAGAAATAAGTAGAAAGCTGTCATGTAGATGACATCTACATGTTCTCCTTTTTTTTTTTTTTTTTGATAACAGGGTCTCACTCTCATCCAGGTTAAAGTCCAGTGGTATGTTCATACCTCACTGTAGCCTCACACTCCTGGGCTCAAGTGATCCTCCTGCCTCAGCCTCCTGAGTAGCTGGGATTACAGGCACATGCCACCATGCCTGGCTAATTAAAAAAAAATTCTTCTTTTTTTTAAAGAGATGGTGTCTCACTGTGTTGCCAAGGCTGGTCTTGAACCCCTGGTTTCAGGCGATCCTCCTGCCTTGGCCTACCAAAGTGCTGGGATTATAGGCATGAGCCACTGCATCCAGTGCTGTTCTTCTGATATATGTCAAAGTTCTTGCTAGTAGAGTAGGAAAGAGTTAAATTAGAAAAATCTTGGATTTTTTTTTCATTCTATTCCATTTATATTTCAGAATTACTATGCTATCTCTTTGTCCTTAGCCACTTTGTCTTCTATCATATTTTCTTTTTTTTAAAATTATACTTTAAGTTTTAGGGTACATGTGCACAACGTGCAGGTTTGTTACATATGTATACATGTGCCATGTTGGTGTGCTGCACCCATTAACTCGTCATTTACTATTAGGTATTTCTCCTAATGCTATCCCTCCCCCCTCCCCCACTCCACAACAGGCACCAGTGTGTGATGTTCCCCTTCCTGTGTCCATGTGTTCTCATTGTTCAATTCCCACCTATGAGTGAGAACATGCGGTGTTTGGTTTTTTGTCCTTGCAATAGTTTGCTGAGGATGATGGTTTCCAGCTTCATCCATGTCCCTACAAAGGACATGAACTCATCCTTTTTTATGGCTGCATAGTATTCCATGGTGTATATGTGCCACATTTTCTTAATCCAGTCTATCATTGTTGAACATTTGGGTTGGTTCCAAGTCTTTGCTATTGTGAATAGTGCTGCAATAAACATATGTGTGCATGTGTCTTTATAGCAGCATGATTTATAATCCTTTGGGGATATACCCAGTAATGGGATGGCTGGGTCAAATGGTATTTCTAGTTCTAGATCCCTGAGGAATCGCCACACTGACTTCCACAATGGTTGAACTAGTTTACAGTCCCACCAACAGTGTAAAAGTGTTCCTATTTCTCCACATCCTCTCCAGCACCTGTTATTTCCTGACTTTTTACTGATGGCCATTCTAACTGGTGTGAGATGGTATCTCATTGTGGTTTTGATTTGCATTTCTCTGATGGTCAGTGATGATGAGCATTTTTTCATGTGTCTTTTGACTGCATAAATGTCTTCTTTTGAGAAGTGTCTGTTCATATCCTTTGCCCACTTGTTGATGGAGTTGTTTTTTTTTCTTGTAAATTTGTTTGAGTTCATTGTAGATTCTGGATATTAGCCCTTTGTCAGATGAGTAGATTGCAAAAATTTTCTCCCATTCTGTAGGTTGCCTGTTCACTCTGATAGTAGTTTCTTTTGCTGTGCAGAAGCTCTTTAGTTTAATTAGATCCCATTTGTCAATTTTGGCTTTTGTTGCCATTGCTTTTGGTGTTTTAGACATGAAGTCCTTGCCCATGCCTATGTCCTGAATGGTATTGCCTAGGTTTTCTTCTAGGGTTTTTATGGTTTTAGGTCTAACATTTAAATCTTTAATCCATCTTGAATTAATTTTAGTATAAGGTGTAAGGAAGGGGTCCAGTTTCAGCTTTCTACATATGGCTAGCTAGTTTTCCCAGCACCATTTATTAAATAGGGAATCCTTTCCCCATTTCTTGTTTTTGTCAGGTTTGTCAAAGATCAGATAGTTGTAGACCTGCGGCATTATTTCTGAGGGCTCTGTTCTGTTCCATTGGTCTATATCTCTGTTTTGGTACCAGTACCATGCTGTTTTGGTTACTGTAGCCTTGTAGTATAGTTTGAAGTCAGGTAGTGTGATGCCTCCAGCTTTGTTCTATCGTATTTTCATGCTTTTCCATGCTTCTGAAATGTCTTCCTACTAAAAAAAAAAGTCATTGACTTGTTGTTTGAGGCTCCTTCCTATTTCAGCTGAACCGCTGTTGCTTGTGTGAAACCTTCCCTCATTTCCCCAGTTAGGCTTAGACCTTCCCTTCTTTCTTTCTCCTGCTGTTCCATAAATAACACTTTTATAGAGCAGTTGTGACAAGTAATTATTTGCATGTTTGCCTCAGTATGAGGTTGCAAGTTCCTGAGGGTAGCAAGTAGATTTTCATCTTTGTATTCTTAGAACCTAGCCAGTGTGTGACACACAGTAGGTTCTCAAAATCCATTAGTTCAATTTGTTAAATATATGCATAAGAACCTCATTGGCTAGTAGAAGAGCAGACAGGTAAATAAAAAACCAGGGAGTAATGTGGCAAGTACTATAATAAAGGGAGTGTAAAGTGCTACAGCCCCATAGAGAAGAAAGGGATTGGTAGCATGTGGATGGCTTCAGAAAGGTAGTGCTATTAGAACTGGATCTTGAAAAATGAGTAGTGCTCTAAGCATTAAGAGAGGTGGAAGAGGCAGAGCACGGTGGCTCACGCCTCTAATCCCAGCACTTTGGGAGGCCAAGGCAGGCGGATCACGAGGTCAAGAGATTGAGACAATCCTGGCCAACATGGTGAAACCCCGTCTCTACTAAAAATACAAAAATTAGCTGGGTGTGGTGGCATGCGCCTGTAGTCCCAGCTACTCGGGAGGCTGAAGCAGGAGAATTGCTTGAACGTGGGAGGCAGAGGTTGCAATGAGCCAAGATCGCGCCACTGCACTCTGGCTTGGCGACAGAGCAAGACTCTGTCTCACAAAAAAAAAAAAAAAAAAAAAAAAAGAGAGAGAGAGGTGGAAGAACATTTAGGGTAGACGGAACATTAAAGGCAAAGATATGGAGTTATGATACTGTATAGGATGTTGTAGAAACATGAAAAGTTTGGTATGACTCAAGTGGAAGGTTCTTGGATAGTGAAATGATACAGGTGAGCCTGGTTAAGAGATAAGATACTTATCTGGTGGAGATCTTGGATATCAGAGACTGTTCTGAATTATGTGCTCTATATTGAGGCATTGTAGAATATGTCATTGATACTTCCTTTGGAAGAAATATATTTTAGAGTATCTGTAAAAGTGAATACTTGCATGAGTCATGGCATCACTTTGGGAAACACTGGGAAGTTTCTAAGCTTTGTATATTAATTATTGCTATTCAGCAAACCAGACATGAGATATCCTGGAGGCACAATGTTTCTGGCAGAATGGCAAATGCAGAAGCCTTGAGACAGCTTTATATTGTCTTATATTTTCCTGGGTTTCATTTATATAAGGCTTGTCATCCAAACAAAACTATAACCTCTTGGGAGGAAGAAGAATTCACTTTGTCTGATTTGTTCAGTCCCTTTCATTCTAGGCAAGTAGTGGAAACTAACAATGTATTTGTTGAAATGAACTAGATATTTCCTGTAGTTGTTAAAGCCAGCTATATTTCAAAGTTGTTGAAGTCTGCATAATCAGTCTGAAGTAGAAGAATCTTTATAACTTTTAATTTTATGTTGTTTACCAAGGGTTCAAAGTGAGCAAAACTTCAAAACAGCCGTTCCTTTTTAGAGGGATGGTATCACACACCCAACATTGATTTCCAGTGTCTTTACTGGTAGAAGAATAATTGGAGATAATCAAAGTTAAATAAAACTGGTACTTGTAGTAGGAGAAATAATAGCTTTCCACCAATTTGAGAATCTAAGAAACATTAGCTACATAAATAATAAATATCACATGAAGTATTAGGTTGGTGCAAAAGTAATTGCAGTAAAATATTAGCAATGTTCTTTTTATTAAGCTGGGTGATAGGCATGTGGGTGTTTATTCTTCATATATTTATACATTTTTTATATATAGCCTACTTCATAATAAAATTGGACATAAAAAATAAGTAGTATGGTTGTGCCATAACTCAATGCCAGTTTACAAATTCCATTTTGTAGTTAAGACACTATTTAGAGTTTATGTTGCTGTGACTGCTAGTTAATTATTGCTTGAACAGTGTGTTGGTCAAAAAGTCCCAAGTGCATATAAGACACAAAGGCTCAGCTGTACGTTTCCCCTTGTGATTCTTTATAGGGTCGAATAACTCATTATGTAGTCAAGCTCTTTAAGAACACTTAAAGCTGTTTGCTACATGAAGGAAGGCACTACTAGCAAGCCTGATTGTGCCACTCTTTCTTCTGGGTATGCTAAACTTCTGAGGAAACAACCTTCCTCTAGAATTCATATTCCCCAAGATTGTCAAAATGTTTGATGATTGTGTTACTGGTAAATGTTTTTATGCATATCTCTTTGAACATTGTCAGTACTTAGTAAATATTAGACCATCAGAAGGAGCACATGCTTTTAAACACAAGTTGGTACCTTAGTGAATTAAACTACTTTCCTGCTTTGGTTATTTTTCATCCTTTGCAAAGACTGTAAATTTAAGAAGATCATGCTTTTTGGCTCACTCTGTATTCCAGGCACTTCATGAAATGCTATTTCTGTCTTTATTTTTATTCTACACTGTTACACTAGAGGGTATACCTTCTTTCAGTGAAATCCCCATGCTATCCAAGGATTTCATTATAGTGTATGCTAACATCAAAACATTTTTGTTTGATTTAACAGAAAACAAGCAACTAGTATACAACTGAAGGAACCTCTCCCATCAGGAATAGGAGGCATATGGTGTGTGTAATAAATAGTCTCTTAGAATGACTGAGTTATAAAACTGTCTTGTTCTTGGTTATGCACATTCTTTCTGATGTGAAGCTGTCCCACGTCCCTTTCCTTCCATTCCTTCAGCTGGCATCATTGGAAACACATTGATTGGGAGGACTAGAAACAAGTGATTCTAATAGGGATGGTAACACGTAACAGCATGGCATTTTCAGTCTTTACAGATCTTCCATTCTCTATTAGAGAAATTTATCCTTCCTCCATGAAAATTTACCCATACTGATCTTCATATTATATTATTAATTTTTAAAATGTAGCATGGGCAATGAAAAGTTATGTCACTCTATTATGGCCAGAAGCTACGTGCCAGAGTTAGGAATACTCTGAGAAAAGACATCAGTTGTTCTTGAGCAGTTTGGAAAATGGACAGTTAACTAAAAATTTTATTTTTATAAATATCCACAGCCAGTTAGTCTTGTAAGGGATACCTAACTTCTTCCTGCACATTGTCTGAATGGATAGGCTCACAGGCAATGTTTTAGTATTCTTATTCTCTTTATCCTTTTTGTCTCTCTTTCTCCTCCCACCCCCTCACACACACAAACACAGACACACACACACCACACACATACACACACAGATGCACTTGCACGTGCACATGCATACACATTTATTGAGTAACTCTGAACGTTAATGATAAGACAAAGGTAGATCTCTGAGTCTTGATGAGTAATCTCTTATGGAATGAAAAAAGCTGATTATATTTCTTATTTTTATATTTTTATCTCAAATATTTTCCCTTTATTTTGTTATTCTTTGTTTATGGATACTCTGGCCCTTTATTCCAATCATGTAGGAACAACATATTCCTCATCATGACTATATCATTTAAGAAAGAATATTTTGCAGAAACAACAATCAATGCATAGCACTGTAGGCTAAGCAGCATGGCAGCAATAGTATTTGGGGGGATTCTCAACCTTCAGTAAAAAGCAGCAAGCATAGGGGGAAATTAAAAATAGTAACTAATCATATCAATAAACCTTTTTTAAGAATTCTAACAAAATAACACATTTCCATCTTTTTTAGCCTCTGTGTTCTATGCCTGAGAGTACTGAGATAATGAAAAGACCAAAGTACTGCAGCAGTGACAGCAGTTATGATAGTAGCAGCAGCTCTTCAGAATCTGACGAAAATGAAAAAGAAGAGTACCAAAATAAGAAAAGAGAAAAGCAAGTTACATATAATCTTAAACCCTCCAACCACTACAAATTAATTCAACAACCCAGTAAGTCAATTTCTTCTAATTTAGATGTTATATAAAGAATTATGGAACTGAAATTATTAAACTCAGTAAAAGGTCCTTGGGCCAAATGAACCCTGTTGTGTGTGAGGAGACCTGGATTCCATCCCACTTCCTTCCCTAACCAGACTCGGGCACATCCCTTAATTAAGCCCTTTCAAGATCTGCAAATAGAAAACGAAAGGGCTGGATTAAGGATCTATTCTATATTTCATCGTTTTTGTTAGGTGCCAGATTTTTGCCTGGGTTTTGTAAAATGTGCCTCATGGCTGATCTGATGATTATGTGTCTCTTAAGCCAATATATTCTCTCTCATTCAATTTCTGCCTCTCTACTTCCTTCACCCACTTTGTTTTATACTATCACTTATTATATATTTTTCAAAAAGTATGTATATCCCTAGGCATTTGACTTGAATGTATCTGTAAGTTACATAATTGTGAAATAGTTGGAGTTTTGTTCCCTCCCATTTTCATCACGGGTGAGTACTTAAGTCAGGGCTTATGATGCATAGGAACTACTTAGGAGAGCAGCCAACCAGCTGTTCCATCTCCTTCCGTTTCTGCTTCCTTTTCTCTCCTTCTGTCTGTATTTCTTTTTACATTCTCTCTCTCTTCCTTTGGCTCTTCTTTCGTTTGTTCTTCAATTCCAAATGTGCAATATTGTGTCTGTGATTTTTCTTTCATCCCCAAATGTCCAGTGTGGGATTGCTGTTTGCCTAGATTCAGTTGGAAAACCCCTTCCTGATGCTGCCTCCAGTCCAGGACTTTTCTGAACACTTGTCTCTCATATTTCTATTTGCCTCGTGCTCCACTGTCCTAGGGTTCCACTAAAGGAACCAGCTCAATAATGCAGTGAACACAATTGTGAGCCCTTTTTACCGTCAGCAATGTATTTAATATGTTAACTTCCCTGATAATGTGGATATTTTAAAACTGGCCTTAAACACTTACGGCAAAATGCATGAGGAATAAAGAACCAATAGATGAAGCTTTTAGAGGAATGGTCTTTGTTTATACATTATTCTCTAAAGAAATGTGCTACTACTTCATATCTTCCAGGGTTTATGTCTTTGGAGGGGAATTAATGTATTGTGTTCCATTTCATTTATTTATTTATTTACTTATTCATTTAAGAAATGTTTATTGAGCACCTGTTACACAGTTTGTAAGCTATTTCATCATTTGCTTCCTTTTTTCTGAAGGATTCCTTAAATACTTTCAGTGTGTCTTTGTGTAAGTATGGCTCTGTGTTGGTTTTAGAAGCTGAGGTTTTTATGCCCAAATTTGGTCAGTTTTTAATTCCCTTTCCTGTTAGCTGATGTGTACCTCCCTAATGGCATGAACTGATGGGGGATGAGGACAGGTTGGAGTAAAATTTGCTAACATTGTTATAGCTCTGAGATTGTTCTTTGTTCTTAGACCAATAGGTTAACAAATTGATATCAGACAATAGTGCACTAAAATATACAGATTTTTAAAATGTTTTTAAGTATGAATTTTCATTTGAAATCTAGCCTAATTTAATTACATGTCTTTTTTATTAGTTATATTTTATTTTTATATTCACGAGGAATTGTAACAAGTCTTTCACTTTGTGTTTATTCTTTCTTTAATCTTACATTAAGGAACATTTCAGCCAGAAATCCTACTTGAGTTTTGTCTTCAGAGTAGTGCTGATGATCAAGGACAAAATCCAGATTATGTGTAACACTTTGTCTTGTATATAGTTTGAAAAATTCAAACTTATTTCAGCTTCAAAGGGATATGCAAGTTACAAAGATTTTTTGTGAACCTACCCAAACATCATTGGCATGTCTAGCTACTTAGTTTTTCTATCTGAATTTCTAGCATGTGTAGGCAAAAAAAAAAAAAAAAAAAGGAAAAAAAAAAGTAATCTGTGATGATTCAAGACAAAGGATATTTTCCTTCTGCCCAGTGATCAGGTTATATACAACCAAACCATTACCATAACCCCTCAAAGAGAGTAGGACTACAGTGCAGTTACTAGCACATGCCTTGGGTATTTTCTTAGTATAAGTTTGCTCTCGGCGCACATTAAATATGTGCAGTTCTTTGTTAAAAAAAAAAAAAAGATTGACCAGTGGTATGTTCCTCACATAGCCCTTCTCTAGAAATATAGAAGCAGTGTCATTTTGAAAAGTGGTGACAGTTTCAGGTTCACAAGGAAGTTAATCATTGGAACAAAGAGAAGTTTTTTTTAATCTTTTATAGCTTAAATAAGTATACCTTTTTGTACTCTCCAAAATTTAATTTAGAAGTACATCCCTAAATATAAGGCTTATGTCTATTCCCTTTATAAAGGTTTAAATTTTTTTTCAACAGCTAATGAAGAGAAATATTTGGGTATTCAACCTGGCTTCATGTGAATTTTACCAAATTATTTAATGAAGATATATTCCTCAAGCAGAGAAAGAATACAGAACAGAGGATATATAGACCATAGGAACTGAAAAACAATAAAAATATTGATAGTATTGAGTGATGATCTATTTCCCTGTGTCAGGAGTCAAAATTTATCTGGAACAGTTGGTTTTCTTTATTAGGTGTTCTTAGTATGCATTGGGGAAGATATTTTATAGTTTCTCTTAGATATTTGTTCTGATAACAACCCTATAGATCCATACATTTTTTTCTTCACTTGTCTTTTTCTATAGGAATTTAACCTACTTAAAAAATTATTTACTCTTGTGACTTAAAATACTCTCTGTTCAGTACTACTCTTTATAATAACCAATTCTGTATTTAAACTCCGTTAGGATAATCTGCATATTTTTCTTTTGTTTTATTACTGTTTTTTTTCTCATGGCTTCTAAATTCTATAACTTAACCTATTTAGCCTGTATGCCTTTCCAGCCCTCCCTATGAATCTTGCTGTAAAATGTTCAATCTCTAACCTATACACAGATTCTTGTGAGTGACCAGTCAAATCTCAAGGGATAGTGGATAGCATCATGGTATTATAGAAAAAGGGAAGACACTGGAATTAGATAGGGTCAGGATTGAAACCTGATCTTGACCACTTCCTTGCTGTATGACCTTGAAAAAGTTCTTTCTCTAAGCCTCTGGGCAATGGAGATCCCTACTTCAGAGGGTTTCCATGAGGACTAAGATATAAGTGTAGCACTTAGCACAATGCCTGGCTTATAGAATATGCTCCATAAATGTTAATTTTCCTTTCTTCTGGTTCTCTTAGCTCATGTTTTCAGGATATAACATTGAAGGATTGTTGATAGTATTATTCCCACAAGGGCCATTTTTTATACATTACAGGGGTTCTTCTGCAACAAGTTCACTGTTGTTGAAAAGTGTATTCCAAACTCATATTCTCATGATGATGCCTATGCTTTGACATTTATTGCTACTTTACTACTAGCTGCTATAATCTTTAGTTTATATAGACTTCATACAGTGAAAAACTTGTATTAATACTGCTACTGTAGTATCCCTCTTCTCCATCACTGATAGGCTCCATAAGACGTTCAGTCAGCTGCCCTCGGTCCATCTCTGCTCAATCACCTTCCAGTGGGGACACCCGCCCATTTTCTGCTCAACAAATGATATCTGTGTCACGGCCAACTTCTGCATCTCGGTCACATTCCTTAAACCGTGCTTCCTCCTACATGAGGCATCTGCCTCACAGTAATGATGCCTGCTCTACCAACTCTCAAGTGGTAGGTCATCTGTTTTGCTCTTTCAAGATTACAGGGAGCTCTGTACTCAGGCAAAGGGGATCAGATGAGAGGAGGACAGACTGAACCTCAGATCCTTTCCATAATTCAACTCATGACCTCTTGAAATTTGGATTATTCACCTACCTTAGCCTACAATTTAGTATGACTCTTAAAAAGTGCAGACTTCACTCTATCACAGAACTCAAAGATGAGCACTGAGAATAGCATTATTTTATTTTCTATTTGCTGATATAGTAGGATAATATTACTGAAAATTACCTGAGGAAATGTATGGTTTTGCAGTGTATTATGCAGTCTATCTTTAAATTTGAGGAAATTTGGAAAATTTTACTTAATGGGACAGTTGATTAATAGGTTAAAAAATGATAAATTCTCCTTAGAGCACTTAAGTACAATGTTATTTATAATGTGTTCTGTATGTTAAATTAACATATAGTATTCCCTTGTTAGCATGAATCCCAGAGATTTGATATTTAGAAAGTAGTGAATTTAGTTTGTAAGAAGGCTTACTTTTAGATGCTCAAATAGATAGCTCCGACTACCTTCACATAGACTAAGGATTTATTTAATTTGTTTATTTAATATGGATCATGTTTCCAAAGGGAAGTCAGGAAATATAAGTGAGTGAATTTCACTTGGTAACAATGAATTTTTTTTTCTAATCAAGAAAAATTGCCTAAGGTATATGTAGCAAATGAAACTGACCAGGAAGTCCTTTTTAAGTATTTATATTTTTATTTTAGTACTTTGAGCTAAATAAGTATAACCTTGTGGAAGTGTGAAAGACACTCTTGGGATTCATATCCATTTAATCCAAAGAATTCACAAGTGTAAAAGAAAATTTTCTTCCTTTTTCATTGTTATTGTTTTCAGTTAAAAGTGCATCATTTTTACCTAGAAATATCTTTCAGATTATACTGGCACAATGAAATAAGACCCCCTCCAAATATCTGTATTCTTTCAAATTTAAGAGTGAGTCTTTGCGGCAACTGAAAACAAAAGAACAAGAAGATGATCTAACAAGTCAGACCTTATTTGTTCTCAAAGACATGAAGATCCGGTTTCCAGGAAAGTCAGATGCAGAATCAGAACTTCTGATAGAAGATGTGAGTATGTGATGTATCTAAAATGCCAAGGAGCTGGTACCTTTTTATTCTTCTTAAAATATTAAAATTTATTTCCTGAAGGCATTATGCTCAGTGACATAGTAAATTTAATTGATGTTCTTTTCAACCTCTACTAGCTTTAGAAAATACAGGGGTTTATTTTAATTGTTACAATTCATGGACAGTGAGATCAGATTATAATCAGCAGTACAAAGTATCTTTTAGTATATAGTGCTATTTTAATGATAAGTCTGCTTCATCAAGTCAGAATAATTAGTGTTAAATAATTATTGTTCTTAATGATTAATCAAATATCATGTTAAACCTGCTTCTATAAAGATTTAGAAAGAACTAATATGGAATGGGGTATGATGAAAAATGTGGGGCTGTGGCATAAAATGTCAAGAATATTTGAATGTGACACCTTGAATGTCACATTTTTGGGGTCAGATTTTTGAAATGACTTATGCTGAGCTGTGTGTTTTTCTTGTTACACACACATGTGCACCACCCAGTGGAACATTCTAAAATGTCAGAGGGTCCTAAAATTCACATTAAAACCAGTGACTTACTCCTAATTTAGAAAGAGGGTCCAAGTTATTTCAGATAATTTTTGTGAAAGCGCATTTCTTCATGCAAGGTTACATTTCTTCATTCAAACATCCTTTTCGTTCCTTCAGTAATAGAACCTTGTTTTTTGGGGGCCATATGTATATTTATAAATATATAAAAATATATTTTGGGCCATTTTTTTTTTTACAGATATAATTTTATAAATTATGTATATAAAATATATGTTTTTTTTTCCCAGAGGAGAGGGCACCATCTAGTGGCCAGTTATAGGATAAAAACTACAGCCATGCACTTGGCATTTTCGTTTTTTAGCATATACTTTAGACCTGTCTGAAGTAAGTGTGTAGAAACAAAAAGCAAACAAACAACAATAAAAGAGACTTTCTTGCTAAAAAACACCCATAACTAGAATTTATATTATGTACTGATGACACAGTCATAAGCAAAGCCCCCAATTATTATATATTTTGTTGTTATATATATTTTTAAAAAGTGAAAATGGTAACTTGTTTGCAAGCTAGGTGCTACTTAGTTACATTAAAGGAAATGAAAGAAAGCATTGGATGTTAAGTATTATACTAGATGTGCTTTTATTTACCTATGTCATCTTATTTGATAAAATTTTCTATATATAGCCAATGACTTTGTAGCACTTTATTTTATATATTTCTTAGAGATATTAGTTATATCCCATCTTTTTGAATCAGGTAGAAGAAAATTAAACAATCAAAGAGTAAAACTAATATTTCTGACTATCATGATTGTTCTATAAAGAATGTATATAGGCTTATATAATTAATAAAATATAATGAATATTTATAGCAGACATCAAATTGTTTATTGTGTGTTCACTACATGTGGTAAATATTTTAATCTGTTTACTACAGTATATATTACAAGACTATATATTCAGAAGTTTTGCAGACTTGCACAAAAATAAAACAAAGTAGTAGAATTCTCATATAGGCTGCCTTCTAATGCATTATTCAATATTTTATTACTATGAATGATAAATCAGCCTCTAAAATACAAATGAAAAATCTATTTCTTGGATTTCTTGCCAAATCTTATGTGCCTGAAGACATTTGACTTTCATTCATTGGAGATTGTTTTTTGTTTTTGAGACAGAGTCTCATTCTGTTGCCCAGGCTGGAGTGCAGTGGTATAATCTCAGCTCACTGCAACCTCCACCTCCTGGATTCAAGTGATTCTTGTGCCTCAGCCACCCAAATAGCTGGGATTACAGGCATGCACTACCACACCCAGCTAATTTTTACATTTTTCTTAGAGACAGGGTTTTGCCATATTGGCCAGGCTGGTCTTGAACTCCTGGCCTCAAGTGATCTGCCTGCCTCAGCCTCCCAAAGTGCTGGAATTACAGGTGTGGGCCACAGAGATTGTATTCTTAATACAACTAGAATAGAAAGCTTTGGATGTAGATGGTTTCTTTAATTTGTATTAGAAATCTTTGCACATGTGTTTTTATGAAAGTTGGCATTATTTGTTGCAAGTATATTATAGTGCTTTCATTACACAAATTAATTTAAAAAATGGGTTTCAACCTGTAAATTTCTTAATGTTCCTCCTTCCAAACAGATCATTGATAACTGGAAGTATCATAAAACCAAAGTGGCTTCATATTGGCTCATAAAATTGGACTCTGTAAAACAACGAAAAGTGAGTAATGCTCAAAACAAGTTTTTTCCCTCTTGGATTATGTATTAAGCTAGGATCATTAAGCCAAATTCATAGACAGACTGTATATTTGCTCATTTGTTTACTCATTTCTTCAACAAACACTTATTAAGTATCTATTATGTGTCAGGCACTCTTCTAGGTTCTGAGGATACAAAAGTGAATTTTTAAAAATCCATGCTTTCATAGAACTTACATTCTAGTTAAGATGTCTGATAATAAATAAATGCATAATAGAATGTAAGGTAGTACAGTCAGCCTTCTATGTCTGTGGGTTTCGCATCCATGGATGCAACCAACCAGGGATTGAACGTGTTTGGAAAAAAAAGGATGGCTGTGTCTGTACTGAACATATACAGACTTTTTTTCCCTTGTCATTATCCCTAAACAATACAACAGTGTAACAACTATTTACATAAAATTTACATTGTATTAGATATTATAAGTAATTATAAGTAATCTAGAGATGATTTAAAATATACAGGTGGATGTGCATAGGTTATATGCAAATATTCCACCATTTTATATCATGGACTTGAGCATCCATGGATTTTGCTATCTGGGAGTGGGGGTCCTGACGCCAGTCCTCACAGGTGGAGAGGGATGACTGTACTAAGTACTATGAAGAAAAATAAATTGAGATAAAAAAATAGAGGGAAGGTAGTATTTGAGCAGAGACTTAAATGAGAATCATGCTATACAGATATCTTCAGAGACAATGTTTCAGGCAGAGGGAAGAACAAATACAGAGATGCTGAGGTAGAAATTAGTTTGATGGGTATATGAAGCAGAGCAAGGCACCATTTTATTTATATATTTATAGGATAGTCTGTTTTAGCTGGAAAATGGTGAGTGATGGGGTCTTGGTAAGAGATAAGGTTGGACAGATAGGGAGGACCTAGGTCACAACTTTGTAGGCTATGGAAAGATACTGGGTTTTATTTCAGTTGATGAGGAACCACGGGAAATTTTGAGTAAAGAAGTTACATAGCCTGTTAGAATTTAAGAGAATCATGAGAACTACTTGTGAAGAATAGAACCGGGGGAGTGGGAATTTGGCAGAATAGAAATAGGGACCAGCTAGAAGGTTTTTAGGGTAACCGAGGCAAGAGCTAATGGGTGCTTAGCTAGGGTGGTAACTGAATGGATGGATGCTGGAGAAAGAGGGGGAGGGTTTTGCTGTTTCTGTTGTTTCATTTTATTTTTATTTTGACCATGTTGATGTTGATATATTGATTGGACATCCAAGTGAAAATGTTGAGTGTGTAGTTGTATAAGAGTTTTGAGTTTAGGGCTAAGATTGTGTATGGTGAACAAAAATTTAGGAGTCTCTAAGATATTTAAGGTGTCAACTAGATGAAACTACCTCGAGTTTCAAGGACTGAGGCCTGAGCCACTCCTACATGTAGAAATCAGAGAGATGGGGAGAATCTATCAAAGGGGACTGAGAAGGAGCAGCCAGTAAAATGTGAAAAAACCATGAGAACTGGGTGTCCTTGAAGCCAAGAAAAGAAATTATTTTAAGGACAGAGTAATCAATTGTGTCACATATTGCTGACAGAGGTTGTAAGCTGAGCACTAAGAACTGACTGTAATTTTTGGCAATGTGGATGTTAGCGATGACCCCAATCATAAATTTAGAGGGGTGGTGGGGAGTAAAACTTGGAATATGTACAAGAAGAAGAAAAGTGGAAAGCAAAACACCACAGTTACTACAGGCACTTTTTCAAGGAATTTTGCTATAGAGGGGAAAGGGAAATGTGGTGGTGGTAGATGGAGAGAAATGTGGGCCAACAAGAAGGTTTTTGTTTTTTTTTAAGATGAAGATGTTTTCAGTTTGTATGATGATGAGAATGATTTAGAAGAGAGGAATGGCCCAGGAAAGAGAGGTGTTAAAAAGTTCTTGAGTAAGTAAGCTGTGAGAGGGGGAGGGTTTTCCTAATCAAGAGCATTTATTCTAACAGGGGGGAAGGCAGGTGCATGGGAATGTGGTGGGAAGATGGGAAAGTTTTCTTCTGGTGGGGAGGGCTTCTGGAGATTTGGGGAGAGAGTATAAGGTACATAATGGTTGTCTTGGAGAGTGGAAGAGTGGAGTGGCCAGCACCATGAAGGGCCCATCAACTGCACTGTAACATTGTTTTCTGGGAGATAGACTATTTTAGTAGTGGAGTGAAGTTGTCG
Source organism: Homo sapiens (assembly GCF_000001405.40). Taxonomy (NCBI): domain Eukaryota; kingdom Metazoa; phylum Chordata; class Mammalia; order Primates; family Hominidae; genus Homo; species Homo sapiens. The sequence goes on along the minus strand of NC_000001.11, from coordinate 83,901,879 downwards.
AATTCCTTCAGTAATACAAACTATCACTTGCCCTTTCTAGGAATTGTCATGAATAAGCTGAAACTTGATGCTGATTACATGATGACTCTTAAATTATATACTTTTATCTGAGTAAGCTGAACTCACTGTTGCACATTAACTCATTCAGCAAATATTTGCTTAGTGTCCTGCCATGTGCCACGTAGAGTACACTGTTGAGGAGGGTGTAGTAAAGCTGGTGACAGAGGCAGATTGCAAAACACATGAGAAGCCCTGAATATGTTTTCAAGTCGCTGACTTTGGCTTCGATTAATGGAAATATGGAATTTTTATTAGAATTGGAACCCTGAATTTCCTTAAGTCCATATAATTTTTGTAATCTAGAAGAGAGAGAAGTGTAGGTAAGTTGCTAATTTAAAAAAGTAGAGAGTACGATATTAATAATACAGGATAAATGTGGTATTTCAAACCAATAGAGAAAAGATGATTTTTCCACTAAGTGGTACTGAAGCAATTATCTATTTGTAAGAAAACTAAGTTGGAGCCTTAATTCTCACTATATAAAAACAAACTTCATATAATTGCAGCTTTCTATGTAAAAAAGAAAATATTAAAAATTTAAAAGAAAATACAGAAGGATAAGTTTATAATCTTAGGAAAAGATCAGCAGATTTGATTACATAAAATCTTATGAAAGGTAAAAGATATCTTAAAAGGCAGAAGTTGAGAGGGCAATTGGGTGGGGGATAGAGGAGGAGTTTGAGGAAGACAGATAAGTGTAGCACATAAAATGACAAGTAACACTAGTGAACCAATACCTTCTGCAAATCAATCAACAAAAGAAACTTGCCTATAAATGTTGACAAATAAAATGGCAAAGCATATAGAAAGACCATGAAAAGACAACTTATGGATTTCAGATAGCCATTTAACATGTAAATAGATCCTTGACCTTACTAATGAAGAGGAAAAAACAAGTAAAAAACATCATATGAGCAAAAATTAGTAAGACACATAATATCCAGTGATGGAAATAGTATGGGTAAAAGGGCCTTTGCTATGCTATTAGACAGAAAGATAGTACATTGGTACAAGTCTTTAGAAAAGTAATTTGTAGTATCTATTAAAATGACATGTTCATAATGTTATGAGTCAGCAAAACCACTTCCAGCATTCCATCCTACAGAATAATTGCCTGAACGTGTAAAAGATTTTTGTACATAAGCATTCATCACAGTGATAAGGCATCTCCATGGAAAGGGCTTGTGAAGTAATGGTGCTGTGCGTTTGTTTTGTGTTGAGGTAGGAATAAGGGAAAGAGGCAGAGAGTGTCTCTCCCTGACCCCAGGACCTTGCTTCGGCTGTCCTTGCTGACTAGAATCCCTTCTTTACAATCTCACACACCACATATTTTGAAGGTCCAGCTCCATCTCCTTCACAAAGCATCTGGAGTCCCCTACAACCAGATATCTTTCTCTACTTGAATCTTCATGGCACTTTGTATTCAGCTATCTTATGATCTCCCTTGAGAAATTTATGGATAATTTTTTCCATCCCTCTAAAAAGCCAAGAGGATGGGTCTCATTTTGTAGTTAACTGCAGGAGGCTTTCTATCAATTTTTGTTAAGTTGATTCCATTCTAGACTCTTTTAATTCTAGACTCAGTAGCAAGCTAGCTGCTTCTTTCTGTAGTCTTCTTTCCTTACTAGTTAGTGATGTTTATTTGAACAGCAATAATAAGACAGTGCTATTCTGTTTTTTACATGTGATGTGAGAAGGCCTGTTAAACATTGATGGGATGATTAAATGACATGTGTGACTAATAATATTTGTGAATTGGAAGAAACAATTTCATATGTTTTAGGGTTATTATGCTCAGTTGACTTTCTACATTTAGAGGAAAAATAAATGCTTGTTTATAAATTTACTAATGAGTACATATACCAGTATATCTACTTCTTTGATACTGATTTATTCTAAGAATATTTGGTGTGAACTATTTTTATGTAATCTCTTCTTCCAGTTCTCAGATGTACAACCACCTTTAAGTATTAATCATACACCGTTATGTGGAGGGAGTGGAAGCACTAATGTGAGGGGAGGAGCTTTATTACAATTTTTATACCCTGCTACTCTTTTTTTTTGAGCTCCTTTGCTGCTGCTTCGCTGCTTCTTCCTTTGGTATAAATCAAAAGTATTGTGTTTCCTTTGTGCTTGCGATGTATTTGTGTAACGATGTATTCAGTCTTCAGGAAAAGCTTGTTAAAGTCCCACAGTTTGCACTACCCAAACGTTTACTGTCATTCTTCTACATAGACAATTTAATAGACAATTCTATAGACAATTCTATTTTTTTCGCAGAAAAATTCATATATTGAATTTTGGCTCTTAAAAGAACAGAAAGGGCTGGTCTTAACTACAGCAAGTTTATCTTGCAAAGATGCCCAATTTTATGGAGCCCTGAAAGTCGCTGAGGAATGCTACTCCTAGGCTGTGAAAGAAGTGGAAGCCCAGGATTTAAACAGGTGCAACTTGTTTGTAGCAATTTTTCTTGCTAGTCTCATGATTATTGGGGCTCCTTTTCTTCCTTCAACAGTTTTGTTCTTTAAGAGGCCTTCCCAAAACAGTCTCAAATTTCTCAGATATATAGTGAAAGGTGAGGCACATCTGGGAAAATAAGCAGAGGACAGCTTTCAGCAGCATTCATTCTGTGATGACATTCTTCCCCTTATTCAGGTAATTTAAGACCCCTTACCCATGAGTAACTACTTTAATATAAGGAGCTTTATATTAAAACTTTACTATAAAGTTTTATAAAACTTTCCATTTTTATAAAGTTAACCCTGCCAAAATTTGTAGGTTCTTTTATCTATATTCACAAAAAGAAGCCTAACAAATATACACATCATGAATACAAATCATCAAGCCAGCCAGCAGTGCAAACCAGCCAGCAACAGAGGTATTGAACTCTAATGTAAACATATTCTCATTGGGATTTTTTAAAAAAAATTTTTTCTACTTAGTAAGTAGCATTAGAATTAATTATGTGAAATACTTAAAATTTACCCCAGACAGGAATAAGAGAAAAATATAGAGGTAATTTTGGAAGTAATCATTGGAACAAATTTAAATGTGTTTAGCTGATTTATTTATATACATATATTTAATATATAATTTTTTTCTCCACCTCTTCCCTACCTGAAGTTTATTTCTGATAAAATCAGAGGTAAAGTGATCAGACAGTGACTGACTGAATTATTTTTTTTTGCCTGACAATATAAGAGCTAATATAATAATGAGTCAAAGTGCGTTGAAAAAATGCTTTATATGGTGAAATTAGAGAGGCAAAAGCATGTAATAGAAAGAGTTACTAGACCTCTTTTCATTACATGACATTGTAGTAGACATCTCATGAGACAGTATGGACTTGAGTTCAGTATTGCCTATGGCCTTTACCTTGGACAGGTGACTTCTCAGAACTTCTTTGAGGTTTACAACATTAAGTATTGAAGGGTCCTTGTGCTTAAGTGAGACATCATAAGGGAATGTACTCTAGCCTTAGAAGGGTTGCAGGCTGAAATTTTTTCTTTTGTACTAAGGTTCCCCATGTCAGACTGTTTCTCTGATGTATTTTATTTTACTAAGAATTCTTCATATGGGGTATTCTTTTGTATAGAATATATAAAAATGATGTATAAAAATTGTCTGTTGGCCTATAACATATTGATCATTTATTTGGCTATCAGTTAGAAACTTGTGCTATTGTCTTATAAAGCTAGAAACTGCATCCAAGAAACTAAAAGAAACCTGGAAATGTAGGTCACCTGTGGAGTGCAGAATTAGATATTACAAAAATGTATCTGTTTAGAAAGCTAAGGACTTAACTAATTTACATTAGATGCATGTTAATCAGATCCATCCTTCTTTTGGCTGTGATGTCAGTCAATAATCATTGAAAGCTTTACCAGCTTAATCTTCTGGGAGGCAGACACTAAGGTGGAATTAACAGTGAAAGTTTTTTTTTTTTTTTTTTTTAATGGAAAACACCCAAGGAAGATAATGGGGAGAGAGAGCGCAAGTAGGCAGGAAGAGCCTTAGGGCTACAATGCAGGTCTGACTCCAGTGAATGCAAGGGAGGAGGACTGGGTAGGAAGAACCTCAGACTTTAGTGGATCTCTGAGAAAGTTGTGGTCAGGCTGATGGGGAGCCCAGAACAAAGACTGGCTGTTGAAGGGATCACAGTGAGCAGAAATAGCTCTTCACTCGTATCCCAGCCATGCTTCATCCTTGGCTGGGAACTATCTTGGGAGAGTGTAAGCATGGTTTGAATATTGCAGTGGATCCCCAGTGGGGAAGCCATCAGCTAACTGCATTCTTTGAAACATGTTAATTTAAGTGGCACATCTCCATGGCTGCCACAAAGGCTGTGCGTGATACATTTTAATTTAACAAACATTTATTGATTGCCAATTTTATACAAATAATATGCTAGACACTGTTAGGGATTTTGAGAGTTGTTTACTCATTCATTTATTTGCTCACTTAATCATGCATTCAACAGATATTTATTGAGGGACTACCATGCCCCAGGCACTATTCAAGGTATGGAAGCACAAGACTCTTATTTAAGTATCTTAATTCCATTTAGAGACCATTATGGAAATATATATACCACTTTTCCTGTTCCAGGATTGAGGCATTTGTGGTTATTAGCCTGTTGTAAAGCTCCAAGATTAGAATGACATACACACAGAGTCTTTCACATGCTTTCCTTTTTTCTGTTCTTGGAAATTAAAAAAAAATTATTTGCCTTCAAATTTTCCTTAATGGATGTAAAATGTAAAGATCAAGGGTATGGGAATTAAATCCTGAAAAGAACCCTCACCAGGTGAAAATGGAAATAGTTAATCTTATTTAATGTCATGTTGTGGTAACTCCATACTTGCATAATTTAGCTTTCTGCCAAGAATGCAGTTGCTTTATATAGTTTGTGAGGAATATATATGAAGTATGAAAATATAGTCATGTTGGTGGGCTGCAAAGAATGCCAGATTTGCTGAAAAGCTTATTATCTGATGTGATACCTAAACATAAACTAAGAGTGGAGGATGAAGAGAAATAACTAATGACATTAAGGTTGTACTGTATTTGCATTTATTTTAGGGTGCTAAGAGGTCCTTGTTTATCAAGTATTACTTCTCTAAATAGCAATTTATTTTTAATACCTACTGTGGCTGCTTCTGCATGCATTTTGATGATACTATTTTCCGTCTCTGTTTTATTCAGGCTGACATAGATGCTGTTCAGAGCTGTTCGTTTTGCATCAGCAAAGATGCCTTTACCCTATAGCCATCGCTGCTGCATGCATCATTAGTACAGCATGTAGTGATTTTAATGTTATTTCTAAACCGCCTTCACCTCGTGCCATTATTTTAATTTAGGACCAACTGTTCGGCCATATGGAGCAGTTTGTCATTCAACATCTGTATGCTTTTGCAAAATATGAATTTGTCTGTGTGCTTTATGCCTTCAAATGTGCTATATTTCACATGGAAAAGACAAATCTTTTCATTTTATTAATGTTGTCATTGACTGAATCTCCCATTTGTTTTTTCCCTTGGAGAGCTTAATGTTGGATTGGGATGCTTTTAAAAGTCATAATGTAAGGAAATGGATACCTATATTCTATAAATTAGCCTCACGTAAGCCCACAGATAACACAAGGGCACCTTGCTGATCATTTATTTTTGTGTTTCACGAATTATTCATCTTCCATCCAATTTCTTCAATCCCCAAAGGACCAGAAATCCAAAAAAGCATCACAGGTAGAACTAGCACTAATTTATCTCATTCCAGTCTGATTTCTTGCCTGCCTGGTCTGTGCTTTCTTAAAATTATTAAGTGAGTATTTGGCTAAAAGTACAGTCATTGTCTCCCCATCTGTATAGCCTTCTAAACAAACTATTCCTTACTCCGTGGCCATAAAGGAGGGGGTGCCTAGGCAACCTTGTTTTTACACAGTGATCCCACTCTCCTCCCAAATACCATTTGACTAGAAATGAATCTGAATCTAAGAAGAGATAATGGGGTTCTCTCTAGGCTTTTGCTGCTGGCATCTGGAAAATCTAAATTGTGAGGCAGTGCTGGATGTAGTTAAGAGCGTAGGTCTGGATACAATGAGCTGGGTAATCTTGGGCAAGTTACTTATCTGCTTTGTGCCTGAGTTTTCTCATCCATAAAATGGGGATCCAAAATGTTTTCACGACCAAAAAAATTTTCATAACCCCTAGGCAGCAAAACCTAACCTACCTGAATTCATTTGGTGACAATGACCTGACAAGAAGTTATGTATTGATTTTGTCTATCTCTTGGTTTGAATATTTACATTTTTTTCCTGCAGAATTAATAATATGTATGATTATGGAATCTAAGCTTGAGATTTTTGGAAAGGGACTGTGGACCAATAGTATCTACCTCATGTTTTTGTTTTGAGGACTAAATGAGTTAATATATGTAAAAGTGCTTAGAACAGTGCTTGGCACATGGTAAGTTCTCTCAATGATTTTTTACCTTGTCTACATAGGTGTGACTTTCTTGCAAGGAATGACTTACTAAGACAGGAACCTACTAAATGATAGACCTTGTCTTAAGCCTTGGGGACCTGGTAACTTTATTATCAAGATGGGCACAGTTTACTCCCTTTATATGCATAACAGTCTCCATTAATTAAACAGGAAATTAAAATAAAATAAGGTGCTTGCTAATAAAGGAAGAACTGGGCATTAAGATATCAAACAATAGTTCAGTGGCAGGTAAAGTTTTCCTTAGAAGTGGCATTTGAAGTGAAACATAGAAGTTTATCAGATGAAGAGATAGGAGAAGACTGTTTCAGGCAGAGGAAGGAGCTTATGTGAAGACTCAGAGGAGAGTTGAAGGATTTGGGTTCCTGTTCCCTCAGTCTGTTGTTCCATGCCCTCCAAATTATAGGGGTGGGTCTCCGAGGACCAAAGCTTGCCTTCTTGCGGAGGCTCCTTGAAAACTGAAAGCAAAGAGAAGCAAAGAGGAATGCGTGTTCCCAGTGGTTTGCTCTGGACAGGAAGGAGAATGTGCCTAGTTTGCCCAGACCATGTCAGTCTCACCAATCTGGGAAATTGCTTCTTAGGTAGAGGTGCCTGATGGGGTGCCATGATGCCTGCAGATTTTTCCATCTCCATATTGAAGAAAACATTAGGAATGGAGCAGAAGCATTCCCCATCCCTAACTCCCCGGCTCCATTCTGAAGGTGCTGCTTTTAGTCATGTATGGGCTAGAATATGGTACTGTCATGCTATTAAAATTCCCTCTAAATTAAGAAAATATATGCAGAGTAGTGGTCAAAAGAATCTCCTCTAAGTAATGTGCCTAGCACAGTGTTTTGCATAGAGCAGGCGGATGATACATGTTAGTTGCCCTTGAAGTGTATTTAAAAAGAAATGAATGAATACTCCATGGTCTCAAATCCTTTATCATTTTAAAGTTGAATAATCATTTTATAATATAATGTGAAAACTGATGAACTTAAGGTAACGTTAAAATTGCCAGTATCAATAACATTTTTCAATTTCAGTTATTTTTATATAACTCATATTTATCCTTGAGACTAATACATGGGTTATCTTGGCTACTTTTTTATTCTTTCCTTTCTGCATTATGACTTTTGGCCTATTATTACTTACTAATATATTGACAGAAAGTAGAAAGGAAAAGTGAGAAGAAAAATGATTTAAATTTATCATTTACAGTTAGTGTTGATTCTTATATCACATTAGTCATGAGCACTGCTTTCTACACTAAAAAATATAAAGAGTTAAACTAATAGCTTAAATTAAAATTGTAAAAACTAAAAGGCATGAATTAATGCCTTGATACTCATATTTCAATATTGTTGTGAAGTTTTAAGATATTCCTCTTTATAATGAAGCATTTGTTACCTGTAATGAGCCTTTTCATGAGGTTTTTCACACACTACTTTATTACAGATTGTGTTTTCCCTCCTCATCCCCTGCCCCTTCCCCTAGGACACACCCTGACCTACAGTAGGATTTGTATTACTGCCCCCATCACAGTGCAGGAAGCTGGAACAGGAAAGGAAGGAATGCTGCTGCTCACACAGTTCCCTGTGAGAAGCTGTAGTTCCTAGTCTTCTATAAATATCACCTTGAAAGCTTTTTACTAAATTTATTTTTAAACAAATGTTTAAATTTGCCTTGATCAGAGATAACAAACATCATTTCTTTAAATATTGCTGTTTTAAAGAGAAATCATTCTTTCATCTGCTTCCAATTCTTCATGTTTATGTCTGTTGAGAGAAATGTCTTTAGTCTTTATGTTTGAAAGTCTTTTTCCCTTTTCATCTTCCACTTTCATTTGTATAGGCAGTTGCCATAATTATAGAGCTAGATAAAACAAAAAGTGAAAAATCCACTTTGATGAATGGAGATCAGAATATTAGTATTTGGTGTTCATTTTTTTTTCTTTTTGTTTTTTTACAAAAGAATTTTGTTGGAAATACCTACATTGCATAAGTATCAAGTACATGTGAATTAGACAAAACAGTTTTTTGGGGTTTACAAATTTTTTAGGACCTCTAGGATTTCAGTGGTCCAGATTAATCATAGTCCTTATTTCATTATACTCTTTCATGATTGGTTTGTGCATGGCCTGCTTTTATTTAGTATTATTTAGTGTTTTTAAGTTTATTATACCACCTGTGAACCCAACACGCAAATCAAAAGCTAGGTTCTTGGAAATAACGTATATAACCAAATGATTCCCTTCCATCCCCCTGGCTCCCCATTTCCCAGGTAGTTATTATATTCTTGAACTCAGTGTTCACTAATCTCATCTCTCCTCTCCTCTCCTCTCCCCTCCCCTCCCCTCTCTTTTTTCTCTTTCTTTCTTTTATTCTTTTCTTTCTTTCTTTCTTTCTTTCTCTTTTTCTTTCTTTTTTCTTTTTCCTTCTTTCTCTTTCTCTCTTTTTGCTCTTTTCTTTATATATATTCATATATATACTCATATATGTGTTCATATATATGTTCACATATGCGTTCATATATATGTTCACATATGCGTTCATATATATGTTCACATATGCGCTCATATATATGTTCACATATGCGCTCATATATATGTGTTCACATATATATGTTCATATGTTCATATATATGTTCATATATATGTTCATATGTTCATATATATGTTCATTCATATGTTCATATATATGTTCATTCATATGTTCATATATATGTTCATATATATGTTCATTCATATGTTCATTTATATGTTCATATATATGTTCATATGTTCATATATATGTTCATTCATATGTTCATATATATGTTCATATATATGTTCATTCATATGTTCATATATATGTTCATTCATATGTTCATATATATGTTCATATATGTTCATTCATATGTTCATATATATGTTCATATATATGTTCATATATATGTTCATATATATTCGTATATATATTCATATATATTCGTATATATATTCATATATATTCGTATATATATTCATATATACATATATATTCATATATATTCGTATATATATTCATATATACATATATATTCATATATATTCGTATATATATTCATATATACATATATATTCATATATATACACATATATATTCATATATATGTGTATATATAATGTTTATGTGTATTCCCCATGTGTTTTTAAAACTTAATTGTTTTTACTTCTATTACAAGCGTATCATGGCCAGGGGTGATGACGCATGCCTGTAATCTCAGCATTTTGGGTGACCATGGTGGGCAGATCGCTTGAGCTCAGGAGTTCAAGACCAGCCTGGGCAATGTGGTGAAACCCTGTCTCTACAACAAAATATAAAAATTAGCCGGGCATGGTGGTGTGTGCCTCTTGTCCCACCTCCTCAGGAGGCTGAGATGGGAGGATAGCTTGATCCTAAGAGGTTGAGGCTACAGTAAGCCGAGATCATGCCCCTGCACTCCAGCCTGGGTGACAGAGCGAGACCTTGCCTCAAAAAAAAGGGTGGTATCATGGTATATATAGTCTCTAGTACATTTTTTACCTTACCATTTATTATGAAGATGTTCTATCTTGTGTGTTATATTTGATTCATTTTGACTACTGTATTAATACTGCACAGTAGTCCAGAGGGGGTGAGTATCCACTGTTTATTTACTGAATCTCCTGTTGTTGAAGAGTTCGATTGTTCCTAGGTGTTTACAATTGTTAACAGCTGCTATGAATGTTCTTGTACATGCTGCCTCCTATTTTTACCTATGAGAAATAATTTCAGGAATGAAACTGCTGGGCCATAGTGATATTAATTTTCAACTTTAGGAGATAATACCAAACTCCAAACTGTTTTCCCGTTTGTGCACCGATCTGTACTCACACTAGCAATGTCTTAAGAGACCCAGTAGATTCCATATCCTCTCTAGCACTTGATATTGTCAGACTTTTAATTTTTGTCAGCTACATGGATATCTTATTATAGCCTTAATTTTTGTTCTTTATGTTTATTGGGCATATTTATTTCCTTTTTTCTGAAATGCCTGTTTGTAATGTTTTGTCCTTTTTTTCTATTAAAAATTTTGGTAAACATTCTTTATATATTCCTGATACTAATGTTTTGCTGGATATATATGTTTTGAATATATTTTTGCAGTTTGTAAGTTTATCTTTTATTTTCCTTAAGGTATATTTAATGACCAGAAGTTCTTAATTTTTATATAATCAAAATCTATTAATCTTTTATGGTCCATAGCTTTTTGTGACTTAAGTAGTATTTTTCTAGCCCATGGTCCAAAAAATACTCACCTATGCTTTCCACTAAGATACAGAATAGTTTATTTTTATTAACATGTATGACCTTAACCCCTCTAGAGTTGATTCTTTTTAATTTAATGAAGGATTCAGCTTTATCTTTTCTTCATCTAATCCATAAAGATTATAATTTTGAAATCTCTACATATTGAACAGTCTCTTCTTATTCCACTGGTCTAAGTTATTGCCTCTGTCATATACTGAAGTTTCATAAATGCATGGGCCTATTTCTAGACTTTTTGTTCTATGCTATTGTTCATGTGTGTGTGTTCCTTTTTGAATTTTATTTTTATTTCTTTTACTTTTGATCATGGCTTACTGCATCCTTGACTACTTGAGCTCAAGCAGTCTTCACATCTTAGCCACCCTCCCAGGTAGCTGGGACTACAGATGTGGGCCATAATGCCAGGCTAATTTTTAAAACAGTTTTGTAGAGACAGGTTCTCACTATATTGCCCAGGCTGGTCTGGAACTCCTGAGCTCAAGCTACATCTTTGAATTTTAGACACAGATATACATTCCTAGATTGTAAGTACTTTGGTTTTTCCACTAGGTTTTGGACATAGTGAAAACAAGTATTCGTACAGTTCTTCCACGCATCTGGAAGGTGCCTGATGTTGAAGAAGTAAATTTATATCGGATTTTCAACCGGGTTTTTAATCGCTTACTCTGGAGTCGTGGCCAAGGGCTGTGGAACTGTTTCTGTGATTCAGGGTAAGCTCTAAGTCATCTTTTATTATCGTCATTTTTAATATTTTACTATTTAGTTATAGAGATATCCTAATAAAATGCTTGAATGATCTTTTAAAATATGGATTTCTTTTACTGCATGTAATGTTTAGTACTCAACTATAATTTATATCAATTAAGCTGATTTAGATAAGATGATGAATATGAACACAACACCACCTAATTAATTTGAATTCGGTGGAGAGAAGGTAGTCCTAATTAAAGAAAATACAAACCAATATCCTTGAAGTTCTTCTGCAGTCGCCTTCTAAAATTATGGCTACACTTCTCCTCCTCCCCAGAATCCTAGTGCTGCTAAAGCTGCTGTGACTCATTGTCATTTTAGCCTCAAGATATCTAAAACCAAACATTCCATGTCCTTTTATTCGGAAATGGCTTCCTTTCTTGGCTTCCCTTAATCCTATTATTATTCTCTCAGTCATACAAGTTGGATATCACAGGGGCATCTGCATCTTCCTTTTCCCTCACTGTCTTTATTCAGTCATTTGCCAAATCCTATTATTTTTCTGTCACATTCCCACATGGCTAAACTAGCTTGTTTCCATTCATACTTTCAACAATCATCAAGTACTTACTTTTGTGCTAATATTTTTGGAGGTACAGTGTTGAATCTGACACAGATAATAACTAACCATATTACTTATTGTGTGAGATGCATTGTTCTAATCACTTTACATGTGTTAAGTGATTTAATCCTCATAACATCAATTTGAGTCAGGTTTTATATTATCTCTATTTTATAGATAAGGAAACTGAGGCACAGATAGGTGCTAAGGACCTAGTGGAACTGGGATTTGAACTCATTTAGCCTTGACTCCAGAGTTTATGCTCTTAACCTATAAACTCTGATGTCTCTAGCAGATAAAGTATGATATATACAAAGCAAATCATTTGATATGGTTTCTCTGTGTCCCCACCCAAACCTCATCTTGAATTGTAGTTCCCATAATCCCCACGTGTCATGGGAGGGACCTGGTGGGAGGTAATTGAATCATGGGGATGGTTACCCCCATGCTGCTGTTCTCTTGATAGTGAGTGAATTCTTATGGGATCTGTTGATTTTATAAGGGGCTTTTCCCCCTTTTACTTGGCACTTCTCCTTGCTGCCGCCATGTGAAGAAGGACATGTTTGCTTCCCCTTCTGCCATGATTGTAAGTTTCTTGAGGCTTCCCCAGCCATGCTGAACTATGAGTCAATTAAACCTCTTTCCTTTGTAAATTACCCAGTCTTGGGTATGTCTTTTTTAGCAGTGCGAGAATGGACTAATACATCATTATAAAAGAGATACAGATAAAGTATGACAGGATTTTAGACAAAGAGAGCCTTTTTTTGGTAAGACAGCTAAGTGAAATGAATAGATTTCTAGGCATTTTTGTTTCCAGTTTTTTGTTTCTCATATCCTTCTTACTGTCAGAATCATTTCCTAAAATCTGTAGTGATTTTCCTCCTTTATAATTTAAGTTTAAACTTCTTATCTACAGATACAAGGCTATCTAATATGCTGTTTTCTTCTTATTTCCCCAGTCTTCCTTCTCATTACTCTCCTACTTGAATTGTGCTCCAGAAAAAACTCATTGTTTTTCAGATCTCTTAAAAATTTGTCGTTTTCTTCCTCTGAACTGTTGATGTCATTTAATATCTGATTAGATGGCTTTCTGCCACCCCAAACTTCTGTACCCTCTGTATTATTTGAATCTAATGTAAAGCCCCATACTATACCTACCTCTTCTGTAAAACCTTAACAGACTGTTCTATTCTGAAATGATCTCAGAATATTCTCCATTTAAATATTCTAGCCATGTGATACAGAATCATTCATATCATTTGGAGACTCAGTCTTTTTACCATTTTTTTTTAGCTGCCATTAACCAACAGGGAGAATTAATAAGGCGCTCTGGGTGTGTTGAAATCTGAGAATAATTTGGGCTATTATTTCTACAGAGACCTAAGTGAAACATTTGAACTCCACAGCCCCTTAGTTGATGGCTCCCTGTAAAAGTTCTCCCAATCTGAATTTATAATGGAAATGTTTTTTTTCTGTTGGTTGATCCATTGGCTTGATGCTATATATGAATCCCAGATACTCTCTACCATGGAGAGCAATGAGAAAATCTGTTAGTGAAATCAATGCTGTGGCTCTGAGTCCATAGATAATCTCCAACACCAGACCCTAAAGATACCCATGAAGTGGTGCTTCCTTGCTTCTAGGGTTCCTCTTTCCTGAACTATTTTGCTAACATACTTTAACTTGATTCAGAATCCTTTTCTCCTATCCTTGGCACAATACTGCCTGCCAGTTTCTCTGGTGGTATCTATTAGTACTAGTAATCATAGGGATAGTAAGTAGTATTTATTGAAGGTTTACTAAATGTCTGACATTGTTTTACATATTAAATATTTGTATAATCTCCACAAAAAGTATTTTGAGTAAATTATTACCGTCATTTACAGATGAGGAATTGAAGCATAAACAGAGTATATAATTTACTCAATTTCCCATAGTAACTGTATGAGCCTGTATTTAAATCCAGGTAATCTGAGTCAGAAGCCCAAGCTCTTAACTCTTTGCTTCATTGACATTCCCCAAAGCAGATTTGCCAATGGTTGCCAAGCTTGTTTTACTGCAAGTCCATAGCATTAGCCAAATCCCTAGCCTACTATGCCTGTGCAGGTGAGGCAGGAGTAGTTTTGAGACCGATTTGACTCCAATCTCATCTACTTCTTTCAATTTAGTAGTTTAAAGAGGTGAGTTTAATATCGGATTTTATTTTGCATTAATGAGTTTTTTAGGCTTCCTCAATTTAGTGAAGTCACATAGTACTGTGTGTGTTTGATTCTCAGTTTGGACCCAGAATAGTTCTTCTTTATCCTTTGAATCATGCCTTCTCAATGTATACTCCTTTAACCTTTGGTCCGAAGGCCTAATGGTCATGGTGAAAATCTACTCTTCTCAGTTTTTAAGGAATGATTTTAATATAAGGTTCAACTTTCTTTCACAGTTACGTGTAAAATCTTAGAAAAATATAATCCAAGTGTTTGATTATATCCAAGAATCCAAGGCCTTGATTCTTGCCTTTGCCTGTCAACATTCCCAATAATAAAACAAAGTAAGTAAACCATCCCCTGTCTACCTCCAGAAACACCAGAGTAATGTAGATCTTTGTGGTAGGTTTCCCTAGAGTTGGCCAAGGGGTTTTGCTGATGTATCAAACAGAAAACACCCTTGTTCCTCTCTTTTCCTCTACCAGTCTGCTGATGCCCATGCCCAGTAACAGTTTTATCACATGCAGCCTCCTGGGAATGTTATGATGCCCACATTTGGAATATGTTTACTTTAGGGAAATAGCTCTTGGAATTTCCATAAATAAAATTATCTACCATGTTTTACTGGGATAGAGGAAGTCTGAGGTTCTATGGGACTCAAACTTAGGCCTGAGAGCTGGAGAATGGTGGCTATGGGAAGTGGCATTTCAGGTGAGAGTTAAAGGAAGAATAGGAGTTTGTGAGGTAAAGCCAAGAGAGGAGCCAGGGTCATATGGGAGAAGGAATGCATGGTTTGGGAAAGCCCCATCTCCACTCAAAATCCAATATGTAAACCCTAAAGAAGAGAATCTGGCCTGGATTCCCCAGCCAAAGTATTTTCCTGTTGGGGTTTGTCATGTAAAAGCTTTTCTTTTAGAATCTTAGGGCAAGAAGAAATTTTAAGGAATATTCTAAGGCGTAGTCTATTTCTAGGCTGGATTATGCCTACTTGAAAAGGTATGCATAATATATAGACTACTTAAAATGATGTGAATCTCCCTGTTTTCATATCACTTTCAATTGGATGTGTTGTTATACTTTTTAGGTCATTAATCTTTCTGTTGGTGATTACTGTGTTGGTATGTATAAACTTCAGCAGCCTGGAAGAGGAAAAGAGAAGGACAAGGGTGTTTTCTGTTTGATGCATCCAGTAAAACCCCTGGGCCAATTCTAGGGACCCCTACCACAACTTTTCCTTTCTCCTTTCTGCTACTTAACTTTGGGCTACTCAGTCAGGACTTGTACCAGTAGAGAAAGGAATGAATCAGTTTCACTCTTTAGATAACTGCTTTATGAAATGTTTTGATGAGAAAGTGGGTGAAAATTATTGGATTACTGGATAATGTGAGGATTTCTAAGTCTCTGGATTTCATGAATAACTCTCCTTTGTTGCCAGAGATATTCAGTATTCTGTCTTAATGTGATATTACTTAAAAAAGTCATTTAAAGTGTTTTCCTTTTATATTGCTGTGAGGATTAGGGAGAGCCAGAAAGAACTTTTTAATCATTTAATTTTTCCTTTTGAATTCATGGATTTTGGTGACCCTATTTCCTTGGAATTTAGGTTCAAAAAGCAGGTAGATGAGACCTGGGGTTCTTTGATAAAAGCACTGGTATTTTAACTATTTTTACCTCCCTTCACCTTTTAAAAAAACTTTGTGTTGCTAGTGTTGAAAGTTGAAATACTGTAGTATTATAGAGGCATTTCACAACTACTCAGCTATGCCAGGTGGCAGGTAGGAGTAGGGGATACAGTTCTGTACTCAGTTTTCCTTTGTGTAGAGGGGGCACCCACTGCCCTAGGGCCAGATGAAGCAGGTTGCTTTCATTTTCTTGAGTATTTTGGTATGCTGACACCTAAATATGGATTAATATATAGAGTAGAATTTACTCTTGGCTAGTAGTGGTAAATATACACACCAGAACTAAATATGTATAGGACCTTGATTCATATATTTATTTTAAATATTTAAGGGAGAATGAGAGAGTGAGAAGCCAAAGCTGGCCATATTATAACTCACATATTATTCAAGAAGTTACATCAGATTAGAGTGTTACAGAAGAAGCCCTTTTAACTTTCTTCCATTTTATTTGTTCTTTCCCTACCTCTAAAGAAAAATTACCATAATATGAGTGATCTGATAGTTGATCTGATCAAATAGCTCCAGAGTATGAAGAAATAAATATATCCAAGTTAAGAGTAGAGGGTGGTGATGGAGGTAGACTTTTATAGACATACCCAAAATCCCAGCAGAAAGAAAAGTGCCAGGCAGACAGTCAAAACACAGGATTTTTTTTGTATATATTCACATGTATATGAAATTTTATAGGGTCTGCTAAATCAAAGTATACTAATTATAAACATATTCCCTAATTAATTTTTCCAGCTTTTTAAAATCAAATTAGGTAAGTAGATTTATATCTCTATCTACATCTATAAATCTTGATAAACACGTATGTGTCATATCTAGTTTTTCTTCCATTTAGCAATAATTTAAATTTTGTTTTTACAGTTAATTTAACCGTCGAATTACTGTTTCTTAAATAAAAATAATTTTCATTCCTTTGCCAATTAAAAAACCCCAGTATTTTATTTTATTTTATTATTATTATACTTTAAGTTTTAGGGTACATGTGCACAATGTGCAGGTTAGTTACACATGTATACATGTGCCATGCTGGTGTGCTGCACCCATTAACTCGTCATTTAGCATTAGGTATATCTCCCAATGCTATCCCTCCCCCCTCCCCCCACCCCACAACAGTCCCCAGAGTGCGATGTTCCCCTTCCTGTGTCCATGTGTTCTCATTGTTCAATTCCCACCTATGAGTGAGAACATGCAGTGTTTGGAAAAAACACCAGTATTTTAAAAGCCTATTATATTTAGTCCTGAACATTTCAGAACACTGAAGAAAATTTGTTTCTTTCAATTAACTCATTTCAGTCTTACTCCCTTTAAGAAAACCTGTCATTCATTGATGGCATGCTGTCTATTTGGGGCCACATTTCTCTGAAAAAATAAACAGTAGCTTTTCTAGAAAAAATACATTTCTATTTCTAAGGCATTTTTTTAAGAATTCAAAATATATCAAATATCCACAGAAGGTTGAAAGTGGAGTCTTTGTGTTTCCCATTGGTAAGTTTACTTCCAGGAAAATATTGTCCTGAATACTTTTTCCTGTGCTTTTCTCTCTGAGGGTTATGTGAATTGGTTTATGCAAAATGAGATGTGAATCATTACCAAGTCTCAAACCAAAATTTCCCCTGGAGGCTTGAAGAGTTTCAAGGAATAAGTCTGAGGAATAAATCTCTCTCTCTCTCTCCCTCTCTCTCTCTCTCTCTCCCTCCCTCCCTACTGGTGGAGTAGTGAGGTGTTTCCTGATATAAACCATGATGCCATGATGGTAAACTTAGGAATTGTTAACACACACACACATACACACACACCCCCCACACAAAATTGAAGTTTACCAAGGAAGTATGCACCATTACCTGCTTTGGAATAAGCTGAGTTCAATGAAGGAGAAGGCATACTGCTTCTGGGATTGCAGTAGGGTAGTACTTGTTAAGATAGCATTACTTCTAGCACACAGAACCTGTGCTCTAGGAATATCATGGATATAGTTATGTCTGAAAGTGTTTTGAAAGGGATGGTCACAATAAGGTATTAACCTAAATTCTCCTAGTGAAGAGAGGTCAACAATTGTTTCAGCAACTTTTTAGTCATTTCAAGGGATCATTCATTCTTAAGGTAAATACAGATTCCGAGAAAGCCTAAATTCCAAGAATACTTAATTTTTGAGAAATTAGCTCAGTATTTTACAAATACCTTAATATAGAGTAACTCCATTTTTTAAGAGGTGTTGGAAGACTATCCTATTAGCCATCCAAAGTTGGCAGCTTTAAAAGCTTTAAGGACTAATAGTGCTGGGCATGGTGGCACATGCCTGTAGTCCCAGCTACTTCAAGGCTAAAATGAGGGAGGATCACTTGAGGCCAGGAGTTCGAGGCTGTAGTGCATCATGATTGTGCCTGTGAATAGCCACTGTACTCCAGTCTGGGCAACATAGTGAGACACACTCTCTCTCTCACATACAAACACACACCCACATGCACAAACACACACACGGACAAATAGTATATGTATTTGATGTTGTATTTCTTTAATATAAAGATTAATTTCCTGATTTGTATTTATTATATATCTTTAAACCATTCATAGTTATTGCAAATGTATGAGACCATTTCTATTTCCCTTATTGGTTTGTTGCTAGGGAAGTGATATATAGCTGGTTGTCATTTTTAACAGCCAACATGAGATCATGTCTGTTTCCATGCCAACAGATCCTCTTGGGAGAGTATATTCAATAAAAGCCCGGAGGTGGTGACTCCTTTGCAGCTCCAGTGTTGCCAGCGCCTAGTGGAGCTTTGTAAACAGTGCCTGCTAGTGGTTTACAAATATGCAACTGACAAAAGAGGATCACTTTCAGGCATTGGTCCTGACTGGGGTAATTCCAGGTACTTGTTCACATTCTCTAACCCTTGAGAGTTTTATGTAAAGTAATGCTAAAACACAGTTTGAAATTGACAGTGTTTTTTTGTTTATGTGACTAGAGAAAAAGCTAAAGACTGAAAGTTCATACATGCTATTATCTGCAAAATATTTTTAATTAGTACAGTATTTACCTTTAAGGGACTGAACAAGGACAGCAATCACGAACCTAAAGGTGATAAAACATACTTGGAAATGAAGTTATTTGACTTATATACCTTCACTTTCAAAAGTCCAGAGCAAGAGCATCCAAAAATGTGGTAATATATTTAACTTCTGTTCTCCAATAGAGATATTTCAACATTTACCCTTGAGCCTACTATACAGTTGGGAAGATACCTTTGGTTTCATTTTTATTGTTCAATTTGCCTCTGCTATTCCTTTCATTACCAAATATGTAGGAGGTAAAGTTTTGTCAAGTTCTATTTGAAAAATGAGTTTCATAAATATCCAGTTAAAATAGTTTTCCAAAAAGCATGAAAAGCAATATTGTTTTTAAGCTGCAGAAACACAGAGTAAAGAAAGTACCTTTTAGCATTTCTCAAGACAACTGTAGTTCTCATTAGAAATAGAGATGAATAATATAACTTTAGTTTTAGTATTTTTTTTTTGACAGAAAGTGAGATTACAGGTAATTATATTTTTATTGTTTTATTTAATTATTATTATTATTATTTTTATTTTATTATTATTATACTTTAAGTTTTAGGGTAAATGTGCACAATGTGCAGGTTAGTTACATATGTATACATGTGCCATGCTGGTGTGTTGCACCCATTAACTCGTCATTTACCATTAGGTGTATCTCCTAATGCTATCCCTCCCCCCTCCCCCCACCCCACAACAGTTCCCAGAGTGTGATGTTCCCCTTCCTGTGTCCATGTGTTCTCATTGTTCATTTCCCACCTATGAGTGAGAATATGCGGTGTTTGGTTTTTTGTTCTTGTGATAGTTTACTGAGAATGATGATTTCCAATTTCATCCATGTCCCTACAAAGGACATGAACTCATCCTTTTTTATGGCTGCATAGTATTCCATGGTGTATATGTGCCACATTTTCTTAATCCAGTCTATCATTGTTGGACATTTGGGTTGGTTCCAAGTCTTTGCTATTGTGAATAGTGCCGCAATAAACATACGTGTGCATGTGTCTTTATAGCAGCATGATTTATAGTCCTTTGGGTATATACCCAGTAATGGGATGGCTGGGTCAAATGGTATTTCTAGGTCTAGATCCCTGAGGAATCGCCACACTGACTTCCACAATGGTTGAACTAGTTTACAGTCCCACCAACAGTGTAAAAGTGTTCCTATTTCTCCACATCCTCTCCAGCACCTGTTATTTCCTGACTTTTTACTGATGGCCATTCTAACTGGTGTGAGATGGTATCTCATTGTGGTTTTGATTTGTATTTCTCTGATGGCCAGTGATGGTGAGCATTTTTTCATGTGTTTTTTGGCTGCATAAATGTCTTCTTTTGAGAAGTGTCTGTTCATGTCCTTTGCCCACTTTTTGATGGGGTTGTTTTTTTCTTGTAAATTTGTTTGAGTTCATTGTAGATTCTGGATATTAGCCCTTTGTCAGATGAGTAGGTTGCGAAAATTTTCTCCCATTTTGTAGGTTGCCTGTTCACTCTGATGGTAGTTTCTTTTGCTCTGCAGAAGCTCTTTAGTTTAATTAGATTCCATTTGTCAATTTTGGCTTTTTTTGCCATTGCTTTTGGTGTTTTAGACATGAAGTCCTTGCCCATGCCTATGTCCTGAATGGTATTGCCTAGGTTTTCTTCTAGGGTTTTTATGGTTTTAGGTCTAACATTTAAGTCTTTAATCCATCTTGAATTAATTTTTGTATAAGGTGTAAGGAAGGGATCCAGTTTCAGCTTTCTACATATGGCTAGCCAGTTTTCCCAGCACCATTTATTAAATAGGGAATCCTTTCCCCATTGCTTATTTTTCTCAGGTTTCTCAAAGATCGGATAGTTGTAGATATGCGGCATTATTTCTGAGGGCTCTGTTCTGTTCCATTGATCTATATCTCTGTTTTGGTACCAGTACCATGCTGTTTTGGTTACTGTAGCCTTGTAGTATAGTTTGAAGTCAGGTAGCGTGATGCCTCCAGCTTTGTTCTTTTGGCTTAGGATTGACTTGGCGATGCGGGCTCTTTTTGGTTCCATATGAACTTTAAAGTAGTTTTTTCCAATTCTGTGAGGAAAGTCATTGGTAGCTTGATGCGGATGGCATTGAATCTAAGTTTTAATATTTGTAAGTTGTAGTACTATTCAGGATAGAAGAAATTAAGCCATGACTTTGAAACACTAAGTGATACTCAAAAAGTCAGTGAATAGTTGAATAAACAATGAGGAAAATGGAACCACGATAGCTCGGATTTTCTTTTGTTAAAAACACCTAGAAATTGATCTGTTTGTTTAAAAAACTTGGGGAGTATAATAAAATGAACTTTATTACAAATGTGTCCTGTAACAGCAGAATGGCTCAGAATATTTTTAATAGAAAGTATTAAGAGAAATATTTTAAATTTTTGTTTGTCTTAGATTCTGTCATTGTAGTGTTGCATGACATTTATGTCATTGCATTGCAAGACATTTAACCTCTTTTAACTCTTCTACAAATAGAAGCTGGTTGATCACAATAATAGCAGTGGTAAAGGTAACCATTAATATTTAAAATATTTAAATATCAAAGTTATATTCTACAGTTTTAATGGTTTCACTGAAGCAAATTATTGAAATAAAACTTTTAATACTTTCATTAATACTTTTATATGATTTAAAAGAATGATAGCCATTTTTTGGACATCATACCATATAAATGAAGAGCCTTCTTGTTAAGGGGTGATACTCTGGGAGCATGGTCAGGAAAATCTTAAATTTCAATCTAAGAAGTAATTCACTGAGACTCTTTAATGTCATTCCCACAATTCTAGATTTCATAAACTAATTTCTGTTGATGGATCTTGTAGCTTTTGTGGGTACACAAAGTAGGACGAGTCTTCTTGGTTACGTTGGAGGAAAAAGGTATGTTTTACAGTTGCTTCAGACTTTTTTATTTTCTTCTGCTGGTGGTCAAAAGAGATTTCCGACCACGGAATCTTGACTTCTGGACTTCTGATAAATGGTCAGGATGGCCCAGTATTGTGATTATAATCATTTTGAGATGTCAGTAAATACATTTTCATTCCTGCCCAAGCTCAGAACCATTTGATAGAGAAATACTAGAGTCAGACATATGGTCATCATCTGTTACTTTGTTACTCTATAGTGCTATTGCTGATAAAAGTTACATTAGGGGACATGGTGTAGCTGTGAGCCAAGTGAGTTTTCTAATACTGAATTATGGAATTCAACTTATCCATCCAGTCAAAGGCAGATCAGAATCAACACAAACCTTCCATGTCACTAGCCCATAAAGTCTTCTTTTAGCATTGGCAGGTGAGCAAGAAAAGATGCATCCTCACTGCAGAAAGGCAGAGCCAGAAAGACAGAGGCTGAGCCAAGCATGCCTGTTTCCTTCTTTTAAATCCTCAAATCAGATAATTTGGTTCTGGTAAGAGGCCAGGAAGTTCACAGTAGTGGAAATTCTTCTACATTGGAACACAAGGAGTGAAGAGAAGTAAACATTTCTCCCTAATATCTAGCTATTAAAACTCAAGTCAATGTCACATTAATTTAACAATATGTAAAAAGTGGCCATATTTCTTTTCCTCATAGGTAAGAAACGGACTCTTTAGCATTTTACTTAAATGTAGAAGTCACTTAATATTTATTAATAGATTGACACATTTTATTTATGAAGTATACTTGGTAATATAAACATGAATATATATTTATAGCATTTATAAATAAATGTAAATGTACCTGATAGAAATAACTTATGAAGTATACCTAAATAATTTATGAGGTGATTCATATTTGGTTAATTTATTTATAAAATTAAAACAGATAGAAAATAGAGCTAACAGCAGACAGGTTTGGGGACCAGGTTTATCTTTACCAAAGATCTACAGGATATTTCTTAAGAGGATTTAAAGAGTATATGGCATCTATCACATGGAAGAGAGTGGCCTTCAACTTTGCACTCTCAGAAAAAAATAATAATATGCATACCAAAGGAAAAGACATTTTTGGGTTTCTACCTTTCATGTACTGAGCTTTCATATAAGCTCATTTCACAAGGGGTTCCATAGCTAAAAAACATTTTAAAAACCACCAAGTTAGCACTTCTGCTTTTGGTAATAGAACATTAAATATTTGGATAAATCCTGCCTCTGATGATAACTAGAAAAGCTGTACAAAATATCACATTTACTCGAAAGTACTTGCTAACCCAGTACCTGTTAGTGAGTATTTGTTAGTGCTGAGCAGTGCTTTTGACAGTTGTGTGGGCCTAGGGGATAAAATAGGAGTTCAGGGCCTGCCAAAGATGCTGGCTGTTGTCAACACTCTAGATTCCTAGGAGTAACAGTGCTCGGGATGGTTTGCAAAGCAAAAGTTGACAGAAACAAAAAGGAAATAAATTTACAACCATAGAGGAAGATTTAATAATCATTTCTCAGAAAAAACTCAGTAAAGATATAAATTTTTTAACAACAAAATTAACAGACTTAACTGTCATATATAGAAGTAAATGTATTAACTTTAGAATTCAGTACACCAGGCACGATGGGAAATTTTAGAAAATCAACCATATAGTGGAATAAAAAAAAAAACAAACCCAAATTTCACAGAATTTCAGAAGATTGAAATTATACAGAGAACTTTTTCTGACCAAATGCCTTTAAGCTGGAAAACAATAGAAAAATATAGTCAAAAAGTATACTTTTAAATAATCCACGAATCAAATAAGAGATTATAATGGACATAAGAAAAGATTTTGAACTAAGTGATAACAAAAATATTAGAAATGAAACTTGTAGAATATGGCTAAATCAGTAATATAGGGATATTTATAGATTTAAATGAATATATTAGGAAAAAGGAAAGGCAAACATTAAATCTAAGCAACCATTTTTAGAGGTAACAAAATAACATTTAAATAAGCCCAAAGAATACAGAAAAAAATAATAAAAATAGAAGAAATTAATGACATAATGAAACAAACATAGAAGAAAGAAGATAAACACAGCCAAAAGCAGATTTTAGAAAATACTAATAAAATTGGTAAATACCGGGTGAGACTGATAAAGAATATAAAATGGAGAAATAGCTAATATCAAGAAGGAAAAGGGAGACGTTACTACAGATTCTACAAATATTTACAACTTGATAAGGAAATGTTACGAACAATTTCATGCTGGTAAATGTAGTAATTTCATTGGTGTTAACAAATTCCTAGAAAAACACATACTACCAAACAAAAGAAGAAATAGAAAGTCCTAAATAGTCATAACTACTGAAAAAATTAAATCAATTATTAAGAGCCCTTCCACAAAGATAACTCCAGCTGTAGATGGCATCACTGGCCAATTCTATCAGACCCACCCAGAGAACAGCAAAGGAGCGAACACTCTTCAACTTGTTCTAGACTACCATACTTTTGATACCAAAACCTGACCAAGACATTATGGCAAAGGAAAATAACAGTTCAATTGCACTCCTAAACATAGATGCAAAACTCCTAAACCAAATATTAGGAAGATGAACCCAGAAAGTTTAAATAGGATAATATATCATGACCAACTTCTGCCTATTGCCTCAATGTAAGGATGGAATAACTTTAAAAAGTGATGAGTGTAATTTGCTACAGTAATAGCATAAAAGGTAATTTCAAAAGATAGAGATAAAAATCTTGATAGAATTCAATATGCATTCATGCTTTAAAAAGTGCTTAGTAGCTAGACAGAAAAGATAAATTTTCCAGTTTGATGAGGATAACTAAGAAAAACTTACAACAAACATACCTAGTGTTGAGACACTGAAGGCTTTCCCTTTCAAATGAGTAACAAGACTGTCTGTGATCACCACTTCTATCCAGCATTGTATTAGCGGTCTTAGCTAGTTTAATGAGACAAAAGAAATAAAAGGCATTAGGTTTGAAAGAAAGAACTAAACTCAGTAAGTGGATATGATTGTATTCATACAAATGTAAATAAATCTATGATAAATTATAAAGTGAATTTAACAATTTTGATGAAATCATATAAATCAAAGTCAATATAGGAAAATCAATTACACTTTTCTTTATCAACAACAAATATCTGAGATATAAAATTTTAAATATTTTTTCAAAAGCATGAAAGAATATCTAATACTTAGGAATAAATGTCGCAAGAAATGTATATGACCTTTATGCAGGAAAATGTAAAAAATGGAAAAGTATGTCTTATTCATCATTGCACTCAATATTATTGATATGTCAGTTCTTCTCAAATAATTTCCTACATCTGTAAATTCAATGTAATTCTACTATAAATCTCAACAAATGTTTATTTTTTATTTTTGGCGGGGAGAAGAATTTGACCAAAGTTTGTTCTATCACTATACACAAAAGCAAAGGACCAAGAATAAGTAAGACAATCTTGAAATAGAGCAATATAACATCATAGGATTTAGTAACTACAGTGTCTCAAGACTTACAATAAAGCTAAAGTAATTTAAGATAGTATAATATTGGCAAAAAGGATAGACAAATAGACCATTGGAACCATTCAGAAAAACCATAAACCAACCCAGGCCTACCTGGAGACTTGATTTATGACAAAAGTGGTGTACACCTGATTTATGACAAATAGGAAAAGGAAGTTTGTTTAAACAATGGTTCTAGGACAATTGTATTTCCAAATAATAAAAAAGAAACTTAACTTTACCTACACCATAAATGAAAACCATTTCCAGATGAAATTAGTATGTAGATGTGAAAGGTAAAACTGCATAAAGATTTCAGAAGATAATACAGGGGAATATTTTCATGACCTTGAGGTATGCAAAGATTAATAGAACCAAAAAATTTTAATAACAAGTGAAAAGATTATATTAAAATTAAAAACATATGTTCATCAGAAGACCCCATTAAGAGGTGGAAAAGCAAGCCACAGGATGGAAGGAAGTGTTTGCAACCCATATAATCTGTAAAAAATTCTTACAAGATTATATAATAACTCCTACCAATTTCAAAGAAAAAAGCAGACCACACAATAGAAAAATGGGGAAGATAATTGAAAAACGAGGACCAATAAACATTTGAAAAAGTGTTTAAGCTAATAATCAGGGAAATGCAAAATGTCAGAATCACTGCATATCCATCACAAGTGTTGATGAGAACATAGAGTAATAGGAACTCTCTTACCCTGCTTGTAAAGTGAAAGTTGGTACCTTTTACAGTTTGGTGTTACATCTAAAGCCTACCCTTTTACAGCTACTCTCCCTGTAAATTCTCAGCAGAGATGTGTGCACATGTGCATAAGACCCTTATTAGAATGATTACAGTAGCATTTACTCATAATAGCTAAAAATTGGAAACAACCCAAATGTCCATGAAAGAATGGGCACATTTTTTCTAGTATTCATACAATGGAATATTATACAACATTGAAAATGAACAAACTGCACCTACACATATAGCAAGATGGGTTAGTTTCAAACATAAAGTTAAGCAAAATAAGCCAGATACAAAGGAATATATATTGTGTCCATTTATTGAAAAATCAAAAACAGGCAAAACTAAATTATGGTGTTTAAGGAATGTATAATTGGGTAGTAAACAAGGAAGTAATTACCATAAAGGTCAGAATAGTGGTTAACTTTATGAGGAGGGAGGGTACTGTAATCCAGGGCTCTGGGATGCTAGGAATGTTCAGTTACTTAACATGGGTGATAATGACACAACTTTATAATACTCATTCAATGGAACATTTATGTTTTATGTACTTTTTAAAATACCTTATACTTTATAATTTAAAGGTTTAAAAAAAGACTACTTAAATATATGGTATTATTTATGTCCTTAGGTTAAGACACTTGGATATATCTATCTAAGAACAGAGAGATTCTTGTTATTGAGGCCAGTGTTCATAATATATAAATTATAAATAATATTTCATTCATGTACGCTATTTCATTGGCTCCATACTCTGTGAGCTATGCATGGCAGAAACTATTGGAATTTTTTACAGCTGAGAAAAGTGAGGCTTATCCAAATCCATATTGGATTTAGATTTGGCAAAGGTAGAATTTGAAACTGGGGCTTTTCCCCCCAAAAAATTGAAGTTAAAACCACAGGATTTAGTGCACATCCACTAGAATTGCTACTATCAAAAAAGTACAAAGTAGTAAGTGTTGGCAAGGATGTGGATGTGGAGAAGTTGGATTTCTCATGCATTGCTGGTAAAAATCTAAAACTGTGTGGCAGTTGTAGAAAGCAGTTTGAGAGTTTCTAAAAAATTAAATATAGAATTACCATATGAACCAGCAATTCTACCCCGAGGTGTTTACTCAAAAGAATGAAAAACAAAGACTCAAACAGATACTTGTATACCAATGTTCACAGAAGCATTATTTATAAGACAATAGCCAAGAGATGGAAACAACCCATGCCCATCAACAGTTGAAGAGATACAATATGGTATACACATATAATAGAATATTATTCAGCCACAGTATGGACTGAAATTCTGATACAGGCTACAATATGGATGACCTTTGAAAACATGCTAAGTTACACAGCCAAACACAAATGGACAAATCTTGTGATTCCATTTATATGAGGCATGTATAATATGCAAACTCATAGAGACAGAAAATAGAATAGATATTACTGGGGTAGGAAGGAAGGGAAAATGGGGCGTTAGTACTTCAAGGGTAAAGAGTTTTCTGTTTGAGATGATGAAAAGTTCTGAAATTAATGGTGATGGTTACACACATTGTGAATGTACTTAATGCACTGAATTGTACAATTAAAAATGGTAAGAAAAACACTATTTAATAGTACACTCATGTTATGTATTTCACTATAATATAAATATTTTAAAAAGACAGGACAGATATTCTGATGAGCTTTATTTATCCTGAGTTTTCCAAACCAGGTCCTAAAATTATTCTGGGGAAATCAGGGGTCCTGGTCTTAACTCCAGGAAGAGGAAAAGGAAGGTGGGTGTAGCTTATGTTTTCAAGGTTAATTTCTATCAGTCTTGAAATGCGTCATGTTCCAGAGATCCTCCTGGTCAGCAATAAATTGGTATATAAAAGACAAACTAATTCTACATCAATCAGGAATTACATAAATGCAGGCTCTATGTTTGTACTTAATATAATGGTTATGTAAAGATGTGCACAACTGCCTTAGGGATGAGGAGGATGAGGAGTGAGGCTATGAAACAAATAGGGTAGTCTGAGGTATTTCTCCTTGGCACGAGTTAGCAATGAGTTAGCCATTTTCATATGTAAAGAATAAGCTAGAAAAATAGGTAAGCTGTAAACTTTTCCCATTTTTTAGTGCTTTACACAAATTCTTTAATCCGTAAACCCACTTCCATGAGATAGTCTTCCTGCTTTAAAAAAATCAAATTGTTTAACTTCATTGCAAGGAACATTTCAAAAACAATCTTAGATGTTTAGCTAGTGTTGGATTTCCCAAGACATATTAATGGAATATTAAGGCAAATAATCCATTGTATTTCCCTGCAACACTTTAAAATCCCACAGCACTTGCATTAGGGAAGAAAAGTGTTTCTTCCAATGTAATTTTATATGCTTTTTTTAGTTCATGCCGAACTTCTTTTCAAGTCTTAATAAAAAGTTTCATCTTTTTCTGCTTCTATGAAAAAGTTTAGGTTTGCGGCATATATAATATCTTTCTACTTTCTAGATTATTTTATACTTCATATTTCTGAAAAAATGAGTATAATAATTGTACCCATTAGTTTTAAAACTGAAATTAGTATACAATGATAATTATGTAGAATTGTCATGACAATATAGTATGGTTGCTAGGAGCTCTGCTGCTGGAGCTAGCCTGTATGGATTTGAATCCTGGCTCTGCCACTTACTAGGTAGGAGACCCTGAGCAAGGCATTTGACCCCTGTATGCTTCATGAAGTTTATTTATCTGTAAAATGGAGCTAACAGTAATATCTGCCATATAGAATTGTTATGAGAACTAAATGAGTTGATATCTGTAAAGCAATTCGAATAGTGCTGGGCACATAGAAAACACTATTTAAATATTTGTTCAGTAAAATAGTGTAAGTTATTTGTGATCCTGGACTTTGTGCTTTTATTTTTTCATGTGCCAACTAGTGATCTTTATCTCAAAAGAATATGTAAATGTTACTGAAATGTCAATAGTAACTATTACTTGGAAATTCTTTGAAAGAAAGTTGGTAGACGTTACTGTTTACTGTGTAATTATCAGTACAATCAGAATGTATTTTCAGTAGAAGGTAGAATAACTCTCAACTACTATGGAATAGTGGATTTTGATAAAACACCTCGTTTTCTTTTGCAACTTTGCCCTAGATAGGAAGGATAGCCTTTTCATGGCAGAGAATACTGGATCAATCATCATGACCCCACCAATTGTTGACATAATAATTAATCCATATAAAGTAACCGAGTGATCTTAAGAAAATAATTTATATAATCTGTGATGTGAGAAATCACTTGTTTCATTATTCATCACCTGTTATACAATATTGATTTAATTTGGTTTGTTTTATGTTATTTTACTGTTCTATTAACTTAATGATTTGAGTAATTATTTATAGTTTGTGATATTAGGTAATAGGTTTAGAAGATATTATTAGATAATTCATGACAAAATGTTTATGGATATTATAGAAAGTTCTGCTATTTTAATCTGAATGCTGCGTATAGTTTGATTATAATGCATTTCTTTCTACATAATTCATATAACACAACTATAATTTTCCATTGACATAGAATTATCATAGTTATCAATATTATTTAACATAGAATAGACAGCTAATTGTGCCCTTGGCCCTCCGTTTTTCATGTATCTGTGGGAATATGGTACTATCCCTGGAGAATTCTATTTTCCTTTTTTTTTTTTTTTTTTTTTGAGATGGAGTCTTGCTCTGTCGCCCAGGCTCAAGTGCAGTGGCACGATCTCGGCTCACTGCAAGCTCTGCCTCCCGGGTTCATGCCATTCTCCTGCCTCAGCCTCTGGAGTAGCTGGGACTACAGGCACTCGCCACCACAACCGGCTAATTTTTTTTGTATTTTTAGTAGAGACAGGGTTTCACCATGTTAGCCAGGATGGTCTCG
The DNA here is from genome assembly GCF_000001405.40 of Homo sapiens. Lineage (NCBI taxonomy): Eukaryota > Metazoa > Chordata > Mammalia > Primates > Hominidae > Homo > Homo sapiens. The sequence goes on along the minus strand of NC_000001.11, from coordinate 83,871,690 downwards.
ATCTCCTGACCTCGTGATCCGCCCGTCTCGGCCTCCCAAAGTGCTGGGATTACAGGCGTGAGCCACCGCGCCCGGCCTATCCCTGGAGAATTCTAATGTCAAGTGAAGAAAATAAACGATTTGATACCGTCCCACTGTTTATTTCCCAAGACTAATTACGAATCTCTGTATATTGCTGCTTCTGCTCTTGGAAATTCCTCATAAGTATCTTTATCCTGATTTTATAGCATTTCCTCCTCATCATTACTAGGACTTACACTTTGAATAGTGTTGTTTGCATTTGTTTATGTGGATTTCCTTGACCATTTCTCTCTAGACATATAGATTGGACTGGCCTAATGCTAGTCAAGATTTTTCACAGGAAAACAGATTCTACAGGTGCACAATCTTTCACTTGCAATGTCTAATTTCCAAAGCTTTGAAAAGTTGAAAACAAAACATAACTCATTTGAGACCATCCTGGCTAACACGGTGAAACCCGTCTCTATTAAAAATACAAAGAAAAAAATTAGCTGGGCGTGGTAGCACATGCCTGTAATCCCAGCCACTTGAGAGGCTGAGGCAAGAGAATCGCTTGAACCTGGAGGCAGAGGTTGCAGTGAGTAATATAAATATTACTATATAATATAGTATATATAAATGTATATAAATATGTATACTATATAATATATATAAATCACCATATTGTCTTTCTAAAATCTGAAAAAAAAATCACATATTTTGAAATACATTTGGCTGCAAGGGTTACATGCAACCCGTAATCATGATTTTTTTTTTTTTTGAGATGAAGTCTCACTCTTGTCCCCCAGGCTGGAGTGCAATGGCGCGATCTCAGCTCACCGCAACCTCTGCCCCTGAGTTCAAGTGATTCCCTGGCCTCAGCCTCCCAAGTGGCTGGGATTACAGGCATCTGCCACCATGCCTGGCTAATTTTGTATTTTTAGTAGAGATGGGGTTTCTCCACATTGGTCAGGCTGGTCTTGAACTCCCAACCTCAGATGACCCGCCTGCCTCAGCCTCCCAAAGTGCTGGGATTACAGGCGTGAGCCACTGCGCCTGGCTGATTGTTTTTGATATTCTGTAATCATGAGCACTCTATGGTCAAAGAATATAAAATTTATATTCTAATTAGGAATGTTAATCTTTAACTTTTTCTATTAGGTTACCTATAGTAATAATACGTTAATGATCTATTATTAAATTATAATCAGTGGTTCCGCCTCCCTTGAAACAAACAATTACTGTTAATGTGGCTAGTCAAATTCTCAAATCACGTGTTTTAAAGAAATATTTGACTGGCTCCACATATTACTTACAAGGACTGATAATGAATTCTAAATTAACATTAGCCACATAAACAGTTTCACAGTATTTGAGTACAGTGGCTCTTTATGGGATGTCTTGGGATGCTAACATCATATATTGCATCTATATTTAGCTCTTCTCTCCTTTCCTACAGTCTGGAGGAGGAAATCTTTTTATATGAATTGCATTTTTGTTACAGTAACATTTCTCATATAGACTACGTAAATTGCTAACCACATAACCCTTTAGTGAGTTAGTTATAATTTGCTTGTAAAAATCTAATTTGTTAACCATCATTTTTAGGTATTTACTACCAGGGAGCACCCAATTCTTCTTGAGAACACCAACCTACAACTTGAAGTACAATTCACCTGGAATGACTCGCTCCAATGTTTTGTTTACATCCAGATATGGCCATCTGTGAAACAGAAGGGAAGATCGCCATTGGTTATACATAACAGCAATTCATTTTTTTCCTCTGAAGTTGAACATGCAAAGAACATGACCATTAAGTGCTGTTTTATGTATATAAGACATATATATGTGTGAAAATATATGCACATATGCACCCTAATAACATATATTTATTATATTAAATGATATATGAAAGAAGAATTAGCAGAAAATGGAATATAAGACTTAACCTTTCTGGAAACGTAATAAACCATGTTAAAATTGTTTACACAAATATGTGAATGTCTAGAATCTGCTAGGTTTATAATTAATTCCTTCCTACTAGAAATGTTATTTTTGCTGCAGAGTATATAAAACAAATTGATCTTGAAGATCCAATTACAGTGTTAAATTATTTTCTAGATAACATGCCTTTTGACCTGAAAAAGGGTTTAGTATAATACCTTAAAAATTCTCATATATAGTAGCCATTTTAAATGAAACAAAAAGATTTAGAAGCCTGGTGTTGCTTGATGATAAGATTAAGAAGTTTAAAACGGGTTTATCATTACTATAGCACACTGTAAAGTGCTAGAAAAGTCATAACCTGATTCTCCAATCTTTTTATTCCTCTATGTGGAAATTTAGCTACTTGTAATAAGGTACATTTTCAGTAAGGATCTGGTGAGATCATATTATGATCTAACATGAAAGACAGGCTGGGCGCGGTGGCTCACGCCTGTAATTCCAGCACTTTGGGAGGCCGAGGTGAGTGGATCACCGCTGGTCAGGAGTTTGAGACTAGCCTGGCCAACATGGTGAAACCCCATCTCTACTAAAAATACAAAAATTAGCTGGGCGTGATGGTAAGTGCTTGTAATCCCAGCTACTTGGGCGGCTGAGACAGGAGAATCACTTGAACCTGGGAGGCGGAGGTTGCAGTGAGCCGAGATTGTGCCATTGCATTCTAGCCTGGGTGACAAGAGTGAAACTCTGTCTCAAAAAAAAAAAATAATAATAAAATAAAATAAATAAATAAATAAAAAGAAGATAAAAATAAATAAATAAAATGGAAGACAATCCAATGGGTTAAAAATAAAATGTAAACTAGCTTTCATTTTTACTTTTCATAATCACATAAAGGAACAGAAAATGATGGTAACAAAATCTTTCTATATGGCTTTTATGTCTTATACCACTCATTTTTATTTGGAAAGTATATCTTTGATGGGTTTAACATGTGGTTAAATACAATTTCTCCTGTTTCGCAGAAGTAGAAGAGTTGACACATTTCACTCATTTTAGTGTTACAGGATAATGAGACAAACTTATTTTTATAAATCTCTCAAGGTTGAAATCAACTTATATTGCAAATTCTAATACAGTAGTTTCTCATTGCACCACAGAAACAGTTAAAGGATTGTGAATAGAAGATTTCAATTATCACATATTACAAGTCATCAGTGTACCCTTGAGGGTTTTTAAAAAATCAAAACAGAGAACGAAGTGTTCTTGTCCAAAGTTGTTATGCATAAGTTTCATAGCAGTTTACTTCCTTTTCTTGAATACAGTTTTTAAAACCAAGAGTGAGCTTTCAGTTTTCCATAAAAATATAAGCCGTACTACTTTGACATTGAAATCATCAGTGCAGCCATCACTTCTTAGAATTTATTTAAACTTCTTCTCCCAACAGTTTTATTTTCTTTTAGCTGCTAATTATTTTCGAAATTCATGAATGTTTTACCTCCTTTTACTATTCTGAAAGTTATTTCAAGAAGTGGCCCCAAAGCAGGAGAACTGAGAGGGGCAAATTGGCCTGGTTTAATTCACAGCCTGAAGAATTGGCAACCTAAAGTTATAAGTTAGATGTATTTTGCTTTTCAAGCCATCTTCTGAGCCTTTTTTAGGCTGAAATGATTTGTTTATTTCCCAAATTATTGCTAGCTACTTGATTTTTTATGGCTACCTAACATCCACATTTGGTAGATACTTTTCCTCTCTGCATGCATCCCAAAGAAGAATTTGCTATTTGTGGAAGAAGAGAATAAGGGTATCAGAATGAAGGAAATTACAGTGACTACACTGTTTATGACTCCATTTTGTGAATTCTTAAATATGCTATGGATTTTTTTTTAGAAAAAATAATGCAAAAATTGGGATATTACAGAATCACCATAAAGATGATCAACAAGTAATAAGTCTTTTCATGGAGTTCATTTTTCTTTTAAATTCATGATTTGGCCACAAAAATATATATATAAGTGTCTGATATATGATAACAGCCCAGTTTCTCGGCCACTCATTTGCATTATCTTAAATCACAAATAATTACTTAATTTGCTGGAGTGTGTGCTTTGCAACTTTTGTACCAGAGCAAAATTTGTATTTAAAACAAAAAATAAGAATGCCCATCACTAGGAGAAACACTCCTCACAGAAAACACACACACACACACACACACAATTTAAAAACTGAGTAAATTTAAATGTATGAAAGTACCCCACAAATTGATTTCAACAAATAAATTTCATTTCTCTAGCTACTTATGTCTGGCCTTATTTTGAGCGTTACAATTTTATTGCCTTCATTTGCCTATTTAGACTGATGTAGTTTGATATGATGAAGTTGTGAATAAAAGCCTTGTGTTCATTATTTATATATACTACCTGGTATGCTATGGACTGTGTCTGCTGTAGTGCTATTCCCTAATGAGCAACTAAGAGAAGACACAACAATAAACCATGGAAGTGTTGGGAGGCCATGGAAATGATTTAGAGGTATAAAATATTCCCAAGTTTTTATTATAAATTTTTATTCATAGGTTAAAACATATAAGCATAAGTGATTGTACAGGTGTGACTCCCTTTTCTAGGAGAGAAAATAGCTTTATTTGAAAACTCCAAAAGCTACTTAATCTTACCAGAGGTTTTTAATAGGGGAACTGGGTTTACTTACAATGAAAGCATATTTTCATTCTGCTATAGAAAAACATATCCCTGCTCATTCAGTAAATCTAAGATTGGAATGCTTTCTAGAACTATGCAATATTTGAATAATTTCTAGAAATGTCTAAGAAACAACCTTTTTTATTTTAAATCATCACTTACAAACGTAGTCTGAGACTGCAAACTAGTTTTCACTTGACTAATCCATCATTATAGATTAGTTACCATTTGCTCTATATAATCTATTGAAGAAACTATTGTTATTCATATTTTGATTAATTTTACTAGCAACAAATTTTTATTTTAGTAGCATTGCATTTACCTTAAATATGTAAAAATGAAGTTGTAACAGGATCAAATATGGAAATGGCAATGGTAACTCTGCCTAGAACATAGTTGAATGTCCTTGGTTGTCGGTAAGATGCAAAGATCTATACAAATTTTATCATAGGTCAAAATTATTTCTAAATATACAAACAGTTTCAACTATTTCTTTCTCCCTAAAACTAAAACCAAACCAAACCCAAATGAAGAAACCTAAACTTCTTTTCATCTAATAGTTATACCCAACTAGATAATAGTAGCTTCTAGACATCAATAAAAAGATTTCATTTTAACTGTCTTTTTAATTTGTAAAATATATGAGTATGGAATTTTGTATCTAACTTGAAATTTCAGATGTTTTAATAATCCAAATACGTTCTTCTTTAGCATGTCAAAGTACTAATAGTTAAAAAATTTCTTTAGATTTAAGCATATACATTACTTGACTTTTTCAAAAGTATCAAAAAATTGATAGCTGCAGAAATGCCATTATTTGATTTTCTAAAAAACATTGATTCATTCTTAAATGTGTATTCTTTAAAAAATAGTAAATACCTCAAGAGTGACAGAAAACTTTCCTTTTCTGTTCTGTAATGCTAATTTAAACTTTGAGTCTTAGTTTACATGGTCATAGGGGTTAAATAAAATGTATAACTGTACAATTAATTGTGTTCTTGTGACCTGATGATTTTTTGAAAATTTGCTTTTCTCTTTAAGAAATTTAAGTTTTCAAGGGCCGTATTAGTTATCTAAATATTTTGGGCTAATGTTGACTTATAAATAAATAAAAATTTAGAAATATATTCATGATGACAATTTTGTTACTTACACTGCCTATTCTTTATTTCTTTTTTAGTTCAAAGGTGAAATTTTGACCTTTGTATTAACAAAGCCTCAAGAAAAGAGAAATTCTGCCTTTTAAACATTGGTTTTCCTTGCATTTTATGGTGGTGTGATTTTGCCTCAGCAATAATAAAACATAAAATATGTTGTTGCATCAAGTTCAGTTTGTCTGCTGAGATTATTTTTAAGAACCAGGTTGAAGCCTCTATGCCTAAAAAAGCGTTTATTGTCTGGATACATATAAAGCAAGATATATGGCTACAAATAAGTCTTGCAACCAAAATTGGTATATTAAAATTTACTGCACACTTTGAGATTGCTGCCATTTTTTGGTGCTTTTTGGACCTCGTCATAAAGGGATGTATCGTATATTAGGGAAAATTACTCAAGTTACACATTCTACATTAACTGCGCTGTATTATCTACAGGTACAATCAATGGACCAATAGTTCCTAAATTAGTAATAAGGCTTACCTTACAAAAGTAATGAAATAACACTGATATTTCTCTTTCAAAGGCTAACAGCAATTCTTGGTCCTGAGCTATTCAGTTCATACAATAACTACTGTACATGCTACAACATCTGAATATTAATGGTTTTGCTGCAGATTCTGGGTATGAGGATTAGCTTGAAAGCAATACATTTGCTAACATGAATCATGACTCACATTATCCCCGTGTGCTTTACTACCTGTATATGAATGCAAATGTTGTTACAGAAAATATGCTTGAAATGTCAATACAGTGTGCAATTAGCGTTGCATTGTCATGCTCCAGCATGTGATATCTGTATGGTGAAGTTATTTCAATTACTCTGATACATTACTATAATAAAAAAGTTTAACCTAAGAAAGCTACAATATGTCATCAAATGCTTATTTCTGTTTTACACACACACACACACACACACACACACACACACACACACGGTTTTTGTTATAGAAGACATTGGCTCCCAATTAAGGTTTCAGAGTGAAGAGATATATTTTTACAGTAATTTTTACTGTGTACAGACAGCAATAGCACTATGGGGATAACTTTACCTGCTATTAAAGTCAGGTCAAGTCAACATAATTGGTGTCAACTCTCATAGTTAGCTAGTAGGCCGACTTCTAAAATTTAGAAATGACATTTTTGTATCTAGCATCATGGATTATAGCAAAACTATTACTATCTGATTACAATTATGTCAGCATCTCCGCTATGAAGTTCATTTTTTTCAGTAATTTATAATCTCATTGTTAAAACTTAGAATACTAAGCCTCAAAAATAAGCATATATTGCCATTTATGCCATTGTTCTTTAGGATAATTATGCATAAAGTATCTAGAATAGTTTTCTTTAAAAAAAGATGCACTTTGGATAAAAATTTAGGAAATCGGGATGTTAATGCATGTATGCCTTGCTTTTTGGAACTGACAACCAAATGGTATAATGGTTGACTCTTAAAAATATATTCTTAAAAATTCATTATTTTTATAAAGTTAAAATATTCTATAAAGGCTTTGAAAGTTGAATTGATTTCTTTCAATGACTCCTAAAGATGAGGCCAATGTGGGTAGTTTGCTATCTCCCTATTTTATCAAATAATTTTAATTATATATATAATTTCATTTTTAATTGAATGAAAATCTTTTTTAAATTATAAAAATAATCTTGGAATAATTTCAAGTGTTAGAAAACTATATAGTACCTTAAAAACAAAATAAGCATTTGGTTCTTTTGTAGAGCATAACATAATCTTTAACTGGAAGAGAGTTATCTTTTAATGGTTATTCATCAGGTATGTACACAGCATAGTGACAACGATACCCATCGCCATGGTCAGGCAAATTGGGAAACGGTATACAAATTGGAAGGTGTTTCTCTACTTTCAGTACTTCCAAGAGTCTTTAGTATCCTCAGATGCACTGACATTTTCCAGAAAGGGACAGCAACATGCATCAGTTCCCAAACTAATTTCACCATGGTATCTTTTATTGCAGCGCATCTCCCGGGACTAGACTTCTATTGAGCACACTTTGGAAAACACCAAAATACACAAATTCATTCACTAATAAAGTAATCAAAGCATTTAATCATATATTTATCAAATATAGACTGGTGGTATAAATATGAACACTGACAAATCTGGTGCAAGAAATTTACTTGCACTTGTCACTTGAGAATTTGGTCATTTCCAGGGGAATATTTGAACCAGGGTTTCAAGAGGGATGGCTTGAGGCCAGGAAGGATGGCCAGAGGTAAATAACCCTAATGATAAACATGCATTATATTAGATATTTGCAACATAATCACGACATGTGAAGTAATGCAAAATGCTTGAGAGTGTGGTCAGAATGTGATCCAAGCCTTTATGAATAGATATTAATTATTTATTGGGTCATATATGATAAAAGTTCATCTTTAATAGTCTAAAGTCATCCATCAGCAGATGAGAACTTTGCATAATAACAGGATATATCTAGAAACACTTGCTGGCCATCTGCAAGTATCTTCTTACACAAAACAAAAAGGCCTGTTTGTGGCTGGCTTCCTTCCTTCAAAGCTGGAATTTATTCAGAGTTTGTCATATTTGTGAGAGACAGCATTTATCAAGTCAGATATTTTTTCTGTGTCTAAGTTTTCTTTAAGCAACATGTTAGGCCTTAAGAAATTTTATCATACTCCATTCTGTATGGTTCCATGTGAAATACTGCTAAATTAACCTCCTTCTTTAAAAATGCAATAAATATACCACTATTTGGTATATTTAGGGAGTATATGCTGATGGCACTTAGTGACCTAAATTGTGCTATTTTATACGGTTATCAAAAATACTAAGATTTTTTAGACTGAGTAGTGTTTTGACTATTGCACAGCAATGGACTCTCATTGTTTTTGAAATGTTTTATTAAGGCAGCCTTCAATCTTTGATATTGTAATAGAAACATACGGTGAGAATATGCAAATTCAAACTCTTGTCCTCTCTAAGAATGGGTGCAAACATACAAAAACCCTTTAAGTATTAACTAGACACTGCAGTGAGAAAAATTATCAAGGATAATAAAACTCTATATTAATATATTTAGTCAAGTTCTGTCCTGTTATAGCTATGCTGCTGTTAGTGTTAGAATAACTTGTAAAAGGTCAAGAAACAATAATTTTTTTAAACCTACAGCATGCTGTTAGCAGTAAAAACGTTACCTGTGTGTTCATAATATATTGGATTTAGAGGAAAAGTATATGACACAGTGTATGTGAAAAATCTAGGTATATAAACCTTAATACAATCTAAGAAAATACCATTTCAGCATATTGCCTCATTTTCATTAAAACGATGAAAATGTGAATTCAGAAAACCACTTAGTCCTTAGGCTAAAAATAGGTAGATCATCAAAACCTAATATCATTTTAGTCCAAATTGATATTTGTTTAGTAAATCTTCTACATCATAATGGGAGAAGTACAAAGGGAAACTCAAATTTGGGGGAGAAATTGAGGGGAGTTTTAAAAATAAGCAAATTTAGCTAATTCCATTCTGTTTGACTCTCCCCAAACTGGAGTCAGACTTGTCTTGAAACAAAGAATAAGTAGATACCTCAGAAATTAGCTTGATTTCATATTTTAGCCTCAGGTTTTTCAGTCAAATAATACTTCTATTTGCTTTTTGAATTCTTGTTTTTTCCTGACCATTTCTCAGTTTCTAAATTTCATCTCATTCAGCTTCACTTTTTCCCAGTGAAGCACTGCCACGTTACTTTCATTCTAAAGGTGCTGGGTAAATCTTGTCTATTTTTTGGTTATTTTAATGAAAATATTTTCTTATATTTATAAGAAAAAGCAAAGGCAGATTGTGCTTCTACATTATTTACATTTATTTACATATTATTTAAATTTTTTTCTTAGCAAATTGGCCCACAGACAGTGTCCTGTTTTTCTGAGCAGTAGGTAAATAATGACAACTTCTGTAAGTTCTGTGGCTACTCAGAATCTCTTGAGAATATATGTCCTGCTAAACTGCAAGAGGGCCACTTCCGGACCTGAAATGGTCTAAGAAATGTTGATCATGCTTCTTCCCACACGTGCTAGAAATTTCCACGCAGTTTGCAGATCCAGCCTAGGTACTTGTTAGATGGGTGATTACAAATTTCTTACGGGCTGTGTAGCACCATCACACTTTGCCAAGTAATCTCCAAGCTTTGGGAAAATAAAACAAAGCTCCTTACAAACACTGGATTCTCTCCTTTCCTTACTTCTTTAGCGTCCTACTTATCCTCTACTTTATTGTCTCTTTTTCATATGTAATAGAACATACACTGCAATAGGAAGCTGAAGATGTGGGTTCCCATCATAGTTCCATCCTGGTTCTTTTATCGACTAGCTGAGTGGAATAGGGTTGCCAACTTTGTCTATCTGAGAGTTTTGTTGTGAGGAAAATAACAAGCACTAGTTTTTGGAGTAAAGTATAATTTCCTCATTGCATATTAAACCCAACTCACCCGATTGTCAGAAAGATTCTATCTAGTTTGTGATTCTAAGTCGGGGGGGGGGGGTGGTTAGCGTTGAGTTTCAGGTTCTATAAGAACGGGACTAAGGAAACTCATTACCAGGTGGTAATCATCTTCATCTATTCAATAACACCGTTTGGTGTACACACTAAATTGTGGCACTGGAGACTCACATAGAACTGAAGTAACTCACCAGTTCCTAGAGGCAGGTGGGCACGTAGGGAGAGAGAGGCAGCGGCGCCTTCCAGGCGCTCTCCCTGGTACAGAGGCGGCGGGGGCCAGGGCTGTCAGGACACCCAGGCCCACGTGCCAGGCTCCGGCTCACCTGCCCGAGGGCAGAGCGGGAAGCTCCGCCCCTCGCGGAACCCCGGCCTGTGCGCAGTTCCCGTGCCCTAGGAGTTGGCGGCGGGGCCCAGCCGAGGTATAAGTTCCACAGCTTCACCCTTGTCGGTGTGATATGGGCGTGAAAGAAGACATAAAACAGGCTTCCCGAGTAGAACCTGCCACCCCGGGCTGGTGGGGACGCGGCACCAGGCCGGGCCGGGGGAAGCCGCTCGGACAGTGGTCCTTGGGTGAGCGCCTTCTTCGGGGCCCATGGGCCAGGCCAGTGCGGCCCGGGACGCCCCGGACCACCTGGGGAAGAACCGCCCGGGCCGGCCTTTGGCTGTCCCAGGCAGCGGCTGGAGCCCGAGTGGGCCCTGGCGGGATCTGGGACGGGGAGGGTCTGCGGCGCAGCCAGGAGGCCTGGGAAGTCCCGAGGTGGGTAGAGAAGGGCCGCGAGGGGGCGCTGAGACGGCGAGTGGCCGGGCCTGGGAGTGACAGTTGTCAGGAGAGCAGTCAGGACACCGTTGCTCAGAGTCCAGGCCGGTTAGGACCAGAGCCTACCCCGGGTGGCATGGTGATGATCCAGATTCAGGAGACATGTCTGAGAAAGGATCGTTCAGACTTTTTGACCTATTTTACATGAGGAATAAAGGATAGAGGTCAGGAAAGTTGTCCAAAAATTTTTTTCATTGTTGTTAAAAAGTTCATTTAGTGTAAAACAGGCAATTATCTGTGCGTTTAATATGCAGGCTAAGGTTGTTTCTTTCAGGCTTTCTTTCTTTGTGGCATGTAATTTCTATTTAACAAATGTATGTTGAGTGTCAGCTGTGTGTCAATTGCTATGCTAGATAACAGAGAAACAAATTATTAATAACATCCTCACTTTCCATGAGTTCAAATTCTAGTACAGGAAAAAGTCATCTAAATAATTCTAATGAAATGTCATAAGGCTAAATAACAAAGGTATATGTAAGGAATTCTATCAAATGTTCTATTAACTATTAGCATGGAACAATTAAGGGACTAGCTCTGGTTTCCAGATGGAATGGCCCTTATGGACATCAGGCATAATGGGTCATTTGCTTAACAGAAGGCAGAATTTCATATCTAATATTTTAGGTTATAAATAAGGGCATATAGTAGAAAGAGGCAAAAAGAAAAAAAAAGACAACGTACCTCCAAAACCCAGCTAAAACCTCTCTCTTTAGAAAGGACTCCTGGATTTTCTACAGTTTTATGTTTTATCCAGATGAGAGGTGTGTAATGTAGTCGCTAAGAGGCTGGACTCAGGAGCTAAACTGCCAGAGTTTACATCCCAGCTGCACCACTTACTAATGGGCTGACCTTGTATAAGTTGCTTAATACCTTGTTTCTCATTTTGCTTATCTGTGAAATGGGGATGATAATTATAGTCCCCATAAGATTGTTATGAAGATTTTTGTATTTCTAAAGTTAAGAGATGAAGTCTCATTTTCATTCCCTACGATAGAGCCTTCAGAATGACTGTACCCAGAAGTCAGATTTTTATTTTAGTAAATAAATAACTCGTTGATTTAGTACAGTTTTTCAAAGTTATTTTTTATCTGGTTTTACAGCAGATTCTGATTACATGTTATATTTGAAACTGATACTCATATATCTTCAGCTTAATGATTTGTAACATTGAAAATTGCATTTCCATTGATTGTTCTTTGCAGCATGATTGTTCTTTGTTACTGATATGATGATCTTTCTGTCCTTCTGCCAATAATTGGAAACAATCCTACATCATGAGCTATCTTTTTATTCTGAGGTTTTAGTGTTTGTGTAAACAAATAACACTTGCTGTTCAATGATTATATTTTCTTTAACACCTTTTTGCCTAAAACATGCTTTTGTTATTTGCTTTCATTATAAGGAAATACATGAAAAGATGAATTTAAAAGGCTCTGTTTCTGCCCTCCATGGCTGGTACTGTTTATCAGTTGCTCAGCAGTACCGTCACTGCTGGTGACATTGTTGGGGCTATTTAGCTGAACTATCGCTCAATTAGTCTTTTTCCATTATTTATATGTAATCATTAATTAATTAATATTATGTTCTCTTCAACAGAATAGTCACCTTGAAGTATAATGTCTTCAAGTGGGTCCTGGGGGCATAGACAGAACTGGAGTAATAGTCAATCAAACCTTCCCTTGATAATCCTCCCCACACAGTGCGCTGTACCTAATGCAAGCGCAAGCTACCAGACCGTGCATTACGAGTTTATTTCCATGCTGTTCACATATGTGAGCTGCAGAAGACCGTGATGCTTCAGAAGTTAAACTCTCATGTTTTCTAGATAGGAGGTGCTTCTCTAAGATTTTAAATGCCCTAACAGTTGTTTTCTGAAGTTGTTTCTCTGAACTTATGGGTAAATCTCCCAAGTGAAAGGAAGACCCTAAAACGTTCCCAAGTCTTGCCTTCTTCTAAAGGTGAGGGTAACCCAGTGAGCACACGAGGGGCTTGGCTTATGAAGCATCATTTTCAAGTCTTTGCCAGACTTTTTGCTTCCATTTTTGACATCTTCATTCATGCTATTGAACATCTATGTTACCAGTCTCATATTTAAAATACAGCAGCATACAAAACATTTTTTCACTTTGGTTGAGTGTAGTGTTTTGATAAGTGAACAATTTTCCAAAGGTTACTCAGCTGTTTTTGACTACTGTAGAGAACTGGTTAGAAATTCAACTGCCGTGCCACTCTCTGAAAAGACTCTTGATTTGCAAGAGAGGAAATAGTCATTGTGAATAGTTTCTATTCTGACCATAAAATGCTATATATTGTTTGATTTATCAGTGTACTAAAAGGAGGGACTTCCTCTGAGAAGCCCTTTATTTGGCATTTATATCCTTTGCAATTAAGAAACATTTTTAAATGTCATTAGCCAAAGGGAGAAAGATTTTCTTTTTGGCATGTTCTTTGGCATTTCTAGTGGTATGCTGGTAAATAACAACCAGTCCTCCAAAAAATAAAATTAAAAAAAAGAAACAAGTACAAAAAGAAAGACAAAACCCTTACTTACAATGACTGAAAATTTCTGTAATGTAAAAACTCCCACCATGACAGATTTCAACTGTCAAAATTATGCCACTAAACATGGAGTTGGGAAGATATGTGCACAGTCAGCTCTCACAAACCGGCACCAGCCGGCTACAGCATGCCACTGGTTCTCATCTTAAAATTGGTTATCACAAAATTTTTTTTTTCTGTTACATGTTTGGACTTCTACTAACACTTATGTTTATCCAGTAACTTTTAAAAAAATGAATCATAGTTTGTTTCTGCAAATATATAAATGCATGGAGCACTTAGGAGACTCTACCAATATTTTCACCTTCTTTCAGTGAATCAGGTTTTCACAGCTGAATTCTTACAGAGTTAGTACCCTCTTGCTCTTCATTTTGTTTGGTACTTTGTTTATTACAAGATGAAATCTCCTGGGAGTCCATAAATGAAAACATTTTAGTGTGTGCTCCAACCAGCTTTTAATTCACATCAATTTAGAAACTCGGAATTATTTAAAGTAGTTCTAGCTGTTCTAAGGTTAGCAATTAGCATTTTAATTTGTGCAAATGGCATTGAAAATACTGTATCAAAACAAACTGGTTCTCTTAACATGAAAGCCTTTAAAAAAGTTTTAAAAAATCAGTGGTAATCAATTTGAACAGTACAGCTTTTCCACCAAGAGAGAGCAACATAAGCACACGTAACAAAATATATTGAAGTGGCCATTTTACATTGCAAGCAGTAGGGTCATGTACATGTGTTACTTAGGAATCTATTACTTCATCTGCTTCTGAACTTGATGGATGAAGTGCAGTGATTAGTTAGGGTTATGGCAGTTGATGATGCATTCTATAGAGATCATCTTTTTGTCTTTAGGTATTTCATATGCACAATATGTTACTTCATTATGATTTCACTTATGGTGCACATTTATGAGTGTCTAAAAATTGACATTGCTTTTCCTGTCACAAATGGCTTTCAACAGGATACAGTTTCTCCATCTGTGCTAATAAGGTTAGGAAAAATTGCAATAGTTTTAAATGTGTAAATGGTGGATTTTAAATTTTGTTTTAAGACAGTATATATCCAACTTTAAGAGAACTGGTATGTCTGGAAATTTTCTTTAAGATTTTAGTACTGTTAAATGTAATGGCAGTTGTTTGAATATAAACAACTGACATTTGACCATAAAATGGAAGCCTGAAGATTTCATCACTAAATTTTGAACTTTCAAAGATTAACCTTAATTAGAAACTTTGCTGTATTTTGTGGCTTAAAGTCTTGCCTTAATTATTTTAGGGACACCGTTTCCACTCACAGTTTTCATACTTCAGTAAAACAAAGTGTCCTTAGGTTGCAGTAACTAAATATTAAACTTATATTGCTTCCATATAACAGCAGGAGTACCTGCAAAACATATCAGTTAAAACTCGATAAGGTCAAGTCTTAAAAATAACTGTAACAAATGATTTATTATACTTATTAAAGTCATGATTTACAGATCTTCAGGTACTTTTCAGCCTTGGGAGTGGGAAGCATTTACCAGGATAGGGGAAGAAAAAGAAAAAAAAAGGTAATGGCTACAAATAAATGCAACAGTTCTGTGCTTTCAGTAAAGTTATTTTTATGTGATTGTAAATTAAGAAAAATTCAGAAAAAATGCACATAAATGATTTGTTGTTAAAATATTTATTTTTAGAAGTCTTTATAGGCAAGAGCTTGTGGATTTAAAAAATTCTGTATAAACATTTGTATGATTTCTATAGCTTGCTGTTCAGAATGTTGACAGGCATGTGTTAGGAATGTCAATGCCAAAAGAAGGCATTTGCCTTGTGAACCCTTGTGGTGTGGTACTACTCTTATCTTTTTGTACCAAGGCTTGAAAAAGTAGTAATTATTTCTAGATCCTTGGTCCAATTTTATATTTAACATTGTTATCTCAGACTATAACAAGTTTTATGTATTCAGTGAGCCACCTTTTTTTTTCATAAAAAAGCATGTTCTTAGATCATTTGTATATATGTAGAAATAGATACCTTTCTGTCTCTGTCTTATCTGTTTATCTATCTATCTATCTATCATCTATCTATCTATCTATCCTATATAAGGAGCCAATTACAATTGCCTATATAAAAATGGCAAAAATCCTATTTTTAAAATTGTAACTTAAGAATGATTCTACACATTTAAAAATATTTCACTTCAGGGTTCCTTTACACAGAGAGCACCCCTAGTAATTTAAAATAGAAATTAAATGAATGAAATCTTAACTTTAAAGAACTGTAAATCCATCAATTTGTTAAACAGATACATACTGAGCACATACTATGTGCCAGGCGCTTCTGTAAGTACTAGCAATCAAATATATCTTTGCCAGTGGAAGAACATTCCATGGAAGCTCAAGAGTCCTGGAGTGACACAAGATGGCATGTTTAAGGAACAGAAATTGGCCATTGTGACTGCTGTGTGAGGAGTCAGGGAGGGTGGTACAGAGAGGATGGAAAGGAAGGAGCTATTTACATGGGGCGTTTTAGGTCATGGTGTAGAGTCTGGATGTTAAGTTCAGTGGGAAGCCACTGGAAGGTTTTTAGCAGAGGAGAGATGTGATCTGCTATTCCCTTGAAGAAGATAATTCTTACTTCTATATGGAAAATAGATTGTAGGGTGGCAAGTGTGAATATAAGGTCAGTTTGTTGGCCACTAAAGTTGTCTAAGTAAGAGATGATGGTATTAGGGTTAGAGTGGGAAAGAGGAGATGAAGAAAACTGGAGAGGTTTGAAACATATTTTGGAGGATACATACGTATCAGCAGTTGAGACTTGCTGCTGTTGGGAGTCAATAAAGGGAAAGACTAGAGGATGTGCTTAAATGTTTTGACTTGAGTATCTGAGTTTATGATGATATTTATTTACGTGGGGAGGAACAGGCTTATGAAGGGATGAGAATACAGAATTCAGTTTAGGACACATTAAATTTGATATCTAAGTGAAGCTGTAGGGAAGGTAGCTGTGTATAAAGATAGCTACCATTGTCTTTTCCATTTTTAGGTAAGAGATCTGAGGCACAGAGGGGTTAAGCACCTAACTTAAGTGTTTATAATCAGTGGATTGGGGATTAGAATCCAGGAAGCCTGGATCCAGAGTTTACATTTTTAGCCACTCCTCTGCCATTTGGATATTCAAGGTTAGAGACATTTAAGACCATGATGTTGAAATGAGCTAATTTGGGGGGGGCGGGGGGGAAGTAGAGAGAAGAAAGATGCACAGCCATGACTAGGTATTTCTGTGCTGGAGGTGGTGAAGGGATGAGAAGGTAGTAGGGAGACTGAAAAAGAACAGCCACTGAGGTCAGAGGTCAGAGGTCAGGGGTTTGTGGATTCACAGGGATGAAGGGAGAAATTGTTGCAAGGAGTTGAAAGCTATGTAGAAGTTGGGTAAGATAAGAGAGGTGGATTAGTCAACATGAGGCTGTGTGTCACCTTCATAAGGGCAGTTTCAATGAGTGGGAAGGAAGCCAGTTTAAATTAGATTGAACATATGGGAAGCACAGGTACCAAACAAGGAATTAAGCAAGCATCACATACTGTCTGTATAACACAGACAGTAAATGACGTCTATTCTGAGGCAGTAATGTAGAGAACATGAATTCTGGAGTCAGATAGACCTATGTACTAATTCTGCTTCGAATACTAGTGCTGCTGTCTTCAGCCTTTTACATAAACTCTTTGAGCCGCTCTTTACTTATCCATAGCATGTACTCCGTATACCCCATGCAGACTCTCAGAAGAAGCTCTACTGTTTATTTCCTTGCTTTTCCTTTTGTGAAATACTATTCCTCTGACCTGAAATCTGTCAAAAGTCCCCACCTGCCACTACTGTCCCCATTAAAAAGTACCTCAGTCTTTTATGTCAAGGCTATATAATCCTGATTTCTAATGTTGCATTAAAACTTTCTTGTGATTATTCACGTTTTGCCCTCTTATGAAATTGTGCACTACTTAATCAAAAGAAGGTTCCTGTCTTTCCATTTTGTGTCTCCAGACACCTATCAGATTGTCTAGCACAGAGTATATATTGCCTAAGTTTCAACCGAACTAAATTACTCATGGCCCACTGTGAGAGTTGAGCCTGAAGTCAGTAAGGACTGTTATGGGGATTCGCAGAGGGCAGGGGATGTTTGAGCTACACAGATGCTCTGGGTAGCAGTGCAAGTGGTGCAGTTGACTTTCAATTTAAGCTCCAAATGCAGAAACGCGACCAAAAGATCTTCAAAACTTTCTCCGACCACATAGCATAGAGAGAAGGCAGCCGTCAGAACAAAGGATCATAGGTCCCACAGAGAGAACTCAGACATGTTGTGCAGGTTAGAGACAGGGAGCTGTAGCAATCTACAGCTGTGGATTCATAAATTTCATGAAGTAGATTGGAAGGAGGCAAAGATTTCAGGAAAAATCAGTTGATAATATTTATCACTCAGTACTTTGAGCTAAGTTTGACAAAGGCTAAGGCTTAATAATAAAAAGCCCCAAAATAAGAATGAATAAAGTAAATAATCCAACTGATTTTAGAATAGTAGTGCTTTAGAAAAGGGTGTGATTAATATATTTGTAAAACTTGATTTTTATTTTACACTGGGGAGTTAATTATATGGGATTATGAAATAAAGTAAAATGTTGACTGAGCCAAGTTTGTTGACATGTGGTATTCTAGGTATCACAGAATTTTTCTTCTTGCTTATAATCTGTCCATTTCCTGATTTCTTTTAGAGGTATTTCCTCTTTCTCTTCTTTCTTTCTTTCTTTTTTTGTTTTTGAGACGGAGTCTCACTCTGTTGCCCAGGTTGGAGTGCAGTGGCACGATTTCGGCTCACTGCAACCTCTGCCTCCAGGGTTCAAGCGATTCTCCTACCTGAGCCTCCGGAGTAGCTAGGATTACAGGTGTGTACCACCATGCCCGGCTAATTTTTTGTATTTTTAGTGGAGACGGGGTTTCACCGTGTTAGGCAGGATGGTCTCAATCTCCTGACCTCGTGATCTGCCCTCCTCGGCCTCCCGAAGTGTTGGGATTACAGGCATGAGCCACCATGCCTGGCCCTCCTATTTCTCTGTTTATTATTGCTCTTAAATTGTATTTTCCCGGCCCACATACTATGAGCATAAAAGAAATCAAGTCAAATCCTAATGAAAATCATAATGAGACTTTTGATATCAATGAGTAAAAGTGAGTGATGAATATAATTATCCTTCCATTATGTGTGAGTTTATGTATATGTATCTTATATATCTTACCTGCGAGTAGTTAGTTCAGGAGATTGAGAACTTGTTTTTCTGTCAAGTTCTACTGACATGTACATGGAAAAAAACTACATAAGGGCTACATAAGTAAATAATATGGAAAAATTTGAAGTGCAAAAATTAAAATTTAAGATCGGGGAACACAAAAATCTAACAACTCTAACAAATAAAATATATTCCCACTTAACTCTTTAAAGAAGAGAGAATGAAGGGAGTAAGTTTGAAGTAAAGGGAGGGAGATAATCAGAAAAAGAAATAGACTTCTGGCATTCATATGGAGAGCTACAAAGAGAGGAAGAGAGAATGGGATTTGCCCTCAAACACAGCGACACAGCAACATAGAGTATGAATACAAAGTTCAACATACACGCCCCATTTATCTAGATAAATTGAATAGAAAAAAAAGAATAAGCCACCATATAAACACACTAAATAAAAGAGATTTTGAACTCCCTAAAGGCAAGGATTATTTCTCATTTATCTTTGTATCTTCAACTCCTAGCACACCAAAGTAGATTTTTAGTAAATATTTATTAAAATGTTGAAAATCAGAGAAAACAGTGTTTTATTGAGTAATACCTTGTAGCCGACAAAGGTACTTTGCAGCTATAGGCATGAATAGAGTATGTGAACTGTTTGTAGTCACTCCTCCAAGGACTGTAATAAATTAACTGAACATTAAGGTTTTCTACCCATGCTGCCTCTTGATATGGAAAGCAATAGGAGGGAGGAGTTGTGACTTGGAATTGTTGAGGTCAGCATTGACAGGTTCTGAAATGGTCAATACAAACACATTTTAGGACTTTCTGGAAAATTTCTCTAAGGCTGACTGAAATGCTTGCCTGTGAATATCTAGGAAAATGGAAAATGCACTATGGATGTTTTCTGGTAAATTTTAGGTATTTAATTTTGAAAATTCAATGTTACCAAATTCAATATATAGCATCTCTAAATACTCATGTTTATTTGACTTTGGTATTCCTCATAGCCATATCTCTTCCACATATTCTCCTTGGTTTTCTTTGGATAAGGCAAGGGACCTATTTTACATAATTAAGTTTCTGGAAGACAGCAAAGTATTATTGTTATACTGCTTTTAATATATGATGCTAAGGAAGAAATTGGTTTAAAGCCCAGCTACGCTGGAAAGCCCATTTTCCCACATGTTCAAGTTGAGGAAAGGGTTAGGTGACTGGTATGATTAACTTGTATCTACTCGTAAGTAGAATAGAAACTTGCTTTGCCTTATTCTGCATTTTTCAAATTGCCAGGTTTTATTTCTATTATTGTTGTCATGCTTGTCTTCTAGGTAAGTCTTGGGTTGTTTTATGGTATGTTTGGACCTTATCCTAAGAAAACCAGTATATAATGGTAGTGTTTTGGCATGGGGGCTGCTAAAGGTATTGGGCGAGAGCAATCTATATAGTGCAACACATGTATAGGAGCTAGGAGCTGGGGACCTCTCTTCCCACAGTAATACTACCATGCTAAGATTCCAGGGCACTGTTGGGAACTTTCACGTGTTCTGAGCCACTAAAGGGTCAGGGAGAAAGGGTGGATTGTTCACAAATGGTGATTCAGTTGGAGCTTATACCAAGTGGTAAGTAGACTGCAGTGGATAGTAAGTTCTCCCTGGATGGTGATGAAAAGTAAAGCTGATGTAATTTCTCAGCACAAGTCATATGCAGTGGTTCATTGGCTGCTCTCAGAATGGACTTTGGACAATGAGATAGTTCCCTGAGCCACTCTGGTGCTTGATGCTGACATATAGCTTTTGCTCTGGCAAAGGCTGGGCAGTTTCTGGGTATACCATGTTTTTCTTCCAGGCGTGGGTCCCCAGCAAGGGCCTCGCTGACTTCCCACCCTCATCACATTCTCCTCCATTACTGTCTTTTCCCTCTTCCAGTCCTCTTAATCTTTATCTCTGCTGGAGTGCAGTAGCCTGGCTCTCTTTTGGGCTTTCTCATTAGTGTTTATGGCATAAACCTTATGCCCCGAGCTCCTTCAGTGCTCTGCCTTTTTATTCCTTGCTTAATTCTCCAAACCACACTTTTTAAATTAAAAAAACAACAAAACAATTCTTTCTTGCAAAATAACCTAGTTCTTGCAAGTAAAAGCTTTTGCTTTCACACTTTTGTCTCTGCTATCAGTTTCATAAATGTACTTTAAAACTCAGAACTGAGCACTGACTGTTTCATTTTCCTCTCTTTTCATTCTATTTTAACAAGGCTGATCTTTCCTAGACAAAGAAAAGGCCGTTCATTATTGAGTGTTGGGAAACTCATCAAGATTTTATGGGGCTTATGGAGCCACCTGTGCTGGGAGAAGGGGCAGCAGTTAGACAAGCCCATCCTCCCATCATGTAGCGTCACACAGATACATAGTTTCCATGGAGCAAGTGTTGGAAGTAACCAGGCTCCAGCCGCCTTGATAGGACTCGTGTGTGTGTGTGTGTGTGTGTGTGTGTGTGTGTGTGTGTGCGCGCGCGCGCGCGCGCGCGCGCAAGTGCACGTGCAAGTGAGAGAGAGAGAATATGCGGATCACAGGAGGTTAGCCAGAGAGTGCCCACATCAGGGAGTTAGGGGCTGTGAAGTACCCACAAATAGACCCTGCAAAAAATTAACATTTGGATTTACAGATGCCGTGTAAGAGGCCAAGAATAGTCAATAGAGAAATATAAGGAGCACTGTCTAAGTGAAAATATTTTGTCTCTTTCTCTAGAATCTTCTTCCCTTCTGGTCTGACTAGGAAAGCCAGAGGGAGATGGTGAAGGAGACACAGAGAGAGTAAAAGAACAGACCATGCCCAGCCTCTCCACTGCAGGAGCTTGGAATCAGGTGGGGACTGAGCTTGTCTTAGGGAGAGGGGAGAAGCTTTGAATGAGATATGCGATTAGAATGTCAAAATTTACCAGAGCCTTTTACTACCTAGAAATGACTCATAATTACTGAAATGAGACTGCTTTTTGTTGTTGTTGTTGTTGTTTAAAATGACTGGAAAGCTATGGGAGCTGCCTGAAATATCATTAAGGTATATAGGCAAGGGGAATCTGACATATTGAAAGGCAGTGGTAAGAGGGAAATACAGCTGCTTCCTGTTTGTACTCATTATGTTCAGCCCTTTCAATAAACTGGTTACACTTCTATTGATTCTTATGTAGTCATACAGTGACTAACAGCTACCCACACTGCATCTCAATAGCATAAGAGCTAAAGGAAGAAGAATCATAGGTAAAGCTGGAAATATCCAGACTTCCTAGCCTATAGGAGGGATGAATGAGCTGATCCATACATCTCATGGAAGCTGAGAAGGCTGTGAAATACCCACAAATAGACCCTGCAAAAAAGTTAACATTTGGACCTACAGATGGCGTGTAAGAGGCCAGGAATAGTCAATAGAGAACTATAAGGAGCGCTGTCTGTGTGAAAATATTTCATCTCTTTCTCTAGACACTCCTTCCCCACTCCTCCAACTCTAGGAAAGCCAGAGGGAGATGATAAAGGAGATAGAGAGAGAGTGAATGAACAGGCCATGGTTCTTCCATACCTAGAACTCGGAGGTCTTTTTTGCCTTGTTTTTTTCAAGTCCCAGGCTGAATTTGTCAATGTTCTTTTTTAAACCACTTTCTCATCCTGCGTTGTCTGATTTCTTTTGTCAAGATCATCCTCACCACCACCTGGGCTTGACCTTGCCTTTGACACCTCTCTTCGTTATTCCATACACGTTTAACAATCCCTATAAATTCTACCTCTGCTATAGACTTCCAAACACTCCTGGTTGAAGCTTTCATAATTTTCATTTGAACTGTTCACAAATGTTGGAGGGCTCAATGCTAGCGATAAAGCACGGGGATAGACAAGAAATGCTTCTTGTTCTCCTGGCTCTTGTGGTTTAGAGAGGGATGGACTTCTAAGCCATTATAATTCAATGTGATTAGCGTGATAGTGGAGATGTGTTCAAGGTGCTGTGGAAAACTGGTGAAGGGAATAGCTAAATGCTTAGCAGAATGGAGAAGATTCAACAGAGTACGGATGTTTTAACTGATACTTTTAAGGCTGAAATACAGAAAAAAAAAGCAAGAAGGAAAAAATCTACCAGCAGGAAGCCATCAGGCAGAGGGAACACCCTTTGCAAAGGGGCCCAGAGGCAATGAGAACGCCCAGTACTTTCTTACAACTGGAGCTAGAGTGAGGTGGGAAATCACAAGAGATGAGGCTAAAGAGAGATATTTTAACATTTTAGATTATTTCCTTAGGATGGATTCCCAGGAATGAAATGCTAAATGTTATTAATATTTCTGCTGGGAGACAAGAGGAGCACAAAGCATCCCGACGGAGGCTGAATGGGTTTTAGGGAATGTTTAGAGAGTATGCGTGTATGTGTGCATTTGTGCCGGGGGAATGGTAGGTTTTGCCCAGATTTTGACTAACCTAGTATACCATGTACTTTGTTATGCAACATGGAGCCATTAATGGCTTTGAAGTAGGGCAGTGAAGAAATACATTTTATTATAGAAACATGATTCTAGCAGTAATAAGAAAGCAAGGCAGGAAGCTACTGCAATCATCCAGGTGAGAGATAAGAAGGACCAGAGGTAGGGCACTGGGTATGAAATGAAGTGATAAGTTGAATGACAGAGGATTGCAAGTAGCTGGATAATTACAGCTACATAGATTCACAGGCTAGGGTAGAAGGGCTTTGAATCTATGAAGCCAAAACCAGAATCTCCAGGATTCAGGATCTCTTGGATTAGCCAGATTTGGGAACCATGGCACGAATTGGTCTGCTTTCGCCTTCTCTCCTCCTTCATTTTACATCTAGTTATGTATGACTTAGCTTAAGCATGTAGTAACTGTGAACTACTACCAGATACTGTTTGAGCTCCCCTACCAGCTGCTTCTTTGCCCCTGTGCCTTTACCAGGAATGTCTCATTTTCTCCTTTCCTGTTTGCCCAATCCCTACACAACCTTGGAGAAGCACCTTGGTTGAAATCTGTCCTGTAAAGCCTTCCCATGTTCCCCCTCCTTTCTTACCTGACCCCAGCTTCCGTGAATGAGATGATAATCCTCTCAAGCACTGGACCTTCCCTCAAGCTCCAGGGTAATTTACCTATAATTCGCTATGGAACCATCACCCCATATATTGTAATATAGTTATATGTGAATATATCTTATCTCTTTTATCAGGCTGTGAACTCCTTGGGAAAGAGATTGTGTCTAGCATATAGATGATGCTCAGTATAGAATAAATAAGTGAATATCAGTAATCATTTTTACCAACTCATGATTAAAAAATAGTATGAAAAATGGTTTTTCTCCATTTTCTTCAAGACACAACAACTTTAAAAGATACAAAACATAGCCATTTAATTAAGTCATCCAGTTTGATCAGTATATTTAAACAATTGAGGCAATGTCTCCCTTTAATGTCTAAATGTATCAGTGCTATTTGTTCCTTATTTTAATGGAGATTAATTCCCTTTTAAAAGAAAATGATAATCCCCTCAATTGTAAGACTCACAAAAATAACTCCCATAATTCTGTTCTAAATAGAAGGGAGAATCTCAGAAAAAGAAACGATATCAGGTAACTGCAGCCATGTTATTGTGAGTGTTAGAGCTCCCCTCCTGGGAGCCCATATTAGATAGCTTTGCTGTTTTCCAGTAGACATCTTTATCTTTTGCCCTGTATACTAAGTCACTTGCTTAGAATTTACTGGAATGTTAAATTATTTCTAGCAAATTACAAGCAACACGGATGAATGGGCATGTAGTATTTCATTTTTGCCTCATTATGCTTTAGATTTGGGATCTCCAGTTTTGTAAATGATAGCTGCGATATGTCAGTCCATCTTTACACATCCACATGCTTGAATGCATCCTGCTTCTCCTCCCATATGGAACGGTGTCAATCATGACGTACGACTGCTGTTAAGATACATCCTGTGTCTACAGAAAATAACTCATAAGTGCTCGTTATGGAATAATGTATAAGATTGCAGGAAAACCCAAGAGAATTGGTTTAGGCCTTACACACACACACACACACACACACACACACACACACACACAAGCACACACCTTTGGCATGTTTTTAGGTAGGAGATAGAAGGTATTCCCTCTTCTGAAGGATCCAAGTACTCCTCATAGCTCCTGCCACTCCCTGGGTGACTGAAACATTTGTCACCATCTTCCTGAACCTCAGTTTCTTCATTTGTAGATAATTCTTAGAGTTGACAGCATTTTATGAGGAACAACAAATAAAAATGCTTTCAAAGTGCTTTGCAAGCCTACAGTACTCTGTAAATGCTTAATGATAATAATATACAGTAGGGCATCTTCCCTTGAAAACAGCAGGAGTGTTTCCTTCCATAATGACCTGACAGATGGGTTATGGTATCTAATCCCCTTAAACCCCCAAAGCTCTTTGATAGTGGATGTTGTAAAAGGCCAGATTAGAGCACATGCTGCTCTTTTATTGAGCCCTTTCTTTCAGTATCTATGCCATGTTCAATTGCTTCCTTCTGTAAGTACGTTACATGTTAACCTACTACCTGCAGGAACAATTAGGAGCAAAAATAGAGACTA
Organism: Homo sapiens; assembly: GCF_000001405.40. Classification (NCBI taxonomy): domain Eukaryota; kingdom Metazoa; phylum Chordata; class Mammalia; order Primates; family Hominidae; genus Homo; species Homo sapiens. Next base: position 83,846,156 of record NC_000001.11, on the reverse strand, counting down.
AAGGACAGTGCACTCCAGTAGGAAAAATTAGTTAATGCTTGTTGTCCCCAATATTAAAAATCCACTTTGGCCTTCACATGTGGTTTTTATGGAAGGTTCCTGCCCTCCTAAATCCTGACTATTAATCTCAAGCTGTGGGTATTTGTCGATGGTGAACACAGGCTTTTTTTGTGAGATAGTCCTGTATGTGGTGAGAATGGAGCTTTAGTGATATTAATTCTAAACCAGTGAGGCTTAGGAAAATCACAGGCAGTTTAGGATATTTGTAGCACTTATGTAAGAGTTGGAGCTTTCAATCAGTTCAAAATGAGGAAAGGATGATTAACAGTTAGTCTACTGTAACTTTTACTCAGCCCTGAACCTCGATTGGACCAAGAAGTTTTTTACATTTCCACTTTTTGCTGTACTTTTCTTTTGAGAATAACTATTAAAGTTATCAGTTTCTAAAATCTTTTGTGACAATCCCTTAATGCACATTCATCATCCTTCCCTAGTACAAAGTTTGCTTTCTGTGCGTGCTTGGAGTGTAAGTTGTTGTGCAATCACCCATGGGATGTAATTTGTGTAATCAAGGGAAAGAGAAAGGAAGAGCAGCTGCCAATAATAATTAGTTTCTTAACTGAATATATACCGCAATAAACATTTTAAGCACACCATCTCTTTGAATTTGGGGTGTTTTAAAGAAACAGGCTGGTTGTTCAAGGGCCTCTCAGAAGAGCCCTTTTTTGTACACTGGATTCTCCCCTTCTCACCTTCACAAAGACATCACTTCCACATGTGTGCCCTCTTTTTCCTGCATCTTCATACGTTCCTTCTTTTCTGAATAATCCTCATGGTACAAAAATGCTTAAATATCTCATGGCTTTATAAAAACTTGAGCCAATTTTGCCTCTGCCTTTCCTTCATGCTCCATTTTTTGGAATCTCTTTATAGCAGAACTTCCCCCAAAGAATTATCCCTACTTTCCAGTTTCATGTTTTAGCTTGTTCACGCTGCTATAACAAAATACCACATACTGGGTAATTTGTAAAGAAGAGAAATTCATTTTTTTTTTTTTTTTTACAGTTCTGGAGGCAGAAGGCTAAGATCAAGGCACCAGCAAGTTTGGTGTCTCGTGAGGGCTGCTGTCTGCTTCCAAGATGGCGCCTTGTTGTTGCATCCTTGGGAGGGGATGGGGAGAAAAAAACAAAAAGAGGCCTAGGCTGGTTGCCCCTAGCCCTTTTATAAGGCACTAATCCATTCATGATGAGGGGAAAGCCCTCATGACTTAATCATCTCGCAAAAGTAACACATTTTAATACCATTACAATGGGGATTAGGTTTCTACATGAATTCTGGAGGGGACATATTCAAACCATAGCACTCCACTTTCTACTTTCCCTTTTCCTATTCTCTGTCTCCCTCTCTCCCCTGCCCCATCTCGGTCACTGGGGTTTGTATGCATGTATACATATATGCAAAATATCTAAGTATTTTGACCGGTGTTAAACACTGACCATGGATTCTCCTGGAACCTTTATTCAACTCAGTTTATTCTTTTGTAAATCACAGTCACCATTCATTCCATAAATTGCCAGTGTACAATTCAATGAATGTGGACAATGTGAACACACATATAACACAACTCACTCAAGATTTAGAGAGTCCCTTGTGCTCCTTTGTAGGCAATCTCCAACCCCATGGCAATTACTGTTCTGATTTTTAACACCTAGATTTGTTCTGCCTTTTTCTGGACTTTATATAAATGGAATAATAAACTATATGGGGATTTTTGCTCAACATTAATGTTTTTTAAGATTTATCCAGTTGTTGCTTATATCAATAATTCATTCTTTTTGTTATTGCTAAATAGCAACCTATTGTATGACTATTCCACAGTTGTTTTTTGTTTTTAATCTATTCTCCTGTTGATAGACATTCAGTTTTTTCCCTGTTTTGGCTACTATGAATAAGGCTGCTATGAACCTTCTTGTTGGCATATGATTTTATTTCTTTTGGGTAACTATTTAGAAGAGGAATTTCTAGGTAACAGGATAGACACATGTTTATAAGAAACTGCCAGTTTTCGAAAGTGGTTGTACCATTATTATACTCCCGCCAGCAGTGTTTAAGTTCTAGCTGCTGCACATTGTCACCAGCATATGGTGGCAGTATTTTAGTTTGGGCCATTCCAGTGTTTGCGTGACATGCCAACCAGATTAAAACACAAAATACGGAAGTGTATTTTACATGTTAAGAACTGATGTTGTATATCAATAGAAAAGAAAAAAAAAAACAGAATTCCTCAATTGTTTTTGCTTCTGTTAACTGTCAAGGAAACTAATCTTCAAACCACATAGACTAGAACTGAAATTATACAAGGAAAATAGAGCCCAGGATGACAGAGATTCTGAGAAGACCTAGACAGTTGAAATGATGTTGGGTCTCCTAGCACAGATGTCTTATACTCTGGAGACTACTCTTCCCATGAACAGGGGACATGCTAGGAATCCAGAGAGAGACTGGCAAAATAGGAGCTACGGAAACTAAACAGAATACATGAGAGCTTACCAGAAATCTACTCCCACATGTGGAGAAATCAGATGGACATTGAAGGCCCCCCAATACAAAGGAGATAGCAAATTCTAATTCCATTCAGACTCTGGTGGTGCCAAGAGGCCCTGTGAATTGGTAGAGCAGGGCATGGCAACAGTATGTAACTGATAGGTCATATTACTGCATAAAGTTAGTAACAGGAATATTACAAGCAAAATTTAATCTCTGGTTGGCAATAAAAAGAAGAGTTCACTACCTCTAGCAGCAGGGATTCATGCCAGGGCTTAGTTCCAGTGAAAAATTATATGCCTAGATTATTTATCACTCAGGTTAAAAGAAATTAGATGCAAGGGTAGTCAGGTGTATACTAGCACATATTCCAACATATATGGTCAGTGTTAGAATAAGGGGCTAAAGGTAAGAGCTCCTTTAGATATTCAGGACACAAAATTTGTTACAGATCACAGGATGTGGGAGCTATGAACTCACTGGTTGGCAGGGATAGGACTCCACTATTATTGCCCCAGGGTCTATTCAAGACTGATCCTTCCCATAACTGGATACCGTTTTGCCACATCTTAGGCAGAGAACTTCTTGAGAAATCATAGAGGAATCAAAAGACTGAGATAAATGCCAGTTTGATTTTTCAAAAATGGAAAAAGTACGTTTATTGAACCAAAGATTCATTCATTGTAACATTTATTGAGTGCCCTCGGGGTGCCAGGCACTGTTGCAGGACTCTCAGGACACAAGACAATTATGGTTCCCTGCTGTCATGGAGTTTTCAATATACTAAACTCAAAGGTAAACTCTGGAAATTGATGTCAATTCCAGGCAAAATTGTAGGATAGCCATTGAATGACTGGATGGATTTACTGAAAACAAGACATATTAATCTATTTTTTTCTTTGCCAAAGCTATTTTACAGGAAGATCTTAGAACTATATTATTTTTATTTTTACTTTTGCCAGCTGTATCATGATAAGCTTGAATTGAAGAAATACAAAGGCTGTATGGAGGTAAAATTTGGTAGTGTAATAACAAGTTGAACAACAATATCCAAGCATTTCTGATTAATTAATCAGTATTAATCTGGTTGCATATCAGATAATAAACATATTGCTATCTTCAAACATGTTCTGTGTAACATTCTGTCAATAGTTTGCTTGAAAATATGAAAGGTGTGATTTTCAAATTTGCTGATGAGACTGGGATGAATATCAAATATTTGACGCATGGAAACATCAAGAGATGAATTGGCAGAACTATCCCCCACATTTCATTAGCTTCCATCAGAAATTTTCTCAGTCTTGTTAATATGTTTGGCAAATGCTTCTTTAAGAACCTGTCTCCAGGTAGATTGCTGCCCACTGTCAAAGACCCTCATGGGTAGAAATTCTGCAGTCACTTTGATTTAGAGGACAAAATTAGTAGTATAGATAAAGATTGACAGACAGGAAGGATAAGCAGAACCTAAGTAAACAAGTTTTTTGAGTTGACTGTAAGGTCATGTGTGTGAGTCCAAATTAAAATTGAACAAGCTATAACAATACAGAATTAGAGAAAGGGGACTTGGGCAGGGGACTAGCTTGGTAATAATGCTTGTTTAACAAAAATAATTGAGAGACCTTTGTTAATGGGCCATGTGAGATATAGCCACCCACAAGCTATGTGATCTTAGCTTGCAAAAGAGAAATTATAATATTTGAACTGATCACAGATCACTTGAAATATCTAAGAGTAATAGAGTGAAATTGAAGAGCATTAGAGAAGGGTAACCTGGAAGGTAAAAAGACTTAAAATCTTGGCATAATGGGAAAGATTGGAAAAGCTTGGAATAACTGGCCTGGAGGTGTCTTGAAAATGAAGTATGTAATGGGACAGAATAGTTGCTTTCAAATTTCTGAACGCTGCTGGGAGAAGAAGGAAGAGTCATTATTCATTTTAGTCCCAAGAATTAAAATATGTACTAATGGGTGTTAATCTACAGTTTAGTATCTTTTGGGGTCAATAGAAGGAAGAAATTTCTAATATTCAGAATAGTTGTAAGGTAGAATGGGCTGTATCACAGTGACTTGGGGAGGTTGTATAAATGTATAGATCCCTAAGCCCACCGCAGAATTCCTTGCAGCACTGGAAATCTGGGAGTTGTATTGTTTGACGTTCTTAGGTGATTCTGATATGAAATCAAGTTTGGAAACTATCAGGTCAAGCAATCTTTTTCAGACATGATGTGTAATAGAATACCAGTAATCGATGGGGAGGTCGAGATGGAGTAAGACTGTATGACCTATAAAAGCTCTTCATTCCAAAACTCATAAAGTGACATTTGTTTTTGTGAATTTGCCTTGGGTCAGACTCTGCCCCTCACCCTTGGAGCCTTAAGAATTTAAATTTGTCTTTGCCCCAAATGTAACCAGACTTTGGACTCTTGAGTCCCATTAAAACACTCATGGGAATGTGTGGTGGCCATTTGGGTTCTGGCTGTCAAACATCTCTTCTTCCTTCCCGCCAGCACTGATTTTTTTGAGAGGAGGAAATAGCTGTGTCTTATTTTGTGTTGTCTTGGTGGCACAGTGAATTCTGGTACCTGCTCTTCTACTACAGATGAAGAGGCTCCTCCTTCCATATACTTTCATTACTCTGTTAGGTCCGGGAGCATTTATGTGAATAAGCTTGGCCAAGCGGATATTCTCTTCTGGGATTTAGATTTTGTGCATATGGCACAATGAAAGGTGAGATGTATGGAAGTCAAGCAGCCTAGAGGCTGTTCCCTGTCCAGGTTGCTCCAGCTCTAAGACAACTTTAGTATTTCCAGCTTCTGGTCTCTGGAGTTGCTTTGGTTCCTGCCTGTTTCTAGGACTGGACTCTCTAGTCTTGCAACTATTTGTTCCTCTAATAGCTTCTCCTTTGATTACATTAGTCAAAGTTAATTTTAATCACTTTTTTCCAGAGAGCCATAAGTGATATAAAACTTATTCATAAAACCTGAAATTTTAATTTATTAATTTACAAAAATACTGAACACGTACTGGACAGGTGAAGTTTCTTCCTATAGAAAAGTTCCATAAGAAGCTAAATATTAGAATATTTCTTGATAAGAATAAAATCAGAACAAGGAAATTTATATATGATTCAGATGTTTAATTGTGGGACCTTACAGTTGCTGTGTTGTCCTTACTGTATAACCTGTCAAAATTATTATATGCATGTTGGCCTGGCAGGGTATCCTGTCTTCCAACAATGTTTGATGAACACCACCTGTGCATTCCTTCTGTGACTCTTCTCTTTCTTTGTTTTGAAATGATTGATCCAATTTAGATGTGCTAATTAATTCTTTCAGTCAGGTTACTGACAATCTATACAAGCCTCAAATCCCATTCGTTTAAGTAAACTATGTATTCATTCCTCTGCTTTGAGAAGAGTAAATTTATTCCATCCTGAGTACTCCCAAAGTGTCCTTGACTCTTCTTTGTATTTCCCCACCTGTACCCAAACTTCCCAGTCACCTAAGCGCAGGGATTTTGTCTTCATTTTGGCATGAAATAGCAACTAACTCAGCACCTTTGACCACCATATAATCTTTACTGCCTTAGCTCACAGCTGACGCTTTTGTTGTTGAACACAGGATTTTCTCTGGATGCATCCAGTTGGCATTTGACTTTTAATTGGAATATACGTAGGACAAAATTAAAAGCTGGCTGCCCTATAAAGGTTTATGAAATCTATGTGTCATTATTCAGGGATATTCCTAGACAGAATGTTAAAATTCACCAGTATTTAGAATGATGTGTTGTACTGGACATGATGCAATTCATAGCTGGAATTGTAACATCTTTAGAGTAAAGCTGAGTCAGATTGATTTTTTGTTTCCCTTGCATGGTGTTTGCTTGGAAGTCCAGATATGCTAGATTTAGTTTCACTAATGACTTTTCCACATTACCTAATTGGTCTGTAATTGGCCTGCTGTTTATTAGAGAATGTACAATATGAGACAGTCTCAAGTAGTAGATATTGATATAAGACTATCATACTTACAGACTCTGCTCTCCTCACACAACAGAGAATGGATTCTCAATTTTACGAAGTCTGTTAGAGAATTAGAATATGAAGAGTCCACTTACAAATAATCGATCTTGTAGATATAGAGGGTTTAGCCATATGTTTAAGTCAATGTCCATTTAATATCTATTTGAGATGCTACGACTATAAAGTTTAGTTTTTAGCAGTGTAAAATATTCAGGCAGGTCAACACATGGATATTGATTTAATTAGATAAAATATTCACTTTAAGGGAAAACAATAGGAGATACTCGTGACAGTCTATTAAATCACAACTATCTCAACACCTTTGACCACCATATAATGTTATTACAGTATATTCAAGAGAGAGCTGGGTTAGAAGTTTGTTGTCATCCCTTATTAGTTGTGTGATCTTGGGCAAGCTGCTTAACCTTTTGTAGCCTCATTTTTGTTACCTATAGAATGAGAATAAAAATAATATTGCTATTATATTTTTATACCAGTAGAATGGCAGTGATATTGTCTTAAGAAAGATTCTGAAACTGCTTCTTTGATTAGCAAGCATTTTTGCTGCGCCATCTAACATCCCCTCTAGTAAGGTGTTTACTGGATGTAACAGGATGTTGAATTGAACCGTTTCTTTGTCTCAGATTTGCAAATAAATCTTTCGAAATGAAGACAGTAATCCTTCTCTTCTGAAGAGAACCTCCAAAAATCCTTGCAGGACCTACTTAAGAGGTGGCAGAACTATCCCTGCTATTATCCTCTCCATTTACATAAGGAAGTCAAGGGGAATAATTAGGGAAGTTATTCGCTTAGTGGACAGCACATTCTTGGGACGCCTACCTGCCCCCACACACCAGATCAAGTGAGAGGAGAGCTAAGACAGCCTTTTACATGTGTAAGGGTGGCTAATAAAAGGATAGACTGGCTTCTTCTGTACAGGTAGATATCTGCATATGAAGCAGACTTGCTGATTTGAGTAAGGGAAACAGGAATTGGCATGAAATGGAAGGAAGAGCGGGGATGGAAATATCGCCAGTGGCCATAGCACTGTTTAGCCTAGCAGGGTTCTATGAATTTCTTTTGGATCTCTAGGCCACTGTGGGAGCCAGCCAGGCTTGAACCATCTGGCCAGGATGCTGCCCCAGTGCTGTCTGAAGGGACATCAACAGCAGGGAGGCTGTGGGGATTCTTGTCAGGGGCAGATAAAGAGAAGGTTGGGAGAAATCATGTCAGAGGGCACCTCCCTTGACAAGAAAGTATGCAGCCGGGACCAAGCCTTGTGGTGCTTAGATTATTTAGTATTTCATTACACTTGCTTTCTTCTGGGATCCTTATCTGCAGCCACAACAGGATCATGATATTGGTGAAAAGCAATAATCTTTGGCTTAGCGAAATCAATGGATTCCTAATTCCCCAAAACCCTTCCTATCAAGTAAAGAAGTATCCTATGGTCTCTCATCAAGTCCTTTGGCTCAGCAGCTTTCCACATATCTCACCTTGCATTTCTGCTCTGTCACTTTCAGCAAAAGCCATGCTGCTCCCAGGTATGTGTGGTATTATCTGTTGCTACTTCCAAGTGGCTTAGTTCCAGTTGTTCTTCAGTCTTGCTCCAGCGGTCTCCACATGGAAGTGGGAAAATGCTCTCTTTTCTCTCTTGCTTTCTTCCTTTTTCATCTCTAGTAGATTGACTCTTCCCTAAGACTTAATATTTTTTATAAGCATTTTCCTTTGAAGGTAATCTGAGTGTCACCAAACTGAGAGGTACTCAAAGTCATTGTCTCCTGTAATTGCCCCTCCGCCAACTGCGTCCCTGGGTTAAGTGTTTGACCTCACCTTCTTAGGATGGCCTGTTTCCCTCATCAGACCATCAGCATCATCTCCATCTTGTACAGTGTCCACCCAGTTACCGTGCTTGGAGCATGTGGGAGGCCTTCCTCCTGGACATTTTAGGGATCTTAGCCCTGGCAGTCAGATGTCAGTTTCAGCAGTTCGAAAGCTTTTCTGAATCCTTGAGTCTTCTTGCAAATAAGACCTGGCTGACTTTTCCTGCCTCTGGGACAAGTGAAGCCCATCAGCTTTTGCAGTGTATATTCAGTTTAAAACTTGGTATTGGCACCCACTCATAGAGCAAATAATTCTTGCAGGTGATGCTAATGGGGGAAAAGATCTGAAGAAGAAGGGGTGTGTTCATAGCATTTCAAAAAAATTCTCTCAGTTTCTTTTCTCTGATGAATCGTATCTTCATAATCCAGCTTTACCATGTTGGCAAATCTCAAGGCTTTGCTTTCTAACTGCTTTCAGAAATGCCGATGGCTACAGGTTATTGCTAACAACCATACACGTTATTTTGCAACATAATGGATAGCTACAGAGTTTAATAAAAGGGAAAGGGCCAAGCAAAAATTTTTGACAAGAATAGCGAAATGGAGCATTTAACAGGATTTGTTTTCAAGCTGTTATTTGAGAGATTTAAATAAATCCTCTTAAGTACTACAATTTTTGAGCCCTAAATGTGCTTTAGTTAGTTTTAAGTATTTTTTGTTTGTTTTTGTTTTTTGTTTTTTGTTTTTTTGTTTTTTTAAACTGGATAAATAGGAATGTAAGGAAAAACCCTCCCAGTTGCTGGGTGTGATGAAATCTTCCCTCTCAGGTTCATGGAAGATTGTGCCATGAAATCTGTGAAAGATGCTTCCACATTAATTATACTACTTAAAAAGCTGTCTCCAGTTCTTGGGGTTTTTTTTCTAAAGACAGTGACAGTATTTTCGGGATTCAACCATTTTGAGATCAAAGTCCACATCCTGGGTCAGGCTAACTTGGTATTGGCAAGTTAGTTTTAGTTTTAGTACTTAACAATCAAAGGTGCACTCCTCAACTGTAAATTTCAGTTTCCTGTCATAGAAGCCCCAAGAGTACATCTGTCAAAAATAGAATATTTAGATTAATTGGGGCTTTGAGATAGCGTCTGGTGCAGGAGGACCTGGTCACCCCAGGTAGGTATGGATTGTCCTTTGAAAGACTTCCAGGTATAGAGGTTTCATAACCTTCTTCAGTCATTCTCAGTATCTAAATGTCCTTCTGCACATTTGAGGGCTTTCTTTCCTAATTTATTTATTTTTTTCTCCCAGTGGAGATAAGGAACAGCTGGTCCATATTTGTATAGAATTTCTTTATTCATGATAGTCCTACCTCTCCCTTACTCTGATTAAAAACTGAAATACTAATTTCTTTAAAATATTTCTTAATTAACTAAAAACTGAAACCCCAAGTCTTTATGAGTATAGTAAAAATTGTACTTACTGAAACCATACAGAATACATTGTTTTGAAAAATATTATTTGTCTCTACACACAGTTTCAAGTTTTTTATAATAAACATTTATTTAGCAGAGTAATTTTCTTATAAGAGGACTGTCTTCATGGAAACTTAGGTAGGTGAAGGTGAATCATGTGATGTTTTTCCAGAAGACTTAACTTCCCAAGGTGGCCTCAGAGGTCTTTGAGGACACGATCCATATAGTCATCTCCACTCTCCCAAATTTATCTAACAATAAACAAAGGTGACCATGTTCATTTTATTAATGCTTTGAAATGACTGATGTGACCAATGCATGAGAATTAAACAACAGTGAAGTACTAAAAGATCAATTGAAAAAATAATAAATTCATGCCTAAGCTTCTCAAACTATCACGTCTCAATAATTTCATAGTTGCTTCATGTATGAATGAAGTTTTCAAAAGCAAAAATTTGGTTTACAATAACTAGATGTTCACAGCTGTGCAAGCTGGTTTTCTTCATATTTCTCAATTTATGACCATTCAATGAGAAGAATGTTATTTCATATCTAGCAACATTTTAATAAAAGCCTTCAGCATTCATGTTCTTTCTTCAAATTTTTAACAGATGACAGTATCATTCTTGATTCTTAAAGAGACAACTTGCTCTAAGTGTATGAAAATCATGAACTTAATGTAAAACAGTAAAGTGTATTTCTTAGCCAAAGGCTGAAGACAGAAAAAATCTGCAGCCATGTGAATGGTAGACTCATGTCCTTTTGCAGAAATTTCCTACTCCTAACAATACAGTGACTGCAATAGTAACCTGCTGAATGGTTCTTATGTGTTTATCATGGTGCTAAACACTTTACAATATTTTACAACCATAAGAGATAGTTATTACCTTCTACTTACAGTTGAACTTTCTTTGAGGGCAGTGACTTGTACAAAGTCATTCTTTTAATAGGTGGCTGAGCTCGGATTTGAACCCAAGCTATCTGAGTCCAAACACAGGCCTCTATGCCATCGAATGCCTTCATTTTCCACTAGAGAAACATATCAGTTATTCACTCCTTAAGGTTTTTAAAATGTTGCAGGTTTTTCATTTGAAAACCACAAAGTCATATGCAAGCAGTTTAAAAGGATGTTGAGCTCAGCATCCTGAATGTCAAGACCTTGTCTTTCTCTGAGATTTAGTCTGGTCCGCCATGTTTCAGAGACACATATTGGTTGCAGCAATTACATTTCTCCACTAGGAGAACCCAGGGAACAATACCTTACTCTAAAGATGTTTTTCCTTTTTGTAACTGTGTGGAAAGAGGCTACCTTCCCCATTTAAATAAATAAATAAATAAGCCTTTACCTAAATTGTGCAGAATTGCCCACACTCACTTTATCTTGTGTTGACCATTGCTCACTAATTCATTTCTCTTATCCTAGGACTACTACTTATCCTTGATTGTGTAATTTGAATGGGCATTATGACACATGGGCACCTCGCATAACTTCGGTGCATTGCACAATCAGAGTTACCTGTAATTTAAATTATCGTGGTATTGGATTTTTAAAGTTAAAACCCTGTAGTTTTCCCTAAATATTAAAGTTTGATTTGTAAGTATTATTATTGTTGAAAACTTACATTTTTTAAGAATTAAGCATCATAACTTTGAGGAGCAATTGATTAAATGTTTGATCAACTTAACTAATTTCTCTTTAAACAATCAGTCTCATTTATGAATGTGGGAATTTGAAACTGCAACCGTAAATGTAATATATTCAGTTTTCTTTTTAAGCTTTTCAGGTAATTGACCAGTGTGACAAGTTCATGTCTCTAATGAGCAAAACTGTCTTGAGAATTTAAATAAGTCATTTAAGTCTAATAAATTATTAAATTTATAAACATAGTAAATCTAGTTCTCTGAAATTATCTAATTCTGTTTACAAACTTAGTCAAAATCTTACACCTTCAACTTTAAATCACGACTCAATTACATATTTTAAATTGGAATCACCAGGCTAATCTGTCAGTCTCCAACATGCCAATCCTAAATCATTACAAATAGTTTAAATACTGAATATACACAAATTGTATCAATGATTAAAAACCCATTCCTGAACTTGACACAAAAATATTAATACCTTATCATCTTTATAATTAATTTGAAACCATCCTGGATTTGGAAAGATACTCACTAAGGGAACAATTTTATCATCTCAGATGTGGAATCTGGGCTGTGCATGTTCAGAGTGGTTCTATCTCAAATACGGACACTTGAAGCACTTTTAAATAGTTGCTATAAAAAGAAGGACTCCAAGCTACATCCTTCAGATGGGGTTTATTTTGCAACTCCCACCTCATAAGTTCAAGATACATTTTTATCTAATTGCTTCAGCTGATTTGAATAGGGATCAGTCTGTAACACCCCCAACCAGGGTATAACTGCCAACAGTTTACTGTTTATTTTCTATATTTTCTAATTAAATTCTGGATCCTTTCTATACTATTGTTGCCATTCTAGGCCATGATACTTATGAATACTTTAATGATATGTTATTGGACTCTGCATATTTTTCATACTTGTTAAGATATTTTAACAACAGATATATTTTTTGGAAATATATTACAAATTAGGAACTAATTTTAGTAAATTCTTAATCAAAGATGAGCGAAGAGAATGTAAGACTTCTATATTTTTTCAGTGTCTTGGCTAACAAATTAGATTTTCTTTTCAATTAGTCTGTGAATGAAACAGTCAAACTTTAAGAGACTGATTTTTCAAAAGGCTTCAAATATGATACCACTGACTCCAGCAACAAAAGAAAAAGTAGATGAATTAGATAGACTTCATCACAATAAAAACCTTTGTGCATCACAGAACACTATCAAGAAAATGAAAACTTGTAGAAAGGAGGAAAATACTTGCAAATTACATACCTGATAAGGGCATAGTATTCAGAATATATAAAGAACTCTTATAACTCCATAACAAAAGACAAAACTCATTTAAAAAAAATGGGCAAAGGACTTGAATAGACATTTCTCCAAAGAAGTTACGCAAATGTTCAACAAGTGCTTGAAAAGACACCCATCATCATTAATCATTAGGGAAATGCAAATCCAAACCATAGTGAGTTACTACTTCACACCCACTAATATGGTTACAATAAAAACATATGGAAAATAACTAGTATTAGCAAGGATGGGGAGAAATTAGAACACCTGGACATTGCTAGTGGGAACGTAAAATGGTGTAGCTTCTGTGGAAAACAGTTTGGCAGTTCCCCCAAAAGTTAAATATAAAAATTACCCTATGACCCAGTAATTCTACTCCTACCTAAAATAATTGAAAACATGTATTCAGGCAAACACTTGAGTGGAATAATTGACATTGGAGACTTGGAAGGGGCTGAAGTGGAGGGGAGTGAGGGATGAGAAATTACTTAATGTGTATAATGTATACTATTTGGGTGATGGCTACACTAAAATATATCCATGTAACAAAACTGCACTTATATCCTCTAAATCTATAAAAATAAAAAAAACCACATAAATGAAGGTTCATAGCATCAGCATTGACAATAGCCAATATGTGGAAACAACTTTGTCCCTCTCCTGAGGAATGGATAAACAAAATGTGGTAAGACTTTACAATGGAATATCATTCAGCTATAAAAAGGAACAAGTGCTACAACATGGAAGAAGCTGAAAACATTATGTCAAGTGAAAGAAGCTAGACACAAGAGGGCACATATGGTATGATTCCTTTTATATGAAATATCCAGATTCAGTAAATCCATAGGGATAGTAAGCAGATTGTTGGTTACCAGTTTCTAGGGGAGGAGGAAATGGGGACTGACTGCTTGCTGGGGTTACCTTTGGGGATGTGAAAATGTTTTAAAAGTAAATAGAAGTGGTGATTGCACAACATTTCAAATGCATTAAATGCTGCTGAATTGTGCACTTTAAAATGGTTAATTCTATACTGTGTGGATTTTACCTCAAATTAAAAAATTTTTACCAAAAAAAAAGCTTTTTCAATAAAGTCTCTCGCTTTTTTTTTTTTTCTCCACTCAGGATGATATTTAGGATTAGATGTTACCTGCATCCTTTTCCTCATTTTTATGGTGAGATTTTGCCACAAATATGGAGGATCTCTCACTTGATAAGGGGTGAACAAAGCTCCATAGAAACAACATAGTCCCAGCTTTGAGGAGCAGGGTGACCTGACTCCCTCTTATAAATGAGATGACTGACAATGATGACATAAATTATGACTTTTTCTTCTCATTTCAGCCACTACACAGCCAGCTTTCTCCATTCTTTAATATAAATTTTATTAAGTACCAAGACACATAATTACTCAGGACTGAGATCAGTAACATTTTCAGAACATTTCATATGTTTGAAACAAGCCCAATTTTTCCTTAGAACTGAAGTTTGAGTAACAGACATTTGTTTTATCTAAGTTCCTTTCTCAGGAACCTGACCATCAGGCCTCCCAGAAAGTATCGAGAAACTGAAACATCTCAGATCATGGCATCTGGACAATGAGACACACCTGCTGCCTGTTGACCAACTCCCCTTGCTTACCCCTTCGTAACTCCCCACTATGTAAACCCTTTATTTTAGTTAGCTTAGACTTGTCTCCCATCTCTCAGCTGACATCATCTGTAATAAAGCCTTTGATCCCTGGCAATACTTGCCATCTCTGTGATTGGCTTTCTTTGCAGCAAGCAACCAGATCTAAGCCAATCCCTTGGTGTTTGGCAACACGTTTCCCTCCCCAATTTTTTTGTTTTAATATTTGTAAATTATCTATTATGAATGGAATGGCCCATTTCTTCTGGAATCATGCTCTAGAAACACATGTAATAAAAACTTATAACACACGTACTCCTCAGAGCAAGCTTATGGGATAGGTAGTACTATTATGCCAATTATGCCCATTTTACAGGAAGAAGACTGACGGACAATGAGATTAGGTAAATTGGCTAAGTATACTTAGCTTGTAAGTAGTGTAGCTAGCTTTCAAACCTGGATAACCTCACTCCAAAGCCCAGATTTTAAAACTAATATGCTTTTCTATTCTGCCTCTCCTAGAAACAGTTTATCAAGCCTATCATGTTCTAGGTGAAGGAGGGCATAGTAAAAGTAGTTTGTGCTCAGCAAATATCCATGAAAACTACATTTGGAATATTTGAAGTATAGAAGAATATTTGTAATATTTCAAATGTAGAAGACTACATTTCTCAGTCTTCTCTGCAGTTGAGTTTTGTTCTCTGTCTTTGCAATGGTAACATCGTTATTTCTTGAATCCCAGTCTCTGACCTGCTTATAAGTAATGGTCAGGTCAGTTTCCATACGTAATGGCTCCCACTCAGGCCATAAAGCTTTAATATACTTAAACTAGTCTTTCACAAAAGTTAGCAGTAAACAACCAGTCTATAAAGCTTTCCAAGGGGCAAGAGAACACTCACTCCGTTGCTATAATTATTACTTCTCTCTTTGTGACGACCCTTGAGGAATATAGTTAAAAAGCAGAGATACCACCTTTCTATTTTTCTCCATCTGTTTATTTTGCACAGTAAATTGCCAGCTTTTTGTTTGACATAGGAGTAAAACACTGTTGTGTCTCTTACCTGTAGTTCTTGAAAGTGCAGCAAAGTATGTACCCTTTAATTCCAACATAATCAAGAATTTACTTTCCACAAACTGCGTTTCATCTCTTTCTCACATGGCTGTTGGTGTTTGGGAGTAGTTTCAAGTTGTTTGAGAACGTGCTTGCATCAACAAAATTGGCAATTTGTTTCTGCTCACAGTGTAAAGACAAAGAATAGGAAATTCCAGTGAGGTTAAGGGGAGATCTACCTGGCAGACTGGTTCTCCTGGCCTGTGACACTGTTATCCAAAGAATACTTAATTAGGCAACACATTCATACTGACAGGTGCCACAATCCTAAATGCGTAGTCCAAGTGGCTAGGCTTTAGTGTCATTTTGTGTGCCTCAAAACCTTCACAGCTGAGGGAAATGGAACTTTTCTCATTATTTGTGACCCAATTTGGCAATATCAGTTAAGCAATCATGCCTCTGAATGGCATGGAGTGGGGTAAGCTTCTCCCCCAGGGGGATTTAGGAACTGGAATAATTGATTGTGCTCTGAGTAGCTGTGCGCTCAGAGATTGTTGAGATGCTAATTAATGCACACATCTGCAACCATCAGTTCAGTTTTATTCAACAAATACTTGTTTTGTTTACCCTCTGTGCCAGACACCATGTTATGGGCTGAAAACCCAAAGCTGAATAAAATATAGCCTTATTCCTCTTCTATGCAGATTTTGTTGGAGGGGGAAGAATTGTTACTAGATAATTCTAATGCAGTGTGGTAAGTTCAGTAATAGAAATGTATTAAGGTGGCCCACGACAAGCGATACCTGACCCAGTCACCAGGAAATAGGGGAAGAGATCATGAAGGGATTCCTGGAGGAGAGGCCACTGGAACCAAGTGTTTAAAAAGGCAGTAGGGCTTAGAGGAACAGTGATGACAAAGTCTGGGAAGCCTGAAAGAGCATGTAGTGTGTGGAACATCAAGCAGTTTGAATTTCCAGTGGCTAAAGTGGAAGATAAAGAGTGGGGGTGGGTGTAGAGAAGTAGGCAGAGACAGATCATGGAGATGCTTGCATGCCACCCTAAAGAGGTAGAACTTGTTCCCACAGGCAGAGGTGGGGTGACAGAGCTTTAAAAGCCATGAAGTGAGTGACTAGTCTGGTTTAATTTGGGTTTAAAAGCCTGGGTAGGGTTGATTTGAGAAGGGCGAGGCTGGAGGTGGAGGACAAGAGACTTTGCAGTAGTCCCAGAGAGAACTGATGAGAGCCTGGGGAAGCGCAGCAGGCAGGACAAAAAGGGGATGTTGGGTGGACACAGGAAATTTTCCAGAGTTGAAGCTCAGGGCAGGGGTCTGGCTGGGGATGGAGATGTGTGCATCATTACCATGTGGGCTGTAGTTAAGGCCAATTAGACAGGATTAGTGTGCTCACGTGAAACGTATGAAGTAAGAAGAACAAGAAGCTATGCTGAGTCAGCTGGGGATACCACCTCTTTGAGAGGATAGGGGAAGAAAATGCCAGCGAAGGAGACTGCGGGGAGAGGAAAGAGGAGACTCAGCAAAGCGTGGTGTGACACAGCCAGGTGAGCAGAGAGTTGAGGACATTTTGACAATGATGTTGAATCTTCCCATCTGGTACCACACTGTGAAAGCTAAGATTAATTAATTCAACAAATATTTACGGAGTACCAAAGATGTATCACATATGTGCTAGTTGACAGTACCTTTAACTTATAATTTTACCAAGATTGACTTCCACATAACTAGCAAAATGTAAGCTACCAAATATATTTGTTGGATTCCATTCTGTCAAGTATTTCTCTGCTCAACATTGTTTTTAGTTTATTTCTACTTCTAATTGTAAGATATTTTTAAACTGTACAGTGAGGCAAAAACTTCCATCTGAGCATGGCATTCAGAAGGGTAGTAGCAGAGATGTTGTTGCCTGCTGGTGAAATAAATGCAGTAGAATGAGAAAAACATTTGTTCATTCCATTCCTCAAAATAAGCAGGCTGGATCGTATGGGAGACTGAGTGCTTCTCACTGTTTAACAGAAAAGATTACTCTCTGTTCTTCAGCTGGAGGAAGTTTATCTCTCTCTGTGCTTCTAGTTCCCATAATGTGAAAATGTTTCACATTCTTTCAACATTGCCATGCACAAACACACATTAGCACTGGCTAAGTATATGATATGGGACACTGGAACCTAGTTCACTTAGGTCAATCTCCTGGTCAGATGAGTGAAATTTGCTTCTTTTAATCATCTCCTAATATGGCAGGAAAGGTCCCCCAGGCTACATATAAGTAGTTACAAATGTTATATGATTTAAATAGATATTCTAGGTTGTCTTTATCTCTTGTTGTGCACAAGCCACACCCTAAAGTAAAAGAAACAGCACAGATCTGTTGATAATGAGACCAGTCATTCTTTGGTCAACAGACATTTGCTGAGCAACTTGTTAGGCCCATATTGGGAGCTGGGGTAACAAAGATGGATTGGTTCTACTCACAGCCTTCGAATTATTCATAGACTAGTAAGGTATTTCATATATGTTGAAGTTCTTGGTGAAAGCCCAAGTTATTTCTCTTTACCACCTGTCCCTTTGGAGTCCTTACATTCTAACGTGCAGACAAAAGTAAGAAGAAAAGATGGCTTTTGTGAAAAGCACAGCATCTGTTGTAGGCAGCTGTTGATCTCTGCCATGGCAGTCTCATTTCAGTAACTTATCTTCAGCTCCCCTCTGACTTCCATTTCTCGCACAGTTCCTGGCTCTATTTTCTGGGTTGGAGGGGTGCCCTGGACCATTAGGCATGAGACATTCTCTGCTCCTGCCTTGTCCTCACAGAAGCCTTCACTGGGAGAAGTGATTGGGAAGATTTGTATTTCTGGGTAAATATAAACATCAGTAATTATACATCAAATCCCAATATAATCACTGCATTTGAGTACTTGTAATTTCAGTATGACCAATATCTTATTAATTAGTAAAAGACGTGTTTAATGTAATATACCCAGCTATGCCCTATTCTCCTTCTAGCTAAGTGTTTATGTATATGGATTTGTTTTTATGGTTAAAAATCTTATAATTACATTATCTTCATGCTCTCAAAATACCATTTGGCTTAAAGAACTGATGTTTTCTCTGGTAACTTCCACATGGCATCTGCTCAAACTACCCTTTAAACTACTGCATTAATTTGCTGAATAGTTATCTCTTTGCACTTGCCTTGTGAAAACCTATCTTTTACTAATTCCCCTTCCCCCAAATCAGCAAAACCTCAGCCTGTTCCATCTGGCAATATCATTGTTTCCCACTTGGCAATATGGTGTAGTGGTTATGAGCCTGGGCTTTAGAGTTCATTAGGCACAGGTCTGAGTCCCAGTTTTAGAACTTGCTAGACATGTGATTTTGAGCAGTTTATATCAACTCTCTGTGCTAGGTTTCTTTATCCGTAAAATGGGTAAACTGATATTAACCATCTTATAGCGTTGTTGTAAAGTGAGTAGCACAGTGTCTTGTCCAGAGTAAAGGCTTAATAAAGTCTTCTTTGTTTCCTTGTTACTGTTACAATTTCCTTGGCTGCAGTGAGAAACGTAAGGCATTGAAATCAGGTGGACTTCTTCAAACTGTGTCCCTGGAGAAGCCAGTTGCCTCTCTTAATCTTAGTTTCCTGATATGCTAAATGAAAATAACAACATATTACAGTGCTGACAAACGATTACAAAGACTAATTAAGATAAAATACATTTAAAAAAATCTGTCATGGTGGTTCGGGCACAGTGCTCATGCCTGTAATCCCAGCAGTTTGGGAGGCCGAGGCAGGTGGATCATTTGAGATAAGGAGTTCGAGACCAGCCTGGCCAACATGGTGAAACCCTATATCTACTAAAAATACAAAAATTAGCTGGGTGTAGTGGCAGGTACCTGGAATCCTAGCTACTTGGGAGGCTGAGGCAGGAGAATCGCTTGAACCCGGGACGCAGAGGTTAGAGTGAACAAAGATTGCACCACTGCACTGCAGTCTGGGCAACAGAGTGAGACTCCATCTCAAAACAAACAAACAGGCAGACAAACAAACAAAAATCTGTTGTGGTGCATCAAATCATGACATGGGCTTACTACGACTCAATTGTCACACCTAAAGCATCCCTCTCATTACCAGTCTTTTGCCCAATCTACAAGTATACTGAGTATAATAGAAGATTTTAGTACATGTAAAAAATATGGTCTCCTGGACAGGAGTTCTATACTATTTACTAATCCTGTAAACCCTTTCATAATTATTTATCCTTAGGAACATATACAAATGTTTTTATAGAAAATAGATTTTAATAGATTCAATGCCATCCCCATCAAGCTACCAATGACTTTCTTCACAGAATTGGAAAAAACTGCTTTAAAGTTCATATGGAACCAAAAAAGAGCCTGCATTTCCAAGACAATCCTAAGCCAAAAGAAGAAAGCCGGAGGCATCATGCTACCTGATTTCAAACTATACTACAAGGCTACAGTAACCAAAACAGCATGGTAGTGGTACCAAAACAGAGATATAGACCAATGGAACAGAACAGAGCCCTCAGAAATAATACGACACATCTACAACCATCTGATCTTTGACAAACCTGACAAAAACAAGAAATGGGGAAAGGATTCCCTATTTAATAAATGGTGCTGGGAAAACTGGCTAGTCACATGTAGAAAGCTGAAACTGGATCCCTTCCTTACACCTTATACAAAAATTAATTCAAGATGGATTAAAGACTTAAATGTTAGACCTAAAACCATAAAAACCCTGGAAGAAAACCTAGGCAATACCATTCGGGACATAGGCATGGGCAAGGACTTCATGTCTAAAACACAAAAAGCAATGGCAACAAAAGCCAAAATTGACAAATGGGATCTAATGAAACTAAAGAGCTTCTGCACAGCAAAAGAAACTACCATCAGAGTGAACAGGCAACCTACAGAATGGGAGAAAATTTTTGCAATCTACTCATCTGACAAAGGGCTAATATCCAGAATCTACAAAGAACTCAAACAAATTTACAAGAAAAAAACAAACAACCCCATCAACAAGTGGGCGAAGGATATGAACAGACACTTCTCAAAAGAAGATATTTATGCAGCCAACAGACACATGAAAAAATGCTCATCATCACTGGCCATCAGAGGAATGCAAATCAAAACCACAATGAGATACCATCTCACACCAGTTAGAATGGCGATCATAAAAAGTCAGGAAACAACAGGTGCTGGAGAGGATGTGGAGAAATAGGAACGCTTTCACACTGTTGGTGGGACTGTAAACTAGTTCAACCATTGTGGAAGACAGTGTGGCGATTCCTTAAGGATCTACAACTAGAAATACTATTTGACCCAGCCATCCCATTACTGGGTATATACCCAAAGGATTAGAAAACATGCTGCTATAAAGGCACATGCACACGTAGGTTTATTGCAGCATTATTCCCAATAGCAAAGACTTGGAACCAACCCAAATGTCCATCAAAGATAGACTGGATTAAGAAAATGTGGCACATATACACCATGGCATACTATGCAGCCATAAAAAAGGATGAGTTCATGTCCTTTGTAGGGACATGGATGAAGATGGAAACCATCATTCTCAGCAAACTATTGCAAGGACAAAAAATGAAACACCGCATGTTCTCACTCACAGGTGGGAATTGAACAATGAGAACACTTGGACACAGGAAGGGGAACATCACACACCGGGGCCTGTTGTGGGCTGGGGGAAGAGGGGAGGAAAAGCATTAGGAGATGTACCTAATGTAAATGATGAGTTAATGGGTGCAGCGCACCAACATGGCCCATGTATACATATGTAACAAACCTGCACATTGTGCACACGTACCCTAGAACTTAAAGTATAATAAAAATAAATAAATAAAAAGAAAATGGATTTTAAGTATCCTTGAAATTGTCTGTAGTTTATACCATATCTTTGCCTAGCTTGAAGCACTGCTAGGATTATGCCAGTGTATGCCTGTGTTCATTAACTCACTCAACAATATTTCTTGTCCATCTACTATGTGTTAGGCAGTACTCAAGGTGTTTGGGATACTCAGTGAACATACGAAAGGTGTCTTTCCTTATGAAGCTTATATTCCAGTGGGGGTAGACAGACAATAAAAAATGATAAAGTAAATTATGTAGAATGTTACTAGTTATGTTGATAGATTTTGTGAAAAAAAAAAAAGAAAAAGGAAGGCTAAGGGGATCAGGAGTCTGGAGTGAAATTGGAATTTTAAATAGGGTGGTTAGGAGTGACCTTATTGAGAAGGTGACATTTAGACAAACATTTTAGATAAAAGCTACTTTACTCTGAAGCAATTAGAAGAATATACTACATTTTTTCTAACTCAATGAACCCTTAATACTTCCAGCTGGTTACTTCATGGAACATAAATATCCTTCCTCAAACACTGCTCTGCTTCTGCTTTATTTGGTTCACTGTATTACCATTGCTTAACTAGGATCTCTTTGTCTGCAGCCCTGGTTCTCTGTAACTGGCATTCCCACATCGACACAAAATGATATTCCAAAAATATAGACTGAATTGTGTAACATTCTTCCTCGAAAGATCCAGTGGCTCTCCATTGCTTTCCAAGTCAAGTCCACACACCTTGGCATGACCTCCATGGCCCTGGGATGCTCCTCTGTCCTCTTTTATGCCACATCCCTCTTTGAGAGCCATACTTCACCCATTCTGGTCTCCCTGCTCTCTACAACTCTTTGCTTTTGCCATTGTTACTACCCACCCTTTCCCACATTTTATGTTTATTGGAAATTGTACTCATCTTTCAAGGCCTAGCTCTAATGCTGCTTCCTTTTTGGATCCTTCCAAGTAAAGTTAATTTTTTCATGCACCCCTCCATTCCCTATGCCCTGAATGATGTGGTGTAGATGACCACCTTCTCTTGAAGTTGTCAATTCTTTCTCTATAGAAGATGGTTCTTATTTATCATAGAGTCTTCTGAGAGAAGATTCTGAGCAAGCAGTATACTAAACTCTGAGAAGATTCCACGATAAATAAGAACCATCTTCTATAGAGACAACTCCGCTTACTTGAATTAATCAAACTGGGCAAGCCACCTTGAATTAGTCAAACTGGGCAAGCCACCTATCATCTTTGAACCTCAGCTTCTTCATTTTCAAATGGGTTAATTACACATTTTTATGAGTAATAGGTAAGGATTAAATGTGATTAAGTGAGATAATATCTCATTATTTAAATGTGTCTTGTGGTGGCTAGCATGTAGTATCCCTTCAGTAATTGTTCTATGAATATAACTCCTTTTTCTAGACTGTCTTTTAATAATAATGGGGTTTCATCATCCCTTTAATTATTCCTTTTTATTGCATAATGGCTTCATAATTGTCACCAATCTTTCTTGATTTCCAGAGGAAAGCTCTCCTTTAGCTTTGTTTCTAAATGATTTACATTGTGTTATTTTATTTTTTAATTAGTAGATTTTATTTTTTAGAGCAGTTTTAGATTCACAGCAAAACTGAGAAGAAAGTGCAGAGTTCCCACATACCTGGTACCTCCTCCCATACACAGCCTCCCCCTCAATCAACATCCTATATCAGTGTGGTACTTTTGTTACAATTGATGAATCAACATTGACACATCATAGTAAACCAAAATCCATAGTTTACATTAGAGTTGCACATTCTATGGATGGTGCATCCTTTGTACATTCTAAGGGTGTCATACATTTTATGGGTTTTGACAAATGTATGATCACATGTATCCACCATTATAGTATCATGTAGAATGGGTTCACTGCCCTGAAGATCCCCTGTGCTTCATGTATTCATCCCTCCTTCCCCACTGGTCCTCTGGTAACCACTGACCTTTTTCCTGTCTCCATCGCTTTGCCTTTCCTAGAACGTCATATAGTTGAAATCATATGGTGTGCAGCCTTTTCAGATTGGCTTCTTTCACTAAACAATATGCATTTAAGATTCCTACTTGTCTTTATGTAGCTTGATAGCTCATTTCTTTTTCACACTGAATAAAATTTCATTGTGTAATATAGTTTTTTGTTTTTTTTTTTTAAATTGAATTGACCCAGTTTTGAGCTCTAGCTAGAGGCAGTCAGTTTCCATTCTTGAGTGGCCCATTAAATACACATTCCTAACTGTCTCCCTTTTTAGGCTCTCATGCATTGAGTCACTCAAACCCCTCCCAGGCCAGGCTATAGACAACCAGGCACAGCCTCTATGCCCAAGAGCTTATGGAAATTATTTGAACTACTCAATCCTAAACTTGCTTACCGTGACTTGCCCATTCTTTCCTGCTGAAATCATGGTCAAGGCGCTTGCTCATAGTTCCCCTCTTTCCTTCCGTCTTGTGAGTGGCCCCAGTGCTTCCCTGAATGACCCTGCATAGCATGCTGTATTCTCCCCCAGGGAACTGTGAGTGTAACAGACTATAAAACCCTTTCCAATTCCTCCCTCTTGGTCTGTGTCTGGACTCACCATCCTCACCCAGGGTAGTATGGGTAAAACACATTATATGGCTGTACCACAGTTTGTTTATACATTTACTTATTGAAAGACATCTTACTTCCAAGTTTCAGCTATTATGAATAAAGCTGCTATAAACATTCATTTGCAGGTTTTGGTGTAGACATAAATTTTTAAATCTTTTGGGTAAATATCAAGGAGTGAGATTGCTGGATCTTATGCTGACAGTATGTTTGGTTTTATAAGAAACTGCCAAAGTATTTTCTAAAATGTCTGTACCATTTTTCATTTCCACTATCAATGAAAGAGAGTTCTTGTTTTTCAACATCTTCACCAGCATTTGGTATTGTCAGTGTTTTTGGATGTTAGCCATTCTAGTAGGTGTGTAGTGATACTTCCTTGTTTTAATTTGAAATTCCCTAATAACATACAATGTTGAGTATCTTTTCAATACTAGCCATCTGTATATCATCTTTGGTGGGGTGTCCGTCCAGATATTTTGTCAAAATTTTAATTAGATTGTTCATTTCCTTATTGTTGAGTTTTAAGAGTTATTTGTCTATTTGGATAACAGTCAGACAGTCAGATATGTCTTTTACACGTATGTTCTTTTTAGAGTACTATCTGGTTCTCTGAGAATTCACAGGTTTACTCTTGTAATAGATGGTTCTCTATAGCCATTTTAGTTTCTATAAAGGAATATTTTTTCTGAGTATTTATTAAAACAATAGGTTCAGGGATACTGACTACTAAAACTTCTATTGCTACTTACCAGATATTAATCAGTCATTGAGTCAATCAAATACTTATTAGGCACTTAATATTTTTCTAGACACTGTTGGAGATAACAGTGGTAAAAGGAGGTAAGAGGCCTGCTACTGTTTTCAGTAGATTTATAGTCTATTTTGAGATAATTTAAATACAATTTAGGACTGGCTTTGTGGAACTAACTATAAGTGCTATTGAAATCCAGAGAGCTCCAGAAGAGTTCAGAGAACTCCAGAGGAGTTTGTGCAGACTAGAATTATTGAGCAAAGATTCATGTATGACATGAGGGCTGACCTAGGCTTGGAAGGTCAGATAACCCATGTATAAGTGGAAAGGAAAAGAATACATGTAATGTGCCAGAGCACCTTGTAGGTGTTTACAATGCGTGTGCCTCAAGCATTACAAACACTTAATGTTTTTATTACATGGGTAACCCCTCAAGAAGGAAAAGCAGACAGATCCCTTCTGACTGATTGATTTGACCCCAATCCCTGTATAAAGATATCACTCCTACCATCTATCTACTTATACAATACCACAGTAGATATTTGTCTTAGTCCATTTGTGTTGCTATAAATGAATACCTGAGGCTGAGTAATTGATAAAGAGAAGGAGTTAATTTGGCTTAAGGTGTTGCAGGCTGTACAAGAAGCACAGCATCAACATTTGCTTCTGGTGAAGGTCTCAGGTTGCTTCCACTCATGGAGGAAGGTGAAAGGGAGTTAGCGTGTGCAAAGGTCACAGAGTGAGGGAGGAAAACAAGAACGTGGGGAAAAGAGTGCCACACTCTTTTTAACAACCAGCTCTTGTGGGAACTAATAGAGTGAGAACTCATTACCACTATGACAGCACCAAGCCATTATTGAGGGATCCACCCTCATGACCTAAACACTTCCCATTAGGTCCCATCTCTAATATTGAGGATCAACTTTCAGATTGAGGTTTGGGGGGATAAGTATCCAAACCATAGCATTCCACCCTTTACCCCTCAAACTTCATGTTCTTCTTACGTTGCAAAATACAATCGTTTCATCCCAATAGTCTCCAAAAGTCTTAACTTGTTCCAGCATCAACTCAAAAGTCCAATGTCCCAAATCTTATCTGAGAGTCAAGATAAATTCCTTACAGCTGGGAGACTGTAAAATCAAAAACAAATTATTTACTTCCAAGATACAATGGTTGTACAAGCATTGGGTAAACATTCCCATTCCAAAAGGGAAAAATTGGCCAAGAGAAAGGGGTAACAGGTTCCACGTAAGTTTGAAATCCAGCAGGGTAGATATTAAATCTTAAAGCCCCAAAATAATCTTTGACTCCATGTCTCATATCCTGAGTGCACTGGTGTGAAGAGTATGCCCCCAGGGGCTCTAGCAGCCCTACCTCCATGACTTTGCTGAGTGTAGCCTACATGGCTGCTCTTATGGGTTGGAGTCCAGTGTCTGCAGCTTTTCCAGATTGAAGTTGCACACTGCTGGTGGCTCTATAATTCTGGTGTCTGGAGGGTTGTGGCCCTATTTTCACAGGTCTACTAGGCAGTGCTCTGGTGGGGACTCTGTACAGGGGGATCCAACTCTACATTTCCCCTCAGTACTACCCTAGTCGAGGCTCTCTGCAGTGGCTCCACCCCTGTGGCAGGCTTCTGCCTGGGTGCCCAGGCTTTCTGATACATTCTCTGAAATCTAGATGCAAGCTGCCAAGCTGCCACCATTCTTGCATTCTGTGCACCTACACACTTAATACTATGTGAAAGCCACCAAGGCTTATGGCTAGTGCCCTCAGGGCAGTGGCCAGATCAATACTTGTGGCCCTTTGACCCACAGCTGCAAACTGAGGGAGGGATGCAGGGAGCAGCCCCCTGAGATGGAGCAGAACAGCTGCACCCTAGGAAATTATTCTGTTTTCCTGGGCCTCTGGGCCTGTGATGGGAGGAGTAGCCTTGAAAATTTCTGAAATACCTTTGGGTATTTCCTCTTTCCCGTTGTCTTGACTATTAGCACCTGGCTACCTTTTAGTGGTACAAATCCCTCTAGTGAGTGGTTGCTCTGTAGTGCCCTTGAATTATTCTTGAAATGCTCCTTCCTTCTCTACCACATGGCCAGGCTACATATTTTCCAAATGTTTATGCTCTGCTTCCTTTTTAATTATAAGTTCCACTTTAGGTCATTCCTTTGCTGCTGTATATGACCATAGCTGTTAAAAGCAGCCATGCCCCTTCTTGAAGCTTTGCTGCTTAGAGATTTCTTCCCTTAGATACTCTAGGTCATCACTCTTAAGTTTGGCCCTAGGGCATGAACACAATGCAGCTAAGTCCTTTGCTATGGCAACAAGGGTGACCTTTGCTCCAGTTCCGAGTAAGTTCCTCATTTCCACTTGAGATTTCATCAGTTTGGACTTTGCTGTCTATATTTCTATCAGCATTTTGGTCACAACCACGCAACTAATCTCTAAGAAGTTCCAGATTTTTCCTTGCTTATTTTTCTTCTTTTGTGCCCTCCAGACTCTTCTAACCTCTGCCCATTATCCAGTTCTGAAGCTGCTTCCACATTTTCAAGTATCTTTATAGCAGTGCCCCACTCCTTGGTACTAATTTTCTGTCAGTCTGTTTGTGTTGCTATATAGGAATACCTGAGGCTGGTCAATTATAAAGAAAGGGGGCTTATTTGGTGATATGGTTTGGCTCTGTGTACTTATGTACTTACCCAAATCTCATCTCAATTTGTAATCCCCATGAGTCAAGGGAGGGACCTGTAATCCCTTGTCAAGGGATGTCAAGGGAGGGGGGTGATTGGATCAGTTTCCGCATGCTGTTCTCTTAATAGTGAGTGAGTTTCCATGAGATATGATGGCTTTATAAGTGTTTAGATGTTCCTCCTTGGCTCTTCTCTCTCCTGTCGCCTTGTGAAGAAGGTGTCTGCTTCCCCTTTGCCTTCTGCCATGATTATAAGTTTCCTGAGGCCTCTCCAGCCATGCAGAACTGTGAGTCAATTAAACCTCCTTTGTTTATAAATTACCTAGTCTCAGGGAAGTTCTTTACAGCAGTGTGAGAAAGGACTAATACATTTTGGCTCATGGTTTGGCAGGCTGTACAAGAAGCATGGCACTGGCATTTGCTTCTGGTGAGGGACTCAGGATGTTTCCACTCATGGTGGACGGGGAAGGGGAAGGGGAGCTGGCATGTGCAGAGATCACATGGTGAGAGAGGAAGCAAGAGAGACATGGGAGGTACCAGGCTCTTTATAACAACTAGCTCTCTCGGGAACTAATAGAGCAAGAACTCACTCATTAACAGGAGGACAGCACCAAGCCATTCATGAGGGATCCACCTCTAGGACTCAAACACCCCCCATTAGGCCCCACCTCCAATGGTGGGGATCCAATCTCAACATAAAATTTGGGGGTACAAACGTCCAAATTACAGCAATATTTATCCATTTAGCTCTAGAAAACATTTAATCATTAAGAGACACTAGTTAAAAGGAAAATGCATCTATGGGATGAGGAGGTGGTTATAACTTAAATGATCATCCATTCATTTATGTAATCTCTATTCAATAAATATATATTGGATCCCTACTCCATGGTAAGCACTATGCTGGACCCTAGCTATGAAAGATAAAGAGGCTACAACAGCTGCCTAAAGTAGCTTAGGGCTAGGGACAATGCATGCACAGATGACCATTATGCAGTGTGATTCACGCCATTTCATAGGTGAGGAGAAAGTGATGGCAGACCATGGAGGCCCTGAGAGTAATGATGAAGCTTAAGGGGTCTAGGAGTTGACCACATAGACAAAAGAGAGAAGAGAATTTTATCGTTTTTTTCTTCATCTTTCTCCTTTTCTCTACTTCCTGAACAATTCTTCACAAAGATTTTAGCAGGGACCAAGCAGAGTGGTGTTTTCCAGGTACAGTGAGGGGAGCCTCCATGGTCTCTCTAACAAGGGGAGGAAGGTGTCTACACAGGAGAGTCAGGGCCCAGCATGGAGTGTTGGAGCCTAAGTGAGGCAAGAAAGGCTGCCACCGAGGAAAGTGTCCAGGTGAGGAGACAGTGGGACAGCCATAGAGATGGACCAAGTAAGGAAATATGTTAGGAATAATGTGGGTCAGATTTTTCACTGTTGGAGAAGGTACTTCCATGTATGGAAATGAGAAAAAAAGAACAACGCTTTAGTGTTGTATTAGAAATGGAGTTATCAGTTTGAATTCATGATTTTCAATACATAGAGAAATATGAGTTTGGGGTGTGTGTGTGTGTGTGTGTGGGTGTGAATGTTTATTTTCTAGCTTTGTAGGCTTAGAGTGCCTGAGATCAGTGACAAACTCCTAGCAGTTAGTACAACCAACATCCACATGTTTGGTTGGTTCCGCAGATGGGCCAGGGCAATTACAAGGTGAGCCTGCACAATCTTGTTCTGGAAAGCAACGAAGCACTCAAAGAATGACGAGAACATGCCAAAAAGACACAGAATCCTGCAGGAAGGTGTTTCCCCATGAACGTAAAAAAGACAACAATGGTAACAGATTAGAACCTTTTGAATAAAATAAGAATCAATGTACTCATATTCATATAAATAATTGAATAAATAAATTGAAAATTTGATGAAGAATAGGATGGCTACATAGGCTAAAAATATTACCCACAAAATATATGTTAATTGCAAAAGGAAAAAAAAAGTTACTATCCAGTGAAGAAACCTGGCAGAAACCACCTTAGTTAAGTGATCAATGTTAATATTAGAAATGGAAAAAATCCAAATCATGTGCTGCCGGTAGGATGCAATGAGGCACACATAGCATCACTTCTGTAATATTTTTGCCAAAAGTACAAAAAGCTAACTCTAATCATGGGGAAACATCAAACAAAGATAAACTCAGTTACATTCCCCAAAAGCTGTCCTGTAATCTTCAAATATGTCAAGGTCATGAAAGTCAAGAGAACATGGAGAAACCATTCTGAGACTATGACAACTAAAAGCATTGTGTGATTCTGGACTGGAACATTTTTGGGAAAATGAGGAAACCTGAATGTGATCTGTGGATTAGATGGTAGTAATGTATAAGTGTTAATTTCCTAATTTTGACAGTAGATAATATAAGAGAAATAGATTTTTTATAATATGGGAGAATTATCATTGTTTATGATACATACACATCAAAGCATTTAGGGGTTTAGGATGTCATGCTAGCAACTTACTCATAAATAGTTTAAGGAAAACAGTTCTTGCTACTATAGGCACAACTTTTCTATAAGTTTGAGATTACTTACTTTAAAAAAGGTAGGGAGAGATAATCTCCTATGGGGAGGCCTGAATATGTTATGAGTTAACACTTTAGAGGGAGCTCCTTTTTATCCCATTGAGAATATAGCTCTAGAAAACACAGCAACAGGGCGGTGCCTACTGTGGCTCTCCATGTACAGCTGGGGCTGGGATTCTAGTCATGGGGACCAGGCCTGGCTTTGCAAGTTAGCAGTGAAATATCTTTAGTTACAGCATCTACTTTTTCTAGATGGCTATTTTGTCCTCTGTAAAATGAACGGTGGACATAGCCTCCTTCCTGCCCTAAAATTCAATACTGTCATTTCATCTTTTAATATATTATAGCTTACCACAGGCTCTGTGGTGCTTTTTGTTGCAAAGTTCTCCATATCCATCTGCCCAAGGGAGACCCCTAGCTCATATAGTGTCACCTAGGTTGTCAGTTTGGCCACCTCTGCCTGGATTAATCTTTGTCTGGCAGGCAGGATTAGTGTCTGATGTGCAGAACTCCAGAAAGGAAGCATACCCTGGCCTAACAACACAGGGATGGCCTTTGAGATAACACTCTCTTCTGTCCCATATAACTCCAGAAGTGTAACTTGAAGCTCAGTTGGGAACTTGCCACAGAGAATGTTCCCTTGGAGGGCCTCCAAATGTTAATTCCAGAGATGATGGTGTAACAAGATGACCAGCCAGATGGGAAGCCCTGGTTCATGATGGGGTTCTCATCTCTCCACACCCAGGCCCATCTGAGTTTCAGAACACATCAGGAAACTTTAACAACCTCCACACATGCACATGCCAACCACACATAAGAAATACTCGTTCTAGTTGACATTTGGCCAATGGAAATTAATATGCTATAGTGTGCTGAGAATTCTCTTTCCTTAATAATAACCAGACTTAAGAGAATGAGAACAAGATGCAAGACTACTGAAAAATGAAGGGCAATCATCTGTATATCATATTTTTTCATCTAATGTAAATATCCAAATTCCAAAGGCAATTGGTTTTATATATAATTTAATTGGGAAGCATTCCATCAGGTATTTGTTATTAAGAATCAGAGATGTATCAGGAGGACTTGATTGTTTCAGGAAGAACACCAACAGGATTTAGAAGTTTCTTTGACCAATTACTGAAGTGCCTGGCACATAATTGATGCTCAGTAAGTATTTGGATGAAGGCATAAAAATATATTCACCTGTGACAATGATGATCCACACTGTCACATGCAGTGGACTCAGTCAGCTAACTATATTTTTAAAATATTGTGTAATTTAGGTTCTCTTAAAATTCCAAACCAGATGGAGATTAAATGAGAATTGGTTAAAATTAATGCATAATGTTTCCTGAATAAAATAGCTCACTCAATCTGAGAGGCCTTTTCCTGTTTGCTGGAATTCTGTTTCCCTTATTATTTTTTCAGTTCCAGGTAAGACTGTTTCGGGGGAGACTTTCTCCTCCAGATCCCACCTCTATAATCTGGCAGGTAAGGGCACCATAAACTGGAATGATGCTTCCTATTTGTACACTGAGATTTCTCTAGTGCAGCTCAACCCTGCCACAGGGATGATGGTTTGCTTGTAAAGCTTGGGTAATGAATAGCCCAAGATTTATTTTCACATTTATTTAGGACAATTTTCTCTCTGTCACTGTGCCAACACTATCAGCACAACTCAATGTTGCATAAAAAAGCACAAGCTTTGGAGAAAAAGAAAAAGGTCTGGGCTTAAATGTCTGCTCTGCCACTCATCAATTGCCTGACCTTGGGCTGGTTATTGGACATATTTGAGCTTCATTTTCTTCACAGGGTTGTTGTTCCAGTTAAACAAGACTACATTTACACAGTTCCTGGCACCTAGGAGGCCTGCAATTTAGTTCTCTTTTAGTTAATTTCCTGTGGGTCCATTTTGCTTTCTATCACCTCAGCTTTCTTGTTTTTCTATGAGCCCTTCCTAGTTCCCTCTTCTCTCTTGACTAGTCTAAAGCAAATCAATAAACACTAGCTCACCCTGCAGTTGGAACACCCCTGTAATGCTGTTACTTGGTCAGCATCTCCTTGTCCATCGTGAAGGGAAGGTAAGCATTTGGGATTCCTAGAGGTGCCCTGGTTGCCTTCCTCCAGAACCGAATTGTCTTACTTTATTCCATGATGGCATCAATAGATGCATGCATAATTTTTCAGCTCATATTCCTGATTTAAGTTCATATTTCTCCTCAATGTATACAGCCCCATCTTAAGATTTTTTCCCTTAGGGATAGGTTCAAATTACCTTGCCTCAATGTCTGTGGGTATTGAAGGTGGAGACACCAGCAATTACTGCAGTTAGCGTTTAGTACTGCAGTTATCTCCAAACCCCTGAGTGGCTGTCACCTATCATTAGGATCATTAGGTATTATGGTGTGTTTTTGGCACAGTAGACAGAGTGATTCTTTAAAACATGCCAGATAATAAATGACATTCTCCTGCTCAGTGCCCTCCAGTGGCTTCCCATCTCACTAGAATAAACCATCAGGCCCTCACATCCCAGGGCCTACGTGACCCTACGCGATGTGACCCTGCCTGCTCTCCAGTCTCCTCTCATTCTCTATCTTATTGGCTATGTTCCAATGCCACAGGCCTCTTTGCTGTTTCCCATGTCAAAGAACTCAAGATCCCACCTCAAGACTTTTGTACCTGTTGTTCCTCATGCCAGAATATTGATCTCCCCATATAGCTATACTATGAGGTTCTGCTCAAATGTCACCTCCTCAGGGAGGTCTTCCTGGACTACCCTGTCTAAATTAGCACTGGCAATCATCACTCTCTAGCCCTTAATCAGCGTTATTTTTCTACATACACAAACACACACTTGTTATTTATTTAAAGCCTAATTCTTCTTCTAGAATGTAGGACTTTGTTTCCTTCACTGGCAGTATTTCCAGTGAATAGAATACAGTAGTGCCCCCTTATTCGAGGTTTTGCTTTCTGTGGTTTCAGTTACCCACGGTCAACTGGTGTCCAAAAGTATTAAGTGGAAATTTCCAGAAATAAGGAATTTGTTAGTTTTAAATTGTGTGCCTTTCTATGTAGTGTGAAGAAATCACATACCATTCCATTTTGTGCTCCCTAGAGTGTATCCTTTTGCCCAGCACGTCCATGCTGTATATACTGCCTGTCTACCAGTCACTTAGCGGCCATCTAGGCTGTTAGATGGACTGTAGCAGCAACATAGTGCTTATGGTCAAGGAACAGTTATTTCACTTAATAATGGCCCCAAAGTGTAAGAGCACTGTGCCTAATTTACACATTAAACTTCCTCATAGGTGTATATGCATAGGAAAAAACCTCGTACTGTATAGGTAGGATTTGGTACTATCTGTAGTTTCAGCAGCCACTGGGGGTCTTGGAATATATGCCCTGTTGTTAAGGGGGAACCACTGTAGTGTTTGGTCCAGCAAAGGCACTCAGTGACTGAATGAAGTAATACATTAATTTAGGAATAGCCCTGAGGTTATTATGTAGTTTGGTAAGAAAAGGGCTGTGAAACCACTTTTGCTCGAAGACATTGTGATGCTATGTCTCCATAATATGAACAAGAACAGCAATGTAATAGCTTCCATTTATTGAACATTATGATGCTTTGCTCAGTAGGAATCTACAAGTTGTTTGTGATCATTCATAAGCTTATAATTTTATCACTTTGGTCTGTGGGAAAAATGTGCAGTGGTTTATTATAAGGTTATTACAAAGGATATGTGCAGTTTTTAAACTACTAAATGCACCATGAAAATTATATTCTCCTCTATTGATGTACACAGAATGTGGTGTCACAAGAGGCCCTCTTACAATTTTAGTCCTTTCTCTGACACATTTCCCGATACTCTACCTTCCCCTTACCATCTCCTGGCAAACAAATACAGACAAAGCCTCCTGGAGCACATGGTTGGGATTTCAAAACGTGAGTGCTAGTTCTGGACAGGTCTGGTTTAAATCGATGTGGACTTGAATGAGTTACTTAAAGTTTCTATGTCTCAGTTACTTCATCCCTTAAATGGGAATAATGATAGCACCTACATTATAGATATGCACTGAGTAAATGAAATAAGACATAATGTGATTAGCGTTAGCTGAGTGTGGTAGCTCATGCCTGTTACCCCAGCACTTTCGGCGGCTGAGGTAGATGGATCATTTGAAGTCAGGAGTTCGATACCAACCTGGACAACATGGTGAAACCCTGTCTCTACTAAAAATACAAAAATTAGCATGGCGTGGTGGTGTGTGCCTGTAATCCCAGTTACTTGGGAGGCTGAGGCCTGAGAATTGCTTAAACTCAGGAGGCGGAGGTTGCAGTGAGCCAAGATGGCACCACTGCACTCCAGCCTGGGTGACAGAGTGAGATTGTTTAAAAAAAAAAAAAAGACATAATGTGATTAGCATTAGCATAAAGCTATCACTGAACAATTATTAACATAGAAAAGGGCCCTAAGCATTTGGGACTTAGGACAGGCAGTCCTTGCCTCCCCAGAGTGTTTTCTTCTAACACGGGACAAATAATTTTCTTTAGAATATATTTTTAAAATTAGTCTGTGGAAATTTGTACAAATTCGCCAAATATGCAATTTGAAATGATGTCATATTTCTGCTGTATAAACACCTTTTGAAGGTGTAATTGTCCTCTCCGTTTTCACTGTGGTCAGCTATTGTACTCAGCAGCTACAAGTCTCGACCCTTGGGTGGAGTAGGTAAGTTTTCAGGATTTGTTTTGTTAAACTATTTTCATTTTTTTAAAATTGTTTATCTGTTTTCAGTTTTAGGACAAGTCGCAGCAATTGCTTTACAGAAAATGTTTTACTCTCTCCTAAATGTTGTGAGAGAAGTGGTTTCAGGAACAGGCCTAGGCTATGTCTGGTTCGCTGTGTGTGGGGTCAGATGGGAATAGAGCTCCACCAGGAGTGGATGGATTCAGGAGTCACGCAGTGGGAGACGAGCTCCTGTCCCTCCCTTACACCACGGCCACTCTATAACTTGGCTCTTTCTCTTTCTCTCTCTTTTTTTTTTCTTCTATTTTTCTTCTTAGCAAAAGCAGGCATTACTGACCTCACCAGGGTGCTAGGGCAATTTTATTAGTATTCCTTTTATTAAGCATCAGCTTTTATGTGGAAGAAGAAATATATATTCTTTTATATGGTTGCACACATGCACGCACACACACGTGCACATCTGAGGCTGGGGAGGACCCACAGAGACCTCCAAAAAGAAGAGAATCCAAGGGCATATCCCTGAAACGATCTTGAGTCAACTTTTAGAAGCAAAAAATTGCTCAAAAACAACTCTTTGTCTCTCTAGGGCAAATCTTATATAGGAAATGTCAGTGCAGAGCTCTGCTACCACGGCCAAGGTGTGTATGTGCAGAGATGGGGGTGTGGGCACTGGGGTAAGAGGGAGAACAAGAAACAGATATTACTCTAACAGAAATCATTTCCTATTTCTTGCATATCTTCCCACTCACAATAAAATATACTTTTCCAAATCACACATCAGCTGTTTGCAGTGTCAGAGGCAGAATGCCTGGGCTGTAATTTTTTTTCCAAAGGAAACTAAGAAATAGGTCATAAAACATTAATACTGCCTTAAAATAACTTAGGGTAGGGTGATCCCAAGATGAACTTGAGTTGAGCACCAGAGGGAAGCCGTACCTCCAGAGGAGAAATTTCATTAAAGAGGACTTGCCCTTTCCACAGAGAGGTCTAGGTCTGACTTCTTGAAGCTGGGAGGGCTTGTGTCACGCTGAGTGGGAATCCCAGCCACTTCACACATCTGTGGAGCACACCTCTCCTCCAAAACAGAAATAACTGGGGAAGTAAGGCAACTTCCTTCTTCTAAACAAAGGGACTCTGACACATCATCTGGGCCCATTATGGGGTGTTTTCAAATTTCCATAAGCTCAGTCAAGTTTAGGATTTCACTAATTTGGACATGTGATCACTTAGGAGGCACTAGACTGAAATACAGAGTAGTGGTTCAGCGCTCAACTTTAGGAGTCAGACCTGGCGAGAATCCTGGCTTTGCCACTTATTAGCTGTGAACTTGAACAATTTATTTATTTGCTCTCAGACTGCTTTCTCTTCTGTAGAACTGAAACAATAATACCTAATTATAATGTAGTTTTGAGGATTAAATGAGATAAGGAATGCACAACAGTTTATGATTTAAAAAGTCACTTTTTCATATTAATATTTACATTATTCTAAGCCCTTATCCTACTGATTATAGAAAGTCCAATTTTCTATTGGATCCCCTTTCTCCAAGATTTTGTTTGTTTATTTTATTTTGGTAGTTTTGGGGGAACAGGTGATTTTTGGTTACATGGATAAGTTTTTTAGTGGTGATTTCTGAGATTTTGATGTACCTGTCACCTGAGCAGTGTACACTGTACCCAGTATGTAGTCTTTTATCTCTCACCCCCCTCTCCTCCTTACCCCAAATCCCCCAAATCTATTATATTATTCTTATGCCTTTGCATCCTCATAGCTTAGCTCCCACTTGTAAGTGAGGACATACAATATTCGGTTTTTCCATTCCTGAGTTACTTAGAATAATGGTCTGCAACTCCATCCCGGATGCTGCGAATGACATTATTTCATTCTTTATATGGCTGAGTAGTATTCCATGGTGTATATATACCACATTTTCTTTATCCACTTGTTGCTTGATGGGCATTTAGGTTGGTTTCACATATTTGCAATTGCGAATTGTGCTGCTATAAACACGCATGTGCAAATGTCTTTTTCATATGATGACTTCTTTTCCTTTGAGTAGATAGCCACTAGTCTCCAAACTACTTTGGGGAACATCAGAGAAAGCAGCTTTTTTTCATTTTTAATTTTTTAGTTTTTTAAGATGGCGTCTCATTCTGTCACCCAGGCTGGAGTGCAGTGGCGCCATCTCAGCTCACTGCAACTTCTGCCTCCTGGGTTCAAGAGATTCTCCTGCCTCAGCCTCCCAAGTAGCTGGGATTCCAGGCATGTGCCACCACACCTGGCTAATTTTTGTATTTTTAGTAGGGATGGGGTTTCACCATGTTGGGCAGGGGTCTCGAACACCTGACCTCAAGTGATCTACCTGCCTCGGCCTCCCAAAGTGCTGGGATTACAGGCATGAGCCACCATACCTGGCCCAGAGAAAGTAGTTTTAAGTTCTACGTGTTAACCGGGTAGTCATTATTCCACTGAACAATTTCTGCTGCTCCAAATGTCTTGTGTAACCTCTTGCTATTGTATAGCTCACTTCTCTGGACTTGAATTAAAATAAAGCTCCAGCTAGCCCATATAGTGCCTTTGTGTCAATCACCAACAGGTGATCCTTCCAAATAGGGCCATGACTTCATGAACAGACTAGGCCTTTAAATGAATTAGAAAATGATGTCCTCTCTTTCTGAGTGGACTCAGCCCCATGTCAGAGTCCACAGTTTGTTGAAGAGAATGCTGGCTGCATTTCAGCCCTCACTCCTCTCCTTAGCCAGATGCTTTTGGATGATTAAAAAACCAATACAACCTTGAATAACAGGCCTAGGTAGTCCCTGGCTGCATGTAACATAAAACCCCAAAACAACACTGGCTTAAACAAAATACAAGTGTATTTCTTGCTCATGTAAAAGGAGGTAGGACTTCCAAGGTTGACCCGATGATACCATTTCATACTATCATCAGAGTCCTGGTTTCTGTTTTTCTGCTCCACCATCCTAAGTATGTGGCTTCCAGTATTAAGGTCATTTAATGGTCCATGATAGCCTTAGAGCTCATGCCATCTTATCCAAGTTCTAAATGGTAGGAAGGAGGAAGGATTGAAGATGAGTGAGCCCTTGTGCACATAAGGATTCTTTTGCATACATCTTGTTGACCAAAACTTCATCATATGACCACACCTGTCTGCAAAGGAAACTGAGATATGTATTAGCTAGGCACATGGTTATAGGTGCTCCTATCATTGAGGAGGTGGGGAAAATGGATATTAGGGGTGGGCCATTGGCAATTTCTCATCTTACAAGGCTTTTCTCATTTGCAACTCTACTCTAGGCGGGGACCTAGAGTACTCCCTTACAATTACCACTCCCTCGCCTGACTCAAAACAGCTAAGAGTCTAATTTAATAAAATTTAATTGAATGCAGAGGACGATAAGAAAATAACACTGCAGAGAGCTGAAGGCAATATTGCATAATGGTTAAGCACATTGGCTCTAGAGTCAGATTGTCTGGGTCAAACACTGGCTCTGTGATAATTTCTTAGCTATGAGACTATGGGCAGCATTTTCCCCTAAACTTTCTGGGCTTCTGGTTTCCCAATCTGCAACATGATAGGGTTGTTATGAGTATTAAATGAAATGATACACATGTAGTCCATTTAGTACAGAGTGGCTGTATTCCTACAAATTAGCACTCTAAAGGATTTGAGGGCAGACAGACAATGATATACCTCTGGCCATGGTTTCTTGTAGATCCCACTTACAAGAATATTGGTTTATCCTTCCACTCTGCAGTGATATTTATGAAGTGATATTTATGAAAGACCAACCAATACCTAAGTGACTGCTGATCTTTACCCTTGGCTTGCTTTATTGTATCCTTGAACAGCCAGAAAACTTGCATTTGAAGAGTTAGCATAATTCTCATTCTTTGTGGCAAGTTGAACACTTCATTTGTTTACCCTTGTCAGCCATTATGCATTAAAACTATTTGCCAGAAATAAATGGCAGAAAGAGAATGCACAGAGGGGTGAAGACTACAGAACGCACTCAGCTCTTTCAGAGTGTTTCCAGCATCTGACTCTGATGCTCATTAGCCACAAGTCAGTGGTCTGGTCTGCCCTGCCAGCTCTCCTGTATTTATCCAAGTGGGAGTGTATAGACTATATGGGATGGCCATATAGAAATACTTACCTTCTTAATTTTTTTTTTATTTTGAGAAAAATATTTTAGAGAAAAATAGAAATATAATGTGTCAGTGCTGTGGCAGGTATCAAACAGGTTAGAGGTGTATATGAAAATCATACTACTTAACTGAGAGAAAGTCCTCAAAGTGTTCAGTGAACAAGCAAAAATGATTATATATACGACTGTCAACAGTGATTCCTTTTAGGGTTTATAGGCTCTGATCCCCATTTGAAAGTCCTTGCTTTGCTCTCTATGGGCTGCCAAGCAGCGGAGGTCCCACTTCTCATGGGAATCTCTGGCTCCCACAGTGCTTCCCCTTGTCAGATACCCCGAGTTTCTCAGTCCACAGCATGTGAGATTGGTGGGGATCCTCCCTTGCCGCTGTCCAAGGCCATGGTGTTTCCTGTCTGAGCATGACTGACAGTGGAAACTTATTTTCTTCAGGGGATGCTCCTAACCCACCCAGAGGTACAGTCTGAACTCTATTGTCCTGACAAGACAATCATGAAAGTTGAGAGTACATTGCTCAAAATGTAGGTTTTCTGCAACTTAACTAATTCTGTATGTGGGCGCCAAATTTCTGTCTAAATCTGTATTTTCAAAAAAAATTTCTTTACATAAGCAAGGATATAGCATAGTTAAAGCTAGCTTTAGTTTATATTGTAACAAATACAACAATATCTTGATCTATAGCATCATCATTAGGACTTGGAGTGACTTCACAGGTTTTTTTTTCCCTCTAGACAACTATGGATAGGAACTAGCTTTTAGCTTTACAGTAGTAATAGTAAACTTTCCTGATAATAATATCAACTCCCTGCTCCCAAAATTATGTCCCAAAGGTCTCCATCTAGAGAAACTGAAAACTCTCAACCACTCCCAAATGGCACTCCAAATGCTTAAAAAGAAAATAAAAATTCTTTTTTCACTGGGGAACCAAATTGCTAGTGTTTAGCACATGATAAGCACTAAAACAGTATCTATTGTTCCTACCTGTTTCTTTCCAAAAAGGACTTTTTGAGTAAAGGACTTATGTAAAATAAGGTTACAATATTGTAAAAACAGGATCATGTGAAAAACAAAAAAGGCCTGTATTCACTGCAAAAGGCAGTATATTACTGTGAGCTTCCTTGCAGCAAGGACAAAGAAAGGAAATTCAGGAAGCTTTTTAACTCGGGGATGAACACGCACATCAATTCTGTAAGGGAGCAAGTTTTTCATGGCAGTGCATCCTATAGAAGACATTGAGAGACATAATAGGCAGTGTCCTTGAAAAAGCTAGAGGCACGGGGTTTTTGTGCAACTT
Organism: Homo sapiens; assembly: GCF_000001405.40. NCBI lineage: Eukaryota > Metazoa > Chordata > Mammalia > Primates > Hominidae > Homo > Homo sapiens. Next base: position 83,805,968 of record NC_000001.11, on the reverse strand, counting down.
TACACAATTCTAAGGGCATCTAGGCTTATGAGGAGGTCTGCCTGCGCTGATAGGCAGACATCAGAATACTTGGGGGAGCAGAAGAGAGGCGTGTACTTTTTAGGCTTGCTTTTTAAAATATTCCTTCCTCTTAGACATTTGAGGATGAACTGTCATTTTCAGAAGATGTGATAAAGACCAGAGGAATATTTGATAGAGTTGAATTTGAGCTTTGGAGAAATTGTATGTGTGTATGTATGTATGTATGTATTGCTGAGTGCATTGAATGTAATTGCAGACATGTTTATAACTATTTAAATATTAAATACAAGTTTGTTTATTCAAGTTTTTAGTCATAAAAATACAGAAATTTAACTAATAAAGAAAAAATTACCTACACTCTCATAATCTTAATATGATTACTCTGGTAGTTTAAAAAACTTTTTTTTTTAAGTTTTGTTTTTATTTTTATATCAGGGTAGTTGAAACAATTTAAAAATTAAAAAAAATTTTTTGCAGAGACAGGGTCTCACTCTGTCACCCAGGCTGGAGTGCAGTGGTGTGATCATGGCTCACTGCAGCCTCAACCTCCTGTGCTCAACAAATCCTCCCACCTCAGCCTCCCAAGTAGCTGGGACTACAGGCATGCAACACCATGCTTGGCTCATCTTTCAGAGATGAGGTCTTGCTATGTTGCCCAGACTGGTTTTGAACTCCTGACCTCAAGCAATCTTCCCACCTTGGCCTTCCAAATTGCTGGGATTACAGGCATGAGCCACATCCCCCAGCTACTATGGTGATTTAAAAACATCCATAAATTACTTGATAATCTTTCTTTCCAAAGAAGAAAGCTAATTCTCCTCCCTTTGAGTAAGAGCTGTACTTAGTGACTTGATCCCAACAAATAGAATGTGGTAGAAGTGAGAATGTATGACTTTCTAGCCTGGGTCACAGCAAACACTGTGGCTTCCTCCTTGTTCTTGGTTCACTCACTCTGGAGGAAGCCAGCTGCCACTTTGTGAGGACACCTAAGAAGCCTATGTAGGGGCCCATTTAGCAAGGAATTGTGCTTCCTGGCAATAGACAACAAGAAACTGAGCCCCCACTGCCACCAGCCATATGCATGAGCCTTCTTAGAAGCAGATCCAAGAGCCCCAGTCCAGCTCTCACATGACTGCAGCCCTACCCAATAGCTTGACTGCAATCTTCATGGAAGACCTTGAGCCAGAACTACCCAGCTAAGCTACTCCCAAATTCTTAGCATGGAGAAACAGTGAGATAATAAATGCTTGTTGTTTCAAATCGCCGAGTGTTGGGGATAACTTAGTCACCCAGCAACAAGAAGCTAATATAACCAGCATTAATACTCTTCTGTTTATTTACTTCCATTTTAGCCCTCTGCTGTAGAGATGCTTGTGCTTGATAGGTCCAATCAAAATGTACATAAACTTGTCTCCTATGTTTTTCACTGAATGGTGGAGATGCAGTATAGTGGATATAGTGGAATGACTGAAAATGCAAATCATGCAGTTAGCTTACTTGGGTTTGAACCCTGCCTCTTCTCTTTCTGTGTGATTTTTGGTCTGTCATTTTCTTTGTGCTTAATTTTTCTATTTAAACTGGAAATGATAATAGTACATTGGGTTATTGTGAGGATTAATGAGTTTATAAAATGTTTAGAAGAGTATCTGGTGCATAGTAAGCAGTCTAGAGGAGTGAGCGATTTCTATACTGCATAACTTAAAAAAGTTTTTTTTCTTGAAGACAGGGTCTCACTCTGTCATCCAGGCTGGAGTGCAGTGGTGCCATCATAGCTCACTGCAGCCTTCAAATCCTGGGCTCAAGCAATACCCCCATCTCAGCTTCCCATATAGCTAGGACTACAGGTGCATGCCACCATGCCAGGTTAATTATATATATATATTTTTTTAGAGACAGGGTCTTGTTATATTTTCCGGGCTGGTCTTCGACTGGCCTAAAGTGATCCTCCTGCCTTGGCCTCCCACCAAAGTCTTGGGATTATAGGCATGAGCCACTGTATCTGGCCATATAACTATTGATAATTACTTTTAATGACTACATAATACTATCTCTAGAGAGGCACCATGTTTTCCTCATCATTTCTCTAATATTAATAAGTTAGGTTATCTTGAAATTTTTTGCCATTATAAATAATTCCATGATAAACATATTGGGCAAAATACAATTTCATCAGATAATCTCAATATGTAAACATTGAAACTAGCTCAAAAGTGCTCTTGAAAGTGGTAAGACTATGCTTTAAAAAATTCTGTAGTTCAGATTGTCAACTACCCAATCTACACTTCTGTTAATGAATGACTTTGCAGCTTTAAGTGTATTTATATTATGTGTCTCTTCACGAACCTTTGTTGTAGCAGGTCTGCATGTAGTCTGAGTGGAAATAGCTCTTAAATAGAGGCTCAGAGATCTCAGGCACTGACTTCAGTTGAGTTGTGCTGCATCAAAACTCGTAAGTGAGCTAAAGCCCAGGTATTAGGGACCATGGTTTTAGATAGCTGGGGATCAAGAAACTTAAGCTTAAGTTTTGGTGCTGCTGCTTACTAGCTGTATGAGTTTCAGCAAGGTCAAGGCTTATTTTCCTCATCCATAAATGTATAGGATAATAAGTCTTACCTTATATGGGGTGTAATGGGGATATAACAAAGTAGCTTTTGTCCAAGTACAAAGTAAGAATAAAAGACTGTTATTATTTATAGGACTGTGAGCTTCATGGAGACAAGAAACTGTGCTTTTTTTCTCCTTCCTGTGAATGAATCCCATTGCAGCTTTGATTGTGGTTGAATCACCTATGGAAGCCATGCATCTTCAGCATGTAGCACATAATGGACACTCAGCAAATGACAACTGAATGAGCAAACTAATTACTCTGACCTTGAGCAGTGACTTGTGTGACCTCTGGCAATTGGTTCACCATCTGAATCCCTCAGCTAGATACCTCCCTCTAATGCTGCTCCTCCATCGACAGGCATTCCTCAGCGGTCAGTTGTTTCCCAGCCAGAGCCCGCACTGGCACTGATGTCTGCTATTATCACTGGAGAGGCCCCGGGACTTCACTTGATGCTATCCCACTGGGATGACTGAGAAGAAGTAGGAGAAAATCAAGCAAAAGCGTGGGCTCGTCTAAGTGTTTCCTCATCTGTTTCTTGGTATCTTCCTTGCTTCCCTGCTTCTCCCAGCCCCAGACTTCCTTGTCTTCTCTCTTCCATCCAGAAAGACACACATGCCCCTTCTAAGTATCACTTTAGGGCTGAAGTCCAAAGTCTTCTCTTAGCTGAAATTCACTGTGCACTTGCCACTTGGCAGAGACTGCAAACAGCTCAGTGCGTGTTTTCATAGTCAGCATTAAAATAATAATTGCCACAACACTATTAAAGTTTTCCTCATTGTTGTAACTGTTGGCAAAGGCAAATGTCTGGGGAGATTGACTCCCTGGAAAGCTTCATTATGCTGCGAGAATATTTTTGATAAAATTTCAGCAGTTCCTGACTGTCAACTTCACTATGTGGTTTTTTTTAAAGTTGTCCCCCACCCCTCTCTAACAGGTCCTCCAATTCACAAAAACATTCAGGTCAGTTGTTGAGTAACTGAATCTTTCCAAGTAATTAACAGGTAGAATTACCAGGTAGCAGGCAGTGTTTGCTTGTAATCCGTCAATAGTAGTTGCAGTGGGGCTAATTGTCATCTTGAGTGGCCCTGCAACCACATCTAATTAAAAGTGTCAACAGAGAGTTATTTCTGTCTTTTGTTCCCACTGCTAGGTTGTACGTGTTTACTTCAGAAATCCAGGCTCAAAGTAAGACAGATATTTGGAACATGTGAATATACAGGAAAAACATTCCCCAGCAACTCAAAGTACGTAAAAGCATTTAGGCCTCATTCCTCTGTCCACCTGACTTTTTTGGTTTGTATTAGTTTATATATTCAAGGCAGATATACAGTATCTGATAAATGCAAGAGGGACATGATGCCTTTTCCTAAGCAGCAAAGTTATACTTTGCCAACTTGACTGGGAGCTGGGCTGAAGGGACAAAGGCAGGAGTCTTTTAAGACTCACTAACACTTACCTAGTAATGGCAGTGGCTGCCACTACAGCTAGGTTTCTTGCCTTTGATTCATATTCTTTCTTTCTTTCTTTCTTTCTTTCTTTCTTTCTTTCTTTCTTTCTTTCTTTCTTTCTTTCTTTCTTTCATGCTTCACTGAACTGTTTTCCAGTTCAAGGTAGGTAGATCTGCCAAAACTAAAAAGCCTAGATTGCATATAGAACATGCCTGGATTTACAGAGCAAGGATGCAGGAACATATTTTTCCATCAGCAGAGTCTGGGTCTTGGCTAACTTAAAGTTTTGTGACTGTTCTTGGGATCAGCCCTGGGTGAAGCCTCTGTGAGGTCCAGCTGACTACTTCATTCTCATAAATACTTTCTTTGAAATCTCCTTGATTGAATAAAAGCATTTCTTGTTTTATATTTAGAGACAGGATCCCATTTTCTTCCTTTCATTCTTTTTTTGTTGTTTTTTTTCCTCCTGACTCACATATAGAATCAAGATGTTGGGTTCCAGAAGCCCATATGCTAATTCACAGATGGCTTTTAGGGATAAATTTTTTTCTTGCCATTTGAATCATTTAGGTAATGTGCTTTATTTTCCAATACAGAATAAAAAACACTCTAAATAGACATCAGTGTCATATGGTGCCTAATGATTTCTTCAGGTACTGCAATCAATATCATTTGGTGATGGTAGTGAATGAGACACAAATATTACTATGAGGTTTTTCTTGGACTTGCTTTTTTGAAGATTTCATTTAAAGTTGAATTCTAAAATGTTGAGAATACAACAGCCGGTATTCAACATTTGTTTTGAATTTATATCTAATCAAGATAATAGATTCTCTTCATACCTAAGAAGAAACTAAAAAAAAAAAAAAAAAAAGGCAAAACTAGGATGCAAGAAAAAGTGATGTACTTACAACCAATACGTTCTATTGATATATTTTAACTTTAATATTAATTGATTTTTTACTGGAAAGGGAACAAGTGAGCATGCAGAGAACCAGTGCTTTCACGAGGCATTGCCATAGGCATTCAAAATCTATTTGGTTTTAGTAGGTCATCATGCGAAGGGAAAACCAAACATGAGAAAGAAAACTCATTGGAAACTTACCTCTATAACATTCAGATGATTAAAAATCTATTTCCTCCACACCCACATCTTTTATTAGACAGCCACCAGCAAATACACAGGTGATCCCTGTAACTTTAGGTATAAAGAACAGAAAATGTGTTACAAGCCTATCCACGATATAACTAAGCTTCATTGTATAAGTCCCACTCTTACAGGGATTTTTGACAAATTCTGTGGCAACCTGACAGATGTGTCATAATGTCTAATTCCTTTAAAACCCCAAAGCTCTTAGAAAGTAGATGTTTTAAAAGAGCAGATTGGAAAACATGCTGTTCTTGTCTTGAGCTTTTTTCTTCAGTATCTGTACTGCCCCCCAATCCCTTCCTTCTGCGAAGTACTACAGGAGAGGCAAGATGTAAATCTAGCATTGAAATAGTACTAGGGAAACAGGAGCTAAATAGGATTTCCCTGCAGCTGAAACAATAAAAATAGAAAGAGGTGAACCTAAATGAGCTGGCCTTTCCCCAACTAAAACCCCAAAGCTCTACCATTTAATAAGAAGACTGCTTCAACTGAACCACTCCATGGCAGCATGCCTGCATACCTGAGTTAAAGAAATACGTTCCAGATTGGAGTCTGGGAGGGCAAGAGAATAAAAGTAGGGATATTCTCATAATGAAAGAAATAAGAACTGCCTCTCCCCCGTCAAAGATCCTCCCCAACCTGCTCAGTGTTTTTGAGCTCAGGTCCATATTTCTAAATTGTATAAATCCATGCTTAGAGTGCAGCATGGTGCCAGATTCAGTGGAGGCCAGGAGATGCTTTCATGGAGTGAAGTGACACCCTCAGAATTGCACACAGTTGTGAGGTCTGCTTCTGAGACATTTGGACAACTGCCATGAGGAAGGGAGGGAGGAAATTGGGCCAGTTTGCCTTCTGTTACAGACCAGCCTTTTGGATGACAGAATTCTTTCCAATCAAAATGCCATGGATTACTCCCTGCTGTGAGCTAATAGGGTGCTAATTAGCATATTTCATTTATTTACTTAACTGGGATAGAAACCACTGGGCACGTGGCCCACTTAGAATGGTTTCCTGGGGAAGCTATGAACTGTTCTAAGTGTTACCTTCATGCATTAAGGAAACCAGTTCACAGAAGCACAATACCAGGCATTCCCCCTTCCTTCTCCCATCACACCTCCCTCCCCCAACACACACACAGGCAGTACAGACAGGGGCTTGAGTCTAATCTGGTCTCACTTCAATAAGAATCTGAAATGAGAAATGAAATTGCATGGCCATTTCCCATAGTTCATCTCCATAAATGGTTTTTGGCAACTGCATGGACCATTCTTGACTTGCTGCTTCACCTGTAATGATGACTCTGGGGCATCAGCAGAAGCAGAGGCCTCTCCTGATCTCTTTATCACTCTCTCTCTCTCTGACTGGGAGCCAAATTCACACAGCAAGTGAAGACTGTTGCTGGGTCCCAGGGCCCTCTCTGGACTATTAACTTGGGGAATCTTAAAACACCTGTTTGACATAGTTTTCTTTTTACTTTGGGAACAACTCACTATAATTCTCAAGCTGCACTGAAGTACTTTTAGGTTCTTTGGAGTTCCATATCTGTTAATCTCTCTAATGGCATATTTTCAGTTTGTTCAGGGACAAATCATTAACAATGTGCAATGAAAACAAAGCAGCCAAAACCTCCTATGCAAGGAGGAATGGATCCCAATCTCAAATTTCTTCCTGTGGTGAGGGGGCCTGTATGCTAAGCAGGAATACCAAAGGGCTGAAAAATAGGCAGTCAATTGTCTACCAAGAACTCTGCTTGAGTGGGCAAAGAGAGAGAGAGAAAAGAAAAAGGCAACCTTACACAGTAGGGGTGTTTTTCTCCAACCTGGTAGAAATCAATATGTGTAAGGGCTTTTGTGGTATTTCTGCATAATCTTTATTTCTGAGGACTCAGTTAACAGCACCATGATACTCTTAGTTGTCCAAGCCTAAAAATCTTGGTGTCATCGTGAATATTTTCTCTTATTCCAAGCAGTCACTAAGTCTTGTCATTTTTGCTTCCTGATGCTTTTCAGCTGTGTCTTCCCTCCTTTTCCATTGTTACTGCCAAGTTCAGGCTAAGTCACCTGCCACCTAGACCCTTGCTACTTAAAACATGCTCCATGGACTAGAGCATAAGCCTCACTTCGGTGTTGGCTAGAATTTCAATGACTCTCTCACCCTCAGGACAAATCAGACTTCGCCTTTTAACAAGGCCCACACATGATTCATCTGTCCATTAAAATTTGAGGAGCACTGAGCTAGGCCAGCATAGGCTGCCATCTTGCTTGCTTCTGCCGTCTATTTCCTCTCTGCCTCCCATACACATCCTCATGGTCCACAGATCTGTTTATGATATTCTTCTGCTTAAATGCTTCCTGGCTGGGAGTGGTGACTCATGCCTGTAATCCCAGCACTTTGGGAGGCCGAGGCGGGTGGATCACCTGAGGTAGGGAGTTTGAGACCAGCCTGACCAACATGGAGAAACCCTGTCTCTACTAAAAATACAAAAAAATTAGCCAGGCGTGGTGGCACATGCCTGTAATCCCAGCTATGGGGGAGGCTGAGGCAGGAAAATCACTTGAACCCGGGAGGCAGAGGTTGCGGTGAGCAGAGATAGCGCCATTGCACTCCAGCCTGGGCGATAGAGCGAAACTCCGTCTCAAAACAACAACAACAACAAACTTCCCATAGCACTCTATAATCTATAGCAGCTGTGATATTTTCAGTCCACAATATCAGGTAGCCATAAAGCATAGCTTTATTTTTCTATATGGAACATAGCTTCTATGTCAGGTTTTCTATACTGTATGTATGACGGAGAATTTCCTAGTTAATTCTAGATGATCACAGTTACTTCATGTTAGCTCAGCCATTTCAAATTTAAACTTAGTTGATCATGATTTGCTGTTCTTTACTTCTCACCTCATAGTGACATCAAAAATCCAAGGGATCTCTATAGTTTCCTGGTATCATCTGGAAAGTTCATTGGCCATTTGCTGGTGTCTGTCCATGTTGGAGCAGGTCTTCAGGCACCGTCATCACTCCACGCTGATGTTCACCAAGTGGCCAGACCCCCATGTTTCCATATGGTCTCTGAGTTTACCACCTTTTCTGCTTTCTCTTCTGGCATATCTTTGTAATAAACTTTGGGATAATTCTTTTCTTTTTAGTTGATTTATGAACCCATCTTGGGGGATACAGAAAGACTTGACTGTTCTCTGTGGCCAAGAGATGCAGCGGGGCTGCCCAGATCCTCTGTAACCCACACACACCCACAGCTATTATTCTCCAGCATTTGTGTCTGGGCACCTGAAGTTTCTAATATACTTTTCAGCTTTTCTTCTTCTTCTACCACCCCAAATTTTGCACTGTATCCTATCAAATGAAGCACAGATTCCTCTGTATCTTCAGTCTCTTTATAGAACATCTCCTTCACTTTAACCTAAACTTTGTATAGGCTCATAATAAATAAATAAATTAGTAATAATGATATTCTACCAAGTACTTATAATCTTGAGGCCTTCGAACTCTGGGCCTACTGATATTGCCAGCAATATACCATAGAGAAAACTCAACTCACATGGTTTTATGTGGATCACTTAGTGTCTTTGCATCCACATGTAAAATGCTTATAAGAATTATGAAAGGAAAATAATTCTCAGGACCCCCAAATCACTAAGCCAAAGGGAATAGTCAAGCTGGGAACTGCTTAGGGCAAATCTGCTTCCCATTCTATTCCTAGAAAAGATAGCTGGGCACAGTGGCTCATGCCTATAATCCTAGCACTTTGGGAGGCTGAGGTGGGTAGATTCGAGGTCAAGAGATCGAGACCATCCTGGCCAACATGGTGAAACCCTGTCTACTAAAAATGCAAAAATTAGCTGGGTGTGGTGGCACGCGCTTGTAGTCCCAGCCACTCGGGAGGCTGAGGCAGGAGAATCGCTTGAACCCAGGAGGCGGAGGTTGCACTGAGCCAAGATTGCGCCACTGCATTCCAGCCTGGCAACAGAGTGAGACTCTGTCTCAGAAAAAAAAAAAAAAAAAAAAGATAGCTACCAGAATAAAAAAGCTACATACTTTCTTTGTAATTTGACCAAAATGAAATTCCTGTGGATAAAGAACAGATGGAACTCAAAGTCATCCCTTTGCTCACATGACAAATGCCTGTCTGATTGCTTCCTTTGCCCTATTGTTTCACTAAGCCAGACGAAGGCATAAGTGGCTATTCCTGTAAATCGTGTATTCAGTGAAAGAATCAGAAACTCAGAAGAATGCAACTGTTTGTCTTTTATCTACCTGTGACCTGGAAGCCCCCTCCCCTCTTCAAGTTGTCCCACCTTTCTGGACTGAATCAATGTACACCTTACATATATTGATTGATGTCTCATGTCTCCCTAAAGTGTATAAAACCAAGTTGTGTCCTGACCACCTTGGGCACATGTCATCAGGACCTCCTGAGACTGTGTCACAGGCACGTTCTTAACCTTGGTAAAATAAACATTCTAAATTAATTGAGACCCGTCTCAGGTACTCTTGGTTTATAGAATAATACTCTGCCAGATAATTATGATATACTTCGAGACCCCTGGGAGAGCAAAACCATAGGTAGCCTTTGCATTTCTCAGTTTGTCCTATTTTGTCCAGAAATGTTCTCCTATTGTATTTTCACGTGCCTTATTTCACCTATTAAATATTGGGCAACCCATCGGGAAGTAACTATTTCCATACTTTATTTTATATCTTCATAGTAATTAGTACAATATTAAGTAAACAGTCGATATCTATTGAATGCATATCAAATTAATAAATATATAGAATTCTACTCCTGTATTCACTGAAATATGTGAAATGCCCTCTGTTTCTGGGAAGTCTATGATATGGCTTGTTGCTTTATTCAAAAGTGTCTTAATTTTAATATCACAGCTGTTTCTTAATTTAAACCACTAATACATGGCTTCAGAGTTATAGTGGTACTTTGTCAGAGGTTAATACCAAGTGTTCTTATTGAGGGCAACATCCTTAGAAACTAAACAGCACATATTGAACAACAGTGTATTATCCTCTCATTCAGGAATGTATTAGTTCAGTTGTTAATAAATTAATGAATGAATGAATGTACTTACTCCTCACTGATTTATTTAAATCCTCCCAGAGCACTTATTTTGGAATTCTTACCTAATTTCTCAAGTCTTGATTTGAAATCTCCATCTCCATAAAGCCTAACACCTTCTATGTTGATTTCCAAATGGATGTGACTCCCTCTTTTTAAACATTTGCCGTATTCTATCTTGTAGAAATTTACTATTTTCCTGATCAGATTTGAAATTCTCTTCAGAGTAGAAACAGTATGGTCCTTCTTTCTGCGGCATAAAAAATGCCATACAGTAAATGTCCCATAACGATTTGAGTCTGGTCAACTAAAATAGCAGGACATTCCAGTTTTATTTTTGAACATGTGATATTATTTCTTGTGGAAATATTATGGAAACTATCAATAAATATTTTGGTATTATAGCCCACATCTCCTCCTAAGAATTCTTCCTAATAACTGAGCTCTCCAAAACATCAGCAAGTATGTTATTTGCTAGAAACTTCTAGGAAGAAGGGAAAGAAGAGTCTCTGATTTATTTATTTACTTATTTACTTACTTACTTATTGGTTAGTACCAGGCTGCTCTGGGCTCAAAGTGAGGAAGAGAATTTATGACTCATTCAAAATAAATGTATAATAATACAATTATTTATATATCTTTCATTGCCAATGCCTTAAATCATAAATGTATCCACATTTGATATGTATTCTGCTCCTCTGAGCGTCCATGTCGTTTCTACTGGAGAAGTAGCCATGGATCTTATGAACTGGTATGCAGTAAGTTGATTCAAGCCCCAAATCGAGAAGCTTTCCCTAAAGAGAAAGCTACCTTTCCAACTGGGCACCATCAGTTATGAAATACATAACCCTGGTGAAAACACTTAAAAATTAGACTGCAACTAGGTTTTCAATTTTAGGGAACACACTGAATAACAGTTGTGACTGTCTTTCATATATTATAGAAATAAGATAGAACATGTTTAGGGCAAATAAGAGGCAAAATAGTGTCATTATTAAAGGTACCGAGCTAGCTTTCAAGTATCAGTGGGCTGGGGTTTCCCTGGTTTACTCAGAATAAGACCTGATAAAGTATGTGAAAATGCAAGTCAAATTTCTAAGTCTAGCTCTCTGGGCTATGCTCTTTCTAACGGACCAAGTATTAAAGCTGGTCATGAAATCTGCATGAATCTAGCACTTCCTTTCCTTAGTAATTCAGTTTTCTTGGTGAGCAGATTATGAGGGAATGTTTTGGGGGAAAAAGAATACTGTACTTGGAAGACCAAAAGCATTGATGGAAAACTACGCATATCCTTCTCCTGCTTCTTTTGAGGCTCAAGGCTATGTATGGGCTTAGAGGAAAGCCAGACTATCTTTCATGAAACCTCCCACTCAGAAACTTCTGTTAAAGGATAATTTTATTCCTCAGCTTACCCATGAGTTTCCTAGAGGTCATTCTAAGGACATGTTTTTTCTTATTGTATGTAATATAAGACAGAGAAGGTCATATGGCTGTAAGCCATAGTTGCTGTTACAGGGAATGTTGTGGTTTGAGAAGTGTAGTAAGTTATATAAACCAAGGATGTGGCCCAGGTTTGCTGTCTGTGGGAATGTGGAAATGGAGTTATTCTTCAGTTCTCTGGTTAATTAGTTAATTGTTAGAGGATGGTGAGCAATATACAGGTATATCAAAACTTGGAGAATTTTAACCAGTTTTTTTTTTAATGCCATTACTTTTAATGGCAAAAACCACAATTACTTTTGCACCAACCTAATATAAGGTTGGAAACATTCTAGGAGCTGCAGTTGAATATTCTGTAGCATGACAGTCCATGAAAGCAGAAAATCTTTGTTAAACAAGGGTGGCTGGGCAGGTATGTGAAGATGAAGTAGATGAAGTCCCTCTCATATTTTGGTTTCCAAAACAGGGCCTTTATTTATTCTTTTGGAGTACTTGATACTTGTGAAATGGAAAAGTGCTAAAAAAAAAAAAAAATGACCTCTCCCTCTCCCCTGGAATTCCAGGACAATCTCACCTTCTGCGTCTAATAGCCTACAACGGGAGAAACTAAGAAGCAACATGGGATTTGGAGGGATAAAAACAAATATGATCTTTCTCCCCTAGGATGTAGCAATGGTTTATGATCCAAACCAGCAAACATAAAATTATTGGAGAAAAATGTACAAAACAATGGAGAATAAGTGGATGGAAGACAGTGACCTGTGAACTCTGCAGTGATGGGATGTTTTTTTATTGCCCTGAGGTCACTTTCACTAAAGCTGATGATACCTTAGGCAAAACCCCCTCCCCAGACTTTTTGGTGGGCAGATTCTGTTCCAGGTCTCCACCTCAGGATTTTCAAATCCAGTCATGTGTCACTAAAAGATGGAGATATATTCTGAGAAATGCATGGCTAGGGGATTTCATTATTGTGTGCCCATCATAGATGTAGTGTACTTGTGATATACCCTATATGTAGTGTACACAAACGTAGATGGTATAGCCTGCTATACAACTAGGCTAATGGTATAGCCTATTGCCCCCAGGCCAGTTGCTCTTAGGCTACAAACCTGTACAGCATACTCTAGACAATAGTAACACAATGGTACTTGTGTATCTATACATATTCAAACATAGAAGAGGAAATACATTGTGCTATGACATTCCATCACCAGGCAATAGAAAATTTTCAGCTCCGTTATTATGTTATGGGATCACTGTCCTATATGTGCTCTGCCATTGACTGAATGCCATTATGTGATATATGACTGTACCCATATCTTAGAGTTAACCTAGAGGTGGTGGCCTCAGGTAGTTCATAAAGGCTCTGGCTCACGGGATACCAGCTAGACATAGCATGTTGGCATTTCATCAAATTAGGCCATGTCTCCTTGGGTTGAGTGATTAGATGAGATGTTCAGTGAGAGCTGTATGTTGGTAAACTAGAAAGGTCACCTTTTATTCATCACTAGATACAGATGAATTTGTAGGTGCCCTTGGTGTCTCATTTTGTAGACATTATATATCCCCTTAGAGCTGGTGGGTCATCAGAAGCTGGTGAAATGCTCAGACAGATAATGTTCACATTAATAACTGGGGTTTTCATGGCAAAAGCAGAACAACCCACTCTTTAGGAAACACACTGTGATCCCTTTGGGGTAAATGCAAAGCTTGATGAACTCCTGCCTTCAGTTGGTGTCCATATACTGGTTGGAACACCTGACCTTGGGTTTGGAGAGAGATGAGAACATAAAACTGAGATTCCGTATTATTTGTATAATCATATTTGCAGTATGGGGCCAACTCTTCAGATTTATTGCTGAACAGAACTTCCATAAGTTGGCATCAGGACAGTAAGAGTGCAGGACTCATCAGGCAAGGTAAATAATACTGGCAGCAGCTAGCTAGGATCAAGGCAAAGCCTGGGTTTTCCTGAACATGGGTCATAGGAGTCTGACTAATAAAGACCTGGAAACAAGAGTAAATGTGGGCAACAGATAATGAAAAGCACATTTCTTGCCACGCCCAACTTGATGACAGAAGTTTCTTGGGTTACTGATACATAAGGAAAGAAGAAAGGGGCTTAGAATAGGGTAAGAAGCTAGCTAAATTGCCCAGATTTGTTTTTTATAACTGTCTGTAGCCTCTGAGACTATGATCCTAAAGCTCTGACTCAGGACCAGTCAGCTGGTCACTCTGAGCATCATAATTTCCCTTCTTGTGGTTAAGGACTGGAGTGTGGCTGGAGCTAGAGTCAGCAGATATTCGGGTGAGTAGCATTGCCAGGGAGAGGTTGTCTCTGGATGATAGTGGCCTTCCCATTGCTGTAAAGGAATATTCAACTTGCAGGCACATCTCTTCTGTAGGCAACAATGGCTGATGAGTATGTGCAGCAGAGGTTTTTCTGGCTTTAGGTCAGGTTTTGGTAGCCTAGTCTACCAGCTCCTAAAGGTCTTGGGATCACAGCTGGGGTTTTCTGTGTGTTTTATGTTACAGGACTGTGGGGCAAGTGAAGGGAGACTACCCCTTAGAAAGGTGGGCAACAGTCCCATTTCCCCTTGGGTCCTGCCAGTGTATCACTGTCTATCTCTTTCTAGGCAGGTCACAGGATATATTGCTTGGCATTGCCACATGTCAGTGGTCTCTGTGGCCGGAGAAGAGGCCTCATTCTCTTCTCTGCTTCATGAAAGGGCCAGAACTCACTGCTTGCTAAATACACCCACATATACACACACACAAATGGCAGGCACTGCATACCTGGAACTTAGTATCAAAATGGCTAAAAAGTTAAAGGCATTTATTGGCTCAAGTAAGTTAAAAGGGAATAAGTAGAATGTACTAAACAAAGTGTATACAGTGGATCAACCATTTCACCAAACACCTATTTCATTTTGTTTATCCCCCTAACTTCCAATATTGACTTTAGCCCAAAGCTGGCCGACTTGAAATGGCTTTGAACATCTCCTGAGGCAATATGCCTTTTCATTCATATCCATCAGGAAGTGAAAATGTGTCTCCTTTTCCAGAATCTCTAGACACCATCTCCTGTTGACCCATTAGCCCAAACTGGATTATGTGCCTGTTGTTAAACCAATCATGGTAGTCTGGGAGATGAGTTTCACTAACAGGATTATGTTAATCAGGGCCTTTTAGAGGTATTTAAGCCACTAAATTATTTTTGATATTTTAAATAAAGTACATAGTGATACTAAACATAATCATCACTTTTAGAATAGTAGAATTATTCTAAATTAATAAAAGAAATCTTAGTTTCCTATTAATTCCATGAAG
Source organism: Homo sapiens (assembly GCF_000001405.40). Taxonomy (NCBI): domain Eukaryota; kingdom Metazoa; phylum Chordata; class Mammalia; order Primates; family Hominidae; genus Homo; species Homo sapiens. The sequence continues at coordinate 83,790,885 of NC_000001.11, read as the reverse complement.
GACAGGTAAAACACAAAAGACTTGCCAATCTGGTTAATATTTAAAATACATCGTGGATGAGGTTGGCTAAAGCCACATTTCTTGGAATTTTGAAAAATATCTTATCTTCAAATAGATGCCTGGTCTGCCCTATATGATTTATGTGAAATCCCGCTTTGATGCTGGAGGATGGAATAGATAAAGGCTCTCACAGATCCTTATGTCTCTACAATACTAGAAAAATGCATAGGAAATAGTCTACATTCTTCTTACCACAGAGCAAGCAATAAAGCCATACACTTGAAAAATAACTTTTTTACTGTTAGATGACTTGATAATATAACTGCAGGAGAAAAGTAGGGCATGAGAATCTGGAGGGAAGTGGTTTCTGATTTCTACTCTGCCGCATACAAACTGTGTTAACTTGGTCAAATCATTTCACCTATCCAAGCCTATTTCCTTACCTGTAAAATGTAGATGATGATGCTTACTCTCTTTCTACCTTATTAAGTTGCCACGGGAATCAAATAAGATAATAGGTCTGAAAGTGCGCTCTAAACTATAAAAGGCTTTTACATAGGCCGGGTGCGGTGGCTCACGCCTGTAATCCCAGCACTTTGGCAGGCCGAGGCGGGCGGATCACGAGGTCAGGAGATCCAGACCATCCTGGCTAACACGATGAAACCCCGTCTCTACCAAAAATACAAAAAATTAGCCGGGTGCGGTGGTGGGCGCCTGTAGTCCCAGCTACTCAGCTACTCGGGAGGCTGAGGTAGGAGAATGGCGTGAACCCGGGAGGCGGAGCTTGCAGTGAGCTGAGATCGCGCCACTGCACTCCAGCCTGGGTGGCAAAGCGAGACTCTGTCTCAAAAAAAAAAAAAAAAAAAAAAAAAAAAGAAAAAAAAGAAAATATTCAGAAAAAAATAAAAAAGTCTTTTACATGTAAGATATTCTTATTATTTCCATTATTTGACTGCTAAATTTGCTCAAATAAATTTATGGCCTTGGGAAAGTTATTTAGCATTTCTTATTCTTATTTTCTGTTCTTATAAGGAATTAATCCAGACGACCTCTAATATCTCTTCTAGCTCAGCTTTGGTATCTTTTAATTATATTTTTTTCTGTGGCTACTGAACAACACTTACACACTGGGCAGAATGTTAAGGGGGCGTGGATTCTCAATGACCAGCTTTGACCAGTAATGCTGAGGATCAGCTACAGCTACATCTTTGATGGGGTTTCCTGGAATTTTAGTGGTGACAATTACAACCAATGTAGAATATTTGTTCAGTATTCCAAGTTGGTTTCTGTATATTAAGTGTGTATAAGTTTGCAAGTTAGCTTGTGGACATATTTTTTGAGGAAGAATGTGTACAACTCAGAGAAATGATGATTTCACCAAGGAATCCAATTTACTGGCAATTTCGGGAACAGAACTCACATATTTTAATCTTCATGGGACAGGATTTGCAATTATTATATTTTTAGTTTTAAAGGAATAACTAAATTCGTGAGAAAATGGCCTCCAAAGCTAATGAGGAAGGGTTGCCTTTGATGGTGGGAGATTTTGAACTATCTAGATGGATAGGAAAATGAAAGAGAAGTTCAGAAAATTAGGACCTTGAAACAGGGAAGCATTACGTTTTTGAACTAAAGGAATGCAATTTGAGAATCTTCCCTATGTGTTCATTATAAACAGGGCTTTTATCTGTCAATATTTTCAGGCTATAAATATGAATTCCTTTGGCAGAGATGATGATGATAACCACACCATGGCAACAATAATAGTTAACATTCATTACATACTCACTGTGTCCTGGGTGCTAATCTAAGTGCTATACACATATTCTTTCACTGGATCCTAACTATAACTTCATGCGATGAGTGCTATTATTTCTCTTTGGAGATGAGGAAACTGAGGCACAGAATGGTTAATTAACTTATACAAGATCACATACTAAGTAAGGGGCAGAGCTGAGATTCAAACCCATGTAACACTAAAATCACATTTACCCAGTTGGATATCTTTTAACATTACTACCACCAACATGAACAATTAAGCCTCATGCTGTGTTTGTTATTCTAGGCACATCATCTGTTAACTTATTTGATTCTCATAACAACCCTATGCAATAGATACTATCATCATTGTCATCTTTATGTGAAAACTAAAGAGCAGAGGTCTAGCTCCAGAGTTTGTGTTCTTAGCTATTATACAATAACAATAATACAATTTAAAATTATGAAAAAAACTAAAAATAATAGCAACAAGTACTTGAGAGATTTTTACAGGTCAGCTGCCAAATGCTTTGTGCACATTATTTTTACTATAATTATATCAGGTGCAAATAGTTTTATCCCTGTTTAATAAATGACAAGACTGAGGCTTAGAAAAATTAAGAAATTTGCCCAAAATCTCAAAAATAATAATGATAGAATCCAAGACTCAGACTTTAGAGACTGACCTCAATGCCCATGATCCTATATAATTATAACACTGTTTTGAGCTGTGCTTTCATAATGCTATTTTGAACCATTTGGAGCAAGACATTATGAAATGTTGGCTGTTTATGGCCATAACATTTGTTCATTCATTCATTCAACAAGTGTTTTTTGAACACCTTACTGTGCACCAAGTGGTATATCTCCATGGTTTCCCAGGTAGGTTATAAAATGGTGTACAATATTTTCTTCACCACAGGAAGCCTCTAGAAGGGTGAATGACTTGTGGCAAAGATGCTTTAACAAATGCAAAGATAGTCTGATAATGATCATTCTAGGTTTGATCTCAAAAAATAGTTAAATTAACTAATTCCATTTTAAAACAAAATATTTAAACCTATAAATAGCAAAAAATCCACAAAAATACACATCAAAACTGATGAGGATAACTTAATCAATGCCACATTAGTCCAAAAAGAGTTTTTTCTCCCTCATTGCAATAACTGAATCAGTGAAAATCAAATGAGATGACCCAGCACAGTGTTTTGAAAGTATGTTGAATAGGTTCTCCCACTATTTTACTTGCAAAGTGAGTGCTAATTGGATAAGGTCATGGTCTTTGGGATGGAACACTTGCTGGGAGCAATGAGTGACAACAATTATAAAGTCAGTCACTTTATGGCTAGGAGGGGTCACAGGGTATCCTAGACAAAGGGCCTTTTTGTGATTAACCTTATCCTCCTTCTATTGAATCACCTTGTATTTCCTTCTGATACCTTCTACCTGCTTGAATGCACTGGCTTTGCATTTCAAAGACCTAATGTTTTAGCAGATGTTTACATTTATTCTGTAGGAAGAAGTCTCATTGTTGCTGTTGTGTTTCCACTGAGTTTTAAAAGCAAAAATGTGTACTAATTGCGCACTAGTTGTGAATATATATTTAATAGTTTTATTAAAACCTCTGTAACTAACCAACACTGGCAGACATGGGGCTACCTGGCTAAACGTGTGGATCTATCTGGCCTTCTTCCAATTTAAATAATGTGGCATTTCACAGTATGACACAGTACTTTCTAAATAGTAGATTTTTAATACATGTTTGTTGGATTGCAATTTTTTAAATTAATTAAAATTAAATTTTTTAATTGGTATATAATTAACATACAGTGAAACACATGCATCTTATATATTCATTTGATGCATTCTAACGATATTTTTCAACCTTATAAACATTACACTCACTAAAAAAAACAAAAAATTTCCACTACCCTGAAAATTCTCTCATGCATCTTAATCGATTCCTACCCCCATGCTGGAATTCGGTCACCACTTTTTGTCTCCATAGATTAACTTTACCAGTCATTTGAATCCATGTGAATGAAAACATGCAGTACATTTTTGGGCCAGGATTCTTTTGCTCATCTTAATATTTTTGAAATTCATTTATGTTGTTACTTGGATCTGTGCTTCACTGTTTTTTATTACTAAGAAACATTCCATTTTATAAATATAATACAATTTATTTACCCATTGTTTTGTTGATGAACATTTAAGTTGTTGCCAGGTTTTGGCCTATTAACAGCCCAATACAGTGTTTTTGTGGATGATTTTCATTTTCTCTGGATAAATACCCAGGATCGAATTCCAGGTGTGCAGGGTAAATGTGTATTTAACTTTACAAGAAACTGCAATGAAGTTCTTCCAAGTGGTTGTGAGATTTTACATTACCACCAGTGTGAGAATAGTTCTAGTTGCTCTACCTCCTCATTAACATTTGTGTTTTTAATCTCCTAAATTTTATCCATCGTAGCGGGTGTGAATTGGTACCAGATTATGGGTTTAATTTGGTACCATATTATGGGTTTGACCGTGAGCACTGACATGTCCTTACTAGTCATTTGTTTATCTTTTTTTTTTGAAGTGGTTACGTCTTTGCTCTTTATTTGGTTGTTTGTATTTTTAGTCTCAAATTGTAGGAATTTAAAAAATGTATTCCAGTTATATGCCTTTTTAAAATATACGTGTTCCAAAATTTTTCCCAGTCTGGGGTTTGCCTATTCGGTTTCATAATGGTGTCTTTTGATAAACAGAATATTTTTTTTTTGAGACAGAGTCTCTCTGTCGCCCAGGCTGGAGTGCAGTGGTGGGATCTCGGCTCACTGTAGCCTCCACCTCCCGGGTTCAAGCAATTCTCCTGCCTCAGCCTCCTGAGTAGCTGGGACTACAGGCGTGCGCCACCACGCCCTGCTAATTTTTGTATTTTTAGTAAAGGCGGGGTCTCACCATGCTGGTCAGGATGGTCTGGATCTCCTGACCTTGTGATCTGCTCGCTTCGGCCTCCCAAATGCTGGGATTACAGGCATGAGCCACAGCGCCTGGCTGAAAATGTTATTTTTGATGAAGCCCAATTCATCAGTTTTTTCTTTTTATCATTGTTAAGCTTTTTCTGTCCTGTCCAAAGAATTTTTGCCTACCCCAAGCTCGCAAAGACAGTTTCTTGTGTGCCATATTTCCTTTTAGAAACTTCATAGTTCTGAGTTTTTTATTTAAGTATATGGTACATTTAGAATTATTTGTATATGGAGTGAAACAGCATTAAGGTTTATTATTATTTTTCCATGCAGATATTTAGTTGTTGCAGCGCTGTTTGTTAAACAAACAAACAACAAAAAAAGCCTTTTTTCCATTAACTCAGTGCTGTGGTTTTAAAAAACAATCCATTTTCCTTATATATCAGGGTCTATTTATTGACTCATTTTTTTCATTGATTTGACATCCTATGCCAGTACCATATTGTCTTGATTATTTTGGTTTACAATAAGTCTTAAAATCAAGTAGTGTAAGTCCTTCGACTTATTCTTTTTCAAATTGTTTAGGCTATTCTTTGTCTGTTGCATTTTATATAAGGTTTAGAATTAACTTTCAATTGTTTAAAAAATCCTTGCTGAAATTTTGATAGAGATTGTGTTGAAGATATAGACAAATTTGGAAAGAAGGGGCATTATAATACTACTGAGTTTTATGATTCATATATGTGGCATGTCTTTCCACTTATTTGTCTTTAATTTTTCTCAGTTGTGTTTTATAATATTTTTGTTGAGCTCTTGCACATTTTCATCAAATTTTTTTAAGTATGTGACAGTTTTTGAAACTTCTGGAAATTTTATTTTAAAATTTCATGCTCCGATTGTTCATTGCTAATGCATAGAAATAAAATTGATTTTTAAATATTGACCTTGTATTTTGTAACCTAAGTTCACGTATCGGTTATTTTTTGCAGATTCCATGTGGTTCTCTATGTACGCAATCATACCATCTGTGAATAATCTCAGTTTTACTATTTTTTCAATACTTACATCTTTTATGTATTTATCTTTTTTTATTGTACTTGTTAAGATGTCCAATAGAATGTTGAAAAGTAGTGAGAACAGTAATGTTTAACTTGCTTCCAATTTCAGCCTTTAAGCATTAAATATGATATTAGCTATATGTTTTATACAGATGCCTTTATCAGGGTGAGGGAACTTCCTTTTATTTCTAACTTGATGAGAGTTTTTATCATGGACAGATACTGTCAAGTTTTTTTTTTCTGTTTCTATGGAGACTTTTTTTGTCATTTGCTCTGTTAATGCGGTGAATTACATTGATAGATTTTCTAATGTTGACTGAACTTTGCATTCCTGGGATAAACTCATTTGGTAATGATATATTTTTCTTTTTATATATTTCTGGATTCTATTTGCTAATATATTTTAAATATATTATTTGTATCCATCTTCAGGAATGATATTGATCTGTGTTTTTTTCTCTTGTAATATCTTTGCCAGATCTTGAGTTCAATATTATGCTGCCTTATGAAATCAGTTGCAAAGTAGTCCTTTCTTCTCTGCATTCTGAAATACATTTTTTGTGGGATTAGTATTATTTTTTCCTTGATTGTTTGATGGAATTAACCACTGAAGTCTTCTGGGCCTGAAATTTTATTTGTGAGAACATTTTGTATTGCAAATTAAATAAAAAATAGGTTTTATTATTTACCTTCTTCAGTGTAACTAATTACCACAAATTTAGCAACTTAACACATATTTATTATCTTACTCTTTCTGTGAGTCAAGAATCCAGGCATGGCTTAGCTGAGTCCTCTGCTTCAAGGTCTTTCACAAGGGTGCAATTGAGGTGTTGGTCAGGACTGGAGTCGTATCTATGGCTCAACTGGGGAAAGATTAGCTTCCAAGCTCACCTGGTTATTGATGGGATCCAGTACCCTTTGGGAATATGGGACTCTTTTCCCTGCTGACTGTTGGCTGGAGGTGCCTTCAGTCCCCTCTCATGTGAACATCTCTACAGGGCAACTTCATCAGAGCCAGCAAAGGAGAGGGTCTATAGAGAGGGTCTGCTAGCAAGAAGGAGGTTACAATCATGTGTAACATAATCATGAAAGTGACATCCCATCACTGCCTTATATTATTATTAAAGAAAGTCACAGGTCCCACCTACTCTCAAGGGGAGGGAATTTCTTAAAGGCATGAATAGTGGGAGGTGGGGATAATTGTTAGATAATTGTTAGATTCTGTCTATCATGTAGATATAGGGCTACATACACTTTCTATTTATTTCTATGTCAGTTTTGGTAAGTTGTATCTTTCAAGGACTTTTTCCATGGTGGCTAAAGTTACTCATAGTATCCCCTCATTATCTTCTAAAATATTTGTTGAGTGATATTCCATTTTTCATGCTCAATATTAGTGATTTGCATTTTCTTTCATTTTTAAAATCAGTCTTTTTGTAAATCTTTTCAAAGAACCAGTGATTGACTTTGTTGTTTTCTCCCTGTGGTTTATCTACTTTCTAATTCCCTGATTTTTTTTTTCTTATTGTATTATTTCTTCTTACTTTTAGTTTAATTTGCTCTTATTTTTCTAGCTTCTTAAAATAGAAATTTTCACAACTGCATGACTGTGAGTATACTACTACTCACAGGGCTTTGGAAAGGGCCTATGCAATTGAGAGGCCATGAGGCTCTCTCTTCATTAGGTTCACATTAAATCTACTTCTTATTCTATTCTCATTTATTTGAAAATGCACATTTGTTTTTATATTTTAACATCTCTGAAAATGGAATATGTCCTATAAAATATGACATCTTATCATTGTTGTCAGCCAGGCAGAAGTCATGGCATAGTCATCATTGCCTGTGGATGCATAAAGCTGGTTATGGCTGTTTATACTGTCATCATTTAAGTAATAAGATATTGTAAAATAACTACATTATGATTAAGCACTGAAACCATACAAGAATGTATATTAAGAATGGCAAGAAAAGACAGCAACATTTAACATTAGTGAAGCAAATGTTATAGGAAGAATGATCATAATTTAATATTTTATTTCAAAGCAATAACTGATTAATTTCATTTATATTTTGCTTTTTATGTATGTATCATAGTAATATAGGAGAAAAGCCATGACTAAATCATAGCCAAAATGAAAATGTTAAGTCATGAGAAAGCACTGAGTCATAATTTTATTGGTAGTCTTTTTCTTTTTTCTGATATATCTTATAGCTGATAGTGCCTTTGATTCAATAAAATATGGATAGCACATCTAATTTTTACATAAAATCCCATGAAGCTGCTATTATTACTCATGTTTAGAAATTAGAAAATTGAAGCACAGGAGATGAACTTTTCCAAAGTCACATAGCTAGTAGGTGACAGGGCTAGGATGAGAATGTAGGAGTTTTGGTCTATGCTCTTTATCACAACATTATATGGCCATGGTACATGATGGGAGCAGAGAAGCAGTTTCCTTTCTGAGATCCTCATCAATGGAAAATATTAGATTTTCCAGATAACTGTTGACCTTGTCTCTTTCCTATTTAAAACTGTTCATGAGCTCTTCACCATCCATGTATAAAGCCCAAACTTCTTAAATGCAAAGCCTTCCATCATCTAGCCTCAACCAGCTCCTGAGCCTTACCCAACTCATGCAACACCAAACACCAGCAGCACCAAACTGTTGTCTCATATTTTACCACAGCCATATGTTCATACCCTGGACATTTCTGGTTTACACCTCTCATCCTGGCATAATAGTTAATTGATCCTCCTTTTGCTCTCAAGTGTGCCAGTTTGGAAAATAAGGTCATCCTACCTATCATGCCTCTAGCTGTGTTTTGCTTATTCGAGGTTATTCATGTTAACCCTTATGCAGAAAAGAGTTGACATAGCAGGCCTAACTGCTGTCTTTTGAAAGTCCTGCTTACAAGATTGTCCCTTGGCTATGATCTGAAAACTTGGATGTCAGAAGGTTTTCAGTTCCAACCATTCCTAGGACTGGTAAGAATGACTACACTGTGCTAAAATATGGTTTATGCTAAACACTTGTTCTCCTTCTGAGAGTTGGGAATTTTGGTACATGTTAGGAAAAGATGCCTATGTGACTAGCCCCCCAGTAAAAATCCTGGAGTACCTAACAAGCTTCCCTGGTTGGCAACTATTCATGTGTCTTCACAACTCGTTTTAATTAAGCAAGTCCTGTGTGACTTAGTTGAGAGTGGACTCTTAGAAGTTTGTTGTGATTTCTCCTGGACTTTGCCTCATGTGGCTCTTCCCTTTGCTGATTTTGCTTTGTGTCCTGGCACTGTAATGAATCATAGCTGTGAATATATGGTAAGTCCTGTAAGTCCTTGTGGTAAAACATCAAATCTGGAGGTAGTCTTGGGGGTCCCCGACACACCCCTCTCTTCCTGGAATCACTTTCTATATCCTTCCCCTTCCCTCTTTGCCTGGATGACCTTTTCCTGGAAGTTGCCTCTGAATTGCTTCCCACCCCATCCTGCTGATACTCTTCCTTGGAGCTACTATCCTGGGGCTGTTTCTATTTTTACATTTATCACCCATTTAATAATTGTAGAAACTTTGTCTCATACTCCACTAGACTGTGACTTTCTTGAGGGCTAGAGCTGTGTTATATTTGTCCTTGAATCTGTACACCTGTCACATGGTAATGGTCAGCTAGTATTGAAAATAAACACATTGGCCAATCCAGGATCATCTTCTGACAGCTAGTGGTGTCTATATTTAAAATAACAATTAAAACATAAGTTTGAAATGTGCTTCGAGAACTCTTTTTTTAAGCATACCTTTGCTTACACAGTTAGTTATTAAACTGTTTCCTTATTTAATTGGCACTTAGAAAACACCTACTGTGTTTTATATGCTAAGTGGTGCTTTGAGGTCTAAAAAAGAAAGAAGAGAATTAAAGGGCCGACTTGATGTTAAGATAATTGGGAGAATTAAATATATTCTTCAGCTTCGTTATTCTATAAAACTGTGCCAAGGAAAATGGCTCTTATTAATTCAATACCATGACAAGAAATAAAGTAGTCCAGAGTGATTCTTCAGGAGAAGGTGCTAGGGAATTCCAAGTACAGTATTTATCAATAACTTGCATGCTTCACTAATTTTTTTAAAAAAGCTTATTTTATTTTATTTTATTTTTGATTACTCATTAGCTAGAAACTTAGACTTTTATTCTGGTGTAACTCATTTCTTTATAAATTCATGAAAATGGTATTTAGATTTATTTTTTTCCTTCATTCATTTGTTTGCAAATGCCTCACTTTCCCCTCCCGGAAGTTACATAATCAGCTTGCTATTTTTAATACTGGTTTTCTGACAAAACCAAGTTTAAGCTTTACGAGATATATTTTCATATCTTGGAAGCTGTCTCAATGATAACTTTGTTATGAGCTGAATATATTATATATCATCTTAATTGTTCTTACACTTAAAAAGCAATATTAAGTTTCCTGAGATGTGATTTTTCAAGTTAAAATGAGAACTAGAAAAAGACACCCTCCTTTTAGGGGTTGAGGGTTTTGTACAATAAGGAGTGGAAGTTGTTGGCTATTCCCGATAGCAACAGTTTCAGCTAAGCTCAGCCAACATTGTAATTACATCTCATATTTCTCTTCAGGATGTAGATGAATATGTGGGAATGGCTGGCATGGAATTGATCAATGTCTGGATCATTCCTTTTGTGAGAACTTAAACTGATTTCAGATTGTTCAAAACACCCTCCTTGTATACTATCTTTTACTCATTATTAACAACCATTATCCTATTGAGGAGAAAATAGTGCATAGGACACTGCTCTTGGCCATGTAAGGCTCACAGATCTAAGCCTATTTAGATAATTACTTAGCTCTTCTCTTAATTTTGGGCTCTACACCAATTTTTCCTGAATCACAAACAATTTAAAAATTATTATATGTGATACATGGGAATATTTTAGATTATTGATTATTTTAATATTAACAAAAGCCTCTATTTCATAAATAGAAAGTCCAGACTTGAGGCTGAATAATTCACAAACACTTGTAAAGAAACTCCTGAGAAAATCTTTAAAAAAAATATTCAAATATTTTTGCATTGACCAAACCTAATTTACTTGTTACCAAGTGAAAAAATTTACGTCTAAATCAGGTCTATCAACTATTCAACAGAGGCAAAAATCCACAGAGGTCTGGCTAAATAATAAAATTGTAATTTGGGAAGAATTGAAAGCCTCACCCTCCCAAATACTCTTGCTCTCACTCCTGTCTCCCTCTCCCTCTCTTGCTGAAATATACTATAGAATCCTTAAATTGTCTGCTTTCTAATCATAGGCTTTTTACCTCTTAAAAATGCAAAGTCAACATATTTTTAGTAATGGTTTTCTTTTAAATTTTGAGATAGTTCAGGGTTTTTGTTCTTTCACTAGATCTATGCACTGACCACATTTTGCTTTTATGATTCTAGCTAAACCTATTGCAAGATGCCTAAATATTATAGTTTAGCATAATCCTTGTTAGATTTATTCTGATACAATTTTCATTGCTTACTGCTGTGTTCATTTATAAGTCCTACCTTCAAGATGTTTACTTTTAAAAAAAAGAAACAACTTCATAAAATTCTGATATTGCAACATAAAATTACAGTTTTACACCAGAACAAGAACTAAACCAGACTTACAAGTGGTATGGTGAAGAGAATACAGCATACTAGCCGAAGGATGCCATCCCTCTGCTTCCCCACTTCTACTGTTTCTTTTCACGTTGCTGTTGTCAACTCGCGGAAAGAAACACCAGGAACAAAGACCTATTCTATTAGCATAGTTTCTCTTCTATAGGAAAAACAGCTAAACGTGCAACATCTTGGTGTGAAAACAACTATTGGAGGAACAAAAGAATCAAAATGAGTATCTGACTCACACTTAAAGAAATATTTTAGCAATGAAGTTCAAACTGCATTAATAATAGGAAGCCGATTTCTTTCTGGTCCTAAACCCTGGTGAACTAATAAAGATGATGATGATTATTATTATTTCTGGCCTTTACATTTCTCATTTCTTATCAGAATTCCAGCCCTCTGAGGCAGATTGTGGGCACTGACAGCTCTGGGAAACTGAGCAGCATCTGAACATACAATGATTGATTCTTGCTCTGATTGAGCAGCTTTCAATGAAAAGTTGCTGTATGAGAAAGATAACTTATTTTAAAACAGCAACCCAGATAGTCATATTTTCAAGAACACTCTGGCTTGATAATCAACATTTTTCTATGGTTATAATATATTTGTAAGTGTTGAAAAAAAAGACAGCATGGGCAAAAGACTAATGGAAATGTAAAGATATGTGTCTATTATTAGGGGAGTCAATTCATTATTTTTCACCACTTGTTTTATTAACATACATCTTATGTTACATGTTGCTTTAATCTCCTTTATTAAGACTAGCTGAAAGGTCCTGTCATTATTTATCGTTTCAATGCCTCAGGTTCCGTGTTTTGTTCTGAATTTTCTATGCCAACTTCTTTTGACATGAAAGTGAAATATTGTTGTTTGAGTAGATGTGTGAATGGTTCTAGGGTGGGTGTTTTATATGAAAACAATCAAAGAAAATCAGTTGCGTGAACAAATTCTATCTCCAGGCAAAATAACACTTTTGCTGCAAATGATATCCCACCGTAAATGTTCTTTTATCATAGCTTTCTCTGGGCTAATGTGGTCCTTTCTTATTGCTCCCCTCCCTTTCGTGCCCCCCAACTCTGATAAAACTAGAAATACTATTGTGCAAATGGAGAAATGTGCATACCTCTCTTTTCCAGAGGCGCTTTTACTGAAAAGGGAATACACCACAAACTGTTTTACCACTTTGACTCAGCTTCTGTAAAGAAGAAAGAGTTAACTTCTCGGTCTGCAGCTGATCCGTGCTTAAGCAGTTCACTGGGGCATCATGGTTATAAATGTGATAGAGTATCCCAGGAGGCTTTCATGATTTTATACTATTTTTCATAAATAAGTAAAAATGCATCAGAAGGATACCCACCTCCCAAGGAATGCACAATTAAAGAAAACGGAGAAAAACAAGACCTAGGATATGGGACTCTGGCTTCAGCCCTGTGGAGGAAAATGCGTTTGCTTTTTTTCTTTTTTTTCGCTTTTGCTTTCCTCAGTCCTCTCTGATTGAGTAATGACAATAGTTCAGTAGGAAAGCGTACAGAAAGAAAATAATGCCCCAGAGCACATCAGTAGTAAAAGTAATTAGTTCATTGTTAACATCAGGGTGCTGTTAACAAGCACACAGGCCCTGCTCTCTGGCTAAGCTGCCACATATTATGATAGTCAACTCCAAAATAAAAATTATTTTGTGCAGAATGAAAGAGAATGGGGATTATAAGCTTGGAAAAGACTAAATTTGGGGACTGAGGATATTTTTCAAAAGCATAATCAGAATCCACAAATGCAGCCTTGCCTCCCAAATCTGGTCATTATGCACCACATGTGTATTCAAAGCATGCATGCTTATGAGAAACGGAGAGACACCGAGAGAAAGAGAGAGAGCAAGAGCGAGCTAGCGGGTGCAGGAGGCTGAGCAAAAACCATTATTATACACAGCACCTAGGGAACACAAGATCTAATTGGAGAATCAATAACTGAAACCCCATTTTAAATATTCTGCTCTATTAATTCTTCAGGTTAATAAAAGCTGCCCGCATGATGATATTTTGGGATATAGATATTCAGAGTTGGATTACTTTTGACAAGAGCATAAGGAATCTATTCAAAGCTGATTTTCCCCCCTTTTGTTCACTGAGGACCTGCAGGATCTAAGATAAAAATGGCAGTTGTCCTGAGGGCACCCTGAGGCATGTCATTAAAATCGGAATTTGATCCTCTTTTCATGGTTACTTGGGACAATCAAGCACAGGAAACCTGAAAACTCATCAGTTTTCCAAAATATGACATGTCCTTGACTTTGTCAGTTTGGCTGCCATATAGCAGCCCTGGCTATTTCAAAATCCCTTTAGATGTCACTCTGTCTTCAAGAATGCACGCTGCAGATCTTGTATAAGAGATGAGAGACCCAATGCCCTTGCCCAGTTGAAGCACTTGCTTCTCTGTTTCCCATCAAAAAGAAATTCCATCACAGACTTCCAGTAAAAGGGTGGTGTTTTTGAAGAAATGAAGCAATTTACTAATTGTAATTAATGCCAGTCTGAGAAGTGTTTTCAATCTACTTGTTCAAGCCTTCTAGATAATGGGTTATTTTGGTTTTTAAAGCTGCAGTATTTGTGGTAGATTATGGCAGCACAGAGAATCTTGGAGATAATTCATTGCCATATAAAATTCTATGGCTTGCTATCGTCCATTTGTTTTTGTTTCTTTGCTTTGTTTTTGGATTTTAATTTCAACAGATACAGCCTGTCTTCATTTTATCGTTTGAATTAGCCAAAGTCAGAGACTCCACAAAACTAGAAATACAGCCAACTTGGGTTGCTAGAAAAACGAAAGGTGTATTTCATAAGGCAGTCCCCAGGAACCAAAGTTCTCTTTTAACTAATAAATTCTTAAATGAATTTGTGAACCAAGGTCTCTTCCCACCTCCTACCCTAAATAACACTGGTTTTTCAGGGATGAATGGTAAAGAGAGTCCCCATCTCTGAGCCCTATGTATTACCTTGAACTGAGAGACATTTGAGTATTCCCAGCAGTGAGAATATCTTTTCATGAGGAAAGGGCAAAACTCTAACCCCAGTGCAAACAGGAGGCTTTTCCAAGTAGGCAGCATGTGGGTTTGCTATTTTCCCATTTGCTGTAAAATGAACTTTTCTTTCAATGAAAGGAAAAATAAGAAAAGAGATTTGGCTACTGAACTTTACCTGCCTACTGAAGCCAGCTGCATTTTGATAGATGTTGCCTGTTGCAAGTACTGTCAGTTCAAGACTGTACAAGGGAAAGCCATGGGACCGGCCAGTGTGGACTACAGAAGACAAGTAATTCAGCATTGCTGGCAGGTCTAGGAAATCCTTGTTGTGCTTGGGTCTTATACTTGGGCTATTCCTCTCCTTACCCATAATTTTACTTAAGTAATTTTGGTTGGCTAAAGCTATTGTTTAACAACATGAATGTTCTTTATGAGTTTAACTCATTCATTGCTATTAATCTACTACCTGTTGCATAATAAAATTCATTTCTGGCAGAGGTACATAGTTAGAGTCATTTCCTCAAATCATATCTTTCCATGGGAATCATTTTTGAGAACTTTTGGTCACACTACAATTCCTGTTCTCTAGTTAATAATTTGTACAACAAAAGGACAGACTAAGTGAACAAGGTTTTGTGCAAATCTTTGATATTGTTTCTTGTTATTCACTAACATGATTGTTTCATGTGAGCTAATCAACTTGTCTTTTATTTGCTTTGTTCCATGGCTTTGTATGTGTTTTTCATCCCACCTGGGATGCCTTTTTTTTTCTCTCCACCTCTACTGTTTTGCTGTCTCTTGAAAACCAGCTCCTGATAAAAGCTTTTCTTGATATAATTGACTTGACAAGGATCACTCATGTATCTTTCTTTTCATTTTGTCATTGGTGTGATATTATAGCTCATACTTCATTATGGCAGAAACTTAAATATGCTGTACATTAAGGAATGTGCCCACAAAGCCAGAAGGAATATTCTGTTATAACACTTTCTATTGCCAGGTGTTAGCACTATCAACAGACCACAGTGGACCAATTAGCCCTCCTGGGTGTGTTGCTTGGTAAACTGTTCTCAAACGGGTACGCTATTGAGGCCACCATCTTCTTTTGCTTTCTGTTCTCTAGGATGCATAGTATAGCACCTAGCACAACTAAAAAAATTCTTTCAGTTCAGCAAAGTAGCATCATGCAGTTACTATGTACAAAGCACTTGAAATAACATAATGACTATGAAGATATGCCAGTCTCTGGTGGTCATTTGCATACTAGATCAGGTCTTGGAAAACTATGCAGCCTGTGGGCAAGATCTGCCCGCCATTTGTAAAGTTTTGCTGGCACACAGCAAAGCTCATTCACTTACGTATTGTCTGGCTAATTTTGTGCAACAACAGCAGACTTCAGTAGTTTTGACAGAGACTGTATGAACCACAAGACTGAAATATTTGTCTGGCCCTTTACAGAAAAAATTTGCTGACCCCTATTAAAGTGTAGCAAGGACTAGTGTAAAATCAACCCAAATGAACTATTAATAGATAAATTACACAAATGTACAGCGTTAAGCAACTTAAAAAGGCAGCTTCTTTCTATAAATGGGGGTGGAGGTGTAATTCTCAGAGCCTAGAGAATTACAGTTACCATTCCTCAAATCTACTCAGAACTTCACACATATCAAGCACTTTTATGTAACTGCCTGTGAGGTATCATCTCATTTATTTCTTCATCAAATACTTGTTGAGGACTTGCTATATTCCAGGTACTGTTGCAAGAAATTCATTGGTAAGCCAAAATGAAGGTAGATCATTTAATCCCCATTTCTTATAGAAGAAAACTGAGTCGGGGTAATAAGTGGCACATCCAGGACTGGAACCCCAATCGTCTGGCCTTGCATTCAGTATGTATGCTCAAGTCAATAGTCACCACCATGAGAGACACAGACTAGAAAAAATTATACAAAGTCATTTCAAACATTACTTTTCTTTCCAATGGTAGAGTTATTGTTTAATGGTATTCTGTCTATTTTTCCTCATACGTTTTCACATATGAGTCTAAGAGGTAGTCTAAGTATGACACTGGTACTGACATTTACTAGCTATATGAACATAATTTCTCTTAATCTCAATTTCCTCATCTGTACAATGGGGGTAAATAGTATCCAACTTTTAGCTTATGGAAGATAATTTGGTGTGAGAGTGTGGGCTGAAACTAAAACACATAGTCCTGAGCAGCTTAGAGTTTAAAATCCTGTTCTTCTAAATCCTATACTTAGAGAATCTCAGCCTGGCATCGAGTAGAGCATATTTAGATATGTATTCATTATGTTCGTTAACAAATATTTACTGAGAGCCCACTATACATAATTCAGCCTGGCACTCTCATTTTCTAGTTTGTGATGTAGCTTGCTTAACTCTGAGTCTCAGTTTTCTTCATTGTAAAAATGGAGACAAATAATACTGGTCTAACAGAGTTGTGAGAATTAATTGACATAAACTATGTGAAGGCATCTAGCAATGTGTCTGCTTTGTACTAGGGGCTCAAGAAATGTTAGTCTTCATTCCTCTATCAGTACCCTCTTAAATATTAAGGTCAAACCAGGGTAATATTAGTACAATATTAGGAAGCAAATGAAGTTGTAAAAATATAAGAGAGAAGAGAATGGTTGTATTTCTTACTCTAGCCAGGCACATGGTGAAAGTGATCAAACTCTCCAAGGTGATGATGACATTGTTGAAAATGACAGGAAACTCCATTGGATAAAGATCCATTAGCACATCCCATCAGAAAATCTAGTTTCTTTGCCTTGGTTTGAAATTTGAAGATAGAAGAGAGTCCATTTTATTGCCTTAGTTGCCAGGAGTAATTAGACAAATTACACATAAAAATAATATTTAAGGGTCAGGTAATTGGTCTAGTAACTTGGGGGGAATATTTTAGTAATAAAAGAAGCACTCTCTTATCTCCTCTTAATTCTGAAATCTAAACTTTTATAGTGCCAGTCTGCTTTAAAATCAGATGACACCGCTGCTAGCTGTCGTTCCAACATTTCCAGAAAAAGTGTTGAGCACTTAATAAATTCAGGGGTGTGTTTCCAGTGATGAGAAGTGCTGTCTTGTGTTAACGGTGTCAGTATGAGAGAGACTTGAAGGCACAAAAGACTATGTTTATGTAGGTGTTCTTTCATGTCGGGTGCTACACTTATTGCTTTTGATTAAGATGTATGATTGAGTTACTGAATATGACATTTGTTGAGAGAAGGAAGATTACCATGGGTGAATTGCAAGAGAGTAAAGAATGAGGTGGTGGATGAAGTGTGAATGAAAGGTTACATGCATTGATGTCTTGTTTATTTGATTTAGGAGTTTGAGATAAAATTAATCTATTTCATTTCTTGGCATGTTAGGAGAACTGTCTTAAAAATGTGCTCTCCAATGCGTAATCAAAATATATCAAAATAGACATTGGCAGGTAACTTAAAGTCAGTTTTAGTTATACAAAATGTGTTGGGGGTGGGGATGAGAGTTGGGGAGGCTCGTAGAAAAGCTTAAACAGTTTTCACATATATTATTATGCTGTTTATATCCACAATATTCCAGTGCAATAGGTAAAGCCAGATTTTTTATGAAGTTTAAATGTTTCAAAGGAAAGCCCATTTTATGTTATTTTTCTGAAACACTGTGAGTGCAAACCAAAACTCATCATCTCTGAACACAGGAATTAAAGAATGAAATGGACTATAAACTGAGGCTGAACAATCTAATTTCACTGTTGCAGTTAATATAGTGAGAAAACCCTCAAAACCATGGACATTTACAGGGCAGAAAATAAATGCAATGTTTGAAGTTGAATTCTCTAAATGGCACCTGGATTTGGGCAGCTGAAAATGATAGTAACATTCACAATGAAGAACTGAAATTCTCCCCAAAGTAATCATGCTCTGAATGTACAGTAGTCTTCTCCGACTATTTGCTAATTCTTCTGCTTTGCTAAAGGGTCCTGCTGGGCATATTACTGCCTCCATTTTACAGATGGAGAAAAAGGAAATAATGAAATTCTAAACTGTACCAATTCACGAAGTAAGTCAGTGACACAGGCAGAAACAGAAAACTAGATCTTCTTGCTCCCAGACCAGAGCTCCAGTCATCAAACCAAATTCCTACCGTGTAGTCGATTCTAAATCCAGTTGCTGATTTTTGTCTACAGAATGGAACACAAGTGACCAAATACACCACGGAGTTGAGATTATTAGCCCTCTTCAGATGGTCTGGGCTGGCTTCACACTCCGGAAGGCTGGCTACCACTGATGAGACTTTTTTGCATGCCTCCTTCTCTTTTCTAATCAGGACCAGCCATTACAAAGCAGTCTTCCCCGCCCCAAGGCCTCCCATCTTCATTTTGTTTGGGAATATATTATAAAATGACTAAATATTTCTTACTGAATTTTTATAAATGCTTTAAAGTTGGAGTTTATTTTTCCAACTATGAAAGCAGTATATTTTCATTTTTGAAAATATTAAGCAAGTAGGACCAAAATAAAATTTCGTGGTCCACCACTAGGAAGTATTAACTCCTGTGAAGAACAAAATAAACCAAAAGTATTAATTTCCATTTTTAACTAGTTTAGATGGTTTTCCCTTGGGCTTAAAATGGAAAGCTTTTACTGTGTGTATGTGTGTGTGTGCGCGTGCATGTGTGTGTATCTGTATCTATATCATACAGCATATCAAAGAAAATATTTCTTCCTTCCTACTCTCCATTATGATTACTTTTTCTCTATTTCTCTGTCCATCTACTAGAAAATGGTGTTGCTAGAAATGGAAAAGGGATCACAGTAAGTCGGATAGTGAACGTCTCTGTTCAATCCCAGGTCACAGAGACAAGCGCTATTTTCCCTTTTCTCCCACACAAGGTAATTTAAAATTGCACTCATTTTGTGATTTCTCTTGAAACATACACACAACCAAAGGCCTGACTGAGACTGTCTGTCAGGACAATCTGGAATTTAGCAATGCCAGCCAGGCTCAAATGACTGCCTGACCCACTGGGACCCTGGATCAAGTGATGTGCCAGAGGGCATGGATGGAATATGATATTAAGGCAGCCTATTGATTCTCTAGATTACCTCCTTGAGAAACTAATTATATTTAATCTTTATAAGTGAAGATTTTTGTATTTTAAAATCTACTTTTTTTGTCAACATAAAAATATTAGTTTTGATCCTCAGAAGCTCTTGTCTCTGATTTTAAAGAGATATTACTTAGTTCCCCATCTTTTATGGTATCAGTAAGTTAGTGGAAATAGTGGTGAATAAATCCCACAGAAAATAGTTAGAGAAAATCAAACATAAGCTTCACTGCAGACATAGGGGTGCCTATTCTTCTTCAGTCAAAAAAAAAAACAAAAAAAAAAAACAAAAAAAACCAACCTGACTTGGAGATGCCCTCTTCTTTCACGAAGCCAATATGTTATTTTTTCACTAATATTTATGCTAAAATAAACTGTTCTACTTAAATCACAGACCAGATTGTTTCATTAGTTTATTCCTAACCAGCTATCTTTATAAAAGCCTAAATAATACCATATGTTTGGTGACTAGAAAAAGAATATTAATAAATTATTAACTTTTAATAAATGATGTTGCTAGGAATTTTTTTAACACAACTTCATCTTGCCGCAGTGCATTGAACCAAACTGTGTTGTTAAATTACTTATCCAACTTCGATATTTGGAGGATTATTTCCTTTTTCATATCTAAGAAAGATTCTTTGAAGTATATTTTATTTACCTTTCCTTTAAACATAAAAAATAATTTTTTTCACTTCACCTGTTTGTGACTTTGAAATTTCTGAATGTTTACATTTTATCTGCAATATCACATTATTATTCCAACTAGAGTTTTCATGACAGAAATAACTTAGTACCTTGGCTAGAAATGTTATGAAGAACTTTATGCTAACATGGCAATTAGGTAATGAGGGGTTTGTAAACCAAGACAGAGCATGTAATTCTCCTCATAGGTTGCTCTCTATCTAGATTTTATGACTTTAAGTACTTCATGATCAGTAAATAATAAATTCAATTTACCAGATAGAAGTTTTTCCACTTAGAAATACTCACTTGGAATATATATTTCTTAATTGGCATCAATGGCACATTTCCCAGGAAGCATAACAAAATGGATCATTTAATAGATGCCCAATCTCTCCATCCATCTATCTATCAGCACGGCACATGATGTTTTGACTTTAATATGGTAATTATCTCAGGCTGACTTCAGAGCAGGAAGCTGCCTCCCACACAGCAGTGCTTAATTACTTTAGACTTCAGCTTGCCAAGTGAAAAATTGACTGTTTTTTTGCACATTGCATGGAATTGAAATGATTTCATTGTCATTTCAGTTGAAATACAGCCTGACATCAGCATAGAATCATGGGAAAGATAATGCAAAATTCCTCTGAAATTCTAAAATGGTCTGAAAGCTGCCTTTTTTTTTTTATGAAGCTGCATTTCATTTTCAGAATGTTAATGAAGATCCATTTCATCTTGAGAGAAGCAAACTTTTAGGAATTCACTTCTGTGAATATATTCCAATGACAAATCAATAAAGGGCAACGTTGTTAGGTAGCTACACTTAAATGTGAACTTTGACAGTTGGGGGCAGAAGAGCCATTGGAATTGGTGTCAACATAATTAGTAGTAAAAATTGTTAGCTTGGCACGGAACTAATAAAATAAAAGTGATAATAAACTACCTCATTCAGAAAATTTAAGAAAGTGCACCTTTATGTAGAATATGCATAATAATACCTTTAAAGTGCTGGTGTGCTACATAAACATCTGTACAGTGAAACTGTGAAATAAATCCAGAGTATCTTTGTGTTGAAATTTATCAACATTGCTTTTTTTCTTCAGATTTCAACTGTCAATCACATGCTACTAACTGAATAATTTTTAAGATACTGAGGGCAGGTTTCATGAATAAAATGTCCATATAAATGTGTTATTGGATAGAGGGAAAAGGTAAAATTATGAAGGAAGGCTTTGGTATAATGGAGCAAATCATATCCAAGCTTTCACTTTGGCCAGAAGCACTCCGAAAGTAGTAATGACACCTTTGCCATGTAAACCGCAGGGGAAAGTAATTAAATTTAACAGAAGCTGCCCTTGATTTAAAGCCACAGGGGAAGTAATTAAATTTAATAGAAGCCACTACTTCTAAACAAAGATATATGGTATTTCTATCACCAAATGCTACTTTTTTTTTTTTTTTCTCAAATGTGCCTATAGCTTCTAGTGGTCTGCCTATCGAAAGCAGTTCCCAAACACCAGTGGACAATATGTGACTGAATATTGTGAGCTATATTGGATAGTAATCTAATGTCAGCACATCTAAGCTGCAATTCGAGATATGGCATGGTACTGCCCTGTATGGCTGCCTACTCAAAACCAACACTTGGACTTAGGATGAAGATGGGAAATTTGGAGAATAAAGTAAATTTGTGATTTTTTTCTTCAGTGTTGATGCATTTTTGTACATCTGCTTAAACTGTCTCCCAACTTCAGCCCTGGCTGCTGCCATTGCCTTGTTGAACTGATTCAGTATCTGGGCTCTGGAAGAAGCAAAGTTCTCCTTTCCTAAAATGTGCACTCTTGCCATCAGGGCTCTCCAGGTCTGACCACAGGGTTCATCATGGTTATAGTGATATATCTGTAGGATGCTTACTGCAAATGGCAGTGTTTTCACCAAGCCTTGTATCCTGGCTCTGTCTGCCTGGGAGAAAGGGTGCTTTTAAAAAGTTGTGTGTCAGAATCCCCTACTTGTCAAGTCAAGCATCTTTTGAACTTTGTCCTAAATCTCACAAAGTTTCGGAAGGGCCAGCACAGCTTGAGTTGTTCCTGCCTTCCTTTCAACTTTGTGTCAAGAATACCAACAAAAATGTTTCTTGACCGTTTTGCCAAATTACACTGAAGGTGTAGTATGGATGAAAGATGACAGAATTTGTTTTCTTTGCTTGCTGAATTTAAGATTAAGAAAACCTGAGGGGTCCTGCTTACTCAGAGCATAAGCGGTGAAGAAGCAGTGGAATGGGTGTCCTCCAGAGGAGCAGCCCCAATGAAGACTAGTTGCTCAGACAGTTTCAGTCTTAATGTAACGACGTTTACAGAGGCAGAGTGATGAATAGCCCAACTCTGGCTAGATAACTTGAGTTTGCATCCGGTACAGCCATTCCTAGCTGTATGACATTGGCAAGTTACTTTCCTGAATCATAGTTTTAGTATACGTAAAGTGGGGATAATAATAGTGTCTGCCACACAGAGCTGTAGCAAGGATCAAGTCATTTCACATGTGTAAGTGCCTAGAACAGCACCTGCTGCATAACAAACACTGTCTAAATGTTAAGGCTTATTACACACAATGTATGTTGAAGTTCATTGACGAGTGACAGTGGCAGTCCCACATCATACCCAGGGCCACAGAAGAATATCCCCTATGGGTTTATTTGAATTGCACACTCCAAACTACATCGTGAACATGGATTCTTGTGTATTATTTTTAAATGAAAGCTATGCAGCCACAGTCCCTATTGTTAGGGAGGAGTGGTGATCCTCTAGTTGGAAAGTTGGGGTGGGGATCTAGAGGGTAGGGGTGTTGAGGGGATGGAATAGAAGGTAAAGCTAGCAAGGAGGTATAATGGTGAGAGGGATAGGTCAGTATGTTGTGCTAAATCCCCAACAAAAGCCCAAATCATGCTTCTATTGCCTTTGTGGATTATGCTGGTTTTCCTGGCTAGCCTAGAACTGGCACCACGATAAGTGAAATCAGTCGCTAGAGCTCTTTCAGGACTAGATGCGTAGTCACGATATATTTGTCAGTTGTATATTTTCCTGTCAAATAGCTGTTGGGTGGAGAACCATCAAAAGAGAATTTTTCTTTGTCAGATAAACTTTTTACAATAGAAGAATGTAGTGATGGCTTCTGAAATAAATCTAGTGGCACTGGGGAGTTTACAAATACTAGCATATTAATATACAGCTAAAATAATAATAAAAAAACACCATGCTGCTAAAGATGTTTAGTATTATCAGCTCACTGCAGGAGTTTATTAGAAACTCCCGCTTTCTTTTATTAAAATTTCAATTGGCTTGGTGAATGAGATCCTATGTTAGTGTCATAAAGTGAGAAGGCAGAAGGAGAGGATATTGGCATTTAGGTGCAGATTTCATTTTAAAAACACTTCACATTATAAAAGAAGATTGCCTATTGTAAATATCATGTATAATGTTAGTGGTGTTAAAAGTAGTGTTAGTAATTTTTAAAAATTCATCAAATTTTCTTTGTTTATGATGATATCTAGTAGATTTTATATTTCTGTAGTAAAGCAAAGTTTCAAATTTATCCCAAGATGTTTTTAGCTATAAGCAGCAAACATGGTTTGTAAAAAGTTTTCATAAAATGATGCATAAGCGTAATTTAATGGGAATCCTCTTTGGCAGTAGCATATGACGATTGCTTACTTTTATCATTAGCCTATATTTTCCCTCTGTATTTTGGAAGCTTTTGTTAAACTAACTTGTTTTAGCAAGGCAGCTGGACAGATTACAAACCTTAATTTACTATTGAATGTTTGGGTTGGTGTTATAATAAATTACATGGAGCACCTTCTGAAGTAAGCCCAAGATTTTCTTTCTTGGTATTAAATGGCCACTGCTTCCTTACCTGGTGAAACGCTGAGAAGATGGCGGCATGCAAAGCTCTAAGGTGCAACAGCTGGGGAGCCAAGCTGAAACCTCTCTTCCCTGTCTCAGCATCTGGAGTCTTCATGGAAGTGAGAAGTTTGCAGGTTTGCAGCTGCAGCCCTTTCATGACAAGTTCGGTAAATTTTACACATGGTTGCTTGCTTAGAAAATATTTTCCAGATTTAACATGTTTACAGCATTGACATTTGAAGCTGAAGCCCCTTCCTTCTTGATTAGAGCAGAGAGTACTCACAGACTGCATTCTAACTTTATGGGGTTGGAGAACTGGGAATGGGTCATTTACAATTTTCAAACAAATCAAAATGCACTTTGATCTCTAGTCCAAGTTTCTTTAAATGCAATGAGTAATAATAATAAATTAGCCCAACTTAGCTATTTTTCCCTTAAATATGGTCATTTTTAATGTAATCATTTTATTGCATTCTAAAATTTAACCAACATATTTAATTCATCTTATTCAAAGTATATATTTTCCGAGAAGGAACATTAACTCAGGAAATTAAGTAGAGGAGAGGCCTGTGTGTGTGTGTGTGTGTGTGTGTGTGTGTTTGTGTGTGCATAGTTTTACATTTTAAGCTGCAACATTCTGTGAGAATATGAATTAATAATAAAAGCAGCATTTATCTTTACACATATTTTCCAATTGAAATTTCTCATTTTATCTATAAATCTCTAGGTGCACTGAATATTGTCAAAGCAATGTATGGAATATTTTGGCAATAAGATAAATTCAAAACAAAGAGACTGCTCTTGGATTTTCCAGTGTTTAAATGAAATCCCTAATTTAAAATTTTAGATTAATTTTGCATTAATACTATCAGTTCTGTTTAACATTGATTTAGATCATATTGAAATAAGGTGAGAAATCATTACCTTGTATTGATACAATCTATTTTGGGGAACCATAAATGTCCAATTGGCTGTCTAAATGCCCTTTGGTTTCTAAGAGGCATGTAAAAGGCATTCATATAATGCGATACATTTTACCATACTCATCTCCACAAATGCAAGCCCTATTGCTTTAAACTGGATTTACTGGAATCCAGATGCACAATCCTGAGAATTTTCTTTAACAGTAGTCACATTGTTGAATACAATATTTCTTCTTCATGATTTAAGATAAACTATGGCACATTCCACATGAAAAAGCCATTTGTAGAATAGACTTTAGATTATGATTTTTAAATACAAAACAACAGCCACCTCTGTCCCTCCAACAAAACAAAACAAAACAAAACAAAACACTGTACCATTGTGGAAAAAAAAATTGCATTTGGTAGGTATCAATATTGTGCGTATAATTTGAAAAAACAGAGGACAGTTTGTTCTTTCTCATACTAAGTTTACTTTGCCTTTTCCCCTGCCCCATAAATAAATGCTAGATGTTTGCTCTAAGTAACGTTTAACTCAGCTCAGGAGTGACTTCTACGAGCAGCCAAATGATTTGTATTGATTTTGATTTCTACATTTGTAGAAAGATATTTTAGCAAATCTTTTGGAAAGAATAAAATACTCCAAAATCAAATTCATTTGTGATTAATTGCAGAGTCAAATATTTTAATTTTAGCCAGGAGAAAGATGAGAACAAATGAAGAAATATGAAGATCCGTAATGAAAAGCAATAAAATAATCTAAGTGAATCATTTTATTAAAATGGTTGTTTCACTATAAATAAGGAACCATAAAAAATACAATTTGTATATTCTGTTACAAAAAGCCTCACTGTAGGCAGCCAACTACTAAAATTTTATATGAAAAAAAAAAATGCTCCCCTAAGGAAATGTGCGTATCTGCTGTTTCTTTTTAACAAAGATTGAGATGCTTATAAAGAATTTAGCAAAGACTTCTAAAAATAAAACCTTTTCTGCCATCCTCAGCCCCTTCACACACACTGTGTATGTGAGGGCTTGTTTTTTGGTTTTTGTTTTTGTTTTTTTTCCCTATTCACATTGAATTGCCTGATTCCAGTTTAAATTGCTAGTCAGTGTTTCACAGCTTTGCACAGCACTTTCTAACCCTTTCCTCTTGGGTATCTCTATTTGAAATGAAGCTTTACTGTCTCTTATACACCCGAAACAAACAAGTGTACCTACTTGATGGTTTAATTGTAACTGGCTAAGCTGAAAACAATGAGCAGCAAGTTCAGGAAAAAATGTGTGGGACACAACCAGCTGAAAAAACTAAAACCCTCTGCAGAGATGCAAATGATATTTTATTATTTGAAACAGCTGCCGTGTAGCCTTAGACACTTTTTTTTTTTTTCCTGCAGATTTTTCCTAAATAACTTCATGCTTGTGTGGTATATCCTTTCATGCTTTCCCTGGTGACCAAAGCTCTCATGCCATTTACCTTGCTCCAGGTAATTTGGGGAAATACCACAGACTTGTGTCATTACAGAGTCTGTATAGTTGTTTGGCTGCTAATTGATTCTCAAAGGAAGCAGACTGATGCTGTCACTCCGATGTGATGTTAAAAATTCTTCCATTTCAGCATGCTTATTTTAGCAAAATTAAAACTGCTAGCTGAATGGATATTTGACTGAAAAAGCTTTTACAAAAAAGGTTATCATAAATATTGTCTTTACGAGTCGAAAAAAGAAACCTGTGTAAGTTTTCAGGACTGAGGTGCTCTTTTTTACTTTTTAAATTTTTTACTGTGGTTTTAGCTGTTACATACTTAATACATATATTATGATAAAAATTAGATCTGGGTACTTTTAACCCATGGTTCAAGAGGATTCATGCCCTGTAATCAGAATCTCAGAGGACAGTGTAATAACTAGTTGTTTTAAAAATGGTTTCATGTTTCCTAAGTCTTTACCGGGTAACCCTGTTTTTAATGTCAGTGTTGTCATAAATGCTGGGACATAATAAACTTCCACATAGACATGTCCTTACATTAAAAACAGAGCCTGGTGTCGATTTTTTAAAGGTACATTATTCCTGTGAATGGGTTTATCAGCAGTACAACGACATTACAAGACAAGCTAAGCCATAAAAAGGATTAAGTGGCACTGTATAATACTGATTAAGTAACAGAGCAATACATGCAGTTGTGAGAGTAACTAGTGCTGCCAAGTCTTCTGAAACAACACGGTCATAAAAGTTTACTTTCCTTGCAGACCCAACTTTTTCCTCTGGGGTCTTCTCTAACAATATTCAAACATCAGCTCTTCTACAGTCACTAAATTCTGCCTGCATTGAAAACCGTCTTCAACAACAAAAGCCAATTTTAGGTCTTCCTGTTGTAATAATGCTTCTGTGATAGGTGGACTAACCTCTGTTTAATTCTGCCTCTGCCACGTATCAGCTGAGTATGATTCTTAACCTTTTCAGTTTCCTTATCTGTAAAATGGGGGTCATGAGACTTAAAACGTTGTTATGCAGGTCAAAACAGATAATGCATAAGGTGCTTAATACAGACATTAATTCTTATTAAGGAAGATAATTGTATGTCATTTTCCCCCCAGTGATAAATATGTTTTGAGAAATAGACCTGCTTTTGTTCCTACAGAGATATCCTTATTATTTTATTCTTATGACAACACCCCAAGAATATTCTAAAATATTCTAAAAAGAATACTCTTGGGGTGTTGTCATAAGAATAAAATAATAAGGATGTGGCAAATAACCCCAGAATATGTATAATGCTGTGCCCTAGAAAAGGGGCCCTGCAAATGGTCATTGATTTAGATTACATGAAATTTAATGTAGGTGCAAAAAAGATTTCAGATACATGCACCTTTAAAATGCTTTTTATAAATGACTTGAATTATTTGCCCAAAGGATATGTTTAATGTAAGAATATTCCAAAACTGAAGTTATCTCACTGAAGATTCCTCACCTGTCAGCTGCTTACAAGAAAAGTTCATCCAGTTCAATTTTTATGTGAGAGATTAGTTTTAGGAGATAATTTCACCGATATCAGTTGAAATGCTTTTCATATGGGCCATGGAGTGTTATAAATTCTAACTTAATAAAAGGCGAAGGAAAAAAATTGCCTGTAGATTTCACACATGGAATCTATTCCACGTTGTTTTTGCTAGTTTTTCCAAGACCCCGAGGGGATCCAACAACAATAGGTTATATTGAGTGCAATTAGAACCATAATGCAGAAGCAAGTAAATTAGGGCAGATGTTGATATTTCAAAACTAGTCTGCTTTTCTTACATTTGGACACAATTCACGAGATGCATTGAGAAGTACTGTGATTACTGACAATGTCTCCTCTTCAATATATCAAGACTGTTTACAGAAAACAGAAAAAAGCATCCATTAGTGCAACTCCAAAATCTTACCCTAAACAATGTTATTCTATTATATGGTAAGTGTTGTAATTATGTAACTGCACCCACAATTGGAACCCTAGATTTTGAATGTTTAAATTTAATTCTGCATGTCACCTCTCTGGGTTATGCAGCAGACAGATGTGAGCCGGAATGGGGGGCAGTGGCACTGGAGTTGGGACCAACAGGGTAGATAGGGTGAGGATCGTTGAGCAATGCTTTGTTATTAGACATCAGTGTGTGCTGTCAATGGCTTAGTGAAGCTGCTCGTGATTTGGGAGGGGCTTCTCTGGCCAAGCAGGACAGAAACCAAAGGAAAGAAGGAATCATAGTGGGAGTGAACAGGAGGTGTGGAGGGGGTCAGGGTGGTCAGCGCTAGTCTGCAGAGAAGGAAGGTGCCTTTTAGGAGGAATCAAGCCGGTGGAATGCAAATTCAACTGGGAATAGAAGCCGGAGCCTTGGAGCAGCTTCAGGGAAAACTACTCTCCAGTTTTCTGTCTAAACAGCATAGCAGTAGAGGGAGCCAACCCCAGAGGACTTCTGCAGCCAAAGAAACTCTGAGTTGGGGGGAGTATATTTTATTTTTATTTATTATCACAACACGGACTATAAATTTTAAAACCTATTTGAGTAATTTCCCTGCAGAAGAAATCTGACTCTGTTCCCACAGCCTCCCTTCTCTCAAAGTGCTAAGTGTGCCACAGAGCATTTGGAATTCTTCCTTCAAAGTTCCAGGTTGTCCAGCCCCTCCTACCACTGCAGGTCTCTCTTGGTCCTGCTGATACTGGAGCTTATTTATGAGGGCTGCTGAGGGGTGGGTGGGCAGGGGGACAGCTGCCAGGGCCTGCCCCCCACCATGGGAGATTTGTGGCAGGTGGAGGGGGAGGCGGATATAATGACCATTTGCAGACAACCTATTTAAGCAACTGTTTGTTATACAATAAAAATTACTCGGTGGCTCTGAGCATGAACTCTCCAAGGGAGGGTGCTGTGGGAGGCAGTTGGAGACTTTGTTTTAATCAAATGAGCAAGCAGGAGCTTAGGGCTTTGTTGCGAGAGGGGATGGCTTTGTGGCGGCCTTTCTTGCTTCCTCCTGGCTTCATTTGCTTGTCAGGCAACAGTGTGGCCCCTGGGGGACTCCCCTAGATGAGGCAGCTGCAAAAGAGAAAGTCTCTAGAATTGGGAAGTGGTAAGTGTAACTCAGAATCTATAGGGAGGGAGCTGGGCAGAACAGTTTTGTGAAGCACCTTCCAAACACACAGGTAAAGGTAACTCCTTTCAGTTATACACATTTTCATAAGAACAGGAGCAAATAATATTCATGCCATGTCCTAACACACCCTAACGTACACTGAGTCTAAGCTGTAGTAACTGACAGAAGCAGCAATTTCCAGAGCCAAGGACCCTGAGAACTGAATCTCATGAGCCTCTAGAGGGGAGAACCAGGGGCCAGTGGTAGCAGAGCTCCCCAGGTGAACCCAGGCACCAGGGAGCCTCCAGATTGCTGCACAGGGGACACAGCAGCTCCAGGAGACAATCTCTGAAATTCCACCAGCATCCTTATGTGTCTGCATACTGCAGGAGAATGTTGGTGTCAACACACTCTGACATCAGAGTGTGATGTCACACACTCTGATCCTCATCCCTGGCTCCAGGACCCCATAGCCTGAAATGATTTTTAATACATGCTATTTGCTTATTTCAAGGAAAAGGGTCAATCGCTGAGCAAGAGGAAGGGAAAGAGAGTCTGGAGCATTTGAGCAATAAAAGTGAGGTCAGATAAAACCCTAGCATTGCAGAGCTTGCATACAAGCTGGATTTCTCTATGGGTTTTTACACCAAACAAAAGACAAACAGTTCGTCTACCCATTTGGCCATGGGAGTTGCAGGGAGCACAGTTCTGGCAGCCGAGCTGGGCTGTGGAGAAGCTAAGTTCTCTATCATGCCTAGGGCTGCCATTTGGGGCTGCCCACCAGCTTGTCAATCTCAGTGCATGTAAAGCTAGTGATTAGAGGACTTAGTCTCCGTAGCTCATCTCTTTGAAGCTGATTCCCCACTCAGAGACTCTCCCTGCTGTAGAGAGACTGGAGTCTTCCGCAGGTTCCTCCTGCAAGCTGTTCACCCTGCTTTGTATTATTTCTTGGCGTTTGTATGTACCCTGCTTGCATCTAATGTATATTTATTCTCAAGGACCGAGAGCCTCAGCAGGCAGCTGAAGTTTAAGTGAGTGAATGGCACAGCCGCACTGGGAAAGATTCATTATCGGTACATTTCTAGGTTATTTGACGTGGGAGAGTTTCAGCAGTTTATCTGGTGAGGAGAAGGCAAAGTGACAATGTGGGAACCTCTTCTGATGTGCAAAAATGTGCAGCCGACACAGGATTGCCATTTATTAAATCATAAATGTAATGCCAGATTTTTTCCAGAGAACAGCAGGGAAAATAAATACTTGAGGCGTGGGCCAGTGTCCTAGAACTAGCCCTGGGTCCTGTCCATCACTCAAGCCACCTCCCAGGGACTCCGTTTCTCTAGATGAGCTTTAGCTCTCTTAGCGGCAACATTATGAAGCAGAGTTACTAATATGACTCTTTTGAATATGAAAAATAGAGAGAAAACCCTTTTTAATCTTTGTTTTTATGGCTGCAAACATGATTACATAGAGGAAAATCAATCCCAATGGAACAAAATGGATAATACAAAGTAATTGATTGGCCTTTATCATTTTCCATTATGATATTAAAATAACACCATAATATCAAGCGGCAGCCACTGATACATAAAGGAAAACCGGAGATGATTATGTCTAAGGGTAATCAGGTCACGGAAGTGTGAAGGTAAGATAAATAAGGTAAATACAAAAATGAAAAAAGGCTTAAAAGAAGCAAAAGGGAGTTGGTGGCAAAGAGGCTACATAATAGAAGGGAGATCTAATGTTTGGAATATCATTAAGCAGTAAGCCACGAGAGACAGTCTATTGCAGCTGTGTGATTGCAGTATGTCTCGGTTGGTGTCCCAAGCCATGGGGGCAAAAGCTGAGTGACTTTAACTTCTCAGGAAGTGCAATAATCCTTTCAGAATACAGTGCCTGCAGGCCTACTGCCATCAGGCTATGAAATTTAGAAAATGAAATAGAGGAAGCATTTAGCTCTTCGTATTTCCCAGGCACTAATGCCACCAACATGGCATCATAAGCAGCCACTTAGAAAACCTTCATTTACAGCCAACTTTTCAAACTGCTGGCGACCAGTGTGGCTTTGCAGACCTGGGATGCCATGGTTTGTGTCCTATTGGCAAGCAGTTGATGCGAACCCGTTGATAAAAATTGCATCAATATAATGCCTGGATACATTAATCTGTGTTCTTCCCTATTATATATTTCCATACAGATTTATTTTCTCTCTTTTAACATACATTCATACTTACATGCATAAATGTTACTATTTATACCACTTTATGTAAAAATAGGACAAAATTTTAATTCCTACCAACATTTTTCTTCTTCGGAAATGCTTCATATTAAAAATATGTATATGTGCTTTGTGTCTGATCAATAAATAAATATATGTAGGAGCCAGTTAATTAAAAATAGATAAGATAATTGTTTTGGTATTATTACATAACATGCTTCTGAATTAGACTTCTTAACACGATGTCACACTTGTGTTAAGCAAACATTGCAAATAACTCTGTTGTGGCCGGAAGTCAGCATTCACACTTAAAACATAGTAGAAAAATGTCATGCCCACCAGAGTGATCCTGCTCTTTAGATTAGCAGTAATCAGGAATATAGCTTAAGGTGGCGGAACAAATCACTGTGTGGGTTGAAAGTATTAGTGGACTGGTTAGCTGTGATACCCTCAAGAGGTGTGGGAAGTAGTTGCTCACTTCGCAGAAGGACTCCAGATGTTATAGAATTTGTTTCTGACTTTCTGAAATCCTGGATTGTACTCATTTATTCATTCGTTTGTTTATTTGTTCCAGGAACACTAAGTTCCTATTACGGATGAGTCCAGAACTGAGGCTACAGAGGTGGTCTCAAGAGGCACTGTATTAGTAAATGTCCTCCAGAGAAACAGAACCAATGGGATATATCTATCTCTGTCTGTCTATCTATCTATCTATCTATCTATCTATCTATCTATCTATCTATCTATCTATATCTGTCATCCATCAAAAGTGATCAATTTGTTCGACTTATGGAATTGGCTCACTTAATCGTAGAGGCCAAG
Source organism: Homo sapiens (assembly GCF_000001405.40). NCBI lineage: Eukaryota > Metazoa > Chordata > Mammalia > Primates > Hominidae > Homo > Homo sapiens. The sequence goes on along the minus strand of NC_000001.11, from coordinate 83,758,170 downwards.
AATTCCCACTATCTGCCATCTGCAAGCTGGAGAACCAGGTAAACCAATGACGTAAGTAAGTCCTGGTCCAAGTCCAGAGGCCCAAGAACCAGGAGCATAGATGCTGAGGGTAGAAGAGGGATGTCTGAGCCAAATGGGAAACGAATTTGTCTTCCCTCTGCCTTTTTGTTCTGTCAGGGCCCTCAGTGGTCTAGATGATGCCTGACCACATTGGTGAGGGCAGATCTTCTTTACTCAGTCCACTAATTGAAATGCTCATCTATCCCAGAAACACCCTCACAGAGATACCCAGAAATGATGTTTTACCAGCCACCTGGGCATTCCTTAGCCCAGTCAAGTTGACACATAAAATTAACCATCATAGGTGCACAGGCTAATGGGGAGGACTGGTGCATATAAACAGATATTTAAAAAGGTCCTAGATGATATGACACAAACGCTAAGAAACACACAGAAAAGAGAAGTCAGGGAACAGCTTCCCAGAGACAAGTATAGATGGAAAAGTCTACTTTTCTGTGCAGATAGAATAGATGAGAAAGGGCATTTTAGACAGCACAATGCTTCCACAAATGGTCCAAGAGACACAAACAGCTACTGTGTTGGGAAACAGAGGGAAGGCCAGAATGGCTCATGTTCCAGGTACAGGGCATGGAGTGGCGGGAGATGACAGGATCGCAGGTGAAGCTCAATGCATAAGGGCCTTGTCTGCCATGGAAGACAGTTGCCCCTATGGGAAATCGGAAGCCTGTAGAGGTGTTTAAGCAAAGATACAGTCTGGCGGGGTTGTTTGGGGGTGACAGCACTTTGGTATACGATAGAAAATAGGTAGGACTGGGGAAAAGAGGGGCCATTACACAATGTATTGATCCACTGTTCTGGTTGAAGCTTAATGCACCAACTGTGGCTAGTGTGGAAAGAACACACCAAAACAGTTGTACTTTGTATAGCAAATGGTCTTGGCAGCAAGTCACAGAACACTGGCTTAAGCAATATTGAAACTTATGTAACAAGAAGTGATGGCTCTGTGTGGGCTACACCAGGGTTCCAGCTCCACTTCGCAGCCAATCTCTTAGCTATGCCTCTTCATGTTTTGGCTGCCTCCTTGGGCTGATAGCGATATGGCTGTAGCAGTTCTGGCAGTCCCATCTAGACATACGATGTCCAGAGGAAGAAGGACCACCTCTTTTTTTAATATCTCTTTCTTAGGAGTGAGGAATCCTTTCCCAGAAATTTTCAGCATGCCTCCCATCATTGGCCATATTAGGTCAAATGACCATTTCTAAACACTTGATATTGTTTTACAACAAACTATAGGGAATTAACTACCGTGTGTGTTCGGCCTTCCTCTAAGTATCTTCTCTTTTGATCTTGCACTTTCTCCTACTGAAAAGATAACTTCTAGCTAGTTCTGTAATAGGCAATGGACTCTTCCACACTATCCAGGGTACAAGTACTGCTACATTGCTCTATCAATGTAGGCGTATCCATGAAGATTGGGGGGATGTCTTCTACACTCACTGTACATGACTCCCTTCCCTTTCTTCATGTTGTTAGATGGAAATCCTGGGGTTTACACAGATCCATAAGATATGAGGAGGACCTCATCCCCAGTCCGCGGTGCCTCACTCTTGTTGTCCTTGCCCAGGCCTATAAAGTCTTCTCAGATGTGATTTAAGATTCCTGCAACTCTCTCAGAATCTGCACATCTCATCCCGTTCACAGGCCCTACGGATTCAAGTTCTTCCCAGTATAGATCCTGGCCTTTCTATACAAACCCAGATAAATTCAGCTAAATTGTCTCAGTGGGTGTGCATAGGCTTGATTAGTGATTGTCTGCCTGGGTTTGTTTCTACCTAGCAACTTCCCTCCAGATCTTGAAGACCCAAATGCCTGGTCACCTTGGCAGGGGAGACAGAAGATGTGCATTTGGAGAGTTTATTCAGTTCTTCCTGATGAGTGCATCGTCAGCCAAGTAATCAAATCAGTGACTTATTTGTCCATTCTATAGGATTGAGTGTTGTTCAATGTCCTGATACACAGTGCATCAGTGCATTGAAGGAGGAAGCAGCTATGCTGGGCTGACCTGAGTCTTAATTGGTCTCTTAGAGGAAGTCTGGCTTTGGGGGTTCCCCAATCCCGCAGATCCAATGTTCTCTTCTTCTATTACCCTTGCTCCTCAAGCCCCAAGACACCACCATTTCCTGAGTTTACTGATTGGAGGTGCTTCAGAGGGGAAACGATCAGATTGATCAATTCACACCAAGTAAGAAAAACTAACAATCCTGATTAAGATGGTATTCACATCAGAGCTATTTGAAATTTTAAAAAGATATCTTCCAACTCAGATAGACCAACTTCTAATGGTGGAATTTCAGGCAATATAGAGGAGTATATCTATTGGCAGAGTTGCAGGTGTGACTTCTTAAATTATTATATGTTCTAATAGAATCTTCTATAGACATTTATTGTAGAATATTATATTTTAATTGTCTGCTGAAGGGGATTTTTTTCCCCATAAAACTGTGACTTCCTTGAGGCCAAGACCATGCCTCATTTATTGTCCTGTCTTCAGCCCCTAGCACAATTCCTATCACAGAGCAGTTTAATGTTTTTTGATGGTTGCTTAAAGCATCTCTTTGCAATTAAGCTGTTACATGGTTCTGGGGGAATCAAAGAGAAAATTAAGAAATCATTTTCTCTTTTTCTGTCCACTAAATAATCCATACTTCCCTAACTTTCACTGCATTTATATTTTGTAAATCTCTATTGCACAGTTTGGAACTTTTTGATTGCCCCACAATTCCCTTAAAATGAAATGTCCCCTTCTAGGCCTTGTTATCTGGATGTTTTTGTGACCAGTTAAGAAGTTCCCATATTTGAAGTATTAAGTGTGAAGTATGAAGACCTAACTTGACTTTACCTCTTTTGGATGTTCATATGTGTTTCACAGATATTTCATCCCAGGGGAAATTTCTCTGATTTTCCCGTTAAAAACTCTTATTTCAGTCTGAGCCTGGGGCTTAAGTTTAACTTTTGAGAGGCTCATTCCCTTTGAGCTGGAATATGATTGTAAATACATGCAGGGTCTGTAGATAATTCTCACTCATTCTTTAGCAGAGGTGACACTATTGCAAGGTGAACTAGCAATAAGGCCTCACACACTGAAATGCTCTCCTGGCCTAGCTAAAAAAAGGTATCACAGTTGATCATTTTATGTTATAATGAATAGCTGTTATGTTGTCTTCCTAATATCTTTTTCTTTCAGCAATTGTCCTTTCCAACCTGTTGAAGATGTTGGCTATAAGCAGGTGTCTCCCCTGCCATGATGGCAGGCATGTGACTCAATCTGGCCAACTAGGGCACCCCCTCTCTGCTCTTGTGATTGTTCATAAATGGTCACATGACTCAAATTTAGCCCATTAGAGGCATCTTCAGGAGTTCTGCAGAATTTGTTAGTAAAGAAGCCCTGACTTCTCTCTGTCATAACTAAATCTAACATATGTTTTGAGTTGAGTTGTGGGGATTATTTTTGCCATAATGCGCAAAGAGAAAGCAGAACCAAGAGATAAATGAAGGAAGGGAGGGAGGAAGGGAGAGAGAGAGAAGGAGCACCAATGTAATGTTTGAAGACCTAGATCCACCCATATCTGATAATTTGATAAATTCTCTTTGATTCAGTTTAAGCTAATTTGAGTTAGGTATCTGTAAGTGACATCAAAAAAGATTCCAGGTAAACAAACATGTTCCTAGTTTATTTACACAAGTACAAATTATATGAGCTTTACGAGATAAAGGTGTATATATTTTTAGCCATTTTAAAATTGCATTTTGAAACCTGTCATCTGAATCCATTGAACTGGGTATTATCAAATATTAACTTTGAACACACTAAAAAAAAAAACTAGTACATGCTTTGTTAACATGACATTACTTCACTATAAGAGCAATTCCTACAGCCTACACTTACATGAATGTGCAACTGATTCAGGATCCTGTGACTTCTAGGGAATTCAACAAAATAGCTGTTAGTAACTAATTTTATATGTATCTGAGAAACATTGGGAAAGTAAACAAACTGGTTGTGGACTAAAGATAAGATTATACTCAGCATAAAAATAAGAGAGAGAGAGACTATGACAAGAGCAGAAATTTTGAGTCAAGTTATATGGAAAACAAAGTAGCTGATTTCCTTGGGTATGTATCGGCATTGGTAGCCTTAGGATCATTCATATTCTTCAGGTCACAGCTTGGATACTACTTCCTCTGAGAAATTCTTCATCATGGCACTCAGTACTTCCTTCTCAGCTAGCCGTTACTATACCAAATTTGAATTGCGGGTTTACCTTCTGGTTCCCCAAACAGACAATGAGCCCTTGCTCATTGCCACGTCTTGTTCATTGCCTGTCTTGTTCATTGCCACGTCTCTCTTATTTAGCTCAGTGCTCTGTATCTGGCCCATTCCCAAGGCATATTGAGCAAAGGGACATGTCTGTCAGTGATGTCTCAAGGCTGGCCGCGCAGAGGACCCGTGTTGTGGGAGCTTTCCCCTCTGGGTCCAAACCTGGAGGATACTGTTCTTTCTTGACCACTCAGCATCCCCGTTAGGTTGATTATTATGCTATGGTATTTATTATGTTTAATACTTAGGTGCCTCCGACAGAGTCCAAGGCTCAGCAGAAACATGATCATGCAGTGGAAACTGTATGCAGATTTATCTGACCTTGGTTTCTCTCCTCCCTACATTTTGTACATGTAAAACTGCTAATAATGTACTGTTAGACTTGGTTTCCAGGGTGGAAGAGGAAAAAAAAAGTATTCTGAATTTACCAAGAATGGTTTTAGGTATTTCAGGCTTGATGTCATTTAGTCCTCCTAATTACTGTAAGAATATTATTTCATTTTATAGATGACCAAATTAGACAGAAGGCAACTTCCTCTAAAATAGCTTGTAGTGAGGCCAAATTTGAATCCAGATCTGCCTAACTTTCCAAATGTAGGCTTTTTGCACAATACTAGTTAGAAGGATAATTTCAACCTAGGATATTCAAACCAAGTTTTGAATAAGTCAACTTGTTTATAATTATATATTCCTTGACAAAAAAAGCAATGTATTATAAAGTGAATTCAATTACACTCCTCTTTCAATTGTCAGCAATAAAAAAAAAAACTGTGGGGAGAGCAGATTACCAGCAAATTTTATATGGATAAAACTCATAAATAATATGTGAGTAACTAAAAGTTGCCATCAGACTGTATCCTTGGCTATAAAAAGAGACTGGTTATAAGTGAGGTGTGATGAGTACCATGTTAGGTCAATTTACTCCTCCAGAGTTTATGACAAATAATTATTTAGCAGATGGAATTTTCTGTAGGAAATTTCGTTTACTCGACTTCCTCTTTACTTACTCAGTTTCTTCCTAAGATTGAGTCTACTTAAGAATAACTTCTGGGATACCATTTGGGAGAGAAACACAGACTTACTTTATTCCAGAGGGAAAACAAAAGATTGTCTAAACATCAGCTTAATCCATAGACTGTAGTAGAGGTAGTATGTCTGTTCTCCATGAGGAAGTCTGGGGAGAGCAGAATAAATACTCTGTGTGGAAAATCCAGAAGGGACCTCTGTTGTGGAGTCTAAATTATGAAGTGTTCTCAGGAAACATGTATTTTATCCTGGGCTGAGGCCAGCTGGGGTTGGAAAGGCAGTCTCCAATGATTTGACATTTCCCTGATACCTCCTGGAGGAAATACTCAGGTTCCTAGAGGGGAGTGTGTTCTGGTCTGACAGTTCATGTCTATTTTCAAGGCACCATTACCTATGGCAGGTGATGAAGTACTCTGTAAGTTTTGACATTGTGAAATGTGGAATGATTCAAAAGGGTCTTGCCCTCATAGACTGAGAAGACTGTACTCCTTGTGAGTCTTTACAGGTCTCTACTTCATGTGTACACATGTATAGACATAGAAAACCATGCACATGCATGTACACATGCTCTCTCACACACACAGACACACTGCTGATTTTTTAACTTTGTACTTTTTAAAAAGGCTTTTATTTTGGTGCTTTGTAATAGGGATAAAATTTTGAAAATACTGTGCTACGTATTTTATTACCCCTTAAATCTTATTCTCTTGAAACTTTTTACCTCTAAGGCTGAGCATGAATCATATGACGTCTGGGAAGGTGTGGGCTGGGGGATGCAACACCCAGGGCAAAGAAATCCAAACTATTGTTGCTATGGATGGAATGTTTGTGTTCCTCCAAAATTCATTCTATTGAAACTCTGATCCCCAGTGTGATGCCCTTTGGAGATGGGGTTTTTGGAAGGTAATTAGGACATGAGGGTGGAATCCTCATGAAAGGATTAGTGCCCTCCTAGGGAGAGCTAGAAAGGAGCCTCCTTCCATTCTATTTCTCTGTCTTTGCCATGTGAGTTACAATGAGAAGAGAGCCATCTGCAAACTCCAGGAAGAGGCCCTCACTAGGAATCGAAATGCTGGCTCTTTGATCTTGGACTTTACAGCCTCCAGAACCATGAGAAACAAATGTTTGTTGTCTAAGCCACCCAATGTATGGTAATTTCTTGTGCCAGCCTGAGCTGATTAAGACAATGAAAGGGAAGCCCTAGTTATGAAGGAAGAGAAAATAGAAAGATTGTGCCCTCTGTCATGTGCGATGGTAGAAAGAGAAAAGAAAGATGTAAGGAAATGACATGTTCTGAGCTCTAATCTAGAAAAAAATTTGGGAGGTTACCAAATGGAGGTCACAGACTTCAATGCAGCTTCAAGTTTGAGTATTGAGACCCAATTTTGGAGTCATTCTCCAAGGGAGATGGCCTGGTTCTCCAAGAACTTCATTAATTACAGCTGTTCATTTCAAAGGTGAACACAGTAGGATGTCCAGCTAGGGCACCTTCAAAGCCTAGACCAGTCAGCCTAACATAGACAACTGCCTAGGTACCAGCATGAGACCAAGGGCCTCTCCATCCCCAATCATGAAGACTGTAACTTATCCCCTGCACTCAAACATCATTTAGTGAAAGAAGAGGAGAAAGGAGAAACAGTTCCATTAGGGAGTGAACTGTGAGTTGACTAAAAAATTATCCCAAAGAGGCTATGTAACCCAGAGGAGCTGAAACATCATCAATAGGCAAATTTAAAGTTAAAGCCTGTTGCTCCCCACCCTTTACTCCCATCAGCCACCCAGCAGGGTGGAAGCTTGTGAGAAAGATTTTATCACTTGTAGAAAATAACGAAGCTCCCCTTTCTCTGCACATCTGGTGTGTTAATGGTGACCCTACCAACATAAGTAATACCTGCAGCACAGTTTTGGAATCCCTGCTGGGACAAATGTCATTTCCTGGGTCTGTCATTTTCTGGGCCCAGGAAAAGCATCACTAGGTAAAACTTATTAATGCAACTGGAAGTCTTGCTTCTTTAACTTCAACAGCCTTCCAAGTTTGGTTGATGCTTGTTCAAAGAATGAAAAATGCCTTTTGGCCTATGTTTCCCTGTGCAGCTAAAGATCCTAATTGTGCCATTACAAGCTGATACATAAATCTGTGCCAAGATTCTCATAATATTATATCTGCAAATGAGATCTTGAAGGTATTGTTCTCCCTTTCACCTGATGACAGAACAGAATGCTTCATTTAAAAATGGCAAAGAAGGATGATTGAGTTCAATTCAGCCTGATGTTTGGGTTTGTATATTTTAGGGCAAATGAACTCAGAAGACAGAACAGTTTGAATGCATCAGGAAAACAGGCTGAAACATCTGGAAAAATCCCTTTGAGATTGAAAGCATATGATGCACAACAAAGCCAACAACAAAGTCTCAATCTTAATGCTTTTACTATTTCTTGATTGCAGTGAAGCAGAGTTGCCAGCCATCTATGGATCCTAACTAAATTGGTCCTTGTAATACTCGGTATTATTTGCCAAGATATTGAAAAACCTCTAAACAGTGAGAAGGTAAGATGCTAAATATCTAATATACTCTTTACAAATTTAAGGGAGTCAGAAAAAAAGTAATTGAAGCATCCAGAAGAATTGGATTAGGAGTTAGTAGATTTTACCCAAATCTCACTTTTATTTGTGGCTTTTTTTTTCCTGACAGAATATTTACTAGAGTTAATAAGAAGCCTTTATATTTGTTAGCATATTTATTCCAAGTAGCTCAAAGGCTCCACAGACATTCTTTTATTATTTCTTACAATATCCCTGTAAGGTTTTTGGCAACAGGATAGGTATTATCCTTGTTAAACCTGGTACAGAAAAAGTATCTATTTTCAAATGTAATTTACAAAGAGCACCTCTTAGACAGAAATCTAAATTGCTGTTAAGAAATTCTCTTTCGGGAATGTTTTTCTCCTCTTTCCTCTTTAAAGTATGAAGCTGTCAATTCTGTCATTAGTCATCGCAGTAACTTTTTCCCATTCAGACCAAGGTCAAAAGTCTCCTGCTGTTAGTCTATCCATGAAAGTGCTTGAACATACACAGCCACATGTCATGCATATTTATGTTGCACAGGTATTAGAGTAAACATAAGAGGGATGAATTATTAAGGGCAAAGTAGGACTGATGAAATGCTGTTAGTTTGGATGGTTGACTGATTTGTCCTTTTACGGGCTTACATGAAGCTGTTGAACACAAAGGAAACAAACTTGATCTTGCTGTTAAGCTAACTCCTTAAGAATGATAAGTCTTAGGGGTTGAGAATGGGGAAAATGATAAATATGGATTGCTATAGTTTGAATGTGTCCCCTAAAGTTCATGTATTGAAAACTTAATCCCCAGTGCAACACTGTTGAGAGGTGAGACTTTTAAGAGGTGATTAAGTCATGAGGGTTCTGCCCTCATGAATGGATTAATGCCATTTTTGTGAGAGTGGGTTAGTTATGGCAGGAGTGGGTTTCTCATAAAAGGATGTTTGGCCTCCTCCCCCTCCCTACCCTCTTGCCTTTCCACCTTCCACCATACGATGAAGCAGCAAGAAGGTCTGTACCAGTTGTGAGCCCCCAAACCTTGGACTTCCAAGCCTCCAGAACTGTAAGAAATAAATCTCTGCTTTTTGTAAATTCCCCAGTCTCAGGTATTCTGTTACAGTAGCACAAAACAGACCAAGACATGCATATATACATATGTACACACAGAAAAAGAAATAATTGTGTATGTGTGTGTATATATGAATTTGAAATGTTCATTTCATAGGTGAACATAGTAGGATGTCTGGCCAGGGCACCCTCAAAGCCTAAACCAGTTAAACTATTATGGACACCTGCCTAGGTACCAGCATGAGAACCACGGCCTCTCCATGCTCACATCATGAGGACTGTACACACTCAAATATATATACACACACACACATACACAATTGAGTTATTTCAAGAAATGCACAAAAACCTCTACTTCTTATTTATCAGGGTGTGTAGGCCCCTTGAACAATGTCATGTGGCGGCTTCCATCAGTCCTTGGTTCTCCTGTCCATCTTTAGTTGCACTGGACTTTTTAAACTCAAGGATTAGTATCTATTTCCAAAGCCACTTTACACTCAATTATCAGAGCCTCTGTCTGGAATGAAGGTCTGTTTTCAGATCTTTGGCTCTGACATAGATAGTGGAATATTATTGCAACCCTCAGGTGGGTTTTTAGAGACAATTCTTCTTCCATGTTAAATAAGCACAATTGTCTGGTGTTTAAGGGGCATCATGCTTTACAAAGCCTGAAGTCAATTCTTTATTGGAGACTAAGATTGTGGTAAATGAGCCCCAGAAGGTTTCAAGGGAAAATGCGTCCAGTCTATTTATCTGCTAAACCTATTCTGCCTTTTTTTGTTGGGACTCCTCTCTGATTTCTTCAGGTTGGCTGAGCAAGGAGACTGCTGAGTGCTCCAGTCTCCTGTAGCAGTTTGTTTTAATTGATGCAAAGGAATGCAGAGCTGTAAAGAGTACAGCTAGAGGTGTTTTTCCCTGTTCCTTTTTGAAAGAGTTCTGTGCACGAGGTGCTACAATGAAATTGTGGGCTGGGAAGATGTGGGGATGAGAAGGGTAGATGACAAAGAGTCAGTTAAAAGGCAGGGTCTGGAATATATCTGGAGATCTGAATTTTGTGCTGAGGACGAGAAGGCCAGATTCCAATTTCCAGGGCTGCTAGATTCCTGTTTGTGATGTTATCTCTTGGTTATTTGTTTTTCTGTGGTTGAAGAGGTTGAAAGTTCTCAAAAAGGGAAACAAAAATCTCAAACTAAAACATGCCACCAAAAGTCTTGATGTAAAAAAATCTTTAGTCTTCGTTTTGCCCAAAGGGAATAAAAATCCTCTCTTTAAAAGAATTGTTATTGTCTGAAAAGAGCAGAGATGTCCTCCCACTATGCTCTTAGGTAAATGACAATGACAACCAGTAACTTATTGCCTGACGTGTTTTGGTTATTGTGATTGTTTTTTGTACTTCCTGACCTAAGACATCCAGCATGGTAGAACTATGTACCCATCAAATAGCCACATTTTACAAAGTTACATTTAAATAGAAGATTGTTACATTGACCAGGTAGTGCTTATCATTTAAAAAATAATTATTTCTTCCCTATTACTTATAACAACTACTCTAAAACTCAAAAATGAAATCTATTTTCTCACCTCAATTTTCTCTCCTCCATCAGGTCTGCATACACTGGGGAACTTCCGGTGACTGCTGGGATGCTGGCATTGGTCTTTTCTTTCCCTGGGGGCAAAAACTGACCTTGGATTTTTTATCTTTTGGGGGAAAATATCACACCTTTTACAAATAACCAGGTTTTCTTTTCTTTCTTCTGATTTGGGTTATTTTGTGTTATCAAACAGTCTTGGGCTGGCTTAAAAGTCATTTATCTGTCCATTTATATGTTTATATACTTAAGTATTTATCTAATCATTCATGTAATATTTCGATGCCTCACATGTGCTAGATATTGTGCAAGGTGCCTGGGATGGTGAATTGACTAAAGCAGATGCTGCGTGTACTTTCACAGAACTTTAGGTCTATCGTGTTGCATTAAGTTGAGGAGAAAATTATACTATTTATTGTATAGAGGGTTGTTCTTATTTCCATAAAAAATGATAAAAATATTTTTGCCAAAGATAGTTGGTACAAGGAGCTTATCTTTGTATTCATTAATCTTGACGGTAATCTACTAATCACTTTGTTCAGTTCTTCACTGTGTGATAGGCTTTTAGAGACATTAGATCAATTCTGAAAGGTAGGAAAAAAAAGGAAATCATGGCATATTTGGATTTTCAGAAGTTATGTGGAAGGCTAGGAATTAATATGGTATATTGATTTCTCAGTAATTTTACCTGATTAGTAAAGAGAGTATCAATCATTTTATTGTATATGTTCTCTTAGAGCTGGATAGCAAACAACATCTTAGACCTGGATAGGAAAGTACCACCTTTGATCTGACTAGGAGAGTATTATCTTAGACTGAATAGGACAATTCATAAGCATTGAGGGAAAATTAAGTGTTGTTAATTAAAATGCACACTGATGCCTTTTAATATTGGACTTCCTCAAACACATTTGAATCTCGCATATCAAATCAGAGCCAAGCAGAGGGCTCTGGTCTCGGTGGTAGCCTTAGCTTCTTATGTGTGAGATTTGGTGAGTACAAGTTGACTTAGGTCTGTGGTTTTACCAAATGCAAATTTTGTCTCGGAGTCTGAACTGTAGACAAGAGGAAGGTTCCACTGCCAAGAGAGTGGGGTGCAAAAGGAGGCCAATTTTTGACCTCTCATTTTAAAGCCACTCACCTCTGTTTTATTGCTTTTTCAACACTGCGTGAAAGCAGGAAACTTTCAAAGTCCGGGTGAAGCAAGAGAATGCTACCTTTCCAGGGACTAGGGTAGCTTTAATTAAAATTGGGTTTTATTTTGGAATGATTTGCTTTGAATTTGAACCAAAAAGAAGTGAAAGAGGAAGAGAGAAAAGTAGAGCAATTGATGGTCTCCCTAATGGCAAAAAGATCAATTAATTTACAACGAGAAAAAAACAGAACTGTATTACAGATTTACAAAATGTTCATTATCTATGGACTTTGGATATGACCCATCATTAGCCTAATATGCAAGGCAGAGATCTGACAGTTCCAACCCTGAATTACGGGACCAGTTGATAAATTAAAAATCATTTTAAAATTTAATATTAAAATTGATAATTGCTCTGTGGGAAATAGATTTTTCTGAACTTACACCCTTTTCCTGCACTGCTGAGCAAATGCAAAGCGATAAACTGCCCATTTGTCACAATGATAGATAGACAAATCCTACTTTTACCCTTGTTCCTCAGTACTCATACATTTCAATTAAGGAGAATAAGTGCTACGATTTGTAATGTGTATTCATATTGTCTTATCTAGTTCTTTAGGGCTCAAAGAATTCTCCTTAGAAATAGAAAAAAATGTTCCCCAACACACTCCATATAACTATTGGGTTGTATTATTCAACCCTTCAAGGAACATGGCAGGGGGGCTAGAGAGTTATTGGCTATTAATAGTATCTTAAAGATGTGACATATAAAGTAGTATCTGGAAATAATTGCCAATCGTCTAAATTGATGGAACAGTTAGTTCCATCATGTTAGTCCTGCTGAATTCTCCTCTACGTTGCTAATGTTTGTTTACACTTTAAGTTTTTTGTGCAATTGTCACTTGAGGTATATTAGATTACTTTTTGCTGTTATTCACTTACTCCCTTTGCTATGGAACTTTGCAGAGAACTAGAGTAGGTGGGGTATACTTCCCATCTCATTGATGTTAGGCTTGGTTATATGACTTGCTTGAAGTCATTGAAATATTAGGGCATATGATGTGAATAAAGACCTTAAATGTGCTTGTGAAATGGTATTTGACTACTTGGGCTCCTCTGCTCATTATGAGGAGGGCAAATCCTAGGTATTTGTTGCTCCTTCACCCTAGGCCCCAGAATGAGATACACAGAGTGAACATGCACCTGACCTGAAACCTGTAGCCACGTCCAACCAACCCAGAGTCCAAAGCAGAACTTGCCCCAACAGCCCACAGACCTGTGAAGGAAGTAAGAAATGCTCGCTGTTGAAAGTTACTATGTTTTGGGATAGTTTAGGCCTGGTTTATTATGGAATATTAATTGCAGCGATAGCTTCCTAACATATCATTTCCTAAGGAAAACTTCTCTTCGCCTCAAGACTATGACTCACTATAAGCATTTATTACAATGATAACAAATCTATATCTTGCTCACCACTCTATCTCCAGTGCATGGTATATAGTAAATTCTCAAGTGTGTGTTGAATAAATAAATGAAGAGCTTCTCAGGTCTACTTTCTATGTCACACCATGTCCAACTGTCTTGGCTCAGTTCTGTGGCCATAGATAACATTCTTAGTAAGCCATATTGAAAAATTTGTGACTTTGTTTACAGCTGTGTCTGTTCTCAAGTGTTTTAGAGTCCTGAAAAGGAGATAACACAGATTAATCAGTGCTGTGAAAAATAAGTCTTTAGAGAGCACAAAGTTTGGGAACTGAACTCAGGCTGACAATGATGTCATTAGGGGATGAGAAATTTAGAATATCTCAATAGACATCCAGAGCAAGAAATATTTGAGCCATTTTAGAGATGTTGATGCCAAACTTTGAAGTTAATGGCAATAGTTAAGCATTTTTGCTAAGTACTTTATTTATTACCTTATTTGAGATAGATGTTTACATTTGTGCTAAGTACTTTATCTATTATCTTATTTGAGATAGAAGTTTTTATTATCTCCATTTTAAAAATGTGGAAAGTGAGGGTCAGAGAAAGCAAGTAATTTGCCCGAGTTCACAGAGCTAGCAAGTGGTGAAGACAGGGCTTATATCCTGGGCTGCTTGACTTCAATGACAGCTTGTATACACAAACCAAAAAATACCAACATTATAGTCACTGAGTCCTGAGCCCCTGGACCCAGGATGCTGTCTCCCTAGATTTCTGATTTTATTTTCCTGGGTTTGACCATTGTCTCCTATACTCTTCCTTCCCTTTTCCTGAAACAAATCTATTCATAACTATAGTTGTGGGTAGGGAAGGAGGTGTTCTTTCTCTGTGCTATAGAGAAAAGAGAGTATGCAGGAAGGGGGCCACTAATTAGCTGGTCCCAGCCCTTCACTAAGCTAGCATGGTTTCTTTATTTTTAAGGCTTCAAGGCAGGGGCCAGGCTGGGCAAAGAACAATGAGTAAGTCATGGAGGTGATGCTTTTAATGATATATCCGCTAATGAAATAGCACTCCATGGGTTCACTTATTAGTAACTTAGCTCAAACAGCCATGTCCTACTGTCAGCTTGCCATTGACGACCCAGTGTGACCTCGAATTGTCAGCTCCACCTGCAAAAGAGCAAATGTAGCAGAAAATACAGAAGCAGCAGCATAATTTGGAGTGGGAAGATTAGCAACAACAGGGAAAACTCTCAAATCTCTGTATTTCCAGTTTGCTGTGAAATAATGCCAGAAGTGTAGCTATTTGAAGAACAGGCAAACCTTGCAGTATTTTGGTTTGCATCTGATTTGTAAACAATAGGATGACTTGATTGAATGTTTTCAGAGGCTGGATGACAGTGTTGGTTCTGGAGGAGTGACTAGCACAACTCCATTCTCAACTAATTATATAGCGTAGATATTCTTTACGTTTTCCAGGGCATTTGGGATTTTTAACTTTATGTTCAGAAAATGATTTATGGGGAAACCACTTCTGTACAGATCTTGTTTGACGATTGGGGGATCATAAGTGATATATGGAAGTGAAAGTTTATGATACTTCCCACTTGTATGATCTTATTTATTCAAATAACTCAATGCCCTTTACATCAATGATTGAATTAAATCATTTAATATACCTCTGTCAAATGTGAGGTGTGTATTTACTCTACATTTTGTAGTTGGTTAGACAGGGCTGTGATGATGTGAACTGTTTTTCTTGAGAGATGAACCAAATCTTACACTCATGCTTTGCATCCCTGGATAAAGGCTATTCCCTAAATGTGCACTAATAAATGAAATTTTCCTTTTTCATGCCTATTTACATTCTCATTAACAATTCATGATTCCTATGCATTTGGTACTTTCTTTGTGCAAAGCTAAACAAACACATAGTTTTTTTTAATTTCTGAACTCTGATTGTAAAACTAGAGATTTTCCAAGGTGAAATGAATTCCTAGGAATCTTATAGCATGAAAGCTATAAGGTTTTTATTCTCACTGGTGAGCAAACCATATTTATTAGTGGTAAAATTATGGAAAGGGCAATGCACCTGAAACTGAATCAGCAGCTCGGGTCAGAAAAGCATTCCAGATGTCAGATATATGGTTGAAACCTGTTGGAATAGATCCCTTTTTCATGTTGCCCTCTCAGAGTCTCTTTTTATAACTTTTGAGGTCCGTGTGTCCTTGTACATAACTCTACCAGCTTCTCACTTTGCTTCCTTGTGACTTCTGAGTAATCAGCTCATTTCTCTCAGACTTGGAAACAGCCCCACTCAGCACCAGCTTCTGTTCCCTTACTGCCCTTGGCTATCTAGTCACGAAATCAAGCAGTAATGAAAATGGGTTTCATTAAACAGGAATCCTACTTATTTTCTCAAACCACTATGCTAATAATCTCCCTTCTCAATATAAAGGCTTAAACACATACGTGTATAACTAGGTTTTTTTTCAGATTTTTTTTTCTAAAGAAGATTATTTCCTGAGGATAAAAATACCCCTCTTCAAAATCCCAGACTTTGTTGTTAGAAATGAGGACCTGAAGTATATAGAACTCTTTTTTTTTTTTTGCTCCCAAAGTGAATGGAGCTTGAAACTCCCACCTTTTTAGTCATTCAGTTTTGAAAATGACCACAGAAGAGATATGAAGAGCTAAAACATTTCCTCACTAGAGCATCCATTTTGCAGGCCTTTATGAATAAATCAAGATGAGTATTAGAATACAGATAGATATACTTTATAGGCATATGAATATGGGTAGTAGAAATATAGCTTTTTTCCCCCTAGAACAACTGAAACAAGCACCAGGATGTACACAGTTTAATATTGAAGGAATGGCAAGTCTATGGAAACTCTAATGGGCATTGTGTCTTCCTTAAAGAAAGCCATGCACAGCAGACTGTCACCCTTCTTTCCTGACAGCCTGCTATTGCAGACACTATCTTGATTGGGGTTGAAGTTCTTCAGCTTCTGTCCTCTAATGCCTGTAGTTTCTAGTTGAGTATCTAACTTCCTATTTGTCTAGAGGCCTGTTTTGAAATCATCCTCCTTGGTAGTTATCCTGACATTCTGCATCACAGCCTCAATCTCTCCCCCCCTTTTTTTTCCCTTTTCCCTGTCATGAAGTTTGTGATCATCAGCAAGAAGTCAATTTTGACTCTTTTCACTCTCTGGAGCTTTTAGAGCTCTTTGCAAATACAAGGAGCATGACCCTGGAAATTTCTTTTCCCCCAGAAAAGGAAAAAGCTTCACTTGTCAATCAGTCATTCTGAGCTTACATGCTCACAAAGGAACTCAGAGCAGCCCCTGTCTAAATCCATCAAGGTGGGGGAGGGGAGCAGAGGAGGGGGACTCAAGTTACTGAATAACTGTGATCAGCTTTAAAGTCTAGCTTCAGTTAATTCTTACAATGCCTTTCATACTACTCAAACATAGCATAGATACACAAAAGAATGAAAGAACACTAAATCCTTTGTTAGAGGACAAGTTTGAGGAGCAAGGCATTCTGGTTAATAGAATTTCTGGTTAATCGGTTGTTAACTTGTTTATGGAGAGAGCTTGCCTAGGGCAGGGGTTTTCGTGAAGAGTACAGAAAGATGAATGTTTCTTTTCAGATGTGCACAGTTCGCTGATTCACCCTACACTACTTTGTGTCTTTCTTCTGGTTCTTATATTTGTTTTATATTACAGTGTGTTGTCCATATGTTTCTCTCACCCAGGAGGTTAAACACAACTTTAGAGCAGAAGCGTTTGGAAAAACCTGTAGCGTTTTGTAAAACCTGTAAAAAATATTTCACATTGTCAATGTTCATTAATTATTTGCTAAGTTGAATTGGTGTTGCCTCTCTAATATGTTTTTAGATACATGTTGTTTGACCAACAACAAACGGCCACTATGTATGTTAATGCCTCATATACAAAAAAAAGAGTCCTGAAAAATGTGAGGTGAATGTGTACTTTGATGACTTTCATAAAACTTAAAAGCAAAACTTTTCCTTAGAACTTCAATGGTCACAAGGTAATACCTGAAGTCCTGAAAGGTCAGACACACACACACACACACACACACACACACACACGCACGCAATCTGTTTGAAATACATTCTACTAGAAATGTGAAAACATAAAAATGAATCCTAGAACAATGAAACCCCCTGAAAACACTAGAAATACGGTTAAGGAGACTGAAAGTGATTCAATAACAATTATTTATTCAACACCTCCTAGCTTCACAATCTGGAGCTCCACTTGTCAATCAGTCATTTTGAGCTTACATTCTCACAAAGTCCCTATAACAGGTACTTTGAGGCTACAAAAATTAGGAAGCTAAAAATTGAGCCTCAACTTTGCTTCATTGCACTCTTTTAGGTCCATAAGATACATTAGTTAACAACAAAATATATTCCGGCTCCTTGCCCTCATAGAGCTAGAGGGGAGAGCCCAACAATTAACAATTAACAATTAACATAATTAGTAAATTATATAGTTCTTAGAAGGGGACAACCAACAACAAGAAGAAATAGAGCAGGGATAGTTGAAAGTGGCTGAGTAGCCAAGTTAAATTGTGTGATTAAGGTAGGGCTTCATTGAAAGGGCACTATTTGAACTGGGACTTAAAAGAGGTGAGGGAGTTAGACAAGCAGATATCCAAGGAAGAGCATTCCAGGCAGAGGGAGCAATGAGTGTGAAGGGAGAGCATAAGCCTGGCAATGTGGAGGGACAGCCGGCCGGCCAGTATGGCTGGGACATAACCATCAAGGAGAATAGGAGGAGACCACGTCAGAAGGAGAGTTTTGAAGGGCCAGATAAACGGTTGAGTAAATTAGGGACTCATGGCACAATTTTTAGCAGAAAAATGGGACACAATCAGATGCATATTTTAAAAGGTGCATTCATCTGCTGTGCTAAGATGCGAGGGTAGAAGCAGAGAGGCTAGTTCAGAGGTGTCTCTACAATCCAGGTGAGGCATGGTGATGCCTGATTACCTGTCTGTTTCCCCCACTAGAGTGCAAATTCCCTTAGGGAAGACAAATCTTGTCCAGGGTATCCTTTCTAACACGGGTTCTACCACCAAGTAGGTGCTTAATAAATAAATGTTTATTTGTTGAGTATATGTAACTTCAATGTATCATAGAAAAAGACTAAAATTTCCCCCTAAAGGTTAGAATATAAAGCTATAGACATGGGGAGGAGGGTGAAATCATCTGTAACTTATAAGTTTTGTCATGGGAGAAATATTTCAATAGGATTAGAAGGACTGACAGTGATGATAATGATGGTAATAGTAGTAAAAATGATAGCAGCTACCAGTATTGAGGACATACTGAGAGATAGGACTAGCTGGATTTCCTAGGCCGACTAAAAATCCCTAAGCCTAGTTGGGAAGGTGACCGCATCCACCTTTAAACATGGGGCTTGCAACTTAGCTCACACCCAACCAATCAGAGAGCTCACTAAAATGCTAATTAGGCAAAAACAGGAGGTAGAGAAATAGCCAATCATCTATTGCCTGAGAGCACAGTGGTAGGGACAAGGATCGGGATATAAACCCAGGCATTCGAGCCGGCAACGGCAGCCCCCTTTGGGTCCCCTCCCTTTGTATGGGAGCTCTGTTTTCACTCTATTTCACTCTATTAAATCTTGCAACTGCACTCTTCTGGTCCGTGTTTGTTACAGCTCGAGCAGAGCTTTTGCTTGCCGTCCACCATTGCTGTTTGCCACCGTCCCAGACCCGTCACTGACTTCCATCCCTCTGGATCCGGCAGGGTGTGCGCTGTGCTACTGATCCAGCGAGGCACCCATTGCCGCTCCCGATCGGGCTAAAGGGTTGCCATTGTTCCTGCATGGCTAAGTGCCTGGGTTCATCCTAATGGAGCTGAACACTAGTCACTGAGTTCCACAGTTCTCTTCCGTGACCCACGGCTTGTAATAGAACTGTAACACTCACCGCATGGCCCAAGATTCCATTCCTTGGAATCCATGAGGCCAAGAACCCCAGGTCAGAGAACACGAGGCTTGCCACCATCTTGGAAGTGGCCCGCTGCCATTTTGGAAGTGGCCCGCCACCATCTTGGGAGCTCTGGGAGCAAGGACCCCCAGTAACAATACTATATTCCAGCCTATTTGCTAAATGCTCCATATGTATCATCAGTTGCAAAGACTAGAGACAGGAATCCTTAGCACAGGATATAAGGAAGCAATGTTCTGAGTTTGAATAGGAGTTATTTCATCGTGTTGAAAACCTGATGCAGAATATGTAATAAGACATAAAGTTGGAAAGTTAGGTTGAGGCTGGATTGTTGAAAACCTTAAATTTATACATCACACAAATATGTTGGATATTATTCAAATTTTGAAGTTTGTTTGTTTATTAAGCAGAGGAGTGATAGGTTTAAAGCTGAACCTGGGGAAGATTGGTACAACTCTTAGATTACCTCTGGATCATTTAACTGGAGAAAAAGTAGATGAACAGTTGTTTCTAAGGTCAAAATTACAGTTTTATCCTTCGGAAGCACTGATGTGGAAAACAGAAAAATGACACACCTTCGTATTTGTATGAGTCCGTGCATTTTATAGAGCCCTTGCATAAGTATCAGCCCACTTGATCATCACAGCAACCCTGCTAGGTGGCATTGTTATCACACTTTGCAAATTGAGATGATTTATGCAAAAGAGATCAGTTGCAGTCTGGCCTGTAGTAGGTACTCAAGAAATGTTAGCTAAAGTCAAAAAATAAGGAAGCACAGGCTTAGGAAGCCTAAGCATATTGCCCAAGGTCATATAGCTGAAAATAAATGACAGGGCCAAGACTTAAAGCCAGTTTGTCTGAGTGTGAGTCTAATTCTCTTTGCTCATATCCTAACACCAGAGAGCCTCACAAGTTCTTGAAAAATGACAGGTGAAGAAATCAAGCATAATACCTATTAGCTAACCTAACACAAACTCCCAGTGTAGAAAATATTGTTAACATTTAGTAAAAAATTTTGTTTTGTCTTAAGGGATTCTGACATACACATATGCATATATATTTATATCTATAACATATATATAGACATATGCTTCTATGTTATTCCATATATGTACATGTATATGAATGTTCATGTGTGTTCGCTGGGCTGCCATAACAGAAAACCATAGACTGGGGGACTTAAACAACAGATATTTATTTCCTTTTTTCTTTTTTTTCTTTTTTTTTTTTTTTTGAGACAGGGCCTTACTCTGTCACGCAGGCTGGAGGGCAGTGCTGAGATCATGGCTCACCGTAGCCTCTACCATGTGGGCTCAGTTGATCCTCCCACCTCAGCCTCCTGGGTAGCTGGGACTACAGGCACACACCACCACACCTGGCTAATTTTTTGTAGTTTTTGTAAAGACAGGGTCTCACCATGTTGCCTAGGTTGGACTTGAACTTATGGGCTCAAGCTATCTGCCCACCTCCGCCTCACAAAGTGTTGGGATTATAGGCGTGAACCACTACACCCAGCCCAGAAATTTATGTTCTGGAGGCTGTAATTCCAAAATCAAGGTGTTGGCAGATTTAGATTTTCCTGAAGCTTCTTTCCTTGTCTCGTAGATAGCTGCCTTCTGGCTGTGTCTTCACGGGGTCTTTCCTCTCTGTGTATGTATCCCTACTGTCTCTTTGTGTATCCAAATTTTCTCTTTTTTTGTTTTTTGAGATGGAGTCTTGCTCTGTCACCCAGGCTGAAGTGCAATAGTGTGATCTCAGCTCACTGCAACCTCCGCCTCCTGGGTTCAAGTGATTCTCCTGCCTCAGTCTCCCAAGTAGCTGGGATTACAGGCGGGCGCCACTATGCCCAGCTAATTTTTGTATTTTAGTAGAAACCGGGTTTAACCATGTTGGCCAGGCTGCTCTTGAACTCCTGACCTCAGGTGATCTGCCTGCCTCGGCCTCCCAAAGTGCTGGGGTTACAGGTGTGAGCCACCGTGCCTGGCCCAAATTTTCTCTTTTTATAAGGACACCAGTCATATCAAATTAGAGCTCACCTTAAGGGCATCATTTAACTTAATCACCTCTTTTAGGACCCTATCCCCATGTCTGGTCACAATCTGAGGTTCTAGGGGTTAGGTGTCAACATAAGAATTTTGGGTGATATAATTTAGCCCATAACGTGTACACACAAATTTATTGTTATTATTTTGATTCACAAAACTTTTAGAAATTGGTTGCACATCCAATTTCCTTCAACTTTCCAGAATGTGATATTTGTTCATTAAATATTTCTTTGGAAAAACTAAGGCCCCCACACAATGACATAAGGCATGGATGCAGCATGGTATGCCAGTGGTCATGGCATGGGCTTTGGACCCCCCCATAACCTTGGAAAACCAATCCTGATTCTGCTGCCATCTTCCACCTATGTGGCCATGAGTTAGTTACTTAAATTCACTTTCTTCATCTATAAATTCAGGGGGAGAGGGCCTTCCTGGTGGGTTTGGTGAAGATTAGGATAATCCATGTAAGCATGTCTAGGACAGGGCCCTCCCCTTCTTAGGATCATGGGTGTTAGTTCCCTCTTCTGTCACTGCTCTGCAGGGGCTCATGGGGCCTGCTCCCTCCATAGAGTCAGATGCCCACAGATAAGTCCACTGGAACTTTAGATGTGCCACAGAGGTTACATGCCACAAAAGATCGTGTTTGTTCCAGTGTTTTTAGTATTAGCATAACCAGGATATTTATGTGATAAATACTTTAGGCACCTAATTCATAGTTCTATGGAAAGATCATTAGTGAAGCTAAAAAAAAAAAAAAGGTATATTATATCCCAGCTATGAGGATAAAGAAAAATTTAGTAATTGCAAACCTGGACATCTAACCCTACTGTTAGGCAACTTCTAAAGTATCCCTCAATGATCCCTGTCTCCTGGTACTCATGCCTTTATTCAATCCCTATCCTCCCTTGAATGCAATTCCCTTCTAACAAATAGACTAGAACGAAAATGATAGACGCCACTTCTGATATTTAGTTACAAAAAACCATGGCTTTTGTCTTGAGCGCTCTTTTCTGGTATATTTCTCACCAGCTCCCAGCCCCTTTTCTGTGTCTCTCATCACCAGCTGCTGTGCCCTGAGGACACCCAGGCAGCCTAAGGAGAGGCCCACAGGTGAGAAACTGCATGTGTGAGCTGAGCTTGGAAGTGGATCTTCTATGTTTTGCCAACAGCCACGTGACTAGTTTTGGAAGCAGATTCTCCAGCCCCAGCTGCACCTGTGCCAGAGGCACCCATTAAGCCGCACCTAGTTAAATTCCTGACCCACAAAGACTTTGAAATCATAAATGTTTGTTGTTTTAAGCTGCTAAGTTTTGAAGTAATCTGCCATGTAGCAACATGAAACTACTTGGACCAAATATGTGTTTTTCTAAGCACAGGAATATTCACACTTTATTAAACTTGAGTATTCCAACAATAGGATGGAAGTCCAAGTTTTATTTCTTTGCTGGGACCCTCACATGCATGTATCACATATGTATCATTAAAAAATGAAGGACAAATCTAATCAGGGGATGACTTTATATTGATTTTTTTTTAACTTAGTAGAATCAGTAAGTGAAATGTTGTTAGACTTAGTAAAATAAAAAATAAGCAAAGTTATTGTATTTTTACCCACTAGTAAAGAAGTTAGTCATGGCATTGCTGAAAACACTTTGAGCACCACAGTAATAAGTCACAACACAATTTAGGATCAAGGTTCACAAATGAGATCTGTGCACAGCACTCTGGGTGTCAGAAAAATCCGTAATAATACAGATCTCATGAAAAGGAGTCATATAACTGAAAGCAAACATATTTTGTACTCTACCAGATAAAACTGCAAATATATTCATCATCCATTTTTTAAAGAGTGTGCAAAATATATAATAGTATTGATAGGTTGGACTTATAGGGAGCTTTCATGTCTGTTTTTCATATCTTTCATGTCTATCTGTTTAATATGTCTGTTCATATTAAACATATCTTTCATGTCTGTTCAGTTGTGAAATAGGCCAAAAATTTTTGTCCCATTTTACAGATCAGAAACAGGGATTTAACTCTGTCACCTTCCCATCCACCTATTTTCTGTCCTTATCTAAAGGCCAGCTGCATTACGCCATTCTTGCATTGCTATAAAGAAATACTTGATACTGGGTAATTTACAAAGAAAACAGTCATTGGCTCACTGTTGTGCAGGCTGTATAGGAGGCACGGCGCCAGGCATCTGCTCAGCTTCTGGTGAGGCCTCCAAAAGCCCACAATCACAGAGGAAGCCTAAGGGGAGCCGGTACATCACGTGGGGAGAGCGGGAGTAAGAGAGAGACGGGGAAGATGCCACACACTTTTAAACAACCAGGTCTCACGAGAACTCACTATTGCGAGGACAGCTAAATCACTCACGAGAAATCCGTCCCCATGATCCAACCACCTACCGCCAGGCCCGACTTTCCACACTGGGGATTACGTTTCAACATGAGCTCTAGGGAGGACATCCAAACTATATCACTAGGCATCTGACAATTACAGCCGTCTGGAAGCTTGCAGGGAAGGCAAAACCTCCTCGTAGTCAACATGCATGCCATAGAATACGTGCACAAAAACCTAGGCTCCTAAATGGGAATACTTCATTTTGAAGAAGATCTCAGACTCTCTGTGAAGAACCTATGGACACTTATTTCAATTAAACACAAAGCTAACTAGAGTTTGTTTCCAAGACCAGAAAAGACTAAATGAGAAAAGGCTAAGAAAGGGAGTGAGAGGCTGTAACTCAATTATATGACAACAAGGAGGGATAAAGAAGAAAAATTTAAAAACAACCCATGGAACTAGAGAAAGCAGGCTTTGGACACTTTTAAGGTGGTGATAAACACTGTGACCCATTTCAAAGTGCTATACAATCATTGATACTCAGAATTATCACCCCAGAATCATTAAAATGTCAAAATAAGGTCAGCACATTTAAAGAGACAAACTATTTGTAGCTAGCATGTACTGAGTATTTACTTTGTAGCAAGAACTGTGCCAGGTACTTTACATACATTATGTCTAATCCTCTCAACCCTTAAGGTTTAGGAAATAAGAAATATGAGATTTTGAGAGCTTAAGCCACTTTTTAAGGTCATGCAGATGCTAATAAACCTCTGAGCCAGGATTCAAACTCGGACTTCTCTGATTGAAAACCCTCCCCTCTGTCTACTATCCCATATTACCTGAAAGATGCTTATCAAAAACTGCTTATGATGGGGGAAAAAAAGTGTTTCAGTGCCTAAGGATATAGTTTGCTAATCTAGAAACTGAATCAATCCTGTTTTACCTATTATTCCTCCAAAGTATTATGTAAGTTAATCTTTGTGTACTTTTTTGAGGGGATGGGGAGAGGAGTATATTTTCTTCTTGACATGAACAGGATTTAAACAACAAAGTTAGAATTATACGGCAGCAGAACAGCCTGCTTTGTGAGATGGTGAGTTTCTCATCTATTGAGAATATTGTAGCCATCTCTACTTAACATTTTCCTGGGATGCTGGAGACATTAATTCTATATAGAAAAGGAAATGGATCGCTAAGAACCTGCTTCATTTCTAAGAATCCGTGTCTCTAAAATCCTATTTAATCCTAATATGCAGTATTTCTAACAACTCATAAACGGTGAAGAAAGATTTGCTACTAGATGAATTGTCATTCTTTAGAGCACAAAAATAGTGAGTTCAACCCTCTTGGCAGTTGCATTTAGCTAAGCAATTTTTTGTGTCCTTAATTCTTTGGTGTCAAATGGATCACTGCATGTTTAATGCTTAATTACCGAATCTTCATCATCCCCAAATACTTCCGTGCTTAATATTTATTAAAACCTTTTTTTCACTGAGACAAACCTCATCTACTATCTGAAATCTAATTTTCATGACATTTTGTAGATAGTAGTTATGAGCTAATAATATACAGTGCTGTTTGAAATCATCATTCCTTATGTTATACTCTAAAATTAATTTTTTCCTTTAGATTTTTAATATGTTTCTCTTATTCTATTCAAAGAACAGTAGGGTGTCCTCCTAGTGATAATTTTGACCACCCATTTAAAATCGTTATTCAAAAATGGACTGGATAGTGTTTTACATGAACATTTCTATTAAATTTCCTACGATGGTACTTATGGATTAAAAAATAACTTCTGTTGTAGAAAAAAAGCCAAAGAAATACATAATCAAACATTTTATATCTTACTCATAATAGATGAAATAAACCTTAATCAGCTTACGTAAGTAAAGGTAAATATCTTTTAGAAGACTTCCGTTGATGAATATAGTTGGTCATTCATTCCAGGGTTGGCTTATTCATTAGGCTCAGTAGGCACAGTGTTTAGGATCCAAAGTACTTTCAGGGCACATGAAAGTGTTTTATTTTAAAATCAAAAGGAAAAAATGAACCTTTGAGTAAAAAAGTTTTAATATGTAATATTAATATATTTATCTTTATACTAATGCAATCATAAAATACCATTTTAATTCTCTATATAGAGAAAGTAGCCCATGAAGTCCGAAGTGCCTAGGGATCACACAAGATACAATGCAGTCCTAATTCACTCATCCTATGGAGATCACTGACTACCTGCTATTTGTCAGAGACTGTGCTAGGACTGGTAAATGTTTGGGATAGGAAAAAGTGGGTGCAGTGGTAGACTGGATAAAATGATTAGGACCCAGGTCTTGTCCTCAAGGAATGCATGACCTCCTAATGAGGGGAGAAAGGATGTGAATCTATGATTACAATACACTGTGGTAGGTGTGTTGTATTGACTATAGACAAGGTGCTAGGGAAGTGCTGAGGAGGAGGAAGTAAACAGCTCTGCCTAGTGGGAATGGGTAGAGGGAGGGATTCATATAGGACAT
Organism: Homo sapiens; assembly: GCF_000001405.40. Taxonomy (NCBI): domain Eukaryota; kingdom Metazoa; phylum Chordata; class Mammalia; order Primates; family Hominidae; genus Homo; species Homo sapiens. The sequence goes on along the minus strand of NC_000001.11, from coordinate 83,732,051 downwards.
GATGGTTACACGGAGTCTTGAGAAATGAGAAAGATTAATAAAGAGCAATGAAGCGGACTGTGTTTTTGGCAAATGTGTGGCATATGCAAAGGCCTTGTGGTATGGTAGGCCTTAGTGTTTTCCAGAAACTGCAGATAGTTCATATGACTGCACAGAGTGCCTGCAGGCACCCTCGGGATTACAGAAAACATAGTCAGGGCCCAGAACAGGAAAAAAGCTTAGGTGCCATCCTTCCCATGCCAATGAAATTGCATTTTATTCCACAGGATAAGGTCTATATTTCTGAACCTTGGCATTAAACACTTTTATCATCTGGCATTAAACACTTTTATCATCTGACGTTCACTACAGTTCCATCTCCCAAGATGCTCTACCAAGGTACTCTAATGACAACCATCCTAGTGAATTTGCTTCCTCACTTTTGCTCTTTTGCACATTTTCCCTTTATCTGGAATGTATTTTCTCAAATCAGCTATTTCAACATTGACTTCCTCCCTAAAGCTACACCAGCCCCAGGCAGACACTCACATGGCCAAAGCAGTTCAAAACTGGGAAAGACCTCTGGGATTTTTTAGACATTAACCATCATCTTACTGATAAAATGGAGGCCCAGAGAGATCAAGCAACTGTTGCCCATTACAGTCAGTAAGAAATAGAAGCAAATTCACTGACTTCTGGTGGAAAGAATTGCTGTAGCAATTATCTTCATAATTCATTTTGTGATTAATCATGTACTGTCTTGATATAGCTAGTGTTATCTTCAACGATTTAAATGTTAGTTTTACTTGTTTATACCTTGTTATATATTTTGCCAACCAAATTTTACCACCATGTGGGCTAGAATCACTTCTTATGGTGATTTCCCACAGGACCTAAGCCAGTGAGTCAACATATCAGGAAGCCCCCTTAAATAGTTAATAATGTGATTTAATGTCCTCATTGTCACTAAATGATTTGCCTACATTATACAGATTATGAAATCTATGACAAGACAGAGAAGGAAACACTACCAGTCTTGAGTCTCCAAGAAGCAGAGCTTGTGACATAGGTCATGTAACCCTTGATTGATTGAGAGCTTGCTATTCTGAAAAATAAAACCAAACAGAACAAACGAAAAACCTGAGAGAGTAAGGAAGCAGGAAGAGGAAAGGGAAAGAGCCAAGTCTAACCTTGGCCTGATTATAGCGACCTTTGGAGCATCAGTCTCACCACAGATTTGCCCTGCGTTGAGCATTTCAAATCCCCTTGCTCAAGGAAAGTCATTGTCTGTGGGCTCCCCCAGAGTGGGGGATCTTGTGGTGAGGGTAATCTCTTTGGTGAGGGGACCCTTGTCTGCTAAAGACAATTCTCTGGAGAGAGTGGCAGCTGTGAATCATTGGTAGACAACAGTCATGGCAGCTTGGGATTGTGTCCTGCTCAGTAAAGGGGATGTGGGCAGAGCACCAACAGCATCTATCCCCACTTTCATCTGGAGGACAAAATAAAATAAAAGAGAGCAAAACTCCCCAAAACCGCCAAACAAGAAAACAAGACCAAACATCCAGAACCAAAGACCTGATCTTCTTTATCGAAAGTCTGGCCTCTTCTGTTAGATAATACATTTTCTTAAGTTATTCCACAGAGTCACCTAAATGAATGTCCACACTAACCCCTATTCTAATAAAAACAGATTTAATATACAAACAAGTTATTCATTTCTTCTAATGGGATGGTTTGCTATCTCAGAGGAATGTAGTTACTGCTGAGAAAAAAAAAAAACACTGGTTGTTGAATTTGAGATCATTTCTAAGGTTTTAAAGAACAAATACTGCCGTTTTCAATTTTGCCTTCAAATAGCCACGATGACTGAGGAAAGCACCAATGAATCTCAAAAAGAAAAAAAACCCACCAATAATTTTCCTTACAGATAACATCAAAACAAATTAAGGCCATATAAATGGAGCTATTTCTTAAAGATTTCATCTGGCATAAAAATGTCTGTTGGGTGCAGAGGCATAGTTCTGAGGTTAAAACACAATCTACCCAGTCGTATGGGGTCTGGCTCTGATAGGTCCTAAAGACACCCCCCCTTTAAGCCACAAAAGTAATTTTGCTAGTTCTAATCTTAGTTTGAGCTCAGCAATTAGAATTCCATCAGGTTTCTGATACTCCAAATGATCCCTGTTCTTGTTCCCATATTCTCACGAAAGGAAGTCCACATTTGACTCAACCCTTGGACACCTGTTTATTCCAGCCAATCTTCATTGCCTCCCATCGAGTGCGTGGGTCTGTATCTGAATTTGGGCTTAGTAACCAAAGGAGGCTTTGTCCTTTCAAAGCTTTACCCAGTGATGCCAGGCAGTAAGCAAAATGCCTGGCCCCATTATATGGTTTCTTTCTCTACAGTGATCTTCATCTGCTGCTCTGGGGTTGATTTTTTTTTATCTTCTTTATTTTATATACCTCTCACAGTGTGAAATTTAGAATAATTCAGCATTCCATTGGAAAGATATGGCAGGAGGTTTGCACAGATATATGTGAGCATCACAAAGCTTAGCTTGGATTCCAGTTCTTACGCTATTTTCATTATTAGCCTCAATTGGACCAGATGCCAGGCAGCCCTTGTGGCTTTGCACAAGATGTTGTGAATATAAATTTGGAGAAAAATAATTAGTAATAATAATTCCTAAGAAAACTGGGGTCAAAACTTCCATAATGTCTACTTTTCTCTTGAATTTATACCTAATTATATTGCATTTAAAATATGACAAATTCTTAATGCATTTGGCATAGAAAGAAAAACCAATTAACAAATGAGCACTCAAAAATGTTTCTCTGAGAAACCATTTTATCGTGCAACTTCTGTAATTAAAATTCCTTAACCCTCAGATTTTGCTTGAACTCATAAGTTAAATAAGCAGTCAAATGCACACAATTTCTCCAAACCTTCCCTAGCTTTCACTTTGCTTGGCACGTTTGTTTAAATAAAAAATAAGCCCGGGCAACATAGGGAGACTCCCATCCTTACAAAAAAAAAGAGAAACTAGCTGGCTGTAGTGATGCATGCCTGTGGTCCTAACTGCTTGGGAGGCTGAGGCAGGAGGATTACTTGAACCCAGGAGTTCTAGGTTGCAGTCAGCTATCATTGTGTCACTGCACTCCAGCCCAGGTGACAGAGCAAGACCCATCTCTAATAATAATAATAATAATAATAATAATAATAATAATAATAATAAAAAGGGTTCTTTAAATTGGGTAGACTTTCTCATGATCTATTACCAGTTACCAAATGAGTTTTAACTGGAAGGTCATGGAGGAGAGAAAAGTCTTGGGTGTCTCCAAATTTTCCAGCCTGGGAAGCCAGGACAATAGGAGCAATATTAATGAGAATTTGGGAAAGAAAAAGAAGATAATATTGATTTTGGATATGGTCTATTTGAAGTGATTTGGGACATCTAAGTGGATCCCACTTGGAACTATGAGAAGTTGATCAGAAATAAAAAATAATGACGAACTTGGGAGTCATAGTCATCTTTTGTACCTGTGGATCTCTCCTAACTGTCATAGATGTATTAGTCCCTGTCCACTTGTGTTTAAGAGAAAGAATGCACTAGGCATTGTGCGGTTGCACAAGAGATGCTGAGTGAAGACAGGCTGGCCTGTGGACCACACAGCCCAAAAGCCCCTATTGGTCCATCCTCAAAAGAAAGAGGACAGCAGCTGAGTGGTTCCTACAAGACCCACTCTATATGTTAATACTTTTAATGGGTTTGTCCTGATGAGAATTCAGAAGCTAGAAACTGGTCTATTCTCATTCCCATTCAACTGATAAGGGGTGGTCAGTGAGACAATTTAAGCCCCAAGAGATTATGGGCTTTGACTTCACTGCCCACATGACTAAGGAGGCCACAATTTCTGATAATTTTTCCTCCCAGAGAGTAGAGAAAGGGAATGAGGAAACTATTAGTCTGGCCCTAATTCTGAACTGCAAGTGGAAATTGGTTGATGAAGTAGAAGTGATTGAAACCTGGGGGGAAAAGTGTCCACACCATGTCATCTTGAAGTGACAACCAAGAGTGAGGAGGCTGGACCTTGTCAGATGTGTCCCCTCGACTTCAAGAGGGCTGGTATTTTAACAGGAGAGGAGAGCAGAGAGGCATAATTTTACAGCAAAATTCTGAAAGGGAAGAAAGTTTAAGAGAAATGGAAAACATTCAAGAATGGGATTCTAACTATGCAGTTTCAAATGATCTTGGAGAGTAAGCAAAGGGAGACGTAATGAAACTCAGGATGAATAAGAGAACAGAAAATGCCTGATAAATTCAGATTTTCAAAGGACATGTACAGCTTTTTAGTCAAAGAGGCACAGTTTATTCAAGTAAATAAAACTTATATTCTCAGGATAACTAAGATTTATTTAGTTAGACTGAGCATTCCAAATTATTTATTCTACTTATGTTAATTCACACAGGGAAGACTGAGGCTCAGGGGTGCTAGATGACTGGTTAAGCTTTCTCAGTGACACAGCCATGACGACAGCCAAGTTTTTCTAATTTTTGGTCCAGGCCTCTCTCTAACACATCAGTGACTTCTAAACAATCATTTGAGAATTCCGAGGTGATCCTTGTTGCACCCCATTCCTCACCATCCAAGCCCACGTTCAGCTGAGTTTGTGTTCTGTTTTACACATATGGCAATAATGTATGATTTAACTTTTAAAATGAATTTTGCTAAAATGTTTGAAAACCTGCACCACCCCATGCCACTTCATTGGGAATGACTTCAAAAATACTGAACCCTAAGAATATTGAACCATATTGTGAGTTAAATGAAAATGGAGGCTCAAATAAATTTACATTAAAAATATTAAATACAGGTGTGAGCCACCATGCCCGGCCTTGGGAAGCTGAGGCAGGCAGATCACTTGAGGTCAGGAGTTCAAGACCAGCCTGGCCAACATGATGAAACCCTGTTTCTACAAAAAATACAAAAAATTAGCTGGGTATGATAGTGCACCCCTGTAATCCCAGCTACTCAGGAGGTTGAGGTTTGAGAATCGCTTGAACCTGGGAGGTGGAGCTTGCAGTGAGGCAAGATCATGCCACTGCATGTGACAGAGTGAGACTCTGACTTGCAAAAAAAAAAAAAAATACAAGTATCATTCTCAAAAAAGCTAGGGCATATAAGCAAAGAGGAGACAGGAAGCCCAGATCTGTAAGAAGCTTCAGAAAGCCTAGAGCTAGGAATTGATGGAAGTTTCTAAAAATAAAAGTGAAAATGCATTTTAAAGATTACATTTAGAAGTTGATGGTCAAGGACCACAGCTTTGCTAGTTTTTTGTTTTGTTTTGTATTTAGCCAATTATGGTAAGTGGACTTAATTGTATCTTGATCTTTACGATATATACAAGTATGTAATGCAATCTTAAAAATATTTTAACACTATTTATTCCAAACCTAATGGATTATAATCTGGCAGTTATTTATCCAAATGCTTTTGGAAAATAAGGTTCAACTTTGAATATCCATGGCTGACTGTTTGGCTAGAAAATGTATGCTTTTGCACATTCACTCAGAGAAGCACCATTCCAACTTCTGTCCTTTGCCTTCCTCTTCTTTTTCCCAGACCTTTATCCTGTGTGCTTGGCTAATAATGATGGCCTCTCAGATTTTTGGACTCCCCTAGTCCTGAGCATCCAGTGAGTCTTGTTAATGGTGAGCCGCAGCCATTTGATTTTTCTTTGGTTCCTGCTGCAGAGAACTCTCTCAGGGCACTTTGTGACCGGCCTGCTTCTTGCTTTCTGCTGAATCTGCGTGTGCAGAGGTTGGATCATGTCAGGTCCTTGTGTTACCTGGCTGCCTTCAAAACTTCTGGCTCAGCACCTCTTGATTTTGCTCATGTTTATTTAGAAAATAAGTCAGGATCAACTGAAGAAAAAAAATATTTTCTGCTACGTATGCAAGAGGACTCTTCATGAGGATAATGGCTGGTCTTTGCCCAGGTTGGAGTCCTGACTTGGCAAGGTGTTTGGATGCTGCTATGGAGCATGAGGGCCGGGGATTTCTGTTTTGGTTTCTTCAAGATTGTCATTCTACCCTTTGCTCTAAACCAGTGCCTACTGTACTCAGAGGCTTGCTTTGTTCCTGTGGAATGCAGCCTGAAGCATTAGCTGGTCTGCCCTGTGCTTTTCCTGTCTTTTTGTATTTTACTGTCCTGGCTCTGACTCTGACCATGGTTTCATGCATTTGACTCCCTAGCTTTCTCCCCTAAAATGTTTAATTTGTGTAGCTCATGACCCTAACCTATATCTTCAGCCTCATCACCTTATGCTTCTACCACACTGAATTAAAAACTGATCACTAAACTTACCAGACCTTTGCATAATTGTGCTCCTTGAGTGCTCTTCTCTCGCTGCAAATATCCTTGAACATTTGTCTCTCTTTTGTGAAGCCTTTCTGAGTTTCTCAGAATGAACCCACATGCATTTTGATCTGTCATGTTTGATATATTATATTTGTTTATTCATTTATTGTTTCAATATGTTTCATTAATCACCTACTATGTAAGGTATGTTATTATTAATCACCTACTATTAATTACTAACCTACACTGTAAGGCACTGGGGATAGAGTGGCAAATAAAGCAGATATGGTCTCCAATAGCAGTGATTGAAAGGACAGATGATTTGAGAAGTACCAGCTATTAACTTAGGGTGAAGAAGTACATCACACATGGGAACATAGAGCAGGAGAATAATGTATTATAATTTGGGGCTTTGAGAAGACTTCATTCAGGGCAAATTTTTCAGCTGTGAGCCTGAACCCTTGGTGAAAGCAGGAACAATGTGTACACCTATGTATTCCCATACATAATGCCTAGAAGTCACTCAACAAAAGCTCATGGAACAAATGAATGACTTAATGTACTACATTCTGTCAGTGGAAGTTTGAGGACCTCATTCAAATTTAATTTCTGCCAACTCATAACATGGTTCTAAGATATAGGGGTAGATTGTGTTCGTGCATATGTATCCATGTATATTCAGAAAGAATTTAATGAACATACACACACACACACATATGGCACATGATCTTGAAAATCTTTTTGCATGTCCTCACAAATAAAGGAATTTTCCAAACTCTAGGCTAGTTGAGAGAAACTCCAGCCATGGAATCTATTGGGGTTCGTAGTGGGCTGTGCCCAAACCAGGCCCTCCTCCAGTTTCTCGGAGAGTTGCCAATAGAAAGCCTTTGGGTCCAGCCCTCTCTGTGAAGTGTCCTCAGGTAAAGGGAACTGTCTTACTTAAGGTCACCCTTCACGCTAGTCCCGAGTATCCAATAACTTGTTCATGAGGTAGCTATAAAGGTATAACTCTCAACTCAGGATGACTCTGAAGGACCATTAGAGGCCCAGAGCTCCTCAGGAAGCTGGCTGAAGGCTTTTTTCTGACTGCCCAGGTCCTCCCTCTCTGCCCAAACCTGCTTCCTTCTATTCTGCACCAGTGATATTCTAAGTCTTCCTTAATAATCTTATACTTCAGTCTCTGTCTCAGAGTCAGCTTCCCAGAGAAACTGACTTGAGAGAGGACTCAATGTGGCCCAATAAGGAAGCATCTGCCTTCCCTGCATAAGCTCTGAGAATACCCCCAAATAAGGCAAAAGAATAAGAGATGGGAAATGAGAACATCACTGTTTTACTGATAAGGCTAATACTGAAAACTGTGGCATCTATCTGTGGGCAGACAAACTTGCCTCATCTCACATAACAGATTTACACACTTTTATTCCCCCAGTAGTGCTAGTCTGGGCAAGACTGACTTCACAGAGACAAAGCCTGATCCTGTAAAGACACTGCAAGTTACAGGTGGAGTTTGAATCCAGCCTGGGTAACGTAACAAGACCATATCTCTAACAATAACAACACAAAAGGTACTACAAGGAAGGACAGAGAGAGGGAAAGTGAGCTAGGCATGCCCAGATCCTGCAATTCACCTGCCCATTAGAGACCTCTCATGGTGCTGTATCAGATCTCTGTTGACTCCGGTAGGGAGGTGATCATATATGAGAAGCTGAAGAAAAGATCCAGAGCTAGCATTCAAGACATAGGATTTACTGGGGGGACTTACATATAGGAGTTCAGTGGCCATGGGCTGGACAGGAAGACAATTATCGTTTGTAAAAACCATGCAGTTTATATAGTATTTTCACTTAACACCCTCACCTAGCAACTTCCATTTAACCTAAAACAAAGGGCCTTGATCCCCTATATGGCCTATATTCCAAGGAATGGGCCAGGGGTTTGAAGGTCTTCATGTATAAAAAATAAATCTTCAGGTGGGCCACTCCCGGATTCCTTAACTTGGAACTCCAAACCAACACTCTTTTTAGACCATAAAGTCATCTCCAGAATATGCTGCAGTTATAACTGTCAGGTGCCTCTGCCATACACATGGTGGGGAGTTAGAAAGTGAGAGAAAGGGCAAGACGGTCACCCCAGTGGCACTCCTACCCCAGGGGAGGAATTCCAGGATTTGGCAGCAGCCAATCCTCTCCTCTCACAGTATACCCAGAGCCGAGCTTCTGGCTACACAAGCAGGAGAGCCAGAGCTCTAGTCTGGCTGGGAGGTCCTCACTACAGGCTAGCTAATGTGCTTTTGACATTTGCCCCTATTGTGGGTGTATTCAAAAGAATAATGAAATGAAAATCACAATCGCAAAAATAAAGAATTTTCAGTGCCTATGTCCAAGGCTCCAGGATGAATCCCTTTGCTACTTATTCTGAGCTGGATTGCTCTTGTCCATTTTGATAGGGACTATTTTCAATATAGAAGACAATTGACATACAAACATACACATGTACACACAAGTATAAAAGAATGCTTATCTCATGTATAAATTAGTCTATAAATTAGTCTACAAATGTACAATGGAGATATATATGAAAAAGAAAAAGAAATAAGGGAAGCTGACTTTTATTTTTTCTTCTAGATTTAGGTTTATTATAAAACAATAATATTACAGGAAATTTCAAGAGAACACAATTCTGTTTTGGCAAAATGTTATTGCTGCAATGTGTTTTGTATTTCCATCATGTTTTGTCCATAAATATTAGTATTTCTGCATGCACACAAATTTGGGTCACTTTTTAATTTTTCTACTTGGTCTTTTTAATGGTCACTTTTAATGTTACATTAATATTCTATCTCATTAATTTACTACAATTTATTTAACTATTCCTTGCTTACTAGATTTTTAGAGTGTTTCTAAATGTTGTAATAATAGATACATCTGCTTTTAAAAATAGCAGACATAAAATGCAACAAGTAATTTTTAAAACTATTCACTTTTATTATTCTTACAAATATATGAATCATAAATACATATGAACTCTTAGAGGAATTGAGTTTTAAGCTGTACTTTGAAGGATGGGTGAGGTCTGGTAGTTTTTTCTGTGCACCGGTTTCTTGTCATATTTAGATTACTGTTTACTGTGGTTGCTGATGAGAATGTGAACTCCTTCATGGCAGTGACCATATTGTCTAAATTTGTGTCTGGAAGGCTTGGAAGGTGTAGTAGGCATTTAAGCAATGTTGGTACAATAACTTAATTTAATTAAAAATGAATGTAGGGAGTGGGGCATTATGACAGACAAATCTAAAAGGTCCAGGAACACACTTCCCTTCTCCTTTTCGTGGCTTAACAGACAGCTGGTGCAAATTGTGCAGCAACAAGGCCTTTGGTTGATGTCAGTGGCCCAGGAAAGCAGAGCTGCTGTCTGGGTACTCAAAATGGAGACCTTGACCCTGATCCATGTGCTCCTTAGCAATGTTTCTGAGCCCGAAGTTCCTTTCTTACTTTCTAGAGATCTTAGAGAAGCCAGGTGTTCTCTAGCTCCCCCAGGCAAGCCTATAAGTAAGTACCATGGTATGGGGCAATTACATACAATTATGGTGGAAGACTAAGGGGAAGCAAGGCACGTCTTCATAAGGTGGCAGCAGAGAGAGAGAGCGAACAGGGGAAACTGACACTTTTAAACCATCCAATCTCGTGAGAACTTCCTCACCATCATGAGAACGGCATGGGGGAAACTGACCCCATGATCTAATCTCCTCCCACCAGGTCTCTCCCTCAACTCTTAGGGATTACAATTTGAGATGAGATTTGGGTGGTGACACAGAGCCAAACCGTATCACTTGCTCTCTTTGCCCTGTGCTCCTGGGAGCAAGTCCAGCCTGCTGGCTGAGACAGGCCCTTTTTGCTGAAATTTTTATAGGTTTTAAATTTTTATAGGTTTTAAAATACCTATACCCAGCCCATGTTATGGAATAATGAGATGCAGGGGGCAGCATACACCCTGCTACTTATCTGCTTCTAAGTCTTTCCAAATAAACCCTGTTTATATCTGTACTATGTGGCACTAGGGACCCCCTTACATAACACACACACAGAGAATAGTCATTGAAGAGAAATAGTTAAGCTTTAGTGATAGCATGAGACAAAAGTCAGATGTAGAGACAAAAAAATCAACAAAGGCGCAGAAAGATAATCATGTATACATACTAAAATTAGTGGAGTTTAAGTTACACTAACAGGTATCAAGACTTTGAGCGTGGTGTTATCCATGCAAGGGTGGACAAATAGGCCAATGAAATTGAATAAAGAATCCAGAAACATACCTGTACATATATGGCCACCTGATCTACAACAAAAGCACCACTGCAATTCAGCGGGGGCAAAGGTGTGTCTTCTGTAAATGGTACAATTGGATATCAACATGGAAACGTAATAGATTTGAGATGGATAGACCTAAACTTGAAAGGTAAAGCAGTAAACTTTCTAGAAGAAAATACAGGAGAATCTCACAACCTTGAGATAGGCAATGGTTTCTTAAAGAAGACATGAAACGCACTAATCATAAAAACAAAAGATTAATAAATTGCACTTTGATAAAATGGAAAACTGCTAATAAAAACACCATAAAGGGAGTGAAAGTGTGGGTCACAAAGAGAAGAAATTGACAATGCATATGCTAAACTAGGACTTGTATCCATGGTATAAACTCCTACAAATACAAAAAAATAAAATAAAATAAAGAAAACACAAAAAAGGAAAGACAATCTGATGAAGAGATGGGCAAGATACTCAAATAGGCACTTCACAAAAGAGAATTTCAAAAAGGCCAACAGGACTATAAAAATGTGGACACATCTGAAAAATGCAAATCAAAACTACAATGAAGATGCTGCTATATACCACAATTGCTACAGTTAAACAGATCAACAATACCAAGTGTTGAAAAGGATATGGAGAAAAGAGTATATATTGGTACCACCACTTACTAAAAATATTTGGCAATATATATCTAAGCAAAATGTACGCCTATCTTGGTTGGGCATGGTGGCTCACACCTGTAATCCTGGCACTTAGGGAGGCCAAGATGGGCAGATCACATGAGGCCAGGAGTTCGAGAGCAGCCTGGCCAACATGGCGAAACCCCCTCTCTGCTAAAAATACAAAAATTAGCTGGGCATGGTGGTGCATGTATGTAATCCCAGGTACTCGGGAGGCTGAGGCACAAGAATTGCTTGAACCTGGGAGGTGGAGGTTGCAGGGAGCCAAGATTGTGCCATTGCATTCCAGCCTGGGCAACAGAGTGAAAAAAAAAAAAAAAAGTACACCTATCTCATGACTCAACAATTCTATTCTTAGTTAAATACTCAGACATGTACATAATGTTTATAGTAGTTCTATTCATAATAAAAACAAGTACATTAGGAAACATCCCAAAACTCTAGTAACAATTGAATGGATACACTATAGTATATTCATATAATGGAATATTACATAGCAATAAAAATATGCCAAGTACAAAAGAATGCATGGTGTATAACATTTATATGAAGTTCAAGAATTGGCAAGACTAACTTCAGAAGTCAGAATAGTGATTATGTCTAGGACTGGAATAATGATTATGAAAGGATATAAGGGAGGTTTTGGTGATGCTGGAAATGTTCTATATCTTGATCTTGGTGGTGAGTACATGATTTATAAGTACACATTTATTGAACTATTACTTAAGATTTTTGCATTTACTGTATATACATTATACCTCAACAATAACAAAAAAGTCAAAGGATTTTTCTTAATCTCATATTACAAATATTCATGAATACACAATACAAAGAATAAAAATTGCCTGCCTTATCTGAACCCCCATCTGATGGTATCACACAAAGTTAGCAGCTGACTTGAGTGCTTGGGTGCAGTACCATGTGATTCAAGGAAAGCCAAATTGTGGGTTGGTCAAGAACTGGATTGTGCTTATAGTAAAATAATAATCCAAACCAGATCACTCACATTGGCAAGCCTCCCAGTAAGTCCAGAGGATGGGGTGTTACTATGCACATGATTTTACTTAATGTCCTACCTGTACTCAATAATTCTTAGCCTCTCCTCCCTCCATCACTGCTAATCCCTGCCAGATCACGGCTACATCCAACTCCAGCCTCAAGTCTATGAGTTCAACCTGTAACTCTACTGAAGAATTATCCAATGGATTTTGTGTACTGTCATTCTACCATCCTCCATCCTTAGTACTAATGTCGTATTCTCTTCTCTTAACAGTGTTTAACCATCTGTTAACCCATCCTTCTGCCCAAGGGGGCTAGTGGGGAGGAATGATTTGAAGGTTCTACCAATGCGCTTTACAGTTGGGGATAGTCCATTAATTGTTGATTTTGTTTGTATTCAGCATTCTGCTTCTATTCATGGTTTTAATTGATGTGAGCATGCCCAGGGGCTTATGCTGGACCCAGCTGTATAAATCAAGTAAATAAATAAATAAACAAATACATAAATGAAGTAAATCTTTCCTGGAATAAATAGATAATATAGTTTTCTTAAGCTTTTTTTTTTCCAACAGTGGTTGTAAATGTGCCCTGAGGCTTATATATGAGGGATGCATCTAAAGTTTTAAGAAATAAATAATAAGCATCCATAGCTAAAGACAAAAATCACATAATTACACCCTTTTGTCTTAGTATGGAAGCTATGGGGGATTTGGAATCTTTCATTCTTTTCATTCCACTTGCCCCTTTATTTCAGATTGGTCTGGGGTTGCCCTTGCCTCTGATAGTTTCTTTTGAAGGTAAAACAGAAGCAAAACAAAATAAACAAGTAAAAGGAAATAAAATCTCCATGGCATATTGTAGCACTGTCCATGGGGCAATGGGGAATTCTGAAGAACTGATGTTCTTCTCTTACAGGGGATAGTTGAAATCTGTCACAGTTCAAATGCAGGCTCTTTAGTAGGCACAGAGCCAGAGAGCAGAGTGTGAGCAAACTCAGTGTTCACACCTGAACAGAGGCTTTAAATGTGCTTCACATCTCTTGCCCTCATGTGTGAACAACTTGCCCAGGTAGGGGCTGCTCGCTGAACTTGCCCTCAGAATAAGAAAGGTGAAGCCAGCCGGAAAGATGACCTGGAGCCATGCCACAGCTAAGACACGGCAGGCCCTCAGACTCAGAGTGAGAAAGAAAGGTTTGTTGTGGTAAGGCACCGAGATTTGGGGTTGTACTTTACTAAGGCAAAAAACCACCTAATAAAGAGACCATGGTTTCTTCAAATTTTCGGAGATAGAACCATAAAGCCTTAGAATTAGCAAAGAGTTTTGCTGATGGCATATGATTTCTTGTATTTCTACCACCCCGTCCTGGAGTTGTCCACACTTCTGTCTCTGATACTGGAAGATGAGCTCTTTCGGAGGAGGGTTCTATTAGCATGGTTTCCCCTTAAGACAACTGGCTTATGATGGGGAGGCAAATGAGTACTACAGTGTGAGAACCCTGGGCTTCTGAAGTCAGACAGACGTGAGTTTGAAATACATGTCAGAGAAAAAACTAAGACAGTTAAATTTAATACAGTTTATTTGTGCAAGAAAAAGTTTCTAAAGATGGGCAGCATTCCAAATGAAGATGGTTCAGAATGCCCCACCTCCACTGTGGTGAGCTATGTTTATAACCAGAAAGCAGAACATGACATACAAGGATTACCTGTTACCTGATTCTTCCCTTATTTGGGCATAAATTAGCCACCTTCAGTCCCAGATTTGCTGAGGTTTGGGCTGCTATGATTGGCTGAGACTGACGAGCTTGCTTCCAAGGATATGCTCCTAGGTTCAGTGACATTTTGTTTACGTATCAAGCTAGGTTACAGTTCACGACCATACAGAGGCCACTTTGGGCCAGACTTTATTACCCAAATATGGAGGCCGCTTTGAGCCAAACTTAGTTTAACTCATGGTTCTTCCACCTGCTAGCTTTCTGATCTTGGGCTTTGAACGCCAGTTTCCTTGTTTGAATGAATAGAAATAATACTGCAAGCTTCCTAGCATTAAATGAGGTGGTATAGATGCCTGGCACACAGTAAAGGCTCAAGAAATGGTTATTATTCTTCTACCCTCGGGCTCCATAAGCTAATCCATCTTCCATAGGGCAATCTTTCAAATATAGGAACACCCTTTTTCAGCTACTGTTCTTGTTCAATTAGCTTTTTGTGCCTTAGTTTGGTCAACTATCCAGATTAAATTTGTTCTGCTTATACACAGCTCATGGGGCCAGCCAGCGGCTAGCTTTACAGATTCTCATTCTGCCGTCTAATGTATTTACTATAACTCTCAGCTTTGCATCAACCACAAGTTTGATCAGTATGTTTCCCATTTCCTCACCCTAACTGTTAATAAATATACTGCAGGTGTTTCATTAGACAGGCTCTTGGAGTCCTTTGGAGTTGTAAGCTCACACGTAATTGTATTCACACAACACTCAGGTGTTCTAAGAATATGTCGTTTCTTTATTTCTAGTTACTTATCTAATCTTCCTCACAACCATCCCATCCAGTGTGTTCAGATAAAAAGAGCTTTATTTTAAACTTCCTAGCCCGCAGTATCTCAGTTTTTGCTGGTTTAAATGGTCTGTTTTTGAACTCTGTCTAAATAGGGGTGAATGCTCAGGATTTGCTTTCTCCCTTTTCTGTTTTTTCCACATGGCACTGGGTAATGTATTAATATGTAACCTTGTGGAATTGAGGTAGGGTAAGGATTGGGGTTGGACCTGCTGAACTCCTGTTGGTCCTTGGGCTGGTCCCCACTGTGGTGGTGAGGGGAGGGTGGGGGAGTGGTCGTTCTTGTCCCACCTTCTGCTGCCGTCTAGGCTGAAGTTTGTGGCTGATGCAACTCGGTGCCTGTTCTCCTGCATGGGTAAGATTCCCACAGACCTTAGTCATCTCCCTAGCTGACTTGGACCCACTTCTTTTCACACCAGCCCTGTGGATCCTCTAAGGTCTGGCTCTGACTCCCCTGGGCCTCAGCTTTGGAGGCCCAGCCTGCACCTCTTGGCCTCAGTTTCACTATGGACTTGTTCAATCCCCAGCCAGATTTTCAGCTAAATTGTAGATATTCTATCACAGAAATTGAAAAAAACTTAAGAGTATAGACTGTGGAGCCAATTTTTCTGAGTTTGATGTCCAACTCTGCTGCTTACCGGCTAAGTGACCGCAGACAAACCGCTTACCATACCTGTGCCTCTGTTAGCTCATCAGTAAAATGGGGTTAATAACAGCACCTGCCTTACAGAGAAGATCCTTGTGAGGTTTATATGAGTTAATTAATACATGTGAAGTTCTTAGAACTGTGCCTGGTAAGCACAGGGTACATGCTTGGTCAGTACTAGCTAGTAGAAAATTAGAAAATCTGTTGTGGCACTTGTAAAGGTTATATTACCTCTCTATGCCTATATTTTCTCATATGCAAAACAAGGGTTATCATAGTAACTCTCTCATAGGTTTCTTGTGAAAATTAAATGACTTACTATGTAAAGAAATTAGGACACTGTTGGGTACAAAATAAGCCCTTGTCACAGTTGTTACTTTATTGTTCCCAGGCCACTGGGGAGCCTAGGGAAGCCAGGAGTGCCAACTCGCATTCATGCTTTGTCTACCTGTCTGTAGCTGTCCAGGTGGCTGGCTGGAACCACCCTTGAAAATGGAACAAAAGCCCCTTCTCTTCCTGAATTCAGCTTTCCCCTCAATCCACTGTCATATCTTTCCCTTCCCAGATGTGAGCCTGCTGCCATGCCTCTCCCAGGGCCAGCTTCTACTCTGTCTCTCATTTTCCTTTCTGCAGTGACCAGATAGGACAAGCTCTCCTCTTCACCCTCTTTCTGGAAAGTGCCTCCCTTGAGTAAGACTCTGTTTCCAGTTGATCATGTCTGACTCTGTTTGTTTGTTAATGGAATCTTAACAGAATTAAGATCGCTTTATCTCTCCCTATAAATTTGATTCTCAAATCTGTCTCCAGCCTGTCAACTCCAAACAAAAGTCAGCTTTGAAATGATGCTGAAACAATGACCATTAAGTGGATAAATACCATTAATCAAATGAGGGAAAGTCACAAAACAACAGGATATATGGGAGATGTAAATATATATATGAAAGGTTTTTTTTTAAGTATCCCTCTAAAACTGACATTTAAGAATCTTTTCTGATACCCTCTTTCCACCTGCTGCTGGATTACCACTTGGGAACATGCCCTAGAGGAGCTGATCAAAGAGGAATGAGTGTTACACTTATGAAACATTTGGGAAACTTAGTTTATTTCCTGCTCTGTGACAAAAACATGGAAAATAATGTGAGTACCTATTTGGAGTCAGGAACTGTACTAAGAGGCTTACATTTGTTCAGTCAGGCAGGATCATTTATTGAGCCTCTTCTATGTCCCAGGCATTTTATAAGGTACAAGAGACATAGTGGTGAGAAAGGCATGTTCTTGTAAAACTAACATCAGCTGTATGTGATGGGTATTTTTATCTTCATGTATAGAATGAAGGAATGAAGTGCTTAGGGAAGTTAAGCAAATTAATGTCATGGAGCCGGTAGGCAGCAGATCCAGGCCTCTAGCTCTGAGGCCCATCCTTTTCCATGTGGTGTGACTGCCAGCTTGATTGTTGCAGAAGGCTGACAGAGATGACAGGGCTTTGGGTTCTGGAGTCCACTGAACAGTTAAGCAAGAATAAAAAGAAAATTCTGATGTTTCATTCAAAATTATGCTTGTGTGTTAAAATGTGCATTTTTCTTAGGAGAAAGGATTTATGGCTTTCCTCAGAGCTCATAAAAGTTCTGTTAATGAAGAGCTGGTGGATATGGTTTGGCTGTGTCCCTACCTAGATCTCATCTTGAATTGTAGCTCCCATAATTCCTATGTGTCATGGGAGGGACCCAGTGGGAGGTAATTGAATCATGGGGGCAGGTCTTTCCTGTGCTGTTCTCCTGATAGTGAAGAAGTCTCATGAGATCTGATGGTTTTATAAAGGGGAGTTGCCCTGCACACGCTTTCTTGGGTGCTGCCATGTATGATGTGCCTTTGCTCCTTTTTTGCCTTCTGCCTTGATTGTGAGGCTTCCCCAGCCATATGGAACTGTGAGTCCATTAAACCTCCTTTTTAAAAAATAAATTACACAGTCTTGGGTATGTCTTTATTAGCAGCATGAGAACAGACTAATACACCGGTTTTTCCTTGAGTGTTTGGAGACAACTTTATCTTGGCATTGCCATTGCCCTAAATATTTATTTTCCCAGGCCCACTGAAGGGTACAATTAGAAGATTTTGGGGAAGTGATGGAGAAAGACAGAAGGTAGGGAGAAAGTGGCTCCAGGAATTGATGCTCAAATAAAGTACTGAGTCTTTTAGATCGTCAACCTCTAACAACCAAAACGGTGGGGGCCTTTTCCTGTCTTCCACATGCCACCTGCTTGAGTGCTGTGCTAAATACTCCCCAAAGCCTGGTCTCCCTACATAAAAAAATGAACATGTGGGTGTGTGCAGATTTGCAGTGATGGTGAAAAGAACAACAGTATGATTTGCTTCACCTCCTATTCAGGCTGGCTCTGGCCCACATCCTAGCACCTTTATGATATGCATGGATGAGAACTCATTGAAAAAAAGAGGCGATGTCTGGGGCAAAGAGACCAGGCTGAATTAGCTGCTGGTCCTCCTCATGTTGCCAGGAGCTGCCTCCTCAGCATCTGAAAGTGATTGACCATACTCTGAAAAATATTATTCTTTCTGTGGACTGGGCATCAGGGGGTAATCAGGGAAGTGAAAGGAGCAATAATTGCTACTCAGAGGTGGGGAGGCCATGTCTGTAAACTTGCAGATGGAAAAAGAAAACCAGAAGTGATTAAATGTTTTGAGGTCTCCCTCACGGTACTTCATGGTGCCTTATTTATTATTATTGTTATTTTTTGTATATCTTCCTATTCATTTCCCAGCATAGGGCTAAATATTTTCAGATAATCTCCACATATTGTGGATTGACTTGAGACATTGCCTATCATGTTTTTTAACTCAAAATACAGCATCCCTTGAATGACGAACATATTAGTTTGGATGGGTAACTTTTAAAAACAATATTATTGTAGTCTTCTCTAAGCACCTCTAAATATAGAGAACAACAATAACAAAACCTTCAGCTCTTTTATTCTTAGAAATACAATTTAACCAAGCCAATGTTTATCATAGCATAAGATCTAGAAGCGATTAGATATGTCACATATATTTGCATTTTTGATAACATTTGCAATGTAAATGATAGGATGATGGAAGACTTTGGGAGAAACATTTGTTTTCCCCTCTGTGCTCCATGTACTTCTTCCCACAGAGGACACTGATTTAAGGAAAGCAACTCCAAAAATGGAATAGATAACAGAGGTGAGAATGTTATTTTAATTTGGGATTTATGCATTTCTTTTATTGGATGAGGTAAGAAAGCATAGAATAAATGTCACCAAAATGGCAGATGTTAAATGATTCTTAGCATGTATATGTGTATTTAGGTGTGTGTCAATAGTGGAGGGATGTGTCTTTGGAGGTGTGTTTCTGTCTCTAGGTGTCTATGGCTGCCCAGGGGTAGGGAGATGGCTCTTGGGGGGTGTCGGGTGAAATTTTTTCTAAGATATATATCTGTATGCTTCTATGGTGATGGCAAATGTATGTGTGTGTCTTTGTTTCCTATGGCTGTACAAGGGGATATTTATTGGGAATGAAGACTTAAAATCCTAATCTCTTCCAATTAGAAAGGGGTTTACAGGTAATTGATTATAACCTCCTAAAATTGCAATCTCTTGTCTACTAGGAGAGTGAAAGACTAAGATGGAATAAAAACTTCAAAGGTGAGAGCTAGTCAGTGAAGGGATATTTGATAAGCACCGAGACTGATACAGATATATCAGACATAATTCTGGACCAGGGGGATGCAACAATGAATGAAGGAGTCCTAGTCCTAGGAAGGCCTATATTATAGGGATGAAGAGAGTCATTCAACAAAAAAATCAATCATTTAATTACGTGTGTTAAGTGCCACAGAGGAAAAGTACAGTGGTCTAAGGAAGCGTATGCAAGACGCTCAACCTGGACAGCGGGATTAGGGAAGCTTGCAAGAGGAAGTGATGCTTAAACAGAAAGCTCAAGTCACCCTGCATGGTAGTGGTGTTCAATGCCCTCCCTCACCCTATGTGAGAGCAGTGGTCAATACTCCACCCACTACCCCACATAAGAGTGGCTTCTGCCCTCACCCACCCTAGCCTTGCATGATAGTGGTGATTATTGGCACCCACCTCCACCTTGCATGATAATGGTGCTCAATGCCACTCCCCCAACACTGTAGGTAGCAGTGTGCTGTGTGCAGACCTCACATGACTTCTGCCTTACACACCCTTCAGATACTCCAGATTTTGTTTATCTAAAGGAGGAGCTTATAAGTCTTAGAGGAGGTCAACTGACACAGCAAAAATGCTAAAATTTCACCCTGGAAATTTGCTTTTTTGTTTATGCAACAATGAAAGAAAGGTGTTCTTGGTTTGGTGTTCTCTGGAAGCAGTGACTTGGGGCCCCAGGCTCCTTCCATATTGAGCCTCTGCTATCCTGCAGATCCTCAGAGTTCTCCACTTTACTTCTAGGCAGAGGAGAAGTAAAGGGAATGAAGGGTGACCAGCAGAGTTATATGGACTGAGGACACCACTGCTGCTCACATTTCTTTGGCTAGAATTCAGACATGTGCCCTGTTTCACTTCAGGGAAGAGCGGGAAATGGAGTCTATCTGTCCATCCAAGAGGAAGAAAAAATGAGTTTTGATGCATACTCGACAGTCTCCAACACACTATAACACACTATGGCTGTCTCTTTGCAATGCCGGAGAGAGACTGTGGCAGTGTCTTAAGCTTGGAAAGGGAGCTGGCTGCCCACTTTTTAGCAGGGGAAATGGATGATACAGGAAATTGCAGATGAATAAAATGACTTGATGCACTAAGACCTGAATTAATTGCTATGACAGTGCAGATGTTATTTAACTTTCAGAGAACTTTTATTCTGTCCTACACTTTGTAAACATTAAAATCTTTGAGAGAAACAAACACAATCATTTGTATTTCAAGACTGTGACATACCTGTAAGCTTGCTTGGAAAAAATCCACTATAAATAAAGGTCCTACACTGATATTCTATGAGTTATATCTAAATCCTATTATCAACCTACATCCTAACCATCTTTCTTCTCGCCTCATCATTGATTATTGGCATATACCCTAACCATTCCATCATGTCTCTGGTTTAAAAGCATTTTGAAGGAATATTGAAATGTTGATAGCATAACCTTAAGAAGAAGGACGCCATGTGCTAATGAGCAACAGAATTTCCTGCACTCAACTATTAGGTAGTGCAGAATTTGTAGTTTGTTGTTTAAAACAATAACAACAATATTACCGGGGAGAAAACAAGTTCCTACTAGTCTACAAGGAAAACAGCACTCATTCTGCAAGAATCAGTTTCTGGTCTCTGTCAAACCTTCTGTGACCCACTTGGGCAGGGTTGAACATTCCCTTCTTTGTGCCCACATTGTTCCTACAGCACACCAAATTATAGTAATTTATCTTTGAGCGTATCTTTGCAAGAGGCATGTGAGCTCTATGATGACAACAAAAGTATCCTTATTCCCCATTTTAAATTTCAAATCCTTCTTTTGAATTCTTATTTTTTCAAATGTTTGGTATAGTAGGGCTAAGGGTTTGCTGAATAAGTGAATGGGCTGATGAATGAAATACAATGGCTTTAATGAGAGAAAATAAGCATGCCTCCAATGTTCAGCCCTCCATTTGACCTTTCCCCAACTTTCTCTTCCTTTGGGTATGAGACCTGGGATCAGGGGATCCGCAGTTTTCTGAGCCAGCTCCTGGGCCTGCATCCCAGCTGGCCTCACCTGTGCAAAGAAACCCAATTAGGGCAGCTCTGTATGCATTTATACTGCCCACTTGGCAACCCACATTCAAGAGTCTTGATTTTGATAGCCAGAAAGCAGAGCAGAGAAAAATGCAGGGATCATAGCCTCTTTTCTACAGATTTTCCTTTCAAAACAGCCTGTGAGGTCTTGTCAGACTTGGATGACCTCTAGAATAAAAATAGTAACCCCCATCATAGGATTGTCATGAGAATGAATACATGGAAAGGGTTTAACATAAAACTTGGCATAAAGCAGGTATTCAGTCAATATCGGCTGGTCTTCTCATGCTGCTGTCACTGCTTGTTTTATTATTTTAACACAGGCATTTTGCCAGAATCCGTTTCTAATCCAGCACACCCTGATTCAGGAGAATGGGGAGAATAAAGTCAGATTGATCCATTGTGTTAAATCAAATTTTGTGAGCATTAGGTGCCAACCAAAATGACATTCATCATCTACTGCAGTGAAATATTTTCAATAACAGGCTGAAAATCTCAACTTTCTGATAGTCATCCATTTGGGCTTCCCAATTTAACATTCTGAAATAAAAAGCTGGCCTTTTCAAAATTCCACAAAATGGTTGTCTCTGGGTAATCTGTGATTTGTGTTGAAATATAGAAATTCTAGCCAGACCCCAAATTAATAAAATTGTGTGACACATAAAGCTCTATGATGGATGGCAACCAATAGTCCAATACTGTTTTACTCTCTCTAATATACTGTTTCTCTGCAAAGGCCAAGAAATTAAAGAACAGTTTTATTCTCCCCTTCCAGCCTGTGCAGGGTAATTATGTATTATTAATAATGCAGCAGCACAAATGATATTAAATGAACTACATTTGTTAATGCAGATCTTATCTAACTGCTTTTTCCATCAGTGGACTGTTTCTCATCAGGGGGTACTAATTAGCTGTAATATGTAGAAAGATGGGACAGAAATCCAATCAGATAAATGGGATCTATTTGGAGAGATCCAGAAAAGAGAAAGAAAAGCATTCATGATTCTGTGAGAATTACTACAAGTAGAAAAGATGAAAATTTCTGCCGTTGCAACTTCATTTACATTTTGTAGTCACAGAAGTTAAAATGCAGTATCACTGGATTGCCCAAACTGCAAAGGCCTGCAAATAATTTTATTTCTCATGACGGTAACACTGTTGTCCTTTGCAGTAATAAAAGTGCATATGGCTCTATAAAAATACCAAATGGTTTACATGGCCCTTGCAAACATTAAACCTAATGTATTAGGGTAAAAACTGATGTTCTCCAGATTTCCCCAACTAATGCAGACTTGCAGGAAACTCACCTTCTAAACTATTTTCTTAGAGAAGAAATCACCTGAACCCCTCAGGTAGGCCCCATGTTGAAGAAGGGATAAATCAGATCCTTTAAAAATCTCCCATCAACTAAATTGGGTGCGTATGTGGCCCAACTTCAAATATTAGAGCAACATTGTTCACCTTGCCTGCCACCTTGCCTGTTCACCCTGAGCACACTAGCCAATGTTAGGGACTCATCAGTGGTTCATTTATAAAGCAAGTGCTTCACTAACCTGACAACATATTTATCACTGCTCTTGTAGGATTATGGTTGCTTTAAGCCACATCGAGTGAGCTGGTGGGGACTCAAAGGGAAGGGACATACATTCTCTTTGTGAAAATGGACACAAAAGTGAATTATTTCATTTTGGCTAGCTCCGTTCCTCAAATGTAAAGAAGGGCTTGCTATGTACTATTCAAAAGCTTGCAAAGAGGTGAGCTGATTATTGAATTTAATTTTTAAATAAAGCCTTTCTTTCTTTTTATTTGCCTGCCTATTGTCAGAGCCAATGACATCTTTTTGCTCCTTTCTAAATCCTAACCCAGTAGGCACTCCAACATTTGATTTCTGTATATTAGGGAAACACTGTAATATTTGGTAATATCTAGCATATAATGAGGGTTATATAAATGTTCACTATTAGTATTTTTCAAATTCTGAAAAATATCTTTTGGGGCCTCAAATTTTGGGGAACTACCATATCACTGTTGGGGCATCCCGATCCAAACCATAGCATACTCGATCAATGCCTGAAATTCCTAGGACAGACATATTACAGTATAACCTTTGAGTATTTGAACTTACTTTAGGAATCTTTAATGGTCATCAATTGAAAACATTTATTCTTCCCATTCTTGGTTTCTCTGCAAAAAGGCACAAAAATATTTGAAAAATTTGGGCTTATGCTTAAATTGCCTTTAAAAGGTGACCTCATGATTAACCAGTCTAAGGTTGGGATGGACACAAAAGATTTTACTAGTTGGGACCCCACTGGTCATTGGAAACTAATGAAATATGACCTGGTCAAATAGAATGAGACCTGGTGCCTCAGCAATCTGCAAATATTCAACACCTTTTTAGCAAAGTAATCATGAAAATTCAGGAGACATCATTATAATATAAAATCATGCAGGCATCTAGGGAAATATATTTGTATACCTCATAACTAAACTTGAGTGGAAGCTCGAGTACTATTTACATTTATATATACTTATATCATGTAATTAAAGCCAACAGATAAACACATCAATATGTTAAAACAGATGTAAAAATATATAGATAGACATATTGCACTGAAACCTTGATATTGCATCCAAATGAAATCCTGTATTCCAAATATGCCCCGTAGGAGTTCTGCTCAAGGCTATGCTTAGGTATACTCAAAAATTCCCGATAGCGAGTCACCGGGGAAAACATGTTCTTTTACAGATAATTGCTACTGGCAGCCAGAGACCTAGAGAATTTGATGTGCAGTAATGTGACCTGACTATGTATTAAACTTTTTTTGAAGGACATGTGTAAAGTAATTTTTATTTCTGTCACACACCTTGCATTTTTTCCCCCACTTGCTAACACATTTTTATTAAATAAATAACTTTTCTATTTTTAATATATCTGTGAGGTTTTGTCCTAATCAATTTCAACCATAAAAGATATTCATATTGTTTTCTTCTTCAAGAAAAAAGCAAACTAGAGAAAAGAAAAAATTTCCACCTGAGTTGTAAGGAATATGTAAACAAAGCAAAGTTATATTATTGGTAATGAACTTTAGGAAAAATGTGAGAAACAATAGTTGCTTGTCCACAGACAAGAGAAATTAGAGATCAGCTAATTTCTCTAAGGTTGGGAGGCATCTCTGCTGCTATTTAATGCAATATTCACTAGCTTTTCATTAAATCTAGGGATGTTTAGGAGATGGTTCCTGAGGTATTTTAAATATACTGCTTCAGAAGTTATAATTAATAACTTGAAAAAAATTATAAATTGGCAAGGACACATATGTGCAATGATACAATTCAATGAACAAGTATCATTGCTGCTAATTACTTTGGTTCTAATTTTTCTGTGTTATTATGCCATCTTCATTTTATTGTTCAATATTAACATGTAAACCTTAATTAAAAATAATGTCAGAAGGTTCCAAGAATATTGCTAAAGATTTTGCAAGGTAGCTCAGAGGTTTGTTTGGAAAGAATCCCTGGATCAAGTGGGGAGTGTAATTTCTAAATAATGTGCTTTTGTGTTGAGCGTTGTACGAATTATTATGGGCTGACAATGGAAATTAGCTTTTAAGAACTTAAATCCAGGAGAAAAATGTAAAATCAAACCAGCATGTAGCAGCACAAAAATCGGATATGGGAATAGGCTGCAAGAGCTGGGAATGTCACATCAGTTTCTCTAATGATAGGCAGCAGTTCACAGGTTTACATGCTTGTATTCTGGTGCCAGGAAGATGAACATGCAAAATGACAAGTTATCAGGAAAGCAATATATTTCTAGTTTCCATTAAGATCATTAAAAGCCCCATTCTCTCTTCTGGTATGCAAATGGATTTTCTATACAAATCCATGAACGAGGGTAAGATTTGGCTTGTGTTCAGAGCTGCAAAGAAAGAAAGTACAGAGACTTCTAGATACTGTATTGGTTATCTAGGCTACATCTTTTCATACCACTTGTCTCTTCTGCTTTAGTTATTTTAGTAACAGTGCTGAGGCAAAGGAAAACAGGGTGAAACCAAAGTGAATCATTTTGCCATGTATTCATTTCTGGTAAATGATATGGTGAGAAAAAATAAAGGTGAAAATGAGATTGTCCTTCAAATTTCAGGGGGCCTTCAAAATTTAGCAGACAAAACCAGGGTGAGTTGTCATCATGAATCATCTATATTATGGCAATGATATAGTGCGGTGGGGAGATTTGAAGCCCAGTCTTGCAGTCAGAATGCTTGTATTGATTATTTGTCCCTCTGCTGATTGGCTGGATGACCTTGGACAATTTATTCAACTACTGTATAGCTCAATTTGCCCTTCTGTAAAATGAGTATAAATATTGTTTCTGTCTCCTAGGATTCTCGAGTATTATGCAAATTCTCAAATGCAAAGCAGTTAGCAATATCTAACTATGTTAGATATTGTGCTATATAAATGTCCACTATTAGTATTTTTCAAACCCTGAAAAATAACTTTTGGGGCCTCACAAATCTGTGATTTGTACCAACAACAGGGTTTCATCCTCAGCAGTGAAGTTGTACTGTTCCTTTTGGTTAAACTGTATTGCAAAAATTACTCTCAAAAATATATGAAACATGATGAAAATGTAACCTGTATCACAGCCCGTTCTTCTTTTCAATTTACAACTTGGTCTATTAAAATTCCATAACCAGAGGAAGTTTGACTGCCCGTTTTTGTTCATTAGAAGTATATTCTTCTTGAGGGTAGGAGTCATATTATTTTATAAATCCTTGTACAAACTGGGAGCACCTCATAAAGGTTGAACTAATCTCAAAACAGATTGAGTTTGTTGGATGAAGAGGCAGTATATAAATAAAAGAAACCAGGCTTTATTAAGAAAAAAACCCAGTACATAAAATTGAAGGCAGCCTTTTTAAAAGATGTTAACCAAATCCATTTAAAATAATATGTGTCTAAATTGTACAAAACTCTCCTTCTGGTGACCTAATGTCATGTCAAATATTTTGAAAAGAACCTAAACAATAGTAATATATCTGTCAATTTTAGTCTTTCAGAATTCCATTCCAGAGGGGTGGAAAAACGGAAATCCCAAGCATCATTCTTTAATCAAGTTCTAGGACAGCAGTGTCCAACAGAAATATAGAAATATAAGCTATGTAATTTTAAATTTTCTATTACTAGTTGTATGGAAAATAAGTAAAAAGAGAAGTAAAAAGAGACATGCCCAATTATTTTTAAATAACGTATTCTACTTAACCCAATATATCCAGAATATTTTCATCTCACATGTCATCAATGTGAAAAAATTATCAGTGAGATTTTTCACATTCATCTGTTTCCATACTAAGTTTTCAAAATCTGGTGTGTTTTTTACAATTACATCACATTTCAACTTGGACTGGCCACATTTCAAGTGCTTCATAGCCTCATGTGGCCAGTGGTTACCAGATTACACAATGCACTTCTTGTATGGTTAGGCTTTGTGTCCCCACCCAAATCTCATCTTGAATTGTAATCCCCAGGTGGTGAGGGAGAGGCCTGGTGGGAAGTGATTAGACTGTGAGAGCAGTTTCCCCCATGTTGTTCTCGTGATAGGGAGTGAATTCTCACAACAGCTGATGGTTTTATAAATAGTGATTTTTCTTGCAGTCTCACACACTGTCTCTCTCCTGCCACCATGTGAAGAAGGTCTTTGCTTTCCCTTCACCTTCTGCTATGATTGTAAGTTTCCTGAGGCCTCCCCAGCCATGTGGAACTGAGAGTCAATTAAATCTCTTTCCTTTATAAATCACCCAATCTTGGGTATTTCTTTATAGCAGTGTGAAAACTGACTAATACACTTCTAGAATGAGAGATGTGGGGAGCTGTACTCTTAGAAAGTGTCAGGATAGTATTTTTTGGTCTCAATAAGAGCTCTGCTTTGAGTCTCTACTTAAAAAAGATTTTACTAGGGTCTTTGGCTTTTGGTGTCATTGATGTTGGACCCATTACCATTCTTGTTTGTTAATGTTTCTTTTAAGTGTGCACAGAGTGCCTGTGTGCCTTTCTGACACTTGGTAGTGAGGTCTGTTTGCTTAGAACAAATGGAAATCAGCTTTGCAATTCACATGTCTGAAGAAAACTCATCTTGATAGCTGCTGGGGCAGATTCCAGCACACAAAAGGTGAAAGAAAGCCACATGGGATTTTTTTTTAAACCACTAGGGGTGGAATAAGGAGATGGAGGGAATGCCTTCTTATAGTGCCAGAAGAGACAAACAGGTGGCACAAGGAAGGAACAAATAAAGGATGAAGGGAAGAGCAGCAGGTTAAGGCCTCAGGCAGAGCAAATACAAGATTCAGCTGCTGCAGGTTCAAGCCTGAGGCAGGATAATGGAGCTGACTGTGGCAGGAAAAAAATCAGATCTGTCAACAGTACAGTTCATCCATGAATGTACATGGGTAGAAGAGTACAGAAAGGACTGCAGGGCCTCTCCGCATTACTTTTCAGCCTCACCACCCATGAAAGCCACACCATCTCAGAAAGAGGCTCAGAACACCTGCATTATTAACTAGATGATACCTACAAACACAATGACACCTACAAATGCATAGGTACCATGACGTCTTCTATTGTTTAATTATTTGTTTTCTAACTTTACACAGAAAAGGGATATAGGCAGTCAACCCCAAAAGCAAGCAAACACACCGC
This sequence comes from Homo sapiens, assembly GCF_000001405.40. Classification (NCBI taxonomy): domain Eukaryota; kingdom Metazoa; phylum Chordata; class Mammalia; order Primates; family Hominidae; genus Homo; species Homo sapiens. The sequence goes on along the minus strand of NC_000001.11, from coordinate 83,704,045 downwards.
AACTGGAAAAAATATGAAGAGAAATAAAAATGTTCCTAAAAATATTTCCCTGTAAGGGGCCCTACATATAAATGAGGAAAAACCAATAACTTCCCTCTTCCACACAAATAAATCATCACAGAGCAAACCCCAATGCCTTCTGAAATGAAGCCTGACACTAAAAAATACAAATCCCTAAAAAATAGAAAATATGTGCAAAACCTATCATAGATCAGGGAGAAAAACATGTTTTTCTTTTTCTTCCAGTACTTACTGTCTCCACATCCATACACATTCATTTTATTTCCTTGCCTTTTCCAGCTCCTAGGCGCTGCTCCCTTCCTCCATCTTGGAATCTCTCTCTCTCTCTCAGGGAGGTTATATGCAGCCTGAAAAGGTTCTCTGTAAGGATTTGTGTGATTTGATTGGGCCCGCCTATATAATCCAGAATAATCTCACCTCAGATCCTCAACCTTAAGGTTATTTGCAAATCCCTTTGCCATGTAAGGTAACTTATTCACAGGTTCCTAGGATTAGGGCGTGCACACCTTTGCAGGGCATTGTTCTGTCTACCTGAATCTTTTTAGATTCAGGTTACAGGAACATAAACTGCAAAGAACTTTCTGCCAAGGTGCCTTCCAGTGGGCATGAGCAGCTGTGAGGGCTGCAAGGCCCAGTCTCCAACCAGGTAAGTCAACGATGTGGAGTGACACTGACATTCTTTTGAATTGCCTCATCAAATTTCATGGCTAAACAGTTCTTCAAAATGCCCAGAGAAACCACCAGGTCTCTAAGTAAAGAAAAAGTGGTATTTAGTTTTGAACCACATACAGTTAGTTATGTTCTCATTGTTTTTCTACCAAAATAATAATAATAAACATTTGGAGAAAATTTGGCTAACTAGCTGATTCTCCCCTACTCCACTCTCTCTCCTTTTCTCTGAGTCCTTCCCTTGCAAATATGGTCTCTGATGTTGGTCTTCAATGTAACTCATAAGCCCCAAGAAAAGGACTTCTGTCCTAGAAGTTTTTCTATAGCCATTGGAAACTGCACACAACCCTGCAAGAAAAGGGGCCTTGTACCCACACTGCAGGAACAGTGTGAGTGGTGTTTCTGCTCTACTCAGAGGCCAATCAGAATAGGCTGGGAAGAAACTTGAGCAGAAAGCCCTTGGTCTGCGTCTTGGGTGAGAGGGGTGAATACAGTGCTGACATCCATACATCCTCGCCAGTGCCCCAGCAATCAGCCAGCCTACCTTGCTCCCTAACTCTCCTCCCTTAGGATAATTAGAGTGTCTGTCATACCGTTTTCCTGCAATCCTATTACTTTAGATCTAGGTTGTGTTTTTAGTATCAACTTTTCCATATTATAGTTAAGAAAATTGAGCCTCAAGAGAGGTACATGAACTGGCATAAAGTCACCACAAAGATAATTTCACAACCAGGCACTAGATCTCAGGGATTCTGTTTCCATTGCCCCATCAAGGTCAAGGCATGTAAACAGGCTTCTGAGAGTTTGAGCAAAAACACTCACTTGTGGTTAGAGGTGGGGAGTTATGTCAAGTAAGAAAGGAGGAAGATTGGGTGGAATCTAGAAAGACCTAGGTAGACAGAACAATGCCCTGCAAAGGTGTGCACGCCCTAATCCTAGGAACCTGTGAATAAGTTACCTTACATGGCAAAGGGATTTGCAAATAACCTTAAAGTTGAGGATCTGAGGTGAGATTATTCTGGATTATATAGGTGGGCCCAATCAAATCACACAAATCCTTACAGAGAACCTTTTCAGGCTGCATATAACCTCACTGAGAGAGAGAGATTCCAAGATGGAGGAAGGGAGCAGCACCTAGGAGCTGGAAAAGGCAAGGAAATAAAATTCCCCTCCTAGAGCCTCCAGAAGGGAATGCAGCCCTGCCGATACCTTGATTTTAGTCCAGAGACCTGTGTCAGATTTCCATCCTACAGAATGGTAAGATAATAAATCTGTATTGTTTTAAACCACTAAGTGTGTGGTATTTGTTACCACAGCAATAGAAAACTAGTATCACCCTGCTCATAGCAAATATCTTCCCCATTCAGGGCTCTTGTTTCAGCAACTCTAACTTTTGATGGTGTTGTCAAACCAGTGCTGGTTAAGCAAACACCGGGAGTGAGGGGTTGAGGGTCAGCAGGGGTGGTGAGTTCAGGAGGCAGAAGTCTGGGAGTGTGGAAGGATGGTAAAAGCAAACACAGGTAACAACTGCAGGAAAAGGCTTGCATCCTTGGGGCTGGGAGGACAAAGAGGAAATTGGACTGGAAGCTTAGAAGAGGGGTCTGTGGGGACTCAGCCTGGGAGGACAGGGTGCCTCTCCCTCAGAGAGACAGGGTGAGACTGGTCTTGGGAGTGCCAGTGGGAGAGCTGGAACCTGAACACCTGCTGCTGTTGGGTGCAGGGTGCTGCTTACCGGAAGAGCAAGTGCCTTGGAGAGAGTGAGTCTCTTCTGCTTCTGTCTGCCAGTCTCTGTGTCAGTCTGCTCCAGCTGCCATCACAACAGCAACAAAAAGCAACCACAGACTGGGGGGCTTCCACCACAGACATTTATTTCCCACAGTTCTGGCGGCAGGAAGTCTAAGATCAAGGTATAGGCAGGTTTACTGTCTCCTGAGGCCTCTGGCTGTGGCTTATAGATAGATAGATGCCTCCCAAAGTGTCCTCACAGTGTCCTCCCTCCATGGGCAGAAGTGTGCCCCTGCTGTCTCTCTGTGTGTCCAGATTTCCTCTTCTTACAAGGATGCCAGGCAGATTGGATTAGGGCCCAGCCTAATGGCCTCATTTTAACTTAGTCACCTCTTTAAAGGCCCTATTAGAGTCACAATCTAAGGTACTGGGCATTAGCGCTTCAACATATGAATTTTGAGGGGACACAATTCAGCCTCAAACACTATCCCTCTAAAAATTCCCATTGATGGAAGCTTGCAGGGTATCAGCTGACAAGTGAGAAATGTAGTTTTTAGAGTCCCAGTCCCCAGTGTCACAAAAGCAGAGTTATAGAAAGATGGGATCTGTGACTTAGTAACTGGCCAAGGAAGGGGTTAACAATGGAAGGAACACCCTTGGTGGAACCCTGCCTCTGTGGTGAGGTGGCACAGCAGCCATCCAGACCCCCAGGTGGGGTCCATGTGTATCTGGGGAGTAGTGTGTCGTGCCTGACTGTTGAGGGCAGTCATTGTTTCTATCCCAACCTTTTGCCTGAGAGAGGCCTGACTCCCTCTCAGGGCCTGGGTCTGAGATACCAGGTGGAAGTGAGAGCATCCACCCCCTAACTGTGGCTGGTGGAGCCAGAGGATAATTGCTTAGGAGGAGTCCTGGGGGTCATAGTCAGAAAAATGAGCTATCAAAGCAAGGTGTCAGGATCTGAGCCACACAGCAGACTCAGCAGGTGACAGCAACAGTCTCCCAGAGGGCCCAGGCTGGATGTGGGATGTTGGGTATTAGAGATGACCTCCATGGGAGTTAGGGGGAGGCCACCTGGAGGAGGACTGCAGAGTCCCTGGGGATTCACTGTGGCAGAAGGACAGAGAAGAAGGGGGATATATGGAACCAAATCTGTGCTTGTCCAATTGTTTCCTGCTTCATTGGGCAGGCCCTATATAAAGCACAAATGTGACCCTTTATTTGTCTATTATTATTAGTAGTAGTAGTAGTAGTATTACTCTTTGCAAAGAAGGTGAAATTGGAAGAAGAGTGAGGAAAAGCTGAGATTCTGAGAAAATCTCTGAGTGACCCTAAACTTTAGAATCCCATGGAGAACAGACAACAGCTGTCAGTCTGGTACAGGAGACCCCTTTTCCCAAGGCAATTGTTACTACTTCTATATGCACTCCTCACAGATGGTCTGGGGGTTGTAGACAATATTAGGTATAAAAGTGTAGAATAAGCTTATTTTAAAAAAAGAGCCAACTTTGGCTTAATATAATGGGCCTCTCATTTTACAAATGAATGTCCCATTGCAGCCAAAGAAATAAATGTTGAAAAAATTCATTTCAACATTTACTGAGTGACTGCTGTGTGCCAGGCACAGTCAGGTTGCTTCTTTTTTCTCTACTGTGTACATTAAGTGACAGCTATTCTGATGAGATAAAGCTAATAATAGCAGCTACTGTTTGTTGAGATTATGCTATGTACCAGTTACTATGCTAAGCACTTTTCATATATTATCTCATTTAACCCTCAGAATAACCCATGAGGATAGGAATATTTCTCACCCTTTTCAAAATTTGAGCAAACTGGGGCTCAAACCTGTTTGCTCAAAGTCACAGAACAATGAAATATCAGAGCTAGAATCCAAAATAGGCTTGTGTCATTCCAAAATCTATGCTCTTGGGTTACCTATTTTTCTTCCTACCAAGGATTTCCTGCACAATGGGCCCCGTGGTCTTTCAAGGTAGTACATACTAAATCTGAACACAGTACTTACATGTGAACTCAGGATGGTAGAGAATAGTCCACGTGAAAACTGCTAGATGTGGGCTGAAAACAAATAAAGAAATGCAAAATACATTCTAAAGAGTACATTGCCTGGGAGTGGAGGGGGGCCAGGAAAGGAAAGAAAGGCAGAAGCAGGCAATTAGAAAAGGTTAGGAAGAAGTGCCTGGTAGTGATGGGTATGTTCAGTATCTTGATTGTAGGGATGATTTCATGAGTGTTTTGCTGTGTCAAAACTTAACTGTATACTTTAAATATGCACAGTTTATTGTACTTTGATAGAGCTGTAATAAAAATAACACATATGTAACAGTCAGCTATTGCTGCCTAACAAACCACCCCAAAACTCAGTGGCATAAAAGAACAATTTCTATAGCTCATATTGGCATAAAACAACGATCAATTTTTATAGCTCATATCACCATGATTTGGCTGGAGTTCTGTGGATTTAGGCAGGGCTCAGCTGGAATAGCTCTTTTCCAATCTCTCTCATCCTTCTGGCATCCATGGGCTGGCTAGGCATGAATTTCTCATGGTCATGGTAGACATGCAAAGGGGAAAGCAGAAACAGCAGAATATTTAGAGGCTTAGCTTGGAACTGGCTCATTGCCACTTTTACCTACATGTCATTTGTCAAAACAAATCCTATTACTGAGCCCAAAGTTGGAAATGGAGAAGTGCCCTTCCCACAATGAGGCTAAGGCAGGGCTTTAGATGCTGGGAGGGATAAAGAATCTGGGTCAATCGTAAAATCCATCACAAAATGTAAGAAACTAATAGCCACAGGGCTGCTACACATACGGATGTCATCATCCAGATAGCAATCTGCTTTTCTGAAAGGCAGTGTTTGAGGACATCTCTGGGCTCAGAGAAACAAGATCCTAAAAAATCAAAAGACTATGAGCCTGCTTATATTAGGGTATCTCTCTCCAAAGGAGTTAATGGCATTCTCAGAAAAGTGACTGACTCCCCTGAGAGTTGGGACATGATATGGGACCATGGTAGGGACAAAACACAAGTCCATTTGGGGAAAGAACACTAAAGTGTTATTGTCTTAGAAATTTGATGAGTAAAATACATTACCAAAAGTAATTAAAGCAACATGAAGGAATCAACTTTCCTTGCTTAATTTATTCCAAGCAAAGAGAAAATCTTAGGATGAAATTTAGTGTTGGAACCTTTTAAATAAGTTTGCCTTTCTTGAACTGGAGCTAATTTGTATAGTTTGGATTGTCCTGAAAGTTCCCTTTGTCATCAGTGACTTAAAAGTACTGCTACTGGGCAAAAGAAATCAATGATCTCTACATTGCAGGCTGAGTAATTACATCATAATGATTTACATTAATGAAAAGACAAGTTGGTCCAGATCCAGATGTGCCAGTGACCACAGTTCCCTGTGATGTCTAAGCAGAATGCTGAGGTTGGAGAAATTTCAGCATTGGTTGTGAGACAAAATGACTGGTTAAAAAGTCTTTCCTAATCAACATCACTTAATAGCTCTTTAATGACTAACTCATCATTTTTCCCCAAGTAAAAGTAAATTTAAATTTCAAAATAAAGCAAATTTTACTTATATCTGTGGCACAGAAGCAGATGTTTCCCTGACATGTGCACACAAGCTGTTGACTGTGACCTTGCAGGATAAAGCAGTTTTGAAAATTAGCTTTTGTCTCCCAATCTGGGGAAAACAATGCTGCAGTGAAGATTTAATAAAAAGTCATAGCTTCTCACAGAAGCTTATTTCAGCAAAGTAAACTATTAATTAAAATAACAAATGTCAGCTGTTTCAGAGGCTGACAGTTAACACAATGCAGCATTTGCTTACCTTGATGTACAGGATGCATGGGACACTGGATGGATCCATAATTCATTCCAGGTATGGCTCTCTTATGCCCTAATATAGTGATAACACAGTGATAAATTAGCTCTCGTTCAGCAGCTTCATTAGCAAAAGTACTTGGAGACTTGGGGAAAACCCACCTAGAGAGGGCCTTTTGGCAGACTGGAGGAATATACACTTGAACAGCTTGAATGAAAGTTTCATGGAATTCCTGGAAAACTTGAGTACCAAGAGAAAATGTAAAACTAGGTGAGAGAAAGATTAAGAGATACAGTCTGCCAGAGCAGTGCATTACGATCTGCTTTTGGCCACAGGGGGAAAAGATTATTAAGTAGGGGAAGGACCATATCACCCCCAAGAGACCACGGAAGAGAAAGGTTAGGGGAAAATGAGAGGGTCAGGTTTTAAAGAGAGGGGAGAATGAGCAGGCAGGGAAGACAGAGAAATGAACAAACATCTTCTACCTTCTCTAAAGTCAATAATTTAGAAGGGGTTTTGGAGCAGACCAGGCCCAAGTACAACACATGGGGAAATTTATTTTAATCTATTTCCTAATATGACTATGTAGGTGAGAATAATAAGTATAAAAAGCTACATCCACTCTATGAAGCATGCTGGTGGGGAAATCTGTTTTAGGGTTTTTCTATTCAGATAGACAGCTCAGTAACACATCTATTGTAAAATTAAAGAGGGAAGAAAAGTCCCTGGAGTTAGGACAACTGTAAAAGTGTGTATTGAAAGCCTGAAGGAGTGATAGCTGGAAGTGGAGAGGTAACCTGGAGGAAATGTCTGGGCAAAGCAGATTAAAGGGGAGGTGGAAATGGGTATGTTGGGTGGTGCTGAAGGAAAAGCAGTTTACTATCAAGATAGGTGCATTCAGGGAGACGCAGAGCTCTTCAAGGCTGGTTCTGCCTCTTCGCTGGATATATCAGAAGGCAGAACAAAAGCACATATCCCACAGTTCAGGTGTACCATGGTTCTTTTTAAAAGAAAAGAAATGTAAAGAAAAGTAAAGAAATACAAAAACAGAAACCAATTAAATAGGAACTGGCTGCATGAGGTACCAGCTATTCATTTTCTTACAAAACCCATGATGGGCCAAAGAGTTTTTTTTTTTTTTTCAATTTCTGGGACTGTTTTAATCTGTTCTTATGGTGGAGGCATCTACATTTTAAAAGTCATTTATTATCATTTCTACTGGAGTCCAAACTTACTGCATCATTAAGTATGATCCAGTTCACTGGTCCAAAATGAACCAATAACAGAGCCTAGAGCAAGCTTTGTGCACAGTTCCTGTTCCTCATTATTCTCTCTTTCCTCATTGGTCTGGGGACTCCTTCTAAGGTATGGGTTGCAGATAAAAGGTATTTGGGATTCATAAAAATGAAGTACATGAGAGGCATACAAGCAAGACTTTTGGTCACAGACATCGGCTTCAATCAAGCTAAAAAACCTGCCCCAAATTAATAACCAGAATCAAATGCAAGGAAGAAAAGGCAAATAAGTTTGGATGAAGTCCTATCTGACCCTTTATTAAAAATACGAAACAAGCAGAATCTTTTCAAAAGATCCCAGAGTGGGCAACCTTCACCTAGATGTGTTTTTGTCAGATGCCAGTATTCTTAGGTATGTTTCTAAGTATGATAAGGCTGGATCATGAGTAGAAACAAGGAAGGACTTGCCCCTCAGGGGAGGCATCAAATTCTGGAGGGTCTGCAGGGGCACTGGCTAGCCCACATTGGGTCTACCAAACATTGACATCAGCTTTTGTATCCAGGGTGAATCTGGCATGGGCTTCATCATGCCCATTTTCAAAAGAATCTTATCCATGCATATTCCAATGTAAGAAACTCCTTCACAGCACGACCCTAATTTTCTCACCACCATGGGAGTTTTAAGAAAAGTTAGGTCTAGACAATGTTATTGTAAACTCCTCATGTACTAGAGATAATTTACATTTCCATACAAATTTACTGAAAGCAACCTAATCAAGGGCAGCCAGTATTGAATCATTTCTGCTTCCTCCTTTTTTCTCCCCTGCAAATGTTTCTGTGACACTAAGTTGTCCTATTTGATAGGCAATTTGCTTCTGTGCGGTGTTGCCATTAGCACTTGTCTCCATGATTCTTCTTCTCCCTCAAGGGGCTTTTACACCAGAGTTCAAATCTGTGGCAAAGCACAAGCTGCAACTCTAATGCTCAGTAAGATATGCAAAAAAAAAAAAAAGTTGGAATGCCATTGAAAAACTAGGACATGGCTATCTTTGTATTGAGTTTATTTAGGGAGAAAAACTGAATTCTGTCACTGCTGCAGTTTGTGGATGCTTTATCTCATGTAATCGCCAAGGAATTAATGTGATTTAATAGCCACAACAATAAATATAGCCTTGACAAGGTGATTATCCCATAAGACTAAAATCATGGTACAGCATAAATCAATACCAGCCCTAAGTATGTCTCCAAAAGGGGTATATATTTCTACATTCACTGCTAGATGTTGAACTAATTTTGGAATTAGAAGCTGTATGAAATGCAAAAGCTATTTTTCTAAGTGAAAAATTACAGAATATGTATGATGATCACTCAGAATATATATTGCTCATAAAATGAGTAGAAGGAAAGTAGTCAAACTTTTAAAGCTAGTTCAAGTACAAATCTCTGTTCCTAAGGACATGCTTCTCTCCACTCCAAACCTACCTGGCTCAGCCCAAGTCCTCTGATTTTCCTGTCTCTGCCCCATTGTGGCCCATCAGCCCACCTGAGAGACTAACTTGACCTTCTCATGGGGACTAGCCCTTTCAGCCTTCTGTACTAAAGCAACCCAATTGATTCACCTGCTTGAGAGAGCTCTGGCTGGTGCAAAGGCCCCTTAAAATCTCCGTGGCTGGAGTTAAGTCATACAGAAAAAGAAGATATTGATCAGGAACAATTTGGCTTACCTCATCAGGAGAAGTTTCCCCAGAGACATGGGCACATCCAGGTTTTAAAGGGTATTAGCAATTCACAGCCCTCCTTTAACAAAGGTTAATCCTATTTTGAGCTGGCTTTTCTGGAAGTCTGGGTTCTGTGCCTTTCAACCAGTCCCTCCCTCCACAGAATCAGATGGGAACTTCCTTGGAGGTGAACTGCTTCTCAGCCTTCTCTGGTAGCCCTGTGCAGGCACAGGGAGATTCTCCTATGCCTGGCTCCACTGAGCTGAATAGCCCTGTGGATGCTACACCCCTCTCAACCTCCAGAGCAGCTCTTGCTTAGTGAAGAGTGCCCTAAAAAATACCATTTAAAGCCTTAATATATGAAGTGCCTTCTCTCAGAGCTGAGTTTCCCACTGCCAGATAAGTGCCGCCTTAACTACATTTTTGTGAAGTAGCTGCAGTGGCACTCAATAGCTGATTATGTTAATCCTTTAGGAATATTCGAGAAAATATCTGCCTCTTCTTCCTATAGGAGAGGAATCAAGATTTGATGCAGGTATCAAACACCTCACAGGCCTTCTAACTTATATGTTTGCAGTGTGCCAAATATTATATTTTCACTTTTCAATATTGTACATTTTTTCCTGCTTTGCTCCCATCCTCTGTAGTGCACACAAAGATTTCCTTAGTCACGAAGGATTAAGTAATTCACCTCTGAAAAATCCTTTTAAAGCATTGGTGTCTGTCTTGAAAATTGCTTCCCCTCCCTGTCTAAAAAAAAAAAAAAAAACGGAACAAAGAACCGTGTTAATCTTTTGATAACTGACTCTATTTTTTACCGGAATTTCTTTTGTGATTATTTAATACGTCTCTAGTTAATTTCAAACAGTTTCCGTTTTCAGCACACATCCCTAATCAGAGACAAGTTGTCCAAGCAGCAGGGCTGGGGAGGGCTGTTTTGGCGGAAACAAAACCCTAACACAATAATGAATACAGCCCAAGCACACTGTTCAAAAATGAAATTGGCATTATTTATTTTGACAAAGAGACAAATGTACTGGTAGCTTCATTTACCACACAGAGCTCTTACAGAAAGTCTGTTCGAAAGAGACAGATAACTTCCCACTCTGATGGGCATATCAGTAGGAATTTTATTTGTGTCTTCCTGTAAATGCAGGAGAGCTTAGCTATTGATGAGTTTAATTCTACAGGCACCAGCGGTTTGTATTTAGCCTGAGAAATAGCATTAGCGAGTTCATCTGATGGGCCCGATAGGCTTAGCTGTGCTGCGGACAGGCAGGGTACAATGTGATTACACGCTCATTCTGGAATCTCTTCCCCTCCTCACCCCCCCACCCCCCTTCTTTTCACAAATGCAGAGAAATCAACAGATGTACACTACTTCCTTCATTATTCAGGCTAATACTTGCAACTATTGATTCAGTCAGTGCTGTCGAGGTTGTAAAAATCTGTATTAACACATGGGTTAAACGGAAAAATATTTATTTAATGCTTTTGTTTACTCTTCTGCCTGCTTCTGACACTGGGAAACACACAGGGACAGGAGAGGCCCCAGCCGGGCTCTGTGTGGCTTCTCCTTGGGTTAATCACATTTCACACGTCCCCATTTCTGGCAGATGCAGCACCTGACCTCCCCTTTGTCCGTCTCTGGATGAAAGTGTGAGGCTCCATAATTTCCCTCAGGCACAAAAACAGTTTGCTTTCCTGCTGGAGGTGAAAGTGACTCCCAGAGCAGGCACAGCTGGGGCTTTTATCTACCCTTCAGCCAGTGCCGGGTGGCTGAGCTCTTTCACTTTGCATGAAAATAAAGCTGAGATTGGAGCTGCTGAATTTGGCTCTTCACAAAATGGGGGGCAGGGGTGGGGGTGAAAGGAACCTTGGGGGCTTGGTTCACCAAGTAGGAATTAGGTTGGGTGTCAAGCGGGCTGCTTGGGAAGGAGGTGACAAGTGCTCCCGACAGGGACCACGCTGAGCCGCTAAAGCAATTGAAGCCAATGAGACGTTCTTTGCAGGAGTGAAAGTGTGGGCACAGCTGTGAGAGCTGCAGGAACTGCCTTAAGGGTAGGAGGTGGAAGGGACAGGTCTGTGACAGGAACTTGCAGGAGCTCACTTACCACGGGCACTGCTCACCCCAGACAGCTCCGGTGATTTATCTGAGAGGCATTTCCCTCCCCTTTTCCTTCCCCACTGTTTTAAATGCTCAGTAGCTGGCTGACCCTTGCTCTCCATGGGTCTGCCTGCTGTGAAGTCAGTGGCCGTTCTCTGTGGGACTGAAGTCAGCAGATCCATTAGGTTGACTAATGGTGATGGAAAGATCCGTGGCCATTTGGGTTAGGGTAACATTTATGTTTGGACCCTATGATTACTGGCAGGCTACTGGGTTGTTTGGGAAATGTTCTGGGAGCTGGGGCTGTGGAGAACCTGCCTGAAAGAGTGCAGGGATGAGAGGCAAACCATGACAGGGAATGAGCCCAAGTGGCAGCTCATGTTGGAGATGGTGCCGAGTGGCAGCCGCTTGTAGGCACCTGGCAGCAGAAGGCTATGTCCTAAGGTGTTCTACCGACATCTACCAGAGCAGCTGGCGCCTGGTGGAAGGCAGATGGTGTTGGATCCCCCAAGTGTCGCTGTCTAGCAAGATGCCATGTCCACTGATTAAAAATAATTAAACATTCCTTCCTCCGGTGAAGGAGAATGGCACGCACACCAGGCAGGGAGGTTGACAATGGCATTACACAGCAAGACATGGCAGCAGCAGTGAGTGCCCAGGGTAGCAGGTGCGTCTGGCTTGGAGAAGGAGGGGTGGGAGTGGGGGTCCCAGGTTAGCAATGACAGCAGAAAGAGTTAGTGAGGATGCATATGCATGAGAGATGCATGAATGGGATCATGTTGGATGACTTTCTACTGTTCATCCGCGTTTATGGAGAATGTTTTCCAATTTCTGAATGGAAACAATGAATTTTATATTCATGACCCAATCAATATGCACTGATCACCTAATACATGTTTTTATACTAGGTGCCATGGACAGAATACATTAATAGATGGTGTTGTCTATGTCTTCATTGTACTTACTTTAGTTGAATTTAGTCACTTATTTCTCCATACATATGGTTTTTCTTCTGCAGTTTGATGAAAGGTTTGAACATACCTTCAGTTTAACAGTTTGATGGAAAGAGTTTGATGAAAGAGTTGAACGTACTGATATTCCTCAGTGGTACTGTCATAAATGAGACACTGATGAGTGTCATAAGTGCTCCCCATAAGAGTGTTGGCTGTAAGGTCATGCATGAGACTGTTTTCCAAGTGTGCCCAGGCTCATAAATAGCTGTATCCTGCTGCCTTCCCCACACCGGCTTCTCATCCCCCTACACACCCCTTCCCTTTCATAGACCTGAATGTTATCAGGAACTTGATGAAAAGGCAGCCGCATTCCTCCAACTAACTTGACTAATGATTGGAGGAGAGGAATTAGACACTGAGTACAGGTAAATCCTTCAAAGAATTTTTCTGCTATTTATTATTTAATTTTAAAATTAAATTATTTAAACATATAAATTTGCTGTAAGAGGTAGGGAGGTCAAGTACAAATGTTAAAGAGTGAACAAATATATTGGTGAAGAAATTCTCTTATGATTGTTTAATTATAAGCTGAAATTTACTGTGCATTTGTGAAATACTGCAAATTTATAAATAATAAGCCCATTTCCCCAGGTTTCTAAGACATATGGAAGATTTCTATTTGGACTGAATGATTTGATTTCAGGTCAGTGGAAACCTTCTAATTTCCTATTAGTTACAGAAGAGATTTCTCTTCCTTGCTTCAGTTAAAATCAGCCGTATTTATTTGCTAAGTATCTATATTCTATGAGTACTACATGCCACTCCATTGTGGGAGTGATAGCAAAAACAATACAACATGTATGTGAAGGAGGGCAAATTCTCAAAAATCCAATATCACTCTGCATTAGTTTGTTCACACATTGCTATAAAGAACTACCTGAGACTGGGTAATTTATGAAGAAAACAAATTTGATTGACTTATAGTTCCACAGGCTGTACAGGAAGTGTGGCTGAGGAGGCCTCAGGAAACTTACAATCATGTCAGAAGGCGAAGGGAAAACAGGCACATCTTTATGTAGTGGAGCATGAGAGAGAGCTAAAGGGGAAGTGCTACACACTTTTAAACAACCAGATCTCCTGAGAACTCACTCACTATCGTGAGAACAGCAAGGGGGAAATCTGCCCCATGATCAAATCACCTCCCACCTCATCCCTCCCCCAACACTGGGAAGGAATTGCAATTCAGTGTGAGATTTGAGTGGGAACACAGAGCCAAACCGTATCACACTCCTTGAGGGGGAAGACAGTTTTGCACTGAAGATGTGATCACAATATGATAGCATGACTTAGGGAAGGCAGGCACCTTGAAGTCAGTGAGGTATAAGCTGGCTCTTGGAATTTGGGGTTGCATGCATATTTGTGGTGAAGAATAGGAGAGATTTCCAAGAATGGAAGAAAGATTTCAGCAAAAGGATGTAGAAAGAAATAGGTGAACCAGAAGTTTAACTTGGCTGATTGAGAGAGCCCACATTTTTTTAGAAAAAAAACCAGCAAGAGGGTACCTCCGTATTACCCAAATAAGGACAACTGTTTACCCATATATGGCATTCTTCACAGTGTTCTTTAAAGACTGCATGAGAGACATGGGAATGTTAAAATCTCAGAATTCCCCTGTGACAGTCTTTATTTTGGTCCTTTCAGAACCCATTTTGAACGGTTGCCTAGCTTGATTCATAAACCACAAGGGCTAGAAAACAAACTTCACATTTCCCCAAATCCTTTGTAGCTAAAATTTTACACATGATCTAATTTCTGCCGAATAGATGCCATGTTAATCAGTTCAGGCTACTATAATACCACCTACAGGGTGGTTTAAACAACAAACATTTATTTCTCAAAGTTTGGAGGTTGGAAATATAAGATCAGGGTGTCCACACCGTCTTGGTGAGGGTCCTCTCTCTGGTTTAAAGGTAGCCATCTTCTTGCTATGTCCTCACATGGCAGAAAGATAACTAGCTAGCTCTCTGGTCTCTTCTTCTAAGGGCATGAATCCCATTCAGAAGGGCTCCACTCTCATGCCCTAATTACTTCCCAAAGGCCCCTTCTCCAAATGCCATCAATGCCATCTAATCCGAGGGAGGAGCCAAGATGGCCGAATAGGAACAGCTCCAGTCTACAGCTCCCAGCGTGAGCGACGCAGAAGACGCTGCATTTCCAACTGAGGAACGCAGCTCCTCAACTGCAACGGAATAAAGCTGGACGGAGAATGACTTTGACGAGTTGAGAGAAGAAGGCTTCAGACGATCAAACTACCCCGAGCTAAAGGAGGAAGTTCGAACCCATGGCAAAGAAGTTAAAAATCTTGAAAAAAAATTAGACGAATGGCTAACGAGAATAACCAATGCAGAGAAGTCCTTAAAGGACCTGATGGAGCTGAAAACCATGGCACGAGAACTACGTGACGAATGCACAAGCCTCAGTAGCCGATTCAATCAACTGGAAGAAAGGGTATCACTGATGGAAGATCAAATGAATGAAATGAAGTGAGAAGAGAAGTTTAGAGAAAAAAGAATAAAAAGAAATGAACAAAGCCTCCAAGAAATATGGGACTATGTGAAAAGACCAAATCTACGTCTGATTGGTGTACCTGAAAGTGACGGGGAGAATGGAACCAAGCTGGAAAACACTCTGCAGGATATTATCCAGGAGAACTTCCCCAATCTAGCAAGGCAGGCCAACATTCAAATTTGGGAAATACAGAGAACGTCACAAAGATACTCCTTGAGAAGAGCAACTCCAAGACACATAATTGTCAGATTCACAAAAGTTGAAATGAAGGAAAAAATGTTAAGGGCAGCCAGAGAGAAAGGGAAGCCCATCAGACTAACAGCTGATCTCTTGGCAGAAACTCTACAAGCCAGAAGAGAGTGGGGGCCAATATTCGACATTCTTAAAGAAAAGAATTTTCAACCCAGATTTTAATATCCAGCCAAACTAAGCTTCATAAGTGAAGGAGAAATAAAATACTTTACAGACAAACAAAAGGTGAGAGATTTTTTCACCACCAGGCCTGCCCTACAAGAGCTCCTGAAGGAAGCACTAAACGTGGAAAGGAACAACCAGTACCAGCCACTGCAAAAACATGCCAAATTGTAAAGACCATCGAGGCAAGGAAGAAACTGCATCAACTAACGAGCAAAATAACCAGCTAACATCATAATGACAGGATCAAATTCACAAATAACAATATTAACCTTAAATGTAAATGGGCTAAATTCTCCAATTAAAAGACACAGACTGGCAAATTGGATAAAGAGTCAAGACCCATCAGTGTGCTGTATTCAGGAAACCCATCTCATGTGCAGAGACACACATAGGCTCAAAATAAAGGGATGGAGGAAGATCTACCAAGCAAATGGAAAACAAAAAGAGGCAGGGGTTGCAATCCTAGTCTCTGATAAAACAGACTTTAAAGCAACAAATATCAAAAGAGACAAAGAAGGCCATTACATAATGGTAAAGGGATCAATTCAACAAGAAGAGCTAACCATCCTAAATATATATGCACCCAATACAGGAGCACCCAGATTCATAAAGCAAGTCCTTAGAGACCTACAAAGAGACTTAGACTCCCACACAATAATAATGGGAGACTTTAACACCCCACTGTCAGCATTAGACAGATCAACGAGACTGAAAGTTAACAAGGATATCCAGGAATTGAACTCAGCTCTGCACCAAGCAGACATAATAGACATCTACAGAACCCTCCACCCCAAATCAACAGAATATACATTCTTTTCAGCACCACACCACACCTATTCCAAAATTGACCACATACTTGCAAGTAAAGCACTCCTCAGCAAATGTAAAAGAACAGAAATTATAACAAACTGTCTCTTAGACCACAGTGCAATCAAACTAGAGCTCAGGATTAAGAAACTCACTCAAAACCGCTCAACTTCATGGAAACTGAACAACCTGCTCCTGAATGACTACTGGGTACATAACGAAATGAAGGCAGAAATAAAGATGTTCTTTGAAACCAATGAGAACAAAGACACAACATACCAGAATCTCTGGGACACATTCAAAGCAGTGTGTAGAGGGAAATTTATAGCACTAAATGCCCACAAGAGAAAGCAGGAAAGATCTAAAATTGACACCCTAACATCACAATTAAAAGAATTAGAGAAGCAAAGCAAACACATTCAAAAGCTAGCAGAAGGCAAGAAATAACTAAGATCAGAGCAGAACTGTAGGAAATAGAGATACAAAAAACCCTTCAAAAAATCAAGGAATCCAGGAGCTGGTTTTTTAAGATCAACAACATTGATAGACCACTAGAAAGACTAATAAAGAAGAAAAGAGAGAAGAATCAAATAGATGGAATAAAAAATGATAAAGCGGATATCACCACTGATCCCACAGAAATACAAACTACCATCAGAGAATACTACAAACACCTCTATGCAAATAAACTGGAAAATCTAGAAGAAATGGATAAATTCCTCGACACATACACCCTCCCAAGACTAAGCCAGGAAGTTGAATCTCTGAATAGACCAATAACAGGCTCTGAAATTGAGGCAATAATTAATAGCTTACCAACCAAAAAAAGTACAGGACCAGATGGATTCACAGCCAAATTCTACCAGAGGTACAAGGAGGAGCTGGTACCATTCCTTCTGAAACTATTCCAATCAATAGAAAAAGAGGGAATCCTCCCTAACTCATTTTATGAGGCCAGCATCATCCTGATACCAAAGCCCAGCAGAGACACAACAAAAAAAGAGAATTTTAGACCAATATCCATGATGAACATCAATGCAAAAATCCTCAATAAAATACTGGCAAACCAAATCCAGCAGCACATCCAAAAGCTTATCCACCATGATCAAGTGGGCTTCATCCCTGGGATGCAAGGCTGGTTCAACATATGCAAATCAATAAACGTAATCCAGCATATAAACAGAACCAACGACAAAAACCACATGATTATCTCAATAGATGCAGAAAAGGCCTTTGACAAAATTTAACAACCCTTCATGCTAAAAACTCTCAATAAATTAGGTATTGATGGGACGTATCTCAAAATAATAAGAGCTAGCTATAACAAACCCACAGCCAATATCATACTGAATGGGCAAAAACTGGAAGCATTCCCTTTGAAAACTGGCACAAGACAGGGATGCCCTCTCTCACCACTCCTATTCAACATAGTGTTGGAAGTTCTGGCCAGGGCAATCAGGCAGGAGAAGGAAATAAAGGGCATTCAATTAGGAAAAGAGGAAGTCAAATTGTCCCTGTTTGCAGATGACATGATTGTATATCTAGAAAACCCCATCATCTCAGCCCAAAATCTCCTTAAGCTGATAGGCAACTTCAGCAAAGTCTCAGGATACAAAATCAATGTGCAAAAATCACAAGCATTCTTATACACCAATAAAAGACAAACACAGAGTCAAATCATGAGTAAACTCCCATTCACAATTGCTTCAAAGAGAATAAAATACCTAGGAATCCAACTTACAAGGGATGTGAAGGACCTCTTCAAGGAGAACTACAAACTACTGCTCAATGAAATAAAAGAGGATACAAACAAATGGAAGAACATTCCATGCTCATGGGTAGGAAGAATCAATATCATGAAAAAGGCCCTACTGCCCAAGGTAATTTATAGATTCAGTGCCATCCCCATCAAGATACCAATGACTTTCTTCACAGAATTGGAAAAAACTACTTTAAAGTTCATATGGAACCAAAAAAGAGCCCGAATCGCCAAGTCAATCCTAAGCCAAAAGAACAAGGCTGGAGGCATCACTCTACCTGACTTCAAATTATACTACAAGGCTACAGTAACCCAAACAGCAAGGTACTGGTACCAAAACCGAGATATAGACCAATGGAAGAGAACAGAGTCCTCAGAAATAATGCCGCATGTCTACAACTATCTGATCTTTGACAAACCTGACAAAAACAAGAAATGGGGAAAGGATTCCCTATTTAATAAATGGTGCTGGGAAAACTGGCTAGCCATATGTAGAAAGCTGAAACTGGATCTCTTCCTTACACCTTATGCAAAAATTAATTCAAGATGAATTAAAGACTTAAATGTTAGACCTAAAACCATAAAAACCCTGGAAGAAAACCTAGGCAATACCATTCAGGACATAGGCATGGGCAAGGACTTCATGTCTAAAACACCAAAAGCAATGGCAACAAAAGCCAAAATTGACAAATGGGATCTAATTAAACTGAAGAGCTTCTGCACAGCAAAAGGAACTACCATCAGAGCGAACAGGCAACCTACAGAATGGGAGAAAATTTTAGCAACTACTCATCTGACAAAGGGCTAATATCCAGAATCTACAATGAACTCAAACAAATTTACATGAAAAAAACAAACAACCCCATCAACAAGTGGGCGAAGGATATGAACAGACACTTCTCAAAAGAAGACATTTATGCAGTCAAAAGACACAAGAAAAAATGCTCGTCATCACTGGCCATCAGAGAAATGCAAATCAAAACCACAATAAGATACCATCTCACACCAGTTAGAATGGGGATCATTAAAAAGTCAGGAAACTACAGGTGTTGGAGAGGATGTGGAGAAATAGGAACACTTTTACACTGTTGGTGGGACTGTAAACTAGTTCAACCATTGTGGAAGTCAGTGTGGCAATTCCTCAGGGATCTAGAACTGGAAATACCATTTGACCCAGCCATCCCATTACTGGGTATATCCCCAAAGGATTACAAATCATGCTGCTCTAAAGACACATGCACATGTAAGTTTATTGTGGCACTATTCCCAATAGCAAAGACTTGAAACCAACCTAAATGTCCAAAAATGATAGACTGGATTAAGAAAATGTGGCATATATACACCATGGAATTCTATGCAGCCATAAAAAATGATGAGTTCATTTCCTTTGTAGGGACATGGATGAAGCTGGAAACCATCACACTCAGCAAACTATCACAAGGACAAAAAAACCAAACACCGCATGTTCTCACTCATAGGTGGGACTTGAACAATGAGAACACATGGACACAGGAAGGGGAACATCACACACCAGGGCCTGTTGTGGGGTTGGGGGAGGGGGGAGGGGTAGCATTAGGAAATACACCTCATGTTAAATGACGAGTTAATGGGTGCAGCACACCAACATGGCACATGTATACATATGTAACAAACCTGCACGTTGTGCACATGTACCCTAAAACTTAAAGTATAATAAAAAAAATCATCTAATCCTTGGGACTAGAGTCTCAACATATGACTCTACAGATGCTTTGCAATCCATTGCAGATGCTTTCTTATGAGACTTAGAAGAGTAATTGAGTTCTTATGAGACAACAGATGCTGGACATGAGACCTGATCACCAGGTAAACCAGGAATGAAGGTATCTGGTCCTTTAGGGAAGTTAAAGTAGAATTTCTGGAGCTAGCACCAAGTGGCCCAGGTGTCAAGCAGGAGGTTTGGCAGCAATGGTGTTTCTCTAGAACAGTCCTCAGTGATTGGAAATTTTTTTTAGGCTGCTCTGGTCTTGATGGCATATCATCCAAGCCTGGGTTTCTTGGTTCTGCCTGAGATTCTGAAAGCTATCTAATATCTTTTATGAAAACTTTTTCTAAACTTAAACTAGGTATATCTATGATCCACAAATAAGAGCGCTGACTACTATAGCTGCCTTATGAGTGTTCCTTCTATATAGTGCCAGCAAAATGAGAAATCTTAAGGTACACACAGGCGACTGTGTGACAACGTACCCCACCTTCGATACAATTGATTGGATTGGGGAGGACACCTGACCCAAAGGGGCACATTGATTGGTTGACTAGTAACTTAAAGTGTAGCCTTACAAGAGATCTTTGCCAAGTAGGGTCTATAATGACAAGCTAGACCAACCAGATCTTGGTTAAGAGTTTGAACTGTAAATATGAAAAAAAAAATCAATTGACAAGAAAGGAAATATGAAATACTTACAGATAAAAAGGCAGGTAGGCCAAAGAGGCAGTAGTGAACATGACTAATAAGAAACTATAAACATGTACAGAATAGAGTGCTGTTAGTAGTAGTGGGATTTGTAGTAGGTTAGTAGTAGTAGGATTAGTAAAAGAATGTTCATGATTTTAAGGGTGTGTCAAACGTGGTGCCTGCTGTACCCAACTTCTCCTTCTAGATGCAACTATCTCCTTAACAGCCTTCTGCTTCAGGAAGTAGGGCTGGTACATTCTTCATGCAGGGACAAAAGTGAGCCAGGGATCCTATCTGCAGATTCATGAGATCCCTGGTGTGAAGTTCTCAGCCCAATACCAACAGTAATATTAGTCAAACCAATCAGACCATCAGACCAGTCTACTTTTGGTTGGGTTGGCAAGTCAGTTCAGAGAGGACAATAGAGGAGACAAAAGAGAAAGAAGAGACCCATGAGAAAGAGGGAGCTGAAGAGTGAAGCTGATTCCTAAGACAGCCTTGCTTTGGCATGGATTTTCCATCCAGTCCACATATATCTCTAGGATGGACAGTCCCACTTTTCTAGCCCAATGAGGCTTCCAAGCACATGACCACATTCAGAATGAGGCCTGGGGAGACTACCCAATTTCTAGAGCGGTTCTGGATCCTGAGTAACCACCTGGTCCCAAACTCTCCTGGCTTACCAGGGCCAGCTCCTTTATGCTTTCTCTGACGACAATGCCAACTCGTTCTGCTTTTTATGAGTCTTTTATGAGGCCTGGCTACCCAACTTCGTATCTTGTTATCATAAAAATACCTGAAGTTCTGCTCCCACCTTATTCATAACACTTACAATACCTTGAGAATTGTTTCTTGTGTCCTTAAGGATCTAGGTAACATAGTACATTTAATAAATAAACAAACAAAACAAAACAAAACAAAATCATTGTTTCATCTGTCTTAGAAATGTAAGAAGTGGAATAAAGGACAAAGTGCAAACCTTTTTGACTTGGATTTAGAAAAATCTGAAATGAGTTGACTTTAGTTCTTTAGCGTTTAAATGGCAGGGGAATAACCCTTGGAAAGAAAATGTTGACCAACCTATATGTGGGCCAGTATTTAAGTCATCTTTTAAATGTAGTATTTGATTACCACACCTACTGAATAAGAGTTTAAACTACAATTATCATCAATAAAAGCCACATGAACAGATCCCTACACTTGAGTGGTAATATACCCTTAAATTAAACTATTTTGGCCTCTTTGAAAATCAAACCATTTTTAGTAAGTGCTTTCTGAAGCCTCATTATTATTGTTGCGACTACTAATTTATACACACATAATACATTCTGCCTCATGTACTCTGAAAATTATATTTCAGAATCATTTTTACCCACCTGGAGAGAAGCATGACACCTATTCCATAGCACTCAGCAATGTCTCAGGCCTGACAATGAACAGAGGAAATGGCTGTAAATATGCCACTTACCCCAGAGAGGTGGAACATTCTTTCTAAAGGGAGTTTGACTTTGACAGGTGGATCCAGCTATCTGGGAGGCTGTTGGAGGACTGCATATCTTCTTCTCCACCTATCACTCATCCTGGCCTAGTTAGCTGCAGAAAGACACCCATCAGTGATTTTCAAATTTGGCTGAACATCAGAATCTCGGGGGGAACTTAAAAACGTATTTATGCTTAGATCCCACCTTAGACCAACTGAAAGTATCAATGTGGATAAGGCCAGGGCTACCAGGTTTTAAAACTTCACAGGTGACTCCAATAGACAACTAAAGTTGAGAACCACTAACCTACAACACTGGCTTTCAAATTTTAGGTTCCATCATAATCACCTGAGGATGATCCTGCCCAGCCCTACTAAACCAGGTGACTCTGATACACATTAAAGTTTGAAAACCACTAATTTATGAACTACTGGTTGGTTATGTGATTGTTTCTGTCTGCCCCAAGGCTTCTGCTCTCTTATTTCCTCCAATATCCTGCTCCAACCCTGGTAATAGCTACCATTATACATGTCCTGGTTAAAATGCAGCCATATTAATTGGAGTTAAAACATATTAAACTAACCAGCCATCATTAGAATGTTTTCAGAAGAGAGCAGAGCCTTGAATGAATAGACAAAGGATAGGTAAATTTTGCAGGTAAGAGAATTCTGATGCTCTCTGCTTCTGTCTTCATCAGGTTCATAATGCATCCAATGATCACTGTCCACCACAACCAAGCACTAAGCCATGGCTCTTTTTCTCCTGGCAAAAATAGAAAAAAATATTTATTATCTATTAAGGGACTCTCCAATAATGTAACACTGCTGGCATTATCTCATGTTACTCTTATAATAACATTATGAAGTATATATAATTATTTTCAGTCCCCAGATGAGAAATCTGAATTTGAAGAAAGTAAGAACTTGTCTAAGGACCCATAACTGGTGAATGACTTATTGAAGATTGGACCTCAAGCCACTAGACCAAGACTGCTTTCTTAACTTCCATATTTCCTGCATCAGGCAGATATTATAAACAGAGAAGATATCTGGTTTTAATTTTTTGAAGGGCTTTTGTGCAGAAGAAGCAGGCCTAGTCTGTATCGTTACAGAGAGTAGACTTATGGTTCAGTAGGTAGAAATTCAAAAAAGGCATATCTCAGCTTAATCTATTATAATAAATACTGATTAAAATACTAATAGTGATTTCTTGAACATGTTGTGTTCAGCACTAAACTGAGTGCTTAAGTTAGTGCATCTCATCTGATCATCACAACAACACTATGACAGAGGTACTATTATGATATTGTTTTCTAGTTGAGGAAACTGAGTCTCATAGAAATTCAGAAACTTGTCAAAGGTCATAGACCCCCAAACTGGTGGCTGTAGTGGTGGAATCAGAAGTAGTATGCAAGAAACCCAGTGCTCAATCCAAGCTACTCAGGTCAGTCAGGACAGAATTAGCTCTAAAGCTCTAACAAGAGAATTGACAAATAATGGGTTGAACTGCTTTATGAAATCAGAAGTTTCTTGTCGGTCACTGAAAACACTTTAAAAATTCTGAATGACCATGAGCCATTCTGGCTTCAGACCCTTCACCTCTGTACTTCTTTGCTGCCTTGCTCAGGCTGTGATCCCTTGCACACAGGTGATTGGACCAAGGGTAGAGATCTACCCCTACAAGTCATAGTTCATATTGAGATTGAGTCAATCTTTCTGAAATATATGCAGTTAGTTGCTGGGGGTGCTTTCTTCCAATTACTCTATAGACTGAGGATTCCTGTAGTAAATTCTACCTTTTAAAATCTATGGTACTGACATAAAAATGGGCATATAGACCAGTGGAACAGAATAGAGACTCTGGAAATAAATCCAAACATATATGGTCAACTAATTTTTGACAAGAACACCAAAAAAGACACAATGGGGAAAAGGATGATCTATTTAATAAATGGTGAAGGTAAAATTAGATATCCACATGCAAAAGAATGAAATTGGACCCTTATCTTACCCCACACACAAAAATCAACTCAAAATGGGCAAAAGGCCTAAATATAACACTTGAAACCATGAAACTCCTAGAAGAAAACATAGGGGAAGACTCCTTGACATTGGCTTTGGCAATGATTTTTTTGGATGTCACACCAAAAACTCAGGCTACAAAAGCAGAAATAAATAAGTGGGATTATATTGAACTAAAAAGCTTTTGCACAGCAAGTAAATAATCAACAAAATGAAAAAGGCAGTCTACAGAATGGGAGAAATTATTTGCAAATCATGTATCTGATTAGAGATTACTGTCCAAAACGTATCAGGGACTCATACAGCTTGGTAGAAAAAAATCAAATAATCAGATTACAAATAGGCAAAGGACCTGAATAGATATTTTTTCTGAAGAAGGCATACAAATGGTCAACAGGTACGTGCAAATGTGCTCAACGTTACTAATTATCAGGGAAATGGACATCAAAACCACAAGGAGGTATCACCTGACATCTGTTAGGATTGCTATTATCAAAAAGACAAGAAATAAGTATTGGCAGGGATGTGGAAAAGAGGGAACTCTTGTATATTGTTTGTGGGAATGTAAATTGGTAAATCCATTATGAAAAACAGTATGAATATTCTTCAAAAAATTAAAAATAGATTTACCATATGATCCAGCAATTTCACTTCTGAGTATATATCCAAAGGAAACGAAATGCATATCTTGACGTATTCCAGAAGAGATATCTGCACTCCCATGTTCACTGCAGCATTATTCACAATAACCAGCAGATGGAAACAGCCTCAGTGTCCAAGGATGGATGAAAGAATGAAGAAAATGTGGTATATACACACACACATACCTATCCATGCACACAGTGGAGTATTATTCAGCCATATAAAGAAGGAAATCCTGCCATTTGTGACAACATGGATGAATATTGAGGGCATTATGCTAAGTGAAATAAGTCAGACAGGAGAAAGACAAATACTGTATGATATGACTTATATGTGGAATCTAAAAATGTTGAACTCGCAGAAACAGAGAGTAGAATGGTAGTTGCTAGAGGCTGAGAAGTGGTGAAATTGAGATGTTGGTCAAAGGGTACAAACTTTCAGTTATAAAATACGTAAGTGGGGATCTAATATACAACATGGTAACTATAATTAATAATACTGCATTGTACATTTAAAGTAACCATGTGAGGTAACGAATATATTAACTAACTTGATTATGGTAATCCTTTCACAATATATATTTATATCAAAGCATTGCGTTGTATACCTTAAACACATACAACCTCAATAAATTTGGAAAACATAAATCTAGCTATTTCAAACTGATTTCTGTTTGAACTTGTATGTTGGAGTATGGATATCATGAAATATGGAACACAAAACTAAATGTAAAGATGGTAGAGCCTTCACATATGCTCAAATTGGTGTGGCTGCTGGTCTCACAGCAGTATCGGTGTAACCTACTTTTTCTGGTAGCAAGCTCCATTACCCCAAAACCAGGATCAATCATAGTACTTAAGTCTCCTGACCTTGGTTATCAGCCCAAGAAGTGGGCATATTACCTAACTTGAGCTATCTTTCCCCAAGGATTTATAAACAACACTGGTAGTGAGTACCCTTGGCTAAGGTTATGACATTAAAAGATTATAATCCCAGGGTTGCTTTCAAGCATATTTTCTACCACATGGAAAAGTCTATCCACACTAAGGCTTGCACTTGGAGCAGAGCAGAAATGAGAGATGGTGGCAGATAGATGGAGGGTGAGAGAGAAACAGACAGGGAGAGGAGTAACGAGCTGGAAACACTGACTCCATTGGAGAAGGTGACCACCCACATGGAACAGAAAGGTCCCAGCAGAAGTGGGCTCTGTGTTCTGGTCAGCTCCTGGTTTTCCTAGGGTGCCCTTCCTAGTTGCTGACCTGATGCCAGGTCTCTGGTGCCTTCTTCCCAGGCTGCTGAGTCCTTTCCACACCACACCCTGGAGTCTTGATTTTCATATCACTTCCCCAAAGAAAGATTTTCCTTATGATTCAGGTTCCCTGTCATACTGGCAAAGGAAATTCTGCTGCTTTGTTAGTAACCCAGAGCTTTGTGGCTGGGTGGTTATACCATTCACAGGGAGTCCAGCAGCAATTGGAAAATTCAGTAAGTGGGGCATTCCAGAAAGGGTGACCTCTATTTGTGTTCACATTGGAACAGAGGGCATCAATTGTGAACTGCAGAACAGCTAGAGGACGAAACTTGATGGGGGGATCTGCAGGTGCACAGAATATTACCTATTCTCCTCTCCCATTTTAAAATTTGTCTCTAACATCTTGCCACAGGCATTTCCAATCCATTCACTTGGGGATTTGCAAACTTTCCAAAGAGAGTGCATCTAAAAGTAGAGGCAAATGAGCAAACCTTAGTCTAAGCAAGAATTTTTTCCAATATCCAGGATTTCATCTCAAAAACTTTCTCATAAGTTTTTTCAGGTATAACATACTTATATTTTTAAATTATGAAAATAATGTTCTTTCTATTTTTGAATAAGATTGATGGGTGAACATTTATGTCATGTTTATTTTGTGAGCTAAAGCTCAACTTGGAGATAGCATGGCTACTATTTAAGATACCGCATCTCTCTTAAAATGCTAAGATTTTGGAGGAGATGTCACAGTGAGCCCTTAACACCTTGGCCTACATCTGCTTTTATTTTCTAAAATAATTTTTCTATTTATTGAAATACAAAAAACTATGCATTTATATATCTATTGTTAAAAATATTGAATGCTGAGAAAGTCCCCAACACCCCTTTGCCATGGTTTCTCAGGACAGTCCTGTTGGTTTTACTAAAGAAAGAGCTCTTAAAAATATTCCTTTTTAATACAAAAATTAGCAGGGCATGCTGGCACGTGCCTGTAATCCTAGCTACCTGGGAGTCTGAGGCAGCAGAACTGTTTGAACCCGGGAGGTGGAAGTTGCAGTGAGCCGAGATTGCACCACTGCATTCCAGCCTGGGCAAAGAAGCA
Source organism: Homo sapiens (assembly GCF_000001405.40). NCBI lineage: Eukaryota > Metazoa > Chordata > Mammalia > Primates > Hominidae > Homo > Homo sapiens. Next base: position 83,677,287 of record NC_000001.11, on the reverse strand, counting down.
AGACTCTGTCTCAAATATATATATATTCCTTTTTAACTAGGGAGGTCACACATCCTGGGCATCCTGATTTGTTTGTCCTACTGTAAATTATTATTGCTATTATTTTACTCCAAAGTATCATAGTTGAGATATTAAATTACATGGTCACTATCTGGGATGCCACTTTTGATGCTTTCAATGTTTGTTTTCTAGCAATAACCCCTATGTCTTCAAATTTATGGTTATTGTTTCTTGATATTGTATCTAATTTAGACATTTCCTATTGGCTTCTTGCTATCATGATTACATATTTAGCTTACCTAAATTCCCATCTCTATTCATCACTTCCTCTGAATAAATATATCACTCTTTAGTTCCTCTGTTGGTTACCTTCAAAACTCTATTTCTTATTCCGCTAATTATAGATAATTTTTCTTGACTTTCTACTTCATAAGATAAAGATATTAGTGACTCCATACCTTTCTATATCCATCTCTCTCTTTCACCTGAATCCTGTACTTTTTTACATTATTGAAGTTGATAACATTTGCATTCTGTCCTATAGTCAAACATTAATCTCATGTTGAATATATGGAAAGGAAGATTCTGAATGTTGAAGGTCAGTTGGTGGCATTTATGTTATGATGTCCACATATTTATTCACTGCTGAATAATGCAGCACTTTGCTATGATTTCAGCCCTTTGTTGTAAAATTTTTTGTCCTTTTCAGAGTTTCTGCTCTTACACTCTGTGTTCATCTTCTAAGTTCTTCCAATGTTTCAGATCCCCTACCTATTCTAGAAATAATCTCATTCCCTTTTTCTCATCTCTGGTGCTTCTAAAACCATCCACCTCCTTGCTACAGGCTGGACTTCATGCTTCACTGCTGTAAAGTCATTATCCTGAATCTTGCCTTCATTGCCCTCCTGTCTTGGATGCACCATTTACTGGATTCCACGTCTCCCTCCTTGGTTTGCTCTCTTATTAGTCATTGTGATTGTTGCTCTCTTATTAGTCATTGTGATTGTTGCTCACATATTTATCCTCTTCACCCCCATTGGGTGGCAGCCATGCAGTTTGAGAGGGACTGACTTCAATCCCAGTTTCTGTAGTTGGTCCCGATTGGTTTAAATCAATCTAAATAATCCTGTCCCTCTTAGTCTCTTCGCAGTGTTCTCTACCAAGGTTGTGGAGTGAAGAAGTAACCTTATCCAAAGACATTTGTGCTTGGCCACTGGGGAGCAATCTCTAGGTCCTGGAATGTCCTGCCTGATTGGAGTGTCTTGGTTTGCATGGGGGGTTTGTCCACTGGACAGCCAGTCTAGCAATGTGATTTATGAAAGGGGCTTTAAGCCACTTAATATCGGTTCCAACCTGTGAAGAGACTGAAGATCAGCCTGACCTCTAAAAAGATTGGAAATTAATGTTCAGCCATGCAGGCAGTGTTGGATAGAGCCCCAGTAAAATCTCTGGACACCAAAGGCTTGGGTGAGCTTTCCTGGTTGGCAATACTCTGTGTGTATTGTCACATATCATGGCCAGAGGAGTTAACACTGTCGGTGCCTCCATGGGAAGAGAATGACTGTGAGCTCTAAGTCTGGAGCTCTCTTGGACTTTTCCTGTGGCTAATTTTAATCTATATCTTTTTCCTGTAATAATCATGAATATAACAGCTTTCCTCTAATTCTGTGAGACCTTCTAGAGAATTATTGAAACTGAGGGTAGTCTTGAAAATCTCACAAACTTGCAATTGGTGTCAGATTTGAGGGCATTGTTAGGGACTATGTCCCCAACTCTCTTCAAAGGTCTAACCCAATCAGGCTGTGCATCCCCCTGGACATGAGGGTGGCCTACTCAGTGGAAAGCCTATGACTTTAGGACAATGTTTAAAGCAAGTCATACTCCTCCCCCGGCTGTTACTGAAGTATCATGTAGCCACCAATGCTTATCACAGGCATCTTATAACCAGGAGAGAAGCCAACTCGAGGAGACATCCAGGGAAGACTGACTGAGAGAACCACTGAGGAGCACAGCTGGAACTCTGATTGCATTGCGCCACAATTCTAGCCTACTCCCCGAACCCGACCATTATGCAAAGTAATGAATCGGCTTACTTCTTTTTATGTCAGCTTGTCTTGGGTATTCTGCTCCCCGTTACCAAAAGCATCCTAACAAAATCACTACTTTGACTCATATACATCCTAAAGTAATTTCCTAAGAAAGGGTACAAGTGAAGTAAACCTCTTATGTCCTGGAATGTTTTTTATTTATTTAGCAATGACTTAGGTAGGACTTACTTTGCAACATTTTCTGTTTTAAGTGTTTTTATGAAAATAATCCATTTAGTTCTAATAGCAACATTGAAGTAGGGGTTATTAAAATCTCCCTTTTATAGAGAAGGAAACTAAGGCAAAAAGAAGTTATTTGTTCAAGGTCACATGGCTATTAAGTAGGAACCAGATTTGAGCACGGGCAGCTGGCTGCAGAGTCAGTGCTCACGTTTTTCACTCTGATGTGCTACTGCTCAATGGCAAAAATGTCTTCCCACTTTACTGTTGCTCAGAATCCAATGTTGCTGATGAAAAGCCTGGTATCAGTCTAATTGTTGTTCCTTTAATCAATGTACTTTTCTCTACTCATACCCCATGGGTTGCTTTTAGGCCAGCCTATCTATTTTTAGAATTCTTAAATTTCTAATTCTGGAGGCTGAAAGTTCAAGCTTAGGGTACCGTCATGGCTGGGCTCTGATGAGGGCCCTCTCCCGGGTTTGTAGATGGTTGACTTCTTATATCCTCATGCGTTAGGGAACAGAGAGAGAGAAAGCAAGCCCTCGCTGTCTCTCCTTTTTTTTTTTTTTTTTTTTTTTTTTTTTTTTTTGGGACGGAATCTCACTCTGTTGCCCAGGGTGGAGTGCAGTGGTGCAATCTTCGCTCACTGCAAGCTCCACCTCCCGGGTTCACGCCATTCTCCTGCCTCAGCCTCCCGAGTAGCTGGGACTACAGGCGCCCGCCACCGTGCCCAGCTAATTTTTTTGTATTTTTAGTAGAGACGGGGTTTCACCGTGTTAGCCAGGATGGTCTTGATCTCCTGACCTCGGGATCCGCCCGCCTCGGCCTCCCAAAGTGCTGGGATTACAGGCGTGAGTCACTGCGCCCAGCCAAAAACAGGTATTCTTGAAAAAAGAATAAGAAGGAGCTTTTGGAAACTAAAACTATGATTGCCAACATAAAACATTTTAGAAATTAATGAAAAAGGTATAGGAAATCTCACAGTTGGTAAGACAAAAACCCAAGTGTCCCCAAACACTGTGCTTTGTTTTCTTTATGTAGTTCTCTCTTTCTGAAATCACATTACTTGTTTGTCATTTCAGTCACCCAGTTTATGGTATTCTGTTGTAGCAGCTCAGACTAACACAATTATGATACCAAATCACTGCGGTAAAAATTAAAGTATTGAGAAACTTCCTTGAAGGTCCTAAATTATCTCTGCTGACTCTGTTTTTCTCTTCTTCCTATTTCTATTATCTTGGTAGCTCTCCTTCATATTTCTGGCTTTTCTCAAATGTCTTGCCTTTCTATTTGTATTAAAGAATGAGGCTACAGAGAAGCTGCCTGGGAGTTCTGAATATGTGGTCAGGGATTGCCACCTGGCAGACTACACTGTAAACTAAGCATGAGTGTCAAGATGTCCAATAATTTTATCTGAGACACAAAAACTCACATCAGCCAACATAAGTCTTCTCAGATAATTTGCTCAATTTATTTAGAGAGTGGCCTACAGTTTTGTTATGACTGGATGAAATCTGTGGCTTTGACTCATTCTGTATACGTGGATGAAAAAGTGAGGTCAGAGGTAGCTCCATTCCAAATTAGCTCCCTCTTCTCTTCCCCTCTTCTCACTCCTACCCTCCCTCTTAATAGCCCTCTTTGTGCCTTGCACCACATGAGGATTCTGCTGGGCAGATCATCTGCCTCCTTGGTTGCTGTGCCTCTCACATCAAGGAGGCTGTGGCTTTATTTTAAAGCTTACAGCTTGCCAGGCATGCTGGCTCACTCTTGTAATCCCAGCACTTTGGGAGGCTGAGGTGGGTAGATCACTTGAGGTCAGGAGTTCAAGACCAGCCTGACCAACATGGTGAAACCCCATCTCTACTAAAAATATAAAAATTAGCCAGGTGTGGTGGTGCATGCCTATAATCCCAGCTACTCTGGAGGCTGAGGCAGGAGAATCACCTGAACCTGGGAGGTGGAGGTTGCAGTTAGCTGAGATCACACCATTGCACTCCAGCCTGGGCAACAAGAGCAAAACTCTGTCAAAATAAATAAATAAATAAATAAATAAATAAATAAATAATAAATAAAAGCTTCCAGCTTACAGAATATTTGCAAATTTGCAAAATTTCTCATCTCCTCATGGCCTCCCACCTTTAGTTGTTATTTTTTCCTTGATCATAAGTATATTGGGTTCTCAAGTGGGAAAGGAGAAAAATAGACCTACTCAGCTTACCATGCAAAAATAGTTTTAGAAGATGGTATTCCAAGGGTGGGCTTTATGAATAGAGAAACATGAGGGAATAGTCCCGAGAGAGTAACTTTGATGGGAAAAGGGTTGAAAGCCAGATTTGAAGAAAAAAGTCTGTCCCTGGGAAGTGAAGATGGTTTTAAGGGGCTTAATAGTTCCCAAGGAGCCAATTGCTACAGACTGAATTGTGTCCCCATCCGCTACTCCCAAATTTGTATGTTGAATTCCTCAACCCTAATGTGACCATATCTGGAAACAGGGTCTTTAGAAGGTAACCGAGGTTAAATGAAGTTCTAAGAGTGGGGCTGTAATGCAGTAGTACCCTGGCCTTAGAAGAAGAGAAAGAGAGACACATCTCTCTAGTCTTTCTCCACCACTTGAGGACACAATGAAAAGGCTACTGTTTATAAGCCAGGAAAACAGTCCTCACCAGGAAGAAATCAGCCAGAACCTTGATCTTAGATTTCTCAGCCTGCTGAACTATGAGAAAATTAGTTTCTGTTGTTTAAGCCACTCAGTCTATGGTGCTTTGTTATCACAGCTGAAGCTAAGACACTGATAGTACAAAGTGGCAAGAAGACACAGAAGTTGCTGAAATGTTTGCTGAGGATCAGGGTACTTTCAGTGAAAGCATTCTGAACTTGAGCCAGGAAATCTGCTGAATGATGTTCTGTCTCTGCTATTAGCCCAACAGACTTTGGGCAATCACTTACCCACTGGGGCACAATTTTCTCATCTATAGAATGGAGCTAATAATTCTCATCTCCTGAGTCTTGATGTGAATATCAAATCAGCTATATTATACCATAATCATTTATTTTACCTAGTTATTTATTTACAATTCATCCTCTTGACTAATGTATAACACTGGCAGTTGAGTCTGTGAGCCAGAAAAGATAAACAAATATTAATGAACATGGCCAGCCTGGTACTTGGCACTCAGGAGATACTCACTAAATTTAAATGTAAACTCCATAAGTAACCAGATGGTTATAAAAGTCTACAGCTTTCTGATGTTTGTTTCCCACTAGGGGGGCTCATGGAGATCTTGGCAGCAGCCATTCCTTGAAGAGCTTGAAGTTCCTGTTGCTGATTCACTCTTGGCCAGTCCAAGACAGTGCCCCTATCATCACTACTGCTAAGTGACTTAATTCAACCTTCTGTATTGCTGGGACCCCCTATCTCTATCTGACACTTAGCATGTTTAATAGAAATGATTTGGTAAATATTTCTGTCCTGCCTTCTAGACTGAGATCTTCTCTGAGGCATAAGTTATACTGTATCTGAATTATTCTTATTCCCAGTAGTTAGCCCCATTACTCATCAAACAGTAGGTACTTGTTTTACTGGGAGTTCTTCTTGTGCAGGAGACATAGGACTTCTGCTTTCCCCCAGCTTGCCCTTTAGAACTGTTTGAGGTCCTTCTTACTCATCTATCTTTCTGCATATATTGAGGACAATGGGTCTCATTTCTAGTTGCAGTGACTTAAATGAAATCAGACTGTGTGACTCTAGGGCCACGTTGCTGCCATCTCCAACTTTATATTTGATGTGAATTATGGCACAAAGGGGATTCTGATGAGATTGTTGAAAAAGCTATATGTCTCATCTGTGGCAGCCTCCAGTCCCATTGTCATATACCACACTGAACACATCTTGTATGCTATTGACCTTTAATCTGAGTCTGGAGATGAAAGCATGTTGACACTATGCTTTGTCAGCCATTCTCCCAAAGGACATCCTGGCCTATTGATATAATTTTCCGTTTTGAATGTAACACATAATCTGTCATTGTTCTCTCAAGGAAGTGAGAGCATTAACAATTTCAATTCTCTTATTTCTAACAGTGATGTTGGATTTCTTTAGTGTCAAGTGGTACATGTTTTTAGTTTCTTCAATAATGAGACCATGGCACTTTAGAGAGTCTGCAAGGTGGTTTAGAATTTACCAGCTTGTCTTTCATGTTTATGGTTTCAGAACATTGCAGATAACTAAACTGTTTTCATTGGATTCCTTTATTAATCAAACCTTGATCAAGAACTTTCTCTGTCAGGTAAAATGTTAGCCTTTGACTTGAAGTTGATGATGATGTTCTACAGCTATTAAGCTGAAAAAAATAGAAAACAACATGTGGCTAATTTCAAACATTAGATTTCAGATAGTTTGCTGTATAGTAATTATAACATTTAATATAAGAATATGTATATATGAGTATATGTATATATGTATGTACTATATAAAATATTTATATATTCATATGTATGTATGATTATCTATGTCATCTACATATTTATATACCTGTATTAGTCCATTTTCACCCTGCTGAAAAAGACATACTTGAGACTGGACAATTTACAAAATAAAGAGGTTTAATGGACTTATAGTTCCACGTGCCTGGGGAAGCCTCACAATCACGGAGGAAGGCAAGGAGGAGCAAGTCACATCTTACATGGATGGCAGCAGGCAAAGAGAGAGCTTGTGCAGGGAACCTCCCATTTTTAAAACCATCAGATCTTATGAGACTCATCAGATCTTATGAGACTATCATAAGAACAGCGCAGGAAAGAGCCACCCCCATAATTCAATCACCTCCCATTGGGATCCTCCCACAGCACATGGGAATTGTGGGAGTTACAATTCAAGATGAGATTTGGGTAGGGACACAACCAAACCATATCATTCCCCCCCTGGCCCCTCCCAAATCTCATATCCTCACATTTCAAAATCAGTCATGCTTTCCCAAGAGTCCCACAAAGTCTGAACTTATTTCAGTGTTAACTCAACAGTCCACAGTCCAACATCTTATCTGAGACAAGGCAAGTCCCTTCTGCCTCTCAGCCTGTAAAATCAAAAGCAAGTTAGTTACTTACTAGATACAATGGGGGTACAGGCATTGAGTAAATACAGCCATTCTAAATGGGAGAAATGGCTTGAATTTCTGCTCAGAAAATGGGATTTTCTGTTCTATTGCATTGTCAGGCTGCAATACCTATGTGTACATGTATGTACATATATGAGATATATTAGTATTAGCTATATATATATATATGTATATACACACACATAACAAGCAATCTATATTTGGCTAATACTGATATCTCACAAAAGTACACAATATTTTTTGATTAGTAAAGTACTTTAGCACTTAAAAATTGTTCTGGGTTGGGTGCAGTGGCTCATGCCTGTAATCCCAGCACTTTGCGAGGCCGAGGTGGGCAGATCACAAGGTCAGGAGTTTGAGACCAGCCTGACCAATATGGTGAAACCCTATCTCTACTAAAAATACAAAAATTAGCTGGGTGTAGTGGTGGGTGCCTGTAGTTCCAGCTACTTGGGAAGCTGAGGCAGGAGAATCGCTTGAACCTGGGAGCTGGAGGTTGCAGTGAGCAGAGATTACACCACCGCACTTCAGCCTGGTTGACAGAGTGAGACTGTATCTCAAAAAAAAAAAAAAGAAAAAGAAAAAGAAAAAAATTATTATTCTGATCCTCAACAACTCTGAGAGGTCTTTAGGATATGCATGGTATTTCCACATGACTAAAATAGGTTTCAAATCAATTGCTCAAGGGTACAGCACAAGTTAAGTCACAGAGCTGGTCTAGGCTAATTCTTAATTTGGTGTTCTTAATACTAGATTGCCCTTGCCCTCAAAGAGTTTCTGATTTAGATGTTATTTAAGACATGCATACACACTTAAATCATTGATCAGTTAAACACTACTTGACAGTGTGTAATTATGTGCTCTTTTTCATGTAAGTACAATAGATTTTCAGAGACAAGACAAGAGCAATACTGTCTGAAATTAAAGAGCTTCATGGAGAAGAGACAGATCTTGAAGAAGGGATAGAATCATGGGTGAGGAAATAAAACTGGATGGTTCTAGTGAGAAAAGAAAGTGCACAGTCTTGAGTATTAGGCTGAGAACTATGGGGCTTTATTCTGTAATAAACAGTAATGTGTTAAGCGTATTTTAGTAGTTAACTAGCCTGCTACAGTTTCTCCATGGCAATTTGTAGAAAGGATTAGTGTTAGAAGATTCTGGAGATTTTGGCCGGTTGCAGTGGCTCATGCTTGTAATCCCAGCACTTTGGGAGGCCGAGGCGGGTGGGTCACGAGGTCAGGAGTTCAAGACCATGCAGGCCAACATGGTGAAACCCCGTCTCTACTGAAAATACAAAAATTAGCCAGGCATGGTGGCGTGCACCTGTAATCCCAGCTACTCAGGAGGCTGAGGCAGGAGAATCGTTTGAACCTGGGAGGCAGAGGTTGCAGTGAGCCGAGATCGGGCCATTTCACCCTAGCCTGGGTGACAGAGCGAGACTCAGTCTCAAAAAAAAAAAAAAAAATAAATAAATAAAGAAGATTCTGGAGATTTTAAGTTTTATTATATAGGAGAGTATTGACAATATTGTGCTGGCTAGTCCCAATCTTTTCTGTCTTCCCATTGTCCATAATTAGGCTAATGTGGGGCCTGCTCTCTCTGTTGAGCTCTGCCCAGCTTCAGGGAAAGGCTGTGCCTGGAGTCTCCACCTTTTTGGTGGAGGGCAAGCCTGTCTCTGCCTGACATATGACTATACATGGACCTGGTCTATACATGCCAAGACAGCATCAAGTCTCAAGTGTCTTGATGAGCTGCTTTGAGCATCAGGTTAATTTACTATCTAGCAGTACTGACAAATGCAAAAATATACAAGCTTGAGCATACTTTATGGTGGGTCTTGACAAAAATGAGTCCTAGCAGGATCTTTTAAAATTTTAATACTGCAGGATTTCCCCAATATTACTACAGTCAGCTTAATTTTTTCTTCAAGATAGCAATCTAATATTCTCAACACTGGAGGCATTTGGGCTGCACTCATTTGTTAAAGAAAACTCTAAGCATGTATTTAAGTAATCCCGCCCAGTTTTTCTTGTAAACCTGTCTGCAGGGATCATTTGTACCATAGGGATATGTGGCAAGAAGAGGGGCATTCAAGTAAACAATTATAGTTCTACAATCCTGGGTGATGAGCATTGAACTTGATTCATGTAGGGCCTGTTGAGGGGCCCCAGGAAAAGGAATGAGACTTAGACTTAGTTTACATGGGGAAGGTTAGTGTGACCTGTGGAGCTGGTGGAGGATGACAGGTAGGTACGGTGTGAGGCAACAGTGCTATCAGATTGCATTTAGATACACAATCACTCTGGGTTGTGTGGATAATGGAGTAGATAGGAAGAATAGGGAAGAGGCCTGGAGGTAGGAGACCAGTTGGGGTTCTCCTGAGAAACAGAATAGAACCAAGAGGGTGTGTGTGTGTGTGTGTGTGTGTGTGTGTGTGTGTCTGTGTAGGGAGACAGGGAGAGAGAAAGAGAGATTTACTTTAAAGAATTGGCTCATGTGATGGTGGAGACTGGCAAGTCTAAAATCTGCAGGGTGGGCTGGCAGGCTGAGACCCAGGGAAGACGTGAGTTCAAAGGCAGACTGGAGGCAGAATTCCATTTTCCTTAGGGAACCTCAGTCTTTTGCCTGTTGAGGCCTTCAACTGATGAGATGGGCCCATCCACATGACAGAGAGTAGTCTGCTTTACTCCAAGCCTACTGCTTTAAATATTACTCTCATATTAAAAATGCCTTCACAGTAATATCTAGACTGGTGTTTTTCCATTGTCCAAACAACTGGGTACCATGGCCTAGCCAAGTTGACACATAAAATTAACTATCACAGGGGCCAATGAAATTTTATCCTCCAGGTGTGAGGAGAGGAAGAATTATACCAGAGTGTAATTGCGTAGACTTGTTGAGCATCTGGTTGTAAGTTGTAAAAGGCTGGAGTCTGAGCATCTGGGGCAGGGATCCCTAACACATTTTCCTGTCAATTTATCCATAGGAATGGCCTAACAGCCATTCCCCCTGCATCCTGAGTTCATCGATTCTATCCTTTATTGAGTGGCACGTCCCAGGCACTCTGCTAGGAACTGGGGACAAAAGCAATGTATTGCTAGAATACATTGTTTGCTAGAACATATTCTATTCATAACTCTGTACTTTGCAGAAAAAACTAAGAGCCACTTCATACATTTAGCTGATTTTTTAAAAAAATTAACTTTTAAAATTAAATACAAATTGTATATGTTTATCATGTACAACATGTTGTTTTGAAATACATATACATTGTAAAGTGGAAATTTAGTTGATTCTTCATGTTACTTGGGCTTTCCTGGAAATGAGAACAAGAATGCATGGCAAAAACAAACAAGCAAATAAAAAAATAAAGCCCCCAAACTTGCTTACATTGTTTCTTCCAGGACTGTTGTGAGGGTGGAGCCAGTTTTCTCTGCTCTAGCTCTGCACTTGCTGGTTAGCTCACACACACTCGCAGCCCTGCAGAGAACCCTAGGGTGGTGTCTGACCTTGTTCTCTCCCCCCAACAACAAACAAAAAGGTTTGCTAACTTGAAACAGGGTCCTGGCGCAGGATTCCATAAATTTCCTGTAAAAAGAGAATCTCCACAACTCTTTTGTCTTAGTCCCTAAGAGACTTGCAGAAGTTGCAGTCAGAATGACAAGAATGGGAGCCACAAAAAAAAGGAAGCTTCTTTAGGGAAAGATATACTTTAAAACGTTTAGTTTGATGTTATATGGGATTCCACATCTGGTTTTTCCACATTTATCATGCCAATAAAACATGCACCTGTTAGTTTTTCATCACAAGCCATATTTCTCATCTGTCTTGCCTGACCTTGTCACAAGACATTTCCCTTTTAGCACTCACTTGGATTTTTGTACTGAGTGGAAGTTGGAAATGATTGCAAAGGAAGGCAATTTCTTTTGACATCTCATGTATGACCCATTTATCTCTTTATGGAATATAGTGAAGTATTGGAGGGGAGCATTAGAGAATAAGAAATAGTTCTATAAGTGTATAGGGCTATAGTTTCATCTTAGTGATTATATAAATATATAAATATACACACACATACTATATATATATATATACACAATGTATATGCCAAATAATATAGTATAGGTATAATTATATGAATGTTTATTTGGATATGGAGACCTGGTTTGCCTTGTTAGAGAGACAGAGTAACTGACAAAACATTTCCTAGATACTGGCCTCTTTTTAATCTTTCATTTATTTTTATTATGGAACATTTCCAACACATAGGAGAGCAGAGGGAAGAAGAGTACAATGCACTGTCATACACCCACCCTCTGGCTTCAAGAATCACCAAAAAAGAGACAAACTTGTTTCATCTATACCCTTCTTGTTCCCCCAAGACCTTTTGGATTATTTTGAGACAAATTCTAGACATCATGTCATTTCATATGAAAATACTTCAATGTACATAGCTCTAAAAGGTAAGTCACTTTTCTATTGCATAACATAAAATACCATTATCGCACCTAAAACACAATATCTTAATATCATTAAATATTCAGTCGATACTCAAATTTCCTTGATTTTGTCATTTGTTTAAACCAGAGTCCAAATGGCCCACTAAAGCAACAATTGCATATAGTTTATACTGCTTGAGTAATTTCAAATGTAACCCCACTTCTTTTTTGACATTCCAATTTTTAGGTTAAAGTAGGGGTGTCCAATCTTTTGGCTTCCCCTGGTCACATTGGAAGAAGAAGAATTGTCTTGGGCCACACATAAAATACACTAACACTAATGACAGCTGATGAGCTAAAAAAAAAAAAATTGCAAAAAAAGAGACCTCTTAATAGTTTAAGAAAGTTTACAAATTTATGTTGGGCTGCATGCAAGGCCATCCTGGGCCACATGTGGCCTGCCAGCTGTGGGTTGGACAAGCTTGTGTTAATGAAACTGGGTCATTTGCCCTGCAAAACTATTCATACTCTTGATTGTGCTGCTTGAATCCTATAATGTCACATAACATATTTCCCTGCTTTTCATTCACCACCAATCTTTATTTCCTGTAAACTAGAGATCTAAAAGTGGTCAAATCAGAATGTTTGGCAGGAACCCTCCATAGGTTGTGTGGTGAGCATTCTATTGCATCACATCAGGATGCATCTACAATCTCCCTGCCTCTCTCTAGGTGATGATGTTAAGACTGATCAGTGGGTTTAGGCACTGTCAGGCTGGTCCATCTGTATACATTCCCAATTTAGTAATCAAGGACTATTGCCTAGATCCATTCATTTTTCTTTTTTTTCCCGTTATAATTGCAAAATGGAAATATTCTATGTCTATCATTCCTTCTTTATCAGTGGGAGACTCTGGTTGATTTGTCTTTTTTACATGACCAGAATTTTTAACATTAAAAGAAGGATTAAATATTTGCAAAAGATGAGACATATTCATTGAAGGAACAATAAATGGAACAGAAGATGGAACATATTCATTCATATTCATTGAAAGGGAAATTCAACACCATTGATGATTTCTTTAAAGCAATGGTTTGAATTGCCAGGACTTGAGAAAAAAATTCTAATAGATGAATGTTTAACTCCACAGATAAAACCCAGGACAAAAAATGAGAAATAAGATAGGCATTGACAAGAATTAAGCCTTAGCAATCATACTAAGCTTAAATGCCAAGGAATGTAGCCACTGAATTTAAAAACTCTCCAACTCAAAATGTTTTAACATGGTAACTCAATTTTAAGGTTTGAAGCCGCATTACAAAGATGAATATAAAACTGTCTTACTGCTTTTCTTTTGCTTCACCACAATTTATGTCTGGATAATTTCAAAACAAAGGCAAATTTTATTTTGGATTTTAAAAATTTGAGGGCTGAAAATAATATATTTAAGTGTTGGTATGATATACGTAGTTCACTTAAAAATCACCTCTCTGAGTGGTTTCAGTAACTGTATTTTACAAACATTGAATACTTTCAAGTGATTTCCTAAGGTTTATTTTCTTCATCTTGTAAATTTTCCTTTGAATATGGCAGCTGCTTACAAGGCCTGGCTGTGTCAACTTTTGCTAAAAATGAGCCAAATCTTATCTGAATGATCCTATTCCCACCCGTACTTTGTCAGATGTAGGACAACACTTTGGACTGGCATTTAATGTGTCAGGCACTGGTGTTCATTTGCATCTGTAGTGTTAGGGAACTTGGCTTTTTCACTCTAAGACTGCACTCTTTCTGGGGAAAGAGAGTGAAAGGCAGGAAAGCTATTCCGTACCTTTTAAATTCCATGTCTGTTACACATCTTAATCCATTTAATTTTCTCATATTTGAGTGGTTGGAAGATTATATGGATAACTTTTAATAAATGACACTAGATTCTCACTCTTGGTAGATATTATCACTAGGCTAAGTTTTAAAATGATTATAGAGCCATATTTGGTACCTATCATTATAGTCATTTTGGAAACAGGGACACTGAGACTCAGAGCATTAACCTATCCAAGTTCAAGCAACTAATAAGGGACAGAGTCAGAATTTGAACCCAGACATCTATCTGACACACAAAGTTGACTTTCCCCTTAGATCACCTGCCTGCTAGCCATGTCAAAGACGAGGGTGGCAAGTATTCAGAAAATGTGCTTTATCATCAACATTTAGCATAGATTTCATAAAGACTGGATGTTACCATATGCTTTTTTTCTTTCTGAAGAATCCACTGGATAGGAGATATGATCTGACAAAAAGGGGCACACAGCCTTGTTCATCCCCTCATTGGAAATATTATAGAATGTAGAATTACATAAAATAAGGGTAAACCTTGTATGGTGCTATGTGAAGTGGAATTCTGTAAGCTGTGGCCCAAGCAGAAAGTCAACACATTAAGAGCTAGAAATCACCAAGGAGCAATGTGCTTGGAAATTCAATACAGTAATAAGTAACTCAGTCCTGTATCCATGAAAGATCCCTTATTGTCTACCAAAAAATGTTAATGTGTTGCCCCTTGGTGTCGGTTAGTCTTGAATTTTAAAAAATGGACATAAAAGAAATCAGTGAGGGTTATTTTTTTCTTCCTTGCAGTTTGCTACTCAGTCTTGATGTTATTATCAAGGCAAAAACTCTATGGGATTATTTAACAACCCTGGATGCTTTTGTTGTAAAATTGAAATTAAATTGAGTACATTCAGAATACACATTTTGTGTGAGGCTTATAATTACATACATATAATTTAAAATGAAATGAAATAGACTGGTTCCCTCTATACAAAGTCCTTTGTCTCTGTTATCAAGTCACTGTATTAGTGGTGATTATGAACACAGTCAATGATAATAGACCTTCTGCATTTTTTTTGATTTCATAGCTTCGTATAGACAGAAACCAGACTACCTTGGTTAAGAGTCAGGCTGGATGCAGTGGCTCGCTCCTATAATCCCAGGACTTTGGGAGGCTGAGGTGGGAGGATTGCTTGAGCCCAGGAGTTTGAGACCAGCCTTGGCACCATAGCGAGACCCTGTCTCTTAAAAAAAAAAAAAAAAAAAAAGACTTGATAACACCATGTGTTTGTTGAGTGCCTACTATATGCAAGGCTCTTGTTAGACTCTGAAGAAACAATGAAGAGTAAAGCAAATTAATTCCTTGCCTTGAATCACATATTACTGGTAAGGACAGACACATGAACAATCAAGTATACTGTGTATTAAGTGTTCAAATACTTTTAGTAACATAACAGAGCCATCTTACTTAGCATGGGGCAGGAGTGAGAAGGAGGTTCTGAGAAGGTGTGGAGGAAAAAAATAACATGAAGCTGAGAGAAAGACAACTTGTAGTTAGTCACACTAGAATGTAGGGGTTGAAAGGGTAGAAGCTGTGGGGAGCCATGCATATTCCAAAGTGAAGAGCATCTGGGAAGGCCTCAAAGCTAGAGAAAGCATGGAACACTTGACAAACTCAAGGACAGTGAGGAAGGCGGAAGTGAGGGCCATGGGAAATATAAGGTGGGTTCTGCAATGATAAGTGAAGAGTGAAGCTACAGGAGGAGCCTTGTAAAACACATTCAAATGATCAGACTTAACTCTGAGGGCAATTGAAGGGAAGCAAGCAAGAAGGCGAAATGGTCCAGTTTGTGTTTTAGCTGCTGTGGGGGAATGGATGGGAGCAGGTAAAACCAGCTGGGGAGCTTTCAAATAGTCTAGATAGGTGATGCCAGTGGTCTCACCTGGAGCATTGGCAGTGGCAGAAAGGATGAGCAGAAGTTCACTGGCTGGCTGGGTGGTTACCAGAAATGCTTGATGGGACTCAGCAATTGCTTGGATGAGGGCAGAGAGAGTGAGGACGGAATCCAGGATGATGTCTAGCTTCTGCTTGGCAGCTGCATCGGTGGCAGGCAAAGAATAAAGGAGGAGGAATGGGTGCCCAGGGGGACATAATGAGTTCATTTCTGGACATGTTAGGATTGAAGTGTCAGAAAATCTATCTTCTTCATATTCTAGTATTTGCCAAAGAGCAAGCTGAATTGTTCCTGTGAAATAACAGAGATAGACGAACTCACCCAAGTGTTTGTGTAGATACAATGGCATCCAAAAGTCATAAAAAGCTGACTTTTTGAAAATGATTTTTTATACCAATAACCAATACCTCTAGGATGGGGAGCCCACATGAGCTCCCTGAAGACAGCAATGGTTTGTTTCTTTTTTTAAAAGATCACTTTATTAATATATAATTTACATACCATACAACTCACACATTTAAAGCATAAAATTCAATGATTTTTATTATCTTCACAGATATAGACAACCATCACCACAGTCAATTTTAGAACATTTTCATCACCTCAAAAAGAAGCCCCATATGCTTAGCTATCACCCTTCTATCCCCCACCCCATCCCTAAGCAACCGCTAATCTATTTTCTGTCTCCCTAGATTTCCATATTCTGGACGTTCATATGAATGGAATCGTATAGTATTTCATGTTTTATGACTGGCTTCTTTTACTTAGCATGTTTTCAAGGTTTATATTTTAGCATGTATCAGTACTTCGTTCCTTCTTACAGCCTAATAACATTCGATGGTTTGGATATGCCACATATTGTTTATTCATTTGTCTGTTGGTGATCCTCTGGGTCATTTCCACCTCTTGGCTAGAATGAATAAATATTGCTATAAACATCTGCATATACAGTCACTGCTTTTGATTCATCTGTGTGCCTCCAGGTCTAGCACAAAGAAGCATGAACTTTTCTTCCACTGATATCATCCCAGAATGGATCTCCGAAGGCAACAAAGGATTAGTGGCTCACAGGCAGCCTCCAGGATCTTAGGCACAATTGTAAAGTAAAAAAGTCATTGTATTCACCCTTTTCTTACCCCCTTTCCTTTCTTTCCTCAGTACCCTAAATGTTGGAGTCCTGATCCCTTTCAGGAATGGCTGTGTTTCTGAAAGACTCCAAAACTTCTACCCCTCTAGCTTGCTCTAATACAAGCCATCATTCCTTAAGTATGGCTGAAGGGCTGATAAATTCACAAAAGGTTTGAATGAGGCCCCCAACACAAAGATTCCTTTTCTTTTTCCAAGAGGGGTGTTGTCCTAAATGCATCGTACTGTGAGAGGGAAGGTTTCTTTAAAATTTGAGTTTGGGAAACTTCTGAGTTCTGTGACTCTTTCCAGATAATTGTCTTGCTTCCCTTATCCTGTGTCTCTCACACCTCTTCCTTACTGATCTCTGTAGTAAGTCAGTCAGTCAGTCTAAAACTTTAACCATGAGGCATTAATTGGCATAAGTGCCTAAGTACATAAAAAGTAAGTACTCAAAAGCTGCACACCTTGAGTCTGGGAATGCAACCACTATTTTACATTATTTCAAATAATTAGCAAATTGAAAATGGGACAACCAAGGACTATATGTTTTTCCATTTGCAGTTGTGAAAATTATGATCCATATCACCTGGAAAATGTCCCATTTATGGAAATAGAAGAGCCTATCTGCAAAAATTTCATTAGCTTTTCCTGAATATGAGGGGAAATTTAGAAGGATTCCACATAGTATGGGCTGTGTCCCTGCTGTATCCAGATTCACTCTGGGTGCTGATTCCAGGGGCTCCATTCCAGCTACTGAAGCAACATCTCTTGCAGGATGGGACATAGGGATCTGTCCTTTGAGCAGCTTCCCAGATGATTCTTATGCACAATTGTGTGTCAGGTTCATTCAAAAATATCAGGGCTTCAATTTTGTGCATGCTAGATATGTAGAGGTGACTGTAACATTTCTATTCAAACTTCGGAGAGTGTAAATATTGTAAACCAGTATAAGTAGGTTGAAATCAGGACATCAGCGGGACTGTGTTCCTTCTGAAGGCCATCGGGGAGAATCTGTTCCTTGTCTTTTTTGGTTTTTGGTGGCCGTCATTGTTCCTTGGCTGGTGGTTGCACCACTCAAGGCCAGCATTTTCAAACCTCTCTGCCCTTCCTCTTAACATCACCCACTTTTCTCTGTGTGTGTCTAATCTCCCAGTGCCTTCTGCTTAGAAGGATACATGTGATTGCATTCAGGGCCCGCCCAGGTAATCTAGAATAATCTTCATATCATCATATCTCAAGATTCTTAATTTAATCACATCTTTAAAAAACATTTCTTCACATAAGATAACTGATATAGTTAGGTTTTGTGTCCCCACCTAAATTTCATCTCAAATTATAATCCCCATAATCTCCACATGTCAAGGGAGAGACCAGGTGGAGGTAATTAGATCATGGGGGTGGTTTCCCCTATGCTGTTGCAGTGATGGTGAGTTCTCATGAGATCTGATGGTTTTATAAGGGGCTCTTCCCCCTTTGCTCAGCACTTCTTCTTCCTGCTGCCTTGTGAAGAAGGTGCCTTGCTTCCCTTTCACTTTCCACCATGACTGTAAGTTTTCAGCCATGCTGAACTGTGAGTCAATTAAACCTCTTTTCTTTATAAATTACCCAGTTTCAGACAGTTCTTTACAGCAGTATGAAAATGGACAAATACAGTAACATTTACAGCTTCTAGGATCACAACCTGGTATTTTGGGGCCATTAGCAGCCCACCACAATATTTATTAAACCTTTGGGGATGGTGAGAGCAGGCATGCATCATTATTTTCATTTCATAGTCGAGGAAGTTGAGGTTCAGAGAATTTAAGTGGCTTGTACAAGATCACGAGCCTTTCCCAGTGGCAGACAAGGGACTAGAAATGCAGGGCTATCCCCTTTAAATGGCAGTGTTTCCTCAAGGGAGTCTAGAGGACAGATGGTGTGTGGCCCATCTCTTTACCTTTCTGTGTGTCATTGGGTAGTGTGCTTCCAAAGCATGTAAAAATTGATTCTTGGAGTTGACTTGCTGATGGAAGTGCAGGACTTTCCTGCAATATAAAGAACTCTGCTGACCACGTGGGATAGCCTGGACTAGAGATCTAGCTCCAGCTATGTCATTATGAATTATGAGTTGTGTGAGCTTGGGCAACTTTCTGGACTTTCTGTTCCTCAGATTGCTTATGTTTAAGACAAGAGGATTGGGCAAGAAAATATCATGCTAAAATATAGATACCATTTATTGAATGCCTACAATGTCTGAGACTATCGATGCTGGACTATGAACTTGACTTACATTATTTGCTGCACTCTTCATAAACATCCTAATGAGAGAAGTATAATTATTGTCCCCCTTTTACAGATGAGACTTAGAGACTGTAGAGTTTGACCAAAGCCACACTGTAAACAGTTGGTGGGCTTAAATTAGATCCAGACTCTCTGGATACAGCGGGGACACAGCTCACACTATGAGGAATCCTGCTAAATTTCCCTTCATATTCAGGCAAAGCTAATGAAATTTTTGCAGATGAGCTCTTCTATTTCTATAAATGGGACATTTTCCAGGTGATACGGATCATAGTTTTCACAACTGCAATTGGAAAAACACATAGTCCTTGGTTGTCCCACTTTCATTTTGCTAATTATTTGAAATAATGTAAAATAGTGGTTGCATTCCCAGACTCAAGGTGTGCAGCTTTTGAGTACTTACTTTTTTTGTTTGACATCAAAGTCCTTTTCTGACCTGGCCCTCAATTCTGTCTGTACTACCCATTCACATAGCACTGCGATACCATGATGCTGACATGGCTTAGGGGTCTGGGCCACATACCTAACCAGGCCAGATTTCACATGCCAGGACCCACTTGTGTCTACTGTTTTCTAAGGAGCAGCCAGCTGCACGTTAGTTTTTGGTTGAGATATCCCATGAGAGAGATGCAATCCTGAGTGAAGTCAGGAGTTCCCAGAGAAAATTCCCTCATGGAATGTCTCAAGAAGCAGAACTGTGGAACAGAGGCAAGCAGTGGTCCTATTTTATCAGTTAAACAGCTTGTATTCAGTAAATATTTGTGTCTTTTTGGTCTATAAACCCTAAATTCTTTGTCTCCATGACTATTGAAATAATTTTGCAGAATTCTAGCATATCAGAGCCACACTGCTTTGTAGACAATAGAGTTCCAGCTCTACATTTTGTATTTGAAGAAACAAAGTATAACTAAGTAAAATTCATTTATTCGGTAAACATTTAATGAAACCCTACTATGTTTCATTAAATGTGCTAAGAGCCAAGTTACCAAAATGAAACATCATGATTACTATTTTAAGATGTCTATGCCTAGTGGGTGAGGCAAGCTCGTAAACATGTAATTTCCATAAATATGGTAAACAACATGGTGATTGTGTTGAGAATTTTATGAGAGCCTGAGGGAATCAGTGGAAACTGATATTGGAGGTAGAGAAAGAAAGTGGGAAAAGACAAACTAGGCCAGCGAATCAGAATCCTGGATGGGTCAGGTGTGTTGAGAGAATGGCATGAAGTCAGTGGGGGCTGGAGCATGGGGTGGTGTGGAGAGGCTGCAAAGGCTGGTGTGAGACCTCTCAAAGTAAAATACCTTCTGGCCGGTCAAGACACAAGCATTTCAATTTATGCCTGAAGTAGATTTCAATGACATTTTCCTTTCACTGGGTCTATTTTGTATAACCTGGCCATACTGGGCAAGACTTGCCATCCTTCATCTGGGACATGGGACAGCTTTCATATGCTGCAAAACTTCTCAGGGCAGCCGACAGGCTTGCTGACCACGTGGGATAGTTTTGTGGTGTGTGTGAATCCGCCTGGGTTCTTCTCGTACTTGATTTTGTTTCTCTTTCCAGCCCACAGCAAAGTTGTATCTTCGGCCCAGCATGAAGACCTCTTACACAGTGGTTCTGAGAGTACCTGGTACATACGTGTGTGCACATAGTTGAAAATGCCTTCTGAATAAAGTGATTGTTTTTTAATCACTAAAGGAGAATAACCGAAAATTCAGAGATTTGGGAATGTTCTATCTTCTATGTAAAAGAGAAAAAGAAAGACATACTGCTCCCTCTCTGGATTTCAAGATTAAATCTACTACCCTTTTATCACACTTCCAGGTTTTCCTTCAGAATTCATTAACTGCGAGTTGGTTCCCCATCTCTATGATGCCTATGTATATTTGATGTACTTTTACAGACTGGCTGAACAGTATGATGGAAACAGAGGTGAGGCTCCACTGCTAATAGTGCTCCCACGACATCCCTTGTCCCTTAAAATTGGTGGATCCTGCCAAATTTCTTTCCATTAATTATAATAACAATAATAAGAAAAGCTTCTTTTGAGGTCTCCTCTTTGCTTTTATAATACAGTTATTTCTCTGTTATATTCCCCTTAGGATATTTTCTACTTAATGAGATGCAGTGATACATATTCTTCCTTGCTGTTTCTTTCTTGGCTGAGTTTCTCAAGAAGGCCCCTAAAGTTTTGGTCCTGAGTGCTGAAAAAGAATCCTTAAAGAAGAAGGAAACAAAATACTGAGGCTAAAATTATGAACTCAGGAGAAATATTTATTTTCTTTATTTAGCATTTATTGATGGTCTAATATGTGCTATGCTAGATTTTTGAGGACACAAAGATAAATCAGTGTATGCCCACAAGGAAATGAGTTGACTAATGAGTAAACCAACAATTGCAATACTGTGTGAATAGTGTCAGACACAGAGATAGGAAGAACAGGCATCTCTTAAGAGCTGGGAGAGAATCAGAGGGGAGCCACTTTGCCTGCTGAGGATGGGAGGACAAAGGGAATACATTTCCAGAGATATGTTGATTCTTAAAGAGCAGAATTGAGGCCGAGTGCCCTAGCTCAGGCCTGTAATCCCAGCGCTTTGGGAGGCTGAGGTTGGAGGATTGCTTGAGGCCAGGAATTTGAGACTAACCTCGGCAACACAGTGAGAACCCCAGCTCTACAAAAAGTTAAAAAAAATTAGCCAGGTGTAGTGGCACGTGCCTATGGTCCCAGCTACTCAAGAGGCTGAGGGGCGAGGATGGGTTGAACTTGGGGGTTCAAGGCTGCAGTGAGCCGTGATTGCTCCACTGTGCTCCAGCCTGGGTGACAACGCAAGACTCTGTCTCAAGGAAAATAAAAAAGAAAAAAAAGGAATGAGTATTGGGGTGCAAAATTGTGGAAGAAGGGGAGGAGGGAGAACTAAGGAGGGGGAGAAGACAGAAAGCATGGTGAAATGAAACAGAAAGGAACATCGTTTACAAAGAAATGGAGGTCAGAGATTACGTGACATATAAGAGCACAAGCAAAGTAACATGTTAAGGAGAGGATGAAGATTTTAACTAATATTACAGAGGGCCTACCGAATACCTTTTCATATAATGTTATCTCACACATGTTGCTTGAATAAATGACTATGGTGATATTGTATCTTCAAAAAACTCTAGTTCAAGAATGGTAAGCCATTTTCTCAGGACCTTGCAGCTACTTAATAAGTGAAGGAGCTGGAATTTTGATCCCTTTCTTCTGGCTTTTGGTCTGGGCACTTTTTAGCTGCCTCACATGCATTCGCAGAAGGCCTCATTAGGCTTTTTTTTTTTTTTTTTTTTTAAAGGAAATCTCAGTAGCACTACATGAATTAACAACCACATTCTCTAGGTCTTTGAAGAGACCTCTGTAATGTGTGTGGGGGTGAGTATAAAATCAAGGAAGAAAAAGAGTGGTTCTTTAAAGAAGAGCACTGGATGAGTTAAAAAGAGAAACCAAGAGTGAAGAAGGTTAAGTGACGATGAAGAAAAGAAGGAAAGTAATTAGAGTTCAGTCAGCTAAAGATACAATTTAAAGACTTCTCGTAAAGGAGCCAAGGTAGGAATGAAAAAAAAAAATAGATTGCGAGGTTTCTAAGGGCTGCAGAAGCTTTAGGGCAAATCAAAGAACTGTTACCAATTCAATAGAATTTTATATTATTTTAGGAGATCGACTAACAGTCCATTAGCTGTAAAGCCCAGGATCAAGAAGAGAGCTGAAACAGAGGAAGAATTATGGAAGCCTCATGTATTTAAGGATTTTGATCTAGCAACATGTTGATGCTAGAAGGGTCCCAGAGATAATCTCCTATGACCTCCTCACTTTACAGCTGAGGAAACTGAGGCCAGAAGAATGGTGTTAATTCCACATGTGACTGAATCTACTGCAGAGCAGGATTTGATGGTAAGCTTCCAACACCCAGTCTTGTGCTCTTTGCCAGCAATGTGAATTGCAGATCAGGGTGCGGGTTTCCTAAATTGAGAAGGACACCAGCCCTCTCCACCCAGCAGGCCAATCACGGAGCCTGGGGTATAGAATCAAGGACCTGAATTGCCAAGAACGATGGGGACAGTAAGAGAAGTGTGGCCAGAGAAAGCAAACACTAGGAGGAAATGACATTTTAATAGAAGGTTTGGAGATCAAAAAAGTTCAGGTGGGGGTAAGGGGAGGTGGTGGAAGACAGGGGCAAGAAAAGAGACCAAAATACTATCAGTACATGTATCAAAAAGACTCTTTAGTTTTATGGAGAGTAAGTCCTCATTTATACTTTTATTACAACGTTTTTGAAAGGCTCAAAGTTAGACAGTTTTGCAGGATACACAGCACGGCCTCACGAGGAGGGTGTGGGCTTTGATCCTTAGCAGTCCTGGATTGAAATCCTGATTCTGACTCCATGTCGGTGTTCAGTCAAGAAAACATGACCATTAAGTTATTTTGATAGATAGAATTTATTTTAGGAAAGCTGTTAAATAATTATTGAAAGATGGAAAGACTAAAAGGGAACACTGAGAAAACAAAACCACAGGAAGCAACTGTAACCCCAAGGGCTAGGAGAACCCAGGGAAGAGGTTGGGGGTTTTTGAACCTAGAAGCTTGTAAGAGGGGCCTTCATGGAGACTTCTGAAGATGGGGACTGCTGTGCTGTGCTGATTCCAGTGCCTCGGGGGCTCAGAGGAGGAGCCTGCAAAGCCGGGACTCAGAATACAGAGAAGAGAGTGCCACCTTGATGGTTTGGATATTGGTAAGGGGGCCAATGCTGATGGTTTTAGCAGTAGAGGAAAGAAATAACCACAGAAATTGGAACCAACTGCTGCTCGCAGGAGCCACTATTATCAGCATGAAGAAGCATTGCTGGGGAGCTACTGATGGGAATTATGGAAACAGGAAGGAGCATGGACATTTCCCTTTATTCCAGTCTCCCAGACTCTTCCTAGAGTTCCCTAATGGCAGAAATTACAGAGAGCCAGTCAGAAACAGAAAAATATGTTTGTAGAGTCTTAGTCCTCAGAATTTAAAAAGCAGAGTTGAGAAGGGTGGATTTGGACTGAAAAGTTGTAGCTTAAAACCAACATAGGTCAGGCGCAGTGGCTCACGCCTGTAATCCCAGCACTTTGGGAGGTTGAGACAGGTGGATCTCAAGGTCAGGAGTTCAAGACCAGCCTGGCCAATATGGTGAAACCCTGTCTCTACTAAAAATAAAAAAATTAGCCTAGCACGGTGGCACACACCTGTAGTCCCAGCTACTCAGGAGGCTGAGGCACAAGAATTGCTTGAACCCGGGAGGCTGAGGTTGCAGTGAGCTGAGATTGTGCCACTGCACTCCAGCCTGGGCGAAAGAGCAAGACAACAAAACAAAAAAACAAAAAAACAAAAAAAAAACATAGACTCTCATTAACACTGGGATCCCCCATTTGCATAGACCTCTGATCCTAGAAATGAGTCAACTCTCCCTTGACTTTATAATCCCTTCTGGTTCTGATCCCTTTTCTCTCTCATCTCCTTTCCCTTTTATGGCAAAACTCAAAATGGTTGTCTGGATTCAGACACTCAAAATGGTTGTCTGGATTCAAAATGGTTGTTTGGATTCAGGCATCTCACTTTTTCTTGAACCTTTTCCAATCAGGTCTCATTCCTAACACTCCATGGGAAACCAACCTTGTCAATTCTAGATCATGGCTCCATTGACTTCCATGGTGCCAAATCTAATGGCCAGTTCCCAGTACTCATCTTATCACATTTGTCAGTATTAATTAACAGGGTTGGTTACCACTGTTCTGGGAACATTTTATTTACTTAGTTTTTAGAACCTATATATTCTATCCATTTTCGTCCTACCTCCAAATTTCTTCTGCTCAGTCTCTTTTGTGGGTCCACATCCTCTTCCTAGTTCTAGATTTTAGAGTGTCCCAGGAAGTAGTCCTCCTCTTCTGTTCTTCAGGCCTCCTCTTCTTTTCTTTCTTTGCTCTACCCTCACACCCAATCTCATAGAGGTCTCCCAGATTTTTATCTCTAGCCCAGCCTTCTTTGCTGAACACCAACTCCTTGGTTGACATTTTTACTGATATATTTAATGGAAAACTTAAATTTAACAAATCCTCAAAGCAAATTCTTGAACCCTTACCTCCAATGAACCTCATAGCTGTAAACTGTACCTTTACACATCCAGCTAATCCAGAAACCTGGTTTTTATCATCGAATTACCTCTTTCTCTCAGTTCCACCTACAATCATTATCAAGTCTGTCATTAAATACTGTAAGATCTACTTCAGTCTATGCCCAGCACTCAATGTTGTCTCACCACATCTTCCACAGCTACCCTCATCAGAGTGGTGAGCATTTCTTACATGCAATACTGCAGTACTCTCTGCTTAGGCTCTACCTCCATTCCCCTCTCTTATCAGTCTATTTTCCACATGAAAGTCATGATGATTTTTTTAAGTTATGTAAATATTATATCATTGTCTTAGTTTATTTGTGCTCCTGTAACAAAATACCTGAGACTGGGTAATTTATGAAAAAAACGGAAATTTATTTCTCATAGTTTTGGAGGCTGGAAGTCCAAGATCAAGGTGCCAGCATTTGATGTCTGGTTAGGGACTAGTCTCTACTTCCGAGGTGGTGCCTTGTTGCTGCATCCTCCAGAGGGCATGAACACTGTGTCCTCACATGGCATAAAGGACAGAAGGGCAAAAGGGGGCCTAGCTAGTTCCCTCCACCCCTTTTAAGAGAGCATTAATCCATTCATGAGGTTGGAGCACTCATGACCTGATCACCTCCCAAAGGCCACCTTGCTTAATATTGTTGCATTAGGGATTAAATTTCAACATATCAATTTTGTGATACTCATTCAGACCATAATTATAATTTTGTTCAAAACCCTCCAAAGGCTTCATGCCATATAAAATAAAATCCCAAGCTCTCTCCATGGCATTCAAAGTCCCACATGGTCAAGGCTCTGGCTGCAATGCTACATCTATAATTATCCTCCTCCTTCCTCATTCCTCTCCATCACATGGCCGTCTTGCTATTCCTCAAACAAGGCAAGGACTCTCTGACTCTGGGCCTTTCCACTTGTTGATCTGTCTTTTCCCACAGATGTCAGCATGCTGTATTTTTTTTATTTTTGTATTTTTTTGGGTGGGGGGGTGTCTCTGCAATATGGCAACTTCTGAAAGAGGCTTTCAGTGACCATTGTGTCCGCAATTCTATAATCCTATTACTTCCCAGACCCCTTTCCTGTTTTCTCTTACTTTATAGTCTTTTTCAGTCTCATTATAAGTATATTTCTTTATTATCTGTCTCCCTCTCCAGAATGCACATTCCATGAGGTCATGGGTTTTAACTCTTTGTTCATTGTTGCATACCTGAAGCCATTATAATCTTCAATACATTGCATGTCCTCAATATTTGCTAAAAGAATGGATGAAAGCTCTGATGCAAATTATTTAACTTCTCTGAGACTTCTACAACTATAAAATGAGAGCATAATGCTACCTTCTCTTGGGGGTAACTGAGAATGTGCATAAAGTGCCACGCTCTTAATAGTGACTTAATACATTTTTTGGAAGGAATGGTTTCGAGACTTCATTATCCTATTGTCTTAATTCTATTCACCCAGGGCTGATCACTTCCCAGACACTAAGGGCCGTTAAAAGGAAGAATCTGTGTGTCATTCTGAATCTAAGCCACTCAGGCTTACCTGTTTTCCATTCCCAAAAGCTATTTTTGTTTCTAGTTGTGTTTATGTTTTACCTATAGGATGATAAAACAAAAATCGCATTGCTCTGTAAAGAAGAGATGAAATGGCCAGAAGGAAGGCCTAACCAGAAAACGTTATGAAGGAAAAAATAGAAAACTAATCCCACCCACTTCTTATATCAGACCAAGTTTTCAGATTGGTAAAAAGTAAAATGTGTTTTTCCAATAGAAAAATCTGTTACTCAGAATGTTACCTTGAGGAGAATATTAGCTCCACCTGTAGCTTTTCAAATGGCTCACTTTAGGGGCTGAGTTGGGCCTGAGGGAAATGAAGAAAAATCTTACCTGTTTTTGGAGGGAAAATGTCGACAATGATATCTGTTGCTTTGTTTTCCTCACTTCCTTTGATCGTACTCACCATCTCCTCCTAATCTTCCAAACTATGTATGCAATTTAGGCTGCAGAAAAATCCGAGTTGCCATTTTGATTTAACAAATAATCATTGTTAAGGATAAATCTCTAGTCCAGAATATCCCACCAGATATCAGCAGCTTTGAAGCAACTTTTAATCTATAATTTACACTAAATTGAGCTCTATATCCTTGGAAAGAACATGCGGGCAATCTGAAATTAGAGCTATTTATATTTTCTTTTAAGTAAACAATTTGAATATGAGCTTTGAGAGGTTGGAGGAAGTTTCTTTTGATAGGAGGCTTACAAATATCTTTGCTACTGGAACAATCCTCACTTACCTGCACATGGAAACCCTTTCTTTAAACCTTCTCTTTAACCTTCTTTTCCTGTGTCCTCAAATGAGTATTCAGATATTTGTCTCAAATATGGAAAAGCCTATGTTGATTATCATCATCTCGAAAATAGGATAAGAAATAAAGTTTAATGTGAAAAGTAAGATGCTGTTTGACCGGGGGTCAAACAAAGGGCCGTTACTAGCCCTTTCTGGTTCTATCCAAGGCATTAGATAAGCTGTCAAAGGGTACCATGTCACATTGTGCTTCTAGACCCCCAGACAAGCTGGCTCATGACAGTAAGAGAAACGAGAACGTCTCCCGAAGTTACTGATATCCTCCTGGAGGTACTCATCTGTGATAAGATACAAGGCTGAAAATGAGACAACAGAATAGAAGGAGAAAACGCAGTTAGTTTTCTATATGGCTATACACATGTAAACTTTAATATAGGGTTAAATTTTGGCTTGTGAACCATAATCAGAGCAATGCGAACCAGTTCCTATGAAGAAGTCTGTAGCAAGCAACAACACTCTCACAGATCAAAAAAAAAAAAGGCCCTATATATACAAAATAATACAAAAGATTCATCTATTATTAACTTCATGTCTCAAACATTTCTTTTCTACCATCCAGGCAATTAATACTCCCAATCATTCAACAGTTAACAGAGAAACAATTTAGTTGATATTTTAATTATCATCACCCTTATTTGGGTAGATGAAAATGTCACTTTGACAAGTCCCTTGAAAAAACAATTTGCGATTGAATATAGTTATTTCAAAAGTTCTCTTGAGCAATTTAAACAAAAATTATTTCACAGATATTTTAATCTTGTCATTTTTGCTCAAGGACCAGCAGTGACTTCCTATTTATCCTTAAATCCGATAAAAGTATCTTCACCTACTGCCAATTGCTCAGCCCATCTTCCCAGTCTAATTGTCATTATAACTCTATATTAACACTGTGGTTTGTCATGTTAACTTGCTTCTTCCCCCCCGAAAAAAATACATAATTACGGCCCCCCCAACACCTTTTTTGAAAGACCATATCATTCATCCCTTATTTTCATCTAAAGACAGGTTGAGATAGGCTGGATCCCATGGCTAGTTACTGACAGAGCTGGGCTTAGGCCAGGTCACCTTTCCCTCCACCTAGTTGTCTTTCTGTAGACTGTATTGCTTCTTTTTTTCATTTTCACCTTTGTGCCACCGATCAAGGATGGAACTGCCTGAAATGCCATCAGCTTTCCCTTTAAAATGTATGTCTTTCCATTGCCCTGTGAACATTGCTTCAAAACTCAGTTCCTTCAGCACACTTGGCCTTTAACCCCAGGTAGCTCTAATCTGTCTTCATCTAGTGTCAAAATATCTCTCCAAATCCCACCAGCCCTCTCTCCTTCACATACTCACGAGTGAATTCAAGTAAAACTTACAGGACTTTGGGTTGATTCCACTTCCTGATATTAGGTGCTTTTTGTTTCTCTAGTCATCAGTTCCTTGATAGAATTCCCTGCATCATTTTCCCCTACTTTCTATCCTAGTGCTAAACACAGTAGTTCTTTACATGGATAGTAGGTTAGTATCCATCAACAGATCAGCTGAAGGGGGTCTGAGTTGCTTCATCTTGTCCACATCTTATTGCTTTTAGGACAAACAGAATTCTCTTTCTGTTAGTGCAATGCCTGTTCAAAGCTGAACCCAATTGACCAAACGTATTCTGTATCAGTTTTTGACTTTGGAGTTGTGATTGAGAGGGATATTGTAAGTAAATTGTTACTTACAATAGAGCATTGAATTTGGAAATAATTTACTTTTTATTTAAAGTAGAGGGAATTGAAAGTTATCTCTGTTAGATCACCCTTAACAATTACATTCTTGAGGCCAGGCGTGGTGGCTCACGCCTGTAATCCCAGCACTTTGGGAGGCCGAGGCGGGCGGATCACAAGGTCAGGAGATCGAGACCATCCTGGCTAACACGGTGAAACCCCGTCTCCACTAAAAATACAAAAAATTATCCGGGCGTGGTGGCGGCCACCTGTAGTCCCAGCTATTCCGGAGGCTGAGGCAGGAGAATGGCGTGAGCCCAGGAGGCGGAGCTTGCAGTGAGCCAAGATCACACCACTGCACTCCAGCCTGGGCGACAGAGTGAGACTCCATCTCAAAAACAACAACAACAACAACAACAACAACAACAACAAACCAATTACATTCTTGAGAGGCTAGAAAGGAGTGGAGTCACAACCTTAATTAACCACTCCCTTTAAAGAAAACCTTGCATAGCTCTATAAAGTTTCATGTTCTGATATGCCATAGTTTAATTTCCAGAGATGACTTACTACTCAGTAAAAAAGTTTTTTTTTTTTTATTTTGGTGGAGGTACAGTGTGCCAAGAACGGTGAAGGCTCTGAGCTTTCACCCTGCCCACAAGCTATCAAGTTAGCCTGCCACCGATTCATGGATGCTGGCAGAAGAATGAAGATGCCAAAAAACAGTTTATTACTTACAGCCATAGCAGTAACCAAATAATTATCATTTATGCCAGTTTCCAAGCCCCATTGCCCACAGTGCCATGTGACAAGGGCTAAGAGACAGACACCTGTCTACGCTGTGGATTGTGCTACAGGAGAAGCACACTGAGCTTAAGAAACTTTAATCCTAAGAGTGGGTTGCAAGCAAACCTACCCAACCTTTGTCCTCAAGGAGACATCACTACAAAAATATCCTTGGAAAGTTAGTCTGAAACAAAAGGCTGCCAATGAAGAAACAGAAGAGAACCATGGAGAACTGTCTCCTTGTGACCTTGTACCAAATACATGGCTCTTGTCCGTAGATCAGAGTCATAGTAATGAGTCCAGTTGGCCTTTGTGGAAGGTGTTGTGACTATGGCAAAAAAGGGCCTCTGGCTTCATCTTTGCAGCTGAAGGGAAAGAGACATGTGATACCTTGCTTAGCTAAGGAGGCAAAAGAAAGGCAAGTGTGAATCAATTGCTATGCAGAAAGGATTGTTTGATCATTGAAATGAACAGAACCATGGTCCATGGAGAATAAACATGAGTAGGGAAAAGGAATGGTGGAATAACCCAGCTTGAGACCAAAAAAAAAAAAAAAAAAAAGTTGAAGAGAAATGAGGAAATGCAAAGATAAAGAACAGAAGAGGAGGAAGAGGTTGGGTAAAAGGTAAAGTGTTGATGAATGACAAAGGGAAAGCAAAGCTCATCAGTTTTTACTTTGGCTCCATCTCTCTAAAGGAGAGCAATATTCACAGTAGAACTGATATCAGGGGTCAGCAAACTATTACTTGCAGGCCAAATCCTTTCTTCTGCTATTTTTGTTTTTGTTTTATTTTTGAGACAGGATCTCACTCTGTTGCCTAGGCTGGAGTGCAGAGGCACAATCACAGCTCACTACAGCCTCAACCTCCTGGGCTCAATCGATCCTCTCGCCTCAGCCTCCTGAGTAGCTGGGACCACAGGTGTGTGCCGACATGCCCAGCTAGTATTTGCATTTTTTGTAGAGACGGGGTTTCGCCATGTTGCCCAGGCTAGTCTCCAACTCCTAGGCTCAAGAGATCCATCTGTCTTGACCTCCCAAAGTGCTGGGATTATAGGCGTGAGCCACCATCCTCAGCCTCTTATTTTTATAAATAAAGTTTTATTAGAACACAGCCCTCTACCCCCCTGCCTTTTTTTTTAAGCACATTGTCTATGGCTGCCTTTGCAGTACAAGAGCAGATGTGAATAGTTGTTACAGAGACTATCTGGCTTTGAAGCCCAAAATATTTATCTGTCCCATTACATAAAATTTGGCGACCTGGATTAGATAAGTCTACTCAGATGGATTTGAATTCTGAACCACATGGATAGACTACATGGCAGAAACCAATAACTGACCACCAAAATCCATTCTCTTCTCTTGGGAGCACATAGCCAGGCCACATTTTCCAGCCCCCTTTGCTATTAAGTGAGGCCATGTGATCAAGCGCTCTCCAGCGGAACATCTATAGAAGTGGTATGTGCTATTTTTTAGACTGGCCTATGAAACCCCTTCACACATACTGTTCCTTTATTTTCTCTTTGGCTTCCTGGGATTTGAACATGCAGCATGACCTTAGAAGCCACATGTTGAAGATGACACAGACTGGGTCCCTGAGTTTCACTGTCATCTCTAATACTCACTCTAGACTATTACATAGAAAAGAAGAACCTTCTTGTTTTTTAAGCTGTTGAAATGTGAAGATGCATTCTTACTTCAACCTACCCTCATACATATTGGGAGAGAGAGCCTTAGCAAAATCTATCCTCTATGCACTTGTGAGATTGTTTCTTTTCTAATATTTAAATCTGACCAGGGACTATGGATATTTGTCTTCACTGTCATTCTTCTGCAGCATCCAAACGACCTTCCTATTTGAAGGGAAAATTCCTAAATAGAAGGAATGAAGAACCCTGTCTCCCTCTATGGAAGCCAAAGTGAAGCAGATATTTCCTCTCCTCTTCTCTCTGGCAGCTAGCACAGGCGGGTGACCATGGCTTGGCCAATCAGTTAACTTTATCCCTTTGAGGCTTGAGCAAGTCATCAGAGGTTTTTCATGGTGCAGAAAGCGTCAAGAATCCTGTAGCATTCCTGGCTTTGCTGGAGAGTTGTGAGTAGTGTTGTACCAGCAGTGTCTTTCTCCCTGGGCCTTTCTTCTGGAATATTTTGGATGCATCTCTGTTTCCCCTCTTCTTGACTGTGGAAGTTTATACTGTTAGACTAACCTACACTTATTTAGAGTCTCCTTCTCTGTATGTAATGAGTTAGAGTTGGCAAGAGAGGAATGTGTACAAGACTGTGGACTTGGAAGGCAGAAGTGAAGCAGCAGCCATTGTTCATTGAGAGTCTTTGTAGTTAGATGCAGAGGCAGACAGAATTAAAGGTGCCAACAGGTTCCAGGCTGTCGTCACTCTCCCTCCCCTTTCCCTTCAGCAACTCTTCCCAACTGATCCCTGGACCAACAGCTGCCCTAGGACCACAACCAGTCATTTGAGGGTGACTCCCTGAAGCAGTCACATCAAAGAAGCCCTGCTTCCTTAGATAACCCCTTAAACCTCCCCCCTGAAATCCCACTTTGGTGAATGACTGTGCTTGGTGGATGATCTTTCTGTTCCTCCTACTTCTGCCTGGATGCTCACTTCCCCAGCGACTCCTGCAATTGTATTGGCTCTACTTTTTTATAATAAATCCATCATCACATAGTGCACAATGGTTCTGCCTCTAACATCTCTCCATTTATCTCCAATAAGTCCACACTATTTCCCATGGTGAGCAAGGCCTTCTGTGGCCAACGCTCCAGCTCTCCAGCATCATCTCCCGTGGCTCTGAACTTAAAACATGCTTTACTCTAGAACATTCTAGCCTCTGCACATTTCATGCAAATTCACACCTCTGTGCTTTTTGTTCATTCTGTTTTTCCCCTCAAAATGCATTCCTCTTGCTTTTTGGTGCAGTGAATTTCTGTTGATCCCTCAAGCTTACGTCCATGTATTATTTCCTCTTAATATTTGGCTGTCACCCCTTACCCTCTCTGGATGTCTCCAATATGTTTCATACATTGTGTTGAAACCTTCTGATTTTTCCTCCCTGGACTAGAAGCCTTGTGAAGGCAGGGATTATATCAAATTGGCTTTTATATCCCTAGTGTCAATACAGAGCCTAGCACAGAATAGGCTTTGGAAATATTCATTTAAATGAGCAGAATTGACTGTTCTAAATGAATTTACATTCTCTTGACTTTATAAATGAAATCTTGGTACCCTAAGACAGACTACACATTAAATAGCTGAAATATTATTAGTAGTTAACTAAGACACCATGTGTACAATAAGAACCAGCAAATGGGGGCAAATACAGTTGCAATTTTTGAGGGAGAAAAAAGTATTAATACTCTAAAACTATAGATAAGTGGGTGTTATGGGAAACTTTTAGAATAGACTCTGAAGATAATAGATTTTATGTACTTAGTAGACAAAGAAATAGTGATCACTAGTAACCAGCACAGGATCCCTAAGAGAATACTAGTGGTTCATAGTCATTTATGAGACATATTCTATGGGCCAGGCACTGTACTAGACACTGAGCTTACATCTTAGCGGGACAGCACATCTGAGCCTCTGAATAAGGTATTGTAATAGATATATTTGCAACTTACAGAAAAATTTACTCTAAGGCAGGTGATTAATAGATCAATGTTTACTTAAAAATGTTTAAAGCAACAAGCATGTATATTTCTTACTGTTTTATGTTTTCCTACCTTTTTGTCAGTGACATATATGATGATAATGAAGAGATGATTATTATACTGGTGCTGAATTAACATTGCGAAGGCCAGGCACGGTGGCTCATGCCTGTAAACCTAGCAATTTGGGAGGCTGAGGTTGGAGGATCACTTGAGGCCAGAGACCAGTCTGGGCAATATAGCAAAATCTCATCTCTTCAAAAATTTTATTAAAATTAGCCAGATGTAGTGGTGCATGCCTGTAGTTCCAGCTACTTGGGAGGCTGGGGTGGGAGGATCACTTGAGCCTCAAGGCTGCAGTGAGCTATAATGACACCACTGCATTCCTGCTTGGACAACAGAGAAAGACCCTGTCTTAAATAAATAAATAAATAGGGAAGGATGGTAATATGGTAGACAAGATCTACAAATATCTTTGTGGTTTTAATAACAAACACAATTCAGTAAGATGAATGTAAAGTTCTGTCCATGGGCCTCAAAGCCCAATGTTATGAAGTGGAGGCTATAGCAAGACCACTCCAAATTAACCCAGGAAAGAACTTTCTAAGAATCAGAGCTATTGTCTGGAAACGGAACAGACCATCCTAGGAGAGAATGTATTGTCCTCCCTGGCACTTTCTAGAGGAGGCTGAGCAGCTACCTGGCATGGCTAATGTGAAGGCGCTCTCCCTCCCTCTCCTCCCTGCCCCTGGATGCAGACTGGAAAGGGGAACCTGCCAGAACCTGCCAGTCCAGGCAGTCCATCACTCAAGGATAGAGGATGAGGAAGGTTACAAGGGTGTGGAAATTGCTCAGCCCTGGGGTCAGAAGAAAAGCTGGATTCTCAATAGGCAAGATAAGCGTAGACTCGGAGCACCAGCACACTAGGGGGTGTCTAATGATAGGAGAAACTATTTCTGAAAGCATGTGACATGAAATACTTCCAAAAACATATTTTAAGTTAACCCTAGTGGGAAAAA
Source organism: Homo sapiens (assembly GCF_000001405.40). Lineage (NCBI taxonomy): Eukaryota > Metazoa > Chordata > Mammalia > Primates > Hominidae > Homo > Homo sapiens. Next base: position 83,642,578 of record NC_000001.11, on the reverse strand, counting down.
ATCAGTGTTATACTACCTCATTAGACTGTTTAATGTTTTGTACTGAATGACATACTGGTGGACACCACAATCCTTTTAGAGTTTACTAGACTCTCTGAAGGCCTTAACCGGGACCTAATTAGGAAATGGTTCCTTTTGGTTCACTGTGTACTTTGGGCTTCAGTTTCCTTTTCTTAAAAAGTATGAGTTTGGCTAGATAATCATTCAGATGCTATGATGGCTAAGTTGCTTTGCATTATTTTTCCTTCCTTTCTGCATCACCCTGCTGAGGAGATGAGCCTGCCCTCACAAACCCTTCATCTCCATGGTCTGCAGCCACTTCTTAGGCCTGGCCCAGACGCCTCCAGCCTGTGGTGAGAGAGTAGGCTTGCCTGGTTCTGCCAATCCTCTAGGTCACACTAGACATTTTCGTTCATATTAAAAAATAAATCTGGAGTTGTTTAACATTCCCAGGCTGGTCGTGTAAGTGTGTGTGTGTCTGTGTGTGTGTGTTTATGTGTATGTGCACAACACGCAAAACTTGAAAGCAGAGAGTTTCAGCTGGCCCAGAACCTGCCATTTCCATCCAGCTGTTGGCCTTGTGCCTCACAACAAGCTCACAGCCCACATGAACAGTTCCTGTGAAATATGCCCTGTTATTTTACCCAGGCAATAAGATTCCCAACAGCTGTGGGGAACATCTTTTGACCCAACAACAGACAAATAAGATTCTTCATCTGGTTGGAGACTGAAGGCTGGAGTGCGTGAAACAATACTGAGACCTTTTAAGAGAATCAGTGTCACCCAGTTAATTACTAGAAAAAATACAATTCTCCTGCCAAGATTCTGCATAGGATACAAAGGTTTTTATTTTATATATCATTCTTCAGCCACGATGTTCCTTTCTCATGAAAGTCACAAATTTACTGAAGTCATGACTCGAAAGAAAGGAGAGCAGGATTGTAATTACCACTTTTCAGCTTCTGGAATGTCATCTTAAGTAAACAAGCAATATTTTAGGCAGGACTGCCGTTACCAAACTTTCAGTTTCAAATGATTAAGAGGAGGATGTGGGAGGCAGGAGAAAGAGGTGTGGCTTTTGTCTCTGCTTTTGTTCTGCTGCTATCCCTGGGATGTTAGGGAAGACAGTCAGGGGCCCTGTTCATCAGCTTGCCCAAGACAGGCCACGGGATTTATTTTATCAGTGAGCCTTGTTGTATTTGAGCAGCCTCCACCTAAAGAGGAGCATTTACTACTTGGCTCTTTAAACAATGTGTGATAGTGAATATACGGCTTGCAGCTTTTTATCCATATCCATGTTTTCCACCTCGCCCACGTTTTTGAAGATCCAGCTGAGTGAAATGTTTGTACTTGCTGACTGGTTGAACTCAAACAGGGCATCAGGATTTTCTGACTGGGACCAGAGACTGTCAAGCTAATTTGAAAGGGTGCTATTCAAAAAATACAAATACATTTGAACAAGTATTTTTAGATTTTCATTGGAGACTTGTCTCATCTTTCTTCAAGAGTCTTGATTCAATTAAAAAAACAAAAACAAAAAACTCCACCTGGCTCCTATCTGTCAAAACCAGGCTTATTGTTACTTTACAATATTATCATACTTACCAGTTGTTTTTGGCTTTCAAGCTGTTCAGCATCTGAGCACAAAAATTCATTGTATAATCCACATAACCTCTTTATATTTTGAAGACTCAAAGGCAACAAAATGAGCTTATACACTTTTACTCTTAATTGTGTATCAAGTTTTGTCACTTTCAGAATAATGTCACAGTAAATCTGAGATGATATTCTCAGAAGCTTGTTATTTGGAATCACATGGTATTTTTCAGTAATTATGCAAATTAATAAAGTAAGACAATCTTATTTAGAAGCAATTCACAATGATAAATGAAAAATAAAACACAAGCATAGTTAAACTCAATTCTCATTTTTACAAGCCATGTCTTATCGTATTACTGAACTGAAGCACAGGCTTTCATTGTGAAATGCTGTATTTGTAACAAGTAAGATTATCTATTAAAATTAAGCATTAAAGGTTATATTCTTTGCTCTTTCTTTATGCAGCTTGAGAATGTAATGTATTCCTCAAATTGCTACCATATTGTTTCAGAAATGCTTATCAATGTGAAGTGTCATTCAATTTCATGGAGTCTTCTGTTCCCATTCCTTCAACCGTAAACCAAACAAGAAAACAGATGTGTGATTGCAGATCTTTTAAGTACTGTAACAACTTTCAAAAAGATGTGGCTTTCCCCCACATGCCAAATAATTTTGCTTATTATTAATTTTTTTAAACATTACCCTACTTATTGCAGTTAGCTGCTTTCTTTGACTAGAAGAGGCATTAGCCAAAACTGTAGCAAGAAAATTTGTCTTCAGAACTACCCATCTCCTCTTGCCTTTCAGGGACTTTCTCCTCTCCCTCTCTCTTCCATCTTAAGGAGCTCCATGCTATCTCCTCTGCCCTCCTACCTATTGAAGACAGTGTCTAGGAAAAAAGCTTATATTGCTGGTGTACGTGGAGAATTAGAAACTCTACGTTGGAAGGGATTCTAGAGGCTTATGCCATTTGCTTTCATCACTTCAAAGACAGAGGTCACTGTTTTTCCACTATTGTTGCATTCTGTTGGAGTTTTTTGTTGTTTGTTTTGTTGTTGTCGTTTGTTGGTTTTTTAGAATACTCTTTCTTTTGGTGAGCTAAAATCTGCTTCCTTTTACTTTTTAATCATTGACCTTAATTTGCCCTCTGGGGTAATACAGAACAAATCTAACTACCTTTTCCACTTGAGAGCTTTTCAAATATCTGAAGAGAGTAACCATGTCTTTCCTTTGCCTTCTTTCAGTCAAATTAATCATTCCCAGTTCTTCCATTTGACATGGTTTCCAGATTCTGCCAAGCATTTCCCCACTCTGCTACCACCCATCCTATCTCCAACAGTGAACACACTCTAATTTCCCAAATGCTCTAAAATATGGTATCCAGGACTAACCATGACATGCCTAGGTTCTTTAAGTGACATGGGGATGGCAAATGAGCTATAATTTGGTATCTACACTTCTTTAAAGCAGTCTACCAAACTCCTCAGCTTTCTCTCACTTAATGTTTTTAAGATCTACTGTGTGTCCGGTATGGCATTGTAGACACAATAGTGAACAAGATCCAGTCCTTGCCCTTGAAGAATCTGTAATCAGCATCTAGTCATGTAAACAAATAATGACAATGTGGAGTGAACACACAAGATAACCCTATGTGTAAGGTATAGGAGTACAGAGGTAACAATGATTACCTCTGTGTGGGGTTGCTGAGGAAGAAGTACTGAACAGGAGTTTGATTGCTGCTAACCCTGGTCTTTCCTACCAATAGTAGATGTTCAATTGTAAGAGTGCATTTTCTCTGCAGCTGTGCGATGACAGGCTTTATTGATTGTTAATGAAATTTCAGGGCTGCCTCATCAGTGACTCTCAAATTTCAACTCCACCTTCTTTGAGGTTTGACCAGCAATCCTAACAGCCTGTAATTCCAAAGGCAACAGAAACAGATCTGGTAGTTGGTATCATTTTGTTACTTAAAAGGTCTAGAATTTACACTTGAAATAACCTTTTCAGGTGGAACCAGCATTCTGCCAGTGATCATTAGTCTTATTTCTCCAAAAGATGATAACCAGGACTTAAATCCACACGTCTAACCATGTCCTTAAAGATACACAACCAGATGCCACTTCAGGAAAAATGCACACATTAGATTTATAACAAAGACTTTGTTGCCAAATTTTGTCCCAGTTTCTTACCCAGTAAATTAGGTGGCTGTTAATAACTTTCTGACCTTTCTTACCTAAGGCTACAACTGGAGATAAACAGGTAACCTCATCATTCCTTTAGTGGGCTCTTCATAGAAAGCAGAAATCAGTTCTATACATATCTTACTGTATCACTTCTGTTGATTTTCAGTTTCTTCATTCTTCCCATTAAATTTCAAGCCCTTTACATGGTGGTCCATTTTGTTCTCGGTTCATATTATAACTGTTCCTTGTTCATGAATGGTAGGGTATGGGTGTGGAGGGAAGGTTAATGGGAGATTGAGGGTAGAGGGAATGGGTGGTGGGAAGAAGGTGGGGAGGTGTAGAGAGGCCTTAAGACTTTCTTGAGGGTAAATGTCATGTCTAACAACATGATTGCAACTCAGTATATTTCCCAGGAAACGATTCTGGGATTACAACCCAGTTTATTTCCCAGGGAGCAGGAAAATTTTGCTTGCTCTGCTTGAGAAAGACTAGGCTTTATGAGGCACCATGGGAGAAAATCCTGGTTGGCTGGCTTTCAAATGAAACCAGAAGTATGGTTTACTTCTTTTGCAGGTGCTAGGGCTGACAGAATGTAGATGACCATCCGATCAAAAACAAAGAGATAAACACGAACACCACTTACCTCTGCAATCATGATCTTTCCTTAAATAAGGCTGAAATACAACTTCATCACCTTTTGTTAATCTCTGAGAGATTGTAGTTTTATGGCTTCAGAGCTTTTTCTTTAGCTTCCAAGGTGACCTTGGTAGTGCCAAGTTCTTTTTATGATAATGCCTTAAATTTGTGCAACACTTTACAGTTTAATAAAATCTTAATACACATTATCCCACCTTGAGTTAAATAGGAGGGTATTATCTCTATTTTACAGGAGAGGAAAGTGAGGCTCAGAGGAGCTCAGAGTTGTTTCAAGGTCACAGGTAGTAAATCATTGAGTTGGTAGTATATTATTGGGTTGGTAGTATCTTCAGGTCTGTGCATTCTGGCTTCAGGTCTTCCTCTGCTGGACAGCACTGCCTTTTGTTGTATGGAGGTTACAGTTTATCACATCCTAGTGTATTCTTTATTTATGAGAGATCCTTACAATGGCCTCTAAGGTAGGCAAGGCAGGCATTATAAGGCATGTTGTTTCTTTTTCTCAATTATTAGGCTAAACTAGAAGTGAAATATGCTTAATTGAAAGCCAGAGAAACCTTCAGATATCCATGATGTTTTGTTTTGCTTTGGAGTCTCTAACGCTTTTTCACACCATCATTCATGCAGTACACCTACTAGTATTTAGGGAAGCTCTTATTGCTGAGTGAGCTCAACAATTGTGGCTGTTATCAATTTTGATTAAAAGAAAGAGATGTTAATAAATAAGAATTGACACTCACAGCTTCTGGGCATGACTCATGACTGAATGTTGGCAGATAAAGTATAAAGTCACATTGTTAATCTTATTTCTTTCTTCTCTTCATCTTTCACGTCTACACTCTTCTATCTTTAATAACACTTCAACTCAGTCACAGCAGCAGCTTGTGACTTGTCTACACTTTGAACCAGTCACTCATTACCAGACCACACTAGCTACCTCTGCATTCTTCCCACTTGCACTCCCGGTTGCCTCCACCAGATAAAGCTTTCTACAGATCAGCTTCAAGGGCATGTGACCTGTGCAGTTCGTTGTTCAGGACATCATACTTAGAAGAGCCCACGCCGTGTTTAATGCTCTGCCAACAACAGCATGAAATTCTTATTAATTTTTGGACAAGGGCTCCTGCATTTTCATTGTGTCTTAGGCCTCACAAATTATGTAGCTAGTCTTGATCTCCAACCAAACTCATTGCAGCACAATGAAAGGAACATTCTTGTTCCTTTCATTGATTTGATGGGAATGCAGACCTCTATCCAGGGCACCAGATTTAGCCTTTGACCAAATTTTACCTGAAGCTCCAAAAGCTTTCTGAAATACAGAGAGTTCAGGCTACACTTTCTTTAAGAAAAATCAGTTACGCAGCTATCTTAAATTTCTCACAGTACAACTTAGGTCTCTGTTTTACAAGAAAATTCTCCATTAAATAGGGTGGGTTATGGGGAAAGAATGATCTGTAGATAGCAATGAGTAAGTTCCAGACAGACTCCTGGGGTTGGGGGCCGAAAAGCTCAGAAAACTGGAAAGGATAGGATATATTCTTATATGATGAGAAGGGAAATGCTCACCCATCAGGTTGGATAGCAGAAGAAATGGCACTGAGTTTAGAATTCTGTAGAAGGGGTTGCCAAGAATGGAGATACTTAAGGGGTTAAGATATGTGACATTTTATCTCCTTGCTCCATCCCCTTGCTCTGGTACAGATCTCTCCAGAAATCCTCTTACCTTGTTTTTTCTTTTCCTGTTTTCTAGTTCCCTCTCAATTTCTTTTTCCCTTTCCTAGCTTTTCCTTCCTCCACTTTCTTTCCCTCTGTCTATAGTATTTTTGGGGGTTTATTGCCTAAAATGTATGTCCTTGGTTCTTAGTTTTGAAAGCACTGGAAATATTTATACAACCCCAAACTCTTTACTTTTTTTAAGCCACAAGAAGGAGTGGGGTTTGAGGTTGGGGGGAACTAGATTTGAATTAACATTGGAAGGAAATACTTTAAAAGTTGATTAGTTTGATTTTCTTTGATTTCTGTGATTTTCTTTGTTTCCTCTCCAGATTATTACTAAAAACTCCTGAAATTATTAGTAGAATTATTTTGTAAGACCCTTCATTTTTTTCATGTTTAGAGGTTGTCCCTGATTAATTACAAAGTTCTCCAACCCAAATTTATTTAATGACTATAAGAACATATTTTTATACAGTAGACTGTCTTGTCATGAAAGGAATTCGATTACAGAATTAGTTTCAAAGTCCTCAACTTAATGTCTTGTTATCTAGGTTTTATATTCATTTTTTGATTTGAATATATTTCTTTCCTATCTCCACAAAGGCATGAAAAGAGGCATTAGAGTAAAGAGATGAGAAGCATGTTGCCTCCCTCATGAAGTTTACAGGTAGTGGGAGAAGAAACATGCCCAGTACAGTATAGTATGATAATGGTTAGCTGGGAGGTGGATCCATATTGCAGCAACAGAACCTGCAGGAAATGTGGCATCATCCAAGGCTTCAATGAGATCAGAGAAGGCTCTCAACCAGCACAAGTGGCAACTGTGGGCAATTGGGGGCATGACTTTTGCCAATTATCAAAGTTATGAAACATTAAAAAAATACTTGAATACTGATAGGAATGGGTTTTTCCTTTTGCTAGGAGTATGGAGATATTTGATAGGCATTGGTTTACAAGATACCTTTGGGAAAGAGGTGGAGGAAAGCATAGCTGACTGGCTTTCTCCTTAACTTGATGCTAAATATTAGTAAATAAGAGGACCTATGGTAAGTAGTTACCTCACCTTTCTATGTGTTATTTCCTTACCTTTAAAATCAGTGTAAGAACAGTACCTATCTGATGTAGAGTTACTATTAAGAGTTTGCATCCTTAGTACAATGAAAGTGTAGTAAATACTAACATTATTTTATTGACAGCTCAAAGAAATGTCCACACTTGAAGGGATTTTCTTCATAAGCAATCAAGCCAGATACAGATTTTTCCCTCATGCATCTTTTAAAGCTGAATGCCAAGCAGGCAAATTAGAGGACAGTTTCTTAATCAGTGGCATTGATTTTCAATTTCTCAACACATCATTGCTCATTTGTATTGAGACTTAACAGTGAACAATAAAAAATGTTGACCACCAACCTTGCTTACAGAGACTCATAGAAAGAGGCCAATAACTGAGCTTCTTTAGGATGGTGAACTGGGCCATGAAAAGAACATTTTTCCATGGTCTGCACATGGCTGAAAAAGCACGGGTTCAGAGCTGGGAGTACTCTGCTACTTCCTAGCCATGCGACCTTGAGCAAGTCATTGAATAATTCGGAGCCTCAGTTACTGATCTCTAAATGGGAAATATAATTTTTAAAAATGCACACACAAACAAGAAAAACCTACTTTCTTTATAGGGTTATGTTGAGCTTTACATGGAAAAATGTATGTAAAAGTAGTATATAATTTGGTATCCAAATTCTAGTTTTTATGTCTTTCTTTGATCAAGACTAAACCTGTGTAGGTCTGGTAGGATTATGTTTATGTTGTAATTATGGTAATTATTTCACTCTTCTCCTGCTTATTTTATAGTACTGGGTAATCTAGGCCAGCGTTCTGCAACCTTGGCAACACATTAGAGTCACCTGAGGGGCTTTTAAGACAGACAGCAGTGGAAGACCTACCCCTGGGGATCCTGATTTACCTGTTCTGGGTTTGGCTCTGTCATTGGCAATTACAATACAGAAAAAGGAATAAAAGACACATTTGCAAACTGTTTATGAAAGAGGCAGAGTTGCGCCAGGCGCGGTGGCTCACGCCTGTAATCCCAGCACTTTGGGAGGCTGAGGCGGGCAGATCATGAGGTCGGGAGATAGAGACCATCCTGGCTAACACGGGGAAACCCCGTCTCTACTAAAAATACAAAAAATTAGCCGGGTGTGGTGGTGGGCACCTGTAGTCCCAGCTACTCGGGGGGCTGAGGAAGGAGAATGGCATGAACCCGGGAGGCAGAGCTTGCAGTGAGCAGAGCTTGCACCACTGCACTCCAGGCTGGGCGACAGAGTGAGACTCCATCTCAAAAAAAAAAAAAGAAAAAAGAAAAGAGAAAGAGTCAGAGTTGGAAAATGGCAGAAACTTTTGACTAAATGGGAACTAACAATCCATTCTGCCTTAATTTCTAAGGCACCTTTTCCAAAGTATTATATATTAATTAAGTCAGGTTGGTTGTGGACAGTTATACCGCTGTAGCATTGCCTCGGCTTTTCTGGTTTCACTTTTTACAGCTGTACTGAGAAAAATACTCTTTTTTTCCCTATAGAATTAATTTCCACAGATGAATTCCAGGAAGCCTGTATCATCTATTTATTTCGCATGAAATTTTTTCAATTACTTATCACCAATCACTTGTTTGGACTTAAAATCTCTCTGTCTCACTCTCTACTGACAGAAATTTCCCCTGGGATGGCTTCTTGAGCCTTTATTAACCCCTATCAGGCACACACTCCTCGGTGCGCTCTGTCTTCCCCGCTTCTTTGCACCATGCCCTATTATCTACTGTTCAGAGGGTGGAGAACATGAAATTTCCTCTGGGTCCATATATGCTTTACACTGTACATTTATACTTCTTGGAAGAAAGAGAGCACTCATATATATGGTCACAATGAGAAACATATATCAATACTTTATATTTATAAAATAGAAAAAAATCAGGATGTACATATTTATTTATACCTGGTGTCATGCAAAAGACTTTGACAATATCCCTTTTTTGTTATGTAAATGGGTCAATACGTAATATCTCTTTTCCTCACCAGAGTCCTGAATCATTTTAGAACTGGTTAAAAGATTTTTTAAAAAAGAGTAGGCAGATGGAAATCAGAATATCATTTTATTTCTGATAAAGGATGGGTTGGGGAAAGCAGTATAGGCATGAGGCACAATAGGTTTGCTAATGCTGAACCCAAAATGAAACTGACTCAGCCACCAGCCACAGGCAACTGGGCCACTACAACCCTTACTTCTCCCCAGGAGGGCCCCAGACATAATCACAAAGGTTACTGATGCTTTAAACAGAGCAGCCCAGCCCTGTACATAGTGAGGGAGAAGGTGCTGAGCAGTCCTGCCCACCTCACTGATCACCCAAGTCAATCTGCCACCTGAGGGGTTGCGGCAGGAGATCAAGAGCATTAGAGGAAAGATTCTTTCTCATGGAAACTTGATGAGTGGAAAAGATGAGTTTCTTTCTCATCACTCACTGTCTTCATCATTTAGAGAGAAACAATGAGACCAAGAAAAATTTATCTACTTTGTCAGAATCACACAGCTAATTAATGGCAGAGTTGGTATTAGATTTCTCATCTCCTACTTTGATATTCTTTTGCAGAGGAAAGTGAACCAATGAGCTAATTCCTGCTAAGACACCTATTCAGTCATTCCACAAATATTTATTGAACATACACTATATCCCAACCACTGTCTGTTCTCTGGGAATAGTGATGGACAGTATGGAAAAACACCTGCCTTCTTGAAATTTTCCTTCAGTTGGGAAGACAGATAATAAACCACTAGCTAAGAGGAGGCTGATAAGCCCTATGAAGACAGGGAAAACAGAGGAAGGGTGACAGGCTGTCACTGAGGACAGCCTCTTTTATAGAGGGTAACTGGGGAAGGCCTCAGTGAGGACGTGAGATTTGAACAAAGGACGGGCTGGTTATGGGATTTCTGGAGGAAAAGCATTTCAGGCTGATGGAATGCCACTGCAAAGGCTCAAGTCTTGAAGTGTTCGGTTTTTAATGTGAACCTTGCTCATTCAAAGATAGGAAGAAAGTTAGAGGGGGCCACAAGCAAATGAATAGATATTTTGGATCTCACACCGAGGATATCTACTCCCCACTATTCCTAAGGCTAATCTTGCTGGCACGTATCAGTGATTAAAATCCTGGTTGAAATATCCCTGTAAGACCTTGTCAACTCTGTTTTAATTCTCAGATGAGTGGTGTTATTCTAGGTTACTCACCTGGAAGAATGCTTTGGAATGATCTTTACTGTCTTTTGATTCTCTCATGCTAATAAGGTAGCACCATCTCCAAGAAGGGAATGCCATGCACATTAGTGGCGAGAGTGTCTGAAAGTTGCGGAGCCTGTTTTATTGCTTGTTCACTGTCATCCCTTATTAGTGAAGGTGTCACAGACCCGATTTCTATCCTGTTGGGCATTTGGTATGTTTCTGGTGAACGCTTGTATTACATTGATTTTGAATCGCCAACAGTATTAAGAGGGTAAACAGCACAGCTTTAGAAGAAATCCTCTGAGCTTTTGGATATTAGGATATTCTTAACTTCTGCTCTACTTTTGTTAGGGTCGAGTCTCTGGTAAATTCTGAAAGATTGTATAGTCTGGTTCATCATTAGATTCAGAATCCATAAACTTGTGTTTCGAGCTAGTTACTGCGGGTACAGTGTGGCACAATAAAGACCTGCATTGGCATGGGATTTCAGGGAAACTGCACATTAAGAGCCAATCCCTTCAGTTCACCTGGAAGAAAAGTCGTTGCGCAAGAAGTGGGAGGGTAGCAATGCCCAGGAACATTAACTTGCTCAGCATCGTGCTGAGCTAGTGTCTGCCAGGGGGCTACATAATTAAGGCACGTGAACTCTCCTGACTGTGGGAGGGGAGGAAAGGTAATAGGGACTGGAACAGATCTGGAAGAAGCCTAGCTCTGTGTGTGTGTGTGTGTGTGTGTGTGTGTGTGTGTGTGTGTGTGTGTGTATTTAAAAAGCACAGGTGAGGGAAATGCCTCTCAGAAGTAAGGAATGAGAATTGAGGTGGTTAATCACATTTCTTTCTACCTTCCATCTCTCTGGGAAAAGCCAGGGATAGGACAATGGGGGTGGAAATGTGCACTGTGAACTGACAGTGGAGAAGGGGCCAGAGGAAGGATCTGAGTGTGTCTTGCCTATCATTACTTTCTCTCCTATCCCAACATTCTCTAACACAATGCCTGGCACACAACAGAGCAAATACTTCTTATTTGTTGAAATAATTAATAAATGAGTGAATAAATGAATGCAGTGTAGGCTGGGTACCTTGACTCAAAGCCCAGTCCCTTTTTCAAAGCCTACCTGATGAATTGGTTTTTATTTTTAAATGAACTGCATAAAGAGAGGCTATTGAAATGGACTCCATTCAAAGTTACATTGTGCTTGACAGGATGGCCTTGAATGTACTCACCTCATATTTTAGAACATTTAAAGAGGAATGTGGCCATGAGGCAAAAGAAAAAATATGAACCTGTTCCTGGACTTAATATAACAGGAAAACATTTATACAAAGCCTTTCACTGTAAGGTTTGTTATACCAGTAGGTTTACTGTGGCAAAATTTTGCTATTTATGCACACAATTCACTCTCACTGGCTTCAGTCTTACCCTCAGTTCTCTCTGGTCCGCATAATCCTTAGTTGTACTCAATTATCTGGATATCTTCCCTTAATCATTCATATCCATTCGCCCAGCCATTCATCTTTCTACCTATCTGTATTAGTCAATTTTCATACTGCTATGAAGAAATATCTGTGACTGGATAATTTATAAAGAATAAAAGGTTTAATGGACTCATAGTTCCACATGGCTGGGGAGGCCTCGGTATCATGGCAGAAGGTGTAGGAGGAGTAAAGACATGTCTTACATGGCGGCAGGCAAGAAAGCACGTGCAGGGGAACTCCCCTGTATAAAACCATCAGATCACATGACACTTATTCACTGTCATGAGAACAGTACAGGAAAACCTCCCTACCATGATTCAGTTACTTCCCACTGGGTCCCTCCCAAGACACATGGGGATTATGGGAGCTACAGTTCAAGATGAGATTTGGGTAGGGACACAGGCAAACCATATCACTATCCATCCATACACCTCCATCTATTTCCTCACCTAGCTATTCATTTTTCCATCCACACATCCAACTATCCATCTATCCATCCATACAATTTGTATTTTTAAGCCCATGCTATGTGCCAGGTTGTTTGTACTGGGGAGAGATATAAAGAAGACATGGTATTTTTGTCCTGGAAGCTTGTAGCCGTTCAGTTATTAGCCCCATTTTGGGCTGACACAGCACCTCGTGTAAACCCCTGTTGCACTGTAATGTTTGTGTATGTGTTCATTTCCACAATGACAAAATTAGCTCATCAAGGCCATGATTTGTTCTAATGTTCTAATTATGTAGATGAGAACCCTGTGGTGCAGGTAAGGTATGTGCCTTGCCCAACTCCCCCCAACTCTTGTTGGATAAGCAAAAACTTAAGACTTAGGTGTTTTCTCTCACAATCCACGGTTCTTTGTTTTACATCATGTGAATTCTCCCCTTAATTGTCATCTCAGATGGTGTATATCTGGGACTAACACTGAAGCAGAGTATAGACTCAGTGGGTAGTCTGAAGTCCAGGCTCTTCCTATTTTAGTCAAGAAGACCTTCTAAGCCTTGGGGACTCACAGTGACTGGAGAGTCCTCAGGAAGCCAAAAAGAGATCAGTGCTACTTCGTCTTTTTTTTTCTTTTTTTTTTTTTTTGAGACAGAGTCTCACTCTGTTGCCCAGGCTGGAGTGCAGTGGCGTGATCTCAGCTCACTGCAAGCTCCGCCTTCTGGGTTCACGCCATTCTTCTGCCTTAGCCTCCCGAGTAGCTGGGACTACAGGCCCCCGCCACCACGCCCTGCTAATTTTTGTTTTTGTATTTTTAGTAGAGATGGGGTTTCACCGTGTTAGCCAGGATGGTCTTGATCTCCTGACCTCGTGATCTGCCCGCCTCGGCCTCCCAAAGTGCTGGGATTACAGGCATGAGCCACTGCGCCCGGCTGCTACTTTGTCTTTAATTTCTCAAAGAATATTTATGATGTACCGTTAGAGGCCTTCAAGCCTCCAGAAAACACTGCATTTACAGATGACACCCACTTCAGTAAGAGCCTAATGGGGACTCATTAGCAGATAATTAGTTATTCAAGTTGTTAAGCATTAATTCCTCTCATGACTCTCATCTGCCTTGTACAAGAAAAAGGGGAAAGAATAGCAACTAGAGTTTGAGGAAGTTACCCAGTCCTTGCTAGTAGTCCTTCTTTTTCTCTACGGTCCTAAATATTGCTTTGGTATCTCTTAATTACTCTAGGGGATCATGGAGGAGGAGAGCTTTTAAAGAGAGGGGCCAATGTTTCCCCTATTTTTTTTTAACTAACAAGCAGATGATCTTTGACATACAAATAACATGGCTCCACCATGCTCCTACCACAGAGGATAGGCCACAGATGTCTCGGATTCTAAAGCTTTCAAGGTAGTGGACATTGGACATATGAGGCTGTAGGTACCTATAGATGTAATGACCACACTCTGGGAGGAGAGTGGGGCTTTAGTAAAGGAAATGTGGCACAAATAAAGGAGACAGTAACACACCGATTCTAGATTTCCAGCAACTGGGAGTCTTTGGGCAGAAGGAAAGGAGAGCATGTAGGAAAGCAGAAAAACAAGTAGACCAGAGGCCCTGTGTTCTGGAATAAAGAGGTGCAGCACTGCGTCTGGAGGTACCAGTGAGCAAGAGCACAGCCCCTGTGAACCATGGTCCCAGACTGGAGCTGACACAAGTTCTCCAAGGTATGAGTGCTTCGTCCACATGACACAAACTTGGGGCAAGTCTTCAGAATCATGAGTTCCCTGATATCCACACTGACTAGGTTAACATACTAAAGAGAAAGTCAGGAAAGGGGTGGGTAGAGAAAAGCTACAGCTTGACTTGCAGGGCCTGCACATGCCCAGACCTATCCCTGAGTCTCTAGTAGCAAGATGGTCTGCAGGGTGAAGATGCACTGCTCAGAAATGGCCCACACACTAGGTAGTAAGGACAATGCAAGCTGGGCCACCATCTTCTTTGGTCACATTAAAGAAGCCAATAGTTTTGGAACAGGAAAACATTGACACCTAAAGAAGGTAGAGCCAAAAAATGCAGAAAAGGGGACAGCCCTGGTGATCAGTGGAGCCTATGGACTTGGACTCATCTAAAGCCAGCTGCAACCCTGGACCTCCTCACAAATGAGCCAACTCATTCTCTTGTTCTGCTAAGGGACTTCAGTTGACTTTCTAGCATTTGCAACAGAAAGTGTCCTGAACTAGCTAGTTTGGGCTCTATAGGTTAGGGCTCGCCTTAGGCTAAATTTCAAGTAATAATTACTGTCATCCTCTGAGTACCTTTCACCTGTGAGTACATGTCACGCAACTCCTCAAGGTAGAGACAGTTCTCATTTTACAAATGGAAACACTGATACCCAGAAAAGTGGAATCTCTTGCCTAAGGCTACAAACCTGGTAAATTTAAAAACCTGATTTGCCTAACTCTGACGTTCAGACGTTTTCCTCTCTACCATGGTGTCCCCAGCTGGTAAGATTTATTCCCAAGTACTCCCTTAAGCCCCAACCCACAGCTCCCTTAAGGGTCTTTTATTGTCCTCTGCACACCTAGGCTTCTTTTCCACCTTCCTGCCTGCAGCTCTGAGAGCTTTATTCCTTCCCCTTTCTCTATACCCATCAACATATATGGGTCTCTTAATAGGTCCCCAGGATCTTGCTCACCGCCAAGGATGGCTAACTAATTCTCTGTGTAGAGCATACTGATGAGCAAACACACACATAATATCTGTATTTACTGAGCTACTGATCAGTAAATAAATGTTCATGATGTAACTTAGGATGTTATGTATTTTTGCTTTGCAGACATTAGTCTAACCCAAAGGAATGATGCTAATGTGGGGAGCTTGACCAGGTTAAGAGGGTTTGGTTTTGAGGGGACCCCCATTTCTCATTGTCTCCCTTCTCAGACTCTTCTTAGATAGCTGTGCCATGCCCTGCAGGCCTGTCTGCCAGCCTGCCAGGTGGATCTTCCCTGTTAGTGCCAGCCTGCTACTTTATGTGGCATTGCGTGACTGATTTGATGACCTGTGACCTGACTGTCCATCTGGTCACTCAAGAATTTGCTTAGCTGTTTAACTTTTTTTTTTTTTTTTTGCTGTGACTGAATTTCCACTGGCTCTCTCAGCATCTGACTTGCTAACCACTCTGCTCTGTCTGTTAAATGGATGAAAAGAGAGAATGACCTCCTGCTGCCAGTTCTGCCCTGTGCCCTCCTTGTCTTCAGTCAGAATGCCCCAGTGCCTCAGAAGCTTCTTTCTCCTGAACTCCTGTTACTGCCATGGCTGCTACCCCAGGTTGCCATGTGTGTGGTGCTCTGTGAAAAGAGAGACGTTTCATTTTGTACTTGACAGGTGCTGAACTCAACTGGACAGTGAGACCCAGGAAATATGACACCATCTGCTTCCTGCCATGTTCTGGCCCTGGTGCTTGATGCCAGGACATCAGCTGTTACCTGAGTGTGCTGGGTCTTGTGAAGTGAGCCATTCAGGAAACACTTTGCATACACTTTCCTCAATAGCACTGTTCATACTGGTCAGGCAGCAAGGCTGTATATATTTTTTTTCTTGACTCCCAAAGTTAAAAAAAAAAAACTTCTTGCTTCCTAATTCTGTTTTCTAAAGAAAAAACATACATACATAAGCTTATTCATGGACTTCCTTTCCATCCTTTCCTTCTGTGGTCTTTTTTTCTGCTATAAAGTGACCCTTTTTAAATGCCGTTGATTGGTCGCTGACTACCCTGCACTGTATTAAGTGCTCTGTGCCTTGGTTTCCTCTGCGTTCCAAGTGGGTGCAATGTCCTTAACTTGTGGTTAAGTGAGGATTAGATAGCCCAAGGGGAGGATTAAGCAAACAATAGCATCCTAGAAAATAGGAAAGGCAAGTTGGGCCTCCTGTGTGCTGGGAGTGCCTAATCTAGCTGAGAACATTTAGGGCTAGAGGAGGGAACAGGAGCTCCATTTCTCTCCTCCTATAGTTCCTGCAAATCTCAAGTTTCTTTGAACCTATGACCTGCCCCTGTCTAGTTCTAGAAGCTGCCAGGCAGGTGGCATGGAAGTTTAATTGGAGGCTAATTCCTTCCAACTTGCTGGTTGTAATCCTTCTGTGGATAGACAAATCAAGCCACCTGTGTGGGATATTAAAAATGAAACAACACATACACACCAACAACCCTGCAGATTTGTTACTGAATTTTTAGACTCAAAGTGTGCCATCTGGACCAGACACAGTACTTCTGGAGTCTTTGTTGCCTCTTTCCTCTTTTGTATGATGTTGAGATGGTTTTGGTCAGCTACTCCTGTTTTGATGCCTAAATAGTGACGTAAAACAAAATCTGAATCTTAATTGAAAACATGAGCTTTTTTTCATTTAAATTTGTTGGCTCTTTGAAGATTTATGGCATTGCGAAGTTGTGCTGGTGGAGTCTCTGAGAAAATTCTTTTTGGTCACCAGATTGTTTCCTAAATTAGATGAAGCCTTTGTAAGTCCTCAGTCATAACAAAGATGAAACAAGCTGTTAAAATACGGGAATATGGCTTTGGAGCAAATGCTATGATTGAATTGTAAGAGTGATATTGGTTTTAGGGAAAGACTGAGAAAACTGGTGGGCTGCTCAGGCACCCACACTCCAGCACAGGACAGTCTGACCATTACCTGTAAGAACCATGACCAAACCCAGCCAGCCCTGCAATAGACTGACCTCAGTGGCTTTCACTTTGGGTGAGCTGATGAAGTATACATGTATGCACCAGTGCATGCACACACACTGCCATCCATGCCATTGTTGTTACACCTGCTAGAACCTATGGGCAGAATCACTGTCCTTCCTCTGACCAAATTAGGTCAACCCAGAGCTCCTTTCCACCCATCTTCCTCTGCCAGGCTAAGTTCTACCTTATGTGGAGTAGTGAGAAGCATAACCTGGGCCTAGAGGTAGCCTAGAGGTGAGGCTAGAGGTAGAAAAGGCATCATTGAAAACTTGTTTTTGTTTTACATTCAGTGGGTTGTACAGTTATGTGGGTTGAACCATCATGTAGACTAGAATTGGTTTAATTACTAATTTCTGGTGAGTCCATATTATATCATTTAAGATTCCAGCCCTATAGAGGAAAAAGAACCTTTCTTCATCACACCTGTGAACTAGGAAATTGGCAAGAATAAAACAAAAATCAGAAGGCTGTCCTCTAGAAAACTGCCGAAATAGGAAGGGAAGGACCAGGTGCATAGAGACAGGGTGCTTGGCCAACATCCTGGCCCTTTCACTTTTAAAGGAATACCTATATGTAAAACATCGTGTTTTTTCATTCTTCTCATTCTCCCTCTTTCTCAATTGGTATAAGGCTATGTGGATGGCCTGTTGTGCTCTTTAAAGAATCAGTAAGATTTTGTACTCCACTAAGTAAATCTTGGCTTGGACTCGGCTCTGGCCAGTGCTGAACAATCTGAAGCAAAGGCCGTATAGGCTGGACCCTGTGTGGTCATGGCCACTTTGTTGGCCATGAATAATAACAACCCTGGGCATCTTAGAAGATGCTGTGCTCTCTTCAAAGAGTCTACCACCCACAGAGAGTAAAGGATTAGAAGTCCTATAATGGAAATCCATTAAATGTTGCAGTGTTAGTAATAATTAAGTAGTGTTTTATGACAGCACCAGCAGGCTAGTCAAGTGAATAATTCTTTTCAGGGTTTTCTCTCTCTCTCCATAGGTAAAGGATTTAGATGGATTTATGACATTGGCTGAAACAAATCAGTGGATGAGTGATTACAGGATTTGAGTGTGGTTAAACCAAGATTAACGCCACTAATTCCTGAGAATAAAGGAGATGACTGTCACCCGAGTACCTAAACTTGCAGTTCAAGATGTGCAGACTCCTAGCCAGCAGTTGAAAACCTCTGGGCACGCGCACACACACACACACACACACACACACACAGACACACCATCCCAGCCCTAACCCAGCATTCCCATGTCACACTGTGAAGGGTGGTAAGCAAACAACAATAATGATAGAGGGCTTGAGATACGGTAAACAAAATATTCAGTGCGAGTAAACTGCTGCTTACTAACATTCTCAGGCCACCAGGGTACCATTTAGGCCAAGGCCTTAACGAGGTCATTTGCCTTTACCTATACCAGAACCATTACCGTAATTGCTACTCAGCCTTCATGAAAGTGTTTATGGGTAAACAGTTTTCACCAAGGGAGTGATTAACTACCCCCTGGATTACTGTAGGATCAGGAATCATAAAAATCATAGCAATTGTAGTCATAATAACCTATGTTGTGTAAGTATTTGCTCTGAATGTCTTAAATTTCACCATCGTCACCACCACCCAGAGCAGCTTTAGGGTGAAGCACAGCACACGATGCGCAACACTGGTTATTAAGAAACATGGACGGATGAGAGGGCCCTCCTCACTCATCAAGTCTGGAAAGCAGAAAAGAGTGAAAATAACCCACCTATGATCTATAGCGTTTTATACTTTTGCTGAGGAAATAGTAGTGGACATGTGAATTGTTCTCATCCTAATAAACGGAGAAAATGTGCTAAGTAAATATATTGTATATGCATGCCCAAGGTCGAGGTAGAGCAAGTTTTGGTAACAGTGCCACTTTCACCATCTGCATTGGTTCATTCTATGGCTACATGATCTCAAATATAAAAGTATATATTTCAATCCATGCCCGAGAAACTTAACCAAGTTAGAGTTTTGGGCTGCAGAGACCTAGTCATTCCATTTCATGGACTGCTTCTCCACTCCCTAGCGATGTGCCCATCTAACAATGGGTTTGTTGAGCAGTTAAGGTAATGGTTCTGGTATAGGTAAAGGCAAATGAACTTGTTAAGGCCTCAGCCTAAATGGTAATCTGGTGGCATGAGATGGTTAGTAAGCAGCAGTTTACTCACATTGAGTATTTTATTTACCATCTCAGGCTCTGTATCATTATTGTTGTTTGCTTACCCCCTTCACAGTGTGACATGGGAATGCTGGGTTAGGGTTGGGATGGTGTGTGTGTGTGTGTATGTGTATACCCAGACTGAATTCTTGGTTTAGTCTGCCTGGAAATGCCTCCTGCATCAGTCCTTTGGTGTGCTGAGCTGACATTCTCCAACCATGTTGCCTAATAAAGCCCCTCCAGCTTCTGACTATTGCAATGTGCATCATGTTTCTCCTTAGTTGTTTGCATTGTCTACAAAATAAAATTCAGCCTGAAAGATCCACATTTCAGGCACTCTGACCTCTTAGCCCCACCGACCTTTCCAGCTTTTTTGCACAACTTTCCTACACATGTAGTACTGTGGATCAGTCATATCCCACAGTTTATGCCTGTCCTGCAAGCAGAAAGCAGGATGACTTAGTTATAGTATTTGTCAACTTGAGCAACAAACAGATCATCTATAAAGGAAACAGATTATCATAAATATCCACACTGAATTTGAGTTAAATAAAGACAAAGAAAAAACTAAGTATGAACTTCTTCATGGATCTGATAGACTGAATATGACTTCTTTTTCTTGATCAGTAGAGAATAAAATGATTCTTTCTAAAAAAAGTCTTTGAAATATTTGAGAAAATCAATCATATATTAAGTCTTTTCCTTATTAGGGTAGTAGTTCTTGTTTCTTCAGCTGTTACAAGAAATGGTTTAAAATTCTGTCTTCCAATCAGATCACTTCTCAGGTGAGATCCAGTTGGTTAATGTCTCTCTTAAAGTTTAAACAATACAGCACACAGACTCATCATTCTCTTGATCTGGATTCCACACTCTGAGTTGCCACTTCAAATTACTAAAAAAAAAAAAAATTTGTAGCCACATCTTATACTACTGATTCATGTTGAGCTTACTGTCAACTAAAAAGCCTATGTATTTTAAAATCCATGCATGATTATTATTAAACCATCCCTCCCATCCCTCCTTCATTCTATATTTATGCAGCTGGTCTATTGAGCATAAGAGAAGGACTTCAATTTTTTGTTTTATTTTATTTTATTTTTTTACATGGAGTATCACTTTGTTGCCCAGGCTGGAGTGCAGTGGCACAATCTCGGCTCACTGCGACCTCTGCCTCCTGGGTTCAAATGATTCTCCTGCCTCAGCCTCCTGGTAGCTGGGACTACAGGCACCCGCCACCATGTCCAGCTAATTTTTGTATTTTTAGTAGAGGCGGGGTTTCACCATGTTGGCCAGGCTAGTCTCGAACTCCTGACCTCAAATGATCCACCCACCTTGGCCTCCCAAAGTGCTGGGATTAGAGGTGTGAGCCACTGTGCCCAGCCTAGACTTCACATTTTTAATTTTTTTATTGATACATAATTTTATACATATTTATGGGATATATGTGATATTTTGCAGGATATATATGATATTTTGTTACATGCACAGAATGTGTAATGATTGAGTTAGGGTATTTAGGATATTCATAACCTCGAGTATTTATCATTTCTATGTGTTGGGAACATTTCCAGTCCTCTCTTTTAGCTATTCTGAAATACACTGTACGCTGTTGTTAACTATAGTCCCCCTATTCTGCTATCAAATACTAGAACTTATTCCTTCTACCTAAACTGTATGCTTGCACTCATTAACCAATCTTTCTTTATCCCTTCCCTCCCCACCCCCAACACACCCTTCCTAGCCTCTGGTAACCATCATTCTATTCTCTACCTCAATGAAATCAACATTTCTAGCTCCCACATATGAGGAACAGCATGTGATATTTCTTTCTGTGCCTAGCTAATTTCACTTACTGCAATGACCTCCAGTTCCATCTGTGTTGCTGCAAATGATGATTTCATTCCTTTTTATGGCTGAATAGTATTCCATTGTGCATATATACTACATTTTTTTAAATCTATTTGTCCACTGATGGAAACAGGTAGATTCCATATCTTTGCTATTGTGAACAGTGCTGGAATAAACATGACAGTGTAGTAGGGTTTCCTTTTTTTCTGCATCCTTGCCAACATGTTATTTTTTGTCTTTTTAATAACAGCCTTTTTAACTAGGGTAAGATAATGTCTCATTGTGGTTTTAGTTTGTATTTCTCTGATGATGAGTGATGTTGAGCATTTTTTTCATATACCTGTTAAGCATTTGTATGTTTTCTTTTGAGAAATGTCTATTCATGTCCTTTGCCCACTTTTTAATGGGATTACTTGTTTTTTTTGCTAGTGAGTTGTTTGAGTCCCTTGTATTTTCTGGATATTAGCCCCTTGTCAGATGAATAGTTTGCACATATTTTCTTCCATTCACAGGCCTTCACTCTGTTGTGTCCTTTGTTGTGCAGAAGCTTTTTAGTTTAATATAGTCTCATTTGTCTATTTCTGTTTTGGTCACCAATGCGTTTCAGGTCTTATCCATAAAATCTTTGCCTAGACCAATGTCCTGAAGTGTTTCCCTTATGTTTGCTTCTAGTAGTTGTATAGTTTTGGGTCTTATTTAGGACTTCACATTTATCCCTATTAAAATTTATCTTGATTTCAGCCCAACATTATAACCTCACCAGCTTTTCATTCCAGCCTTTGATGTTCCTTATTTAGTCTATTTCAGTCTATTAACTAGTCTTCTCGAATGAAGATCTGATCTGCATACCACTCTTGTACTTGGTAAAATGCTCCTGTCACTGTCCTATGATTTTAACAAAAGGAGACCTGTCTCAGTCTAGGTTATGAGGGTGAAGAGGAGAAGAGGTAGGATAATAAATAGGGAGTAGTGGGGCCTGTGGTGAACCAGAGTATGTTATGGTGTTTCAGTTCACATTAGTTAAAATAATTAATAACAACAGCATGCTGACCAAATAGTACAAACTGAGCCTTGGTAAGTAGTAGGTAGTAACAGTTGTGTTACTAAGTTGGTGTCGTACTGCAGTGGTGTTCAAGTATGTTTAAACTGTCTAAGACTAAATAAGCCCCGCTGCTTTTGAAATTTCAAGCTGCATCAATATGCAGTCTATTTTTCATCTTAAGATAATGCTCAAGATGCAAACCAATCAAAATAGGGCAAAAGAAAACCATCAAATGAATCTTCTTGTAAACCGGGTCACACATCTGCTGTTGCTCTCATGAAATTCTACCCAGCAAAGGAATTATAAGGAAGAGCCCCGCTTTGAGGTCATTGCCAAAATTCCTCTCTGCACTGCTGGGTGGTAAATGCAGGCTGGAGAAGGTGCAGAGAAATTTGCTTATGTATCACCAACTAAGTAAGTGTTCAACACATGAAGCGGAGTGGTTTCTCAGGAAAACAAAACAATTACAACTAATGCACATTTAAAAAATTCCT
Source organism: Homo sapiens (assembly GCF_000001405.40). Taxonomy (NCBI): domain Eukaryota; kingdom Metazoa; phylum Chordata; class Mammalia; order Primates; family Hominidae; genus Homo; species Homo sapiens. The sequence continues at coordinate 83,619,938 of NC_000001.11, read as the reverse complement.
TCATGACATGTACGTATGTATGTATGTATACATACATATATACACACACACACATATATATATGCCTTTTGCATAATATGAAAACAATAAATATTTGAATGCATGAATGAATAAAGAAAGAGCCTATCCAAAGTGATCTGGGATAAACTCATTGCTATTTTCCCAGGTAATGAAGATGGCTATCTTTGTGCAGAACAGATGCTATGAGATCATGTCTCCAAGAGATGAACTGAGAATGAATTCACTTAAATTATGGTGCTCACAGAGAGGATTTTAGCTTGAACATTTGTTCATATGATTTATGGCACCCTCCATCCGGTGGAGTCAATGCAAAAAAATGAAACGTAATTACAGCATACAGACAGCAGTTTGCTTAAAAGAGAGCTGAAAGTTTGTGGGGATTTTTTTTTTAATGGGACAGGAAACCTATCCTAAAAGGAATAAAAAAAAGCTTTATAAAACATTTGCAACTCATCAGAAGTGTGAGTCTGACCTGCAGCAGATGGGGGAGGGGATGGTACTGGCTGTGACTCCAGAGAACCACCAAAGAAATTACCCCTAACCCCAGGTCCCTACTCTGTTACCACCTCCTCCAAGGCTAGCCTCTTCCAGATTCCCTTTTATTTTAGCCTAGCCTTTCCCTTTAGGGAAGAGAGCATTATTAATGTCCTTTCTCCTTGGCAACTCAAGTCTGGAATTTTAAATTTATAGTCTAAGAACTGTTCTGGTGTTTATATGGCTCAGGAGGTGTTATTATCAAATCCAATTAAAAACAGTCCTTCTGCTAATAAAAAAGTCAACACCTTCCCATTAAACTAGGACCCACCCTTACGTTAATTAATGGCTGTTAGTACCTTATTTGCTTTCAAGGGTCTCTTGGGTACTGGACTTCTGAGACAAAGCAGAATCTATTTGGTCAGTGGCTTTGTTTGATGCACATCCCTGATCCCCAGCTTAATTCTAAATCTGAACCTGCATCTCTTAACCTTTCTATGCCTTGCGACCTTCTCTGGAGATCCCATCCAGAGGGGCCTGGTTAATGGTACTTGTTTGGCAAAGATTTTTAAGATCTGCAGATGAACCTGGCTAATGAATAATAGTAATGCTTATGATACCCATCGAATGATAATTGGCCCTCTTTGGACCATTTAGGATTCAAATGCCTCCACCCAAATCGTTACATAAATGGCAGACAGCCTCTGAGGGTTCGATTTAGCTTTTGCTTTTAAATGTGCAAATTGGCACTGCTTTCATCAAGAAAGAAAATACAACAATGAATTGATATGACCTAACATTAAATGGCATTTTGTATTTTTCAGCATGCTTTTGGGTAATACATTATGTAACTCTCAAGCAAACGGCATTTATCTTTCTCAGGAATTTGAAGACAGTAGGATTCCTGAATCCTCAAAAACTAATCATGATCACCTCTGAGACCCGCTGTTGGGTCTGTTTTCCATAGATTTTGTGGTTAAAGACGTGATTGATGATTCTATTTCCTCTCCGAGAGTCAAGTGAATTTATCAGCCTCTGATTCTTGAATTCACCTAAAATAAGGTGTCTGGTTTGGGCATTTAAGCTCAGATTTGGGGGGCACCCACCCAATTCATCCTCTTTTCCTTATTACTCACCTACCAGTGCTTTCTTGTCGTTGCTGCTCCTGTAACTTTAATGGTGGGCATCAGCGCTGAAGAGCGGCTCTACAAATGAAAGTGTCTTCCGTGAGCGGAGAAAAGGGAATGCTCTATCACGGAAGCCTCACCTACAGACAATTTATCTAACAAACTCCATTTCCTGCATGCCATTTGCTGATATTTATCTTGCGTGTGGGCTCCCATGGAGGCTTGCCATGAAGGATTGTTCCGTTATAACCCAGAGTCATATTTTTTCCATCTAAATAATGAAGAGGCTTCAGCTTCCTTTCTCTTTTGTTTCCTACTGCCTAGATCAGATGTCCAAAATCAGAATGCTTTATTAATAGGAAGGTTGCCACCTGACCTTTTTTTTTTTTTTTTTTTTTGCTTATGAAGGGGCTCTCTTTGTACTTTCTCTACTTAAAAAATGTCTGTTGAATTTGACAAGTGTGGCTCCTTCCTTTCCCTCCGTCTCTTCCTCCCTCCATTCTCCTCCCCTCCTCCTTCCTTCCTTTATTCCTTCCATCTTCTCTTCTTCTTTATTTCTTAGATGTAAATTGCCAGCTTTTTTCTACATCAACTGCATTTACTTAAAGATTTAAAATAGTAATAGTAATAATAATAATAATAATAATAATAATAATAATAATAATGCTGTTCACAGAATCGCTTGACAGGGAAAGTGCTTTGTCTTAAAATATTTTAAATTAACAGTAACCTAAATAGCATAGAGGACTCTCCATTAAGGAAGTTTCTTTTTTCTTCTTTTTAAAAATCATCCAATTGCAAGCCATTCGTTGTTTTACATTTCTATGTTAAAGATATGCACCCTGAAACTGCATTACCTTAATAATCAATAACTCAGTGGGAGGTCCTAATGGGGAGAATTCACTGGAGCTACATTCCAGTTGAAGTAGCAAAGGACCACCATAGGCCTGCGGGCTATAATTAGACAACCATAAAACTAGGAGGTAAAGGGTGGCAGACTACATTAGCAGTAAAATGCTAACTTGCAAGTAATAAGTCTCGAATCTTTCATGTCTACTGGAGTGTCACTTATACTTGAACAAGGAAAATGTTATGTTAAAGAACAAATTTACATTTAGGATCCCTAAAGCTTAAGGACTGGTGAAGGTTAGTGTGGCAATGAGAAAACAAATGAATACAAATCTGCACACTTCACAATTTTCACTCAGTTCTCCCTTTCCTTCTTTCTTTTCTGTATATTCGTGTTTTCATCCCCCTCCAGGGTTTGAGAAACATCACAGAATTTAAACACGGGAAACCAATATAAAAACCCTCTCATGCAAAGAAACAGTGCGGCTGACTGTACATTGTTTCTATTCATGGCTCGCTAGTTTTACATTTTCTGATCAGTTACTGCCACTGAGACCAAGAAACCAGCTTCTTCAAGAGCATCCATAGACTGTCTGAAGGCCTTGCATTATTGATTTTCTGCTCATAGATTCCAGTTGCTGTCAATCATGGGCCAGATATACAAGATGGCAGTTAATAAGCAAAAGGACGGAGCTCCCATGAAGACAACAAAATAATTCAGGAGATCTGACTGAAACAGAAAATGCTAAAATCCTCAAGAGAAAAGAAATCAGATAAGCCTTCCTGGAAAGAAAAGTCCATGGTCAAACAAAATGACATGTTATCTTTGTAAGGGAGTATATTCCTGCCAGGTATGTCTGGAATTTGTTCACCAAATTAATTAATTGATGAAAACATTTATTAAGTTTCTGTTAGGCAACATTATCGGCAGTGAGGACACAGTGAGGAATACTGTTCTGCTTCTATTGGATAGAAACTTATAGTGTAAACATGTAATTACAAGAAAATGTGCTAAGCACTGTAGTACAGGTAAGTACAGATGGCTTTGTGAGTATAGAGGAGGGAGATTCAACAGCCTGGGGTGTGGGTGTCAGGGAAGATTTTACATGTGACAGTTGAGTTGCATCTTGAAGAATGCTTAGGAGCTCTATAAGCAAAGGGAGTGGGGCTACGTCAGGCTGAGGACCTAGCATGTGGTAAAAACCCAACACTTGCGCGTTCTTATTAATTCAAATTTAATGGACATATAAATTATTGAACAAGGCATTCTTTAAACTAGAGATATGAACTGAACACCCTGCTATGTTGGTTTTAAACTATTTGATGATTTTTGCCTCATCCTATATCAGCTGTAATCCCACAGTGTCTAACTCGTGCTTTGGTCAAAGAAACTGCTCAATAAATATTTGTTAATGGATTGATTAGAGAGAGGAAGACTGAACATGAACTGAAGGAAGTCACAAAATACCTTTAAGGAGTTATTAACTGTCTTGAGGACCTCTTAATGTGATCTTCAAAATCTACAAATTATTAAATGATGAGAAAAATAATATGAATTTGGCAGTAATGCATCCATTACAAACTCAACGTTTGGAAAATAGGATTTTCTGCTTGATACAATTTTCTGGTTAAAGAAGAGCTAGCCTAAATTCCTTATTATCATGCATCTTTTAAAGTTGTATTTGTTTGAGTTACTAGCGTTCTTTTTGGATAGCACGCTAAGGTTTCCATTGTTTTCTGAACAATCTGACTGGGCTTCCCCCTTCCTTACTCACTGTGCCCCAGCCATAGTGGCTCTTCCAAACATGGCCAAGTGTCTTCCCACTTCAGGGCCTTCTAACAGTTTATTCTTTCTTCCTGAAACATTTCCTCCCCTATAGGGCATCAAAGGCTTATGCAGCTGCTGGGAGAGCTGGGGGTTCAGTCTGACTGAGCTCAGCCTTTAGCATTAACTTCTAAAAAGTTGCTACCAACCCTTGCAGCTGCCTGTAGTACTGAAGCAAATGATTTGCAGGCCCTCACCCCAAATCCTCTGCAAACTTTCCCTCTGCAGTCTGACCAGGAGTCTGCAACTGTCACTGGAGAATAACACTTTCTTCTCTTCCTTTCTGTCTTTTATTTATTGTGAGACTCTAAACTCAGACCATAAAGAGAAAAGGATTCTGGGAATGTAGTTTCCAGTTCTTCTTCTGATAGACTGAAGAGAGTGCAATAAAAGAGGAGGCAACTAGGTTGAAATGACTGCAGATACCCCAGCACCCCAGATACCCCAACTCTTACACATCTTTTGTTTTCACTCAGCATTTCCTGGCTCCTAGACAAGATTAAGCTCCTGTCATAATGTTTTCTTTATAACACTAAGCACAAATGAAATAGTATAACTATATCAATAATTATGGGTCAAATATTTTTCTCATCCACTAGAAGAGCTAGTTCTTTGTGTTTACCAAAATACTCTGTCACACTAGCATATATTAGGTTCTCAGTAAATATTTACTGAAGAAATAAATGAAGTACCTCAAATTTTCTCCAATGCTTCATGCTCTTGCAATACCCAAAAGTCATCCTTTCTGAATATTGCAGCGATAAGATTGTGATATAGATGTAAGAAGTGGAAAAGATTGAGTTAAATTGATGGTTGCAGGGCAAACTTGCAAATTGTCTTAGAAGTTAACAAAAGTGAGGGCAATTTGGCATTTTTATCAAAGGTTTTGTAAACATGTGTATCTTTCAACCCAGAAATTCTAAGGATGAATTCTAACGACATTTTAAGCTGTGAAAGATTGATATATAAGGATTATTCATTGCATTATTCATTATATCTTCTGGAAAGAGATGTCCTTACTCTGCGTTTATACTTCCTCACCTCCCACTTACTTCTTAAACCACTGTTATATGCTTCAGTCCCCATAAACCCATTGAAAATATCTATCTAAGGCCATTAATGACCCTCTTCTCACCAATGAACTCTAGGGATATTTTAGTTTGTACCTGACTTGACCTCTTAGAGCACTTGACCTGCTGATTGTTTTCTCCCTCTTTAAACATCCTCTCCTTTTGGCTTCTAGTACTTGGCTTTTCTTCTGCCTCTTTGATCACCCTTTCCCAGTTCTTTTGTGAGTGAGCCTCTCTTCCTTCACTTTGTGGTTCTGCCCTAGAATCTCTTTTCTTCTAGCTTTCCCTGGGCAAGTTTATCATCTCCCATTATTTGAAATACCTTCTATATACTGAAAAAGCTCAAGTCTTTACTCAAAATATGCAATTGGCTACTGGACATCTCAACTCAGCAGACCCTGAACTTATCTAAAACCGAATGTGCCATCATCCCAGCAAATGAGCTTCATTTATCTGTTCAACCAAAAGTGTGAGTATGTGTGTGTGCTTGTGAGTGTGTTACAGAAATGAAGTTGAAGAATCTTTTTATTTACTTACAGGAAGGCAAGCTAATCGGTATCGGAGCATATGTGTTCCAGTGATTATTCCTTTAAATCTAGTCCTGTTTTCCTCACAATTAGTAAAATTCATTCCAGATTTTGGCAATAGAATTACTATTAATTTTTTTTTAGTGTTTTGGATTTTAAACCCCCTTCTTTTCTGAAATCTTTTCAGATATGTTTGTATAATACTATTAGACGTTTGTACCATTGGAACCAGAATCCATATACATCATATTTATTGGTTTCAAAATTGTATAATATAGAAATATCAGACATTATTTAACTGTTCTCTTATTCCTCCTTTCTAATAAAAGAGGCGTTTTGAAGTATTCTAGTGGATTGAGGGTCCAGGTAAGTTGGCTGTAGTCAGTGAAGTCTTTATATTAGTGTTCATGAATCTCAAAATATTTGATTTCAAAGAGAAATTCCTAGCAGGAGTATATTTACTTGTATTTCTATGTTCTTTTCCAAGAGATTTGTGTCCATCTTCTGGAAAAATCTGTTAGAAATGAAATAGAGCACCATCTTTTAAGGATTGGGGGATTCTTTTGTGCTCTATGAAGGAAGGGCTTCATATTATATAATTATGGGATGTTTTACTCTGCTTTAGTTGAAGATTAGGGAAGGATAGCTTTCAAGATGCTTTTGTCTTACTGATCTTTCATAATTCAGGTCAAATAAGAATATATCTCTGTTAGTTTGAGGACAAGAGGAAGATGGTAACTTATTTTCCAGAGGAGTATGACTTCAGCTTGATTCATTTGAATAAGTGATGTTTTAGGATGAGTTTTAGTATGCTCAGTAGCTGAACATCCTGTTCTGCAGCTTGCCTTCATGTAGAATGAAAAAAATACCAAACATCTGCATTCGTTTTAAAGCAAAACTAAGCTTTTATTTGCCCCCACAACCTCTGCCTAGCATCCACATTTGCTCCTCAGTGACCTTTTTCTGGCTTGTTATGGTGCCTTATACAATTAACGTGTAAATAGTGAAATGTCTATTCTCTTAATCAGGTTAGGCATTTGTTATGAATACATGAAAGTATAGAATATGAACCATTCTTCAAGATGAAAAGAGTCTTATTGAGAAGAGAACGTACATGTGTGAAATAAATGGAAAATAACTTAAATAAATTGGAGATCTTAAGCCTGGAGAAAAAAACAAGTAGCAGAGAGATGGGAAGGTTTGGCATAATAAATATTGTAATGACAGTCATGTTGAAAGAGTGATTTAACTTGTTCTTTTGACTACCAGAGGTAGAACTAAAAAATGGGTAGAAATTGGAAAAAGGCATCTTGGAATTTTAAATTATAATTGACCTGAGAGCAGAATGATTGGCCTGTGCTGAGAGAGTGTTTCTCGTCACTAACTTCATTCAAGGAGACTCTTGTTAAACACCAGTCAATGCTGTTATGGAAGGGATCCAAGAGTGAGATGGGAAGGTGGACAGGCAAACCTTTAAGATTCATTCTGACTCTGAGAGTCTACGTATATACTATTTTCAAGGTAGAGATGACAGAATTTTCTTATAGTTGGATAATATACTATATAGAAAACGCAGAATGGTAGCATTGTTTTAATGTTTAACAGGGAAATCTATATTTATTTAAAGTCAACTGATTGTAAATGTTAATCACATCTACAAAATACCTTCTTTTTTCTTTTTCTTTCTTTTTTTTTTTTTTTTTTTTTTTTGAGACAGAGTCTTGCTCTGTCACCAGACTGGAGTACAGTGGCGTGATCCCAGCTCACTGCAACCTCGGCCTCCTGGGTTCAAGTGATTCTCCTGCCTCAGCCACCTGAGCAGCTGGGACTACAGGCGCACACCACCAAGTCCAGCTAATTTTTGTATTTTTAGTAGAGACGGGGTTTCATCGTATTGGCCAGGCTGGTCTTGAACTCCTGACCTTGTGATCCACCTGCTTTGGCCTCCCAAAGTGCTGGGATTATAGGCGTGAGCCAGCAACACTGACATTATTGCTTGATTAAATAACTAGGTACTGTAGCCTAGCCAAGCTGACATAAAGCTAACCATTACAGCCACTATACTAATATCTTTCTAACAAGAAAATCTGAAGTTATCATATCTTCTTTCTCACGAAATTTTGTCATGCTGGTATTTAATAATTTAATAATTTTTCTCCAGAGTTGGCTTTGGTAAATGAGGTTGGCAATTGATAAACCATTTGCACCACTTTCCAAGTCATAGCAATGGATGGATTTATTCCTATTCATCCTATTTGTGTGTGTGTGTGTGTGTGTGTGTGTGTGTGTGTGTGTGTGTGTGACATGGCTGGCTTAGATTATGCATAACATTTTTATTTGAGTGACATAGCCCCACTGTAACCCACTGTAAGATGTCTTGGGGGTTGGCAGATATTAGCAAAACCTCAGTATCTTTGTGTCTTTAATATGTTACATTTAATACCATAATAATAATTGCAATAGCCCGTTATTGCCAAATAACGATTTCAAAATCATTATTTTCACTCATGTGTGTCTTGCCTAACTTTGGCTGTAGGTCCTGGGTCACTCCACATCTGCCCTGTGTTCCTACATACTTCTGCTATTAGTGGACTATATGGTTAGGTTTTGTGTCTCCACCCAAATCTCATCTTGAATTATAACCCCCTAATTCCCACATGTCAAGGGAGAGAGCAGGTGGAGGTAATTGGATCATGGGGGTGGTTTCCCCCATACTGTTCTCATGTCAGTGAGTTCTCACAAGATCTGATAGTTTTATAAGTGTTTGATAGTTCCTCCTGTGTTCATTCCCCTTCCTGCTGCCTTGTGAAAAAGGTTCCTTGCTTCCCCTTCGCCTTCTGCCATGATTGTAAGTTTCCTGAGGCCTCCCCAGCCATGCTGAACTGTGAGTCAATTCAACCTCTTTCCTTTATAAATTACCCAGTCTTGGGCAGCTTTTTATAACAGGGTGAAAACTGATTAATACATGGACTGTCTGAGACATGTCTATCTCACAGTTATAGCAGAAGAGCAAGGGAGGAAAGTGAAAAAATGGGATGCTTCTCTAGGCTTGGAGCTGACTGATATACTGTCTCCTTTACTCTTTTTAATTGCTTGTTTGTTTTTTAGAGACAGGGTCTTGCTCTGTCATCCAGGGTAGTGCAATCTTAGCTCACTGCAACCTTGAACTCCTGGGTTCAAGTGATTCTCCCGCCTCAGCATTTTATTGGCAATACAAGTCATGTCAATAGGATGGAGATGTATCTTCTGCTTCTAGTGGGGAAAACTGCAAAGTCACACAGCAAAAATCATGGATACAAGGAGAGGTGAAGGGTTGTACAAACAATTTAATTTACTATATTCTTAATTATGAATAGTTTTCTATGGCTGCCGTAACAAATTATCACAAACTTGGTGGCTTAAAACAACAGCAATGTGTTCTCTTGCCTTTCTAGAGGCCAGAAGTCTGAAATCAGTTTCACTGAGCTGAAATTGAGATGTTGCTGGGTCAAGCTCCTTCTGGAGGATCTGAAGAAAGTGCATTCCTTCCCTCTTCCACCTTCTGGTGGCTGCTGGTATACCTTGAGTTGTGGCCCTCTCTCTCCAATCTTTGCCTCAATGGTCACATTGCCTTCTCTTCTTCTATGTTTGACTTCTCCTCGTCTGTCTATGTGAACTCTCCCTCTGCCTCTCTTTTTAAGGACACATTTGAGTGAATTTAGGTCTCATCTTGATAATCCAAGATATTCTCTCCATCTCAAAACCCTTAATCTTATCTTTTGCATATAAAGTAATGTTCAAAGGTTCCAAGGATTAGGATTTGATGTCTTTGGAAGATATTTTTTCAGTCTACCACAGATAGTAGTAACGTTCATAGAAGGCTTACAGTATATAAGACACTAGTCTAAGCCTTCACATTATAACTCATTTATATTAACTTATTTATATTTCAAAATAACTCATTTACAACTTAACTCGTTTATATTTCAAAATAGCCCTTGATGTTGTTTCAGTCATTATCCTCACTTTTTGGATGAGGAAGCTAAGACAAAGAGAAGTTAACTTGTCCATCTAGTAGTGCCAGGATTTGGCTCCAGAGTCTCTCTTCATTACTGCACTGTACTGTTTCTCAACATTGCTTACAAATCAATAGAAATATAGATAAAAACCATGGCCCCTAACTGTGGAACTTTTAATGGTGAGCTTTTAATACCATTATGCAGTTAGCTTCTTGTACTCAGAAATATAAAATGAGCTCCTGATAATTTCAGGGAATGGCAAAACAGAATATCTTGGACGCTGTCACCGACTGTTTCAAAACTACTGGAGTGAGATTAATGACCATACTGCTGGGTGATAGTCCAGTAACCAAACTCTCAGTAGTGCTAGTGCTTTGCAGTCTAGAACATTTCTGTTTTACAAGGTTTCTTCTCTTCAAAATGACTAAGAAATTCTGACTAGTGCTTGATGAAGTTTGTATTCTTCCTCCCTGCAGAAAGCTGCCTTCAAGGAGCCTTAATACACACAATATAATAGAAAACAAAGTCTGAGTGATAATGATATTTAGGTTATTTTGAACCAGTCATTTAAAAGACTAATGTGTTTCTTTAAACACATACATTTTCTTAATGACTAAAATGCTGAGATTTTTAAGCTTAGCTTCTGATCTACTCTCCAAAAAGGAATGTTAGCTACATAAATCATTATGTTTGCTATTTTGACCTAAATACAACAATATCTAATTTATTATGTTACTAAGAACCCTAACATTGCACATGAAGGGATGACTCCAACGGCACTGAATATGAGCTACATGTCTCCGGTGATTTTTCCAAATATTTTTTACAGGACTTACTGAGACTTTCCTTTTTTCATTCTTTTAGCCCACATGTTTTTTAAGAACATTAATTGGCCGGGCGCAGTGGCTCACACCTGTAATCCCAGCACTTTGGGAGGCTGAGGTGGGCGGATCATGAGGTCAGGAGATTGAGACCATCCTGGCCAACATGGTGAAACTCCGTCTCTACTAAAAATACAAAAAATTTAGCTAGGCGTGGTGGCGCTTTCCTGTAATCCCAGCTACTCAGGAGGCTGAGGCAGGAGAATCCCTTGAACCCGGGAGGCGGAGCTTGCAGTGAGCTGAGATGGCACCACTGCACTCCAGCCTGGGCGACAGAGCAAGACTCTGTCTCAAACAAAAGAAAACAAAACAAAAACAAAAACATTAATTGCTACATATTTTAATCATTTGTCCTCAGTCAATCAAAAATATCTTATGTATAGATATCTTTTTTCCAAATGGCTTTGTTGATTTTTTAGGTACGCCAAAGATTTGCCATTAGATACTAAAAGCCGCTCTTAATTTTTTTCTCCAAGAATAAATACATTTAGATTTATGAGCTTTAAATAGATTCCCAGCTTATCAAAACTAAATTCTTAAGTCTGCTAAATTGATTTAACAGTAAAAACACATTGTCATTTAAGTTTCTGGAAGTTGAGACGAAAGCCAGTTTCTAAAGTACAAATAATAAACTTAAAGCAACACCCTTTCTTCTCATTTTTCACTTTCTACCACTTTGTTAGAGAACTGTCATTTAGATTAATTCTAAAGAAAAGTAGGAAGGAAGATCAAGACTTATAATTAGATTTCTACCATAGATAAAACTGCCAAAAATTAAAGATGGTATTTGAAACATGAAATTATGGGAGTATTATATCTATCTATTCCCTGAATATATTGTAGGCATAGAGAAAAACAAGTAAAATATTAGGAGATTTAGGATGTACATGTGTGTAGTGGAAAGGTAATATTTGAATGTTTCAGGAGCACTGGCTGCCTGCCAATGATGATGACATGAATCCTCAGGACAATATTATAATAAGCTAAGCTTATTTCCATCTTAGGATGCTAGAACCTACTCCCATTCCCTAGCCTGGAATAATCTTATCTCAGATAGTCACATGGCCCTGTCCTTCCATCAGGTTTCTACTCAAATACAATTTCCTCCAAGAGTCTTTCTTTTCTTTATTTTATTTAAATTTTTTAATTGACAAATAATAATTATATAATTTGTGAGGTACAATGTGATGTTTTGATATAATTTGCAATGTGGAATGATTAAAATGGGCTAATTGACCAATCTATCACCTCACATGTTTATCATTTCATGAAAACATTTAAAATCTACTCTTTAGCAATTTTTAAGTATACAATGCGTTATTATGTATTATAGTTAGCATTCTGTGCAATTGATCATTAAAGCATATTTCTAGCCTAACTGAAATTTTGTACCCTTTGATTAATATCTCCCCTTTCCCCATCTTACCCTCTCCTCCAGAGTCTGGTAACCATCATTCTACGTTCTACTTTTATGGTGGAAATGTAAATTAATGTAGTCACTTATGCAAAACAATATGGAGGCTCCTTAGAAAACTAAAAATAGAAAAATGATATAATCCAGTAATCCCACATCTGGGTATATATCCAAAGGAAATAAAATTGGTATGCTGAAGAGATATCTGCACGCCTGTGTTCATTAAAGTAGTATTTACAAAAGATATGGAAGCAACCTAGGTGTCCATCATCTTCAGATGGATGGATACAGAAAATGTGGTATATGTGCACAACTAAATATGATTCAGTCTTTAAAAGGGGAAAAACTCTGTCATTTGCAATAACATGGATGTATTTGGAAGACATTACGCAAAGTGAAATAAGCCAGGCACAAGAAGACAAATACTGTGTAATCTCAGATGAAATCAAGCGTGTTTGGGAGGTATGGCCATAGAAGTGCACAATCTCATATGTGGAATCCAAAAGAGTCCTTTCTTGACAATCCTATCAAAAACAGCAACCCCTGCCACTCTATCTGTCTCTGCTTGTTTTATCTTCTTGACATTTATCACTACTTCATTTTATATTAAGTGTTCATTTGTTAATTGTTTATTTTCTATCTCCTTCCTCCCCTAGACCAGGACTTGGTACGGAATGGGTGTCCAATACATATTTGCTATTCCTACTGTACCCCCATCTCATGCTTTCATTACAAATACAAACTTCATTTGTTTGTTTCTATCAATTGCTTATATATAGACACTTGAAGAAATGTGCATTTGGAAAATTTTTTAAAATTCAAAAATAAATAACCAGGAGTAAAATGAATTGTTCAAGGTCACATCGCTGTCAATAATTGTGGAGGGTCTTTTACCCTAATTGCAAGTTAAGTTAACTGGCCATAGTTTCATGCATGCTGGCAGAAAACATGAGACTCTTGGATCAGAAACAAAGGACTTTGTTTTCACAGCATAGCCAGCAGAATGAGCATCAAGTTTGTATCAGTTCCCTTTGTTCTCTCCCTCAATCCATCAGTCTCATGGAAGTGATGTGGGATTGCCCAACTTGATGTTATATGTACAGAAAGCGAGTCTGTGTCACAGCTTAGGAACTTTGAGCTTAAAGAATTTGAATATTTTATAATGAGTAGTATGCAAACCTGACCTCTATTCCAGAACAGTCACTATCTCTATCATCCAATATTACAAAACATACTTGGAAAGATAAGAATCGATTGTGCCACTGTTCACAAGACATGAAGAAATGCTAGAGATCCATGGAAAATTGTCTCCCAACGTTAGCCAGTTATTAAAAATTGGGGTGACATTCCTAACTCTTAATTATTGATTTACTAAATTACTTAAAACCTGCTCAATATTTAGTACAATGTTTGGAATATAGTAAATACTCAGTGAAAGTTAACTGTTCTCATTTGATATACTGCCTTTTCATCTTTGAGTTTCTCCTTTATTTCTGATGTGTACTATGAATATTGGGATAGGTTTATCTTGGTGAAAGTGTTATACTAGAAAAAATATCAGTCATAATCTAATCAATGTCGAACTCTACTCTGAACACATTGAGAGAGGAAGCCCCATTACAACAAATCACTAAATGAATATAGATACATCATGAGCATTTCATACCTTGTAAAACATAATAAATTTATGTAATTGTACAGTGGAGACTGTCAAGATCCTCTCACCCAGTTTGCCCTCCTTCCCCAGTTTTGCCAATTTACTTGTGAGGAAACGAGTTGAGGGACTAGGTTCCTTGTCCACTGTCATGTTGAGATAATAGCAAAGTGGGGGATATGATAGTCATGATGCAATAATATGCTTGTAACAATAACTTGAGTCTTATCTTCTTATACTGAATTTTTAAAGAGATTCTCAGTATAACTGGTTTGATTTAATTGTCGCTTTATTTATCCAGGAGAGTGAAGGACCGCCCAGACCTGAAGTTGATGAACTTGAGATGAATTGCAAGGAAAGCCAGTGGCTGCATGAGATTAAGAATACAGATTAAAGCTATGGGAAATCTTAACAGCATCAATTAATCAGTATTTATCTATTAAGTGGGAGATAGTACATCATAGTAGGTGTAAACTCTGGAGTCAGATTTGGGTGTGAATTCCTACTTGATTTAGCTTTTCAAAGTTATTTAATAGTGCATTGCCTCAGGTAATATATAGTTTAGACATAATAATTATATCTTTATTATAGGATTAAATGATAAAGTGCATACATACTGCTTAGCAAAGTTCATACGTAGCAAACACTTATTATTATTAGGATCATTTATACAGTTATGTACCCTAGATATTTAAGCAATTTAGGGTAGTTGTCATCTACTCTGCCTCCTAGATCCTTTTCCCAGCCTTCTCTGTCCTGCTTTCTGCACTTAGAGAAATAAGCCATTTTTGTTCTTTCAGTGGGTGACCTTGAGTTCAGCCATGGGGAACTCTGGTAGAGGATTGAGAAAGGGAGGAAAGGCTCACTATAAGCTCACTGTGACATCCATAAAAAGTCTTAGCTTCTGTCAGGCTACCGTTTTCGTATTGTCCTCTGTACTCCAAAGTTCTGGTAACTGCCTCCATCTCCCTGCCCACCACCTATAGGGAGGCCCACTAATACTGGTCACAGGGTATTCCATTGCCCTGTGTGGTCTCCTTAAACCTTGCTCCCACTTTTATGAAGAGTCTTTTTGTTCAACTCTCCTCAAATTATCTTAATCTGAATGTGCTCTCCAATTCTTGCTGATGTATCATTTTCCCATTTGATCTTTAAAACAACTCCATGTGTTACGTATAATTTTCACTGAACATATGAAGCTGCTGAGGCTTAGGTGAATTAAACTAATTTCCCAAAGACAATTGACTAATAAATGACAATGTCAAGACCAGAATCCAGTCTTTCTAGGTCCAAAGCCTGTGACCATTTTAATATGCCATATGTTTTATT
Organism: Homo sapiens; assembly: GCF_000001405.40. Classification (NCBI taxonomy): domain Eukaryota; kingdom Metazoa; phylum Chordata; class Mammalia; order Primates; family Hominidae; genus Homo; species Homo sapiens. The sequence goes on along the minus strand of NC_000001.11, from coordinate 83,604,769 downwards.
AGTCTTTATAATAACATATACTATTAATAGTCATATACATAATATGTAATAATGTATAATAATGTATACATTATTAGTCATATTACATTCCAAGTACATGGCAGATATTCAATAAACATTTTTAAAACTTTCTATCAAATGTAATTTAAATTTGAAGGTTATTTTTAGAGAGGCACAAATACCACCTCAGCAATATTGCATTTCATGTCACATAATTTGAACATACTGTTTTATGGTCTGACAATAATCTTACTACTTAAACATTGTCTGCCAAAGAACAGCACACTCTTCATGAGGAAATGCTGTTGGTGGGTTGCAGGGGAAAGAGGAGGATGACTTATGAGTAAGTCTTGGGAATTGTTCTGTTGATTTCTTTTTTAAAAAATAAATTTTATTGTATATATTTAAAGTAAACAACATGATCTAAGATAAATACACATATACACACACATATACATATATGTTAAAATGGTTACTACAGTGGGACAAATTCATCATCTTACATAGTTACTCATTTTTTTTTTTTTTTGCCCTGTGGCATGCGCAGTTATAGTCCATTCATTCAGCAAAAATTCTGAATACAATTCATTATTATTAACTATAGTTCTCATATTGTATGTTAGATATATTTGATATTCAACTTGTTCATCCTACATATTTGCTACTCTGTATTCTTTGACCTATATATCTCCATTTCCTCCTCCTAACCCTGATCCTGGTAAGCGCTGCTTTTATTCTCTATCTCTATATGTTTGACCTTTTATTTTTTTTAAGATTCTACATATAAGTGAGATCATGTAATACTTTTCTTTTTGTGTCTAGCTTATTTCACTTAGCATAATGCCTCCGGGTCCATCCACTTTGAGGCAAATGGCAAGATCTACCCCCTTTGTGAAGGCAGAATAATAAATACATATACACACATGTCTATATATACACATGCTCACTATTGCTTTTTTATCCATTTGTTCATTGACAGACACCAGATTTTTTTCCATATCTTGACTATTGTAAATAATGCTACAATGAACATGGGAATAGAATGCAGAGGCTTTACTAGGTGGTGATTTTATTGCCTTTGGGTGTATACACAGAAAAGGGATTGCTGGGTTATGTGGCAGCTCTATTTTTAATTTCTTTAGGAGCCTCCATATTGTCTTCCATAATGGCCGCACCAATCTACATTCCCACCAACAATATACGAGAGTTTCCTTTCTTCTGCCTTTGCCAACACTTGTTATCTTTTGTCTTTTTGATAATAATTATCCTAACAGGTATGAGGGGGTATCTCATAGTGATTTTGATTTGCGTTTCCCTGATGACTAGTGATGTTGAGCATTTTTTCTTATACCTTTGACCATTTTATGTCATCTTTGGAGAAATTACTATTCAGGTCCTTTGCTCATTTTTAATAAGGTTATAGGTTTTCTTGCTATTGACTTATATAAGTTCTTTATAAATCTTGGATATTAACCCTTTATCTCATAGATCATTTGCAAATATTTTTTTCCCAGCCTGTAGGATGCCATTTCATTTTGTTTACTATTTCCTTTGCTGTGCGAAAACTTTTTAGCTTGATATAGTCCCATTTATTTATTTTTGCTTGTGTAGCCTGAGGTTTTGGTATGACATCCAAGAAATTATTGCCAAGGCCCATGTAAAAGAATTTTCCCCCTATGTTTCCTTCCAGGAATTGCATGGTTTCAGGTCTTATATTTAGGTATTTTATCCATTTTGAGTTAATTTTTGTATATGTTGTTAAGATAAGAGTCCAGTTTCATTCTTTCCCAGCACCATTTATTGAAGAGACTATTCTTTTTTCATCATGTCTTTCTGGTATTCTTGTCAAAAATTCATTGGCCATATATGTTTGGATGTGTTTCTAGTCCCTCTATACTGTTCCACTTCTCTATGCGTCTGTTTTTCCTCCCATACCATACTGTTTTTATTACTATAGTTTTGTAATATAATTTTAAATCAGGAAGTTTGATGCCCCAAACTTTTTTTCCCCAGAATTGCTTTGACTATTCGGGATCACTTGTAGTTTCACATAAATTTCAGGATTGTTTTTTTCTATTTCTGTGAAAAATGCCATTGGGATTTTGATAAGGATTACATTGAACATATATATTGGTTTAGGCAGTATGGACATTTTAACAATATTAATCCTTCTGATGCATGAACATGGACTATCTTTTTATTTATTTGTGTCCTCTTCAATTTTTTCCTCTATGTTTTGTAGTTTTTAGTATACGGGTCTTTCACCTTCCTGGTTAAATTTATTCCTAAGTTTTGTTTGTTGTTGTTGCTATTGTAAATGGGATTGTTTTCTCAATTTCTCTTTTGGCTAGGCTATTTTTTGTGTCTAGAAATGCCACAGATTTTTGTATGTTGCTTTTATTTAATAATTTAAGATTGAGTCTTGCTTAGTCACCCAGGATGGAGTTCAGTGGTGCCATCTCAGCTCACTGCAACCCCCGCTTCCCAGGCTCAAGCCATTCTCATGCCTCAGCCTCCTGAGCAGCTGGGACTACAGGCACGAGCCACCATGCCTGGCTAATTTTTGTATTTTTAGTAGAGACAAGATTTTGCCATGTTGGCCAGCTGGTCTCAAACTCCTAACCTGAAGTGATCCACCCGCCTCATGCTGGGATTACAAGCATGAGCCACTGTACCTGGCCTGTATGTTGATTTTATATTCTACAGCTTTACTGAATTCATTTATTAGATCTAACAGTTTTTTGTTTTGAGTCTTTGAAAGTTTTTACATACATGATAATGTCATCCACAAATAGCAATAATTTTACTTCTTTCTTTCTGAGCTGGATAATTTTTATATTTCTCTTGTCTAATTTCCTTTGATAGTACTTCCTGTACTATGTTGACTAGAAGTGGTGAAAGCAGGCATACTTGCCTTGTACCAGAACATAGAGGAAAAGCTTTCAATTTCTCCCCATTGATTATGATGTTAGCTCATGGTTTTCTATAAATGGCTTTTATCATATTGAGAAACTTTCCTTCTGTACTAAAACTGTTAAGAGTTTTTCTAAAGAAAGGATGCTGAACTTTGTTCAATGCTTTTTCTGCATCAATTGATGTGATTATGTGGTTGTTGTCTTCCAGTCTGTCAATGTGATGTATTGTACTGATTGATTTACACATGTAAAACCAGCCTTGCCTGCCAGAGATAAAACCCACTTGATGATAATGTATGCTTTTTTTTTTGTATGCTTTTTTGACATGCAGTTGAATTCAATTCGGCTGATATTTTATTGAGGATTTTTGCATCAATATTCATCAGAAATTTTGGCCTGTAGTTTTATTTCTTTGTGGTGTCTTTGCCATAAATTTGTAATGACAGTGGTCTTGTAAATGTGTTAGGAAGTATTCCCTCCAGCTCTATGTTTTTGGAAGAGTTTAAGAAATGTCAATATTAATTATTCTTTGAAAGTTTGGCAGAATTCATCTGTAAGGTCATGTGTTCCTGGGCTTTTCTTTGTTGGGAGGTTTTAATGTACTACTTTAATCTCTTTGTGTGTTATTGGTCCATTCAGGCTTTCTATCTCTTCCTGATTCAACTTTGCTAGGTTGTATTTTACTAGGAATTTATCCACTTCCTTTAGGTTATCAGATTTGTTGACATGTAATTGTTCATAATAGTTCCTTATTATCTTTTCATTTCTTAGGCATCTGTTGTAATGTTTCCACTTTCATTTCTAATTGTATGTATTTGAGTCTTCTCTCTTGCTCGCTCTCTTTCGCCTGACTAAGGGTCTGTTGATTTTGTTTACTTTTACAAAAAAGTAACTCTTAGTTTCATTGATTTTTAATTGTTTTTTCTATTCTCTATTTGATTTATTTCTGTTCTGATATTTATTATTTTCTTCCTTCTACTAAGTTTGGGTTTAACTTGTTCTTTTTCTAGTTCCTTGAGGCAGAGTATCAGGATATTTATTTGGGATCTTTCTTCTTTTTCAATATAGCCATTTATTGCCATAAACTTTGTTCTTAGAACTGCTTTTAAGCTGCATCCCATAGGTTTTGGTATATTGTATTTCCATTGTTGTTTGTCTCAAGATATTTTTAAATTTCCCTTTTGATTTCTTCTTTGATTCATTGGTTGTTCAGAGCATGTTGTTTAATTTCCACATATTTGTGAATTTTCCAAATTTCCTCCTGTTGTTGATTCCATCTAGTTTCATACCATTGTGGGTGGAAAAAATACTTGATATGATTTTAATCTTAAAATTTGTTAAGACTCATTGTGTGGCTTACCATATGGTCTATCCTGGAGAATGTTTCATATGCACTAGAGAAAAATGTATATTCTACTTCTGTTGGATGAAAAGTTTTCTGTATATCTGTTAGGTTCATTTTGTCTAAAGTAAAGCTCAATTTCAGTATTGCCCTACTAACTTTCTGTCTGGTTGATTTGTCCATTGTTGAAACTGGGTGATATGGTTTGGCTCTGTGTCCCCACCCAAATCTTATCTTGAATTGTAATCCCAGCATGTCAAGGGAGGGAGCTAGTGGGAGGTGATTAGATCATGGGGGCGGTTTCCCCCATGCTGTTCTCATGATAGTGAGTGAGTGAGTTCTCATGAAATCTGATGGCTTAAAAGTGTGGCATTTTCCCCGCCCCTTTCTTTCTCTCCTTCCTCCTTGTGAAGAAGGTGCTTGCTTCTCCTTTGCCTTCTGCCATGATTATAGGTGTCCTGAGGCCTCCCCAGCCACACAGAACTGGGAGTCAATTAAACCTCTTCTATTTATAAATTACCCAGTCTCAGGTAATTCTTTATAGCAGTGTAAAAATGGACTAATACAGAATATTGGTACCAAAAAAAGTGGGGCATTGCTATAAAGATACCTGAAAATGTGGAATCGACTTTGGAACTGGGTAATGGGCAGAGCTTGGAATGGTTTGGAGGGCTCAAAAGAAGATAGGAAGATGTTGGAAAGTTTGGAATTTCTTAGACACTTGTTGAATGGTTTTGACCAAAATGCTGATAGTGATATGGACAATGAAGTCTAGACTCAAATGGAGATGAGGAACTTATTGGGAACTGGAGTAAAGCTCATCCTTGCTATGCTTTAGCAAAGAGACTGGCAGCATTTTGCCCTGCCCTAGAGATCTGTGGAACTTTGAACTTGAGAGAGATGACTTAGGGTATAAGACAGAAGAAATTTCTAAGCAGTAAAGCATTCAGAAAGTGACCTGGCTTCTGCTAAAAGCATACAGTCATATGCTGTTGACAAAGAGATTGTCTGAAATTCAAATTTATGTTTAAAAGGGAAGCAGAGCATAAAAGTCTGGAAAATTTGCAGCCTGATCATGTGGTAGAAAAGAAAACCCCATTATCTGGGGAGGCATTCAAGCCAGCTGCAGAAATTTGCATAAGTAATGAGAAGCTGAATGTTAATAGCCAGGGCAATGGGGAAAATGTCTCTAGGGCATGTCAGAGACCTTAGTGGCAGCCCCTCTCATCACAGGCCCAGAGGCCTAGGAGGGATAAATGGTTTCATCTGCTGGGATCAGGGCTCCTGCTGCTCTGTGTAGCCTCAGGACATGGTGCCCTGCATCTCAGCCACTCCAATTCCAGCTATGACTAACAGGGGCCAAGGTACAGCTTGGGCCATGGCTTCAGAGGGTGCAAGCCCCAAGCCTTGGCAGCTTCCATGTTCTGTTGGGCCTGTGGGTGTTTAGAAGATAAGAATTGAAGTTAGGGAAACTCTGCCTAGGTTTCAGAGGATGTATGGTGTGATATTGTGAAATATATATATTTGGTCTTTGACCCCATTTTCTGGCATACAACTCTTAAAATCCTTAGAATCTCCAAAGTGATGTATTTTTGCATGGCAGCCCTTAGGTAGCTTCATTCTGAAGCTGGTCACAAGAAAGATCAAGATATGATTAGAGGTATTAGAGGGTTGGGACTTTCATCCACACCCCACAACTCTGGGAAGGGGAGAGGGACTGAAGGTTAGCTTGATCACTGTATCACGCCATTCTTGCATTGCTATAAAGAAATGCCTGAGATTGAGTAATTTATAAAGAAAAGAGGTTGTAGGCTGTACAGGAAGCATAGCAGCTTCTCCCTCTTGTGAGGCCTCAAGAAGCTTCCAGTCACAGCAGAAGGCAAAGGGGAAGTGAGGTGTCTCACATGGCAGGAGCAGGAGCAACAGAGGGCATAGGTGCTATACTTTTAAACAACTAAATCTCATGAGAACTCACTCAGTATCTCAAGGATAGCCTCAAGAGGATGGTGCTAAACCATTCATGAGAAACTGCCCCCATAATCCAATCACCCCCAACATTGGGGATTACAATTGACCATGAGATTTGGGTGGGGACACAGCTCCAAACCATGTCAATTGCCAATGGACAATGGTTTAATCAATCATGCCTACAAAAAGACCCAAAAGGATGGCTTTGGAGAGCTTCCAAATAGCTGAACACATGGAGGCTTGCAGGAAGGTGAACAAGAACTCATCCATATACTGGGAGGATGGAGCAACCCAGCTCTATGGGAACAGAGGCTGCTATACTCAGGACCCTTCCAGACCTCTCCCCATATATCTCTTCATCTGGCTGTTTATTTGTATTCTTTGAAATATCGTTTGTAATAAACTGGTAAGCATCAGTGCTTCCCTGAGTTCTGTGAGCCACTCTAGCAAATTAATCAAACTTGAGGAGGGGGATGTGGGAACTCCAATTTATAGCTGGTCAGTCAGAAGCACAGGCAAAATAACATGGGGCTTGTGATTGACACTGGATGGGAGAGCAGTCTTGGGGACTGAGCCTCCAATCTGTGAGACTTGATACTTTTTCCAGGAAGACAGTGTCAGAATTGAATTGGAAGACACCCATTTGGTAGCTGCTGCAAAATTGATTGCTTGCTTGGTGGTAGGGAATATTGCCCCGATACGCATACACACATGTGGTCACAGAAATTTTCTGTGTTAATTGTTGCTGAGAGAGAAAATAGATAAAGCACTTTGAATTTGTGTGTGAGTTTTTTCTTCTCAGACTGGGCCTCTCTCTAAAATGTAAAGAACTCTGGGACTCTGGATGCAGATGAAAGAGGTGGATTTTTGTTTTGAAAGAAGCTGAGGGAGGGAGGTGGATGTGTTTTGCTATGTTTTGAATTTAGTTTTTTTCCTGCATTGTAGAATCTGATTTCCTATAGAAAAGTTCAGCATCTGTTTTGTGATTTGATGAATGGTTTTGAGCTGTTAATTTAATTGCTTCCTAGTAAGATACTAATGACCTTTTTGTTCCACTAAATACTAGTGTGTTTAGTTATAAATTAACCATAACTAAACACTTAGAGCTCCAATACTTAACAATTCATATTGCTCAGTTTCAGGCTGTAGCAACCAGGGTTGGTGTTATATATGGCCTGTGGATTTTGCTTCCAAAATCTGTCATAGGTGGAAAGGCCATTAAATTACTCATAACAGCAAATTCAGAAAAAAGCCCACTGCAGTATAAGCAGACAAAGGAGAAGAAAATAGAAAAATATCTCAACACCTCTCTAGGTCTGAGAAGTCTCATTTGATATTTTCAGCGTAGGAGCTGCAGACTGGAGTTTGGATGTTTCCCGTCCCAACTACCTCATAATTGCTTATTCTCTGGGTAGCCACCAAGCACAGGGTAGTGGTAGGGGAATTAAGCTAAAAGTTTGGGCCCCCACATCTATCGATCAGGTTTCAAATTTTCCTTCAAGAGTGAGAACATCTTTATGTATTTCATGGGAATAAATATTAATTCAGCACTTCTCCAGCTCTTCTCGTGTGGCTATTGAGTGTTGATTTGATTGGTTATTGAAATTAGGGCATTAATGCTCCCGCTGAACTTTAATTGGCTTCCTCTTGGAATTCTGCCAAGTAAGATCTTCTCCCAAAGGCCCCCAACTAAACAGGGAGGCCATGGAAGGTCTGGGTCTGCCTTTGGCAACTAGAGTAATGCAATTGCTTGGGATGTCTACATCATCAGGAGATTTATTCCCTGCCTTCTTTGAAATAGCACTTTCTCACTAACTAGGAATTCTCCCAAAGCTCCAAGATAAATATTTTTGGAAATCTAATGATATTTGATTTCCTCAAAATTGAGACAAAGATAAGGTACATATTCAGGAAGGAAAAAGGCAGGAATCTCACCCTCCACTCCTAGCTAAGGCATATTTGGTTTCCAAACTGCCTACAAATGGAACAGCTGCAAGAAATTGAAAGTGAGCTGAAGCTGGAGTGAAAGGATTGCATTGCTCGTTCATTTTCAGGATTCAGGGAGAGCTGTAGCATGGAATTTGGACCTCCCACACATGGACTTGATTTTATAGCAAAGCTGGTATAAGAGCCAAGGGACACCTTCACCAGAAGGAGCAGGGATTTTATAAAATTGAAGATCTGTGATAGCCATGTTAAGGAGGATAAAGGAATAGGTGTGTAAGCCAAATTTTGAGGTTTTTTTTAATCACTCCCACCCTAAACAACAACAAAAAATTGTATTTAGCATTTCAATTACTGTATTATGCTTTAGGTAAAATGATACCTTATTATTGAGATTAAATTTGAATCCTTTACAGGAATCCTGTAAAGATTGATATTGTTAAACCTTGGGCTCTCTATATCTTTAGCTATTAGAAAAGAATACATAAGGACTTTCTAAATTGTGATTTCAATTTTTTATTTTTCTGGAAAGATGTGTTTCTAACCTTATAACTCACTCATAGCTCTTCATGTTAAGCATGGCCACGACGTTCATGTTAAGAATGGGTTTCAGTATCTCTCAAGGTGAAACTCTACGTTGAACATGCAAATCACTGACATCAAATTCATCAGCCAATACTGTTAGCTCAACCTTCAGAATAAACCCAGAATTAGACTGCTTCTCACTACCCTCACTGATGCCATTTTTGTCTGAGCCGCCATTACCTCCTACCAACAGTTCCCAGTTGGTCTCCCTGAATATAATTCTGATTCCCTTCAGTCTTTTTGTCAAACCATATCTCAAGGCAGATGAAGTTACTCTTCTCAATACTTGCTAAGAGCTTTTTATACCACTCAATGTTAAAATCTTATAATGGCTTCCAATGTCCTACATGGTCTTCTCCCTATCCCTTCCTTATTCTTTCTCTTCCATCTCCAGTCAGTTTTTATCCAGATACTCTGGCCTCCTTGCTGAAATGGAGCTGAGAGTCTAGGAAGACTAAGGTGGGTAGTTTGCAGGAGAAAGTAATTCAGACAAGAGAGCTGTGCAAAGAAAAGTGCTGTAAAGAGAGAGGCAGAGCCGGGGATAATTACAGAGGATTCCCCTTGATTACCCACCACAGTACTAATTAGCATATGCATGTGAGGAAACTATCTGAGGCCAGGGAAAGGACTTTTCAAAGAGAATAGAAGGAATAGTACCCAGTGCTCAGAAAAAGCTAGAAATAGCCAGACTGGAAAACTTTGCATTTCATGGAACATTGGTTAGAGCCTTTAGAGGGGTCTTAGTAGTAGAAAATAATTAGCTCTCAACAAAATGCCACTCTTCTCCCACCTAACAGATCTTAAAAGAAAGATCTGAAAAAATTAAATTATTTCAACTAAATTAACTGCATTGCAGAACCAAGTATGAGAATATTTATAGGAATATAAAAATGTCTAGCACTGAAAAAGGTAAAATCACAATATCTAGCATTGCTGAAAGATGAGCAGACATAAAAGAGGCAGAAAAATATGACTTTGAATAAGAAAACTCAATCAATCAAAACTCATTTGGAACTGACACTGGTATTAGAATTGCAGACAAGGACATTTAAACATCTATTATAATTGCATTTCTATTATTCAAAGAGCAAAATAGCACATAAAAGTCATGAGATGGACTCAAATCTAAGTTCAAGAGAAAAAAATATATCTGATGTAGCGATGGAACGTATTTGGGACCGGAGGAAGCAGAGCTAAATGGCTGAATAGAAGCCTCCAGTGATTATAACTTCAAAAAGAATAGCAAATTGAACAACTATCCACACAAAAAAGTACCTTCATAAGAATCAAAAGTAAGGTGGGCAGTCACAGTACCTGGTTGTAACATCATATTAAGGAAAGAGGTACTAACGAAGATAGAAAAGAAAATCTTGAATTGCCTATGCTGCCCCTCCCCACCCCCTGACAGCAGCTGCATGGCATAGAGAGAAAATTTATGAGTTTTGGGGTGGGAAAATTCAGTAATTGTAGGACTTTGTATTGGAACTCAGTGCTGCCTTGTCACAATGGAAAGCAACATGGAGCAGAACTCAGCAGGGCCTATGAAGGAAGCATTTAGACCAGCCTCAATGAGAGGTGAATTGCCCATCCTAGAGGTTGGAACCTGAGTTCTGGCAAGCCCCACCACTGTGGGCTAAAGAACCCTGGGGTCCTAAATTAACTTGAAAGGCAGTCTAAAGCAAAAGGACTGCAATTTCTGGGCAAGTCTTGTTTCCATGCTGGGTTTGGAGCCAGTGGACTTAGAGTACATGTGACTTAGTGACACACCGGCATGGGTGGCCAAGGGAGTGCTTTCCTCACCCCTCCCCTGACCCCAGGTGGTGCAGCTCACAGCTCTGGGAGAGACTCCTTCATTCCGCTTGAGAAGAGGAGAGAGGAAAGAGGATTTTTGTCTTGCAACTTGTATACCAGCTAAACCACAGTAGAACAGGGCACCTGTGAGAGTCCTGAGGCCCCCATTCTAGGACCTTGCTCCTGGATGTCATTTTTAGACACATCCTGAGCCAGAAGGGAACCTGCTGCTTTGAAATGAAGGGTCCAGTCCCAGCAGAACTTGTCACTTGCTGACTGATAAGCCCTTAGGTCCTCAATAATCAGCAGTGGTAGCCAGGTTATACTCATTGTGGACCTTGGTTGAGACTCAGAGCTGGGCTGGCTTCAGATGTGACCTAGCACATTCCCAGATGTGGTGGCTATGGGGAAGGACTCCTTTTTCTTGAGGAAAGGAGAGGGAAGAGTAAAGGGGACTTTGTCTTATAGCTTGGGTGCCAGCATTGTCACAGTGGGATAGAGTACTAAGCTCTTGGGGGTCCCTAATTCCAGGCGTTGGCTCCTGGACAGCATTTCTGGACCTGCCCTGGGGAGTGGGGCGCCCACTGCTCTGAAAGGAGAGACCCAGGCCTGGCAACGTTTACCACAAGCGAACAGAAGAGCCCTTGGGCCTTGAGTGAACATTGATGATAGATAGGCAGTGGTCACTGTGGGCCTTAGGTGAGACTTAGTGCTCTCTTGGCTTTGGGTCTGATTCAGTGCACTTCCAGTGTTGGTGGCCACAGCAGTGCTTGTATTACCCCTACCCCAGCTCCAGGCAGCTCAGCACAGAGAGAGAGACTACATTTGTTTGAGAGAAAGTAAAGGATGAGAACCAACATTTCTGCATCGTATTCCCAAGGAATTCTGGATCTCACCCAAGACCACCAAGGCAGTACCTCTATGAGTCTGCAAGAGCCACAGCATTACTAGGCTTGTGGTGCCCCCTAATGCAGATATGGCTGCAGTCACCAAAGATTTATATCACAACACCTGAGTGAGACCCTTTGAAAACCTGAAAATCTCCCAAGAAGGATGGGTACAAATAAGCTCAGATTTGCAAACACTACAATAAATTCCTAACTCTTCAATGTGCAGACACAGATGAACATTTACAAGCATCAGGACCATCCAGGAAAATGTGACCTCACCAAACAAACTAAATAAGGCACCAGTGGCCAATCCCAGAGAGACAGAGATATGTGACTTTTCAGACAGAAAATTCAAAATAGCTGTTTTGAGGAAGCCCAGCAAAAGGAATTCAGAATCCCATCAGAAAAATTTAACAAGGAGATTAAAATAATTAAAAAGTATGAAGTAGAAATTCTGGAGTTGAAAAATGCAATTGACATACTGAAGTCCCTTAACAGCAGAATTGATCAAGCGGAATAAAGAATTAGTGCACTTGAAGACAGGCTATTTGAAAATACCCAGTTAGAGGAGGCAAAATGAAAAATAATAAAAAAGAATGAAGCATGCCTATAAGATCTAGAAAATGCCTCAGAAGGGCAAATCTAAGAATTATTGGCCTTAAAGAGGAAGTAGAGAGAGAGAGAGAGAGAGATAAGGATACAAAGTTTATTTAAGGGGATAGAGCAGAGAACTTCCTAAGCCTAGAGAAAGATATCAATATTCAAGTACAAGAAGAGTATAGAACACCAAGCAGATTTAACCCAAATAAGACTATCTCAAGACATTTAATAATCAAACTCCCAAAGGTCAAGGAAAAAGAAATGATCCTAAAAGCCACAAGAGAAAAGTAACAAATAATATACAAAAGAGCTCCAATACATCTGACTGTAAACTTCTCAGCAGAAACTGTACAGGCCAGGAGAGAGAGGCATAACATATTTACAGTGCTAAAGGAAAAAACTTCTATCCTAGAATCTATCCAGTGAAAATATCCTTTAAACATGAAGGAGAAACAAAACAAAGACTTTCCCAGACAAACAAAAGCTGAAGGATTTTGTCAATACCAGAGCAGTTCTACAAGAAATGCTAAAGGAAGTTCTTCAATCTGAAACAAAAGAGAACATTAATGAACAACAGGAAATCATCTGAAGGTGAAAAACTCACTGGTAATAGTAATGACACAGAAAAACAAAGAATATTATAATATTGTTATTGTGGTGTGTAAACTCCTCATATCTTGAGTAGAAAGACTAAATGATTAACCTATCAAAAATAATAACTACAACAACTTTTCAAGGTAAAGACAGTATAATAAAATGTAAATAGAAGCAATAGAAAGTTAAAAAGCAGGGGGATGAAGTTAATGTATAGAGTTTTTATTAGTTTTCTCTTTGCTGGTTTGTTCGTTGTTTATACAATCAAGGTTAAGATGCCATCAGCTTAAAGCAATAGGTTATAAAATCTTATTTGCAAGCCTCATGGTAATCTTGAATCAAAAAATATACAACAGATACACATAAAATAAAAAGCAAAACATTAAAACATAGAGAAAATCACCTTCACTAAAAGGAAGACAGGAAGGAACGAAAAAAGGAAGAGGTGACCACAAAACAACCAGGAAACAAATAACAAAAATGGCAGTAGTGAGTCCTTACTTATCAATAATACGTTGAATGTAAATGGAAGAAACCATCTAGTCAAAAAACATAGAGTGTCTGAATGGAATTTAAAAAAAAGAAAAAAACAAGACACAATGATCTTTCACCTGCAGGAAGCACACTTCACCTATAAAGACGGGCGTAGATTGAAAATAAAAAGATGGAAAAATATATTTTATGCAAATGAAAGACAAAAATGTACAGGAGTAGCTCAACTTATATCACACAAAACAGATTTCAAGACAAAAACTGAAAAAAGACAAAGAAGTTTATTATATAATGATAAAGTGATCAATTCAATAAGAGGATATAACAATTATAAATATATATGCATCCAACAATGAAGTACCAGGTATATAAAGCAAATATTATTAGAGCTAAAGAGAGAGATATATTCCAACACAATTAATAGCTGGAGAATCCAATACCCCACTTTCAGCATTGGACCGATCATCCAGACAGAAAATCAACAAAGAAATATCAGACTTACTCTGCACTGTAGACCAAATGGACCTAATAGATATTTACAAAACATTGTATCCAATGGTTGCAGAACACACATTCTTCTCCTCAGTACATGGATCATTCTGAAGGATAGATCATGTGTTAGGCCACAAAACAAGTCTTAACAAATTTAAGAAAATTAAAATTATATTAAGTAACTTATCTGGCCACAATGGAATAAAGCTAGAAATCAATAGCAAGAGGAATTCTGGAAACTATACAAACACATGGAAATTAAACAATATGCTCCTGAATGACCAGTGGGTCAAAAAAGAAATTAAGAAGGAAATTTAAAAATTCCCTGAAAGAAATGAACATAGAAATAAAATATACTAAAACCTATGGGATATAGCAAAAGCAGTATTAACAGGAAAGTTTATATAAATAAGTGCCTACATCACAAAAGAAAAAAAACTTCAAATAAACAACCTAAAGGTACATCTTAAAGAACTAAAAAAATCAAGAGCAAATCAAATCCAAAATTAGTAGAAGAAAAGAAATAATAAAAATCGGAGCAGAAATTAATGAAATAGAAACAAAAAAATACAAAATATGAATGAAATGAAAAGTTGTTTTTTGAAAAGATAAAATGATAAACCGTAAACCAGACTGAGAACAAAAGAGAGAAAACCTAAATAAATAAAAACACAAAAAAGGGGAGATTACAACTGATACCACAGAAATTCTAAGAATCATTAGAGACTACTATGAGCAGCTATATGCCAATAAATTGGAAAACCTAGAAGAGATGGACAAATTCCTAGACACATCCAACCTATGAAGAATGAACCATGAAAAATCCAAAACCTGAACAGGTCAATAACAAGTAATGAGATTGAAGCCATAATAAAAAGTCTCCCAGAAAAGAAAATCCCAGGACCTGATGGCTTCACTGCTGAATTTTACCAAACATTTAAAGAGGAACTAATACCAATCCTATTGAAACCATTCTGAAAAAATAGAGGCATCCAAATTCATTCCATGAGGCCAGTATTGCCCTGATACCAAAAGCAGACAAAGACACATCAAAAAAAGAAAACTACAGGCCAATATCCCTGGTGGACCTTAATGTACAAATCCTCAACAAAATACTAGGAAATGGAATGTATCAATGCACTAAAACGATTATTCATCATGATCAAGTGGGATTTATCCCAGGGGTGCCATGGTGATTCAACATATGCACGTCAATCAGTATGATACATCATATCAATAGAACGAAGGAAAGAAACCATATGATCATTTTAGTTGATGTTGAAAAGACATTTGATAAAATTCTACATCCCTTCATGATAAAAACCCTCAAAAAACTGGGCATAAAAGAAACATACCTCAACCCAATAAGAGCCATAAATGATAGACCCACAGCTAGTATTGTACTGAAGAATGGAAAACTTAAAGAGTTTCCTCTAAGATGTGGAACAAGATAAGGATGCCCACTTTCACTAATGTAATTTAACATGGTACTGGAAGTCCTAGCTAGAGCAATCAGACAAGAGAAAGAAAGGGCATCCAAATTGGAAAGGAAGAAGCCAAATTAGCCGTGTTTGCAGATGATATAATCTTACATTTGTAAAAACTTAAAGACTCCACCAAAAAATATTCTAACTGATGATCAAATTCAGTAAAGTTGCAGGATACAAAAGCAACATACACATATCAGTAGCATCAGTAGTTTCTGCATGCCAACAGTAAACAATCTGAAAAAGAAATCAAGAAAGTAATCCCATTTAGAATGGTTACATGTAAAATAAAATACGTAGGAATTAGCCAAAGAAGTGAAAATCTCTACAATAAAAACTATAAAACATTGATGCAAGAAATAAAAGAAGACACAAAAAATTAAAAGACATTCCACGTTTGAGGGTTTGAAAAATCAGTATTGTTGAAATGTCCATACTATGCAAAGCAATCTATAGATTCAATGCAATCCCTATCAAAATATCAATGACATTCTTCATAGAAATAGAAAAATTAATCCTAAAATTTATATGGAACCACAAAAGAACATAAGTAGTCAAAACCATCCTTAACAAAAAAGAACAAAATTGGAGGAATCACATTGCCTGACTTTAAATTATACTACAGAGCTATAATCAAAACAGCATGACACTGGCATAAAAACGGACATATAGACCAATGGAACAGACTAGAGAACCAAGAAATATATCCATACACCTACAATTAACTCATTTTTGGCAAAAGTGCCAAGAACATACTTAAAGGACAGTATCTTCAATAAAGGGTTCGGGAAAACTGGATATTCACATACAGAAGAATGAAACTAGACTCCTATCTCTCACTATGTACAAAAATCAAATCAAAGTGGGTTAAAGAGTTAAATCTAAGATTTCAAACTATGAAACTATTGGAATAAAACATTAGGGAAACTTCAGGATATTGGTCTGGGTGAAGATTTCTTGAGTAATACCATAAAAGCTCCGTCAACCAAAGCAAAAATAGACAAATGGGATCACATCAAGTTAAAGCATGTCTGTACAGCAAAGAAAACAATAAAAAAAATGAAGAGACAACCCACAGAATGGGGGAAATATTTGCAAACTATCTATTTGTCAAGGGATTAAAAACCAGAATATATAAAGAGCTCAAACAACTCAATAGGAAAAAGTCAAATAATCCAATTTAAAAATGGGCAAAAGATCTGAATAGACATTTTTCAAAAGAAGACAAACACATGGCAAACAGGTATGTGAAAAGGAGCTCAACATCATTGGTCATCAGAGAAATGCAAATAAAAACTATCATTGCATCATCAACTGGGATATAATCTCCTAGTTAAAATGGCTTTTATCCAAAAGGCAGACAATAACAAACACTGGCAAGGATGTTTGGGAAAGGGAACCCTCATACACTGTTGGTGGAAATGTAAATTAGTACAGCCACTATGGAGAGTAGTCTGGAGGTTCCTTAAAAAATGAAAAATAGAACAGTAATATGACTATTACTGAAAATATGACCCAGTAATTCCACTGCTAGGTATATCAAAAGCAAATAAACCAGTATTTTGAAGAGATATCTGCACTCCCATATTTATTGCAGCATTATTCACAATAGCCAAGATTTGGAAGCCATCTAAGTTATCCATCAACAGAGGAATGGATAAAGAAAATGTGGTGTATATATACACAGAGGAGTAGTATTCAGCCATAAAAAAGAGTAAGAGCCTGTCATTTGTAACAGCATGGGTGAAACTGGAGTGTATTATGTTAAACGAAATAAGCCAGGCACAGAAAGACAAACTTCGCATATTCTCACTTATTTGTGGGAGCTAAGAATTAAAACAATTGAACTCCTGGAGAGAGAGAGAGAGTAGAATGATGGTTACCAGAGGCTGGGAAGGGTAGTGGCAGTGGGGGTGTGGGGGATGTGGGGATGGTTAGTGGATACAAAAATACAATTAGAATGAATAAGATCTAGTATTTGATAGCACAACAGGGTGACTATCATCAACAATAATTTATTGTCCATTTAAAAATAACTAAAAGAGTAAAATTAGATTGTTTTAACACAAAGAAAGGATAAATACTTGAAGTGATAGATACTCCATTTATCCTGATGTGATTATTACGCATTGTTCACCTGTATCAAAATGTCTCATGTAGCCCATAAATATATGCACCTACTGTGTATCCACAAAAATAAAAAATAAAATAAAAATAAAACAGTAGTATAAAAAATATACTATATGATATTAACAGCAGATTATACCAGGCTTTCAACCTTTTTTATTATTACCTCCAAGCAGCCTTTTTGGACGTTTATTTTCTAATCTCCTCCATTCCCCATGAAACTTATAACCACACATGTACCATATAATATTTTGTTTTTGTATCTCAAGAGCCAATTTTTGCCTTCTTAGGAGAGAATTTTCTCTGCTGAAAATGTATGAATTATATATTATAGATGGAAAGATGACTGAAGTTGAAGCTATAGCAAAGGAACTGTTCAAAATTAAATACTCAGAAAAAAAAGAACTGTAAAAACTGCAAAGAACATCAGTAAATGATATGGTTTGGCTCTGTGTCCCCACCCAAATTTCATGTTGAATTGTAATCCTCACATGTCGAGGGAGTGGCCTGGTGGGAGGTGATTAAATCATGAAGCAGACTTGTGCCTTGCTATTCTCGTGATAGTGAATGAGTTCTCACAAAATCTGATTAATTAAAAGTGTCTGGCACTTCTCCTTTTTCTCTCTCTCCTGCTGCCTTCCACCATAATTGTAAGTTCTTTGAGGCCTCCCGGGCCATGCGGAACTGTGAGTCAAGTAAATCTCTTTTGTTTATAAATTACCAAGTCTCAGGTGGTATTCTTTAAAGCAGTGTGAAAATGGACTAATACAGTGAACTACGGGACAACTTTAAGTGGCATATTTCAAATGTAATTAGAGTTTTCAAAGTACATAAGAGAAAGGGAAAGAAAAAAGATTGGAAGAAAATGGTTAAAAAGTTTCCATATATAATAAAAACTATAAACCCGAAGATAAGCTTATTAAATTTCAAGTACAAGAAACATGAGGTAAACTTCAGCAAGAGACATCATAATCAAATTGCTCAAAATAATAGATAAGATAATGCATGCAAAGGAGAAAAAAAACCTGGTAAGAACAGAGGAACAAAGATAGGAATGATAGTGAATTGCTCATTGAAACAATACAAGGACTGGGCACAGTGGTGCATGCCTGTATTCCCTGCACTTTGGGAGGCCAAGGCAGGCAGATCATGTTAGGCCAGGAGTTTGAGACAAGCCTGGGCAACATGGTGAAACCCATCTCTTCAAAAAATAAAAAATTAGCTGGGTGTGGTGGCATGCACCTGTAGTCCCAGCTACCAGGGAGGCTGAGGTGGGAGTATCACTTGAGCCGAGGAAGTCAAGGCTGCAGTGAGCTGAGATCATGCCACTGCACTCCAGCCTGAGTGACAGAGAGGCCCCGTCTCAGAAAAATAAAGGAACAATACAAATAAGAAAGCAGTGGGACAACATTTTAAAATTACTGAAAGAAAATTTAGGCATTTAAGTTAAAGTATCCAATGAAAATATTGTTTAAAAAAGAAAGTGAAATAAAGATTTTATTTTTTTGTTTTATATATACAGAAACTGAAGAGCCTTTTCAACAAATGGTGCTGGGAAAACTGGATATTCACATGCAAAGAATGTAGTTTCACCCTTACTGTATTAGCTTGCTGTGGCTGCCAAAACAAAATACCAGAGACTAGGTGGCTTGAACAGTAGAAATTAATTTTCTCACAGTTCTGGAGGTGGAAGTCCAAAATCAAGGGGTTGTGAGGTTTGGTTTCTCCTCAGGCCTCTCTTTGGCTTGCAGATAGCCACTTTTTCACCATGTCCTCATATGGCCTTTTCTCTGTGCATTCACATCCCTGGTGTCTCTCTCTTTATTAATTAATTTTTTTATTTATTTATTATAAGGGCACCAGTCCTACTGGGTTAAGGCCCCACTCCTATCATCTATCATCTCATTTAACCTTAATTACCTTCCTGAAAGTGATACACTTAAATGCAGTCACACTGGGGTTAGGGCTTACAATATGAATTTTGGGGGGACATAATTTAGGCCGTAACACATACCTGAAATCATACATAAAAATTAACCCCAAATGGATTAACCATCTCAATGTAAGAGACTAAAACTATAAAACACAGGGAACAAACTTGATGACATTGAATTGGGCAATGATTTTTTGGATATGACATTAAAAATATAGTCAAAAGAAGCAAAAATAGACAAATGAGACCACTTAAAAACCTCTGTACATCAAAGGAAACAATCAACGGAGTGAAAAGGCAGCCTACAGAATTGAAGAAAATATTTACAAATAATCTATCTGAAAAGAGGTGAATATTCAGAATATAGAAACAACTTCTACAACAACAAAACTCCAAATAATCTGATTAAAAATTGGGCAAAAACCTGGTTGTCAATTGCCTGCTCTCCCACCTGCACTCAGGTGGCGGCCAGAATCCCTTCTTTTGCAAGCTTCTGCAAAGCCTGTGCAACTGCTCTTGGCATGGAAAGTCACACACTAAGTTGCTACTTATTCTGTAGCCTTCTGCAACCCACAGGTTCCCAAGGGTTGCAGCTCCTGCCTGGTCCCAGGTCCCCAAACCTCCCAACATCGGTTGCTGATTGCTCTATCTATATGCACACTAGAGGCTGGGCTCTATTCTTGCAGTTGAAGAAATTTCAGGTGGGCTCTAGGATGGCCAAAGTATCCGAGTTCTTTGCTATTCAGTGGGTGAACCGCATGTTTTCCCAAGAGGTATGAATTCCTCTCAGGTTTGTCTTTTTCTAGGTTCTCAGCTCTAGGGTGCTTTGCAGAGGTTCCTTATATGTTACAGTTACTTTTTATCATAGTTAATGATTCTTTGTATTAAACATCTCCTGTTGAACTTATAAAAAATTAGCCAGAAGACTTGAATAGATATTCCTCCAGAAAAGATATGTACATGCCCCACAAGCAAATAAAAAGATGCTTCATATTGTTAATCATCAGAGGAATGCAAATTAAAACCACAATAAGATATCACCTCATATCCATTAGGATGACCACTATAAAAAATTGGAAAATAGCAAGTATTGGCCAGAATGTGAAGAAATTGATACACTTGTGCACTCTTCGTTGGAATGTAAAATAGTGCAGCTACTGTGAAAAATAGTATGAAAGTTTCTCAAAAAGTTAAAAATAGAATTATGATATGAAGATTAGAATTAGATTAAAAAATTAGAATTATGATATATAGCAATCCCACTGGTATGGACTGAATGTGTTCCTCCAAAATTTATATACTGAATTCCTAATTCCTAATATGATAGTATTTGGAGGTGGAACCTTGGGGAAATAATTAGGTTTAGAGGAGGTCATGAGCATGGAGCCTCTGTGCTGGGATTGTTGGTCTTATTAGAGGAAGAAACAAGAACCCTCTGTCTCTACCATGTGAGAATACGCAAGAAGGTGGCCATCTGCAAATCAGAAAAAGGGCCTTCACCAGACACCAAATCAACTGACACCTTGATCTTGGACCTCTCAGTCTACAGAACCGTGGGAAATAGATGTTTGTTGTTTAAGCCACCAGTATATGGTATTTTGTTATAGCAGCCTGGACTAAGACACCCACTTTTTGGAATATATCCAAAAGAATTGAAAGCAGGATCTCAGAGAGATATTTACATACCCATGTTTATTGCAGCATTATTCACAATAGCCAAGAGGCAGAAGCAACCCAAATGTCTACCCACATGATGGCAGTGGTGGTGCATCTGTAGCAGCCACTGTGAAGATGCCAGCTGCAGCAGGGGAGGTGTGGCCCAGGTTGCGCACTCCATGGAGCCAGCAGGAGCCAGGAACAGGTGGGAGCCCCACCCGCTTCTGAGTTGGCAGGGTGGGAGCTCTGTGCTCCCCAGGCTCAGCTGCAGCTACCCAGCTGCAGCTCCAGATCCCAGCATCTCTCCACTCTTAGGGGCCAGGATCAGTTGGGAACCCCACCTCCTGCTGAGTTGGCAGGGTGGGAGCCCTGCCCTCCCAGGTGCAGCTGCAGCTGTGGACCCAGGCATTCCTGTGCTCTCAGGGCGGGGAACCTGCCCCACCCCTGCAGGCTGGAAAGTGCCTGCTCCTGCTGCCAGGCCTCTTTCCACTCCTCATGTGATCTGACTTTGAAGCAAAGTTGAGGCTGAGCCTGGGTCCTGTCACGACCCAGCTGAGTGTGTGTGCACTCAGGGGTGTGCTGACACACCAGCCTCCTGCTGCCCCAGCCCCCTCCAGACTTTCGGTGCTGACAAGCATGGAAGAGAGGCCCATCAGCTAGAGGCAGACAGGCTTCTGGGTGGAAAGGGGTGGGTCCCCACTGAAGCCTCATGTATTAGTTTGTTTTCATGCTGCTGTTAAAGACATACCCAAAACTGGGAAGAAAAAGAGGTTTAGTTGAACTTATATTTCCATATGGCTGGGGCAGCTTCAGAATCATGGTGGGAGGAAAAAGGCACTTCTTACATGGCAGTGGCAAAAGGAAAAAGAGGAAGAAGCAAAAGAAGAAACCCCTGATAAACCCATCAGATCTCATGAGACTTATTCACTATCACTCGAATAGCATGGGTATTTCCCGGCACCCATGATTCAATTACCTCCCCTGGGTCCCTCCCACAACATGGGAATTCTGGGTGATACAATTTAAGTTAATTTAAGTTGAGATTTGGGTAGGACACAGCCAAACCATATCACCCTGCCTTCAAGCCAGGGCAGCCTGAAGCATGGGGGTGGGGATGTCAGTTCGGAGAGGAGTCCCCTGCTGGGAGTGAGAACTTATAGTGCTTTTTCCAGCCCACCCATGGCCACCCATGGACCAATCAGCAGGCTCTTCCTCCCTTGTTAAGCCCATAAAAATGCTGGACTCATCCAGACTCACAGAAAGATGTCAGGACAACCTGCCTATGGACATAAGTTACCCATGCCAGGTCTCCTTTCTCCTGAGGGCTTCGCAGATGTTGGGATGACCTGCCTGCAGATAGGAGCTACCCACTCTGGATTTTTCTCTCCACTGAGCACTGCATTCATTGGGATGACCTGCCTGTGGAAAGGAGCTACCCACTTTGGGTCTCCTGAGGCTGTATTGTTGCTCAGTAAAGCACCTCTTTGCCTTGCTTGCCCTCCAGTTGTTGACCTACCTCATTCTTCCTGGATGTGGGACAAGAACTTGGGACAAACCAAATGGTAGGATTGAAAGAGCTACAACACAAACAGGGCTGAACATGCCTCCCCTCCCCCTACCACTCGCCACATTGTGGGCAACAAGAACAAGAGAAGAGCTGCGGCCTTTTGGGAGGCCAGACCTAGGGGCTCCCCAAGCCAGGGTAGTGACACCCCCTTTAGGGCTCTGCGGTTTCTGGTGTCTCCAAGCTTCTGGGCATCACCACATTCCTCTCGTCCAGACACAGGTGCCTATAGTGGAAGCTGCTTATGGTGCATCTGATCCAGCTGCAGGATTGCATGGAGCCAGTCAGTGCCTATGCTGGCACTTGGAGCTGGCTGCTCCACCACAGCAGCCAGCATGCCTGGCTTTGTGTAGTGGCTGGACTCCATGCTCGCCTGCTCATGCACTCCTCACTGCTCTGCACCTGGCTCACCCTTGGCAGGCATGGGATCCAGGCCAGTGGCATGAGCTGAGCACAGCCTGCCACGCTGAGCGGGTGGAACGAGCCCAGCAGGCCCGAGCAAAACTCAGGCAAAGGTACCACGGGCCACAGAGGTTTCTGGTTGGCAAAACGACATCCTAAGGATCCTATAACACATGGATGAGTAAATAAAATATGTTATACACGTATAATAGAATATTATTTAGCCATTTTAATCATTTTAAGCGTACAGTTCAGTAGTGTTGATTATATTCATATTGTTGTGCAACATATCTCTAGAAATTTTTCATCTTACGAAACTAAAACTCTATACCAGTTGAAAAACAATTCCCCATTTCCTCCTTTTCTTAGCCTCTAAAAACACCATTTTACTTTCTAAGACTTTGACTACTTTAGATACCTCATAAGTTAAGTCTTATAACATTTGTCTTTTCAAATTACTTTATTTAGCATAATGTCCTCAAGTTTCATTCATATAGTAGCATGTGACAGGATTCTGAATGACTTCTTTGCCAGCAGACCTGCACTATAGCACTATAAGAAATGTTAAAGAATTTCTTGAAGCAGAAGGAATGTTACATCAGATGGAAACATGGATTGACATGAAGAAATAAAGAGAACCAAAGATGGCAACTATATGATGAACTATATGACATTTTCTCATTAGTTAAATTTCTTTAAAAGATAATGAGTTATCTAAACAACAATCATAACAATGTATTGTGGAGTTTATAACATATGAGTAAACAAAATATATGACAATAGCACAAATACCAAGAGGATAGACATGTAATGTGCTACTCTAAGTTTTATTTATTTATTTTTATTTATTTATATTTTTGTTTTCACTAAAAGTTTTATACAATATGTACAGTTGTATAACATCACTTGAAGGTAGACAGTGATGAGTTAATATATGTACTAAAAATGCTGAACAAACCACTAAAGTTGACAAACAATTATAGTTAATCAAAAACAAGAAGATAAAATCATAAAAAGTAATTAAGACAGATGAAGGCAAATCAAGCAGACAAAGGGGACAAAAGAATTTCAAGATGATAAATGTAAATCTAGTCATATCAATAATTATATTAAATGTAAATGGTCTACGACCCCCCATTAAAAGAAGAGAATTTCAGATTGCATAAAAATGTGAGACACAATGTTTTGCTTACAAGAAATGAACTTTAAGGATAAAGACGTAAGTAAATTGAAAGTAAAATAATGGAAAAAAGGTATACCTTAATAACACTAATCAAAAGAAAGTTGGAGGAGCTATAGTAGTTTCAGAAAATGTAGATTTCAGTGCTTGAAATATTACTTCATAATATCATTACGAAATTCATTTCATAATGATAAAGGTGTCAGTCTATCAAGAAAATATAATCATCCTAAATATTTATGCCCCTAATAACAATGATTCAAAATACATGAAGCAGCAGCTGATAGAACTTCAAGGAGAAATAGATAAATTCTCAATTATTTCAACATTGTTCTCTTAAGAAATCATAAAAAGTTAGACAGAAAATCAGTAAGAATGTGGAAGGTTTGAACAACACTATCAACCAACTTGACCTAGTTGACATTGACAGATCACTCTCTCCAACAAGAGCAGATCATACATCCTTTTTAACTGCACACAGAATTTTTACCAAGATAGATAATATGTAATGCTATAAAACAATGTTCCATAAATTTAAAATGAGTCAGGTCACAGAAAGTACTTCTTTCTGACAAAAATTGAGTTAAATTAGAAATTAACAACAAAAATATCTGCAAAAATCCACAGATATTTGGAAACTAATAACATACTTCTAAATAACCAATGACCAGAGAAGAAATCAAAAGAGAAATTAAAAAATGTTTGAACTAAATGAAATGAAAGCACAGCATATCAGAATTTCTGGGGTACCACTAAATGGTACTTTGATAGAAATTATAGCACTAAATCCCCATATTAGACAGTAAGAATGGTATCAAATCAATGATCTCAGCTCCCACTTTAAGGATTAGAAAAGAAAAAAATAAACTCAAAATAAGCAGATGAAAGAAAAGAATTATCAAAGCAGAAACCAAAGAAATAGAAAACAGAAACATTCACTGAAACTAAAAGTGGTTACTCAGAGAAAATCAATAAAATTAATAAACCTCTGCCTAGCTGGGTGCAGTGGCTCACACCTATAATCCCAGCACTTTGAGAGGTGGAGGGGGGTGGATCACCTCAGGTCAGGAGTTTCGAACCAGCCTGGCCAACATGGTAAAACCCTGTCTTTCCTAAAAATACAAAAAAATTAGTTAGACATGGTGGTGCACCCCTATAGTCCCAGCTACTCAGGAGGGTGAGGCAGGAGAATCGCTTGAACCCACGAGTGGGAGTGGGAGGTTGCAGTGAGCCAAGATTGCACTACTGCACTCCAGCCTGGGTGACAGAGTGAGACTCCATCTCAAGAAAAAAAAAAAAAAAAAAAAATTAATAAACCTCTACCCAAATTTATAAGAGAGAAAAGAGAAGTCTCAAATTACAATGTACAAATTACAGAAGTAATCGCTACAGATTACACAGATATTAAAAATATAATAAAGAAATATTATGACCAGTTATATGATAATAAACACCACAATTGAGATGAAAGTGACAAAATTCCTGAAGAACACAAAGCTTGCTCAGAAAAAAGAGATGATCTGAATATTCCTATATTAATTTAAAAATAGATTTCATAGTTTAAAATTTTTCCACAAAGACAAGTCCAAGGAGATATAGCCTCACTAGTGAATACTACAAACCATTTTAATAAAGAAATAATATCAATTCTACTCAAACTCTTTCAGAAAATTGAAAAGGAGTCTCTCCTTTTCAATTTATGAGGCCAGCATTATCTTGATACCAAAACCAGAAAAAGACATTTCAGAAAGAAAAACTGCAAACCAATATTCTTGATGAATATAAGTGCAAAAATTCTGAACAGATTTTTATCAAATTGAGTCCAACAGTATATATAGGCTAACAAACACATCATTACTAAGTGGAGTTTACTTTGAGGCATGCAGCATTGATTTAACATTAGAAAATGAATCAATGCAATTTCCTATATTAACAAACGAAAAAGGAAAACATAATCATCTCAGTAGATGTAGAAAAAGCATTGACAAGTTCCAATATCAATTCCTGATTTTTAAAAACTCTCAGCAAACTAGGAATAGGAGGGAATTTCCGCAACCCGGTTAAAGGACATTTACCAAAAACTTACAGTTGCATCATACATAACTGAGAGACTGAATGTTTTCCCTTAAAATCAGGAAGAAGACAAAGATGACTGCAATTACTGCTTCCATTCCACATTGTACTAGAAGTCTGGCCAGCGATTTAAGGTAAGAAAGAGAAACAAAAGGCAGCTATATTGAAAGAGAAGAAGTAACACTGACTTACTTCAAAGGCAACATAATTATTTATCTAGAAAATCAGATGAAATTTGATCTAGTAAAAACACTACTATAACTAAGAACCTGTTGGCCAGTATACAAGATACTATCTCAGTATACAAAATTAATTTTGCTTCTGTGTAGTAGAAACAATCAGAGACTAAAATAAAAGGTATAGTTTATAATAGGATAAAAATATGAAACCTTTAGGAATAAATTTGACAAAATTATGCAAAACCTGTACATTGAAAACTACTAATGGCGTCCAGGAAATGCTACCCCCAAATATGGCATCTTGTCACTTCAGAAAGTAATAAAACCTAGGAGGATCACTCTCTGACCTTCTCCAGCTCTTCTCCCCTGAAGCAAGTCATAAGGTCTTCATTCAAGAGGAAAGAAAAATCCTTACTCTGAAGACACGGAAACACAGAGAAGACTGAACAAACTGGCCTTTCTAAGTTCCCCCAAGTTTATTACTATTAGATCACACCCTCATTGTCCAATAATATTTCTCCTCTGCTATCCACTTCTTCATCAAACTTAGCATAAAATCCTCTTTCTTTGATTCTTCATTTCTGAAAGCTCCTATGTTATATAAAACTTATATTAAGTAAATTTGTATGCTTTTACCTTCTTAATGTGTCTTTTGTTTTAAGGGCCTTAGCCATGAACCTAGTGATGGGTGAGGAAAAGCTGTTTCTTTTTGCCCATCCTACAAACTATTCCTGAGAGAAATTTAAAAGGACTTAACTAAGTAGAGATACATGCCTTATTCATGTGTTGGAAGACTCAATATTTCTAACATGTCAGTTGTCCAAATAATGGAATTCAAATAAAAATTTCAGTAGGTTATTTTGTAAAAATTGGCAACCAGACTTTAAAATTCATATGGAAATGTAAGGGACCTAGATTAGCCAAAACAAAACCAAAGTTGAAAACAAGAATGAAGATGGTGAACTAACACTACTTGATTTCAAATTATTATAAAGCTATAGTAATCACGGCAGTATTATATTGCATAAATATAGAGAAACAGATCAGAATAGGGAGCTCAGAAATAGACTCACAAATATATGAACAAGTGATTTTTGATGAAGGCACAAGAGCAATTCAGTGGAGAAAAGTCTTTTCAAGAAATAATGTGTAGAAAAATTGGCTAGCCATATGCCAACAAAAAAGAAGAATGAAAAAGAAAAAAAAATGACTTTGATTCATACCTTGCATACTTTGCACCATATACAGATATTAACTCAAAATAGATTCTGGACCTAAATGTAAAACTTCAAACTTAGGAGAAAATCTCTGAAGTCTCTGTGACCTTGGGTTAGGTAGAGTTCTTAGATATAGCACCAAAAGCTTGATTTATGAAACAACAAATTGATAAGTTGAACTTCATTAACATTAAAAAGTTCTGCTCTTAAAAAACAATATAAAGAAAAGAAGAAAGCAAGCCACGTACTGGAAGAAAGTATTTCTAACTCACATATCTGATGAAAGACTTGTATCCCTAATATATATAAACAGTCTCAAAACTCAATAATAAAAAACTCAAACAACAAAATTAAAATATGGGCCGGGCGCAGTGGCTTACACCTGTAATCCCAGCACTTTTGGAGGCTGAGGCAGGCAGATCACTTGAGGTCAGGAGTTCGAGACCAGCCTGGCCAACAAGGTGAAACCCTGTGTCTACCAAAACTACAAAAATTAGCCAGGCGTGGTGGCGGGCACCTGTAATCCCAGCTACTCAGGAGGCTGCGGCAGGAGAATTGCTTGAACCCGGGAGGCAGAGGTGCAGATCACACCACTGCACTCCAGCCTGGGCAACAAGAGCGAGACTGTCTCAAAAAAAAAAAAAAAGTGCACAAAAGATTTGAACAAACATCCCACAAAGGATATAAAAATGACAAATAAGCATAGGAAAAGATGCTCAACACCATTGTTAATTAGGGAAATGCAAATTAAATCCACAATGAATACTTAGAACCAGTTCCTGAGATGGAGATTTGCATACAAGAACTTTATTGGGGAGCACTCTCAGGAACTGCACCAGTAGGGAAGTGAGGAAGCAGAAATGGGTGGAGAGAGTAGTTGAACTCTGGTACGGTTGCAACACACTTATTAGAATAGCCAAAATTTTTAAAAAATTGACAACACCAAGTGTTTGGGAGGATGTGGAGAAACTGGAGCTCTCAGATACTCTTAGTGGTATTATCAAAAGGCACAATCCATTTGCTAAGCAGTTTGGCAGTCTCTTGGAAATTTAAACATACTCCTGTCTACTAGCCTCTTAGAAACTTATAGAAGCTATTTTATGGCGAAAACGAGGAAACAAATGTCCATTAATAGTGAAGGATAGGCAAATTTGTGCATATCCATACAATGGAATATTACCCAGCTGTGAAAAATTATGAACTAGTGATAAATGCAAATACATGAACAAATCTCAAATTAATACTGATTGAAAGAAGCCAGAGACGAAAAAGTACATACTGTATGATTGTATTTATATAAAACTCAAGAAAATGCAAACTAATCTATAGTGAGAAAAAGCAGATCAGTGGTTGCCTCGTAAGAGAAATGGGAGAAAGTGTTGAGGGAGAGGAAGGAGAGATTACAACGGGACTCAAGGACAAGTTTCATGTTTGCAGATGATGGATATGTTTACTGTCTTGACATGTATACATATATCAAAACTTCTCAAATTGCATACTTTAGATTTGTGCAGTTTATCATCTGTCTTTTATACTTCAGTAAAGACGAAAAGAAAAAAAAAACACTGATTTCAGCTATTGGAAGAATGGAATTGCCAGTACCTGAGGTGGAGAGCAGGTTTCGGTAAAGATCAAGAGTTCAGTTTTGAGCATATTGTGTTTGAGAGGTTTAGTAGACATCCAGATGAGATGCCAAGTGAATAGTAGAAAATGCTAGTTTGGTGTTCAAGGAAGAGATCTGGGCTAGAGATACAAATGAGGGTGGTTGGCACAAAAGCAGTAAAGCCTTGGTAGTCACTCAGTAGTTGTTTGTGATTGTCTAGGGAAACATATTCCTGAATCAACCAACATTTACGGATTATCTACTTTACTTATCCAGATACAATTGAGAGACAGTAATACATATGACAGTATTATGTAACATATACTGTTATATAATTGATTCATTAAATGATTCATGCATGATGCTTTGTTTTATTTTTCAGTGAGTACACTTTTTTTTTTTTTTTTAATGTTTGTCTGTTTTGGTTATCTGTTAAAGCTCCTTAGGACTACACTTGCAAAGGCAGCTGAAGGTCTAGCAAAGAGCTTTCTTTAGTAAGGGAGTTTGAAAGCTAGTACTTCAAAGTCTGTGCTAATGACCTGGTAATTGTTTAATGGATTTTCAATGAAGTGTGAAGTTCTCTGCTGACTTCCCAACAAAGTGTAAAGTATGGTAAAGTTTGTGAGAGAGTTATTCTCACTCCTGTGAATTTGTCTCTCTGTTTGTGAAATCATTGCCAAGTACAGCTTTGGCTACTTTATAAATACAAATCCGCTTTAGGGGTGTAAGCATTCAAGCAGTCTTTCTTGGTTTCATTCAGCTAGTGGGATGGGGCAAAGGTCAAGCTGCCTTTAGAAGTGCAATCAGCTCTTTCTACCAAAGGAAAGACCCTAGCAAATCTGAGAACGAGAGTTCTGAAGAGAACAGCCTGGATTTCTAGCAGCTATCTTACACAAGACTTTCTCTTGCCTCTCACCTGGAAAGGAACAAATGCTTCTCTTTGCTTTCTCAGTTTCCATTTCAAATACATTTTGTCTAGAGGACTGAATGTCCCAAGTGTGGCTTCTCAATCTTGGTGAAAGAACATTTCCATGTAATTGACATGAATGCTTTCATCTAGGCTTACCGCTGTGTTAAGCTGCTTTGGGGTGTGCATTATACTGAGAAATGATTCCAGACCAGACACCTTCCCTCACAATGCTGAAAGATAGAGAATATATTGTTTTTCGTGTTATGAAATCTGCTTTTTTTTTTGCCTTTGTTTGGTGGCATCCAATAGATTTGGAGGGCATGGAATGGTCAAATGTTGTTTCTTGTTTGAGTCTCTAAGGCTTGGAGTCTATGCCCTCTATGTTGGCTTTTTAGTAGAAATACTACTAAGAGTACACCGAGGCCACCGAAAACTCTGCCCTAGGGTAGAATTCAGCCCAGGGCAAGGCAGTTGTGCCTTAGGCCCTAGTCAATAAATTTTAAGGTGATAGATGTTATGAATGAATCATTCTCATAGACCTGAACTCCATTGAGGTTCTTAGTGTTATAGTGAATTAACAGAGTATGACTGTCTTGAGACAGGTTCCTTGTAACAAAAGACCATGAGATCTGTGGAAGGAAAAGAGAAAGCTTCATTTTCCATAAGAAACAATTTGCAGATTGGGGAGATGCAGCCCCTGGTGTAAAAAGAAATCATGCTCTCAGGCAGGGTCAGTGAATAGGAGATTATAAAGGCAAAAAAACCTCAGGGCAGAGGAGGGTAGTCAGGGGAGTGAGAAACAGTGTGGATTAGATGACTTTTAAGCCCAAAGTCAATAGTCGCTCTTCCTGGTGGTCAGTCAGTTGGCACCAGGTGATCTGTTGGTCATTTGGGGAATTTCCAGCTGTAGTCTATCTTGGCACCAACAACAGGAACTGGTTTGGCTTGATTGTAGAAAAGGAGGTCCGGTGGTCTCTGGGTGCCAGAAAGGTTGGATATCACTGCTCTACATGATTAATAATGTAGGACAAGATTAGAATATAACTTATAGTGACAACTGTAAAGTTTTGTTTTGTTTTGAAATTCATCAACTATTTATACCAATAATAACAAAAATAAATTTATCAAGACTTATTAACTTAATTTATAAACTATTCTACACTGTCCACTATCGTACACTATAGGTTTTTAAAAAAAATCCTCACAGTGGGGCTTGACTGGCTGTCAAATGAGCTTTCAAACTTTCAAAATGTTAAATGGAACTAGATATCTAACTATGTTTGATAGAATTGGTCTAGGCTTGTTACAACAAAATTAATTTGTATCTTAGTTATTAAACAGCATCTGGGACTGGTTTGGGCAGAACATTAAACTTATTTTGTTGCTAGTTATTGTTTACCAAGTATAATGTTGCTATTTAGCAATGTGCTTGGTTTTAAAGAAATTCTCCTTGGGAAAAAAGTGTCCTCTTTTATGCTTTCTTCCTATAAGCCCAAATGCCTGGACATAGCTATTGTGAAAACTTTAAATGAATCCATTCTGAATATCTTTTGAACCCACAACAAATAATGTTTTAAAGTTATTCCCTTGTTACTTTACTGATACCGTTATCCTTTTTGAGACAGTCTGCTAACTTAAAAGGGTTACATTTCATTTGTATTTATTTCTCTCCCTTGCCAAAAAGGTTTTCTAATACTGCTTGTGCCAGCCAGGGAAATGCTCCAAAACACTGTTCAGCTCTCTTGCACTCAGGAACTTATTTTTTCCTCCATATTGACTTCTGGCCTACATCAGCCAAACTTACCTTGGGGTGGTTTGGATTTGACAGTTGTGTGCTGATTGCACAGAGTTCATATTCAGATGGTCTTTAATAGTCAGCAGATTGTCTTCCTTTATATTGTGTCTTTCTAATGTTGCATGTTGCTTTTCGCATCAGCCTGATTTTTTGCTCAGTATATGATAGTTCTGCTGATGTTTTATTGTTTATTGGGTGAACATAACTTCATTTAGAGTTTTTAGAAATCTCATCAAATTCAATGAATACATTTTCTTCATATCCCATTTGGAATTATTTTTATTACTAATAAAATGATAAAATATTTAAAAAATAAAAAATCCTCACAACAGTCTTGTAAAATAGATATCACATTATATTTTTTTCTTGAAACATATTTTTCAGAGAGAAGAAATGAATTGCCCAAGGTCACACAGCTATATTCGATTCACATTACATGTTCTTTTCTCCAAGTTATACTGTTGTCTCTGTCTAGTCATAGCTATGTTTCCCAAACACATCTTGTGTTTCCTTACTTCTTTGCATTAGTTTGATGTTGTTCACTCTACTTGGGATGTCTTGCCTTGCTTGTCTGACCATCAAACATTCATCCATCCTTAAAGCCTCATTTTGAAGATCATTTTTCACTGTGAAGCTTTCCTAGACTTCCTCACAAATAATAATTTGTTCTTTGTCTATGATCTCAGAACACCTTATATATAGCACCAAATAGGTGATTGATATGTGCTCATTAAATGAATATATGAGTTTATATTTTCAGTCATGTTGCTTTGGCTTTGGAGTTTGCCTGATGCATTTTTTTCCAAGAAGGTGTTCAGTCTCTAAAACCTTTCTATTTTCTGGTAGTTCCCAGTGAAGACTAGGATGTGTACCCAAAGCATTTCTCTTGATTGACTAAGTTGAGCATCACCATAGCAAGTACTGAATACTGTTACCAGATTTTCCACTTTAGGGATTTTTTTTTTGTTGAATTTGTCTTGCATTTATTGTTGAGCCCAAAATGTCACCTCTCTCTCGCTCTTTTTTTTTTTTTTTTTTTTTTGCCTCTGGTGGGATTGATCAAGCAGATATGTGTGATATCTGCAGTCAGTGTAGGTCCCAGACCCTTGAAGCATTTTAGATGCTACTGTTCTATAATATTGGCGTAAATTTGTGAAGAGAGACATGATGTTAGAAGGGACTTTAGGAATTATCTGCTACAGAGCTTGTCACATACCAGAGTTTTGCAAGAGGATTCGGATTCCAGATGTATTTGGTTTTGCAGAGTCAGTATTTTTCTTTAAAATAAAAGTTGAAAATTAATATTAGATTAGTCATTTGTTCTCCAGTCCTGCAAAGCTCCTGTTTTCCCATATTGTCTGGTATCTATGCTTCATTCATTTAAGCTACATGCTTGTCTGCTGAGGACATTCGAGTTTGGGACTCCTGGTTCTGATATAACTTCCAGAATTTGCAAACTGATAAAAAGTGGCCCAGTGAGAGATCACAGAGGGCCCAGTGTGAAACCCATATAACAATACCCAGATTTTATTTACTGCTTACTATTTGATTCCACACTGATGGTATGCTCGGTCTGTTAGTATCTTAAAGTTTATGAATGCTTCTGAGCTGGCAAAGTGGCCAATATCTAGGAGATTTCTTCTATCAGACCAAGTATGAATTTGAAGTAAAAATGGATACTGGCAGGTGACTTTTTACTCAAAATGGTTTCCACTGTTGCCTGTGCTTTGCTGGGACTATCAGGAGTTGTGCAGTGTAGAAAAAGAGTGAGTGCCACCAGCTTGGCTTCTTTATGCTCTGCCTTACACAGTCCTGAATGTTCCTGGAATATTATATCTGTTTCACTAAATGGGCTTCTTCTGGTGACAAAGCATCTTCCAATCTGTAAATTACATATTTATTCACATCCCCTTCAGTGCCTGGTGGTACAATTCATCCTAGTAAAGGGTGATTCTAAGGAAGTGGTTGTTACAGTTTGAATGTTTTTGTCCTTACCAAAATTCATGTTGAAACTTAATCCTCAATGCAATGGTATTAAGAGGTATGGCCTATAGGAGGTGATTGAGTTATGAGAGCTCCACTGTCATGAATGGGATTAGGTGCCCTTATAAAAAGGCATGACAGAGGGAGTTCATTCCTTTTACCCTCTGTCCCTTCTGCCATGTGAAGACATAGCATTCCTCCACTGTGGAGGAGCAGCAAAAAGTCACCATCTTGGAAGCCAGGGGCTTTCATCAGACACCAAACCCACTGGTGCCTTGATCTTAGACTCCCAGACTCTAGAACTGTGAGAAATAAATTTCTATTCTTTATAAATTACCCAATCTTAGGTATTTTGTTATAACAAAACAAAGAGACTGAGGCAGGGGGTCTATTGTGATAATTAATGCAGATCTCAGAAGTGACAATTTAGAACTCAGGAGTGGCTTCAGTATGGGGAAAGGAGAGGCTGATCTTGCATGTCTTTCTTACCACTGACCTTTACAGAACAAAATGAACTAAATCCTCGTTAATGCTGAGCCTTAAATTTTTCTAGTCCTCTCTCTCCCTTTTAGGTGCCCACACTCATAAATACACAGTCCCTTAAATATTGATCCAGCTTTGTTATTTAATCAAAAGCTTCTCTGTTCTCTTCTTATTACCTTAGCCTTTTGTGAAGCATAGCATTAAAAGCACCCAAATACTACATAATTTATATCTACAGCTTCTTCTTTTTCAAATTCCCATTTTCATGAACAAGTGATACTTCTGAGACTCTTTGGAGACTATCATTAAATCATTCCCCAGGGTCAGTTCTCCCTTTAGCAGTCAATAATACAATAAATCAATATTCTAGAGGTTTGTAGAAGACACTGAAGTTATTCTTCAGAAACCTAAAGATTATACTATTATTTTCAAGAATTTTAATTTGTAGTTCTTTGTCATTTGAAAACACTAAATCCTTCCTTACAAAGTATTGCCCTAGTTTTTCTTATGGTTCATTTTATTTTAGAATCCTAGCTGTCCTTATTTACCTGTTTGTATTAGCTATTAACTCCACTTTACCTAAATCCAACATCTGTTCAGGCTTTGTGTCTTTTTATTTGTTGCCTGCAAATGCTTGGGAAATGTACTTACATTCATTTATTCAAGAAATGTTTTTTCAGGGGTCACTATGGTGCCAAATAGCTTGGAAATCATGTAACTTGGAGGATCTTATTTGGGGTTGCCTATACTCATGAGGCTATGCTCTGATTTAAGTGTTCTTCCTGGGATTCAAAGCAGTGTATGGCATAGAAATTACCTGTGAAATGGGGGAAAACAAGCATAGAAACAGGAGAGTGCTCAGATACTAGGGACTACAGGGTGGAAGGGGACACAGAGAAATAAGACATCTAGCCAAGGCTGATCAGGGTCAGAGGGCCTTTTCTGGAGGATCTGAGCTAAATCTTGAAGAAAAAAGTGGGTTATCCAAGCAAAAAAGGAGTAGAAAAGTGCTGCAGGCAGAGGAAATAGCATAAGCACAAGTTTGGTGGTTCCAAATATCATGCTGTGGTTGGAATTAAACATAGTTCAAT
Organism: Homo sapiens; assembly: GCF_000001405.40. NCBI lineage: Eukaryota > Metazoa > Chordata > Mammalia > Primates > Hominidae > Homo > Homo sapiens. The sequence goes on along the minus strand of NC_000001.11, from coordinate 83,569,473 downwards.
ACCATTAGAATGAAAAGGAGAAGGCAAAAAGTGGGGTAGGGAGTGGGTGGGGAGACAAGGCTCTGGAAGTATGCAGAAGCCAGCTCAGAGAAAACTCTTCATGCCGCGAGAAGGAGCCTGGTTGTTATTCTACAGGCAACAGGGAACCACTGAAAGATTTTTAGCGGAGCACCAAGTAAATTTGAGTTTTAGATCACTTTCTGGGGTGCAAGGAGAACACATTTGAAAGGAGTGAATTCTGGGGTAGGGAAACCAGTTTGAAAGTGGCTGCAGCTGTGTAATGGAGGTGTAAGGGTGGCTGAGACTCAGGTGGAGGTAGAACTGGAAGGAAAGGGAGCAGCCTGGAAAATCTTTAGGAACAACACTTGTTCGTGGAAGGTGAGTGGATTGGCTGTGCTGTCATCTTTCTATGAGCGGGTGTAGGTACAGCCTCTGTGGTGATGCCTGGAGCGAGAAAGGCATCGTCCTTTCCTGAAATGATACCCAACACCTCTGTGCACTGTCAATACATTAGACATCTGATTCCACAGGGTAATGCTCACGAGGCACCAAATTTCCTGCAGTGGGTCCAATACATTACTCAGAAGTTTTCTCTTTTTGCACTTGAACATCTGAAGCTTAATCCCAGTGAGGGGAGCTGTCATTTTCTTCCCAGACAGGAAGCCGAATTGTCTTTTCGAATACCCCGGGGCTTTCTGAACTCACAAACCTTTCATTATAAGTACATGTCTAACTTACGGGGAAGTTACACAGAGTTCTCACCATGTGCCGTGCTTAAGATGCAGTTCACGTGTCTATAGTTTTGCCCTTGGTACATGGGCCCCTCAAAGGAAGCTGTCTCTGCAGAGGTCAAACGAAATGTTCTTTGAATTTGGAGGGTGGGTCTCACTAAAGGATGGGGTGTTGTCAATGCCCAAAAATGCTGGTGGACATGCATTATATCCTCAATCTATAGAAACCTATACAGCTGCCAGAAGAAAAAAATATCGCCAAACATCTTTTTAAATTAATTCATTAAATTATGTAAAATACTTATTAAGAATCTGCTCTGTGTCCTGGTGCTGTGTTAAGTCCTGGCTAATATGCTTTTAGCATATTAGATCATTGGCAGATCAGGGCTAGAAGATGGGCCATGTGAGGCTGGTGGGTGGGAGTGGATAATCACCCAGGACAGCCAGAGTCAGGGTATCTGCGGGGAGAAGGATTATAACAAGGGTCCTGGGCCAGAAGCCGAAGGTCAGGAGCTAAGAGTCCACATGTAAGTGTGATCTCCAAAGGATGAGAAAAGGATGGGGAGATGTGTCAGAGCTAAGAGATGGGGCCAGATGGGGATGGCTCCAAGTGGCAACAGGTTCAGAATGACAGCCAGAGGGTCCAGGGACATTGCTGCAAACAGATGGGAGTGAGAGGCCTACTGTCTAGTATACTGGAGAGTTATGTGTGGGTTCTTCTTGCTGACTTAAATGCAGAGGCTTTTGGCAGACATGACTTTAGAGTGCAAGGAAAGGGCTCTTAAACATTTATTTTCTGCTTGCAGGAGATAAGACTAAAATATATTTAAGTAAGCAGTGAAAGAGGGAAGGAACATCTAAGTGAGTGTATTACCATATGATGTAGGAGCCCAGAGGAAGAATTTAAAGTGGAATGAATTTGTAAAGCTTGATGAGTGAAGGAGAAGTTGGACAATTGTCCTACTCAAGAGCCATATTTCTTTTTAAAACCAAAGTCATCATGACTTTCCTGACTCCACACTATCCACACTCCCTGTGCCAACTTCAGTCTGTGGCATTATGGCTCAAACACTGCTCAGGAGCCACCTCCTTCATGAAAGGCCACCTGGATGACACTAAGTTAGTTTCAATCGCCTCCTTAGGGCTTGTATCCAGCTCCTCATCACTAGTAAGTTATTTGACCAATTGCATCTGCTAGATTATGAGGTTCATAAAATATTTATTATACACTGTTTATTTCTCTATGTGTCCAGTCCGACCAACAACAGAGGATGCTTCACTTTGGCATTTATGGCTCTCCATCACCTAACCCTACACTATCCTTTTTCCTATTTCTATGATTTTGAAAACTTCATCTTTCGTTACTCCTAAGTCAGCCTTTCTGCTCCAGGCAAGCCTGTCCCTCTTCCACCTCCAGCACATGCTGTATTTGTTCTAAAATCTCTCTGCTCCATTTTTCCATCTGCACTTCCTTTTCTTCCTTCCCCCCATCACATTATTCCTTTCCATTTTCTTTGTCCCCTTCAGGAGCTATCTTTGAGATCATGCCCTCATGACTTATTTGTACTATTTATGCTATTATACTTGTAATACTTTATTTGTAACTATTGTCACATCACTTATTAATTAAATACTCATCAATTTTTTAATCAAATAGTTATAAGTTCCAGAAACTGTGTTATGCACTGGAGACATATCAGGGAATATGACACAATTCCAGCCCTCCAAATGTTCACAATGTGGTACATTTGAGTTGTCTCCCTAATTGGATTTTAAAAATACTAAAACACTGCCATTCACGTGTACTTTACAGTTTGCAATGTGCTTTCAAACATTGTATCTCATGCAATTTGATCTTTATCACAATTTTAAGTGTAATTTTAGTGAGGCAGAATTAATGTTAAATTAAATGGACTAGGATGATCTATCTGATAATGAGGGAAGGTGACCCATATATTCTTGCCCCAATTCCAGTGCTCCATCTACCATGTGATACTACATGGAAGATAATTTCTCCTCTAGTTCTTTGATAACTTTTCAACAGTGCAGAGAATAACACTTCTACACAGCAAGCACTCAGTAGACTTAGGTCATCTTCCTGATGAATTTGCTATTGCCTGATTTTCTGACTTACAAAGTAGGAGACATCAAAAGTGGTTGGTCCAAAGTAGGAGACATCAAAAGTGTATTTGGCCCAAGGATGAGTGCTGCCTGAAAAATGTCATGCAGTCAAACTGGCACATCATAAAACTTGGATCCTGGTAGGAAAACAAAATTTAATTTTGGCTCTTCGATCTTTGTATGATATGGTGGTACTGGTGTGTATATGTGTGTGTTTGTATTGTTCTCTATCTCTCTGATTTTTTTCGCAGTCTTTAAGCATTTACAAAATATTTGGTTGAAAGTCCCATGAAGGCTGTTGGGAGACAGAGCCTCATGGGGCAGGCAGGAGAGGTATCAGGCATATTGTGGTGGTGGTGGTCCCCCTGGTTAGTTTTTTTTTTTTTTATTTGGAGTAAGTGGTTGCTTTCTTCTTCTTGGGGTGGAATTTGTGGTTCTCAGAATCCATAATCTCTTAGAGTTCAACACTGGTAGAATTGAAAATTTGAATGCAATATGGAACAGCCATATAAGATTATCCTCAAACAGATTATATCTCAATAATGCCATTGCCATGTAGAACTGCCTCTTTTTTCAATATCTATAATTCAATACAATTTAATTCAATCCCATTAAACTAACATTTATGGATCATTGGCAACCTTTGAGGCACTCAGGGTTCCTGGAAGGATAATGCTCAGACCCTGACCTCTGGCAAACTCAAGTAGTCTTTTTTTCCACTCCCAAAATGACAATTTTTGTCTATTTCTATATGGTCCCTAAGGGATGTGGGAAAAAGATCAATTATCTCTTCTTTTTATAAAGAAAAATTGGTTGACGTGTTTTTCTCTTTTGTCAACAGATTCCTTTCAGTCTTAAGCATGCCCTTTCTCTGGCACCGAGTACATTTGATCACCTTGTCACTGTCCTAGCTCCCCACAGAGAACCAGGAGAGGGCCATAAAGGACACTTTATTTGTTCCAACTCAGCTGAGTTCTTATAGCTCACCTTCCAATTGGACAAACATTATAACAAACTAAAAAGCAAAAAAGTAAAACTTTGAACAGCTTCTCAGAAGAACAACGTACTCTGGAAAGCTAGCTGATTTGCTTTACCTCCTAGTTCTCTGCATGATGGAAACAAGAGCCTAATTGATGTAGCATTGACATGATTTCTCTCAAAATGTACAGAACGGCATCTGCCATGGCCCCTGTCATTCTTCTGAATACTGGCTTCACCTCAGGGGGTGATTCACACTGAGACATTTTGCTCCACAGCAAAACTTCTACTCCGATATCAAAGAAGTAGCAACAGGGGCAGGGATGTGCCCAGGTTTATTAAGATGCATTTGTGGATGTCACAATAAGGGGAACGTAGATTCAGTAGTTGTCTTAGCTTATAGTAGCTGGGAAAACTTTATGTTCTGTGCTAGAGATGAGAGCAACGGGAAGAAAAACAACTTAAGGAAATAAAAAAGTGAGGAGATCAGCTGCCTCCGTTTAAGGTCTCAGAAAACTCACATATTTTGTATATTAATATATTCTGGCAAAAATACGGATATGTTAAAGTGTTTTTTAAACCCCCCAGGTATTTTAGCTCCAATGATCTGATCTGTTTTGAGACCTTTGCCGGCCATGAAAAGATGGACGGGGGGAGCGAGGGGCCCAGAGCGAGGGATAGGACCATTGAGAGTCTAACAAGTTTTTATTAAATGACTCATAAATACCAGGGAGATAATTATAGTGGTTACTTTAAGCTCATTTTAAATTAAAGTGAAAATTGTATATTTTTTGATATGGGACTGTATTCTAAATGCATCACTATAGGGTCTGGATAAATTCAAACACTTAAGAACTAAGCCCTGATAAGAGCAAATGTGCTTTGGGGATGTTACAAATGGGGCCATTGATGGCCCTGCTCAGCTAGGGAATTGCTGTGACCTTGGGTGTGTTCTTTGAATTCCCTCAGCATTAGTTTTTCCATCTGCAAAATGGAAAGGGTTGTTGTAGGTATCTTATGGGAATTGCCTAAACAGTAAAAGTCTTAGAAGAGAGGGCTTTGGGAGAAATGAAGCGAGTTTATGTCTCTCTCCACACTCTGTCTCCCAGCCTGACCAGTTGTCTGTCTTCATAAACTCCCTTGAACTGATTCTGGGGCTCCTGCTCTCCCTTTTACAAGCCTTACACATAGTGGGGCCTGCTTGGGTGGAATTAGCTGATGGCAAATATGGACATCAGGGGCACTTGAAAGAAAATAGCAGAAACATTGACCTATTGTTCACATCCTGTGGTAGGCAGAACAACGTCACCCTCTCCAAATGTCTACATCCTAATTCCTGGAATCTGGTAAATACGGTTACCTTACATGGCTAAAGGGACATTGCAGATGTGAGTAAGTCAAGACTCTTGAGATGGGGAGATCATCCCGGGTTATCCAGGTGTGCTCACAAGGGTCCTTAGAAGTGAAGAGGGAGGCAGGAGAGTGGGTGTCAGAATAAGAGTCAAAGAGAGGTCTGAAGATGTCAGGCTACTGGCTTGGTAGGTGCCGGAAGGAGCCACAAGCCATGGAGTGGGAGTGGCCTAGAGAGGCCGGAAAAGGCAAAGAGTGGAATCTCCTGTCGAGTCTCCAGGAGGAGCAAGCCTTGCCAACACCGTGATTTTAGCCCCGTGAAACCCATTTCAGACCTCTGACTTCCAAAACTTCAAGACAATAATAAATAGGTGTGGTTTTAAGCCACTGACTTTGTAGTAATTTGTCACAGTATTAAGGGAATACTACTACATATCTCAAGGCCATAATTTCATCATTTAAAAATGGCACTGGAGAAAAAAAAACCCAAAAACGTCATCAACTTTTTCCTTTAGGGTAATCTACCAACTGGGAGGAGCAGAGCTGGTGAAAACGGACTGAACCTTCCGGCCCGGCTGCATCGCCTAGTGCGTGGATATAATTTGGCTCTATTTTATCATCATGATATATTTCACTTCTCCCTAGTCATCACCTTACACCCTCCAGAATGATCTTTTGAAACCAGAAATCTGATCACACCACTTTCCTGCTCAAAATTGTCAACACTTTTATATTGCCTTTAGGAGAAAGGGTGAGTTTCTTAGCATAAGAGCCTACAACAGCCTCTGTGATCTGTTCCTGATGAACTCCTGGCTGTATTGCCAGCCACATGTCCCCCGTTTTCCACCAAGACCCTAGGTTATATCCACAGGAAGTAACTGACATGACAGGTTCCTACTTGCTGTGGTTCCTCATAGTTCCTTGCTTTCACTTGGATGTCCTCTCCTTTTAGCTAATATTTGTTGAGCTCTTATTATTGTACTTGACACTTATAAAGGCTTTGCAGGTGTCGACTCATTAAATCCCATGGAGTAGGTGCTGGTATTATCCTTATTTTACCCATCATGCAACTGAGGAATACAGAAGTTAAGTAGCTTGACCAAAGTCACATGCCTGCCTGGTAAGTAGTAGAACCTGGTCCAGGAGCAGGAGTGAGGTGCAAGAGAGAGGGAAAGAGGGAAGGAGGAAGCCAATATGAGGGAATAGTATCAGTTGGTTATGTCCATGGGCACCATGGGTTTGATTCTGCTAGATCCTTTGGAGGAGCAAATAGAATGTCTCTTAGAATTATCCACCTAACCATTGATAGGGGAAATCACTTCCTCACTGGTTTCCATTCCCCATTAAAGGTCACCTGATGGGGATGTTAAGTGCCTTATTCTTTTGGGTGGCACATGGGTATGTGGCAAGTAGACACCTGGACAATACCAGTGTTCTATACAGTGACACTGGAACATTCTTAGAGATGGGAAATTCCATGGCATAAAGCTACAGGCGCTCAGCAGGCACTTGAGATGACACTTTGTCACAGGAATTCTCACAGATTGCCGCAGCTACAGTGGGAATCAGAGGTAAGATCCGGAGACATGAAGTGTGACATAATAAGCTTTCGATTTGTGCTCCAGGTTTTTTTGTCAAGGGTAATATTTCAGGGGTTTGTGGTGTGTGGAATGCTTTTGTAAATTTGTGTAGATCCCAGTGTTTTTCATAAACAGTCTTAGGAAGTATTTTATTGTATTAAAATGGTCACATTACATGACCTTTTATTTATTTATTATTGTTATTATTACAACTTATATTATTAATTTATTCTGCCAGATATTCTACAAATGTATGCTAATTCCTATTCTTTGATGCACATTTTCTTGAGAAAAATCAGTAACAAGCTAAGCAAGAGTCAGTCTACACAAGCACTCACCAGAAAGAATCTAAAAGTTCTGAGACTGGCAGCAACCAGATTAGAAGTCTTGCTTAATGCCATCCATGAAACATAATCTTATGAAAAGGACCCATTGAAGAAGGGGATGAGGTAGGGAGAAGGTAGAACCTTCACTTGCTTTCTTCTTCTGTAAAGGTAGAAAGAAGCACATTCAGATTAAGTAAAGGGAAATATCCTCTCAAGATGCCTAGCTACCTGCCAGTTTAGAGTTGGAAGCAGCAAATCTGAGCAGAGCTCTCAGAGGCCTGGAGAGCACTGAGTGTGGATGACAACCATAGGTGGCAGAGGAAAGGTGCCTAGTGAGTGGGCCTCTGGAGACGAGGCACTCACTTTGCTGCCAGTCTGGCACTGCTGGCTGGGGAAATGACATTTGAGCTTCTGCATATGAGGTGTGTGTGGACAACAGGCCACTGATGTCCTCATGAAGAAAAACAAATTGAAGACTTTTCCAGAAGTCTAACTCAACAGGAATTTTCTCATTCCCCAACCTCTTAAAAAAAAGAAAAAAAAAAAAGAAGAAGATTATTTTCAGAGTCTATTTGTTTCACTGCTGGAGACCAGGGAATAGAGATGTAAGGGCTGTTTGTCAACTCTCAGGCAGAGAAATCACTAATTCATTTCTTTCTTGGGTCAGGGGACCTGATCTCCTTTTATCAAAAGAAAATTACTTCACAGAGAAAGCACTGTCACTATAAGGGGGAAAGGAATTAAGCAGCCCAGAATTTGCAAGCAGCTCATTTGCTTCTGTTCTTTAACTGGTCTTTAAGCTGGAGCTTACTTGCTGTCTGCCTAGAAGTTTAGAATTAGTTTCCTGTATGATCATAAGGAAGTCATTAAGTTACATTTTATTTGTAATGAAAATACCCACAAACACAAATATACACACGGACTCGCACATACTTGTATTCTCACAGGGCAGCTTTGCCTTAAAGTTTGAACCCAAACTCAATCCAGCTAATATGTATTAAATATGCACTATGTGACAGGTTCTGTGAGGGTGTTGGGGGGAAGAAAGACAGGGTTTCTGCCGTAACGAGCCAATAATCTCCTTAGTAAGAAAAAAACTTGGAATGAGAAACCATTCATTCGTTTAGCCATTTACTCAACTGATAATGTATCCTGGGCCTATTGTGGACTGAATTGTGTCTTTCCCCATTCCCTGCCCAAATTCATATGTTAAAGCTCTAACCCCAATGTGACTATACTTGGAGATAGAGCCTTTTGGGAGGTAATTAAGGTTAAAAAGGTCATAAGAGTGGGGTTCTTTGGTAATCCCAGCACTTTGGGAGGCCGAGGTGGGTGGATCACGAGGTCAGGAGATCGAGACCATCCTGGCTAACACAGTGAAACCCCGTCTCTACTAAAAATACAAAAAGTTAGATGGGCGTGGTGGCGGGCACCTGTAGTCCCACCTACTTGGGAGGCTGAGGCAGGAGAATGGTGTGAACCTGGGAGTCGGAGCTTGCAGTGAGTCGAGATCACGCCAACGCACTCCAGCCTGGGCAACAGAGCGAGACTCCGTCTCAAAAAAAAAAAAAGAGAAAAAAAGAGTGGGGTCCTAATCTGATAGGGTTGGTGGCCTCTTAAGAAAAGAAAGAGACAGCAGAGAGCTCTCTGTCTCGCTTCCCCCTGCATGCATACTCAGAGGTAAGGTCACAGGAGGATTCAGGAAGAAGGCTAGTCACAAGGCAGGAAGAGAGGCCTTGCCAGAAACCAACCCTGATGGCACCTTGACCTTGGACTTCTGGCCTCTAGAACTCTGAGAAAATATGTTCTTGTTGTTGAAGCCACCCAGACTATGATATTTTGTTATGGAAGCCATAGGAGACTAATACAGGGCCTATTTGGTGCCATGCACTGAGCTAAGTGCTAAGTACAGCACCGAATGCAACAGACACAGTTCCTGTACTCAGGGGTCTCTTTCTGGAGGAAGAAGGTAAAGTGTGACAAAAGCTACTGGAGCAGAAAGAGAGTTACCTGTGGAGAATTCAGGGAGGAGTCTGCTTTATTTTGGAGTCAGGAAAGGCCTGCTAAAAGTGATTATTTGATCTCCAAGGTAAGTTCAAAGATGGTAGGGGTTGGGAGGAGGGAAGTTCAGCCCAGGCATGGTGATGACCTGTGAGAAGGCTCCGTGGCAGGACAGGCTTGGTTAGTTTAAGACCCTGGAATAAAGCCATGTGGAGAGCTTACTGGCAATGGAGAGAGACAGGCCTAGTCCACATCACACGGATTCCTGAAGCCGCATCCTGAGGATCATCTTGATCCTAAGAGCTCAGGAAGGATTCTAAATGGGGGAAAGGAAGCAAATTGAAGTATTATGAGGGGACTCTCAGGGTGGGTAAGCAAGTTGGGAAGAATAAGGTCCCTCAGACCCTCCTATCACAACAGCCTGAAGCACTGTTTCCCAAGGCTGGATGGAGTGTGTGGGAAAGATGATTTTTTGTGGAGAAATTGTTATTTTTATATGCCTAGGAAGATCTATCCCTTAGGCATGTTTTGTAATTGCACTTTCTGCAGCTTGCTAGGAAGAAAATGCCTAAATTATTTCAAAGAAAAGTACTTCAGGCATTTGTGGTTTTAGGGCCATCAAGTGCCACAAACCCTACTAAAACAGACCATTCAAAACAGAAAGTGTTGAAAGACATGCATAACTGAATCAGTCACTTAGAAACGTCTTTCTTTGCTTGTCAGCTATAGAAATGGTTGGAACTGATAAATGGCCTGCTGGAGAATTCGGTCTGCTGGTGGTGCGTCTATCCTAGGTGTTAGCAGTGACACTGCTCTGACAGGATTCAGGGCCACATCTCAGGCAAGCTTTGCCCAAGGCCCAAAGTGTTGACTGGAAGATGATCAATTATAGCGAAGCTTGGATGTTGTTGCCAGGTAGTCACACATTCAGCATGAATGTCACTCTCCATTCCAGAAAGGAGCTAAAAGGAGATTAGAGGATGTGGGGGTTGAAACTGTGGCTGTAGGAAGGGGTGAGTGTGGGAAGGACAAGGGGAAAAACATGTCAGGCTACCAGACACTTGGTAGAGTTTATGCAATTAGTTCCTCTTTCCCCCATGCAGCTGAGCCAACTCAAACGAAGCACACAAACCATTCTTCTTAATGCCCCGTGAGCTTCACAAGAGTGACTTTCTGGAACAGAATCAGACGTTTGTATGATTTCCTTCAGTTATTTTTCTTTTTCTTGTGGCCCCTATTCCCTTAGTTGCTACTTTGCCTTGCCTCATCCACCACAGAGCACATCAGAGATATGGATGTAATTCCTAGAAGATTTGAAAACCCTGAACTTGCAGAATCAGGGCATTTCTCCCAGTTGTTGATATTATTTTTGCTTTTTTCCCCCCTCAATTTGGAATGCCCAGCTGGGCCTGGACTGAATTCTCCTCTCTGATCTGTAGCCTGGAGTTTTCTGCATATGCACCCTACCAGTGAGCCCTGCCTGGTTATCAGAGGGAACTCACGCCAGAGAGTAAGTGCAGAGCATGCTCCAGAGGGCTACAGTAAAGGCAGGAGATACATTTGCCCTTTGACTGTAGAGAATAGTAAATTACCACAGATCTATTTAGCTCCATCTGTAGCATTTGGCACACTAACCTAGGAGATGGCTGGAAAACCTGGTATCTTGGAAACTGAATATTCTTTAAATGCAAAAATGGAGGACATGGCTAGAGAAATGGTAGAAGAATTGTTTGAAGGTAGATTGTCATTTTTCAGTGTAATATTTAGACAACCTCTCTGCCTCTCATTCTTTTCTCTCATTGACCTAGTTTTAATTATGCCATATGAAACATGTACTTGGTCTTTACAGCCATAAATTAGTTGCTTCTTATAATCGTTTCTAAATTTGGGGAGAAAAAGTCTTGGGGTGGTCTTTGATCATGTACTGCAAAAATGTCAGAAGACCACAAGAAAAATAGACAAGGTTAAATCCCGTCAAACAAAGTTCCATTTTAGAAAATTTCATATTTTGTGTGTTCATGGCTTCTTCAGTTACAAATGTGGTTAGGTTTCTTAAATTAAGATTGACATGAACCTCTTCCAACTCTTCCTCTGGATTTCAAGGTTTCCTTTAGGTTTTCTACACCTATGCATGTCAAAGAATTGTTCAGCTTGTTCAAGTCCCTGTTTCTCAAATCCTAAGATGAAATTCCGGACCACTATGTCATTGGTGCCTGGATTCTGGAAGGAGTTTTATTTTATTTGTGCGATATGAATGGAAGTGTTATGTGCTTTCTTTAATGGTGAATTAGATTTTCTTTGCTCCTTACACTTTCAGGAGATTCCTATCTCCCTGCCACATTCCTTAATGCCTTTGTTTCAAACATGTGTAAAACATATTCTTTGAAGTGTCTTACTTAGCCAAACCAAACTGGTGTATTACAAAAGAGTATTAAGGCTGTGCTTTAAAACCACCAAGAATGGAAATTATAACGAATTAACTTTCTTTCCCAAGCTAGTCTAAATCATAACTGCCTCATTTTCTATGGTCCTGCAACTATAGCTCTACATCTTTTATTTACCTGTGTCCTCAGATAATTCTAGTTGGTGGGAGGCGAGCACCATTATGCATATTTTACAGTTAAGGAAACAGCATCAGAGATGTTAAGTAACTTGCTTAAGGGAAGTCTGTTAGAGGGACTTAGAGTTGGGATTCAAACCCAGGCATGGCAGCCTGCATTTTTCCCACTCTGTCTCCCTGGCTCTCCTGGAGTCTGTGTTGGCTGCTGGTTGGAGAGAAGGAGATCGAGTGCTATGTTTGGGACCAGTGGGAGACAGCTTTGTGAGATGTCTATATACACAGATGCTAGGGTCAGGTTGATATTTGAAGAGTCACCAATATCAACTCTGTGCATTTTTTTTTCTTATCGGTAAAATGGGGATAATAATGCTATCAACCTCATAGGGCTGTAGTTAGAATTGAATTAAGCCACGTAAATAATTTAGTACCTTGTCTGGCACAGAGAAAATTGTTAGCAACTCTTATTTTATTTCTGTGCCTCCCTCCTTTCCTTCTTTCTTTCCAACATCAATCAGTTCTTGAATACTTAATAAATGCTTGCACACTAGTCTAGATATAGTTAGTAGACATGAGCACAAGGTAGTTCTTGAAACTCAAAGTTCTTAAGCTTAGTGGGGGCAGTAAATTATATAATAATGGGATATACATTACTGTAAAGACATGTGTGATAAATAACCGGTTGTGTAGAATATTCCAAGGTGGAAAAATAATAAGGATATTTGGGGTGGAAGGAACATAATATGCAAAAATATGTGGTGGATGGCTGGATGTGGTGAAGGGAGTGAGAAGTGTGGTCAGAAGTGATGGAAGTTGAGGCAGAAAAGTAGAAGAGTAGGCAGAGAGGGGGGCTGAATACCATACATGGAGGAGTTATTTTATTTACATAGGAAAAGGCATATAATGCTCACCATGTATAAGTCACTGTTCTATGCCATTTACCAGTATTAACTCAATCCTTCTAATAAGCCTACAATGTAAGTAACCCATTTTACAGATGGAGAAACTAAGGTGCAGCCCCAAGTCACTCTGCTTATAATTGGCCCAGCTGGTATTTGAATTCAGACAGGTAGGCTCTGGAGCCCTTGCTTTAGCTGCCTTGCTTGCCTGCTTTACAAGTATGAACCTAACCCTGCCGAAAATGGAAATATACTTATTGATCATAGGTAGGCTTGGGATATGATTTTCTTTTGAACTTTAGAAAGATTATTTTGGTGGCATAGTTGGGTGCATTGAAGCAGGGAGACTAAAGGCAGACAGATTGTTTAGGAGGGAATAATGGCCCAGGAGGAAAAGAATAAGGACCAGGGCAATCACTGTGGGTGACAAATGTGAGGGTCAGTTTGGAGGCATGATAGTGGGGTGGCAGGGAGGTGAGGGAGATGAGAGAAAGTAAGGGCCACACTGGTTTCCAAGTTGTGTGCTTGAGTAGAACCATTAATGTTTAGGAATCAGCCATGTGGAAAAAGAGGGATTAAATAAGAAAAAGCAAATTCTCCTAAATCCAGGAAATATAAAATGCATCATTAGATAAGAATAATTCTATGGCTTCTCAGTATATCAGTTTTAAACCTCGAAACACCCACGGAGTTGATAGGAAGGAATGAATGAGAATGTATATTTAAAACTAAAACGAAAAACAAAGGTCAACAAAAACACAGGGAAACTTGTTTGGAATGTTTTTCTGTTACTATGAAAATGAAACCATTTGTAGCATTTCGGCATAGAAAGGGGGGCTGGCAAACGAGGTGGGCAAGGGACGAGAGGGTTGGCAGAGCTGAAGCAGGCCTGAGAGCCAGTGAAAGCATTGCTTGCTTGGAATATGGCCCTTGTTACCTCCCACTGATTACACCGCAGGACCTGCATGGAAGAGAAGAAAATGCACTAAAGGAAACCACTAAAAAGGTCTGCATTTTTCTGTCTTCTGTCTCAGCCCTCTCGTCCTCCCTGGAATCCATCATTATCCTTCTCTCTCCAATTGTACTACTGTATTTTTCTCCAATAAAAACCAGTCTATTTGAGGCTGATCTCCTAACTGTTACATTAGGAGGTGGGAGAACTTTATAGGAGATGCTTCTAAAACGTGGGATGGTGACAAATCAGGATTATCAGAGAAAAGTACACAATCATAACTCAAGAGTGGCTCTTGCCATAGGAATGGTCCCTCAAAGCTCTCTGCTTTTTGCCTTCTGGATCAGCATGTTCACAAAGCTGTCTTAGGCAATTATTAAAAAGCCTTGAAACTTTGCAGACTATTTGGACTATAGATTGGAATATAGGTGCAAAGAAGTAGATTTACTGTGTCCAAATGCAAAACTAATCAACTCAGAATGACAATTTCATATGGTTATGCCCATTACAACTTTGTTTGACTTCTCTCATCTCTTTGAGTATATGGGATGTCATTAATGTTACCAGCTGCATGACTTTCTCTGAATACCAATAACAGAGGAAAAAAAAACAAAAACAAACCCCACACTCAACAGCCATTGGCTCTCCTGTTTTCCACTTAGATAGCTATTATACTGCCAAGGCAAATGTGAAACAGTCTCCCACAGTAACAGCAATTTCCCAAATGCCCTGTTAATTTTCAGTAAACCAAAATAAAATGTGTTATTATTTATTAAGAATATGCACTACATACGGTTTCCAGATGATAAGTATTTCAGTAAAGTACTACATTGAGGACAATTTGAGTTGGCTTGCAAACTGTAACCTTAGAGTAATGGGTATAGCCCAGGGTCAGAATTGTCACTTTTATTGGGTTAATTCAATGCTCATGGTTTACAGGCTATGATATAGGACCAGTGAAAAGTTTTTCCATCCCCAGTATCAGCTGCATTATATATATAATTTTATGTAAAAGAGTAGCATCCCATATATCATTATTTATTCATAATGACTTTTACCAAACAACTGCATGGCACAGGATGATAGTGTAGTCTGGGGGACAGAATATGGAACACACATTCCAAACACTGGGTCTGAGACAACTCCTTCAATTATATCAACTTTAGAAGCACAAAGTAGGAAAATAAAATTTCACAGTTGTGAGACAGCAGGTCATGATTTCACAAATAGAATATGAAAAATGGAAGGATCTCAGGTTTGGGAACGATTTGGGCTCTCTTTAGGGTAGTTAACACATGCTTTAGGAATCTTTGCTATAATACGGGACCCTGAGTCTCCACTTGAATTGTGGGGGCCCTGAGCTAACCTCTGCTTTCTAGAAACTTCCAAGCCCTGAGGAGAGGAGAGCAGCATCTGATCAGGACTCTGGCAGTGACAGGGCACCCTCTGGTTCTGGCCCTGGCCAGATCTCTTGTGAGAGCCGCCTGCTTCGGCTTCATTTCCTCTTCTCTGTGCTTCCAGGTTCTCACAGCTGGGTCTGTGATTTCCTAACCGAATGCTGCCTGGGTTAGGGAAGACTTAGCCTCAGTTCCTGCTCTCCCCTGGTGGCCTGACTGTGAGATGTTCCCCCAGACCAAGGTCTGGCACCCTGCAAAGAGCTCTGGGCTGTGTCATCGCCTCCCACCCGGAGGTCAAACCCTTCTGTTCTCAGGGCTTCAGGTCACTGAATTAGAATTCCAGTTCGGTTTTAGCTATTTGCCTTAAGGAAAAGGAAGTTATGGTGCTTTTTAAAAATTACACATAAAATATGTATTCATTTAGGAAAACCAGAACCCCAGCCCCTCAAGTTACACAATTCCCACTGCCTAGTGATAACTACCACTAACATTATGAGTTTTATTCTTCAAGGAATTTTCTCTGTACATATATACAAAGGCTTACTTTTTTACAAAATGAGATTGTATGTGTGTTGTATGTGTGTATGTATCTATATACTTTTACAATGTAAATATGCATTTTTTCTTGCATATACATACCATATTAAAAATATACTCTATGACATTATTTTTAGTGGTTAGTATTCTAATTTACTTAAAATAAGTTTCAAATTTGAAATTTCAAGAATGTATTTTTGCACATCTACTGCTTTTATCACTTCCTCTGATTTTCCCAGTTCCTCTGCCTGAAGCCTTATGTGTGACTCCAAAGGGGATCCTGGTTCTCACAACATAATGAATGAAAGAATTATCCCTGATAGACACTTGTCTGAAATGTATTTGCCTTGGATTTTTTTTTTTTTTTTTTTTGACTTAGGAACAATTTATTAAAGTGAATAATTTTCAGATTTATTTACCATTTCTTCAATGGCAGATTTCTTTCAGATTCTTAGGGTCCCTGTTACCATTTTAACATACACAGAATGTTAAGATGTTAAAAGTCACTTTTAGACAGATTTTAAAAATAGACGAAAAATCACTCCTGATATATAACACAGGCCCTATTTTACATTGTAGATCTCTTAGTAAAGCTTTAATCAAGACGGAAACTTTTATTTACTTTTTAACCCAAGTCATTTGAAGAATATATTGTTATATTTTTTCTAGTAATTTTAATACATTTACTATAAAGTCAGCTTTCCTTGTATTTTTAATAATTCATTTTTTGATATGTTCAGTGCTCTATTGAGCAATTGCCTTGGATTTTTAAGAGTTCCTGAATGATTTTGCTTCAGTGTTCTTCTGACCATGTTGTAAACAACGCTGCCCCAAAGGAGCATAATAAAGGAGCATAATAAAGTTCAGAAACTTCATTAGCATACATAATAATAGCTAACATTTATAGGGCTTGAGTTAAATTAATTAGCTCATTTAATTTTGACAAAAGAACCCTATGAGGTAAATATGATCATTCACGTCATTTCCAAGTTGAAGAAACAGAGGCACAGAGAGGTTAAATAACTTGCCTAAAGTCACACAGCCAGTAAGTGCACACTTGCAATTTAATCCAAGCACCCTGGCTCCACTACCAAAGTGCTTCATTCCTATGCTGTGCTTCTTTTAATCCTAAAAGCATAGAGTCTTTCTGCCTCATCTAGAGTGAACTCAAGCCTGGAGTTGGTATCACTCAGACATCACTTCCCAAAGCATAGATATTTTCTTGCCTACTAGTAGCTTTTATTTCTCAGAAGTACAGGTGAGTGGGACATTGATGGAGACAGGCCCCAGAGCAACCACCCCATAGCCTGGCATCTCTCTTTGCATTGCTGCGGTGTTCCCTTGAAGTCATCTATAGTCTAGGATGCACTGGAACGGATGGATATGCCTTGATTTTCTCTGCTTCTGGTGCAGCATGGAAAGAGAACAAGGGTGTGAGAGGTGAGCGGGCAAGTGCTCCTTGATCTTTACTCCAGGATATCTTGGGGAGTTCAACTCTTTCCCCAGACCACCCCCTCCTCCCTTCCACTTATCTACTATCCCTCTTGAAGTAGTGAGAACATAGTGGGGAGAGACTACAACTAAATTTGTGAATTTAGTTCTAGTCTCAATCCCACATAAATGTTGTGTGTGTGTGTGCATGTGTTTGCTTGCATATTTTGGCTTTGTTTCTGAGTGCTATGAAAATATAGGAAGAAGGGAAACATGACCCATCCAAAATACTCTATCTTTCACTTGCTGTGCAGCTCTCAGGAATTATGCTAATTTTATGTAAATCTTGATAGTCTCTTATCTACATGTAGAAAATATATATTTAAAGAACGATCATTCTCTCAAACTGTACCTCAGTGAAAGGAAGAAAACAGCAGCTTCAATGAATAATTGAAACTTACATAGCAATGTACAACTGGAAGCCAACTTGCAGTCTTCTGACTTCTACTTCAAGAAGTCAGCACTCTGACATGTGTCTATAACATTTCAAAGGGGCACAACATGCAGATACCACCTGTAGGTAACTGACTGCTGGGGTGGGGGTACTTTCATCTACTGCTCCCCACATCACATACATACTTTGTTGGTTGGAGCACTGAGCACCATCTCATCAGTCAGCCCCCAGAACACAATTGCATTCCAGAGGCTCCACTTTAATGCTGCCAGGTAGCTTCTCTCTTTTTCAGCATGTGCTTGGTGCTCTTCTTGAAATTAAACAGTGACCTCTTACTTACCTTCAGGTCTAACACCAGGCTGGCTGTGATCCTACCCAAAGCTTGTCTCCTGATTCATGCAACCAACAACCGGGGCTCATCAATAGTGAAAAGGAGGTCTTTGCTCCTCTGTACTTGTCATCAAAGCCAAAGGAGCTCATGTTCCTCAGGGCAACATCTGGCTAGAATTTATGTGGTGGGCATGGAAATATTATTTTCTAGATATAATGATTTCTTTGCTTTGGCATGGCTGATAATGGCACCCTGCCACCACCAGAAACTAACCATGTCATTTTCCTCCTGTCAACAAGTTCTTACCAGTGATTTCCTGTCATTCCTGCCCTATTTTAAAAGGGGCAGCTTCTCCCTTGGCAGCATACTTCAGGAAATAATCGCATCAGCTGGGCAGCTGTTGAGGTGGAGAGTTCTATGCCAGAGGAACGACCTCTTTAGGATTCATTGCTACACTGACAACTGTAACTTGTCCTTACTCCATCTGATGTCTTACCAACAGCTCCTTCCGTAATTCCCCACGACGTGGCCTTTGCTCCCTACCCACTGCTGAAATGCTCTGGTCTTCCACTTGTAACTTTGAGCAATTTTGGCTCAGTCGCTGTGCTCATTGTTGTTCCCTTCTTTTGGTTCCTGTTGATGGGTCCCTCCTTCCCAATGCTCTCTCCTGATCTTTGCTTTCTAGGTCATCGAACTTCTTTGAGCCCTTTGATTTTTCTCTTTGGTTTTTTCCTGTTTCTTCTTTGCTTCCTCTTGTTCCTTTGGCTTCCAATCTGTGGGCCATGTAGGGGTCCAAAGAACTCTGTCCTAGGGACCTTTCCTCTCTACTCACTCTGAGAGTTAACCCATACCCATGCATTTAAATGCCAACTTAGTGATACTAACCAAAACCTTCAGCAGTGGCTTAAAACATGAAAATTATCCAAGCACACAATTTACAGTGGGAAATATTTCTAAAAGTCTTGGTAAAATTCATTCCCTGAAGGAAACCTCATATCCTGTCATATCCTATTTGTGGAACCACATTCAATTCTTTTAACTGGTATTTTTGGGCATTATTTAAAAATATCTAAAAATAATACTTATGTTGCTCTTTCTTTCTTTCTATTTTTGTGTGTTCTTAGCTATTGGCTTCCAAGGTAGATGAAGAAGATTTAGCTTCCTTTCACGTATACCACATTATACCTATACATATTCTCTCTTCTCCCTATTCTTTTTAAAGAATCATTTTAAAATTTGAATTAAATGAATAAGCAGTGTTTATGTTTGACTATAAAAATGTTACTTACGGTGAAAGATAGATAACATACTATGATTATTTTAAGAGGTAACATGGAGTAATAGTTAAGAGAACAGCTTCTAGAGTCCAACAACCTGGATTCAAATCCCAAAGACAGTACTCACTATTAGGAGCTAGCTCTGTTTCAATTTCTTCAACTGTAGAATGAGATACTCATAGTATCTACAACAATGAGTTGTGATAATTTATAGTTAATAACTGAATTAATATAAAATTAATAAATATAAAGAATTAGAACAATCCATGTCTTCCAGTAAGCACTAAATATGTGTTAGAAGTTTTTGCTTTTATTATTATCTTTCCCTGTGCAACTTTTATTTTTTCCTGGGATTAACAATAACAATCATAGTCATAATTTATATTTTTATTTGTATAGCTTTCCGTGTACTAGCTATTCTTAATCTGACTTGGTTTTAGCTCTACCTTCTACATTCAGAGGCAATTGGTGCCAAGGATTCCTGAGTCTCTGGGGACTTCCATGGTGTAGATCAAGCTGCTTCTCATCTTTTCCTCCTTCTGGCTCAGGATTCAGTTGCCTTGGGTGCACCAGGTCAGTTGCTACTCATCCATCTGCTTCCTAACTTTTAATGTTTTGTCATGCTTTCTTTAATTTGGACTTATGTCTTCAAAAAGTCTCATTATTATCATTCTAGTGGGACTTCAGGAGGGTACAGAGGGTAATGTGTATTATAACATTAAGGAAGACAGACCTTAAATAAATAAATGCATATAAGCACATCACTCCAAATTATAGGAATAACCTATAAAGGAAAATAGTAGGATAATTTGAGAGAACAGCAAAAAGGGACCTAATCTGGTCCCCTTTGGTCTTCGTGACATGGCTTTTTGAGAAAGCATTATTTAAGCTAAGCCCTAAAGATAAGTGAGAATCAGTCAGGCAAAGATATAGAGAAAAACATTCCCTGCAGATGAGCAGCCTTGAGATAATAGAAGAATCAGGACTCTGGGCTGAAAGTGACAGAGCCCAAGCCTAAGCTAAAAAAAGAGAACTGTTCAGTCCATATAAGTGGGACATCTAAGAGGTGGAGACAGTAAGGCCTGACTGGATCCAAGGATTTATATGAGGCCTCAGGTTTCTGTCTCTCTGTCCATCTCTTGGTTCTATTTGCCTTTGCTTGGCCTCATTCTCAGAGACTTCCTCTATTTGGTGGCAGGTTGTCCACTAGCAATCACAAGTTACATCATCCTTTACAGCTCCTGTCCCAGAGAAAAAGAGAGAGGCTTTCCCACCATTTCTTTAGAATCAGCATCCATGTATGAATTCTCACATTCCTTGGGATAATTACAGTATGGAGCTCTGCATTTGGCCAGACATGGGTCCAACCATACAGGCAGACAATAATTTGGCTCATGCAATGTACTCAAAGATATTTACTGTTAGAAGAATTTTGAGAGATCAGATTATAGAGATGTTAGGGTTATTTAAGGCAGACTCTTATAAGTGATGTTAAGCATTTGGAATTTATACTACATGCAATGAGAAGCTATTGATGGATTTTGATCAGGGAGTAACACAAGCACTGTAATTAGTGTTCATCTCATCCAAACTTTCAAATCCAATTACTTTTCCAGTCCCCTTACTGTGTCAGAGGCACCACCATCTTCCTGGTGTCTTAGGCTTACATTTTAAAGTCATCTTTGCGGTCTCTCTTAAATTTATCACCCATATAAAATTAGTCACTAAGCCCTATAGGTTTTCCCTTCCTGAAGTCTCTTTAATTTATCCTTGCTCCTGCTTCAAGTACATTGTCACATCCTTACAGGTTCTTATCACCTTGGACTTGAGTTTTTGTGAATAGTCTCCTAACTGGCTTCTTTTCTGTTTTCTCTCTGCTTCCAAGTCATCACACATGGCACTGTCAGATAGTCCTTTTGAAAATACCACTATCTTCTTGTCACTCCTCTACCCAGGAGCCTATTGTGGTGTCCTATCACTTAATGAATCATACCCAAATCCCCAGCCCAGAATCTAGAGCCTTCCGTCATCTGGCCCTGCTGTCCTATCTAGTCTTATCTTCCCATTATCCCTCCACCACAATAAGACATGGGCCCTGACTCCCCACTTCTTCCATTCCACAAGTGGGGGAAGATGGGCTGTTATAAATTGCTTTGCAGACAGAAGATGATAGAAACTCAGGGAAGAGAAAGGAGAATGTAAGCCATTGTAATAAACCACAACTGTGTTTGATAAAGAAGGGCTGAGGATGTAGTTGTGTGGCTAACCTGAACTCAGTGGTGTGGTCAAGCGAGCCTGTCTGAGTGAGCATGGTGGGCAGATGTTGATGCCCAGGAGAAAGATCCAACTATACATTTTCAAGATGAGGCATTGGCTGGAAGGAGGATATTTGCTCAGCAAGCCTTTCCAGGGTGTAATACCCACAACCTCTTACACAATGTGTGGGCCGACTCACGGGTTTCTGGTAACTTGCCCAGACTTTTCAGGGTCAATTGGTACTGCGGAGAAATGATGGATTGATTATTAGAGAGGTATGAATAGTGTCAGGAAACAAGATCAAGCCGGGTGGGATCTTATTACTTATTTTTGCTAAAATAGCTTTTAGGTGGGGGTTTGGCGTGGTGTTTGTAATATTCAGGAATAATATGTCATTACAGTGGGAAGGGAATCTGGCAACTTTTAAAAACCTACTAAAGTTCTAGGGGAAGTTGGGTAATATGGTTTGTAGCTAAATCCTAGGAAATAATAGAAAAGTTAAAAAATTTAACACAGGGGCTAGGCGCTGTGGCTCACGCCTGTAATCCCAGCACTTTGGGAGGCCGAGGCAGGCGGATCATGAGGTCAGGAGTTCAAGACCAGCCTGGCCAACATGGTGAAACCCCGTCTCTACTAAAAATACAAAAATTAGCCAGTCATGGTGGCACGCGCCTATAATCCCAGCTACTCAGGAGGCTGAGGCAGGAGAATCACTTGAACCCGGGAGGCAGAGGTTGCAGTGGGCCTGAGATTGTGCTACTGCACTTCAGCCTGGGTGACAGAGCGAGACTCTGTCTCAAAAAGAAAAATAAAAAAAAAAATAAAAAATAGAAACAGAATTGCTATTTTCTCTACCTGGGAATGATTTGGTGAATTGCTAACTACATTATCAATTACTGGGTGCCAGGAATAGACATAATTTGTTCAAATTTTGTAATTTCCATAATACTTGAAGTTATTTTGCAAAATGAGGAGTTTATATTAAGTTTTAAGGGGTAGAAGAGTTTTATTCATCCAAGAGAAAAATTTTTAAAATATGATACAAGGTCACAGTAATTCTGTGATGGAAAGAATGATGGCTCCCTGAAGATGTCCACACCCTGAATCCCTGGAACCTATGAATGCTAGTGTACAGGGCACAAGGAACTTAACAGCTGTGATTGACACTACTGGCCTTGAGATGGGGAGATTAGCCTTTCTTATCCAGATGGGCCCAGTCTAATCACATGGGTCTTTAAAGTTGGAGAAACTTTTCCAGCTGGGGTTAGTCAGCAAGAGATGTGACGATGGAAAAGTGTCAGAGAGATGAAATGCTGCTGGCTTACAAGATGGATGAAAGCCAGGGGAAAGGAGATCACAAGCCAAGGAATGTGGGAGGTTGAAAAAGGCACAGAAACAGATTCTACCCTGAAGCCTCCAGAAAGGAACACTTGCTGACAACACCTTGACTTTAGCCGACTGAGACTGCATTAGACTTCTGACCTGTAAAACTAACATAACACACCTTGTGTTGTTTTAAACCACTAAGTGCTTGGTCATTTGTATGGCTGCCATAGAAAACTAATGCATATAGAAAAATAATGCATATTATTTAGTAAATATATATCAGATGAATGGAATTCATTTAAGAAATTAATAAGAAAATCATGTAAACAGTTTTCGTCTGTTTGGATTAGTACTTATACATATTTTTAATAAATGATTCATTTTAAAACTCACATTGATTGAGCACTTGCTATGTACCAGGCACTTTCCTATGCTCTTGTATTAAATCCTCAAAGTAACTGTCTGAAATCATTACTATTAGTTGGTGAATTAATCTTTCCAAAGTCATCCACTTAGAAAATGGTGAAGCTGAGTTTTGAACTAAGGAGGCTACAGAACTCATTCGTTTAGTCACTATGACAGTGGTTCCCACATCTACCTGCACAATAAAATCACTTGGTGAGTTTTTACAAATCTTAATGTCCAGATTACACCCTAGATCAATTAAATCAGCATGTTTGAGTTTGGAGTGAGGCATCAGTACTTTTTAAAGTTCCCCCATGATTCCAAGTGTACAGCAAAGTTTGAGAACCACTGCATTCAGTGTACTGCCTCTCAAACTACAAGATAAATTTAGTGATTTATTGCATGTAGTAGCAAAAATTAGAACTCGATTTGTGTAAAAATACAATACAAATTACCTCTGACTCTAAGTTGGTGGTTTTGTCTTTCTTAGTACAGCAACTGTCGTTGGCTGGTTAAAAGGGCAGTCGTTAGTTAGTCCAAAGACTACAGTAACATTGATTGTGCCTGTAGACACAATTTGGATTGTCAGTCAAAATAATGGAGGGGCAGCAGTGGGGAAACCTTTCCCAAAATCAGACAAGAAGGAAGGAGAAACAAAGATCTTTATCTGGTATCTAAGCCAGAAGAGAATGGAGACCTGCCAGATGAGATCTGTGATCAAACTGCCTGTCTGGACATCTTGTCACCACTGTTGTTAAGTCTGTGTGCTTTACGTGTCTTCAGCCTTAGTCGGAAGCAGCTCTGCTCCTCCTTTACAGTTGGCACCATGCCTGAGAACCTATATTTCCTCTATTTTGCCATATCCTGGCTTCCTTGTGCTGTAATGGACAGCTTCTCTAGGCTCACCAATCTTGTTAGTAGGGGTAGTGTCCCCCTTCTGGTCAAGGAGCAGATTGGAAGTTGGAGCACTGTTGGAATTTTGGCAGCAATCTCTGTCTGCCATATTGGCAGATGACTGTTTTTCTCTTTAAATGACATTTTTTTTTTTGTGAGGTATATTACCCAACTTCTCCTCTGGCAGGAGAGACCCTTTGTGTTTTTTCATCTGCCGCAAAACTTAACTTTCTCAGTTAGTTTTGAAAACAGGAATTGGTTCAGCAGGTTTCAACTGGAAACAGGTGTTGATGATGATGTCCAAATCTTCAATTGAGGTTCTTCTCTTCCCTTTGCCAGCCTTTGCATGGAGTAATGAACAGACCTGTGTTAGATGTAGCAGATGCACATCTCCTCATGGGCCAGAACTCTTGATTCAAATCACAGGCTTGCCGAGAATTATCACAGAGATGAGAATCCTACATTAAAATGCACTTTTGTCTTACTGGTAATGATCACAGACCTCATTACATCATTTATTTGTATACACTAAGCCATAAACTTGCTTTAGCCAGGATTACCTCAGGATTCCTCGCTAAACACAAGGCAATCTTGTTGGCTTAGATCCTCCCACTTGGCTATATACTCTTTGCAATTTCACCAGAACTTTGCCAACACTCTACTCTGATGTGTGCTGTGTAGAAGTAGAAGGAAAATAGCTAAATCAAGAGAAGGAAAGAAGTAATTTACAAATTTTTCATGATTAGCATTATTGTTTTCTGTTGGACTTGTACTCATCTTGGTAAATTTTACAGATTATAATTCAATTTTATTTTTATCAATTCTTATTTTCTGAGTTTTTAAGTTAGGAAAGAAATTTAGTTAAGAGGGATGATTCCAAATGTGATTGTAGCTCAAGTGGAGTGGAGACCTCATTGTTTATCTAGTGAATTCATATAGCATAAAGATACAGGAGTATCAGCCAAGGAGTCATCTGGGGGCAATTGCATAAAACTCTCTTTTCTCATTGCACAACATCACCTGGAACAAGAACTCTAGGCTTTTCAAGATTTAAAGGTGGCTGAAAAATTCAGTGAAAATCAATGAGAATTGAGATTTTTAATAAATCACAAATTCATTAATACTCTAAAAACTACGCTTCAAGTTGGGAAAATCAGTACTCTTTCCTGATCATTCCTTTATCCTATATTTTCTTTGCAGTTAATTTTACTTTCATTTTCTCAAAGCCAATTTGTCTTCAAGACAGTTGTTAAGTCCTATTCTATGCCTTGCATTTTCAAAGAATTACATGGTTTCCTTCATCCTTAAAGATAATTTAACAAAGCTTACAGACACATTGTGTGTGTGCGCACACACACACACACACACACAAATTTATCAGCTAATATCAGTAAATGATCAAAGCCCCATGGAAACTATTGAAAATTAAACTGGGTTGTAGTACAATGGTATCTGCAATGTATTGGTTATTTATCCATGTTTATAAATAGGACACAAAAGCTTAATTTTATCATAATTGAAGAGCAATTTTGAGAAAGTCATGTAATTTAATGGTTTAGCTGTCTTTTATTGCTCTATGTAAATGGACTAAATAACAGCAGTAAATGTTGAACACAATCTAATGCACTACAATTTCTTTGGAACACAATTTAAATTTCAAATTATGTTTAATGCTTTTGTACATATCACAGGTCTCTTTTTTAAAGCTTATCACATGGAATTGATTTATTCAAGGAAACTAGCATTTGGAAAAAACAGGAGAATGGGTCATTTGGAAATATGATCAAATATGCTGAAAAATATGCGTCATTTACTTTTAAATCATCCTTTCCTTTCATTATTATGAACCTCACCAGTGCCTTCCTGTATTATATATTTAGATAGTCTTTGAATAAGACAACTTTTTCCAACTGTATTGTGTTATGTGGCCTCAAATATTTCCTGTTCCTTTTATGTAATTAGGCTCAACAGGAGAAGGTGATATAGAATAAGACACAATGTGTGTATATGTTGGCCCGTTTTTCCTGTAGAAATGATTCATTAATTGGCATCTGCCCTTGGTGCTATATTCACATCCATGCCAACATATCCTTCTGCATGAAATAATGTTCAATGAAATAGGGGAGAAAATGTTGTTCTCTTTGGATTCCATCTGATTTCAGAATGTTGTGATTAAGATACAGATGTGAAGGTCAGATAAAGAGGCTAAAAATAAAACATTTTTGTGAGAGGCAGTTAGAAGGCTTTAATGAAATTTTAAGATGGGGGTGTTAGAAATAAGCCAGGATGTCTAACTTGCATTCCCTTGGGCCATCACAACAGGGAAGGATTCCTCTAAAAAAAAAACTCATTCATGAAATGTATAAATCTTAGAAGGAAAACACTCAAAATATATCGTGCACACAACAATATGCTTTGGCTCTCATAGAATTTTCCAGTTTAAAAAATAGGGTTGTCTGCTCACAGGAAGACATCAAACAAAATTGAGAAACTATGGAAACACACTTGCTGCTAGGTTGAAAAGAAATCTGGGCTGGGCACGGTGGTTCATGCCTGTAATCCCAGCACTTTGGGAGGCCGAGGTGGGTGGATCGCCTGAGGTCAGGAGTTTCAGACCAGCCTGGTCAACATGGTGAAACCCCATCTCTAGTAAAAATACAAAATTAGCCGGGTGTGGTGGCACATGTCTGTAATCCCAGTTACTTGGGAGGCTGATGCAGGATAATCGCTTAAACCTGGGAGGCGGAGGTTGCAGTGAGCCAAGATGGTGCCATTGCACTCCAGCCTGGGCATTAAGAGCGAAACTCTGTCTCAAAAAAACAAAAACAAAAACAACAAAAAAAGAAGAAATGTGTAAATCTACTATAACAAAATTATTACCAAATATACTGCACAGAATTATTAATTATCAATGGACCAACAGACAAATGATTTTTCCTACATCTCTTGTCTTCTCAGGGTGAAGCCTTTTCATGCCTCCTGACAGTTTCAATTTTCAAGTAGTTGCTTAATTCAATAGGTGTCATTCATTTATTTGTGAATTCCTTCTTACTTTTGACAGACTTTAGGCATTTAATGGTAGACCAACCAGTAATGGAGCTCAAAGACTTATGAAGAGGACACATAGTAAACAAATAATTCTATGATTATAATAAATATATAGATGAAGACTGGAGAGATTTACTTCTTTCTGCTGGTTCCTGGTCCTATCACTATGAATCCAGCTTCTTGACAGTGGCAGCAGCAGTTCGTTCCAGTGGCCACAGATGACATCTATTTGCAGTTTTTCTAATACTCACAGAACAAGTCTCATCTCTTCCTAGTACCAGTGCCTCTCCTCAGAGGACTGAGTCCGTACCCTGTTTACTTTCTCCTGTAAGCTTCTATGTTTTAATAATTCCAACCTCTTCCTTTTGTTCCTGAGAGTGAGAGTTGTTTCCTGGGAGTGAGAGTTGTTTCCTGCAATTCCTATCTCTGTGATACCTTAGTGTTCCTATTTGCCTTTCACTTCCTCAATACCCATTAACAATCTTTACATTAAATTCTTTCTGTTAAAATAATTGGTATGGTGAAATCTGACTGAAATTTAGTAGATATTGTTGGTAAAACCCTAACATTAATCACATGTACATTTTTTTTATCCTAAAGACCTGCCTGGATCCCCTGTAAGCACTGAGAAACACATATTCAGAATATCTAAAGTCATACACAATAATAATTTTTAAAAATGTGATATGACCAAGCCAGGCATTGTGGTAGGCTTTGGGAGATTACTATTGATGAGTTTATAAGTTAATGGAGCAGATGAAAGTATAAACAATTGACTATAAAATCACTCAAGAAATGAACCTATGAAAGGTATTTTTAAGGGCATGCCAGCCTGATGATAGAGACAACTGGATAGATAATGAAAAACTCATCATTCCTTAACTTAGTTGTATTTGCTGGTTCACAGAAACTTTATCTGTTAACTTAGGTCCACTTCTGCCTTTGGCTAAGTGAAGATAAATATAAGTCCTAATGAAAAAACAGGAATCGTACTGTAAGTAGAAAATGAAACAAATGTTAAGTGGACCTGACACAATTAAAGAAAATTAGAGCAAGAACCTAGACTATTGTTGGAGGTACAGAACAACTTTTGTTATGTCTTGGTGTTTGGGCATTTTTGGAATGCTTGGTAACTTCTTTGGCTACCTCAATACCGTTTTTCTACCTTAATGCACCATTATCGCTGCAATACTACATTCTTTAGCATTAGCAACTAGGCCCATAGCCCTTGATATTCCCCTTACAATTCCAGGGTTTTGAGTTTAATGGTAGTTCCTGGCCCCTAATTGTCTTATTAGGTCATAGGTAATTGGATAAAGATAATTAGATAAGCTCTCTGATGCGCTCTGGATTCAAATGTCTATCTTCATGAAATAGCCCTCTATCGTATGTTGCCTAATACACAGTAAAATATTAGTTGGCGACAACCACTGTTTTGAAAAGCAAAGCAGGATAAGGGTGTGGAGAATAACAGGAATGTTATTTCAAATAGAATGGTTACTAAAGATCAAACCGATGACATGACATTTGAGCAGAGACCTAAATGAGGCACAAACCAAGCTGTTGGAAAGATGAAGTGGAAGAGCATTCCAGGCAGATGGAATAGCAAATGCAAAGGCCAAATGTGGACATGGTCTCGGCCTATTTGAGAAAGTGCATGGATGCTATGGAGAGGAAGTAGAGTGAATGAGGGTTAAATGGTAGGAGACTCTATTAACAAGATAGTCAGAGACAGGTCACATTGTAGATCATGGTAAGAATTTTAGATTTACTTATCAGTGTGTGCAAAGCCATTGGACATTGTTGAACAAGGAAGTAATGTGCTCTGATTTAAAATTTTAAAGGATAACTCTGACTTCTATGTGGAGAATAGATGGTTAGTGGCAGGAGCCAAGACCAAGGAGAATGTTATTGTAGTGGACATACTGAAGAAAAAGGATGGTTTGCAATAAGGTGGTTGTGATGCAAATGTTGAGAAGTTGCTGACTGACCTTACTGACGGTTTAGCAGTGAGGCTCCAAGAACCACTGGACAGCTGCTTCAAAGATGTGCCAATTACTGAAATGAAGAAATCTGTTGAGAAAGCAAAGCAGAGACACATACATCCAGCCTCCTGCCCACCCACAGGTTATAAAGGAACAATAAGTTTCATTTGAGATCCAATTTAATATTCAGTTGAAGAGGTCATATATGCATCAAGTTGAATGTCCAGGGGAGAGTTTAGGCTAGAGATATAAATGTAGCCACTATTGTGATACTGGAAGTCTTGTGATTAGATAAGATTATCTATGAGATAAGTGTAGATACAGAAGAAAAGAGGACAGAAGATCATGTCCCAGGGTACTCTAAAATTTAGACATCATGAAAAGGAAGAGGCAATGGAAAATGAAAGGAGGGTCAAATGAGGTAGGAGAGAAATCCAAGAGTCGGGTATGGAAAGGCCTAGTAAAGACAGAGTTTCAAGAAAAAGAAAGTGGTCACCTGTTCCACATTCTTCTGAGGGGTCAAGTAAATTTGTAGTAGTGCACTGACCATTGATTTAGCAATATGGAGTCATCAGCAACCAATATAAGGCAATATATGTGTGGAGACAAAAGCCTGACTGGTGCTTCTGTGAGAAAACAGGAGGTTGAGAAACAGTA
The DNA here is from genome assembly GCF_000001405.40 of Homo sapiens. NCBI lineage: Eukaryota > Metazoa > Chordata > Mammalia > Primates > Hominidae > Homo > Homo sapiens. The sequence goes on along the minus strand of NC_000001.11, from coordinate 83,539,980 downwards.
TAGTTAATTTATTTTTATTTTTATTTTTATTATTATACTTTAAGTTCTGGGATACATATTCAGAACGTGCAGGTTTGTTACATAGGTATACACGTGCCATAATGGGTTGCTGCACCTATCAGCCGGTCATCTACATTAGGTATCGTTAAATTTTTAAAGGGCTTTCTTTAAAAAGAATCAGGTGAATGGAGCAATAGCTGAATAAGATGCTTGATTAAGAGAATTTCTTATATTTTCTGTTGGCAGATATGCATAATTTTATCAATATGAAAATGATTTGGAAAAGGGGAAATTAATGGTGGACAAGAAATGAATAAAGACTCTAGGAACAAAGTCCTTGAATAGGCAGGTGGGGATAAAATGTAATATTATCATGTAGGGGTTTGCCTTTCATCCATGATGGAAAGAAAAGTACAGGAATGAAGATGCAAGTAGTCCAATAGATTTGGTGGTGGGAGACAGAAGAAGTTTTTTTCTGGTTGCTTCTTTTTTTAAAATAGACTGTTTTTAAAAAGCAGTTTTAGGTTCACAACAATATTGAGCAGAAGGTATAGAGATTTCCTATATATCCCTGCCCTCCAAACCTGCACAGGCTTCCTCATTAGCAACATCCCCCACCAGAGTGGTACATTTGTTACAACTGATAAATCTACGTTGACACATCATTATCACCCAGAGTCCATAGTTACATTAGGAATCACTCTTGGTATGTACATTCTATGGGTTTGGACAAATGTATAAGGATAGGTATAATTTTAGTATTTTTTTTTTCTTTGAGACAGAGTTTCGCTCTCTCCCCCAGGCTGGAGTGCAGTGGCATGATCTTGGCTCACTGCAACCTCTGCCTCCTGGGCTCAAGTGATTCTCATGCCTCAGCCTCCTGAGTAGTTGGGATTACAGGTGCGCACCACAGTGCCTGGCTAATTTTTGTATTTTTAGTAGAGACGGGGTTTCACCATGTTGGCCAGGCTGGTCTCGAACTCCTGACCTCAAGTGAGCTGCCCTTCTTGGCCTCCCAGAGTGCTAGGATTGCATGTGTGAGCCACTGCACCCGGCCCATTATAGTATTATACAGGATAGTTCCACTGCCCTGAAAATCCTCTGTGCTTCACCTGTTCATCCTTCCTCCCTCCTTACCCCTGGCAAGCACTGATTTTTTTTTTTACTGTCTCTCTATATTTATACCTTTTCTGGAATATCATATAGTTGAAGTTAGGCAGTGCATAGCCTTTTCAGAGTGGCGTCTTTCACTTAGTAATATGCATTTAAGTTTTCTCCATGTCTCTTCATGGATGATAGCTCATTTCTTTCTTTTTTTCTTTTTTTTTTTTTTGAGACGGAGTCTTGCCCTGTCGCCCAGGCTGGAATGCAGTGGCATGATCGCAGCTCACTGCAACCTCCACCTTCCAGGTTCAAGCCATTCTTCTGCCTCAGCCTCCCAAGTAGCTGGGATTACAGGCGCCTGCCACCCACTTGGCTAATTTTTGTATTTTTAGTAGAGATGAGGTTTCACCATGTTGGCCAGGCTGGTCTGGAACTCCTGACCTCAGGTGATCCACCCACCTCGGCCTCCCAAACTACTGGGATTACAGGCGTGAGCCACTGTGCCCGGCTACCTCATTTCTTTTTAGCATTGAGTCCAATATACAAATTGAATGTTCAGGGGAGCATATAGACTAGAAATCTAGAGGCCTCTTCCTCTTCATAACTTCTAAATATTAGAGTGTCCTGGGACTCAGTCTTCTGTCCTCTTTTCTTCTGTATCTACACTCATCTCATTGATAATCTTATCTAATCACAAGGCTTCCAGTATCACAATAGTGGCTGCATTGTCTGGATGTTTATTTTTCCATTTACCTACTGAAGGACATCTTGATTGCTTTCAAGTTTTGACAATAATGAATAAACCTGTTATAAATATCCAAGTTCAGGCTTTTGTGTGGACATAAGTTTTCAACTCATTTGGGTGAATACCATGGAAAGAAATTGGTGAGTCGTATGCTAAGAGTAGTTTTGTGGCCGGGCGCGGTGGCTTACGCCTGTAATCCCAGCACTTTGGGAGGTCGAGGCTGGTGGATCACGAGGTCAGGAGATTGAGACCATCCTGGCTAACACGGTGAAACCTCGTCTCTACTAAAAAAATACAAAAAAAAAAAAAAAAAAAAAAAATTAGCCGGGCATGGTGGTGGGCGCCTGTAGTCCCAGCTACTCCGGAGGCTGAGGCAAGAGAATGGCATTGACCCGTGAGGCGGAGCTTGCAGTGAGCCCAGATCGTGCACTGCACTCCAGCCTGGGCAACAGAGCAAGACTCCGTCTCAAAAAAAAAAAAAAGAAACTGCCAATTGTCTTCCAAAGTGGTTGTGCCATTTTGCATTCCCACAAGCAATAAACAATGAATGAGGGTTCCTGTTGTTCCACATCCTCCTTGGCATTTGGTGTTGTCAGTGTTTTGGGTTTTAGCCATTCTAATAGGTGTCAGTGGTATCTCATTGTTTTAATTTGCATTTTTCTTGTGCCATATGATGTGGAGTGAGTTTTCATATGCTTATTTGTCATCTGCATGTCTTCTTTGGTGAGGTGTCTGTTAAGGTCTGTTAAGGCCTATTTTAAAAATTGGATTTTTTTTATTGTTGAATTTTAAGAGTTCTTTGTGTATTTTGTGTAACAGTCCTTAATCAGATATGTCCTTTACAAATATTTTCTCCCAGACTATGGGTTTTCATTCTCTTGATAGTGTCTTTCAAAGAGCAGAAATTTTTAATTTTAATGAGGTCCAGCTTAACAATTCTTTCTTTCATGGATCATGCCTTTGGTGCTGTCTCTAAAAAGTCATCACCAAACCTAAGGTCATCTAGATTTTTTTTCTATCTTATCTTCTAGGAGTTTTGTAGTCCCACGTTTTACACTTAGGTTTGTGATCCATTCTGAGTTAGTTTTTGTGAAGGGCAGTGTCTAGATTCTTTTTATTTTTTGTGTATATATGTTCAGTTGTTCTAGCATCATTTGTTAAAAGACTATCTTTTCTTCTTTTTATTGCCTTTGTTCCTTTGTCAGTGATCAATTGACTATAGTTTTGTTGGTCTATTTCTGGGATCTCTATTCCATTCCATTGATCTATTTGTTTATTCTTTTGCCAATACCACACTGTCTCGATTATTGTAGCTATATATTAAGTCTTGAAGTCAAGTAGGGTCAATCCTCCAACTTTATTCCTCTTCAATGTTATGTTGGCTATTTTGGGTCTTTTGCCTCTCTATATACAATTTAGGATCAGTTTGTTGATACCCCCCAAAAAACTTGCTGAGACTTTAATTGGCATTGCATTGAATTTATAGATCAAATTGAAAAGAACTGACATCTTGACAGTATTTAGTCTTCCTATCCATAAATATAACTTTTTTCCATTTATTTAGTTTTTCTTTGATCTTGTTCATCAGAGTTTTGTAGTTTTCCTCTTATAAATCTTATATGTATTTTGTTAGGTTTCTACCTATTTCATTTTTGAGTGATAATTTAAATGGTATTGTGATTTTAAACTCAAATTCCACTTGTTCATTGCTGATTTGTAAAAAAGCAATTTACTCTTGTATATTAATCTTGTATCCTGATATCCTGCTATAATCATTTATTAGTTCCAGTTTTTTTGTTAATTTTTCTGGAATTTTCTACATAAATGAGTATGTCATCTATGAACAAATAAAGTTTTATTACTTCTTCTTTCTTAATCTATATGCATTTGCATTTTATTTCCTTTTCTTGTCTTATTAGCTAGGACTTACAGTTCAGTGTAAAAGCACTGATGAGCGGGTACACCCTTGTCTTATTCTTTATCTTGGTGGGAAAGCTTTGAGTTTCTCACTATCACATATGACATTAGCAGTAAGATTTGTTTTGTAGATATTCTTTATTCAGTTAAGAACTTTCCCGTCTATTCCTACTTTAGTGACAGTTATTATCAAGAGTGGGCATTAGATTTTGTCAAATTATCTTATGCATCTATTAATACAATCCTGTTATTTTTTTCTTTAGCCTCTTGATATGATGGATTAAATTAATTGATTTTCAAATGTTGACCCAGCCTTGCATACATGGGATAAATCCCACTAGTTCATGCTGTGTAATTACTTGTATATATAGTTGTATTCAATTTGCTAATATTTTATTGAGAATTTTGCATTTCTGCTCATAAGAGATATTGGTCTGTAGTTTCTTGTAATGTTTTTGCATTGTTTTGGAATTAGGGTATTGTTAGCCTCACATAATGAATTAGGGAGTATTTCCTCTGCCTTCTGAAAGAGATTGCAGAGAATTGGTATAATTTCTTCCTTAGGCTGGGTTCAGTGTCTCATGCCTGTAGTCCCAGCACTTTGGGAGGCTGAGGCAGGTGGATCACCTGAGGTCAGGAGTTTGAGATGAGCCTGACCAACATAGCGAAACCCTGTCTCAATTAAAAATACAAAAATTAGCTGGGCATGGTGGCATGCGCCTGTAATCCCAGCTACTCGGGAGGCTGAGACAGGAGAATTGCTTGAACCCGGGAGGTGGAGGTTGCAGTGAGCCAAGATTGTGCCACTGCACTGCAGCCTGGGCAACAGAGTGAGACTCCATCTCAAAAAAAAAAAAAAAATTCTTCCTTAAATATTTGATAGAATTCACCAGTGAATAGTACTTTGTTTTAAAAGATTATTAAATATTGATTCAGTTTTTAAAATAGATATAGACCTATTTGGATTACCTATTTCTTCTTGAGTTTTGGCAGATTGTGTCTTTTAAGGAATTGGTTCATTTTTCTTGTTGCTGCTTGAACTGAGAAACAAGATCAACAGCTGAGAGTGACAAGGGGAATAGAGGATATTAGCATTTTGAGAATAAAAGTGAAGGTATGGATGATTTGTCTCAGAAGTAGGAGAGTAAATTAATTAGAGCAATACAGTTGAATTGCTAAGCAGCGCTGAAGCTTTGAGTTTGTGAACATAAATATATGGTGATATGATTCTGCCTCTTCAGATACCTGGACAAAAGCAGAGAGTAGATGGAGAGTCCTATTTAACCAGGAATATAAATTTGGTAAGTAATTACAACAGAATAAAAGACAGGTGGAGGAGCTCAGGTATATGTAAGAGAATAGATATAATGATGGTCCGTTGAATAGAATACAAGTGGGTAAAGAAGTAAGTGAAAATATGACAGGATAATATACAGAGACATGGTGATTTGGTCAATATTTTTAAGGTTCTGGTGGAGTCAAATAATTGCATAAACATAGTATTGACATTTTTGAGGAGATGTAATTATTACTGGTATGAACACGGAGTGGTGGGCCTGATATAGGAAGAAGACAAGGTCACTGGAGATGAGGAGGTAAAGGAATTTCTAGGAATTGAATTTCCATTGAGTTTCTGGTTATTGGACAAAGATGACAAGAGAGTCAGTGGAGAGAAGTACAATAGGCCCGATGCTCCAGTACTCATGGAAGGAGAAAGAGTGACAAGAAAATCAGCAGAAGATCACAACAAGACTGGCTCCAGAAGGATGGTAGATGACTGCAACATGGCACGGGAGTAGAGTCCAATGGCAAATGTTTCAATGGAACAGGGCATTTTTAGGGATGTGGAAGAACAAAAGAAAAAGCAATGGACAAAAGCTCACTGGAGAACAATGAAAAGCAATGGAAAAAGCAATAAAAAATACTTTATTGGACCCAAAGAAACAGAAATAATTCTATTATAAAGACACATGCAACACTACTCACAATAGCAAAGACATGGAATCAACCTAAATCCCCATCAATGATAGACTGGATAAAGAAAATGTGGTATATATACACCATGGAATACTATGCAACCATAAAAAAGAATGAGATCATGTTTTTTGCAGGGACATGGATGAAGCTGGAGGCCATTATCCTTAGCAAACTAACACAGGAATGGAAAACCAAATACTACATGTTCTCACTTATAACTGGAAGCTAAATGATGAGAACGCATGGACACATACAGGGGAACAACACACACTGGGGCCTGTTGGAGGGTGGGAGGAGGGTGAGGATCAGGAAAAATGACTAGTAGGTACTAGGCTTAATACCTGGCTGATGAAATAATCTGTACAACAAACCCCCATGACACAATTTTACCTATGCAACAAACCTGCACATGTGCCCCTGAACTTAAAATAAAAGTTAAAATAATATAGTTCATTGGAAAAAGCAATTAAGAGTAAGAAGTATATACGGTCCTTTTAAACAGACTTAATGGTAAGTGGGGTGAAGTAGAAAAAATAAATCCCCCTTGGATGCACTGCAGAGGTAATAATATCCTCCAGTGGTGGCTGATTTCAGTTAATGCAAGAAGGTGAAGATGAAGGCAACATTCAAAGAAACGATTAAGTGGAATCTATTCAGATAACATAGTAAGATATGGAAACCAAATAAAAATCCATGTCCAGAATAAAGAACTTTTAAGATATTTAGCTAAGAGCAGTTAGAAAGTCCTGACTAATTAGCTTAATTTAAAAGTTATTGTTACAGTATCACCTACAGAGGCAATATTTATTACAGAGAAGAATTTTTTAGGCTGACTCTAGCTACTTTTTAAGTCCCATTGTTTTTTGTTGCTGTGTATGTGTGTGTGTGTGTGTGTGTGTGTGTGTGTGTGTTGCAGGTAGTATGTTATGTAAGATAATTTTTTTAGACAAGGTTATATACAAAGGTGTGCTTTCATGTGCTGTAGAACAGGAATCAATTCATGTGTGGGGTATAAAAGCTAACTGTGAGAAAGTCAGTGTTACACAAATGTAAGTGGGCTTCCTTTCTGAATAACTATTGTTAATTTCCTGTGTCTAATCATAGGTTTTCATTTGGTATTATACTTTTCTATTCCATCTTTGTTGCCTTTTTATACCTTCCAGACATGGTCAGTATTGACCCTGGTGATAGACACATGGCTATGTTTTACAGATAATAGAATCTTTGTTCATTTGTTGGTTGTACAACATACCTTACATGTTACCGCTTATCTTTTTATTGTGCTGGGCATGATTTCCAGCAAAATAGCTAGCAAATATGTTCACATTGAGGTATAAATCTTACTTAAAGTGAAACGTTAATATAACCATAAAAGCTTGGACTTTCCTCAGCCCTTCCTGGATGGACAATTGCTTGAGCTGTCCTTATATCCCATGGCTGGCATGTCAGCTGCTCTTTATTATCCTACTCATGCTGTTATGTAGGCATGTTGTCTCTGTTGCAATTTGGGCATGTCACTAAGATGACAAAAAAAAAAAAAAAAGCAGCCACCTGTTTCCATCATTTGTTCTTGGGCGTGGTGGTTAAGAGCATGTAGTTTCCGGCTGGGTGCAGTGGCTCACACCTGTAATCCCAGCACTTTGGGAGGCCCAAGGCAGGCAGATCACTCAAGGTCAGGAGTTTGAGACCAGCCTGGCCAACACGGTGAAACCCCATCTCTACCAAAAAATACAAACAAAAAAAAAGAAAAATTAGCTTGGCTTGGTGGCACATGTCTGTAGTCCCAGCTGCTCAGGAGGCTGAGGCATGAGAATCGCTTGAACCCAGGAGGCGGAGGTTGCAGTGAGCCGAGATTGCACCACTGCACTCCTGCCTGGGTGACAGAGTGAGACTGTCTGAACAAAAAAAACAAAAATAAAAAACAAAAACAAGAGCATACAGTTTCAAAAGCACACTGGATGGAAATGTCAGATAGTGTCAGAAAAACATGTTTACTTTGTGAAGAAAGAGATTATTTATACTTTGTGGGGACAAGTTAATTATCCCCTGCCTTAGAGGAGATGTCATTCCATTCTAGATATTTTTGGTAGGTCAATATTGAACAAGCAACTGAGCTAGTGGCACACTAAATGTGGGGGCAGTGAGCACCATCTGTCCTGGGTGCAGGGCCTGGAGAGAACTTGGAAAGAATAATAAAGCTTGCTAAAAGTAGAGTGGTTTTCATTATAACCATGTGCTGGCAATTCTAAACAAAGTCGGTAACAGAATAATTCTTCCTCAAAAACTTTGTGTTTGTCTAAGTTCTAAACAATCATAATTGTAAATTTTAATAACATGTATGTAAGCTTCAAATTAGCACATTTTTATTATCCTTTAATGAGCATTGTTTTTTACATGGAAGTTAATTTGGAGAACTCTCAGTTATTCAGCTTGTTCCATTACACATATGGTCTTAACTATATATGTTTTGAGATGAAGCTTGTTAGAGATTAGAATGTTGAATTTTCTTCAGGCATTATTTGTGTCTCCAATCCCTATGGTACTACATATTCCTGTGTTTAATCAGTAGATTTGAAATAAACAGTGAGAAAATGTGATAATGGAGAATTGGAATCTGAGTTATTTCAATTCTATCATCTTATGTGACCACTTTGAGTTTTAAATCTATGTTTAAAATTTGAAACATTAAATACAAAGTTTTTGGTTGGCGAGTACAAATTTTAGTTCATATATAAAATATTTTATTGAGATAAAATAATATCTGTAAGATTTAATTATAAATGATCAGTTGTTTTAATACTAAAGAACAAATAAAAACATAAAATGTGCATCAGTGGTAAAAATTAGTAGTTATCTAAATTGCACTTTTTGCAGATGTTTCAGTTTCATTTAACTTTACTTATTAGTTACTGGCTGTATACGTTTATGATTTTCAATAAGAAAATTTGATCATATAGAGGAGGGAGTGTTAAAAATGGTTTTCTTCAGGTTTCGCTTTTGCTAGATTTGCTGCTGAAGCATTTCCATTACTAGAATAGGATGCACAGTTTGATCATTATGGGGGTATGCTCCCACGGAACATCCAGAATCAGGTTCCTAAAGCACTTCAAATTTTTGGTAGAGAGATGACCTGTAAGTGTAGAATACCTGTGTTTGAAAAACTAGCATGGACATTCATTGGCGGCATAATTATTTTAGTTAGCTGGGAGCATATTGCAATTATTTTATGTCTTCAGCATGCCCTCAAGGACTGACGGTGAAAACAGAGACAAGATTTAGAATAATACAGATCTGTGTTTGATTCTCAGCCCTATCTCTTACTATCTGTGAGGTCTGAGCAGCTCAGCCTCTTTAAGCTCCAGTTTCTCTATCTGCCAACACGTAAGCAAAATACCTATATCTCAGAGGGTCGTGGTGAGAATTCAATGTTATGTAAGTAGAAATACTCAATCCATAGAATCTGCCCAATGAATGTATTTTCTTTGTTCCTACCGCTTTTACAAACTCAGTTTGGTTATTACGTCATTCTTTTTCTTTTCTTCAACTTAAGTTCTAGGGTACATGTGCAGGATGTGCAGGTTTGTTACATAGGTAAACGTGTGCTGCTATGATGGTTGCTGCACAGATCAACCCATCACCCGGGTGTTAAGCCCAGCATCCATTCGCTGTTCTTCCTGATGCTCCCCCTCACCCCTGACAGGCCCAGTGTGCGTAGTCCCCTCCCTGTGTCCATGTGTTCTCATAGTTCAGCTCCCAGTTATAAGTGAGGACATGCAGTGTTTGGTTGTCTATTCTTGTGTTATTTTGCTGAGGAAAATGGCTTCCAGCTCCATCCATGTCCCTGCAAAGGGCATGATCTTGTTCCTTTTTAATGGCTGCATAGTATTTCATGGTGTATTCATATCACATTTTCTTTGTCTATCATTAATGGGCATTTGGGTTGATTCCCTGTCTTTGCTATTGCGAATAGTGCTGCAATGAGCATATGTATGCATGTATCTTTATAATAAGATGGTTTAGATTCCTCTGGGTATATACCCAGCAATGGGATTGCTGACTCAAATGATATTTCTGCTTCTAGGTCTTTGAGGAATGGCTACGCTGTCTTCCACAATGGTTGAACTAATTCACACTCCCACCAACAGTGTAAAAGCGTTCCTTTATCTCTGCAGTCTTGCCAGCATCTGTTGTTTCTGGACTTTTTAAAAATCACCGTACTGATTGGCCTGAGATGGTATCTCATGTGGTTTTGATTTGCATTTCTCTAATGATCAGTGATGTTGAGCTTTTTAAAATATGTTTATTGGCTGCATGAATGGCTTCTTTTGAAAAGTGTCTGTTCATGTCCTTTGCCTACTTTTTAATGGGGTTGTTTGTTTTTTCTTGTAAATTTGTTCAAGTTCCATGCAGACTCTGGATATTAGAACTTTGTCGGATGGATAGATTGCAAAATTTTTCTCTTATTCTGTAGGTTGTGGAAGAGTTGGTACTATTTCTACTGAAACTATTCCAAAAACTGAAAAAGAGGGACTCCTTCCTAACTCATTTTAAGAGGCCAGTATCATACTGATACCAAAACCTGGCAGAGATACAACAACAACAAAAAAACCTTCAGGCCAATATCCCTGACGAACATTGATGCAAAAATCCTCAATAACATACTAGCAAACCAAATTCAGCAACATGTCAAAAAGTTTATCTGCCACGATCAAGTTAGCTTCATCCCTGGGATGCAAGTTTGGTTCAACATACACAAATCAATAAATATAATTCATCACATAAACAGAACTAAGACAAAAACTGCATGATTATTTCAATAGATGCAGAAAAGGCCTTAGATAAAATTCAACATCCCTTCATGTTAAAAACTCTCAATAAACTAGGTATTGAAGGAACATACCTCAAAATAATAAGAGCCACATATGAAAAACTCACAGCCAATATCATACGGAATGGGCAAATCCTGGAAACATTCCCCTTGAAAACGGGCACAAGACAAGGATGCCCTCTCTTGTCACTCTTATTCAACATAGTATTGGAAGTTCTGGCCAGAGCAATCAGGCAACAGAAAGAAATAAAGCGTATTCAAATAGGGAGAGAGGAAGTCAAATTTTCTTTGTTTGCAGATGACACAATCCTATATCTAGAAAACCCCATTGTCTCAGCCAAAAGTTTCTTAAGCTGATAAGCAACTTCAGCTAAGTCTCAGGCTAGAAAATCCATGTGCAAAAATCACTAGTATTTCTATACACCAACAACAAGCAAGCAGAGAGCCAAATCATGAATGAACTCCCATTCACAATTGCTACAAAAAGAATAAAATACCTAGGAATACAGCTAACAAGGGAAGTGAAGGACCTCTTCAAGGAGAACTACAAACCACTCCCCAAGGAAATCAGAGAGGACACAAACAAATGGAAAAACATTCCACCTCACTCTTTGTATAAGGTTTCATTAGATGAACACTGTCCTTGTATTTTATGCTGTTTTTTTTAAGCGCTAAGGAGGTCCATTGAATATTTGCTAATTGGTTGTGATATATGACGTTGGTTTCCTAAGGTCTTTATTAAAGTTTCCAAATTATTTATTAACTGATTTAGTGAGGAAATAAATGAGAAGCATTAATTTTTACTTTATTGAAAATATCTCTATCTTCAATTATCAATGCATCTTTTATCCCCAAGACTGAAGGCCTGTGGAAGGCATGGAGAGTGTGGTGTGCAGGGGTAAATGGCGAAGGGGATTAAACAAAAGTTGATCCATTGTAACAATTTTATATCACTTTCTTCCCAGGGAAGATTTGTATTGGTGGCCCTGAAGCAGAAAGCTCTGTATCCCATTACTAGCAATGAGTCATTCAGTCTCCCACAGATCCAAATAAAGTTTTACAGAATACCCTATGGCATGCCTTTCAAAATATATGAACACCATAAAATATATCATTTATTTTACCATATGAACTGACTCTGTCCCTTATTCACCATTTGGGATAGCAATCTTACCATGTGCTTTTGGCTCTTAGGTTATCATCAGATATATTGGAGTTCTCTGAGCTTTTCCATTCTAAGTCCCCATGGTATTTTCAGGAGTTTTATAACTTGGTTGTAAAAATTCACTCTAAACTGAAACTTGGCAAACAATATATTAATCTGGGAAGTTAATTTCTTTTATAAAGTCCAGAATCTGTTTAGCCCCTCTTTTGAGTTCTCAGAGACCTTGGAAAAATAAAGTCAGCAATTAAAGTTTTTTTGTGTCTTAAAAAAATGCAATTACATTTCTCCAAAATCCTTTCAACCCTATTTTTACAGGTGAATAGCTTATATTTTGGATCAAGTTCTGATATATTTTGAAACAGTTTTTTTTTTTCTTTTGGCACAGTGAAATAGAGTAATTAAGAAAGGAACTAGGCTGATCTTACCCTGTTACATCACTGGAATAACAACGTATCTTTAGAGAGTGGAGCCTGTCTGAATTTACAAAAAGGACTAAGAATTTAATATCATTGGACGTTCACTAATCTACAAATATATCACTGAGAAGTATTTAAAACACATGATATGCCCTCAATCTTGGAAGAATTACTAAGATGCTAAAACTTCTGTTTGCAGTTGGTTTATTGGACTTTGGGAATGACTTTGCCGTCATGTAGTGCCAGCAAATGTAATATACATATGTATAAGAATGTAAAAGAATATGTAATGTACATATTCTTTTCAGGTACCAGAGAATTCTGTCTCCATCTCCTCCCACTTACCAGGGCACAGCTCCAGGGATGAGTTATACAAATAGTTTGATTGACCAGATGCAATCTGCACAAACAACCTTCTCACTTCAGAGACAGGCCCAGCAATAAAAAGTTCAACAACAAATGACAAAATGAAGTAACATTTAAAATGGAGCTTCATGGCTTTACAACACTTTCAGGTATATTTTCCAAAAGGAATGCAAAACAGAATTAAATCATGGTCTTTGGAGTTTCACAGAAGTGATGATCATTAGCTCTGTGGCCTTGGGGAAGCTACTTAATCTTCACAAGTTTCATTTTGCTTTTTCTTCAAAGTAGAGATAATAACAATACATACTTATTTAGGCCCTTATAAGGCTTAAAATCAGAAAATATTTGTAATGCAATTCACAGAATAACTAGAAAGCTATAATCAATATTACTTTTGGTTATTATTAATGATGCTCAATTTTCTGGTGAGTTTTATGAAGTAGATTTCATTATTATTACCATTTTACATATGATAAAAATTTAGGTTCAAAATGGGTTTTAACTTGCGTCAGATCACACAGTTAATAACTGTGTTTAGCTTGGTCTCAAACCTAGGTTTCCTGACAGTAATCCTAGTACTTTTTTTTTTTCCTGGTACTTTTTATCTTTTGGTAACCAGAATGTCAATTTGAGGAAGATTATTTCTTCCTCAAAAAGTGGGATAGAGAACATAAACATTTTTATATTGAAAAAGTTAAAAATTTTAATGCATAAGGATCAACATGTTTACTAGAAGGACTTTTGGGGTCCTTGAAGGTTTCTTTTTTAGATTAAAGTATATTAACTTTGTACTAAAATTATCTGTAATAGATTTGATGTATCTGTTATAGTCTGTTAATAGCAGCTGGGTTTTCCCAGTAGACTAGAAAGGCTTAGAATGAAACAACCATAACAGTTAAATAGCTTATTGATTTCTATATCCATGGACTACACTTGGTAGGTCCTATTCCTGCATACAGTGATCATTATGGCTGCCATGTATACACATACATATTTGAGTAGGGCAGTACTTGAGGAGGAAGGAGAGTCAGGGAAATCTTTTATATGAAGTGAATCTGTATTTATTTGAAACAAAGGATAACTTAGGCTGTATTCATTATATTAGTGCAGATGTGGTAAAGGTAGTGTTGCACCAAATTTCTTTCCAATAGTGAGCACTCATTCCCCCAGCTGCCCTTACTCATGGGTGAGTTCTTCTTCCTGAAATGGCTGTTAGCTGAAAGGACCTCCTTTGCCCAGGGTGTTTTCCTCTTCCTGGAAGTAGCCTATATCCAATGACTGGTTGATATGCGTCTCACAGGCCTTGCCCTTTACCCCAGTTTGGATAACTCAGAAGTGCCATTCCAACTTCAGAGCTCATGTATGATTGGCTGAGGTCCCTGTTATAATGTTATAAGAGCTTCGCAGTTCAATTTCTTCCTCTGCGGTAGCCCAGCCAGCCTTACTTAGTTTACTTCCTTACAAGTGTTGTTCCACAGAGTGCTCCCAATAAACCTCCAGCGTGAAGGTCTCCATCTATGAGGTTTTTTTTCCTGGTAATCCCAACCTAAAGTTGTAGATGGCTATCACAGAGCTAAGGGGGCTTATCAGATGCTACAAGGAGGAGAAGCAACTTTACTGTTATAGGAGAAGCAGGAGACAGAGTCAGATAAAAAGAAATGAGAAGGGGAATTGGAGTAAGCGCTGAGTGTCACAAAGAGAGGCAGAAAAAAAAAACAGCCTGGATAAGCAGGGGGAAGCTGAGCCTGTGTAAACAAAATACCTTAGTACTTTGCTATATGATGATCATAGCTGGGTGAGATATTATCAGTTAGGTCTTTATGTGATAACCAATATATTTCTGGTGTGGCAGCTTGGTGAACATAGAATCAGAGATCAGACAGCTATAGGCCCTAGAGATGGCTTCAAAAGAAGCTCTAGCAAGGATGCCCAGATAGCCAATATGATGCTTACATGAGGCATGATAATCAATAAAATTCTTTGTAGCTGCAAGGGTCAAACAATGCCCACACTGTATTGATGATCAAATATACAAGAAACAAGTATAAAGACTAGTCGTCATCCCACATAGGGCAGAGTTAGCAGAAGTTAGGAAGGGACCAGAAAGAGCAAAACAAGGTGCCCAGTCTTAGAATAAATAAGGTAATAAGGGACCAATAGAGGAGCTGACGTACCATAAACAGATCAGGGATCCAATGCAAGGACTGGAGTATAACCAGGTCTACTGTTTGGTGAATTCGGCAAGGGTAATGAGTTCCTAGGTAAGAGAGAACTGGTCTAGAGTGGTTTTAATTACAATTTATATGCTGATAACTCCTAAAGGTCCAGGCCCAATCAGTTTTTTAAAAAATCTCTGCACTAATTTCTCTACTAGACATCTTCATGTGACTACTCAACCAAAAATTCATATTAAACATGTGCAAAACTCATTTTCTTCTTCAAACTTCACCCTCTAGTTCCTGCTCTTGGTTGATTGCATTACTATTCCCTAGTTATTCTATTTGTCCCTGTCAATATTATACAGAAAGGATAATATTGTGAAAAGGGCCTGGATGAGTGACTTCTGAATTCTAGTGTAGAAGGAGTTAGAAGGTGTAAAAGATGTGGGTGTGCCTAGTTTGGCTCCAGTTCACGCCCAAGCTTTCCAGTTTTGGTTTCTGGTCCCACAGCCATGACCCACTATCACCACAGTCTCCACATCAGTATAGACTGCATGTCTGCCCCTCCTGCGAGCTGGATTGATCCTTAAACCCTTGGGAATGGTATGGGTGAAGGACTTGATCCAGCTAGTTATTCTGTATTTTCAACCCTCTGTTTTAACAAATTCCACTAATTTGTTTTACTTTGGCATATTTGATCACAAAAACTAACAGGAAAGTGCTGGAGGAAAAATGTGTTGGACTTCACTGTATCTCAAACTACTCAAAATCATTTGATGATCTCTTTGAACAGCACTATATTTAACTCAGTGGAATCAAAGATGATACAAATAGTGGATCACCTGGTAATTACTTTTATAGCTTTCATACTGGATGAGAATCACCATTCGTCAGTGTTCCCTAATTGATTAAGGTGCAGGGAAGTACTGACGGCAAGGAGGCTCCTTAGCCTGTCACTTTGCCAGAAAGAGTGTGAGCACAAGAAGAACTAGAGTTCCCAGTGGGCTAAATTCGAGAGGTGCCTCAAGGTTATCTTTTATGTATTCATCTATTTACTAAATGCATATCAGATTCTGTGTTGTTGGTGACACTAGTCTTCCTATTTGGCATCTTTTCTCCTATATCTTTTTTCTCTCAAGTACTCATTGCTCTCATGTTTCTTTTGCCCTTACTATAATCAAAACCTCCTCTCAGGCTTTTTCACCTATAATAACTTTATAAGCACCTACGATATTACCTTTTTCTGGCAACCTTGCAGTTAAACATAGATCCAAATCTTGAGTGAAAAGAATGAAGTATTTATCAACCATTGGGTCAGGGAGAATTTAGGACATCTGGGTCTTCCCAGTCTCCTTGAAATCACATTACCTAATTGATCTGTGCAGTAGGCTGGCCTTGGATCCTTGTTTGCAAGGAAATGGGAAAACCAGAAGTGAATTACTGTAGAATGAAAGATGATCATGGAGACTAGCAAAGAGATCTCACTGAGCAGATGGCTGTATAAGGTAGAGTAGCATGGCCTTCAGAGTTTGACAGAGCAGACTTTGAGATTCAGTTTTGAAATCAGTTGTGAATGTCAGCTATGACATTCAGCATGGTGTAAGCTTTAATTATTTATTTGCACAATGAAAATAATAGTACATACCTTTTAGAGTTGTGAAGACTCTGTGACTTACTCTATGCAAAGTACTGATAGGGCAGTGCTGGCATATATCATCATTGTTCAATAAGTGTTTAGGATGATAGTGAAAAAGACAAGAAGGAGGAAATGAAAGAGGAGGAGGAGGAGGAAGACTTGCATTGGACTGGACTTGAGGAGTTTATATTTATATTTATGTATGCTGAAGCAAGATTGGTTGCCACTGTGCACCTCCTTGTTTTGGCAGCTTAACACTGCTGAGTATGATTGCTCATCTCCATCCCAATCTTCTGTGTGGTTGCAGTGACCATGTCCTGGTTTCGAGGTTCTGCTTTTTCCCCCTTACTCTATCTATCCTGAAGCAAGGAACCTTTGTAGTTTAGGCATTCTTTTCATTTCCTATTATTTTATTTCTGCAATTTTTGTGAAGCCTCCACTAGAAAGACCTGAACTAAAGACTGGTTCCATAACTTCTTCTTGAATGTAATGTTTCTGCCATTCCTGCATTCAACAAGTATTTATTGAAAACCACTAAGTGCTGAAGATTCAGTGTTTAGCATTAACATGGAAGCCTTGTCTTAATGGAGCTTAAAATCAAAAAAAGGTTCACATGAAGAGATATTAAATGTAATTAGTCATTAGGAAAAGCAAATTACATGAGAAAGGTGTACTATTACTTATCTAAAGTTCTGAGGCAACAGGAGCTCTCATAAATTGCTGGAGAGAATGCAGATAGTATAGCCAGTTTGGAAAATAGCTTAGCAGTTTCTTCTAAAGTTAAACATACAACTGACATGCGATACATCAAGACCAATGTCAGGTATTTACCCAAGAAAAATGAACATTTAAATTTACACAAAACATATGAAAACAATTATAGTGGTTTTATTCAAAATCACCAAAACTGGAGACTATTCACATGTCTTTCAATTGGTGAATGGATAAACAAGCTATGGTTCCTCCATAGATTGGATGTTGCTGAGTGATATAAAGGAACACATTACTGATAGATGCAATGCCATGGATGGAGCTCTAGTGCATTGTGTTGTATGAGAAAAAGCCAGAATTCAAAAGCTAAATACTGTGTTAGTCCTTTTATGTGGCATACTGGATCAGAAAACAGAGCAGCAATTTCCTGGGACCTGGGAGTCAGAGAAGAGGTTGGCTACAAAGGGGCAATATGAACTAATTTTTGGGTATTGGAAGTCTAAGAATGGAAAAGAGTAAATCTTACTCTTCATCAATTTAAAAAATTGATTTCAAAAGAAAAAAAGCATATATAGAGAGAGAAAGAGGGGAAAGAAGATCAACAGTATGTTGCTGGATAATATGTTAACCAAATATTTTCAAGAAAAGATCTGAACTGAAAGATTCAATCCCTCATTTCTTGGAGATAAAATTTCAATGTGGCCCTGCTAATTTCAAGGAATATTATAAGGTAAACATACATTTTTGATTATTCTAACAGATCAAGTCACTATTTCGTAATGACAAGTCTAAATAAGTATTTCATTAAAACAGAAAAAGATAGGTTATGTAATGTTCACCAAACAAGACTTATAAATGTATCATTTTAGGTGGAGTATCAAAGTTGCAAGAAACTAAAGCCTATGTGAAGTGTGTGAACTTTCTACTCTTATTGATATATGTAGCAAATATGATTTACTAATAAAAACAAACTAAATTGGGTGACCAGTGGCCTGCGTTTGATTTGCTTTGGGAACAGCAACCTAAATCCAGCCCTGGCCAACAATGAATTCATCTATAATTAAAGTACCTTAACTTGACTGGTCAAAGATGATAATCTTTTTATTTTGGGGCCTGCAATGCTGGAAATAAATGAAAATTAGTAGTTACTCTAGAAAGGTATAATAATAAAAGTAAAGAAATAATTAAGAAATGAGTTAGACCTTTGATGTTGACATTTAAAATAATTAATTGAGTTTATAACTCATATTTGTATATGCTTTGTTATTTCAAATGTTTGCAATATTGAAAAGAATCAACCATGATAGCAGTTAAAATCAAGATAAATTATTTACTAAATTTGTAATAGTTGTTTAAATGCTTGAGAAAGATGTGATTCAAAATTGTGTTCACTAGATGAATGAGTTTATTAAACATTAAACAAATATGCCCAAGAAATCTATTGAAGGTGACAAATATGGGACAAATTAAGAAAGATCAGTGGATGGGTTGAAGCAATGACATAGGGGAGGGAAAGCTTGGACACTCAGGGCTAGGAAAGAAAAACTTATTTTCATGAGCAGAGGAGAAGAGCCCAGACTTAGGAGAAAGGATCACAGTTATTTGAAGATCAAAGTTCTCTGATATATCTGATGAAGACTGACCCTGTGATTTTGCCTGAGGCCCTGATAGTAGCAACTACTTTTGGATGATGTAACATAATCTCTGCCTTCTTTTCTCTTTTGTTACATTGTTTTTGTTTGTTACTTTTGTTTATTTTTACAATAGATTATGATGTGTCCTGGAAGTGTGAAACTGTAGTGTTGGGTAAGCACTATCTAAAGAATGCCCATGCAAGTCAGTGGAGGTGTATTCATGAATTGTCATTTGATTGCTTCATCTCAGGCTGTCCAATGAGAATTTTTTTATCTTATAGCAGACAAATGGACCCATTCTCCCATCGTGTAGGGGGAGCTCTTGGGTTATTCTAAGTTAGGATGGAAAGCACTGGTTGTTAGACTCTTAGAAGATGTTCTTGTCTTTATGGCATTCTCTATACCATGGGAGTCAGGCAATGTCTCAGGCTAAATCTTAATCCAAGAAAAGATTTCACAGAAAATAAGGAGATAAAAAATTAAAACAATACTCCAAAGCTCCTTCCATCAGTTTTACTTTTTTCTCCAAACAAAGTAAGCACCTATAGTAACATATCAGTAGGGGGGAAGGGAAGGGAAATAAAGAAAGGGAGGTGGCTGAGAAGTAGAGGAAAACTCATCAGAAGGATTTTTTTTTTTCATTCTCTACTGTTTTAGTCTGTGAGCTTCATTGTACCTGGGAAATAGCAGGAAATTGTCCGGCTAAACCAAGAGCTCTGAAAGCAGAACCAAAAGCCATGGAGAATGATTCCTGGGCAGATAATACTGAGTCCTAATGAAGGAACTTCTAATATGTTCTTGTCTGATTTCAGAATGTCTATGGATTAGTGACTTCTGTGTGTCTCTCATTTTCCCCCTTTTTGAATGGGAATGCCTACCATAGTTATCTTGTTCTTGTCTTCCTGTTATGGAATAGGCGTTTGGGGGGCAGAATCCCCCCATTTTTTAAGTTTAAAATCTATAGATAAGGGGAAAGATACTTGGGGGAACTAAATCTGTCAAGCCTCATTATTTCCTATGTCTGATTTAGATGAGAAAATTCCAGACTTTGGCCTGATATTATAATGGGATAAGATTTTGGGGGGTTTAGAGTTGGTGAGTATATTTTGCACAAGGGAAAAATGTTAATCCTTGAGGACCAGAGAGAGGGTATACTAGGGTAGCTGGCCTCCAGAAAAGTCCCCAATAATTTCTGCACCCTGGTACACATGCCCTTGTGTGGTCCCCTCCCACATTGTACCGGAGTTGGTCTGTATGACCAACAGAATATGATAGAAGTAATGGCATGTCACTTCCAAGATTAGGTTATAAAAGGTGATGCCTTTTGTCTTGGTCTCTGTCTCTTGGATCACTCTGAGAGATATCATCTGCCATTTATTGGGACCGTCAGGTGGCCTATGGAGAGGCCCACATGGTGAGGAACTGAAGCAGCTGGCCAACAGCCCGCAAGGAACTGATACCTGCCAATAACCCAGTGCATAAGCTCAGAAGTGGTCCTCCTTCAGTCTGGTCTTCAGAAGACTACATCCCTAACCTGCGCCTTGATTGCGTTCTCAGAAGAAGCCCTGATCCAGAACAGAACCACCTTGGATTCTCTACCTACAGAAATGGTGCAACGAAACTTCAGAAAGTGTTGCCAAAACATTACTCCAAAGAAACACTTAAAAACTTTGTTGTCCTGTAATGTCATGCCAGTGCATGTAACTTTCTCAGAAGAACCCGCTAGCCCCCACAGCATTTTACTCATATCATAGTTAGAATGAAAATAATTGGGACCACAGCTCACACTTCCTTTCAGAGGGGATTCTGATATCACCATGCATCCTGATTCTCTTAGTTCCTGCTAGGTGTCTGTTCTCCCTGGCCCCTCATTGTCAGCAGAATCGCACTCCTATCCCATTCTGCCCCAGCCACCTGGCTTGTCCCTCTTTCCTGAACCCTTCTACTCTGCCCTCTGGGACCCCTGCTCTTTGCTCAACTCTTCTCATCCTCTACCTATTCTTGAAACCATCCTTTCTTTGTTCTTTGTTCTGACGCCTGGATTTCTCTGGAGGCCACTACTCTGTAGCCTCCTCAGGGCTAGTCTAATTTTATTCCTTATTACTCACATATCTCTGGGATATGTGAGTTGTGTACTCTCCATTGTCATTGCTTTCTCTCTCTCACATACACAAACACACACACACACACACACACACACAAAGTACACTTTACTCCATTGAGATACGTGGCATTTAGTCATGCTATCATCTTCCTCAGCCCAGTACTTTCATCTATTGACCCCTTGTTCATTTCATTTATCAAAGACCTTATTCCTTGACTCCAAAGAATTTTCTCTTTCCCAGATCCTGTGATTATTCTGGATGACTTGAACATCCATCTAGAGAAACTGCCTCATACCCTCTATTCTCTGTCTGATCTGATCACATGTGATCTCACCTCAGCTACCCAGGACCACAACTGAAAAAATATACCACTTTTGAAAGGTTGACTTTAAAAAATCTCTACTCTCTGATAAAACCTTTCATTCTCCATATCCCTTATACAACTTCCCTCAATTCCAGGATTCTTCAACAGCATTGAGACTTGTAATCTATTGTCCCCTACCATTTTCTTTCTCCTTTCAGTCTGCCCAGTTTCCATAGAGCATTGCTATGGTTGCTCATTGAAAATATCCTACATACACTTGCCATCCTCTTTCTCTGTCATTCTCCTGGCAAAATCCAACATGAGATGAACTCTTCTATCAACTGCCTCAATGCCAACATATGAGAAGGTTAATTTGGCCAGAAAATTCTCACAACTGAACTGAATACTTTAGTTGACATTTATAACTTTTTTTTCAACAAATAACAATGATTCATTTGGCACCTCCTTTATTTATGTGTCAGGAAATATTTTAGACACTGGAGAATCAAAAGAAGCACCAAGCATACAATCCCTCTCACTTATGGAGTTTGCATTTTAGAGTATCACTATTCTCTTTTCTTTACATCCAATTTACTCATTGACTCACTGAAGTAGGGTTTATTGTTTCATCATAATTGCTCTAGTCAGTGATTGACATGTTACTAAATCCATTGGACAATTCTTTGTCTTCATGTTTGTCATCATGGGGATAGCATTTTTTCAACTTCCTTTTTTGTTTCCTCTCTTTTGGCTTCTGTCACCATTTTTCTGCCCTTCGGATCACCCCAAAGCCTGCTTCTTTCCAGCCTCCTTTGTAATTGCCCCTCATCTCTTGTTGTTCTCTCTATCTATGCACTCTCTCAGTGATGACTTCATTCCTTTCCCTGCATGTTAAGGCCATCATTATACTGATGACTTCTAAATGTATGTTTTTAGCTGAGAGTTCTTTCCTGATCTCCAGACCTCCATACTCTACTTGACATTTTCAGCTGGGTAGTTCACAGACATCTCAAACTTGACATGTCTAAAACAGAACCCTTTTCTCTCCTAAAATCTGTGCTGTCTCTCTCTCTCTCTCCCACTCATCTCTACCTTAGAAAATTATACTACAGTTTACTTATTCAAGCCAGAAATCTAAAAATCTGTAAGTAATTTGTAATTCCATAATTATGCTTTTGTCTGATTCCAAGTCTCTTACTCCCCTCCTTTCTCTTTACAATCCAGCCACCCTAGGTTTTTCCAGTTCCTCAAACTCAAACAGTCTTTACCAGGGACTTGACATATATATACTTTTTCCTAAACTTAGAATGTTCTTTCTCCTACTCACAAAACGGCTATTGAATGACCATGAAAAAGATAAATTTTAGATTTAAAATTCTCCACAGGATCTATATAATTCCCTTTTGCCTCAAGTAGTATATGTATTTGCATTTTTTGATTCTGATGCCATATGTAGGTAGTTTTGATGTGACTGCTGTCTCCTTGTAAAACCTGGCCATGGTTACATATGGATTGAGGACACTTGTTTGGGACTATATTAGACAAACATTGAGTTAGATCTTCTCTATTAAATGGAGACAAGGTAAGCTTTTAGCAGTGTTTATAGAATCTCCCCACTTAGTGCAGGCATAAACTGGAGATCAAAAATGATGGGATTCAGTTTTTAATGCTATGGAATTCAAATTAAACACAGCTGATAAATAAAAGGGGGGAATCTCCAGACCAGATAAAAAAATATATGTTTTATATATATATTTTTTTTTAGATGAAGTTTCACTCTTGTTCCCCAGGCTGGAGTGCAGTGGTGTGATCTCAGCTCACTGCAACCTCCGTCTCCCAGGTTCAAACGATTCTCCTGCCTCATACTCCTGAGTAGCTGTGACTACAGGCATGCGCCACCATGCCCGGCTAATTTAGAATTCTTAGTAGAGAAGGGATTTCTCCATGTTCATCAGGCTGGTCTAGAACTGCTGTCCTCAGGTGATCCACCCACCTCGGCGTTCCAAAGTGTTGGGATTACAGGCATTAGCCACTGTGCCTGGCCCAGTTAAAATCCTTAAAATTACCTTTCTGAGAGTCCTGTGTCCCATGTTGTATTCTTTCTTCAGGGAACACCATTGGTTCTTGACAATGCTGATCTGTAATAATGCTCAACGAAACAATAAATTTCTTCAAGTGTGTCACTAAAAGCTGCCTGAAAGGCTTTATACTCATTCAGCCCATCATTCTTCATAAACTTCCGCATTGCAATTCCATTTGTTTCTTTGTTATTTTGTACAGTTTCCCTTTAGTGGATGTCTGCTGACTCCTTCACATCTGGATCCAATTAGAGATCACTCTTTATGTGATTCTAATTATCTGCCTCTACATGTGCTCAGCAGAGACACAATTATTAATAAGAATTTGAATGTGGCTTTCCATTTTCAAATTGCTTTTTCCTTTCACTAGGCATCCTCAATAACTTGAATTCCAGCCCTAATCCTGACTCTGGCTTTTAGAGAGACATTGAGAAAATTGGGGCACCAGAAAGTTAAGTGAATTTGTTCTTATATGTGGGGCAAATCAGGGGCTGTTAAACATGGCTGACTTCTGTGTGGTATAATTTCCAGGATACGAGGCAAGACCTTTGTTGAAAGTGTTCTTTGCCATGATAGTTAATGAGTTCTTGCTGCCCTGCGGCTATCTCACCACCATTATCAATGGGGATAGTAGACTTAAGTTTATACATTGCTGTTGCTGTGGGATTTTGCTAAGTTTTGACTGCCATGTCTCTATTCCCCCTCCTTTTGTTAACAAAATGCTGATTTTCTTTTGGAGAATCATTTCTTTTTCCATTCTCAATCTTTCTGCCTTAGAGGGAGCTCCATACCCACATTGAGAGGCCAGCATGTGTGATCGAAGTCTGGACACTTAACACTTCCTGTCAACTTTGCCGCAGGGCTTGGTTTAGGAATGGGAGCATATCCTGAACTGTTATAGTAAAACAAACAAACAAACAAACAAAAACACAAAAACTCTTCAGACTGGGAGAATTGTTTCCAGGAAACGGTGACTCATTTTTTCACTAGTATTGAATATGGAGAGACATATGCTAAGGTATCAGAGCCCCTTGTTTTTCTCATGAAAAGATGAGTGATGTCAGAGAATGCAGCCACGTGAAAGAAAGCAAAACTGTGAGAAGGAAAGACAGAAACCAGGCCCTAGTGCCATCGCAGGAACTTCTAGATTCCACTGTCATTTTTATTTTTAAGTTATGTGAGTCAAAACTTTCCCTTTGTATTTAAAAAAGTGGAGTTTGGGTTACTGTTGGTTGCAACTAAAGGACTGTTGACACGTTGACTGTTTACATTCTAATTTTCATTGCTTTATTTTCTAAAACTAAGATTCGATACTGGGGAATTGAAGTGGAAGCATAAAAGCAATGGTTGTCTGAGAAAACATGGAAATAAGTCCAGTGAGGAGAAAAGGGGAAAGAATGAAAATTCTAGAGGTTTAGATTTATAATTCAAAGGGGAGATTCTATAAATTTTGATTTTGTGTTGGAGCCCATTAAATTTAGTCTCTCTACTCATAACTTTTGACAAGTGCAACTATTTGGAAATGCAGCAGAAGGTACAATAGAATAAACAATTAAGACCGTTGTATAGTTTATGTTATGAGCTGAATTATGCACCCCTCCTCCACCACCATTGAAGCCCTAATCCTCAGTACCTCAGAATGTGACTATGTTTGGTGATAGGGCTTTTAAATAGGTAATAAAGTTAAAATGAAGCCATTGGGGTGGGCTCTAATCCAATGATTGGTGTCCTTATAAAAAGAAGATATTAATATCTCACCTGAATTCTTCTAACACAAGCCACTAGATGCCAAAAGAGAAGTCTCCCTAAAATAGGCTTTTATCACATCACTTGTCGGCTGAAAATCATCAATGGCCTTCCCTGCCCAATTTTTTTGCCTTCAAGAAAAAGTCTGTCTCTCCCTCTATAGATGAGAGGGACACTATAGATGTATGTTCAGAAAGGAAAGGCCATGTGAGGACTCAGCAAGGAGATGGCCATATGCAAGCTAAGAGAGAGACCTCAGAAGATACCAAATCTTTGGACACCTTGGCGTTGGACTTCTAGCCTTCAGAAGGGTAAGAAAAAAAAATTCTGTTGTTTAAACCACCAGTCCATGGTATTTTGTTACGGCAGCCCTAGCAAACTAATACAGAATACATTTCACATTTATTGTTCACCACAGAAGTGGGCTTTAATTTCAAGAGTAAATGCAACTTTTTGAAACTGTCAGTTACTTAAAAAAGTATATCTATTATGTGAAAGAATACAGAGTGGTTGTGGAAAAGTGGACACAACCCTATCCAAGACAAAATTCTGGACTGCATGAAGTATGCAGTCCATTTAGGTACTTAAGCCATCTGCACATGAAACAAAAAATGGAAACAGATCAAGAAATACGAAATGAATGTAACAAACATGGGTATTCTGGGTAAGCAGGGATGGTCACTTCAAACTGGAATTGTTGGAAACCTTTTGTTAGAGAGATGCCATCTCAGTTGGGCCTTAAAATTGGAAAATATATCAGTTAAGAGTGAAGAGAAGGCCAGGTGCAGTGGCTCACGCCTGTAATCCCAGCACTTTGGAAGGCCAAGGTGGGCGGATCACTGAGGTCAGGAGTTTCAGACCAGCCTGACCAACATGGTGAAACCTGGATTCTACTAAAAATAAAAGAATTAGCTGGGTGTAGTGGCACATGCCTGTAATCCCAGCTACTCGGGAGGCTGAGGCAGGAGAATTGCTTGAGCCTCGAGGAGGAAGTTGCAGTGAGCCGAGATTGTGCCACTATACTCCAGCCTGAGTGACAGAGTGAGACTCTGTCTCAAAAGAAAAATAAATAAATAAATAAATAAATAAATAAATAAATGAAGAGAAGACTTCTGGAGAAGGAAAATATCCCTAAAAGAGGAAAGTACAAAAGGCGTTTGGGGAATAAAGCTAAATAAACAGATTAGGCTAGAATAGAGGATTCCTGTGGGGAACAGTGGAAAAATAAGCCTGGAAAATAGTGTTGAAGCAGATTTTGGAGAGTTTAACTGTCAGATGCATTAATTTGGACTTTTTCTTAAAGGCAAAAAAAAAAAGGGATGGGAAGCCACTGATGATTTTCTGCAGGCAAGTGATGTGATAAAAGACTATTTTAGGGAGACTTCTCTTTTGGCATCCAGTGACTTGTGTTAGAAGACTTCAGGTGAGATACTAGAGATGGGTGACAGACAGAGTTGGTGGTAGTCTACCGAGGAAGAGACTGGGGTCTGAACCAACTTTGTGCCTATAAAATTCCCCTTAACTCTCGCCTAGAAATTTGTGCCGAAGTGTAACTTTTAGTTTGATTTGCCTCAGGCAATGTGAAGAGCACATTAACCCTTTCTAAACATAATCTAGATTCTCTTTTAAATGCTAAGTGGGTCCTTGTTCAGCTAACTTATACATGGGACTTGGCAAATCCTAATAATAATATACTTTCTTGAAATAAGGTCTTTATATTCTTCTGTTACAAATTCCCCCTGGTACTTTTGCATAAAATGCATGAAATCTCCTCATTATTGCCTAAATGCCCTTGCCAGTATAAAACTATTTATTTCATTGTGGGAATTTTCCTTCAAACACCTGTTCCTTTTTAAAAGAATCTGCAAATTCTCTTTAGTTCAAGGTTATCTTTCTTCCTCTCTCTCTCTTTCTCTCTCTAGGTCTGGTAACAAGTATTCAGTCCACTGAATCAGTTTTCTCATAGATTCCACTGAGGAATGTACTGATCTGCTTTCTCTTTCCAGATGTGGTTTAATTGTTTAACATAAAGACATATGCTGAGATTTAGGAAGAACTCCCTCCAGAACTCAGTATTATCATTATGTGCCAATTTAAAACCATCAATGATCAACTAGAGATCTTTTCTGCCCTTCAATTAAAACATACTAGATGGGCAGGATATGGTAAACCAGATGCAATAATTAAGAGAATAGTTTAACTGTTCATATCGCACATTGCTGTTTGCTACAGCATGACCATTAAACAAAAAGTAAAGCCAATAAGGATTGTATGGCCCCATAAAAATTCCATTTGGCTTAGAAATACAGTACCATTTGACATTAATGTTAAACACTCCAAAAGATAATTACACAGCCATGAGTCAAATAATTAAATACAGAAAATGGATCAATGAAAAAAAGTCCCCCTCCTTGACTTTGACCCTTTCCAAATAAATTAAAGAAAAAAATATTCACCACCTGCATAAAAGAATTCTCTTTGGAAGTCCAATCCCTTGGGAACTGCAGGTGGCAGCAGGGAAAACATATTAGCATTTCGTTCCACATACACAGGAAACCATTTCCCCTGGCAACCCCAAGATTTTGTAACAACACCAATTACTAGGAAGAGTAATAGTTTGGCAAATACATTAAGTGATATAAAAGGGATAAATAGCATTTATTAAGTTATATAGTGAGATCAGTTATTACTTTCTATTTAGGTGATAATGGTAAGGCATTCCATAAAAATCTAATGGAAGATTTTCTGATTATACAGCATATAGGAGTATAAATTCTCCAGCTAATTATTTCTGCTGACGATACTCGTATTGCCAAATATTCCATTTTTGAGCATTTATCTTGAAAATATTCATTACTTCACTTTGAAAATTTCCTTCGCTTTCTCTTTTTCTCTTTACTTCTGGTTTCCACTGCAGAAAATATGTATCTTTCTACTGTCTAGTTTGTTAATGACAACTCAGTTTTGGAGTGGATGTGTAGAAGTTGAAACACATTTGTGATATTTCTCTTATGGGGGACAGAATTATCTAACTTCTCTTTGATAGCAGGTAGTTAAGCCTATTAAAATCTCCTTTCTTTGGGATTTTTAAAGGTCCCTGAAATGAGAGTAGCTCAGAATTCCCTTGTCTCCAATTAAGTTGTTGGGGGAGAAGCTAACCAGGGTTCTCCTAAGAGCCAGATGTTCAGGGCAAGAACTAGCAGTTAACTTAATGAACCTATCAAAGGAATTTATAAAAAGGTGGCAGGCATGGGGGAACTAGAAAAGCAACTGAAAAGGGAATTAATCAGTTATGTGAAAATCAAGAAAGCGAGTTTACTAAAATCTACTGAACTTCTAAGAAGTGATAATTTCATTTGAATTAAATCTTGACCTTAGTTTTTGAGGATTTTATAATAAAGAATTATGTGCTCAGCTGCTGTTGGCTTTAGACCAGCAAGCCAAATCCCAAACCTTAGGGGTTAGAAAAAGTCCTTTTCACCTCAATTATGTGTGATTTATACCTGGATATTTGTATTGTCTGTGGACTTTCATTGTTGTCTTTTAGGGAAAGAACGTTTTAATCTAGATCAGCAACTCAACCATATTAATGAGCCACTTGGAGGAAAGCCCAGAATAGTGCAAGATGAAGAGACATTCCTATCAGGAACTTTCCAAGCTAGGGTAATAGGTAGTATAATATACTGATGAGCTGTATATAATGTACAGTCACATATTTATAATACAAATCCATAGGAGCCAACTGGATTATATTCACAGGGTATGGCTTTTTTATAATGCATTGTGATAGTTTCTGGCAGAGATTATAAATTTATAATGTAACCTCATAGCTGGGGTCAGTTGATATTAAGTGTTATCATGAAAAAGACCACCTTGTTGCAGAATAAAATAGAAAATTATTGTGGTTTCCTTCCATTTTTTGGCTCAGTTTATTACCCGTTTTAGTGAGCATATAGTTGCCCAGTCATCCTTCTATAATAATTCTGCTAGCCCACATGGTCACAATGGGACTACTACCCCGAGCCCAGTGTCTCCAGGGGTGGGCATGTGATCCAATACAGGTCAATCAGAATCCTCCCCAGGATTTCTCTGAGCTCTTACTCAAACATCTGCACTATTTATCCATGTATTTGAGCTGTAAGGATGCTGGTGGCCACTACTGTGGCCATCTTATGGCTACATGAAGAGAGCCAGTTGGAAAAAGGAGCCAAGCAGAGTGAAACAAGCACACAAGAAAGGAATAAGAAACAGGACCCCGAAGACGGCATGCTCTTGGAATCATGCTTGAATTCAGCTCCTCATTTCAATTTTTGAGTTATTTGAGCCAATATTTTTTGTTTATTGGTAAGGTTTTTGTCATATGCATCCTAAAGGATCCTGTACAATCTCAAAACAAGGGACATTAATAATAATGTTTGAGACAACATTGTCTGTTTCTAGCTTCCAAATATAAAAATGACTTTGGAGTGTTTCCAAGTTTCCCAGTGAGTACTAAGTGCTAGTGGGTGGACAGATTCAGATTGTAAACCATTCCAGAATATGTATCTTCTGTGACTTCCTGGGAACTTCCCAGAAATTTTGGTTAAGTAGATCTGGGCTGGGCTGGCTCAGGAACCTACAGTTCTAATGACCTCCTGAGATCTAGGCAATGGTACTGATAACTGATAGACTGAGAGAGAATAATTGCTTAATATTATTGTATTTACTATAAATTAGAGATAGTGTGAACAATTCAAATACTCTTCAAAATATAGACATGGTGATGGTGATTAATGCCATGGTAGAGATTTTTCTGAATTACCTACTCATCATTTCATTAGAAGGATAGTATACAGAATTTGAAAGGAGTTTGGGATTCTTTAGTTCTAGCTTCTAAGAGGTACATTAATTTATTGTATATCCCTATCAAGACATTATCTAGCTTGTGCTTGAACTCCTCTATCAATGTTTATGGCCTCCAAAGATATTTCATTCCATTTTTGGAAGGTTTTATTAGTAAGAAAGTTTTCCCTTGTACGGAATAGATTTTTTTTTGCTTACCTTTAACATATTATCTAACCTGAAGATCTACAGAATAAATCAGCTCTCTCCTTCATATAACAGATGTTTAAGTATTTGAAGACATCTAGCAGGACTTGATAGCCTTCTTACCTTTTGGGCACCATTTGTTAGCTCTTTCAACTATACCACTTAGGCCATAGTTTCCTAAAATGTTTCCATCCTTGTGGTTGTTTTTCTGCACGTGCTTCAGTTTATTAGTGCTTCTTGCAACGTATGCTTAGCAAGAAATACTATTCTTGAGGCACAATTCAGAAACACGAAAAGAGATAGCAATATGTTCCTTGGCTCTGGACATTAGAATTCAGTTTGTGCAATTTAAGATAACTTATTAACTTGTTTTGGCATCTCATGACAGAGTTAATTTGTTTTGGGTTTGTACTTAACTACAACTAATTGCTGAAGCACTGTTGGATTCTTCACTCTGGTTGTGTTTTTAAGAAGTTTTGATACAATTAGCCTTACTAGGCTTGTCAGTGACTCCCTAATTATCACATTATAATATATCACTAGAAACCATCTGAAGTCTTGCAAGGCATTGGTCATGGAAAGCATGAACATAAAATTTATCATCCAAACTTGGACTCTTTTGGGAGTAGAAGAGGGTGCTATTAATAATTACTCCAGTGTAAATAGAAACTGACCCAGCCAAGGTCCCAGACTGTGGAAGGATTAGAAGTGGTGTTTATGCATACCTCAATCTAAACTAGAATGGAGTTAAATTTATCGGTTTGAAAACTTCTGTTAACTATGAAGTTAGAAATCACAACTGTTTGACTTTATTTACTTAATTGTCGTTCGTTAATTTAATAGAACTATTTTAGCTTTTTTCCTCTCAATTCTGTCCTTTTCCTATGGGTGGACTTAAAGTATGCTTTATTTGACCCAGATTCCAGGTTGGCTACCACTTATTCTTCAGAGAGAAATACACTCCAAGCTAGCACCTCTGGTTTCTAGCAAGCTTTGCCAGACATCCCTCTTTCCCTGGCAGTTACCTCATGGGGTGT
This sequence comes from Homo sapiens, assembly GCF_000001405.40. Lineage (NCBI taxonomy): Eukaryota > Metazoa > Chordata > Mammalia > Primates > Hominidae > Homo > Homo sapiens. Next base: position 83,509,024 of record NC_000001.11, on the reverse strand, counting down.
TTTTCCTCTCCTGTGAAATAGTCTGGCCAGTTGAAGTTACTGGGCAAGCATTTAATTAGCAACCATCAGCTGAATGCTGTGCAAGTAGGCTCCACCCATGGTCTCTAAGCTAAAGATCTGAAGAATTCCAAATCTTTCTACAATTCCCTTTGGGTGCAACAAGGAAGAGCCTTCAGGCTAACAGCCAACTTGTCCTCATCTCAACTCAATGCTCATCAGCCATTTGGGAACAGGCAGTTTTAAAACAAAACAAACAAAAAGCGCAATTCAACCTTTCTTCCAAATAAACTTTGTAAAGTATCAGATAAAAAAGAAATGTGTGTGTGCATGTGTGGGCTTTCTTTTTTTTTTGTCTTGTAACTTTCTTCTCTGGATGCTGCATATGAGCTATTTCCTGCCTTGTGGTCAGAGCCAGACTCCAGACTTGCACGAAATCTCAGAGTTTAAAAAGAGACTTGCTTTTGGGTGGAGTTGAGAGTTCGGGGAAGGGAAGTGAGGAGTAAGAATAGCTTTGAAGTCAGATACCTGTCTTCCTGATTCTGCTTGGTATTTTGCAGCAGTCTTACTAATAGTAATTATCTTCTGAAAACGTGTTTATAAGAGGTAAGCTAGATTTGCAGATAACTTTCGAATTAAAATTCATAAAAATGTTGCACAAAAATGTAATTTGTTCCACACCGTGGAAAGTAATATCCTGATTCCCTTTCTCTTCCTTGGCACTCCGAAGACATCAAGGAAACCACATGACCTCCATAATCTCCTCAAATCCTGTTTCTGAGGCCATGGAGACACATATCACAAAAGATTTAAACATTGAACACTAATGCTTTTACGTTAAAAAACATGGACTTCCTATTGAAGAGTCTGAGTAACAGGCAGATGAGCTCAAATTATTTACTTGTTGTTTGATTTACTTTAAGTGTACCAAATGCTTAAGGGCACCTAAGCTCATGTACAAAGGATAAATGCTGCAGCAAAGCTCAAGTCAGAATTCTATCCATCCTGCATGAAGCTGGGCCTAAGAAATTTAATCTTATCTACATTTCCCAAAAAGTGAACACACTGGAACAAAACCTGAGTTTTTGGGAAGTCATAAAAAAAAAAGAGAGAGAGAGAGACAGAGAGGAGACAGATGCATAAATCATAGTAAAACACTCAGCATGGTAACACTGTCCCTCTGGCTCAATTGCAGGCCATATTCTCCTAAATGCCCAGTTGGCAAGAAGGTTCTTGTTATAGCTGCTAAATCTTCCATGTATGCCTCCCTTGATACAAGCAAGACTAAATGTCCCCAACCCACAACAGGGATGATGCTATTATTTCATCATTGGCAAAGCTACCCCTAAGAGATGTATCTTATAAGATAAACTGAATGAATTTTTCAGATTCTGAAAAGACTATCTTCAATGATCAAAGCAGGCAAAGAATGTTTCATATCTCATCCAAGAAAGCTACTGTCTCAGTAGGTCATTTTGAGGCTCAAATTTAACACATTAATGGGTTCAAAGCATTAGTGGGATGGGATGAGTATAGAGATTCAGTATGCTCATCATCACCACTCCCCATATTTACACTGCCCCTCCACCAACCATATATACATAAAGGGAATCTGCATAGACTTGAAAAATGCCTGGTTGCTTTTGGAACAAATTCTTTTGGAACTAGGCTCTAGCTCAACTAGATTTTAAGCAATCCACATCTCATAGAAAAGAACACATTTCTCTGTTAGAGCACTTGCACTCTCTGAGTGGTGACTATAAATTTAGTAAAGTTTAAAATATATTTTAGTTTCTCAATTTTGGCACTATTCTCCATTTCATTATTACTATTTAGTCATCCAGAGATATAGTCAACTGGTATAAAAATTATTATTCCAGAATGTAGAATAATTAATAGAAAAATACATTTTGAGCTCCAGTTGTTTCTTTTTAAACTTGTATGAAGTTTAACTGCTTATTTATTACATTATTTCTAAAGAAAAGAGCATAAAATTTAGTATTAGAAAAATTAGTTTTCCAGTCTCTTAAGAAGAAGACTATCTGGCTGGACACAGTGGCTCATGCCTGTAATCCCAATACTTTGGGAGGCCGAGGTGGGTGGATCACCTGAGGTCAGGAGTTTGAGACCAGCCTGGCCAACATGGTGAAACCCCGTCTCTACTAAAAATAAAAAATTTGCTAGGCATGGTGGCACACGTCCATAATTCCAGCTACTTGGGAGGCTGAGGCAGGAGAATCACTTGAACCTGGGAGGTGGATGTTGCAGTGAGCCAAGACTGTGCCACTGCACTCCAGCGTGAGGCACAAGAGCAAAACTTTGTTTCCAAAAAAAATAAATAAATAAAAAAAAGAAGAAGACCATCTAACTAACTATTTATGTGAAACAGGGAATGTATTTACAAATAAAAAGTAGGGAGAAGTTTTATCTATTTTTTAGGGTTATTTTGATTATCAGCTGTATTGGGGATATATAAAAGTGTTTTGTAAACCATTAAGCATTAAATTATTAAACTCATTACTTTCATTCATCACTTATTTAGTATATGTTATATTTCAGGTATAGTACTTAATGCTACATATAAAAATATGAGTAAAACAGTTTTATTGTGAGCAGCATCTATCTTACTGAAGGAAATAGATGTGGATTAGGACTATCATCATTATTATTCTCATTTATTACATGTCTACTAAGACTCTGGCTGTGTTCCTGGACCAAGGAAAGAGCAAAGAAGCCAAAGTCCCTGCCCTCTTAAGGCTCAGAATAAACAGTAAATAAACAAATAAATAAACATACATTTTCAGATAGTGATAAGTATAGTGAAGAAAATAAAGAAGGATGAGAAGATAGAGAACTCCCCAAAGATATAGCACATAAGTTGAGACATGAACTATTAATATTATATTAATATAATATCTTGAAAAACAAGCCATGCAAAGATCCAGGGTCAGAGCATTGGCATAGAGGATAGTAAGCATAAAAATCCTGAAGATGGGTGAGATTGGTATGCTTGCTGAACACCAACTAGACTAACATAGACAGAACAGATTCAGTGAGGGAAGATTTGTAGATGAGGGTAGGGATGCAGGAATGGCCAATCACTTGTCAGGAGAACAAGCTTACAGGTTTAGTTGGGAGATGGGTTGATGGTATTTGATTTACATTTTGAGTAGATTACTCTGGATATGGTACGGAGTTGAGATGGTAAGATGGCAAAAGCAGGAGAAGGAAATGAGTTAGGAGGCTACTAGAGTAGTCCAGGAAAGAAAAAAGTGGATTGGAGCATGACAATAATATAGAGTTGGTAAGATATTTTTAGATTGGGATATATTCTTAAGGTAGAGGCCACAGAACTTGTTAATGAATCGAATGTGGGGCCTAACAGAAAGAGAAGATGTCTCAGTAACATCTAGGTTTTTGGCTTAAGCGTTAGGGAAAGCTGTGGTGTCATTTGATGAAGTGGGGAAAAGGAGGGAGCAAATTTGGATGATGGGCAGAATAAAAAGTTCTTTTGGAAGCATCTTAGATTTGAGATGCCTTTTAGATATTTAAATGACAATGTCTTGCAGGTGGTAGAGCTGAGAGTTTAGAATGGTTGGAAATAGAAACACTTACAGTTATTGAATGAAGATAGTTGTTGAGGTCCTGGGTTTAGCTAGGATAGAGAATAGAGAAGTGGACCAAAGACTGAGCCCTGAAGCAATGTAAAGTAAACCACAGTCAGAAAGAGAAGGGAGACAGTACTGCAAATAAAATGGCTCTGGAAGGAGGAGGAGGCAGGAGAAAGACCCCGAGGCTGTGGTGAACTAGAGGATGAGTAAATAAAGAAGGAGGGGTCAATCCTTGACTAGTAGAGTGATTAAGATTAGGAGTGAGAATTGATCTCTACATGGATAGAATGGAGGTCATAGATTTCCTGGTAAGAGTAGTTTGGGAGAATTTTGAGGAATAAAATCCCTATTTGACTAAGTTAAAGAAAGATTGGGAGGTAAGAACGTGGAGCCGCTAAATAAAGACAAAATTCTAAAAATTGTGCTTAAAAAATGAGAAACAGACATATAACAGTACTTACTATCTAGATAATATAAAATCAATCTAAAAATTATAAAATTCCTAAGTCAATGGTTGTTAAACTTGTTGGTTTTAAAACTTCATTATATTCTTCAACATTATTAAAAAACGGAAGATTTTTCTGTGAGATACAGCTATTGACATTTACTGTACTGAAAATTAAAATGTAGACATATCTCTTTTATTTTGTTAAGATAATAAACTATCACATGTTAAATAGCATATTTTAATAAAAATATGTTTTCAGAAAAAGTGAGCACAGTGGTATTCTTTTACAGTTTTGCAAATGTCTTTACTGTTTGGCTTAATAGGAAAAGAACGGATTCTCATATATGCCTCTGTATTTAATTTATTGCAATTTGTTGTTTTGGTTAAACAAATGAAGAAATTCAGGCCTCATACAGATATGTATTTTAATAAATATCTTTATCTACCTAGATATGTTCTCTGATAGTTGTGAATATATCATGTAGCCTATTATTAGAGAATGAGGGTGAAAATGCAAATAATGTTTTAGTGTCTTTATGAAAATAGTTTTGACCTCATGGACATACTGAAAGCATCTTGGGACCCTCGGGTTGCTAGACCACACTTAGAGAACCACTGAACATATTTTACATCCAACAACATCTGAGTTTTGTTTTGTGTGAAATATTGCTATGATAACAAAAAGTGAAATGACCACAGTGGCAGAGAGCTTGTGAAAAGCTGAAATGATTTTTATTTTCTTTTGAACGAACACTAGCTACGTTATTAAATAGAGTCTTGGAGGGTATGCCAGCTGTGAGGTTGGCTTTCAGGCAGTCCACCCAAATATTAATCAAAGGTGCCGTGAGTTAGATGGTGGCTATTCTTAAAAGAGTATTTCTGATGAGTAGTACTTTCTTATGATTAGTGATAGATTTCAAAAATTGTTATTTGTCTCTTTCTTTCAGCTATGAATTATTTGGGGGTGATAGATGGATATGTGCTAAAATGCATTAATTTTAATGTGTTTCTTTATTTTTCATGTCTTAAAATTACAGATGGAAGAGACCTCATGAGTTGTGCCGTCCATCACCTTGGCATAACATCATGGCTCTTTCCAGAAAGGCTTTGTCTGGCCCTGTTTTAAATGAGGAAAGCAATTAGACTCTCATTAGTTCCCTTGGGAGACTATTTCATTTACTGGTAGATCTCCATTTTGAAATGTTGCCCAACATCAAGCCCATGTTGGTTGAATACTATTAATCCACAACTGGATAAACCCCATGTGATAATCTTTAAGGGAGAATTTCACCTACATTACTCCTCTGGTGAGCACTCTTCTTCTAGGCATGAAAGCAATCTGGGGTCCATGAACTGTGCAATCCACTGGTTATTGAGCACATTCTGCAGGCTGGCTTGTAGAAGCCCTCCTGTTGAATCATCTGATAAAAAATTTATAATATAATTGTAGGATTTTAAGAAAGGACTTTTACTGAAAGGGCATTGGGGATTATCACAAATAGAAAATAGTTGAAAGGGTGATCTCATCTGGTAAGAAAACTTTTTACACATCAAGAGAAATGAAGTGTTACCGAGTTATTGAGCATGTTACTCGAGCAATAGCCACAAATAAATTTCAGTGTCATTCTAGGAAAATGACTGTCATCTGAATCAGTGAATAAATATCTTAGGTGTTTATAGTAACAAAGATGAAATAATTTCATAAACTTTTAAAAACACAGATTACCTATTTTTATTTCCATATCAGAAAGTCGAGATGTAAGTCCCCAGGGGCATGGTTTAAAAAAAGGATACACTTTTTTTTATGCTTTGAGGATATTCAAATGGCTTATTTAAACATTGTTTTCAGAAAACATAAAGTTTGAATTCCCAGTTTCTTCATGCTTAGCTGATTGGGTGATGGCTTGGGAGACATTATGCTGCCCCCTCTCCCTTCCATTAAAAAATTTATTTCTGTTTACTCTTATAAATCTAAATTATTTTGTCTTCACTTTGAAAGCAATTTCAACAAATCTCTTGATGTAGTCCAGTAAACACACTCATGTAAAATGATCTCCAAGTTATTTTTAAGAGGCAGATATCCCCACTTAATGACATAATTTCATGACTTGTTCAAGTTAAGAAGAGGAAAAAGCAACCAACCAGAAATGGAATTATGCTTATTTTATTATTCCAGTGCTTAGCACTTGGGCAGAATGTGGTTATTTTTATTAATATAGATTTCTTTTTCCTTTTTTTCCCTCTTGCATGGCTTCAGCTGTTTTCTTGTTCTGTTCTTTTTTTTGTTGTTGTTCTTCAAAGAAGACTAGATGAGTCAGTGAAGCAATAATGAAAAACAAGAAGTTGGAAGTTTCCTCTCCTCTCTCCCAGACAAAATGATACAAAGCAAGTGCTCCATATGATATTTTGGAAAGAAATCCAGCTTTTGAGATCTATGTTTAATGTACAAAAATAAAATCAAAACAAAAACAAAAAAAGACAAAGACCTTTCAGTGGCTACTAAAATGGGTCTGTCTTTGTTCAATCTGGCAAAGAAACCATTATTCTTTTAGAAATAGTGCTTCCTCACCTTTAGGATTTTTTTCACAAAAATTTATGGCAAAGCCAGTGCCAATACCCAGTAACTCCATTTCGTACCCACACATATTTATGTTCTTCATCAGGAAATTAATTAGAAATAGATGCTAAGATTACTAATCTATTAGAGAAAAATTCAGAATCTCTTTGCTTTTTTAGAATCTGCAAAGCCCTTGCATTGATCTGAAGGACAGCTATTTGTCTCTTGCTTTGTATAACTATCTCTATTAATTTCAGATAGACTACTGACTACCCTATCCTGTAGCCAGACTGCTGAGCTTGGTTCCCAAATACTACATTAACTAGTAAGTTACTTAAATTCCTCACAAGCTTCTTGTTTTCTCCTGTTTTTCTAATATTTCCTTCTCAGTCTCCTTTGTTAATTCTTCATTACCATCCCAATATTTAAAGGCTGAAATGCACTAGTGTATAGTCTCCAGAACCCTTCTCTAGTTGCACTCACTTCAGTGTAAACTCATCTGGTCTTATGGCTTTAAGTACTGTTTATTTTCTCATTATTCTCAAATTTATATTCTGGGCCTGGACTTCTCCCTTGAACTGTGACATATCCATCCAGCTGCCAACTCAACTTTCCATTAGGTTGTCTAATGGCCGTCTCAACAGAACCTGCTGCAAATCAAACTCCTGATCTTCCTTGCAAAAGCGCTTCTCCCACTGTGTTTTCTTTATTAAGTGAATTGCAACTCCCCATTGCTGAGCTCTCAGGTCCAAATACATTCACCCTTCAATGTTATTTTTTTTTTCTCATACCCCCATTAAATCCACCAACAAAACCTTTTGGCTTTACTTTCAAAATATGTCAGAATTAGACCATTTCTTGCCATTTCTACTACCATCACCCTGGGTGAAGCCAGCATCCCCTCTCTGAATTATTGCAGTGCTGCTGTTCTTCTTGCTTACAGTCTTGTCTCTGGCACTATTCTCTGCCAGCAATAGTGTTGCTTCTCTACTCAGTGGTATCTCATTTCACTCTAAGTAAAAATCAAAGTCCTCATCAAACACTCTATCCAGCCTTAAAATATGACATGGTACCTAACAAATGGCAAAACAGAAAGATCAATGACATAACTCTTTCTTCCTCTTCTGTTCTTATGCCATGTTACTTTATTTAACCTTTGGAGAGCTATTTTGTGACTGTCACAAACTTCTCTGCCAATACAGCTCAGCCTTTGGCACTGATGAAAAGGGTCAAAGAGAAAGACAAACAACAGAAGGTGAAAGGGGACTGAGATATGGTTATGCGATAGGGGAATGTAAGTAATGAGTAATGGGAAAACACCTTGTGCCTATGCTCTCAGGACACAGCCTAAGACAAGGTAATTACTGCTAAAGGCCACTTAGGGTACCTTCTTTCAAATTCTGTTAGGCAGTCTTGACAGTTAACACACTGGCCCTTAAAAAGATTATTGACTAAACTTAATTATTGTTTTCAGGGATAATCAAATAGTGCTAAGTTTGCACTGATAAATATGATTCTACAAATGTGAGATATTAAATATGCTATATAAATATGACATATAAACATGAGATAAAAGAAATGTTTCTTTTTCAAAATAGAAATTTTCTAGCCCTTTTCTGTAGTAATGGGAGAAAGACAGGAGGCAGATGGCTGAGAACACACAAATTGAAGCAGGGCTGCTGAGGGCACAAAAGCTCGAAACAGAAACAGACTATCTGTTAACATCTCATAAGAGTGCTGGGAAATGATTGTGATTGTTTTCTGTAAATATGGGAGACCCTTTCTCCCATTTATCTTCTTAAAATAATTTTGTACAAACCATTTTCTCCTTCAATCTGGTATACTCAAAGCTCACATTGGGAGTAATTCAACAGAGATTTTAAAAAATTGTTGCTGAGCTATTGTGTCTGAAAATTTGTCTAATGTTATAGATGTAACAAATTTGTCCAAAGATTTCAAATGATAAAAGTGACAGCAGAGACTCATCTTTACTGGGCACACATTCTATGCCCAATATGAGGCTAGAAGACTTGAAAACATGATCTCATTTAGTCCAGGCTTGGTGGATGTTCATCCCAGCTAAGCTGTTCCTTTAAGCCTCCCCTAATCATCTCCCTCGCCCTCTCCTCAGCAGTGATTTCAGGACTTCTCTAGTCTGCCCAGACTTCTGACCTTGTCATCTTTCCCCACTTTTGAGAAATGACTTTGCCTTTTACACTACACAGAAAACAGAAATCATGAAGGAGAACTGTCTCAGTTCCCCAAACTAATGACTATGAACACCCCTAACTCACCGTTTCCTTTTTCTATTCTTTTCTAACATAAACATTCTCTAATCTCTACCGATTCCAAAACATCAACACTAAAACTTGCTTATGGTTCTTCCATCCTTATAATGACAAACAAACAAATAAATAATGGAACTCTCCTCCAACTCTCTGTATCTCTTTACTCTCCTTCAGAGCTGAACATTTTTACTCAGTTTTCCCTTCTTCACCTCCCTTTCTGTTGCTGTTTTTTTCCAGGATCTTCCTCCTTTGCTCCCCTTATTACTAAGTCCAGTGAACTCTTCTCCATCCTTGTCGCCCATGACTTTTGGGTGTCATTTGATCCTTGACTCCTCTCCTCTTGAAACATTTTCTTGCCTTGAATCCATGACCACATGTTTTCCTGGGTTTCCTTTGGATTTTCCTTCTCATTCTGCTTTGTGGAATACTTCTCTGCCTAGTTTGATGCCACATTGATATTTTTGAAGGTTCTAGCCTAGAGCTTCCCTTTTCACTATCTGTAATTTTTCTTAGCAGTTTCACTTTAGCAACTCAGTTTGTATTATTACTTATTTTTTTCTTTCCCATTTTGTTACTATAAAATTTTATGTTCGGGGATCCCAACTCCCCTGTGCATTTTGTAAATGTTTCTGGATGCCTTCCTTGTAGTAGGTGGAATTAATATTTCTTTCTGATTATAAGAACAAAAGTAGAATTTTCTTGGATGGATTTCGGTTTAAAGGGCTCTCCTCAATTCCTCTAAATCACTTTTCTTTAGGTCTTATTTTAGGTTCACCGTTTATGTCTCCTCTGTCCTTGGGGCAGGGTTTAGCTCACTGATTTAGTACTTTAACTCTTTCATGCATCCTCTATGTAGATTATAGTGATAAGCAGGCTTCCAACCACAGATCGATTATGCAACATGGCAGACAACTTGTCTTGATGGATTTTCAGAAGCATGAATTAAGGTTCTTGTTAAGGAGGATGGACACAATAGATATGAGGACTCAACATGCTCATAGGAAATGAATGGGCTGGGTGGATACTTGGGCTGCAGTTTGAAATGACTTGTAACTTAATCTATAGGAAATAAAACTATACCTAAACTGGGTCCAAATCTTGAAAGATGAATAAATTTATTGGTAAGATGTTACATACTGTTAATAGCTTTGCAATACTAATACTAAATTTAAAAGTTTATTAGTGGCTCTCAATATATCCACCTATGATGAAATTTAGTAGGTTTCACTCAATATAGAACTTACTCATTACTTAGCTTCCCTTTTGCAAACCCTTGTCACAAGGGACTTATCAATAAAAAAAGCTATTGAAATGGAAATAAATGACTTTTTGAGCACATCATAAACACATAGGTCAGGTCTTCCATATATAGGCTTACATTTTTCACACGTTACCATATGTTCTTTACACATCATACACCTCTTATTCAGAATCTTGGCCACCACTCAATTATACTTACACCTGCCTAAAACTGCATGCATGCATGTTTTATATTTTTATGTACAGTGTATGTATTTAGGCAAGCCAACATCCACCCCTTCCTTTTCAGAGAGATTTATTCACTTAGGGGAGGTCTACCTTTCATTCACTGTGCATGCACAACTCAAATTAATGCTAAGGTGGGTTATGTTTTTATGTCTTGGGAAGAATAAACTTCTTAAATGCTTTACAAGGCTTTTATTTTGGCACTGGGACAGGACCACCTTGTGCTGAGTTGCTAAAATATGAAATTGTTGATCATTCTGGTTTCTGAAGGCAATTTTTTTTTAACGGCAAAGAGAGGTAATCTCGGTATTGTGATATACTCCATGCCACAGTACATTCAAGGTAATGAGCATGTTTGAGATGGAGGCCACTGGTAACAAGAAGATGCTTAAATTGGGGAAAAAATGTCTAGTTCAGAGCCAAAAGCTGTTGTCTTATTACAAGTCAACACCATCTATTGTCTCAAAAAAAATGTTCAAAATGGTAATATGTGAGGGAAGTAGCTGAGTTTTATAAAAGATGAAGTTTAAAGTGCCTCTCTCATGTAGCAAGTGAACCTTAGATGAAAAATCCCACTGGGGTAAAAAGAAAGGTAAGTTTTCCACATGGCTGTACATATTTTTAATAAATAAACTAAGATCATTTATTCTTCCTATGTCCCAGTAGCCACCTTTCTGCCACTGTGCAGTTCAATTTACAGAGATTCTGTGACATGTTATTTTTATCTTTATAGTACAAGCATATAGTAGCACAAGGCAGCAACAGAAATGCAAAATCACAGCTTTTTAAGTCCAGACACTTAAAGCTAAAAAATGTCTGGACCTTGCTTTTGTTAGAGCTACACTACACTTTTTGGCCAGCAGCAGGAGGCATTACTGCATCAGAGTCAGAAGAGGCTGTAGGTCTTCTTATGACTTCTTAGGTGTCCCTTCCCATCTGGGTCAAATAATTCCTCTTCTCTGAAACCACCTTTCCCATCTGCATTGCATTGCTCTGCACGAAGGGAGTAGAGTGAGTCTCACATTAGAAGGCAAATTAATTCCCTCTTATTTTACATCTGCACTGAGAATAAGCAGTCTCCAGGCCCTTCATTATTTTGAAACTTATATATACTGTGTTTATAAGGCATCAGTATAACCCATTCATTTGGTCCAATGCATCAATAGAGTAGGAGGATAAAAAGAAAAAGTCAGATTGAATTTACCATTGAAATCCATTATTTTCAACAACCAGAAGAGTTGAATCTCAGTATCCAGTAATTCCATGTCAACAAACACAGTGAGTCTTCAACACTGACTGGGAAGCTGCCACTCTCAGGAGAAAGGACTTATGTAACATTCGTACACATCAGCAAAGGACAGCTTCATGTCAACCCTATGTCATCTGTGTTGTCCACTTCCTTCTTGCACAGATATATAAATAGCATTTTTCAGTGCACAAATATCATTACAGCCCCAACCAAATTAACCTCGCAAATTACACTGTCTCTGGCTAGGAAGCCTGCTTCTTACAGACTGCAGAAGGTGCCCTGGAAAAATGAGGAGGAATTAGTTTATTTTACTTACTACGAAGATTGGAACATACTCTTTAAAAAAAATGACATAAGCATGTGTACCATGTTTCCTGGCTACATGAAGATTAAATTCCTTTATAATTATGCATTTTATGTAATCATTCCAGGGCATAGCTCAAAATATTTGGATTCACATATCCTGTGCAAAGGGGAGCTTTCCACATAAAGAAATACTCTAATTTTATACAATGCCTGTCTCAGACAGGTGGGATGAAAAGAGGTGGAAAGAAGCTACTGCTTGCTTCCTCAGGAGTTTCTATACCCATTAACCTATTTCATCATGAAACTTCTCTGTGCACAGACCATTAAGGTAAAGAAAAAATACTGTTTCATAGTGTGTATGTCAACTGGTAAAAGGGCATCCTCTACCAAATAAATCTTAAATCAAACCCATCATGCAGCCTCTTGTCAATGCTGGGCTCATAGAACTGTGCTTTTCAGATGGTCAGAGGGTGTCTGTTCCTCTAAAATCACCCTTGACCCAAGCGACTGGGCAATGAGGATGATAGATTCGGACTCCCAAGTTCCCATCTAGCACTTAGCTTTGTGCTTTTCTCCTCTTCTATTGACATTGACCTCAGACTCAGCAAGGTACTTGGATTCAGATTCATCCCTGCAAGGATTTGATGACATATTTTTGCAACTCATATCTTTCCTTGACCACACCCTGAAATGCTCTTTTGCTGCAGGATTAAGTAGTGGCCATTTCCATCTCTGACTTTTGGGTTCATACATAGTCATGTGACACGTATTTACTGACTACCTAGTATATGCCAGGTGCCAACTGTGGAGAGTACAATGATGACGAAAATACAGTCTTAATGGAAATGGCCATCTGCTGGGGGATACAGGTGACTAGAAAGACAGTTTATAATCCTTATGTCATAAATACTGTGGGAGGGAACAATTTGGGTTTCATGACGGGAGAAAGGGAAGAGGCCAAGTCAGAACTGGGGGTGGGGGAGTTAACTGGTAGGTGTCCTTAAGGGAGTCTTCCTGGAGGAAGTAGCATGGCCTCTGTCTAAACAATAGGGCTGAGCAGGGTCACAAGTTAGGGTTCTTGTGCAGTTAGGTGAAATGAATTTTCATGGCCGTGTGCATCCAACTTCTTATCTGCCATACTGGTTTCATTCTCGAAATATTTATTCTCAAACATCTTCTCCTTCTTTCTCTCAGTCCTACGACAGAGAACTTAAATAGTTTATTGAATTCCCATGACTTCACCTAAGTAACAGTGGGCCATGTAACACAAAGGAGAGTAAAACTGTGAGGCTCACTCATGGCCGTGGCTGGTAGTGGATGCCGGCAAAGCATCAGCAGAATTTCCTGCGCGTGGCGGCTGTGTTCCTATCCCATTCGTGATATTGTTCATCTGTGCCTTCTCCACCTGTCTTTTTTCTTTAAACTGTCTCCAAAGTTTTGTCTGGTTTATTATTTTTCTTCAAATAACCAGGTTTGGCTTTGCTGATTCTCTGTTATCTTTGTTTTCTATTTTAGTTCGTTAAAATTTCTCCTCTTTATTATACTATCCAATCTACTTTCCTTGGTTTTATTTTATTCCTCCTCCCCTCTCAAATTGTAAAGTTAGACTCTTAAATAATTCATTTTCACTCACTGGTGATATAATTCAATGCTAGAAATTTCCACTAAATATTGCTTTTATTGTTTCACAGAAGATTTAATGTGTAATGTTTTCCTTGTCTCTCAGTTCTATGTATTTTTAAAAATCCATTTGATTTATTCTTTGAGCCATGTGTTCTCCAGAAGAGTGTTTAAAAACACTGCTATAGCTACCCCAGCTCTCGTTTGGTTGGTATATGACTTGTATTTTTTAACTCTGCTTATTTGTGTCCTTATGTGCTAGGTATGTCTCTATAGTTTATGGGCGGATTATTTTTTAAAGTTTTAAAAAATCCAAACTGATAATCCCTGTATTTCTTTTAAATTATTTCTGCCATTTCAGTTCACTTATTCTTTGCCCCCCATTTCCTGTTTTCTTCTTTTGTATTTCTCGCTTTTGTTTTTATAGATTCTTTTTGCTTGTTTTCATTTTATTTCTTCTCTCACATATTTGGAAGTTATAAACCCCCTTTCTATTATTTTATGGCTAACCTTTGAAGTTTTACCATGCACACCTAAAACTTGAAAGATCTTAAGTTAATAACTTGATATCAACTTGAATAATATGTGCTATGATCTGAATGTTTGCATTTTCTGAAAATTTAAATGTTAAAACCTTCACCCCCACAGTGATAGTATTAAGAAGTGGGGGCTTTGGGGTGTGATTAAGTCAGGAGAGTAGAGCATTCATGAACGGGTGTAGTGCCCTTGTAAAATAGGTCCAAAGAAACTTCTCTGCCCTTCCACCATAGGAGGACACAAGAAGGCCCCATCTATGAGAAGGCAAGCCCTAACCAGACATCACATCTGTTTATGCCTTAATCATGGACTTCCCAGCCTCCAGAACAGTGAGAAATACATTTCTGTTCATAAGCTACCCAGTTTATAGTATTTTTGTTATAATAGCCCAAATGGAGTAAGACAATACAGAATTTAGTACACTTTAATTTCAGTCAACAGTTTCTTACTTTATATGATGAAAAATTCTCAATATTGTAGATCTCTTTTTTTTCCAATCACATAAACTGGACATTATTCATATTTTAATTGAGTATAAGCATAATTTTTTAAAGATTTGTTACATGCTTACCAGAGTTTTGCTTATATCCTCTTTCAGTTTTGGATCTTCTTTCTGGAGTCATTTTCCTGCCACTTGAAGGACTGTGAAGTTTTTAGGGGTTATTTTAATGAAATTCTATTTTTTTATAAACTCTCAATTTTTGTTTGTCAAAAATGTCTTTATTTTTCTTTTTGCTCTTGAGGGATAATTTTGTTGTACACAGTTCTGAGTTGAGAGTTATGTTTCAGCACCATGAAGATGTCATTAAACTGCCTTTTGTTTCCCATTATGGCTTTTGAGACATCAGTTTTCCACTAATTATGTTTCTTTTCTTTTGTACAGATCTGTCTTTTTTTCTCTGGCAGCTTTTAAGATGTTCTCTTGGTTTTTGTTTGAAGTTTCACTAAAACTTCAAACAAATGTTTAGAAGTATTTTTTAGAAATGTATTTGGCTATATTAGTAGGGCAGTACAGATATGGGTCCACTTATTTTCCTTCAACTATCCTGGCTCAGTGGATGAGTTTCAGGTTTGTTCTGGATTTCGTTGTGGCTTGCATTTATGCCAAGGGTAACTCTGGGTTTAACATTCCTAATCAGCGTTTGGTTTCAGCTCACTGTTCTAGAGTTTGTTTGTTTGTTTTTAAAGAACCTTCATTCATTAATTTTATTTTAGGGGTTTCCCTTTCTTTTTCAGAATTCTATCAATGCATTAAAGAAGTACATTTGTTATGTAGATCATCTTTTTCTCTCCATTTCATCTCTCTAACCCTCCTTAGCTGGAAAATGTTCTTCACTTTTAGGAACTCATGATTGGAATTGACCCACCTAGAAAATCCAGAATAATCTCCCCATCTCAAGGTCCATAATCTTGATCAAATATGCAAAATCCCCTTTTCCATGTAAGATAACATTCATGGGTTTTGGGGTTTTGGGGCTTAGGGCCTGGGCATGTTAAGGGGGCTGGGGGGTGGATTATTCTGTCTAAATGATTTCTTTCTATGCTTCAGGTTCCTCATCTGTACAATGAGACTAATACCTTCTCAGTTATATTTTGGTGAAGATCCAGACATTGATTTTTAGTGAGGATCAGCTGATGAGGTATGGGTACTTTGCACATTTTAAAGTAATATGCCAGTATGACATATGAATAAAATTGTTAATAAATAATATGCTTGATAGACTTTCTTATTTGACCTTGGGTCTCCAGTGGCCTGAAAAGGATCTAATATTAGATAAATGTTTGCTGAGTGACAACATGCATAATTATTTCTATTTTTGTCTTTTATCTGGGGAAGATCCCATTTTTGTGAGGCTTTAAGAATATATAATTTGTAGCATTCTCTTTAATAAATAAAATATTAAGTCCTAAACATAAAATTAGGCACAGGGCCTTGGAAGGGGCCTGTGCAAATGAGGGGACCTGAAACTTAAGCTTCTTTATCTTTCCCCCAAATCTACCGCTACCTCATCTTTACTGTTTTTTTTTTTTTTCTTTTCATTTTCTTGCTCCTCACTACCTTATTGACTTGCTCTAGTACTTCATTTCTGGCTTTCCTTTTTTTTAATGTTCCTTATCTTGGAAATAAAACCCCATTTCATTAATGTCCTACTGTCTCTGGTCCAATGTGACAGTAACAATGTAAGCTATAAATACATAATTAATGTATTTATTATATATTTATTGTGTGCCCACGACATGCCAGGCACTGGGTTCAAAGCTGTGGACACTAGGATGATGCCACATATTACATTACACAAGTTGTCTGGTCCTGATTGAGTGAAAGAAATCCTGAGGGCAGAGGGTCCTACCCTGGAGATGTACTCAAAGTAGTCTGAGAAAAGTAACTGGAATGCAATTAGAAGGTATGTTAGAAAAAAGTATATCTCACAACCCAACTAACAGAAGAATAAGCAAACGTAGGAAAAAGGAGCATATTTAAAAGCCTAAAGAGTTGGAAGCAAGACAGGTTTTGTCCACATGAGGAAAGAGTACAGGAGCCCAATTAGAATTCAAGTGCTGAGGCCCCGGAGACACAAAGTTGAATCCAGGGCACCTGATGAACTGGATGTGGTACCTAAAAGAAACTTTATAGGACAACACGCCAGTTCTTAAAATGCTGTTATCAATTCACCTTGAAGTCTTAATTTGGCATCAAATCTCTTTCCAGAGATTTTTTTCCCATCAATCTTCTCTCATGTCAAGAAAAACTTAGGTTATTAATCTCTCATAGACACTGTGATGTTTGACACATATTGTATTACTGGGATAAATGGAATTATTAATAGAAATTCCAGGGAACCTGAAGGCTCCTGGGAAACATATTTAAAATGAAAGAGACAGGATTATTTTATTTTATGGAAAGACTTTTAACAAACTTACAGGAAGCACAAGCCACATAACCTTGGCTTTGTCCAATACCACACATTGTGTGCTTAGTATATGTTGGCGCACAATAAACACTTGCCTGTTAAAGGTTTGCCTGGGGTTTTACATACTCAAGGAATTTTCACATGATTTTATATTTTTTTTTCTATAAAACTCTCAGCATTTGGAGAGATGTTATTACTTATTTTGCTTGGAGTTTGTTCTTACTGTCATTGATTTATTCTCTAAACTCCTGATACTATGTATTTTGTTCCAGAAGCTGTGCTATGTGCTGGGGGTGCTAAGATAAATAGATCATAATCTCTGTCTTTTAGAAGTTTCTGGTCCAGGGGGGAAAAAGACCATCAAACAGAGGAATGTTCATATCTACTGAACCAGACCACAGAGAAGGAAGGGCCCACCTGCCTAGAAAGGCAAGGGAAGACCTCCCAAAGACTGTCGTTTTAAAGCTATGTCCCAAAAGGCAAGTGGAGAATTTGTCAGGCAAAGAGAATTAATGGGAGGAAATAATGAATTAATTAAGGTGAAGGAGGGATGGGGTT
This sequence comes from Homo sapiens, assembly GCF_000001405.40. Lineage (NCBI taxonomy): Eukaryota > Metazoa > Chordata > Mammalia > Primates > Hominidae > Homo > Homo sapiens. The sequence goes on along the minus strand of NC_000001.11, from coordinate 83,491,456 downwards.
GGAGAGTAACCATGTGTAAGAACATTAGGTTAGGATTTTCAAGCAGCTTAGGTGTTTGGAAGGACAGGAGAGGGTGGCTATTTAAGTCAATAAGGTTGCAAGGCCTAAGGTCATCAGATCTCTTGACAGTGGGTTGAAGTCTTCTCTGCCACTGAACTGTGCTTTCTTACTGGCTTATTTAGCATTATGTTCTGGAGCCTCAGTCCCTAACATATCACAGGCACTCAAATACCACTTTTTCATGCTTTCTCTTATACACACATACCCCTACCCCCACCCACATACTATACACCAGTTATGACAGCTAAACATCACTTGACTAAATTCTTTCTTCAGGGGGTTTTACCATTGTGAGAGGTTTGACTTAAAGAGTCCTACATTTCAAAACCTACTATTTTTTTTTCTAGGGCTCTTGTACTTTTAAATTAATTAGTTTTGATTGGCTTTTGTGTACCTAGGTTGTGTCCTCAGTTACCTGGTAGTGTCCTTTGTGACAAATTGCTTATCTTCTCAAATTTAAGTGCATTTAGGAACTTTAAGTCTGGTTAGTTAATACTGTCATAATGAGTTCTGGATATGTGGGCTAGAGAAAAGTTGAACAGAAAATCATAAGTTACAACTTTTGACAAATTTAAACTACCCATGAAATATTTGACTATATTTCAACAATCATTTCTTCTCTGATTGTTCTCAACTAAAGTAGAAGTACTGAGGAAGATAACATAATATCTCCTCTCTGTTTTCCTCCATTTAGAGCTAATTTTCCACTTGGACAAAGCAAGAGAAAGAAGGAATATCTATAAATAAGATATAATAATAGTTCGTTCAACTGCATTGACTTTGATTTAAAGCAGGAAATTTTCTACCATATTGAAGAAAACATAACATAGCACCCTCTTTCCTTGTAATTTATTTGGCTGTGACTCATTTAATGCAATATTTAATTGGACAGCTGGTTTTCAGTAAATTGTTTTAGTTACCATGAGGAACAACTGCTGTTTACCATCTATCCTTTGTATAGAAAGGAGACACTACAAATAGCATTTGAGTGAATATTTTCAGTGCAGATTTGAAGAAGTCCATGACAATTTTCTACCTTCATACTACTTTGTTCACTCTAGTTTTTGATCTGACTTCTCTAGATAGTGTCCCCCTTTTTTTTTTATCTTGTTTGTCTTTTCTGTAGTCATACTTTATTGTCCTGTATCCCATTCCCTCACAGTTTTACTCCCGATGGAGTGAGAGAATTCAATCTGTAAGCCAAAGCATGTTATTGAGTGGTAGCATGTGAACATGGTAGTCATCCATCTGAAAACACAGGATCATGTCTATCACAGTGGAAATTTTACGTGCTATTTGGGCAGGAGGGAGTGCATTTTTTGTTTATGTGCAGAGCAAAGACTTGTCTCCATCTAATGCATGGATGAGAAGAGGAGAGGTTGAATATAGCTGCAATTATAAGGCCAGATGGAGATGCATAGCACACTTTCAGATTGTGGAGCTTCGAACTAAGTATTGTCTTTCTTCATCCCTGATGAGTATCAATTTTTCCTCTTTTCTTCAAAAGACATGTTAGACCTCAGCAAATACCTGTAACCTTGAGATATTGTCATACTGCTAATGATAGTTTAGCTCTATATAGACCATCTGAAAAGATTTCTTTATGATGGTCTTCCCAGCTGCTTCAGCTGCATACACACAAAATAGATGAATCACATTACTAACAAGGATATTTTCTTAACAGCATGGATTGAGTAGGAGGGGTAGAGGGAGATGGCAATGAAAAAAGGAACTTGATTGCTTCTGTTTGAAATAACTATCTGATTAAAACAACAGCAACAATAATAACACCAACAAAGAGGAAAATATACTCTACCACCAAAAAAAAAAAAAAAAACACAACAATTTTCACTTTGGATGGACCATTTCCTTTGAAATGAAAAGAAAAAATGAAGCAGTTACACCATGGGTGTCCCTAGCACAAGATGTATCCAACCTATAACTTCTGATTACTCAGAAATTCACAGAAAGTAAATTCAGATAGGATTAAGAAAGCCCCTAGGGACTAACAAGTGGAAGAATATTTATTTGTTTGCACCAAATAGTTGACTGAATACTGAATAACTATTAGCTTAAATTGCAATAAACTCAGTTATTTAACTGAGATCTAACAGTTTACATTTTTCTTTTTTTTCTCCTAAGCAGCCTCTGAATAACATCTCTAGAGTATCTCACGAACAGAATGACTATGATCTTCATAACTGAATAGCAGCTAGCAGGATTGTTCAGCAATTTTCTAATTTTTTTTGTTTGTTTTCTAAGATGACACTTGTTAGAATTTAGGAATAGACACTCACAGAGATATTTTTCCCCTTTTGGAAAAGAGTAAAGGGTTGCTTTATCTAGAAACATGCATGTATTTTATGATGAAGGGATAAAGTTTGAAACAGAAGACCAGGTTCTGACTCAGAATTTTGTTTCCTAATCACTGGTTAATCTCCACCTGCCCCTTTTTCCACATCCTTTGGTAGCAAATATGTTGATATTAAGGTTTATCAAGTTACATCAATTGACACATTTAATTTTGTTTTCTGTTGTTTCATGTAGACTATCCCATTAGAGAATACATTTGTAGCCAGAAAACCACCTTGGACTTTTAGGGAGCAATTCCTCCCTAAAAGGGGAGCGATGGTCAGGGCCTTCTGGAATTACTCCTACAAGAATAGGAGCAGGGAAAGAGGATATATTTTGGAGAGGAAGTGGGATATAAAGAGGATATTAGTGCACAAGGATTTAGGATATTAGCTTAAGTAGAGTAAGAAGGACAGAGCTAACAACCCCAATGGGATGAAATGGCTATAATTATTTCTTTGTGTTTCTAGGTATATCTGGAGAAATCATTTGTAATATTAATCTAGAATTGTTTTCTCCCTGAATCTCTGATTCTCTTCCTCTCATTCAACTCAGGGAAGGGATGTTAAAAAGCAGAAAGAACAAATGGCATTCCAATATTTCTGGCTTTTTATTAGTTAGTTTATCTGTCCTTTAAAAGCCCCACAGAGAAGAGAGAATTGGCAGGCTGGACAGAGTATCTTGGCCAGAAGCAGTAGGGAGAGCTGGACTAAAGCCTGTAAGACTAGAGAGATGTGTCCCCACTTGCAAGGAGAAAGCAAGATAGTTTGTAAAAGTCCCTGTGTGGTAGAGACCAAGGCCTCAGTCAACAGAAGTAAGGTTGAGTGGTGGAAAACCCCTGAGAGGAAATGACTGTATGGGGTATTTGAGAAGGTGGTTTCCATGGACAAACTCAGAGAAAGGTTTTATGTCCCAAGTGTGCCTGGCAGGAGTGAGCCAGCATGCCAGAGGGGCCGTGTGGAGAAAGACAGAGGGTGTCTCAGTAGCTGTCTGTGTGTGGACAGATGCTTAAGGATAAGAGAGATCCCACTCCTTAATCCCAAGGCACTCTCTGAGAACCCACTAAGGGACAGAAAATCATGAATGGGACTGAGTTTAAGTTTCCCACTACTCATGCGAGAAAGGCGGCTCTTACAACAAAAAATAAAGTTTTATAATGTAAAGACTGTAGATTTCTTGCTCACCTGAATTTGTGGGCTGAGATTCATACCTGTAAATAGAGTTAAAAAGAACAACCAGTGTGATATTGACATGATGGCTCAAGAGATGGGGATAAGAAGCAAAAGAAGGGAAGGAAAAAGAGCACTACTCATACGAAGTGACAGGTGCTTGAACCATTCTGTCCTGCTGCCTGGAACTAAGAACACCCTGAGTTGACTGTGTAGGAGACTGAAAGGACTAAGCACTTACTGCTTCAGTGTGCTTCCTTGAAGAACAGCTGGAAAGCATCTAGAGCAGTGAGATGACCATAGCAGGAGACCAATATTGACTAATAGACTGTGGGGCCACATTCCATTGTCCACCATGCTGCAACAAGACCCAATGGAAGTGCTTACTTGAGATACTGGGTCTTTGCAGGCTTGAGTGTGGAAGTTTGTAAGGTTCTTGTTTTGGTTTATGAAACACTCATGATTATGAACAGTCCAGAGGAGTGAAGAGCCTGAAGAAGGAGAAACTGGACTTCTTGCTTATAAGGCAGGTAGATTTGTCCCACATTGCAGTGCTGGTTCTCTGAATAGCAGGGCATTTATTTAGGCCAGTTGGTCTTTAATTATTTAATATAGCAGATACATAGTCAGTTCAGGTTGAGGATATCTGATTTATTGGGCAAAGTAGATTTTTTAGAGGGCTAGGTTGGAGTTCCACACTCCAACTTTTAGGAATCATGTAATTTCTGGCATGATCTTTCTGACTGTTTCCTGATTTGTTAAATGGAGATTACTGCATTGCATAGTGATACAAAGGTGGAACCATGAGTACAAGTTGAAATCTTAATCTCCAAGGAAGTATTATGGAAGTACAGGAGGAATCATTAATTCTTCCTCAGAAATGGAATCAGAGTGACTTTTGACATTGGGATTAAAGATTGAGTAGAATTTCACTGGAACAGCAACAATGAGAGTTCCTACACAAGTAACAGTTTATGCACAACAATAGTGTATACGTGAGGCTGTGTGGTATGTGCATAAAATCAGTCCTGCATCAATGCCTACCCATGTCATTCTGGCATTCTGCTAGAATCACCTGTAACTCTCTACCTGAGACTTCCTGTTTATTGGGCAGGCTGGAAATGGTAAGTGATGAATGTATGCAGTAGCAGTTCTTGGCCAGTGACAAATGGATTGGAGAATACACACTCTACCTTCCTTGCCCTTGGAGGCAGGAGGGGTTGGGGTTGGATAATAAGGAAGAGTGTTCCTCATTATCTTTTAGGACTCCCCAATGAGATTGAACTCAGTTGCCCTACCTCTAACACCTGCTTGACAAGGCACAAATTATTGGTTCTCTTTCCTTCTCTTTATCTCTCTCCAGACATTTGTTGTTTCCCGGGATCATTTCCCAAATAATATAGCACCGGTACTCAAATCTTTGTCTCAGAATCTGCTTCTGGGGAAACCAACTTAAGACAGAGACATTTGTTGGTCATATAAGGCACAAGGAGAGTCTAGGCAAGAGCTGGTCGGGAGCTGTTATTTAAAGGTAGTAGTGAAGTCCAGTAGGACATGCTGAGCATTTAGATAATACAGAAAATCGGGAGCCATTAAAAATCTAAACAGAGGGGAAACTGGGAGGAAAGCAAAAGCATATCCACTTTTTAGAAAGCAAGCACAACTAGCTTTATAATGAAATAGGTTGGAGAAGGTAGAGAAGGCATTCTATTGGTGACAATGAAAGAGACAAAAGTAATATTTTGATGAGTAATAATGAAAGCTAAATTTGTGTAGTAATAGAGAATTTGCAGAGAATCTGTAGGACTAGGCAAATAATAGGGTAAGAATTTCAAAGGGAGGAGAGTGTACAGCCATTGATGAAGCCAACATTTTTGACCTTAACAAATGGGTAGGTGGTGAAGCAATCAACACAGATAAGTAAGAATGGGAGAATGAAATGCTGAATTTGCAGTGCTTATGGAGGATTCAGATGGCACCATCTAAACTTGTCATTTAACAGTTGTTGAACTTATTTTGAACCGGGCAATGACTATCTGCTAGGTCCTAGTGCTGAGAAGTCACAGTTTCTGCTCTTATGCACCTTAACTGAGTAGCGGAAATGTTGTAAATGTGATATAAATAAGAAGACTATTTACACATAGGTGTTGGTTAAAACTGCAGGAGTTGATTTTTTTATTAGTAGAGAAATATCCTACTGTATTGCTAAGGTAATGTCTGAACTTGGTGGAATTTCTTTTAATAGGCAAATAGTGCTTTGAAAGAATAGATTGCAATATTGTAGCCCTGAAAGTTTTAACATTAATTAAAAAAAAAAGAAAATGTAAAAAGAGGAAGTGCATAGTCAAAAGAATTAGAATTCCCCTGTTTAAGTTGATGTAGAATAATAAAAATCATGGGGCATTGAATGTGGTCTTAGTATGTATTAATGGTCTTCTCTGCTAGTGTTAGTAGATCTTCAGTGGCAGAAAAAGTAAAAAGAAATATATTTTCTTCTCTTGATGCTATTTGCCTAGTTTGTAAATAACAATATTTGTTTGACTTCTTGGAAAGGAAACAATAACTGAATTGTGTTTTGAAACTCAGGGAAAAAGACTCAAAAGTATGTTCCATGCATTGCCTAATTCTTTTAAAAACAATGTTTCAATACAATTTAGTATTTCAATAATATTTTTTTCCTAAAGGAAGGTAGTATAGAATCCTGATGTGATAAGCACCTAACTTTTTCAGCTTGTTGTATAGGTCTTGTGGGCATTTATTTGTTTAATTGAAATAATGCTATTTTTGAATCATTTAATATCATCTTGACTGCCTGGGCTTTTTGTGTCCCAGTCTAAAATAATTCAAGAGATATAGGACATCTGCCTTGTAAATTACATAATCTTTTATATCTTTTACCATTGGGCAGTAGTTTTCAAAATTATTGAAACTATCTTCAATTATTCATTTCTAATATTGCGTATACTTTAAAACCTAACTCACAACCAAATGATCTCTTTTGGGATATTTTCATCCATTGTCACAATAATACATATTTTACATTTCCTCGATTTATAATTATTGTTATTTTTTTCATTTATTTCTTTAGTCAATCAATTAATTACTTAGTAAGTATTTATAGAGCTTCTAAAGCTCAAGCCTGCTGGGGGAATCATTCACATGGGAACAAAAACTCTGATTTACCCACATTTTCCATAAATCCTTCATCAGATTGCTGGTTCCTTGCCTGTGGTGAGCAGGCGTTGCTATAATGAAGTCCCAGAACAGTTTAGACTGGCAAAGGAACACTTTTCAAAGAACCTCGTGGGGCTTCACACTCAGCAGCTGGGGGAACTTGTAGGAATTGAGACCTTGGTAGATTTGTCTATTCTCTGCGTTGCTGTTTCTTCTACGAGGATAAAAATCTAAACCTTACTCACGTTAAAGAGATTCGTGTCTTTTTTTTTTTTTGAGTTGGAGTCTCACTCTGTCACCCAGTCTGGAGTGCAGTGGCATGATCTTGGCTCACTGCAACCTCTGCCTCCTGGGTTCAAGCAATTCTCCTGCCTCAGCCTCCCCAGTAGCTGGGAGTACAGGTGCCTGTCACCATGCCCAGCTATTTTTTTTTTTTGTATTTTTAGTAGAGATGGGGTTTCACTGTGTTAGCCAGGATGGTCTCGATCTCCTGACCTCATGATCTGCCCGCCTCAGCCTCCTGAAGTGTTGGGATTATAGGTGTGGGCCACCGCGCCCAGCTGAGATTCATATCTTTTATCTCGTGGTGCCTTTCTCAGAATCACATCCTCATCAGCCACTTGACAACACATGCTCAGGTTTTGCCAAAACACCATGTAAGTACTGGAAATACAACAGTATGGCAGACTGCAATATGGACCTCTCAGGAACCAGGAGCATGCAAGATTGCGGTGCTTCTCCCCCTTTTGGTGTCAGGACCTCTTTATAGTCTTAAGATGTCATTGAAGACCCCAAACAACTTTTACTGATATGGGTTATATTCATATTTACTGTGTTGAAAAATAAAGCTAAGTACTTTTTGAAACTACATTCATTGCTTAATTTATTAAAACAACAATAGTAATCCCATTACAAGTTAGGCCTTTGTAGGTGAGGCATGTAGGTGATGCTGTGTCCATTTAATTCATTTATGTCATTCAACAAAAATTGAGCATTCTACTCTGTGGTTTGCATTGAACATATAACAACAATTTTATGTTGTTCTATGCACTGGGTATACAACAACGTTAACATTTAACCTATGTTTTGGTTATGTTGCAATAAAACTGTCCTGTCCTATGTGCTGATACAACAATAACGCTACTCTCTGCAAAGCATATACAACACTACTATACTATTGTATGCACTGAGTACACATCAACAATACCACCCTGTTTGCTGTACTGGGTATACAGAAATTATTGGGCAGATGCCCTCTTGAAGTCCTTACATTTGATCCTTATAGATGGATCACAGATGAAAGTTCAAGATGCTATTTTAAGAGTGAAAATACAAGAGAATCAAATTTGACCCACCTAGACTTGAAATGAAGATACTGATTTCCACAATGTCTGTGTAGTTTGAGACGAAGAAACATCCAGAAGAGATTGGAAAAAAGAGAAAGAACTGTAGAGAAATCCTTCTAACCTACGAATTAGGGAAGGTGGGTAGTTGGTGAATTAAAAAAAAGGAAGAAGAAAAATAAAGGGAAGGAAAAGAAAGGGAAAGAAAAGAAAAGAAAGAGAAAACCACAAAACTGTGAGTGAAAAATTATAGGAAATTATAAATATACATCATAAAAATTTTATTTTATCTTAAATACATAAATGCACATTGAAGCACATGGAGGCACTGCTTTCTATTTTCTTTTTTTAAGAGATAGGGTCTCGCTCTGTTGCCTGGATTGAAGTGTACTGGCACAATCATAGCTCACAACAACCTCAAACTCCTGGGGTAAAGGGATCCTCCTGCCTCAGCCTCCCTAGTAGCTAGGATTACAGGCAAGTGACACCATGCCCAGCTCTTTCTTTTTCTGTTCTTTTCTTTTCTTTCTTTTTTCTTTTATTTCTTATTGTAGAGACGGGTCTTGCTGTGTTGCCTGGGCCGGTCTTGAGTTCCTAAGCAATCCTCCTGCCTCAGCCTCCCAAAGTGCTGGGATAACAGGCATGAACCATCACACTCAGCCTGCTTTCTTGATATGTAGTCTGGGTATTTTGATCTGATTGTTCAGATACTTGGAGTTCCACATTGTCTGCTTTATATGAACCACGTACATCATCACTCTGATAATTTCCAGATTTGATTCTATTAAAGTAGAACAAGAATTTAGACACTTGCAAAAGCAAAAACAGTCTTGGTACAGAATTCTTCCAGATTTTTATCATTTTTTTCAATTATCTTACAATTTCCTTATCTGCAACAATTCAGTAGCACCTTTTGGGGGAGTAAGAAAGGGGAAAGTCTTTCTGCTTTTATTTCTACTCCTTACAAGTGTTTCCAAAGCATTCATTTAAGTATCTGTAGAAAATACAACCTCATTTTCATTTTTTTTTTTTAACTAGCTAAAATTTAACATTTCCTTCATTTATGAATATAGGCAAGAAACCATGGTGCTATTAGCAGTACCAGTGACTTTGTTCACAATGGAAATTACAGATACATTCGTATCACATTAGAGTTATTACAGACATCTTGAAATATCATTCATAGACATCAGTACTTCAAAATTATGGTCGTTATTAGAACCACTACCAGATGTTGTCAATTAATGGATAACAAAGTATGTGTATTACTATTAGCTACAAATTTGTTTTATAATTTTAAAAATGTTCTGATAAAATAATTTACTACATTTGTAGTTTATCGATTTTATTTTGTACATTTAAAAATACTAATCTGTGAAGGGGTTCATAGGCTTCGACAGACTGCCAAAGAAGTCCATGGCACAAAAAGTTATGAACCCTTTATCAATGACTATTCCAAAGAATGTTGATTTTGTTCCTGGGGATGTCAGAGACTGATTTCTCCAGTGACTATAAAGTATCATTTTACAGTCACATTCATTTATCATCACATTCATTTATCAAATAATTTGATAAATACTTGGTGAGTTTCCACTGCAAGTTAGATACTGAATTATGTTCTTGGGATACATCAGTGAACCAAACAAAAATCTCAACCTTTGTGGAGTTTACATACTAGCGGGGAAGGCAGATGATAACACAAAAGATACATAGATTATGTAATAGGTCCAAAGCTAGAAAGGAAAGGTGCCAGGAAGGCTTTTGTTGCCATTTTAAAGGTGGGGTGCCAGGAAGGATTTTGCTGCCATTTTAAATTGAGTGGTCAGAGCAGGTCTCATGTACAGACTTGCCTATATAGGTGAGCAAGCCCGGAAGTCTCCAGATGGAATTTCCCAGGCAAAGGAAACAACTCAAAGCTCAGAGGAGGGATCATGTTTACTATGTTCAAGAAATAGCCAGAAAGACTGCGTGGCTGGAGCAGAGTAGGATGAGGAAGAAAAGAAGAAGGGAAGATCAGAGAGCTAACGGAGGGAGGAGGAGAGTACACAGAGGTCTTTAAAGGCCATATAAGAACTTGGACTTTTACTCTGAGGTAGGCGAAGAATTTAGACACTTGCATTTCTTTTTGGGAAAGAAATGCCATGATCTGACTTATGTTTCAAAAGGATCACTTATACTTCTTTGTGGGCAATAGAATGGAAGGAGGCAAGGGTGGGAATGGGAAAACAGTTATAAGACGATTGCTAAAATCTAGCAAGTCTGATGAAAGTGATAGCCATGGAGGTGGTGAGGAGTAATTGGTCTCTGAATTATGTTTAGGGTAAACACAGGAAGACTTCCTGGTGAATCGGATGTACAGTGGGAGTAATAAAGAGAGGAAACAAGGGTGACTCAAAGATTTTTGACCTAAGCACTAGAGGGGTGAATTTTTCATCTACTGAGATGGAAAGCTTTGAGCAGCTCAGATATTTGGGAGAAGATCAGGAGTCACTCTTGAAAAGTTTGAATGATCTAAATGAGAGACTTTGAATATAGTTTTGGAGTCTGAGGCAAAGGAGCATTCAGGGCTGGAGATGTAAATTTGGCAACAAAGGGCATACAGAGGGAGACTGGATGAGATCCCCAAAGGAAGGAGAGTGGATAAAAAAAGAAGCTACAATCTGGGGCAAGTCAGTCCAGGACTAAGAGGTATAAGAAAAGATAAGTCATTCGCAAAGTTCTGAGACTAGCAACCAGTGAATTAGGAAGCCTTACAAGCCAAAAAAATAGAAGTATCAAGGAGTGGTGCCATCTCTGTCAAGGGGGGTAAAATGTGAGAGGACCAAATGTGGGCCATGAGATTTAGCAACCTGAAGTTTATCTGAGACCTCAGTAAGAGCAATTTTGTTGAGAGTTAAGACCTGATTTCAGTGGGTCTGTGAGAGAATGAGAGGAGAGGAACTGGATAGAATTAATACAGACCCCCTTTCTAAATGTTTTTCTGCAAAGGCAAAGAGAAATGGAGTCATACCTGGTAGGGAGAGAGGGTCCAGTAAAAGGTTTTATTTCTGTTTTTTCTTGTTTTTGTTGGTTTAGTCTTTTACTTTTTAAGATAAGTGAGTAACAATCTTTTGTGCTGAGGAGGATGACTCAAAAAGTGGAAAGAGTTGACAAGGTAAGAGATGGGAGAAGACATGCAGGATGCCCTTGAGTGGGCCGCAGGTCTTGGAATCTGGTGCACATGTGAAGAGATTGGCTCTAGAAAGACCACAGACAATTCACCTTTCAAAACAGCAAGAAAAGCACAGTGAGTACACGTGCTTGTGGGAGGGTGAGCAGGTGCAGTAGTGAGAGACTGGGGAAATTCTCTTTTAATTGTTTCACTTCTGTCAGTGAAGGAGAAAAAAAGATTGTGCATTGAGAGTAAACATGAGGGAGCAGGTGCTGGAGATTTAAAAGGGAGGTGAGAAAGGACAGTTGATTGGGAAAGAGATAGAATAGTGGCTCTCAAAGGCAGTCTCCAGATCAGCAGCATTGGTATCACCTGAAGACTTGTTAGTAATGCAAAAATCTCAGGCCTTACTTCAAGCTTGATGAATCAGGAACTCTGAGGTAGGCGCAGCAGTCTGTGTCTTAGCAAGCCTTGCAGGGATTCTGATGCACGCTGAAGTTTGAGTGTCACTGGAATGGATGGTGTCCATATGATTGCTGGGTCACTCCGCCTATCCTGAATGTCAAGAACATGCCAGGTGAGACCAGCCAGTATATTGTAGCTCTTTCTCCAGCCACAACCAGGTATTTCTTATGGGATGGGCAGAGAGTTGGATGTACAGGTTTTGATCATTGGTTTATAAGAGATAAATGGATCTGAACAATTACAATAATAGAGAATGTGATGGACTGAGTTGTGCTCCCCCCAACTCATATGTTAAAATGATAACCCTCAGTACTATAGAACGTGACTGCATTTGGATGTAGGACCTTTATGGAAGCAATGAATGTTAAATGAGGTCATTAAAGTGGGCCCTAATCCAATAGGACTGGTGTCCTTGTAAGAAGAGATTAGGAAGCAGACAGGTACAGAGGGAAGATCATATGAAGACAAAGGAAAAAAACAAGCCAGATAGAGAAGTCTCAGAAGACGCCACCTTGATCTTGGACTTCTAGCCTCTAAAAATGTGAGAAAATAAATTTCTGTTGAATAAGCCACCCAATCTGTGGTACTTTGTTAAGTCAGCCCCAGTGAATGAATACAAACATACCAGAAAAAGGTTAAAAGGTCTGACTTCACTGGGTAGATTAGTACCTTGGCCAGCCACATGCTCTAAGTCCCTCTGTGCCCTTCTGTGAAGGGGGATGATGATAATGATAGCATCTACTCAAGAGCTGATATGGTTAGGGTTTGTGTCAACACCCACATCTCCTCTTGAATTGTAATCCCCAGATATTTAGAGAGACACCTGGTGGGAAGTGATTGGGTTATAGATATGGTTTCCCCATGCTGTTCTTGTGATAGTGAGCAAATTCTCATGAGATCTGATAGTTTTATAAATGGTAGTTTTTCCTGCACTGACATTCACGCTGTCTCTTTTCTTCCACCATGGGAAGAAAGTCTTTGCTTCCTCTTCGCCTTCCGCCATGATTGTAAGTTTCCTGAAGCCTCTCCAGCTGTGCAAAACTGTGAGTCAATTAAACCTCTTTCCTTTATAAATTACCCGGTTTTGGGCAGTTCTTTACAGAAGTGTGAAAACGGACTCATACAGGAGTTATTGTGGAGATTCAGTGAGGCAATGCATGGAAAGCCTCAGCTCAGTCCTGACCCATGATAGGTCCTCAAAAATGTCGGCATGAAAATGGCCACTACCTCAAAAGAGCATATGTGCTTGGTCAGGATGGCTCTCCCTTGTGAATCCACATTTAGAGCCAAAATTGCCAAGTCCCTGGGGGAATTGAGCTCTGCAGCTGGCAATTTGAGGCATGTGTTCCTGAGCCCCACGGCAGTGACCTTTTATCCTTCTCGGGAATTGATTTCTGAAGCAGCCCTAAAGGCCACAAAGCAGGGTTGGGACTCCTGGATTGATTTTCTATGTTGACATAGCAGGCCAAGCCCTGTCTGGTTTATAAACTGATGTTGTATTATTTCCAAGTCTCTTATAAAACTGAGCCAGGAAAATCATTCTTACAGAATTATTGAGTTTTCTCTTGTGTAGTTTGGGGGGCTGTGGAGGCGGGGGATGAGGGGTAGGGAGGAGACTAAGCAATTTCTTTTCTCCTCCCAATTTTGTATTTAGTCATTTCAAAGTGTCATCACACTGAGAAAATACTTGTTAATTGGCAATATGATAGTTTCTTATATAAGACCCAATCTAGGCTAGGGATGCTATTTACTGTGATTATCACTTCCAAGTGTGGTGCTTTGTTGTATATTTCCTCCACAAGCAGTTATTTGTTGGTAATGGATTTCTGTAAGCCAAATTATATCCTCCCTTTAAGGATCATTTTGACTGTGTATCTACAACACCCTTTTCAGAAAGGGCTAATTATTATTGACAGGGATGATAGAGAGATAAATTCTTCCTGTTCTGGGCAATTGAATAATCTCTTGTCCCAGTTTACTTCGTGCAGATTTGTCATTGAACTAGCATCCTTGAATTGTGTTTAAACTACAATAAAAATAAATGTGGGAAGTCTCAGTTTATGTAAAGGGCAGTACTCCCACAATCTCAAAGCTTTTTCAAAATTCTGCAAGTGTGCTGTTTGTGGATTCCACAGACTTTGTTCATAGAGTCACTCTGTATAAAGTAACCATCTGCAAGTGCCTTTTGTCCCATTAAATCAGAGAAACAAACTGGTGGTTTATAGTTGAATCAGTTCTACATACTTAACAGCTTGGTCTATTTACTAGAGTTTTAGTGTTTTTCATTAGTGACCTTAATTTAATAAGGATCTCAACCTAATGTCTTTATGTTTGTTCAAAATTTTTTCTAAGACAATATTGGACTTTAAATTTTATTTATGATGTTTTCTGTGCTGAGTGCTATGTTTCATGTTCACAAATCTACTCATATTTTTATACATAAAGTGAAAATTTACATTGTTTTACCCTGTCTTTCCAAAAGCTAATAGTTATTCCTATATCCTTCTATTTGTCACTGATTTGAAAGGTCTCTTTTGTTATGTGGTACTTTCTTACATATGCTAAGTAATCTATATCAGATATCTGTCTAGTTCCATGATTTGTAGGTCTGTTCTCTTATCAATACCATTCTAATTGAATGATTGGAATCTTACAGTGTATTTTCATGTATGTCAAGGATAGTCCTCATCTATTACTCTTTGTTATCAAAATATTTAACTGTTTTCTGAATGGTTTATTATTCCAAATAAAAATTTTAACATTGCAATGACAAAGACAATACTCTTTAAGTATGAAATTTAGCAGGTAATGGAAAGATATCTGATAAAAGGTAATAGCTGCCTTGATTTTTCAGTCACACCTTCAAATCAAACACTGTTAATAATTTGGTGAGTGTACTGCCAGATCTTTTTCTATACATTTGCATATACTTGTTTCCAAAGTAGCTTGTGGTTTTGTTTTTACATGAATTACCGTAATGCACATACTAATATTTTCAACCTGTAACTACTGAGCACCCACATGTACAGGCACCAAGATACATTGGTCACCAAAGGAAGCAAAAACTACTGGGCTTGTGAAGTTTCCATTCTAGTGGAGAAAAGCAGATGATGAGCAATATGCATCACATATCAAATCATGTAACATCTTAGAAGATGGCAATGCGGTGAAATTGCACAGCAGAGGAAGAGGGGTGAGAAGTTTGTGTGTGTAGTGAGGAGTGCCGCAATTTTAAATAAGATGGCCAGGCAAGCTTCACTGAGAATATTTGGGCAAAGACTTGTAGGAGATGTTCCAAACTTAGTTTAACACTAAACATATGGAAGACTTTTCTTACCAGCATATGAAGAGATCTTCATTCTTTTAATTGCTCTTTAATATTCTATGGCACTTTAATGCTTTTTTCTTGGAAACTAAGAATACGGGAAATTTTTAAAACATGATGAACAACATATATTTACTAAACATAGAAATATGTTACTTAAGCTAAGAATATACATTATTTTTAACATTAATGAAATATCTAAAATAATTTACTAGACATTAGTCATTAATCATCATCTCAAGAAATTAAAAACAAAATACCAAATGGATATAATTTAGACTATATCATTAAACTACATGCATAAATTTAGAAAAGAACAATGAATTAATAGCCAATTAAATCCATTTACCATAGAAATTAAAAAAATGCATAACAGTGACAATAAACAGAGAATCAAAATTGGTGTTAGAAACTTTTTAAAAACAAACAGTGAGAATATTAACCATCAATCCCTCCGAGATACAATAAAAGCAATATTCAGAGTTAATTTCACAATCCCCAAAATGCTTAATTGAAAACAACATAGTTTAATATAAAGTATTGTATTCTAAATCAAGGAAAATAATAAGTAAAATGCAAGTAAATCAGAATTTGCAAAGAAAAAATTATGAATTAAACAACATTGAAAAGTATCTGGTAATCTGTACCAATCTACTTTGTAAGTTACTTGAAGAAAGAAGATAAGGGGATATAATTACAGATAAAGAGAACTTTTTAAAAATAAAAAGAATAACATATATCATTTTTATCATATATGTAATCATTATACATGTAACGAAATATATGTAAAATAGCATATACATTTTTAAAAAATCTAGAATCCAGATGAAATGCATAGTTTCTAGAAAAATGTAAATTACCAACATTGACTCAAGAAAAGTAGATAACCTAAATAGACCAATTACAATACAAGAAACAAAATATAGTTAAAATATTCCCTTAAAGAAACATTAAAAAATTTAGTTTTATGGTGGCTGATTAAAATGACCATTTCTTATTTTTTTCTTTCAATTATTATTAAAAACTAACCAGAAAAATAAAAAGCAAAAACGTTAAATTTTTGGTTGAAACCAGCAGACTACTTAAATCTCTGAATTGCAAAATAAGAAGCGAGCAGCCCAAATCAGTCAAGGTGAAACAGGTGTGAGTGGAGAGAGACACTGGAAAAAAATGGTCATAACTTCAGAGCTCAGAAAATGTTGGCAAAGCATTCCTTTCTAACTTAAGTGGCATAACCTATTGCAAAACAGCACGTTTTTCTTTACAACAGGACCAAGGTCTAGGGACTCTTAGTGGGAAATTCCCTGACTCTGATTCTGAGGAGAAATAGAGAGGGAAATCTGCATGGGCCATGTTCACAGATGAGCTGCATTTGCAGGTAGAGTATCAGTGAGGTAGAGGACATAAGGAAATTTCACATTGTGAGCAGCTCTGCAGAATTGATTTTGGTAGACTGGGGCGAAGTAAAATTGAAATAACATATATAATTCTGTCTTTTTAGACTTGAGCATGACTCTGTTCCCCTGCCACATTTTCTGGAAAGAGCTGGTCAAGGATTTTTAGTCAAATGAAAAAGGTATATTCTTAAAAACAACAAAAACTAGCATAGTATGTATTGTCATTTTTAAAGAGAACATAAAAACCAAATGGCAGTTACAGAATAATCTCTGGAAAACAAACCTGTTTTTCACAGAACAATAAAAGTTTTTCCTAAATGTATCAATGAAATTAAAATAAGACTTAAAGCAACTGCTTTCATAAAATAAAAGCACAAAAAATTCATGTAAGAGTTCAGGAAAGATATGAGAAGACTATGGAAAGAAATATGAGCTTGTAGAGTTTAGAAAAGTGGTGGATGATTCAAATGTATTTGAAAATATAATTCAAGAGGACTTATTTATAAAAGGAGACCTAAGTCTATATATTTAAAGGACATATTCTGTTAACACTACTGGACTTGAAATATAATAAAGGACTCCTCAAGCAGGCAAAAGGTTAAAGACCCTTCTAGGGGAAGAAAAATAAGGTCATCCTTATTAGCTCTACATTAATATAAAATGCTAGAGTGTTTTGAAGCAATAACCACAACCTGTAAAGAATATGATCCCTAAATTTTCTACCCAGATAAACTGTAAATCAAGTAAAAAGCAGTTGAAACTGTAAGGGAATACTACTTTTGCTTTTCAGATTGGCAAAGATCAACAAGTTTGATAATACACTATGTTGGCAAGAATATGGGGACACAGGCCAGGTGCAGTGGCTCATGCCTGAAATCCCAGCACTTTTGGAGCTGAGGCAGGCAGATCACCTGAGGTCAGGAGTTTGAGACCAGCCTGACCAACATGGTGAAACCCTGTGTCTACTAAAAATACGAAATTTGGCCGGTCGTGGTGGCAGGTGCCTGTAATCCAGCTACTGGGGAGGCTGAGGCAGGACAATCACTTGATTCTCTTGATTCTCTGCCTGGGAGGTGGAGGTTGTAGTGAGCCAAGATCGTGCCACTGCACTCTAGCCTGGGTGACAAGAACAAGACTTCGTCTCAAAAAAAAAAAAAAGGAAAAAGAATATGGGGACACAGGTGTTCTATACATTGCAGGTAGGAAGATGCATTGGTGTATCTTCTATGGAGAGCAATATGACAAGACCTTTCAAAATTATATATACAAGTGCCTTTTGACTTGGGATTTTTCTAGGATTTCTAAGATTTTTTTCTTTTAGAAATTCTTGCACAAAATTACAAAGATATAAATACAAGTATTTTCATGTAACATTTTGCTTATAGAAAATGATTGGAAGCAAATCCAGGTGAGGTGGCTTGTGCCTATAATCCTAGCTACTCAGGATGGTGAAGTGGAGTGGGAGGATAGCTTGAGCCCAGAAGTTCGAGACCAGCCTGGGCAATATAGTGAGACCCTATCTCAAAAAAAAAAAAAAAAAGATTAGAAGCAAAGTGATACTTGTCAATATGGGAATATTTAAATACCTTATTGGTATTTACATGCATGACATAAAGAATACTTTAAAACAAGATAAATAAATTTCTATTGTAAAAGACTAGATGAAAACATTTTTGATCAGGAAGGGGCTGTTTGGCTCCTAGCTATACAACCAGATTCCTATAAAGGTCTTCCTTTTAATCTATGAATTAAGCTACTAACCCCTAACCCATGCCATCTTCCCATAAGTACTCTCATTCTTTCTCTGTCTTCCAAACCCAAAAATCTCTATCTTAAGAAAGACTTAAAAATTCATTTCTTTAATGTGTAAATGCCTCATGTGGCTTAATTTGTAAATCTCGGGATTATTTGCTGTTCAAGAGAAGGCCACATTTAAGTCAAAAGTATAAATATGTAGTTGTAGAGTCTCAGTATCAGCTTGCCTGTGGATGAACTGGTTTGTGAGTGGTAGGTGGTGGGGAGATGTAACCTTTCCTTTTGCTTTTCAAATCTTATATTCTGCCTACTTGTAATCCTGTCTTTGCTCAGAAAATACATGTTTGCATACATTGGAAAATGAGATTTTTTTTTCTTTGTTTTCTCTTTTTGAAGTTCTGTGAGGCTGTTCTTCCTTTCCCATGGGTATTTGTGTAGGGAGTTTGTTTGTTTGTTTTATGTCCCTTCTACCACATTAGTGTGCCACATTGCATTCTACAAGTGGCTTGGGAATTCAATATAAGATTTTTTCAAATTCAATATTTTGTGTGCAAATCATGTATAAGCATTCTCCTGAGCGTTGTGAAGATCACTGGAGGTTTCGCCTGAGCTCTTCCCTCAGTTTAAGATTTACTGGTACCCTTCCCAACACATTTCCTCCAAATTCCTCTTTCACTGTCTGCATACTTCTGTCTTTTAAAACACCAACTAATTTGTCCGTTCTCCACGAAGCCTTTTTTTGTTGTTGTTGTTAGGTCTCCCCACACACAGAAATCTTTATCTGGAAACAAATGAACTCATACAGACCTTATTGAATGGGTCTATAATGTGATACTCTATTGAAAAAGAGCATACGTGTTCTCTCCCTCTGGGCTTGCTGACATGAAGTTGGCAAAAAGTTTTAACGTTTTGTGAATATGCTTCTTTGATTACAATGTGTTGTGTTAAGGGATATTTATTTCCTGAAACTCAGCAGTGTGTCTCCCACACACATGTTTTGTAAGCACTATTGGCACAGTATTATATTAACATGTTTAATTCTTTTAAAACATAGATACTTAACCCGATGCTTGCAAATAGGAAGCTACCCTGCTCCATCACAACCACTTTGGGAAATTACTGATTTTGTGAAAATTTATCAAGTGGTTGAAGATGGATCAAAAAGGGGGAAATCTCACTTACACTTTTTTTCATGGAGGCAGGCATTCCCAAGTTCCAGATGAAGTCTGCTCCACTTCCTGTCCTGGGTTGGGTGGTCTCTTCCCTCCTTTCTGACTGTGGCCATCAGCAGCAGGTTGGCCTTATTCATTTAATCTCAAAATTTGGAATGCACATTCAGAAGCCTTCAATTATTTGGAGTGGAAGGAATAGACTGTATGTTTTGCTCTTAAGATACCACTTCCCTACTTTTTTTTCCCTCATACAATAAATGCCTTTCCTCTGTCATTTCACTGCCAGGCACAATGCCTCTTCTAGTCATGTGTGTGTGCATGCACACACACACATTATTAGCTGGCTATACATGTAGAGGGCCAGTAGCTGGCTATGCATTCAGATGTTACTGTTTCCTGTGCTGGCTCCCCGACTGGATTCTAAGCATTTCCAAGTGTCCAACATAACTTTGTATCCCCTTCCCCTAGAACCTACATAACCTACCGCAGGCTTGCTCAGTGGGTGGTAGTTGTTATCAAGGAGGATGGTGCACAGTCAGGCTTTCAGAGAGGGGGAGTCAGGATGGCACAAGCATTCTGCTGCAAGTGGCATGTGAGTTTCTGTTCCCTTCTGCTTTTCTGCCTTTCCACATGGGTTTCTAAAGTGATGCTGATAAATGTCAGAACTGATGGCTGGTCAGCTCATGGTGAATGTCATATTTTCTACTATAAACAGAAGCATTTATGAATAGAAAATGTGTCAGCAGCCCAGTATCTTCTCCTTTCTGTGCCTGAATCTCTTACAGAATGGAGTAGAGTTGTTTTATTTGACCCATCCTGGAAAAGAAAGTGGCACTTTGAAGCTGCTTTTGCAATGTCAGAAAATACCCACTGGTCCACCTTGGCTAATGAAACCTGCTAGTAAAACGTTCTCTCCTGACATATCAAAATAGGACAATTTCCAAAATTCATGTTAGTCATAATTCAGTGGGTGAGATCTGTGTCTTAAAAGAGCTAGGTAAATTTATATTTGATAAAAACAAATATACAGAAGTAGCATTTTTGGGGGAAGTACATTTTAAAATAATGGTTTCAACAGGTAGATCAACAGGTCATGCATAGTAAACCAATAACTATTATGAAATACCACCCACCCATTTTATAAACAATTTAAATAAATGTTTTGGCTATCAGCTGGTTTCCAGAAGACATAATGATTTCAATGTGATTCTGAAGTAAGATTTTTTTAAAAAACTGTTGGATGATCTCACACAAAACACAGTTCAGCTCTCTAATTTTTAGAGAAAACAGAAATCTCACTGGACTTAAAATTTATGGGTATTTTTTTTTTAGTTCATGGGAAGTTTGGTAATATCAGATTAAAATAAGATATAATAGGAGTGAGTTCTGTGCACAGTCCTGAAGCTTGTTTAATACTCCACATAAACAGCCCTTGTTGCCAGGGGATAACTTGGAAATAAAAGAAAGTGAGACCTACAAACCTGTCTTTAAAATGACACTGCACACACCTTAAAATTATATCCTCCTGGAGGAAGATTATTTATTGAAATAATTATAGAAGTTGACACTTTTCTGAGAAAGTTAGAAAAGTTCCTTTGTCTTTTATTCATAGTAAAGGCAGTCTGAGAAAAAGGTCTCTGTTGACCTAGATTTGCTGTTTTCCTGTATGCCAGTAATTCAAAGAACCCAAATTTATGCATCTGACACTATCTCATCACAAATAGCAGTATTCCTGAGTATGTATTCTTCAAGAAGTTCAAATCATTCCACACACATTTTCTCATGAATCCTCCCATACTATCATGTCCAAATTTCAGGGCTGTGGAAATTAAGATTGAGAGAGGTGGAGTTATTTACCCCCAAACATGTACTATGCTAATTAAGGAGCTTAGGCATGGAGTCCCAGAGTACTCTTTGTACTGGGTGGAAGCTCCATTCTTCCACACAGGACCACTGGAAGGTGATCTACATCAAGTGCCACATGTTTTAAATAACTGAGGTTATATTCTTAGGCCAACTACACATCTATTGAATTTATTTACAGTGGCCACAGTGTCTCATTTGGAAGATCAATACCTCACCAACACTGAGCCACAAAACATAAATTCTTTTGGATAAAAGAAAGCTGCTTCCCTATCACTTTATGGAACTTGGCTCTTAGCATCATGGACCTGCCATCTCTCCCATTGGCATGAGCTTTGATAATTTATTTTGCCAAGGGCAAGATTTATACACATGAACCACTTTTATTCCAATAATGAATGCATTACTTTCCCTCAAAGGTACAGGGAAAAATTACTATGAAGTCATTATTCTGGCTCAGCTGATGGGACTGGGGATGAGAAAATAGTCCTTTAAAGCTTGTTCAAAATTTTTTAGCTGTCTCGAAGCCCTCATTCTTTGTCAGGTATGGGAGATACACATGCCAGACATTCTAGGAAGAAGCCTTAGTCAATCTTCTGAAGAGAAGTCTTACCAATCTCCATTTGATCCTCCTATTGGAGAGGTTAAAAAGTATACTTCCCAAACTCCTTTGCAGCTGGAGTCATTTACATGCACTTGTAAGAGATTTGGAAATCAGAAGTGAGGCAGAGGCCATTTTCATGCAGCTGTAGCTACAGGTAAAATTTGACAGTTATGAAGTTTATAGTGGTTCAACATGACATTCTGGGGAGCCATTGGTGTGAGGAGGCTATGGTGGCTACAGTGGTAGGAACTGATAGCAGTAGCCACTGCCTGACTTCTGGATTTCACATATAATGGTATGACCTAGAAACTAAAAATTCAAGGGCAGTCCACTGACATCCATTCCTCCAGCCCTTCAAAAGACTTTCTAAGTGCACACTTCCCTGCATGAAATCATTTTCTGTTTGATAAGCTGGTGGTGGGTTTGGAACTTTACTGAAGCAGCTACTGTTCTTCCACTTTTAAGTGCTGAGGAATAGATAATTGGGAGTTGGGTCATCATAGAGTAGAAGATTAGACATATTTAGGTTCAAATGCTGGTTTTTGAACCAGTATTTTCAAAGACTCTGAAACTTTGGTTCTATTTTCTTATCTTAAGAATGAGTCTACTAATATCAGCTTTATGGGAGTTTTGTGAATATTATGAGTAATAATGTATATAAATGCTGAATTAATTATATTGATTTGGTTTTAGTAATAACATTTAAAAATTCTCTTACTAAAGCCAGTTTAAATCATAAGGAAATTGATCATCTCAAATATTGGGAGTTAATGTGCAGGATAAGCTCAAGGAATGATGAAATATGTGGCTCAATGATGTCAAAAGGGTTCAATGATTTAAACAGCCTGATGACTTTTTTTTTTGAAAACAAAATATTACTGAACCATAGCCATGTCATTCTGGTGACTTTTGCACTATAATGTCTGAGTCGAATAGTTGCTGCAGGAACCAAGGACCATCAGATTGGCAATGCTAAAATATTTACTATATGATTCTTTGCAGAGTTTACTGACCCTTAATATAAATATAGACATTACTATCTTCAGCAGTGATTTCATTCTAAAGATGAATCTCTTTATGGCCACAAGATGGCTACCAGCAGCCATTGGGCTGTAGATCTCCCTGTTTATAACTAGCAGAGGAAAGGGGAAGGTGGGAAGAGAATCATGTCCTCCAGGCATGGCTCATTTCTGTTCCTTCAATTCGATTGGACCGAATTAAATTACGTGGCCACCCCTGGACCAGTGGCTGTTGTAATGGGACCTGCTAAGCATGAATTGACTTAGACTAGACAGAATCTGACTCTGGAGCTACTGATGGGATGCTGACTTTAAAAATTTGGGATTCTGTAAGGAAGAAAGGAAGAAGAAATGGTGCTTGGGTCAGCAACACACATTGTCTACCACAAGCAGTTAACAAAGTGCCTAGAAACGTGTTAGGTACTCAATCATTGTTCATTCCTTTGCCCAGCAATGAAGGTATCTTCTTGGCTCCAGTAAAATGAGCACCAGGCTAGGAGTTCAGAGACGTGGCATTTCATACTGGCTAAAGCTAAGACTAGCTTGTGACCTTGGAAAAAAAAGCCATTTAATTTTAATTTCTCCATTGCTATATATAAAGAGCTGTGAATTAGACAATACCTAAGGGCTATTCTGGTTATTAAATAAAAGTATTCATTAAAAGATCTATATTTGTCTAATGCATTAGAGTTTCAGAGTTTTCAATTGCTCTCTGTATACATTACAAGGAAATTTTTTGCAACAGTCCGAAGAAGAATGTCCCAAAGATGTAATATCGGAGTGTGTGCTTACTTCTTGATAGCTGCACATCCTTGCTGGGACTGAATGTCAACCAGAGGTGGGAGATGAACTCTGCCATGGAACATCTCATTCACTCATTCATTCACCACATGTTATTCAATGTCTAGTATGTGCTAGACACTAAGCTAAATGGAGAAGAGGCTCTGATCTCAGTGTCTACATTCAAATGGGGGATGAGGAATTGTCGGTAACGGTGCAAACAGAACAACTATTTCAGATAGTGACAGAGTGCTGTGAAGACAATAAAGCAGGTGAATATAAGAAATGATTGTGAAGAAAATGACTGTGGAGGTTATGTCATGTCAGGGGGTCAGGGCACACTTCTATCAGAGAAGCTTTCATCAGTTAAGATGTGAATGTATAAATCTGGAGGAATAACATCTCTTTCCCTTTTATGTATTTTGCCTGATTTTTAGGTTTCATTGATATGGCTATAATTTTCCATTTCTTTCCTAAGAGTTTTCTCTGTTGAGAAGCTTTTACAAGCCTTCCCTTGGGAAAATGTTATGTGTTGGAAGAAGGAAGACTGGAGAAGAAGAAATTTTAAAATAGTTTTTGAGTTATTTCAGAATTACAGAGCTATGTCTTCTAAGGTTGTAAACTCTTCTTCAGCTCTTACGAGAGTTAAGCTCATATTTTCTAATTTTGGAAGCATATTTTAGGCAATAGAAACTGAAGTACCCAGAGACCTATAGCAGTATCTTTATATGCCAATCAAGTTGCGTGAAGAGGCACAGAAACAACACCCCAGATTCACCCACTCCTGGGTAAAGTGACTTTTCAAGCTTCAGAGAAAAAGAACGAAGTACTTCAAGAGGCAGCAGCAGTATCTTCCTGCTTGGAGTCTAAACTGAAAATGGATTCCTTATTTGTGCAGGGATATAGCACTTCTGTTATCTCCACTCCTCTGTCCAACCATAGCTGATGATGTTACTGCTCAATTAATCCTTTTGCCTCGATAACAAGTGTCTTATGCTATGTTTACTAAACCCTCATTCATGTTTCCTATCTTTGCTTCCCTAAAACCTTGTTTCTACTTTTGAATGTGTTTTTCAAAGCAGCTTATAAGCATTTAGACTTTTGAATATGTTGCTAATGCCACACTTCTTAAAAAAACAAAACAAAACAAACAAAACAAAACAAAAAACAAAAAACGGGTTAATCTGGGAAATCCGAAATTGGTATAGGAAAGAGTAATCCTGCCTTCAGGTGAAATTGACCCAGTTAATGTTTGTAATGATGGGTTTGCAGGGATTTTATAAAAGTCAGTTTGTCTTATCTGTGTCTGGTATATATAGTGGTGAGGTAAATGATTAATTCAATTGACTTGGTGACTCTCTCCTCTGCCCCAGAAAAAAAGTCAACCAGTTTTGTATCACTGCTTCAATAGCAAAACTCTGAAAAAAGTCACTTTTTTAATATGTGAATGATGAAAATGTGTTTTGAGATCGTAAAGCCCAAAACTTTTGAAGATAAAAATACAAAAGATGAAATTGATTGGGAAATAATATAACTATATAAGTAACATAAACAAGCAGTAATAATACAAGGATATTTTACATAGTTACTTCAGGCTCCACCAGACAAAACATCAGTCATATAAATAAATTCTTTTAAAATTATAAATCCAGTTGATCCTAAATCACACCTTCCTGTCTTGGTGCCTACCGCAATCTCCATATTGACTGGGGGATCTGATAGACAGATTTTAAATAGATATGCCCATAGAAAATGATCGTGATTATGAAATGATGATGTGAAATGATCATGAAAACTGAGGTTTAAGGAGAGTCCAAGTAACTCCTTCAAAGCCACTTAATCCATTCAAGTTGGGTTTCAAGCCCAGGTCTGCAGAGTCCTGAGCTCTCTCCACTATAGCAGGATACCTGCTTTACTAAACTTTTGCATCTCCCATGTTTCCTTGCACATGTCATCACAGTTATTTGCTGATTGAATGAAATAATGACAATACACATCACAACTGAATGGAATTATTGAGTTATCCTTCCAACTCCTAATCCTTAATTATTTTCACTGTAAGTGTAACAGTCTAGATTGGTTCAGTTAACTTTCTTCAAAGGGCCAGAACATTGAATATTTTAGGCTTTTCCAGCCACACAATCTCTATCACAACTTCTGAGCCCTGTCCTGGTAGTGTGGAAGCAGCAACCGGACAATAGCAAATGAGGAGACATGGCCGTGTTCCAGTAAAACTCTACTTGCGGCCAGGTGTGGTGGCTCACACCTGTAATCCCAGCACTTTGGGAGGCTGAGGTGGGCGGATCGCCTGAGGTTGGGTGTTTGAGACCAGCCTGACCAATAGGGAGAATCCCCGTCTCTACTAAAAATACAAAATTAGCCTGGCATGGTGGTGCACACCTGTAATCCCAGCTACTCAGGTGGCTGAGGCAGGAGAATCGCTTGAACCTGGGAAGGAGAGGTTGTGGTGAGCCAAGATCGGGCCATTACACTCCAGCCTGGACAACAGGGCAACAAAAGCCAAAGCCAAACTCCATCTCAACAACAACAACAACAACAACAACAACAACAACAACAACAACAGCTGTGTTTGCAAATCCAGGACCACCCTGTGGGCCTATTTGATGACCCCTGGTGTAGATATTGAAACTAATCCACAGTCTGTTAATAACGAGCACTTTCTCCTGAGTGTAGTTTTGGTGACTTGCGGTACTTACATCCTGTTTATGCGTAGGCTGTGCTCACTTTGATTGGAATTATCTCCGTATGTACCTTTCTTGGTATGTGTGACTGTTCCTCTCATGGCCTGTTAACTGAAATTATGTGCAGCAATTACAAATTACAGACTCCAAAGATTGCAATTGTTCTTAGGACTATTTACTCTGTGTTATTCTTTTTAACAAGGCATCAGTTAGGATAAATCCCTCCCCTCACTTTAAAGTAATGCCTCCTTATTAAAATTTTAATTCTCCAAGTGGTTCTAATCTCAATTGTTCCTCAACAGTTTCTTCATCAAAACCCCCTTCACTACATCCAGCATTCAAACTAGGATGGCATTTTTTACTGGTCTTTTCTATTTTTCTGTATGACTCCCTAAAAGCAATACCCAGTTAATTGTCACCCAGGCAACCAGTACACTTAAATCACCTTC
Organism: Homo sapiens; assembly: GCF_000001405.40. Taxonomy (NCBI): domain Eukaryota; kingdom Metazoa; phylum Chordata; class Mammalia; order Primates; family Hominidae; genus Homo; species Homo sapiens. The sequence goes on along the minus strand of NC_000001.11, from coordinate 83,464,676 downwards.
TTTCTTGCCCCAATCCTACCCTCAGATAAAAAGATGCACATCCAAAAGCCTCATTTGAAACTTCCAGACAGAGAGCCCAGCATTTGGAGAGTCTCTTTGGACAGCTTTAAACACAATTACAGAAAAGAAAGCAATGTGAGTAGGGGACAGAAATGGAAGGTAACAAGTAAGTTGAGACACCTGTATTTGCTAGCATTTTTACTCTCCAGAATGCGTTTTTAATGTCTTATTTGATTTGTCCCGTACAGCTCTCTGAAGTTTGAAACCTTTGATATTCAGAAAACATGAAGACTCAGAGAAGAAAAGTGATATGTTAGCATGCTTTGTAAATAGTACAGCCAGGACTCCTTTTATATAAAAATCCATGATACTTTCTATTTTTCCCGTGGGTGAATTTTAGCCAAAGTTTCAATATTAAACCTGAAATCATCAAAAAGACCATGGTAAAATTAGATGTACAGGTGACCCTTGAACAACAAGGGCTTGAACAAAGGGGGTCTGCTTCTATGCAGATTTTTTTTTGCCTCTGCCATCCCTGAGACAGCAAGACCAATTCCTCCTCTTCCTCCCACCTCCTTAGCCTACTCAGTGTGAGGGTGATGAGAATAAAGACCTTTATGATGCTCTACTTCCACTTTATAAATAGTGAGTATATATTGTCTTGTGATTTTAATATTTTTTCCTCTAGCTTACTTTAATGTAATAGTGTAGTATATAATACATATAACATGCAAAATATGTGTTAATTGACTGTTTATGTTATTAGCAAGGCTTCCAAGGAACAGTAGGCTATTAGCAGTTAAGTTTTGGGGGAGTCAAAAATTATACACAGATTTTTGACTGTACTGTAGGTCAGCCTCCCTAACCTTCGCATTGTTCAAGGGTCAACTTTGTATACATATCTAATTTTGAGATAATACACTGTGGTTAGTATATACATCAGTACTAGCCATAGCGTATTATCTCAATATTTGTTGAACAAATAAAACTACATATACTTGTCATGCCTAGTCTTGTTTCTATGGAAAAAAAAAGGTTTTCCTTGTAACTCTAGGCACAAAATATGTCTTGCTATATCACAGGGGGTAGCATCTTACCTAGTGACATTGGAACAGTCGCCAAAAAACAATGCACAGAGGGGTGCAGACAGCCTAAACTGGATAACACATAAGGAAAGACACTGTATACCTCTGAGTAAATGAATGGCACATGTGTTACATTGTCTCCTCCCATGTTCTGGCAGGGATTACACTACTTGCCATGAGCAAAAAAGGAGATGGTATAACGTGAATGCCATTTATTTGCTATTATGAATTTTTTTTTTTTTTTTGAGACAGAGTCTCGCTCTGTCACCCAGGCTGGTGTGCAGTGGGGCGATTTCGGCTCACTGCAAGCTCTGCCTCCCAGGTTCATGCCATTCTCCTGCCTTAGCCTCCCGAGTAACTGGGATTACAGGCGCCCGCCACCATGCCTGGCTAATTTTTTGTATTTTTAGTAGAGACTAGTAGAGACAGGGTTTCACCATGTTAGTCAGGATGGTCTCAATCTCCTGACCTCATGATCTGCCCACCTTGGCCTCCCAAAGTGCTAGGATTACAGGTGTGAGCCACCGCACCTGGCCACTATTATGAATTTTAATACTAGAGAAGTCCTGTGTTAACTATTTACTAAGTGTGTTGACAGCATTCTTTGTGATTTACCACTTCAGAATCCTTAACACAGCACTCAGCTATCAATGCCCAATGAATAAGATTTTGCATCACAGTGGAAATCTGCTCACCACTCCTTTTGTAGATGTTCTAAATTGGGTACCAGAAGTCAATTGTCTCATTATTAAGATGGGTTCTAAAGTGATTCATTTTTTTGACACTTGACTGTTAGTTGAGGTCTAGCTGTATGGTGAAAAATGTTGATGAAAAGTGTTGTCTGCAGAGTGGATAGTCAACTTATATTAACTGTGAGTTATACTAGGAGCAGTGCTTAATTCATTTGGACTTTATTTGGTGATCTGCTTTTTATATTTAATTTCATTTCTTTTGACCGGGATGAAGTAAAAACAACAACCATGAAGTTCAGTCTCATTTATTTGGCTGGACATGGCATCTAGAGATAAAATGAGAATAAATTATTTTCCATTAATCTTATTAATGGCTTATTCAAATGATTCCCTTATTTTTTACAATTTAATTTCTTAAGCAGTATTCTGCAAAAATCTAGTTCCAAATTTATTTTAGAATTATAAGGCATTTCTCAGAGACATTTTCTGTTTGTTACCTGTTTCATGTTTGTGGTTCAATTTCTATTTTTGCTTTCATCTGTGTTCTATTTTGATATAGTCATTAGAGATAACTTGAACATGGAGAGTAAGTAGCCTAGCAAAAATGTGAAGAATCTTGACACTGAAGTCAAATAGAAAAACTGAATTTGAGCTTTGTGACTTAATACAGTTACATAGTACGTCTCCAACTTAGAAATCAGTTATTTTCTAAAAGTTTCCTAGTGAATTAGTTGTTTGAACATTGTAGTTAGATTTTTAAAACAATTTCTAAAGTCTAATTACCATATAATATAGTTTGAGAGTTCATATGTTATGAGAAAAAGGCAATTGCTATGGTCTGAATGTTTGTGTCCTCACCAAATTCATATGTTAAAATCCTAACCCTCAAGGGGATGGTATTAAAAGGTGGTTACTTTGGGAGATAATTAGGTCATGGGGTCAGAGCCCTCAGGAATGAGATTAGTGCTCTTATAAAACCCGCTCAAGAGAGACCCCTCACCCCTTTGACCATGTGAGGACACAATGAGAAGGCACTATGTATGATCCAGAAAGTGGACCCTCACCAGACACCAAATCTGCCAGTGCCTTGACCTTGACCTTCCCAGCCTCCAGAACTGTGTAAAACAAATTTCTGTTCTTTATAAGCCACCCAGTCTGTCATATTTTGTTATAGCTGAATGAACTAAAACAGCAGTAGTATGGTAGCATAATAATTGAATAACATAGTATTTTATTTATTTTGAATATGTATGATAAAATATTCACTTGAAGAGGAAAAGAAATAGCTGAGATAGTTTATAAAACTTCCGAAATGTAATTCAGGATATTTCTAGAAATGTTTGAGCATAAAACTTTTTTAAAATTATATTTAAATTACATTTGAAAACATGACTGTGTTTTTATTAGCATTATTCTTAATATTTTCTGCTCAAATCAGGGCCATTTCTGAAATATGTAGGAAAAAAAACAGGAAAAGGAATAGAAATTTTAGTCAGGCAATTGGAGAAGAGTTGGAAGTGAGAAAGAAAGGTGAAAGATGATTAAAAATATTTGTCAATTTTCCTCAGGTGAAATCAACAAAGTTTTAAGTGATGAAAGTCAGAGGGAAAAGCAGAGCATCTTCAATATCTTAGCTGAGAAGAGAGGAGGTGTTGAGAGAAAGATACTGGATTACAGTTCACAGTACAGCCATGGTTGATATCATTGGCCTAGGATGAGCTGCTATGTCTCAAAAGAGTGATGAGGATAATTTAGAAGCCAACAGAAATGACTACATATTAACTGTTCACATCTAATGAATGTGTCTAGCAGTTAAGCTTCGTAACCCATTAAATGTCTGCATTTCTAAAGACACACAATGAATAGATCAGTTAGTATTTTTGTGCATCTATGGAAGAATTGGGGAGTAGATCACTTAAGGCCCCTAGTGGGGCCTTAAAAGAGTTAGTTTGTCGACACCTAGGAAAATTCAGTTTGTCACCAAACACATTTCCAGGTTAGGTTGATTTACTGCAATGTTGATATCTTCTTAAAATTTTTTTACTCCACCATAGTTTCCTTGGTGATGACTAGTACTGTTCAAAAGCTTTCATCTTTTTCTCCAGAACAAAAATCTGGTGTTTGTTTATGAGTTTATTATCTATGGTCCAGTATAAACTTACTGAGGTGCCCTTTGGTTGTCCCTATGTTTCTGGGGAACACCAGGCAGTTGTCCAGCATGAGTGGCTGCATCTTTCATGTGTGATTTACAGGAAAATTTCTTCTAAAATATCACAGACTTACATCACATCTGCATATTGCAATCATTCTCTGTTGACTTTTACTGCCTCTAATAAGCTATTTATGAATAATCTAATAATTCAGGTAAATATATGATTAAATTTCTATTCATTGCATTCATTTTATTTCATATACTCTATGTTTCATGCAAAAATACATAGAGAGAGATATGATTTATGTGCATAAGTATCTTAAGATAGTGAATATAATCTAAATTAATTTTGTTAAAAAGAATCTATACCTGCTATCTTGGTAGTCATGGTTCATCTTCTAATAATCACCTCCTTATTAAAGCAAAAAGTAAATAATGTGGTTTTGTTCAAGTCTAATTATTTTGAGCCTGTTTTCTGGCTGGGAAGGCTCAACAGTGAAATGGTCTCAACATGCAGAGCACAGCTTCCATATTATATTTTATTTAAAGAATTTTTGAACGGTCAAGAACAGCAAGGTCTTGAGATAGATTATTTCTTTCACATTTTCTGAGCAGAAGCTTCCTTTTAAAAAAAAAAGAACAGCTCTAACAAAATAAACTCAGAGAAGCAATGCCTTCTTATCTCAGTTACAAGTTGTTAACTTAAAGATATAATTGTATTTCTGTATGTTGTAAATAAATGTTCTAAAATGGTGTGATAAAGAAGAAATTTTCCTTGGTATAGTTGGAAGACGGGAATTATTTTTATTAATTAAATATAACTGGATAAAAGTAGAGGCTGTATACACAAAGTAAAATATGGATTGACCAAGCAGGAAATGATTTACTAGTGCTAAACAGATACTGGAACTTTCAAAATTTCTAGGGATAGGCAGGAGTGTCTGTGGGTTGACTCTGTGTGCCTGATGCTTATATCAGGGCAAATGATGGAATTCTCTTTGAATAACATTAGGATAAGAGTTATAGGGGAAGGGTGAAGCCAGTTGGGAGTAAAAGCCAGTCCCAGATGCTGCAGCTTCTGCAGCAGCTAGATAGGGCCACCAGCTTAGCAAGGATTAGCCTACTTTCCCCAGATTTTTCCAGCTGGTGTTAATCCATTCTGTGAGCTGCAGAACAGAGCTTCTGCTTAAAAACTCTTGAGCTTTTCTTCTTTCTTATTTAGCAAGTGAGTAGAAAGAATGAACACATCTTTAAAAAAATACCTGATAGAATTTGGTTTAATAGCTCTTAAGTGATAGTGATCATTTATTTAGTGAACGAGATAGTGTTCTTCCTGTTCTTATTATTCCATGATTTACTTAATAACACAAAGAACCATATTGTTGTCACTAGGAATCATTTTAAAGTCCCTTAATGGTGATGGAATGTCTTAGACATTAGCATAATGCCCTGAGCTTGCAAACCTTTTCTGTGGAAATATGGATGCCAATGAGCAAAGAATGAAAGCTTTGGAATATGTAGGCAACTACATCATGTGATTTGGAGTATGCTAGAACATTTCCTTAATTTTCCTAAATCCTTTTGCCATCAGCTGAGTCAAAAATTCTACTAGTGAAGAAAAATATCCTTAGTTTAAAACTTTATTTTATATTAAAATTCTGTCTTCTTGATTTTGGGGAAACGAATTATTTCTATTAATTATATATAATTATTATTGGTAGAACTAATAATGATAAAAATAGAATCATGTTTCAAGTGCTTTGTCATATGTCAGTCACTGGGCCCAATTTTCCATACACCTAAGTCTTTATGAAGACAACAATAAAGAATGCCCAGGTGGAGGAGAGGTTCTTCTTATCCCCATTGCATAGTTAGGGGTATTACAGAGCATTGTTAATCCCCACAGTTTAGGCCACACCATTAGTGATTAAAGGCAGAATGTTCATCCCCAGAGCCCCTTTCTTTTGATCACTGTGTGCCTTGTTTATTACCTAGTTTAATCATTTAACATTGGTAAAGATAATGTCCTGTGAGAATATGCGAATATAAGAATATAATTAGAATGTAAGAATGTTCCTGCACTGGCTCATGCAGTCTCTTCCACCATTGTTTTTGTCAATTAAAATCCTTTATAATCATCCTTCCAGATCAGTTCAAATGTTACAGGCATCAGGAAGTTTGCCTCAGTCCCTCCCATCCATTCTCCTCTCATTGTTGGAGTTATTTCTTTCTTTGTGCATTAAGAGGATGTGATCTGTGCCCAAATTATAGCACAGCACATGCAGTCTTACTTGATCCTGTCTATCCCATTGCTGAGCTTGTGTATTTGCTTAGGAGCATAAATTGTGTTTGCCATCTTTGAATCCCCAGCCCCTAGCTCTCCTACCTATTGTAGGTACACAACTATTGAACATATTTTAATTTGTTCCACAATATTGGGTGGAGGGAGTGCAATATTTCTTGATCTTCTCTGAGCTACACCCACCTACAAGTGGAAAGTTAAATCAGTTGGAAGTGCAGGGGAGAAAGGGACACACACACACACACACACACACACACACACGAAGCTGGCAACAAACACACTAATGTCTGATGACTCTACATTTTTGCTAAAGAGCACATCAGAAGAAAAACTTGTTAGTTTGGTTCCCTGGGGACAAGTGGCATACCAAAGAGATTAAATGACCAGATCTGGAGTGCTTTTAGGCAGAGGAGGGGGCCACTCTAAATCTCAGTTCTCTAATTTGTTTTAAGAATTAGAATAGAAAATACCTGGCATTTAAAAAGATATTTTAGCTGTAATAGTCATAGTGTATTCTTACTGCACAGATGACTATAGGCAAGATTCTTAGCTTTACTGAGCTTGTTTCCTCATGTCTAATCTCCTCCTGGAGTTTCTCATACTTAATTTTGAAATGTACTGTTTATAACTGACACAAAGTATGTGCCTGATGAATGATTCTGGCTTCCCCTTTCTCTGGTCCCAATTGAATATCCCTCAATGACTATTTTAAGCAGAGAAAAAAAAAACAGTTATCTTAGGAAGAAGTTGCCCTTTTTAAAATAGCCACATTTTACCTTGTGCTGGATTTACAGCCAACCTTTGACAGCTTGCTTTGCTCTGATTTTTTTTTCTGATTATCAATTTGTTTATTTTTTAATGACAGCTTAACTAACTGTATCTTAAACAAAAGAAAAATATTGTTTAACACTGTTTCAACGGCCAAGGAATATATATACCAATGTAACTTGGCTATATTACAGCATGAAATATGGGGTCTTTAGCCATAACATACTTCCACTCATGAAGTCACACTCTGTAACCTTCTTTCAGAAGAAAATCCAATTTGATTTTTAGTAATATGCTTCCAAGGACTAAACAGTAAAGTCGCAGAAAATTTATTACATGAAAACACTATCCAATAGGGTCACTTTCTTTAACAAGTAATGGCAAAAATTTTAAAAAAAGACAGAAAGATTGTAAGAGTTCATTAATTTCAAGCAAGATTGTTTATACATTGTTAAAATCTTTGTAAACCGCTTTTTGGTGGGTGATAATGACCCCTTCATTTGTGGAATTTGGAGATAAAATGGTTGGTGTTTGGTATGTCATAAAGGTTATGAACAGAATGAACATAGATTTGCTCATCAAATATCAGAGTATTTGAAAGTTTATATAACTTTATGGATTCCTAAGATGTTTGTAATAGAAACAAATGAGGTTTGAGGCACATACCTGACCTTTTGAAGTTAACAAAAGGATAAACTCAGTTCTCCCCCAAAACATTGCAGAATGTACTTGTCAAAGTTAAAAATGTACAGGGTAGCCCATCTGTCTGAAAACAATCTCTTTTTAAAAATAGAAATGAAATAATTTTTAAAAAGTGAAAACAATATTTTCTCTTGCATGTATAATTTGCAATTCTTAAGGGAGGGGGACCCCGATGTGAATTATAGCAGACCTTCAATGGAGGCTTGTTGAATAAATGAATGAATGGAAGGAAGAATTGAGGGAAACTTCAGCAATAGGAAAGCAAGGTGATCCTGTGGATTATCATGTAATATTCCAATTCATAAATCTCAAGCAGTGGCAGCAGTTCCAATTAAACCACTTACAGGTATTATTTTATTGCAAACCAGAATGATTGCTGATAAATCAAGAAGGTAAATCTTACAAAATGTTTACAAAAATTACATGAGGTATGTAATTTGGATGGGGAATTGATGCATTTTGACATTTGCTTTTGCTCTTTATTTTTATTCATTTATCTAATTTGTTAATTTTATTTACTTTATTTACCATTGTTTTTACACATGTTTTCTTTGTCTGCCTCTTGGCTGTTATCTATTGTCTTCAGGCAAAGCCCACGTGGCGTGGCTGAGGATGTTGCCCCCACTAAGTTGCTGGTTGCAGCAGCTACTAGAAGAGCCAGTAGACTCGTCATCTGGTCAGACTATTTGCTATGTTCAAATGGACACTGCCTGTCTTTCACTGTCTTTTTCTCTAAAGAAAACATTAAATTTACTGAAAACTTGAGATTTAGAAAGGTTGGAAAGGCTACATAACACAGGACTTTAGATTTGGTGGTTGCATATGGTACATGCAAAAGGCTGCTTAATTATGAAATAATGCCAGAGTGCTACTTGAACCATTTTTTCCTGGAAGGAAACTTCAAATAAATGTCAAAAAGTTATCAATTATTGAATGCAAATTCCATGAGTTCACCTGGGTGTGTGTGGTATCCTTTAAGGAATAATATTCAAAAAAGAAGCAGTGGGCTTTGAAGGTCTCCTTTTACTTTCGTTTTAGTTTACTAAGACACTGTGTCTTTTAGGTTCATTCCTAAGTTTCCTTTGCTGCATTTTTCTTTGTAGCATTATCATCAATCCACCCAGATTGAGGCATGAGGTCTATGTTTACAAAGTACTAATGCCTTCATTTGGGCTCCCAATCTTTCTTTCTGATCTTCATACCTGCTGTTACAGACAAAGTCCAGCTCTTTAAACAATAGAGTTTCAGACAAACATCTGTCTCCCCTCAGAAGCATTTCTTCACAGTCCAGATAGTCAGGAAGCCATTAAATTCCAAATCCAAGGTTTCTTCCCAGGACAAAGCATGAAGCCAGAATCTCAAATCTATAGTCTGTTCACATTTTCAAATGAACATGGTTGCCTTTTAAGGAGAGGCTAGTGCCTCTGAAAAACTTCACTTAAGAATTAATTGCATATATGAATCAAAAACAGACTAATCAACAAGTAAATGTTGAATTTTTCATAGGCTTTTGGCAATTGTTATTATAATAGACATTAAAAGACAAATGCATCTATCAGTCCATTTAAATCAGTGTTATTATCCATATTGACTTACAAATATTAAACACATCTTCCTGTAAAACATAATAACATACCCTGTTTTAGAACTTTTTGAAGGTCCACGTGCAGCTGAAGAAATGTTCGTTAATGCTTCTGGTACTTATCCAGATTTGAGCCAATAAAAGTTAGCTTATTTATAAACAATGGTCCCCAAAACTTGCCTTTCCGGAATTACAAATTCTACAATGAATCATCTGTATTGTCTGATATATTTTCTAAATTTAGGATGCAATTCATTATCTAAATCCTTGCATATTTCAAGACTTCTGCCCTTAGTTCTTTAGTGTGTAAATATAAAATAAAAAGTCCCTAAATGCAAAGCACAATGTAACATGATAGAAACCTCTTTGTGTTAGAAAATTACATGTCAGAACTGGGTAATCTATAATACCAATTAACCAGCAATGATAATTATAAGTTCTTAAGAGCTAGCAGATTTGTTGCTCTTTCTTAGAGATGATTTTTTTCATGTGCTTTTGACATTTTTCCCCTTACCTTATTTTGTAAAGTCCGCTTTGTGAAAGACACAAGACTATTGATAACAATAGATGTTTTAGGAATTGGCAAACTTTTAAATCCTAGATGGAATGGCAGAATAGCCCCTCAAGGAGGGAATGGACTTTATTTATTCTTGGTGAGTTCCGAATGCACAAAAATAAAGGGCTTGCCAGTTGCCAGTGGGAAGTGAACATAATTATGACTTCACAGCTGCTTTTCCTAAAGTAAAAGGAGAGAAAAAAGGAAGAGTCATACTTTTTTTGTACTGTATCTAAAAAGAATATGCACAAAGGGAATATATTTATGCCAGATATAAGAAGCCATAATCAAAGTAATACTGTACTACCAAACTTATGCCAAGAAATTCAGAAATCTTGACTTGGCGGACTGTAAATCAGAGATATGCATCTATAGCACTCTAGTAATTAGAGCAATGTATGGAAAATTGAGGTCCTCAAATATATTCCCAATAGCTTGTTTCCCCTGATGAAAGTGGAGTGATCTTTCAGCAAAATCGTCATCATCTACTATACTGGTTTGACATTTGCAAAGCTCTGTTCAGATAATTCAAAACTTGGTGGATCTGACTCTATAGTGTGTGGTCTTAAGAAATGGCTTTTGGAAAGTTTTGTTTGGGAACTTGAAAATTAAACTGCATACATGCTATGAGATACTCAAGGTAACCAGTTACATCTGCCAGGGCTGATATATTGTTTAATGTAGAACAGTTGTTGACAAATTTTTATGTAAATAGTGAAGTTGTAAATATTTTAGACTTTGCGGGCCATATTGTCTCTATCCCAGCTATTCGACTATGCCATTGTAGCATGAAAGCAGCCTAGACAATATTTAAATGAGCAAGCAAGACTGTATTTGAATAAAACCTTACTTACAAAAACAGACAGCAGTTGGATTTGGTTCTAGACCATCGTTTGCAGACTCTTGATCTAGAAATTTCTAGTCATAAAGCTGGACTTGCAAAAGCCAAATAGTTATCGGAATCTTTATCAAAACGGAGGTCTTTTTTTAATGCCAATAGAGCTTTTAAGGATAATTTAAACATATGGATATTTTCCTCAAGATGTTTTGTCAATTAGTAGTGGAGAGGAGGACACCAGCAAAGAGCAGTCCTTTATCAAAAACACTGCAAAAATACTTTGGTTACTTGCTTCCTTACAAAATCATTATATCAAGCAACTGCATGCAGGAACTTAGATTGAACACAAAGCTCCAAATATTTTTATCTCTATTGATCCCTAGCAGATGTAACAGAAAGAAAAGATGAACAGTCAACCTGATTTCAATATAGATATTTTGTGGCAGCAAGAAAGGAGATGCCAGTTGAATCACAATTAATTGTGAATCTGCTTGAGGCAGCCTCATGAAAAAAAATAATCTTTTAGTCTGCCTCCTACATTCAGAGGCTACCTCAGTCTTCTGAAGAAATGTTAAATTATCTGAGGGATAACTCTAGGTGAGTCAAGGGTGATACCTTTCCCTGGGTCTTCCAGTAATCTGCCATTGACCTCTGTATGCCACTTAACTTCTATTTGATCTATTTCCCAATTTATAAAATAAAGGAGAATAAAGAGATGTCTGTAAAGTGGTTTAAAAGCCCAAGTGAAAGGCCATCTGAAACACAGGATGGCTGAATTTCAAAGAGTCAGGAGGACACTTCGGCTATTGAGAATACATTTTAAATCACATAAGTGGACACAGTAATATTCTTGTGAATGCCACATTACTCAGCAGTATTCCAGAGGGTCAAATAGATAAGGAGGACATGAAAGATTAATATTCAAGTTAAGCCTTTTAATTAAAATAGATATGAGAAAAATATATAGAAGGAATGAGTTTTGAATTGAAAGTTGTTATTTTGTGATGTCAACATAGGTACATAGACAAAAATTCACCTAGACATTTTTCAAAGGCGCTTTTGTATATAATCGAGGTACTCCAGTTTTTTATTTTTATAATATGTTTTAGTTACTTTTAGTCTTACTGTAGTTTTATATAGTTCTCTTTCTATTGTTATAAGACCCAAACTTGAACATTTTTAGCAATCCAGATCATGCTATAAAGTTAATGTCATAGAAACAGCATAAGGTGGTAGACTTGTGCTGGGCTCAGTGTTAGAATCTTTGCTTTCTCTGGCTTTATTTTTTCCACTAGTAGGGGCAATAATAAGAAGCTTGCAATTCTTTTAGGAGATTAAATGAGTATTGAATGACAAAGTAAGTGCTTAACGCTTATAGATGTTGAGCAGTCAAGACTCAAATTTGAGTTTGAAGGATGCTGATTCTGAGATACTCAGGCTTGGCTTGGTTGATTTCTCTAATAGGAGAGAGAAAAGGTATAACTAATTGCAGTTTTCCCAACGAAGGGAGCATTGACATGACAATTTTCACTGTGTGTTAATGTTCTTATTGCAAAGTATTTAACATTTTTGTCCCCATCCCCAAATGCCAGTAGCCCCCTGCTGTGGTCAAAGAATATTCTTTCATTTTTTTAAATATAGTCAGCCCTCTGTATCCCTTGGTTCCACATGACAGGTTCAAACAACCATGGCTTGAAAATATTCAAAAATTTCGCATCTATATGAACATGTATAGACTTCTTGTTTCTTATCATTATTCCATAAACAATACAGTGTAACAGATATTTACATGGAAATTACATTGTATTAGGTATTAAAAGTAATCTAGAGATGCTTTAAAGGAAAGGGGAGAACCTACATACAGGTTATATGCAAATATACACACAGGTTTGTAGGTTATATGCAAATACTACACCTTTTTTATGTTGGGGACTTGAGCAACCATGGATTTTGGTATCCAAGGGAGGTCCTGGAACCATGCCTTGATTGATACCAAGGGATAACTGTTACCTCTTTAGGAGGGGTCAATACAAAAACTGGATGACCATCTAAAACACTTGTGAATTCAGGGGGCAAAATATTATTTTGGCATTGGAAAAACACCAAAACATGCTGGCATACCTGAACTCTCCTCAATGACCTGGGATCTGCTTAGAGACTAGGGCAGAGATTAAGATGGGAAATTTTATAAATTAAAGTCAATACTCAAAAATAACTAATGATCAAAAGGATCCACTTGCCCCACTGCCACTCACACCCCCACCTGGTTCAGCAACATAGAGCCATGGCAAAATGGTCACACGTCCCTATATCTCACCAATGACAGAGACTCAAAGGAAGCCTGGCAGCTTAGGGCTGGTGACAGGCTATCAGAGTTGGAGGGCCCATCATTTGCTGGTTGACTTTAGATAAGCTTCTTTACAAACGAGGTGTACATAGGAAGTTGTGGGCCAGAATCAAAAGGAAGTTCTGTTGCTCTATGCAGAGAGGTGTGTTGTTTATCAAAGGAGAAGAAGAGAAGGAGGGACAATCGGATTTAGAAGATTATTTAATTGTATACAACAACTGTAGAAGTATTGAAGTTTTTGTCCCATTTAATAGATGGTAAAAATAAGATGGTTTTACCATCATTCTCAGCAAACTATCACAGGGACAAAAAACCAAACACCGCATGTTCTCACTTATAGGTGAGAATTAAACAATGAGAACACTTGGACACAGGAAGGGGAACATCACACACCGGGGCCTGTCATGGGGTGGGGGGAGGGGGGAGGGATAGCATTAGGAGATATACCTAATGTAAATGACGAGTTAATGGGTGCAGCACACCAACATGGCACATGTATACATATGTAACAAACCTGCACGTTGTGCACATGTACCCTAGAACTTAAAGTATAATAAAAAGAAATAGGATGGTTTTAGTGCTCATACTGCTTCAGGGTGGGTACGGCGGAAGCTTTGATTAAGAATTTATGAATAAATTTTTCTTTCACCTGATTATTTTGATTCTACTATGAATAAGCTGAGAATTGCTTCGGAGAATCTGTGCAGGCTGCCTTGAAACAGAAATACAAGACTGATTGGTCTAGGGAAAAATATGCCAGCTGCCTATACTAACAGCACCCATTCATTGGGATTTTAGTGTGCACAATGTTATTGTGTAACTGAGTCTTTATTATAAGAATCATAAGATGTTTGTTTTACTTAGTTTTCTCTTTTCCTTGCCTTTTTCTGCCTCCATGCGTGCTTGCTTGCACATAGTCATTTTGGTAGAAGGTAGTCACTAGTAACTTCATATCCTTATACCCCTGGCCTGCAAGATTGATAAACTGTATTTTTTTTGGAGAAGAAAAATGAATCTTAGGTCACACAAACCTTGATGGCATCCAGAAGTTTGATCAGGCCAAGAGACATAAACAGCTTTGGTCTTTGGGGTATCCCATTTCCTGTATACCTACCTGACTCATAGAAGCCCCCAATTATGTGTAAAGGAAGGTTAGACTTTAGAGACTGTCTTTCCTGCCCTCTCACTTTGGCCAAATTGAATAAACATTTATGCTGATGTGTCAGTGTTTGGCTTACTGTGCATCAGGTATGTGAACCTAAATTTTGATGTTAGATAACAATTATCCAAAGCATTTTGTATACTTTGTCCTTTTACTCTGCACAATAAATCCATAAGGTTTGTATTTTCATTATAATCTCCGTCTTCAGATGAAGACATAGAACTTGTGAAGTCAAGTATCTTATTGAAATCACAGAGTCAATAAGAGAAAGAAGCTGGAATCAGACCGGGGCTCCTTACTCGGGGCTCATACCTAGCCTGGTGGGAGTGCTAAGGAAGGAGGGCAGAAAGGCAAGTCCCATGCAAGCAGAGGAGAGTGATTCCAGGATGGATCAATTGGTACCCATAGGACTTCTTGAGTTGCTGAATGCAGAGGCCTTGAGAAGCCCACAGTTTCTAGATTATGTACATGCCCAGACCCAGTGGATATCTATTTAGTTTTAATTAAAACCCTCCCTTCTCCAGAAAGGGAATGTGAGTCTGTGTCACCCACAATAGGACAAATCAACAGATGAGATTATCTGCATGGCCCTTTAAGGAACCTTCCCTACCTCCCTACTCTGTTACACTCTACCTACAAGATGAGACTTTCAAAGGAACATCATTTCCCCTTGACTCAGACTGATAAAAAAAATTTGACTCCTAGTCACCAGGAAACAAGAAGTCTCCTCCACAGTCTTTTGACCTTTTGTTGCTCCAAGAAGGACCACATGTCACTGCTTTGCCACTTGAGGCCATTAAACCCATTTCGCTCCTTTATATAACTGCTAAACATAGACGCTGAAATGAAGAAATACAGCCTAAATAAAGACACCAATAACAGCTTGCAGGAAGTAGTAAAAACAGTTTTGCAGAAGGTTAGGAGCCAAGGCTTTTTCCACTGTCAGCTTTAAAGGTGTTCTCTTTGACCAGCCACAAGGCTACTTCACCACCGGTATGAAATTAGAAATTTTGAAGACTATTGCACACAATTTTCACAGTGGATCAGCCAGAGGTTGTTAAGCAAAGAGAATGCTGAAGCCATAATATACTGAGATGACAGAGGCGGCTCATGAGTATTCCTGCTTCCATGCTCTGTGGGCCAGCCACAGCAGCAGCCACTGTTTATGGCATCCCTGACTTGGATATGTGGTTTGTGCCTGTTGAGGGAGTGCTAAGAGGAGAAATCTACAGAAAAGCCGTGAACTAGGTGGTTGAGCCAAGTGGGCCAAATAGACAAGAGCTTCAGATGCAGGAAATTCCCTTCCAAAGGCAGGTGATAATGGGCTCTGACTTCTTGTCAAATTACCCATCAATCGGGGCTTTAACACCAAGCTAGTACAGCATGGTGGTCAAGCCCAGGACTTCTGCAGATAAGTAGAGCTCAATCTAATCTGACTCTGTATGGACCAATGGTGTGGCCATTGGAAAATCACTTTAGCTCACTAAGGCATAGTTTCCTATTCTGTAAATTGGAATTAACATTAGTACTTACTATCTAGGGTTGCTATGAAGACTAAATACTTAACACAATGTCTAGGCCATAGTAAATGCTTCATTCATGGGAGTCATCGTTATTGAGAAGCTTTCTATGTGCACATCACTGTTCAGAGAACTGGGTACATATTAAAGTAAAAAGCATGTGGTTTAGTCCTAGGATGCATATAATCTAGCTGGATTGACAAGAAGTGTACATGCAGAGAAAAGTTAAATAATATAAAGTAGCATACAACAAAATGTTAATTGTGCAGCATGGATGATAAGTGCTTTATTCATTTATTCATTCATTAGTAAAACACACACCGAAGACTTCCTGTTTTGAAGCAATGTGATAAGTACAGAGAAGGGTAGGAGAGCTTAATCTCATAGGAATTATTGCATGAAAAGTACTATTGTTATCTTATCTTGAAATTTGCTTATGGGAAAACTGAGACTTAGACACAAAAAAGGAGCATACCGAAGTTCTCACTAGTAGTAAGTTAACAAGGTTGGGATTGCAACCCAGACCTGCCTGACCCCAAAGCTCATGATTTTGTAGAGCAGTTGTTAAGAGAATAGAATCTACAGCCAGAGAATCTGGGCTCAATCCTGACACTGCCAATCATTAGTTTTGTGATCTTGGTTAAGTTACTTAAATTCTCTAGACCAGAGTGTCCTCATCTGTAAAGTGAAGGTAGAATATTAGTATCTACTTCATGTGGGTTTTGTGATGATTAAATGAGTTAATCTATTTAAAAACATATCAGTGCCTGGAACACTATCAGCACTGTAAATATAAACTCTTATTATTTTAATAGTGAACACTGTAATTATTACTATCTTAACTGAGCTATGGTATGTGAAATGTTTAGAACATTGGTACATAATAAGCATGCAGTAATTAGCTGTAATAATAATTATAATTATAAAGAGAAGGGTAGTCAAGGCGGGCTACTTTATATCAGGGACTTGAGCAGCCACTGATTTTGGTATCTGCAGGACATCTTGATTCACAGTCGAATCAAAATAAATAATAATAACAATAGTTATTATTATGACCTAATGAGTTACACTGCCCCTGATTGGTTTCCTTGCCTTCAGTCAAAATTGTCCTTTTCTGCTCCTAAACTTCCAAACTATTTCACTCCTGTCAATGGTATCATAATACCCCCATAACACAACATTATTTAAAGAATTACTGTTTTCATTATCTTCAATAGATAACGAAAGAAATCCTAGGATTAGAACGGGCCTTCGTTTAATTCTAAATCGTGGTGCTATTATGATAATTAATCTATGATTACATGTAAACCACTATAGGACACAGTATATGCTCAATAAAGTTAGTTATTGTTGGTATAATCAGTTCATATACTTTATTTCAATATGTCACAGAGAACAAGTCCTATCACTTTTCCTTTAGAACACATAATTCTATCTCTCTACAAACCCTAGCTGAAATCCTTGGGTGCCAGGCTTTCTATTAGGTGTAGTTCATCCTGTGTACCACTGCTGTTATCTTCAACACTGCTTAGACTAAGAAAACCACCAAGATTTTCTATTTTCCAACACCAACATGTCAGACACTTCTCTCCAATGGCTAACTCAATCTTCTCGGACTTCTTTTACTGCTCATAGGGCCACCATTCTGGTCGAAATTGTCCCCTCATTATTACAATGCCTTTTGTCTTATGTTGACGTTGGACTACACTCACATGCTTTCCCATTCCTTACCTGGGAGCCTTTGATTTCACGCTCTACTGACTCAAATCTGCCTCTTCTTCAAAGCTAACGTCATGTATCACCTTTTGCCTAAAGCCTGTCCTAATTAACTCCCTTCAGCCCTTCCCTTCTCTGAAACCCTATAACCCTTGAATCTTCTATGCCTAATGCAGATATGATACAGGGATACGTTATAAAGAGGTTTAATACATGGCCTCCTGAGTGATATTACCTGAATTCTAACATAGCTCTGCCTCATCTTAGGGCTGGGACTTGGGCTTCAGTTTCTTCATCTGTCAAATGGACATAACAAGAGCACCTATCTCATAGTATTATTTGTGATACTTAAATGACATAAACCATGCAAAGCACTTAGCATAGTAGTTGATGTGTGATAATCATTCAACATGTTAGCTATTATGATGTGGTTGTTATGATGAGCACTCACCACCTGTTTGTTGAATGAATGAATTAAACTATTGATTTCCACACAGCTTTATAGTCTCCATGTTTAGAGGAATAAAATAGATTGTACAAGATATCTGAAAATCCCAAAGGGATGCATAGTTACATTTACCTTTAGAATGTTGCCAGTCTTTGATGTCACAGAACACACAGTCTGATGGTTTAAATGCTCTCCTCCTCAAATTCTGTTTTTTTTTCTCTCCCACCCATCCTTATTGCCAACCACCCCTTAGTTGATAAGTGGAGAAAGGAAGAGGGTTATGAAGATTTCAGGTCACTGCAGATGAAACATACAAAGACAAACCCAGGGCTTCCCATATTATATTGAATATAGAGAATGCCTTAGGGGAACTCTAAGAAGCTTGAAGTCATTTTCCCTTTAGAAATCATAAAGAGGTCAGTGATTTATAATTCAGAAGAACAATGGACAGGAAAAGTTCTCTACCTGCCCGTGCAAGCAACGACTGTCTTGCGAGGCTTTCTAATGTAGTCAGAGCTTCAAGGTAGTTAACAGCCCTTTTTCCCTAACTGCCTGCTACGCTTTATCCTAGAGGCACTTCTGCTCTTCTCTGATTCCTTTTGGCTTAAAAAATTATTTTTTCTGCCATTCTCATTTCTCCTCTGCAATCCTGTCTTTCTCTCTTTTTCTCTTTAGTGGTCTGACTTTGGTGCTGACCCCACCGTGCCCTCTCAAGGGCACTTAGCAGAGCTGTTGTCTCAGGCTCGGGTGTGCTCCCCATCCTCTGACTGGTAATAGAACAAAGGACAAAAGGCCATCTCTCCAAGTCACAATATCTCTTTATTGAAGCTTTGTTCTGCTGCTTTGAGCCTTTTCTCTCTGATTCACTGGACTTGCATTTGAGCAACTTTCCCATTTCTCTCTTTTCTATTACCTCCCAATTCTAGAATGACTAGGTTAGACTCACTGTTTTCTTGTTTCTCATTTCCAATAAATTCTTCGACACACTATTAACATTTGAAGGTTATATCAGAAGATGGAAAAATCAAATGAATGCCAATATTCTTTCCTGGGTCCCCTGCTCTCTGGCTTGGCAACTGAAATCCTGGGTCCTGCATTTTCCCTCCTGAACCACCTCCAAGGTTGGCCTTCAGAGCTCTTAGGACTAGACTGGCTGGTGGAGGGACTGGTGCTCTCAAAGGGCCTTTCTTCTTAACAAATCCTCCCTTGCTTGAATGGGATCTAGAAGCAGATTTGGAGGCTTGTGGAAATGGGGCCCATCAACATTCCAGCATGTATCCTATTACCATTTCAGGCATTCTTTGTGGCTCCATCGTTCTGTTTCTAAGTCTCATTACTTCGTTTGTCCTTTAGCAAATATATCCCTGGTCTACCACATACCTCCTCCTCTCCATTTTTACTGCCACTGCCTTAATTCAAGTGCTATTTGTTGAAGAAGTGTTCCACCAATACTTGTGTTAGTTTCCTTGGGCTGTCATATAAAAAGTACCATAAGCTGAAATTTATTCTCTCACAGTTCTGAAGGCTAGAACTCAGAAAAGCTGTTGACAGGGTCTTGCTTCCTCTAAAGGCTCTGCGGGAGAACCTGTTCTGTGCCCTTCTCTTAGCAGTGGTGTTGGTGACAGTCCTTCATGTTCTCTGGTCTGTAGCTGTGTAACCCCATTCTCTACCTTCATTGTTATGTGGCATTCTTCTCCCCGTTTCTCCGTCTTTTCCTTTTTTTATAAGGAAAACAGTCATATTGAATTAGGGCCCACCTTAATGAACCCATCTTAACTAGATTTCATCTGCAAAGATCCTATTTCCAAATGAAGTCATATTCACAGGTACCAAAAATAGGGCTTCAACATATCTCCTGGGAGGACACCATTCAACCCATCACAAAACCCTCATAGATCTCCCTGCCACCCATATTTTCCTTCTCTAATGCACCCTCTTTATACCATCCAGTCAGCTTTCTAAAATACTTATCAGATTATTTACACTTGAATTTAAAAATTATCTGCCAACTTGCCATTTCTTTTAGACGAAATCTTTAGAATTGCATTTCAGGTCCTTTTCATTTTAGGTACTTCCCATGTTCCTTTCCAGCACATCCTGTCATCCACTCTCGTGCATCTGGCAGGGTATGACTTGCTCATTATGTTAGAATGTTCAAGTCCTTGTGTATATTTTTGCTTTTTTTCACCTAAGCCCCATTCTCTTTTAAAATGAATAACCCATCCTAGATTTTTTTATAACCCTTTGTTTATTCCATTTTCTTATTTATTCTGAATTTCTCAATGCCTGGTACCTATTATCTGCAAATAAATGATATTGAATAAATGACTTCAGAAAGGAATAAGCAATTTGATAATATTACAAATAGTTTTTTCTTCATCATGATCTTCATAAGTTCTAAAAACTTCATAGTTATTTGTCAATGTAAATACTTTTTTCAAATATTTATAGCTTAATAGCTAAAAGGCAGGTTTTGGAAACTGCCTGGTTCACTTAGAAGTTACGAGATTTTTTTCAGCCCTTTATTTGACCTTCTTGTCCTTCAATGTCTTAATCTGTTAGATGGGAACATGAATTCCTAATTAACAGAGTTATTAGAATAAAATGTATTAGATAAAAGAACAATCCTTAGGGTAGTGACTGATATAAATTAAATGGTTAATATTTATTTGTCATATTGTCTTTATAACTATTATATTTATAATATAGTTATTATATTTATATTTATATATTATTATATAAATATAAATATATAATATAAATATAACTATTATATAACATATTTATAAATATAAATATAATAGTATATAATATTGTAAATATAGTATAATAGTAATATTTATTATATTTAATAAATATAATTATTAAGACATATAATACTATTATATATCTTTTTAAAAACATTTATTTTAAGTTCTTAAATTAATTGTTATTTTAAACCACATGATCACCTGTTTTTCTAGTTAATTATCTACAGGCTACAAATACATTTTATATCGCCATTCTCAATTATAATTGAGAATATAATATATCATTGTCTCTCTCCAACCACCCCCCGATTAAAGTATTGAATTTATTTTATAACCCAGGTGAATCCTATGAGACACAGGTAGATAAAGTTGGCCTTGATATGTGGCATTGGATTTAAGAATAATAGCTGTGCTGGGCGCGGTGGCTCACTCCTGTAATCCCAGCACTTTGGAAGGCTGCGGTGGGTGGATCATAAGATCAGGAGATTGAGAGCATCCTGACTAATTCTGTGAAACCCCATTTCTACTAAAAATACAAAAAATTAGCCAGGCCTGGTGGCACGTGACTGTAGTCCCAGCTACTCAGGAGGCTGAGGCAGGAGAATCGCTTGAACCCGGGAGGCGGAGCTTGCAGTGAGCCGAGGTGGCACCACCGCACTGTAGCCTGGGCGACAGAGCAAGACTCTGTCTCAAAAAAAAGAAAAAAGAATAATAGCTGTAACATGCTCTTTTTAACAATACTGTTTGGTAACTGTTCTTTTTGGATGGGAAGCTAATAACAGCTACTCATGTTACACTGTCTGGCATATGACTATGAAAGACACTACACCAATAGAGGACAATCTAGGAATGTGTTCTTATGTGACTATAAACTTTCATTCATGAACCACTTTCACTCATGATTGCCATAGAGTGGATTCTCAACAAGTTGTAAATCTCTGTAATAATAATAATAATTCTGAAAGCAACTTGAAAACAAAGTAATAATGGATGATGTTGACTCTCTTCCTAAATAAGCACATGTGCCTTCTGAGGCTGTAAATAGAACTTATAAATTATATGGATGGACTCTATGGAAAAATTGTGCATGACCATATAGGTAGTACTCCTTCTTAGGAGGAAAAAAACAAAAAGCTGCATTCACGTAGAAGATAAGATTCTGTATCTAATTTCAACAGCATTTAACATGGGGCTCATTTTGGTCTTCCCAAAAAAAGAGGAGGCAGGAACTAAAAATTTGATCTTACAGTCTCTCTTTCTCTCTCTTTCTTCTTTGATGTACATTAGTTCCCATGGAAACTACATTGGGATGGCTTGAGAGTGACATCTACAAATGCAGTGTAAGGTCATTTTTATCTAATGCTTTGAAATTTAAACCATGATTTGTGATATATAGTGAAACCTCCTTAACATATTCTGAAAGACTATGAAAAGACAATATTCTGAATGCAAAAACAAGACATGTGACTGCATTATGCCAGGTCTCAGAAAGTTCAGCATTGCGATTTGCATAGAAAAACAGAAAGAGCTTCATTTTTCAGTTTGCCTCCAGGAGAGTCCTGGCAATGCAGTTGGCCTCCTTAATATGGAAGGAAGAAAACCCTTCCTTCTACCTCCTTCCTTGGCGTGATCTCGGCTCACTGCAACCTCTGCCTCCTCGGTTCAAGCGATTCTCCTATCTCAGCCTCCCAACCCAGTAGCTGGGATGATGGGCACGTGCCACCACCATGCTCGGCTAATTTTTGTATCATTAGTAGAGACAGGGTTTCGCCATGTTGGCCAGGCTGGTCTCGAACTGCTGACCTCAGCTGATCCGCCTGCCTAGGCCTCCCAAAGTGCTGGGATTACAGGCGTACCATGCTGGCTTTTTTTTGTTGCTGTTTTTTTGAGATGAAGTCTCATTTTATTGCCCAGTCTGGAGTGCCATGGTGTGATCGCAGCTCACTGCAACCTGTGCCACCCGGGTTCAAGTGATTCTCCTGCCTCAGCCTCCCAAGTAGCTGGAATTACAGCCATGTGCCACCATGCCCAGCTAATTTTTGTATTTTTAGTAGAGATGGAGTTTCACCATGTTGGCCAGGCTGGTCTTGAACTCCTGACCTCAGATGATCCGCCTACCTCGGCCTCCCAAAGTGCTGGGATTGCAGCCGTGAGCCACCATGCCCAGCCTCCTTCCTTGTTGCTGGATCCAGTGAGGCCACCAGGTAAGGGACAAGGGTTTAAGGCTTTAAATGCTGCAATAAGTAACTGCATGTGGACTGTGATAAAGCTGCAGGGGTTTTCTTGCTTCTACGGTTCCTACCAGCACTCTTGGCCTGCCTTTCTTAGATGTGATTTCCTTTATTAATTTGCCAGTGTTTCACCTATAAATTCCAGGTATATTTGAAGGGAGATATATTTCTAAAGGAAGAAACTGAAGCCTTGGGCTCAAAATGACTTGAGGTTTAATGGAATATGATCAGCTTAGGCTTCTAATGTACTCTCCAGCGAAGAAAAGTGTAGATGCTGAGCAGGGAGATATGGATTCAAATCTTGACTCATTTAATTTCTAACTATGTGTCTTTAGCAAGTCAAAACTTTTCTAAGCCTTAATATACTGATCTGAAGAATGCTGTCAAATTTTAAATGGGTGAGCATGTGAAAAGGGAATAATTTATAAGAAGTGTTTAGTACTAGTTACATGCTGGGATCTCAATACAGTTGTGTTGCGTAAATGAACTTTGTTTATATGTAACTTTGTTCTCATCAAAATCCTTTATATGGAAAGCTGTGAAAATAACTATCGCTTATCTTGTATCATAGTTAAATGTGGGTCAAATGGCTATCTCTCCAGTTTACGGTCACCATCTGTAATATGTGGGCTGTAAGATCAGTTTTGGCAGCAAAAGTGAGGGCCGGAGGAGGCACCTGGGTTGCTGCCTCACCTCCATTCTGGCTACATTGGCCTAACTGCAAGTTTAGGCTTCGAGATGCCAGCTAATATGTCAATGATTGGTACACACTAACTCTCTCTTCCCCACTTAAAAAAATGTTTAATAAATCTCATTGTTTAAAACTGATGATTGTAATAACAAAGAGAATCATCAAGCAAGCACATTTGAAAAAATGGCTGATGTTTCTGATGACATTCTTGTGTGATCTGCTGTTCCAACACTGTTAATTTTATCTACCCGAAGAAAAAGAACAATACATTCTTCATTGATATAGTAAGTCACATTGCTTCATGTCTCTTGCCCACAGACTTAATCTTTAAGAGGCGTGTAAATAAGCAACTTAACATATGTGACCTCCTGACCGTGAAGTGTTAAATTCCAGGAACTATATTACTCCACCACTTTTATTTGTCTGTGGGAAATCAGTTGATTTATGCCTGTTCCCAGGATACAATAAAAATGTGCAGGTATGCCAAACTAGAACTATTAGAACCTGTCAAATAAAAATTTTTGTTGCCTTTAAAATCTGCAAATAAAAGTAACCTTTGATTAAGGATAATACGCTTTATATCATAGTTTTATCAGTATTCAGCAAAACATATCCAAACAATTTAATTTCAATATAGTATAATACATCACAGCCTTTGAAGAGAAAGATCCCCTGCCTGATGAGAAGAAAAGTTTCTTATTTACAAAGGAGTTATAGCAAAATGGCAGTTCTACCAGCACAGACAAGGTAGATTAACAGAAACATTCAGCCAAGCAGGGTCTGAAGTTTCTCAAATTTGGCTTATTTACATTGTCCATTCATTCTTATTTTATGGGCTTTAGAACTTCAGATGGGGTCCAGCTAGTATTATAAACCAAAGTGCCGAAATAACCCACAAAACTGTTACAAAGGAATTCCCAGCTCAGTTTTCAGACTCAAGAGTTTGGAATCATTTCAAAAGGATTCTCAGCTCTTACATATTTTAGGCAGGTCTACATTGATATAGAGTGAGACTCAAAAGCAACTTGGAGAATTTCCATCTCATTAACACTTCATTTACAGTACACCTATGTCAAGCCTCAGCCTTGGAGTTCTGGTCTTGGCTTAAATGAGGGAAAGAGAACTTCTCTAGCCAATACTGAGCTGAGTACAGATTCTGTTGTGTATAGTCATGATTGAAGCATGCTCACATCACCTTTGAACTCAGATTTCTCAGTATTCTTCAAAGGATGAAATATTTCTTTAAAAAACTGTATGCCTTTATTTTTTCTCTGTCATTAAATGTTGTATATTTGTATTCTGGTTCATTTTTCAAGCTGGATTTTTGATGGTCAAAATTATTAAACAAAATCACTTGGGTTTGGAACATGTACAATCAATCCCACTCTGAAAACACCCTGTATAAGTTGGGGTTTAAGAAAATGTCACTGTGGAAACCTCAGCAGCAGTTAGACAAGGATTGTGCTTCATTCACTTTTGTGACCCCAATGTTTAGTGCAGTATCTGTAACATTGCAGATGCTCAATGTTTGAGAATGAGGAAATAAATGAATGAACGAGAAGGAAATTTTCCTGAATGCATTCAGTTTATTCCAGACAGACTTTGTTCAACACTCCGCTGTAAATCAGAACAAGACCTCAGTCAAGCTGTGGACTACATAACATGACATAGGTAAATCATCACTGGGGTCCTGTCAGGTTCCAGGGAAGCAGGAAAGCAGGAAAGAGCTGACAGCCACCAGGGTCATTGTGCAGAGTATATCAGAAAGTGGTTTTAGCTGACCAGTGGGTTGGAGGTCTTATGGTGTCGGGAGTGCACAGCTTTATGCTTAGTTTCTAATAACTTTCAATTACCTGTAATTGTGATCAGGTAATGAAAAGTATCGGGGACCTCCAAAATAATTTATATTATATAAACATATGTATATTTGACATGCTATGCTTCAGACTTACATTTTTAATTGAGATTCTCATTAGTCAAGACTAAAATCAGTTATTCTCATTGTTATAACTCACTTTCACTAAAGCTTATTTGAGATTAAAATATAATGTGAAAAATTCAAAGATAAAATGACTATATACATATATGTATACATATACACACGCGTGTATGAAACATACTTTTATATGAGTATACACATACTCACATAGCAACAACACCTATATGATTCTGTATTTTTATAATGATATATAGCCCATTATATAGATGAAAATATGTGTGCATATACATACATATGGATTAGGTATATATAAAACTGTATACATTTATGGAATGGTATGGGTGCTACTATTATGTGAGTATATGTACTTGTGTGTATATGTGTGTTTTGTGATGGCACCATTCTTTTATCCACCAAATATTATTGAACATTTACTGCATTTAGGAACTCTGCTGGGCACTTAGGATATAAAAAGTGAATCCGTCCAGACCCTGCCTTTAAGAATGTCCTGCTATAGTGAGGAAGCCAGATTCATGAACCCATCTGTGCAGTTTAAAGATGATGTAGGAAAATACTTTATAGAGGGGCTTAAGAAAAGAATGTTCCAAATATTCATCAATGCCTTCCACTTACCACATGCAGGCCTTTCCTCTTTCTTTCTAGTCCTATTCATCATCCAAGTCATGAATTTTCAGATATTTTTTTTCTTTAATAAAACCTCAAAATGGTTGTAAGTGTTAGTGGGAAGGTTTTGATTTATGCCTCTAAAAGCTGTAAAACATTTTGCTTTTCCCAACATCACATGAAAATTTGTTGCTTGAACTTTGGAGAGAATTCTTCCCTTTTAAATTTCTTCCCTTTTATCATATTGTAATTTGTTAAATGGAATGAATCATTAATGGATTTCTTGTGATTTTTAACAGTAACCACATTTATATATCTTAGCAACATTCAGAGAGTGTGTGCAACTCTGTAGACACCTTGGAAGTAAATAAACACACACAAATATGCATGATCAGACTGATGAAAAAATAGCATTGTTGTTTATGTCATGATCTATGAGTGCAGGTATGGTTGGAAAATCTGATGAATTATGAACATTCTGTTTCAGGGTTTTCACCTGGTAAATGGAACTAACAATACCTTCTGTCCCTGCTACATAGGATTGCCATGCATTTCAAATAAGATAACATGAGAAAGTGGTTTATGAGATAGAATTTACTGTATAAATACATGTCTGGCCAAGGTGTGAGGGCCATCTGGCTGCATATCAGACTCTCACAGGTTCCTAACTACCAGGATGGCTTCTGCAGGTGACTAGAAGGATATATTTTATATTTGTAGATCTCTTCCTAACCACTTTTCCACCTCTTTCAAAAGCCTAATTCTGTCCTCCTTTCTTGACCATTCTCTGTGCTCTAGCTTCTATCTTTGCCTCTGCCTTTGATTTTGATACTTTCTCTGGTAACAATATCAGTTCCTACTAAGCTACTTTCTGTTGTGCCATCTGTTCCGAGTTGCCTCTCCATTGCCTTCCCCAACTTGATGCAGAATTCTTCTTCCCTAAAGTTGTCCTCTCTTTTTAAGCTCAAGCTCCTGTGATCACATGATGTCCTCATTGGGCTTGCCTGTGCATTTTTACAAGGCAGTGCTAGTAGAAATTTTTAGAGTTATCCAAGCCTATTTAATAATGGCAGAAGTGCTGAGCATTTACTTTCCAAAATGGCTGAGGTATCAGAGAAGGGCTTAGATTTTCTAGGCATACTCACCTGAAGAAAAAAAAAAATCTTGTACTCTAGATGCACTTAGGATAGAAAATATATTGACTCGTTGAATAGTTTTAACATTGCTTCCAGTGCTCATTTGGAATAAAAAGGAAAACAGTTGGGTCTGACTAGAATTAATTAGACACCTCAAATACGTACTTTTGATGAGAAGATTACACAAGATATATTACAGTGTGATGTTTAAGACAATAGGCTTTTATTTCAGAAAAATCTGAGCTTAAATATTGGCCGTAACATTTAATAGATTACGATACACGGCAAGTTACTTGGCCTCTCCAAGTCTCATATTTCTCATATAAAATGATACTGGTTGTCTCCCTTTTTGCTAAAAATGTAGAAAGCTGCAAGAGAATGTCATTTTACTCTACCAACAAAAATAACAACAAAATCTATGAAAACATTACTCTTTTAAAGAGACGGCTGGGCGCAGTGGCTCACGCCTGTATTCCCAGCACTTTGAGAGGCCAAGGCAGGCAGATCACGAGGTCAGGAGATCGGGACCATCCTGGCTAACACGGTGAAACCCTGCCTCTACTAAAAATACAAAAAAGTAGCTGGGCGTGGTGGCGGGCACCTGTAGTCCCAGCTACTTGGGAGGCTGAGGCAGGAGAATGGCATGAACCTGGAAGGCGGAGCTTGCAGTGAGCCGAGATCATGCCACTGCATTCCAGCCTGGGTGACAGAGTGAGACTCCGTCTCAAAAAAAAATAAAAATAAAAAATAAAGAGACGAGGCTTCTAATCACAGAATCTTATTTTCAAAGGCTGAGAAACTCCCTCCAAAAAGAGATTAGTCAAATAAACCATTTCACCTTTGGAAGATTATGAAAGAAAGAGGTGACTGTCAATTACAGCCAGTAAGGAGAAAATAGCCAAAATTTTTAACACGTTTTAAAAGGCCAAGTGTAAAGTTAATATGATAGAGTAGAATCCCCAGGACTTCAGATATGTGTGAAGTCTGTACTTTCTAAATATTTTTTAAATTTACAGGCCCTACTTGTGCCCACAGAAAGTATTTAGGGAAGGGGAGGAAAACTAAGTGAACACCCTCAATGGTGCATCTTCATATTTCTCTCAAATGAATACTGGTTGTCCCCCTTTTTCTGATCCCAGAAAAGGGGCGGGTAACTCCTTCTTCTCCTAGCACCCTGGCAAAGAACTACTGCCTGTGGGAGAAGGTAAAAGCAAAGTAGTTTGCTTCTGGAGGAGGAGTTAAAAACTCAACTACTTCCAGTCCCAGGAAAAGGAAAGGAGGAAGGAATAGAAGCAAAAGCTGCCTGTTCCAACCAGAAGGTTTGTACTGAGTAATAAGCAATAGCAGTGTACTACTGCAGAAGTGCTAAGAAAACCCCTGCCAATAGAAATAGGCAGGGGTAAATTGGAACCAAAAGAGGAATGAAAACAAAATCTATATTCCTTGAGAGAGAGGAAAAAACACTGCTAGGACCCAGGATTTTGAGATGATACAATGCACAGGGGGAAATAACAGTATTCTCTCCCACCCAGCTCCCCCACCCTCCTACAGAAATAAGGGAAACATTTGGCTACCATGAGGATGGGCAGGAACACTGAGAGAGCTCCATTCTCAAGGTCTAGACACCCAGGACTTACGTAAGTGTGAGGCTGGGTCAAGATAATAGAAAACTACCCACTTTACCCATCACACCTTGAACAATGTGCAAAATAATAATTAAGACAGAACAATAGTATAAAGAGATACTCCTAAATGGCATAAGCATACAAGGACTGTTAAAAATTGAGAATAGAGCAAGAACACAGGGGAAAATCCTCCTACGACAAAATCCAATTAAGCACAAGGTATCGACAGTGAAATGCCAGTGGAATGGGAAGTTATTGCTGGAATGAAGGTTACCATGGCAATAACAAAACACAAGCCAAGCTCAAAAACTGATTAGACTGACTAAACCTTCCCAACATGACATGCATATGAATGGCATGAGAAAATAAAAGGCATGCCTATTTTCCAGGATAAAGACTGTTTACCTCAGTCTATATTATTTTAAACACAATGTTCAGCAATAAACCAAAAATTACAAGATACACACATACTCATTGGTCAGGGGTGGGGAGAGAGAGAGAGAGAGAGAGAGAAAGAGATATTGAGGGAGAAACAACCCACTGTCAAGGTATAAAGTAGCCAGCAAAACCAGATTTATAGATGATCCAGACATCATTATCAGATAGAAACGTTAAATAAACTATGTTTAATATTTTAAAGGATTTCGTGGATAGATGTTATACATACATAAGCAAATGAGTAATTTCAGCAGAGATGAAAACTATATGAAGTATGTGTCATGTGCAAAGGGTCAAAATAAAAAAAAATGTCACAAATAAAAAATTCCTTCAGTGGGTGTATGAGCAAACTGGACAGAGCAGAGAATAGACTCAGTTGACTAGAAGGTATATCAATGGAAACGTAAAGAGAAGAAAACATAATGGTGCATCCAGCTGCTATGAAGCAATGTCAAATAGTCTAATATGTGTGTAATTGGAGTCCTAGACAAGAAGAGAGAGAAACTTGGCAGAATAAATTTTGAAGAGACTAGGTAAGAATTTTCTAAAATAATGAAAGTCAACAAATTTTCAATTCCAGAAGCCCAGGTGATCCCAAGCAGTATAAGTATAGATCAATCAATTGATCAATTGATGATGGATAGATAGATAGATAGAGAAAATAGAATATACCTAGTCACATTACACTTACACTACTGCAAACCAAAACAAAGAGAAAATGTTATGGCTGTCAAAAGGAAAAACAACAAAACACATTATACATAAGGTAACAAAACTAAGAACAATAGCAAATATTTTTGCAGAAATCATGCAAATTAAAATACAATGGAGTTACAACTTTAAAGTACTTGGAGGGGAAAAACCTGCCAATTCAGAATTTGCTATCCAGTAAAAATATCTTTATAAAAATAAAGACAAAAAATATACAAAACAAATCTGAGAGGACTCATTGCCTGTAGACCTGTACTATAAGCATTGTCAAAGTAAGTTCTTCAAGCAAGAGTATAACACTAGGTGAAACTTTTGATCTGCATAAGACATACAGAGTTCTAAAAGTGGTAAAAATGAAGATAAATACAAAAGAATTTGATTTAATTTTGAACTGTTTTAATAAAAAAATAAAAAACAAGAAAAAATATCACCATTCAATATGGGGTTTATAACTTATATAGATATGAAATGCATTACAGCAACTTCATAAAGAATGGACTGGATGAAATAAAAGTATACTGTTTCAGGGTTTCTAATGGTATCTAAAGTGGAGAAATATCATTTGAAGATAGACTGGATAAATTTTAAAAATATAATTTAAACGGTACAGTAATCATTAAAAAATTGAAAAAATAAAGATGTTTACCTAATAAACCAAAGTGGGAATAAGATGGAGTCATAAAATAAAATACAGCAGAAGAAAACAGAGAAAAACTAAAAAGAACAGATTAGACAAAGGAAAAATAAAACAAATAACAATATAATAAAGGGTTAAAATACCCCAATTAAAAACCATAGGTATTAAGATAGAATCAAAAAGTAGAAATACATCATATGCTGTCTATAAAACAAAACTTTAAAATATAACAACATAGATGGGTTGAAAGAAAAAGAGTGAAAAATATATTGTAATTGCTAATCAATAATTTCAGAAGTAAAGAGACATATAACATAAAGAAGTGAATTCACCAAGAAAAAATAATAATTTGTAAATTTGTATGCACTTCATAACAGTGCTTCAAAATATGGAAAGCAAAAATCTGATAAAACATAAAAGAGAAATAGGTATATCCCAATTATGGTTGGATATTTTAACTTTGCTATCTAATTGACTGATGGAATCAGTAGACAAAATTTTAGTAAGAATATAGAGGACCTGGATAACAGATTCTAATAACACTAACCTACTTGATAATATGAATCTACTTAACATTTAGAAAGCACTCCACCTAACAGTTGCAGGAAACACATAATTCTTATGTACACATGAAACACTCACCAACATAGACCATATTCTAGTTAACAATGAATTATGCAACTATTGAAAATAGTTTTCAACTATAAAACTCTCAGCAAACTAGGAATAGTAGGAAACTCCCTCAATCTGATGTAGGATATCTACAAAAAGTCCACAGCTAATATTAGATTTAACAGTAAAAGACAGAATACCTTCCTCCCAAGGTCAGGCATAAGGTAAGGGTGTTTACTCTCACTACTTCTTTCCAACATTGCACTGGAGGTTATACCAAGTACATTATAACAAGAGAAATAAATAAATGACATACAGATCAAAAATAAGTAAATGAATGTGTCTCTATTCACAAACAGGATAATTCTTTCTAAAGAAAATCTCAAGGAATTTACAAAAATATCTACTAGGACTAATAAAATGAGGTTAGCAAGGTCACAGTAAATAAATCAATATAAAAATCAATTGTTAGCAGTAAACAATTGAAAATTGGAAATATCATTTAAATATTATCAAAGTCATGAGAGGTTTAGATATACATCTAACAATGTATCCGTAAGATTTGTTTGATAAAAATGTCAAAATGTTGCTGAGACAAATTAAAGACCCAAATAAATGGAGACATATACTATATTCATGGTTAAGAAGATTCAATATTTTTAGGATATCAATTATTCCCAAATTCATCAAAGATTCAATGCAACAATAGTCAAAATTTCAGAAGGCTTTTTAGTAAAACTCATAAGATGATATAACATTTTATATGGAAAAGCTAAAGGCCAAGACTGACCAATAATTTTGAGAAAGAATTACAAACCTAGCAAAATTACACTACCTGATTTCGAGGCTTGCAGTAAAAAGGATAAATAAATTATACCTTAATAAGTCTGACTTTTAAACATGGACATAATAAAGTACTTGCCTCAAAGAATTGTTTTATGACTTAAATGAATTGACAATACTAGCACAGAACAAATGTTCAACACATAGCTGCTGTTGTCATTGGCAGTTGTTGTTGCTAGAGAGTCGTAGAGGAAAATTTCTGCTTTCCACCTGGGCCCTCCCACACTCCCCTTCCCTCACCCCTGCCACTAAATGTTCAATAATTAAAACGTCTTTTTATGTGAGACATCAAGAGCTCTTTCTTTTTCTGGGTGCTCTCTACAGACTCAAGTCATTAATAGGTCTTGTACCCATTAATAATTTGTATTCTGGGGCATCAGCCTCAAGTGTGGGTATCTTTCATTTTACCTGTTCAGGGCAATTGTGAAGACTTGGCTGGAAGCATTTTTGTGCCTGGTGAGATAAGCATGGCAGCTTCTCCAGTTAACAAGAGAGATCCTGTTAACACATAGGCAATTTGAAAGTTGAAGCAGGTTTATTCTAAAGAGCCCTATGCTCCAGGTCCCATGCTTCCTCTGACCTCTTTCAAGATTCCTAAAAGAGGCCCTAGCCATGTATTCATCTGAGCACAGACTGCTATACAATTTATAAATGTAAAATATTTTAACCATAATTGTGTGAGACCACTGTCTCTTTCCACGCTGTATTCCCCTCGGCCATACTTCCTTTCATATCAGGCAGGATTGGAGTGGCAACATAATTTTTTCTTTTTCTTTTCTTTCTTTTAAAAATTAATTAACTTTTGCATTTTACTAAGAGAAAGTTGAGTTGGAGACGAAGTTTGGAATGTTTAAAAACTTCCAAATATAATTCAGTCATTGCTAAACTGAATTTGGATACCTGTAAGGAACATTCCTTTTGCCCACTAAGTTGACTTACTTGGCATCATGTCATGAAGGTGCTGGGGTGGAGGTCATGTTGTGATATGAATGTGAACTACAGAGTTTGGCAATAAAAATAGTTGGGCGGTATTTTCATACCATGGAATACTACTCAGTAATAAAAAGGAACAAATTATTCCTATACACAGCAGCCTGGATGAAGCTCCAGAAAATTCAGGTGACTGAAAATAGGCAGTCACCAAAAGTTGCACATTATATGATTTCATTTATATAAAATCTTTGAAAAAATAAAAACATAGAAATAGAGAACATGTTGGTGGTTGCCAGGGTTAAGGAGGAGGTGGGGGCAGGAGGGAAGTGGGTCTGGCAGGAGGGAAGAAGGACACCATAAGGGGTCTTTGTGGTGATGGTGGTACTTTGAATCTTGACTGTATCAACATCAATATCCTGGTTGCGATGTTATAGAATAGTTTTGCCAGACGTTGCCATATGGAAGAAATGGGTCTCTCTATATTATTTCTTACAATTGCATGTGGATCTGTGATTTACTTAAAAAAAGTTTAATTTAAAAAATTGAAGAAATAGAGAAATACTTGGGTAGTGGCAGAGAAAAGGTGAAATACCTGGAGCTAGAAGATGGTCTGTTGAAAACTCTTCTAAACATTAAACATGAAAAATTGTAAGGGACAGGGGTAGAGTTAAGTTTTTGTAGATGCCTAGTCAAAATGGTGGGTCTCTCCTATTAGGAATATACCTGAAAAGTATAAGTGTAACCATAATCCCACAACATATATTTTTATGGGAATTGTGTAAGATAGAATTTATCAGAATTCCCATGTTTGTAGGCAGAAATCCTGAGCAGCATTACAAACAGCAGGTACACCTCTGGGAGAAATGTACCCCAATGTGTCTGATCACACTGAATGCATCTGATATATCTTATCCTGAGAAAGCCTGGCAGTTCCTGGAAGAACTCTGTGCAAAATTCTGCAGACATGGATAAGCAGCCTGAAGACATAAGTGACCCAGTGACAAAGTATCTACACACATTCATCAATAAGTCAACGTAGGTAATAGATGACAGCATTTTGACCACATAGTTATCTAGCTTATTTTAATAAAGAAATTTTAAAATGCATTTGAATTTTTCCTATGTATGCTAATTCAATTAATTTTACATATTTTGGGGATTATTAATCATATTATTAAGTAATATGAAGATTAAGGACAATGTATACTGTATTGTATGGTGCTAGGCTCATAGGTACTTAATGGATAGCAACTACTAATTACAATTTTAATACTATAAGTTTGGTGAAATAATAGGTCATTAATAAATAACAACTGCTTATTGTGGATAGTGCTGTTTAGTTGTTTACTAAAGATTCCTGTGGGAAGTTTCTTATGGGAGATGGTGTACACTGACTAGGCCTTTGAGCAGCAGACATTTGTTTGTGTAGAAGACTTCTATCTCATTGACAGTGATAATGTTGATCTCAGAATTGTCCTGCTACAAGTTTAGGCCACAAGGAGCCCCTAAGTTCTTATCATTGCAGGCCGGGTCAACCTCCTTGCTCTTGCCAGATTGCTAGGATAATTTCCAAATGCTCATATGGCTGCAAAGGTATTTTCTATTATTTATTTGGAATATAGGAGAAATGCCTGGTGCCACCATCAATGGTAGAAAGAAAAACAATAGCAGAATATGTCTTCATGTTCTTTGCTGGCAATACACTAGGTCAGTAAATGAATGATATTTAATTGTGCATTCTTACAATGCCAGATATTTTGGTATGGCAAGAAAATACAATAGTTATGGAAGTAAATAGCTACTAGGTGTGTTACTTTTTAAAAAGATTTTTTTTTAATTTATTTTATTTTTATTTATTTATTTTTTAAATTTTACTTTAAGTTCTGGCATACATATGCAGAACGTGCAGGTTTGTTACATAGGTATACTTGTGCTATAGTGGTTTGCTTCACCTATGAACCTGTCATCTAGGTTTTAAGCCCCACATGCATTAGATATTTGTCCTAATGCTTTCCCTCCCCTTGCCCCCACACCCTGCAACGGTCCCCGCTGTGTGATGTTCCCTTCCCTGTGTCCATGTGTTCTCATTGTTCAACTCCCACTTATGAGTGAGAACATGCAGTGTTTGGTTTTCTGGTCCTGTGTGAGTTTGCTGAGATTGATGGCTGGTGGGAAAGGAGATATTATATTAAATATCCCTTCAAATTCTTATATAGCTTGACTTTAAAATATCTCAACTTAGCATCCTTTTCTGTAAATAAATTCAATGCTTCATTAAAACACACCAGTAATATAAATGATAATGAAGGCCTTACACTACTATTTACCTTACATTTGTTTTGTGGCACTTTACATATAATTCTGCATTTGGCTACATACAGCTATGTAGCTATGTAGAACACAGCTCCTGTAAGCTGTCCATTCAACTGTTCCAAATATGCAACTTCTCATAGCTACCTCAGGGTCACAGAAGGCTGCCTTTCTTTTAGCATCACATTCATTTTCCAGACAGGGAACAGTAAAGGGAAATACAATGGGTGAGTTTAAGATCTATCTTCTGTTCACATCTCATTAGTATCTCTGTGCTACGTGTGCCATACTTGCCAACTCACTAGCTGCAAGCAGTGGTGAGGTTGTGGGTATATGTGTAGGAATGCATGCATGCATGTAGTTTTAAGGAGAACACATTATGGTCACGAACAAAGTCTGTGTTCTTTTAAAAGGAAAGGGAGACAGGATTTTGAGCAGGAAAAAAGTGAGGACTGCCGTACATAGTAGTCTTCATGAAAGTCCTGTAAGATGGGTGTTACTATTTCTGTGAAGCATGCTATAGGCAAAGTTAAATAGGCTTTTAAATAAGTTGTGAAAATTATGTTTGCACCCAAGAAGTCACATTTGGATGGGAATTATTACAAAGAATTTTTCATCAATATGATTCAAAGAAATATAGAGTAATCACAAGGAACTTTCACAAGCTTAGAATTGTTTGCGCTTAGCAATATTCTCCAGTGTACGAGTATCATTATACTTCCATCCTACTAGGCTTCTTCAGTTCCTCTCACCCACTGGGGGCTTTGTTCTTGTTTTCTATGTTTCAAAACCTGTTTGATCTGGTGTTGAGGCTATCCAGATTCTTTTTTCCTTCAGGTTTCAGTTCAAATGCCATCTGCCCTGGACGGTGTTCCAGCTCCCCATCTGGGTATTACCTATCCCCAAGTCATTCTCTATCACATTATCCTGAGGTGTATTGCCTACAGAGCCTATTACTATCTACAGTTATCTTGTTTATTTACTTATCTTCTGTATTTGTCCCTACCAGGACTTAAAGTCACTGGGAGGCATGGATTTTTATCTTTCTTCCCATTCACTGAACTATGACTGCTAACACCACCAATGCCTGATACATTGTAGCCTCTGAATACATGCTTGTTTAGATTCTGAATAAGAATACTCTGAGGGCATGGTAGCATTAAGTATTAAGAGACAGGATGCCATGCAGGTTTCTACTAGGCTTTGGTCAGTATCTATTCCGCTGTAGGAAGTATATGCAGTGGTAAGTGGCTGGATTTTGGCTGCAGAAAGGTGGTCCTACCAAGCACAATACAGGCAAGGAGTGATTGTGAACAATTAACAGACCAAAAAGTCAAGCCATCAGGGCCTTTGGGCATAAAAATGGTCTGGTTATTCATGGTGTTTACATGGAATGGTGGGAAGAGAAAGCACAGAATGCTCTGTGTCTCTTTGAAGTTTCAGAGCACTTACTGCGTAGATATCCGGCATGTCTGCAAAAAAAATGCACAGCTGAGCAGAAGGCACCAGTTCTTAAGACATGTGGGTGACATGAAGTATAGTTCTGAGAAAGCCTAATTCAACCCAGAAAGCTCAGGAATGAACCCTTCAGAAATATCTAATTCCATGGTTATGAGCATTTACTTGAGTTGAATAATAACTAAAATGTTTTCCTCTTGCATAAAAAGAAAAGGACCTTTATGTTTTTAAGCAACATTTTCTTGCCAAGCTATGAATTATGACCCAGCATGTTGTATTTTGCCTACAGATGTTACAAGGAACAGTAGAAATTAGCGGAGCTTCTGAAATCGTTTAAAAGGTTAAATTTTTGACTTAAAAATCAAGCTGGTAAATTGTATTTTTGTCACTGATAAACATTTTATTTTCCTCAAATTTTGGACCAAAGTACTATTGAAAACTGTCTCTTTGCTCTTAATAGGGGAGATTATTTCGGTGATATTATATGATATTATATTGTCTGTAGCAGGATGTTTTAGGAGAAAAAATATTACCCCTATATTCTGTATGGGGATGTCTCTCTGGCTTGCATTGACAGTAATCTCAAGGTAATCCTTTGAAATAAAAACCTATAAAAAATGTTGTGACAGCACAAAGAGATAACGTGTGGCAGAGGAAATGAAACTAAAGTGTTTATTTTTCTGATAAAATAGGAATGCCTCTTCTTTCCCAGTTGTAGCATAGTGACTCAGTTCAGTGAACTATATCATCCTCTCTGGAGCTTAATTAGAAACCTTGTAAACTGAGTGCAAGAGGCCAGAATATATGTTGGATGAACACAGAAAAGGCTTTTGCTGGAAACAGGAACTCCTATGAACCACCTTATAACGGGGTTTAATGACTTTGTAATTGGATTGCTCCATTTGGGTTCAGAAAAGGGGAGCTTCTGTTTGTTCAGAAGGATGATGAGAACTATGGACATTGCATGTTTATAACTGAAGCACTTTTCCTTTGCTGCCCAAATTTCAGAGGCATAAAACACATTGATACAGATTCTCCCAGTAGTGGCCTCGTGGACTGTAAACTAAGCATCACAGTGATTCTCTAAATGGTATCCTGATGAATTGCCAGCTTCTGCCAGGGTGCAGAGAGACCCTGGTTCAATAAAACAAGAGAGATAATAGGCGATCAGGAAGGAATCAAAACTGTTTCCTTGAGTAATGGCATCCAGCAACCCCTCTGCTGAGGGAGGCAATGAAAGGTGGGTGAACCCCTTGAAAGGGGTCAGTAGATTTCCTATTCTTGAAAAGATAGAGTCCATTTTAAATGTCTGCTGCATTCAGATGACAAACTATGGGTCCTTTCTAAATATCTTTTTCTTTTTCCTTTTCTTTTGATTCATTAAAAAAAAAACCTATGTTTTTAGGGAGTTTACTTTCTTCAGTCATTAAGCTTGGACGTTAAGTATACATTGT
Organism: Homo sapiens; assembly: GCF_000001405.40. Classification (NCBI taxonomy): domain Eukaryota; kingdom Metazoa; phylum Chordata; class Mammalia; order Primates; family Hominidae; genus Homo; species Homo sapiens. Next base: position 83,426,414 of record NC_000001.11, on the reverse strand, counting down.
TGATCAAAAAAGCTGTGTTCTTTGCCCTGGAGTTTATAGTTCATTGAACTTAATGGTATTGAGAGTCTGGAACGATTGTTCCATAATTTTAGAGGTTCTCAGGACCAGTGATAGAAAATTATTCCCTAAAACCAAGGTGCATTTTGATATTTTTGTGATTAAAAAAACATTAAAAAGATTTTATAACTCTGGCATTTTCATCAGATACATATACTTACATGCTAACATTCATGTTCAGTTATATGATATGCATAAGAGTATATAAATGTTTTATAAGTGGCAACTTGTGACCATAAAGCATATGTAGAGCTGATACCTAGTTAAATTCCTATGGTAAACTCATCTTTTCAACTCACCACATCTTCCATTCTCTAAAATATATTGGAAGATACTTATGTCCAAATAATGTACTTAGAAAATATTTTTCCATCTTTTGAGCTTTTTCACATGATGATGCAAGTAACATTTTACATTTTCCAGGACTGGTTTCGTGGTAATTTCCTTTCTTTTGTTTTCTTTTCTTTTCCTTTCTTTTCTCTTCTCTTCTCTTCTCTTCTCTTCTCTTCTCTTCTCTTCTCTTCTCTTCTCTTCTCTTCTCTTTTCTTCTCTTGTCTCCTCTCTTCTTTCTTTTTTTATGTAACTGATTAGGCCTTGGGAAGAAGAAAGAAGAGTGAGGCCCTGTTATAATTGCCACACACTATATGACATGTTGTACTTCAGCCCCCTTTCGCTAACAAAGTATAAACCTGATGATGATTTATGATGGATAAAAGAGGGCCTTTCTACCCCAGATAAGCTGCCATGTTTTTCCAAGTTGCTTCAAATGCCCCTCAACTCCTCATTCTGGCTAATGCTTTTATTGACAATAATTTAAGGTGTTCAGTTTGCATTTTCCCCCTAAGTCCTTCTACTTGTAAATATTCTATGCTAGAGATTAAGACATTATTTCTGCGCTTAATGGACAGCTTTAATGGACAACAACAAGCATGTCTTTTGTTATGACAAAAGATAACATGTCATAAGAGAAGCACTAATGAAATAACAAATTTAAAGTGCCCAGCACAGAAGAAAGAACTCTGCACAGAAAATACATTCAGTAGGTGCTTTTTCCTTTCTCTTCCCCACTTCTGTGGGAAATGTTGCATCTGGTTGGAAGAATAAATAAAGCGCTTATAGGGGAGATGGAATTTTGGTTTTAAAAATTTGGAGAATTGTCTGTGGAATGTAAACCAATTTAGCTAGACAGGAAAATAGCGTAATTATAGAAAAACAGTTAAAATGATTTTTGGAAAGGTGGGCTGCAGCCTGATACGCAGGGCTTTGCAATTTAGGGTGAGAAATTTTAAGATAATTTCATTGATGATAGGAAGCCATTGAGAATATTTAAAGTAAAGAGAATCATACTAAGACCTGTGCTATAGATAGTTAATCCATAAGCTGTGTGAAGAATGAATCAGGGAGAAAAGGGCAGAAAGATAATTTTAGGAGGTTAGTTACATAAAAAGATCAACAATTATAATCTTTACCATCATTTAATGCGTGTTGGGGCCAGAATTTTTATATACATATTTTTTCATCTTCTCAGCTATCTTAGAATATAGATAAGTTAAGAATATGCTAGTTAAGAATATGAAGCTCAGTGGGTTATTCATGGCATCACTAAGTAGACTATGCCATGACTTATATAAGGCATATTACTAGTTGACCCAGTGTTTAAAACCACATTTTTCTGATGCCACACCCCATAATAGAAAGAGAACCCGCACTAACCTTAATGAAATGTGTGATCTAGGAAATGTCTCTAAATTTTCCTAGGATTCAGTTTCTCCATATGAGGAGACAAATCAAACTTTTAAATTTTACAGTCTACCTATAGACATACATCCAATTCTTATTACAGTCAATGGCATGCCTTTGCATCCCAAGTGGCCGGGGAATCAAATACAGACCAACATGGAATTTCCTGGGGAGCTATTTTCTAACTGAAAAGAACCTTACTCTTCAGGCTGAAGTGTAATGCATTTTAGCAATTTCTAATGATATGATTTTTATAACTAAGATGACATAGAGATTTATACTTAAAAATCATATAAATTCTGCAGGAATAAGATAATATTTAACCATAATTTTATAAAAGACACATTTAGAAAGATCCAATCAATTATATTTCACTTGCAGATATTCTAAGTTAAGAAGAAAAAGTTTGAGGAAAAATATAAAGGCCTTAAACCCCTTATTACTTCAGTTCAACAAGGAATCAAGAGTAAAGTTCTTCAAAGAATTAATTGAAGACACCCTGGGAAGAGGGGACTGAGGTTCTGAAGTTTATCATAAATCATTCAATGCCTTTGGCAAAGCCTTGGTGGAACTTATGAGGCTGAGTATTATAATGTAATTTAAGTTTTCACTTAGGACTTAATTCTGATTCTGATGGGAATTTGATCCATGAAAGGATTGCAGAACTGAATCCCAACAGACAGATTCTGTTGATCATGATAATGTTTTGCTTCCAGCAGAAAGGTGAGCTGCTGTTTTTGAACCCAAATGAGAAACGTTTTTGAAGCACCATATCTATTCCTTTTATACTGATCGGGGTAAACCAAGGAGAGGATATGAAATCTCTGCCTCTTCTGGAAAAAGGATAAATGATAGTACATTTATTTGTATAGAACTGAACTTAGAAATCTCTTCTGAAATCTGTATCAAGTGTTTCTAAATGGTATAGGCATGTGCATCAGTGATGGCTCAGTAGATCTAAACCTGTCTGAAAATCAGAGCAATTGGAAAATGTTTGTGCTCACTCACCTTCTGACAAAGGAAACAATAACTAACGCAGTAGGAAGCTGCAGCTATCTTCTGACACATTATGTTTCCAGCCCCAAAATGTCACATGAAACCCACTGAATGAAGATGAATGAAAACCAGCAGTGGTCCTGAAACACGAAAAGGAGAAAAAGCTCCAGCCGCAAAAACGGCTGAGGTTCTTCAAAGCCCAACAAGCTGTTGACTCAGACGTTTGCAAAGTTGAGAGCGTGTATTCATTCTCTGGTAAGGCCAAGGGTCTTATAATTGACCAGGCAGGGAAACTCAAATCTCTAATTTGAAGTATAATTGCAACATGCAAATTCTTTGCAAGAAGCCCTTAGAGGGAAAAGCTATGGTAAACGTTAGAATGATTTTCTGTTTCTCTGTCAATTGAAAATGTAAGGACTCTGAAGCGTATGATGTTTAAAGGCAAGGGGACCTAGGAGCTTCCAGAATTCAAACTTATTCTGCTAGGGCTGATTCTCTAAATTTAAATTGTGTACCCTGTGGTGCTAACAAAATAATCCTTTATAACTTGTGCGGGTTGAAGACAGTTGATGAGTGAAGATGATTTATTAACTTTATAGCAATATCCTCGGAGCTTTCTTCTATCACCATTTTTGCAGTCAACATGAACTTTTTAAACCATAAACATTTCTTAATGGATGAATTGAGAAATGTATGCTCATTAAACACTGAAGAGGAAAATGAGAAAATGGGAGTCATCTTTTATAACTTTAATTTTGAAAGTTATCTTTGAAAACTTTAAAATAATTTATAACAATAACATACTTTGAGACTCCACTGAGCAAATTTACTTTATCATGCAAAAATATAATTAAGTTTAATATATGTGCTGGACATCAGAATTTCTCCTTTTTTCCTAGTTTCTTACTTGCATTGATTGTTTGCTTTCAATTGGCCTGGATTAAAAACTTGGCTATCTTTTTGATTGGTGCACTAAATAATGAAACCATCTTGCAAAATCCAAGAAAGAGCCATTTTATGAGATTATTGTGGTCCTGAGTTAATATAAATCACCAAGTTTTGTTAGTTTTCCTGTCCCACAAAGAAGGTGCTAGTGCCTTCAATTTTTGCTTTTTGCTATTGTTTCACATTATATTGTCTTTCCAGTAATATTAACAACAAACTCATAGACATGGAGTCACATTTTGAAAATTGTGTAGGTAACTTCATTAATTGGGAAGGCAACACTTGAAGTTAGATAACTGATTTCAAAGGTGAGAGGTTAGCAGAAGATAAGAAAAGGGGCTTCGTATTAGTTAACTAGTTGAATTGTTCATTTGAATAGAAACATTGCATTCTGACCTTTGAGAAAGCCATAGAAGAAAACCCCAAATTTTAGGAATTTCTTATATTTGTGATAAGTATATTTTAAGATAGGCCATTTTTACATTGATATATAAATCCTTGGCTCTTTTTCTACCAAGGGTCTAAGATTTCATTTAAAAAATTTGAACCCCATGGTGGAATTTAGATGCTGGTGAAATATGTGCAGAGACCACTATGTGTTGACATTTTAGTTAAAATGAAACATTACCATTAGGTTAGGTAAATAGATTCTATTGCTTCTCTCACTAAGTTACAGTTCATAATTGGGCAAAAACAAAAAAATGGACCTTCTCTAATGTTTTCAGCACTTAGAGCTGTCAGAGCTCAACAACTGTCCTGTGATCAGTAATAAAGTGATTCTCTCAAAAATGAAACTACACATATACTGACTTTATTTTCCCAAGCCCTTGAAATCCCTCTCGCAACCAACCCAACATGATCTATCAAGCGCTAAACTGAAATGTGTCTAAAACATTACAGATTTACAACTTTCTCCTTAATTCTGAAACACTTCATTTTGGTCTTTTAGGCATTATTTTCTGGTACTTTGGTAGCAGTAGGCAAAATACATTATCGGAGAAATATGCTACAAAGGGAAAGAGAAGAAGGTTTTGGGCTATGAAGTTATGTTAACAGCTTTCTCAAGCATTATTTAAAAAATTGATGCAATAAATGTCATCTTAAATGTTTTAACATACATTTAATCTGGTAGAGTCGGGTTTTGACAATTTATTTTTAAACATAATGTGTCTTAATGAAGTTTTTCATACACGAAATTCATTAGTGTTCGGGACAAAGAAAAATAAGTGAATTTGTACCCCTATGTTGCCAAGTGTATGATTTGTTGGTATGCTAAATAAGTATGGTTTTTATATTAATAGATTAATTCCACATACATTATGAAAGTGTGAATTTTTCAATTTTCCTAATTTTATTTTTCAACATCATAGAAGCTAATTACATTTGTATCTAAGAGATCATTCCTCAAGCTTTAATAATGTGAGGTACGAGTTTATAATGAATTTCAACCTCTTTGTTTTTTGATTTTGAATGTCTCGGTTAATCTAAAGAGAATAATTGGTTGATTAATTCATTCATATATTCAGAGTGATGAACATGCCAGGTACTAATCTACATGTTGGAATACAATGGTGAAAAGTACTGGGTCTTACCTACAGTGGTGTGGCTTCCTCAAAGAATGATGGGAAGGTATACTGGGGGCTTGGCCGAGGTGCCAGTTTAGGGACTACACTGTGTAGGCTTGGAATGCTTTCCTCAGGATGTGTGTATGCCCCAAATTAATGGCCAACATATGGCGCTGTGACCTCCCCAAAGCTAGAATACATGGGTTAGAAACCATGAAGTAAAAGATTGGCCCCATGGTTATCACTCATACTTACTAGTGATGTCTGTGCTTCTCATTCCTACAATCTAGGCTCTGATGGATTAGGAGTTCTGATTTCTACCATGGCAGGAGGGTACTTCACTAGAGGACAGAATAAGTCATAGTCTTGGAACTATGACCATTGTTGGCCATTTTGGGCTTCTCATGCAAGTGGCCCCAAAAGCAGAAGGAAGTCATCACGTTGGTGGGGATAACTGAGCCTGATTTGAATGAGGAGCTATGGTTGCTACTCGTGGTGGTGCTGCTTGGTGGTACCATGGAAGAGCAGGTGTAGAAACCAGGAGCTTCCTTGGGGCTGTCCAGATGATAACAGAAAACGGACTATTGTAAAGACAATGACCTGACTGTGGTGTAGTAATAAAGGTTTCTAACCCCATGTAGATGATGGTTTGAGCCATCTCTCCAGACAAAGCAGTTTAGACCAACTGGAGTGGTGACTAAGAATAGGGAAAACTTAGAATGACATTGGTGGAGGAAAAAAGATGGTTAATATCAGTGACGGCCTGGTGGTAGCAGGGACTCCCTTTCCCAAATAGCTTTTCTTTATCGAGTCTATTGTAGAAATCAGTACTGGCCACACTGCCTTGAAGGCTCTGGGAGAAGTCTCAGTGTTGCAAAAGCTGGACTCTATCATGAACCTCTTATATCCTACCTCACAACCCCTTGGTTGACCATTTTATTCCAGACATTGGTACCACAACTAGCTGATTGCAGGTGTGGCCAGCTAACACCTCACTCCAACTTTTGCCCTAGCGTTCCTCTGTGTGGAACACTTATGGGAACCTGCTCAGCCATTCTGAGTCTTTCCTAACACAGCCATGGGATTACCCTTAAAGAATAGGAGATAGAAGCCTGTAACTGTGGTAGACAATTCTGACATGTGTTATGCAGGACTTTCAGAGGAACCCTAATCATATTGAGCCCTAGTTACCCACATTTGTCACCAACTTGATAATGCACTGCTAGATTAGCTTTGCTTTTGTTCTCTTTTCACTCTTCCCATTTTCCCATTTTTGTTCCTTGGCATTACTTGCAAAATACGTTGCCTACATGCAAGCTCTTGCATCAGGTTATTTTGTTGTTGGGGGCAGGATTGGAATAGATGGGTGTTGTAGAATATGATGGTGAGAAATGTTTTAAAGAGAAGTAAAGCAGGGAGTGGAGTAGAGGAATATCAAGAGGGAGAGAGGAACTGGTGACATTTGAAGACACCTAAGGAAAAACAATGAACCCTGTAGATCTTCAGGGAAGAGCACCACAGGCAGATGAAGCTGTTAGTGTAAAGCCCCATGGAAATGTGCCTGGTACATTTGAGGAACAGCAGGGTGGCCAGTGTGGCTGGAGCTGAATGAATGAGAAAGAGAGTGATACAAAGTAAGCCTATAGAGGCAACTGGGCCAGATGGAATAGGGGCTTTGCTGCCTACATCAGGATATTTAGCATTCTTTGTCTCTCATTTGTTAATGGGGCTAGTAATGCTGACCTCACATGGTCTTGAAAAAGGTCCCAGAGAATGTAGTGCCTAAGAGGAAAGGGCCTGTTTTCCATTTTTATATCTATCTATCTATCTATCTATCGATTGATCTATCATCTATGTCAACATCATCTTCCTAGCTAAGCTGTCTACATTGTACTTCGTAATTTTCTCATCCTCTTCCATCTCCTCCTGTGGCACAGCACTCATTTTTACTAAGTCTATTTTAAACTTTGGCCACACAGGCAGTCATCAAAAGGAACTGGAGAGCTGTGAGCCTTCATAGGGTGAGACTGTCACACATTTGTGTATAGCACATCATATCAGTTGCCTCCCTTTCTCATCCTGTGTCTCCCTTCAGTCTCTGGACTCTGTTACCTCTTAGCCTAAAAGCATTATACTGCAAGGAAAACTTACATCCTGATCACTTAGAAGGACATGTGCTTAATAATGTACTTTCTCTAAAGGAGCCTGTAAATCTCATAGGGAACTTGAACTTCTAATTTATTCTTAGTATCAAGAAGACCCTTAGTTTGTTGAGTCTTGCTTTATGTTATTCTTTTTCATTTAGGCTATAAAGAAAAGTGTGAGTCATCATTACTGGCAAGAACAAGGTAATGGTGAGTAAGTTGACTATCATCAGATCATGGGCAAATTATTTGACACCTCCTGGAGCATCTGACTTTATATTAATTATGAAGCAACTTTGATATGTTCTCTCCTTCTTTTTTGATATCTTCTTTTCTTCTTACGTGCTAATAGAATTTTAACCTGGGCCAGGTAAAAGTTTTCCAGCTTCTTCCCATTTGTGACAACCAAAAATGTTTCCAAACATTGCCGAATATCTCCTGGGGACATTGCTAGTAAGAAACATTTCTCAGGTAGATGTCCTTGGGCAAGTCAGCTAAATCTTTGAAATCTTAGTTTCCTCAAAGGTGAAAATAACAGATATTTGTCTCTCAAGATTACTGAGGTAGGTAGAATTCTAAGATGTCTTAAATGGTTAGGCTTTGTGTCCCCACCCAAATCTCATCTTGAATTGTAATCCCTCGTTGTTGTAGGGAGATCCCTGGTGGGAAGTGGTTGGATTAAGAGGGAGAGTTTCCCCTTTGCTGTTCTCGTGATAGTGAGTAAGTTCCCACAAGATCTGATGGTTTTATAAGGCAGTTTTCCCTGCTCTTGCTAGCACTCTCTCCTGCTGCCATGTGAAAAGTTCAAGTTTGCTTCCCCTTCACCTTCCATCATGATTGTAAGTTAACTGAGGCCTTCCTAGCCATGTGGAACTGTGAGTCAGTTAAACCTTTTTCCTTTATAAGTTACCCAGTATCGGGTAGTATCTTTATAGCAGTGTGAGAATGGACTAACGTATACTTCCTACTCCACACTTTGGGCTACTAAAACATCTGTTAATTTTGTATCTGGTGATTTTACTTCTCCTCCGTACTATGAATTCTACTTAAAATAAACTATATGAGATCCATTCATTAATTTATTTGTGATTATATTTAATCTAATATAAATAGATTATATATAATCTATATATAAATAACAATTTATAAAAATTTTTATGATTGTGATTTGAAAAATATTCACGCCTTGTCATCCTTCTTTACAATTTTTTTCTGCCTTTTTAAACAAGGTAGTTTGGGCCTCTCATGCTTTATTTTAAAAGTATCTTAGTATGCCTGATATGGTGTCAGATACCAGGAATATAACAATGTATAAGACATGGGTCCCCATGGAACTCAGAGCCTTGTGGCAAGGGCATTGAAAAGCAGTTGTGGGTGTGATGTCTCTAGCAAAGGAAAAGTACAGAGATTGGAGGAGCTGATAACATAGGCACTAGTTGGGCCTGAGCAGTTTTGTGAGTCTCTGTGATATATTCCTCATTTATCCACTTATCCTGCCACTTAAAGTCTGCTACAAATATTTAGAAGCTAGAAACTCAAGCTGGAAGAAGACATACTCTGACTTCTGACACAAGGCAACGTGCCCATGGGAGCAACTGGGGAGGAAGTTCAGTGGAGGGCTTCTGTGATGGGACAGCCCCAGAGCCCCTTAAAGGGGAGCTGCTAGGAGAATCAACTTGGGTTCTGAATTATGCAGTTAGGTCTAATTGGGATTTAAACTAATAGGATAGTTGCCAAATCACTTCTTTCTACTTTATCCTCCTATCCCCTCTATGTCTTCACCAAAACCAAAAACAAAGGAAGTAGAAACACTTTTCTTAGATAAAATTAGCCTCCTACTTGGTGGTACTTCAAGTGGTAAGGCTACTGATATGACTTCAAAATTGATGCCTAAAATTACAGGCAGTAGATAAAGCCCAAATCACAAAATGATTCTTGTGGACTATTTTAAAGCTCAGACTCCCACAATCCATGCCTAGAACAGGCATGCAAATATGAGACCTTTGACATCAGAAAATATAAACCAAGAACAAACAAAAAGCAGATACTTAGGAATTCTAAAATTTGAGAATTTTTACAGTGCCCAGCATTAAAAACAATACTGTACCCCAGAGCAAACATGATATTTCATACATATTACACTATAAAAAGACCAAAAGAATTTGAAAATAATTTTTGGAATCTCAACAGAATTGGGTCAAACTTTTGAATGTTCATGGCACTGTAAAATAAATAAAGTAGGGATTTGACTATAATCTCTTGAGTGTTTTAATCAACAATTATACTACTCAATTTAGATTTCAAAGTAGAATCTGTTTCTTTAAATTTAAATATATTCATCGACACATTAAATGTCATGCTATTTTGGGATGAATAGATTATTTTTATTTAGAAATAAGTGTATAAGTTTTACTGTCATGCTTCATTTCTTTAATTCTTCACTTGGCTTCTGAGACATAGCACTCTCCTGAATCCAGTCCTTCCTCACGGATCATTTCTTCTTAGTCTTGCTTGCTGGGTTCTCCTTATCTCCCTGAACTCTAAACAATGAGTGTCTAAGAACTCAGCCTTTGGACTTCTTCTCTTCTTCTCATGGCCTCAAAATCTTGAAGCAAAAGCTGTCTCCCTGACATAGAGACTCCTAGATGCAATTGCTTACTCAACCCCATCCTTAAATGTTCAAACCTTTATCCACTTGCCTCCACCAAATCTGCTTCTCCCAAACTTTTCTCCATTTAATAAATGGCAATTCTGACCTTCCATTTGGTCAGATTAAAAACTTGGAATTATCCTTGACTTTCATTCTTTCACATTTTTAATCCAATTTGTTGGCAAATCCTATCTACCCCAGCTTCTAAATATATCCAGAATGTAACTTCTCCATCCCATCTCTACTGATAATACAAACCTTCCTCATCTCTCATCTGCATTATTTCAACAGCTTCTTAACTCGTCTATTTCCTTCCCTTTTTCTCTCGAGGGTCTATTCTCAGGGTAGCTCGGGTTTTCTTTTCTAAGTCATAAGGCAGATCACATCACTTATCTGCTAAGGATCCTTTGAAAGCTGTTCATCTGACTCAGTAGAAGCCACTCAATGGATGCCCCCCCCAACACACACACATTCTCTACCATCACCATTTCTCTGATCTCATCCACTGCAGTTCTCTTTTTCTTACTCCCACTGCCTCTGCCACATTGGCTTCCCTGATACTCTTCACATGTTCCAGGGAGGCCCCTGTCTCAATGCTTTGACAATTGCTTTTCCCTCTGCCTAGAACATGGCTAGCTGCATGGCATCCCTAGCTGCATGGCTTGCTTCCTTACTTCCTTTGGGGCCTTTTGTGCAAATGTCATCTTTTCAGAGAGGCTCTCCCTAAACATTATCTTTTCTGCCTGATTTTTCTCCATAACACTTATCACCAACCAATATACTATATATATACATATCTCCCTACGATAGTGTACATTCCACTGAGACAGACATTTTTGGAAGTTTTATTCATTTCTTCATGGTAAAATTATAATTTAAAAATAGCTAATATGCACACATTAAGAAGCACGTGTATCACACATTTAATAACTAGATGAGGCACATGACATAGTGAAGTCTCCGTGTGGACTTAGTTTTGAAACAAATCATGGATAGTTAAGGTTCATCAATTGATTTAAAGATCAAGGCTTTTGCTTAGATGAAATTATTACAGAGTTTAAAGGTATAATATTTAAACAATCATGAAAAAGTGACAAAAACTGTTCCTAGAAAAAGATTGTTTAAAATGTTTGCTAATTACGTTAACCTATAATTACCAACAGATTTTTATGTATTAATAAACCATCAAACAACTCCAAGAAAGCAGCAAAAGAAACTTCTGTCTTAAATAGAGTGGATAGCTGACTATAATAGAAGACAATTCTACAATCCACAGTACAAGACAAGTTCTCATGACTATTAAAAATCTGTATAGATCCCAAGAGACTCCAAATAGAAGCAGGCCAGACATCATGGCATCCATGCAAAATTAGGTATGCCAATTTATTAAAAGTACCTTTTAGAGAGGATTGATGGTTCTTTTAAATTCTCTTGCTGCAAAACAAAACAAAAAAATAAGATGAAATCCTAATATCATGTTTAACTGGCTGACATTCTTTCTGTTTTTTTAATAAAAAAAGGATTTCAAGTGCCACAATACCATGTTCATTGTCAAACATAAGAATGATGTGTATGAATAAGAAATAAGCAGAGATGAGCGCAGCATGCATCGGTGTCCATATCAATCTTGTAAAGTTGTACATATTTACAAATTCTCTTGGCTCTGTACTTTGCCTTTCTGGGAATAATAATCTCTGGAATTTAGGACTGTTTGTTTACAATTTAGGAATATAATGTTTAATTTTTTCTGATATGAATGGGACTTATTGGTAATGGCATAGTCTTATTGTAAACACACCCATTTCTCAATAAATTCACAGCTTGGTGCTTTGGCAAAAAGGAAATGCCATTTAAAGGACAGACTGCAAACTGAAATAGGATGCAGAGAAACAGGAGTGAGGAAATTATTCAAAATAAAACTCATTCCACTACTAGTTGAACATTATTGAATCAATCAAGATTATAATTTGGGGGCTAATTTCACCTGCTAATGGAGAAGTCTGTCACAACCTCTAAGATTTTGAACTCAGATTTTATATGTTTTACAAACTTAAAAGATAAAGCAAAGGTTTGACTACTGTTTCCCACCCCTTTCTGAGTCTTTAACTTATGCAAAAGCTTTGTTAGGCAGGCTGGCAGCAGCCTTAAGTATTTTATTTCTCCACTGCTACATGAAGTCAAATTGCCATGGAGTGATAATTGCTCAGAAACTGAACTATAGGAGGCTCTGTCCATACGGTGTATCATCAGACAAATATTTCAAAGGGAATATTGAAACTCAGAGAGGCACAAATGATCTCGGCTGTGGAAGTCTTAGGATTTCAACTTCAATCAAAGGGAATAGGACCTGCTTCAAAATAGTCGTCTCCACGCACACTGCAGCCTGAAGTTAGCCCTGCATAATTACAGACAGTCCGTGTCAAGTGAATGGAAGGCTCCCCTTAAAGCAGGAATGCATGCGTGGCTCTCAAGGCAGCCCATTTGGATGATTTGTGGCATAGGATCAGAAATCGCTTCAACTTGTTTGAAAAAAAGAGCAACATACTTTAGAAAAAGAACACAAAATCCCATGTGATCTTGATTCTCGGAAACACCTATTTTCTTAGTAAATGTAAAGCATAGAGGAGTGCATCTTGTATTATTTATTCCTGGCCGGGAGTGTATATCAGAGTGGAAGGGCTTTGTGTGTGTGTGTGTGTGTGTGTGTGTGTGTGTGTGTGTGTGTGTTGGCATACAGGATTGGAATGAGACAAACAGAGCAACACAAATATTCCATTGTTTGCCTCTGTAGACTGAGGGATTGGAGACAAAGGCGCTAGAATGCTGGAGAAGCACTTTTGCAGAAATGCTGGTGAGAAGCACCAAATGCTACCCTCCCGTCTCCCCAGCTGCTTTCATTTCTCTGGAGCTGAAACAAAGGTAACTCTAAAAGCACACACACACACCCACAAGTAATAGAAAGGTGATGTGCCGAGTCACAGTTACAAATGAGAAGAATATTCTCATAACATTTACAAAAATGAGAACCTACTCGGAGCCCCGCTCATCACCATGCATACACCCTCAATTAAAACAATGCCCCTGATAGCAGGCAGTATAATCTGCATTTTATTTCACTCATGAGCAAAATAACAAGTTACTCAGGCCTGAGGCACTCATGAGTGATATGGGGCGTGTAATATCCTTTCCATTGAGTTTCCTATTATTAAGCTTGAAATAAGGAGTTCAGAATTAACTGTGACAATGATTTTATCTAGTGTTGGCATCACCATTAGCTTTTGCAGTTTACTGCTAATAAAACTTTAAATTTGCTATTACTTCTAATAACCTTCTTGCCACCTTAGCTGTAGAAATTAGACAAAGAACCCTGCTGACATGTGGCTAGTGACATTTTCTGGAAGTGTAGAGAACTCTGATGACAACAGTGACTATTATTTACCAAAGTATAATAAAGCCAGGCCCCACTGGCCTTCGGCAGCCTAACTTAAAGCACCTGTTCCTGGGGTTTGAAGGGGCCTGTAAAAGAACAAAGCATAAAATTTTGGTTTCTGTTATTGTTGTTCCAAGCATTAGAGTTTTATTTTATAGCAGTCCAGTAGATTCTAAAGTAGGAAAAATAATTTGTGACAAGGGCTACATGAGTGAGATGAAATATTCAAGTCATTGCTCAACACAGAAACTCAAATTCATTCACCTAAAACATTAAAAAATGAGGCAATGATAGATACGTTTGTGAGCTTGATCACTTTCTGTCAAATCTCTAGTTTCTTTCAACCCTCCCTCTGTGATATTGGACATTGCCCTTCCCCAATTCACAACCCTAATTATAGGGTAATTGTTGCTCCCATTTTCTCATATTGTCCACAGAATTAATGTGTGTCTGAACATTATGACTTCTGGCTGTAGCTGAGATCTATCTTGTTACCTTGTCCCAACAAAATTTTCCCAAACTACAAATAAACAAACAATAATGAGACAATAGACTTAAGCACTCAGAAAAATATAATAATGAATCATTAAATATTTTTTAAAATATTTGCTTTTAATCACAGTGAAAAGCATTAGCCAGTCACCAGACTTTATCTGGGAACCAGTGTGTATTTGGGAACCATCAGGATTATGTCTGGCATATGAAGTCTTTCCCTCACACGTGTTCATCTCAGGGTATATTGTGATATTGGCAGGTTTGCTGTTTACTCTCAGTGGGCAGTGCAATTGTTTGCTGAGAAAGTCTGAGTTCCAGAAGATTGGGGAATCAAAATAAAGCCTGTTGGTCAAATAAAAACATATCTTTGTGCAATGTTTCCTTTTCATTCTATCTTCTTTAGTCAGCTCTCTCCTCATTTTACATAATTGAATTTTATTAAGAAATGTGCAGCAAAGAAATTTTTCTCCCAAGACACTCCAGTGAAGATGTTCTCTTTGCCAGCACTTCTAGCATCACTTTGAGCAAGATGGTCTGTAAGTGGCAATAGACAAGGGAGCAACCTCTTGAGAGTTCCTGAGTTGTGAATGGGTTTTTGATAATTGGAGGAACATGCTCAGACCCTTTGCAGCCTTTACAGACTTGATTACAGCCACAGCAAATGGTGGTGCTTCCTTTCTCAAGTAACTTCAGCATCATTCTGTTTTCCCAGACCACTATAATCGCTTTCCTAGTGAAGGATAGGCATGCACCCATTTCACCTTCCTCCTTTTTTTATCTTTTTATTATTTATTTATTTATTTTTGAGATGGAGTCTTGCTCTGTCACCCAGGCTGGAGTGCAGTGGCACGATCTCGGCTCACTGCAACCTCCGCCTCCCAGGTTCAAGCGATTCTCCTGCCTCAGCCTCCTGAGTAGCTGGGACTACAGGCACCTGCCACCACGCAGAGCTAGAGCTTTGCTACTGCTTTTCGGGGCCAGCCTTTCTGAACCAGAAAAAAAGGTATATGGGTACCAACACGAGGTCTAACTAGGAGTCAGGAAAGGTGAGTATGTGTGAGATGGCTAGGAGGCTAAGCGCCAAGGGAAGCCCTTGGAACTGGGTGGGATATCAATGGTATTCTCTTGTTATGACTTTCTTGGTGACCCAGGAAGTATTTCTATGGCTTTTGTTAAATTTTCCAATTCGCTGTCAACTCTGGGAAATGCTATCTTGGTATTCTAAGCCAGGATGGAATGTTGTCTTCCCTTTAATGAGCCAGGACTTTATTCTCTGTGAATGTGAACTATTTTTTGCACATCTGGGATGCATCTGTTCAACCACAAAGCGTCAGTTAAGAAAGAAAGAATTCAGTAAAGACAGGGATATTCAAGGCCAGCCCATTCTGAGCTGGCTGGGAATTTGGTTTTAATAGATAGAAAATGACTGAGCACCAGGTGAAAATTACTGATGGATAGACAGTGTGAAAGGAAGCACACAGCTCCTGGCCCTCATTGCTGACCCCTCCAGTTGCATGTGATTCCTGCTCCTGTCAGGGCCCCATCCCACGTTCCTGTCTTCAGTCCAAGCATCCTGTTTCTAAAAACTCCATTTTGATTTTGTAAGTTATAGACACGACAGTTGGGGAAGAAGGAGAGAGAAGGATCTCCTGCTTTAGCATCCAGGGGGGCTTGCTCCTGATCTGCACCAACTTAGGGGTATGAAAAGGTGATTGCAAGTTCCCATGGGACTCTTGTGGAAAACGTGTGTTTGGACTCGAGTTAGAGCCACTGAAAGTTAAATTGTCAGTAGGAATGGCATTGCTAATATGAAGTAATGCATTTTGCCTTTCTGAGATACCTCCTCTCAACAGAGCATTGGAAAATACAATTGATTCACACGTTTGTCTTGCAAAAATGGGGGACTAATTTCCATAGATTGCCTTGGATTTTATTGCCTTTGGATAGCTACAAATAATCCATGTTTGTTAAAGTTCTTTTTTCTTATTAAAATAGTGAAAACATTTCTAAACTCATTATTTACCCCATAAAACAGTACTAAAATTGCATGTACTTGTCCCCAAATTGCCTTCTTCTCTGGTAGTTACTAATCACTTGGACTACTCATCTCAATTGCTGAACCACAACAACAAAACAAAAGGTATCTTTGGTTATATACAAACAGCTTTCAATTCGTTAATTAGGGCTAAATTGGAGAGCAATTGAACTTTGCTCTACTTATGTTGTTCTCTCTTTAAACTGTAAGCTGATGGCATTTTGCAGACAAATAGAATGAGCAGCCTTCCTGAGCCTCATACTCTTTATTCATTCTGGTTCTATACTTTCCTTGTCAGTGCTGGTTTATATAAACTCTAGGAGTGCATCTGTGCTTAGCACACATGCTAGGGGGAGACTAAGGTGGCCGGATAGAGCTTGGTAAAGAGAACCCTTGGTGTAAGTTGGGGTAAGGAAACGTGTCCAGGAAATCTCTTCGGATTCACTTATTCTCTGTGCTATTTACAGATATTTCCTCCGTAAAAGTAAAATAAAAAAGTTAGACTTTTCTGTTACTCTGTTCCAAATCATTAACTAACATGATTTCTCTGGTTCCTTTTATCAGCCTTGTAGGGTGGGCAGTTTTCTTAGCCCCATTTCTCTGATAAACAGAGGTTTGGAGAACTACCTGGAAAGGGAACATGACACAGTACAGTCTTTGAAGTAAGACAGCCTTGGGTTTAACTTCTGCTCCACTCTTTCTGTTGTTTACTTTAGCATGTTTCTGAAACACTTGGAATTTTATGTTCCCTCATTTCTTTATGGAAGGATAGTACCTAAAGATTTGGTGAGGCTGGGAGTCAAAAGTTAAATTCAGTGAGTTCAAGATTCATTTATTCATAAAACTCTCATTGAAATTCTAACTATGTGCCATATAAGGTACTGAAAATATGAAAGTAAACAAAAAAGGTGCTGTCCTCCAAAGAATTTTGATCCAGTGGAGAAGACATGCAAGGTAACAGAAATTCAAAAGACAATGGGATAGCACTGTGATATAGGAGGTATGTACAGTGGCCACAGGAGAATAAGAGTGAGGCAGTCATCTGACTCAGTTTGGAGAAATTCAAGAAGGGAACCTAGAGAAGGTGACAAGTTAGCTGAGACTTGAAACAAGAGACAAGTTAACAAAATCAAGTGATGAGCGAACTTAAGGCAATGGTACTTAGGAAGCAAATGAGTGATGGCAGATGCCTATACAGAGAGTTCAGGGAATTACAAATATATAAGTTATGGATGAGAGCACAGGGTTCAGGGGAGTTGCTAGAGAAGTAATTGATAGGGTAAAAGGTAGTGTAGGTTTAAGATTATAATTAAGAAGAGGTGGAATCAGGTTTGAATGCCAACTTTCTGATTTCAAATCCTATCCTTTTTCTTCACAGTCCTATCCCAGGTCAGCATGAGTATGGATGTTGATGTGTGTGTGTATATGTATGTGTATGTGTATATGTGTGTGTATGTCCGTATGTATATGTGTTCATTTGTATGTGTTTGTGTATGTGTGCATGTGTTTATCTGTATGCATGTGATATGTGTGTATGTATGTGTGTATATATGTGTGTATGCCTATGTGTATGTGTGTATATGTGTGTTTGTGTACTTGTATTATGTATGTATTTATGGCTGGATATGTATGAGTATGTATATAGGTGTATGTGTGTATATCTATGTATGTATGTATGTATATGTGCATTTATGTGTGTAAGTGTATGTTTATATGTGTGCATATGTGTGTCTGTGTTTATGTCTATGCATGTGTATGTGGGTGTATGTATAGTCATATGCTGAAATGAGTTCTTCACATATATACTTACCACTGTAAAGCTGGTATTTTCCTTACACACAACATGTAAATATACATTTTAATCCTGTTCTAATGAAATTGGAGTGTCAACATACTTCGAGAGACATCTTTAGCTATATATTTTTCCTACAGTTATCTGCACTTTAAAAATACAGAACAATTGAAGCCATTCAAAACTGTTCGTGAAATATTCAAGCTTTAAAAAGTTGTTTTTGTTGAGAGTGCAAGCAAAGAATGAAAGCAAAGCAAATTTGGGCAGAACATAGTTATCATTTTATCTGAAGTGAGAACCAACCATCCTAATGGACTTAAAGGATTGTGAATATTTTTCCAGTGACTGGCAATTGTAGAGAGAACTCTGTAAGTAGGCTAGGTTATTTTTTGCACTTGATTGATTGTAAATTTAGATTCATAGATAGGTGGATAATGGATAGATATTTTATCTATGTAGGGAAGTAGTTGTTACTTTTTTTAAAAAAATACAACCAATATGTGTTACATAATACCTGGATTCAGCATGGAATGTAAATTTTCTGGATAAGAATGTCAGGTTCCTAATGAAAATAGATAAATTTGTATTTTTAAAGTAAGATCCAATGGCATTCTAATCCTCTAATTCTAACCCAGATCATTTGATTGCAGAAAGCATAATAAAAACATCTGTGAATAAAAAAATACACAAAACAAAAATAACTGAGCTCATATCTAATACCTAACAGATTTAAATGTTTACAATAAAATGGGCTCCTTACAAGGGTGTGATTTAGAAAGGAAAAAGTCAAAAGTTCATATACATTTTAACCTTGTTTTGACAAACATATGATACTGATATCACTCTTTTTATGGATATAATGCATATTTTAAAATATAGTCTATGATTAAATGTCTTTAAAGCAAATCCCAGTTTCCTGTTGTTTTTCTTATTAACTAGGGGGCATATTTCAATAGTCTGATTAGGAGAGTTTTTTGAGCAGAGAGTGAGGAAGAGGTTAGTTATTCCCATGGCTCCTGGGAATATTTTCACAGTATTTATGCTTGCTGTAATGTTGTATTTGCTAAGAAGTGGAAGGCAAAGGTTAACAGATTTCCATTGCTTTTGTTCTGCTTTGTTTAATTTCGTTTAACTTCTATTTCGGAAGATCTTAACAGTTTCTCCCACTTACTTCATCCTTGTTCTTCCCAAAGCCGAATCTCTCTCTTAACTTGGTCAGGGTATGTCATACGTGCAGCAAAAAGCTGCATTTTTGTTTTTCTGCTGAAATTGAAGAATTGCAATTATATTGCCATTTCTATGAGCATAGAGCATATATCTAGAATAAAATACTCTTATGATGCAATGTTTTGTTTTGTTTTGTTTTTGTTTGTTTTTTTAATGTGCCCTTCTAGATCACTCTGGGGCTTTCTCCCTTGGCTGTATGTTTCAGCAGGCTGATATGAATAGACTGTGAAACTAAGCTTTTTTTATCTGGTTTTCAGTGGGGTTCACCCAATAGGAGCCCCTGGTAGGAAGCTAGAAGACATGAAGAAAGAAAAGTCGGGGTGTTTGTTCCCTCGGTTCATGGATTGGCAGTGTCTGAGCTCCTCTTCCATCGGCCCCAGCTCCTGTTGGGTGGCCTTCCCTTCAGACTCAGGCTGCATGGACTCTTTAAACATTCCCTTCTCTCTTCACTTCAGACGTGGTGGTGGTTGGGAGCCTCAGGAATGCTTGTTTCACCCTCCTTGGTTGAATTCCCTTAACCCTGCCCATGCTTTGTGCCTCTGTTGAAACTCTTTAATTGCTTCTTTTGAGTTCTGTTTCTTGCCAGAACTCTGCTTAATGCAACTTCTTAAAGCCCGAAATGAAGAAAACAATGGAAACAAATAAATTTCAAGTTTGGGCATTGAATAAGCTGAAACTTGTTTCCTTGCATCATCATATACTGTATAAACCAAATTTATTTGAATATAAAGTGAATAATCTCTTTAAAAAAAGAGGTCTAGTCAAGACTCACAAATTATTAGTATTGCCCCATGCTTAGTACTTACTGTAGACCAAACATGTGCAAATGGTACCAATTTGTACTGGAAAGTAAACTGTGTTTTCTTCTGTCCTGGAAGGCCAATTTTATTTGAATATGACACTTTATTTTTCATGCAAAGGGAGGTACAAAAGATGGAATTACAGAAGCTAAATATAGATGACTTCAAAGCCACAGTTTTGGGCATTTTGTAGGCTCCTCATTCTGATAATGGTAAAATCCTGCCTGCCAATCAGTGGGCCTGTGCTTAAAAGACAAACTTCATTGTGTAACGACTTACCACTAACTCCATTAATGCAATTTGGGGGGTTTTGCCTTGTTTCATTTCATGGCTCATTTCTTGCTCCACATTTCCTTGGTCTCTGGTGCTGCTTTCCACCATAAGTTAGAAATGAATTTTTTAAAATAAGCACTTGTACTTTGAACCATAAAACAAAATCTGAAGCTGAAATCAAAGGCAGAAGGTAAATTACTTTTAGTACTCTGCAAAGAAACTTTCATTTGGCTATTTCCTGTTGTTCTGAAACTCTGAAAATCAATACAGAAACATATCGTATTCTGAAGGCAGGTCATCTGTGCACTAGGTGTTTTTAACAGTTGGCTTTGAAGGGGATACTTATGCCCCCTTGACATGAATCTACAGTTCTTTGCACTAAGTGTCCCCATGAAACTACATTTTTGCTCAGGCTATCCATCTCAATGGTTATTACTTTTTACTTTTCCAAGCTCCCATCTTCTGTTATAGATTCACTGATAGATCAATATGACAGAGGCAAAATAAAAGTCAGTTAGCTGTACATGTCTATTATGAGCCTGAAAATTCAGACACACATTTCTCCTGACAGAAGCCAGGCACGCAACCGAGCCGTTACATGTCTGGATGGTTTTCTAGTCCTTTCTGTACAAACTCACATTTCTGGACATCTTTCTTAATTTTGAGGTCCTCATGGCCTGTCAGGGAGTTAGGAGTGAGTGGCTCCCTAGGGGCAAGAGTGATTTTAAAATACAATCTTCACTTTTGAAAGGAGAGAACAGAACACATTTGCTGCTGCACTGAGGCAGTAAAAAGGAGTGCTGACATGCTCGGTTCCTAAACCACAGGCAAGCAGACTGTGAAACCAAGTGTTGTTTCAAAGTCAAGGGAAAAATCTTTGCAGTCCTCTGGTGGAAAATGGGAATGTGAAAGCTGGCTTTGGGCAGGTAGGAAACCTCAGGTTCCCTCTGGGGTTGATCCTTTCAGTTATTAATCAGCAACCATTTTGAGAAAGAAGTAGAAATCTGTCAAACATTTAAGCTACTGTCCACTAGATGGTCTAAAATATCTACTAGTATCAGTTGGGACAGAGTGCTTCAGGGACATGCCAGAGAAGGAAGACATGGGCAGCAAAAGAGGCTGAGATTCAAATGGTCTCATATTTTAAAATTTTTAGCCCTTATTGCAAGTTCTCATGGTTAGATTTGTAGCAAGAGATATAAAACTTGTAAAGCCCACCAAGATTATTAGAAATTCAACTAAAATGTAGGGCTTTTAATTCATTAATGTATCATGTCATGCATGGATTTGACACTCATTTATTGAGCTCTTACTGGGAATCAGACACTGTGCAAGGTGTTCAGGTTGGGAAAAGGCTGGTTTCCCTTCCTCAAGTAGCTTCCAATTCAGCAGCAGAGAGACAGGTGAATAGCAATTATGTGTAAAATACACAGACATTTTCACAGTCTTATCCACAATCAAGAATCCATACATGTTTATGAATCCAAAGAATGCTATACAGCAGGTGGCTATAGGGAGAGGTAATGGCAGGAAAAAATGAGGATGCAGGAATTAACTAATTAAAATGAATTACAGTAGTAAAAGAAAGACATTATATGGACTGGTAACAATTGGTTATGAAAAAAGTTTACAGAAAAATAAAACAAAACCCAGGAATGACAATGCTGTGTGATGTGTACACATGTACATAGAGCACTGCTGGCAACATGGACGAGGGTGCTTTGCTCAGGTGGGTTTAGGACAGGTAGTTTCTGATCCGGTAGCTTAAAATACGAGAGGACACAAATCTCAGATTTAGAAAGGCCTCCTGGCAGAGTTGGTGCTAAAAGGACTGCAAGAGGATGAGGGGGCTTATCAAGTGAAGAGAGGTCAGTAAAGCTATATCCAAATCTATATAAATATTTATAAATTCATCTATTCTATTGTAACAAATATATAACATGAGATACACCCTCTTAAATTTTTTAAGTGTGCAGTACAGTATTGTTAACGCTAAATTCAATGTTGTACAGATTTCTAGAACATTTTCATCTTGAATGAATGAAACTTTATACCTGTTGAGCAGCAACTCCCCATTTCTGTCTCTCCCAATATATTTAATTTATTTGTAATTTTAATTTCTTCTCCTCTACCACACATAAAGACAAGGGAGCACTTATTTGAAGGCACGAGAGAGAACAGCAAATGTTTATTAGCTCCAAGGGGAGGGAGTGGCAAGATTTCCCGCGGCTGTCGGATTATGAAAGGCCTTCCAAGTTATACTATGAAATTTTTTCTTTTATCTGGACGGATTGGAAGCCACTAGAATTGTTTTTTGTAAGGGTATGAAATGGCCAGGATACCCACTTCACAACCATCACTCTGGGGGCAATTAGGAGAGTGGACTCGAGGGGAGTGAAACCAGAAGCAAGTGAGCTAGTCCGGAAAATGTGGTAATTTAGGCAAAAACCATGAAGAGCTGAAGAAAAGCTGTGGCGGGGAGCAGTGAGTGGGGGTTCCAGAAGAGGTAACTTAGATGACAGCACTGCGGGCTGTCTATTTACTCAGTTCTCACAACTGGGCAAGTTAAACCTCAAACCTGCTGCTGGAGGAGAGGCTGTGAACACGAAATTGGGAACAGCTCCAAGCATGCCTGGTGCAAGTGTCGTTTACACACTGAAGTTGGCCTTGATATGCAAACCCTAAGATGTGGCAAGTAGTGCCCTTTCTTTTTCACAGATGAGTTTTAAGAGCAAGCCGAGCATGAGTATCACAGAAAACATTATAATGAAAGACAGAGCTGGAGTTCTGTGAAAAATCAGTGTCTATTATAGAACATCAAAAATTCTTCATTATTTCACTTTTCAAATGTGTCAAATATAGCAAATACGTGTGTGATTCTAAAGAAGCAATACTAAGACTTTTGATTTGTTCTGTTTTCACTATAAAGCTTCCAATCAAGAAGGTAGATATAAGAGAGCCTAAAACAAGGAACAAGCCATGTTTTGGTCAGAAGATGAGGCTGAAGTGTTTATGTAATTTTTACCAGCTTGACTGAAATATAATTCCCATAGTATAAAAATCACTTATTGACAATTAAATGAGTTTTAGCATAACACAGAGCTGTGTAACCATCACCATGATCACTATGATCTAAGTTTACATTTTTATTACCTGAAAAGAAACCCCTTGTACTCTTTGGCAGTTAATTCCCATGCCCTCCACCTCTGCAATGATCAATCTGTCTTCTTTATGTATAGAATTGCCTGTTTGGGGCATTTTGTATAAATAGAGTCAGGCAATACATGGGCTTTGGTGACTGGCTACTTTTATTCAGCATAATGTTTTCAAGACTCATATATCATCACATATATCAGTACTTCATTCCTTTTTATTGCTGAGTAATATTTTATTGTATGGATATTCCAAATTTTGTTTATTCATTCATCTGTGGATCCGTATTTGAATTGTTTCCTTTTTGGCCATTTGTGTAATGCTCTCATGAACATTTGTGCAAGTTTTTGCATGGACCTAGGTTTTCCTTTCTCTTGGGTAAATACCAAGGAGGAGTATTGCTATGTTTAACATTTTGAGGAACTGTTTGACGGTTTTCCAAATTGGCTGCACCATTTTATATTCCCAACAGCAACATACAAAGGCTCCAATTTCTTCATATCCTTGCAAACATTTGTTATTGTCTGTCTTTGATTATAGTTCTCCCTGGCAGGTGTGACGTGGTGTCTCATTGTGATTTAATTTCCATTTTTCCTGTGTTTGTATTTTAAATCTGGTGACTAAATAATCTTTTCTTGCATTATTTATAGAGTATATTTTTCTTGTATTTTTTTGATATTGTAAAACTTTGTGAAAACTCTCCAGTTGTCTGTTAACACAATAATGCTGCTTAACAAACAATATACAACTCAAGGGCTTAAAGCATTCAGCATTTATTAGTTCCTGAATCTGTGGATGATGTAGGCTGGACTCATTTAGGTGGTTCTGACTTGAGCTCACTCAGCTGTCCAGGGGCTGGCTCATTGTTGGCTGGCCTAGGCCGGCCTTAGTAGGACAACTTAGCTCTCTTCCATGTGTCTCCTGCTCTCCAGCAAGCAAGGCCAAGCATGTTCTTCCTAGACAGTGTCCTCATAGCATAAGCTGACTTGGCAGTGTGCAGATGCTTTTCTATGCGTTTGCTTCTGGCAAAATTGCTTCCATCCCATTGGCCAAGACAAGTCACATGACTAGACTCAGAGCCAAGGGGCAAGGAAAGATACTTCTTGATGAGAAGAGCAGCAAAATCTTGTGGCAAAGGGCATGAATATCGTGAAGGGTGAAGCATCAGGACCATTTATAATATCAATCCACCACATGTTACCCTGTCTTTCAGAAGAGAAATGGATTAAATTGGTCGGTCAGCACCTGTTGCTTCACTAACCTACAATAGGGCCATATTTGTTTTCAAGGTTCTGTGAAATATTCAGGGTTAAATATTCTCCTGGTGACAGCTATTCTATTTTTTTTAAAGATAGGAAAGATGTCTATGTGGCAAATGAGCATTCTATTGTTTGAAAACATCTTCAGTGCCATAATGAGAACTCAGGACAAACCTGGATCAAACAGCAGCAGGTACTCTGAAATATTCTGGGAAGTGTTTTAGCCTGGGATATGTGACATTATTTTAGTATTTACAAATGTCATATCATCTGTTTTAGGAAAAGCTAATAGAATATCTTGCAGACATTTCAGGTCTTAAAAAAATTTGCTTCTGTAATCTATTTCTACATAATTGGCAAATGTGGAAGCAGACGTATTATGGGTCAATACCAGTGAAAGGGTGCTCTGCACAGACATAGGATTCACAGTCCATTAAGCTTCAGGTCTGCCCTGATGTGGGTTCCCCTGATGTATTACTATTATATCCTATTTTTGTTGACTCAGTTACTGTGTCAGCAAAACCAAACATTTTGGCTTGTGGCCCAGTCTTGAGCTGTCTATGGAGGATATGTTTTTGTCTTTACCACCATGACAGTAATGAGCAACTGGCATTAGTTTGATTTGCATAATTGTGTGCTTCCAACTTAGACTCTGTGTCAGTGGGAGACAACTTATTGTGATGATACCCACAGCATATTATCTGTTTTGTGCTATCAGCATTTATTTATGTAAATTCCATCATTATAAGGGGTCATTTTCCAACCGTCTACCAGTCTACCACGAAATCACATTCTCTGCCAGTAAGCCGGAAGAAAATGCCATAGGAGGAACTGGGTGTATTCAGTCATTCACAGTGGTTGGTCAAGGAGTTGGAAAGGATATTTTTGGTGGTGGCTTGCTTGTTTGCATTCTAGGGTAGTTTGCTTTAAGGACTGACAGGTAAGATGACAATCGGGTAGTCTGTCTATGATCATTTAGAATGAATGCCATCAAGCAGACATTCTTTCTTTCTCACAAACACATATACATACACGACAAGGAGTACCCAACTCATCTAAGATTTTCTTTAGGAATAATTTATGGTCTAAAAAGTGTTTTGTGTTTCCCAGATGATGAGTGAATGCTTTCTTTGATAAGAAGCAGAACTCTGTAATTTATTCATACAAGAGATAAAAAGATAGAATAACTAACTAGGATATCCTACTTGTAAGAGTATCTAAAAATACAGTCAGGAACCATGTGAAATGTGAGATTTCATTAACCAAACTTCACAACTCTGTTCACAAAACTATAGCCCAGGTTGATTGGATATCTTGTCATTAGAGGTGGATGAGCCTCCTAAGCATCAGTAACTGGAGCTGTAATTTATACATTGCTTTGATAGTTATCTCTGGTTAAGCACAAAGGGATGTCAGCATTTAACCCTACCTCAAGGAATGACAGTGTAGAAAAAAGGGAAAGAAAAGGAACCCAGCAGCCAACCATTTAAATCTAGTTGACACCTGTCAAAAGCAGCCCTTACTAAGAGGATGATAATTAGGGTATTACTCTGTTGCAAGCATGTAGTTCCCAGTCTGGTTTGTATCACTTTTCAGGCTGGTCAGAGAAGAGTAAGGAGGAGGAAAAAAATGAAAAAGGAAAAACAACTATCAGAAATCACATTTCATACTTTGGCAAGCTCACATTTAAGAATTCTCTTTGCCAAGGCTCTTAATGGGAACCCAGCTGATCATTCAGCTCAAAAGGAACTTGGAAGTAATCTTATAAGGGATTCAACATAAAACTCACATTTGGGAAAGTTTGTAAGGAAGAGGTGGGCTTTCCCTAGACACCTTCCCAAGCCCCAGTGCTAAGTTGAGATACAACAGAAAGGTGTTTCTCCAACCCCAAACCTAATAGGATAATCCTTTGAAAGAACATCTTGTTAGGTGTATGATTTTTTCCCACTTAATTTTTGACACTTTGGTGTGCAGGATGACAGTGGTTCACAGGTATATGATACATAAAATGACATGGGACATTCTTTCCTCTTGTATAAGCATTTAGAGCTTCAACTCACAACTAAATATGTTTCACATGACTTTTTCTCTTTATTTCAATTTCCCTTCTTGATAATATTGTCATTCATTTTGTATTTTATGAATGAAATCTCTCCATATAAAACATGTCGAATCTGCTGCCACTTTAACTTCTGTTTAGAACACATAGTGACAAGTGAAACTGGGTCAGGAATACAGTGATCAAATGAGACACCATGAAGTACCGTACAAAACATGTGATTAGGAGTTATAGACAAGATTTAATTCCCAGTCATTTTCTACTAATTATGTAACATTTGCTAGCCTTTTAACATGTTGGGCCCTCGGTTTCCTCATTTGTGAAATGCAATCGAGAGCTCTAAGTGTCCTGTGAATGCAACCTTTGAAACAGCACTATGATTTGTTATCATTTGCTCGACTGCTTGCATTTGCAATAGAACTAGGAATGGAAAAGTTAGGTCTACTGATGTTATTTCTCACATGGTACAAGTTCTCAAAGGAGAGGAGAATGCTCTCAAAGAAACACAAAGCCAGACCATCAGTGTACACCTTCCCATAGGAATACCTACTAGCAAAGAGTTCAAATGAGTGAGAAAGGAAAAGCTGGCTATAGAAGAAAAGCTGGGAGAAGGAAAGGTCTGGCCACTGCTTCATCTACAGTGGGAAAGTTACACCACACACACATGTCAAAGGGAAAAGGCAGCATTTCTGAAGAGCCCACTGTGTATCTGGAGACGTGTAAGGTTGAAAGCCAATGTGAAATGTTACCTAAAAGCCAGAGGGGCAGAACAGTAGCACTGGGAAAAATAATACCCACCCCAAACGGGGGCAAGACAACTCAAGGTTGTAGTTTAAGGAACTGATTGAGACCCATGTGAGGCAGCTGAGCAAGAAAGACAGAAGGAAATGACAGGAGCAGTCAGGAAAAAGTGAATATGCTGGACCACAGCAACTGACAGAGGCATCTGGAAACAACGAGAGGCAGAATTTATTTTTCTTGAAAGTTTTATTTGAAAGTAAAACTCTGGTAAAACAAAACCATATAACAATACACTCACATTTCACTTTCTTATGTTTTAAAAAATGATCTAAGAAACAGACATGAAATTCCAGCTTTGTTAATTAAGTGGAAATAAGATTTACAAAACAATTGCTTGTAGCCTTTTCTGATGTCACGAGGTCTAACTCTACTTAGCAGAAGACTGGGGCATAAGAAGATGGCTTAATGAATACTTATTCTCTATTCCCTATAACCACTCTTTACTCTGTGTACCCTCTTTTGGACACATGGAAACATAATGCAAGGAATGAACAAAAGACTCAGTGATGTATTTTCTTGGCTAATGACAAAGAAAAAAAAAACCATGCTGATCATTTATAACATGTAATGTACTCATATCAAAGATTACATAATCAGAGAAGAGTGGGTTACAAACTACCCAATTGACTCAGCAGGTATCACCAAAATATTTGCAGGTTGCTTGGTAACCCAATTAAAAGTCTCTATTTAAATCCCAGATCATTAGTGACTGAAAGTCACTATCATTTGATGGCTCTTCTCAGTCCAGTTCTTAGGGGAGATTTTCCTACATCAGAAAACCACCAACATATTTGGCACTAATTGGCTCCCTAGGTGGCAATCTCAGCCTATAGGCCAAGAATTGAGTGGACCTGGGAGGATAAACTATTCCCCCAACCTGAGAGTTGGTGCTTCTCAACACAGGCTGAAGGACATTGGTGGGTTAATATGAGAATTTTTACATGGATATTACCTGTCTTTGGACAGATTGAGATGTTCTATTTTTAAGAATATTATATTTGTGTCAAGTTCTTTTTTACAAAATCAAGTTCCATTTAGGAATTTCTTATTAAAACATGTCTTCCGCATCTCACCTTTTTTCAGATCCTCCCCCATGCTTACAGTGATTAACAGGAAGAATATCAAATTTTATTAACTTAAAATTAGAAATGTGAATTACAGACATTGATGTAACCCAAAAGACAGGCCTAGAGTAAAATGGAAATTGTTTCTTTAC
The DNA here is from genome assembly GCF_000001405.40 of Homo sapiens. Classification (NCBI taxonomy): domain Eukaryota; kingdom Metazoa; phylum Chordata; class Mammalia; order Primates; family Hominidae; genus Homo; species Homo sapiens. The sequence goes on along the minus strand of NC_000001.11, from coordinate 83,397,777 downwards.
TGAAAGTAACTGATAGCTTTGCTATTTTGCAGGATATGATAAGAACTTCTGCAGGGACGGACACATTTATACAGTATTCATGTAAGAACATTAGAGCCTATTATTTGAGTACTTTTCTGTTGAAAATTGGTCTGAAATTGCTCTTTTGAAATAATGGATTTTCCATATATTTTGATGTTGACAGTAGTAAAAAAAAAATCAGTCATCAGTGAAGAGAAATAAATATGGAGAACGTATGATTAGAGATTTCAAGGTTTGCTACTAGAAATGATATTATAACTAAATATGTCTACCTTGGATATTTGACTATTTGACATTTGATTATATAATGACAGATAATTACAAAATAAATTTATCATATTTATGGTACAATATTTCTCACACGCACATACATAAAAGATAATGAGGAGTATAGATAATAGAACAAAGTTACAAAAACTAAAACCTAATGTAAGAGACCTGGACTGAGTTAGATGGCCTGGGCTCCAGTCATACCTTGCTATCTCTTTAGTACTAGATTTTTTTACCTGCTTAGCTGGAATTAGGAATATAGAAGGCCTTTTTTTCAGCTCAGGAATTGTGAGATTCTTTCGGAAGGTATTCCCTTTTATTTTTTTTTCCTACTAATATCTGCTTTTTGGTATACTGAGGCTAAGAAGAGTTAGTTTTATTTTATCTTAAAGATTTTTTAATAAAAATTTTAAAATGACGAAACCGGCTGAATTTATTGGACTGCAACATTCTCTATAATGAAGCTCAGAGAATCTACTATGAGAAATATTTCACCATATCAGGATAGTCTTAGCTTCATTTCGTCAAAGTGTTATATAAAAGGAAGGTGGAATGATTAGTATTCAAAGAAGCAATAGGGAAAACCTCTAACATTTTTATAGCAATGAACTTCCTCAACAAGAGATTTATGAGAACAGCCAAGATGCAACTCCCAAGCTGATTAAGTGCACTAGCTTTCAACTATTTACAAATCATGAAGATTGAGATTTTTTCTGAATTATTTACTGAGAATAGCAGATCACAATAATTTCTTAATTTCCATCATTATTTGATATGGTTTTGCTGTGTCCCCACCCAAATCTCATCTTGCATTGTAGCTCCCATAATTCCCTTGTGTTGTGGGAGGGACCCCGGTGGGCGATGATTGAATCATGGGGGTGGTTTGTCCCATACTGTTCTCGTGGTAGTGAATAAGTCCCACGACATGTGATGATTTTATAAGGGGCTTCCCCTTTTGCTTGGCTCTCATTCTCTCACTTCCCTGAGGCCATGTGAGATGTGCCTTTTGCCTTCTGCCCTGAGTGTGAGGCATCCCCAGCCAAGTGGAAATGTGAGTCCGCTAAACCTCTTTTTCTTTATAAATTACCCAGTCTCATGTATGTCATTATCAGCAGTGTGAGAATGAACTAATATACTATTGTTAATAATTTTTGTTGAATCTGGAACAAGTTTTTCACAATTGATTTTGCTCAGGTGATCTTTCATCCAGTTACTTATACTTTGAGGAGGCAAAGTTTTGAGCACCGTTTTCTAACTAATTTCTGTGAGAATATATATAATCCAGTTAAGTCCCATAGGCATTCAAATAGGTACCACTCATTTTCTGTGGCTGCCGTGTAGATATGCAGCTCACATTAATAAAGATGGCTCAGCTCTAGCTAAGTACCCAAATGTGTCCTGAAATAGAAAAAGAGATTGCAGTGGTTATGTTGAACCACTCTCTGATACAAAAATTCCCCATAACACACAGCAGTTTACCAAGCAAAGTTTGTAAAATACCTGTCCTAAAGGTGTCTAAATGAAAAATATGTTTGATGTTCTATTAACCTGAAACATTTTGCATGCCATATCTTTCCTTCTGAGAATTATGGACCATAATAAAGTCTTTGAGAAATCGTGCAGTGGGAGGAAAAGGCTGCTTACTTGCTTAACCTAGAGTTTCTTTTACCAATTTGATCATAAATTCATTTTATTCTTTAATTTCTAGTTACCTATATTCTAAAGAATAAAGTATCTGATAAAGTAGCTAGGTATATCCAGGGATTTTCCATAATTTTTTTCATAACAATTCCTTCTATGTCTCTCACTAGAATTCTTTCTTGTTGCCTTCACCTATTCATTGTTACTGTACACCTTAAAGACCCACAGTGAATATTTACTTTGTGGCAACACTGCAAATATTTTAAATCAATAAAATAATTAATTTTGTCTCTATGACCCCTATCCTACACACTAAACACCCTCAGACCCTTCAGGCTTTCCTTCTATACACAGTTGCAAGAACATTTTTTATCTCTAAACATGTTCCAGTTTGGTACTGCTTCTCTTAAGGGCAGCACGAGAGAGGGATATAGTATCCCAAGGGACTACAACAGAGCAGAGCAGAGCAGAGGGAGGCTCGCATGCCTTATGGAGAAGTCAGTAGTTTATCACGTCACCAGTGATCATTTGTTCTGCTTTTGCTGAGGAAGACCCATGACGGATGTCCACTGTGGTAGGCAGAACTCTAAGATGGCCCTCGAGATTTCCCACCCCCTCATGTTCATTCCCTGCCTAGTTCCTGGGACTCTGAATATGATGGATTTTACTCCCATTATTAAGTTTTGGCACAGTTGACCTTAAGATAGGGTGGGCCTAATGTAATTACACAAGCTCTTTAAAACTAAATTTTTCTCTGTCTGCTCACAGACTAGTAAGTCAGAGATTCAAAGCAGGAGATGGATGCAAAACACAGTTGCTAGTTTGAAGATGAAGGCAACCAGGTGGCAGGTGGCATGGGATGTAGATGGCTTCTAAGAGCTGAGAGCAGCCACTGGCTGTTAGTCAACAAGGAAAACAGAGACCCTAGTCCTAAAACCACAAGGAGCTAAATTTGGCCAAAAACCTGAATGATCTTGGAAGTGGATTCTATCCCAGGGTCCAAATGGCAATTGAGTTTAACACCTTGATTTTGGCATTGTGACATCCTGACCAGAGAACATGCCAACACTGTGCCAGATTTCTGACCTACAGAATCCTGAGCAAATAAATGGGTGTTTTTTTAAAGCCACTAAGTTTGTGGTAACTCATTACAGAGCAATAAATAACTAATAAATCCGGATATCCAAAGCTCACCATCTTTACCATATTTTGCTTTTATATGTGCTTTGTGATATATGACAGTAATGCATTTTCCATTTTCTCTGGCTGAAAAGCTTTAAGTGTCCCACATAAATAAATATTACTTGTATGCCTTCTTTTCTTTGCTTCCAATAAGACTCTGCCAGCTTGCAGCCATTTTCTGATTCATGGATTTCCTCACAAATTTATATTTCATGGACATACAGATCTATCTAGCTTTGTATACTTTCTGTGGACTTTTTCCATTAAGTTATGCACTTCCAATTCTGGATTCTAAGCTTGAGGCACATGGCATAAGTGCTTTATTATTCATAGTAAATATTTACCTTTATCTAATAAGACTGTAAGTTTACTCTGTTGATTACCCATACCCTAAAATTATTATGCTGATTGACCTCAAGTTTTGATTATGTCCTCTTTTCTGATTTGCTTCTTTCTTTTTCTGAATTACAAGGAGCTATCTTTCTCACTCACATTCTTTGTCCTTTATAATAACTGGTATTAAAGATGGCTTCCTTTTCTTCTCCTACATTTTATTTTATGCTTATTCAGCTCTTGTATTGTTCATTCTTTGACCAACTATCTTATGCCATCATTGCAATATCTTGAGCCATGGTCTAGGACACCTCAATCTGTTCTATGATATCTGGATATAGATAGCTCTTCACTGCACATTACCTGACTTATCTACCAGAATTCCAGTCTTAAAATGAACAAAATGGTGGAGTTTTTATTTACCTAGGGCCAAAGTCCTTCAGTATTACATCCCTGAGGGTACTTATTAAACTTCTTCTCTTGTCCTGCATGAATAAGCAGTTATAGACAACAGAGGGTAAGCCTCAGAAACCTGTAACATCCCATAAATCCTCTTCAAGAAGTAGCAGATCCCTGAAGAGACAAGTGATTACCTCAGCCTCCTAATTTTGTTTCTGAAAATCCTAGCCATTTCTTCTCAGTCTCCTTTGTTGCCTCCCTTTCGTCTGTTGGGTCTATGTAACCACATTTCACTATGGGCTCAGTATGCACTGGATTTTAGATTTGAATGTGAAGCAAAGAACACTATACTTTGGATCCCATGTGTGTGGGTGGCTGGCTAACAATAATCTCAATAAAATGTCCTCCTCCACCTTTTGTAGTTTTTATGGAAATTAAGGGCTTGTACTTTGAAAATATGATTCTAGCTACCTGATTTGAAAAAGGCTTATGATCTATGCTACTAAATATCAAAGATTAATATCTAATGTCATTTGCCATAAATTGTCACATGGTCCCTAGAACCAGGGAAGAGTAAGAAGTCTGTCTGATTCTCCAGATAACAAACTTCAAAGGAAGCTTTTATTTTTGGTCTTGATATCCCAAAGAGTTCAAGGAACTCCATTAACCTTGATCTACTCCAGCAGCACCTATCTTTTGTCACCAATATTTATTTTAATCTTTTGGTGGCTTCACTTCTGAAAACTTGAGTAACAGGTGAGTGTGTATGGTGCATGTAAGTGTGTGTATGGGGCTGGTACTCTTTGCTTATCAGGTGTTCCCAAGTATTTTTCTATGCTTTCCACCTTGATCATTCATTCTGAAACCCATGAAAATTATTTGGCTTCCCCATTACCCTACAAATGTAGTAAATACACTTAGTTTTTTTGTTTGTTTTAGAAATATCTCAGTTGGCTTCCCTCTAATTAGTTCAATATTTCACTAATATTTACTTTTACTGTCTATGTTCTTTTGAAATTTCAATTCTAAATCGCAAAATCTGAAAATATTTCTTCAACTACAAAAATTTGATGACCTATTGTTAAAAATTCTTTTTAATAACCAAAAGTACAAATTATCTGAACATATGTATTGCTTATATAGTATATTTTATAGAATATTTTAACTTTCTAATATGCTCCTTAATGATAATACAATGTTAAATTCTGTTATGTACTTAAATATTAGTACAGTAGAGTGACAAATGTGAATTTAAGCTCTAAAGTTATGAGGTGTGAAGAAAATCATATATATGTATATTTAAAAAGTCCATTGAAAATCTCTCTGAAAGGTCATGTTGAAGACTAGAAAACCAGTATTTTCCTTCAGCATTAGAACAGATTGCCATTTTCTTGGTTGAGTTTCAGATGAAATAGTTGGCATGAATTTAGGTGTCATATTGTAATGAAAATAAGCATCTTTCAGTGATGGGTGATGATTGAATGGAAAGCCAAATCATGTCTGCCATCTCTTGCTTGCTAGGTGATTCATACTCCATTCATTATTAGAATGGTGGGAAGAATCCTCTGTAATTACTAAATTGTTCTTTCTCTCTTTCTTTTGCTTGCTTACTCTTTCCTTTTGTTCAAAGACAGCTGAATTTACTTAATATTACTGTGTGGGTCAACTGACTACCCTATACTAAACGATGTATTGGTATGATAGCTGCTCATTTTTTAGTTGACTAACTTTCTAATGTTGAGAAAAAAATAAAATATATTTTATTCTAAATTTTCCCGTGACATACTTTATACTTTTTCAGTTTTATTTTGATATGTTTGAAAATGAGGAAAGAAAGACAGGAAGGGGAAATCAAGAAGAATTGAGAAATATCAAGTATATGTTCTATGCTAATGATTCTGCATGCATTGTGCCATCAAATCCTTAAATTAATCTCATAAAAATATATTATTTTACCCATATTACAGACAATAAAACAGACTCAGGGCAAGATCATTTGTTGAAGCTTACACATCTAGTATGCACAGATGCTACTCTACTAGGAAATACAGTTAATAAGAGTTAAAGCCCAAGTTCTCTCCAGGAAGCCACCCACTCTCCTGTCATCTGTTCTTATCCACGTAGTCAGACAAAAGGTTTGGGGTAGCAGGTTGAGGTTTCCTAGACCTTGTTAACTGCCCCCACAACAGTTTTTGTCTCATTTGCAAAAAAGAGGAAATTTATTTTTAGTGGCCCCGATTTGCTCCTACTCTACTCACTAAGAGATTTTGTGTTTTACCAAGAACTATTTGGACTACAAATAAGATGACTTTTTAAAAAATTGTTGGAAGTAAAATGTTGATATAAACAAAATGCAAGCACCTCAGCCTATTGAAAACAAAGCTTAACTCCCTATGCTTATACCCACAATGGTGTACTGTAAACTTGGCAAAACATATGTTATTGCTTATACTTTTGATTGCTTAAAATTAACATCATAAACACAAAAGTGTGTTTTTTTTCCCTTAGTGCTTATGAGATATGTGATGCAGATGGATGTGTGTTTATGTGTGTGTGTGTGTGCATGTAGCTCTTATTTCATCTTGAACTTGCATTGGTAGAGTATTTATCTTCTTTTCAAAAATACCTATTTTTCTAGATATTTGTCCTACACAAATCAGCATTGTATATTGGCCCAGAATTGAAGCTATACTTGAGTATATAATGCCAAAGATTTCATGCAAATTTATAGTTGTTATTTTTTAAATCATAGGAAGTCTGGTAGTTCAGAAACATTAAAAGTGAACTTCTCAGTTTCCTTAAAAAATAGTTGAGACTGTGGAGAAACAAAAATTAGTTGGAACTTAGTGAACTGAAGAAATAAATTCCACTCTGGGTAGATCGACTTCCTAATGTCACAAGTCAATTTAGAAATTATGTACAAGATAAATCTCTTTTCTCTCATTGCACCAATGTATTTATCTTAATCACAAGCATCAGTGGAGACAGAGACTGAAAAATAAATTGTTCACTGTCTCCAAGACAAACCCCAAATAGGAAACTTGATATTCTGCTGAAAGTCTATCTCTGGAATATGCTTTGGAAAAGCCATGGTATAATTATATGTAGTATTATAGAGATTCTTGTGTGTATAAATATTTTCAAAAGCCTTTGAAATTGTTTGTAAATCCAAAGTTTATAAATGACTTATGAAATCCACAAATTTGCTAAATATGTTTCTGCATTTTTGTATTATGCTCTCTGATTTTTCTTTCTATGTGTTGTAAGTCAAAGAAAATGATATACAATATGGCTAGATGGGACTAAAATCTCCAAACAAAAGAAGCATCTGTTTTTCTAATTTAGTTTTTGAATTTATGTTGGTTTCACAATTGGTTACACTGCAAACAATGTGGTTCAAATGACAATGACACTGATTACAATTCTACTTTGCACTAAGAGTGCTTTTTATTCAAGATTGTCAACTCCCTTAAGAACAATAACTAAGCCTTTCAGCACCTCTGTACCTTGGGTATTGTTTTACCCAATGTGAAGCAGATTGAACTGTAACTTTGCAGGAGGCTAGCAAGTTTTTCATGAAGCCAGAGAAGGCTAGAATTTTAAAGTCAGCAAGTTGCAACAGTTTCTCTTGATGTACATTTGGAAATATTAGAGCAAGGTACTTATGAATATGATTTCTTCCCTATGCTCATTTTTTCTAGTACTTTGAAATGACTCCAACCTCAGAGACCATGGGCCCTTAATTCTTAATTAACTATTAATGGTTTTCTTTAAAAAACATTAATTATTGCTTTCTTCCTGTTTCTATGCAGTGTGTCCCTACTGTCTCCCTTAGCCAGTGGAAGAGGTTATAAGTGGATAGCAAGCCTTTGGAGTTACATCCTGCCCCACAGATCTCTGAGATAGTTTCTGTCAATTGTTGTAGTCCTTAGAAAGTTCTTTAAATATTCATGTCTGCACCTTGTTTTCTTAAAAATCTATTTACATCTATGCTCTGTCCACATAGACTATCAATCCTTTCAAGACTGGAAGAAATTTGAATTCCCTATTTCCTCATTCATTCATTCATTCTTCATTTGCTTATTCAGGAAACATTTATTGGATACCTATGATGTGGAAGACAGGTATGCTAGGTGCTGGTTCATGGGAACAAATGAACACATTTTTCTTCTTAAGATAGTGATTGTTTCAATACGGTGAGGGCCCCAAGGGAAACCCGTTGGAAACTGAGTTTACTAATGTGCTCTAGTGAAATGGTTTCATGATGTAATTTGTGCCTATAATATCAGAAGCTTTACATTGTGTAACTTCTACAGTTGTAATGTTTTAGTCCTGATGACTGCCATTTTGTACTTTCTCTGTTGAGTGGAAACCTTGCCTTCCATGAACTGAAAATGGAAAACTCTAAATCATCTCTTGAGGGTTTTACATTTCCTATGATACCTTCAGTGATTCCATTAGTGTTTAGTTTTCTATTAAAATACACTCAGAAAAAATAACTAATGAATACAAGTCTTAATACCTGGGTGATGAAATAATCTGTACAACAAATACCCATGACACAAGTTTACCTATGTAACAAACCTGCACATCCTGCACATATACCCCTAAATTTAAAATAAAAGTTAAAAAATAAATAAAGTACACTTTGTATTATAAGTAAGATAAACCTAATGGCCATTTTTAAAATGAAAAGAATAATATGTTATAATAAGGTAGTAAATGTAGATAATTTCTCAACAGCAAAACCAGACTAGAATTAATGTATGCTTTATCAAGTGGTATGTTATAGTAAAGAGAAATTTCAGCTAAAATGTTTAATTACTATCTCACTAAGAGAGCCAAAAATGGCCTATTACCTAATTCCTGTTTATACCATTATTGACATTAACTAGACATGTAAACTTTGCCTGAGTGTTGTTATAATATGGTGGATAACTAACCTGATTCTGGAATCAGGCAAACTTGGGTATACAACTTGCTTTTGCTTCTCACAAACTGTATAAACACAGGAAAATAATTTTGTCTTATGTAAAATGCAGTTTTAGCAACTGCAAAATGTAATAATAAAAGTGTTTCCATGAATGAATGCATGGAATACTTAGAAAAGAACCTAGTACAAAGTAGCCATACTAGAAATGTTAGATAGTAGTAGTAGTAGTGGGTTTTGAACAAATTGAATTTATGCTAAATTTATTGGAACAGACGAAGCAAGTCACATGAGATCCCAGATAAATTGGTAAGCTATTATTGACTGGTCGGAAAGCAACCAATACTTTTGGGGATTCTCAGGCTATCATTACGCAGAAACTTGGCACATAGTTTTATTGAAGTGATCATAGAGCCACTTAGTAACTGTAAGAAACGTTTAGTCATCACAACATCACAACAGCGTTATGAGGTAGGTAATGTGCTCGTTTTATAAGTGAGGAAACTGAGAGTCAGCAAGAGAAAGCTATTTATTAGGGTTGAATAACTGTGAGAAGGGCAGGCCTTGACTCTAGGTTTATTAACTTCCATATGTTTCTTCTGCATGCTTTCCAACAGCCTGTCATTCTAATTAGCATTATTTAAATGTAAGTAGCAATTAGTTCTGTCAAGAGTCAAATCATCAGCTATGATCTAATAATTATTAAATGTCTATTACCTGCCAAATATTATAGAACAGGCTTTAATAAATATTTTATAACATGCTCCTTCAGTCATTAGCTATACTTAAAAGCCATCAATTCTGCCACTGTACTAGCTACCGGGGACACAATGAAGAAGATACATTCCTCAACTTAAAGAGTTTTTTTTTTTTTTAGAAAGAGGTTTTTTTTGTATTTTTTAGAGTAGTTTAGGTTCACAGCAAAATTGAGAGGTAAGTACAGAGATTTCCTGTATTTCCCCTGCCCCTGCATATGTATAGCCTCCCATATTATCAATAACCCTCACCAGAGTATCAAATTTGTGACAACTGATAAACGTACATTGACACATCATTATCACCCAAAGTCCATAGTTTAATTTAGTGTTCACTCCTTGCGTATAGGTTTGGACAAATGTATAATGACATGTATCCACCACTATAGAATTATAGGGAGTAGTTTAACTATCTTCTATGCTCCATTCCTGCCCCCCTCCCCAGGCAACCACTGATTTTATTTTTTATTGTCTCCATAGGTTTGCCTTTTTCAGAATGTCATATCATTGGATATGCAGCCTTTTCAGTTTGGCTTCTCTCATTTAGTAATATGCATTTAAGCTTTCTTCATGTCTTTCCATGATTTGGCAGCTCATTTCTTTTTAGCACTGAATATTCCATTGGCTGAATGTACCACAGATTATTAATCCATCCATCTACTGAAAAGCGTCTTGGTTACTTCCAAGTTTTGGCAATTACAAGTAAAGCTGCTACAAACACTTGTGTGCAGGTTTTTGTGTGGACATAAGTTTTCAACTCCTTTAGATAAATACCACAGAAAGTGATTGCTGGATTGCATGGTAAGAGTATGTATAGTTTTATAAGAAACTGCTGAAATGTCTTCCAAAGTGGCTGTGCCATTTTGCATTCCTTTCATCAATGGATAAAAGTTCCTGTTGTTCCATATCCTTCCCAGCGTTTTGTGGTGTCAGTGTTCTGGATTTTGGCTATTTTAATAGGTATACAGTGATATCTAATTATTGTTTTATTTGCATTTTCCTTGTGACATATGATGTGAAACCTGTTTTGGTAGGCTTACTTACCATCTGTATATTTTCTTTGGTGAGGCATCTGTTAAGGTCTTTTGCCAATTTTTAAATCAGGCTGTTTCCTTATTGTTGTGATTTAAGAATTCTTTGAATAGTTTGGATAAAATCCTTTGTCAGATGTTTGTTCTACAAACACTTTCTCTTCCTCTGTGGCTTGTGTTCAAATTCTCTTGACACTTTCTGTTTAGAGAGCAGAGGCTTTTAATTTTAATGAAGTCCAGCTTATCAATTATTTCTTTTATGGACCATAGCTTTGGTGTTGTATCTAAAAGATCATAGCCAAACCCACAGCCATCTATTTTTTACCCTATGTTATCTTCAAGGAGTTTTGTAGTTTTGAGTTTTACATTCAGGTCTGTCATTCATTTTGAGCTAGTTTTTATGAAGAATGCAAAATCTCTGTCTAGATTCATGGTTTTGCATGTGGATGTCCAGTTTTTTCAGCACTCCTTGTTGAAAAGACTCTTTCTGTATTGTATTGCCTTTTTCTCCTTTCTCAGGATCAGCTGACAATATTTTTGTGGGCTTATTCCTGAGCTTTCTATTTTGTTTCATTGATCTATTTGTCTATTCTTTTGCCAGTATCATACTGTTTTGATTACTGTAGCTTTAAAGTAAGTGTTGAAGTCAAGTAGTGTTAGTCCTCCAACTTTGTTCTTCTCCTTCAATATTATATTGGCTATCTGGATCTTTTGCCTCTCCATATAAACTTTAGAATTCATTTCTTGATATCCCCAACATAACTTGCTAGGATTTTTAATGGAATTGCATTGAATCTATGGATCAAGCTGGGGAGAACGGACATCTTGACAACATTGTATTGTACAACCCATGAACATGGAATTCTCTCCATTTATTTAGTTCTTTGATTTATTTTCTCGACATTTGGATAGATCTTGTACATATTTTGTTAGCTTTATACCTGCAAGCTTTATTTTGGGGGTGCTAGTGTAGATGTATTGTGTTTTACATTTCAAATTCCACTTGTTCACTGCTGGCATACAGGAAGACAAGTGACTTTTGTCTATTAACCATGTATCCTGCAAACTTGCTTTAATCCCTTATTAGTTACAAGAGTTTTTTTAATTGATTCTTTTGGATACCCTACATAGATGTTCCTGTAATCTGCAAAGAAAGATAGTTTTATTTATTTCTTCTCAATCTGTACACATTTTATATTTATTTTTCTTGTCTTATTACATTAGATAGGACTTCTAATATAATGCTGAAAAGGAGTGCTGAAAGGAGACATCTTTGTGTTTTTTTTTACCTTTTTGGAAATGTTGCTGACCATTATGTATGATATTAGTTGTAAATTTTTTGTAGCTATTCTTTATCAAGTTGAGAACATTTCCTTCTTAGTTTACTGAGAGTTTTTTTTTTATTACAAATGTATGTTGAATTTTGTCAAATGACTTTTCTGCATCTATTAATATGATCTTTTTTTATATCCTGTTGATGTGTTGGATTATATTAATTGATTTTCAAGTGTTGAACCAACCTTGTACACTTGGAATAAATTCCATTTGTTAATGGTGTATAATTCTTCTCATACATTGTTGGATTAAATTTGCTAATATATTGTTGAGGATTTTTACATCTATGTCCATGAGAGATCTTTATTTGTGGTTTTCTTTTCTTATAATGTTTTTGTTTGATTTTAGTCTTAGGGTAATAGTGGCTTAATAGAATGGGTTAGGAAGCATTTACTCTGCTATCCTCTGAAAGAGATTATAGAGAATTAATACAATTTGTTCCTTAAATGTTTGGTAGAGTTTGCCAGGGAATAAATTTGGGCCTGATGCCTTCTGTTTTGACTGGTTATGTGTTATTGATTCAATTTATTGAATAAGTATAGCCCTATCCAGATTATTTATTTCTTCTTGCATGAGTTTTCACAGATTGTGTCTTTCAAGGAATTAGTTTAGTTCCTCTAGGTTATCAAATTGGTGGAGATAGAGCTATTCATAGTATTATTTTATTCTCTCTTTTTTTTTTTTAATTTTTGAGTTGTAGTCTCACTCTGTCACCAGGCTGGAGTGCAGTGGTGTGATCTCAGCTCACTGCAAACTCTACCTCCTGGGTTCAAGCGATTCTCCTGCCTCAGCCTCCCAAGTAGCTGGGACTACAGGCACATGCCACCATGCCCAGCTAATTTTTGTATTTTTAGTAGAGATGGGGTTTCACCTTGTTGGCCAGGATGGTCTTGATCTTTTGACCTCATGATCCACCCACTTCAGGCTCCCAAAGTGCTGGGATTACAGGTGTGAGCCGCCACACCTGCCCTTTCATTCTCTTCTTAATGTCCATGGGATCTATAGTGATATACCCTTTTTTATTTCTCTTACTTAGTAACTTGTGTCCTCTCTCTTTTTTTCTTAGCCTGGTTACAGGCTTATCAATTTTATTGATCTTTTCAAGGAACTAGCTTTTTGTAAATAAGTATTTATAATGTGGTGGTAAGGTGTGGGAGGAGAAGTGTTCATAGTCTCATGATTAGTTCCAAGTCTTTCAGGGATCCTATGCCTCCAGACTGTACTTCATAAGTATATCTCAGCTTTTTCTTTGCTTTTAGGTGGGACAGGATGGCTACAGTGGGCTGGACATTGGTATTTTCCTTCTGCCATGTGGAATAATAGACCTGGCTGAAGTCGGGTATCTCCTTTCCTCCAGGTTAGTTAGACTATGATAATACTCCTATGAAATTAGGGTCTAGTTAATTAGTTTTTCTTCAGGGAGGCCTTTTTAAGAAGAGAGTATTCTAGCATGCTTCAAAATGATTCATTTTCCCCTCACTTTGCTGAAAGCACAAAGAAATTTTTATCCAATATTTACTGGGTCAAGTTCTTAGAGATAAAAGACACAAAAGTATGGAGTCTCCCTTATGCTTAGGTCCTTCTGGAGCTGTAAACTCTGACTTGTCCACGCTGATTCTCCAGCAATTCATCAATTACAGTTTAGGTTTTTCTACCCTGGCACTAGTTCCTGCAGTGGTTTCCACTTGTGAGTCTCTGTTTAGATAAGCCATGACTCCCCTTTCTGTATTTGTCTGTGTGTCTCTCTAATCTTGGAGCCACTAGTTTGCCTGGATCTTCACCTCTTTTATGGATCTAAAAAGAATTGTTGACTTTTCAGTTTGTTCAGCTTTTTACCTATTGTTACGATGGAGTGGTGGCTTCTAAGCTCCTTATATGTGGGACTGGGAGTTGGAAGTCTATTAAGTTTAGAGTGTCATAAGGTAAAGGCACAAACAGTCAGACTACTACAGAATCATGTAAGTGTTACCACAGAGAACTTTCCTCTCATTATTTTTCTATTTTTATCCGATTATAGATTAAGAAACTGAGGTTTAGTGAGGAGCATAAGAAGGAATAGAACAACAACTAATATGAAGAGCGGCTTAGATTCAACTCAAATCAGTCTATCACTTAACCTTTAAAAATTTTTTTCATATCATGTATATAGTCATTGTCAAAGATGGATTTCAGATGCTTAGACACACAGCTCTTTGATTTGCTGCATCTTGATCGTGTATGGTTCTACACCTGTCTGGCTCTGTCGTGAGGAACTGTTTTATAACCTAGAATGAATGTAGAATGTAGCAGATACTGCTGTTTTCCTGTAAACCACTATTTTTCACCTTCTTTATTAATAGAAGCTCAGGTTTGCTCAGGTATCTCGTGTCCCTGCACTCTGGATTATTTTTAGCTCCAAGAAGTAAATAAAGATGGGTTAAAAGAATCAGATCAAGAACATTCTCCTTGACAGTGTTGGCTTGGTCTTGTCACACAGTTCCGGTAAATAGGCTGAAAAGAGACATCTGCTGGGAACCATCTGGATAAAGTCCATTAAGGAGACCCATAGAAGGAAAGACTGCATTTATGCCTCTCTACATTTTACAGTCATCTTGGGTCCATAAAAGGCAAAGCAATTCACTGAGGATGACAGGTCATAAAGATAGAAAACACTTAGGTCACTGATGATGTCAATATGCCACTGAATTATCTAACTCTCAAACCTTTCAACCTTTAGACTTCCTAATATGTGAAATAATACATTTTGCTTATTGCTTAAGCAATTTTGCGTTGGATTTTCTTATTCTTGCAGGAAAAAAATATAAAAGGTGTTTTTGTGGAATTCCTTACATAGAACTTTAAAAATGTTTTCAAGTTCCTTCCTTGAATTTTTCTCTTGTCCTTCTTCCTTCCTAACACCACAATATTTTAGTGACATACAAATATTATAGTCATATTGGAGGGCCTAAGATGAAGTTTAAAGTCTCTTACTGGACCCAGTATTAGATATGAGACCCTGATTTGTGAAAAAGGCTATAGTTACTGGGCACCTAAAAGTCACTCAGAGATACTTATGGATTATTTGGGAGGCCTGAGAGTGGGTTTCCTGAGAAAGGAACTCAGATAAGGCAAATTTAAGTTTTACATTTTAAGATTGGTTGAGTCAATTTTTATGTTTATCTAAAAACTATAAATATCAGTTCTGTGAGGAAGTTGGGCTGGTTTCAGTACCAAGAGAAACATTCAGGAACCATTGAAATAAGTTTGAAATTGACACTGTACGGATGGTTATGTAGGGAGGGTAACTTCATATCTCTCTATATATAGTTAGAGAAAAGAAAATAAGCAAAGAAAAAAATTCATATTAAAAAAGAGAACCCCATGGAGGAAATTGAAAAAAGTAATCAAAGACACAAGAATAAAACAAAGAAAAAGGAGTTTCAGGGGAGGAAAGATAGTTCAGGAAGAATGCTGAATAAGCATTTGTGGTTTGGCTTATCTTTGTATCTATCGCCTTTATCTGGTACCAGAACCCCCTTGCCTGTGAGATTCTCCTCTCCCTGTGCTCCCTGCTTCCTTATTGCAACACGTACATGTACCCAAGGTAAAGGTAAAATGATGCCAATGGGCACTGTAGCTCATGCCTGTAACACCAGCACTTTGGGAGGCCGAGACAGGAGGACCGCTTGAGCACAGGGGTTCAAGAACAACCTGTGCAATATGGTGACTCCCCATATCTACAAAAAATTAAATGCATATCTAGGTGTCGCGGCATGTGCCTGTAGTCCCAGCTACTTGCAAGGCTGAGGTGGGAGAATTGCTTGAGTCCAGAAGGTCAAGGGTGCAGTCAGCTGTGATCTTACCACTGCACTCCAGCCTCGGCAACAGAGTAAGATTCTGTCTCAAAAAAAGAAAAAAAAAAGATGGAGAGAACATAGATGCATAGATGAAAGTAATCATGGCCTAGAAGTACTATACATTCCAAGTCACTATGGAGATTTTTGTTTTATGCCTGTGTTCTGGGTAAAATAATTAGTATTCTCCCCCTCACTTGCAAAGATAGTTTGGTACAACAATAAATTATATGTTTACTCTACTTGAAGGCTCTTCATAATCTGACCTCTCCTTAGCTATACAGCCACAATTTTCACAATTCTCTTTCCCACCTGTATCCTGAACTTAGCCAAATCAGTTTTCTTCCATTTCCTCAAATGCATCACAATCTCTTTTGCATCTGTGCCTGTGTGGATTATTTTTCCCCCGTATATCTATTTCACTTTATTTTTCAAGACAATTCAATGCATTCTTTGAACCCCAGAGCATGAATGATTTTCCCAGAGACCAGCCCTTCCTAATCCCAAGCCCCTGCCTAGATTCTATGTCTTGCCTGCTCCTCTGCAGCCAGTACATTTCTGTACTTCCAAAACTTTTTTGGTTCGTTTGTTTTTTTTTATAGGATCCTTCTCTCTATCATGAAGCCATGCATTATCTGAGGTCAGAATAGGTTACATTTGTCTTTTTTCCCCACCAGGGCTTATCCAACATTTGCCTTCAAAATTACAAATATTGTTAGGTACTCAACAAATGCTTCTGAAATGAATGAAAAAAAAGTGAATACTATTCACTCAAGATTTGCTATGAAAAGTATGAGTGTAGACTGAGGGCACAATAATTAAGGTTAGTATTGATGAAGCTCTTACTGTGTCCTGGGTACTCTTTTATGGGCTTTACATTTTATTAGCTCTTTGAATCTTTAAAATAATCCCTTAATGTAGATACAATTATTATTCCCAGTTTGGTGATGAGGAAACTGAAGAACAGAGAAGTTAAATAACTTGCCCTAAATAATACAATTTATAAGTGCTAGAGCAGAACTTAGTTCCAGGTAATCTGCTTCTTATCCAGCTTTATTAACTACTACTTTGTACTGACTTTCTTAAACATGAGAAAACTGGGTGTGAAGTTTATTTTAAAGTTTTTTATTTAAATGTTTATATACTGTGAAGAAAAAAACTCAAACCAACAGTTTGTTTGAAATTGTTTTCTAACTAGTTTTTTATACTATCTAGATAGCTTATTTGTACTTCAGTGAGCTTAAAATTTAATCTACCAATTATATTTTATAAGAACAAAGCGACTTTTATATTCTCTTTGACATATAAAAAAGTACCAACATAATTCCGATTGTAAATTGGGCAAATATTGCCATAAACACTGGTATAAATTCAGTGATTTTTACAATATAACATAAAAATATTTTCAACAGTGGTTTCATAGATTATTTTTTGTGATTGTAGCACTGATGGTTCTTCATACTTGTAAACAAACTTGGCTGTATTCCCTATCTATTGGTTCCTTTAATTAAACTTGTAATTAAGAAATAATAATAATACTAATAACAAATAGTCCATGCTATGATCTGAATGTTTGTGTTCCTCCAAGTTCATGTGTTGAAATCTTAACCATGAAGATAATCGAATCAGGAGGTGGTGTCTTTGGGAGCGAATTAGGTCATGATGATAGAGCCCTCATAAATGGGATTAGGTCATGAGAGTAGTGTCCTTATAAATGCGGCCTAAGAGAGCACCTTCATCCCTTTCACCATGTGAAGACACAGTGAGAAGGCTCCATCTATGAATGAGAAAGTGGGCCCTTATCAGACACAGAATCTTCCAGAGCCTTGTTTTTGGATTTTTCAGCCTCCAGACCTGTGAGAAATAAATTTCTGTTGTGTATAAACTACCCAGTTTATGGTATATTGTTATAGTAGCCTGAAGAGTCCAAGGACTCCATGTACTTTTCAACTAAAGCAAACCCATTAGCAGCAAATTAATTCAAATTTACTGGTTAGATTAAAATGACTAGTTAATTGCTATCTTATGAAAAACCTTAATTTACTTTCTTACTTTAAAGTTCTACAAAACTTATGCTGCTCTTAACATTTTAAACAAAATTTGGACTAATTTTTTTGTAAAATGTCTCTCAAATTGTAAAGGAAATATACATTTTCATTGTCAAAACAGTGATGCAAATAAGAAATGACATTTTGAGATATAGTCTTCTAAGTTTTCATTTTGTAAACATAAAGGGTTATAGATACATTGATAGATGAACATATTTACATAGACACAGACATAGATACATTGGAGGTGTATATTTTTGCCATCATTTTTCACTTAAAAATAAAGAAGTTTCATATCATTGAATACTTTTTACATTCTATGAATACATCTTAATTAAACTATTACTCTATTGCTGTACATTTAGGTCATACTCAGGATTTATTTTTATAACTAAAAAGTGGTAAAATCACTATGCATAAATCTTTGTTCACATTTCTGATAATTAGTTAGGGATGGATTTTTAAAATAAATAGACATATGGTCAAAGATATATTATACAAAGATACTGTATAATATCTTTATTAATATGTATTTTTAAATTACTTTTCTTTCTTTTTTTTTTTTTTTGAGATGGAGTGTTGCACTGTCACCCAGGTTGGGGTGCAGTAGTGCGATCTCTGTTCACTGCAAGCTCCGCCTCCCAGGTTCATGCCATCCTCCTGCCTCAGCCTCCCAAGTAGCTGGGACTACAGGCACCTGCCACCACGCACGGCTAATTTTTTTTTTAATTTTTAGTACAGACGGGGTTTCACCATGTTAGCCAGGATGGTCTCGATCTCCTGACCTCGTGATCCGCCCACCTCGGCCTCCCAAAGTGCTGGGATTACAGGCATGAGCCACCGCGCCTGGCCTTAAATTACTTTTCAAAAAATTATACTAAATTGCTGCCTCACCAGGAGGTTATCAGAATATCTTTTTCATATTCTTGTCCACAGAGAGAAATGGGATAATAAATTATTTGTTAATTTGGAGAGCAAAAATTTCATTATGCTTATACTTTAATTTGCATTTATTTATTTGTGAGCTTAATTTTTCGCATATTTATTGACTATTTGCCTCTTTAACTTGTATCTTTTGTTCACATCATTTATAGCATGTTTTCATATTGATTGATGTGTGCCTTTATTTATTGCTATTAACACTTTTTTCATTATTTCGGCAACTACTATTTTTATGATGTTATTTTAATTCTGTTTATATTTTGAGTTTTCCTTTAATCTTCCTACGCCAAATGTTTTGACTATCTTGAAATTAATGAAATTAAGCACCTGAGTTATGTCAGCTAAATTGTGCCAATAATATGCCAAATAGCTTTTAAACATTGGCAAATAACTGGATAGCCTACTCAATTTTTCATTTTTATTATTAGTATTATCAGTTTCTAAGCCTCCACTTAACATTTACAATATAAGTGCTCAGAGAGTAAACATTGATTTAAAGTTAAAGAAATTGAGCAAGCATGCTCCTTACAAATTTTTGTCTTGAAAACATTCTATTGAGTACAGAGATAAAAATAGGACCTTCTCTTCAGTTTTCTGCGCTAATTATTCATTTTATTTAAATAACAGTCTGAGCAGCTAAGAGGCTATCAGTTGCAAAATGCAATATATGCAATTTTGTGGCTGTGATTTATTTGCTATTCATTTAAGGATATGATCTACTTTCAAAGAGGCTCACACTTGCCAGAACATTTGCAAATCTGTAATCTTCAACATACAGAAACAATTTTCAAGTATAAAAATATAGCTGTTTTTGAATTATTAAGGGTATTAAGTTTGGTTGTATAAGCTATAGAAATTACATTCTAAACTGGGCAATAATTTAATTAGCCTGTTACGAAGACAATTTAATGAAATAAATGGCAACATTTGATTGAGAGCCTTAACATCCAGTATTGTATAATATCTTTAATTGAATTTCCTGTAGGATGAGCATAAAGAGATACTTGGAAAGAGGAATTTTTATTTCTATCATGATGAAGAAAAGAGGCTTTTATTATTTTAGGATCTAGTTGCACAAAATTGTCCACCAATAGTTACTTGATCAAAACTGGGATGATCATATCATTTATTCTCAAGCTGAAGCATTTTTGATAGTAAATGCAGATAGTTGAATAATTAGAATAATAGAATTTTTGAAATAGTTATACTTAGATTGATTATGCTGGTGGGCCTATACCTCAGTTCTTATAAAATTATTTATTATTTTAGTATTAGTCATATTATATGCAGCTCTTTACCATCAAATCATTGACTTCATTTTCATTCTATAATGGTACATAATATAAATTAGTTCAACCATTGTGGAAAACAGTGTGGTGATTCCTCAAGGATCTAGAACTGGAAATACCATTTGACCCAGCAATCCCATTACTGGGTATTTACCCAAAGGATTATAAATCATGCTGCTATAAAGACACATGCACATGTATGTTTATTGCAGCACTGTTCACAATAGCAAAGACTTGGAGGCAACCCAAATGCCCATCAATGATAGACTGGATAAAGAAAATGTGGCAATATACACCATGGAATACTATGCAGCCATAGAAAAGGATGAGTTCCTGTATTTTGCAGGAACATGGATGACGCTGGACACTGTCATTCTCAGCAAATTATCACAAGAACAGAAAACCAAACACCACATGTTCTCACTCATAAGTGGGAGTTGAGCAATGAGAACACATGGACACAGGGAGGGAAATATCACACACCTGGGCCTGTTGGTGGGTGGGAGGCTAGGGGAGGGATAGCATTAGGAGAAATACCTAATGTAAATGATGGGTTGATGGGTGCAGCAAACCACTACGGCACATGTATACCTATGTAACAAACCTGAACATTCTGCACATGTACCCCAGAACTTTAAAGTATAATAATAATAACAAAAATAGAGACAAAATAAAATGTAATACAAGTTTAAAAAGAAATTTACTCAAAAATAGGGGCTCATCAAAATTCTTCCTGAAAGTTAATACATTTCAATATGCTCTTAGAGAATTTCAAAATTACATCCTCCATACCATTTGCCCACTTATCATCTAATCAATTCAATGTATCCCTTGCTTTTTAAGAGCTATCAATATCTTCCTGTATGAAAGCTTTATTTTCAATAAATGCAATTTGCCAAAAGCTTTCATATTTGAAATATGGGTGCTCAAAAATTATAATCTTTAGTAGTTGAAATTTGGATGCTCCAGGATTTTGTTTAAAGATTTCCAACAATTTTGAAAAACATACAATCAGAAATGTGAGGACTCATTTACAAAATATTTAATACTTTGCTAGGATAACTAAGTAAATTTGCAAAGAGGTTATTCAATGGTTAATTATTTCTCAAATCTAATTGATTATGGGCAACAAAAAGACCAAGTATGTATTGCCATACTAAAGTATTTCCTAAAATTATTTCAAATCAGCTTAATCATTAAAGTTTATAATTCAGTTGCAAATACATATACACACAAATATACAAGTATATATATACAAGTGTAAAAATATTCATAAATTGTGACTACTATGGTTTTATTTCTCTTGGTGTAAAACATGAATTTTTGGGACCCTCTTTTCTTCAAGCTCACTTCCTTGTACACCACCACATTTCAAATATTTCTGTTCCACATATTTCTTAAGTTAGTTAGGAAAATTATTTTACACATGATGCTATATTATATCAAAATTTGTGTTTATAACAACAAAAATAAATAATTTTATCTTCAATTCACCTACCCCAATCTGTAATTTTCCACATTTTCCACTAAGGCAGCTACCATCACTGAAGAGTACAAAGAATTGACTATGTCGAATCTTTTTTTGCAAACTCGCTTTGTTTCATCAGTGAGCCCCATATGAGTTTTCCTTGAAAGGCAGGTATTGGTTATGTTGAGTCTGAAATGGGAAGAGATAGGTTATTACTGCTGGTCTTCTTTAAGATTAACTCCCATTTAAGGTGAGAACTGCATTCCCTGGATTTGTCTCATGCTACTTAGACATGATTATAACAAAGATTGGGAGTATGAAGTAGAGGTTGTAAAAGTCCATCTGGCTTATTTTCATTAATGATAACAATAATCATAACATTGATAATAATAGTTTGTTAAAAGGTAAAGCAATCAAGGACAAAATGCTAAACTGGATTGGCCATCAGGACAATAGTTATAAAAGTGCTTCATTCCAGGAAACTGTAATGTATGGTCATTCTATTTAATAAGTAAATTGGTCTCTTTTGGCAAACACTCTGTTCTTTTATTTTTGGTTAAATATTTGTAGTCATTCTATTTCTCTTATTCACATGGAACTTAATCATCATGAATAAAATTATATTTTACAACTTTTAAGACATTCAAGGCTATTCAAAATTGTTGTTATTACTAGTAGTAGCAGAAGTAGTAGCAGTATTTTGAAATATTAATCATTTACAAGGTTGTTAGAAATACATATTTTAAAAGATCAGAGAACTCATTTATATGTTATAATACAGAGCTTAGTTTCATAGTGTAGATAATTTTACAGGTTTATTATTCCTAGACCAAATATAGTATAATCTAATTAAATATTACTCAACTTCCTTCAATATTTATATTTGTTGTCCTTAGATATTGTTCTTAGTTACATGCTATACATTGCACAATGGCAGAATTAAGACTTTTACCTGATCTTTTTAAAGTGACAGATTTTTTTTGGCTAGCTGCTCATTTTCGGTTTCAAAAGATATTTTAACTCAAACATCATATTGTCCTTATCATTCATTTAGACTCATTTACACAAATTCCACGTGGCTGTTTGAAGGGAAACATTGGGATGAGCTGTTGATAAGGCTTATGGGTACTTCCAAATACTTTCTCACTGAAATATTAATTTACTGTATCCTAATAAAACCATAATATGCTATGAAATATGAGATTTGGGCCACATGACTTAATACTGTGTGTGCTAACAATAGAAATAGTATAATTTTAACACAGATAACTTATAAATACATAGCATTTATTTACTTATAGCACAACAATATTCTTGCAATTATCCTTAGAACCAAATGAACATAATCTCTAAAGTAGGAAAAATACCCAATAGCATGTGCAGCACTGTGTCCAGTATGCAGTTGGTGAACCAGGAAAAAATGACACAGTGATAGTATAAGTGTTGGAAAGTTTGAGGGTGTATATGTTAGTACAGGACATTTCAGATGTGAAGGCATAAGCTTACATACCTGAAGTGTATTTTCCTCAGCTAATCTGGCTGGCGGACAGGTACCTGCTTTGTCCTCACACCACCGTGAGTCACGTTCCCAAGGCTGAGCAACTGATGGAAGCAAATCACCTGTTCTTATTCAGCAGCATTGTTCTTCTTCTGAGATAATCTTCTCCTCCAATGGTCTAGTTGGGAATCGTAGTAGAGATCTCAGCTAGACTATTGCAACATCTTCCTAAACAGGCTCATTATTTTCAGTCTCATTTTTAGTAGCTACCAGATTGATTTACCTAAAGCACAAATCTAGCCATATTATGCGTCTCGTTAAAACTCCTTAGGAGAAACTAGAACCCTAGACGTTGTTGATGGGATTGTAAAATCATGCAGCTGCTTTTCACAATAGCTTGACAATTTCTTCAGCAGATAAGCATAAATTTACCATATGACCCAAGAATTCTATCCCTAAATATCTACCCAAGAGAAATGAAAACATGTCTGTGTAAAGACTTGCATGTGAATGCTTGTGGCAGCATTAGTCATATTAACCAAAAAATAGAAACAATCTGAATGCCCATCAATTGGTGAAAAGATAAGCCAATGATGTTATATCCATACCATGGAATACTATTTTACATTACAAACAAATATGCTATGGATACATACTGCAGCATGGGTAAATCTAAAAAACCTGATGCCTGATTAAACAAACCAGATGCAAATGACTACATATTCTATGATTCCATTTATGTGAAATGTCCAGAAATGACAAATCTATAGACATAGAAAGCAGATGAGCATTTGCCTGGTTCTTGGAGGTAGGAGTCAGTAGTGACTATAAATGGGTATGAGGGATATTCTGGAATGATGGAAATATTCTAAAACCTGTATTGTGTTAAGGATTGTACAACTCTGTCAATTTAATAGTAATCATTGAATTGTTCACCTAAGTGAATCTTAAGATGTAAATTAAACCTCAATAAAGATTATATAATTTGTCTGTGTCCCCACCCAAATATCATCTTGAATTTTAGCTCCCATAATTCCCATGTATTGTGGGAAGGACCTGGTGGGAGATAATTGAATCATGGGGGCGGTGTCCCCCATACTGTTCATATGGTAGTGAAAAAGTCTCATGAAATCTGATGGTTTTATAGGGGGTTTCTCCTTTTGCTTGGCGCTCATTCTCTCTTGTCTGCCACCATGTAAGACATGGCTTCCACCTTCCACCATGATTGTGAGGCCCCCCGCAGCCATGTGGACCTGTGAGTCCATTCAACCTCTTTTTCTTTATAAATTACCCAGTGTTGGGTATGTCTTTATCAGTAGTGTGAAAACAGACTAATACAAAAGTTATTTAAGTGCAAGCAAATATCCACAACAGCAAGCTCTTCAGAAGCTCCTGACCACAGGATCCAGCCTGGCTTCCTACACACTGTTCCTGGAGTGCTCCTCAACCTTGCCCTTTGCTTACTGCTCCACATATCTCACTGGCCCCAGCATCACTAAGTAAACTCCTATAGTATTGCTGGTAGTTCCTTGCGTGTTCTAACCTCCTTCTCAACTCTATACCTTTGCTCCTTCCCCTATACAATAAATGCCACTCCCCAATGTGTTCCTGCCTGAACTCCTTTACCAAGAAATGCCACTCCCCAATGCCTTCCTGCCTGAACTCCTTTACCAAGCATACTTCTTATTCATCCTATAAGCCTCAGCTCATGCCATATCTCCAAAGGAACTTATCTTGGTGTTTGTGTTGTCCCTACCACCTGACCCCAGAATGAAGCTGATAGGGTTTGGCTGTGTTCTCACACAAATCTCATCTTGAATTCCCAGATGTTGTGGGAGTGACCTGGTGGTAGGTAACTGAATCATGGGGGCAGGGCTTTCTCATGCTGTTTTTATGATAGTGAATAAGTCTCACAAGATCTGATGGCTTTATAAGGTGGAGTTTCCCTGCACAAGATCTTTTTGCCTGACCCCCTCCATGTAAGATTGTGACTTGCTCCTTCTTGCCTTTCACCTTCTGCCATGATTATGAGGCCTCCCCAGCCATGTTCAACTGTAAGTCCAATACCTCTTTCTTTTGTAAATTGCTGAGTCTCAGGTGTGTCTTTATCAGCAGTGTGAAAATGGGCTAATATAATGAATTGGTACGGGAAGTGTGGCACTGCTGAAAAGATACCCAAAAATGTGGAAGTGACTTTGGAACTGGGTAACAGGAAGAGATTGGATGGAACCGTTTGGAGGACTCAGAAGATAGGAAAATGTGGGAAAGTTTGAAACTTCCTAGAGACTTCTTGAATGGCTTTGACCAAAATGCTGATAATGATATGGACAATAAAGTCCAGGCTGAGTTGGTCTCAGATGGAAATGAGGAACTTGTTGGGAACTGGAGCAAAGGTGATTCTTGTTATGTTTTAGCAAAGAGACTGGCAGCATTTTGTTGCTGCCCTAGAGATTTGTGGAACTTTGAACTTGCTAGAGATGATTTAGGATATCTGGTAGAAAAAATTTTTAAGCAACAAAGCATTCAAGAGGTGACTTGGGTGTTGTTAAAGGCATTCAGTTTTATAAGGGAAGTAGAGAATAAAAGTTTGGAAAATTTGCAGCCTGACAATGTGATAGAAAAGAAAATCCCATTTTCTGAGGAGAAATCCAAGCCAGCTGCAGAAATTTGTGTAACAAGTAGCCAAATGTTAATCTCTAAGACAATGGGGAAAATGTCTCCAGGGCATGTCAGAGGTCTTCACAGCAGCCCCTCCCATCACAGGCCAGGAGGTCTAGGAGGAAAAATGGTTTAGTGGGTCGAATCTGGGGTCTCCATGCTGTGTGCAGCCTAGGGACTTGGTGTCTTGCGTCCCAGCTGCTCCAGCCATGGCTGAAAGGTGTCAATGTAGAGCTCAGGCCATGGCTGCAGAGGGTGCAAGCCTCAAGCCTTGGCAGCTTTTACCTGATGTTGAGCCTGGTGGTGCACAGACGTTAAGAATTGGGGTTTGGGAACCTCTGCCTAGATTTCAGAGGCCATATGGAAATGCCTGGATGTCCAGGCAAAAGTTTGCTGCAGGGGCAGGCCTCTCATGGAAAACCTCTACTAGGGCAATGCAGAAAGTAAATGTGGGGTTGGAGCCCCCACACAGAGTCCCTACTGGGGCACCACCTCGTGGAGCTATGAGAAGAGGGCCACCATCCTCCAGACCCCAGAGTGGGAGATCCACTGACAGCTTGCACTGTGCACCAGGAAAAGCCACAAACACTCAGTGGCAGCCCATGAAAGCAGCCAGCAGGGAGGGGAGGCTGCATCCTGCACAGCCTCAGGGGCAGAGCTGCCCAAGACCGTG
The DNA here is from genome assembly GCF_000001405.40 of Homo sapiens. Classification (NCBI taxonomy): domain Eukaryota; kingdom Metazoa; phylum Chordata; class Mammalia; order Primates; family Hominidae; genus Homo; species Homo sapiens. Next base: position 83,371,471 of record NC_000001.11, on the reverse strand, counting down.
GGAACCCACATCTTGCATCAGCCTGACCTGGATGCAAGACATGGGATCAGAGGAGATCATTTTGGAGCTTTAAGATTTGACTGTCCTGCTGGATTTCAGATTTGCATGGGGTCTGTAGCCCCTTTGTTTTGGCCAATTTCTCCCTATTGGAATGGCTGTATTTACCCAATGCTTGTACCACTGCTGTATCTAGGAAGTAACTAACCTGCTTTTGATTTCACAGGCTCATAGGTGGAAGGAACTTGCCTTGTCTCGAACAAGACTTTGGACTGTGGACTTTTGAGTTAATGCTGAAATGAGTTAAGACTTAGGGGGACCATTGGGAAGGCATGACTGGTTTTTAAATGTGAGGACATAAGATTTGGGAGGGGCTGGGGCAGAATGATGTGGTTTGGCTGTGTCCCCACCCAAATCTTACCTTGAATTCCCACAAGTTGTGGGAGGGACCTGGTGGTAGGTAATTGAATCATGGGGGCAGGACTTTCCTGTGCTATTATCGTGATAGTGAATAAGTCTCCCAAGATCTGATGGCTTTATAAGGTGGAGGTTCCCCGCACAAGCTCTTTTTGCCTGCCGCTATTCATGTTAAGATGTGACTTGCTTCTCCTTGCCTTTTACCTTCTGCCATGATTGTGAGGCCTCCTCAGCCATGTGGCACTGTGAGTCCAATAAACCTCTTTCTTTTGTAAATTGCCCAGTCTCGGATATGTCTTTATCAGCAGTGTGAAAATGGACTAATACAGATGCTCTCTCCCTAATGTCTACGTAATACCTCCAAATAGAGCAACACACATTTTTACAGCTGTTTATTTGTGAGTCTGCCTTTTTCTTTGGACTCTGAGTTTGTAATGATTAATTTTGGTATCCTTCGGACCTAGCACAGTGCTTGGCACAGAATATGTGCACAAAATATTTGTGGAATAATGAATTAACATATGTATGGCTGCTAGAGGTTCAGAATCAGTATTTATGGGGCATTCTCATCTTACCTGACATGAACTACTTCTTTAATGTTATTTTTGGCAGCTGAATTCCGGGAAATATGACATAATGACATATACGTGAGATTATAGATTAAAATATTTTATGTATAAGCTCACATAAGTTCATGTTTTCCAGAACATGAAATGGCAATCTTTTGACCAAATTTATCATTTGCGCATAGGATGGATAAAGTGTGTGCATGTTGTGACTGGTGGCTCCTCGCAGTGATGGTAGATCATGTCATCTAACGGGTTGTCGTTTCTTGACATGATTTACAGTTCACAGCAGAGACCACAAGGGAAGATGGACAGCCACTTGGGGACCACCTGTTACAGGTGAGGAATGCAATGTTATTTTCAGCTGTTATGAAATCAGCTCATCAAGAGGATTTGGAAGCTAGTCAACAGGCAGTAGGTAAACAAACATTCCAGGCAAACTAAACACCAACAAAGGACAGATTTCAGACATGGGAGTTCAGATAAAGCTAGGAGCTTCACACTGTTTCATTTAGTTTTACTAGAACTGTGTAGGGGATTGTGATATCACTAAATTCTGCTGTACATTAAAATGAAGCCTCAAAAATGAACGTTATTTCCTAAGGCAGAAATACCAAGCAGATATCATTCTATACAGTATATGTGATTTGTTTGTTTCAAGGCTCTAAGGATTATGATTGAAAACAAAATGCCTAGCAAATGTTCTAAATACAAACTGTGAACAGAAACATGTTATTTATAACCATACAAGAAAATATGAGAAGAAAACCCTTTTAGAAAATGATAGAAGGAACAATGTGTAGCCTTATGAATCTTTGGTGTGAACTCACAGAATGTTGAGTGGAATTTCATGTACCCTTGTAGGGGTACGTGTCTCAGGTTGGTGGAGAAGACAGTAAGTCTTCCTAAAAGTGTATGGAACTTCTTAAAAATGCAGAGAGAGAGAGTCTGTGTACACAAGAAATTGGAACTTCTATGGGTTGCAGCATGGAAGTTTAATTATTCTTTCTCTGGCTTTAATTTTAAAATGTATTAAAGAGTACAGGAACCAATTAAAGATGGCAGAGTAAAGACATTTCTGCCTCGTTCTTTGAAACCAACTTAAAACCAAAACAGAGAACAAAGAAGCAGAAATGAAAACCTGGAGGGCTGTAAAAGTGTTATGAAATTTAAATCTAGTTAAAATGAGGAAAGCAGCAGGAGGTGTGTGCCTCCATGTTCACAGAAAGCATGCAGAATTATCCAAAGGTAAGTTACACTTTCTGAAATGTCGTCAGCGGCCTCTTTGGAACAGCAAGCACTCAGCTGCTGTGTCAGAGTCTGGGGCATCACTAACCTTGCTGGGCAGAAAAGAATGTCAGGGAAGGTGGAGCTAGTAAAGTGCCTACACACCTCTCTTTGCAAAACAAACAAACAAACAAACAGAAAAAGCAGAAAACAAAACAAAACAATACATCAATCCTTCTAGCTGAGTGGGAGGGAAAATGTTAGCAAGCAATCTTTCAGTTGATTATTTGATATGCAAAAGTAATATAAACTCCAAGTTACTGCATAAAATCTGGTGGCAAACATGATTGCATAATATGGAAAGTTTATCCCAGAGAAAAATCAAATTCTAGGTCAGTCTTTTGTTGGGAAACATTTCAAGACACAAATTTGAATGCAAGCTACCTGAATATCTAACTCACTCCACTGATGTGCTTTCTAACATTATCCTCTAATGCATAGTTGGCCTGGGGAAAAACAACAAAAATAACAAAGACAAACAGAAAGAAAGCACATGAGAAATGCAGATACAATTCTGCAAAAGAACAAATAGAAAAAAGGTAAGAACACATCAAAAATATTTAGTCATAAAAGACATGAAAATAAGAAAACCCTTCTCTGAGAATTCAAAGAAATTTTTTTAAAGTCTTCTGATACATATATATGTGTATATATATACACATGTATGCATGTATATATGTGTATATATATACATATATATGCAGGTATATATGTATATATACATTTATATATACATATATACCTGCATATACATATACATATATACATAGATATGTGTATGTATACACATACATATATATGCATGTATATATACTACACACATGTATATATACACATATGTATATACACACATATATATGCATGTATGTATACACATATATACATACGCATATACATATATGTATATATATACACATATATATGTATCAGAAGACTTTTTAAAAAATTTCTTTGAATTCTCAGAGAAAGGTTTTCTTATAATTTTCATGTCTTTTACAACTAAATATTTTTGATGTGTTCTTACCTTTTTTCTATTTGTTCTTTTGCAGAATTGTATCTGCATTTCTCATGTCCTTTCTTTAAATATATACATATGTGTATATTATATGTTACTACCAGAAAATCTGAAGAAGACAATATGGTTTCCAAATTATAAAAGTAAAACATGCAAATACAAGAAATATAGACAATATAGCAAAAATAAATAGCATTAAATACAGAAAGTAGAACTTGAAATAAAATGCCACAGCTAATTGCCATATCAGTAAGTATCAATGAGATAAAATTGCTCATTAAAAGAGCATCAATTTGGACCACAAAATGACACAGGTGCTATTATGATATTCATCTAAAATCAATAAAGGCAGGAAGCAAAATATAGGTAAACAAATTAAAACTAAAAGCAAGCAAGAGTAATTTTATTAAAATTATACAAGATCCACTTTAGGGAAAACTGCATGAAACTACCAAACGAAAGACAATGAAAAAGTTTAAATCTACAATTAAAGTTTGGTATGAACCTTAAGCTAAATAGCATAGTACCAAAATTCGAAATGCCAAATTTTTTACAAATGCAAGACAATTACACTGAGTGGAAAAAGCCAATCTCAGAATATTGCATATTCCATGATTCCATTCATACTCCATGATTCCATTCATTTTTGAAGTGACCAAGTTATAGAGATGGAGAACAGATGTGTGCTTGTCAGGGCTTAAGGAGGGACTGTGAATAGAAAAGGGTAGCAAGGGAATCCTTGCGATGAAACACAAGTCTGTATCTCGACCACAGTAGTGCACACAGGAAATTGCACTGTGACAACATTGTGTAGAACTAACACACACACAAGTGAATGTAAATCTGACATCTGAATAAGGTAGATGCATTGTGTCAGTGTCAACTTCCTACTTGTGACATTGTCCTGTAGTTATGCAAAACGTTACCAGTGAGGGAAAATGGTGAAAGGTATATGGAATTCTGTCTGTAGTATTTCTTAAAACTGCAAATAAATCTACAATAATCTCAAAATTAAAAAAAGATCAAAATTTCAAAATGGTTTAAAACAACCATAAATAAATTTGAATGGAAAATAAGAAACTGGAAAAACCTGCCAAGATATATGAAAATTGGCTCATTTCTTCTAACTTATTACTTTTTAAAAATAGGCCAAGATTATAGACAGATAATTCACAGTAAGAGAAACTCAAAAGACTTTTAAATATGTAAAAAGCTACTCATATTTGCTCATAATAAGACCATTATGGTTTGCATTTTAAACTACAATGAGATTTGTAGTTTGTAATTCAAACAGCAATGAGATAGCTTCTTACTTACTGTACTTGCAAGGATCAAATGGTTTGATAATAAATGGCATTGGCAGGAAGTTTGAGGACAAAAGCAATTTTGTGCACTGTTGGTGGGAATATAAGTGAATGTTTCACTTTGAAGGCTATTTGGCACTATGTATCAAAATTAAAAATTCACTTGCCGGGTGACAGAAATTTCACTTCTCAAGATTTGTGTTAACAGGTATATTAGCCCATATATAAAGCACAGTATGAATAAGCATTACATGAATAAGAAAGGACTGGAAATGGCATAATTGTTCATTAAAGGCCAGTAATTCAATAAATTATGGCACAACCATGCAATAAAATATGCTATTAGGAGAAATGAAGTAGCTCTCTCTATGTTCTGAAAGGGGGTAATCTCCAAATTGCTGTGTTAAGAGAAAATCACAAAGTCGTGAATAGTGTAATAAGGTATCTTCAAATGTGTAGCATTAAAATATACACACACACACATATATATATATGCACAAACAGACACACGCTTGCACATACACATGTTTCTGGAGAGTTTACAAGATATTCAATAGTGACAGCAGAGATCTCTGTTTGGAGAACTGCATTCATTCTCTTTAGAGCCCTTTGTCCTGCTTGATATAGTTAATGCATATGTTTGCCTTCATTACTGATGTGTCTTACCAGAGCCTAAAATTTGCTCAGTACATTGCAGTCGTTAAATAAACATTTGTTGAGTTGCACTGAACAATATTTCTATGTTGTTCACCTTCAAGGAGTAGCGCTCAGTATTGCACCCACTAATTTGTCTGTAGAAAACTTCAGGCTTTTTATAAATATTTTCGAATACATTATTTTATTTGATCCTCAAATGTTTTCCAAGTTATACAAAGTATGTGTACTTTTTATGTATGTGCATATTTCAATTATTCCTTACAACTGAGTTATTGGTACCTGTATGATTGCATTCCTCGTATAAACTTATGTTCACATTTTGTTGATTGTCCCCCTTTGCTTTTCAGTTCTCTTCTTTTACTCTTCCGATGAGTTCTTCCCTTGACTCTTAACACGTTAATCACCTACCACACTTTTTATTACTACATGCATGATTTATTATTTTTCTTCCTGCTTTCTGTTTTATCAACAAAATGCTAATATTAAAAAAAATCAATGCAAGCTAGTTCTCTTTGTGTTCTCCCGCATTCCTTTGAAATCTATTTAGAAAGTAGGCATTACAATTTTCCCTCCCCACCCTCACCCCCACCCACCTATCTATAGAGAAACAGTTTTTTTCCCCAGCCCAAGAATTATTGGCTCAGGTCAGCAGTTTGTCATAAAATATTCTACATGACATCCATGCTTTGTCCTAGCTCTTCTATTTCCTGTAGACTCTTAAAGATCTTTTTTAATATCCTTATTCTCAAATCCATCAATTTCCGTGTTATAAGGAGAGAAGGCCTTTGCAATTACTCTATGTAATACTTTCCTGACTTCTTTTTTTAAGGATCTCATTCTGTATTCTTCATTTAATGTATTCTTTTGAAAAGTCAGCTGTTTCAGCTAGGCCCATTTCATAGTATTATTTACACTTCTGTTTCTATTTTCTGAACCTTTTACCTTCCTCCTAATTTTTTAAAAAACTCAAGTAGTCCACTAAAAATAGGATCACACTGTGTCCATTTCCACAGCAGTTCATTTTTTTTTTCTGCTTTTGATCACTTGTTTATGGTGCATTAACAACTTTGTCCCTTTACTAATTTCTTACTTTTGAAATAGTTCCACTTTTAAAAAAAAACTTCTCAATCATTTGCTGTTTCTTTTTAAGCATGTTATGAATCTGCCTGTCCATTTTTATCCCTAGGCTCAATGTCTCAGTCTTCCTGACCACTGTAGGATGTTTCTAGAAATTTCTTAATCTTTCTTCTTTCTTCTATTTGGTTCTTTGGATTTCCAAGCGTTTGCTTATAGTTTTCTCATTGTATCTTTTCTCTGTCTTTTTAGTGATCATGTCTGCTGATGAGATGCCCACATTCTTTACTCTGAGCTACAATTGTTAGAATAGACCTGGCTGGTTTATTAGCCAGGATGCTGCATCACAAACAGCCTTGAAATGCAATGGTTTACAACAACATGCATTGATTTTTCTTGGCCATGTGTCTGCAGGTCAGAGGGGACACTTCTCTAGGATGAGTGTTGGCTACCCTTGAACCCAGCTCTTGGGATTGGCTAAGAGTCTGCACCACATCTCCTCATTCTCCCTGCATTAACAATTATGGGGCATGTTCTCATGGTAGGCACAGAAGTCCCATATGGGCATGTTTAAAGCCTGTGCTCTTGTCCCCTCTAACTTTCCATTGGTCAAAGCAAGTCACAGGTATACTCGATTTTCTCTGCTCTACTGCATAGGAAGGAGTGAAGAATTGAGAATAAGTATGCAATCTGTCCCAGCTTCTATAGTGGGCTTCTTTGGATACCTTATGTCTATGTACCCTCTGCTTCTTCCTCCAGCAGAAAAACCCTGATTTCTCCCCTGCAGTCTTTACATCCTGCTCCAAGTTCATTCTCTCTGGATGATGTACAGTCTCCTTCATCAGGCCTCAATTTGGCTCCTCAAGGTTCAGTTACCTATAGATACTTTTATTAACCATAAGGCAAGAATAGCCTCTCTGATTTTATGGCAGCCAACTCTTGCTGAGAAGAAATGGTGAGGACTCACTGCCCTAGTTGTGAAGTGAGTTCTTTAGTCGGTCCATCTGGCAGTCCCAGTTTCTGCTCTTCAATAAAAATTCTCTTGTTCATTTTCTTTCGTGGCCCCTGGATTTGCTCTTCAGGAGGGTCTTCCTTTTCTGTTGTCCTCTGTGGCCACATCTGAAATGGACATTCAGGAAAATATCTTCACTAAGGACTGCACGTATGTAGCAAGCCACTTCCTTTTGGTATGGGTTCATGACCCACTGGATTAGTTTTGGACAATAAGATACCCTAAAAAGTATGACAGACTTTCAGCGTAGTTGTTTTTTGGTCATCTCCAAGTGTGAATAAACACAGCCAATGACCTTGGGTAAATGGAATTATTAAGCTTGAAGACCCTGGTCTTTTATTTACAGACCTCTGTGCTCTGCGCATCTAAATAATTTTCAGCTTGCTGTCTGCTGCATTGAGAACATATGAAGTAATGCATTATCTTTGCCAGCAGGCTCACAACTTTTTTATGGTGTGGCAAAAGTCACATTTATCGCTAAGGCTAGAATTTTCAGACACTTCTTTTAACTGTTTCAATTTGGGGTATAGGCAGTTGGCTTTTTCAACCATGAACGTTTTCAAATTACCAGACTCTCAGTCAACTGAGATTGTGGGTTATAGGCAAAGAGTACCTTCCTTAGCAAAGGTGCATGTCTTTCCGTTTCAACTCTGAGACTGGCCAGGTAGTTAGTTCCACCTTGAATTTGTCATGCTAGGATTTTTCTGACAACCCATACCAATATTTTACCATTTCTCCTAATACTATATGTAGCCTTTGGCAGCATGTGGTTGGCTTCCAATGTGTAGCAGGTGATGATTTGACTAAATATTTTGTAGATTTATTATAAAGATCATGAGATTTTCGGCTTTCGTTATCTGAGTCATTGCTATGCACCTATGCAGCTCTGCTTCCATTACATATTTAGTGCCACATTTTAGTTTCTGATACTTGAAGAACCTTACTTCCAAGTACTAAATCAGTTGGAATAAGCTTTAAATGTGTATAACCAGGGAAGGAAATAATAATGAAAATGAGAGTGGCTTAATCAAGACAGAAGTTTACTTTTTTTTTCAGTTAAAAGAGAAGTTTGAAGATAAATCATTCTGGTGGCACCAGGACATTATCAGTGATACAGTCTATTTCTTCCTATATTCCATTTTTAGCATGGAGCTTCCTTCTTTGAGTTTATCTATAGTCTAAATTGGCTGCTATAGCTCCAGCCATCCCTTCTGTTGTAGCAGGAAGAGGTGGGGAAGGATAAACGATTATCCTTTCTCCTTGACTTATTGGCTCCCTTTAAGCAGCCTTCCCAGAAAGACTGTCACAAAATAGTAAGCTTACATCTCACTGGGCAGGACTTAGACTTATAAGCTCATTTCGCTACAAGGGATGACGGGGAGTGTAGTATTTTATTTGTTAACCAAATGTGATTGAGACTTGGTTAACAAAGAAGAAGGAGATCGTATGTATTGCGATTCTGCAATTAATAGTCTCTACTAGAGAAGTAAATGTATTCTTTGCACTGAGATTTTTATTTTCATTTTTAAAAACATGTTCAATTAAGCTTTGACGTCTTGAAAGGACAGAAAACATTTCCTCTTCTTTACCATCCTCATAATTTAAGTCATCTCTATTATAACAGGAATTTTCTCATTCTCCATACACATCTGCCACATTTTCAACCTGCATGAAAATTAATTTGTCATTACTCGTCTTATTTAAAAAGCCAGAATCTTTTTTTTCATATAGCACAACAATAATTCTTTCACATAGATCTTGCCAACTTGACTAGTCCATTTCCTTTTAAATACATTGCAGACTGCTACTCTGTTTATCTACATAGATTGTTTTAAAACAATTTTAAATGAACTTAGAGATAACCTAATTTAATCCTCTCATTTTGCAGATAAAGATGCTTTGGTCTGGAAAGAGTTTATTAAGCCACTTCTGTCGTGCAGCAAGGAATTAATAAACAGTTTTCATGCCTATATTTTGGATTTGTCTGTGACTAAATGTGTCCACATATTACTTTTTGTGCCCCCCACCTTCTGCCCAGCACACATCAAATTCCTTTATACTTTTTTTAGTTATGTAGTTAAAGTCTTCAAACTATTTTTATTATATGCAGAAGACAAGTCATGACCCAAAATAATATTTCCTTTTCAAATTCCTCTTACAGATGAAAATGGAGCATAGTATATTCATAAATCTGATATTTCCTGTCACTGAGGAAATCACACATGCGATCATACATCTTCCACCTCAAATCTCATATATCTTTGAACATTTACATTTGTGTGATTGGCAACCCTTCTCTCTTTATTATTTTTCTTCCTTTTTAGCCAGTGTAAAGAGCCCTGAACTATGTTCCCACCTATGCAAAAGTAAATTGCCTTCTTATTTCTTCTTCTAAATGAATCTCATCTTCCCTCTCCCCTTTCATTCTGTTTGATTCACTTAGTGCTTACAGAGTACCTTTGACATGCAAGTACCTATGACTTAAAGTGGAAGCATGCAACACAAATAACATGAAAACATATACTTGGCTTGATTCTGGGAAGCTGCCTTTCAACTCTCAGATCTCTTTTCCTAGTGTGATTTTCTTTCTACTGCTTCTATTTATCACCAGGATACAGCAAGTAGTAAGCAGTCATAAAATGTTTTGTGCATTATGTTTTGAACTTTAGACTTTTCTTTGCTTTTTTCTCTATCCTTCAGCATCTAATTTGAGGCAGATAAAGAACTTGTGATTATTTAGTTGGGAGAAGGGAAGTTTGGGTTTGGTGTGCATCTCAGGGTGAATGCAGGTACACTCACACTTATGGGTTATTCTTGTGATACTATTGCTACTGCAATTTTGCTTTCTTTCTTCATTAAATTTCACACAACCTTACTCATTCTATATTTTCATCTTTTCTCTGATCTGTTGGAGGGTATACTTTGACCTTGGACCTCTGGGTTCACTTTCTCTTTTCCCTTTCCAAGTCCATCTCACTTGCCTTTCCCCCAGGTAGCAGCATTGATTTTTTTTTCAAACTGCACTATTGCTTTCCACAACAGAGGATATTCATGAATGTCGAACATAATATGATGGTCAGCATTCAGTAAATGGAAATTGTTCTGATTTTTGGTACGTGATCTTTACCATAGTTCTGCATGGGTATGGTTGACCAAGGTGGGGAAAGAATGTCAGAGCTTGAAGACCAGTTCTCCAAAATAATGTAGCTGGACAAAAATAAAGAAAGAAGATTAAAGAATAAGCAATATTTCTAAGCAATACGGGATTATGTAAAGTGGCCAAATCTATGACTTATTGGCACTTATGAAAGAGAAGGAGAGAAAGCAAGTAACTTGGAAACATATTTCAGGATATGGTCCATGAGAATTTCCCCAACCTCGCTAGAGAGGGCAACATTCAAATTCAGGAAATGCAAAGAACCCCTTCAAGGTACTACAGAAGATGACCATCTCCAAGACACATAGTAAACAGATTCCCAAAGTCAGCTAGGGAGAAGGGGAAGGACACCTTCCAAGGGAACCCCATCAGTCTAACCATGGACCTTTCAGCAAAAGCCCTATAAACCAGAAGACATTGAGGGCCTTGATTCAGCATTCCTAAAGAAGAGAAACTCCTACCCAGAATTTCATATCCAGCTAAACTAAGCTTCATAAATAAAGGAGAAATAAGGTCCTTTTCAGACAAGCAAATGCTAAGGGAATTCATTACTACCAGAACTGCCTTATGAGAGGTCCTGAACAGAGTGCTAAATATGGAAAGGAAAGACCATTACCAGCCACTTTTAAAACACACTTAAGTACATAGACTATTAACACTGTAAAGCAACCACACAATTAAGTCTGCATAGTAACCAACTAACAACATGATGAAGGAATGAAATTTACACATATCAATATTAACCTTGAATATAAATGGGCTAAATGCCCCAATCAAAAGGCAGAGTGGTGAGTTAGATAAAGAAGCAAGACCCAATGGTATGCTATCTTCAAGAGACCCCATCTCACATGCAATGACACCCATAGGCTCAAAGTAAAGGGATGAAGAAAAATCTACCAAGCAAATGGAAAACAGAAGAAAGCAAGGATTAGTATACTAATTTCAGACAAAATAGGCTTTAAGCCAAACAGACTTTAAGCCAACAAAGATATTTTAAAAATTAAAGGGTATTACATAATGGTAAAGGGTTCGATTTGCAAGAAGACCTAACTATCCTAAATATATATGCATCCAGTATAGGAGCACTCAGATTCCTAAAGAAAGTTCTTAGAGACCTACAAAGAGACTTAGATAACCATATAATATAGTAGAAGACTTAAACACTCCACTTACAGTATTAGACATATTATCAAGGCAGAAAACTTACAAGGATATTTATGACCTGAACACAACACTTGACCAAATGGACTTAAAGACATCTACAAAACTCTCCACCTAAAACCACAGAATATACATTCTTTTCATCTGCACAGGCCACATACTCTAAAATTGACCCCACAATTGGCCATAAAACAATCCTTAGCAAATTCAAAAAAAATTATACTCACCACACTCTCAGATCACAACACAATAAAAATAGAAATCAACACTAAGAAAATTGCTCAAAACTATGGAATTACATGCGAAGTAAACAACTTGCTCTTGAATGACTTTTGGGTTAGCAATGAAATTAAGGCAGAAATGAAGAAATTCTTTGAAACTAACGAGAACAAAGGTACAACATAACAAAATCTCTAGGACACAGTTAAGAAAGTGTTAAGACAGAAGTTTATAGTGCTAACTGCCCACATTAAAAGTTAGAAAAATCTCAAATCTACAACCTAACATCATACCTAGTGGAACTACAGAAAGAAGAGCAAACCAACCCCAAAGTGAGTAGAAGATAAGATATAACCAAAATCAAAGGACAACTAAAAAAAAAAAAAAAAAAAAAAAAAAAAACAACAACTCAAAAAACAAGATGTGAAAAAACATACAAAAGATCAATGAATTCAGGAGTTGTTTGTTGCACGGAATAAATAAGACTGACAGATCATTAGTTAAACTAATATGAAAAAAATAAGAAAAGATCCAAATAAACACAATAAAAAATGATAAAAGAGATATTGTAACCAACCCCACAGAGATACAAAAAAAAGTCAGAGGCTACTATGGACACCTCTATGCACACAAGCTAGAAAATCTAGAACAAATGGATAAATTCTTGGAAATATATGACCTCCATTGAACCAGGAAGAAATTGAATCCCTAAAGAGATCAATAATCAGTTCTGAAATTGAATCAGTAATAAAAAGCATACCAACTAGAAAAAGTCCAGAACCAGACAAATTCACAGCTGAATTCTCCCAATGTATAAAGAAGAGGTGGTATCATTCTTACTGAAACTATTCCAAAAACTCAGGAGGAGGCACTCCTTCCTAACTCATTCTATGAGGCCAGCATCATCCTGTTTCCAAAACCTGGCACAAACACAATAAAAAAAGAAAACTTCAGGCCAGTATCTTTGATGAACATAGACGCAAAAATCCTCAACAAAAACTAGCAAACCAAATCCAGCAACACATCGAAAAGCTAATCCATCACAATAAAGTAGGCTTTATACTGGGATGCAAGGTTGGTTCATCATACACAAAACAATAGATGTGATTCATCACATAAAGAGAACAAAAAGCAAAAACCACATGATCATCTCCATAGATGCAGAAAAGGCTTTCAATAAAATCCAACATCCCTTCACGTAAAAAACCCTCAACAAACTAGGCATTGAAGGAATATACCTCAAAACAGTAAGTGTCATCTATGATAAACCAGTGGCCAACATCATACTGAATGGAAAAGGCTGGAAGCTTTCCCCTTGAAAATTAGCACAAGACAAAACTCGCACCACTCCTATCCAACATAGAATTGGAAGTCCTAGCCAGAGAAACCAGGTAAGAGGAAGAGATAAAAGTCATTTAAATAGGAAGAGAGGAAGTCAAACTATCTCTGTTTGCAGGTTATATGATTCTATACCTAGAAAACCCCATAGTCTCTACCCAAAAGTTCCGTGATCTGATAAACAACTTCAGCAAAGTTTCAGGATACAAATCAATGTACAACAATTGCCAGCATTCCTATACACCAACAACATCCAAGCTGACAACCAAATCAAGAATGCAATCTTATTCACAATAGCCACCAAAAGAATAAAATGTCTAAAAATACAGCTAACCAGGAAGGTGAAAGAGTTCTACAATGAGAATTACAAAACACTGCTCAAAGAAATCAGAGATGCCACAGCAAATGGAAAAACTTTCCATGCTCGTGGCTAGGAAGAATCGATATGGTTAAAATGGCCATACTGCCCAAAGCAAATTACAGATTCAATGCTATTCTTATCAAAATACCAATGACATTCTTCACAGAATTAGAAAAGAACTATTTTAAAATTCACTTGGAAGCAAAAAAGAGCCCAAGTAGCCAAGGTAATCCTAAGCAAAAAGAGCAAAGCTGGAGACATCAAGTTACCCATCTTCAAATCATACTACACAGCTACAGTAACCAAAACCACATGGTACTGTTACAACAACAGGCATATAGACTAATAGAACAGAATAGAGTACCCAGAAATAATGCCACACACCTACAACCATCTGATTTTCCTCAAAGGTGACAAAAGCAAGCAATGGGCAAAGGACTTTCTCGTTAATAAATGGTGCTGTCGTAACTGGCTAGCAATATGCAGAAGATTAAAACGGAATCCCTTCCTTATACCATATACAAAAGTCAACTCATCATAGATTAAAGACTTAAATGTAAAACTTAAAACTATAAAAACTCTGGAAGATAACCTAGGAAGTGCCATTCTGGACATAGGCCCTGGCAAAGACTTCATGATGAAGACACCAAAAGCAATGGTAACAAAAACAAAAGTTGACACATAGGACCTAATTTAACTAACCAGTTTCTGCACAGCAAAAGAAACTATCAAGAGAGTAAACAGATAACCTACAGAACAGAAGAAGATATTTTGCAAACTGTGCTTCTGACAAAGATCTAATATCCAGAATCTATAAGGAACTTAAACAAATTAACAAGCAATAAATAACCCCATGAAAAAGTTGGCTAAGGACACGAACAGCCTCTTTTTAAAAGACGTATCTGCAGCCAACAAGCATATGAAAAAATGTTCAGCATCAGTAATCATTAGAGAAATGCAAATCAAAGCCACAATGAGATACCATCTCACACCAGTCAGAATGGCTATTATTAAAAAGTTAACAAATAACAGATGCTGGTGAGGTAGTGAAGAAAAGGGAATGTTTATGCACTACTGATGAGAATGTAAATTAGTTCAGACATTGTGGAAAACAGTTGGTGATTTCTTAAGGAATTCAAAACAGAATTACCATTTGACCCAGCATGCCATTATTGGATATATACACAAAAGAATATAAATCTTTCTACCCTAAAGACACATGCATGCATACATTCATTGCAGCACTATTCAAATAGCAAAGACATAAAATCTACCTAATTGACCATCGGTGGTAGACTTGATAAAGAAAATGTGGTACATATCCACTATAGAATGCTATGTAGCCATAAAAAATGAGATCATGTCATTTGCAGCAACATGGATGGAGCTGGAGGTCATTATCCTAAGCAAAGTAACACGGGAACAGAAAACCAAATACTGAGAGGGAGGAGCCAAGATGGCCGAATAGGAACAGCTCCGGTCTACAGCTCCCAGCGTAAGCGACGCAGAAGACGGGTGATTTCTGCATTTCCATCTGAGGTACCGGGTTCATCTCACTAGAGAGTGCCACACAGTGGGCGCAGGTCAGTGGGTGCACGCACCGTCTGCGAGCCAAAGCAGGGCGAGGCATTGCCTCACTTGGGAAGCGCAAGGGGTCAGGGAGTTCCCTTTCTGAGTCAAAGAAAGGGGTGACGGACGGCACCTGGAAAATCGGGTCACTCCCACCCGAATACTGCACTTTTCCAACGGGCTTAAAAAACGGCGCACCACGAGATTATATCCCGCACCTGGCTTGGAGGGTCCTACGCCCACGGAGTCTCGCTGATTGCTAGCACAGCAGTCTGAGATCAAACTGCAAGGCGGCAGCGAGGCTGGGGGAGGGGTGCCCGCCATTGCCCAGGCTTGATTAGGTAAACAAAGCAGCCAGGAAGCTCCAACTGGGTGGAGCCCACCACAGCTCAAGGAGGCCTGCCTGCCTCTGTAGGCTCCACCTCTGGGGGCAGGGCACAGACAAACAAAAAGACAGCAGGAACCTCTGCAGACTTAAATGTCCCTGTCTGACAGCTTTGAAGAGAGCAGTGGTTCTCCCAGCACGCAGCTGGAGATCTCAGAACGGGCAGACTGCCTCCTCAAGTGGGTCCCTGATCCCTGATCCCCGAGCAGCCTAACTGGGAGGCACCCCCCAGCAGGGGCACACTGACACCTCACACAGCAGGGTACTCCAACAGACCTGCAGCTGAGGGTCCTCTCTGTTAGAAGGAAAACTAACAAACAGAAAGGACATCCACACCAAAAACCCATCTGTACATCACCATCATCAAAGACCAAAAGTAGATAAAACCACAAAGATGGGGAAAAAACAGAACAGAAAAACTGGAAACTCTAAAAAGCAGAGGGCCTCCCCTCCTCCAAAGGAACGCAGTTCCTCACCAGCAACAGAACAAAGCTGGATGGAGAATGACTTTGACGAGCTGAGAGAAGAAGGCTTCAGACGATCAAATTACTCTGAGCTACGGGAGGGCATTCAAACCAAAGGCAAAGAAGTTGAAAACTTTGAAAAAAATTGAGAAGAATGTATAACTAGAATAACCAATACAGAGAAGTGCTTAAAGGAGCTGATGGAGCTGAAAACCAAGGCTCGAGAACTACGTGAAGAATGCAGAAGCCTCAGGAGCCGATGCGATCAACTGGAAGAAAGGTATCAGCAATGGAAGATGAAATGAATGAAATGAAGTGAGAAGGGAAGTCTAGAGAAGAAAGAATAAAAAGAAATGAGCAAAGCCTCCAAGAAATATGGGACTATGTGAAAAGACCAAATCTACGTCTGATTGGTGTACCTGAAAGTGATGGGGAGAATGGAACCAAGTTGGAAAACACTCTGCAGGATATTATCCAGGAGAACTTCCCCAATCTAGCAAAGCAGGTCAACGTTCAGATTCAGGAAATACAGAGAACGCCACAAAGATACTCCTTGAGAAGAGCAACTCCAAGACACATAATTGTGAGATTCACCAAAGTTGAAATGAAGGAAAAAATGTTAAGGGCAGCCAGAGAGAAAGGTCGGGTTACCCTCAAAGGGAAGCCCATCAGACTAACAGCGGATCTCTCGGCAGAAACCCTACAAGCCAGAAGAGAGTGGGGGCCAATATTCAACATTCTTAAAGAAAAGAATTTTCAACCCAGAATTTCATATCCAGCCAAACTAAGCTTCATAAGTGAAGGAGAAATAAAATCCTTTACAGACAAGCAAATGCTGAGAGATTTTGTCACCACCAGGCCTGCCTTACAAGAGCTCCTGAAGGAAGCACTAAACATGGAAAGGAACAACCGGTACCAGCCACTGCAAAATCATGCCAAAATGTAAAGACCATGGAGACTAGGAAGAAACTGCATCAACTAACGAGCAAAATAACCAGCTAACATCATAATGACAGGATCAAATTCACACATGACAATATTAACTTTAAATGTAAATGGACTAAATCCTCCAATTAAAAGACACAGACTGGCAAATTGGATAAAGAGTCAAGACCCATCAGTGTGCTGTATTCAGGAAACCCATCTCACGTGCAGAGACACACATAGGCTCAAAATAAAAGGATGGAGGAAGATCTACCAAGCAAATGGAAAACAAAAAAAGGCAGGGGATGCAATCCTAGTCTCTGATAAAACAGACTTTAAACCAACAAAGATCAAAAGAGACAAAGAAGGCCATTACATAATGGTAAAGGGATCAATTCAACAAGAAGAGCTAACTATCCTAAATATATACGCACCCAATACAGGAGCACCAAGATTCATAAAGCAAGTCCTGAGTGACCTACAAGGAGACTTAGACTCCCACACATTAATAATGGGAGACTTTAACACCCCACTGTCAACATTAGACAGATCAACGAGACAGAAAGTCAACAAGGATACCCAGGAATTGAACTCAGCTCTGCACCAAGTGGACCTAATAGACATCTACAGAACTCTCCACCCCAAATAAAGAGGATATACATTTTTTTCAGCACCACACCACACCTATTCCAAAATTGACCACATACTGGGAAGTAAAGCTCTCCTCAGCAAATGTAAAAGAACACAAATTATAACAAACTATCTCTCAGACCACAGTGCAATCAAACTAGAACTCAGGATTAAGAATCTCACTCAAAACCGCTCAACTACATGGAAACTGAACAACCTGCTCCTGAATGACTACTGGGTACATAACGAAATGAAGGCAGAAATAAAGATGTTCTTTGAAACCAACGAGAACAAAGACACAACATACCAGAATCTCTGGGACGCATTCAAAGCAGTGTGTAGAGGGAAATTTATAGCACTAAATGCCCACAACAGAAAGCAGGAAAGATCCAAAATTGACACCCTAACATCACAATTAAAAGAACTAGAAAAGCAAGAGCAAACACATTCGAAAGCTAGCAGACGGCAAGAAACAACTAAAATCAGAGCAGAACTGAAGGAAATAGAGACACAAAAAAAACCCTTCAAAAATTAATGAATCTAGGAGCTGGTTTTTTGAAAAGATCAACAAAATTGATAGACCACTAGCAAGAGTAATAAAGAAGAAAAGAGAGAAGAATCAAATAGACGCAATAAAAAATGATAAAGAGGATATCACCACCAATCCCACAGAAATACAAACTATCATCAGAGAATACTACAAACACCTCTACCCAAATAAACTAGAAAATCTAGAAGAAATGGATACATTCCTCGACACATACACCTTCCCAAGACTAAACCAGGAAGAAGTTGAATCTCTGAATACATCAATAACAGGCTCTGAAATTGTGGCAATAATCAGTATAGCATACCAACCAAAAAAAGTCCAGGACCAGATGGATCCACAGCCGAATTCTACCAGAGGTACAAGGAGGAGCTGGTAACATTCCTTCTGAAACTATTCCAATCAATAGAAAAAGAGCGAATTCTCCCTAACTCATTTTATGAGGCCAGCATCATCCTGATACCAAAGCCTGGCAGGGACACAACCAAAAAAGAGAATTTTAGACCAATATCCTTGATGAACATTGATGCAAAAATCCCCAATAAAATACTGGCAAACCAAATCCAGCAGCACATCAAAAAGCTTATCCACCATGATCAAGTGGGCTTCATCCCTGAGATGCAAGGCTGATTCAACATACGCAAATCAATAAATGTAATCCAGCATATAAACAGAACCAAAGACCAAAACCACATGATTTTCTCAATAGATGCAGAAAAGGCCTTTGACAAAATTCAACAACCCTTCATGCTAAAAACTCTCAATAAATTAGGTATTGATGGGACGTATCTCAAAAGAATAAGAGCTATCTATGACAAACCCACAGCCAATATCATACTGAATGGGCAAAAACTGGAAGCATTCCCTTTGAAAACTGGCACAAGACAGGGATGCCCTCTCTCACTGCTCCTATTCAACATAGTGTTGGAAGTTCTGGCCAGGGCAATTAGGCAGGAGAAGGAAATAAAGGGTATTCAATTAGGAAAAGAGGAAGTCAAATTGTCCCTCTTTGCAGATGACATGATTGTATATCTAGAAAACCCCATTGTCTCAGCCCAAAATCTCCTTAAGCTGATAAGCAACTTCAGCAAAGTCTCAGGATACAAAATCAATGTACAAAAATCACAAGCATTCTTATACACCAACAACAGACAAACAGAGAGCCAAATCATGAGTGAACTCCCATTCACAATTGCTTCAAAGAGAATAAAATGCCTAGGAATCCAACTTACAAGGGATGTGAAGGACCTCTTCAAGGAGAACTACAAACCACTGCTCAAGGAAATAAAAGAGGATACAAACAAATGGAAGAACATTCCATGCTCATGGGTAGGAAGAATCAATATCGTGAAAATGGCCATACTGCCCAAGGTAATTTACAGATTCAATGCCATCCCCATCAAGCTACCAATGACTTTCTTCACAGATTTGGAAAAAACTACTTTAAATTTCATATGGAACCAAAAAAGAGCCCGCATCACCAAGTCAATCCTAAGCCAAAAGAACAAAGCCGGAGGCATCACACTACCTGACTTCAAACTATACTACACGGCTACAGTAACCAAAACAGCATGGTACTGGTACCAAAACAGCATGGTACTGGTACCAAAACAGAGATATAGATCAATGGAACAGAACAGAGCCCTCAGAAATAACGCCGCATGTCTACAACTATCTGATCTTTGACAAACCTGAGAAAAACAAGCAATGGGGAAAGGATTCCCTATTTAATAAATGGTGCTGGGAAAACTGGCTAGCCATATGTAGAAAGCTGAAACTGGATCCCTTCCTTACACCTTATACAAAAATCAATTCAAGATGGATTAAAGACTTAAACGTTAGACCTAAAACCATAAAAACCCTAGAAGAAAACCTAGGCATTACCATTCAGGACATAGGCATGGGCAAGGACTTCATGTCTAAAACACCAAAAGCAATGGCAACAAAAGACAAAATTGACAAATGGGATCTAATTAAACTAAAGAGCTTCTGCACAGCAAAAGAAACTACCATCAGAGTGAACAGGCAACCTACAAAATGGGAGAAAATTTTCGCAACCTACTCATCTGACAAAGGGCTAATATCCAGAATCTACAATGAACTCAAACAAATTTACAAGAAAAAAACAAACAACCCCATCAAAAAGTGGGCAAAGGACATGAACAGACACTTCTCAAAAGAAGACATTTATGCAGCCAAAAAACACATGAAAAAATGCTCATCATCACTGGCCATCAGAGAAATGCAAATCAAAACCACAATGAGATACCATCTCACACCAGTTGGAATGGCAATCATTAAAAAGTCAGGAAACAACAGGTGCTGGAAAGGATGTGGAGAAATAGGAACACTTTTACACTGTTGGTGGGACTGTAAACTAGTTCAACCATTGTGGAAGTCAGTGTGGCGATTCCTCAGGGATCTAGAACTGGAAATACCATTTGACCCAGCCATCCCATTACTGGGTATATACCCAAAGGACTATAAATCATGCTGCTATAAAGACACATGCACACGTATGTTTATTGCGGCATTATTCACAATAGCAAAGACTTGTAACCAACCCAAATGTCCAACAATGATAGTCTGGATTAAGAAAAGTGGCACATATACACCATGGAATACTATGCAGCCATAAAAAATGATGAGTTCATGTCCTTTGTAGGGACATGGATGAAATTGGAAATCATCATTCTCAGTAAACTATCAGAAGAACAAAAAACCAAACACTGCATATTCTCACTCATAGGTGGGAATTGAACAATGAGATCACATGGACACAGGAAGGGGAATATCACACTCTGAGGACTGTTGTGGGGTTGGGGGAGGGGGGAGGGATAGCATCGGGAGATATACCTAATGCTAGATGACGAGTTAGTGGGTGCAGCGCACCAGCATGGCACATGTATACATATGTAACTAACCTGCACAATGTGCACATGTACCCTAAAACTTAAAGTACAATAAAAAAAAAAAAAGAAAACCAAATACTACATGTTTTCACTTGTAAGTGGGAGCTAAACACGAGTACATGTGAACCCAAAGGAGAGAACAACAGTTACTGGGGCCTACTGAGGGTGGAAGGTGGGAGAAAATTAAAGATAAAAAAAACTATGTATCATCTGGGCGCGGTGGCTCACGCCTGTAATCCCAGCACTTTGGGAGGCCAAGGCAGGCAGATCACAAGGTCAAGAGATCGAGATCATCCTGGCCAACATGGTGAAACCCCATCTCTACTAAAAATACAAAAATTAGCTGGTCATGGTAGCACACACCTGTACTACCAGCTGCTCGGGAGGCTGAGGCAGGAGAATCGCTTGAACCTGGGAGGCGGAGGTTGCAGTGAGCCGAGATCGCACCACTACATTCCAGCCTGGCAACAAAGTGAGATTCCATCTCAATAACAAAATAAAACAAAACAAAACAACGACAACAACAAAAACTACCTATCAGACACTATGCTTATTACCTGGGTGACGAAATAATCTGTACACCAAACTCCCATGACATGCAATTTACCTATGTAACAAACCTGCACATGTAGCCCTGAACTTAAAACAAAAGTTAAAGACATGATTTAAACAAATCATATTATAGATACTGATAAAGCTAGTTAAGCATTATGCAGCAAATAATTATTACACAAAGGCAAAAATACATTGATTTAAAGTCTTTCTTATTGACTAAATAAATAACATGACTTTCTTATTGCAAATTATACTTCAATCACAGAATTCTACTCCATTTTAGTTTTCAATGTTTTAAGATGAGACAGAAGAGACAAGGAATTTACAATATGATACACTTGAATTTAAGGCTTGGCTCTATCAGTAAATCTCATGTGAGATGGGGCAAGTTTATTGAACCCTTTCTGTCTCATTTTCTTTTGGGTAACATTGGGATGCTGTGAATATTAAGTTGGAATAATCATATCTAACTTGTCTGGTGCATGTTAAAAGTGCCACAAAAGTTAGTTCTCTTTTCCAATTTTTTGTGGCATTTATTGGATACCAGACTAGTGGCATTTATTGGAAACTACTTTTGAAGTATATACCATATATATATATATTTTTTTTTTCTCTTCCCTGTATTCATTTGTAAAAGCCTTGCTAATTATTTTTCAATTATACTCTTACAAGTCAATAGTAGAAATAGATTCTTTTCCATTAAAAAGTATATCAAGGATAGAGAAAATGAACTAGCAATTTGGATGAAGAAAACAGTTCTAAGCCTAAATTAAACCAATTGCTGGGCATACCTGTTTCCTTGAAAGTCTGAGGTAATTATGCCGCTTCCTGGTGGTAAAGAACTGATGATGTGATTTTATTTTGAATAATCTTTGAGGGAAAAACCATACTTTTTCAGCATTTTCTCATCTTATCTATATACAATGGCAACAGATTTAGGTAACAAGCTCTTTAGGAACTGGTCTTGTAAAGTTAACTCTAATAAACTAAATGTCAATGTGATAAAAACAATCCTTACTAAGGAAAAAAATCTACTTTATGTCAGTTCTGAAAAATATGCTTTGTTGCAACTTGGAGACATTTTTTTGGTACACTCTTGAGGTCCATTCACTTAGCTTTTACATAACACAATCTCCCAGGGAGAGTTTGGGTGAAATAACTACAGTATTTCTCTCAGTAGAGGCTGGCGATGAAGCACAAGATAAACTTGTGATTGTTTTATTTCATGATGAGCACTTTTCTTCAAAATATGCAGCTTGCAGAAATCTGAGGAAAAAGGGCACTTTTCATCACATTCATAGGTGACAAGGATCCAGGATCCAAGTTCGACAATGGGAGGATGACGGGCTCATTCCAGCCACATGACATATTACAGAAAATACTGTAACAACCATTATTTAAATGTCAAAAATGGACTCGACAGGCACAGGGTAGGTAAGATGGATCCTAAACATAGCAAACACTGGGAGACAACACTCTTTAATTTTGCTACTCCTCCAGCTATCGTCCCAAGCCCTTTTGTTGTATGGCAGAGCTACTGACCTCCGCTCTAACAGTGACTTGCCATTTGCCTCCATGTTGCTCACCATTTCCATTCCCATCACACTCAACTTCTCTTAGTTCCTGGAACACTTTCTGGGCTCCGATTCAACCCTGGGCCTTCATATGTTATTTCTTTCTGGAACTTTCTTCATCCTCCTTTCTGCCTGGATAACTCTTACCGGTTCTTAGATATAGTCTCAGATTAAATGTCTGGGGAAACTACCAGGCCTCCACACTCCCTACTGGGTTATGTACTTATAGACTGTCCCTAACTTCAGCTGTTTTATAATCAGGGCCTGCTATATTGTCTGCAGATCCTTGTGCAAAACAAGAATTCAAGCCCTGACTGTCACAGGGGAAATCAATCTTCCCTTCCATGGGCCACCGTCTCCATACACAGTGGATAAGACACCCCCAGGAAATTACAATCCCCCTTCTGGGACATGCTTGCTAGAGGGTAGATGTGAGGCACCCACCAAGTCACCTACCGAATTTGCCAGGGCACTGCCCTCTGAGGCACGGATTGCCGCTGCTCCCACCAGCACCCCCATGCCTTCAAGATGCCATTAGGTGTGCATCCACTCAACTGTCCTTGTGCTCATGTCCAGGAGCCCTCTGGAGGCAATGGCAGAGGACAGGCCTCCTTCTGCTACTGAGACCTATTGCCACTTACTTGGAGGGTGGCAGTGGTTGGGGCAGGAAGGGGAAGGCCAGACAGGGCCTGGGACACCAGGATGCAGAGAGCAGGCAGCTAAGAACCTTCCTGGAGAGGTGGGAGAGGAAGGGAAAGCCAGAACTGCATGAAAGCTGAAGCTTCAAACTTCCAACACAAGCTCCATTGTCTCATTGGATGGTAATTATAAAACACAGATTTAAAGAT
The DNA here is from genome assembly GCF_000001405.40 of Homo sapiens. NCBI lineage: Eukaryota > Metazoa > Chordata > Mammalia > Primates > Hominidae > Homo > Homo sapiens. The sequence goes on along the minus strand of NC_000001.11, from coordinate 83,347,498 downwards.
AAAAGTATTAAACATTTCAAGACAATGACTGCAGAATATTAAACTCCAAGAGCTTGGCTCTTCTGAGCATATGGCCTTGTGTGACTGTACTGGCCGAGTGCCTGTGAAGCTGGCCCAATTTACAACTGATCCCACTTTACTTTTATTCCTTTTAAATTGTGCCCTTTCCTGCACTACACTGTAAGCTGCATAAGAACCAGAACCATATCTGTAGTAAAGATTTAATAAATATTTGTTAAATGAATAAATTAATGGAGTAAAGTCCTTCCATTATTTGGTGCATGTCCTTAAACTTCATGTAGCACCCCAAAAGCACCACTTCCCCCTCCTCTTTGTCATGTCCATGACTTTCACCTCTGCTCCCCTTTCAGAGTGTCAATAATCTTATTCAGGTGCTCATCATCTCGATTTGGGAAAGCTGAAAAACATTTAGAATGGGTTTGTCAGCTTCAGGGACATATTTGAAATCATTAATATTATCACATAACTTTTCTGCTTAGCAATTTTTGCTTGTCACTATTGTCTAGCAGGTAAAGTCCTAGCCATTTTTTTCCAATTTCCAAAACTTTACATAATATAGTCCCAATGTATTTTGTAGAATTAAACTCTTACTGCTTTTGCTTTACATAAAAGCATAATTTTTCTTCCAATTCCAGATAAAACGGCCTGTCACTTCTCTTGTGAAGTCTTTTTAGATTCTACCATTAGCTTTGGAGGACAGTGTCTACCTCCTTTCTGCAAATTAAGAGCCCTTTATTACATCATAGCCTTGACTAAAGAAATGATCAAGTTGAACTGTGGCCTGTTTCACTCTATAAATTGAATTTCTATAATCAAGTATCAATTTTGGGGATGCTGCTTAGGGTTAAATTCAATTAATATTTTAGTGTACTAATTTAACATGCAATATTAAAGGTTTTTTATGTTCCAAGGTTTATATTAGGTCTCAGGGAAACAAATAAAAAATAAATATTATGATCCCCTCTCCACCTTGAAGAAGCACATAATTTAATAGGAGAGATAGATAAATTAACATAAAATCAAACACAATATTATAAGCACTATACTAGACACAACAAAAAGATGCCTTTGACAACTAATATATTTCCAGAGTTAAAAAAAAATCATCGTGATGAGGAGACTAGAAAGTGTATCCTCTAAGTATTTTAGAAAGGATTAGTTTCCAGAAAGGAGATAAAAGTTTGGAGTAACTCAAAAGTCATTCAGTTGAAAAGGAATTTCATTTATTTTGTACATTCTTAGAAGACAGAAATAGAAAAATATAAGCAGAAGTTACAAAGAGTTGGATTTTGAATCAAGAGAAAGGAGACCTTTTAAAAAATGAGAATAGTGACATACAGATGGGTTTCCTCAGGAGGAAAGGGTACCCCAATTGCTGGAATTATTCAGGTAGATGTGGAACGCCTAACGTCCCTTGTTGACTCTGTAAAGTAGTATGAAACTAGAATATTTATAATGAAATGATTTGGTGTAGTGGGTCACGATGTAGGGCATCTGAAAATCAGAATTTTAGTCCTGGCACTTTATTTTCCTGATCATATCACACAGGTGCTGACCTCTTTGACTCCATTTCCTCATCTGAAAAATGGAGATCATAAAACCTGTTTCAGAGAGTTGCTGTGAGAATTAAATAGAATAAAGTAATTGAAAGTAACTTGTAGACTACAAAGTGCTATAAAATGAGTTTTATTTATGCTGATAATAACAAAAATAATAATAGTCATATGCATTATTTCACTCATTATTCTCTTTAGTCCCAGCATATAGAATAATTCTCTTCTCTTTTTTTACAGGTAAGAAAAGTATCAGATTAAAAGTGATTTTCCCATTGCGACATAGTTGGTCAATGAGTGGCTGGGTCGGGAGTCATGACTTCTCCCACACAGCTAAGAATGATTTCCCCCATAACACACTGCCTTTATGATGAAATAGCGTCTGTAACATTTTACAGTTCCCAGTGTGCTTTGGATTGGAGTGAAGTCATTCAAATAATAATAGACTGTTTAAAAATCATTCTCTAAGTGATATGCTTATGTGATTTTTCACTCAGGCTAGGATGAAAATAACAATGTTGGCTGGATGTATTTTTCTTTAATAAACATAATGTTTCATAGAATACTTTTTTCTTTAACAAATCTTGACAAAAACATTTTCAATTAGGAGCTTTAAAAAAGACACAAAAAGAGATTAACCAAGATAAGCTGAATATTGGCTAGGGAATACCACACATATATATGAAATTATAAGTGATATGCAAAACATTCATTATGACTTTTGGTGGCAATCACCATCCTCTATCATCATGGTAACTGACTGGATGTCTGCTCTTGTCCTCTTTGTTCACTAACCTTGTTCTGCATGTGCCTTTATTTAAATGTCCTAGTCCTGGAACCCATGATGGCACATGATGAACCAATCTTTCCTTTGTGACAAAAGGGATATACTCTCTACAGGATCTTCTCAGTAATACAAAATGCAGATACTTTCTGCCTTAACTATTCACAACAAAACCATTTTGATTCGTATTCCTAATTCCTGTTACATAAATGTTTCAAGGAAGGAAATTTTGATGTGACTCTTTTTGTTGTTTATAAAAACCCAATGTTCTCTGTGAAAATTTTCTGAATCTTCAATGGCAGGTGTTTTTATGGTTTTCCTTACATTAAGGACAGAAAATGAATACCTTCTAGGCTGAGTGCTATTTTGTTTACCCTCCACCATCCCTCAAATGTTCTTTCTTCTGTCTTTTCCATTTCTTACCATCAAAAGCTCCCCTCCCTCCATTTATTAAATTTGGAATTAAAAGCTCTTTTGTTGCTACAAGATGTTTTCTCAACAGGAGCTTGTTATTTAACTGTTTGAAGACCACCACACATGGGTAATTCTTTTATACATTTAATCTCATAAATACATACCAGAAAACTTGAGAAAGTGGTTGTATACAACCACTTCTTTGAAAAAATAAAAAGCCTTCTTTTATTTTCTTTTTCTGTTAAAAGCTCATAATTCACTAGCTAAGTAGCTTGTGAATATTTTTGCATTCTTTTCATTCAAAATGTACAGTTTTAAAAGACTTATGAATTGTTTAATCACATGAGTTTTAATGTCAACTCCCTCAACTTTTGTGCAGTAGCATAAGAAGTGAGTCAGTCATGAAGATTTAATCCCACTTGCAATTCAAAAATCTCAATAAACTGGGAAAATGCTATTGCCCAGGATGTCACAGAATGGTCCCCCATCTCTTTAATATCTATTACATATATATTATATATTACATATATTTATAAGGAAATGTACAATTCTATTGAAAAAGAACATACACATCTATAGCCCAGCAGTGAACCTAGTCAGTGCCTTTGACTTTAGAGTGGAAAAGAGGAAAAAACAAAGCCCTTCTATTTCAATTAACTTATAAGAAAAGGAATAAAAGTGGCACCAGTCAGTCGCAGGCCATATCTCTTTTCTAAAAAGATCCGGATACGAAGGAAAAGGCTGCCTCTCCCCTCTGGGCGGCAGCGCTGCACATGGGCCATGGTTTCACTTTCATGCTTAGGAGCCATTACCAGCCCTCTCCACTTATATTCCATTACAATTGATTGAATATTATACATCAAAAAGTAGAGAGAAAATGTTTAAGATTTTATGAATGCAAGCAAAATGATTAGAGCTCACAAAAGCTTTGAATTCTGAAGCTTGTCTTCTATCTTGTCGTTACATAAGCATCTTTGATCTTCTCTTCACCCGGCTTTTTAGATGACTTTTATGTGGTCTTATTATTGTTTTATTATTTTAAGAGAATTAGTCATGTAGACTTCTTTTTAAATAGAGGTTATTTTTTAAAAAAAGTTTCCATTCCACTGCAAGTCAGGGGATTTCTCAAACCAGATGGAATTAATGTTCACTCTTCTGTGTGTTACAATGAATAGAGAAGTTGGAAGACCTCGGTTCTAATCTTGGGTCTTCTGTAAAATAATTCTGTGACCTTGGGAAAATCATTCATATGATTTGCTTTTTTTCCCTCTTTATGCAATGGGCTATTTTGTCATTTTATTCATGACTGATAGAGCTAATAAATTTGGAAGAGAACTGAAAACTATTTTATAAATGTGAGGCAATATCAATATAAAAATCCAAGCTTTAGGGTTAAGCTTAAAATTAACATTATTTAATGAGCAAAAAATATACTGTGCAAAGGACAGTCAACCTCTTTTCAAATCTTACTGTTTTCTCACAAATAACCACTCTTGACTGTGCCTTCATGTGCAGTGGCAGGTTGCCAAGGCTGTGCAAACTTTTCCTGTGGAAAACCCCTTAGGTATAATCCCTCAGGATAGAGACAGGATTAGGAAACACCTGGAAGTCTTCATTTGTACAAGTGGGCCAGCCATTGAAGTCTCCAAATTATATAATTTTAGTTATTATGCTTTAACTGTCACTTATTTATTATTTGCTGTATTTGATAAATAATGTTTTAGCATTTTCTCTGTGACAGACACTGTTCTAGGCACTGGAGATGCAGTGGCAGGAAAGAGACTAGGTCCCTCTACTTAGAGGGGGAAGTGGACTCCAAGAGACATTTGGTAAAGTCAACAGCAATTTCCCTGAAAGTCAGACATAGGCTTTATTTGTAATGCAGTAAAATTGACCTTCACCTTCTTCTTTCTCTCTAGCTACACACCCAGGCTAAGGTTTTCATTTCATTTCTGCTTTTCATTTTATCTGACTGCATCACTCAAGTTGGTTTCTGCCATGTTTTTTTTTTTCTTTTATCTTCTATGGTCTTTTGATCAGTACTTTTAAGCCAGTTTTTTTCTAAAGAATTTGACATGAACACAAGCCCATTAAAGGCCCTGAGAAGTCCTACAGTACTCTGTTTAACTTAAGGCTATTCCAAACCTATTTTTACCATGAACTATGCTTTCTCCCACCCCATAATACTACCCCTGGGTACTTACTATCTGAGCATAAGACCCTGGGTACTGCTGCATTAAGCAATCTTCAAAACACCTAATGGCCTATTTCCTATAATTCTCTCTCGAAGGCTAGGTCTTAGTAAAAAGGTTGAAGCAAGAATGTTTTTTCCCCTTAGGGGTAAGTTTTCAAATTAAAAAAAAAAACAAATTATGAAGCAAAAATGTAACTATTAGATTATTTGTTTTAATTACTGAAAGATAAGAAATACAAGGCATCATTTTTTTCTTTTAAGATTAGCACATTTACTCAAAACAGATTGAGAATAGAATTAAACCAATCAGTAATCACTATAGTATTTTAATATGCTGATGGTTTGAAAGAAAAAAAGGTTAATTGTATGAGTTAGGTGCTAAAATGATAACAGTTACAGCTATACAGCTAATAATATTTATAAGGCTTTTGAAGATCTCATCTTGAGATTAAAATATCACTATTTGACTCATAAACTAAAGCATTTATGGAGCGCTAAGACATGAGTTGAGGTCTTGAATTCATAGTTTTTCATTTGTCTGTTTTTCTTTCTCATTGGTTTTAATAAAAACAATAAAAGGCTTTTTCTGCATCTATTGAGATAATCATGTGGTTTTTGTCTTTGGCTCTGTTTATATGCTGGATTACATTTATTGATTTGCATATATTGAACCAGCCTTGCATCCCAGGGATGAAGCCCACTTGATCATGGTGGATAAGCTTTCTGATGTGCTGCTGGATTCGGTTTGCCAGTATTTTATTGAGGATTTTTGCATCAATGTTCATCAAGGATATTGGTCCAAAATTCTCTTTTTTTGTTGTGTCTCTGCCAGCTTTGGTATCAGAATGATGCTGGCCTCATAAAATGAGTTAGGGAGGATTCCCTCTTTTTCTATTGATTGGAATAGTTTCAGAAGGAATGGTACCAGTTCCTCCTTGTACCTCTGGTAGAATTCGGCTGTGAATCCATCTGGTCCTGGACTCTTTTTGGTTGGTAAACTATTGATTATTGCCACAATTTCAGCTCCTGTTATTGGTCTATTCAGAGATTCAACTTCTTCCTGGTTTAGTCTTGGGAGAGTGTATGTGTCGAGGAATGTATCCATTTCTTCTAGATTTTCTAGTTTATTTGGGTAGAGGTGTTTGTAGTATTCTCTGATGGTAGTTTGTATTTCTGTGGGATCGGTGGTGATATCCCCTTTATCATTTTTTATTGTGTCTATTTGATTCTTCTCTCTTTTTTTCTTTATTAGTCTTGCTAGTGGTCTATCAATTGACAAAATTCAACAACCCTTCATGCTAAAAACTCTCAATAAATTAGGTATTGATGGGACGTATTTCAAAATAATAAGAGCTATCTATGACAAACCCACAGCCAATATCATACTGAATGGGCAAAAACTGGAAGCATTCCCTTTGAAAACTGGCACAAGACAGGGATGCCCTCTCTCACCGCTCCTATTCAACATAGTGTTGGAAGTTCTGGCCAGGGCAATCAGGCAGGAGAAGGAAATAAAGGGTATTCAATTAGGAAAAGAGGAAGTCAAATTGTCCCTCTTTGCAGACGACATGATTGTTTATCTAGAAAACCCCATCGTCTCAGCCCAAAATCTCCTTAAGCTGATAAGCAACTTCAGCAAAGTCTCAGGATACAAAATCAATGTACAAAAATCACAAGCATTCTTATACACCAACAACAGACAAACAGAGAGCCAAATCATGAGTGAACTCCCATTCACAATTGCTTCAAAGAGAATAAAATACCTAGGAATCCAACTTACAAGGGATGTGAAGGACCTCTTCAAGGAGAACTACAAACCACTGCTCAAGGAAATAAAAGAGGATACAAACAAATGGAAGAACATTCCATGCTCATGGGTAGGAAGAATCAATATCGTGAAAATGGCCATACTGCCCAAGGTAATTTATAGATTCAATGCCATCCCCATCAAGCTACCAATGACTTTCTTCACAGAATTGGAAAAAACTACTTTAAAGTTCATATGGAACCAAAAAAGAGCCCGCATTGCCAAGTCAATCCTAAGCCAAAAGAACAAAGCCGGAGGCATCACACTACCTGACTTCAAACTATACTACAAGGCTACAGTAACCAAAACAGCATGGTACTGGTACCAAAACAGAGATATAGATCAATGGAACAGAACAGAGCCCTCAGAAATAACGCCGCTTACCTACAACTATCTGATCTTTGACAAACCTGAGAAAAACAAGCAATGGGGAAAGGATTCCCTATTTAATAAATGGTGCTGGGAAAACTGGCTAGCCATATGTAGAAAGCTGAAACTGGATCCCTTCCTTACACCTTATACAAAAATCAATTCAAGATGGATTAAAGATTTAAACGTTAGACCTAAAACCATAAAAACCCTAGAAGAAAACCTACGCATTACCATTCAGGACATAGGGATGGGCGAGGACTTCATGTCCAAAACACCAAAAGCAATGGCAACAAAAGCCAAAATTGACAAATGGGATCTAATTAAACTAAAGAGCTTCTGCACAGCAAAAGAAACTACCATCAGAGTGAACAGGCAACCTACAAAATGGGAGAAAATTTTCGCAACCTACTCATCTGACAAAGGGCTAATATCCAGAATCTACAATGAACTCAAACCAATTTACAAGAAAAAAACAAACAACCCCATCAAAAAGTGGGCGAAGGACATGAACAGACACTTCTCAAAAGAAGACATTTATGCAGCCAAAAAACACATGAAAAAATGCTCATCATCACTGGCCATCAGAGAAATGCAAATCAAAACCACAATGAGATATCATCTCACACCAGTTAGAATGGCAATCATTAAAAAGTCAGGAAACAACAGGTGCTGGAGAGGATGTGGAGAAATAGGAACACTTTTACACTGTTGGTGGGACTGTAAACTAGTTCAACCATTGTGGAAGTCAGTGTGGCGATTCCTCAGGGATCTAGAACTAGAAATACCATTTGACCCAGCCATCCCATTACTGGGTATATACCCAAAGGACTATAAATCATGCTGCTATAAAGACACATGCACACGTATGTTTATTGCGTCATTATTCACAATAGCAAAGACTTGGCACCAACCCAAATGTCCAACAATGATAGACTGGATTAAGAAAATGTGGCACATATACACCATGGAATACTATGCAGCCATAAAAAATGATGAGTTCATGTCCTTTGTAGGGACATGGATGAAATTGGAAACCATCATTCTCAGTCAACTATCGCAAGAACAAAAAACCAAACACTGCATATTCTCACTCATAGGTGGGAATTGAACAATGAGATCACATGGACACAGGAAGGGGGATATCACACTCTGGGAACTGTGGTGGGGAGGGGGGAGGGGGGAGGGGGCAGGGATACCATTGGGAGATATACCTAATGCTAGATGACGAGTTAGTGGGTGCAGCGCACCAGCATGGCACATGTATACATATGTAACTAACCTGCACAATGTGCACATGTACCCTAAAACTTAAAGTATAATTAAAAAAAAAAAAAGAAAGAAAATGTGGTACATATACACAATGGAATACAAAAACAAAACAAAACAAAAAAAAACAATAAAAATTTTCAATTCAGTGAATTTTCTTAACAGTATCATGAATAGACTTCATTCAACCCTTTTCTGTTATGTGGTTTTGTTACAAAACTGGGGGCTGTGGACGAGCTTCTGATTGTGGTTGAGGGTGTCCCCCACAAAGGCCTGTTCTCTGTCCTTGCTCATCTTTGTCCTGTTCTTCCTCAACTTTTCTGGGCAATCCACCTTTTCATAGCTTTAAGTGACACCAATATATATTCTAAAAAGTATATCTCTAAGCAAGATGTTTTCCCTGAGTTCAAGGTCTAAATATCCACCTGAACAGGACCCTGGCATGTACCACAATCAACTCAATCACAACATATTACAACAAAACCGTTGGTCTTTTTCCTTAACTCACTGTAACACAAAGCAGATAATACAGATTAGCTTTTTTATTTGTCTGTGTGACTTCATCTCTTACATACCTCTATTTCAGTATCTATGATATTTTCCTCTTCTTATCTGTTCAATGACAGTCTTCCCTTTTAATATTCTAAACTTGTCAAGCACAGCAATTAAAAACTTATTCTCATGTATATATTTTATCTTTAGAGCATCGCATAAAGCCTGATACATAGAAAGTTTTAGATGCATATTTACATTGGGTAGATGGATCTAGGGGAAAAGATGAAACCAGGTGATGTGTTGTAGCGAAGGTAAAGGTGTGGCATTGTGCTCTGGGAAGATATACTACCCTAAAAAGAGATATACCTCTGAAGAGGGGGTGAGTCCCAGGGGAAAAAGCAAGATCCCACTTACACTATGAATAGCTAAGAGTTAGATTGATAGAATATTATTGAACACAAGAGTCAGGCTGGTGTAGCAAAATGAGTCAGAGGGCTTTGCCTCTTCTGGCCTTGGCCTCTAATACAGTGTATTAATACTGTCTGTTCCCCCGTCCTTTACCACAGTGAGATCTTGTAGAGGACAGAAACCTTAGTAAAGTCATCTTTGTGTCTATGGCCCCTGCTTAATGATTAGAACATGGCAAACACTCAGCAAATATTTTTAGATAAATAAATGGTCTAGGACAAGTTAGTAGAATGTTTTGAACCTCACTTTCTGGTATGTAACATAGGGATACCAATAACTACATTACTGGCTATTTTAGTGATTGTATTAGTCCATTTTCATACTGCTATGAAGAAATACTCAAGACTGGATAATTTATAAAGAAAAAGAGGTTTACTGGACTCATAGTTCACTTGGCTGGGGAGGCCTCACAATCATGGTGGAAAGCAAAGGAGGAGCAAAGGCAGCAGGCAAGAGAGCATGTGCAGGGGAACTGCCCTTTATAAAAGCATCAGATCTTGTGAGACTTCTTCACTGTCACAAGAGCAGCACAGGATAAACCCGCCCCTATGATTCAATTACCTCCCACCAGGTCCCTCCCATGACACGTAGGGATTATGGGAGCCACAATGATGAGATTTGGGTGGGGACACAGCGAGACCACATCAGTGATTAAATGAGAGTACATATAAAGTAATAATTGCAATGCTTGAATGGAAAATACTATAAAATATGTCATTTTCTTCATCTGTTTGCCACTCTAAAACATGAAATCCAGGATTGTTTCCAGAATTTGGGGAAAAAAAGAAAAAGAGGGAAGGAAGAAATGATAACAATGTGTTTTGAGGGCTTACCAAATGTCCATGTGCTCTCACCTATTTATTTCAGGGACTCTGGAACACTCTGAAAATAAAGAGGTAGGCATTTTTTAAGTAATAAAACTGATGCTTCTTGAAATTAAACCTATGCACTATCACATAGTTAACAGTGATAGGATAAAAAATGATAGCTTCTGTGTCTGACACACAAGCTCTTACTGCAACAAATAGGACTTAAATATTCCCAGTGGGCTGGGCATGGTGGCTCACGCCTGTAATCCCAGCATTTTGGGAGGCCAAGGCAGGTGGATTGTCTGAGGTCAGGAGTTTCAGACCAGTCTGGCCAACATAGTGAAACCTGTCTCTACTAAAAATACAACAAAATTAGCCAGGTGTGGTGGCACGTGCCTGTAATCCCAGCTAATCGGGAGGCTGAGGCAGGGGAATTGATTGAACCAGGGAGGTGGAGGTTGCAGTGGGCTGAGATCATGTCACTGAAGCCTGGGTGACAGAGCGAGACTCTGTCTCAAAAAAAAAAAAAACAAAAAAAAGTTTCCAGTGATGGTGAGTATAGGGGTCAGACGAGGGGAATCAGATAAGATTCCAAAGTTTGTTCCCTTGTAAGAGAAACTGGATATGCTAATTGTGCAGAGAGGCTGTTAAGCCAAACCAAGACTTTTCAAATAAATTAATATCAATTAATATTTTTCAAATGTACTCGCCACAAATCACAACTTAGCGTTAAATGTTCCTATACTTCCAAGAACTTCTTTGAGCTTTCAAGATATGCACTTCTGTTATATTAACCACTGGAAGGAAGCATGGTATTGTAAAGAAGCAGTATCAATATGTAAAATCCCTTCTCCTAGGACCTATCAAAATGACTTGTATATTTTTCCTCATTTAAGGAGAATTTTGTTTCTAAGTCCTTGTATGTGAACAATTCCATTTCTATGTATGACGATCAATTGATCTTTAATCATTTTCGTTCTTACTCCTGTCTTCTCTGCTTCATTTTTGATTTGCACTCAGTTCTTTGCAGTCTTTCTTCTTGGCTTGATTCTTCCACATTAACAGATTTGACAGAGCAGCTTGGGAAGCCTCTGGGAGCAGAAGACCAACATATATAAATGTTTACTGCAGCTGGGGAAGTTACCTAGTTACATCTACTCTCCAAGATGACAGGGATGGTATGTTCAAAGTGTCTGCAGGGAGGCTTGAGGGGAGTTTTAATGCAATGCCTTTCTTCACTTAGGCTTAAAAGACTTAAAGCTATCTAATGTCCCAGGTTAAACTGCATGATGGACTATTCCTGTTAGCATATGAAATAGAGTAATTTTTGATATTTTACAGTCTACATGCTCATACTGCCACACATGAAGTTTTCTTGAATGATTTTATGGATAATAATATAGCCATCAGTTATGTAGACCTAGGAAACAATCTCTTTTTTGCTGATTCTTAGAGGATACTTAAGGCTCATGTGATAAAACTGCTTCATATGTCTCTGGAATAATAAAACATAAGATTTTGTTGGTAATTAAAACTTTAAATGAAGCATGTATCATGCTCTTATAGGGTAAAATTAGTGATGAAAATATTTAATCCCCTAGAAATGCTTATTGCAGTTTATGTCCTTTATTATTTTAATGTAGTTTGAAAATGAGAAGTGGTTTTGGGTGGCATAAATATAAAATTATATTGACAAAGCAATCAATAAGAAATTGCCAACAGTCACAAAAATATTGTGGAATGTATGATATAACATAATATAGACATTGTCTCTACTGTATTTAAAAATGGAAGCAAGTATTCTTATTACTGGCTGAGCTTACAGAGAGCACACCAAACTGTGAGCTCCCTGAGCACAAAATCAATTTTTCATCATCTCTTTCTATTTATATACCCACAATGACTGACAATCTTGGTTACTGCTTAAAAGCCCTAGCTTCTAGAATACAATGGTCATTTTGAAAACAGGGTCTTCCATTTAATGGAGGTATGACCGTGGACAAGTCATTTAACTTCCTCTGTCTTGGTTTCCTTATCAGTAATTTTAACAAACTGGTAATACCTACTTCATATGCAGACTGAAGGAGTTAATTACATTGAGAGTGTTTAGAATGGTGTCCGGCACATAGTAAGGCCTATCTAAATGTTTACTATTATTGTTGATATTTCTATTGTTGTTTTTATTATAAGTGCCATTAGAATTATTTTTACAATGTCTTACAATCATCTGATGACAAGTGCTATGCTTATTGAATGTGGTTAAACTTACATGTGTGGGTTTTTTTGCATTTTTTTCTTCTTTTAGAAAAATTAAAAATGTCCACTGAAAGTTAGGGTAATAAAGTGTCCTTGTTCAGCAAACATGAGAGAAATATAGTCACTACCTGGCCCATTCTAGTTCTGCTACAGCTTGAACCAGTGAGGTCAGGAAACTATCAGCAGCTTTCTCCCCACTGTAACCCAAAGGCTGGAGTGTGGGGAGATAACAGATCATCCTGCCACCTTCCAAAATTTGCCTTTATAAACAGCCTACCTGGTGTTTTTTTTTTCCCTCCTCATACATGTATTTCTTGGACATTTTATTAGTTAAGATGCTTTCTATAGCAAATAGGAGAACGTCAAACTTAAATTGGCTAAACCTACAAAAATATTCACTGCCCTCCTAACTGAGAGTCTAAAGAAGGCCTGATTTAGGGTTGCTCTTTCTGGTGATGAGTCTCTTTCCCCTGAAATTCCCTTGGCTCTCCCTTCCTCTGAGTGCTGGTTTTATCCTAAAGTGGTAACCAGTCTCTGACCTCACATCTGCATGCAACAAAGTCTGAGGGAAGAATATTATACCTTCCTGTGTTTCTCAACTGCTAATAAGGAAACATTTCCCAGAATCCCTCCAAATTTTTTACTTTCATTTGATTGGCCCAAATAAGGTCACATGCTTACTCCTTTAGCCAATTTCCATGGCTTCAATGTGAAATCTTGAGGGATGACCATTACAAGTTTAGGCTAAGTAGGGTCCACCACCTGAGCTGGGCTCAATCTTCAAACTGCTTGGCTATATGAATTGGGTATTACCTAGCCCACCGAAACATTTACCACAGACATTGAGGATTCCTCCAGGGCCCTGGCACCTTCAGTAGCTTAAGGCAGATCCCTATCAGGAGAGAGGAGATTTTTTTCAACTCATGGTATTTCCTCCAGAGCATTCCCTAATTTAGATCTACCATGATCTAAACTGAATATCGTGAATTTAACAAGCTAATTAAACAGACTGAACAGAATTGTTGGCATTATTTCAGAAGTGATGTTTTACATCCATCCTGAAACACTGGGCTAGATGTTCCAGTATATTAAAACATGCCTGAATCTAGTTTTTTATTCCTTGGGTTTGATTTTCTGTGAATTACTGCATCTTCTTTATTTTCACTTTGATCCCCAGGGTTGCCCACATACCATAGTCCTCCCTTTTCTTCTATACTTTCCCTCTCTGCTTTGCTTTCACTATATTCTCAAACTACCCTATGACTGATACCAGTTATCCAAACTTCTACTGTGACCTTATGCATGCTTATTGTCCATACTGTATACAGATCATCCGTGTTAATACAACACTAGTCTATCTTTAATGATTATGATGGTGGGGACTGCAGCATTTTCGCTGCCACGTAAATTGTTAGGCACTAGTTGTATGACTGTTTAAACTAGACATGTGTGGTTGTTAAAACACACACACACAACACAAGCTGTGATAGGCTCTATGAAGAAAAATAGTATGATAGAGACTACAAAAAGGTGAGTGACAAACTAATTTAGATTGGATTGTCAGGAAGGTTCTTCTGGGAAACTGACATGTAAGATGACACTTGGAGGATGAGAAGAAGCCTGGATATGAAGAATAGAGGGCACAGCTTTCTAGATGGAGGAAACAGCATATGGGGAGAATAGCCAGGGGAGTCTGCTGGGGCTGAGTGAGTGTGGGCCACAAGATAAAAACAAAGAAATCGGCAGGTCTGGATCACTGAGGAACATGGAGGCAAGTTTAGGAGAGTGAAGTTTATTACAAGTTCAGTAGGAAGGTTCTGAAGAATTATAAGCCAGACAGTGACATCCTCAGGGTTTAACATTTTACTGCTCATTATAGATGTTTTCTAGATTAAAAAAAATAATTGGGAGGGCATGAATGGAAAAGACGACTTAGGAAACTTCTGAAATATTCCATGCTGGAGAAGACAGTATTTAGACTATAGCGGTGACAGGGAAAATGTTAAAAAACAAAAAAAGTGAATTAGTGATGTAGTTGGAAGGTAAAAGCAATTTTCTACAGAAGCATTTCATTTAGAAATTGATGGAAGGAAAATAAATCAAGAGTGACTCCTATATTTCTGATGTGAACAACTGTGAGGAGATGGGTTCCCAAGATGAGCAGGCTGAGTGAGGAAAAGGTTGTTGGGGTTCTTTGAGAGTTTAGCTTCATTCAGATTAAATCCAAGTAGAGCAGTCAAGAAGGCAGTCAGATATAAAGTCTGGTGCTCAAAAAGAGAAATCTTAGTTAGAGATAGAACTTTGGGAACTGTAAGCAAATAGATTGTATTTAATGCCACAAAGTTGGATGAGGTAGTAGTAAGTAGAGAAGAGTAAGTACAGATAGTAGTAAGTAGAGAAGAGATGATAAGATGAGTGAGGGAAAAGTTCTGGACAATCCCAATGTTTACAGCTTAAATGAAACAATGGAGCTGTTGAAAGAGCTTGAGATGTGGTTACAAAGAGAGGGGGAAATCTAGGAGAGTATGAAGTCATAAGAGCCACGTGATATTTCAAGAAAGAGGCATGATTAAGAGTCTGGAATGCTGCTGAGGAGTGTAGTAAGATGAGAATTGAAAAATGCTCTTTAGATTTATGTGGAAGTCATTTGTGACTTGGAAAAAATGGTTTTATTGGAGTAGGAAGGCAAGAAGTCAGATTGAATTGTCTAATGTTGACAGGTAAGAGTTAGAAACATTGGTTGTAGACAACATTTGTTTTTATGAATATTAGTCTTTTTTTTTGAAAAGAAGTTTAGTAGTCATCTGATTAAAATCATGCTGAAGAAAGCAGTATTTATTAAACCATCCACTCTTATGATAAGTATTCTAAATCTTGTGTTGTTAGGGACTCTTTCTCCTCTCCTTCTGTCTCACATTCCCCCCAACAAAAAATACATATCAGAATTGCCATATGGTGAGAAGAAGCAGGCAGATAGAAAGATGTTTATAAAAACAAAATAAAACCCTGGAGAGACAATGTAAGCCAAAAGAAAAGGGGCAGATGGATAAGCATGCACAGAAGAATAAGCCCTTAGCCTCTGCACAATCAATACATGTTGACTGGCTATTGACAAGAAAGGGGACAGGAGAGCCAGGGAAGCACATTGGGGGAAAGGCATTTCTTCATGACAGCTGCTGTTGCCACCACCAACCAGCTGTTCAGGCCCACAGCTCAGAACTTTCTGATCCCTTTACAACTCTACTAGAGGACCCCAACTCACACCTGATACTGCTGTCTCAGAAGAGGTGTCATGTGTGATTTATACTGTATTGAGCCAGAACTTGTTAAGTCACTGAAGAGGCCAGAAGAAAACTGCCTATGCAATGAATGAGTGAGTTTACATTGCAGTCTTTCCATGCCCTGAGCTCTGATGATCCTCGAAGCCACTGGAATATGCAAACATAGTTATAGTCTTTCCAGCTGTAAAGAGGAAGCCATATTTCAGTGACTTAAAAGAAAAACATTCTCTCATCTCTTTGGTGGGATTAGGTTGAGGATGGTTAAGATTAGGTTAGGTTTAGGTTGTTCGTTGAACTCACCTATTCATGTCTATTGAAAATATTGTTCTTGATTTTCTTGTCTATGAGCAGTCTGAGAATATCTTACTAGTGCTTTTCCATGCCACATATAACAGAGCTCCTTTACTGCTCATTTACGTATGTCGTTTGATAACAAATTTTCCACTTACCCACAAGGAACTGATGTATCAAACAAATTCCTTTTATTTTAAATATATTAATTTATTGATTACTTAGGAATGCCCTGGATAGAGGCAAGAATATTTCCATCACTATAGAGGTGTATATCTTAAATCACCCAATTTTTTAATGCATTACTAAAATACCACCAGTAATATTGATATTTTATAACAAATATGTTCACAATATATGATTTAAAAAAAAACAAACAGTGGAAATAAAAATGTAATACATTTGGTAACACAAACATTTCACCACATGAATCTGGCATTATTTGGTGGAGTGGGACAAGGTAAGACAGGAGGAGGTAAAGAACTTGGAGGAGGAGAATGGTAGAGGGAGGCTGTGAGCGCTTGGGCTGAGGATATCAGAGTCGTGAGGGGGAGGGCTTGGGAGGCAGAGAAAGATAAGGATGGGAAGTTGAAGAGAGAACAAAAAAAAGTGAACAAAACTGAAAATGAATGCCTGAAACAATGGCATTACACATACAAAAATACTACCAGTTTGATTCTTAAAATTAGCACAGAGTATCAGAATGCCAGTATCATATTTGCTAAGGAAGTCTGGAGAAATACTGGTGTTTGCCTTTTGCTTTCCTTTCTTCAAGACTTATGATAGACCACCCAGAGAACTCCTTTGTATTCACAGTCTATAATTACTAGGTTTCATCTTTACTTATTGCTTCTAATGAATAAAAACATATGTTAACATGCTCCAGTCTCAATACCACTGTTCAGCACTAATGATTTAATTACCACGGCATACAATCTATGTACACATTTATTCTATTCATTTCCTGCATTAGGGAAATCTTCCATGACCCAGGCTTATTTGGAAAGTGACAGTGAAATGCATGAAATGAATCCAAAATATTGAAAATTTCATCTGGGAGAACCGGACCATATAGAGAACAAAAGCTGATAGCGATGGGATTAATTGGCTCCGTGTCTATTTATTGAGCACTGTACTAAACACAAGGGAAGCAAACATAAATAAGACAGTTTTTGCAATGATGAAAGTTAGCCTTTAGTAGAGAATCAGGTGAGGTGACTGCCATAAACAATTAAATCACAATGTGACAGGTGTTAGGATAAGGGTGAGAACAGGGTACCATGAAAGCATTTAGAAAAGAGTTTTATTCCAGACTGGAGAGTGAGAAGGGAGCAGCCATGGAAAGGGCATATGGCAGGAGTCCTGAGCAGTGACTTGGAGAGAGGCGGACACATTTAATATTCCAAGCAGAGAGCCATGAGCAATGGCCTGAAGTTGAAGAGAACAAGACAGGTTCAGGAAAGCAAGATTAGTTGTTCTTGTGGCAAGGTCAGGCATAGAATCTGTATCAGGGGAAAGCAGCAAGGGATAGATGGAAGGAAAGCACAAGCAAGACCATTATAGACCTCTGTTCTATGCTATTTGAACTTTCTGAAAAGCCATGCAGAATTTCTGGAAAAAAATTAAGAAGAAAGGGGCATAAACATATTTGCACTCTAGAAAGATTACTCTAGCAATATTGAAAACACATGGAATAGAGGATGTAAGGACAGAGGGAGTGAGGAGGCCATTATAGCACTACAGAAAAAAAAAAGTGAACTTAAGAAACTAGAGACAAAATGACTCAGGCTTGTGGGGAAGGAAGCAGACTCAGGTTTATAGTTTGTCAAGTGCTTAAATAATAGAGCTATCTATTGAGCTAAGACACATTGATTCCTCCATTCAGCCAAAATTTATTGGGTGCCTATCATGTGCCAGGCGCTCCTCTGGGTTTAGAAGTAAAGACATAAAAGATAGAGAAGATCCTTTGGCTTATGGAGTTTTTGCTCCAGTCGTAAGGGTGGAATCAAGTTTACAGGAAGGAAGCTGGTGGGTTTCATTTTGGACAGAACGAGGACGAGCTATGTGGGAGAACATTCAAATAGAGCTAGGTAGGAAGGTGGCAGTCATGGCTGGAGACAGTGATAGTGAATAAATAGCATATGAGTGGTTCCTGAAAACATGACAGGGAATGTGAACATGTGAGAGAATGCATGAAGTGGGATCCATGGAAGACTTTTAGAAAGTTGATAAAAACTCTGACATTTTATAAAAAAATCATCACATATGTTTGTTTTCCTGACATATTCTTGGCTTTTAATGGATTCCTGAAATGGTTAGAAACCAACAGTTCAGAGTTAGAAGAGAAAAAAATAAAGACAGGAACATGGGCTACAAAATCAGAGGTATAACTATTAAAGGAGAGATGTCTTTATAAAAATCTGAGCAATAGATGCAAGAGAATTATAAGAAAATGTGAAATTATGGTATCAAGTGGCATGAGGAGCAGAGTCTCAAGAAGGAGGAAATAATTTATCATTTCAAATGCTGCAGAAGTCAAGAAAGAAAAAAAAATAAATAACTGGATTTAACAGCAGAGACCACTGATGACCCTGGTGAGAACAGTTTTGGTGAAAGGATGGATCAGTGAGTTAAAGATACCTGGAGAATAAGAAGGCGGCAACAGTGAGTGCAGGCATCACTTCAAAGAAATTAGTGTATCAGTGGAAGGAGAGAAAAGACAGTAGAGAGATAAGCACACAGGGTCAGGAGAAGTTTGTTTATTTGTTCTAATATAGGTGAGCCTTGAATATGTTTAGACAATCACAAGAAAGACCAGGATATAAGGAGATATTGGAAATACTAGAGGGGATAATAACTGATATATTCAAATCTTCAAGGATTCAGGAAGAAGCAGGACCCAGGATGCCACCTTACGTGGAAATGTGGATACTACTTCTATGATGGACGAAGAGGAGGAAGTTGTTTGCAGATGCAACTGACTCTGTAGGGTCAAGGGCAGAGAATAAGTCTAGTTCCTATACTGCAGCCTTCATTTTCTCCTAAAGGAGATGGAGGAGTCATGGGATTCAAGACTTGAATTATTATGATGTGATATACACACTGGGAGGAAGGGGATAGATTCATTGGAAAGGATTCAAACTTATTTGCAGTTTGAAACCTTAAAGATTTAATGGCATGAATTTATGCAGATATAATTTCCTTCTTTAGTTTTTAGCATAGGAAGATATTTAGAGTTTTTGAAAGATGATGTGTTCCAGGTAAGTTCTATGAAACAAAGGAGGGCCTGCATTGAAAATATGAGTTTCAATTGCATATCTATTAGAGTTATGGACCTTGAGTGTTAAGATGGAAGGACAAAGAATAGTCCTAATAGAGGGACTGGGTGGGTAGGAGAGAATCAGGGAGCCAATCATGTATCCATGAGCTCAAAGAACAAACTTGGAATGAGGGAGAAGATGTGCACGTGTGCAGGGAGGTGGCATTGTTATGGAAGGGGTGGAGGAGGGCTGAAGGAAGAAGGTGAAGAGAGAGGCTTGGGGAAACTGAGCATGTAGGAGAATTTATTTTCTTTAGATCAGAGATCTCATAGGAAAAAGTTAAAGTGGAAGAGAGAGCTAAGATTGGAGGTTTGAAGAAAAGAAACTCAGAGGAATATGGAGGTTTGCACACGGATAGGGATAGATGACTGGGACAGCTTGATTCTTACCATGACAAAAAGGGACGTGGCTGTGAAACATCTCAAGTCCACCAATAACTCTTTCATGGTCACATAGTGGTGAGCAAGATAGCTGGGTGTCAATTCCTGCTTTCTTAATTGCTAGTCCCAGTCTATTTTCAGGTTTGTCTTCATAAGGTGTTTCTTATTTAATGGACATTTTAAATTTCAGGATTTATCATAATATAAGAAACACATTTCTTTTAAAAAGATAAATCCAAATGCTAGAGAGGAGTTTTCATTTTGGTTGTCTGGATAGGGATATTGGTTTTAAAAAAAATTAATTGTAGTTTCCTTTTCCAAAAATCCAGACATTTTCTAGAGAAACTAATTATACTCTAAAGAAACTAAAAAGGGAAGAAGTTCCTTTAAATATGATATATATCAAAGTAGCTGACAAGCCTTCTAAAGGCTTTTATTTTAAACAGTATAATTGGTTTTAATAATTGAATTGTGTTACAAAAGTTTATGAGAAAATGTTTTATAGACTTCCAGGTAAGGGTGAGGGTAGGGGCTAAAATTCAATTTATAATGACAAACAGTATTAAAATAGGTGAAAGCCAACATATGCACTAAAAACTAGAGAAGGATGGTTTCCTTAAGGCAGACACATCAAGGACTATCTACTAAGTGCATGTAGATGGGGTCAAAAAAATGCTGGCGGTGAGGACTAACACACAATACCTCCTACTGTAAGGTAACTGCTTCAACAAAAGTTCATCCAGGAATCCTCCATTTGTGACCTTATCTGTGTATATTGCATCCTCATCTTTTGCATTTACTTGGCCAGTAATAATGCCCCAAACATTTGGAGTACATTTAGAACTTCTGATTATTACTATTTTTTTTTTTCGTGAGCTAATTATGTCAGTTGTCAATGTCCATGTGGTTGAGATGGAACTGACAGTATCTCTACTTGAAAAAAAAGTTAGCTGACCAGGAGCGGTGGCTCACGCCTGTAATCCCAGCACTTTGGGAGGATGAGGTGGGCGGATCACGAGTTCAGGAGATTGAGAACATCCTGGCTAACACGGTGAAACCCCATCTCTACTAAAAATAGAAAAAATTAGTCAGGCGTGGTGGCACATGCCTGTAGTCCCAGCTACTCAGGAGGCTGAGGCAGGAGAATCACTTGAACCCAGGAGGTGGAGGTTGCAGTGAGCCAAGAAGGTACCACTGCACTCCAGCCTGGGTGACAGAGCGAGACACCATCTAAAAAAAAAAAAAGAAAAAAGAAAGAAAAAGAAAAAAGAAAAAAATAATTAGCTGTGAATTACAGAAAACCCAAGATAACAGCTGAAACAGATTGAAATTTATTTTTCATGTAAATTAAGATAGATGAGTGACCAGGACTGGCAATAAGCCCTTTGGTATTCCAGATCAAAATTCCATCACTTTTGTTGCACTGCCATCCTCCCTGAAATGGCATATACACTTCTTACATGCTATGGATCAAAATAATACACCCATGAGCATACATCTAGCTCTAAGGAAGGATGGGAAATGAAGCCATGAAGCCAACTAAAATCCAAGAGTTATATTTATAAGGGAAGAAAGGGAGAATGAATTTTCAATGAAACTAGCAATGTCAGCAACACCACCCCTGGTATTAGAGTGGGCACTCAGAGCATTGAATCCCTTTGGCTGATAGAAATGGTTTAGAGATGCAGTTCCTTTATACTGCAGAGAACATTATAATCCTCTCACCACAGAGATTGTAACAGGAATGCAAATAAACTAAGAATGGCAAATTTGCTTGTATTCTGGGGAACTCTTCTTCTAGACTTAATCCTGCATTGATGTAAGCCTGGAGCTGCTAGTGGCATCATAAGAGTAAAGCCAAAAAAGAATACTGATTCAAGAGATGGGGAGACAGACAGACTGACAACATTAAACCCTGGGGTAGAGGCATGCCGAAAACTTTGTCTAACTCTGAATATTTTAATGAAGTAAATCAATAACTATTTGTTGAGTCTGTGTCACATAGAATGAAAGCTTATTGACCAAAAGAGAGGGCTGGAGATACAGAAAGAACTCAGGGAACATACCACTTGGATTCTGTTTTACTGGCATGAATCAGCTCCTTTGAATATAGAATCTAGGGCAACATGATGTACTTCTGTTCACAAAAATAAAAGAATGAAAAACAAAAGGATTAAATATATAATAGAGAAGAAAAGAAGAAAACTGATTGGGTAGTAAATTTTGATGGATGAGATTTTTCAATACATTTTTGAAAGACAGGAAAGGAATGGTCAATTGTACAAAGATGGCTGCAGAGAAGAGGGAAACCAACTG
Organism: Homo sapiens; assembly: GCF_000001405.40. Classification (NCBI taxonomy): domain Eukaryota; kingdom Metazoa; phylum Chordata; class Mammalia; order Primates; family Hominidae; genus Homo; species Homo sapiens. The sequence goes on along the minus strand of NC_000001.11, from coordinate 83,325,471 downwards.
ATGCAGTGAATCCCAGAGAGACTCTGCCCCATAGTTAGTGAGTATGATAGAAGAGAGCAACAAAATAACTACTCCTATTGGCACCCTTTTCTCCCTCCCATATCCGTGTTGTGGAGTGAAGACAGTCTGATATTTACCATGAGTCAAATCTCTTCCATACCAAAATTAAAGTAGCCATCCAGAAAAATCAAGTCTTTTAAGTGTGGTGTTGGTGACCCTCCTCATTCTGTAATTTGGGGACCCAATGTCTGCGTGCACTATACCATTCTCACACTTCCCACCCTCCTGGCTGGACCTTCTGCTCATGGAGAAACAAGGTGAGACATAGTGAGAAAATTAGCTCCTTACAGATGCAGAAAATACCCACGTGGTTACCTAGTCCTATTCGTGTAAAAATCATCAAAGATTATAAGACATATATAAAAATTTAAGAACAAAGATTTTTAAAAGTTTTCCCAGAGTAAACAAGGAGTAGAAAATATTTTAATGTCAATAAACACCAAAATATAATACCTTTAATTAATATTCACACAGATATTTGAGAAGATATTGTGTTCCATAAAATTAAGATAGGATGCTATGAAAAGTAACTACTATAATGTAAGAATGGGATGTTAGACATTAAAAATAGAATTACTAACATTTAATGGGATGTTAGACATTAAAAAGAGAATTGCTAAAATTTTAAAAAGTCAAGAAAGCTGCTTCAAATATACAGGAAATCTTCCAGAATGTAAAGAAATAAAAGTAGAATCAAAAACATAAAGGAAAGGATGGAACCTAATAAACAAGTGCAGAGGTCCAGTAACTGACAAGTAGACATACAGAACAAAGAAAATGGAAGGGCGAACATTATCCAAGAAATAATAGGAGACACTTTCTTTGAGTTACAGAACATAAATCTTTAGGTCGTATATTACTGAGTGCCTTGTACAAAGAATGGAAATGAAAACGAAACCCACATCTGGATACATTCTTGTAAAGTTTTAAAACATCAAGAAAATCTTAAAGATTCCAAACTTTTTAAAGAGGAGAAAACAATTTCCCACAAAGAAATGAAAATCAAACTTGCATCAGATTCTCGACAGCAACAATTAATGCTAGAAGAGAACAGAGAAATGGCTACAGCATAGAGGGAAAGTAATTTTCAACCTTGAAATCTGTAATCACAAAAATAGTTAGCATGAGGGCAGAATTGAGGTATTTTTTGATGTTTAAGAGCCCAGAAATTTTATCACCATTTTCAATATGTAATTGCATTCAGTAGCTAGCAACTGAGATCAGAAATAACAGTTACTTAAATTGCATATAAATTTTTCTCTTTCCCTTGTAAAATATATTTTTAAGTAAGTGGCAGCTATGTTTTAAGTACAATATAGTGTAACAGGGCTAGTATAGCAGTTTTATGATGTCATCAGCTTCCCAGACTTCTTAGGGCCTGGCTCCTCTCTTTGTTATCCTTAGTGCATGGCTTCTGTTCACAAGATTACCTCATGTTTCAAATGGCTGTTGGAGTTCCTCTTATCACGTCTGCATTCCAGTTAGAAGTAGGGGCATGCTTGTCTATGGAGTGCTTACCAGGTATTTTAACCCATCAAAGAAGTGTTCCCTGAAATTGCACCCAACAATGCCTCCTTAAATTATTGAACATACCTAGCTGCAAGGTTGCATCTTTATTTGGGCACTTTGCAGCCCAAGAAAAAAAAAAATCAAATTCTGTTCCTTAGTAAGAAAAGGAGAAAGGATGTTGAGGAGAAGATAACTAGGTCCCACATCATGAAACAAGCAGCCACACCTCCCGAATCTCTTTACATTTTGGTAAAGTTATCTGAGGGTGTACTCTAGCAAAATGAGGGAGAAGACCAAGAAATACAAAGACACAGGGACAAAGAAGCAGAGCAATACAGGGGAATCTCAGGATGACAGTGGTCCATCCGGCTTTAAGGTGGTCGTTTTAGAGTGCCATAGGAGAATGCTGGGCTCTGGGAGGGAAGCCAATGAAGAGAAAAGAAGATATCATGCAGGGGACTCTGTGATTGAGGGGATGGCACAAAGTGGAGGTATGATAAAGCATGTGATTCAAAAGAAAAGGAATGGCAATATGAAATTTCAGGAAAAAAATAAGTTGCATGTAAACAATTGATTTGAAGCAATTGTTGGAATATAAGAGAATTTGTCTTTGCCTTGGTGCTCCTAACATTCTCTTCTAGGTGGCTTAGGAGTTTTGGTATTATTCATATACGAAAGGAAATGTAACCAGCACACATTCATAATAACATAATAATGTAATAATGTCGTAATGGTTTTCAACTTTGGTTAACTCATGGAAAAATTGTGTAAGAACTTAGATGGTGATGCAGAACTAAATGAATATATTAACCAAAAAAAACTGGTATAAATGTAAAAGAATAGCACACAGACAGTGGGAAGTGAAATGGTAGAGGGAATGTGGAAGCAAATGTAAGCACACTAATATTTGAAATATTAAATATAATCTAACAACAAATTGAAGAATTGCAAGAAATGGTTCTATTAAGCATTGAGAAGAGAAGTGGAGTGGGTTAAAGGTTTACTTAGCAAAACTTTTTAAAAAAATTGTAGGCAATCAATCAATACCTGTCCGGAGTGTTTAAATAAAGTTACAGAGATGTAAGTTTATTATCTAGTATTTTGGAGGTAACAGGAACATGTTAAAGAGGTTTTTCCACAGTGCCTAGAGCATAATCATTCAATACATGTTAGCTGTTTTAACCATTATAGTGAATTTTAATTTGAACTGATTTTTAACAAGTAATTTTACTTTCTTTCTTTCTTTTTCTTTATTTGAGATATTAAAAATATCAAAAATTAACACCTATATTACCAATAAAAAAAAAGAGGTTTCTCCTGGAGAGTGGGACTACAGGTTTAAACACGTATGGGGGTAGGAGGTATAGAAATTAGGATAGGCTAATCTTAGTATTTGATTTATTCACATGTGAGAGTATTATTTTAATGATACACATTACAAAAATTGAAACAGGAAGATTTCGAATTTTGCTTGGGAACGTCACAAAACACAAAACTCAGCAGGGAAGCAGGGCCTTGTTTCCAGTGTAATATGGGCTTCCCTTTGATGTGGTGGCATCAGGTGGGAGACCAAGCACAGACACAGCTGGAATCTGCTCCAGCCAAACAGAAATTGGTACAGAAAATTGACCTCTGGTGAAGTACCTTTACTAAACACAAAAGAAAGAGAACATAGAAAACATCTCTCTACTGGGACTACACTCAACCTGGCTTCACTTCTCTCAGGTTGTTGAATAATGTAATTATTGATGTGAACTTAGACTTATCAGCTTCTTTAGCATGTTTGAAAGTTCTAACAATAACACAATATACAGTGAAGACAAGGGCACTCTTCATTTAGGAATGTATGCATTTTAGATAAACATCCCATTGAGACTATGAAAAAGTCCACGCTGTAAGAAAAGAGATGATGGCAATTAATATGAAGAAACTGGTCACAATTTTTGGAATAATTATGACAGTAAACAGATAAAATTGTATAAGTAACTATTGTATAATTATATAATTATGATAGTAAACAAACAAATGAAATTGTATAAATTACAAATATTAGGAAAATATTAGGAATGATTATATACCATGTATCAGTCAGGATAGGCATGATGTTGCTGCAGTAACAAAAAGTCCAAAATATCAGTGGCTTCAAGCAGGAAGATCTTATTTCTTGCTTATCCTACATATTTAGCATGGGTTGATAATGGGCTCTAGGACTTCACTCTAGGACCCAGGATGATGAAGAAGCCATGACAGTGAGTGTTGCTAATCACTGAGGTACAAAGATTATGAACGAGAGTATGACAATTATCTCATAACTCTTAAAGCCTCTGCACATAAAGTCTACATTCATCTTCCACTTACATTTCATGAGTCGAATCAGGTCACATGGCCGTTACTGATTTCAATGGGAACAGTACCTTCTCTACAACCTAAAAAACAAAACAAAACAAAACTAAAAACATGTGAACAGCCTCAATGACTACCATATTAGGAAACTAAAAAGCAATTTCAGAAAGAAAATTACTAGCAGTAAAAAGTTCAGAAGTGAATTGATAATTCTGAAAATCAAATAAATAATTTGAAAGACAAATGGTAATTACTCTTAAAGTGCAGCAGAAATATTCAGACACAAAGACAATAGGAACGAATATGGTAGAAATTGAACACCAGAGACAAGAGAGCCAATGAAGTGTAATATTTCTTATTAAAGAAAAGAGGGAAAACATGAAGAAGCTTCTCTGACCTGTGAAAGGCCCAAGTATACAGATCAAAGTGTTCACTGAGTAGCAGGAAAAGTTAATGAAAAGATAAAAATGGCTGGTTCAGTTTTTAAACATCAAGAATAATGAAAGAATCTTAGGCATCCAGAAAGAGAAAATTAAATCACTCTTTTTATTTTTTTTTCAAACTGACATGTAACAGACATAAAGAAAAGTGCATAAATCGCAATTGCACATCTCAATGAATCGTCCCATGAGAAAACAATTGAGTGACCATTACTCAGGCCAAGAAATAGAACACTCTTAGTATCCTAAAGACATCCTCATGCACAGTGTAATTATTACACTCTCTCTCCTACTCAAAGGTAACTGCTATCCTAACTTCTAAACTTATTTTTAGTTTTGCCTAGTTTTAACCTTGATCTAAATGGAGCCACACAGTGAAGGCTCCGAAATATGACTTTCCTCACTTTCATATATGTTCTTGAGATTCCAACGTATTGTTCTCTTGTAATTGTAGCACATTCAGATTTATTGTTGCATGCGATTTCATTGTGTGAATATACCAAAATATTTATTTATTCTAGTATTGATAGACTTGATAGATATGGTTGTTTCCAGGTGTTGCTGTTACAAATAATGATACTATAAACATTCTTGAACATATATTTTGCAGCACACACACACATTTCCATTAGGTGTGAAATTGTGAAATGTACCCCATTGTTACCTTTATTGGAGGTCATGCCTGGGTATCATATAGAAAATTGCAGCACTCCTCCCTCCCCTTAGAACTTCCATTCTCCTTTCTCTGCTTTATTTTCTCCATAGCACTCAGTCCTCATCTAATAAACTATATTGTATTTATTTATCTTGTTTATTGTCTATTATTTGCTTACTAGAATGTAAGCAGCATTAGAACTGAGATTTGGGTTTATTTTGTTAATGGCTGTTTTCCCAACATGGAAGAAATACTCAATAAATTTGTGAAAGAGTTAATTATTTTATATAATTGTGAGTGGGGTTCCATATCTCATCAGACATTTATTGCACATTTCATTATATTTTCTCTATACTGACTGTTTATAGCTCTTGCAAATTTTTCTTCAAGATTTTATATATGCATTTTGAAAATTTTGAAAATTTGTTTTGTGTCTGTTGCATATATTGCAAAATTCTTTTCCAGTTTCTTGTGGGCCTTTTGACTTTGTTTATGGTAAGTTTTTGTCTGTTTTAATGTAGTCAATGTTATCAAATCTTTGTAAAGGTGTTTAGTTTTCATGTCTAATTTAGAAAGATCTTTCTCATTTCAGTATTATAAATAAATACACAGTGCTTTCTTTCTAGAAATTTTATGCTTGCTTTAAATCTTTGTTCCATCAAAAATTTATCTTGTTTTAAAGAATGATGACTTATCTTTACTTTTATTCATATGATTTATAGAATTATCCCTATCTTCCCTACTAATTTACAGTTCCATCATTACCATAAACTAAAGCCAATCGTGTGTGTCTCTCTTTTTCCTTTACTCTGTTTTATTGTTTGGTCTAACTTATTTCTGGTGCCATTATAAATATGTATTCATTTCTAGTGCTAAGGTTTTAAAAATTATTTTATTTGATAATATATTTTTAAATTCTATGACTGTCTGCCCCCATTATTAGATTTTTCTAATTTTCTCCATTATTAGAAAATGTCCTAGCCTCTACATATTTATTTTCAAGGTGAATTTAATATAATTTGTTTAGTTTCCTATAGGTACAAAAATCAAATATAAATCTAAAAACTACAAGGGAAAAAGCATGTAAATGACAACAAAATCCTCTGGGTTTGTTAATTAGGATTGCATTGAATATATAGATGAGTTTAGTGAACAGTGACATAATGATGCAATTATATCTTCCTATTCAAAAGCATAGGATAGCTTTTCAGTTATTTGAATCCTCGTTTATACTTCTTTATAGCTTTTTAAATTATGTCTGATGCAATACTTGTAAAATTTATATCTAACCATTTTACCATTTTCCATTGTTTTTTAAACAACATACATTTTTTAATATTCTGTATTCTGATGGTGATTATTTGAACATAGGCAATTATAGACTTTTATATATTATCTTTCAATTTCTCTCTTATTAAATTCTAATATTTTTCATAACAGGTTTATAATCATTCCCATAATCCCTTGCATAATTGCAAGAGAGAAAAATTATAGAATTGACTTATAAATCCAAGATTTAAAAATAGTGAAAAATCCAGCTGATTTTGACATGTTTATTAAATAGGTATGTATTAGAAAGACAGTCAAAAGAAACATATAAAGAGAAAATATAAGCAATACATACTTAACAAAAGGATTTAAAATATTATTAAAATGCTAAGTACAATAATATAATTAATTTTCTACAGAGTTGCCAATGCATATCAATAAGAGAAATACAGTAATTTCAATAAATAGTACTGAAACAACTGGGTATTACTATGGAAAAGAAATGGGCCTTCACCCTTACATCAGGCCGTACACAAAAACTGACTCAGAATGGATCACAGGACTAAATGTAAAAGCTAAAATACAAAACAGATTGTGGGAGGATAGGAAAAAATCATCATCATGATGGTATGCTACGCACTATACTCACAATAATAGAAAAAAATGAAAAATTACACCAAATGTTTAAAGTTTTGCTCATAGAAAGATATTCAGTTAAGAAAAAGAGAAGCCCAAGACTTTGAGGCAATATTCAAAAAATATATATCTAAAAAAACACTTGTTACACACACACACACACACACACACACACACACACATTCTTACAGTTTAACAAGACAACAAAAAACAATGAAAATGGGCATAAATGTTGAACACATACTTCACACAAAAATATATATGTGTAATCAGTTATCATGGGAAAAGATGCTCAACATATTAGTCATCAAGAAAATACAAATTAAAACCACAGTTGAGACACTACTCCTTACCCACTAAATGGCTAAAATTTGAAAGTTTGACAATATTGAGTATTGAAAAAGATAAGGAGTCAATGAAATGTCAAATAGTGTTAGTGAGCATGTAACATGGAGCAACCATTTTGGAAAACTATTTGGCAGTTTATCATAAAGCTAAACATATTTACTGTCCAGCTCAGCACGTCCACCACTAAATGAAATAAAAACCTATGTTCGCAAGAGACTTGTTCATGCATGCTCACCACAGCTTCACTCATAATATCCTTTACCTTGTGTAGGAGGCAGAAAAATGGCCCCACAAAGATTTCCACCTCTTTGCCTGGAAAGGCCTAATCTCCAGAAACTATGAATATATTACCTTTCTTCCCAAAAGGGACTTTGCAGGTGTGATTACATTAAAGATCTTGGGTAGAGAGATTATCCTAGATGATCTGGATCTGGGTAAGCCCAATGTAATCACAAGGCTACCTACAAGCAAAAAAGAGACATTGTCAACTCAGAGGTAAGAAGCTATGAGAAAGATGTGTTGGCTTTGAAGATGAAAGGAGCCTAGGAGCCAAGGAATGTGGGAACCTCTAGAAGCTGGAAAAAGAAAGAAAACACTGCCTCTAAACATCCAGAAGAAATGGAGTCCTGCCACATCTTGATTTTAGTACCATGAAACTTATTTTGGACTTTTTATCTCCAGAGCTATAAGATGATAAATTTGTGTCATTGTATCCCATCAAGTTTGTGTTTATTTGTTAAAATAGCAATAGAAAACTCAAGCACCTGATGATAACCTAAATATTTATCATCTTGTGAATGGATAAGCAATTGTTTCTAAAGAATTTTTTTATTCTTTGAAAAGAATAACATGTTTCATTGGAAAGATACTATGCAGCAATAAAAAGGCATCAACTACTGATACATACAACTACATGGATGAATTCCTGTGACACCATGTTCTGCTGAATATGTGCCATATGATTCAATTTATATGAGATCTTCATCTAAATTGACAAAGTATATCAGTGGTTGCCTTGGGCAGAGGTAGAAGTGATTGTCTGCAAAGGGGCATGAGTGTACTTCTCTGAGTGATGGAAGTGTTCTATATCTTGTTTATGGTGGTGGCATTTGTGAAAGCTCATCAAACTGTACAACTTAATAGGTGCATTTTATTATATGTAAATTATACTTCAATAAAGTTTTTTTAAAGGAAAAAAGCCATCAAAGTTAGAATTAAGAATATGAAATAATTACTTAACACAGATTAAAAATGAGAATGCTATGTACAACTAGAGCTGGAAACTTGAATAAGGCAATTACCATGAAAATTTTTTTTCTTTTTCTTTCGAGACAGAGTTTCAGTCTGTTGCACAGGCTGGAGTGCAGTGGCGCAATCACTGCTCACTGCAGCCTCGACCTCTCATGCTCACATGCACCACCATGCCCTGCTAATGTTTTTATTTGTATTTTTAATACATAGAGTTAGGTCTCACTATGTTGTCCAGGCTGGTCTCAAACTCCTGGCCTCAAGCCATCCTCTCACCTCTGCCTTACAAAGTGCTGGGATTGTAGGCATGAGCTACCATGACAGGCCAAAAAATTATTTAGAAAATTAGAAAACTACTTGCAAAAAAAGCCCAGGGTCAAAACAGTTTTTCTGGAGAAAAAAGAAAAAAGTTAAATTTTATGGCAGAATTTAATCCTTAACTGGCTAAACAATTCCAGATAGTATAATTTATAGTAGGAAAGGCTGGTGTAAATTATATGTATACATAAAATCCAGTCAGTAAAATGATATATTTGACATGTAAAGATTTTAATGACATATTGTTGAATGAATTTTAGTTTTATTTAATGCATATTAAATGTCCACTATGTTCTAACCATAGATAATGGAATAAACCAAATATGATCCTTGTTCTCACATTGCTTACTGCCTCGTGAGAGAGAAAATTAAGTAACTGCAGAAGTATAAGTAACTATGATACAGACTACAATTTAAAAATGATAAGGTAACATATATGTAATAGCAGTGACTAATTTAGATTTGGACTGGGAAGTACGAAGGGAATCAATTTGGCAAGATCTCCTACAGCAAAAGATGTTCAGACTAAAAGTTGTGAATAAGCATTTAATTATGAAGTTCTTTATTCATTATACAACACCTACTCAGCCATATTGTCATTTTGATGATTTGAAATATTGCCATATTTTCTATGTGAATCCTGCTCTTTAGTCTTCAATCCGCTGCAATCTGCCTCTATCAGTCCATTAAAATGTTCTTGTCAAAATTAACAATGACTTCTTATTTCCTGATCCAACAGACACTTAAGTTCTCAGCTTACTTTATTGTTGTGTTTTCAGCAGCACTTCTCACAATCAATCACTCCCACCTTTTTCAAACTCTCTCTTCTCTTGGATCCTGTATTAGTCTGCCAGGGCTGCCATAACAAAATCCCACAGACTGGGTGGCTAGAACAACAGAAATTTATTTCTTACAATTCTGGAGGTTGGAGAGCCAAGATCCAGGTGTTAGCAAGTGTGGTTTCTCCTGAGGGCTCTCTTCTTGGCTTGCAGATGGCCCCTGCCTGGCTGTGTCCTCACATGGCCTTTCCAGGCATCCTTGAAGTCTCTTCCTCTTCTTATAAGAACACAGGCTTTATTGGATTAGGGCCCTACTCTTATGACCTCGTTTAACTTTAATTACATCTTTAAAGGTCTTATCTCCAAATACAGTCCCATTGAGGGCTAGAGCTTCAACACATGAATTTAAAGGGGTGGGAGACACAGTCCAGTCTAGAACTGTTTTTGATCCAGGAAACAATTTCTTTCTATCTTCTCTAACGGTTCTCCTTTTCTTTCTTCTATCCCTTAAATGTATTAACAATTTAAGGCATAGTCTCAGGCCCTCTTTTTATCTCTTTCTGACTCCAGCTCTTCTCTCACATTCAAATGATTTCAAGTCTACTGCATTAGAATAAAAGTCTACTTTCTCCATAGCAGGGATTGACATGTAGCAAGTTCTCCAAGTGGTAGTATCTCATCAAAGTGGAGGATCGTATCTCATTGAGGCAGAGGGTAGATGTGGGACTCTACAAGATTCTCCCCAAGGTGACCCTCTAAGCCCGGTCCTCAAAACCCAAAATCTGAAATTGTACCAGTGTTTCATTATACACCTCGCTACACAACAACCAGTAATATTTCCTGAGTATTCACTATGTGCCAGGCAGTCGTCTATGAGCGTTACACGTGTTAATTCAGCTTGCTAATCCTTATGATAATTTTATCCTCACATTATTCCAATTTTACAGATTAGAAAACTTAGTCACAGGATGATTAAATTAAATCACTTAAGGTCACACAGCTTGTAAGTGACAGTAATTACCTTGTAGTCTGACTCTAGGACTCACACTATGTGCTAAGGCTATGATTAAGTAGAGCACTTATGATAAAAGTCTTTTTAAGTCAGAATAGGAAGTTTAAGTCACAAAGGATATTAGGATAATTGGAATATTATTCGAGAAAAGTTAAGGTATTGTTAGATATTTTTCTTCATTGCACATATCAAACAAACTAAAGACTTTGGTAGAAAATGCACATACTTCAAAAGTAGAAAACGCACATTCTTCAAAAGTAGAAAACCTACACATTGCTTTTTAAAATACTTTCGGTGGTAGATAGGCATGTCTATACATGACATTGCAAACTGAAAACAAAGATAAAAACTAGCAGATTTGACTACAACCACTTAATTAAGAAAATCCTTTGCCATAAAATACTATAAACAAATGAAAAGACTGACATAAAACTTCGGGAGCATTATTAACAAGAAAAAGAAATTAATGCCACAACACAGAAATGGGAAATAACCTAACAAGTATCTCATAGAAGGATACATATACATATCTAGTAAACATATGAATCCACCCCTGAAAAAATTAAAATAGGACCATTTCCCTCTCAAGTTGGTAAAAATTAATTTTTAATAATAATTTTCCACGTGGGTGTGGATGGGGGTGTGGGAGATGTGATATTTTCACACTGCTGGGCTGGTGGGTGTGTAATTGGTAATACCTATCTGGAGAACAATTTGATAATAGATATTTTGCTTTAAAAATTGTTACCTTGTTTTGTAAATATTTTTCTTTTACTCCAGGATATCTACACTAAGAAAGATACTATAATGGAATATTTACAAGTGTACATATTTATTTTGTAAGGAAATTTATTCAAGTTAATTATAAGAGTTAAATATTGGTAACAATCTACATCTTCCATACAAGAGGATGGCCATAATGGGTTGAATATGTAATTTTGTTACTTTATCCACGACACATAGTCCTGCACTGAAGCATTTGGGGTTGTTTTCAGAGTAGTCTGTCGTCCACACAGCAAATTAAGGTTTAAATTAAGAGCATAGATGGTAGCACATTCAGAAGCCTATGATAGCTCTCAAAATGAATTCCTGGGCTGTGTCTGGGAGTCTTATAGTTTTTGGCATAATGTGAATCTACTATATCATATAACTTGAACTCTGTCATGTCACACAGTAATTTATTTACCAACCATTTGGGTAAAAATAAAACTTCTCTTATGTCTCCCAGAACTGCCATCAAGAAGTAGCCTTCCTTGAGAAAACACTCATATTATTTTCTTCATTATTACCAACCATCATCATCATCGGGATGGTTTGTATTGTCTTTGTATGGTTAAGCTGTGACACAGAGTTCTCAGAAACCTCTTCCCTATAGAGTTATAGGTTACAGTTGGCCCAAAGATATACTTGCTTGAGATTTGGAGGGTTGGAAATGAAGCAACAGCCATTATCTTTTGAAGGTCGTTATAGTCAGATGTTGCTATAGACAGATGCAGAAGTGGGTTCCTGTTTCTTCTCATTCTCTTCTGCTTGATATGCAGCTCTTCTTCCCAACTTCTGACACTGTTGACCAAGAGCAGCTCCAGGCCTACCACTAAATGCCAGGTTGTGGACCTACAGTGGTGAGACAAGGACAGAGAAGATAACCTTCCCATAAGTATCCCTAAGAACTTTCCTTTCATAGTCTAAGATTAACAGGTAAAATATAAAACATTTATTTAAATTGTAATTTCAGATAAACAATAAATATTTTTGTATAAGTATGTCCCAAATAATGCAAGAGTTAATTATAGCAGTGAAATATTGGTAATAATCTATTATCTCCTAGTAAGGACAATCCTGAATGTGTTAGAGAATTAATTGTGGCATTTTATCTTCAAAGACATAGTCCTCCACTGCAGGGACATAGTCATCCAAAAAAAAAAAAAAAGGATTTATTTAAAATTCTAATTGAACTGAGCATCCTGTACTTTTTAATTTGTTGGGTCTGGCAATATTAGTTTTGATGAATTGATGGCCTTGGTTCATAGATTGACTGATTGACAACCCTTTCTCCAATCCTCCAATTCCCTTTCCAAACTTGAACTCCTCTAGCTCCTCCTTCAGTTCTACGAGCTCTACTTCCTAGAGTAAATCCTCTTCCCCACTACACTCACACTCTGCTACCCTGACTCTTGATTTTTATCATAATAGGAATGATGATAATAAAAACAAGAGTAAAATCTAAAGTTTACTGAGGCTTACTATGTGCCAGAGCCCCCTGCTAAGTACTTTACAATAATCTATAATAGTTACCATTACTTACTCCCATTTAAGTTACTGTTATTTACTCCCATTTAAGTTTAATACATATTAAAATTCAACTCATTTTTGTTACTGTTATTTACTCCCATTTAAGTTTCATACATGTTACAATTCAATTGATATGTGGCATTTAGATGCCAACTTTCTTTGATCTCAGATATTTTATTCTCTTCTCTTTTCCTGTTTTATTTTTTCCTTAAAGGCAGTGTGAAGTGATTTAGTTATTTCAGACATATGTATTTGATAGAAAAGGAAACTGAGGCACCAAGGGATTTAGAGAAACTTCCAAGGTCATATATTGAGTTAATGGAGCAACTGAGAGTAGAATTTACCATCTCTGAGAGCCCAAGGTGCTGTCTTGACTGTTGTGCTAAAAAGAAACTATATATCTTTAGAAGAGAAAGATAAATAAATCCCAATGTTTCAAAAAAAAAATCAACCTCCTTTCTATATCTTTCATGGAGACATTTATTCTTGGACCAAAAGTTCCAAATGTAACTTACTTTTTAAATTTTATATTTATTTTTAATTCAAGCTTATATGTTCATTTGTTCTTCTCACCAAATTGGATATTATATTCTTTGCACAACATATGCTTATGATCAATTTCTGACTGAAACTGGTTTTTATGTAAGTGCTCCACAAGCCTTGAACAATGGGTTTCATATGTAACCCAGAATAGATATTAAAATAATCTCTAGGAATTTCTTATTTTATCAGAATTTCTTCCTTTGAGGTGGGATTTGAATGAAAAAAAATGCAGAAGAGAAAATGGCAATTCTTTGAGCAAATGAAATAAGTTTGATATATAAGATTTCAGTGAAAGTAAAAGAATCAAACATTTATTCTAAACAAGTCAGACCTAGAGACTGTCTCATGGAGAAAAATGGAATTTCAATATATTTCTAAGCATTGCTATAAAATCTCAGGTGTAATAAAGATGTTTTTCATTTATTCCATAATTGATTAGATACAAAATTTCTAATAACAGTTGTTCATTTCCCCCCTTTTTTATTTGGGGGATATTTGCGATTGTGGCCAGTGCAAGTCTCTTTCTCCTAGAGATCAAACTCCCCTGTGCTCCCCCAATACTATTTATATATTATAGAATATTTGTTTTGTAGAAAAACTACTATTCTGGTAGTACTGTATCTAAAGTACAGAGCAGGAAAAAGAGGGAAAGAAAGTGGAGAAATTTGGCCAGACCCGGAGTACTTATCTCAAAAACCTGATATTAGTTTAATAAATTATTGTTTATCTTTATAATATTCATAAGAATATTCAATTAGATATAGTTATTTATAAAGCTTCTAATTCTCTTAGCAAGTCTGTCTTACAAGTTGCTTACGATATTCCAATAACAAAAGCAATTACAACCTTATAGTGTAGTGTTTCAGAACAATGCTTTTAGAACCATCTGTGATGAAATGAGTTCTTATTCTTTTCAATCCATTGGGGACCAATATTTCATAAATGACAATTAACACAGATTACTATAAAAAATGATCACATATTGACATTGAGACAATATCAAAAAGCTACATAAGTTTTCAAACACTTGTGCTCAATTTCTGCACTTACCTTGTTGTGCACAGGCACTGATGGATCACTCCCTGAGTGCCATTGCTTTAGAGTATAGTCTTTTGAATTTGATTGCTTGGGTTCAAATTCCATCTCTGCCATATTCTACTTGTCCTGTAACCTTGTTCAAGTTACTGAAATGTACAATGAAAATAATAATAGTACCTTTTCCAAAGTTCGCCATGAGGATTTAATGAGGTACTATATGAAACCCTGAGAAGAATATCTAGCATGCACTACAGGGTCAATAAAAGTAAATCGTTATAATTACTGCATGCAGTTTTACAATACACAATGTGCTTTCCCATACAACATGTCACCTATTCCCTACAAAATCTCTGTAGGGGTAGGTTAAAGAAGTAATGATTATCCTCTACAGCACAGTTGAGAAAACCAAGGGTCAAGTGTTTAAATGGTTGCTCAAGTGTTTAAATGGTTGCGCAGCTGGTAAATGGTAAAGCCAGGCATTAAATGTGATGCTGTTTCTCCCTTATTCCATCCTCCCTTTCAAAGTATGTCAAAGGCTACATGAAGTAGTCCTTTTCATCCAGAACAAAGTCTTCCTGCTCATTTCCTGAGCCTCTAGGTCCCATGACATAGCTTGACAAAAAACAGGACCATCCCAGCAATAGCAGGATCTCCCATCCCCTCTCAATTTGTAGACTTCTTCTATAGGAGGGGTTCTTGTTGACCTTGCACCTATGTTTCCTCTTCACAGCTACTGAGAGCAAGATGTGTACAATTTATGCTTTCAGCTCAGAGTGCTGTATATCTGGTTAATGTGATGGCAGCTATATTTCACATGTTGGAAACGTCAGTTGGAAAAGAAATTTCCAGCCCCAAGATGAGAGAAATGACTATCTCTTTTAATGTGTTGTTGGATGGTCTGGCTTACATTTTTTTTTCTTGAACATACCCAGATGATATGAATGTTTCTTCGGTTGAGGTTTGAATATTTTACTTCTTATAAATCCAAAGAAATGTTTATTTCTTCCTGTGGTTAAATTGTGCAGATGAATTCTCAGAGAGTAAGGAGCCTGAGAAATTCATATGGGACATTAAATGTTCTAGTAATTGTGATCTCTATTTGATCCAGAGACAAAGAACCAAACCCAAGATGTGTTAAAAAGAATAAAATTTCCCTGTGCTAGTAAATTTAAAAAGGAGTTACAAATGTAAATACTGTAGATGCATTTTCTCCAATAATGCCTTCAGGGTAAGTTAAATTCAGAAAAAAATGTTTAATTATACAGCAGCAAAAAATGAGCTTACTATAAACAAACCATTGTCCACTACTGTAAATAAGTTAATGAATATCCCATTAGCTATCTTATAAAACAAATGATAAAATGAGTTAAAAATTTTATGGAATAAAGAAATGTGAGTGAAGGTAAGCCAGAATCATTCAGAATTACATCTAAGTGCTACACTGTGTACAGGCATACCTCACCTTATTGCACTTCACTTTATTACACTTCATAGATACTGCAATTTTTGCAAATTGAAGGTATGCAGAAACTGTATCCAGCAAGTCTATCAGTATTACTTTGCCAAAAGCAAGTGCTTACTTCCTGCCCCTTTGTCACATTTTGGTAACTCTCACAATATTTCACTTTTTCATTATTATTATATCCGTTATGGTAATCTGTTTTCACTGATTTTTGATGTTCCTATTGTGATTGTTTTGGGGTGCCACAAACCATGCTCACATAAGACAGTGAACTAAAGTGATAAATGTTGTATGTGTTCTGACAGCTCCACCCACTGGCTGTTTCCCTATCTCTCTTCTCCTTCTTAGGCTTCCTTATTTCCTGAGGTGCAACAATATTGAAATTGGGACAATTAATAACCATGCAATGGTCTCTAAGTGTTCAAATGAAAGGAGTAGTTACACGTCTTTCACTTTTAATCAAAAGATATAAATGATTAAGCTTAGTGAGAAAGGTATGTCAAAAGCCCAGAAAGGCTGAAAGATAGGCCTCTTGAGCCAAACTGTTAGCCCAGTTATGAATGCAGAAGAAAAGAAAATTAAAAGTGCTACTCCAGGGTATTCACAAATTGTAAGAAAATAACCTTACTGCCGATATGGAAAAAAGCTTTAGTGGTCTAGAAAGATCAAACCATCCATAACATTTCCTCAAGCCAAAGTCTAATTTAGAGAAAGCCTTTAATCTTCAATGAAGGCTGAGAGAAGTGAGGAAGCTATAGAAGAAAAAGTTTGAAAGAAGCAGAGGTTGGTTGATGAGTTTTCAGGAAAAAAAAAGTCATCTTCATTACTTAAAAATACAAGGTAAAGCTGCAAGTGCAGATATAGAAGCTGCAAGTTATCCAGAAGATCTAGCTGAGATATTGATGGAGGTGGCTACACTAAACAACTGATTTTCAATATAGATGAAATAGCCTTCTATTGGAAGATGATGCCATCTGGCACTTTCATTGTTAGAGAGGAGTCAATGCCTGGTTTCAAATCCTTCAAAGGACAGGCTGATTCTCTTGTTAGGAGCTAATGCAGCTGGTGACTTAAAGTTGAAGCCAATGCTTATTTACCATCCCAAAAATATTAGGGTCCTTATTATTATGCCAAATCTACCTTCCTGTGCTCTATAGATGGAACAGCAAAGCCTGGATCTGTTTACATGATGGTTTACTGAATATTTTAAGCCCACTGTTGAGACCTACTACTCAGAAAAAAGAATTCCTTTAAAAATATTACTTCTTAAAGGTAAGGCACCTCATCATCCACAAGCTCTGATGGAGATGTACAATAAAATGAATGTTGTTTTCATGCTTGCTGACACAACATGTATTCTGTAGCCCATGGATCAAGGAGTAATTTTGAATTTCAAATCTTATTCTTTAGGAAATACACTTTGTAATGGTACAGCTGTCATAGTTAGTGATTTCTCTAATGTACCTGGGCAAAGCCAATTGAAAATATTCTGGAAAAAAAATTTATGATTCTTGATGCCATTAAGAACATTTAAGACTCATGGGCAGAGGTCAAAATATCAACATTAACCAGAATTTGGAAGAAGTTAATTTCAATCTCTATGAATGACTTAGTGGAGGACGTCACTGTAGTTGTGGTGGAAACAGCAAGAGAACTAGAATTAGAAGTGGAGCTGGAAGAAATGACTGAATTGCTGCAATCTCATGATAAAACTTGACTGGATGACAAGTTACTTCTTATGGATGAGCAATGAAAGTGTTTCTTGAGATGGAATCTGCTCCTGGTGAAAATGCTGTGTATGTTGTTGAAGTGACAACAAAGAATTTAGACTATTACATAAACTCAGTTGGTAAAGCAGTGGCAGGTTTTGAGAAAATTGCCTCCAATTTTGAAAGAAGTTTTAGTGCTGATAAAATGCTATTGAAAAGTATCACATGCACAGAGAATCTTCATGAAAGGAAGGGTCAATTAATGTGACAAGCTTCACTGTTGCCTTATTTTCAGAAATTGCCACAACCACCCAACCTTGAGTATCTATCACCCAGATTACCCAGGAGCCATCAACATTGAAGAAAGACCCTCCACCAGCAAAAAGATTATAATTAGCTGAAGGCTCAGAGGATTGTTAGCATTTCTTAGTAATAAAGGATTTTTAAATTAAGATATGTATTTTTTAATATGTAATGTCATTGTATACCTAGTAGACTACAGCGTGGTGTAAAAATAACTTTTATATGCATTGGGAAACCAAAAATTTTGTGTCAGTCACTTTATTGTGATATTCACTTTATTGTGGTGGTCTGGACCTGCACTTACAATATATCTGGGGTATGTCTGTAAATCAAATTTCTACAGGAATGAGTCCTTTAGAATGAAACCTCTCTCTTCTATCAAAAGTGTCAAGTAAACAAAATAACTCAGCCTCACTTGTTTGGGAGCAGCCCTGTATTCTCACAATTCTAGGCTGAGGTCAGGAGTGCTATAACAACTATGATGAAAAGTGAGAGTCCATAGAGCCCTAGACTCTTGTTTACCACACATAAAGGACTTTGCACCAGATAAATATAGGAAGTTCCAAGCATTGCACTGTTCGTGGACCAAAAATCCGAATAACCTTTAGTTTAAAGGCAAAACTGTCTCAGATCTAATAACTAGGGATTGAGAATGCAGTGAACATAGTTGAAACTCTATTTCATTAAAAATGAAGGGGGAGTACCATGGTGGTTATAATACTGCCTGCAATCTGCTCAAATATTTTCTTTGCTGTACAATCTCAATAGGTAACCCAAAATTTTCAAGCCAGAATAAAAACATGGACATACTTGAGAAAGATTAATTTGAGTTATTTTAGAAGTAGACCCTGAGGCTAGGGTTTGAAAAGTACTGGTTTACTTGGCAGGAGATCCCAGGAAGCATTGTTAGGAGAGTGGAGAACTGAGGCAGAAAAGAAAAGGCACAAAATAAAGAGTATATTTTCAAGCCAGTTACCAGTACGGCAAGGTAAATGGCAATTTCAAGTGGGAACTCTGGGGTCATATATGACAAGTGCCTAAGAGTTAGCTCAGATCAGGGGCAAAGGAGCTAAGGATTTGCATACTAAATCTAACATTGGTTGAGAGATACTGGGCATGGGGTGGGGGGTAGAATATATTTTAACACTTTCTGATCTGATGTCATGGTACCTTCAGGCAGTTGGAAGCCCAGTAGTTCCTTACAATGGTGAGATCTCAAGGAATACAGTTGGGACATCTACTACAATTTGTGAAGCCATATTTCCTTTAGATTTTGTATAGCAATTGTCTCAGTATCCTTAGAAATGTAAACACACATACACACACATTTGACTTAGAAATTATCTTCATTTGCTTTTAAACATAAGAGTATGACTAACATAAATACAAGAACTCTAATAGATTGATGCACAGGATGAAAAAGTGTAAAGAATAAATGCTTTGGCGTTAGATAGACCAAGATGTGGATCCTAGCCTTACCAGTCAAGTAATTTGAAAAAGTAATTTACTGTGTTTCATCTTCATTTTGTTAATCTGCAAAAAAAGCAAATAATTTGCATTTTGTTTTGTTGTGAGAACACAGTTTAAGCTCCTATCTCAGCACTTGAAATACAGTAGTATCTCAGTGATGATTAGCTATGATCACCAACACTCACCAGGACTACTACCATCAGCACTCTAATCAGTACCACCATCACCATCACCATCATCATCAGTATCATCAACTTTTCCTTGCAAAAAATACTTGGAGTTTTCTCTGCAAAAAAAAAAAAAAAAAAGGAAAGAAAGAAAAAAGAAAGGAAATATACCTCTTTTGATATAATAAAAAGAAAACAGAATAATCTTCAATCTTCAAAAATAGGTGAGAAGAACACAAGACTTCTCTGAAATGTGTCAATTTTTATTTCATTTAGCATTGGTTGTACAGCTGCTTGTGTTAGAACATTTATACAGGTACTAATGAACAGGTACTAACAGCTTCAATGGAAAAGAGTTGTGTGAATACTTATTTAGAAAATATTTAAAGTAGTCGTTATTGAGAATCTCCAATTTACCACATATTTTATGGCAATCTCTTTTCTAAAATGAATCAACAAGACTAAGCCATTATGTTAAAAAGCCATGCCTCCATACCACCATCTTTAGATACAGATTTAACAGAGCAATTCCTTTTGTCTCTTCTGATAATTACAATATTAAAGAAAATACTAGTCACCTACATAAAGGAAACTACACTGACTTGGTGTCACTCAGTAAGTTTACATACATGAAGTTTGGAAACTTTAGGTTCTCAAAGACAGAGTTACCTAAATATTAATACATTGTTTACTGAGGAGGCCTCTTTTTGCTTTGACAACTCAATGACTCAGATGTGAAAACCCCAGGAATTGTTTTACCTTAACTGAAATGTCCAAGGATTCTTTTTTTTTAAAAAAAAAAAAATCATCTCTTTTTTTATCTTTAATTTTTTAGAAATTTTTATTGTTTTATTTTTCCATAATTTATTGGGGTACAGGTGGTATTTGGTTACATGAGTAAATTCTTTAGTGGTGCTTTGTGAGATTTTGGTGCATCCATCACCTGAGCTGTATACACTGCACCATATTTGTTGTCTTTTATCACTTTCCCCCCTCCCACTCTTCCCCCCAAGTCCCCAAAGTCCATTATATCATTCTTATGCCTTTGCTTCCTCATAGCTTAGCTTCCACATATCAGTGAGAATATACAGTGTTTGGTTTTCCATTCCTGAGTTACTTCACTTAAAATAATAGTCTCCTGTCTCATCCAGGTCACTGTAAATGCTGTTAATTCATTCCTTTTTATAGCTGAGTAGTATTCCATCATGTATATATATACCACAGTTTCATCATCCATTCATTGATTCATGGGCATTTGGGTTGGTTCTACAATTTTGCAATTATAAATTGTGCTGCTATAAACATGCGTGTGCAAGTATCTTTTTCAAATAATGACTTCTTTTCCTCTGGGTAGATATGCAGTAGTGGAATTGCTGGATCAAATGGTAGTTCTACTTTTAGTTCTTTAAGGAATCTCCACACTGTTTTCCATAGTGGCTGTTCTAGTTTGCATTCCCACCAGCAGTGTAGAAATGTTCCCTGATCACCTCATCCACACCAACATATACTGTTTTTTGATTTTTTGATTATGGCCATTCTTGCAGGAGTAAGGTGGTATCACACTGTGGTTTTGATTTGCATTTCCCTGATCATTAGTGATGTTGAGCATTTTTTCATATGTTTGTTGGCCATTTGCATGTCTTTTTTTGAGAATTTTCTATTCATGTTCTTAGCCCACTTTTTGATGGGATTGTTTGTTTTTTGAGTTTGTTGTAGATTCTGGATATTAGTCCTTTGTCAGGTGTATAGATTGTGAAGATTTTCTCCCACTTTGTGGGTTGTCTGTTTACTCTGCTAACTGTTCCTTTTTGCCATGCAAAAACTCTTTTAGTTTTGTCCCAGCTGTTTATCTTTGTTTTTATTGCATTTGCTTTTGGGTTCTTGGTCACGAAATCCTTGCCTAAAACAATGTCTAGAAGGGTTTTTCTAATGTTATCTTCTAGAATTTTTATAGTTTCAGGTCTTAGGTTTAAGTCTTCAATCCATCTTGAGTTGATATTTGTATAAGGTGAGAGATGAGGATCCAGTTTCGTTCTCCCACACGCGGCTAGCCAACTATCCCAGCACCATTTATTGAAAAGGATGTCCTTTCCCCACTTTATTTTTTGTTTGCTTTGTTGAAGATCAGTTGGCTCTAAGTATTTGGGTTTATTTCTGGGTTCTCTATTCTGTTACATTGGTCTATGTGCCCATTTTTATATCAGTACCACACTGTTTTGGTGACTATGGCTTTATAGTATAGTTTGAAATCAGGCAGTGTGATGCCTCTAGATTTGTTCTTTTTGCTTAGTCTTGCTTTGGCTATGCAGGCTCTTTTTTTTTTTTTGGTTCCATATGAATTTTTGAATTGATTTTTCTAACTCTGTGAAGAATGATGGTGGTATCTTGATGGGGATTGCATTGAATTTGTAGATTGCTTTTGGCAGTATGGTCATTTTCACAATATTGATTCTACCCATTCATGGGCATGGCATGCGTTTCCATTTGTTTGTGTCATCTATGATTTCTTTCAGCAGTGTTTTGTAGTTTCCCTTGCAGCAGTCTTTCAACTCCTTTGTTTGGTATATTCTTAAGTTTTGTTTGTTTGTTTGTTTGTTTGTTTTGGTTTTTTTGTTTTTTTTTTTTGCAGCTATTGTAAAAGGAGTTGAGTTCTTGATTTTATTCTATGCTTGGTCACTGTTGGGGTATAGAAGAGCTACTGATTTGTGTACATTAATCTTATATCCAGAAACATTGCTGAATTCTTTTATCAGTTCTAGGAGCTTTTTGGAGGAATTCTTAGGGTTTTCAAGGTAAACGATCATATCGTCACCAATAGTGACAGTTTGACTTCCTCTTTACCGATTTGGATGTCCTTTATTTCTTTCTCTCGTGTAGTTGCTCTGGCTAGGACTTCCAGTACTATTTTGAAGAGGAGTGGTGAGAGTGAGCATCCTTGCCTTTTTCCCATTCTTAGAGGGAATGCTTTCAGGTTTCCCCCATTCAGTATTATGTTGGCTGTGGATTTGTAATAGATGGCTTTTATTACATTAACGTATGTCCCTTGTATGTCGATTTTGCTGAGGGTTTTAATCATAAAGGATGCTGGATTTTGTTGAATGTTTTTTCTGCATCTATTGAGATGATCATGTGATTTTTTAAAAAAATTATGTTTATGTGGTGTATCACATGTATTGATTTGTGTATGTTAAACCATCTCTGCATCCCTTGTATGAAACCCACTTGATCATGGTGAATTATCTTCTTGATATGTTGTTGGATTTGGTTGGCTAGTATTTTGTTAAGGATTTTAGCATCTATGTTCATCGACGATATCTGTCTGTAGTTTTCTTTTTTGATTGTGTCCTTTCCTGGTTTTAGTATTAGGGTGATGCTGGCTTCATAGAATGAATTAGGGAGGGTTCCTTCTTTCTCTCTCTTGTGGAATAGTGTCAAAATGATTGGTACCAATTCTTCTTTGAATGTCTGGTAGAATTCTGCTGTGAATCCATCTGGTCCTGGACTTTTTTTTGTTGGTAATTTTTAAATTACAATTTCAATCTCACTGCTTTTTGTTGGTCTGTTCAGGGTATCTAATTCTTCCTGATTTAAGCAAGGAGGGTTGTGTTTTTCCGGGAATTTATCCATCTCTTTTAGATTTTCTAGTTTATGGGCTTAAAGGTGTTCATAGTAGCCTTGAATGATCTTTTGTATTTCAGTGGTGTCAGATGTAATGTCTCCTGTTTCGTTTCTTAGTGCGGTTATTTGGATTTTCTTTCTTCTTTTCTTGGTTAATCTTGCTAATGGTCTATCAATTTTATTTATCTTTTCAAATAACCAGCTTTTTTTTCATTTATCTTTTGTATTTTTTTATTTTAATTTCATTTAGCTCTGCTCTGATCTTGGTTATTTCCTTTTTTCTGCTGGGTTTGAGTTTGTTTTGTTCTTGTTTCTCGAGTTATTTGAGGTGTGGCCTTAGGTTGTCTGTTTGTATTCTTTCAGACTTCTGGATATAGGCATTTAGCGCTATGAACTTTCCTCTTAGCACCACCTTAGCTGTATCCCAGAGGTTTTCATAGGTTGTGTCATTATTGTCATTCAGTTCAAATAATTTTTAATTTCCATCTTGATTTTGTTTTTGGCCCAATACTCATTCAAGAGCAGGTTATTTAATTTCCATGTATTTACATGGTTTTGAAGGTTCCTTTTGGAGTTGATTTCCAGTTTTGTTCAACTGTGGTCTGAGAGAGTGCTTGATATAATTTCAATTTTCTTAAATATATTGAGGCTTGTTTTATGACTTATCATACGGTCTATCTTGGAGAAAGTTCCATGTGCTGTTGAACAGAATGTGTATTCTGCGGTTGTTGGATGAAATGTTCTGTATATATTTGTTAAGCCCATTTGTTTCAAGGTATAGTTTAAATCCATTGTTTCTTTGTTGACTTTCTGTCTTGATGACCTGTCTAGTGCTCTCAGTGGAATACCGAAGTCCCCCACAATTATTGTGTTGCTGTCTATCTCATTTCTTAGGTCTATTAGTAACTGTTTTACAAATTTGGGAACTCCAGTTTTAGGTCCATATATGCTTAGGATTGTGATATTTTCCTGTTGGATAAGGACTTTTAGCATTATATAATGTCCTCCTTTGTCTCTTTTAACTGCTGTTGCTTTTTTTTTTTTTTTTTTTTTTTTGACGGAGTCTTGCTCTGTTGCCCAGGCTGGAGTGCAGTGGCGTGATCTCAGCTCACTGCAAGCTCCGCCTCCCAGGTTCATGCCGTTCTCCTGCCTCAGCCTCCCGAGCAGCTGGGACTACAGGCTCCCGTCACCATGCCCGGCTAATTTTTTTTTTGTATTTTTAGTAGAGACGGGGTTTCACCATGTTAGCCAGGATGGTCTCAATCTCCTGACCTCATGGTCCGCCCGCCTCGGCCTCTCAAAGTGCTGGGATTTTTTGCTTTAAAGTTTGTTTTGTCTGATACAAGAATAGCCACCCCAGTCGCTTTTGGTGTCCATTTGCATGAAATGCCTTTTTCCCACCCCTTTACTTGAAGTTTATGTGAATCCTTATGTGTTAGGTGAGTCTCCCGAAAGTAGCAGATAGTTGGTTGGTGAGTTCTTATCCATTATGCGGTTCTGAATCTTTCAAGTGGATCATTTAGGCCATTTACATTCAATGATAGTATTGAAATGTGAGGTACCATTGCATTCATCATGCTCTTTGTTGCCTGTGTACTTTTTTTTTTAATTTTTTTTTTTGGTTTTGGTTTTGCTTTTTAACTTGTATTTTGGCTTTATAGGTCCTGTGTGATTTATGCTTTAAAGAGGTTCTGATTTGATGTGTTTCCAGGATTTGTTTCAAGATTTAGAGTTCCTTTTAAAGTTCTTGTAGTGGTGGCTTGGCAGTGGCAAATTCTCTCAGCATTTGTTTGTCTTAAAATGACTATCTTTCCTTCATATATGATGCTTAGTTTCACTGGATACAAAATTCTTGGCTGAAAATTGTTTTGAGGAGGTTGAAGATAAAGCCCCAATCCTTTCTAGCTTGTAGAGTTTCTGCTGAGAAATCTGTGTTAATCTGATAGGTTTTCCTTTATAGGTTACCTGGTGCTTCTGTCTCACAGCTCTTAAGATTCTTTCCTTTGTCTTAACTTTAGATAACCTGATGACAATATACCTAGGTGAAGATCTTTTTGTGATGAATTTCCCAGGTGTTCTTTGTGCTTCTCATATTTGCATGTCTAGTTCTCTAGCAAGGCTGGGGAAGTTTTTGTTTATTATTCCCCCAAATATGTTTTCCAAGGTTTTAGAATTGTCTTCTTTCTCAGGGACAACGATTATTTTCAGGTTTAGTCATTTAGCATAATCACAGACTTCTTGGAGGCTTTGTTCATATTTTCTTATTCTTTTCTCTTTGTCTTTGTTGGGTTGGGTTAATTCAAAGACCTTGACTTCGAGCTCTGAATTTCTTTCTTCTACTTGTTCAATTATATTGCTGAGACTTTCCAGAGCATTTCACATTTCTAAAAGTGTGTCCAAAGTTTCCTGAATTTTTTTATTGTTTTTTTCTTTAAGCTATCTGTTTCCTTGAATATTTCTCTCTTCACTTCTTGTATCATTTTTTGGGTTTCCTTGCTTCGGGCTTTGCCTTTCTCTGGTTCCTCCCTGATTGCTTAATAACTAACCTCCTGAATTCTTTTTCAGGTAAATCAGGGATTTCTTCTTGATTTGGATCCATTGCTGGTGAATTAGTGTGATTTTGGGGGTGGGGGGTGTTGACCATCCTTGTTTTATCATATTACCAGGGTTGGTTTTCCAGTTCCTTCTCATTTGGGTAGGTTCTGTCAGAGGGAAACTCTAAGGCTCAAGGCTGTTGTTCAGATATTTTTTGTCTCACGGGGTGTTCCCTTGATGCAGTACTCTCCCCCTTTTCCTATGGATGTGGCTTCCTGTGAGCCGAACTGCAGTGATTGTTGTCTCTCTTTTGGGTCTAGCCACCCAGCAAGTCTACCTGGCTCCAGGCAGAGTCCTGTGATGTTAACTGTCTATGAGTCTCTCAGCCGTGAATACCAACACCTATTCCAGTGGAGATGGCGTAGGGTGCAATGGACTTCATGAGGGTCCTTAGCTTTGGTGGTTTAATGCTCTATTTTTGTGCTGCTTGGCCTCCTGCCAGGAGGTAGTGCTTTCCAGAAAGCATCAGCTGTAGTAGTGTGGGGAAGGACCAGTGGTGGGCAGGGCCCTAGAACTCCCAAGATTATATGCCCTTTGTCTTCCGCTACCAGGGTGGGGAGGGGAGGACCATCAGGTGGGGATGGGGCTAGGTGGTTCTGAGCTCAGACTCTTCTTGCGCGGGTCTTGCTGTAACTGCTGTGGGGGATGGGGATGAGATTCCCAGGTCACTGGACTTGTGTACCTAGTAAGATTATGGATGCCTCTGCTGAGTCATGCAGGTTGTCAGGGAAGTGGGGGAAAGTTGGCAGTCACAGGCCTCACCCAGCTCCCATGCAAACCGAGGGGCTTGTCTCACTCCCACCATGCCCCCTGCAACAGCCCCAAGTCTGTTTCCAGGTGGAGGGTGAGACAGGCTTGAAAACTTGCCTGAGGCTTTCCACCTCCCAGTTGTGAAAGAAAAGGGCTTTAGTTCTTCCTCCACCTGTGAAGTCTGTAAGCCGGATTCACACCCTCTCCCAAGTTCTGGCCAGGAGGCTTCTCACTCTGTTCAAATTGTTACAAAGGTCAGCTAGAGAATTCCTTCTGCCTGTGGAGTTTTACCCTCGGCTTCTCTGGCCACCCTCCTGATGGATCCCTATGGTGCCAGGCAGCAATAGGCTGCTTGGGGACCCAGCAAGCTCCCAGAGCTTTTCTGCTGCTTCCTCTACCCCTGTATTTTGTTCAGCTTGGCTCTCTAACCTGACTCAGCTCCAAGTAAAGTTGGAAACTTCTCCCGCAAACAGACCTTCAGCTTCTCCAGCGGGGGTGTGTGTTTGGGAGAGGAGGCTCTCCCTTTCCCACTTCTGCAGCTGGGGCACTCACAGTATTTAGGGTGTCTCCTGGGTCCTGCAGGAGTAGTCGCTTCCTTCAGAGGGTCTGTGGGTCCTCTTGGGATTTCTGGTTTGTTCTTGCAGTCGATCTGGAGGTAAAATTCACAATGCGAGCCTCTGCATACTGCTGTGTCTGGAGCAATCTAGTCCTGCCTCCCATCTGCCATGATCCCTAAATCTATCCAATGATTCTTGTAACGAATTTTTTTCTTTATTAATCTCATCTACTTCTACAATTTTACACACCATTGATACACTGGTAAGTCTCTAATTTTTATCACAAGCCCTGAATTTTTATTCGGTTTCTCACCTCAACTGACCCCCCATCTTGACATCTTCATTTAGATGACTAATAGCATCTCAATATTGCATAGATGAAAAACAGTAAGCTTTATTTCACCTTCTCTACTACCAGCTCCCTCCTTCTCAAAGTAAATCTTTGAGAATCATTTTTTGATTTTTCGCTTTCTCTCTCTCCTCATTTCCAGTCTATCAGCAAGTTATTAAAGTTTTTCCCCCAAAATATTTGGGAACCCAGTCTACAGATTGTCATGCCACTGTTCTTATTTATTCCAAGCCACCATCGTCTCTGGTTTGAACAACCACAATGGTCTACTCATTGGACTTTTTTTTTTTTTTTTTTTTTTGAGACAGAGTCTTGCTCTGTTGCCCAGGCTGGAGTGCAGTGGCGCAATCTCGGCTCACTGCAAGCTCCACCTCCCGGGTTCACGCCATTCTCCTGCCTCAGCCTCCCCACTAGCTGGGATTACAGGTGCCCGCCGCCACGCCCAGCTAATTTTTTTGTATTTTTAGTAGAGACAGGGTTTCACTGTGTTAGCCAGGATGTTCTCTATCTCCTGACCTTGTGATCTGCCCACCTCAGCCTGGACTTTTTTGCTTCATGCCCTGGAATCAATTATCAACCAAGACAGAAAGACATCTTTTTAAAAACTTGAATCAGATCCTATTGCTTTTCTGCTAAAAATTTCCCAGTGGTTTCAGCTCATACGCAAAATTAAAATTAAAAATTTTACCCAAACATTCAAGGCTCTACATGGCCCTTTGCCCTTGGAACTCTTTCACACACTCTCCCACTTACTTTCAAGTCATTGTAGCTTCCTGTTTCAGGGACATACCAAACTTCTTCCTGACTGTGAACTTGCTTGCTTGCCATCTGGAATATTTTCTCCAAGATTTTGTATGACTAGCTCTGAGCTCAAATATCATTCCTTTAGAGGGATCTATCTTGGCAACCCTATTAATATCTCCCACATACCCTCTTCAGTTGCTCTCTACCCATAACCCATTTTTTTCTTCATAGCAGTCACAGCTCTTTGAAATGGTTCTTTGCTTTATTGTCTGTCTTACCCACTAAAATGTAACATCTATGAGAGCAGCCAGTGACTGGACCCTAGGACTATAAATGGCACTCTCTGGATGGGACAATGTGCCCCTTCCATGTGGTTCTTTCTATGTAGATACATGATGCTCCCCTGTCTGCCAAAGGAGACTCTAATATGCTGCATTAAATTGATTATCTGGCCACTGCGAGTTTTCCAGGGCTTGTTTTCTGGCCCCTGTGGTTCAAACAAGTTATCTTACTGAAGGAAAGGGCACTGATAGTGAAAGTCAAAATAATCCACAACCTCAGTTATATTTTATCCCCATGTAGGGGTGATTAATCTGACTATAATATAGATTTTTTTTTACATCAAGCTAAGTCAAATGGCCATTTAGATAGTCTGGGACTTGGAGTCACCGTGGGCTAGCTAAGATTCTTTCGCAAGGGTAGTTTTATACAATGGAATGGCTTTTCAATATTGGCCAATGAAGAAGTGTTTCATCCTTACCAGCATTATGTTTTATAGAGGTTATCAACAAGTGGAAAAGTGGGAGAATCATTGTCCTGAATAGAGTAACAGGAAGGATGTTTGTATAAGGCACCCAAGTAAGAACATTGGGACCTTTTCTCTAGTCAGGTCAGAGCTCCCATAGTCTGACATAGAAGAGAGCTTCAAGTGTATTTTTTGAAATGTTTCTTCTCCTATGTATTCTGTTATCCATCCTCCAGAGTTTATCATAATCATATTTGTGACTAGCATTGCAACTACAAGTTGCTGACATGTTAGTGTATTCTAATCTGATCTATAGGTCTGATGTCTATAGATCTTTCTGATCTATGAAGTCCCCTTTTGTGATCACAGAGAAGGTTTAAACTGAGAATCAAAGATTAGTTTGTTTAAGACTTCTTTGCAAGGTGGCCTTCTACAAAATGCTATGAAAACTGGTCATAACTGAGTGCTTAAGGCAATCAATTTTGGTAGAAAGCTGAGGGGGTAAATTGGGTCAGCCATTCACCTTACCATATAAGGTGTAACTACAAGGCCTGAAGCCCAGCTTTCTGATCACACTAGGCGTATTAGCTGTCTATTGCTGCATAACAAATTTCCCCAGGACATAGCAACTGAAAGCAAAAAGGTTTATTACTTCACAGTTACAGTGAGTCATAAGGAGGAGTAGTTGAGCTAGAGGGTGATGATTTACTCCCTTATCAGGATGTAATCAAGGAGTCCAGTAATTTCAAAACTTGACTTGGGGGAGAGTCACTTACAAGTTCACACATGTGACTCTTGGTAAGATTTAGAAAATCTATTTCCAAGTTCAACTATGTGGGCTGATCTACAGGGCTGCCCCATGACATGGAACCTGGTTTCCCCTGGAGTGAACAAGACAGAGGGAGAGGGAGAACCAAAGATGGAAGCCACAGTCTTTTTATAACCTAATTTAGAAAGTGATATTCCACAGCATCCATTCCTTAGAAGTGAGTCAATAAGTCCAGCCTATACTCAAAGAATGGGATATTAAACAAAAAATATGAACATCAGGAAGTGCCGATCATTAGTGGGCCACCTCAGAGGGTGCCTATAACATTTTAGAAAGGTAGGTGATTTCCATACATGAATAGGTTGCTTATAAAATAGGGTTGGTTTCCATGTTGTGTTGCTGTTGGATGCTAGCCTCTTATACCAGTAAGAGTCAGTATCCTTTAAATTGCATGATTTTCCCCAATCATGTAATTTTAAAGTCTCTCACAAAGAATCTGACTTCCAGCTCCATTAGATTTCTGTGTGTTCTCCAAGAATGTGATGAACAATAAGTAAAATAAACCCGACTACCACTCCTGTCTCCATAATTTTCATGATTTTCCCTCATGAACTAGCTTCATTGTTAAGACTGGCTTGTTGCCATTTTAGCAGACATGGCATATGCTTGGTCTGGTCATTTGCCCTTGTTGATGGATTACTTTTTTTGTCTTAGTATTTTATGTTCTCTTGGTATTTCAAACCCAAACCTTCCTTAACTGGTGTACACAATTTTATTCTTACTAGATTAAATCCTATTAAATATTCTACCCATTATTTTCTTGAAAAAAAAAATCTCTTTGGGAGATTTCTGACCTGCTACGTAGCAAATGAATATGAGTTGGCTTTTCCTCTACCGTCATCCTGTGGATTCCTTTAACTTCCATCCTGTAATGGATTCCCTATTTCTTAGATTTCTTGTATTTCTCCTTCTTGGTTACTTTTTGTTGTTGTTTAAATTATTGGATTCTGTTTTCAGTAGCTTATTAAAAATGGTACATTAGAAGTAAAATTATTAGGCATTAGTATGGAACTCTAGATTAGAAATCATTTTTGCTCAGAATTTTGAAGACTTGCTCCACTGTCTTCTAGCTTAAAAAAAACTTCCATCAACTAGCCTCCATACCTTTGTATAAAAAACGTTTTTTGTTTTTGTTTTGCCTCTCTGCAAGCCAGTATCACCTTCTATTTGCCTTCAGCACTCTGATATTTCACAATGATGTGAGTTAATTCACAACCATTGTACTAGTTGCTTGGTGAGCTGTTTACATCTGGGAGCTCATGTCTATGTCCTTCAGTTCTATGACATCTTCTTGACTTATGCCATTGATAATTTCTTCTTCTTTCTTTTTTCTCACTTTCCGAAATATATATATCTTTAATGCTCTTGTGTCCTTTCATATTCTCTTTGATTTAGGAATTAACACCCAAAAAACCATTTGGGGCAAAAAGAAAAATAAAACACTTTTACTCTAATTTTAGCAGGCTTATATAAGGCAGGAAATGAGCAGAAATTAAATGTCTGTATTTAATCTATTATCTTGATCTGGGCAAACTAAATTATTTTTACATTGATTTATTGACAAATATAATTAGAGTGTTTTATTCGTTACATTTAATACACTTATTGATGTGATTGAGCTTATCACTCACTATCTTGCTAAGTTTTATGTATGTGCACCCTCTGATCTTTGTTATTCCTTTTACTGACTTATTTTGAGCAGAGTATTGTTTAGGATTCATTTTATTGTCCTATTTGATTTTTAGAGTCCCTTCATTACATTATTTTGTCAACAGATTACTCTAGATATTACAATGCACACACACAACAGACTCCTATGAATTAATATTTTACTACCTCGTGGAAAAAGTAAGAATCTTGCAACATGTGGAAAGAGTAAGAACCTTGCAACATTGTAATTTATTATATTTACACACTTCCTGTCTATTATGCTATAGTTATAATGAATTTTACTTTGGATCTATTATAAGCCTCACCAAAAAAAAAATTACTGTTTTTATTTAAACTGTGAGTTAACTTCCAAAGAATTTAAGAAAAAAATATTTATTACTACCCACATATTCATTATTAAATTTCTTCTCAGAGATCTGTACGGTTGGCCCTTCTCATCTGTGAATTCTGCATCTGTGGATTCATATACATGCAGATGGAAAATATTTGAAAAAAATTGTTGGGTCTGTACTGAACTGTATAGACTTTTTTTCTTGTCATTATCCCTTAATCAATACAGTATAACAACTATTTAGACAGCATTTACATTGTATTAGGTATTATTAGTAATTTAGAGATGATTTGAGGTATACAAGAGAAAATGTGTAGGTCGTATGCAATAATACACTTGTTATATAAAGGAATTAAGCATCTGGGAATTGTGGTATCCCAGGGGGTCCTGGAGACAATTTCCCATGGATATTGAGGGACAACTGTAGTTTTATCTGGCTTCATTTCCATTCAACTTGAGGAAACTGTAGCATTTCTTGGAGAGCAAATCTATATGCAACACATTCTCAAGATTTTGATTTTTCTGCAAATGTATTTATTTGGCTTTTATCTCTTAAGGACGATTTCCCAGTTTATATCATCCTAGGCTAACATTTTTTTTTCTTATAACACTTCAAAAATTGTTTTCTTATCTTCGATCTCCTAATGCTGTCATTCTTACTGTTGTTCCCCAGTAAGCAATAGTTCCCCCTCCCTCAACCAATTTTAAGATATTCTTTTCTTTTCTTTGGTTTATGTAAGATTGGTTCCAAATTGCCTATTTTTATTTTTTTTTTTGTTTTCTTTTGTATTTTTAAATATTTTTATTGCTTGGGGTGCTCTGATCTTCCTCTATCTATGTATTGAAAAAGTGACTTTTTACCCTTTTTCTTTATCTTCTATTTCTGGGACTCTGATTACATGTATTTTAGATTTTATACCACAAGTCATTGAGGGTTTGCTCATTTGTCTTAATTCATTTTATCTTTCTGTGATTCAGCCTCATATATCCTTTTTTTTTGTTGTGCTAAATATGCTGGTAAACTTATCCAATAAATTTCTTATTTCACATGCTTCTTTTTCAAGTCTAGAATTTCCATGTAGTTCATTTACAGTTTGTACCTTTTCCAAAAATGTACCCATCTCTTTGCCCATTTTTTATCTTTTCATTTTAAAAAGTCTTTTATGAAGGATGATTTGTTTTATTCTAGTGAGCAGTTTAATTATGGGTGGAAACTTCGTTTGGGCCTTTGTTGGGATAAGTCTACTTCTGTTTTGCTTTTGCCACTGGATATACAGTTTGGTGTCAAGTGAAAATGCAAGGTATTTACTAAGCCTTTCTAACTTGACAAGACTCCAACTCCAATCTCTGTCTGTCCGGTAATGGGCAGCTACTGAAATCTCAAAAAGTTCTTTAAACCTTCCACCTGTATCCTTCTGCTAGTGTCCCTGAAACCTTGCCTTATCTATGTGCAATTCAGGGTCAATTCAGGATTTGAGGGGAATTTGTGTGCATATTTGCAGTTGCTGCTTCTGTAGCTGCATCTTTCTGAGGTGTTCCCTTACTAGTTTCCCACTGTTCTAGTGGCGCTGAACTAAAAAAAAAAAAAAAAGAAAGAAAGAAAGAAAGAAAGAAAAAGGAAAAGAAAAAAGAAAAATACTTCCCAGATCAATAGAATTTCTTCTTTTTGTTTGAGCTCTATCCCTTCGTGAGCCACAAGACTAGTAGCATCCTGAGAGAAAATATAAGTATTGCTTGTGGATCTCCTCCTAGTGTGTTTCCTTCTTGATAAGGGTGATACCCTCTCTAGGTTCTGCTTTTGGTCATTCTCCAATGACTTCCATGATTGTTTTCTTTATTATTTCCTTAGTTTATAGTTGTTATCAGTAGGGGGGTTAGTCTAATCAAGCTGCTTCACCATAACTAAAAACCAAGATTCTCTCCTTGTGTTAGAGTTCTCCAGAGAAACAGAACTAACAGGATATGTATAAATAAATAAATAAATAAATAAATAAATATATCATTATACACATAATTTAAAATATGTAGCTAATATATACTTACATATAAAATTATATATAGTAATAGATATATAATATAGTATAATATACATATCATTTATATATATATAATTTATTATAGAGAATTGGCTCACATGATTATGGAGTCTGAGAGGTTCTATGGTCACATGGAAAGCTGGAGACACAGGAGAGATGACAGTATATTTCCACTCTAAATCTGAAGGCCTAAGAAACAGGAGACCCGATGGTGTAAGTTCTAGTCAAAAAGCCAACAGGCTCAAGCCATAAAGAGCAGATGTTTCATTTTGAGTCTGAAGGCAGGAAAAGACCAATGTCCCAGCTTAAACCACTCAGGCAAGAAAAGTTCCCTCTTACTCAGCCTTATTGTTTGATTGTGGTCTTCAATTGATTGGATGAGGTTCACCCACACTGGAGAGGGCAATCTTCTTTACTCATCTATTGATTTAAATTTAATCTAATCGGAAACATCCATACAGACACGATCAGAATAATGTTTGACTAAATGTCTGTGCACCTGTAGCCCAGTCAAGTTGACACACATCCCACACTCTTTAAATAGATTATAATTTAAGGAAGACAATTTTCTTAAGTACTTATTTCTTATGTTAATTTTTCTCTAGATATAAATTGTGCCACTCTTTGAAGGACATACTTTGGAATGGGTGGATTTCAACAATGTGGGTATACACAAGGAATAGGTGATATTCTCATAATAAGGTTATACATAGGCAAAACCTTACAGGCATTAGGCCAGTGTCTCAGTCCATTTAGTGTTGCTATAAAGGACTACCTGAAGCTGGGTAATTTATAAAGTAGAAAGGTTTATTTAGCTCACAGTTCTGTAGACTGTACAAGAAGCATGATGCCAGCATCTGCTTTGGGTGAGGGCTTCAGACTGCTTATACTCACAGCAAAAGGCTAAGAGGAACTGGTGTGTACTGAGATCACATGGCAAGGGAGAGAGGACGCAAGAGAGAGGCGAAAAGGGTGGGGGAGGTGCTGGGCTCTTTTTAACAACCAGCTTTCTTGGTAACTAATAAAGTAAGATGAAGACATTCATGAGGGATTTGCCTCCATAACTCAAACAATTCTAGTTAGGCCCACCTCCAATACTGGGGATAAAATTTCCATATAACATTTGGAGGGGTCGAGCAAGCCAAATATAGCATCCAGGCAGGCCCTATGCTATTTATTTACATTTTATAGTTTACTTTTCACGAAGTGCACATTAATGGGGAATAAGAGAATATGGTGAGCTTCACATGTCCCTTAATCATGGCAGTGACACTATGTCTCTGTGATTCTCTTGACTCTGCCCTGCTTGGGGTGCCAGCATTGTTCTCAGGGTAGCTTACTTTATAAGCTTATGATGGCTAATGAAATTCCAAGCTTTATATCCAGAGAGTATTAGTATCTCCAAATTCTCTTATAAAGTATTTGTAAATGTGCTAAATTATCCCTTAACTAATTCCTTAAATAAGATAATTCATGTAATGAGCTTAGCCCATTATTTGGCAGATTATTAACAAATGTTACAATTGCTACCAATTTTTTTTTCTTCTGACTCCTTCCATATTTTAGGTCACCCTCTTTACCCAGCATTTCACCAAAGCAAGGCAAATAGTGATCTTGATCTCTCCTGTCCTTTACCTAACATTTTCGTGTGAATGAATTTTACCCATTTTCTCAACCAGAAGTAATTTGTTGGGAATAGAACCAATTGATGGCAATGGTGACAGTGATGAAGGTGATAATCAGTCTAGTTTGTTGAGTGAATAATGGCTTACAAAGTGCTTTTAATTTCTGTAATTTTCCGTAACCCCTATACCAATGATGGTAAAATGAATCTCCCTTGATGGAATATAAGGCACTTTGGAACCTGGCTATTTATGGAAATATAGGGATTGCATAGTACCTGGTTCAAATCTTATGTAGGGAATTGTTTATTCTGCATTTGTAAGGAACAGCATGCTTGGGACTCATATGCATATTATAGTCCCAAAAGCTGTCCCAATTGCCTGTGATTGTCTCAGAGTTAGTTCACTCTCTGAATGGATGCTCAGGGTAAATTTTATCCAAAAACATTGTGAGCTTTGCTGCTCTCTATCTAAAATCCAGCCCTGAACTATCTTGTAAACTTAAAATGAATCACAGTTCAATTGTTTGTTCCTAGGTAGAAACTTAGTGTGCTCATATTCTTTGCAACAACAAGGAAAATAGCTATATTTTATCTCTTTCATCTAAAGTTCATTCATATATACTACCTCACTTGATCTTCACAATTCTGTCAGACAAGAGGAGGAAGTGGAATAAATATTTGTTACCTGCATAATATGTGCCAGACACCAGATATTAAAAATTATTAACATAAATATAAATCACTATGTAACTTTTGTATAGTCCTCATACCAAGTGCGTGACTTATATAAATTATTGATTTAACCTTCAAAAATTAAAAATTTGGGGCTCAGAGAAGTTAAGTGTCTTGCCCAATGGCATGAAGTGAGGAACAGGAGAAGCTAGAACTCAATCTGGGTTTTCTGACTTAAAACAACTGTGGATTTTGCATTATCACAATTGCTGCATCTGACACTAATGATGCACGTGAGAAATGAATCTCCTCAGCTTTTTCTGTTGGTTGGCACTTTAACATAGACACAGAGAATAACATATTATCTTCTTTTGCGTGTGTGTGTGGAAAGTCTTTGTTCATTTACATATGCTTCTATTTACAGATTCATAGTCTACACAGCCATGGCTGCAAGTATTCACTGGTGGGCCATTATGATGATGTTTGCTCTTTTTCACTAATATCATAAATGGGTATAAGGCTTGATAGCTCTAAGTGACAAAAAATATTTTTATAGGTATAGCAGACACCCATGTCTTTGTAATTAAGCTTGCCTGAAATAAGACCAAATGTGTGAACATATTAATGCTTTGTTTTGTACTGCCTCTTTTCATGTAATTTTATTAACATAAGGGGTGCCTTTAATTATGCAAAGCTACAAACTACATTATTGATATTCTATAAACATTCACTACACCCGCCTTTAATGAAACAAAAACAAAATGCAGTCTCTTATTTTTCAAGATTCTTAGAAAGGCAGAAAGTCTGGAGTATAAAATAAAAGGAGTTAGGGACTTGATCCTTGAGTCATTGCTATGTGTAGCCAGGGCTATGTGTGCCAGGATATACATGGGATAGTTACCCCCACCCACTATTTTACTTTCTGTACCTTCAGTTACCTGTGGTTCAGCACAATAGGATATCTTCTGAGAGAGACAGACCACATTCACATAACTTTTATTACAATATATTGTTAAAATTGTTTCATTTAACTATTAGTTACTGTTTCTAATATTTACTGTGCCTAATTTATAAACTAAATTTTATCACAGGTATGTATATATAGGAAAAAATATATAGCATCAGTAGAGTTCACTGTTATCTGTGGTTTTAGGCATCCACTGGGGCTCTGGGAACGTATCCCCTTCAGATCAGAGGAACTGCCATAGTCATTTTATTGTTGGAATTTCCCAGCTCCATACCTCCATACTGTATTTGGTTCAAACACAGTAACATATTTTTAAAAATATACTGGATACTGGAGATTTGTCATCTGATTCTACTTGGCACACTTTTGTTTTTTAACTATGTTATTCTGGTCCACTGGTAAACTTATGAGAATTTTTCAAAGGGGCTGACTTCCACATGGGATTTGATTTGGACTCTGAAACCTACAGACATTTGTTTTTTAACTATGTTATTCTGGTCCACTGGTAAACTTATGAGAATTTTTCAAAGGGGCTGACTTCCACATGGGATTTGATTTGGACTCTGAAACCTACAGTCAGGTTAAATTCTAAATGTATTTAAAGAAAGTAGCTTCCAAGATCAGGTATACTTAATGGCGTCTCACTGAGATTTGTGTTGCTTTATGCTGCTTTACCAGTTAAATTTTGAGAGAGAGAGACAGAGAATAGCCAATTGCAGTTATGTGGTCTTTACATGAACAACCTACTATAGATGAATCACACAGGAACCACAGAAAATATTGTGGATGGTTTTGAAAAAGAGAATCATAAAAATGATGACTACTCACCTGCAAGCTTAGGAAAACTACAAGAATTGAAAAATCAACAGGCTTTATCTTGCTTCACTCTGCTCCATCTATGGCACTACCAGACAAAAAAATCCTTATGTTAATATCAACTATGAAAAATTAAAAAGCATTTGAGTAAAATGACTTCCATTACTATAACTTTAATAGTGAAAAATATATATGCCACTGGAACCATTTTTATATTTGGGGCTTGGTTCAAAAATTTGTTACAAGTGTCTTTATGAGCATTTTTTATGGCATTGCACTTGTAAAGCTTGTGGTGCTTAGGGGACTGATCTTTTATTCATTCCTTCACTCAACAAATACATATTAGGTATTTACTCTTGGATAAAGAAGAGAAACAGCCATTCATAATCTCTGTGTTGTAAAGTTTTTGGTCTATTTGGATAGGAAGACATTATAGAGAAGGTCACAGAAAAAATTATAGATGGTGTGATTAGCAAACAATGACTTTTAAATATTAAAATGTATTAAATAAATTATAAGAAAAGATATATATAATGAGTGAAAAAATGAAGAATTCTGTGGAGCTATAAAGACTCAAAAGAAGAACTAAATGGAAATTCCAGAACTGAAAAAGGCAAACAGTTCATTCAAGAGGATTAAAAGCAGATTGAATATTTAAGAGAAAAGGATTAAGGAACTTGAAGATGCACCAAGAGTTATTCAACTAAAGCACAGACAGCAGAAGTTAAAAACAAAATTGAGCCAGAATGACCTGTGAAGCCAAATCAAGCCATTCTGCATATCTGCAATTAGAGTCCTAGAAAAAGGGCGAGATAATGGTTCAGAAAAATATATCCAGATAAACAATGGCTGAAAAATTTCTAAATTTAATTAAAAATTTCAAACTCAAGATATAAGAGATCCAACACTCTTCAGGTAGGATAGATGCAAAGAAAACCACAACTACACACATTATAGTCAAAGTGCTGAAAACCAATACAGGCACACCTTGGAGATACTGAGTTTGGTTCCAGACCACCACAGTAAAGCAAGTCACACGAAATTCTGGTTTTTCAGTGCATATAAAAGTTATGTTTACACTACCTATAGTCTATTAAGTGTGCAAACACATGTTTGCAAAACAATGTGCATATCATAATTAAAAATACTTTATTGCTAAAAAATGCTAACAAACATCTGAGCCTTCAGCAAATTGTAATCTTTTTGCTGGTGGAGGGTCTTGCCTAGAGGTTGATGGCTGCTGACTGATCAGGGTAGTGGTAGCTCAGGGTTGAGTGGCTGCAGCAATTTCTGAAAATAAGGCAACAATGAAGTTTTCAAAGATGTCTCTGTAACATGTGAAGCTGTGTGATTGCATTTTATCCACAGAACTTCTTTCAAAATTGGAATCAGTCCCCTCAAACTATGCTGCTTCTTTATCAAATAAGGTTTATGTAATATTCTAAATCCTTGGTTGTCATTTAAACAATATACACAGCATCTTCACCAGGAATAGATTCCATCTCAAGAAACACTTTTATTGTTCATCCGTAAGAAGCAACTTCTCATCTGGTCAAATTTTATCACAAGATTGCAGCAATTCAGTCACTTCTTTAGGCTCCACTTCTAATTCTAGTTCTCTTGAGGTTTCCACCACAAATACAATGACTTTCTCCACTGAGGTCTTGTACCCCTCAGAGTCATCCATGAGGGTTGGAATTAACTTCTTGCAAACTGCAGTTAATATTAATATTTTGACCTCTGCCCATAAGTCACAAATGTTCTTAAAGGTATCTAGAATGGTGAATTCTTTCCAGGAGGTTTTCAATTGGCTTTGCCCTGATCTATTAGAGGAATTACTATCTACAACAACTGTAGCCTTACAAAATGTGTTTCTTAAAGAGTGACTTGTAAGTGAAAATTAATCCTTGATCCATGGGCTGCAGAATAAATATGTTAGCAGGCATGTTAACAACAATCATCTCCTTGTACATCTTCATCAGAGCTCTTGGGTGACTAAGTGCCTTTTCAATGAGTAGTAATATTTTGAAAAGAATATTTTCTCTAAGCAGTAGAACTCAACAGTGGGCTTAAAGTCTTTGATAAACCACGTCGTCATTGCAGCTTTCTTGTTTCATTTATAGAGCACAGGCAGAGTAGGTTTAGCATAATTCTTAAGGGCCCTAGGATTTTCTGAATGGTAAGTGAACATTGGCTTCAACTTTATTACCAGCTGCGTTAGTCCCTAATGCAGTCATCATCCCCTTTGAAGCTTTGAAGCCAGGTATTGACTTCTCCCCTCTAGCTACAAAGGTCCCAGATAGCATCTTCTTTCAATAGAAGGCTATTTTGTCTACATTGAAAATTGGTTATTTAGTGTAGCCACCTTCAACAATTATCTAAGCTAGATCTTCTGAATAACTTGCAGCTTCCACATTAGCCCTTGCTGCTTCACCTTGTACTCTTATGTGATGAAGATGGCTTTTTTCTTTGAACCTCATGAGCCAACCTCCTCTAGCTTCCAAATTTTTTTCTGCAGCTTCCTCACCTCTCTCAGACTACACAGAATTGAACAGTTAGGGCCTTGTTTTGATTAGGCTTTGGCTTAAGGGAGTGCCTGGTTTGATCTTCTATCCAGATCACTAAAACCTTTTCCATATCAGCGGTAAGGCTGTTTCACATTCTTTTCATTCATGTTGTTCACTAGGGTAACACTTTCAATTTCCTTCAGGAACTTTTCCTCTTTATTTATAACTTGACTAATTGTTTAGTGCAAGAGCTCTAGCTTTTGGCCTGTCTGGGTTTTTGACATGCCTTCCTCACTAAGCTTAATCATGCTAGCCTTTGATTGAAAGTGAGAGATTTGTGACTCTTCCTTTAACTTGAACACTTTGAGGCCATTGTAAAGTTATTAACTGGTCTAATTTAAATGTTGTGTCTCAGGAGATAGAGATGCCGGAGGAGAGGGAGGGAGATGGGAGATTGCATTGGCTAGTTGGTAGAGCAGTCAGAACACACATTTATTAAGTTCACTGTCTTACATGAGCATGCTTCTTGATACCCCAAAATAATTACAATAGTAGCATCAAAGATCACTGATCACAGGTCACCACAAGATAACCACAACATAACATACTTATACCATAATAGTAAATATAATATATATTTACTATTGAAGCCTAACATATTTTTCCTAAATATGAAATGAAAAAGCTTAAAATATTGTAAGAATGACCAAAACGTGACACAGAGACACAAAGTGAGCACATGCTATTGGGAAAATGGTGCCAATAGACTTGCTGGACACAGGGTTGCCACAAACCTTTGATTTGTAAAAAGCACAGTATCTGTGAAGTGCAATAAAATGAAGCACAATAAAAAAGAGATATGTCTGTAATTAGGAAAGGAAGAGGAGAAGGATGAGGGAGAAAAATGTTGGTGGGAATACTCTTTGTCTAACTCAGATATAATTTTAACAATTCTCTCCCATCACTTGAAAAAAATTACAGTTGAAATAAGAACAAAAGTATAAACTGATACATATATAATTCAATCTTTGTATTGTATGTATCATTACATACATACATATATATATATAAAATGTACATATGTATCATACATGATTTGAGTCAGATAACCCAAAGTCTCAATTTCACAACTTTTAGTTTAGTTATAAAGCAAGCAGAATTTTTATTCTTTGCTGGATTTGAACCTAGAATCATGTTCCTTTTGGAATTCATACCAATCAGTATTGAAACATAAGATCTATTGCCCAATGCAAAACTGCATGCAGATGAAGCAGATATAATCAGAGGAAGAAATGTTGTTGCCATTTTATCTCTTGAGCTGTTAATTCACACCTAACTTGAAGCAAGATACCTTTGTCTAAGATAGACCTATTAAACTCACTTTATAGTTTAAGCTAATATAAGGTTAAGTATGCTGTTATTTGCCTTCAAAAGCATCCTAACGGATAGACTTCCCTAGCATAATATGTATTCATAGAATTTTTAAAGTTAAGAGTGATGTAAATTTAAATTTTTGATAAATAATTACATAAACAGCCCATAGAACTGTTGGTAAGTTATTTAGTCTCAGCAAAGTGTATTGGGCAACTAGTTTTCCCACTTCATATAATATGGTGATTGTTATTCTTTTTCATTATTGAAACGCTGAAATTTATATTTTATTACTGATTTGATTAAAATATATGGTAACAGAATGGGAGAAAATTTTTGCAATCTACCCATCTAACAAGTGTCTAATATTCAGAATTTACAAGGAACGTAAAGAAATTTACAAGAAGAAAACAACCTCATCAAAAAGTGGCCAAAGGATATGAACAGACACTTCTCAAAAGAAGACATTTACACGGCCAACAAACATGAAAAAAAGCTCAACATCATTGATCATAGAAAAATCCAAATCAAAACCACAATGAGATACCATCTCACGCCAGTCAGAATGGTGATTATTAAAAGGTCAAGAAACAATAGATGCTGGCAAGGCTGTGGAGAAATAGGAAGGCTTTTACACTGTTGGGGGAAATGTAAATTAGTTCAACCATTGTGGAAGAGAGTGTGGTGATTCCTCAAGGATCTAGAACCAGAAATACCATTTGACCCAGCAATCCCATTACTGAGCATATACCCAGAGGAATATAAATCATTCTACTATAAAGGCACATTCACATATATGTTTATTGCAGCACTCTATACAATAGCAAAGTCATGGAACCAACCCAAATGCCCATCAATGATAGATTGGATAAAGAAAATGTGGTACATATACACCATGGGATACTATGCAGCCATAAAAAGGAATGAGATCATGTCCTTTGCAGGGACATGGATGAAGCTGGAAGCCATCATCCTCAGCAAACTAACAGAGGAACAGAAAACCAGACACCGCATGTTCTTGCTCATAAGTGGGAGTTGAACAATGAGAACACATGGACACAAGGAGGGGAACAACACACACCAGGGCTTGTTGGGCGGTGGGGGGTGAGGGGAGGGAACTTAGAGGACGGTTCAATAGGTGCAGGAAACCACCATGGCACACATATACCTATGTAACAAACCTGCATGTTCTGCACATGTATCCTGGAACTTAAAAGTAAAATTTATATATATATATATAATATATATATATTTACTATTGAAGCCAAACATATTTTTTCTAAATTTATTGGACATTTAAGTGTTTACTTTTAATAATATTCTCTATAAGCCATTTGTCTACTGCTGAAATTGAGCCAGGAAAAAGGCATTTAGCTTTTTGATGCCCTAGGAGATCTTTAAATATTAAGGATTTTAACCTATTTTGTCACATTCATGGTTACTATAATTTACCAGTTTGCTGTCTATATTTTGATTGTTTATAGCATGAGATTTGTATTGTTATAATTGTTTATTTTGTTTTGGTGAAGTAGAAGTTTGTTTTGAGGTAGAATGGTTCCTGTCAATTTGGTACTTATAGGATATATTTCACTATCTACTACCCTAGAGCTTTCATTATTTCTTTTGTCAGTATTTAAATTTTAATAAAATTTTATCTTGAAATATGGTATGAGGTAAGAATTTAACAAGTTTCCAATAGCACTCATTGGTCTTTCCTCACTGATTTAGAATAAAACTCTTAAAATATGTTACATTTCCATTTATACTGAGGTCTGTTTCTATAATTTTATTTTCTCATTTGCCTGAGTGCCTATTTCTGTGCCAAACTCACATTGCTATAATTACTGTTTCCTTAAAAGAGGAGTCTCTCTCTCCCTACATTTATATTTACAAATTTATTCTTTATTTATTTATTTTTTTTTTGAGACAGTTTCACTCTGTTGCCTAGGCTGGAGTATAGTGGTCTTGGCTCACTGCAGCCTCCGCCTCCTGGGTTCAAGCGATTCTCCTGCCTCAGCCTCTCAAGTAGCTGGGACTACAGGCACGTGCCACCACACCTGGCTAATTTTTGTATTTTTTAGTAGAGATGGGGTTTTACCATGTTGGTCAGGATGGTCTCGATCCCCTGACCTCGTGATCCACCCACCTCGGCCTCC
Organism: Homo sapiens; assembly: GCF_000001405.40. Taxonomy (NCBI): domain Eukaryota; kingdom Metazoa; phylum Chordata; class Mammalia; order Primates; family Hominidae; genus Homo; species Homo sapiens. The sequence continues at coordinate 83,281,532 of NC_000001.11, read as the reverse complement.
CAAAGTGCTGGGATTACAGGCGTGAGCTACCGCACCCGGCCACAGATTTATTTTTTATGAAAAACTGCTAAATATTAAGTCCCTTTCCTCCTCAAAGTACTGAGATTTTGATTGGGAAGGTGTTAAATTTATAGATTAATTTGGGGAGAATCAAAATCTATACTTTTTATCCAGTAACATGGCCTTGCTCTTGATTTAACATAGTTTTATAGTAGTGATTCATAAACTTCTTTGCCAATATATTTATGGTATGTCAAAAGAATAGTGTAATGATTAATAGGAGTTCAAGTGCAAGTTTGTCTGCCTACTGTATTTTGAGATTGTAAATTGTGCTTTACCTTGTAAATAGAATTTTTTTAGGGCTTCCCATATGAGAGGCTCAGTTCTAAGAAGTTTGCACAGATAATATTGTTTAATCACAACAAAATTCTCTACTTTTCTGAAGAAAGTGAGATTCATGTAGGATAAGCAATTTTCTCAGATTCACCTAGGTAGTAAGCAGTGCAATCAGGACTCCATTTAAAATCTAACTCCAAAGTCTTTGGTCTTTTTCTGTTGGTTTTATAGGTTCTGAGCCGCAATTAATTAATTTATAAGATGAGGGTAACATTAGTATCAAATTCATATGGTTTTGAGAAACTTATTTTCTTCTGCAGTTTACTGATTATTGCCAACCTTATTTGAAACAAATACATTTTATCAATTTTCCTTTGAATGTTGCTTTAGCTGCATTGTGAAGTTTTTGAGATATAGATTTAATACAGTGCCTAATTTAACTAGTCTGCATTTTCAGTGTCTATGTCTAAGTCAAGAGTAAATTAAAGTGCTAATTTAGATCTTAACTTACTAGATTTTTTATTATTAAGTGGTTAGCATTTTTGTGACTCATAGTTTTAATTCCTTACGGTCAAACGACCACATTCCAAAATGAATTTTTACATAATGTGAATTTGTTTGTTAAATTTTACACGTAAAAACACTCATCAAATTTATTAATTATATTATTTAATTATCTATTATTAGTATCATATATTTCTTGCCATCTTGGTCTAGAAAATTCAGAGAGAAAATTTTAAAGTCTTTCAGTATGATTACGGTTCTGTCAGATTCTCCTTACTTCTCCTTCCATCTGCGGTGTTATGATACAGATTGGTTTTCATCCATGGCTCCCGGCTCATAACTCCTATAGCCCTTATTATAGCCTTTTGTTATAATGTTGGGTGTGTGGGGCTTCAGGGGCAGGCCTCTGACCTTCTCTTGCTCTCCTTTCGCCTGCCCCCAGGCAGAACTCTAATATTTCCCTGCCTTTCTGAATTTGGGCCTTAAGCCTCTCCCATGAGAGGGTCTCATCCTATACCTGGAGGAAGACATGCTGATATCATGAAGCTTCCATAAAAACCCAGGAGGACAGGGTTCATTGAACTTCAGGATAGCTGAACACGTTCCTGTTGGGTGGTGAGCCCAGGGAGGGCAGGGAAACTCCATAGCCCTTTTATAATACCTCACTTTACACTTCTCTTCAACTGTTTCCTTTGCAATATCCTTTATAATAAACTTATAAATATAAGTAGGTGTTTCCCTGAGTTCTGTGAGCCGCTCCAGCAAATTAATCGAACCGAAGGAGGGGGTCATGGGAACCCCAACCTGAAGCCGGTCTGTCAGAAGTTCCAGAGGCCCAACTTGTGTGACTGGTGTCAGTGGTGTGGGGGGAGGGGAGTCCTAGGGAAGTGAGCCTTCAACTTGTCAACCTGTCACATCTGACACTGTCTCTGGTTAGATAGTATCGAGACTGAATTAGAGGACACCCAACTGGTGACCGCTGCTTGGTGTGTTGGGAAAAAAACCTCCACACATGTGGACGCAGAAGTCTTCTGTGTTAATAATTGTTGTGGTGTGAGAGTACAGGGAAAACATGGTTAGGGATAGTTTTCTCACAATATCTAACATATTTAACTTGATTTATGCTTAATAGTATATTTTCTACACACTAGTATTTTATTGGTCATGTAAGTTTTGTGAATTGTACTTTTATTTAAAATGATAAATTCTTATTTCTCCCACTCAGCAGTTTTTGCCCTAAATTCTGCTTTGACTGATATTGAATCTGCTAGTTCTGCTTTCCTTCATTTACAATGGCCTATTCCATATCTGTTTCTTTCTTTATTTTAACATTTTTGTTTCTTTATTTTTTCAGCTGCACCTCTGTGTAAATAGCATACAGCTCACATATTCCTTTTGGTCTTTATGACAATCTTGTTTTTTTTTTAATGAACAAATAAAATGTTTTTACATTTTCTTATAATTATTGATATTTGTGATCTTATTCCTGACATGTTATTTAGTGTCCATTCTAGCAATATGTTTTATATTTTTTCCTTTCTTTTTAAAATATTGATCAAGATTTCTTCTATAAAAATCTACCATGGTTTAAAATATACAAATCTTATGTTACATCTTAAAATCAGGTTTTCCCCCAATTCTAGATCTTTTGTCTTTCTTTCTCGTGTTCTCCTTAAAGGAGCTCACCCATGCCTATCACTTCAATGATTATCTCCACATTAATGCCTATTACTGACCCTGGCATCTGTCCTCACTTCTGTTTCTAGTAATCGGTAACAAATGTCACTCATGGAGTACATCCTTGATATATTAAAAACTAATAACATCTTTTTTGGTCCAAATCTCTTTTTTTCCCCATGAATGTCCTCTAGTAATAATTGAATCTTCTCCAGTAAATAAGTGACAACACATTATAACAGCCATTCAAGCTAAAAAAAAAAAAAAAAGTCATTTATTCTCAGTTGTTATCCTACATAGCTCTTTATGATCATTCCCCAAACCCTTCTTTGTATTTCTCAAATCCACCTACTATCTCTATTTTCAGGCATCTATCCCTTCTCACTTGGACAATCATCTTTACACATTTCTCTTAAAATGTTGCAAATTATCTTTATATAACATATGTCTAATTATATTGGTCTTCTACTTTTTAAAAAAATCTTTAGTAGTGCAGTACAAAGAGCATGGGCAATGGGTTCAGATATACCTTGGGTTTAACACCAGTTCTGTAATTTGTAAGCAGGGTAACCATGGACTTTTTTTTTTTTTTACTCTCTAAGCTTCAATTCTCCCAACTGCAACTGGGAATAATAATGCCATCTGAAAAGGCTTGGCATGAAGAGTAAATGAGGTTCTTTATTTAAAGATAATGGAAAGGAGTGTCAAAAACTGTTACACCCTTCCCTCCCTCCAACACGCACAGAAACACACACACACACACACACACACACTCTTATCCATGTGAGCACATCCACACTACATGATATAGAACTCATGTACTTATGCTAGGATTTCAAGCCCCCATAATCTGGTTTGACTATGTCTACAAACTCATGTCATATTATTCATCTCAGTCCCTTTTATTTAGCCAACTTTCTAGCCCATCCTGCTACAGATACCCCATCAGACATTTTCGTCATGACTTTTCATGTGCTATTAGGTCTGCTAGGAATAGCTTCCTTATCCTTAATACTTGACAAACCACAAATCCTTTAAAATCTGACTCGGTCCTAAAGCTGTCTTTCTTTCTACACAGACGCATGGATCCTCTTTCCTCCACTCTTCCAAATCTGGGACACTTCTGGAACATATATTGTGATATAATCTAGTTGGGTTTAAATGTAGAAACCATGAACTAGACTGCAAGTTCCAAGAGAGTAAAGGCTAGGTTTTTCATGCCCCTAACTCTCAAGTCTTACTATGACCTTAATACATACTATGTGCCCAACAATTATTCTCTGAAAGCATGAATAAATGGATGAATGAGTACTGCTGCTGAGGCATAGAAAAAGGTAAGGGATTAACTATGATTTAAGTTCAGAGGACCCCATTTCAAGTCTGGAATTGCACATTTCTAGCTGGATAAGGCCTTTGCCAAGTCACTTTATCTCTGTGCTATAGTTTCGTCAACTCAAGAAAGAAAATAACGCCTTCTTGTCTAAGTCATTAGAGTCAAGTAGATACATAGAAGTGGTTTGTAAACTTTAAAATACTGTGTGCATTTACATTACATTATATTACTTCTCTTACTAAGAATTAGTAAAATAAAATTTTTAAACTATTTTTAAAAAATTATTTTCTGGCCGGGCACAGTGGCTCACGCCTATAATTCTAGCACTTTGAAAGGCCGAGGAGGGTGGATCACCTGAGCTCAAGAGTTCGAGACCAGCCTGGCCAACATGGCGAAACCCTGTCTCTACCAAAAATACAAAAATTAGCCGGGCGTGGTGGCACATGCCTGTAATCCTAGCTACTTAGGAAGCTGAGGCAGGAGAATTGCTTGAACCCAGGAGGCGGAGGTTGCAGTGAGCTGAGATCTTGCCACTGTGCTCCAGCCTAGGCAACAGGGAGAACCTCCATCTCAAAAAAAATAAAATTATTTTCCAAGGCTACATTTGGAAGCAGCATATGTTATACAACCCAACATCCTATGTGTCATGGTTCTTGGGATATATATCTTAAGTGTATAACATTTCACCCAAGGACTCTGCTCTTGGGTGAATGGGTAAGTGGGTTAGGAGCAGCCTTGAAAGGCAGATAAATATTGATACTTCTATGAAACATCTTTAACAAAGTGAATAAAGATTTGAGACAAATAAAGACAAAACAGACGAACATCTGAAGAGATGAGAAAACTTTTGTTTTGCTTTCCTGGCAGAGAATTTAAGTGAGCACTTACTTAACAATATATTTCAGTTTTAATTATGTGCTACACTCACATACACATACACACACACAGAAACACACACACACTTTCACTTACATTGTTTTGATTCCTATGTAAAAAACACCCTTGGGTTAGATATTCTTAATTCCATTTACCTAAGTCCTCAGGCCTCAGTTCTCTCATCTCTTAAATGGGAGCTATAGCTTCAATCTCATATCACTTCTGTGTGTATTAAATGAAATACTGCATAAAAGTTCCTAGCATATGATAAAGTCTACAGCAATTATCTTCTGTTTTATTACTTCAAAAAGATAAATCTTTAAAAATCTTCAATGTGCATATGAGATAGGTATTTTTCTGCAATAATTGAAGAAATGCAATCTCATTTTTTAGTCATCTGTGTTGTTCTCACTGGGAGCAAGAAATAAAACTTAAGGAAAAACAATTCCAAAGTATCCCATATGTAAGAAAGCAAGACTTTGAACTTACTTCATGGGACTGCAGAGATATGAAATAAAAGTTGAAATGAAAAAGGAAGCTAGAAATAGGGAGATACAGAAAGCTGTAGAGAAAGAACCATAATGATATACCACAGAAACTGGTGGGGCTGGGGAGAAGAGACAGATTTTATGATCCAAACACTGAATATTTCTGGTTTTGCTTTTATCCCGAGGCTACTGATCATGTGTCCTAAAGGAATAATGCATGTTTCATTGTTCAAATAGGAACCATTTAGGTTACAGAAGAATGGATTATTAGTTGAAGTAAAAACTTCATACCTTCCCAAGAGGGCTCTAGGTGTGAAATGCTTTAATTAAAAGTAATCTGATTATGGCAATGATTCAATTTTACTTTTTTGCTTTAAAATGGACCTTTAAAATAAAATGTCATGGGCTTTTAAAAAATTGCTTAAGGTTTTTTGTTTGTTTGTTGCCAGAAGCAATTACAAATGACCAGAAACATGTAATAAAAGTCTTTGCTCTACTAGCTGTTGAAGAAATACAAATTAAAGTGATATGTAACTGTTTTTCTATATATCAGAATGACAAAGATTATACTCTTTATGCTAACAAATGGCAATACCTAGTGTTGATGAAGAAAAGGGAAAACCAACACTTTTAAACACTGTCATTGAGAATGTTCATAAGGACCTGGGAAAGAGGCATCAAATTCTGAGGGAGTGAGGTGGAATTTGGTAAATATCCATCTAGATAAATGTTATTCTTCTTTGAGAAATTTATCTTAAGGAAATATAGCATAACCACACAAACAATAAGAATACATGGACATAATGTTTTACACAAATGTTAATGACCGGGGACATGTTTATAATATAATTTCTTGTTAAAATTTTTTTGCATGTGATATCATTTATGTGTGTGCATTACATGTCAGTATCACTCTAGATATAAATAGAAATAGACAAAATGATGGGCAGCTATTTTTAAATGTGGGAATTACACGATTTTTAATTTTTTCATTTTGCTTACTTTCCTGTCCTGCCAAAGCTCCCTACTATAAAAATGAGTAACTTCTGTAGTCATAAAATACTGTATTTTTCATAAGGAGATTACCTATATTTGCACTTTAAACCTAATTTTTATATCTTACTTAAATCAACTTATTTTTATTTTAATATGTTTCATGCAGTTTATTTCTGCAGATTTGGAATCCCCGCTTTACATCTGGATACAGAGAGCTGCTGGTGATTTGAATAGGCTGAAAGCACCCTAAGTAAATTTTTTTTCCATACACTAAGAACCAAAGGCTCATTTTTTTTAAGTCATTCAAATAAGGAAGTGATTGTTCACAGGCAAAAAAAATGCTATCAGTTTTTGCAGGAGTTGTTGGGTCTTGGAGCCTGTAATGGGGACCGTGGAAAGCAGCACAAAAAAGTAGAACAAGAGCCTGCAGTATGTCAGTGAAATGCCAAGGGATGCAAAGTGACAGCATAATGCAATGTGACGTGTCTCTGCAATGACATGTCAAGCCTGTACAATTCAAAGGCCGAGGTTTGCCTAAAACCTTGGCTAAAGCATGGTTCCAGTTAGTTACATGTAAGGGACCTCAACATAAAAAAAAAAAAAGTTTATTAACAAAATGCTTTTACTATGGGAAAATCTTCCTGTGACAAATATTTCCAGTGGAAAAGAATGGTTTGAATTGCTATTCTCTAAATAAAGCAGATTCTCCCACCCTAAAGGACTGCATTCCAATCAGGAAGCTTCAAAGCAAAAGAAGACACCATTATTTCTGTCTTTTCAGTGCCTTCATTCAAGTGTTCTTCCAAACTGATAACCGTATATGTGTACTGTCCTATCTGTATTACTTTGAGGGCAAGAAATCCTGGAAACCTGCTCTTCTGATTATTTACCTTACATCACATTATTTTTCAATTAAACACTATTATGCCAATTTTAGGATCAGCTCTTCAAGTTTTGTCAGTTTGATTTTGCTTTAGCATTTTCAAAACTATAGGAGAGACTGATGTCATGCTTTCCTTTTTCACTTGCAGATTTATATTAGGACTTCTTTTACAGCTACTTTACAAGAAAATATCAGGACTCCATCAAATAATGAATAGATACACACTTTCTCCATTCTTTCTACTATCTATATTCATAGGAGTTCCATTTCATTGTTTCCTAAAATATAACACTTTGTTGAAACCATTAAAGTTAGAGACTTTTTCATTCACTGTGTTTCTACAGGCATTTTATAATATGGTCTCTGGTTATTAAAGCAAATACTGCACATTTTTAAAACTCCATATGAGAAATGTCCATGTTTAAGTTTTTGAAAATATCTCTTCCACTTCTGATTCTTTTAATGTGGTCTTAAAAATATATATAACAGACCACAAGGAACATGTTTATTAAGAGTATGTACATTAAATACTCAGAAGTGAGTAGGTAACGCTATGCAGATGTTGTCATGGTAAATATTCACGATAACATACATGAAAATGGCCAGAACTCAAGTTTAGATCTAGCCCAGCCAGACATAAATTACTGGCTGTTATTTTTCCAAATGTTTTCCTTTATTTTAGCCTTAATGAATAAATGTTTTCAGATCCGATACAATAATGTTTGAATTCTGTTGAAACCACAATTTTCTTCTACTCCATATTCACCATGAGCTGTATAAAGACAGAACTAAGAGGTTGTGCTTCCCTGGAGATCTCTCTTTAGTACATTTACATGGTTTGGGTTATTTTTCTAGAAGTTGCAAGTTGGTCTGCTAGAGAAATCTCATAAAAATGGTCTAAAGATGTTTCCTTAAAGAGAAGGGCTTTTCTTTAAATGATTTTCATCCAGTTATTTATTGGAAGAATAGAATTGAATACTAACTAAATGCAGAGTTGCATTTAATTCATGACAGCCCTCTCGTTCAGCAAAACATATTTTTAAAAAATCACTATACCAGAAAGTCACTGAGGTTCTAATCTTCCTGAATCTTTTATAGCTGAAATGGAATCATTGAACTTCCATTTGGGCTTCACTTATGCCATCATGTGAAAGGCGATGAAAAATATCATGATGTCTATTGCTTAAAAATTGATACTTTATGCTAGCTTAAAACTCATATTTGGAGTTATCTGTCAAAGTTTCCCTGAAGCTCTTAAATGCAAATAATACTAGTCCCAGAAGAAAAAAACTGGAAAGCTAGTTTGTGCCCAAACTACAAGGTATCTCTTGGATTAAAGATCTCAAAACTCCTGGTTTATTTTCCTAGTTTCTCACTACATAGATGATAGAATAACAGATTTATTCAAAACTTCATACAGACTATGTATGCTTGATCAAGTCTCATAAATGGCAAGGACTTTAGTTGCTTTAACTCTCAAATGTTAGAGCAACTTCTGTCTTAATACATTTCTAAAATATATGGCAGATTATCTATTTACTACTTTGAATTGCTTGCTATTTTGTATCCCTTATGAATTATAATATAACTCTTCTCAGCATCTGATATATTGCCCAGCACATAGTAGGCACTCAGCATATGTTTGCTATTGCTGATGGCATTCTGTAGCTTACTCTTACCTTGATATCAGAGAGCAGTGTTATAGTTGACAGACATTAGCCTGCCTTATCTAAAATAAATGCTTTCTCTTGCCTTTACTGATAACATGCTGTTAACAGCATGCTGTGTTACCTAATATAATACGTGAAGTTTAATCACCAAAAGTAGCTACTTCAGAATACACCTAAAGGAATGACCTGATTAATGGGGCTTATTCCCAAAGCAGAAGCTATGGCTTCAACAGATTCTAAAATGCAGAACATGAGTTTACATGAGCAACAAGCATTAGAATACAAGTCTCCATTCTGTTATTCATTTTGTTCAAACACCTGTGAAGAGGGCCTTAATCTGTGATTGTTTATGACAAAACATATTATAGTATGTTTATGTCCTTCAGCTTCAATGTTGTAGCAGTCAGTTACTTTGTCCTGGGCAATCAGTGCTTGTAAAAAGCAGCTGAAATGTTTCCCTTCACAAAAGTCCTTCCAAATAATCCTCCCTGGGAATGTGCACCATAATATCAGAACATGGGCTAGCTTGAGGTCACCAATGCTGACAGTTCCTGCCTTTGGGGAGAAAAGAGACAGTGGAGACTTCCCAACAAATGTGTATTTGACTTACTTCTCCTTTATCTGTTCACAGAACAAGTGTCACACAAGGGATTACAAAGTCAATGGCGATTTCCCTATTTAAATACTGTATGTATTAGGCTGAGTTCCAAGACGGGAAGAACCAGTCATCTACTAATGCTTCATGACTTGTCAGGTCCTGAGCAACTCAGCCTTGTAGTTAAACGTAGTACTTATCATGAGGGCTTTGATGTTCAACACAAAATGAAACTGATGTATTTAGAAAACAACAAGCAGGACAAAATTGCTGAATTGACCCAGGAAAAGGAAATTTCTACACAGGTCAGTTAATTCATGACAGTTTTAGAATGCATTACTGAGAGCTGCTTTGTTTGCTTTGATTTTCTATAGAAAAACAAAACCAGACAAATGTGACAAGGTAGAATGCATGACTCAACAGTCTCCTTTAATTGACCAACCCAGTGGCCCAGACACCCAGGATAGCCTATTGCTTTCTCATGGACCATTGCTACTAAAAATGTGCACTTGACTTCAGGATATACATGAGGATGGAAAAGTTTCTTGTTGACAGAAAGCCAGCAAATAATACCATGGTTTCTCTCTATAACCTGCACTTTCACAGGTTTTTTAGGCATTGCAAGGACAAATGCTCTTTCTTTTAATAAAACTCATCCATTCTGTAAAACTTATGTTGTACAAATTTCTCTGAGAAAAATCAGATGGAAGTATAGTAACTTACACTTCTTCCCCAAGTGTATTTGGAAATGTATCAGATTTAGAAACCAAGGAAATACTTACCATATGTTGGGGAGGGGAGGATGAAATGAAATTGGATGTTTTTCATTTGTGAATATAGCTTTGCTTTAGTTCATGTAAAAAAATCATGAAGGAGCCAGTACATTTGTATATTTCATTTAAAATATCTTTGTGTTTTACAGAAACCTGCCCTTAAACTTGTACTGAGCAGTTTTATAAATTTTCATATTTTATGCTATAAAACCAACATGTATAAAAACTCCTCTGTCAGAATAACACCTGAAAAGGCATGCAGATAGACTTGGCCTTCCAATACATGTTACTCAGAATCAAACAAATAGTGGTTAAAGAAATATTTTTTGAAAAGTCAGGTGCAAAGCAAAACCAAAAGTACTCCAGGCAGAGGCAAAAGTACTATAGCAGAGTAATCTGCTATAGTCAGAAGATTACTACATTTCTTTGATTTTTGCCCATGTGGGGCCTCCTGCTGCGGTGAAGGTGTTGATAATATGAATACCCACATAGCTAATTTACAGAACCTTGGTGTGGAACTCCCTAATTCAAGAACCCCAAGGAAATGCTGGCCTCCCTGGTGAAAAAGCCATAAAATGACTGTTTATTTAAATGAGTTAATCTCCAGCTCTTTAAAAATATCTATGGAATTCTCATTGTGAAGCCTACCCCTTCTTCAAGATATTGGCTCTTTCACAAAACAAAAATCCACTCGTTTTTGAGTAGGTGCGTAATAGTTCCACGGCATTACACTTTTAATTACCTTTACTTAAATAGCAAGCAATTTTATTAAACAGTTAAAGCCACAGTTTCTTATATGCTTTCCCATTTTGAAAACTTTACTTATTTCAATGAACTGGCTTCATATAAAAAACCTAGATGAAAGTATTCCAGTCTGCAAACTCCATACTAATGGTTAAATACATTGCCCATTTGATGCCTACACTGACACGAATATAAGACATTATCTGACTTCATTACCACAAAGCTCACCTATTTTATCAGATGAGTTGAGCTTCAGTAATTCAGACAATGATTAGATGAAGAGCAAAATAGCCCCCAGCAATTAAGAAGCATATTTAAAAGCACTTTAGACCAAATGCACCTCTTGCAGGATTTATTTTTTCCTTCATTCTCTGTAGAGTATTTTCCAGATTCAGTCTTATAATTGAAAGAAAATTTAATCCTGCATTAACCATGTAATCATTTTGCAAACTAAGTTTTGAAACTACTCTTTGTTGAAGTGGGTTAGTCCAGAATTTGTGGATTAAAGCTGTGAGACCCTATTTAAAATCTTGTAGATTTAGCATACCTTACAAACTCTCTACTTTCATTCTTATTGAAGTCACTTGAATACTAATTCATAGCATTTAGCACCTTTCTTCTAAAAGCATGAAGTGTTATAAGCATGCTAGAAAAGACAGTGAAAACTATATTACGAGGTAAGGAAAATGTATTCCTACTTCCTACTTAGCGACTGGATAATATAGAAACAAATCCATAGCTATTAACTGGGCTTCTTGACAATGAAATAAATAAAACAAATTTCCCTAAAGCCTCGAGGATAACAGTGTACAGAATTAGGTGTTTTGTAACTGCTTTTCATTAAGATAGCATTTTATTCTTATGTAAAAGTATTTTTCTAAATTTTATTGTAGAAAAATAAAAATATTAGTAGCTGTCATATATTTGCATATTTACTTGCATTTTAAACAACCCTTTTGCAGTTTATCTAACTAAACGTTTCATAAATTTCTTTTTTTAATTTTATTTTATTATTATTTTTTCTTTTTTTTCTTTTATTATTATACTTTAAGTTTTAGGGTACATGTGCACATTGTGCAGGTTAGTTACATATGTATACATGTGCCATGCTGGTGCGCTGCACCCACTAACTCGTCATCTAGCATTAGGTATATCTCCCAGTGCTATCCCTCCCCCCTCTCCCCACCCCACAACAGTCCCCAGAGTGTGATGTTCCCCTTCCTGTGTCCATGTGATCTCATTGTTCAATTCCCACCTATGAGTGAGAATATGCGGTGTTTGGTTTTTTGTTCTTGTGATAGTTTACTGAGAATGATGATTTCCAATTTCATCCACGTCCCTACAAAGGACATGAACTCATCATTTTTTAGGGATGCATAGTATTCCATGGTGTATATGTGCCACATTTTCTTAATCCAGTCTATCATTATTGGACATTTGGGTTGGTTCCAAGTCTTTGCTATTGTGAATAGTGCCGCAATAAACATACGTGTGCATATGTCTTTATAGCAGCATGATTTATAGTCCTTTGGGTACATACCCAGTAATGGGATGGCTGAGTCAAATGGTATTTCTAGTTCTAGATCCCTGAGGAATCGCCACACTGACTTCCACAATGGTTGAACTAGTTTACAGTCCCACCAACAGTGTAAAAGTGTTCCTATTTCTCCACATCCTCTCCAGCACCTGTAGTTTCCTGACTTTTTAATGATTGCCATTCTAACTGGTGTGAGATGGTATCTCATTGTGGTTTTGATTTGCATTTCTCTGATGGCCAGTGATGATGAGCATTTTTTCATGTGTTTTTTGGCTGCATAAATGTCTTCTTTTGAAAAGTGTCTGTTCATGTCCTTTGCCCACTTTTTGATGGGGTTGTTTGTTTTTTTCTTGTAAATTTGTTTGAGTTCATTGTAGATTCTTGATATTAGCCCTTTGTCAGATGAGTAGGTTGTGAAAATTTTCTCCCATGTTGTAGGTTGCCTGTTCACTCTGATGGTAGTTTCTTTTGCTGTACAGAAGCTCTTTAGTTTAATTAGATCCCATTTGTCAATTTTGTCTTTTGTTGCCATTGCTTTTGGTGTTTTAGACATGAAGTCCTTGCCCATGCCTATGTCCTGAATGGTAATGCCTAGGTTTTCTTCTAGGGTTTTTATGGTTTTAGGTCTAACGTTTAAGTCTTTAATCCATCTTGAATTGATTTTTGTATAAGGTGTAAGGAAGGGATCCAGTTTCAGCTTTCTACATATGGCTAGCCAGTTTTCCCAGCACCATTTATTAAATAGGCAATCCTTTCCCCATTACTTGTTTTTCTCAGGTTTGTCAAAGAGCAGATAGTTGTAGATATGCGGCGTTATTTCTGAGGGCTCTGTTCTGTTCCATTGATCTATATCTCTGTTTTGGTACCAGTACCATGCTGTTTTGGTTACTGTAGCCGTGTAGTATAGTTTGAAGTCAGGTAGTGTGATGCCTCCAGCTTTGTTCTTTTGGCTTAGGATTGCCTTGGCAATGCAGGCTCTTTTTTGGTTCCATATGAACTTTCAAGTAGTTTTTTCCAATTCTGTGAAGAAAGTCATTGGTAGTTTGATGGGGATGGCATTGAATCTGTAAATTACCTTGGGCAGTATGGCCATTTTCACGATATTGATTCTTCCTACCCATGAGCATGGAATGTTCTTCCATTTGTTTGTATCCTCTTTTATTTCCTTGAGCAGTGGTTTGTAGTTCTCCTTGAAGAGGTCCTTCACATCCCTTGTAAGTTGGATTCCTAGGTATTTTATTCTCTTTGAAGCAATTGTGAATGGGAGTTCACTCATGATTTGGCTCTCTGTTTGTCTGTTGTTGGTGTATAAGAATGCTTGGATTTTTGTACATTGATTTTGTATCCTGAGACTTTGCTGAAGTTGCTTATCAGCTTAAGGAGATTTTGGGCTGGGACAATGGGGTTTTCTAGATGTACAATCATGTCGTCTGCAAAGAGGGACAATTTGACTTCCTCTTTTCCTAATTGAATACCCTTTATTTCCTTCTCCTGCCTAATTGCCCTGGCCAGAACTTCCAACACTATGTTGAATAGGAGTGGTGAGAGAGGGCATCCCTGTCTTGTGCCAGTTTTCAAAGGGAATGCTTCCAGTTTTTGCCCATTCAGTATGATATTGGCTGTGGGTTTGTCATAGATAGCTCTTATTATTTTGAAATATGTCCCATCAATACCTAATTTATTGAGAGTTTTTAGCATGAAGCGTTGTTGAATTTTGTCAAAGGCCTTTTCTGCATCTATTGAGATAATCATGTGGTTTTTGTCTTTGGCTCTGTTTATATGCTGGATTACATTTATTGATTTCCATATATTGAACCAGCCTTGCATCCCAGGGATGAAGCCCACTTGATCATGGTGGATAAGCTTTTTGATGTGCTGCTGGATTCGTTTTGCCAGTATTTTCTTGAGCATTTTTGCATCAATGTTCATCAAGGATATTGGTCTAAAATTCTCTTTTTTGGTTGTGTCTCTGCCTGGCTTTGGTATCAGAATGATGCTGGCCTCATAAAATGAGTTAGGGAGGATTCCCTCTTTTTCTATTGATTGGAATAGTTTCAGAAGGAATGGTACCAGTTCCTCCTTGTACCTCTGGTAGAATTCAGCTGTGAATCCATCTGGTCCTGGACTCTTTTTGGTTGGTAAGCTATTGATTATTGCCACAATTTCAGAGCCTGTTATTGGTCTATTCAGAGATTCAACTTCTTCCTGGTTTAGTCTTGGGAGGGTGTATGTGTCGAGGAATTTATCCATTTCGTCTAGATTTTCTAGTTTATTTGGGTAGAGGTGTTTGTAGTATTCTCTGATGGTAGTTTGTATTTCTGTGGGATCGGTGGTGATATCCCCTTTATCATTTTTTATTGCATCTATTTGATTCTTCTCTCTTTTTTTCTTTATTAGTCTTGCTAGTGGTCTATCAATTTTGTTGATCCTTTCAAAAAACCAGCTCCTGGATTCATTAATTTTTTGAAGGGTTTTTTGTGTCTCTATTTCCTTCAGTTCTGCTCTGATTTTAGTTATTTCTTGCCTTCTGCTAGCTTTTGAATGTGTTTGCTCTTGCTTTTCTAGTTCTTTTAATTGTGATGTTAGGGTGTCAATTTTGGATCTTTCCTGCTTTTTCTTGTGGGCATTTAGTGCTATAAATTTCCCTCTACACACTGCTTTGAATGCGTCCCAGAGATTCTGGTATGTTGTGTCTTTGTTCTCGTTGGTTTCAAAGAACATCTTTATTTCTGCCTTCATTTCGTTATGTACCCAGTAGTCATTCAGGAGCAGGTTGTTCAGTTTCCATGTAGTTGAGCGGTTTTGAGTGAGATTCTTAATCCTGAGTTCTAGTTTGATTGCACTGTGGTCTGAGAGATAGTTTGTTATAATTTGTGTTCTTTTACATTTGCTGAGGAGAGCTTTACTTCCCAGTATGTGGACAATTTTGGAATAGGTGTGGTGCTGAAAAAAATGTATATTCTGTTGATTTGGGGTGGAGAGTTCTGTAGATGTTTATTAGGTCTTCTTGGTGCAGAGCTGAGTTCAATTCCTGGGTATCCTTGTTGACTTTCTGTCTCATTGATCTGTCTAATGTTGACAGTGGGGTGTTAAAGTCTCCCATTATTAATGTGTGGGAGTCTAAGTCTCTTTGTAGGTCACTCAGGACTTGCTTTATGAATTTGGGTGCTCCTGTATTGGGTGCATATATATTTAGGATAGTTAGCTCTTCTTGTTGAATTGATCCCTTTACCATTATGTAATGGCCTTTTTTGACTCTTTTGATCTTTGTTGGTTTAAAGTCTGTTTTATCAGAGACTAGGAGTGCAACCCCTGCCTTTTTTTGTTTTCCATTTGCTTGGTAGATCTTCCTCCATCCTTTTATTTTGAGCCTATGTGTGTCTCTGCACATGAGATGGGTTTCCTGAATACAGCACACTGATGGGTCTTGACTCTTTATCCAATTTGCCAGTCTGTGTCTTTTAATTGGAGCATTTAATCCATTTACACTTAAAGTTAATATTGTTATGTGTGAATTTGATCCTGTCATTATGATGTTAGCTGTTTATTTTGCTCTTTAGTTGATGCAGTTTCTTCCTAGTCTCGATGGTCTTTACATTTTGGCATGATTTTGCAGCGGCTGGTACCGGTTGTTCCTTTCCATGTTTAGCGCTTCCTTCAGGAGCTCTTTTAGGGCAGGTCTGGTGGTGACAAAATCTCTCAGCATTTGCTTGTCTGTAAAGTATTTTATTTCTCCTTCACTTATGAAGATTAGTTTGGCTGGATGTGAAATTCTGGGTTGAAAATTCTTTTCTTTAAGAATGTTGAATATTGGCCCCCACTCTCTTCTGGCTTGTAGGGTTTCTGCTGAGAGATCTACTGTTAGTCTGATGGGCTTCCCTTTGAGGGTAACCTGACCTTTCTCTCTGGCTGCCCTTAACATTTTTTCCTTCATTTCAACTTTGGTGAATCTGATAATTAGGTGTCTTGGAGTTGCTCTTCTCGAGGAGTATCTTTGTGGCATTCTCTGTATTTCCTGAATCTGAACGTTGGCCTGCCTTGTTAGATTGGGGAAGTTCTCCTGGATAATATCCTGCAGAGTGTTTTCCAACTTGGTTCCATTCTCCCCATCACTTTCAGGTACACCAATCAGACGTAGATTTGGTCTTTTCACATAGTCCCATATTTCTTGGAGGCTTTGCTCATTTCTTTTTATTCTTTTTTCTCTAAACTTCCCTTCTCACTTCATTTCATTCATTTCGTCTTCCATTGCTGATACCCTTTCTTCCAGTTGATCGCATCGTCTCCTGAGGCTGCTGCATTCTTCACGTAGTTCTCGAGCCTTGGTTTTCAGCTCCATCAGCTCCTTTAAGCACTTCTCTGTATTGGTTATTCTAGTTATACATTCTTCTAAATTTTTTTCAAAGTTTTCAACTTCTTTGCCTTTGGTTTGAATGTCCTCCCATAGCTCAGAATAATTTGATCGTCTGAAGCCTTCTTCTCTCAGCTTGTCAAAGTCATTCTCCGTCCAGCTTTGTTCCGATGCTGGTGAGGAACTGCATTCCTTTGGAGGAGGGGAGGCGCTCTGCTTTTTAGAGTTTCCAGTTTTTCTGTTCTGTTTTTTCCCCATCTTTGTGGTTTTATCTACTTTTGGTCTTTGATGATGGTGACGTACAGATGGGTTTTTGGTGTGGATGTCCTTTCTGTTTGTTAGTTTTCCTTCTAACAGACAGGACCCTCAGGTGCAGGTCTGTTGGAGTACCCTGCCGTGTGAGGTGTCAGTGTGCCCCTGCTGGGGGGTGCCTCCCAGTTAGGCTGCTCGGGGGTCAGGGGTCAGATACCCACTTGAGGAGGCAGTCTGCCCGTTCTCAGATCTCCAGCTGCGTACTGGGAGAACCACTGCTCTCTTCAAAGCTGTCAGACAGGGACATTTAAGTCTGCAGAGGTTCCTGCTGTCTTTTTGTTTGTCTGTGCCCTGCCCCCAGAGGTGGAGCCTACAGAGGCAGGCAGGCCTCCTTGAGCTGTGGTGGGCTCCACCCAGTTGGAGCTTCCTGGCTGCTTTGTTTACCTAATCAAGCCTGGGCAATGGCTGGAGCCCCTCCCCCAGCCTCGCTGCCGCCTTGCAGTTTGATCTCAGACTGCTGTGCTAGCAATCAGCGAGACTCCGTGGGCATAGTACCCTCCCAGCCACGTGCGGGATATAAACTCGTGCTTCGCCGTTTTTTAAGCCTGTCGGAAAAGCGCAGTATTTGGATGGGAGTGACCCGATTTTCCAGGTGCTGTAGGTCACCCCTTTCTTTGACTCGGAAAGGGAACTCCCTGACCCCTTGCGCTTCCCGAGTGAGGCAATGCCTCGCCCTGCTTCGGCTCGCGCACGGTGCGCGCACCCACTGACCTGCGCCCACTGTCTGGCACTCCCTAGTGAGATGAACCCGGTACCTCAGATGGAAATGCAGAAATCACGCGTCTTCTGCGTCGCTCATGCTGGGAGCTGTAGACCGGAGCTGTTCCTATTCGGCCATCTTGGCTCCTCCTACGTTTCATAAATTTCTAAGGTAATATGTCTGTCAATATTTTCAGTGTTTAGTGACAGAAATCCAAGGAAAATTACTACCTTAAGGAAAAGGAAAATTTATTGGCTCATGAAACAAACAAGCAAAAAATAGGCTTTAGGCATTTGAATTCTGGGATTCGAAATGAAATGTTCTCTCTCTCTCAACTCCCACTTTACCTTCATTCTCACTACAAGTAGTGGCAACGTGGCCAATGGCAAATTGAAGTCAAATTTCTCTCATTGCTTACACCTCAGAAAAAGGGAGTTTTGTTTCTGGTTAGGTCCAGCAAAAGTCTTAAGAGAATATTAATTGGTATAGCCTGGGTCAAATGTCTATTTCTGTAACAATGGCCATGGCTAATCACTGGTAAGATTGTTCAGGACAGGTCATGTGTTTCGCTTGACAGAAACTGATCAACTTCTCTCAAACCACCTGAACTAATAATGAGTTTACGGTGGAACCCAGATACCAGGGGTGGGGCAGGAGTTGGGGAGAGCGTAAGCATTGTTCTCCAAAAAGGGCTCCAGATGTTATATGCATACACTCACTACTGGTATCTTACAATTCTCTTTTATAGTTGAAAAACCTGAGAGCAAAAGAGATTAGATACCTTGATTTGTATTTTCAAGCTCATTAAAATCAGATCTAATAATTTAAAACTGTGAGTTACATAACGAACAGAACACCCAGTTACCTCATTTACCAATGAGAAAACTAAGGCATCCTGGGAAAGGTAAAGTTTGAAACTTTTAGAACCAAAACAAGATCATAGGTGTTTTTGTTTGTTTGTTTTGTCATGTTGTTTTGTTTTGAGACACAATCTTGCTTCGTCGCCTAGGCTGGAGTGCAGTGGCTCACTGCAACCTCTGCTTCCCAGGTTCAAGCGATTATCCTGCCTCAGCTTCCTGTGTAGCTGGGACCACAGTTGTGTGCCACCACACTCGACTAATTTTTATATTTTTTGTAGAGATTCGGTTTTGCCACTTTCGCCAGTCTGAAGACCATAGCTTTCTTAGCACTCAGCAATACTGTCATTCCAGGCTATTAATTACATTCTTCATTCTGCCATTCCAAGCTATTAATTATATTCTTTTTGAAAATTAATAATCAACAACTGTGTGTGTGCTGCCTCTATATCTGCAAAAATATGTGATTGTATAGAAACACTCTATACTATTGCAATAAGCAAATACTTTGGTGCTATATAAAGGATAAGAAAACTGGCCCAAATTGTGAGATTTTTTTTCTGAGTTGATATTTTGAGTGTGAATAATTTTTATAACCGTTAATTAAAAGGTAAGATCTTTTAAGTGCTGACTTATACATCATAGTCTTAACTGCTTTTCTGAGATCTTTGATATCTAGAACAAAGGTGAATTATATTGGAAGAGACATTTGAAGCATTTTTTGCAGCTGAAATTATCTAATGACAAGTATTTATTAATATTGTGAGCTTTTTCCAGAGGTCTTTCTTCTCAAAGCATCAGCTTGGAATCCTGCCATCTAGCAGGACTCTATTTATTCAAAGAGGGTGCTTACTGTCAGGACTGAGTGCTCTACATACTCTCCTGGGAATTCAGAGCCTTACAGTTCTTGTATGAATCCTTTTCTCTATTTCTTACCTAAGATGTATCTACTCCTAAAACCATTCATTTGTACCTCTCTTTAATCCCAAAACTGACCTTTTTTGTGGGAAAAGCCCCTGTTGCCTGAGAAACATTTTCTACTTGGGAAGGGGTCAGGCAAAACCTAAACTTCATTTGGAGTTGAGAGTCACACTGATTCAGAAGGATGCTCCTGGTCATATTTGGGAATTTTATTTTGTAGGTGCAGTATCCTTAGAACATCTTCCTCCTAATTAAGCCAATTTTCACATAAATTTGAAAAAGAAGTGCACTTTTCAATGGGAATATATATATACATACATATATGTATATATACATATATGAATATATACACATATATATGTGTGTGTATATATATATTTTGCAGTTGGAAAAGGAGTCCTTGTAGAAGAAGATCAACATTTATTGGGAAAATTCTTTGGTGTATTGCTTAGAGTAGAAATAAAGAAGTTTTATGTCCTAGGAGTGGATAAAATTCATGTGCATAAAACATAAAAAGAATTTTGTAGGTGGCTCTGAATAGGTAAGAAGAGACAAGAGAAAAAACAGAAAGTATGTATGCAGTTATTTATACAGGAAGGACTCACTTTCCCTTCCTGTGATTCCCCAAATCATCTGGGACACCACCATCACAGAATACTCTGTGATGTGGTGTGTGTGTGTGTGTGTGTGTGTGTGTGCACACAACAAGTGAGGTGGATGGGCTGTAATTGAAAATAGCAGGTGCAGAGTCAAGAAGGAGGATATAGAGAAAAAAAATTAGAAATTAAACCCTAGAGAGTTGCAGAAAAATTTGGTGAGGGCCTACACATGGGTGGTAGAGCCGGGATTCTTATCAGGTGTAGCCACTTCTCTGAGACAAAGAGCCTGCCATTCTTACATCATTATTCTTTCATTGTCTAATGGGCCTGCTTCTTTGCCATATGTCATTTTGGTCCATACACTTAACAACTGAGCATCTGCAACCGTCCACCCCATAAGTCACTGTGTAATAAGAAAGGACATTTTGTAAAGTTCTTAAGTCTTTTGAACTGCCTCTTACTGTAAGTGACAAAACCTGAAACAATGACTTAAAAGAACAGATCACTTACTAGCTAATACAAAAGGAAATCAGAAATAGGTAGGGTTTAGTGTTGGCTAATCCACCACTGATATGGTTAGGCTTTGTGTCTCCACCCAAATTTCATCTTGAATTGTAATCCCCATAATCCCCGTATGTCTAGGGAGAGACCAGGTGGACGTAATTGGATCATGGGGGTGGTTCTCCCATGCTGTTCTCATGATAGTGAGTGAGTTCTCACGAGATCTGATGGTTTTATAAGGAGCTCTTCCCCCTTTGCTCTTCACTATTCTCCTTCTTGCTGCCTTGTGAAGAAGGTACCTGTTTGCTCTTTGCCTTCTGCTGTGATTGTAAGTTTCCTGAGGCCTCCCCAGCCATGCTGAACTGTGAGCCAATTAAACTTCTTTCCTTTATAAATTACCCAGTCTTGGGCAGTTCTTTATGGCAGTATGAAAACAGACTAATACAAGCACCTCAAAAATCTTCCCATGGACTCTCTCTCAATTGGCTTTATCTCATTTCTTCACAGATTTGAGACAAATGCCTAAAGTAATAGGGGCTACATGTTTTCTCATTCACAACCATTGGGGAGAAATATAAAGCTTTCCTATTCTCTCTTAAAAGCAAGGAAGAACTTTCCCAAGGGCCTGTCATAAACCTCAAGGCATGGCTTGTTGTCCAGAATTGGTCACATGACCATGACTAAAGCAATCTCTGGCAAGTTGGTTGGGAGTATCCCAGGACCAACTAAACCTGCTTCCAGACCTGGGGAAAAATTCCCAAATTGTCATCTTGCTATTTGAGGGGAGTATTAATACACCACATTGTATCAACTGCCAAATATTATGTTAGATGACAGATAAAACTGGTACCCATTACTTTCCACCTGAGAACGTTCCAAATAACTGTAGAATAAGATTTCAATTGCTAAGACAAGTATGGAAACTTGACCATAAAACCGATTTTTTTTTTCAGTTCTGAAAACTGTAAAGAGTCCTACTCATAGTGAGCAGGGCTGAGAAAATGATTCTAAAGTATTGCTAGAAATGCTCTATGAACTAATGATGTTTTGAGTTCTATGAGAATATTTTTTAGGTATTTCTGATTATTTTCTTCTTTAAAACTTGACAAAATAAAGAGCATTTCTGAATTGTTCACCCATGAAAATGACAGAGCTCAAACTTGAAACTTTTATGTAAAGAAGGGAGTCAGGAATGTTTATGCTTATATCACATTTTGTGCAGAAAATGATCCTTAAATGTAAAGGGAAATCAAGATGAGCACTTTTCTTCTCATCCATTCACATTGACATTGCCTTTGTAAGAGAACTCATCAGGAAGGATTATGTAAAGTATCCTGAATATTTTCGCAGACCAAAGAGGGAATCAACTCAAGGAAGGCACTGGTTAATGGTTTGATCTCAAACAGAGAGCACTTTCTCTGATGACCGTTGGCTGTACCTACATCTGATGGGTTTGTTTATTTTTAATTGCTCCACAGTTGTCCCAGAGTGTGAGAAGTCGAGTTCCATTGAGCTGGCACTTCTAGTTTTAATTTATGCATGAGTATGTACATTGTTTTTCTCCTGCAGTTCTCAAAGAATTTTATGAGCCATTACTGAGTGACTAAAATGGGTGCAGATTTTGCAAGCCTCTGCCAGAAGATGTTTATTACTGTCATCATTCTTAGGAAAATCATGTTCCAGCAGGTTCAGGCAGTGTGCAAAACGTGGCACATGTGTGAATTGGCCATTTCACACTGCTCTTACAATATTGTCAGTAATAATAAAACCAAGGGAAAGACCTTGGGGAGGGGGATAAGCTACACATTAATTTGGTCATGAAGCTTTGATTTGTGATCTTTGTTAGACCCAGAGATGCAAAGTGCAGCTGGTTTTGTAAACTTCCCACCATGGGCTGAGGCAATAGCTTTATTTTAAAAGTTCCCACTTCTGAGGGTGGTTCCTATCTCATGAATTCATGTCCAGAATGTAATATCCTTGAAAGCTTCTGGATGATTCTGTCTCTGTACTTGTTTTGTTAATTTTGAAAAACCACATCACATGTCATCTAAACTTCAGTGGTAAGAAAAGCAAAACCCACTCAAGGTGGCAATTCAAATTACAGCACATCACTAGCATTGTAAAGCCTACTGCAAACACTTCCATATTCATCTTTCCGCCTGGCATCCCTATATTTCTAGAACAATGTTTTGTCTTCCTTTGGGATGGTTGTTTTTTGGTGGTGTGAGCAGAGACCAGACATGTGAATTTGTACACATATTCAGCTAAATATCTCAGGTCCATACCTCTTGTCTATTACATTATATTGTCCCTACTTCCTCTTTCATCTGTTTCAGTGCCACTTCTCTTTGGATTCCTGAGAGTAATTGTCATGATGCAGCCATTTTTATATATCCTCAGAAACACTCTCAATATTTATATCCACTAATTGTATATAATTTATTTATTGTAATAAATTAAAAATGGGGAACTTATGTTTAATATTATCCCATAAAGGTTAAACTTTATTTCAAAAAGTCTAAATCAATAAACACTCCAAAATTTATGCCATTTATATAAATAGGTAGCATATATTGATAACCTCTTAGTTCCAGTACGTATAAATTAGCAAGAATAATTTGGGTTGAATTTTCTAAGGAGGGCATATAAACTTCCCTATAAAGTTCTGCAATCAAGGGTGAAAATATAAACAGCACAAAGGAGTAAAAGATGGGGCCTGGACTATCACCCTTATTGTTATTATTATTTATTTGTTCATTTATTTTTTGAAACTGAGTCTCACTCTATAGCCCAGCCTGGAATGCAATGGCACAATCTCAGCTCACTGCAATATCCGCCTCCCAGGTTCAAGTGATTCTCCTTTCTCAGCCTCCCGAGTAGCTGGGATTACATGTGCGTGCCACCACGCCTAGTTAATTTTTGTATTTTTAGTAGAGATGGGATTTCACCATGTTGGTCAGGCTGGTCTCAAACTCCTGACCTTGTGATCCACTCGCCTCAGCCTCCAAAAGTGCTGAGATTACAGGCATGAGCCACCGGACCCGGCCCACACCTATTATTAATTAAATCTAAGTTTAAAGCAAATTTTTTAGAGTTAGAGTGAAATGGCCTTCCTAAGTCTGAAGCTCAGAGTTAGAGAGCCTATCCATCCAGTCAAACAGACTGGGTCAAGATACCTCTTGCCTGCAACGGCAGAGGCTGCCCTTTATACATGAGAGGCAACTTCCTCCCAGAGCTGAGCAAACTGTTCCCAATTTTAGTAATCAGTAAGAAGGCAGAGAGAGCCTTCTGCAGTACTTAGGGATGAGTCCTCTTCATTAAGACCAGGAGCGTTGAACTGACTTTCCTACCTAACATTCCCATAATTACTGGGTGTATGTGTGGTCACTGACTGAAATAATCAAATGAAAACTACAGCCAGTCTGTGTCTTATCTTTATTTATTTTGTTTCCCATAAAAAGTTGTCTTTTTTTTGTACTTTTACAAAAAAAAAATGTATTTTAAATAACTCATGTATTGCAGTTTAAATGAGATTTCAAGTACAATTTCATGGGACATACTTATGCTAAAATTTAATTATTGTTTATCTGAAAATCAAATTTAAATGGGTGCCAAGTATTTTTATTCAATAAATTTGTCAACCCTAATTTTAAGGAATTTTATTTTTGTTTAAAAATGTTTGAATTCATCACTTCCAGCTCTGGTTCTAAATTTCCATGTTTTATCCCCAAGACTCACTTTTCTTCCTAGCTATTTAAAAACGGCCTGGTTTTGGGTTAGGGGTAATTGCCTCATTCCATGATCCAGAGATGATTTTTGATAGGTCTAACCCTGTTGAGGTAACCCTATGCCACAATAGTAATTGATTCAGGGACCTAAAATCTATACCGTTAGCATATGATATTTCTTTGTTGACAGATAATTTTTCTGGAATGGGCATATGATCAAATAAAAGGGCCAAGTTGAGTCAAGCTTCAAAAATAATTATGCTTCTAGGAAAGATGATTTTCATATTTCTCAAAGACCTACTTGTAGCCAACTTTTGTTTCATTCTGAAAGACGTGGCATAAAGATATGAAGTCTGGAACTATAAGTCATTTTGACACCATGAAGAAAGTCAGTGCTGGGATAATGCTAGTACTATGGAATATAGGGAAATAAAATTAAACTGGATCTTTAATGGTAATACTGAGCTGCTAAACTGAGCCAAATACAATCCATTCATCCTCTGGAACTTCTGGTTATATTAGCCAACAAATCACTCATATCATTAAACATTCATTGTTAGGTGAGGTTGGGTTTTCTAATTATTACTATTATTATTATTTGAACTGTGAAGAGTCCTAATTTATACCAAACATTTTTATCCAATACAAATTGTTTTTGTTAAGGGACACTAATATTCTGGAGTTTGAAGGTGAAATGAATCACAAAAGTTCCTCTGTTATCAATATGAAATATTTTTGGACTCAGACCACAGTATATGCTTAAATCACTGAGTGGATTGTAGTCAAAACTTAAAGTTGATTTTTATGTCCAAATGCTATGTTGTGCTCACTCTGTGATCAATTGCTAAATTGAGAATGCAGAGGCAGTGAGATGATCACTGAGATAATTAAGACTTAATTCTCGAAGACTAAATTGAATACCTGGAGCTGAATTCAAAAACAAGAACAGTCCTAATTTGGAAGTGGCAAAAGAAAAAAGAGCTTTTATGAGATGTTTGAAACATGTCTGTAGACATCAATTTCCTAATATTTATTATTGAATATACACTTTTATATTTCTGGTTTTGGGTAAAAGTATTTTAATAGATGTCACAGTTTTCAGTGTGAAAAGTAGAAAAAAGTTACAATTTTTCTTATGTTCCTTTTAGCTAGAATCACATAATATTATTGGAGGATGTGTCTTACCATTGATGTTGTCTTGTAGATACAGATAAAGAATATAGAGGTCTAACATAAAGTGTCAGTGAAATCAAGAGTGCCAATTTGATTATCACATGAGTAATGGTTTTAATTATTTCATTCAACAAATACATATTGAGTAGTTAATATGTGCCAGATGGTCTACTGCACCCTAGTGATTAAAAAATGGAAAACATAATATCTGCTCTCACATAACTCACAATCTAGTGAGAGAGACAAAGAAGTAAAGAAAATATTAGACCACAGCACAATATTTTATCATAGAACCATGAGTGTACTGGCAACTGTGGGAGCAAAAAATAAATAAATAAATAAATAAATAAATAAATAAATACATACATACAACTAACCCAGCCTAAAGCAAACAGATGCCTGAACTTCATCTTAATCCATTTATGCCTGAGGTTGCAATTTTTGAATATTTGCAATCAGACCTTGGTGATGACCTTGAGCAATAGGATATAAATAACTCCCACATACTTAGTGTTCCAACAATGGAACCCTAGGCATAAGTTGTAAAGCAGGAAGAAGAAACAGTAAGACAAGTAAGTCTGTGAGAAAGAGAGTTAGTGGTGGGGTTGTATGGAGGGTATTCAGAGAACAAATAGCAGATGGGTTCTGCATTTACCACATATGTGTGTTCAAAATGGCTAGAGTTTGTAATGCTTCGTAGTAAATAAGAAGAGATGAAATTAGAGCCAAAAAATGTTGTGTGTTATATTGAGAAGTTGAGAATTTATTTAATCTTGGTGAGAATTCATTGAGGAAATTTAAGTGATGGAATGATAAAGTATGATTGAAGTCCTTCTGATCAAAATGAGAATAGGTAGGAAAAAACAAAACTAATGACAAAAACTAGGTACGAGGCTAAGTGTATCTATAATTTAGGTGGAAGTAATGACCATCTAAGGAGTCAGAGGTGGAGGTGGGAATATGAGAAGGTGTTTTTGGTTTTTGGTTTTTATTTGGTCATAGTCTGTGCCTATGGTTCTCAAAATTTCTAATATGAATTCTTTAGAATATATGAACTATACATATTCAAATTCTACAGCAAAATATTAATCTGCATGTCTAGGTATGATATAAGAGGTAAGTTTCATTTTTTCTTCATCTATATATTCTAATTTTTCCCCTATGACCATATATGTTTCTAACATAAATATGAGTTATAAAATATTTATAATGATTTGTTGATCATAGTTGGAGTAAAGTTAGCAAATCTTAATGTAAACCTTTTAATACAGCTGAAATATTATCTCAGAGCTAGCATTATTGACAGGTCAATTTATTTTTTGTTTATGAAAGATATTATTTCTAAAGAATATATCATGTTAAAGATAATTTTGCTTTTGATCATGTAAAGCTAACTGACAAGACTGACTTGCACTCCCACTTCAAATAACTAAGACACAGAAAAAGCATTATAAAAAAAAAAACTCCAGACATTTGAAAGCAAGCTGAATAGAACTGGAATTTTTTATATTAATAGGAGGCAAAAGAATCATAGCATGAACTTTATGATTACCATAGCTTTCTAACTGGAGGCACTAGACCATTGTGATAACAATAGCACAAGGAAGAGTAGGGAAAAATAAGTAAACTATTATAAGTTTGATTAATGTGAAGTGATATAACAGTGCTTGGTGGTAGAACTGATAAATTAAAGATGAGTGCTTTAAACCTTAGAGCAAATACACACATATACACACACAGCTAACATATAAATCACTAGGGGAGACAAAATATAATTATAAAAAATATCGAATTAAAAGAAGGCAAAGGAGCAAAACAAAAACAAGAAAAAGATATAGAAAACTTATTTATCTAACTATCTAATTATTATTCATTACATTAAGTGTAAATGGATCAAACACTCCAAATAAAAGGCAGAGTTTTTTCAGACCAGGTAAAACAGCAAGACCCAAATGTATACTCATACAAGAAATTTACTTTAGGTAAAAAGAAACAGATAATTTACAATAACAGATGGAAAAATATATATTATACAGACACTAAGCATAAAACTTTTGGAATGATTGTATTGACATCAAAGTACACTACATTCCAAGGAAAATTGCCAAGGATAAAGAGGTAAATTTCATAATAACAAAGGTTTAAATAATCAAGGAAGAATAAAAATCCTTATTAACTTATCTAAATGTGTATGCATCTAATAAAAGAACCTCAAAGTACATGAAACAAATATTGATAGACCTGAATGAAGAAATAGACATATCCACATTGATAGTTGCAGATTTCAACATCCTTTTTCAATAATTGATAGCATAAGTAGACAAAAATCAGTAAAGATACAGATAACTCAAAAATACTTGAGAATAGTATTGAAAAATACTTCTAAATTGTATTTTTTAACAAGAAAGTTGAAAATACTATCAACCAACTTTACCTATTGCAACTGATAGGTCTATATAAAACACTCTACTTAAGAGCAGGAAAAGATATATTATTTTTAGTGTACATAATACATCCTCTAAGTTATATCATAAACTTTTCAAGTGTGTTAAGAAATTAAAAAGATTGATATATTATAAAACATGTTCTCTGAACACAAAATAATTATGTTAGGAATCAGTAGAAATATGTAGAAAATCAACAAATATTTTGAAATTAAACAATATCCCTGTAAAACATAATTTCTCATAAATAATTTGAACTAAATAAAAATAAGAACACAACTTTAAAATGTGTAGGATACAGGTAAGGCTATTTCCTTAGAGGAAAATGTGTTGCTTAAAATGCTTTATAACCTGGAAAAATGAGAGCAAATTAAACTCAAAATGAGTTTAAAGAAAGGAAATATTGACTATAAGGGCAGAAAAATGATCAAATGGAAAGCAGATAATAGAAAAATAAGTGAAAGCAAAATCTGGTTTTAAGAGAGATCTGGTCAAGAATAGGAGACAGTGAAATAACCAGTATCAGGAACGAAGCAGTAACTCTCACTACAGATCCTACAAACACTGAAAAGATAATTAGGGCCTATGATGAACAAATATATCCTACTAAAATTTCCAACTTTGATGAGATGTACAAATTCATTCAAAGGTACAAAATTTAAAAATTTGAGATGAAGGAAAAAGAACAACCAAAGCCCTGTCCTAATATATAGATATATTGAATCCATAGTTAAGTTTTTCCTATAAACAGTAGTCTAAGCTCATATGGCTTAAGAGATTTCAATCAATATCAATTATATACAAAGTCTTCTAAAAAATAGAAGAGGGGAAGAATCCCTGCTTATTTCACAAGATAAGCATGTGCTTGTATGAAAACCAGACCAATACCCTTCAAAAACACAGAATTAAAAATCCTTAACAAAATATCAAATATATACCAATTGAGGTATATCTCAGGAGTAAACAGCTGACTTAATATTTGAAAAATAATCAGTGTAACCTAACATATTAACAGAATAAAAGAGAAAAACCACTTTATCATGTTAATATATGGAGAAACAAATTTTGAAAAAAGTGCAGCACTGTTACGGGAAGTCAGGGACCCTGAATGGAGGGACCTGCTGGAGCCGTGGCTGAGGAACATAAATTGTGAAGATTTCATGGACATTTATCAGTTCCCAAAATTAATACTTTTATAGTTTCTTAACGCCTGTTTTTACTGCAATCTCTGAACATAAATTGTGAAGATTTCATGGACATTTGTCACTTCCCTAATAATACTCTTATAATTTCTTATGCCTGTCTTTACTTTAATCTCTTAATCCTGTTATCTTCCTAAGCTGAGAATGTATGTCACCTTGGGACCACTACTGTACAAATCTGATTGTAAAACGTGTGTTTGAACAATATGAAATCAGTACACCCTGAAAACGAACAGAATAACAGCGATTTTAGGGAACAAGGGAAGACAACCATAAGGTCTGACTGCCTGCGGAGTCGGGCAAAAAGAGCCATATTTTTCTTCTTGCAGAGAGCCTATAAACGGACATGCAAGTAAGAGAGATATTGCTAAATTGTTTTCCTAGCAAGGAATATAATACTAACACCCTAGGAAAAGAATTGCATTCCTGGGGGGTGGTCTATAAATGGCTGCTCTGGGAGTGTCTGTTTTATGCAGTTGAGATAAGGACTGAAATATGCCCTGGTCTCCTGCAGTACCCTCAGGCTTATTAGGGTGGGGAAGAAACCTCACCCTGGTAAATTTGAGGTCAGACTGGTTCTCTGCTCTCAAACTCTGTTTTCTGTTGTTTAAGATGTTTATCAAGACAATACGTGCACAGCTGAACATAGACCCTCATCAGTAATTCTGATTTTGCCCTTTGCCTTGTGATCTTTGCTTTACCCTTTGCCTTGTGATCTTTATTGCCCTTTAAAGCATGTAATCTTTGTGACCTACTCCCTGTTTGTACACCCCCTCGCCTTTTCAAGTCCTTAATAAAAAACTGCTGGTTTTGTGGCTCAAGTGGACATCACGGACCTACCAATATGTGATGTCACCCCTGGAGGCCTAGCTGTAAAATTCCTCTCTTTGTACTGTTTCTCTTTATTTCTCAGGCTGGCCTACACTTAGGGAAAATAGAAAGAACCTAGGTTGAAATATTGGGGGCAGGTTCCCCTGATACAGCACTCATTTAA
The DNA here is from genome assembly GCF_000001405.40 of Homo sapiens. Lineage (NCBI taxonomy): Eukaryota > Metazoa > Chordata > Mammalia > Primates > Hominidae > Homo > Homo sapiens. The sequence continues at coordinate 83,251,338 of NC_000001.11, read as the reverse complement.
GTTTAAAAATATCCGCATACTAGGCTTAGAGAGAAAATTTCTCAACCTAATGAAAGGTATGTGTGTAAAACTTACCGTGACCATTATACTTAGTAGTGGAATTCTGAATGCTTCCTTCTATGATAGAGAACAAGGCAAGATAGCTGTTTTCTCTAATTCTATTCAGTGTTATAGTGGAGGGTCTAGCCTGTGCAAGAAGAAAAGAAAAATGAAATAAAAGATACATATATTAGAAGGCATTAATAAAATGGTCCTTGTGAAGAGATGACATGATTGTGTATATAGGACATTATGAAGAATCATCATCAACAATAACAAAAATGTTTAAAATAAATGAGTTTAACAAGATCTTAGGATAAAAGAGCAATATATAAAAGCAAGTGTATTTCTAAACTAGCAAGACATAATTAGAAAATACAATTTCAAGTAAAATATACCATTTATAATGGCATACAAAAAGATGGAATATTTAGGAATACATTTAACAGAATATATTCAAGATGTACACAGTGAATAACTGAAAACACTTGCAACAATTAAAAGATACTTTAAATATAAGTGAAATGTAAATTAGTATATAGATGCTATACAATCCCAGTAAAAATTCAGTCATGCTTTTTAAAACAATTGACAAGCTGTTGAGTGCAGTGGTTCACGCCTGCAGTCCCGACATTTTGGGAAGCAGAGGCAGGTGACTTGCTTGACCCCAGGAATTTGACCAGCCTGGGGCAACATAGGGAGACCCCTTCTCTATGAAAAAAAAAAAAAATCAGTTGGGAATGGTGTCATGGGCCTGTGATCCCAGCTGCTCAGGAGGCTGGGGTCAAAGGACTGCTTGAGCCTGGGAAGTTGAGGCTGAAGTGAGCTGCTATTGCACCACAGCACTCCAGCCTGGGTGACAGAGCAAGATGCTGTCTCAAAAAAAAAAAAAAAAAAAAAGGAAAAAAAGAAAAGAAAAGCAGTGACAAACTGTTTCTAAAATTTTTATGAAAATGCAAACACCTAAAATAGCTGAAGCCATTTTCAGAAGGAAGTTGTATTGCCTTATTTTAATACTTATTTAAAAAGCTACAGTAATCAAAACAGTGTAGCATTGTTGTAAGGATTCAGGTAGATCAATGCAACAGAATTAAGAGTTTAGAAATAGACACTTTCATAGTAAATAGATTTTTTTAAAAAGATATTGCATTTATTCAATGGGGAAAAATATCTTTTTAACAAATTCCTATCCCTGTGGAAAAAATGAACCATAACCCATACCTCATGCCATACACAGAAATAAACTAAAAAACTTTAGAAAGCTTACAATTTCCAGAAGAAAACATAGGACAAAATTGTTGCAATCTTTTATTAGGTAAATGTTACTTAGATGAGATGCAAAAAAACTGTAAATAAAAAGAACTGATAAGCTTGATTTCATCAAAATTAATACAGCACTTCTCTTCTTTGAAGACTACCATCAAGAAGATAAAAAGGCAACCTAAAGATGAGGTGGACATATTTGCATTGCATATATCTGACAAAGGACTTATATTCAAAATATAAAAATCATTCTTACAATTCAGTAAGAAAACTAGCAACCAGATTTTTTTTTTAATGGGCGAAATAGTTGACTAAATATTTTACCAAAAAAGATACATTCATGACTAACAAACACAAAACAAGAGGTTCACTCTTTCTAGGCCTTACAGAAATAAAAGTAAAACCACAATGAGATATTGCTCTATACCTACTAGAATGGCTAAAATTAAAACTATTGAAAATAGCAAGTGTTTTCAAGGTTGTGGAGCAACTGTAAGTCTCATATGTTGCTGGTATAAAATTGAATAGCCACTGGGGAGATCAGTTTGTCCATTTTTTTGACATACACCCAATCAAATCTACTACTAATTATTTACCTAAGAGACATGAAATTCCTTGCACTGAAATGTTTACAGAAGCTTTATTTTCAATAGGCAAAAAAAATCTGTAAACCATACTAATGTCCATCAACAAGCGAGCAAGTGGGTGGAGAAACAAGATGTAGTATACGTGTATGATGAAATACTACTAACAGTTAAAAAAAAAGACCACTAAGTTACCCCAACCACATGAACAAATATAAGAAGCATTATGGCAAGCTAAGGAAGCTGTGCACTACATGATTTTATTTACATGACATTCTAGATCAAGAAAAATTAATCTATAGTGACATAAAGCTTATCGTGATGTCTAAAGTAAAAGGTTGGAGAATGACAGCAAATAAATACAAGGGAAGTTTCTGGGTGATGGAAATGTTCTATGAACTTGATTGTGATGCTGATTACACTAGTGTTGTCAAAGCTCATCTAACTGTTATTCTAAGTAAATTTTATAAAAATTATACAAAAAACTTGATTAGAGAAGAGTATATTATTTAAACTCATAAAAGAGACAAAAAGAACTGTGTGATTTGGTGCTAGTCCCTTTTTCTCTATACGTCATTTCCTTCTATGTTACAAGAAGAAAAGTTCAATTAGAAAATATTCAAGACTCATCATATGACATGTTGCTTAAAAAATTATTACATTTTTCCTATTTTTATCTCCAGAGGAGAAAGCTTGATACAGAAAACAGAGATGGTCTTGGATCAGAATAAACATTTGGGTTCTCACACATTTGCCTGGTGAGAGAAAATTTAACCTTTTATGGTTGGAATTTCCTTATCTACAAAATTAGATGCAGATAAACACCTATACTTTATAAATTTGTTGTGAAAAACCAAGTGATCAAAAAAATTAATGTAAGTCCTTGGCCCTCAGAGGCTACTGAATAGATAAAAGTTCCCCTCCCCTTTCACTGCAGAAAATTTCAAGTTCAAAACTAAAAGTAAAGTTAAATAGAATACCAACTATGTACCCTTATCAACTGAATCCTCCAGAGAGGACATTTAAGTTTCTATAAAAGATCTCATCTTCTACTAAGTGTCTTTGCAGATGCTCTGAGTGTAGCACCTGTCATACTGCTGAGGGTGAGAAGACAAGCATTGTGGAATGGCACAGCAGTGGGAATAAGAGAGGCCATCCTAAGGGAGCCTTCACTTTGCGCTGGTTTCTCATGCTCAATACCCTTGGACAGCTGAACCACATGAATCTTTTCTTACTCTCTGACTCAACGGAGGGACTCCCAAATGAGCTATAAAAGTTATTTAGTGCACTTTCTTGGGTATCTCATATGTGTAGTTGAATAGAGGGCAGCACAGGAAATTCACATTAAAAAAAAAAAAACCTACTTTGATTTTGCTTTGGTTACTTTTCTTGTAAATTAAAAAATAAAATAAAATCCCTAGCCACTTGCGTCTATTGAAGCCCTGATGCCACAGGTAGAATGATTTAGTATCTTAAGACCCTTGTGGGACACAAAATGTGACATTTTCTTAGACACACAACAATATTTTCTTTATGAGCAAAGACTTAAGGCCTTTACCATATCACAAGAGGACAAAAGAGTTTAAATGAAACTTCAATGATAAACCAAACAAGGTCAGAAAAAGGTAGATATTTCCAAACTCAACTACCACCTATGGACAGAGAACATTTCACAACCAAGGTATCAGCCAACCACTGCCAATGGGGTACTTTAAATAACTCCTCTAGGGCCAATTTAAAAGGGTAAACATGAGAGAAGCTTTTATTAATGTTTCCCTTCATCACAAAAGCAATTTCCCACTGTCATCTGAGCTTTTTACGATGGCCCACTACCAGCACAAGCCATTTTAGTTTACCTCTGACTGTGCACAAGGCAGAAACGAAAACAAATCAAATAATTAAAATGGTCAAAAATATACCATTTCAAAATGGCTCAATTATTTTAAAAAATTTATAAGAGCCTGCTTTTCTGAAGAGGGAAAAATGCAAAGGAGGAACAGAGCAGTGGCTTTCTGTTCTTCTCCAAATAAGCCAAACAACCTAAAATCTTCTCTTCTAGGGATATTTCAAGGTCTTCTGCTGTGACTACTAAACCAGCTGTTCATATCTTCATCTTTCCACCTCTAAGTAATATCCTTAGTGATAATCGTGTGTCCCAGTGCTTTTAGGACTAGAAAGCTTTCTGACTGATTAAAAAATTTATACTGGTTGATCATGGTGAGAAATGAAGATTCTCCTTATTCAAGTGTAAGAGTAATGAATCAGCCTCTTGTTTCTCTGTTGAGGGCGGTATTGTTAGAAATTTGATTATAAAAGAAACTATGTGTTAACTATTGTAGGGTGGGTTCTGGCAGAAATAGGGTTAATTTTCTTTCCCCTGAGCCAGTAGCTCCCACACCTGTCAACCATCAAGGCTGGGCTTGCCAAGAACCTAGGAGTGAATGGGCATGGGCGCAGCTGTAGCAAATTAGAGTATCCTGAGGAGGTCCAGCATAAAAGATGTGAACTTTTGCATATGTCTCTGTGGGGTTTTGACTGATCCAACAACTATGTTGCTATGGGAATCAAGAGTGGTAGGAGCCTCAGAGGCTTAGTAATATATAATATGTATTCCCGTCCCTTAGCAATATATAATATATATTCCCTTCCCTTAGTAATAATATATAATATGTAAAATTGGATATGTGCCTATATTTGTGTGTGTATCTATTTTTCATAATGCCCTTTGGGATCACAGCACAGCAGCAATGTTTATTTATAATTTTTTAAATTATAAAAATAATTTGAAAAGAAATATAATGATGAAAATGATCTTCCAGCTATGTCCATCATCAGGTATGGAAGCCACATAATTATTAATGAAATAATATTTAATAAGTCTCATCAATGCCTATTCCCAAGAGGACATAGGTACCATAATACAACAATTATATGTGTAAATGTTTTAAAGAAAATGACTAAAAATAAATAATTTGGAGAAAAGATACTTGGCCCTGTTGTGACAGTAGCTTATATCTGTCAATGCAAATTTCCTTGTTATTTTGAATCCTGAATTCTGATTTGGGTTTGTTTTCTAATTTTAAAAAATATTGAATGTATCTAAAGAGTTATGTCATAATAGGCCGGGTGCAGTGGCTCACGCCTGTAATCCCAGCACTTTGGGAGGCCGAGGCGGGCGGATCACGAGTTCAGGAGATCAAGACCAGCCTGGCTAACACGGTGAAACCCCGTGTCTACTAAAAAATACAAAAAATAAGCTGGGCGTGGTGGTGGGCGCCTGTAGTCCCAGCTACTCGGGAGGCTGAGGCAGGAGAATGGCGTGAACCCGGGAGGCGGAGCTTGCAGTGAGCAGAGGTCGCGCCACTGCACTCCAGCCTGGGCGACAGAGACTCCTTCTCAAAAAAAAAAAAGTTATGTCACAATAAGTCTCTTATATTCTTGCATGAGTATAAGATGTTCTAGGCTTTTGAAACCTGCCCATTTTCAGCTTTGTGTGTCAGTTAAAAGGAGTGGAATTTCAGGAAGAGGACGGAGTTTATACCGTGAAAGAAACATAAAAGGTGAAGAGAACATAGAAAAAATGCTTAAATGGTACTTTACATTCCTGTATTCATTAAATTTCTCCAGTGGAATGTGAAGTAGATATTTCAAGCAATAATAGAACAACATCATTGCAGAATTCTGTGTGTTCTTTGCACTGAGCAGGAACTAAAAAGCAAGTGGGGGCAGAGGGATACATCTTAGTGATTCCACAAAGCCAGCATATATTCTCAGTAGAGGGGTAAAAAAAGCAAATACAGTATATCTAATTGCTCATAAAATTTAGGTCCATTGACCATCGTTTAATTACAGTCCACCAAATCCTACATTAGGATAAAAAAATGTGCAACCTTAAAGAGTTAAAATAAAATGACATTCTGGCTGAGGAAAAGTTCCAGAATCTTACAGGGTCATGATTTAATATCTCACACACTGTAACCATCATTAATAGCCAAGATATAATGAAATCACTTTTGAAAGAGACTGTCTTCCAGTGCTTTCTTTTTAGGTGTGATATTTTTGAAGGGGAAGAAGGCAATTTTTGGGATCAACATCAGATTTGGCCCAGCACAGACACTCAAAGCAGATTTTTAAAACAATCTAAATTGCTATTTGAACATTCAGAGATCTTGCACAGATAATTGATTTAGAGACTTCTCAATTTATCAAAATACCCCAAGCATCTTAAGAGTAGGAGTTGCTTTAATTACAGTGGCTATTATTGGACATTTCAGAACCCATTTCTTAAGGACTTGCAGAGTCTGCAAAGTCCTGCTGAGCAGACCTTGCTCTGAGATGTTGATGACTAGCTGGGTCTTAACTGACTCAGCAAGACCTAACTGACCTGCAGAATAGAAAGTGCAGGTCCTCACTTTCTTCACTTTTCATTGACACTGACCCATGACTGCCCCCTAGCTCTGCACTCATCTTTTCTTGAATGATGGAGGAGTGCTTAAGAATACTGTGTTACCTTGCTTATTCACCAAGACTACCTAACACATGTCCTAGAACATGCACACTGGAGTATATTGTGATGTGCATGTTTTCAGTCACCTTGAGATTTTCACTAGGCAAGCAACTTATTTCACATGTGCTCACAGGAAGGCCATGAGTTGGAAGGATATTGTTTTTCATTACTACCAGTTGAGTTCAATATAAACCATTGACCTGAATTTACTGAACTTATGTTATTTCTTTCCCTTGAAGACACTCCCCACAACTACACTATAAAATCATAACTGAAGGAAGAAAACAAATGTCCAAATTGGAATTCTGATCTTCATAATGATTTAATTCAACAAATTGCTTAAAAGTAAGAATTATCTACACTAAACTTATTTGATTAAATACTAATGGTCTTTAACCAAGGATAACCAAAGAGTATTTGTGATAATCTCTCATAGAACAAAACAGATGTGTAAAACATAAACAATTTAATTATGTAATAATGATCATGCTGCCACATAACAGAAGTGTAGGGATGGCCGCTATCTTGCTACTAGTTATCATAGCCACGACGATATCCCTTCTGATGTAGGGTTGGGATCAACAGAAACAGCCTCTTTCTCTGCTCAGTGCTGGCATTTCTTAGAACTTTGGCTGTAAGAGAAATCATGTGTTACTACTGTAGGATAAGTGGTTAAATTTCACATATGCTGAACTTATACCTGAAAAAAGTCATATTCTTTTTATCTAATTTTCTGAAACTTGGATTCTCTTTAATGGTGGTGGGAGGAGCCAGGATAGATGGTATTTTAAATTTGTCATTTAAAGGTAACTCATCTCTTTCATTTTAAAATGGTTTGTTTTTCCCTTTCTCCTAGCCAAGATGGTACCTTGACATAGCATGAGGCATCAGAAAATCTCAAATTTGAGTAGTGGTGTTCCCTAGGATGTCCTTTGTCCCACTTGGTTGTTGCTCATCTACTTCTGACATCTATGACAGATGAAAGTCATGTTTATGTTTTATTTTGTTTTTTTTTTTCTGCATAGTGAGTGCCTGCAGGTCCTTTTCCTTGTACAAACAGGTTACACTGTTCTGACATGGCTCCACTTCAGCCTCCCCTGCCACTGCTGTTCTGCTGAAGCTCAGTCATGATATTCATCTGACCCCTTCTTAATTACCCAATGATTTCTCTCTTCCCCATTGTGGGCACACAGTGACTTTTGAGACAGTTCCCTCATTAGGTTTAGAATGTGTGGAATCAAAGGTGAGAGTAGGGTGGAGGGCTATCTACGAACATTTAGCCATCATTACTCAGCTGCAGTTGCTTACTATTGTTGTGGGATATTCAGCCAAGTGGCCTCCTCCTTAAGTCCCAATAGGTTGTAGGGCCCCAGCCTCCTTTTCTTTTAGCCACCCCCACCTCCATCCCTCTCTTGGGGCTTTCCATCACTGCTCAATCTTCATCTTGAGGCTTATCCTATAATGAACCAGATTGAGATGAAATGGAGAACTAAAGACACTGGTATCTTGCCTCCTACTTTTTTATTTTCCCCTGTCTCTCTCTCTCCTACCCTGTTTAGTCTACAGACTCACATATGTGTTTTCTCTGGAATAGCCTGTAGTTGCTTTCTTTCCACCTATATTCTACATAATAAAACATAAAATTCAGATCTCCAAAATGTTTTAACTTGTAAGAAAATTTGGAATTTGTAAATTCTTTTGTCTTTTATTTAAGTCTGGATTTCAAATCTATTGTTTTATTGGGACACCAAACCCTGATTTACCACAAACACTTGGCAACTTTGTTCAGATTATTTCAGAATTTCTCCAGAATCACGGAAACCCTAAGATTGAATGAATGAAAGTCAAAAATATTATAATTTAAAGTGATGATAAAATATATAATTTAAACTTTGAAAAATATTACACCCATTTCTGAGACCACAGTGTAATATTAAATATAAGGATTCTGGGATATTTCACAAACCAAGTGAGAAATTGCATTTTAGCTCACAATTGTCTGGAGCCAGGGCTCACCCTACTGTGGAAAACCTCATTTTCATTTCCTATCTTACTCTCCATGTCATTATATGGCTGTTTTCTTTTTTTTTTTTTTTTTTTTTTTGAGACGGAGTCTTGCTCTGTCGCCCAGGCCGGACTGCGGACTGCAGTGGCGCAATCTCGGCTCACTGCAAGCTCCGCTTCCCGGGTTCACGCCATTCTCCTGCCTCAGCCTCCCGAGTAGCTGGGACTACAGGCGCCCGCCACCGCGCCCGGCTAATTTTTTGTATTTTTAGAGACGGGGTTTCACCTTGTTAGCCAGGTTGGTCTCGATCTCCTGACCTCATGATCCACCCGCCTCGGCCTCCCAAAGTGCTGGGATTACAGGCGTGAGCCACCGCGCCCGGCCTGTTTTCTTTTCATCTCTATCAGTGTTTCTCTTCACAGACCAGCTTTCTCTACATCCTAGTGTACAAAATGAAGAATATGAAAGGTGTGTTGAGGCTCTCCAGTTTTTACACTTCCATTTCCTCTTCAAGAATCCAGCTTTAACTGGGACTGGAATACCACTGTACTCTGTCAATTTACCAAAGAGGAAAAACATTAATAGTCATAACTTGGATCTTGAGCCCATCTTTCATTTAACCTTTGGCCAAGGGGAAAAATGGGGTAGTATAAATATGGAGTCATGCTTCATATGAATCAGGGTTGGAAGGGGAAAAAATGGGATAGTATAAGTATGGAGTCATTTTTCATATGAATCCGGGTTGGAAGTGAGATTTTCTCTCCTTCTTCCTTTCTCTCTCTGTCTCTCTTTTTAAGAGAAAGAGTGTCAGGTAAAAATATATAAATGTTGGCTGGGCACAGTGGTACATGCCTGTAATCCTAGCACTTTGGGAGGCTAAGGCTGGTGGATCATGAGGTCAGGAGTTCAAGACCAGCCTGGCCAAGATGGTGAAACTCTGTCTCTACTAAAAATACAAAAATTAGCCAGGCGCGGTGCAGGCACCTGTAATCCCAGCTACTCGGGAGGCTGAGGCCAGAGAATCGGTTGAACCCAAGGGGTGGAGGTTGCAGTGAGCAGAGATCATGCCACCGCACTCTAGCCTGGGTGACAGAGTGAGAGTCTGTCTCCAAAAAAAAAAAAAAAATATATATATATATATATATATATGTCAGCTATAATATTCTTTCTAGAATTTATATTGGCTTATTTCTATTTACTTATTAAATAAATCTGGTACTCCTTTGTGCAGTTCTTCTAAGACATACATGGAAAATAACTTGTAGAATTTAATTTTTTAATTTGTAGACTTAAACTCTTTTATGCTAATGTTTCTGTAATTCCTCAAGATAATGTGTCATAACAAATTATTTATGGATAAAACAAAACAAAAACAAAAGCCTCTTATGTTATCTATCTTTTCTAGACAAAAGGTCATAGTTATTCAAGATGTATTTTTATTTCTGTTCTCTAGTACTTTGAAATTTTTCAAAATCAGTAACACGTGGAATATTTTTGTTTTCAGTGCACACTATTTTAACTAATTTGTTCATCTTGCATCCTAGTCTGGTGTTACTTTAAAGTCTTGCAGTTTAACTTTTATCTTAACTAATACCATATTATGAAAAATACAAATTTTTCACTTTAACTTATTGACATAATTAATTACATTAAATTTCTAATATTGAACCATCTTTGCATTCCACTTATAAACTGTTTATAGGGTATATTATTTTCAAATATTAGTAGATTATTCTAATAGTTCATTAAAATATAATTTTATTTTGGATTGTGTATTAACATACAAAAATTAGCTTGAAAGATTTTTTTGTCAACCTGCCTTTGGCAGGTATTGGTATCAATGTTCTACTGCTTTTATAAAAGATGTTGGCAAGCATTGCATTTCTTAGTTCTCTTTAATAATGTAAATAGAATTAGCACAACTGGTTGGTTTAAGTTCTGAAGGTTTAAACATTTAACTTAAACCCTTCATTACCTCACTATCCGAGTGTTACTCTGCCACGTTTATTAATTTTATATATGATTTTTTTTGTTTAGTTTTCAATGTTTTCTTCATTTTTGTGATTAATTTACTCTAAAAAGTTGCATATTTTCTTTAGGTTGTCATATTTATTTACATAGAATCAAACAAAGTATTCTCATTTTTAAAATTTTACTTTTTGATTTTGTTTGACAAAAATATAATAAAGAAAACTAGAATATTACTTATTGTAAAGGCAAAAATATAAAAGACATTATAATTTAAAAATTGATTAATGTATAACTTCAAACAGAATGAACAATTTTGTTCAATCGAGTCATATGAACTTATTGCCAACATTCAGTTTTTTTGACTTATTAGTTGTCATATCTTTCTAAATTCCACCTTAAAATAATACTGAGGAAAAAAAATGCCTGACTTGTAATATTTTTCAGGTATAGTGAAATAATCAACAATGCCAAGGATAATGCCTAACACAGAGGTAATTCTCAGTTAATTTTATTTTCATTCCAGATAAGTTTTTCCACCTGGTAAGAGTCTAGGTTAGAATTTAAAGATTATTCAATTTTATTTATTTTATTTTATTTTATTTTTGACAGAGTCTTACTCTGTCACCCGGGCTGGAGTGCAGTGGCACAATCTTGGCTCACTGCAACCTCTGCTTCCCAGGCTCAAGGGATCCTCTGACCTCAGACTCCTGAGTAGCTGGGACCACAGGCATGAGCCATCATGTCTGACTAATATTTGTGTTTTTTTTAGAGACAGGGTTTCACCATGTTGCCCAGGCTGGTCTTGAACTCCTGAGCTCAAAGCCATCTGCCCCCTTTGGCATCTCAAAGTGTTGGGATCACAGGTGTGAGCCACTGCATCCAACCAATATTTTTAATTTAAATAAAATTAAATAAGGAAAGTCAAGTGACCACCACAATGGATAATGATGTCAACCCTAGTGCCTTGTCCTGACCTTTCCCAAAACACATAAATAATATGGATAATGATATTGAATTTCTCCTTCAAAGAACTTTTCACATATGTGTAAAATATGGCCTTCTCTAAGAGGCTAGTGATACAGAATTATGTTACATATTTTAAAATAATTACATTTTAATTAAGTAAAAATATTAATTAAATTATATATTAATTGAATGTATCAATTAAATGAAATTATCTAACTAAATTAAAATTAATTAAAATAAAATTTTAATTGATTAAATACATCATTTTTATCTCAGTTCTCTCACAATAATCAGTGTAATGCAAATGCAGTCCAGTGTCATGTGAAGCATCCTTTTCTCTGAGGTTCTATCTGCTATAAATCAGAAACTTGATGTCTTATCTTAATCTAAGAAAACTTTTTATTTGTATTTCATTAGAGGAAAAACCAAAATCTGGTCAGAACTTAGAGTCCTATTACCCTTAAAGAGTGTGACTGGACTTTTGGTTTTTCCTCTGACCAGACTTTTGCTTCTTTCACCGTTGCATGTTATGGCTGCAAAAAAACAGGAAATCTAGATTGCCAATGCAAGCTCCAGTTTAAGAAAAAGGCCCAAGTTAACTAACCATGGTTTGACAAAAATTACCCAGTTCAAGCTGTGGAATTGCCTGATGCAAGATCCAGGCTGCAGCAGGACATGTGGTTATATCCAAGGACCAACATCACCGCTTATAAAACAGCATTTCATGAGATTTCAAGTTAAGGGGGTTTAGCAATCCACCAACTGCAAAGCTCAACATCAAAGAAAATTGAATGAAATGTCTTTCAGTTTTGCCATTACTTGCGTCTTAAAATTTTTACAAACATACATGTGCACATATGCTTACACATTTGTATACATTTTACCAAATGCACACTCATATTATTAGAATTAGAAACAGGTTTTAAGATGGTGACCAGATTAATTTATTGATTTGAAATGTATCAGCTGAGTACATATTGCTACTATACATTGTTCTTGGTGCTACAGATTTCAAAAAAAAAAAAAAAAGCTTATAAAAGGGATCCCAAATTGTCTTTTTAACTTCTTGTGATCATTGTCTGTAACCTAGACTACTGCAGCAGCTTCTACACTGCCTCTGATATTTGTCCTTTTCCAGAGTACAAAGTTTATCACTGTCAGGTCATTTCCCTGCCTCTTGGTGGTTACTTATTGTCTTTGTACATTTGTGTTGCTATAAAGGAAGACCTGAGGCTGGGTAATATATAAAGAAAGGAGATTTATTTGGCTCATTGTTTTGCAGGCTGAACAAGAAGCATGGCACCAGCATCTGCTTCTAGTGAAGGCTTCAGGCTGCTTCCACTGATTGTGGAAGGCAAAGGGAAGCAGATCTGTGCAGAAATCATATGGAGAGAGAGGAAGCAAGAGAGAGACAGTGGGGATGTGCCAGGCTCTTTTTCATAATCAGCTCTTGTCAGAACTAATAGAGCAAGAACTCACCAAGCCATTCATGAGGGATCCGCCCCCATGATCAAAACACTCCCCTTTACGTCTCTACCTCCAACGCTGGGGATCAAATTGCAACATGAGATTTGGAGGGGCAAACATCCAAATTATAGCACACATTTTCCTAGCATGAAGTCTATCGTCCTAAGTGTGCTTTACAAGACTTTTATGATATGGCCTCTATTCAAGTCCATCTTGAGATATAAAGTCTAAGGTCAAGAGCCAGGGACTCTAGAGTCATGCATCTTGAGTTTGAATTCTGATTCTACTTCTAACTAAATATGTGAACTGTGGACAAGTAACTTATCTTTTCTTTGCCTTTGTTTCTTCGAGTATAAAATGAGAATCACAAATATACCCTATGTGAAAGTTTGTAGAAAATTAAATAAGTTAATTAATGTGAAATGTGAATAGTGCCTAGAACATAGTGAGCACTCAGCAAATTAGGCTAGGATTATCTGTTAAATTTTGGTCTTTCCAGTTCATATCCTCAACTGCAGGTCCATTTCTGTGATGCTGAACAAACCAGGCCAATAAATGTGATGGCCTTTTTTCACAATGCTCTTTATGAAGTCCTTACCCCTGGCCTGCTTTGGCTTGGTTATGTCCTACTTTGACTTTAGATCCATGTCAAGAACTTTAAAAAGTTTGATAGTTTACTCTACTTGCAAGCTAACAAGTTAGGCTTCAATAGTTTTATAGATGCTGGCAGAAGATGGGACATTCCTGGGTCAGGGAAAAAAATTTATTAATCATTGCAATAGCAGTAGCAGAGTTTTAGTATTTTCTCTGATTCTCTGACCCTCTGTTCCCATAGGGTGATGCCAAGAGGGTTAAAGTGACACCTGCATACCTGTTGCATTTCAGGAGAGAAACCTTGAGCTTAGGGAGCCCAACTTTTATAATGAATAATAAGCATGTCTACCTTTTGCTGCCAAGAGAGAGGTTATACTTCTAAGACTATAAGCAAGCCTGCCTTCGCTCTGGACTGAGATACTATATCTTCCAAGTCTATTCACTGTACAAATATCATTGAAAAGATAGTTGGGACAAAGGCAGTCAGTACCTCTGCTATCGAGATATAGAGAGGTGCAAGAATGCCACAGGATAATTGTCTCAACAGTCTCAACTACAATTCTTCCATTCTGCCCTCACTTAAGACAGGGTTATTGGCCCATGTAGGCCATAAGCTCCTTGAAGACAGATTCTTTGTATTTTTCCCACTTATCCCAATTCCTAGCATAGTTCCTTGCACATAGTAGGTACTCAAAACACTTTAGAATAAATAAGAGAATTTAATATGAATGATATTATTTTCATTCCTACCATAACCAGTTGGAGAATAAAATTGAAAAATAAGTGTCATTCATATCAGCAACAACTTTATAAATACTTTAGTAATGTGCATACTTTATGAAAAGTGTGCACAAACTTTACAAAGAAATCTACAAAATGATATTAGTAACATAAAAAAAGATTTAGGTATATAAAGCTACATGCATAAAAATGGGAGCAGCACAGGTCTTGAATTGCAATGAGAAACACAGCTTTTATTTGCATCTTTGCAACTTAAGCTACATGCTCTTAGAAAAAAAGTGGAAGCTTTCATAACTTTTTATACATTTATTCAACAACTATTTACTGATCTCTCATTAGAAACCGTGCCCTTTTTCAATTGGAATTGTCTTTGTTATTCAACCCTAATTAGTAAGAGTGACTTCTTAGAGCTAGCTTGTAATTTGATATAATAAAAGCAATTGTTATTTCTAAGCTTATAGACCATATAGGAAAAATATTTGGGTCTTTATAAAAATGTATTATTATGTATAATATTATACATTAATACTGTATGACATAAAACATATGAATAATATGTCATTTATATAATTAAATATCATATTACTCTTGTAAAGATTATTAACTCTATTTTTCTTTGGTTTTATTTTTTATTTTTTCCTAGAAAACCTACTTTCTACTTCAAATAATCTCATATGTATATATATATATGCATATATATGAGTAATTTTATATATATATAAATATATATATAACTACTAGTTAGTAATCACGTCATGCCAACAACTCGATAAAAAGACTTTTTTTTAGTAAAAGAAGGAGTAATTCACAATATAAATTCTGTATTTGTTCTGAAAGCTAACCAAGGCAGATAATTAGAAAACTCAGTAATGGTGTAAATTTGAATTATATCAATAAAACTCATAGCTGTATATGTTTTCTGTTATGAAAAAAATGTGGATATAGCCTCATAAAATATATGGGACTAATTCATTATTTTACACCAGACAACTAAATGATAATGTTTAGTGTTGGTGTAATAACCAGACCTCTGGACAAGACAGTCTCATTATCACTCCCAGTAAAATAGCACTTCAGTATTCTGCAAGACTGCCATCACTGTCAAGCATCATTGGGTGGTGTTTACAAATAGTTAACCAGCCTTCCTCACAGCTGTTCAAAATTGAGGGCTCAGGAACACTTATGCAAGCAGGGTAAAATCTTATAAGCACAGATGAGCAGGAAGAGTGGTGGTACGCCAAATGCATAACAAATAAGAATTTTAATTCATCTCATCATGAAAACAATAAGAGATGAAGAAAGAGAGGACAGAGGCCTTGGATGCCCAGAATTAGAGACTTAACTCAGATCAACAGTGCCTGTCAGACTTAATGAAGATTGTTTATAAACACAGATTTGGCATATTTCAGAGCTGAATGTAGGAAACAACTACTCAAGTGCTCTTTTGGTTGTGTGGCTAATATTTGAGGGTATTTACAATTTAATCATTAAGTTTAATCAATTTAATAGAGACTCTAGACCATCAAGTATTTAGATAATCATATAATTAAAGTTTCTCTGGGATATTTCACAGTGTCGTGTTTTAGAAGATGTTTAATACTCTTTTAAGATTTTGCTACTCGATATATATTTCTGTGTGAAATATGAAGACCCCAAATCTTTAGATAATAGTTTATTTAATCCAATGTAAAAAGAAGAAAGTGGTGAAATCTCCATTGTTGTTTTGTGATTTTTGAACTAAGTCCAACTCCCTCCTGTCAGAGAAAACTGAGACAGAGGTAAATTAAGTCTTACCAGAAGACCTAGACATGATAAGTGGCAGAGCAGGAATTATAGCTCAGGTCTCCTGCACCTTAATCTGAAGTTATTTCCCCTCACCTTTCTTTCAGGGCAAGGTCCTTCTATAAGTGAGACTCCAAAACGTAAGATTCTAGTAACTTGAGTATCTTGATGGACATAGCACAAGTAAACCCAGTCTGTACATGCTGTTTCTGAAAAGCAATGGACATTGATATTTGAAAACTCTTAGTTCCTTTTCCTGCTCTCATTTAACAACAGTGGCACATTCATGTTAAGACATCTTCAGCTAATGTGACAGTCCCTAAAATTTCATGCCTCTCTTTGTTTTCACACATGCGATTTAGAATTGAGTTTAGTTCTCTTACTGACAAGTTGATTTGGATTTTTTTCAATGCACAAAATTAATTTTTAATTTATTTTCTTGGTTAAGTGTGCATTGATTAATGACTCACAATGAGGTGGCACAAAGTCGTAATTTGAGGAGGTTTCAAGGAATCAAAATTTTTTTAAATATTAGCTTTATTTTGCAAGATTTTTTTCAGTCACTGTACTTTTTTTTCTAATTCCATTGATGCTAAAATGACAAGTGTAAGTAGAATACTTTTATAATTGATTTAATTTAATTTTTTTAGCCAGAAAAATTCAATGAAACTTTCTAATCTCAGGTAGGACTTAAGACACGTGCCAACTATATAATAATCTTCTAGTTGTCTTCTTTCTTTCTTTCTTTTTTTTACAGTATATAGCAATTGCAAAGTTAACATTTACTTCCTCAGTACACTGAAGTGGCATAGTACCACTCAATTGTGTCACTTTTTAATACTCAACACGTTGATACTATTTCAGTATCTTAAGAGCCTGGTTTCATGAAGACACTACTTGCCTCCACGTATTCTGCAGAAAAAAGTCTAAATTTACAAGAAATCTTTAAATAATTTTTATTATTTACCTTCACATATAATAGCTCTTGTTATTCTCCGACATAAAATTTCTCCATACAAGTAAGTTGCTTTACTAACACCTAATAATTGTTTTTTGTGAAAAGACAAACAAAATCAACGAATCTCTAGCTAGACTAAGAAAAAAAAGTGAAAAGACCCAATAAAATCAGAAATGAAAAAGGAGACATAACAGCTGAAAGCACAAAGAATCACTAGAGACTATTATGAACAACTATAAGTCAACAAATTGGAAAGCCTAGAAGAAATGGTTAATTTCCTGGATACATGCAACTACCAAGATTGAACCATGAAGAACTAGAAAACCTAAATAAACCAATAGCAAGTAAAGGACTGAAGCCATAAAACAAGTCTCCCACCAAAGAAAAGCTCAAGACCCGATGGTTTCATGGCTGAATTCTACCAAGCATTTAAAGAAAAGCTAATAATAATTTATTCAAATTCTTCAAAATCAAAATCAAACAGCAGGAAATACTTTCAAACTTGTTATATGAAGCCAACATTACTCAGTTATCAAAACTAGACAAGGACACAACAAGGACAAAAACTATAAGCCAATATCACTGAAAAATATAAATGCAAAAATCTTCCACAAAATACTAGCAAACTGAATGCAACAACAGATTTTCACCATGATCAAATGGGCTTTATCACAAGGCTGCAATGAGTCCAACATACACAAATCAATGAAGATGATACATCACGTTAACAGAACCAAGAACAAAATCCATATGATCATTTCAATACATGCTGAAAAAGCATTCAAGAAAATTCAACCTCCCTTTATATTAAAACCCTTCAATAAACTGGGTATAGAAGGGGCATACCTTAAAATAACAAAGGCCATAGATGACAAACCCACAGTTAGCATCATACTGAACAGGGAAAAATTGAAAGCCTTTCTGCTCAGATCTGGAGTAAGACAACCCTTAGTTGTAGTAAACCACTAAGATTTTGTCAGAGTACAGTGTAACCTAGCAAAATTAACTAATTAATAAAATGGAACATGTAAGCTGTGTTCTGCTGAAACAGAACACCAATATATGTGCCATTGGCTTTTGAACGGGGTAGTTGTCTAAGAGGGTATTTATTGTTGATGGGATGCAAGACAACTTATTATGCATATGTATAAGCGGAACATTTAATATAATTGTTGCTTGTAATTACTTAGAAGACAGGCAATGTATTGTATGAGCTTGAGCTGTACGTGGAGACGTTGGAAAACAGAAAGCTACTCATGTAATGTTGGCAGCATTTGATAAGGTACTTGAAGAACAAGATGAGAAAAGAATTGGCCAGTTTACTAACAGAGACAAGAGGTGTAATTCCTTTACTTTTCTGTCAGTAAAACGTAACATTGTGAAATTTTAGTGACAAAGGCTCGTTAACACTCAGCCTCAAGACAAAGACCAAATTGGGGGTTAAGGGAGCTAAAGCCTATTATTAAAACTCAGAAATAACTAATGTGGCACCCATTCAATCTTTCCAATTGGTCAAAATTTCTCATGGAAAGGAGACTCAGAGTAAGACCTTCCCATAGAATCTTGCTAAGTTTAAATGACTGGCAGCTAAAACTAGAGAGAAAGGCCTATTTTAGGGGGAAAAAGTGTGTACATTGGCACTGGAAACTGGTATCAAATAAATAAAAATCTTACTATGCTTTTGAGAGAGTTGTGCCAGCACTCTAAATTAAACAGACTATAATTATTTGAGACTTGAAATTCCCTTTGAGTACTAAGGTGTCCAGAGTAATAAATAAAAATACAGAATGCCTAATTAACTTTGAATTTCAAATAAATAACAAATAATATTTTTAGTATAATTATATCTCATGCAATATTTAGGACATACGCTAAAATATTATTTGTAGTTTATCAAAATTCAAATTTAACAGTGAACACTATATTTTATCTTGTAACCCCATATAGAGATCCAAACTTTTACAGGCAGAAAATAGGCTGCAAAGCCATCTGAGCCACCAAGAAGGGCATATCCTTTAATAACCTCTTCAGATATGGCCAAGGAAGAGAATGGAAAAAGAAGGTCTTTGTAGACGTCAGTTCCAAGATCCATGACAAATAAAGAACTGAAGATGTTTTGCTTTCAGGGAACAATACCTAATCCAGAAATGTCTTGGGTCTTTCCATATCCTACTTCTCATTGCCATGTTATTTGCAGTATTAGTTTCTGTGAGTGGTTTGTAAGTTCATCCCATTGAGTCAGGTGACTGACTTTGGTCAATGTACGTGTTAGTAGAAATAACTTATGACATTGCTGAGCAGCAGCTTAAAGCATAATCACGTTGTTATTCAATTGCTCCTTTCCCTCTGCCACCAGATCAGCAATGTGGGAGACAGGAGCTTCACCTTCAGGCTGGATTCCATGATGGAGAAAACACATGGAGCAGACCAGCAGTTATTTGCAGCTATCATGTGAGGTGAGTAAGAAATCCATCTTTTTGTGGGGATAGGGGAGTGAGAAAGTCCTAGATTTGGAGGGCTTAGGATTATTTGCTAACCTTGCTAATATGCTGGTACTAACAGGTTCTGAAAAAACATTCATTCATTCATTCATTCATCTATTCCAATCACAACACAGCTATAGTTTATTATAGCTATAAAAAATATTTGTGTTGTAATCAAGATTAAACAGTTTGCCCAAGGTCATTGAGGAAGGCAAAACTCAGATTCATTTATTTATTTGGCTCCTTCTATGGACTTATTGCTATTCAAGACATTGAGAAGTACAAGAGAATAAAACAGTCCCTGACTTCAGAAAATGAATCACTTTGTTAGAAACATAAGTTCTATCCATGTTTACACACATGTGCACATACTCCATGTGGTTTGAGTCACCTCCCTTATAATATTTTACATTGTTTCTTACCCTCACCTCTGCCTCCTCCAGCAGCTGTGTCATGCTGTAGGACACATTGGCATGCCTTGGAGGCCTCTCCATCCACATTTAAAGACCATCATTGTATTGGCTTTCTTTTCCAAGTTAAACTCTGCCACCTGCTTTATAGTAACATATTTTTTAGTGAAAAATAATGAAATATAATTGTATAAATGTAACTTTGTCCTGATATGCTAATTTTTTTCCAAGATGTATACATTTATCTAATGAAAGAAAAGCCAAACAAGAAAATCATTTTAGTTGTAAAGAATAAATGCCCATTCAAAATATTCCAAGAAAAACAGGCTGGGTGAATTTTTATTTTATTTTATTTTATTTTATTTATTATTATTATACTTTAAGTTTTAGGGTACATGTGCACAATGTGCATGTTAGTTACATATGTATACATGTGCCATGCTGGTGCACTGCACCCACTAACTCGTCATCTAGCATTAGGTATATCTCCCAATGCTATCCCTCCCCCCTCCCCCCACCCCACAACAGTCCCCAGAGTGTGATGTTCCCCTTCCTGTGTCCATGTGTTCTCATTGTTCAATTCCCACCTATGAGTGAGACTATGCGGTGTTTGGTTTTTTGTTCTTGTGATAGTTTACTGAGAATGATGATTTCCAATTTCATCCATGTCCCTACAAAGGACATGAACTCATCATTTTTTATGGCTGCATAGTATTCCATGGTGTATATGTGCCACATTTTCTTAATCCAGTCTATCATTGTTGGACATTTGGGTTGGTTCCAAGTCTTTGCTATTGTGAATAATGCCGCAATAAACATACGTGTGCATGTGTCTTTATAGCAGCATGATTTATAGTCCTTTGGGTACATACCCAGTAATGGGATGGCTGGGTCAAATGGTATTTCTAGTTCTAGATCCCTGAGGAATCGCCACACTGACTTCCACAATGGTTGAACTAGTTTACAGTCCCACCAACAGTGTAAAAGTGTTCCTGTTTCTCCACATCCTCTCCAGCACCTGTTGTTTCCTGACTTTTTAATGATTGCCATTCTAACTGGTGTGAGATGGTTTCTCATTGTGGTTTTGATTTGCATTTCTCTGATGGCCAGTGATGGTGGGCATTTTTTCATGTGTTTTTTGGCTGCATAAATGTCTTCTTTTGAATATTTTAAAAGATTTGAAAAGGAAATGTGGACTCATAGGATCCAAGGCATCTTAAAACAAGCACTTTAGCTTCACATCTTTCTGATCCTGCGGTTTCTTGCTTCTTAGAGTCTGTTCCACTCTTTTAGTCTACAACTGAATTTTCCCTGCCCACCCTTTCTGTTTATTCATCATTTAGGAGGTTGTAATAATTTGCAATGTTGTCAGCTCAGGCCAAAACTTTTACATAACTTGTCCAACGCAGAACCTGTTGCCTTCAGAATACAGTTTCTCTGCCTCTTATTTCTGATAATTAAAGAAAAAACTGATTGACTATTGATTGGATCTCCTAGAATCAAATATACACTCCAGCCTAATTATAGGCATTCATCTGAAATACTGCAGGCTTAGTTCCAGACCCCCAAATAATGCAAATATTGCAGAAAGGTAAGTCAGATGATATTTTGGTTTCCCAGTCGATAAAAAATTTATGTTTACACTTACTGTAATCCATTAAGTGTGCACTAGCATTATGTCTAAAAGACAATGTACAAACCTTAATTAAAAATACTTTATTGTTAAAAAGTGCTAACAATCATTTAAGCCTTCAATTAGATGTAATTTTTTTGCTTGTGGAGGGTCTTGCCTCCATGTTGATGGCCGTTGACTAATCAGAATGGTGGTTGCTGAAGATTGGGATGGCTATGCCAAGTTCTTGAAATAAGACAACAAATGAAGTTTGTCACATCTATTGACTCTTTCTTTCATGAAAGATTTCTCTGTAGCATGCTATTTCCTTTTATAGTATCTTACCCATGGTAGATCTTCTTTCAAAACTGGAGTAAATCCTCTCAAACTCTGCCACTGCTTTATCTACTAAGTTTTTGAAATATTTTAAATAATTTTTTTTTATTTCAAAACATGTTCACAGTATCTTCACTAGGAGTAGAATCCATCTCAAGAAATCAGTCACTTTCTTTGTTCAGCCATAAGAAGGAATTCCTCATCTGTTCGTTTTATCAGAAGACTGCAGTGATTCAGTCACATCTTCAGGCATTATATCTAATTCTAATTTTAATTCTAATTCTTTACGTCTAATTCTAATTCATCTTGCTATTTCCACCACGTCTTCAGGGACTTCCACTGAAGTCTTGAATCCCTCAAAGTTATCCATGAGGGCTGGAATCGACTTCTTCCAAACTTCTACAAATGTTGATATTTTGACTTCTTCCCAGAAATCACTAATGGCATCTAGAATGGTGAATTATTTCCAGAAGATTTTCAATTTACTTTGCCCAGATCCATCAAAGTAATCACTATCTATAGCAGCTATAGCCCTATAGCCTTAAAATACTTCTTAAACAATAAGACTACAAAGCAAACATTACTCCTTGATCTATGTGCTGTAGAATGGATGTTTTGTTAGCAGGCATGAATGCAACATGATTTCCTTGTATGTGTCCATCAGAACTCTTGGGTGATCAGGTTCATTGTTAAAGAGCAGTAATATTTTTTAAGAGAATATTTTTGTCTGAAGGGTAGGTCTCAATATAGGGCATAAAATATTCAGCATACCATGCTGTAAATAGAAGTGTTGCCATCAAGGCTTTGTTATTCCATTTTATACAGCACAAGCAGAGTAGATTTAGCATAACTCTTAAGGGTCCTAGAAGTTTTGGAATGATAAATGACCATTGGCTTCAACATCAAGTTGCCAGCTGCATTAGCCCCTAACTAGAGACTCAGATTGTCCTTTGAGGCTTTAAAAGCCAGATATTGACTTCTGCTTTCTAGCTATGAAAGTGTTAGATGCTATCTTCTTCCAACAGAAGGCTGTTTTTCTGCATTGAAAATCTGTTCTTCACTGTAGGCACTTTCTTTGATGATCTTAGCTAGATCTTCTGGATCATTTGCTGCAGCTTTTGCATCAGCACTTGCTGCTTCATCTTAGACTTTTATGTTATAGAGATAGCTTCTTAAACCTCATGAGCCAACCTCCTCTAGCTTCCAACTTTTCTTCAGCAGCTTCCTCACCTCCGTCAGCCTTCACAGAATTGAAGACAGTTAGGGTCTTGCTCTGGATTTGAGTTTGGCTTAAGAGACTATTGTGGCTGTTTCGATCTTTTATCCAGACCACTAAAATGTTTTCTATATCAGTAATACAGTTGTTTCATTTTATTATCATTGGTGTGTTCACTGGGGTAGCACTTTTAATTTACTTCAAGAACTTTTCCTTTGCATTCACAACTTGGTTAACTGCTTGATGCAAAAGGACTAGCATTCTGCCTTTCTCAGCTTTCAACATCCCTTCCTCACTAAGCTTAATCATTTCGAGATTTCAATTTAAAGTGAGAGGGAGATATGCAACTCTTCCTTTCACTTGGACACTTGCAACAAGCTTGTTCAACGCTCAGCCTGCAGCCCAGGATATGCGTTGACCAACACAAATTTCGTAAACTTTCTTAAAACATTATGAGTTTTTTTCTGATTTTGTTTTTTAGCTTAACAGCTATCATTAGTGATAGTATATTTTATATGTGGCCCAAGACAATTCTTCTTCCAATGTGGCCTAAGGAAGTCAAAAGATTGAACACCCATGACTTAGAGGCTATTATAGGGTTATTAATTGGCCTAATATTCAATTTTTTTCTGAGGAAATAGAGAAGCCCAAGGAGAGTGAGAGAGATGAGAGAGCAGTTGGCAAAGCAGTTGGAATGCACACAACATTTATTAAATCTACATGGGTGTGGCTCATGGCAGGCACTCCAAAACAATTACAATAGTAATATCAAAGATCAATGATCACAGACCACCATCAAAGACTACCATAACGTAATAATTTAAAAGCCTGAAATATTGTGATAATTACCAAAATGAGACACAAACACAAGAAGTGAGCACATGCTGTTGGAAAACAATGCCAATAACTTGCTGGATGCAGGATTGCCACAGACCTTCAATTTGTTAAAAAAAAAAAAAGTGATATCTGCAAAGTGCAATAAATAAAATAATAATAAAATGAGGCATGCCTGTATCTATAACCATTCATGTGAGGTCAGCTGGTATGTTGCATATCTCTTTTAAGAGTTCGAAGAAGACAAATTATGTTAAATGGAATTGGGATATGGCAGGCATATTAAATTGACATGTCCAACACAAAGACATGGTCTGTAAAAGCAACACACACATATACAGGCACACATGTCAGGAAACTAAATATAAATATGTTTGTGTATTGGTGTGTATAGTTTCAAATTTTGTAGCACTTTGGATTTCAGATTTTTGGATTAGGAATGCCCCCAATCCAGAATACTCTAAAATCTAAAATTGAGCACCTACATGCCATCAGAAAATTTCTTACTTGATCTTAGGTGACAGATCATAATAAAATGCCATCAAAACTTTGTTTCATGAACAAATTTATTTAAAATATTGTATAAAATTACCTTCAGGTTATGTACATAAGACATATATGAAACATAAATAAATTTTATGTTTAGACTTAGGTCTCATTGCCAAGATAGCTCATTAGATATTTGTAAGTATTCCATAATATAAAAACAATTTATATATTAGGACTTCATAAAGTTTAAAACTTTCTCCAAAACCAGATTGGCACAAATATATTTAAGCATTATTCTGCTTCATGTATATTCAATAATGCTGTATTAATTTAAATTTCATAAAAGATTCTGTTATTGAAATTTAGGAGGTAGTTGATGCCGTTAGAGGCCTTTTATTTATACCTTTTGTTTTGATCTAAACTGTTGGTGATTTGAAAATCTTAATTTCTGAGTGAATTATACAGATAGTCATATTGCTTAAGTTTATCATCTTTTTTGTATAATTAGGATGAATAATTTAGTTTATATCTTTTGTATTTAATGCAATTAAAAATATCCACTGAAAATACAATTCTATTAGCTGATTTGAGAGAATGTCTATGGTTAACTCGCTTAATAGCATTGACTGGACAAAAGCAACTTTTATCATAATTCTCTCGTCTTCTCAATTTCAATATGAAATATTACCAGTGAATAAACAAATGAATTGAGAAAAGTTCACGTTCTTTGCTGAAACCCTAAGGGTCTGGTGAATACATTTACATTAATGGTGGATTTAAAAAGATAAAATATAAATCCATAATATTTTAAGAAATATTGTGTGGGCTGGGCGCGGTGCCTCACGCCTGTAATCCCAGCACTTTGGGAGGCCAAGGCGGGCGGATCACAAGGTCAGGAGTTCGAGACCAGACTGGCCAATATGGTGAAACCCCGTCTCTATTAGAAATACAAAAATTAGCCGGGCATGGTGGCAGACGCCTGTAGTCCCAGCTACTCGGGAGGCTGAGGCAGGAGAATCGCTTGAACCCGGGAGGCGGAGGTTGTTGTGAGCTGAGATCAGGCCACTGCACTCCAGCCTGGGAGACAGAGCAAGACTCTGTCTCAAAACAAAAACAAAAACAAACAAACAAAAAAAAGAAATATTGTGTGTGTGAATAATGTGCATTTGAGAACAGAATTTTATAATTACTTTAGTCATCATACTTAATTTTAACAGTAAGAAATTGTATGAGACATGTGATGTAATGTTTTCTTATCTAGTAAAATCATTGAGCATACTATCTCCACAAAACTCAATGAGAAACGGTAGGTAATATGTTAAAGAGTAAGAACCCAACAAATGTTATTTTCTGTTAGCATGATTGTGATCATTATTATCATTTTCATCATTAGTTTACACTCTGGATATGCAGCAACATAACAAGGTAATGTATGTTTTGTATTAAGTGTCAATGTTAATTTTACAAATATTAATATTTTTAAAATCCTGATTTCTAAAAGATTCTACTAATGATATCACAGACAAGTACAGTTTTGAATTTATAGTTATATTATACATTATATCCACCAAATTCTAAAATTTCTCGCTGGCTAAAATAAATTCTCCTATATTCTCTTTTCTCATTTCTTCCTGTGTATCAACAATTTTGTAAAACTTTAAGGTTGAAGAAATTTGGTAGCAAATACAAAGAGGAAAACTGCCAATTTCTTTCAAGCTAAACATTTATTTCTACAGAACCATATATTTTGATCACTTTCTGGTCCTGCATGATCACAAAAGATTTTCTCGTTTCTCTTTGTGACAATTTTGTATAAACAAATATGCCTTTCCTGTGGATAGTGTGATGGCATTCAAATTATTCTGATTTTCCCCAATAATCTAGCATTGTTCATAACACACACACACACACACACACACACACACACTCATCTAGTAACCATCAAAACCCGGAAGAACAACCAATGTTTCAGGACACAGATGTAATTGCAATGCAATGAAATATAGATAAAATTTCTAAATCTCCTAAGAGAAAAACATTTAGAAAAGCCTTTTTAAAAAGCTTTAAAGAACTCAGAACTTGCACACACCTGGAATCCCAGCTACTCAGGAAGCTGAGGCAGGAGAATTGCTTGAGCCCGGGAGCTGGAGGTTACAGTGAGCCGAGATCGTGCCACTGCACTCCAGCCTGGTCGACAGAATGAGACTGTCTCAAAAACAAACAAACAAACAAACAAAAACAACAACAAAAGAAACTCAGAACTTTTGATGATCACAAGTGAAATGACCTCCCCAAATCTCTTAAAAAAAAAAATTGATAAGCTCTAACCTCTAAAGACAAACTGGGGAAGAATATCCTTCTATAGCCAACTTTAAACAAACAATAACAAGCTTATAATACCAACTTCCAGGGAGAGAATATCATGGGATATCTATAACTAAATTTCAGTTAAAGAATTAAGCTTCAAGAAGACTGGAATGCCAGATTCTGATGTGAAAAGTAAATGTAACGAAAGCTATCTCAGAGAAAGAAATGAAATTGCATATTGGTTATCAGCACTAATTATATAAATGTTCATATAATGATGGGGCATAAAAATCATGTATAAATCAATAATTTAAAAATTGAAATAAATGCAAGAATCTTAGGGATACCATATTTAATTTTAATTTCCACAGAAATTGATTTAAATCGATTCTGACAAACAAAGTGCCTTTTAGAGGTGAGTGAGCCTTGAGCCACAAAAAAGATTGAATTGCAGTCAAGCAAATCCATTCAGGAACCAGCATTCAAAGCCACTGTAAATTTTGTCGCTTCTTCACTTAGGTCCCAGCTCCTTCATTATGTTGACACGTATGTTAGAAAATATTCTCAATTACTCTAAAATTACCAGGAGATCAGAGTACTGGAGACAGAACAAACAAGTTTGTGAGAAACTTAAAAATAATGATGCTCTTCTGACAAAAAAAAAAGTATTTTTGAGGACTTTGTTTTTCATTTTCTTATGAATCTCTAAGGTCTCCACTGAAATTTATATCATATCAAAAGTGAAAAACAAAATGGAATAGCTATTTTTCTACCTCATAACTTTCATGAGTAAAACATTCATCTTTCCTGCTGAAGGGAAGAAAAGACACTTCCTTCATAATAATTCTTAACTATTTCTTCATGATACTGTGCATCAGAGAAGACAATAGATGGACTGTAATAGGACAGATGAAAATCAAGGCTTCGAACATTTTGATAGGAGATGGAAATAATCATTTATTTAAGTATCATCACGCAGTTCTTGGTAAACAAGAAAGCATATTCAGTGCAGCTCTGATAAATTTTAGTTGAAAAGAATCTCCCTTTGCTAAGTTTTCAATTTTGTTCCAGATAGATGAAAACCATAGAAAGCACTTATAATCTCTTTCTTAACCATAGATCTGGAGATAAGGTATACTAGAATATATTTGGAGCTAGATATTGATATGTAGTAGACTACATTGAATAAGCTAATAACTCTCTTTAAATGAAAAAGATATTCCATGAACCTATTGCTTTGAGTCATTTAAATACATTACACTGTACCTGCCTTTTGGTAATTATACCAATTAGATTGGAGGACCATTTATCAGGGTGCCAATTAAGTAAATTCTATACTTTCTGGAACTTAACAAAACGGTCTAGATTGGAATGACTAAATAACTCCTATGTTCCTAGGCACTTTAGTTGACTTGATCATGTAGCATGACAATAATTTCCTACTATATGAACTAGGGTTATAGCTACTGAAAGACATAGTTTATTCATTTAGTTTGCTTTATCATCTGAATTTGAAAGCTAAAAACTTTAACCAAAAAAATATTGGCTTGGAATCTTACTTTTAATTTTGTTTAAAAACTGATTTCCATGAACATTTCCTTTTAGTTGATGCTTGAATTTAAAGGTTAATTAACTTAATGATTCTTGGGTTGGTAGACATGTAATTGTGGTTGATTGAAATTTTTTTCACTGCCACATTTTTCAGAAGATACGGAAGAATGAATTAAGAATTAACTGACATTCAATAATAGTGGAAACTTAAAAAACCCTTATAATCAAATTATTGCTGAAAAGGAGTTCCCGTTTTTTAAATTATTAAATCTAAAGGACTTTTTAAAGTGATTTTTTCTAACATCTATTAAAGAATGGAGATGTTCTCCAAGTATTTTAACCACTCTTTGAGGAGAAGGGTATGAAATTCTGTATAGTCACTCATAGAGTTACTATACTTAGTCACACTGTACATTATTGAGCAGAACACTAAGAGGTGGTAGAGTAAATATTCAAAAACACAACTATTCATTTAATTTTTATAACTGACATTTAGAGTATTATAATTATATACTAATAAAATATGAAACAAAACATTTCTGAAACAGAATAGTTTTGCTGAGAAATCTCCAAGCCATTTTTCTGTTGCCAGTATCTAAATATACATGTTTTTACTAAGTCACATGAGATGTTGGTGTTGGTCAAAGAAATTCCATCAGTTGTATTACGTGAAAGATATACTTAGATATTAAGTAGTCAGTTAAATAATTATTTTGTACTCAAATCAGCTCTTTTTAAAATTATGTAGTTCAACACTATGGGTGTCAATGTAGTGCTTTTTCTGAGAATACATAATATATTGCAAAATTCAAATAATGTAAAGGAGTTCTTATGCATTTTTACAGTGCAACAAAGTGGTACTCACAGGTTGGGGAGAAGTGAGACGAATTGAAATCTCGATTGAATTTGAAGAGGTATATATGATGAAGAGATATGAGAGGCAACCTTTGAGGAAATGAGTGGTACAGCAATTGAAAACAAGTTTTGTAAATAAAGTTGGAAGAGATTAACCTACATCATCATAGCAGATCAGATATCAGAAGAAATAACTATAACACAAGAACCAAAATAATCAAATAATTTCAGATATTAAATTTAAAATTTTAATCAATTCTAAATGATATACATGCAAATTAGTTTGCTTGCAAAAGTCAGAGAAAGCCTATTTTGCTTAATTATAGTCCTTGTAAACATTTCTCTCTACATCTATTTACTGTTATGACTTGTAGCAGCAAGAAAACCCTTTAAAGTCAATATACTTAATATCCATAAGGAGAGAGGACTTAAGTTAGTTTTTAATCAATTTAAAGCAGTTTAACATATACTTGAGGATCTACCACGCTACAAATGTTCTTCTGAGGACTTCAGGGAGTGTAAATATGAACATGAAGCACTCCTTACAGCAGCTTACAATCTGAGAACTAAGGTAGAAGGAGTTTACATATGAATGAATTACATGATAGAATAAGGTGAGTGCCAAAGTACAAAATGGTGTAAAAGCGTTTACCAGAAACAACAATTATCTTAGATGGTTAGGAGGAATCAAGAAAAATATCCAAAAGGAAGTAGACCTCTGCACATTTGCCCACTTATTCATAGCCAACAATGGAGAAAATGTGGAACATGATGAAGAAAGAGCTTATGGCCAAGATGGGTTGAAGTGTAGTGCAAGTGGTAAGGGGAAGTGGAAAATGAGGCAAGAAAGATAGACTGGAGTTAAATTGGAGGGCTTTGAATGCTGAGTTGACAATTATTAGCCAAAAAAAGTGACACTGCCTCTTCCATCACAGAATAGATGACAGTAGACCATTCTAAGAGATGCACATTGAAAAAACATTTAGAGAGCATGATGCGGCCTTTGAGGAATTTAATCATCAAACATTTATTGAAGACCTATTATGTGCCAGGGCGGCTTTGATTGTGAAATTTGTGCTATGCATGAAGACTACAGAAATACAAAGTAAAGTCCTAGTCCTTAAATGGTTCAAAAGTGAATGAGAAAGGACACTTTCAGAAGTGCTGTGTAAATAATTTAGGATATTATCAGGAAACAGGGGATGTTTGGATTATCTATTACCATGTAAGAAGAAATCCCAAAGCAGTGGTGTTATGGGTTGGATTGTGTCCCCACAAATTTATATGCTGAAATCCCAATCCCAAGTACCTTAGAATATGACTGTATTTGGAGTGTTAAAATACCTTAAAATGGAGACAAGGCCTAAAAAATCTCTGAGAAGATGAAACCAGTGAGGCCTCATAAATGACTTAAACCTTGCTTGATTTGCGAACATCAGTGAAACTTAACTTGAGCTACTTGTAAATGCCTATATTAAAGAAAAGCAGAGCTTAAGCTCAACCAATCAGAAGTAGCCAATAAACTTATAATTGTAAAACTAGAGACTTTCCAATGGGATAGTCCAAAGAAGGCAATTGTATAATTGTACTCAATCAAATATTTTCTTTGCTTTCCCTCTGTATTCATCCTATAAAATCCTCCTCCTTGCATTTCCTCATTGGAGCTCTTGAACCACTTCTGGTTTGGAGCTACCCAACTCATGAATTGTTGCTTGCTCAAATAAACTCTTTAAGGTTTTATTAAGCCTCAGTTTACTCTTCATCAGGAGTAGGATGTTTAAAGAGTTAATTAAAATGAGGTTGTATGGGTAGCTCTTGTCCAATATGACTGGCATTCTTTTAAGAAGAAGAAATTAAGCACAGATACACACAGAGGAACGACCACTGGGAAGATGTAAGGAGAAGACAGCAATCTATAAGCCAAGAAGTCAAGCCATAGGAAAAAGGAACCCTTCTGACACTTCGACTTCAGACTTCTAGCCTCCAAAACTGTGAGAAAATCAAGTTCTGTTGTTTAAGTCACCCAGTCTGTGGTACTTTGTCATGTCAGCTCCATGGCTCTTGGGTCTGGTCTTTAAATTCTTGGTTCTGCTTCTGAATTATCCTTCCTCTTCCATAATATGTAACATGTATTTGATGAAGTAGTTTTCTCAGTCTGCTTCCTGCTTGTATAAATTTGGAGTCTAAAGACCCCTTTTCATTTTTTAATGTCTCTGCTCTCACAGTCCAAGTTGGCAGTGTTACTCCATGAATAAATGTTTTAAAAATATTGAGTTTGTGTCATTATGTAAAAGCCATATCTATACAACACCAGATGATGTGAGTCATCTGAACACTGGAGGATCTGCTTCTAAGATGGCTCACTCACACAGCAGGCAAGGTGGTGCTCTGTCAGCTGTAAAGCATAGCCATGACTGCAGAGTGGGAACTTCAGTTTCTTTCAACATGGGCTGCTGGTCCAAGTAGCCTGGGTTACTTGGCTCATTTCCAGGGGTGATCATTTTAAGAGAAGGAGAGAAAGAGACAGAGAGAGGGAGAAAAGAGAGAGAGTGAGAGAGCACTAGCACCAGGTGGATGCACTATCCCCTTTTAATGCCTAGCCTTAGATGTCACACAGCTTTGCTTCTGCCATACCATATCAGTTGAAAAAGTCAAAAAGTCATAAGGACCTAGCCACGTTCAGAGAGAAGTACATACACTCAACTTCTTGACGGAGTAGGGGCAATGTTCTAGAAGAGAATATGGGTTCAGACATATGATGGCCATTTTTGGAATACTCATTCTGCTCTCCAGTGAGCTTTGAGTCTGAGTATCTGTTCCAGAATGAATGTACAAATCAAGACATGCTTGAGAGAAGACAATATTTTAGCTTTGTTATATTTAGCTATGTAATAGAATATTAATAATAAATTATTAATGTCATATATTTTGGGAGCTTTTTATGCTTCATTTTATTTAATGCTAACAATAATCCAAAAAGGTAGATTTTATTATTCTTTATGATAGATGAAGTAACTGAGGCTTAGAAATGCTATTTAGTTTGGTATTTAATTACTAAAGCTCACATTACTGTGGTACTTCCTAGAGTATGTTCAAATGCTGATGAAACTAATCCTACAGATATAGAGATATATGTTTTAGGAAAGATGGATAACTGTAGGAATAAAGTTCTTGAGTTGACCAAAAAAGGGATGAGATCCAGTGTATCATTGGAAGTTTTGGCCATAGCAATAAAGTTCATCAGTTGTAACAGGTGGAAAATGGAGTTCATGGGCATAGATAATGATAATTAGGTAGAATTGTTAGTGATAAAATGAAGTATTTTGTTTTATGACAGCATCCATTTCCTCAGTGAAATAGGAGGCAAGACTATCAGCTGAGGCATGGGTATCAAACTTTGACCATGGAGCCATTATGAAATAGTCAAGTTTGGGAGTGGAGGATGGGGGTAGAAAGAGGATGGTGGGGCTGTGCTCAGCACCTACTTGAGGTCTGTGGTCATGAATTTATCTGAGACCAGGTGTTCCCTGAAGTCAGGTGTTTTTCTCTAGTGATAGTTCACTGCTGGGTTTAGATGCAAAACAGGAAGAACATTTAAATTTATCCAGTGGTGTAATTTTTGAAATAGCATGAAGAAGGGTAGGAGAGGAAAAGACATTTTGAAAATGTATAAATAAATAATTTCTGTGATTGGTCTCATGACCTAACTAAGGAAAAGCAGAAAGTCAAACGTGACAAATGACAAAAACAGAAAAAAAAAATGCAGGTCCCAGTGCAGTGAAAAAATGTGGGAATAAAGTAAAGAAAACTCCATAGTCATAACAAAGAGATCAGTGAGTACCTGTAGAGTCAGTGCCTGACCCTTATTCCTTCCTTTTGGTCCTCCTCCCAAACGAAAACAGTTTTTTGTTGTTGCTGTTATTGTTTTGGTCTGAGGAGTTTCTTTTCCTTTGCAAATCATAAGCGTAAGAGAATTAATACCTTTCTGAATAGACTGCAACCAAGGACTGCTGGCAGTTATAAATACTCCAAATCCCTCTCCCTTAGGTGTGATAAATCTGAGACTGTGTCTTACACCATTTCCCAAACTTCCCCAGCTGGATTAGGCTTCAGCCAGCCAGGTGGGAACTTGCTGGACAACGCACCTTTAATTGACTCTGTCTCTTTCCTGTCTTGCTTCCTCGCTCCCTACTAGTGTTCCCTGTAATCATTTCCCAAATAAACTAATTCTATTCAAATCCTTATTTCAAGGCCTGCTTTCTCAGGGGACCCAACCAGCAACTCCTCCTTTGAGCCTCTAGAGCTCCTCTCAAAACACTTACCAAAATACACTTTGTGGTTTCTTACTTGTCCTTCTCTCCATTAGACTGTTTCCCCACGAAAGGAAAAGTATGTCACCACCTTTCTGGCTCCTTCTCCTAGTACAGTTCCTGCTATGTAATAACAACTTAAATATACAGTAAATGGAACAGAATGCTCAATTAAAATGGATGCTTTTGCTGACAAAGGATTGGAAGTATCTTCTTAACTTGTGGAGGCAAAACTAGATTAGGTTCAGTATAACATGAACATTATTTGTAGCATATTCTTGGCAATGTAATTCTTTGAAATTGATAATCCACAGTAGAATGTCAAGTCTAAAATTTTCACCAGCCAAAATATATCACTATTTTAGATTGTTAAATTTGAGGGAGTTGAATAATATAATATGATCTCTTCAGATACATATTTAACAATGCTAAGGAGTTGTGTGATTACACATTTATCATTTTTCCCTAAGCTGTTTATTCTATGAATTCTTTTAACATCAGCAACACAGAAATAACTGTAGGAAAATTTTTGTTTTTTGCATCATAAACACCTAACATGGAAGATGCTGAGTAAATATTCATAGAATAAATATTCTTGTGACAAAGATTATCATTTTAAAGTAAATTATTGTTGGAATAGATTAAAATGATTTTAAAATTAGGAAATAAAAGCACAGTAATAAAGTTCTTTATATATTTTTTAATTGTAATTTGACTATCATCTAAGTAACTGCTATTTATATACCTGTTTGCTACTGCTGATTACTTTATAAAGTTCAGTTACTCTGATGGCTAAATATCACAATCATTGTGTAACTAACTAAACCAAAAGCCATACTCGCTGTTTACAGATATATTTGTGACAATGCTTATTTGCATTTGCATATCTCAACAACTGCTCAAATATCTGCTTTCTAGCAATTAGGCAGCTGCTACTTAATATCAATAGTGGTAAACTCTGGTTATGTTTGGTTTGGAAACGAAGTGTTGTCTTGTGCAGCATTCTGGTACTTTGCAGAGTATTAATGAAGTCACTTTGCTTCATGCTGTTGTATCACAGCTACTTGGCATCCTTTCCTCCTCAGCTGGCTATTGCATTACTTCATCTATTTTCCTTTCATCCTTTGTCTCATTCACAGGCTTTGCCTTTGAATGGTTTTGAATTTCCCTTGTCAAGAGTTAATTTACACTTTTTAAAAAATGTATAGCTGTGAAGCCTGACCTGGTTGAAATATGTTGGGTAATTTATTAACAAAAGCTGTGTGTGAACTATTTAGGAGTTCCATTTGAATTTCCTAAACAGTTGGGGAATTAGCTTCATGGAGGGCACAGGTATGTATGGTAAAAACTGGCAGGCAAGTGGACATTAATTGACTGAAAAGAGAGCTTCAGTCATACTGGCTTCTGTACAAGTAAAACAATCAGTTTTGAGTGATGAATTATATCTAACCCTGTGCTAATAATTGAAATATGTACAAAACACTCATATCAAATCTCCTGTATGCGTTGCCTTTGTAATGTTATGGCTTATACTTTAGTGCCAAATTTTGCCTTGTTATGGTGTTTGTGTAAGTTCTCTTAGGATAGAAACATGTTTTAGAAGTATAGTACAAAAAATAGCTTAAAAATATAATGATGGAGTTAAACTAAATGCTATCGGAATACTGCTCTACAGTTTTTAAAGACACCATGCTGTCTCATACCAGTGTACCTTTTTTGCACATGATATTTTTTCTGAAATTTACTTCCCTCACCGCAAGCCCCATCTCCTGCCTACCCTAGGAAATTCTGCATTTCTTTCAAGTCTGTGCACAAACTTCACCTGAATCTCCCAGGCTAAGTGAGACAGTCCATTCATACTCCTTAATCCCATTGTACTTGTCTCTGGAAGACAGGATAATACATGCCATGGAATTAACTATGTGCTAAAGGCTTTAGTAGGATGATAAATGCTCAAACTCAAAACTCCCTAATTTTTAAAATATATATCTGAAGAGACAATATTGTACTTTCTCACCAATTCTCACTATTTTACATAATTAGGCTCACTAAATAAATATTTCTAAAGGCATTGCTTTGCAGATATGTCTTACAAAGTCTCCTAAATCATTTCACTTTAATCCAGGATTTAATATTACTATGTTGCTCTACAGCCTTTGGGCTTTATCCTTTTAGAACATTTTGTAACTCTTTTTCTCTATCACCTGAAGTCTCACTATTTTTCTTCTGGATCTTCATCCTTTTCCCTAAGCCAACCATATAAGCTACCTTAAAAATAATTAAGAGTTGTAATGAGAGGTACACAACAATTTCTTTTCTGCTATAAACCCTGGAATTAGTTGCATGAAGTTTTGGTTGACCATATCTCAAAATCACAGTCTTAATGCCCGTCACAGCAAAATGAGATGCTATCTGCCAGTAGAAAAAACTTCAAAAAATACAGAATATACAGATCCCCCCTATATATTTGATTATGTGAATGTTTAGTTTGCCTTCCTAATTTAGGAATACTAAATAAAACATTTAAGAACTTAAAGAAGATAATATTTGCTTGCTTCTCATTGTGCAAGAAATCCCATTATAGTGCCATCGAATAAATGAATTATACTGAGTCTTAGAGTCGCTTTGGGTTTGGAGATTTTAATACTTTACAGAGGTAGTCTACTCAAAGTATGCCAATTTTTCACGTTTTGTTTTTAGGGTGGGGATTCATGCCTATCTTGGAGCCATGACTACAGTAATTGGAAAACAATTGGCTCTTTAAACATTCTTCTACTATTGCTCAAACTATAGACCTATAAAATATATAGACTTGAATCATTTAAAAATATTGTATGTTAAGCTTTAGAAGTCAATAAGCTTGAGTTGTACTAAGGGCTTCTTAAATGTAAAGGTTAAAAGCCTTCCACTAACTATATCATGATGATTAAAAACCATACATTTAAATTTGGAATTGAGGATATAAATCATTCAATCAACTAGAAAATCATGGGAACAAGAAAGTAACTTTTAGGCATTTCTTAACCAAATCATCTCTATTCTCTTCACGCATCAATAATAACTCAAGTATTTGATTTAGAAATGTGTCTATTTTGTAATGAGCTGCTTCACAGTGGGGAAAAAAAAAAGGTGGGGAAAGCTGAAACCAATTTGCTAACACCTTAGACTGTAGTCCATCAGAAATGCAAATGTGAAATTCCCTGAAGTTATGATAAGCTTCATAGACAAAACAATGACTTTCATAGAAGATAATTTGTAGCATTCAGGAACTGAAAAGTTGGCTTTGGATGATTAGAGACTCAAAGAAGAAAGGCAGAAGTATCAGTCTGAATGAAGATATGTTTATTCAGCTTATATAAAGTCATAGCCAGCCATCTTACAGGTTTTATTAAATTTGAGTTTCCTCAAGTCTAAAATATTCTCATTCTCATAGCATAAATTGCTAACTTTAAGAGTGTGTGTGTGTGTGTAAATCTGATCATATTGAAATGCAGGTGAATGTTTGGCTCCACTATGTCTATTTACTTAACCTTGGCACTCACCACACAAACCAGCTTGCCCCCTATTGCCCCCTATTTCCATCCATAGCAGCATCAGGTTTCTTTGAAGTCTATAAACCTGGCTGCCAAGGTAATTCTAGTTTTGGAAAGCATCACATAGTTGAGACACAAAGTTAGAAATCAGTTAAATATTGAGTTAGGGGTAGGTTGACAGAAATAGGGAATTGTCTGAAGAGTAGTACAGATTGCAGTAATTATTTCAGGGGCAATTTAAGTTCTCTGATTTAAGCCTTCAGCTGGCTGTTAAGGATTGACAGAACAGATTTATTTGTTTGTCCATTCATTCATTTATTCAACATTTGCTTGAAGGAGTACTTGTTGTAATAGAGAGATGGATAAGCTCCAGAGGCTGGAGCCACAGGTGAGTGGAGGTGGGTGGGTGGAATGGTGGGGAGGGTCAACACCCAAAAACTTTGTTGCACCTTTTTATTTACATGTGTATGACAAGGTAAGAGACAGACACTTTTTAAAAAGATATGATCTTGCAAGATTAATGTGTGCACTGGAAAATTATGTGGGGTAGGGAAGGGAGTTTCTCAGTAGAAGGAAGAGTGCTGGTGAAGTTGTCAAAGTTTCCCACCACCTGGTGTATCTACGGGTAACTAGAACAGGTGACTAGGTTGAAGCAAGGGAGGTCACAGGAACAGGTCACATTGGAGAGCTAAGTGTATGCACATGTCACTGAAGTGCTTTAATCGCAATGCCGTCCCTCCAAGTAGGAGTGCTGAGGATTTCCCTGATACACAAGGCTCTTTCAGGACTTAATTTCACTTCACTCTCTGTTTCTTGGTCTTCTAAATGTTTTGGACCATTAAAGGGGACTGGAGAATGGCCATGCCAAGTGGCCTGTATAAAAAGTAACCGAAGTCATGGGGCCAGAGTGCGATTTTTCTGAATGAACCACAAATGGCATGCTGTTGATTGAAAACCACTGAAGACAGGAAGAAGAGGAACAGGCAGTTTGAAGGTTAGCACAAAAATCAGGCATTGGCTTGGCTTCTGCCATTGGTGAGACTCCCATTCAATGATTTCACATAGCCCCTGGGCTGGCCACCAAAACTGTCTCCTTATTTCTCTCCATGCTGACCTCCTCCTCCCCTCAGCCACTGCTCATTCCCTCTTCTCCCAGACACGAAAATTTTAGGTCGCTTTTCCTCATTCCTCTACACTGTCCTAAGCCTCAGTAGTAGTCTTCTTCTTATCTCTCCCGGAGTGGGAGCTGGATTCTGGTATAAACTGCGCTGATTCCCTCAGGTTTCCTAGCTGAATGTTCAATGCCTGATTATTGACTATTTTATTTGTTTTGTTTTGTTTTGTTTTGTTTTGTTTGAGATGGAGTCTCGTTCTGTCGCCAGGCTGGAGTGCAGTGGCGCCATCTTGGCTCATTGCAGTCTCCGCCTCCTGGATTCAAACTATTCTCCTGCCTCAGCTTCCCGAGTAGTGCCCGCACCACTTGCAGCTAATTTTTGTATTTTCAGTAGAGATGGGGTTTCACCATGTTGGCCAGGATGGTCTCGATCTCTTGACCTTGTGATCCACCTGTCTCAGCCTCCCAAAGTGCTGGGATTACAGGCATGAGCCACCAGGCCCGGCAGACTATTTTCTTTCATTCTATTTCGTGGTACTACCTTAGCAATGCAAATGCTTTCACTTAACCAAGGGTTACTTAGCAGGATGAGTAATATGCAAGATATTATATAGTTGCCCAGGTAAATAGAATACTTTTTCTCCTTAAGTTAATAATGAGCCATTGAAGTATTTTGGAAGGGAGAAAAAGTCAACAACAATGATTTGCTTCTTAGAAAGTTCCCTTTGTCTAAAGTGGGAAGGATAGATGGTGGGAGTAGCTGACTATAGAGCAGGAAGTGTGGGGAAACTATTGCTCAGGCCTGGGAGAGGGAAAACGGGGCCCTAAACCAAGGCAGTAGCAGATAGGATCCAGAGGAGGTTCTGCACTAAGGAGATGTTAAGGAGACGTGGAGACTACACTCTAGGGGAAATAAAAAGAAACAAAAAACTGAGATAGTCTCTTTTAGGCTTAACCAGCTGGGGGGATAGTAGTGCCATTGCCCATATAGAATGCAGAAGTAACCTACTTGAGCAAAATTATTTTGAGTTCAGTTTTGGACAAATCAAGCTTGTCTGAGTGAAGATATATTTATGCTATGGTTCATCAGAGGACCTGGACTAGAAATTTATATTTGGACAGCAGCTACATCATATGGTGGTTGGTGCTCAGGGTGAGAATGAGATGAGGAAGGGAAAGTATAGATGGAACAGTGAGCCTGTGACAGAGCTTTTAGTTCCTCCATTCTTACTTCCTCTACAGAACTGTTGGAATCTTTAAGTAAATCAACTTTCCCCACAGTCCTCAGTCTATTCCACTGGGATTTAGGAAGGAAGACATTTTATTGATCCAGTTTGAGAAATTCTTGCCATCAATAATTGTGAATACTTGCCAGATGGCTCAAAACAAGAAATGAGATCAAATAAAATCTGGAGTATTGCCTGAATGCAAACTTTTATAGGTCTAATGATGTGGTCAAATATATATGGACAGTGTTGAGATTAGAGCTTTCATCAAAGCTGTATGTTTCTGCTTGCTTTGCCTATAATTGCATTCCCATTTGTGGTAACAAAATACCTAAAAGTAACCTCAATGAAACACGTCTAGTGTATATTTAATGAAAACTACCAAATATAGAGAGAATTAAAGCAGACTTAAGAAGTTGGATAGATATACCATGCTTCAAGCAAGAGGGATGCATATTTAAATATATCTTCATGCTAAATTATTTTATTTATTTAATGTAATTTTATTATAAATAAAAGAAATAATTTTTGAAAAACTGGAAATTAAAATTTCAAATTCCATATGTTAAATCATATGAGGAGAGCTAGTTTTCAAAAAATTAAAATGAGGAGCAAGACATAATAGACATCAAATGTTATAAAACTATAATACTTAAGTGAACATGGTACTAACAAAATTAGACAGACCTCGATGAACACTACAAAACATATTTATAAGAATTAGACCTTATCTTCCATGAGAACTACTACAGTCATAGAGGTATCACAAACCAGTGAGAAAGAGACAGATTATTTAATAAAACTGTTTTGGTAATCAGTTTGCTATTTAGAAAATAATGAATTTATATACTCAACTCATATATTATTCCAAAATAAGATATGAGATGCAAATATTCAAACATGAATTCAGGGAGAAATAAAAATAATAATTCATTAAATCACAAGATAATGAGATGGTTATCATTTTAAGTATATTACAGTAAAAATGGATTTTTGGTACCTAAAGTTAGAACCTTGTTCAAAAAGAATACAAAGTTAAATAATACAATTAAGAAGGTCACATTAGATGAAATATCAATATTATTAATAGTAACAGTATTAATAAATGGAGACTTCAGAAATGAATCAAAAAATCCTATAATTCCAATAGATAAGTGGCCAAGGAATATGATCTGATGTTTAAAGAAAGAGAACATATAAATGGTTAATAAGCATATGGGGAAAATGAAATATAAATTTTTATTCTATTAAAATTAAGCATATGAAATTGTACATAATAATAAATGTGTGGTCAAATATAGTATGATAAAATTATTTCAGAAATAATTTGAGACAATTATGATTTTTCTTTTGACACAGGGTCTCACTCTGTTGCCCAGGCTAGAGTGCAATGGCACAATCACAACTCACTGCATCCTCAACCTCCCAGGCTCATGAGTTCACCCATCTCAGCCTCCTAAGTAGCTGAGACCACAAGTGTGTGCCACTACGCCCAGCTAATTTCTAGAAAGTTTTCTGTAGCAACAGAGAATCCCTATGTTGCCCAGGCTGGTCTTCCGACTCCTGGGCTTAAGTGATCCTCCTGCCTCAGCCTTCCAAAGTGCTGGGATTACAGGCAAGAGCAACTGTGCCCAGCTAAAAATTTAAAGTTAATTATGCAATTTGATCTGGTAATTCCATATCTAGAAATCTATTATAAGAAATTAATTATAAACTCTGAAACATGAACAAAAAGATAAAATAAGCACAAATACTGATGACAGAATAATTCCGAACAATCAGTCGGATTGTGTCCTGTGATGATTAATGTTATGTGTCAACTTGATTGGGTCAAGGGGTGCACAGATGTTTGGTTAAACAAATACCTGTTTTTGGATGAGATGAGCATTTGAATCAATAGACTGGGGAAAGAAGATCTCCCTTCCCAACGTGGGTGGGAAGCATTCAATCTGTTGAAGGCTTGAATAGAAGAAAAAAGGCAGAGAAATGGAGAATTCACTCTCTCTCCCTGACTGGATGGGCTAGAACATCCATATTCTCCTGCCTTTGAGCTGAAACTTATACCGTCTTCTCCCCAGTTCTCAGACATTGGACTTGGATTAGAACTTATACCATCAGCCTCCTAGTTCTCAGGCCTTTGGACTCAGATTAGAACTATCTCACTGGCTTTCCTCAGTCACCAGCTTGCAGAGGGCAGATCATGGGACTTCTCAGTCTCCAACATCAAGTAAGCAAATTCCTCATGATTAATCTCTTTATAAATCTGTTTCTATATCTGTATCTCTCTATATATCTATATTGGTTCTCTTTCTCTGGAGAACCCTGACTGATACAGAATCTCTGTTTATGATAGAATCATGGCTAAGTAATTATAGTATATACATTCAGTGAGCTTTTATAATGCCATTAAATATTATATAAGAGATGCTAGCTCTTGGAAAAATATATATATATCATTTTCATAAATGAAAAGGAAGGGTTTGGAGTTGCATAATCACTATAAAAAGCAAATATATAAATACAACAAATAAAGAAGTGAGTTAAAACACACTTGGATTACTATAAAGTGGCAAAGATGTTAGTGATATTTTTAAACACGATATATTTTTGGATTTCCCAAAATAAATTTATATTAATTTTAAAATGAAAATAAACACCTTAATAGGGGGTCTACCAGCCAAAAATATTAAGTAAACCTGATAAAATGTGTACCTTGTTATGCCTTGAGAACACTAGAATACACAGGAAGACTCACACATAAGTACAAATGCATGCCATCTACTACCCAAATACACACACTGAAAAATAGAAAGCACTGGCCCACTTGACTGCTAATGCTTCCACAGGTTCTGGAGTACTTAAACTTCATTTAAATACGGCCACTTAAGCAGAATGGGGGAATATTTAACACTATAGTGCCAATAAATCACTTCTCTTGGCATAAAGTGGCTCCTAGGCAAGAAATACCCAAAAAGGGACTGGGATGGCTTGTTATATGCGTTTCTTACTAGAATATAAATCAGTTTACTCCTGTTAGTGAACAGTGGTAATATCTTCACTCCTGTTAGTGAACAGTGGTAACATCTCATACTCACATGCACACATACTTTTTTCTATCAGAGAAGCATGGAATATTGATACAGGAGATAGAAATAAACTGTTTAGGCAGATAGTAAGGGCAAGAGTCCTCGGTGCAATTTCCCTTTTTAACAAAAAGCAGCCCCCAAATCATTTATTTTCTAACAAAGAGCAGCCTGAAAAATTGAGCTGCAGACATAGATAAGCAAGCTGGAAGCTTGCATGGGTGAATGCCAGCAGCTGTGCCAATAGAAAAGAGCTACCTGGGGGCCAGGTACGTTCAACATGGAGGCTCTATCTTCCCTTTTCTTTGTCACCAGGTGTACAGTAAACAAACAGGCAACATGGCGCTGGCAAGGTAGAAAATCCGTCTGCATAATAAAAGATCAGGGTGGGGGTGGCCAGCTTTTTGCGCCCTATGCAAATGGCACACCTAGTCCTAACTAGTTTTTTGTGCCCTATGCAAATGGCATACCTGGTCCAACCAATCTTTTGTGCCCTATGTAAATCAGACACTGTCTCCTCAAGATCATCTATAAAACCTGCTGCATTTAACCCAGAAGAGAGCTCTTCTCTTTCTTTTGCCTATTAAACTTCTGCTCTGAACCTCACTCTTCGCGTGTCCATGTCCTAGTTTTCTGTGGCCATGAGACAACGAACCTCTGTATCACCCCAGACAAATGACGCTGCTTCAATATCATGAAGAAACATGTTAAAGAAAGTGAAAATTTGAAGATAAAAATAAAGTTGAAAAAAACTCTGGCCTGGAAAGATCAATACTAAATATTCAGTCATGAAATTTGTATAACAAAATTAATGTTCACCTTTCCAGGAAATGTCAATAATTTGTTTTTCTTGCATATTTATTACAAGGGCTCTCTGATGACTAGAATTGATTTCTTTTTCACAAACATTTAATATGGGAAGATTATTTTAAGATACTGATATGCAGTTAAGTTTATGATAATGAATGTAGGTAGGTTTGTATTAAGTTTTACGTAAAAATCATAATTAGATGCTGCAAAATACAAATGTGTTTGCCATTGCAGCTTTGCTACACTTTGGTAGCTACTTACAATTTTTCTTTAATGTTTAATGCCAGCCTCAGGGTTCTGCTGTGCCTGAATCCTATTGTCCTCATTGACTCTGGGGAGTCCAGTTCCAAAGCAGTGTCCCCTCCATCGACCCTGGCTTAGAAAGGACACAGTGTTGGTGCCATCCTTACTAGCTCATCCCATATTGATTTACTAAATGGAGAGTCCTCTGGGCTCTCATTGAGAAAATAGGTCAGATAGTGAATAAATTCATTCTAGCACGCCTACCTCTCTAAGCATTTTTAATTCTTCCACACTATTCTGCCAAGGCATTTCAGCATCTCCATCCATTTATTAGAGGCTAGCATTTTTTTCCCCAAGCTTCAGGGAGCCATTTTAGTAGCAAATTAGAACAAGCTCCAGGTGTCCTTGTCAGTATGTTGCATACTGTACCATTAGATTGTTTCTTATATTTACAAACTCTCCCCCGTATAGCTTTATATTCTGCATGCCACTCAACACCTTCCCTCCATTCATCTAGTGCCCTCAAAACTCATTCCTGGGACCCTGTCAGTACATATTTGCAAGAACTATAGTTTTTTTTGAGGAGGTAAGGGATGGAAGAATCCCTTTCTTCCCAGAGGAGGTAATTTACTAAACTTTATACCAGCTATTAGTCTAGAAATGATGAGGGGAAGTGGAGGGAAATCTTGGAAAATTCCATTATCAACTTGGGAAGCATCCATCTCAGCAGAGGCCTCTGCAAGGTCTCCAGGCAAGAGAAGCAGGCCTCTTCTGCAGCCTTGGAGGATTCAAGGGAATGGGGGATTAAGTATTCTCAAGTGTGTCTGCTCGGATATTCCCCTCCCAGGTAGCCAGGGCACATTCTTTTTGCACCTAGGCCCTTTATTCAGCATAGGAGACATAAGTACTAGGAATCATGCCTTCTCTGTAACTCACCTACTCTCACAATTAGGTGCTGGGTCTAGTTTTTGTCCTGATCTGCCCTCTAGTTGCAGGAGATGAAGGAATCTTTAAATACTGTCAAAGATCCCCTTTGGCCCCTCCCACCCCACCGGGAAAAGGTATCTGTTTTCGGATTTGAGCCTGTCAGCATTTTAATTTCGCTTATTAATAGAATTTTAAAACAACTAAAGAATTCCACAGTCT
The DNA here is from genome assembly GCF_000001405.40 of Homo sapiens. Classification (NCBI taxonomy): domain Eukaryota; kingdom Metazoa; phylum Chordata; class Mammalia; order Primates; family Hominidae; genus Homo; species Homo sapiens. Next base: position 83,206,903 of record NC_000001.11, on the reverse strand, counting down.
GTAATGACCGTTGCCACCATACCTCTTAAATATCAGTGATATTGCATCCTCTTCCACAGATATTCCATTTCATTTCACCACTGGTGAAAAGGGCATTAATGGTTATGCTATAGAATGTCAAAGATTATCATTATCCCGACTACCACCAGCAATGCAGTCTTTTGCTATCTGGCCAGCCCCAAGACCCAACCCCAAAGTTCTCTCTGAGGATCTGTTTCCTAGAACAATTTCTAACTCCTTTAATTAGGTGACCCTAAGGGAATCAGACCCTGAGAAAAGGATGAGACACGCTTTGTTTATTTGGGAGCTGCAGGAAAAACAAGCAGAGGACTGTGGAGATGATGCAGGAAGGGAAAAGCAGGCCGTCAAGTTGTTCTGGAGCACAATCCCCAGGTCAGCTCTGAGAAAAGGTGAAAAGACATGCCTCAGGATTATTCATGCCAAGATGAGCAACCTAGGGTATTAAACCCACTGGCAAAGGCTCTCAGAGACATGCTAGCCCCCAGACATTTCTGGTTAGCTGTGCATTGGCAAAGAAGGTTCTGGAAACAGAGGACAGCCTTCCAGTACAGATGGCAGTATGCGTGGGGAGTCAGACTGCCACTTATAGAAGAGATAAAGGACCCAAAGGGAAATGGGCAGGGAACTGACTATGATAAATATAAGTTTAATGTATTTTTCGTTTCTTATTGAAATAATGATGAGTTAAACATAGTCTTAAATTGCTGGGTAAAATATATATTTTTGTAGATAAATAAACCAGATAGTTCTGTTAAGTTACTTCAAATATCAGTAATAGAACATAGTAATCAAATCTTAAACATAGCAATCAGAAAGACAATTTTTTTTTTTTTTTTTTTTTTTGAGACGGAGTCTCGTTCTGTCGCCCAGGCTGGAGTGCAGTGGCGGGATCTCGGCTCACTGCAAGCTCCGCCTCCCGGGTTCACGCCATTCTCCTGCCTCAGCCTCCCAAGTAGCTGGGACTACAGGCGCCCGCCACTACGCCCGGCTAATGTTTTGTATTTTTAGTAGAGACGGGGTTTCACCGTTTTAGCCGGGATGGTCTCGATCTCCTGACCTCGTGATCCGCCCGCCTCGGCCTCCCAAAGTGCTGGGATTACAGGCGTGAGCCACCGCGCCCGGCCCAGAAAGACAATTTTTTAAAAGTGGCAAAACACTCACAGAGCAGAATTGTTACAAGAAATCATTTACTCAAAAATTATTAGTAAATGCCTCTCCAAGGGTAAAGATATACAGGTGTGAGAGCACAATCTCTACTATCAGGTACATAATAGGTGACCAATTAGTGCAAATTCATTATTGCTGATTTAAGTAAAGTACTTAATAGTAAGCTATTTTAAAGAAACTTGTTCAGATTAGTGATTATTCTCATGGATTAGTACTTAACAATTTACAATTAAACCAGTAATAATACTTAAATGCAACAACTGGGCAAACTATTGCTTGGAAATTCACTGAGAATTGATCCACATTTTGAAACATCACATCACTGACAGCAGTGCTGCTAGTGGTATTTAAAATCATAAGGAACACTTGAATTTATTATTTCAATTATTTAATAAAGTTTTTACTGAGCACATACCATGTTTCAGGCATAGCTCCAGGTACAAAGGAAATAGCAGTGAACTAAGTAGAATAAACACATGCCTTTCTGAAGTTTACATAACCTTCACTTATAGCTACAACTTCATTGTAATTACACCTAGGGGTTTAAGTATCTGATTATTTCATTATGTCTTCTAGTGCTGTTACGTTGAGCAGTTTTTTAGAGAAATATTAACTTTATTAGATGTCTTTACTCCTCCTTTATACTACATTTAGGGCACTGTATTTTTTAATTATCTGTGTAGGTATTATGTGTATATTTAATTTCAGGATAGTAGAGGGAGCATTCCACATTATTTATTATCAAAGTAAGTATTACATCTGATGGAACTGATAACAACTTCATTAAAGTACACACATTCTTACTGTCAAGAAAGTGATAAGGTCCTTGGGATCCATTATATGGATGGCAGCCTGGAGATTCTACAGTAAATATCCTGGTATCTTCAAAAAGATGTAATGCCAACTTAAAAATAAATATAAATTACTTCTAAAATCACTTTATCACCAAAGAGAAAAATATGGTATAAACATCTATGAAGTTTCTCAACTAGAAAATATTTGTTGTTGTTGTATTTCCGAAGTAATAATTCTCTATATCTCTATAGTGGGGAAAGTATCCAATGCTTCAGTTGCTAATTTGCCCACACCCCTTTCTTCAGTTATTGAGATAGTCTGACAATTCTTACTGTCTTTTAATGACCCAATTCCCTTACATAGGCCAGGATCTCCACATTCATTTCTCAGTTGGAGGTCTTCATTTGCATATTCTGCAGATATTTCAAATCCCAAATGTAACTCATTTTCAATTCCTTTACCCAAATTTACTCTCTATCTTTTCTCTCTCTGAAAATGGCATGAGGACATCCACCCAGTTGAATAGTTAAAGACTGAAGAATCACCCTGAATGCCTCCTTTTCACTTGTATCCAATCCATCTATCTCCTGATCTGCTGTGAAATTCTCATCACCCTATTCCTATTGATACTACTCCATTTTAGAGAATCATCATTCCTAGCCTAGATGGCCAAAAAAGCTTCATAAGTTGTCTCCTTGCTTTGATACCATCTGATCTTACCTATTTCTCATCCACTTTCCTCTTTGTAGCATCCAAAGTAATCCTTCTAGAAAGGAAATCTGATTATGTCATGTACATGTTAACAATCTTTTCAGTGGCATCACATTACCTCTGGATTAAAGTTCAAACTCTGAAACAGGATCAGATTTAATTCTCCAGGTTCTATTTTCCTTATTTTTAGTTCTTTACTCATAAACTCCTTCTCATCATTCAGGCTTCCTTGGAGGTGTCACTTCCATCATGGAATCTTCGATCACCTACCCAGGTCTAGGATTGATAGGTTTCCTACATGCTCTCAAAAAATACTGTCTTGACAGGGCTTATCACAATATGTAGCAATTAACACTTGGTCTCTCACTTGTCTTATGGGCATAGAGGCGCTTAATATGTTAGTTAAATTAATATGTAAAAGAGCTATTATTAAATAGTAAGGTAAGGTATATTCAGTTATAATATTTTTGAAATATATAAACAGGTGTTTTTAGTTATAATACTACTTTTAGAGCAGTTTTGTCCTATAGAAAAATTGAGCAGAAAGTACGGAAAGTTCTCATATGTACTTGCCTACCCCAGTTTCCTCTATTATTAATATCTTGCGTTTGTATAATACATTTATTACAATTGATGAACCAATACTGATACATTGTTAGCTAAAGTTCATTGGTTACATTATAATATATTCGGTTTTCTATTTTTTCTTTGTTTCTGGTACTTCAGAATAAATCAGAAAATTACATTGTGTATTTTATAAACATAAATGAAATTTCTGAATATTTGAGCCAAAAATGGGCAAACACTGGTGATATTTGTCTAATATACTTAATTCAGTAAACAAATATTTGTAAGTAGCACAAGTATGTGAAGGACAGCACTAGGTTCTGAGGGCTCAAAGCTGAATAAGACAAAGCCCCTGCCCTTACTGAGCTCCAAGAAGAAGAGAAGATGAATGAGTAACCTAATAATGTAGGGCAAGATGATAGGTCCTGTGATGGGGTATCTACAGAGTGCCACATCAGTGAAGGAGAGGGTTTTTAAAATCAGATTGCATGGAGAATGTGACTAGGAAAAGTTTTCCAGGGGACATAATTATTTGAACTGAATGTTGAAGTTTGAATAGAATTTAGCAGGTAAAAGAGAAGCAAAAGCATTTCAGTTTGAAAAATAGCAGTTTGCATAACAGCAGTGTGAATGTCGGAATCCTGAAACAACAGAACATAGCTAAAGAGAAGGAGAACAGAAGTTACAACGCAAGAGAAAGAGACATCACTCAGTTAATGAAGGGCCTTCATGTCTAAGCTAAGATTTTGACTTTTATCTTCAAAAATAGAAAGTCAGAACATTAAGTGGGAAAATGAGATTATTGGTTTTATTTTATTAAAAAGATCATTCTCTATTGCTAGAGGAAAATAAATTTAAAAATGAGTTCATGTATGTTCATACATTTATGCTCAAAATTTTAAGATAAATCACTGGTAGAATAAACATAGGTATATTATTCTCAAATCACTAGAAAACAAAAACGAAAGAAACTTTGAATAGTATAGCAAAATCAGTGAACTGACTGGGGAATAGCATGAAAACTTAAGAACATAAAATATAAAGTAGATAACAGAAGCAAGCCCAACTGAAAAAAAAAAAAAGTGTTAAACCCTACTACTTGAAAACTCGGGAATTAGATTGCAAAACAAAAAACAACGAAAATACATGAAGACTGATAGCTAAATAATATAAACAAAATGAAAAATAATGTGACAAAAGGAAAATTACAAATAAAAGCATTAGTGGCAATATCATATTGCACAAATATCATTTATAATCATAGCAATTCCTTGTTTAGCATGTTGTCAGGTATTATATGAGGATAAAAGGTGTACTGTAACATGAAGATTTAGCTATCAAAAGTCATCTATGAGACAAATAATATCTCTCTGAACTATATTAAATGTTCAAAATAAAAAATAAATGGGAAAATATTTTTCAAACTTTCTGAAGATAAAATGATCAGAAATCAAATGAAGAAATTAAGAAATTGAATAATATAATTAATGTTTTAGTTCCTAGACAGAAAATATATATTTTTAAAAAATATTTTCAAATACTCATGAGGTATTTTTAAATATTGATTATATCCTGGGTCTTAAAAAATCTCAAAAGGAAAAGAATAAATCATAACAATTCTACTTATCTTATTTCAGTGAAATAAAAACATTAATAACAAAAGCATTACTTAAGGAACATATTAAATCACATAGGAACCAAAAATAATAACCTAAAGAACTCTTGAGTCAAAGAGGATATCAACTTTTCAAGACAGAATATATCAAAAAGTAGGAAACACAGACAAATATATGCACTCTGAAAATTTATGCCTGCAAAATAGGGAAAATAAAAATAAATGAGCTAAATATGCCACTCATAGAAATGTGGTAGGCAGAATTCTATGAGACTCCCAAGAGTTCTCTCTGTTGATAAACACACACCTTTTCCCATTATTCAATCAAATACCAATTTAGATGCTGTTGTGAAGGATTTTGCTAGTGTAAATTAGGGTCTAAAACCAGCTGACCTTAAGATAGGAAAATTGTGCCTGGCTCAACCATGTCATCTCTTTAAATCTGGGTCCAGAGGTAAGAGACAAGAAGTCAGAGATTCAAAGCATAGGAAGGATTGAACATATTGTTATAGGCTTGAAGATTGAATACAGTGTTGCAGGCTTGAAGACGGAGAGGTCACATAGCAAGGAATGTGGGGGGACTCTAGAAGCTGAGAGAAGCTACTGGGTTGACAGTCAAAAAGAACACCAGGACCTCATTCCTACAAGAGGAAGGAAATGAATTTTGCAAACAAGAATGATCCTGGAGGCTGATTTTTCCTCAGAACTTCCAAAGAAGACTCAGCATAACCAACATCTTGAGTTTAGCCCTATGATACACTGAGAGGAGAAACCAGTGATGTCACGCAAACTTCTGACTTGCAGTGAGCTAATAAATGGGTGTTGTTTTAAGCTGCAAAATCTCCTATAGATTGTTCACAGCACTAAATATTAACAGGGAGATAAGAAAGTACATTGAAATAACTCCTATTGATTTAGGATGTTTGCTCTTTTAGCTCAGCTCGGTTTGGGTTATTGTCTCATGACCAGGAAAAATTAGGCATGCAAACCTCAAAGAGTGAGTGGAGTAAAATTTAAGGGAAAGAAAAGCTCTCAGCAAAAGCAGGTGACATGGGAGGGGTGGGGTGGTTCTCCTACCTGAAGACAGGAAGGTTTTCTAATGTGGTGGAGCCTGGGGCTTTTTATGAGCTCAGAATAGGGAGTGTGTGCTGATTTGTTTGTGAGTATGCAAAAAAGGTCAAAGTGAAGAACACCATTCAAAGATGGGCACTACAGTGCAGAAAACCAATTAAGAAAGGGTAGGTATATGTAAAATACGTGAAGGATGGGGATCAAGGTCAGAGGATAGTGCATGAAACAGGAAGGCAGGTTCTTAATGGGGTCCAAGGATTTACCAGGAACAGTTTCCAACTTGAAGGTTGGGTTTCATTGGGACCTGCCCCTATCTGCCTGGGCATCTGTCTGCCTCCTGCCTCGATCACTATGAAATCAGTAGAAAGGAAGTTGTAAAGATAATAACATAAGTAAGGGAAGTTAGAAATGAAAATACATCTAATGCTAGTTATTTAAGAACTATAATGAAATAGATAAATCTCTAAAAGATACTCATGGGAAAATGTGTGAGAATAGTAATTCACAACATTAGTGTATGAAAGGTGATATAATCATTGTCATAGAAATGTTTTTTCAGATTAATTACATACATGAAATTGTGCTTAAGACATTTAAACACTAAGTGAAATAATAAACTTTTTGTCATAAAGTTAGGTTATTATACAGAATAAAGAAATTGTTCAAATAGTTTCATGACCCAGATGGTTTCATAGTTGAGTTTCTACAAACATAAAAAAATTATTTTATGATATATTGATGAACTATAGTTGTATATATTTATGAAGTAAAAAGTGGCATTATAATTTTTGAATGTAATATGAAAAGTTTAAATTAAGCTAATAAACATATCCATCACCTCAAATACTTAATATTCTTTTGTGATGAGAACATTAGAAATTTACTCGTTATGATATCGTGATATATAAATTAATTATTAGCTATATTCATCATGTTGGCAATTAGTCTAAAAAAAATCAAACTTATTCTTCCTTACTGAGGCTTCACTATCATTTCCCCACTACCCCACCCCCAGCCTCTGGTTACTATCATTCTACTCGCTGCTTCCATGAGTTCAGTTGTTTTAGATTCTACATATAAGTAAGAACATATGATATTTGTCTTTTTATGTTTGGGTTATTGTACTTAGCATAATGTTCTTCAATTCCATTCATGTTGTCACAAATGATTGACTTTCTCCCTTTTTAAGGGTTGAATTGTAGTCCATTGTGAATATATTATCACATTTTCTTTATTTATTCATCCTTTGATGGACACATTAATGGTTGATTTCATAATTTGACTATTGTGAACAGTGCTGCAAACTTTTAAGAAGACACAATTTCTTTGCTTTTCAATCCCTTCCAAGACATGGAGAAAAGAAGAGAAACTTTCTAATTAATTTTTTAAGCTAGGATGATGCTGTTAGCCAGCTTGTAATAAATATTAAATAAACAGAACAAAAAAAGATACAGCAATCTACAGACAAATTTAGGTTATAGATAGAGAGATACAAAGTGAAAGATATTAGTAAATCAAATTCATCAGAGCTTTAAATTCAGAAAGTACCATTATTAAGTGATAGTCTCTGAGAAGATTCAAATATTTTTCATTATTCAAAAATAGATTTCCATAATCAATCATATCACACAGGCAAAGGGGAAAATTTTGATGAACTTTTTGACAGATGCCAAGAAATCTTTAATAAATTGAATTCAATTTCTGGTATCAGACACATTTCCTCACTAAATACTATCATGATATGTTTAGTTCAACTAGGCAACAGGAAATATTTAAGCCAACATTATGCAGCAGCAAAATCTTAAAAGATGTGTCCACTGTAAAAGTAATAAGAATGCAAAATGAAGTTGGGGAGTAATGGAGTTAAAAGGTCTATGGTTCAAGTAGTATAATGAAAGTGATAAATAATAGCTTGTTTTAAATTGTAATAAGTATAGAATGAGTTATATACTCTCTAGGGTAATCACTACAAAGTAGTTGTAGTTAATGAGTTAATATAAGAAAAACGTTCTCACAATATTTGACAAAATCAAAAGTCATCAAGAAAGCAGTTAAAAAAGGGACTTTGCAGGATAGCAGACATAATCACAGCTCTATCCATTATTATTTTAAATGAAAATAGATCAAATGTATTAAGGAAAAAACAATTATGTTTAAGATATAAAACAACAACTATATATTGTTTATAAGAATACACTTTAAATATAAGAATGCAGAATGGTTGAAAGTGAAATAATGGAAGAAAGCATGATAATCACTAACCAACAGAGAGCTAGTTCTGCTGTGCTAATTAATGTAAGTCAAAGTAGATTTCAAAGTAAGACAATGACTAGAGATAAGAGGGACATTTTAAAATATAGAGTCTATCCCACAGGAAGATAGCACAATACCAAATGGGTATTCATCCACTACCATAGCTACATACTACAGAACCTAAAAAAGAAAAGAATAAATCTGCAATTTTTTTTTTTTTGAGACGGAGTCTCGCTTTGTCGCCCAGGGTGGAGTGCAGCAGTGTGATCTCAGCTCACTGCAAGCTCCGCCTCCCGGGTTCACGCCATTCTCCTGCCTCAGCCTCCCAAGTAGCTGGGACTACAGGCGCCCGCCACCACGCCCGGCTAATTTTTTGTATTTTTAGTAGAGACGGGGTTTCACCGTGTTAGCCAGGATGGTCTCAATCTCCTGACCTCGTGATCCACCCGCCTTGGCCTCCCAAAGTGCTGGGATTACAGGCGTGAGCCACCGTGCCCGGTCTAAATCTGCAATTATTTAACACTCTTCTCTCTATAACTGATAGAACTGGCAAAACAAAAAATGAGATGGTATGAATAATTAAATTTTTAAACATGAACTAATCGATATATAGAAAACACAACACCTGAGGAAAGCAAGGTATATATTAAGTATACATGTATGAAATTTAACCATATGCTAGGCCAAAAAGGTAGCTTCAACAATATCTAAGGATTGAAGTTACTCAGTTATGCTATGAGAAGAAATTAATCTAGAAGTCAATAATAAAAATAAAATTAGAAAATTCCCAACTGCATAATATTAAATAATACATTTCTTAGTATTTCAAGGTTTAAGTAAAAAAAATCAAGCAAACTAGAAAATATTTTGGTGTGATTTATAATGAAAATATAACAGTGTAGAATGTATGCAAGATATGGAACTTCTGCTCCTAGTCAAGCCTGAATTTACCTTTCCTTCTTAAGCACCTAGGGAATAGGGGGAAAAATATGAAACAAATGTTTTCAGACATTTATTGCAGGAATTCAACAGATAGTGCAGGAATATGATCCATGCGAGAAGGGTATTAAACAAAGTGAGGCCTACAATTACAGGCACTAACTCTGTGGAAGCATTTTCCAACTGGCAGCACCAGATTTAAGGTCTTGCTGAATTGAGGAGACAGAGAAGAGAGTTCAAGAGGCCACAGCAGCAAGAATTTGTGGGGAAGGTCTAATTCTCTTATTACATTCTTGCTGTTTGTTATGGTTTGTGATAAAATAAGTACAGAAGTGAAGATCAAAATTTAGAAATTCATTAATCCAATTTAAATTAGATAAATGAGGAAGTAAGAAATATGTTCATTTGCCACATTTGAAAACTTTAAATATTGATGTCCATAGTATTCATTCAACATGTGCAAAAATGTATTTGGCACGGGAATTGTTTTACATATAACTGTTTGTTCAGTTACAATTGAGGAAAGAAAAAAAATATGGGCATAATAGTGATTCTCTACCTACATACACATTTTAAATGAACAATTTGCAGAGTTTCCATAGTTCCCTTTTTTCCTATGAAATGTTGTTTTGGTTATATTTATTGAAATGTAATTTTATCCCTGATAAATCAAAAACTAAATAATTTAGACTTGTATTTTGGATGTCTTTTTTATTTTATTTTTGTAGTAATTCACTTTTTTTTTCTCTTTACAAAAATATTGGTCTCTGATGGACTGGGGAAACAAACAAACTAAACTCTCATTCTTCACCTGTTTGAAATGCCCTGTCCTGAAGAGGGAACATGTTTCTCTTGTCCAAACTTCTTTAGTATTATTTATATCAGAAAGTTAGTTCAATACTGTACATATACTATGCTTAATACGTATTTTTGGTTAAGGCATTAGGGAGAACTCAAGTTAATTAGATTAAATAATTGCAGAAACCAACGATGGTATCAATACAGCATCACTGAAACCAAAATAGTTTATGAAAATTTTACCTAAAGTACCTTTAAAAAAATTGTCTTTTGCTAGACTGATGAAAATAATTGTTGCTGTTGAATTGTGGACAGACTACTATTATTTTAAAAATCATTTTTAGATTTAATTTTACAGATTTTTAAGCCCAATTATTCCCCATTTGTCAGTGGACATAAATGATTTGGACTGAGAAAAATTAACACATACATCCCTATAAGAATCCTGATAGCATGTTAAGTACCTGGCTCAGATGCCTTATATTGGAGGGCTATGCTACACTTCAGTTTGCCTTGCCCTTAGCTGTTTTGGTTTGGCCAGTAATTCTTTTTGTCCTATCTAGTCCTAGAGATGTCTCTGAAAATTAGAGTCCTGAGAAATACAGCAGACATATTTTCCCTTTAGTTCCTCAGGTGCATAGGGCATATTTTTGCCTGTTTGCATATTCATGTATTCAGATGAAGTCCTTGGTGCTTTTATCTCCACTGTATAACCTTGGCACATTAGGGTCAAAGGGCCCAAGTGTAGAAAGGAAATTTATGACACAGGTCTGGAGTTATTTAATAAATCAAGTTGTATTTCATCTGCATGTCCACAAACAATTACACACACACACACACACACACACTCACACAACCAGTATGGAATTGGGTGTTACCTGACTTTAGCTGTTCCAAAAGGCATTATAATGTTTTATGTCTAAATTCCAAAAGAGTACTCTTGGAATTCTTCTACTTGTAAGGCTGTTTATAAATGCTTACATGAATGCATGGTTAATATATGTTCTAAAGACCCTCGTGAGACTAAAATTTACCTGTTTTTCTGTTCTCCTTGGTCAGAATCAGGCAGTCTGACAGCCTGACAAATAATATCAGACAACATATATAAAGGTCTTAGACACTGCCTGCCCAAGAAATGTAAACTGTTAATGGGATAGGAGAGGAATGATCAATCTGCTTAAGTGATGTATGTCATGGGTGGTGGGCAGTTGGGGAGGGCTTCATGGAATCAGAGGCCCTTGATTCATTTCTCTTTTTCATTCAAGAATTATATACTGAGTGTGGAATCTGGGCCATATGTTCTTCTAAGCACTGGGGATAAAACAGAGAATAGAGTAAATATTGTTACTCTTTGAGCATATATTTTAGTCCAGGAGATGAACAGTAAAAATTAAAACACACACACACACACACACACACACACACACACACACACAAACCCTAAATAATATAATTTCAATAAGTAGTTAGGGTTATAAAGAAATAAAGTAGGCTAACGTGATAGACAGTGACCAGGTTGTCTACTATGGTATTTTCCACAGGATCTCAAGGAAAGCCTCTCTGAGGAGAAGCTATCAAGCAGAAATCTAAATGATGTGACTGAAGCTTCTCAAGTTCTAGTGGGAGATTTTTCCAGAAAGAGGGATGGAATTTGGCAGGTGTGGGAACAGCAGGAAGGTAGTTTGGATGGACAGGGAGGAGCCAGATTCCAGGGTACTGGGCACTGGGAAAGGCTGGGATATCACTCTAAGTGTTGGAAGCTCCTGGAAGGTTTTAAACAGAACTTTTTTCAAGTTATATCCAAGGGTCATTTGGTTCAATTTGCTCTATCTTCTAAATTTATATTTCTATTTCCCATAATAACTGATTTACAAGATGACAACCATGAGGCATCACAGTGTTCTGAATCATTGGAAAAGGTTCCGTGATGTCCACTACCATGGTGCTTTCTAAGGCAAGAAAAAATACTAAGACTTCTCCAAAATATAATCTGCAATACTGACTGAAATATACAGAGGACCTAGTTAACCATTGTATTTATTTTTTTAGACTAGGATATTACCTAAGGATCCTAATTAAGCCAGAATGTATAAAATCCTTTTTGCAGAGTATCTGAGAGGTTGAATGCACTATCAACATGGTGACTCATTCCTTACCTTTCATTTATGAACCGTGGCAAAGAAAAAATTCCCATGAGAAGCACTGCTTTGACAGTTTACTCTCCTTCCCTCAACTTAAAAGACTAACATCAGATTCCACATTTTTCTCTGAATAGTGAACTGCAACATTTTGAAGGATGTCTGTGTCATCTACACCCTCCAAAATACCTTGACTTTTATTTTAAGCATTTAAGTGAGTCAGAACGCACATCTGTTCATTAGGGTATCATCATAGTGTTCAACAATGTTAATTTATTCAACCAGTATGTATTCAAAATCTGCCACTTGTTTGACCCTTCAGCAAACACTGGCAAAACAAGCTAAATGGAAACCTACATATCCTCTTGTTTTTGTAGAGTTTACCTTCCAGCAAAATAAAAAAATATGTATAACAACAAATATCCATCAATGAATTATGCCTACACAATTATTAAATTTCAATTCTGACAATGACCACAAAGGGGAGGTCCTCAGTGGTACAAAGCCCTATTGCAGGAGGATGTGACTTAGCCAAGGAGTAATATAAGACTCCATAAGAAATGGTAGATGACATGTGGCTGAGAGATAAGCAGTGTTAACTACTAAGAAGGGAAGGGAAGGAAAAACATCTTGGTAGAGATAATTGCATGTGTAAGATCTTCATGGTGGGAGGAAGCATGGCTGATCTAGAGTGATGGCTCCAGGGAAGGAAATGATAAGGAAAGAATAAGAGAAGAGCTGGAAAGGTAGACAGTGTTCACATCATTTATTGTCTTTTGGGTCATTTTATCTTTTTATCTTGAGGTTCTTCGTGGCCATCAATTTAAGAGGAATGGAAAGCCATTGAAGGGTTTTAAGTAACAGTAGAAATAATATGAGCAGACCAGCATTTCAAAGATCACTTCTGCTATAGGGTGGAGAACGAACTGTCATCCTGCCATTTTCTGCATAGCCTTCCTAAATTTACACTTCTTTGGAGGCCTTACAGTTCTGAGAAGCACTGAGAATTTTCATTGACATCTCTTGTTCACTTTCAATTCACAGAGATATTTTGTGATTAGGGTTGACTTCAGAGTCAGAACTATTGCCACAAAGCAAAATGGAACTATTCATACCAATTCTTCAGGATTGAAGGGATCAGAAATCTGTGCCAAGGACTCTTAGCATAGATCCACTTGACATGGAGATCCACTCTACTGAAATGGCAGTGGTATCATCAGAGGCACAGTAACATCCAGACACAATCCTTACTGCCTGTGGTTCCTAGATACCTAGATGACAGTTTGAAGACTTCACTACGGTAACCTTCTCCACATTTTGAGTTGAGACATTACCTATGATTGCCATAAACACCCTTTTGTGTCTTAGCCCTTTTCCATTATGTATTCCAATGTCAATAATGTTTTACTTTCTCAACAAATGCTTTTCATTCTATCAGGGAAGGGGAACCCATCAAGCTACCCACCAAGTAGAAAGAGCATTTAGGTTTATTTCATCATGTGTTTCTCACTCCTAATTGTGCCTTTTATCATGCCTTTCATCATACCTAGAACCCTGATATATTTAACAGATTGTTTGCTTCATACTTAACCTATGCTATATTATTGGTCTTAGACTATAAGCTCTTAGAAGGGAGGCAACATGGAAAGAGGAAATGCTATCTGTGTCACATGAAATTAAAAACTTAGAAAATGATTTTTAAGATGATAAACTATTTAATATGGATAATGTTAACTATATCATTGTCTATGTATTTGTTAGGAGGATAAAATTATGTTACCATTTATTATATATCTTAACTTTACTATTTTCTTCTTGATTTATCAATATGTGTCTGACACATATTTATTTATCAACGCATGTTAATATATGTCTGCCCAGGCCTAGATAAAAGATAACATTGCTTTCTCTCAATCTATTCTCTCATTTGAGATAGAGAACCTTATAACTGGTATCAGTTAGTACAGTTTAAATTATGTGGCATAACAAACAATGCCCATTTGGCTCTTGCTCATGGTCAGCACATGTGAATTAGAAATCTGGAGCTCAAACAACCAGGTTATTGAATATTCTACATTTTTTGATAATTCCATTTTAACACCAGGCTTAGAGGTTTGCATGGCAGAAGAGAATTGGAGAATTAAGGTCAAGTAATTAAGTGCTTTATTGAAGGAGATATTTCCACTTACATTTCACTGGCCAGAACCAATCACTGGCCACACCTAACTTCAAGTAGAAAGGAAAGCATAATTATCTGTGTACTGATAAATGAAAATAAACAATTATTGGGCAACACTAATGGTATCAACCATCTGGTATATTCTGATGATATCATTTGCCAATATTTGGGATACAATAAATGCATTTTTAATTCTGTTTAAATTTTTTATAGTTTTTTTCACAACAAAAATGTTCAGTTTTAAAATATATTAATTTCTTCTCTATATATAACCTCTATATTATATAATTTTTATGCTTTTGATGATTAACACTTTTAGTGCTTGTATTTCAGTCAATTACTACAGGACAAAAGCTTTTAAATGTACTTACATTTTATAAGTAAGACTATTAATATTTTTATATTACAGATGAGAACATTTATTTTTAGAAAGACTAATTAATTTGAACAAGGGCTTACAGCCAGAAAGAGGCAGAGTCAGGATTTGAACCCAAGCCTATTAAATGTATAATTAGTATATAGTATAGGTTCCCTAGTTTAGATTTTAACCCATCTTCTAAGGTTCAGATCAATTGTTACATCTTCTATAAGGCTCTTAAACCTTTAGCCCTCAACGATCAATCTTTTCCCTCAGCTGTTCAAATGCTTGTTTATATAAACATTTAGTTTTATCTATGCCAGAACTTTTAAACCAAATTTTATTAAATTAAACTGAATCCAATAGTGGTGAATATGTTAATTAAATTAATTATAAAGCAGGTTCTTTTCTCTGGTTTTAACAGTAATGTATTACAAGCTTATGTGTATTTGCTTATTTATTTGCAGAAGAGCTGCCATTCTTTTCTTCAGTAAGTTCCATTTTCTCCATGAGATAATTAGATACAGCAGAATCACCCACCAAAGAATTTTATACATGACCCCCTGTGTGTATGGGCACAAATATTAAGGTACAGATATTAGTGAAAACATACTCAGTACCCTAAAAGCATCTGAGTTCCAAACGAAACAGCAGCATGAACTCCAGGAAAGTGAAACCCCAGCACTGAGTTGAGCTGCTAGTGCCTCATTTCCAAGGACCCTTACCTTAACTCCACTTCAGCCAACCACTCCCACAGCCACCTGTGCACTTGTCTTCACCAGGACATGTCTACTTCTGAATTCATGAATGCAGATATCCCACTTTCTGAGCATAATCTCTTACCAACTTGGACCTCTAGTGGTTACTCCTCCACACTTGTCCATGTAATTTATGGATACTTCCAAATCTTGACCCCTCTCCTTTCCTCCTATCATCAACTTTCTCTTTTTACTTTCTTTCCATCTGGCTTATATTTCGTGATCCACTATTCAACTTACATTAATTTCATGTAAATCTCATAGGAAATCTTAACAGGTCCACGGCTGAAATCACCTTTATTACCCAAACCCACTCTCTTTCCTGTGTTCTAGCAAATTACATTACCGTCCATTCTGTTGTCCTGACCGGAAACCCAAGTGCCATTTCTGAATCTCCCATCTCCCTTGCCTCACACACCTAGTCATTTACCTGTTGATTTTATCTCCTAAGTATCTTTCAAATTCATCTGTTCCTTCTGCTACCACCCCAGCTGTGCCTTAGATCATAGCCTATGTGGATTGCTGTAATAGCTTTTTTAATGGTTTCCCTATTTTCAGCCTTGTCTCTCTCCAGGCAACTCTCCAGACGTCAATAAGACTGACCCCTAAAAAATACAAATCTGCTCATGTTAAATTCCTATGCAAAACCCTATATGATTTCCTATTGCCCTTCTGATCAATTTGAAATTCTCTAGCATGGCTCGCAAGCCCTTTCAAGATTTTGCACAGTTAACTTTATAGGCCAGTGTCCTTCTAATCCACACCACCCACTTAATCAGTAGAATTTACTCCTGTTGACTTTCAGTCTTTCTACATTACAACCATAAAAAGGAGAAATAATCCCAAGGACGTTGTACATTGTTTCCTATACTGAGAAAACTATTTTTCCTTTCTTTGCCTTTTCTACCATCCTGTCCCTAATTATTTCTCCTCCTTAAGAGGCTATCATAGGTTTGTTTTCTTTTTAGACCCTTAGGTCTGATTTAGATATCCCACTCGTGTTTTATTGTATACTGAATTTTCCCAAGGATTTCACATGGAATTATATTTGCTGATTTTTCTAATCACTCCCCATGGAATTTGCCCTAAAAATGGTCCCAACATTCCATGCATCTATTCCAATAAATTTTCCATTAAACCATCCTCATCTATTTTTATATTTCTAGAGGAAATTTCTTGTGCTACCTGCAAACCCATTTTCTGAAATAGTGTTTAAAGGTGCTTTAAATATTTCAGATCCCATAGGAAATATATAAATTTAGAGAGTATATATAAAGCATATCTTTGAAGTATATTTCCTCTACAGAAAATACAAAAATGACAGAAGCAGAAAATAAAGTTCTGTCTTTCTCCAATTACAGGTAGCCAAATGTGTCATAGAATTGCAAGTGCTGTTAGGCTTCAAATTATGCATTTTTATAAAAAGGGGTTAATGGGATTTTATACTAAGTTATAAAGTCACCTAGAAGGACAACATTTTTAAGTTTCTATTTTACTGTCAATGACATCCATTTTAATTTTGCTTAGCTTAGAAATTGAAACAAAAAGGAAAGTTTTTTTTTTTTTCTAATTGCTCACATTGCAAAGTTTAGATTATGAAAAATCAAGCTGTGTTCTCTCTGGTTCAGTATCACCTCAAGTAATAAAGTTTCTGCAATTAGCACTTTACTGACAGTTTGGCTGATGATGCATGAGGCAGGGTGAAGCCAGCTCACTCTTCCATAGCTGTAATATCACAGCGTAGCTAAGGGAAGTGTAATTTTAAAAGAAAAGCCAGCAGATATGTCTTGAAAACACCCAGGGAGCTAATATGCTGAATAAGAAGGTGACATTTTTTTACGTAGTTAACTTTTCTGAGTACATCCAAACCATGGCTGTGACTCATGGTTATCAGCATTTTATTCTTAGCTAATGGAGCTTAAATCTTTTGGGTTCTTACAACTGCAAATACAATTACCATTTTATGATTTGTAATTTGTATGTGCTTCATAATTGTCTCCAAATTAACCTGGATCAATTTAACTAAAATTAAAATACTTCCTAAAGTTTGTACCACCTCTATTAAACTGGGCTATTGCAAAACAAATTTGTTTTCTTTCCTACCCCTACGTGGAGACAAAATAATCCTGTGCATATCAAACCAATGCAGCAGAATATATTCTTAAATGTAAACTAGAAAGCTCTGTGATAAATATTTGAAAATTAACTATTTTTACTCATGCTTTACTGACCTAATTTTAATCTACAAATGTTACCATAAAAACTCTGTAAAATTCATTCCACATTAAGACAGTCTCTTAATAGTCCCCCAATTTATTTTTACTGTAAATTAGTTGTCTTTTATGTATCTACCCATAACACTTTATTATAACACTTACCTCACTGAAATACAGGTGGTCCTGGAATTTCGTTTGACTTTCAGACTGTCGTCTTTTCCTTTATTTTACACCTGTAAAATTGACTTTCATACTCCAGAGAGGACCTTTATGTGAAGTCACGATGAATTTGAAACATCCTAAGGCTCTGCCTCCCAGCCAACAGTTCATCTGGCTCTTTTTGGGATTCATTTATGTTGAAGTGCAAAGCTTCATGGTTGCATAATATTCTCGGAAGCATATATAACATTAATCCACCTTTTTAAAACTTCCTCCAAAATTAAGGACAATACACCTACTAGAAAAAAAATCTTCAAATTTAAGCAGACTCCGTGGGAAAGGGTGGAAATATTATGCTCAGGAACTCAGTGCAGTGTGTATTGCACTAACAAGAAAGCCACTTGAAGTTGGTTTGGCAAGTTTTAGTACTTTGCTGTTCTAAGGTCTTCCCAACATGAGTGCCGATATGTTTCTTCCCTTTTAGCCAGAGAAATATGTCAGACTCGGAGAGCTGTGAAAAGTATTTGAAAATTGACTATTTTTACTCATGCTTTGCTAACCTATTTTTAATTTACATGCATTATTGCAAGAACTCTGTTTTATAATTCACTCCAAAATATTAACTCCAAGAATTCAGCTCATTTCTCTTTTTTTGTTTAGCTATTTTCAATGCCTATTCAAGAAAGGCTGCTGAAAATCACTAATCATTGCTATGCCCTACACTGTCCAACACACATGTCATAGTAGGAAATTGCTTAGCTTTGCAGCTTCAATTTCTAAAAATAAATGTGTGTACTGCTTTATCAATTTTTGAAAGTTCAAATTGCAAATATACTCTTTTAGAAAGAGCTTATTTTTTCTGCTTCCTAGTAAACGTTTCTTATAGATAGCTAAGAATAAACTTTAAATAGAAGTTTAATGTTGATAAAATGTTCTAGGCATTAGGTTTGAAGATTCTTTTTTTTTTTTTATTATACTTTAAGTTTTAGGGGACATGTGCACATTGTGCAGGTTAGTTACATATGTATACATGTGCCATGCTGGCGCACTGCACCCACTAACTCGTCATCTAGCATTAGGTATATCTCCCAATGCTATCCCTCCCCTCTCCCCCCACCCCACAACAGTCCCCAGAGTGTGATATTCCCCTTCTTGTGTCCATGTGATCTCACTGTTCAATTCCCACCTATGAGTGAGAATATGCAGTGTTTGGTTTTTTGTTCTTGCGATAGTTTACTGAGAATGATGTTTTCCAATTTCATCCATGTCCCTACAAAGGACATGAACTCATCATTTTTTATGGCTGCATAGTATGCCATGGTGTATATGTGCCACATTTTCTTAATCCAGTCTGTCATTGTTGGACATTTGGGTTGGTTCCAAGTCTTTGCTATTGTGAATAATGCCGCAATAAACATACGTGTGCATGTGTCTTTATAGCAGCATGATTTATAGTCCTTTGGGTATATACCCAGTAATGGGATGGCTGGGTCAAATGGTATTCCCAGTTCTAGATCCCTGAGGAATCGCCACACTGACTTCCACATGGTTGAACTAGTTTACAGTCCCACCAACAGTGTAAAAGTGTTCCTATTTCTCCACATCCTTTCCAGCACCTGTTGTTTCCTGACTTTTTAATGATTGCTATTCTAACTGGTGTGAGATGGTATCTCATTGTGGTTTTGATTTGCATTTCTCTGATGGCCAGTGATGATGAGCATTTTTTCATGTGTTTTTTGGCTACATAAATGTCTTCTTTTGAGAAGTGTCTGTTCATGTCCTTCACCTGCTTTTTGATGGGGTTGTTTGTTTTTCTCTTCTAAATTTGTTTGAGTTCATTGTAGATTCTGGATATTAGCCCTTTGTCAGATGAGTAGGTTGCGAAAATTTTCTCCCATTTTGTAGGTTGCCTGTTCACTCTGATGGTAGTTTCTTTTGCTGTACAGAAGCTCTTTAGTTTAATTAGATCCCATTTGTCAATTTTGTCTTTTGTTGCCATTGCTTTTGGTGTTTTAGACATGAAGTCCTTGCCCATGCCTATGTCCTGAATGGTAATGCCTAGGTTTTCTTCTAGGGTTTTTATGGTTTTAGGTCTAACGTTTAAGTCTTTAATCCATCTTGAATTGATTTTTGTATAAGGTGTAAGGAAGGGATCCAGTTTCAGCTTTCTACATATGGCTAGCCAGTTTTCCCAGCACCATTTATTAAATAGGGAATCCTTTCTCCATTGCTTGTTTTTCTCAGGTTTTTCAAAGATCAGATAGTTGTAGATATGCGGCGTTATTTCTGAGGGCTCTGTTCTGTTCCATTGATCTATATCTCTGTTTTGGTACCAGTACCATGCTGTTTTGGTTACTGTAGCCATGTAGTATAGTTTGAAGTCAGGTAGTGTGATGCCTCCAGCTTTGTTCTTTTGGCTCAGGATTGCCTTGGCGATGCGGGCTCTTTTTTGGTTCCATATGAACTTTAAAGTAGTTTTTTCCAATTCTGTGAAGAAAGGCATTGGTAGCTTGATGGGGATGGCATTGAATCTGTAAATTACCTTGGGCAGTATGGCCATTTTCACGATATTGATTCTTCCTACCCATGAGCATGGAATGTTCTTCCATTTGTTTGTATCCTCTTTTATTTCCTTGAGCAGTGGTTTGTAGGTCTCCTTGAAGAGGTCCTTCACATCCCTTGTAAGTTGGATTCCTAGGTATTTTATTCTCTTTGAAGCAATTGTGAATGGGAGTTCACTCATGATTTGGCTCTCTGTTTGTCTGTTGTTGGTGTATAAGAATGCTTGGATTTTTGTACATTGATTTTGTATCCTGAGACTTTGCTGAAGTTGCTTATCAGCTTAAGGAGATTTTGGGCTGGGACAATGGGGTTTTCTAGATATACAATCATGTCGTCTGCAAAGAGGGACAATTTGACTTCCTCTTTTCCTAATTGAATACCCTTTATTTCCTTCTCCTGCCTAATAGCCCTGGCCAGAACTTCCAACACTATGTTGAATAGGAGTGGTGAGAGAGGGCATCCCTGTGTTGTGCCAGCTTTCAAAGGGAATGCTTCCAGTTTTTGCCCATTCAGTATGATATTGGCTGTGGGTTTGTCATAGATAACTCTTATTATTTTGAAATACGTCCCATCAATACCTAATTTATTGAGAGTTTTTAGCATGAAGGTTGTTGAATTTTGTCAAAGGCTTTTTCTGCATCTATTGAGATAATCATGTGGTTTTTGTCTTTGGCTCTGTTTATATGCTGGATTACATTTATTGATTTGCGTATATTGAACCAGCCTTGCATCCCAGGGATGAAGCCCACTTGATCATGGTGGATAAGCTTTTTGATGTGCTGCTGGATTCGTTTTGCCAGTATTTTCTTGAGGATTTTTGCATCAATGTTCATCAAGGATATTGGTCTAAAATTCTCTTTTTTGGTTGTGTCTCTGCCTGGCTTTGGTATCAGAATGATGCTGGCCTCATAAAATGAGTTAGGGAGGATTCCCTCTTTTTCTATTGATTGGAATAGTTTCAGAAGGAATGCCACCAGTTCCTCCTTGTACCTCTGGTAGAATTCAGCTGTGAATCCATCTAGTCCCAGACTCTTTTTGGTTGGTAAGCTATTGATTATTGCCGCAATTTCAGAGCCTGTTATTGGTCTATTCAGAGATTCAACTTCTTCCTGGTTTAGTCTTGGGAGAGTGTTTGTGTTGAGGAATTTATCCATTTCTTCTAGATTTTCTAGTTTATTTGGGTAGAGGTGTTTGTAGTATTCTCTGATGGTAGTTTGTATTTCTGTGGGATCGGTGGTGATATCCCCTTTATCATTTTTTATTGCATCTATTAGATTCGTCTCTCTTTTTTTCTTTATTAGACTTGCTAGCGGTCTATCAATTTTGTTGATCCTTTCAAAAAACCAGCTCCTGGATTCATTAATTTTTTGAAGGGTTTTTTGTGTCTCTATTTCCTTCAGTTCTGCTCTGATCTTAGTTATTTCTTGCCTTCTGCTAGCTTTTGAATGTGTTTGCTCTTGCTTTTCTAGTTCTTTTATTTGTGTTGTTAGGGTGTCAATTTTGGATCTTTCCTGCTTTCTCTTGTGGGCATTTAGTGCTATAAATTTCCCTCTACACACTGCTTTGAATGCGTCCCAGAGATTCTGGTATGTTTTGTCTTTGTTCTCGTTGGTTTCAAAGAACATCTTTATTTCTGCCTTCATTTCGTTATGTACCCAGTAGTCATTCAGGAGCAGGTTGTTCAGTTTCCATGTAGTTGAGCGGTTTTGAGTGAGATTCTTAATCCTGAGTTCTAGTTTGATTGCACTGTGGTCTGAGAGATAGTTTGTTATAATTTGTGTTCTTTTACATTTGCTGAGGAGAGCTTTACTTCCCAGTATGTGGTCAGTTTTGGAATAGGTGTGGTGTGGTGCTGAAAAAAATGTATATCCTCTTTATTTGGGGTGGAGAGTTCTGTACATGTCTATTAGGTCCGCTTGGTGCAGAGCTGAGTTCAATTCCTGGGTATCCTTGTTGACTTTCTGTCTCGTTGATCTGTCTAATGTTGACAGTGGGGTGTTAAAGTCTCCCATTATTAATGTGTGGGAGTCTAAGTCTCTTTGTAGGTCACTCAGGACTTGCTTTATGAATCTTGGTGCTCCTGTATTGGGTGCATGTATATTTAGGATAGTTAGCTCTTCTTGTTGAATTGATCCCTTTACCATTATGTAATGGCCTTCTTTGTCTCTTTTGATCTTTGTTGGTTTAAAGTGTGTTTTATCAGATACTAGGATTGCAACCCCTGCCTTTTTGTGTTGTCCATTTGCTTGGTAGATCTTCCTCCATCCTTTTATTTTGAGCCTATGTGTGTCTCTGCACGTGAGATGGGTTTCCTGAATACAGCACACTGATGGGTCTTGACTCTTTATCCAATTTGCCAGTCTGTGTCTTTTAATTGGAGCATTTAGTCCATTTACATTTAAAGTTAATATTGTTATGTGTGAATTTGATCCTGTCATTATGATGTTAGCTGGTTATTTTGCTTGTTAGTTGATGCAGTTTCTTCCTAGTCTCGATGGTCTTTACATTTTGGCATGATTTTGCAGCGGCTGGTACCGGTTGTTCCTTTCCATGTTTAGCGCTTCCTTCAGGAGCTCTTTTAGGGCAGGCCTGGTGGTGACAAAATCTCTCAGCATTTGCTTGTCTGTAAAGTATTTTATTTCTCCTTCACTTATGAAGCTTAGTTTCGCTGGATATGAAATTCTGGGTTGAAAATTCTTTTCATTAAGAATGTTGAATATTGGCCCCCACTCTCTTCTGGCTTGTAGGGTTTCTGCCGAGAGATCCGCTGTTAGTCTGATGGGCTTCCCTTTGAGGGTAACCCAACCTTTCTCTCTGGCTGCCGTTAACATTTTTTCCTTCATTTCAACTTTGGTGAATCTGACAATTATGTGTCTCGGAGTTGCTCTTCTCAAGGAGTATCTTTGTGGCGTTCTCTGTATTTCCTGAATCTGAACGTTGGCCTGCCTTGTTAGATTGGGGAAGTTCTCCTGGATAATATCCTGCAGAGTGTTTTCCAACTTGGTTCCATTCTCCCCATCACTTTCAGGTACACCAATCAGACGTAGATTTGGTCTTTTCACATAGTCCCATATTTCTTGGAGGCTTGGCTCATTTCTTTTTATTCTTCTTTCTCTAAACTTCCCTTCTCGCTTCATTTCATTCATTTCATCTTCCATCGCTGATACCCTTTCTTCCAGTTGATCACATTGGCTCCTGAGGCTTCTGCATTCTTCACGTAGTTCTCGAGCCTTGGTTTTCAGCTCCATCAAGTCCTTTAAGCACTTCTCTGTATTGTTATTCTAGTTATACATTCTTCTAAATTTTTTTCAAAGTTTTCAACTTCTTTGCCTTTGGTTTGAATGTCCTCCCATAGCTCAGAGTAATTTGATCATCTGAAGCCTTCTTCTCTCAGCTCGTCAAAGTCATTCTCCATCCAGCTTTGTTCTGTTGCTGGTGCGGAACTGCATTCCTTTGGAGGAGGAGAGGCACTCTGCTTTTTAGAGTTTCCAGATTTTCTGTTCAGTTTTTTCCCCATCTTTGTGGTTTTATCTACTTTTGGTCTTTGATGATGGTGACGTACAGATGGGTTTTTGGTGTGGATGTCCTTTCTGTTTGTTAGTTTTCCTTCTAACAGACAGGACCCTCAGCTGCAGGTCTGTTGGTATACCCTGCTGTTTGAGGTGTCAGTGTTGCCCTGCTGAGGGGTGCCTCCCAGTTAGGCTGCTCAGGGGTCAGGGGTCAGGGGTCAGGGACCCACTTGAGGAGGCAGTCTGCCCGTTCTCAGATCTCCAGCTGAGTGCTGGGCGAAACATTGCTCTCTTCAAAGCTGTCAGACAGTGACATTTAAGTCTGCAGAGGTTACTGCTGTCTTTTTGTTTGTCTGTGCCCTGCCCCCAGAGGTGGAGCCTACAGAGGCAGGCAGGCCTCCTTGAGCTGTGGTGGGCTCCACCCAGTTGGAGCTTCCTGGCTGCTTTGTTTACCTAAGCAAGCCTGGGCAATGGCGGACACCCCTCCCCCAGCCTCACTGCCGCCTTGCAGTTTGATCTCAGACTGCTGTGCTAGCAATCAGCGAGACTCCGTGGGCATAGTACCCTCCCAGCCACGTGCGGGATATAAACTCCGCCGTTTTTTAAGCCTGTCGGAAAAGCGCAGTATTTGGATGGGAGTGACCCGATTTTCCAGGTGCTGTCAGTCACCCCTTTCTTTGACTTGGAAAGGGAACTCCCTGACCCCTTGCGCTTCCCGAGTGAGGCAATGCCTCGCCCTGCTTTGGCTCGCGCACGGTGCGCGCACCCACTGACCTGCGCCCACTGTCTGGCACTCCCTAGAGAGATGAACCCGGTACCTCAGATGGAAATGCAGAAATCACCGTCTTCTGCGTCGCTCATGCTGGGAGCTGTAGACCGGAGCTGTTCCTATTCGGCCATCTTGGCTCCTCCCAGCAGGTTTGAAGATTCTTTTACATTTATTTTTGCTGTTCTAATGGGCTTTAATATGAGACAATTTTTTGAAAAATGCTGATATATTAATAAAAGGGAAATTCATTATATCCATACCCAATATTCTGTTCTGAGCAACACTGAAACAAAGCTTTGGAGAAAGAGAGGCTTTCTGTTTATCATCTCTTATGTTATAAAAGTGTTCTTAAAATACCTTTATTTTCTATGTCAATTAAAATTGCTTTGTAGTAGTGTTGTATATCATCTGGATTACTCAGCTCACAGATATTTTTGCAGTACTCAATTATGTTATGGAGACTGGCTTATGCACGAATCTTTCTAATGGTTATATATAAAGCACTTGAAGTCTCTATTATTTTATAATAGGCAATACCTAGATAAATAATGAATTTAACTCATCTTTCTTATGTGACTCTAAAGGTCAAATCATACCACCTGAATATTTTTATCCTCTCTGAATATTTCCATTAAAGAGTTTATTTAAAAGAATTTTTAAATCTTCTCATTATGTCTTAACAGCATGATATCATACTCTACTTTTTGACTTCTCCATTTGATATGGAATAAAATTGCATCATATGGCCAAGGCATATACACTTAAAGTCTTCAATTTAGAAGCTTTCCAGAGTCAAACTGAGTCAATCTCTACTTTAGAAGTCTCCCACAAAAAGGATCCTACATAAATTATTGTGTGTTTAAAGGTTTCTGATTTTAATCTAATAACTGAAATATCAAAACTATATTTTAATTCAGGCATTTGGGCATCACTACCAGGTGTTCTCATCAGATTTAGGAACCCTGCAGCAAGATTTATCAGTGTCAAAATGCTAAAATCCTAAATTTAGTGCCAGAATCCCTCTCAAATGGCATTTATATTTTGATAGCTTAACCTACTTTGAATCCCCTGAGCATCTTGTCTGTTTTTATTAGTAGATTTTGCTGATCTTTTTTAACTTTTCAAAGGCTCTTTAAATTATCCTAAAGTCATATATTTACCATGAGAAAGCAGGTGTCTTTTTAGAGTGTAGATGCTTAAGTCGCTCATAAAATTAATTTCCTCGGGTTAGGAGAACATTTTGAAACTCTAATTTGAAAAACTCTAATCTGGCTTCTAAAAACACTGTATCAGTATTCAGAAATAATAAAAACGGAAACATAACAACATAATAAATTTAATTTAACCTAGCATAGCAAAAGAGTAGGGCATTTTTGCATAATCAGCTAGATATTTTTCAGAGGCAAATAAAGAGCAGTGGAGACTTTGTTTGGAGACAGCCATTGTTTCAAGAAATGGGTGTTGCCTTGATGAAGCTACCCTTGCTTGTCTCTGCAGATCCGTCTCCTGCTATCACCAGCTCTGTGTTAACATTGCCTATGCTGTGGACACACAGAGATACTTGACAGTCAGTGGATGAACTCAATAAATGTTATTATTTTTAAATACACAGCTTACTAAACAGATAAATAATCTTAAAATTGAGACCGTTCCAGAAACCAGAATGCATTTTCTTCATACTCATAGCTTTTGTGGTTTACATACATTTATATAATTAGAATGCAATAAAATACATTAAACAGTAAAATAATACTCTATATAATTTAATCTCTGGGGATCCAGAAGGCACTTTAAGCTATTACAGTTTCTCAGAGTCAATGTTATGTACTTTATAATTTTTTATTCTACTGGTAAAACATGGTGATATTGATTAACAGAGATTTTAGTAGATATAATATTTTATAAACTGATTTTATTATGTCTTGTTAATATTGGGATAATCAGAATATAGAGAGACTTCTATACATACACATATATTCTATATCTTCATAGCTAGACTTGAAGTATCTCACTTTGATGTTTCTAAAAATAAAGTGAGCACTTTGTTCTTTTTAATATTTTATTTATTTACGTATTTATTTATTTATTTTTGAGATGCAGTCTTGCTCTGTCAACCAGGCTGGAATGCAGTGGTACAATATTGGCTCACTGCAAACTCTGCCTTCCTGGTTCAAGCGATTCTCCTGCCTCAGCCTCCTGAGTAGCTGGGATTACAGGCTACTGCCACCACACCTGGTTAATTTTATTTTGTGTGTGTATTTTTAGTAGAGACAGGGTTTTACCATGTTGCCCAGTCTGGTCTCGAACTCCTGACCTCAGGTGATCTGCCCACCTTGGCCTCCCAAAGTGCTGGGATTACAGGCATGAGCCACTATGCCCAGCCCACTTTGTCCTTCAATTTCTTCCTTCTTCTTCATTTTGACCCCCAGTTTACATCATTAAGTACATAGTCTCGAAACCTCAAAGTATCAGTGTCATCCTTATTTGTTTTTTTTCCTCCTTCTCTGAATTTGCCTGATAGTCAAAACCTGTGCCTACTACCACTTAAAGGTTTTTTTTTTCATCTGTCTGACTAGATTGTCCACTATCTCACCAAATCTTGCTTTGACTAGTAATAATGGCAGTTGAGAGTACTGCCTATCACTTGACCAGACTTTAGCTAAATGCTGAACATTCATTATAATATTTAAATCTTTAAACCAACCTTGATTTTTATTTTGATTTATGAGATGACTCTACCAAAGGTTAGATTCTGATTTTGGAGAGCTAGATCATAATAGAGTCAGAATTAAAATCTGTTCTTAACTTCTACACTGTACTCCAACAACAGTCAAACTGTTACTTTCTCATTCAGGGTAAAATCCTGACCAAACCCATTACTGAAAACCTTCCTTTTTTATCTCAGCTCCCAGTCTCCACCCCATGTATCTGATACACCTGTGACAATGATCTTTTCTCCATATCTAGAAAATATCACCAACTTACAGTGCCGTGTTATGGTATAGGCTCTTATTTCCACTTCCTTTCATCACAGTTCTATTTATTTCTCAATACACTGTTGAAGATCAGTTGAAATATCAATTTCAGCATAACTTCCCATACTTTAGGGGCATAATTTAATAGCTTACCAGACAGTAGCATATAATGTAGTGACTTGGGAGCCAGACTTCCTGGGTTTGAATACAGGATGAAAATTCACCAGTCTTTTGACCTTGGGAAAGTTACTAAACCTTCCTATACACCAGTTTCCTCATCTGTGAAATGAGGCAAATTATAGCACCTACCTCTTAGGGTTGTTATAAACCTTAAATCAGTTAGTACAAGTAAAGGCCTTAGAACAGCACCTGGCACATTGTAAGAAATGTCTAAAGGTTCATTGCTATCATTTATTCATTTCCACATCTCATTCCTAAAATTAAAGGTGTTATAAAATTGCCAGTATAATTAGAAAAAAAATGGGAAAATGTGTTAAAGAAAAATTATAAACAAATTTGAAGAAAATGTAGAATAATACATATATATCTTAGGAGGAAATCTCTTAAGCATATAGAAAATTAAGAAACTATGAAACAAGATTAACATAGTTGACTATACACAAACTTTAATTGCTAATACAGGCATACTTTGTTTTATGCTTTGCTTTATTGCACTTCACAGAATTTTTTTAGAAATTGAAGTTTTGTGGCAAGCTTGCATCCAGCAAGTCCATCAGCACCATTTTCCCAAAAGCCTGTGCTCACTTTCTGTCTCTGTGTCACATTTGGTAATTCTCACAGTATTTCAAACTTTTAAATTATTATTATATCTGTTATGGTGTTCTGTGATCAGTGATTTTCCATGTTAGTATGGTAATTGCTTTGAGGCATCACAACTCATGCCCATATAAGATGGCAAACTTAATTGATAAATGTGTATGTTCTGACTACTCCAAAGACTGGCCATTCCCCATCTTCCTTCCCCTCCTCAGGCCACCCTACTCCCTAAGACACAACAATATGGAAACTAGGTCAATTAATAATCCTACGTGGCCCTCTAAATGTTCAGGTGAAAAGACTAATGAAGAAGGCATGTTGAAGTTGAGATAGGCTAAAAGCTAGGCCTCTTGTGCCAAACATTTAGCAAAGATATGAGTGCAGAGAAAAAATTCTTGAAGGAAATTAAAAGTGCTACTCCAATGAACACATCAATGGTAAGGAAGCAAAACAGGCTTATTCATGATATGGAGAAAGTTTTAGTGATCCGGATAGAATACCAAGCCAGCCACAACATTCTCCTAAGCCAAAGCCTAATCCAGAGCAAAGCCCTAACTGTCTTCAATTCTGTGAAGGTTGAGAGAGGTGAGGAAGCTTTGGAAGAAAAGTTTGAAGCTAGCAGAGGTTGGCTCATAAGGTTTAAGAAAAGAAGCTGTATCTGTAATATAAAAGTGCAAGGTGAAACAGCAAGTGCTAGTGTAGAAGCAGGAGTGAGTTATCCAGAAGATCTAGCTAAGATAACTGATGAAGATGGCTACATTAAGCAACAGATTTTCAATGTAGACAAAACAACCTATATTGAAAGAAGATATCATCTAGGACTTTCATAGTAAGAGAGAAGTCAATGTCTGGTTTCAAAGCTTCAGAGGACAGGCTGATGTGATTCTTAGGGGCTAATGCAGCTAGTAACTTCTAATTGAAGCCAATACTTATTTGCCATTCCAAAATCCCTAGGACCCTTCAGAATTGTGCAAAATCTACTCTGCCTATGCTCTATAAATGGAATGACAAAGCCTAGATGATAGCACGGTATACAAATATTTTAAGCCCAGTGTTAAGACCTACTGCTCAGAAAAAAGATTTCTTTCAAAATATTATTGCACATTGACAATAACTTAATCACCCAAGAGCTCTGACGGAGAGGTACAAGGAAATTAATGTTTTCATGCCTGCTAATAAAACATCAATTGTGCAGCCCATGGATCAAAGAGTAATTTTTACTTTCAAGTCTTATTACTTAAGAAATATATTTCATAATGCTATATTTGCCATAGATAGTGATTTCCCCAATGGATCTGGGCAAGGTACATTGAAAGCCTTCTGGAAAGGGTTTACCATTCTAGAAGTCATTAAGAACATTTGTGATTCATGAGAACAGGTCAAAAATCAACATTAACAGAAATCTGGAAGAAGTTAATTCCAACCCTCATAGATTACTTTGAGGGGTTTTAGATTTCAGTGGAGAAAATCCCTGCAGATGTTGTGGAAACAGCAGGAGAACTAGAATTAGAAGTAAAGCCTGCCTGGGAGGGGAAGGACACGCACCGGAGCCTGTTAGGGGATGGGAAGTAATAGGAGGGAGAGTATTAGGACCAATACCTAATGCATGTGGGGCTTAAAACCTAGATGACAGGTTAATAGGTGCAGGAAACCATCATGGCACATGTATACTTATGTAAACAATCCTGCACTTTCTGCGCGTGTATCCAGGAACTTAAAGTAAAATTAAAAAAAAAAAAAAAGAAGTAAAGCCTGAAGATGTGACTGAATCACTACAGTCTCATGATAAAACTTTAGCAAATAAGGAGTTGCTTCTTATGGATGAGCAAAGAAATAAGTTTATTGAAATGGAATCTATTCCTGGTGAAGATGCTGTGAACATTATTGAAATGATAACAAAATTCTAGAATATTTGATAAACTTTATCAGCAGCATCAGAATTTGAAAAATTTGACTCGAATTTTGAAAGAGGTTCTACTGTAGGTAAAATGCTATCAAACAGCATCACCTGCTATGGAGAAATCTTTCATGAAAGGAAGAGTCAGTAGATGTGGCAGACTTCATTGTTGTCTTATTTTAGAAATTGCCACAGCCACCCCATCCTTCAGCAACCACCACCCTGATCAGTCAGTAGCTATCATTGTCAAGGCAAGGTCCTCCATCAGCAAACAGATGAAGACTGGCTTGAAAGCGAAAGTGATCATTAACATTTCTTAATAAAACATTTTCATTAAGGTATGCAGGTTATTTTTTAGAAATAATACTATTACATAATTAATAGACTATAGTATAGCATAAACATAACTTTTATATGCACTGGAAAATCAAAAGAATCATGTGACCTGCTTTATTGTGATATTTGCTCTATTGCGGTGATCTGGATCCAAATTTGCAGCTTCTGCAAGGTATGCCTGTGTAGGGAAAGGCAGCACAAACTAAACTACAATAGAAGTGACAGAGCACAGAGCAAAAGAGTATACTTTTAACATATGTGTTAAATAAATGTTTAATACACACATCAAATACAGAACCTCTAGAAGTCAATATAATTTAAAATGCAAACACATAAAATAATAAGCAAAACTCTAAATATTCAACATAAATGATATAAAAATGTCCTATAAACCTTTAAAAATACTTATTTAAATAACCTGCAATAACTTTGCCCCTTAAATAGGGTAAATTTATATAGATCAGCACTAATTTAATTTTGGCATGTATCTGAAGAAATGATAAATATTACACATTGTTTATGATGGTATAAATTGCAATATTATTAAAGGATACATGGAATCTATTAAAATGTTTGGAAGTGGATATATCTTATGATTGATTTGATTGATACAGCAATTCCTCTTTTGTGTGTCTTATACACACACATACATAATATACACTTAGGCAAACACATTTCAGACATTTGGATTGGGATCCTGGCTGCTGCTTCAACCTCATCTAATTTCCTATTACACCTCCTCTCTCTCCCTTTTTGTACATTTGTCCCTCTCTCTGATTTCCACCATCTGTCTTTCCAGTTTACTTTCTCTAGTTCCAGACAACAAAAATTCTTTAATCCCACTGGGATCTCCAATCAATTGATTCAATCAACTTTTCATTATGCCTCAACCCTTTGATCTTCTAATCTAACTTCTCATAACTCAAGTTAAATTCCATGGGAAATCCTTAACAATCACTTCCACATATACATCCTTAACTGCCTGCCTCCCTCTTATTGCTTTGACTTGTTTGGAAAAACCACAACTTGGTTAAATCCAGATCACCATTCTCTATGTCTATAATTCTGCAGCTAAACATAGGTAGAGATCAATACACAACCATCATTTCTCATCTTAAATTCGTAACCACAAACCTCATAGAGATCTGTTAATGCTAGTCAGGCAATTACAGTGTTTCCCATTCCTTTAATTCCTTCACTATCCTGTTTCAATTTCACACCTTTTTCTGCTTTCTTATATGTAAAACACCTCCTCCCTGTCCTTACTCTCAAGTGATCACTGTACATCTGATTTCATGAAGAATATTCAAATGATTAAAAGAAAACATCACAGATTCCCATCACCACGTCTGCCCCCACACCGTTTACAAACCCACACTCCCTGCTGCCCATCTTGTTGCCCCAGGTGAACTATCTGAACTACTATCTAAAGTCAGTTTCTTCCCACGTGCACTACATTCCAGCAGCTTTTACTTAGCAAAGAACATTTTCCAGCAATTTCCTTGTCTCTCCTTTAACACCATTTTCTCCCCTTTTCCTACTGGATCATTCTCATCAGCATGTAAACAAGTTATTACTTGTTTCCCAACCTGACCACATTTTTCATCTTCCATCTCCGTAAATCTGATCTGTGCCCCACTATTTATTTCCTGAATTTCTATGATGGCCTTTTACCTGATCTTCCTGCATGTGTCCTCTCACCCTACACAATCTATTCCCAGCATGGCAGTCAGAAACAACCTTTTAAAACAGAAGCCAGGTCTTGCGCCTCCTATTCTGAAATCCTCACTGGTTTTCCCCCACCCCACCCCTCATGTCACTCAGAGTAAACCCTAAGTTCGCATGTGCCTGACAGGGTCTTACATAACCTACCCGCCCCCACAGCCCAGACCTCTCTGATCTTCTGGACCATTGTTGTCCTCATTGATCACTCTGCTCCAGCTACAACTGTCTGCTGCTCTCCCTCCACCTTCCCAACTGAAGGCTTTTGTGCTTGTTGTTTCTATCCTGAAAATGAACTTCTATAATGTGGTTAACTTTCCCTTATCTCATTCAAGTATTTGCTCAAGTCTTTTTCAGTAAGACAGGCCCTAATCATCTTATTTAAAACTGGAACATACACTCCCACTCCCTACACTTCTGCACCCATTTACTTTGCTCTGCTTTTTCTTTTTTCATAGAATGTGTCACATTATAATACTACATAGTTTACTTTTTACTATTTATCATTTTATTACCTATCCCGGTCATTACATTTTGAGATTCAGGAGTACAAAAATCTTTGACTCTTTTGTTCACTGATGAATCACAAAAAAAAAAAAAACAAACCCATCAACTATAACCTATAAAAAACCTATAAACTATAAAATAACCTATAGAAAAACATATGATCACAAAAAAACCTATAACCTATCAGCAAGAAAATTGGCATCAATTAATACTTGCTAAGTGAATTAATGTATTTGTGCAAAATATATATACAGAAGCATGTCTGGTGTATCCTTGTTTTATTTTATTTTTTATTTTTTATTTTTTTATTTTTTTCAATTTTAACTATTATTAACGAACATTTATACATTTATATGCTTTTCCATTTTCTACACTATTATAAATAAGTGTGATGAATATCTTTGTAAGTCTTTGATGATACATGTGATGATTTCCTTAGGACAGATTCCTAGAAGTGGAATTCCTGGATGCAAGAACATGACTTTTCTTTTTCTTTCTTTCTTTTTTTTTAATTTTATTTTTATTTTATTATTATTATACTTTAAGTTTTAGGGTACATGTGCACAATGTGCAGGTTTGTTACATATGTATAGATGTGCTATGTTGGTGTGCTGCACTCATTAACTCGTCATTTAGCATTAGGTATATCTCCTAATGTTATTTTTCCCCCCTTCCCCTACCGCACAACAGTCCCTGACGTGTGATATTCCCCTTCCTGTGTCCATGTGTTCTCACTGTTCAATTCCCATCTATGAGTGAGAACATGCAGTGTTTGGTTTTTTGTCCTTGCAGTAGTTTGCTGAGAATGATGGTTTCCAGTTTCATCCATGTCCCTACAAAGGACATGAACTCATCATTTTTTATGGCTGCATAGTATTCCATGGTGTATATGTGCCACGTTTTCTTAATCCAGTCTATTGTTGTTGGACATTTGGGTTGGTTCCAAGTCTTTGCTATTGTGAATAGTGCCGCAATAAACACGTGTGCATGCGTCTTTATAGCAGCATGATTTATAATCCTTTGGGGATATACCCAGTAATGGGATGGCTAGGTCAAATGGTATTTCTAGTTCTAGATCCCTGAGGAATCGCCACACTGACTTCTACAATGGTTGAACTAGTTTACAGTCCCACCAACAGTGTAAAAGTGTTCCTATTTCTCCACATCCTCTCCAGCACCTGTTTTTTACTGACTTTTTAATGATTGCCATTCTAACTGGTGTGAGATGGTATCTCATTGTGGTTTTGATTTGCATTTCTCTGATGGCCAGTGATGATGAGCATTTTTTCATGTGTTTTTTGGCTGCATAAATGTCTTCTTTTGAGAAGTGTCTGTTCATGTCCTTCTCCCACTGTTTGATGGGGTGGTTTGTCTTTTTCTTGTAAATTTGTTTGAGTTCATTGTAGATTCTGGATATTAGACCTTTGTCAGATGAGTAGGTTGCAAAAATTTTCTCCCAGTTTATAGGTTGCCTGTTCACTCTGATGGTAGTTTCTTTTGCTGTGCAGAAGCTCTTTAGTTTAATTAGATCCCATTTGTTGATTTTGGCTTTTGTTACCATTGCTTTTGGTCTTTTAGACATGAAGTCCTTGCCCATGCTTATGTCCTGAATGGTATTGCCTAAGTTACCTTCTAGGGTTTTTATGGTTTTAGGTCTAACATGTAAGTCTTTAATCCATCTTCAACTGATTTTTGTATAAGGTGTTAGGAAAGGATCCAGTTTCAGCTTTCTACATGTGACTAGCCAGTTTTCCCAGCACCATTTATTAAATAGGGAATCCTTTCCCCATTGCTTGTTTTTGTCAGGTTTTTCAAAGATCAGATGGTTGTAGATATGCGGCATTATTTCTGAGGGCTCTGTTCTGTTCCATTGATCAATATCTCTGTTTTGATACCAGTACCATGCTGTTTTGGTTACTGTAGCCTTGTAGTATAGTTTGAAGTCAGGTAGCGTGATGCCTCCAGCTTTGTTCTTTTGGCTTAGGATTGACTTGGTGATGCGGGCTCTTTTTTGGTTCCATATGAACTTTAAAGTAGTTTTTTCCAATTCTGTGAAGAAAGTCATTGGTAGCTTGATGGGGATGGCATTGAATCTATAAATTACCTTGGGCAGTATGGCCATTTTCACGATATTAATTCCTCCTACCCATGAGCATGGAATTTTCTTCCATTTGTTTGTATCCTCTTTTATTTCCTTGAGCAGTGGTTTGTAGTTCTCCCTGAAGAGGTCCTTCACATCCCTTGTAAGTTGGATTCCTAGGTATTTTATTCTTTTTGAAGCAATTGTGAATGGGAGTTCACTCATGATTTGACTCTCTGTTTGTCTGTTATTGGTGTATAAGAATGCTTGTGATTTTTGCACATTGATTTTGTATCCTGAGACTTTGCTGAAGTTGCTTATCAGCTTAAGGAGATTTTGGGCTGAGACAATGGGGTCTGCTAGATATACAATCATGCCATCTGCAAAGAGGGACAATTTGACTTCCCCTTTTCCTAACTGAATACCCTTTATTTCCTTCTCCTGCCTAATCGCCCTGGCCAGAACTTCCAACACTATGTTGAATAGGAGTGGTGAGAGAGGGCATCCCTGTGTTGTGCCAGCTTTCAAAGGGAATGCTTCCAGTTTTTGCCCATTCAGTATGATATTGGCTGTGGGTTTGTCATAGATAGCTCTTATTATTTTGAGATACGTCCCATCAATACTTAATTTATTGAGAGTTTTTAGCATGAAGGGTTGTTGAATTTTGTCAAAGGCTTTTTCTGCATCTATTGAGATAATCATGTGGTTTTTGTCTTTGGTTCTGTTTATATGCTGGATTACATTTATTGATTTGCATATGTTGAATCAGCCTTGCATCTCAGGGATGAAGCCCACTTGTTCATGGTGGATAAGCTTTTTGATGTGCTGCTGGATTTGGTTTGCCAGTATTTTCTTGAGGATTTTTGCATCAATGTTCATCAAGGATATTGGTCTAAAATTCTCTTTTTTGGTTGTGTCCCTGCCAGGCTTTGGTATCAGGATGATGCTGGCCTCATAAAATGAGTTAGGGAGGATTCCCTCTTTTTCTATTGATTGGAATAGTTTCAGAAGGAATGGTACCAGTTCCTCCTTGTACCTCTGGTAGAATTCGGCTGTGAATCCATCTGGTCCCAGACTCTTTTTGGTTGGTAAGCTATTGATTATTGCCACAATTTCAGAGCCTGTTACTGGTCTATTCAGAGATTCAACTTCTTCCTGGTTTAGTCTTGGGAGAGTGTATGTGTCGAGGAATTTATCCATTTCTTCTAGATTTTCTAGTTTATTTGGGTAGAGGTGTTTGTAGTATTCTCTGATGATAGTTTGTATTTCTGTGGGATTGGTGGTGATATCTTCTTTATCATTTTTTATTGCGTCTATTTGATTCTTCTCTCTTTTCTTCTTTATTACTCTTGCTAGTGGTCTATCAATTTTGTTGATCTTTTCAAAAAACCAGCTCCTAGATTCATTAATTTTTGAAGGGTTTTTTTGTGTCTCTATTTCCTTCAGTTCTGCTCTGATTTTAGTTATTTCTTGCCTTCTGCTAGCTTTCGAATGTGTTTGCTCTTGCTTTTCTAATTCTTTTAATTGTGATGTTAGGGTATCAATTTTGGATCTTTCCTGCTTTCTCTTGTGGGCATTTACTGCTATAAATTTCCCTCTACACACTGCTTTGAATGTGTCCCAGAGATTCTGGTATGTTTTGTCTTTGTTCTCGTTGGTTTCAAAGACCATCTTTATTTCTGCCTTCATTTTGTTATGTACCCAGTAGTCACTCAGGAGCAGGTTGTTCAGTTTCCATGTAGTTGAGCGGTTTTGAGTGAGTTTCTTAATCCTGAGTTCTAGTTTGATTGCAGTGTGGTCTGAGAGACAGTTTGTTATAATTTGTGTTCTTTTACATTTGCTGAGGAGAGCTTTACTTCCCAGTATGTGGTCAGTTTTGGAATAGGTGTGGTGTGGTGCTGAAAAAAATGTATATCCTCTTTATTTGGGGTGGAGAGTTCTGTAGATGTTTATTAGGTCTTCTTGGTGCAGAGCTGAGTTCAATTCCTGGGTATCCTTGTTAACTTTCAGTCTCGTTGATCTGTCTAATGTTGACAGTGGCGTGTTAAAGTCTCCCATTATTATTGTGTGGGAGTCTAAGTCTCTTTGTAGGTCACTCAGGACTTGCTTTATGAATTTGGGTGCTCCTGTATTGGGTGCATATATATTTAGGATAGTTAGCTCTTCTTGTTGAATTGATCCCTTTACCATTATGTAATGGCCTTCTTTGTCTCTTTTGATCTTTGTTGGTTTAAAGTCTGTTTTATCAGAGACTAGGATTGCAACCCCTGCCTTTTTTTGTTTTCCATTTGCTTGGTAGATCTTCCTCCATCCTTTTATTTTGAGCCTA
Source organism: Homo sapiens (assembly GCF_000001405.40). Classification (NCBI taxonomy): domain Eukaryota; kingdom Metazoa; phylum Chordata; class Mammalia; order Primates; family Hominidae; genus Homo; species Homo sapiens. The sequence goes on along the minus strand of NC_000001.11, from coordinate 83,169,695 downwards.
TGTGTGTCTCTGCACGTGAGATGGGTTTCCTGAATACAGCACACTGATGGGTCTTGACTCTTTATCCAATTTGCCAGTCTGTATCTTTTAATTGGAGCATTTAGCCCATTTACATTTAAAGTTAATATTATTATGTGTGAATTTGATCCTGTCATTATGATGTTAGCTGGTTATTTTGCTTGTTAGTTGATGCAGTTTCTTCCTAGCCTTGATGGTCTTTACATTTTGGCATGTTTTTGCAGTGGCTGGTACCGTTTGTTCCTTTCCATGTTTAGTGCTTCCTTCAGGAGCTCTTTTAGGGCAGGCCTGGTGGTGGCAAAATCTCTCAGCATTTGCTTGTCTGTAAAGTATTTTATTTCTCCTTCACTTATGAAGCTTAGTTTGGCTGGATATGAGATTCTGGGTTGAAAATTCTTTTCTTTAAGAATGTTGAATATTGATCCCCACTCTCTTCTGGCTTGTAGAGTTTCTGCCGAGAGATCCGCTGTTAGTCTGATGTGCTTCCCTTTGTGGGTAACCCAACCTTTCTCTCTGGCTGCCCTTAACATTTTTTCCTTCATTTCAACTTTGGTGAATCTGATAATTATGTGTCTTGGAGTTGCTCTTCTCGAGGAGTATCTTTGTGGTGTTCTCTGTATTTCCTGAATCTGAATGTTGGCCTGCCTTGCCAGATTGGGAAAGTTCTCCTGGATAATATCCTGCAGAGTGTTTTCCAACTTGGTTCCATTCTCCCCATCACTTTCAGGTACACCAATCAGACATAGATTTGGTCTTTTCACATAGTCCCATATTTCTTGGAGGGTTTGTTCTTTTCTTTTTATTCTTTTTTCTCTAAACTTCCCTTCTCGCTTCATTTCATTCATTTCATCTTCCATCGCTGATACCCATTCTTCCCGTTGATCGCATTGGCTTCTGAGGCTTCTGCATTATTCACGTAGTTCTCGAGCCTTGGCTTTCAGCTCCATCAAGTCCTTTAAGGACTTCTCTGCATTGGTTATTCTAGTTATCCATTCGTCTAATTTTTTTTCAAAGTTTTTAACTTCTTTGCCATTGGTTTGAATTTCCTCCTGTAGCTCAGAGTAGTTTGATCATCTGAAGCCTTCTTCTCTCAACTCATCAAAGTCATTCTCCATCCAGCTTTGTTCTGTTGCTGGTGAGGAGCTGCATTCCTTGGGAGGAGGAGAGGTGCTCTGCTTTTTAGAGTTTCCAGTTTTTCTGCTCTGTTTTTTCCCCATCTTTGTGGTTTTATCTACTTTTGGTCTTTGATGATGGTGACGTACAGATGGGTTTTTGGTGTGGATGTCCTTTCTGTTTGTTAGTTTTCCTTCTAACAGACAGGACCTCAGCTGCAGGTCTGTTGGAGTTTGCTAGAGGTCACTCCAGACCCTGTTTGCCTGGGTATCAGCAGCGGTGACTGCAGAACAGCAGTGGCTGTAGAACAGCGGATATTGGTGATCCGCAAATGCTGCTGCCTGATCATTCCTTTGGAGGTTTTGTCTCAGAGGAGTACCCGGCCGTGTGAGGTGTCAGTCTGCCCCTACTGGGGGGTGCCTCCCATTTAGGCTGCTCGGGGCTCAGGGACCCACTTGAGGAGGCAGTCTGCCCGTTCTCAGATCTCCAGCTGCGTGCTGGGAGAAACACTGCTCTCTTCAAAGCTGTCAGACAGGGACATTTAAGTCTGCAGAGGTTACTGCTGTCTTTTTGTTCGTCTGTGCCCTGCCCCCAGAGGTGGAGCCTACAAAGGCAGGCAGGCCTCCTTGAGCTGTGGTGGGCTCTACCCAGTTTGAGCTTCCAGGCTGCTTTGTTTACCTAATCAAGCCTGGGCAATGGCAGGCGCCCTTCCCCCGCCTTGCTGCCCCCTTGCAGTTTGATCTCAGACTGCTGTGCTAGCAATCAGCGAGACTCCATGGGTGTAGGACCCTCCGAGCCAGATGCGGGATATAATCTCCTGGTATGCCGATTTTTAAGCCCATTGGAAAAGGGCAGTATTAGGGTGGGAGTGACCCGATTTTCCAGTTGCCGTCTGTCACCCCTTTCTTTGACTAGGAAAGGGAACTCCCTGACCCCTTGTGCTTCCCGAATGAGGCAATGCCTTGCCCTGCTTCAGCTCACGCACGGTGCACTGCACCCACTGTCCTGCACCCACTGTCTGGCATTCCCTAGTGAGATGAACCCGGTACCTCAGATGGAAATGCAGAAATCACCCATCTTCTGTGTCGCTCATGCTGGGAGCTGTAGACCGGAGCTGCTCCTATTCGGCCATCTTGGCTCCACCGTATCCTTGTTTTAATAGAAGAAAACTGTATAATATCAATATTGGAATGGTTAAATACTGTTTTACTTATTATATTGATATTATACATTCATTAGAAGATGACTTAATTAGCCAGGTGTGGTGGTGCATGATTGTAGTCTCAGCTACTCGGGAGGCTGAGGTGGGAAGATGGCTTGAGGCAAGGAGTTCAAGACCAGTCTGGACAACATAGCAAGACCCCATCCATAAAAAAATTCCCAGACTGACAAAGAAACTTAAAAAATAAAACATAGACTAAGATCTCATTAACAAATTAACATTGTATATATATAAAACAGCTGTGAAATAAACTACCAAAAAGATTCTCTTCTACATCATATGTCACCAGGGAAATGTGAGTTAAAACAACGAGATACCACTACCTACCAATTAGAGTGGTCAAAATCCAGAACATGCTGTGGAAAATGTAGAGCACCAAGAAATTTTATCCATTGCTCATGGGGATGTAAAATGGTACAGCCACTTACCAAACTAAGCATACTTTGACCATACTCTCCAGCGATCACACTCCTTGGTGTTTACCCTAATAAACTGAAAATTTATGTCCACACAAAAACTGGCACATAAACATTTATAGCAGCTTTATTCATACTTGCCAAAACATAGAACAACCAAGATGTCCTTCAGTAGGTGAATGGATAAACTTGGTACATCAGGACAGTGAAATATTATTCAGTGCTTTAAAAAGAAAGAAAGAAGCCATCAAGCCATGAAAACATCTAGAGGAAACTTAAATGCACATTACTAAGTAAAAGAAGCCAATCTGAAAGGATATATACTATGTGACTACAACTATTAGACATGCTGGAAAAGACAAAAGATGGAGACAGTAAAATAATTGATTGGTAGTTGCCAGGGTTAGGGGGAGAGAGGGATCAATAGGCAGAGCACAAAGGATATTTGTGGAGGTGAAACTACTCTGTGATATTACAATGGTGGTACATGTCATTATACATGTGTCCAAACCCACAGAATGTACATCACCGAGAGTGAACCCCAGCATAAAGTAGGAAATGTGGGTAATGATGATGTCTCAATATAGGTTTATCAACTGTAACAAAAGTATCACTCTGGTGAGGACTGTTGATAATGGGGGAGGCTGAGCATGTGGGGCAGGAGGGGCTACAAGGGAACTCTTGGTATTTTCTGTTCAATTTTCCTATAAAACTAAAACTTCTCTAAAAAATAAAGTCTATTCAAAATTATATATATAATATATTTTTCTTTTTATAAACAGACACTGTAAGAAACATCAAAACTATCTGTAATAGGCATACAGTTAGGCAGGAGAGGTTTGACAAAGTAGAGAAGGGTAAAAGTGGAATTTTTAATTGATTTTAAATTGTTTGAATTCTTAAAATGATATTCATTTATAGTGTTGATACATTTCAAAAATAAGAAAATTAGGGCAAAGGAAAAATAAAGTAGAAAAAGTACAATGAAATCAAGAGTAACATTAATACACAAGACATGCATATAGAATTCTCTACATTTGCTGTGAGTCATAAAATGGACTCTGATCTTTTCTGCCAACATTGACCAGTTAAATCATGGTGTTAACATGATAGAAAACAAACAAATTATTCGGGAGGTACACATTATTCCTGGCATGAGTACCTAAATAAAAAAATCTATTCTGTGTCTCTATTGAGTGATGTTTGAGCAGCAACTTTAATGCTATCTTTATAGCAACTCAATGCATTTCATTGAGGTTTTTCTTTGTAAATGTTCATGTAGACTGCCACAGTGCAGCTTGATAATACCTGTCTTGTAGGTCTTGAAGTTTTCTAGGTAGGAACTGGCAATGGGCCACAAAACAATGTGATCATAAAACATGGCTCTGCTATGGTCTTGTTTATTCCAAAAGCCATATTTAGAGTGTCCTAAACTAAGCTACTATTTTTTATTCTGCAAAAGTAGATTCTTTGGTCAAATATTTCAGAAAATTTATATCAAGCCAAGTTAGATGTGTTTCTTTGCCTTTGGGACTTCTTAGAGCCTTTAATATGCAAATATGCATTGTAAATCTTTAAGAGTGAGACAGAAAATATTGTGTTTGTCAAGCAAAATTAAGTCTGGGAGCCTATTTTTGAATGAGTGTCTCCAGGGCTTTGATTCCATAGAGCACACGTCTGGTAAGCAGTATGGCCAGATGGCTCCTCCTTTTAGGTGAGTCTCTACAAATAGGGTTTTGTTATTGTGGCTCTTTTCTTTCAATGAGGATATTGATAGGCCTTCTCATGATCCCAGATTTTATTTGTAGGTCTATTATTGTATTTCCTATTTTTGCTGAATTTGATTTTTCTTTACCAATTTCTCTACCACTTTGGAAATGCATCAAGAACAGTTTTTGTTACCTCAGTACCTAATAATGCCAGTGCCTGGCTCAGTATTTATTAACTATTTTTGAAATAAAAACTAAACATAGCATTTTCACAGGAAGATTATAAATCCATGGAGCATTACAGATAGTTCTAAGGTATTTAAATATTCCAAGGCTATGCGGAAAGTTAAATGACATCTTTGTTGCTGAAATTATACCAACCCAACATGTTAATAATCATGCTGATCAGTAACTGTGGTTTGGTAGTTGTAGATGTCTTTATAGTAGTTGGAAAACAAATTAATAGACATAGTTTGTTTAATAATTTTTTTCGAATTTGTAGTTAGAAAAGATGAAAATACTTCTGACTGAGAAAAAAATGTTGAAAAATGTATTCAGCTCCTTTACAGAGAGGAAAACTAAGGCTGATGTGGTAAAAGAGACTTGCCTAATATCACACAAACCCTTTAGAGCACAGTAAGTATTAAAACTCATACTTAATCACTTCCATGCAGTAGGTTTTTTTTCTAGACTCTCCCTTTTGCAAGTTTAATGGTAACATTTCTCTTTCTCCTTGTCTTATCTCCTGTCTTTTATTTACATAGCATGTGACATTCTCTTGCAGTTTCAAGTATTTTTGCCATCTCAGGACTGAGGCCCTGGCAAACTGGCAGTTGGGTAAGCTGCATTTCCCCTCCTTAATTGATGGGAAGCACTGCCTTTGACAGAGCTGATTCACAGTGACGGGGCTGACTGGCTGAAAACTGGTAGGAGGACTTTGCAACAGCTCTGGGCCAAACCGAGTCCACAGGCCATATGTCTGGCTCCTCCGTCATAAACAGATGACCAAGTGTGCACACTCCCAGGTGTAATGTCACTGGGACCTTATTTGCAAACATATAAATGAATGACATTCAATTATGTACAGAGGCAATGTTGTCAAAACCACCAAGGAAGCAATTTACTGCTCTTGCACAGTATGTGACTCACAGTGCATTAGCAAGTTTTCATTGCTTAGTTTGTTCAATATGTTTCTGAAGCAGTTCTTTTGCAGCCTGTTGTGTAACCATGATACACACACTTATATAGCATACATAGATAGGATTAAATTAAGGGTTGTTACAAAATTACCTCAAGTGAAAAAAAATGTATAATAAAATCAGCTAATTTCTTTGTAGACATTGGCCAATTAAAGGGAGAAAAGCATAGTTTCTACAACTAGTGGAGTAAAGTTATTAGTTGATACCAATGGATATTAGCAGAAAATTGATGAAAGGTTTTAAATTTTGGGCTCTATGGGATTCCATTTTTGCTAAATGATATAATATTCTCATGGTAGGAAAAAAGTTCTCTGATTTACATAAAATGCGGGTATAGCAAAAGCAATGGTATTTTAACTTAACAACAGCCCTCAAAACACCCTTATAATGTTCTTGGAACAAATGCTGTAAAAGCTGAAAGGGTTCATTCCTAGGTGTTCCTATTGGCACTATTACTAGTGCTAATAGAAAGCACCCAGAAAACTGAGTCAGGGAGATAAACTATACCTTCACACAATACATAACAACAGTAATAATCATAGTACTTTGCATTGGCATTATGTTTTACAGTGTACATAAACATGAAGTATGCCCTTGAACTTGAGTATTACATAAAACACAGATGGAGTGGGCAGCTTCAAAGGAAGTATCATCATTATTTATCATTTTTGTCTTTCTCATTTCCAAGGTTAGAAAACTGAGATTTAGCGAAGTTATATGACTTATCCAAGGCTATATCTCAATACTATTAGAATCAAAAGTAGATGTGGCTGAGTCTTCTGAATTCTAGGGCAAAGTGTTTTCTCACAAGTAATACTGTCTCAACTGTCAAGAGTACAGGTCTACCTTATAACTGAAACTATCGTAGGTATCAGAAGAGGGACTAACTATATCAGGAGGGCAGGTGGAGGAGCTCCATCATGATGGTCCTAAACCTTCAAAGATGGGTAATGCTTAACTAATACAAGAAAAAAATGAAAGAAATTCTGAGCAAGGCAACACCTTGGATAACGATTAGAAAATTAACATTTGTTGACTGATTTAATAAGTATTAAGCACTCATAAGCACCAGCTAGTGTTCTAGGTACTGTGATTTGGCATTGAGCAAGAGACACCATCTTAGTCTTACAGAATCTATGCTATAAGTGGAATATGGACCCTTAGAAATGAATAATAAAATTTAAAAATTATTTTACCTTCTGTTAAGAAAATAGAGTAAATGGGTTGAAAGTGGTAGAGGGAAGGAGTATTTCAGGCCAAGTCATCAGAGAAGGCCGCTCTTAAAGATGACCTTGGAGGAGACACCTGAATGATAAGGAATGTTATCATGCAAATGTCCACGGAAGCATTTTCTGGTGGATGAGACCAGTGATGCAACCTGGGAACAAATTTCTTTCTAAGTGTGGTAAGAAGACGTTAAGAGGTTCTATGTACTTTTTGAAAAGATCATTATTCCTGCTTTCTTTCACAAGTCCAAAAGAGGTCGTGAATGGAAACAGGAAGAGCAGGATTTTTTGGTAGTTCATGATATGTAGGAGAGGTTTACTCAGAGGGAGAAAGGGTGAAGTGAGAGATCAAAGCAAAATCCTAAATTTTTGGCTTGAGTACTTGAACAGATGAGATGAAGAAGGGTATGAACATAAGTAGGTTGTGATGCTGGCCCTAGTTACTAAAAGGGTGTGTATGTTTATGAAGTAGAAAACAACAGCTGGCTCCATCAGGGCTGTGAGTTTAATGCAGTTGGACTCCTCAGAATGGGCCGTGATGAGGCACGGTATAGAACTGAGAAGAAGGGGATCTGCAACTCAGCCACACCTTCTAAACCAACATCCCAATCTCATTTTCATTGTCTGTAAAATGAGGGGTTAGGTCACATTGATAAAATTTAGCTAATTGTAGGCTCTGAACTCCTTTTAAGAACCTAATCATTACTAACGATTCTCCAGAAAACTAAATTGAACATATGTTTAAAATTCCCATGCAACACAGAGACTTAAGAACTTCTTGGCTTGAATATTATCAAGGATTACTCCAGTTCGAAGTGTTTGATTCTATACAATATCAAAATAAGTCCCAAATTATAGTGATCTAACAAAACCATATGTGACCATTGCAGTGTGGCAGAGTTTTGCTGCAAGTTTGCCCACATATGTGAACTGATGAAGACCCTCATCTTGTAGCTGCAACATCAGGAATGTTCAGCCTCTTTCTTCATTGCATAGTGAGAGAGAGAACCAAAAACCACATAGAGAGTTTTCACTGCCTCTGACTGGAAGTGGCATGCATTCCTTTGAATTTTATATTATTGGCCAGATCTTATCACCTGGCACTTGTCCCCTAACTGCAAATGGGATAGAAAATAGAAAAGAGTGTATTTGGTAGACATTATATATTCTCTTTCACATAAGCTTTCTCCTTACACAGATATTTTCATAGCTCAACCAGAAACTTTTGGTTAAATAAGCATAGACTTGTCTAAATAATGGAATACTATGAAGCTGTCATAGGTTTGTAAAGATTGCTAAGGCATAAAAGTCTATTTAAAAAAAGTACAAAGTAGTGTGGATAGTCTGCTGCCACTCATGTAAGAAAGAAGGAAAATGAGAATTTATGTTTGTATTTGTTTGCATTTGGATAGAAAATCTCCAGAGGATAAGCTTAAAAGTGAGTAGTGATGGTGATGGGCCTCTTGGATGGGAAAGATGAGAGAGTGAGAGCAAAACTTTTCATAGTATATGGTCTCATATTATTTTGATTTTTATATGAACATTCTCAGTAATGGAGGGCATCAAAATATCAGTGGCTAATTCCAAAGCTCCTGCTATTACAGAATAACAGCATCCGATGGAGGAGGATGTTCATGTATCACCAAACAGCTCAAGCATGGCTTCATTACAGTGTAACATGCATCATGTCGTGTGTTATTGCTTACTTAACAAACCTCACTCTATCCCACGGATTAATCAAGATAAAGTAGCTAAATATTGCCTGTCTACAGATGAGGTTTCCATTTGTCAAGAGGAGATATAAAACTAAGTAAGGAATTGGTAGATTTTCTCTTCATCCACTCTTAGTGCTAATATAAGAACTTAAAGGGGATTTTTTGGCCGTAATTCGATATGACATTAATGTTAGAAAATTATTCATCTAAATGAACAAAAAGTTTTCCAAAGTAAAAAAATTATCTTGATAATGTAAATTTATATGCTATTCAAACTTGAAATGCATGAAACAATTTTTATGGTAGTATACTTTATTATGAATCGTTTATAATTTTTGAAGCAAAAACAATGTGAAATCATAGTAAATAGTATAAGATTTGGAACTAGGCAGATATAAATTCAAATCCTACCTCTACTAATTGTGTTCCTATGGGCTTCTTGCTTAATCTTTTGGAGTTTCCATTTCTCTATCTGTAAAGTGAGGATAACAAAATACTTGTATGAAGTTGTGAAAACTGAAATTAGATGTTTGAAACACTTAATACAACATCTCACATAATAAAGCATGCACCATAGATGTTTGCTATTATTAATATTACACATTGGCCAATTAATCACAACATTTACGAATGAGGTAGATATTATTTCTTTTTCCCAAAGATATGGTGAGATTTTCTGGGCAGATAAGAGGTTCCTTTCATGATTTCTCATAATATATGAAGTTAGAAGGAGTTTCAAGATATGAGAAAACATGCTGAGACAGCATGGATTAGTCAAAAAAATCTCTGACATCTGGAACTGCCATTTTGGAAACATGAGCTGTTGTTTAGAGTAAAGATAATATTTGGAAATATACCTATCATATTGTAAGCACTTGCTAAATGAAAGTTTTTACTAGCATTTTGTGGCAAAATGAGAAGATATATAACTGAGACCAGTAAGTTAAGCCATAATCCTAAAAAAAAAAAAATCTGTCATTTAGTAAATGGTTCACATTTGGAGAAGGTTAGTAGGGAGTTAAAATGTTTGAATAATTTGCCATTATAGTTAAATTTTTACCATATTATTAGACTTCAGTGTTTTGTTTTCTGAAATCTTTCCTCAAAGTTGTAGGCTTTATATAATCTTAAACATGTTTCTTCTTTATTTTTAAGCCCAGTGTATCTCAAGGAGAAATTAATTTGTATGTTTCTGATTCTTTTATAGTTAACTAATTCAAAAGTTATTTTGTAAGAATTCTTTGATGTCCAGAAAGCCTTATCGTTTTCTTATAATATATTCAAGGTTTTTTTCTTTTGGAAAATGGAAATCATGTCTTGCTTAAAGTAAATAAACTCAAACACCCAATTTTGGAGGACTATATCAAATCATATTCTCTCTCTCTCAATTTCTGGTAGTATCTTGGCTTACAGAAATGACCATTCTTGTTCAGGAAAGAATTGGATAGTTTAGCCTTTTTCAAGTTAGTTCAATTCAGTACACATTTTTTGTTACCTCTGATATGTGGAGAAATATGCACGTTTCCATGGGTGATAGCAATAAAAATGATACAGAAAAATAATATACAGTGCATATCCTCAAGGAGTTTATATTCTAGAGGTAGAGATAGATACATATTAAAGAAATTATAATATTTGACTGAATAAAATATCCAAAAGAGGTAAAAGCAAAATTTTATCTGAATAGTGGAAGAAGAATTATGAATTCAATTTGAGGAACTAAGGAAGGATTTTCATAAAATATATGGAATTCAAGGCAGCCTTATTAGAATTTCAAGGATTATTAGAATTTCAATGAGTGAAGTAGTTGGAGGAGGGTGTTGCTCTCTCAACAAAACCACTTGGGCATAACATAGTAACTTCATAACTCTATTGCTTGTGAAGCCACAAGTTACAGTACTTTGAATGCCAAGCTAAGAGTTCATGTTTTATTTTCTAAGTAATAGAGGAGCCATTTGAATGTCCTTGAGGAGAACACGTAATGCAAATGCAATTTGGGCTTTAGAAAGATTATGCTGATGGAACTGTGAAGGATGAATAAGAGAGGAGGAAATCAAAAGGTTTGGAAACCAAGGCTGTGACTACTTCAGTTCAGTCAAGGGCTAATGAAGAAATAAACTATGGTAGGAGAAAAGTTACAAAACAAAGAAAGGTAGCCAATTATGATTTCTGGATTTTTACTTAAGATGAATGTTAGTTAGAATATAGACTGAGCTGGCTATAACAAGGAGACCTAAAACTAGAGCAAGTCAAACAAGAGATAATTTTATTTTTTTCTTATATAATAGACCAGAGGTAGGGGCATGGCCAGGGTGGAGAAATTACTCTGCCTCATAAGATCATGCATGGTGCTATTGAAAGAGGAAAATTGTCTCTCAACCACTCTCATTCTGGTCTTTAGAAAGGGGAATGAGGAAGTCAAAAGCAAGAAACTTCCTTTTAGAAAAGTGACCCTAGAATTGTATGCACTGCATGCATTCACATTCCATTCATTGTAAGACTCCAAGAGAATTTTTGATTCAGAGTCTAAAACTTGCTTGTTCAGAGCCCAGAGGTTTTTTCTCAACATTTTGTATTTACACTGTGCATGGTATTTGAAATTAATTTGGGTAATATAGAGAAGTAGGTTATAGAAAGTGGGTTATAGATCCCATGAATGCGAGGATAAGTAGGAGCCAAATGAATGGGAGGAGGAGAGAAGACCCAAGTGAGGCTGTTTCTTTCCCTTGGCTTGAAGCCAGTAGAATGGCCTTGACATGGAGGCTCTGGAACTGAACGTCTTGCCACAGATTTGCCAGTGCTGGACTGTACCAGCAGAAGCAGGAGTCCACATGAATCCTACACAAGCACCAGACTCATTTATTACACTTATCGACCCTGGTTTTTAATATTATGTAAGTATTAGTTTAATGACTGTTACCTAAATACCTTAAGCACTATGAGGCCAGGGACTTGGTCTTTTTTGTTCAACATTGAATTCACTTCATATATCAAAGTGCCTGATATATATTAGGAGCTAGATAAACACAGATATTTTAAATTTATGTTTTAAAAACTTTCAAACCTAGGGAAAATCTGAAACAGTAGTACAATAATTATACATGTTTGCTAAAACTTTTGCTATATTTGCATTTGCATATTTTTCTTTTTCTCTTTTCATCCTGAATCTACTGAGAGTAAGTTGCAAATGTTATGACACTTCCTAAATAATTCAGAAAAGAAGGAAGGAAGAAACAAACAAAGACACACCTGTCTGTTATCCTTTTAATTTCTTTACTTTTCAATTTACCATGTCTTTGTGTTTAATTATCATTCCAAGGATAACTTAAGTAAAATTACTTGGGAAAGTTTTGTTTCATAGATACTTCTAACAAGATAAACTGAAGTCATTTACATGAATGTTATTTCTGAATATTCTACAAAAATAGATTTCATAATCACTTAAGAAGCTATCATAAATCAAAAGTCTTAAAATTAAATTTTATAAATGTTTAAATGATGCATTTTTCCCAAAGAGTAACTATTAGCTAAATAAAAAGAGAAAGTGCATGCCAAAACGTGAATAGAGTAAAATTGTAATAAAGCAGCTTTTATTCACTTGAGTTTTAGAAATATTCTTCATTGGCTATTTTTGCTTTACTTTGAGAAATGTGATTTTAAAATTGAGATACTTGTAAATAGAGGTAAGAAAATCATTTTCAGAAGGTTCAGCATATCCTAGAGGATTTCTTTCTGCTAGAAGAATAAGTTATCGACATTTCGATGACATTCATAGACCGCCCTAGAAGTTAAACATCAATAAACTCAAGACAATTCTGTAATTAGACTTTAAGAAGTTGGAAGTGGGATTTAAACCAAGCAAACAAGAGACTTGACAAAGCACAAAACTGATGTTAGGAAAACCTATAGTTGGTATTGCCAAAACACAAGAACACTGTCATTCATAAAGGACCTACTAACTTCCCAGAGACCCAGATCTAGTAAAAGGGCAGAGTAGATACAAAAGCTTATGTTTGACTACAAACAAATACCTTTTCTCTAGTTTAATATACAGCCTCCCAAACACCGAGGAGAATACTTAAATAAGAGAACGGGAAATCCTCTGTTGAGAAATCTCATATATTCTGTCCAGAAAATAAATGAAGACATTATATCGTGTATAAATATTCAATATCAGAATGTTGGCCAACAGATTTGTTCATAGAATAGTACAGTGTATATTTGTTTTATTCCCATACAAGGCTTAAAAGTTCCACACATTACTTACAGATACATAAATTACATATATATTTTAGCTTTCTAGTTATTCTATTTTACATTCACAGTACCTTGCAAAGGAAGTAGTGAAACTTTTAGCATTCCCATTTCAAGGCAAGGTAACTAAGGGACATCAAAATTAAATGATTTATCCAGTGTCATTCAGCTTGTCAGCACTGCTGAACTATAGGTAGCCATGTCCCCGGCACACTCTCTGTGTTAAGGATTTTACTGTCTAGGGATTCTGAATGTTCAAGATCTTCTTTGCTATTATTAAAGGAGAGATTAAGCTCAATTAAAAATTACAAAAAAAATCAGCTGTATTGTCATTAGAGGGTTAATCGAAATTTTAATGTTATAGATCATATTAACCTTTTCTAAATAAGAGCACCTTCATCTGAGTTTATCCTTGTCAGACTTGCCCCTTATAACATTAGGCAGACCATGACTCCTCTTCAATCCTAATAGGTGAAGAAGACATCAGGACAGCATGGAAGTGTGTCCACAATTACTCTGGGTTGTCACAAAGATCTTGACTGTTATCTAGGATGACCCTTTTTAGCATTTGAGGGGTCTCTTTAAAAATCAAACAAAATATATGGTCCTCATTCTCATAAAATAAAACAAAAACAAAGCAAAACTGAAAAGACCAAGAAACAAAAAGGTAAAACAGATACACATGGGATTGTTCATTACCTGTAGGTTAAGAAACCCTGGTCTGGGAATATGAGATTGAATCAGTGTACCAGCTTTGAAACATAGTAAGAACTGAAAGACTAATAGATGACAGAATGTTACAGACGAATTCACAATGAGCCATGAAGGAATAGGAGACCAATGGCAAGGATATAGAAGAACCTGGGCCTGAAATATGCTAGTCCTTCAGTAGCGTGACTTAGATAAGGATCTGTATCCCTGGACTCCCCATTTTTTTGTGGAGACTATACCTGGACTATTTTATTTGACTGAACATCTTAAATAAAAATTCAAGGGAAAAGCAGTAAAAGTACATAACACAATAGAGAAATAAATGAAGAAAAATTAAAAGTACTTTAGATTTTCCCAACATGAATAAAGAAAACTGTCTATAGAGATATCTAAATTATAAAGAGAAGAAAGACATATTTTTTTATCATGGTTAATGGAGTTATAACTAGAAACAGAGAAAGCTATATATGTGTATTTTTATAGGAATGAACATATGTACTCTCTCTCACACACAAACACGTGTGTGTGCATATGTGTGTATGTAAGAGATATACCATTTATCTATCTTCCTAGCTCTCTATATAATTTCTTTGACAATATCATTACTAGTAGATTCAGGTACTATCTCTCAAGGGATGTAGTATAAAATATAGCTTTCTCTGTAGAATGAAAAAAACAGACTAGATATGTGTGAGCAGATTGGTGTATGCAATTTCCAAGTAAACTCCAAGGCAGTAAAATATGAAAGTTTAAAAAAACCAAGTTTCCAAAAATATCATAGAATTTCTGAAATATGTATATATCATAGAGTATATTTCTATGTAATCAATTAGTATAAACATGCCAAAAATATTAGCTATTAATTAAATTGGAGCTATAAAATAAGACTATTCATTTAGAGTTTTACATGGTATCTCTGTAAACATGATTAAAGTTCTAACCCATTGTGAGATGAGGAATAGGCTGCCTAGCAACTGTTTTAACTAGTTCCCCTGAGATTCTCAAGCAAAAAATGGGTGTATGGATGGGAGTATTTATTTTTGTTTTTGTTTCTATATTAAAGCTTCTAGATGATTCCTAACTAGTCACTCTCATTGTTTTTCTTCTTTTCATCATCTGAAAGTAATAATTTTTAAAAATAGGAAAGAAAAAAAAGAAGGAAGGAAGGAAGGAGGAAGGGAATGAAGGAAGGAAGGAAGAAAAGAAAGATATATAAGGATCAACATGAGCCATTTCAAGCAATCACTGAAGAATCCAAATATAGTAATGCAAATCAAAGTCAGATGCTTCTGTTTATCAAATACAGGCATATACAGCTTTTTGTGTAATGCTCACAAATCAAATTCAAAGTAATGATACTGGCTTAATAAACTACAGGTTCATTGAAATGAATGGCAGGAAAGGTAGCATTTCTTGACTCAGGATGTAAGGGCAACTTTAAAACTCTATAGCTACTTCTTGAAACCACACATTGCCAAGAAGATGTTCTCATAAAGAAAACATGGCAGATTAGGTCATTCTCCTCCTTCCTGACTTCCTGGTTAGGTAAAATCACACTCATAAAACACTCCCAGCACATATTCATAGGATGTCCTAGCATGTTCCACCAGGAGAGGGGAGAGAAAGTGTTTGGTGGTGATTCAAGCAACAGTAAGCTATGTAGAGGGTTTTGAGTGTTTCCTTAGAGAGAGAGAGAGAGAGAGAGAGAGAGAGAGAAAGAGAGAGAGGGAGACCTTGTTTTTACTACATAGCTATCATAAAGCCCTTATGAGTTTGAGAGAGAAGAATTAAGAACGGATCTCAGGTTAAATTCCAGAGTTAATGATGTGTTAATGAAGATGTAGGAAGCAAAAATGATTAGTTTAAAAGGTCAGAATCTCAAGCAAAACAAAAGAGGTGGTAGGTCTGGAGTATCACTGATAAGTTATATAAATAAGATGTTTATTAACATACATTACCTATTTATGCAATTATTTTTGTAGCTTTTGACTCCATTCTAAGACTATATTGCTAATAGGGTTTAGTAAACATAGTTTTGCAAACCTACATTATAAAGATGTTTCAACCTCATACATTGGCCTTTACCATCACGTTGAATACAGAAATACTGTTCTCTCTGGAATTTATTCTGAGTCCTGGGTTCATTTACGTTTTATCAGTGACCCAACATGAAACATAACATTTACTTTTTGTTTAGTACTTTCCTGAAGCAGACAGGAGAAAGTCATTGAAATTGCTTCAAATTACCTGAGAAATTGCCATAATTTGCAACTTCACAATGCAAGCCTGGATCTCCCAAGTTAGCTCTGATCTCAATGATGAGTTTAAATGCCAGGATGATATTTTAACTATGCAGAGTCATAGGCATACATGAAACTCCATTAGTTTAGAATCTAATGAAGACTTATGTTGACATATCATTCTATATATTTCAGCATATTATCTACTAAGACATTATAAGAACAAAACCCCCCAAAATTCCATTCTTTTTTGAGGTAGGGTGGCTTTTTCTCTTTTAATATTTTTTTACATTTGAGTTCTTCATGTTTCCTGAAGGTAAATGATGCATGAGAAAACTTGGAATATCTTGACTAGCATTTTAAAAGCATATTAAATATTATTTTCAAAACTGAACTATGAATAGTTGTGCACAACAATTTTCTTGTTGGAAATAAATTCTGATATTTATCCATTTTTCCTTTGATGACCTAGCATACTAATGCTATACAGACTACTTAATTCTTCCCCAATGTTGTGAAACTCACAATTTCATGAAAAATCAAGGATACAGATACTCTTTGAAGGGGTGATTTATATGTTTAATGGAAGATGGTTATTTTTTACAAGGACTTTGGATTCTTGTGAATGTAGGTTTTACAACTAAAAATATGTTAGATGTTATTTTTTATAAATTTCATGATAGTCCTAAATTTCATTAATGTACAAATAAAATGATTCCATGGTTAATACAGTCCCAGAACTACCAGAGACCATGTTATTTAATTGCTATAAATCTTCCAAAAACAACAACAGCAAGAAAAAAGTTAAAATTCCTACCTAACCTGGTGTGTTATTTAAAAGGGTACCATATTCATTGCTTTATTCATCCTAGTTTTCTGCAAGAATTGAGAAAAATCTTTATATAGTTGAAGGTTTTATAATGAGGAAAAAAATCAGTAGCTTGCAAGGAAGCTAAAATAGGTTCAATGTTGCTAAACTGATACAAGTTGTACTCTAAAAATGCAACAATCATTGAGAATATCTAGGACAACCTTCTTTCCCCTTTTTTTTTTTTAGGGTAGATCCTCTGTTATGGTCTCACTGCTAGGAACTTCTTCACATTATTTCATAGAAATCTTGTGTAGAGCATAGAAAGAGTTGTGACAGGGTTGTTTTGAAATATGTGCTTACTGGAGCCAAACTGCTAAATTTACCATCCATCTGACATGAGAAAAATCATTTGATTTTTCTGTGCCTTAGTTTCCTCATCTTTCAATGCAGATAATAATACCCATTGCAAAGATTGCTGTGAGTATTAATATACATAAAGAACTACGGTGTCTGTCCACAAAATATCAGATGGATTGTGACATGGCATTATAACAAGCATAATGTTGTGTTGGCAAAATATTGTATCAGTTTTATAATTTAGTGCTTTGAGGTCCACCAAATGTAGTTTTTAATTTATTGAACAAGCATATTTGAGCTCTGAATTAGTTAAGATCAACTCCCTAAAATTATTGGTGCTACTTAGGAGGCCAGCGGTATAAATTGTTACTATTGTCAATGTTCCACACAAATCACTTAGGATATGTGAATGTCTGCTGGACAGAATTCGACTTCTTTTGTGGGGAACTATCTTTTGTAGGGAAATGGGCTCATCTTTGAAGACATTGTACAACCAAAATCAAATCATAGCCAAGAGACCCACTTTATTAATTTGTCCAATTTGATTACTAAGAATTTAACGAGTATTAGCTTCTTTAAACATGCAATATGAAATAATATTTTAATTGCCTGGTATAAGCAATACACCAATTAGGAGATTTGCTGAATGTCCTAGCATTTGTGCATCTTTATAAACGCTTCATGGATAGTTCCAATAAGAATCCATTCCATGCTGACTGCTGTGCTAGGGCTACTCACCCAGAGACGTGATAGGGGCTACTCCCCTAAGACCAATTCCTCCTGGCAGGCCACTCACAATCTCACAGCGGGAGGCAGCTAAACACAAAATCAGTATTAATATAAAATCAACTGCTATATTTTTAAAGAGTAGTGTTTGGATTACATAAGCAATCATAAAACTCCAGTTGGCTTTAGCAAGAGGTTTAGTCCTATAAACTCCAAAGGTTTTCTGTGTGTGCTGAGCAGACAAGCATCCTAACAGAATAAGCCAGAACTTTCCTAGCCATCCTAGCATGTTTGTGCCTTGTAAGATATTCCCAGTTACATCCTTTAATTTGCCAAAGGGCAGAAAAAGAATTTGGTAAGTTAACTTTCCCACATGCACAAATTTAACTGCTGTTTTGGTATTCCACACAGGGGCCAGATTGGATGGAAGGGCAAGAGGGCCGCTGAGGGAGATCACTGCAAGTGAAGGCAAAATCTAGTCTGATGGCTCAGACTAAAAAACTTGGCCTGCCAATAAGAGGGAGCAGTGCTTCCAGTGAAAATGTGAGGCAGTGCCTGGCTTTCCCTGCTATACTCCACCCTCCTCCAGTCCCTGGACTGCCTGCCAAGAAAGAGAAGGGTGAGCAATAGAGAAGGAAGTGAATCACTAGCACTTCACAAGTGCTGCTGCAGAGGCCTGCCATAGAGAGCTGGCCCTGAGACCTAGGTGCTCTCCTGCTGATCTGAGAGGGCAGAAAAATAAATAAATAGAAATGTCAAAAAGAGGACAGCAGCAGTGTAGGGAAGGGAGGCAGAGAGGAACAACCCCGGGCAGGAGGAGTGTGGGTCAAATGTGAGAACCAATACCCTCCTTCCCTAGCTAAAGTTGTTCCCCCATCAGCCTCAGTTTCCACCATCTCTGAGGGATTCACAGGAGGAATAACTGGTGTGTTAAAATCCACCAACCACTTATATACAGGAAAGAAAAAAAAAAGGTAGGGTCTTTAATCTTGTTGTAGTAAAGGAAACACAATGGAAGATAAGCGTAGAGCCTCTCGGTGAGAGGAGTGGCAGGTTTTAACAGAGTTTCTCCTTGTGCTGAATTATTGAAGAAGGGCTTAGGGATGTGGAAGCCGATCTGGATACACTGTCAAGAAGAGGGGGCAGTTTAGTTACCGGACATTTCAGTAATCTTTGTTCAGGAGGCCAGATCAGCTACGCAAGAAAGCAGCAGTAACTCAGAAGTAGCTTCAGTGTGATCTTGGCCACGTCCTGTTAGAAATACACTTTGTTCCTGTTGGCCTTGTCAGTGTCCTATTGGAAACATGGTTAATGTCTTGGCATCAACATCAGAATTCTATTACTAACAGTGCTGCTTTCCGTGGTCTCAAGTAGGAGATCCTCAGAAAGGACAAAACTCCAAGATATTAAAAGGAGAAAAGGAGCAGCAGGCATCAGAATTTTGATATTTTGTTTATTTTATAAATATGGCACACGAGTTTGGCTGGTGAGGCCAATAAAATACAGATTTTGTGTGTGTGTGTCACTAGTGTGAAAAAAGAGTTGTAGTGGAGAGCTTGGTATGTCAGGCAACGGTGCTAGGAGAGGCTGTCTTTTGGGAAATATTTCATAAAATGGGAAACACTTGGAAGAATTGGTAGTTTGATAAACTCCATAAAAGTGAGTTGAGTGTTGGCCATAGGTGAGAACAGCATGGAAGGAGTGGAGGGAGTGGAGAGAAAAGAATGTGTCCCAGGAGAAATAAAGGGCTGCAATATTTCAATGTACAGAGACCTGAGTATGTTTGGGTTTAGGAGACACTGAGTTACACAGAGGAATAAAATATATGGTCGAAGGTAAAAAGCGGCTTGGGTGAGGCTGGAGACAGAATCTTAAATGGAGTTAATACATTATTCTATATGTTCTTCTGAAGGATCAAAAAATATTATTTTATTCTCTAAAGATTATTCCCCAAGATAGTAAGTATCATAAAAGTACTTTTCTAAGACAGTTGATCCGTATGCAATTAGCAAAGTAAAACAGACTGGAAGAAATAAAAATATTACAAAATTGGTAAACTGTTATTCTGTGTTTACATAAGACAAGCTTCCTAAAACACTGCAAAGTGTATCATTTTATTATCTACACAGAGCAGAGAAAGCAAAGGCAAAATGTTAATTATGTTTTATGCTTGCTGCTGGATTCTATTATGTATTTATGATTTTTAAAATTGTAAATACAATGCAAGTACATATTGCTGTTATCTTCAGTTTACAAATGAAGAAATTGAGGTCCATTTGGTATAAGTGGTTTGCATAGGATCACAACAATGAAGTGCCACGACAGTGATTGCAACCCAGGTTTCTCTATTTCTGATGCTATACTATATGTGTTCCAGTAATCCATTTCATCCTATCTTTTGTGTCCACTTAGTTACTATCTACTACAAATTCTACTTTTAAATACTATTTATTTCCTCAAAACAGAAAAAAACATGAAAATTTGTTTATCCTATCTCTTCTTCCAACCACTACGTCATTCTTCTATTAACTTTTCTTTTAAAGAAAAGTCTCCAAAGAGTTGCTCTTTCCACTTCTTCACCTTCCAGTCTCGTTTTTTTTCAATCAGCTTTATTGCAGCATAATTGACATATAGTATATACACATCATTGTTAAGTTTTGATCTGTGCATGCACCCACTTAACCGTTACTGCAGTTATGAACCAAACTCACCCATGAAAATTTCCTCATGGTTCCTTGTTATTCCTACTTCCTTTCATTATTATGGATTGTAGTTTTCTGTATTTTGGCATTTATGGTAATTTTGTGGAGAATGCAAAATTTTTGTGAATATTAATTTGTTGGTGCTGGTTTTTTTTTTTATTTCTATAAATATTATTGAGCTTCCTCTTGAGATATAGTTAAGTTATATGAGTCTTATTATAAACTTTGTTGCATGAGAAGATAGTAGCATTTCATTTAGGACTAAGTTCACCCCTCTGTTTAGACATAAATCTTCTGAGCAATCTACCTGATGTCCTGTGAATCATGAGGTTTTCCATTCTGGCTGTTGAGAACAACACTATTCCTATCCCTTTGTGAGCATTGAAGACTTTTCCCTCATACCCTTTCAGGTGGTTCTTTTCCCAAACTCAAGTAGTTTTCTCACATGCACTGAGCAGTACTCAGCTGTATGTACAAGGGGGACTCTGGAGATTTCTGGGGTTATTTCTTTGTATAGCTCTCTGTACTTCAGTACTGTGCTGTATACATGCCAGCCACCTTGATCTCTCTGCAATTCCAGCTCCTCAACTCAAAGTTCTGTGTTTCACTTGTGTTCCCATTCTGTGGTATAAGAATAAATGCATATTTACTGTTTGTTCCATTTCTGGTACAAAGCAGAGCCTAAAAGCCTTGTAACTTCCTGAGTGATAGGAGTGTCTTTTGTTAATAATAACAAACTTCTTTCAACCACATTTGAATTTATGCTAATGAGGTGACCCTCTTATGGCCGTGAGATAGCTTCAGGGTGGGGGTTGGTTGTCAGAAGAACCAGCCTTCTCATTAGAAGGTTGGAATTTTCAGTCCCTTAACCTCCAGGGAGAGAAGAGGGATTGGAGATTGATTTCACTCACAAGTGACCACTGATTTAACAAATCATGCCTATGTGATGGAGTCTCCATAAAAAACCCTAACCCATGGGGTTTGAGAGCTTCCAGGTTGGTGAACACATTGAAATGCTGGAAGGGTGGTGCAACTGGAGAGGTCATGGAAGCTCTGCACCCTTTCATCCATACTTTGAACTTTGTGTCTCTTCCATTTGGCTGTTCCTGAGCTTTATAATAAACTGGCAATAGTAACATTAAAATAATTAATTGGGAGGCCAATAGGCTGAGACAACTAGCACCTTGGGTTCTTACAGAAGCAAACCAAAACCCAACTCAGTGTCAACAGTAACATGAAACTTAAGCTTAGCTAATCAGCTACTGCCAATCAACCTCTAAGGACTTCCACTTTAACTGGTCAAATATTTTCTTTGTCATGTTTCCATGTGTCCCTTATAAAAGTGTTTGCCTCATGCCCCCTTAATGGAGCACTAACTGCTTGTTTTCTGGTGCTGGCCAATCCGTATATTGCTGCATGCTCAAATAAATTCATTAAGATTTTAATTTGCCTAATTTTATCTTTTAATAGTCTGTAAAGCTGTTTCCAGTGTCTGTAAATTGCTACACCAAATTCTTAATCATGGGGGGATGTCCTGGGAACCCCTTACTTTGTAGTTGGCCAAGCATAAAGGTAGGTAGCCTAGGCACCCCATTAGCAACTGGAGTCTGAAGTGTGGTCAGTCTTGTGGGACTGAGCTTTCAAACCTATAGAGTCTCATGCAAACTCTAGGTAGTTAGTGTCATAATGGAATTTAATTGTAGGACCTCTGGTTGGTGTAAAAAATCAGAGAATTGGAAAATTGGTTGTTGGTGTTAGAAAACACCCAGGTCCTCCTTGTGCTATGACCTGGAATCTTTCTCCAGGCAGTAAATAGAGCAATCAAAAGGCTCATGCTTCTTGTCAATGGATCATTGTCTTTCATTTTTTAATGGTCAATGTATTGAGAACTTTTATTTTAAATATTTTGTCCACTTTTTTAGTTGCTTCATGTGGGAGAGTAAGTCCAGTCTCTGTTACTCCCTCTTGGCAGGAAGTGAAAATCCCTTTATCTCTCGAATCTGCAACCCCACAACTTTCCATCCGCAGTCATCATAGATGCTCCTACTGTTTTGTTCACGTGTGATCTTCAAAGGTCAATTCTCAATCCTCATCTTATTTTATCTACTACTGACAATTCCACATAGTTACTTATTTCTCTCCTCCCTTGCTGACTTAGGTTTTCTAGGGTGGCCTTTTTAAAGTGCCACAAATGGGGAGTTTACAATAAACAGAAATTTATTTTCTCCCTGTTCTGGAGAATTGAAGTCCAAAATCAACATGTTGACAGGACTATGCTCCCCTCTGAAACTCATAAAGGAAGAATTCTTTCTTGTCTCTTCCTGGCTTCTGGTGGTTTGCCAGCAATCTTTGTCATTCCTCTACTTGTAGCAGCAGCACTTCAATCTCTGCCTCCAATATCATGTCATTCTCACCTCATGCATCCATGTCTTCACATGGCATTCTCTTCTGTGTGTTTCTATCCCTTCTTCTTATAAGGACACCAGTCATATTGGATCCCTATTCTAATGACCTCCTTTGAATTTGATTACATTTAAAAGATCTTATTTCTAAAGAAGATCACATGCACAGGTACTGAAGCTTCAGATTTCAACATATATTTTGGGAGAACAACATTCAGCCTGTAACACTGATTATTCTATTCTACCTTCTTCTGAACTTCTGAAAGTTGAAGCATCCTAGCTGAGTCTTCAGACTTCTTCTTTTGCATACTCCCTCAGTAATAATCTTATTGGGTCCTAAGTCTTTAAACATCACCTCAACATTAAAGTTTCCAAACATTATATTACTGATGCCAATTTGTTTTCTGAATTCCAAATTCATATGTTCAACTGCAAAATCTATATTTCTAACTAAAGAAATCCAAAACAAAGCCTTTTTTCTGATTCCTGCTTACCCTCCCATCAAACATGTCCTTCTATTCTTTCTCATCTTAGGAAATGAAAATACTATTTCTCACTGTTGCTCACATTAAAAATTTGAATAATTTTAAACTTTGTTAAAACCCAGTAAATCTGAAATTTAGCATCCTAAATTTACCATCTAGCATCGTCTGATATCCTTGCCCAGTCATCATTGTTTTTTGTTTCTAATTTAACTTTAGCCCGTGCAATAGTTCTCTAATTGGTCTTCCTGTTTACATTATTACACATTGTATTCCATCATCTGCAAACTAACCACAGTAGTCATTTTCATGTTCAAAACTTTTATTGGCTTCTCATTACACATAGAACAAAGTTCATATTTTTAAACTCTAAACAATATTGTTCTATGTAATCTAGCATTGCATCCTCCTCCTCAATCTCACTTCCTTCCCTTCTTCCTGTTGCTCACTCCACTAGCTTTCTAGCTTCTGTTTGAATAAGTCAAGCACTTTCCTACCTCAAGGGCTTTGCAATAGTTCCTTTCTGCCGGGCACAGTTTTCTCAACCTTCTCATGAATTTCTTTCCACAAATATTCTTTTTTTTTTTTTTTTTTTTTTTTTGATGGAGTCTTGCTCTGTCACCACCCAGGCTGGAGTGTAGTGGTGTGATCTCAGCTCACTGCAACCTCCACCTCCTGGATTCAAGTGATTCTCCTGCCTCAGCCTCCCAGGTAGCTGAGACTACAGGCATGTGCCACCAAACCCAGCTAATTTTTGTAACTTTAGTAAAGACAGGGTTTTACCATGTTGGCCAGGATGGTCTTGATCTCTTGACCCCGTGATTTGCCCTTCTAGGCCTCCCAAAGTGCTGGGATTACAGGGGTGAGCCACTGCGCCTGGCCCTCTTCCCATAAATATTCTATAGTTCAATCTCTCTTTTATTCAAATCTGTGTCCCCAAAATCACTTCCAGAGATGACTTAAACCACTGTGTGTCCTGACCACTGTGACTTAAACATCACACCCAGGATTTCTCCATTTCTCTCTGCTTTATTTCTCCTTATAATTCTAATCCTTTATTGACATTATTTTAGAGATTTCAGAGATATACATATTTGTTTGCATGATTTCCCCTTTCCTCCATCAGACTGCAGCCCTATGAGGATCAGGATTTTTGTCTGTTTTTAGTATATTTAAAAAATTCCTGCTTAATACATAGGAGTTATTCAAAATATTTCTGAAAATGGAGTAATTTTTATTTATTGATACATACCTAGTATTTATCAGAATGCCTGGCATAATATAGGTTTCAGTAGGTATTTGCTCAATGAATGAAGAGTTTCTTAATGTAAACTGAATAAACAGAAACAATTCATTAGGAAATGTAATTTAGATTTAAAAGGCCTCTGTTGTTTACAAATGAATTCTAATCAGGTAGGTACTAGCAGCTCCTCAGGGAGGTAAAAGCTATCATTTAGAATGTAGCTGCCCTTTCTGGGTAGCTTTTTGTTTTTTCTGATCATAATGGCATGCAAAAAGATAATACAAGAAAGTACCAATGCTAAGGCTTACATTGGTAAAGAGAGAGAGAATATTACTCTTCAGCAATTGTTCATTGTTATCAGTACTGGATTTGATTACGGATATAGGATTTATAGCTCTAAATTTGGTTCTAAAGAAACCTTTAGTTTTGAAATAACTGTAAGAATTTGTAACTCTTGAGTTTCCAATATTAAATCATTTTCCCAACTTTTAAAAGTTAGATTCTCCTTTTATCCATAAAATGGTCCTGAAAACTTGAAGTTTATTATAGTCACATATCTCATGTTAAAACAAAAAAAAAAGCTACAATCCCTGAACTAACAATTTTCTTTTTGGGTATTCTGGGCAAGAGGGCTGACTAGAAGCAGCTAATATGCACCAATTTCAAGGAGAGAAGACAGTGTGATCAGTAAACACTAGCTCTTCAACTAGATCATCCAAGAGTAAACTTCGGAATTCATGAAGAAAACAACACAACCCACGGAGAATGGAGAAGCGTGAGATATGACAATTGCCCACCCTGTGAGTGGTACAGAGCCAGGGGAGGCCCCCACCTCGGGAAAATGGTCAGTGAGTGAGGGTCCCTGGGGACCACACTTCTGCCATGGACCCCTTTGCAATCCTGGGCACAGGAAATACCCTAGGACCCCTCCACCCATGGGAGAGAGCACCTTGACTGTGGACTAATGAAGACCCCCAGCATAGCAGAGCTGCCTTACAGAAAAGTGGCCAGACGTTTTCCATGAGGGTCCCCACCCCTGCTACTCCTCACAGGGCAAGGCCTCCTGACCTAGGATCTCAGAAACACCCAACCTGGGCTTTCGGCCTGTTGCAGCTCTGCGTTTTCTTGGAACAGAGCTCCCAGGGGTAACAGGCAGGCCTGCAAATTTTGCAGCTCCACAGTCCTCATTCCTGCTGCTCTCAGGATTGGGAGGGTAGTGCAGGGATTAGGGACTATCATGGGCCCCCAGCACAGCACAGCTGCCTTACCAACAAACAGTCAGATGGCTTTCTGCATGGGTCCCTGGCCCTGCTACTCCTCACTGGGCAGGGGGCTTTTTGAGGTGTGCCTGCAGCATAACTACACTGCCCGCACCTGAATACTTCAGTCAGTGGCAGCTCTGCGTTTCTCTGAAGAAAAAAATCACAGAGACATCCACAGCCCCTCTGTCATTGCAGCTGCAGTAGTACTGCCCTTACTGCCTTCAGGCTGGGGAAGGAACAAAGGGCCTGGTTGATATGCTGGCACCTCCAGCATGCCACAGCCACCCTATGAAAAGGAGCTCAGTCTTTCTTCCCTGTGAGTCCTCACCCCCAACTCTTCACCAGGCAGGGCCCCTGGCTCAGGACCACAGAACAGCTGCCCCACCCCAGGCTAAGCATTCTTACTGGTAGTTGCTCTGGGTTCCCAGGGATGGAGCTCTCAGAAGAAACCAACAGCCTCTCCGCTATGGCTCCTGCAGTGGTTCTGCCCTTGCTGCCCCAGGACTGGGAAAGGAGCAAAGAGTTTGAGGGCTTTACTCACATTTCCAGCTTGCCACAGTCACCATACAGATAGGAGTATAGTCACCCCTTCCTGTGAGCCTTGACCCCCAGCTTTTCACCAAGCAGGGTCCCTGGATGAATATTCAGCCACACCCAGCTGAACATTCCGGTTAGCAGGATCCTTGTATTTCTTTGAGGTGAAGCTCCAAGAGGCAACTGAAAACTCCTCTGCCACTGTAACTGCAGTGGTACTTCCTTTGCTGCCCTCAGACTGGGAAAGGAACAAAGACCATGAGTGCTTTAACCACACCTCCAATAAACCACGGCTGCCCTAAAGAGAAGAGGCCAGTCTGTCTCCCCAGGTCCCCTGGTCCCCACTGCTTGTCATTGGGCAGGGACTCCTGGCTTGAATCCACAACACAGCTGCCCCATCCAGGGCTGATTGTACCAACTGGTAGTGGCTCTGCATATCTCTGGAGTGGAGCCCCAAGAAACAAGTGAAAGTCCTGCTGCCACAACCATTGCCAAGGTCCCATCTCTTGCTTCCTCCAAGCTGGGGAGGGAACATAAAGCCTGAGCTTACCCCAGGGCTGCAGTGTGGATCCTGGGCATGCCAAGCTAAGATCTACAGCCAGCATTCTGGAGGAGCCGACACTTTCAGATCACTAAGAGGGAGCACAGATACAATTGGGAGGAAATACAGAGGTTCCACATGGCTGAGCAAGAGCCTACCTACTGGCCATTATGCTTAAGCACCATCTACTGAGTCATAGCCCAAACTTCGTCACCAAAAACATTTTGCTAATATACCCACCTGTGAAATCAAGGACAAAAATTAGAATTCAGCTACAAATAAAGACCCTGCACAAAGGTCTTGGCCTTCTGAAAACATCCAGAAAAGAAGTCAACGGACGATATTCAAATTATACCACAGTTAAAGGAATAACAGCCTACACAAATGAGAAAGGACCTGACCCATAGAAGAACTCTGGCAATTAAAAAAGCCAGAGTATCTCCTTTCCTCCAATTGATTGTGCTGGTTCCATAGCAAAGGTTCTTAACCAGACTGAAAGTACTGAAATGACAGACATAGAATTCAGATATGGATAGAAATGAAAAGCATCAAGATTCAGAAGAAAGTCAAAATTTTATTCTAATCCAAGGAATCTAAGGATTGCAGCAAAACAATACAGGAGCTGAAAGATGAAATGGCCATTATAAGGAAGAACCAAATGGATCTGATAGAACTGAAAAACACACTACAAAAATTTCATAATAAAATCACAATTATTGTATTAGTTTGTTCTTACACTGCTACAGAGAACTGCCTATGACTGGGTATATTATAATGCAAAGAGGTTTAATTGCCTCAGAGTTCCACAAGGCTGGCAAGGTCTCAGGAATGTTATAATTATGGTTGAAGGAGAAGTAAACATGTCCTTCTTCACATGGTAGCAGGAAGTAGAATGAGAACTGAGTGAAGGGGGAAGCTCCTTATAAAACCATCAGATGTTATGAGAACTTACCACTGTCACGAGAACAGCATGGGGAAAACTTCCCCCATGATTCATTTGCCTCCCACCAGGTCCCTCCCACCAGAAATGGGATTATGGGAACTATAATTCAAGATGAGGTTTGGGTGGGAACCCAGCCAATCCATATCATTCCACCACACCCAAATCTCATGTCCTCACATTTCATGCCTTTCCAACAGTCTCCAAAAGTCTTAGCTCATTCCAGCATTAACCCAAAAGTTGAAGTCCAAAGTCTCATCTGAGACAAGGGCAAGTCTTTTCCACCTAAAAGCCTGCAAAATCAAAAGCAAGTTAGTTACTTCCTAGATACAGTGGAGGTTCAGCCATTGGGTAAATACACCTGTTCCAAATGGGAAAAAGTGGCCAAAACAAAGGGGCTACAGGCCTCATGCAAGTCTGAAATCCAACAAGGCAGTTATTAAATCTTAAAGACCCAAAATAATCTCCTTTGATTTCATGCCTCACATTCAGGTCATGCTGATGCAAGAGGTGGGCTCCCATAGTCTTGGGTTCCAAATCTCAGTTCTTGACTTCTGTGTACCAGAAGGCTCAACAACAAGTAGAAGCTGCCAAAGCTTGGGGCTTGCACCCTCTAAAGCCATGGCCCAAGCTATTCCTTGGCCCCTTTTAGCCATGGCTGCAGCAGCTGGAATGCAGGGCACCAAGTTGCTAGGCTGCACACAGCAGGGGGACCCTGGGCCTGTAAAGCCATTTTTTTCCTCCTAGACTTCTGGATCTGTCATGGGAGGGGCTGCCACAAAGGTCTCTTACATGCCCTGGAGATATTTTCCACATTGTCCTGGTGATTAATATTTCTCTCCTCATTACTTGTGCAAATTTCTGCAACCAGCTTGAATTTTTCCCCAGAAAATGGTTTTTCTTTCCTATTTAGTTATTGGGCTGCAAATTTTCCAAACTTTTATGCCCTGCTCCCTCTTGAACATTTTGCCACTTAGAAATTTCTTCTGCTAGATACCTTAAGTGATCTCTCTCAAGTTCAAAGTTCCAAAGATCTCTAGGGAAGGGGCAAAATGCCACCAGTCTCTTTATTAAATCATAACAAGAGTCACCTTTGCTCCAGTTCCCAAGAAGTTCCTCATCTCTATCTGAGACCACCTCAGCCTGGACTTTATTGTCCCTATCACTATCAGCATTTTGGTCAAAGCCATTCAGCAAGTCTCTAGGAAACTCCACACTTTCCCACATTTTCCTGTTTTCTTCCAAGCCCTCCACAGTGTTCCAACCTCTGCCTGTTACCCATTTCCAAAGTCACTTCCACATTTTCGGGTATCCTTATAGCAGCACCCCACTCTACCAGTACCAATTTACTGTATTAGTCCATTCTCATGCTGCTATAAAGAACTGCTCAAGACTGGGTAAATTATAAAGGAAGGAGGTTTAATTGACCACAGTTCCTCAGGGTTCGCAAGGCCTCAGGAAACCTACAATTACGGTGGAAGGGGAAGCAAATGCCCTTCTTCACATGGTGGCAGGAAGGAGAAGAATGAGAACCAAATGAGGGAGAAGCCCCTTATAAAACCATCAGATCTTGTGAGAACTTACTATCATGAGAATAGCATGGGGGAAACTGCCCTGTGATTCAATTACTTCCCACTAGGTCACTCCCACCATACATGGAGATTATAGGAACTACAATTTAGGATGAGATTTGGGTGGGAACACAGCCAAACCATATCAAGTATTAACAGCAGAATCAACCAAGCTGAGGAAAGACTCTCAGAGCTCAAAGACTGGTTCTCCAAAATACAGTTAGACAAAAATAAAGAAAAAATTAAAAAAATGAACAAAACATTCAAGAAATATGAGGTTATATAAAGAGAACACATTTTCAACTCATTGGCGTCCCTGAAAGAGAGGGGAGAAAGCAGGCAACTTGGAAATCATATTTGAGAATATCATTCACCAAAACTTTTTCAGCTTCACAAGAGAAGCTGACATTCAAATTCAAGAGATGCAAATAACCCCTGCAAGATACTATATAAGATGACCATCCCAAAGACTCATAATTTTCAGATTCTTCAAGGTTGACATGAAAGAAAATATATTAAAGGCAGCTAGAAAGAAAGGACAGGTCACCTACAAAGGGAAACTCATCAGATTAACAGTGACTGTTTCAGCAGAAACACTCCAATCTGAAATAGATTGGGGGCCTATATTCTGCATTTTTAAAGAAAAGAAACTCCAACCAATAATTTCCTACCCAGCCAAACTAAGCTTTATAAGCAAAGGAGAAATAAGACCCTTTTCAGACAAGGAAATATTAAGGGAACTTGTTACAACCAGACCTGCCTTTCAGAAGGTACTTGAGGGAGTTCTAAACATGGAAAGCAAAGACCATTACCAGCCACCACAAAAACAAACTTAAGTACATAGGTTATGGACACTATAAAACAACCACATAATAAAGTCTGCATAATAACCAGCTAACAACACAAAGATAGGATCCAATTCCCTTCCCCCACCCCCCCGTGAATATTAACCTTGAAAGTAATGGGCTATGTGCCCCAATCAAAAGGCACAGATTGGCAAGTTAGATAAAGAAGCTAGACTGCAAGACTCAAATGTATGCTGTCTTCAAGAAACCCATCCCACAAATAGTGACACCCACAGACTCAAAGTAAAGGGATGAAGAAAAATCTACCAAGCAAACACAAAACAGAATAAAGCAGGGACTCCTATTCTTATTTCCAACAAAACAGACTTTAAACCAGTGATCATCAAAACAGACACAGAAGGGCATTGAATAATAACAAAGAGTTCAATTCAATGAGAAGACCTAACTATTGTAAATATATACCCACCCAATGTAGGAGTACCCAGATGCATAAAGCAAGTTCTGAAACACCTACAAAAAGATGTAGATAACCACACAATAATAGTGGGAGACTACAACATGACACTGACAGTATCAGGCAGATCATTGAGACATACAACTAACAAAAATATTCAGGACTTGAACTCAACACTTGACTAAATGGGCCTAATAAATATCTACAGAACTCCGCATCCAAAAACAACAGAATATAAATTATTCTCATCTGCACATAGCACATACTCTAAAGTCAACCACATGATTGGCCACAAAACAACCCTCAGCAAATAAAAAAAAACTGAAATCATACCAAACTTACTCTTGGACTACAGTGCAATAAACAATCAACACTAAGAAAATTGCTTACAACTATGCAATTACTTGGAATTAAACAACCTGCTCCTGAATGACTTTTGGGTGAACAATGAAATTAAGGCAAACATCAAGTAATTCTTTGAAACTAAACTCTGGTATCCCAGAGATACCAGAATCTCTGGGACACAGCTAAAGCAGTGGTAAGAGGGAATTTTATAGTGATGCCCACATCAAAAAGTTAAAAGGATCTCTAATTCATAACCTAAGGTCACACCTGGAAAAATTAGAAAAACAAGAGCAAACCAACCCCAAAGCTAGCAGAAGACAAGAAATAACCAAAATCAGAGCTGAACTGAAGGAAATTGAGAGATGAAGAGCAAAAAAGATAAATCCAAATTTTAATTTTTTTAAAGAATAAAAAGATTGATAAACTCTTAGCTAGACTAATAAAGAAAAAAATAGAGAGGACCCAAATAAACACAATTAGAAAAGACAACGAAGACATTACCACTGACCCCACAAAAATACAAAATACCCTCAGAGACAACTACAAATACCTATGCACACAAAGTAGAAAACTTAGAAGAAATGGATAAATTCCTAGAAACATAAGCTCCCAAGGTTGAACAAGGAAGAAACTGAATCCCTAAACAGATCAATAATGAGTTCCAAAATTGAATCAGTTATGAAAAGCCTATCAATTAGAAAACAACAGGGACCAGATGGATCCACAGCCTAATTCTACCAAATGTATAAAGTAGAGCTAGTACCACTTCTACTAAAACTACTCCAAAAAGTTGAGGAGGAGGGACTCTCCCTAACGCATTGTATGAGGCCAGCATCATCCTAATACTAAAATCTGGCTTAGATGCAACAAAAAAAGAAAATGTTGGGCCAATATCCCTGATGAACATAGATGCTAAAATCCTCAACAAAAATACTAGCAAATCAAATCCAGCAGCACATCAAAAAGCTAATCCACAGCAATCAGGTAGGCTTTATTCCTGGGATGCAAGATTAGTTCAACCTGTACAAAACCAATAAATATGATTCATCTCATAAACAGAACTAAAATAAACCACATGAACATCTCAACAGATGCAGAAACGGCTTTCAATAAAATTCAGCATCGTTTCATGTTAAAAATCCTCAACAAGCAAGGCATTGAAGAAACATACATCAAAATAACAAGAGCCATCTATGACAAACCCACAGCCAACATCATACTGAATGGGCAAATGCTGGAAGCATTGCCCTTGAGAAACAGAACAAGACAAGGGTGACCACTCTCAGCACTCCTGTTCAACATAGTACTGGACATCCTAGCCAGAACAGTCAGGCAAGAGAAAGAAATAAAAGGTACCCAAACAGGGAAAGAGGAAGTCACACTATCTCTATCTGCAATCTGTTTCTATACCTAGAAAACCCCATAGTTTCTGCCTAGCAACTCCTAGATCCAATAAAAAAGTCATCAAAGTTTGAAGATACAAAATCAATGTACAAAAATTAGTAGCATTTCTATACACCAATAACGTTCAAGCTAAGATCCAAATCAAGAACACAATCCTATTCACAATAGCCAAAAAAGGAATAAAATACCTAGGAATACAGTTAATGACAGAGGTGAAACATAAACATCTCTACAAGAAGTACAAAACGTTGCTCAAAGAAATCAGAGATGACACAAACAAATGTAAAAACATTCCATGCTCATGAATAGGAAGAATCAAAATTGTTAAAATGGCCATACTACCCACAGCAATTTAGATTGAATGCTATTCCTCTTAAACCACCAATTACATTCTTCACAGAATTATAAAAAACTGTTTCAAAATTCATATGGAAACATAAAAGAGCTCAAATAGCCAAGGTGATCCTAAGCAAAAATTAAAAAGCTGGAGGCATCACATTACCTGACTTCAAACCATACCACAAGGCCACAGTAATCAAAACAGCATGGTACTGGTACAAAAACAGACACATACACCAACTGAACAGAATAGAGAGCCCAGAAATAATGCCAGACAGCTACAACCACCCAATTTTTGACAAAGTTAACAAAAAACAAGCAATAGGACAAGGACTCCCTATTCCATAAATGGTGCTGGGATAACCTGCTAGATATATGCAGAAGACTGAAACTAAACCCCTCCCTGACACCATATACAAAAATCAATTCAAGATAGATTAAAGACCTAAATGTAAAACCTAAAACTAAAGACCTTAGAAGGTAACCTACAAATTACCATTCTGGACATAGGTCCTGGGAAAATTTTCTTCCCAAAGATGCCAACAGCAATGGCAACAAAAACAAAAATTGACAAACGGGACCCAATTAAAGAGCTTCCGCACAGCAAAAGAAACTATCAACAGAGTAAACAGACAACTTCCACAAGGGGAGAAAATATTTGCAAATTATGATTTGATGAAGATAGGTTCTTCATAGATTCTAATATCCAGAATCTATAAGGAACTTAAATTAACAAGCAAAAAACAACCCCATTGAAAAGTGGGCTAAAAACCTGAACAGACACTTTTCAAAAGAAGACATACATGTGGCCAATAAGCATATGGAAACAAGCTCAACATCACTAATAATTAGAGAAATCAAAACCACAATGAGATACCATCTCATGCCAGTCAGAATAGCTATTATTAAAAAGGCAAAAAACAGCAGTTGCTAGTGGAGTTGCAGAGAATGGGGAATGCTTATACACTGCTGGTGGGAATGTAAATTAGTTCAGCCACTGAGGAACACAGTGTGATGACTTCTCAAATAACTTAAAACAGAATTACCATTTGACCCAGCAATCCCATTATTGTGTATATACCCAAAGGAATATAAATCATTCTGTCATAAAGACACATGAATGCAAATGTTCATCACACACTATTTTCGTAATAGCAAATATTGCATGTTCTCACTCACAAATGAAAGCTAAACAATGAGACTACATGGGTACAAAGAGGGGAACAACAGATACCAGAGACTACTAGGCTGAAGGATAGGGGAGGGAGAGGATTGAAAAGCTACCTAATAGGGCCTATGCTTATTTCCTGAGTGATGAAATAATCTGTACAACTAACCCCTGTGACATGCAATTTACCTATATAGCAAACCTACACATGTATCCCTGAACCTAAAATATAACTTAAAAATAAAAATAAATATTTTCTCTTCATTTTTTGTATTACCAGTTTAGTTTTCTTTTTTACCTCTCACTCAGACTGTTGCAATAATCTCCAAGCTGTATTTTATGCATTTCATTTTCCCCCATCCTATTTATTCTCCACATTGCTTCCTAGATTTTCTTTTTTCTTCTTCTTCTTTTTTTTTTCTGTTTTTGAGATGGAGTCTTGCTGTCACCCAGGCTGGAGTGCAGTGGCGCGATCTTGGCTCACTGCAAGCTCCGCCTCTTGGGTTCATGCCATTCTCCTGCCTCAGCCTCCCCAGGACTACAGGCACCTGCCGCCAAGCCTGGCTAATTTTTTTGTATTTTTAGTAGAGACGGGGTTTCACCGTGTTAACCAAGATGGTCTCGATCTCCTGACCTCCTGATCCACCCGCCTTGGCCTCCTAAAGTGCTGGGATTACAGGCGTGAGCCACCGCGCCTAGCCCTAGATTTTCTTTCCTAAAGGAAAGATGTCAAGCCACTTTCTTGCTTGACAATATTTAGCAGCTGGCTTGCCATTGATTTTAAGATAAGCTCCAAATTCTCCATTGTATTAGCTAGCTATGGTTATGCAACAATATTGTAACACATTTATTGTCTTATTTTTTATGATGTCAGTATTTATGATGTCAGTTTCTGTGGGTCAGGAGTCCAGGGATGGTTTGGCTGTCTACTCTGATTCAGAGTTTCACAAGGTTTACAGTCAAGGTATAGGCTGGTGCTGCTGTTTCAAGCTCTGAAGTTTAACCGGGGAAAAATCCATTTCCAAGCTCATGTGGCTGTTAGTATCTTTCAGCTCCTGTGAGCTGTTGGCCAGAAGCTGTTCTGAGTTCCTGGCTGGCTGTTGACCTAAGACTGCCTCAATTCCTTGTTCCATGAATCTTCCCAATGTGGACGCTTACTTTGTCAAAGCCAGCAAGGGAAAGAGTCTCCTTATAAGATGGAGTTTACAATCTTAGGCAATGCAATCACATCACCTTTGCCACATTCTGTGGGTTAGAACAAGCCCCAGACTCTGCCCACACTCAATGGTAGGGGATTGCATCAGCCATGAATATCACAAGGTCATCTTAGAGTCTGTCTGCCACATTCATCAAGTCATATAATGCCCTTAAAATCTGGTCTCAACTATCCTTCTTTTTTCTACTCCAGCACTGTATATTTTGTCACACTAAACTATTTTTAAGAAATTATATTGAATCACACGAACAACTGTATTTTGTTGGGGGGATTTTTGTGGGTTTTTTTTGCTTCCAAGTTTTTCTCTTGTTATCTTCTGTGCCTGAATTACACTTCTGCACCTTACCTGGCAAAATTTTACCAAAGACCTTGTGCAAATTTCAGCTCTTCTTAAAACACTCCTGGTTCTACCCGGAAAAATTAATAGCTCCTTCTGAACTGTGTTCCTAACCTCCTCCCACCACCTTCCTATCCATTCTGATTTCATTATGGCATAATTTGGGGTGCTTGCCTAAAATTGTAATTCCAGTAAGAGTAGACAGTGTTTTATCAATACTGAACCCTCAACACCTAGCACAAGATCTTGTACTCGCAAGGACTTGTACATTTGCTAATGAAGTGAACAAATATTGCATTAATTTCAAATGTTTGTTGAACTGAATTTTTGAATGCTCTGTTGACCAAACTACTAGCAGAGCAATGTGTTTCATTCTTGAAAAGTTGTACCTTTGCATTCCAAACACAACCTTGCCTGCTTCCCAGAGTTCTAAAACTAAAGTAAAACATCCAATTAATCAATCAATTACTCAATTGATAAATCAAAGCTAGAGAAGTACTCTAATCAAGCATAACTTATTTTCCTATCTGAGATGTTTTTCACATTTTGTATTTGCTGAAGCAGTGCAAAATGTTGCTGCTTAAAGACATTATGTGACAATCTGTTTTCATTCCTATGCTCTAAAAATTATGAATAGTAATTTTAATATTCTTTATTATTTTTTATATTTTAAATCAGTGTTATTAGTTTTCCCATATTTATTTTAATGACATATATGTAATTTCAAGGTTTGGAAAACTTTAGATAGCAGGTCAAATTCTTTTTAATTCAATCTGTTCAACTGAGGTCTTTATGGGTTTGGAGTAGATATTGCTTTAGGCTGTATATTAGTCAATAAGCTAGATAATAAAAAATGGAAGTATATTTTTCCATTTTAGAGTAATGATGAAAGTCACATAAAGACAATTTCCCAGGTAACTGAAATTAATATTCATTATTGCTAAAAAGTTTTTGTTTTTATTTTCATGATTGGGAGGAAAGCATTTCTTAATTGGGTTATTCATATTCTGGCCTCCTGAACTAGAAGTTCAGATAATTTGAATTTCTGAAATAATTATCAGTCATAACACTGTGGTGTGATATAACCATGTCTTTAAAGCCTGTTACAGGGAATCTATGCTACAGATTGTAACAGCTATGCTTTTCTTATTTATAACTGCTTTTTAACTTACTTTTAAAAATGTAGTTTCTTTCTATCAATGTGCCTGCTTCCAGTGCTGCCTCCTCCACCAACTCTTCTTAGGCATTTTGAAACATATAACCATTGAGGGTATATATGATCCTGACATTAAAATAAATTCATTACAATTTTATTATTATTACTTAGTAGTATTGAACATTTACTGAGCTCTTCCTATTTGCCAAACACTGTTCTAAGTCCATTAGGTGTATAATCTCATTTGTCTTCACAGAGACTATGGGTTAAGGTAAATGGTAGAAGAGCAATAATCTCCTAGACAGATTAAATACTTTATGCAAAGGAAGCCCTGTGGTAAAGAGAGAGTTAGTATAAATAAACATGGAAACAAGTCCAAAAAAGCTGGAGTAAGAAGTGTCTTGGTGGAAATGGATAAAAGTGGGAATTAAAAGGTGTGCAGGGGCCAGATCTTTTAAATGCTCTGGTTCAACCTTACCTTGAGAAACATTCTGTTATACCCATTGAGCAAAATAAAGCATCCTTTCTTCTTTGTTTCTTGAAAACATAACTTCTACTTTGAATTACATTTGGTTGTTTCTGTAATTTACCTTCATTGGCAATTCCTTAAGGATTGGACAACACTTTTATTTCTTTTTTTTAGATAATCTTCAACATAGGTGTCAAAGTCATTTCTGTGATAAGTGTGCAATTAGCGTTGACGGATTTATGTCTGTGTTACTAAGGATTCAATCTGTGGGATGTATAGCCTTCAGCATAAACAGGCTTTGTCATTTCTTCCCATGTTTCATTTGAGTGTGGCCTTCTTACCTCTTTCCTGCATAGCTATTTACTTCTCCCTTCACTTCTTGCACAAACTGCCCCTGCAACTTCCCGCATACATATTTAATCATATTTTTTCAGCAGAAATTCTTATAATTTTCTTTAGTAACAAAATCTATCTTATGAAAATATTCAGTTTCAGAATGCACTGACATTGGATTCTTCCCTAAAGTGAAGATATCAACGTGTATTTTTCCTTTAAACATGAGAGCACGCTGCAATTCCCTTTGATTTGGTTGCATATTTGCAAAATTAAATGAAAAGCAAATGTAACTTTGTAAAAATCACCTCGTCCATGAAACAAGATAATGTGAGAAAGGAGGAAACAACATAACAATTAGAAGCAAACCGTCTTAGCAAGGTGATGAATTCTTTGTACAGTAGAAATGTAGAATCATCAAAGAGTTTTATCTTCCTCTGAATACTACATCACATAGGCATGTGTAAATGCCAACACACCTGCCTGAACATTGAGAAAAACACAAAGGCTCCATGATTCATTCTTACACTGGGCCCAATTTTTACCCTGAGGTGCTGTAGGCACTCATGTAGCACTGCATATTTTAAGACATTCAACACCTTGCATAAATGTTCCTGTGCCAGAGCAGATTATTCAGAATAATAGCCTTCAGTGGTACCTGTATACTTCAGGGGACTGCCTAACCCATTGTTTATTTCAAAAGGAGAGGCAGGCCCCTGAGAATAGACATCGCCAATCACATTTCTATGTTGTACCAAATCCTCTAAGGAAACCAGAAGGTTGACAGAAAGTTAAGCATTTTTTTCTAGAGGAACTGCATTCAGCATTTTCACTCAGAAAAGAGAAAAAAAAATCAATAAATAGACAATCCAAGAACTAGAAAAAGAGCATATTGATAGTGCAAGAAATTGTAAGAAGAAAAGTATTTACTCAAACCTGATTTTTGGGTGTGAGAAAGCCATGAGCAAGACAGAAAGAGGAAGAGAGAATGTTTTCTTCCAAGGGGTTACAAGAAAGTCCCTGCAGAAAATTTCCTCCTTCCGTTGTTTTAATTTTCTTTAACTAAAAGGCATTATGTAATATTTATAGTTCATTTTGTAAACAAGTTTGAGGAACACAGTAGCTGATGTTTTGCGGGGTAGGAATCAAAGTAATGGTGCAGTTGAACCTGGACATCTTAGAAGTGTGGCCCTCTACATCTGAAAATATATATCAACTTTACTCTGCAACTACTAGTATGACTCTAAGTCAGCATTATTCTTTCTTTCCTTCTGGAAATTATATAAACACAACAATGAAAATACATATAATTAATTTTCACAGAGGTTTGGAAGTATACAATCTTCCAACTTCAAAATATATGCAGGGGTTCCTAGAGGCAGCTTAACAGCTAGAGGCATGCAGGAATATGTGAAGTGTAGGAAGCATGGAAAATGGCAAAAGGGCTTGGTGGTGGCAGATCTCAGACTATAATGGAAAAATCTGCTTCTAGAGGCCAAGGGCTCACCTTGAAGGTCAAGCCATATATCCTGTTTGCAATAAAAAGTGAGAAAACGAGCACGAGCAGAGTTTGTAACAAAAGCCTTCATGGCTTTGGTTTAGATCAGAAAGAAGAAATGGGAGTCATATAGTAGAGAGATATTTGTAGGTAGCTGTCCATCTCTGTGAAAGCAGAAAAGGAGAGAACCTCTGAGTTACAAATGCTGGAAGAATACCTTGCCTCTTTGCCTTAACTTCAAATCATTCTAGGAAAGTTCAAATCAGCCTCTGATAAGAATTAACAAAAAACAAACAGTACTGGCCCCAAATGATACAAAGATACATAAGAAAAATTATAGAAAAGAGAACCAATGCATACCGACAAAAGTGAGTAATCAGAAATCATACAAAACTACAGACAAGAAAGTTTTAATATGGAAGATATCAGGTAATAGTGTTTCAGTAACCCATTCTTGAGATGGTTACTAACTAGAGATCAAATTTCAGCCAACCAAGAGATTCTATAACTGGAGATATTATGGCACAAGGGTATTGAGAATTAAATATATTTTACTAAAGAACTAACACTGAAACAAATTTGGAGATTAAAGTGGCAGAATTAATGTAAATGGCATATGTCTCATAATAATTTAGCAATAAAATAACTTCTACACAAATTAGGAGGACAAAGAAGAAATAAGATGAAAAGACAGTGAGTTTCCTGATTGTGTTTTCTTTAATAACTGGAATATTCTTTTTTTTTCATTTTTTAATTAGGGTAGAATTCACATACAGAAAAAGTATCCTTTTTTATTGTAGAGTTCTACAACTTTTGACAAATGCATGCTGTCATATAAAAACCAAATATTATTCCATATCAAAATATGGAATAATTCTATCAACACACAAACACACACACACACACACATCTTCAGATCTTCCTTTGCAGTCAAACATGCTTCTCTACTGCAGCCCTTGGAAGTCATTGATGTTTTCTGTCTCTGTAGTTCTGCCTTTTCTAGAATATTGTTAAATAGAAACATACAGTGTATAGCAATTTGAGTTCAGTGTCTTTCATTTAACATAATGCATTTGAGATCCATCCTTGCTATTTCATGTATCAATAGCTCATTCTTTTTTATTGCTGGATAGTATTCTGCTGTGTGATTGTTCCCCCAGGTAAGGAACATTTGAGTTGTTTCAAATTTTTGACAATTGAAAAAAAGCCACTATAAAACATTCACATACAGCTCTGTATGTGGACGTACATTTTTATTTCACTTAAGTAAGTAACTAAAGGTAGAATTCCTGGGTCATGTTAAGTAAATGTATATCTTTATAAGGAAGGCCAATTTTTTTTTTCTAAAGGGTCTAAACCATGTTGAATTACCACCAGAAATGTGTGAAAGTTCCAGTAACTCCACACTCTCACCAATGAGTGATGTTGTCAGACTTATTTTTTTGTTTTGTTTTAAGTCAATCTGGTAGGTATGTAGAGACATTTCTTTTCGGTTTTAGTTTGCATTTCTCTATTTCCTATTGAGTATCTTTTTAGGTGTTTATTTGCCATCTGTATACCAATCATCTTTGGTGAAGTCTCTGTTCAAGCCGTTTGTCCATTTTTTAATCGAATTATTTGTTTCCTTCCTTAGATTTTAGAATACTTATTAGAATCTGGATGCAAGTCTTTTATCATAAATGTGATATGCAAATATTTTCTCCCAATCTGTGGCTTGTCTTTTCAGTCTTTTAGCAGAGTATTTTAAAGAACAAAAATTATTAATTTTGGGAAAGTCAATTTATCTCTTTTTTTCTTTATGAATTATGATTTTGTGTGATCAAAAACAATTTTGTTTAACTCCAGGTCACATAGGTTTTGTCCCATGTTACCTTCTAGAATTTTTGTAGTTTTAAGTTTCAGATTTAGGTGTACAAGTCATTTTGAGTTTATGAAGGGAGTGAGGTACAGATTAAAGTTTATTTTGTGCATAGATATCTGAACTTTTAGAGCAACTTTGCTGAGAAGGCTTTTTCATTCTCCATTGAACTACCTCTATACCTTTGTTGAAAACCAACAGACTATATGTCTGAGTCTATTGTATTCATTGTTGTCTTCTGTGTATCTGTACCTATATCCTTTTCAGCACCACACTGTCTTGATTACTGTAGTTTTATAGGAAATTCTGAAATCAGGTAGCATGAATCCTTCAAGTTCATTCTTCTAGTTCAAAATTGTTTTGGTTATTTTAGTTCCTTTGTCACAGATATTTTAATGTATTAGCTTGTTTAATTCCTAAAAATATGCGCATGGGTTTTTTTATTGGAATTTTGTTGCATTTATAGATTAGTTGGGGGAATGTATACATCTTACTACATTTGTAATTTTATTTTTTTAAGATTTGTTGAGGGTTGTTTTGTTGCTCGTGATATGGTCAATCATGATGGATGTTCCATTTGTACATGAAAATAATGTGTATACTGTGGTATATTTTATGCTATAAATACTAATTAGGCCAATTGGTTGGTAGTATTTCTGTGATCTTCCATATTCTTATTAATTTACTGTCTTTTTGTTTTATCAATTACTGAGAGAAGAGAGTTAAACTAAGTCCACATTTTGTTTATTTCTACTTTCAGTTCTGTCAGTTTTTGTTGTATGCACAGTATTTTATAGATCTGCTGAGAAGTAGATATATGCTTTGGATTGTTATGTCTTTTTATGAATTGATCTGTTTATCACTATGTAATGATAATATTGTCTAATATTAATATAACCACTTTAGCTTGACTAGTGTTTGCATGCTATAGTTTTTCTATCCTCTCACTTTTAACCTTAGTTTTAAATTAAGTTTCTTATAGACAGCTTATACTTGAGTCTTGCTTTTTAATTCAGTCTGACAATCTTTGTCTTTTAATGGATTTGTTTAAACTACTTATGGTTAATGAAATTATTGATATCCTTAAGTTAATATTTACTATTTTTATTTTTGCTATTGTTTTCATGTACTATTTCTTTTCTTCCCATTTCTGTTATATTTCTTTTTTTATATAAATTGACTATTTTTATTTTATTTTATCTATAATATTGATTTATTATTTATATTACTTTTTAAAAAATTAGTAATTCTCGTAGGGTTTACAATATACATTTAAAATACACATTTAACTAATCTGTCTGCTTTTAAAGAATATTATACTACTTTTTGTATAGTTAAAAATCTTACAAATACATATATTCAATCTATTCCTTTTATTTATTTATTTTTTTGGTAATGTTGTCATACAGGTTACTTTTATGTTTGCTCTAAAAGTCAATACCTTACTACTCTCTTGCTTTAGGCAGCCAGTTGTATTTCAGAGTAATTAGAAATAAGAAAAAAAAATGGCCTTCCTGTATTTGCTTTCATATGCCGTTTCATTACCCTGTTTGTTTGTTTGTTTGTTTGTTTTTGTTGTTGTTGCTGTTGTTGTTGACTTAGATCCAAGTTGGTTTATAATTAATATATTTTTTCTGCCTGAAGTTATCCTGAAATATTTCTTGTTTATGGAGCTGCTGGCAAGAAATTCTCTATTTTGTGTTTCGGAAAATTTCTTAATTTTCCTTCCCTTCTGAAAAATAACTTTTTAAGGAATTGAATTCCGGGTTGACAATTTGTTTCAGAATTTAACAACCTAATTCCATTTTTCTTTCAGATTGCATATTTTCTGTAGAGAAATATGCTGTAGTTCTCTTTTCCTTTGTATAGGTGTGCCATTTTTATCTAGCTACTTTTAAGCAATGTGTTTTTATTTTTTTGTGTTCAGAAGTTGCAATATTAGACGTCTAAGTATTTCTGTTTTTATTGTTTTATTTTGTTATTTGTCTTGATTGCTGTTCTCTGAGTGTCATGAATCACTTGTGCATTTTTTCAAGTTGAAAATTCTTGGACTATCTCTTCTCCATCATTCTTTCTCTTGGTTTTCTTTCATCTGTGGAAATTGCCACTACACTTATATTAAGTGATTTCATATTATCCCACAGCTCATGCATGCTCTGTTCCTTTTAAAACAAAAACAAGAACACTTTCTTTTCTACTTGCAGTTTTTTTGGCTTATTTTTTTATGAACCTATCTTCATGTTTACTGATTCTTTAGCTGTTTCAAGTCTACTTATCAGCCTTTT
Organism: Homo sapiens; assembly: GCF_000001405.40. Lineage (NCBI taxonomy): Eukaryota > Metazoa > Chordata > Mammalia > Primates > Hominidae > Homo > Homo sapiens. Next base: position 83,126,633 of record NC_000001.11, on the reverse strand, counting down.
GAAGGCATTTTTTCTTCTCTGTTATTGTATTTTCTCTGTATAATATTTTTATTGAGCTCTCCTTCAAAGTTTCATCTTTCTGTTGAAGTTACCTATCTAATGATGCATTTCATTCACCTTTTTCACTCAAGACTTAAGCATATTAATCAAAGTTATTTTAAATTCTGTTTTATAGTTTAAATGTCTTTGTCATATCTGAGTCTGGTTTTGTCAATTGCTTCATCTCTTGGCAGAGGTTGTTTTTTTTTTTCCTTCTTTTTTGTGTATCTTGTAATGTTTTGTTCAGAGCTGGACATGCTATGTAGTGTAGTGGAAACTATGGTGCATAGCTTTTCTGTGTGAAAGTGGGACCATCTCATTCTGTACTGTGATATAAGAGGGTTATTCTCTGTTGTTCTTGTTTAGCCTCATTCTCAGGTATGTACTATGTCACTGATCTCAGTGGTTGGGGCCTTCTCAGTGATCTTGTGTCTCCCTGACCGAAGACCTCTGATGGTCTGGGCCCAAGAATTATTGCTGTCTCTGCTTAAGGGTAGATATGGATAGATTTTATTTTATTTCTATTCCCTACCCCTAGATGCAGTGAGTCCTCACTTGTGGTTGATGCCCTTTATTTAAACAGGGTAAGGCTTGTGTTCTGTAGGTAAGATAAGGGAGTAGGATCTTGACAGGGTTTTGTATCTTTTCTACTAGAGCAGTTTTGTTTTCCCTTCAGCCTGAAACCGAATAGAGGATTTTTCAGCTATCTTTCCCTGCCCCAAATATTTCTCATGGATACTTCGCTGTGGTCCATTGATAAGAGCTTGCTAGTAAGTAAAAATTACCCTCTGTATAGACCTGAAGGGTTTGGTACTTTTATACTAATTCATTTTTATGCTAGCCTTTAGAAATTCATTGAAACTTTAATTGAATTACTTTTACGGCCTTGCATAGCATCTGGCATCCATCTCAAGGAAACAAGTCCTTGCATCTGTGTCTCTTTGAAGGTTCAAACTTATTGAGATTTTTATTTGTGGTTCAGTATACCATCAATAAATTTCTACAAGTAGAAATAAAACAGACAACATTATTTCACCACAATACAAAAGAACAAACAGAAATTATTAAGAAAACATGAAAATAAACCAAAAAAGCTACTCAGCCTATAAAAGTAAAAAGTATCTCTGTGATGGTTAATGTCAAGTGTCAATTTGTCTGGATTAAGGGATACCCATATAGCTGGTAAAGCTTTATTTTGAGACATGTCCAAGGTTTTTCCAGAAGAGATTTGCATCTGAATCAGTGAACTAAGTAAGAAAGACCAGCTCTCACTCAGTGTGGGTGGGCACTATCCAATTGGCTGAGGACTCAGACACAACAGAAAAACAGAAAAAAGGCAAATGTATTTGGAGCTGGGACATCCATCTTCTCCCATGCTTGCACATCAGAATTCCAGGTCCTCCAGCCTTGGGACTCCAGGATTTATACCAGTCACCTCCCCTCACCTCCAGGGTCTCGGGCCTTTGGACTTGGACTGAGCCATGCCACCAGCTTCCCTGGTTTTTCTACTTGCAGACAGCATATGATGGAACTCCTCAGCTTCCATAATCATGTGAGCCAATCTCCATAATAAATCCCCTTTCATATATCACTCTATATATCCTATTGGTTCTGTTCTCTGGTAAATACTGACAAATAAAACTCTATAACAATTGTTGAGTAAAAGGGAAATTTTAAATGAAGTTAAATTATATTAAAAACTGCATGTACTACATTTGTATGTTCAATACATATGCTACTACTGCATATGTACTACTAAAAGCACTTACAGAGAAAAAATCATAGCAATAAAAACCAATATCAAAGGAAAAAAGAAATGAATTCGACATTCGTGAAAAATTTTTTGAAAAAGAACAATGAAACAAATAAAAGGAAAGCTTATGGAAGGGTTATGGATTGAATGTTCCTACCCCACCTCCTAAATTCATATGTTGAAATCTTAAACCTCGACGTGATGGTTTTAAGAGATAGGACCTTTGGAAGGTAGATAGGGCATGAGGGTAGAGCCTTATGAATGGTAGCAGTGACCTCATAGAAAAGACCACAGAAAGGTTTCTTGTCCCTTCCACTATGTGAAGTCACAACAAGAAGGTGGCTATCTATAAAGCAGAAATCGGGCCCTCACCAGGCACTGAATTTATAGGCCCCTTGATCTCAGGCTGCCAGCCTCCAGAACTGTGAGAAATAAATTACCGTCACTTAGAAGCCACCCAGTCTGTGGTACTTCATTACAGCAGCCTGAATAGTCTAAGACAGGTTGTGGCAGGCAGAATTCTAAAATGGCTCCCAAGGCTTTCTATCCTAACCTCTGAGACTGTGAACATGATGCACTGTCATTCCCTTATTATATCATGTTACATGTCAAAGAGATTTTTTATTTTTTTGCAGATGTACTTAGGAGACTAATCCATTGACTTTGAGTTAATCAATAGAGAGTTTGTTTGGGTGAACCTATCCTAATCTCATGAGACCTTTAAAAGCAGAGTTTTCTCCATCTGATAGCAAAAGGGAAACTCAGAGAGAGAGTTAAGGCACAAGAAGGAATCCATGTGATTTTGGTGTCTTTGAAAGTGGAAAGAGCCACTTGGAATGGACTTAAGAGGGCTCTCTAGGAACTGAAAATGACCCTAGTTAAAATAAGTAAATAGGAACCTCAGTCTTATAACACTAAGGAACTGAATTCTGCTAACAACCTGAATGAGCCTAGAAGGTGATTTTATCCCAAAGCCTCCCGGAAAGATTCCAGCCCAACTCAACTGACCCCTTTGCTTTAGCCAGTGAGACCCTAAGCAGAGAACTCAGTTGAGTCTGTCTGCATTTCTGATCCACAGAACTATGTGATACTAAATGAGTTTTGTTTTAAGCTTCTAAGTTTTTGTGATTTGTTACGTGGCAAAAGAAACAAATACCAAAATATAACAATAATTAATGTTAGCCAACAGAAAAAAGTACAGTTAATATATAAACAGATAAATAAATAAGCTTGTACTTGAGAAAGTTTATAATACAGATAAATTATTCATAAACTAACCAACAAAAAAGACAAATAAAAGATAGATATTATTGTGCTTGGGGGAAAATAATAACATATGAACGGAATTAAAAAATCAGAAGATATTATTTTGCAGAAAAGAGAACGGATAACATATCTTCATATTTATTTTATCTGCCTAAAGAAATTCTGAAAGAATGTATAAGAGACTATTAATAATAATAACTAAAAACTGAAGGCGAGATGTGAGTGGAGGCTGAAAACTAGATCAATGGCAGACAGCTGTGAGAAAAAGTACATATATATATTTTATATATCTGTGAATTTTGTTCTTGAACTATGTGAGTTTATTTCTTTTTTCAAAAAAATTAATTTAAAAATAATGATTGCGCAAGTAAATTCTAAAACATTACTAAATTACTTCCTGACCTACATGTCTGCTGGTGTGATTTAATTATATGTATTTCAAGAAGTCTTATTTTAAAACAAATACAGTTCTTTTTAAATTATTTTTATTACATTAAAATAAATGTATGACAGACAGGTAATCACCAAAGCTGACGTACCTTCAAACACCTAGGGAATTTTTTTTTTTTTGACAATACTGTTTTAATTAAACAAGATGTCCTTTGGAACAGCCAAGATGGAAACATTTAGAAGTCTCTTTTCACTCTTCTGTGGAAAGTGTGGGAAATGAATAATGGACATAGGTAATTAAAATGAGAGGTTTTGAATTACCTAAGATGACATTCAGCAATACCAAGAGGACATCCCTGGGAACATGCAGAAAAATCACAAGGCTTCTTAATAGGATGGGAAACAGAAAAAGAAACAGGAATGAATCTTTTATTCAGACATGATGATAATGGTATTCCTTCTAGATTTGGATCCATGGTAAGAAAGCGAGTCTCATTATATGAGGGAGAAAATTATTCTAATATGATTAATATGGCAGGTTGGTAAAAATAAGAAAGGGATGTGATTGACATTGTTTTTGTAACTTTTTATACTAAAATTCATCATGGAGAGAAAATAGAGGAAGATGTAAATGTCTTCATATTGAATATATGCAGAGACCATATGGTAGAATTATAGCTCCCAAATGGCATCAATTTCTACATAGTGCTCTAATTTGGAATATTACTGATAACCTAATTTTGGATGTGTTTCAAGCCCATCATTATATTTATCTCCAAAAGAACCAAAGGAATGCATTTTGGGAAAAAAAAAAAGACAAACTTTAGTCTGGTGGATATTGAACGCATTTAAGAAAAATAAACAAATGATAAAAACTGCATGGAATGTAATGATACATGGCATGAGGAAGAAAAAATACAGGCATGTGGAAGAAATGATAGATTAGATAACATCCTGATAAATGTTATTTTTAAAATCCTTCCTTCTTCCTACAATAGGTAATCTCTGGGAAAATGATTAGAGCAAGGACTAATCATAAGTAGTGAGTTCTTTTAGAATACATGCACCCACTGCACACGCATGCGCGCACGCACGTGCACGCGCGCGCACACACACACACACACACACACACACACACACACACACACACACAAAGCTTTTTATTATAGCCAGAGATGGACGCAGGTAATAAAAAACCAACTCATCTCTACTTACAGTAAAACCCTAAAATAAAGAACAAACCTTATTATGAGGACATGAAATTTCAAACGAAAGTATAATTGGCTTGCTGCATTTTAAGACTGCATTACTGAGCTACAACATTATTGTGGTAACTTTATTACATACATTTAAAAATGAGCTCATTGTCAAGCAGTTTGGAGTGTCTGTCTCTTTCTGTCTGCCTCATCATTCACCCCTCCTATTTGCCCCAACTTCACCCTGATGAAAAACAATGCTCTCTTCTGTTTCCCTGCATAATAGGGATCAGAATTTATTCTCACTTTCCCATAAAAGGTGTCACCTGGTCATTACAAAATTTTAAGTCACAATTATTGCAATGTATCATATTCAAACCTTTAAATTTTTGAAACTTTCCCAATTGTATAAGCATAAATTTTCATGTAATAATGTAATAAACAAAAACCTTTTTCTGCCATGAATGATGAGAGAACATCTGGCTTTCTTTTTAAATGGTCAAAATCAGTCAGAAAAAAGTTTTATCAAGTTTTAAATATGAAAAAAATTACTGTTAAAATTTGTCACGATCATATCATAGAGCAACTTCATTTTTTTAATTTTAGTTCCATTCTGATGAAAGATGGCTAAAACCAAGGAGTGATGTTCCACTTGAGGAGGAAATGTTTTTTATTCTAGGTATGAAAACTATCCTTAAACCAAAATCAAACTTGATGCAAACACAATATTTAAGAATTAATTCATCATTCTATCTTGCAAGTTTAGAGTAATCCAGATTTTGTATTCAGACTACCTGGGCTCAAATTTTGATGCACCATTTGCTTAGCTATATGACTGTCTACAACTTCTCAACTATAAGATGAAGGCAAATAAATAAATAAATAAAACCAAAAACCTCACATTTCATAGTATTGTTATGAAGCTTAAAGGAGGTAATACTTGAAAAGTGTTTTGTTCAGTGCCTGGCAAATTAATTAGTATTTACTTAATGCCACTACTATTATTTTATATATAAAAAAGAGTCATCTAGGGAGGACATAAACCACAGTATCTCTTTTAAGAAAAATTTATCTCCCATTTATATGTGAAATGGGACAGGCAGGGAGTGGAGGTGAAAAGAAAAATTACTTAAGACAAAAAAAAGTAGCACAAAAGTTCAGAGACTTGTCATACTTAACGGCTTTGAATACACAGTTGTATATAATGTCATCACATCCTTATCCTTTGAAAGCTTTGTCAGATAACCCTACACAATTAAAACTAACAAAAAAACTTCATCACGATCTTCTCTTGCCACTGCACTATATATCTCCTACTCTTTGCAGTCACATATCTTTAAATAATTAAACCTGGATGTCACATTGACTTTCACAATGTGATTGTACATTTTGGTTATAGTCATATTGTCATTGTTTAAGCACCCTCTCAGTGACAATATGACTATAATAAAAATATTCTCACTATATATATATATACACACACACACACACACACACACACATATGTAGCTATATTCCTTAGACATATTTCAGCCCTTATCCTCCTTATCCTACTTGTTACCAATCCGTCTTTGGTTGCTTGAAACCTATCTGTAGCAACAGCACTCCTACAATAAACTAATTTTTCTCACTTGATGTCCATGTCCTTGTCCTTATCTTACTTTTCTCCTGCCCTTCTGGGCTTTCTCTTTTTACCATTCACTTTGCAATCTCCTAAAATGTTGTTGCTCTTTACAGCCATATCTATTCCTTCTGTTCTCATTCTGATTGACATCCAAAGGAAATCTCACCCACTTCCATGTCTCTGAGATTTACACTTTCTACTTAGGCTTATCTCACCAGCTCTTGACAAGTCTATCCAAGAGCCTTCTGAAATGGCTATTTAAATGTCTCAAAGTACTTCAGAGTTGATTATTTCAAACTGAATTCTTCTTTCACTGTCTTTTGCCCTTTAAAGTTACTCCTAAATTTCCTCAGCTCACCAAACGGTCACCACTATGGAGTTGCTCAGTTTAGAGTCCTGGGAGTCATCCTTGAATACTTCTTGTCCCTTGGAACCAACAACCTATCATCACTAAGCGCTGTCTCTTAGACTTCGGATTGCCTGTGTCCACTCAGCTTCATTCCTAGGATTAACACCAGAATCTATCCACAAATATTCTACTTGGATTACTTGTGAAGCCACTTAACTGCTCTCCGTAGCTCCATTCAGCCTTTCCCCCTTCATTTTCCATCCTCATTTAAACATCAACACTTTAAAATGAAAATCTCATGAACATTTCCCATAGTACACATTCTTTAATGCCTCCCTGTAGTTCGCAGGATGAAGACCAAAATTGTTTTACAGTTTGACCCTTGCTTATATTTCCAGGCCCATCCGTTGCCACTCTTCCTCTGGCAAAATACTTTCATATCAATCTTAACTTATTTTTCTGTTCCTTACTTTTCTGTTCCTTTCTGTTCTAGGATTTTAGTGTTTCAAGATTTTTTCTGTGAGTGTTTTCCTTGTCTGAAATGCTCAAACACCTCTAGTCTCTAACCATTAAGCACAATCGTTTTCTTTCTTAGGTTTGCTATCACTTCTTTAGAATATTTTGGGGATATTTTTTTCTCAGTAAGGGATGTCAAACCTACCACACCAACCACCTGCTCAATATTCCCATTACAGTTCAGAACAGGGATTACTATTTTTTCCATAAATATTCATCAGTAATGGATAAAATTTTATTAGTAGAACCCTCATATTTTAGCTACAAATATGGGAATCCAGCTAAAGACTGCTTTCCTGGCCTCCTTTCAGCTCAGTGTGGACAGGTAATTAATTTCCGTTTATGGGTTGTGAACAGGACTGATGTATGCCACTTCCCAATTGTGCTCCTGAAGTGAAATATAGATATATACCTCTGCCTCTTTCACTCTTTTCTGTGGTGGGAATATAGTGAGAACTAAAGCAGCCACCAAGGACCCAGAGATGGAAGCCACATTTTGCTCCTCTGGCCCAAACTACGTAACTGTGTTTTTAAGTCTCATCTTAGCAACTTAGCCTGCACATAATACACACTATATTTTCTTTACTGTAGATGTAATTACTCTATATTGTAATTTATTTATAATATCTACTTAATCTGTCACATGCTGTATATTAATCACCTCTATGCTTTTGGTACCTAATGCAGAATCTTGACAAAGAGGAATTAATGAATGAATAAATGAAAGTCTATAGGGTAAAGCTGGGGCATGGTAGGACTAGTCCTTTAGAAGTCTCCTGATTCTTAGTTTACTGCTCTTTGCAATCCACAGCATTAACCCCCACAAATATATGCCCCAGGTGTAGCCTGACTCATAACATCACTAACCCTACTACCAATGGTGATGTGTAAGCACTTTGTGCTGGGTTAAAGTTTCAAACATTTTCTTATAGAGATTAGATGATCTAAGCAGTAGAGTCCCTTAAATCAAGGTTCAGGGCCAGGCGCGGTGGCTCACGCCTGTAATCCCAGCACTTTAGGAGGCCGAGGTGGGCGGATCACGAGGTCAGGAGATCGAGACAACCCCGTCTCTACTAAAAAAAATGCAAAACATTAGCTGGGCATGGTGGTGGGCGCCTGTAGTCCCAGCTACTAGGGAGGCTGAGACAGGAGAATGGCGTGAACCCGGGAGGCGGAGCTTGCAGTGAGCCGAGATCGCGCCACTGCACTCCAGCCTGGGCGACAGAGCGAGACTCCGTCTCAAAAAAAAAAAAGAAAAAAAATCAAGGTTCAGAATGGACCATTTTTTGCCTTGAGTGAGATTATACAGCACACTGAAATGATACCTTCAGTACTGAATGATTTGGCGTTCAAGAGAATTAAAATAAGGCTTTCCTTTATGGTTAAAAGTGAATTACAAAAAAAGGGATACTGGCAGGCAATTACTCTGTAAGCTATAGGAATGAAAGGGATTTCACAATGTGAGTAGTTCAGATTCATATAATGTGAAGAGCTGCTGGCAAGTGGGAAATCACGTGGTAATCTAAAGGAGAGAACTGAGGCTATAAATGCAAACTCTCTCACACACAGACACACACACACATACACGTACACACGCACTTCATAAATGCACTAAATGAAGAAGTTCTGAAGTATGGATAAAGATTTTAGCCCAAAATGTGTTATATTTTAATTTAAAAAACAACTGAGAATGCACATAGTCAAGATATTTGGCATATAAGATAATAAATACTACAGAGCTAGAGCTAAAATAAGGGCATCTGCACTCTGTTGACATTACGTGATCTAATTTAAAATCTAGAATTAATATACAGGATGGCTTCTGAAATGCCTTATGAATTGAACTGTAGCCCTGCAAAATCCATACGTTGAAGTGCTAAACTCTAGTACCTCAAAATGTGACCTTATTTGGTAATAGAGTCTTTGCAGATAATTAAGTTAAAAATAAGGCAGTTGGCTGGTTGCGATGGCTCACGCCTGTAATCCCAGCACTTTGGGAGGCCGAGGCGGGCAGATCACAAGGTCAGGAAATCGAGACCATCCTGGCTAACGTAGTGAAACCCCGTCTCTACTAAAAAAAATACAAAAAATTAGCCAGGCGTGGTGGCAGGCACCTGTAGTCCCAGCTACTGGGGAGGCTGAGGCAGGAGAATGGTGTGAACCCAGGATGAGGAGCTTGCAGTGAGCCGAGATCGGGCCACTGCACTCCAGCCTGGCCAACAGAGCAAGACTCCATCTCAAATAAATAAATAAATAAATAAATAAATAAATAAATAAATAAATAAATAAAAATAAGGCAGTTAGGGTGAGCCCTAATTCAATATGACTGAGTGTACGTAAGTGTCTTTTTTTAAAGATATAAAACATACAACATTTATTTTGTGACTTACAGCAAGACTTAAAATTTTGAAGAAATCATCAGTTCAAAATTTTCAGTTTTCTTTGATAAACTGAGAAATACCTAAGTAATGAACCATTTAGATCCCTTCTCAGAACCGATATACAAACAGAAATTAGATGTGACTTCATAGATGTGTTCTTAGTTAAGGAAGGTAATATAGCTACAGTAACACTACAACTTAAACTAGCATCCTTCTCATTACTTGTGATGGTTAATTTCATGTTTCAACTTGGCAAGGTCATAGTACCTAGTTATTTAGTCAAACACAAATCTAAATATTGCTCTGAAGGTACAACACTCCCTCTTTATCTGTGGAGGATACATTCCAAGACCCCTAGGGGATGCCTGAAACCACAAATAGTACTGAACCCAATTGATGTCAATTGGAATATGTTTCTTTTCCTGTCTTACAGCCACAAATTTAATGCCTTTTCCATCTTAGCTAAGTACTTACTGTGTACCATGGCCAAAACATTTTCAATTTGAGGCTCTACATCAAACTAGCACAAATTTCTTTTTCCTTCTTCACAATCTCATTGATAGAAAATTTATTATTATTGCAGATCTTAGCAACCTCAACGTACAAACTTTTTTTTTTTTTTATGTATTGAGTCAAGAACTTTGACCTTTTCATCTCAAGGAAACACCTGACGGCATTTCTTCGGCCTATCTGAGTTTCCAGTATCACTACCCTTGCAATCTGGGGTCATTATTAAGTAAAATAAGAGAGACTTGAACACAGGCAGTGCGGTACCGTGACAGTACATTTGATAACTGAGAAGGCTACTGAGTGACTAAGGGGTGAGAGAGTAGAGAGTGTGGAGATGATGGACAAAGGAAGGATTCCCATCCTAGGAGGAACTGAGTGAGACAACTTACAATTTTATGGTGCTGCTCAGAATGTTGCACAATTTAAAATTTATGAATTATTTATTTCTGCAGTTTTTCATTTTATAGTTTTGAACCATGGGTAGCTGAAACTGAGGGAAGCAAATCCACAGATAAGGGAGAAAATACTGTATTTTGTAGATATGTTTACTATCTACAATCAGTTAACTTTAATTAAAGGAGATTACACTCAGTAAGTTTGGTGGGCCTCATCCAATCAGTCGAAAGCCTTAACAGCAAACATTGAGGTTTCCTGGAAAAGAAATTCTGCCTCAAGACTGCAGCATTATTCCTACTCAAATTTCCAGCTGTCCAGCCTGATCTACAGATTTTGGAGTTGCCAGCCTCCATAATCACGTGAAGAATTCCTTTAAAAACAGACACACACATAAAGATATATGCAAACCATTTCCTTAAAAAATAAAATGAAACAAAAAAGATATATATCTATATGGTTATATAGAAACTATATATATTATATCTGTATTCTATCTATATCTATCTATCTATATCTCTATCTATCTATCTATATCTATATCTCTATCTATCTATCTATCTAGTTTCTGTTTCTCTGGAGAACCCTGCTGATACATTACCTAACTTTAAAATGTAGTCTGTCTTTTATAACATTTCTAGGCTAAACAGATCATTAAGCATGTATTTAAATTATATTCAGTGATGAACATACAAATATGTATATTCATGGACCAAACATACTGATTGCGTTCTTTTATTATAATGTTATGTCTTGAATTTTGGTTGCAGACACTGGAAGCTCATGCTCTTGATAGACATTATATTGCCAATACTCCTTCCAGCCATTGGGCACTCAAAGTGGTAGCACACATTTGTTAACAGAACCGTTTCTGGTATCCCCACAAATGTCAAATTATGTTTTTATAAGAACGATGGTTTCTTATGAGATTTTGAACATGCTCATAAGCTGACAATGACTGAAAAATGAACATAAACAAATGCCTCAGTATGTCCATTTTCAAAGGATTAAAAAGTCATTCATAAAAGGTTATAGAATAGTGGCTAAATACTCTAATACTTTTGTGTAATTAAATTAATTTTACTTTTTAAGAAATTAGTAAATACAATACTATAATTGTGAGCCACCTTTTCATCAAATACCAAAGCTCCTCTAAGCAAAGTTTGGACTAGACAGATAAGATTTTAAATTCTTGCAATTTCAGTAAAGATTGCAATTTTTCCCATGTACTCAAAAAGGCCTTAAGCGTATAGACCATTATAAATAGCGAATAGGAAAGATTGTTTGACATAGGGCTATCTCCTTTTCATTTATCTCCCTAGACCCATCTCCTCATGCGAGTGCCCTCTGGCCTTATTTCCATTGGTAATAATCTGTAATTTCTGCTATTTTCTCTTTTCAATACCACTAAAGAGTCAGATTTTCCTTAGGCTATATTACCTATTTATAGCCATTTAGAACATTTTATACCAATCGGCACTTTGGAGCTGTATCTGTCAGTGTAAGTAGCATTTACAGGGTTTCTGTAGACTTTTATTACACGGTGTGACATTAGATTGATGGACTGTCTCAATCTTATTCCCTGTCAATTGTACACTGATCCATGACAGCATAATGGATATGTGACAGTGTTTGGAAGGGTGAGAGCTACTACAATAACATTTTGGGGAGGATGGATATCAGAGTTCCTTTTAATACTCTTCTTAATTTTCCCTTCACATTAAAATTTTTAAAAGCTGCCTACATTGGATATGCCAATTTTCTTCATCAGAAAAAAAAAATAGTACCTGTTTTAGACAAATGGTATTAAGTTTGATGGCAAAATAGCTGTCAATCATGCTGCACAGGGCTATTAGGCATTCCCTATAGCAAAGAGACTTCCAAAGACCCTTTCAGAAGGGAATCATGTTATGCTCCAGTCTGGGCCAAAGGCTATTACATCTAGGAAGAAATTCTCTGTTGAGGGAGGAGAAGAAGAAGGGTTTACTGCTCTTAAAGTAGGGAATTACTCAGGACTTGCCTGAGGAGATAGTTGAACCTTCCTCTAAGCAGGCTGTTCCAGGGAACATGCTTCTGTGACTAGCCAGAGAGCCTTTGAACACATGAAGATTTCAAGTGTATTTACTGTTTCAAAGGTTCCACCAGTGTTCTCTCTTAAGGGGCAGGGAAAAAGAGCTGCAAAAACATTTTCTCCCTTCTGAAATGTCACAAATAATACCCTTATGCCTGTGCTTCTCGGTTTCCTTGATGAGAGAGATTCCAGGAAGCTTCAAGGAAATGGCAGAGAGAGGACGAGTCAGCTGGGGGAGTCAGTTGTAAAGTGAAAGGCACTGAAGGGAGACAGCCATGACCCACCCTTGGCACTGTTTCAGCATGAGCAGGAGGCAAAGTTAACAGAGCTCAGACAAGAGGGTGGCAGCCTATGATATATGACATGGTAAAGGATACAAGACATGGAGCCTGGACTCAGCAACAAAGAACCAGCCAGGGGTGCATGCACTCTATTCTGAGTCCAAACAGAGAAGCTCAGCTGAAGGTCTGGAAGCTGTGTGAGTCAGTTTGATTTATTTAAACACTACCAAGAGCCATAGGATGGTTTATTTTTGGAAGGGACAGGTATTCTGAAATTATGCATGGGAAATGCATAATGTATCTCTGTTCATTGCCATGGGTCAGTGCTAAGTGCGTGCACACACACACACACACACACACACACACACACACACACACACACAGGCCAAGGTTCTCTCAGACATTTTTTAAGTGAGAATAATATATAAAACAAAAAGATAACGGACTCTGAATGTGCCAGTGTATTCAGTTAGAGAACCACAGGGTCATGACTAAAAGATCCTTATCAACACAAGCATAAGTCTTACACCAAGCTGTTGAATATTGAGTGTCCAGCTGCAGAAGGGTCAAAAGAGTATTGCAATCATTATCATGGCATTCTATTGCTCACTGGACTTATTTCCACCTCATCAAATGTGTTACTTGTCCCTAATTCACAGAGCCAAGACTCTCCCCGACTTCAAACCCAGTGGAGATGACTGGGTTATCTCCATGATTCTGATTCAACTAGGATGTTTGGGCTCTAGATAATAGAAGACTCAATACCAAATACCTTCAGCAATTAAGAATTGGTGCATGTGATTTACAAAGTTCAGAGGAAATACTGGTTTCAGAGAGGCTTTATCTGGCTACCCTAACAATGTAGATGAATCCGTCTCTGCATTGCTTGGCTCTACTGTCCCAGGATTTCTCTACAAAAATGGCTGCCAGTGACTGGCTGGACCGCAGGCTTTCTCTTTCACAGCCAAGGAAGTTTGAGATGGCCTTGGAAACCCATAGAAGCCATGGGAAAATGTAGATACTATTAATATTAAAAAATGTTTCCAGCAGTAAGAGAAGGGAGAAATGGATACTGAGTGATAATAAATAGCAAATGTCGACTGCTGCCCCTGTGTCACTTTATTTCCTCTGTAACATTTTATCTTTTGAGTTTCATCATACTCTTTATTAATGATTAATTGGCCAGTCATTTACTTAGCCAAGTAGTCATTCAGGCCACAAACAATTATTGAGCACCTTCTTTATGACTGGTATTATATAGTACGGCTGCAATAACACATTTCCACTCTTAAGGAACTCTTACTGTAGTGGGAAGAAGAAATATAAACTTTAATTAAAATAACAATGTATAAGTTCTAATTATGGGGTTATGTACAAGATATTGTGGCAGCATGACTATGCAGAAGGCCATCACAGAAGGCTTCACAGAAGCTGGATTTGGACTTTGAGCCCAATAGGAGCTCTTCAAGCTATGAAGGAATTACCTGCAGAAGAAATAACATGTGCAAAGGAAGAAGTGGGGGTGAGAAGTGATTTTAAGAAATAGTGAGTGGTATTCAGTATCTGGAGAGGAGACTGTAAGATAGGAATCACAGGCTTGGAGCCTGCAGAAACGGGCAGAGGCCTGCGATTTTCGGCCATGCTAATTGGCAGCCCTGAGCCTCTGCTCACACCGGTCATCTCTAGTCTTGTGCAGTCACAGTAAACTGTTTGATGGGGATCCACAATGGGGCCTATCCTATCCAGAATTTGTTCAACAAACATTTTCTAAATGTCTGCTATGAGCAAAGTACTGGGTCACTACAAATGCATCTCATGTGACCTCGCATGGAACCTTTCCATTGGTTGGAAATGCTCATAATCATCTCTCTAAATTGTGTCTTCTCTCTTTACATCTCTGTTCACTTCCTTTGCTTATTTTCTCTTACGATGACCTTGCCTTTCAAATGACTGAATATATTCAGGCCACATGTCAAAAGCTCTTGCATTCACTCTCTCTTAGGCTTCAGAGGGACCACCTACCTTTACTTTCTTTTTCAAACCTTAACGTCCATTTTCTGACGATGAGGCTTTTCTCCTCTTGTTTCCTGGTTGTAGTCGGTCAGGCCCCCCACAGGCAATGCCTAGCACTTCCTGATGAGAGATGCTCAGACAATCTATTCACTAGTTACTTATTTCAGTGTTAAATGTGCTCACGATTCTGCCTGAAGGATTCTGATATGGTTGAGACCCTTCCATCTTCTCTAGTCTTCCCAGTGATTTGTTCCATCATTCATTACTTCCCTCTTATTACCTGATTCCTCCACTGATTCCTGCCCACTGATTCCTGCCCACTGACATTCACAAATGCTCAGATTAATCCATCCTCCTCCAACAAAGAAACACTAAAAAGTATACATCAATTCTAGTCTCCCTTCAATATCCTCCTTTACATAAGAGAACAGCTTAGTCTTGCCCTTTTTATATCCTAACTATGCACTGATTCCTTAAACTACTGAAATGAACTTTTTATATAGGGTTGGTCACAAAATTTGTGAGGCCCTTTGTTCACAAAGCAGGAAAAAGATTTCTTTTTTTTCTAATCCTAGGGATCTCTTTTAACCCTTCATAAAGCCATTGAATTTATTTGCCATTGAATATAACCTCTCTTGGGCATAGGGATAGTCATAGGCAAGTGCAGACCCTTCCATGTGCTCAGATTGACTGAGATTCACCACACAGGGCATGTGCCTGACTTCCACCTTCCCTATAGCTGCACCCAGGACCCCACAGTGGGCAGGGCAACAGAGGCACCAGTTATTGCGTGGTGGTGGGGTAGTGACAGCTGAGAATCCCTCGCAAGGAGGCAGAGAAGCTGAGAGAGGCAAATCACATGTAAACTGAGGCTCCTAGACCCAAGTATATGCTCCAATATCCCATTGGACTTCATTTACAAAACACGAATTCAAAGATAAATTATGAGAGATTTCACGATAGGTTTGATTTGCATTTCTCTAATGATTGGTGACACCTATCCAGCCTTAAAAATGCATAAAATTCTATAATATGTACCAATATGGATGAACCTTGAGGACATTATGCTAAATGAAATAAGACAGATGTAGGACAGATAATCATTTCATTTATATAAAGTATCTAACGCAGTCAAATTCATAGAATCAGAGAGTAGAATGGTAGTTACCAGGGAAAGAGGTGAGGAAAAAAGGGTGGTTGCTAATCAATGGATAGACACTGTCAGTTAAACAAGATGAGTAAGCTTTAGAGATCTACTGTACAACATTGCACCTATAATTTATAATACTGTATTTTCACTTTAAAATTTGTTAAGAGATCAAATCTCATGTTGTGTTCCTACCACACTAAAATAAAACTTGAAAAAAAAGTCACGATAGCCACCACAGAGCATAAAACCCTAAGCATGGGACCCTGTGAGACTGCACCTGTCATATTCCCATGTAGCTGGCCTGTTTCTACAACTAACACTCTCACTTTTGCTCTGCCTCATTGTCATTATTCAGCATAGATTGCATTTGACACAGTTAATCACTCCTTTCTCCACTAGTATCTTAGTCATTTTGGGCTGCTATAACAGAGTACCATAAACTGGGTGGCCTAAACAGCAGGAATTTATTTCTCATGATTATGAAGCCTGGAAAGTTCAAGATTAAGGAGCCAAAAGATTGAGTGTCTGGCGAGGGCTGGCTTCCTGGTTTGCAGATGGCCATCTTCTCCTTGTGTCCCCAAATGGGGGAGAGCAGAGAGCAAGATTCCAAGTCTCCTCTTTTTGTAAGAGGATTCATCCAATCTTGAGGGCCCCCAAACTCTAATCTAACTCTAATTACCTCCCAAATGACCCACCTCTAAATACCCTCACACTGGAAGTTACAACTTTAGCATATGAATGGTGGGGTGGACACAAATATTCAGCCCACAACTACTAGTCTGCACTATTCAATCCACTACTCTCTCTGTCGCTCACTTTCTTACTTCACTGGCTGTTTTCTTTTCAACCAACTTTTCTGGTTCTCCCTCATCTGCCCAAACTCTTATTTCTAGAATGACTCAGGCCTCAGTCTTGAGACCTCTTCTCTGTTTCATTTACTAGTCTTAGGGATTTAAAAAACATTTGTATGCTGACATTTCCCAACTTCACATCTCTAACCTGGATTTCTGTTTTGAAACCCAGACTTCCATATGCATTTGGACATATAACAGAGATCTTGACATTTCCATCTAGACAAGTAAAGGGCATCTCAAACTTAACAAGTCCTAAACAGAACTATTGGCTTTACTCCTTCCTTGAAATCTGTTTTTCCTACAGTATCCCCCAATCTCAGCTGATGATAATTCCATTCTTCAATTGCTAATGGCAAAAACCTTAGAGTCATTACTGACTTCTCTCTGTCTTTTTCATACCACATTTTAACTCTCAGCAAATCCTATTAATTTTATCTTTAAAATACATCTAGGATCTAACCACTTCTCACTGCAACCAGGCTACCACTCTGGTAAAAGGTGTTATCGTCTTTCCTCTGATTTTTAGAATAGTTTTTTATTCATCTCTCTGCTCTGCCCCAGCAAAAGCTTCCAAAAAAATGATCCGGGTCATTTTTTTTTACATGGTGTCAAGCTATGCCATTTCTCTGCACAGAACCCTCCAATGACTGACTTCTCTCTCACTTGACATAAAGGACAAATTCCAGATATATATATATATATATATATATATATCCCTTAAGACACTGTGTGACTTAGCCCTGGTCCTGTGCTCTCTCTGTGCTTATCTCTTGCCATTCTCCTTGCCTCACACACCACACTGGCCTCTCTTTATTCTTCAGTGGTGACAGCAGGATCCTATTTCATGAACTTGGCACTTGCTGTTTACGCAAAAAAGGAGGCTTATAGTTTCACATGTATGAAAGTTCAGGGTTAAAGCTAACATCAGGTAAGGCTCCATCTAGCTATCCAGCAACACAATGAGGAACTTAGCTCTCAGGACTTTAACCAGCTCTCTGCAGTGATATCTCCATTCTCAGATAGCTACTCACCAGAAACTCTAGACTTGCCGACTTAGGAACATTAACAGAAAGAGTGTCTTTCCAACAGAACCAGTAAACATTTTTGAGAGTTCACATTAAAACACTTTGAGTTACATGCCAATCTCAAGAAAAAAAAAAGAAGAGAAAAGAAAAATGGTTAAAATATATGGCACTTTGATTGACCAGGCCTGAGTTATGTGCTCACACCTGGAGACTGTGGGAAAGGAAAGAGAATAAGAAATGTGTACTTCCCAGAAGGAAAAGATCTTATTTCTCAACATAAAATACATGTCAAATATGGCTATTTAATAGAATATTGTGTTACCATTAAGATCAGATTTTTGAAGAATATTATGTTTAATGACATAAAAGGCTCATGTATAATGTTAAATTAAAAAGTAGGATATTAAATGACAAAGAGTGAATGAATGAGAAAAAGAAAATGTGAATTCTGGAAGAGAATAAATGAGGTGTTAAGTGATAGTCAAGAAAATTTTCTCCCTTTGAGGGAAAATAAGCAAATATTTTATTTTTTAATGTTATTGATAATTTACCATGATCATGTATTTCACAAAAACATAAATAGATGGTTAGATAAGTAGATGAAGATAAGTATAAAATGCAGTGGGGCAAAGTGTTCATGAGCACAGCTTTTGTAGTTTTAACTTTCTGGGTTCTAACTCTGGATTTACCAACTATTATATATATAAGTTTGTGCAAGTTACTTAACATCTCAATCCTCAATTTCTTATAAGATAGGAATGATAGTGCCTATTTACTTTCTGTAAGGTAGGAATGATAAGGCCTACTTCATAGGATTATGGCAGGGAATAAATGATTCCTATAAACTGTGTGTTCGGCCCACATTTGGCTTAAAAATGTCATCATCATCAAGGTGTAGACCTGGTTAGAGGTGCGCCAAAAAGCAGAGAGACATGCTTCAACATTTTATGGAAGATTATCCATTCTTAAAGGACAATCATCTAGTAACTTTTAAAAACAACTTTTGGATTGGCTTTTATAACCAGTGCCTGAATGAAGTTGACTGAGTCAAATTCAAGACAAAAGAAAAGCCAATGGCTTATTTGTACTTTTGCCAAGAAGTAACCAAGGGCCTCTGTTCAAACACTAGGTATATTAGGTTGCTATCAGTCTGTCAGTCATCAGGGGATCAAGAGAGAGATAAGCTAGGTGGTTTAAGCCATGGCTATAGGCTCTCTTCAGGTAATTGTGCAGCAGTCTTCATTTCAGAGAGATCTTTTCTTTTTTTAAAAATTTGCTTCACAGTGAAATCTTTGTGGCCCTCATGTAAACTTCCCCAACCTCTAAGTAGGTGCCTAATTTTTTAATAAAAATAAATTTTAACTTATGCCTATCAGATGAGAAAACGAGAGAAAAATGTCACTGGCTGCTGCCTATCAAATAATTGGAGTCCTTGTGAACGGGCCCCTAGATGACACAGCAGTGTTAAATAAAAGATAAAATGGAAACAAGACTCTTTGAATAATACTGGCTGAAAGCAATTTTCTTCTTGAACTAGGGCACTGCTGATCTGAAAACCACAAATTTTGGGGAATCATGCAGGGCCTGATACTTTGATTGCATAGTTAATAAAGGATAAAAAAAACCTTCATCTCATACAGTTGATGATATGCAAAACAAACTCAAGATGTTCAGTGACAGAGTGGCAAGAATTCCAAATAAAAAAATGAAACAGGAACTAAGGCTGTTCTTTTAACTATTCACAAACTTACACCTATAGGGTCTGATGATTTTTTTTTTTTTTTTTTTGAGATGGGGTTTCACTCTTGTTGCCCAGGCTGGCGTGCAATGGCACAATCTCGACTCACGGCAACCTCTGTCTCCCGGGTTCAAGCGATTCTCCTGCCTCAGCCTCCGGAGTAGCTAGGATCACAGGCATGCGCCACCACACCCGGCTAATTTCGTAATTTTTTTTAGTGGAGACGGGGTTTCTCCATGTTGGTCAGGCTGGTCTCGAACTCCTGACCTCAAGCGATCTGCCCACTTCGGCCTCCCAAAGTGCTGGGATTATAGGCATGAGCCACCGTGGTGGGCCGGATGATTTGTTTTTCTTTTTAAACCACTGCACTGAGGTTTGGGGCCAGAAACTTAGTTTTAGATATTAATTCTCAAGATGTCTGCTTAGATATTGCCAGAAATTTATCTGACAACAAAAGTTAAATGCCTAAGGAGTTTTCATGTGTCAAAAAATTACTCTATCCAATTGAGAGTGTGTTTTAGGAAGACCCCTCCTTCTTCTGCCCCCTAACTTTCCTCCCGACATTGCCCTCTGTGTAAAGAAAGCTAATATATCTGACTCCATGGAAGCCACTTAGCTCAAGGCTCCCTGACAGTTTGTGTTCTTTCCCAGAATTGTGAAGTTTGGGTTTGAGAAAAAATAAGTATATTTTATATTTGTAAATGTATTCGTATTAAGTACATTCTTCTGCCAATATTGATGATGGTAAAAGGTTAATGAAAGAAATATAAGGAATGAGCCAGCCATTAAGACTCCAGGCAGAAAGAGAAATGTCTGGCCAGATGATATAATTCCAACAAGATAAAAGGGGTTAAGACTCCATTTAATCAAGTACAGCACAGGAAGAAAAGTTCCAAAAATTAGGTTTGATAGATGTAAGCAAGAGAGAAACATAGCATCATTTTTAAGAAATGAAAGAGGAAATTTTAGAGATGGAGCAAAGAGGTGACCAATGAGATGAGTCTTGCCTGGGTGGCAAGATCCATGGTACCTCCTGCCAGATTGTGCCTGTAATTGCCACAATCATTTTAGAAAGAAGTCTTGAAAACATTCTCTTAATATATATATATATATATATTTGCTTCTTTTTGCTAAATTCTGGGAATATCCTTGGATGTGGTAAGGGTCACTGAACTTTTTCATTTCAATTTAATGAAACTCTTTTATTTATGCTAAGATTCTGTCAATGTGAATATTATTCCATGCTCTTAGTGATCACAGTGTTTATGCTCTGCTTATGACATCTTCTTAATGAAAAGAACTTTGCTATGGTCTTGACCTTTTCTTTTCTCCCCAGATTATTTTCAGCCAGACTAGGCCAATTGAACTTGAGTCTGTTTCTTCTTTGTGCTTGATCAAATTGGTAATGGGGTAGGGGTTAGATACAGGAAAGGGAAGAATAAAGACCTGTGCTGTGAAAAATAGTAGCTGAGTTTAAAGGTGGCTTGACCCATAAACCTTTAATTTTATCAAGCTATGGCCTTTTTTCCCCTTAGAAATTATTTATGAGTAGAAATGGAAATTTTATTCTACTAATATAATTAGGCCATTCAGGGATAAGAATGCAAGTTCCTTGGCCTTTGGGTAATGATCTTCTTTGACTGATACTATCACCTGATCTGCAAGAAACTCTACAGGTCACTGATAGCCAGTGGGGAGGTACAAAAGAGGAACCAAGATTTCATAAGCAGAGATTGGCATTTAGCAGTAGAGCATTTATTCCTGGTATATATTTTAGGCTACATTATTGAGATTTACTCTCTAGAAAACAAATTAAAAGCTAAGTCTCAAAGAAATCAGGGCACTTAAGACCCTAGTAGAACCATACAAAGGCTTATCATGCTTAATCAGTGATTTACAGGCTTTTAAATCATTCATTTTGGGGACCAGGATTGATTCTGGAGCTCGAGATAAAGAAATGCAGCGAACACATCTAAAGGCAAAGAATAATAAACTGAGCACACAAAAATTGCCAAGCAAAACTAGGATATATGCATGTTCCTTCTTTTAAAATTATCATCTTTACCAAACTTTATTTGGCTTATGTGAATTCTACAGATAGCTTCCACATATTTAAATCCTAGAGCAACAACAGGTTGCTGAGATTGAGAAATAAGAAAGTCAAGGTTAAGACTTCTATGTCATCCTTAGTTCTAAATGATCTGCCCCTGATTTAGAGAGAGAGTCATCCATTGCCTAACTCTTTGATTGAGGAATTCTACAAGCAGATGATGATCTCCACTGGGAGGCCAAGTCAGCACAAGTTACTTTCTCCCCTAAAGCTGGAGCCAACATCTTCACGTTTGTCTATGACCATGTGTCATAGGTTGGGTTTTCTGGAAAGGAGACTGAGATAGATCATGAGGCAAATCAACAACTATAGAAGGGAGAGGAAGGGAGCAGATTCTGGCAGGAGTGATGCTGGCCTAATGACAACCTCAGCCAATGACCAACCTCATGGAGATACTTTAGAGCTAAAACCGTATCTTAATGTTGTCATGCATTGGCTGAAATGACCTGGCATTTGTATAAATACTCCAGCAGTCATTTGAAGTGGGCTGCTTTCTTAAGGGCACTGCCTTAGGTAAGAAAGTTCTCTGCAGCTGAAGCCATCCCTGAAGGGGCTACCAGCTGACACTTGCCTGCCAACAGCAACCTTAGCAGCTGGGAAAAGTCTTTCTTGAAGGGGAATTTAAACAGCAAGTTCTTTCTCTAAAGGGGATCTAGAGAGGGCATCACCATGGCCAACGCAACTTCAATTTCTGTTGTACTTACCTGTATTGGGTAGAAAAAAGCTGCATATAAATGTGGATCTCTTGGTGCACAGAAGATTAGTTAAAGGAAAATTTATCGTAATTTCCATGTAATTCTTGGAATGTTAATTCTTATGAATTTTTTTCTTTCTAAAAGAAGGCTTTCTAGTCATTTTCCCCCAAGTAGTAGTATAAAAATGCCTTGATCAGAGAATATATATATACACATATATATACATATATACATATATACACATATATACACATATATATACGTATATATATGCATATATACATATACGTACATATATATGTATATATGCATATATACATATATATTCTATATATATGCATATATATGTATAGATAGATAATACATATACATATATACATATATATACATACATACATATATTATATATATGTGTATATATATAAATACATGGTTATAGACTTATTTCCTCAAATCTGGGAGCTGTCAGTTGAGAAAACTTCCCATCAAGAGAACCTCAGGGCAGCTTTAAGTCTGGATGCACAGCAGTGTAGTCAACTTCAGGGGGTTAAAAATCCACTTAAGGTTTTAATAGTTTCAAGGAAAGTAGTTTCAAGACCCAGTATCTAGGACAAAAAACATCTCTAATATTCTGTAATTGTAACTCATCTGGTATAAGTTCTACCCCTAAAAGACCATTTTAAGTAGATTTTTCTTCACATTCTTGTGGTTGTAACCAAGGATCACAGTTGGAAAACAGAAGGAAAAAGTGTTGTCTCCCTGACCAGTGGCACAGAATTTTATCGAAGCATAGGAAAGCATGTAAAGATTATCTCTTTAAAGGCATTCCCTGGGCTGAGCTCCTTTACCAAACTCTCCTGCACTCTTTGGTGACCATAGGTGATTCTATGCTACCTAAACCTAAAACCAACATCTGGGAGAGCATACCGAGTTGATCTCATCCAGGACAATCCACTTTTTTCTTTATTAATTCCTTATTTAGCTGAACTATAAATATTATTAAACATTTGCTTATGAACTGCCAGAGCGCCATGCTGTTCAACAGATGAGGTTGGTGTGTTTTAATTTTATGCACACTCTGAACGTGCTTAGTTTAGCTCCTTCTCTGCACTCCACATTCTTTTAAATTCCAGATACTGGAGTTTCCCCTTACAGCCCAAGAAACAGATTTTCTTAATATTTTTCTGGTGGGGGGCAGGGGATTGCTTTGGGGACATGTGTGAAAGTTGGAGGATTATAGGGGTGGAATGGGTTATGACACATTTTCATTTGCAGCTGCTACGACTCCCTAGCCTTAATCCAGCCCAGATCTCAGCAGAAACTTAACACCACTCTGGTGACCCTGGAATTGCAGCAGAGGCTCAAATCACCAAATAAGGTAAGTCGTTTGTCATCTGAGCCATAAATATTTACATCCACTAGTGACAAATGTATAAAGAGTGTGGAGTGACTGTGTAATTTCAGCTGCTCTCCTCAAGCCTGTCAATAGTTTCTCTTATCTCTTGAAAGCCCCAATGACTGATTTCTGCTGGTTGAATAAGAATGCACTCTGCAGCTTGTTAACCTGCTTTAATTGTTCATTATAACCACATTAGTCACCTAGGAATTTTTTTTTTCCTTTTAAATTTAGGGCCCATTACACACATTTGTTGAGGCTGGGGACCATTCAGCCCCCTCCTGTGTCTCCCTCATTCTATCATATGTTCTATCCCATTGTTGCTACAAATCCAAGAGATTGTCCCCATTTTTTTTCTTCACTTTATTGAACTAAGAGCAACAAAACAATTCAATGTTTTTCTCCCTCCCACACACTCCCCACCCAGCGTGCATATAAGTGACTTAGGAGCTTAAGTCTTAATAATATCTCTAAGTAATTCTTAGACATAGACAGACAGTTCCTAAACCTTAAAAAGTGACCACACCACAAAGTGCTTATAATGTAAAAGTATTTTCCAACAAATGCCTAGAAAAATCTTTCAAATATTAATGGCCTGAAACTGATCATGTAAAGCAGATCCTGTTTTACTCTTCTATCAAGACGTAGACAACTAAGAAAAATAAAAAATCAGTTAAGATCACACTGTTGGTCTTTCATTCAATAAATCATTATGCAGAGCTTGCATTTATATATACTTACTACATAAAGAACTGCAAGGGTCAGATAGAGTGATAAACCCATATTTAAATGAATTTGAAATATGAGAACTGATATTATTATTAGAATTCAATATTATTATATCTCATTAATATGAGAACTGATATTATTATATTAATTCAACATTAAAAAACCTATCTTTTTTCTTTTGTTATAGGAATATGTTGACTGCTGTTGACTAACTGCATGTATACCTTTGTCATTAGGTGAAGAAAAATGGCTGTAGATTTCCCTGAAATGGTGTAGTGGTTTGATGGCTAAAATTCAATGCCCAAATGATAATTAGATTTACCAGCCTCTGTAGGATTTTTCCTGTAGGGAGAATTTGGGTTTAGCAAGAACTTAACAGAGCCTCAGAAACAACTGAGTTGATAACTTGCAGAAATGTGAACCCCACCTGAAAAGCAAGACTCAACTAACATGATCTCCTAAAAGTTTCCTAACACTCCAGCTCAATAAGGACTACACTTTTCTTGCTCCCATACCGTCCTATCTATATTCCCATTACAGCACCACACTGGAATTTGAGCTCCTCGATGCAGGAGTCAGTTGGTTCATTACAAAATCTCTAAAATTCAACACACTACTTTGCAGATAATTCGAGCATAGAAAATACTAGTTGAATGGATGAATGAGAAGGGAAGTTGAGAAAGACAAAAAGGAAAGGATCTTAAGAGAGGGAGTGTTCGAATTTTAAAATTAGAATTGCCAAGTGTCTGGAAATTAGCCCTTTCTTCTCATCTTCCTTATTAGTGCCTGCTTGTGTATATATGTATGTGTGCATATGTGTGTGT
The DNA here is from genome assembly GCF_000001405.40 of Homo sapiens. Taxonomy (NCBI): domain Eukaryota; kingdom Metazoa; phylum Chordata; class Mammalia; order Primates; family Hominidae; genus Homo; species Homo sapiens. The sequence continues at coordinate 83,101,330 of NC_000001.11, read as the reverse complement.
GTGTGTGTGTGTGCCTGTACATTATAGCAACCGATTAGGACAGCTCTGACTTTAATGTAGCAGTGACTTACAGAAGATTAAGCTACATTAGACTGCAGAGACACAGAGCTGACTTAAGAAGACTTATATTTGTATCCTTAAAAGTTATTTGGAATCTAGATATCCAAAATTAACAGCCATGTACAGAAGATAATTTTCAGTAACACACGGCTGCTATCCAGGGCCCAGTGCAGAAGTAACCTCTAGTGTACAATTACCTATTGACCGCCTGTTTGCCTTCAACTTTCCTAATATTCAGAGCCCTTCTAATGCTTTCTAGCTGTACAAAGTTCTTCCCTTACCACTGGTGCTTAATATCCTCAATGCTCTCAAATGATCTCTTCTTCCTCTGCCCAGCAAAACTCCCATTTCCTGAATTACTTATTTTCAGCTTGATATTCATGTGATTATTAAAATAATTGTCACTATGACTTAGAGATTTGATCTTCCCAGGATATTTGCTTTTAAAAGGAGGAGTTTCCTAGTCCAGATTAATTTCTAAGTGCTCAAATATTTATAAGAGAAGAGATATTTTAATCAGAATGACTTCTGGTGGCTCTTTTCTACACATACGTCTCCTGGCTAGGCACCCATTCCCATATTCATTGAATAACCCCGCCAAATAGTAAAATATAGAAGTCAGCACTGTTCAGTTTCATATGGTCGTACTCTGCATTCCCTTAGGTTTTTTGGCAAGTGTCCTTTTTACCCTGAAATTCTCAGTAAAAAAAAGAATTATAGTTAGACAAATGCAACAAGGCTTAAAAGGGTCATCATTCAAAATAGGAATCAAAATTGATAAATGTCAGTGTCACAGCCAACATTCCGTAGAGGCAGACAACCTGAGATTAAGACCTAAGACCTGGATGCAATCATATAGCCTCTTCCTCACCACTTCCTTATCTGTAAAATGGGAATAAATGCTCTTACGTGGGTTCAGAAAGTAATATATGTGAAAGTGCTGAGTCAACAAGCATCTAATATATCTAAAACAATGTTATTATCAATCAATAGACAACTTATATAGAATACTTAACATTTAACTATTATTCTTGAGCCAATATTTTCTCCTATGAAGAATGAATTCTCAGAAAAGAATGTATTTTATTATTTTAATTTTTTTTGGTCTTTACAATACAATTTAGTATTAAGATTTCAAAATAAAGAAGCCAATAGATTTTTCATTTTTATTCTGCCTCATAAGCTTTTTTTTCTTTTTCTTTATCTTTTTTTTTTTTTTTTTTTAGAGTTTGGGAATGAATACTAGAAGGTAGTATGTGTAAGTTATATGAAGACCTAATAAATTAGTGAGTGCACAGAACTCCAGAGTAATAATCAAAATCCCTCAAAGCCAGCCTCAATGGTACTTTTTCAACAAATAGACCTTGGGAATCTCACTGAATCTCACGGAGCCTTGGTTTTCATGTTGTGTGAAAGGGGATACTTCAACCATTTATTCAAGAAATACCATTAAGCACATTCTATATGTTTAGCATCAGTGATGAAAAACATAAACCCTGCCCTGGCGCCTGAGGGTTGACCTGCTCTGTCTATCACAAAAGAATTTTGTGAAGATCAAAGTAGGCCTATAAGAATGTGATTCAGCAACTGAAAAACTGTCTATAAATAGATACAATTAAGTCTTCACCATGCAAAGGGCTACCTATAAGAATGGTAAACAGTGATGTTTAATATTCAGTGAACATATGACTAAAGGAATAGGCTTTCAGATGTACTAAAAGAGCTTGCTAAGAGGGTATACGGAAGTTCTGTCTTATTTTTTTTGTTTGTTTGTTTTGTTTGTTTGTTTTAAATAAAGACTTAAATGCCAAAAAATGAGCAGGATGACCCCTTAAACTTCTTCCTACTTTTCCTTTCTGTAATCCTATGGCAGGCATATGTTGGTAACAATAGCTGAGGATTATATTTGAAAAATAATGGTACCCTGTCTTTATTTTTTATCTGAACATGCTCTAACCAGAATCTTTTTAAGTAGCCATCTGCAATTTAAATAAAGCCATTTCAGTTCATTTCTTTTGAACTTAAAATCTCTGGGAGTGTACAATAACAAACTCCTCTTATAAAACCTGATTTAAGTGATGAAAAATCAGTAAACTAGATAATAATTTAAGTTAATATATTTTCAAAGCCTTAAATTTCAATTCCAGAACTTGCAATTGAATATTAAAGCTCCAAGAAAAATTGTAGTTGGGCAGGTGAGTGAGCAAAAAATGACCAAATGCCTTTTGGTCTGAGTCATATGTTCTGTGTTGAAATTAGGTTCTGGGTGGGATTGTTTGCAATAGTTGCAGGTTTTCCATTTGCAAGAAGGCAGATTTTTTTATTTCATCAATATCCTCTCTTTCCTTATTGCCCTTGAAAGGCCCCAACAGTTCTAGTTACACGTGTGTGTATAATGTTTCTACATTGAGTTGATTCATTATATTGTCTCAAGCTTATTTCAGACAAGACTTCTACCTGCTTTAGTGCAATGGAAGCCTGTTCTATGTGACTTGAGAGAAAAAAAAAGAACTGTGGATCAGAGTGTCATGAAAAAAACGTATTGCATATCCTGAAACACCTAATAAGGTTGCTGCTAGGAGGGTTCTCGAAAATATTAGTGACACAAGAAATGTCTTTGGGAATATCTTCATCATATATATGTTTTTTTTTTCCTGAAGTGCTTCATTATTCACATATTATGAACTGTTCATAGGACTTGGCTTAGATCCTCTCCTTCAGGCACTCTGGTCTCCAGTGACTTCTTAAAGCAGTCTTAGCACATTCACAAGGCTTTTCATTGCAGTCCAGCCTGTTTGTAAAAACGATCCATCAATATCATGTTCAGATGACAGTCTATGTAGAACCTGCCTTTGCTTAAGCAGCCTGTCTAATGCTGAGAGTGTAGAATTCTATCCAGGAATGACATCTTGAATAAGTTTGGGTTGGGGCATATTGCATTCTTCTTCGAAACTATTTTTTCTTCTCTTCAGACATTTCCTTGCTTTTACAAGGCTGTAAAAATAGGAACACATTTTTCTTTCCTTTGAAATGATGCTGGCCCCAGCTTTGCTCTTCTCTGGGGTTCAAGATAATTAAATCTGCATGCGAAGAAGGAAATGTTTACAAAGCCATGATTTTGATGTCATATGCTGTATTCAACCCCAGTATGTATGACAGCCCATCCAACCTCTGCTTCTTGACATCAGTTGAATTATCTGGGTTGACATTTATGGAGACTATCATTTATAGGACTTTATGGTTGTCTTCTACAATAATATGCAAAGGAGTTCTCCAAAAGGTAGTTTCATAACTGTTACCCACATTCTGACTGATTCCTATACTTGCAGGAGAAGACATGACTAATTAGACTGAATTAAAAATAGCCAAGAAAGCTGTCAGTGACAGATATGTATTACTTCATGTACTAGTTCTGGTCCAGATGCTGAAGATATAGCATACTCTTCTCCCTTTTGCAGCCCTTAATTGAACTTCAAGTTGGTTTTGTGTATTTTTGGAAAGTGTTAATGGTTCCCCACCAAAAAAACACTCACTTTTTCTTCTCTTTAACATTACTACTTCACTAGTAGTCTTTTCCTCTCCCAGGGTGGGCTGGGCTGACACACAGCATGTGCCTTTTTCCCTAGATGCGAGGCTGTTGAAAGGGGTCTCATCGTTTGTTTTTTGCCTTCGGTACTCCTCACTGCATGCCCTAAGTCAGCTTATGTTTCTAATAGTCAAAACACAAACAGTCCCCCCAAAATATGACTTTATATTCTGGGGAATTGAGAAGAGGAGGACATCCAAGAAGAATATAAAATACTGTTTGCCATACATCTTTGTAGTCCACAGTAATCCCAACCTCTCATTCTAGAGGGTGGTCGGCTTTAAACAGCTTACTTGTTTGTCAAACTTAGAAAGACTGACACCACACTTGGATGTCTCCTTGTGGAATGCCTATGAGTATATTACTCACTATAATTACATATATTTTTTAAAACAATCTATATGCCAAGTCTTGAATTATATATATGCAGAATTTTATCTATTGTTAATGCTCTCAACAACCCTATGAGGAATGAACTATTATTTTCCCTATTCTCCAGTTATTGAAACTGAGGCTTAAAGAGATTTTATTTTTTCTAAGATAAGAGAGCTAAAACATGGCTAGAAGAGGACTATGTAGGCCAGTTTCTTCTGCCCCCAAAGGCCTATGATCTTAAATGCTTTATTACATTGCATCCTTAGGATCACAACATAGGAAAGACTTATTTTTAAATCATCACTTTATAAATGATGAGGGTAAGATCTTATGAGGTAGTGCTTGTTCCTCATTATTTAACGGCGGACCCAGGATTCCAATGTGGAGTCTTCTAACCTTTGGTCCACATTCTGGGCAATAATTCCTCTAGTGATAACAGCAGATCCTTGAAGAAATAATCATGTTAAAATACATTATACAGATAATGTTCAGGTTTCATATCTGTCTACTACTTTGCACCCCACCTAACAGCTAATCAATCTTTTATCATTTCTCATATTGTAAAATACAAAGTTTTGAAATTCAAGAGTAAAAGAAGCTTGACCACACTTCACCTTGAAGTTTCTGTCCTACTTCATTTCTACACAAACACTCCGATCTATCACATTCCTTTACTCTTATCATATAGAACAGCCTATGTGAATTTTTCATTTGTACAATTAATCCTGTTTGTTCCTCTATTTACTTTTCCCGAATTTTATGAATTATAATTATCATTATGTTCCAAAGGATGTAACTGAGGTTTGTAGAGGTAGGGTAAATTGCTTGGCTTATTTAAATTGTAATTTCCTTAAAGAAAGCAGTATGGTGCCATAGAGAGATCGTGAGTCTGGACACAAGAGTGAACTAGCAACAGATAAATTTGGTGAATTTCTTCTACTTCTCCAAAAAAGCAGTTTTTTCGTTTGAAAAGTTGAAGTAACACTATCCAACTCAATGAATTGGAAGGGTCAAGTGTGATACTGTTAGAAAAGCACCCAACACATAGTAGACTCAAAAATGTGTAGTTTTCTTTTCCTTTACATTCCATAAAATTGCCCAAGAAATGTTTGCTGTTAGGCACAACATTTTTAATTCAAGTGTTTGTTAAGATAGAGAGGAGCCTGAGTAGACTGTCTTTTGCCTGATGCTTAAAAACGCTTAGGGTCCAGTCAGTGATGTGGATTCAAAATGGAGTGAAGCTGTTTAGCAACAATGTAAGTTAGTTCAGCCACTATGGAAAGCAGTTTGGAGATTTCTCAAAGAACTTAAAGCAGAAATATCACAACCTACCAATCCCATTACTGGGTATATACCCAAAGGAATATAAATCGTTCTACCAAAAAGACACATGCACCCATATGGTCATCACAGCATTATTCACAATAGCAAAGACATGGAATCAACCTAGATGCCCATCACTGGTGGAGTGGCTAAAGAAAATGTAGTACATATACACCATGGAATACTATACAGCCATGAAAAAATGAAATCATGTTCTTTGCAGCAACACGAACGCAGCTGGAGCCGATTATCATAGGCAAATTAACGCAGGAACTGAGAACCAAACACTGCAGGTGGGAGGAGGGAGAGAATGTTCCCTACTATTTAGTAGCAAAACTATCAAGTACCTATTGAGTACTATGCTCACTACCAGGGTGATGAAATCATTTGTACACCAAACCACAGCAACATGCAATGTACCCATGTAACAAACCTGCACATGTACCCCCTGAATGTAAAAGTCAAAAAGAAAATTTAAAAATCTCCACTTTTCACAATCCCCTCACACTTATTGAGAAAGCAGGCACACTAAACCATTCTCTTATTTCTTCATGAAGGACTATCACTCCAGAATGTAACACAGGAAAGAAGAGAGAAGAAGAGAAAGGAGCTACCTGATGAAAGCACAGACCTCTATTTGGCTTGGAATCTGGGTTGTGTCATTAGGGCTCAGGCCCAAGTGCTTTTTTAAGGGACAATCTTCAGATACTGCTCCCTCTAACACACGATTTTATTAGATGATAATAGAAACTGGATTTGCATTATAATAGAGTTGCTTGTGCTGGACTTCAATATTTTAACAACCACATAAGTTAAACATTCAAAACTTCAGTGGATAGTGTTTGACACAAAGATAGGAAGAAAAATATCTAAATCACAAAGCATTCAAGTCCCATATTTTAAAGCTTTGACTGATATATTTTCTTACACCTGTATCTCAGCCAACAACAATAATAATGGCAATGAACCGTTATAGCCCTCTTATAGTGAGCACCATTGCCCCTTTCATAAAGAAGAAACTGAGGTCGAAGGATTGAACTGTGTTTCATGGTCTCGATGAATGGACTGAATTGTGCCAGACACTGGAAAATGTGTTCTCTTTCTTTTCTAAATCAAAACATCATTCTGGTTATATAACATTCTTATCTATAATCCCTGCTTCTCAGTCTTGATAACCACAGAAGAAGCTGATTTTTTTTCTATGTGAAAAGAAATGTAATTTAAATCTCTACTTACAATTCTTGTATAAATTTTGTTAAGTAAACTTCCTCCATGTAAGAGACATAGGGATATTCAGAAATCATTTCCTAAAGAATTCTTTTACCAGTAATTTGTAAAAGTTGCTGGGTTGCTAAGCTATGGTTAAGGCATTAGGAGTTGTGTTGTTTTGAAATGAAATTAGTTAAGTGGAAAATTACTCCCTATTCACCCCCAGTTACTCAGGTCACCAACTATATGGTTTCCTCAGGGCCAAATATGTTTCTGTGCAACTTTATGGTATATGTTGAGCTTCAAAGATAAATGGAAAATTTATTAAGTGACCTAACCTGACTTTCCCCAAATAGAGGGTGGCTTGTGTATCTGTCAGGGCAGGCTACGTTTTGCTGTGGTAACAATTCCAAAAGCTCAATGATCTAACACAATAAATAGATTTTCTACTCAGTCTATGTGAACAAAACAGGTCAGCAATAGGACTCTGTTCATTATAGCAATCCAAGGGACCGCCATCTCATAGATGCTTCAGCTCAATCCATACTGCCGCAATTGTGTGCTAAGTGGAAGGTTGCATGGCGCATCACACATTGGCTCTTGTGGCTTCCACCTGGGTGAGACATGCATCACTCCTACTCATTTTTTCACTGGCCAGAGCAGACCTCATGACCATGCCTAATTTCAAAGAAGGAAGAGAAGTACAATCCCTTATTTGCCTGGAGGAGGAGGTCTGGATTATATATAAACAGCCCTATAGTGCCTACCATAGCAGGTATTCCAGCTTCACTTACCAGATGGTTTGGGGCCATTTGCTTTGCTTCCACAATAAAGAGAGGTCAAACCACCCACTTCAAAAAAGGCTGAACTCCTTTGTGCTAGCCCATAGGTGGTTGGCCTTCAAGTCTGTGTAAGCTGCCATGGCTTATTCATCATGCTTAGGATATGAACTTGTTTCAACTTTTTGTCCAAGCTCTCTGTGAATGAAAACAAGTAAATCTTATGTATTGGTAGAGAGTTGTTGAAGTTACATTTGGTAAGATGCTTGGTAAATGTCAGTCATTTAGGCCCCATGAATTTCTCCTTAGTTCATCTACTGCACTTCCTTTTGACTGGCTTGCAAGTAATAGGATAAGCATGAAGACTAGAATTACTTGCCAAATTTGAGAACTGACACTCATTTTTTTTAAGTATATACTCTCTTCTCTCTCATGGAAAAGATGAAGGTAAGATCTAGTGATAATTACTTAAGCTATTTAAGGAGTAGTTGCTGGAATAATTTTCTAAATTCAAGTACAGCAAATATTTGAGTTTTTAAAGTAAAAATACCCTAATGTGAAAGGACGGAAAAACTAGGTTGCAAGATAAGATGGAGTATCAATTAAAGAGAAGTATATTGCTTAAATTGGGCAATAACAAACGACATAGACAGAGATAATTGAATACAAATAAGAATATTTGAATGTGCAATTGTACCTAAAGAAATATCAGTTTAAATGTTAATATTTAAAAAGTTTAAGTTTGTACTATTTTGCTTAAATGGTTATTCTTTGTTAGAAAAGGAAATATTTATAATCTATATCTAGGAAAGTTGTACTTTCTTTAGTGAGATTTTGTATTTTAGATTACATTATTTTCTGGTTCCAGGGCGCTCTCATCTCGGGATCAGAAAATCAGAACTTTTAATTGCTAAATATGAACACCAAGTAATGAGGTGAGAGTTAATGGTAAAGGAGCCAAAGACCCTGTGAGAAGCTTCTATTTCTGCTTTTCCCAACATAACAATATTGAATGTCATGTAATAGTTTTGTCCTTACTCTCCAACATATGTGATTATGTGACAGTTACATATTTTTATGTCTAAGGTAGCTAACCTGTTTTTGGATGCAATCCAAGACAGCTTTGGGATATTTTAATTTTCTTGTACAGTTTTTAGCAAAGCATTTAAAGATTGATATTAAAATGGTATTTGGTTAAAAGAACTTTGGACACTCCAATACTATCTTAAAGTCATCAACTTTACCCCACAAAGGCAAATATATGTGCCAAAGACAATGTTTACAAATTAATATTACTCCAAGATTATAGCCCTACACTGCAAAATACAATTCCTATGAGCAAGTCATCCATTTGTGCAGACATGCTTTTTCTTAGATAAAAAATCATTCTAAAAGTGAATCCAAAGCAGGCTCAACTTCTGGCTTTTCTTCTTTTCTCACTAAAATGGCACACTAACATAAAAGAGAAAAAATACAAAGTTGGACATCACTGATTTGGGTAGGCCTTTGGAGGTGGTGGAGAATTGAGAGGTCAGAAGGAAAAACATAGACCTTGTCTCAACTCACTGTTTTGGCATCCCAAGAGAAGAGCTGAATTACAATAATACATAGGATCATTATGTGTCTCTTTGTTTAAACTATAGGATGGAATAGGATTAACCAATTGGTATTGTGGTGTAGGTGAGTTGTGGAAATAGATTGCATATGCTGTGGTTGTTCTGCATTTTTTTAAATCAGTTATGTGATAAATCTATATATATTGATAGAGGTTAGAAAGGAGTGGTTATAAATTCAAGTGCATGGCCAAGAGTGCTTCTACCTTGCACATATCTGAAAATCTTGCCTTGATTTATTTTATATTGTTTGAGGAAAAAGTGAGATTAAATATGCCAACTACCTAGAATAAGACCTGAAACATAGTAGGAGCTTCAGAAATACTTGTTATATTTATTAATAAATTAATAATGCCTATTCTTTGATCTAATGATAAGTATTGCTAATGAAAGATGAGGATACACTTACTTAGTACTTCCCAGAATTTAAAGCCTTATTAAGAAGTTTGTACATTACCCACTATTTTTAAAGCTTCATTTTGGTTTGAGATCTGAGGACTGATTGTTATATACAGGCTTCTTCTAAAACATGCCAGCCTTCTTAATGTAATTTTCTGTACATCAGTTGGTGTATCATTAGATAATGTGCTGAAGGGTACAGCAACAGCATCTTAAGAGATGGTACAAACTCAAAGTGCTTACAGGGGTTCTCTTTTTTTTATATTCTGTAAAAATAATCTCTATGCTTAATTCCTTGCTGCTATCCACTCTGTCAATTTGAGTTGCAGGTGACACTCAGTGATTAAAATTTTTAAGTGCTGACATTTTTATATTCTAATTTCAAAATTCACTGCTATGTATTTGCTGAAATTGATGTGTTAGCTTTACTTATTTGAGCCAGCTGGTCCAACATAGAATTTTTTTTGAAGATTTTAATATACTAGGCTTAATAAATTCTTTAACTACTTTTTCACGTTTCATTAAATTACACTTGGAAGTGCTTGCTGATTAGCCACTTCACAGAAAAAGCAAAGTTAAAGTTATTAAAATATCTTCAATGCCTAAGAGGAAGTATGTTATTTAGAGAAATAACAAAAACTGAATTGCTTATAATTTTACTCATTGAATGTTGTCCTCTTCCCATCCACCTTCCTTCAATAGTACTGTAAGTACAAAAAAACTTGTACTGTACTTGAAGGATTTTGTTCTTTATTCTTGTGTATTTTTAAAAATGCTAATAGTCTACATCTAAATATAAGTTTATGTGTACTGGGAATATGTTCTTAAAATTAGCTTCATAAAATATAGCATGTCCTTATTATTTGGCATTTTTAGACATGAGAGGTATCATACGTATAACAACATATATTATCAATTTTCAAAACATTACAAGAGGAAGAACTTTAAGCTTTAGACTTCACATAGTGCAATCTCGCTTTAATGATTCAGAAAGAATTTAAAGACTAAAATGTCATGTGATCAATATTATAAACTTAATTTGTCTCCAACACTTTCTCACTTTTGAGAGATACCAAATGAATAGCACACTCAGTTAATCAAATGTAATGTTGTTCCTTTTAGAAATTCTAAATTAGAGCAGTAATTCTCAAAATGTGGTCCCCAGACCCACAGTGTCAGTGTCATCAGAGACCTTTGAGCCTTTCCCCAGACCTACTGAATCAAAACATGGGGGTGGGGCCCAGCACTCTGTGTTTATCAAGTGCTCCAGGTGATTCTGATGCAGCTAAACTTGAGAGCCACTGATTCAGAGATTCACTATGGAGCAAAAGAAACATGAGCTGATGACCTTGATCTTGGTTTTATTGACTATAGGGTAGCAATGCCAAGTATTGGGCAGTCCCTTTAGAGCAAAGTGTGGGTCTTAAGCGGCAATAAATTTGAAAGGGAAAATTTTTGTTTCCACTAAGGTCAGAAGATTGTTCCAAGGCCTCACAAGGAATGTAGCTGCTGATTAAAATTCTTATGAACACATAACCACAAAACAATCCTTTCACCTTGGCTTGGCTTTAGTTTCAGGATATCCCAGGTGGGTGGGACTAATTCCAGGGCGTTGGTGGTTACAGATTCCCCAAGTTGCTAAGGAGGTTCACTTGGATTTGTGCTATTCCTTTGGCATGAAATAGGGGGTGAGGAAATACCTAAGGTTTTTAAAGATTGCAACTGAGAACAATCGTAGGGATTATAAAGAACATTAATTGAGTGTAATGTTACCAGATAAAATACAGAATGCTGTGTTAAATTGGAATTTCAGGTAACCCACAAATAAGTTATCTGAGTATGTCCCATGACATATCTTGGGCATACTTATACTAAAAACAATATTTGTTATTTATCTGAAATTCAAACTAAACACAGCATCATATATTTTTATTTGCTAAATCTGGCGATTTTAATTGATTGTCTACTATGCCCATTTAATCTTTCCAATAAAATACTTACTGTATTTAGATAACTAGATATTTGCTGTTGTGTTGATAGGTTAATTTATAATTTTAAACTTATCAAATATCATATTTGTCTGTGAGGGTGTTGCCAAAGGAAATCAGCATTTGAGTCAGTGGGCTGGGGAAGGCAGACCCACCGTTTATCTGGGTGGGCATCATCTACTCAGCTGCCAGCGAATATAAAACAGGCAGAAAAACATGAAAAGGCTAGACTGGCTTAGCCTTCCAGCCTACATTTTTCTCCCATGCTGGATGCTTCCTGCCCTCAAACATCAGACTCCAAGTTCTTCAGCTGTGGAACTTGGACTGGCTTCCTTGCTCCTCAGCTTGGAGATGGCCTATTATGGGATCTTGTGATTGTGTGAGTCAATACTAGTTAATAAACTCTAATTTATAAATATATAGATATATCTATCTATCATCTATCTATCTATATAGATATACATACATACATTAGTTCTGTCCCTCTAGAGAACCGTGACTAATATAGAAGGCATGGGTTGGCATTGCCTCCAAGTTAGCCTCATTACTGGCTGGCTAGTAAGCTTTAGTATTTGCAGTTCAGTGTGAATAATTGAAACTAGTCCTTATGTTTGGAAAAAAATAATTAATATAGCTTCTTCTCCCATAACTCTTTGAGTCTGAGGCATTCTTTCCATAGGTGCTGTCTTATTTTCTGTTGTCATAACAATATCAAAACTGGGTAACTTACAAAGAAAAGAGATTTATTTGGCTCATGGTTCTGGAGACTAGGCTTCTTGTGAGGGCCTTCATGCTGTGTTATTCCATGGCAGAAGGCAGAAGGCAGAAGGGCAAGTGAGTAAACAAGACAGAGAGAAAGAAAGAGGGTGGAACTACCTTTTATAATAGACCTAGTCTTGTGATAACTCACTTCCAAAGTAACAGCATTAATCCATTAATCCATTCATGAAGGCACAGACTTTATAACATAATCACCACTCAACTTAATAGTGTTACAATGGCAACTAAATCTCAACATGAGTTTTGGGAAAGACATTCAAACCATAGCAGGTGCCAAGGTTTGGCTTTCCCTCCACTACACAAAAATTGGTGTTTTCTATTCCTGCAGTCATCATTGTGTCTTTAGGCAATCATCTTGTACTTTCATGCAGACCTTTTTTTCAGAAAGCTTATGTGTAAATGAGGCAGGACAATTTTATAAAAATGAGAAAGACCCATTATGTCCCCCACTTTTGGTATATGTGGGCTACTGTAAGGGGACTTGGAGAGAAAGGTCATCAGCAATGTTGTTATTATCCTTATGATACAGGATCATGTCAATCAATCAAGAGAATCTAAGTAACTGATCCAAAATTAAATTTGAATTACCTAGACCATCTTTTCACTAGGCTGCCACCAAGAGAGTTAAGAACCAGGCTTTCTAAACCCTTCATTCTAAATCAAGGGAATGAAAGAAGAATCATGCCTAGGAATGGTCAAGGCAGAATCCTAAATGGTCTATATAGTTCCCCCACCTTTCATCTTGATTATTATCCAGGAAGCAGCCAAAGGGAATGCTGTCTTTCAGAGACAGCCAAATCCAGTGACCAAACTGCCTTACTAAGGAAGAGGTGAGAAGAGTAGAGCTGGAAATTTTCCTATGTTGATTTTTGAGGAGATCCTTTCAATGCTCAAACTGACCAGGTGCCTGTGGGTGTTACAGAGCACGGTAGCCCATTGAATACCTTGACCAGCAGCTCTGTAACATCAGAAAGCTGAAAACATGACACAGATTAGGATCAAGAACCATGGTAGTGTGGCCAGAGTTGGCTGATTGGACTGGAAGAGCAACACTGTGACCTGAAAAGGCACTGACAGCAGTGAGGCAGCACTTTAGCCCAGAACAGTTAGTAAAAGTTTCAACTTAGTCATTTTTCCAGGAATGAATAAAAGCAATGCCTCATGTGTTGTGGCCTCCTTCACTACTAAAACACTGGTCAACTTTAGCAGGATTCACAACTTCTGACATGCATTCGTAACTTCTGTGTCAGAGAGATAGAGTCCCTTACTTTGTTCCTAGTCTATAATAATGGGTATGGTGCTGTGTTTAGTAGCATGATGGATCTGGGCAATAACGATGGCAATTGGGAGTGTTCAGGTTTGATTCTATTCAGTCTTCTCAGAGAATGAGATTTTACCATGGACATCTACATGAGTGACGAATTGCTCCCTTGCCATGATTTGTATCCGTCATTCACAGCTCCAAAAAGGGGTATCTTCAATTTGCCAGCTTGTGGTTTTCTACAATTGCTAGTCCATTGGCAATAAGTCAGTAAAAATATAGCATTTCATCAAAGGAGTAGTAGCCAGAGCTGTGAGAAGAGCATTGAGTTTTGCGCTCTGAATGGACCGACCCCATCCATTTTTCATTCTGCATTGCAGATACTGAGGTTAAATGGCTGTGGTAGTCCAATGGACAACATTAAGCTTCAGCTTAGCTAAACTGTCAATGAACCCAGTCAAAGCTTTTAGGGAACATCTGTGAATCAAGGACCCCTTGGAGCCAGCTTTTCTGTACATAAAAAGAGTGGAGATAAAGCTTCCCACAGAGGGATAACTGTCAGCTATTCTTGTAAAGCCAAGATACCTCTGAGGTCAGGGATGTTGTTAAAAATATCATTGGCATTGGACAAGCAAGGCTGGTTGGTAACTCAGTAACCTCCCATCCTGGTAGTTATTGAGTCTGAGTTGACATACACTCAAATGGAAACGCTCAGCAGTAGCGTTACAAGTCGTCCATGGGCCGGGAGTTCGGTTTTGGCAAGACCCCAGGAACAAGCCAATACTTGCTTCTCAGAAAGGGTGGTAGCTGCGTCACAGAAGCAATGAGTCCAAACCATAAGAAGCTCCCCTAAATAGAGGTTACTTTCCTCTGATAGGATACTTGGCAAAGCCAAGTCACAGAGACTTTCAATGTAAAGGAACTTATTTTGTGGTTTTATTTGGGTTAGTAAAAATCTTTATTGAGAAATGAGGGTTCCAGAATATACTTTGAATTTACTAATATGATTGTTCTTAAGGGATTTTTTTTTAGGAGTGTGGGGCCCCAAATGTAGAGTGTGCCACAACTTTCTAGACAATCTATTAATTTGGACCTCACACACAAAACATGCTGATTTGTGGCTTAGCCAATATAATAGACCCAGTAGAATGCCCCAGGTAGAAATACACTGTCCCGAATAGTCAAGCAGTTCAGTAAGGTGTTGGGCCTCATTTTGGTGGTAGAAAGCTGAAGCAATATTTTTTTCTTTGACTGCTAGGAAACTGACATTAAGAATCTGCCCATATATGGAGGTTGCAGTGAGCTGAGATCGTGCCACTGCACTCCAGCCTGGAGGACAGAGTGAGACTTCATCTCAAACAAAACAAACAAAACAAAACAAAACAAAACAAAACAAAACAAAAGAATCTGCCCATATAGTCTCAGGAAACTTTACCTGGTGACTCATAAAATGCTTTCTTGTTTCAGTGGGAAACAGTCTTCCAAGGCTACTTGCTATACAAACATCCTTGAAAGATAGCCCAGAAGAAAGGACAGCCAGTGCCTCTGCTCACAACACATGCAAAAATGTGAGCGACCCATGGAGAATTATCTCTCAGTACTACACACTGAAAAGGGTGAATTTCACTTCATGTAAACTATACCTGATTTTTTGAAAATCCATTTAAGCTCTCATTGAAGAAATCGGAAGGATGGGAAGGTGATCTCAAAGTTATTTCTTCACTGTCCTCAAGGGATTTATTTCCTCTGTAAGACATTTTTGGGTTTTGTTTATTTTTTTAAACATACAATTGGATTGCAAACTAAACAAACAAAAAAACGTGCAGATCCTTAAGTGAAAGGACCTAATAATGTACATACTATATACTCAAATGCCATTAGCACTAAATTTATTAAACTGAATTCATTCACTTCTACATACCTTGAGACATATATTGAGATTAGTGAAGACATATTGCTTGATATTATAATTGCCACTTATTTTCAGAAAAGGTCAAATGTGTGATGATCTATTTCTTAGTATTCCAAAGGATCCTATAGACTCAGGAATAAAAAAAGTCTTGAATAATTCCATGAGAAGAATGGAAGTTCCTGTCATTGATTGCATACTCTGAAACTCAATATTTTACTTAATATAAAAAGAACTTACTCTAGATTGCTCTATAGACAAAGGGTTTCTGGGTCTTTGGCCCATAATGGTTCTCAGTTCTGACTGCATACAAGAATTACCTGGGGAGCTTTAAAAATAATGATGCCAGACTCCATGCCTACAGAGCTTGATTTAATTGGTCTGGGGTGGGGCTTACGCTTTGGTGTTTTAAAACATTTCCCATGTTATTCCAGGGTTACAGCCAGGATTGAGAACCCCTAGCCTGTGCAATGGAATATGCTGCCATGTAAGTTTGCTGTAGCTCCTTGGTCTTGTGAGAACATTTTAACTCAGAACCTTTAGTATTATATAACTGTTTGAAAAAATAAAAGTACACAAAACAGTTTAGACATTTTATGGCTTTGACTTTAAAATTCGGAATGAAAGGTGAGACTCAAAGTATGTCATTAATTTATTTCAGCAGTTCTTAATTTGGGCGGGATGGAGGAGGCAAATCGGAACCACCTGGGTCATTTTTTTCAAATTAAAATAGCCATGTTCCCACCATGAGATCTTAATATTTGAAAAGGCATGTGAGTTGGGGAGGGAGAATTGTATAATTTTTAAAAGTTCTCCAGATGATTCTGATCCCCACATGGCTACAACTAATTCAACTTTTGTAGAAAACCACTGGATTACTTCTTTTTCTTCTAACTTGCCAAAGGAGTTAGATCGATGTTAAAAGGATCAGCGGTCAACCACAAGTTTTTACACTCTTGTTATGTGATCAGGTTAATCTTTTGGGAAGCCTCAAAATACACGTCTTATAAGAGGAACGCTATTGGTTAAGAAAGACACCACAAATTAGAGCAATTTAGGCACAGACATAGCCAAAAGCTTTCCTACTTTTAAAAATAAATGTATTCTAGGAACAACTACAAACTTGTGATTATTCTTGGCAATATAAAATTTATACAATGAAAAGGAATAATCGTGTTAGTCCATTCCATGTATCATATTCTGGAACCTACACTTCTCAATAAAGTTTTTGACTAATCCAGATAAAACCACAGAATAAGTTCCGTTACATTTAAACCTAAAAAAAGGAATTTTAAAACTTCATTTCTATGGATACACTATGTATGTGACTTGCTCAGAAAGATAAGTCAGAGGTGTCTCCCTCCAGTTTTTCAACCCCTTGCTACTCAAAGTGTGGTCCGTGGACCAGCAGTATCTTACTACCTTGGGACTTGTTAGAAGTGCAGAATCTCAGGCTCCACCCTACACCAATCAAGTTGGAATCTACATTTTAACAATATTCCCAAGTGATTCATATGCACATTAAAATTTAGAAACTACTGCTCTAGCCCACTGTTTTTAAGACAATCAACTAAACGTCTGCCCAGAAACAAGCAATAGTGCCCATAAAATGGCAGTAGAGCAAACAACATAAAAAATAATTTGTTTTATTAATAACAGAATGATTTACAAGGACAAAAATAAAAGATTTTAAGATCTCTAGTTCTCACCCTAAACCACTGAGGTGGATCCTCACACATTAATGTGGTGGGATTTTCATCTTTCTCTTTGTAAACAGTCAATAGATGATAGAAAGTAAGCTTGTGTTGGTGTAGGTAATAGAGGTATTATGTGTTTTGTTGTTATTCTTTTTATCTCAGTTTTCCATTTCTATTTTGGAAAGTGAATACAAGAGGCTGTAATTTGCTAACAAGCAGAAGTGCAAACTGCTCTTGGGGGAAAAAAAAAATACAACCACAGCCTCCACCTGTTCTTTTTACTTCGAGGCAATGCTATGTAATCCTATTTATCCTGGTATCACATATCAAGGCTAAAGGGGCAAGGAAGGAAGGCCCAAACTTAAATCGAGTCACCTTAAATCAATAAATGGCCTTATGTTCTTTAAAATGATAATGAAAATCAAGTTATTGATTTCCAAAAGCAGCCTCAACAAATTTAATATTAATTTTAAATTTAATATTAATTTAATATTAATTTAAGTATTTAAAATTTTTAAATAATTAAATTAATTTAATTATTTAAATTAAATTAATTTAAATATTTAAATAAAAATATTTTAAATAATTTAAATTAAATTTAAATAATTTAAATTTTTAAAAATTATTTAAAAATTTAATATTAATTAAATATTAAAATAAAATAGTAATATTTATTAATATTAAAAACAAAATAGCAACAATACTGACATAAGTATTTAAAGAACTTATTCTTTCCTACTGACACATCTGAACAGTTCATCATATGGGATTTTTTGCTTTTATTGGCCTCATCTGTATCTCCTTCAGTTATTTTACTATGACCCCCATGTGAGAATGCTTTCATATCATCTTTCTCACCCAGTTAAGTGACAAATGTCACCATGAAGGTAAAACTCTAGATTTTCTATTAAGATCTGCACAGTAAGTATTTTTGAACTAAAGATCATTATATCATATGCATAACATTTTCACGAACAGGCCACCAGAGGATCTTTTTTTTCTTTTCTTTTCATAATGTGTAAAACGCATAACTTTAAAATTTCCAATTTCTATAATTTGGGTCTGGATGGATAATTATGTCACTAACAAACACCATGCTTGCAAATAACATGTAGAATTGCACTTAATAAAATCCTTGAAAAGCTGTGCCAATAGGTGGACCATGTATAATGTAAAAGACCAAGCACTAATAAAGACCATGCCTTATAAAGAATGCAGTGTGGATTTGCCTGATACACATAGAAACAGGTCTGCACTTTCAAAGTGACACCTTGTGCCAAAACTCATAATATGAGACGTTTGGCTCAATGCCATTATAGGAGATTCTACTGTTGTTTTTCTGCAACGGCCTTAGTCCAGTCTCCTAATCTCCATGAAAAAATGATTGAAAAATGAAACCACTAAAAAAAAATTAGAATAACATGCCTAATCAAGTCATTAGTTTTTTGTTGTTGTTGTTGTTTTTGGTTGTTTTATGTTTTCATATGATCACCTGTCTTTTTCTTCTTTCAGAGAAGCTCCTTTCCATTACGTGTTTAGGTGAGAAAAAATAGCCTGACTTTCATTAAGCTCTAATTTAATGATTCTATTTTCCTAAGTCTGTTCCAGTCCAAATGTGATTTCATGGCCATATCAATGGTAGGAGAAATAGAAGTTTATGAAATGCTACATTCTTGGGAAATGGTAGGTGGCCGGGATAATTGTTATCATTGCAAAAGGAAATTTAAATGGAATTGGGAACTAAAAAGTAATTGGTCTAGAATTTATGACATAAGTTGAAATTAGACTATTCTAAAACAGATTGGTCTTAAATTATAGAGATAAAATTTTGGTTGCAATAAGAGATTAGGAGATGATAAAGTATTTCCAATAGTGTCTAGCAAGGAGTGTAACACCTGTTATTGATCAAATGAACAAATGAATTCATAAGAATTGCAGCATTCTATCATTTTGAATTGGATTTTAAAAAGCCAGTTAGATATCCTAGAAAACCAAGTGTTGATTAAGAACTTATATTCCAATTATGCTGGCTAATCAAAATAAATTACAATTTGATAGAAACCTCTTTGTTGTATTGCATGCTACTTTTGGCAATTGTTGACATACTGGACCACATGCTACTCTCAATGTTCTCTTTTTGGAATTATGGAATCCATAATTCCTTGGTTTTCTTGAATTTTTACTTTACTGACCATCCTCAATGCTTTTGACAAGGATTTCTGTCTCTATTCTGTCATTAAATGGAAGAACCATCTAAGAAAATTCTGAATTTGTATCTTGAGCCTGTATCTGTCTTCTAAGTTTGAGTTTTGTAGCACCAAAAGCTTAATTTTCTTACTGACTTTATGTCTCATTGGCTAACAGATATTAAGCTTCACATATTTAGGAGGACAATAAAAATTAATCCCTAGTCTTTTCCATCTCAGAAAGTGGGGCCATCATACATCTAATTCTTCCAACTAAAAACCTAAGAGATATGCTTAATTTCTATCTCTTCTTCACCTCCCAGCTCTATATAATCCATCAACAATTGCTGTTACTTGTAGATCTATAAAATGTCTTAAATCCTTTCATTTTCTTCATGTTTACCTTCAGTCCTAAATCATCATCTTGCTGCTGAGTTACTGCAAAAGCCTCTCTATATTCATATGTTCACTCTTTTCTACTTCTATTCCATTCTCTTCACAGCAACTAGAGTGGTTATAATGATTGCTACCTTGCTTGAGGTAGTTACATCGTTTTCCATTGAACTCAGGAAAAAAATCAACCTAACTCTTGGACCTGTAAGGTCTTACACATGCTACCTCCTGCCTACCTCTCCAGCTCTGTCTCATGTCACTATCAGCCTTTTTCTGCAGGGTACAGCCACACTGGCCTCCTTTCATGTCATACATTCCAGCATATTTCCTTTTACAGAGTCTCTAATTTGTTTTTCTCTGTCTGCAATGTTTTTTCCCCTACTCTTGCTCTAGGCCTGGCTGGCCACTTCTCACACTTCAGGTCCCAAATGATACCCGTGACTTCTCTGACCATTCTTTCTATAGTAGAACCTTGGCTCTCAACCATCACAATAACACTCTGTCACATTCACTGTTGATTTGCTTGACAGTATGTATCAAAATCTCTAAGTATCTCCTCTCTTTCTTCCTTTCTTTCTCTTTTTCTTATTTAAATGTAAGCTGCATGAAGGTAAAAAGCTTACCTGTCTTGTCTGCTGCCTTATGCCCCACATATTGCAAATGCTTAATAAGTAATTGTGTCATAAATAAATGAGGCTGTGAAAGAGCACTTCTCAGTAGTAGTCATTTAAATGTAACACTCAAATAACAATACACTTTTTCCTAATGTGTCAAAAGGTAGCAGAACCAATAGCTTTCTTTGTCCTATTGCACCATGTCTAAGATTCTTATATTGTGTGAAATTACAAAGGACTTGCTATGGTTTGAATTTGTGTCTTCAAAATTCTTGTTGAAAGTCAATCCTCATTGTGGTGGTATTAAGAGGTCTAACCTTTGGGGAAGTGATTGAGAGCCCCCACGAAATCATTAGTGTCCTTATAAATGAGAATTCAGAGAAAGTCTGTCCCCTCTCTCTTGCCCTTCCATCTTCCACCATGTAAGGACACAGCGTTTGTCTCCACTGCAGGACACAGTCACAAGGCACCATCTTGGAAAGAGGGAATGGGACCCTCACCAGATACAAATGCCAGTGCCCTGATCTTGGACTTCCCAGCCTCCAGAACTGTGAGAAATAAATTTCTGATCTCTATAAATTACCTAGCTGGTGATATTCTGTTACAGCAGCACGAACTAAGACGGGTCTTTCTTCTCTTTAAGATAAACGGTGATGGTAATGGTTAGGAATGATTACCTTAGCCATGGCATTTGTGTTCATTAAATATGGAAATACTTAAATATAAAGCTGCTGATATTCCCCTAATTATTGGGTTTAGGTTGACTATACCTTGAAGACAAACTACATAATAACAAATTATAGTATTAGAATTATTGTTATTCATGATTTGTTGAATTCAAGTTGTGAGGTTAGCTCTGTAGAGAACAACTGAGAATACAGAACTTTGTTTCAAAAAGCTATAGATGATTCAAAGATTGCATTTCTCCTTTTCCTACATCTCCATTTTCTTTCATTTCCTTTCCTTTCCTTCACCCTTGTAAGGGTATGATATTTTGAGCATCCTCAGTACTCTCTCCAGCAGATGTTAGCATGCATATGCTAATTCAACACACTTCCTTCCTACTCATTCCTAAATTCATAATATCTTCAGTGTTTTCTAAACAAAAACACTCCAACTATCCAGATCACAAATACTGATATATACTTGGCAAAAATTTAGCTGCAGAGAGACTGCACTTTTTTCTCTGAAAAGTTTTCAATTTCCTCTGAAATTGTTGAAGTTTTGATCTTCAGTTTTATAAGAGTTTTCATCCTCAGTGTGTGGGTTTCTGAAAAGGAAAGGATTTCTATCTGATAAAAAACAAAATAATGTGTGCTTTTACATAATTATTTAAAACTATTCCTAAATGTGGAGAATAGTTTATGTGATAAATACTCAGGCCAGTAAATAAAACAATATGCAGCTGTGGCCTAAAAAAATCGTCCTTGAAACATTTCTTCCCGTAATTACCCATTTCTTTCAGAAGGCATTTCACTTTCCATGTCCTGGATTTATGTATTTCTTTATTCATTTTTTATTAATTTAACATTTATCAAACACCAATTTTGTACAATAAATTATGATACACAAATTGAAAAACACAAAGGTTATTAAGGTGCAAGAATTCTCATTAAGGAGCTTACAGTTTAAGTTAATAGGCCATGGACATGTGTATGAGTCTGCTTGGGCTGCCATAACAAAATACCATATGCTGGGTAGTTTAAACAACAAAATTCATTTTCTCACAGTGTGGAGGCTGGAAAATCCAAGTTAATGATTCTGGTAGGATTCAGTTTCTGGTGAGGGCTCTCTCCTTGGCTAGCAGACAGCTGCCTTCTTACCATGTTCTCATATAGCAGAGAGAGAGAGAGAGATCGAGAGAGAGAGAGATCTTTCCCGTCTTATAAAACCACAGTCCTACCAGATAATCTCATTTCTCATTTAATCTAAATTATCTCCTAAAGACCCTATCTCCAGATACAGTCACACTGGGGGCTAGGGCTTCAACACATGAATTGGGGAAATAGATCGAGACACAATTCAATCTATACAACATACTCAGCTGTAATTCAAAGTAAAAGCAATGAGGGCCATTAAGAAATACAGTAATAAAAGTATTTCAATTGAATTTTAAAGAATGAATATGATTTTATGCATATTTCACATTGGGTGACAGAAAAAAACAGCATGAATAAAGCCAAAGGTAGAAAAGCATGAGAAACTGTGTTCAAAATACCTAGAATAGTTAGCCCAGAAATAAAATGCAAGAAAGAGAGTAATAAGAATAAGATTACAATGAACCGTGTATTGAGGCCAATTTAAGAAAGACCATGAATGCCAGGGTAGCATACATACTTTATTCAACAGGAAATGAAGAACCATTGATAATGTTTAGGTAAGGGAAATGCTTGATTATATGTGCTTTCATAAGATAAAGATGGCACACAGGTTGGATCATAGGGAAGTAATTTAGAGAAAAAGAAGTCAAACAAATCACATGTTATAACAGACTACCCAAATGGTAATTAGGGGGTCCAATGGTTAAATGAACAAAAGAGAAAAGATAGGAGAAATATTATAGAGGTAGAATGAGTAAGACTTGGAAATAAATTAGACATAGAAGTGGAAGAAATAGTGGTTCTGAACTTTGGTGCATATGAGCATGTGTTCCTGTGAACTATATTAGACCAGTGAAAGGAGAAGCAAGTATGAGAGTAAGGTTATTCAAGGCACACTATGAATGTAAATATATCCAATTGACAGATGGTAATATTGGACTTAACTGTAGTGGTGATGGTGGGAATAGAGGATTAGAAAAAGAATTCTAATTCCTCTGAGCTCATTGTATTTCCAGGAAATGCCCTCTAGTAATTTAACTTCTACAGAGCTTCTTAATGTTTAAAGGGTTAGTACAAGTAATTTGAACCAATTGCTCATCCATCAGTATTTTTTTCTTTACTCAATAGCAAACAGTTTATTATACAATAATAAAAAGAAGAAATTCTTGAGGTGTGTGCTACTATTATCGCCATTTTGCAATTGAGGAAATTGAGGCCTAGAGTAATTAAGTAACTTGCCCATGATCACAGTGTGTGAAAGGCAGATCTGGGCTTTCTAATCAAAATCTTTATCCTACAGTTGCATCTCACCATAAACCTTGAATCTCTGCCAACCAATGATTTCAGGAGTCATTCATGACCTGAAGTTAGTCTAATAGTTCTAATCCTAGTGGATGCACAGAGTGTGGGTCATTTGGCTTTCATGTGTCTATTGAGCTTTGTCACCAATAACCCTATGTTTAGTTTACTAAGTGATGATTGATTTACGCTGCTGCCCTTGAGGCTCTGCTCTATTCTTTTGGTTGGAGCCTCACCTATTCTGGCATATATTTTTCCCCCTTTCTCAACAAATTAGTCCCTGATCTGCATAACACTACCCAATAGCTTGGGCTTTCCTTCAACCCAGTTTAATGGTGTTAGAAGCACTGTTCTATTACTCATCTCACTTTGCTTAGAGATCCTCTACCCAACTCCTCAGAAATAATCCTATTAAAAACAGCTGACTAAAATAGAGCTGAGTTGCTACCTCTCCCTGGAGGCCAGACCTTAACACTGGCTGGCTTTATTCCCGCTCCTTCATCATTTCTCTAAGCCTGCTGATGAGTATTAGTTCCTCTTGTATTATACTGGGCATGGCATAATAAAATTAAGGTTGATATAATCAGGAAGGTGTTTAACGGTCTTATCTAAGAAATGCCATGATGAGCATATTACTACCCAATAGAAGTAATCTTTTTCCACTCAGATGCCAAACAATAATTACATTTTGCTTTAAAGAAGCATTCTCATTAGAGATTTCCCATTGCTAGAGCACAGGATGCAATAGAGAGACAGATGACTGACAGATGCACAGAATAGTGTGAGAAGATAATGTAGCTTAGCAGAAGAACAAGGGACTTTGAAACTTGTTTTGGGACACTAGGCAAGCAAATTTTCTTGTCAGTTTACTTAAATTTAAAGTGAAAATAGCAACTATTTTGTATGGATTTTGAGAGGCCTAAATGAGATAATTTTTATAAAATACCAAATATTTTCTACTTCCTGAGACTTGGTGGGTCAAAATAAATGACAGTCATTATCATCATTGTTATCATCATCACTTTTATTATTAAGCAGAGCTTCACTTCATGACAAGAGAAGCTATTTCTTAGTGACAAGAACTAGCATCTGGTAATTTTAAGACCATTTGAAAAGAAAACTACCTTCAATATAGATGATAATCATTAAATTTAAAGTTCACTTTGAGCAATTCTAAATGGAAAGATGCAGAATTTTCTGCAAAGAAAAAAAGTTATATATTGGAATAGAAACTTATGGAAAAAAATAGTACACAACATCATGAAGAATATCCATAGAACCTGAACAATGAAAGACTGGAAGAGACCCAAGCTGTAGTAACAAACAACAAGCTAACCAAACAAAAAAACATCAAAACTGTTGAGTGAGGAAAATAAAAAATTAATATCTGAACCTCGCTACATCATATTCTAGTTTATATGATTATGTTTTAGATACCTTGATCATTTAGCTATATGCACTTTTCATTCTCTAGTGTGTATTGTTTTCTTTATTGTCACAATTGTACATTGTCACATGGACAGGACAGACCTTATTTACTCATTGTAGCCAAGATTTTCTAGCCCTGACTGAAGAAACTATTGACTGTACTCTTGTAGAGTGGGGATATTATTAACTGTTTAACCAAGGGAGCCCTTCAAAAAAGCCCCTTATGTAGTATTTAGAACATTGAGTCATCTAGTTGCTGCTTTAAAAAACAGGGATGAAATCTGTTGCACCTTGTAGAAAGTCTATCAGTAAGTAAAGGGTAGGTTAGGCTGCAGTAACAATCCCAAAATTGTATTGGCTTACAACAAAAGTAGGTTAATTTCTTACCCACGTGACTTGTCAGTTGAGAAGAAAAGGCAGCTCTTCTCCATGTCTATTCACTCCAGGATTCTGGCTACTATTGCTTGTCATCTTAACAGGAAAAGGAAAAAATTTTTGGTTAACCATGCATTGGTTCTTACATCTTCTCAGGTTCTAACCTTTCACTGGGCAAAGTAAGTTTTGTGGCCTAGCCTGACATAAATGGAAATGAAATGTATAATATTCCCAGGGAGGGATAGCAAACTTTATTTTGTTAGCAATAATACAATCTATCACAGGAAATCTCATTACCTTTTGTCCCACAGGAGTGCACATTTTAAAATTATTTTTCCTAGTTATAGTATCCTTCTTTCTCATATTTCCCCCCACCCCCATAAACATGTAACATTTTAATATTTTTAGGATATATTGTTGCCAACTACAATCCAAATAAAACATTATTTTTTATGTTAAATGATGTTATTTGTATCATTGTTACTTTACTATCTACTATCTAGGAATCCTAGAAGGAGTTGAAAAATGAGCTCTAATTAACACTAGATTTTCCATGCATCACAAAGCATGTGCGTACCCCTTATGGGTCAAATTTTCATCTATGTAAAAACTTGATAATTTTACCACATATCCCTAGAGGGACCACTGTCACAATTCAGAAGAAGGCAGTGATGGTTTCCAGAAAGTGAAGAGCATTTCTGAGTCTTATTTTTAGTAAAGCTACTTAATAAAAAAACACACAATTTAACAATGGCATTTTAGGTTAAAGTATCAAATGAGGCTTACTTTTATGCACTTAAAAAGTTTCTATTTATGTGAATCTGGATAACCAGACACTTTGATTAAGTCAACTCAATTAGGTCTAAGTCCCTGATATGTCTCCTGGGTCTTATGTAGAAACCTCTCATTCTATGCCAGACATCAGAGGCAACATCAGAAAAAAACAGAAGTGAAATATTCTGTGACCACTGTAACACTGAAGAGTAATGCTAAAAGACACTGCCTTCTAACTCTTCCAGGTTAGCAATATATATTTGTTTCTCAGGTAAGAGTTTCTCTTGGTAAGAGTTTTTTGTATGAGAGAAAAGACAATATTGGAGCAAGGAATGAACCGTTCATGAGCTCATACAGTAAACTCCTCCTATTTCTCTTCTTATTAATGCCAAATAACTGAATCTTGCTCATCCACATAAAAGAGTCTAAAATCAATGGAAGGTGAATACGGGACAATAGCAACCATAGCAATATAGTGCATTACAGATGTCATACACACACATACACACACACACTCACACACAGCTCTGATAAGAAAGATGGTATAGCGTAGTGGTCTACAAACTTTCCCTGTATGTCAAATCTGGTCCAACTCCAGCTTTCGTGTGGCTATCAAGCTAAGAATGGTTTTTATATTTTTTAAAAGTTGAAAAAAGTCAAAAGAAAAAAATATTTTATAAAATATGAGAATTACATAAAATTCAAATTTCAGTGTCTATAAATAAAAGCTTTATTGCCACAGACACACTTTTCTTGTTCATGCATTGTCTATGGCTGCTTTGACAGAGATCACAGGCACATGGTCCACAAAGATTTACAGAAAAAGGATGCTGACCTCTGACTTACACCAATTCAGAAAATTGCTAAGAAAATGCTTGATAATCACAGGCATAAACCCCATAACATAAAGATTTTTGGTAAATGAATGTTGTCTTCACTGTGTGCGTTCACGTGTATGTGTGTGTAATTTAGACAGTGTATTTAATACGGACCAGTAAGATTTTTTTACCTGGCTTGGCACATCCCTAGTAAAGACTCATTAGACAGCATTTGTGATCCAAATGTTGTCTTCCTTGCCTGTAGAATCTGAAAACTTTATAGATTTTCTTTGATTGAATTGCTATAATTTTTGGCCTGAAATTGACTCCCAGACTAAGGTTGATCCTCAGGCTTTAAGATTATTTAATTGACAATGAGGTTTTCTGATTTCACTTTTCAGATCCTATTTCACTTATTGAATATAATGACCTTGAAGTGTTTCCTTCTAGTTTTCCCAAAAAGCTCATAATTTTAATATCCTACTACTTTAAGAATTAATTTGAGAAGACAGTCCTCATTTCAAACATTTGGCAATAAGTATGTTTTCTAATATTTCACTTTAAAAATATAATGCTATGTAATCATTTTCAGACAGTTTTCCTTTCACTTACATTTGAAAAAACATTTGAAAATACATTTCAACAATCTGGTACTTTCATTTTTAAAAATTCAACTAATTGATTAATTGTGCCCTCTACTACTAAATGAGAAATGTTACTGAAGTTCATGATTAGATTAGAAGCTTTGGAAATGGAATTATGTAAATGCTTGCTTTTTTTTTCTATAGAAGACAGACTCCTTACTCTTCCAAAAAATTATCAAAATTTATTGTATAAATTCTTCCATTACTTTCAAAAATTCACCAATTTTAGTTATATCCATCACACTGAAGTTCCTATATGGCACTGCTGTTGTTGTTTTCCAGATAGTTTCTTCATTTGTTTACTAGTGTCTTTCTATTATGAACATCAAATTTCATAGCTTGGTGAAGAAGTTTCATGAGTTCCTTTTTGAATATGGTATAATAAAATATAAGGTCCTATGAATCTAAAAAATATTAGTATAATATAAAAAGGGAGCAATAAAATTGGCTAATCAAGTACATCATTATTTACCAGTTTTGTCCTCCCCCCGCCTTGATAGCAGGCCTTTGTTATGGAGAAATCTCTAGGTATATTTCATGATGAGTAGTCTTCTTTTGCTGCTACAGGTAGAAGGGTATTTTCTTGAATCTGCACTGTGAGAATCTGGGGTTAAGGAAGAAGGGGCTGGTTTTCCAGTGGTAAAATCTACAAAAGCGTGCTCTGCCAACACTGTGGCCTCCAATAGTTTCTCATTCTGAAGCTAGTTCACACTCAGACTCCAGCAAATTGTCAAAATTGCCATATATACCAATTTATGGCACCAGAGACTTCCACTTCAGGTTGACAAATCTTGGCTCTTACTGTCTGGATTCATACGTCTCCAGATTTAGGGTATTTTGCTTTGCAACCTCAAGTTTCTACGAGTTCAAGACAAGTTGTTGATTTTCAGTTTGATCATCTTTTTTTGTTGTTGTTGCTGTAAGCACAAGAGTGAGAACTTCCACACTCTTTACAGATCAGAGATGAAAATGAAAGTATCTCTCTTCCATTTTGGGGAAGGGAGTCAGGGGATAGATCTTTCTTTCTTAAAGCTCAAATGTTGCCTATTGAAAGTGGTCTTTCTAGCTAAAATACATGCCCTCCAAGATTTCTCTATATCACATTATTTGTATTGTTCTAATTAATGGGAGCACTCTGATCCCTAAGCTGATCCCTAAGCTATTGGGATCAAAATCATGAGTAGCATTTGGATCACAAAAGCCTAGAAAAGTCACTACCCAGAATTGGAATGTACATGATTGAAAAACAAATATTTATTGTGTAAAGCCACCATCACGCTTTAAAGAAGAAAATTTCTCTCTATGGTTAAGAGTATATGAACTACGCTTCTTGGTTAGAAGTACCAACCAGTTTTGGAGAGAATAGACTGCAATCAAATTCAAATGTATTATTGTTCTATGCTTTTTTACTTAAATAGTTGCCAATAATATAATAAGTTTTTACAAAATAAAGAAAACTGGGAAATGATTGACTTTTGTTTGAGGGATAATAGGAGAAAAACTAGACCTTATGGAAATTTGATCAACCTGAATTGCATATGATGGTCCTAGATTTGAGAAGCAGAGAAAAGAGAAGATAAGACAGCTTGTCTGAATATGGTTGAGCACTACCAATATCCTGCAGAGTCCATGTCTCTCTGCTCTCCATAGTTCTAACATAAGGTAAATTCAAGGCTTTTAAAATGTAGAAATGTGTTTGCTGGTAGGATGAATAATCAAAGATTAGCTGTACACCCCAGAAAACTATTCCTTCTCCCATGATTATGGAGGTAATCAAAGATTAATATTCCCTTCACAGAAAATGGAGATGGAAAGAACATGTTGGCATAAATCTTGTGTATAAACCAACAGGAGTTCAACAGACTTAAAAAGCAATTCAAAATAAAATACTTCTCAACTCTTGATTTACATTATATAGGCAGCCTAACTATAAACTTGACAGTTCTCTTATTATAAATGAACTCTCCTATGGTTCATTGAAACATTTTCCTACTTCTAAGCCTAAACCTCTTCATAAAAATAAATTAACATTTTGGTTTGCAATACTGTATTGTAGATCCTTTGCTTTAGAAGCAATATAATATCTTTCATTATCCCTCAAACACTATAGACTACTAAATTTGTGTTTATTATACTTCATTTAATCATTAGTATAAGCTGCAGCAGCCAAGAACCTCTATTTGGATTATTGGCAATTACCTGAAACACTGTAGATAGGATAACAGAAATAAGGCTTTCCGTTTATGACCCTTTTCAAATCAAAGTACCAGTGCTCATAGTCTGAATCTTGCCACTTCGAAAGACAACATAGAAAATTAGAGTAAAATTATCAGTGTGCTGTGTTTTTTGTCTTGCCACTTCGAAAGACAACATAGAAAATTAGAGTAAAATTATCAGTGTGCTGTGTTTTTTCACCACTTCTTTTGGGAAAAGTATTGATGACTAATATGGCACCATTGTTAGCAGCATGAATTTCAGAGTTAAATAGAACTTGAGTTGAATCTGTAAGTTTGCTTCTTCCTAACTGATCTTGCACAAACCTTAACCTCTCTAAGCCTTTGTTCTCTTCTCCATAAAATAGAAATAGTATTATTTACCTCACAGAAATATCTGTAGTACTGCAAATGATAATGTTATTAATGTGTTAGCATTGAGTCTAGATTATAGTAAGCATTCAAAATATGTTAACATTATTTTCATAATATTATTTTAGCCAGGAGCCCTAAAATTTGTAAATTTTATTATACTCCAGGGAAATTAACATAGAAAAAAATTTGATTATTGCAATTATTCAGGAAAAGTTACCTTATAGATTGATTCATTCAATTTTAGTCTCTGACATTCCATCATACTTTGTGTGCGTGTATGTACTTATGTTTGTCGTGCATGTACTTAGGTTTGTTGTGCATGTATGTGTGTTTTGGAATACCTTTTTTCGGGGGTGAAGATTATCAATACAAATTGCACATCTGATTATCTTATCATCTGGTATTTTTTTTTATTCATCCAGAAATAAAATACCAATTTCTTGTTCTGGCACTTAGGACTCCCTCTATTCTGAGCTTCATACTCCATAGTAGGAGGGTTAGTGCAGAAAGTTTGGTACATTTCCTATTGCTGCATTTCATCCCAAGGCAATAATAAGGGCTCATTATTTCCTTCTTCTACTAATATTTTGGATACCCTCACTCTCAAACTACACTTTTACTGCTCTAGGTTGCTTTCTCCATAAGTTTTGAAGTAATTAACTTGCTGCCAAAGAACTGGTTGGTGTCTTTAAGAAATGGTACCCTTAAAGGTACTATTAAAGACTCAGTGATGGTCTCTGATACTCATCAGGCTTAGTGAAAGGAAGTGTAAGCAGTTGGGTTCACAGATAGCCTCCTTCCACTGTATTTATTCTGTTCATGGGCCCATTGTACAAGCACCAACATGGCTAATGACAGAAGCTGGCTTACACGTACTGATTGAATCATTCTCTCCAGTTGGTTGTCCAGCAGGTCTTCTGTAGTAAGCACTCTAGTGAGCATTGATGTAAGACACAAAGATCTATAGGCATAGTGCCTGTTCCTAGAGGTCCACATGTCTAAGTCTACTATTCTCTTCCTCAACACTCAGTCAATATAATTCTGGTATTTTACCCCACTTATTATAGGCGATCTGTGCCTCTAAACTTCAAAGAGCCACTCCATGTCCCTGTGAGGATATTAAATCATAAATCACAGAAGATTGCCCTATTTTTAATAAATCTTCCCTGTCTTGCCTTATATTTCAAATGCTTCTCAGTGCAACACTCTAGGATCACCGTCATAAGATAACATAAATGTTATCTTATTAAGTGCCATTAAATATTATAAATGCTTCAGCTTCTTTTGGTGAATAATTCATACCAGTTAGGCCAGGATAAGGCTTGATGCTAGTGATCCAGAATTACTAGGGGGAGGCAAGTAATTCTTCACAGAGCTTGAAGAGGATAAACATCCTCTGTCACACATTGACCTTAGATGAGACTTTGGAGTGGTTTCCAAGCAAGGAGGTCAATGCTCTCCTCTTGCAATCTTGAGAGAGGTAGGCAGTCAGCTTGGACTTCTAGAACAAAAGTGTCATAGACTAGGTGGCTTAAACAACAAACATTTATTTATCACAGCTCTGGAAAGTGGTAAGTCCAAGATTAAGGCTCTGGAAGATCTAGTGTCTAGTGATGTCACTCTTTCTGGTTTGCAGGCTCTTCTCATTTTATCATTGCATGGCAGAGAGCAGAAAGGTAGAGAAAGCTGTCCCATCTCTTCTTCTAAGGACACTAATCACATTCATGAGGGCTCTACCTCATGACCTAATTATCTCCCAAAGGCCCTACCTCAACATGCCTTTACAGTGGGGATTTGGACTTCACACATGAATCTGGTGAGGACACAAACATTCAATACATAACATAGGGATTGAAAGTTCTATAGCATATCTACATATTAAATGTCTCAGCTGAGGTCCCAGTGTCTCACTTCTCTACTATGGCCCTGACTTTGGCATAGATTTTCTGGAGCTGTGAATTTAGATTTGTTAGTAATTCCACCTTTCTTATAATCAAATGGTGGGCCTAATTTTTAGCACATGTTATACTTCATCTGCAGTAGAGGGTCTCAACCGCTGCCATGAAAGCTTTCTGCCTTTACAGCCCTGAGTAGATAGTTGTTTGACCTAAGCTGTCATTCTTTTTCT
Source organism: Homo sapiens (assembly GCF_000001405.40). Classification (NCBI taxonomy): domain Eukaryota; kingdom Metazoa; phylum Chordata; class Mammalia; order Primates; family Hominidae; genus Homo; species Homo sapiens. The sequence continues at coordinate 83,069,284 of NC_000001.11, read as the reverse complement.
GCAAGGCTTTTATGTCAGTTATAAAAAGTCAATCTGTTGTACAATTTTTATATTTATTCTCATACTTTTTAAGTTAGGGAGAATTGACTGTTAAGCTTTACAATGCATCAGAATCATCTGAAGGGCTTTTTAAAACACAGATTTCTGGACCTCAACCCCTGAGTCTCTGATTCAGCAAGTCTGGGATGGTGTTTGAGAACTGGCATTTCTACCAAGTTCTCACATGATGGTAGTGCTGGTGGTTCAGACACCACACTTTGGGAACCAGTGTGATAGAGCTATTAAAAGTCAGAGCTTTCTCTTCCCTGTCCCTCATCCCAATTCACCAGGGATGAGAATCTATATGATTATGATACCACATCACACATGGCCGATAATATTCCATTTGTCACCAGAAACGGGACCCTTGTTTCCATGCGATCAGCAGGCAACCCAATTCCAGATTATCATCCAGAGAGTCTTTTCTAATGCCTCTACTAAAACCACAGTTTTAATTTGGATTCCCCTAAAAGCAGACCCTAAGACAGAGATCCGAATGCAAGTAATTTATTTGGGAGATGTATAAATCTGGGTCCAGTTAAGACATAGGAACTACCCAGAAATTTGAACGTGGAAGATGTATTAGTCCGTTCTTGCACTGCTATAAAGAAATGCTGGAGACAGGGTGATTTATAAAGAAAAGAGGTTTAGGCCTGATGCAGTGGCTCACTCCTATAATCCCAGCACTTTGGGAGGCTGAAGTGGGTGGATCACTTGGGCCCAGGAGTTTGAGGCCAGCCTGGGCAATACGGTGAAATCCTGTTTTTACAAAAAATATTTAAAAATTAGCCGGGCGTGTTGGTCCATGCCTGCAGTCCCAACTACTCGGAAAGCTGAGGTGGGAGGATCACCTGTGCCCAGGGAGATGGAGGCTGCAGTGAGCTGTAATCACACCGTTGTACTCCAGTCTGGGCAACAGAGTGAGACCCTTCTTCAAAAAAAGAAAGAAAAGAAAGGGAAAGAACGAACGAATGAACGAATGAACAAATGAAAGAGAGAGAAGGAGAGAAGAAGAAAGGAAGGAAGGAAGGAAAGAAAGAAAGAAAGAAAGAGAGAGAGAGAAAGAAAGGAAGGGAGGGAAAGGAAAGGAAAGAGAGAAAGGAAGGAAGGAGGAAGGAAAGAAAGAAGAAAGAAAGAAAGAAAGGAAGAAAGGAAGAAGGAGAAAGAAAGAAAGGGAAAGAGAGAAAGAAGTTTGGCAGGCTGTACAGCTTCTCCTTCTGGGGAAGCCTCAGGAAGCTTCTAATCATGGCAGAAGGCAAAGAGAGGGTGTGGCACTTCAAATGGCCAGAGTAGGGGGAAGGTGCTACAAATCTTTAAACAACCAGATCTCACAAGAACTCTATCACAAGAATAGCACCAAAGGGATGGTACTAGACCATTCATGAGAAACCGCCCGCACGATCTAATCACCTCCCACCAGGCCCTACCTCCAACCTTGGGGATTACTGTCCATCATGAAATTTGGGCAGTGACACAGATCCAAACCATATCAGAAGATTTCATATTAAGAAATATTAACTATGAGATTGGAGTAAGAGATAAGCTAGTAAGGAGTAAAGAGATACTTGCTCTTTACCCACTTCTTTATATGATTTCTCTGGTCCAAATCAGTGTATTCAGACTCAATCCTATTACTCTGATGCTTCTTTTATCTCCTAATCCCTATAGCACTCATTGACTTTCAGCTAGTACATAATTCCTTACATCATTGCTTTGTTTAATCAGTTATAAGTCAATGTTCATAACTATCTTTAGACAAAGAACATAGGAATAGAAGATATAAGGAGGAGGAACTATCTCTAAGGCTGAGATAGAGTGCCATGGAAGGTCCTCTAGTAGAGGGCCACTGCTCCTGCATCACACACACACACACACACACACACACACACACACACACACACACACACACACCTCTCACCAGGGCTAAGGTCCAGACCTTGCTGAATAGGATGCAGCTCTGGCTCAATGAGTTCATTGAGGTTGTGTAGGTGTCCAAGGAGAACCAAGGGAGGTCATCCCCATGGAGGGGTGCCAATATCACTTTACTGTGAAGTTGTTACAGGGGCTGACATGGAAATCATTCATGGAAGGTGCTGTGCTGGAGGCACCATGCCTCAAAAGCACCTAAAGAGTGTGCAAGGAGAAGCTGCTCATGGAGAGGTGGCTGCCAGGTATGTGCAAGCTTCATGTGCTGCTGTAGCTTGCCTAGAGGGGCATGCTGAAATCAGGAGGAGAAAAATCATGGCCTCATCAGAGTATCTCTCTCTCATTTGCCTCTCTCTGTCTCTCTCTCTCTCTCTCCACCACCCTCTACTGAGAAAGCTTAACATTGTGCCAGCTAGTGGAGGGAGAATTTTACAGGGTCCAGCTTCATTATCATAGAGCAGGAAATAAAGGGTAGATTTGGAGTTGAGAGGCAGCAATGAATTAATAACTGGCATAGGAAGCAAAATGTGGGAGTGAAGAAGTTAGACATGGAAAGGAGAAAATTCATAAAACCTCCTTTTACAAGCAGATTACTCTTTGGGGAAACTGGAATCCATGTCCACTGGCTATCATCTAATAGAATTTCCAGGACACAACTCAGTCACCTCATAAAAGGAAAGAAAGCTGAAGTTCTTACAAATTTCCTTTTCTCATACATAACTCGAGGACCACTCCTAGGGTTGCTCCTTGGCTTGCGCTCCTGGCATGCCCAGGCAAGCCAAGCTCAGACCCCTGGCTTGAGAATGGCCTCAGGCAGAGAGACTCAGGAAGCAATAAGCTCACAGGGACACTGTGTGAAGTCACTACTCAGACAGGCCAAGGGGATATGGGTGGCACAGCATCTTCAGCATTCACTGCACCATCATAAAATCCTAAAAAAAACAACCAGAATCTAATTCACTCAAAACTAAAAGCAAGTAGAAAACAAAAGAAGTGTATACCCAAAATTCATGTTAAATAAAACTGTCTAGGCATTTCAAATGGTCTGTATAAATTCCACAACTTTTGTGCAAACTCTAAAACTCTTCAATAATGATAATGGTTGTTAACAGTTACTGAATGTTTACCATGTTCCTGGCACTGGGCCAAATAACCATAAGTAAGAAAAAGTGAGACACTATTATTGTTATCACTTTACAGCTCAGGAAACCTTGGTTTAGAAGTTTAAGTAAGTTGTCCAAGTCTCCAAAGACAATTGCCAATGTTGTTATTTAACTCTAGTCCTTAGAGTTCTAATCCCACACTTTTAATCAGTAGGTCTGACAGCATTTGTGTTTGCTTTGTACATTGTACTCACTCAGGAAATGTTAACCAATGGTGACGGTCTTCAAAATGAGAACTCCAGAATTTAATCATCTGAGAAATATTAAGTGAGATTATCAGATACTGTAAAAACTGCCAGATTTGTCTTTTCAAGTCTCTTCAAATTCAAACCATTCTGTATACTGTCAGCTTTTTAATATTTCCAAATACTTGCTTTATTATGTCATCTTTTGATCCAAATTAATGTATTCTGACTCAATCTTATTAATCTATTCCAATTGAAAATATTTTTCATTTCCTAATCTTTAAAGGACTCATTTATTTCCAGCTGGTTATATATTTCCTTATGTTGTTGTTATGCTTTCATAAGTTAATATCTCTTTTAATCTATGAGATAATAAACTCTGGAAGTCAGGAATTATCTATTATGAATCATCCATATCCACTATAGTGCCTACCATTGTTGAACCTAGATTAATTCAGTAAGAACTATTCAAATAGGCATTATTAAATGTAGGAATAGGAAGAACAAAATACAGACTTTTTGGTCTTAAGGAGAAAATTAACAAGAGAATCCCATTATCCCAATTCAGAGTGTTCCAGTTAATAAGGTTCTACTGTACTTTGCTCCTTCTCTCTTCTAAGTAATTAAAGCCCTCCCAAGCAGATTAAATAAGCAGAGATAGGGTTTTCCTTAATTTTATTTTCTCTTTTAAATTCAGCCAGCATTAAATGGGGGAAATGTTCCAATCTCCTAGTCAGAATTAATTTCTTCCTCCTCCAAAACAACTCTTGTAAGCTTTAAGTTTTTAACTACTGAATAGGCAGCACAGAGCATAGGTTACCTTCTATAAGAATTGTACACGTACTTACTCTTGTTACTCATTAGACTGTGAGGTCCTGGAGTTCAGGAATCCTGTGATTTTAATTTTGAATCCACAAGCTCACCCAGCAGAGGGATTTGTACATAGTAGGCATATTTGTACATAACACTATTTGTACATAGTGTATCATCTATGTGATACCTCTAGCTTGATTGACTGATATCATGATATATACCTAAAGGATAATAGTCACATATGGCAAGCAAAGCTTTGTTTTCACATACTTTCCTACTCTTGTCTTCTCACCAGTGTATAATATCAGTATAAAATTTCTATTCTATAAATGAAAGAATCAAGTCTCATAGAAAGTGAAAGTGAAAGTAACATTTTTTTAAAGCTCCAACTCCAGGTCTCCTACCGGATACTTTACATATCCATTCCATTTTATATCAGTTGGCTAGGAAACTAATGCTTAATTACTGTCTTAGGAATATTATATTTCAGGGTGGTTAATGAACTTCACAGGTGAGACACTGCAGAGAGAGTTGGCGCTCAGATGTTCTTGGCTTCTAGAACCGCACTTATCCCATGGTTGCATAATGCCTTGTCTAAGATACAAAGAAATAAAATCAAGATTCCTGACCTAAGGAAGTTTACACTCTTATTTATGAACTGATGTGGAGTGAGGAAAATGCAGTTTATGTGATTGTTGTCTTCCTATAAAATGCTTTTAGAGTGAAGGTCTTAGGTTTCAGTGAGCATAGTGATTACCCAAATAACTTAACTAAAAAGAAAGATTCCTAAGTTATGCCCTTAGGGTTTCTATCACCCCAGGTGATAACAGTGCAGGTCACCTCTTGAGGATCTTGTGAAAAGGCTCTTTCGAAAAGAGTTGAGGTGACCAGAATTAAATTCTGAACTGAATGCACAGCCCAAACAAAAAGTCTGAAAGGGGAAATCACCTCCCATCTCCCCAGACTCAAATAAAAAACAGAAGGAACAGAGCTCTCAGAAAAAGCGCACCAAAGCAATGAACAAATAAACAAAAACAATAAAGACTAAAAACACACTTATTTCTTGCACAAAGTCAGATTCTTCTTTACCAAATCAGAAGAGGCCCCACTTTGCAGCTCTTAGCAGGAGAGTGCACACCATGAGAACAGCTGAGAACAGCGTGTGTGGAAGAACTTGTAAGCACGCAGTGAGCATCTCTTCAGATCATCACTGAGACACCAGTCTTAATTAAAGGAAAACAGAAGGAAGGCAGGGAGGGAGGTAGAAAGGTAGAGAAAGAGGGAGGCCTGAAGGAAGGGAGAGAGGGCAGAGAAGAAAATTAGATGATGAAAGTGTAAAAACTACAGTAACACACAAAACACAAGAATAGATTTAGAGAAAAGGGGACAAAATCTATGTTATAATCTGGAGAGCCAGAGAGGGCAATTCTACCGCATGCTTTATGAAACTGACTTCTCCACTTCTCCCCAGGCTGGACTGTACAGAGGAAATTCATTAGCTCCATTTAAATGCACATCCCAGAGCCCATCTTCAGTTTCCAGTAGAGCACAACACATTTCACGTTGGATAAATCACTCTGACTCTAGAGAATGACTTTTTTAACTTAAATCAACCTTCATGAAATGGTTTGTATTCTTATGAGGAAAGTTATTATACTAAATAATTCATAGTAGGGAATTTTGTTGTGATGAGATCAACAAGGCCCTAATGCTCTAAGCCATTGACGTGGGCTTAGAAATAATCTTATTGTTGAAAACTTTTTCCCCATATTAGTTCTTGTTAAAATGGAATTTAACTATACAAATACATTTATAAACATTTACAGGTCACCAATATATACCAGTAAGTCTCATAGTCAAAACTTTAGAATCTTTTTTTTTTTTTCTAGAGACAGGCTGGGGTGCAGTGGTGCAATCATAGTTCACTGCAGCCTCAAACTCCTGGGGTTAAGCAGTCCTCCTGCCTCAGCCTCCCAAAGTGCTGAGATTATAGGGGTAGAATCATTTTTTAACTGTTTATGCGTTATTGTCACATCCAATAAATGGCCAAGTTCTTTCCTCTACTGGATTTTCTCTTACTCCTCTTGGATCTTCCAACAGAGTCCATTTCGGACTGCTAGTCCCTGACTGTGCCTTAAATGTTTTTGATCCTTTCTCTGAAATCTTCTTCTCTTACCACAGAATTCGAGGGCTAAATTGTCCACTCTCATGACTTTAATTACCATTTATTTCCTTATAACTTTCAATTATATTTCTAGACCACACCACTCTCATAAGATTCATTTGTATGTTATCCAGCTGCCTTCTGTTACCTTACATGGATGTTAACACAAACTAATATGCAAAAGTGGACTTTTCATGCCATTCCCAAGGCACTTCCTTATCTCCCCCTATAATCATTAACTCAGAGAACAGTACCACATTCATCTAGTTGGTGAGGCTGGATGTACCTCATTCCCACATCCCTCATTTAAATTACCATCATCAGAAGCATTTTACTAAAATGGGGGAGAAATGTCTCCTCCACTCTGGGACCCACAAGGCCAGAGAGGAGATAGCAACAGAACTGCCTGACTTAGATGGAGTGCCTACCTACCTTCATATCCCATCAGCATCAAAGATGGGAGTGTGTTACAAAGGAAGGACTCCTGTATGAAGGACAGGAGCAACCTATTCCTGAATTATTATGAGAAATCCCTCGGGAACTCTCAGAGAAGCTATAGAAACACTTTGCGTAGAGCCATACCTAGCAAGTAAGACTGTAGGGGCTTTTGCTCTTCACTTACACTGAAAGTATCATATATAAACTATTTCAATGAAATGGACATCTTTCTGAAGTAAAAAACTGGATAAATGAATGTCACCATTATAATCAACCAGGACATATGCTTATTATACCAAGGCTGTGGAAAATAGGAAAATGGCATAAATGAAAGTAAGTACAATTTATGTACCTTTCAAAATTGCACATAATTTGATTTTAAAGAGAGTCCATGCTATATTTGAGAAGTGTGAATATAAGCTGGAGAATTATTCTAATGCTTGAATTTTTATCACAGTGATATATGGAGATGGGTTTAAAGAAACAAAGTTGGATAAATTAGGATGTTTGTCAATGCAGAGTTTGTTCCAGAAATGAGTGAAGGCATTGCCTATTTAGCATTCTGAAAGTACAGAATGGACTGAATCCAGGAAATGAAGAGCTACTGTGAAGCTAACAGAAAGGAGGAGAAATTGTGGCAGGCACTTAGCCTCCATGAACAAATCAAATACTTAGAAATCAAGTACAGGCTTAGAAGCCCTGGGAAATGGGGAGCTCAAGATCCAGTCAATAAGCCGGCTTCCTTATTAGTTGGCTAAGGCACAGAATGGAGTCCTCCCCACCATGCATCCTCTCCCATATTACCAGAGTCCTAGAGGAGAATCCAGAATACTCAAGTGCACTGAAGAGTGCTGCAGAAGAAAGAGTTGCTTTTACCAGGTATTCAGAGGTGGTGCTACCTGTTACTGTTTATGAATCAAGAAAGGTTTTAACACTTTAAAAAGAAACATTAGCCATTATTTTTTACACTATAGATCTGTTGGTTGAGAAGTCTTTGTAAATCGATCTATATTGGCTACAACTGGAAGCACAGGACACCACAGGACACCATAATGACTGGCACACCATACTTCAGCAGACATGCTTCAGATGGAAGATAATTTCCTTAAGGCAGGCAAAATTTGCAAGCTATGTGGAAATATGCATTAGTGGTCATGTGTGTGTGTGCTTCTAGTAGAGAATGTGAATTATTTCCCTGAATCCATTCAAAACAGTTGAAATCACCATTGATGTTAGAGTCAGAGGATGAATGATCCCACTTATTTTCAAAATGTTGCCTGTCCAAGACGGAATTTTCACTCGTTCTCCAAAAGGGGTCACAGGAATTCAACCTCCTGTTTTTGCAACAAGAATTCATCTCACAGCCAAAATTTGCAAAATAATGAGGCAACCTTATTACGTTACTTTCTTTTTCTTCTAATTCTGGTTCCATAAAGGATGTCCGCAATCATCACTCTCAGGTCTTTGTGACTTTCTTTATTGTAAAGACTTTTCTTCTGTCTGACAAACTAACACAATATAACAGATAGGGGAATGTGCTCTATTCAAAGAGTTTTTTCTTTTTCTTTTTTCCATTACTTAATCACCAGCTATCCAACATTCTGATATATCCAATATACTTTTTGTCTTTACATCTGTAGATTTTTCAGACTAGAAAACCACTTCTACAATTTTAGCCCTGGAGACCAGAGAGCTGGCAGTGTTGCAGATGACAGCATTTCTTGGCTGTTACATCCACATCTGACTTCTGCATTTCTCCTTTTCCTGGGCTTATTGGAAACCTTGAAGCCATAGTCACAACAAAATAAATGCTGGTTCTTAGCCCTCCCTCCCGCTCTCTTGGTGCTTTGCCTGAAAATAATATATTTGTTTCTATTTCTTCTTCTTATACCTTTTCCTTTTCCTTTGTACTTTTGTGATTACCTGGAGAATTACTTCTCCCAATTCCAGTATAGCGGCTGCTGCTATAAAAGCCCACTGAATTTTATTCCTGTGACAACGAATCGTATGCTGTCATAAAGATACCCTCAGCATCCCTCAGCATCCTTAGGCACAGGAGAAAGGAATGCACCTGGGAACACGTAGTTGCAAATAGCTTAACTGTTGCTAAACATCAGAGGTCCCAGATCCAACCAGTGGCCAGCTCAGGCCCTGGCATCTAGCCAAGGAATTCTGGGAGACCTGGAGGGGAATGAAAGCTATTAAAGACTGCAGCCAAGGTATTTTTGCAGTAAAATGAGAATAGTGGTGTCTAGTCAGTATTAACTTTAAATTTCAAGGTTTATTTACTTTCACAAAGCTTTTTCAAAGTCCACTCATTACATACCAATTTAACAATTGGTAACACTATTATTCCTATAGGTCACCTGTAAATTAATGGGCTTATATAATTAACACAAAAACAAACTAAATTACTTGTATAAAATTTCCAAACCCACTATTTCGCTTTGTTAATAAGGGATTTGATATAACTTATCATAGCATTTATTAAAATGCCAATATGGTCTACTAAATCCCATGTTAAAAGTCTTCACCATCACGGCTGATAATCAGCCTCAATCTGGGTATCAGCAGGCTCAACAACAGCCTCGCATCCCAAGATTGAATGTTCACTGTGTCAGGAGATTAAGAACCATGCTCAGAATCAAGCTGCAACTAGATCAGCCTTCACTCAGCGTTCCAACTCTGGCAAAGAACTCTATCTGTTCCCCATCCCCAGTCTATCTCGCGTGCCCTGTTTTCATAACTGAGCTCCATCATTTTTTGCCTTCTGGTAAGTGATCTAGTAATCATTTCTTCTTCTTGATCAGTATTGTAGACATTTGTTTTTTCACATCTAAAATCTCATAAGCTTCTGGAATCTGCCATCATGTAACTCTTGACAGAAAGTTGGTTCCTGGAGGGAAACCAAGGAGAAAAAAAGGTATTTTTCTATTTAAAAATGTTTAATTTCTATTTTAAAAAGTCTAAATACATTTTAATTAAAAATTATTTTAATATTTATGTTTTTTAAAAAATTAAAAAGCAGCTAAAGGAAACTCACAAATGACCTAAGCTTGTGCCATTTGACTCCTCCTGCCAGGGCATTTGGAGTAAATGTCCATAAATGCAGGAACAATTCAGAATTCCTGTGGGCAGCAGTAGTACAGCATCCTCTGTAGAGTGTCAGTGGCAGCAATAATCCAGCTTCCTTTTTCCTGTCCATCTTCTGAGCATGGTGCTCAAGATTTAATTGATTTTAGTTGACTGTAACCAAGAAACCAGCTAGAACTTTCTTAGTTTTCATAAGTCTGCAGACCTGACCCTGAAACCCAGCAAGCAAGCCCAGCCTTCCTGCCAGCAGCTGCTGTAATCAACTAAATTTCTGAGTGTCATGTAACCCAGTCTTTCCAAACAAGCAACTATTTGAATGTGGGATCCCATCAACCACCTATTTTATTCACCTTCAATACAACTAGAGTTTGATTGAACCCATGCACCCTGCAACTCAGGTCAGCTCTTCCAGGACTGATCCTGCTAAAGTGAGTAAATCTTATGGTCAGAGTCTGGCTTCTCTCAGCCTGTTCCCAGCCTGTGAAGCAGGATGCATTTCTGAACCTGAAGATAGAACGACTAATATATTCTCTTTAGAGAATGTACTGATGTGGAAAAGTATTTTGATAAATGCACCAGGGGTAAGAGAAAACCTAAATAAAACTGCTACTACTGCAGGACCAGTCTCAGATCTGTGTTTTTTTCAAAATTACATGGATTGACTTCCAAACTCCTTGAAGAATAACCAACTTTTATTATGAGTTTCTTTCGAGGGTGGTATAAAAATGTATAAAAGATTTATAGAGTTCTTCCATAGGAAAACTGCCTAAAATTCCCCTTAAGCCCTTTTTCTCATTGCAGCTGCTTCTAGTCATTCCATCTCCCTAACCATCCAGTTGCCTCACCCTCCTTGAGGTATGCTGCTCTCCTGGCCACCAACTGCTCTTCTGACAGCCACAGGCCTTAGCAGGAAGCCTCTGCACCTGCCTTCTGTACATCTTCCATCTTGCAACAAATAACCTCTGAGTGGTGCAGTTCCTTTCTCACTTCTATTTGTTTGTTTGTTTGTTTATGTTAGGAGTAACCCCTTAGGAATTCAGGTTCACACATGGAACAAATATTTTTTAGTCACCTATTACATTTCAGGCACATAACCATTACACACAGAAGTTAAGTAGCTATCATAGGAAGATGTTTTAAGCATTTTCTCTTATTTACAGGCATTTAATTTTTTTAAATAAAAACTTTAAAAAATCGTTGCTTTGTTTGAGTCAAATCATACTTAATTTTGTTTCTGTTCCATTCTTCTTGCATATTATAGTAAGATTTTATAACAGGATTTTGACAACCTCTAGAAATATAAAAAAATTAGTTTCTTATATTTGAGGCTTGCTTAATTCTTTCCCTCTGTAATTTAATTAGAAATGTACATAGTTTACATAATCAAAACAAATGTAATAGGTTATAGATCAAGATTGAAAGCAGGAACATGTAGTATACTCATTGTTGGTGAAATAATTTTGAATAGTTGAGGAATTCAGGAATCCTTGGCTCTGAAAATATTTAAAAGCTGATAAAATTAGGGATAAACATTGACTTTGATGTGGTACCTGAGTGTTTCTGTAAAAGAACAGTGACCAAATGTATTTTAACCAACAGAATAATCACACACTTTTATAATGTATCAATATGTATGTGTAAAGCACATTGCAGGGTATGTCATCCCAGTGCAAATTTACAGCTATATTAGTCAGGATTTCTTAGAGGGACAGAACTAATACGATAGATTATATATACATGGGAGTTTATTAGGTATTATCTTACACGATCACAAGTTCCCACAATAGGCTATCTGCAGGCTTAAGGAACAAGGAGAGCCAGTCTGAGTTCCCAGACTGAAGAACTTGGAGTCTGATGTTCGAGAGCAGGAAGCATCCAGCACGGGAGAAAGATGGATGCTGGGAGTCTAGGCCAATCTCGCCTTTTCATGTTTTTCTGCCTGCTTTATATTCGCTGGCAACTGATTAGATTGTGCCCACTAGATTAAGGTTGGGTCTGCCTTCCCCAGCCCACTGAATCAAATGTTAATCTCCTTTGACAACATCCTCACAGACACACCCAGGATCAACACATTGCATCCTTCAATTTAATCAAGTTGACACTCAGCATTATCCATCACAACAGCCCTACTTATTGGTGTATGGGCACCCTAGGAACCATCTATTGGTAGAGCTAGTTAACAGAGACTATAAGGGATAGACTCACTAATCTAAGTGTACCTCTTCTTTGAGGCCTCAGGAGCACTTAGAAGAAGGAGAACTGGGGTGATCAAAAAAGTATAAGAACAGCCCAAAAGTAAGCATCTCTTGTTCAATCCTTAAAATACTCATGGAGCAACTAAAGCTGCCCTATAGTTGCTGGGATTGCATACTCTAACTAAATCCTCTCAATTGTCCTGAGGAAGACATATGGAGGAAAAGACGACTATTTTGCTCTAGGAATGCGGGATTGTGCAAGAGTCAAAATAGAGGAAAAAGATACGTTTGAAGGATAATGAAGGGTGTAGAATAAATGAAGTGGAAAGATGCTGAAAAAAAATCAAGAGAATCACTCTTTGTTACTCAGTCTGATGAAATCAAGGTCAAAATGGCACCATTGTCTATGTAACAAGTGTCCCAGGGAATGTTACTGAAAGACTATATAGCAGGAACTGCTTTGGGAAGAAAAATAAATTCCAAAGGCTACTCCAGGAGAGAAGGATTGTATGATAGTGGTCCAAGAATTTTAGAAACTTTATAACTATGGAGTCAAGGAGCACCAGTGACAAGGCACCAATCATTCACTGAAATAGGAAGCATTTCTAACAAATGGGCTTTGAATAACCAAGTGTGCGCCTCTCTGCAGAAATTATTAACCTTACCTTAGGCAAACCAGTCTGAGGAATGATATCCAGCTTACACAGACAAGAGGCTATTTTTGATTCAAGGGATGGAATAACACAGCTCAGACAAGGGATCTTCTTTCATTTGTAAGTGCCTTAAACTACATACTTCTTGTTATAGTCATTTTCTTTCTCCTAAATGTCTTTATTTCAGGATATGTCTTCTATGTATAGACTGTATGAAATTTTAAATTTATTTTACCAAAAAGGCTCCCAAGTATCAAGGTACTTATATCAGGATCCTAACCCAAACTTAGTATTCTATGACTTTGGCAATGTTATTTAACTTCTCTGGGGACCACCCTTCTTATTTATGAAATGCAGAAATACAGTATTTGCCTCATAGGATTAAATTAGAAAATCCATGTAAAGAATTTTGAATATGTCTGATACCTAGGTATGAGCTCCATAAAATGCTAGCCATTGCTATTAGGTTGGTACAAATGTGATTGTGGTTTTTACCATTACTTTTAATGGAAAAAAGCCACACTTACTTTTGCACCAACCTAATATAAAATTGATCAAGATTCTTATCATCACAATGATTTGACTAGAAAGACCACATGCAACTATGTAAACATGTTTTTCTCGTTTTACTTCATTCCAAGACCTAACAAAGGTGAATTTGGGGAAGTAATGACCAGGGGCAAATATGCTTTGACATACTTGCCTTTGGTAGGAAGTGTGATAGGTAGTTGAAAGTGACAGTGATTTATGATCACCATTACCAAAAAATGATACTCAATAAGTTCAAGTCAAAAAATATGGACAAAAGAAAAATAAAAGGGAGTAAGGCAGGGAGGGAGGGAGATAGAGGAAGACAAAAAAAAAAAAGAATGAAAGGAAAGGAGTTACATTTCAGGTTACTGATGGAATGTGAAGAACAACTGAACTGATTATCTGTACGTTGGAACCCAAAGATTGGGTTTATCTACCATAATAGGATTATCATTCCTTTGAGAAACTGGAGATATATAGAGCTGATAATACTGTTAGTCATTCCTTCAGAATTTGCTTTCTTGACAATTGGAACAGGTTCTTCTGCTTTCCAAGTTTCCTCCCTGGCTCCAGTGGGCTGGCAACTGGTGAGGAAGATGTGGGTGGGGCCAGTGGTACTTCAAACTAGTTTTTTTAGGAGACAGTTGCAGGCCCACAGAATTTTAGTGGGCCTTCACCTCATAAACATCAAGAAAAAGGGAAACAAAGATAAATGTGAAATTCAATTTTTGAGAAAAACAAACTGGAGTCAAAAAAGTCAACTTTGGGTGGCAATAGAGTAACTACAGACTAAGAGAAAAAAAAATGTAGCCTACAGTCCACAACACTCTACAGAAAAATTGGTTTGTCTTGTTGAAGGAGGGAGAATGAATAGACTATAAGCTAAGCCAGAAAATCAACAATCCAGCCATCATCACAATGTATTTTATGCACTTTTTAAAAAGCTGGTTTTATTTAAAATGAGAATTTATAACAACAATTTCTTCAGGGGGAGAAAAAACAAAAGCAAAAAAAACCATAAATTCATCTGAACTATATCAAGAACAAGAGAGCAACATTAAAACAGTTCTGCAAAGTTAAAAATTATATTAAAATGTTTGCCTACAAACTTTGTATAATTCCTGATTGTTGCCCTAAAGTGATTGTTGGATAGATCTTGGAAACCAACATGAAGAAGCGTATCTGTTTTGAGAGCTGAGCCAGATCAAGTAGGGTTTATAGACATATTCTAGAAATTGGAGTTCAGTAAATACTAGATGATCATCTAATACATGCTGGGCACTGTACCAGGAGATTAAAAAGAAGAGCTCACGATGAATCCATAAATGCGGCAAATAGCACTACTACAATCCAAAATGGCCTATGAAATTGAAGTGCCATTGTTTCCATTTCCAGCACACTACAAATCCAAAAGTAGTTGTAAGGATCTGAACTTTGGCTTTGTTTGCTACAGTTTCCTTTAGGCAGATGTTGACACTTTCATTATTCTCCCTGCAAGCTTGAGACTGCTCAGCTGTGAATTTTAGCTCAATCCCAGTATAAAGAACCTATATTTTCTCACACATAATATGCCCGTGATTGTAAGATGCAATGTTATTTAATGCTCCACTGAAGATAAAGGGGGTGTGGGGAAGAGAGAGAGAGAGACAGACAGACAGAGAGAGAGAGAGGGAGAGTGGAATTCTAACAGCTGATTCCAGCAAAAACCATCCTAAACCCTCACTGCAGAGGTAAATATGAATTAAGCCCAATGTTTGGAACAGTTAAAGAAACTTGCACGTTTCAATATTGACAATGGATGGAAGAAGGGAAAAATACCTCCCCTGAAAATGTGAACTACAATCCGCCACTTTTGCAGGTGTGCAGTCTGAATTCACAGGGCTAACATGGTACAGAAATTCTTAGCAGAGGATTTAAATTGAAGTGGACTCCACTGGATAGTGCCCTCAGGTGACTGGCAAGAACAAACACAAAAGCTACCTGGAAGGAGAAAGGAGAGTTCAATCCAGGGCAGCAGAAACATTACAAGATACATCAAATGAGAGGGGCATCCTGATTTCAGAAATATGCAAACGTAAGTAAAGAGCCTGAGGAAATCCAGCAGCTTGTGTGAGATTTGGGTTGGTCAAGCACAGTGTTTTTCATATATGCTCAGTCATGTAAGGACCATGCAGATGTCTTTTGACTTTGTTGGACTTGATTTTGGGGGATTTCTTTATTCTTAACTGCCTTATCATTTTGATCATCCTGAAGCTTTGGTCTAAGTAAGGTATCTCTATTTGTTTGGATTGCATCTTACTCTTTGTTCTTTATCTCTGATTTTATAGTGCTTTCCTGAGGATCTATTTTTTTCATTAACGAAAACATTCAAGAATACTTATTAGGTGTGCCAATTATGTTCTCGGCACTGATGATTCAGAACTTCATGAGACAGACTGGCCTCGACTTCATGGAGTTCAAAGACCTCCCTAGGGAGTTTCAGACTTTAGACTGAAATACATGTTAAATACAGACTTTAGACTAAATACATGTTAAATTTACCTATGAAGCTTATTAAGAAAGAAGGTGCTTATGTCCTTCGTTCAGAGACTCTCATGTAAGAAGTGGGAGACTGGTCCTTAGTAACTCTGGAGTAGCTGTGTTTTTGATGAGGTGCTAGTGAATCTTATGCACATTTAGGTTTGAGAAGCCCAGGCTGGACCACTGCTGTGTGTGTGTTCCTATCTCACCTCAAAAATTCCAGAGTTGACTCTACTTTTTCTGCCAATCATTAGTCTCAATCCTGGGTCTAAAGAAACAATGGGAATTAAAACATATCCATGATAATTCACTAAGGCAGTTTTGACTGAAACCAAAGGAATCAAATTCTTTTATTATTAGCTAAACTTGATCAATGTTAACAGCTCAGCCATATAAATTCACTGTAATGTTTACTCCAATAGCCCCTGAATCACCTGCAGAAGGGCCCCAATCTTCCATTGAAGGACACACACACTCATAACATGGGGCTGTGCAGTCTGAGATTCCAGTTATGAGATAAGATCTCTACAAATGTTTGTTGAAGTGAATAAGTTGAAGCCTCTGGAAGATTATTCAATACTTTTGAATAACAAGGAAAAAGTTATACTAGAAATTGAGGTATGCTGTTAATAGCAGAGATTTCCAGTTTTAAGTGGTAAATTATTTTCTTATTCCCTGGAGACATATGCCTAGTAATTACTAGGATGTACAGGAAGCTGGAAATTCTCATTTCATAATCATGTCAGACATAAGACACTTTTCTGTTTTGTGCGTTACAAGCACATTTGCAAGGCATGCCAGGTTAAATATCCTAATCATTTTTTTCAGCTTGACTTTCAAATAGAGAAAGGGGAAGGAGCACAGATTCAGAATTCTAGTTCCAGCTCTGTCACTTAACAATTGCCATAACCCGGGCTTCAGTAACAACACCCATAAAATGATGAGACTGAATTACGTGCAACCTAAACTCTCAGGGTTAGTGTAAAATTCCAAAAAGTTAACCTATGATAAGCATAAAATGCAAGATGGAGTTATCATTAATAATACTGTCATTAGAATGAGAAAACTAGCTGTTGAGACTGTTTTCTTTCAATAATATTCAAAACATGATTGGGAGCATATTACAGGATATCCCAACCTGATTACACACTGAGTAAATATATGTGCCTTCATTCACTCAGCATCCACTGTAGATTTTCAGTTTGGAAATCTACATGAACAATGACACAACTTTAGACTTGACATTGCCCCACACCTCTCAATCAGTATTGTCATATAGCAGGTGATATGGTTTGGCTGTGTCCCCATCGAAATCTCAACTTGAACTGTGTCTCCCAGAATTCCCATGTATTTTGGGAGGGACCCAGTGGGAGTTAATTGAATCATGGAGACCAGTCTTTCCCTTGCTAGTCTCATGATAGTGAAAAATTCTCACAAGATATGATGGGTTTATCAGGGGTTTCCACTTTTGCTTCTTCCTCATTTTTCTCTTGCTGCTGTGATGTATGAAGTGCCTTTTGCCTCCTGCCATGGTTCTGAGGCCTCCCCAGCCATCTGGAACTATAACTCCAATTAAATGTATTTTTCTTCCCAGTCTCGGGTATGTCTTTATCAGCAGCATGAAAACAGACTAATACAGTAAACTGGTACCAGGAGTGAGGTGTTGCTGAAAAGACACCCGAAAATGTGGAAGTGACTTTGGAACTGGGTAACAGGCAGAAGTTGGAACAGTTTGGAGGGCTCAGAAGAAGACAGAAAAATGTGGGAAAGTGTGGAACTTCCTAGAGATTTGATGAATGACTTTGCCCAAAATGCTGATGGCAATATGAACAATAGGGTCCAGGCTGAGGTGGTCTCAAATGGAGATGAGGAACTTGTTGGGAACTGGAGTAAAGATGACTCTTGTTAAGTTTTAGCAAAGAGACTGGTAGCATTTTGCTCCTGCCCTAGAGATTTGTGGAACTTTGAACTTGAGAAAGATGATTTAGGGTCTCTGGCAGATGAAACTTCTCAGCAGCAAAGTGTTCAAGGGTTGACTTGGGTACTATTAAAGGCATTCAGTTTCATAAGGAAAGCAGAGCATAAAAGTTAGGAAAATTTGCAGTCTGACTATATGATAGAAAAGAAAAACCAGTTTTCTGAGGAGAAATTCAAGCGAGCTGCAGAAATTTGCAAAAGTAGCAAGGAGCCTAATGTTAATCCCCAAGACCATGGGGAAAATGTCTCCAGGCCATGTCAGAGACCTTCATGGCAGCCCCTCACATCACAGGCCTGGAGGCCCAGGAGGAGAAAGTGGTTCTGTGGGCTGGGCCTAGGGTCCTCGTGCTGTGTGCAGTCTAGGGACTTGGTGCCCTGTGTCCAAGCCACTCCAGCCATGGCTGAAAGGGGCCAACGTACAGCTTGGGCTGTGGTTTCAGAGGGTGGATGCCCTAAGCCTTGGCAGCTCCCATGTGGTGTTAAGCCTGCAGGTGCACAGAAGTCAAGAATTGAGGTTTGCAAACCTCCACCTAGATTTCAGAAGGTGTTTAGAAATGCCTGGATGCCCAGGAAAAAATTTGCTGCCAAGGTGGGGCCCTCATGGAGAACCTCTGCTAGGGCAGAATGGAAGGTAAATGTGGGGTTGGAGCCTGTGCACAGAGTCCCTTCTGGGGCACTGCCTAGTGGAGCTGTGAGAAGAGGGCCACCATCCTCTAGACCCCAGAATGGTACATCCACTGACAGCTTTCACCGTGTGCCTGGAAAAGTCACAGACACTCAACACCAGCCCATGAAAGCAGCCAGGAAGGAGGCTATATCCTGCAAAGCCATAGGGGCAGAGCTGCCCAAGACCATGGGAACCCACTTCTTGCATCAGTGTGACCTGGAGTCAAAGGAGATCACTTTGGAGTGTTAAAATTTGACTGTCCTACTGGATTTCAGACTTTCATGGGCCCTGTAACCCCTTTTGGCCAATTGTTTTGGCCAATTTCTCCCATTTGGAATGGCCATATTTAACCCAATGCCTGCACCCCCATTGTATCTAGGAAGTAACTAGCTTGCTTTTGATTTTATGTAGATCAAATTTTACATTGATTTTACATGCTCATAGATAGAAGGGACTTGCCTTGTCTTGGGTGAGACTTTGGACTGTGGACTTCTGGGTAAATGCTGAAATGAATTAAGACTTTGGGGGACTGTTGGGAAGGCATGACTGGTTTTGAAATGTGAGAACATGACATTTGGAGTGGCCAGGGGTGGAATGATGTGGTTTGGCTGTGTCCCCATCGAAATCTCAAGTTGAATTGTATCTCCCAGAATTCCCACTTGTTGTAGGAGGGACACAGTGGGGGGTAATGGAATCATGGGGGCGGGTCCTTCCCATGCTAGTCTCGTGATAGTGAATAAGTCTCAAGAGATATGATGGGTTTTATCAGGGTTTTCTGCTTTTCCTCATTTTTCTCTTCCCATGGTGATGTAAGAAGTGCCTTTCACCTCCCACCATGATTCCGAGGCCTCCCCAGCCATGTGGAACTATAAGTCAAATCAAACCTCTTTTTCTTCCCAGTCTCAGGTATGTCTTTATCAGCAGCATGAAAACAGACTAAAACAGCAGGCTATTAAAAATATACACTATCATGTTCTTGGTCCCATCTTTTCCAGTCTTTCTTGTATTTTCTTTTTTTATTATTAGTATACTTTAAGTTCTAGGGTACATGTGCACAACGTGCAGGTTTGTTACATATGTATACATGTGCCGTGTTGGTTTGCTGCACCCATTAACTCGTCATTTACATTAGGTATTTCTCCTAATGCTATCCCTCCTCCATTCCGCCACCCCACAACAGGCC
This sequence comes from Homo sapiens, assembly GCF_000001405.40. Classification (NCBI taxonomy): domain Eukaryota; kingdom Metazoa; phylum Chordata; class Mammalia; order Primates; family Hominidae; genus Homo; species Homo sapiens. The sequence continues at coordinate 83,049,737 of NC_000001.11, read as the reverse complement.
CCAGTGTGTGATGTTCCCCGCCCTGTGTCCAAGTGTTCCCATTGTTCAATTCCCACCTATGAGTGAGAACACGTGGTGTTTGGTTTTCTGTCCTTGCGATTGTATGCTGAGAATAATGGTTTCCAGCTTCATTCATGTCACTGCAAAGGACATGAACTCATCCTTTTTTATGGCTGCATAGTGTTCCATGGTGTATATGTGCCACATTTTCTTAATCCAGTCTATCATTGATGGACATTTGGGTTAGTTCCAGTCTTTCCTGTATTTTCATTGTAAACTGTTCAATATGTCATGCCTGTGGCCATGCTGAAAAATGAAGGAGGGAAAATTCCTTGGCAGGCTATGTAGCCCTGCTTTAGGGCTTTGCTTTCTGGATCCACCGCTTTTCTTCTGCATTTTATTGTGCATACTAAAAAGGTGTGAGTAGGTCACCAAGGCACCTAGTCTCTTGATGACTGATCAGCTGCCCCCAAAGCATTTACATTAGTGGCCTTATATTCTATGACAGGAAGGAGTTGCCGTAAGTCAGCATTTCTCAACCCCTTCAAAAGTTTGAAATTCTATTTCCAAAAAAAATCATTTTTCTCTCTGCTACTCTATGCCTGAAATACAACTTTTGAATATTGTCGTGTGTTTGCTGTTTGGTTTTACTACTTAAGTCTTATTATTACTACTCCTGATTATTATTTAAAATAATGGTTCCTCTCTTCAGGTAAGTAAGGAAACATCAAACCTGGGTGTTACACAAGCTTTACCCACAGGGGCACTGTTGACTGGGAGAAGGGAAAAGCATGTGTGACTGCGGTGTTTATTGGAGGGGTTTCCTGATAATATTGATTTCCTAAAAAGGGGGCATCCCATCTTGTGCTGGGGAAATTGGAAGCCTGGCACCACAATCCCATGGGGATTGAAACGGCTATCCATAAATCTGCACAGTGTGCCTGATTTTGTCCCCATTGAGCAACTGTAATAAGAATTCTATAGACACTGCAGGAGCTGAATCAAGACTACTGAGCAAAAGAAGGCTATTGTCAGTGCTGTGTATGCATTAAACACAGTAGATTGCCGGGTGTGCATCCTGGAATTGTACAATTTCTCAATAAACTAAGTCCTAGCTTTTAATACCATTTGTATTTCTTTACCCATACCTTACTATTTATTTTATTAAGTTTGTCACTAAACTCTGTTTTGCATACACTAGTACTTGCTCATGCATGCCTTATGAATATAGAAATTAGCATCTCATTAACTTGATAATTAGGCCAATGATAAACAGCTGTTTGGTTGCCATGTAGGGCAAGATTTCTACTGAAGTTGCTTATCTGCCATACACAATAGCTGTGCAGTTATTTGTCACACTATCAATTATAGGCAAACAACAATAGGAAATAAACTTTTCTTTGACACATTTGCTTTCATTGTAATTAAGATCCAAACTCACGCTCTGCTTTTGGAAAAATGATAATGCAGTGTTGTCTAACAATCTTGATAATGTAAGTGTATATTTTCAGCTTGGCTTTTATATTTCTCATGCAGTTCAAACATTTCACATTGTGCATTCGGCTATAAATGACTTCTTCCAAGATGTCTTTTTTTTAAAACTCGATTTCCATTCCATTATGTTGAAAAACATGGCATATATTGATCACTGAGAATTTCTCAAGTTATCCTGTTTCACTCTAGTTTCTGTCTTACTCACTGCCCCCTCCAAGATTAACCTACACTTTGAACTTCTCTTGCTTATAATAGGCCTTACATTGAGAGAAATCATCTAAGAAATGTTAGGCGTGTAATGAAAGCTATGAAAATGTTTCCTCAATTGTTTAGGCATGGCTCAATCCATATTTATTTCCAAAAAAAAGGGGAAAAAAGAAAACGATGTGTTTCCCTTCAATTCATATGGATTTAAAACTGGAGATGTAATTTAAAGGAAAAAACCCAGAAACCTGTCTTTCCAACTAATAAAAAAGAAACTTGGTGCTGTGCTCACAGCAAAGTCATGGAAGATAATTTGAAACTTCAGTTAGCTTCCTGTAGAGCAAAATAACAACCACCAAACTAATGGGTAATCAATGGCCAATTGCTTCAGAAAAGAGGCACCCCACAGAATTCCCTGGAAATTAATGTGCTACAAAGAAGCCACTGGGAAATGCCTTAAGACTATCCAAGTGAGCCCACCTTTCTTAACAAATAAGTAAGGTCTGGGGGTGCTATTTTTGCTAATCAAGGCCTGGAGATGAATCGCTGTCTTCATTTAAATTTCTCTGTGCTTTGCTCTGAACCGCTATATTAAAAACAATCTTCCTCCATGATTTTTGGTGCTATAGTGGAGTACAGTTTATGTGAAAGTAAATCTGGAAAGATTACCTTTCAAAACTGCCAGATGCTTCGCATTTTCTGGTAGAAATCTGGATTCCAGGTCTGTAATGATATTTCCTGCTGTGCTCAACACTCAATCAACGTATGCTTCTTGGTGGGCAATGTAAAGATTCCAAGGCTAACCTGGCAGTTTGGCTTTTATATTTTTCTAATCCAGCTAGGGGGTATAAATGTAAATTCTGGGCCCCCCAGGCTAAACTTCAGAAGGGATCTTTGTTAATTCAGATCTTCTGCAGTTGGAGTCCCCTTTTTTCATAAACTGCCCCATGCAATGCAATTTATGATTATATTTATACCAATGAATAAAACATAGTCTTTTTAAAAGAAATCTAAATTACTGTATTAATGATACAGGAATGTATGGGTTCTTATTGTCCCTCGCTCTCCCATGTTTAGATTTAAGTTCTTCCACTCAGTTTGAATTACATTAACGTCCCCTTCCCTCTCTTCCTTAATCCACCTTACACATTTTGTCATGTGGTGTGGTGGTTATTAGTAGATTTTCTGGAGTCTGAAAGACCAAGGTTGGAATCTTAGCTCATTCATTTTAAAGCCGTTTGCCCTTGGGATGAATAATTTAATTTCTCGAATATGTGGTTTATTCATCTATGAAATGGGGCTAATAATGGCACCTACTTCCTAGGATTATTGTGAGGATCCAATGAAAAAAGGTAAATAGACTGTCTAGCACAGTGCTTCACACAGGTCACACAGCAGTTGATGTTAGCTGGTCTTCCTTAATGGGGGATGGCTTTAGGGAGAGTGAACATAGCATAGTGATTAAGGAAAGAATCTTGAGTCTAATTTAAATCCTAACCCCTCTGTATACTAGTTGTGTGACCTTATACACTTATCAATATCTCTGTGCCTCAGTTCCTTCATTTCTAAAATGGGACTAGTAGTAGTACCTACCTCATGAAGTTATTGTGAAGATTAAATGAATTAATGATTGGCAAATAGGAAGTTTTATATAGTTTATTAAATAAACCTATAAAACACTTGGTCCAGTCCCTCCCCTGTCTCAATTTGGTTCAACCTTTGATAGAGTTTGGCTCTGTCCCCACCCAAATCTCATCTCGAATTGTAATCCCCACATGTGGAAGGAGGAACCTGGTTGGGGGTGATTGGATCATCAGGAAAGTTTCCCGCATGCTGTTCTTATGATAGTGATTGAGTTCTCATGAGATCTGATGGTTTAAAAGTGTTTGGCAGCTCCCCCTCACTCTTCTCTCTCTCTTGCCACCATGTAAGACATGCTTTGCTTCCCCTTTGCCTTCTGCCATGATTATAAGTTTCCTGAGCCCTCCCTACCCATGGGGAACTGTGAGTCAATTAAACCTCTTTTCTTTATAAATTACCCAGTCTCAGGTAGTTCTTTATAGCAGTGTGAAAACTGACTAACACAACCTCCCTCTCCATGTCCCACTGTTGTCCATATCATTTCCTATGGTGTTACTTTTCAAACTGTGGGGGAATATTCAATCAAGCTCTTCCTGTGGGAGAAACTCACAGAGGTGTCTTGTGTGACAAACTGGCCATTTAAGATAACCAAGGTAGCCGGGGAGTTATGCATTCATGCTTTACAGGCTGCTGTTGTTGGCTGCTGAGCTCTGGAGGTTCTTCCTTTTTAAATCCACTTATTCATCCTGGGATTTTCATTATTCTATAGCCTCTGACCCTATAAAGTGCAGCACATATAGGGAATTGGGCACTTACTACTGGGATGTTTCTTGTAGTACTTCCAGCCTAGATGCCATTGTGTTTCCATCACAAACAACAGAGAAACAAGAGGGGAAACTTCTCACTTGAAGAAAACTATCTTATTGTTGAACACCAGGTACATTTTCTTAATATTCCACTGGCCAATGTTCCATGCACAGTGATATGGTTTGGCTGTGTCACCCAAAATCTCATTTTGAATTGTAATCCCCATAATCCTCACATGTCAAGAGCAGGACCAGGTGGAGGTAACTGAATCATGGGGGCAGTTTCCCCCACACTGTTCTTGTGATAGTGAATGATTTCTCACAAGATGTAATGGTTTTGTAAGGGGCTCTTCCCTCTTTGCTCAGCACTTCTCCTTCCTGATGCCTTGGGAAGAAGGTGCCTTGCTTCCCCTTCACCTTCTACTATGACTGTAAGTTTCATGAGGCCTCCCCAGCCATGCTGAACTGTGAGTCAATTAAGCCTCTTTTCTCTATAAATTACCCAATTTAGGTAGTTCTTTATGGCAGTATTAAAACAGACTAATACAGCAATAAGGAAGACTAGAAAATGTTTGTTATTTTATTCTGAATCATGATGAGTGCTGCTAATAATCACAATTTGATAGAGAAGAATGGGAGAATAGACACTGGTGATGTTTATTGATTTTCAGAGTTGGCGACATAATACCCAGTTCATTTGCCTACCTGTTTGCTACAAAGAGTTATAAAAAGTGAAAAAATAAGAATACCTATTATTTGTCAAATGTGTGATATATACTAGGTACCAGGAGATACCCATTTTGATCTTCACAACAATCCTGTGAGGCAGATTTCATTAGTCACATATAAAGATGAAAGAAATCAATCTGGCAGGGCATGGTGAGTCATGTCTATAATCCCAGAACATTGGGAGGCCAAAGCAGGAGGATTGCTTGAGCCCAGGAGTTGGAGACCAGCCTGGGCAACATGGTGAGACCCCATCTCTACAAAAATAAAAATAAAATTAGCCAGGTATAGTGGTGCATGCCTGTGATCCCAGCTACTTTGGAGGCTGAGGTGGGAGGATCACTTGAGACCTGGAGGTTGCGACTGCAGTGAGCTATGATGGTGGTAATGCACTCCAACCTGGGTAACAGAGTGAGACCCTGTCTCAAAACAAACAAACAAACAAACACACAACAAATAGTGTTCCTGAAGAGGGAAGAAAGGTTTGAGCTTCAAAATAAATGGATACTGAATATTATTGCCCATATTAAGATCTCTTCCCTGGCAATAGCAAAATGTAGACAACAATTTCTGGGGTAACTGCTCAACTCAGTCCCCATTCTTTCTGAACTGCAAGTCACACCTCAACCCCATACTCTGGACCTGATAACAGTATGTGTCACATATGACCCCACACCCCTGGATGGGAGGTAAATGGATGGGTTGGGGAGGTTCTCTTGGCTAAAGACTAATTCTTTCTGAGGAATTGGTAAATGGGGCTGAGAGGCTGTCAGTCACTTCAGATTTTGAAATGCCAGTTTGCTTTTCAGTATGTGAAGAGATGAAGGCAGCTGGACTGTAGAGAGACAAAGCGAAGGACATGTGCGAAGAGGAACAGAGACATAGGATGGAGAGTTTGAGTGCCCAGGGTCCCCTAAGGCTTTTTGCTTCCTGATTCTTTCATTTCTTTCTTCTTCACTTGCATTGGCTCAATTTGATTTCTGTTACTAAATGTAACACAATGAATCTTAACTAATTCAAGAGGAAAACAGAATATCAAGAGAGGCAAAGTGGAAGAAGAACTTCTAAATCAGTCAACTACCGTACAGAAATGAGGCAGGAAACCAAGACCCTCTCCAGAGATCCAAAGTAGCCCTGTTGTTCATACCCTTCCCACCAGTCCCAATTTGGAGTGGAGAATAGTTTCCTCACTTCTTGGGTCACTGATAACAGTATCTGATCACAGAAGCTTCTTCCAGAAAGGTGTTCTGGAATCTTTGCCCCATAAGATATTTGAAATGGAACTGTGCAAGCTTACAAACAGAATCTCACCATTCATAGTGTAATGGGAACAACAGGACTCCCCGTGCATACCTTTGGCCAGGGACATCTAGAAGCTGTAAAGCCTGAAATGAAAGATTCTTGAAACATAATGCTTGAAGATGATCTTTTCCCTTGGCAGCCTTCCACAAGCCTTCAATCACTCTGTGCACTGAATTTCTTTCCATATGTTTTTCATTCATTTACATTTAAGATAAAAATTATTAGCTCTGAGAGCCATTTGATGAGTGGTGATTCTTCTCATTGTGATCTCAGCCCAGTGATGATGCATATCATCTGTACAATGTTCCAAGAAAGTGGAATCATTCATGATGCCATCTGAAGTCATCTCTTGATAATAACAGACTTGCATAAATCCTTTTTCTTTCCAGCAAAAATGTTTGAAATAAAATCAATGTCTATGTGTTTGCTCTATTTTGAATTCGCTTCTTTTAAGTTTATTTACTGAAAAACTAACATTCTAATTTTAAGACAAAGATGCATTGTTTAATTTTTGGAAATGGCACTTACGCATTATATCAATTGTTGCTTCTGAGAACTGTAAAGACACAATTCAAATCTTTTAAATTAATTTTGGCATCTCTTACTTTAGTTTATATTCTAGAAAAAATGGTTATTTAATTTATTTTTATTATTAGAAACATTGAAAAATTCTTTCAACATGTTCACATTCATGCTACATTGAGCCACCTGACAGGCAATTACTTCAATTCTTTTCCTGACATTGCTAGTATGTATCATATTAACATTCAAAATATAGGCATAAAGCAAACTAAGAAAAGCAGCCACTAATGTAAAATATTTGAGCCATTTAATATCTACCCATTCATATCCTCTCTTTGATGAAATGTAATTTCTCTCTTGCCTTTTGTGAAACCATGTCTGTCTACCTGGTGCCAAAATATCAAGTTATTTTGATGAGACAGTCCAAAAATCAACGAAAAGCATTCATTTACCAAGCTCTATAGTGACATACAGCCATATGTTTTTTCTTGTCTGGGATTCTATATAGAAAGTTTGCCTAGATATAAAGATAAAATAGATATGGTCTTGGAGAAACTATTTTCATCATTTAAGAAAAATATATATATTCCCGAGCCTTCACTGAAACTGTCCCACTTGGGTTTTTAGAATGACAAAAGGCATATTTTGCCTCATTTGCCTGTAAAAATATGCCTTTTTAGAGCATGGAAAACCTATATTATTTGAAGTGCAACTTGATAAGTGTTTCATTCTTTATGAACCCCAGGAAAAGGAACATATTCTATTTTTACAAATAGTAAAGTTTTTTTTTATTCCTAGAACCATCTCTATTCAACAGAAATTGGAATTATATACTGAATATTTCCTATCTAGATGTAGAATTATTCATAAAAGATAGCAGAATATATTTTTTCTTATGACAATTATTAGAGCTAACATTGAGTTTATTAAGAGCTGGCTATTTGCAAATACTATGTCATCTAACATTTTCATAACTTGAAATGCCTAATTACTAATCCCATTTTACAAATGAGAAAATGAAATTGTAGGGCTTAAATAATCTGCCTATAATCACATAGCTAGCAAAAGAAAGAGCTGAGATTCAATCCCAAGTTTCATCAAATTCTAAAAGCTTTGGTAGTAATTGTCTGAAGGTACATCTATTATGAGTTTTGAAAAACATCATTAAGGAGAAGAGAGGCCAGGACGACAGACATGGCCCCACCACTTCCTTGTAAAGTGGGCTTGAGAAAGGTACCTACTCTACTTCTGCGTATGTGTTTTTTTCTTTTATAACACAGGGATAATAATACCTTCTGTGCCTGAGAGGGTCAGAGGAGATTGTTTCTGTAAAGGTACTTTGAATCTGCCAAGTGCTCTTCATTGGTAAGATAGAACAATTAAGCTCATCTGCATCTAAAATCTTAGAACTTGACAGTGTGCGTCTGCTGCTAGGGTCACAGATAAGAACCAGTGCACTCCGGGCAGCAGGGTTGTGCATTCTTTTTGAGTGAGGAGTGATTGGTACTGATTGCTCCAGCTTTTCAAGTCGTCTGTAGACACAGAAAATATTGTTGTGTTTTATCGGAGGAAACAAGATACTTTTTCAGAGTATTCACATTCTCATCAATTTCTCTTGAAAAACATATAATTACACAATGGCTGTATCTGAATCCTGAGTGTGAAGAGTGAGAGATGGAATTGCAGAAAACTGTAAGATGTGATGAGTATGGTGGAAGATATGGATTAACATCCATTTCCTTTCCAGAAATGATGGCTTCATTTTCTGAAAGAGAAATGATAATGATAGTTTATATAAGAGAAATAGACTGTTCCCTGAGACATCTTGAGGGATATTTTTGTTCAGAATAGGAAGTGGTTTCAGAACTAATCATAGATCCTAATTTTCTGTCAACTTTAATGTTTAGAAAAGATCATCAGATGAGCTAATTTTAGTATTGGTATTCTCTCTCTGTCTCTCTATTTATAGGTATATAAATATATACATATGTGAAAATATGTATATGTACATGTATATTTATGAGAGAAAAGGTAGTATGAGCATTGGATAGCCACTGTTCAATGAGCACTTATTGAGACCTTAAGGATTTTCCTTTCTGTTATCTTATTTAATCTTCTCAACAATGTGTGGGTGTTATTACCAGATGAAAGGCAGAGGCTTGAAGAGGCCAGTGACCTCCACTCATTCCCCCTCCCAATAACTGTAATGGAGAATCTACTGTGTGCCAGACATTTTGCATACATTATCTCCAGTCCTCAGAGCAACACTGTTAGGCTATTAATATGGTTGGCTTTTTTTTTTTTTCCATTGCAGGCACTAATTCACTGAAGACTTCAAAAAATAACCCAAGTCATATACAATGACTGAGTTACACAGCTAAGAATTCATGCTATGCTGGGCCAACTTCAAAGTCCAAGTCCACAAATGATGGTACAGATTATGTATAGTCAGTTTCATTGGTTGTTGGCACAATTTAGTTCCTTGAAGCTGCACCCTCAGGAGGCCACCGAAGTTCCCTGTCATGTGCTGTTCTCTACTACAGAGCCATTTGCCTCCCTAAGGACAGCAAAAGATTGTCTCTCTGCAGTGTGTTAAAATAGTCTTACATAACATAGTGCCATCAAGGGAATGACATAGCATAGCCTTTGGCACATAAAATAACCTTACCAAGGAGTGGCATCTTACTTTGTCAATTCTTTTGGACAAAGGCAAGACAGTTTCCACTGCACTCAAGGAGAGGGGATTATACAAGGATGTGACTCACCGAGGGTCACCTTAGTGTATGTCTGCAACCGTTAGTTCACCAAATAATTCCAGCCTGATTAGAAAGATCATATAATCTAATCTCTGTTATTCTGTTTTTTATTGTTATGTAAACAATACAAAGAGTTGAAGGCTCAAAAAAATAAACTTCTCTCTATTAAGTTATAGTAAAGTTATGTGCCAACATACTCTGCTAAATGTTTTTACTGTCACTATTTCCCCACATATCTTGTACCTGATAACCGTTGTGTATGTAAAATTAAAAATTTTCACAAGCATCACTAATTATTGCAGCATTTTAACCTTTAAATGATAAAGGTTATCATTTATACTTCAATTGACAAATAATTTACCATATAAAATGCAGGAGATTTTCATCCAAGTTATATCTAAAATGCTTGTCTTTTTAAAAAAGAACATTTGGATATTAACAACAAATTCAAATAATATATCATGTTCCTATTAAGATAAAGTGATTATTTCATTTTTTAAAAAAATATTTTTTATCTTTTTATTAAAAAAAAAAAAATAGAGATGGGATCTCACTATGTTGCCCATGCTGGTTTTGAATCCTGGCTGAAGAGATCTTCTCACCTTGAACTCTTACAATGCTGGGATTACAGGCATTAGCTACCTCACCTGACCACAGTGACTATTTAGGATAAAAAACTGTAATCACACAAGCATAGATAATACAGAATTCCAGGGATGCTAGATAAAATGATGAAGTAGGCTAGTCAGCTTCTAAAATAATGACTTTAAAGTTAGAAGCAAGACCAAGGCCGGGTGCCGTGGCTCACGCCTGTAAACTTAGCACTTTGGGAGGCCTGTAAACTTAGCACTGAGGCAGGTGGATCTCCTGAGGTCGGGAGTTTGAGACCAGCCTGACCAACATGGAGAAACACCGTCTCTACTAAAAATACAAAATTAGCCGGGCATGGTGGCGCATGCCTGTAATCCCAGCTACTCTGGAGGCTAAGGCAGGAAAATTGCTTGAATCCAGGAGGTGGAGGTTGCGGTGAGCCAAGATTGCGTCATTGCCCTCTGGCCCAGGCAACAAGAGCAAAACTGTCTGCTGACTTTTCATTCATAGTGTCTTTCTTTAGAATTGCTGTTTTATCTCTAATTCAAATACATTTTTCATTCTTAGTTTTATTTACTTTTGTCTTCTATCATTTTTCTTGATTAGTTTCATAAAAGGTTTGTGTATTATATTAGTTTTGTTAAAGAATTACCTTTGAACTTTTTGATTAAACTTCTCTATGCCTTAGTTTCTTTTCTTGTAACAAGGGAGATAAAAATAGAACCAATCTCATAGGGTTCTTTTGAGGACAAAATAGATTAATATATATAATGCACTTAAATTAGTTCCTGGTTTATTACATAGCAAGTATTATGTGTTAGTGATATCACCAACAACATCACCATCATCATTAATTCTATCTCTTTAAAATTCATTTTCTATTTCAATGACTTTCTGTTTTCATTATTTTATTTCTTCTACTCTATTTGAGTTTATCCTGTGTTGCTTCTTTTCTTTTTAAATCATACTTCAAGTTCTGGGTTACATGTGCAGAACGTGCAGTTTTATTACACAGGTATACACGTGCCATGGTGGTTTGCTACACCCACCAACCCATCGTCTACATTAGGTATTTATACCAATGCTATCCCTCCCCTAGCCCCACACACCTGGACAGGCCTTGGTGTGTGATGCTCCCCTCCCTGTGTCCTTGTGTTCTCATTGTTTAACTCCTACTTATGAGTGAGAGCAGGTGGTGTTTGGTTTTCTGTTCTTGTGTTAGTATGCTGAGAATGATGGTTTCCAGCTTCATCCATATCCCTGCAAAGGACATGAACTCATCATTTTTTATGGCTGCATAGTATTCCATGGTGTATATGTGCCACATTTTCTTTATCCAGTCTATCATTGATGGGCCTTTGGCTTGGTTCCAAGTCTTTGCTATTGTGAATAGTGCCACAGTAAACATACATGTGCATGTGTCTTTATAGTAGAATGATTTATAATCCTTTGGGTATATACCCAGTAATGGGATTGCTGGGTCATATGGAATTTCTGGTTCTAGATTCTTGAGGAAACACCACAGTGTCTTCCACAATGTTTGAACTAATTTACCCTCCCATGAACAGTGTAAAAACATTCCTATTTCTCCACATCCTCTCCAGCATCTGTTGTTTCCTGAGTTTTTCATGGTCGCCATTCTAACTGGCATGAGATGGTGTCTCATTGTGGTTTTGATTTGCATTTCTCTAATGACCAGTGATGATAAACTTTTTTTTCATATGTTTGTTGGCTGCATAAATGTCTTCTTTTGAGAAATGTCTGTTCATATCCCTCACCCATTTTTTGATGGGGTTGTTGGTTTTTTCTTGTAAATTTGTTTAAGTTCCTTGTAGATTCTGAATATTAGCCCTTTGTCAGATGGGTAGATTGCAAAAATGTTCTCCCATTCTGTAGGTTGCCTGTTCACTCTGATGATAGTTTCTTTTGCCTTGCAGAAGCTCTTTAGTTTAATTAGATCCCATTTGTCTATTTTGGCTTTTGTTGCCATTGCATTTGGTGTTTTAGTCATGAAGCATTTGCCTATGCCTATGTCCTGAATGGTATTGCCTAGGTTTTCTTCTAGGGTTTTTATGGTTTTAGGTCTTACAATTAAGTCTTTAATCCATCTTGAGTTAATTTATATAAGGTGTAAGGAAGGGGTCCAGTTTCAGTTTTCTGCATATGGCTAGCCAGTTTTCCCAAAGCCATTTATTAAATAGGGAATCCTTTCCCCGTTTCTTGTCTTTGTCAGGTTTGTCAAAGATCAGATAATTGTAGGTGTTTGGTATTATTTCTGAGGCTTCTGTTCTGTTCCACTGGTCTATATATCTGTTTTGGTACCAGTACCATGCTGTTTTGGTTACTGTGGCCTTGTAGTATAGTTTGAAGTCAGGTAGTGTGATGCCTCCAGCTTTGTTCTTTTTGCTTAGGATTGTTTTGGCTATACGGGCTCTTTTTTGGTTCCATATGAAATTTAAAGTAGTTTTTTCCAATTCTGTGAAGAAAGTCAATGGTAGCTTGATGGGGATAGCATTGAATCTCTAAATTACTTTGGGGAGTATGGCCATTTTCACGATATTGATTCTTCCTATCCATGAGCATGGAATGTTTTTCCATTTATTTGTGTCCTCTATTATTTCCTTGAGCAGGGGTTTGTAGTTCTCCTTGAAGAGGTCCTTCACATCCTTATAGGTTGTATTCCTAGGTATTTTATTCTCTTTGTAGCAATTGTGAATGGGAGTTCACTCATGACTTGGCTCTCTGTCTTTTCTTGGTGCATAGGAATGCTTGTACGTTTTGCACATTGATTTTGTATCCTGAGACTTTGCTGAAGTTGCTTATCAGCTTAAGGAGATGTTGTTTCTTTTCTAACTTAAGTTAGATCTTCCGCTCTTTAATTTTCAGCATTTCTTTTGTTTGAATATGAGCATTTAAAGCTGTAAATTTTGTTGTAGCTACTTTTTTAGTTACATTGCACAAGTTTTGGCACATTGTCATTTCCTTATCTTTCAGACCTAAGTGTTTCAAATTTTTAATAATATTTATTCTGTAACCCCAAAATTATTTATGTCTGACTTTTTAAATCTAACAAATGCATTTTTGTTAGGCAATCTTTATATTGATTTCTAATTTAATTTCATTTTGACTGGAGATTTGTGTGACACCTATTTCTTATGAAATTCATTAGATTTCCTTGATGGACTAATATCTGCTCAATTTTATAAATAAGCTTTAAAAAGATTGGAACTTCCTTGGCTGTCCTTATTTGATAAACTACAAAAAATAGTGACTTAACATAATAAAATTTTATTTCCTACCCATGTGAAATTCTAGAGAAGATATTGGCAGGTACTTCAAGCAGTAATTCAGGATTTAGGCTGTTTCCAGCTGGTAGATCCTTCATTTAAAAAATGTGACATAAGGTCAGTTTGTAAGTAATCTCCATTTTGTGTAGCTATGAGGGAAACATTATGGAGACCATCCTATTTAAATGGCCACAAATAAGTACAAGAAGAGCTGAGAATTGTAGTCTAGCTAGGTGTCAGGAAGGAGAGGCAGTGGGTTTTGTTGATTACCTACAATACAACCTCAGTTCTGATTTTTGTAACCCTACAAATTAGACACTTTTAATACAGAATTACAAATCTGTTTGTTTAGGTTTCCTTACATGTTTACTAAGATCCTTGCTCATTAGCTTCTTAATCATGGGCTTTCCATGTTAGCCAGAATAAGCAAGTTAGGTTGAGGCAATAAATTAACCTGAAATCTCAGGGGGTTCACAATCAAAAACTGTATTTTTCACTCATATCACATGTCAAACGAGGCTGCTTCTCCTCAAAATCAGTCAAGGACCCAAGCCAATGAGGACCCTACCATGCTATCCTAGTGTAAATGCACCAATCAGCACTTTGTGTCTAGCTCAAGGTTTGTAAATGCACCAATCAGCACTCTGTGTCTAGCTCAAGGTTTGTAAATGCACCAATCAGTACCCTGTCAAAGTGGACCAATCAGCACTCTGTGTCTACCTCAAGGTTTGTAAATGCACCAATCAGCACCCTGTCAAAGTGGACCAATCAGCTTTCTGTAAAACGGACCAATCAGCTCTCTATAAAATGGGCCAATTGGCTCTCTGTAAAATGGACCAATCAGCAGGATGTGGGTAGGGTCAGATAAGGGAATAAAAGCAGGCTGCCTGAACCAGCAGTGGCAACCTGCTCGGGTCCCCTACCACACTGTGGACGCTTTGTTCTTTCACTCTTTGCAATAAATCTTGCTGCTGCTCATTCTTTGGGTCCACACTGCCTTTATGAGCTGTAATATTCACCACAAAGTTCTGCAGCCTCACTCCTGAGGACAGCGAGACCATGAATCCACCAGAAGGAAGAAACTCCAAACCCGTCTGAATATCTGAAGGAACAAACTCTGGACACACCATCTTTAAGAACTGTAACACTCACCACAAGGGTCCGTGGCTTCATTCTTGAAGTCAGTGAGACCAAGAACCCACCAATTCTGGACACACTATGATTATATGTTCCCCCAGTCCCATAAGCCCCTTCTTCTCATGACTCATTAGTCAGCACCTGTAGTATGGTCTCCATCTAGCTGCAGTAACCTCCCAGGGAAAATGGGGGTTGGAGGATGAACACAGCACATCTCTGCCACACTTCCCTTCTGGTTTCATTTTTTCCTTTCCTTTAGAAATATTCTCTGATGGCCAGGCACGGTGACTCATGCCTTTAATCCCAGCACTTCGGGAAGCTGAGGCTGGCAGATCATTTGTGGTCAGGAGCTTGAGACCAGCCTGGCCAACATGGTGAAACCCTATCTCTACCAAAAATACAAAAATTAGTTGGGTGTGGTGGCGTGCGCCTGTAATCCCAGCTACTCGGGAGACTTAGGCATGAGAATCACTTGAACCTGGGAGGTGAAGGTTGCAGTGGGCTGAGATTGCACCACTGCACTCCAGCCTGGGGGAAAAAAAAAGAAAGAAAAGAAATATTCTCTGAAAAACATCTGTTGTTTGTAAGCACTCATTTTATGTTTCTCTGAATATATTCTTACTTATCTTCGTTACTTAAGGAGAGATAGTTTTGTTGGATTCACAATTATATGTTAATTTTTATTGCTATTGTTATATTGATATTCATATTGATATCATTGATATTGATATTGATATTCCATTATCTTTCTACTTGCACTGGGCTTCTAGAAGTTAGAAGACATTGTACTCTTTTTTCCTGTAACTTTTTAGTTTACAAAGCTTTACCACAATATGTATGTGTGTCTTATTAATTATGTTTGGAACTCAATGGCCTTTTTTGAAACTTTAAGTTTGTCTTCAGTTCAGTGAACTGGTATTCCATTATTTCATTGTACATTATTTATCCTCTGTTCTGTTTTGTCCCCTAATAATTATGTTATTCATACATTAGGTATCCCAGATCTCTCTTCCATAGCTCATATTATTTTGCTCATATTTTCCATTTATTCGTAAACTTTTTCTGCATTGGTGCTTACTTACTCAATTTGATTGTCTGGCTGCTAATTCCTACTGCTTAATTGTATCCGTTGAATATTCATGTGTTGAAGTACTAACCCTCAAGGTGATGGTATTTGGAGATAAGGGCTTTAAGTGATAATTGGGTATGGATGTTAAGATGAAATCATGATAATAGATCCCCCTTATGATGTGATTAGTGCATTTATAACAAGAGGAAGAAAGACCAGCTCTCTCTCTTACACCCTCTCTCTCTGCCATGTAAAGACACAGGAAGAGGGCCACATGTAATTCAGGAAGATAGCCTCCACCAGAACCTAACCATGCTGGCATTCTGATCCCAGACTTCCAGTCTCCAGGGCTGTGAGACAGTAAATCTCAGTTATTTAAGCAACAGTATTTTATTATGACAGCCAACATGACTAATACACTTACTATGTTGTCATTCTTCAAACCTATCACATCCTGTCCCTCTTCCTTCTCACTAAGGGTAACTCACCATACCTTTCTGAGCACAAAAACTATCAGAAAGAATTTCTTCATCTTTTTAGGACAAAACCTTTGTGCAGATTACTCTGCTGCACCTATCTTTTAAACTTTTGTCCCTATTTCTGTGGTCAAAATTTCTATTTGTGCTATAAATTCTAATACCTCCCCATATTTGTTACTCTTTTTCTGTTATTAATTTTTCTCTGTTTATTCATTACATTGGCATACCAACATACTATGGTAGGAAGGAATACAACATGGTGGTTCTGGAGTCAGCCTATGTGGATTCAAAAGTTTAGTTGCCAATTTCTAGCCATGTGACCCTATAAAATTAAATTTGCCACAAATATTTCTCATCTAATAAGGAGGCAAATACTAGTACTTACCTCTTGATATTGTTGAATAAATAATTTATTAATCTGAAGCAATGGACATAGTGCCTGACACATAGCACTCAATAACGTTTAATATTGTATTAGTAAATTTTCACACTGATGATAAAGACATACCCAAGATTGGGCAACTTACAAAAGAAAGAGGTTTAATTGGACTTACAGTTCCACGTGGCTGGGGAAGCCTCACAATCATGGCAGAAGGCAAGGAAGAGCAAGTCACGTCTTACATGGATGGCAGCAGGCAAAGAGAGAGAGAGCTTGTGCAGGGAACTCCTCTTTTTAAAACATTCAGATCTCATGAGACTTATTCACTATCATGAGAACAGCACAGGAAAGACATCCCCCATAATTCAATTACCTCCCACCTGGTCCTTCTCGCAACACGTGGGAATTAAAAATGAGATTTGGGTGGGAACACAGCCAAACCCTATCATTCCACCCCTGGCCCCTCCCAAATCTCAAGTCCTCACATTTAAAATCCAGTCATGCCTTCCCAATAGTCCCTCAAAATCTTAACTCATTTCAGCATTAACTCAGAAGTCCACAGTCCAAAGTCTCATCCAAGACAAGGAAGTCCCTTCCACCTATGAGCCTGTAAAATCAAAAGCAGGTTAGTTACTTCCTAGATACAATGGGGGTACAGGCATTGGGTAAATACAGCCATTCCAAATGGGAGAAATTGGCCAAAACAAAGAGGCTACAGGCCCCATGAAGACTGAAACCAGTCAAATCTTGAAGCTCCAAAGTAATCTCTTTTGACTCCATGTCTCACATCCAGGTCACACTGATGCAAGAGGTGGGTTCCCATGACCTTGGGCAGCTCTGGCCCTGTGGCTTTGCAGGGTATAGTCCCCCTCCTGGCTGCTTTCATGGGCTGGTGTTGAGTGTCTGCAGCTTTTCTAGGTACACAGTGCAAGTTGTTGATGGATCTACCATTCTGGGTTCTGAAGGATGGTGGCCTTCTTCTCACAGCTCCACTAGGCAGTGCTCCAGTAGGGACTCTGTGTGGAGGCTTCCACTCCACATTTTCCTTCCTCACTGCTCTAGCAGAGATTCTCCATGAGCGCCCTGCCCCTGCAGCAGACTTTGGCCTGGGCATCCAGGCATTTCCATACATCTTCTGAAAACTAGGTGGAGGTTCCCAAACCTCAATTATTGACTTCTGTGCACCCACAGGCCCAACACCATGTGGAAGCTGCCAAGGCTTTGGGCTTCCACCCTCTGAAGCTATGGTTCAGGCTCTACATTGGCCCCTTTCAGCCACAACTGGAGTATCTGGGATGCAGGGCACCAAGTCCCTAGACTGCACACAGCACGGGGACCCTAGGCTTGACCAACAAAACCATTTTTTCCTTCTAAAACTCTGGGCCTGTGATGGGAGGGGCTGCCACAAAGGTCTCTGACATGCCCTGGAGACATTTTCCCCATTATCTTGGTGATTCACATTGGGCTCCTTGTTACTTATGCAAATTTCTGCAGCTGGCTTGAATTTCTCCTCAGAAAAATTCTTTTCTTTTCTATTACATTGTCAGGCTGCAAATTTTCCAAACTTTTATGCTGTTTCCCTTTTAAAACTAAATGCCTTTAACAGCACCCCAGTTACCCCTTGAATGCTTTGCTGCCTAGAAATTTCTTCTGCCAGATACGCTAAATCATCTCTCTCGAGTTCAAAGTGCCACAAATCTCTAGGGCAGGGGCAAAATGCTGCTAGTCTCTTTCCTACAACATAACAAGAGTCACCTTTGCTCTAGTTCCCAACAAGTCCCTCATCTCCATCTGAGACCACCTCAGCCTGGATTTCATTGTCCATATCACTATCAGCATTTTGGTCAAAGCCATTCAGCAAATCTCTAGGAAGTTCCAAACTTTCCCACATTTTCCTGTCTTCTTCCGAGCCCTCCACACTCTTCCAACCTCTGCCTGTTACCCATTTCCAAAGTCACTTCTACATTTTCAGGTATCCTTATAGCAGCACCCCACCCTACCAGTACCAATTTACTGTATTAGGCTGTTTTCATGCTGCTGATAAAGACATACCCAAGACTGGGCAATTTACAAAAGAAAGAGGTTTAATTAGACTTATAGTTCCATCTGTCTGGGGAAGCCTCACAATCATAGCAGAAAGCAAGGAGGAGCAAGTCACGTCTTACATGGGTGGCAGCAGGCAAAGAGAGAGAGCTTGTGTAGGGGAATTCCTCTTTTTAAAACCATCAGGTCTCATGAGACTTATTCACTGTCATGAGAACAGCAAAGGAAAGAGCCACCCCCATGATTCAATTACCTCCCACTGGGTCCTTCCCACAACACAAGGGAATTCAAGATGAGATCTGGGTGGGGACATGGCCAAACCATATCAAGTATTTTGCCTCTTAAACGGTGAAAATACTTGCACTTGACCCTACAGAATGCCCTGATTCCTGCTCAATTGTCTATTCTCTTTCACATAAAAATTTTTCTCAAAAGGAATAATGGGAAGACAGAGAGAGGGTATAGACACATTGTGAAAGCCTGGATTGAATTGATAAAAGAGAAAAGGTCCCAATATGATGATAAGCCCAAGCAAAATTAAAAAAAAAATAACAACTGAAATTTGACTCAGGTGTGGAAAAAAATCTAGGTTTGGGATGGGGGAGATGGTGATTAAAAAATGGTAGCATGGAAAGTCATCAGAACATTTAATGACTTTTTTCTATAGGCTCGATATAGAAAAAATAGCTCAATTATGTAATTAATTTTAATCAAACAAGGTTTAAGATTTTTAAATTGCTTGAAGTATACCTTATAATCTATTATAATATATAATACATGTAAAACTTATCAGATATAAATATGTTGTGACCTCTTTGGTATTACCTATATTCCACTATCTGGTAGATTGCCTTAGAAGTTCAACTTAAACAGTTAATATCAATATAAATATGTCAGAGAAGTTATAGAGAACTCATCAACTATCATTTACACTGGACATAAAAGAAGAAGGCCAATGCTTATCTTGATGTTTGTTCAGTGGCAGGAGATATTGTAAGCTAGAACATAAGATAAAATTTTTAATTTTATACATTAAAAAATGTGGTAAAGAAACTTGCATGTTTCAACTAGTAGTGCTCTTCCTTGCCACTTTTTGTAAAATTACTTCCTGCTTGATCTCTTGCAATTCCAATACTTAGCAAAGAGCATGGGACATAGAAAGAACTCAATGAGTACATACTGAATGGTTGACCTATGCCCTAGAGTGGAGAATTTATTCTGTGGTTTGGTCATTTTGGATTACTTATTATAGAATGTAACATAAACAAAATTCTGCTAATGTTTAAAAATCATGTTAGTTCTATAAAAGTAAATAAAATACAGACAAAGAATTACTGAGAGAAGCCACAAATATCCAGATGGTCAGGGAGTCAAAAATAAAAATAAAAGTCCCAAGAACTATGAAGGAATCTGAAAGAATAGAACTCAAGAAGAAAAGACAAGTAATACAAAGAAAACTGTAAGCAACAGAAATATTAGAATATTTCTCCCTTCTAGACAAAATGTCTGCCCATGTAGTTATTCATGTTCCCCCAGTTTGAGGGGTCATTGTCTTAAGGCAATCAGTCTCTTTTTTTTTTTTGTTAAACTAACCCAGAAGTAATAATTTAAGAAAATAATAGAGACTAGGAGTTCTCTCCGGGCAGAGGCTTTTACTTTTTTAAAAATTTTATTTTATTATACTTTAACTTCTGGGATACATGTGCAGAACGTGCAGGTTTGTTACATAGGTATACATGTGCCATGGCGATTTGCTGCACCCATCAACCCGTCATCTACATTAGGTATTTCTCCTAATGCTATCCCTCCCCTAGCCCCCCGCTCCCCACCAGGCCCCAGTGTGTGATGTTCTTTTTATGACTCTTGATGGCTACTGGAACACATTCCTTTTTAAAACACTCTTCTTTTTTTTTTTTTTTTTGCCTAGGTTTCTTATTTATCATTTTTATTTTTTAATTTAATTTAATTTCCAGGATACATATGCAGGACGTGCAGGTTTGTTAGATAGGTAAACATGTGCCATGGTGGTTTGCTGCACCTATCAACCTCTCACCTAGGTATTAAGCCCCACAAGCATTAGCTATTTATCCTGATCCCTTCCCTTGTGTGCCCCTCCCCCACCCACAACAGGCCCTAGTGTCTGTTGTTCTCCTCTCTGTGCCCCTGTGTTTTTATCCTTCAGCTTCCACTTATAAGTGAGAACATTCGGTGTTTGGTTTTCTGTTCTTGTGTTAGTTTGCAGACGATAATGTCTTCCAGCTCCATCCATGTGCCTGCAAGGGACATGATCTCCTTCCTTTTTGTGGCTGCATAGTATAAAATACTCTTCTTAAAAACAAAAAGGTAACATATTGGAGCTTTGGACATTTGGTCTTTTTATATCCTTATAAGAGATTTTATTAATATTTGAATTTTGTAATATGGCTCACCAATAAACTTTGATGATGCCCTCTGTGGTACAGATCATACTGGTGTCAGAGGATGACACACACCACATTTACCCTTAGTTTGTTTCTATTTAGAAAATGATTTTTCTTGGCTGAAATTCTGCTGAATAGATAAATTTCTCTAGTGAAATGCAATGCTTTACAACCACTCCTTGCATTTGGAAGAGGTTCAAAAGCTGGCATATTATCTTAAATGCTATTTTGATGGCATAATGGTATTTAAATTGAACTGAAACCTTCCCTCTCCACCATCCTTTGTAGAATGTGCTATAGAAATGTGCATTAGAATCATCCCATGACCTTTTACATTCTTATGGTGATATGTGCTTTAGGATGACAAGACTCTGAAGTTGATGGAATATTCTAGTTAATCTGGTAATGTAGACAAACCCACTGTCTGGAAATGAATATGATAAAACATGTCTGAGATATGGAGGCTAAGCCAGTGAATTCTAGAACAGAAGAATTAATAAACTAAGGATACTAGGTATTGGTATACATGGGACTGGAAACATTCAGTTCACTCTAAGGCAGAAAAACAAAATACAATCTTTCCTACAGTGGCACCAGGGAAAGATGATGGCTGAATCCGTAAAAACCAAAGCCAAAAAACAAACAAGCAAAATCTAACTAAATGACAACAATAAAAACTAACGCATATTGAGCACTTACTAACATGTCCAGCCAGGGTTGTGCTAGCACTTTACAAGCAATAGGTCATTTAATTATCTCAAAAACCTAATGAAGCAGAAACCATATTATTCCTGTGTTAAAGATGAGGAAACTGAGGCTCAGAAGATTCAATGACATCCAAGATGATGTAGATATAGAATTAATGGAGCTGGGATTTGAACCCATGACCCCGACTCCAACCTACTTACTGCCTATGTCTCAGTAATATGTATGCATTAATTTGTATAAGATCCAAACATCTGCCTATTCTTCTAAATTGAAATGTCTTCTGCTCTTGTCTACAAAGAGCAGTACTTTTCAATCTAGAATAAAAAGCTGCCTTTTTATTTTGGCTTAACTATGGGTTGTAAAATTTTAATTACCTTTTGTTTAGAAAATGCTACAGAACCTGAACTTGTAATCAGAGCTGGAAGTAGGCACACCAAGGGGTTGTTGATTTCCCTAGTGAATTTGAGTATCATTTATGGAAATGTAATTACAGTGGAATCCTATTATAACGATCAATTTGGGCAACCCCCATTTGATCATTACATCCAAATGATCACCACACACAGACCATAAAACAGTGAGCTTCTCAAACCAGACAAGCTCAACAGTACAATATCCATCTTGCAAAAACAGTATTATTACCACTAAGTGCTTCAGAGCTAACACAGGTCAGTCAAATTATTGGCTCTAATTAGTCCTTCTACAGGCTATAACATTCTTTAGCTAAATCAAAATGGCTTATATGAAAGGTTTGAAATTCAACTAAGTCAACAAGTATTTATTATGTGCCTGCTGTGTACTCCAAATGGGGCAAAGCACTGAGGAGAATGTAAAATAAGTAGCAATTTCCTTGTGAAGCTCACTATCCACTTAGGGAAACAAGTTGCATAAACTACTTGAGCATTCCAGCCTAAAATGAGTGGGTACCCACAAGCCCCCACATTACAATATTGGTTAGTTTTAGAGGTGAAAACTTTGGCATCAGTAGAAAACAGAGTTCGCAGAATAATCTTTTGTCACAAAAATGACTGCAAAAGGAAATGGAATAGGAAATGAAAATTAAAGTTCCTACCTGCATAGACAGCACCTTAAGTCAGAGACTGCAAAGGCGTTTCATCTTACATTCCAATTTCAATGAATTGTTACCTAAGTCAAAGGGAGCAATGAGATTTTATCTTTCATGTCAATATCAATGAATTGTTAATGACTGACTATTGTTGGGTTAAGAAGGATCTCGAGGCCAAATTCAGACTCAGAAAGAGTGATATTACTCATCAGTAATTCTTGGCAAGGGGATTCTAAGTAGAAGACACATGAAACACCAAGCATTTTCCTCTCTTGGGCTTCTTTCCATATGACACTATTTTACTTTCAAGACCTCTGAATTGACATGCCTACTGTCTAACTAATACACTCTCCTAGAATCCTGGGACAGAAAACACTTTATGGTGCATTGCATATAGGAGGCAGTTCTCTTTTCCTGTATTTCCCACTTTCCTTTCCTTTTGACTCTCCCCTGGCCCTCACACTTAGCTTTACACTTTAACCAGAACCCAACTTTCTACTTTGTCCACATCAATCATCCTCATCTCCACACTCAAACCAGATACTATAGTCAACCCATTTAACATTGCTCAAATCCTCTATGTTCTAAACTCCTGACATTCAACATTTTTCACAAAGCCTATTGTTCAAGATAGTACACATCTGAAGCCAAGCAGAAAACCTCATCAGTCTGAGCAGGCATATAGTTTCTCTCTCTTCTGACTTCTAGGAAGCCACAGTTTATTCAAGCAGTAGTATCTGTCTACTTAAACTACTATCTACCTTGTAGCTACATGTTCTAAACACTTACCTATTCCTTAGTGTAGAAGGCAGTTGCCTTGTGTTTTGATTGCTTCTAATACCCTGTTTATTTTCCTTTTCTCTCCAGAGAATCCACTCCAGAATCTTCTCTGCTGATTTTCCTATGTAGTATATTCCTGTATTTTAGCCCCAATTCACATGTATCATGTTTTATCACACAAGATATAGTCCTTGAAGTGTTACCTGACTTCTCAATCCTTTGTATAATAATTATACTTTGAGACAAGCTAATATGGCATCAGTACAGAATATTATGATAATATCTTTTCAAGTCTATCTTTCTCACGTAACTGTGGGCTGTGTCTTTTCATTTCTAGGTCCTTATCACCTGGAAAAATTCCATACACATAGTAATTTTCCCAAGATACTATTCTTGAGCTCTTTGGGCATTTTAAGAAGGGAGTCATAATAATAAGACTTCTTGGGTTTTATTGTTTCTCTGTTTTTCACCACATACCACATGGAAAAGAAATGTGGTTAGAAAAAATAAATCTTATGGACTAAACTAATAGAGCCTATTGAGAGTGCTTACCTTAGGGAGCCAAGCACTGATATTTGAGCTGCACATAAATTATCTCTATTAACATAATGATTGGTGATAACAGGTCCCTCCATAACTCTCTGATAAGAATACAACCACAGATGAGAACTAATTATCTACTGCGCCACAATAGAACAGTGCCAATGATTACATTTAGCCAACGACTTTCAGGGTTAGTTAAGATTTCCTGGTCATAGTCCTAGCATGTTCAGTACTTAAGGGCCCTTCTGCTCAGACCCGCAGCTGTGTAGGGCAAAACTCATATAGTGGAGCATTGCTCTGAGGGTAGGGAGATAGTAAGACAGGCTTTTTTTTTTTTTTTTTTTTTTGAGACGGAGTCTTGCTCCATCACCCAGGCTGGAGTGCAGTGGAGCGATCTTGGCTCACTGCAAACTACGCCTCCCGGGTTCATGCTATTCTGCTGTCTCAGCCTCCTCAGCAGCTGGGACCACAGGCACATGCTGCCACGCCCAGCTAATGTTTTGTATTTTTAGTAGAGACTGGGTTTCACTGTGTTAGCCAGGATGGTCTCGATCTCCTGACCTCGTGATCCGCCCGCCTTGGCCTCCCAAAGTGCTGGGATTACAGGCTTTTAAATGGTGAAATAATTTGTTAAAATTCACAAGAAAGAAGACGCCATTTTAAAAAATAAATAGTCAGTGAAAAAGAGATTGCTAAATTTCAGACAGACAAGAAAACAGAGGAGGCTAAGATTACAGCAGTGTAAATAAATAAGTGCATCATCTTGGCAGGCCTGTAGGCTGGAAGGGACAGCCCAGACAGCCTGCACCGAAACTAGCATTTTAAAAAGTGCATTTTATAATTGCATTTCTTCTCTTAAAAGCCCTAAGACAGAAAAAAAAAGAGACAAGGAGATTAGGATCAGTTGAAACTAGGACTTCTTTGAACTGTAATAGCAACAAAAGTAAAAGTAAAACCAACACATCCCATTTTTGCCTGTGACTTTTTCCATATATCCTTTTCAGAAACACAGAAAGTTTTTCCACTTTTACATACCCAGAAATGCAAATTACTCTCTACGCTTCCTTCTACTCTTGTTTGCTGATTTTCAATTAGAGTAGGGAGACCTGAGATTTGGGGCTGTATCCTGCTTGGATGGTAATTTTAGTCCGAAAACAATTAAAAGGAACACCAGGGTGTGGGCAGGTTTAGCAAAGGAGCTTGTTCTGAGCTCAGCCTCAGAGGGCAAGAGAGTCCCCTGAGAGATTCCCCATCATCTAGCTCATTCCACTGTGGTAACACAGCAGGCTCAGGACAGAAGTCCCAGTTAAGAATAAGGATGCGTGTTTGGTTGGAGTGGCCCCTCTGTTGTACTTGTTACCAGTCTAAGAACTGACAGCTGAACATTGTCCTATCTACTGAGCATCTGGAAAACATTAAATCCTGATGTAAGTCCCAACTTCAGTAATCAGTGATTGAAGTTTTTGATTTAAACAGGCCTAGAAACAGGAACCATGGGCTAGGTCAGATTAGTAGAGGTTGAAATGAGCAAGTGGCAGGAAAAGGTTACTTAAGGGGAATAGGTAGAATGGAAATGGAGGTGACAGAGAGATTTCATGAGGACAAGTTTTGCCTTCCACTGCAAATTACCTGCCTACCATATATAGAAAAAGAAGGTTGAAAGAGGTACCACAAATGGGAATCGTAGGTCTGCCATGACATGTGACCTTGGCCAACTATTGAACTTCTGATAGAGAAAGTGAGCCAAATCATACTTTCCTAATAGAGTTATGAGGATTCAATAAGACAATTTATGATATAAAATTCCCAGTACAGAGCCTGGTGTATATGGTGCCATCCATAAATGCTATCTCCTCTCTTCTCTTTATCTTTTTCTTATTTTTTAAGGTGACATAGAATTAATCTTGAATGCACTTGGAGGTTTTGTTTGGGCACCCAGAACTTCTAAGTCAGGGATCAATGAATCCTGGAGGAGCAGAACCTTCTCTCTCTCTTGCTGTCATTGGCTTTGCAGGGCTTGAACCACTCAGCCAGCCTTAGCCAATGTATCTCCTGAGTACCGCATGTTTCCAATGTATGTTGTTTATTTTCTTCACTGAATTTCCATGACAGCCAGAAAGTAAGAGCCCTGCATTTGTAGAAATACTTGTAAGACTAAGGCCAGACAGGTGATTTCTTCATCTTCAAGCCCCTCCTTGAGTGAACCAACTTAGTTTTAAGCAGAGTTATTACGTGTGCCATTTGGTGCCATTACTATGCTTAAGATGAATATGAGATATCAACCTCAGATTGTGAAATGCAGACACTGATGGATGACCAAGATGCATTCAATTACAATTAGGACAAAACAAACAGCCTTTTGAGATGAAGCTCATCCTGGGAAGAGGGGTGGGAGGAAATTCCTGTCCTGTTGTACCGATAGGTTTCCTTTTCTAAATGAGCATAACAGCTGACAGGTTATACAGAAATGCCTCTGGCAGTAGCGATGACAGTGACATTAGCAACATTTGGGAAAGAAAACAAATTGGCATCATCAAAGTACAGCATGTACCTTGTAAATTTATTTCTTTATAATTATTTCTTTTACAACTTGTATAGCATACATATGTATCTATAATAGCTGTAGAGAACAGTAATGGTGCAGCACAGAATATTCAAGAACTGCATACAGGTATATAGTTCAGCATACTAAATCACAGCATTAAATATTGTCTCTTTAAATAGAAAGTTTGGTAGGTAATGGTTGATATAAAAAAGAGGTAATAGTATGAGTTTTGGAGTAACTGGAACCTGGGCTCAAATTCTGCCTCTACCTTATGGTAGGTGTATATATTTTTCAAGCTTCAGTTTCCTCCTTAGAAAATGGGAATATTAATATTTACTGTGCAGCATCATTGTCCTTACAGTTCTCTAATGAATGTAGGCAGTCCTGCTTTCTCCTGGTTAATTCCTAGTCTTCATAGATACAGACAGGATCTTGGATATCCTTTCCTACATCCACCAGGGAACTAAATGCCCCTTAATTTGAGAAGTTTACGTCTACTACTCTGAGTTATAAATGCCTGTTGATTTTGCCATCTCTCTACTAGACAAGACATTTTTTGAGAGAAGAACCCAACATATGTATTTTCTGAAAACATAAATCAGTTCATGAATGACCTTAATTAAAGTCAAAAGTTAAGCACCTCCTGCTCCTTATTTAAGAGTATCAACTCTCTGACATTCAGTTTTAAGAGATAATCTGAGGCCAAGGCAGGCAGATCTCTTGAGGCCAGGAACTTGAGACCAGCCTGGCCAACATACATACATGGTGAAACCCCGTCTCTACTGAAAAAAAAAAAAAAAAAGAAATTAACCAGGTGTTGGCATGTGCCTATAGTCCCAGCTACTGTGGTACTTGGGAGGCCTAGGCAGGTGAATTGCTCAAACCTGGGAGGCAAAGGTTGCAGTGAGCTGAGATTGTGCCACTGCACTCTGGCCTGGGTGACAGAGTAAGATTCTGTTTCCAAAAAAAATTAAAAAGAGATAATCTGAAATAATATTTTTTAAATAATTTCTTCAGTGAGCCATCAGGAAAGTCATTTGCCAATATAAATTTAGCTGACCTGACCTTCATGCTTAACTCACCTTCAGATTAATAAGCATTAATATGAAATAGATTTTCAATGTTTAGAGTATACAAACAATATCAAGATCCTAGACTGGACAGTCCCAACACTCATGAATAACCACTTTTTCTCCAAAATTGATGTCTCAATTTCAGATATAAATATTAGTATATCTTTATGTATAAAATATCCACATAAAAACAAGTGCTATTTATTGAGATCAGAAAAAAGACAAATAATATTTTTATTTTAGAATTTATCTCCAAATACCCATAGAAAACTGGTTTCATAAACATAAAAAATTGGAAAATAATCCAAATAAGGCCATATACTCTTGGGGAATAAATAAGTTACCAGATGACTGTTGGAAATATTTTACTTAGGCATGAAGGCAAGGGTTATTACACACTTTATGAAAAATGTTCAAGCTTATAAGGACATTATATATATACATCTTTCAATATATATATAAATATATACACACACAAGGATACCTCATTTAATTGTGCTTTGCCTTACTGCACTTCAGATACTGCACTTTTTACAAATTGGAGGTTTGCAGCAACCCTGCATCAAGCAAATCTATTGATGCCATTTTTCTGACAGCACGTCCCATTTTGGTAATTCTCACAATATTTCAAATTGTTTCATTATTACTATATCCATTATGGTGATCTGTAATCCGTGATCTTTGATGTTATCATTGTAATTGTTTTGTGGTGCTACAAACTATGCTCATTTAAACATTGTTAAGTGTTCTGACTGCTTCACTGACCAGCCGATCCCTCATTTCTCTCCCTCTCCCCAGGTCTCCCTATTCCTTGGGACACAACTGTATTGAAATTAGACCAACTAATACTTCTACAAAGACTTCTGAGTGTTGAAGTGAAAGGAAGAGTTGCACGTCTCTTATTTTAAATCAAAAGCTAGACATGATGAAGCTTAGTGAGAAAGGTCTGTAGAAAGATAAGATGGGCCAAAAGCTAGGCCTCTTGCATCAGCTAACTGTGGTGTGAATGCAAAGGAAAAGCTTTTGAGGAAAATGAAAATTCTACTCCAGTGAACACACAAATGACCAGAAAGCATAACAGCCTTATTGCTGAAAAGAAGAAAGTTTGAGTGGTTTGGATAGAGAATCAAACCAGCCCCAACATTCCCCTAAGCCAAAGCCTAATTCAGAGGAAAGTTCTAACTCTTTTCAATTCTGTGAAGGCTGAGAGAGGTGAGGAAACAGCAGGAGAAAAGTTTAAAGCCACCAGAGGTTGGCTTATGAGGTTTAAGGAAATAAAGCAACCATCTCCATAACATAAAAGTGCAAGTGGAGAAGCAAGTGCTTATGAAGAAGCTGAAGCAAGTCATCCAGAAGATCTAGCTAAGATAATTGATGAAGGTGGCTACACTACACAACATGTGTTAACAGCCTTCTACTGAAAGAAGATGCCATCTAAGACTTTCGTAGCTACAGAGAAGTCAATACCTGGCTTCAAAGCTTCAAAGAACAGGCTGACTCTCTCATTAGGGGCTAATGCAGCTGGTCACTTGAAGTTGAAACCAATGCTCATTAACCAGTCTGAAAGTCCTTGGGCCCTTAAGAATTATGCTAAACCTACTCTGCCTGTGCCCTATAAATGAAACAACAAAGCCTGATGAAAGCGCTCCTGTTTATACTATGGTTTACTGAATATTTTAAGCCCACTGTTGAGACCTACTGCTTCAAAAAAAAGATTCCTTTCTAAATATTACTGCTCATTGACAATGAAGCTGGTAACCCAAGAGCTCTGACGGAAATATACAAGAAGATTAATGTTGTTTTCATGCCTGCAAACAAATCATCCATTTTGTAGCACACAGATAAAGGAGTAATTTTTACTTTCAAGTCTTATTATTTAAGAAAAACACTTCATAAGGCTACAACTGCCATAGTGACATTTATGATGGATCTGAGCAAAGTACATTGAAAATCTTCTGGAAAGGATGCACCATTCTAGATGTCCTTAAGAACATTTGTGATTCACGGGAAGAGATCAAAATATCAACACTAACAGGAATTTAAAGGAGGTTAATTCCAACTCTCATGGAAGACTTTGAGGCATTCAAGGTTTCAGTGGAGGAAGTTCCTATAGATGTAGTGGGCAGAGTGAGAAAAGTAGAATCAGAAGTGGAGCCTGAGTACATAACTGAATCTCAGGATAAAATTTGAACAAATGAGGAGTTGCTTCTTATGGATAGGCCAAGAAAGAGGTTTCTTGAGATAGAATCCACTCCTGGTGAAGATGCTGTGAACATTTTTGAAATGACAACACACAAAAATAGAATATTTTCTAAACTTAGTTGATGAGACAGCATCAGAATTTGAAAGGTTCGACTCTAGTTTTGAAAGGTTCTGCTGTGGGTAAGATGCTATCAAACAGCATCACATGCTACAGAGAAATGGTTGGTAAAAGGAAGAGTCAATGGATGCACCAAACTTTCCTGTTTTATTTTAAGAAATAACCACAACTAACTCAACCTTCAGTAACCACCACCTGATCATTCAGCAGCAGCCATCAACCTTGAGGGAAGACCTTCTAGCAACAAAAAGATTAAGACTCTGAAGGGTCAGATGAGCAGTAGCTTTTTTTTTTTAGTAATAAAGTAAAGTATTTTTAAATTAAGTTATGAACATTGGGAATTTTTCACATAATGCTATTATTCATACACACAACTTTTATATGCCCTGGGAAACCAAAGAATTTGTGTGACTTACTTTATTGTAGTGGTCTGGAACCAAATCCACAATATCTTTGAAGTATGCCTGTATATGTGTGTGTGTATATATATATATGTGTGTGTGTGTATATATATGTATATATATTACATGCATACACATAGATTAACATTTTAAAAGTACATATACTTTATATGCATATGTATATATGTGTGTGTACATATATACATATGTACACACACATATATACATATGTATGTGTACATATGTATATATGTATGTGTACATACATATATACATATGCATATATACATATGCATATAAAGTATATGTACTTTTAAAATGTTAATCTATGTGTATGCATGTAATATATATGTACACATGTATATATGTATATATGTGTGTGTACATATGTATATATGTACACACACATATATACATATGCATATAAAGTATATGTACTTTTAAAATGTTAATCTATGTGTATGCATGTAATATATATACATATGTATATAGGCACACACAGACATATGCATACATACACATATATAGCAGGGTCCTAAAATATATATAGCTATATATACACATATATAGCAGGGTCCTAAAATATATGTAGCTATGTATACACATATATAGCAGGGTCCTAAAAATCTGTGACCATGCAGTTATCATCTCCAGGAAATTATTATGAGTCTATTTCAATTACGATACAAATCTCTTCCCTAGTAAATACAGTGCAGCCTATAAACATAGACATTTGGGAATAGAGATACTTTCTTTCAATGAAATAACATTACATTCCTTGCAAACTTAGATTATTTTCAAAAGACTGACCAAAATGTATTTTTGGAAAGAAAGAGAATAAGACAAAAAAAAAAAAAAAAAACCATAGCAAAATTTCAGGATAAAAAAATGCTGCTCAAATTAGCTTTTCTCACAAAATGCTGCACCACATAGTGATATTTAGTCCCAAAGAGGCAGTAGTTTTTCACCATAGGCCTTCTGTCCCTGTGGACTGCCCTTTCTATGGCTCCCACCCACTCCCCTTTTGTATCTGTAATCACTGTGTTGAACATGGATGGCACTGATAACATTTTGCATTCCATTTTCTTCCTCTTAGTCTTGTGTTATTCAGATGCACTGACCCCATAAAATGTTATGAGGTAAAAGCTACTCTCATGACCTGTAGAAATGAATGTCACTTTCTAAGGTATCAGGGAAGATTTGAGTCCTGGGAGAATATGCTGCTCTCCCTAATGGCAATTCATGTATCACTTTGATGCTCAAAAAGTAACGACGCTGTCTCTTCCCCAAAGAAGAATGAAGCATATGTGAAGCCATCGTTTTCTTCACAAGGTCAGAGAACAAAGTACTTCGAAGCCAAATGAGGAAATTGGGGCGTGAAGATAACTATTTTAGAATATTTCTGGAAATATGGTAACCAGTCAAGACAGCATTTATTTTAAAGTGTGGTGTTATAATTTTGCACAGAAATTTTTTATGAGAATATTTTTGTCACTTTCAGAGAGATCTATTATGATATGCAGGGCTGAAGGGAACATGTTGACATGTCTGAGAGCTAAAACAAACGTGAAGAATGAAGCTGAAAATAACCAGCTGTGAAGAAAGCATTACAAAGCGCTGGGTGGCACTCAGCATTGTACATCTAGAATTCAGAGATGTGTTAGGAGAATGCAATAACATGGCACTCGTAGCAAGCTTTTCCAAGAAGAAATTAAGAAGGGCACATCATTTGCTATTATAGACTAAGGTAATTGGTATCTACGTATCTGTGCTCTTCTGCTGCCAATAGGGATATGCATGAAAAAGATGCAGCTGCACCTCTCTTTGCACAGTGGATTCCCGAAAATCTCTGTGCAAATAAATCCCATTATAAAACCAGAAATGATTCATCTTTTCTGATTGATCTTCAATATAAATGGTTCTTAACATTTAACCTTTAAGATCCTTTGTCTGAGCCACATGGGGTTCAACTTCCTTCTCTATACTACTGGCTCCTAAATATTAGTTCTTAATGAAGTGTTCACCATGCTCTTGTGAAATAAGAAAATGAAGGGAAATGAAGTAACATTTTGGGAGATAAATGTATTCAAATTAAATGGCCTTGTTTAATTCTGAGATTATGCCATTATGTTTTCCCTTTTTGATGTTAAAAAGACCTTTTCTTTTATGAAATCATGCTAACAGTAGATGTTCATTTATAGTGTGTTGCTTATAATTTTACTGGTTTCTGAAATCTAAAACTATTTGTATCTCAATATGCAACCATACAAAACATCTCAAGCCAACCTCTGCCAAGAGTTAATGCATTTTTCAACAAACGAATAAATATAGAACTTACTTTATAAAGAAAATATCCCAGGCTTCATCTTATAATGCAAAGAGGTGTTATCTAGCTATTCTGGGTTTTGACACTGGATGTTACATATTTCTCTTCCTTTCATCAAATTCATCGAACTGGTTATATGAATAATACTAAGATGTATATACTTGAAATACAGCAATTTCACCATCTACAAGTTCAGATTTTACAGGTTGTGCTAGTCAAAGTTTTTAGTAACAACCAACAGAATTTACTCCCTGTCCTTTAAGATTGCTTATGAAAATCAAAGAGATAATTCATGTAAAACATAGTCAAGGCTAAATACCGAAATTATTTAATGGTGAAAAATGTTGGTTATCTTAGCAAAGCCATACAGATTACAAGCAAAAGTATAGTAGACTAAGTATAGTAGACTTTTAATACTACAGTGCATGTGACAGCCAAATACTCTGATTTGCTGTGCTGAATCTATGCTGGTAGAGCCTCCAGCTTAGCATATTGGGTGCTTTTGTCCTCAGCCATGAGTTTTAGTCACCATTCCCCCTCCCTTAACCTCTCATCAAAGGAGAAATCCCATTCTGCACTCTACACCATAATACATATTTCAGCAGGAATGACAGATAGTAATAAATCATTGAAATGTATCATTGTAAATGACAAGTGCTGTGGCAAGAAATGTGTATGAGAAAATGGGAATGTGTGAGCAAGGGACCTGGTGTGGATCTGTAACTTCCTTGAGGAATTGACACTTGAACTCAGATTAATAAAAAGATTAGACGTTAAAGAAGTATTCCCTCCAAGGGTAATGTTCAGGATCAGGGGCCAGGAGGCAGTAGGATGAATTAAAGAAATGGAAGGTCAGCATGGCTGTAGCAAAGTGAGTTAAAAGATGGAAAACAGTGTTAGGGTACAAAAAGAGGTAAAGTGCTCCAGCAATAGAGTGAAGCAAATTGACTCGGACAGACACCTTTAGCTACAGAAGATATAAATGCTTGATCATTAACAAAAAGTGATTTTCACTCTATTATCAAACTCAAATGGAAGAAAGCAAAATTTCTAGAAGACAGATAAATGAAAGTGGGAGTGGTTAAGGCCCTAAAAATTATACAAATGTCAGGACCCACAAAACCTGGATAAGCCGCTAGCTAGAATAAATAACAAAAACAAGAATTAAAACTCAAATAAATAGGAATAACTGTCCCTGAAGAAAAAAGAATAATTTGAATGACAGCAAAATAGGTGTGTTTAACATGATTAAAGATATTTTTCAAGAAAATAAAATCATGAAGATGAAATGTACTATATAAAAAATGACAAGGTATTAGATAAAATAATCAGATCTTCTGAAAATAAAAAATATAGTAATAGAAATTAAAAAGCAACTGAACAGGATTATATATACCTTTGAATATATAACTAATGAACCAAAAACTATAAATATGAAGAAATTATCTAGAAGGCAGCACAGAAAAGTAAAGAAATGTAAAAATAATATCAATATATATAGATCATTGGGTGAAAAGCCACTATACATATTTTTAAAGGTCCCAGAAGAGGAAAATAAAGTAAATGGAGGTAAAATCTATTCAAACAAAAAATAAGAATTTTTTAGCATTGAAAATGATATGAGTCTTCACATTTTAGAAGCACACTGAATCAAAAGAAAAAGGAACAAGAAACATAAACTCAGATACCTCATGCTAAAACATCATCAACTCATGAACATAGAGACTACATTAAAAATTACTAGAGAAGAAAAATAGTTTATCTCCAAAAGAATAAGTGTCAGCCGACTGACAGCAGACTTCTCATCAGCAATAATAAATGTCAAAAGACAGCAGTAGTAAATTAACTGTCACCATAGAATTTTATAAAGCAATCACTCAAATTTGAGAATAAAATAAAGATATTTGCAAGAAAACAAAGGCTAAGGTTTTCTATCCCTGACAGACGATTACTGAAAGAACTACCCAAGAAGACATGAATGGAATAAAAGAAACAATGGCAAACAAAAAAAAGGAGGGTATACATATTGGGAAATCTAAATAAACACTCTAAATTAATAATCATCATTAATAGTTTGAGACAGGTATAAAAGAAGGTAGAATAAACTTGCCTAATATAAGAAGGAGAGCTTTTTGTACTGATTAGAAGAATATAAATATTTATTAACTTAGTTTTCATCAAGCTAAGTAAAGGTGGTAAAATGTAAAGGTATTCATTAAATAATAAATCTAAAACTTTGAAACCAAATGGAAGAATACAGGGAGGTGATTAAGGGAATTTGATTTGTCTACTAGAAGGCAATAGAGGAGGGAAAATAAGTGATAAGAATGAGAAATAGAAAATTCAAAATGAAGATGGCAGTAATATTTCCAAGTATTTCAAGAATCACAATAATATAGATGATATCTACTTATCTAAAAATAGGAATTATATGATTAGATGGACAAAAACCTATAATCAAACTAGATGCAATTTACAAGAAACACATAAAGTGTAAGAACACAGGAATGTTGACAGTAAAGGGCTGCACAAAAGTATAACCAAATGAAAGGTGGTATAGTTACATATATGAAACTAAGTGAGCATTAAATTATAAACTATTATTAAGCAAAGTTCATTATTAACACAACAATATAATGGGGAAAATCATAGAAAGCTATAAAAATGTTAACGCTGTGTGTGTCCAAACATAAAAATTAAAAATAAATGAAACTCCATTTGACAGAATTATTTAAGGAAACACTTTAAAATCCATAGTCACAATGGTGCATTTTTAACACAGCTATTTCATAACTGAGACATCACTTAGATAAAATATTAAGAGATATGTGAACAACTCTTGCTTGATGGCTACGTATGTATTCCAGTACCTCAATTTAGAAAATATATCTATTTTTTCCAAAGGACCACTTACAAACATGAACAATTTTTATAAATGCTTTTTTGAAAAATATATATATACAAACATATCTAAGTATATTTATGGATGTACAAATTTGAAAATAATTCACAGACAACTCAAGAGAAAAATTGGAATTGGCAAGGAATATTACCAGACAAATTTTAAAGGAGACAACTGTGTGACCGATAACCAAGTGTAAAGTTGTTCACTCATCAGAAACATGTACATTTAAACAAGATGAAATTTCCTATCCATCATGTTGGCCAAAAATATTTGACTATGCTAGTTGCTGGAGTGCAGGTGGCGAATCAGAACATTTTACGTAATGCAAAGAGGGAAAATTGGAGCAACTGCCTTTGAGAGAAATTGTCAATATCCACAAAAGTCAAATATATCCTATGACCTGGCAATTCCACTTTGACTTATAAACTCTAGAAAAGGTGCTTTCAAACTTTTTTTTTTTGCAGCAATCCATAGCAGAACAAAACAAAATAAGCTAACAAAAACTGTTTCACATTGCAAAACAGAATATATACATGCATATTCATACACATAACTGAAGTAAAAGTTCACAATAAAATAATCTTCTGCATTTCATTTGATAGAATCATTCTATTATTCTATTCTATTCTATTCTATTGGATTCTATTCTATTCTATTCTATTCTATTCTATTCTATTCTATTCTATTCTATTCTATTCTATTCTATTCTATTCTATTCTATTCTACTCTATTCTATTCTATTCTATTATTTGATCCTATTCCATTCTATACGATTCTGTTCAATGTCACTCTACTTCAACCCAATCTACTCCACTCTGGTCCCATACCACTAATTGATTTCATTACTCAATTGATCCTGATTGTGTCCCTCAATATGAAAATCACCCTACTAGAGAAATTACAACAAATACTCAGACTCCTCCAAAGATATTTATTGAAATATTGCCTGCAACAGTGAAATGTTATGATCAGTCTAAATAAATGTCATTAAGCCAAAGAATTGTTAGAAAAATAATTATATGATCATACAGTGGAATTCTCTGGGGCAGCTAAACTGCCCTGGTATGCATGGAACTCTGCCTGCTTACTCCTATCATCTCAGAATCCTATCTGGTTAGTGTACCCTTCCATTTTCAAATGTGTTGAGGTTTGGATGAAAAAGTCAGGGCTGGCTTCATGGGCAGATAACTTGGACAGTCATGCAGGCTTCCACCCTCACATGGGCTCTGAGCTTGGGGTTTAATGCCCTGTGTCACTGTCATGAAATTCCTAAAATTTTCTTTAAATTATGTTTTGGAAGTGAGGTTGGTGGGACAATAAGCAATGGAATGTGTGTGGAAAAGAGAGGCTTGGAGACTTGGGTCCTCCACGGTCTCATCTTCCCAGATACCTCTTGCAGGTTCTCCACCCTCTGATGCTGCAGGTCCTACCTGGCCTCTGGCTCCCTGCCATTGCCAGGCAACTACTGCCATCCTCTGCCCCAGAGGAGGGGAGGACTGGGGTCTGTTAAGTGCCCAGTGGCCTCTTTGGGTGGGACATGGCACAGTGTAACTCATGAGCCTCTCGTTCAACCCCAATCCAGTACCAGCACAGAGTTGGCAAACCCTTAGGTGTGGCCTGGCAGCTGCAGGTTTGGGAGTCAGGACTATGAGAATGGGAGATGCCCGAGAGGGAAGATGTCTCCATGCCTAAGAAAAACCCTATAGTAAATGGCAAATATAAAACCACACTGACAGGTAAGGAGAAAGAAAATGGAAGAAAATCAAAGTTTGATATTAAGGGTGCTTTTCTCCCTGCTTTTTGAACAAGGGTCCCTACAAATTGTGAAGCTAAGCCTGGAAAAAATACATGATAACCCTGTTAATATTTTATTCTTTTTTCACAGATCAATAGGAAGCCAACAAATTATTTTCATAATAGAAAATAGGTTCTATTTATATTCTAGAAAGATCACCCTTCAGCCTCTGTTCCTTCGTCCATCTCCCCACCTGAACACAGTGCGCTGATACAGCCACTCCTTACTCACTGATTGTCAACTATTATCAACATAAAATTATCATTCCTATGATAAACTTGAACCACTAGAAGTCAAAAAAGGAAAGAGAAAGAGCAATCTTCTGCCACTTGTCCTGTCTTCCTCCTACTCTGTGTCCACTCCTCTTTCAGGTGTTTGTCTGTTTCGCTGATTGCTATCCATGTGAGCCCCCCGTGTCTGGGTGGAGGGTCCTTTTGCAATTCTGCACCTGGAGCACTTAGTGTATATTCAGGTGATTACCTTTGTTGATTAGTTTTGTCAATTCCTCTCATCCTTTCAGCAAATTTAGTTGGGTCACCTTGAGGGTACTTCAGTTTTAATTTAAATACAGTTTTTAACTTGTTTGTACTTTCTGACAGCTGCTATCATTCAATTTACTCTGCGAGATATTCTGCAAGTTTGCTCTCCTTTTTTCTCCTCTAAGATCTATTGAGTTCAAAAAAATCATAAAATAGAACGGAAAGGTGGCTTCCAGCAGTTATTACATTCTTCCCTCTTCGGAAGGACTGCTAGGAAGCCGTGTCTGAAGAATGAAGAGTTACTCTAAGAGATTTCTGGGAAAAAGAGAATTCATAGCCTCCCTCCATACTCATTTGGGGGCTAAAGAGACCTGTCAGGAAATTTTTCCTTGTATCTAAACTAAATCTAGCTTAATGTTCCTTTTAGAGCAGGCAAAGTACATGGTGTATATTTAATAGTTGAACTAAGACTTTCTTTTGCTCTGACATGCCCCAGCATGTTTTAGGATAGTGGTTGGATATGTCAGAGAGAAAACAGGTTTTATGTTATTTGGCCTGAATTTCCATTAGGTGCCTGTTTGTCTGGACAAACAGGCAGGAATGCCCATCTTTAAATAATGAGCTTGGAGTTACCTGGGGGATTACTTACCAATGAGTGTTACCTGCAGGATGGGAAAAAAATAGCTGATAAAATCATTACTGAGCGTTATAAAACACCCAGGTGGATAGTATGTGAGCTTCAGACTGGATAAATCATGCCTCTCTAATCTATTTGGAATTTTTTTGAAAGAGTTAACAAAATACTGAAGTGTAGAGAAGTAGTGGGCATTAAATATTTAGACATTCAAAAGGCTTTTGATCAAGCCCCTAACCAGAAAACATTTAGAATCCATTTCAGCCTTCTGTAGGACCCAAGAGGTGAGAGGTAAAATTTTGTCTGTAAATCCTTGATGCTAAAAAATCCTGGATAACAATGAAAATAAAAGGTTGGAATAAATGATGTTGTTAGTCTGAAAGGAAGTTAATAGAAAGGTGCACTAGGGAATGGTGTTGGAACCAAGTTTCTTGTATATGTTAACACCAATCAATCTGGAAATGCTTCCGAATAATGAGGTTGCAAAATGTGTTGGGGATGGAGAACTATTTAGGCTAGTCGGGAGTGGGGAATATTTTGAGGAACTCCACAAGGGCCCAACAAAATTTAGGTAGTTGAATAATCTGATGTCAGATAAAATTGAGCCAAGACAAAACAATGGTACTCTATATTATAAGAAATAATTTAAGCTATGAATGAACACTGATAGATTTTGGATTAACTATAATCTTTCAGGAGAAAGGTCTAGCAGTCATTGTGAACATCTCAATAAAGGATCTGTTCACAGCAAAGAGACTGTAGGAAAGGCCTACAGAGGTGTAAGTGCAATGATTAGATGCACATGAGAAGAGATGAAAAAGGCCAGGATTATTTCATTTGGAAAGGAAAGAAAGAGGAAATTTGTTAGAAGAGGGTAAAAAAATGAAATATTAAAACAAAAAAGCCAGTTGAGTACTTCTATTCACTTTTGCCTATAATATTAGGAAGTCAATGAAATTAGATAACATGGAATTTACATGAAAATGAGGGAAAATGCTTATGTAATTCATAGTTAACATTAAGAGCTTCCTGCATGGAATGCCATTGAGCTGGATACCAACTACTGAGCAAGGTATCAAATGGGTTACACATTCACAGGGGTGGGCTGAGATTAGACTTTCTCCATAAGATCCTATTAGAGACGGTGTGTGAACATGTATTCTAAAGCAGTTTTCACAGTCTCTCTTGTATTTGAATTAATTTATGTGTCTGTCTCCCCCTCCTTAGGTTGTAAATTCATAGAAAGCAGAGGTTTTTGTCTTAAACATTTTTATCTCCTTTCCCTTTTTCTCTTCAGTGTCTAGGAATATTCTTTGCTCCTAGAAGGTACTCAGTAAGTACTTACAGATTTCAC
This sequence comes from Homo sapiens, assembly GCF_000001405.40. NCBI lineage: Eukaryota > Metazoa > Chordata > Mammalia > Primates > Hominidae > Homo > Homo sapiens. The sequence continues at coordinate 83,010,012 of NC_000001.11, read as the reverse complement.
GCTGTGATGCATGGGGGAGTAGGAAAGGTTTAGCAATGGAAGAGGTGAGTTTCTCCCTTAAGACTGTCTGCCCCCTCACCCCCAGCAATGTCTACTTAGCCCATACTGTAGCTATCAAACAACAATGAAAGGTGATGAGATGAAATCAGAGAAAGGAAAGGAAGGATGGAAAGTAGGGTTGAAAGCTATTGGTCAGTACTGAAAATCTATTGTGTGTCAGGTGCCTTGCTACACATTTTTATGCACATCTTCTTAACAAGCAGCTTAAAATCCAGTTATTAGTAGGGACTAGACACTACTTCTTTGGCAAAGAAAATGTTTCTAAACTCCTTCCCTGCTCTATCCCTGGCTTGCTCCCTGAAATAAACAAGAACTCAAGGAGTTGACCTTCAGTGCCTTCTTGGAAGTCACATACACCCAGTCATCTAAGAGCTTATTTTTAAGAACTCAGTTTATACTAAGTCGTAGAAATACAAAAACATCTTTTCTGGATGTTTTCATGACTTGGAGTTCATTTGTTTAATAGTATTTATTGAGCACCTATGGAACCACTCATTAAAGAGACAACAATTAAAGCACTGTTTATTATCTCAAAGTGTTTAGACTAGAAAGGGAAAATTAGAGAAGTAAAGAAGCAATTAGAATATAGATTAATAAGCCTTATATTATGGAAGGCACAAGAAGTTATAGGAACACAGAGGAATAGCATATAACCCATGTCTAAGGGATGGAAAAAGGGCTCCTGGGGAAATTTGTATTCAAATTCAAAGGTGAAACTCTGATAGAAGAGGGTTGGAGATTGGGGGAGTTGGGATCAGACGCCAAAGCAAGCATGAATCTGGCACATTTGGGGTCATCTGAAAGGTATTCAGTGTGGTTAAGTTAGCAAGTCCTGGCTTTGACATTAAAGGCAGGATAAGCACTTCACCCAAGATGAATAACAACTTTTTAGTGCTTGAAAAGTTTCATTCAGGACCATGTAGAAGAGTAGTGGGAAACAAAGCTGGAGACAAAAATTGAGATTGAGAGCAGAGAAACAAGCACATTGCATTAGTTTAAAATTTACCAGGAAGGCCGGGCGCGGTGGCTCACGCCTGTAATCCCAGCACTTTGTGAGGCTGAGGAGGACGGATCATGAGGTCAGGAGATGGAGACCATCCTGGCTAACACGGTGAAACCCCGTCTCTACTACAAATACAAAAAATTAGCCGGGCGCGGTGGTGGGCGCCTGTAGTCCCAGCTACTTGGGAGGCTGAGGCGGGAGAATGGCATGAACCTGGGAGGCGGAGCTTGCAGTGAGCCGAGATAGCGCCACTGCAGTCCCGCCTGGGCGAAAGAGTGAGACTCCGTCTCAAACAAAAAAAAAAAAAAAAAAAAATTACCAGGAAATGGACACTAAAACAGACTAGAACTACAGGAGATGTATCTGTGGAGGGAATAGGAGTGCACTGTATGCGGTGCGCCATAGGAGCACCCTACATGGGGTGCACTCTGATCATGATGCAGACCTGACACATGTGGAAGGAGAGAGGGAGGAAGGAATACCAGGTATAAAGAGTCACAGGCAACAATGACATTTCCAGAAAGATTCAGCAAGGGCCAGTGGGGAGTTCTGAAGTTAAAATTGTGTGTTGAAGGAGTTCACATTTTGCTAGAATTGGCCTGTTTGTAGGCATATTAGCTAGGGTTCTCCAGGGCAACAGAACCCATAGGTTGTGATACATACACACATATACACATATACATGCATATCTGTAATAGGATGTGTGTATGTTTATACACATAAAGAGAAAGAGAGAGAGAGAGATGTAAAGGAATTGGTATATGTGCTCTTCAGGGCAAGGTGGAGATCCAGGGATGAGTTGCAGATTGAGTCCGACGGCCGTCTGCTAGAAGAATACTAGAGGAAATGAAGGATCATCTGCTTTACTTAGAGTCTACTGATTTAAATGATAATCTCATATTAACAATACAGAAGTATCTAGACTAATGTTTGACCAAATATCTGTTTAGTTTACTCGTAAAATTGGCTATCACAGTGTGGTCATCATACTCTGTCGCTGGTTGGGAGCAGCTTGCAGGAAGTAAGGCCTCCGCATGAATGCAGCAGTGGAGGCAGCACGGCAGCGGCTAGGGCTGTCAGTCAGTTCTGCTCCCTGCAGCAGATCTGAGCAGCTTCTATTCTTGGCCACCACACACACAAAAGCAGTGATCAAGGCAGCATCAAAAGATCTGTCCAAAGTTTGACTTTCCTTAGTAGACAAAATATAGGTTTGAACAACACAAGGGACAGGTGGATGAAACCAGAAGAACACATGTAAGACAACAGCCGAGTAGGCAGACGTGAATGAGGCAATACACTGGAGCTGAAAGGAAAGCAGAAAATCAAGGAGTGGCGGTGCGAAACATGCCAAAGCAACAATAACAACAACAAACCATGATCTGACAGGCACTGTGCTCAGACTAATACCCCCATTGTAAGAAGAAGAGACCTAGGCTCAGAGATGCTAAGTAACTTGGCCAAACTCATCTTTCTAATTAGTAGCCAGATTTAGAATTTGTCTTCTTTACTCTGAATTCCATCTCTTTCTACTCTATTATACACACTTCATTTTTTAAACAGACAGGGTCTTGCTATATTGCCTAGGCCAGACTGAGACTCCTGGGCTGAAGGGATCCTCTTGCCTTAGCTTCCTGAGTAGCTGGGACTATAGGTGCACACCACCAAGTCTGGCTTAAACTGACTTTCTGCTCTATCTTAGGGCCAAGAAACCTAACTATGGAGTGAAGAAACAGGCATGAGGCAGCAGAAGTAAGACAGCTTCGGCAGGAAGAAAACCATCTGCCTTAACAAAGAAGCATCTTAATATATTTTCTACTGAAGCAACTTCCAGTCCCTGGGGAAGTCCAGGCTCAGGCTTGCGCGTGAAAGCAGGAAAGTAGATTCAGTCGGGGAAGCAGTGCATGCGAGGGCAGGGACACGGGCTGATCCCGACACATCTTTGTGAAATGGGAATGAACTATCAGAAACAGAGGCAGTTTTCCTTTGAAAGTCTGTTACATTCACAATGAGGGTGATGAAAGACTTTGCTTCCTTGCCTTTTAGGTAACTTCAATATGGCCAGACTTTGAAATATAATACTGTACTGAATTTTGTATTGAATGTGGTGGTGCAATATTGAACTATAAAAGAAAGGGCTGGAACAGTACTTTTCAAATACTTGCTGCTCAGAATCCCTTTGCCCTTTTCCACTTACAGGTATGATCTTATCTATTGATATTTTCTGTCTCAAAAGGCCCTCTGTCTATTCTATCAGGTTGCCCTATTTTTCATTGTGTAATAGGCTGTATTTTGAAAATGAATAGCCCCAAACAACTTCGATATATTGCTATTACTGTGCTTTTCTTTTGAAGAAATTCTTCACTTGGCATTTCACTTTAATCAGACTTCAAGCTGCTATGATAGCAGCCCTCCTCTCTTCCTAGACCTCACCACCACCCAGACACTGACTCCTTTGTACATCTCAATGACTCCTGTCATTCTTAACACTGAGGGCACCCCTCCTGACATCCTGAGATGGTAAGGAGCAGCTGGCAGCTTTCTTCCAACCTCTTTCCAGCAATGCCCACTGCTGCCACTCTGTAGCAATCAACAGACGCACCGTGTGGCCTCCTTTATTCTCACTGTGCATCTCTGCCCACCCTTGCTCTTGATGCCCACTTGAAATCCTAGTGTATCACATGTACAGGTTTTTCATGGACACTATATCTAAAGTGAATATGGCCAGAAGGAGCTATTGGGAGGCAGAAAATCTGTTGAAAGCTATTTGTGTTCTAGGAGCATACTGAAGAGTCAGCCCACTTGTGTAAACACTGAGCACCGAGATAGTGATATTTTAGCTGCAGTTTGGAGAATTTCAAAATAAGATTGGTCGGAGGCAGAATAAAATCATATAGACATATATATCATCAGCAGGATACAGTCTGATTTATAAAAGAAACAAAAGAAATGATATTGTGCATTGAGTGTCAGCTGTGACCTTTGAAGACAAGGACCAAAGATCCTAGCACCCTTGGCACTCAAGTATGATGCTGGTCACAGTGGGTGCTCAATCGAAGTGTGTTTAACTGAACTGAATTTTTGGTTTGTTTTTGAGACAGTCATGCTTTGTTGCTCAGGCTGGAGTGCAGTGGTGCAAGCATGGCTCACTCTAGCCTCAAACCCCTGGGCTCAAGCCATCTACCAACCTCAATCAGCATCTCCAGTAAATAGGATTGCAGGCATGCACCACCACACCAGAGTAATTTTTAATTATTTTATTTTGGGGGAAGACAGGATCCTGCTATGTTGCCCAGGCTAGTCTCAAACTCTTGGCTTCAAGTGATTTTCCCAACTTCATTTCCCAAAATGTTGGGATTACAGGCACGAGCCACTGCATCTGGCTTGAACTGAATTTACAGCAAGGGAAACAAACTGGTTTGTAAGTTTATTATTGTGGTATGTGTTGCAGAATTTAGGTAATCAGGTAAAAGTTAAGGACTCTCCCACCAGAAACATGTACACACAAACATTTGTATTAAATTTCAAGAGGTCCTGTTACGTACCTAACATTGAAGTCCTGCCATCAACCTCCACTGAGATTTTTCACACACTAGAGATTCTAGTGTAAAATTAAAAAAAAAAAAAAAACATTCGAAGAACAATGAAGGATCAGCAACCAGGGTTATATCCTCTGTGGCAAAATGTTGATGACCTGACATTTAGAAATAACCCCGGCATTTACTGTTCATAGAAAGTTTCTTAACCTCCCTAAAGCTCATCTGCAAAATAGAAATAATTTTTTTTTCTTTTCTATGCTGTGTGGCATTTAATGAAATAATTTATGTGAAATAGTTGTGTAACCTCTCTAGACAGCTTATTATCATTATTATTATTGAGCAAATCTAAGCTGGTTATTTTGTTTGCTTGTTTTTCTTCTTCTCCTTCCTCTTCTTTTTCTTCCACCTTTCCTTTTCCTTCCCTTTCTCCTTCTCCTGACTTGATATTTGGTGAAAAATATTGTTAGTGTTTCGTGGTTGTTCTGTATTTGTGAAGAGTTACAAGCAATGAAAATACCTTGATCTCCCATTAGCACATAGTGGGTTACTAGCAACACGCATTCCTTAGCTCATGTTGTTCATGCAAAGAGCTTGGGGTCAGAGCTTGAAAGATTGAGATTTGAATACTTCTTCCATTTACTTGGGGAAGATGACAAAATCTCTTTGTACAACTGTACTTTATATAAGTTTACACATTTGGAAAATAGTGATAATAACCTAACAGGGTTATTTGAGAATTCAAGAGACACTGCACTTAAAAATAATACTTTGAAAATTGTAAAGCACTCTTCAAGAAATAGAGAATAGAGGTGTGATAGTGCTAGTCCCATTTGCCCTTTCGCTGGCTGGATACTGTGAGACTGAAGTGGGCATTTATTATTTTGTCTGCCAAGCCTCTCTAATGAGATCTGAATTGATCTTCAGATTCCACACTATACTGTCACATGTGGGAATGGGAACTGTTACATACTCTTCTCCTCAGCCAGTGATTGGTCTCAGGCTGGGTCAATCAGAGACTTTCCATAACATTTTCCAAATTAGAAGTAATAGAAGAGGAGCTTTCCCTCTCAGGAAGCCATGCTAGGCAGTTGTGAGTAAGTCTGGAGCTTTAAGTAGCTGTAGTTCTGGCTCAAGTGAAAAGCTGTTTTGGGAGGACAAGGGCAACATACAACAAAAAGCAGAGAGACCAGAAAGACAAAGAGAATTCTGAGTCCCTGAAGTCTCAGAAGCCACCCCAATTCCTTCTTCCTCCAGGTTTGGTTGCTCCACAGTTTATTTAATTTGGTATTTCTGTTACCCCATTTTCTAAAGTGACTTTGAGGTGAGTTTCTGTCATTTGCGGACAGAAAAATGCTGACAGACAACAGGTCTTGCATGTGCCTTAATAGAAGCTACAGGAGTGTGACTGCCAAAATGCTGTCTCCATGCACTTAGGGAAAAAAATTCTCTTGGTCCCCATTCTGGTCCTAGCCCAACCAAACCCACTCGTCAAGTTGTATTACCCATGAAAGCAATATGATCAGTATCGCTTGCCCAAAAAGCCAGGAAAATGTCTCTCCTCAGTTAGCAATAGCCTATTCCTCAACCTAGAGCTTGTGGGGGAAGGCACTAGGCTCCTTATGAATTCACTCTGCTTCTTGCAGCCAGAATGTGTTTTTAAGAACTGCAGCTGAGGGAGATGACATGAATAGGGCAATTTGGATTGATTGGAGAGCAGACGAGCATGAGGAGGAGACTGCAGCAGGAAAGAAATGATTTCGGAGCAAGAGTAGATTGCTGCTGTTTGGCTCTTTTAGCCCATGGAACCCAATAATAATTTTCCTCAAATTTTATATTTCCTGCCAACTGAGTCCTATAATCACATGGGTAGGGAGGTCTGAATTACTTTGCTTGTCAAAGGAGGGTGTTGTTTATAAGTGGAGAGCCAACACACTACTTTGCCCTCAAGTCAAGTGAAGAGAGATCTATCTGAATAAAAATAAAATAATATCTAAAAACTCCCAGTTAATGCCAAGATAACATGGAATTTTTCATTGTTCCAAGATCTGATCGTAAAATGTTGTTTTAGGCCTCACAAGAATTAATCCTGTCACCTTAAATTTGAGCTGGAACAAAGCAATATATTTCAATTAAAAACATACATTTTGAACTGCCTGTGTAAACCCATCTATAGGATTTGTTATCCTCAAAACACAACACACAAAGAAACTAAATAGGGTTTTAATTGTCTTTAAAGTCTGGGAACTCTCTCAAAATGCGACAAAATAAAATACTTCATTTCTCTGGCCTGTGTAGTTAAAAAGCTTCTGTAAGAATTCCTAAATGGCATGGCCTTTTATCCCCTCCATCCACAACCACCTACCCTCTTCTTCTTGTGTGTTACCATTATATTTGTGCTTCCTATATTTTATATTTCAGAAGTTTCTCCATGCTTTATAAGAAACAAGCTAGTTTAAGGGGTTTTGTTTGTTTCTGTCTCTAAGTATTTCAAACATATCTTTATTATGTTAGAAGCTTCTTGGTTTCCAGGATCTCTTTGAAATTAAATAAATTTGTAGAAATGGTTATTTTCTTACTATGGTACTTATTTCTAGGTTCTGTTTTATATTTGTCTAGAATTAATCTTGAAGATAATTAATTAATTATATTATTTGTATGTGTCACATCTTAAGTCCTCACATCCTAAAACAACAAAAAAAGACATTTTAGCATTTAGCCTGGAATTTCATTCTGTAAAAAACAGTAATTCCCTTTCGTTATGTCTTATTTTCTACTAATATCTATATAGACACTTTTCCTGTTACCCTATCTAAAAAGATATACACATATAAATGTCAGAATGAACAATTCCTTATATGTCATTTAATAGATTTTTCTTTTTTAATTTCAATTTTCCCTAGATCCATTCAGTTTTTAGTGATAATTAGATTTTAAGCATTATCCTTCAGGTTTGCAAGCCATATTGATCTAAATGTGATTCATGTTGTCAGTTGCGTTTTTTAAAACTTATCAGCCCATATTCACACATAATTCAAGATGTGTGTATTTTCCTAATCTTCTGCCCTTTTGCCCTGCATAATGTATAGTAGATCTGTTAAGTACAGTAGCTTATGTCAAGGTGAATTATTGAACTAAAAGTTTGATATATGATCTGGGGAAACTACTACATTTTCACTGAAGGCAAACCGTGAATCTCTTCAGGGCAATTCCAGTTGATTCCTTTGCTGCTTATTTCAATTGTTTTTTTGAAGGCATGCACTATATCTTCATATTTGTAAATGCATTTGATTTTTCTGTTTATAAAAGTGTTACAGAACATGTTAAAGAAGACTATTATGTTTCTGTATGAACCTTAAAATGTGCTGGTGTACATATATATGACACAATTAGTATAATGCTTATGCTGGCTCATACATGATGTGCGTTGAGGTTCTCAAAACATTTTCTCCCAAATCAATAACACACAATCACATTCCTACATTAAAACAAAATAGAGTGTGTAAGACAAAGGTAAAAAAGACCCCCTTTATTCACTATCCCTTATCTCTTTTTTTTTTTTTTTTTTTTTTTTTTGAGACGGAGTCTTGCTCTGTCGCCCAGGCTGGAGTGCAGTGGCGCGATCTCGGCTCACTGCAAGCTCCACCTCCCGGGTTCACGCCATTCTCCTGCCTCAACCTCGGGACTACAGGTGCCCGCCACCACGCCCGGCTAATTCTTTTGTATTTTTAGTAGAGACGGGGTTTCACCGTGTTAGCCAGGATGGTCTCAATCTCCTGACCTCGTGATCCGCCCGCCTCGGTCTCCCAAAGTGCTGGGATTACAGGCGTGAGCCAGCACGCTAGGCCCCCTCATCTCTTTTACTTTCTCTCATACACACACACACACACACGAACCACACCCAACTGCCATATCCCACTTCTTTTACAAATACAGTTCCTTTTTGTGCTTTAATATGCTTTCTTCTAGAATATTTGTATGTATTTAAATACACATATATAACTAATGCCAAATATATTTTTGTTTACTTTGTTTTGACTTTCCATGAGTTCATACCTATACATGTCTATACTTTGCATTTGCTGTTTACTCTCTTTCTGGAATGTTTTTCCTCAAAATATTTCTGAGGCTTAGTTCCTTACCTCTCTTAGGCCTTATCCAGACATCTCCTTTTATTAAGACATTTCCTAATTACTCTATTAAAACTGAAACTTCCTCTCCTATACCTATTTCCTGCCTATCCTTGCTCATGGCTTATCTGTTTTCAGAGTTTTTATCACCTTATAAATAACATATATTTTATGTTTTTGTTGTCATGTTCTCACTAGAGTACGAGATTCATCTAGGCAGATTTTTTTTTTTGTCTGGTTTATTTACTACTATGTTCTATCACTGAGAAGAGTGCCTGACACGTGGAAGTAGTTGATGTGTTAATGAATAAATACTATGGTGACTAAAAAGTGTGTGTTTTGTAGTCAGATTACCTGGATTCAATCCCAGTTCCAAATCTACTAGTCATGTGATCCTGACAACTTATTTAAATTCTTTGGTGTTTGGTTTCCTCTTCAGTAGTATAAAGATAGTAATAATGTCTCTCACCTGGGTGGTTATAAGGATTAAGCAAAGTTGACACATATGTAGGGAAGTGCCAAACAAATAATCCTCACTAAATTTTATCTAGTGAATATAGTAGTGGGAATAGTGTCAGTAGTAGTAATAATATGCAACTAGCTTTTTCATTCAATAATGTCATAGAAACATTTAGTCATTACATCTAGGTCCACCCAAATTTCTATTGCTACAGACTACACCATTGTGTGGATTTATTGTAATGAATATAACAATTTTCAGATTGTTAGACATTGAAGCTGTTTCAATCATTTCTGTGTTATAGAGAGGAAGTTGTCACTGCCAGTGAGCATTCTTGTGTGAGCAATCACTTACATTTGTGTGCATGCTTATGCAACTATGCGACGCTGTGTTATATGTCTTTGGTGAAACTCTTGGTAAAAGAATATTACTATTCTAACGTTTTCTAATTAATTCCAAAAAGTTGTAGCAATATACTTTCTTACCACCAGTAACAGAAGGTATCCATTCCTCCCAGGTCTCCTCAAAATCGGATGTTTATTGATTTTTTTTAAAAAAGTCCCTAACCTGAAGGGTCCCAATTAAAATGTTGCTTTAATTAGCATTTTACTAACAAGTATTAATGTTGACCAACTTTTGTAACTTTCTTAAACATTTCTATTGTTCTCTGACCTCTGTCCTCACGTGATAATTTATAAAATACAATATATAATTCTTAATTTATTATTTGGGATCCATCAAGCAAACATTTTCTCCTAGACTCTCTTCTGTTTTCTCTTCTCTCTAACTGCCTTTGCTCTACAGACTTTTGAAATGTTATTCACTGAAATGATTAAGCATTTCCTTTATGGCTTCTAGATCAAAAGATTATAAACTCTTCTGTATTTTCTTTAAATCATTTTGTTTTAAGCACTTAAATCCATTTGGTAGATTGTGTGTGTGTGTGTGTGTGTGTGTGTGTGTGTGTGTGCATGCATCTTTGGTTTATAGCCAGTAGATGCTGTAATAGAAACCTAAATCATTTGGTGACAATGACTTTGGCAACAGGTGACTGGTAGAAGCCCAAAGGACCTTGAGAAGATTTTTAGTAGAGTCTGGAAGGACAGCAAGGCAATTGGTATTGGAAGCTATGGAAAGGGAAACCTGAGCTGTATACTAGACAAAGAGAAAAACTACTGCCTGCGGTAACATAGAAAATAGAAAGAATACCTCTAGTAGGCAGAATAATGGACTCCCCAAAATGTTTACATCCTAATCTGGGGAACCTGTGAACATGTCACCCTACATGGCAAAAGGGATTTTGCAGATGTTACTATGCCCACAAGACATCAAGATAAGATTAGCCTAGGTTATCCAGATGAGCCCAATCTAATCACATGAGTCTTGAAGATCAGAGAAACCTTTCCCATCTGGGAACGGTGAACGCCTGTAATGACTGTGTAAGTGAGGTCAGGGAGATGTGATGTTGCTGGCTTTGAAGATGGAGGAAAGGGGTCATGAGCCAAGAAACGTGGGAGACCTCTATCTGCTGGGAAAGGTAAGGAAACAGATTCTCCCTTAGAGCCTCCAGAAAGAAATGCAGCCCTGTTAGCCTCTTGAGGTTAGCCTCGTGAGATCCATGTCAGACTTCTGACCTATGAAAGTATAAGATATCAAATTTGTAGCTTTAAACCACTAAAGTTGTGGTAATTTGTTATGGCAGCAATAGAAAATGAATGTAAACTGTTTAGTAAATATGGAGGATTCAGGGGTGGGGAAATTATTCTGGATTATCTAGGTGTGCCTATCTAGTCACATGAATCCTTAAAACAGAGAACATTTCTTGGTTGCAATCAAGGAGGGAGATGTGATATAGAAGAATAATCAGTGAGTTGCAACATTATTGAATGAGAAGATGGAAGGAACAGGCTGCAAGCCAAAATGTGTGCCCTGTAGAAACTGAAAAAGGCAAGGAAATGGATTCTCCCATGCACACCCCAGAAAGGAACACAGTCCTGCTGACATCTTGATTTTAACTTGCTGCAATATCCACATGTTCTGCAGTACACAAGAGATTACTGGCTTATTACAGCCAATTTAACAGTGAGGAGACAGGGCACGCTCAGAGTGGTTCACCTCCCATGTCAAAGGTCAGGGGTGAACTGAGACTGGAAAACTTAGATTGGTCCTGTTGTCACCCTCCTCTTCCTTTCTTTGCAAACACATACCATCAAGTTTTAAAAAAGAATCGACGGCTATTTTTTTCTATTATTGTGGAAAAATCATTACATCATCTGAAAAGTGGCACAATATTATTCACTGATACATTCAACAAACGTTTACTGAACTTTTCTAGCTGTCCATTCATTAGTAGTCACTGGCTACAACCATGAGTAAGAGTTACTCTCAAATTTATCAGGATCAAGTAAGAAAGTGGCAAATAAACAAAGTTCCATGCGGAAGGGGAAGGATATCCTAATAAGTGTAATCTCACGGAGGTACAGGCTGAAACAGAAGGGGCTTCTAGTCAGTCTTCCCTAATGAGGAGTGTTTTCCTGGAGAAAGCAACTTCTGAGCTGAGAACTGAATGATGAGCAAGATTTCATTTACAGAACAGGTTCTAACATTTTTAAGAACTTCTTCCTGGTTAAATCATAGAGTACAAAGAAAAAGGTAAAAACAAACAAGGAAACAAAAAACCCTGAAGATATAATAAGGAGCCAGATTATGAAGGCTTTTATGAGGCATACTTGGGAGTATGGGTACCTCATAAGTATTTTAATAGCAAAAGTAGCATAATTGTTTTTTAATTTTAAGTATAGGTATTTTAATAAGTATTTTAACAGGAAAAGTAACATAGTTATTTTTTAATTTTTTTAAAATCACCTCATTGTGTAATAGGAATAGATTAATGAAGAACAAAACAAGAAATCAGAATACTAGTTGAGATACATTGCAATAACCTATGAGAGAGAGAAGTTATAATCTTGGGGATGGCAGAGATGAAAACAGGTAGATAATTTTAAGAGATACTCAAAGGTTATAATAGAGAGCACTTTGTGATTGTTTTAGTTACCTATAAACACTATCAAAAACTTAGCGGTTTAATCCCACAATAAAATTTATTTTTATCACTCACAAGTTTGTGGATCAAGAATTCATCCATGGTTGAAAGGAATCCTCCCATTTTTGCTTCCCTGGTGTCAGCTGGGACAGTTTGACCAAGGCCAGAAAATGCAACATGACTCCACAACTCACGTGTCTGAGGTCTTGGCACTGGCTGTCCGCTGCACACCTTGTTCCTCCTCTGTGTAATCTCTCTCTTGCTCCTTCTCTGTGTATGATGTCTGATCACCCAGTTCGGCCCAAGCCTCCCTACATGGTGACATGTTTCAAAGAGAATTAAAATGCACAATTTCAGGCCTCTTAAAGTCTAAGCTGAGAAGTCATACAATGCCACTTCTGCCTTATTCTCTATATTAAGCAAGTTACAGAGCCTGCCAAGATTTAGGGAAAGGGAAATAGACTCTACCTCTTGATAGAGGAAAAACAAAGTCACATTTTAAAAGAACATAAGGGTGAAAAGTTGAGAGGAAACGAGGCATCAGAGGTGTTACTTAAGCAACCAGGTTAAGGAGTGAAGGTGTCATTTAGAGGCATAAATAACATAGGAGAAAGACCAATTTGAGGGGAACACAATGCAGTAAATTTTGGATATATAGATGTAAAGATATATACAGATATCAATGAGATATCCAAGGCAAGGTTATAAATCAAACACTTGTATTACTACCTGCTCAATGTTTTAAGTACTTTGCAAATAGTAACTATAGCTGACCCTTGAACAATACAGGGTTAAGAGAACTGACCCCTATGCAGCCGAAAAATCCACATATAACTTTTGACTCCCTCAAAACTTAACCACTGATAGCGCACTGTTCTCAAGAAGTCCTATCAATAATATAATATAGTCAATTAACACATATTTTGCATGGCAATATATATCGTATATTGTATTCTTACAATAAAGTAAGAGGAAAAATGTTGTCAATGAAGAGAAAATATACTTACTATTCATTAATTAGAAGTGGATCACGATGAAGGTCTCCATTTTCATCATCTTCATGTTGAGGCTGAGGAGGAGGAGGAAGAGAAGAGGGGTTGGGCTTACTGTCTCAAGGTAGAAGAAAATCCACATATAACTGGACCCACACAGTTCAAACCCACAGCATTTAAAGCTCAACTATAATTTAATCATCATAACAACATGATAAAGAGGATATATTATTATTATCCTTACTTCATAGGTAAAGAACTAAGAATCTTGAGAGCTTTACTAACTTTCCCAAAGTCACACAGCTATTAAAAGATGTCAGCAGGATTAAAATTCAAGCAGTCTAGCTCATATCCCTTAGTTGAGCCACTCTTCCCTGCCTTCCTACAGTATCTGGATGACCATGTTTTTCTAGAGCTCAAGAGAAATATAAGATGATTTAGATATGTATAATATTTCAATGTTTTAACCAGAAATGAGTGAAATTACAGTGACAAATTTTAACCTAGGAAAATATGTAGAGCTCTGAAGGATTTAATAACACTTATCTTTTGTCCCTTTTTGAGCTATAATACCAAGAATGATAGGAACTTCTGATCTCTTGGCAGCAACAACCATACAACATACTTTCTGGTGAGATATTTAAGAAATGGTCAGCTATTAAGTGAAGACGCTCTGCTGACTCAGTTTTAGGAACTTTTCAGTCACTGCAGACAAAAAGTCCAGAGGTGGCAGAGTTCAGATTTTTGGGCTAACTTCTGTCTTTCATCGTGCCATTTACACAATACTATGTGTTCAAAGAGCTTACTGTCCTTTAAACTTCACTACATGACAGGACATTCTAGGAACAATGACCACTCTCAAATGTTCTTGAGTACTGCTAAGGCATTTAAAAAGTGCATAAATCCTTGCTTTTAGTGTAAATTTGGCTCATTCCTGGGAACCTGCCTTTGAACTCAATCCAAAGTTCCATTGATATTCATATAATACCTTATGATATAAAAGAGTGGGAGTGAACTTTTAAATCTCAGAAAAATATTTACTGGCTTAGACCAGGAAAAAGTAACCAATGAATCTATCAATTTGCTTTTTTGGAAAGTGATTCTGGCTGGTCATATCAAATCTATAAAACTGATTTCCTAAGTCTCAATAATATCTCTGTAGCAATTAGACTTTTCTTTAAATCAGTAATTTTACAAGACATCGAATACCCATCCCTTTTATAAACCACTTCTCAAAATCTTAGCAAGCATTCTCCACTCAAGTTATATGAATCAGTTTGAAAAAATGGAATTATAACACGGGGGTGTTAGCACTAGAATGTGAACCCAACAATTTGGATCTGTCTCAAGGTCAAAAACTACATCCTTGATCCCAGGCAGCTATCAGTGCAGATTCATTATTTTGCAAAGAAGAATCAGGGTCCTGTGGGGAGTTACGTCCCTTGTCATCATTTGTGAATGGAAGGAAAGATTCCAAAAAGAAATAGAAAATATAAAACAATTACCTTAATGTACACATCCTTTTGCCTGTGAATCAGCAAAATTGTATTTAGGTATAGAAAGAAGCATTCTTTGAAATACTGCCAGCCTAAATCTGACAGTCGAGAAAATGCTGTAGTGTTAACATCAGCTGGAATATAGCCCAAATCTTCCCTCTTATTCACAGTTGCTGTTTTTGCCTGTAACATCCAGCAGAGAGAACCCTGTGTTGAACTGGTGTTCAGTAGTGAATGTGGCCAAGTACAGGGCCATGTGGCAAGCACTCCCAGGCTTCTTAAGCCCCCAGTAGACATCTTCCTAGGAATTCCAGCCAATTCCCTGCTTGAATTCCCAAGCCAAGTTACTGCTGTCTCTCTTCTACCATTAGTTCAATTTTGGAGCCTAATCTGGGGTATAAGAGCAATTCAGAGAAGGGGAAATTCTCTAAACAAACCAAGATCATTCTCATTCCAGGTTTTTGAACATGCTAGTCATTTATCTGTAACACACTTCCTTTTTCTATACTCAGAAAATTACTATCGTCCTGTAAGTTCTAAATTAAGCATCACTTTTTCCACAGAGATTTCCCTAAACTGACTGTCATGTGTTTCCACTCTGCGTTTTTCTAATTTATTTAATAAGAAAAATTTACTCACACACAGAAGGATAAAGAAGATGGTGTTAGCATTATCCAAAGACAGATGAGAAACAGAGACAAAATGAGGCAGAAAGAGTTACATACACACACACACACACACACACACACACACACACATAATAGACCCTTGAGCAACATAGGTTTGAACTGCACTGGTCCATATACACAATTTTTTTTCCAACCAAAAGCAGGTCAAAAATACAGTATCTGTTCATGCCTGTAATCTCAGGTACTTGGGAGGCTGAGGCAGGAGGATCACTTGAGGCCAGGAGTTCAAGACCGGCCTGAGAAATATAGCAAGACTCCCCCACCAAAAAAATAAAAACATGAAATTATTTTATTTTTAGCTGGGACTACACATCTGTAGTCCCAGCTAATCTGGAGGCTGAAGCAGGAGGATCATTTGAGCCCAGGAGTTCAAGGCTGTAGTGAATTATGGTCATGCCACTGTACTCCTGCCTGGGCAACAGAGCAAGACTATCAATAAATAAATAAATAGATAAGAAAATGCAGTGTTCACAGGATATGAAACCCATGTATAGAAAGGGCCAATGTTTTATATATATATATATATATATATATGTATATGAGTTATGCAGGGCTGACCCTGAAACTTCCACATATACCAAGGGATGACTGTTGATAGGAGAATTGACTCATGCAATTTTGGAGGCTGACAAGTCCCATCATAGGCTGGTAGTCTGGCTCAGTCCAAGTCCAAAGGCCTCAGAACCAGGGAAAGGCATGGTACAATTCTCAGTCAGAGACCAAAGGCCTGGGAACTGCAGAAGGCCACTGTTTTAAGTCCTGTAGTCCAAAGATCAGAGAACCTGAATTTCTGATATCCAAGGGCAGAAGAAGAAAGGCAAAAGAGTACAAATCCACATTTTCTCTGTGTTTTTGTTCTATCTAGGCCCTCAGCTGATTGGCAGGTGTCTGTTCACTTCAGGTACAGGTGGATCTTCCTTAATCAGTCCACTGATTCAAATGCCAATATCTTCTGGAAACACCTTTAGAGACACACCCAGATATAATGCTTTACTGGCTATCTAGGCATCGCTTAATCCAGTCACCTTGCTACCTAAAATTAACCATCACAAAGACTATAACAAAATGATCCACAACCTAGAATTAATTAACATTTAATTTCATTTCCTTCCAGTGTTTTCTTCTGTGTGGAGGCTACTTTGATCTCTATTCCTAGTCCTATTTGCTTGCAGCACTGATGTAAGAGAAACACTATCATGAGTTTGATTTACATACTTAAAATTCATTCTTAATACTTAAACACACACACACAAACTACATTAATAATAATGTAGTATTGCACTGTGTATGTTTTTCATTTACAGAAATATTATACCATTTCTGTTGTAAACAACATATTTTTGAAATTTATGCATGTTGATATTTATAGATATATTTCATTCTTCTTAATTACTATGGTATGTTACATAATTCTTATGTCTTTCACATGTGTACACTGAATCTCACTGACAGAAAACTTCATGAAATTATTTACTTTGTTCACCACTGTTTCTCCCACGTATAGTACAGTGCCCAATATTCTAGTGACAAATAGCAGATATATCAGTCCATTCTCACACTGCTATAAAGAGCTACCTGAGACTCGGTAATTTATGAAGAAAGGAGGTTTAATTGACTAAAAATTTCACAGGCTATACAGGAAGCATGGCTAAGGAGGCTTCAGAAAACTTACAGTCATGACAGAAAGGCAAAGGGGAAGCAGGCACATCTTCACATGGTGACAGGAGAGAGAGAGAAAGAGAAGGGGGAAGTGCTACAACCAGATTTCATGAGAACTCACTATCACAAAAACAGCAAGGGGGAAATCTGGCCCCATGCTCCAATCACCTCTCACCAGGTGCCTCCCCAACAACTTGGAATTACAATTCGACATGAGATATGGGTGGGGACACACAGTCACACCATATTAGTAGAATACTATTTGAAGTTTGCTCTTCTATTTTTCTTGAAATGAGCTTTGTGTATATAATTGGAAGTCTGATTATTAGATTGCCTCCTCTTGCTTTTACTAAATTTTGTAGAAATTTTGGTAATTTAGATCTTTTTGGTCTTTGGTAATTTAGATCTTTAGTCTTTTTGGAATTTTTGAAAGCCTTTTAATGTCATATAAACTGCTGATCAACTAGAGGGGTGTGTCAAACTGGCTAAAAAGTGCCTAATTAATGCAGGAGAGCTCCTGAACAGGAATCAGTCCAGGGTCTAACACTTAAAGGACTTTAAATATGTTATTTCTTTTCTCTGAACTTCAGTGTTCTTTAAGACATGGTGGGAGGTAATAATATTTCACCTCCAGGATTAAAATGAAATAGTTCATGTAATGCTGTTACTTGAATAACTGGTATATTATATGAGTACTGAACATTGGAGGTTATACAGATTACTATTATGATTATCTAAATTCTAGAATGTGGAGCAATGCTATAGATTAACATATGCTATGGAATAATCTCATTATGCTATCCTTAAGAGACTTTAGAAATTCACCCTTAAAATTAGCAAAGAGTAGCCACTAAGCCCTTTCTATAAAGTTTTATAGTGCAAAGAGTGAGGCTTTGGGCTCAGTCAAACCAGGGTCTATGGTACCAATAACTGGTTAGTTGCGTAACTGAAGCCAAGCTATTTTTACCTCCATGAGTCTCAGTTTCTCATCTACTAATCGTACATTCTATCCTGGAGAGCAACACTTCCTTGCTGGTTTAATGCCATTATCCTCTTTGTATACACCCCCAGCCTATGAAGAAGGAGCCCTGATAAGAAAACAAAGACAAATTAGAATTCTTAAAATACACACTGCTATGCTGATGTGGGAAGATTTTTATGAGATGAGGTAATTATAACAGGTCCTTATAACCTCTTTTGTTTTCCACTTCTATATTTGTCGTGGCTTATGTGGCCAGGTCAGATGTTAGGATTTGGAATCACTTCTCACCCATGTATCAGAAATAGAAACTAGATGAAGTCAAATAAAGAACATATGGGGCAGAATTTTCAAGGCAGCATTAAGACTAGTCCTTGTAAAAGGGAGATGGGTCTTCAAGAACGTTATATGACTCAGCTCAGCCCCCACACAGTATGCTAAGCACAGATATGGGGCAGATACTTGAGCCATAAATAAAATGTGTGCCTTGGCTTGTAGTGTACTTTGCCCATAGAGACTTTGGAATCCAGTGATAGATAGAAAGTTGGAAGTTTGATCAAGTTTTAAGTACTTGGAGTTCAGGTCTTCATCATTAAATTTCCATGGATCTAGTACTGGTACCAACCTCATAGAGATATTACAGGATCTAAATGAAATAACATGTAGGAAGGATTTTGCTTATTTTTTCCACAAGTTTTCATTCTTAAAGATCTTGATAGGAGCAAACTCCAAGTAAAATGTTAAAGTGAACAATTTTGTATTTGGCACTTGATCATCTACCTCTCTCTTGATGTTTCATCTTCTTTATGTAGTTTTACAGAGCTAACTACAGGAGTTGGGTTTCTCAGTTGTTTGTTTCACCTTTGCAAATTGAGGCTTTAGCTAGCCTAGGAGTAATCATGAATCTCAGCACCCATGAACAAATAATAACATTTGGCAATCTTCTTGGTATCCAACCATCTAATCATAATATCTTATCCAAAAATCCATCCTATGCAGTCATAGTTGAGCATAAATGCTTAAAGAAAGGCTTTGCTTCTTTGTCTACTCACTCAGGACAAGCTATTATGAATGACAAGTATCTACTAATAATATGCTCTTTCATAGACATTTCATTTTCAGAGGGGGCTATTGAAAATTAAACAGGATTCAAAGCAATGTGTTTCTGTGTGAAATTTTGGGTATAGTCTGATGATAGTAATAAAGATATAGAAATCACTCAAGAAATAACTGTGGATTGATTGAAAAAATGAAAACATGAACAAATAAATAAAAAATATTTTGGAAATGGATGCCTTAACAGAATTATTTAAACCATTTGAAGATGGTATCCCTGGACCTGATTGCTATTTTAGAAACTGAATACTCTAACCTATTTTATACATATCTTTGTTTTTCAGCAATGCCTGGGGAAGCTCTGGAAGCGTAACCACACTGGGATGGTGAAGGGGAATTAGTCAATGACTTTGGGTAACACCTGGAATTTGACCTGCAGACTGGAATACAGCTTCCTATTAAAATGTTTCATTCTTATAAGTCTTGTGTGCATTTACGGCTTTAAGGAAGAAATTCTCTCAGGCTTAAGACATAAATTAAAGCCATATAGTGTCAGTTTCAATAAGAGCCTCTGTTTTTCAAATTTTTTGACTTTCACTTAGAAAGACAACACTGTACTAGGAGGTTACTCTTTTTGATCAGTCTCAACATTTTTCTAGCTGTTCTCAACTCCCCTTCAAAAGTATTTCCCACTAGAATTACATGAATGTTGTGCCCCCAAGGTGAATGCAGTGTTTGGAACAACAAAATATTGATTTCCCATTGTGTAACTTCCATTTAATTTAAACCAAAATGCAAGAAGGGGAAAGGGTTGGTAGGAGAGTACGCTGATATAACCCTTTCCAGTGATCCTTAAAAACTTCACACATTTCCAGTGCTGAATTTTGTTGACAGACACTTATTTCAATCACATTTGGTCTTACATATCTCTTCAAAAGTCTAGTTTAAAAAAAAAATCTAAAATCTTTAAAAGCCTGGCTTCGCCAGCCAAGAATTGATATGGTGAGCATTAAGCCTTAGTTGTTTGCTCAATTCAGTCTCATTCATCATAGTTGGTCTAAGTCTTAGGGCTTACTCCAAAATAGCCTCTAAACTTACTGGCTGCTCCATAAATGCAAGAAAAAGACAGCTCTCTACCACCTCCAGCATCATATGCTTTGCCTTTGCAATTCCATTATCGCTCCTGTCTAAGGGAAATTGAAAACCCTCTTGAGTATTATTCTACCATTTTGCCTATTCTATTATCTTACTCAACATTTTCTGATCTGCTTTTCTCCCCATCCCCTAGGTCAATGCTATTTTCCTATGATATTTTTGTCTTGTAAAATTATTTTACAAAATCATAGTAAATGTATTTAACATTGGTTATTTTGATATCTTTTTCTCTGCCTTGTTTATATGAGTAATTGTTGAAGTTCTTGCCATCTGATTTCTTTTTTAGGAGATATACTGAGTATTTTTACCAGGTTTTGTCATTTTTATCATTTAATGGATAAAGTAGTCATTCTTTTTATTATTAATTTCTATATATTTTATGCATCTATTTGTTAATGCACTCCTTTAAAATTTCATTTAAATAATGAAAAAATAGCTACCTTGTACCAAACTGCTAAGCACTTTATGTGCATCAATAATTTTATGAGGTTGGTTCTATTATCCTTATTGTATAGCTTTAAAAAACTGAGGCTCATAGAAGTTAGATAATTTGTCTAAACTTACACAGGTAAATATTTAAAGCAGAACTGCAAACAATAATCTTCATTTTTAAGCCTGAGATTTAACTTTCATACAATTCTAGATTTATCATCAGTTGGTCACTATTTTGAGACATGAGGTTAGCTTGTAGGAGAGAAAAATAAATTTTAAAAAAGATACTGCCTTCACAAAACTTGCACTATACAGTAATGAAGGGAAAAATCTACATACACCAAAAACTTGAATATCTCACATGAATAGAATACACCACCGGGAAAGAAAAAGCCCTTTGAACATTAAGAAGCTGAAAAGATCCTTGATAATTCAAAATGGTGGGTCTTGCTGTTCCCCTCAGCTGAACTACCTTCCCTTGCTCTTCTAACTTCTTAGCAAACTTCAAAGCTTTCCTGGTTACCCTGCCCTACCATGCTATCTCATTTTGCTAAATTCTGATAGAATTCCCTGCAGCTCAGGCATATTTAATATCACTGATTTTACTGTTGGGTATTTATCTTGTGTATTACATGGTTTGTCTCTTTAACCTGATCATAATCTTCATGAGCTTACTCTCTGAATAACCTGGCTAGTTGTATATTCAAAATAAAGGGCATTGGTAATTGCAATTATAAACACGTGGTTCATTTTGGTAGAGCAATGCTTCTCAACCTGTTCAGGTGATGGAAAAGCATTAAGGTCATCATGCTGTAAAAGGAGACGTCAATATATCTGATTTTATTAACTAGATATATTATCTTACCATACATTAGTTACTATCCCAGAATTTATATATTGTAGATAAGTAATAAAAAGCAACAAAGATTGAAGGAGAAAAAAACTTTGAAGAGGAAATATATAAAAATTATATGAATGCATGTTATTCATGTGTTTTTTCTGTTGTATTTTGCCTTGCTTTGTTTTTTAATAAAGTGGGGAAACATAAAAGCCTTTTAAAAATATTGGTGGCCGGGCGCGGTGGCTCACACCTGTAATCCCAGCACTTTGGGAGGCCAAGGTGGGCGGATTACAAGGTCAGGAGATGGACACCATCCTACCATCCTGGCTAACACAGTGAAACCCCGACTCTACTAAAAAAATACAAAAAACTAGCCTGGAGTGGTGGTGGGCGCCTGTAGTCCCAGCTACTGAGGAGGCTGAGGCAGGAGAATGGCGTGAACCCAAGAGGCAGAGCTTACAGTGAGCCAAGATTGCACCACTGCACTCCAGCCTGGGCCACAGGAGAGACTCTGTCTCAAAAAAAAAATAAATAAATAAATTAAATAAATAAATAAATAAATATAAAAATAAAAAAAGTAAATAAAATAAAATATTGGTGATATTGTTGCTTATATTACTTGGCTTCAAGTCCTTGGAGTTCTATGAAGCCACATTTGGAAACCTCTGTCACAGTGGCAAAATGTTGTATTTATTCTTACATCAACTTGTAAGGTAGCTAATGGCTACAGGTGTTATTAATTACAAAAGAATTCGGACTTGCTCAGTTACTTCGATAGGAGCATGGTCGCAAAATCAGATCTAATCAATTCCAGAGACAATGCTTTGAAGGTTTAGCACTTCTTGTTTTGATCATTGAGATATTTAATCCTATATTCTTATTTTCTTAGAATGCTAAAGAAGCATATAGATAGATTTAAGTGGTAAACAATTTTAATGCTGTTGATATCTCCCTAGAAATTTTTTATCTTTAATTACAATAGAAGGGGGATAAGAAGGCACCAACATTTACTTAGCTCCAGTTATGTGCCAGGTACTCTGCATAACTTAATTGACATTTATTCATTCCTTAACCAATATTTTTCAACAGCTGGCACATTACAAAAAAGTGCACTCTTGTGATAAGCAAAAATAGACATGCTCCCTACATTCATGAAAGGTACATATTCCAGTGTTAGACACTAACCAAATTCATAATTGTAAACAATGCTAGGAAGAAATAATACATAATTTTATCCTCAACAATCCTTTAAAGAAGTACACTGTCCCCTATTCATAAATTAGGAGGTTAAAGAGCTTGTCCAAATCTACAAGGCTAGTAAAGGTCAGCATGGCTGCCAGGTATGGCTCAGCAAGTGTTGCCTGAAACCCTTCTGAGGGCAGGGGGCATTATTCACATCCACTATAATGTAGCTGAGGCTTCTAGAGTTTTGAAGTGTATCACCCGCACAATCATAAGTGTGGCCTTAAGTGAGAGCGGAATCAGCCCTCAGTTTCTCCATTTGTCCCTAATTATTGTAGTTTCTCAGGGTAATTAAATTTGAAATATTTTAGTTTGTTCATCGAACCTACAGTATATTAAAGGTAAAATATGTAGGACAGCATCTAAACAATACCCAATTGAACGGGATACAATTCTCATTCAATTAATAAAAGATTGTTTGAGTGCCTGGTGTCTGTAAAAAAGACAGTATGAAAGATGTTTCCTGGCCTCACACTTGCCAGTAGACCAGGAAAATAAATGAAATGAGATTGACCATCACGCCACAATGCACTTAGAAGGCATTTCACTGCCTGTGAAGAATTTGTTTTTGCCTCTCCTGGCAGCCATATCAGTTGTGAGATGGAAGTTTGGAAGATAGCTAGAATGCTTCGACGAAAAACTTTGAATGATCTAACCTGGGCAATGGTGGATCCCTGCCAATTTGAGGGCATAGGAATATCATGTGCATCACAATGTTCATAATGGTTACTCCAGCAGTGTGAAAACCCATGAAGGAAACTCCAAGACTCAGGGAATCCAATTAGAAAGCTTTCACAAAAGATCGACATGAAGTGACAAGTTCTTGGATTATGGTGGTGAATTTTTTTTTTAATTGGAAAAGCATGTTCTATTTGGAAGAAACATTGAAGTCTCCTTTCCTCCTGGTTTGCTGTAGTTGCAGCTTTGTGTGGCAAGTAACACTTAGTAAATCTTCCTTACTTTTTTACTGTACTATAAATGAACTTTCTTACATAGCTTGTTTCTCAGCCCTTTTTAATTAGAATCAGAATAGGAGAATGGGTATCTCAGGCTGTGAGTAATTTGATATAGAACTTTTCACCTCCAGGTCAGTGGTAAGTGAAACATATTTATATATTTTAAGTGAATTTATTGCTCTTGAAGGGATCCCAGTTGTAATCCTTGACACCAGAACACTTATTGCCAGAAAGCCCACGGGCGTTGAAAACATTGATCAGAAAGTAACAGAGAGAAGGGGTTCAATTTCAACCGTTTTTCACTGTTTGGCTTCCCTTACAAGACCTTCTTAAATTGTTTTAATTAATCCTAGTTATGATTCTATTTTTAAAGGCTGATATCTATCTGATGACAAATTGGATATGAATCAATAAGATGGGCTTATTTCAATTTAGAGTATGAGCTATCCTGTTGCTTAAAAATAATTACCCATATCTGAAAAAGCAAGGAATTTACTACGGTATTCACTTTGCACTAGGGGGAAAAAGGAATGAGTGATAAAAATTGTATTACAAATTTCAGTAATAGGAATATGGCTTTTACAATTAGAAAATAATAGCACTGATTACATTGATCTTGGCATCAAGGGAATTAGAAGTTACTTTTTCTGGATGTGTGTGCCCATTTAACACCCCTAGAAATGACCAGAATGGATTCAACCCTGTCCAATTCCTCAGCTTCCAAGGCAACACATCCATGGCAACAACTAAGCATCATTACAGTTTCTCAAATGTGAAAAAAATAACAATTTCTTAACTCCCTTTACCCCAAGCACATTTTAGGCAATGTAAAAATATAAGAAAAAATTTCAGTTTTATCATCATTGATTATATATATACTCTGTCAGATACATTACTAGAAGATGGGCATATAATAATTAATAAAACAAATTACCTGTGTCTTAGCTTGA
This sequence comes from Homo sapiens, assembly GCF_000001405.40. NCBI lineage: Eukaryota > Metazoa > Chordata > Mammalia > Primates > Hominidae > Homo > Homo sapiens. The sequence continues at coordinate 82,985,336 of NC_000001.11, read as the reverse complement.
AGTACTCTGAATGCATAACCTAGAAAAAGAGCTTGCATGCAGACCATTAGGGACAGGAACCCAAGGGACAGGAATGAGAGAGAATGAAACGCAGGAGGGAAAGCCAAACCAAAAATGAATGCATCGGCCACCACTATAGGCAAATGGTGTTCCATCCTGCCAGACTTTCTAAGGAGGCTTATGAAATGTATTTCAGAATTGTTCACCTGGAAGATAAAATGGAAATGATTTTTTTTTTTTCCGTGGGCTCCGGCTCTCCTATTGTCAAGCGTGACCTAATGGACGTGAACTTCCCCACACTACCAAGTTGTGTGACTGGCACAGACGTGCCATGCAGCAGCATCAGGGAGTCCCTGTGGAACCTAAGAAGGACACTGTCAGGTTCACCTGTGTGAGCTTGGCCAGAACCTACGACAGACTATATGGTGCAGCTGACTGGTGGAAGAGATGAGGCTGAGAAGACACGAAAGGCTTATGGTACACTCTTCCCTTAGGGTACTCAATATTCAATGCATACCACAAAGGCATACCTTCTCTGAAAGAAAGAAGTTAAAGACTTGCATCCTTTTAGAATTATTCTATAAAGTAGATAGGCACAGATTAAATAGATGAGCTTTGGAGTCAGATAAATTGTGGTTTGAACATTCTTGGTAATTCTTGCTCTTTGTGCAGCCTAGATCAACTCATTTAGCATTTTCTCATCGGTAAAAGGGAGGGTGGGGTATGGTAAAATAGTTTCTATTCCATGCAACAATTGTGAATATTAAATGAGATTATGTATAGCACCTAGTCCATTGTTGTGCATAGGTACCATATTAAAAACAAATTTCTAGAGGTGAAGATCGGCAATCTTTCTATTTTCTTACTCCCATCCATATTTATGCATCAAATGATGCCATGAAGCATAACATATTTTTAATGATATGAGGATTCCTAAGATAGAAATAAGCCTTCTCATAGTGCTGAGAACTGAAAAAAGGAAAGCTATATTTTGTCTCAAGTTTATCAGAGCTCAAAATAGAAAGTGTTTTAAGCTTCATTTTCAATTCATAATGTTCCTCTAAATTCTATTTTCTGAGAGAAGCCAGCAGATGATTTGGTTTCCTAATTGTTAAAGTAACTTTTTAAAATTTGAAGAAAAAAAATTGATGTTTGGCTAAGCTGTTTCTTGAAACATCAGTGACCCTGAATGCAAGGTCTTTACAAGCTAAGAATTCCCTGAAGCTTGATAGGAACGTTGAGATCTTAACCTACACAACAGAACAGCAGGATCAGGCAAGTCACTGTGCTGAGATACCACTTGGGGCCAGATTTTAATAGCTGACAATTCATAATGGATTGACAAAAGCAAAACATCATTAACTTGAATCTACAAAGTCGAGATTTCCATATGCAAATAGGAGCTGGCACATATGTGCCTGTGTACAAGTCTCATTGCTTGTTTAGTTGTCTGTATGTCCTTTCCTTTGTCTTTAAGATCCCAGTGGACAAGAACCACGTCTAATAACCCACTTTGCAAAACAACAACAGGTGCACAGATTGAGGCCTCACTAAATATTTTCTATGGTAATGATGGCAGTATTGTTGATTTTCTCTCTCGCATAAGAGTAAGGCCTACAGTCTAATGTCAGCAACCAGAAGTAATAAGATAGTCATGAATGATACATTTGAGCAATGGAACGTGAAAGTTACATTATATTTATGTAACAAGGATAGACTAAACTCACCCTAAGGGTGTGGTCACCAGAAAGAGCCCTTACTCTGATTTTCTATATTTTACTTTAAGTTCATAATATCAATTCTTATAAAACATGTTTCCTTCATTGCAAGGTAGATAACTCTTTCATATTTATTCTGAGAATAATAGGGCTGTGAATTTTACTTTTTAGTGTAAATCTGCTTGGTTCAGTAATATATCATACAAGAAATTATAGCAACAGACTGCCAGACTGATTCTGGCTTACGGGAAAGTGATTTTACCTCTCTAGTATTAAGTTCTTCTTGAATAATTGTAACCTATCTTATAGACTTGTTGTGCAGATCAGATAAGATCAAACAAGATAATATAAAGTGCTATAAAAACTTAAGCTATTGTTATCCCTGAAAACGTATCCTTTGGCCTGGGCTTAGGTGACTTTAGGAAATAGCCAATTATACTATTTCCCTTATGAAAATATAATCTTGGACTTATTGTTCAGCATGCCTGTGTGAACACACTACGAGGACCCGCAGCCTCTTAAGATTTCTCACTCTACTTTCTTTCTCCATGTTCCCCAGGGATCTGTCTTTCTTGGCTTGTCTTTCCTTTTCTGCTGTGTATACAAATGCTGTGTGTTAAGATCAAGGAGTGGACACCTGGTTTGCTTCTCCAAGTTCTGTCGCTCAGTCTCATAAAGATTTTGCTTTGGGCATTGCAGCTGGCATTCTTTTCTTTCTCTTCCTTGCTGCTGAACGGTTACACAGGAAAGAATAATGAAGGCTTAAACTCTGCGATTCTGCTTCCTATCTACCTTGCATCCTCCTGTTACCAAAGGGGGAACACATGTTTTTCAAGCTCAATTTTTGCTGATGAAAATTTTGTTCAGTTTCACAGCTTGACTTCAGAATTTTCCCAAGTGATGGTAAATTTCATTCCCTTGCCAAACAAGGAAATAACCTACAAGAATGTTTGGAAGAAAAACTTAGCAATCCCCCTGAAGCTTTAGTATCAGATGAATAGAAGAAAGAAAACAAAAGTGTTATGCCAGCCTCTCTGTCATTCAAAATACTGATATGGTTTAAACATTGTAAATTTGGGGAGAATATTTAACGTTAGTCAATAGAAAATATTGTTACTAACTTGTAAACCTTGAAGTATAGATATTTATAGTAATGGTAGCATTTGAACTCTGAAAAGACAAAGAAGTGAAGCTTACACATGGCTCAAGGTTGAATGCATATTTGGTGAATCAATTACAGTTGGAGACAATAAACTAGATTTTCTTCCTCTCGTACATTACATTATTTTGTTTAGAACATTCATTTAAAAAATATCTTATGAAAACTTAACTTCTCTTATTTCCTTGATGGCTAACTAAAACACTATAATTCTAAGTTCTTTTTTATTTTCTTAGTTCACCATAGCCCAGGTAAAAGTCCTTTCTATAGGTCACTTTCATTAAAGGTGTGATAAAAATAAATGACTTGTAACAGGTAGAGAAAACATGAACCAGGAGGGGCAGGCTGCAATCCTATTTCCCAGCAGTGCTACAGAAAGCCTCCATGTTCTTTTGGGTTTTATTTCTGTGTTCAATTCCCACCAAGTTACACCGCTCCCCGACCCCATCCCCATCTTCCTGCCTGGGTGTCAAGGGCTGACACTGAAATAGACAAAAGGCAGAAGAGACCTTCCCTCCCTGGGAAGGGTTTTGGAAGTTAGCTAGTTTATTTAATCCCCAGGCAAACCTGCAGTCAAGTTAATCAGAATGAGAGAAACAGCTTCCTACATACGAGCTAGGACTGTGAGAAATTGTTTTTCAGGGTGTTTTATAGCCAAAAGCCTTCAAGAGAATGGAAGAGCTCTCCAACCAGGGGCACAAATATTCAAGGAGAGCTTGTTTGTTTTATGGTTATTTTTATCCCACAATAAACAGCTTAAATTTGCAGACTATACTTTTTGACTATAAAGTGGGTTATTTCTCAAGATGCTGGTGCTTTCCCCTAACAGATGGAATAAATAGAAGAAAATGCTGAGAATAAACCACTGAAATTCTGATTTATTCAATCATTAACAAAAAGAAGTGCAATTTCAATGGTAATAGAATGAAAACCCAACTGTTTCTGCTTTCCTTCTGAAAACTTGTTTTCTATGGAGAATGCTGCTCTTAGGCAAACACCTATTTAAACCTCAGCAATGTATAATCTTAACTTCAGGCAGCATGGTTGTATAGGTTTGGTAATTTGTAATACCTCTGCAAATAGGGATAAAATACTAACTTTCAATAATATAAGCAGTATCTGCAGTACAAATACTAAAAGTGCTACATTATATCCCAGGAAAGATATTTTATAAAAAAGACTTTGCACTTGGTTTTAAATGCTTCTCTAGGCAGTTGCTTTGCAGGCTTGTTAGAGGAAACACAGTGTATGTACAACCTTCGGAGACATGGCACTAAGTAGACAACCAGTCAGTCCAGTATGTCTTTTTCAGGACACAAATAAGAAGGCAGGAAAACAAAAGCCATTTAAGTGCAACAATAACCTCAGGGAGGACACTTCCGTGTTGGAAACCACACTAAATGCTTCTTGGAAAAATTGCTTGATTATAATGAAACCAAATAAAATATTGTTGTAAGTCTATAAGAAAAGCAGAAAACCTAAAATTAAAAAAAATCCATGACATAAGTATATGTATAAAAAAAATCCATGATATACACACGTGTGCACGCACTCGTGCACATACACAGGGTATGTAAGAACATAAAACATTTATCTGTGTATTTTGCATATCACAAAGAACTGTAGGATATAAAGATTTCAACATATTTGTGCACAAACTTTTTAAAGATTTTGAAGTCCTTGAGCTGGAGTTTGGCTCTGTCGTTAACTAATGTTGTGACCTGGGTTTACTCATATTTTTTAAATCCTAAGATTATTTTTGCAGAATTTGGTAATTAGACTTCTAAATGATCTATAAGGAAGTTCTTTCCAGTTTAAAAATACTGTAATTTCAAGGTTTTCCTTTTTTTTCTGTTTGCTTGTTTGTTTTCAACTAAGTATTTCTTTTTTTCCTTTAGGTTTATTATTAATAAAAAGAAATCAACACAGAATTATGTTTGCAATATGCAATCACCTATATTTAGCTGAAGAGAGATGTTTATGACACAAACCCTTCAGTTTCCTCGTTTGTTATCTTTGGTTTACATCAGATGAAAATCTCCCCAGTAGCAAGGTGGCAGTTACAATCTATGGAGCCTAAAATTAAAATGAAATTAAGTTATTTTAGAAGACATCTCATTTAATAGATTCTTCTATTCACTTATTCCTCTCTCTCGTCTTTTATCTCTAACCCAGCACAATTCTTAAAATCTTGAATAAGAACAGAACTTCATGATAGTCTTCCCAGGAGTTTTAACAAAGCTCTGTATAGAAACAGTCTGGTTGAACATTTTTTAATCTATATATTCTGAAAGTGGATGTGGCTTCTCCTGTCCTAATCATGTAAGCAGACTGCAACAACATTACTGCTCAAACCAACGAGGTCTTTTAAAATGTGCTGCCCGTTTCCTTTTTCAATCCACCGAATAGCTGCAGTTGTTTCTAAACCTCTTTAGTTCTCTATGCACACACAGTATCATGCCTATCTCTTTGTGCAGGTGTATGTTTTGTTGCGGTTTGTTTACAATTGGCAGGGGTTGATTGTAAAAGCCCTGTATTATGAATAAACCAATGCCTGAAATGAAGTGGAACCTTGATTTATTTGGGTAGGACTGTTTTCCAGTACTGTAAATCATATTTTGGTGTTCATTTACCTTTGCATTCTTTTTGAGCCACCGGCACTGAGACTGACGAATGGGAATCAAATGAAGTGTGCTAAGTGCTTCTGCTGGAGGGTTTCAGTTCCCCATTTGCCGGGGTGTGATATATCTCTGCAATACATCATGCAACTTATTTTCCTTTACTTATTTTATTTAGCATTGTCACAAATAATATCAATTGGCCATTGCCTATGAACCCTAAAGAGTAGTAAATTAATGAAATAAGCTGCATGTACAGAACTCATCTGTCCCCAATTTGATTAGAGCCACTTTGGTTGCACCAAGCCATTTACTATAGATGAGCTTCATTTATTAAACAAGCAGCTTCATGAGTTCTTGGTAAATTGTTATGCACAGTATTTGCAGTGATTTTCATGAAACACTTAAAGCTGACTCTTTTATATCTCAATCACTAAGAGTATTTTATGCCTGTGAAATAGGCATTTTGAGTCATCTTGTGACTTTCATCTGACTAACTCCATCTGAAGTAGTTGTCTATTTATGGAAGGAGGTGTCCTTTATTTTTGTTTCTAGGGAACACAGTAGGAGCAAGGGAAGGGCAGAGGGGCTTATTTCATATAAGGGCTTCTTGTCGCCTGAACTATGGTTGAAGTTCCCTCACAGAACAGAGCAGCTGGTCACAGCTCTGCCCAGGCATTTCTGTGTCTGCATCTTCCTGCTGTACTTGCATATCAAGAAGCATTTCAGACCACAGGAATGCAGGATTCCAAGGCGCCAATTTACCTTGGAATTTGAAAAGGTAGGTTTCACAAAGCGAATGGCTTTTTAAAAAACAACCAGAATCATTCAGATAGATAATGTTGGTGTTTCTTTGTGGCTTTAACAAACCTGGGGAGGCCAAACATGTTCCAGAAAAGCACTGCAAGGTAGGTAAAAGCTGTGAATCAGAAACAGGGAAAACATAAGTGACTTTGGTATGAAACAAGGTGACAGCTTCTGGGCACTGGGGAAACTGCCTCAAAAACAGGAGAAGGGGTGAGGGGCACAATGCGGGGAATGTGTATCCAGAGGCTGCAGTGAGATGTGCCGATCACATAACTTCTGTGAAGGGCAGAGGAACGAAGCTGAGAGACAAAGAAATCATGGTGGATGAGATAAGAACATTCCGGAGAAGTATCTGTGTGAGAGTAAAGCAGAATAAAAATTGGAAACATTTGGAAGAGCTTGTCTCTTTCCAGAGCTTAAATGAAGGTGGGTGGTGGTGATGTAACGCAGAATCGTCCTATATGTCTTTGCTAAGAACATATGTCCTCCTCATGAATCCACTGCAGTCAATACCGATAAAAAAAAGTGGGAGGCAATCATAGAAATGCTTAGTGTTAAAGTTAAAAGCATATTCAATATTCCTGTTTTACTAAAGAATTTTATGCATGCCAGTACCTCAAACCCTCACATGTTTTCAAAGAAATTTAGAGCCCCAAAATACTAGAGCTTACAAAGTGGAAATGAAGAAATTTAGATATCCCAGTCCCACAGATTTTGTTAATGATGTTTCCTGAGAGTTACTTTATAATTTTTTCAGTATATAGTTACAGTTGAAATCTAATTCGCTGGTACAAGTTCTTTATTTTAAATGAAAATTAAAGAGTCCATTGAAACAGTCTCCTAATTAGAGAGAATATGGAAGGAAGGAAGGAAAGAAAAGGAAGGAAGGAAAGAAGGAAGGAAGGAAGGGTGGGAAGGAGATAGGTGTCCAAACCAGAGTGACCTCCTCTTGAATAGGGGCTGGGTAAAATAAGGCTGAGACCTACTGGGCTGCACTCCCAGGAGGTCAGGCATTCTTAATCACAGGACCCTGTTGATAAAGAGGATGTGGTAAAGAAGATGGCCAAATCCCACCGAAACCCAAAACCAAGATGTCAACGAAAGTGACCTCTGGTCATCATCACTGCTCACTTTATGCTAATTACAATGCATTAGCATGCAAAAAGACACTCCCACCAGACCATGACAGTCTACATGCCAACATCCGGAAGTTACCCTGTATGGTCTAAAAGCAGGAGGAACCCTCAGTTTTGGAAATTGTCTGTCTCTTTCCCAGAAAATTCATGAATAATCCACCCCTTTTTTAGCATATAATCAAGAAATAACTACAAATATACTCAGTCAATCAGCCCATACTGCTGCTCTGCTATGGAGTAGCCATTCTTTTGTTTCTTTACTTTTCTAATAAACTTGCTTTCACTCTACTCTGGACTTGCCTCAAATTCTTTCTTGTGGGAGGAGGAAGGAAGGAAGTAGGGAAGGAAGGAAGGAAAGAAGGAAGGGAGGGAGAGAGGGAAGGGGGAAGGAAGAAAGAAAGGAAGGAAGGAAGGAAGGAAGGCAGGAAGGAGAGGAAAAAAAGACTGGCAGTTCCTGTATGTATACATCATTATTATTATTAAGTGATTTTTTTTGTGCTCATTATATAACATAAAAATATCATGGAACATTTGAGATAAAAGGAGCTGGAAAATATTAAATAAAATACATCCCACTCAACAAGTCCAAAGGTGAGTTTCACGACAAAAATGATATCTTGGGCAAAGTGTTTTGAAAACAACTGCTACCCTAAATACTACTTTCATATTCACAGTTGCACACTAATAAGAGATTCTGAGGAGTCCTGCAGTAAAGAAAGTGTCTGAGTTTGTTTTAACTTGCATTTCAAAAATATGTTTGACTAGGGTAATTTTTTTTTTCATATAACAGCTATTAACAGACTATGTACTAGTGCTCCATTGAACATATCTTGGGAAATGCTACTCTCAACACTTCGGCATAACTCACTCACAAATTCTAACTCTTTTAGAGATTATACTTAGGAAAATGTGTCCGTGGGTAGAACTACCTCTAAGAAAAGTAAGGTTTATGAAGGGAATTCTAAGCTCTGGAATCTTCAGACATGACCAATGAGGGAATAAAATCTCATTCTGGGAGTTCCCAAACTCCAGATGTTTTATTTTTTCTATAACTGAACTTGAAATTGAAAAGTCAATCTTTAAAAAACAATAGTATCATATAAAAAAAACCTATAGATAGGATACTCATATTTAGCAATGCTCTTTTTACCATTTTTGAAGTTGTAAACATGACTAGAAGCCAAAAATACTGATTCCTACTCAACAACTTCCTGTGTTACCTGAATTCCGCATCTTCTCTATCAATCAAATTGCTGAAATCTCACTCTAAAATTAGCAATTTTATTCTGATTATTTCTCAGCTTCATTTCCCTTGATCTCTTGTGGGCATTTGACAGATCAGGCCCATTTTTCAATCCCAAATTCAAATCCATTCCTCTCCCATGAAGCCTTCTCTGATTAGCTTGTCCTGTTCTCACTGACATATATCTCTATCTATCTATCATCTATCATCTATCTATTTATCTATCTATCAATCATCTATCATCTATGTATCTATCATCTATCATCTATCTATCTATTTTTTCCCCAAAAAATTATTTAATATTTGCTGGATACTGCAATTCATGCATTATCTTTTTCCATTTTTTACTTTTCTATTTTAGACTAATTTCAAATAAATGTTTTGTTTATTGAAGCCTAGAACTAAGTGTTCATTACACCCCGGGTTTCTCACTTGTTTTGAAAATAATCAGCATCCTAAAGTCAATCTACAAGACTTCCTTTAGAATTTTTTTTTATGTTGGTCTCAATGCAAGAATCTGCAACAAGAAAAAAGGTATCTAAATTTGTTGAGCATAGGCCAGGCACAGGGGCTCACGCCTGTAATCTAAGCACTTTGGGAGTCTGAGGCAGGTAGATTGCTTGAGCTCAGGAGTTAGAGACCAGCCTGGGCAACATGATGAAACCTTGTCTCTACAAAAAACTTAAAAAATTAACCGGGTGTGGTGGCATGCACCTGTAGTCCCAGCTCCTTGGGAGGCTGAGGTGAGAGGATTGCTTGAGCCCAGGAGGCAGGTGGTACAGTGAGCTAAGAATCATGCCATTGCACTCCAACCTGTGCAACACAGCTAGATCCTGTCTCAAAAAAAATTAAATAAATAAAAATTATTGAGCACTTATGTGAAAAACCCTGTGCTAGATGGATCTATGTATAAGCCTTATCATACCACTGTGGCATTATTGTGATTCTTATTAATATCATCATCACCACTGCCATATCAATATAAGGAAAGTGAGTTAGAAATACATTAAATAGGCTGGGCACAGTGGCTCACACCTGTAATCCCGGCTCTTTGGGAGGCTGAGGCAGGCAGATCACCTGAGGTCAGAAGTTTGAAACCAGCCTGATCAACATGGAGAAACCCCATCTCTACTAAAAATGCAAAAATTAGCCGGGCGTGGTGGTGCATGCCTGTAATCCCAGCTACTCAGGAGGCTGAGGCAGGAGAATCGCTTGAACCCAGGAGGTGGAGGTTGCGGTGAGCTGAGATCGCACCACTGCACTCCAGCCTGGGCAACAAGAGCGAAACTTCGTCTCAAAAAAAAAAAAAAAAAAAAAAAAATTAAATAATTGGGTTTTCATAATGCCCCAGGCATGGTTCTAAGTATGAGTGCAAAAGTAATATTGTGGTTTTTGCATTATTGGAATTTACCGTTTGATATTGGAATACATTCTTAAATAAATGTGGTTCTGTTAAACATCATTTTAATGGGCATTTCTCACTTTATTTTTTTTGCTAATCACTTATTACTTGTTGTTTATTTTGTGTTTATTTTAGATGATGGAAATGATGTTAAAGAAAAAGAAAATTCGAGTGATTTTCTTATTTGAGGTCAAAATGGGTCATAAAGCAGTGGAGACAACTCGCAAAATCAACAACACATTTGGTTCAGGAACTGCTAACAAATGTACAGTGCAGTGGTGGTTCAAGAAGTTTTGCAAAGGAGAGGAGAGCCTTGAAAACGAGGAAAACAGTGGCTGGCTATAGGAAGTTGACAATGACCAACTGAGAGCAACCATGGAAGCTGATCCTCTTACAACTGCGTGAGAAGTTGCCAAGGAACTCAGCGTTGAGCATTCTAGAGTCTTTCAGCATTTGAAGCAAATTGGGAAGGTGAAAAAGCTGGATAAGTGGATGCCTCATGAGATGAGTGAAAATTTAAAAAAAAATAAAATAAAAAACAAAATTGTCATTTTGAAGTGTCATCTTCTCTTACTCTAAGCAACAACAACAAATCATTTCTCAATCAGTTTGTGACGTTCAATGAAATGTGGATTTTATACGACAACTGGTGATGACCAGCTCAGTGGCTAGACCAAGAAGCTCCAAAACACTTCCCAAAGCCAAACTTGGACCAAAAAAAGGTCATGTTCGCTGTTTGGTGGTCTGCTGCTGGTCTGATCCACTATTGCTTTCTGACTCCCGGCGAAACCATTACATCTGAGAAGTATGCTCAGCAATTCAAAGAGATGAACCGAAAACTTCAACCCCTGCAGTCAGCAATGGTCAACAGAAAGGGCCCAATTCTCCACGACAATGCATGATCGCACATTACACAACTAAAGCTTCAAAAGTTGAACTAACTGGGCTACGAAGTTTTGCCTCATCCACCATATTCACCTGACCTCCCGCCAACCGACTACCACTTCTTCAATCATCTCGACAACTTTTTGCAAGGAAAACACTTCCACAACCAGTAGAATGCAAAAAGTGCTTTCCAAGAGTTCACTGAATCCTGAAGCACGGATTTTTATGCTACAGGAATAAACAAACTTATTTTTCATTGGTAAAAATGTGTTGATTGTAATGGTTCCTATTTTGATTAATGAAGATGTGTTTGAGCCTAGTTATAATGATTTAAAATTCACGATCCAAAACCGCAATTACTTTTGCATCAGCCTAATATGAGGAAGTAATAGTTGAACAGAATAATTCTTTCCTGGAAGTCTGGCATTTTGCCTGGGGAGAAGGATCATTAAAAACTTAAACATTTTAATAAAACCATTTAAACAAATGATTTTGTTACAATGTCTGATAGGGTGATACATGCTGTTGAAATGGGAAAGTTCCCTTGTTCCCTCACAGGGCTGGTGATGGGGGTGTGGCTCGCTTCTTCCGTGCCTCACTGCTCAAACCTCTAGGGGAGCATACAGACCGGCAGCTGTGGGGCTCTGACCCCACGGCAGTGTCTAGAGGTGAGTGTCTACAGCTGAAGCCCCAGTGGGTGTGTGTTACAGGGTACTCTTTTAGTTTGCTGTCTATAGGCAGCTTGTGTTAACCAGCTAGATTAGACCCTCTACCTTATCCCAAGGACAGAGGGCTTTCTGTATCCTGGGTTCTTGCCTTGGTGTACCGGAAGAATCGGATCACACGTGGGCTTGGAGAATGAATGTAAAGTTTTATTGAGTGGAAGTAGCTCTCAGCCGATGGGGGAGCCAGAAGGGAGATGGTTTTCCCCTGGAGTTGGGCTGCTCAGTGGCCCCTGGCTCTCCTAAGACTTCCCCAGGCCAAACTCCACCTAGTCCTGCTAGAGGACGGCCTGGCCTCCTGCCGGCGTCAGTCAGTGTGCTCTTCCATTGGTGTGCTTCCCTCAACATCCTCTCAATGTCCGGCCACTTATCTTTTTCCGCCGATGTGTTCCTCTCGCCATCCAGCAGCTTCTGTCTCTGCCTTGCTAGGGTCTCAGGTTTTTATAGGCCCAGGATGGGGTTGTGGTGGGCCAGAGCGGTCTTGGTAAATGCAACATTTCTGCCTGTCCTCACCTAGGTCCGTGGGGGTAGAGCCCTAGTCAGGGCCCTCCTCTACCCAACACTTCCCTTCCCCCCTCCATATCATTTAAAGGGACCACGCCCTTCCCTTCCTGGCACTCTTGTATCACTATAAAAATAAAACAGTATAAAAGCTTGGAATGCAAAGAGCAGTAAACGCTGAGCTAGGATGGGAAGCCAGGCTCTAGATCCTCTGTAATAGCCCCTGTTATTCATCAGTCTCAGGTACAACTGGGAGGTCACAATTCAACCCATAATGAAAGCATCTCTATTACTGGCATTTGAGGCCTCCAGTAATCACTCCTTACCTACATAATCTAAGGTAACTCAAGTCATCAACATCAAATCTCTGTTCCAATCAAGTCTACTTATCTTCACTTAAAATGTACTCACTATGACTCTGTGCCTTGGCTCACGCTGTTCCTTTAGCATGTGTGCACACGCACTCAGGCACACATTCACACATGCTTTCTTTTGACTTTAATGTAAGTTCAATTTATTCTATAAAACATTCCCTGTTTATTAGAGTAAGAGTTACATCTTCAGTTTTGTTTGTAATTTTTATCACATGTACTGTGATTCTGAACAATCTATAAATATGTGTTGACAGAGCAGAATTTATCTGAGCTCCAAGCCCTGAAAAATGATAAAAAGAAACCAATATGCAAATATTTCAGAAGCTGAGGAACTATAACTTCGGGACTAGTTTTTTGTCGTGTCTGCATTGACAATGATTTTTAAAATTAAAGTGTAAAATCTGGAAAAAAGTATTAAAAATATTGAACCTACTGGTCAAGAAAAAATATTGAGGATAAATACAAATATGATTTGCATGGCATTAGACTTTGGAGAATTTAATAACATTAAATTCAAGATACCTTTAAATCTTTGTGTATTAATATTATTTAATTTTTATATCCTTCAATTCCAAAAAAGAATATAAAGAAATAAATTTGAATGTTTATTCACATTATTTCAGCCATTAATTATAATATACAGTTGACCCTTCATATCCACAGGAGATTGGCTCCTGAACCCCTGAGGTTACCAAAATCCGTGGATGCTCAAATCTCTGAAATAAAGTGGCATAGTATTTGCACATAACCTACGCACATCCTATTATATACTTTAAATCATCTCTAGATGACTTATAATACCTAAAACAAGGTAAATGCTATGTAAATAATTCTTATATGGTATTGTTTCCTCATTTGTATTTTTTAAATTGTATTATTTTTCATTGTTTTTTTCCCAAATATCTTTCAGCTTCTGATGGTTGAATCTGAGAATGCAGAAGCAGCACATATGGAGGACTGACTGTGTATTTAAAAGTGGTGGTTCAGTCATAGTGAAGAGAATGACTTCTTTCTAAATAAAATGAAGCAGGTGTATTCATCATTAAAGTGAAGAAAACATGTTTGAGAAAAGCAAAATGCCAAGAATTCATATGACATTTGCACCATCTCAAACTAAAGCTGAAGTGGCCTTGCCAATATTATTTATTCTAAATAATCACACAGAAAAACAAATGGCTTCTCAATAAAAAAATACTCCTTCTAGTTCCAACAATAATAGAGTCAGAAACAGGACTTGACTAAAACTGCAGTTGCCATTCCTGCTTTCCACCTTTTTCCAACTTTAAAAGATTTAAATACAATTTGCTTGTCTTTATAAACAACAGAACTAATCACCATCCGGGGTAGCAACCAGCATGTGTTGCTAAATTTGGCAGACTCAACCAGAATAAAGAATATAAAGAACAGTTAATAGAATCTTAATAAAGTTGCTGGTGTTTATAGGCATTACATTAGTTTGCTATGGCTGCCAAAACAAAGTACTGGAAACTGTTGGAAATTTAATGACTCTCAGTTCTCGAGGCTAAAAGTCTGAAATCAAAGGATTGGTAGGATCGGTTCCTTTTTAGGGCTGTGAGGGAAAGATCTGTTCTAGGTCATTCTGGTTTGTAGATTTTCATACTTACATGTCATTCTCCCTGCATATGTGGCTGTCCCTAAATTTCCCCTTTTTACATGGACACAAGTCATGTTGGATTGGGACCCACCTTAATGCCCTTATTTTAGCTTGATTAATTCTATAAAGATTCTATTTCTATACAAGGTCACATTTGTAGGTAGAGGGGTTAAGACTTCAACATATGAACTGGAAGGTCACAATTCAACCTATAACAAGCACTTTTCTCATTTTCATTTGGAGCGTAATTTAAAATTTTATTTTTTTGTGTAAATTCTATGGGTAACATAAATACCTATTCGGAACAATAATTAAGCTGGGTCTTCAAAACTGTATATATTTAAAATAATAAATGAAATTCCTAACAGGTTCTATGGTTGTTTTAATCTTGACATATGTAAAGTTCAAATGAGCTTGGAATCATGATATGACTATATATTAAAAATGAGGAATTGAAAAGTTACCTAAACATTGCTATATAAGTTCATGGGCAAAGTAGGCAGCTGCCTATGATGTGCAGGACCTGCTAGTAATTCCTCATGTCTCCAAAATCTGTATATTGTCAATTTCTGGCTAATATCTAATATTCCATCAAAAGAGTCCCTCACATGAAAATACATATATTGAAAGTAATGGGAGGTGAAGCCAATGGTTAATCACCAAAATTGTATTGCTACACTGTCACCTTCAAGTACAATGTACCAACACCTTTCACCTGAATTGCTAAAATAGGGTCTTAACTGGATGCATACCTTCATTCCTTTGTTTAGCAAATATCTGTAGGGCTTCTGCCAAGTACCAAGCACTGTCATAAATGTTTAGGGTATCTTTGTGAAGGAAAAATATACCTGTCCTTGCAGGGTTTATCTAGAAGGATATGGAAATGTCTGTTTTTTTTTTTTTTGTCTCTTTCCAATTCATCATCTACAAAATATCCAGAGTGATCATTTCAAGGAGAATTCTGATCTTGTCACTTGCTACTTAAAACCTTTTCATAATTTTCTTTGCTTTAGATTAAAATCCCAAAGCCCTGACATGGCTCTCAAGGCCCTGTGTAATCTGCTTCCTCCTTGACTCTGCCACCCCATGCATATAAGCTTTCTATCCCATCCACTCTGCTCCAACCACACTACCCTGCTAATCTAATGGTGATGATGAACAAATCTCTCCTACACTCAGAGCATTTGTATATTTATTTCCTTTATTTTAGGAGCTCCCTTGTTTTTCAAATGTCCATTTCCAACTCATCGTTCATATCTCAGCAGAAATATCATTTCATGGATGCTTCCCTAATGCACCAAACCAAGCACAGTTTCCCTCTGAAACCTATTTATAACTTCTGATTTATAATAATTGTGAATAAGTATGTGTATAATGTCTAGAATAAAGATTATGTATTTTTATAATTTTCTCTTTATACTTAGCACGGTACTGGATAAATGGAAAGAACTCAAAACATATATATTGAATATAAGAGGATTAAGGTAGAAGGGAAAAGAGAGAGACTACCCTGACTCTTGGTAAGGCAAAAATTAAACTGGAATTAACTTGAACAGGGATGGACACTAATTTAATGGGTAGAAGTTTGGGCCCTAGGCAGAAAACTGCAATTTACTTTAGTCAGCATTTTCCAAGTACATTCAAAAACAGGTTCATTCGAGGAAGTGCTTCTCAAAAACATGATGCAATGGTCAAATAAGTTTGTCTGCCTCTTAGATAGTGCCTATTAGAGTCTCCTATTAGGAGCTCTAATAATTCTTCTAGGAAAGAAACCTGTTTAACAAACCCCCCTCTTCCTCTAGAAAGCCTAATAGCATTGAAGAGTACCTCCTTGGAAATACTGTTTTAAGGTATAACAAGTCTGTTCCACTCCCTTGTCTTTTTAAGCTATGTAGATGGAAAATCTCAATCTGCATTTTTTCTTATCTCAAAAAAAAAAAAAAACCTAGAGGCCTTACCTTTAGAGGTATTATTTTTACTTCCCAATCAAAAATTAGTATGTAAAATCAGGAGTTGTAGCCCCCTCTTTAGAATATAGTATTTTCATAATTTTGGATACTTGGTGCATCAATATTTATAAATTTGTAGTATCATAATAAGTGGCTGCATACTTTCTACCTAGAATTCCTTTAGCTTAATTATTGTGGTATAGACCAGGAGTCTCCAGATATGTTGAGCCTATTACTTGTGTATTTTTATATGTAACATAAATGTACCACTACACTTTTATATCATTTATTTTTTGAAACTTTCCCTAAAATAAAATCTTTAAAGATTGAGGTAAAATTAATATAATAAGAAGTCCTAAAATTTTCTTACTATTATTCAGAGGATCATTTTGCATCCACCTTGGATTACATGCATGTACCTCACCTTAGAGATAATTCTTAATACTATGACTGGACTAGAACTTGCCAGAGCATGATAAGACCTAGGAATAAGGAATTATTCCATGCACTTGAAGCTTTATTGTTTTCATTTACCCTGAAAATTACTCAGCTACCGTTTATTGGATGTGGCTTATTTAGGTGAGTAGAGAGAACTGAATTCGGAGGCTTTAAAGAAGATATAGGAAGGTGAACAAAAGATTTATCTTTATAAACTTTGTGTCGGGATTGAGGTGTTGCATAATTTACTATCATGATGGTATTAGACTGAGTCCTGTCTTTTTTACTTTGGCTTGGGACCCCAGGAGGGTACAGTTTCAAAGGTACACAGTTCTCCTAGAAGACTAGACTATAAAGCTGTCTGATGATTTAGGGCATGAATCTACCAGAAGTTCAGAAAATAGAAGTTACAAAGAACCAATTCTAAATTTTATTCTATTGTGTTTTACTCAGGGACAATCCTGAAGAGTAAGTTGTTTCAATACTCAGAACACTAACAATAGTGTCTGGGGCAAATCGACTTGTCATATTGTACAGACAACTTAGTTTGATCCTCTATCCTGGCAGAGACTACATTCAGAGAAACCCTTAGAGGGGATTCATCACAGATTCATATGAAATCGTAAGTTTGAAGCTCCTGAGTTCCAAAGTCATTTATCATTAGATAAAAGCATCATCATGATTTAGATGAGTAGTATTGCAGAATGGTTAGGAATACAGGCCTTGATGGAAAACGGAAATGGATTTGGCATTAATTTCCACATTAAACAACTTAAAGGCTATATGACCTGGGATAGGATATCTTAGAATTACCATGAAATGTAAATAACTGAACAATCCCAAGTATCACCTTGAGTGAAGCACTCAGCACAATGATGCTATAATTAGCACATAATAAATGGTACGTAGTTCTTATTATTATTTATATTATTTTTACTTCTATGGAAGAAATGAGAATAATCTGTGATCCATAGTGTTTTTCTATGTAACAGGACCCTAAATTTGCTCTTGACAACATTTCATATATATATCCACTTGACTGTATTAAAGTTAGCGACCATATGAAAGCTGACAACTTTGATTAAGGAATTTTCTATTGGAACTTGACTTAATCTTTTAGTTTGAGTGGAAAATCTGGTGGTGAGTCTTTTTCTCTTCTGCAATTCTGTCAAACACCGTGATCCATGGAGACAGAAAGGAGAATTAAGCCAGGGAAATATACCATAAGTAAAAACTTTATGGAATTGAACATGGAAGCAACCATGAAAGAACTGTAGGAAAAAAAAAATGGAATCAACACTGCAAAGCCAAATGACTCCTGAATTCTGTATTGGCTGAACTTGAGAGTGAAATACTTTACACAAATTAAAATTCTTAAGGAGAATGAGTTATAAATAACATACCTATCAATCTTGATTTCAAATGATATTCTAGAACATCTGAGTTCTAATGCATTTGGGACAATTGTCAAAGTTCTCTACTGGAAAGTTTGTTTAAAATTTATCTGCAATAAATTTTATGGGTTTTATGTGTTATATTAGTCTAGTCAGCTGCTAACCCTGCAGGGGCAAGGACTGGAATTACATTTGTCATGATGAAGTAACTTGGAAGTGGAAATGATGCATTTGTCCTTTTTCTCCAAAGAAAACACGGATCTTTATAAAGTTATTTTTTTCTTTTACAAAATGGGACCCAGGTTCCATAATTTTATATGTTAAAGTAGACTCATTGATTGTTCTTTAGAGAATTGGGACAGTCTGTGAAACAGGCACAGAATGGAATAGAAATAGCTTCAGTAGAGATTTGATGTTCTAATTCATTCTCTGCAGAATTACAAATGCCCGTGCTTTCTATTGTGATACATTCCCCTCACCACACATATCTGCAAAAATCTGTGCAATATGTTTAGGAAAATAATATTCATTTTCAGGGTCTAAGAGATTCAGATTTCTTAACTCTTTATTATCCTTGAAAAATCAAGGCTAAGATGGACTCCTGAAGAAATTATTTTCTTAACATAGAAGTATGGCTAACGGAGAACACATGCAAAAGTTTAAGCTTTTCCAAACCAGCATAACTTCCCATGCATGCAGCAAAGACTGGCTATCATCAAACACCTTTTTTTGGGAACAAGTTAAAAGACAGTGCACACTCAGCTTGCACCACCAGAACTGGCCATCTAACCACGGTAAGCATTGGATTCATTATCCTAACATAACACCCTGAAGGCAAAATTGTAAGGACCTATGGATCATAACAAGATGGAGGTCACAGGAGAGCCATTTAACTCTATTCCTAACATAAGTTATTTATGAAAAAAAAAGATACTATTGAATTGTTTTTTGCATGAATGCTATAAAATATTTTTATTAAAAATAAAACAGCGATAGAAAAAAACACAAGGAGAGAGAATATCCCAAAGCAACCAAACACATTTAACAGAGATGAAGCCCATTCTATTTCCCTGGGGTGAAAATGTGTGGTTAAACATATGAGAAGGATATTTTACTTGGTGTATGTTACCCATCATAGTAGCACCAGCAGGAGCAGCTACAGAAAACGGCCCATTAGTTTTTCCATAATAAACTCTTTTTTCACTGGCACACCCTTGGGATTCCTTGACATTACTTCAGTAGAGTTATTGGTGGATGGCTTCAATAATTGGAACTCTCACAATCTGATATTAACATTCTCCCCATCACTTTAGTATATGCTAAATATTAGGAAATTTGATTTTCAGAGCATTCTTTCCAAGGTATGTGATTCCAAAAGACAAATTTATAAATTCAAAATGCTCTTTATATTTTTGCATTTTACATTTGCATTCCTTTCTCAAAGTAGCATGTCAAGACACCTATTCAATATAACTTTATCACGTTCAAGGAAGGACTAATGAATGAGAGTTAACAGCTCCCAGTTGCAGTCTCCAATGTGTCTAACTTATACCTAAGGCAATAGCCTCTGCACAAGGGAGTTCTCTGAAAATATGTGCCCTGAAGTGTACAAGCATAAATGAGAATTGGATGGAAGTCTTCACTGAGCTTAAAAATTTTCAGCAATTAATTGTGCCAAGCACCAGGAAGAAGACAGGGTTCTTAATGATAAAAAGAAATCATGATTGAATCTGGAAGCCAGGCATTTTATGCAACATAGCAGAGTAAGTTTAATCAGAGAAATATGCAGCCATTTAAGGAAGAACACAGAGGAAATGTGATACGAGATCACCAAAACACTGCTTGAAAATTTTTCTTAAAGTTAGTGAGAGTATTAGACTTCATCTGACATTATGTCTTCTCTAAATGTTATAATAGGACTGAACCTAAAGAGGTAAAAATGACCCAGGCAGGGACCAACAGGTCATTTACACCACATCTCCAGATTCTAAGTCTAATGTTCCATTACTAGAGTAGACATCTCTCTAGGGAAGACATGGTAGCATATCTCTAATTCACAGGATTAATTTGTATGTTATTGCTCCCTTTTCAAAGACCAAAATAGAATGAGGAGGGTGTGGCCAGAGAAATGACAACTATTAATAATTTCCTATTTCAATTTTGCTATTTAACAAAGGAAACAACTGCTGAGAGACCAGGAACTTAGGAAAAATGTCTAACTGAGGGTCTAAGAGAAAAGGCAAACAAGAAAGGAAAATAGTGAACGTATTAGGTACATGGAAAGATAGATGACAGTTTCCCATTAAAAATTTGTTAATAAATTTTACAGAATAGATAAGATTTCTCAAGAAAAGGAAAATGAAAAGAGAAAGAATAACCAGGAAAATTCAAAGTAATATCATTCAATAAACATTTATTAAACATTTCTTATGGGCCACGCATAATACTGGATACTAGGTGCTACAAAGAGATGTCAAAGTTCTTGTTCTTAGAGAGGTATTAGTGGAGTGGGAACACAGAAATTAATCAAATAATTACACTATAATTAAACCCAAGTCAAGTGCTCTGTGACAAGAACATGATTCTATGAAGGGTTATGAGAAAAGCTTCTGAACTAGCCTGGTAAATCAGAGTTTCCTACACAAACTGATATTTGAGCTGAAATAAAGGACAAATAGGAATCAGGCTAAATAAATGGGCCAAAGAAAATGATGTCTCAACAGCTAGGGGGAAAAACTGTGTGAGATGGGGCTTTGAACCAGAGACTATATTAGCACATATTAAGAAGTTAGGGCCAGGTACAATGGCTCACACCTGTAGTCCCAACACTTTGGGAGGCCAAGGTGAGTGGATGGCTAAAGCCCAGGAGTTTAAGACCTGCCTAGGCAACATGGAGAAAGCCCATCTCTACAAAAAATACAAAAATCAGTCAGGTATGGTGGTGCTGGCCTGTGGTCCCAGCTACTCAGAGGCTGAGGCTGAAGGATAGACTAAGCCCCAGGAGAGGTCAAGAGTGCAGTGAGCCATGACTGCACCACTGCACTCCAGCCTGGGTGACAAGAGTGAGGCCTTATCTCAAAAAAAAAAAAAAAAAAAAAATAGGTGTTTTTAGTAGTTTCATTGCATTAATGACCCCAATTTATCACACCTTTATAAATCCATGCCCTTTTTCTAGTGCTTTACCATAATGACTCCACTTGCCATGTGACTTTCTTTGGCCAGTAGAGCAGTAACAAACCAGACCCAGGCAGAGACTCAGAAAAGCACATCCAGGCTGCTACTTTCTTTTCCTCCACCAGAAGAATCTGCATGGGGCTACCCTGCTGAATGAGAAAATGTGGAGCAGAGCATTTTTATCAACTCAGCCCCTTCCAGTTTACCCAGCCACTAGCCACACACCTGGGAGAGCCCAGCCAAGATCAGCCAAGCAGTCTAGCTCATTTATAAATGGTAAGTAAATCCTGCTAAGCCCTCTCTTCACATCAGCAGAATTCCTCAGGTGAGTCCCAGAAGGCTGCCCAATTAATCCACAGATTTGTGAACTAAATAAATATTTAATATTTTAAGCCACTAGGATTTGTGGTTATGTTAGGCAGCATAAATATAATATAGATAATGGAGACAGTGGTAAATGTAAAAATGGATTGTACAGTGGTATATGATGTGCACAAGATGGAATAATTTTCAGGCTATCACAACAAGATAAACTGGCAGCTTGGATTAAGTGATAGTGAAGATGACAAAGGCTACCAAATCAAGGCAATTGGAATTTAATTCTCTAAGAAATGGTGAACTTTTAAATGCCTTAAACAAACAAATAGTGACATGAAAGAGCTTCTGCTAATTTAGGAAAATTAAATTGACCATGTTTTCATGAATGGCTTATAGTAGGAGAGTAGAGGGACAGAATACTAGAATGAAAAAAAATTGGAAGAAAGAAAAACGATTAAATGCCAAGGGAATGTCTCCACCACATGATAGCTAATTGAACAGCCTCATTCAATGAAACCATTCTGAGGCCTATATTCAATAACATATTCTCATTCTTAAAAAGTTGCTAATTCTAGATGTTTGGAGCTTAATTCAATGCTCTTTTGACAGTCCAACCTCAATTAGTGGTGACTTGAGAATGGAATATAATCCATGGATTAAGGCAATGTTAAATTAGCTTCAAGACCCTTTTGCATTTAGTGGTCATGTGAATAAGAAATTAATATGAAGATATAAACAATTCAAAGGGTATAGAATCAGTTTTAATGCCCACTTTGCCATTGCTGGCAACAGGTTACTCCTTTCTGACTTTCCAAAATGTTCTCAATTCCATCCTTACAATCATAATAAAAACCATATCCATAATATAGACAAACACATTCTGTTTCCTCGGTAAGTGTTTAATCACCCAATGATATTCATGGGTATGTTATAAAATAGGAACTGTATAGGGCAGTAAACAATGGGCTTTAATCTTATCTCCATCTATCTAAAGCCAATCCCTCCACTTTTACAAAGATACCATTTCCTCTTGCTTGTTTAAGGATGTCATTCCAGGAACTCCTTGAATTCTTTGAATATCACTCCAGTAATACTTCCCTCTTCTTCTTATGTTAATATTTTTCTCTCTTTCTCCTTTTCGTTGAAATAGATGTACATAAATATATAGATATGTCTAAGTTCTTAAGTTTACTTGCTCCACTTTCCCTGTCTCTTATCCATTTATTACTTAGTTGTATTTGTTGAAAAACTCTGAGGGAATGACCTATTCTTGTAGTTTCTAATTCTCTCTTCCCATTGTCTTTTAAATCCACTCAAGTCAAGCCTTTGCCTCCCTCACGCCATCAACACTACTCTCTTCATGTTTACCACCAATCAACAGCCACTCTCAGCAGCAATCCTACCTCCTTGATAGATCTTTTCTCATTTTCATTTAATACCACCCAATGCCTTGATGTTCATTCTTTCTCACTGGTTTCTCTTTCTCAATCTTGCTTAAGCATTCTATTCTTCTCCCCAGTCTCTTAAAGTTGGGAAGACTCCCACATTGTTTTTGGTCTCTTCACTCTCTCTATTCATGCTTTTGGTGATCTTGTCCAATCACATGAATTTAAATATAACCCATATGGCAACAACTCACAAATTTATATCTCCAGCCCTAGCTTTTATCCTAAATACCATATTTGTACCCCTCTCTAGTTAACTACCTACTTGAATGTCTAATGGACATCTCAAAATCAGTATGCCCCAAACTAAGCAACAGGTGGTTTCACCTGCAACCTTCCGCATCTCAATTGATGAAAACTCCATCCAATTGCTAAGCATAAAAAATTATTATTATTGTACTATTATATCCAATTATTATCATGATTATTACTAACCCTTGACTCTTACTTTTCTCTCATAATTTGCATACATCCAGCATATCCTTCTAATTGGATTCACCCTTTTCTTCTGACATTCTATTCTCAATACAGTAGACAGAGTGCTGCTTTTAGCGTTTAAGATGGATCATATCATTTCTCTGCTCAAAACCATCACAATGGCTTCCATTTTCATTTTCCTCCAGACTAAAAATCAAATTTCTTTAAAAGTATTAAATTGCCCCTTCCCCTGTACCTGAATCCAGTTACCTCCTGCCCTCAGCTAGTAATATGGTCTCCTTGCTTACTTTCTACTACAGCTATAAGCTCTCCTTACTTTTCCTTAAATTTGATGACCAGACTATCACCTCAAAAGATGTGCTCTCATTATGTTTTTTTGCTTGGAATACTCTCTTTCCATATATATTCATGTGCGTCTATGTGAAGAGACCACCAAACAGGCTTTGTGTGAGCAACAGCGCTGTTTATTTCACCTGGGTGCAGGTGGGCTGAGTCCCAAAAGAGTCAGCTAAGGGAGATGGGGTGGGGCCGTTTTATCAGATTTGGGTAGGTAAAGGAAAATCACAGTCCAAGGCGGGTTGTTCTCTAGCGGGCAGGAGTGGGGGGTCACAAGGTGCTCAGTAGGGGAGCTTTTGAGCCAGGATGAGCCAGGAGAAGGAACTTCACAAGATAATGTCATCAGTTAAGGCAGGAACAGGCCATTTTCATTTCTTATGTGGTGGAATGTCATCAGTTAAGGCAGGAACCAGCCATCTGGATGTGTACGTGCAGGTCACAAGGGATATGATGGCTTAGCTTGGGCTCAGAGGCCTGACATTCCTGTCTTCTTATATTAATATGAAAAATAAAATGAAGTAGTGGTAAAGTGGTGGGATGGTGAAAATTTCGGGGGATGGTATGGAGAGATAATGGGCAATGTTTCTCAGGGCTGCTTCGAGCTGGATTAGGGGTGGCGTGGGAACCTAGAGTGGGAGAGATTAAGCTGAAGGAAGATTTTGTGGTAAGGGGTGATACTGTGGGACTGTTAGAAGAAACATTTGTCATTTAGAATTATTTGGTGATGGCCTGGATATGGTTTTATATGAATTGAAAAACTAAACGGAATAAGAGAAGGAGAAAAACAGATATTAAAGGTCTAAGAATTGGGAGGACCCAGGACATCTAATTAGAGAGTGCCTAAGGAGATTCAGCGTAGTCCTGCCAGCAAAGATTATTTATTTACTTCAAGAGTTAAGAGTGGCAGTTTGGGGATAGCACCAGGAGATACCAGCTGTGATGGCTTGGAGAAACAGTGTAAACCGGCAGTGTAAACAAGCGCAGGGCATGTATGAGTAGTTGGGAATGATGAATAGGAGTATGACTAGACAGAAGATAGTAGGGATGACAAGTTTTTTGGGGCACAGTCCAAGTTGTTCTGGTGTCTGGAATGAGACTGGGGCTTAGTAAAAAGGAGCGTCCATACAGGAGCTCAAATGGGCTGTACCCTGTAGCATTCCGAGGACAGGCCTGAATTCTGAGAAGGGAAAGTGGTAAAAGTATTGTCCAGTCCTTTTTAAGTTGGTGGCTGAGCTTGGTGAGGTGTGTTTTTAAAAGACCATTAGTCCGTTCTACCTTTCCTGAAGACTAAGGACCGTAAGGGATATAAAGGTTTCACTGAATTTCCAAAACCTTGAAAAAATGCTTGGCTGATTTGGCTAATAAAGGCCGGTCTGCTATCGGATTGTATAGAGGTGGGAAGGCCAAACTGAGGAATTATTTCTGACAGAAGGGAAAAAATGACTGCGGTGGCCTTCTTAGACCCTGTAGGAAAGGCCTCTACCCATCCAGTGAAAGCGTCTACCTAGACTAAGAGGTATTTTAGTTTTATGACTCAGGGCATGTGAGTAAAGTCAATTTGCCAGTCCTGGGCAGGGACAAATCCCTGAGCTTGATGTGTAGGAAAGGGAGGAGGCCTGAACAATCCCTGAGGAGTAGTAAAATAGCAGATGGAACACTGAGAAGTGATTTCCTTGAGGATAGATTTCCAGGATGGAAAGGAAATGAGAGGTTCTAAGAGACAGGCTAGCGGCTCATAACCTACATGGAAGAGGTTATGAAATGATGACAGAATAGAATGGGCCTATGAGGCTGGAAGGAGATATTTTCCTTGGTCTAAGAACCATTTGCCTTGTGTGGCAAGAGATTGATAGGTGGAAGTTTCAGTGGGGAAGTAGGTGGGAGTGACTGATGTGAAGGAGAAAAACTGGCAGGGACAGAAGTTGGAAAGCTGGCTGCTTGTCTAGCCACCTTATCAGCATAAGTGTTGTCTAGAGCAATGGGATCTGATGCCTTTTGATGGCCTTTGCAGTGAATGACTCCAGCTTCCTTTGGAAGTAAAGCGGTCTTGAGCAGAGTTTTTATTAAAGAGGCATTAATGATGGAGGACCCTTGCATAGTGAGGAAACCTCTTTCAGCCTGTATAACAGCATAGTGGTGCAGAATATGAAAGGCATAGAGTCACTATAAATATTGATGCGTAGCCCTTTTGCAAGAGTGAGGGCTTGAATTAAGGCAACTAGTTCAGCTTGCTGAGAGGTAGTGGAGTGCGGGCAGAACGGTAGCCTCAATGATAGATGTGGAAGATACTATAGCATAGCCTGACTTTGCTGGTGAGTGGCAATTAGGCCTGATGGAACTGCCATCAATAAACTAAATGTGATCAGGGTGAGGAACAGGAAAGAAGGAAATATGGGGAAACGGGGTGAATGTCAGGTGGATCAGAGAGATAGTCATGAGGGTCAGGTGTGGTATCCAGAATAATGTGGGAGGCCCGAGTGAAGTCCGTGCCAGGAACAATGGTAATTGTGGGAGACTCAACAAAGAGTGAATATAGCTGAAGGAGCGGGGGAGCAGAAAGTATGTGTCAGGTACGAGGAAGAAAATAGATTTTGGAAGTTATGAGAAATGTAGAGAGTGAGTTGAGCATAGTTTGTGATTTTTAGGGCCTCTAAAAGTATTAAAGCAGTGGCAGCCGCTGCACGCAGACATGAGGGCTAAAACAGTAAGGTCAAGTTGTTTGGACAGAAAGGCTATAAGGTGTGGTCCCAGCTCTTGTGTAAGAATTCTGACCACACTAACCATGGCTAGGAAGGAAAGGAGTTGTTGTTTTGTAAGGGATTGAGGTTTGAGAGATTAGTCGGACACGATCAGCAGGGAGAGCACGTGTGTTTTAATGAGAATTATGCTGAGATAGGTAACAGATGAGGATGAAATTTGGGCTTGACTGAAGTAATGGGGGCTGTCTGTGAAGCCTTGCGGCAGTACAGCCCAGGTAATATGCTGAGCCTAATGGGTGTCAGGGTCAGTCCAAGTGAAAGCGAAGAGAGGCTGGGATGAAGGGTGCAAAGGAATAGTAAAGAAAGCATGTTTGAGATCCAGAATAGAATAATGGATTGTAGAGGGAGGTATTGAGGATAGGAGAGTATATGGGTTTGGCACCACGGGGTGGATAGGCAAAACAATTTGGTTGATAAGGTGCAGATCCTGAACTAACCTGTAAGCCTTGTCTGGTTTTAGGACAGGTTAAATGGGGGAATTGTAAGGAGAGTTTATAGGCTTTAAAAGGCCATGCTGTAACAGGCAATTGATAACAGACTTTAATCCTTTTAAAGTGTGCTGTGGGATGGGATATTGGCAATGAGCGAGGTAAGGGTGATTAGGTTTTAATGGGATGGTAAGGGGTGCATGACTGGTCGCTAAGGAGGGAGTAGGGGTGTCTTATACTTGTGGGTTAAGGTGGGGAGATACAAGTGGAAGATGTGAAGGAGGCTTTGAACTGGGGGAAAAGGCAGCAATGAGGTGTGGCTGTAGCCCAGGAATAATCAGGGAAGCAGATAATTTAGTTAAAGTGTCTCGGCCTAATAAGGGAACTGGGCAGGTGGGGATAACTAAAAAGGAGAGCTTAAAAGAATATTGTGTAAGTTGGCACCAGAGTTGGGGAGTTTTAAGAGCTTTAGAAGCTTGGCCATCAATACCCACAACAGTTATGGAGGCAAGGGAAACAGGCCCTTGAAAAGAAGGTAATGTGGAGTGGGTAGCTTCCATATTGATTAAGAAGGGGACGGGCTTACCTTCCACTGTGAGAGTTACCCGAAGCTCAGCGTCCATGATGGTTTAGGGGCTTCCAAGGCAATTGGGCAGTGTCAGTCTTCAGCCGCTAAGCCAAGAAGACCTGGGAAGGAGTCAGTCAGAGAGCCTTGGGCCAGAGTTCCAGGAGAGAGCCTTGGGCCAGAGTTCCAGGGGCTCTGGTAGTGGCTGCCAGGTGAGTTGACAGTCCGATTTTCAGTGGGGTCGCACACAGATGGGGCGCGGCTTAGGAGGAATCCTGGGCTGCAGGCATTCCTTGGCCCGGGGGCCAGATTTCCGGCACTTGTAGCAAGCTCCTGGGGGAGGAGGTTCTGGAGGAACACCTGGCTGCTGCAGTTCAGGTGTTTGGAAGTTCTTGTGTGCTGGTGATGTGGCTGGGGTTTGTCTCCCAGTGGAGGCAAGGAATTGCAACTTTTTTCTATTATTGTACACCTTGAAGGTGAGGTTAATTAAGTCCTGTTGTGGGGTTTGAGGGCCGGAATTTAATATTTGGAGCTTTATTTAAAGTCAGGAGCAGATTGGGTAATAAAATGTATATTGAGAATAAGAAGGCCTTTTGACCTTTTAGGATCTAGGGCTATAAAGCATCTCAGGGTTGCTGCCAAAGGAGCCATGAACTGGGCTGGGTTTTTCATATTTGATGAAAAAGAGCCTAAACACTAACTGATTTGGGAGAGGTCAGATAAAGAAAAAGGAGCATTAACCTTGACTATGTCTTTAGCTCCAGCTACCTTTTTAAGAGGAAATTGCTGGGCAGGTGGGGGAGGGTTAGTTGAGGAACGAAACTGTAAGCCGGACCGAGTGTGAGGAGGGGAGGTGACAAAAGGATTATAGGGTGGAGGAGTGGAGGCTGAGGAAGAATTGGGACCTAGCTCAGCCTGGGGAGGAGGGGAGAGTTCAGATGGGTCTGTAGAAAAGGAATATTAGAAAGACTCAGCGACACTTGGGGTTGGAACTGAGGGGACAGGCGGGAGGGAAAGAAGGAGCATTTGGGAGGAATCACATTGGGAACAGAGACTAAGGAGGGAATGAAGTGTGAAAAATGCCTGGATGTAAGGCACCTCAGACCATTTGTCCATTTTTCAACAAAAATTATTTAGGTCTTGTAGGATGGAGAAATCGAAAGTGCCATTTTCTGGCCATTTAGAGCCATTGTCAAATTTGTATTGGGGCCAAGCGGTGTTGCAGAAGAAAATAAGGCATTTAGGTTTTAGGTCAGGTGTGAATTGAAGAGGTTTTAAGTTCTTGAGAACACAGGCTAAGGGAGAAGGAGGAATGGAGGGTGGAAGTTTGCCCATAGTGAAGGAGGCAAGCCCAGAGAAAAGAGAGAGTAGAGACATGGAGGGAAGGGTTTGGGGGTTCTTACCCTCCAGAAAAGCGGGAAAGGGGTCGGGACACGGAAATAAGGGGTTGGGGTGTGGAAATAAGGGATCAGGGTGCAGAGATAAGAGGTCAGGGCATGGAAATAAGGGATCGGGGTGCAGAGATAAGAGGTCAGGGCACAGAAATAAGGGATTGGGGCACAGAGATAAGAGGTCGGGGCATGGAAATAAGGGATCCGGGTGCAGAGATGAGGTTGGGGTGTGGAAATAAGGGATCAGGGGTTTCTTGCCCCCCAGAAAAGCAGAGAAGGGGTAGGTAGAGACAGAGAGAGAAGGGGTCAGGGTTCTTGCCCCTCCGCCAGAAAAGTGGGACTTGCCGCTAAGGGTGAAGGACCAAGGCAGGCGTCCCTGCGTGGTCAGACACCTCTGAAACGTGGGTGATAATCAGAGAGGCATCCCTGCAATGATTAAACATCAAGGGAAGGCTGCCTTCCTGAGTTCATGACCGGCGCCAGAGTTATGGGTCCACGGATAAAACGTGTCTCCTTGGTCTCTACCAGAAAATGAAAGGAATTGAAATTAAGAGAAGGGAGAGATTGAAGGGTGGCGCCAAGATTGAAAGGAGAAAGTGATTGAGGGATAGTGAGAGAGGTTGGAGAAGAGAGTAAGAAGAGGCCCCCTACCCGATTTAAAATTGGTGAGATGTTCCTTGGGCTGGCGGGTCTGAGGACCCGAGGTCATAGGTGGATCTTTTTCACAGAGCAAAGAGCAGGAGGACGGGGGATTGATCTCCCAAGGGAGGTCCCCCGATCCGAGGCACAGCACCAAATGTCATGCGTGTCCGTGTGAAGAGACCACCAAACAGGCTTTGTGTGAGCAACAGGGCTGTTTATTTCACCTGGGTGCAGGTGGGCTGAGTCCGAAAAGAGAGTCAGTGAAGGGAGGTAGGGGTGGGGCCGTTTTATAAGATTTGGGTAGGTAAAGGAAAATTACAGTCCAAGGCGGGTTGTTCTCTGGCGGGCAGGAGTAGGGGTCACAAAGTGCTCAGTAGGAGAGCTTTTGAGCCAGGATGAGCCAGGAGAAGGAATTTCACAAGATAATGTCATCAGATAAGGCAGGAACAGGCCATTTTCATTTCTTTTATGGTGGAATATCATCAGTTAAGGCAGGAACCGGCCATCTGGATGTGTACATGCAGGGCACAGGGGATATGATGGCTTAGCTTGGGCTCCGAGGCCTGACATATTCACTGCTAATTCCTTAATTTTCTTTGAATTTCTGCTCAAATGTCACTTCAATGATGCTGCCTTAACCTCAATATTTAATATGGCAATCTAACTCCCTCCTGCAAACCCTGGCACTCCTGATTCACTTTTCCCTATCCTACTTTATTTCCTTTTTCCGTCTAACACTTATTATCTATGAATACACTAAATAACTTATTTATTATGTTTATTGTTTGTTTTCTGTCTCCCTCTTCTTGAATGTAAAAGCAGTGAGGTCAGAAATCTTTGCTCTGTTCAATAAAGTGTTCCCAAGAATAAACAAAGCATGCCACATAGAAGACACTAAATAAGCTATATGTTGAATGTATGAATGAATGAATGAATAAAGTGATGCTCTGAATTATTTAAAATGGCATGTCCCATCTCTGCCACAACTAAGCCCTATGTGTGTGCTGTGAATTATTTCTGTGGCTACAATTAATGCTTTTTTCTTGGCTCTTAGAACAATTTTTGAATGTGAATTAAGACATCCTTGTCTCATTTTATCCTTTTTAATTTAATTGCCAACCATTACAGCCACTTCATTTGCAATATGGAGGCCTTGCCCTCATCAAATATAAAATGTAGGAATAAATGACAGTACTGAGTGACCTGTTGGATGTGGGGAATGTACAGTGATACATAGGAGTCAAAACCTTATGAGTTAGATAGGACAGAAATCTAGTTGAGTGACTTACTCAGAGTTACACAGTGATCAGCAACAGAATGGGAGAATATAAGATTTCTGCTTTCTGATGAAGGCTATCCTCACTAGAACGAACTTACTGCTTATAGTCTAATTCAAAATTTCAGAGGTTACTGACTGACTTCCAGCAAGCTCAGACCCCTGATGCTACAAGCTCTAGGTTCTCCTGCTCATCACAAGTCCACGTTGGACAGTCTCCATGGTTTGAGCCCTCAT
This sequence comes from Homo sapiens, assembly GCF_000001405.40. Taxonomy (NCBI): domain Eukaryota; kingdom Metazoa; phylum Chordata; class Mammalia; order Primates; family Hominidae; genus Homo; species Homo sapiens. The sequence continues at coordinate 82,954,366 of NC_000001.11, read as the reverse complement.
CAACATCCCCTTTCGTCTCTCCTGATATATTCAAATTGAGGACACAAGGTGTTTGAGTCCTTGTATATTTTAGCATATCTTTATAATAACTAGCTTGGTGTTTGCATGCATGCATGTGCACATATACATGTAATGTGGAAAAATTCAAAGAAATGATGAATTCAAAGAGATAATGAGGAATTGTCTATGGTAAAACATGACTAACATCATACTGACTCTTTACTGAAAAGCATACTTCAACTCTGCTGTTGTACCTTTTTTCTTATATCTATCCTATATGAGCGCAAGTTCTTATATGTTATTTATATTTCACCTGCATTTTGTTCAAGAGTTGTTCTATGCTTAGTGAATCTTATATATGTTTATATTTCACCTGTGTTTTATTCAAGAGTTGTTCTGTGCTTAGACAGTTCTATGCTTAGAGCCTAACCAGCTAGATTGCAGAATATTTCAGCTTTCTAAGCTGACCCCTGATTCTCACCTAAACACTTGGTTAATTGGTACAGATGCAAAATTATGAACAGAAAGAAAACCTTAGAGTGAATGCAAATAAATGAATGAATAAACAAGATTAAGTACTGGGCAATGCTCTTCACTAAACAATACTGAATGGATGGCTAATGTAATAAACCCAAATGGTAAAAGGAGATGCCATTTCTTACAATAGCTTCTTTTCGATACTTTAGGTATTCAACATTTCAACCACTTTTAAACCATTATCTGCTCTCATGTTCACATGAAATAAACTGCCCAGTAGATATTTATTTAAAGGGGAATATTGACTTCTGTCGAGGTTAAGCTATTTACTTGAAAGAATGGCATTCGCAGCAACAGTGTTTGAAACTTCTTCACTGTAGTGATTCTAAATTTCCCACCACAAATGTAAACTAGTACAGCCACCATGGAAAACAGTGTGGAGATTCCTTAAAGAACTAAAACTAGGACCACCATTTGATCCAGCAGTCCCACTACTGGGTATCTACCCAGAGGAAAAAAAAGTTATTATTTGAAAAATATACTTGCATGCTTATTGCAGGACAATTCACAGTTGCAAAATTGTGGAATCAACCCAAATGCCCATCAATCAACAAGTGGATAAAGAAACTGTGATATATGTATAAACATATATATATATATATATATATATATGATGGAATACTATGCAGCCATAAAAAGGAATGAATTAACAACATTTGCAGTGACCTGGATGAGACTGGAAACTATTATTCTAAGTGACATAACTCAGGAATGGAAAACCAAATATCGTATGTTCTCACTGATATGTGGGAGCTAAGCTTATGAGGACGCAAAGGCATAAGAATGATACAGTGGACTTTGGGGACTTGGGGGGAATAGTGGGAGAGGGGCGAGCAATAAAAGATTACAAATATGGTGCAGTGTATACTCCTCAGATGATGAGTGCACCAAAATCTCACAAATCACCACTAAAGAACTTACTCATGTAACCAAATACCACCTGTACCCCAATAACTTATGGAAAAATAAAATAAAATAAATAAATTTCCTACCAATTATATCCAAAGGATGTGGTTCTTTATGTTTACAACTTCTCAAGGACCATGTTATTTCTTTTCTTTATCCATTTTCTAGTAAAGTATCCTCTGTAACACTATTTACCTCTTCCCAGTTTCTCTCAGTGATTCTGTCTTCTCTTTCAGAATCTTCATTTGTGACCTATGTTAGAAAAATACTTAAATGGATAGCCCTTAACTTATTCAAAATTTTAACCAATTTATTTAAATATTGTAACTAATTTATTTAAATATTGTATTTGTTTAAATCATGTCCCAAATGTCTATACGTCTTTATTTTTATAAAGACAATATATTTCTGTAAGTGAAATAACACATATATAAATGATTTTGTAGAGTAATATCATCTTTCATGTAAACAAATGCAAAGTATTTTGATAGTGATAATAAGGATTATATTAGATTTTCAGATTCTTTTATTATACTGCCTTAACCATCATATTAACTATGATGAATTCTACAGCATAGAAATATTGGAAGGATAGCTGAAAATGTATTTTTTTAATGAAGTGTGTGTCAGCAAATTAGAAAGAGATTACCCCTCTCCTCCTGCAATATGGTTTGATACCAGCACGCCTGTGTTGGTGGGCTTGAGATAACTTAAATAGAAAATGAGTTTATTCTTCACTTTTTCATTGAGTCATTCTGTGACTAAAGTTGGGCCTTAGTGTCATTTCTCTTATCTTCCATTTATTTATCTTTAAAATGGCCATAATGGCACTTTTCAATAGGAGTTTGTGGTTGGACACTAAATAAATAAATAATAATAACCCTTTATAAACACAATGCTATAAAAATATAGAGTGCTTAAAAAACTCATTTTTTTCTAGGTAGAAAGCTTACTTAACTAACGTTCTATTTGAAAAGAACTCTACAAAAGACAGTCCGTTTATCTGAATGCTCTCTCTAACATTAACACAATTCCAGGTGTGGTTTTGTTTATTCTTTTTGGTCTAGCAAGTAAAAATGTTTTTAATTTCTCTAAGTGTAGATTTCTAGGCAAAGATGACAGATATTTAGTGTTTTGAAGAATTGTTTAGTTGGGTCTGAAATACATACTTTTAAACTAAGGAAACGGTTTCAGTGAAGGAGAAATGAAGATAAAAGGTATGGTCATCTGATGAAATAAGGTCCATGAGTGAGTTAGAGAATGTGTTGGTGGGTGTGGCAGAGAATGACAATATAGAAAGCAAAATGGAAAAAGCAAGAATGTGATTGTTAGATTGTCTCAGTACACATAACGGGGCAGAGTCTAGGTGAAATTTAAGGGATTGGTGGAGGAGAAAACTAGGAAAGACCCTGACAACAACTCAAAGACATTTCTTGGTGGAGTGAAGGAAAATGATGTAAGGGCTGTGCCTTAAGTAACTTTTCTCTGAAAGAGGAAGAAGTAAATTAATCTGCTGTGAGAGGATAACCATGCTAGGAAGAATGCTGTTTGAACACTACTGAAGAATAAAATGACTATCAACAGGCTTATATGAAGCAGACTAAGCTACCTTTATAATGAGACCAATTTTTAAAATATGTACAGAATATATTGTTTTCTGATATTCTGTATTCCCTATTATTATCAGCATTTAGCTATTTAGTTAATATTTAGATATCCCATTAATATTGTCCTTTAATATTTAGATATTTTTGGAAAACTGGCATGCTAAATAACTAGGACTGTGGGAGTAACAGTACCCTCCACCCTATGCAGGCCACATTACAGTAGGAGTATGGTGTCCAGTTCCAGATGTCCCACTTAAAAGGGCCATTGACAAGCTAAAAGCAACTACAGAGAACAGAATACTGAGGGCTCTAGTCACGCCATTTGAGAAATACTTTAGGAAAAGGAAGCTGTTCTCCTAAAAAAAAAAATCAAAGAATCGGAAGGACTCTTGATCATCTGCTTGATTTGGGGAGCTTTCACATTCTCTGGGAGATGCAACAACGTGGAAGTTTTCACTGTCTTTGCTGAAATGAGCCCTTCTCATGAGATCCTTTTTTCCTTCTGTCTCCAGGAACAAAGGATCTGTAGTTGAGGCAGCTAGATGGGGAATATAATTATCTCTTTCTGTCTCTAAAACTATGATGATGTTTAGAGTTAGCTATGTAACAAGTATCTCTCTGTTCTTCGGAACACAGAGTATCTTTTGCCTAGTTTTCAAGATCCTAATGTTTTGCCCGACATTATATATCCCAACTTTATTCTTCTCCGCAATGTAGTCAGGCTAATCTCCTTACTCCATCTATACGTCCAACAGCAGATTGTTCTCTTTCTATTTTAGTCTCTAATTTGGGTTTCTGTTGCTATATAAAAAACCACCCCGAAACATGGTTATAGCTTTTTATTGAGATAATTTTATAGATTAATTTGGGGTGTCAAGTAATGCTTTTATTTTTTTCCTCAAGACTGAATTAGGAATTCAGGCAGGATTCAATTGGGATGTTTTTCAGCTTCACATGGCTTCATTGGAGTCACTCATTTAATAGTCGTCTTTCAATATTAGAACATAAAGAGTACTTTCTTTATAATGTCTTTATTGCCTTTTTTTTATGAATGCATCCCTCTACTTAACTAGTCCCCCACTGATGGGTATTTAGATTGTTTCCGATTTATTTTACTTTTGCCAACATTGCTGTAATTAACATCCTTTGCAGACTTATTTGAGTCTCTGTTGGATGAAGTGTATGAGGGGAATTGCTAATTAAAATATAAGTTCATATAAATATTAGTACAAATGGATAAACCAACAAATGTCAGGACCAACTTAGAAGATTAACGCTTTTCTATTAATATCTTCTTTCCATTTCCATTCTTATAGTGAAATTTATCACTACTATTTTAATTTGTCTTTCTTTGAGTATTAGTGAGCTTGAGCATATTTTATATGTTTAATGATCATTTGTAGTCTCTTCTTTGAATTGTCTCTTCATATCATGTTTTAATTTGTATTGGAATATTTTATTTTTTGTTTTCTGTTACATATGTAGGCAGTAGGATATAATAAAGATATAAAGTGTTTGACAACTATAGTTAATAATATTCATAAATAAATTCCCTTTCAATTTTTTTATAATGTATTTTTCCCATACAAAAGTGATTAAAATGTTTGAAGTAAAATCTGATATTTTTCTTTTGTGACTTCTGGGTTTTATTTTATACTCCTTAATATTCTCAAATATTTGCCTTTTTTTAGTATTTTGCTGCTTCATGTTTTATGTAAATATTCAATGTACCTGGAATTTATCTTTTTGAATGCTATGACGGAGATTTTATTTTTCTTGGGTAGATAGCCAGCTGATCCACTGTCATCTGTTTAACAATGCATCCTTTCTCAACAAACATGGAAAATCAAATTTACTATACTTTGACTCTGTACTGGACCACAGCTGACTTGTCTCTTCCATCACAAATACCAAGTTCTTTAACTTTTCTAGCTTTAGAGTATGTTTTAATATCTGGGCAAATGTTTCTGTGTTATTGTCAATTCTGGGCATTCTTGCAGATCCATTCCTGTAAATGACGCTTAGAAAACAAATGTTTATAAATGTGTCATACAGAGTTATAGCTTCTTATTGAGATAATTTTATAGATTAACTTGGGGAAAATATAAATTTTTATAATATTTAATCTTCCTGGCAAAAAATATTATAACTTTTATTTTACATTCATATAAATGTTCTTTTATAATGCTAAGTTTTTATACAGTATTTTATATATTGTTTTATTCTGCAATAAAAGTTTATCTCATTATAGTTTCTTATTGCATTTCCTCTCTCGCTATTGCTGTTACATAAGAAAGCTGGCACTTTTTTACATTATCAAAAATACTTTACAGTACCAAACTTATGCATTGATCAAATATTGAACCACTTTAATGACTTATCTAATTGTTCTTTTGGCTTGTCAGATGATTAACAAATTTTCTAGGTAACCATTTATATTATGTTCAAATAATAATCATTTAGGTTGTGCCTTTAAATCATAAGTATTATTTATTTACTTCTTATTTTAGTCTTAGTACATTGGCTAGATCCTCTTGAGTAATAGAAAATAAATTTTAACCAATTTAATACTTAGGAGAATATGTATTTTTAAAAAGAGTTAAATTTCATTGCCATCTGTGAATTTAAACATGATACCAGGCACTGTAATAATTAATATTGTGTGGAATGAAAACTAGGAATAGTTGGCCATTTCCTAAGTGAAACTTGTACATCCAATGTGCACTTGGCAATGTTTCAGGAAATCATAAGATTGAGAAAAAAATGCATTAACTTCTTTGGCAAAATAAACGATTCCCATCTGACAACTGGAGATTATGATTTTTTGTTTTGATTTTTATTATTTTGTGTTTGTCTTTCTTGGATAAAAAGAAAAGTTTTAAAGGAAAATAGAAAAAAATGGAAAAGTAGGCAAAGTGAGAACTGAAGCTAATGAAGAAGCCACAGATAGACAGCCTGAACGGATCTATGAGTTGTTATCAAATAATAAAAATGGAAAATGTGTAACTTGAAGGAAGAGATCACTTCTTGTTTTGGTATTCGTCTTTAATAACCAGTAGAACGACTAGCACATAGAGAGTACTAATAAATATTGTTAAATGAATGAATGAGGAATTAGTGCAAATAAATGGACTCAGTATCTATATTTAACCCACAGGGCAAGTGTGTTTACCTCCTAATAATTCACACAGATACATTAAGGTCTAATGTTAAGATCTTCACTACGAATCTCAGTGAATATGAATTAGTGGCTACTTCTCCAACTAAGACAAGTAACGCATTAGTAACTAATGAGTTACTAATGCTAGTTGATGATTAGGGGGATTTCAAACTATCTACTATTGGTTTAAAGTTGCTTGTAACTTATAATAAACAAATGCTGTTAATTAAAAAATGCATGCATCATGTAAATCTCAGAATACTTTCTTTGAGGCAAGACTATAGAATCCGTTCACATGACAAATTTGTGTAAGGAAAGCTACTGTCTATATCACACCACAGGAGAAGCCTTTTAGTCATGACTGAAAGAAATTTAAGTGTCTAAGATCTTTGCATTGAAGAACACATTTCTAAGCCTCAGTAAATTGATAATGCCTAAATACAGGCTTTTGACCAAGGAGGTTTGGAGCAATAAATGCACTGATGATTCAACCAAGCTTTAGGGTACTCATTTCAAATGTAACAGTATTGTACTTCCACATAAAGCAGAGATAGAACATCAAAAAATAGTAATTACTACAAAACTTCTAACAAACTAAAACAAAATCCTGTGGCAACAAACTGTGTAAGGAGATTTCACATGCTCTGATTTGCTCACAGCTGTGGGCTTCTGTCATGCTTTTCAGATGGTGCATTAGTTCAAACATCCCAGATTACTGAAATGCATATTATTGATGTGAGTAAACTTCCGTATAGTCTTTTTTTTTTTTTTTGCTGAATTTTGTTGTATATTGGAAAAACATGGAAAAGAGAAAAATAAGTTCTACACTTAGCTATGATTAGCTCAGTGCCTGTGAACATGTTATTCGTGTAGCTTAATTTCTCTGGGACCTAAATGTGAAGTGAGCTGTTTATCTCTAAGGCTGATCCTAGCAGACCTTTCTTAGCTAGGTAAGGCCAAATGGGAGTGGGCTTTGATGGAGTTGAATGCTGAAAATTGAACTTAGTTGTGGGTAATTTCACTCACAGGTCTAAATTCATTAAATTCTTAGTCAAGCAATCTAACCAGAAAACCCAAATTAAAGAGAAGAATAGAGTAAGACATTGGTTGAGACAGGAATATGGTTAGAAAAAAAGATGAGACATTTGATTTGGGCCAGAAAATCTTGTGGTTTAGAGTCACTCTGCTTAAGAGGTCAATTTAGGGCACTGTAAGCAACATCATTTTGGTGTGTGCTGGAGGGCTGAGTGGGAGAGAGTTGCAAATAAAAATGTTATATTAATTCTAAAAACCTATGGCCCCCTTCACTAGAGTTACCATGCACAGCTGTCAAACCTACAATTCTCAGCAATATCTGGAATGATTCAAAATCACAGGTTGTATTGGTGTGGTTCGATTGGGCTGAACAGCTTACCACTTGCTTCTATGGTGAGCTGCAGTGAGGTAATTACAACAGACTGGGAAGGGACAGTGTATAATGACACTCACTGGCTTTGTCTATATGACTAAGCAACAACAAAACAGCCCTAAAATCGACTCTAGCACAGCCGGCTCATTTTCTTGGCCATATCCATAGCCTGTTTAGATTGTGGCTACAATCTGTTTGAAACTCTGCTGGGGGAAAACTATAGGGAATTTCTGAATCGGCGATGCCAGGGTAATCTGGTTGTGTTCTGTCAATATGGCCACCACCCTGCTTCAAATTCTGTGGCAAAACTGTTAAACTGTGGAAGACTCAAGTAGGGGGAACAGGCCCTTGGCAAGTGATACAGATTGTGCTATTTATTATGTGTGGAGGTTGCTGGGAGACCAGAAGATTAATAGTACATGCTCATTTGGAATCCTAATGGAAGATTTCTCAATCACTCTACAGTGAGAAAGATCTATACTTCCTTTCACACTTGCACACTTGGGAAATAGGAAAAAGGAGATGGAGGAAACAAAGGCATGAGTGATAGGGCATGGGTTCAATATACGTAAATGTTTCTACATAAGCTGATATAAAACACATGACTCCTAATGACTTCTAAAATGCTGGAATCCTGTAAGACACACAAAAAATGAATGATCTGAACACCATCTGTTTGTCCTTTTGCTACATGTGGTAATGGTCACTTATTTGACTACCTGTGGATATGGAAATGTGTTTGAAATGATGAAGGACCCTCTGCTCTACTATAATGACAACTACCAGTGACATTTGTAACCTTAGCAGTGGGTTAGAAACTATTTATGTCCACTCCCATTAAGAATTTTACCTCTTTGACACATCCATTTGGTTCTGTTTGAAAAAGAAAATCATTAGTCTGACCTAAAACCACAAATGAAGACCAACATCTCTCAAGTAATTTGCATATGCTTAACTATTTATGAGTTCCCTGCTGAGCATCAAAGGTGGTTATCAATCTACCTACACCCCAAACTTCTATAGAACATTTACTTTCTGTTAAAAGCATGCTCAGTACCCTATGAAATGAAGCTTGAGGTCAGAAACATACTAAGCAGTACTTCCTTTTCCTTGGGGAGCATTTTGACATTTTCTGCAATGAATACAATTTATCCATTCATTCAACAGATATTTCTTAAGTAGCTGCAATGTGCCAAGCATCAGCCATAGTCTGATTCTGGAACATGTTTAAATCTTCAATAGATTGTATTAAAATCAATCTTACTTACTAACGTCTATTCTTTTACCAGTATTCACAATCATTTCCTCTTTTTTACCATAATTTAATTTGTCATTTGTTGATAGATGGGCTAGATGACAAAATTTGGCTAAATACAATATATGGAATATCTCTACTCGAAGCACATGTACTAGTAGACTATTAGGCCTTTAAACCTATTCAACATAGCCTGCAAGAACAGCAAGTGAATTTGTACTTATTTTTTTACTTGTATATTTATTTCAAGTTTTTGTGTTTTTTAGTTTTCATCTGATGTAAAACAAAAGCAGCAGTTAATACAGTTGTATTTAATATAATTGCAGTGCCTACAGTGGTGAGGCAGCAATCTAGAGGAAATTACTGCTGATGCAAGTAAATAAGTTTTTCATAGTTTTATTGAAGGAGTTACACTTCCAACATGCAGTGCCTTATGCTTTGTTTATTTTACATTTTTGGATGCAAATTACGTGCTATCTTAATCTGGGAGTACATCAGAAGCAGAGCATTAGAATCTTTGTCCAAACAAACAATGCTCAGCATATTTTCTTGAATTATATGGGTCAAAAAGCAAGAAGATTGTTTAGAAAATACAGAATATCATCAAAGAAATTTTGAAAAAAAATCATTTTACTTCTGACCACTAATAACTTCTGAAATCTTTAGTTGACTGAAAAGAAAATGTATTTTAAAACAAAACAAAAATATGTTTACTGATGCTTCTTTCAATTAGTCTTTGCTTTTTAGAATGAAGAATAGAGTACAATTTGTTTTTTATTCCAAAAATGCATAAAGTCTATTGAATTCCAGCTGACACTGCTAAAGGCAATTTTTTTAAGTTTTCCATTTTATGATGAAAATCATATTTACATTATTTTGCATCATATTTCTATGTGCATAATTATCAAATAAACTATTTAGGAATTATATGGGGGAAGAGTGGGAGAAAAAAAACTAAACCTAAACCACCTTCCTCCAGTTTTGTTTGTTTTTCTTTCTCTCTCTTCACATAGTGTTTATAAAATGGGCAAGTCTAGGGGAACTTTCTAATTTGTGGATGGTGGTTCCAAGCTGTGCCTATACAGTTTTATGACTGCTTAGTTCCAAAACATATAAACACATTACCCTTCTACATAGCAAAATGCCCAGGAGAATGCAATGCAAAAGAAATGAAGCAGAAGAAAATATATTGCACCGTTTTCTTTTTTTTTTTCACATTTAATTTAAAATTGATATAAAGTGGTTCCAGCTTTGAGGAGCCAGTGAATGTTTTCTGCTAGCTGTTTCCCCATTTCATCTCCAGTTTTTCAGTTGCATTTAGTTGGCCGGCAATCCAACCCTACACAGTTTCTGAGAAAATCTTCTCAGGTATTGAAAGAAGACACAATATTTCCTCTGAGAGTCAGTAGTTGATTTTCCTATTATTTATTTTGAAGCAAATGGTTTTCGGTCTGGAGTGTGTGTGTGCACATATGTGTGTGTGTGTGTGTGAGAGAGAGAGAGAGAGAGAAAGGGAGATTCCCCATAGTCTTAACTTTGCTTTGCAAACCAACTGTTCAACAAGACCTGCAACATTCAGCCTTCTGCCACATCAGCTTTAGAACAAAACATCTGGAGGTCAAATTGCCTTAGTGCGTCATACATCTTAGTATATTATATATTTCTATGTAGTTGGTGCACCACTAAAGGAAAATCCCATGTTTGAGAGATTTTTTTTTTTTGGCTGAAAAGTATGTAAAAATGCATGATACTTTTTGATCAATATAAACTACATGAGGAAGATTCCAGGAAAGTTTTTGACACATAGTAGGGTTCAACTAACATAAGTCATATCTGAAATTGAATATTAAAAGGCCTCAAGGTATTTCAGGTTTTTGAAAAAAATAGCAACCTATATTTCTGCTCATGTAGGGGAAAGGAGTTGGATTCTTGTCCAAACCACAGAAGTTAACCTAACAGAATTTACACTCTGGTACCAACCCTACAGGGTATGTGGCCATGAGAAGAGCAGCAGACTGGCAGGCTTTGCTCCTGAATGTGAGAAGGGCTAAGAGGCATGTGCCTATCACCCTTCTTCTCCTTGTACAGGACAAACAAAACTTTTTTGTTTGTTTTTTCTGAAACTGAGTCTCACTCTGTCGCCCATGCTGCAGTGAGGTGAGTGGTGAGATTTAGGCTCACTGCAACCTCTGCCTCCTAGGCTCAAGTGATCTTCCCACCTCAGCCTCTCAAGTACCTGGGACTACTGGCAAGTGCCACCATGTCCAGCTAATTTTTTGTATTTTTATAGAGGCAGGGTCTGGCCATGTTGCCCAGACTGGTCTCAAACTCCTGAGCTCAAGCCATCCGCCCACCTCAGCCTCCCAAGTGCTGGGATTACAGGCGTGAGCCACCCCGTCCAGCCCAAACAAAATCGTTAAAAAGGTGATCTGCTGTCACTTTCTCTGCCTCGTTATCTCCTACTTACTCTTCAAAGCATTAAATCATTTACTCTCAGAGTGGCTTATTCTTTTGCTCCCAAAAACTCACACATGGAAATTGTTCATTCCAAAATCCACCTGGAAGTTGTCTGTGGCCAGGAAAAGATCTGCATTAATGGCCCATTTTTTGAGATCCATTTGAAACATCACTTTTTCCTTCAAAACAGAGTCTAATTCCTGTGGTTTATTTAATTTCTTCCTCCTTTATGTTATGAACAATTGAAAATTGTTCATAAATCTCTTATTAGAATTACCCTGATGTATTATAATTTATTTGTGTACAGAGTGGCTGCTCTGCCAGAATTTAAAATCCTTAAAAGCAAGAACCATAATTTTTTTCATTTTTGTAACATGAACATGTTATAGATATATTGACCATTTTGTAAAGGCATAATAAATATTTATTGAATGAGTGAATGATAGATTTCAGGCTAGCTTTAGAATATTTTTGTTGTCTTCAGTGATGCAGTATGTTCCATCATTTATACTAGCATAGGGATCCAAAGATGCCTATGATTTTTAGGCAGATCTTTTTGTCACTAGCATATAGGCTTCCTAAAACACCATTTGTTATGTTGAACCTCTGCTTCAACATGTATGCAACTAATAACATTAAGCATCTGTAAAACAGAGTCTTTAGTTACTCCTCTTAGACTATACAATCAAGTCAAAACTTCTTGAGATAGTGTAGCATTTTTAACATGCTTTACCTTTCTCTAATACATTGTACCAAAACTCATATATTGTCCTTTAGAGGGTAGTGACCTTTGACATCTTTGAAGTATAATTACTTTACTGAATAATCCTAAGTAGCTTTAAAAAGAAAGAAACCATTAAGGAGAAAAAAGGCAGCAAAAACAAATATTTGAGATTATAAATTCAGATTGAAAAGATATTTGATGGCATATATTAAGTTGTTTCATTGTCAAAAACACTAAAATATAAATTAAAAGCAGACTATCAAACTGAAAAATAAATTGTAACAATAATTCAAGTAAAGGTTATTTCCTTAAGGGCTAAAAGCCAAACACTTAGAACTAAATTTAGAAATAGATAAAGAATATAAACAACACACACACCACACACACACACACAAACACACACACACACACATACACAGATAAATCTGAATGGCCAGAAACCAGTTTAAATGACAAGATGATATTGATTTACCTATAAACAGGATGTTATTTTTTCACATGTAAATATGGTAAAATTTGGTTTTTGTTCTTTAATATTTTCATTTGCTTTAGTTTTGTTTTAGTTGTATTAATCAGTGTGGGCTGACATGTTGAAACAAGCATTCTCACAAACTGTTAGGAATTTTAATTAGTATAAATTTCTTAATTAGAAAAGTCTTTCATATTACTTTGCTCTGAAATTGAAATTCTCTATATTGGGCCACTAAAATTAATCAAGTAACAATTTTTTTAAAAAACAGTAGATTCTCAGGTCACATCTATGAAACAACCATGTAATAAAATAGTTTTCTAAAGTATAAATAAGCTTATAGGCTTAAAAATTGGAAATAACAGATTCAAAGGAGAGTTAGAAAAGAGCCATAGGACTAAAAACCCAGGGATTAACTGAAAATTGGTCATTTAAGACAGCCTTACATGTAGAAGAGCTGGTGACTCATGCCAGGTAAAAATTTATAGTTTTCTTAAACATTGAACTATGTGTACAAGAAGAACTAAAGCAATCTGTGGGCATTGATGCTCCAAAGCAAAGATTTCCTCTTCTGGAAAATAGAGTTTCAAATAATCTCAGATTCATTACCAGGTTGATCAATACCTATTCAACTGTTCCAGCCATCAATGAATTCAACACATTGTGAGGGAAACCAAGGGTCACCACATATTGGAAAACTTGAAATAAAAAGAAAGAGACTGAGATAAAGAAATGGGGAAAATTATGTTAAAGGGAAAAAATGAGATAATGATGGGAAAATAACTGAACTTAGAAAGATAATTTTACAAACTTGCCCTATGGTGTCCATGAAAATGTACTACCCAGATAACCTGCTGCAAGAAGCATAATTGAGTGATGGACCCAGGTAACTTCTGGATTCACCATCGAGTATACACTGTAGTCACACGTCCCAGGACTGCTACCAGTGATTGAGTGTAGTAGGTATATTAATGCAGACCAATTGATGCAAGACATGGGGCTTCCTTAACACAACTCTTTGGCTTAAGAATTCCCATCAGGCTGCCTAAAATTTTCTGAGAATTACACTGCTGTCTAAAACTCTACCCAATCCTTCTTTCTTTGCTCTCCTTTCACAGGCATCAAAGCTGCATCATGGTCTGAAGGCTCTCCCTGCTTTCTGTGGTCCCATTCCTTTTACCCTTTATAAGCATGTCCCACAGTAAATCATTTGCACATATAATCTTGCTGTTTGCTTCTTGAAGAAGCCCTCACATGGTTCTGGGAATGTTCTGAGAACACAGGTGGCAGGTATTAGGACAGGCTCCCTCTCCTTCCTGGAGGCAAAGTCTGCATTCTGAGTGGTATACAGAGCAAGAATAGTCCCTGGAATATATTCGTGGCTAAAGATTTTACCAGGATGACCAGGGAAAACTTTCTATTGGAAGGAAACATCCTTGCAAGTTCCATGATTCTGCAATTTGAAAAATATAAAGGATGTAGGGGCACTGCCTACAAAGACACTGGAGAGGGATACTTATTGCTAAGTTTTATTTATGTCCTGCAGAGGTATAATTAGAAATTGAGGACTGTAAACAGGCAGTTAAAGGCCAAGTGGAAGAGCCAGAGGGCCTCCTTTATAGATACATAGAGCTGAGCAGCAGAATGAAGCTTTGATAGTTTGATTAACAGAGCTCCAGAAGCATTTAAATGAGCTGGCAAGGCAGGTGTGTTATGATAATTCTAGGACTCTGGCGAGTAAAATCTGGGGCCCTGAAATGTGAAATGGGAACAGAAATATGGATGCCTATGAGGATGTTGGCTATGAAGATCCCCTTAACCCTTAGTTTTTAGAGGTGGTCCATCTTTTCCTGAGTAAGAACTAGTACTTCTCCTGTATTGAGAGATGTAGAGGACGCTTCCCTGCAAGGCAGCAGAAGCACCCTCAAGAGCTACCCTCACGTTCTCTCCTGGCCACTAGGTCAATAGCTAGAGTTAAATCTAGGTTGGGGATGTGCTGGGCCTGAAAAGTGAGAAAACAGATTATACACCAATAGAGCTGCAAGAATTTGCATATTTCAGAAGAGAAAGGTACTATGGACTAAACTGTTCCCTTCCCACCACCAAATTAATATGTTGAAGCCCTAACCCACAGTTTGACTGTACTTGGGGATAGAGCTTTTAGGAAGCCATAAAGATTCAGTGAGATCATAAGAGTGAAGTCCTAATGTAATAGGATTGATGGCCTTATAAGAAGAGGAAGAGAGATAAATTGCTTATAAGAAGAGGAAGAGAGAGAGATGCCTTTCCATGCTTATGCAGACCATGTAAATACATACAGAAAGAAGGCGGCTATTGTAAGGCAGGAAGAGGCACCTCAACAGAACCCAACAGTGCTGGTATTCTGATCTTAAAATTCCCAACCTGTTGAACAGTGAGAAATAAATTTCTGTTGTTTAAACCACCCAATATATGGTATTCCATTATGGCAGCCCAAATAGACTAATATATCATGGAAGTATATATTCATCCCTTGGAATTGAATTTTGATAGTGTTAAATCAAAAGGGCTAAAATATAACCAGATAGATGAGAATTAAAGGACTCAGAAGCTGGAACCAGTTTGTCAGGGTGCCTTTTAGACACCTGAAAAAGTGATGAACAGTCCTTGATAAAGTGGAAATGCCTGAGTTTCCCTGGAAGATGGTAAAACAAATAAAAAGACTGAAAGAAGTGGGCATGCTAGAATAAACACATTAGGTGATGCCAGAAAACCCTTTCAAGGATTAATGAGATAGTGCAAAAGACATACCACTCTCCACAACCACCAGGATACCAGGACCACACTACAGAGAGGAGCCCTAGAATCAATACATTCAGTGGTGGCTCTCCCCTCCAGGCCACGTCTGACAGTGAAAGGGGGTCACAGACTAGGGCTTGTTAACATCCATGGATTGGTGAGGCCCAGAAATAAAAAAGGCAGGTGGTGGCTTAACCAACAGAAGTTAACAGGTGCTACCACAATAATTGATAAGTTTGGAAGGAAAGAGGAAAGGGCTTGGCTCACAGCAAATTATGGAGATGGTTCATAGAGCATGATCACCATACTGAAAAAATAAGGAGTCACTTAATATATATAACTAGGAAAAAAGACAGTGAGCACCAGCTTAGAGGCATCACTCTGAAATAACATGGTGTCATCCTTCAGGATACAGCATATACATTAAATCAGAGACCTCTGTATGACACAGTCTTCTCAGCAGGAAGAATAAATGTGCCTGGGAGCCAGGAGTGGAAGCAGTAATAGCCCCATTAATCATCACTCCCATTGACCCACTGGGGAATTTTGAGCTTCTCCTCCTCCTCCTCACAATGCTGGGCTCTGCACACTTGCAAAGTCGAGGTCCCACTGAACTACAAGCTATGGCTGCTGCCAGAAGACTATGGACTTCTTTGTATCTGGGAACCAACAGCTGAAAATAAGAGTCATCATCATCCTGATAGGAAGAATCAACTGTGAACAGCAGGCAAAGGTAGGGCTCCATTTACACAATAAGTGAAGGGAGAATGCTTCCTTGTACTCCCTTGCACCATTGTAACTATAATGGACACACACAGCCACCCCAGCCCAAAGAGTGTGATTGCCAATCTAGGGTTCATACCTTTCAGGATTTCAGGCTTGGATTGACCCACGAGGTAAGCCTGCAAGATGTCCTGATATGACAGATGAGAGTGAGGACAATTTCAGATGGACAGTGGAAAGGGAAAAAGGTGAATACAGGTGTGGCCCTGAGACTACCTGCACGATGGAGGCTACTGTTCATTCTGCCAACCTCCATCTTCCATTCCCACTCAGGAAGAAAGACCCACAGGAACCGCAAGAAAGACCCACAGGAGCAGCTTCTTCCCCACCTGTGTATCTGTGAGACACAGGGGACTGACTCTGGTGGCAATGAAAAAGCACTGCTCAGATTTCCTGCTGCAAGAAGCCTAATGGTTTGAGCACATCAGCTCCTGCCCTTGTGGATCCAGTATTGGGTTTGCAGCAATGTCACACTATCCATAGGCTACTCCCACCTAGTGAAGGAGAATATGGGGGTTCCAATGGAGGCCAAATCCTATGAGATGCAGTTCTCCTTTAAGGTGTACTTTTGTCTCAGAGATTCTTCATTGGTCTGGTCAAAACTTTCTTATAACTCTACAGAATTTAAGGCTGTCTCCCCTGTTCACTTTCCTTCCCCTTCTCCATCACAGATAAAGACCTGCCTCACTGTCTCCCACTTCATGTGCCTCCCTCTACTTTCTCCTTCATAGGTGCTTCCCCAACAAGTCTCTTGCGTGTCCATATCTACTCTGGCATCTCTTTCTCAAAAGACCTAAACTAATAAACAGTCTAAATGTAATTTTTTTAAAAAAAGAAAATCATAGAATAGTAAGGGATATTAATATTATCTTGGAAAAAACTAAGTTTTTAAATTTTAGAAATAATATTACTGCTGAAAAATATAGTAGACATAGAGGATTGATTCAGAAAAATCAACACTGACAAATATGATTTCTAAAGAGCAAGAAGCAAATAGAAGTGAATTTCTGAACACTGATGAGAGTTCCAAAAATTTCTGTTGAAAAATGTCCTACTGAATTAATGAAACATGATGCACTTAGGCATTTTGAAGTTTCAGAACACCACATATAAATAAAAGAGTCTAAAGCTTTTATAGTGACAGAGCCTGTCAGCAATGTGAACATTAATTAGAATGGTAAAGGACTTCTCAACAGCAATAGTAGGTCCTAAAAGACTATGAAAGAATGAGTTCAAAATTCTGACAAGAAAATAATGTTTAGCCTAGATTTTAAGCCTAGCCAATCTATTAATTAAGTGATTTATTAAGTGGCAGGAACTGTATGAATGAATTCATTTAATCTTTATAACAACCCTATGATTAGATGCTATTAATATACCCATTCTGCAGGTAAAGAAACTAAAGCAAAGAGAGATTTACTAATTTTGCTCAAAGACACAGAACTAGTAAATAGCAGAGTCAAAAATCAAACCAAAAGAAACAAACTGAAACCAATGTTTTTAACTATATTGCTTTTATATTGTCTAAAGTGCAAACTGTAGACATTCTAAGAGACACAGTCAGAAAATTTATGGTCCATGCCCTTTTGATTAAAAAATTTTTTGAAGATATGATCCAGAAAAGTTGAGGTAAACATAAAATTAAACATAACTCTTGTAGATAGAAAAACAGCTTCCCAAATATATCCATACCTTAATTCTCAGAACGTGTAAATATGTTGTTTTACATGGCGTGGCAAAAGGGATGTTGCAGATGAGGTTAAGGATCTTGATATAGGGAGAATATTAAGGTGGACCCAATATAGTCAAAAGCATCGTTATTAGAGAATGAGTAAGGCAGGAGAAAGGGAAAGATTCAACGATGCTATGCTGCTAGCTTTGAAGATGGAGGAAGGGGCCATGAACCAAGGAATGCAAGTGACCACTGAAAGCTGGAAAAGGCAAGGGCACAGACTCTATCCTGGAGCCTTCAGAGGAATATGGTCCTGCCCAAATTTTGGAATTCTGACCTCCAGAACTGTGAGATAATAAATTGTGTTAGTTTAAGCCTCCAATTATGAGATAATTTGCTATAGCAGCAACAGAAGACTAATAACAACACAACAAAGAGTGGGAGGGGAACAGGATTCCTGAAAGAAGATGATTCATCTCAGAAAGGAATAAAGGAAGCCTACGATGATGACCTCACACAAACCCTAGAAACAACCATCTTGAATTAGAAGAGTTGGACACAGCCTTGTAAGTGAGTGGTTGAGGTATAGAACATGACAGCAGGGAAAGAGATGCATTCTGGTATTACTGGAAAAACATAGCTGAGATTTAACATAGAAAAGATGAGTGTAAATAAATAAAAAATGAATAATAATTTTTAGAAAAAATATCCAGTAAAGAAAATTCAATAACAGTGAACAGCTTGTCTTTGGCAGACACAACATACATATCATTACAATGTAAATACTCCTTATTGATTTAATTAGAAATTGCAATATAATTATATCAGAAAGATGACGGAAGGAGAAGTAGGGTTTTACTCAAATGATAAATCCTTATCTGTTATTAGTTAATAGATAATCTCTAAAATTTGTATAATAATAAAGAACAGTAAACACATATTGAAAGATACAGATTTGAGTAATCACTCGAAAAACAAATAGCTAAAAGTAGTTGCTCTTAGGAGTGGGTCTGGAGATGGGGAGGGAGTGAAGGGGAGAATATTATATTTTCATATTTGTGTTAGTATTGTTTAATATTAAGTTGGTATTTGATTTTCAACCACATGGAAATAAATTTAATATAAGGCTTTAAGTTTACAAAAAAAGAGAAATAAAAATGTAAAATTAAAACAAATATGTGAATATTTAACAGATTATAAGCACAAAAGCAAAGAAAAAAAATACAAAGGTGAGACCAGTAAATCTGATTCTCTAAAATTTTTTCATTTTCCAAAAAGACCAAACAATATATAAAATTAGAAGAAAATGAAAAGGAAAATATATTTGTAACAAATATGACAAATAATGTGTATCATTGATGTATAAAGAACCCTTTGCAAATCAATACAGAAAGTTCAAGCATTACTATCAAAACACTGGCAAAGTATAAGTCACAGGGTAATTACAAATTATCCATCAATAAAAACAGGTTTAACCTCTGTAATAGTTAAATGAATATATATTAGAACATAAATCAGGTTTTTTTCACTTGTGAAAATTATAATGGTAAAATTGATCAGTAGTAGGAGTTTAGTGATGTAGGAACTCTTGTAAATGACATGAGAAGGTAAAATTTAATACAGTCTTTCTGAAAGCAATTTGGCAATATATTCAGTCTTGAAAGTGTTCCACCCTTTGAACTAGTAATTCCACTTCTAGAAATCTGTTCTGATAGAATAGGCAATGGAGACAGAAATTTATGTGCTAGAACACAGTGTTGTTTATACTGGTAAAATCATAAATAATTTAAATGTTCAACATTAGGAGACTGTTTCAAGAGATTATGGCACACATGTTGTGCAGCCATTAAATTTCTTGTTTATGAAGATTATTTGGCAACGAAAAAATTCAAAGATGTGTGTCTTCCTATTTAAGATTTTCTTAACTGAACCTTAAATAGAAAGACACACATGCTATCCATTCCAATGAATTCATATGCATAAAAAAGTGAAAATATCCCAAGTATTAAGTTCTGTGATGTATAATGGTAGCATTTAAAATTTTATATTGTATGCTTTTTCTCAATTTCCTACAATAAATTTGTATATAATAATGAAAGTATCTATATAATAAAAATATATAAAATAATGAAAAAAGAGTGAATAAATATAAATCAGTACAAAGAGTTTTTTTTTTTAATTCTTTCCTTGGGCTTATGCTTTTTGCATTGGAATTCTTAGAAGACAGTAATTTCTCTACCAGACCCTCTGCTGCCCTTTCAGAGGATAATGGGCATCCTGCCAACCTCAGCACTCTGCTGGCCTTGCCAGCTCAAGCACTTGGGACTGAAACCAAGGCCTGGGGAGAGGAAAGAGGAAGAACTTGACCCTGGCTCTGAGGTGCCCAGTAGCCCTTCAGGCATGGGGATGTGCACAAACCACTGTGAAGGAATGCTGAGTGCAGGAAGGCGTCAAGACCAGGAAGCAAAGCTCTTTTGCCTTCAGAGTCCAGGGATGGCTCTTTACCTGAAATTCATGGCTGCACGCCTCTCAGAAGCCTCTGGGCTCCATCATACCTTTTTTCCAGGTGAGTACATGAGGCCCAGAGAAAATGGACTTGCTCAAGGTGTTTCAGGAATAGATTTTAGGTGGGAAGGAAAATTGTCCAAGCTGGGCCTTCACTCAACTGGATGCTGAACCTGGCAGATGGAATCTGTGATGGAAATTCATGGGAAATTCAGGTGTGTGAGATTAGGGTGGGGGTGGGGAGGGATGTGCCTTCTTCACTGCTGTGACCCTGAACACCCATGCCTTCTGCAGGCCATCTCTGTGCTTTCCTTTAGGTCTACCAAAATAATTGGCAGCGTAAAGAAAAGAAATAGCCTCTTAACCAATGCACAAGATCACTCAAGTGCAAAGTTCTGATGTACACACTTTCTTTAGTACTTGATTTTTCCCAATTCCATTATCTGCCAGTGCCTGCCTTCACTCTTCTTCCTATCTAAACTTTTCCCCAGCGTCACTAATTTCAAATTCCTTGCTAATGTTCTTAATTTATTCCTTGTTTTTCTACCATACATGTTAAGGTACTCTTCAGACATAGATGAATAAAATTAATTTACTCTACCTTTTTTCTTCTCGAGACACTGAAAATATTCAGAAAAGCATATGAAAATGATTATTTTCATACATATTTTCAGACAAAAATGTATCACTCTTTCTTCCTGTAACTTTCTCTCTTTTTCTCCCATATCCCCACCCATCCTGTCCCAAATCTTTTCTCCGAAAGGTAGCAAATCCTTCCTTTTTATCTACAAGAATGACACATTGATATGGTCTGGCTCTGTGTCCCCACCTCAATCTCATCTTGAATTGTAATCCAAATTGTAATCCCTTGTGTTGGGGGAGGGACCTTGTGAGAGGTGATTGGATCATGGAGGTGGTTCCCTCATGCTGTTCTCATGATAGTGAATGAGTTCTCATGAGATCTGATGGTTTTTATCAGGGGCTCTTCCCCGTTCACTCTGCACTTCTCTCTCTTGCCTGCTGCCATGTAAGATGTGCTGCTTCCCCTTCCACCATGATTGTAAGTTTCCATGATTGTAAGTTTCCATGCAGAACTGTGAGTCATTTAAGCCTCTTTTCTTTATAGATTACCCAGTCGAGAGTATGTCTTTAAAGCAGTATGAAAATGGACTAACACTTACATCTTATATAGGTCACATCCTATAAGGTCTAAGCTGTGAACCATGCCAAACCACAGTGAGGGGTGAAGGAAGGGTTCACAGGGAATGTCCAGGTTGGGTCTAGGATTTGACCAATGGGGCTGTGAACTACTCCTTAAAAAGAAATCTGGCAGTTAAGTTATCAATGTGCAAACAGACATAGCTGACTACTTTTCCACCAACTGGGAGGCAGTGCACCAGCATGAACTAATTCAGGAGAAGGATTCTCCAGGTTTCAATCAAGGCTCTGCCAGTTAGCTCTGTGCCTCTGTAACAGTTACTTAACTCTAGAGCCTCAGTGTTCTCCTGTGTGAAATGGCCCCATGTGACTCACATCACTGTTATCACAGAGTTTGAATGAGGATCAAAAATACAGCCCGCCACATTTAGTATAATGCCTTATTCATTAAATAATGAATATTAGTTGTTAATATGAATTCTGTTATTGTCATTATCTTACTAATCTAGTGGCATTTCTATAACCAGATTCATATGGTCAGATAGGAGGTAATTATGTCGTCCTTATGTTTTCTCTGATTCAAAGCCAGAATTCAGTAAATCAGCCAGGGTGCACTGGGGGTGGGATACAACTCCTGGAGCATTAATACACTACTAGCTTGACTGAGATGAGCTCTGGGTGAGCCTGCTGGTTGAAGAGAGCCTGTGAGAGTTTCTAATGAGGCAACTAATATAATAATCACAGAAAGCTTCCCCGAAGAAGAAGCATTCAGGGTTTGAGTGGGAGCTGGCAGGTGAAATGGAGAAAGGCTGTTAGGAAGAGGAACTAGCAGGGCAAAAGCATGGCGTGGAAAGGAGTCAGGCACAAATAGGAATAAAGGAGTAGTGAAATTAGTGTGCAGTGAGCAGGGGAATGGGAAGCTCACAATGAGGCTGAAGACACTGACAAAACCCAAACCATTCAGACCCCATATGCCACACTAAAGCAGCCAAAATAAGACCCAGTGAGTGTGAATGAGAAGGGAAGGGATTTCTTCTAGGATGAGGTCTGCTTTCCCTTCTACCTTGAATTCCTATAGATTTTCACAGATACTCTTTCCCTGTGACCAGGCATACCCAGACCAGTGTTGGAAATGGACCTGAGATCCATTTAAATATGTATACACACACACACACACACACACACACACACACACACAAACACACAAACACACATGTATATATATGAACAAATTCAGGAGGAGGATTCTCTAGACTTTCAATCAAGGCTCTGCCACTAAGCCCTGTGCCTCTGTAACAGTTAGTTAACTCCAGGGCCTCAGTGTTTTTCTGTATGAAATGGCCTCATGTGACTCACATCACTATTATCACAGAGTTTGAATGAGGATCAAAAATACAACCCCCCCCCCAAAAAAATATATAATATTATATATTATATATTCAGAAGAGATTATGAACAGGCAAATTAAGAGATAACGAACAGATTTCTGGCTGTGGTCCTCAGTGGCACAGATGATAGCTAAGTTCTTGTTTATAATACCTGGGGAGTTGAAGAGTGTAACTGAGGCTCAAAGGAGCTGCCACTTTAATGGGACATAAAGATATAAAAGAGATCAGGAAATGTGGCATTTCCAGGATGCTACTTTGGCTCCAGGAAACCTACATAAATAAATAAGATAAAGTTACTTCCTTTGTTGCTAGGCTACAAACATAACAAAATAAAACACAACACAACCACAGTTACCATATGACCCTCTCACAGTGACCATGCTCACCCCAGAAGACTGAGGAATGGCTGCTGTGACAAATAATTGTACAGTTGTGCCAGTTCACTCCCACTGTCAAAATCTCAGATTCTGCCTGTTGGACTGGGGACATATGGAAAGACTCAGAGGAGTCTGAAAGGTTTAGAGGCATGTCACACATTAAACCCTATTAACCATTTCCTATTGCCCTACCTCCAACTCCAGCTTGAAAAGTAAAATATACACCTGGGCAAGATCCAAATACTATGTAGGTTTAGACTGCGACTGAAGCAAAGAAACTAAACTAACAGTGATGAAACTGAGAGGAACCAGAAGTAGGCGGGCTCAAAGAATTGCTGTTTCAATAGCCATATTCATTTATGCAATAAATATTTATTGAGAATCCACTATGTCGTAAACTGTATTCTAAAACACTGGGTGAAAGGTTAACGAACAACAACAAAAAATCTTTAAGTACCTTTATTTTGTATTCTAGTTGGAAATGGTAATGCTAATTCACAGTGTGATTTTGATCTATGATGATGGCTTTTATGATAAGCAGCCAAGTAAATTTCAGCTGATCTGTGTGTTCAGAAAGACCTCAAAAATCTGTTTTAGCCTGTGGGATCTGCATGCTGTTGTATGCATATTGCAAATGAACCCTGCTTTGATAAATGCATTAAGTTGGCCAGATCAATCAGCAGACAGCTTAGTCTACATTATTGTTTGTCTCACCCTCCATAATTTACCTCACCTGTGTGACATTAATGGGAAAAAAGTTCTCAACATTTCAGAGTTTATCATATGCAGTATCTTATTTATTAGCAAATCCTGGATATCTTAATTATCACAGTTGTCATACAATTAAAATAGGAAGTTAGAAGAGTCAAATGATAGTTGAATTTTGGTTTGAGTTTGTCTTACAACAGGTAAAGAGAAATCACCAAATGTTCCTAATTATTTCCCAACTATTGAATATATAATTAGAATAGATAGATCTGCTAACTCAAGGAGTTACCACACCACCCTAGGAATTACTGAGTACTCTAGTAGGATAGAACTAGTAGAAGTTATGGGAACTCTCTCTGAATTCTAAATTTTTTTAAAGAGGAATTGTAGTATCTTACAATGAATCATCATGTTCATTAAGGATTTGTTAGAGATAGTGTGTTTTTATTAAATTACACAGTTTGACAAGTTCAAAAGCAGGGTGAGTTACAGGTAATAATTTTTGGTTAATAGTTAATAAACTGTGGCACAACTTTATATTTATACTATTCAGTGAACTTTTATTGACAGCCTACTGTGTTCCAGGCATTTGCTCTCATAGATATTATAACCTAGTAGGGAAATGAGCATTAAAAAATAATCACGCACACACGTGTATACACGCACAAACTTACAAATTATATTGAATGTTATGAATTAAAGATCAGGGTACTTTAAATGAGTGTAAAGGAAGAAGAAGTGCTATTTACTGGAATGGAGAGGTCTGGAAAGTGGCAGATTAAGGAAGGTCGTGAGTTTTGTTGCAGACTTGTTAAGCATAAGATGATGCCAGTGAGCCTTCCAAAAGAGATGTTACCTAGAAATGTGCAGATATAGATCACAAGCTGTGGTTTTTTTTTCCCTAAGAAAAAGATTGATATGTCAGAGTAGCTGGAAAGCAATTTAATTTAATTAAGAGGATCTGTAAAATACTGGTAAAACAGTTGTTGGATGTGTGCTAATTTGGAACTCTAAGTAGTGAAATATAAACAATAGATAGCCCTAACTCTGCTCAACACCCTCCAACTTGGCAAAATGCTGAGTTCCAAGGACTGTTTCTTCAAAGCTGTTTTGGTTCTGCAGATCAACATAGTGTGTTTGGCAAATAAAATGTATTTACTCTTTTCCAGAAGAAAAAAAAAGTAAAGATAAATACCGAAGGGTCTTTACTTGACACTGCTTGATCACTACCACTCTGCTGTCCTACAAATAAAGTGTTACACCCAAGGCTGTAGGTTGTATCAACTTTTGAATGCTGGGGGATAGTATATCATCCTGGGGAAGTCAATGATAAGCACTGTGATCTGAACTAATTGGCCTGAATTAAGATGTGGAAGCCGGCAGTGAAAAGCGAAACACACTGGCAGAAAAAAACAGAAATCAGGGTATTTTTTTAATTTCCACCAATTTGGTGGAAGGCAAACTTCTAAAATAGGAGCTCTTCACTAAGCAGGCTCTGTACTAGTTCTGTAATGGGAAGCTTAAAAGATAATCTACTAATCTGAATTTCTATGAGGAAAAGCGCAGCTACACTTGCAGGCGAGTGTTTCCTAACTAGGAAAGATCTTAAGGGTAACTGTTCGCACTTTCAGCTGTGATGAAGTGGTGAAAACTGATGTCAAAACCTCAGCACTGAGGTTATGGAAGACAACTGACAGCTCTGGAGTTCAAAGACTAGTGTGCTTTCTTCCACTGGCTATAAGTATCAAAATTAATAAAAATCCTGAAAGTAAAATATTCTGAGAATAGGATCATTCACTTTATAAGCTTATGTTGACTTCTTTAGAAAGAAAAGGGGAAAAAGAAAAAAAGGAAGAAAAAGGCATTCAACCATTGCTTTTTCTGCTGATTTTGAAGTCAATTATACTACCTTTGAGTATAATTTAATTTCAAACAGTTAAATTTATTTAAAAATAAGAAAGGAAGAAAGAAAAAAAAAGAAAAGGAGGAAGGAAGGGAAGAAACAAGGAATGAAGGTGGGAAAGAAAGGAAGAAACAGGGGAGAGAGAGAAGAAAGAAAGGAAGAAAAAAGTCCTTAAGATGAAATTATTAAAATCCTAAAACTTCAAGGACCCTTAGAAGTGATCTAGCCCAATATGGTCACCAATGAAATAATCCCCTCCTCTTCTCTCTAACTATTGTTTATCTGTCTTCTTTTTGATCAATCACAGTGACAAGGAACCCACAAGGGCCACTGTATTGTTAGACACATCTAATTCATTATTCAATGTTTTCTTAGGTTGAATTTAATCCTACCTTCTTATAACATTTACTCATTGGTCCCAGTTCTACCCTTTAGACCTACTAAACTCTGTCTATTTCCTTTTTCTCCAAAAAAGCCCTTCAAGTACTAGAAGCCCTATAGCCTCAGGCACTCTAGACCCTGATCCACGAGGATGCCTGGTCTTAGCAGAAGCAGAGCAAGCACAAGCAGACCATCCTCCATAGGGAATGCAGCTTTGGGAGCAAAGCTATGACATCACTCTGATTAGAGAAAATGTTGCAGCTGGACCCCTGTGTTGTAGAACATTTGTTAAACATTAAACAGTGAGGCCCATCTCCACAGGGGAACCAGAAACAACTGCAAATGGGGTCAGACTTGCCCAAGGGAGCCTGAGGCAGAAGTATTCTGACATGAACATAAAGGATTGATGTCTCTGATGTAGTTAGTAAGGCAGTTCTTACTTTTGCTGTCTTTGGTTCAGTAACAGTGCAATGGTTTGATTCTACTGAAGCTAAAGCAGAAAGTCTGTACACAAAAGCATTATTTTGCCCCACGCAGGAAAATGGAAAACTAAAGAATTAATGAAGGAGGATGGAAGATGGTTTACACAGTGAAGCATTAGGCTCCAGGCAGACTAACAGGAAGTTCACTGCAGCTCATATACAGCCCCTCAAGGTGATAGATGAACCCTGTGCAGGGACAGTGATCACAGGGACTCTTGGTGGAACTCAAATCTCAATCACAGGAAAGAAACATAGACTGAAGATAGTATTTTTTTTTGTATTGAAAAGGTATCTTTTTTTGCTTTTGTTTTTTCTTCCAAAATTTCAGTTACAAATTTGCTGCAGCTACAGTTGAAGTTGTGATACAGGAATCATGACACAGAGAGCAAAGGTTTGAAGTGTGGCAGCTAATAGGTTGAGAGTCATTTGTTTGCCTCTATGATTAGAAATATTTCCCAAATTCAAACCCACAAGATAAAAGGAGGAAACAAAATGTCTGAGAAATCAACCACAGAAAAAGAGGCAATTACAACCAGAGAACCAGTCAAATAGGACTAAACACACTTGAGTCGTGATGATATCAAGAGACAAGTTATATCGAACAGAAACAATTTTACACGGCTTCTGATCATTACAGAAGATACCAACGGACATGTCCATAATTCTAGTGAGAGACAGGGATAGGCATTGCTTAGGCCTTAACATTAGATCTGAGATAGCCTCATGTGATGGTTATTTTTATGTATCAACTTGACTGGGCCATGAGATGCCCAGATAATTGTTTTTTTAATTATTTCTGAGTATGTCTGTGAAGGTGTTTCTGAAAGATATTCACGTTTGAACTTGTAAATGAGTAAAACAGATAGCCCTCCCCAATGTGGGTGGACATCACCCAATCCATTGAGGGCCTGAAGGTGAAGGAAAGTTGAATTATCTCTGCCTGAGTGGTTGAGCTAGGAGACTGATCTGCCCTCCATTGCTGCTGGTTCTCAGGGCATCAGACACAGACTGGAATCTACATCATCAGCTTTCTGCATCTCAGGCAATACTGACTTTCCTGGGTCTCCAGCTTATAGACAGGAGATCATGAAACTTCTCGGCCTCCACAGTTCTGTAGGTCAATACCTTAGAAAAATATCTTTATAGACAAATGTAGATACAGATAGATATCCTATTGGCTCTGAAGTCTGGAGAACCCTGACTAATATACCTCACTAATATTGGTATGGCACTAATAAGAAAAACTAATGATATTTTCTATAGTTGTATCATGACAGATAAAGCATTGTTAGAATTAAGATAGAGAATTCTGCGACTTAAAACAAACAAAAAATATCTGAATTCACAATACCAGCCTTGGAGGAAAAGGCTTAGGTGGTTTATATAGAGAACAGTACTTTAGGAATTACATCTTTTGGGTTGATTTTTCAGCTCACAACAAACTCCCAAAGTAAAACAAACTAACTTCACCTTATGAGGTAAGACTCCAATAATTTTGTACTTGTCTCCAACTTAGAGTAATGGTTTCTTCCCTAGAAATTGAACAGAAGGGGCCAGGCGTGGTGGCTCACGCCTGTAATCCCAGCACTTTGGGAGGCCAAGGCAGGTGGATCACGAGGTCAAAAGATAGAAACCATCCTGGCCAACATGGTGAAACCCCATCTCTACAAAAAATACAAAAATTAGTTGGGCATGGTGGCACATGCCTGTAGTCCCAGCTATTTGGGAGGCTGAGGCAGGAGAATTGCTTGAACCTGGGAGGATGAGGTTTCAGTGAGCCAAGATTATGCCACTTCACTCCAGCCTGGTGAGAGAGTGAGACTCCGTCTCAAAAAAAAAAAAAAAAAAATTGAACAGAAGGCATTCTAGTTTCTTCTAGGCTAGTGTGTTGAATGGGATTATATAAACTTAGGTATCTGCCATGCGGTCTGAGAAGCAGAGGAGAAGCCTGGAAAGGGAGAAGTCTGCAACAGAAATACAAAGACAGACAAATATGAGATTCACAGAATCCTTCTTAGTTTATGGCTCCAATTTTAATTTATAGCTCCAAAATCCTTCCCAACTGAGACCCACCATACTGCTTCCAGTACATTCTGTAAGCTACCTCTATATTTTAAAAATAAACACCTCTTTTGCTTTAACTAACTTTAGATTTTTTTTGTTACTGATAATCAAAGTCCTATATGCTATAGAATAACTGAGTTCCTGTTTGAACAGGAACACAGGTTCATATTTGACACAGCAAGTTGTACAAGTCAATTGATAATTGAATTTTGGTTTGAGTCTGCTTTACAAGGGGTATGATGAAACCTCCAAAATCCCCTAATTATTTTCCCAATTATTCGAATGCAAAAATCCATGGTCATTACTTCTTACCAATACTCCCCACAGTCAAACTGAACTGCCTGGCATAATCTTGGGTCGGACAAGCCCCTCGAAGAAGGCTGTGGGCAGAATCAAGCATGTTGATTAATTCTCTTAGAAAATGTAGTCATGTATTAAGCAACTGTCATGTGTTTGGACGCTGATCTGGATATTGGCGTATCATTGATGGACAAGCTACAGTTCAAGGAGACAGGAGCTATGAAGACTAAAGAGAGAATTTCAGTGCAGAGCAGTATGTCCTAAAATAGGACTAAATCTGGAAATATAAGAGTACAAAGAAGGGGCATCTATACCGGAGATCCAGAAAGGGATTCCAAGGGAAATGAGGCATAAGGCAATATTGAGAAGATGAGTAGAAGTCAAGCCAGATTAAAGAGTTAGGGTAAGGGGAGCAGGTTCCTAGGCCAAAGTAAGACATGTTCCAAGGCCTGTAGGCAAGAGTTAGCATGAGGAATTTTTCACGATGGCTGGCACCTAAAATCAGAGCAGGAAGGAGTGAGAAATAAATAGACAGATAGCAAGATGCAGATTCCATGTGAGGACCTTGGATTTGATCCTAAAGGCAATGGAAAATCTTTGATGGATTTTAAGCAGGGGAATTACATGATCAAAAATGTGTTTCAGGAAGATTATGCACTCCTAAATAGGTTAAAGGATGGCAAGCTTACCTTCAAAGAGACCTAGAGAAGTAAGCTGGTTCAGTAATCCACGCCAAACATGATGATATTTAGGATTCATAGAGTAAGCACGAGGAAGGAGAAAATGAAAAACACAGAGAGCTAATGACTAAAGCACTCCGCTGTGGAAATTGTACTAAAAAATCTGAGATAAAGGGTCAGGTCACTTCTTACCATGATCCAAAAACCAAAGGCTTTGATGCCAGATGTAACCACATCACAATATTTCAGAGCTGATTTCTGTTCCAGAAGAAAACAGTCTTGGTAATTTTTATAGTTATCTGAACCTCAAAGGTCTTCAAGGCTGGCTTGAAAACTTTACTTAACCACTTTACTGCCACATAAGTTACAAAGCCTGGGGCCGGCCATAAAGATGTTAATTTAATGAATATTCATAATCAATAAATATTCATTAAACAACAATTCCGTTCCTGGCATGCTGTTGCTCCTGGCAGGTCCCGCCTGCATGGCAGAGTGCACTTGTTAAATGAGTGTTGCTCATTGCAGAAACACCTTATGGGATTTCATGAAAGAAGCTGCATTCATCTACAATACATACAGATGTGTAGAGACAAGTTGGAACAAATTCTGCACATAAAGAAAAAAAAAAAAGCTTTTCTTCTTTGGAACAATTCTTGTGTTTCACAAATGTGTGGCCAAATATGCGAAACTGTATGGGGGAAGCCAAGTAGAATTCAAAAGGTTTTATTCCTGTTTCTATATGCTGGGTAAGTGCAAAGGCAGAAGTCTCTAACCAGATCTATGACTGCCTGAAAGAGGCCAGTTTGTAAATGCAAATGGCGAGTTGTGAGCGTAAGTGCTCCAAAAGAAAAAAAATCTTTTTTTCTTATATTGTATGGTGGCGTTTAAGAAGGCCACCCATTTCATATTAGATGGAGTCGCTATGATGCTGTATACATTTCAGTTGTAGTATACGTGTTCCATTATGATAAATTATTTTTCTAAAACATGGACATCACTATTTACAAGTGTTTCTCATTAAGAATCCACCAGAATTCTCCATGATCACCACCCAAAGAATTTTCACATGTTCTTGCACACTGGTAATAACTGACAAAACCTTCTAGATAGTGACGGTAAACAGATGAATTCTCTATCAGAATTTCCTGCTTACGAATACTATGTAAAGAACCAAATGTTCAACACTTTTCTGTATTCTTAAGGTGCTGCAAGACACTTGCTTTCTGTTGATTCCATA
This sequence comes from Homo sapiens, assembly GCF_000001405.40. Classification (NCBI taxonomy): domain Eukaryota; kingdom Metazoa; phylum Chordata; class Mammalia; order Primates; family Hominidae; genus Homo; species Homo sapiens. The sequence goes on along the minus strand of NC_000001.11, from coordinate 82,923,427 downwards.
GATTGCCTCAGGGAAACAATCCTGTTGTTTTCCAAACATATGATGAGCTTCCGGTCAGTGTAGAATAATATTTTCCTTCTTTCAGACCTGTTGGGTTCTCCCCCATGCCTGGATATCCACAAGCATTACCCTAATTAGTGGGCATTTAAGCAGATTTTTAAAACTCCAGTTATTTTGCCACTATTCAACTAATTCACTGAAAAAGAAGGCTAACCTGACCAGAAGTACCTGCAGTGCTGAGCTTCAGCCTCTTTGAAAGAGTAGTCCAAGAAGCTGTGATAGACGCATGCAAACTTTATGGGAAATTCCATGAGTTTTGATGTTGTTGTGCCATTGTTGTTGCTACTGCTGTTCTTGTTGATTTTCACGATTGAGTAACTTGCTTCATAAAACTTCCCTCAACATACTCTCAGCAACCTGAGAAAAATGAGAGTTTCCATGTAGAGGTGCATCTCTCTGACTCTTACAACTTGGCCTTTTTTTTTTTTCTTCAAATCTTGGAACTTTGATTAACACTTGAATATTTTGAATAAGGTGCTAAGGTTTGTGATTCAATAATGATGGCACTTACTTCATCTGCCTTGACAGTCTTTGAATAGAAAATGTGAGAGGTGAAAGGTTGGCTGGAAGGGCTACTGCCTCCAGCATACAGGTGGAAAAAGACGTCTCAGCTAGGGCACACTATTAAAGGAAAAATGATATCCTTATATATTTTCTTCTTTGCTTTCTAAGTGAACTTTCTCTTAATAGTCCTTATATCACATTATTTTCCTTTTAAAAAGGACAGTATAGAAACCACAGGACTCTCATAACCAAAGTAATTGCCTATCAAACCCAGGTCACTAATTAGACAAATTAAATTTTTCATGTACTCAACAACCACTCTCACTATTGGGCACTTGCTATTCTTCTAAAGGAGCCTCTAATAGTCATCTTATTTTACCTGAGCAATTTTAATTGCATCTTGTGGCATACCATTAGTTTTATTAGTGAGTTGCTTAAGCTTACTCATGAATAATAATCGTAAAATACAATAAATTTTTAAATACAAATTATAAGAAAAGTGAACTTAAATAATTTCTTTGAGACTAATTTTAATCCAAATTGAGCTTCGTCTATAAATTTAATTTTTTTCAGTCTGAAAATGGAAAGTTACGGTGGAAAACTTCCATCTAAATTCGCTTAATGTGATACCCTATTATACACAATTGTATCTTGGAGAAGCACAATGAAATGATTTTAAAACTATATACCGCTAAGAATGTCTTTGTGACTATGATGACCTTGCCTGATTACAAAGGTCTTTTTGTCCTACGTGTTGATGATCTGTTTAATTTAGCAATATTCAGGTTATTTCTTGCTTCCCATTCAAGAAGAATATAACATTGCTACAGGCATTTTAAGAAAAAAAAAAAGTTAAAAAAATTGAAAGCACAGATCAGTCTGTCTTGTTGTACAACTCCCCAGTCACCCTAAGTATTGCATTCCAGATAACAAAGTCTTTGTTTGGAATAGCGCATGAATAGTGTCTTGTGGAGCAACGCAAGAGCTGGGCAAGGATGACGGGATTGTGTTTTCATATTCAAATCCCATGCACCTTACCTTACATTTTTTCCAACTTGAAACTGTAGCAGGAAATTAAATATGATTATATTTTCATTGAGGTAGACAACATCTTTTAGCTGAGTAAACATTCTAAGAAGCTCTTTTTCAAATACGCTTCCTAAACTCCACTTACTGAAAATTCCTTTCCAACATTACTGCTCTTCTCCAATTTTTTCCTCAAATGAAACACAGACATTCCTGCCACCCTGACTTTGCTCCAGATGTGTCTCTCCCTGCTGCTTGCTCTCCATTTATCTAAGCCAGGAGTAGCAAGCTCAAAAGTGTGAAATTGCAGCTTGTAAGCCAGTAAGGTGTCAGGACATTGGAGAAACAGAGTCAGATTTTTTGAGCATTTATGCTCACAGCTCAAAATAAAATCAAGTAAAATGACAACAACAACAACAACAACAGCAAAAATCCTTACCAACAGCACATGCCTTTTTAGCTTATTTGGTCCCAGGAGGAGCCAGCCAGTTGCCCCTGGTTTAAATCCCACTGTTTCTTCAGACCCCAAGTTTAGTTCTATTTACTTTCGTGAAGACTTCCCTGGACACCCACCCTCAGTTGCCACGACCTCCTGTCTTCACAATGTAGCATTTATTGTAAGTACTATTTAGTTTTTATACACATATCCTGGAAGGTCAAAGGAGTTTCAGGGCAAATTAGCAGATCTTAGCACTTTACTTTGAGGGCCTGTTTAGAGTAGTTTGCCAAGAGCCAGCCAGGCAGCCTCTCCCTTGGGTGGTATGTGAAACCACCAGAAGTCCAGGGCTTGTTAACGCTAGGAGCATTGCAGTAGATAGACCCTAAAAGCAGAAGTAAGAGTTCATAAAGAAAACAAGGCCCTCAGCTCTGATTCTGACATATGTGGCTTGGTGAACCAAGGGCATGGAAAGGAGTGTATCAGAGCTTGTATCCTGAGGGACATTGTCTCTCATTTTCTCATCATCTTCCAGCGGATCACACCCTGTTGTCTTAGGGTCTGTGCTAGTCTTGTTTGGAAACATCTCCTTGAAAACCAAATAACTTGTAATTGTTATTATTACAAGGTTACTGATAAAACAGATGACAGCTATCAGCCAATCATGTCTATTATATATTTAACGGGAAGTCTTATCAGCCACAGAGGAAACTTAATTAATTAAGTATTCTCCGTTGTAAAATAATACACAAACATTTAGCTCACACTTCTATGAGATAAGCAGCATGAGTCATAGTGCAATAATCTACTAGTCCTGTGAATGGAGAAAGCAAGCCTAAGAAGTTATCAATGATTCATTCAAGGACACAGAAATAATCAAGAACAAAATGAAAAAGGGAACTTGGATTTTCCTCCCTCTTGTGCTGGTTTTTCAGAAAACTCATACCACCAGAGGCAGCAGTAGCATCCAAAGGCCCTTTGGAAATGCAAGTGTTTTGCATACAGATTTTAAATTCACAGAAATGTAATTTAATAAGCAGCTGCAGCACATGGTAGAGATACCTGGCTCTGCAAACTGTAAACTGATAATCTAGTTGGTTTTCTATTCTCCATTTTCTATGCTCCCCTAACTGAAGAAATGGTAGCATCTACAGAACTATCAAGCCTGTCAATTTGCTTTTTCACCTAGAAATATTTTGGAAAGATAAGTGTGTATGTCAGTTTGCAAAACAGCATGACTCCCTTAGCCTTTGCTCACTTTATTCTGAGCCAAAAGAGCTGATAGCATCTGTTTCCACTACCCATGCCATCCCATCATCAAAAAAAAAAAAAAAAGGCATAAAGTTTGGGAAGGAAGTTCTGAAAGCTTTCACATGCCTGTTCCTTACCAGGAAAACTATTTTCTTCCATGCATTCATTCTGCTTCCCTTTCTTGTGTCTGACTCACATGTTTAACTGGAAGATAATTTGGGAGGAAGTCAAGGGTAAAAGGTCAAGGGTTGAGGATTGTATTAAGTTCTGTGTTTACCAAAAAAAAAGAAAAAAAAAGATGATGTCAAATATTTTCCAATGAGAACTAAGCAGGATGGTCTTAAAAATAGAGGCAGAGAGAAAGAAAAAGAAACATTCACCCTCAGATCCTGTGAAAATTATGTTAGAACATATTAAACCTAGGATAAGAAGTTTAACATTATTGGAAAATTTCAGGAGACACATCAAAGTGTCTTAAACTGCAAAGTAATGCAAAATCAAAGAAAAAACATACTATGTTTACTAAATCAGTTTCCTTGTGGAAAACAGAGGTAGAGAATTAAGAATTTCTAAAAGCAAATGCATATACTGGCATTCTTTTCTTGGCCGTTACTTTTAATTTTATTCTTCTCTATGCATATGCAAGGATAATTCACGGATAATGGTTAGGAAAATGTGAATTAATTTAGAGAAAAGAAGATTCTGTGTAACATAGTCAAGCCAAGCTATTCATCCTTCTACCTCAAACACTACAATACCTGTGTAGCACAGGAGATGGGACGGGAAAGGGACAGGGAAACAAAGAGGGGCATGTGAAGAGGAAAGAATGCTTTTTTTCTGTTCTGCTGTGCATGACCTTGAAGAATTTGTTGACCTTCCTTATCAATTAGCAATGTTAAAGGATATATGGAAATATTTTGAACATTGGATTACTATAAAAAGTGCTTTGCAAAGCTTGTTACTAGGGAAATAATAGCAGTGATACAAATACGTCTTTATAGCAGGTTTTATTAACATTTTGGAAATAAATATATAGAGAATTTAAAACAATTTTAATTTGCTGTAATTTCAGTAATTATTCCATTTTAAAATACCAATAAATTCATATAAAATATATCTTAAGCTTAAAAACGAGTTTATTTCATTGTGATTATTTTCTATTGTTTTCTAACAAACTTGAAAAGCACTTTTCATAATAATTCACTACTCAAAATAATCATGGCTGGGTGCGGTTGCTCACACCTGTAATCCCAGCATTTTGGGAGGCCAAGGTGGGTGGATCACTTGAGGTCAGGAGTTCAGGACCAGCCTGGCCAACATGATAAAACCCCATTTCTACTAAAAGTACAAAAAATTAGCTGGGCATGGTGGCACACTCCTATAATCCCAGCTACTCGAGAGGCTGAGGCAGGAGAATTGCTTGGACTCAGGAGGCAGAGGTTGCAGTGAGCCGAGATCACTCCATTGCACCCCAGCCTGGGCAACAGAGTGAGACTCTGTCTCAAATAAAAGAAAAAAAAAATCCTGTATGTTATTTAATGTGGGCAGTGGGTTAAGAAGGTCAGCAGATTTCTCAAGGTCATGGATAACGAACACTACTTTCTCACTCTCTTTTATACACTGGGATTCAATTTGTTTAGGCATATTCAGATCTCATTCCCCTACCCTTGTAAAACTTTTACTTAAAACTTTTGGTGCCATATTTTTAATATTGGAGAATAGCTTGATCTAATATACATGATTTTGCTTTATATTTATTATTCACAGCTCTTTCTCTTTTCATCTGAAACTTAGTAATAAAAATTTAGTTATATGAGCCAACAACTTTGTGACATTAAGCCATCTGTCTAGCCTTTTATGCTTGCCTCAATAACAGGCAATCAATGACTTCTTGGAACAACTAACAGGTTTTAACAGTGAATGGAAGGAAACTTTTGCTTAATTATAGTCTTTGGAAAAGTTAACATGCATTAACCTCCAAAATGGTACACAATTACATTACTAAACTCTCACAAACTGTACATACATATATTTAACATTATCCTCTATTTACCTGACCATAAATTCTAAATATTTATTCAAATGTTTAGTGCAGTATCATACCAAAGGGTAAATATATACAAAGTTTTTGGGTTAACTAAAGTATGTATGCCTTTATGGCATTGAGCACATTGTATTGGAAACTTTTTAACATATTTGCTAAAATTTAATAAAATAAATGTTTAATCCATATGCCAATTTAGCAGTACACCTATTATTTCAATTGTTTTCTCAGAAAAATATAAATACAAGCATAGTGTACATGTGTGCATACCTCTATCTACTAGTCCCTAAGAGCACCTTCCAAAGGTAAACTAATGTGGTTGTAAGGACAACGGCCTTGCCACATTATCATGCCCAGGTGCTCAAAGAGATGAGGCTAGTTCTGAATATGTATTTTCCCCTATTCTGCAAACATAGTTCACTTAAAGACATTGTATTTTAAATATGTAAGCTAACCCACTCTTTATTAAGACTGATAGGTATTTTTCAAAATGAAATTTTTGTTGTCTGTACTTGCAAAGCAATATAGAAGCATTAATTTAAATAATTCACATAGGAATATATTCTTCTGGAAAAAAATGAATGCTACAAAAATTCATCTCATTTCAATTGAACTATTAGAATAATTACTTTAGTTATCTATATGTGTAAAATCTGTGGGTCATTTAATGGGCCCTGCAAGATCAACACTTTGGAAATAAATAGGTTCAGTTATTCTTGGTAGGTTAAGAATTATATAACTGATTTTTTAAAGTATTTGAAAATTTCTTAGATATTCATGAATTAACATTTTTGCTTTTTTTTTTTTCCCCAAAGCAGGACATTTAAAAAGAAAGAATGGAAGAAGTAATCAATCTTAGGCCAGAATTTGTCTTTACCAAAAAGGAAAGGGATATTGGAATCCTGGTACTTGATTTCCATTGCAGCTGGAAATCTTACTTGTTGTGTGACTGTGAGCAAATCTACTTACCCCTATCAGCCTACCTTACAAGGCAAGATAAGATTATCACGGAGAATAGTTTATGTTATGAGTACAGTACAATATTCCAAATGAAGTAAGAACTCAAAAAATAGTAATTATTTAAAATTACTTTTATTATTGTTTATGTAATTTCTGTCATTTTTAACTTAAACTGGACAACCATTTGGGTTTCAACTAAGGTTTTAAATTTTAAATCAAAATAATGTAATTAATGGATTGTTAGGGTCACACAGGTATTGAACAAAAAGACTTTAAACACATGGAATGTTATCTTTGTACTGCTCATCATTTTCAGCTCCAAAGTTTTAACTGTCTTTCTGTGTTCACAATGTGCTTACACCATGTGGGTTTGATCTAGTGAATCTCGCCTTTCTCATTTTCTGATTTCCTTATATCTATATTTGTAATCAAGTGAATTAGTAGCGTTTACAATTGCAATTTGTAGAAGACAGCATAGGCAAGCAGATGTTCCATTGTTAGAGATTCTGAGTCCAGTTTTACCGTATGTTCTAAACCAAAATGTCATGTCAGATTTGAGGTCCCTTGAGCTCTGCTGAAGTAGTAAAGGGGGATCCTTGAGTCCTATTACATTGACTTGTTGGCTGAACTCATTTCTACCTTTTCTCAGAAATGTTATTGTTTTAGTAATAGCAAAAATATTTTTATGTCCAAGACTTCCTAATAATTAATACTAAGATTTAGCATGAGCTTATTATTGTGATTACTTTGGTTTTTAAATTAGTAATGAAGAGAATTAAAGAAAACACTGTTAGGATGGCAAGAGAATATCTGGACTAGAATCAGGGACATTTTAACTGATTGGAGCATGAGTTTATTATAAGCACTTAATTTTGCCATTTCATTGCTGAGATTTCACATGATTTTTCTCTTAAAAATCAGAACATTTAAAACAAGAAATTGTTAGTAAAGTGTTAGATAAACAAAAAGGTTTTTTTTTTCCCAAAAAGGTTTACCAGTCTATCTAGCAAGGAACTCAATACAGCACAAAAGTAAAGAGCTGTGTTTCCATGCCAGAGTGATATGAGTAGGAAACTCAGATCTGCCATTTGCTACATATCAAACCTTGGGGAAATTATTTAATTATGGGAACATCAGTTTTACCATCTATAACATGGCATAATAATAGTATCAACATCATTAAATTAAAGATTAAAATAGATAATGAATAAAGTACTAGCACAGTGTTTGGCATGTACCACACTTATTGGTTCTTATTATTAATAGAATTTCTTATTAACAGCTGCAAATATGGCTCACTTGACCAAAATAGAATTTTATAGGCAATGCACTTCCACTATAGTTTTTACAGATAAAGATATATCTTATCATTGGGATTTGATGATAATTGTTGCAAAATGAGGATTAGACAGAAGATAGATGTGCATGTCTAAATTCTGTATTGAAGAATGAAAACACATATTTTTTCAACAGCACATTATGGCTCAATGAGATGTCACTATTGTGACAGGATATGAACTTCTCAATGTAAAAACAAATAGATGCAATACAGCCATAACCGTCAGATCATAATTCTTTTCCTATTAAATTGCTTAGTTGTCTGTTTCTCTAATGCATAGTGAAACATAAATTGTCAACGTTCCCTTTACTGGTTAAAATTTAAGAAAAGATATAGGCATGTAGAGCCAAGTGTTTCTAAAGCAAAACAATAAAAGGGGGATAACTAACACATATTTTTTTTTCTTTAAACTTTCTTAAAGTGAGGGACTTTGAAATGACTTAAGGATGTGAGTATCTTTCTGTGCGTCTAGTACAATGATGTAGTAGTCTTGAACACAGCACACAATGTGGCAGTTGCTATGGTGACAAGATGTTTTTCATTGAAGAACAGTTAAAATGGTGACATATAAATAACATATGCACAGTATATTGTCTCTGAGTGGAATGACCTTTGCCCTTGGACTATAAGAAGGTGTTTTTTTTCTTTTCTGAAATTCTTGTCTATTTTTGATGTGCATATGTATCTAATAGACTGGTGATCAAACTGCCCTCTTTGAAGCTGCACAGGGTACAGATCTGTGGTGAGAAAATAAAAGGTAGCTCAATATTGTATATGCAGTTAAAGGAGTTGATGGGTTGGAAATTAAAGCACTTGCATTAGGTGCTGGGCTGGCTGAAAACATTTTACACTTTACAAGCTCACTTTCCAATTAAAACTTATAGTACAGTTATATTTTCTTGTAATTTGGTGGAAAGGTTACTATATATAGCAACTAATTGTTTATAACAAAAAAAGGAAAATATAGCTGTAGGCAGAGAAGTTGAAATCTCTTCTGTTCTGAGACAAGGCACTGCTGGAGAAAAGGACACTTCATTTAAAGTACTAAGAATGCAGGCCGAGGTCTACCTTCTGCTCTCTGGCCTTGGGCAAGTCACTTAGTGACTCTAAGTCTTATCTTTAAAACAGAAATAGGGCTAACTTAATTGCCACAAAGAATAGGCAAGGGTATCAAAGTAGCAAATGCAAATGAGATTGGTATGCAAATGCAAATCATTGTTCTTATGAAGTATTATGAAAAGAAATATTTGAGAAGGTCAAATTTCAGAGTTTGTCCTGTCTGGCTTTAAAATGATAGACAGTGCTAATGGCAGTTAAACTAACTTTCTTCTTATTTCATGGCCTACTAGTCAATGTTATCTAGCTGGTAACTATTAACCTTTTAGATTATAATATATGAACATGTTCGTTTCATAAATGTAAGTTAGACTGCTGTATGTGATAGTGTGGCAGATATTCTGAATGCTTCTGACTAAAATAATCATAATTGCAGATTAAAATTATATACAAGTATGTATATCTGTGTATATATAATCTATTCATCTATATATAATAAACAATATATATTAATTACATATAACATACATATGTGTATATGTATTCATATGCATAGACAAAGAGGGAGATAGTATATATAATACATCTGGATATTTTCTATGTCTATATCTACATATATAATAAGTATCTGTGTATATATACGTATATATACACACATACATATACTTCGTTACATATCTGGCACGCAAAGAAACATTCAAATAAGACAAAAGCAATATAAGAACAGGCCATTTGGGAGGCCACTTGTTTGGCTCTGGTTTCTGCAAAATTCTGTGTTGATTCTTACATGGAATGCAGGGACGAACAGGAAGTAAAATGTAGGGTGAAGCATCTGATAGGAAATCCCATGATAAAGGTGGGATTGGCGAAGAAATACAGACTTAGTGTATAAGTGAATAAGAAATAAAATAAAGCCAAGAAGAAATACAGACTTAGTGTATAAGTGAATAAGAAATAAAATAAAGCCAAGCTTGAAAACAGGAGCAAGCAATAAGACTGCAGAATGACTAAGTAAATTTGAAAATCAGCTGAGGATTTTTAGACATCAAAAAACAATAATATATTGATGTTAAGATATTAATAGTAAGATATTAAAAAATAAAAAATATGTATACATATTATAAAGAACTAAAGCATTCATAGATAATATAATAGTTAACAGAGAAATTCTAGAAGAAACTATGTATTATTAGAATCACCCTGTATTTCGAGCACTTTGGGAGGCCAAGGCGGGCAGATCATGAGGTCAAGAGATTGAGACAATTCTGGCCAACATGGTGAAACCCTGTCTCTACTAAAAATACAAAAATTAGCCAGGCATGGTGCCTGTAGTCTCAGCTGCTTGGGAGGCTGAGGGAGGAGAATTGCTGGAACCTGGGAGGCGGAGGTTGCAGTGAGCCAAGATCGTGCTACCGCACTCCAGCCTAGCAACAGAGTGAGACCCTGTTTCAAAAAAAAAAAAAAAAAAGAGTTAATAGGAATGTAAAAAGGTTGCTCAATAGACTGTTAATATATAAATGTATTAAATTTTATCCAACAGCAACAATATATTATAATTATCAATATGAAATATTCAGTTTTAATAACATCAACCAGTAAAAGTGCCTAAGAATAAATCCAACAAATTTCAACTTTTTGATATAAGAAAGCATTAAAATACAATTCAAGAATATGTTTATATTGGAATTTACCCAATGTTTATGGATTGGAAGACTTAGTATCATAAAAAGATGAACGTTTTTAAATTTTCCTCAAAACAACAACATAAATTTTCTACAGAATTTGACAGGCTAAATCTAAAATTTGCATGGAAAAGAAAACCACCAAGAATAATTTAGATATTTCTGAGACAGGTTCTGAACAAGGTTGATAGAATGAAGATAGAAGAAATATAGGTATCAAGGTTCTGTATAAATCTAAGCTATTAAGACAGTGTATTGATACTGTGCTAAGCAAATATTCAAGTGGAACAGAATACAGAGCTCAGAACAAAGCTATGCATATATGGAAGTTTGATTTATGACAATACAGACATTTCGATCAGAGTAGAAAGAATATTTTAAAATTTATTTTTAATAAATTATCCTGAGATAATTGGTTACCCATAAAAATGAAATTAGATCCATAACTCATATATACACAAAAATCAATTCTAGGTGGACTAAAGACTTAAATCTTAATGGCAAACTATAAAAATGTTAAAAGACAAGCTAAGGAAATGTATTTATTAAACAAATAGAGTACAGAGAATGAAAAAACACCAGTCATTAAGTAAAAGACAAACAACCCAATAAAAAATTGGGCAAAAGAATGAACAGGCATTTCACGGAAGAAGAAACACTGTAGTTTTTTAATCACATGGAAAAAAATGTTCCACCTGGTTAGTAATCAGGGAAATTTAAATTAAAACTGTATCTATATATTTTTTACACATACAAGATTGAGGAAAAAATTAAAAGGTGAACAATGCTGATATTGGCTAGAATATGTTTTAACAGGAATTCTCATCTATTCTTGGGATGTGTATAACTGCTATAAGTATTTGGAAACAGTTTGGCATCAACTACTAAAGTAGGACATTTATATATTCTCTTGTCAGCAAATACACTGTTATGTGTCCTAGAGAAAGTCTTGCATGGGGATTTTTTAAGTTCATACTAACATCGTTTATTACAATAAAAATCTATAAATAATAAAAATGTCCATTATGAGTAAAATAGATATATACATATTTGGAATATCATAAAATGGAATATTATATACCAGTATAAAATTAAACTTCAGTTACAATATCAGTATAGATAAATCTAAAGATAAAATTTTGAACCAAAATAAAAGAATACAAATATAATCACTCTATATACATTTCAATCCAGACATAACTACAGTCTATATTATTTAGTGTTTAATATATGTGTATTAAAACTTAAAACACACACACAAGAAGATGATTAAAATAATATTTAGAAAAAAACAATAAACTTGCTGGGAAGAGAGGGATTAGATTGAAGGGTTCTACGTTACTAGTTACATTCTGTGTCTTTAGCTATGTGGTGGCTAAATGTAAATTCATTTTTCTATTATTCTTCATACTGTAGTATGCATGTTTCATATACTGTCATATATATGATATATTTCACATAAAGAATAAACAAGATGTCATTTATTCATTACTTTATTCCTACATAAATTTAACAGATAGTCATTGAATGCCTGTAGTCTGCCATTGTACAGATTATTTTAAATTGAATAGACAAGTTTTAGCATTTCCAAAAGCTAAATATCTAGTACGAGTTATAGACAACCATGCCAGAAATAACAATACAGAATTCTCACATTGTTCCATGACACATCTATGCACAGAAAAAAAGATAGTTAAATTGGCCTGTAGTTTAAGAGGGTTCAATGTGACAACAGACTTGAACACTGAAATCTGCAGGAGAAGGTGTTGGCCAAGAGAACAGTCCCCCAAAAAATGCATTCCAGAAAAGCCAACAGTATGTGAAAAGGCAGACATCCTAGAGAGAACAGACTTTTTAAATAACTGGATGAAACTGATAATTTGCTGGCAATTGCCATTTAATTACCTAAACTCTTTGGAAGAAGAAAACTATTGTAGGGGAAGGATGAGGAGAAGTTGGCTAATGGGTACGAAAATACAGTTAGATAGAAAGAATAAGTTCATGTTCAATAGCACAGTAGGAAGACTCTACTTAACAATAATTTAGTGTATATTTCAAAATAGCTGGAAGAGAAGATCTGAAATGTTTCCAACACAAAGAAATGATCAATGCTTGAGGTTATGAATAAGCTAATTACCCTGATTTAATCATTATGCATTCTATGCATGTAGCAAAATATCACAAAGCCCCATAAATATGCACAATTATTAAGTACCAAAAAAATCCCTATTAGATTCTTGAAAGGCAGTGAAGGGTCCAGGGAAGGTAGAACTTAAGAGAGCTGTCAAAATCTAGCCATTGTATGGTGAGCTCTTGTTGACCCAATAGCTAAACAGGGAGCTGCCAAGGGGAATCAGAAGTTCTATATTTCATTTCTTGGCTTGGTGTTATACCAAGAGAAGTAGCTCCGGTACTGGAAAGTTGATTAGGCAGGAAACCTATGTCTTAAATTAAAACAGGTTACTATCTCATCAGAGAAGAAAAGGAGTTTCTCAATAAAATAGAGGAAATTATATGAAAGAAAAACAGGTGTTGGAAAGTTCAGAGAAGGCCAATATGAATCAGAAGTAGGAAGGCAAAAAGCTAAATTAGGAAAAGAACTAGTCTTTTAGGTATCACATTTTAAGAGAGGCCAGCAAACCCTAACACATCCAATTCAAAGGGTCGTGATTAGGATACTGAACATTCCAAAACTGGGGTGGGGGTAGGGTTTTACAAAATTTAAAATCAAAAGAACTGAGAAATTTTTTGCCTAGAGAAGAGGCTCAAGGGTGAAGAAAATTGGTCTTCAAATATTTAAAGGATTGATATGTGGAAGAGGAAGTAGGCTCTCCAACTCATCAATTTTGGATAGTTACAGTGAGGTAAATTTTAGAGTAATATATGGAAGAACTTCCTGACCATTTTGATAGCCTAAATATTAAACAAGGGTTTTTGGCAATGGTGAGGACACCAGGACTGTCTCAGTACTCAGAACTAGATAGTTAATAGGCAGAGGTGATGTAGATAGAGGTGATATCAGACTCCATGAATATTATCTCTTCCAAACCAGAGATTGTTGAGCTTGTTTTTACGCTTTCTTTCCATATTTTTATTGTATCAGTTTATAACAGAGTACTGCGTAATAGAAAATTTTAAACAATAAAATTATCAAAATGAATAAATTGTTTTTTATAGAATTTGGTAGAAATAGATAGAAATTAAATGTGAACACAAGTTATCTCTCAACTCACATGAAAGCTATAATTTTAATAGTAAAATGTGGTAAGACAGCAAAGACCTTTTGAGAAATTCTTAATAAGTTTTAGAATTAAATTGCTATAAAGGTCATGGAGTAATTTTAGTCATTGCTACCAGACACAGGAAGATGTTTGGGGTCATTGCTGCCTGTCTTCTGTAGACCTAGCAGTAACTTTCCCACAATGTAAGAATGTTATGTGTGGATGTACAAACCCCTTATTCAGGATCCAGGAGATTACAGAAAACACAAATACCCTAAAAATACAAACTCTCAAGCAATTAATTTGTGATTATTACAGAAAATAGCAGGTTCACAAGCATTAGTTGACAGATTCCCACAAATGAAATTTGCAATATAAAGATCTTAACAACAAATTGCATTAAATAAAAACCACAATCGCCGAGTCTCTAGATAACTTCAAATAGTTCAAAAAGTCAGTGTCTGAGTGTGCAAATTTAGTACATCACAGTGAAGAACTCATGTTAGAAAACCCAGCTTCCCTGAAGCCAAGTATGTTTGTACTTGCCTTTACAGAAACCAAGAATCATTCAACTCATCCATGTCCTGCATAAACTCCTGCTATAAAATGAAGTTATTAATGATTTTCCAGGCTCTGATCATAGTGAGGTTTCTACTTCCTTCCATGTCTTCAAATTGAGCAGTGTTGATTTATGTTTCATCTAAAATTTTATGTAAATGTATTTGATTAAAGAGTCCTCTTCTAAAATTTGTCTTTAAAAAGCATTGGACAATATCATCCTTCTCATAGCTCTAAATATTTTGAGAACACGAAGTATGCCTGTTTGTCTCACCTCCTATTCCAAATTCCTAGCACAGTGCCTAATAGTGCTAAAGAAATATTGCTGTATGTATGAACGAATAAATAAAAGTTAAAAATTCATAATGCTATGACTAAGTGCAATGAAAAATATGAAGAACATTTCCAAGAAGTACCTTTAAATATTTATTTATAAAAACTTGTTTATTGGTCTGGCACAGTGGCTCATGCCTGTAATCGCAGCACTTTGGGAGGCCAAGGCGGATGGATCATTTGAGGTCAGGAGTTTGAGACCAGCCTGACCAACATGGTGAAACCCCATCTCTACTAAAAATACAAAAATTAGCCAGGCATTATGGCGGGCGCCTGTAGTCCCACTTACTCGGGAGGCTGAGGCAGGAGAATTGCTTGAACCCGGAAGGTGGAGGTTACAGTGAGCTGAGATCGTGCCACTGCACTCCAGCCTGGGACATAGAGCAAGACTTCATCAAAACAAAAACAAAAACAAAAACAAAACCTTGTTTATTTAATTACCAAATGTGTACTGGGCACCTACTATATTATATGCAGGTAGTATTCTACACAGCTGGAATACAGCAGTAAACAAAAGAGAAAATAATAGATAATAAATAACGGACATGAATAAATACATAGCCTGGTAGAAGGTGATGATTGCTATAGAAATAAAAGGGTAGTATGGGAGCTAAAGAAGTTCCACTCACAGAATTGGAAAGTAGGATATTGGTTGCTAGAGGCTGTGAAGGGGATGGGAGAGGATAAGGAAAAGATGATGGTTAAGAGATACCTTATTACAGCTAGACAGGAGGAATAAATTCTAGTGTTCTATAGCACTGTAGGGTGACCATAGTTAATATTAATTTATTTTATTCACAAACATCTAGAAGAGAGGTTTTTGAATGTTCTCAAGACAAAGAAATGAAATGTTTGAGGTCATGAATATGCTAATTACCATAAATTGATCATTACACCTTGCATGCATATATTGAAATGACACTGTACCCCATAAATGTGTACAATTATTATATGTCAATTTTAAAAATAAGGAAAAAGTGAGGGAGGAGAAAGAAAGAGAGAAAAGAAATAGAAATATTAAACATGAGACAGTATAAAGGGGTTCAGGAGGACCCAGGCTGGAGAGGTGGCAGGTTATAGTAATAAGCAGGGTGTTCTTATAAGACCTCATTGTGAAAGTGACATGATCAGAGATTTGAAGATGGTGATCAAATAAATTGATCATGTAGAATACATGGTGGAAAAGAAGTCTAGGCAGTAGAAACAGTGCAAAGCCCCTAAAACATACTATCCTTAAGGAATGTGAAAGAGGCCAATGCTTCTGATTAGAGTGAGCAAGCGGGTATAGTAGAAGATAAGATTCTTAATCTGCACCATTGTCATAACAAAATGTCATAGACTGGTTGTCTTAAACAATAGAAATGTATTTTCTCACAGTTCTGGAGAATAGACGTTCCAGGTCAAAGTCTGGCAAAGTCAGTTTCCTGGGAGGGCTCTCTTCCTTTCCTGTAGATGACAGACTTCTCATGGTGTACCCACATGGCCTCTCTCTGGTGGGTGTGTACAGACAGAGAGAAAGAGAGAGAGAAAGAATCTCACAGATTTGCATTGGGTGAAATGTTCTGTACTCGATCACATAATAGAAATCTGGGTTTGAAATAGAACAATTTGAGTCACTAGTAATAATGATAATAATTAAATAGTATATTATTATAACTACTATTATAACAAGCAAATGAATAATAATTTTTAAAAAGTGATTTCTGCATCATATGACTGAGTCTAAAATACACTCTTTGCTGTGAACCTTAATAATCAAGCACAGATCTCTCTCTCTCTCTAATTCTTTTTATATGGCCAATAATCCTATCAGATTAGGACCTCACTCTTGTGACCTCATTTATCCTTAATTACTTTTGAAAAATTCCTGTTTTCAAATATAGTCACATTAGGATTAAGGCTTCAACATACAAATTTCAGGAGAACACAATTCAATCCATAGCAAAGAAAAACAAGATAAAGTTTAAGGGTAGATCACGTAGGGCCATACAGATCATTGAAAAGGCTTGGGATGATTATGCCTGGAATTCTCTGCATAAAGAGTTTTATGATTCTGTGTTATATCAAGGCATAGAATTTTTTCCTCCCATTATTTTTGGATTTTAGCTTAGGGCTGAAATAACAGGAGACAAAAGCTAAGAAGACACTCAAATTGAGCCTCAAATGTCAGCTTTGAGTACTGGTGTTTAATATAATTGGAATAATTTGCCTGAATTTATTAATTAAATTCTACATCACAAACCTTGGAATTAAAACTCCTTTAATTTAACATGCAAATCTATGCAGAAACATGCAAAACAGTATTCGTAAAGCAACTGAAATGTATCTTCAGGCTTTACTGTAGGGGTCAAAGCAAGAAGATGGGAGGCAGGGAACACATTCTTTAAGAACAGTTTTCGTATGACCTAGTATACCAAAATATATGTTGGAGGCATACTGGTGAACAGGATAGTTAAACCAAAAATGGGTGAGACACTACTCAATTTAATTACAAAACTTCCTGCTGTGTGCTTATAAAGTATACTAATGGGCTAATAGATAATGTACAAAGATGTCTAATTGCCACTGAGGATCAACTATTCCACACAATATGTTAGGGGTTTTTAGCAGAGCATCCTTCCATTTAACCAGAGTTTATCCTGCCCATTAGAAGAATCTAATTCAATCATTGTTCAGTGTCATTAAGAAAAAATATGATTCTGCTGACAGCATTTGATTTAAAAAAAAGTGCAGTTCTGAAAATAGATACAGTTAGTCATTGGAATCATTATCAAAGCTGAGTTAATTATAAAAATTTTATAAGCATGTATTATTTTCAATCTTATAATAACTACTATTTTAATTATTATGATTATTATTCGTGACTCACATTGTTTTATTTTAAAACCAGACTTCTATTATGTGATAGAGTATAGAACATTTCACTCAATGAAAATCTATGAGAAGGAGAAAAGGAAGAAAGTACAGTCATTTGTATATTGGTCCAAGCAGGACCTTAAAGATCAGCTGTCTAACCTTCTCATTTTACAGATGAGGGAAGAGACCCAGAGAGGTTAAATAGTGAAATGTGAAATTGAGATGATTTGCTCTCATACGGATTTAATGGCTTCATTCCTAGCTACCCATTCTGCTTCAAATCTAGTCAAACAAGCAAATGAATAATAATTTTTAAAAAGTGATTTCTGACTAACTCTAAAATATACTCATTGCTGTGAACTTTACCAATCAAACACAGATTTTAACCTTAGATCAAAGGAGTAACATTTTCTCAATTTAATCAGACTACAAAAATTTCTGTGTGTTAGTTATGACTGCAAGCTATTTTATTAGTGTATATTTTAAAGCTCATTCAGGAAAGGCAATATAGCCTTCCATTCTCTTTCAGATACATTACCCTAGGTCAGTTTTCAAACCCAAAAGGGAGAAAGACATCCAAATAAAAAAATTAGCATCTGGCTGGGCATGGCTCACACCTGTAATCCCAGCACTTTGGGAGGCCGAGTTCTGGCAGATCACGAGGTCAAGAGATTGATACCATTCTGTCCAACATGGTGAAACCCCGTCTGTACTAAAAATACAAAAATTAGCTGGGCATGGTGACGTGTGCCTGTAGTCCCAGCTACTAGGGAGGCTGAGGCTGGAGAATCACTTGAACCTGGGAGGTGGAGGTTGCAGTGAGCTATGATCATGCCACTGCACTCCAGCCTGGGCAACAGAGCGAGACTCTGTCTCAAAAAAAAAAAAAAATTAGCAACCATGCATAGATTTATCTAAATACAGAAATTTCACGCAGAATAGATCTGTGCTCATTACACTAGAGCATATTACCAAGAGAATGCTTTTTAAGCCAAAAAAAAAAAAAAAAAAGATGCCGAAGACCTTTTTTAGACCCCATCCACCCAAGGGTCATTGCTCTACTGCAATCAGTGCTTATGGTCACAGTTATAAAGTGGTGACTCTTATAACACTGTCATGAGTTATAGCTCAGAAAGTATGAAGCAGAGAAACCGGCAAAGCTGACCCAACAAAGATAGATATAAAGTTAGCAGAGGACTAGAGATAACTTTATGCCAGTTGCTAAGGGTGACGTACAACTGATGGATAATGTAATAATGCACATTAAGCCACACTTACACTAAATAAGTTCACAACATCATTAATATCCATAACAGCAGGGGCATCAAGCTGACTGAGGTAAGTAAAGGCGTTGATGATAAGGATGCCTTAAGGAAAGGCCTAAACCCCTAATGACCTGATATGATGCATAACAAAACAGGGAAAAAAGGACACTGTGGTTTCAGCTTCATTTGTCCTTGTTTTTTAACTTGAACAGCCCTCTAACTCTTTTTTTCACAGCACTGCCATATTTCACATGTCCTTCTTTTTGAAGGTAACAGATACATCTCTCATCTTATGGACCTGCATTCTCATGTTAGCAAGTCTGTGACTTTCTCATTTGTCCTGACTGCTCATCCCTATGCCGGGGCTGCTTCTTTGGTATTCCTATTCTTTGCATTTTTGTCTGTTTCTCATTTTATTTAATTCTCAGAAGTGTTGTAAACTAAGTTCTCTTTAAAAAAACATTTTTTAAGATACAGGGTCTTGCTGTGTCACCCAAGCTATAGTGCAGCGGCATGCCCAGAGCTCACTCTAACCTCAAATTCCTGGGTTCATGAGATCCTCCTCTCCGGTAGCTAGGACTACAGGCATGTGCCAACAAGCCTGGATAATTTTCTAATTTTTATTTTTTGTAGAGATGGGGTAGCTTTATGTTACCCAGGCTGGTCTCCAACTCCTGACCTCAAGCAATCCTTCTGCCTCAGCATTTCAAAGCACTGGGATCACAAACATGAGCCACTGCACCCAGCCAAAAACTAACTTCTATTTAACAAAATCCTTCCCTGTCTTCTGCTGTACATTGCAATAGGGAGAAACAAAAAAAGAAGAAAAAAAATAGTATATGAGGAAGTTGTGCATGTATGAAGGCTATGAAGGCTATCTCTAGGCAAAATTAAGTGGGCAACTCCATTTCCTTCTGAAAATCCACTCTTCTCTCTGTTCCCAGTTTATAAACGATGTGGCTAATTAGACCATTTACTATGGTATGCCAAATCCGAACTTTTGATACACTCACCACCATCTCCGTAGAAGCCAGTTGACTTAATAATCTGTTAACTGTAGCTAATTAATTTGAGTCCTTCAGATAGAATATGCCTTGACTGGAAGGAATGACTCAACCGGAACAATTTTAAACCTCATTTAAATGGATTCTAGAGTATGAAGCAAGGAGTATGGGATATTGTAGCTTCCTTTATAATTCTGTGTTATATCAGGGCATAGAATTTTCCCATTATTTTTGGATTTCGGCTTAGGGCTGAAATGACAGGAGACAAAAGCTAAGAAGACACTCCATTTGAGCCTCAAATGTCAGCTTTGAGTACTAGTGCTTAATATAATTGGAATAATTTGCCTGAATTTATTAGTTGAATTCTAGATCACAAACCTTGGAGCATAGGTAATCCAATTTTGTAGATGGGGAAACAGGTCTGAGGAAGTTAAATAATGTGCCCACTATCAGAGAGCCTTAGTAAATGTTGGGACTAGGATTCAAACCTAGGCAACCTGAATCCACAGCCCAATGTCTCCAAGTGCCTACTTGTTTCTGAGGTTATTATTTGTTGAGAACACTCCAGAATCACTGTAGTAATATAATCACTGTTGTCTGACTTTGGTCAAGTGACTTAAATTCTCAAATGCAAAGCAAGAGTGGTTGAGTAGACGATCTCTAAGGTCTTTGAGAATTCTAACATTCTAGCATTCTCTGGCCCTGTGATTTCATAAACGTTGAGTCAACCTTACAAGACACACAATAGCTGGCTGATAAAAAGCATTATTTCAGTTACTTGAAAGTGAAAGAGGGCCAAGACTAGTAACCCCAATGATAGATTCTGTGTTCCTGTCTTAGTCTGTTTTCTTCTGCTATAACAGAATACCTGAGACTGGGTGATTTATAAGGAACAGAGATTTATTTCTTACAATTTTAGAGGCTGGGAAGTCTAAGATCAAGAGGTCCACATCCGATGAGGGCAATCATCCTGCATCATCCTATGGCAGAAGGCAGAAGGACAAGAGAGTGAGAGAGACCAAAACAGCCAAACTTATCTTTTTATAAGGCACCTTCTCCCTCCATGACAAATCCACTCCCATGAACATGTCATTATTCCACTTATGAGGGCAGAACTCTCATGTCTTAATCACCTCTGAAAGGTTCCACCTTTTAATACTGTTACAATAGCAATTAAATTTCAATGTGAGGGTTTTTTGTTGTTGTTTTTTCTTCTTGTTGTTGTTGTTATTGTTGTTTTGAGATGGAGTTTCGCTCTTGTTGCCCAGGCTGGAGTGCAATGGAGCGATCTCGGCTCACAGTATCTCTGCTTTCCTGGTTCAAGTGAATCTCTGCCTCAACCTCCCCAGTAGCTGGGATTACAGGCATGTGCCACCATGCCCAGGTAATTTTGTATTTTTAGTAGAGATGGGGTTTCTCCATGTTGGTCAGGCTGGTCTCAAACTCCTGACCTCAGGTAATCCGCCCACCTTGGCCTCTCAGAGTGCTGGGATTACAAGCATGAGTCACCGCACCCGGCCTCAATATGAGTTTTGAGGGGACAAACATTCAAACTATATCATTTCCCTGAGTCACAAAAAAATCAACTGACACTATATAGACCTACAATAATTTATGTATACAAAATAAGAAATACCTATTTAAAAAATAAATGTTAGTGGTACTAGTACAACTAATGAAAATAAATGGGAACCATAGAGATTTTGTCACATAATAGAAATCTTTTTGATCTATGGTGTATCATAATGAGACCATCCATCAAATCAGTTTGGCCACTGATTCTCTTATTGCTAATATGAGCTCCACTGTAAATTAATTTAACACTCGCTTCAATTGTAGTACTATTCAGAGTACTGAACTTGACTTCACCTAAAAGAACTGCCCCCTCCAGTCCCCATAATGTGTCTAATCGGTCTGTTAATGTAGGCGCCTCAGACTTTTAGTTTCAGCCAATTACTTATAAGAAAGTTGGTGCACTGCCTCACTTAAGACTGAATAATAGTGCCGGGGCAGATAATTTAAATCTAAAGCTTCTTAAGCCAGCTGCTTCATTAAGAGGTAAGCCAGTAACTGATATTTTTAATTTAACACTCTTTTCTGGAGATCCTCCATCAATCGGGATGTGTGCCAGAGTAATACCCTCATAAAGAAAGAAGTAAAACAGGCCTGAAACAGTGTAGTGAGGAAATAAAAGAAATTGATCTAGGGTTATTTTTCACAATCCAAATGATTCACTTGGTAGTCACCCAATAGTAAAGCTAAATTCGAATGCTTTGAATGAGGAGGGATTAAGAGATTGTAAAAAGGGATATGAGGGCTATGGAAATTCAACTCAGCAGCAAAAATAAGGGGAAAATGGCCAAGAATAAGGCATTCTCAAAAGGTATGAAGGATAAAGAGAAGTCAGAAGATATTTCTATATATGAGTTTATTATTTGTTTTTTAGATGACTCAACATATTAAAATATATTGAAGTGCATTATTATGCTACGAGTTCAGCATAGAGCTGGACACTATAGCTGATCCAGATGGAGATAAAACTCAGGAAAGGGAAGCAATTAATTAATGCAAGATGGGATGCATTCATGTGCTCAGATAGATGCATGTAAACAGAATAAGTATAATTATAGATCAGAGAAGAGAGAGCATAGTGTTGGTAGGTCTTAAAAAATTTTGCTTACATAATGGCTAAAAGACTTTTCATCACATTTCATTGGTTGCATAGAATACAATTTCTGCTATATTATAAGAAATAGCATTTATTAAATAAAATAGCTAGATTATTTTGTAAAATGTATTAAAAAGAATCTAAATACCAGTAATCTGATTGCAAAAAAATCCATTTTAAAGAGTACATAAGCAAGCTTTTCTCTGAGTCAGAAATTGTGTATTATTTCCTTAACTCCTTGAATTTGTATTTCCATTTTGATTACCATACAAAATTATATAAAAAGGAATATATTTTATGCATGTCTTTTCTGTCACAAAAATATGAATATAAATTGAAATTATTCTTTTATTAATTTTCCTGGACTCTAACAGTTATTAATATTATATAACCAAATAATATTTTGGTTATTATATATAAAAAGTAAATTTTATTAAAAATAATTTTTAGTGAAATAGGATTGTCATTTTCAATTAGTATATGTATTATAAAAGAATACAACTTATTGATAAATGTTAGTGGAATCTTTGATAATTGTATTCCTATCTGTTGTTTGTTTTCTTTAAAAAATGTATGTTTTTAGAAAAATTGTTCCTATAAATAAGTAGATGTGGATAGGAGTTTAGTTTTGGCAACACCTTTCACTTTTTCAACATTTTCTGAGGTACATGTCAAAAATTACATTGTGATCTATTATTCTTTGTAATAATCAATCTTCTGACAACCCAATTAGATCTTTGTTCAATTTTGTTGAATGCGATGAATGATTCAATAAATGCTTGCTATTCAGTCATTAGAGTCTTCTACTTTCTCTGCTTCAGGAAAAAGTTTATTAACATTTATCAAAAAGTCATTCATTACACCTGTTCCTCTTCCACTTACAGTCACCTTGTTTGACCTGATAAATACAAAGTTAAACAACAACAACAAAACACTTTAAAAATGATTTTATGATGTCACATGCTTTACAATTTCATCAAAAAGCTTGGAGCTACAGAATTAGTTCATTCAATTTTTGGATAATGCTCACTGTGTGACCCAATTGATATGAATTAGAGCTGATATCCATTTTCAATTCAATCAGCCAAGTCAGCTTTAACTTCAGCATAACAATCTGACTTCATCTTTCAATCCAAATAAATCTGTTAATATGTGTGCCTATTACGAGACTCTAACTTCTGAATTCTACAAGTTGACAGGTAAAAAGATTATATATAATACATAGAAAAGGCATGAAACTTTGCAGTAAATTTGTTATTTGACAAAATAAACCACTGCAGTATTTCATTCCAATGCTTGCTTTGTTCATTTTCACTGATCTCTTGCTGAAGACTATTGCATTCTTCAACAAAAATCAGCAGATGTAATAGGCAAGGTTGTTTAAAGGAAATTTCCACTATTCCCAGTATTCTACACTAAAATAAATTGGAATGAAGATACCCAAACACATTTCAAAGTATTCCAATTCTAATTCTATATTTTTCATTAACAGACATACATATAAGACAGAAACATAATATAATAGTTCATGCCTCTATATATAATTTCATGGATATTTTATGATTCTTGATAATCCATATCCATAAAGGGAGGTAATAGTGGAAGAATACCAAAATGCCATAAATATGTCACTTTCAGAATATATAATTTAATCATTAGAATGACTATAATACTAATGATTTACATATTAAGAGTTATCATAATCTGTAAAGTACTTTCCTGTCAGTGTCAGTCAGGGTCCAGTCAAGAAATAGGAACTACTCTTGGTCTTCTACAAAGAAAGGATTTAATATAGGGTATTGAGTATTTACCTAATGGGAAATGAAGCCATATATGAAATGCTAAAACAACTTAGAGATGAGCAAAAGTTGGGAACTACTACCCCTAGAGCTAGAGAGACAACAGGAGGAACTGGTAATACCAGAACCCAGAAAAGGAACCATCTAGCAGGAATTTAAATCCACTGGAGACTGCCCTGCCCAGCAACAAGGCCATACAGGAAATGGCTGATGGGTGGAAGCTGGAGCCGTGGAGGAGCCACAGCAAGACGTACTCCCTCAAGAGAGAGAAAGGAGGAAAAATACGAAGCCTTTTCTTAACTCTTGTCTGAATTTTCTAAAGCTGCTTCCAAGTGGCTGAAATGTAGATGTCAGAAAGCAAGAAAACATGGAATCTGCAGTTTCCTGCAATACAGAGGAGCAAGTAAAGGATGCAGAATGAATTAGAAAGAAACAGGTAATTGGCATACACAGCATTCATTATTTCATTTGATTATCACAACTTCATGAGATCATCAATGCTCTACAAGGATTCTTTTGATTGTGCTCTTTAACAACAACAACAACAACAACAAAAAGACAAGACCACTGGAGTTTAGAGAGGTCAAGCTGCCAAGAAGAGTTGGATCTAACCCTCAAACTCAGATCTGTTACTCTAGAGATCTTTCAAGAACAACACAGAACTTAATATACTACCTTGGTCTTTCGGATTTTGGCATATGTGGGGAAATACGCCTTTGTATCTGTGGGTTTAAGATAGGGAAAGTTGACGAACAAAGTGGGCCTAACTGTGTTAAGTTTCACAATTAATTGTATTAAGATTATTCATGGTGCCTACAAATCAATGACATAACTATAGCATCAGTAATTAAAAGTATGATAAACACTTATAGTGTTAAAGAATCTCTGATCATGACCATTATTTGTCTTCTCAGCAAAGAAAGCAAAAGCCAGCTTCACTAATGACTTAATGCTGCCCCAGCATTGTAACTAGGCCATAGCTACAAAAGCATATTATCATGGGGATTTTAAAAAATAATATAAGGGCGGTTTACTATGGAGATAGAGTGAGGACAGTTTCTTTTACAGCCTCTGCTGTAGCTCTTCTCTCTGTAGGATAATATGACAGTTTAGAAGAGAAGAAATAATACCAATCATAAGAATTCTTAAATAGGAGCCTATGTGCACTTGAAATTGAACGTTGTGTGTGTGTGTGTGCCTGCGCACATGCACACATGCTCACAGTGTATCTGTTGTGGCTGTGTTTTAATCATAATCTTTAATAGAGATTGCATTATTAGGGTGCATAGCAAAGAGTCTATATTGGATAACTCTTTTGCTTTTGCCATACTTTCATTCTAACCTGAATTTGGAAATTTTAAATTTTCCTACAGAGAAGAAAAAAAGGAAATGGCAGACACTAGTTAGCCATTCCCTCCAAATTCTGGCTTATCAGGCTACAGACCCTAGCCAATTTTATACTACATAAAACGATTCTCAGGTCTGGATTCCCCACAGTTGTTAAAGGCAGGTATCCATGTGATTCAAAATCTTGCCAAGCAGAGCCTTCTATACCAAGGGAAACAGGGAGCAATATCACTGGCATTCAGAATCATTGTCTGAAACACATTCAGTGCTGTCTACTGTTAACACTCAGGGGCTGATACTCAGGGAATGGTGAGTTTGTGGAGAGAGTAAGACAAACATTTCCACAATTAATTATGATCCTTTTCAAAGGGCTTTGGGAACAGAACCCATTGTCAGAAGAGCCTGAGTTCCCACAGAAGGCAATCAATTCAACATTTTCCCAATGGCATATGGGACAATGCACCATTTTTACAATCTGGGGAAATGACTTTTAGCATCCCTTATGAGTCTGAAACCTGTGAGAGTGAAGACAATTGTGAGACATGCCTAGCCAATTTCTTGCAAAGTCATCTGAGAATGATTGGTAGTGTCATTGTCAACGATAATGGCATCTATCCGAAGAACAGAAGGAAGCAAAATTATGAAACTCTTGTTTTCCTTTTTAATTAGCAGTATTACTTGGGGCTACATGATTTTTTTCATTTGCCATGAATGATATCATGTTTTGTGGGCTATTGTAAGTTTGCAGCCAGATTTCATTAAATGAGAAGAGTGAATGTTTTCAGTTAAATTTATTCCTCATGGATCAAACCAGATTCTTGTTGGTATTAGTTTTCTATTGCTGCAAGTAAATTATTATAAACTGTAGTGGCACAAAACAACATAATTTTTTTATTTTATAGTTTCTATAGCCCAGGCTAGGTCCTCTGTTGAGGGTCTCATCGTTCAAATTCAAAGATCGTGATCTCATCTGGTCCTCTTCCAAACTCACAGGTTGTCAGTGGACTTCATTTCTGAGGCCCCTATTCCTTGCCAGCTGTGTGCAAAGGACCACTCTCCTCAGGTTCTTGCCACCTCCTCTCACAGTATGGCCATCTGCTTTCTTCTGCGTCAGCAGGAGAGAATCTCTAGGACACTTCACCTAACTTTAAAGGGCTTACCTGTACAGGCCAAACCCATCCAAGTTAATCTTCTTGATTCACTCAAAATCAACTGATAAATAACCTAATCATGAAAATAGTATTGGTCCTACTCACATTCAAGGGGAGAAAGTTATAGAGGGTGTGTACATCAAGAGGTAGCTATTTGGAGCTATCTTAGAACTTGACCTGCCACAATTTTCATGAATTTGTTTTGCAGATGTTACTTATGAGATATATGCTACTTATAAGAATAATTATAAATGTATCAGAAGACCAGATATTTCAAATGAAATTATTGTTTCTAGAGAATATTTCATAGTTACCTATAAATTATGACTACTTAGATTATGTTTGAGATGATTATAAAAATCATAATGACATCTGATTAATTTATTCAGAAACATAATTGACCTATACATCATGCACATTCTGGATTAAACAAAATATTTGTAAGGTTGAATGCAAGATCCTAGCTATATATTTCCATTTTTTCCATGATCTTAGAAATCTTATATTCCTTTTTATCATTTTTAACATATGCAATCTTGAATACAAGCATCACTTCTATTACTGTGAGCATATAAGTGGTCAACACTTGGTATTGTCTGGTGAAAGCATGTTTATCTAGAGCAAATGTTAAATGTGTACATAGTTTTAAGTTCAAAGAGTAAGGACAAAACCAGAAGTTTGACTCAGAGGTTAAGTCCTTAATCAAAGTGTGATGCATGCTGCATTAACACAGGGCCAGATTTGGTCTGAATGCATAAAGCTTTTGTTCTCTCATTTACAAATGTTTGCAACAGGCTAAAGAGCAAAAATGGTAATTTACTATGATCTAAAATAACTGTTTTGCATTTCAGTGTCTTTTATGGTATAGTGTGGCATACTCAAAAAGTATTTATCAAAAAGAACAATATTTTTAAATAATAAGACTTATAGAATTAAAACATAGTGATGCCCTTCCTGTAGCTTAGAGACTATACTGCTCTCGCCATTGTGGTAGATTCTAAACCAGTAATGTATGAAATATAAGCTTTACTTTTTTATCGCATCTTCTTAGGAAAAGCAAGAGAGAGGTGATTTTAACTATATTTGTTCTTAAAGAAAGAAAGAAAATGCAGTCAATTTGCTGTTTTCAAGTAGCCAAGAGAAATTAGTTAGCATTTTTAAGAGGCAAATAGTGGTCTTAAAAGGAAATTCAGATATATGAAAATAATTCTGAACTGCCAAGTAATTTATTTGAGTAGTATGGAATGGTGGGTGTTTCTGTGTGTGTTTTACGGAATAATTTAAGCTCTATTCTGGTTTAATGTACAGTGCCTGCTCACGGAGACTGATGAAAGAAGTTTTATATAAAAGTTTGCTACTGTGATTATTGCTAAAATGCTACATGGTTGCTCTAAGTTAATGATATTTAAACATTTTCCTCAGTAATTGTACTTCTCAATTGAAAGGAAGATACATTTTAGGAGTGTACTTTTTTTACTCCTTTAAACTAAGTGCTCCTTATAATACAAAACAGCACTCAGTGATCCATGCAGGCTTCCATTTATAATATTAATAGAAGACATGTTCCATGTTAATCCATCTCATTAATATTAAAGAAAGAACTCCAAGACTGGTGAGCACTTAATCATTTGCAATTAGCACCTAACTGTTAATTCTATGGAGGGCTCTTAAGGAGACAAGCAGAAGAAGTAGCTCCCGTTTGTTAAATGTTAGTTGATTTAACTTACAGTATTTAATTCTGGGAAAACTCAGTAATTAGAACAATTCATGTAGCTAGACAAGTTTAATTGATCAGTTAAAAATAAAAGAGTCCCCAACTGAGAGCAACCACAAGATATACATTTTGGAAATGGCCATGACATAGCCATTTTGCTAATTTATTTTATTAAGTTCTGTGTGCTTCTAGGCCAATGTATTTGGCATCTGAGCAGAGGTGAATAAACTTCCAGCCCAGGCCACCTCAATACAGATCCTAAAATCCAATTAACAGAATGGGCAGGTTGTCTGGTTTGGCTCCAACTAGAGCAGATTGTTTCCTCAATGTCAACTCAACCTGAAAAAAAGAACGCCTGTGAGCTTCCTACTTTAGGACTAAAAAGAGCTCCAAGGCCCAGAATAAGAGCTCTATGCCAATTACTTAGAGCAAAACCAAGTTCCACACTGTGGTGCGGCCCCTCTACTTTCCTTCTACGTTGATTCTGTCATGAAATGGCCTCTCTCCCTCAGCTCTGAAATCTGCCTCTTCTATAGGAGCAGATTCTATTATCAGGGATTTTTGTTGAAAACTTGTTGGAAGAATCAAAGGCTTTGGAAGAATCTGTTACAGAGCACTGGAGGGGAATTGACCACAGGGTAGACATGCTTTTAAAAAAGAGATCTGTATCTGTTTCCACCATCTTATTGACCCAGTTCTGAAAGCTACTTCCAGCACCATTTTTTTCTTTTTAATCAAAGAAAACCTGAGGTTGGTAGGATCCTTAAAAGGCAGCAGGACTCCGTGAAATGAGCAGAAGACAGACCTGTCCATCTCTTCTGTTAATGTCATTTACTCAATTAGTAATGATGAAATGCCCCCAGGATATACCACACCAAATGTTGACTGTGGCAAACTTTAACACCAATTCCACTGCCAAGTCTAGCAAATTAACCAGATTTAACTAAGCACAATTCTGACAGTTTCTAATTACTGGGAGAATGAAGACATGTTTGAATCTGTCTCTCCTTATTTAAAATTTTCAGTAACTTTCATCCTGCTATCTCACCATCTTCTCCATAGATTTTTCTCATTTCGTAATACGTTGTTATCTGTCCGGTGCTCTTCTTCCTTTCTATATGCTTTGTTGTTGTTGTGACTGTCCTTCCTAGTCTTAAACTTGCCATTCCCCAGAAGCTTGACTCTGCTTCTATTCACATTTGATAACAAGGCCATCTGTTACCTTTGCCAAATGTTAGGCTCTTATTTTACAGCAGCTCTCCAGATGTGTGTGGGCACTGCAGCTGCACAGCCATTACAGATGGCATGGAGAAATCTGCTTTTAGCCTTCTGCTCTACAATATACCCTAATCCTCACCAGCTGTATTGAAGTGCTTTAGCCTTTAAGGATTTGGATGAAAGAACATGGGTAAAGCAACAAAAGTCGTCACCATCAGATACACACCAGCCATAAGGCTCCCTCATGGCCATGGCACAGGATCCACCAGAAGCAGCACTCCAGATGAGTCTTGTTGAAGAATGATGTGCATGTAAAGAACTATATGCATACAAAGAAGCTGATATCTAGTTGGTACCTAAAAACAGATTCTGTATTTGATAAATTTCAGGTACCAGGTTTTGAGTTTCCAG
The DNA here is from genome assembly GCF_000001405.40 of Homo sapiens. Taxonomy (NCBI): domain Eukaryota; kingdom Metazoa; phylum Chordata; class Mammalia; order Primates; family Hominidae; genus Homo; species Homo sapiens. The sequence goes on along the minus strand of NC_000001.11, from coordinate 82,893,524 downwards.
ATTCTCTTGGAGACACACTTTGGTAGTCCATTTATTCCAAGGACAGATTTGAAGAATCCTGGTGAGATTTCATGCTTAAGAACAATATATACAGGAGGGTAAGATATACAGAGACTAACAGATCATGGATTCAGTTTTGGTTCTGCTGCCCACTTGCAAGTTTGCTTGGGTAAGGTACTAAACTTATTTGAAGCAGTTTCCTCATCTGGAAAATTAGGTTAATAATACCGGCACATTATAAGAGTTCTGTGAGGGTTGCCTGACACCCTGCATTTAGCATGTGCCTGACCTATCATAAACTCTCAGCAAATGACCATTACCAAAATTACTATTATTTTAGATAAACATTTAGATAGGTGTTTTCTGTCACTCCTTTCCTTAATATTTATCAAACCTAAAAATCTTCTTTCAATTATTATTTGAAAAGTAAAGATGGAGAATAGTTGGGCTTCAAAAAAAACCCCTAATAGCTGCATGCAACATAAAAGAAAAATGATGTCAATCAAAAAAATAAGTATGGATAAGTGTCATTAAGCTGGAAGGTAGGACTTGTCTTGTAATTAGTCCTCATCATGAAGTCCATAACTAAACCTCAGCATATGTGTATTTGCTCAGGTTTTGATGTTTATGGTCTACTGTCCCTCAGAAAGTTCACTAGCCTATAAATCTGTTATGGCATATAAATAGAAAAATTAATAAAATTAAGATTTTTTAACTTTTTCTAACACTTTATATTTAATAAAGTTAGGCAAGGAAGAAAGGACACGGAAATCGAAGTTTAAATTCTAGTTAATTGTCATTAGCTGTGAGACATTAAGCAAATTATGTAACTTTTCCAGGCCTCAGTTACTCTATCTACAAGATGGGAAAATAATGTCTGATTTTACAATGGTTATTAAAAAAATAAATGCTTCTCTTAAAATGCCTATCTAGTTGTTTGGAACATAGTAGCATTCTTGAAAGAATAAGCATTATTACCATAATTAATCTTCATAATGACTGTGTTAGTTTTTGTTATTGTGTAACAAATCACCATATAAACTTAGCAGCCTAAAATAACACCTACAGTTCTGTAGGTCAGAAGTCCAGGCATGCAGTGGCTAGGTTCTCTGCTCAGAGTTTTATAAGACTAGAACATAGGTGTCAGATGGGCTCTGTCCTCATCTGGCACTCAGGATCTTCCCAGCCCATATAGTTGTGGCAGAATTTAATCCTTTGTGGCTGCAGGACTGATGTCTTCATTTTCTTTCTGGCTGTCAGTCTGGAATTACTCAGGTCCCACATGACCTCCTCCCTTTTCAAAGCCAGCAATGAAGACCCTCCTTTGCATTGAATTTCCCTATTTAAAAATAATAATAGTCTGGAGCACAGAGGCACAATCATGGCTCACTGTAGCCTTGACCTCCTTGGCTCATTCCATTCACCACCTCAGCTTTCTGAGTAGCTGAGACTACAGGCATGTGCCACCACTCTCAGCTAATTTTTGTATTTTTTTCTAGAGACAGGGTTTTGCCATTTTGCCCAGGCTGGTCTCAAACTTCTGGACCTCCCTACATGCTGGGATTACAGGTGTGAACACTGAGCCCAGCCTGAATTCCTCCTTTACTAGGAAAATGCCCCATCCTTTTTACAGGCTCACATGTTTAGATTTGGCCCATGAAGGATAATTTCCTTTTCTTAGTCAAATAGTTTAGGACCTTAATTATATCTGCAAAAATCCCTTATAGCAGCACACAGATTAGTGCTTGATTGAATAACTGAGAGAAGGTTTGTGTATGCCAGGCAGGTGGGACTCTTGAGGGATATTGTATTAGATCATTTTCACACTGCTATAAAGACATATCCAAGACTGGGTAATTTATAAAGAAAAGAGGTTTAATTGACTCACAGTTCTGCATTGCTGGGGAGGCCTCAGGAAACTTATAATCATGGCAGAAGGAGAAGAGGCACCTCTCACATGGCAGTAGGTGAGAGAGAGTGAGTGTGTGAAGCAGGAACTGTCAGACACTTATAAAACCATCAGATCTCATGAGAACTCATGCACTATCATGAAAACAGCATGGAGAACACTGCTCCATGATCCAATCACCTCCCAGGAGGTCTCTCCCTCGGTGTGTGAGGATTATAAGGATTACAGTTCAAGATGAGATTTATGTGGGGACACAAAGCCTAACCATATCAGACATCTTAGAATTCTGCCTACCTCAGTAATCTTGAGAGACAAATATCTGTTATTTTTACCTTTGAGGAAACTAAAATTTCAAAGGTTTAGTTGACTTGCCAGAGGACATCCAACTGAGAAATGTTTCTTACTAGGAATGTCCCCAGGATATATTTGGCAATGTTTGGAGACATTTTTGGTTGTCACACTTGGGGAGAAGCTGGAAAACTAGCTGGCTCAGGTTAAACGTCTATTAGCATGTAAGAAGAAGAGAACAGACATGAGACCAGTGGCAGTCTCTGCCAAAGATGACGTTCATTTATGCCAGGCAACTCACTGAGAATGCAGCAAGATTGTAGTGGAAACCATCTTTTCCAGCTTCTACACCCACAAATATCTACCAATAAGAAGCTTTCACTTTGGTCTAGCATTTCTCAAGTTTAGCAATACTGGGCCAGAACATTCTACATCATGTGGGACTGCCCTGTTTACAACAGGATGTTTAGCACTGTCCATGGCCTCTATCTGCTAGATGTCAATAGGACTATCACCACCCTGCTCCCCAAGTTATAGCAAACAAATATTTCTCCTGGGGAGGAGCTAAGTTGCCCTCGGTTGAGAACCACTGCTTTAAAGGGAAGCAGCAAGGCAGCGCTCTACTCTCCTCCCTTTTCCATAAGCTTGAAGGCAGGAATGCTAGCTACAGCCAGAGCATCCAGTGTGGACCACACTTGGAAAACCAAATGCTGAGGATGCTAGAGCCAAACCTCAAGGGAGCCTAGTCCCTGACACATGGCCTGCACTGCAAACACCTGAATTGGTACAAGAGATGAAAGTTACCTTCTACCTTATTTAAGACACCATATTCCAGGTGTCTTTGTTTACTGCAGGTGTATTTCTATCCTACCTAATACAAACTTCCTAGGAAAGTCACTTTTGCAGGGCAGGTAGGGGTTAACGCATATTGCCTGTTACCTTAAAATCTTGTAGCTTCATTTCCTTTTTGTGATCAGCACATTATCCTGACCATATAGCCTGTCCCCAAAGAGGCAATTCTTACAATGAGAAGCTGCACTTGATTCTTCAGTAAATACATACTTTGTTTGACTGTGTGCTAACAACCCAAATGGAGGTTTCTGTTGTAAACATTTGTTTCAGAAGCAAACACATCCAAATTGAAATGTTTCTTTTCATTGTTGCAGCAAAATATCCATTTGCTTTCAGGCCATTAGGGACTGCTGAATGCTTTTGTAAACGTTTCCACAGGCTGCTGGCCACTCCAGGCCCATTTCTCTCCCATTGCTCAAGAATATCCTAATGGTCAGGAACTCCTGAGAGACTTACCCAGGAGTTCAGTGGTTTCCTGATGGAGGTGAGCTCCAAAATGATCCTGCAGTTGAGGCAGTTAAGACTGAATTTTTGTGTTTGTGTGTCAGAACAACTTGTTGTCCCAGTAAATATATTATTCTTTTTTGGATATATTAAGTAGAAATAAGATGTTGTATTGATGTTTTCAAGCCTATCATCAATAGTTTACTAAATATTATAGTGACCTTAAGAAATTACCTTCATATGACATGTTGGAGATACTTTTTCTGCTGTAACAATATATTTTTTCAATTTTTCTTTTTAGTAGTACTTCTTGAGTAAAGATGACAACATAGCAGATAAAATGAGTTTGGGTACATTTGCATGTATTGACATCTGGTGTTGGCTGTGAGCATGCCCCCAGAACTTGTCTGAATGTCTTCCCTTTCATATCCATCTACCAAAATGCTACCCATCCTCCAAGGCTCCATTTCCCTTCCTTCTTAAATAACTGTAAGTCTCAAAGATCCTGCCAGTTACACAACTCACTAATGAGGAAAGTGACCCAAGTGTGTGTGTGCTTTTGAAAAATATATATTTTAAAAATACACATTTAAAAATGTATACATAAGGGAAAACCTTATGATTATTAAACATATCCTAGTGCCTTGGGAGCACCTGATTGAACAAAGGATTGCTATAACAGTCAAAAGCAACCATTTATGTATATGCTGAATAACTATCACTGAAGCATCTTAGCTGAATTGTCTGCCCACTAGTGGATGGTGGCACACTGGCCAAATCAGAGGTTCTTTTTGTAAAGAATCAATATAATAAGACAAGTCATTCAAGCTCAGGTTATGCGCTGAATAAACTTGGTGAACATTCTTTCCCTGAAAGCACTGGGAACCCTTCAAGTGAAGACATTGCTGAAAGGAATGTGTTCTTTCCTATCCCATATCACAGCACAGTCTTGAAATAAGTTGCCAGAAAACCCCTATGATCAAGAGAGCATCTTTCTTCCTTGAAAATGTATACAAATTAGTATATGGATATGCATTATGATATTCATCTTAATCTACCTTCCATCAAAGTTAGATAAAAATCAGGAATTTAGAAAATTCAGAAATAATAGCTAGGAGATTTCTTCACCACTTAATCTATGTAGTACCTTGTATTCATTTGATCATTTGAATCTCACAGCTCTAGGAGAGAGACAGATTATAGCCATTTAACGGATGAGATATACAAAGTGTGAAAAGTACATGCATGTTTGTGTGTGCATGTGTCTATGTGTGATTTTCCCAAGATTACATAGCTAATAAATGTCAGAGCTGGGTTTCAACACCAAGAGACTTAGAAAAATGAATACCAATACAAATTTTAAAATATACTAGGTAATAAAACAAGGGTAAAAACATAAGAGATTTATTACATCCAGTGGATAAAAAAGGAAACCAATGAAGTGAGTAAGCAAATGGGTCTTAAACATAGCCCTCTGATGCAAATGGCTCCATGGCTTCTGGGACCTCGGCCTAAGTGTCTAATGGAGAACCTCAAAGGCAAAGCATGAAGGACAAAGGATATGACCGGACCTTATTTTTTGCCAAGCTCATGACCCTCAGGCATCTGGCTCTGCACTGTGCGCAAAGCCAGCACGATCAACAATGAATAGACCTAAGTATTCAACAGCTCTGCTTTTGCCTGGCTCATAAAAGGGCGCTAACTTGGCCGGGCGCGGTGGCTCACGCCTGTAATCCCAGCACTTTGGGAGGCCGAGGCGGGCAGATCACGAGGTCAGGACATCGAGTCCATCCTGGCTAACACGGTGAAACCCCGTCTCTACTAAAGATACAAAAAATTAGCCGGGCATGGTGGCAGGCGCCTGTGGTCCCAGCTACTCGGGAGGCTGAGGCAGGAGAATGGTGTGAACCCGGGAGGCGGAGCTTGCAGTGAGCAGAGATGGTGCCACTGAACTCCAGCCTGGGTGACAGAGCGAGATTCGGTCTCAAAAAAAAAAAAAAAAAAGGAGCTAACTTACTTGGGTAACTTACTCTCTTCTCAGTAGGCTCCAAAGGCCTGTATGGTCTTATCAACAGGTATACTTATGCTTTGGATCTTGATTCTGTAACTTCCTAGAGATAGAGATTTGTCCAAGTTACTTAAACCTTATGCACCTCAGATTTGACAGGTATGCAGTGCCTTTGTGAAAACTGAATAAAATAAGATTTAAGACATCAGTCATCTCATGAAGCCCATAAGAGTTAGGTGTGTGCCATCAGTACTAGAAGTAGCAATCAAGTCATAAATTGTATTTGCACCCTTATTGTGTTCAGTGCGGTTGACTCCTGAAGCCCCACAAGCAATTGGTTGATGCTTAATTAGAATTAATTTACCACAGTGTTTAAAAAGTTTTCCACAATCTTTACTGTCATCAAATCTGAAGTTCTTAATTCTTGCACCTGGTTATGATTTCTTCTGTCTTTTGGGTTGAAATTTTGTGATAATGATACTCTTTGTAGTAGGGTTTGACCTACATGTTTCTTCTTTCATCTTAATGCAATGCAAAGAAAAATGCAAGCATACATATTTTGGGTGATAAATCCTATGATTTAAATCTGTTGCTTGTTCTTATACTATAATTTTCCAACTTTACATTTTTGAAACAGTTATTTAGTAATAAGTTTGAACTGACTTCTTTTTACCCGTTAGCAGAATGGGTGTGATATTCATCCATGTTTCTGCAAAGAAGAAAAAATTAATACATTCAGACCTGGGGAAGATATTCAATTATATTGATTATTTTTCCTGAATGAACATAATATTTCTTAATGGAAATAATATTCCATATAGTTCAAAGAAAAAACATAAATGCAAAGAACCAACATGTTACTCTTCTCTCTCTCTCTAGTGGTACCGCATGAAAGGTGATATGGTTTAAAATATTGTTATTGATGGCCGGGCATAGTGGCTATCACCTATAATCCCAGCACGTTGGGAGGCCAAGGTGGGCAGATCACGAGGTCAGGAGATCGAGACCATCCTGGCTAACACAGTAAAACACCGTCTCTACCAAAAGTACAAAAAATTAGCGGGGCATGGTTGCACGTGCCTGTAGTCCCAGCTACTTGGGAGGCTGAGGCAGGAGAATTGCTTGAACCTGGGAGGTGGAGGTTGCAGTGAGCCAAGATTGCACCACTGCACTTCAGCCTGGGCAACAGAGGGAGACTCCCTCTCAAAAAAAAAAAAAAAAAAATTAACTGTTATTGTTTAGTTCTGCTTTGAAAATTTAAAAAAAAAAAAGTTAATCTTTCTGATAGTCACATGGGCAATCACTCCCGGTATCTTTTATACCAAAGGGGCAGTGTCGGGACAAGGCTAAAGTAGTTGTGTAGGTCTCTTGTACAAAGAACTATGATGTAAACCTAATATCTTAAAAATAAGGGCAAAGGGGGAGTAGTGGAAATCCGATTTGGCCAATTTAAAGCTAGTTCCCTTCCAAGCACCCCTCCCTACTCCCAGATCAGCATCATGTCAATCTTAGACTGGCTAGATGTAAGAACATACATTTACATAGTGGTTAAGAACGAGAGAGAAATCTATGGATTTAGACCTCATAGTGGCACTTCATAGCTATTTTGCTTTTGAAGAGTTATGTACTCTCTTTATGCCTAAGTTTTCAAACTTATAAAATAGGAACACTAGTATCACCTACTCACAGACTTCTTAGGAGAAGTACATGAGCTAACACCACAAAACAGAATAGTTCGTGGCATGCCGTAAGCATATTAACATACATATGTAAGCTAAGAAATATTGGCTATTATATCTCTGGATCCAGTGACATTACACATATATTTCGATATTGCTTGCCAGTTTGGAATGCCTGTGCTTCTAGTATCCTGGTTGTTGGTTCTTTGAGGCATTGAAAGGAACATATGTAACTGTCAGTTTTGCAGCTGAGAAAGGAGTACACGGGTATAAATGTGCATCTACAGGAAAAATATAAACTTAAGCAGCTAAGTATTCTGTTTATATCAGATATCATGGATAATGGTCTACTTGCTTTTGCCAAAGAGTAAAATAATTTGGGATATATTTCTGACATTTGTATTAGCTCTAACAGCTGACAAAAACGTTTAGTCTAGTGACCCATTCATGCCCAGAAACAAGTGTTTGCTGGCTGTATTTTGTGCCTTCTGTAAGACCTCTAGGCTTTATTTAACTGTCATTTTCTAGAAACGATATTAAGATAGACCAATGTAATACAAGAGTGAAAGGAGTTGAAAATAACTCATACACATAGTAAAATAACAGGACATTATTGCAAACTGCTGCTTCTTTGAACTTGAAGTTGCTCCTGGACCACTGTGATTTTTGTTCATAGTATAAACCTTTCTACATCTATTGAATTTTATTAAGTGCTTTATAGAAGAACTTAGATAAGCTATCGTTTCTTTATAATAAGCATACATCATCTGAGAGCACAGACATACGTGCATGTTTATTAACACACACACACATCCAAAAGTAATACCATAAAAGGTGCTGCTATATTCATTGTGTTGCTGACATATCTGATTGATGAATCACTGATATAATTTTTCTCATTAAAAACAGATAAAGCCCTCTTACTTTGAGAAAGGGTCTACAATCAGCCTAAAAGGATCTACAGTTTCTTCACCTACTTTATTTCACAGGTTATATGAATTTTACTGTTTCCTTGAAATGATGCATCACTTAGCTCCTGATCACTCCATGCTAGCCAGTCTCTCTTTTGGTCTTATTTTTCAGCATTTGATAAATGGAACATATTGTCTCATGATAATTTGAATGTTCCTTTCTGCTTTTCTTACATTCAGGAAGATCTAAAATGGTGATAAAATTTAACCATAATGACTTGGTCAACATCGTTGTAAAACTCATCATTCCCCTCATTTAAGTCTTTACGCTGGACTCTGACAGTTACATCCTAACAGCGGGGACTGAGTCTTACTCATATTTGTATATTCAGTGCAAGTGACCTGGTATATATTCGGTCCTCAAGACATCTTTGCTGAACTGTTGAGTTGAAATAACCAATTTTCTTAGTTTTTAAACATATATCTGAGAGGTGAAGCCAGCTAGACTTCCTGGGTCGAGTGGGGACTTGGATAACTTTTCTGTCTAGCTAAAGTTTTGTAAATGCACCAATCCACACTCTGTAAAAACGCACCAATCAGCACTCTGTAAAAACGCACCAAACAGCGCTCTGTGTCTAGCTAAAGATTTGCAAATGCACAAGTCAGCACTCTGTAAAAACGGACCAATCAGCACTCTGTAAAATGGACCAATCAGCAGGATGTGGGCAGGACCAAATAAGGAAATAAAAGCTAGCCACCCGAGGCAGCAGCGGCAACGTGATTGGGTGCCCTTCCATGCTGTGGAAGCTTTGTTCTTTCATTCTTCATAATAAATGTTGCCACTGCTCACTCTTTGGGTCCGCACTACCTTTATGAGCTGTAACACTCACTGGGAAGGTCTGCAGCTTCACTCCTGAAGTCAGCAAGACCACGAACCCGCAGAAGGAAGAAACTCTGGACACATCTGAACATCGGAAGGAACAAACTCCTGACACACCATCTTTAAGAGCTGTAACACTCACCAGGAGAGTCGGTGGCTTCATTCTTGAAGTCAGCAAGACCAAGAAGCCACCGGAAGGAACCAATTCCAGACACACATCTATTCTACCTCAAATATTCTTGTTCTCTAAACTTTGTAGCCGGTCTACGTAAATAATCATTCCCTACTATTAGTTTGCAGGAAGTGTGTTTGGGATACAAGCAGATCATTTTGCAAACTATCATAGAAAATTATAGAAAGGTATAGTTTCTTATAAAGCCTCTTGAAAATCTACTTTCCTCATGAAAGCAAGAAGATTCTGACTCAACAGTTCACTTCAGCATGTCCATAATCAAAACCAAGATTTATAAGGATATTTAATAATATGAGAAATGTTCATGCTATGTGTCTAAGTAGAAGAATAAAACTAGGTTGACCCCTGCCCTCTCCCAAGACAGAGACTAAAATAAGCATGTTTTCAAAGAAGTTATCTCTTATAGCCCAAATCCAAAAACTTCAGCTGATTCTTTTGTAGCCTAAGTATGCTTAGCAGGTACTTGACTTGACAATGGTGCGTTTCTTATTCCCAGAAGGCTGCTTGGCCACACGTTAAAAGGTGAGGCAGATATAAACAAAAGTATCCAGTGTTGTTCTGCCTAATAATGTGAAGTGAGTTTTCCAATGTTAAAGAGGTGACTGCATAATTCAGGAAGCTAGTTTACACTCTGCCTCCTCAATAGCAGCAATACTAATAGCATTCATATAGCACCCACTGTATGCCAGACACTAAGCATATACATATTATTTCATACATACAATATTCCATGAGTAAAGTAATGATAATATCCCCATTTTGCCTTTGCATTTCCACACAGAGGCCTGAGTTTGGGAGAGGAAGATCAGAAACTGTAGAGTGCCCAGGAAGCCAAGAATGAGATTAACTTCTTGGTTGCCTTTCTCTTAAATTATGAGAAAATCAAATTGAATAAACATGCTTACAGTGTTCTTCCTTTTATTGTAATTCCATTAGTTACCCAAGCACATTAAAAAGTCAAATATGGAGACAGAGACTTGAGTTAAGATGCTGTGAAAAGTAAATGGACAAAAAGTAAAGAAAAGTGTAACCTACCTGATATCCCCCCACCAGTCACCATGTTTCAGGATGGAAGCAATATGCTAGAAAGACCGGGTCCCAGAGTTCCAATGGAGACAGCCTAAAGTGAGAAGCAAAGCTGAAATAGCTGAGAAAGAATATGACTGTGAAGAACAAAGTCTTAGACTAACTCAGCAACAAGAAATATCCTTCCTCATGCCACATGTTACAAATCAGAGCAGGTGAGACTAGTCAGGGGTGGGCATAAAGGCTGACACTTGGGCTACATGAGGTGAAGTAATACAAGCAATTAAAAGAACAGTCTGATACTAAAAGAGAAGTCTATGTGCATATGTTAGCAATGATTATGCGTGAAGGGAGAGTGAGTGACTTTTATTTGCTTTTTGTGCTATTGTGCATTTTCTAATATAATTATGATTTATGAGTACAACTTTTTATAACAGAGAAATGCTATTAAACAGGAATTATACAGACATAATCATAGCCAAGCATGGCACTAAGTACTTTAAAGATTATCACATTTAGAAAGGCACTGTCTCTTAGACACCAGGGAAATTAATGCCAAAAGCCTGCTCCACCACCTACCAGTTTTGGATTTCGGGCAAGTTGTTTCAACTCTCCTTGCCTCCATATTTTCAGCTATAAGATAAGGACAGTATTAGTTTCTCATATATAGCATTGCAAAAAGGATTAAATTAAATAATACATGTAAAGCACTTAGACTAGGACCCAGCATACAGTAAGTAATTAGCTTTTTTAAATTTTCAAAATCACACTATAGAGAATAATGAAGCAGAAAAGTTGTAGTCTCTCGTCTAAGGTCACAAAGCAGGGAAAGGTTGGGATCAAAATTTGAATACTGATACAGCTGGACCAAATGTAATGTTATTCTAATATTCTATTATTGCTATTAGTGAAACATTCAGACTCATGGGATCATTGAGTGATTCTCTGGCCATCTGATTAAAATAGAAACATCCTTTTCCTTCTTTCTTCCCTGCTTTCCTCCTCTTCCTTCTTCCCTCTGTTTCTCTCTCTCTATTTCCAGGTTTTTTTCTTTACAATTCTCTAGTCCAAAGCTATGGGAATGTAAACACAGATGAAGATAACATTGATGTTGGATTAAGAGGTTTATTTTTAAAAACATACACAAAAGACAGGTTGTTAAACAAAATAGATGTTATTTCTCTCTCACATAACAGTCCAGAGGTGAGAAAAGCATGATTGGTGAGACAACTCCACTATTCTCAAAACATGACTTCCAGAGTTTTTCCAGGAATCAACATTTCTTAGCCAGCAGGAATGGGGGGAAGAAAGAGTTCATGGCAAGTACATTTAAAGAAATAATTGAAAAGTGGCATGTGTCACTTCCACACCCATCATATTGATCTGAAAGGTCAAACTTAGCTGTAAAAGAGGATGGGAAATAAAGTTACTAGGTTCTAATACTAAATACTGAAGGGGAAAACAGATCAAGAATGGGGCAGTTTCAGGGTCATCTATAAGGAGCATAGCAAGCATAGGTACATAATTACCATTCTGACTCTCTTTTATAATAAATATTTGTGTCAAAGATTGGTAGTAGAAAGTTCCATGGTTACTGTGGAAAGAGTTTATCACAGATTTTGTATTCATTGTTGCCATATTTATGAAACCAGCACCATTCTTCTATTACAATTGATGCTTTTGCTTCCTGTTTCAGTACTACCTACACTAACAGTGCCCTCAGAATTGTGCAATGCAGCAACACTGGTAGAATTGTTTTTGTTTGTGTTTTATTATTATTATTATTATTAAAGTGCACTTTAAGTTCAAAGTTACATTGAATGATAGTGCAGGAAATATCTCCACGAAACATGCCAAAGCCTTTATGCTTTTGGAGGTGAGAGGAGGAAAAGATACTGACATGTATTTGACTCCATCATTCAGCATTCCATGAGGATTCTCTTAGACCTCAGTGGTGGTAAAATCTTTTTGACAATGTTTTCTACCATTGAAAATAATGTGAATCATTCAATTGTTCTTTTTTGGCTACTAGGAAAATTAGAGCATATTCCACGGTCTATTTTTTTAAATTTATAAGGTTGGTGTGTCAAATTTTTTTCTTTTAATATTCTACTTTATTTTCCTTCATTCTGATTTATTTAAATTTGTATGTGTCTTTATAATTCACCTGTTGGAGTGATATGTATATGTAAACATATACACAAATGCTGAAAATTTTATCATAGTATGGCACTCTGAAACTGTTACATTCCCTTACTATACAATAATTACTTAAAGAATTAGGAATATCTAAAGATTGCAATTGTTACTTTAACATAAAGCATCTTTAAATTTTAAAATGATTTTAAAAATTAATTAGTAGGTTTGATTATTCCCTTATTGCAAGACATGAACGTAAAACTGTGAGTTGGTAAATTGAGAACTTATTTTTAGTTTGGAACAACTGCTATCAATTTAAATTGTGCTTAATTAGGAAATGGTAGTGCTTACATATGGCACTATATCTTCAGTAGATTTGGAAACTAAGAAGGATTTTGCTTATGATAGAAAACTGAAATGCCCATAGTGACTCTAACATTTGTTTTTTAAGCATGAGGGTAAAAAGATGAATCACTTTAGGGGAAAACTTGTGACTCACAGTGCAAGTTTTAACACCTTTCCTGTGATTACCTATACCTCTGGCAGAAAAATCTTTTCTGACCCTATGGGTCTTTGCCACGGTTTAAGCCAATTGGGACTTTTTGGAATGGTGGATAATCAATTTAGCCTGATTAAATGCAGTTCCCATCTTAAATTATGCAAAGTGTAAGGACCCACGGGTCGAAACTGAGGTAGAATTGAGACCCGTAGGCATTCTCGCAGTTTAAGCCATGGAGGGCTATGGAGACTATGCTATGGGAATGTGATTTTTAGTTGAATTGCTTTCAATAATTCTTCTTGCTTAAAAGCAAATAATGATGCATGCTGCTAAAGTCCAAAGAAGAAAAATAGTTTAATGATTTAGGTTATGAACATCAGTATTAAAAAACCTAAAATGCAAAGCCCCTTCAGTCGATAACAGGACAGTTTTGTAAACCACTTAAGGCTGTGATAAAATCCTACTTGACTGGCCCACGAGCAGATGTGACAAGTTGAATTTATTTCCTCTCTTACCAGGAAGCTTTGCAGGAAACTCTTAACATATGGTGCTTTTCGCTTCCATCTAGAACTATAAATGTTATTGGAAAAGGATGTTCCCAAGAGCAGTGAGTTTCTGACGTCTCTGCCAAATGGAGTCCAAATGATCCTTCTGTGGTTCTGAATTCCCTGAGTTCTTAGGAGTTGGCAACCAAGGGTCTCTGATCTAAACACAGCTCACTAATTTAATTATTTTATTATAGATTTGTGGAAGCTCTTTCAGACCAGTGACTTAGCATCTGTATTGTATCTAGCTATACAGGAAGCACAAGTTAGAAGGGTGTAAATATTTTGTTTCTTAACTGCTTTCATTTGAAAGCTTGGAAATCATTTCACACAGAAACCAGGCACCACAAACTGAACACAAAAGAATGTGAAATTGAGATAAGTCAAATTTTAGAGCTTTTTGTATTTAGAGCTTTTTGTATCATATTTAGAGCTTTTTGTATCATACACAGGTCCACCATCTACCACTACATAGTGATATTGTAGTAAATACTCAGTTATTAGCAATCATACAAAAATGAAATATTGCTAAGTAAAAATCATTGACTACCTTATGTTTAGTTTATAATACTCCACAAAGTGTTGAATATGCACCCCAGGGCACATTCTCATTTAATATCTTTTCGGAGCAATTCATTTTAATAAATTAAAAGGACAAAATTGATGCTTGGACCATTAGAAGTTTGCTGCTAGCTGAAGCAACATCATGATTGCTAAATTGAAACTGATGGCACCATGGCACCAACTAGTTTATATTTTCAGTGCAATGAACTATGTTGAAATGTCATTCAGTTTAAGATAACCAAATATAGTAAAGTTAAAAAAATCTGAAAATGGACATTTACTGTGTTATAAGTATTATATATTTCCAGACTGATTACTAAAGCATCATGTATGAAACATACACATGCTTTAACATTTTATAGCTTTTTTTTTTTTTTTTTTTTTTTTTTTGAGACAGAGTCTCGCCCTGTCTCCTAGGCTGTAGTGCGGTGGCATGATCTCAGCTCACTGCAACCTCCGCCTCCTGGGTCCAAGTGATTCTCCTGCCTCAGCCTCCTGAGTAGCTGGGGTTACAGACATCCATTTTTAGTAGAGACGGGGTTTTGCCATGTTGGCCAGTCTGGTCTCAAACTCCTGAACTGAAGTGATCCACTTGCCTGGCCTCCCAAAGTGCTGGGATTACCAGCGTGAGCCTATTTTACAGCATTATAGTTGGGATTACATGCCTGGCCTATTTTATAGCATTTTAGTATTATATTAGTACTTATTAAAATACAACCTTTATAGTCATAAATAGGTGTTTTTAGTATATTTTGTAGCTTCCAAATACATAAAATAAGTCCTAAAAACTCAAGTACAATGTATGTGTGTATATATGTCATATATGTATGTATTACTGTGTAAAAATGAATACGTGTGTGCAAGTGTTTAATGAGTTTAGATACAATTTCTCAGAAAAAGTACATACATACTAACCTACCACTCTAAGGCTATAGCAAAACCGTTTGGAAATTTTAATTGTAATTATAATTTAATAGCTGTCTTTAAAAACCTAAATCATAGTATTTGAACGTAAAGCACATCTTAACAAACTAAAAGAAGAAAAATGTATAGTATACCAATAGCTATGCACTTAAAAATACTCGATTACAAACTTAAACAAGTTAATAGAAACTAAGCAGTGATGCAAAATCTTTGAAAAAGCGTTTTTTAAATTCCCATTTTGTCTAATTCTTAAAATTTAAGAATCAAAACACCTTAAAATTATCAAGAATGTTCACTTAGGCTGAATACCCTTATTTAAATAATAATATTAATTTCATCTTTTCTTCAATGTGATGTATAGCATTAACTTCACTCTATCACTATATTGTTAAATGAATTTCCTAATTAGCATAGCACTTCCCAGAAATTCTTAGAAAATATTATCTTTTTTCCATTGGTACTCACCCTTTCCAGGAGACTTTGCTGCTAACTTTAATTATTGTGACCATCAGAATTGTTAAAAGACAAGTACCCTAAAGCAATGCTGAAGAAAGAAAACACAATTCAAAGCTGCCATTTAACTATCATCTCATACGTGCCATTAAGCAAATAGACACATCAACTAATACTGAGATTATATGTACTTCATTATTAATATGATATAAACACACAACCACACAATAGTTATTTTCTCAAATGTTTATTTTTCAAAATTGTTTTAACTTTAAATTGAAAAGAGATTTCATTAAAAACCTACCATGATATATATTATTACTTAACTAATTTTACTTTTTTTCCAGTTTTTACTATTTACATTGGTTCTAAAACTAATTATAGGTTATCAAAATATCCAGCAGAAAAGTAGGATGAAAAGATTCAGTTGTTTAGTATCTATCATGCCACGATTAAGCAATCAAAAATAAGTTGATGGTTGACTAAAATTATCATGTTACAAAACTCTAAATCTTAACTCATGTAATTCTCTCGTTTAAAGGGGGGGAAAACCACAAAATTGAGTATGGTTGAAATCATCATTTAAAAAGAAAAAAAAACAGTTTTCAGGCTCATAGACATTTCAGAACTAGAAGGAGATTTGGATATCACCTAACACAAAACTCCAACTTTACAGATGAGGCAAATGAACCCAGAAACAATGTATTTTTAGAGCTTCAAAGACTATTGCCATTGAATAGAGCTTCAATTTATTTAAAAATAAATTTAAATCAGGACAATTCTGATTATTTCATCCAGGCAGGTATCCCAAATGGACCAAACTGCTGATGTTTAAACCCTCTACATCTTGGCTTTTAAGAAATTGCTTATTCACATTGTCACGTGGATTGAGTGCGGATGATTGGAATAATATGTCAGCGAGCTTTGATGTTAGAAGGGCAGAGATTAACAAGTCCAAATGTTCTCTATCAATAAGGGAGGCCCAGAGAAGTAAGACCAATTCCCAATTAAGTTTGATGTGTCTTTTACTTATTCCAATTCAGTGGGAGTAATTTGTCCACTTCAGATTTTCTCACTCAGGCAAACACAGAAAACTCAATGGAATATAAAAGTTAATTCAAGAGAAGAAATTGAAAGTTTACTGAAGAACAAATTTACCACTCTTTACTTCCATGAGTGTGAATAAATAATAATGACAAGTATATAAGGTTTCCTAAACTGCTGATGAATACTAGACATTCAATTTTACATAAAATGCATCATCAAGTCATATCTGGTTAGTTACTACTTTGGCTCAGATGGTTACCAGTCACTCTTTACATTTTATTTGACTCTTCCCTATCTCATGCCTCACATTCATATATATATACACACACACACACACACACACGTATATATATTGCTATATATATAGCTATATATGTATATATACATATATGTACATATATGTAAATATGAGTGCATATATATAGCAATATGTATATATGTGTGTATATATGTATATATATAGCATATGTATACATGTATGTATATATGTATGTATATATTGCTATATATATTGCTGTATCAGTATATATATTGCTATATATGTATATATATATATTGCTTTCCATGTTTCCTGTGGTCTTTCATCACATTTCATTTGTATTAATTCCTCTAGGCTCTACGTACCTTTATAATATTAAATGTTCTAGATAATAAAAGCTGTCAGCAGTGAAAGTACAACACCAAGAACTTAAAGATGTCCCTCTGAGATTTAATTAACAGTAATTTGACTTGATCCGTGCTATTGACAAATTCACAAAATGAAAAGCTGGCAACATTGAAATATGATGTTCAGCAAAGCAATTTTTTCGCTATCCAGCAGAAAGGAAGAAATATTAGCTAGAGTGATATGTAAGAGGTAACAAAGAGCTAGTGTTAATATTCTAGTTATTCAGGATAATTTATCAGACATCATCATGACCCAGAAATCTCTACATATCACCAACATTTTCTGCTTTTTACCCTCTGAACCTTTCTGTATTCCCAGGTTATGATGACATTTGGAAAGTTGTCTTAAATCACTCTTTAAAAATGGTCAACCATTAGTGCCATATACTATCACTGTGATATGTGGCAATCACTTGGTGCCCACAGTAGGACAGCAATTGTCTCCAGTTTTGTGGTTATTGATATAAAAAAGGCAGTTGAGCATAGTTTAAATGCAATATCCTCTAAACAAAAAGGCTACTGAATAAAGCCATAGAGCACTCAAGACCTGAACCACAGAACATCAAGACAATATATCTCTCACCATCAGCCCATCATGTCCATGACTATCTCCAAATTGACCCTCCATTTTATGGACAGGCAGCTCAAGCTGAGTGGTCAGAAGAAAGCTTATATTCCAGCATAAAACAGGTACAAATTTTCACTCTCTTCTATAATCTGCTACCACCCTGACAGGTGGAGATACAAAGACTTGCTTCTTGCCATGCATTCTTGCCCTGCCCCTAAATGAGAAAAAAAACAGGAGTGGTATCTATATTGTGTCTACTATATTAACATCAGTCAGGTCAATAACATCATATATAAATATCTTTCAGTTCTTATTTTCTCTGCCTTCAAGTAATTTTATGATGAACTTTATGTACTCAAATAATCATGCCTGAAAATTAATACTGCCTCTGTTTATCAAGTACAAACTAAGGGTGATATTTACAAAATTTGAGAGTATAATTGAACATGTATTCATTTTTGAGCTGGGAAAAATCCAGCTGTGTAAATTAGCTCATGTCCACAGGTTCTGAGCATTAAAGAAACTACCGAAGCATTATAAAGCAAAGGCAGATAACACAACCCTAACTTTGACCCAAGACAACAAACTTAAAGAAATTCTGGCCTTGGAGTCAGATGTCTTGGCCAGGGTTTCCCCTTCTGCCTTTGCTTTTACTCTCTGATATGGTTTGGCTCTGTGTCCCCACCCAAATGTCACCTTGAATGGTAATCCCTATAATTCCCACATGTCAAGGGAGAGACCAGGTGGAGGTAATTGAATCATGGTGGCAGTGCAGTTTCGTCTATGCTGTTGTTGTGATAGTGAATTCTCACAAGATCTGATGGTTTTATAAGGGGCTCTTTCCCCATTGCTCAGCACTTCTCCTTCCTGCCGCCTTGTGAAGAAGGTGCCTTGCTTCCCCTTCACCTTCCACCATGACTGTTGAGTTTCCTGAGGCCTCCCCAGCCATGCTGAACTGTGAGTCAATTAAATCTCTTTCTTTTAAAAATTACCCAGTCTTTATAGCCGTATGTAGATGGGCCAATACACTCTCTTTGTGACCTCAGATAAATCACTGATCTTCTCTAACCTACAGTTTTAATATCTTCAAAAGGAAAGTGACATAGTTTGTTGCAGGGATTAAGGGAATTCTTGTTTATGAAAGTGGCCTCACAACTTATAAAACTCATCTATAAATTTGAAGATTGTTGCAGACGGTAATCATCAGACTTATTAGATATAATGTTCTTGTGATTGTATCTGCACAGGTTTATACAATATTGGCTTTAAAACAAACAAACAACAATAAACTTTGGTAAAACCGCCCCCACCCCAAATCGTCAGACCTTAGTATTATCGTATTTGTCCATTTTGTTTATCTTCTAAAATGATCTGAATTGAAGCTACAATAAACTCTGAGTACAAACTCCTATCAATAGAAGTCTCTCATCTCTTCACTTCTAATGAAATCTGTTTCTCAGTCTCATTATTACCCCCTCCCCATTCCTTGGTAGCTCACTACTGTCTCAGTTCATCAGCCCCTCTTCTGGCCTCATTTGCTTGCCTAACCAGCCTTGACACTAGGGTCAGCCACTTTATTAGATTTTCACACTCTCTTTCCCCAGGGCTGCCATTCCAATCCCCAAGAATGGGTAAATAACATCATCTGCCTTCCAAGCCCACAGTCCCAAGCTGCCAAACATTGCTGATGAAAGTCACAAAGCCAGGTTGACTGGTTCCACTACAGTTCCAAGCTACCTAAAATCAGCTGGGCCCTCCTTCCTGCTTGATAGTACTTGTTCTCATTGCTGATTTACAGCCTTTTGTATCCCCTATAGTGTCAATTCCAAGATTTCTTCCTGCCCTCAGTTTCTTATGTGATATGATCTCCCAGTACATAGAGAAAGTCAAGGCCAATGCTTGCTTTCTCCCTTTTTCTTCTATGTAAAAGCTGAACTTTCCCTCTGATCTCATAGAAGGTGCCCTCCTCTCTCCTGCTAAGCCTTTCACTTGTACCTTTCACCAGTGCCTTCCCTCTTTTTTGCTAAGGCTTTATCACATCCTTTTTCTACATATCCTCATAACAAGTTTTTCCTTTGTCCAAGCACTACCTGGTTTTGCGATTTTGTCTCTCTCTCTCTCTTTTTCCTTTTCTTTCTTTCTTTTTTTTTTTTTTTGTAAAATTTCTTGAAAGGAAAGGGTAGTTCACACTTATTGTTTCCACTTTCTTGCCACCTACTCACTCCTTGGGATCTGCTTTCTGCTCCAATAAGTAAATCCAATGACAGTTTTCCAGCCCTCCCTGTTTTTGTTCTTTGTAAAGCAATTGACATTTCTAACACTGCACTGTCTTAAAATCTTCCACTGCATTCTCTCCAGTACCACCCTTCTCCAGCTCGCATTTCATTTCAGTGGTATTCATATTTTCCTAGATACCCAAGATTAAAACTTTGGAGCAGTACTTGCCTCCTTACTCTTCTCTGCACCTTATGGCCAGGAGTTGACATGTTGTATTGCTTCAATTTCCGCAGTATCTCTCACATTTTTATTCTTTCTGAAATTACTTTTTCCAGTACTACCAAAACAGATTAACACAATTTTCTCCTAACCCTTTCTCTTTTAAGTCTTTTCTCTGACAATATATTTGCACCTTGGAATTTTGAAGTTCTTCCATCAGTCCCAATTTACCTTTTTATTCTTAGCTCTTCCCACCTTTATAAAGTCAAAGAGGACTCTTTGCTCATCTCTTTATAAAACCTGAGGTTATTGGCCATTTACTTCTACACAGAGGTGGAAAGTAGGGGAAGAAGACAAGACAAATCACATTATGTGACGTTTGCCCCTCTAAGCCAAATACTGCTGATACAGAAGACATCTGATGAAAAAGAATACAAAGTGATGGGTACACAGATATCTTCCAATTGTGAAAATTAGATTCATCAAACTGTACATGTGTGGTATATGTGCCCTTCTGTGTGTATAATACACTTTAGAATAATATATTTCCATTAAAGTGTATATATAATGTCATTTTCTGTTTATATAATTGAATTCAATAACTTTTTTAAAAGTCACAGCAAAACAGGCATAAATGAGCAAGAAAGAGGAAACGATGACATTATACAGTCACAGCATTGGGTTTGTTGAAAAAACACAATTGCTGTGACTACAGAAAGGCTAAGCAAACAAACAAAAAAAAGCAAGCAAATTTCTTTTGTCAGGGTTCCCTGAGTTCTTTAAAATGTGTGGTGCCAAAAGAAGCATTAGAATCTTCAGGACACCAAGATTACCCTTAATCTAGAGCAAACTTTTTATTTGGCTATGACTTATGACAGCACTTTAGATAAGAGAGGTAAGAGGACATTTGCAATTATAAGTGTCTCTGAATTTATAATATTATATGTTTCCAAAAGTCATTCAATGACCCACAAAAGCAACCCATCAGATGGCAAAGTCAAGTTGCTGGTACATTTATGCTCTTAATTTAGAGATGGGATAACAGCACTCTTCTTGAGTTGTTTTTTCTAAACATCTTATGGTTATCTGCCTAAGTAGTATACTTCAGTATTTAAGTGTAGGCTAAAGGGTCAAATAACGCAGACCTGGCTATTGATTCCAGCTTGGCTTTTTTTTGGCTTTGTGACCTGGAATATATCCTGAGCTCTGTGAGTTTCTGTTTTCTCATTTGTAAAATGAACATAACAACCATCTTGCAGAAATGTGAGGAAGAGAAAGGATATATGTAATTTAATAACACAACATTGGAAATAATAAGCACACTCAATAAACAGCTGTTAACTCTTATTTGTAAAATAAGGAGGCTGAGGTAGATAGTCTCCTCTAGTTCTAACTTTCTATTCTTTATATGTTGCCTTTTTCCATAATAGTGGCCCTTGATTACAGGTCCTGAGAAAATATTAAAAAATGAGTCAGCCAATCTGGTTTGTTGAATCTTAATAACATTACAGTATCAGTAGAAATTTGGGGAGCTAAAATTTGAACATTATCTAGCCAATCTCAAAAAGTAAATGATTTCCCATTTTAGCATCCTTGAATCAATGTGTCAAGTTGGTCTTTGCTTCAATTTCAAAGTTGTTTTTCTAGGGGACCTTTTAAAATTTCTCCTTTGTTTTTAATACATTTTTTCTTATTGCTAGAGTAAATAAAAACCAATATTACATTACATGGAAAACATTCTAAGGAAATATAGGTTTACGTTAGACCATTTAATTTTCTCATAATGGAAAATGAAGCAGAATACATAATATCCATTGTACCAGTGTATGTGACTCAGCTCCTTCAAAACTAAAGCACTCATTCTCTTGATGCCAGGGATGTTAGTTACTGACCCCTATGGCTGAGTCTGTCTCTGGCCTCACAAAGGTTTACAGTCTCTTTCCCAGATAGAGGTAACCTAAATTCAGTTACTGATAAATTCAGGATTTGGTGGGCTGAACCTCTTTCCTCAGTTCAAAGCAATTCTAAAGGGTCATCCCAGCTCCCAAGATCCTTGTGGAATTGGTTGAGGTGTCTCTTGTAATTTTTCCCTCTGACCAATCCGGTCTTGTTTACTGTAATAGATATTGTTCCTAGAAATGAAGCATTTGCATGCAACTTTGCATCTCAGAATAAGTTTCCTAGGAAAACTGTCCTACTACAACTATTATCAAATATTTGAAAATAATTGGAAAGACATTTTCATTGAATAGTTAAAAAACTCTCTGCCTAAGCTCAAAGTCCAAAATCAGGCCCCCAAATATTTTGAAGTCATCTTCATCCAGATACCAGTCTTATATTAACTCAGCAAATTTCTACAGATACAAGAGGAGAAGAAATGTAGAATCTTGGTCAACTGTGGAACAAAAATCCAATCTGGTTTTTATATGGCACCTAATATAACCTGGAAGATCTGTAAATAACTAGGGAATTTGATCTTCTCCATTTGTGAAGTGGTTGGCTTTGTTAAGTTTGCCTGTGGATAACTTGTGGGTCATACTGAGACTGCTGTGCAGCCTCACAAACTCCATGATGGGGTGATAGGCTCAGAGGAATGTGGCATGCCTTGGAATCCCATACTGCTTAAAAGCGGATGGCTGCAGTCAGCTGAGTATCATGGATAAGCACAGTATCCAGTAAATGAGTTCACATTTATTTTCCCTCTGGACATTCTGTATCTGTACACACCTGGTAAGATGACTACCTTTGCATTTGCCAGGTACCTGCTTATCCAGGAGCTACGGTACAGTTAGTGCTTATGCCATAAAGATAAAGTGTCAGTGAAAAAATGATCCAAGCAGTTAACATAACTCCTATTACCAATAAATAGTTACACAGGAAAGATACTAGCTCAACAAAAAACTAGTTGAGAATAATAGCCCAATAATAGAACTTAGAGAACCATGAGACATAAAGTAAATGTCTAAGTCAGCAGTTCTCAAACTTTTTGGTCTCAGGTATTCCTTATGCTAAAAATTTATTAATGAGTCCAAACAGCTTTGGTTATGTGAGTTATATCTATCAATATTTACTACACTGGAGATGAATTTTGAGAATTTTAAAAAATATTTATGTAAATCGCAATAAAAAACTGCAACATGGGAATATAATCAGCATATTTTTATTAAAATTTTTTCCAGAATGAAAACAATTTTTTGAAAAGTAGCATTTCTACTTTTACATTTAATCTCTTGCAATATATTGTTTTGAACTACATAAAGAGAATCTGGCCTCATGCTGATATGTTGTTGGAAAAGGAAGAGATATTTTAATAGCCTTTTCAGATAACTGTTAATATTCTTCTTTGAGATTTACCATAATTTGTCACATTAGTGTCTTACGGTTAGTGTCAATGTGCAATCTGAAAACATATGGTGAACTTTTCCTGCTCTAATATTAAAAACTTTTGACTAACTTGCACTTTGAATGTGCTTTTTACCCATGTATAATTTTGTAACATCATAAATTTGTGATGTTTAAAATATTGATTCATTGAGCAATATAGATTTTCCAAATCTTGACACATTTCTTTACACAATAAAAAAAAGTCACACTTATGAATACCCCCACCCATCTCATTAGAAAAATATTTAAGTATTGGGAAACTGTCCAAAATCCCATTCTTCCCAAATTCTAATTTTTCCTTGAAACCTCAGATTTTATCATTGTCAACAGATACTGTATTATTTCCTTGACATGACAAGTTAACCTAGTTCATTTTTGAGAAAACATCTGTCAAGTAGCCACGTCTGTCAGCCAATCATTCTTTTAAGTAAAAATGATGTTCCATGGAAACTACAGCTAGTTCAGCTCACAACTCCATCATCCACGTGCTTTTTCCTGAGTCAATCATCATGCTTCCTTGTGGAGCAGAATTTGTTTTTCATACTTCCCATTTTGCCCACAAAAAAATTAAGGGAAATATAATAAGAGGTAGAGGCCTAAGGAAATTAGTAATTCTTACTGCTGCTTCAACAACATTTTTTGGTGAAATAACCACTTTTTTTTTTTTTTTACAGCAAGAACCTATCTATCTGTGAAGAATATGATGACTACTATTATGGTTTGATGGTACTGCCTTAATTCCTAATAGGACACCAGCAATTTTATACTCTGTTGCTTTTACTTCATCAGTGCAAAAATTATTACAGTGGAAACCACAAAAAACATCTTAGTGTTTATATAAAAATAGTTTTGACCTTGCAGACTCCTGAAAATATCTCAGCTACACCCAGGGGTTTTGTGGACCACATTTTGAGATCTGCTGCTCTAGACTAGAACTGGCCCCAGGGCAAAAACCAATATTTTGGTTGAACATTGGGCACTATTAGAGCTTCCTATCTCACCAGGGCAAGAGAGAGAGCAGAGATTAAAATCCAAATTACCTTCCTCTGTTTTCTTTTCTACCCGAATCACAAATACAAAACTGGAGTTGAAAGTTTTTGTATTTGTATTTCCAAGAAAAATGAGTTTAATGACTATAAAAATGGATTTTCCCCCTGTGGCAGCAGCCTTATAAACTATATCCACTAAACCTTTTTTCATTTATCCCTTCTGAAAGTAAAAGTGGCTAACTAAACTCTATGGCTGGCTCAGCTCCCTGACTCTAAGACCAGGTAAATGCTCATTGTGTTGCTGTCTTAGATACCCTGAACAAAAGTAATTGCATCAATTCTCTTCATATAGTGCTTCTGTGTAAAACATTTTCTTCTCCCTTCAAAAAATGTTTTCCTATATCAAACAGAAATCTAAGGCTGTAGTATAAATCTGCCTTCCTCACTCTCCTCACTCTCTCATTAGGTCCATGAGGAACAGCTAGTCAGCATGCTCATTATCAATGGCCAGGCGTGTATTTAAACAGATTTTAAGTCACCCTCCAGCCTTCTTGCTCCTTCAGGCTAAACAATCCTAGTTATTAACCTTTCCTCTCAGCCTTTATTTTCTTACCTTTTTATCATTTTTGTTGCTCTTTGTTGGACTCTCTCCAGTTTTGCCACATTCCCCTAAAGTGTTGAGAACAAAACTAGACACTATCCGTTAATAAGGTCTTCACCAGTGCCGTAGAAACGAAATCTTACTTCCTGGGCTTGGCATGTCATATTTACGTTAATATATTACCATGTTAGGCTTTTAAATAACAGCACTGTTTTGCTGACTGGTATTCATCTTAGGTTTGCAATCCCTCCAGACTTTCTGTTGTAGTCACGCTGAAGCAGACAGAACCTATCTTTAATCTCTGCCTTTTGCTTCTGGCTTCTGAGTGTCATATCTTACCCTGAAGCAGCAGTAAAAATTACTAATTTCCTTAAGCCTCTACCTCTTATTATACTTTATTTTATTTTCCCCTAGTTATTTCTGCCAATTTCCCTAATTTATCAAGCTCATGGTGAGCTATTCCTGGCTTCCAAGATGTAAACAATACCAACCACTTAATATCATGCACGCACACTCTTGATTCTATCATGCCAGACATTCTTTTAGAAGTACCACTTGATTTAAGGCACATTATTTTCCAGTTACAGAAGGCGGAAGTGCAGTCACTAAAATGGGCTTCCCAAAGTAACCCTTTTCCTATTTTTGCACTACCTATAGAGGTGCCTGCATCCCATCAAAAACAGAAATAAGTGGTCGCGTGCAGTGGTTCACTCCTGTAATCCCAGCACTTTGGGAGGCCGAAGCGGGAGAATCAGTCGAGCCCACAAGTTCGAGACTAGCCTGGGTAACAAAGCGAGACCCCCATCTCTACAAAAAATTAAAAAAATCTACTCATCTGACAAAGGGCTAATATCCAGAATCTACAAAGAACTCAAACAAATTTACAAGAAAAAAACAAACAACCCCATCAAAAAGTGGGCAAAGGATATGAACAGACACTTCTCAAAAGAAGACATTTCTGCAGCCAACAGACACATGAAAAAATACTCATCATCACTGGCCATCAGAAAAATGCAAATCAAAACCACAATGAGATACCACCTCACACCAGTTAGAATGGCGATCATTAAAAAGTCAGGAAACAACAGGTGCTGGAGAGGATGTGGAGAAATAGGAACACTTTTACACTGTTGGTGGGACTGTCAACTAGTTCAACCATTGTTGAAGACAGTGTGGTGATTCCTCAAGGATCTAGAACTAGAAATACCATTTGACCCAGCAATCCCACTACTGGATATATACCCAAAGTATTATAAATCATGCTGCTAAAAATACACACACACACATATATATTTATTGTGGTACTATTCACAATAGCAAAGACTTGGAACCAACCCACATGTCCATCAATGATAGACTGGATTAAGAAAATGTGGCACATATATACCATAGAATACTATGCAGCCATAAAAAATGATGAGTTCATGCCCTTTGTAGGGACATGGATGGATGAAGCTGGAAACCATCATTCTCAGCAAATTATTGCAAGGACAAAAAACCAAACACCGCATGTTCTCACTCATAGGTGGGAATTCAACAATGAGAACACTTGGACACAGGATGGGGAACATCACACACCAGGGCCTGTTGTGTGGGAAGCAGGGAGGGATAGCATTACGAGATATACCTAATGTAAATGACGAGTCGATGGGTGCAGCACACCAACATGGCACATGTATATGTATATAAAAAACCTGTATGTTGTGCACCTGTACCCTAGAACTTAAAGTATAAAAAAAATAAAAATAAAAATAAAAAAAGTCACCCTCCTAGGTAGAGGTTGCAGTGAGCTGAGATCATGCCACTGCACCCCAGCTTGGGCAACAGAGTAAGACTCCATCTCAAAAAAAAAAAAGTCACCCTCTTAGATGAGTAGACGAATCAAGTCTCATCTGCAGATGCTGTCTGCCCATGATCTTTGATACTAGCTCTATGGATTATAGCTAGAACCCCCTTCACTGTCTCCTCAAGTGAATTGCTTCATGACTTGCGTTTCTATGAAAACCCAACCTGATGTTCACTTAACATGATTTCACTTAAATACAAATGTTGGAATGGGCCTATGCGATATGATTCATTATAACTGGCACTTCCCTAATGACAGTTGTTTAGTATATTTGTTTATATCAACATCTCCTTCTTAGAGAAACCTACTTAACGGATTCTAAACTACTGGGCTCATTAGCTATGGATTATGTTTCTAAATATATAAAAGTTTATTCTTGTCTGGGTTAAAAAAAAAGCTTTGCTGTGTTTACTATCTTATTTGAATTATTCAAATCCCAATATTCAAGCCTGATATTTCTAATGATGTGATTATGTCAATTTTTCTTACCCAAGTCTGAGATACCTTATTATTTACTTTATCATTAGGATGTTCTTGCATAGGTAGGTTGACACTGATTGGTTTTGAATAGCTATAAATGGCGTTCTGCATATGAAGAGGTGACTTCTAGCATGTTTTAATGGCAGAGGAGACATGTCCACATATGAATGAAAACTTATGCAGAAGTAACTTAAAACATCACTATATATATATATATATATATATATATATATATATATATATAGTATAGAATTCTGCTACATGCCTATATAAACTCTATTGAAGTCTTAATATTTCTTGTTTCACTTAATTCTCAGGGCATCTGTGAGTTAAGTATCAGTTAATCCACACTGCAGATGACAAAACTGCAACTCAGTGATTTAAGTAGCTTGCTTAGAGACACACAACCAGTGAACATAGCCAGGATTCAAACCCAGAGCCCATGGTCTTTTCACTACACAATATTTTCCCCTCTCATGTTCATATTTGAGCCTGGCAAGTATTCTGATTGTATTTTCCTCAGAGAAGAGCATAATTTGCCAATGACAGTGCTCCTTGGTCAGTGGACATTTATCAGGTGGAAGTGACCCACCAATTTGTCCTCCAGTTATAGATGATGAAAGACTCCACTGCCTTTTTTTTTCTTTTTTTTTTTTTTTGGTTTAAGAACTGAACAGAGGCATAAAAGAGTCACTCACTTTCCAGAAGGATGGAAATACCTAAAGGTGAGTTAGGCCCTAGAATTGGACTCTGTGTGGTGTGTCTGCCCTTGAAGAGAAAATCTAGCCATCAATGTTTTGTGTCTGAAGGGAACAATTTGGTTTTTGCTCTTTCAAGTCTTATTATCTACAAAATTTGAATCCCTTCACTTTTCCTGATGCCTCTTGAGATTATGAAATGCAGATAAAGGGATAAAAACTCATGCCAATATGTTAGTATTACTCTAAAATGACTGATTCCCATCAGGTAAAAATAAAAAACAATTTAGATCAGTTATTTCCCCCATTCTGCTTGCAATGCCCAGAATCATTTTGTGGAATTGATGAGAGGAACAATGAAGTTTTGAATGAGATGCTCCTAAAATTATGGCTGGTTTTGATTACATAAAATAAGTACATTTTTAATAGTTGCCAGAAACAGAAGGACCACATATTCACACGAGAAATGTCAGCCCCACAAGAGACCAGGTTACTGACCACCTGGAGGAACACTGTGGACCACACTCTGTGAACCACTGCGCTAGAATTACTAAAAACAAATTTGTAAAAATCTAGAAATATGTCTGGCCTATTGTTTGGGCCATTTCTAAAAGAAATGACTGCATGATTACTTTTTCCATACTAATTCAACTGTTTACTTTTTAATTTTCTGCCTTGATCTTCCTTTTTAAAACTGTTAAGTCACCATGCACTGGGTTATAGCGACCTCCTAGTTAACATTGGTTTGGGCATATCTGTGTTCTTTCTTTTTCTATCTTCTTCCCATCTGACTAGCTCACCTAATTACACAGTAAGTCACTGATTCTATGACATAGGAAAAAAGTCTTCCCGTGCTAGTCAACTGATGCTTTTATTTCACTCAGGGAAAACTTATCAAAGGAGACATGGAGACCTAAATGCAACACATATTTGATGCTACTGGTAAGCTTATATTGTTGCCATAGCAACCTTGTCATTAAGGATGTTTTAGCTTTTCCTATTAACCTCTATTTTCAGAGGTTTATAACTTCTTGGTAAAAATTACCTCCAGGCTAAAATTTGGCATACATGATCTCAGACGTGTCAGGTGTCAGGGAATATATACATATGTAGTATCCATTTTCTTAAAGAAAACCTGGTGAATTTCCAAATGAATTATCTCACTTCTCATAGGGTACAAGTTCAGTAAATTTATTATTAACTTGATTATTTATAGAATATTATTATGGCAACACAACTAAGCACTTGTAAGACCTAGTGTTTGCTGTTGCTTTCTTTCCTTTTACATTCGTTGGCACGGTCACAGTGATTTTTCTCAAAAATCACTAGGAGAGACTTGACTGGCTCAAGATCAGTTTTACACTCACCTAAGTAGGTACATTTAGAGGTATTCGCTTTATGTATCTGGAATTTACATTGTACTTTTATCAGCATAGGAAAGAAAAAAGAAATCTAGCTGGTGATGCAGTAGAGGTCGGGGTGGAGATGGAAAAGGCAGAGGCTTAGCTCTGAGCTCGCCCCTCCCTCTTATTTCTCCTCTCTGCATAATGAAGCCACATTTTTTATTTTCCCAAGGGAGAGCCTGGTAGTTTCCCAAGGACTAGAAACCAATTCTGCCCTCTCACCACAGTTTTAGAATTGGGTAAAAACATAGTGAAGGTTTTGTTTTGTTTTTTGAAAGATAATTTTTAAATAAATTTTCCAATTTCCTCATTTTTTTTCTTTTTATTTTGAAGAATTTTAAGCTCACAGAAAAGTTGCAAGAATAATAGAATAAACCATTTGAGAGTTGATAACACTAATAAACTTCAGGCCTAAATATTTTAATATGTATTTCCTTCATGTCTTTGGTGGAAACACGGATGGAGCTGGAGGCTATTATCCTTAGCAAACTAACTCAGGAACAGAAAACCAAATACCACACTTTCTCACTCATAAGTGGGAGCTAAATGATGAGAACTCACGAACACAAAGAAGGGAACAACACACACTGGGGCCTTCTTCAGGGAGGAGGATGGAAGGAGGGAGAAGAGCAGAAAAAATAACTATCGGGTACTAGACTTAGTACCTGGGTGATTAAATAATCTGAGCAACAAACCTCCGTGACAGGAGTGTACCTGTAAAAAAAAATGCACATGTAACCCCAAAACTTAAAATAAAAGTTAAAAAAAAGTATCTCCTAAGAATAATGACAATCCTCTATGAACCACAAAACAATGATCACACTCAATAAATTTAGCATCAATGCTACTATCTAAAACAATCCTTATGCAAATGTTCTCAGTTGTACCACTTACATCCATTTATAGCTTTGTTTTCCATCTATAATAGCATTCAATCAAGGATCATGCATTACATTTAGTTATCATTGTTATAGTCTTCTTGGATATAGAATACTTATCTAATCTGCTTTGTCTTTCATGACATTGCCTTTTTTGTTGTTTTAGGCAGGGTCTCACTGTGTTGCCCAGGCTGGAGTGCAGTGGCACAGCTCTCTGCAGCCTTGACATCCTGAACTCAAGCAATCCTACCACCTCAGCCTCCCAAGTAGCTGGGACTACAGGCTCGGCACCACACCAGGCTAATTTTTGTAATTTTTTGTTTTTGGTAGATGCGGTTTCCGCATATTGCTCTGGCTAGTCTTGAATTCCTGCACTCAAGAGATCCATCCACCTGCCTCGACCTCCCAAAATGCTGGGATTACAGATATGAGCCACCGCGTTTGGCCAACACTGACTTTTTTTAAGAGTTCAGGTCAATTGTGTTAGAATGAAAAATATCTCTCAATTTGTTTCTTATGATTCTAATCATACGATTAGATGATTTGATTAAACATCATCTAATCGTTTGGTTAACCAAACATTTAACCAAAATGTTTGGTTAAACATTTTGGGCAGGAATACCATGTAGGTGGCATTAGATTATTCTCAGTATCACATCAAAATGGACATGATGTCTATTTGTCCCATTATTTATCACATCAAAACGAACATGATGTCTATCTGTCCCATTATTGATGACCATTTATTTCTTAAGTTTTATAATTCCTTTTAGTCTGTTTTGTGTTTCTAACATAATGTATTGAACCATTTCCTTAGGGAAGGTCATTTATTCACTGTGTTTAGAATTTTATTTGCATATTTTCTCCCATTTTATACTGACAACATCTAGCTCCATAAATCCTTATGTGATTTTTATTTTCTTACAAAGAAAGAGCTTCCTAGAAGAGAGATGGACGTGTTAAACTGGATAGGTACTTTAACAAAAGTTGAATGATTGTTTTAAAGACTCTACCCATCCATTTATCTACTCATAGCATATGAGACAGCCTTTTATTTTTTCACATACCCACCATGGACAGTATTCTCAGTTATTTTAATATTTTCTTCTCTGATAGATGTAAGGTGATATCTTATTAATACTTTTTTGCCCGTTTTGGACTACTGATGTGCTTGGGAAACTTTATATGTTTACCAGCCATTTTGATTTACTCATCTATAAATTACTCTCCACATTGTCAGCTTAATTTTTCAAATAGAATTTTTATGCCTACTTAGCAAATTTATAAGAGATCTCTATATATTGTAGATACTACTCTCTGCCTTTCTTCTGTGTTATAACTTCTTTGAATCTGTGTCTTTGTCTATGATTTTACCGATGGTATCACTTGCCATTCAAAAATTTAAAAAAATTTTATTTAGTTAAATGTCTCTTTTGGTTTATAGTCTCTACATTTCTAGTTTTAGGAAGCAAATGTCTCCAGCCTCTGGATTTTATATGTAACCTCTTAGATATTTTTCAAAATATTTCTTGTTTATTTTATATTTTCAATATTTTAATGTAGCTACAATTTCATTTGATAAGGTAAAAAATAGGGTTTAATTCTGTTATCTTCTAAGTAACTGACTATTTAACAATATTTAAATAACACAATTTTTTTTCTTTTTTTCTTTTTTTTTTTTTTTCTTTGAGACAGAGTCTGGCTCTGTTGTCCAGGTTGGAGTGCAGTGGCGCAATCTGGTCTCACCTCAAGCTCCGCCTCCCAGGTTCAGGCCATTCTCCTGACTCAGCCTCCGGAATAGCTGGGACTACAGGCCCCCGCCACCACACCTGGCTAATTTTTCTATTTTTGGTAGAGATGGGTTTTCACCTTATTGGCCAGGCTGGTCTCAAACTCCTGACTTTGTGATCTGCCCGCCTCGGCCTCCTAAAGTGCTGAGATTACAGGCGTGAGCCACCGCGCCCGGCCAAATAACACAATTTTGTAAAGATTCTACTTTTTTTTTTTTGAACAGAAATGCCACTTTAATCATGTTAAATTTCCATATGTATTAGAGTCATTACTAATTGTTGTTTTATTTCCACTGACCTATTTGTTTCTTTATATTTCTTCATCATGTAGCTCTGAATACTTCTTACATTTTAAGGTATCTATTATGAAGTATTGGTTGTTTAGAAATAATTTTTCTCAATTATTTATTTAGATTTGGGTGCCGAGTTTTTTTTTAATTATTGCATATGTACAAATATATGTATCCCAGCAGGTGAAAAATAATTAATCTGATTATAGGACTATTGGATTGAATTCCTGGCTCTCAGAAGTCTGTAAATAATGTTCCCTTGTAATTTACAATGTGGCAGATAAGAAATCCGATGCCAGTCTGATTCTTTCGCCTTTGCCAGAAACATGTCCTTTTTCTTCAGAAGAATGTAACATGTTGTCATTATTTTTAAAATCCAAAAAAAGGCCAGGCGTGGTGGCTCATACCTGTAATCCCAGCACTTTGGGAAGCTGAGGCAGGTGGATCATGAGGTCAGGAGTTTGAGACCAGCTTGGCCAATATGGGAAAACCCCATCTCTAGTAAAAAACAATCCAAAAATTAGCCGGGCATGGTGGCATGTGCCTGTAATCCCAGCTACTCGGGAGGCTGAGGCAAGAGAATTGCTAGAACCTGGGAGGCAGAGGTTGCAGTGAGCCGAGATCACGCCACTGCACTGCAGCCTGGGTGACAGAGTGAGACACCATCTCAAAAAAAAAAAAATCCAAAGAAAATGTACTTATATATGTCAATGCCTGTGTCTTTTCTAACCTGGAACACACTGAGCACTTTCAGTCTACAAATTCAGTTCTTTCCTCAACTTTGGGAACTTCTTCAATGATTTGTTTAATTATTGTCCATCATCCATGTGTTCCTTTGCATCTTTTTGGAACTTTGATTAATCTCATGCTAGGTTCCCCGTATCTACCTTGCAAGTCTCATATCTCATTCCATCCGGCTCTCTTTATGTTCTCTCTTTTTGTTAATTCTTTGTGTTACTGTGCTTTGACTTTTAAAATCAGGATGTATTTATTTACTTTTCCAAGTCAATACACACATTTCAGCCATACTCACACTTTTCTTTTACAAATCATTCAGACAGTAAATCATTATGTTAGGTCTAGCAAGTCCATGTATGTGTGTGTTGACATGCATGTGTTTACCTGAATGCTACACTTGCAGCTTCTAAGGTGTTTTCCTTTGTTCCTTTGTTAGTTCATGCCTATCTTTTCTAACAGTTGTAAATCAATGGGCCTGTGGTTTATCTGCTCTGACTGATAATTATCTCAGGTTGCTGAGCACCTAAAGATATACGATTGTTTTTCTTCCTAGACTCATTGGTAATTAGTCTGATTGTTATAGGCTAGGATCCTAACTGGTGGAGTTTCCAAAAGTAGAGACAGAGAAGTAGTGTTTATATGCACATACAGTCAGGCCTCAGGTGCAAGAAGATGCAGTCCACCTATTCAGCTGTTTCACGACCTCCTGAAAGCAGGTACAATAAACACTGAAGTGAGACCAATTTTCAACTTATCCTGAGAGAGCCATACCCCTCTATGGGCCAGGTTATTCCAAAGATCCAGTACCTTGTAATTGTTACCTTGGCACTGTTTGATGTGGGTCTTTAGGTACTTGCCAACTTGAAAAAAACAAAGCCCCACATAAATGCTCTTTTTTGGAACCAAAGCAGATTCTAAGACAGGCAGATAGATTAGGATCAATTGTGGGGAGGTGGGGAGGTGAAGCAAGGCACCCATAATCATGTCTCAAACTTTGCTGAATGCTCTGAATCTACTGTTTCTACAATGGCTTGACTTTTACTTTTGTTTCTACTGATGTTTACCTTAAAATTTTATAAAGACATGGTTACATTTATCATTGGAATTAATTTAAATAGTTTCCACTTCCTTTTGTGAATGTGAACATTTTGAAGACTTTCTCAATCCTCCCCTTGTCACATACACCTGCTCAGTACTTGTTTCTCATTTGAAATTATGAACTCTGTGACTTTAACTTTTTTCAATTTTTAAAGAAAAACTATTACCAAATCTTAACTATACTAAAACCAATATTAAAATTTATCTCAATATAGTTAACAGATTTTACTGCTCAACCTGTCAGTTATTTTCAGCTACGATGTTGTCATTATAATTTGATTCATATTTCATCATTTTGTAATAGACCTTCTGGCAGTTTAATAGTTTACCCTGAAAAGAACACAAACTGGATGGCATAGTATTAAGCACTTGCACATCAAGGAATTGCTTTGTCCTGGGTTCATAAATCAATGACAAATTGGCTGGAAATATAATTCTTGAGTCAAAACATTTTTCTTTGGGACACTGTGATTGTTGCTCCAATTTTTTCTGTCCTTTAGCGTTGCACCAACATGGAAGCATGCCTGATTTTTCTTTTCTTGTAATGAAACTGCTTTTTTGCCTCTTAGATGCCTGCAGAATTCTTCTATGTCTTTGAAGTTTCGAATTTCACCAGATCATTTTGAAGTATGGTGTTCTTTTTAAGCTGGGCTCAGAAATGATATGTACACTTGGTTGGTTATTGGAACAAATAATCTCTTTAGAATTAAGAATAATTTCTTCAATTTTTTCATTTTTTCTTTTTATTATATCTATGTTGTTCCTTCTTCCAAAAATGTTTATGACTCATAGTTTGAACTTGCTGAATCTGACCTTTCTACATTTATACCTTTTCTTCCATTTTTTTTCCTTTTTATGATGATTCCTATTGAATTCTGTAAATGTTTCCTAAATTCTACTCACAGCTTTTATTTCCTAGCATGTACAATCTGCCAAAAAAAATTCTTGTTTATCATCACCATGTAGATCTTTTTGATGGCTTTTCTTGTCTGTTGACTTTGGATTTCTTTGTCACAAATATTCCAGCCAATGTTAACCAAACATTGACATTCAGAGTATGTCATGAAGCATTGCAGTCTGAAGCCTGAAAACGTCTGGTTTCCATCCTGCTGCTTGAGACTTTGATCTGATTGCCGAAGGTCCATGTTGGTCTGTGAAATAATTTTGGGACTGAGGTCCAGGAAATGTGGAACAATGAGATCTAAGGACCGTAGGTCTCTCAGGATTTGGTGGAAAGGAGTCGCTCTTGGGTAGCTTTGACCTGCTTGTTTCTGAATTTTATGCAGGTTACATTTATTTTTTGTTTAAGCCACTGTTTCTTTGATTCCTTTTAAGTGCCTCTTTAAATGGATTTTATGGAGCCAGGCTGCCAAAGTTTAAATGAAATAACTACTGCTTAACTTGCTTTGTGAACTTCAGGCAAATTACTTAGTTTTTCTGTGCCTCAGTATACTCATCCATAAAATGGGAGTACTAATAGTATGTATTTCATGGTTTGTTGGGATTAAGTAAATCACTAAATTAATCTCCTAGCACAGAGAAATCACTATTTCAGTGTCTTTTATTACCTTCAGCTTTAACATAGAGCTTATTTCTGTCCCACACATCATGGATTATTACAGGAAAGCTGCCACATGGCTGTTTCTTTGCTGTGTAGGTTTGCAAAGGACTTTTCTTATCACTGGGCCAAGATTCTGTCTTGTTGGAGTGGTCTACACTGATGAGAAATCTGGGTTATGCCTCTACTAAGGTTCAAAGTCTACAAAACAGAATTTGGCTGGTGTGCTGCTGCACAGCCTCTTCCCCTGATATTAACTCCAGTTCACCTCCATTTACAATAGCAATAAAACAAAAGATTTCCGGGGTCTTCTATTTATTATCCAGACTCTCCAGTCTTCCTGTAGAGTGATATCCATGCCTTAATATGTGCCTTCAAAGTATTTTTCCCATATGTATTCTATCTTGCAGAAATTCTTCAAATCTGTAGATTGGCTTCTATGCTTGGCAAATATCAGTTTAACCAACCATAGATTTTTCTAGTTATGCTGTAGAATTTTGTTTTCCCATTTGTAAGTTCCATTTCAATAATTTAATAATATGGAAAGGTGGATGCCTGTGTTCATACTGCCCATAAATTTACAGCAAGGCCACTTGTTAGGAGTGTCTATAAGAGCCGGTACCCAGAGAATTTTAGTGCCCCCAATTCTGCCAGCTTCTCAAATCACAGCTGTACCCTAGTCCTTGTTGCATGCTCAAGTTACTTCCCTTTTGTCCTCAGCCTTGATTAAATTCACTAACAGCAAGAACTCATAGGGTTTTTCAGAGAAAGAGAGAGAGAAAAAAAAGAAGAAGAGATATTGTTCAGTGATTCTTGATTGTATATCCTAGGCATAAACTCAGCTTAGGCTATCCTGAGCTTCAGCCATGCTCTAGACCTAGTGGATAGCACTGCAATAAATATTAGTCTGAGCACAAAAACAAAAACAAACAAAAAACCAAAAAATTCTCTTTTCTTGATTGGTTACCCAGCATTATGTATTTTTCATTTTAATCTTAATTACTTTATTCCCTGCCTTGCATACATTTTAACGAAATAAAGCTCTCTCTACAGAAATGCTAATCACATAGATTGTGATCCATAATCGGGCCTAATTTATGTGCTTATATGTGCTTTATATGTGCTCATTAAAACATTATCTTAGTACAAGAACTTATTATCATTTTGTATTTTTGTGTCATACTGAGGCATACTAATTATGCCTCAGAGTTACTTCCTCTGACTCCTGGTACATTACTTCCTATAATATTTTTCTCCCAATTTCTAGTAGAATGTTGATCAATATAACTCATTTCACAGGCTTAACCATATCTTGTTGAAAACTGGCAATAACTTTTAACTATTTTAACTAGTCCAAGTAGCACTAGTATTTAATACATATAGGCTTTCTTAAAATAATTCTTAAGAAACTGGACATCCATGGATGTTGGGATAAAATATAATTTAGTGTGTTCCTAGAAAGTGAGGTAGGGAAGTCTAAAAGATTTCCTTATGTTAATCAAATCACACAGTATTGAATAAGTTTGATTTTTCTGGCTGGCACATCTGTCCTCATTGTGCAACTCTTATTTCAGGGCCTGAGGTTCAATGTCGTTTTTTTTTTTGTTTTTTGTCCTTATTCTAATAATCACGGTGTTTGGAGCTGGTCCATTGCAGTTAATTTGCACTATTAATTCAATAATTTCTCAGTTTCATAGTCCATTGAGGCTGCTATAACAAATACTTTAAACTGGGTAGCTTATAAACAACAAACATTTATTTCTCACAGTTCTGGAGACTGTGAAATCCAAGGTCCAGGCACCAGCAGATATGGTGTCTAGTGAGGGCCAATTTCCTGGTTCATAAAATGTGCCTTCTCACTGTATTCCCACATGGTGGAAGTGGCTAATGAGATCACTGGAGCTTATTTTAAAAGGGCACTAATGCCAGTCATGAGGGCTCCAACCTCCTGACCTAATCACTTCTCCAAAGGCCCCAACTCCTAATACCATTCCCATGAGGGTAAGGATTTGAACACACAAACTCTGGAGGGGAACACAAACATTCAGACCATAGCAGGCAGTCATGGTAAAAAAGTAATTCTCAGCTCTGACATAATGATTTTAATCTGGAATAGAGCTGAGTGGTGAGTTATAAAGTCAAAACCTCCAGACTACAAACTCAAGAATACACAAAAAGAATAACCTAAATGTTTTTATTCAAGAGTGACATCATATTTAAAGACTCATTACCAAACTGGCAAGCATAGGTTTGATTCTTGAATCCTGTGTCTGTAAGAACTTTTAAATGGCTTCAGATCATGACCTTCTGCAGCACTTCCCTTTCTGTCTCTCACCAATTCTCTTGGACTATTTCATTTGGTCAAACTCTCCTCATCAACTCTGTAATGTGAGTATTAACCTCACCAGCTCTGCTTCAAATCTACCGTTTCAAATCTCCTCTTCCTCAACCACTTCTCTGATTTTGTATCACAAAAGTCAAGGAAACAGCCTAACCAGATTGAAAAAAAAAAAATCTCTTCTGCATGAGGGAATGAAGAAAGGGTAGAAATGGGACTCTTGAATACAAGCATTCTCTTGATAGACAACAAATCACATATACACCATGGAATGCTATGCAGCCTTAAAAAAGGATGAGTTCGTCTCAAAAAAAAAAAAAAAAAAAAAAAAAAAAAGGATGAGTTCATGTCCTTTGCAGGGACATGAATGAAGCTGGAAACCATCATTCTCAGCAAACTATCACGAGAACAGAAAACCAATCACTGCATGTTCTCACTCATAAGTGGGAGTTGAACAATGAGAACACATGGACACAGGGAGGAGAGCATCACACACTGGGGCCTGTTGCGGGGTGGGGAGCTAGGGGAGGGATAGCATTAGGAGAAATACCTAATGTAGATGATGGGTTGATGGATGCAGCAACCACCATGGCATGTGTATACCGATGTAACAAACCTGCACGTTCTGCACATGTATCTGACAACTTAAAGTATAATAATAAAAGAAAAATAAAATGAAAAAAAGAGAAATATCTGTCATTAAAAATGTTTTTCTAATTATACCTACAACATGGATAAATCTTATAATTATGCTGGAAGAAGGAAGTCAGACAACAAAAGAGTACATTAGTTTATGATTTCATTTATATAAAATTCTAAAAAATGTCAACTTATCTATAGTGACAGGAAGCAGATCAGTGGCTGCCTGGGGTTAAGGGAGGAATTACTAAGGGGCAGGAGAAAAGTTCCTCATTTTTGGAATGATGAATATGTTCATTATTTTGACTGTGGTGATGGTTTTACAAATGCATATCAAAAGTGATTAAATTGTACGCTTGAAATGTGTAATTTGATGCATATTAATTATATTTAAATAAAGCCATTTAATTTAAAAAAATAAGCATTATCTGCTAATTAATCAATGATTAGGTTAATTAAAAAAGTGGTAAAAACATTTTCAGATACTCTTGAGTGTGAAAGTCAATGTGATATTGCTAAAGTAACTCTACAAACTTCTGATTTCCTGAATTCAAGTCTCAGTTCTGCCAATTTAATAACCAACTAACCTTGAGCAAGTTGTTTAATCTCTCAGTCTCAGATTCCTCATTTGTAAAATGAAGAAAATAACATTTGCCTGAACATGTTAAACTAATATACAGCATTACTGTGGATGTAATCTTATTCACTCATTGCTATATTTTACATCAATTCCTATGCTGTTTCTAGTCTCATCCTCCCTTCTACATAGAGTGGCATGTTTACATTTAAAAGATAGCTTCCTCAAAGTTATAGAATCACACAGTTAACAAGGTTTTCTTATTCAGCAAAAGAGAATGGAGAAGAGAGTTTTAGAAATGGTGTAGCTTATGTTTTGCCCAATTTCTTTACTATCAAATATAAAAATAATTCTTAAATTTGTTTTGTTATTTAGTGATTTATTTTGAATATTACTGTTATGTGAATTTAGATGGCTCTATAGTTAGCCCACAGTATTACTAGAACTATGAGAAAGAACTCATCCTAATTGTGCTTCTTATACAACTTCACTGATTCATATACTTGTGTGTTATTATATCTGAATATTTTAATATTTTCCAGGCATTCTTTTTGAAATCAGCTTTCCCTGCCACCACCTCAGACTACATCCGCGATTTTCTCATGAAAGGTAAATTGGAAAAATAATTCAATACATAAAAACCATATATAATTAACTTTTTAAAGGAGTGTTTTTTATCTGTCCTACAGTATGTGAGCATATTGATTTGGTAAGGTTTGGACTAACAGGAATAAGGAGTCATTCTTGCTCTCTCATTCTCCACAAGTCATTTAAACCTGTTGCTGTTGTCTTAATGTTTGTATCTCCCCAAAATTCATATGTTGAAATCCTAACCTCCAAGGCAATGGGATTAGGAGGCAGGGCCTTTGGGGGTGATTAGATCATGGGGTGGAGCTTTTATTAATTACATTAGTGCTCTTATAAAATAGGCCCAATTAAGCTCATTTTCTCCTTCTACCATTAAGGACAACTAGCAAGAAGGTGCCATCTATGAACCAGGAAATCATGAGCCCTCACTAGATTACAAATCTGCTGGCACTTGGATCTTGAACTTCACAGCCTCCAGAACTTTGAGAAATAACTTTATTGTATGTGTATAAGCCACCCAGTTTTTATTATAGTATTTTGTTAGAGCAATTCACATTGAATTAAGATGAAAATTGGTACCAAGGAGTAAGGTTGCTGCTTTAACAAAAATATGGAAGCAGTTTTGAAACTGGATAATGAGTAGAGGCTGGAAGGGTTTTCTAGTGCCTGCTGGAAAAAGCTTATGTCACCATGGACAGATCATAGAGGGAGATGCGGAGGAAGGCTCAGAAGAAGAGGAGAGCTGTAGAGAAAGCCTTCATCTTCTTAGCAAACATATGAGTGGTCATAAATACAATGTTGGTAGAAATATGTACAGTAAAGGCCATTCTGATGAGGTCTTAAACAGAAATGAGGAACATACCTTTGGACACTGGAGGAAAAGTGCCCCTTATTATAAAGTGTACTAGTTTTGTAGAAAGTAGAACTTATGAGTAGTGAAATACATATTTTGCCAAAGAAATTTCTAAGCAGTATAGAGGGCATGGCTTGGCTTACCCTCAACACTGCTTAGAAATTTAATACCGAAAAATTAAATAGTGAATTTTTAATCAAAAGAGAAGCAGAAGTCAAATTTTAGAAAATTCTCAGGTTGTTCTTATTCTTTAAAATGAGAAAGCATGTTGTGGAGAGAACATCAAGGGTGTGACCAGTAAACCATTCAGTAAGGAGATTCGTGCGTATAAACCAGGTGCTATTCATCAGGACAATGGAAAAATGATCCCAAAGGCATTTTGAAGAGTAGCAGAGTTGCCACTCCCATCACAGGCCAAGAGTGCAAGGTCCTGGGGAAACAGAGTGATTTCAAAGGAGTGGCCATGGGTGTTCTCAAGACCTCTGCACTTGATGCCCTGCACCCCTCAAGGCTCTGCTCATTGCCCTCCATCATGATACTCCTTGGCTGCCCCAGGTGTGACTACAGTGGGTCCTGGTATAGTATGTACTACTACCAGCAAAGCCGTGAGGAAATCTAGCTAAGTCCACCTAGATTCCAAAGGATTCCCCGGAAAGCCAAGAAATCCAGGTAGAAAACCAGTTTGAGGGTGGTGGTGTCCCCTAAATTTCAGACCAGTATATCTATAGATGTGCAATTCCAGCCCAGGAGAGCCACAGGGACACGACCCAGGCACGTTGCTGCTGCAGAGGTGGGGTTACTGCAGGGAACTGCCGTATGGGTGGAGCCACCCAAGCCTAGAAGACAGGGCCATCATCCCAGTGGGCCTGGAAGACAGAGCCACTGCTCCAGAGTGCCCAGACGGCACAGTTTCACGCCAAAGAAGTTATTTTTGACCCTTAAGGTTTTGGACTTGCTCAGGACCCATTACCTCTTCCTTCTTTCCTATTTCTCCTTTTTGGAATGGACATGTCTATCCTATGCCTATCTCGCCATTTTATTTTGGAAGCATATAACATGCTTGATTTCACAAGTCAACAGCTGGAGAGCTATTTGCTTCAGAATAAAGGGAACCTTGAGTCTCTCCATATCTGATTTAGATGATCTTTAGATGATGCTCTGGGTTTTAGACTTCTGAGGTGATGCTGGAATGTGTAAAGACTTTTGAGGCTATTGGGATGAAATGAATGTATTTTGCATATGAGAAGGGCATGAATTGAAGCTAGGGAAAGAATGCCATGGTCTGAATGTTTGTCTCCACCCAAATTTGTATGTTTAAATCCTAACCCCCAAGGTGATACAGTATTAGGAGGTGAAGACTTCGGGGAGGTAATTAAGTCATGGGGACAGAGGCCTTATGAATGAGACTAGTGACCTTATAAAATAGGCCTATGGGAGCTCATTAGCCCCTTCCATGATATCAGACACAGCAAGAAGTCAGC
Organism: Homo sapiens; assembly: GCF_000001405.40. NCBI lineage: Eukaryota > Metazoa > Chordata > Mammalia > Primates > Hominidae > Homo > Homo sapiens. The sequence continues at coordinate 82,851,264 of NC_000001.11, read as the reverse complement.
AGTCTGCAACCTAGAAGTGGGCCCTCTCCAGAAGCTGAACATGCTAGCAACCAGATCTTAGGCTTCCCAGCCTCTATAACCAGAAGATACAAATTTATGTTATTTATAAGCCACCCAATTGACGGTATTTTGTCATAGCAGCACAAACAGATCAAGATACCTATTGATAGTACCCCTTAAATATGTCTGTAAATACATCCCACTGGAACTCTTCCAAGTCTGCACATCACTGCCACTTATTTTATTAAAACAACAGGCTCTTAATTGGTCTTTACTCTCTAGTCCTGCCTCTCTTCAATCAGGGCAATATTTCTAAAATACAAATATGATTGCACTACACTATTTCAGTGGCTTACCATTACTCTGAGGGTTAAATATATCTTAGCATGATAAATAAACTTCTTTATATTCTCTGATTTTCTTTCTGGTTTCCTTTCTAACCTCAAACTTTTTCTTTCCGTTCACAATCTATTACCTGCCCCAGTGATACTAAATATTGTCCAACATTGTGCTGGAAAATATCCCATGCCTATCTCCTTCCTTGAGCTGTGTAACACCTACTTCTCAAGGAAGATTTCATTTAGATTTTACCTCCCCTAGGAAGATTTCCCGGAGCTCTGTAGTCTGGTTAATTGCCTATTTTTATGCATTATATACATACCCACTTCATAGTGCTTACTTCTTTCTCTGTCTACTCATAAACTGTAAGTCCTAAGTTATATCCCTTCAGGGACTGTATCTCCAGTGCCTAGAGATATGCTCAGTCATCTGGATATGTACCATTTGCCCTCCAGCTCCCCTCAACATCCTTAAAAGCTTTCCTTATGTCCTGGAGACTGATCCATGTGTACTACATCAATGGACTCCCTCGGCCTGACTTTCAGTTGGTCGCTGCTAACGAGAGGCCCTGGTATGAGATGAGAGAGAGAGTCAGGATGTGGTGTAGGGGCTTGATTCCATGCCCTTGGGACCTTGAGTCCACTGCATCCCTCCTCCAAGGGCCTCAGCTCATTCCAGTTCTCTTTCCAGGATCTGGCAACCATTCCCTCCCATTTCCCCTTCAGGTCTGGAGGTGGTAATCAATACATATTTATTTAATTAACTTTAATTGAATCACTTTGTGTGAAACACTTTTTCCCCCTGGTGGATATGTTTTCTACAGTAAAGAAAGCAAATGAGTTTTCTCATGACTGACTAGCTATTAATTGACCGCTATATAGAACAATATTTTCCACCCTGCTTTTGGTATTCAGATGGTATGCAAAATAACATTTTATATTTTAATAATCATTTATTTAATATAGTAGGAAAATTTAACTAGCATAACAAAACCATGATTTAACGGATATAATGAAGTAACACACATTTTTCTTATAGACCACAATTAAGTGAAACATTGTCACTTTAAAGGAAAAAACTAAGTAAATGATATTTACTTACTACACGTAAAAATGAATATGATGAAATTATGGGCATGTTATATGATTCTGTGGAACTTGGAAAGCACTGGCATGAAGGATTTTGAGGCTGTGTCTTAATAATGCAGAAAAGGTTGTGACTGATTTATGATCTCAGGCATTGGAACAGCACAAAGCACACATGCCAGGTGAGTGCCACGTCTAGAGTCATGCCCTTGTTTATACCTTGGCAATCCAAGGGAATTTCCAGTTCTAATTCTTTGCATCAGCTATTCTATTGGAGCTAGTTAGCTTAAAATACTGCTGCCAGGTAAAAGGGTAGAAGAAAATATATTTCTGCTTTTGCAGAAATCCATCTGTTTTATTACTCTGGAAGTTGTGCTGAAGTTCACTCATTCAACTGCCTCAACTAGCACAAAGAGTCTTCTAAATTATTTGATCCTAGCAAAATAACAAAGATTGTGAAAGAGTTACCAGTGTTATCATTGTAATTATATGAACAGAAAAAGTACTACTTCCATCTTTGGAGTGACAACAACTAATAACATTGTAAAATTGTCATTGTTCAGTTCATAATTTTGAGTTTGATGAAAAATCTGTAGATTGTTAGAATTATTATTATAGTATGGAATATGAGAGATTTGGGCAACTAAATGTTTTATAGAAACTGAATAATTAGAACCTAATTCCATGAGTATTCTGGGTGGTGACTGGGTTTATGACTGTAGGCACACCATACTGGGAGTGAAACATTTAGTAGGTCCAATTCTGCAGAGACAAGTATTTTATTTACTTCTATATGTTTAATTTATACCCACTGGCCTCCAAAACATGTGCTATACCAAAGAAAAGGTAATAATGTACACTTGACTGGTTTTGGAAGCAGAGTAACAAATTGGATTAATTAATTGTACTCAGTATTTCCATCCCATTTAGTTTGGCTTTGATAACCCCCAAACTACCACAGTTTAATGGTCCTAGAGAACCCCCAGACAAATAAAATGGAAGAATAAAATGCTTAAAGTTAAAAACAACAACAACAACAAAACACTTTGAGACCTGATTGGTCCAGTTAACGTGTCTGCACTGATTCAATCCACTAAAGAATTCTAAATATTCTATTTGTACATAGTAAAAACCATTTATAGACAAATAACTTAGGCGTTCAAATGATTAAAGTAGGGGGTTTCACAGGGTGTGCTGGGAGCAGGTAAGGGTGGATATCAACCCAAAACCTCGGAAGTAGTTCCCTGTTAAGTAGTTGTCCAATTTCTTGTTGTGGTCTAACCTATTTCAAAGAATGAAATTGGCCACAGATGTTCTCATTTTAAAAGACATGAGCTTAGTTTCTTAATGCTTATTACTCTATGTAGAAATCCATTTCTCTCTTTGCTGTCTCTTTAGGAAACCTTTGTTTAATAATGCTCAGTAAATTAGGCCTCCATAGGCTTGGCTTTATCCCACCCTGCCAGTTTTCTTTCCCTTTCTGTACCTCTGTAAAATATCTGCTTAGAGTCTCTGATTTGAAATGTTAATTAAGGTGGGCCTGGCCTCAGGTTACAGTGTACATCCCTTTTTACATGCAAAGGGGGATATGCTAACTAGGTTACTTAGAGTCTGGGGGCCAAGAGGGAGGCTTCCAGAAGACAACAAAAGTCCATGAAGAACAGGGCACTTCTCAGCAACCCTCAAGGAAGCAATTGGTAAGACTGTTGGCTGAAATAAGTTATCTAGTATACAGAGATGTCTAGTATTAATTTTGGCCACGTTTTTTCTTTTTGTAATCTCTTAATGTTAAATTTGTATCCAGTTGACATAGATATAATATGATTTAATTAGATATTCAAAAAAGCCAGATATGTGACTAATCCTGCCTACTGATTTCAAACAGGTAAATAATGTTCAATCTATTTGATTTCAAGATGATGATCTCAACATTTTAAGGTTTCTGAGTGAGATATTCATTTCAAATCATCTGGGCCACCCTGAAAAACCTAGAGATAATTCCTATATTACCCTGAAGAAAGGGTGTCTGTGTTTCTGTGTGCATTGTGATTGTGTGTGGGTATGAATGTGTATGTATGAAAAGTATATATGGGATTGTGAATGCATTGCATACACGGCTCTCCTAGCAAGCAAGATTCAGAAAGAGAAAATCTACATTTGAAAGCAAGGACACCGTAGATGTTAACTTTAAATCATGTAAGAGGTAGCACAAAGAAATAAATTAATATTGTTGTGTAAAAAGTACCCTAAATTAGCCTCCAGAGACATGAATTGCAAAATAAATGCAAAAGTTACACCTTTAATTACTGTGGTGGAACCTTTGAGATTTTGAAACATTTATTTGTATAAATCACTTTCATAGTTATTATGGAAAGTATTTTCTAACTCTTTTGATTATAATGTTGTAGATGAGAAATGCTAGTTTCATTATTCTCATACTCGAGATATTTAAAGTTTTCCCTTTTATTGGCATGAACACATTTCATCTGCGGAGCTGTAGAGGACAGTCATTCAGGCTCACACATAAAAAGTAGTTAGCAAGAAACATTTTTCTCTCAGAGGTCAATCTTAACTGCCTTTTTCTTTTCTTCCCAATAAGACCGTCTTTCTTCCTTGCTTCGTAGCAGGAGTTCATTGTGTTGAACTATATGCCCTCAAATAGCCATAAATGCTGTAGAATCATTCCGTTTTTGAATGTAGTGGTCAATCATGTATGTTCAGCTTTTTTTTTTAATTCTTAAAAGTTAACTTGCCATCCCCTTCATTCAAAGCCAGTAGAAATAAAACATTTGAATGAACTAAACAATTAGTATTTTGAGCAAATGTGTGAACAAAGGAGATCATGTAAAATAATCAATGACAGAGGAGAGTTTGTACTTTTTACTCCCATTCCCCTTATTAAGAATAACCTGGCTAAATAAATAAATAAGTTGTGTGTATGTGTGTGTGTGTGTGTGTGTCTCTGTGTGTGTGTGTGTGTGTGTGTAAATTGGGGGGAGGCTGTGGGGGATCCCAAAGAAAAATGAAGGAGAGTTGGGATGTTCATCACATTGGCAGTTGACATAGCACACTGATCTGCTCAAACTGCTGTTCTAAAAAATCCATTTAGTTTAAATATAAAATTTCACCCACAACCAGAGAAAAGAGCACCTCTTCAGAATTTATTAAATGTTTCTTTTTAAAGAAAGACAGATTAGAGTAATTTGACAAAGTGTAAGTGATATTTTTTGACACCTGAAAAAATGAAAACTAATTTCTGACTGAGGTTTAGAATTCTTTTCTTTGAAAGTCTTTAAAAAATAGTGTTTTTCTTACTGTTTTATTGAATGAGTAGCATGTTTTATGTGGCAAGCCTGATTCTTTGCTTTACTTCCTGGCCACTGCTGAAGATGCAATATCATACTTTGCACCAAGTTAGAGGAAATAAAATTCAACAGAGTCTATTTAGTTTGTGACTACCTGGAGCTTTCTCTTACCATTCTTTAAACCAAAGTCTAAAATAGATAAAAATCTGCAAATTATCCCCCATTTTATTCACTTAAAAATACATCATCACTACTTTGCACAATACCGTTAGTCGAAGTCAGTAATTCTTCATTTGATATATAGTAAAATGAAGTTAATCATGACAATTGTCCTAGACTGTGTACATCAACACTATTACCACTTTCTTTTTGGAAGTCATAGAGAAATCTCACTCCAAAGTAGGCCACATTAACAGAATGTATGAGCTCACTTTCCCCTCCCTGACTTACACTGACTCGCCAGGTTATTACTTTCCCAGACACTGATAATGATATAGCCAGACTATTCCACTTGATAAAAAATATTTAAATAAAGTTTCTTCAAGCACAAATGAGATGCAGCATATTTACATTTTTATTTGATGAAGCCTGTTCCTGCTATCTTTGTTCTTAATTTGGTCTCAAAAGAATTAGCACTAAGAGGAAAAATAGTCTGTAAATATGTATGAAATCAAATATAGAGGGTAAGCTAAAAGGTATTGACTGCCAACAGAGCTTAGCTGCAGGAGGCAAAATTTTCTCCATAGTTTTCTTCTTGGCTGGAAACACATTGCCTTCTATCTAGATTATTTAATCCTCAAAATGCACATCAAAGCTTCTCATCAGGTGGCACATGTCTTTATAGGCAGTTGAATGTCAAAGATCTAGCTTAAAGATTTTTGAAAAATGTAAAAACATAATAGATCCCAGATAATAACACAGCAGTGGAGCTCCTGTCCTATTCCTTCCAGCAAAGTACCAGCATCACAGGCTGTGGCTAATCTCTGTGGCAAAGGGAAGAGCACATTCTGCTGCCTGAGAATGTGTGACATCTGTCTAACTGCTAGAAATGAAATGCTTAAACTGGGTTCCAGACCAATATCAGCTTGCTAACAATCCCAATCTCACTCTACACCTGTGGCTGAGGAGTGCTCTGAGCCATAAATTCTATCCTGCTCTCATGCCCAATTAGGCAGTGGAACAACTTATGCAAAAATATGTAAGAGGCATTTTTTGTCCTTCTATGCGAAGCAAGATGCAGGCTTCAGCATTAGCTCTCCCCTTTTAGAACTCATTTTTCAATCTTTGGCAAGGACAAATTACTTGTAATGATTACATCAACTCCCTTAAATGATTATATCATTGTGAGTTTAGTTTAAAAGCCCTTTAACACATTTATTTTTGCACTTCAAAAGTGGCTTTTGTGTTAGAGAGACAGCCCAGCATATGGAAAGAGACAAAAGCCTCTATATTAGTTGGAATATGCCATACACGAGGGACTTGGGGGTGTGGAAGGTCACATGCTAGGTGTATTAGAAACTGCCTGAAATAGTTCCACATGGGGCTCAGCGTTTTATTCATTTATATGAAGATGTTTAGGCGAATAAGCTAAGCCTTTGTCTTATTGAAAGATGTTACAAGAGGTTAACTCACAGTCAGCATTCTCATCCATAGCATATCATCATCATCATCATCATCCAGTATCTCTCCACTTCTTACAGGAAAGTGTCTGGATGTTCATTATATTTGAAAAAAAAATTCTCTGGCTTGTAGTTTGCCCACAGAATAGTCTCCTACAGATTTTTCAAATAGAGAAAAGAAAATTAGAATCACTGAAGAATGCCAGCTACCAAGCACCTCCCCTCTTAATTATGCTACCCCAATCCCCTTACCATAATCTGCCCAGCAACAAGGCACTTCCAGCTCCCTCTGGGGAGAAATCATTATAATGTATTAATTCAAGATTCCTAGTGATCTGGGACACCATAACACCATACGACGGTTGTATTAAATGCATTATTTAAGTCTGTCAAGTATTTGGGGATGCATTTTGGCATAAAGACACTACATAAAATAAAGTTTTATTTTATTAACAATCATATGGGAGAAATAGGCCATGATGTTCCAGGTGCAATTTTAAGCATGGCTACACATCTTGGCCAACCACCCCTTTTTTCTTCCCTTTTTTTCTCGCTTGGCTGTCTAATTACATTCTAACCCTGACCAGGAAAGGAAGACAGGTTGAAGGTTTGGGGGGCCCTTGATAATTTGGATGCTGTGGTGATTTATAGCAAAAGTGTTTGCACAATGTTGAGTTCATTCTCCCTCCAAACATTGTTATACAAAAGACGGAGGGAAGAAGAATGGTTAGGAAGCCCTGTGTCTGTCAGACAACAAAATTCTCACACTGGTGGCCATTTGCATCTTCTCGCAGCTTGAAATTGTTGTCCGTTGTGCCAACACAGCTTCCTTACTTGTAAAAAACGCTTCTCTCTGTTGGAGGGCTCAGAAAGATATTCTTCCTGCAAAATCCCCTTACAGAACCTCCAGTCCCCTTGGGGCATACTCGCCGGTTTATGGTAGCGATGAACTGTCATCGGTCCCTCCTTGGTCTGTGAGATTGGGACCCGTAGAAATGGCTGTGACCGTTACTTTTCTCTTTGGGGATTTGCCCTTTTTTCATTTGGGTGGAGATTGAGACTGAGCTTTGTTACAGAGAATTATCCTGTGGCAGTGGGTTGGGGAGATAAGTCTTTGTTGAGACATAAAACACATACAGACAAAAGTGTGAAAAATTGAAATGACAAGGTTGCTGGGGTGTTGTTTCTTAAGTTCGGTCAAATGCTCAGACATAGGAAGTAAGGTACTCTTTGGCTCCTTGCTAGGTACTAAAGCGAATTCATATTCTGTGTCTTCAGAGTGGAGGTACTATATGATTGTATCGTGGATATATATACCAGACACCATTACAGCATCCTAGTCTTTACATAATCTTAATGTATATAAATATTGTTTTTACTTTGGTGTAATACAGAAATAAGATGGATGTCACTTTATAAGAAGCTGGGCAGAGGAATCAAATGAAAGCCAAGTTTCTTGCTATCTATTGTTATAATAATTACGTGATCTCTTCTATATGGTTAACACATGTCAGCATCCATAGGGACACTATATGAAGAACAGAGATGATATTTGTGGTCTTGTGATTAATTTAGTGTCTAATCTGACATTCTTTGTTTGTCTCTGGCAGAGATAATATCCTTATTTAATTCAAATAAGACTTCTACATCATTAGGCCTCAGGTTTAAAATTTCTGAAGTCCATATAAAATCAATTTAGTTGCTGTGCAAAATGTGTTAAATACTAAAAAATAACAATAAAAGCAAACTACGAAAAAAGCATTCAACATCTCCACCTTAGAAAGAGAGAAGTATTTATTATCTGCTTAACTACTGGTATATCTTAGAGGTTTTTAGAAAGACAACCTGTGAAGTAATGTAATTTACCTTCTAGACATGATTCAGAAAGTTGTGGTTTTATTATCCCATCACTATCTGTGAATTACCTTGTTTTTCTTCATAAACATGATTTAAATTCTGTTTATTGTGATTTCAAAATTCTTATAATTCTAAGTGCCACTATTAATAAGAAGTGCCATGGATGTGCCATTTTTCATTTGCTTTATTTTATAAAACAGGGTTTTAAAAAAACAAGGTGAATGTGTGCCAACTATTCTCATAAAAATCTGAAATTTTATTTTAATACAAAAATTCGAATAAAAAATGGAGATGTTTAAATAAAAATTAAATTAAAAACAATAAACATACAATACACTGAAACTTTGTTTTTCAATAATATAGATAATGAAATTATATCTAAATATTGATAAAATTAAGTACACACATAAATTTTCTGGTACAAATGTAAGACAAGCAAATAAAAATAGCTATTGGAATAAAGATCCTTGTAAACATTTGCTGAGTAATTTTAATGTTTTCTATTATGTAACATTTCTACCCCTAAAACTATTTCAACTTGAACAATTTTTAAGTGACAGAAATTACATTTAAAACTTTTTTTTTTATTTTCCTGAAGTTGATAGTCAGAAATCTGAGAAGATCTAGGTTCTAACCCTAGCTTTGTTCCTAATTTGCTGAATACTAAGGCAAAGCCTTCACCTCCCTAGACATGTTTTCTTTAACATTCAAAGATTAAAATTAGAATCTCTAAATTCTTTTTAAATTCTCATATTCTATGACTCTATTTGCTCCTTTTTTTTTTTTTTTTTTTTTTTTTGTTCCAGGCAATCTTTCAGAAAGGGTGTCATCACCTTAAATCCCAGTGTAAGGTATTCAATATATTAGCAGTACTTTTAGCTTCTTATTTATTCACCAAATAAAATGACATTACAGTGTTGCCAAATTTATGTCAAATTGGTCCAAAATATAGAGGTCTATACCAATTACATTCAATGTCAAAAGATGAGACATTTATCTCTTTTGTTGTATGTTTTAAAAGTTTCCCTTAATTTAATTTTATGATAGCGTGATATTCACTTCCCAGTATGCTAAATCATTAACAAAGTAACTTTTATGACAGTTAAGTTCAATATTCTAATTAAAAGTTATGGCAAATCCTCATTCAAGACTCCTAAATTTCCCTAGTAAGACTTTTTGTTATATTAGTTAAAAATATTATTTATTATCTAGCGATATATTATATATCTTACTTTTTATTTATCTATAGCTAGTAGAACATTTTAAAATGTGAAATAAGTAAGTCAAAACAAACCAGATATTTAAAAATCATTTGCTTTTGATTGAACAATACTTATTATGGAAAAATTACTCTGCTAGAAACTAGTAATACAAATATTAATAATTCATATTGTTTATTATATCCTAGGGCTTTTACGTGCATTATTTTATTTAATTCACAAAGAAACCTCATAAGATACTACTAATATTCCATTACACAGATGAACTGAAATGCAAAGAGGTTGAATTACCTACCCAAGGTAACACACTAGAACGTGTACCAGGGGACCATCAGTGGCCTGTGCTCTAAATCACTCGCTCCATCACAACCTCACACAGTTTGTAAAGGGTCTGCCTTTACTAAGGTAGAGACACATTCCCAACTCCCTAAAATAAAATGAATAAAGTTCGTTAATCAGGACCTGGATACATTTTTAGGAAGTTATAGGAAGAAGACGTGTGTGTGTGTGTGTGTGTGTGTGTGTGTGTGTGTGTGTGTTTTAGCAGGAGATGTGGGAGGTATTATTTTAACTCAAAATAAAGTACCCACTTCCCTGAGAAAATCACAATGTTATATTCCCAGAATATAATTCGCTCCATTTTCAAATGTGCAGACAGGACAAGGTGATGTGGATGGTACAGGCTTGTGTGGGCTCAACTCAATTTGCCTGCTGCCCAATTATGCCAGCAACAGGAGTTCTAGCTGGTTCTCTCTTAGGACTTGGCAGCATTTACTAGCTCCTGGCTAGGAGGTTAACCTGAAGTTTTGCCCAGAATTTATGTCTTAAGGAATAACCTGAGAATGTCCTACAGAGAGGTAAATGGAGAACATTGAAATCTTCCTCCTTTCCCTATTTCTCTCAGGTGCATTTTTACACATCTAGTAGAGGACCACAAGGTTTTGTTCCATAAACCAAAGGGTACATTTAAAGAGAGAGAGAGAGAGAGAGAGAGAGAGTGTGTGTGTGTGTGTGTGTGTGTGTGTGTTTCATGTTTCTGGCTGGCACAATTCCTGTGGAACTTCCTTAGTCTTTTTGAACAATCACCCAATATCATATCTGAAACCATAATTGTTTATGGGAGCCTTCTTTTCTGTTATTCTGAGGACTCTCATGGTTCAGCTATTTTGTTTTTTTGTGGTATTTAAATTAAGTAAGGAAAATACACATTGACTTGTATATATTTTTATTTGGTTACATTCTACTTTTAGTACTGTAGACAAATAGATTTTCAGGCTACTAAGTTTCCCCTTCTTAGCCACTGAAAGTTAATTTTCAATTTTTTCCCCGTTCAGTTATGTTTTCAGGTCATACAAATGCTCAGTCACTAGTCATCACTCTCATTGCAGAGGACAAGCTCTTGTCTTGTGCTACGTCAGGATGGAATTGGGTAGGACTGTGAGGAGGGACTGAGACTGTGAAGAGGCAACACCCTCACTTCAGTCTTTTCACCTGACACTTACATTCAGCTGTAGCTGAGAAACCTGCACTTTTCTTGAATGTGGGGCAGTGGAAAACAATCCTATAGTGGTCAGATTTAATTATTAGCTGGACAGCATAACTTTCTTTTTTTCTTACACCTCAAGTATGTTAAAAACAATATAAACATTAGGATTTATGCAACACACTCATATTTAAAATATGGCCAAATGTGTTTTATGGTAGTATATGTTTCTTGCCTCAAATAATATCTCCCTTCAAACACAGAATTATCTGGATGTAACTTCTTTATATCTAAAAATGAAAACACATTGTCTCCTCTCTGATATATTTATTTTAAATAAGAATAAGTTGATTTACATACGCAAGTTCTTTCTGGCTATCTCCATATTCAACTTTACTAGAAATACAAATATACCAACACTGAGGCTATCAGAGGTAGTTTTGTGGGAAAGACAAACTTGTCATTGTGAAGAGAAGAGCTGACAAGAGGCAATATAGCTTAAACCACTTACATCAAATGAAATAGTTTAAAAAAAGTTGCTAACTAATCAGCTTAAATTCTTAAAAAAAAAAGGAAATTGTAACTAGAAAGAGTATAGTATCTCTGTGAAACTTCAAAAGGTACAGCTGGCTGGAGAATGTACAGTCCCCTGAGACTGCAGGATAAAAACCTATAAGTGCGCTCTCTAAAATCTTTTCTTCTCCTGACCTCATGCCAAGGTTAAGATAGAAGATTTTTTATTATGACTTTGAAACAGAGTTAAGGTGAAACAACTTGAGGGAAACAGATGAGAAGCTGGGACCCTTTCCATCACTCAAGGGAAGAACTCAAGTAGAGGCCAACTGCTGGTTCTCCCATCTGCATCTTGAGTTGTGCTGTGATTATTGTATTTGCACCTTTAACTCCTGCAGTTATATATGCAAATCAGTGAATTCTGACCACGATGCAAAGGGTAAAATGCCAGGGCGATCGTTTTGAAAAATTTCACATGTTTAGTTTACAGTCATCTCCTCTTCAAAGCAGCCCTGTCCTCTGTCCTTGTCCAAAGTAAGTGCTAGCAAAAAAGTAGCAGATTTGTAGAAAACAAGAAAATACTACCGCTAAATTCCAACACAGGTTAAAGAATATTCAGTAATGTCTTGGCTTGAGGCTCTGTGCACTGTGTACCATGGGTTTGAGTCTGTGCACTGTGCACCACATGCACAGATATACTTCATTTCATTCAGGATGCTGTGTTCAACAATTAAATGCTTGCAGAAGAATGACAGATTTTTAGTCACATTCTGAACTGTATTTGCCACCTTTTCCTTCTCAGCTGTTGTAGTTCTGTTCTGAAGCAGTGAAAATACAACAATTTTTGAAAAGAATCAATTAGAAGGAAGCCTTAATGATGCAAATTTTGAGAGGATTTATGTATTCTTTTAGATCTTAAATGTCTCTCTTTTAAAAAAGCAAAACAACCATTGCCCCAGACATCAGTTTTTAAAAGTGTACCTGTCTGTCTGTGTAAACTGTTATGGTCTTCAGTCTCATATGGACTTGAGTATGCCAGAAGGCCACCGATCATGTGCTCCTGAAGGAGCCTGTCTGCCTACATTCACTTTTTTTTTTCCTTTTTCATTTTTGTGTGTGTGTTTGGCGTCGGGGGGGTGGGGGGTTTGGAGCTGTATCATACATTCTTAGAGCTAATGATTAAATCAATCTTTATATTAATAACATGTGGCCCATATTATTAGTCCCCAAACAAATGACATGTATTTTAAAACATACGTTTAAAAATACACACTGGACTATTATAATGTGGAGCCATTGTAGAAAGCAAGCAGATGTCTAGCATGGAGACAAAAAAGGTCAAACCCCGTTAAAAGGGAGAAAGCAAGGTAAGCCTTCATTCTGTTCTGTTTGTAATGAGGTGGCTGCGTCTTCCACTTGATTAAGCAAGGAGGAAAGCCAATGAGAAAATGCACTAAATAGACCCAGGGTATCGGTGAGTAGGTACGTGTTGACTTTCTGGCTGGGACTCAGCAGAACTGATACCTTACAGACACTCAGGAGTTCTCCTTAAGCCTGTCAATGATACATTTTGTTTTCAACCCACACACTGGCTGAGGATTTGATTTTTGTTATGTGACTCACACCAAAGAGGAAACAACTCTAACATTTCCTAAGGGTGGGGACCAAGAGTAACAAGAAAGAAAGGACCACAAGGAAAGCTAGATGACAAAGCAGGCAGAGCAAGGAAAGGCCGACCTGAAAAAAAAAAGGATAAGAAAATAAAAGCAAAAAAGAAAAATCTGGGTTTAAACTCAACTCCTTTTAAATGAATTTGGTGATCGTAGCACTTGAGTGAGCACCAAGCCTCGTGAGAGAAACATACTGCCTGGCTTTAATTGTTAACCCCACATTACAAGATTCTTTGTCATAAAACTAAAAGCTGTTTGACTCAAAGCTCAATCTTTGCACATGAGATTGCACAGGTTGTGATGAGCCTGGAGACTTAATTACTTTCTTGCATCAATTGAAGGGGATCCTCCAGGTCAGGCTTATGGCATATTGATGAGAAGTAAAAGAAATCTTACACAAAATTAGCCTCCAGTGTGCTTGTTTCCCAGATACCCAGGAATGCCTGATCTCTGTTCCTTGCTTTCATAATTTCTTAGTATTCAAGAGCAATATATTTACTGGGGATACTGATATGGAGTGAAATCGTAGGGAAGAAGGAAATGAGCAGTGCAAAAGACTGGCTTACAATTACTTTGCTGAAATAATTTTCTATCAAAAAACATCTGATCTAAATCAGTGCCATACTTTCTAAAGTTAGAATGTTACTTAATTTTGTTTTACTGTGGAGTGCTGTATTTGCAATTGCTTGTCTGCAGTTTCAAACAGGCATCTTGCCTCTTCTATTTTGTTTGTGTGTTCCTTGGGGTGAGTGTGTGCAATTGCTTAGTCATAAAAGTGATTTGTTTAGCAAAGGCTCATTTTACACTGTTTGTGTGGTTTTATTTCACTAAATATAGAATAAATTTGAAGCCCAAGAAGTGTTTTTTATGCAAAAATAATTACAAGGTTTTAACTGCAAAACCTTAAGACAAAGAACAGTGCTGGGAAATAATTCTGGTGGGAGAATGAATGGATTTTTGATATCACTAAGGGAAAATAGCCCAGAGTCAGTGTCTTTTGACGCTGCTCTGCCTCCATCCCTCTCCCTCTCTCTGTGGCCGTATTGAGTCCGATCAGCTTTTGCAGCAGTTCTATATATTCTGTAGGCAAAGGCAGCATGTCAAGGCCTTGTCATTTCTGGTCAGTAGAGTAGTTTGTCAGGAGAATTTTCCACTATAAAAGCATCAGTAACTCATCAGAATATTTGTTGTTTCTTTTTGACAAAAGAGGCAAGTGTCTGTCAAGAAAAATCTAGGGTTTTCCTTGCCTTCCCCGAGGAACTTGGAGTCTGTCTTGAATAGCCCTAGACTCCAGAAACCTTGTGTGCAAAATAGATGTATTGATTCCTGTAGAATCTTGTTATTTGTGACATGCAACAGTATAAGTCAACATGACTTCGCCTATTTGTTACCATGTGTGAAACAGAATGTGCGGCTTTCATTAGTGAGGAGCACATTATGTGCAGAGGCTTTAAAGGAGGTCTCATTGGAAACCCACAGAAATGCAATCCACACATAATAATTCAGGAAGGGACATCGTACGTATGCTTAACAGGTAGCTCTCTAAATGGTTAAATATCAACGTATTGGTTGAATCTTTAAAAAAAAAAATTCCAGAGCTAAAAAAAATGCATACTCATGCTTATAAACAAACAGATCAGTTGCTTAAGGGTTATAAGAAATTTAAATGCAAATAGCACTTTGTAATGATACCCCAGAGACTGACATTGTAGTCAATTTCTTGAGAATGCATCACTGTAAACTTAGTTTTTGCTACTGGTTTCCTTAGTAACCGAAACAACATAGTGTTCAGGACATAAAATAATACTCTGTTTCAGTCACTGAGAATCTTGAACTAAATGTAATTGATTTTGCATGAGGTACAGGATTATCATGTCCTCCCATTTTGGTGAGGCATTACAGCACAAAATGAATGTAGTTGGAAATATTTTTCAAACCAGCCATTTTGTTTCTAATCATCTCATTGTGAGAATACTAAAATTGCTAACAGTGTGGAATGTTATATCTTTAAGAGGAGCAGATTATTAGATAGAATTATATAATTGATATATAATTCCTAAGCATACCAGGATAATGTTTATTTCTCTTCTCTCACATGCAGAAAGCAGCATATGTGGAAGTGTATCTATTACTGTTAAATAATAGTGATGCTTATTTTGTAAGACCCATATGCAATCCAATGCATACCCGTGTAGATATTATAAAGTACGCATATAGAGAAAAGCCTGATATCCAGTATAATTTTGCAGTTTGAAATCAGGACAAAGAGTCAGAACATTCTATTTTAATTTAGTTTCTGCAGCTGGTCTATTATACTGCCTTAGGCAAATTATTAGATCTCTAGTGTCTCAATATCCTTATCTATAAAATGGGAATAATAACACCATCATCGCAGGGGTGTTATGTGGATAATTACTTGATGTGTGCAAAGAGCCATGAAGATATAATATGCTAAATCTTATGATTGTTTTAAACCACATATATAGCAGCATGTTTTAGGCATAAAATTAGAGAGTGGTTTAATGAGCTTAGAAAATTGGAGGCCTCTGGTTTAGGAGAGGAGTGTCTTGAGACATAGCAAAGCTTTGTCTATTTTACTGTTTCTGCAAATAGCATTTCCTAAAATGATATGGCAAGAACAGAACTGTTGAGTGACTGATTTCTGATGATACTCTTACTAGAAATACTGTGTTCCCAAGAAGGTGACAACATTATGCTCTGGGCACCCCTGCTCTAGTGAATTTTGTAGGTAGATTTTGTTTCCCCCCATCTATTGGGAAATTAACCTCCTTCCTAACTGCTCTGTGGGAGATTTGGGTTCCAGGTGGAGGTTTTACAGATGAAACTGCTGCCTATCATAATGCCTTGTTAACTTGTTTGCCAGCAGAGGGTCAGTCTCCTATCATATTAGCCGTGGACTGTTTTTCTATGAAGTAGCAGCTAGCCAGAGGAAACACCCTGGATATTAGGAGTACTGTATTAATTCATTCACTCATTCAACAAATAGTGAAGGTCTACTATGAACGGCTAATATTTTTGGCATGTAGGGATTACACACAAATATTAAAACATGGTGCCCCCCGCTCAGCCTTTTTCTCAATATAGAAGAGGCAGGTGCCACGTGCACACACACTACAGAATAATATGGTAAGTGCGAATCTCATAAACATCATACAAAGAGCTCTAGTTGGTTTGAGAGTGGCTAAGGTGATCAAAGACAGACTCTAGGAGCAATGACATTTGAGAGCTGGGCCTCATAGAATAGAAAAGATTTCAAAAGATAGTGAGAAGCAGGAAGAAGAAGGAAGCTCAGATAAGACACAATACGTAACTACTATATTTTGAAAAGGAAAAGGAAACAAAAGTTTGATCCATCATCAAACAATCCAACTTGGTAAGAACATCAGATATATGGAGGACAGCAGCAGCACATAAAGGTGGAACTATGACTTTCTGTAGTATCACTTCTCATGGTTTATAATAATACATTAACTGATTAATGTCAGTTCATTCCTCCACCTGAGGTACCCACTCCAAGTTGGTACCGTGTCTGATTATGAATATTCTATATTATTCCTAGTCCATTAAATATCTGTTGAATGAAAGCAGGAAAAGGCCAGGTTGTAAAGAGACTTGACACCAGACTAACGGGCATGGATTTGTCTAGTAGGCAGCAAGGAGTAACTAGCAGTCTCTTCTCCTAGAAGTGAAAAACAGAAACAGGATGCAGGGAAAAGTATAGCCCATAAGCGGGAAAGCCTGTCGGGATGCTCTTGCATTTGCCAAGGGGTAGATTTGCTAAGGGGTTGATTATAGGGCTCTAAACCAGGGTGGTGGTAACATGATGAAAGACAGGTATTACCATTCAGCCACAATGCCAGGGGACAAGCCAAAGCACTGTACTCCACGACAACAGTGTGCTTAGAAGAGATTGGGTAGCCATGGGCAGGAACTGATTTGGCGGGATAAGTGAAGAAGTTAAGTGATAGACACGTTGAGTCTGAGATATGCTTAGGGCATTAGGTGGAGGTGTCTGGCAGATGTCTGAAAATAGGAGACTGAATGAGGAGAGAGTTTAGAAATGGAGATTTACTCTTCAATGCCATCTTTATAGAACTAAAGCTTGAAAACCATGGGGTCACTGAGAGAAGGAGCCTGAAGAGAGAAAAGGATGAAGGACCCAAAAAAGACTAACATTTAACAGATGGGATGTGAAACAGAACCAGGTAAGAGAAATTTGAAGTGCTGTCTTTCAGAGAGATGGGAATAGAACTAGGCATAGAATTCAAAAGGCAGAGACTTTCAAAAAGGACAGGCTGATACCAAAAGTACAAGTAGGAGAAGACTTTGTAAAAGTCATTGAATTTGATTATTTAAATCTTACTGTTGATATTTAATGGTTTTCTTGAGCCATTAGTACTAAAGCCTGACATTAAGGGATTAAGGGCTGAATGAATGATTATTGAAGAAGTGAATGCAATAATTGGAAACCACTCCTTCCAAGGGTTAGCAGCGGCAAGTGTAGAAAAATAGGAAAATAATCTGAGAAAGCTGTTGGCAGAGAATACTGCAAGTTTATCACTGTTACAGTTGCTGCCTGGGATGTTCCACGACTGTATATTTCCAATATGCAAATATATGGCTGCTCAGTTTGTCTGCATAGAATCCTGTAATAATAGTTTCAAGTTCATGATTTCTGTTTTTGATAGATAAAAATTCTTTCATAAACCCTTGTTCAGAATGGAATAGTGTTCAAAGAAGCCATAGTTCTGACTCCTGAACCAATGTTTATATTCTCACAAAATGGTAAAATTTGAAGAAAAAAATATAATCTAGACAGCAAGGCATCTAACAAATTAAATATACCATTAAAATCTCTTTAAAAATAAGATGACTTTGTTATATCCTAGACTGTTGTTTTATAATTGAAAACCACATTCTGATCACATTTCAATATACTGTGTGCTTTTATACTGTTGGGCAACAATTCTCTATGGGTCTCCCATGTTTCTGCACATCAAAGTAAAGAGCAGATTTGCTTTCAGCCTTAAGGATAGAGATACTGCCTATCACTGGAGTGAAAGGCAAACATGCTTACTGACCATTCTCCTATGATATCACCCATGGATTGTGCAGGTATTACTTGGCCCTCATCTTGTTGTCCTGAGGGAACTGGGACTCAGTGCAAAAATTGTGAATCCCTGATTGTGGTTATTGCTGCGAGTAATAAACTACTTTGTCTTTGATCCAGGAGTCTCGTGTCTTCCACTCAGATTCATGAAACTGTGGCAAACTAACTTGTCAGCTTCCAAGTATTGTCATTCTCAGATCCTTAGCAGTTGTTGCATATACATTATTAACAATAATAACATTAATAATTTTTAAAAGTTAAAAAATTGTAACATGTATTGAGCATCTAACATGCCAGATATGTTAGAACTGTAAGTATCCTCATTCATTCAACAAATATGTATTTAGCATCTATAATAAACCAAAGATTATGCTAGGCTGAACATTGGGAAGTGGTGAACAAAAAGATTTGAGTCATTTCTTCACAGAGTGGATGGTCTATTTTATCCTCCCAACAGCCTTGCATAGCAGGAATATCATGATTCTAGAACTGAGAAAATTAGACATCAGTAAGTTTACATAACTTACCCAAGGTCACACTAGTCTCTGGTTGGGACAGACATTGAAACCAGGTCTGGACTGATTAGGTCAGTATTCTTTTCACAACACCACATAGTACATTATTTAAAATTTTAATATTTAGCTTCCAATAAATATTATTAATTTAAGCTTATATTTTGTAGATCCTCCTTATACATCTGACACTTGGATAATATCTAATAAAATTGTTTTGAAAATGAAAGAGTGAAATAACCTTAATAGCCTTTTTAGTCACTTTTGTAGTCAAAATGTGGATTCATGTTGAACACTCCTTTCAAAATATTCCCTATACCATCCATTCCCAAAGCAAAAAGGATACAACCATGTTGCAATAAATTAGAAGTTCAAACTAGACTTTTAAAAAATCCTTTTTATCTTTGTTTCTCCCATAAGCATTGGAAACTTTGGATTTTACTTTAAAAAAATTGGTATGAAGTTATATTCACAATTAGAAATAATATTGTTCAGTAGATTATGAGCACATCCAAAGTTACATTAGCACTTCATTTTGTTAATTTGTACTAAACGCTCTTTCTGCTGTTAATTTTTTGGCATGGTGCAGGGATGCAAAAGAGAGGCAGTGTTGCTTAGTAGAGATCATTAGGCTCTGAAGTCAGGTGCCATGCATTGTGCATCTCTGGCCCTACCAGTTTTACTCAATTTGTGATTTGGGCAAAATACTTTTCTATTCCTCCATTTTCTTTTTTGGAAAATTGAATAACAGCAGTAGCTACAGCTAAGATTATTATATGGCTTAATTGATTTTATGAACTCAGTGCACTGAGGACAGCACCTGTCACATGGTGTACAATAAATGTTAGCAGGATTTGTGACTTCACACCAGGGTCTCACTGAACAAATGTCTCAGTTAACTCCCTATTTCTTTAAGTTATAATTGTTCAAAGTAACTTTGCTCTGAACTCTGAGCTCCAAAGCGATGGCCCTTGACTTTTGTGACTATTTCTAAGCATAGTATAGGCATGTCAATTTAATAATGATGATTCCTGACTTATAAAAGTAAATGTCATCAGCTTCCACCATGTGCAAGGTGAGTGGTCTGAAAGAGAATAAGGCATCAGACATTTGGCTCCTATTCCCAGCTCATTACTGACTTGTTAGGGCAGAATAAATGAATCACAAATAAATAAATAAACAAATCACTTAACCTTTCTGCATTTCAGTTTCAGCAAAATGAGAATGATAAGCCTTTGCTTTGTAAGGGCTTTGAAATCACTGACTGAAAGGTGCTACAAGAGTGGCAAGTGTTATTAACTTTTCAGTATTTCCGTCTTTCTTATGCATACTCTGAGTGTTTGCTTTTCATCTTGGGAATTAAATACATCTTTAACATTGATATGTGGTAACTGCAGGAATTAGTGAAATTTGCCAGCTCCTCAGATAAAATCAGAGGACAAGTAAGTCAGGCAGTTAATTATGTGAAAGAATAGATTAGGGGAAGGAAGGACAGCTTCAACAGAAATCACCTGATTGTTGTCTCAAGTTCAGGGTTACAACTTTGGAAGGTAAAAGGGAGGGTGGAGGTTATAGAGATAAAAAGAGAGCAGTTTCTCTGTGTTGCTCATTCGTGCTTTCCCTGTACTCGGCCTAGACTTCTTCGAGACTCTTGCATCCTTTTGCTCGCACAGTGTGTAACCACTTCAATCAGATTCAAGCTGCTCTGTTTTGTATTTTTTAAGTAATCGCTGTTGCTTGCTATGTCTCAAAAACCTATTTTATTTCAAAAGCCACATTCTTTGCCTATTAATTTCCTCCTTTATTTATTATTTGTAAACTCATCTTTGAAAGTGCAAATACCCATGCCTTTATATATGTACTTAGATGTGTATAAATATACATATATATTTTTGTTGTTTGTAAGGGTGTTTGAGAGTTAAACAAATACTTATTAATTCCTTATTAATCACCCATTATTATTCTTATTCTCTTAATTATTTTTAAATGACAAACATTTGTAAATTTTGGATTAAATTATTGAAATATGTGACGCATTACCATTTTTGCTCCTGTTCATAAAGCAGATACAAAAGAGTTACAGTTTATTGGCCAAAAGAGATTTGCTACCCTTCTCATAAATCTCTCATTTAATGTGTTTTTGTAGGAAATCAATATTACATTGGTGTAAAATACAGATAAAATATAGTACACAATATATTTTATAAAATAGGCTTCACTAGAAATACATTTTTGATACATTTTAATATGTCACATTTTTCTTTGAATGTGGGATTATATTTTCATGTATGTGTGAATGTGTCTTTTCCTTGGAGTTTGCAAATTCCATCAAATTTGTTTGTTTTATGTATATATGTGTTTATGTTATAATTATACATAGAGATGATATAGATATAAACAAAAATATATATACACTTTTTTCTTCAATATTTTGTTTTGTCAATATTTGGGGCACCTGAATTTTTGTTATGCAACAATTTTTAAAGAAGTACTATAAACACATCAATAAGCTGTAGCTTACTGTTATCTCTGTAGAGAGGAAAATACACATTTAGGTATTGTATACGTATTAATATTCTTTAAAAGAAATCTTATGGTACTCATGAATTTAAATACTTTTCATATAAGCCATGTAAATATAATGATTAACAATCTGCTGTATTCACTATTCAGGACATGAGATGTAGTATTTTTCTAATTACAGGCACCAGTGTGGGAGGATATGACTGCAAAAGAAGATTAAGCCATTTGTATTTATTTAGTGTTGCTTTATAGCATTAACTAGGAAACTCAGTCCTGCTATATTGAATGCTGAGGAATTTGATTAGGAGAGCAGCAGACGCTGCCAATCTTGGCTTGAGACAGCAGACTCAACTAATTGTCTATCAGCAGTGATTTAGCTGTATCATCCTTCTACAATCTTGCTATTGATGGGTGCATTTAAAATCTGATGAAAATTACTGTTTAATAATCAGGATTTGGAAAACCCACCTGGCAAATGCATTCTTTCTCCCCCCACACCCCCCGCCCCCATTCATTTTTCAGGTAGAGGGAAAAATGTCAAGTTTCCAAAATTTAAAATGTAGACTTTCTTAAAACATTTTTTTTTTTATAAATCAGGTTTTACAAAATACGTTATCAAGAGCAGGGTTAAATGTTGTTTCTGTTGTTACTTTTTTTTTGGCTTTATTTTACAGTTTCTACAAATGCTATTGAACCTCTGTTTTGTTTCTCACTTTAATGGTTGAAGATCATGGGTCAGTGGTTAGCGTTGCTTTTACAACTGTAGAAACTATCTTTTGACTGCTGCTCCACTTCTCATTGTGTCTAGTTTCTGCTGTGTAAAGCTTATTGGAGGTAGAGCTTTAAAATATAAAATAAATATAAATCTATCTAATATATTACATATGTCTAAGTATGATAATTCAGATATCTTTTTAAAAAGATATCTGCTGCAGAAATTCTACTACTCATGGCAAATTTGTGTCTAAAATAGTGTATTTTATTATATATCTAAGAAGGAGAAAAATATTTTACATATAGAGGAAAGGATCAAGGCCCTCTAAAATAATATATAATAAATAAGGGTGTGTGGGTGAGCTGAGTGCAAAATCAATCGCCCCCTGGTTGCCAGGTTTGATGAAGTAGATATTTAATAAGTCGGGACATTTACATTCACTCACCACGCAACTGAGCTTTGCAGAGAGTTTCCCTAAGATTAGTATGGCATTTCTGTAAGTTGACAGTTCAATGCACAGAAGGAGTCACTTAAACGGTTCTCCATTTTTCCCCGAAGCAAAACTTGCAGTGAGCATATGTAACAGTCTGTACTTCTGCGTGAATACCAATTGGTGTCATTAGGTGCCTGGAGTCTCAGGTTGCATTTTCAAGGCATGATTTTCAACTGGAGCAGACTCAGACATACCAGTGTCATATCTTCACTGTGGGTTTCATAGTTTGACATTGTCTAAGTGATTGGTTTAGTTCTGGGAACACCCCTAGTAATCTCACCTACTTGGAGAAAAGGATGAAACTAAAAGTTTGGTGGGTTCCCCTCATTTCACCCACTGGACTCTGAGAATCCCTGGTAGATGGGAATAAAGAATCAGTAGAAACGGCAACACAGAAAGGTGGCTGTAACAAAGAAGAATAGAGTGATTCTAATATTTTAGTCAAATATTCAAGAAACTAACCAGAATGAATTCTTTCCAGCAATTGAGAACCGTAAACTAAGGTACTCCTGAACTCATGAAGGTTTTTGTTCCCATACCATTTGTCATTGGACAATATGTGTTTATATTCTACACCCTCAAAATAATCATGATGGCATAGGCTTAGAGTGGGATGGCCTGGATTTGAGACTCTGACTTACTATGTTGTAGATATGAAACTTCAGACAATCATTTTCCTTATTCTAACCCCTATTTTTAAAATTTCTATGTTATAGTATATCCTGTATTTCTATGAGATAATACATCCAAAAATACTATCTATCTAAAAGGTAAAATGGTACATAAATATAAAATATCAGAATTAATATGTTATTTGTCTGGTCTCTGAGAAGCCTCATTACAGTTTTTGGAGATGCTTCCCAAAATATTTCAATTGCTTCTATAATTTTCTCTATACTTTTATAAGGAATATTGACTACAAAATACAAGAAGTTTATCTTTTGATAAAGCAGCTTCTTAATATATAAAAAGTATAATTGAGGTATTTTAGAACTGGGGTAATTAAATATATTATTTGGCTTATAAAAATGTATTAACCTAATTATACATCTTAAAACAGGTAAGAGAAGAAACCAACCTTAGTCTTTCACAGAGAATAGCCATTTTAGCATGTCTGTGACTCCAGTGGATATCGTAAAAAAAAAAAAAAACACACTTAGAATACATAGAACATTCTTCCTTCGGGTTACAACTTTTGTTCATGAAGGTCCATTTGCTGTTTTCAGTTATCCTTAGATCAAATAAAGTTATCCATATGTAATGGAAAACCCTTTCAGGTTTTCAGCTCATGAGCAATTATTAAGTTTACTGCCAATCATCCACCCAAATCACAGCAGAAGGAGCGTTATCCTTTTCAATACCTTGCTTAAATTTTTATTTTGTATCTCAGAAGATTGATGAAATTGATGAGAGAATTTTGTGAGTGTTATAAGCTTGTTCAATGTTTTAGATATATAATTTCCTTCTTCCAAAGGCTGTAGAATCTGATTCAAATTCGGAATTTCTCAAATTTTGTGTCAAACTAGTTCCATGCCATTGCTGTGGTAAATATGTACCTTAAAAGTGCTACAAAGTCCTTTTTCTATTTGGTTTGCATGACCTTGTTATGAATTATTTATTGACCAAACATCTATCTTTGAAATTCTTCAAAACTGAAGAGGATAAAGAGATTATGGTGTAAAATTTACAATTTTTCCATAGAAAATATGGGGTAGTAATATAATTTTTAAATAATTATTTGATTTTTTAAGTTTAAGGCAACTTGGTCCACTTTGAGGAAATTCAGTTTCCACTACTATTTTCCTCATCATTAATACTAAAAATACGAACGAAGAGCTAATGTGCATGACCATTTAAATTTGAAAGACAGAGTCGGTCTTACTATGGCTATGAACGATGAAAACAGAAGAACATTTCAAAGGTATTAAGATTGCTATATCTTAAAATATGTGCATGAGAAAAAAATTTGAAAAATAAAACGTTAATTATGAAATGTGGTTATAATAGATACAAGTTAATTATTATGACATGAATTGAGTATCAGCAGGAGCTGGCATAATTGATGTCAGATGAATGTGGAAACTCCCTAGGATGAACTCAATCCCAGATGAAGTGACGACTGGAAAATATAAAAGCTGTTGTGATGCATGTCCTCATCCCCTGATGAAAGCCGATTAACTCCAAAAGTTGATATTAAGTCAGTGGGGGGAAAATCTATAAAGATCCTTTCATAAAAGTTTGAATGAAAGCTGGTTATTTTCTATCGTTAAGGTATGAAGAATGTCATTTGTTTGGGTGGATATTTTGCTACTATTCATTAAAGGGTCCATTGAGTCCTACATCCTCCACCTTCCTCCTCCTGTAATTGTTTCATATCCCATGATACGAAGTGTAATTTGTTCTTTTTTTTTATCATCTTCTCTTCGTATAAAAGTAGACAGATATGCATTTTAGATTCTTTTGTTTCATTACACGCCAAATTAGCAGCACTTCCACTAGCCTGGTTTTGATATTTCATTAATTCTAGGAATAGCAGTGGGTGGCAGAATGGGGCACGAACAGGCAGGGGCAGAACCAAATCTGTCTCCTGCTTTTGTTTGTAACATTTGAGCTATTAGATGTGGAAGGAAAAAAATCTCCATTGAATTGAAACCAGAGATTTTTAATTTTTTATTTATACAGTCCTATTTACAAAATCTTCATTGATTCATTTTCACAGATTTTGTTCTTATGCTTACAGTTCCAACAGACAAATGAACAAAATCTATCTATAGCCATATGCAGATATAGATACAGATATCTACATATCACAGACTCTCCCATGATTATTTTTGCACTCAGAATTAAGGGATCCAGTTGGATCGAATAATTGACATTCTGCCTCTCTGATCTATTGATTTAACATGGATACTACACTAACTTTTGTGTTGTTTCATGTAAGCATGTTAGCCTCTTCAATCTTAGGTTGATAACACTTCATGAGGAATGCCAAAGGTAGCTCAAGTAGTAATTAAAATTAAAGAAAATTTGTATCCATTAGACCATCTTTCTTATAAAAATGAAAAATCAATAACTGAAAAAGATGTTCATCAGGATCCTAGTTTATTCAGAATCTCTCCTGTGATTATCCTCAATGCCTTCATTTCCCTGTTTCTAATGATCTTCTGAGTTTGTCTTTGATTTCCACGCTATCCCACCTTTGTAGAGAACTTAGTGTCACTTCTTAGAACACTGTCTGAATATGCTGTTGTCTGGGAATTCAGCTTACTGTATATTGTTGACAGTTCACTCTTTTTTATAGGTTTTTTTTAATTTCTCAGCTCTCAAATCCTATTACTACTTCCAGGGACTGTCTAGTGTTATTTTGGGTTACATTTTTTTTTTAATGGTACTGTTTGGTTTCGACAGATAATAATAAAAGGTATTTTACTGCTAGTGCTTGGTGAGATTTTGTTCTACACAGACATTACAGTAGTGGTTTGTTATCAAAAGAGTTGGTCTGGAGTTTGTGCAAATGATTTCACCATGACCCCAGTCTTTTCTAAACAATAAAACATACATGCTTATTCACACATCTATACATAATTTAATCATCTCATATTTTCATTCATGTCCCTGCACTGCCAGAAACATTCCATGATATTCTTTCATCTTTAACTCATGACCATGTACTTTATGACCTTCCTTGCTTCACATCTTCACCTCCTTCTCAGGAAAAAAAGAAATCCTTTGTTGAGATCTGCTGCTCTTCTAAGAGGTGGCTCCCTCCACCTGGGAACTCCCCATTAAAAAAAGCCTTTACATTGCCTACAGGCTGCCAATTAGTCTTCTACCGCAACTATGGCTGCTTTTTTAGAGAAACTTTTTTTTTTTTGTTATCTACTGTGTTAACTGACATGTTAACGTTACAGGAATTTGACCTATAAATTTCTAAAACTTCACTGCAGAAAAAGAAATGTAACATAATATTATGAAATAAAGCTACTTCAGTGGAATATGGCTTATTACAACATACAATAGCAGCTCATTTATCCAATTTATTTGGTGGAATGAAGTTTCTTCCCTAAGTAAACTTTCCAAATAACACAGGCAGTATTTATATTCCCGTTTTTACTACATATATATTTTGATTAAAATGCTCTTATATACATAGCATGTTTTGGTATCATAGCAAAAAACTATGGCCAACATGATTTAACATTTTCTTAATGACTTGAAGCTCTTCATTACAAAAATCAATTGATCTGTTCTATATTATCCTTGGGGTTTCTGACCTGTGTGCTCCTATGTTAAACGCCCACAGACAGTTGAGAGTTTACTGTTTGTTTGTCTTGGTTTTATTGTTCTGTGTCAGCTATCAGTTCTTGCTTTACTAACAACATCACGGTTTTAAAAAGACCAAGGTTGTCTTAAACAAATTAGCACCAAAAGCCATGCTGGGAATCACAGTTTGAGAAAACTTTGAGTTCACTCCTTATTATCCTTATTTCATCAGCTTTTTCCTTTATTTTGTTCAGGTTCTTCTGCCTTTATTCCATTCAGGGGAATACAGTATGGGAGAAGGAACAGCGAAAGTTGTGACTGCACATTAACCAGGCTAAACAGAGGACAAAAACAGTTCCCCTGTCTGGGGCAAAGAATGGATAGCTAACAGATGTGGCTCCTGACTTGCCTGGCACTAGTAGAAAGGATCTGAGTGTGAATATATTTTCCTAGAAACTTAGGAAATTACCCCCACTACAATGGTCTCTCCCATAGAATATAAGGCGGTTGAGGACAGAATCTCTGTCTTTTCACAAGCGATTAGACAGCATTTGTGGGCTGGCTGGCTGGCTGGCTGCCTGACAAGATGGCAGAAGTGAAGGAATAAAGAAAGCATTAATAAGGAGAACAGCAGATTGGCAAACATCCCTTTGGTGAAAATGAGACCTGCGCTCCTCATTTCCTACATAAGCTACTAAAAGTGTCCTGAAAATAGTTTACAACAAACATCCTTTCCACAAGAACATCAAGGTCACTTTCTCCATTTGAAGCAGGGTGGAGTTGGGGCGGGGGGGCGGAATAAACCAACCTATATAAAATATGAATAAAATGTCAATCAAAGCTGGTTTTTCTGTGTATGCTACGGTAATATGAGCCATATTCCTCTATTGCTTTTTTATTTTTAAACACAACTAGTCTAGATCTGGTAGTTTGGCAGCATTTTTTTTTCTTATTTTTTTTTTCTTATTTTTGTTCTTTTTCTTCCTCTTCCTCCCCTGGCCCCTCCCCGCCTTTAACAAAGAAAGAGCTTTCAAACTCTTTTCATAGCAAGGCTGGAAATCCTGCCAGGTAAAAAAAAAAAAAAAAAAAAAAAAAAAATTATTGAAAACCTTTCTCCCCTTATAGGCCCATTTTGACAGGAAATCTTTGAGAGGCAGCAGCAATGAAGTGCCCAGAGATTTCATCTGTCTTCTTTTGCTTTAGGAAATGCTGAGCGCAAGGCTCCCTATTAGGCAAATAGAAGGAGTACCAAATCCCCTTAACAATCATCTTCGGCCGGCTCCTGGGTTGACAGCTCTCTGTGTCCTAGACTGTCAGACAGGCCCTCGAACTGAGGATCACAATACTGGTACCAGCGTAAAAGTTTCTGACAGGACTTTACAAAAAAATATTATATTGACTCTGTTTGTGGATTATCTGGCACCATCAACTTTGCATAGGCTAATCAGAATAAAATCTATTATACTAGGACGGCATTAACTTGCAGCTCTTTTGCTTTTTCCTCTATGGTTTTGACATAAAATTCTTGTCAGGGTGTTTTTCCACTGTCATTCTGTGTGATTGGTTAAATTTCAGCAATCATTACCTGCTGTATGATAACATCCAATAGGATGACAGTGTTTTTTTTTTTTTTCTGACAGATGCCAAATCTAAATTTCAAATAATCCTTTCAAAAATGAAAATGCCAGCTTGTAGAAATACTGCAGAATTCTTAGCAGATGTACTTTAAAAAATAATCAGGATTAGGCAAAACGGGTAAAGTTCAGAGTGAAAGTTAAAAAAAAAAACTTTCATAATTTTAGGTAGACATACTTATGTTAGTTTAGATTTGCTTTTGAGTTTTCCGTTATTAAAAGCTATATTTAATTACCACATTATAGATACTTTGCAAACAAAACCCCTGAATTTAGAAGTGTAAATCAACTTGTAAATAACTTTGACAAAAAATTGATTAAAAGTAGAATAAACAAGTATCATATACTGTGTGTGAACTAATCATATTGTAGATTTAAACATCAATTAACATCAATTAACATGAAACATCTGTTTCATGTCCCATGAAACAGAAGCAAAGGGAAGGGGGTTATAATTTCTAAAACATTCCTCAAAGTAAATTAGATGGCAGTGATGTGATATTTAGCATATCTGTGATGAGAAAACAAGTTATGAAAAGGATGCCTGCAGTTGTTTAACAGTAGACTTGAGAGAATTCACCTCATCTATGCTTACATTTTGGCAATTAACATTCAAAAACAATAATCAGAATAACAGATGCAAAGGGATTAAAAATTTCAGAATTCTGACAGGAGGCCATACAAAGGGCATCCTAAACAGCTTCTCCGACTCTAGCCCTGCTCTCTGTAAGTCCAGCCACCAAACAGCTGTCCCCAGGAGATATTATTTAAAGGTGGTATTAAGTGACTCTTCTATATAAAACCCTTTAACAATTTCTGATGCATAAAACTAATGTCCAAATTCCTTTTGACGGCTTGTAAGACTCTCCTTTATCTGGACCCTGCCTCTCTCTCCAGGCTCATCATCTTAGCATAAATATCTCCATTATAATGGTTTATTTACTAGAGTCTATCAAACACCTTCTATGGCACAGTAACTTGAATATATTGTCATTAACTGACTGGTTGATATAAATAGATTGCAAGTATAATGGATATTTTGGTTGCCTTTTTAGTATTCATGGTTCCATTCCTTCTTCCTTAAAGATTTTCACATTTGTTCGGGTACCCTCTGTTTCCCTGTGCAGCCCTTATGAGGCAGTGGAAGTTCATCAGTCCCTGATTGCAGAGACAGGCTTTCTGATTGTCAGAGAAATAAATTTAATATTAGAATAAGAAGATAAGAAAGTAAAACATATAGAGATGTGAATATTCTATCCACTAGGCCCATTATCCAAGTATTAAGAATTCTAGAATTTGAAAAAAAAATCAATAGATGGAATTCAATTATCATATAAATAGTCAATGAAATTATCCCAGAATGGAAAGGTCACAGGGTCCCAGAGAATGCTGATCACAGGAAAAATATAATAATAAACAAATCGTGAAATACGAATTTTAAAAAACAAATAAATCATTGTAAAATTTTAAGACACTAAAAATAAAGAGAAACCTCAAACATTTCCAGAAAGAGAAAGAAAGAAGGGAAGGAGATAAAGAAAAAAGGAAAGGAGAAGGGAAGAAAGGAAGAAATGAAGGAAGGAAGGAAGGAAGAAGGAAGGAGATAAAATATTTCTTTATCTTACAAAAAGAGCAAAATCAGACTGGCATCGGACATTATCAGCAATATTAAATGCTAGAAAGTAACAGAGAAATACCTTTAAAATTATGAGGACTAATAATTTTAGACTAGATATCCTATATTGAACTAAATCATCAAATCGCATATAAGGACAAAAGAAAGACTTTCTAGACACGGCTGTATTTCCTGCATATTATCTTAGAAAGTTTATTGAGGATATGCTACAGCATGAAAAGGGATTAAGTAAAGAATGAAGTCATGGGGTCCGGTTAGAGGCAGATCTAATCAGCACATTTATGAAGGGTTGCCCCAGGATGATAGATGTCTAACAGTTCCAGCTTAGAACCAAAAGGTGGAGGCTTCAGAAGGAGGGTCTCCATGGAGAAACAGTGGGGCTGAGAGAAGAGGGGCAGTTAGAAAACTAATACTTTGCACAATTAAGAACATGGTAAGCAGAGAATTTAAAAACGAAAGAAAAAGAAAAGGAAAAAAATCTTACGTTGGTGTGAGTGGATTAAAAGGATTAGCATTTTCAGGAAAATAAAAATATTGCAGAAGATATATAATGCATATCACCTGTCTGTGTAATGGACAGAATTTACCACTGTGCCTCAACTCCTAGAACAGAAAGGGAAAATGCTGTTTAAGAGCTTGGGGAAAGTAGAAAGGAAGGAAAGAAGAAAGAGTGATAATATTGAAAATGCTCTATATTAACTTTCAACATTTAAATTCAATGGGCAAAATGCAATAACTGTAAAGTTGCTGAATTAAATATAAAACGTATCAAACTTAAAAATGTAAAAGTACATAAACAGATGCCACATACTAAGAGCTGAAAGAAAATTTAGGGAAAATAAAATCCTCATTTTTATATTGTGGGAGATCAGATATTTTCTCTTCAGTTCATGAGATAAGAAAAAAGGATGTAAGTGTGTAGCTTTAAAATAAAGTGAAAATTAAAAATGCTGATGCAAAGAATCTAAGTCTTTACATGTCATAATAGGAAGGTGATAATAATATTTACAATAAAAAACAGGAACAGTAAAATTAGTAACTTATGTAAAAATAAGAACACAATGAAAAATCTAAAAAACAAAATGATTAAAAGATGTTACTTCCAGGGACTAGAATGGAGGTGGAGATAGAACAAAGAGTTGTTGCTGCTCATAAAGTCTACCTTATTATTATTATTATTATTATTATTATTATTGTGTGTGTGTGTGACTGTGTGTGTGCATGTGTTTTAGACATATGTGGGTTAGTTTTATTTTTAAATGTAAAGTTAGGTGAAGTCTCTGTTTTGCTTTTCTACTTGGGTTTTAGTAATAGGAAATTATAGTTAAATTCCTCCTTATTTTTCTATGTTGCCTTTCTTTAAAAAATTTCTTTTTTTTAATAGAAACAGAGTCTCCCTATGTTGCCTAGGCTGATCTTGAACTCCTGGCATCAAGAGCTCCTCCTGCCTATGCCTCCCAAAGTGCTAGGATTCCAGGCATGAGCCACTATGTCCTGTCTTACGATGCCTTTTTAAATTGACAATTGCTTTGAATATTTTGCTACATTCCAAAGTAAATGTATCTAAGCATCAGGAAAATCACTGTGTCAGTTAGGACTGGTTATAAGCAACATAAATTGAGTCTGGATGAACAGAGATAGAAGGAATTTATTGGAAGGACAATGCACTGAACAACTCCTACATTAAACGAAAATGTGATATACCTGGCCAGAGAAAGGTCTAGAGTTACCATACCTCTGTGGAGAGGAAAGTCTGAATGGACTAGATTGGATCAAGTGCTCACCCACTGGTGAGGGTGAGACAGGGTGGAGGAGGTAGAACTAATGTGATTGATGGTTGCACAGAGGCTATCTGTTATGGGAAAGTGAAAGTAAAGTCATGGAAACAAAAGTGAAGATTGAGTTCTGTTACTAAAAGATGATGACAGGATTCTGTGTAGCCAAAACAACTGTTTATTACATTAACCTTAACATTTAATTGTCCTGTATAGGGGCTTCATCCTTGGTGAAACACACAGTGTTTTCTGAGCTACCAAACCAACCAACAAAACAACATTATATACATAACAGAATAAAAAGGAGTGTCCTGCCAGTTCTGCCTCCAAAACATACTTCCATCTCTTTACTTCCTGTATCTCTAGAGTTTATCATCATTTTTTTTATTGAGTCTTATAAAATAACCCCCTAGTTTTTCTTCCCTGCTTGTACTTTCGCCCTAACCCCCATGCTTCCTTGTCTACCAAGTTGGCAGAAATATAGTTTTAAAACATAGATCACATCACATTACTTCTCTGCTTGATTACTTTCTCATTGCACAAACTCCTTATCCTGACACCTTTCTTTACATCTGCCTCTGCACCCTCCTCACTTCTGGGCTCTTGGATTTATAGCTCCATCTGCCCAGAATGCTGTTCCTCCAATGCCTCCTATGAGTAGCTCATTCTCACTCTTCTACATAAAGTACTCCCCCATTCTCAGGTATTCTGTCACATGACCATATTTAGTTGATTCATAGTACCTGTCTGGATTGAATGTTTTCTTTTTCACTAACTTGCTTACTGTCTCTCTAGGCCCAATTAAGAGCTTCAAACTGGAAAAGGGCCAAAACCTTCTCTGGCATGTTTACCATTGAATCCCCAGCACCGATAATTGTGCCTGCCACTTACTAGGTGCACAAAATTAATACTTACTGAACAAATAAATGAATGTGCAAATTTGGTTAAAAAGTGAAAGGTTTTGCCTTCAAACTGCAACCTGTTATTTTATTTTATTTTATTTTATTTTATTTTATTTTATTTTATTTATTTTTGAGACCGAGTCTTGCTCTGTAGCCCAGGCTGGAGTGCAGTGATGCGATCTCGGCTCACTGCAAGCTCCGCCTCTGGGGTTCACGCCATTCTCCTGCCTCAGCCTCCCGAGTAGCTGGGACTACAGGTGCCCGCTACCACGCCAGGCTAATTTTTTATTTTTATTTTGTTATTTAGTAGAGACGGGGTTTCACCGCGTTAGCCAGGATGGTCTCGATATTCTGACTTCAAGATCTGCCCGCCTTGGCCTCCCAAAGTGCTGGGATTACAGGCGTGAGCCACTGCGCCCGGCCAACCCTGTTTATTAATGAATAACAAAAAGCAGTTAACTTTCTGTTAACCAAATTGACCTGTAATGCTTTGTGCACCAGATAGACATATTGGCAGCATCCACTTCTAGACACACCAGAGGGTTGAGGTCTGGGAACTACGTTTCCCAAAAGCCCCTACCAGCAGTATTCCAGGTTTGTTCCTCAAATGAGAATAACAAGAGATTTGGAAGGAAGCACAGAATCAAAAGCCGTATGACTTCTTCTCTGGCAACAGCTGACAGATATGTGAGTCTTTAACATGTGAAATTTTGCAACAGCCTCTGTGTTTAGTTTTGAATCACCTGCCTAATTTCTGGATTGTCACTGGCAATTTTATTAAACTCCTGCAGCTTTCCAACTCTCAGAATGCCAGTTGCAATTTGAAAATTATCAGCATTTTCACCAGACACTTTAGTCATTGTCATTCTAGTGCTTTTTGTTTTAAATTGTTATTTTGAAATAGTTCCAAACTTCCGGAAATAATAGAGCAAAGCACCACATAGTCTTCACCTGGAGATACCACTTAAGCTTTACTGATATCCCCACTAACGTCTTTTATGGTACACGAATCATGCATTGCATCTAATTGTCTTTCTAGTCTCTTTCTACCTGAAGCAGGGCTTCAGTCTTTCATTTCCATGACCCTGATGTGTTTGAAGATTACAAGGCAACAATTTTGTAGAATGTTTCTCAATTGGATTTGCCTGATATTTTGTCATGATTAGAGCTGGGCTATACATTTTGGGCAGGAATAGCACAGAAGTAATGCAGTACTTCTCATTACATCTGGTAGCACACAATGTTGATTCGTCCCATTACTAGTGGTTTAAATTTCGATGGCAAGATTAAAATTGTGAATACCAAGATTCTCCACAGTTAAGTTTTGTTTTCTTTGGTTTTGTTTACTTTGTAGATACAAAGTGTTTTCTGTGGAAAATTTGACATTGTATTAATATTTCTTCTGTCATTCCACTTTCACCCAACAGTTTTAGTACTTGTTGACATTTCTTGTCTGAATTAGTACTGTGATAATTGCAAAATGGTGAACTTTTTTTAATTCAATCATCTCTTTCACATTTACTGGTTGGCATTAATGGAAGGGCAGGTTTTTCTTTTTCTTACTTATTTATCCGTATGGATTCATGGATTTCTATGTCATTCTATGGATTAGTATCTGTGACTATTTATATTCATTTTGATGCTTAAATTTCTTGGATTTGGCCAGTGGGAGTCACTTCAAGCAGGCTTTCTTTGTCCCTTTTCATTTGCCCTGCAAAACGCTTTTATTCTTTCTTTGAATGTTGCATTACTTATTTACATAGTTTATTACTTCCAGGAACATATTGTTTTGTTGTTGTTGTTGTTTTGTTTTGTTTTTTCCAAATTCAGCCCTGGACTCTGCCATTTACCCAGGAGCTCTACTTTATTGTAATGAAGAGTTGTACTGTACTTAGAAACCAAGCTTTGCATGCCGGGAGAGCTCATTGCTACCGGGTTGTTGCTACATCTAGAACATTTTATTAACAGAGTGAGGAAGTATATGTAAGAATGAATATGGATATACAACTACACACATATTCACACACATACATACATCTTTATGTCTATATTTTTACATATCTGTCAACTATGATCTATCTATCATCTATCTATCTATCTATCTGAAAAACCTTGAGTTTATGCCATACTGCCAATTTCAGTCTAACACCACAGGTTTATTCCAACTTCCTTTATTTCCATATTTGTACCTTCCTTCTCCTTCAGTGAGAAATCTGTTCCCATACTCCATTTATTTATTTGCCCAATTCCCTCAATGTTGCTAATCACCATCCCTGCCAGACTGCATATACTTACTGTACTTACTGCCTTGCTCCAACATATCAAATTCTCACAGGCTTGCATTGATGGCTTCTGGGATGTCCCTGCCATCCTGTTCCAACAGGCTGTCCTTATGTAAACCCAGTGCAAGTTGTCATTACAGGTTGTCACCTGACTACATTGACTCCCTGCTTCAAGATAACATCCTTCCACAGGTGACCATCACTGCCATTGCTAGTATCTTTTAAAGCAGGAAGAGAGGCAGACAGTTTCTAGTTCATATTTACAACCCCAACCCTCTATATTAAATTCTTTTCTGCTTGACATATCTAGAGTAAATTTTGTTTCCTTAAACAAAAGCTAATCATTATACTTTGGTATATAATGTCAATAGAAAAAATTCCAATGCATTGTAATTTTATATGCCAAATAAATAAAAGTGTACATGAAAGTCAAAATAATAAAAATATTTGCTTAAATACAAGAAAAAAATCATGACAAAATTTTTTATCTGAAATAAAAAATTTGCAATATTTTAAACTTAAAGTGTTTGAATAACTGACTATAATTGTTGCTACTAATAACCTAGCAGATGCTTGAAACACTTTATTATAGATTAATAGATATGTATTTTTCACTTGCAGTACTTAAATGAAGCTTAGAATTTTTGTCCTGCCAAAATGACGTCAAGTCACATTTATGCAGAAAATGCCAGACTATTGTAACTGTTAAAGGTATATTTAAAAAACTCAAGTGCTAATAAATATTAGATAATAAATTTTAGAATGTTATTTTACTGAATAAATTTGTCCTTTGAAAGAAGGCTGAGTTTTATTTTTATTTTCAGGGAATGGTGTGTAAAATAGAAGTTTCTGCAAATAAAGGAAAGTCACTGCATTAAAGAACATATTCATTATGTGCATGTCAGGACAGAATTTAACTAGTTGGGGGCATGAGCTATACTATGTGTGAAAGAAAGCCTTTTCCCAATCCTGCTCTTGTAACCTTCTATCTGTTCATCTTGTGCCACATGACAGGTGAAAAATGTAACCTTAGAAAAATAAACTGATGCTTTGAGATATTTCTACTAAGTGAAGTTTGTTCATCTGAAATATTTGCTTGCAAGGAAAATGCCCCTGGCAGTGTTTTCGTATCTTTCTCTCACAGTTTTAAAATCCTTGGGATTTTTAAAATGATGAAATTAGAAGAAAATATATGCATCATGTTCATTTTGACATTTGAAAAAGAAAATTTTCATCCTTTGTAAAATAAAATATACAAATACATAAAAGCCTCAGAAAAAGTACTGTTAGCATTCTCAGTTCTAGTATGTGTATGAATCAACATAAGAATTTAAAAAATGATCGACATATGTGTCCTGCCTATCTCATTTGTATACTTGAAATTCACTATTAATTCACCTGTTGCTAAATTCCACCATGAACACAAAGTAATTTTGTTTTAAAAAAAGTCAGAGTCAATTTTCAGCTGATATAATTCCAAGGATTTAAGAGGCATAGAATGAAAATAAATAGGCTGAGGAAATCTAAGCTGTTTAATTTGATTCAGTAAATATTTATTGGTTGATTCCTGTATTCTCAGTGCACTGCTAGGTATTAAGACAGTTATGAATGAATCTGAATGTAGCATAGTCTGGTGCCACAAAATGTTTTCAGTTCATTACTGGAGAAGTGGAAAAGGGAATTTATACAAATCAGTGTAACATAAAGAAGCAGTTTTTAATAAATGCCTTAAGATTTCCTCTAAGTGGCAGTGAAAGTTAAATTTCTCCTTCACTGCTTTCCTATCTTGTAATTTGGATTGGCACCTTAATATGTAGAATATGTGTGGTCACTGTGAAATAATATCAGGAAACAGAAAAGAATGAAAAACATTGGAGGTTTAGTAATAATATTTAGTATGGTATGAATGTCACCCAAAATATAAAACTTAATCCTCATCGTGGTAATATTGAGAGGTGGGGATTTTGAGGACGTGACTAAGTCATGAGGGTTCTACCCTCACAAAAGAATGAATGCCCTTATAGAAGAGATTTCAGAGAGAGTTAACTTCTCTTGTTCTTGTGCTCTTCTGCCATGTAAGGACATCATTTTCATTTCCTCCAGAGGATGCGGCTATAAAACGCCATCTTGGAAGCGAGACTGGGCTCTCAGCAGACACCAAACCTTCATCTGGGACTTCCCAGCCTCCAGAACTGTGAGGAATAAATTTCTGTTATTTATAAATTACTCAGTCTGTGGCACTGTGTTACAGCAGCACAAACAGACTAAGGCAATATTCTAAAATGGCAAGGGATGGTATGCTAGAGCAGCCTTTCCCAAACGGTGCTCAAATGTGCATGTAGTTGATGCTGGAAAAGAAAGAAAACAAAAGCTATTCCAAGGTCAATGAGTTTGAGAAATGTTGGATTAATTAAAGCCGAACCAGCTTCTTTTTTGTAGAACTTCGGTTGTATAAAATAATTCCAAGAGGGAATTATTATATGCTGGGACACGATTTGGGGAAGTCTATGCTACTGAAAACAGGCAGAAATAGCAGGCAAAACAACAACCTAAAATCACAATTTATATAACTGCTTTGATTTCCTGTACTCTTTTAAAACATTTAACTCAAATGTTGCTTGTAACTTAGCCAGTATCAATCCCTGTTTTCTGTTGCCACATTTAAACACTGGAAACAAATGCATCAAAATGCTTGCTATCTTTTTATCCCTTGCAGATGTCCTTGCTCCCTGGTAAAGAAACCATTGGAATGTTGCCATTTTAATTAGGCTTAGCTACAAAAAAAGCCTTAATCTGCCATTGAGATGTATATTTGCTTGTTTTATTAAAGCTTAGAGGAGGGGGAAAGGTGGTTTTCCATTTATGGAAATTATGTAATAATACAGATACACTTATTCCAAGATAGTTTTTACAACTTGGAGTGAATATGAAATACAATTGATGATTTTGAAGCCCTTCCCAAAATAAAGAACACTTTTATTTTATGGTATTTTTAGTAACCAGAATTTTTTCTATCATTAAGTGATTACTTTTTGGAACAGTGTCAAAAAGAACCTCCCATTCCTATATCAGATATTTTATTATTATAATATCACCTTCCCTTAATTAAGGAGAAATCAAACTGAGAAAACAGCTTTTATGAGTGTTATTGGTCTGCTACAATAATGTATCTCTAATGTTTAAGTTTATGTTCATTTTAAGTCTTACGTTTATTGTAAATTATTGTAAGAACTTTTAAGATTCTTACACATTTTGCATGATTCCTTTTCTTTCTTTTTTTTTGAGCCAGAGTCTAGCTCTGTCGCCCAGGCTAGAGTGCAGTGGCGCGATCTCTGCTCACTGTAACCTCCGCCTCCCGGGTTCAAGCGATTCTCCTGCCTCAGCCTCCCAAGTAGCTGGGATTACAGGCGCCTGCCACCCCACCCAGCTAATTTTTGTATTTTTAGTAGAGACGGGGTTTCATTGTGTTGGCCAGGCTGGTCTGGAACTCCTGACCTCATGATCCGCCCTCCTCTGCCTCCCAAAGAGCTGGGATTACAAGTGTGAGCCACCGCGCCTGACCTGCAAAATTTCTTAAGAATGAATTTTCAATATATTCAGGCAGGATTATATTCTATCTTACAGAATTTTGGGGTTCTATACTTGGTTTTAATATAATAAATATTCATTTAAAGGTAAAAGAACATGAAAGGGGAAAGGTGTCATAAACATGAATACATCAAACATTTAAAATATATAAGCCTGAAGGACACAAAGACATACAGAGTGATATAATGGATTTGGGGGACTTGAAGGTGGAGGAGAGTTTGGGAGGGGGTTGAGGGACAAAAGACTACATATTGGGTACAGTGTACACTGCTCAGGTGATGAATGCACTAAAATCTTAGAAATCACCACAAGAGAACTCATCCATGTAACCAAATCCACCTGTACCCCAAAAACTATTGAAATAAAAATAAGAAGAGAAAAAATAAAATAAAGTAGCCTAATAATTATCTTGGAACATGAATAACCATATTAACACTTAGCTATTGTTTTTGAGAATAGTATGTTTATGTCTTAGTTACATGACAGCAGGTAGCAGTGATGAGGACCAAGGACCACAGGAATTAAACTCTGGCTCCACCACTGTAGGATGTGTGTCCTTGGAAAAATCTTTGACTCAGTTTCCTCATTTGAAAAATCAGAATGATATTAGCAGCTACTTGAAAGTACTGTTTTGAGGAACAAATAAGTTAATATTCAAGAAGTACCTAGAATAATGCCTGGAACATGGTTATCATTAAATACACTTGGTTTGCCTCTTCAAACGTAACATTTATTTCAAGAGTAGTTAGACTCATCTCACCTTAAAAATTCAATTCAATCCCTTTCCTTTAACTGCTATGGTTGCCTTTGGCTATTACTACTGAAAAGCTCCTATAAGAATTAGTCAGACATTGGAGAAAGCAGAATGTAAGATTTTAATTTGTAACTTCACATGAGTGCTAATCTAGAAGTACCAAAAATCTCCATCAAAGTTTAATGAAAGAAAAAGAGTGCTCTACTTCTAAACAAACTAATGAGGTCACAGCTACCTTTTCTTTTAAAAATTATTAAACAAAACTATCATTAAATCAATGTTGTGTTGAACAAACAAAACTCTTCCAACCAATACTGCCACGAACAAATACTTAAATCTAAAAATACAAAGTCTTTACTTTACCTCTCTCTTACATACACTTTTAAAAACATGCTTCAGAACTTTGCATAGTGTCTTTTTCGTATTAATCATTTACCACATATTTGAGGATTTTTTTTTTGGTCAAAATGATCAAATGAGTCATTGAAATTGAGATTTCAGTTTAGCATTAAAATAAAACACTGGAAAAGAGGAGTTTAAAATATCACCATTGCTAATCATTGAAATATTTGATCTCTCTAAGATTTCTGGGATAAGGCCAAGTTTTCCTTGGTTTTCTCTTTACTCTATACTTCCTCTACCCTCTTTCTGAGGTGCTCAATAAGCTTCAACCTACCCAAGCCTGACCTCATCCTATGCCCTATAATTTATCTCTACTTATAAACTTACCTCCTTTGGTCATTGTAATGGGTACATATTGAGCTATCTTTCCAGCCTACACATTAATGTCTTGTCTTTTCCATAGATGCTACTCCACATTCCAGAGTAAGCCACCATTAGATAGGCATCTAATAGATTATACTGCCCCTTGACAATAGCTTATTGGCACAAAGGTGTTCATCTGTTCCAAGTTGGGTGTGATGGTTTTTATTCTTAGGGAATTGGAACTGAAATGTTCTGATGGTATACATCCGTATGTTTAAAGTCAGAACTTTGGGGTGCCAATGTTTTATCTGTGGAGCAAAGAGCCAAGAAGAGTCTATAATGAAAAGACTGAAGCCAACACTCTGGGAAGAGTAAAGATGAAAACTGCAGTGAATAGGCAGCTAATTCCCAGTTTCAGCACTTTTCTGAGGTTTGTGTCTATTCATGGCTTTGGGAAGTGAGACATATCCCTCCCCTTTCCAACAAAATTACCATTTTGCTAGTGATAGAAGAGTCAAGGAGATATTTTGAGAAAGCCAGACGTCTTGTAATCTTAAAACATTTTACTATGACTGTAGCTATGTCTAGCCTGGTACTATCAAAATGCAAATTTGAATTTTACCACTAGGGCCAACAGACATCGATACAGCATCAAAATAACAATTCTTAACACCAAAGTATTTAAGATTTACAGAAGAAACACCCACAGGTGGCTAGTTGTCAAGAAAAGTATCCACAGTTATAAACAATTTGTTTAAAATTTCAAGCAACAGTTTATTCAAATTACAGATGAAAACTCTGCAAAAACCTTGCACTATAAAAGTACTGTTCACCTTTCAGGTCATACAAGCACTTTTATTTCATCCTTAAGCACAATTGGCATTACCAGATTTTGCAAATCAAAATAAAAG
This sequence comes from Homo sapiens, assembly GCF_000001405.40. Taxonomy (NCBI): domain Eukaryota; kingdom Metazoa; phylum Chordata; class Mammalia; order Primates; family Hominidae; genus Homo; species Homo sapiens. The sequence goes on along the minus strand of NC_000001.11, from coordinate 82,810,349 downwards.
ACACCAGTTAAATTTGAATTTCAGATGACAAACACTAACTTTTAGAATAATATTTTAGACATACTTATGCTAAAAAGTTACTTGTTCTTTGTCTGGAATTCAATTTTAACTGGGCATCTTCTATTTAATCTGGCAACCCTAAGCCCAGTGAATAATATGCAATCACAGGTGTGGGAGGAATTTTTTCCCCCAGACTATATTTTAAGTGGTAAGACTTGTCATTAGGCAGTTAAATCAGTCAAGATGCAAAACGGCAATTTCTACCAAAATGTTCTTTCAGTGAATTGTATAGATGTGTTAAATGTAGATGTATGACTGTTGTTTTTTGAGGCTCCGTCTTAATTCCTTCTTGTAGGGAGAGCTGGGGAAATGAAAGGACACTTTATATATGTTAAATTTTAGTAAAACTTTTTTATTTCTGGAATTAACAGCAGTAGAGAACCCATTATTCTAGAAGTAGATTCATTTTCTTGAGAACAGAATTGGATGGTAAAAAAGGGAGATGATAGATAAGAAAGGAAGAAAATAAAAAACAAAGGCAAGGTAAGATAATTTAGAAAAAATAAGAAAACTATTTAGATATTTTTAAAGCTTTCTGCTTGCTTTGGCTATTTTTAAAACCAAATTTGATTAACTTCAAAGCAAATCTAATCATTTGGGCAAAATTGATAATAGAAGCAGAAAAAATATAATTTAACGAGTAAAACCAGTCACAAAATTGATACTGCTTCTGATTCAAAAAATCTTAGTTGTACTGAGATTTATATCACAGTACAAAAAGATTGAGCTTGTCTTTTATCCTCTGAAAATTTCTATTCTCTCCTTCTTTCTTTTTTCTCTTTCTCCCTCTCCTTCTTCTGCCTTCCACAAATGAAAATAGCATCCAAGCATAAAGTGTGAAAAATACTACATTCAGGGAGGCTTGGCTCAAAAACAGCAGCCAGGAAAGGAAGAAAGTTTGTACTAATGGCTGGGATTTTAGCCTCTTCATGGGGCAGGTTGTAGGGAGTGGTAGTAAGGAGTGGGGAATGTCATTTCTAAAAGCTCCCCTTAGTAAGAACTAGTGCTGCAGCAGGTCATTAGTATGCCGAGTTATGTTTTGGGGAATGTAATGTGTCTGCCTGAATCCATGTAATAATGAACTGTGATACTAAGAAGCATTAATTAAATCAAGATAAATAAGATGATTGTACTTTGAACTTGAAAATAATGTATATTCAACAATATCTTACAAATTTGAACATAGCATAATATACACCTCAAATATCTTTGTAGTAAAAATGAGCCATTACATTCTCAGAAATAATTGGGACCCTTTTCCAAACTGAGGCTGAAGCTCCATAAAGGAAAATTCCAGTAATATGACTTGCTTTCACTCAGTGCCTATCAAAATTCTTCTTGTGGTAGCTCTTGGAAAGATTATCTTTTTTTATGATTAGAACAGGGAATATAGGTGTCTTGCTGACTAAATTGCTCTTTCTGATGTCTGATGTACCCACCCACTATGTCAGACTCTCCAGTACTAATATGTAGGTCCCTTTAAACCAGTAGGTTACACATCAAACTTCAGGTTTGAAGCTCTGGAAGATTCTCTAGGATCACAGGTTAAAATCTCACCAGGTCCAACGCAACCTTTCATTCTTCCAGAAGGGATAAATCAACCGGCACGTACTTCACTGTGTTAGGGTGTTTCAGATGAGAACTTATAAACTTAAGACTCCTTTGCTTTGTAATGACATTAAAGATCTCATGGGGTGTTTGTTCTAAGGTTTAGAGACCGTCCTAAAACCTTGAGTAATTTTTGCTTATACTTGAAGTCTGCACTATGAAATGCTTGAACATTCTTATATGTTATTAAGGTTTTATGTACCTTATTAAATTATGAAAACTAAATTCACCTTTAGAAAGTACTTGCAGAACTAACATTATTTGGAACTCGAGATTACAGAGTACATGGTATGATTTGAACACCTGTAGTCTCATTTTCATCTTTTGTGTATCACATACACTTTTATGCACCTTCAGCCTAATAGCATGACAATTGGGCCAGTGTCTGTGTTTTTAATAAGCCACAGCCTACTGGTGTGAGACTCAATTCTAGAGTCATGATGTGTAACACATTTAGGCCTCCAGTGACTTCTGTGTCCAAGGCCCCAAAGACTTTTTGAAGACTTTAATAAAGTGTCTCTCATTGTCCTGTGTCTAATCGAGTCTGCCTGGATTACCCCCTGCCCTGCACTATATTACACACATTCATCTTATGATTTCAATTCCTCTTTTCATGCTTTTTTTTACTTTATTGCTTTTAAACTACCATTTCCCCCATTGTTTATGATTAGTTGATATATCTTTCTGGCAAACAAATAAACAAGGAGAAAAGTGGCAAGGCAGCTGGTGAGTGTATGAATGTGGATCATGGGGACAAATTCTCCTCCTCAGCATTCATATGCTGCCCCTTGATAATTTGAGCTTAGAGTTCATTTTAGAAATCCGAACGCTAGCTACAATACTTTGTGTCACACGTTTTTGCTTCATTTTTTCTCATTTGATTGAAAGCCACTTAGAGGCTTCATTTCCATTTCATTGTGAAGCAGGATCCCATGGGATCATTCTATCAGAAAAATTTTCAAACCATGTTCACAGATTCCCATAGGGAGGGTGTCCTGTTGGAAGTGTCCAAAAAAATGGGGGAAGGTATAGAATACATAACACATTTACTTTTATAATTCAGGTGAGATTACTTGAGGAAACTTATGTGTAAAACCAACCTTACTCAATCCCTAAAATATCTGAATATTTCCTCCTGGAAAGTCTTTTACAAACCCCAAATGGAGATATTCCTTCCATTCTATTCATTTTCTTTAATATACCCAGAGCCCAAAGGAAGCACCTCCTCTTTTCTTTTCACATATCATCATAATTAATTCCATAAGCATCTTCCAGCTTGCAAATTTAATTTTTATTTTCATAGAAGTTAATAGCTTTATAATAGAACAAATGCAGGGAGTAGTTCCTCTGAATGGAGATGCCACAGTTTTATGTACCCAGATGAATCTCCCCTTTCTGTGTTTAATATGACCTATGTTCTCTGCCAGAAACTTTAATATCATCTCATTCATCACTCAGCTTGCTCAGTCTCCTTTGTCTATCTTGTTCATTTTTTCCCCAAACCACTTGCTGATAGACTAAAATTATAACTGTAGTATTTCCCTGTTTTAGGTTTTAAATTTTTCCTTGAAAATAGTATAATTAAGATGGATAAATCTTTGTCACCCCATTTGAATGTTCTAAGTAAAAATGGTGCAATGTAACATTTTAGAATTCCATAGTCTGAATCAACATCAAACAGATGTATGTGTACACACACATGCACACACACAAATTTTCTATGAGACAAAGGTCTTTTGTGTCTTATTCACTGCTTTATTTCTGGGCCTATCTTGGTGCCAAGCACGTAGCACAAGTCAACAAATATTTGTTGAACAAATGAAATTAGATATTAATCAACTCATATGTACTTCATGTGCATACTAAAATATTTGAGATTTTTTAAACAAATAAAAACATAAATGTTTATAATTAGTTTGATGAGTTAAAACTAAATGTGATAAAATCCTAGTAAGCTATCTCTCGGTGAATAGAATATTTTGTGCCCTTCAGTTCAGTCTCTCAAAGTTCACAGGGGTTTCAAGATAAACTCTCCAATTACAAAATGCCATTAATATGATCATTTTACCAATAGATGTTGAGAGTCTCATGATATAAAGCTTTATAATGCACAAAGAATTTATGTATATGTTTTCATATTAATCCCATAAAATAATGGTCTCTCTATTTTTCAAGGAAAAAACCCTAGACTCAAAAACGTTAAATATTTAAAGTAAAATAGGTCAGTAAGAAGTAATAATTTTAAGAGATAAGCCTGGTCCTTCCACTTCTGACCCCTTTGTTCTGTGGGCTGCATTACAATTGCTTGTGTGGAGTGCTATTGGGATTGCCAAGCATAATCCATTCCTGGTTTTCACTTCAGTAGGACAGAGCTCCCTGGGAGCGGCACTTAATCAATGACTAATGGGCATGGAGGGAGTGGATGAATATTTCTGTTTGCTCCAGCTTCAGGTGGGGAAACTCCCAAGACACAGGTCCCATACTGTCTCCTGGTCCTGCATGGTGGGATTTAGCTCACCACTGCGATAACACACCTTTAACTGGCTGTAGGCACTTATCCACACCTCTATAGTGTTTCCTGGTATTGCCCTCAGAAATAAACTACTTCAACCTGACTCCTAGTCTAAGGGTCTGCTTCTGAAAGATAAAATCAAGACTGCTGATACTGAAAGTAGTCCTAGAAAGCAGATTCTTATAATGTGATTCTGGAATTGAATGTTTTGCTGGCCATATGGAACAAGGATGTTATTGCATTCATGAATGGGGTGGTGACGATGTCTGGCATGTGATTACTGAGAATTATTAAGACTCTCACCTGTGGTAGATGAGATACAGATAGAAGGAAATGTCTTGTTTTAATCATTTCAGAAATAGCATTTTTAAAGCTGTGAAGGGGGTGTTTTTGCCATCAAACCTCCGAAGGAAGTAAACAACAGGTTTGGGTAAGCCAGCTATCAGCCTACAGTATACTATGAAAGCCAAAAACATATGGCTACATTTAAAGAGACCCACATTCCTATAGTTAGTGGAGAGATAGTTCTGAAAAATCACTACCAGGATTTGTTTCTGAGAGTAGTAAAATTTAAAAAAAAACAAACAAAAACAACAACAACAAAAAACATGAACTCACAGCTCCCGCAAGCTTCCTGAGAACTCCAATGAGGACATCTGAGTGAATGCACTTGAGCCTCTAGATTTTTACGAGCCCTTTTTTCTGTGCCCCAAACAATATGTGCCCCACTTGCTAGAGGAGAGCAGCTTCCCCTTACCTGGAGGCCATGCTTAGGCTGCAGTTGAGGTGGTTTACCTGAATAGATGATGCTCAACTTCCTCCCGATCTGTGACTCACAGATTGGCCTTTGGACCAATAACTAAAGATAAGTCTCAGCAGAGCCCCATTGGGGAAGTACCATCTGTGTTATGGGAAGAAAGGACTTAATGTATTAAAAGGGTTAAAGGACCGAGCAATGGCACTGGTTAATATGCCTCACCATGGATCTTGAGAGTTCTGGACTGGGTGTGGGGGTTGAATACAAGGCTGGATGAGGGAGATATATTGACACGGGGACATTTTTCTGTGGCTCAGACTGGCAAGGACACCTGGAGCTTGTTCTAATATGCTGCTTGGATGGCACCTTGAAGCTTGGAAAAAAATGATGGCCTCTAATAAAAGAAGCAGATGTGCCTGGTTACCTTTGCAGAGTATTGAGGAAGGAGTTAGAAGGCTCTGAAAGACGCAATATGCAAGAATGGATTTACTGCATTAGACCTGAGAACCACTGGCTAATTATGTTTCTGCGGAAGGTTTACAGAACACTCCTTTCATTAAAGCAATAGGAATTATGCAAGGGAAGGGACATCGACATGGCTAAGGAGCTCAGTGCTGGCTGTCTTATACAAGCTAGAGTAAACTAAGAGATACTGCTCTGGGGTCCCTACAGTCAATGCAGCTAACAGGATTGTGGAACAGAAGAGACCAGGTAATAGCACTTAACCATCAAAGGCATGGTGGGTATAAGTTAGAGGGAAGCAAGGCTGCATTCTGTGGGCTTTGAAACATGGGGTAGGATTGGCTACATAATTGTCAGTGCTCAGTGCAAAATGAAAATGCAGGCACATTAAAAATTACTAAAAATTTAAGACAACAACATCAGAGAGAGAAACCAAGCATGGGACACTTCTGAGCACAGGGCCCTGTTTAATTGCACAAGGTGTACACCATGAAGCCCACCCTGATGGGGGCAACTGTGGCAACGACAAGAGACTGGTGTTTTCAGAGCTGAGATACCTGGACCATCAACAAAGATATCATTTGACTTTTGTAACCAAAAATATGACAAAAAGTGAGAAGAAATCTTATGTTAACTGCTATAGTGGAAAAGGACAATCGTTCGCCCAGCTTTTACCCTCAAATCATTTCTCGGACCAAGAGCATTTTACTAAAGGAGAGGCAAGGGCCCCTTTGAGTAAAGACCCTGCAAAGCCACAGGCTAAGCAGATAAAGATTAATGATTCATATTGAGACCTCATACTTTGGGATTCAGTGCCTTGGCAGGGGCTGGACTGTTACAGTACTAGGACAAAGTTTGTGTGGAAGGGGAAGATAATACAATAGTGATGGTCCAAGGAGTCTTGTGTCTGTATTTGTAATTTGTGGCTTCTGACACGTCTCAAGATTAACATGTCCCATTTTGAACTGACCTGGGAAACCAGTTTTGAAATGCCATTATTCTGTTAACTCTGAAAATGATGGCTCATGTTGCTTAAATATTAAGTGAAGAATGGATTGTACATTCTTCTGGATTTCTTGTAGTGTTTTACACATTGATGGAAAGAGATGAGGTTACTCCCCTCTTTCTTCCCTACCCAAATAAGCCCAACCTAAAGTCAAACCGTTGTCAATTGCTTCCTGGTCTGGCTTCTTGCTCCTTTTCCAATTTGCTTTATATCTCTCTATTCACCCTTCCACTCATGTTCAGTGTTCCAGCAACACTGAAAATATCTCCTGACCTGTGTTATTCTTTCTCTTTCCTGATCTTCAGACATGCTGTCTCTTCCTTTAGGAATAGCGCCCCTGCTCCCACCGTTTATCCCGCTCTTCCCTTCTGCCTCTGGGTTAGCCATTATTCATCTTTAGTTCTTAGATTTAAAGGTCATGTCCACATGGCAGCTTAGTATAATTTAAGTCTTATCCACCCTGCTATGCCAGGCTCATGTGCTTGGCTGATGTTTAATTTTGAATAAAAAATAATAAACTTATTTTCTTTCTTAATTTTTTATTTATTTTATTTTATTTATTGATTTATTTATGTTTTTGTGAGACAGGGTCTTGCTCTGTCACTAGGGCTGGAGTGCAGTGGCATGATCATAGCTCACTGCAGCCTCGACCTCCCAGGTTCAAGCGATCCTCCCCCCTCAGCCTCCTGAGTAGCAGCATTACAGGCATGTGCCACCATGCCTAGCTAATTTTTGTATTTTTTGTAGAGACAGGATTTTGCCATGTTGTCCAGGCTGGTCTCAAACTCCTGGGCTCAAGCAATCCATGTGCCTCGGCCTCCCAAAGTGCTGAGATTACAGGCATGAGCCACTGCACCCAGCCAATAAACTTATTTTCATGAAAAGAATGTCTATTTTTCCCCTACTTGAATAGGTTGAATTCCAAATTTTATCTGAAACCTTTTTTATTTAATCCTTTACAGAAGCTATTTTGAGAACTAATAAGTCAGGAGAGTTGGACAGCTAAAGATGGTACCATCTTTGGTTTACTGAAGATCTATATCTTCAAATGATTGAAATTGCCTGTCTATCCTTTATGCCTAAATTAAAAATAGGTCTTAAATGCAGAAAAGACAGTGCATCGTAGGAAAGCTTAATATCATATTCATTTAAAAGATTTCATTTTCTAATAATACTTAATAATTCTTACAGAATTTTTCCTTATTTGCCACTTCTAACTCCGTGAATTCATGTTATTTTTTTTTTCCAAAGGAAGAAAGAGGGACTGATAAAAAATCTGGAAGATTGGTTTTCTTCACAGTGTGTTTATTGGAAGTATTAGGAACCCTGATGTTGGGTCTAAAATCTCCAGTTTGGTGTTTCAACTTAATGTCAGAATCTTCCCTTTATCCTTTTAAATCAGTGTAACTAGAGTCAAGACAACAGTTGCCTGGTATAAAGTAAATTGTGTGTGTGTGTGTGTGTGTGTGTGTGTGTGTGTGTGTGTGATTTTCAAGTATGTGTGCACAAGTGTCTCTGTGTACTTTTCTTGTTGATAGTGGTTTGGGATAAGTATGCATTTTTGGAAGGGAAGAGAGGTAAAATCCCATTGAGGTGTTTTTGAATTTTTTTTCTGCAATACTCGTAGCTTCCAGCAGTAATTTCTAAAATGTGCTTTGCCCTGAATATCATCACTGAAAAAGCACCTGTTCTGGAGATGATTTCCAAGCCTCTGTAAGATCTTTACTCTCCTGGAAAATAGGGAAAAATTGGATAACAAATGTGAACAACAATATCACTCAAAGTGAAAATTTAAAGTGGCCACCCATTCCCTGGGTCCACCACAGACAAGGAATCATAAGTGAAGAATGTGTCCCCTTCTGCTCTGGTTACTGGCTTCAGTGAATTTGGACAATTCACTTAACCTCTCCATGTTCCCATTTCCTTCTTCAGGCACCTTGATGACACTGGTAGTGAATTTCTTTGCAGTAATGTGACAATTACCCAATTAATGACTATTAGAATTTCTAAAAATAGAATACAAGGAAATGCTTAATAAGATGGTAAATAGAGAGAAAATGGACAGTAAAAGGCATGTAGCCACAACTGGAAAATTATTAAAGCTTATTTTGAGAGGCACAGTGACAGACAGCTCCTAACACCATCTAATTGCGGACTGCCTGATCTTATACCTAAGCTTTTATGACAACAGGGTCTTCCACACCTGCATCATGGTGAGGCTGCCATCACAGCCAAGTTCCCAATCACAGCGGCATCTGAACTTTCCCCCTGAGAGTTGCTTTCATTTCATAGAAACTTCTGTTAAAAAAAAATACTTTTTTTTTTTGCTAAGATAGGACACTAAGTCATTCTCCTCCCCTTCCGAGCAAACTTCCCCTCCCTTCTCTCCCAGAATGGCTTTATCTCTGTAGTTCCCTGTAGTTCAAAGGCAGAAATGGGACATAATGGGATTTGGCTGAAGGGTTATAATCCTAAGAATTCCAAAACTTTTCATCGAAGGGCCATTTTAGAGAGAGCTTTTATCCATTGGCAATTTCAGCTGAGAGCTATTCAGTGACTCAGGAGGCGCCACATAAAGGCTTTAAATGCCCTAGTCTGCCACTGTCCCTTTGCAAGGGCAGAGACAGAGCCTCTGTGTGGTGTTTCTCAGCCCATTTGTGATAGCATTCTTGTGAAAGAGGAATAGCCTAAAGCTAAACTGGGAGGAATGGGAAGGCTGTTTTCTTGGCAAAATTTACTATCAGAGCATCAAATCCCCCTTCTCCACCCACTGAAAGAGGCCTTAACATTTATTATTAGTCCGGCTTAGCTAGGAAGGTATACAATATAGAATCAGGGGGTTATTTTCATCCAGGATGGCAACACGACAGTGGGAAGAGGAGATGGTTCTTTGTGATCCAAGTATAAGAAAAGAAGTGATCACACACACACACAAACACACACACATACACACATTCGTGTTTCACCACCTCATTATTTTCCCTCCCAAGGGAACAATGAGAAGAATCCCTTTTGTATAGGAGAAACTGAATGTGTCCACAAAGTCCACATGTGCTCTTGGCTCTAGTCAATACCTTTGCCCTCCTGGCTGTAACCTGGATTCTGCACCAGCCATTGTTTAGAATGAATAGGAAGCTTTTGAGTGGTTTCTCCCATTATAGTAGGAAAATGTTAATATGGAACTTTTAGAAATATTCCTGTAATATCTAGTGAGTTGTAGACATCTCCATTGCCTTAGGAGGGGTAAGGGTAATTTATTTCTATGTAGTTCCAAGCCCATAGGGTTGAGCAATGAGGACTCCCTAAGTACTTAGAGAAAAGGGAAATGAGGTTGCCCTGTGAGAATTAAATGACTTGAAAACAACACTTAGCAAAATGTTTTCTAGTTCCATGGGAACATACTAGAATAACACTTAATTAGTGAAATTGACACATCTACAGTCAGCATACATTATGCAAAGGGAGCAGCCTCGTAGCAAACTGGCTTCAGAGGATGCAACTCCCTGCACAATCTAGGAGACAAGAGGAGAGACCAGGAGGTTGTGAGCATCCTGACCACGAGGACTCGTAAGGTCTGATGAACCATCCTCAAGGCTTTCAACCACTCTGTTCTCATCCTGCAATTACTGAGCAGGCCTCTGATTTAATAGTTCATCTTACTAAATACTTACATACGGAGAAAAACTGTGGCCATCAACAGGAGATATAAGCACCTTTGTCACTAGAATGAATATTCCCTTTTTATAAATTAATAACTTGGCTTTCTTGTCCACCTATCAGTATAAAGTAAATCTAGTTTTTATAATAAGTTTTTCTCTAAATGTCTAATTATTTCTATGTTTGCTCATAAAATTCTATTTTTGTACCCGTAAGACCAAGCACCGTAGAAATTTCATTAAGGTAATACCACTCAGCAAGGAATCTTGGGGTCAGCCACCAGCATTTGGCAACTGTTTTTAGAATTTCCACCCAAATGAATGTTTTCTTCTGTTTTAACCTAAATAATTCTGAAGTATTTCTATAGATATAGTAAAGAATCTCTAGAATTAAAATAATCTTCATGCTTCCCTAACAGATAAAGCCAATATTTGTTGTTGTTTATGAAAGTTGAGTCTTTTCCTATGGGATGTGTATATTTTAGAAATCTGGCTACCAATATGTCAGAAATGACACTACCTGGTCATTCCCATAGTTAAGATTGTGAGAAACAACCAACTCCACTTTAACCAAGTATGTATGATTAGAACCCAATGTAGAAACTTACTCATTTTAATTTTTGTCTATCAAAACACCCTCTCTTTGGTAATCTATTTAATAATTTTTCCCATGCCCTATGTGCCAGCCATTTGCTAGTCTTTGGGGATACATTGGTGAACAAGGAAATCCCTTACAGAATTTGTGGTTTTGTAGAAAAAGCTAAGACAATAAATACCAAAGATAACCCATTACTGAGAACTGCAGACATGTTATGAACTGTGAAGAACACAATCAAGATGTTTTATTGAATATAGTGGAGCTGGCCAGGAAAAGATTCTTTGACAAATTAACATTTTAGCTTAACTCTAAAGGATACATAGGGACCCATCAGGAAAGAAACTGAGGAAGGGCTTCCATGCATAGAGAAAAGAATGGACAGAAATCCTGAGGTCAAAAGGAGAATTTTGTGTTCCACGAACTTAAAGGAAACCAGAAGTAGCTAATACTGAAACTGTAAGGAGAGAATGGAGGTTTAAACAGCAACCTGTGCATGTGTTAACATAGCTGATCTCACTGTGGATTGTGTTTATGCTCTTAGCAAATGCCCATTGAGGGCTTGTATGGTTTGGAGTTTTGTCCCCTCCCAAATGCATGTTGAGATTTAATTGGCATTGTAAGAATATAAAGAGGTGGGACCTTTGAGAGGTGATTAGACCATGAAGGTTCCACCATCATGGGTGGGATTGATGTGGTTATAAGAGGGCAAGTTTGGCCGTCTCTTGACCCTTCTGCTTTCTGCCATGTGAGGAGGCTGCAGCATTGAAGCACCATCTTGGAAGCAGTGAAATCAGGTTCTACTCCACTAGCACCTTGATCTTAGACTTCCCAGCCTCCACAACTGTGAGGGCACATTTCTGTTTTTAAAAAATTACCCAGTCTGTGGTTGACATGGTTTGGCTGTGTCCCACCCAAATCTCATCTTGAATTGTAGCTCCCATAATTCCCATGTGTTGTGGGAGGGACCTGGTGGGAGATAATAGAATCATGGGGATGTTTTTCTCCATACTGTTCTCATGGTAGTGACTAAGTCTCATGAGATCTGATGGTTTTACAGGAGGTTTCCCTTTTTGCTTGGCTCTCATTCTCTCTTGCCTGCCACCATGTAAGATGTGCCTTTTCACCTTCTGCCATGATTGTGAGGCCTCCCTAGCCACATGGAACTGTGAGTCCATTAAACTTCTCTTACTTTATAAATTACCCAGTCTCGGGTATGTCTTTATCAGCAGCATGAAAACGGACTAATACAGTGATATTCTGTTATAGCAGTGTAAATGGACTAAGAAAAGGGCCTACTATGAACCAGGAGCTGTTCTAGGTACTGACTTAGCATCAGGAAACAATGCCTTTCAGAAGGAAAAATACAATAAGAAAGCACATTTCTAGAATGTCAGATGTGGTTAATAATATGGAAAATAATGAATAATGGTAAAACAGAATAGAATAATAAAATAGACAAGGGAAACAAAGAACATGAGAGTTGGAGTTTGATTACTATTTACATAATGTGCTAAGCGTTGGCTTTACTGATAAGGTGGTGTTTGAGCAGCGACCCAAAGTAAATTTGATAGAGCACATCAAGAGTATATCTTTGGGAACAGCAGGCAGAGAGAAAAGCAAGTGCAAAGGCCCTGAGGTGAGAGCATAACTGAAGTGTTTAAAGACAGCAAGGCAATTGGTATGAATCACGTAATTCAGATGAGAATAACAGAAGATGGGATCAGAGAAAGTGTGTATGTGGGCTCCAATCATGTAGAACCTCTTGTACCATTGCTAGACTCTTATTCTGAGTGAAATAAGAGACTCCTAGCAGGTTTTGTGCAGAGAGGTGCCATGATTTAATACCCATTTAAACAGATCATCCTGGCTTTTGTGTTGTGCAAGATAGGAAGCGGGAGGGTTGGTATGGCAAAAGAGATCTCTTAGGAGACTATTATCTTTATCCTGAAAGTGATGGGAAATAAAGAGTTTTCAGACAGGAAGTTACATTTTATTAAAATATTGTAGAATATATTTTAATTGTAAGTCTCAGTTTAGCAATTAATTCACAATACAAACACCTTAGCCAAATTAAATACTTTCCTATCTTAAACTACTGTATTAACTAATTACTGCTAAACTTCACTTTGATTTTTCTTTTCTTCTTTGTTTCCTATAACTTGCAGCCATTTGGCCTCAATGCATCTCCCAATTCTTCTGATGTTGGAATAAACTGGGCTAATTTTAGCACTAATTACCCTTCTAAGAAAACATTTGGACTGTCTTTTTCCAGCTTCAAGAAATGCCTTGGATCCCTGCGGCTGGCTTGTGTAACAGGTATCTACAACGCCAGAGTACATGAAAAATCTGGCTCTAAGCACTCGCTTATCAATATTGGCAAGAATTCTAATATCACTCATTCTGGGATTTTCTGGTCTCAGACTGTATTGTACAGAATTCTCAGAATTACGAGGTTGCCAGAGAATGAAGACATTTCCATTCCACCCTGGCTATGTGTTGTATGGCTTCCTCCCTGAGCTCATACTGGCAGTTTGAATAGAGATGACCCATCAGTAGTACCCACTTGCTCAGTGCCAAACTCAATCATGAGGACCCTTCAGCATGGCAATTAAAGGCATGGTTCTTAGTGTTCTATGATGCTACTCCTTTATCTGTGATCCCGCTAGCTCACAGGTGCTTTCCTCAAGAGAATTTCCAATCTCGGCAATTCTCAGAAACCAGCAAACTGCTGTCCTCATTTCCAGAGAACCAACAATCCTCCACGTGAGCTAAAAATCTGGAAAGTCACATCAGTACCTCTGAATTTACATGCCTGTGGACTAGCCAGATCACAACATCTGGTGTAGTTTCAAAGACTGGATTTGTGTAAAATAGTTTTCATTTTTGCTTTCTACTAAACCAGTAAAAAGCTGCAGAAAGGATATAGACTACACTTGAGTGGACACTCCCTAACCCCTCTATGAGAATCTATTAATAAATTGTTCAGAGTGGCTTGCCTGAAATCTGGTGGTCAGTGTAGCTCACACTAGGTGAGGATTTAGCCAGATTCAAGGACTCAGGACTTGGACTCCCTGCCCTTCTTACTGCTAGGCTGACAGAGAAGTCATGTCAGGACCCAACCATCTACCCACTGCCATAGTCAGGAAATTCTCACTGCCTATATATTTCCATTTTCTCTTTCTTGCAGAACAGTCAAGCTTACAGAATAGTCCTGACCTACAGCTCATACTACTTGCCATCCCTACACAATGCCCCCTCTTCCTCCACCTGCTAACATTCTTAGAGGAAGAATATTCTTAATCAGGAAAAAAATATGCACACAAATTATAATCTCTATAATTCACCATTTACACCATTAAGAGTAAAATGATCCCTGCTCTGTGACATGCTTTCCCTTCCTTCTCCCCTTCCAGCTCAGCTAGAAGAATAAGAATGTCTTATCTCCTTTATATTCCTAAAAATTTTAGGTTTTTTGGTGTAGGGGAGGAAAGGAGTGATACCTTTTCTCATCCATCATAAGGGTCATGGTCAGTACCTCATAACAAAAAGACAATTTAAGAAGAGAAAAACATAACAAATTTAATTTTAGTTTTACATGATATGGGAGACTTCAGAAGTAAGATCCAAAGATACAGGGGAAGCTATTTGATTTTTTACTTAGGACTCAGAGTCAATGAAGCAGGGACAGTCATGTAGAAATGTGATTGGACAAAAAGGGTATAATGTAATACCAATTGACTGGCCAGTAGGGGAACACCCAGCAAGGCCTGTCCGTTCAGATTCTTGGTCTCTCTCTTGTAGCATTTCTTTCTCTTGAATATGGAATAGGCTCCCTCTGGAATGAGGGTCTTAGTCTTAAATTCTTTATGGCCAGCTCTTATGCAGAAAAGTGGAGCAGTGGGAGGGGAAGAGAAGTTAGCGTAATCTCTATTTTTAGACCTTACGGCTGACTTCAGGCAAAGGGGATTCTAGTTTCTATGAGTCACCCTGAGGAAGAGGAACTCTAATTTCTATGACTTGCCTCAGGGGAAAATGAAGGATGAATGACAGGAGGGCAGAAGAAGGTCTGAGAGAAACTTTGCTTCTGAGGCCTTATATTTGGGTATTGTTTTCTGAGCTCCATCATTGGCATCATAGGTCTCAAATATCCTGTGAGTTTCCATTTCCAGTTGATGGAAGCTTTACTTGGCAATTATTTATATTCATTCCAACATCAACCCTTCTGATTAATGCTAACGCCTCATCCCATAAATTTATTTTCATACTTAGTTTTGTTGATTGCCAACAATTTTAGATCTGGGTCACCATAAAAGACTTATGAAAGTTTATGCCTTTTGATTTTCAGGAAATAAACTTTTAAGCATTTCAACTGACATGTTTTTACAAATAAATGTGCAAAGACCTTTTCTCAGAACCGACAGCCTTTGAAGTCCACTCAGGAAAGGGAATTATAGGAGACTCCAAGTAGAGGTTGATAAAGAAGATATCATTTGAGAGGAAGTGAAGAGGGTTTCATCCATGCAATGATTATATTTTACATCTCTACAACTAACACTGGCTATAACTGTAATTCCACCTCTTATCCAGTCTGCATTTTAGTTGGGCTCCTCAGTTTTCATAAGCAAATGTCAGGCTTACCTCAGATCAACTGATTCTTAACGATATCATTCTGCCATAAATAAGTTAAAAAATATCTCAATTTTAAGTACTGTTCTATTTGATGTTTAGTTGTAGGGAACATTGGTGTTGAATTACTGTTTTTGAAAAAATATGGAGCCTTCCTTTATTATGCCTAATTTTATCCTTGGATCATGTTGGATTGCTATCAAGCTGCTATTATCAAACTATGCCTTAGTATCTTGGAAGTCTGGCACTGAAGAATGTTTATGGATAGGTAAATATCCTACTCTGCACTTAATTATAATGAGATTGTTGAGGGCAATGTTTCCCACATCACACTCTCGGTAGGTAAATATCCCACCTTGTACTTAATTATAATGAGATATTTTTGTTGAGTGCAGTGTTTCCCATATCACACGCTCTGCTTTTCTGAGGATCTAAAGAGACATTTTTATCAGGTTTCAATAAGAAAAGATGTGTGCTCCTCCCTTCTTCACTGTTTTAACAAATTCCTTTTCTTGAGATGGAGTCTTACTCTGTCGCCCAACCTGGAGTGCAATGGTGCGATCTCAGCTTACTGCAACCTCTGCCTCCCGAGTTCAAGCGATTCTCCTGCCTCTGCCTTCCAAGTAGCTGGGACTACAGGCACCCACGACCATGCCCAGTTAATTTTTGTATTTCTAGCAGAGGCGGGGTTTTACCATGTTGGCCAGCCTGGTCTTGAACTCCTGACCTCAGGTGATCCACCCGCCTTGGCCTCCCAAAGTGCTGGGTTTGCAGGCATGAGCCACCATGCCTGGCCTGTTTTAACAAATTCTAACTAAATCTTACTATATGCAGAAGGCACTGAGCATACAATGATGAACACAAAGAGACATGGTCACTAACTTCACGGAACTTAGAGTTTAAGATGTGAGAGGCAGGAAATGTATATCTTATTTAAAGTTGTCAAAATGAAAATGCAATATGTGCTATGAAGAACGGTTTCATCTTGCCATTAGAGCATAGAATAAAGGACTTGACCTATTTTTGAGATAAGGAAAGAAATTAAAGTGGAGATGCATACTCATGGAAGGTTTTAAGCAGGTTGGGAAAGTATGACATGGTTAGACATGTGTTCTGAAAAGATCACATAACTGCCATGTGAAAGGCATGTTGTGTTTCCCTAAAAAGCAGAGATCAAATTTTCAGCCTGCTTTTCTCCAAGTCTTGATAGTGTTGATTTCAGTTATTAACTTTATCCCTTACTCTACAATATTCTTTATATGTTTAATTTCTCTTTGCTCTATTTTTTTCTTCTTTCTTTTCCTTTTTTTTCTAGAGACTCACTCTGTTTTTCTAGAGTCTCACTCTGTTGCCCAGGCTGAAGTGCTGTGGTGTGATTATATAGTTCACTACAGCCTTGAAGCTTAAAACTCCTGGGCTCAAGCAATCCTACCACCTCAATTCTCCCAAGTAGCTGGGATTATAGGCACCAACCACCAAGCCTATATCTTTATAATCCATATAATTTGGAGATGGAGGAGAAATGAGGAAAGGTACTAATAAATAAATAAAAAAGAATATATCCTATTTCTGAAAATGTTTATAGTGCATTTGAAGAGCTAGAGAAAGTGTAAGAAAAAAAATGGCTCTGAAAAATAGAGAATACATAGATGAGAATAGTTCTTTACCGATTAATTCACAAATAAAAGAATTTTATTTTTAAACAAAGTAGAATTGAACTAGTCAGCAGCATTGAGATGTCTAGCAAAGCCTGCTGAATGTCTTTTTCAATATAAACAGACTTTATCTCTCATATCTTTCTCTTTTCTTTCTTTTAATCCTGGCACTCTTATTCTTTTATTTTGTTAGTTGCTTGCTATTAGGCAGTAAACTCATTGAGGAAAGGAATCCTGCCTTTCATTTATTTATTTTCTGTAACTCTGTCTCCCCCCATAACATCGAGTATAACATCTAGGGGTCTCTTTGTTAACTGATCTGTAGCTATGCATTCAAAAAATATTCATTCTTTCTCAAAGTTATGCTTGTTGGTAGAGCTGGTCTCTGAATTTCCAAGCATTGGCATATAAAATTGACAACTGCAAAAAGTATTTCTTTTGTGCTTTCCCTCTATTTCCCTTCCTGATAGTAGTTAAGAAAAGAGCATCTTTTGACAATGAAAGAGCTAATGTTCCTATGTAAAATGCAGATGAACTTTGCCACTCATTTACACATAAATGCCAGGAAAATGAGTAGATAACAGAGTACCCATATTCAATTTTTTTCTCTATTTTCTGCTTATGTTTTTAATTTTATCCCAATGTTTTTAAAGTTCAAAACAAATAGGCAAGTTTTTCCCTTCATAGGTTAAGCTATTACAACTACCAAGCCTAATAAGACCATCTTTAAAAAATAAAGGAAAGGAGCCCTGAGGAGGCTGAGGATGAGGTAAAGTGATGTGTCCCAGGAGCTGATGTCCCAGGAGCTGGAGGCAGTTAACCTTCAGGCCCATGAAAAGTACTGAGCACCAAGGGAAAGTGGATGGAGATAATTTAGGGTCTTTATGGACGGTTTTCTTTTTCCCCTGTGAAAGCAACTTACCTCGTAAAGAAAAAAAAAAAAGATGTTTGTCTTGTTAACCTGGCTTTGAAGAGGAAAGACCCTGAGAGAGAAACAATAGCAGCAGCAAAGTATAAAGGGAAATAAACTCCTATAAGCGTTTTCCGGTCTGCAGACTCTAGTTTGGGGCAATATTAGGGCATAGTCACAAGGCCAAAAACAACAAGAGCAATAAAGCATGTCCTGTCTCCCTTCTCTTCTCAAGATTAATCTCTGTGCTTATTCCTTATGAAGAAGCCTTCTGTTGTCCTCCTCAGCTGGAAAGCCTTTTTGCTTTTCTTCACTCTTGGAATATTTCCTAACTTTTCTTGCTTCCATCTTTCCTTCCATCAATTCCTATTTTCCTGTAAAAGCAGCTGTAGGAGACGTCACAGGGCACATCCTCAGAATGCAGCAGCTTGGAAAGCCATAGGTGATCTGCTTTGAGGGCAGCAGGCCAGAGATTGCACCTTCACTGCTGGGCTCTGAGGGTTCACCTAGAAGAGCTTTGACCGATCACACCCAGAACAGCAAAAGTACTTGGTACATTTTCATCCACAGTGAGAAATCCTTGGTTGAGGGTCAAGTTTAAAATCTAACGTTTAATTATATGAACACATACTCTGGACTAGAATTCATCAACATCATGGTCATTTGATTAAATCTGAGAGATACATATATAGTATTTGGACTTTTAGGTTTCATTTTTAATTTTTACATGGATTGTTTTACATATATATGTATAAAATATGCATAAAACAGGCACCTAGATCAAGAAACATATCAGAGCCAGCACCACTGAAGAACTCGTCTGGCCTCCTTCCTTTTACTCCTTCTCCTCCAAGTGTAACCTTGTTTTGACTTTTAACACTAAGAAATTGTTTTGCCTGTTTTTCACCTTTAAATCAGCTTCTAGCTCCCTGTGCTCAATATCAGGTTTGGGAGATTCCCACATGTTGTTGCAGTAGCTATAGATTGTTCTAATTACTGTGTCCAGTGATTATCAAAAGGTGCTCCCACACCATCAGTTATCAGCATTGTAGAAACGTACTAGAAATGCAAATATCAAAGCGGTTCTTGTGCTGCCAACTTGACAATGCTGAATCAGAAATTCATTGTGGGGCAAAACAATCTGTATTTAAAAAAAAAACTCTCCAGATGATTCTAATACAAATTTTTTGAAAAAAACTGCTATATATTATTCCATTCTGTAAATACATTGTGATATATTTATCATTCTATTGCTGATGGATATTTTGGCTGTTTCTAGTGTGAGGTTATTATGAAGAGCTATGAAGATTCTAGTATGTGGCTTTTGGTGATCATGAATATGCATTTTCTTTAGTACATACCTAGAAGTGACACAGGATTTTTCTCACTTTGCAAACCAAGGACCTCCAGCTGGCAACGGCCCTGCCCAGGCCTTGCTCGGCCATGCTACCTGCCTCAGGAGACACCCCACCCACTTAGTCCACCTGGGCCTCACCTGGCTTGTGCACTGGCTCAGCCTGCCTTTGGCCCAGGTGTGCCCCAGCCCACCTGTGTTATAGCTTGTACTCATGTTTGGTGGTTCCAAAGTTCTTGTCCCACATTCAAGAAGAATTAGGAAACCCTGACAATTGAAGGGTGAGGAGAATGGAGAAGAATTTTATTGAGTGACAAAACAGCTCTCAGCAGAGAGGGGATGAGAAGATGGTCAACCACCCAGAGTCTGGTGGTTTCCCTCCCAGTGTGGCTGAGTCCAGGGCTTTTATGGGCTCAGAACAGAGGAGTGCATGCTGATTGGTTTGTGAGTATGCAGAACAGGTTAAAACAAAGGCACCACTCAAACGTGGGCATAACAGTATAAAAAAACCAATTAGGAAAGGGCAGATATATGTAAAATAGGTGAAGGGTAGGGATCAATCAAAGGATAGCACACCAAATGGGAAGACAGGTTCTCAATCTGGACCATGGTTTTGACTTGTAGCTTGACTTTCAGGCTTTAAACTGTCTTTGGCTTGGAGGTAGGGTTTCACTGGGGACCTGCCCCTATCTGCCTAGGCATTTGTCTGCCTCCTGCTGCTATCAGGAGTATAAAGTCTGGATCATATGATATGTTTTTGGTCAGCAATATGGTAGACTTTCCTATATGGTTTCCAAGTGGTTACACTAGTTTATATTCCCCAGCAGAATATGAGTTTGTTTCTTAATATCCTTACCAAAAATGTGCTTGGTATTCATTTTATTTTTAGCCATTCTCATGAGTGGTAGCAGTATCTCATTGATGTTTTAGTATACATTTCTCTAATGATTAGTGAGATTGCGTACTTTGTTCTATACCCATTTGCCATTTGTCTATCTTCTTTGATGAAGTCTATATTCAAATCTTTTTCCATTTTTCTATTAAGCAGTTTCCTTTTATCTCACTGATTTTTAGATACAAGTCTTTGTCAGATAAATGTATGGCAAATATCTTTTTCCACTTTGTGGGTTACAAAGCAATCATATTTTGATAACAAATATTGCCAAAGTGTAAGTATGAACTAAAAGCCTGCCTTCTAGCTTATAAATTTTTTTAGCATACTTCCTATTTCCTGATTATCTACTAACTTTCTTTCTTAATCAAACATTATTGCAAGGAGTAGTGGAGTTTTGTTGCACTATGTATAGCAGCTGTGGTGGTAACACCATTCAAAAAGCTATATACAATATTTGGAGCAGGCCAATGTCTCACAACAAACTCTAAATAACTCTTAGGCATGTGCACCCCCATCTTTTCTATATCTTATAATTGCTATCCCACCTTCTTTTAAATATGGTTCTAGGTGACTGGCAAGTAGCCCACTAATAGGCTATGGATGATAAAGGAGGCATAACCAATCGGTGGGAAGAGGAAAAGATTATTTCAATAAACAGAGCTGGGGCAATCGGTTGGTTATTTGGATAAAAATCAATTCAGATTCTGATCTGAAGCTATTTATGAAAATAAGTTCCAAGTGGAACAAAAGTTAAATATAAAAATTCCAACCATGAAGAAATAGAAGATAATATTTGTGAATATTTTTCTGATTTTTTTTATGTAAAATGAAATAGCAATGAGAAAGATATATAGATATAACTATATTACACTTTGAAACTTTTGAACTTCAGAAACCAAACTGAATTCAACAGTAAAAAGCAAACAATGAAATATTTCAAATAAATATGACACAGGGTATATATTCTTAACATATTAAGATCACAAATAGGAAAAATATTAAGAACTCAATAGAAAATATCCAAAAATTAAGATAACAAATACACTAATTATATTACAATGAGGCTCAACTGGCTTTTAAATTAATAGTTGTTGAAAAAATAAAAATAAAGCAAGGAGGAAAAAAGCCCAAACTCATATATTCAAAGAAATACAAATTAATATTCTTAAAATAAATTTCCAATAATATAGAGACTCTAGACTAAATTTAGAACCAAATGTAATTTGAATTAAGAAAAAAGAAGCTCTCATAGATAAGCAAAAATCTAATTTCTATTGTAGCAAGATGCAAACCAGGGAGAGAAAAGAGAGGCAAGTCCCCTCCCATGTACTAGGGAGTAGTGCAAAAAAAGAAAAAAAAAGAGTAGACAGTCTTGACTGCCCTGAGAAAGCAGCCTTTTTGTCTGTGTCAAAAGGAAAAAACAAAAGAGGAAATAAAACTGCAAAGAGTTTGGGGAAGATTGGTGATGGGGTCATTGATTAGAATCAGAAATGAGAATAAAAAGCAGCCCAGATTTTACAATGAAAAAAAATCAGTTGTTTATTATATTCAAAATGATCGAGGCACTATGGTTAATGCTAGGTTGACAAAGATAAATGCAGCCTATCCCTGCCTTCAAGGAGCTTAGACAGGTTAGCTGATAATTTAAATAAAATATTGCTGAAGTGATTATAATGTCAGCATCTTGAACAGGATTTTTATTAAATTTGCCTGGGGTACTTCCACCTAGTCCCTTGAAAACACTAGCTGTTTGTGTTGTGAGTGTATATGTGTGTGTGTGTTTCAATTTATCTTAATAGCTGATACTTATAATGATCTTGATTCATTAGAAACAGTGAAATTAAACTGATGTGTTCTGATAAAGAGGACAATAAAGCACAAGGTATATTTTGTAAGGATTTGTGGCAGAACTGATTTTTAAAATGATTCTGGCTCTTACAGAGTTAACATGCAACTCTCTCTCTCTCTCTGAGTCAACTGAGATCTCGGCAAAGCTGAAATTCTGCTACATACAATTCTTCAGCAGGTAGGATTGATTGAAACATTGAAATGAGCTGCTTGTTCTGCTGTCTTTGAGAGTATCAACCAAAACAAAGAGGGGTGTCTGGGAGAAATAGGCACCCACTGAATCTTTACAGTACACAAATATCTTACATGGCGGTCACTTTAGGAAGTCCAAAAGAAGTGAGGATAAACACCTGATATTTCAGACACCAAAATATCTGTTGTTTCTGTGAACAATTACTATAATTTAAATTGTGTTTTGCTTGACTCATCTAAGTAATTACCTCAAATCCATGCTTCATTTTTTAATCTCATGCTATATATAGTTTATTATTGTTACTACCTGGAGAAATAAGTAAAGCATTGTGAAGTTTCTTTGCTTTTTGCAAGATAAAATCTTTGTTCTTGCAAAATAACATATTTGGTGGTATCACCCGAAACATTACTTTTTTCTAGAATTAGAAACAGCATTCATAGAAGAGATCTGAAAGTGCACTGTTTCAAAGATAAGTTTTCTGCTGCATGTAACTGAGTCTCTGGGAAATTTTATGACAAATATCCATCCATTGTTTTTGTAGTAATCATCGCATTGTGAAATTAAAATGGACTCAATACTAAGCATTTTTAAAACAATTACCCAGCAGTGAAATTACTACATCTTTTCTTCTAAAAATAGATTGTTATCATACATACATTTATGTGAAAAGTGACTGAACTTTTTGATTCAGTTCAGCAGCAACATTCATTAAACTTGCTTTTTAATTTCTTCAGTTGGTTCCTGTAAAGTGCAAGGCTGTTCTGAAGGTTTAGGGTGTGAATATGTGGGCGTGATTCCTTTTGATCAAGAACAAAACTGAACCTTATTCTCACCCAGCTTTCCCCTTTTGTGCTGTGTGTTCCGAGCAGCCTTTCAGAACAGGGTCCCAAATTGCAGCGATGTCCCAAATCACAGGATTAATGTGTCTACGAACAGACCTCTTATGCCTCCAAAATGAAGTACTCCTTGCTAATTTCTCTTCAAGACACCAGCTTAATTGCATTTTAAACAAATGGGCTGCTTTGCTGGCCAACTTTTAAATGAGATAACAGCAATGTTCACTCTCCAGCAGTGATGAGTGCCTTGCAGTAGATTCAAAACTCTGTTCAATAACAGGTTTAATCTCACACCAGCAGATTTACTGCAGAATAAACTGCCACTGAGCTCATAATTAGTAAAACAACAACAAAAAAAAAATCCAACCTACTAAATATTATTTTCCAAAGCAGCAGGCAATCTTTTAGTGGAAAAATTCAGTCCTGGTCTTTGTCTGTTTTATTGATTTTATGTATGATATTGGGAATTCATGCTATGATTTAAGATAATGTTCTTTATCGATCACGTAAGCAGTTGTTTAGCTATCCAGTAACAAAATGATGCTCGCATTCACAGAATATGGGACATACATAGCCAGGAGACTACAGTGCTACTCTCTTTAATGTTTATTTCTTTTTTTTTCCTACAAGCATATTCACTGCTGGAAAACAATGGCAAAAAAGCATTTGTGCTTTAGAAACAATCTTCTCATAATTTTCTTTGTTGCAGCTATTAGTGGCCAATTGTGATTCAGTGAAAACCCCGTTCAACAAACAGATGTTACAAAGTATATTTTCTGCTTGCTGCATCTAAACAAATATTAATGAGGTAATTGGAACTATGAAGGAAAAAGGAGTGTTTTGCAAGTATTTATGATTTCATGTATGAGGCTATACCCTTCTAAAACTTCTCATTTATATTGCACAATTGTAAGATGTAGTTATAAAGATATACCAAGGGACACATTTTTCATAATTGTCTCAAATATCTGTGCAAAAAATTCAAAAACCTTGTCTGCAAATAAGAGTAAATGAAAGCTTTTGTGCAAAAGTGGAGAAAAGCAGTTATAGGCATTTTTTTAAAAAACCCAAGTACATTATATATAGCATACAGAAATTTTTAAAAATCTTACTTGTTTTGTCTAAATATAAATGAAAACTGTGATAGCAAAAAAAAAAAAACTATTAACAAATAGCTTTTAAAAATTTGGGCAGTGTGCTTTTCCCAACATTTTTCAGACATAAGTTGTCTTTAGTACAAGCACTAGCTCACCTCTCATCACTCAAACATATAGTAATGGCATGTGAGGCTAGCTTTATTTCTGGCATTAACCTTTTGATAATGAGTGCTACATCAAATGGAATTTGAGGAATCTAATGGTATTGCTGTGCAGTTTATTTTTTTAAGACCCCCAAAGCAAATTAAACCTCAGTGCATCAGACATCATATTCAAAGACAATAGCAGTTTTAAGAAATAACTAAAAAATACCAATTTTACAAATAAAGCTTTTAATGCTATAGGTTTTCCAAGAGAAGATTCAAAAAAAAATACTCATTATTATCTTCATTTAAATTACCCCTAATTAGTATCGATCCTGAGGATTAAAAGTTTAAAAAAGAAGAAAAGAAAAAACAGAAAAAAAAGTGTTTCTTGTTCCATCTCTAATTATCATGGTATTTCTAAGTCATACAACCAAATAATTTTAGAAGTGAAAGGCCACAGGAATGACCTAATTCCCATAACTCACAAAGGAGGAAACTAATGTTCAGAAAAGTGATGTGATCAGCCCAAGGGCACATTTTTCATTTGTCTCATCTATTATATGGGAACAGTGTTTATTCTTTCATCACATACCTAATAAGTTTCATAGTACATACTCTAGTCCATCAGATTTCAAAGTCATTGCTCCTAAACACACAGTGGATGATCTCATCTAATACATGGCCACCTTATAGATCCTGTGCAAGACTATATTCATCTTTTCCCGATCACTTCAATTTTGGCCTCAGTGCTGCTAGAGCAAGCATTTGTTGTGACCTTTTTTGCAACTTTATTGAAGCATGATATACATGTATTAAAATGCACACATTTCTAAGTGTACAGTGTGATGACTTTTGAAAAACACCCATGTAACCACCATTCCAATCAAGATATAGAACACTGGCTTCACTCCAAAAATTTCCTTCCTGTCTCTGCAACAAATCCTCCCCCATCACTCACCACAGGAAATTGCTGATCTGATTTCTATAATTATAGATAAGTTTGGCCTGTTCTAGGACTTCATATAAAAGGAAGCACACTTTTATTTATTAATTTGATATGGCAAATACTTATAAGAGCTTACTATGTGCTAGACACAGAGTGCTCTACAAATATCAGAATATTCAATCCTCTCAACCACCATGAGGTGGATCTTATTATTCCTGTTGTACAGATAGTTAAACAGAAGCCCAGAGAGATTAAGTAAATAGTCTAAGGTTACACAGTGGGTAGATGATAGACCTAGAATTTTAGCCCAATAGTCTAGTTCCAGAGCCTATGCCCTAACTCCCACAAAATGCAGCATGAGAATAGATGTAATGATAAGACCTAAATCTTATTCTCTCCTGGCCACTCTTCCAAGCATTTACAAATATTAGCTCATTTAATTCTCATAACAATCATATGATGTAGGCGATATTTTTCTCTTGACTTCATAAGTGAAGAAATGGAAGCACAGCAAGACACAGAGTGGTCATAAAGCCAAGACCTTCACATACATTACATCTGAATCTCCAGAGCCTAGAAGAATGCCTGGTATGTAATAGGTGCTCAATAAAACAAACACATTATACATAATACATTATATCCACTATGATATTATTTGGCTCTGTGTCCTCACACAAATCTCATCTCGAATTATAATCCCCATGTGTGGAGGGAGGAACCTGGTAGGAGGTAATTGGACCATGGGGGCGGTTTCCCCCATGATGTACTCTTGATAGTGAGAAAGTTCTCACGAGATTTAATGGTTTAAAAGTGTTTGGCAGTTCCCCCCAACCCCACTGCCATGTAAGACAAGCCTTGCTTCCCCTTCATCTTCCACCATGATTTAAGTGTCCTGAGGCCTCCCCAGCCATGTGGAACTGTGAGTTAATTAAACCTTTTTTCTCCTATAAATTACCCAGTCTCAAGTAATTCTTTATAGCAGCATGAAAATGGACTAATACACACTGTAAGATTGTATGTGAAATATATTATCAATAACATACTTTATATATACATCATATATGTCTTTTAATAAATGAATAGGTTTATTTTGATTTTTTAGCATCCCATGTATGGAAAACATAAACTCAAAGTGTTTTTTCTATTCTGTCACTCAACAACAATCAATACAAAATGCTTCTGTGACCAAATGCTTGGGGGTTTGCTCCACACACCAAGCAAACCATCAGTTCTGCAGCAGACGCCAGCTGGGTATTCTCCAATTCAATGCTGGACTATCTACCTAGAGGTAGCAGCAGATCCCACAAGTTGAGGGCTCAGTCCAAAGACTGCTTCCTCTTCAGACCTCAGATCAGGCCTATGGAAATTCTGATTAAATGGCTCCAAGTTGGGGCTCTCATGGCCCCCTCTTTGGGTTTGATTAATTTACTAGAGTGGCTCACAGAACTCAGGGAAGCACATTTACTGGTTTATCATAAAGGGTATTACAAAGGATACAGATGAAGAGATGTATAGAATGAAGTATGGGGGAAGGGGTGCAAAGTTTCCATGCCTTCCCTAGTCATGCCAACCTCTATGTATTCAGCAATCTGGAAGCTCTCAAAATCCTGTCCCTCTGGTTTTTTATAGAGGCTTCATTACATATGCATGATTGATTAAATCACTGTCCATTCATAATTGACTTAACCTTTAGCCCCTCTCCCCTCCTCAGAAGTCAGGGGGTGGGGCTAAAAGACCAAACCCTCTAAAATTATGCCTTGGTCTTTCTGATGACCAGCCTCCATCCTGAAGCTGCCCAGGGACTTCTAGCATTCAGTCAATTATTAGTATACAAAAATACATCACTTTGGATAGTCTGAAGACTGTAGGAGTTGTAAACCAGGGAACTGAGCCAAAGACCAAACATATATATTTCACAATATCACACATTCCCGTTCTACAAATGAGAAAACAAAATGGAGAGGTTCAGAAAGTGAAAGTAAATAGCGTCGAAATTTACAAACAGATTGCATGGTTTTAACACCAAGTAAGTAAGTTTGTAAAGAACACACATTTTCCCTGTATTTTTTATGCATTTTTCAGCATTTGCAACATAACTTTTCTCATGTAACCATCATGCCAACCCTACGGAGAATCGCTTCTCACCACTTTACCTGTTAGATAACCAATATGCAGGGGGATTAGACAATTTCCCATGGTCAACTAGCTGGGAAAGAATATAATCTATGTTCATATTCAGGCTGATGATGCAGGTGGGCAGGCAAGCCTTGAAATTGGGCCTTAGCTCAGGAGGGTTCTTGGTTTTTCCCAGGAAAGCATTCGAGGGTGAGCCAACAGTATTAAACAGCAATATTGTATTGAACTGGAGCTGCTCCTTGCAGAGCAAGGCGGACTTGTTGGCAGTGCACCCAGAGTCAGCAGTGTATGGGCTGTTGGCAGCTGTATTTATACCCACTTATACCTACTTTTAATTACATGCAAATTAGGGGGTGGGGTATTCAGAAATTTCTAGCAGTGAAAGTAACTAGAGGTTGCCTTAGGTGCTACCTATTGGTTCCTGCCAGTTCCTTCACTTCATCCTGTCAACCAGGAAATACATCCTGCTGGTCTACTATCTCGTTCCCCCTCAAAGATTAGACACTCCTCCTTAATCTTAAGGGAGCTGCAGAAGGGAGGAGGTTTTTCTGCTGATTTTATGGGGATAGGCCCTGCCTAGCATTGGAGCAGTAAAAATCCCTGGATGCTGCATCTAAGGGGCTTATTGGCCGAATGAGAGCATGTTTTCATTTTCTATGTCAGAAGATGGGATGGATCAGAAGCCTTCTACCACCATTGTTTTACATGGAATTGTTGTAGTCTAGAAGACACAAACTTTATAAGTAGGTTAAACAAGCAAGGAACAAAATTATTTGTAACAAGATAGCTATCAAAGGTCCTAGGAAGGGTGAAAACTAGGTGAGACTAGAGAGGGTACTTTTGACAGTGAACCAGATACAGTTGGGGTCAGTGTCCTGGTTATATCTATGTAACAAAGTGGAATTGATCCTTGGCGGGGGGGTCCTTATTTCCTAGTTTTTAATAGGACCAAGTCTCCTGGTTGAACAGGGGAGCTATTATTTTCCAAGGGGAATGCTTTATTTTCATATTTTTCAAAGGTCTTTTGAACCTGGTCTAAGTTCCAAAGGGAGCATAGTAAGATATGTCTGTCCTCCTGTTTCCCATCATGGCTCAAATTAAGTTTTTGGGCATCTTATAGCCAATTAAAATTTTAAGCCAGATGCAAATGGAGGTGGGCAGGCATTCATTAGTCCTTAAAACACTTTTGAAGCAATATAGAAGCCAAAAACCAAAATACAAAAATAAGGTTACATATTAACAAAATCAAGTTAGGCCAGGCATGGTGGCTCACATCTGTAATCCCAGCACTTTGGGAGGCCAAGGCAGGTTAATCACGAGGTCAGAAGTTCAAGACCAGCCTGGTAAAGATGGTGAAACCCCATCTCTACTAAAAAAAAACACAAAAATTAGCCAGGCATGGTGGCTGGCACCTGTAATCCCAGCTACTCAGGAGGCTGAGGCAGGAGAATTGCTTGAACCTGGGAGGTGGAGGTTGCAGTGAGCTGAGATTGAAACACTGCACTCCAGCCTGGGTGACAGAGCAAGACCCCATCTCAAAATAAATAAATAAATAAATCTAAGTTATAATGGAGGAAATTAGTGCTTTTATAGACCTCTAAGATAAAATATTTCAGCATCAGGCTATAACAACAGTTAGAAACAGAGAAGGAAAAATTACAGGAACTGACAAAAGCTGAAGAAAGAGTTATCTCAGGCTTTCTCAAAGGGAGAAAAAGCTGAAAGCAGTGAGACATAACAATGGTTGAACCTCTGAGATATGAATGAAAAAAGGTTTTAAACAATACACATTATAAAATTAAAAAGCAAATCAATATCTTAAGAAAACTGTTTTAATATAAAGACCATTCTTTAGAAAGACTATTATAAGCAATTCCATGTTAATTATAGCTAGTTTAATCACACACAATTTTTTTTCATAAATTCCTCTTCACAAACCTTATCATGACATACACAGATCATCTATGACATGTTTGGCCTTTCTGACTTGTCTTATACCACCTTTCTCTTAAATACCAGTCAGTTTATTCTAGGATAAGATTTACCATACAAGATTTTCCCTCATTTAAAATTACTTTCTATATCCTATGTTACCAAAAATACATTTTTGTATCTATAACCTTTTCCACATCTCTCTTTTCTACCGACTGGTTCATTTACTTTTTACAACTAAAATGCCATGTATAGCCAATCACTATGTAAAGCCACTTTTCTGTTAGCAATTCTAAAGCCTGCAAACTTTAGCATCTCACCTAGGTAAGAACCTTAAAGTTAAATTTTAAAAGACACAATGTTACCAACAAACTAATAAGTTTAGACTAGTCCCATTCACCCAAAGATTACCAAGTTATGTGAACTTGAGAAGTATTTGGTCTTATCTGTTTAGTTTATCAGAGCCATTTTTTTATAATTCAATTTGATAGCATGTTAGATACAACACACATCACAACACCTGTATATACACATAAGCAGAAACATATTAAACAAAGCAACCTATACAAGATGGCTGGATCCAAGTTATTTACAAAACTTTGTTTACTTCAATAGGTATGTAATACAGGGAGAGGCAGGGAAAGGGTGCCATCTAAGGGAGGGGGTGAACCATGTTGCTCAAGGGGAGATGCTGAAGTTCCTGAGCCACCAGAGAACTCACCCAGCAGCGGAGACACGAATGAAAAGTGTTTGGGTAGCTGCTAGTTGATATTGCAGACTGTCTGTCAAGTCAAGGGTCCAGGAACCCCAGTAATTTTATTCAACCAAGGCAGTTCATTGGGGTGAATGGAAGATGGTTAGCTCTGGTATTGACAGGGAGCCTTTTTATTCTCTCACCAGGGATTGTTAGGATAGTCTCATTGCCAATGCCCCTCTTGATTATAGTAGTCACACTGATTCTGGCCCAGGGGCCAGCAAGCTGGGGACTCTTGTCTGGGCATCCCAGATGCTGATCTCATGACACTTTCTCAAGATAGATAATCCTGAGGTAGCAAGGGGCTTAAAGCAGATGTTAATGATTGTACTTTTGGGGTTTTGTTTTCTCTGTTTTTTTTTTTTTTTGCTTTGTTTTGTTTTTTGTTTTTTCCATCTCTATTGTTGTAAGTCCAAAGGCCATGTTTAAGAGTTTGCTTATAGGGGTTTAGAGTCCCACTGCTGCTCTTTTTAGGTTCCTCCCAACATCAGGGGTAGATTGAGTAATAAAATGCACAACCAGGAGAGTTTGCCCTTCCAGGGAGTCTGGGTCTGCATTAGTGTATTTCTTGAGTACCTCAACAAAAAGGCTCTGAAACACAGCAGGACTTTTGTCTTTCCCGAGTTACTTCTTTAATTTTGTCATGTTTAACTGGCTTAACGAAGCATGTTTTTAAATATATTAAACATGTTACCATGTGATTTCTGCATTCAAGATCTTGGGAACCATCCTGGTTATCTCACTAAGGGTCCAGATCAGGAACTTCTGATACAATAACTATGCATGGCCTTCATTACATGTGGCTGCTCCATCTGCATACTCACAGTCAGCACGCAGAATCCTCTGCTTCTCCACTCACAGCAAGTGGATGACCATACATGCTAGTCATGCCAAGTTAAATTGAAGAACATGGTCAACTTAACAAACTCTTCTATAAACTTCCCTGGGTTATCTGAAAACTGGCCAAATTTCTCCCTGCATAAAGCCAAATCAGACACACAGAATGGCATAATGTACTCTAAGTGTTCCCTTCTCCCTGCCAGCTACCTCCTGCAATGGACACAGCTTTCATTTTAAGGGCCGATAAGGGGCTCCACTCCTGGTAGTACTGGTTGGGCTTACTTCAATGAGCAGTAGGGGTTATAGGCTGGGGCTAGTTGGATAATGGGGAGGGGTGCCATGCCTCATGACCTTGGGGTAGAATCCTGCGTTAGAGAACTGGTAGACCCCCTCAGAATTGAGGAAACTAAGGAGACAGTGGGGAGGGCCTATACCTTCTAGTGGGAACAGTTAGGATGGGACCCCTTAAACATGGCTTCTTGGTGCCCTTTATTTCATGAGCCATTAAAGAGCCATAAGCCTGTACATAAGGCACCTCTTCCCATTTTCCTTCTTTTTTACGGAATAAGTCCAATTGTAAAATAGTATTATGATGTAAGCAGCCATTTTAGGCCAAATTTCTTGGTCTGCCGATTTGTATTGGACCCAAGCAGAGTTGGAATAGAAAATGAGCTCCTCCTTCTTTAAGCCATATTTGAATTTGCTCCAGTTACCTAAAAGCCACCTAGTGGCAAGCCGTCTGGAATGCTCACCATTTCCCTATGTCTAGCAAGGATCTTTACCAGTCACAGAAGTTTTTCTAAGTCCAGTGAAAGAAAAAGCAATTCGGTTCTTGCTATTTTTCCATTTTAGATTTTTACCTCATGCAGAGGTGTGAGTATAGGTCTCAAAGCACTGTGAAAGTGGATTGTGAGATACAAGCAGGCAGTAGAGTACTGCACATGCCGGCAAGCGAAATACAACAAAAGAAGTATTTTTTACATAGCAAGTATAAAAGGAAAAGTGAAAATAGAGTGACAGAACTTTAGGACAGAAAACAAAAAGGTAAGACCAGATTCTCCTACAGTGGGTTTCTATCTTACCCACAGTCCTAGAAAGAATGCCACTGCCAAAAACCCCAGAGCATCCAGGAAGTAGCCAACAATACCAAGTGCTAAAATCACCAGAGTCCCCAAGTATTTGCCAATGAGTGTCTCCACACCAAATGCCTAAAACCCTGGAGTATCCACGGTCCAACCAATGTCAAAAACCTGAAGCATTCAGAGTCAGCCAGTAGTGAACCCCAAATGCCTGGCTGGGGCCACGGAACAACATGACTGGTGCTGCAGAGTCAACATGATGGGGAAACACCCACAAACAAGTGTCCTGCCTTAAATAATTGCCCAAATACAGTTAGCAGGGAGCTAAAGCAAAAAAAAAAAAAACCCTGCAAACAAAACATACATTTCAGAGCAGAAAACAAAATTGGGCCACGGAAAAATGATATGGTGTTAGTGGAGAAAGGACTAAGAGAAGTAGGAACAAGGATGTCATTGGTCAGGACTGCTATGGGGGACTGTGAATTGACTTATTTCCTGGCTCACCCGATCTCAAGTGGGAAGAAGCAGAGGGAACACTCACCTGTTTGTAGGAGCCAAAATGGCCCTGATGAATCTACAGCTTGGGGCCTGGGTGAAGGTCTTCCCCATGTTCCCCCAGCTGGGGTGAGTTCGGCTACCACAGGGGACCAGCATGCGGTCTTGTGACCAACCAGCTGGAGCAGTGGATCTCACATGAGGCCGTGCTGTTGCTGCTCACCCTTCTGCTCAGCTCCACCGCCTTTCAGGAAACATGATGGCTCTTAAAAGAGTCTTTGGCTAGTGTTACAACGCTGCAGTGTTAGCAGCTCCTTACTGTTGCAGCCACCATCTCTCACTGCCTAGTCGATTGCTGTCTCTCTCTCTTTCCATCTCTCGCTGTCTAGTCAATCGCCATCTCACTGTCTCTTGTCATCTAGCTGATCGCTGTCTCATCATCTTTGTCATCATCATCTTTGATGTCTTCTTCATCTCTGTTATCTTCATCTCTGTGGTTGCCAGACAATGCAAGCAGGCAGGCAAGCCCTGAAATCGGGGCTTTGCACGGAGAGGTTCTTGACTTTGCCCAGGAAATAATTCAAGGGCGAGCCAGTAGTGTTGAGAGGTGACAGCGTGCTGGCAGTCCTCACAGCCCTCTCTCGCTCTCGGTGCCTCCTCTGCCTGGGCTCCCACTTTGGCGGCATTTGAGGAGCCCTTCAGCCCACCGCTGCACTGTGGGAGCCCCCTTTCTGGGCTGGCCAAGGCCGGAGCCCACTCCCTCAGCTTGCAGGGAGGTGTGGAGGGAGAGGCGTGAGCGGGAACCGGGGCTGCCTGCGGCGCTTGCGGGCCAGCTGGAGTTCCAGGTGGGCGTGGGCTTGGCGGGCCCCGCACTCGGAGCAGCCAGCCGGCCCTGCCGGCCCCGGGCAATGAGAGACTTAGCACCCGGGCCAGCGGCTGCGGAGGGTGTACTGGGTCCACCAGCAGTGCCAGCCCACCGGCGCTGTGCTCGATTTCTTGCCGGGCCTTAGCTGCCTTCCCGCCGGGCAGGCCTCAGGACTGCAGCCCGCCATGCCTGAGCCTTCCGCCACCTCCGTGGGCTCCTGTGCAGCCGGAGCCTCCCGGACGAGCACCACCCCCTGCTCCACGGCGCCCAGTCCCATGGATCACCCAAGGGCTGAGGAGTGAGAGCGCATGGCGCGGGACTGGCAGGCAGTTCCACCTGCAGCCCTGGTGCGGGATCCACTGGATGAAGCCAGCTGGGCTCCTGAGTCTGGTGGGGACTTGGAGAACCTTTATGTCTAGCTCAGGGATTGTAAATACACCAATCGGCACTCTGTATCTAGCTCAAGGTTTGTAAACACACCAATCAGCACCCTGTGTCTAGCTCAGGGTTTGTGAGTGCACCAATCGACACTCTGTATCTAGCTGCTCTGGTGGGGCCTTGGAGAACCTGTGTGTCAAAATTCTGTATCTAACTAATCTGATGGGGAGGTGGAGAACCTTTGTATCTAGCTCAGGGATTGTAAACGCACCAATCAACGCCCTGTCAAAACAGGCCACTGGGCTCTACCAATCAGCAGGATGTGGGTGGGGCCAGATAAGAGAATAAAAGCAGGCTGCCCGAGCCAGCAGTGGCAACCCTCTGTGGTCCCCTTCCACACTATAGAAGCTTTGTTCTTTCCCTCTTTGCAATAAATCTTGCTACTGCTCACTCTTTGGGTCCACACTGCTTTTATGAGCTGTAACACTCACCGCGAAGTTCTGCAGCTTCACTCCTGAAGCCAGCCAGACCAGGAGCCCACCGGGAGGAACGAACAACTCCAGGCGCGCTACCTTAAGAGCTGTAACACTCACTGCCAAGGTCTGCAGCTTCACTCCTCAGCCAGCGAGACCACGAACCCACCAGAAGGAAGAAACTCCGAACACATCTGAAAATCAGAAGGAACAAACTCCAGACGCGCCACCTTAAGAGCTGTAACACTCACCACGAGGGTCCGCGGCTTCATTCTTAAAGTAAGTGAGACCAAAAACCCACCAATTCCGGACAGTGTTAGAATTTTTTTGAACCAGAGCTGGTCCTTCAGAGCAGAGCTAACACCTAGGTAGTGCTCCCAGAGTCAGAAGGATATGGGTTATTGGCAGCTGTATTTATATCCACTTATATCTACTTTTAATTACATGCAAATTAGGGGGTGGGTCATTCAGAAATTTCTGGAAACCAGGGGCAGTAACTTCGAGGTCATTGTCATGGAGAGGGGCAGCAGCTTCGGGGTTGTTGCCAAGGCTATTTGTAAACTGTCAAGGCACTGATGGGAGTGTCTTATGCTAATGAGCAGCGCGGGAAACCAGAGGTTGCCTTTGGCGCCACCTGCTGGTTCCTGCCAGTGTCTGTCTTCATCCTGTTGGGATTAGGAAATAAGTCCCGCTGGTCTCCTACCTCATTAGGAGTTGAGTCTGATGTTGATAAATTTGAAATTCCTCATTGTGTAGGTGATACATCGAAAGTGCATGAGATTAGTAAAATAGATGATGAAAACGGACAACACAAAGCTAATCAAAGTAAGTTATAGCTCCCGAGTACGTCAGTGTGCCAGGAATTTTATATACTGCATTTTATTGATTCAGAGCCAACATCAATTGTAAGACATATCCTGATTTGTTAAAATGAGAAAGCAATAAACGACTTGGAATCAAGGAGATATAATATGTTATCCTATAATATAATGACCCTACCTGATTATTATTTCGGTTTTTCAAGTGAGAAAAACAAGGCTCAAAGTAAAAAAAGTGACACATTCATGGACCCAGAAACTAGATTTGGGTGGTTCTGGAGTCTGTCCCTTCATGTGACTTATGTCATCTGTCACTGTTTTCTGCCCTGTCTGATTCTTTTGCCTGTTTAGGAGCTGCTCCTGCAAAAAGAAGCTTTTTCGAGAGAATTCACTTTAAGGGAAGGTCAAAACATTGCAAATCCAAATTATTGTTGGTTTGAACTACTGAACTTTTAAACTATTTTTTAAATTAGTATTATACATACAACCTACAATTGATTTGTTTATAGTTGCACAATGTCTCACTTTATAGTTGCACAAGATCTCACCTTTTCTACTTTTGAGTTTGGCTCAGACATGCCCTTTCTTTAGTTACAAATGGTTAAATCCAGCTCTTTTCCAGAAGGTCACCCTGTCTTTCATGAACTAACTGGCTAACCCATTATGACAATAAGAGAATTATTGTATTTTGACAACCTGTTCCCTTCGGTTATTTTATTTTTACAGTAAAGTGTTGTTAACATTTTAGTAAAGACATTTAGTTAAACAATTTTATAAAATGAATAGGTTCACATGTTCTAATGCCTTTTAAATTTTCTTTATTTTAAATCACCATAAATTTATATCTTCCTAAAGATAATCCATCAGAGGAATTGAGTCTGCCACACCCGCTCACAATTCGCATTTTTATATCTCTGCATTCAAGTATCGTTATTTTTACATGTAACAGGAAATGTTTGTCTGGTTCTTCCTAATGTGGGTGGGACTTTTTTCTGAAATCATGGCAATGACTTCTGTTCCAACTGTGAAAATCCTGTAAAATTTAAATGATTAGATTTTCAAATGGGAGTTTTTTTTCTTTTTTTTTCATCAAATTTAAATTTCTTGTGAAGAGACGTGATTTTGTGGAAATAAATTCCTGATGAATAATTGTCCCTTTTTCTAGGAGATATGATTTGTTTAGCATCCAGAGGAAAAATGCATCATTGACTTATACTTTGTACAAATAAAGAATAAAAGTTGTTTACTTTCTTATCAGAAAAGTCTCAATAGCAACTTCTAGTTTTCTACAGGATTTGAAAGTCTGGAATTTTTTCTAATTTTATTCTCTCTTTTTGTTTCTCTCTCTCTCTCCCTTTCTCTCTCACTCTCTCTTTAGCCAGATGGCATTTATAAACCCCACTGAAAGAAGAAATATTCTAGAAATACAGCAAATTTATTCTGGATATTTCCAGTGATTTCTTTTTAATCCTTTAGGGATGTAAAACTCCTTTATGCATATGCAATCCTTGAATGTTGTCAAAGCATTTGAACTTCCCTTGCTTCACTAATACTCTCACTTGCCTCAAAACACAGCCAGGATAAACAATATTAGTTATCAGGATTGGCTTCACGGGCCTGCAATTTGTGCAGTTGAACAGGGACCCATGTTTGGAAGGACCTACACACTAACTCTCTGCTGTCATTATCTTTCTATACTTAACAACATTTAAACAAGAGCCCCCAGATTTTCACTATGCACTGGACTCCACAAATTATGTCATTGGTCCTATTAATTATCCCCATAAATATAAATGCTCTTCAACTTATCATGAATTTATCTGGACATGGACTCATTGTAGGTCAAGGAGAGTACTGGATACTTATCGCTTTCCTACCATTTTAAAGTTGAAAAATTGTAAATCAAACCTTCATAAGCCAGGAACCGTCTGCAGATAGGAAGGTTTCTTTCTCCACTCCACATCAGAGGGATAGCTAGCAAAAAGAAACCAGGAAAAGGACAGTTAGAAAAGTTAAATAGTTGCTATGTTTTGGTTTTATTCTTTAGCTTAAAAATATAAATTCACAAAACATTAGATATGTTCATACTTGCTTATTATCTGTCTCCAAATATAAGCCATTTTTTTCTCACTGAAAAATTCATATCCTAAAAAAGAATTGTCATATATTTGAGTTCTTACAGTCTGTCATATAAAGTGTGGTCTCAATTATTTGATTTTAAACATGAGCCTGCGATAACCTCAATCAATTCTAGTTGGAGATATTTATAGATATCATGACAGAAATTTGTTTTAAAAAATGGAGGCAACAATATTTGGTTATTCTTGGACAAATGATCTCACAATTTTAAATGTCGGATCTTACTGTAGAAAATCCTTCTAAAGATTACTTTTAAAGGATAAATGGTAGAATTTTACCTTGTCAAGACAATAAAAATATACCTTCAGAATAATTTTTAAAATTCTAGAATGATATGTGAACAGGTACTTGCAACTGGAGATAAAGTTTGTACTGACAGTGTCATATATGAGTTCAAAATGAATTCAAACAACTTTGATAGAAGCTGTGCTATGGAAGATTGAGGAAGATGACTCTTAAGGGGACTCTGGTGATGGGGATGTCACAAGTGTTAGAGATCATGTGAAGAGTGATAAAAGTATTTCATAAAATTCATGTGTGGGAAAATCTTATAAATTCACATGATTTTGTAAATTATTGAATGTAAATTGTATATCACTAAATTAAATATTATAGTGATTTGACTCTTTAATGTACTTGCTTCAAAGTTTATATATTCAAACTGTCCCCCCCATCCCTCAAACTCTTTCAACTGGGAAAATGAGGAGTTGCCTTGTATTCAGGTTTGCCTTATGTTTAAATGTATGTGATAGTAATCATAAACATTTCAAAATCACATATGAAAGTAACTCCTATTTGATGTTTGCTCTTTGTACAATGTGGATGGTTGATTAGCATAGCTAATTGAAAGTTGAATATATTCAGGCGTTCTCAGTTGCAAGGTTCTTTATAGCCACAGAGTGCCAAATTGAATTATTTTCATCTCTCTAGTCCAAATCCTGGGCTATGAATCTCTCCGGGACAGCTCTGCTGAGATTTATTACATGTACACATCTGTATTCCCCCGAAAGTCTTTCATTGCTGCCTAAATGAAGAGAGAGAGTCTGATTGCCTGTCTACCTCCCTCTTATCCTTTACACCCATGGCCGGAGGCAACTGCTGGTGAGGATGAGGTTACTACTAGAAGCAACAACCCTGAGAATTTGCATCTCTCTTGGATGAAAGCAAGCAAACAAAAACAAAGTCAACCCTACTTACTCCTGATAGATATTTCCTTTTTGTTACTACTTTAATGAAAGAACTTATTTTTCCCTGAATTCTTCTATTCTATCTCTCACATCTTTCACTCCTTTTCCATTCCTGCTGTCATAATCTTACAACAAAATGTTTTCACTCTGTGTGGATCTCCTTCCTCCAATTAGTCCATCTCTCGGTTTTTACCTGCCCCCTTCCCTCCCCCACATACACCATTCAACCCATCTTCAAGCCTGCTGCCTGTGTGCTCTTTCAAGTGCCCATCAATATCCCCTCAACTTCTGCTCACCCAATTTCTATGCCTTTTGATTCCCTAAGAATAAAACAAAACTCTTAGTTCAGCGTTTCAAACTCACCAAATTCTGATCCCAATTCACTTTTCCAACTTTGGTTCTTACTACTAGCATAATAGTAGCCTGAACTCGACTAAGAAATACCTGTAGTGTTCTTTAATATAATTGTTAATCATATTACTTTGTTGTAATTTATGTATTCTTGGGGATACTTTAAGTCTTGTCTAGAATGGATAGAGTGAAAAAGTAAAAATAGCTGCATTTTGAAACATTATGTTTCTCAGCTCTCTATTTCTGTTCATGCTGTTCTCTCTGGAGTATTCTCCCATCCTGATATTTGCTATTGAAATTCTATTCATCCGTTCATGGAGGTCCAGTCCGTATGTTATTTCTCACACGATTAGTTTCCGAATCAATTCAGGCAGACTCTTTTCCTCTCTCCTGCCCTTGAACTCTGCAGACCCCTCATGTGATGGCTCACATAGCCTTGTATTACAGGTAACTGAATTGCACCTACTAAATTATATACTGATTGCACAAAAAGCTTTCTACCTTTTAGTTTTAAAGAAAGTCTATCACAGAATCTTGCACAAAGCAGATACTCATAAACACCTGTTGACTGAATGAGGAAAAAAAAGTTAAATTTTCTGCCTCTAAATTTTAGTTTACATTCTAGAGTTCTACTGAGGACTCCCTTCTTCTAGTAGGTATCCTTTAAAAAAATAATTTTATAAGTTGGCTACCTTATGATGTTAGTATTATGGACAGAATACTAGTCGGTGACACATTCATTCTTGCTTACTTCCTAGTTGCGAAGTGGCAGGCAAGTCACATAAAGCTTGGGACATTCTTTCTATAAGTAGGAATAATAAGTAATAACTGACATTTACTTACTGCATCCTTACTGTGTGCCAAGGACTACTCTCATGCTTTATTTATCTTACTTCATTTAATCCTACCCAAATTCTAAAAGGTAGATACTGTTATCAATTCAGTATCCCTTAACCTAAATGCTTGAGACCAGAATTATTTTAAATTTTGGAATATTTGCATATACATAAAGAGATATCTTGGGGATGGGCCCCAAGCCTAAACATAAAATTCTTTCATGTTTAATATGCAAGGTAATTTTATACAATATTTTTTAAACAATTTTGTGCATGAAACAAAGTTTGTATACATTGAACTATCAGAAAGCAAAGGGGTCACTATCTCAGCCACCCATGTGGACGATCTGTGGTTGTTTGGCATAATCTTCATTCCTAACTTTGAATTTATATGCTACCAATAAGCAATGATTTTCTTACACTTACTCACACACAAGGACTTAACAGTAAAAATATGACGTGCTGTTGATTCAGTGAAAAAAATA
This sequence comes from Homo sapiens, assembly GCF_000001405.40. Taxonomy (NCBI): domain Eukaryota; kingdom Metazoa; phylum Chordata; class Mammalia; order Primates; family Hominidae; genus Homo; species Homo sapiens. The sequence continues at coordinate 82,770,416 of NC_000001.11, read as the reverse complement.
ATGTGTTCAGGTAACTAAGCATCCCAGTGACTTCACCAGAGTACCTATACCAGCTGTTAATCAACAGCAATAACAAACAACAGCCAGCTTTCAGTATCTACCTACAATGCTGTGATTTGATTAAAATATTACTGTATACCATAAATTTTTTAGGTGAGAAGAAACATCAGAAGCAGTTGAGACACCATGGAGTGAGTCCTTTAGGGATGAGGAAGCATTCTGCTGGATGGTTTTTAAAAATGTTTCCTCCAGAGTCATCTGCCTCATTAACAACAAGTTTTTGTTTCAGAAATGTGTCTTTGATTTTGTAAACTGACATGATTTCTTGTTCTGTTATGAATGCATACTTCTGTAGTCCTTCAATTAGCCCATCACACATTTTTACCATGTTGTCTATAGGCACTTTTTCTGCAGTGTTAACTGCATCATCACCATGATCACTATGATTAGGATCACCTTGATTCGAAAGCTTTTCAACTATTTTACCATCAATCAAGGAATGAACAACTGGGCTTCATTACTGATGTTAAAAACTCTGACGGCATATTTTTTGCACGTGTAAGGAGTTCAGACGTCATCTTTCTCTCACTTGACATGTGGAATCCTTCAAAGTCGCTGCCTTGTTCATCCTTATCACTGAACATAGTCATAGGCCATGGGTTGTGCCAGTGGTTCTGCCAGCCACTGTGTTTGGAACACAGTGCTTGGAGCCCTGCCAACAGCACATATGGCATCCTTCATGCTAAACTCCTTTTGGTAACCATCCACATCCCATGCTAGTATATGGTTCAAGAAAGTGCTTTTATAGTTATTCATAGATCTAAAACTACCCTAGTTATATGGCTTAATTAATGAGGTCATATTTGAGGGAAAGTACATGGCATAAATATTATTTTTGATGATTATTTCAGCTGAAGGATGAGTACAACAGTTGTCAAGGAATAACAAAAGCATGCAGTCTTCATCTACCCCAGTTTCCCTGCAGTGAACACAAAAAACTGATATAAAATGTGAAACCAATCGAAGAAGATGTCCCTGGTGATCCATACCTTTTTGTAAGCATAATAATGGGTTGGTCAGAAATGCACTCTGAAAACAGCAAGCATGTAAGCTTTCACCAATCATTGCAAGTTTACACTTATATGTGTCTGTGGCATTAGCACAGCCCAGTATAGTTATTCTATCCTTGGCATTCTCAATTGCTGTTGGGACTGTCTGACCAGCTGTAGTCAGTGTTTTTCTTCAGCAATTATGTGAAAAGTGATGTTTTATCAGCATTATAGATTTGTTGTGGCATCAGATTTTCATCCAGGATGACTTTGGCAAACTTGCCAATGGATTTCTTTGCTGCGTCATGATCAACAGATTCTTTGTCACCAAAAATCTTTAAAAATTTAATGCTGTATTTTTTCTTAAATTTCTGCAGCCAACCTGTTGAATATTCACAGTCCCCTTCAATTTTCAGTTTATCATGATAGATCTTTGCTTGTTTCATAATCAGCATTCCATTAAATGGCATGTGTTCACTGTGATGCTGATGGATCCCCTCTTTCAATACACAATTGAGATCTTCATTTTTAGCTTTATGCAGGGTTTTGCTATTTTTTTTAAATTAACATCTGTTCATCACTTTCAGCATAGAACTTCAACAGTTTATCTTTATGTTTCTTCAGGTCATATATGGTGGTTGTTCTGACACCAGACTCTTCTTGGAGATGCTTGACACTTATACCATTGTCCAGTTTCACCAACAGCTTGATTTTCTTGTTACAGATAAACATATGCTTTCTATTCTTATCACTGTTACCCATAGGGTTATCTGCAGGCCTTTTGACATTTGCAACAATATCTTTACACTACAGAGCAGAGAATAAGTAAAAAAAAATGCAGCAGAAATGCATCTAGGTCTTGGCCCTTGGTGGGGCATCATGGAGAACCTGCCCTTGGTGTGTCCAGCCTTCACACATGCCGTTTTATTGCTTCTTGTGATCATGCTTGTATGAGGGAATCTGGGTGTGTTCAGAAAAGATATATCACAGCTGAGGGTGCTGGAGGGGCCTTTTTTCCTTTGGGGATGCCGAATAAACTGTGTCTTGGGAGCCTAAGTTTTACTGTGACCTCTCAGTTGAGGTCATGGGGAGAATGTCCCACTTGTGGCATAATGTTGAGGCTTAAGTTTCAGATTTTGGAGCATTTAGGATTTTGAATTATCAGGTTAGGGGATGCTTAATCTGTGTTACATTTGTATAGAAAAGAGACTAGGTGAATTTCTCAAAGTCACATAGCTACTAAATGATCAGATATGAGATTTTAGCTCACTAATTTGGGCTCCAAAATCTATGTCTTCTATAGTCAAGTGGTATTGGATGAGATACACATTAAGTTTACTTCAATATGAAAAAAAACTATGAGTATTTGATAGATATTATGCTTTTACTTCAGTCCTTAAGTATGATGAAAGATCTAAGGCAATATTCCTGAATTTCAGTAATTGTTTCATTATTCTAGGAAGTTTTAATTAAAAATCAAAGATCAGTGCAAGCTTGGCTTCCCAGCCATAGAACCTTTGCAGCTGCACAGACCCTGTACATAGAAGGGCCTTGTGCTTGTTTTAATGTGTCTCAAAATTCATAATCATTTTTGAAATAGGTTCCAGACTTTTCTTTTTTCTTCTTTTTATTTTCAATTATACATCTGGCCATTTAATGTTTTTGCAACAAATATAAATATTTGCTGAACACATTAATGTAAACATTAAGGTTTTATCCCTTCTGCTCCTACTTCTTTCTTTAAACACACCTCAGAGGGTATGGCAAGGTCTTTAAAAAGCTAAAGATCTCTTTTATAAGAAAGCAGTAGAATTTCCTGAGTAAGATGTTAATATTAACATGTCCATCTGGAAAACAGATGAAATAGTCGTCTCACTTTCTTCATCCTGGTTTAGGTCAGAATTACCCCCTGTCTCCCATAAAGCAGGATATATGAATAAGTATACTTCCTTCTTCTAACTAGTGCTCTGTAATTTCTGGAGTGGCTTTTTACTTATGTTCTTTTTTCATTCTTCTGTCCATTTCCCTGGCCAAGCTTTGGTTCCCCTAGCCCTCTGCTATCTCTGGCCTGTCTGTGAAATTCATGGTCTTTTATTGTCTTATTCGGCAATGAACTCTGTTGAGTCTCTACTGCAATGTAGAAAGAAAGACACTGAGATGAGACAATTACACAGTTTGGCTTCTTATGGTGGTAAAATGTATAAAATGCATTTGACGGATGGCTCAGGGATGAATAATATTCTGCAGTATGGGTCTGGTCCAAATATAAGAAACATAGATTGGGTCACTTTTCACAGAACAAATCTTTCTACTAATAACATTATTGAAGTGAAGACTCCTACTAAAGGCAAAGATGAAGTTTAGACAATTTCTGTCCTCTGGTATCCTCTAACCTAAGGGAGGAGATAGTCATGTATCGAGTGATGTACAGGATGTTGATATGAGTAAACTGCACTATGGATCCAGAGGAGAATAAAATGGGACACAGAAAAATGGTAACAGAATAGGTAATATTTAGGCTTCCTCTGAGGGTAGAGATGGCAGTCTTCCCCACACATTAAAAAGACAAAGCCATAATATTTCAACATCCGTTTGTAAAAGTAAGTGATTTCTGTTACTGGGATTGGGCTTAATGGGGTTCAAAGTATAGGGAGGGACAGGCGTGCAATGCAAGAGGTAAGATGACATTCTGTTGAAATGAGTGAATCCATCAAAAGTTTTACTGAGTAAAGAGATTTAACAAAAATATATGTTTAACACATATAATATGTGCAGTAAGCGGCATAACGATTCTCCTCCCTTACAAAGATGTTCCACATCCTAGTCCCTGGAATCTGAATATATTTGGTTAGGCGAAGGAAAATTAAGGTTGCATATGAAATTTAAGGTTGCTATTTAGCTGGCTTTGAGATGAGAAGATGATATTGGATTATACAGGTGGGCCTAATGTAATCACATTGGTTCTCATAAGTGGAAAAAGGAGGCAGAAGAAAAGGAACCAGATAAATGGCAGCACGAAAAGACCTTGACCACATGTTGCTGGCTTTGGAGTTGAAGAAATGTGGCCCCAAGAAGGCATGCAGGTGCCATCTAGAAGCTGGAAAAAGATAAGCAGATTCATTCTCCCCTAGAGCCTCAACAGAGAATGTAGCCCTTCTCCTCTGATTTTATTTAGGCCGGTGAGGGTGGAGTTGGACTTCTGATCCCTGAAGCTGAAATATAATACAAATATAATATATTTGTGTTGCTTTCAGCCACTGTGTTTATGATCAGTAGTTATAATAGCAATAGGAAACTAGTGTAACTGGTTAAATTCATCATTGTATCATGAAAGCTTTGAACGTCAGTGTTAAAATATGCTTTAATCATTGATAAATATGCTCTACTATCTACTTACCTTCTCTTAAAGTTCTTAGGTCTTGCACGCATTTCCCAGGGCTCCCCACCTATGCTTCTGCTTCCCACTGTTCCCAGATTGCTTAGGTTTTTGAGCACAATCTTCCAGTCACACTCAGGGAAGAAGTATAAGTGCTAATACCTATTCCAGGCTAGCCATAAGCTAATAAAGAGAAGCAGTTACTGAGTTTTTCAGACACATTACCCACTGGCTTTCTGTTGGACAGGAGATACTATGTTTGCTTACATTGTTCTGTGCCTCAATTCCTTTCTACTTGTATCAAATGCAAAATAATTTGGATCTGGCAAAAAAAAAAAAAATTAAAAGGTCAGAAAGATGCTGTTTCTGAGATGCTTGACACAGTGCCAAATCCTTAATCGCAGATTTTGTTTATGCCATTCCTTTTGACACAGGGTAACACAGCTGTATAAAAACTCTTCTACTTTAGGGTGAGAATTCTGTTTAGATTAATTGACTAGGGAGATTAATATTTACTTTCCTATCATTGCTGAAATATTAAGTATATTGTACAAAATCCCTTAAGTACTGAAGCATACTTTGGAAACTACAGCATGTTGATTTACTTCTAAAATGCAGCTCATATGGTCACAAAATGGCAGAAAATCTTTGCGTATTTTAAAGTGCAAATAGTGTTGATTGAGCATCAGGAACATTTGTGGCACGCAGGTTTGGAGTTATTTATCCTTGTAGTGGAATGACAAAAGCTCTTCCACTCATGAAAACAGATTGGATTTGCTAGTATCCTGTCCGCTAAGGATGCCCATACTGAGTAGACCCTCAGTAACCATTTGTCTGCCAGAGTAAATAAGAAGACAAATGTGTCCTTATGTGTTGAAGACACCAATATCTCATTGTGAACTAGATAGGTGTAGTCTTACGAACTATGTCACCTAGAAGCCACCTTTTAGCTAGGAAAAAGCACTGTGGCAAAACAGCAGTTGTTACTTCTGCCAGACATTCTCCAATAGTTATATGTTTAGGATCAAATATGCCGCAGAGCTCTGTAATACAGCAATTCAATTAGAGATGCATTTTCCCATTTTTCCTTCTGACTCTTGTGAAACTACATTCTTATAAATGTTTCTTAGGATTATAGCTGGATCTTTCTGCGGCCTTGGTAGAAGCTTGGCATCACCTGGTCTGGGTGCTTTTTCAAGCCATATCCCTCTCTGAGTTGCCATGTTGTAAAAATTCAAAGCCTTTACACAGGTTTTATTCAAGAACTGTGTTCAAATGGCTTCTGATGTGAAACAAAACAAAAAAAGTAGTTTTTTGTTTGTCTTTCCTGTAGATACATTCTTGAAGGGGTGGTAATTTCTCCATTTTGTGGAGAATAATATAGAGAATCCTTAATTCTCTTTGAAAAAATGATAGCACTCACATGGCTTTTCAAAGCTTCGAAATTTATTCTTAAAAACCTGTTAAGAACAAAACGACTTCAGTCCTTTTGTCCTACAGGAAAACCTTGAATTAATTGCTGTTTGGCTCTTAGTAACAGTTCTTCAAAGACGAGCTCAAGGGAGAGTTCTCCAAGGTGCCTGCCACCCCTCTATTTCTTTGGAAAATCAAATGTTCTTTTTTTGATCAAATTAGACACCATCACCCAGTCACCTTCACTGAGCTTCACTTCATTGTTAAACCTTTCACTTTTATGAAATGCAGCTATAAGAATTGGCTATATAAATGTAATTTCTGCATACCATACTAAATGATATTGCCCACTGCATTGCACAATGCCCTCTATAGATTATATCATGTTGAAAACTTCTCTCAGGATTCAGGACCAGAAATGTTTCTTGAAAAATTTTCTTTCTTCTTTCCAATAATGAGGATGATGTATTTTCTATATTTCCTTGAGTGTGCATTGTCACACTGCTGTAACTTAGCATTTGACCTGCCAGTATGCTAAGAATCAGAAGAGATGCTCATTTACGCAATTCAACATATTGGCCTATGGTTAGATATTTGCATTTGTCCTTTAATTTTCCATCTCTCTCTATTTTTAGCAAAGGAAGAAAGAATGTATTCATTAGTAAAATTAATTTGAAAATAATATTGTTGTTATTTGGGAAGTTGAGAAAAGAGATGCACTTCAGGCTGAATAAGATAGGGAAGTTAAAATGGCTTTGGAATGATAGTCTATGAAGTAGATAAGACTATAAAAGCAACATTTAAATTCTATCCTATTTTTTAAAAATCCGAATATTTTCTGATGTGATGACAGAAGTGAAAATAAGAAAGAGGACTAAGTTAAGGCATCCATTAATTTATCCCACAATATTTATCAAGACTGTGGTATGTGTCTGACACAGTTCTTGCCTTTAGGAAGTTTTCTCTCATGAACATCGATAAGCAATTTTGCTATATTACAGCATCTGCTATGTCAAAGGAAATTCATGCTGCCAGAGGACCAAATTAACAAGCAATTTTGATTTGAATTTAGGGTGGGCTAGAAGAAGAAGCAATCTCAAAGCAAAGACCAGAAGAAAGATGACAAAAGAAGGTAACCAGAGGAAGAGGGGAGGGTGGATTCAAAGAAAAGACAATGAATTGGCAGAGACTCCAAATTAAGAGAGGACACTGAGCCTCTAGGGAATTAAAATGTATTAACCAGCACCTTCCCTCTCAGATGGCAATGAGGTTAATCTAATCTTCAGGAGCCCTGACAACACATCTACTATTAACATTAATTACCTTATTGACAGTGATTACATTATTCAGAAAGTAAGAATGCACTCATATTTAATCTATAGTGATTATAACATATTAGATTATGTTTCCAATTATGTATGTATGTGTGTATGTATATATTTATAAGTGGGACCTGAAAATGACTTAAAGAGAACAGAATTTTGTTTTAGTTTCACATGAAGCTCTTGAGTTAATAATTAGTTCAAGGCTGCTGTGGTTTTTGCATTGCTCTCATGTGCATTTGCCATGAGCATTTGCCAATGTTCTCTGTCATGTGGCCTCCATTCATAATGTTAAGTCAAGATAAGATGGCTGGCTGATGCAACTCCTAAAATCACATCTACCATCCAGCTGGCAGAAAATAAGGGACAATCAAGAAAGGCAATCAACAAAGATACATACTTTTCTTTTTTTAAAAAAAGAGGTTGGTATAGAAGAGCTCTTCTTATCAATGGGCTAGAACACAGTTTCATGGCAACACCTACCTGTGCTTTCAGAAATGAAGCCTTTATTCAAGGTACCAATGAGTCCTGATGAAAATTCTTAATATTTAAAAAGGGGAGAAAAGATTATGAAGGACCATTTATGGTTTCTAATATTATATTTGTACAGCATAGTTATATCTGCATCTATAAAGTAATGCTTACATATATGTGTGTCTATTTATAAAGATAAACCATAATGTGTGAGGTTCTCAAAGTTGGTGATTTTACCATATTATACACACATTATTTTCTTATAAATAATTATGTTGCATCTTATCTGTTGACCTGACTGATAACCAATAAAATAATTTTAACAAAAACTATATAACACAGCAAGCCACATTCCCTATCAGTTACATGCAAAGGGAAACAGATAAACTCTCTTAGCTATACCAAACTAAGTTACCTGGAACATTGGACTACTGATATTAGGAAATTTGAGTGGTTATTAACCATCCATATAATCAGCTTATTTTCCAGCATATTTTGCCAGTGCATACTTTACTTCATATGCTTTATATGATACCTATGGATATCTGTGAAAATGAATAGCTCAAGTTCTATTTATGTAGAATGGCATCTCTCAAAGGCATTATGCCAATCATCTAGGGAACCCAGGTAACTTTTAAATGGTCTTGCTTGTATAACTCTGATAAAAACATGTTTTAACCTGAATTACCTATACAATTGAATTTATGTTCTTATTTCTTTTTAAAGTAGAATTAACACAAAAAAACAAAATCTATGTAAGATTATGTGAGGTAGAAAGCCAATCATTATATGGGGTGGTATTGTCAGTCAACCTGGTCGTATTAAAAAAAGGAGCCACTGTTACATTTTTCTAAGTAGATCCTATTAAAAGGAAATTTTTGCCGTTACTTCTGTTTCTAATTTTTTTCTCTAATTTACCTTTATTGATTTTTTTTTTTTTTGCACAGTCCTCACATGTTTTTGTAGCAGAGGCTCATGCTGGAAGGGATGGGCACTATATAAGGACTTTCCACTCCTATTTGCCTAATAAGACATGATATCAGACCACAGATCTCTTGTCTTTTTAAGAATTGCATAATAACAAATATCACAGAAAAAATAAAATTTTGTTTCACAACATAGTATATGTCGTTTTAATCATATCTTATATTTTGTAATATTTTGGACTTTTAGAAAATGTATTATTTCTTTGGAGTTGGGACTTCGGGGAGAATTATGACAGAATGTGGATATTAAGAGGTGTGTCACCTGGCAAAAAGCTGTGGTTTTCTGCTGGATATCCTTAACTTTGCTGAGACTTTGATGCTCAGGTAGTTAACCTGGAATTTTTAATATTTTCCTATTCCTTCAGGTCAAATATTTGAATATAGCAATTTGAGGTGATATATTTATTATAATATTTAGAGATGAATCGATGTAATTCTTTAACACTTTACTGTGGTTTAGTAGACTTAAATTCTTTGAACAATTCAATGAATTCCTTTACTTTCCTAAATACAAAATACATAACGTAGTAAGCACAAAATGAAGTTGCTAATTATTCTGTGCATTTGGGAATATGCACATAGGAAAGCAATGAAATTTAAGGGCAATACAGTCACCTTTGGATCTAAATGATTTCTATAAGTTCCCCCCTCAGTTACATGTACTAGAAAATTGCCAGTTTTTCACATTACTTCAGGTTCTATAAATCTTGATAAAAGGGAAATTTTAAACAGAGAGTGGTGAAGATAATACGTATTTTAAAGGTCACAAGGTAATATGGATGGCTTAAAAAATAATACTTTCTGGATCTTTCTCAAACTGGTAACAATTGGATATCATGATTTGGTTGTGTACTGGTATTTGTACTGGACGTCAGGAAAACGGGTTTCTCATATCTCTGTTTTACCACTTACCAGAGTTATAACTTCTGATAGGTGCAGCCACATAATTAATAGAATGATGTAATGATAAATTTGTCTACTTAAAGACACACAATGCCTTATTTTGTGGTCCACAAGAGCTCTAAGACAAGGGTCAGCAAAGAACAGACAATGCAGTAAATCCAGCCCACAACCCAATTTTATAAATAAAGTTTTGTTGGAATACAGCTCTGCCTATTTATTTATGTATTGTCTACAGCAGCTTTCATGCCTCAGTGACAGAGTTGAGTCGTTGCAACAGAGCCCATGTGGCCCACAAAGCCCAAATTATTTACTTGTCTGGCCTTCTACAGAAAAATTTCATTGACCCCTGCTATGCCAGCTGTGCTATTGTCATGCTGAACACATCCTGCTATAGATGGGTGGTAGTTTCTGATAATTAATCGTGTTTTGTTTGAGCTCACCATATCCTCTGAATGTGCTAGAATCCAACACTGAAAAATGTTTCTGTGTGAAGTAGAGGTAGGGGCTGGTCACATTAAACCTGTTCCACAAATAGAGGGCAAATTTCTCTTAGACAATCAGTTTGCCATCTTTTGTGAGCATGAAATTCATCTTATAATTTTAGGGAGGAAAATGTCGTCTTAAGCATGGGGGAATGTTTTAAAATTCTTATATTCTGTAATATGATCTACCTTCTCACTGTTTGTTTCAACTCAATAATAAAATATAACTCCTAAATGTGAAGAACTTTCCTGGGCTGTGAAATTGATAAGATCCAGACTCTTCATCTGGAAATTTTGTCAAGCCTCCCTCCTCCCGATTCTCACCTCACTTTCTTTGGACAAATTTGAAAGAAAATCATATTTCTTCAAATTTGCATATGTGCTCATTTTTTTTTGTAAACCAAAAGCAGTTCACATTTGTTTTATAGTTATATTAAATTTAAAAGTAGTCTATAACAAATAAAATGAAACATATCAAAATAATTCACAGGCACTTCCAGTCTATTTTCTCAAAGTGGATATACCACAGTAATAGTGTGACATGTAAAATTACTTAGAAAGAAAATTATTTGTTGGTGTCCACTACTACTTTCTCTCCTTGCTTCTAAATAATCTGTTTATTTATTTCTCCACTCAGTAGACAGTTACTGCATGCCCCATTATTTCTTCTTTTTCATTGCCAGAGGCAATTGCTCATCATTCTGCAACCATGTCACAGCTCCTTGAGCATTCCTATTCTTTTCTTGGCTACCATTAGAAATCCAAGTGATTCCTGAAGAGTTATTTTATTATGTGTCTCAGCCGCAACCTTAGTCTCTCATCATGTTGTACATATGAGACAAACTAAGTAAACATAGAGACATTGGGCAAGATGGCTCAAGGAATTTATGCTGTGACACAACTCCCCTAAATGCTAAACAAAGTAGAAATAAAACACAGAAGCAAAGCTAAAGCCACATGTCTCCTTATTTTCAAGTCTAGAATTATATAGGGGAGCTGGGAATTTGGCATGTATGAAATATTGGGAACCAATAGAGCAACATGCCTAATTGGGGACCAGAACTGAAGCTTGATGCTGTGGATTAGAATGTGGCTCACACTGCAGCTGTATGGGATCCTAGAGAACTTACAGCCAGAGGGAAAAAGGAAAACATGAATACAGGCAGGATTTAAGCCAAGCCACCTGCTGGCCCGGTGAGTACATGTGCAGTAACGTGAATTTTAGATTCTTTAACAAATGTTTACTATGTGAACAATTTAGATTACTCACTAAAAGACCAGAAATACAATGTGTCCAAACCAGCAGAAGGAAACGGAGGAGGAGTAATGAAAATCTTATCAACCCTAGTAGAAGACAGAAAAGGAGAGAAACAGGAGGAGGAAGCAGGGAAGAAGAACGAGGAGAAGGGGGAGGAAAAAGAGGAAGAAAATGAAGAGGAATAAAAAGGCTAGTGAACCGAAGCACAAAATATGGTTGTTTCTTGGTATACTCTGGAAATTGGTTTCAGAACCTTTGCATATGTCAGAGTCCACGTGTTCAAGTCCTGCAGTTGGTCATGGAGAATGTGGGTATGTGAAAAGTTGGCCCTCTGAATACGCAAGGTTTCAGATGCCTCAAATCTGCATTTGTTTGGAAAAATCCGTGTATAAGTGGACCCATGTAGTTCAAATCCGTATTGTTTAAGGGCTATCTGTAACTATAAAAAAATCCAATTATCTAACTAAAAATAATGCAAATAAATGAAACTTATATTAAAAAACTACAATTATCTGACTGGTTATAAAAAAGAGGATCTAGCTATATGCTATATTCTCAATCATATCTAAAAGCAAAACCCCACCAAAAAAGCAAAAATAAAGGAATGAAAATAACAATACTTTGTAAACACTGAGAGAAGACTGCCCTAGCAATGCAAAGTATTATTTGCCTTAACAAGCAGAGTATTATTTAAAGCAATAAGAAGTTGTCTTAGTATATTTTGTGCTGCTATAACAAAATACTCAAGACTAGGTAACTTATAAAGAACAGAAATTTATTTTTTCTCAGTTCTAGAATCTGGGAAGTCCACGATTAAGGTGCCAGCAGGTTGAGTTGTCTGGTGAGGCTGCATCCTACAGAAGTGCAGAACACCATGTTCTTACATGCCAGAAGAGCCAAAGAGCAAGATAGCGGAAGCCTCTTGTCTACGGGCCTAGTCCTATTCACAAGGGACAAGTGCTCATGGCATAATTACCACTTCAATAATCTACCTCTTAATGCTATCACATTGGCAACATGTGAATTTTGGAGGGGCCGCATTCAAACTATAATAGAGGAATCCTGCATAATAATTAAAGTAACCACCCCTGTAGGAATATATAAAAACCATTATATACCCTAATTATATTATCTGAATTATATAAAACAAAAAAGGAGACAATTGCAAAGAGAAATCAGCAAATCCACAATCTGGATTGCAGTTTTTAACATACAATGTTAGAAACAGTAGATCAACTAAAATGTGCAAATAAAAATATAAGAAATTTGAACAACAAATTAACAAACTTCACCTAATACACATACAGACACACATACACAGACGCACACACACCCACACATATATATATACACATATATAACCCTACATTCAAGGATCATTTTCATATATAATATTTAGAAAAAAATAATTTAAAACATAGCCACTAACAAAATAACTTTCAAAGGAATTGTTATCATCAGATACTATACTATAACTGTAATGCAATTAAACAAGAAATTAATAATAAAAATTGGTTTATTTCTGTGGTATATTTGGAAAATTAAAAATGCATTCTTATATAATTCATTATTTTAATAGAGAAACTGAAAATACATCTTATTTGGCAAGGAAAGCAAAAGAACAATGTATCAAAATATGTGGGATGCTTTCAAATGAGAGGAAAATTTATAAATGCATTTTTATAAATGCATTTTTATCTCAAATGCATTTATTAAAAGTCAACCAAAATATTTTTGTGTTCCCTTGGGACAGTAAAAGAAAACAGAATGCACATAAGAAAAAATGGAAGATGATAAGGATGTGAGCAGAAATTAATAAAATGGAAAGAATAAGGAGAAAACCTGGTTCTTCTAAAATACCAGTAAAATAGGTAAACATAGTAAGGTTGATTCCACCTGTTCAGAGGAACCAGAACAATACTGAGAGGTAGATCTAGGTAGAGCTATATGTTACTTAGGTCTAAATCTATGTCTGTATATCTACATCTATATCATCTGTGGCTGTATTAACTATGTCCATTTCATCTATAGCAAGATTTCTTAACCTTGGCATTATTGAAATTTTGAGTCCGACAGTTCTTTGTTAGAAGAGGCTATTCTGTGCACTGTGGGATGTTTAGCAGAATCCCTGGCCTCTACCGTCTAGATGCCATAGCACTCTCTCTCACTCCAGGAAAGATAAACAAAAAACTTTCTCCAGACACCACCAAATGTCCTCTTGGGGGCAAAATAGTCTCCAGTGAGAATCACTATATTGACTATATTATCTATAGTTATAGCTGTGTAATCTGTGTATCTTTTTATCTCTCAATACACAGAGCCCAGACCTAAAAAACTGGAGTCTATGTGCAGTGTTTAATGATGATCCAGCTCACCTAAGACTAGGATTTCTCTGTAAAATGGAGACTGTAATTCTTACCTTATCTTCTGTGTTATTTGTTTAGCTGCTGAAAGGAGATAATAGGTATGAAAGTCTTTGAAAAAGCAAGACGTATTAACAAGATAAAAGATAGTAGAAATGATGAAATGACATTTTGATGCTATAATTATTGGACTAACACAAGTTAGTGTTAAACATTGAAATAGTTTATTCTAAAAAAAGAACTAGTCGGGAAGCTTGATATGGAATAAATTGGGTACTTGGTGATAGTTACAACTCTCATAGTTTGAGAGTTTCAGTTCCTAACTGTTAATATGGTGATTATAACTCAAACCTAGCAGAATTATTGGGGACCTCTCTCTGTGTATGGATAAGAATACGTCCCATATAGTATGTATGAGAAGAAGCATTTGCAGTATCCAAATCAATATCTTTTTCTTGCAATAGTCTTGGATTTTTTTGTTGTTGTTGTTTGTTTTTGGTAGTTTGCCTTTTGGTTACACATCTTGGGATTTCTCTATTCCAGTGTCCTCATTCCCTAGCAATCTAAAACACTATTCATTTTTCTGTCTATGCTTCTAATTTTCTATCCTCTGTTAATGATACTTCTGCTTTATCATCCTATACATTTCTTTTATTTTCAAAATTTTGTAGAGGCTTTCTAATGACACCACACTTAGAAATACTATAAACTCTAGCAACAAAATAAGATTCAACCAAATTACATTTCTGTAAATAGCTAGTATCATGTATTAAAATATTAACAGGTCAAACCTAAATAAGTCCTTCTTTGAGGAATATCCCTGCAGTGACTACTAAGAGCTAAACCTGTTTCCATGTTTACACTATAAATCCTTTGTTTGAAAAGTTAATATCTCAGCTGCGAAATTTCTTCTTGTGGTTAAACTTGGCAAAAGGTTGACACTCCGGAGTGATATTTTCTTTTCCTCAAGTTTAGAGGTAAAACCATTAGTTTATTTTTAAGATCTTAGCGGAAGAAACGGGAGAGAGTGACAACAGATGTTTCAGATGATTCTTATTACTAGAAAACTGAATAACCAGTTAGCTTTATTTTTAAAAAATCTAGTTACATGAAAGCTTACCTTGGACTTGTGAGAATTCTTTTCCATATATAATACCACTGATCAGTCTAATCAATTGTAATTTTCCTTTTTAATGTTGAAAGTGGATTTTGGCCCATGCTCAGTTGCTCATTTTCTTCAGAAATTTCATAAGGATTTTTAGTATAAAAAGTTATTGAGCATGCAAGCTTCTGCGGATAAAAAGCTCCCTAAGCATGCATTGACAAGGAGGACCAGGGTTGTTACAGTTTGTTGTGTCAATGATTTGCAAATAATGGGTCTCTGGGAGATTTTTAAATTGCAGCTTTCACTCCAGGCCATGGTGCTTTTTAGGATGAGCTGAGTTGCTATGAGGCTTGGCACTCTTCAACGCACCTTAGGCAGGGGCTCTAATATTTCCATTGAGATCGTAATAGCTGCCCATTACAGTCAATCTCAATGACATATTTTTCTTGCATTTTTTTCTTTTAATAAAAAACAAAAAAGCACACTCAAAAGACAATATTAAAGTTGTAACTTAAGCCAACTACAGTGAAGAGCTTTCACAGAATGCCATGAACATCATGAATCAAGTCGTTATGGAGCCATGTTTAAACCATACATGGCTTACAGTATGGGCACAATAGTAGTTCCAAAAGTGGTGAATTTGAGTCAGTTAAAATGGCATAAAAAGATATGACTCATACATGAAATTAAAAAATGTGGGACAATCAAATAAGCATTACAGGTAAAGTACATGAAGACTCTATATTACACTGTAAAACAGTTCATAGGTTCTAAGTTCAAATTTCTCAGTCATACTTCTGTTTCTTACATAAGCTGAGTTTTATCTGTCACACTGCATAGCCCAGGATCTCCGAAGTTAATCTCGTATTATAGAATTTAGGAAATCAAGAGGATTTTCAGATCACTAACATCCCTTAGTATTTGACAGCCTGAAGGAGATACGTGTTGGAGGATGATATACTGAAATGCCCTGTGGATATAACACTGGCTCATTTATTTTATGAGTTAAATTCACAACATTACATTATATTTAATGTAAAACAACATTTTAGAAAACACATTTATTCATAGTGGATTCTCCCAGTAGGTATAATTTCACCTTATTAGAGAACTGATGGTTATCAATAAATATTACTTTTGAACACAAAAACATATATAATATGTTTATGATTTTTAAGAGTGCCTTCTGGGGTTGTTACATTTTTACTTGAAAAGTATGGGCTCCCTCACTGCAAAAACGACTTCTTATACATTATTTAGCATTCACTCAGCATCTGTCATAAAGCCTGCCACAGTGGACAACAAATATTTGTTGAATTTCAGGCTATTGTTGAATGTGCCTATGCACATGTGCCTGTGCAAAAACTTATGTCAACATTTCCAAACAGCTCTGATCAAAACTGAAGAAGAAATTTCAGAATTATTCAGAAAGTTAGAGCCAGTGTGAATCAGACACTGACTGCCATCCATACAGTGATATAAAATTGTCAATAGATTGTTGAGAACATATAAGCAATGGAACTTAAATGAAGAGCAAAGAGATAATCCTGAGAGCAGGAAATGTTGAAAGGGGAATTTTAAACTCACTATTGGGTTTAACCAAGAAAGTG
Organism: Homo sapiens; assembly: GCF_000001405.40. NCBI lineage: Eukaryota > Metazoa > Chordata > Mammalia > Primates > Hominidae > Homo > Homo sapiens. Next base: position 82,754,075 of record NC_000001.11, on the reverse strand, counting down.
CCCCCTCCCTGAGAAGATAACAATAGATGTTACAGAACAAAAAAGAAATAATTATGGAAGGAGTAAAGATTTTCAGTAACTGCAATATATTGATGGTAGGATTATTTAAATCTTACAGAAGAGGGAAAAACGATTTTATTAAGGTAACTAACAAAAGAGAGGAATTGTGGTTTTACTTGATTTCTTTTTTTCTCCAGAATATTTCTTTGGTTTTACAAACTTTTAGCACAAAGCATTTGAACATATTTTCCTATACAAACTGGTGGTGGACAGAGGCATCAGTAATGTATTGATGGATACAAGACTAGGTGGGTGATGTAAATAGGAAATACTGGCTGGTGGTAAGGTTTGAGATAATGATGAAGATACAGAAGGGAGAAAAAAGCTCCATAGATGATTTGATGGGAGGCGGAGTTACCAGTACACAGGAGGATGTAGGAAGGGGCTGACAGGCAGATTTGAAACCTGAAAGATAAGAGGTTGGGATACATTCCAAGAAGTAGAAACTCAGACTTTGGGGAAAGGGTTGAGGGACAGAGTAATTTATTCTATGGCCAGTTTATTCAATACATTTCGACACTTATATAAATTATAATAGAATTACTTCTTCAATCAGTACTTCAAATTTTCCCAGCAGCAACAACTATGAAACCATCCCACTTTCAAAGCCATACAGGCATAGTCTTAGTTTAAGATAGAAATGCCACATCTGTATGTTGAAGTGGGTTAAGAGAAATGCTTTTGTTAGTACCACAATCCATCTCCAACCTCCGGAAGTCTAAGCAAGGATATGAATCTTGGGCTTTCTTTTTCTCCTCGCCTTAATTTTTAAAACATTGTACATCTTTATGTCTATAAGCCTGAAAACAACCCCAAGAATCAGAAACAGGTGAAAAGCCCTTCTGGGATGATCCATGAACTCACTGCCTTAGATGAACTATGAATAGCTTTCCTTTTAGTGCAATTAGACCTAAGGAGGTGCATGTACAGTCGATGGGGTCGCCTTGTAATCCACATTATCTAAACTCTGATAGTTTGCATTTCAGTCAATTGATTTGACCTTAGATTTTGATAGCTTGCTTGCATACACAATTGCCTAGCCCAGCCAAGAACTTTCCTGAATATGATACTTGACCAATATTTTAAAATCAAAGACTGAATGAAGTAAAAGGGAAGTCTTTCTAGAAACAATGAAGACTAGATATTAACAAGTTCTTTATTATCAGAATTAAACTGTAGTGCGAGAAGCATTTTTCTTCTTAATACTTATTTTCAGCATCGTTTTTCATATCTCAAACTATTTTAGAGTCAATGGCTAAATTTCACAAAACAACTTCTATCTGCTATAGCGTTATAGAAATAGAAAAAATAAAACAGAAGCACTAATACATTCTCGAAAAGAGACAGATTTTCTCAAAAAGTAAGTAATGCTAATCACACTTGCCTATTAGGGTAAAGGCATTTTTAAGGAATGTGTAGTTTGGCCCCTTATGGCTCTATATAAATGAATAAAGGGGTCTAATTTTTCAAGACTGTCTTCTTTAAATCAACATGACAATGAAGTATACAATATGTAGTTCAATGTGGGTGTAGAAGTCAATGTCAGTAGGTTATTACCCCATTTTTAACATTTTCTTCCCAGAAGAATTTTAAAGGGATTGCTTATTTTTCTAGAGTGCTTAAAGACAACTTAATCCAGACAAGCCTGTGACTATGTGTTGGCAAGCTAATGTTTTGACAAGGAATAAATCAGTGCATGTGGACACTGGTGATGTATGAATCTCCCCAACACAACATTTCGTCAAAATATGTCTTTCAAACCAATGTGTCTGTCATAATGCCTGGGCCAAATGTTTAATGAACAGTTCTTCTAAACACTACTGTCAAGAGAGAATGTTATTGGTCGTCAGCTTTTCAAATGCAAGTGATTAATAGAGTGACAATTTCAAGATCAAAGTTCTTGCAGTCCTAGACAGATTTAGCAGTGAGTGTATAAGTACGGGTCTTTGAACAGGGATAGAGCCTCCAGATATGACCAGGCCAACATCCTATCTGATATATAATATGCTCCCTTTCTGTCAGCAGACTGCCTAAAATGTTTGAGAGTAACATTTGGAAATTAGAAATGGTGTCTCACCATGCTTCTTGGACTAAAATAGAAGATGATTCAAAGGAATTCAGGACTAATTTTTGATCCTCAATCAAAAACTATGGCACTGTATTACAAACACACTGATAAACACAATCTATAATTTCTTCTATTTATGGCACTGAATTCTTCTAAAGTAAATAAAAAACATTTTACTTTTTGAGTATATGAAATTTCACAAAAAGTAAAATTTCAGAGATTGTCAAAGAAATGTTAATATTCCCTTGATAAGAATGAATGACAATATTTTCCAAATGTTCAAGTGAACAACTTTCAAATTTTGAATATCATTATTTGATGTTATTACATATGCAATAACTTGAAACAATTTGAGAATGTACTTTTGAATTCAAAACATTTTTAAGTTTGCCAATATTATTTATGTAAGTTATAACATTAGTAACATCTAGAAGTTAATTACATAAATTCATTTTTAATGATATGTATACTACTTTTTAATGAAACATATATACATTTTATTGGTTAATATTTGGAGCATGCTGCTTTCAGAAACTATATATTGTCTTTCATATTTCAAAGAGAATGGAGATTATTTAGTGTTTAAAGCTGCTAAATTATACTTAATACAATCTAAAAATATATAAAGAGTTGCCTTCAGTGAAATGAAAAACTATTTTATTTCTGGCTGCTAAATATGTGAACTGTGTAGTATGATGTCTCAATAAAAGCATATAAGTTTATGTGCATAATATACTATTTTCTATTTATAAATACATTGAATTTGGATTAAGATGGCTTAACTATCAATCTAGTTTTATTTGAATAAATTAATGACACTAAACTGTATTCTGTTTTGTAATTACAAAAGACACATTGTGACAAAGGTCACTGATTTCCCAATGTGTAATAAGTAAATGTAATAGAAAATAAAATACTTAATTAACCTAATAACATAATTTAAATTATTTTTGTTCCAATTCAAATGAATTCAAATTAATGGCATTTTTTTTTCATTCTGCTGCAAGGGTATTTCATGTGGCATGTGCTGATTTGAAAATTTACATCAACTTCAAATTTTTAAAAAGGCTAATTAATTATCAATGGATGTGGGGATGCCTAGGTTTCAAACATGCCTTTATTGTGAAAATTTCTCTTTACTTGTGCCTCTCATTGGGCATAAGAAACTTAGGAATTCTGGTTATAACAAATTTAGGGAAAGACAGTCAACAACCAATAAACCAGCCATGACAATAAGTGCTGGCCCCATGTGCCGAGGGTCCAAAAGAAATCAGGCATCAGGCCTAATAAGAATCAGGTAATGTACCTAATAAAAGTCAGGCAACAGGCCTAATGAAGCTTAGGCAGTGAAAACCAGGCAGTGGGCCTAATGAGAGAGAGGCAACAGGCCTAATGAAAATCAGGCAACGGGCCTAATGAGAAATGCTGTAGACTTTATTTTGGTTTCTCTCTCCATGGAAGTTTGTATGGTGTAATTTAAGTGGACCCACTCAAAAACATATGTGAGACATGTTTGTCTAAGTGCAAAGTATTGGAAAAAAGAAGAGCCATTAGTACATAAGGTAGAGTCAATGCACAGATTGTATCCCTCACTGAATTGTGTAAGCACGATGAATTTGAAAACCATCAAGGTATGTCCACACCATCACAGCAGTAGTTTTTAATAAACATGTTCACAGTTCTAACTTGAGATTTATCCTGAGTTACTGAGTTTCTGTCTGGTTACCATGCCCTAATCAGCCCTAAAAGAACAGGCTGTAAGCTTTCCAATATTTGATGCTTAGAAGGAAATAGAGTCATTTAAATAATTTCCGTTGTCCTGAGGTTTAAAGGAATATACAAAATAGAGCAGAGATGTCAAGCTTTCATTGACTTTTTTTTTTTTTAGAAACTATTTGAATGACTATTTGCAAGGTACTGGGTGTTAGTGGGCTCTTCTCTGTGGAGTTTTTAGTCCAATGGGAGAGACAGACCACATACAAACTATAAAACTACAAACAGCGGAATGTTATATGAAGAAAACAAACAAGATATTATGATAGAGAATACTGGGGCAAAAGGACCAAGATTGATTGTGTGGCCAGGAAAGGCCTCTCTAGGATAAGAAGATGCACCACATGCTGCCAGAACAGAGACGAACATTCCAGACACAGAGACCAGCATGAGCAAAGCAGGGAGGTGGGTAGCATGATTGAAGAGTTAAAAGATCATTTTGGGTTATCCATTGTCAATGAAATGGGCAATGTGAGATATTGTGGAAGAATTGTAGAGGCAGACACATCTCGGGACAATTCCTGTTTCTTGCACTTAGTGACCTATAATCATAGGAAACATATTTATTCTCTTTTAGCTTTATATTCTCCTTGCATATAGTGCAATATATAATATAATGACTTGTAAGACATATTGGGTAAGCATTTGACTAAAACATATTTTTGTATTCATTCACTTAAACACTTCAATTTGTCATAATAGTTTTTTTTTTAATCTTAAGGTAAAAAAAGCGAAAAACCATCTTTTTCATAAGCAACATAAGCAATTGAAATGTTAACTTTAATCTTTACAAATATAAACGTCATCTCATTATTAAAACAATGTAATAGTAAGCATGAAAAACAAAAAGAAAAATAAATCTAAAGAATAGTATTGTAAAATTTAATCATTTTAAGTGTAAAATTATTTTAGCTGTCTCAGTGCCGTAGCAACAAAATCTAACGTGATTGTCACTTGCAAATGTGACCATATAACAAAATATGTATTGTAAATAAAATGTGTCAAATTGTAAATTATTTTAATTACATTAGTTATTCTTATTTTGTTTACTTTTTTCCTAGAATTATTACAGAAAAATAACAGCAATTTTTAGGACATATACTTTCTTTTTGATTTCAAATTGAATTAGAACGAAAACCACAGTAACACAGAATAATATGTCTAACATGTGGTTTTCCTTCAGGAGATATTGAGTTTTTAGATTTTACCAAGTCCCTTGGAAGCTTTAGGGTTCTTACAATGCCTGGAGTCAATTTTGAACAACTTTGCAATTTACTATAGGGAATCTTAATTCAAATTCAACAAAACACTGAAAGAGGAAGTGTTTTGGGGGCAATTAGGTTTCTCCAAGGATATTAATATGAGATTCCCTGGTGGGGAAAAGGAAGATGTAAATAAAATATATCTGTAATACTGCAATATGTTAAATAGTATTAATGATAAAAATATATATAAGTAAAAACTGTAAGTCCTATCCATTTTATTGGGAGAATTAAGGCTAAGTCTACACACCAAACAAAAGAACATGAGAGCTGAACAATTGCCAAAACCCTGTTTGGAGCGTCCATTTACACATTTATGATAGTCTTTCACTTGTAAGATCTTGTGACTTAAAGTTATCAGTGACAACAATTAAACAATTTTGTGTTTATAGTTCCAACAATACTGCTGCCTAATTTTAATCAATCATTAAATAAATACTTACTTGGTGCCTACTATGTGTCAGGCATGCATGATTCTAGGTGTGAGGGATATAATTGTGAACAAAATTATCAAAAGTGACTGACTCCCCCTCTTTCTTTGCATATCTGATTTGTAAATTGTTGTATACTATCTTTTTGCATTGTATTGGGAGATCTATTGTCTTTTAGCAATGTTAATATTGATCAATACATTGAAGTGCTGTCAGCCTGATTCATTCATTATAAAGTTCCCCACTGGCTTTTACCTCATGTTTTTTTTAGCCATTGATGATCATTTCCTAGAATCCTTGCATTCATTATTTGTTATAAAATGATAATATTTTGATTTTTTATTCTCCTGCATATTATAGAATTTTTTTGTAAAGAACAACTTTTCTTATGAATTACTGTGTTTACATGAAAAAAAAGTTTATTCAGAAAACATAGGTGAGATATTTTATTCTCACCCTGTATTCACCGGTTTGTAGAATAATGAGTTGAACACAAGACAGAGAACCAAATATAAACCAAAGGCAAGGTGTTTTGTTTTTCTTTCTCTATTATTATAAGCTCAGGAACATTAACATATTTGATGTGTTTAACTCCATTGCAATCTCTGCTTTGTGTGATGGTCTAATTGCTGGAAGTTGGCTTCTGGGACATTTTAATAAGACCTTAGAGGTCTTAGATACTACCATGCAATCTGGTAGAACATAATTTTTCATACTCATCTTTAGGAATTTTTTCCTAAGTCTGGAGTGACCAATTTCTACAGGAATCCCTGATTCCTTTTTTTTGGAAAGTGGTGTTCAGAGACCACATTCCAAGTGCTATTGGTGCTACATGGTGAGCCTGATCCTTTCAGTAACAAAGCTAGAAACTACTTCATAGGTTATTTTTTTCTAAGAAATTAATAGTAATTTTATATTGTAAAGGGTTTTTAACTTTAAAATCATGCTTACTCCAGTGGAACTTATATTCTCATGAGTGGAGACAGACTTTGAAAGTATTACACTTTACTCAGTGATTACTCTCCATATCAGAAGCAGAAATATAATTTAATTCTCGAATGTGCTTATGATTTTCTCCTATTGCATGCATTAGTCTTCTCAACTCTCCTTATGCAAAGTACTGTTCAGAAATAACACCATCATTCATTCAGATTTTGTGACAAGAGCCAGTCAATTAAACTTGGTTATATCACCTTTAATCTTTCATATTCTACAAAAGTGAGTATTTCTTTTGGATATCCTTATCATCTTGGACTCACAGTGGCCAAGCAAACTTCTCATAAAGATGACAGAGTTTCTGCTAATTATCTTTAAAAAGATTTAATGAATAGCATTACAATAATTTATCTTACATTTCCTTCTGAATAATTACCATTGTGACTCACTAAGAGGAAGAGGAAAAATAGAAGACATCTTCTATCATATCCCATTGTCCTTTTCTTCTCGAGGTATTTAGTCATAATATAAATTATTTTAATGTGAATATTTAATTTAATGAAATGAAAATTGCAGTGATGACAAATGCATACGATTTTAACTGCAAGTAATAAAACTCAACGCAAGACTTTTACTAAAGTATGTAAAACACCATCCTGAATGAAAATACTGTAGAAATTTGTGGCATGACTTTATTATTGAAAAATCTCAATCAATAAACTATCTGTAATTTCAGTGAGTATGCCATCAAATAAGGTGATATTGCCTATTGCAGATGTTACAAAAACAAATTCCAAAGGCATTTTTTCCTTTAAAGGTTGAATATGTTGCCATATATTAACTGTTTATAGTCAAAACCATAGATAAATATTTTTAAATATATAAAATTCATGAAATGATGTATACAAGATGAATACTTTATATTGCATATATGTATTTGTGGGCATTAAGCAACCATATATTGGCACATATTGATTGACCAACTAAATTAAAATCATAGTTTTCCACACACTTAAACTATGCTTATGTTGCAGAAACAGCTATATTATCCTTGAAGGAGGGAAAAGTAATTAAAATTCAGAATGGAACTTTATTGTCAACATGACAGTAGATTAGTAATATCCAAAAAGTCTGCACATTAAAAACCCATAGTGTTAAATATAATGACAAAAATGGACTAAAGTATGGGAACTAGTGAAAAGAGAAGACCAAATGTCAAAGTGAGGTGCAGATATTCACTAGTTGGAACACTGAGGTGAATGAATAAATAAGTAATATTCTGGATTTTGCAAAGTTGTAAAGGAAAGAATAATAACATTTAATTTAATCTTACTGGCTGAGATATAAGAGTGTCACTTACCAGACATGGACTTTCCACTCCAAATTCTCATTGATATAAATTATCACTGAAACAACTGTGGTGGTTCAGCCTGTACCTTTTGCCACATTATCCATCGTTTTTATGCGTCTGTTTGAAGTTGAACACCTGTACTATAATAGAAATATATTTTAGTAATAACACTATTAATATTGTCATATAATTTAATTTCAATTTAATAATAATAGTTAATATTAATTACTATTCCCTTGTGATTTAATTTTTAAAAATATCCGGGCATACTATGTTTTAGGTAAGTTCTAGCCACTTACAGTCTATTGTAATTGACACATTAACACTATAAGATAGAAAGTACTTGTGTCTTCATTGTATAGATTAGGAAACTGAGGAACCTAAAACTTGAGAGTGACTAAGTTAGGTTTGATTCTAGGTTTGACCAAAGTGCTCTGTGGAGGGAGAGAAAGGAAGAGGAGGGTAGGAAAGACAGAAAAAGAAAGAAGAATGAAAGATTAGAGGTAGTACAAGCATCATGGATTCTATAGAAAGATGTTGGATTTAAATAGGTCTCATTTTTTTCAAATAGGAATAAAGAATTTATACACAGTGACACTTTTCTAAATATTCCTGTAGGATATAAGAATCAAGCATTATCCAGAAGATGTAAAGAAATTTCTATGTTTCTCTGCATTACAGGCAATATAAGAAATTTAGGAAAATAGTTTCTTCTATCAGTTTCTTCAAATTTAATGAAAAAAGTGATTTTTATAAGCATGAAGGAAGAGCAAACAGTTTAAAATTATACCGAATTTGTCTAACATAAGCAACAGCAATAAAAAGAAATCCAATAAAGAGATCTAGAAACCCATTAAAAACTTGATTCTATATTTGCAGACTGTGGAAATGATCCTTCTGAAATTAAATGATTTTCAGAAATTCTTGATACATTGAAAAGAGAACAGAAAATATGAAAATAATAGAAGAAAAGATAACAGATTGAGATGAGCAAGAAGGGACTAAATGACTGCAATTTGTAAAAACTAATGTTCCTGAAGAAGAAATCAGAATAAAATGAAAAGAAATACTGAGGGACATGATTGAAGAAAACTTTCAAGAGATAAGAACTTTTGAATTTTCAAATTAATTAGTGTCAATTGGCAAAATTAATAAATCCAGTGATTATTTAGATATAATCTGATAGCAGTTTAGACCTTAAAAGACAAAGAAAATAACTCTATACGTATCTAACCAAAGGTAAAAGAAAAACATTATACATACTCAGGCAAAAATTTTGATTTTAGAGTTTTATTGGGAAATTCTTTCTGTTTTTGTTTTGTTTTTTTAGAGATAGGAACTTACTCTGGTGCCCGGGCTCCAGTGCAGTGGCATGATTATAGCTCAATGCAACCTCAAACTCCTGGGCTCAAGCAATCCTCCCTCCTCAGCCTTCGGAGTAGCTGGGACTGCAGGCATGCACCACCATGCCTGGCTAATATAATATAATATAATATATATATATATATATATATATATATATATATTTTTTTTTTTTTTTTTTTTTTTTTAGAGCCAGCGTCTTCCTTTGTTGCCCAGACTGGTCTTGAACTCTTGGCTTCCAGAGATCCTCCTGCCTTTGCCTCCCAAAGTGATGGAATTACAGGTGTGAGCCACCATGCCCAGCCTTGGGAAATTCTGAACACTGAAATTAAATGGATAATTTCCTATAGAAATTCTACAGACAGATTCAAATATATAATTAAAAGGTTGTTCTTACAGTAATGTGATGGGAAAATAATCTCAGATAACAAGATCCATGAAACACGTTGTTTTCATCCTCTGGGCTGAGAATACTTTTTTAAAGATATAATTCAGCTAATGGGAAAAAGAATCAAAATAAACAACTCAAGACTTGGTAACTTTTTTCTCTAAAAAAGTAAAAGAAATATGGGTTAACACTGAGATTCAGTTAAACAGAGAGAAGTATAAAATATTGTAAATATAGTAAAAAAATTTAAACCAATAAAAATTCTTTTGAAATACTGTTTATGATTTAAAATCTTACCCTCTGATCCCCGATTACATTTACAAAATATAAGAAATTGACCTGGATGGAAAGAGAAAGAGAAACAAAAAGTGTAAAAAATTTTTTTTAGTTTTCAATTTTATCTGCATTACAAATAACTATAAAATATCAAAACAAGCTACCTTTAACCGATACAGAAAAGACTTAAGGTAAAGAAAACAATAATGACATAGGAAACAAGCACATAAATAACATTTAAAACTGGAGAACAATATGACAATTACTATATAGATCTTAAAATGTCTATACCAATTGAAAGACATTTATACAGGGCATATTATTGCAAAAAAATAGATAAAATTTGAAAATACAAAGAAAAGGCACTAAACTATTAAAAGTGACTACATAAAGTATATTACAGAAGACTTTAATTTTCCTTATATTTTCTTAAAAAATAGTTACTAAATATTTTTTAAAACAACAATATGAGATCTATTCCCCCAAATCAATTTGGGACAATATTCAATAAAGGAATAATGGGTATAAGTAAAGATATTTCAGATTTTAAAAACTTAGCAAATTAATGATGGCAATTTTAATACAAAATTCAGTGGAATAGAAAGGAAATAGTTAAAATTGAGGATGAAAATAATTCTGGTAACAAGATACATCATTAGTAAAATCAGTTGTTTTTTACCCTTGTGCACTGAATAACATAATCCCAACACAGTTAGAAACGTAAATAATAGTTTAATTCCAAACTTAACTTTAGAGAGCATTTAATAATTGATTTCATAAATTTTAAGGAATATGTCTAATAAGTATAAAATTATGTATTTTTAAAGCAGAGTCAGCTACTCTTTTCAAAGGATTATTTACTGTATATAAAGTAAAATATGTAACAACCCTTCTAACATTGTAACTTGAAAGCAAAAATTTTATCAAAGTGGAGAAGGAGGAATAAGAAAAAAGATAAAGGCAAAGAAAGAACAGAAGGAGAAGACACAACTATTTAATAATTACAGATGTACCAAAATGGGAGATTATAGTTTTAAAGACTGCTTATTTAAAAGAGACAAAAATTTACGACTTAGAATAATTCTTTAACACATTTAGTACTATAAGATAAATGATAATTATTGTAACTGTGAATGTTAATAAACTAAATAGTGAATGCTAGAGTTTTTAACATTGTTAGAAAATAGCTTTTAAAGTACAGAACATACATTTGATATGTTAAATAAGCAATACACAAAGTCGATAATTCAAAACTTTCACTGAAAAAAGTAATTACATGTTAAAATGATATTTGCAATTTCTCTCTAATTGGTTTTCAAACTGGGACTTTTGTAACCTTGGGGTATATTCAGACTTTCTGAGGTACAAAGAGTATAGAGAGTTTTAAGGAAATTAACTTCCAATTCTTCTTTCCATTTTTGAAAACCAAGAACCTTGGAGTTTACTTTTTGAGATATTTTATTTCATCCTCAGCTGAGCAAAAGGAATAAAGCCTTTTTATTTCTGTTAAGACAGAGGGTAGAAATTTTACATATCTGAAGACAGAGGATATAAATTTTCCATGTTTGCTTTAATTTTACCTGGCTACTCCAGGTCTTTGGCATTAAACAGTGTAGAGCAAGAGGAAAATTGATAAGATGTAGCTAGATGTAAACTAGGGAAGTCAGGTCAAGAAAGTGGCAGAAAAGAAACATCAGTAATGGTAATGCAGTTTGCTCTTGGTACTATTTTTAGATTGAAATTATGACTATTAAGTAGAATATAAGAGTGATGCTTGCACAACTTCTCGGGAAAACATAACTGAATTGACCACCATTCCTCTTTGTCGCTTCTCCTGTCTTTGTAGGCCATCAATGATTGTCTTCTCTCATTTTTTCCCTTTGTTACATGTAATTTTGGGATACATCTAGTTCCTGTTGGTGATTGTGTATGTTAAGCATTATGCTTAGAGTTATGGATAAACATAAATTAATAAAAAATATTTGGGAGGTAGAATTTTGGTAGAGTTCATGGGCACACAACATTCAAAATGCCAAGAGAGAGATTTCTTGTTATATGTTAAACTTGACTTAGAGGAAGAGTTGAGTATATCATTAGCAGAATTTCCAAAGCCCTGAACGCCTATCCTAATTTGCTAGAGGGAAGAAGAGAAAATATTAGGATTATCTTTTCAATTTTAGGACATTAGAAAGCGGGATAAAGGTAAAACAAACTAGTCTAGGCCCTCTTGTTATCTTATCCTTCCTATCAGATCAAGACGTCATCCTTGTGATATCAAAAATAGGCTATGATCAGAAATTTAAATTATTTAGACTGTATATACTTTACAGTCTTCAACTTTGAGTTTCTTTCTAACTCTTAAGTGGCTGAAATTGACCCCCAAATTACTCAATGTATTATGATGCAATTAGCATAATGGGAGAAAGAAAAGGCAAGCAATTATATAAATGTGTGCCTATTGGTTAAATAAAGAAAACAAGATTACATGAGTTTGAAAATATGAATATCAGGTACTGTGTAATTATAATATTGCACTTTAACACTACCTTCTTCTTCATTTTACAACCACATTTTTCTAGAACTGGAGTGACAAGGAGAGGAGTAGGAGATGAAATCAGACAGGCCATGGCTTTGGTTTTTTGCTCTAAGTGAAATGAAAACCCATGTGCGGGTCTTAACAAAAGGAGTGACATGATCTGAGTCATGTTTTAAGGGGAGGATTCTTTTGGCTGCTGAGTTGAGATTAGGTTGAGGGTAGTGAAGGTAAAGGCAGTGAGACCACGTAGGGGTCATTGCAGTAATCCAGGCTGGAGATGATGGTGGTTCAGTTGGAATAGCAGTGCATGTGCTGTAACAACCTCAGCTGGGAAGCAGTATATGTGGCGTTATGACCTCAGCTGGAACAGCAATGCATGTGGTGGTGTAATGACCCCAGCTGGGTAGGGTGCATGTGGTGTAACGACCTCAGCTGGGTAGCAGTGTGTGTGATGTAACAACCTCAGCTGGGTAGCAGTGTACTTGATAAAATGTTGGCATACTCTAGATTTGTTATGAGGGTAGTGCCATTAAATTTCTCCACAAATTGGTTGTCACGTATGAGTGAAAAGAGGAAGTGATGGAAGACTTCAGTGCTTTTGGCCTGAATAAATAGAAGACGTCATTTCCAGTTAATGGAGACAGGGAAGACTAAAGGTAGGGTGGGATTCAGTAGAGCAGGTGTTCAGTTTTGAATATGATGAACTCTGAGAGAGGAAAAACTTTTTCTACCTCTTAGTTTTTGTGACTGGACTTAAGAATTAAAGTGACATAAGACAGAGTAACAAGACAAAAATATGCGAGGTTATTTAATATTTTTACTTGCAGAGGGGAATCTTCAAAAGAAAAATGAAGACCCAAAGAAGCCATTAGGGTCAAAAGCTCATATGCCTTTTTAAGTAGAAAATGATAAATTTTAACAATGTGAGAAGACAAAGGTGTTTGAGCTGAGGGCAATAAATTGTGGGACAGTGATTAAGAAATATATGGGGGAAATGAAATGATAAGTTATTTTAGTAGATTTATTCTTCATATCTATTTTGGCTTCAACTTCCAGTCTCTAGTGATAAGAATGTTCTTCTCTTCCTGGTACAGAGAGAGCACCTTTCTCATGGGAAATTTTATGACCTTGCTGTAAGTAGAAAGGGGAAGATCAGAGAGCTTTTCCTGCATCTGCTGTTTCTCTAGTGCCCTCACCTTGAAATAATCAATATGTGGTCTATTTTAGAATGAAATACTCTGAACCACTCCAATTTGAGATGTCTATTCGATATCCAGGCAAAGATGTAAGTAGGCAGTTGGATATATAAGTTTAGAGTTTCAGTTATATAAAATAAATAATTTTTAGACATCTGTTATACAACGTCATACCTAAAGTTAGCAATGTTGTTTTGTACACTCAAAAATTTGTTAAGAGGTCTCATGTTAAATGTTCCAACTACAGTAGAAAATAAATAGCCTCTCTGTAGTCCCATCTCTGAGAGCTATGTCTGGGTCAAAAAGGCTTTCTGGTTTCAATGCTGTGCTTCCTAGAACTTGCACCACCAGATAGTGCTTTCTTCTTTATACTGCGTATTCTTCTGTTAAGATACTTTCTAGAATTGATCTCCTCTGGACCACTATTAGCTCCCCTCAGTTATCTAAAATTTTTTCTACCTTACTCCCAAGTTTCCTTCTCTACTGTATTTGGATTTGGTTCTTAGCAATTTTCCCTCAAGATGAGGCTCTATCCTTTGGCATCAGATAATTTTCTAGAATTTTCTAAGGTCACTGTGTGCTTTCCATGTGGATGAAAAATAAATGTTTACCTCTCCTCTCTCACACCATATTAAAAAACTCAATTCCAGGTATATTGATTGACTTCAATGCAATACTTCAAGCAATAAAACTTCCAGAAAGAAATGAAGGAATGCATCTGAGTGACTTTGGGCATACAAATTTTTTTTCAAGATACACAAAACTACTGACTCTAAAATAAAATAAAATTTTATAAACTGTATTACATTAAAATTAAGAATTTTAATTCATCAGAAAATGCCATCAAGACAGTTGAAAGTCAAGCCAAGGGGTAAGAGAAAATAGTTGGAATACACTCATATATCTGACAAAGGACAAATATCCAAAATATATGAAGCACCTCTGCAAATTAATAAAAAAGGAAGATAATCTCATAAAAATGATAAAAATACTTATAACAGGTGCTTCTCAAAAGAGAATATCCACAAGGCCAGTAAACATGAAAAACTGCTCAACTTCAGTAGTCATCAGGAATATGTAAATTAAAACTGCAGTGCAATACTTTTACACACCCAGCAGAATGGTTAGAATGAGAGATTCCTTCTTAGTGTTCACTAGAATGTGGAAAAACTGAACTTATGCTCATTGCTAGTAGAAATATAAGTTGTTATAGTTGCATTTGAAAACTCTGGAAGTTTCAAAGAAAGCTGGATGTAAGCATAGCCAGTGGTTCTACTCCCAACTATGTATCCAACAGAAACCCATTCTTTGTTCACAAATGATTTGCACAAGTATGTTCATAGCAGCACCAATCCTAATAGCTTTCAAACCAGGAAGTAAGCAAATGTTCATCAGTATGAAAATAAACACACTTATTGTGGTACACAAATACAATAAAATGTAGTAAAGAATCATTTAGAATGCATATGACATAGTAGAAGTATCTCATAAACAAAATTTTGGGCAAAAAAATGGCAGATCCAAAAGAATACATACTGTATAATTCTATTTAAATAAACCTCAAATACAAGTAAGCATAATCTACAAGTAAATGTAAATCAGCATCTTGATTGCTCTTTTGAAAGGAGCAATAGTGCCTGGGCTGGGCAAGGTTCTTTTTCTTGGTCTTGGCACTAATAACTTAACATATGTTAACTTCATGCATATTTAGTAATCTACATACTTATAATCTGTAAGTTATATTTCGATAAAAGCTTTATCTAAGAATATAAACAATAAACAGATAGCTGATTATGGGCAAAATATGGCTCAATGTTGAAATCTTTAATTTTTTTTAAAGAATGTGTATCTTATCTGTGCATGTGTCGGTGAGATCCATGCTGCTATTCTCATCCTGCAGTAACTAGAAGCAGTGTAATTACTTTTTGAAAATTTTGAACATACTCTTCTGGAAGCATGCAGAATCCACTGTTGGAAAATACTTATTTGTAGAGGTCACACCTTAATTATTTGGGGCCAAAATCCACTGTACTTTTGGTATTATTTAATAATAATATTGCTTTTCTGTTGAGAAAGGTTGGACACTGCTAATTAAATAGAATTAGACTCAATGTTTCCCCATCTCTGCTGTCAAAATCCATTCACTCTCTATGAAAAGATTCATGAAACAGCAACTAGTCTTCACTAACTTATTTTGTTCAATTAAAATTAAATTACACAATTGAACTTTTTCTTGTCTTTTTAATATAACATTTTAGTTAATTGCTTAATTAAAACTGAAGCCTGACATTTGTTTCTTCCTCTTTAGAAAAAAAGAAAAAAAAAAGAAAACATGTTTATTGCTACTTTCCATTTTGGTTATTTTATAACAGGAAACTCTGGAATAAATTTCTATTACCAAAGAAAGAAATAGTTTACACCTTCCTCATGAAAATATTTTTTAAAAGAATGGAAGAATGTTAGTTAAATTCAATGTCAGATTTTGATTTCTAGGAAGGCATTTATAATGCAATCAAGTTAAGCAAATATCTCTAGTTTTCTTTGCACACGTCTGTGTGTGCACACGCGTGCATACACACACACACACACAAACACACCACATACACAAAATCCCAGAAACACCAGCTTGATTTTCCTTAGTATTTTAATCATTTCTCAGTAGATATTTTGCACATGGAAATAATTAATGACTCTACCTACGGGTAGCAATATTTTATACTATTTCTCCAAAAACCCAGTCTTCTTCTATATAATGACTGCGATTTGTATAGTCGTTACTATTTTGGCATTGTCAAGTTGTTTTATGTACATTAACTCATTGAATAATTACAGCATCCTCTACAATAGGCACTACAATTATTCCCTTTTTATGGATGAGAAAACTGGGGCACAGGATATTTAGATGACTTGTCCAGGGTTACATAGCTAATAAATAGCAGAGCTGGGATTTTCATCCAGAATTTCATTTTCACTGTGGTAAATTAACTTTAGAAGTCACACTTGGCAACTGAATTGCATTGCCTCCAAGAAGATAGAGGCCAACTGGTAACTCTCCTAAAAACACAGAATTTGTTTTTTCTGTTCATTCATTGGTTCAACAGCTATTTGGGATTCTATGTTTATGCAGATGTGCTAGGGACTAGCTTTACATTAATGAGTAAAACTGGTATAGTTTTTGCCCAATGGCACTTAAAACGAATGAAAACGAAGTAAAAATAAACAAATACACATACAATAAAGAAAAAGACAATTAATAAACCTTTGATTAAAAGGCACTCTTCAGTTTGCACATTACCAGAATACACCAATTCTGTTCCAGAAATTTAGTTGAATAAAGCCATTCCCTCAACAACATGGTTCAAATTTCAGTTACCACAATATTTTAATTAAGTAATTGCATAAAATACCAAATTGGCTGTTGAAACTTTAGTCCCCAAATTGCTACATAAGTAACAGATGCACATTATGATCAGTGACTAATCATGTCACTTCTTTCAAAGTCTGTCTGTGATTGATCACTGCTCATCTGTTATTCACTTCAAATACATACACTACAACCTTTAGTTTTACTGCCTCCTTGTCTGCCAGTGATAAAACTCATATGACATTTTACAGAAATGGATAATTGACAGAGCGAATTGGTCAAGAGGACCCTGCCTCAAGAAAAAAAAAAGAGAGAGAAAGAAGAAAGAAAGAAAGAAAAAAGAAAGAAAGAAAGACAGACAGACGGACACGAAAGAAAGAAAGAAAGAAAGAAAGAAAGAAAGAAAGAAAGAAAGAAAGAAAAAAAAGAAAGAAAACAAAAAACAGAGGCAGACTCAGTGGTAAATGCCTGTAGTTCCAGCTACTAGGGAGGCTGAGATGGGAGAATACCTTGAGCTCAGGAATTTGAGGCCAATCTGGGACACAGAGCAAGACTCCATCTCTAAAAAGAGAAAGATGGAAGGAAGGAAGGAAGGAAGGAAAGAAGGAAGGAAGGAAGGAAGGGAGGGAGGGAGGGAGGGAGGGAGGGAAGGAGGGAGGGAGGGAAGGAAGGAAAAAGAGAGAAATGAATATGCAGCAAAGAAAGACAAAGTGATATAACTGATAGTGAAATTCAAATTGAATGTAAATGGAGTTATAGAAGAAATAGCTGATTACATTGGCATTTCTGCTGTTTGAGGGTTGCTAGATATGTAGCCAGAGGAATTTAGTAAATGCAAATGTGTTGACATAAATGAGATAAATGATTTTGTCGAAAGGTTGTGGATGTCCAAAGTGACATGAGCAAAAACTAAAAAAACTGAAAAACTCTCAAAGATATTTTATGACATTGAAAGCACATAGGATAAAATGTTGGAAATTGATCCAAATGTAGAAAGGAGTATGACAATTTGCCAAGGCATGAAAAAGGTACTTGGTCTGTAGACTATATGAAGAGAAGGTGGGCATTATGCAAACAACTGCTGATAACATTTTTGCAAAGAAATTAAAACACTTTAATTTTCGATGTTTCTAATTACATTATACTAAATAAATATTAGTTTCATGGTTGTTTTCATTTTTTTGAACGTTTGTAAGTGACCAAAATAGTTTTTTAATCTTTTGAGAAACCTTTGAAAGATTATGAAATTATCTAATTTTTTCCCACAATTATGAAAATTGCCTTGCACGATTTCAGCATGAGTGATCATTTCTTAGTCTTATACTACAAAGCCAACAAGTCCTAACCTCCAATCTCTTTTCTCCTGTTATTACTCCAATGGAGAAACAACAATTAAAGTAATAGTCTAACATTTCTTTCTCTAGATTATCAATTTTTGATATTTTGATTTCCTACTATATAGATGAGAATTTGCTTGTTTACTCTTTCTCTACTGCCCTATAGCAATATAGTCATGTCATCATTTCCTAGTCCCATTATCATTACCTTTGCATCTGTAAATTATATAACCTTACTTTTATTTCCCCTTTATTTATTTACGTATTTATTTATTTATTTGAGACAGGGTCTCACTCTGTTGCCGAGGTGACATGCAGTGTCATGATCTCTGCTCATTGCAGCCTCAACCTCCCAGGCTCCTTCCTCCTCAGCCTCCCAAACAGCTGGGACTAAGGAGTGAGCCACTCCACCAGGCTAATTTTTCTATTTTTTGTAGAGATGGGGTTTTACCAGGTTGCTCAGGCTGGTCCTGAACTCCCGGGTTCAAGCAATCCTCCCGCCTCGACCTCCCAAAGTGTTGTGATTACAGGTGTGAGCTACTGCGCCCAGTCCCATTTTCTCTTTCATAAGTTGCATATTGAAAAATAGAAAAAATGGCCTTATCCATCTTCTGGCATCCTTGACTGCCAACTCTAAAATTTTGACACTTGTACTTTTACTTTAATATCATCAAGGTTAATTAAAGTGATGCTGTTAGATAATCTTACAAATTATTATTCATATAGTCATATATATTATTCTCAATTATGACTAACTGCTATTTCTAAAAGTTGACCCTTAATACATTATTTACACTATTCTGACTATCTTGTTGAACGAAAAGAAATGGACAATATTTCACTTCTTTGGCCTACAAAAATAGCAATTTAATACAGCTCAACATAATATTTACTGTAACAATAAATATTGAGGAGTGCTGTTACATGAATATATATTTAATTGAAAAGGTGATGCCTGTCTGGCTAATGTTTTGAACATGGGGTAAGGGTGAGGGCCAACGGTTTTACATAAGAACGTGTTTATCTCTGTTTTTCATCTTATCTCTCACTCTTGCTCTCTTTGAGAATCCTGAGGATGAACCAAATTCTTCCTTCCTATGGTTCTGTCCATTCTTACTCTTGGCCGTGTCTACTTCTATCTGTTCTCTGTCTTCTATACGTTTTGTTGTATTGTTGTGTTTTAATCGCTAATTGGACAGTTGATCCCCTCAATTTCTTTCTCATAAAAATTTGCATACTTGGCTATGTGTTACCAGAATTTTAAAGGCATTTATGTCTGTTCAGGTCCTGTAAGAAGCAGACATTAAGACAAGATTAAAGTTACAAGAGATTTATTAACCTGTGAAGGGTTAGAGAGAAGTAAGAAAGGAGATTGGGAAGAAAGACTCTCACACTGCAGCACAGCTCTGAGCCTGGATGAGTCCAGGCTGATGGAGATCCTACAACAAAGATTTCCCATTAAAGGGTTGAAGTGCCTGGCTCTAGTACCATACTCCATGCTCAGCTATTGGCCTATAAAAATGGCCAGTGAGAACATGGCCTTAGCATGAACCCTGTAGTCAATTTCAAAGATGCAGATGTGGCATCTGGCAGCTACAGCCAAAGGCCTAAACAATACACCTCCATGCTCCACAGCATCTGAGGAAGAAGTACATAACATTAGCTGGCCACTGTATTATCTCAAACCAGAAGACTGCTTAAGTTTGGAGTCTTGCTACTTAATCATTTGCTGAGTTTTACGTTGCTCATTAGTTGTCTTATATTCTTAGCTAGCTCTTCATTATGGCATCATTAATTTGCATGTGGTCTCTCAGAGCTTACCGAGTTAACTGTAGTTCTCCTGATTGCTGGGACAATGTCCTACATTGCCTTACACCAGCCTTGGCATCAAACAAAGTCCTGGTGTGGTTGACACTGTGGTGTCATCTTTCTAGGCCACATCCTTCCTTCTTTGAGATCTGTATTCATAATCCAAACTTAAATCTCAGTTCCGTTACTCTTAAACATTTAACACAGCCATATTTTGATTTCTAAAGTATGTTCAGTCTTAAAATTTAATGACTTGTTTACTAATAAGAACTTCAGAATCGTGACTCTTTTTAAACCAAAATAAATGTTTCCTGAATGTCAGAAATAGATTTTTTATTGTTATTTTTACTTATACTATATCTTTCTGTTGTTGTTTGAGTTACATTTTATACAACATGCATTTCTTAAACACTTACAAATATGAATCTGACATCATTGTTCTAGGAATGGAGATGTGAAGATGATGATGGCCAGTCTTTGACTAGTGCACCATTGTGATAAAAAGACAGTCATGTCTGGGCATGGTGGCTCACACCTGTAATCCCAGCATTTTAGGAAGCTGAGGTGGGCAGATCACTTGAAGTCAGGAGTTAAAGACCAGTCTGGCCAACATGGTGAAACCTTTTCTCTACCAAAAATTACAAATTAGCCAGGCGTAGTGGTCCACGTCTGTAGTCCCAACTATTCAGGAGGCTGAGGTGGGAGAATCACTTGAACCCGGAAGGCAGAGGTTGCAGTAAGCCAAGATTGTGCTACTGCACTCAAGCCTGGGTGACATAGAGAGACCCTATCTCAGAAAAAAAAATAATAAAATAAAAATAAATGAATCATAAAAATTACAGAAACAAAAAATCACAGGAAAATCCAAAATAAAACAACATAGTGTTTTAGTGATTTATAATTAAAATACATACATAATGTGTACTCTTTAGAATCAAGTGTAAAACAGAGATATGTGTTCTTATATAAAAATAAAAAAGCTATAACGAGGACACACCCATGTTTATAGCTCCCAAGATAATATTTCATACCTACACATGGACACACAATCATGGGCAAAATTAGAAAATAATTGAAATGTAAATCTTGAGTTGTTTTGTCCTTAGACATAAGGAAATAAAATCACTGAGAAGCATTTTTAGACACAGGACTTATTAATTTGGCATTTTATTTCTAGTGTAGGGTGTACTTACTTTTATAGATGTTGCAGTTACATATTTCTTAATTAAAAAAATTTTATTAGTTTTTATTAGCTAAACATTTTTATCCTACAAATGTGAGAAAATTTGGACTATGAGAAAATAATAGGTTTGTAACAACTACTTCAAAATTGTAGCCCACATCTCAAACTTAAAGTCTGAGCAAGACTAACAGATATTCCCTACAAATTAAATAAATTTGAACTATTAAGAAGAGCAACATTTGAGAACCATCCAGTGTGTTCCTGGTTATTTCCTGAATTATTGTCATTTATTTTTGTTGATTAATGATATTCACCTGTCTAAACTATAATATTCCCTGGGTGAGTGGAGGAGTCTTGTGGTTGTAAAAATTTTTGGAAGTAATAAGAGGCCAAGTGGTTTGATGGATCATCCACTGTGGACTGTGGGAGCAGTGAGGTTAGAGATAAAAAGAATGGAGCAGGCACTGCAACCACCAATCATTACGATTGAGATCTTGAAAACTGTTATGTGAAAGTTACCATTAAGTGGAACAAGCCTTATAATTTAATATCAGAATCTTCTATAATGTGATATGAGCAAATTGAGCACTGAACTTATCACCAGCCCAGGGATACCTGAGTAAGAAAGAAAACGCAGCCTCCACTACCTGAGTACTACAAGGGAGTAAGTATCCTTGGAAGAGAGACAAATTTCATCACAGCAAGAGGTAAAGGGATTATTCAGGAATAGGTTAATGACATAGGGAGTTGGTTCATGGCAGGTAAAAAGTTAAAAGAGCTCCACAATGTTTCAGATTGCAACTGGTTAAGATATTAACAAATAAATATAAGAAAGATGATGAATAACCTGCAAGCTTTAGATTTCTGTTAGGAACTAGGATTTATGTTGGGCATAATGGATGTAGTAATGATTAATTTACAAAGAGAATGCTGGTCTTTGATACACTATGACACATTCTTGAAACAGTCAATACAGTTTAGTAAATTTAATAAGTAACCCCAACTTGGATAAGACAGATTGAGAAGGCAGGGCAACATTTACTGAAATTCAGTAAATTTGTGTGCAGATCCAGGTTTCTATCTTAGGTCAGTTTCCTTTGGTTTGAAAATTTTCTTGAACACGTGTAGCAGCATGGATTTGCTGGTGAAAAATTCTTTTTGCATTTGTGCATCTAAAAATGTATTTTTATTTTTGAAAGATATTTTTGCTTGTAAAGAGTTCTATGTTGACAGTTTTTTTTTTGTTTTCTTTTAATTCAATACTTTGAAGATGTTTCTCCACTTTTTTCTAGCTTGCATTATTTCTGACAAGAAATCAGCTGTCATCCTTATCTTTTTTCTCTGTAAATAACATTTTTTTCCTCCATCTGCTTTTAAGATATAATATTTTCTTTTCATCACAGGTTTTAAGAAATTGTTTAATGATGTGTCTTGGTGTAGCTTTCTCCCTATGATTTTTCCATGGGCTGTGTTGAGCCTCTTGGGTCTTGAGTTTATATTTTTCTTCCAATTTGGAAATTTTTTAACCATTATTCCTGCAAATGTCTTGCCTCAATTCCTTCAAGATTCCAATACATATATTGCTGGCCACTTGTAGCTGCCCCACATTTTATTGATTGATTATTCTCCTTCATATGGTTAGTATTTTTCTGCTTCTTTGCATTTCTTGTTATCTTTGATTAGATACCAGACATTGTGAATATTATCTTGCTAGTATTCATAAAAATATTATCAAGCCTTGTTTTGGGATTTGGTTAAGCTACTTGGAATCAGTGTGATCCTTTCAGGTCTTTTATTGAAGCTTTGTTATGTGGGACTGGAACTGTGTTTAATATGGGGTTAATCTCCAGCTTCCATATTTAGAAGGGAAGGCCATTCTTAGTATTCTTACCAATACCTCTTGAATTATGAGGTTTTCCATACTGACTGTTGGGAACACACAATATTCCTGTCCCTGTGGGATCTCTGAGCAGTGTTCTCTTTGCAGTGGTTCATTTTCCATCCTATGATAATTTCCTCACATAATTGTGTTGATGAGCTCTCAACTGAATCCTCCAGAAAGACCCCCGGCAGATCTACAGAGTTCTTTCTCTGTGCAGCTCTTTCATCTCTGAGACTCTGCTCTGTGACCTCACTGTTTTGTCTTCCTTGGATTTCCAGTTGTCTCCTTGACTCGAGAAGACCACAAGATTCCCCTCTTTTTGTACCACAATCTGAAAACTTTCCCCAGGCAGCAAGGTGAGGCAATCCTAGGATTCACCTTCTCTGTTTCTCAGGTCTCGGGAATCATTGTTATTAATTGCCTAATGCCAATGACTTGGGCTTCATTGTTTCATATATTTTATACTGTTTTTGTAGTTCTTTTAAGTATGAGGGTAAATTTTATACCTGTCAGTTCTGGTTGTTATTTGAACTAGTAATTGTTAAGCAGTGGATCTTTATAATATTAGCAGTGAAATGCAATATAAAATTAATAAAGAACAAAAAACCTTAGTATTTGAAAGTTTTAAAACCTCAAAGAAATAAACATATTTCGAGGCATAATTATGTAAATAGATGGCAAAGTTTAAGGAAAAGGCATCAGCTCTTCCACCTCATTTAGTATGAAGGAGCAGAGTTTGAGCAAAAAATTATTTAATTCATAACGACATCCTAGAAACCCTTATCAAAAGGACAGTGTAAACTTTACTAGTTTGGCTCATTAAATTGAAAATGAACTTGGAAAAGGTCATGGGGTATTAGAGGTTAGGTAAGTCATAATCAAAGCAATTAGCAATGGATTATGTCTCATGAACTCTCTAGAAAGAGAAATCTCAGTGGTAATTGTTGAAAAAAAGATGGTATTACCATCTTTTTAACATCTATCTGGAACATAATCCAATAATTAACTACTTCCTTCACTACTTAAATACAAATAGTAGTCTCCTTTATCTAAATTTATAGCTTGCAAAAAATATGAAGTGATTTTCAAGTATATATGTGTTATACAAATCACACCTTTGGACAATGATTTGTTGATAAATAAAGCTTTTATTTATAGAAAGACTAACTAGAAAGTGCACTCTTAAGTGCAGCTCAATGGTTGGCTTTAATAGAAGTAGATATTTTATATTATTAGACTCTAGAAAGTTTCTGCACTTTTTAGTATAGCTCTAATAAATCATACCTAAATCTTAAGTACCAGTTTTTATTCTTCTTTGAACTGTATTTTAATGTTTCCAATCACCATTAACATTTTTCAGTTTAATATTTTTAAGAATATGTTTTAAAACACAACACTGCTGGATTTTGTCACCTAGGAAACTAATCATTCTCTTTGACACTCTTAGCCTCAATTTCTGTAGCTGTGAAATATGCCTTAAAGACTTTTTTTCTGACTTTCTTAAAAACAGATCATGTCTTAAAACACCATACCTGTATAGAGTTTTTCTGTATTTTTATTGTTGGTGTTTCAGAATATGGTGCTATTTCTGAATGTATAAATGTGAGTACAAACCAAAATTTAAAAGATATGAATTTTCAAAATGTCAGTCTCTTACCTTGCACAAGCACACCAGACACTTAACTAATTTATTAAGCATATAAGATAAGGAGGCCTAACAGTGATCTAAATCTGAGAGAAAAATGAAATATTGGAGTGATGTGCTTCAAGACCAATAACTAGGGGGTGGCTTGAAACCTCAAAAGACAGACAACAAAGAGACCTCAAAGAGATCACTTGGAAAGGGAAATAATTATTAAATAAGACTATCTGAAGCTAACTAGGGAAAAATCATCACCAATTAAACACATAGGGAATCGAAGATCAGAGCAGAAATGGATTTAAATTCAGCATTATACCCTAGCTTATCAATAAAATGATATGTTAACCTTGTATTTGTATAAGGCTATCCTTTGCCATAATATTGTGTTCTAAAACCCAACATTCATTTTTCTTCCTAGCTCTAGATGACTATAAGGTATTAGATCTGTACTTTCATCAGAGAAAACCTATTGGTTAAAACATCATTCTGGAGTCATATGGCCTGGGTTAAAACATCTGTTCAGGATATTAGATAATATTAAGGAATTATTGTTTATTTTTTTAGGTGTGGTCAAGGCTTTGAGGTTATATTTTTAAAAAGACTCCTTATCTCATAGAGTTGGATTCTAAAATACTTATAATTAAAATACATGATATGGGGAATTTGCTTCAAAATAAACCAGAAGATGGGGAGAGTATAGGGATTTGAATGAAAGAAGACTGTTCATAATGTGATAATTATTGAAACCAGATGATGTGTTCATGCTATGTTCTCTTTTCTTTTTGAACTTTGAAATTAAATAGAACAAAACTTGTTTCATCATATAATGCTCTGTGACCTGAGGCAAATTACTTAATACTCAGTTTATCATTTAATTGTGAGAGAATAAGAGATACCTGACTCTTAGGATTGTTTTCAGAACTAAATGAGTTAATTGGTATAATGCACTTAGAATATTGTCTGTATCATGGAAGATACTATGTAAATATTACCTTTTAAAATATTATGCATTCCATGTCAATTTTTTCCATGTCCACTTCTTAAATTAAACTTCATTTTGAGATCATTGTAGATTCACATACAATTTTAAGATATAATACAGAGAAATCACCTGCTCCATTTGCTCAGTTTCTACCAATGGTAATATCTTGTACAACTATAGTACAATATTGTAACCAGGATATTAATATCGATACAATCACAACACAGAGTATTTCTATCATCACAAGAACTCCTCTTTTGCACTTCTATAGCTACACCTACTTCCAATCCTTCCTTAACCCATGGCTCCCATTAATCTATTTTTATTACTATAATTCAGTCATTTCAATATTGCTTTATAAATGGAACCACACTGTAAGTAACTTTTTGGAATTGGCTTTTTTCTCTTAACATAATTCTCTGTAGAATTGTTATGTTATGTTATGTTATGTTATGTTATGTTATGTTATGTTATGTTATGTTATGTAGAACTTAACATAATTCTCTGTAGATTTATCCAAATTGTTGTGTGTATCAATAGTTCATTCAGCCTTATTGCTGAGTAGTATTCTATGATGTGGATATTCCACCATTTGTTTAGTGATTCTCTGTTTGCTGAAGAAGATCTGGGTTATTACTGTATTTGGCTATTATGAAGTAAGCTTCTATAAACATTTGTATATAGGCATTTGTGTGAATATAAGTTTTCATTTCTATGGGGTAAATATCCAGTAGTGCAATTGTTGGGTCATACTGTAGTTTCATATTTAGTATTTTAGATACTGCCAAAATGCTTTCCAGGGTTGTGTTAACATTTTAAATTTCCATCACTAATGAATGAATGATCCAGTCCCTCTGCATTCTTTCCAGCAAGAATTGAATAGTGTTATGTTATCACTATGTTTTAATTTTGGTCATTGTGATAGGTGTGTTGTCCTCATTGAGGATTTAATTTTGTTGAAGATCTTTTCATATGCTTATTTGCCATCTGTATATTCTCTGCAGAGAAATATCTGTTCATGTTTTTTGTCCATTTTCTAATGATTACTTGCTTTTTAACGTTGAGTTTTTTAAGTTTTATCATCTATTGTTTATTTTACATTCAACAAATACATACTGTACAATACTAAATGTCAGGCCCTGTTGTAGGTACTCGTGATACATCAGTGAATGAAACATGCATCTCATCCCTTATGAAGCTTACAATCCAGCTAGACCATGACTATGACAAAGACAATGACAGACACAGTAACACAGTAAATGTATACTGCACGTTAGAAAGTTACAAATACTACCAGAAAGAAAATAGAATAGAGTAAGGAGGCTCAGGAATCAAGGGTGCAGGTTAAAGCTTCAAACTGTTAATGTATACCTAAATATATGTGCATATTCAGGGACATTTGTCCTTTGATCAATAGTAAGGAAATGCAGAAATTAAGAGCAAAATTACTAACGTATTGCAATGCTATCTTAACTTGAAAAGTGGTTTGTAGGGTTTGTATCATAAAGAGGAATTTTGGGGGTTACAATAGCTTAGATTTATTGAAAGCTAAGTGCCAGTCACTGCATTTTACATACACTATTTTGATTGAATCATCACACGAAGATGCATTTTATATCTGTAAATGTGTTTTTTGGTTTTGTTTTGAGACAGTCTTGCTCTGTCACCCAGGCTGGAGTGCAGTAGCATGAATACGGCTCACTGAAGCTTCAACCTCCTGGGCTCAAGCAATTCTCCTGTCTCAGCCTCCCAAAGTGTTGGGATTACAGGTGTCAGCCACTATACCCAACTTCTGTGTTTTTAATTTACTTGTCCTAGGCCCCACAGCTTTCCTCATTCCATTTGATAATATTGGTACTCAGAATTGTCTATCTTATCAATAATGGATTAGAAAAATATGTATCTATACAAACTCCTGACACATAAGCTTTTTTTAATTGCTAGGTTTTAATAATCCTTAAAACCTCTGCACTAACTGCTATCTTGCTGCCTGGACTCTTACCCCTGTGTATGGCCGGCTTCCTCATATTTATGTCTTGGCTTCATGGAGACCTTCTCGGGCTTCCAAGGAACAATCCATGGAGGCTCTGTTTCTGATCAAGTTCCTCCAAAGCACTTACTGAGATTTCCTTGTTTGGTTATTGTCCTAGAATTATACTTGGTCATGTAAGTTTAGTTCACTGAAGGATCCCCAGGACCTGTTTCTTGAAGGAAAAATGTACATATACCCAAAATACTAATAGCAGTTTAACTCAATGTGGTGGCATTAAGGATAATCAGTACTTTAATATTTAAAACTCTTACAGTATTACCATTTAATTATATTTAATGCTGTTCATTAAGTTGAATGTTTTCTTGAAATATTGCAATACAGCTTTCTAACTTCTCCCTTCATTTCATTTACGACCTGTTCCTCAGCCCATTGTCTAAAAATGGTCACCTTTAGATATCTTTTCCCAACATTCCCTCTTCATCAAATAATTCATGATTTTATTTACCAGTGGTCCAAAACTGCCTGCAAGAATGAACATTTCCAGTGACGTAGCATTTGGACATTGCCTTCTACCATGGTCAATTCACAATGTGTCTGGCCACTGAGCTGCATGCCCATGAGTCCCAGGAGCCTCTCTTGAGCTCTTGGCTGATATTCAACTGCATCTTGGGTTCCATGGGTCCAAATTTGAATTGTTTTCACTAAGGTAGAAAAACAGAAACACTTGGGGATCTTGGGAAAAAGATAACAGATCTATTTTGACAAAATTAATGAAAATATTGATTATCATGACCATGACTCATTTAAACATGGTCTTTGGAACAATTTGTGTAGCTCTTTAGGGAAAATGACAGCATTAGAGTAAATGTTATTGCTGTTTTCACTAAATTTACTTGCCTAATATTTGACCAGTTTTAATCCAGGTTTTATTTTATTCATGACCTTCTTTCCCTATAACCTTGGTGAATCAAAAGCTCCTTTTGCTTATTCTGTTATGCTACACTCTCCTCCTTTCTCCAATATTTAGTATACTATTCTTCATTTCTAACTTGAGAAAGTAAAATTTTTAAAATTACATTTACACCAAGACTAAATATTCCTTGATTTGGTTTATCATCAGACATTCATTTTAATGCTTGACTTATTTTTTCCTACTAACTCTTGTTTATTCACCTTGCGCTTATTTCTATTACTCTAAAAATGCTTTATTTTCTGTACAAACCCAAGGTGTTCCAGACCTCTTCTTCTTTGTCATTAATTGCCAAGATGAGTCATGTCTCCATAAAAACTTATTGAGGATTTTTCCACAAGTGCCAATACAAGGCCACAAAAGTTTAGAAATTTTCTAAGCTTTTATGTGGTAGAACTTGTTTTTCCATCAACGTATCTGATTCTAAAGCACATGGTCTTCCAACTTTGTTACACTGCCACAGGGTAATTAAGAGACAAAAATTTGGCCACTTGTCTCTATGAGCCAATTTATAAGAGTTTTAAAATATTAATTTGATGCTAAGATAACACTGGGAACATACTGAGATGGAGAAAATTCTATGTCACAGAGAAACTGTCAATGATTGCAATTGTTGGAAGAAATATTTGAAAAGCCACTTTCAGTGCTTTCAAGAATAGGATATGCACATGTGGGTCCATGGTTAAATCGTGTCGTCAAGGGAGCAGGTTTCACCATTAGTCCTCCTTTGCTACATCCTTCACAAAGAATTCAGCCACTGCACTAAATTGGTGGTGAGTAAATATTTAAGAAATGTCAGTTTGAAAAAGTAGAAAGTGATTAGCTTATTGGCAGTGCCATCTCTCTCAGTCTGCCCTATACTGCTCTGTACTTTGTAGGTCATGAGAAATTCTCATGTGAGAAAAATGCATCCATGTCTATACTCCTGCTAAAGCATTTCCCCCACAAAGTATAGAACTATCTTCAATATGTTTAAAGTTTCAGTGGAATGGAAATCATGATATAAGCATGTATGTGTTAGCAAATACAGATGCAAAATTAAAGACCGTATCTCAGTCACAAGAGGAACATGTAAGGCAGATAAAATGTGGAAACTTTTTGGCTAAATTGAAAGGTTAAAACAAAATTGAAAACAAATAGATCACTGATAACATGGCATGTAATATATACTTAATGTTCTCCAGAAGATTTCTTGTAAGCTTTATTATGAATGACAAAGTTGTAAAAATCACATTTCCAGGATTGGACGGTGACACTGAGAATGCTCCAACTTTCTTCCAGGATCTAAAACATTTATCCTGGAGCACAACTCACTTTCAGAGACTCATAAATACAATAAGAACATGATGACATATTGGGAAAACCTGCATCCAAGACTTTCCTCTTTAATACAAGTTTTCCAAAGCAAACCAGGTAGAAACCCTTCCCCAGTGAGTGACAAAGACAAAAATATTGCAATGTTCATTGTGGACAAAGCCAAGACTTATTTTTGGTAATACGGTAGAAATAGATCACTCTAAACATAAGTACATTTTTACATTCACTAACAGATATTCAAATGCAGAAATATTAAAGAAATCTCATTACAACATTTGTAAGGTTTGGAGGGAGTTCTGAGCATATGTATAAATATATATACAAAGTCTCTTTAGTAGGATTGAATACTTAGTAGAAAAGTAAAAGACTATTTTTCAAATTTTAGCCTGAAGTCTTTCATAGGTAAAATATCAAACTTAGTTTTTACTGCTAGAACCTTGCAATGAAGACCACAGAGCAATCATACCACTACCCTGTGTTCCCATTTTCTATTTTAATAATAATATTTTCAGTCACAAAAGGTTCTCAAGTGAAATCAAGAAGTAATATAAGTTCATAGATAATTTAGATTAAAAAGAGTTTTCTTTACCTGAGACTTCCATATCATTGAGACTTATTTTGATTAGAATCATGTGAATGATACCCACCTTCTCAAACCATAAGCATTATTTGCATATTTAGCGACTACTAATAGCATCTTAAAAACTCTCTTCTGTGGATTCATTTATTTAATTTCCTATTTTAAAAGGCATTTGAGAGAAAAAGAATTCTGGATTTCATGCCACGTTTCTAAAAGCATATTATGACATGAAATGAAAAGCTAAAAATTTTGCTACACACCTTTGTCCAGTGGCATTTTACCCGACATAAGTGAAAACATATTTATGATGAAGTCATCACAATAAATCATGAAAGAGATTCTGGTAAATATGGTAGTTCTAGTTCCCAAGGTGTGATTTCACAATTTAACACAGGATGATAAGCATAAGCACTGTAAGTTGATTTACCCATTTTTATTGGAATTCACTTTAGATCAGTTTCTAATGGGAGATTTGGATTGCTTTGACTCCGATGTTGTAAAACCCTTCATTCTTAGTAACTTTTCCAATTTTGGTAATGAAAGTATTTGGGTACTCACACTTGCGCCATTCCTTGAAAGCTTGCCCATTAGTTTACTAGAACTCCATAAAATATTAACTTGTGTGTGTGCAGTAAGGAGACCAATAAAACACCATATGTTTAGTGACTAAATCATTTAAAAATGTA
The DNA here is from genome assembly GCF_000001405.40 of Homo sapiens. Classification (NCBI taxonomy): domain Eukaryota; kingdom Metazoa; phylum Chordata; class Mammalia; order Primates; family Hominidae; genus Homo; species Homo sapiens. Next base: position 82,722,691 of record NC_000001.11, on the reverse strand, counting down.
CTAGCACCTCTTCCATAATATTCTGTGACATATAGGAATTTTGAATTTGACTACGTTTAATAAGTATGAAATATTCTTTGTTCTTAGCATACCTTCTTCATACTCTTTGAGAGAGAAATTTTCCACATGTGCAAGTAAAAGAAACACTGGATTCTGGCTTACCAATTTATTTTAAGAAAAAAATTTGGAGAATATTTTGCTTATTTCATTGCCTTGACATATTTATCTTCTTAGTCATCAACAGGTGATTGCTATAAGTCACTGGAGAACAAAAACAGAGTTCCATTCATTTTTCAGTACCTAGAAAATAGATGACTCCATGAAAATGCATAAGCAGGGAATAAATACATGCTAAACCAACTTTCTGTAAGGTATAGTTTCTCTAAGAAACCAAATTTGGATAAAGGAAAACACGAGAATTATTTTTGGCCAATATTAAGCAAAAATTCTCAAATATGATAATTGAATGATTTCTATTTAAAACTCAGATAGGCTGTTCATCATGACAACATTACCAAACCAAACCAGGACCAATGAAGTAAAGAGAAGCATGTATTTATAACAAAACAAAACAAAGAAATAAAACCAAAACTGTAAAAGGCAGGCAAAACCATAGTGATCTTCTACTTCTATTCAATATCATTTGCTCCATATATTGATAGGGCTCCTCTTCTGAGTAAGCCAAAGCAAAAAAAGAAAAAGAAACAAACAAAAATACACCAAACTATATGAATGTGAATTTTGGGGGTAAACAAGTTTTGGGGGAAATCCAGTCAATAGCTTATGTTTATTTGAACTTCCTCTACGAAAGCTCTCAACTACAGTTTCATTCTGTGACTACAATTAAACAGCAGTTCAAAAACAGAAATATATCTGAGCATTTGTGTGTGTGTAATTGCGCAAATCTAAATGGTCAATGTCTCTGTAGGGAAAAAGTTAAATACAGGGAACATAACCAAGGCCACTGAACGTGCATGCTGTGGTTGAGTTATCTTGTATCCAAGTTTTAGACCTTAGATCATAAAAGATGTGAAGAATGCTAGAGAGAGAGAGGAAGGAAAGTGACAGTTTTAATTTAAAAAAATGAAAAACAGGGCTCTTTCCAATTGCTTAGCACCCTGGCCAGCCTCCATCTCATGGCTGACATCTCACCCATGTTAGAATGTCAGCCATGTTCCTCTTGCCCAATTGACTTGGGTAGGTCAATGCTATTCTAGTGCCCACTCAATCTTTCTACTATGCAGAGAGATAAAAGAGGGAAACAATTTAAAAATAAGCAACCAAATCTTTAAAACTCATTTCTCTCCCTGTCAGAATACCAATGACATTCTTCACAGAAATAGAAAAACCAATCCTAAAATTCATATGGAACCACGAAAGACCCAATATAGCCAAAGCTATCCTAAGAAAAAGAACACAACTGGAGGAATCACATTAGCTGACTTCAAATTATACTACAGAACTATAGTTAACAAAACAGCATGGTGCAGGCCTAAAGGCAGAGGCATAGACAAATGGAACAGAATAGAGAACCAAGAAACAAATCCATGCACCTGTAGTAAACTCATTTTTGACAAAGGTGACAAGAACATACACTGGAGAAAACAAAGTCTCCTCAATAAATGGTGCTGGGCAAACTGTATATCCATATGCAAAAGAATGAAACTAGACTCCTATATCTTGCCATATACAAAATTCAAATAAAAATGGATTAAAGACTTAAATCTAAGATCTCAAACTATGAAACTGCTACAAGAAAACATTGGGGAAAATCTCCAAGACATTGGTCTGGGCAAAGATTTCTTGAGCAATACCTCATAAGCACAGGCAACCAAAGCAAACATGGACAAATGGGATCACATCAAGTTATAAAGTTTCTGCACAGCAAAAGATACAGTCAACAAAGTGAAGAGACAATCCACAGAATGGGAGGAAATATTTGCAAACTACCCTTCTGACAAGGGTTTAATAACTAGAATATATAAGGAGCTCAAACAACTCAATGGAGAAAAAATCTAATAATCTGATATTTAAAATGGGCAAAATATTTGAATAGACATATCTCAAAAGAAAACACACAAATGGCAAACAGGCATATGAAAAGGTGCTCAACATCACTGATAATCAAAGAAATGCAAATCAAAACTACAGTGAGTTTTCATTTCACCCCACTTAAAAAGAGAGGCAATAACAAATGCTGATGAGGATGTGGAGAAAAGGGAACCCCTGTAACCCATTGGTGAGAATGTAAATTAGTACAACCGCTATGGAGAAGAGTTAGGAGGTTCATCAAAAAACTAAAAACTAAGCTATCATATGATCCAGGAATCCCACTGCTGGGCATATAGCTAAAAGAAAGGAAATCGGTGTGTCAAAGAGATATCTGCACTTCTATGTTTGTTATGGCACTGTTTACAATAGCTAAGATTTAGCAGCAACCTAAGTTTCCAACAGCAGATGAATGGATTAAAAAATGTGGTACATAAACACAATGAAGTACTGTTCAGCCATAAAAAATAATAATATTCAGTAATTTGCAACAACATGGATAGAACTGGAAATCATTATGTGACGTGAAATAAGCCAGGAACAGAAAGATAAATATGGCATGTTCTCACTTATTTTGGTAACTAAAAATCAAAACAGTTGAAATCATGGAAATAGAGTGTAGAAGGATGGTTACTAGAAGCTGGGAAGGGTAGTAGGGGGTTGGGAGGGAGGTGGGGATGATTAATGGGTGCCAAGAAAATAGAAAAAATGAGTAAGACCTACTATTTGATAGTGCATTCTCCATGATGTGCTTATTTGACATTGCATGCCTGTATCAAAACATATCATGTATTTCATAAATATATACATCTACTATGTACCCACAAAAATTTTTAAAAAATTAAAAAACCACTTTTCTCTGTGACAAAGTATCAATACTTTAGATGAAAGTATTGAGACATTTTATATTTTAGCCCAGTCCACCAACTCACTATGGAATCCTAATATTAAAATAATGTCTCAATTTCATCAGTTGTTTACAAATTTTAAAGTCACTGGACAGGGAGTGAGATATGGAAATAAATATTTATAAAAAGCTCTGAGATCTCTTGATGAAAAATGACCTGAATGTGTAAAGTATTATTGTAGATATTAGAAAAAAAGCAGTGCAAACTGTCCCATTTCTGCAATAATTGGCAGGTTGATAGGCTAAATCGTAACTTTTTAGCTGCATTCACATTCGCAGTGAAAATGGAATTCAATCTGAATATTACTAAATAGAACATATACAGCTGGTGGTAATGAAACTCTGAGATTTTCTCCTTTTTATATAGTATTTGAGAGATCACATAGCATACTCAATGGCATTGATTTTGGGATGAATTCAATTTCCACACATCATTCAACTGTTCATAAAGGTTACAAGAGAGGTGAAAAAATAGATCAAAAGAGACTGAAGAAGGCCAATAGCTTGGCAAAAAGTGCCACACAGCTATTCACTTAGGGCATGAGTCAATATAGTTGTGTTCATTCCTCTTGTTAAACAAGAAAAGAGAGAGAGAAACCTCAAGTTAGAAAATTTTGGAACATCCACATCTTTCATAACTTCACTCTGTACCTCTTCATGGAAAGAAATATGAATTTTCATTAAAATATGAGCATTTTAATTTCAAATGCACAAATTAGCCCTTTAAACAAAGTGACCCTTATACTCAAACATTTCGAAATGTCACCTCTTAAAGGTTAAGAATGTTGCTGTGACCCTGCTCACCTGTAAAACACACTCTGAATCAGAAGTTCAGAGCAAGACATGTGCACAGCTCTTGACTTTAACTGTCTGCTGAGAATGTGGTCAAGGGCATGCCACAGTCCTCACTACAAGCCAAGAATTATTTCTTCAAGCTTTCACTCTTTCAGTCCTAGCTTATTGGAACTTTCTATAAAAGACTGAAATAGAGTAAAAAGGTGAAAGTTTACATTTCTTCATGTTGTCTGAGCCTTCATGATTACTTGAGTAGTTCTATTATGACCTCAAACTGTACACATTATTTTTTATTTGTTTGTCTTGGTTCCATATAAGCTAACAGATTTGTAAATTACACCTGTCCCAACGGTAACCACACTGCTTTTTCTTCCTGCATTATTCTGAAATTTGGTTTCAAATAAAATATTTCTTATTTGATGAATAGAATTAAATCTGGAATAAATGTAATGTAATCAGTCAGTGTACCTGCCACGTTGATAGAATGAGGATTTGTGGTATATATTAGTTTTTTATTGCTACTGTAAGAAATCATCACAAACTTATGGCTAAAACAGCAGAAATGTATTATCTTACAGTTGGGTAGGGCAGAAATTCAACACAGGTCTTAATGCACTAAGATATAGGTCTCAACAGAACTTAATTCCTCTCTGGAGGCTCTCTGGGAGAATCCCTAACCTTGCCTTTGCTGGCTTCTAGAAGGCACCCGCCTTGGTTTGTGGCCTCTTCTTCCATCTTCAAAACCAACAACATCAGGTCAAGTTCTTCCTTTGCCACACCATGTCTCGAGTTCTCTGCCAGAAAAGCTTCTCACATTTAAGGATTGGGCCCACCACCTGGATAATCTAGAATAATCTCCCTATCCCAAGCTTCTTAATTTTAATCATATCTGAAAATTTTCTTTTGTTATGTAAGGGAACATATACATAGGTCCTGGGGATTAACGTGTCAATACCTTTAGGGGTTCATTATCCTGCCTACCACATAGTAAAAGTCAAAGTTGTCTAGACAGCATTTCAATCTTTTAAATTCTCTACAGTGTCATACAATCTAATGAGGATGAAACCCACTTTGTTCCTAATAATTAAAAAACTTATTTTATCACAATTTTACTAAGAGCTTTCCACTATTTCCAATATAATTCCAGGCCTCTTTAAGGACCTAAACTACTATTATTTAAATGTTTAGCTTTCAGCTTTTTCAATTTCAATAATAATAAATAGATATTATTACTCTGAAAAACAAGTATATTATTAGGATGCAGTAGAGAGAGAAGAATTGGTTTTAGCCTGGAAATTGTATGCACTATGTACCCTTGGGCAAATCTCTTAAGCTCTCCAGGCAGCAGTATCTCATAGAAGAAATGAGTAAATTAGATTATGTGATCTCTATAAACTCTTGAATTATAAAATTCTATAATTTTGAATAATTGAATTCTATAATTATATAAAATTCATGTCACTTCATTGACATGATTAGCTCTTAAAAGCTATAAAAATTAAAAGCTACTGCCAGATGTTTTCAAGATCACAAATGACTTGTGATATAAAGAAAATAAATTCAAACCAAAGAATCAGTACGTGCCTAAACTTAGCAAAACTGGTGTTTAAGTTACCCAGATAAGATAAAGACCAGTCATTTGTTAGCATCATTTTTGATTAGTTGCAAATAAGGGACCATTTGAAACAAAATTTTGAATCTATATTAGGCCTTTAATTCTTTGAAAAATATGAATTTAGACAAGTTTTTATCTGCCAATTTGCCAAGAAAGCTAAAATATAACATTATGTTTAGAAAATAATTGCTTAAAAAATTAGTGTTGGATAGAAGAGAAGTTTGTAATAAACAAGGTACTGGTGACTCCAGGAATATAGCACATTAGTCTGTAACAAGAATAATATTAGCAGAGATGTTGTTCAAATTATTTTAAAATGACTAATAGTAGTGTCTTCATTACTTCTTATAGCAGAATATTCCAATGTTATATCTAAGAATAATAGTATTGAAACAGAATTCTAGCCTAATTGGTAAAACTACGCCTTGTGTTCTGAAACAAAATTCCTTTGTGATTTCTATTAAAAATTGCTTCTTTACTTCCTGATGTTCTGTGGGCTGCCCAGTGACTATTATGTTACAAACTGGAAATAGGGAACTGTGTGAGGTGAAATTGTATGACCTACTATATAAACTCAAGAATAATTCAGAATGCCTGTATTGGGGCAGAAAGAGGGTAATTCCTTTTGTCCCTATGATTAAGGTTATGGCTATAACAAAAGACAGGTTAACAAGAGAAAAGCATAACAAATTTATTTGATCACAGTTTTACATGACAGAGGAGACTTCAGAATAGAGACTCTAAAGATACAGGGGAAACTATCAATTTTTATGTTTAGGTTCTATAAAGCAGGGACAGCTGTTGTAGAAATGTGATTGGACAAAGTGTATGAACTAATGGAAATAGAGTGGGGAACCCAACAAGGCCTGTCTGTTCAGATTCTTCTTGGCTTCTCTGTATAACATTCCTACCTCTTGTGTATGGGGCAGGACCCCTCTGGAAGGACAGTCCTAATTTCTTTATGGCCAGCTGTTACAAAGAAAGGTGAGGGAAAGTCAGAGTAATAATTTTAGGCTTTACAGTTGGCTTTGGGGAAAAGGGGTTTTGGTTTCCATGACTTGCCTTGGGAAAGAAGAATTCTAGTTTCTACCGCTTGCTTCAAGGGAGAATGAGGGGCAAGAGACAGGAGCTCAGGAGAATGTCAGAGACTTTGCTTCTGAAGCTTTCATTTTGGATGATTATTTTCTGAGTCTTAGTACCCATAGTTACAAGTTCCACACATGGCCATCTTTACATTAACACTGCAGTGCTTCAGTGCTAACCAAGTGATAACTTCCCTCAGGTGTTCTGTGACCTTTATTTTCTTCTAAATTTATCTTTGACCTTGGTTGGTTTTTTACTGTAAAGGGCTAGTATAACCTGAACTCTAATATTCATGTTAGTCCAGCTTAAATTTACAAGACGTGTGTGTGTGTGTGTGTGTGGACTTGGCATATGTGTCTTATTTTCATATTTTACTATTTATATTTAGGTCATACTTATATCCATAGAACATTAAGTTTGCTAAAAGCTATTACTATGCTTTTATACTTCTTTGCATTATTAGTCTCTGAACAAATGCTTTTAAATGTAGTTCATTCCAAATATAGATGGTAGAGTTAAACAAAATCTTTAGTGCTGTTAAAACTCTGAGATGGGAAAATAGGACTTCTGATTCCAGAAGTGGAGTGAGGTCTTCCACAAACCCATCCCTCCAAAAAAGCAACAGAAACATTGACAAAACATTGCCAAAAATAACTTTTTCAAATTCTAGAAATTAGCCAAAGTCTTGAAAAAGATCTGAGAAACGTTTATTCAAGAAAAACTGCTAATTCTTAGTAAGAACAATAGAATTTGTAACATTTCAACTTTACATATTCCCTTCTTCCTCTTCCTACTTCTACAGACCTCTTAAAAACTAGCAGCCTTGCAATCATAGTATCCGTGAAAAACAGAAGCTGTTCAATTATCAGAGCGAGTAAACCAGGTTTGGACCTCAAAAAAAAGGTTCATCAATAGAGAATTGTCACTATTTGACTTGTCTGGCAGCCCCCTGGAAAAGCCCCATTCATAGCAGTTTGTCATTATTTGATCTGTCTGGGAACTACCTCTATAGGAAAAGACCTATCTCCAGAGTCTTTGTGGAAAATATTAAGCAAAAATTGTTTAACATTGTAGCTGCCTAAGGCTGCAGTTATCGGTTTAGATAAATAAGAGCTTGACTAAAAATTTTAAAAGATCTGGGGAACAAGATGTCCGTAGGGGCTTTGCAAAGTTCTGATAGATGCCTGGAGTTCGAGAAGTCTATGCAGAGATGCAGGTCTGGATGGTTGCTCAGGAAAGGAGGGAGTCTCTATCTCTCACCACTGGCTGATTTTGAGGCCCTTCCCAAGCAAAAAGTAAAGAATAAAGAGGTTGTAAAACCCTTGAGCATTGATGACAGGGTTCAATAAACAGAATTCCTCAACAAAAGGTGAAAGACTATTGGTTCAAGGCAACTAAGAAAATCTGACCAATAATTACTTGATCGCTAAGATGACTGAGTAGAGACTAAAGTGAATGCACACTACAGGGAACCCAAACTATATACAGTTACTCCAAGAATGTCAATAACTAAAAAATAGCAGCACTAACAACAACAAAACAGCCACAGCATCAAACCCTGGTTGGCAGGGAAGGTTATGATTTCTAGAGTTATCACATCAAAATATCTCAAATATTTAAAATATATAGTTTTTAAGCAAAAAATATAAAACTCATTAAGAAATAAGAATGTATGGCCCATACAATGGGAAAAAAAGAAATACATATATACTATCTCAGAATAGGTTTATATGTTCAACTTACTACACAAAGACTTCACATAAGCTATTATAAATATGACCAAAGAACTAAAATAAACTGTGTCTAAAGAATTAAAAGAAATTATGTCAGTGATGTCTCACCAAATAGTAAAACAATAAAGGGAAAGAAATTATAAAAGAAGAAACAAATAAAAGTCCTGGAGTTAAAAAGTATAATAAATAGTTTTTTTAAAAAAAATTCATTGATGTTCAACTTTGATTTTTAAAAAAATTATTCTACATTTCTAAGAAGCTCAATAAACTCCAAATAGGATAAACTCAAGGACATCCACACCTTGGTACATCATAGTCAAACTGTCAGTGCCAAAGATGGAAAAGGTTGAAAGCAGAAAGGAAAAAAAAAAAGATACACTACATAAAAAGGATCTTCAATAAGATTAATAGCTGACTTCTCATCAGAAAATATAAAGGTCATAAGTCAAGAAAATGGCATATTCCATATTCTAAACATTAAAAAAAACACTTGCAACCAAGAATTCTACATCCAGCAAAAACTCTTTAAAATGAGAAAAATACAGGTAATTTGTCCTAACTAGAACTGTTTAAAGAGAAATTCTGAAAGAAACTTTTTAGGCTAAATTGTAACTCAAATCCACACACAAAGATAAGGAACACCATACAGTTAACAACATTGGTAAATGTGGAAAAGAGTATAAATACATTTTTGTTTGTAATTATTTTCTTCTCCTAATTTAAAATGCAAGTATAATACAAGTAATAGTTATAAAAGTATGTTGATGGTCTCCTAATGTATAAAGATGCAATTTATATGGCAATAATAGCAGAAAGGAAGGAGATGGGATCAGAGTTTCTGTATACTATTGAAAATACATTAGTACTAGTAGTTTACTTTAAGATGCTAACTTAATCCCCAGGCAACCATGAAGACAGTAAATAAAAATATATAGTAAAAAAAAATAAAGTAATTTAAATGGCATAATATAAAACATCTACTGAACACAAAATAAAGAAGTAATGGAGAAATAGATAGAGATATATCAAATGTTGAAAGCAAATAGCAAAATAATAGATGTGAATCTAAACTTATCAGTAACTATATTAAATTTAAATGTATTAAACACTACAATTAAAACAACATTGGCAGAATGAACAAAACACATGATCCATTACTGTCTACAATAAACATACTTTAGATTGAAAAAATTAAAAAGTTGAAAATAAAAAATTCAAAAATATATACCATGCAAACACTAACCAAAGAGAGCTGGAATGGCTAAACAAATAAAAAACAAAATAGATGAAAATATTTAATAATGACAAAGAGGGAAATTTATAATAATAAAAGGATTAATTTATCATATACATCTCAATAGAGCCCCAAAATATTTGAAGCAAATAACTGACTAGATAGAAAAGAAAAATACAAAAATTAACAGTAGTTTTTGAAGAATTAAATGTCTCATTTTCAATAATGAATAATACAACTTAGACAGAAAATCAACAAAGATGTTATACACAAGGTCACCTAACAAACATCTACAGAATAATCCACCCAGCAAAAGAAGAATATACATTCTTCTAAGTGCACGTTAAATATTTTCCAGGAATGAGCATACATTTGACCATAAAACAAGCCTCAATAAATGTAAAAGAACTGAAGTCATGTAGAGTATATTCGTTGAACACAGTGGAATTAAACTAGAAATCACTAATAGAAGGAAATCTGGGAAATTTACAAAGGGCATGAAAATTAAACAACACCCTCCTACATCAGAAAGTGGGTTTGTAGTTACCTGGGGTCTAGGGATTGGGAAGATGGGGAATGACTGCCAATAGGTATAGAGTTTCTTTTTTGGGGTAGTAAATGTTCTAAAGTTAGATTTCACAATGATTGCACAACTCTGGATATATTCTTAAAAAGCCCATTAAATTAATTTTATGTTACATGAATTATCTCAATAAAGTGGTTACACACACACACACACACACACACACACACGGTGTAGTTGCTCTGAACAAGCGGTCCCTATGTGAGTTGAGTTCTTTCTCCTATTAGCAAAGAGTAAAAATATACCCAATAATCAACACTCCATAAAAATGAATAGGAAATTTAGTGAAATACAAATAAAGGGCTAATGGAAGGGCATTATGGGGTAATTCTATGAGAATGCAATATTTTCCTTAAGGGAGTAGTATTTCATAGGATTTTGTAAGATCGATAAATTTTAACAGGCAGATAAGGAAGGCAAAACCATTCCAAGGGGTGTGAGGAACTTAGGATTTTAAGATTTTGGAGACTGCTAAACATAGGAATTATTTGTAGAATAGTAAGTAGCCCAATTTGACAGATATGTTAAATGTAATAAAGTACTAATTACAGAGTTAAATACTGAAAAATGGGTTGAAAGGCATAAGATGAAAAGACTAATCTGATAGAAAAAGGAATAAACTTTTAAGTTCAGTAAATTTACAAGAATGCTCTATAGATAAAGCAAGAACTACAGGCACCCATTTTCTTTTAATCTGTATATCCTTTTGAATAAGAATATTTTAAAAACGAGATAATATGAAGAAATTTGAAGTCTCTTTGATATCATAAATTATCTTCAATTGAACTTTTGAGAGAGTATGATTTATCTACTACTGATCTGCAGAAGAGATTGGGTAAAAGACCATGAAACAAAAGTGATTGCCCAGTTTTGGGAGACAAGGATGACCTTTTAATTACTTACAATTATGTAGCAAAGAGAAAGTCACTTATGTGGCAGGCATATTTGTGGTAAAGTATAGTTCTGGCCTCTGTTGTAGCAGGGTTTGAGTTGAGAACAGTTTTCTGAGTTTGTCTCAAAATTTGAACATGCCCACAGCCGAGTCACTTAAGCTTGTAAGCATTCATCATTACCCACCTAAAATTTTATTTTAATATCCACTTCTCTAAATTTTTAGAGGCTTGACAGCTTAACACAATTCCAAGTTTTTAATATAATTGAAAATAATCACACAGATTTCCAATTGCCCTTGGTAAGACCACCATTTCCAGTCACCCTACACCAAAGATGTCACCACACAAACTTCATGAGAACCATTCCAAGGAGGCTATTATCAGAAATGATTATCCAGCTCTTCTAAAGACCCAGGTCTCCAAAATTTTATTTTAATACTATAAATATGAAACTCAAAAGCAACCACATAAAAACCTGGAGCAAGATAAGGAAATTACTGTCACCATTTCTAGTGAACACTGCTTCTAGGTCCTAGCGCTTGAAATGATAAATGAAGAGAAGGAAAAAAATAGTGATAATTAGAAAAGAAGACAAAAAAACATTTTTCAGTTGATATGATTTTTTACCAAGAAAATATAAGAGAATAGACAACTTAGTAAATGTAATAAGTGAGTCTGGCAAGTTTTGCAAACACAAATCAATAAGATTCCTATACTGTTTAAAAATATATAGGTAATGTGAAAGAAAAAATAACATTTACAATAGAAATGAAACTTAAACGGCTTTCAAAAATAATTCTAAAAATACATTTCTACTTTATAAAATAAAACACTATAGAGAGACATAAAGGAAAATCTAAATGTGTAAAGAGATATGCCAAGTTATTGGGTGGAAGAACAAAATACTCTAATTACATCAAATTTGTTGATACTAGACCATAAATTCAATGCAATCCCAATCAAAATTTCTATAGCTATTTTGTGATATTTTATGTCAATCCTAAAATTCATACCAAAAGAAAAAATGAATAGCAAGAAAGATTTTCATTAATAATAATAATAATAATAATGATAAAGTTAAGGGAGTTACTTAAAAGTAGCTAAGAAATTTAAGGTCTAGTAATTAAAACAGTATGTTATTTCTTCTTAGATAGAGGACTAGAGAAGTAGAACTTGAAAAAGAACCTAGAATCACACACATATAAAATCTTGAGCACATAAAAATCTTGAGCAAAATAAGGAAATTACTGTCAACCCAGTTCCAGAGCAGTAGAACTTTAAAAAGAACCTAGAATCACACACATATGAAATTTGGGTATATGATGGAGGGAACAGAGGAGAAAGCATTGATGATTAAATAAATGCTCTGGAGATTGATTTTCTGTACTACATACCATACAAGAAAAATAAACTTATTTGTAAATGCAAAAAGCAAAATTTTAGACTTTTAGAATAACTTAGGAGAGTGTTTTAAAAACTGGTAATGGAGAATGATTTTGCAACAGGATGCAGAAACCACAAGCCAAAAAGGGAGGATATATTTGACTACATTCACAAGCTGTAAAGGAAAAGATTGATATATATGAATACAAGAGGAAATGTTGTATTTATTAATGCACCAGAAACAAAGGTATAGCCTGGGAGAAAATATTTGCAAATTATATAAACAGCCAAGGGATAATATCCAGAATATATAAAGTAATTCTCCAAGTCAAAAGCAAAAGACAAATCCAATCAAGAAATGAGCAAAGGATGAAAGGAAGGGCATTTCACAGATATGGTCAACTTCTCTTGTAATTAGAATAATGCAAATTTAGAAAAGACAATATTATATTCACCAGCTTGGAAAATAACAAGATAAGATGGTGTGGATGTTAAGAAACACAAACTTACATAGCCAGAAAATAAACATATAAATGGACAGAGACGTATTAGTGAGGAATTTGACAATCTACTGGAGAACCAAGGTATATACTTCAACCCAATAACCCCACTCCTAGAAAAACTTCACTGTTGTATTTCTACAGTGAAACACAATTAAGAACATTTTTTATAACACTGTATACAAAGGTCAAAATTGTAACGAATTATCTCACAACAGGAAAATGAATATGTAAACTGTGGTAAATGAATGTAATTGAATATCAGAAAGCTATTAAAATGAACAAATTAGAGCTACACATATCCAAATGGATGTTTCACAAATAAAATGTTGAATAATAAAACTCAATTTGTGAAATAACACATTTATGTAATTATGATACAATTTATCTTAACTTGAGCACATGCAAATCAATAATATACCTTATGATGGCTACACAAATGTGTGGTAAAAGTCCAAACATACACATGGGAATGGTGTACAACAAATTCAGGATGATGAGAATGTTAGAGGAAGGAAGAAAGGGAAATGGATTGTAGAGAGACACATAATAGATTCCAAATATATCTGTAATGTTTTATCTCTTATAAAGATCTGGAGAGGCTGGGCACGGTGGCTAATGCCTGTAATCCCAGCACTCTGCGGGGCTGAGGCGGGTGGATCTCCTGAGGTCAGGAGTTCCAGACCAGCCTGGCCAACATGGTGAAACCCTGTCTCTACTAAAAATACAAAAATTAGCCGGGCGTGATGGCACATGCCTGTGATCCCAGCTACTCGGGAGGTTAAGGCAGGAGAATCACTTGAACCCAGGAGGCAGAAGTTGCAGTGAGCCGAGATCACACCACTGCACTCCAGCCTGTGCGACAAGAGTGAGATTCTGTCTCAAAAAAAGAAAAAAGAAAAAAAACGGAAGAAAATATGACAAACATTACAATTTCATAAAGCTTGGTGTTGACATCCCAGCATTTATTAAATTATTCTTTAAACTTTTTGATATTTTGACATTTTTCTATAATGAAAGTAGAAATCAGGTGAACTTAGAGACTTTGTGGTGAGGAGCAAAAGCAGAAATATGGATATAAAAGGAATTTTAAAGTACCAGGAAAGGAAGTTACAAGGTTTATACCACCCCCTTAAAGAAGCTTAAAGTGATGAAAAATTTAAAAATCTTTGTACTGTCCTTCTTTGACCTCTAGTTCTAATAACAAATGACTCAGTTTGATTATATGCCTTTTTCAAACAGGATTCCAACTCTGGCATCTTTATTAGATTCTAGACTTTCACACTTTTTTTTTTAAGTGTTCCCAATCTGGCTTTCTAATCATTAAATGTACCATCCTGAAACAACTGGAATATGATAATAATATGTCCCTTTTATAGTTCACTAGGGTTCTTTACGTGTTTTAAAAATTTTCAGTGTAGATACAAATGTGTAATACATATAAGGTGAATTTTTAAAAGCCAAGGATTCTATTTTGAAAAACATTGACCCAGACAATTGGGGGGGAGAGGAAATTTCAGTCTCTCTAAATGAAGACATGCTAAACAAATTGGCTCAGTCGAAAAGCATCACTATAAGCGATAAGAAAAATGGGCTCTGGCACATTGAACTGGATGAAGAGAGCCAATATTTATGCACCTGCCATGAGTTATTTGTGTGGAACTGCTCTGTGAATGCTATTTGAGATCAACTTTAACTCTGAAGTTTTCCAAATTAAAAAAAAAAATACCTGAAACCTTCTATGATTTAGGAAAGACAACTATTGATTTTGATTATCTAAGCACAGTGAATATAATGTTGCTTAAAGTGACTTATTACTTGGGAAGTCAATGAATGGAGTGAATGAGGCAGAAACCAAATTTAATAAGAAGTAAATTAAGTTCAAAGAATACAATAAAGTAGTAGGAAATAGTTGTGCTGTGTTGTTCTCCAAAGAAGGATTACATTCAAGAGAAAAATAACAGACAATCCCAATAATGCCAAAACCAGAAAGCTAAAAAGACAAGAAACATATGCCAGGTACAATTAGCTGCCTCTCAGAGTTCATCCAATACACAGTGTTTAACCCCAAAGCCCTTCTGAGCTCTGTACTCAAATAGGACATTGGGAGAATCCAGATTCATACACAATAAACACACTAAGATAAATAAACACAGGCTTATCAAACTTAACTACTTGTTTTGATGTAAAAGAATGGATAAAACTATGAAGAAAAGATGATTTGCCGCATATTCTCAAAAACATAGTGTTTTAGTTGTGCAGTAAGAGTACTGGAGTGGAGGAACAACAGTGAGAGAAATCAGAAATTTTTCTACGTCTTTTCTTAGATTTATGCTTTGTCACTTACTATGAAATAAATATAAAGCAATATTATCATTATGTACTGGTATTATGAAGCTTAGATTATAAGTGCATAGAAGGCTTTGAATAAATTCTCAATACAAAGTTAACATCGCTTATTCATTTAGCAAACAGTTCTATAGCACTTACAATGTGTCATCTTCTGATGTAAATGCTTTAAAAATATTAGCTTGCTTAATTCTCATTACAATCCTATTAGGTGGGTATTACAATCCTTACTTTAGGAAGGAAACTGAGCAAAATAAGGCTAAACAACTTACTCAAATTCACACAGCTAAATAGGCAGTCTGATTCAAGTCCATGATCTTAACCGCTACTGTAATATATATATACGCACATATAGATAGCTATATATCTATATATGTATATATAGACAGATATTACTAATAGGAAATCCACTACTTATATTCAAATCTGGCAAGGAAGTGTTATAAGAAAGGGTTTTAGAGAAAACTGAAATGAAGAATGAAATGAGAAATGAATATAGATGTAATAGACAGAAGAAAAACAAAAGACGGTCACCCTGGAGAAAAAAGAAATGATTGTCTTTCCTTCTGAATATTTGCAGGAGTTTTACTTGTGGTCTAGAATAAGTAAGCAGGGAAACAAGATATGCAACTGTCATCCCTAAAATATTTGAATATGAAACTTAAAAATGTATGCCATGACTAGAAAGGAGGGGAAAAGAGGGAAAAGCTTAGCTAATCTTCAGTCATGATGAATAATATCAAACACTCATCATAACAGAAATTTAGCGATGTGGGTAGAGTGCTTCATTAACTTCCATTCTCAACAACTGAATTAATATTGTTAAAATCATTTTATTTAGTAACTCATTAATATAACTCTAGTCCAGAAATACTTGAAAAGCCTGCCATATAGAGTAAAAAACACTAAGTATTCTAGAAATCACATACTCTAAAGCCAAACTACTTATTCAAGGCCTTTCATAGCAGCAATAGGAAATACAAATGTCACATAAATTCGTTTTAATCATAAATGTAATGAATTGCTTTCTTCCAGGTGCTGCAGGGCTACTGAAGAAGTTAAATGTGGTTCTTGCCCAAAAAGAATGTACAGTGTATGTTGGGATTCACGCCTGAATAAACTAGGGAACAATTCCAGAGCAAATAAGATGTAGTTGGGCATATATCATATCTGTAAAGACCTAAGGAAATTGGATGAATCTAGAATGCGTGGGATCATGTCTTAAAGAAATAGTCTGGGCATTGGAGGAAGTATTAGGTTTGCAATGGAAAGGATGGGAGGGAAGACTTTTCTAAGTAGATACACAGAGTGGATATGCAGAAACAATGATTTAGAGTGTTGGTTCTGGAATTTGACTTTCTGGATTCTATTGCTACATACATGAACTTGAGCAAGTAAGTAAATCTCTGTTTCTCATCTTTTAAGTGGAGTCTCGCTCTGTCGCCCAGGCTGGAGTCAGTGGCATGATCTCGGCTCACTGCAAGCTCCACCTCCCGGGTTTCGCCCTTCTCCTGCCTCAGCCTCCGGAGTAGCTGGGATTACAGGCACCCGCCACCATGCCTGGATAATTTTTTGTATTTTTAGTAGAGACGGGGTTTCACCGTGTTAGCCAGGATGGTCTCAATCCCCTGACCTCGTGATCCACCTGCCTCGGCCTCCCAAAGTGCTGGGATTACAGGTGTGAGCCACTGGCCCCGGCCTATTTCAAAAGATTTTGAGAATTTTAAAAAATGAATTTAGTTTTGAAAGCCAATAGTGATTGGCAAGAAGGGTACTAATAAATGTTAGCTGTTGTTATTATTTGCAGAGAAATAAAGTTAAATAAAAAATTATAAGATGGATTTACAAGTTATTACCACTTGATTCATGTCAGTAATTTCAGTGGTAGGAAACTGTATGTAGTAGAAAAAAAAATAGTGATTTTAGCAAAAGTTTCAGTTAAAGAAAATCAAACTGGCAACTGAAAACCTATTTATGCTCTTTCCTTCTTCTCCACTTCAGTTTTTTTTCCCCCTTACATGAGATGAGAGTCTCAACTCAGAGGTATAGAGGAAGGAAGAAAGGGGGAGGAAAGATAGTAAGTCTACATAGCTAGTAAAGTAGAACAGCGCTGAAATGGAATATCCAAACAACTGTCAAAAGTATAAGGAGCCCTTTTTACTAACAAGATGCTACCAGGCCTGAGCTAACACAGAAGAGTATACCCAGCATGAGGAGCTGCTTTGCTTTGACAGGTCTGATTTATGAAACAGATGATTTGTTATTTATTGATCAGAGATCAATTCTACTCACTGAGTTAAGAAGAAGCTTGATAAAAGGCAATCATGCATCTCATTTGGTTATGAGCAAAAATAGTGTCTATTGGCTTGCTGTGTCAACTGACTTTGATGCTGTAACATCCAGATGTTCAACATGTGCAAACTGCAGAAGTAAAACAAAACAAAACAAAATGGGCCTTTTCTGCCACAAAAGAGAGCAAAACATTCAAAACATGTCCCATGGGAAAAAAAAAAAAAAACTTATCAGAACCATATAACATAGTCTGAAATGTAATTTTAGTAGAAAATAAGAAAAGTTCACTGTATTTGTGTTTTTATCCTTTTATTTATTTAAAAATTATGGGTTGAGGGCACTCTATGTTTAATGCCTTGTGTGAAGCACTGTAATGACATTTAAAATGTTGTATAGGCAAATGCCACCTATGTTAGCAGAATGCCAGGAAATTACTAATTCAAATAAAGTTTCACAAACATGCTCAAAGCAAGCCTGCTACTTTTTCATTTTCCACAATATCAAAGTTCCTATTAAGATAATTATTTTTCACTCTTGGTATCATAACACAGTTGCCATTTGTTCTTTCTTATTCAGGAAATTCCTTCAGCTTTGTTGTCCTCCCCAATCAGTACAGCGGAAAGCTGCATGTAACTGGGTTTTGAGATAAGACACATGACTACTTAGTTTGAGAGCATGGAAACGTTCATATTTTAGTTCTGTGCTTTTTAAGTGTGATGCTGAAGTTTGCACATCAACTGTGCTACACGGTGATGTCATATTTTTCTAGTTGCTATTAATATTTGAAAACACTAACCTCTATTTGGTCACTTGAGGATTTATAAACTTTTTTCCCCTTCCCTAAGTATGCTCTAAAAACAGGAAAAAATAATTAGCATATCATCTGAAGTTAGATATTAAATTGTTTCTTTTTCAACAATTTCTCTGGGAATGACCTCATCCAAGATGGGGTAGTAAATATATTTAATTTAGTCTCTTCTAATTCATTCAGGTTTGTATTTGAAACAGATTTTCTTTTTCTTCTCACAGTTGTCTTAGAAATAGACAGCATTAAATTATAACCCTTGGCCTTTCAGTTTTAACAAAACTAGTTAAACAAACACCCCATCATGGATAATAGTCATTATCACTGTGAGAGCACTAAGTTGTAAAGTTCATAGCAAGAACCTTGTGCAGTTATAATGAGCCACCATACTTGCAGTACTATCACAGAGAGGGTTGCCTTCTAAAGCAAACATTTCTGGAAACCAGAAATCCACCAGCTTGTTTGTCTTGATTATAAAATACAGTGAAGTGTGGTGCTAAGTATATGGGCCATGGAAGTGGACAAATGAAGTCGATTCTCAGTTCTGCCTCCTGAAGTAGCACAGATTTACTTCTCTGAATCTTTTCCCTCTATGTGTCAATTTGGGATTGTGATTCTTATCCTTAAAGTTTGTAGGACTGATGTTAGGTTTAGACCATGTAATCTAACAAGATAATCTTATAAGATGACTATCACCTTACTGCCCTCTGGTAAGTACTTAGGAAAAAAAAAAATCCTGATTTTTCTTACTGGTTTTTATAAGGTGGTGAAGATTAAGTGGATAATTGGACGCTCCAAAGAAAAGTCAAAGCAATGAGACTATTTTTAGTGTCATATCAAACAGTATGAGCTTTTCTAGAGGAGAATACTGCCCTTCACTAGATCACAATTTGATTGGATACAAAATCACCCAAATTTAAGAATTTGATGGTTGCATTTTGAAGGATAACATATATCCAATTTATCTCCAAACTTTGTGAGGTTCTGTATAATACTATTTGTTATTCTTGTAGTTTGAAGGAAAATAACATGATGGTTAATACTGAACACAAAGGTCACTTTGTTGAGAGTTTTCTTTTTTGCTTTCTTTCTTTTATTTCCTTTTTTTTTTTTTTTCTGGGACAGAGTCTTCCTCTGTCACCCAGGCTGGAGTGTAGTGGCACGATCTTGGCTCACTGCAACCTCCACCTCCTGGGTTAAAGCGATTCTCCTGCCTCAGCCTCTGAGTAGCTGGGATTATGCGCCCGCGCCACCATGCCCAGGTAATTTTTGTATGTTTTCATAGAGGCGGGGTTTCACCATGTTGGCAGGCTCCTCTCTTAACTCCTGGCCTCAAGTGATCCGCCCACCTCAGCCGCCTAAATTGCTGGGATTACAGGTGTAATCTGAAGATTTTTCTTTAGTAGTCCACACTCATTTATTCATTTGTTCATTCAAAACAATTTATTGAGCACCTACCTTGTGTCAAAGGAAAACAACAACATGACTTTTGAACATTGTGAAATACAGTTTAAACTGGATAACACACCTAAACTTCTTGAGTACATTCATCTGAATATCACTATAGCCTGAGCATTAGGAAAAAATTACCACCCATTATGGGCTTGCTTTTCATGTTCTCTCATAGAATCTTCAAAACGACCCTGTAAGATCTGTGTTACTGTCTATATTTTTCAGAGAAGAAGACAAATTTCAGGAAGTTTTAAGTTTTACACGTCCAAGATCACAGAGTTAACTAATGGCAAAGCTGGGTTTGAGTTCAGGTAATGAATCTGTTTTTACCAGGCCTGAGAATAGCAGGGCCTCTAGTACTCTGAGAGGGTAGGGCAGGAGGTGTAAGTAATGTTTTTAGATGTAGTGCCTAGTATCTCAGGGAATTTAATAGTGAAATAAATTGGAGAAAAATGTTTAAACTAGTCAGAAATGCTAATCCAGTGAAATACATCACTCCGTGCTTCATACTTTCAATTATACTTTTCTCGTAATTATGGAAATCATTCCTGAACATGTGGCCTTTTGTGGAGTACCTCAGTTTATTTACCAAATGTTCACTGACCATCTCCTATCTGTACCTTCGATAATATAGCATTCAAGTTTTGACTATCATAAATGAGAAGAGAGATATTTGGTGTATAAAATGTGAATTTTTTTCTGTGTTGTGGATTTTTTTTTTAATCTGGGAGACCAGAATATGAATGACAGTGAGTCACTGGCTAGAAAACGTGTGACATTGTTATAACTAACTTCTAGTGGAAAATGTGTTCTCTAGAGAGTACAGTATTTTCAAGTTTGGAATTGTTGAAGTTATTTGGAACCATCCATTGCAGATGTCAAGGACGGCTATATACGCTATAATGCTTTTATAGATCCTATGGAAGATGTGAAAGCATTGTGAGGTATAGCCCCGGCCATCAGTAAATTTATCATCTAGATAAAATAGCATTTTGATGTAATATGGACAATATGTTATTTTCACAGATAGTGTTTTTTAACTTTTTGTCTTATTAAACATAGTTTCTCTTATCTCTTATCTGTTTCTTTAAGTATAATTTTTTATCACATGACTGTCTCTTAAACTAGACTTTTCTGTCTTTGAGGGTAAGAGTCATACCTTGTCTCACCCATCTTCACATCCTCAATTTCAGCACAGTGTCTAGCATCCTATGAATCTTTAGTTTATGGTTCTTAAATGGAAAAACATATCTGTGCATCTTCCTTTACTGATCAGCTTAAAATCTTATTAAAAATAGAGCCCATGACTAAAATCTATTGTATTCCATTCTAAATTCAAAGTGCTGGGATAATTTACTATAGATATTAAGTGTTTAACAAGTGTAATCCATCAATCATAGTTGTTAAGAAGGCTCATTAAGATGAGTAGAGCCTTAAGAACACACAATTCCCATTCTTGCTCCCCTGTGTGACCTTGAATTAATCATCTGAGATCAGTCTCTGCATTCCAGTTTACTTTCCTCTCAAGAGTTAAGGATTACAAAACTGAGAACCATTCCAATTATTATTAATATTTAAACTTTTTATAACTAAAAATGCTTTTAACCGTAACCTGTATGCTTCTGGAATCTCAAAGTCCCAGAATTTTTGCCTACGGAAAAAAAGTACCAAAAAAGACAAGTTTAGTTTTAAATCCAGTCTTGAACAATAGAAAGCAAATGAGTATAAAGGAGTCAAAAAGCCTAGAAAGTTCCATTTGCCATGCCACAACGTCCCACTCCCAAAGAAAATGTCACAAAAGGAAGCATCACATTTATACTCCTGAGAATAACATTACCATACAAAAAGTGATCCATTTTTTTAAAGTATTTGTGAATTTGATCAAAGGTAAAATTTGAAAATAGCTTTTCACTAAGGAAAAGGATGGATTCTGCCTCCAGTCAAAATATTCATTTTTTTTAAAGACCAAATTAGCAGATACTGAAGGAATAAATAGCTTTTTTGTGTGGCATAAATTGGCATCTCTAGTAACTATTCTGCATGTGAGTGGTGGAAAAACTTTCAAATTCTCAGACTATTATTAAATGTTACCTTAAATGAGAATCAAACTAATCTAAAACATACATTAGATGTCAATTAAACCAAAACAATGTCATCACAAATTCAAAACATGGCCAGAAAAGCGTATGGCTTAGAAAGCACAATAACCCGTCATGGGGGGAGTTCTGTACATAAAGCAGATCACCAAATCTAAAGGAATAATACAAACTACAGAGACAGCTCTCTGACAGGTTTCTCCCATTTTAATGAAACAAGTTTCAGTGGAAAACTTAAAAGATTAAAAACTCACAACGAAATAACTCCCATACATTTTTCTTAGGGCTGTCTCCATCACCCGAAATGAAGTAGAGATTTGGCAGTTCTCCCATAATAGGATCAGTGGAGACAGTCGAGTGAAATAGGACACTAAAGACCTTTCATTTTCTAAATTAGTTGTCTAACTTGATCAAATAAACCATATATTGGCTAAATTTCCAGTTCATATTATACTGGGTAGATATATACAAATATCAAATCTATTTGGCTGCAGAGTAATAATCCATTTCCAGAAACAATACATTCAGCTTCAGCAACTCTGTGGTAATAAGTTTCACTTCATCATATTGAATTTATGCTATTTTTCATGGTTTTGGAAAATCTATGAAGGATTAAAACAGTTATTTTATTCTGAAAATTATACTTTTTATTATACCCAAATTATTGATGTGTTCATTATCAAACAGTACAAACAGTACACTAAAACATCTCTATGATATACATATAGAGGCTTATTTTGCTATATAAAATTGTCAATGATTAAAAAAAGACAATGACATCTTTATTACTTATTTACTCAGGTAAAATGTGAGTTTTTCAAATCTGACAACATTAAAAATATAATTTTAAAATTTTTATTTGCAGTGAGTTAATTCTGCTTGTTTAGCAAATAATTTTGCTACTAAAATCATGATTAAAATACTTTAAAAACTTCACTTTTAAAAACGTAACTGACACTGAATTATTGTTTTAAAAACATTTTAAGGATCACATTTTATATTTGTATTAGTAAATATTAAATTATATATGGTCTAAAGGAGTCAATTGTTTTGTCTATAAGGCAAAGGAGAAAATGCAGAAAAAAAAGTCAATTTGTCAAACTATTGATGCTAGATAGAATCACATGTGTACAACTGATCATGGACAGTAGCAGGCATTTTGGTGTCTTGGTAGCAGTGAACTGAATCCCAATTTGTTAATTCCACTCCAGAACATTATTTTTTCCAGATTGTTTTCTGTCATTTGTTGTATGATTTTTATTTTATCTGAAAGTGGCCATTAGAGATCTATCTCTGTTAATAATTTGGGTAGATGTGAGCTCTATTAATGAGCAGAAGACCCCAAAAAGACTGTTTGTGACTTTTTGACTGTAGTTGACTAATTGGGTGGCAGCTAACTCATTTAATTGAATTAGGAAGGATTAGAAAATATATTTAGCAACACGGAACACCAAAAAGAAGAGGTGGTTAAATATGAAAGATGTTTCGACTATGTCATAGCGTCATCTGCTCCCTTAAATAAAACTAACTTAGTCTTAAATCATTTATAGCATCCTCATTATGTACAATAGACTACGACTGTTAAGAGCAAGCCATGGAAAATGCTGTAGCTTCCAACTTAGATCCATTTTGTGAGGGCAGGAAATATTGATGCCACCACACGGTGTACATGTGAGAAATGCCAAACACATGTGTACAACATCCCCAGAGTGTTGATGAATCTTTCCTAAAATATTCAGGAAAATAAAGCAAATTATGCAGTACAAAATGAAGCAGGCTGAGGGGTTCTGTGTAATCTTCATATGCAGACTATGTCTCACTCATTAAGGCATAGAGTGTGAGTGAGTGAGGGTATTGTAGAGATAAACATGTGTCTCTCATAATTTATTTAAAAAGATAGCAAATTATTTAAGAACATTGGTATTTAAACTCACTATTGTTAAGTTTTTTGTGGTCCATATTGTTTAATTTATGTTAGCCAATTTGCACATGGCAATTCCTTGACAACTCAAGAAATTAAAAATATTCTAGAAATACTTCAAAAACAGAGCAGAATTTGAAGGAACTGTGATGTCACTGAGACCACTTAGGGAAGAAAATTCCTTTGCCTAAGGGATTGAAGGAGTTGACAATCATGGCTATTATAAAAAAGAGGTGGGAGATAAGAGTAATTAAGTGACTTGGGAGTCAAAATGGAGAAATATTTCGAGAAATAGGAAGGAAGAGAAAGTCAACACACCAAATCATGCAAGAAGTTCCATTGGGATGAAAATTGATAGGAATAGATTAGATTTATTACCTGGATGATTTTACAGATGCCTACTTTAATCAATATCACTACTCTCTTGACATTCATACTTAATTCCAGCAGTTTCTCCAATCCATTAACTTTTTTCTTCCTCATCCTTCCAATCAGAATTAAGCTCTTGTCTTTGGCACTCATTTCGTTTATAGTTGCCACACTATTTCTGAAAGCCTGCTTTGACTTAAACAAAATTCTATTTTGTACATGTCTGTCTCTTCCAGTAAATAGCTCAGAGCACAAACTATGCCTTTGCCTATCTACTATGCCTATATCTGACACATGGTAGAGTTAAAAAAAATGTTGTCTAGATCAATTTCAATTTCTTCACATTCTTCTTCAAATTTACATGCATTCAGTTTTTCCAACGGATGATAGTGGCTGGCAATGAATGGAAATATAGAGAAAACCTGTCGAGTGCGCAGTCATGGCGACGGGATAGTGCAGGAAGCGAGTCTCACCTCGAGTTCATAAATAGCTCACTCAGCCTCTGTTGTGGTTACAGAAAGGCAACATAGACAGATCAGAAATAGTCAGGCAGTAATTATTTTTATGGATTCAGGAGAGTCAATTTGTGCTCGGAGATTATGCTGGTGATGCTTTTATCTACTCAGGATTGCAGAGCTGAAAAAAACAGGGACTTAAAATTTAGGCATTAGGAAACAGGTGGGATACATTTTCGGCATAAGAAAGATCAGTTTATCAAGTGGAATGAGCTGCTTCATGAGGAGTGAGTTTCTCACTATTTAGTTTTCAACAGGAAAAAAGATGACATTTATAAGGGTTATTACAGGGAGCATTTCTTAATCGAGAAAACAGGTATCCTTTAAACTCCTTCTTACACTTGAAATACTACTAGGGTATACTATTTTGAAGTTGACAATAGTATTTATATTTAGAAAATTTTAGGATAAAGTTTCAGAAATTAACAGATATAGAGATCTGAGGATTGATTTTTTTATTAATTTACCAATTATTTACTCATTCGTTTAACAAACATGCTGTTAGCACCTATACTGTGTGAGGTGTTATTTTGAATACAAACATATACAACATAGACAAAGTTTCTGTCCTTCAAGAGCTCGCGGTTAAAATAGAAAACGTTACGTTACATTTTACTGATAGTTTTTATAAGAAGTAATGCTTTGGCTTTCGATAAAGTATAATTGGGCCTGGTGCCAGACAGTTAAGGGCCATACTACTGTCTGTCCAGGTATTTACTGGCCAGTTGGAAATACACACGCACACACACACACACACACACACACACACACGAAACAAAGATGCAAAGGGCAAACCTAGCTAAGAAATTACAAAAAGATTATTACATTTGAAAAAAACCACAAAAATAATATGAATCAATGAAATTGTCCTTTATTATTATCTTTTTAAAAATCCTACCAAGAATGATGTGAGGTATGCAGTCACTGAGATTAACTGGCTTTTCTGAGGTCATATTCCTAACACATTTTGGAGACAGAACTATAACTCCAAGGTTTTTTTTTTTTTTGAGACATAATCCCCTTTATCAACTTTAAATGGGTATACGTATGTGCATGCCTATATATGTATTTTGCTTTTCATGGCTAAATCCACAGATTATAAAAACCATGAGGGTTAAAAAAAAACAACCAAAGTTACTCATCTCTGTATTTAATTCTATTTTTTAAAAAAATCAGATAATTATGTATCATAGTGGTTTAGAAACTGAAAGTAGGAAGGTGATTTGCTTTGAATAGAATCAGATACCTTAAAAGACCTTTTAGATTTTAAAGTACATTGTTTCTCAAGACCCTTTAAGGTCACATTGATCTTTTCGGGGACAAAACTATTTTTTACAATAATAGTAGGATGTTATTTGCTCTTTAACTTTCATTTCTTTGTAAGTGAGCTGTGGACTTTTCCAGAGACTGCATACATGTAATAGTGCAATTGACAGACTGCAGAAATAGGTATGATAATCCAGATTTCTTCTATTACACTAGATATTAAAGTGATTTGCAAAAATGTGAAGAACTGCCATTCTTCTCCCTAATTTTTTAAAAACTTTAGATACATCTTCAAAAATGTTTATATTTACTATTGTTTTATTTAAATAAATAGGTAATATAGTTTAAATTTTTTCCATTTTATTTTATAATATGGTAAATATCAATAGATATAACACACAAAAACAAAATTTTGGGGTTGTCATCTATAATATTTAAGACTGACTTAAGTAGTTCTGATATTTAAAAAACAAAAAGTTTGAATACAATATTTTGCCTTAACTGATGAATTCTGCGATTATACCTCAAGCAGTTTTTTTCTTCCAATGAATGGACGTCTCCCTTCTCAAAGTAGGCCTATCCTTTCTCAGGCACAGTAATTGGCATTTTCTCATATTGAATCAAAATTTGTTCCCTATAGTATTCATCCCCAGATTCAGGCCCCTTCATTTAGGTGAGGGGAGAGTTTACTGGATGAATTAATCAATAACAATTAATTGAATATTTCTTTTATGGACAGGCATGTTATATTGTTGGTTGCTGCTAAACTATTGCCTCTCTTTCCTTCACTCCATTAACACTTTTATATAACTGGAGTTTTGAAATTATGTATAGAATTCTATACTTTATTGTCTCAAATCACTTGGTTGGATAAAGCCTTTTATTCTAGGATGAAGCTATTATATATCTAAATTTATAATAACTATGGTTGGAATGTTTCTTAAATTTTCTTTCAATGTCACTAAAAAAAAAATTAAAACATGATTTTTATCTGGAAATAAATTTAAAGTAGTTTGACAGTCTTGTTAGGGGGTTCGATTGTGACTGGCCAGAGGCCAAGCAGTTGTCAAATGGATATTGGCAGTAGATAAAAAAGTTAAATCTCTTGCAATTTCTTTTCTTGTCTCTGAACATAAATATTATTCTTCTTTTCTCAGCTTAAATGCACAGATTTTAAGAACAAAGTACTGTTTTGTAGGGAGGAAATAATGAGTCATCGAATCATTACAACAATTCTTTATGAACAAATACAACTATCTTGCAACTTAAATTTCAGTCTTATTATTCATGGATTAATTAACTAATTTTTTCTGTGCCAACTAAAAAACTTTTTTTTTTTTAAAAGGCAGGAGTTTTCTTAAACTATACTGTTTTATTTTTCTGATGTTAGATGTCTGTACATGTTATTGTGAGCTTAAAAAATATTTGACTTTCAAGACTAAGTATTAGAAAAAGGACATATAACATGACATTACTTTCCTATTTCAGTGTGAGTTCCCTGGCAATTCAAAGTGGAAACCCACAGGGTAACCACAGGAGGTAACACCTTCCTGGATCAATATTTGTGCATCAGATGTTATAAGAATGTTTTGTAAGGTTCATAAATAAAAAGCTTTCTTTTTTCCCCCGACTCAGAAAATGAAATTAAAGGGAATTTGGCTGTCAAGGGACTTGCCTTTTCTGGAGCAAATAACTAACTAAAAGAAGGCTTTACATTAGTCAATTAAAGACAAATGTTCACTGAAAGGAATGCCAGAAATATTCCTTATTTGAGGGGCGTTTTTTTTTCCCCAGTCAATTGGTGGTTTCATAAAAGCCGTCATATCAAATAAAATCATATCCACCAACCTTTACTAAGTGTCAAGTTTGATTCAATTTCATTCAGGAAACATTTATTAAATACGTACTTTTTTACATACCAGGATTATGCTGGCATCTGGATTTGAAACCATCAATAAAACACAAGCCTGGCCCTCTAGGATCTTACAGTCTGATAAGGGAAAAAGACAACTGCAAAAATGTGTTTAGAGTTTAATAATTTGTAGATTTCCCAGAGGCAACAATGACTGAACTATGTGTTGCAGAATGAGGAGGGGCAAGTGTGGTAAAGCGAGGAGGAAAGAGGATTCTAGAGACAAGAAATTACCCAAGAAAAATATATTGTTGACTGGCATGAGGCTTTTGGAAGATTGTGAGATTCTAAAACTGGTAAAGATGGGAGAAGAGACTGAGAAGGTAATATAGGATCACTTTTAGATAGCCTGGCATGGCACTGATGGCCAGCCAAGTTCAGTAAGGACCCTTATGATCTACAGAAGAGTTTTTTGCAGGTAGTTATATGATTAAGTTAAATGTCATTAATAGTAAACGTGAAGGTTGTCCCATCCTACTCATCTGGTCCTTAGATCAGATGTCAGGTGTGCCACATCACATAACTTGAGAGAAGAGAGAGCATTCTACAATAATGAGGAATTGACAGTGGAACTGGGCTTATTCGTGTGTTTGCAGCTTGTTCTACAAAAGCAGTGTTTTTTTAAAGTGGGTTGCTAGAATATATTACTTTAAATAATGATAATCCTACCTCATGAGATAAAATTGACCTTAAAAACATATTGTACTAAAAAAAAAAATATTTTCTAGTTGTCTTATGGCAAAGTACTTAAAAAGAGCTATTGAAGGCTGACTGTGGTGGCTGATGCCTGTAATCCCAGCACCTTGGGAGGCCGAGGCGGGTGGATCACCTGAGGTCAGGAGTTTGAGACCAGCCTGGCCAACATGGTGAAACCCTGTCTCTACTAAAAATACAAAAACTAGCTGGGCATGGTGGCGGGTGTCTGTAATTCCAGCTACTTGAGAGGCTGAGGCAGGAGAATCAGTTGAACCCAGGAGATGGAGGTTGCAGTGAGCCAAGATCACGCCACTGCACTCTAGCCTGGCAACAGAGTAAGCCTCTGTCTCCAAAAGATAAAAAAAAAAAAAAAAAAAAAAAAAGACAAGCTAAGGAAATGTATTCATTAAACAGATAGGGAGAATTAATATCCATTAGTCATTAAGAAAAAGACAAACAACCCAGTAAAAAATTGGGCAAAGCATGAACAGGCATTTCACGGAAGAAGAAACACTGTAGATTCTTAATCATATGGAAAAAAGTGTTCCACCTGGTTAGTAATCAGAATTTAAATTAAAACTGTATCTATATATTTTTTACACATACAAATTTCCTACTCATTGGAAAAATTAAAAGTTGAACAATTCTGATATTGGCTTGAATATGGGTTAACAGGAATTCTCATCTATCCTTGGGATGTGTATAACTACTCTACTTGGAAACAATTTGTCATCAACTACTAAAGTAGGACATTTATATATTCTCTTGTCAGCAAATACACTGTTATGTGCTATTGCATCATGACCCTGTGAAGTTTATTTCAAGTATAAAGGTAATTCAATATCAGGAAATCCATTAATATAAATTATCATTTAATAGAGCAAAAGGAAAAGATATCATCTCCAAAGATGCCAAAAACACATTTAATAGCATTTATCATAGTTAACTTTACAGTAGAAAAATCTGGCAAATACCACCTTATACAAGTGATTAAGATTAATATTATCAGTAATAAAACTTACCATCATGCACACCCTAATACAATGCATCAAGAATGGCATAGGACCACTGTGGCTCTGTAGTATTTTTCATTCAAATCCCAAACCTTAATCTAATCATGAGAAAACATCACAAAAAGCCGGATTGAGAAACATTCTGCAAAACAGTTGACGTGTTCTCTTTGAAAGTGTCAAGGTTATGAAAGACAAGGAAAGATATAATAGTGTTCTTTATTCTATATTCTCTATTTCTGTGAAAGTTTAGCATTTTCCACAATAGAAAGTTTTTAAATAGTGTCATTTAATGTTTTTATTTTTTAAAAAAGCTTCAAATTGATGACTTTTATAAGTAGTTGTCAAGAGCATTTTCACATATTATTAAAAAATAATAGATACTCCCTTCAAGGTAAACATGATACTTTAACAATGAGTAGGAAACTTGTACTATGGAAAGTGCATTGAGGAAGTTTGGAAATATTTTCTTTATTATATGATTTGTAAATAAAAATGTTCATACATGAATGCTTTAAAAAATTGAAAGCCGAATTTTTAAGCTCCTTTTAGAAAATATTCCAAAAGAATAGTCTTACTAAGTATTACCGAAGCCTTCGCAAGAAGAACTGTTTTATATCAAACAAGACAGACATTTACAATGAAACTTAAAAAATAATACCTAGAATAATTTTTGAGAAGAAATGGAGGATAATTTACTAAATGTGTCTTTCTCCCACTTGTATCTATAGAGTTTTAGTAGTATCCTTTCCAGCTATGACAGCCATTTTGAAACAAACTGGATTAAGTCATTGTTTCAGAAAGATTTAAACCAGAATTTTTAAAAGTAAACATATTCATCTATGCTACTAACAATAAAACACAATTTTAAGAAAAGCCAAAATACTATGGGCATGTTATTTTTTAAGTTTATGAATCCTTTTGAAATTTCTCATCTTGTGTATGGCTTACAAGATACATAATCTATTAGCACCATAGTGCCTACATATAGTTTTTAAACATGGATTTCTGGTTTTGCACATATGGTGGACAAAATAACATGAAAAGATTTTTTCTATAGGAAGTCTGGAAAAGCTAGATGTTATGAAACAAATATCCAGTTATATGTACAGCTCTATTCCCCTGGAAACTAAAAAAAACACTTCAAGTTAAAAAAAAAAAAAGTTAGGCAAGTTCTTAAAAGCAGGGAAGATAGCAGGTGTGCAGGTGTGGACCAACTATTTGTAAGTTTGGAGCAGGTGATTGAATGCCTGTGTACGGACAGGAATCTAGGCCACCACCTATGAAATTAAGACTTTGTGTAGAATGAACTGAAAATAATATGACCAGCATTCCAGAAAGATAATAATGGAACTTGTCTGTCTTAAAACCTGTGTATTAGAAGAAAATAGAAATTTGTCCCTGAAAATTTCTAACCACAGACCACCCAATACAAAAGGTCTATGATCTGACGTTGTCTGGACTTTTTACTACCTAGTAATCATGGAATCTCCCAAGACAAGAAAGCAGCATAAAAAGTTTGTCTCAGGCCACCTATATGTTTGGAACTCTGGTAGAAGCAAAGGCCAGGCTTTGGAGAGGCATGTTGTCCACTTAAGTTTTATAAGATTTTATAGAAAATGTCTCACTGGAGATGTACTTAAAAATCAAAGTCATATATCTCATGAAAAAATATTCAGTCATGACAGAAAGTCAGCAGATATAAGCAGAAGGATTAGATTGTCCAAGAACGTCAGATAATAAAACAATTGAAGAAAGTATGTAAGAAATTATCAAAAACATTAAAGAAACATAAAAATAATAGAAGAAAATAAGTGAAAATCTCAAGAGTGAAAATAGAAGATATGTGAAAGAATAGAAGAGAACTTCTAGAAATTAAAAATGTATTGGAATATAATTTATATGTAAAATTGTACATATATGGAAATCAATGCTGAAACATTTTTACTGCAGGGCTGTGTAATCAAAATGTTTAGAGTTCTCTGATTTATAAGATAAGGCAAGTGATATAAAGGAGTGGAGTAGGCTGGTTGCAAGTTAAAATTAATAAGAAGTAGTGCATGGCTTGTGTATTGAGGCAGTGCTTACACAGTTCTACCAATTTTGCATGGGGTATGTGTACAACGTGTTACTAACATATATTCTGATTTCTCAAGAGGAATTGTAAAGTCCAATTTTTTTATGTAAAATCGAACAATTTTAAAATATTTAGAATTATTTCGAGTCCCTTTTAAATACTACGTAGGCCTAAAGAAACAGCAATGGCTAACATATTGCACTTCATATTTGACAGGTTGGTCAAGGAGAAAGGACTTACAAAAAAATGAAAAAGAATGGTTAGGAGTTCAAGAACAATAGAAGCTAAGAGAACAGAGTTTTTCAGGTAGGAGTGAGTGGCAAACAGTGTTCAGTATAGTAAGAGGAGAATAGGAAAAAAAATGAATTGATTCAATTCAATTTTAAATGTGTGCTTCAGTGATTTTTAGAAAAAGTTTTAGTGGAGTATTGATAACTAAAACCATATGTCAGTAAATTTGGGAGTGATTATTAATCATGAAAATAGAATTGGCATGTTTCATCTACTTTGGGCCCAGAAAAGAGGGCTCTTACTCCAGGCCAGAAGAGGATTATTTGTTAATAATGTATTTATTTTTCTTTACGAAGGAAGAGACTTTAGCATGCTTATAGTACAAGGGCACAGATCCAGTGGGGAGAGAGAGAGAAAGGAGGTAATTTATGAGATAGATCAGATCCACAGCATTGGCCTTGAGCAGAGGGAGAGCCCCTTGTCTTCTAAGACTGGTGATATGGTTTGGCTGTGCCCCACCCAAATCTCAACTGGGATTATATCTCCCAGAATTCCCACGTGTTGCGGGAGGGACCCAGGGGAAGGTAATTGAATCATGGGGGAAGGTCTTTCCTGTGCTATTCTCATAATAGTGAATAAGTCTTATGAGATATGATAGGTTTATCAGGGGTTTCCACTTTTGCTTCCTCATCATTCTCTCTTGCTGCTGCCATGTAAGAAGTGCCTTTCACCCTCCACCATGATTATGAGATCTCCCTAGCCATGTGGAACTGTAAGTCAAATTAAAACTCCTTTTCTTCCCAGTTCAGGTATGTTTTTATCAGCAATGTAAAAACAGACTAATACAACTGGGTTTAGGAAATAGGAGAAATATTTGGGGCAATTCCATTTAGACCCTGAGTTCCCTAATTTCTTGAGGAAATAGTAGGCAAAATCCACAGCTGATGAAGAGGTTAGGGATCAGTTTTGAAGATAGTAGTGAGGATGAGAAATATTTGCTTCAGTGAATGCAAGTTCTAAAAGCCAAAGAAAATATTGGAGGAAATGTTTAGAGATGCAGATACACATCTGTTGTAAAAGCTAAGATAATTAAAATAAACAATTGAGAGGTCTAAAAAAAAAACAGTGGAGAGTAGTATAACATAAAAAAGATGATGTAAGTTACTCATAATGATAGCAGCAGCAGACAAATTCCTAGGCAGACAGAAGCTGGTCCTGGCTGAAACCCGACCTTCAAACCAAAGACAATTTAAAGCCTGAAAACCGAGCTGCCAGTCCACAGTCAGAGTGAGAACTTCCTCAATGTCTTTTAGCCAATCAAATGGTGCTTTTTCCAGGTCCTCCCATGGACCAATCAGCATGCACTCCCCCATTCTGAGCCCATAAATACCCAGGACTCAGCCACACATGGGCTACACGCTTTCAGGGCTTCTCTCACACAGAGGGGTACTCACTTTGGGTCTCCTCTCATTGTTGAGAGCTTTTCTGTCATTCGATACAATTCTTCCCTGACTTGCTCACTCTCAGATGGCCATGTAACCTCATTCTTCTTGGTTGTGGGACAAGAACCCAGAACCCACTGAATGGTGGGTGCAAAAGGAGCTGTAACACTGTAACCCTCCTGCCCTCTTCCAGCACCAGGCGGTCACCCCTTGTGACAGGAAGCAGCGGTATGGGGCTGGGCCAGGTGAGGAGCCATGGGCCAGAGTGAGGCTGTGAGACTGAATGAGCTATGACATGCCCCCATTTCCTGAAGCATGTGGTCGGTCGGAACAAACGAGCTGTAACATGAACGAGCTGTAACACACTGTAATTCTTCCTGGGACTCAGACCTCGGGATTCCCTGAACAAAAACTGGGGCTCTGTGGTTGCTGGTATTTCCAAAATTTTGCATGCCACTGCATCCCCCTCATCCAGACATCAGCGCCCAAGGTGGAAGCTGGTCACAACATGCCTGGACAGGCTGTGAGCCTAGCACAGAGCTGCAGTGGGTGCATGGGTGTGAGATCTGGCAGGTAGTGCAAGCCGAGTGCAGTCAGCCGGACCAAATAGGAGGAGCAAGCCCAGAGGGCCCAAGCAAAATCCAGTCAGAGGTGCTGCAGCCACAGAGGTTTCTGGCTGGCAAAGCTGCACTGAAAGCATAGTCATAGTGCATCTCAGCAATTATTAAAAAATGTCATCTTTTTCAATCGTAGTCTGTTACTTTAAAAGATTACCGCCAAAAATTATTTAATCTCATTTCATTAAAAATACATTTTTTTGCTGGTATAAATAATACATACATAAAGTTGACCCTTGAACAACACAGGGATTAGGGGACCAACACCCCCACACAGTTGAAAAATCTACATATGACTTTGCACTCACCCAAAACTTTACTATTAATAGTCTACTGTTGGCCGGGCACAGTAGCTCACCACTGTAATCCTAGCACTTTGGGAGGCCGAGTCGGGTGGATCACTTGAGGTCAGGAGTTCTGAACCAGCCTGGCCAACATGGTGAAACCATGTCTCTACTAAAAATACAAAATATATTAGCTGGGCTTGGTGGCAGGCACCTGTAATCCCAGCTACTTGGGAGACTGAGGCAGGAAAATCACTTGAACCTAGGAGGCAGAGGTTGCAGTGAGCCAAGATCACGCCACTGCACTGCAGTCTGGGCAAAAGAGTGAGACTCCCCCTCAAAAAAAAAAAAAAGGAAAAAGAAAAAAAGGCCTACTGTTTGCTGGAAGCCTTACTGATAGCATAAACAGCTGATTCACACATATTTTGTATGTTATATGTATTATATACTATACTTTTACAATAAAGCAACCTAGAAGAAATGTTAAGAAAGTCATAAAGAAGAAAAAATATATTCTTCATTAAATGGGAGTTGATCATCAAAGTAGTCTTCCTCCTTGTGTTCATGTTGAGTAGGCTGAGGAAGAACAAGAGGAGTTGATTTTGCTGTATTGTGGGTGACAGAGGTGGAAGCGTTGAAGGAGGTAGAAGGGGAGGCAGGAGAGGCAGGGATGATCTGTGAAACTTTACAGAAATACATGGTAATTTCTGTCTGACTTTTTAATTTTTTTAGTATCTCTGAAAATGTTTCTACATTGAGACAAATTTTTCTTCCATCATTTGCTTTAGTTTCAAAAAAGGGCCTATGCCCTAAAAGAAGTCAAAAGCAGTCCTGAATAATCAGAACTCCTCTGCAGATTGTCTAATGTCAATTTGTTTTCTGGCAGTGCTTCTTCTATGTTTTCTTTCTCATTGTCTGGCACTGATTAGAAGCACTCATCTACATCATGTCATCTTCTGTTAATTTCTCTGCTGTGGTATCTAATAGCTTTTTAATTTCTCCAAGATCCAACTCTTAAAACCCCTCATCCTTCCCCGCCCCACTTTTTTTTTTTTTTTTTGCCATATCCACCAAGTCTTTCATTATTTCCTTTATCAGCACTTTCATAAATCCTCTGAAGACACACATAACTTCTGGACACAGTTTTCTCCAGCATGAACTTATTGTTTCAGGCTTGATGGCTTTCATGCTTTTCTATAACAATGATGGCATCTTCAAAAGTGTAATCCTTCCAGAGTTTCTTGACGTTCTTTCTATCAGGTTCTCTACCAAAGCACTGGCAATATTTTCCATAGAGTACAATGTGTAATGAGCATTAAATGTCCTTACGACCCCCTGACCTAGAGGCTGAATTAGAGACATTGTGTTTTGGGGCAAGTAGACCACTTTGACACCTTCAGGGTTAACTCATGGAGTTCTGGGTACCCAGTGAGCATTGTCCAATATCAGAAAAACTTTAAAAGGGAGTCCCTTATTGGCAAGGTGCTTTCTGACTTCAGGAGCAAAGCATCATTGGAGCCAATCCAGATAAAGTGTTCTTGTTGTCCAGACCTTGTTGTACAAACAAAAGACTGGCAGTTGGTGTTTATCTTTTTCCTTTTAAGTTCATGTGTTGGAAGCTGTTTAGATAAGGGCAGTACTGTTGATAAATCCAACTGTATTTGACAAAACAGCTGAGTCAGCCTGTCCCTACTTGCCTTAAATCCTGGCTCTTGCTTCTCTTCTTTTCTTTCTTTTTGTTTTTTATTTTTATTTTTTTTCTTTTTGAGATGGAGTCTTGCTCTGTCACCCAGGCTGGAGTGCAGTGGCACAATCTCAGCTCACTGCAAGCTCCGCCTCCTGGGTTCATGCCATTCTCCTGCTTCAGCCTCCCGAGTAGCTGGGACTACAGGCACCAGCCACCACGCCCGGCTATTTTTTTTTTTTTTTCTATTTTTGGTAGAGACAGGGTTTCACCATGTTAGCCAGGAAGGTCTTGATCTCCTGATCTCGTGATCCACCCCCCTCAGCCTCCCAAAGTGCTGGGATTACAGGCGTGAGCCACTGCACCTGGCTGCTTCTCTTCTTTTCTAATAAATGTCCTTTGTTTCTTTTCTTTCCCCCAGAACAGGGTACTTTTGTCTACATTAAAAACCAGTTCAGGAAGATAGCCTTTCTCCTCATTGACTTTCTTAATGGCATCTGGGAACTCATCTACTGCCCCTTGGTTGGCAGAACCTGCTTCTACTGCTATGATGACTTTTGTTTAATCAAACCTCTTTCTACAATTATCAAACCATCCTTTGCTGGCATTACATTCTCCAGCTTTAGATCCTTTACCTTCTTTTTGCTTTAAGTTGTCATATAATGACTTCGCTTTTTCTCAAATCATATTACAGTCTATAGGTATGCCTTTCTTATAGCAACCGAACACCCACATAAAAGCTTCATTTTCAGTACTAGATAAAAAAACATATTTTACAAAAAGTGCAAGGTTTTCCCACCTGCTGGCATAGCTGCAGCAACAGCTTTAGAAATATCCTATTCTTTTACGATTGTCCTTAGGCAGGATTCATTTATCTTCAAATGATGAGCAACAGCAGCTGTAGTCTTCAATCTTTGGTACGTATCAAGCAATTCAACTTTTTCTTGTAATGTCATGACTTTTCTCCATGGTTTTATTCAAAGTTTATGGTATTGCACTAAACGCAATGTAAAATACATGAGAACTGCTAAAGATCATTTTTTACTGTGATAATTTACTGGAGAGTGAACTGCTCAAGCAGAAATGATTTAGTGTCACATGGTGTTTTGGGCAAATACTCGCAACACTTGAGCTCACTATAATAGCAACCAGAGGAGGCTATGAAATTATTACAGTAGTACAGTATGTACTAAAGTTAATTTTATGTGACTATGATTTAATACTGCATTTTTACATTTGTTTACATTTCTCCTGCCTGTGTTTAGTGGCATGTATAGTCTGTGTTTATGTGCTTAAGTTTTGATACATTTTAACTCTTAATAATAGGTTTTTGTATATTTTATGGTAAATGATAAAATAGACTAGTTTTTACGTATGTTTTTTCATCAATGGCATACTTAACTTTTTCTTAATTTTTTTGATATTTCTAGGCTATGTGGTTCTTCTGCAAGTTGTTTCAAATTGTTACAAATCTCTAAAAATTTTTCCAATATATTTAGTGAAAAAAGTCTGCACATAAGTACACCCGCATAGTTCAAATCTTTGTTTTTCAAAGGCAAATTGTAGTATTAAAAATGATACAAATAGCATCACAATATACATACTCCAATATCTCCAGAACTTTACATAGAAAAATATTGATATCCATTACATTCTATTTAATGTTGACATGGAATACCATTATATGGATGCATCATAGTGATCATATATCCAGTTATTTATTGATGGCCATTTAAGTTGTTTTCATTGTTTTTTACAGTCAAACAAAGCTTGCAAAGTCTCTCACTCTTGTTTTAATTATGTACATACATTTGAAGGACAAATTTTCCAAATGAAATTTAGCATCAAACAGTATTTCTATGTTAAATTTTGATTGGTGCTAACTTATCCTCTACAAATATGCACTAATCTACATTCACATCTACAATGTTTGTGAATTTGTTACTGAGTTTCCTCATAAAGACTGGGCAATACATAAGGTTAAATTGTTTCACTAGCAGGAGAGAAGAAAATAGTAAGTTATTTATTTCTTTTATAATGAAAGGAAAAATGATGATGAATAAAACACTCTCCTTGATCTGCTGAAATTTCAGTCTATTGAAAGAGGCAGAAAATTAAAAAAGAAGTTACACTGAAGCAAGTTGAATAAGTCTGAGAATAGAAGAAGTCCAGGGTGCTATGAAAATTCAAAGAAAAGATATATAACTAAAGCATGGTGATGTAAGAAAGACTTACTGTGGAACTGATGACTAAGCTGAGACCCAAATGATTATATGATTTAACAAGATAAAGTTTGGACACCTTTTTTTTTTTTATTCCATCCAGAGGACAAAGATCCTGCAAAATCCTATTGGTAAGAGAAAGCATGTTTTAACATGGCCAGACCTGGATACTGCTCCAACAAATTTTTATTGAGTGTCAACTCTCTACTAGGCACTGTGTTGGAACTAGGGATATTATGGTGAGTAAGACAGGCATGGTATTTTTCTTCACAAAATTTAAGAGAAAGGTAAATAAACAATAATAATCATGCATCTTAACTTCATAGTTTATTTTCTGAACTGCAATGACCATGTTTTTTACTCTACTTTAGCCACTCAGACTCCTGACCATACGCTTAGATTCCCAAGTTGTTCCCTGTCAGAAATTTTAACTGTTATTCTCCAGTTCATTGGCATTCATTTATTTTTCTCATTCCTTCATGCTCTCTCGTATTCTCTTAAATCTGTGGAGATATTCAGCCTATCGATTGCTTTATTCCCTCCCAGTTGTGCTTGGTCTTGGCCTTCCTACTTCTCTATCCATCTTAGACTGCATGGTTTATCATTTCAGTCACTCAATAATCATGAGTGTTCATCCTTAAGCCTAATTATCTAGAAAAGACCTGATTCCTAACTCATCCAAAACTATACCGTCTCTATGCAGGATCTTGAGTGCTGCAAGAAGAGTCCTCAAAACCCTAAATATTTTTGTTAGATCAAATTCATGTCCTTCAACCTTAGCTGGAGTTATGGTACAATGCATCAAATATAGTGTAGTGATACCATATTTAAAAATATATTGATGTTCTTTCTTCCTGAGAATTTCTTTGTGATGACAGTCTTCCTAATGAGCAGACACCTACAAGTGATGATAAGTAGGTTGTAAAGAGAAAAAAAAATCAATATTTAGCTTTTTAACCTAAAATTAGGCTCTTGAAGCTCATTTCAAAAATAAATAGATAGTTCTGAAAATGAAGACAAATTTTGTATAATAAAAGCAGGGCTTTCAAGTAAGAGGACAACCACCAAAGCCATTTTGCAAATGGAAAACCATAATTCAGTAAGAGCCTGTCATGTTACCAAAACTTATCAGCAGAAGAAGAAGAAAACCTATAAAGTATTGGGTTATGCAAACGCAAGCAAGCACAGTATGAGGATAGCTGTGCCTTGCTGAGGGGCTATGGCAGGAGCCTATAGGCTCTCTGGCAAAGGCACCATATGAGCTGCCATCTGCATCTCACCTCTGTAGTGTCTCACAGGTATGAGTGTTCAAGGTTTTCTCAACTCATCTAAATACCATATAAAGTGACCCTCTACTCAACCCCCCGCAACTTCCAACACTCCTAATGCCTTAAGCATCAAGAATCAGTCAGGGGAATTTTACATGACCAGAGATAACAGTACTGGTGTGGAAGGAAATGTCCCCAGCACTTTTCCTTGTTTGGATTAAAAGGAAACAGCTCCAGATTTTCTCTAGGATTCAGGAAAATAGGAAAATCTAGTCCCTCATTACAACATCGCAAGGCCTGGCACATCATAAGCCCTGAAAAAATATCTGTTGAATAAATGCATGTGTAAATGAACATAGGAAAGCATGATGAAGGTCTAATTCCAGAAAGTGATACTGGGGAGCAGACAGATGATCAGGAGATAAATGGGATGAGGAGAGGTAGAGGACTATAGCTGGAGAGCATGATGTTGAAGGAGGAAGGCTTTTACATAGGGTGTAGGAGAAGCTGCTCTAAAAATCACCAGGTTCGGGCTGGGCGCGGTGGCTCACGCCTGTAATCCCAGCACTTTGGGAGGCTGAGGCGGACGGATCACGAGGTCAGGAGATCACGACCATCTTGGCTAACACGGTGAAACCCCGTCTCTACTGAAAAATAGAAAAAATTAGCCGGGCATGGTGGCAGGCACCTGTAGTCCCAGCTACTCGGGAGGCTGAGGCAGGAGAATGGCATGAAGCCAGGAGGCGGAGCTTGCAGTGACGATCGTGCCACTGCACTCCAGCCTGGGCAATAGAGTGAGACTCCGTCTCAAAAAAAAAAAAAAAAAAAATCACCAGCTTCCAGGTGCTATGCTTAATGGAACAGTTATTGGCACAGAATGACTATACATAACAAATGCCTTGAGGAATATCAATGGATGCATCTACTAGACCAACAGTAAAGGGTCAAGAGAGGATAATGATGAAAGGAAAGAGTATGAATAGACTTTCAATAAACTTTCATTCAAAACTTACATTGGACACCTAATACATTCTAGGCACCGAGTTAGGCTCTGGGTGATGGCGACAAGCAAAACAGGTGCGTTTCCTGTCTTTTTGTGACTTACCATCTATTGAGGAAAATTGATTTTAAACAAATAAATTCAGTTTATGTTTATGCACAATATAAATTTTGAAAACTTCTGTGAAGTAAAGGAACAAATTTCATTTGAAAGAATTTTAAGGAGTTTGGGGAAGACTTCTCAAGGAAAGGGACCAATGAGCTCAGGTTGAACGAAGGGAAGGGAGTTAGCCAGGCACAGAGAGCACAATTGTAATCTTTTAATTATCTGGACCAAGGTTAAAAAGATAATGTGTTGGCAATTAGAACACAATATGAGGAACTTGTACCAGCCAAACTATATATACATATGTGTATATGGGTGCCTGAGTGTGTATATGTGTGTGTGTATGTACATACACACACACATATATACATATACATATACAAACACACATATAATATACACATTCATGCACACATACACACATATGTATGCACACATGCATATACATGTGTATGTGCACATATATCCTCACATACACATACAGACATGAATTTATTAAGGAGATTTTGACTTACACAATTGTGGTAGTTGGTGTAACAGTCTGTGAGAAGCTGTTGCCTTCTATCCGTGTACAACAGGTCTTTTGGAAGAGAAGATAGATGTGAAATAAGTAACAGCAAAGACAAACTGCAACTCACAAAGTGAGATAGAACCCAAGATTTTAGAATGTAAACTTTGCTCCTCTAAGCTTCTCTAAGCCTCCACCTTAGATGATATCGGTGACCTACTGAAAGAGTTGGCCCACTTCCTCACAGAGATAAACACACACCTGGCCTAGGATTCAGAGAAACTAATGGATGGTCAGGTGAGAACTGGAGAATCTGCGGGCATGGCTGTTGTCCTGCATCAACAGGGTAAGCCAGGAGGCTTGGGAGAATGTGCTTTCAGTTGCGACACAGTTTCATGTCCTGTCCAACCTTCCAAATGTACAATGAATATGGCTACTGCTTCACATTCCTTTTCCAAATCCCACACATACCCACAATACACAGGGTAAGTAATTCTGAAAAATATAGTTCCAGCTTAGTTTAAGTTAACACAATGCAATTCCATCACAGTAGCAATTCTTAATTTTTTTTTTTAAAAATCCTTTCTTGAGGTGTTTAAGGGTAGAAGAGAAAATTGAATGGCTTTTAGTGTTAGAAACTAACAGTAAGAAGATGAGACTTGGCCACATGCCCGGTGTTGTAATGAGAGCAGGCTCAGGTATAAGGCAAACAGAGTGAAAATATTACAGTGTAAGGAATAGACTGGAATGGACAGCCCTGTGATCCAGGTCTCTTATTGGGATAGAGTATTCAGCCAATATAGTTGTGACCAGGTTGTCCTCTACAGGAAATGGGGGAAGAAGGGAAATAAAGACAACTATAGTCACATCAGCTTAATAGAGTATTCATCTGGGGAATGCTACAAAGAAATAAAAGTTTATGCAACCAGGTAATGTTTCCCATAACCAAGCCAAAAAAGTGCATTCCTTCTGGAAGCTATCTCCAAACTAACCCCACTTGGCTTCTTTTAGTTTCAGTCATTAAACTTCTTCCTGTCCACTTTCCTGAATACTGAACACTTACGTAAACGTCTCTTTACAGCTTCCATCTGGCAGATGTTTCTGTCACTCAAGTTTCTGATTTTATTGTTCTACCTTGTCTCCTTCATGGGGCCATAAGCTCCTCAAGAGCAGCACTGGGCTCTTGCTCTTCATATGTGGGTCATTTAGTAAATGCTGTTGACTGATATGGGGACAGATTAAAGGACTGTCCTGTTTTGAGGAACTGTGGGTCCAACCTGAGCAATCTGAAAAGCTCTTGCTTACAAACAGCCGAAACAATGTAATAAAGGGTAGATCTTTTAATAAAAGGTAGACCATTTAAATAAAAGCTATTTCAGGAGTTGTTACCCTGGAAAAGTCTACCACTTCCATGTGATAAATCCTTTGTATCCAAACTGGGTTTTGTCTATTTTTATTTATCCTTATTATCATATTCTGTACCTTAAAAGTTGCCTCATCCCTGCACCCCAAAGTTTCTGAAAACTTGGCAAGAAGAAAACTCGGCCCTATATACTCTGCCTAAGGTACAGCTGAGTCTAGCTTCTGGATTACTGCAGGATTTAAAAATCACTGTCATTTCTTTGTAATGTCTTTCCTCCCTCTTCCCCATCAGAAGTTATTTCATCTTTCTCATAGAATATTACATATGTGCATGTGTATTGAACTTATTGTCCTCTATTCTGCATTTGAGATATGTGCACATATTTTTTTCTACATGGTTAACAGGGCCACCATGGCTGGGTTCCTGCTTCTTGAATAAAGGGATATAATAAAGCACCCATAATCACAGGTTATATATACTTTATCACAGTGTATAGAGCCATGCCTTGCACTAAGTTCACTGCTGGTGAGTCTTTCTTCCTTCTCTTTTCTTTTTCGCTCTCTTTTTCTTTTTCTGACTGAATAATAAGAACGAGGATAACAAAGTAAACTGGATCCTAGGAAAACAAATGTCCTCCAACAGACCTAACTGATAATAAATTATATAGCCCCCAATACCTGGGGAGCTTGGGATGGGTGAGAGACGTGTGCTATTAGTGGCCTCGGTTATATTTCGTTTCATTGTTTAATAGGTCTATTACCTTGAACATGTTAAATTAGCTCTCTATTTTATTTTTGATTTAAAATAGAGATATTATTACCATTCTCATACTGGTGTTATAACAGGTACATAAATTATCATACGAAATACCTAGAACTTCACAAACACTTAGGGCTCAAAATTTATCCATGTTACT
The DNA here is from genome assembly GCF_000001405.40 of Homo sapiens. Classification (NCBI taxonomy): domain Eukaryota; kingdom Metazoa; phylum Chordata; class Mammalia; order Primates; family Hominidae; genus Homo; species Homo sapiens. Next base: position 82,679,516 of record NC_000001.11, on the reverse strand, counting down.
TCCACATGTGATGCCTTTTTATCTTTTCTGTTCCAAGACAAGTGCTAATTATTTCTAAGGGCCCAGATCAAATCTCATTTTCTCTTGAAAATCATCCTCATATACACTCATGATTTCTCCTTTCTTTGTATTTCTAATCTGCTTATAGTGTTTCCCAATGTATTTTAACTTTTTGAAGAAAATCTCTTTTTAATGTCAAAGGGTTATTTTTTTCCCATATGATAGTTGTTCTAAGAATCCATTAATTGAGGTTATGCTTACGGGCAAAGAATCCTTCCATAGTTGGTTCATATCATCCTTATTTATAACCTCATTGTACATAAAGGACAAAGCTCTTTGTATATGTATCCAATTGTGTATTCGGTCTATAGGCATGCCTAGAGCAATGAGGATGTATTCACTCTGTGAAAAACTGAGCAGGCATCACCTGGTTCCATCTCCCCCGCTTCTATCTTCCTAGCACTCCTCACTCTTCTGCCCACCTGAACTCATTCATGCTAATATTGTTGGACCCACAGTTCGCTAGTAACTGGACTATGTTTTTCCACCGTTTTATACATACACATTGTATCTACACATACACTCCATTTGTTCTAACAATATTTAAATAACATCTGATTTAGATTTTATGGTAGTAGTGAATTTATATCATTTACATCTTCATCTACTCACTATCAACTACATGCTGTAGTGCTGTTCTATAAATATTTAATGAACGAATTAATCTCTAATATGCATTTTCCTAAATACAGAAAATACACAATTTTATTAGTGATTCTTATTGACATCAAGAAGGTTGTGTTCTAGTTTAGATGAGATGAGTTGGGAGCTTGCGGAGATATGCTCATTCATATCCTTCAAAAAGCAAATGCCAAGATGGGATTAATTGTGTAAGGATTTTATTAGGGAAAATGTCTATGAGGCAAACTGGGGAAGGAGCCTCAAAAGGCTGGGAGAACCATCAGACTGGGGTGTAGTTTTAACCTTAATGAAGTATCAAGAAAAGGAATGATGGGTGGAAGCATATTGCCAGGTGTATAAGGAAGGTTCAACAAGGCTATTAGGTGCTCCCCAAGCCAGTCAGAGGAAAAAGGAGTCCCTGGTCTCCTGTCCCTGCCACATGCAGCCACTGTCTCTTGGCAGCCTGAAGGAAGCATGATCTCAGAGAAAATGGCACAGTAGATTTTTGAGTGCAGCCTCTGGGTCCCACCTGCAACGTGTAGTCTCACGTATATCACACCTGTTTCACAGAAGAACACACACTCAATAAAATAAAAATAATTAATGTACCATCAGGTGGTTTACAAACATTTTTTGTACCTGCCACTGTACAAATGCAAGTAATCATCAGAATGCAAGTAATGATTTTTTTTTGTTTGTGTGTGTAACCCTTTTTCCAAACACACATTTTCGTTTCACTTTGACTCAACATAACTTACCTTACACATATAATAGATTTTTGTTGTTGTTGTTGAACCCTCTTTCCAAACACACTTTTTAATTTTACTTTTGATTCAATATAACTAATCTCAACCATAATTTATGAGTGCCAGACTAATCTGTTGATACATTTAGCAACTAACTTTCCTCTGAGTCTTAGTTTCTCCATGTGCAAAGTTAAGGATAAGTCTGGCTGATTTTTAAAATCCTGTCTCACTTTTAATGAAGTAAGGAGACTGACATTCCGTAAGTGCCTACTATTTATCAGGCTTTGTACCATGAAGTTTCACATGCATTATTCCTTTTAATTCTTACAAAACTCACTCTAGTAGATGTTGCCAGTGTTGTCATCTTCATTTGGACACACAGGAATTCAAACAAGCTTGCCTAAGGCCATATAGTTAGTGGTGGATCTGTTATTCAAAGCAAATCTGAATGAGTTCTCATGTTTTCCGAGTTAAAAAGAGACCAAAGTAATAATAAGAAGAAGAATCAAGCTCCAGATTTCTCCCATTAATCAAGAAGCAGTTCTCAAATTCTACATCACATGAGAACATCCAGGGTGCTTGTGAAAAAATATATATTAATGAAACTATGGCACTCTCACATTTGTTGACTGGACCTTCAAATCTGTGTTTGAAGAAGTGCCAAAGGTGATGCTGACATAGGTGGTTGGATGGATGTTGCCTTAGAAAATACTGGCACAGAATGCATTGTTGCCAAGTAAAGAAAAAACAGAAGAAAGTCAGTGCTTCAGGCTGACCAAGAACACAACTGATAAAGAGTAGGAAGACACTGCAAGGCTGCACTACCTACTTTACCGTTCTCTACATGCATGCATTTCCTACTGCCCCCGCCCCCCCAAAATGGCTTCTAGATATCTATCCTAGGGAAATAGAAACTGATTTATGCCAAAAAATTTACATAGAAATTTTTTTATCGTAATTGTGATTTTTATCTCGTCACAATGCTAGATAGTATGGTAATTCAATTTAACATGATATTTCATATATAGAAGAAATACTGGAAGAAAATTTAATTTACTAAGGATGGATACTCATGAGTGGTGGTAATATGGGACTTTTATTTTCTTATTTGCAATTTCCTGTGATTTCCAGATTCCCAATAATGTACACGTTACCTCTGTATTTTTTAAAAAAGCTATTTAAGACATTTCTAAACTTAAATTTGACAATTTCTCTAAGTATTTGAAATGTACAATCTTAAAACATCTATTATACCTGATTGAAAGTTTAACTGTCACACATATATTCAGACAAAAGAATTATTCCAATCTATGGAGATAATAGACAGTGACATTGAATTGTACAATGTTTCTGAAAATAAATTTATTTTTCTTCCACAATATGTTCTGATTTAATGAATATTTAACTATGTATAATGAATAAAACTAATTACAGTAGTTTTCCTATAAGGTTATTAAAATACTAACCAGAGTGTCTTGGGAGTGTTCTCAATACCCATTTCTACATCAAATACCTTTTTTCTATCATTGTTTTCCAAAGAGCCTGGCCTGTTTTTGAGATCTGGTAAAGAATTTTCTCAGTGGAGAAAAAAATGGCAGATTTCATTATTTTGATGTTTCCTTTTTAATTTGCATTCTTAAAGAAGTGTTACTTCATTCCAATTCATGAGTTTACTCGTTTGCATTAAGTTCGATGTGTCTAGAATTTCACGACAGTGCGTTTAAACTATTCAGTCACATCTACCTCTTCTGGGAAATTTTGACATCTTTCTGTAGTGTGCTTGTAAATTTTTTGTGGTTTTCCCTTTCAAATTCAGTAGTAGATCATCAAGCCTTTGAGTATGGTAGCTCTGGCAGTTGTCAAAGCAAAAAGCCATATATGTTTCCAAATACAACTGATGTTCTTCCAGGATAGTGAAAGCTTCTATTTAATGAAGAGTTAACCAAATTATTTTTCTGTATTCCGGAGGAGTAAATTACTACAATTAAATTATTCATGTAGATTAGGTTTAAGCAGCAACAGCTATCATATTCAGAAATATATTAAGAAAACTATTTGAAAATCTTAAATCCTAGCTATATAATTTAGAAGCATCTTCCCAGGAGAAAACACATGAACACTAAATGAGATTAGAGTATTTCTAAATAATGGAGTTTCTGAAAATTATTTCTCCAACTTGAATATTTTTAAAATGAATAGCAATGCACTGAAATTGAGAGACTTTTAGAAGTTTCTGATCTGATATATGCATGAGTATCTTCCTTCGTTATTTAATATTTATTAAGTATGTACACTAAGTTAGCCCTCTATCAATTATACATATAATATACCCATATTGGAATAGCTAAGAGTTAGTAAAAATAACCTATACATTATATAAATACAAAGTGGTAATATTGTACAGCTTTTAATTAACCATGTCACCTTTATTCCTCCTGTCTGCTTTTGTTTTGCTTTATTTTCCAGTAAAAAGAGAGCTTTCCCTCCTTGAATAAAATAGACTTGGGCCCATCTACAACATTTATCTTTTATGAAGTGTGTGTATGTGGACAAATTCCTTAACTTAATTGGGTCTCAAGTTCTCGATCTACAGAGGAAGATAATAATGTGTACATTTTTACTGAGTTTGAGAGGGTTAAATGTGAAATTAGGTAAAGAACACATGCAAAATGCATATGCACAATAATTTTTAGTGTATCATTTTTTGAATTAGCAGACACTAGACACAACACAAATGTCCATCAGTAGGAAATTAGTAAAATAAATACAATAAATATTATGCATCCATGAAAAGGAAAGAATATATTATTTGTGCACTGATATAAAAAGATCTTCAATATAGAATATTATATGAAAATTATGTGTTAGAAGAGTATGTATAGTGTGCTAAAAGGGATCACTTATGCAAGAGTTTTTCCCTTAATCTATTTTTCGTACCTAAAACTTGTAGTACATTAAAAATTACTCATTTCTCTAAGGCCTTCTTAATAGATTTTAAACTTTGGAAATGATCATCGCAAGTCCATGTTGCATTAGAATATTTATTTACCATAAACACTGCTAATGCTTTTTCAAAATCATTGAAGTTTAATATCTGTATATTGTTCTGCAAATATATATGTAGGGAGTTATCAAAATTAGCATTACCATATAATTGCAAATTTGGGATTGTATAAAATATAATTCCACATAAGTGCTTATTCAAAGACTTCTACAAATCAAATTGTTTACTTGACATAGTGAAGCCATTCTTACCTGTCATGTAAATGCATGCTTTCATTGAAAGCATGTGTTATGAAGCATGGCTATTTCTGAGGTACTAGTGGGAATTATTTATGAAGATCAATTGTGCACACTAGGTAAGGATATATCCTTAAACTATTTAAATTAATTAGTTAATTAGGACAACCTAGATACATCTCTGATTTTCCAGACACCAACCTAGGCTACATATGGATTCAATTTTAGAGGATCATTTCATGACAAGAAAAGAGTGTGAACAGGGCAAGAGAGACTAGAGAGATTAGGAATTGCTCCTAATTTGGGGGTAGAGAGGTATACGAAGGCTGTTTATCAAAAGTAGTATAATATTTTACATTAAATTATTAACTAAAACTTGCCAACTTTCAGGCATATATTTACTTCCTCATTCTTAAAAAATTTAAAGATATCACATTTTAAACAAAACTAAAATTTTCAACTCCTGTGCCACATTAAATAAAAAGGGAAATGTTTTTTTCTAAGTGTTTTTTTCCCTTTTTCCCATATATAGGCTTTTCAGAAAGCTCAGTATATTAAACTTCTTTTGGAAAATTTTTTAGAGATATTCTGAATATTTTCAAGATCAAGAAGCATTTTTACTAAGTGAAGTTATTTCTACCATTGTTTTCAGATAGAAATGCTTCACTTTAAGAATAAGAATGTAATAGACGTGAAATGTCAAAGATACAAAAGACATAATTCACAATATGACTTATTCAAGACACAATAGGACTTAGTGTCATACAAGTATGTTCACCATAAGATGACTTTAAATACTGAATGGTGCAGTACACTTAAAGTAAATTTATTATGCAAAATTTTGCTTTACATACTTGACTTAATTAAATACATAAATAAGTGACCATGCTATTTACTTTAAGAAGAAAAATTTGTGACCCAAGAATTAATCAACTATCTATATTAATATTATATATATGTACACATTTGTAAACATACAAGAAGACTTGAGGTACAGTGTGCAATAATTATTTATAAAAGCAAGTACTGACTATTATGCCCAAATAAAAAAAAGTCAGACATATCAAATCAATTAATGGCCTAATGAGCCACTTAATACAATTCACTTCTTCTTTTTGTTTAATCTGAGATGTGTGTGTCTTTCCTGAAATGTATGAATAAAGGAGAAAGTCTAAGCAGACTCCATTTTCATACATAGATTGAAATGGGAAAGGGTATAAAAGTTGCAGGCAGATGTAGGATAAATAAGTCTGTAGATTCAACATAAGAACTATAATTATTATTATTATTATATAACTATAATATTGTATTGTATGTTGAAATTTTGCCGAGAAAGTAGATTTTAGGTGCTCTTATCAAAAATAAAAGGGTAACTATGACAAGTATGTTAATTTGCTTGACTATAGTAACAGTTTCACTATGTATATCAAAACGTTATGTTGTACACCTTAAATATATACAATTTAAAACAAATTTTTTAGGTAATTCATCTGGAAAATGTCTAACTTTTCCAAACAAACCATAGTTTTATTTTAATATCTCAGCAGCATTCTCAATTGTTTTATTTGGTAGTGAATGAACTTTGGAGAAAGATGTGCACCCTTAATGAAATCCAGTTATACCAGAATGTCTAAATATGTTCGTTGAGCTTACAAATAAAACTACAAAAAAATTTTTAAAACTCTTCAAAAAGTGAGCTGGTAACTGAGGATTGAAATCTGCATAAGTATTGAGGAACAAGTAAAAAGGTTGGAGGTCAAATGGCATGTTGAGACACCCTTTGAAAACCTAATAAATAACCTGCATCACAGATTTTAAATATACAATTTATATAGAGAGATGCACTATTATTTAGTTCACTTCTGGTTACCTCCTTCAAAAGTGTAGGATAATTGGTTAGTAATGCAAGTCCAGTGTAGTACTTGTCTAAGCAAACCATGATGGAAATAATACCTTAGATTTTGAAGTATCTACAACTTAAAAGCAGACAATTGAAACTTTATGCCACAGACTATTAACACCATATGAAGTTGTCTCAGAGTTACAGAACCATCACAGGCTCTTCTAATTGAGGTAACCAGGTGATTCCCTGGAGGGATTTTTAATTGTGGAGGATCAATAGACAGGAGGGTATATTTTACAAACACATCCTTAGAGACAAACTATGGTGTCTTACAATATAATTGATCGTAATAAACTATATTTCAAACATGTTGCAAAATCCAAGGGAATGCTTTAGTAGTCATAACAGAAACATTATTCCAAGAAAAACAAATCTTCAAACATGTCTCTTATGAAGGCACTACAAAATATATCCTTCTAATTTCTCAAATCTCTCGAAATTCAAAATCCCATCAGGTTTCTTAGAGTTGCAAAGAAAAGCTATTAATTTTCATTTCTTTTCAAGACTGCATATTTGTGTAGGTCACTTTTTAATTTAAACTGCTTACCTAACCTATAAAATGCAGTTAAACCAAGCAATTGTTATCAATCATGACTCTAGAAATGTAACCTTTAATTTTAATTTTATTACTTGTTCAAAATGTAAAACTTTATTCAAATGTCATATTTTCCCTACCCTCCTTTTCACAAAAAGAAAAGCTGTTTTACTAAATAGTATCCATCAATGCTCATTATTGCTGAAACCGTGGGAAGCTTTACCCTAAATTTCACAATGCACAGTAGGTTTCTCTTCTCTGTTTATCCACACCATGTGGTCTATGCATGTTTTTGTTTTTTCCTGCAGTGGAAACCACTGTCATCATAACTTATAACTGAATTCTTTTTTTTTCGACAGAGTCTCGCTCTGTCACCCAGTTATTAGTTGCTGAATAGGCATCTGATATTTCAGGAGATAGCAACACCATGTATGAAAGTTTGGAAGCATGAAATAGCAAACTATGTGTTTGATGTAACACATATATGAGAGAAGATGATGGAAATGAGAATAATAATGTAGGCAGAGATTACATTTACTGAAAAAACATTATCCTTAAAGTTATGGTGATCATAGATATGTATTTTATAATATCACCCTCTGTAGAATGGCACAGGGATATCAGAGATTAGGCTTGCTTTAGTATGAACAACTGGACAATTTTACAGCATTTCAGGCATGAAATGAAGGGCATGTGAACTAAGGAAATTGAAACCAAGTTGGAGAGAACTGTGTACATTCAGGAGATATTCAGAAGATAGAATATACACACTCGAGAAATCATATGGAGTGGTAGGAAAGGAATACGAGGAGTTCAGAGGAATAACTAGGTTTCTATTTGTATAAATAAAATATACAACAACGGAGGAGATATTTTGGGAGAAGGAAAGATGAGTTTAATTTTAAACATACTGAGAGTTGTCTGTTGCCTTGATGACATGTAACTTAAGATGTGTGATAAGTAGCAGACCCTAATACATATGGGGTCTAGAGTTCAGCAGAGAGTCCAACGTTATAGATATATATATGTATAGCAACTAATATATATGTATTATATATAATGCATTTATGTGTGTATATACAACTAATATATTTGTATTTTATATGTATTATATGTGTGTGTGTGTGTGTGTGTGTGCTGTTTTCAAATAGATGGAGTTGAAACTGAATTTAGACGGGGTTGTCGAGGTAGAAATAAGGTGAAAAGAGAACAAAGGACGGAATCCTGAAAATGCACCAATATGAAAGAGGCTTTTCAACCAATAATGTTTCTATTCTCAGTCATTAAAGAAGTAGCAAATCCCTCACAAATGAAAATGAAAGTTGTTTCAATTTCTCTATCCATTCTCCTGCCCTCCAGTACCTCCACATTATCCCTAAAAATAGTTTATTTTCTTTTATATGCATAAAATGATTTTTTTATTATACAGCAACAATTTCTAAACTCCTGCCTTTCCACACTTCCCCTTTTATTATCGATGTGGCAAAGTTGCATAGGTGTCAACTAAATGCAGACCTAGTAGTGCCTAGGAATGTTAAGAAGGTCTACCTTGTAGTATGAGTTCATGGGAAAGACCTTTATAATACCTCCTCTATCCAAACACACACATTTAGTGGGAAACCTGAAATAACACCACTTAGGTCTTAGTCTTTCAGTTATATGGAATAAGTTACCACTTTCATAAAACCTGTGTATAACCTATATAGAGATTTTGTGCTTTTTTCCACATACGAATTTTTGCAAAATTCAATAAAGCAACCAAGCCTAATATATATGGAATCAAATAAAACAAATAGAAGACAAGTTCCATGCTAAATCAATCACAGACAACACCTTCAGTATTTCACAGATAGACTCTGCTGACCAATGGTTCGTGGAATATAAATGGCTTACTTCATACCTCCCTAATATTGCTATAGTCCTTTTCTGCAATTAGGTTGGGCTATTCTGGGCAATTCCCTGTGACAATTTTATTTGAAAGCCTAGGCTGACAGAATACATCATCTCTGCTCCCACATTTACTTTGGGGTTTAGGATACAGTGATTCCATTCACACTAAATATTCAGATCTGTCACTTTAAAGTATGGTTGAGGCATCTCTGCTCTTCTCCTGCTCTGGAAGGGAAGGCTTTCAAAGACCCATCAGAGTGGAAGCAGTCAAGCAGGCACATTTTAAAGTGACAGGTCTATATCCAAACTCTATGGTCTTAATGAAATCTTTATTCTAAGAACTGAACATTTTAACTCCGCTAGAGCCACTGTGGTCTCCAGCCTCTCCCTGTTAATCATTTCTAAATCATGTCCATGGGCAGGAGAAACATCTCCAGGGTACTTCTGAAACATGGCTGAACTCAGCAGTCTGGGGAAGCAGGCACTCCGAGCACACTGAAGAACTTTTTCAAATATCTTAGGTTTGTAATTTTAAAGAGTGTCACTCAGTTGCAATTATTATGGGGAAGAAAGAGAGAGAGCTGGTTTGCCAATAGCGTTTTCAAAGGCCCTTGCCATTACTAAACTGCAAAAAATGATCAATATGGAGCCCATTGGATATTTGTGCAATTCCCACATTTTGGCATGGTGCACTTACTTTGGCAGCCTCTGGTAGTGACAGACCATGGTCACTGACAGCAGAAGGATTGCAGGTTGACATTGTGATTCACTGCCAGACTTGCCTGAAAACTGCTTGCCTGATGCTTGAAGCCAGTCCAGGTAGTTTGTCTCTGAAGTTTACAAAAATGATGCTCATGCTCAAATTAATCTCAACAATTTTAAAATTGTTAATCCCAGCCTTTTCCTGCTAGAAAATGGTTAAACCCAGCCTTTTCCTGTTGTCTGAACTTCAGCCAGTTACTGACTACAATGTTATCTATTGGCTTGCTTACAATTGATCACATGCGTGCACTTTATCAGTGCATAAATGTCCAGGTACTACTTGGAGTGCCAACCTAACACTTCTTTAGAAACTGTAAAATGAAATCAAGTGCAGAAACATTTGGAGTCACCAAGGATAGTCATTATAAAACAGTCAATTCACCATTGTAGGAGATCTTCTGAGTTTACTGTCCAACATGGTCTGGAGAATAGTGGCTTAGACTGTTGTTGTTGATGCTCAATAGCTAGAAAAAAAGACAAGTTGAATTGCTAACACACTGTAAAAGTCTCTAGACACTTTAACCTATTATTGCTGTTTCATATAATATCACTGTAATGATATCTTTTTCATTAAAAGTAAGAAGGCTTCTCTTGGTTAGAGAGATTCTGTAGAGTAGGGGCTAAGGATGTGAGCAGTCAGAACCAGACTGCTATGAGTTGAATTTTAGTTCTTCCGATTTCTAATTTTATGACTATGATCAAGCTACTTTCTGTGCCTCAGTTTCTTCATCTATAAAATGAATTTGTTTTTGGCACCAATCAAATAAAAACCACAATGAGATACCATCTCACACCAGTTAGAATGGCGATCATTAAAAAGTCAGGAAACAACAGGTGCTGGAGAGGATGTGGAGAAATAGGAACACTTTTACACTGTTAGTGGGACTGTCAACTGGTTCAACCATTGTGGAAGTCAGTGTGGCGATTCCTCAGGGATCTAGAACTAGAAATACCATTTGACCCAGCCATCCCACTACTGGGTATATACCCAAAGGATTATAAATCATGCTGCTATAAAGACACATACACCCGTATGTTTATTGTGGCACTATTCACAATAGCAAAGACTTGGAAACAACCCAAATGTCCAACAATGATAGACTAGATTAAGAAAATGTGGCACATATACACCATGGAATACTATGCAGCCATAAAAAATGAAGAGTTCATGTCCTTTGTAGGGACATGGATGAAACTGGAAACCATCATTCTCAGCAAACTATGGCAAGGACAAAAAACCAAACACCACATATTCTCACTCATTGGTGGGAATTGAACAATGAGAACACATGGACACAGGAAGGGGAACATCACACTCCGGGGACTGTTGTGGGGTGGGGGGAGGGGAGAGGGATAGCATTAGGAGATATACCTAATGGTAAATGATGAGTTAATGGGTGCAGTGCATCAACATGGCACATGTATACATATGTAACAAACCTGCACATTGTGCACATGTAACCTAAAACTTAAAGTATAATAATAATAAAATAAAATAAAAAAAGAATAGTGCCTAGCGCTACAGTAAGTAGCATGTAAGTGTCAGCTACTATTGCTTAAGAATCATGTTTTTTTGTTTGATTCTCACAAACCCGTAAGAGGAAAAACAAACCTACATGGCCTAAAGGTAATGCCTGGCCACGGACAAATTTACCCAGATATTTAACTCACTAAAACTGGATGTTTCATCTGTCTTATTTCATAAGGCTGCTGTGAGATTTAGCTAATGAAAGAAGAACAGTGTCTGGAACCTGCAAATGATGAATAGTTTTTATCATTAATGCTATTATTGTTAACATTTTATGCATTACTAAGACTGCATTCTAATTATTGATGAGAAATAAATTTCATTATAATAAAACGACCACACCACAACAAAATCACAGAACATTAGAGTCAGAAGACATCCTAGAGACTATCAACTCCACCCTATAACCCAAGAAATGCCTCCCTTTATCATTCTCTGCTACGTAGCTAAAATAAACAGACAAAAACACCCTAAAATGACCTTTGAACATCTCCGTTGAAGGTACCATAACTCTTTCATAAAGTCGCCCAGTATAGTATACATATTTTAAAATACTTACAATTTATTCCTTTTATTTACCCTAAATTACTGGCCATTTTTTAACCTAGTTGTTTAAGCTTCTATCCTAATGGTTCTTTCAGAATCCCCTAATTCTTCTATATCATATCTTATGGTCTCCCTTATATCCCATTAAACTTTTTCTTTTCCCTCCAGGCTTAAAATTTCTAGTGTCTTTTGCTATTTCTCAGGTAACTGTGTTTTGAGTTTGTTCATTCTAACTGCCCTCTCTGAGTGTGTTCTATGTTGACTATTTTTCTCCTCAAATGTAGTACCTAATGGAATATAATACATCCTTTTTCAGTACATGGTAAAGGGGAAATATTACTTTTCATCTTGGACGTTATATTTCCATTATGTATCCTAAGATTGTTCTTATTTTTTCCCATATTGCTTTTTTGTAGCTAGGTCTTGGAAACTAAAAATAGGGCTGCACATTTATCCCTAATACTTTTCAATCTGTTAAATTTAGCCCATTATTCCCTCCTGACTTAACATTTTTTAAAACTTAGTTAAACCTCCGAGCTTTTTACTATTCATATATAGTGAGAAGTTTGCTATCAGTGATGTCCTTGAAATCCCTAGAGTGTGGAAGGTCACAGCATCAGTGGTTAATCTCTCTTCTTAGTATAGTATTTTTTGATATGTTCATTCACCAGTTACAAATTTCTTAAGTATTTTAACACCCAGCTCAGTTCTAGTCAAAGATGCCATGAGAAGACAAGTCAATGCTTATGGCTATAGCTCTCCTGTAATTTAATTGCAATAGCTCTGTTATTAAAACAAACATAAAACAAAACAAAAAATAACAGTATGCTGGCAGGACCTGTACCATAAGGTCTCCATTTAGAAATCTGGAGGAATGACTTATGATATGGTTCAGTGTGCTCCACTTATGCTACTTATCTCACTTGTCTGGCCTCAGTATAGGAAAAATAAAGGTATCTCCTTTATTCTTTATGAAAGTAGGCAAACTCAAGGAGAGACTCCCTGTGAATTTTCACAAAATGACACATTCTCTTACTTATAGAATCACATTTTTCTTGTGACCTACAAGGAGGGACACTGGAACCTATGGTATGTTCTGGTAAGGTGACAAACAGCTTACCCTCACTTGGTGTATTCTAAATTTTTGAAAAGGAAGTTAGGTATCCCTTCCCTAAGACCATTTAGCTTTTTTATTTTATTTTATTTTTCGCGGAATGGAAAGTCACTTCAGGATGGGTGCGGTGGTTCATGCCTGTAATCCCAGCACTTTGAGAGGCCGAGGCAGGTGGATTACTTGACTTCAGAAGTTTGACACCAGACTGGACAACAAGTGAGGTAAGAGGATCACTTGAACCTAGCAGGTCGAGGCTGCGGTGAGCCATGATCTTACCACTGCACTCCAGCCTGGGTGGCAGAGTGAGATCTTGTCTCAAAAAAAAAAAAAAGGAAAGGAAGAAAGTCACTTCAAGTGTTTTCTGTTATGCAGTTGGAGGTATTTACTCATTTGACAAGCACTTATGGGGTCCTCAATGCATACCTATATTTTGTGCTAGGTATAAGGGATATAAATATTTTTAAAACAACACAATATTTTTGTTGAACTCATGATCTAATTAGGAAGACATTAACAAATAAGTACAAGCCAATGTTGTAAAAACTGTACAATAGACCATGCATAAAGAACTAATCAAGCATAGTAGAACTTGTATCGCCTACCTAGCATATCAGAAAGGACCACAGAGGAGAGACATTAGATACCAGTATTGAAGGATGAATGCATCTTTGTCAGGATTTAAGGGAAGGAGAAATTCGTGGTTAAAAAAATAATGTTTCAGGCCAAAGATGTACAAAAAAGTTCAATAGCACAAATAATTTTCTACCGACCTGGCACTTTGGTCTACTAACAACTCCATGACAGGTCTTTGCAAAAGCCTATTCTCCCAGCTTTTGTTCTCATCTTCTACAGCTTATTCCAGACATAGTTGACAAATAGATTTTTTTTTTTTTTTGAGACAGAGTCTCACTCTGTTGCCCAGGCTAGAGTGTAGTGGTGTGATCTCAGCTCACTGCAACCTCTGCCTCCCAGGTTCATGCCATTCTCCTGCCTCAGCCTGCTGAGTAGCTAGGACCACAGGCGCCCGCCACCACGCCCGGCTAATGACAAATAGATTTTTATAAAATCGAAATAAGATCATTTCACTAAGTACTCGAACTGTTCCAATGACTCCCATAATAAAATCAAAGAATAGGTATTCCATAATAAAATCAAGTAAAAATAATGATATCCCAGAGAAAAATCAAAGTCCTGAAAATGTCCTCTCAGGCTTTACTTGAATCCCCAGTCCCTTACTTGACTAACATTCTGACCACATAGCTTTGGACTGCTCTGCCCTAGACCTACTGGTTACTTTGCTAGTACTCAAACACTCCAAATAGCCTTCTACCTCAGGACCTATGCATTTGCACTGCCTCTGCCGAGAACACTCTTTCTACAGATAGCCACGTGTTTCATTTGTTCTCTTCTGCTATATCTCCGCTAAGTTGTCATCTAATCTAAAAAGCCATCCCTGACCATGTCATAAAACACCCTACAACCAACACTGGCATTTTCCATCCTATTCTTCCTGCATTAATTTTTGCCACAGCACTTATCCCCAGGGATTTTTCTGTATATTTACTTGTCCTTTGTGCCTTATCCACTTCCCCTCACTATAATGTAAGCTCCATGAGGGCATGGATTTTTTTTTTTGTTATGTTTCTATACTATATTTCCAAGTATTTCCACAGGATTGAAATTTAGAATGCAGAATCAGAGGAGGCAAAGTTGTATTGGTACCGTTTTATGAAGAAATTGGTATGATGTGTTAGGAAGAATGGACTTTTACTTTTCAACAAAGGGAAACTGTTGAATAACATTGAATCCTTTGGAAGCCAAGAATGAAATCTTTGGACTTTGTGTGCCAGGAAGTTCAAACACCTTTCTTTTCATGTTAATCTGTACCCTAATATTGTTTCCAGCTATGCAAGCCCCAAAAGGGGGCTGTTTTGCAACTAACTAGAGTTACAAAGACTTTTATTTTCTATAATGATAACCAACATAGACTTTTTGAACCTACCAGCTTCTTTTAATGGCTACTAAGAAACCACTGAAGCATGTGAAATTGGAATCATTGCTATTTACATATTTGAATCAAGAATGAAAAATTAAAAGAGTCACAAGTTAACATAATTTTACAATGAAGTAAGCCTGCTTCTGTCAGTGCTGAATAACATGAAAAAGGAATTTACATATTACAAGGATAACAGACAAGCTATACAGTAAACTTCTGATGTCAACAGAGATTTTCAAGCAAAGAATAATGACCACATAATTTTAGTTACAATGTTGACTTTGTTGTACATGTTACATAAAATATATGAAAACAAAGTCTGCAAACAAGGACTCTGTGGGTTTTTTTGCAGCAACAAAAGACCATGTCAAGTAGACTTTGAATAAATGGCAGTTGTAACCCAGCAGGCAACCAAAATTCAAGGTGAGATTCTAGGAAGAGAGGAAACATTTGTCCTTTCTATAAGCTAATAGCCATTAATTACAAGAATTTTGAAAATGTTAAGTTGGTTTCAGAAAATGCCAAAATTGCAAGAAATACTACTAAAATATATAGATAAACTTCCTCAGCTATTTGGTTCATTATTTTGAAGGTCAATATTGGGTGGGCATGTAATCCTATCTCAGTAATTGCTGATTCATTTAGCAAATATTCAGCTAGACAGGTACATCTCTTAGATTCTAAAGGAAATGGTAAATGAGAGCTGTATTCATGAAGAGTTACATGACAACTTGAGTAACTAATTATTTTTCACACTTTTAGCCAATCAAAACCTGCAATAAAAATGAACTACACATTTTCTCCCACCCTTGTCAAAACAGCAATACAATTCTATTATTTTCTGCTTAGTGATTTGAGTGATATAAAAGGAAAAGAAATTAACAAAATTCCAAAGGAATTTCATGCAAAGAAAATTGTATTAAGGAAAAGTATCACAAATTTTTCTTTAGACAAATACAAACAAATGAAGATTTTTTTAAAAATTATATATAGACTTTTCTTATTTATTTGTGATAGTTTGAATAAGGTAAGGAAGTTAGAAAGAATCTCATGTTATCCTTTCAACAGCTCTAAAGATTAGGTAATAATATCTTTATTTTACAGATGAGAAAACAGTAATTCAGAAGGCTTAAGTGACTTATTCAAGGTTACAAAGCTAAGTAAGAAGCAAAATTGAGCTGTAAACCCAGGTCTAGCTGACTCTAACATCTTTGAGCTCCCTAATATTATAGGCAGTGTTATGCAGTGTGCTCGTTTCTGAAGAATAGAATAATAATTTTTATCAAATTCTTAATGACATATATCATATTGAAAGATATAATAGTCCTGGTTTTCTGTGGGATCACAGGCTAAATACAGTGCAGGTGGAAATCCATTGGACTGCCTTAATGTCATTGGCCAGGAGGCCCTCCAGCATCATGAAGTAGATAAAGTGAACTTTGAGGCTTCCTTCCTAAAAGCAGGCTGAGCATCTGTCCTACATACTCTGTAATGGCCAGCATGTGTCCTGACTGATAAGTGTCCTTTCTAAGGGTTCAGATGTCTGTTCTGATTGATTAGTGCCTTCACCAGGCTCACTGAGAAATACTTTGAAAATATAATAAATATTCACAAATCTTAAACAATACAAACACCATTCTGTATTACAAACATGATTTCCAATTAGTTCCATGCTGCAGTTTCCTATCACCATTAGGAGACTTTTGTTTCTAACTTCTTGGGTGTCTCATCCAAGGGTGGCATAGCTTTCTTGTGGGATCACTTGTTACTTCAACATCCTTTTGAAAGGTATGGGTTATGGGCAATTCCTGTATCCCTCCTAAGTGATAATTATCAAAAGAATCTGTGTACCCCAAAATCATTTCTTTAATTACCAAGATTACATTTCAAATAGAAAAAAGAAAGGAAAACATTTTTTATTTATTACATATGTTTATTCTAAAAACATATTCTAACTTTTAAATAAGACTAAAAAATGTATGCGATAAAAGGGAATAAACGATATCACATGGTGAAATAATTTTGAGATATTTATACACTGTAGATATGTATACTCTCTGCCTGCTGAGGGCACTATTCCAACAACACCGTTCACTCCATTCCAGTTGGAACCATCCCTTTAAAAAAATTCCTCATTGCATAGTGGACATTTTCTTCATTTTCTCTCCTCCATTTTCCATTGTTGTTTAAATCATTAAAGTTACCCTTGCTGAATGTTAAGCAGAGGAAAAGGAAAAAGAGCAATATAAAGGTAGAGCCCCTCTTAGACACAACTACACTGTTCAGCAAGGTCCTCTATACTAGTAGCTTCTTATTAAAGCCAGAAATTCCAATATTATCACGTCTGCCTTTTGTGCTGAGTTGTCTTCATCAGCTGATCTGGTTTTCCTTCCTGACTTGTTCCTCTCTCCCTTCTTTTCTTCACTTTCTGTCCCTTTCTCCCCTTCCCTCTAATACAATAGTCGTTTAATTCTCTAAACACCCCACAACTCTCCTATTGTCCTCACTTTACAAATGAGAAAAAAAAAAACACACACACACAGAAACCAACAGGTTATATAACTTGACCAAGATCATATACTTAACAAGTGGCAGAACTGGGATTCAAATGGGAAACAAGTTGTCTTCTTTTTTGTGGAGAGAGAAATTTTTTTTTTTTATTAGCTCCTTAGCATGAACCATTTTTTTTTTTTTTTTTTTTTTTCCTCTCACATATTCTTCTTTGTTTTATTTATAATTTTTTTTTTTACAATTCTTTTTTTTTTATTTTTTTTTTTTTATTTTATTTTTTTTTTTTATTATACTCTAAGTTTTAGGGTACATGTGCACATTGTGCAGGTTAGTTACATATGTATACATGTGCCATGCTGGTGCACTGCACCCACTAATGTGTCATCTAGCATTAGGTATATCTCCCAATGCTATCCCTCCCCCCTCCCCCGACCCCACCACAGTCCCCAGAGTGTGATATTCCCCTTCCTGTGTCCATGTGATCTCATTGTTCAATTCCCACCTATGAGTGAGAATATGCGGTGTTTGGTTTTTTGTTCTTGCGATAGTTTACTGAGAATGATGGTTTCCAATTTCATCCATGTCCCTACAAAGGATATGAACTCATCATTTTTTATGGCTGCATAGTATTCCATGGTGTATATGTGCCACATTTTCTTAATCCAGTCTATCATTGTTGGGCATTTGGGTTGGTTCCAAGTCTTTGCTATTGTGAATAGTGCTGCAATAAACATACGTGTGCATGTGTCTTTATAGCAGCATGATTTATACTCATTTGGGTATATACCCAGTAATGGGATGGCTGGGTCAAATGGTATTTCTAGTTCTAGATCCCTGAGGAATCGCCACACTGACTTCCACAATGGTTGAACTAGTTTACAGTCCCACCAACAGTGTAAAAGTGTTCCTATCTCTCCGCATCCTCTCCAGCACCTGTTGTTTCCTGACTTTTTAATGATTGCCATTCTAACTGGTGTGAGATGATATCTCATAGTGGTTTTGATTTGCATTTCTCTGATGGCCAGTGATGATGAGCATTTCTTCATGTGTTTTTTGGCTGCATAAATGTCTTCTTTTGAGAAGTGTCTGTTCATGTCCTTCGCCCACTTTTTGATGGGGTTGTTTGTTTTTTTCTTGTAAATTTGTTTGAGTTCATTGTAGATTCTGGATATTAGCCCTTTGTCAGATGAGTAGGTTGCGAAAATTTTCTCCCATGTTGTAGGTTGCCTGTTCACTCTGATGGTAGTTTCTTTTGCTGTGCAGAAGCTCTTTAGTTTAATTAGATCCCATTTGTCAATTTTGTCTTTTGTTGCCATTGCTTTTGGTGTTTTGGACATGAAGTCCTTGCCCACGCCTATGTCCTGAATGGTAATGCCTAGGTTTTCTTCTAGGGTTTTTATGGTTTTAGGTTTAACGTTTAAATCTTTAATCCATCTTGAATTGATTTTTGTATAAGGTGTAAGGAAGGGATCCAGTTTCAGCTTTCTACATATGGCTAGCCAGTTTTCCCAGCACCATTTATTAAATAGGGAATCCTTTCCCCATTGCTTGTTTTTCTCAGGTTTGTCAAAGATCAGATAGTTGTAGATATGCGGCATTATTTCTGAGGGCTCTGTTCTGTTCCATTGATCTATATCTCTGTTTTGGTACCAGTACCATGCTGTTTTGGTTACTGTAGCCTTGTAGTATAGTTTGAAGTCAGGTAGTGTGATGCCTCCAGCTTTGTTCTTTTGGCTTAGGATTGACTTGGCAATGCGGGCTCTTTTTTGGTGCATGAACCATTTTTTTTAAAAGATGATAATAGCCTTGAAAAACATAAGAGCAGATACTGGAAAGGAGAAAGGTCAGAGGCTTCACAGAATACAAGCTCACCTATTTCCCAGGGTCAAAACAATAAATGCTACTGTGTGAAGAGTGACCTGATAAAAGATCATTAGCAAGTAAATTCCATCTTTGCTAAACAAAGTAGTATTAATATTAGGTTGGTGCAAAAGTAATGGCAAAAACCGCCATTACTTTTGTACCAACATAATAATATAATTGTAATTCTCTTAAGAAAATAAAACCAGGATATACCACTGAAAAAATAAATGTTGATTTTTGAAATATCTTTTCCTTAGAATTCTTGAAGCATTTATTCCTTTTAGATTATATAGTTTTTTTCTATACAAACAGAAATTTCAACATAACTATATTCTAAGGACACATCTATTATGACCTTTTAAAATTCCTGGCTGGGCTCAGTGGCTTACACCTGTAATCTCAGCACTTTGGAAGACTGAGGTGGACAGATCGCCTGAGGTCAGGAGTTCAAGACCAGCCTGGCCAACATAGTGAGACTACCCCTCTACTAAAAATAGAAAAAATTAGCCAGGTGTGGTGGCAGGTGCCTGTAATTCCAGCTACTTGGGAGGCTGAGGTAGTAGAATTGCTTGAACCCAGCAGGCGGAGGTTGCAGTGAGCCAAGATCACGCCATTGCACTCCATCCTGGGCGATAGAGCAAGGCTCTGTCTCAGAAAATAAATAAATAAATAAATATATGAAATACATAAATAAAATTTCTTTTGTAAATAGTTGAATTAGTTTATAGATAAATAATATTAGCTCATAGATATCAAGTAACTCATATGCTAAATGTCTTCCATTTGTTATCACATTCAATATTCAAAATGATACAATGATATTACAATTTTACAGATGAGTAAGCTGAGGCTTATTGGAGTAAAATAACTTCCGGAATGTCAGTAAGCTAGGGAATAAAGAAATAAAGATCTGATCCCAAAACTTCATTCCTCACCACAGCACTATATTGCCAAAGACCAAAGAGCATGACTAATTTTTTTAATCAATACACAATTATTCTTTTTTTTTATTTTTTATTTGTTTTGAGATTAAGTCTTGCTCTGTTGCCCAGGCTGGAGTGCAGTGGTGTGATCTCTGCTCACTGCAACCTCTGCCTCCTGGGTTCAAGCAATTATCCTGCTTCAGCCTCCCTAGTAGCTGGGATTACAGGCGCCCACCACCCTGCCTGGCTAATTTTTGTATTTTTAGTAGAGACGGGCTTTCACCATCTTGTCCAGGATGGCCTCAAACTCCTGACCTCGTGATCCACCCACCTCGGCCTCCCAAAGTGCTGGGATTACAGGCATGAGCCACTGCACCTGGCCTATAAAATTATTCTTTTAAAAATTAATAATGTTATTTGTTTAAAATATTTATAGTTTCTCTTCATATAGCTTATTAAATCTTCTCTTTGACTTTGGACTAAAAAAATTTTTTGCTCTTACATTTCCGTGTAAGAATCTGATAATTTTTGAACCTAATAATTTTCAAAGTGCTAACTGTGTCTTTGATAGAAATATATCAATTTTGTAATTTATTCCAAAGTGCAGTTGTTCTAGAATTTAAAGAAAAGCTTTCAGTATTTTTTTCTTGATAAATCTTTTAAAATATATATTAGAATTGTTAGAAATGCTGGGAAAAAGGAAAAGAGAAAAGAGAAGAGGAGCTGCTGAAATTTAGAAAAGGCGAAGATAGAAAAGATGGAATCACTGAAGAAATATTTCACTTAATTCACAGAAGGCAGTGCCCTGTGTACTGGTATATGGGAATTATATGATAAAACCCCCTTACTTTAGTTTTCTGCAAATTATAAATATAAAAAGCATTATAAATTGCTAAAAAGCACTTCTTGATTTAGCATTTGAAAAGTTTGCATTGATATTAGACTGTTAATATGTAACTGTGGTCTTATGGAAATAAATTAAAATCAATGTGGAGTGTCCTTTTCCTATCCATCCACCCCTAAGGTAAAACTTGATAATTATACTCAATAAAAGTATTATTCTTACCTTTCTTCTATTTAGAATATTTTCTTTGAGTATCAGGATTTGTCATTATCTTAATTCCTTACTTTTGTACTATAAATGAGAAGTTTTAAAAATCCCTTTGAATAAATGTGATTAAAAAGGTAAAACTCATCCTGAATATAGTGAGTTGAGTTATATAATCTCTGTTACTTTTCATTTTCCAAATAACCACTTCCCTATTTTGTATGACCTAACTCATTCTGGCAAAGCATCCATCATCACCAATCAAATGACTAGTTCAGAACAATACACTCTATGTGAATGACATGAGACTGATTGAATGAGATTTTAAAATATATATATTATTTGTGATTGGGGAAGGATCGTACTAGTCAAATGCACAGAAAAGACTCATGAAGTAGAAAAACATCCAAAGTCATATGAGAAAGTTTTTTCCTATTTGAGTTAGGTTTCTAGGAGTATTATGAATTTCATTTGGCCTTTTATCCCCAAGAACTAAAATTACATGATTTACCAAAAGTCCTTTCTCTCTTTTTATTAAATAACACTTGCCTAAGAACAGTCTCAAATACTATAGTCAAGGTCACTTTCTGTAATTAATTGTAGTATAATAATAATAAAACATAAGTTATTTCTGTAGGTTAACAGTACGCTAGTCTCATGAGTAATAAGAATATACAAAATGCATTTACTGATGAAAAAGAGCTTATGTTTACCGACTAGGACCTTCTTGGATTTTCTGGTAAGTGAGTGTTTCAAAGTTCACTCTCCATCTCCTGGCCCTTTACATAAAGTGCTCTGTTGGCCCTGAGCACCCTGGCTTCATTTGGCTTCGCTGAGCAGAGTTGCCTATGTCTATACACTTTAGCAAGACTTGGGTTGCTTTCTGCTTGTCTTTCTTTTCTGTTTTCTCTTCCTTTTACTTGCAAAGCTTTCAAGCTTGATATTTCCCGCAATAAGGATTCTTCTTCAATTTATCATGGGTTCTTACTACCCTTTATGAGTCACCCATTTCTACAGAAATTCTGCATTTTCACTCCACAAATCAGTTTCCAAATGTCATTAACTTTTCTTCATGGAGATACCTTTCTTTTTAATAGGCTACCATAGAGTCTTATTTAAAAATCCCTGCATTGCGTTTACTGGAATCTTTAAAATACTTAACATGTCACCATTAGCAATAATACATTAGCAATGCACCATTTCTCTACTTGGGTTTGTCTTTTATAGTATATTTTTGGGAGGTTTTTGACGTTGCTGTTATTGTTTTTAATAATGTATGTGTGAAAGTATTGCTACTCTCTCAAAACATTTCTACTATTTCTACTCCCTTAAAACATTAAGTTTATATTATATACATTATTGATCAAATAAAAATATGGGTAACATTTTCTGATCCTTTTTTTTTGAATGCCAGACACCATCCTAGGTAGTTACATGATATTCTTACAATAACCTTAAATAGTAGTCATTATTATCCTTACGTTTCAGAGGAGGTAAACAACTTCCCTGAGGTCACCCAGCTAGTAAGTAGCAGAAACAAAGTTTATACCTAGATTTAACTGATCCAAAAGTAATGTGTTTTTCATCAACAATCTTTGCCTACAATCTTTGCCTATAATCTTCGATTAGTCATGTCTGTAAATTCTCTGATTTTGGATTACACCAAATAAGGAATTTCCTCATCTGGTGAAGCTCTCATTAGCAGGCTTAGGAAAGATAGAAAGCCTGGGGGAAGCAACATACCTGACCTTCTCTCTCTGGTCTAAGAGTGAGCCAAAATCTCCATCCCTAGGCTTAAAGACGTGCTATTGATAGCTTTATTTGGCTTAAGATCTAATTGAAAAATGTCCTAAAGACTTGGAAGTAATTAGACTTGTTAGTTTATCTCACTGAGAAAAATCCTTCAAAGTATGTAACAGAAAGTATATTCCAGAATTTCTTTATTGGCATAGTTAGCTTGGTAAACCCACACTAGTCAAATAATATTTAAGGCAAAAATATCATCATATATAACCTCTCAAACAATAGGTTAATGTAACATAAATTCCAACTTGAAAGTATCATTCCACAGAGAATTAGCTTTATATTTGCTTGTCTTTTGATATATTGTTCCAATAACAAGACATGATGTTATTATTTCAGTTCCAGAAACCTATGGAGAAAGCACATGGAGATAATTAGTTCTACTTCCAGAGAGGGTAAACATATCACAAATGTAAGTTTTCTTCTTACCAATGTAGTTATGGGATGGCTTCAGTTTTTATAAGACTGTTCTATTAAAGTATCTTATTGTGTTTGCATTAGGAATGTTTTTTGTTTGCTTTATTTTTGTCTCACTGTCTGACATTTAAGCTCCTTGAGAGCTTCTAAATCCATTCAAAATAATAAACGTTTGTTGAGAACTTACAACATTACTAGGTAGTTGTATTATTTGGATGCTTATGTTTAAAACAGCATTATTCAGGTAGCAGATCTTTAATGTAAGGAAATGTGAAAGATACCCAATAATTAGATAAAACAAAATGCTCTAACTTGACTTACACCAACAATTAAGTATGGTCATGGTTTTATAGAGAACTTAAAAACAACCTAAAAGTTTGGGTCTTAGAGGCAACCTCAACTTCTGAAATTCATCAAACATCGTAATCAACCATATGCTTAGTGCAAGCAATAAAGAGTAGTTAAAATAAGAGGAGAACAATTATAACTGCAATTTTCCACTTTTCTAAACAATGGCAAACAAATGGTAATACTATTTAGCCTAGGCTAATTATTATTAATCATAATATTTCAAGACTATTTTTCAAAAACATTCATTTTCAAGACCAGAATTCTGTCATTTGAATCCCTTTTTTCTTTTCACAGAAAAAAGTCATTTTGCTTCATATATCTATGAAATTGATATGGAATATTCATTTTTAATACCTATGGACACTTAGATATGTTCAAACAAAATTGAGTGAGAAAGGCGAGTAAGAGCATATTTCATAGCACACACTTGTAAAATGTGAAATTTCCTTGGATCACTTTCCTGGAAAAAAATCCATAATTGTACTCCAGGAATGTTCTGGGTGAACTGAACAGCTTGATATGAATTATAGTCTAAAGTCATTTTGTTGATGAAACAAACCTTTGTTTTGAGGGAATAAATAGTTATGTTGCAGCATATTCTGTGCTATCCAAGAAAATGGTCAGCAAACCTTTCTATGAATATGTAATTAAATTTATCTAGTCAATAATGGTTCTTTGAAAAACCTAAAGCTGAAAATTAAGAGGTCATGCACCTGGGCATCTGATTGACACCAGTTTTATTTGATATAATAATACCAGTTGAGTTCCATTGAGAAGTTGATAATGGCCTTTATTTACATTTAATTAGCACCTCTCTGGATTAATTCCTCATTTTTAAAACCTAATACAACCTTAATACTGGAAGATGTGAATCGAATATGATAAGAACATGTACCTGGTTGTTTTAATTAATCTGTCTAAACTGAGCATGCCACTTCAAATTCATAAAGATCAAGCTTTATGCTACCCTTAGACTTTTCATCATGTTAATTGGCTGCTGTGTTAGAAAATGATCTTTATATTATTGTGACTCTGTGGCAGTACAGTTCCACTTGGTTATGATGAGGATGGAAAGTAAACATATAACCTTTATTTCAGACATTTATTTAGGCTAGAGGAAAATAAATAAAAGTATTAAGATTGGGTAATTCTAAGTGCTGGGAGCATAGATAGTTAAAAACAACTGTCCGCATCTTCCAGAATTTTTTATAATGAAAATAGATTACTTTTATTTAAAATGATATATTACATCTATAAATCATATATATATGATGTGTTTCTTTATATAAATAGCAAATACACCATACACCATATATGCATATATAGTTTAAATCCGTGTCTTGGAAGTCAAAGAAAAATAATCGAGGTACATATTTTTTTACTCACATTCTATTCGATTGCAATATTAATGAAGGTGAAGGTGAGAAGCAAGTCAAAAAATATTAGACAATGTAAACCTTAATGGCTTGAATAAAGAACAATATAAACGATGAATGAATGAGTGAATGAATGAGTAATGTCTTACAATTCTTCCTCTTAGGAAAGTAGCTGAAAAAAAGTCATTTTTAAAAATTTGCCATAAAGTCTTTTTTTTTTTCACTTAAGTTGTTTTTTTTATTTACTGTTCTCATTGGATTTTATTAAAGACCACATACTTACCATCAGATTTTAAGATTAGAATTTGTTGCCACTATTGAAATAAGTGATTACAGATTATATCAGAAGCACATTCCACTAATTTGTAATTATCCATTAGCTATATTCAGATTAAGAAGAAAGAGGAACAATCTAGCTTGGGGACAAAGTAATCAAAATATAAAAGGATTCATCAACAAATAGAAAGTAACAATCAAAGGAATGTTATACAATTATTCACAAAGAAATTCTAGAAAATACAGTTTACGATGTCATATCCTGTCAATTCTGTGGATTGGAAATGATGCCAAACCCAATGAGAATTAATGCCAAAAGAGCCTAACATGTAACATAAATAGCTTCTTGTGATACTCTCTCTGCTTTAAGAACTTAGACTAATGTTGTCATATTACACAAGTAATTGCTGCCCTGTGATATTTGATGATGGGATTTGTACTATTTCAGCATTATTGCTAGAAAAAAAGAGGGTTCTGTTTACATTTCAAAGTTTGTTTTTAAGTGAACTTTCTCTCTGTATGTTGAGAATATTATTTTTTAGGTTTTTAACATCTTATTTTCTCGATTTCTCCAGTGATCTCTTACAGCATCCCTTTCTCTAATCTTTAGCTGTCTTCCTTAATTCTGTACTATTAGTAAAATAAACTCCTATATTTTGGTACTACAGTTAGGGAGCCAGAGAAAGATTGTTTTCTTGAGAAAGAGAGAGGTAATCAATGTTTAAATAAATGTAAGAATAACTGAGACAAAATTAATAAATCTTCATAAAATGTTGACTAATCAACATTCCTTTTACTTCAACATTTGATAAGAAATTGTTTTCTACTTTGTCAAGTATAAATAAAAGCTGAATGTACCCACATTATATTATTGTTCTGAGTCCATTGGGATTAAACGGGAGAGAGCAACATTGCAACTAGGCTGGAAACCAGGAGACTTAGATTCTAGCTCTGGTTCTATCTCTGCTTAGTTTTGTGACATTGAAGAAAGAAGAGTTTCTTGAGCCATCACTTTATTAATCTGCAAAGACTTCATTGATCTGTATGACTTTGGCATCCCTTTGAATTGTAAGTTGTGTCCTTATACATACTTTTGTGGGGCTTTGAATTGAGTAATTCTACTTAAAAGGCAAACTTGAACCCAATTGTTTATTAATTTGAAAGAGTACATAAAATGATCTGTTGATTACTTTTCATCACTTTATTTTGTTAATTGTCATTAGTTGGTGTTGATAACTTCTTTTCTGTTGGGTTCAATATTATGATTTGTGGGTTTGCAACCTACACCATGCATCATTGCATAAGTAACAAAGGAGAACCCATAAAGACACCTTAAAAAATGAATATTATTATTTGATAAGTTGTCATATTTGAAAAGAAAGAGAAAACATAGAGCACTGTGAGTTGTTTGAACTGCATGCTTATTGTACCTCTCTTCATGCCAAAAAGTTAGAGCTAACAAGCAATTAGTTTATTATTCCAAACATACTGTTGGTCAGCCAAAATCTCCTTTGTGCCACTACTGTTACTGGAATTCTGAAATTTCTCTAAGGAGCATAGGAATTGTGCACAACATCTAGTGATGTAGGTCCTTCACAGTCAAAAGCATCTAAGTGTCCTATCTGAGGTGCTAGGGTGGAGTGAACAGTACAACAACACAATGGTTAAGAACAATAACTTGGTTGTGAGATTTAGTAATAATGTGAATTCGACCAATGGCTTTAACCTTTCTCAGTGTCTGTTATATCATCTACGAAGCAGGGAAAACAATACACTCAGTTCATGGAGTTGCTATAGTTATTAAGTGAGATTAAGTGAAAATATATATGTAAAGTGCTTATCATCATAGTGGCTCTTACAGGCTTTTATGTAAATAAGAATCGCCAAGAAAAACATTTCAGTGTTTGAGAATCAAATAGAGTTTCCTCAGGTGTTATGTTTGTTTGCTTACTTGCTATTAAAGCTTTATGAGATGTAATTCAAATACCTTAAAATTTACTTGTTGAAGTGTACAAGTCAATAGTTTTAATATATTCACAAAATTTTGCAACCATCACCACTACATAATTTTAAAATATTTTCATTGTCCATGCAAAAACCACATGCCCTAATCTACGTTTTCTTGTTTGCATGTATATCTATTTTGATCATTACATATAAAGGAAATTACACAATGTTTTCATTTGTGACTGTCTCCTTTCTTAGCATAATATTCTCAAGTTTCATCCATATTGTGGCATATATCAGTATTTCATGTCTTATTGCTGAATATTCTGTTGTATGAATATATCACAATTTGTTTATCCATTCAACAGTTAATTCGTATTTGGGATGTTTCTGATTTTTCATAATTATGAATAGTGCTGCCAAGAATATTCAGGTACGAAATTTTTGTCGACATATTTTCATTTCTCTTGGGTATAATAAAAGAGTAGAATTGTTGAGTGTCATATGGTAAATCTATGTTTACTATCCTGAGGAACTGCTAGAATGTTTTCCAAAGTAGCTGTACAATTTTACAAGCTCACAAGCAATATGTTAAGGTTCCCATTTCTCTACATTGTAGCCAACACTGGTTACGTCTTGTCATTTTTAGTCATCCTACTGGGTGTAAAGTTGTATCTCATCATGGTTTTGATTTACATTTTCTATATGACTAATGATATTGAGGATCTTTTAATATGCTTATTGGCCATTTGCACATTTTCTTTGGGTACATGTCTACTTAAAGATTTTTCCCATTTTTTAATTGCCTTGTTGTGTTTTTATTGTTGAATACTAAGAATTCTTTATGCTGGGTATTAACTCCTCATCAAATACATCATTTAAAACTATTTTCTCCCATTCTATGGATTTTCTTGTCACTTTCTTGATTGTGTCATAGGAAGCATAAAGTTGTTTAATTTGATGAAGTCCAATGCATCTATTTTTCTTTTACAGTTTGTGGTTTTGGTATTGTACCTAGAAACCATTACTTAATAAAATACTATAAGAATTTTCTCTTAAATTTTATTCTAGGAATTTATAGTTGTAGCTGTCACATTAAGGTCTAAGATTCATTCTGAGTTAATTTTTATGTATGATATGAGGAAGGCATCCATCTTCATCTTTTGGCATGTGGATATCCAGTTGTCCGGGTACCATTTCTTAAAAAACGATTCTTTCTCCATTGAATTGTTGGCAGCATTGTCAAAAATCAATTGACCATACATGTAAATGTTTATTTCTCTATTCTCAATCTATTTTATAGTCTGTTTGTTCATCTTTGTGTTAGTACCACATGGTTTTGATTATTGTAGCTTTAAAGTGTTGAAATCGAGAAACGTGAGTCCTGACACTTGTTTTTCTTTTTCAAGATTGTTCTGCCATTCTGTGTCTCTTGCATTTTTAATATCAGTTGTATGATCAGATTATCAAGTTTTGAAAAAGCCAGCTGGGAATTTGTTAGGAAATTCATTGAATCTGTAGATCAATTTGGGGAATCTTGTCATCTTCATAATTTAAGTCTTCTGATTCATGAGCATGGGATATCTTTCTATTTATTTAAATGTCTTCAATTCCCTTCAAAACAGTTTTGTTGTTTTCATAAGTTTTGTACATCTTTTATAAAATGTATTTCTACATTTAAAAATTATTTTTGATACCTTTTTTAAAATTTTTTATTTTCATAGGTTTTTGGGGAACAGGTGGTATTTGGTTACGTGAGTAAGTTCTTGAGTGGTGATTTGTGAGCTTTTGGTGCACCCATCACCCGAGCAGTGTACACTGAACCCACCTTGGAGTATTTTATCCCTCATCCCTTTCCCACACTTTCCTGCTGAGTCCTAAAAGTCTATTGTGTCATTCTTATGTCTTCGCATCCTCATAGCTTAGCTCCCACTTTTGAATGAGCACATACAATGTTTGGCTTTCCATTACTGAGTTATTACACTTAGAATAATATTCTCCAATTCCATCCAGGTTGCTGTGAATGCCATTAATTTTCAGATTTTATTTTCATTGTCCATTGCTAGACTATAGAAAGATAATTAATTTTTTAGATTGATCTTTGCTTACTGAACTTGCTTATTAATTGCAATAGGTATTTAGTGATTTCTTTAGACATTTTTATATACAAGGTCATGTTGTCTGTGAAAAGAGATCATATTACTTCTGTCTTTACAATATGAATAAAATTTATTTATTTATTTTAATCTAATTGGCCTGACTAGTACTTTCAATACAATGTGGATGGAATAGAAGTGGCAAGAACAGAGATTCTGGTCTTATTCTTGATCTTAGGGGAAAAAATACCATTAATGATGCTAACTGCAGGGTTTTTTTTTTAATAGGTGTTCGTTATCAAGATGAGAACTTTTCCTTTTTCTTTACAAGCTTTTGCAATTTGTTGAGATACATTCACTGCACATATTGGAATAATCATGTGGTTTTTATTCTTTATTTTATGAATATGGCATAAGACAGTGATTGAATTTCATATTTTAAAACAACCTTGCATTCCTGTGATAAATCACACTTGTTTATTGTAAATTACTCTTTGCGTCTTACTGGATCCAGTTTGGTAATATTTTATTGAAGATTTTTGGTCTATATTCATTTGCAATATTGGTTTGTATTTTTTTCTTGTAATTTCTTTCTCCAGTTTTTGTATCAGAGTAATACTGACCTCATAGAATACACTGGAAATGCATCTCCTATTCTATTTTTGAAAGTGTTTGTGAATAATTCATCTTAATTTTTAAAATATTTGTTAGAATTCACCAGTGAAGGAACTGGACATTGGCTTTTTTCAAGGAGTTTTAAAATTATCTATTTTGTTTTATATAGGTCTAATTCATATTTTCTATTTTTTATTTGGGTCTTTATAGGAATTTATCCATTTTGTCTAAGTAATCATTTTTTAAAAATTCTTTAAAAATATTTCTTTCTAATCTTTTTCATTCCATAATGTTGACAGTGAGATCTAATCTCTCATTCTCAATTATAGTAATTTGAGTCCTCTTTCTTTTTCTCTTGTTCATTTGCCCTAAAGTCTTGTCACTTTGGTTGATTTCAAAAATAGAAAATAAGTTTCAGTTTCATTGATTTTTTTTTCCTTATGTATTTCTATTCTCTAGTTCATTAATTCCTGACTTGACATTTATTAGTTCCTTCAGCCTGCTTAATTTACGTTTCGTTGGTTCTTCTTTTTCAAGTTTCTTAAGGTTGATTTGGGCCTTTTTTATATTAAAGGTGTTTATGGCTATAAATTGTATTTATAAGCACTAGTTTTGCTTCATCCCAAAATATGAGGCTTTTGTTTATTTGTTTTAATTTTAAGTTTAAGTTTAGACGGGGCCTTGCTCTGTTACCCAGGATGGTCTCAAACTCCTGGTACTTGGGAGTAATAATCCCAGGTACTTGGGAGGCTGAGGTGAAAGGATCACTTGAGCCCAGGATTTGAGCATGCCATAGCACCTGGCTGTTTCGTTTTACTTTCTTTTTATAAATTTTCATTTATCTCTAAGAATTTTATAATGTCCCTTGTAATTTCTTGTTTGCCCTATTGGATACTTAGAAGTGTGTGGCTTAATTTTACATATCTGTGAATTTCCCAAGTTTCCTCCTGTTAGGTTTTATTTTAAATTTCATTCTCTCAAGGTCAGAGAACATACTTTGCATGATTTCAATCCCTTTAAATTTATTGAGTTTTGTTTTTTGACCTAACCTATGGTCTGTCTTAAAAAATGTACCATGTGTGCTTGAGATAAATGTGTATTCTGTTGCTATTGGGTAGAGTGTTCTAGAGATGTATGTTAAGGCTAACTGGTTTATAGTGCTGTTCAAGTCATATATCTTTGTTTATCTTCTGCCTACTTATTTTCTCCATTATTAAAAGTGAGATTTTGAAACCTCCAACTATTATAGTTAAATCGTCTGTTTCTCCCTTCCATTCTGTCAGTTATTGCTTCATATATTTTAGGGCTCTGTCCATTGAGGTCTATTTTTCTCCTACAGTGTAGAGCCTGGAGTGTCCCTTCTCAGAGGGTGCAACTTTGGGCATGCATATTCACCTTGACTCCCTCCTCCCATCCCAGGGATAACAGTGCTTTTACCTGACCTCTCTGACAGTGTCTTTCGCTGATGTCCCTTATCTCATTGTGAGTTTCTGGCTGGTATCTCTCTATTGGTATCACACCTAGACATTAACCTTTACCAACTGCTAGCTGATTGCCCTCTTGTTTTCAACAATGTCATGGATCTTAAAATTGTCCCAAAATATGATCAAATAATGCATGAACCCTTTGCAGGGATAGTTTTTAAGGCCAGTCTTTGAGGCTGGCTTATACTCTAGAAAGGTGCTTCTTAGCTAAAATCTCCATTATTTTCACAGTGCCTTCAGGCTTGAACTTCCCTCACACTTTATTCCAAGTAAAGACAGACCCCTGACTGTGCCTCCTATTCTTGGCTGTATCTGTCCAGAGACTTCCATCACACAGGGCTGGAGGCGGGAAGAGAGTGGGGCCATTGCTCAGATGCCACAGATGCCCACTGTTCTCACCAAGATTTCATAGATTTTCTTGCATAAATTCTTTTTCCATTTGCTTAAGATAATTTTCTGAGACTTTGTTTTTTTGTTTGTTTGTTTGTTTGTTTGCAAATTTGACTTACTTGTTACAGTTGTTTTTCTGGGGAGACTTTGCACAGCTCCTCATGCCACCATTCTGGAGTGCTTCTCCTCCCTAGAATGTTTTACACTGGTTCATTCTCCTGTTTGTATTATTCAATGCAATTATATGGGAAGGGATTATAATTTTATAGTATAATTTTTGTCTCCACAAACATTTTTCTGGCCACATGAGGCTGTGGGATTGCTCCAGTCAGCAGCTCAATGACCTCAAAGCCCAGAGAAGCCCTGGAGCTGTGAATATAGATGAGGGGGGCCTTGGGAACCTGCTTGGTCAGGACTTCCTCAGCAGATGGCTCTCGCTTTATGTCCTGATTTATATTTTGTGGGAGGAGTAAGGATAAAAATAGTATTTTACTGAGGTTTTTGTTTGGTTCATGACTTAAATAAGCTGCACAGAATCTTAGGGAAGGCATGGGAAGGCCTCAAACAAATATTTGCTGTCCATCAGTCATCTGCAGCAACATGATGATTGTAGACTTAAAGTCCTACAACCCAAAAAGCTATTTTATGAGACAGGACCTGATGGCTTCTATGCTGGTCAATTATTTTGGTGCTATTAGCCAATTTCTTGTTTTGATGTGCTCTTCTCTCTATTTTAGTGGCTAGAAATCTACAGATTCTATTTCCCAGACTCCCTTAAAAATTAGTTTCTGTTTCAGTTCTGCCAATGAAAGGCACTGTTGGGAGATTGAAGAAAAGAGAGACAGAAGAGTGACTTTCTTCATCTTCCCAGTTTCCAGTGTCATCTTCAGCAGCAGGGGAGCAGGATTAGCATTAATGACAGGAGACACAATGCCAGAGGCCTGGGAGGGCAGGTCCTAGTGCTAACAGCAGGAACTTGTAACAGCAGTGACCTCAAGAGCTGGGAAAGATCTGCTTCTCTTTTGCTCCTTCAACTCTGGAGTCCACAGTTACTAAGCATCTGGTAAAACTACTTTCCCCTCTTGTTTCTCTAACTCCTCTCCCCAACATTCCTGTAACCAACTCTGAATTAAATTCTCTTTGTCTGAAATACTAAGGGTAGTTTTTCCTTTCTGACGAGATCCTAAATTATACACAGTATTTATATAAAACCTTTCCTTTAGACTAGAGGGATGAAGAAGGAAAAATGGAGTCAAATACTTGCAAAAGAGTCAGGAGTAGTATGGTTCATTGATAACTAACATAGAAAGAACATCTACTGGGTATCTATGTAGCCCATTGCAAAGTGTAATATTTTAGGTAAAAAAATGTAAACAATTAGGTAAGAAATTTGGGGAAAAGCTAAATTTATGAAGCTTTTAGAAGAAAACATAAGAAGAGTTCCACTGCAACCTGCAAATAGGCAAAGATTTTGTAGCAGTACACAGAAAGCAATAATCATAAGGAAAAATTAAATTATGCTTTATCAACATTTAAAACTTCTCATCAAAATGCATTAAGAAAATGTATAAGCAAGCTGCAGGCTAGGAAAAATATTTGCCAAATAGGACTTGCATCTAGAATATATGAAGAACTCCTGAAACTCCACAATGAAAAGACAGCTCCATTAGAGAAAGAAGGACAAAAAACTAGACACTTTGAAAGTAAGATATTCAACTTGTTAATAAAACCAAAAAGACTTCAACATCATTAGTCACCAAGGGAATGCAAATTAAAGTCACAATGAAGTACTACCAAACACCTAATAGAATGGCTAAAATTTAAAGACTGACAAAACCAAGTGTTGACAATGTGTAACAACCAGAACACTCAGACAGTGATGATGGGGATCTAAATGTTTTTGGTACTTTCTTACAAATGTCTATAGACATGTATCCTATGGCCCAATAATTCAATGACTAAGTATTTATCCAAGAGAAATGAAAACATACATTCTCTAAAAGTCTTGTACAAGAGTGTTTCTAGCAGCCTTATTCTTAAGAGTCCCAAATTGGAAACAATCCATATCTCAGCACCAGGAAAATGGGAAAACAATTGCAGTATAAATACAATAAAATGCTATTCAGCAATAAAAATTAATGAACTATTGCTATACATAAGCAACAATATGAATTAATTTTATAGACATTATGCTGCATGAAACAAGTCATTTACAGAATACTTACTGTGGGATTGCATTTATTTAACCTCTGCAATAAGCAAACTATAGTAAAAAAAAATCAGTAAAGCATTTGCCTTTGTGAATTGAGGAGGATTTATGGAGAAGGATCATGGAGGAAAAAACTTTTTGGTGCGGCAGCTATATCTTAATAGGAGTGTAGCTTACACGGGTGGATAAATTTGTCAGGCCTCTTAAAATTCACTTCAGATGTGCACATTTTACTTCATGTAAACTTTTCTACTAAAGGAATTTTAAACACTGATGAGTATAAAAGGGTCAAATATCCCAACAATGTACTATTTCACTTTCATCCAGTTCTTTATGCAGAGTAAAACATAAGTTTTCTTTATTTGATAATTGGCCATAAGCTGGAAATAAATGCAAAATGCAGTCTCCTTGAGAGCCTTGTAATTCTATGAAGGAATCATTATTAGCATACTCTAGATCCAGTCTTTGGCAGGAAGGGGCAGAGTATGTAAATTCATAGCAATGTATAGACAGGACCGTGGAGAGGGGCCAAGTCTATAAACATGGAAGCTTGGAAAACCATTATTCGAGGAAGAGATGCAAGAAGATATTGGTCTGAAAAATATTTAAAATAAATTAATGAGAAATAATAGAAGCTAATGAAATACAATTAACATGAGAGAAGAGAGAACAGGAAAGCAGACAAACAAAAAGGTTACATTGAAATATAACGGGCCTTTTATTTGCTTAAATTTCAGGGTTGCTTTTTGTTGTTGTTGTTTTTCTAGATTTACTCTCACCAGTGTACCAAGTTTTATTGCAATCTGTTAACATCTTTGGAAATGCTTCAATTTGGTTCCAAATCTACTGATATGAAGTCTATTTCCTGCCAAGATATAGTGGCGAGTTCAAAGTGTTTGTATATGTTCTTTCACTTTATTTACTTAAAAGAAGTAATAGAAGTAAAGGAAAGGAAAGTCGCATAGAAAAATAATCCTGACTTGTTAAGTAGATTCTTGCCAGAAGACTCAGGCTTTCTGATACATAGAAAAAATTCACATTTGGATACCATTTTATAAAATCTTGTCTAAACTGATAAAGCAATAAAAGCAGGCCAGCACCAGTCATACTATTTCTAGTATAGCGTAAGAGTTAAGAAAATGAGCTTTGCAATAACTTATGATTGAGTTCAAATTTCAGCGCTGCCCCATAACAGCTGTATAACTTCAGACAAATTACTTACCCCCTTTGAACTTTAACGTCCTCACCTGTAAAATTCAAATAATGCTTACCTCAGAGGGTTAATAAGATTAAGTGAGAAAATATATGAAATTACTCAATACCTGACATCAATATTAAGCATCATTCTTACTAAAAGATATGACTAACAAGGTGGCTTTACTCAGTTTAGGTACCAGTTTTTATTAACACTAAAGCTTATTTGAATCACAGTTTGGCAATCACCAAATGTATTAGTTAAAAAAAAAAAAAAACAGGACAACGTAAGGAGAAACCATGTACAGACTTTCTTCATTGCATGCATTAAAGCCCTAACTTTAGCACAGAATATTTAAGCTTCAAAGTATTTCATCAATAGATCAATAAACCCCTAAATTAGGAAGCCTGGTTTCATTTTATTCCCCATTTAATCTCTGTTTTCCTTTTCTCTCCCATCCCTAGTAATAGACTTTTCTGATTCTCACCTATTGTTGTTTCTAAGGTTCTTAGGCTTAGACTTAAGGCTTTTAAGTTTATCTGTCTGATTACTATTCAATCACTTAGCAAATACTTATTAATTTCCCATGTTATGTAAGATTCCATGCTAAGCACTGATCATATTAGGACTGGCTGAATAAGATAGACAAAATCCCTGTTCTCAAAAAAAAAATAAAAAGCAAGTTAAGAAACTTTAAATGACCAATTAGATCCTCACTTATTTAACTAAGTTACTATTAATGACAAGAAGGAGGATGGCACAATATTACAGGATTACAAAATAGTATATTGGCAGAGATTAGAGATTTAACAGGTAAGGATTGCCTTTAAAAAGGTCATTCAATAAACATCAAAGGAAATGTAGGCATTTGTAAGTGCTACATAAAAAAAGAGCCTTAAATATAAGACATGTAATACTTAAAGTTGCTCACAGAAATCGTGTGTGATTGGGGCTCAGAGAGAAAGGGAATGGCTCACAGTGAGCATTAAGGCAGGCTGGAGATAGATGATGGAAGTCCTTTTGGGCCATGTTGGATATTCTTTATTTCTTTTTAAAAGTTTGTTTTTCCTAGTAGGGAAAGGTTTACTGCCAATTCTGTAGTGCACTGCCTTTGTTGACCCTAGTCAATTTGTGTACACCATTAGCCTTTGAGCTCACTGTTGATATGCACTCAATCTGCTCTAAAGGATGGACATTTTCCTTGGCTGCCTGTGCCCTAGGCTATAACTCACATTGCCTAGGGCTCTATGATCTCTCATCATTGGCTTCCAGGAGTAGGTTAGTGACACCATTGGATATAACCCTTGACCCCAAGTCAGCACTCTTTGCACATCTATTCTATCAACCCAGAGCAGGCTTCCACCAACAATCAACTCTTTCTGGTTTAACTGACTGTTGGAGCCTACAGTGAAGATTCCACCCTTTGGCTAGCCTTAGCCCTCCCTCCAGTCTCCATCCTCCATAGCAGCTCCACCAGTTACTTTTTGTTAGACTTTTAGAAGTGTCCAGAATTTAATATATTTTACTTCTCTTCCTTCCAATATACCTGCAAGGTAAGTATTCTTTCTTAGCTTCTATTTACCCATGAGAAATGTGAGCATTAAGGAGATTTGCTCACTTGCCCAAAGTTAAACGTACAATATACAAAAATCTAAACTCAAGACTCTAGTTCAAGAGAAAAAATAACAACAACAAAAGCAGTGCTAATTATTTTGCCCCTTGTTTTAGAGAAATAAAAGCCATAACACAGAGCTATGAACACCAAGTAAAATAGATGGTACCCCAAAAAGGACTATTCCTTGAGACATGAGATCTATTTCTCTTTTTTTTAAAATTTATTTTGCTATTTTTTTTGTATCTGTTTATGGATTGATGCCCTACCTCCACTCATTTCAAAAATCTTACTGTGCATTCAAAATTCTTCAGCTCTCATCTCTCTCTTACTCAGCGCTATAATTGCTCCCCCAAACACAACAATTTTTCAAAACTAAACTGCCAGAACTTCAAGTCAAAGTTTTAATTTTAAACTGGACAGGTCTTGCCTTTGGCTGACACATTTCCCTGGTAGTTTTTCAAAGTTATTTCAGCAAGGCTAACAAAATTAAGTGAGGTGAAAGAAAAAACAATTTGTACTTTTTAGGTGGAAAAACACATTTTACTTTAATTCTCTTTTCCTGATTACTGATGTAGACCCAGCACAACATAAAGGAAATGGACTGTGTGAAGGAGAAAGGCACAAACAGTACCAGAGAAAGTCAAAACAAAAAAAAGAGGCTGTTATTCTCTCTAAAATCTGCATTAGCCCAGAAAAAGGGTCTACACTAAAGCCATGGACAGACTCTAAAATCACCATAATCTTTGGCAAATGTTCTTAAACTTGCCTCCGTTTTTTGAATCTAAAAAAAATTCAGGAAATTTTTCTGGAAAAGGTTACACTGTACTTAACTTTAACTTTTATCTTTGTAGGAAACTGTAGCCCTTGAACTAATTCCAATATATTATACATTGCCAAGTGCAAAAAGTTTAAAATTAAACTTGTATATTAAAAAAAAGAACAGAGGAAAAGTAAGTTACTTAAAGTAATATCCCAGTAATGTTTATCCATCAAAAATATGAGACAACGGGGACTAGACCTTAGAGTAAAACATACGAATTTTAATTTCATACTATGTAACGGAGAACTGTTGAATAGTTCATGAGATGTATGTTAGTTTTGATAAGCTACTGCAATTTACATTGTATTTTATTTGGGACTTCTCAGTATTCAAAAATGACTCCTTACTGAAGCTTTCTGTATGAGTGACATCTTTTCTGGAACATTCACTCCATAACCTTTAATTAATGTGTCCTTTTGTCACTTAAAATATAATCTAAATGGTTTTTTTTGTTTGTTTGTTTGTTTGCTTTTTTGGTGGGGGGATAGTTTAAACCAAAGAGGAACAAAAATAAACACTGGACTCATTTTTATCATCTTGCCAAGAGACACAACTATAGATAAGCATCCATGGGTATGATAAGCAAGAACTGAATCTCAAATCCCATTCAGGGTGCTGAAAATTCCACCCTTAATATATTTGTAAACACATTGTCATAAAATCAAACGGCTTGCCTGATGTTGATGCTACACCACTTGGAAATTGTGCAGGGGACCTGAATCTAGGAAATGTAATTTCCCTGTTGCTTACCTTGTGAAAAACCCTATTTTTAATATCATCTGGATATGAACTAGAATGATTGTGACAACTTCATCTCTAATGCAACGAGAGTTGTTGTGTTTATTTTACAGAGTTTTGCTTGTAGCAAAACACAGAAATACCATAGAGAGGAACACATACTTTATGGGTCTGCTGCTGATGATTTTGAGTGGCAATCAATCTTCTGGCTACGTGCAAATGCAGAAATACTGACCAACATGCAAAACACTTCAACTTTCAGGGATATTTGAGTCAAGAGGAACCCAGTGTGTATAAGTTCTTCTTGTATAATTTAGCACAATTCATTTAAATAAATGCATTGCATACCTTCTATATGCAAAATAATGTGCAATTTAAAAGTTCTTTCTCTCTCATTAAACATAATAGTATGTAGTGTTGAAGAACATTGGACATACATATGGAAATATTGCCATTCAAATCTAGAGTAATTTGTCTAGTGTAGTATTTTGTATTGCCTCCTTTAAAAAAGCTGATGAGTGTCCTATTTATTATACATTCCATCTTAAACCACAAAAGAAGTAAAATAACTTACCAAACTATAAGGTACAATCCACTTAAACTTTATTGGCATCTACTATGAGCTAGAGACAATTTCAAACTGGTCAATGGCACTCTATGTCTCCTTAATTAAAAAAATATTTTCACCATGTCATGTATTTTATTTAGAAATTACTTGCATGTTTACATCTTTGAAAACCACTAATTTAGCAAAATCAGGAAGCAGGGCCTTCTTTAATACATTCTTTAACATTTCAGTTAAGAAAATTTGCTTTTAATGGTGAATATCTTTAATGCTAATAAATCATTAATAATGGGAAGTTAGCAAATAACATTCTTCATTTTTTCTTTCAATAAAACCTCATTTTTAAAAATTTCATTTAATTTTGTTTTAAGTTCCAGGATACATATGCAGGACGTGTAGGTTTGTCACAATGGTAAATGTGTTCCATGGTGGTTTGCTGCACCTATCAACCCATCACCTAGGTATTAAGCCCCACATGAATTAACCATTTAACCTGATACTCTCCCTCCCCCGGCTCCACCCCTGGACAGGCCCCAGTGTGCGCTGTTCCCCTCCCTGGGTCCATGTGTTCTCATTATTCAGCTCCCACTTATAAGTGAGAACATGCAGTGTTTGGTTTTCTGTTTCTTGCATTGGTTTGCTGAGGATAATGGCTTTGAGCTACATCCATGCCCCTGCAAAGGACATGATCCTGTTCTTTTTATGGCTGCATAGTATTTCATGGTTTTATGTACTACATTTTCTTTATCCGGTCTATCACTGATAGCCATTTAGGTTGAGTCCATGTCTTTGTTATTGTGAATAGTGCTGCAATGAATATACACATGCATGTATCTTTTTAATAGAATGATTTATATTCATTTGGGTATATAGCACTGGGTATATACCCAGTGGGATTACTGGGTCAAATGTATTTCTGGTTCTTGGTCTTTGAAGAATCACCACACTGTCTTCCACAATGGTTGAACTAATTTACATTCCCACCAACAGTGTAAAATCATTCCTATTTCTCCATAGCCTTGCCAGCATCTGTTGTTTCTTGGCTTTTTAATAATTGCCATTCTGACTGGCATGAGATAGTAGCTCATTGTGGTTTTGATTTGCATTTCTCTAATGATCAATGGTGTTGAGGCTTTTTTCATGTTTGTTGGCCGCATGAATGTCATCTTTTGAGAAGTGTCTATTCATGAATAGGACCTAATTTTTTTATAGATGGCAATTTTGTCTTATGAAACAAATTGAATAAAATATTTTTACAGATAATTACACTCTCTGGTTCTTCCTAACTGAGATGAGGCTTCATCTCATTTCCTTTTATTGACTGAGTACTATTTCCAAAGTATTTCCACTCTGCTACTAATGCCTTTTATGCCTTCGTATACTGCATAATGCCTGGCATTTTCTCACATTAGGATGGCTGCCCACTCTTCATCCTAAAGCCAGTAGTTTTAGCTTTCTTCTCAGAACGTAAAATTGGACATCTGACCTCAGCAAGAACATTCCACTCCACCAGACCTCAGGAAGAACATTCCACTCCACCAAACTGGCTTTTTTTTTTTTTTTTTAAGACAGATTCTCACTCTGTGGCCCAGGCTGGACTGCAGTGGCACAATCTCGGCTCACCGCAACCTCCGCCTCCCAGGTTCAAGCAATTCTCCTGCTTCAGCCTCCTGACTAGCTGGGGCTACAAGCACATGCCACCACCCCTTGCTAATTTTTATATTTTTAGTAGAGATGGGGTTTCACCATGTTGGCCAGGCTGGTCTCAAACTCCTGACCTCAAGTGATCCACTCGCCTCGGCCTCCCAAAGTGCTGGGATTACAGGTGTGAGCCACCGCGGCCAGCCTCCACTAGCCTGTTTTATGTGCCCTAATCTTCTCTGCACTTATCAAAGGAAGTTTAGCTAAAATGGTCATGAACTTCTCAGAGGCCTGGCATGTGAGACTTCCCATGAAGAAAGGCCAAGTTTTTCAAGTCTCAGAAGGCTTACCAAATTAGGTTCCAAGGCTATAACTTACTAAATTAAAAATAGACTGCTCCTTTGAGGAACAAGTAGAAAGATCTAAAAAGAAAAGAAAAGAAAAAAAGAAAACCTAAGAAAAAAGTGGGTAAAAAACACTAACATTGAAACATGCAACCTCCTGGTAGACACTTCAGACTTTGATCAACCAAGAGTAGCAGCGTATCATCCAAACCCAAATCTTTTTACTGTGTTCAAATTGAATGGTGTAAGAACTAATTTTAGCTCCAAGTTTAAAAAATTAAACAAACAAACAAAAACTTTGGGTAGTTTAAGTTCTCTGGAGGTGGGTGTAAAATAATGGGAATAGTAACCATAATGTTCTGAAATCATTGTCTAATAAAAACAATGCAAGCTCTCTATAAGTTCAGTGTGTTTGTTTTGTTTATTGCTGTACCCCCAGCACCTAGAACATCGATGTTGCTCATTAAACATTAGTTGTATGAATGTTTTATAAACAAATGAATTTCAGTGGAATGCAATAGGGCTACCTGTCTATACCCCTTTTCTAGCAACTATTCTCCCTTACCTTCACATAGTGGGAGCAGGCACAAGCAAATTAGTAATGACCCTGACCCCTGACCATAGGTGATTGGTTGAAGAGTATATAATTCACCCAAACTGGGCTGATTACAATGCCCCACTTCTTTCCCTTCCCACCCCAGTCACAGCGAGTGGGACTGAGGCTCTAACTTCACTAAATCTAGACCAGTAAATTCCTTCGCTAGGAATTGAGGTCTTGGACAAAGAAAATATCAAGTCAATCTCCATGGTATGGTTGATTCTTACATGTAAAATTTAGGAACTGTTCACAGTCTTGTTTCCCACATTAAAAAAATATGGACAAAAATTCTTGATAGTACCTTCACTCTAGTTCTAATCGTCCTCAACACTCAGATGCATTTGTGGTCTTTAGTTGTGTGAGACACTTGAGTATTCACAAAGTAAATTTTCTTAAACTAGCTGGAGGTTTGTTTTTCTTTACCTGTTATTTGAAACTAAAAGAATTCTAAATTCTTCCTACCTTCCTCCAATCTTCCCTTCCTCCACCCCTTTCACCTTCTCTTCTCTCCTTTCCTTTCTTCTCTCCTTTCTTTTCTTCTTCCTCCCTCCCTCCCTTCTTCCTTTTAAAATTAGCCATTAATCCATCTATTTCCTATCTGAACTCCATATCCTACAAAAAAGAGGTTTTATTTCAAAATGAATAACTAATAACAAGCTGTCAATTCCCTGAAGACTGGGCCTCACTGGTAAGAGAATGCAGTGAACAGAATCATGAATTGAGGAGAACTTTTAGTCTCTCAAATGTGGTCATTCATTTCTGTTGATATATGCACAGGGGCGTAATACAGAAGATTAACATTATTAACAGAATTTTTCTAATAAGTTGTTTTCTTCCCATTAAGTCTAAATACTGTATGTTTCTGGACAGCATGATTGATGTAATTATTACTCTAAGTGCCAATTACTGAAGCAAGAGAGCACTCTATGCTTAGTCTGAAACTGCCAGGATGCTCCTAGGTCGAAATATCTAAAAATGTGTAAGTCCAAAACACATTCAGAATGTGTAGCACTGACCTTCTTTTCTAAACTCTAACCCTGGAGGTTACTTAATCTCAATAAAACTTATCTTTTCTGTTTGAAAACCTCAGCCTTTGAAATAATATGTGAAAATCTTAAAAAAAGAAAGAGAAAGTTTATTTAAATTCGTGTGATTTTAAAACTACTTGGAATAATTAAAGCACCAGTTAATGTGTTATCATTATAACCTATTCACTAATAATAGTTAATCATTGCTAACCATCATAGTGCCTATTGTGTTCCAGGTACTTTAGTAAGAGC
This sequence comes from Homo sapiens, assembly GCF_000001405.40. NCBI lineage: Eukaryota > Metazoa > Chordata > Mammalia > Primates > Hominidae > Homo > Homo sapiens. The sequence goes on along the minus strand of NC_000001.11, from coordinate 82,636,470 downwards.
ATTATACGTATTAAATCATTTAGTTCTCATATGATTATCTGAGGTAGGTATAATTATAATCCCCATTTTAAAGTTAAAAAACTTGAAGACAATAAAGTTGAACAACTTGCCAATTTCGCTGATGGTGTATTTGTCACAGTTTATTAGGGTTCTTGGTTGCAAGAGATTAAACTGACTGAATTAAACCCTCCATATATTCTTCTAGAATCAACAATTCAGTTTATTTGCTTTTCTTTGATATATCATGGGATGAGTTTGCATTGTAAAACAAAGAATGGATCTGAGAAAGATTTGTAGGAAAAAAACAAATATTCAGCAATAGAGAGTCAATAAAAATGTTCTTTGGGTCTTCATTTGCTACCTAATGATTTCATTTACCTTTGGAGTGATGAGGCTGCCTTCACGTATCAAAGGAGAATTTTGGCATAAGAAGGCTTGGATTCAAGTTCCTGGCTATTCCACTTCCTGTCTGTAGTGGAGCATGGCACATCACACTTCTGACATCACATGGCTCATCTATAAAATGAAAGGAAGGATTCTTGCCTTACCCATCTTAAGTGATTTTTTAAGAAACAAAAAGGCAATTCATGTAAAAATTCTTTGTAAATTGTGAAACATGAAAGCATATTACAAATATAAGACATTATTATCCTGAAGTTATAGGCTTTGAAATATGAAGTATTGTCATGGGATCCTTGGGGTGTTCCTTCGCCAGCTGGAAACTGCAGATAAAGAATAATATCATCAGGTAACTGGCTTTCACATTTATTGCAGAGAAAAGGTGGAAGCAAAAGGAATAATATCACTAAAATGTTTGCTCAATAATAATTTTCTTATTCATCTGAGCTAGATTCGCTATTAGAAGCTTACTGGGTGAGAGGGAGTCTTTCCCCCAAAATTTATATTACTTTCTTTAAGAATATTGACAATTATAACTGCATCTACAAATCTCTCATTTATGGCTTTCTCAAAACATTTTTTCAAAAAGGTACAAATACGCCAAAAATATCAAAAGTGACTTGGTTTCGAGTTATATAAGGGCAACTCTTGCAAAACTGTTAGCTAAGCATTGAATACTTTCTCCTTTACCAACGTTGCCCTTCAGAATGAACGATTAGGAAACTTAAATTGCATTATCATATTTAAATAAGTCTCTGCATAGACTTATTTTATTCTTTTTTTTTTTTTTTTTTTGAGACAGAGTCTCATTCTGTCGCCCAGGCTAGAATGCAATGGTGTGATCTCAGCTCACTTCAACCTCTGCTTCTTGGCTCCTGGGTTCAAGCAATTCTCCTGCCTCAGCTTCCTGAGTAGCTGGGATTACAGGCATGTACCACCACACCCGGTTAATTTTTCCATTTTTAGTAGAGATGGGGTTTCACCATGTTGGCCAGGCTGGTCTCAAACTCTGACCTCAACTGAACCTCCTGCCTCAGCCTCTCAAAGTGCTGGGATTACAAGCATGAGCCCCCATGCCCAGCCGACTTATTTTCATTTATTAATTTATTTTCATAGTAGTATGAGGTACATGGGAAGATGCCCATTTTTCAGAAATAGGAAATGAGAAGAACTACTATAGATGAGAGAGTAGGGAAAGAAAATGGGACCTTGTAGTTTATTTCCTATCTGTGTTGAGTTTAGTTGTATAACTGTGTGTCAGTACAACCAGGTGGTAAAGGGGAGTGAAGAGAAAATTCTGGGGCTGTGGGCACATTTAAAAGCAGCTCTACTTACTGTAGTGAGTTTAGAGCTTTAGAAGCAATCACATCAGCTAACTCAAAAGACCCTTCAAAAATTTTAAGGCCACACATTTTCAGCATGGAGTATCCATGGTGCCTGTTCCACCCACTTTCTGTAATCATCCTGTCTCTCACTTTAACTCTTATGTCAGATGTTTGAAAGAACTTAAGCATCTGACCTTAGAAAAGTACACTATATTCCCCACAAGTTCACAGATTCCATGGAAACTAAACATGGTGCATTTAAAAACTATATAAACAGTAAATTAGCTATAAAAAAAACTCTCCATTTTATTTTATATTAAGCTTGGCCAATTTTGTACAGCTGCGTTCTCAGTAAATGAGTTTGGAAATTTCCACTGCAAGACTTTTCACTTAGGACTCATAGAAGAAAGAGGTCAGTATTCTTATCATCTTATCTCTGCTACTTACTCACTGGGTGGTTTTGCCCAAACTAAGATAAAAATTTGTAATAAGCAAATTTTTGTGGATAAGCAAAAAAAATTTGTCTTAGTTCTTAGCACAGTGCCCTGACACATGCTAGTAGCTCAATAAATGTTTGTTCAGTGAGTAAATGAATGAATGAATCGATGTATGAACAAGAGTTTTTGTTGATAGATAGTTAGACCTTATAAGTATCCTCCAGATGAAATGATAAAGGCTCTTCTTATCAGTCTTTTGTACTTGTTCCTAATACAGGGCAAACCAATTCTGAAAGAGTTGGAAGACAATTTCAGTAATATTTTCTCCCCTCCTTAAATAAATGATGCAATTTCTGAGTAAAGCAATTCAATTTCTCTTAGTTGTTGCAATTATTGACCATCTGATTAAGGCAAGTGTGTCTTGCTTTAAATGAAAGCTTGCTTTCAGGTGTTGTTACAATAAATAAATTTAACTCAACTTCATATTGATTCTGCTATATACTGAACAAAATCCTTACCATATGCTTCTAGTACCTAACTAAACTGCTGCCAAGGACTGCTCAGGTTGGCATAACTATTCAAACTAATTATGAAGTAGATTCTGCCTTGGAGATTGAGTGTAAAAAGTGACACACTGCTAATTATCTCTAAAGAACAGAAAGATAAGTAAAATTGAAGATGGGCATTGAAAACATGAATAGAAAAAAAGCATGAGGAAAATGAAGAAAAGATGAAAAGAAAAGTGAATCGTTTTTAACCTTCACAACTCAATTGATGTATATTTGTATGCCCATCTAGTTTTTTATGTCTAAGAAAAAAGAACAATTAGTCTGTAAAGAAGAAAGGTTGTTATCCTAGGGTCTCTTGTTAATTGAATAACAAGAAGAGAAAATGCTGCAGAAGAGGGAATGGGGGAGATCATCACAGGAAAGAAGAAATAAAGTTAACAGGTTGGAATATATATCGAAATAAAAAATGGGAAATAACATTAAACTAGAGAGAAATGATTTCTCATCATTCTTTTTGTGCATTGAATAAGCAAAAATAAATGTTGGTAGAGTCAGTACTGAATCCCTTACTGCTTAAATTGTTTCTTTTCTTGAATCTGACTCAACCAGAAAAAGTATCAAAAGCAGAGAATGCTTCACCCACTCCCTACTTCTTTTCCCTTCCTTTCCTATAACTTTGAGGTAGAGAAAGAGGTTATTCAATAAAAGTGAATACCAAAAGAAATTGGCAACATTATTCAACAAATACTTATTAAGCTCCTACTCTATTCAGGGTATGGGGAATACAAAAATGGATGGCAAATGTCTTTCCATACACTGTTTATAGTCTTTTTTTTTTTTTTTTTTCTGAGACAGGGTCTTACCTTGTCACCCAGGCTGGAGTGCAGTGGCATGGTCATAGATCACTGCAGCCTCAAACTCCTGTGCGCCAGTGATCCTCCCGCTTCAGCCTCCAGAGAAGCTGAGATAGTTTGACAGATTTAATGAAGTAACTAACAGGATAAATGATTCATTCAAAGCAACTGAACAGGTCAGTTTTATAAACTAGAGTTAGATATTTAGAATTGCTTTGAAATGGCTTTTTTATTGTTGTTATTGTTTTTCAAATTAGTCATGGAAGAGAAAATAGGAATCCATGTTTTTCTTGACTTTTTCTTTTGTTTTACAGCTGAAAAAAATTGTTTTTATTAAACATTGTTGCTTCTGATAGCTCCAACTTTGTGTCCTTTCCTGAAGGAAAATATACCTATTAAGAGATAAATCTTGAGATAAGAAAAGAAAAAGCTAAAATCCAGCATTACAGGTTAGAACAGTAGCCCATTATCATGACTAAGAAAAATAGATTTGTTTTACTTACAAATCCCTAATGACTTCTCAAATGTCATGCTAATAACTCAGTGATTACTCACTCATCAAAGAAAACACCCCATACTTAGAAGCCTTCAAGGCTACATTAGATCCTCACTTGTCTGAAGGTCACCTATAATTATTCACTCACTCACCTCACAGGGGTACTGGATGGAATGACTAATGTATCATTGATAACTACTTTAAATGGCACATATTAAAAGCCAGATTCACATCTTGTATTCCTTTATGGAAAGTCATTGAAAAGGTACGATAATGAAACAGTCTTTGGAGACTTTCAGCAAAAGAACCTGTCTGAATGGATGAGAAATCGTTTTTTAAAAGCAAGCTCACCAAGAAAGGACTGCAGTTGCTATAAAGTCTTGGCCCCCAATGTTATCTTAACAAATATTCTTGACATACATTACATTACATCATTGCTGCCATCTGTACACAACACTATTTTTTGCTGACAAGTAAGTGTGATAAGATGCAGCTCTTGAGACTATTATGATTTTATTTTAAATAAATGTGTTTTAGTAATTTAGCCTTTAACACAAAATGCTATTGTACTTTAAGACAGGGTTGGTTCTTTTTAAAGTGAAACAAATCTTGAATTTGCAATTTAAATGTACATTGTTTTCTTTTGGTAAACTCCACGAGAACACATCTCCAATATCCCATTTATTTTTCTGCATTTAAAGAACAAATTGTAGATTAAATCCATTGGGAATCACACATTTTAAATGACTCATGCTCATTCTTGTAAGTTAATAAGAAAGAGTATTTATATAAATTCAGAAAAATATTCTCTGCAGCTTCTAAAGTGAAGACATGTTATGAGCTCAGAGATAATCAAATATGAAGCCAGTATATTCTGGACCATGGTGTGCTAAGGCTTAGTTGGAATAAGAATAAGAAGGAAGAAAACTAGTTCCAAAGTATCAGTATTTCTTTGGGAGGGAAGAGAGGTTGTGGTATCAATAGTTCCCAGCTATTTACCAGAATCTACCTAAAGAGGTAGCATCTCACCAGCCTTTTGATTAAGCATTAGTGTGATGGTTAATTTTTGGTGTCATTTTGACTGGATTAAGAAATAACCTAGATAGATGAAAAACCATTATTTCTGGGTGTATTTGTGAGGGTGTTTCCGAGGAGATTGGCATGTGCCTCAGTGGACTGATTGGAAAGATTCACCCTCAAGGTGATCAGAAACATCCAGTAGGCTGGGGGTCCCTGTGGAACAAAAAGGCAAATAAAATATGAATTCTGTTGCTCCTGGAGTGGGGACACCCTTCTTACCCTGCCCTTGGACATTAAAACTCTAGGCTCTTTGGTCTTTGGACTCTGTGACTTGTGCCAGCAGCTTCTAAGCCTCTCCCACCTTACTTAGCCTTGGACAGAGAGTTATACCTTTGGCTTCCCTGGCTCTGATGCCTTCAGACTTGGACCGAGCCAGGCTACCTGCAACCCAGGGTCTCCAGCTTGCACAGAGCCTATCATGAGACTGACTTCTCAGACTACGTAATACTATGAGCCACTTCCCCTAATGAATTACCGCTTGTCTATCTATCTATCTATCTATCTATCTATCTATCTATCTATCTACCTACCTATCTATCTATCTATTCATCCATCCATCCTGGAGAACCCTGACTAATACAATTAGACTAGCTCTATGAAAAAGTGATACATGATGGCAGAAAACCTCATGAGTTACAGTGGTAAATAGCAAATGGACAGGGGAAAAGTAGAGTGACAATAGGTGTACAAAAGTCTAGCAGGTAGAAAAACCATCCCCAAGTATGTCCATTCCCTAAAACCCTAAAATCTGTGAATATTTTATGTTTCATAACAAAACAGACTTTGCAGATATAATCACAACGGGGAGATTATTTTGGATCACCAGGGCCCAATGGCATCACATAAGCACTTAAAAGGAGAGAACATTTTTCAAGCTAGAGACAGGAGACATACATCAGAAAGGGAGATCAGAGGTACCGGATGCATAAAAAGGACTCCTGCTTGTTGGCTGGAGACAAGACAAAGAATGCAAATGGTCTTCAGGAGCTGAGAGAGGCTCCCAGGTGACAGCCAGCATAGTAATAGGCACTGGGGCCTACAACCGCAAGACACTAAGCGTAGCCAACAACTTAAATGAGCTAAGTGGATCCTCTCCTAGCACAACAAAATACGAATAAGCTGACACCTTGATTTTGGCTTTGGAAGGTGGTATGTGGAGGAACCAGTGAATTCTACCTGGATTTCTGATCTACAGAACTGTGAGATAATAAGCTTGTGTTGTTTTAGCCACTAAGTGTGTGAAAATTTGTTACAGTATTAATTGTGACAAGTAATAAAAAACTAGCTCAAGAAGGAAATTGTTATAACTGATTGTATATTAACTTTGCAAACGAAGCAATATCAGTTATGTTCTTAGGATTCAGCTTATATTTGGGATCTAGGAACATCTCTTCACTGAACACACCTTTTTGAAAGACATTATGTTGGATGATGCTGATGGGAAAAGTGCTGGAAAGTCAATATCTGTTTACTCAAAGGGAAGACTCAGGGAAAGACCAAGAAACACATGACTAACTCTAACCCATCAGGATAATAAAAGCTGTTGATAGAGATTCAAACAAAATAATGTGGGAACCAGAGTCTGATCTGACTCCTGAAGGAAGTGGGGGTTGCGGGGGCAGTTCACAGGGGTTCAGTGGAGATGAGTTCAACAGGAAGAGGGTCTTGGCATTGTTTGGGAATCTTTTCCTGTCCCACTGTCTAGACAGGATCTCATGTAATGAAGTACCTCAATGTGCAGTACATTCTGTACCATCACGATGCTCCAGGTCTCACCCCAAGCCCGTAATACAAATAGACTCAATGGATTCCAGGAGGTTGGATGAGACTGTTCTAATACGTGCAGCCTCAGAGTTTAGTCTCCTAAAAAAGTTCAAATCAAATTTACAGCTTTTTCTGGCAATTGGGAGTTTGAAGTTCTCTGACATGATTCAGGAATGTAACTTAAAGTACTTATAAACGTAGTTTCTAATCCTCATTATTTTTCAGAATCAACCATGGGTTTTAAAAGAAAAATAGAGTTGCCATATTCCTATCCCCAAATAACAGAATCAGAATTTCTATAGGTGAGTCTTAGGCATATGTATTTTTTTAACTCCTCAAGTGAATAAACTTTATTTTTATTAAGTCCTCAAGGAATACTGATTGCATAGCCAAAGTTCTGATGAAGGCAGCAGTGAATTCAAGGTTACATAATCTGACAAAAAACTGAACTTCACATACACTATGCTCATCATGTAACAAATCACCTGAGGGAAGGCAGAGTCATCACTCTCTAATGACCTCATCTGAGAACTTCCGTGATAACCTCACCTGCACGCACACATGGTCACAGAGGAACTAGAGTGGACAGCTGCAAAATTTACTCAAAAAAGTTCTGGTTTCACTTCAATGTGAATAAAAATTAATGCTCAAAACTCCAAAATTTTAAATTAGGTTATGGTTCTCATAAACTTTGCTTGAAAAGAACAATGTAAAGCATACACCATTACTGGCTATAGAAAAATATCAATAAGGAATTTGTAGAAGGGAATATCTGAGGGGAAAACTGAATCTCAACATATACTTCTAAATAACTAAATGTAATGAGCTTCTGTTGTTAATAATTGATAACATGCTGAATAAATATTCAAGAGCTTCTGATTTTGATTTTTTGGTAGTGATCACCGTTACTCTGGACACTATTTTTTAAAAAAAGAAACAAGAAGTGTTACAGTAGGTAGCTAGTCAGGCATGAGCGGGGCAGGAGAGGGCTCCCCCCAGTACACACACACACACACACACACACACACACACACACACACACCACGAATGTCAAGTGACCATCAGGTGGTTAACTGTCTCTCTAAAATAATAATTGGTCACAGATGACACCAGGGAAAAGCAGTCTCCTGATAGATAGAAAAAACCCTGAAATTGGTGTTCAGTAGCTTCCTGATAAGATCTCAGGAGTTGGGTGAGTGGACTCAAGCATGCGCATTAAGAGGCAAAATGGCAAAATTTAACTGGTACATGACATTCTAGGAACATTCGACTGGTAAGGGAAGAATGCCTCAAGTGAGCGTGCATACAGCTCCGGTAAATTCACTGTACATGTTCACCTCCCAAGTGCTAGCAGGTCAATGCACATGCAAGCATCCCACCCCAAGGGAAGAATTGAGAAGAAGGGATGCAAGACCCCAGAAATATGCCAACATATAAAACCTCAACTCAAAAGGTCAAACTGCATACTTGATCTCTCAAGTTGCCAGCTTGGCCCTCTTCCAAGTGTACTTTACTTCCTTCCATTCCTGCTCTAAAGCTTTTTAATAAACTTTCACTTCTGCTCTAAAATTTGCCTCAGGCTCTCTTTCTGCCTTATGCCCCTCTGTCGAATTCTTTCTTCTGAGAAGGCAAGAATTGAGGTTGCTGCAGACCCATACAGATTCTCTGCTGGCAGTAAAAGTAGTCAGAACTATAATACAGTTAACTTAAGCTTGTGTGTTCCTGTAGAAGAGTATTGAACTAAAAATTACCTAGAATTTATCCAAAAAGAAACTTGTTTTAATTTGGGGGGGGGGGATATTCAATATATTATTATCCTCAAAGTTTGAGTATAAATGTGTGTTATGAGTATGTGGATTCCTTCAAGCCATTTTGAAAAATTGCTCTTTGTGACAGAAAGATAGAATTATAACTCCTTAAAGTATAACTATTGAGATACATTTATCTAGAAAAGTATAGTTAAAGGTTTCAAATATTGTTACTCAGTTTAATTGTACTGGCATAATTTATGTGTAAAGTCTATTCTATATATTAATGAACACTTTATAAGACCAGGAAAATAACAATTTTGTAAGAAACTTACTAGTAAGTGGTGAGACTGTTAAAGGAAAGGGGTCCAGATCCAGACCCCAAGAGATGGTTCTCGGATCTTCTGCAAGAAAGAATTCAGGGCGAGTCCATAGAGTAAAGTGAAAGCAAGTTTATAAAAAAAGTAAAGGAATAAAAGAGTGGCTACTCCATAGTACTACTACTCCATAGCAGCCTGAATATGGCTATCCCATATTCAGGCCTCTACTTTTTAGACCATATAGGGTAACTTCCTGATGTTGCCATGGCACCTGTAAACTGTCCTGGTGCTGGTGGAAGAGTAGTAGTGAGGACAACCAAAAGTCACTCTCATCACCATCTTGGTTTTGGTGGGTTTTGGCTGGCTTCTTTACTGCAACCTGTTTTATCAGCAAGGTCTTTACGACCTATATCTTGTGCTGACCTCCTCTCTCATCCTGTGACTTAGAATGTTTTAACTATCTGTGAATGCAGCCCCGTAGGTCTCAGCCTCATTTTACCAGCAATTATTCAAGATGGAGTTGCTCTGATTTGAACACCTCTGACATTTTCCCTCTCCCTTTTATAAGAGCACCCTTAATCCTAAGGGTTGCACAGAGATGAACATTCATCTTCTGTAACTTCTTCAGGCTGAATAGGGGCAATGATATTCCTGTCTAAATATGACAATCTCTCGTATTCAGAGTAGAGAGGCATTCAGTCAGAAAGCATCAGTATGGTGAGGGTCATTCATAGTTCTTTAGTTCTGACAGCAGATGATATCTGGGAGATTAGTAAGTGTTTAATTTAAGAAAATGTTGAGTAAGCTTATCCTCATTCCTACATAAAGAGTACAACAGCAATAAATTCCACAAAAGACGAGCAAAATAAGTAACATAGCCCAAGTACACTAAATTAGAAGACTTTCCATGAACTGGACAACTGTTGGAACCAAGCTAATATGGGGTTACTACATGATTCCAGTATATGCCCAGAATTAGAATACTGATTCAGATTTTTACATTACCCAACCCTCTTGTTTCTTCTGAGCAGCCATCACAGGTCCTGGTTGGTTTACAGGAATAAGGAGGGTTAGCCTAAATTTCAGAAACAAACTTAAAAACAACTGGTGAGACTAGAATTTAATAATAAGTGTACCATAGTTCTTGAAACATAATAGTTCTCTCCAGTTTTCTATTTTTAATAAAGACAAATCATGATAAGATCCATTTGCTTTATTATCCTTGGCCTGATTATTTGTATAAAGTGCAGCAAGAATAATTATTTTTCACATAAGCTCTTTTTAAATTGGTTTGGATGGAACTCTGTTCCATAGAAGGAATCTTAGATAAGACTTTTTTAGAGCTGAGCCCTGCCATGAGTTTGTACCTTCAAATACCTATGAGTTGGGTAAATTCTTCTCCTCTTGAGATCCCAAGATAACTTGGGGCTCCTGGACTTGTTAGAAAGTGACATTCTTTACTTACCACAGGTCAGAAACCCTGTAAAGGGACTGTGTAGGCAAGATATGAGGCTAGTTCTCCAAGGGTCTTTTATTGGCTTTACAAGTCAAATTTGATTCCTTAAAGGAAAACATACCATTCCAGGGAAAGCACTGGTAAAATAACCAGTTTCTCCAACTGTGTCTTGTTGCAAAGAAAAACAGATACCTATTGCATTTAGGCAAATAACTATATTGCTGTAAATTAAGAATACTTACAAATAGTTTCCAAATTCTGGAGAAATTAGGTAGAGAGAAACAAATATGCTCCAAATTTTGTTTATAGGAGTATACTTTACTTAATTGCTTCAAGCTGTGAATAGCTTCTGTAGTTCAGTCCATGCAGTTAACTCCTGTTCTGTTTAATATTCATGAACATTCCAGTTTTCCACGAGAGTTCTGAAAGTTGTTTCTTCTATTCTAGTGTCACAATCTTCAAAGTTATCAGAAACCTGTATTTAAGAACACCTGTTAGAGTTCTATAGCTGATTATAAACCACCTTCTAAAGAGGACAAAAACAAGACAACAATTGTGTATGGATGTCAAAACATCTTAGGACAGCCACAGTTAAAAACATGATTGACAAAGCAATTTGGTTACCTTTGTTGCATATACAGTGATTTAATGTAACAATTATAATCATTACTGATGACATATACTGAGGCATATTAGAATTATAGGAATCTTATGCAATTTTGAAACACACACTAATAAAAAATTTATATGCATATAACCTAAAGAAAGTTAAACACCATTTCACATTTGATAATGCTTCCTATATGACTTTTATACCAAATAAAGCAAATGTCACTGTTTCATTCATGTATTATTGATGTCAAACCCAGTTCTTAATAAAACCTTATAGACAAATGTATTTAATTTTAATCAGTCTGACCATAAGGTATGATTTTTATAAACCTTTTATAACCCTTTACAAATTTTTGTTAAAGAGCAGATCATAAACAGGTTTCGGCTTTAAAAACAACCTGTTGTGCTTTTACTCCAATGTTTAGTTTATGGAAAAACTAAATACATTTTTAACTTTAGCCCAGTTTCCACACATAGAATCTCTTTTACAATTAATTTTTCACAAACTTTCCACAATTTGCTTAAACCTTCAGATTTTTCCTATTTAACTTAAAACAATCCTTTAACCCTTTAGGCAAAAAAAAAAAAAAATTCACATTCCCATGCCTTCTGATAATCTTTTACCAAAAACTCATTTCACTTTTGGTATACACCTTGCTTGTAAAACTGTTTCTTCAGTAGTCTCAAATACATGTTACACTGTTAACTCTTAGTGACTGTTACTTTGGTGAAAACCTTGGTAAGTAAGGGATTTTAATTATGTACTAGGTATGAAGCCTATGACCCAGACAGAAGTGCAGATAAAGTCTGACTCTTTCCAGCATCTAAGTCCACATGTCCCAGGCCTTACACAGAATTTAATTCTCCAAAATAAATAGAACAATTTTCAAAAGTCAAAGAAGTAGTTTATGACCTTAAAGCATTTAGCAAATTTAATATCTGACCTGTATAATTTAGAGCAAATATTTACATTTTTGAAGATATTTATATTTTACCAATAATCTTTAAAACTGTCTTTATTTCCCAAAGATTACTTAAGTCATTTGAACTAAAAGACATTAAACTTTTCACTTTTTTTTACAAAATATTTGATTTATGCACTTATTATTTATAAACCAATTAATATTTATATCACACATAATGCATGTAAGTACACAGACAGAAGAAGATAAATGACTCATCCCCTAAGCTGGGAATTGAACCTCAAACCCAGGTTACCGTTGTGAAAAAAGAAACCATGGCCACATGGTTACAAGGTCAAGCTCCCAAGGACATAAAAGACAACAAGAAAACCTCATATAGATTTTTCTGTGACCTGCAGCAAAATTTGTAATTGACCAGTTTGCTGGGCCATCTTGAAAACCAGGTGTATAGGGGTCCTAGGCCCCAATCTTTCCTAAGGTACCCCTCTTTATGACAGAAAAATACAGAAAGACACACAAAGCACACTAGATTCCTACAGTTTAAGCCTAGCCTCACAAAATCTTTCTTCCATTAATCAAAACTTTACAAAGGAGATAAACAGTGATTTTTACCTCTCATTCAGCCGATTTGCATAGAGAGAGAGAGAGAAAGAGAGAGAGACCAGAAGCCTAGCTAGTAAGAAATCCTTCCCCTTTTGCCAGTATGCCAGGTTTCTTTGTTCTCTTTCCTTGACACACCCTAATGACCCGGCTGGCTGCACTCTAGCCCTGGGGGCCAAGCCACAACAAAAGGGAAAAGTATTTTTTTTCCATTTTGGCCAGAGCAAAATACATGTTACAAAACATAGACATTAGCCACTATGCTTAGCACCCAATATCAAACTGGCAAGGCTAAAACTTGTCCCCAGTTGGGGCCCATCATAGTTAATCCAACCTCCAACCAGGAGTTTTAACCTGTGGTCTTTGGGCAAGATGGTCTCCCCGAGTAATAGAAAAGATAAGGGTAAGAAGAGACAGAAAAGCATTGCCTGTGGCAGGGTGGGGAAGGTGAGGTGTTCAAGGGGGCCAGAGAAAAGACCCACCAATTGCAGCTGACACTGAAAAGCTCAGGCTGTTGAGTGTAAAAGGCAGATTATTCCAAAGAGAATAGCAGTTAACATCCCGTGGTGCCAAACCCATTCTTAGATGTAAGGTATTTTATGGAGAGAGGCCTCTAACCCCTTAAATCTTAGAAGGGACTTTAACCCTCCTGAGGTGGGCCTCTAACCCAAGGTTGATCAAGCATCCTTGCCTTTTATTAAGAGGGGCCTGTAACCAACTCTGTCTTAGGAGAGACTCTAACTCCCCTAAATTGGGCCTATAACCCAATCCCATCCTTTCCCCGGGTACCTCACCACTTACCCAAAGTCAGCCGATCAGCACTGCAGTCTATTTCCTTTGGGTTGCAGGGTTTCTTTAGTATCATCCCTTCAGGGTTCAGGAAAAAGATGTTTCCAGACCCCACCACTTACCCGAAGTTAGCCTTTGGATCGGGGGTTTCTGCACTACAGTCCCTTCCGTGGTCACCAGAAAGATGTTACAGGAAAGGGGTCCTATCCAGACCCCAAAAAAGGGTTCGTGGATCTCACGCAAGAATAATTCAGGATGAGTCCATAAAGTGAAAGCAAGTTTATTAGGAAAGTAAAGGAATAAAAGAATGGCTACTCCATAGATAGAAAAGCCCCAAAGGCTGCTGGTTGCTCATATTTATGCTTATTTCTTGATAATATGCTAAAGGAGGGGTGGATTATTCATGCCTCCCTTTTTTAGACCATATAGGGTAACTTCCTGATGTTGCTTTGGCATCTGTAAACTGTCATGGCGCTGGTGGGAGTGCAGCAGTGAGGACAACCAGAGGTCACTCTCATCGCCATCTTGGTTTTGGTGGGTTTTGGCCGACGTCTTTACTGCAACCTGTTTTATCAGCAAGGTCTTTATGACGTGTATCATATGCTGACCTTCCATCTCAACCTGTGACTTAGAATGCATTAACCATCTGGGAATGAGCCCAGTAGGTCTCAGCCTCATTTTACCCAGCTTCTATTCAAGATGGATTTGCTCTAGTTCAAACACCTCTGACAAAAGTGCCACAAATATATTCTACATACCCCTGGAAATCTTTTATACAACATGCAGAGACTTTTAATAAAGATTTATGTCTAAGAAAAAAATGTTTTTGAGGGAGTGGAAGAAAAAATGGTGAGGCAAGCTATTTTTAATGACTGATTGTCATAAGCAGAGACATTTGAAGTCACTTCCTGATATAGAAAGAGATAAACATTTTGTTCTCTTGATAACAAAAATGATTAAGAGCAATAATAGGTATAGAGGCTGCTTTCAAAACACCTTCAATGTTATATAATTTTATGCTATAAAATGAAAGTCATTATTATTCTCATAATATAAACTATAGAAGATGAAGATGGACAAAATCCTGCCTGATGGAGCATGTGTAATAAAAGCTTGAGTACTAAAGGAGGATCAATTGCTTGAACCCAGAAGATGGAGATTGCCGTCAGCCGAAATTGTGCCACTGCACTCTAGCCTGGGTGACAGAGGGAGAATCTGTCTAAAAAAAGAAAAAGAAAAAAAAGCTTGAATAACAGTGAAATTACCTTTGCAAAAATTATATCAATGACAAAAATTGTAACAGTAAGCTAAGCTAACCCACCTCCATCTTGCCTTTCCGTTAATTATTCCTGGGCTAATTGGCAGAGCCAACTCTGGAAGAAATGTAGGCTACATTGTAAATGATAATAGGCCTTACCAGAAAACTCAACCACTTTTGTAAAGCCATCAGGCTCAGGGAAGGAGAGGAGACTAGGTCTTTCTAAGGCTGAGACGTAAACGATTGTCAGCCATTATTCCAGAGGTGTAAGATACGCAACTTCTCCAATTACTGCTGCAAATAGAATCTCTACTGTGGAACCTAAGATTGAACTTTGACATATATTTTCAGGTTTTTTTCATGTCTAACACCCATGGTTCCACCTGGACCTGCCAACCCCACTCTGTGGCCCCAACCAGAAATGATTCAGCCAGCAGGAGGACAGCTTCGACTCCCACTGTGAGTCCATCTTCTTCCCAACCAATCAGCAGCAAGCACCTGTTACCAGCCACCCCACCCCTTCATCCAAACTGCCTTTGAAAAACCCCTGCCCTAGGAGCTGTGCCCAGCCCCGTGTCCATTAAACACTTTCTCCACTACAATGCAGTGGTCTTTCTTTACGCAGTGCTCAGGAAAAACTCCTTTGTTGGTTACATTAGTATTCACCGTCAGCTTATGAACAACCTGAATGGCACGGCTGGATTGAGGAAGATTAACTGGGGAGCAATTCAGCCAAGAAAATTAAATGTATAAAAACAATTCAGATAATAAGATGAGTTTGAAATAGGGTTTTTCCAAGAAGAATTCCAGCAGAGAGATCTGCATTTTTATGCAGTTGAATAGATTCAACTTGTTGATGTTGGAGCATTGAAGAAGAGTCTCCTTATTAGAAAGAGTAAATCAGAGATGAGCCTTTCATTCCTTAGGGAGTTTAAGCACTGTGTCTTGTGTCAGCACAGTATTTGACTTGGAGGCTTTCTGCAATCTTTAGTATAATGGAAATACTGTTAAAAAGATAAATAAGTTAGTGTCAAGAAGCAGGATCTTCTGAAAAGAGATAAGTCTCAAACATGTTAAAGCTATAATTGAAAGCAATTAGACATTAAACTGCCAAGTACGCGAATATAACAAAGTGAAAAACTTGCCTAACACCTGAATCTTAATATATGTCATAAATTGATTACATTTCTTTTCTAAAATTTCATATTTCTGATAGTGCTATAGTATTTGTCAGTTAACATAGGGTAGTGAGGAGGGGAGATAATAAAATGGGGTTGTTTCATTGGTACAAAACTACAGTTAGATAGAAGGAATAAGATGTGGCTGATGCCTGTAACCCAGCACTTTGGGAGGCTGAGGTGGGTGGATCACCTGAGGTCAGGAGTTCAAGACCAGCCTGGCCAATATAGTGAAACCCCATCTCTACTAAAAATGCAAAAATTAGCTGGGCATGGTGGTGGGCATCCATAATCCCAGCTACTTGGGAGGCTGAGGCAGGAGAATCGCTTGAACCCAGGAGGCAGAGGTTGCAGTGAGTTGAGATCACACCACTGCACTCCAGCCTGGGTGACAGAGTGAGACTCTGTCTCAAAAAAAAAAAAAAAAAAAAAAAAAAAAATTCGAGTGTTTGGTAGCAGTATAGGGCGAATATAGCTAACAATAATTTTTTGTATATTTTAAAATAGCTCCAAGAGTAGATTTAGAATGTACCCAACACAAATAAATGATAAATGTTTGAGGAGATTGAAATCCTAATTAACCAGGTTTGATCATTACACGTTGCATGCTTGTATCAAAATATCACACACATCCCATAAATATGTACAACTATTATGTATCCTTAAAAATTAAAATTAAAAAATGTGTTAGTTAACATAGAACAAGAAACTTCTTTACAGTTGAGAATCTCAGAGAATAGGAAATATTTTAGATACAAGTAATAAAAAGTCAGTATGTCAAACATCCCATTACTTCAGCGTGAGGGTCTCTGCAAAATTTACTCTGAAAAATAATGTACAGTCAGAATAATAATTTAATGCATGAAAATGTATAACAAACATGCATGTTTTTAAAACATTGATATTAGGAGATAAAGAATAAATCTATGAAACAAAGAAAATTCTAATGCTACCTGATTTTAAATATGCCCTGATAGTTGCTTAATTTGTATAGACCAAATGTATTCTATCAGCCTGACATTTTTTAATGTTTCTCAATTTTGTAATCCAATTACTAATTTTAAAAGGTTTATAATAAGTACATTAAGTGATCATAAACTAAGCTTTTTAATAACACATTACTTTTTTAGCTGGGTTTGTATCATATAGTTTCCATGATTGGTCTAATTCATTAATAGCAAAGCACTCATTATCAATCCTGTTTTGACCTGTGAAATTCTGAAGTCTGTCTATTGCCAGTGGATCACAATGCCTTAGCTTAAAGCAGGTACAGAAAAAAGTTAAAATCACAATGTGGTTCAGTTATTTTGTAGGAGGGTTAAAAGCTTAAATGTGCTCCATCCAGTGTCAACTGCACATACATCTTGGAAATTAAGTGTTCTGCCAAAAGAGTTGGCACTCACATTCACAAAAGAGACACAATTTTTGCTTTGCTTCACCACACTTACTTTAAAAATGTACACTAGAAGAGGTTCAGCAATTCCACTCAGTAAGGAGCTACACGTGCTTTAATAAATCAAATGCTTGGTGAGCATCTTAGCTTGAATATGTTAACCTTGAGAAATTACAAGTCATGAAGGCCTTGAAAAAGTATCTAAAAGTAAAAGACAAGAAACAAATATAATTTTCTCTTTTATTTCAAGCTCAGAATTCCATATCTATCAAATATTAAAACAGCATTACTTTAAAATGCCCAAATGAAAAAACAGACTATCTTGTTCCTACTTCATTGCCATTCTGCTATATAACATGACCACATGTTCACAACATGTCAAGTTCATTTTAATATCATTCCTCACATCTTTTTCTCCAACCCAAAAAAGGTAAATATTCTCAATGAAATAGTTTGTAATTTCTATATTTTTCTGTGGACCTTGTAAAATTTATCAGCCAGTCACATTCCATAATTTTTGGGAGATTTCAAGTTGAATCACATACAGTTTAACAGTGGCTAACCCTAGGCTAGTGACTGGAGTTGGAGACAGTTGGTTCAGTATAGTATTGCTTCCTGAGTCTTATTAGCAAAAGCTGATTACAAAAATAGGATATTTTATTTTCTGGGCGCTATTGGGTGGTAAGCATTTCAATGATAAATAATAATAATAATAAATTACCCCTGGTTCCAAGGTAGACTTAATATCAGGTTAGTGGAAAAATTCCTGGGATGCTAAAATCATAAGGGAACTTTTTTGTCTGACTACTTTTCAGATCTTTAATGGCTAGGGCTCTTGGAATATAACTGGTGCAGAGTGAACATAACTTCTTTATCAATAGGGAACTCTTAAGACACAAGAGGAAAAGACAGGAATTCACGTTGCTGGGAGCCTGAGGAAGCAAGCTGGCAGCAGCAGTAAAGCCAAAGGCACCCAAAACCCTCAAGGATTGAAGAAAGACTATCCCTAGGCAGACAGAACCGCTAGGATACAGTGCCTTATAATTTCCCTTTGTAATGCCCATCACACCTACAATTTCTTGATAATGAATGTCTTCCCCAGTAGACTGTTAACTGAATGAAGGCTGGATATACTGGAGTTCATTTCGTTCACTGGCATTTTTTCATTGTCTTCAGAAGTATTTAACATATAGTAGGGGCTTAATATTTATTGAGTTTTTAATTGGCCAAGAAACTTTTCCAAGTAAAGTTGGGGCTCAGGCAAATTGGGCAGTGATTCAACTCCTAACGGCGTCCAAGGAGACTAGACAAAGGCAATAGAATCGAATACAAAATGGAATTGTTGAACTCAAATTGTTCGTTTGTTGTTGTTACTGCCTCCCTGATACAGCATATTTTTAGCTTCCTTAGGTATGAAAAAAGTCAGTTATTATGAAGCTCTTAAGACTATATTTAAAAGCAGATATTTCTGGGGTTGCCATGGCAGGAAGCACAGCATGCTGACTAGATGAGATTATATTCCTATCCCTCTCGAAACTAAACAAACAAAGCAAAACACCTTCAAAGAGAATAAGATAGTTTCTCTATATATTTATTCACAATTTTTACTTTGCATCCTCATTTTTGTTTTGGGCAAGCACTGTTCTATGCCATGAAATTATAGCATTGAACAAAACTAATCTAATGAGAGGAGTTATTTTAAATAAACCCATCATGAAATTCCTTCCTAGGGCGTTGACATTTGAACAGTGACTGAGAAGATGGGAAGGAGCAAATCACATGAAGATATAACAAAGGGCATTTCCCATTGGTCAGAGCAGCCACTGTCAAGATTGGGGTAGGGTTGACTTCGTTTCATTGAGAAGCATCAACAGTACTCATGTGGTTAGAGTGGAGTGAATGAGTGAGTGAAAAAGCATCGAGAACCATTAAGTGTAAGGCTTTTACAATGAAAACTGAAGACTTTTTATGTTATTCACAATGTGAGGAGAAGCCTTCCTAGGGTTTTGGCTTGATAGTGAGTGACAGTGATTAAATCTTGCAGAATACTATCATCATATATTTTTCCTTTTTAAATACATCTTTAACAGCTTTGTGGAGAATATACTATGGGAGTTATAAATAAACTAGAGAGAACAATTAGAAAACTAATATATCTGTCTAGTAATTATGTAATATATCAGATTAATAATCATCTCAGGCCAGAGATAACTGTTGCTTGCACTAGGCCTTTGGCAGTATAGATGGTGAGAAGAAGATCAAATTTTGATGTATTTAGATAATAAGGCCCATGAAACTTGCTGGTTGAATGAAAAGGGGGTATTGAGGAAAGTGAGAGATAAGGAAACTGCTTAACATTTTTGCCTGAGCAACGAATGTGTGGCTGTGCTGTTAATTGAGATAGGAAGGAACTAGGAGGGTCAGATTTAGGCCTGATAGTGAGTAGTAATCAGAATTTTGTTTATATATAATGAGAAAGAAGTTTTACATATTAGATTCAAGTACGGTGATAAAGGTTTGAGAGTTGGGATAAAATTGTACTATGTTTAAAGCCACAGAAGCTGATGAGATTGCCTTCAGATGTGTTCATAAACAGAGAAGAGAAAGAACCTTGGGCTGACAATATTTCAAGGGAGAAAAGGAGAGGTAGGGAGGAAAGATTTTGTATAGTCAATGAAGTAGGAGGAAAACAAAAGAGGTTGGTGTCTTAGGAGTCAAGTTAACAGGGAATAACTAGTCAAGAACAAAAGAGTAATCATTTGTGTCCATCACTGTTGTGGGTTTGAATGTGATAAAGATATAGATTGGATCTAGTATTTTGCACAATACAGATTTGCTGGTGACCTTATTAAGAGCAGCTTCAATAGTATGGTGGTGACAAAATTCTGATAAGACATTAATGAGGGAATTAAGAGGTGAACATATAGTGAGCATAAACCAATCACTCAAGGAGTTTTGTTGCAAAAGGCTACTGAGAACAGTGACAGGAGCTGGTGGTAGGGGTATTTTTAATTAGTCTGTTACATTTTTACTCTATTGGAGATGATCCAATAGTGGAGGGTGTGGGGCACGAATTGATGGCAAAGGGGATAGAAGAACTAATTGCATGAGCAAAGTCTTTAAGTAAGAGATAAGGGGATGGAGACCAAGTTGAGGGGGTTAGCTTTCTACAGAACAGTAATTATTACTGGGAGAGGGGAAATAATATAGAGAATAAGGTTACATGAAGATGAGTAACAGATTTAGTGATTAAGATTACATTAAGATGAGAAACAGATTTAGTGATAGCAAAGTGTAATTCTCTTTTCACTGCTATTTTCAGATTAAAACAAAAATGTTTTATTATTTTGACCATCTGATATGAACAAAGAGTGGAAAAGTGTATTAGAGTTATAAAAACATCTGCAAGAGAAACATTTCAATGATTTCAATGAAGGACCGCGGGAGCAAACCTAATAAGTAGGAGTGATAAGGATGAGGACAGAAATTATAGAGCGTGAGAAAGTGGAGGGAGCCAATAGATTGGAGCTCATGAGTGGCTGAAGAATTACTACAGTCACAGAAAGTAAGCTGGGAAAACTATAAAATGGTAGTCAAAATATAGAATGCTTGAATCTGGGCATTTGGAAGAGAGGCAGTTATTGGTGATGGCAAGACGTAAGTCCTGTCACAGGACTCTGAAGAGGGGTAGAGGACAAGATTAATGCTACGGTCAAAGAACTGAAGTCAGCATCAGACAAACCATCTATGTGGTTCTAAAAATTGCCAAGAATGATGCCAAGAGTCTCTACAGGGAAAACAGTGGGTCAATTTCCAGAACATTCAATGATGAGGGGAGTAATGGTGAGGTAGTGCACAAGGAGGGGTCGTGGGTAGTATAGTTTGATGGCAGGCACCTCTTTGGCACTGTGGTAATTGACAGGGAGTGAGAAAATCGGCGGACAGCAGACTGAAAATCAAGGAGGGCATCTCCAGGCTTCATGATGTGTGGTGTGTCGGAGCCAGTGTTTCCATGTGAGAGCAGGGGAAGCTATGATCTTCAGAAATAGCCTCGATTCAGGAACAGATGGAAGGAAACTTCAAAGAGGGCATTGAGATTAAGTAAACTTTGTTGTTCACAGAAAATAAGTTCCAGATGAGTCAATAGAGAACCTATTTTTGTGGACTTGAGACACTCAAATTATGATTAAAAAGTACTATTATAATGATGATAAAATTTCTATTAATATGCATGAGGTGCCTGCTATGCACCAAGCACCATAATAGATGCTTTGCATCTATTATGCAAAGTTATCCTTACCCTAACAATAATCCTATTGATCAGCTCTATTATCCACATTTTATGAGTATAAAAATTTAAGTAACTTGCCTAAAATGAGTTAAAATGAGTTAGTCAGGACTTGAATCTGTATTGCTCTGTCTCAAGTGTTGTAGGTTTCTAAAAAGTGCCTTCTTTATCAGTATAAGTCATTCTCTATCCATGTATTTCTTTCTTGATGATGGTAAAAGGGTTGGTTCATAGAATGCTATTGCATATAACCACAACATTAAGAATTAGATTGACTATCTTAAAATAGAAGTTAGTATCATTATCAAAAATATCTGAATATTTTGATTAGTTACAAACAGAAGTTTATAAAATGACTTTAGTATTAACTTAATGTGGGCTTTTCTGGTGAATTAAAATAAAAGAATGCCCAACATTTCCTTCTCCCACTCCACTTATATTTTCCTGCTTTTTCAAAGTACCAAAGTTAGGGCCATAGGGATTCTGAAGTATTTTAGTTGAAATGTATTATTTATTAATAGAACTATTACTTAATAAGTCCTCATATTACATGTTTGACAATGTGCTAAGCACAGTGGAGACTAAGACTGATATAATTCCTTGCATGTTAGACTGCAGAGTCTGGTAGGGAAAACAGACTCTAAATAGATAACCATGCATGCTTTTATTTGAAGTACACTTGTGAGAAGTGCTTTGAACGAGAAGTACAAGTTCTAGCAAGGGTATACAATAGAGAGACACAGCTCTCATAAGATGACTCCTTCCACAGGGTTGTGTGTCAAGTGCAGTTACTCTCAGTGGTGTGTTTGCTAAAAGGAGTATGGAATATGTTACCAATCTCCTTTACCCAACATTAAGTCAGATCTGTGCAGTAACAAAGAAAAGCAAGAGGCTGAGTAATAATACAACAGACATAGATTTTAAAAGCTTCCAATCTTGGTCCTGCAGGTGAAGCAATCCAACTCTCTCAGCTTTTGTGGCAGGTCAGACAACACTGGGAAGAGGACGAGGCCCTCTGACCCCCAATCCAGTCTGTATCTCTTAGACCTCGGAGCATCTCAGGGTTAATTATCCTACCTGAGAATTTTGAATAAATCCTCTAATTATGCTCATTGCTCTGTTTTATAAGAGGAAAAAATCATCTTGTGGAATTCAAGCAATAAAGCATCATGATATAATAGCCTCATCCTTTATTCTCAGCCTAATTTATCAAAGAAATGAAAGAGTATCAGAAAAACAGCTACCAAAACCTGTGAAAGACATGCCAATATTTTGGCTGGAGAGTAGTTTTGTCCTGACAACTATATTGACTCATCTTTAGAAATAAATTGTGTGATTTAAAATGCTCTTGAGAAGTTATCACTTATTAAAATTTCCTGCTGAAACTTAAGGTTTGATAATTGCAGGGTTATGGAGAGACCAAGTACCTTTACTGGTACAAGACTGTTTTCCCCAGCTCTTTCCCTGGACTCAGCTGGCCCATCGATTTTAGAGGCTATGGAGACCAGCATAACTAAAGCCATCCCCTTGCCTTTCAGTCAGAGCCCTTTGGCAAAAGGATAAAAAAGAGGCCAACCTTAAGAGTTATATAGTTTCTAATATCTTGGCTGCCCCTTAATAAGTATGTATTCAGAGCACATTGACAATAGTGCTACTGACATTGTTACTAATATAGAACAAGTCAAAATACAAAGAATTTTAAATGGTTCAGATTCTTTAAAAATGATTTTGGAACCGTTTCTTCTTCTAAACCGGAGTCTCCTGCTGCTCCTGTTGGTAGTGAGATCTCTAAAGTGCCAGACAATGGTGACCGTGATAAATGGTCTTCCTAGTCAAAGGTGCCCTGAGTGAAAAGCAAAAGTATAAAAAGCCAGTCTCACTTGTGTGATGCCAGTCTTGTAGACAATAAATGTCTGTGCATGTACTTTTAAAGCCAGATCTTTTAAGTTGATTGTTAAGCAGTTAACTGTTAGTACTTTGAAACATTCCATTCTTTGGTAGTGTAGAGTTGATGTTGAAAATTTTCCATGACACTAAACCTAAAGCTTTCTCCAGTTGAGCTTAAATAATTTAATGACTGCCTGTTAACATGGACAAGTTTAAGATTCTGGTAGGTTTAGAAAAATAAATATTTCCAGTAATCAAGGAAAGGGTTATTCACTGTAATTGACATTAATGTATAATTTACATACTATAATGTTCTTGGGTTTTAATAAGTCCTAATAAATAAAACTAAGGATGAGAATGGTTATCCCACAAGAATAAAAATAAACTATCATTTCATTTGCTTATGATTTGGGAAGTTGTTCTGTTTTGCTTCAAATGACTTGTTAGG
Organism: Homo sapiens; assembly: GCF_000001405.40. NCBI lineage: Eukaryota > Metazoa > Chordata > Mammalia > Primates > Hominidae > Homo > Homo sapiens. The sequence continues at coordinate 82,612,706 of NC_000001.11, read as the reverse complement.
GTTTCTGCAACTCGAATTTAAAAGGTACAGGGGTTATTCAGCAAAAAGTTCAGAAAGTTTATTCGATCGGTAAATTTTGTTTATTATGTATCAAAGGGAGTGAATCTATGTTAAACTGTTCATTTAAAAAGATATGAGAAGAAAAAGGAGAAAGAGGAGAGAGGAAGAAGACGAAGTGAAGCTAGTGACTCTCTTTCCAAATCCTGCTATAATATAAAATTATATTAAAAGTATTATAGTATTACACCACTACCTACATCAATAAAATGCCAGTTTGACACATTATGAGAAAAAATCAGCTACACTTTAATAAATCCAACTCTCTAGAAATAAAAGAAAGTGAAAAGTATATAGTGTGCCTCATCCACAAGAAATCATCAGAGACCACAGAGCCATGATATCTGCTATGCCACAGAAGTGTGTATTTCAAAAGAAGTGGTTTCCAGCACAAGGAATCTAGCTTCCTTCATTGCTAAATTTCAGTGATGTGTCAAGATTGACAGGCAACTCTGAAGAATAAATTGTGAAATTAGAGAGGGATCATGGTCTTTCATACTATTTTATTCTATTCCAAAGCTGTTTGCACAGACATCTGGAATCTAACTTGTAATTCCACATTCATAATAAGTTTTTCACATGGAAAATAAAAAAACTTGGATAGAAAAACCCTTCTTAAAGACCCCAGGACTGCCAACATTTGATCATTAAAAAAACTAAAAGTATGATATCTTTTGGTCTTCGATTTATAGCACCTGAAGTGCAATCATAGATGCCAACTGCAAATTTACTATTCATTGAAGCCCTGAAAGAATGAAGAAGTATAAATAATCAGACAACTCTAAATAGGTAGTAAATCTGCTTCTGGCTTTCTCTCTCCCCACTGAAGTTTTATAAGAAAACCCAGGATATGGTGAGGCATGTAACTGACCTTTTGAAGTTGACATGAAGTGGATAGCCATTTATTTCTAGAACAAGTCTGAGAAAAATAATAGAATGCACGGGCTATTTCTCTTATCCAAGAAAAAGATATTTTATTTTTGGCCTGTTTGATTTGGGGGTTTGGGATCCATCTTCTTTCTGAGTAGGTATTACATTATCCTGATATAACATTTGTTCCTTTCTAGTGATAGGTACTTTGACATCAGTCATCTCATATTCGGTAGCCCTGCAGCTTTTTCATAACCCTCACTGCTATCTTTGAGTTGTAATAACAAGTCAGGCCCATCATTGATCTTGAGAACCCTTCTACTCACATCGGGGTACAGAAAAGAAGCTTCACCCAGTGGGAAATAAAGGCTATCGTTATGGAAATCTTAACTTTTAGGATGGGTTTGGATAGAGTTGCAAGGAGTATTCCAGCTGAAGTGCATTTGAACAATGACACTTAAGGTAAATTAGTTGAGTTGAGCATTGGAGAGTTGTGGAAGGACAAGTTGAAAAGTGAGTTTGAGGCTTCACCACAGAGGGCCTTGAAAACCAGGAAGCATTTATTCTTTTCATCGTGCAGGGATTTGAAGGCATTGAGATGGCGAGCAATAAAGATACAATCTAAACTTCCTTGTGCAAAGATTAATTTACCTATAGTGTGTATGAAAACTGTAAGGTAGAGAGAAGAGGGAAGGGAACCTATTAATATTTAGATAAAAGATACAGCTGGGCACAGTGGCAGGTACCTGGAGTCCCAGCTACTCAGGAAGCTGAAACGGGAGGATCCCTTGAGGCCAGGAGTTTGAGGCTGCAGTGAGCTATGTGCCTGTGAATAGCCACTGCACTCCAGCCTGGGCAATATAGCAAGGGTTTGTCCCAATTTTTAATAAATATGTAAACAGATATCAAAGCTAAATTATGATTTGAATATAATAAATGAAAGAATTTCTACACTCTACTTTGCTCAAATGGCTATCTCTATGTTGCCTGCTCATTTTCTATCCTTCAAATTTAGCTACTGAAGAATAATTTCATACTTCAAAGCATAATTTAAATCCCAAATTTTATAACCAATCTCTGAGACCTCCAGGGAACTCCCTAATGCCTTTATAATTTGTTACTATACTCAATTACATGCTCATGGTCGGCAACCAAACAATGTGTGTCAAATGACTTGTATTAGTTTGTTTTCATGTTGCTGATAAAGACATAGCCAAAACCAGGAACAAAAAGAGGTTTAATTGGACTTATAGTTCCACATGGCTGGGGAGGCCACAGAATCATGGCAGGAGGTGAAAGGCACTTCTCACATGGCGGCAACAAGATAAAAATGAGGAAGAAGCAAAATCGGAAACCCGTGATAAACCCATCAGATCTCATGAGACTTATTCACTATCACGAGAATAGCACGGGAAAGACCGGCCCCCATGATTCAATTACTTCCCTCTGGGTCCCTCCCACAACACGTGGAAATTCTGGAAGATACAATTCAAATTGAGATTTTGGTGGAGATACAGCCAAACCATATCATGACTGAATAAAATAATGTAAAAATTTGGACTGTGAAAGTTATTTTTGTATGAATTTATCTTATACAATCAGGAGGACAGTATCATCTTGAAATCTTTGCATCTTTTTAAAGAGATTTGTACATAATAGGTAGTGAATAACTATTCAGTTAAATTGCACTAACAAATTTTTCCTAGGGTGTATACATCTAATAAATTCATATGTGAACAAGCATGTTATAAAATAGTTGAATTCATCATTATGTTTTCTCAGATGGAGTTGTATTAGATATTATTAGTTTGAATAAATAATTTTGCAATAAACACCTTCTAGATGTAAGCACAAATATAATGACTGATTTTCATCAGAGAATCACTGAAGTCATCAGGATAATTGAAAACCATGGTAACAAAAAAGCTAAAATTTCAACTCTAAATACGAGTATATGCCCATTATCAATTTAAATATCTCTCAACTTCAAATCTACCCCCTTTTTCCATGCTTTATGATGCTGGTACTGGATTCTGCCACCTTTTTTCTTTGCCAGCTGCCCAGTGATGCTAAACATTCTAGAGGGACACTCCAGTGTGGCTTCCTAGTGAGTTTCACCACTATACTCTAGCTGCTTCCAGTGAAACTTCCCAGCACTACAGCATTACAGCAGGCTGTTTCCTCACATCAGGGCAAACAATTTCTCAGTGGCTTTCATGGCTACCACATTAAATGGATTCCTAGTGAGTTTTACCTGCATCTCAGGGGTGGTTTACTGCGGCATCTCAGTGAACTTCTCTGCCACCCAAGGGGACCTCAGCCACATCCCTCTATCAGAGTCTGAAGCTCAGCTCTGTGATGGAAGGTGGGAGGAGCTCACTAGCATGTTAGATCTTTCCTTGGGTTCTTTCCCTCAGCTCGAAAGATAGTGATGTTTTCTAACTCTGTTATGCCTACATCCTTTAGAGTTCTCCATTCCTTTTTAGAACTGAATCCTCTTTTACCAATTTAATACTTCTTAATATTATACTTTCCTGTTCAAATTATATGTGATTTTTGTGTACTAAATGGACTCTTGTAGTCTGTAAGGGAATTTTCTCAAGATAGGAAACTATTATAAGATGAACAAGATGTTTGTATGCCAGTATTGGTTAAGTCGTGTGAGATACCTATGTGTTTCAAATGGAAGACTCAAAATCCCTGCTGCACCTATACTCCTTCCAGGGAGTTCTTTATAAATAGATACTCACGTTTTAAATATATGTCACCTTTACCTTAGACACAAATGAATGAGTGACTTTTGCAGAGACAGAAATCTTATATTTTTTCAGTGATTCTTTAGACATCCTGGCAATATTTGCTCTTCCCAAAGCAGATGCTCTAAGTTGATAGTGATCAAATCAATCAATCAATTCCTCTGTGACAGAATAATGAGTCATGGTTAATAGATAGCATCTAAAGTAGGGCCCACTAAGAGATGAGTGTAAGCAGGACCTATGAGATAGTAGGAAGCATAAATAAGTAGAATTAAGTAGGAAACACAAGGTAAAATCACCTGTTACTTGCTCTTATAACGGTCTATACTTTTCTCTTGTAGCATTATATTTTTTCATGCACTTATTTTATTTTATTTTAATAGTTTTTGGGGAACAGGTGGTTTTTGGTTACATGGATAAGTTCTTCAGTGGTAATTTCTGAGATTTTGGTGCACTGTCACCTGAGCAGTGTACATTGTACCCAATGTGTAGTCTTTTATCCCTCACCCCCCTCCCACCATTCCCCTTGAGTGCCCAAAGTCCACTATATCATTCTTATGCCTTTGCATCTTCATAGCTTTGGTCCATTTACAAGTGAGGACATATGATATTTGTTTTTCTATTTCTGAGTTACCTCACTAGAATAATGGTCTCCTACTCCATCCAGGTTGCTGCGAATGTCATTCTTTCTTTCTTTTTTATGGCCAAGTTGTATTTCATGGTGTATATTTACCATATTTTCTTTATCCACTCATCGGTGGATGGGCATTTAGGCTGTTTTCATATTTTTGCAATTACGAATTGACTTGTAGCATTATCTTAACTGTGAATTGTATTTAATACTTTTCTTCCCCACTGGACTCTGAGCTTCATAAGGGTAGGGGCTATGTCTGTCTTGCTTTTAAGAATCCCCAGTTCATAGGAAAGAGTACTCAGTAAATATTGGTAAATGCACTAATCACCAAATTCCGATAGAATATAGTTGAATCAAGGATCATAGAAAAAGAATATTCTTGCAACACATGATGAAACTATTGTAGAGAATCACTGAAAGTGGCAGAGAGGTTACCAACAAGGTAACTTTGTTGAGTCCTGTATAGTGTCCTGAATGCTCATTCTAGTTCTAGAAATGCATTTTAGTCGTGATAAAACCTAGCTGATTTCTTGAGAGGCATGGAAGTGTGGGTGGTTCATGATGCTGTTACTCCCCCAGGTACTTTTGCAATTTATTGGTGGAAGATTTAGCCATTGGCTTTATTCCTTGGAATCAAGAAGAGCCTATCAAATGCTCAGCTTTGTATTCTATATTTCAAGTATTGAAGATACTTCAATTACTAGCCATGGAAACATTGATATGTTCATACAACTACCCAACTCTCCTCAGTGGGTAGATGTTTCGCCATACAATAACACAAGGATCTGTCATTTGAGCAGTAAAAGAAAAGTGATGTATGCATTTAAACTTTAATTCTTCATTGGCTCTCTGCCTCCTCTATCCTATATATATTTGTATTTGTTTTCTTTTTTTGCATAAAGAAGGCATCATTGATTGAAGACCACCTACTTGGCACGCTATTAACTATTTCTAAGAAGATAAACATGTCCATAGACTTTATATCTGTGTTGCTAGTGAATTTCTGCCACTGAAACTTCAACAGCTCTACTAGTTTCAGGCCTAATTTCTAGCCCCAGGGATATAGATATTAGAGAACCTTGGTGACATCATGAAATATACTGTATTACCCCCAGGCAAATTTCATTATAGCTGTGAAATATTCAGGATACACAGGGATCTTTTTATCATATACTCTCCTTTATTATAATTTTGCTGAATAGTTTAATTTTGATCAATTGCAAGGGCTTCATCGCTTAAAGCTATTGTGACAGATGATAACTCATGTTTATATTCTTGTTTTAGAAACTGAAGAAATAATTCTGAAGATTATGCATTTGTATTTGATATCATATTTAGCAGATTAAAGACAATCCCCAGCTGTTATTCTGTCTCTGGTGATTAAGGAAAATGATGCCGGTAAATATTAGTAATAATATGTGTTATCTCATATGAGAGACAAGTTTAGTGAAATTTTAATACTGCCTTTATGTATTATAAGGAAATGAATGTAATTTACAAATCCACATAAATAATACATTGGAAATTCCACTAAACTGTAATATGCCTTAAGTCAGCCATGATTGAAATTGCATTTGACAGGGAGAAAAACAGTATTTCTTCTTCCAACAACTCCCTGCGTTGTCATCATGGCATGGTTGGGCAGTAGTGAGTGCCAGCTGAGGACCCTTCCCTCCTTTGTGTCACCATCTGGCTTTAGTTCCACTTCAATCAGCTTCTATTGCCTTTTTGATTTATGCTGGAATTCACAAGCAGAAATAAAGTCTGCCCATACATTTGAGACAACCCTCTTTCTCCTCATTTTTGTCCCTTCAAAACTCATAGGGAGAAATTCTGTACTCAGAAGCTTTTACCCAGTTAATTTAACTTTCACCAGTGACAGAGACATGTTCCTGCAAAATCCCATGTGCTTTTTTGCCCATCTATGATGTTAATGTTTTCTCCCCTGCTGTCCTACAGTGTGATCAGAATTTTCACTTCTGTTGTGTTAGATGTTCACTGTCCTGTACAAGTAGATAATATTATTTGCCCTTGATTAATTTTTCTTATCTATGAGGATCTTTCTATTTAACCTTGAGTTTATGCTATTTTCTTTTAAAAATTTGATTTTATTCCATATTTACGTTATGCGATCCCCCAATAAAACACTGTGCGTTGGCATTGTTAGGAAAGATGAGCTGAGTAAATTCTTATGAAAACCACATAATTTTAGGTTTCTACTCGCTCAGCAAAATCAGAAGTAACACAAAGCTGGGCTTCAAAACAATTTAGCATTGAGCACAAGTCCTCAGAAGGGGATAAAATAGAAGGCTATTCACCTCTCTTTAATCACAGCATGGTGCTAATCAGCTATTCATTATAAATGTACCATTAGAGGAGATGCCGCTAACACCACTCTACTTAATGGTCAATTGGTTTTTCCATTAGAAACCCATTTTCAGGGTTTAATATATCAACATTCCACCTTGCAATAGATCTGAAATTATGCACAAAACACCGAAGCCTACAAATAACACTTGGAAAAAAATGAGTTGCTTTTAGTATCCAGTAAAGTCTGCTATTTAACAAAATACACAGGCCCAGATTCCTCTCAGTTACTCAACAAATATTTATTGATTATCTTCTATGTGCTGGGAACTTACAAACCATACTCTGAAGGAGCTACTGTCTGTTAGTGAAGGTGAGTGTGAGTATGTGTGTTTGTGTGTGTAACCGAATTGTAGAACCGGTCTGGACTGTCATGGTTATCTAAAATAAGTTCTCTAATTTTTAAAATGAAAATGTTAAGGCTCAGAAAGGATATGTGATTTTCTTTGCATATGGAGAAGTTGGATATGTTTCCTGGTCCAGCAATATTTCTAGTACACCATCCTATCTATACTGAATGAGTTTCAAGGGGTTGGCATAAAGAGAATTTCAGGAAATTTAGGCTGTTCATCTGTGGGAGCCAACAGCACAGGCTGCCTAATTATCATTCTAGAAACAAACATTTTCTATATTGACCACAAGCCAACAAGGAGAGAGTTGTCTGAGAGACTATACTTTTTTGATTGTAGCCACAGTCACCAATCAGCAGGCAAACCAGCACAGAAAAGGGACAAGAGTACAAAAACCACATCTCTGCTACAGTTTTCCTGAATTTCTTCAGCCTCATCTCAGAAAAAGGAATTCACTGATAGACATGATAAATTTGTGACTGCAAGGTGTACGCTCACTGGCATGTGTGTTTCCAAGTATGGGTCATTTTCAAGCTTTCTATTATCAAAACCCTATTAACATGAATGTCGTAGAATTTACAATTATTCATAGTCAATCAGGCCAGGAGGAAAATGTGCTTTCTAGATATGGAAGCAAACCTGATGTTCAAAATTTACTCAGAAAAAAAAAAAAATTCTAACTTCCACATTTTCAAAGCCTTGAGAAAGGAATGAGACAATTCGTCTGTTTTTCACCTTAATTCAATGAGGTATTTGATTTTCAACTACTGTCTCAGCACTGTATTAAAACCCTGTTACTAGGGAATAAAAGAAAATTACCTGTAATCCCCTTTCCTCAGAAAGCAGGTTATTATAATGGATTTCTCACTTTAGTCTGCTTCAGCTGCAGTCTGGAGAGAACTTCTGTGCTTTAGAGCACCAGAGCTGCTAACCCACCTCACCAGCAGGCGATGCTCGCTTTCTCCTACTGAAGGAACAGGATTGCTCTCACCACTTGGTTCCAAAGACAGAAAGCTTGTGTCAAAGCGACCTGTCACAGCTTTCACGATTTGGAACAGGTGAAGAGGAAGCTATTACTGAGACAAAACTTTGGATGATTATCCTACAATAGAGCAGCTTTCTTCAAATACACTCCTATATATAAAATAATTGTTCAATTATGGAAAACATCCATGGATATAGTAAATACGGTGATTTTGGGAATAACGAAAAATATCATATGACACCAAAACTAACCATGTCTTGCTATCATATACTCCTTTCTATCTAATAAAATGGGGACATGTTATAGCAGCTTTTTCCTTTAGACTCCTTTTGTCATATCCTCTTTACCCATTGTCTGTGCTCTCTCAGATGCTAATTAGACATTAAGTAATAGTCATTTCCACCCTCAACAATTATTTATTGAATGGAATATAGAAGAGATGAGAACAAACACATAATATTTAATATGTACCTGATACCGTGCAAGACATTTAAAATTATTTTACAGAAACCCTGCACAATAGGTATCATTAAATGGGGGAAATTGAGAATGTAAAAGGTAATTTTCCCAAGTTTTCCCCAGGGGTAGTAAAAGAATTGCTATTAGTAAAACAATTGATTGAAAGCATTAGCATGGATTAGGTAATAAAGAAGCACAGAAAAGTAAAAGTTCCTGTTTCCTAAGAGCTTGTAACATATTGGGAAAAATATGATATATAAAACAAATATCACAATGCAAAAAAGTATGACACACAGTATCATGATTAGAGAAATTGAAAATGACATTATATATGAATGATAATTTATGAGAACTATTTAAGTATCAAAGAAAGTCATAGCTATTATATATCAATACTAACAATATTTCTATTATTGATACTGCTCTTACATCTTCCCACACAGTAAGAGGAAAAAAAAAAAGAAAAGAAATAGGAAAAAAAAAAGACATTAAAAAGTAAACAAAAACAAACAATCAAAAAACTATCCGGCAGCTCTCTTTAACCCAATTTTACAATGAGTATTCTGAGGTTCAAGTAGGTTAAGTGTATGGCCCAAAATCTCAGCTAATATGTGGTGATTGTACAGAAGTATCCCCACATATTTCACTGACTATATAATAATTTGAATCCACATTTCCACCTTCTATAAATTAAGGTCTTTCTTCATAAAACTCTAGCATTTTCTCAAATTATTTTCAAATATTCTATACATTTTTAAAAAAGTCATACCTGGCTGTCCTTGGAGGACCCTGATTCCCACACAGGCCACGTTGAAGGTTTTGTTGTTGTTGTTTTTTAAATCCCTTAATGCAATACTACATGTCTTATAAGGCAAATTAGTGTCCTCATTTCTCCAAATGACTTATTACACTAATTGTTCCTTTTCCTTTAAAAAAAACAAGTGTGTACAGTGACTCACAACCATAATCCCAGCTATTTGGGAGACTGAGGCTGGAGAATTGCTTGACACTAGGAGTTGAGAAAAGCCTGGACAACACAGCAAGATCCTATAAATAAATTTTTTTAATTAGCTGAAGCCAGGAGGATTGCTTGAACCTGAGAGTTGAAGGCTGCAGTACTGCAGTGAGCTATGATCATGCCATTACACTCCAGCCTGGGCAACAGAGTAAGCCCCCATCTCTAAAAAAAAAAAAAAAAAAAATAGCCTTTTTTTCCAGCAAGCTGTAACAGATGTTGGATGAACCACCTAGATTCCAGGGAGAAATCATTTTCCAAGTTGCCAGGACTAGTGATAGGTGATGACTTTCAGCTGAATCCCTCTCTAAGAATTGCCTTTAGCCAAAGAGCATTCAAAACTATGCCCTTTCCCATACCACAGCCAATGATGATGGACAGAGGGGACCAATTCACTTTCCTCAAGGTGAGACAATTCTGAGGCGCCACTTCAGTATCATAGTTTCCTAGTGGATTGGGTCGGGTAGAGACCTTTGTTCTGACTTCTGAGGATTGCTATTCCATTCCTCCCTCTGCCCAATCCTGCTTCCTTTTCTTGGTCACAGATGCTCATCTTAAGTGCACACTTCAATAGATTTCCTGCACAGAAATATCCATTCCGAAGTCTGTGTTTCAGGAACCCATCCTAACACATAAACCAAAGATCAATCAAACTTGCTCATTTTTTATTGCTATAGTCTATCAGCACCCTGTTTGCTGCCCCTGCTCTCTGGAGACTCTAGTACTTGCCTGAACACCTGCTTCTTCACTATTGCTATCTGTATTATTCTTGATAACTTCAACATCTGTGCATTTGATTTCTCCAAAATTTTGATCTCCCCAGTTATTATCTCCCCCTTTCCAAGTAGTGTAAGATAAAAGTAAAATAATAAAAGAAATCTGGGTCCTAGGAGAGTAGTGGGAGATGTGGTCAAGGGGTAAGAGGGTAGATCATGGCTTTGTAATCCATTGTAAAGGCTTTGACTTTGACTTGGAGTGAAATTTAAGCCATTTGAGAATTGTCAAGAGAGGAATAACCTGATCTAATTTTGCATTTAAAATAATCTCTTTGGCTGTCTCATTGTAAATGTACAGAGGAAAGAAAAGAAGGAAAGAGGTAGGCAGACAACTTAGTGAGTTGTTTTTAGTACTAAGTAAAAGATGACAATTGCTCAAACTATGCCAATAGGAGAAGAAGTATTAAGAAGTGGTTGGATGCTGAAGATATTGTGCTGGAAGGAGCCAAGCACGAATCCAAGGACTTTGGTCTGTGCAAATGGAAAGATGAAGTTTCAATTAGCTGAGATGAGAGATATTTTGAGTGAAATACTTTGCATAAAAAATGCTGAGTAGATAGTTGGATATATAGTTGTAAATTTCAGTGTGATTGAAAAGCTCTGGGCATGTCTGCCTGAGTATTATTGAAGTTGTCTACCTATACTCACTCTTTCTATTTACCTCATTGTACGCACTCTTTATCCCTCAGAATATGCCCCCTTCCTTCAAAATCTGAAATTTCTTTCTCAAGTTTCACCAATATCCTCCCAACAGTTTTCTCAGTGTCTTATATTTACTCTTCATTTTATTCACTTTTCTGTTGTACTACATGCTTTTCATCACCTTTGTCTATTCATTTGGATCTGCTAGAAAATATCTATCTGGTTATCCTGTTAGGATCCAAATTACTTTCTTCAGATTTTGTTTCTCTACTGAACTGTTGTGTCATTCAAGGAATTGTGTTTTCCTTGTCCTCTTGTTCCCATGATTACAAACTCCAGTGTTTTCAGGAGCAAGGCAGGAAATAAAAAGTAGTGAAATAAACCTTGTATATAATAACATAAAGTAGGAGGGACTGTGTCAACCTTAGCAGAATATGCCTTATCTACGGAAATTAAAATGCAAAATTTTAAACACTACGCAAACAAAACAAAATCTATTTGTGGATTAGCACTGCTTGTGATAGATCACTGTGAGTTGGGAGCCAATTAGAAACTTGAAAGATACATCCCAAACACCATAATTTTTAATTTCTGAATATTGAAATCCCGAAAGAGCATGACCTCAAGAATATAATTCTGGAAAAAATAATTTTAAAAAGTATTTAAGAGATATTGATTTACATTTTTTTAAATGGAATTTATTTGAAAACACATAAAAATATGACAGAACACTTCATAGGCCACTTTACACAATAAAATAAGTAATAACAACATAGATATTTTTGGAAACATAAATGCTCAGATATACTAATGGCAGTCACATGGGTATAACAGTTATGAGCAGATGAACAGTAGTCATAAAGAAACAGGTCAAAAAGGAAATGTGTAAATTTATATAATTATGGTTTATAGTTGTGTGCACTCAGCTTTATTACTGCAGTCACTAAAATATCATAATGGACAATGGAAATCTTTTGATGAGATTGGTCAAAAACTGTGATGGTTCACCACCGCATATACAGTTGTTCAAAAAGCCAAATGTAAATGTAAAAACAGGACATCTTTTCATTTACTGCAGAAGTTTTAATGTTTTTATGTATGTGCACAATGTTTATACACATAGCCAATGTGGTGGTAATATACTTTCATGGAGCCAAATATGCAAAAAATGCATAAAATGAATCAGAAATCTCTATAAGTCTTAGGTGGTTTATACCTTTAGTATTGGTAATGATGCAAAGATGAAATTCATAGCACAGAAAATTGTAAAAAATAATGCTGACAATTCAAAATAGCAGAAAAACTTTTAAAAAGGAAAAATCAAAACCAAAAAACCAAAACAAACAAACAAAAAAAACCAACCAAAAACTGAAAGAGAAATCTGACCTATAGAGAAATGTATTACAAGGATAGATTATGGGCAATTGCACAGAGGTAGTCCAGAGTTGGCTGGCTTTCATGATCATTAACCATATTTTGATATCTTGTATTGCAATGAATAGCTGCTCTTTTTCTTTTAGAGTATGGTTCTCCTCAGAGAATATGTTTATATTCATTTTCTACATGGCACCACTTGTTTTGAAATTCTTGTTTGATTTGATATACACCAACACGAGCATTCTCGATTACGTTTTCCTATCTGCTGTGCCATACTTCTATATTGTTTTGGGTACACAGAAATCCATTCCACGTGCTCTTATATACAGACTATGAATTTGGCAGAAACAATACTGATGATTGAAGAACAACACCATTGTGTAAGTGTCTTCTCATCCTACAGTACACAATTACTTTTGAAGCAGTCAGTAACTTTGCTGACTTCTTCAGGGCAATGTGGCTTTAATTCATTAAAAGCTCCTGAAATTTCATCAGCTGGAAGGAATGCCAATGCATACAAATAACACATTTTTAAACCGACATTTTTGTCGTTGCGTATAGTCAATCCAATCATCTGAATTTTCTTACAAATGCATTGAGCTGAATGGAAAAAAAAAACCCAAACTTTATTGGCTTTGTTTTATTGAAAAATTTGTAGGAGAGATAGATTTCCAGTCCAATCATCATAATGATTAGTTTTCATTAAAAGAGAGAGAGAAAGAGATGAATGAGGACAAGAAGGAAGGAAGGAGGAAAGAAGGAAGAAATGAAGGAAGGAAGGAAGAAGGGCAGGAAGGAACTAATTATTTATATGGTATTTTCTTAGTATTTTGTCAAATGAGTCCCTGTGAAGAAAATGAGCAGATCAATATGATTGGGTGATCTGCTTTCTGTAATAGAGTTATCAAGTAAAATAATTAAATCATTCCTTGTATTAATATCATGGTCTTGTAAACTTCATAATGTGAGGTCCCAGAACCTTCAAGTCATAAGGCTAGCCCAGAGTTAATCCAAATACATGGGCTATGAAACCTCCTTGGATACTAGCAAACATACATCTCTTTGATTGCTAAGATGTTTAAACTTTGTCTACTTTTCTGGTTTCTACAAATTCTACATCTCTTTATACCTTTACACTCTTTTCCATTCTCACAGCCACTGCCACACTCCTGACAATTTCCACCCTAGACTGCCTAAGTAATCCTTCTCTCATTGTCTTTAATATTTCCTCTTCTGCCACAAAAAGCTTTCAAAATATAGATAACATCATGACTTGCATCTTTCCAAATCAAGAGGTTTTCAAAGAGCTTTGACCCAGGGCAAAAGAAGAGAGTGGATAGGTATCTGGTGGTAATGATCAATATTAGGAGCAAGACTAGAATCCCCTTCCAGAAGAGCACAAACCACACTCACTTCCTGAAATCTACTGTGGTTTCCCCTTTTCACCAAGGCAGAGAATAGCACTTTAGGTATATTTCCAATTTAGGACAAATGAGTTTCTTTTCTTATTTGAGCTTGAAAGACAACTCTAGAGATGAACTTAAAATGTTTGCTTTATGTTCAGTGATGTTCACTTCTTCAGAATAGCTTTCAAGGGTATTTATTTCAAGCGACACTACCTTGATCAAGTCTATAACATTAAAGGCATATATTTGTTCCATATGGCTAAGTGAGAATTATGCATCCTAGGCTCTAATAATTATGTAAAGGCAGTAATTTAAATCAGATATAAACTACCAAATATGTTTATAACATATTCTGCAAAATAAATTCCTTTTATAGTCTTATGCATAGAAAGATGAGCATTTTGCAATGCAGGAAGTTCTGGCAGTGCATGAAATATCACTATGAAAGGAAACAGCAAAAGAATATAAGATAGTACATTTCAGTAAAGCTAGAGTTTGCCAACTTTGACACACCAAGATTTTTTAAGAACTGAGATGAAAGATTAAGTTTATGAGTGCTCAGTTAGAATCACAAATCTTATTATTATTAATAGAAGTGCAGAATGTGACCTCAACAAAATTTATTATGCACTATGCAAAATTTGCCTTGTAAAGTATGTCATTTTATTCCATGTTGTTTTCTCTTTCTTATGTGCATACTCAAAAGGGAAAATTGAATGATGACTATATTCTATGCTGTCAGAACACGGAAGGCAAACAAGTATACTATGGAAGTTATTACAGAAGCCAGGTCAGGATGGTGCATGGGGGTGCATCCGTCGATTAAGTAAATAGATACCGCTGTTCATTTTTATTTTTCTAACTATTAGAACTGAATCCTACAGAGTAAACTTTGTAAGAATTAATGATATGGTTATAGCAGCTAAAATATTATCTACAACTAAACTGAGGGCCAAAAAACTCTGAATTGGACTTTGATTGTTCTAATGTTAAAGACAGCTTTCTTTGAGTCAGCTCATTATAGAGCATAAAACAACTGTTCTGGCTATCTCAGTACAATACCTCTGAGTGAGTGTGATGAAGGGGCTGAGAAATTGCCGTGATGTATGATAGTGCCTGCATCTAAAGCAAATTTGTCTGCAACCTCCCGGGCTCACTGAATATTAAGATAAGGCTATTGGGATTGGCACTTACTCCCTTCAGTTTTGGAGCTAAGACATGTGGAAATGATTGTAGGTCCAGACTATCGCATTCCTTCAAAAAAATGTTGGCAAGTCCTCAGAAACTGAGGCCAGTTATTATTATCATTCTCCTGAACATCATTTGGAGAAAAAATAAGGTCTGATAGAGAAGAAAGGGAATTCTGGCACCTTTCTGAATCCAAAAAAATTTTATTGAAAATAAGGTCCTGGAACAATGATATGGGAAAAAAATCAATAAAATTTGATGACTGCCTTTTGGACTATATAAAGGAGGTTGATTTATAAATTAATTACTACTTTATTAGGCTAAGCTTTGGATCTAGAAAACTAAAAAGATGGGCTAAATTCAAAGGAATCCATTCAGTTCTTTTTTCCTCATGACAGGAAATGGTGCAATTTATATATACAGTATTAAAAAAAATAGAGATTTCACTTCTGACTTCTAAATGGCAAAATAATAATGAGCAAATTCCTATTCACTGTAGCCCAAAATCTATTCTCTAGTGCTTTGAGGTTCTGCATAAGAATGGAAATCTCCCTTTGAAAATGAAATGTGATAGGCAAATTTGTGATGCTAAAGAAGGTTAAGAACTTCTAGTGCAAAATTTTGAGGCGTAACTTTGGTTGGCAATCTTGAGCACAGAGTTTATTTAGAAAAACACTCCTGAAAAGATATAATAAAAATAAACAAATTTTACTTTGGCCTTGATTCAAAGGAATGTTTAGCAGAAATATAATTGCTGTGTGTAAACATAACGAAAATAAATGTAGCATTTAAGTTTCATGATATTCAAGTATCGGTCTCGACAATCTTATGGAAAGGTTCCTAACCTTACTGATACCAGTTCTCATGCCTGAAAAATAAAGATAACAACACTCATAACAAATGGTATATAAAACAATAAAATAATATATATAGCAGACCCAGTACAAGCCCTATAAAATATCTACTCCACTAAAATACATTTCATCTATTAAATATATAGAAAAATAGGAAACGAAATTAGATACTTATAGTGTGTATTCTAGATTGTTTTTAAAACTGGTTGTGTGGGCAGAGTTTGTTTTTAATAATCATTGTTTACTATTCCATCCCCAGTGCCTAAAACATTGCTTGAATAAGAAGTTAATAATTTTACTTTTAAAGTGGTGGGTCTAAATATTGTGTTTTGATGTAATTTAATTGTTTGAAAATTAATTTTAAATGTCTTCCTTTGTTTTTCCTGCATTAGAAGATATTTCCTGCCTAAATTCTAGATAAAGTTATTAAATCACTTGATAATACAGTGGCATCCTTCCTATAAATATGGCATCCTGTGGTCACTTGGGGTGTATGCCAGATGCTGTATGAAATGGAGATACGCTGTTACAAGCTCCTCTCCTAATGTGACATCCTGCAGAAAGGATCAGCTTTCTCCAGGACCATACTTCATTCAATGCTTATGTGACCTTTCAGTGCATTAACAACGGCTGGTACATCATTGGGTTTTGTCTAATAGACACATTGATTTAGGGATGCAAAGAAAGTTTTCACTAAACAATGTGCTATCCAGCTGGAGCATAATAAACACACATATAGCCAAGTGAATGGAGCTAAATGCTTAATTAACTTTTGCACCTTCCAAACAATGAGGACACCAAAAGTAAAATCGATAGAATCTAGTTAGCTTGAATCATGAGCAAGATTTTCTGTATCTACTAAGGGTTAGGCGTGACTAGCCAGAGTTAAATACCTGAGGATTTATTTGCTTGTTTGTTAGTTCATTAATAGTAACTCTCCCTCCCCGCCACCTACCCAGGAAGAATTACAGAAATGTGGGAAAAAATTGGCTCACCCAAATGGGCATTCATTCTACTCAGGCTTCATTGTTTAAAGTGATGTTTGTTACTTACTTAAGAGGTATATTCCAAACACTACATTTTATAGTGTTAAAGGAATAATCAGAGATATATTTTAAGGTGCTAGTGGAGAAAGAATTATAGGTTAAAAAAAATATTGCACAGGGGGTGGCAAAGCCTTTTAGTCAGTCTTCTACCAAAAGAAATTCTTTTTTCCAACTGTCCTTACCCTTTGACCCTACTCCAGAATTGTTTCCTATAACAACACAGAAATAAGAAAATTTTGGATATGTGTATTTTTTATGTAGAAGAAAAAAATGGTAAGTAATATTTTTCCTGTTCTGGCTCTAGTTTACCTTATGAGCATTTTTCATGCAGATGAATGACAATGACTGGCTTCCAAATTAAAAACTAAAAAACTGATGAGCAGGAGAGATAATACTGGTACTCTATGTCTATTTTATTTTCTATCAGTATGTCATAGTGATTCAAGTAGTGGGCACTGGGATAAAATCTGGTGTCCTCCATTTACAACTTACATGACCTTGGTAAGTTACTTTGTGCTTCCATGTCCTCAGTTATTAAGTGAATATAATCATAGTACCTTCTTCATAGAGTTGTCAGGAGAATTAATATTTGTAAAGCACTCACAATGGGACTTGACACATATTAAGTACTATTAAGTGTCATCTATCTACTATCTATCTATCAGATCTTCATCATCTTTATTTGTAAATAATATACTTAACATAACTAAAACAGCAGAGATCTTTGGGGCAAATATGTTGCATCTATAAGAAAGCTCTCTAGTTTTCCTAGATGTTTTGTATTTTAGTTTTCTATTTCGATTGAAAACATACAATGTTTACACTGATGCAGTACAAATAGAATTATCATTCCTGGTTTACAATTATAAAGCTGATTACATCTGCTATCATGTTTAGGGCTCTATCATATTTTCAGGATAAAGTGCTCTGTTGGTTACAATGCAGAATATAAAGATGAATAACATACAAAGAAGCTTACAATTTACTGAAGTGGTTTCAGACACACACACAAATAATATGACATGAACAAAGAGTGTTAAAAAGTGTAAAACATGTCAATAGATGACAGAATTAGACAAATTTAAAATTTCAAAAAGGTGTTGTGGATGATGCTAACTTTAAATCCTATCTCAACAGTTCAGCCAATTTGAGAAAGAGTGAATCCAGTTCCCAAGCAGGCCCATTATAGGACTGCTGTAAAATCTGGAAATTCTTTGAATTAGCAGTTCCAGGTTGTAGAGTTTTATCAGAGGTTATTGGTAAGTGCTACTTCAGAGTATTTATGAGCAATTCTCATTCCGAGTAGAGAGAGGGGTATAAAAAATTTGGAGGAGAGCTGAGAGATCAAAGATTAACTTATACCTGAGTCATTAATAGTAACTTTTTGGCAGCATTGCCATCAACATCCATAGCTGCTATAATCATCATTTCTGCTTGTCTCTTAATATGTCTTTGGAAGAAGTTCCATGCTCCTTGACGGTCCTATCACTTCTTGGACTAATTTTCCATTTCCTCAATTGGGGCATGTTTTCTTATCCTGGAGTGGCCCGAGTATGTTACCCTGAGATATCCAGGATGCATATTAAGTTCTCAACCAACTTTACATTTTGATAACTTCAGTGGTACTAATGGTTAAGCAAACCATAAATAGCTATTGACTTATCGAAAACATTTTTTTGGGTGAGCTTGGGACCAGAATCAAAAGTAAGATGGTTAGACTCACTGGACAGTGGCCAAGAATGTTTTAACTTAGGAAATTAAACTGAAACATAAATCAGAGTTAACACTGATAATAGTAAAGCCTGGATGTGGGAATATTACCGTAAGGCTTTCTCAAACCATTTACTTTTGCTTCCATCACATATGCCTCTGAAGTTATTGCGAGTTTCAGGCTGCAAGGATCCATTATCTACTATAGAAAGGAAGACCATTTTGAAAATAGAAGGTCACTCTTACTTTAGAGGAAAAATGATCTCAATACTCAAAGTATCTAATTCTTAAACACTGAAATTAAGGAAACTAGGTTAATACCAAGTAAATGTTTAAGTCAAGTAAGACAAGAGTCTGATCTATTTCCCAAGTCAGAGTAACGATGCCTATTTGACCACAGCCAAGAGAAAATCTATTCCAGGTGTTGATAATCTGTGAGGGTCTCTTCTTTGTGTACTTTGGGGGAAAAGAGCCAACTTCCTCTAAAGTTAAGAGAGAAAAAAGAAGAGGAATAAGAAATACGTGTGTGCATGTCAGTGTGTGTGTGTGTGTGTGTGTGTGTTGTATCACAAAGTAATATGTCTACACTGAGAGGAATCTGACACAGTCCTTTATAAAGTTAATACAATACAGGGATATCTTTTTCATTTCACATCTCTTTTAACTTAAACATTTGTAGGTCCCTGCCAAATATCTGTTTTTAATGGAGGTGAAGTTTTCAAAAACTTTTGATGGGCTAGAAGACATGCTTAATCTCTACCCCTAAAGATGACCTTCCTCATAAAACAGGCTGTGTCTCTCTAAGTTCCAGGACTAAACAGTCACACCTGAACAGCAAGTGTGTCATAAAATAAAATGTCATTAGCAATCATCAATTGGATTCATGTGTAAGACTTTCTCTTATTTTTATTGTCAATTCAAAGCTAATAATTAATTTTCTCATGTTAACAACATGGCTCGGATAGTGTACTTTGATGCCAGGGCATGGCTTCTTTAGAGCTTTCTATCTAAATAGTCTCAGATACATCTAAAAGTTTGCTTTCCATTTCTCTCAAATTTATGTTTACAAAGAAGGCACACAGGCCTTGTTTCCATATCAAGCTAAGGGAAAGGAGGAGCAGAGTGAATGATTTGGAAAAGGCTGGGCTTGGTGGCTCATGCCTGTAATCCTAGCATTTTGGGAAGCCGAGGCTGGTGGATCACCTGAGGTCAAGAGTTGAGATCAGCCTGACAAACATGGTGAAACCCCATCTCTACTAAAAATACAAAATTAGTCCGGCATGGTGGCACATGCCTGTAATCCCAGCTACTCTGGAGGCAGAGGCAGGAGAATCCCTTGAACCTAGGAGGCGGAGGTTTCAGTGAGCCGAGATCATGGCATTGCACTCCAGACTGGGAAACAAGAGAAAAACTCCATCTCAAAAAAAAAAAAAAAAAAAAAAAAGAGGAAATAATCCTTCTGATAAATCTGTTAATAGCAGCATAAGAGTCTTTAATTTGGAGATATAACAAAATAAGCATGTAGCTCAGAGATTCTTAGGGGAGACTCTGAGGAATGAAATGAATTCTTAAAATCATTCCACTTCCCATGTTATTATTTGCACTTTTGAAAAGGTCCTTTCCATTTGTTTATTTACAGAAGTAATACCTACCTTGCAGGTAGTTTTAGGGTTAGAGAAGTTTTTGTTTGTTTGTTTGTTTGTTTGTTTGTTTTACTGTAGAAAGAGAGATGGCATAGTAATGGGGATACATTATGGCTCAGTAAATACTAAAAATTATCAGAGGCCACAAAATATATCAGTTTAAGAATGTGGTCTTTGGCCAGGCATGGTGGCTTACACCTGTAATCCCAGTACTTTGGAGGCTGAGGTAGACGGATCACTTGAGGCCAGGAGTTCAAGACTAGCCTGGGCAACACAATGAGATTCCATTTCTTTAAAGAATGAAAATAAATTAACCAGGTGTGGTGGTATGCATCTGCAGTCCTGGCTACTCAGGAGGCTGAAGTGGGAGGATGGCTGGAGCCCAGGAGTTCAAGGTTAAAGTGAGCTATGATCATGCCACTGTCCTCCAGCTGGGGCAAAAGAGCAAGGGCCTGTGTAAAAGAAAACAAAAACAAAAACAGAATGTGGTCTTTAATGTCGATCAGAACTGAGTTTGAATTCTTAGCTCTGCCACTTGACATCTGCATGACCTCAAAATTACTGAGAATCTGAGACTTGCCTTTCTTTGTATGTAAAAATGAGAAAATAAACCTTCCTGGTTAAACTGTTTTGAGTTAACCTAAAGGAGTTATGAACATGTTTACTGAAACTAACTTAGCAAATGTTATGTGCTGGTTCCATTGTAGGATACGAAGCCAAATCTGTCTTTGTATCTCTTTTTCACTGATTATTGCCCTTGGTGCAGCTCACTTGGTTGGTGGCCTACAACACTGTCCTGCCCCACTCCTTGAGAACTAAACCCTTTTCCTAAGCCCCTGGCAACAGTCCTTGTATTAGACAGCTAATGCAAGATATGAGCTATCTATTGCTTTGTAACAAATTAGCCCCAAATTTAACAGCTTAAAATAGCAAACATTTATTAGCTCACACAGTTAACTTAGGTTTAGGAGTCCAGGAGTACAAGTAGGGTGGGTCTGACTCAGGATCTCTCATGAAATTGTACTCAAAATGTCTGCGGGAACTCCAGTCATCTGAAGGTTTGCTGGGGCTGAAGGAGCTGCTTTCGTACTCTCTCACACATGGCCATTAGGCATGGCCTCAGTTCCCCACTTGTGCGCCTCTGCATAACACTGCTCATCACATGGCCACTGGCTTTCTCCAAAGGAGTTGATTCGAGAGAGAGACAGGGGGATTGAAACGGAAGCTGAGTTGTCTTTTATAACCCCATCTCGGAAGTACTTCCACCATATTGTATGGGAGGGAACTACACAGTGTGTGAACACCAGGATTCCCAGATCATTGGGAACCATTATGAAACCTAGGTATAACTATCTTCCACGGAATGACATAAGCACCAACAAGTTGATGTCATCTCATGCCTGATCTCAAGTTAGATACTCTGTGTGGTATTTCTTGTTCATCACATTATAATCTTCTATCATACTTCTAAAAACACATGACACTTACTAAATGCAATTGGTAGTTTGTCATTTTGTTTTGTTCTGTTGGCCAACCCTATATCCAGGTAAGTTTCTCAACTGAGGCCCCCTGAGTTCATTACAAATGCATTCTTAGCTCATAATAATAGTGTTCAGATAACAACAGCAACAACAAAAAACCCTGTACTATCTCTATTTTTAGTGTATACAGCTGTTTTTCCAATATATAAGACTGAGTCAGTCACAGAGCAAGCAAACAAACTCTGCTTTGTGTAACTGCAGAAAGGAAGTGAAGAAAGTCTTTAGGAAATTAGGAAAAAGACATGAAAAATGGGGGAAAATATGACCCAGCAGCACAAAGACAAGAAGGAAGTAACAAACCCAGTCAAAAAACAAGCAGAATCTGACAGTGTATAGAATGACAAGTGTTGACTATATAAAACAATATTTAATATTCCAACCACCAAATTCTAGTTACAAAAGCCATGTTTCTACTAAGTTTTATTTTAGAAGCTTATTGAATTTGTCTTAATACTTGGAAATTTAAATCACCAACTAAATTTCATTTAGGCCAGCCTTAACTAGGACAAGCCAATCACTTTTGCCTGATCTATGCTGTTTTTCCGATTTTAGAAACAGAAAAACAACAACAACAAAAAGAGTCTACAAAATGAGAATTAGGTATTTATGTAAAGCTGCTTTTTTATTAAGGTCACAAATGATCTTTTGGAACAATAACAAAACCGGATACAGTATTTTTTTAATGCTATGCTATTTTGCAATAAGTTCATTTTCAAAACAAAAATTTAACAAAAGCAAAAATATGAAGTTCAAATATAATAGCACTCTACATCCAATTTTAAAATTAAATATCCCATAATTTGCTGTATAATTATTGTTCTGTCATAATTTTTTCTTAGCTTTTTTAAATGTAGTTGACAGATTGTTTAAATTTTTTTTAATTCTGGGATAAAAGCAGATCAAACATCTTTAAATAGGAGCTTTTCGTTATTTGTAAGCAGGTACTTCATTTTACCACCTGGCTTAGAAATAGATCAGGTCATTCTGGTTATTGGATGTCACCCATGGGAGGTTATGC
Organism: Homo sapiens; assembly: GCF_000001405.40. Lineage (NCBI taxonomy): Eukaryota > Metazoa > Chordata > Mammalia > Primates > Hominidae > Homo > Homo sapiens. The sequence continues at coordinate 82,590,012 of NC_000001.11, read as the reverse complement.
TAAAAAATAGGCTAATTGTGGATTAGTGAATTTCTCTATTTCACGGAATAAGACAATACCTGTTATCTAGGGAAAAGGCTTATTGCTAAGAATCAATAAAAATTACCTCACGGCTTACCGTTGCTTCATAATTAGTTATGTGCCTTTGATTACTTTCCATTATGTTTTTCAACTTTAATCAATGGACCTTACTCAAGCAAGAGGCAGAACTAGCCTGTATGTAAATGATGAGGTCATAGATTTCAATGGAAATCTTCTCAATGAATATGGTAGCCTCAGTGCATCAGGCCCCATTTATTTACTTAAGTAAGCCCAGGCTTATAACTGCAGGGGTGACAATAGCCACACAATTAGAAAAAACAATTCTCTCTGGCCGGGCGTGGTGGCTCATGCCTGTAATCCTGGCACTTTGGGAGGCCAAGGTGGGCGGATCACGAGGTCAGGAGATCAAGACCATCCTGGCTAACGCGGTGAAACCTCGTCTCTACTAAAAATACAAAAAATTAGCTGGGCGTGGTGGCGGGTGCCTGTAGTCCCAGCTGACTCGGGAGGCTGAGGCAGGAGAATGGCGTGAGCCCAGGAAGCGGAGCTTGCAGTGAGCCGAGATCGTGCCACTGCACTCCAGCCTGGGTGACAGAGCAAGACTCTGTCTCAAAAAAAAAAAAAAAAGAAAAAACAGTTCTCTGTGTTTGGTATTTAAAGGAATTTTACTTAAAACAAAGGATAGAAGCTAATGGGGGTGCACAGAGGGTGGCCTCCATGGTGCAGCACATGCCCAGCAGGCTCTCAGACACTGCTGCTGGAGAACAGTAATGGGGTGAGAGAAGAGCTGGGACAGAGGAGCATCCACATCCGAGTCCATTGCTAACGAGCAAAGCATGCTACTTTGCCCAACAGTCACATTATTATCTAAGTATTATATTTGGAAGAGAATTCAGAGTATCTTTTTATAGACTTATGTTATTTGCTCCAAGTTCACACTGAGAAATGGAGATTAATGGGCGAGAGGGAGGAGAGCATTATATAGTGGTGTTATCAAAAAGAAACTTTGTATTAAACCAGAGCATTTGGGAAAGATATGATCATTAGCATTTTTATGAGCTTTTAGTTTCCATTTTTTTCTGACACTGATAAGAGATCTGTCTTCTCTTAAATGTAATGATTTGTATATTTGCCCTCATTTGCAAGTTCAGAGTCTGGGGGAAGACAAATCCAAGTACTGTCTAGTCCTGAAATTTCCTTAGGCTGCTGAGACAAAAACAAAAAGGCATTCATCCTCAAATTAGTGACTTCTTGCAAAAAGATAGAACAGAAAAATAATGACCTACTTTTGGTTTAAGACCTTTTTCACATGAAAGTAAACCCTGTGCTGCTGTTATGTGCATGACCAGGAGGACAGCAGAGTACCCACATTACAGATGTTGGTCTCTAATAGAATTACATCATGTACCTATGCATCACTATTTGCCTAAAATGCCGAATTTTTCTCTGAAATCTTTCTGACACTCCACATATGGCAGAGTAAGGCATTTAATATTTGGGCACTGTGAACAGTTTGCCTATCATCACATGAATTAGGTCCCAAGAACTCCACATACTTGATTTGTCTCACTTTCTCTGTAATTGGGAGGCAGCATACAGGGGAGTTTGAGATTATGACCTCTGAACCCAGACTTTCCCATCTTTCGGATTTTAGCTCCACTCCTTAGCAACTATGTGACTCTTGGGCAACTTAATGGATGTGTGTCTTAGTTTCTTCATCTAGAAACACAGGTTAAAAATCATAGGGCTTTGGGCAGATTCAGTGAGATGATATCTGTAAAGCAATTAGAACAGTGACTAGCATACAGTTAGAATTATATTAGTGATCCCAACTAATTATTGATTTATTTGTTTCAGGAAAATGTCATTTTATGTTTGATGTTGAAAAACTGCCAAAAAATACTAAAATCTGAGGCAGAAAATCTAATAAATTCAAAACTGAGCTCAATGTTTCATGATTTGTCTTTAGTTTCCCAATTGCCATGTGTCTGTTAACCTCACTTGGATTTCTAGAGTGAAAACCATTTCTGGAGCCTTACTGAGTGTGGACATGCATGTGTTAGCATTCTGTTAAAAAAGAAGAAAGCAGTTTTTATATGCAACACAATCAAGTTATCATTAGAATTATGATTTAGGAATTGAAAGGTTTAATGACCAAGGCCTAGGCCCTAAATCAGGACTCTGTCCCTATACTGCCCCTTAGTAGAACCTTGCCTCCAACTGGGTACCTTTAACAAGTCCACAGTTTTAGTTGAATAGTTATAATTAGCAATGCAATGCATACTATTTCCGAACTGACTTTGACTAAGGAGGTCTAGTTCCTTTTTGCCATGTTTATAAACTCTCTCTGGTCCTCCTATATCCTCACTTTCTAAGATGTAGTAATCAAGGATTTTAAAACAACAGAATGGGAATGTGTTTTTCTTTCCTAGAATGAGTGCCAATATGTATTAATACATAATATTTGGATATCATTTTCACTGAACACTTCCAAATGACTCCCACATACAGATGTTGGTTTACTTTCACACACAGCCTCCCTCTTCTTGAATGTGTTTCTCTTGTTTTGAGGGGGATAGGATGAAGAGAAGAGGGAGGCATGAGGCAAAGTTTCTTTTTTTTTTCTGTTGTTCTCTAAGCAGACACCAGAGATGAGTTGAGACCCAATAGACTCTAAGGACATGGATCCCGCCTCATCTCCTCTTTAATGGTCACTTGGGGGCAATACACTGAAGGATAATGCGATGGTCCCAGAAAATAATGGGGAATAAAGATAGCAGGTAGTGATGCCAGTTGTGTGAAATGACAGTCTCAGATGTCTTACAGGAGAAGGGCTCTCAAAGGTCTTGTGGGGTCTGCTGGAAAGATCCGAGTGTTCCTTGACCTGTGAATAACATATATTTACCAATCATTTTTTTTCAACTCCAGGGCTATAAAAGCTATTTCCCGGAAAACAGAAGCAGTCCTTGATACCAGTATATTAAAGTATTTTTAAATTGTTAATAATAATGTGGTAGCCGAGGTAAGCCACAGTGACTGCTGTGTTCTGATATTCACACTCTTGTGTGAGCCTCTCTCATGGTGAATAGGATCAATTTATGTAACTGAAAGGATAGTACAGAAATGATGACATGTGACTTCTGAGATTAGGTCATAAAAGACACTATGATTTCCATCTCTGTACCCTTTAAATACACTCTGAGGAAAGCCAGCTGCCATGCCACTGTGAGGACATCTGAGTAGTCCTACAGAAAGATCCACATAGGGAGGAAGTGAGGCCTCTCACCAATAGCCAGTGAGGAACTGAGGCTTCCTGCCAACAGCTCTGTCAGTGAGCCATCTTGAAAGCAGATTCTTGTCTCAGTGAAGTTGCCAAATGACTGCAGTCCTGGCTGACACCTTGAATGTGACCTCATGAGAGACCCTGAGCCAGAACCACCCAGCTAAGCTAAGGATTCCTGATTCACAGAAATTTTGAGCAATTTTTTATTGTTTTAAGCCCCTGAGTTTTGGGGTAATCTGCTATGCAGCAATGGATAACAAAACAGAGAAATTCCTGTGTTAGAACATTAACTGAAAGAAGCATGAGACAAACAAATTTATTAAAATTTCACCATTGTAAATTGTACATCAAAAAAAGAAAAAAAATCATATTTATTATTAGCTATTAGGGCTACTGGATAAATCATAATCCTTTTTATATTTATAATGTGTGAAGTATTAGTTTGATCAAAAATAACTTTTATTTATTTATTTATTTTTAATTTTATTATTATTATACTTTAAGTTTTAGGGGACATGTGCACAACGTGCAGGTTTGTTACATATGTATACATGTGCCATGTTGGTGTGCTGCACCCATTAACTCTTCATTTAGCATTAGGTATATCTCCTAATGCTATCCCTCCCCTCTCCCCCAACCCCACAACAGGCCCCACTGTGTGATGTTCCCCATCCTGTGTCCATGTGTTCTCATTGTTCAATTCCCACCTATGAGTGAGAACATGCGGTGTTTGGTTTTTTTGTCCTTGCAAAAAACCTTGATGGTTTCTAGTTTCATCCATGTCCCTGCAAAGGACATGAACTCATCATTTTTTATGGCTGCATAGTATTCCATGGTGTATATGTGCCACATTTTCTTAATCCAGTCTATCGTTGCTGGACGTTTAGGTTGGTTCCAAGTCTTTGCTATTGTGAATAGTGCCGCTATAAACATACGTGTGCACGTGTCTTTATAGCGGCATGATTTATAATCCTTTGGGTATATACCCAGTAATGGAATGGCTGGGTCAAATGGTATTTCTAATTGTAGATCCCTGAGGAATCGCCACACTGACTTGCACAATGGTTGAACTAGTTTATAGTCCCATCAACAGTGTAAAAGTGTTCCTATTTCTCCACATCCTCTCCAGCACCTGTTGTTTCCTGACTTTTTAATGATCGCCATTCTAACTGGTGTGAGATGGCATCTCATTGTGGTTTTGATTTGCATTTCTCTGATGGCCAGTGATGATGAGCATTTTTTCATATGTTTTTTGACTGCATAAATGTCATATTTTGAGAAGTGTCTGTTCATATCCTTTGCCCACTTTTTGATGGGGTTGTTTGTTTTTTTCTTGTAAATTTGTTTGAGTTCATTGTAGATTCTGGATATTAGCCCTTTGTCAGATGAGGAGGTTGCAAAAATTTTCTCCCATTCTTAGGTTGCCTGTTCACTCTGATGGTAGTTTCTTTTGCTGTGCAGAAGCTCTTTAGTTTAATTAGATCCCATTTGTCAATTTTGGCTTTTGTTGCCATTGCTTTTGGTGTTTTAGACATGAAGTCCTTGCCCATGCCTATGTCCTGAATGGTATTGCCTAGGTTATCTTCTAGGGTTTTTATGGTTTTAAGTCTAACATTTAAGTCTTTAATCCATCTTGAATTAATTTTTGTATAAGCTGTAAGGAAGGGATCCAGTTTCAGCTTTCTACATATGGATAGCCAGTTTTCCCAGCACCATTTATTAAATAGGGAATCCTTTCCCCTTTGCTTGTTTTTGTCAGGTTTGTCAAAGATCAGATAGTTGTAGATATGCGGCACTATTTCTGAAGGCTCTGTTCTGTTCCATTGGTCTATATCCCTGTTTTGGTACCAGTACCATGCTGTTTTGGTTACTGTAGCCTTGTAGTATGGTTTGATGTCAGGTAGCATGATGCCTCCAGCTTTGTTCTTTTGGCTTAGGATTGACTTGGCGATGCGGGCTCTTTTTTGCTTCCATATGACCTTTAAAGTAGTTTTTTCCAATTCTGTGAAGAAAGTCATTGGTAGCTTGATGGGGATGGCATTGAATCTATAAATTACCTTGGGCAGTATGGCCATTTTCACGATATTGATTCTTCCTACCCATGAGCATGGAATGTTCTTCCATTTGTTTGTATCCTCTTTTATTTCATTGAGCAGTGGTTTGTAGTTCTCCTTGAAGAGGTCCTTCACATCCCTTGTAAGTTGGATTCCTAGGTATTTTATTCTCTTTGAAGCAATTGTGAATGGGAGTTCACTCATGATTTGGCTCTTTGTTTGTCTGTTATTGGTGTATAAGAATGCTTGTGATTTTTGTACATTGATTTTGTATCCTGAGACTTTGCTGAAGTTGCTTATCAGCTTAAGGAGATTTTGGGCTAAGACGATGGGGTTTTCTAGATATACAATCATGTATGTCATCTGCAAACAGGGACAATTTGACTTCCTCTTTTCCTAATTGAATACCCTTTATTCCCTTCTCCTGCCTGATTGCCCTGGCCAGAACTTCCAACACTATGTTGAATAGGAGCGGTGAGAGAGGGCATCCCTGTCTTGTGCCCGTTTTCAAAGGGAATGCTTCCAGTTTTTGCCCATTCAGTATGATATTGGCTGTGGGTTTGTCATAGATAGCTCTTATTATTTTGAGATACGTCCCATCAATACCTAATTTATTGAGAGTTTTTAGCATGTTGAATTTTGTCAAAGGCCTTTTCTGCATCTATTGAGATAATCATGTGGTTTTTGTCTTTGGTTCTGTTTATATGATAACTTTTAAAACAATTTTTAAGTATTTGCTTCATTATAGGAGAGATTAAAACTACTTTCATTTGTTTGGTAGTATGTTTGGGTAATAATATTCCAAAAACAATTTCAAAAACTAAAATATAAAACTATATTTCTGTCATCAGGAGAGTTTAAGTTATTTTTTATGTACTATTTTTTCCTTTAGCTAACCTACTTGAATTTGCAAGTTCCTTTTAGCTTCAAACATGATGTTAAGTATAGAAAAATATACCATGCGTTCTCATGCTCTGTGTGAAAATTAGGCTGCAGTAACTCTGAGACACCCAGCCTAGATGTCAACATATTATATATCTTACCAGAAAAAATATAATTGGAATAATGTGAACAGAAATGAAAGTTAAAGTTCTTAGCCACTTTTTAAACTTTCTCTCTGCTGCTTTACATCGTGAAGGCAGTATACGACAAAATCATTAAAAGATCCAGTCTAGTTCTAACATTTGCTATCTGTGTAAACCTTGGGTAAGTTTCTTACCCTTTTTATACCTCTTTACCCTCATCTTTAAAATGAAGATGCTACTTATACTATCAGGCTCAAAGCTTTACTACTAGGGGGATAAATCTGGCTTGACCTAGAAGGACTGTGAATTATTTATTATTCTTTGCTTAAAGTTTTCTGATATTCAAGGTTGGAATCAGGATCCATAGGATTTAATTGTTTGAGACATTACAAGATATCACACAATGACTGGGGAGTGCAAAATGAGTGTCGGCTGAATATTTTGCCTAGCTTTTGCAGTCTCACAATCTGGGACTCATATCTCCGCTATGCAGTTTATTTGCTGTGTGGCATTGGAGGGTGGCATAACCTTTCTGAGTTTTACTTTTTATTTTATTCGTATGAAGAAGAGTACGTGAACTATCACATAAAACTATTTTAAGGATTGAAAAAAATAATAAAGAGGAAAAGAGCATATTTCCTGGTGTATGTTAAGTACAAAATACATGCTAATTCCTTTTTTTCTTTTCTTATTTATTCTCTATGTATTAGGTGAGAGTTGAGAGAGGACACTGAGTAGAAATGGAAATGAGAAGATGAATTAATGTGAAAAAAATTGTGGCAACACATTGTTAAACTATTGTTCTATTTCGTTAATGCAAAGAGGAAACATAATAATAACAAACTTATTAGATGTTTGCTCATTAATTTCACCATGGCATATTAAATTGCCTGGCAGAAATGTCATATCTACTATTCACAAAAGAAATATTACTGCATATAATTTGGATGCATTCGGAAAACTCCCTGCTTCAGCTTGTTAGAAAAAATTCACAGAGCTGGAACACTCTCAAGGCAGATAATGGTAAGCCACAAGGTGTCAAATCTATCCCTGTCATGAGGAAACAGGAATCTCTTTATAACGTTAATTCAGGGTCTCTATAACTCTGTCAAAATAGTGGCACGTGAGCATTTGGCATTCTCAGAACTTCAAGAATTGCTGAATAGCTCAGAAAGCTAACATTATTGCATAAGCTTCTCTGACACACTTACAGGTGTCCAGTATTGAATTTTAAGCAAGCTGATAATTTTTGATCTTGATCTTAATGCACGAGATAGTTTGTCCACTGGGTACGGTGTTTTCCTGAAAGCTTAATTTCCCCTCTTCATTTTACTAATGCTACTATTGGTTGTTTAGAATATTTAATTAATGATTTTTTTTACAATCTGTTTATGCCCTGAGGCTTTTAAAACAAAAGACATAATTTTTAAAAATTCTAACAAAAAATTAATTAATTAAAATTATCGTTGTGAGTTATTATCCCAACTCTCAACTGGGAATATTTTAACACGCAAAGAAGTGGGCAATAAAACACCTTCTTGGATTGTACAATGACTCTGAGACTTCTCAAAGTCCCTTTGTCCCTTGCCTAAGGCATGCTTTCATATCATGACTCGCTACATGTTTTTCATGAAAACTGTAGCAATCATTCTCGAAGGAAGGAAGGAAGGAAGGAAGGGAGGGAGGAAAATTTAAAAGAGAGAAAACTAGTTATATTCTTACTGATCAAATCTAGATTTTGCTTTGCTAATTTTAATTTTTATAAATCAGTGTAACTGTCAAAAACACAAAGAAAGTAATGCACAGATAAAGGAAGAACACAGTAATAAATATGAATTGTCACATTTTTCTTACTTACCTTCTCTTTAATCCAGCATCGTTTCCTTTAATATGTGGGTATCTCAGTTGAAGAGAACAGTGACATTACTTATTTGAGAATGTGTTGAGTACCGATTTTTTCTCAAATCCTTTTATTCAATACACATAAAAAGACTGCACATTGCTTTTTTTGTTTGTTTGTTTTCCAATTTTATAACTGAAGAAACTAGAAAAAAAGTGAACCTAAGCAAACTCCAAACCATCTTGTCTGATTTAAAACTTGGTCTTTCCAAAGTGTATACTGGGCAAACTACCCCTGTAGCTCAGTCATTGATTCTAGTCACTTTCAGTATTGCTTTATTAAGGGGTCATTTTGAGGATTCTATATATTTTTTTTTTGTAGGTTTCCTTCTCTATCTCTGTGCCAGTGTCATACTGCCTTAATTGTTACTATAGGTTTATATCTCTGATAGATTTGTTTTATTTTGGAAGTTAGGTTTTAACAAGTGGTTCAATTTATGTAATGATTACAAGTTCACCAATGTTTTCTGTACTATTAAGTTAGTTTAGTAATTTATAATGTGTTATAAAATTTTTATTTGACCTGATTGTCAAATGAATTTCCATAAGTTGTTCACAGTATTTCTCCCTTGTTGAAACTGTTTGCCTTATCTTAATCTGTCCCCTTTTCATTCCTTATATTGATTATGTTTGTCTTCTATCACTTTCTTTTTAATCAATCTTGCAGAGATTTGTAGTTTTTTTCGGTTGTTCCAAGAACTACCTTTTATATCCTCTTGAATGTATTTTTGTTTTCTATTTTATTATTTTCTTCCTTCTACATTTTCTAGACTTCTTCTTTTCTTTTTTTCAAATTTCTTAAGTTGGATGCTTAGCATATTAATTGTTAGCCTATCTTTTCTAATAAGCATTTCAGACTACAAATTTCCAAAAAATTCCTGCATTAGCTTTATCTGACATGTTCAAATAATGTATCTCTTATTACCATCTACATCTATTTCTTATAAACTAAATTTAGAAAAGTCCTGCTCTGTTTTTCAATCTGACATTCTCTGCCTTCAATTGAGTGTTTAGGTTATTTATTTTTATTATATTACTTGATATTTTGTATTTAAACCTGCCATCTTGGCAGGCATTCTCTTTTCCTTTTTATACCATTTATTCTGTATCTATTCATCCTTTCCTGAGGTCTTTAGAATTAATTGGAAATTATTCAGTATTCTATTTCTTCTATTGATTTTTTTGGGCTACATTTACTACAAAGTTTTAATAGTTACTTAAAGATTAAAATGTTCACCTTTAAGTTATCACAGCCTACCTTAACCAATATATCCTACTTCATGAGCAAGATAAGAATCTTATCACACAATTCCATTTCTATAGATATGTATCTGCTCCAGAAAAAAATGTCAGCAGCTGAAAACAATGATGATTTATTGATTCTTTACCTCCTGTTGGTCAGGAATTGGACAGTGCTCAACTAAGCAATTCTACTCCCTGTGATGTTGGTTTAGGTCAAATGGCTGAATTCAGTTGTGAGCTTGGCTGGAGCTGGAATGCCCAAAAAAGGTCTCTCCCCTTCCAAGGTCTGTCTCAAGGTAACCTCATTATAACAATATGGAGCTGGACTCCATGAAGAATTCCAGGACTAGCCTAATAAATATGCCAGCTCTTTTTGAGTGTCTGCTTATGTCATGCTTGTTAACTGGCCAAAGAAAGTCACATGGTGACACTGAGTGAATCTGAGAGGGGACTGCATATGAGAATTAATACTGGGAGGCATAATTAATTGGTGCCATTAATATACAAACACACAAAAATAATTAAGCTAGGGGGAGGCATCAGTAGATCTACTATAGCATCATAATATATATTATGTAAATAGATCTACCACAAAATGCTTTCAAAATTTGCCCAAATACTCACCCTTACTGCTGTTCTTCATTCTTGCCTTGAAGAGTCAAAGTTTCATATGGTAATGTTTTTCTTCCATCTGAAGAACTATCTTCAATATCTCTTAAAGTACAGGTCAAGTAGAAACGATTTTATTCCATTTTTTTCCTGTTTGCAATTAGCTTTGTTTTGCTTTAATGCTTCAAAAATGATTTTTTAAACACTAACAAATATATTTTTTAAATATTAAAAAAAAATTTTTAACTATCATCCCTTTCTGTTTTAGTGTGGAATTTTTCTCTTGACCTGTCTTCAAGTTTACTGATTTTATCCACTATGTTTAGTCTGCTACTAAAGCCAAACAGTGATTTCTTCATTTCTGCTATTTCTGGAGTTTCCTTTTGGTTCCTCATGCCCTAACACAATATGTCCACATGTTTTCATTTTTTAAATATTAAAAAATATATATTTTAAATAGTAAAAAATATAAATATGTTTTTAAATATAAAAGGGTATTTTCACTGGATATAGAATGCTTGTTTAACAGTTTTTTTTTTTTTAATTTCTACCAACACTTCTTAAATGTCATTTGATTGTTTTCTAGCTAATGTTGCTTCTTGGTATTTATCACTCTTGGGACTCCGTGAACTTCTGGGGTTTGTGAGCTGAAGTTTTCATTAGGTTCAATAAGTTATTGCCTGTTATGTCTTCAAATATTTCTTCTGCCCCATTGTCTGTCTCTCTCCTCGCCTTCTGGGAATCCAAATGCAAGTACTTTTGATTATTTTATACTTCCCACATATTTCATACACTAGTCTCTTGTTGATATTATTGTTATGTTATTATTATTATCGTTCCTTTCTGTTTCAGTGTGGAATTTTTCTCTTGACCTGTCTTCAAGTTTACTGATTTTATCCACTATGTTTAGTCTGTTACTAAAGCCAAACAGGGATTTCTTCATTTCTGCTATTTCTAGAGTTTCTTTTTGGTTCCTCAAGCCCTAACACAATATGTCCAAATGTTTTCAGAGTCAGACAGACCACAGTTTAGATCCAAATATTTAGTAGTTGTGTGACCAATAGCTTAGTTCTAAACTTAGGGAAATACTAATTTCTAAATTTATAAACTGCAACTAATCACACATAACACTTGAATTACTGTGTAGACTACATAAGAGAGTGTTTAAGAATCTCCTGATATTGAGTCTAGAAAAGAGGAAGGTCTCATTAAATTTGAGTTTCTCCCTCTTTCCAAAAGTTTCTCATATTACAAGTAACATAACAGGAACTTAGAGGTTAAATGGCTTTCTCAATGTCAAACGGTTAGTAGTGTCAGAACTAAATCTCAAACCTGCCTTTCAGTTCTAAAGCGAGTTGTGGTTTTTGTTTTTTTTGTTTTTTTTTTTTAACTACAGCACAGCTAGCTCAGAAGTAGCAGCAGGAGCTTTTTATAACAGTTTTACCATTGTTCTATAGTATAAAAACTAAAAAAAAAAGGAAAACTCCTGTCTGGGTACGAAGATATGAAAAATATGTTGGACAGGTACTGTCTCATCACTGAGCTACAGTGTAAATGTTCTAAATTTGGGTTTTCACTGTCTCTTCACTTGACTAAGTAGTAGCTGTGACTATATAACCAGTCACTAAAAATAGCTGATTGCCCATGACAACTCTTTAAAAAGTGCTTTATTTTTCATTTACTGTTTTATTCTCCTTGTGGTTGCTCTACTTAATTAATGGGATCTATTTGGCAAATGAGATGACTTAACATGAAAAGAAAAACACTTTGTTGAATCCTGTCAACTTGCCGCATTTCTATGAAACTGAACTGACCCTCTAAAAGAATGACAATATATCTCATTCATATATAATTTCTGTTTTACTTTTTGTTTGCAGGGCATCATGAAGTTTTTTTTTTTTTTCAAATTCTTACAGGAATTTCTAAAACTCCAAGATGTTGCCTTTCATATTAAATGATACATAGTGCCCTATATCTGCACTCTGAATACAGATGCTGTAGGCAAACCAAAGATAATTACAGATAATTTTGACTTCTGATGCTTTTGTTTGTTTCTGTGCCCTATATTATTTAAATGATAAAAGGCTAGGGAAATATCCAATACATTATCTTTTGTATACAAATTCCCCTAAAGGTCCAAACTTAAATGCATGTACAACTCCTGTTTATAATTGATAATCAGCAGATGTATAGTTACCATGGCAGCAGACAAGATATGGATGATATTAGGCAAATAAAAGTAAACAAAGATAATAATATTTAAAAGATAGAATTTTGGGCAGAAAGGTAATTTGATCAACACTTTAGTTGATGGGTTTTTTCAACTTTAAGAATTATAGGGATTATATCTTAATTTCAAGATATTTAAATAATTATTATTTTAAATTAATTGGATTATTTTTAATAATTAGTCACAGACTAAACAAGAAGGAAAATTCTACCAGATAGAAATATAAAGATTCCATTTTATAATGTCTGTCAATATAGCAGAAATTAAAATGTAAGTAAATAAATAAAATAGAGGTTAAACAATTTTCTCATAAAAGTTGACAAAAAAATTTAAAGTTAAAAATATAAGGCCGGGCGCGGTGGCTCACGCCTGTAATCCCAGCACTTTGGGAGGCCGAGGCGGGCGGATCACGAGGTCAGGAGATCGAGACCATCCCGGCTAAAACGGTGAAACCCCGTCTCTACTAAAAATACAAAAAATTAGCCGGGCGTAGTGGCGGGCGCCTGTAGTCCCAGCTACTTGGGAGGCTGAGGCGGGAGAATGGCGTGAACCCGGGAGGCGGAGCTTGCAGTGAGCCGAGATCCCGCCACTGCACTCCAGCCTGGGCGACAGAGCGAGACTCCGTCTCAAAAAAAAAAAAAAAAAAAAAAAAAAAAAAAAAATATAAATACAAGCTACATAGGAATTAATGAGAGTAAAACATTTTGATAAAAGTTAAGCAATGTAATTAAAATCAATATTTAAAGTTCAATTAAAGATGTGAATTGAGAGCCAGGACAGCAACAAAAGCAATTGCAAGGAAAAATAATACCAAATATAAAGACAAATTAATGAATTAGAAAAATAAAACATGACCCAGTAAATTATAAAGAAGAAAGTATAGCAACAAAGGTGGAGTTTTTGTTTTAAGTTATACATTTGCTTTTTGAAAATATGTGTTAAATATTTGAAATTTTCAATAAACAGAGTCATTTTCTAGGAAATAAATATTTATTCAAGAAAAGCAAACTATACTGATGAATTATCATGGAGGAGACTGAAAACATCATCAAAAAATATTTAGGTTTATACAGTTACAGTTTTTCTAAGGTATAGGTATTTCCCATATCCTAGCATCTATTCCAGAGCATCAACTATGGTGAAAAAATACAAGTTTATTTCAGAAGCTAGAAAAACCCTAATGCCAATTGCTGCCAAATTTTAACACAAATATGTAAAATTTGAGAAATCCTAAAATTAAAATGCTTTTGTTGTCAAAATCTTTTATAAAATATTTGGATTATAAATTAAACAATATCTACCCTAACCACGTAAAGACTCTATCAAGAATGAAAAGCTCACTTAGCTTTAAGGCAATACATTAATATAATACATTACATACAATTGAATAAATAAAATATGGGGACTTTAATAGTTTCTTGTGTTAGGCTGTGGCCAGATATACTATACTGAACACCCAAATAAGAACAATGATATATGAAGAAACAGAATTTGAAAATATATCACAGCAGTACATAGAGAATCTTAGTCATGTGGTAATAGAATGGACTTTGAGTGCTTACATGTCCACTTTCTCCTATTCTAGCTTCATCTCATGCCCAAACTAGGAACTTCTAGTCCTAGACTCCTTCAGGGTAGTCATCTTCTCACTCTGATTAACTGGGAAGGCATCAAGGAGCTGCAGCTCTCACATACCCTTAATATTATGTGCATTCTTTGCACTGCTTTTCTTTTTCTTCAGTAGGAAGCTAAAGTGTGAGCAATCTTATCCATGTTTCTGGTATAATTCTTGTCCATGCTGTGATCTGGACAAACTCCTAGTTCAATGCTAAAATGATATTAAATAAAAGCTAACCCCCATCCCTAGAACTTGCTTCCATAAGGATTCTTCTTTAACACCTTCCCTAACCTCTTACTAATGGCAAATTGTTCTAGGAATTCTATTAAAATCAGGAGTAAGACTGATGTTCTGAATGCTCTATTCACTGTGGTGAGGTTGGTAACAGAAATAAGACTTATAATGACTAGAAAGGAAAAAACAAAAAATTTTTGCTTTTTTTTTTTGAGACGGAGTTTCACTCTTGTTGCCCAGGCTGTAGTGCAATGGTGTGATCTTGGCTCACCGCAACTCCCACCTCGCGGATTCAAGCGATTCTCCTGCCTCAGCCTCCCGAATAGCTGGGATTACAGGCATGCGCCACCACGTCCAGCTAATTTTGTATTTTTAGTAGAGATGGGGTTTCTCCATGTTGGTCAGGCTGGTCTTGAACTCCCGACCTCAGGTGATCTCCCCTCCTAGGCCTCCCAAAGTGCTGGGATTACAGGCGTGAGCCACTGCGCCCAGCCAAAATTGTTACTGTTTAAGATAAAATAACATATAGCAACAGTAATAACAGATAAATTACTTAGAACTACTTAGAAAATATACTGACTTTACTAGAACAAAAATGAATAGAAAAAAAATTTCCTATATATTTCAAATAACCATTTGGAAAATGTAATATGGAAAATGCAACAAAACTTATAAAATTTATATGGATAATCTCAATTTAAAATCTGTAGCATACATATAGGTGTTTGTGCACACTACATAAATACATTTGAAATGTACATGCATATAAATATGTATATACATAGATACTAATTAACAAGTTACCTAAGCCTGAAAACATACAGTAGTCCCTCTTATTCATGGTTTCACTTCCCATGGTTTTAGTTAACCATGGTCAACTGTGATTTAAAAATTTTAAATAAAATATTCCAGAAATTATTGATAAGCTTTAAAGTGCACACTGTTCTGAATAGGATGATGAAATCTCACACCTTCACACTCCATCTTGCCTGGGACGTGAATCTTCTCTTCTACGAGTTATCCATACTGTAAATACTCCCTGCCCATTAGTCATTTAGCTGCCATGTGTGTAATCAGATTGACTGTTGTGGTTGCTTGTGTTCAAGTCACCCTTATTTTACTTAATAATGGCCTCAAAGCACAAGAGTGGTGATACTGGTAATTCGGATATGCTAAAGAGACGGCATCAATTGAAAAGGTCAATGTCCTTGACTAAATAAATTTAAAAATTATATGTGGGAGTTACTAAGATCTACAGTAAAAATGAGTCTTCTATCTGTGAAATTGCAAAGAAGCAAAAAGAAATGCATGCTAGTTTTGCTGATGTACTTCAAACTGCAAAAGTTAAGGCCACAGTGCTTGGTGAGTGCTTAGTTAAGATGAAAAAGACAGTAAATTTGTGTGTGGAAGACATAAACAGAAGTCTGTTCCAATTGATGGCATTTGGGTTTGGTCAGCGTCCTTGGTTTCAGACATCCATTGGCAGACTTGGAACATAATCCCCCCGCAGCTAAGGGAGGACTTACTGTACTTAGTTAAATGGAAAAACATATTATATATCATAATTGAAGTACTTACTGATTTGAAAATCTTAATTCTTCTAAAGTAATCTGCAATTTATCACAATTTTTTATTGAGAAATCATTTGGAGGTAGTTTGGTAATTTATTGTTGTCAGCTTTTTCCTTTTAAGTTGGTAAAATTATCTTAAACATCATCTGAAAGCCAAACTTATTAAAAATCACTTCGGGTTGGGTGCAATGGCTCATGTCTGTAATTCCAATGTTTTGAGAAGCCGAGGCAGGGGTATTGCTTGAACCCACGAGCTCAAGGCTGCAGTGAACTATGATCACACCACTGCAGTCCAGCCTAGGCAACAGAGCAAAACCCTGTCTCAAAAAAAAAAAAAAAAAAAGTGACTTGGGCAATCTTGTAAAAGAAGAATTTCATGGAAGAATTTGATGTGAAAGGTATTAAAACTCATACTAAGCTATACATTAAAAAATGTTGCTGGCATGTAAACTGACAGATAAAATGAAAAAACAAGTCTTGAAATAGACACACACACACACACACACACACACACAGAATTGTAATATAGTGTCAAAGCATTGTAAACCAACGGGAAAGATAAAGGTGCTAAGATAATTTGCTATGTATTTCACATCATACAGTATATACTATTTTGGGGCCATATTTTTTCATTAAGCATACTACTTGAGATTTGTATATATTGTGGCCTTATTAGTATTCTTCTTATTGACGAGTAACCTTTCTGTGGATATACTACAATCTACTTAGTCATTTAGAAACCGATGGACATTTAGATTGTTTTCAGCTTTTTGGCTTATGGCTTAAAAACTGCTGTGAGCAGCATCAGTTTTAAAAGCTGCTGTGAGCATTCAAGTTCAAGTCCATTTATGGGGGCATGCTTTTATTAATATTTGTCTTGAATAAATTATCTAAGGATGAAATTTTAGGGTCACATGATAATTGTATGTTTAATTCTATAAGAAACTATGACATTATTTTCTAAAGTGGCTGTTCCATTTTACATTTTCAACAGTAATACATGAGAGTTCCGTTTGTACCACATCCTGCCAACACACGGCTTTGTTAGTTTTTCTAATTGGAGACATAACGGTAGATGTGTGGTGTTATCTCACTGTGATTTTGTGTTTGTTTAATGACCAATGATATTGAGGGTCATTTCTTTTGTTTATTTGCAATCCATACATCTTCGATAAATGTCTTCTCAAATATGTTGCCGGTTTTTGTTGGATTGTCTTTTTATTATTGTGTTGTAAAATGTTTACAACTAAAAGAAGCCCTTTATCTGGTATACTTTTTGCAGATATTTTCTCCCAGTCTACAACTTGTCTTTTCATTTGTTTGGCAGTGACTTTTGAAGATGAAAACTTATCATATTAATTTTGATGAAGTTCAACTTATTCTTTAATAATTTATGCTGTCTATGTTCTATTCAGAAATCTTTGTTGCTTCTGAAATGTTCCTGTTTTCATCTGGATGTTTTATACTTTTCAGTCTTATTTTAATTCTGTGACTCATTTTGAGTTTCTTTTTTTTAAAAACTTTTATTTTCGATTTGGGTGTACATATGAAGGTTTGTTACATAGGTAAACATGTGTCATGGGGATGTGCTGTACATATTTTTCATCACTCAGCTATTAAGCCCAATGCCCAATAGTTGTCTTTTCTGCTTCTCTCCCTCCTCCCCTTCTCCTCCTCTAGTGGACCCCAGTGTCTGCTGTTTTCTTCTTTGTGATCATAAGTTCTTATCACTTAGGTCCCATTTATAAGTGAGAACATGTGGTATTTAGTTTTCTATTCCTGTGTTAGCTTGCTAAGGATGATAGCCTCCGGCTGCATTCATGTTCCTGCAGAATACATGATCTCATTCTTTTTTCGTGGCCGCATAGTATTCCCTAGTGTGTGTGTGTGTGTGTGTGTGTGTGCGCGCGCGCGTGCGCGCCTATATATATCTCTTTCTCATTTCTGCACTCTTCTGTGGGGTGTTTCGTAGTACCACCTCCTAATAGTATTGCCTCCGAAACAGGTACTACAATTTTCATTCAACGTCTGATCCTGAGAGAGAATCCAACCTAAAACAGTAGGCAAAGGCACAAGTAGGGAGATGGGTAAACAGGCTATACATATATATAGATACTACATTTTCTATATGGTCTAAGCTAAGGGTGAAGTTTTGTTTTTGTTGTTTTGCATATGGACATGCAATTGTGCCATCGCCATATGTTGAAAAGACCATCTTTTTCCATTGTATTTCCTTCACACTTTTTGCCCAAAATGTATTGATCATATATGTGTGCATCTATTTCTGAACTCCCATCCTTTCCATTGATGCCAAATTTACACCAACACCACAGTGTCTTGATTCCTGTAGCTTTATAGTTAAGTTTTAAAATCAGGTAGTGTAAGTACAAAGTGTTGTTTTTTGTCAAAATTGTTTTGGCTTTTGTGGCTCCTTTGCATTTTCACATGAATTTTATACACAAAATACAAATGACCAAAAATATATGCAAATATTTCTCATGTTATCTTTAGCAAAAACAATGCATGGTAGAAACAACTCTGAAATGCCATTTTTGACACCTTCAAATTTATATAAATAAAGAAAAATTATACCTACCTTAGTAAGGGTACAGTGAACAAAGGTACAGTGAACAGAACAGGAATATTTATGTAATTTTCCTATATAGAATTTGGCAATTGATGTCAAGAGACATAAACACATTCATAGGCTTTTGTCTGATAATTCCATTTCTGGAAATCCAATTAAAAGAAATAATCAGAGTTGTAGTTGAGTGTATTTGGGTGGATTGTAGGAGACTCTGATGGTAGCCCACTCACATCACTGAGGTATTCATCATTCCTGTGCACTCTGTCTCAACACATCCCAAATGCCAGTTCCTGTGATTTTACAGACGTGCAATCTATAGAATTGCATAGGGTCTCATGCTCAGAAGGGCCTTGGTTTCATGCATTGCTGTCACCTTCCTGAAATCCTCAATCGTTTTTAACAAGGGGCCCCCCATTTTCGTTTGACACTTGGCCCCACAAATTATGCAGAAGATGCTGCCTCTGACTTCGCTTAAGGACTTCCTTTGACCCTTGGAGCCCATCCAGTCCATATGGGGCTGGAGGGAAATGTCAAGTGGTCCCTGCACCCCAGAATACCCAATAAGACAGGCTGTATGTCTCCTAGAGTTCACCAGAGAGATGAAACCTCAGTTGCCTACTGTGTTCAATAAACATTTATTCATTTTCTTTTTTTTTCCTCTTTCTTATTTCTGCACTCCTCTCTAGGGTGTTTCCTAGTACCACCTCCTAACAGTATCACCTCCCAAACAGGTACTAAAATTTTCATTCAAGGTCTGTTCCTGAGAGGGAATCCA
The DNA here is from genome assembly GCF_000001405.40 of Homo sapiens. NCBI lineage: Eukaryota > Metazoa > Chordata > Mammalia > Primates > Hominidae > Homo > Homo sapiens. The sequence continues at coordinate 82,570,843 of NC_000001.11, read as the reverse complement.
GCCCAAAACAATAGGCAAAGGCACAAGTAGGAAGATGGGTAAACAGTCTAGCACAGTAATGCAGGCAAGATGATCGTGGCAGTCTGAACCAGGATGATAGTAGCTGAGGTGGTGGTAAAGGTTGGATTCTGGATATTTCTGAGGGTTGTGTCAGCAGAGTTTGCTGAAATTTTGGATGTATAGTGTAAGACTATGAGGAAAGTGTGGAGTAAATTAATGGGTTTTGGCCCAAGCTACTAAAATAGATATTAACTAGGATCATGACGTCTGCTAAAAGAGATGTGTGGGTAGAAAATTGGGTAGAAGTTTGAGGTGCTGGGTAGAGGTGAGAAGATGCCAAGTAGGTAATTAAATACATGTGTGTGGAGTTCATGGAAGTGGTTGAGCCTGGAGTTATATATTTGGGAATCATGGGTGTATAGATAGTATTTAATCCCATGACACTTGATGAGTTCAATAAAGACATAAGTGTTGATGAAAAAGAGATGCTCTCCAAAGATGAGGCTTTAAGAGCTTGGGAATATGGGCAGAATCTGCAACTCAGGCTAAGATGAATCAGATAGAGAAGTAGAAACCTAGAGGGCATGGTTCCCCAGAAGCCAAGTAATGAAAGTTTATCAGGAGAGAGAGATCACCTGATTCAGAAATGATGATTGGATTTAATATTATGGAGGTCAATGTTGGCTTTGGCATGAGCAGTTTCATTGTAGTAGTGGAGGCCAAAGTCTGAACGGCATGGGCTCAAGAGAGAATGGGAGGAAAGAAATTTTTCAGCCAGTATACATATTTTTTCTGGGTATTTTGCAAACAAAAAAAATGGGAGCAATACAAAATAAGTAGCAATTGGAAGGGTAAGTAGAATGAAAATAGTCAATCTTTTTTAGTTGCAAATTATAATAGTATGTATGCTACTGAGAAAGAGCTAGTAGAGAAAGAAAAAAATCCTCTATTCATTGTTGTTATTGAGAATATTAATGATACCTTAGGTAAATGGCTGGAGGTGATCTTATCAATGTAATTTTGAAATATTAATTATTCTTTAAAATGATTAGCTGGACATTCAATATTTCCATCTAATATTCTCTCAAAATTTATTCAATCCATTTCTTCAGTCTACAATCCATTAGACCTTTACAGCTTATATCCAAAAACTCTGTATGTAAGCGGGCCAAAGCCTTGGAAACATTGCAAACAGCAATACAGCTATAGGAAAAATTAAAGTGCAAATGTATTAAGGCTGACAAAATGCAAGGTTTTTGTTTTGTTTTGTTTTGTTTTGTTTTTTTGAGACGGAGTCTCGCTCTGTCCCCCAGGCTGGAGTGCAGTGGCACGATCTCTTCTCACTGCAAGCTCCACCTCCCAGGTTCACGCCATTCTCCTGCCTCAGCCTCCCAAGTAGCTGGGACTACAGGTGTGTGCCACCACGCCTGGCTAATTTTTTTGTATTTTTAGTAGAGACAGGGTTTCATCATGTTAGCCAGAATGGTCTCGATCTCCTGACCTCGTGATCCTCCCGCCTCGGCCTCCCAAAGTGCTGGGATTACAGGCGTGAGCCACTGCGCCCGGCCAAAATGCAAGTTTTTTAGGAGTGTGAATACGTGTATTTTGAGATGAAAATATAAATATTCCACAATAATAAAATGGCAAAAAGAAGTCTTTTTTGTGTTCTTTTATAAACCTCCCTCTGAGAGAGAAAATTCTATTCCTGGTTATGACTTCTAAAATATAATCTCGAAACCTAACATTTTGCTTTGTCTTCAAGAAGATAATCAGAGTTGTGGAAAAAAAAATACTCAAACGTACATTTATTTTATATCAGCTAGTAAGTTATTATTGACCTTCTACTGTATTTTAGAAGGGATATACAAAACTTTAAGATGTGGAAAATTATAAGATACAGTCCCTATTATCAAGAAAATCCAGTTGTGGGAATTCTCTTAGTATGGTTCATAGAAAAAACAATGATATGGCAGGGAATTCTGTTTTCTTTAAGGGATTGTACTAGCAATGGAATAGCAGGAAAAAAAGCCATTCAAAGACCTCGTTCACAAATATGCATCATGAGTAACTTAAATATCTGATGGTCAGAAGACTTGACTTTCTCAGCCTAAACATGTCTACGTCTCAAGAGGACAGCAGGGTTGGAGAGATAAACCTGTTTTGTGTGTGTGTGTGTTGCTTGTTATTTGGGGGGCATAAGGTTGGGGATGTTTCTGACACACCAAATAATTTATGCAATGTTTGCAAACTGAAGGTCAATTCATTCTTCAGACAGCAAACAATATACACTGCTTTCTGTTTTTGTTGTTGTTAACAGTTCCTGCCAATAACCTGATTCCTGGGTAATTAGGGACTGAAAAGGTAATCAGGATTCAAGTGTGCTGAAGTTCACAATTGGGATTTGTGCTTAAAAGCCCTAGAAACTTAGAGAGAAACCCCCTCTGCATCCTTTAAAATGGTCTAAAAGTCTAATCACCAACCTGAGAGAGTGGATACTGCAGCTCCTTTGAGTCTGGCAGTTACAGAGAAGACCCCAAGAAGACCCTTCAAGCTTCTAAGTAAATAAAGTTACTTTCATTGTCAGTTTTAATAGGATCTGGAACCTACCCAAATGTGACTGAAATCTAAGTGTCCTTTGCACGTCCTAAATATATCCTAAATATATCGTGTAAAATCCATCCCTAAACACCAATCTACTGTTTATTTGCCAGTTAATAGTTTATTTCCTTTAGCCATGGAAAACAGGCTGTGTTTCTTTTCCATCATTATACACCAGGGTTAAAGTAACTTAGTAATATTTTAAAGGGGAAAATAAAAAGTAATGAGGCAACTCCTTGAAATTTGTGGTTTCAGTCCAAATGGTCCTATCGAATTTCATTTATTGAGGAGATGGAGTGCTACAAAATTTCTAGAAAAGTTATACTTATTGATACTTTAATCATTACATGATCAGGATCAATAAGCCTTAGTCAGTTTTCCAGCCATCACAAATGGTCCCATGGACATTCTCCTACTACGACAGCTAGACGAATAATCAGTACATTCATCAGTAACCCAGTTAACAACTGGCTCATTTAACTTTTTTGTACTTTTGTCCTTGTCCCCAAAAAGGATAAAGGGAAATAGTATTTGGTCAAGCCCTGATAAATCAATAACTTAATGCAGTTAGTTACACTTACTTAGTGCAGTTAATATTAAAAGCTTGTAAGAGTTTCCTTGTATTTACTTCTTTATTCCCACATCAGCCGTTCCAGAACATTCTCATTTTCCACATGAAAGCCACAGGAGCCATTTCACAGCACAGACCCAACAAACTGAACACCAGAAGATTAAGTGGCTAAGCTGCCTAGCATTGCTTGTTTAGCTTTGCCCACAGGATTTGAATTTGCACTACACTGTTGAACATCCTAAAATAATTTAACCACATCCCAAACACTGCATAAAGAAAGTCTGTTCCATTTCTCGCCTCTTTAGATTGCACGTCCAGAGCAATTTCTCCCAAATTAAATGCCATTTGGTTTGCATTAGAATAATCAGGATAACTGCAAACATTAATAAGTCTGCAATAATAGCAAAGTTATTTTCTTTTCTAAATAGTGCTACACATACCTACGAAAGCTTTTCCGTCCTGTTTTTTCTCCTTTATTTTAAAAATAGATCCATCTCTGTAATCTTGTTGAGTGTTGCGATTCGCACCCTGGTTTTATGATGATGTGAATTTTAATATAAACACAGGTGTAAAGGAAAGCAAAAGAAGCAGCCTACTAAAACAAGTTTTCCATTTGCATGTTTGGCCTGGGTCATTCCAAGCATCCATGCATGCATTCACTCATTTATTCATGTATTTGAAAAGCATTTATTGAGAGTCTATAATGTATCGGAGTTGGTAGTGGGGCTGGAAATAAAAGAAGAATGAGAGAGAGGCATGGTCCTTATTATTAAGGGGCACAAGGCTAGTGTGAAGAATGTGAGCAGTTAATAGCTCATAACAAGGAGTATATGATTAGAATGATACACTAAATGGTGCAAAGTCTCATTGAATATATTTTTCTAAAGAAAGGCAGTTGTATTCAGAGCATAGGGCAGAGGACTAACCATCTGCTCATACATTCACCCTAAAGGTATATATATTAAGCTTTATTTGGGATCATGTTGGCATTAAATGGAGATCATTATAAAGTTATTTTGGTGACCTGCTATAGCACATAAAGGTGGGAAAATTGAGGCACAGAGCACTTATCTGGCTTACCCCACAGCAGAACTAGAAATCTGCAGCTAATTGGTAAATTTGGTAATTAATATAAAATGAGAATTTTCACCTGATATAATCCATACAATAGTATCAGGTATAGTGGCTTTATCATTAAATGATGCATATAATTTAGTTATATATACTAAAATAAATTGAAGGATGTCTTAAAAATGAGAAAGACAGCTATTACTAATATCAGTAATTAGCCTCAAAGGGAGAAATCTAGATAGAACAAGAACATATTCTAAGGAGCTATTAATAGATCCTTAAGGTCCCTTCAAATCCAGAAACATGTTTAATTCAGTATTTTCATATATATTAAATAGAGTATTGATAATAGATGTTACAAATCTTAAAAATAAGATTGTTCTATTTATATATTTTTCAAGAAATAGCACAACCTTGCTAGAACCACTACATTTTTTCTTTATGTGTTTCATATATTTCAACTTTATTTAAAAGATTACTATAAAAATTGCTAACTTCTTATTTTACATCTTTTATTCCAATTCCTATATAAAGTTTCGTGCAAGAAGCAAATGCTTAAAAATATTTAACATGGTATGGTGATATTTAAATTCTCCTTTACTTTTCTAAGTAGGTACCCAGACAAAGAGTATTATTCTTCCCCATCCACTTCATTTTTTAGAGTTTTCCGGTAAATTCATCAGTTTACTACTTGAACCTGCATACCAAGACTTCTTTTCAAAGTTAACAATTGTGATTTCTAACATCAGAGCAGTGTTTTTGTTTCTGCTGTGCTTCTTTGATATTGGCAAGAATAAGTTCAAAAGAATGCGATGAAGCCTTCATTAAGGGACTATGTTACTCATAGACTCTGGGAAGGCAGCCAGGGGAATCAATTGGTGAAACATTCAAAGCAAAACGTGTGCCACCCTCTTTTACATTCTCACATATGCCAAAGCTGACTGCTGAGGCGTTGAACTAAAGATCCTTGTCCTAGTCTTTGAGGTGTTCGATTTCTCTTATTTCCTCAGACCTGAATACCTGTTTTTATTACATTGCTTTCAGCGTGATATGTTATGATGTTCTGAGATTTCACTTCAAGGCATTGGCAGGTTTCTTTTACATCTGTGCATTTAGTAATCACGGAATGGTACTGGAGAAGAAGCTGCAGGGCAGGCCATGTGATAAAAATTGCAAGGATACTTCTACCCACCAGAGGACACTGGGCCTGGAGATGTTCTTTGCATGAGTCAAAGCAGGGCAGGAAGTTCATTCTCTTGGGATGTGAAATGCTGACTTTCTCTTTGTTATTAGGATATAAGCCAAGCTAAGAAGAACAAGGACTCTGTGAAAGGAAAGTCACCTGTTTCTCTGGCCCAAGTGTTCGCCTGTCAATCTGCTGTTCCAGATCCAGACTATAAAGAGTGAAGGGGGCGGGGAGAAGGAGAAAAGAAGCAGCAAATTGTCTTGCCCAGAGATTGTTTGGATTAGCTAATAAAATCTGCTAAGCTTCTGAAAATCCCTATCAAAAATCAGGCAATTAATTTTATCTCCATTTCTAATCAAGAGCAGCCAACATGAGTTTTCAGAGCAAAGACAGAGACTGTGATTTGGTAATGTCATTTGGGTAATCACAGTTTTATACTATAAACTTTGAAGTCTTTACAAAGTTTAAAGAATCAGGGATTGTTGCATAAAAACCACAGAATAAAATAACTATATTTATCAATCTAATATAAAATACTAACTTAAAAAGTCATGGCTTGCTGCACTTCATAAACTACTTGTTTACACTATATTCCCATTTACCATAAATTCCTTGTGCATGTTTTCATATACATGTATTTAAGATTTCCTAAAAGATAATGTTGCCTTATCAAGATTCTCTAAAAATGGGTGTAAAGTTGTAAGATCATCAAAGTTTTAGAGCTCTTAAGAGCTTTGAAGGTAATTTAATCATATCTTCTCATTTTATAAAATAAGCAATGGAGACCAGAAATAACAAATATTTTGTTCAATATTACAAAGCTCACTAACAGAGACAGGCTTTTCTGGTTCCCAGGACTTTCAAGACACCACACTGCAGCCAAAGAACATTGTAGCTGGCAGCGCTTTCCAGATGAAATCCAGTTCTTGCAAGTTAACCTTTATTCGTCCAATAAAGACTACAATTTTCAAACAAGGTTTGAAATAGTACTGTAGTTTTTATTGGATGAATAACCACTGAAATAAGTTTACATAGTATTTAATCATTATATATAGTTATTTATATAAATAATGTAATTATATATGAATAATATATATTTAATAAAGTACAGTGCTCAGTGGGTTAAAATAAAGATTGCTAGTTACAACAAATAAGTTTTCATAGGATATTAAAATAATTGTCAGTTTAGAACTCACTGTTCTCCAATAAAATAAATACAAGTAATGAATTTGAGAAAACATAGTGTTTTACAGATGAATAAAAAAATGCATTTGAAATGCTAACATATTATTTCCTTTTTTCAACCAAAGAGATCTTTTCAAATGTTCAGTTACAATTCTTTCAACAGTGAATATAAATTTTATAGATTTGAGTTTTAGCGTCTTTCTAATGTGGTTGACCGTTGAACACTAGATTGACGTATTCAGTGGTCACATAGACATCAGTTGGAATAATGATATAACAATAACAAGCACGTTTTCTTGAGAAATACTTTAAAAAGTAAATTATATACTGAACCACAAAATGAAAAATGGGGAGATATAAATGCTCTTTAAACTGTTTTTATAAACATACTGAAATGTAGACAGAAACGTGTAAAGCCGGAAATAGAGCAAAATGTGTTTTCAGGTGGCACTATAAAGAAAGAGATGAAATAAAAATGGGAGGCAAAAGATGTATGTTCTACATATAGCAGTGAACTTGAAACCAAAACTGCAAATTTGTATAAAGAGTTCAAAATAAGGGACATAGTCAGTGAACCAGAAAAACAGAACAAGGCAAATGAATATTATTTTATATGTGATTAAAATGATTACATGAGAAAGTTGAATATGAGAAGGAAAACAGTTTTTGACTTAATGATGAAAGCTATCAAGAAGCAGAGAAAATGATGAATAATGTGATGAGATGGGCCATTTTAATTAAATTTTCAAAGCATAAGTTAATCAAAAACTATATAGGCCAAATAAAAAAAAATAGAAAATGGATGGCAAGCTAAGATGTGAAGTGGGGAATAAGAAGAGACACAAGTTATAGTAAAGTAACAATCCAAGGAACTTTGTGGTGAGTGATTGTCCCGCCCAGCCCTATTACTGACTAGCATAGTGTCTCATGCTTTATTTCTTGACAGCATCGGAAAAGTCAACTGGAGCCAGTACACAAAAAATTCAACAGCAATTTGCAATAAAACACAAATTAAACAAGTTACATTTTCTATTGTTTTCAGTCTTATTATTCAAATCAACAGGAATAAAGAGTTCTCTAGCGCTCCACTATTAAAATGTTTTTCCTAAAAGTCAAATACTTGACATAAATGTAACTGACTACTAAAGCAAACCTTGTGGATTTGACAAGGCACTTGTTTATCAAAGTGGTAGAAAAGAAAAAAGCCACTATAAGCATGCATTCAGTTCTGAAATTTGGTCTTAATACTTTTCTTCAAAGCTCTCCGCAGTATCAAACAATGAGATTAAATAGGGAATTTTTGTTGTTGTTTTCAATTGTATGCAGAAATAATTTTGTTTTTCTATATTTCTTAATGACACTTCCATGAGATTTTCAAGTTGTTGCATTTAGTTTTTGCCAATGCTCAGATAAAAATTGTGTGTTTACCTTATCACATAGAGCATTTCAAATTTTATATTGCTGTCTAGTCAATCAGCTTGACAGCTCCATTCTCACAGTTGGTGTTCTCTCTTTCTCTTTCTTCTTTTTGATTGACTCGGCATAACCGCTGACACAATAGCCTCTGACCAAAGGGAATAGTTCTTTTCCAGAGTTATTGTTTTGAATTCTATTCACAGTTAACTATGTCTCACTGAACCCTTCCAATATAAGCAAAATATTTGGATTACTTTCAAAGTAATAATGCCCCAGGGCAAAATTAAATATAAAACCCAACTTCCTTTTTTTTTTTTTTTTCAACTCAGCAGAAAGACCTGCAAAATATTTAATGCTTGACAGAATGACCAGGACCCATTTTTATTGTTGCATTAGGTTGGCCACTATCTTATCCAGTAAGCAGATTACCTAGTTTTTGTTATTTTTTAAAGCACATCTTATGAGAGGCAGAGGCAACATCAGCCAATCACAATCAATTCTTATGTAAATAAGAGAATGATGAATCCTGCTCCCAACCAATTTGGGGAGGAGCCACCCCAAACTGCTTGATGCATCTCCAGCTGATCTTGTGGTAATTAAAGAAAAACTTTCTATCATGCAGGATCCGTGCTGTTCCAGTCATCAACTAAGCAAATCAATAATAGTCATCCCCTAAATACTTCCCTGAAATAACTTAGAATATGTTATAAGATGATTAAAAACTTTAAGTTCTAGAGAATTTTTCTTCATCCTGGTCATGATTCAGATAGATTATCCATCTAAATATAAAATATTAGTAGGTAAGACAATCTGATCTTGGCTGTCCCTGGTCTTTAAAAATAATTTATATCAGTCAACTCTTCTTAGGAATATCTTCTCCTACAGAATCATTGAGAATTGACGCAAAGGAAGTTGTCTGGAATTTATCAGCTTCAGAAGACTGACTGCTAGAATGTGTATCTAGACTGAAAGCTAATGGTTAATAGCCACAGTATATTATTTTTCCTGATGCATTACAGCTAGAATTTCTACTTTTGCAACCTGGAAATAAGATGTCTGAAGTTATTTTAGCACTATTTCTATCTTTTGACAAAACAAAGGCAAGTTTCTGGATAGTACAAGAAACAAAACTGTGAACTGAACAGACGGAGTCTAACAAGTCAGTGTTATTAAAATACAGGGAAGAAGATAGTGTTGGTACAGCCAATCATTGTTGGTTTATTCCCTGGTTTATTTACAAAGATTGGCATGGGGGTTTGAACTAGCACACTGTGTGTGCCAGAGTCATCATGCTGTTTTGCTAGACAAGTGGTAGATATCACATTTCTCTAATCAGCAGACTTTTTATTCTTACATTTACATTGCCTTTGCTTATCTTTCTCATGGCTTCTAATTTTCACCTAATGAAATCGTAAGCTTTGGAGTCAAACAAACCTGAGGTTGAAGCCAAACTTTGAGAGTTATTACTTGTTTGGCCCAGTTAACCTCCCTTAGCCTTAGTTTATTCAGCTGTAAAATGGTGAAGTTATATGGGCCAATGGTGAAATGAGATACTGTGTGTGTGTGTGTTTGTGTGTGTGTGTAATTTAACAGAATGCCCATCATAAAGTATTCAATAAACTTCAGCTAGAATGTTTTTTATCTCATTATTAATTTTATAAGACATCTTAATTATTTTAATAAGGTGGGTTATAATTAAGTAAATAAATTAAAATACATGCATTTATTCAATTACTATTTCATAAGTACCTATTCTGCTGGACATGTTGTTTTTTGGCAAACAAGGATACAATAAAATAAGACTCTAGATTTCAAAGAACATATGGAGTCTATCCAGGGAGATACCTATGTGGATAGCTGACAATAAGATAACCTAATAAGTGTGATAGTACAAAGATGACTAAAGGAGCAAGGAAACACAGAAGAGGGAATATTTTATCTTTTCCTTGGAGGATACTCAAGGGAGATACTAGAGAAGAGATAACTCCAAGTTTGACTTTGAAAAATGAGTAGGAATCTGCCAGTTCAAGTAGGGGCAGGGGAATTCCCAGCCAAAGAAATGAACAATGCTTCAAAGGTGTTCACATATGTCTGATGCCAGGGACTGTGATTCAGACCTGGCTAGACCACCTGAGGACTTCAGCTTTACTGAGGAAATAATCTTTCCTGAATCTCTCTATTGTTACCATTAATACTATTAAAAATACACAATTCAATTAGTTTTGATGATTCTATTCACCAGCACTATGACCACCATTGCCAAATATTGCTACCTTTGTTTCCAGTAATGGATTTTGGAGTATTTTACCACTACCAATACATTAGCTAAGATGTATGGGTGGGGAAACGACTTTATTTACTGTCTTCTAATTACTCTATTCTCCTTGCAAAAAACATCAGCAAGCTTAAAGGACCTCATGATCCTATCGCTCTGCTAAGTATAAAAACAATCCAAATACTTCAGCATTTGACTTTGAGATTTGCTATCAACCTTCATAGACTTATTGTACTTCTCTTCTTTCTCATTATTCCAAACAGCTCCTCATTGACTCAGAATATTGATTTTATTAGGTTGGTGCAAAAGTTTTTGCCACTAAAATAATGGCAAAACCCACAATTACTTTTGCACCAACCTAATATTCAAACACAGCTTCAATGGGAAGATTGATATTGTACATTCTGAAGCCTAATTTCTAGGGTTTCTAGTCTAAATTCCCCGTTTGATAGCTATGTGGCTTCAGACAAGTGCCTTACCTTTAGTGTCCTTGCCTGTATAATGGTAATGGTACCAATACTTCCCTTATAAAATTAAATGAGTCAGGAATAGGTGAGTTAATACATGTAAAGTATCTAAACAGTGCCTAGCGCATGATCAGCACTCAGCAAGTTTTTAGCTAATATTACTATTTCCTGTTCAAAATATAAATACCCTACTTTAGATTATCATCTCAAATTATTTTCAAAAGACCCATGATGATATTTTAAATAATATATATATATATATATTTGTTTTAAAAGAGGCAAGCAATAGCTAACTAAGTACAGGAAGTACCACCAAAGCTCTCCCCTTAATTCCCACCACTCCTATTCCAAACCTCAGAGGTAACCTCTGGTTGCAGTGTAAAGGGTATCATCTGGTTCTTTATCTCTATGTTTATTTCTTTGAATATGAATTAGAACTTGCCCATGAATTTGAATATGAATTATTCTAAAAATTACTTTTTTTTTTACTTAATATGTCTCAGATACCTTTTCATCACAATGCATTTTCATTTATTCACCAAACATTTCCTAAACAGCTATAATGTACCAGAGCCTTTTTCTATTTTCTGGAGACGGATACATTAGAGAACAAAAATTCATGCCCATTTGAAGCTTGCACTCTGTTTGATGTATAGCTTATTATTTTCTAATAACTAGTATGCTACAGAGTATGAATATAACCAAACCTCTTTTACCATCCCCCTATTAAAATAAATTTAGGTGATTTTTAGTTTTTTTGTGCTGCTATTAATATAATAACACTGATAGCCTTTGCACTCATGTTCCTATGGGGTTTTTCTATTTTTAAGAGGAATTCCAAGAAGTGAACTTACTGATTTAGAGGTTTTTATGGACATTGCACCAATTTGTCCTCCAAAAAGTATTTGCCAATTCACCCTCTCACCTAGAGTTTTTGAAAATGGCTATTCCACCAATATCATCCAAATTGAAGTCAACAAAACTGTCTTCAAAAATGTTTACAGAAGCTTTACAAAAAAAAGATATTTTGGTCAATTAAATTTGAGAAAACACTGGAGTTCTCTTTACTAAAGTTTTCATGTTGCCATGCGTTATAAATTTTCAATATGGGTGCATAATATGCAATGTTTTTACCATACTTATTTTAACAAATTAAAGAGCAATGTTCTATTTGTTTATGTGACAAATGATGTATGTATTGTTTAGAATTATGCCAGTGCTTTTTAACTCATACTATCTAGGAAATATGTAGATACCAGAATGTAGAATGTGATATAAGGTTTTTTTGTTATTTTTACCCATTGCATTTTTTTAGGTGAGAATATTCCACAAAAGATATAGTCCTCAAAAGATATAATGGGTCAAACATAATAGGCAGAGCAGATTTAGCATAATTCTTAAGGGCTCTCGGGTTTGGGGGGCCCTTTTAAGTTGAGCATTGGCTTCAACTTATAGTCACCAAATTCACTAGCCCCTAGCAAGAAAGTCAGCCTGTCTTTGGAGCTTTGAAGCTAGGCACTGACATCCTCTCTAGCTAGGAAAGTCCTAGATGGCATCTTCTTCCAAAATAAGGCTGTTTCATCTACATGAAAAATGTGTTGTTTAGTGTAGCCACCTCATTAATTACCTTAGCTAGATCTTCTGGATAACTTGCTGCAGCTTCTCCACTAGCACTTGCTGCTTCACCTTGCACTTTTATGTTATGAAGACAGCTTCTTTCTTTAAACCTCATGAACAAGTCTCTGCAAGCTTCCAGCTTTTCTTCTGTAGCTTCCTCTCCTCTCTCAGTTTTCACAGAATTAAAGTTAGTGCCTTGAACTGGATTAGGCTTTGAATTAAGGGAATGTTGTGGCTGGTTTGATCTTCTAACCAGACTATTAAAACTTCCTTCATATCAGATGTAGGACTGTTTCACTTTCTTATCATTCATGTATTCACTGGAGTAGCATTTTTCATTTTCTTCAAGAACCTTTCACACATTGGCTAACTGTCAAGCTTTTGGCCTAGCTTGGCTTTTGACATGCTTCCCTCACTAATCTTAATCATTTCTAGCTTTTGCTTTAAAGAGAGATGTGTGACACTTCCTTTCACTTGAGCGTATAGAGGCCATTTTAGGGATATTTATTGGTCTAATTTCAATATTGTGTCTCAAGGAATAGAGAGGCCCAAGGAGAAAGAGAGAGAGACCAAGGAACAGCCAGTGAGTAGAGTAGTCAGAACACATAGTGTGAATTAAGTTAGCGATCTTATATGGGCATCGTTCTTGGTGCCCAAAACAATTACGATAGTGAGATAACTGATTATTAATCACAGATAACTATAACAGATATAATAATAATAAAGTTTGAAATATTTCTAGAACTACCAAATTTTGACACAGAGATCTGAAGTGAGCCCAAGCTATTGGAAAAAATGGTGCCAATAGACTTGCTTGATGCGAGCTTGCCATGAATCTTTAATTTGTTGAAAATGCAATATCTGGGCCAGGTGCGGTGGCTCACGCCTGTAATCCCAACACTTTGGGAGGCCGAGGCGGGTGGATCACCTGAGGTCAGGAGTTCAAGATGAGCCTGACCAACATGGTGAAACCTTGCCTCTACTAAAAATATAAAAATTGGCCAGATGTGGTGGCGGGTGCCTGTAATCCTAGCTACTTGGAGGCTGAAGCAGGAGAATCACTTGAACCCATGAGGCAGAGGTTTCAGTGATCCCATATCATGCCACTGCACTCCAGCCTGGGCAACAGAGCAAGACCCTGTCTCAAAAAAAAAAAAGAAAAGAAAAGAAAACGAAAATGCAGTATCTGCAAAGTGCAATAAAGCAAAGTGCAGTAAAATGAGGTACGCCTGTACATGGTAGATATTTCTGGATATCTGGTGTCTCTTCATCACATGGTGATTTAGGAATTCAGGCTTCTTCCCTCATGTGGGAGACTTCACTGTCCCCTAAGGTCTCATTGTCATCTGCACGGAGTAGGCAAACCTTAGAAGCCTCATTTTACGTTGAAACCATCATTTCTTTACATTCCTTTGGCAAGAACTACACATATGGCCATACCTAACTATAAAAGGGTCTGAGAAATGAAGCTTAACTCTGCATTCAGAAAAAAAAGGAAACAGTTACTGGCTAAAAGTCACCAGATTTTGACACATCTAACAGGTCCGCAATAATATGGCTAACAACTCAAGCACTCATTATATGGCAGGCTCAGTTCTAGACACTTTATTTGGATTAATTCGCATAATATTCAAAACAATCGTATAAGGTTGGTGCTTCCATTTCATAAGTTAATAAGGCAAATCAAGGTCACATAGCTTGTAGGTGGTGGAACCAGGAGAGAAATCCAAGCTGAGGGCCAGCCTTCTTGCTGTGCCATGCTGCCTCTTTGCCATTCAGTGTGCCCCACGAACAGGCCTGCTGGAGTCATCGTTCCCTATAGTCTCATACACAGTTCTCCTTTGCCTTAGTTCCCTCTGACTTTTTCAACTTTACCCTCCCTCCCCACAAGGTCCTGGACCAGTTTTGGAGAATAAATATTCAGTTCTTCATATCCTATAATTGAAAGGCACTAGCTCACCCAGATAAGTCATAGTGATTCAGCAACAAGACAAACTTTCTTTTGCTAATGTTGGTCATGTCCTAGAATATAATTGTAATACTCGATTAAGAAAAAGACCTCTCCATATCCTTTTTTCCATTTTACTATTTGACCATCTTCTATGAAGAACCAAAATCTCAGTTTTCCTTCTCTCTGGTTATTGTCTTTTCCTGGCTTTAATAGTTTCTCTTACTGTAACTAAATTTAGATATGAGTGTTGCTTCAAATTTACTTCATGTGTCTTTCATTTCTCACTCTTTAGTAATAATCATATTTGCTCCCATGGCTTCAATTAAAATCTATATCTGTTTTCCAATCCAAGGACTAGTAGGCCAGTGGTCAGGAAAGAAATAGGGGTTACATAACACCTAATAGAGGTCTGATGGTACATCAAATCATTGAGGGTGTCATTTCAAACTGATCTTTTTTGCCCTGCACCAAAGCCGCTAATATACTCACTATATCAGTTGGCTACTGCTACGTGCTAATGCTGAGAAACACACCACCCTAAAGCTCAGTGACTTAGGACAGTTATTCTCACTTTGCAGTCTATGAGTTGGCAGGATGGCTTTCCTTTAGGCTACAGGTCCTTATGTCTACTGGGAGAGGTTTATTCTGTGTGCATCTCGATTTCCTGAAGCCAGCAGTATTTGTTCTTCTAGTAATGATGGCAGAGAGCAAAAGGGCAAACCCAGCCATGACAATACATTTCATATCTCTGCTTGAGACACATCAGATAAAATCCCTTTGGTCAAAGCAAGTCACATGCTGAGCCCTAAGTCAAGAAAAAGAGAAGTACACTCTGTCTTTAGTGGGGGGAAACTGCAAAGTCACAAGCCACAGGGAATGGATACAAGGAGAGGTGAACTGAGAAAGGTAACTGAATATGCTGCATTCTTATCTTGAAACTTACAGGTACAGATAAAGATGAAACATCCAATTGCAGATATGAATGACCTAATTCAATGGATGAGTCTGGAAGAGGACCAAGTTCATGGGAAAGATCAAAAATTCAGTTTTGAAGATGTTGATGAGAAGATGAGACAAAACCATGTATAGATGCGGATGAGCTAATTAAATATATGAGTCTGGAGCTGAAAGGAAATGCCTTGACAAGAGAAGTAAATTTGAGGACCATCAGTATACAGATGTACTTGAATCCATCTATGTAAATGCAATCACCCTGGGAGGAAATTTAGAGTGAGAACAGGACTGCGTGGAAAGACATTAAAGAAGTTAAAGAAAGAAGAACTAACAAAGGCAGGAGAGAAGAAGAGGACGGAGAGGTAGGAGAGAAACCAGTAATGTGCGATGGCATAGAAATTAAGGTATGAGTATTTCAAGAACAAGATATTAATGGTATTGAATACTACTGAAAGGCCAATCATGATGAGAATAGAAAAACTGCTGATTTCACTATTTGGCAGTGGGTTCACTGACTTCCTCATCTGCAATGACTTCTCTTGATCTCACCTCCACCGTCTACTCCAAGGGCCACCTTAGATCTTAGGATCTAATTCACTCCTGTGCCCAAATCACTTTTCTAAAGTGATTTGTATTTTCAGGTTACATGTTCAACTATTTTTAGCACAGCCATTGTAACATATAATTGTGGTTGTCTGTTATGTGTCCATTTATTACTATCTTCTGATTTTGTCCTGTTTTCTTCTACTTCCTTGTATAACACTCCACCAATATCCCACTCACCTCCACTTTTATTAAGCCCACATGACAAAATTTAACTCTGGATTTGGCCAGGTATGCATTCTTTCCATGCTATTCTGACTCAGCTTAGTACTATTGAAGACTTAAGTCACAAAACAGGGGAGATTATACAAAACATTCTTGACCACCAACTTCATCTGAGATCTCAACAATGCCTGTCAATTTTACCATGCTTCTCTGGATAGTTCATTTTCCTACTTTCTATAAAAGCACACAGTAGGAGCACAATGAAATTCTTTTCCTTAGCCAAATACCACATGTTCTCACTTATAAGTGAGAGCTAATTGATGAGAACACATGGACACATAAAGGGGAACAACACACAATGGGGCCTAGTGGAGGGTGGAGAGCAGGAGAAGGGAGAAGATCAGGAAAATAACTAATGGGTACTAGGCTTAATACCTGGATGATTAAATAATCAGTACAAATAAACCTATGACACAAGTTTACCTATATAACAAACCTGTACGTGTATCCCTGAACTTAAAAGTTAAATTAAAAAGAGGAAAAAAATTTTTTTCATTAATGAAAGTTTTGCAATATTTCTCTGTTCTCCTAAAAATTACCACTGGCAAATGACTCTTTCATTCTTAAAAGACAATTCTGCCTCCTACTTCATTTCCATCAGATAAGAATCAGTCAACTGCTTGCCAACAAACCTAAAAACCTTCCTCCATTACACTCATCTTTCCTCTTTTCCTCTAGTTTCAACAGAGTAAGTGCCCTTCTGCAATCCAAGGCCAATGCTGTTGCATAAACTTTTGATCACATTTATTTTGTCCTTCATAAAGCTCCATTGTATAATTTTCCTTTTCCTCTTTGTAATTTAAATTTTAACTCTTTTTATCAATAATTAAAATGATAAAATGTCCACTATTAAAAAAAAAAAAAAAAAAAGAAGCTGTCCCTTCCCTTCTGGTGGATGACATGACCAGTCATTGAGGTTGTTTTCTGAACATAGGCATTTATTCTGCTAGTTAGTGGTCGGGAGTACTTACTGCAGATGGCTTACAGCTGAGTACCTCCCCAGGCAATGCCGTAAGTAGCATATAAAAAGAATCTCCTCTCCTGCACATGGATGAGTAAAACAGCTAAGGATTAGGCCCAGAGCTTAATTATAAGAGTAGCTGAACTTTAGGAAAGGTTGAATTTCAATTCTACAACTCTATTATGACAAGATCAGGGCCCTGATTGAGGAGTGGAACCTAACATTTTGAGATGGAAACATCTGGATCCATTCCTGCAGAATTTTAATCTCTGGGTTCTGCTGAACTCCCTAGGCTTCCACAAATGGCCTATTTTTTCCTGCTAAGGGGTAGCACTAATCATGATTTGAAGACAAGTCAAAGACTTCTGTCTTGCAAGACAATGCACCCCTCCTGGTCACCAGACCAATAAGTAAGGTGAAGGTACACTATAACTTAGCTGAGGATATGCTGCAGCTGCAGAGGGAAGAAAGAGCCTATACCCCAAGGAAACCACAGAACTTAGCCAAAATATATCCGCAGAAGCCAGAGAAGTATGTATGGTGTCCAGAAAGTAGGTATTAGACCACAGAGTTTAAGAAGAGAGAGTTTATCAAGCTGGGCACGGTGGCTCACGCCTGTAATCCCAGCACTTTGGGAGGTCGAGGTGGGCGGATCATCTGAGGTCAGGAGTTCAAGGCCAGCCTGGCAAACATGGCAAAACCACATCGCTACTAAAAAATACAAAAATTAGCTGGGCGTGGTTGTGGGCGCCTGTAATCCTAGCTACTTGGGAGGCTGAGGCAGGAGAATCGCTTGAACGCAGGAGGCAGAGGTTGCAGGGAGCCGAGATCACGCCATTACACTCCAGCCTGGGTAACAGAGAGAGACTCCATCTCAAAAAAAAAAAAAAAAAAAAAAGAGAGAGAGAGTTTATCAATATGAGAGTATTCTTCCTTGATACTGGATTTAATACCTTGGTAAGGACCCTGGAAGGGTATACCAAAACCCTACCGGAATGGCTCTAGGAAACTTGGAGAAAGTGATGACAAATACAAAGTGAAGTAGAAATGCAAGAATTAGCATGAAAGGTGGTGGAAGAAGTGGCTAAAAGGTCAGAGGAATGAGTATGGTAAGAGTTACACACCTAAGGATGGAAATACTACTTGCCAATTATATTGCACAGGGAGTCCTAGAAGACACTCCATTTATCAAAACAATAAGGAATATTCCAAGAATCTCAGTGATAGCCATCTAGATCAGAACTGACCATAGAATATGTTATTTCAGGATAGGCCTTCATGATAATAATGGAGATTATAGGACTAAGATAATAATAATAGAGGCAGATGGAAGTGTTTAACTATCAGAGTAATGGGTATAGTTATCTTAGTGAGCAGCAAATTGAAGTGGCAGTGGGTAGGAGGTAGTGCTGACTTAGAGAAAGCTATGGAGATGATTATAAAATATGGTATATGCAAGGGCAATGAAGATGAGCAACTAACAAGGGTATTCTCAATCTAAATAATTAAAAGAAGTCAAGATTGCATTCTTAGGAGGCTGAGGGAAGCTGCTATAATAAAAAAGTCATGATCTTTTGCCTAGTTTCTGGATTTGCCGGTATTCAGATCCAGCACCCATTAAGAGGACAGGCTGCAGTGGAAGTAACCTGCAACATTATGCCAATGTTTCTGGTGACAGTTCACCAGAACTTCTCCAAAGCTACTGTGATGATTTCCTTAAGTAACCATATACTGTGAAAATGGAGATACACAGATATTTAGACACTGTTAGATGCAAGGTTCTAGTTGACAATGATCTCTGGTGATCCATATTACTCCCTTTGTTAGGATGCAGGGATATGGGTATGGCCAGGTAATAAATAGATACTTAGCCCAGGACCACCTGGCAGTAGGTCCACATTTTCCACAGACAAACCTAAGTGGCCAGTTTCCAAGTATTCAAGCTAGGAGTGGAATAGACACATTTTGTAGTAGGCAGATTACTCACATGGATTATTTGGACTGTGGATAAATTGTACCATAGTAGAGAGGACCAAGGGAAGCCTCTAAAACTGCTTCCATCCCCACCTAAGCCAAAACAGAAGTTAAAAACAAGATTGCATTCTGGAGAGAATATCAGAGTTTAGTGTGACCCTTAGAACCTAAAGGTTTCAGAGATGGTAGTCCCAATCATATCCCATTTAATTCATCACAATAACCACAAAAAAACCAGATGAATCCTGGAGAATGACAACATATTAACACAAATTCAGTCAAGTAATTGCCCCACTTGCAGCAGCTGTGTTAGTATCTTTGCTAGAACAGATTAGAATAGCCTTAGTTTTATAACATGTGGCCAGTTTGCATTCATGTATCCCCCAATACTGCAACAATATACATTTATGGTCTAACTCTGGGCTTGTTAATTTCCCTTGTTCTGTCATAGTAGAGTTTTGGGATTTTATGCTGGTGGGGGTTGTTTGTTTGTTTTTATCTTTTGAGACAGAGCCTCACTCTGTCGCCCAGGCTGGAGTGCAGTGGCACCATCTCAGCTCACTGCAACCTCCACCCCAGGTTCAAGCGATTCTCCTGCCTCAGCCTTCCGAGTAGCTGGGACTACATGTGTGTGCCACCACACCTGGACAATTTTTGTATTTTCAGTAGAGATGGAGTTTCGCCACGTTCACCAGCCTGTTTCTCTGGCCAAATTAACTGGGAAAAAGACTGCTCTGGCCTGAAAAATGTAGAAGAAATCCCTATTCCTCCATCCTCTTTATTTTCTCAAAGTACTTTGCCTCAATGGTAGACACATTTCTATGGAATTCCTTCCTTCCTTTCTTTCTTCCTTTCTTCCTTCCTTCCTTCCTTTCTTTCTTCCTTCCTTCCCCCCTCCTTCCTTCTTTCCTTCTTTTCTTCCTTCCTTTTCTTTTTTTCTTTCTTTTTTTCTCTCTTTTTCTCTCCTTTCTTGCTTTTCTTCTTTTTTTTTTTTTTCAGGATCTCATGCTGTCATCCAGGCTGAGTGCAGTGGTGCAATCTCAGCTCACTGCAACCTCTGCCTCCTGGGCTCAAGCGATCCTCCCATCTCTGCATCCTAAGTAGCAGGGACTACAGGCGGGGCTACGATGCCCGGCTAATTTTTGTATTTTTAGTAGAGACATGGTTTCGCCATGTTTGCTGTGCTGATCTCTAGCTCCTGACCTCAACTGATACACTTGCCTTGGCCTCCCAAAGTTCTCGGATTACAGGCATGAGCCACCACACCCAGCCTCTGTCATAATAGAGTTTGAAGGGATCTGACTATCTTGACTTTTCACAGGTTGTCACAATGGTTCACTTTACCATTGACATCAATTAACTAGATAAGTTAAGCAAGAATTAGTAACTATATCAGAGGTCTTAATAGGACTCATACTCTACAGATCCTGAGAAATAAACTCTATTTAATAAGGGGCCCAGTGAAAATTATAAAGATTCAGTGGTCTACAGTAGTTTGGGATATATTGCCCTTCCTATCACTAAAAACAAAATGAAATATCCAGGTAGATATCTTTTGGTTTGAGAGGCAGCATCTTCCATACTTGGGATCAATGGTGTGAACTGAGTGACATGGAAGGCCACGTTCTACCCTGTCTGCCTTTGAGAGTTATAGGCCAGGCCACTCCGAAGTGCTGTTATCTGAATGCTTAATCCTTTCTCAACTCCGTGCCTCTGTGATGGCTCATCTTTCTGCTTGGATCTCTTTCCCTTTACTCAGGTAACTTTCAACTCTTATCCTTCAGATCTCAACTTGGATGACATTCCCTCACGAAGCTTTATCTGATGCCCCTCTACAAACACACACAGAGACAAGTCTGGGCTGGATGGCCCCTTTGGGTTTCCTGTACTTATCTTTATACTGTAATTTATCTGCAATGTCACAACCACATATTAACTTACCTATATCCCTTCCTAAATGAGGAGCTGCTTGAGTGGAAAACTATAATTTTTTCAGTGTTGTATCTCCTGTTGCTTGGGTTCACATGGTTTGTGATATTTACCTAACAATATTTATGGAATGGGTTAGTGAATAATCAGAGAATATCACAACTATAGGACATGTGATACATAGATACAAAGCCTAGGGGGTACATTTAAATTCTTATCAGAGTACTCTAGGCAAGGTTTTAATTTTCATTTACATATTGTATCTGAAATAAGGGAGCCAGGATATAGAATAATTGAGACCTCAAAGTCAGACATATCTATAATTGAATCCTTTCTCTGACACTTACTCTCTGTTTGACTTTAGGCAAATTATGAAATTTTTCTCCTTCTGTTTTCTCTTTTGTATGATAGGAGAAATAGCAGTGTCTTCCTCAAGGGGATCTTATGTGGATTAAATAAAATAATACATGTGGCCTTTGATAAATGCTCAAAAATTGTATATACTTATTTTATTAGAAGTAGCAGTATTAAGTGAATATTTTATTTATACAGGACAAATATAAAACTTCATATTTGCCACTAATCACATACAGGAATAGTCTCTAGAAAATGTAAGTTCTCTCTTACTCATACATCATGCAATGAAATTTAGTGACCAACTCACCAGTTGTTTCATCTCTTCCTTGGGTTCTTCTGCACAACCCATCTTTTATCTAATCTCTTTCAACTTTTGAACTGTGCTGATTGATCTTTCAATTCTTGATCTGTAAAGAAGAATATATTTTTAATAATTCACCCTAAGAATCAGATCATGCCTATCACTCAGCCTCTTTCTGATGCCACCAACATAAAGCTTCTGGATTCGTTTCATCATAAATATTTCAATAAATCCATAGGTAGCTTTGGAGATTTATTTTTGAAAAAAAAAAGAACATCCTTAGATGTTTCAAAAAAGCCCCTTTAATACTTTTAAGATTTAATAATTGGACCAAAGCCAATTCTTTATTTTATAAATCATGGATATTTGCATCTTGGTCAAGTATGTATTTTTTCATATTTTGCTTAATTATATAATTATTTTAAAAAGCAGGCCAATAAGTTTTGAAAGACATATTTTTAAAGGTGCAAGGCAAACTCAAAAGGAGTAAAACAGATAACCTTGTATAACTTGTCTTTTGCAGTTTTTAAGAGTAATTCTATGTGGAAAGAGAAGAAATGGAAGCCAAACATAGTCTTGTGCCAGAGGCGGAAACTAAAATAATGAAGTTTTTAATTTAAATAAAAGCTAATAAGGCTAAAACTTGCAAATTTAACTAACTTTATATTACCCTTCATGCTGTGCAGCTAACTTACTGCTATCATCTGAAGAATGGTGGCTCTAGTTTAGTTACAGCATCAGTAAGTCATTTCACTTTAGACATACTTACTGAGTTCAAAATACATGTACAAAGGAGGCCCTCTACTAGACACCATCAGACTACAGGTATGAATAAGTTTGATTCCTTCACCTAAGAAGTTAGAATCTAATGGGAAAAATGTACAGCACACCATGGGTGTTGGTAGAAGGCAAACTCCAGTAACATATTGCCATTCATTGGAGTTGGAAAGATTTGGTGGGAACATTGGCATTTGGTCTGGCTCCTGGTTCCTGCAGGAAAACCCTTCCTCTAACAGATGGAAATGATGGTAAAGGAAAAGATAAGCAAAAGAAAAGTGTGCCACCTCAGAGGCATGGGGCATGAAGTGGAGTGCTGAGCAATCCAATGAGGTGCAGTGTTAGAAGTAGTCACATGGCAGAATGAAAACTAAACCTTCATTGCCTGGAGTCCCATTCTTTGAGTACTTCCATATGATACTCAGAAGTTTAAATTTTACTTTGAAAACAGGGAAAGACATCAAAGGTTGTTTATGAGTTTTGTTTGCTGGCCAGAGGAGTGATATAGTAATGTTTTACACTTGTGTTTGGAGAAAATTACTACCAAAGAACCTAAGTTCTACTGGCAGGCTTCTTTTTAGAGCAAGTTGGTAGAAACTGTGAATCTGATTACTAACTTGTATTCTTTTTTCATATCCTCCTTCCAATGCATCTAGCAGAGCCCCTTGTCTGATATTTGATAAATGGTTATTGAAAGTCTTTGCTTTCAAGAAACCTATATTTAAAAACATGACTCTGGGCCGGGCGCGGTGGCTCACGCCTGTAATCCCAGCACTTTGGGAGGCCGAGGCGGGTGGATCATGAGGTCAGGAGATCGAGACCATCCTGGCTAACAAGGTGAAACCCCGTCTCTACTAAAAATACAAAAAATTAGCCGGGCGCGGTGGCGGGCGCCTGTAGTCCCAGCTACTCGGGAGGCTGAGGCAGGAGAATGGCGTGAACCCGGGAGGCGGAGCTTGCAGTGAGCCGAGATTGCGCCACTGCAGTCCGCAGTCCGGCCTGGGCGACAGAGCGAGACTCCGTCTCAAAAAAAAAAAAAAAAAAAAAAAACATGACTCTGGTATGCTAATGGATGAGAATGCTCCTTAGCGGTGTTTTAAACAAAGAGCCAATACAATGCCAAGAGGAAGACCTGATCCTGATTAGGAGCATAATGTGGCAGAACTGTGAATAAGGCTTTATGGAAGAGGATGTATTTATGCTGGATCTCAATTCATCAACAAAGAACTAAAGCAAACCAATATCCATGAAACTAAAACTTCTAGGAGAGAACATCAATGCCAAAGAGGGGTGTGGTCATTGAGATGAGGAAGAGAATCCTAAAATGAATGTTCATTAGTTGCCTGGAGTCAAAGAACTGCCAGGTTTATGGAGATGGATTCATGTACGAGGGAATGTCCCTAGATGAACTTGACCAACCCAGATCTTGCCCTTCTTGCTTTCAGTTCTCAAGCAGAATGCATTGAGAATGCAATACCCTAAGATAAGAAGGAAATATCCAGAACATCCCAGACTATATTCTCATTTCTTCCAGAAAAGGATGTTCTGCAACACTTGTGCCTAGCAATTCAAGTTGTGCCCAGGGTGTAAAACCCAGAGTGGAGCACTTCCAGGGTCTCTCAGCATTGGTGCAATATGGGGTATGGGCAGACAAGACTCCATACTCCCTGAGCAGCTTTCCTAAACATAGGGGGACTTGCTTGCCATGGCTTCTAGGCTTCTGTTTATCCTCTGCCTATTTGTGAGGAGTAAATTTGCTTCGCTTGACTTGCGTGAGTGTTCTGTTTCACTGTAGTAGACCTAAGAACACTTGCCATTAGAAGACGCATGGGTTTCTTCTATTACCTTGTGAAGGAAAATGTGTATCAGTGCAACACCTGGGTCTAGTAACAGTGGATAGTCTCAGTATTTATAGTTCTCCAGTAAAAAAGAAAAAAGAGGCTACAATAATGGAAATGGAGAGAGAGCGCTATGAGAAGAGGACTGCCTGGCAGGAGCTGCTACAGCCCTTGGCAAAGCCATAATGAGGAAGCCAGAGAAACTCACTCTACTCCCTCCCTCTTTCTGATGCTCCTCATTTGCTTAACCAACCAGGAAACTAGAGGGTAAGGGAGTTCATGGATGCACACCACACAGGTGGTCTCACTGGGCACAGAACAGTGTAGAGAGCATATCTGGGAGAAAAATGGAAGATACTCAAAACAGTACACAGACTCACACGTGAATGTTCTTGACAACAGAAGTACTTTCAATGAACACACTAAAACAAAACAAAATAACACATACATACCTGGATTATCATGAGAAAACAGTATTCTTCTTTTATGATATAGTGCCTTTTATCAATGTTCAATGAATATATATTTGCATCTTTTTTATTGTAAACTGACCATAATTGTATAAATATATAGGATACAAAATGATGTTATAATTTATGAACACAATGTACAGTAATTAAATCATGCTAGGTTAACATATCCGTTGCTTCAAATACTTAACATATTTCATGGCGAGAATATTTAAAATTTACTCTCTTAGCAATTTTGAAACGTATAGTGGCATGTGCCTTTAATCCCAGCTACGCAGGAGGCTGAGGTAGAAGAATTGCTTGAACTGAGGAGATGGAGGTTGCAGTGAGCCAAGATCAGGCCACTGCCCTCCAGCCTGGATGACAGAGTGAAACTCCATCTTGGGAAAAAAAGATGTTATTTCTCCTGTTTGAAATGTTGTGCCCTTTGACCATCATTTTTTTATTTCCCCCACCTCCTCACCCTCTGTAACCATGATTCTACTTTTTGCTTCTATGAGTTCAATTGGTTTAGGTTCCATATATATATGTGAGAACATGTATTTGTCTTTCCATGCCTGATTTATTGCAATTAGCATAATGTTCTCCAATTTCATCCATGTTGTTGCACCTGACATACTTTCATTCTCTTTTAGGGCTGAATAGTATTCCATTGTGTAGATGTACCACTTTTTCTTTACACATTTATCTGTTATTGGACACTTAGGTTGACTCCATAATTTGGCTTATTGTGAATACTGCTGCGATGAACAAGAGAATGCAGTCATCTTTTGACAGCCTGAGTTTAAATCTTTTTGGTAAATACCCAGAAGTGGAATTGCTGGGTCATACAGTAATTCTATTTTTAGTTTTTTGGGGAACTTCCGTACTGTTCATAATGGCTCTATAAATTTACATTTCCACCAACACTGTATAAGGGTTCCCTTTACTCTGCATTCTCGCCAACACTTATCTTTCATCTTATTTATAAAAAAAAACATTCTGACAGGTGTGAGATATCTCAGTTGATTTTAATTTGCATATTCCTAATGATTAGTGATGTTGAACATTTTTTCCATATATCTATTTGACATTTGTATGTCTTCTTTTGAGAAATGTCTGTTCAGGCCCCTTTCCCATTTTTAATTGGGTTGTTTTCTTGCCATTGTTTAAGCTCCTTACATATTTTAGATATTAACTCCTTATCGGATGTGTGACTTGCAAATATTTTCTCTCACGTTGTAGGTTGTTGCTGCACAATGTTAATTGTTTCTTTTGCTGTGCAGAAACTTTTTAATTTGATGAAATCACATTTGTCTATTTTAACTTTCATTGCCTGTATTTTTGTGGTCAAATAAAAGAAATAATTGTCCAGATCAATGTTATACAGTTTTTTTCTAGGTTTTCTTCTTTTAGTCTCAGAGTATCTGGTTTTATGTTCAATTCTTTAATCCATTTTGAGTTGATTTCTATATGGCATGCAACAGCAATCCAATTTCATTTTACTGCGCTTGGAAGTCTGCTTTTCCCAACACAATTTATTGAGGAGACTGTCCTTTTTCCATTGTGTATTCTTAGCACATTTGTCAAAAATCAGCTAACTATATATATGTAAGTTGACTTCTTGGCCTTCTATTCTGTTTCATTGGTCAATGTGTCTTTTTATTTGGCTAATACCACACTATTTTAGTTATTATTGCTTTGTAATATACTTTAAAATCAGATAGTTTGATACCTCCAGCTTTGTTCTGTTTCTTCATAATTGCCTCAGCTATTTAGGATTTTTTTGTGGTTTCATGTGAATTTCAGTATTATTTTTTCTATTTCTATGACATTGGATAGCACTGATATTTTGATAGAGATTGCATTGAGTTTGTGGATTGCTTTGAGTAGTATGGATTACTATGAATTTGGCAGTATGGATTTGGATAGTATGAAAGATT
Organism: Homo sapiens; assembly: GCF_000001405.40. Classification (NCBI taxonomy): domain Eukaryota; kingdom Metazoa; phylum Chordata; class Mammalia; order Primates; family Hominidae; genus Homo; species Homo sapiens. The sequence goes on along the minus strand of NC_000001.11, from coordinate 82,544,195 downwards.
GATATTATTAATTTTTCCAATAATATTAATTATTCCAATCCATGAACATGGGGTATCTTCCCCTTTATCTGTGTTTTCTTCAATTTCATTCATCAATGTTTTACAGTTTTCAGTGTACACTTCCCTCACCTTCCTGTTTAAATTTATTCCTAAGTATTTTATTTTTGTAGTTATTATAAATGGAATTGTGCTTTTGGTTTCTTTTTCAGATAGTTTGTTGTTAGTGTATAGAATCAGTACTGATTTTTTGTGTGTTGATTTTGTAACCTGCAACTTTATTGTATTCATTTATTAGCACTGACAAGTTTTTGGTGGAGTCTGTAGGGTTTTCTAAATATAAGATCATATCATTAGCAAACAGTGACAATTTCACTTCCTTCTTTCCTATTTAAATGCATTTTATTTCTTTCTGTGGCCTACTTGGTCCGAGAAGGACTTCCAATACTATGTTGAATAGAAGTGTAACAGTGGGCATCCTCCTTGTTTTCCAGATTTAAAGGAAGTCTAAACTTTTCACCACTGAGTGTAATATTAGCTGTGGGCTTCTCATAGATGGCCTTTATTGTGTTGAGATACATTCCTTCTATACCTAATTTGGTGAGAGTTTCTATCATGAAAAGATGTTTAATTTTGTCAAATGCTTTTCTGCATCAGATGAGATGATCATATGGGCATATTATTGTCATTTGTTCTCTTAATGTACTGTATCACACCAATTCATTTGCATATTTTGAGCCATACTTGTATCTCAGGGATAAATTGTACTTGATCATGGTGAATGATCCTTTTAATGTGTTGTAGAGTTTGCGGGGTTTTTTTTTGTATTTTGTTGAAGATTTTTGCATCTATGTTCATCAAAAATATTGGACTGTAATTTTCTTTTCTTGTAATGCCCTTGTCTGGTTTTGATATCAGGGTAATTCTGGCCTTGTAAAAAGAGTTTGGAAATATTTTTTTCCTTTTTTTTTTGGAACAGTTTGAAAAGGATAGATATTAGTTCTTAAAAATGTTTGATAGAATTCAGCTGTGAAGCCATTAGGTTCTGAGCTTTTCTTCAATGAGAGACATTTTATCACAGATTCAATCTTCTTATTCATTATTGTTCTGCTCAGATATTCTATTTCTTTATGATTCAGTTTTGGTAGGTTGCATTTGTCTAGGAATGTATCCATTTCTTCTAAGTTATTCAATTTGTTGGCAAATAGTTGTTCATAGTAGGCTCTTATGGTTCTTTGCATTCCTGTGGCATCAGTTGTAATGTTTCCTGTTTTATTTCTGATCTTATTTACTGAGTCTTTTCTTAGTCTAGCTAAAGGTTTGCCAGTTTTGTTATCTTTACAAAAAAAAAACTGTAGTTTTTTTGTTGTTGTTGTTTCATTGTATTGTTTTTCAAGTTTCTAATTCATTTATTTCTTCTCTGGTCTTTATTTTCTTCCTTCTGTTAACTTTGGGATTAGTTTCTTTTTTTCTGGTTATTTGAGATACAATATTAGGTTGTTAATTTGAGATCTTCTTTTTTGATGTAGGCATTTATTGCTATAAATTTTGTTCTTAGAATTGCTTTTGTTGCATCCTGTAAGTTTGGATATGTTCTGTTTCCATTTTTGTTTGTCTCAGATATTTTTAAATATCTGTATTAATTTCTTTATTGACCCACTGTTCATTCAGGAGCATGTTGTTTGATTTTCACGTGTTTGTGAATTTTCTCAAATTCCTCTGTTGTTGGTTTCTAGTTTCATGCTATTGTGGTTGGAAAAGATACTTGATATAACTTCAATCTTCTTAAATTTGCTGAATCTTGTTTTGTGCCCTAACATGTGATTAATCCTGAAGAATTATCTGTGTGTGCTTGAGAAGAATGTGTATTCTGTTGCGGCTGAATGGAATGTTCTGTAAATGTCAGTTAGGTACATTTGGTCTAGCGTGTTGTTCAAGTCCAATGTTTTCATATTAATATTTTGTCTCAGCCATCTGTTTATTGTTGAAAGGCATCTACTATAGCGCAGTCCTCTTCTCCCTTCAGATCCTTTAATATTTGTTTTTATATATGTAGGTGCTCTGATGTTGGGTGCATATATATTTACAATTGTCGTATCTTTTTGAAGAACTGATCCCTTTATAATGATATAATGTCCTTCTTTGTCATTTTTTATAGTTCTTGACTTAAAGTCTATTTTTGTCTGATATAAATATAGCTACCTCTGCTCTCTTTTGGTTTTTATTTGTATAGAATAGCTTTTTCCATCCCTTTCCTTTTAGTCTATGTGTCTTTCAAGCTGACACAAGTCTCTTCTAGGCAGCATATAGTTGGGTCTTATTTTTTTATCCATTCAGTCACTCTACCATGTTTTATTAAAGAATTTAATTTGTTTACATAGAAAGTAATTATTGATATGTAAGGACTTACTACTACCAGTTTGTTAGTTGTTTTCTGTTTTTTGTTTGTTTCTTTTTCTTTTTGGTAGATACTTCGTATCTTTCTTTCTTGCTTGCTGTCTTCCTTTGTGGTTTGAAGGTTCAAAGTAGTTATATGCTTTGAATCCCTTCATTTTTGCTTTGTACTTCTACTAAGGATTTTTCTTTGTGGATACCATAAGGCTTGCATAGAATTTCTTACACTATTTCAAGCTAATAGCAACTTAACTTTGCATACAACCACTCTACACTTTATTCCTCTTTTGACATTTTATGTTTTTGACATTAGAGTTTGTGATTTTGCAGTGTGTATTTCTTGACAATTTATTATAGCTATAGATATTATTATTGTTCTTATTAGCTATAATATCTATAGCTAACCACATAGTTTTGTCTTTTAACCCTCACACTGGAGATAAAATTGCCTTACACCTCATTATTATATCCCTAGAGTATTCTGAATATAGCCCTGTTTTACTTATACTTTCAGTTTTGTGCTTTTGTAGTTTCATGTTATTATTATATTTTTGTTTCAGCTTAAAGAACTCCCTTTAGCAATTTCTATAAAGCAAGTATAGCAGTGATGAACTCCCTTAGCTTTTGTTTTTCTGGGAAAGCTTTCACTTCTCCCTGATTTCTGCAAGATAGTTTTGCTGGGAAAACTATTATTGCTTAGCAGGATTTTTTTGTCAGCACTTTGAATATATCATCCCTCTCTCCTGGCCTGCAGGGTTTCTGCTGAGAAATCCATTGACAATTGCATTGGTACACCTTTGTATGTGATGTGTTTCTTATCTTGTGCTGCTGTCAGAATTTTTTCTTTGTTTTTGATTTTGTTAGCTTGATTATTATGTGTCTTCATGTACTCCTCTTTGGCTTGGATTTTATTGGAGAGCTATGTGGTTCTTCTACCTGGTTGTTGGCATCTATCCACAGATTAGGGAAATTTTCAACCAATCCTTCCTGGCCCTTTTCCCTTTTCTTCTTCTGAAACTTCTAGTATGTGAAGGTATAATCTTATTATGATTTCCCATAATTCCTGTAAGCCCTCTTATAATATTTTCAAATGCCACTTTAACTATTGAAAAATTCTTTTTGCTTGTTTATACTCACACCTAGACACACCAACTTAATATAGCATATAAAGTTTTATATGAAAGTCCATTTTATTGTCCAAAACCCATTCAACTAAAGACTGGATTTTTTTTTTTTACTAATACAGATTAACAAGTAAATGTGCCAAAATTAGTAATATGACCTTTAATGCACAGCGCCTTACTTTTACCATTGTGGTCACACCTCATAGAAGACTCATTTCACCAAAAGAAAACAGGGAAACTAATTTTTTTAATATAAAGTACTTGAATCATTTTTCATCACATAAAATATCATAATATATAACATAATTTTTCTTGAACTCTCATACTTAAGCTGCAACTTAGGAACAAGAATGATGACTGGGTATAATTATCCAGTCTTCATTTGGAATTTAGATTACACAACTTATTTATAAATTATACATCAGAGGGTCAAATCAAAAAGGCATAAGCCTGTAAAGACCACACTTGACTATTCTGGGCCACAAACTTCATAACAAAGCCTTCGGCTTGGCTAAAATCAGTGAGTCTGTATCCCCATAAGATTAGTTAGGCATTTTTATTGTAAAATATCCAAACCAAACAACAAAACGAAAACCAAAAACTTCTTGATTTTCCTTTAACAGACTTAAAAATCTATGAAAGATTACACAGTAAGAAAATACAAACATTGGGTCATTCTAAAGAACAATGAACATTAATAGAATCATTAATTTATTCCGATGTGAAAAAATTTTAAAAGGAGGCTGTTTTTACCCTGAAATAACATCCTGTACACCATAAGCAAAGCATTAAAGGTTCAGTTTTCATTTCAAAACCCCTATTTTATTTTCATTGTTCATAGTTGCTTTGATGTTCCTGCACTCTGACAGGGAGCATGGTTTCATTTGGGGAAAGGAATCAATTTCTCAATGTAAATTGTGATTTACACACTTCCCTTCCTCACCTATTTTGAATTGATTTGATTCTAGAAGCACTAAGACATGTGAAAAACACTGTCTTGCTTGATTTAATAAACACTTGGAAAATTGCTTGTTGGTTATGCCCTAGACCAAAATTAGCAATTCGGAAAGAATGCATTTTTATTTCCTTTATCAATGCCTTTCTTAGTGTTCATGACTCTACTCTTAAAAATTAAGGTACAAAGTAGTTCTCAGGTCAAGAGGAAGTTAACATCACTACATATGGTATATATCTACCTTATAATAACCTATTTTCATGAAGCACTCCAAAGTATAGTTTATTAAAATTGCATGATAATGTTGAAATTGATAGAAGTCAAGACTGAACCATTTGATAGGCCCAAAGAGAGGAGCAAAACAGGACGGTATTTTTAATAGTCTCTGCATGAAAGACACTGCACGAGTTTCCCAAAAAGGAAAGTAATGATTCACATGGTTTTATTAAAGAAATAATGAAAGAGAATGCAGTGTATTTTTTATCACATATACTTTGTGATAGGTACTCTGGTAAGCACTTCACTTATATCATATCTAATACTCCAAAGCAATCAGTATGTTTATTCCATGACAAGTAATATGAGGCAAGTGATTATATTATGTTGAGCAACTTTCTGCTTATCAAGATTAGAACATAGCCAAAATAAGCATCTGGTAATCATCCATTGGAACTCTTGCTTTCTGTCTTAGCAGAGGTAGATTTGTCAGTGATTCTTAATCACTGTAGCTCTTGGATACATCTTCCTGACTCAGGCTGACTTCACATGCAGTGGAAGATATTCACAGGAGGAACAAGTCTGAATGCTGACCAGAAAATTTGCCATACTGGTAATGTTCTTTAAAGCAATATTCTGGAAATCCAAGGAAATCAGCTATTGGTCGGAAAACCAATCAATAGATATTGGTATGAAAACAACATCAAGCATTAAAAAAAGCCAAAGGGAGTCTGAGTACATATGCTTCTGGAGTCCAGCATTTTTTTGTTTGTTTGTTTTTGTTTTTTTGTTTTGTTTTGTTTTTTTACCAAAAATCAAGCCAGATTCAGAGTGTCCTTACGGCAAATAAGGCCTAAAAAATTGATTTGGGCACAGAATTTCAGAAAAACTCTTGAGTCAGAATATAAAGTGGGATTATTAAAAGCAAGGTTGCTGGAAGAAATAATGAAAAAAATAGTCTGAATATAATGAAACCAAATTGACATGTTTACATGTGATAATAAGTAATATGCATCACACAAGCATACTGAGCAAAGACTTTCTATTTTTTAAAATATCTGTATATTTTAAGGTGATTTTCTTTTTTCTCTCTGCTTTCCTCATTTTACCTTCAAAGCTGAGCAGCTGTGATTAAAAAAAAGGGTGAGAGTTAAAGCACTCATATCTGGGAACAAGAAGACATGAGTTTGCAAACCTGTTCCATCTCTTAATGATTCTGTGACTTTATCAAGTTACTCACATCTCTAGGCTTCATTTACCTCATTTATAAAATGGAGATAAGTGTGCTATTGTAAGGATTACAAGTAATATAGCAGTTCTTGTAAAGTGATTAAGACAGTTTATGAAACATAGCAAAGGCAAAATAATTTTGGCTATAATAATTATTATGTTAATTTTCATCAGAGCCATAACTATCATAAATTACTAAATGAAAATGTTTTTTAAAATCTCCAAAATCTTTTAATTAAATCGCAACGTTTTGAACCTCATTACCAAGGTAGATTGTTTATTCTGTTCGTAATGTTGGTATAGAATCAGAAAATATTTCATAGTCAGACACTGGGCATGATGAAGTCTTTCTCTAATTATCCAGAACAAACATCTAGAAAGACACATCAATTAACTGCCACTGGGTTAACCTGGCAGTAACTCTGAATAAATGATCCAGAGGCCTGACATGACTGTGGAGACTCAGCTGTAGTGAGCCATGGTGAGGCTCAAAGGAGCTTGGCATAATCAAGGAGGATTTTCCATTGAAGAGTCAGAAGGCAAAGAAAACAATATTAAAATAAGAAGCATTTTGAGTTTAAAGAGAAACACTTGGAGATCCTTAAATGTCATATGTAGTCTTCTATCACTGGGCCTGTATCTATATGGGCATCTTCACCTGAAATGCCCTAGGTGCACCTGACTATGTCCTGTATGTCCTTCAGGACTCATCTCAAGCACACTTTCCAATTTATCAGGGTTGGCATGCAAAGTGGATGCTATTTGCCACCTGAGATTTGTTACCTGTCTTCAGATTATAAATGAAATGAGCACTGGATTTGAATCAAAAGGCCAGATTTGAGGTTCTGGGCCCAGCACTTAGAATCTCTCTATATAACCTTGAGCAGCTCTTCTCTGATCAAGCTTCTCTAAGCCTGGGTTTTCTCATCTGGTAATAAATAATTTTAATACTTTCTCTGCCTATCTCATAGAGTTGTTCCAAAGATCAAATGATAAAAGTAATGAAATAAATTTGCAAATTGTGAGCCCCCATATAAATAAATAAAAAGCAAACTTTTATTATTAATATAGTCACCTCAAAGGCAAAATTCTTCAAATAACAAGAATGACACATTAATATGAAACTTTACCCTTTCTTAACTTTAACGGTATAATATCTGAATTCTTTCCCTGGGCCCCTTATACTTCTTCCCATGGTGGAATAAAGGTATGCTTTTTTCAGAGCTAATGTACTACAACCTATATTGACAATTTTTCTCAAATTTGGAAAATTTGAAGTATATTCTGGAACCTGGTTTCAACAGCCAGAAATCATCAGTGTATCCCAGTGTCATTTAATACTCAAATTAAATAAGGCCATTTATTTAAATGTAGTTATTTAAAGATATCTTGTTGGGTAGCGTAACCAGTATTTTTTTCTTACATCAAGCACCACTCTCTCTTGTTTTCTGCACCTGATATGAGGTCTGCCTGTTTCACATGGGTACTGTTGGGACTCTGCCATGAAAATGAAGGAAATGAGGAAGTACAGAATTTAATGTTTATTTGTAAAAATGGTGATTCCACCTAATTCCTCTTCAATATGAGGTGGGTGGAGTGGGAGACAGAATACAGTAAGAGCTAAGGCAAGGACAGTAACAGAAGAGTCACATAATATTCCCTCATGGATGAGTTTTCAATATCTTTTACATGCCATGGGAAAATATATCACTAAGTATCTAACTATAAAGAAAAAAACAGGGGTGCTAAGTAGGTGAGGGCATGGTCAAAGGGTACAGTTTCTCTAAAGTATATTTTAAATATCTTTAGAATATATTAAGTATATTTTAAATATTATTGAAAGACTTTCTAAAAATATCAAATCTATGCTTCTCCCTGAAATTTTTTTTTCTGTTTCTTCATTCAAAGCTGTTAACAGGTTTTTGTTTCTTTGTTTGATTTAGGAAGTTTCCAAGATTGAAGAAGGAGGGAGAGAGGGCTATGGAAGTCACAGGTTGGAGGTGGTGCCCAGAGCCTGGAATAAACATTTACCCTAGTGTTCATCAGAGAGTGAATGAGGCCTGGGAATCCAAGACTTGCCAAAGATTATTCTGCCTGGAACAGGTCAAAATACAGCAAAGGATATGAAGGGACACTACAAGATGGGAAAATGGGTGCCTCATTGTTAACTGATGTGGACAGATGATGGGTAACCACATAATCTTCTCTACGTCATTTTTGATACTACCAAAAATTCTGGGTTCTTGGCATCATAGCAAAACTCAGATGTAGAGAGAAGCCCCACAATTAGATGAAGTAAAATTTTCCTACTTGAAGTTGAATTTCACTGAAGTGAAATCAGGTCACAGAGTCTAAAATTAAGTTGATCTAGGAAAACTGAAAAAAAGAGTATTTATTCCACAGTTGAAGTGTAGAAAGGAATTAATCTATGCTATAATAGTAATAGTTAAAATTTATTGAACTTTTACTATATGACAAGAACTTTGATAATATGTTTATTTGCATTGACTAGTTCATTTAATTCTGACAGAACTTTTTAATATACTTATACATCACTTAACAATGAAGACACATTCTTAGAAATGCACTTTTAGGTAATTGTGCCCTTGTGTGAACATCATAGAGTGTACATACACAAACCTAGATGATATTGATAGCAACAAGAAACAGACAAGGCAGACATGGATGGGTCCCTGGTGAAACTCAACCTTCAAGCCAAGAACAGTCTAAAGCCTGAAAACCAAGCAACAGTTACAGATAGAATTCACGGACCAGAATGAGAACTTCCATTTCCATCTTACCTACTCTCTCTCTATTGGTTCTTTCTGAATGATGCCTTTTAGCCAATCAAATGCTCCCTTTTCCAAGCCCACCCATAAATCAATCAGCATGCGTTCCCCCCATTCTAAGTTCATAAAACCCTGGATTCAGCCTCATAGACGGCTACGCTCTTTGGGGTCCCCTCTTGCTGTTGAGAGCTTTTCTTTCATTCAGTAAATTCTACTCTGCCTTACCCTGCCTCCAGTGTCCACGTACCTTATTACTCTTGGCCACGGGACAAGAACCCATAACTCACTGAACTATGGGAGCAAAAGAGCTGTAACATTCCTGTTCACTGAGCCGTGGGCAGGAAGAGTAAAAGAGCTGTAACACTCCTTCCCACCAAACTATGAGAGTCAAAAAGCCACAACAATATAGCCTACTACACATCTAGGCTATATGTATAGCTTATTGCTCCTAGGTGACAAACCTATACAGCATGTTACTATACTGAACACTATAGGCAGTTGTAACACAATGTTTAATTTTTTTTATCTAACTATATCTAAACACAGAAGAGGTACAGTAAAAATATAGTATTATAATCTTATGGGACCACCACAGTATATATGGCTCATTCTTACTCAGAATGTCATTATGCAATACATGACTCTAGTTACCATTATAATTTCCATTTCACAAATGAGAAATATGAAGCATAGTTAAGATAAATGCCTAAGATCTATCCAGTTAAAAAGTAGATGCCGACTAGAACCTAAGTCTGAGACCATGTTCATAGCTACTACTCAATATCATATTAAGAAATTAATCTCCCAACCTTCTGGTTCTAGACAGTCTGGGTGGTCTGGACTTTACCCCATTGCAGTGCACTGGCTCTGCCAATGGTCAGCCAGATGGCTTCTTTAAGCAGGTACCTGATCCCATTCCTCCTGACTGGGTGAGACCCGTCAACAGGAGTCTCCAGACACCTCCTACAGGAGCATTTGGGCTGGCATCAGGTCAGTGCCCGCCCCGCACCCCCATCACCCCGGGACTGAGCTCCCAGAGGAAGGGGCAGGCTGACATCTTTTCTGTTTTGGAGTCTTCACTGATGATACCTCCAGGTAAGGAGAAAACTGCAGCAACCCTATAGACAAGTGGCCTGACTATTAAAATAAAAACAAACAAAGAGAAAGCAACAACAATAACATCAACAACAACAAAAGATCCCACAAAGATCCCCATTCAAAGGTCAGCAACTTCAAAGATTGAAGGTAGATAAGCCCACAAAGATGAGAAAGAATCAATGCAAAAACGGTGAAAACTCAAAAAGTCAGGATGCTTCTTCTCTTGCAAATTACCGCAACACCTCTCCAGTAAGGGCACAGAACTGGTCTGAGGCTCAGATGGCTGAACTGACAGAAGTAGGCTTCAGAAGGTGGGTGATAATGAACATCATTGAGTTAAAGGAACATGTTTTAACCCAATGCAAAGAAGCTAAGAATCATGATAAAACAATAAAGGAGCTAATAACTAGAATAGCCAGTTTAGAGAGGAGCATAATTGACCTAATGGAACCGAAACACACAACATGAGACATTCACAATGCAATCACAAGGATCAATAGCAGAATAGACAAAACAGAGGAAAGAATCTCAGAGCTTGAAGGCTATCTTTCTGAAATATGACAGGCAGATAAGAATTGAGAAAAAAGAATGAAAAGAAACAAATAAAACCCCCAAGAAATATGGGATTATGTAAAAAGACCAAACCTATGATTATGGTACCTGAAAGAGACCAGGGGAATGGGACCAAGTTTGAAAACATACTTCAGGATATCATCTAGGAGAACTTCCCCAACCTAGCAAGACAGGACAACATTCAAACTCAGGAAATTCAGAGGACCCCAATAATATACTCCATGAGAAGATCAACTCCAAGACACATAATCATCAGATTCTCCAAGGTTGAAATGACAAAAATATATGTAAAGAGCAGGCAGAGAGAAAGGCCAGCTCACCTACAAAGGGAAGTCCATCAGACTGACAGTGGACCTCTCAGTGGAAACCCTACAAGCCAGAAGAGATTAGGGGCCAATATTTAACATTCTTAAAGAAAATAATTTCTAACCCAGAATTTCATATCTGGCCAAACCAAGCTTCATAAGCAAAAGAGAAGTAAGATCCTTTTCAGACAAGCAAATGCTGAGGGAATTCATCACCACCAGCACTGCCTTGCAAGAGCCCTGGAAGGAAGCACTAAATATGGAAAGGAAAAACTGTTACCAGTCACTACAAAAATACCCTGACTAATGACACTGTGAAGCAACTATGCAAACAAATCTGCAAAATAATGAGCTAGCATCATGATAACAGGACAAATTCCACATAACAATATTAACCTTAAATGTAAATGGGCTAAATGCCCCAAACAGAAGACACAGAATGGCAAGATAGATAGAGTCAATACCCATTGGTACGCTATCTTCAAGAGACACATTTCACATGCAAAGACACACATAGGCTCAAAATAAAGAGATGGAGGAAAATTTACCAAGCAAATGGAAAACAAAAAAATGCAGGGTTTGCAATTCTAGTTTCTGACAAAACAGACTTTAAACCAACAAACATCAAAAAAAGACAAAGAAGTGCATTACATAATGGTAAGGAGTTCAATTCAACAAGAGGAGCTAACTATCCTAAATATATATGCACCAAATACAGGAGCACCCAGAGTCATAAAGCAATTTTTTAGAGACCTACAGAGAGTCTTAGGCTTTCACATAATAATACTGGGAGACTTTAACACCCATTGACACATCATCAAGACAGAAAATTAACAAAGATATTCAGGACCTGAACTCAGCTCTGGATCAAGTGAACCTGAGAGATATCTGCAGAACTCTCCACCCAAAAACAATAAAATAAACATTCTTCTCATCATCACATGGCACTTATTCTAAGATTGATGACATATTCTGAAGTAAAACATTCCTCAGCAAATGTAAAATAACTGAAATCATAACAAACAGTCTCTCAGACCACAGTGCAATCAAACTAGAACTCAAGATTTAAAAACTCACTCAAATCCACACAACTACATGGCAATTGAACAACCTGCTCCTGAATGACTCCTGGATGAATAAGAAAATTAATGCAGAAATCAAGAGGTTTTTTGAGACTAATGAGAACAAAGAGACAACACAGCAGAATCTCTGGGATACAGCTAAGGCAGTGTTAAGAAGGACATTTATAGCACTAAATGCCCATATCAAAAAGCTAGAAAGATCTCAAATTAACAACATAACATCACAACTAAAAGAACTAGAGAACCAAGAGCAAGCAAACAAAGCTAGCAGAAGACAAAAAATAACTAGGATCAAAGTGGAAGTGAAGAAGATAGAGACATGAAAAACCCTTCAAAAAAATCGAGTACAGGAGCTGCTTTTTTTTTTTTTGAAACAAATAATAAAATAGATAGACCTCTGGCTAGACTAATAAAGAAGAAAAGAGAGAAGAATCAAAGAGACACAATCAGAAATGATAAGGGAAATATCACTACTGAGCCTACGGAAATACAAATAACCATTAGAGAATACTATAAACACCTGCATGCACATAAACTAGAAAATCTAGAAAAAAATTGATAAATTCCTGAATGCATACACTCTACCAAGACTGAATAAGGAAGAAATTAAATCCCTAAATAGACCAATAATGAGTTATGAAATTGAGGCAGTAATAAACAGCCTACCAACCAAAAAATCCCAGGACCAGATGGATTTACAGCTGAATTCTACCAGAGGTATAAAGAACTGGTACCATTTCTTTTGAAAGTATTCCAAACAAGTGAAAAGGAGGGACTCCTCCCTAACTCATTCTATGAGGTCAGCATTATCCTGATACCCAAACCTGGCAGAGATACAACAAAGAAAACTTCAGGCCAATATCCCTGATGAACATGGATGCAAAAATCCTCAATAAAATACTGGCAAACTGAATCCAGCAGCACATCAAAAGTTCATCCACCATCAAGTTGGCCTCATCCCTAGGGTGCAAGGTTGGTTCAACATATGTAAATCAATAAATATAGTTCATCACATAAACAGTACTAAAGACAAAAACCACAAGATTATCTCAATAGACACAGAAAAGGCCTTTGGTAAAATTCAACATCCCCTCATGTTAAAAACTCTCAATGAACTAGGTATATTGAAGGAACATACTGCAAAATAATAAGAGCCATATATGACAAACTCACAACCAGTATCATACTGAATGGGCAAAACAGCATTCCCCTCGGAAGCATTCCCCTTCATAATGGGCACAAGACAAAAATGCCCTCTCTCGCCACTCCTACTCAAAGTAGTATTGGAAGTTCTGGCCAGGGCAATAAGTCAAGAGAAAGAAATAAAGTTATTCAAATAGGAAGAGAGGAAATCAAATTGTCTTTTTTTGCAGAAGACATGACCCTATATCTAGAAAACCCCCTTATCTCACCCCAAAAGCTTCTTCAGCTGACAAACAACTTCAGCAAATTGTCATGATATAAAATCAATGTGCAAAAGCCATGAGCATTCCTATACACCAGCAACAGACAAGAAGAGAGACAAATCATGAATAAATTTCCATTCACAATTGCTACAAACAGAAAATAAATACCTAGGAATACAGCTCATGAAGGAAGTGCAGGACTTCTTCAAGGAGAACTACAAACCACTGCTCAAGGAAATCAGAGAAGACACAGACAAATGGAACAACATTCCATGCTCATTTATAGGATAAATCAGTATCGTGAAAATAGCCATACTACCAAAAGTAATTTGTAGACTCAATGATATTTCCATTAAACTATCATTGACATTCTTCACAGATGGAAAAAACTATTTTAAAATTTAAATGGAACCAAGTAAGAGCTCAAATAGCCAAGTCAATCCTAAACAAAAAGAACAAAGCTGGAGGCATCACGCTATCTGACTTCAAACTATATTACAAGACTACAGTAATCAAAACAGCATGGTACTGGTACAAAAACAAACATACTGACCAATGTAACAGAATAGAGAATTCAAAAATAAGACCGCACACCTACAACCATCTGATCTTTGACAAACCTGACAAAAACAAGCAATGGGCAAAAGATTCCGTTTCATAAATGGTGCTGGAAAAACTGGCTAGCCATACACAGAAAATTGAAACTGGACCCCTTACTTACACCATATACAAAAAATTAACTCAAGATTAATTAAAGACTTAAATGTAAAATGCAAAACTATAAAAACCCTAGAGGAAAATCTAGGCAATTCCATTCAGAACATAGGCAAGGGCAAAGATTTCATGACAAAAATGCCAAAAGCAATTGCAACAAAAGCAAAAATTGACAAATGGGATTTAATTACATTAAAGAGCTTTGCAGAGCAAAAGAAACTGTCATCAGAGTGAATAGACAACCTACAGAATGGGAGAAAATTTTTGCAACCTATCCATCTGAGAAAGGTCTAATATCTAGAGTCTACAAAAAACCTAAACAAATTTAGATGTAAAAAACAACCTTTTAAAAAGTGGGCAGAGGGCACAAACAGATACTTCTTAAAAGAAGACACTCATGTGGCCAAAAAACATATGAAAAAAGCTCAACATCACTGATCATTAAATAAATGCAAATCAAAACCACAATGAGATACCATCTCACACCATTCAGAGGGCAATTATTAAAAAGTCAAGAAACAATAGAGGTTGGCAAGGTTGCACAGAAAAAGGAACACTTTTACACTGTTGGTGGGAGTGTAAATTAGCTCAACCATTGTGGCAGATAACATGGCAATTCCTCAAAGATCTAGAAGCAGAAATATCATTTGACCTAGCAATCCCATTACTGGGTATATACCCAAAGGACTATAAATCATTATATTATAAAGATACACGCATGTGTATGTTTATAGCAGCACTATACACAATAGTAAATACATAGAGTCAACCCAAATGCCAATCAATGATAGACTGGATAAAGAAAATGTGGTACATATACACCGTGAAATACTATGCAGCCATAAAAAGGAATGAGATAATGTCCTTTGCAGGGACATGGAAGGAACTGGAAGCCATTATCCTCAGCAAGGTAGTGCAGGAACAGAAAACCAAACACTGCACGTTCTCCCTTGTAAGTGGGGGCTGAAGGATGAGAACACATGGACACATGGGGGAACACAACACACACTGGGACCTGTCAGAGGGGGTGGGGGTGCAGAGAGCATCAAGAAGAATAGCTAATGGATGCTGGGCTTAATACCTAGGCGATGGGTTGATTGGTGCAGCAAACCACCATGGCACATGTTTACCTATGTAACAAACCTGCACATCCTACACATGTACCTGGAACTTAAAATAAAAGTTGAAGAAAAAAAGAAAAGAAATGCATAATTCAACTTCTCTTAAAAAAAAAAGAAATTAATCTCATTATTTGGACTATATATATAGAATATTAATGCTTATCATAAAGTCAAAATTTAATATATTTAACATAAACATAAGAGTTCTAATAATTTCATATAAACTTACTGTTAATTGAGAGGCATTTATAGTAGAACCTTTGTATTTTTTCAGAAAAAAATAAAACATCTGTATATAAATGGTATTTTATAGTTAAAATAAGATCAAGCTAAAACACAGGGAGGCCAGAATATATTTTAAAGATAAAAATTGTACTTATCTTCAGATGAATCAGATTGCCTTGCAATTTGGAAGAAAGTTTGTTGACTTCTATTTAAATAAAATAAAAATTTAATGTGTCTAGTTAAGGCCCATGTTTATCCTGTAGATGAACTCAGAAATAAAAATATCTTGGAGTCCTCCAATTAATGTGAATAGCTATACCCATACAAAGCTTTCCAGCAGTAGGTTATTTAACCTCACAATTATTCTGAACAAAAATTGTAAGGCAGTTGAGTAAGTGACTTTTAAACAAATTTTCCATAAGTTATTGGGGTACAGAAGGTATTTGGTTACATGAGTCAGTTCTTTAGTGGTGATTTGTGAGATTTTGGTGCATACGATGTTTGGTTTTCCATTCCTGAGTTAACTTCACTTAGACATCGTATGTTCTCACTGATATGTGGGAGCTAAGCTATGAGGATGCAAAGGCATAAGAATGCTACAGTGGACTTTGAGGACTTGAGGGAAAGAGTGGGAGGGGGGTGAGGGATAAAAGACTACAAGTATAGTGCAATGTATACTGCTTGGGTAATGGGTGCGCCAAAATCTCACAATGAATTAACAGCATTTGCAGCAACCTGGATGAGATTGGAGACTCCAATCTCATCCAGGTTGCTGCAAATGCTGTTAATTCATTCCTTTTTTTGGCTGAGTGGTATTCCATCATATATATGATGATATATGTGAGATATATATATATATATATATGTGTATATATATATATATATATCACAGTTTCTTTATCCACTGATTGATTGATGGGCATTTTAGTTGGTTCCATGATTTTGCAATTGTGAATTGTGCTGCTATAAACATGCTTGTGCAAGTATCTTTTTCGTATAATGACTTCTTTTCCTCTGGGTAGATACCCAGTAGTCGGACTGCTGGATCAAATGATAGTTCTACTTGTAGTTCTTTAAAAAATGCATTTCATGCAAATGGACACCAAAAGCAAACAGGGGCAGCTATTCTTATATCAGACAAAACAAACATTAAAGCAACAGCAGTTAAAAGAGATAAAGAGGACATTACATAATGGTAAAAGTCCTTGTCCGACAGGAAAATATCACAATCTTAAACATGTATGTACCTAACACTGGATCTCCCAAATTTATAATACAATTACTAATAGGCCTAAGAAATGAGATAGACAGCAACACAATAATAGTGGGGAACTTCAATACTCCACTGACAGCACTAGACAGGTCATCAGGACAAAAGTCAACAAAGAAACAATGGATTTAAACTATACCTTGGAACAGACATAACACATATATACAGAACATTTCATTCAACAACCACAGAATATACATTCTATTCAACAGCACATAAAAATTTCTCCAAGATAGACCATATGATAGGCCATAAAACAAACCTTAATAAATTTAAGAAAATTGAAATTATATCAAGCACACTCTCAGAGCACAGTGGAATAAAACTGGAAATCAACTCCAAAAGAAACCTTCAAGACCATGCACATACATGGAAATTAAATAGCCCACTCCTGAATGAGCATTGGGTCAAAAACAAAATCAAGACGGAAATTAAAAAATTCTTTGAATTGAAAGACAATAATGACACTAAACCTCTAGGATACAGCTAAGGCGGTGCTAAGAGAAAGGTTCATAGCCCTAAATGCCTACATCAAAAAGACTGAAGGAGCGCAAACTGACATTTTAAGGTCGCAATTCAAGGAACTGGAGAAACAAGAACAAACCAAACCCAAACCCAAATCCAGCAGAAGAAGGAAAGTAACCAAGATCAGGGCAGACTGAATGAAATTGAAGCAAACAAACAAAAAAATACAAATGATAAATGAAACAAAAGGCTGGTTCTTCGAAAAGATAAATAAAATTGATATATTTTTAGCAAGATTAACCAAGAAAAGATGAGAGAAAATCCCAAGAACCTCATTAAGAAATGAAACAGAATATATTAAAACTGACACCACTGAAATACAAAAGATCATTCAAAGCTGCTATGAACACCTTTACGCACATAAACTAGAAAACCTAGAAGAGATGATAAATTCCTGGAAAACTACAACCCTCCTAGCTTACATCAGGAAGAATTAGATACCCTGAACAGACCAATAACAAGCAACAAGATTGAAATGGTAATTAAGTGACTTTTTTAATAGCTTTGAGCATGCCCTTCTAGCAAAGTATACTACTGTAGTTGAAATTTGGTGTTTCATCTGTACCTTTATTTTTGTCAAACAGTTGTCTGGATGACTGCTTCTTTGGGTCAGCTGCATAAGATCTTCAGATTATTATTGAATAACTTCTATTAAATCCTTTGCATCACTGCCAGACCTTACCTGCTAAGGAAAACCAGAA
The DNA here is from genome assembly GCF_000001405.40 of Homo sapiens. Taxonomy (NCBI): domain Eukaryota; kingdom Metazoa; phylum Chordata; class Mammalia; order Primates; family Hominidae; genus Homo; species Homo sapiens. Next base: position 82,526,470 of record NC_000001.11, on the reverse strand, counting down.
GCCCTTTCTGTTTTTGTTTTTTGTTTTTTGTTTTTTGAGACAGGGTCTCACTCTGTCGCCAGGCTGGAATGCAGTGGCACAATCTCGGTTCACTGCAAACTCCGCCTCCTGGATTCAAGCGATTCTTCTGCCTCAGCCTCCCGAGTAGCTGAGACTACAGGTGCGTGCTACCATGCCTGGGTAATTTTTTTATAGTTTTACTAGAGACTGGGTTTCACCATGTTAGCCAGGATGGTCTTGATCTTCTGACCTCGTGATCCGCCCCCCTCAGCCTCCCAAAGTGATGGGATTACAGGCGTGAGCCACCGCTCCCGGCCTAGAAGCCCTTTTTTATGGAGAGTCACTGCTTACATTGAAAACTGATTGGATCTGCGGATCATATTCTCTTCCATAAATTTGGAGAACACATTTATTTACTGAGAATATCAGTTTTCAACTTTGGAAATTGGGTCAGTCAAAGCTGATTATTTCTAGCCTAGAATGATGACTTTTAATAACTTAGCAGAATAAATGAACACTTATAATCAAACTGTGTTCAATGGTTTGCCTTTCCAACTAGGACCATTCTAGCTGAATTGCTTTCTACTCATACACAGGACCTTTTGCATTTTAAGTCTTCCTTGCTTCCAAAAAATACAGCCAGGATTCATGCCACAGAATACAGCTTTTTTCTTCTCCTAGAATTCCACTTTAATCAACTAAGAAGAATTTGATTTCTGAGTTTATTAAAATAACATTCTCCACTGGTCCAGATATGATGTAACCTCACAAAATGACCATTCAAGTGATAACTTTTCAATATAATGGCTTTTCAAAATACCCATTTTGGATGCTATGACTTTTTACACACATACACACAGAATAAACATGTTATAAAAAGTGATGACTTGACATTGTGAGGTCAAAGACACATTCACCAATTTACCAGAATGAGCAATTTTCAGTTAAAGAAAAATACATTTGAGTAATGTATTATCTTTGGATGAACTCATATTATATTGCTTAGTTTATTTTATGGTTAATTTAGTTACTGTGTGTGTGCTGTTTTAATGTTTCAAAGCTTTATCATACACAGTCTTATTTTTACCTAAAATATTTACCTAAAATATATTTATCTAAAATAGTTTTACCTAAAAATATTTATCTGTGCTACAATTTTATTTTGAAGTGTGTAACTATGGGCCCCATAAAGTTGAAATGTTTGTGGCTGAAGATAATGCTGAAAAAATAAAAATTATAATTAACTATCACTATGTTGTATGTACAGAATGAATGTACTTTCAAATTTTGTTATTATTTGTTTTAATTGTTCAATTGACATATTTTCTATATGTAAAAATTGGGCATTTTGTGCAAAAATTAAATACACCATAATTTTCCTCATTAAATGAATAATTTTTAAAGAATTTAATGGCGGGCAGGACTCTGGCTTATGCCTGTAATCCCAGAACTTTGGGAGGCTGAGGGGGAGGATCACTTGAGGCCAGGAGTCAGAGACCAACCTGGGCAAGATGGTGAGACCTCATCTCTACGAATTTTTTTAATTTAAAAAAACTTTAATGGCCTTTTATTGAGGGACAGAGTTTTCAAAAACTTAAAGATGTTAAGTAAGGGAAATACACACACACACAAACACACACACATACACATTTATAGAAAACCTTGGTTATTCATAACAGTGACAAAAAGCTTCCTGGACATGATTGCTTTTATGACTTTTAGAATAGAATAGAATGAAATATATATACACATACTTTCTATATGATATAAAATATATTATTTGTATTATATTTACACACTTAGAACAACCTCTAGTGATTTTCACATAGCTGTAACTCACAAGCTGGTTAAAGATTCAGAAATCTATTGCTCAATGTTATTTCCTCTGTCTTCCAACTAGTGAAATTTTTAATTTGAGGAAAGCTAAGTCACCTTTTTCATTTGGCTTCTTTAACTATAAAATGAAGATGATGATAAATGCCACTCATTTCATTACATACTTCATAGCAATATTAAAAGAATTAATAAGATAATATAAAGTAGTTCTAACTCCTTAGAGATACTGGGCTGCATAAATCAAAGGTACTATTACAGTATTACTTCAATAATATACGAGGTGATAGCAGAAGAATAGCATTTATATATAGAAGGTTTCCATATGTAAATAGGCTATATAATATAAATCTTACAGTCAGTTTAGATGGTTGACATTATTGAGGTAATGAATTCTTTTAAAGTATTCTAAAAGGGAAAGAAATTCAAAAGTTAGATTGCACATGCCCGAAATTCTCTCTTAGAAGCAAGGAAGACTTAAAATGCAAATGCGCTAGGTTTCCTTAGTGCAAAGGCTCTATTAGAAAGCCATATCATGGCTTTACTCCATATCATATAAGATACATATATACAATAAATTCAATGAGTTAAACTAATTTTAAACTAAGTTAATTTGATTTAGTTTAATTAGGAGTTTTGTCAAACATCTAAATAAACCAATACTCTAGAACAACACAGAAAAGAAATATTCAGTCACATACATTATGTTGTACATCAAGAATAAGTGAAATGGTTAAAACTAAACTGGGGCAGGTCATCAAGTTTTTTATTTTTCTTTTGCTGTAGAATACTACATTAAAAAAATTGAAAGGAATTCTAAAAAATCCACAGATGTAGTTGTATAATTTAAGAAAGGCAGCATTTTTTCATTGGATGCAACAAATACCAATATGTTTTCAAAATGCAGTGACTAAACAAAATCAGAATGGTTTTAAGAAATTCTTAATGTATTATATGAAGTAACCAGATTAAGGAAGGCAAATTCAAATAAAAGAAAAATAAAGGCAGTAAAAAATACTGTAAAGTAATATAAGGATAATGAGATTGTGATAAGGGTTGATGAACATCTCCATAATGATTTGAAAATCTTTAGAGACTTGATAGGGATAATAGCCATTACAAATGATTGGTTCCTTCACAGTATTAAGGAATATTAAGTTCAGATAAAGATATGGTTTTCACTGGAACTCAGTCAATTATCAGCATCACTAAATCAGATATAGTCAAATTCAAGACTGTTAAATATATCACAGATCCTGTGTAATAACATCTTATTATTATTGAAATTCATTCAATTATCTTTGTAAAGAAGGAAGTGATTTTCAGAAGCTCTTTGAAGTAAATACAGGGAAGCAATTAAGTTATTTGAACAACTATAATGAAAAATTACCTGGTCAAATAAGTAAAATAGAGGATGAAGAGACAGTGGTAATTATAAAACTTAAAACAGAAAACAAATAGACAGCATTGCCCCGAGTAAGACTGAGTAGTTGCCAGCAAATTATCCTATTGATAGTGTCTGAGTGACATCACAGTGTGCCTAGGTCGCATCCTCAATCCTTCAGGCTTAGAAATCTTTTTTTTTTTTTCCTTCAGTATACTAGGAATGGGTAAACCTCTCAAAGACAGGTCCATATTAATCAAGCTTGTAAGACTGACATATAAAGCTAGAATTACATTTTCATGATTTTACAATGACACACACAACCATCAAGGGAACTGGCACTTACATTCTCCAGCTACTACTATTTTTCTCCCTGTAATCGCCCTATGTGGGCACATAAATTGTTTACCAAAAAAAGCAATCTGAAGCTCTACAGTCAGAGAAAACTGTGGTAAAGACAAAAAGAGGTGAACATATTTCACATGGTGCCTGGTGACAAAAACACCAACACTTGCTGGTGTTGTTTGGGTGTAGATGAGGGAAACAGATGAATCAAGGAAGTTGAAGAAGCCAAGTCAACACCATAGAGACTACTTCCTAGAAATTCAACTATCAAAAGGGACAGAGAAATAATGCTAGCAGAAGGATGCCAGAGAAACACAGAAGTTTGTTTTATTTGGCAGTATAGATTGTTATATCATGTATATCATAAATTATATGACAGCCATCATGTTATATCATAGATAACACCTGGGAAACTACAACTGAGGGCTTATAATGAGTATCTACTATGGCAACAGAACCAATGACTCTATGGTTAACTTTCCAACAATATAACAGCTAGAATCCTGACCTGCTCACTTCTCGCCAGCTTGCCACAGCACTTCCTTATTCTTCTATGCCTAGGAGAGTCTCTTATTTCAGGCAGACAGTCCATACTGCTACTGTTAATACTGTTGATGACTGCACCCCCTACTTCTAGCCTTTGGGTCTCATCCTCACTACCTCCAGTACAACTGGCTTGTCCAGATAGCTTCAGTTCTTGCACTGTAGTCTGGGCCTATACTACTGCAGCTTTTTTGGGAAAACTCATTCCTCGTGTATCAGTGATGAACCAATTCTCTCCCTTTTCTAGGGATATTAATGCAGACACTCCCCTCACTTCGTAACAAGCAAAGCCTGTTTACTTACAATTGGCTTGTTGACTTCACTTGGAACAACTCTGAATTCAAAAATCCATGTGGCCCAGCCTCAGAGCAGAATTACTGTCATATACATACAGCTCCATTAACCACTTTTTTCAAAGTGTTTTAATGGCATTTTGACACACTACAAAGGGGAAAGCTAGCCCACAACCATACTTTTAAAATACTATTTTTTCTCTCCATCCATATCCAACATAGTTACAGAAGATCAATTTCCTCTCTATCATAAATTTCCAAAACAAATTCTGATAAATTTCCTCTCACATTTTTTATCCACATTTAGAATCTTTTACTCCCACTTCTGACCTCCCTTTTCTTGATTTTGCATCTTGGATGTGGCACAGATGGAACTTCCTTGAGCAGATCACAGACAGGCTGTAAAGAATCACTTGTTAATTTCGATCTCCCCACACCTTAACAGCCAGAAAAAGTGTGACTTCTTTCTTTCACCCAACCCCTTATTGCATGGCTTTGGGGGAAATTCCCTAATCACATTAGTATCCATGTTTGACATTTTTGCCGAAGAAGAGTATTAATTTCTTCTCCTCCCATAGAGGAAATCTAGGGAAACAAAATATGAGAATAGATGTAAAAATAGATATGACTTGGGGGAGGAAAATGGAGGAAAGAGAGGCACTGGTATTTACACTATATGCTTTACGACTGTGATAATTCTACTGCTAATAAATGAGGACAGTGAGGAATCTGATGTGCTTTATAAAATACATCACTTCTCTGTTAGCGTGCACAGCCCTTCTTATCCTAAAGAAAAGAAGAACAAGATAAAAGAAAATATTAACAAGACATTTCTAAAATGAAGCAGGTGAAAAAAGTACTTATGACTGAAACAAGGAAAAACAGTTCCTTGGGAAAAATTTTAAATTATTGGGCTGACTTGCAAGTGAAAAATAAAATATTAGACTGGATGCTAAGGGGGCTGAAACCTATCAGAGATTTGGGAGGAAAATTATAGATCATAAACAAAAAAATCAACTCCCTGCTATGACCGCAACTCAGAAAACAGTCTCCAAGGGCCCCAAGGATGCTTCTTTTATTTTGCTGTAAAATAATTCTTATGATTGGAAGACTGGAAAATGCTCCACTAAGACTAAGAATAGTAACTACAGGACTGACAACAATCTCTGAGCGTCTCATAAAAGTAAGTAATTTTTTGGCAAGAGGAGAAAAGTCTTGGAATATTCTACATTAATGGAAATGGGCAAATGGAAGATGAGCATATTAAACTGCTAACTTATTGTTTCAAATGAAACACTTTGGGGCCCTAATTCCTGGAATCCCATGCAAAAGCTAAAGAGTTATAGAGGCAGAGAACTGAGTTTTCTGTAGTTTCTCATTGTCCAGAGCTGAAATCTTCTAGCTGTAGTAGGAAGCTTGTAAAAACTACAGACTTTAGGGAACTAGCCCCAGAAATTCTGATTCAGAAAGTATAGGATGGAGTATGGGAATCTGAATTTTTAACAAGCATCCCACATGGTCTTAATGCAGGCATCCCATGAGCCACATTTTGAGACACTAGTCTAAAAAAAATCAAGCTGGAATTTTTTAGTAGGGGATTCAAAGCCTGCAACATTCCAAGTATTAATTACCTTTTCCATCCTGCCTCTCAGTATATCCCTCCACAGCCTTTCTCTCCAGCCATTCAGCCTATTGACCATCAATCATTCTATGCCTTCAGGCTGGCTCACCTGTTGGACTCAGCTTAAAAGGTTTTCCCTGTTCCAATGCATCAAGGTTCTACTTAAACGATATCTTCTGCATTTTAACATTTTCTTTATTTAATTACACTACCTTTCATTTAAAGATACTTGCATTTTGAAATACTTTGTTGTTACTTACTACTTCATCTTGCTTTCACTTGATCTTGTATTATAGATCTTAGCGAGTTGGCTTTGTATCTGCTGCTTCTAGTGGTTTTTAAGCTCTTTGAGAAAAACACATACAAGCATTTCAAAAAATATTTGTTTGGTTGAATTAATACTGCATTTATACATGGTTCATATTTGGCACCTCAAAATCTTCCCATTATTATAACCAAGGAAGGAAACACAATCTTAGTTAGCATAAGCCGAGTTTGAATGTCTGATCAAAAGTAATCTAGGAGTTCCCAAAAGGAGAGTTAACTGCTTAGACCTCTGGGTGGACTCTGTGTTGTACTCTGCTCATCCAGAAAGGTGAGAGGTCCACGGAGAAATATTTTCCTGTGCTCGGCTCTTGGTGAATTGCCTAGGCTGAAGAGAGCTGTCTTATCCAAAAGGGTCACATTCCCTTTATTGGGAGGCCTGCATCAAATAACTGACCTACAGGATGAAATAAAGGCCTAGCCCTCGCCCCCTAATGCACAACAGCTCTGAGGGTTAATTGCACCTTTAGAGCTCCCTTCAGGGAGGTCAGCTGAATTTCCCACTGAGGCTTCATTGTGGCCTGACTTCTCCCTCTGCCCACACCTGCATCCCACTCCTCTCTTCTACAGGCATTGCTCTTAATAGTACTCACTATCGCGATTTTTGTATGCTAATTTCTTTCTCAGAGACTGGTTCCTGGAGAACCCAGCTTGTACCACTGCTTATAAGCTTATATTTGCTGACTTTGTGCCTAGAATCCTCTTCACCCTTACTTAGCTAGCATGAACATTATGAGAAAAAAAAACAATCAACAAATGTTTATTTGCTGTCAGCTCTGCATCCATTTTTTTTTTTTTTTTTTTTTTTTGACAGAATCTCTCTCTATTGCCCAGGCTGGAGTGCAGTGGCATGATTTTGGCTCACTGCAACCTCTGTTCCCTGGGTTCAGGCAATTCTCATGCCTCAGCCTCCTGAGTACCTGAGATTACAGGTGTGTGCCACAATGCCTGGCTAATTTTTTGTATTTTCAGTAGAGAAAGGGTTTCACTATGTTGGCCAGGCTGGTCTTAAACTCCTGACGTCAAGTGATCCATCCGCTTCGGCCTCCCAAAGTGCGGAGATTACAGCCGTGAGCCACCACGCCCGGCCTGCGCCTGTTCTTATATATACATTCCTCATGTTAATCCTTCAAACATCCCAAACTTGTAGGTGCCACTGGCACATCCATGCCGTCAGAGCTCAGTCCCAATATTGAATCCTTGGCCCCTCTCCCTGACTACCCTGTCAGAAACACTGCCCTCTCCACTTCCCCAACAGGGCTTCCTTATTGCCTCAGTCTGGTTTATGCTGCTGTAACAGAATACCTGGGACGAGGTAATTCATAATAAATGGAAATTTATTTGTGGAGGCTGGAAAGTCCAAGATTAAGGTGCCAGCATCTGGCAAAGACATCCTTGCAACGTCATCGCATGGTGAGAAGCAGAAGGGCAAGAGTACAAACCCACTCTCTCAAGCTCTTTCTGTGATGACATTAATCTATTCATTAGGGCAGAGCCCCCATGACTCAAACACTTCCCAACAGGCCCCACCTCCTAACACTGTCTCATTGGGAATCAAGTTTCCAACACATGAATTTGGGGGGACACATTCATACCATAGCATATATTTTGCTTTTATTTTAATTTATAGCATCTATTACTACCTGAAAGTATTTGTCTTGTTTATTTGCAGACTTAAGGTTTGTCTCTAGTAGAATGCAAGCTATAGAAAGGCAGGGACTTTGTCTTATGCACTGTTTCAGCACCAGTGCCCGCAACAGACACTGGTAGATCCTCAAAACTTAACGATTGAATAACAAAATCTTAATACTCAATGGACAAAATATTTTTATAAGTAGATGGCTTGCATATAAACCAAATTTTTAGAATCTGTTTTCTCAAGAAATCGCTTACTTCTTACTATGAAATAATTTAAAATGACTAATACCTAAGTTGGGCTAAAGCAAGGACTGTGAGTTTCACACAGAAGTTCTGCAAGCAGAAAGCTGACAAATTCTCAGAAAGGAGAGAATGAGAGAAAATTCATTCTAATAAGTGAAATAATCTCTAGCCAAATTAGCAACAAATGGTGAGGGTAGAGTGTGATGGATAACAATATACTATAATTTAGGACATTTAACAGTGTACAATGACACTACATTCTTGAGGGGGAGCTTTTTGAAAAATCAGTGTGAAGACTCCCACTGTTGAGGCTGCAGCTGTTCTGTGGAGTGGCAGAGAGATGTTCACCAGAATTTTGAACTCTGTCTAACAAGCGCCTCCAAGCTTGTGAACTCCCTGCCGTTTGCCTGTTAGCCTCCTGTCTGGTAGAAAGACTGCGGCTGCTGTGCTGACATTCATCACTGAGAGTTCTGGCCCGGTGCTGCCACTCCCAGGCCGACTTACTCACTCAATATCAGCATGTCGGAGCACTAGACAGAAGTTGTCTCTGGGGTGGCCAGCAGTTGAGGGGAGGAGACCAGGGTACGAGGAAAGGCGATTTTTCCCCTAGTATGATCCTGTTCTAGCTTAAAACCATAGAAAGCATTTCAAGGTGGTCTCCCAAATAACCTTTGAAAAAGAATGCATTTAAAAGTCTCCGTATGATAGAAAAAGAGGGGAAACCTATTTGGGTCTTGTATTATCAGTGAATGAGATATTTTCTTGAAAGAAAGTGGAGAACCAAGAAATAATCACTTCCAAGACACGCAGATGCCCACTGGCAAAATTGTTCTTAAGTTTAGATTTAATACAATAACACATCAGGCAACTAAAATACAAAGGAGAGGATATCTTTAAATGTCACTCCTTAAGTTGGGGAAAAATTAAAGCGAGTAGAAAATGTCTCTCACAAAACAATACAAAAACCTCCATAGGTAGTCAGGGGAGTTACAGCAAGAAAGAGAAAAGAGTCAGCCAAGGTTCTGTATCCAGTCTTACGCTTACATTTCTCAGATTAATTCTCCACATCTGCCTCGGAGGAATGTATTGTCTTAGCATCCATATGTGGAAACTGAGGATCAGAGAAGTCAGGCGGGTCAGCGTAAGATATGAAAAGCCCCGGATGACGGAGCCACGTGGGCCTTTGCCCTCTAGCACACTAAGCGTCCATGCCCGGATTTCTCCCTGTTTCTGAAAAACAATGAGTGGTTCTGTACATTTAGAATTTTCCAATCCAATACTTCATATATTTGGAATATTCTTTTCCCTTCCTTCTTTATGTTCTACTTGCCATTCATGCCTTAGGGTCTGTCAGTTTAAATGTTTCTTCCTCAGGGAGGCCTTTCCTGACACCCCTTAGGACTAAAGATCAGCACTCCCTACCTGGCAGTGGCAAATTTAGGGAAAAAGATATAAATATATTTTCATTTATATGTATAAATGTGTATGTGTGTGCATATATATATATATATATATATATATATATGCCTGTATATATGTGTGTGTGTGTATACTTTATTTAGTAAAAGTATTTCCCATGCAGTATTTTGAACATATTTATACTAAAAATCATTTGTTACTGATTGTGAATTCAAATGTTACTGGACATTCTGAAACTTACCTGGCAACCCTTGCCTCCATCCCCCAGAATTGTGTCTATCTTAGGTCTCCTTCTAGTTGCCCGTACTTGAGATCATTACTCACATTTCAATTATAAATTATTTGTGGGATTATGTTGTTTAATGTCTATCTTCCCCACTAAACAGTGTTTCAGTGCTCATCCTTGTAATTTTGATAGCTGGAACAGTGCCTGACTAATAGTAAGGGCTCAGCAAGTCTGTCCTGAATAAATGGTGACATAAAGTCATGATCAAAACATCAGTATATGTGCCAAAGTCCATGGTTTTTTTTCAGCCGTCCAGATGGTAATATATGAAAGGTAGATATTTGTCACAACATGTAACATAGACATTTATAAACATTGAAAAGCCAATTCTGTTGATCACAGTGATAAAAGAGGAAAATACTATTAGGTCAAAATCTCTTTTCTAATTTTGATAATGTTAATTGCTCATTCTTCATCCCAGATATTTTCACAGTAAAATTGTTGACACTGTTGACATTCTGTTTTATTTGATAGAAACTTAAATATTGGTCCCTGCAGGATCTGGACATGGCAATTCCCTTTAATGGAATACAGTCTTAATGTTGAAAATATGGCACACAGTGTTGTTATTGGTTCTGTTCATGTACAATAATTTCTAAACCATGCAAGGTTGATTTATAGATCCTATGTCCTTGCCAAAGGCTTAACATTTCCAAATAGGCTTTTGCACAATGAGGTGTAAAGTTCATGGGCTGCTGTTGCAATGAGCTTTACATAAGCAACCTCCAGGAACTGATTCAATAGCCAGCTCTAAACTTTTGAATAGCCAAGACCCACAGTGCTGCTGTCAACTTTGGTTAAGCTGGTTGTATTATTTTTGTAGAGCAAAGCAGAGAATACTCTGGATAAACATATTTGATATTTTCTTCTGAAAAATTTTATGACAGTGTGTTCTTTTTAAAGTTTTATTAAAGCATCATTTATACACGACAAATTGCACAAATTTTAATGCAATATTTTGATGAGTTTACAGCCATGTACCACAATTAATGTACTAAATATATTCACCACCTCTGAAACTGTCCTCTTGTTTTTTGTTTGTATTTTGTTTTGGGGGCAGAGGCAATAAGAACACTTAATATAAGATCTATCCTTCTAACATATTTTAAAGTGCGCAATAATGTATCCTTAAATATAAAGATAATAGTATGTTTATAGCTATACAAAAGAGAAAGTACATCTCTTATGGTGAAACCATTATTTGAAGACAGATTTGTCACATACAAATATCCAGTCCACCAATATTGTCACCAAGAAAATTCCCAGACCTTTCTTGTGTATGTGTACAAATGAGTAGCTTCATATATTCATGGTCCCTGGCATAATAACCTTTGGTGCCTCCTCTATAACTATTGGACTTCCCTTGTTTGTGGAAATTCCCCCAAAGGTCTCATGTTCTTCAACTCTTACGTTCTTCTCTCTGTACACTTCATCTGCACCACTTCTGTAAGAAAACTGTTTCTAAAACCCAGGCTAATTTCAGCTGGAATTAGTGCTGAGAATCCAAGACTGAAGGTCTGAAGTTCAAAAGATGCCCCACTTCCTGCTTTGCTCAGAGCAATTATTCATATGCAGTATGTCTACTTCTCCCCATCACACAAACAACAAAATTAATATTTGTTCTATTTACTTCTCATGACTTTTTGGGAAAATGAAATGAGTTAATAAGTGCGAAAGCATATTTAAGAAAGTTGAAAGTGCTAGACAGCCATATGATACTTACAATTCTTTCTGAACATGATGCTAACTTGCATTATAAGACCGCTATTTAGAAAGACAAGAGCAAACATAAATCTATGCATTCCAAGACAAGCAAACCAATAGAATTTTAAGAAGTCATTTATCCTTTTTGAAAAGATAAACCTATTTGGAGATTACATATTATATGATTTGTTTTCAAATCTGAAACAATCATCCATAACATTGCCTCTGGCCATAATTAGTATTAGAAACATTAGTCATTTATCAAATACATGCTGGCTAAATTACTAAGAATATTTCAGAAGATATTGCATCCAAAACTTGTCAACTTAAGGAACAAAGTAAAAGTCTGGGCTTTTAAAATATAGATAAGGTGTACTTAAAATCAGTTTTTATTAAGCTTATAGGCAAAGTTTCTACTGATAATTTTACCATTATTATCTTCAATCTTGATATAATAATGGAGTTTGAGAAGAACTAGTAGAATCTCATGTATGCAGTTGAAGAGACTGAGGATCAAGTGGGTAAAACCTACTTCCTGGCAGATCAGAGATCCCAGCCTAAGTTTCTCTGGCTAATCCCTTGTTCATGCTTCACTGTAGTTGCGTACTGGCATATCTTCAGAGTTCAATAAAGATTATAGTCAGTATTTACAAATTGCTCCAGATATGTTGAATTAAATAAACTAACTGGAATATCATCTGAATATGCAAAATAATGATTGAGAATTAAACTAAGACAGTATATTGTGTTGTGGGGTAAAAGTAGGGGGATTTGGTTTGAGAGTTAAGAAGGGAAAGTGCTGTTACATGATACTTTTAAATTAGATTGTTTAATTAAATTGAATTAACCTTTAAAAAATCCTCATATAAGTCTGAGTTATAGCCATAGATATATTCAAAGCATATATATATATATACACACACACACAAACATCTCCCATATATGTGTGTGTGTGTGATCCACTGATTTACTCAGCAACTATTAATTGATCCCTTATTATATTCCACCCAAGCATTGGGTATGCCTTTGAGCATATATAAATGAAAGATACAGCATTTCTCAAGGGGCCTGTAGCCAAGTGGAATGATTGAAGTATGCATCAATTAACATAAAATCCAATTTCTGAGTAGTTCTTTGAAAAGTATTGATACTTTTGCAGAACATTATACTGGAAGAACAAGCTCAGGGCTTTCAAAATTTAAAATATTAGAATAAGACATACATACTAAACTACATTATAAAGCACTAACTTAAATATGGATTACTTATGGTTTCTTTGGAAAAATGTATGAAAGGGAGATGTGAAAAAAGTAATTTCTACTGCATCTTTTAGTCTCAAGAAACCAGAACTAATGTTAAGATGTCTTATTTCTTTTTAAAGCTAGAGTTTTAAAAATGTTAGCACCAGGTACTTTTCATGAGTTAAAAATGATTAACAATGATATAAAAGCCAATATGACATAAACAGAAGCTGATGGAAAATTGAAATTTTTAGAAGAAAATTTGTTTCTTCTGTCAAATGTCATCACTTGGTCTCATTTTCAGAAGTTTAGCCGTATTGTCTGAAGCCATGAGTTCTTTAATTTTTAAAAAATACAAATTCAACAACCTGTTCATTACTTTTTCACACAAAATATTAAATTAAATTACTCCTCTCAAAGACTGGACAAATTCATTTCATAAAGTTATGTCTATGTACTAGTGATACCAATTTCATCACTTACTTTCATTTGTTTAAATAAAAAATGCTTTAAAAGTTGTATCTTAGTTTCAAATAACATTTGAACCAGATAGTTATGCTTGTCTTTTAAAGTAAAACCAGTCAAGATAAGACTTATGTTACAAATGATTTACCAATAAATGTCAAAAATACATTTCTTCTAACAAGAAAAGGCAGAAATTATAACAAGTGACATTTTTTTCCTCTCTGTATATTTTCTACAGAAGACATCTGCTGTTAACAAATTCATGACATCTACTCAGCCATTTTTATTTGAAAGAAAGGGAAATGCCCATTATTTTACTGAAAGATTCTTGATTATTACTAACAAATTCTAATTTATTCTAATTGTTTTCTCTCTTCATTCCACTGATTTCTCCTTTAGATGCTGATAATGGCTGTCCTTTCCTTGAAATATTTTTATGAATGGTTTTCAGAGCAGCCACCAGTTTTTCTCTCTCTAAAATTTCTTATATTTTATTTCCTCTTAGTATCTTTTAATTGTGCACATTCTGTAAGATTCAGCCTTAATTATCTTGTTTTTCTTTACTTCACATACGTCTCTATCCAACATAGAGGTGTATGTCACATACCTTCTCTATCCAGCAAAGGGGAGAGCTCTTTTCTCCTCAGGGTTCTGACTTTTATGTCTATACTAATAAGTAGAACTAAGATTGTCACTTCTGCTTTCTATACTCATTTCTAGGTTCACATTTCAAATGCTTTTGAGATATTTACACTTGAAAATCCCACCCAAATCTCAAACTCAGTATGTCCACGTTGAGCTTATTATCTATATATCCAAATCAACTCTACTTCCCTACTGTTCTACCTTTGTCAGAGAAACCATATTTAAATTATTAGAGTTCTACATCTTGAACCTTCTTTGATTATTTTCTGGATCAAAGAATGTTCCAATTCCAGAAGTTCTATATTGAATTTTTATTTTAATAAATCTTACACAATTTTTTTAAAAAGCCAAATTTAAAGAAGACATTAGCCAGTAATCAATTAGCTAAGAGAAAAACAATTTCCAATTTAATTGGTTAAAGGGACTCTGCTGTGTATTCTCAATGATAAAATAAAAATGTCTTCATTGCCTTGAGATTTCAGAAACGGAAATTATAAGTATCAGAAGAAGTAGGCAATTTTTTAAAAAAATTTTGAATCACTATCTCTTAAATAAATGTTAAAAATTTAACATGAATTTAAGACTGTAGGTTTTCTTTATTCTTTCAGCTGTCTAATCATTTCCAATCCTTTTAGACTCTCATTGAACAAACCCTACTTCTGAAAGTGCTGGAGATTTTAAGGAATAATGTATCTTTTCTATTATTTTGCATGGAATAATAATATATTAGCCAGAAACCATAGCTACAAATAAGAGAGTGTTCTGTGTGAAAATTCATGTAGTGAAATAACATCAGCTCCAAATTAAACCAGCTAGATTCCAGAAAAGTGTGTTACAGATGGTAGTAACATAAGGTTTATAAAAACACAAAATGCAGTATTTTTAACAAACATGCTTGCTTCCAATTTTTTTAAATAAGTAAGTTTTGTATGGCTTAATGTTTCTCCACCAAAGTTTCTTTCAGCACACAGCTTTTCCTCTTCAGGCATCTCCCAAACCTAGAATTAAGTATCTGAAATATACACTGTAGAACCACCAAGATTTCTGTAATCGTTATAGCTTCTAGTATAACTCTAACGTGTAACCTTTTCTGAAGTTTTTTTTTTTTTTTTTTTAATTCCTATTAGTCCTTTACCTTCTATTTGTTCTCTTAACAGCTCATTTGGTGGGAGAGAGGGATGTTGTTCAATAGTATCACAGCTGGTTTTCTCTAGTTGGTAACTACCTGCATATTACACTGGATTACCCTTTTATTGCAAATACAACAAATAGCCTTGAGCCACTCTGCTGTTCCAAGGATTTTAAAAAGTTCTCCCTCATCAAGTATTGACTTTGTGCAACTTTTGCCACCAGGTGCAAATTGTATTTCAATCGCATGCTGATCTCCAGGAGAGGTTTGTTTATGCAGTCATTCTCCAGGGATGCTGGATGTACAATGCTTTTTGTTCAAGAGTAGCTGATGCTTTGTAGAGCTTTATGGAGACTTACAAGTCAATAGCTGGCTCTAGGGACTCACAAAAATTATGTAGTGCTCCATAAAAAGTGGCACTGATACTATACCACACTCAATGAGAAACTGAAGGTGTGCAATAGAAGAGAAGTCACCCAGACTAGAGTTGGATGGTAGTCTATGAAAAATAATTAAGAAGATCCTCCTTTTCAAGACATCCCTATCCTGTTCGAGCTCCAGTCGTAATCACACTATTATCACAGTGTAAGTAAACACAAAAGCCTATCTTTTAAGTCTTCTATCTGTCTTTAGATTCTAAGAATAAAAGACCTTTTGTAATATGTATTTTCATTGTCATAAGTTTTAACAAAGTCCCTATTCTCTTTGAGTAAAGATAGAAATGAAAATGAAACACAGACATCCTGTACTGAAGCTACTTTGGAAATGAACTAGAACAAGCAGTGATAGTTTTGAGATCTTACAAAGTTTTGAACTCATTTTTTTTTTTTTTTTTTTTTTTTTTTAGACAGAGCCTCATTCTGTTGCCCAGGCTGGAGTACAGCAGCATGAAAACAGCTCACTGCAGCCTCTACTTTCCAGGCTCAGGCTCAGGTGATTCTCCCACCTCAGCCTCCCAAGTATCTGGGACCACAGGCAGGTGCCACCATGCCTAGCTACTTTTTCTGTTTTTTTTGTAGAGTTGGGTTTCCCCCATGTCGTTGAGGCTGGTCTCGAACTCCTGGGCTCAAGCCATCTGCCTACCTTGGCTTCCCAAAGTGCTGGGATTATAGGCATGAGCCACTGCGCCTGGCCCAGTGTATTTTAATAATACTAAAATATACGTATTTAATAAAGTTTGGAGAACTAGATCACTGTATGCTAAAAAGACTGTCATATTTAAAACATTCTTACAGAAATGTAAATAAATTTGGAGGGCATTCTAATCCCAAGCTCCATGTCTATTCTCATTGTTGGGAAATTTTAAAAAACAAAACAAAAATAATAAATTTTAAAAATTAAAACTTATTCAATATTAGTTCAACATAACTGATGTTTTTGAGTATTCATTATAGGCCAGGCATTCTGCTAGGCATTAGGATACTACGTGAATAGGACAGCTTCTGCCCTTGAGCTAGCTCCTGCACTTGAGTCTGGTGAGAGAGAGAGGGATGTGAATACTTCATTCCAATAGGATATGGTGACTGCTAATACAGAAGGAAGCCCAGGATAGTCAAACCTTGGTTTTAAGACAAGTTTTTTTTAGAAGATGGTGTCTAGGTGGCAATTTCATATGATTCAACATAATAGATTATTTTGGCCTAAGGAAGGATAATGGATTTTAGGAAGGTAAGACCAGCAGAGAGAAGGTAGAAGACGCTTGCAGTAACATATGGGGTTAGAGTCTGGGATCGTGCGATGGAAACACCCAGAAAGGAAGGCCACATTTAGATGATTGCAGAATGAGTCCATTTCTCTCTGTCACAGTTTCCCATCTTTCTCAGCTTTCACAGTTGAATATATATTATTGTCTCCTTGCTCACTCATACAGACTTTGCTAAGTATTTGTAGGAATTTAAATGAAATCTTTCAAAGTTCACCTTGACTCTACATTTTGAGTGGCTTTTTTTCTGAGTTTACTAAAAAACAGTTTGACCCTATATTTCTAGCCATTGCTGGCTTGGGTGTCGTTTTCTAAGGTAAAGATTTTAGAATCTCAATGTGGCTATGTTGCTTTGGGAACAGAGTAGAAAGAAATAAACCCAAACTGTGATTTTACTGTGGTGATCTGAAGAATGGCTTATTATTTGAAACTGCTTCCCTACATATCAATTAGCACACAAAAGAATTTGAAATAACTGAGATATTCACATAAAGAAATACACTATAAATCTCTGCAACATCTTTGATATAGGCAAATTAAGAGAATTTGAACCTAACCAGGGCTTTAGAATGATAACTATTTTATCTCTTTTATTAAAGACCACCAGGAGAACTAATAATTGAAATGTTATTTGTAACAGCCTCTGTTTTGGATCTAAATCTCATAAACTTTGTGTTATTAGCATTGACCATTAATTTGCACTGCATCAATTGAATCTCTAGCAGCTTGGCCATAGAATTAAACTACCCCTAGGCAGGACTTATAAATAGACAATTATGTACACTTCATGTACATAATTGATGTTCAGTATGTAATAACAAAATATTATATTATTGGCTTAGAACTAACATACTTCATTCTGAATAATCACTTCTGATTAATGTAAGCTTATTTTATCTTCATCTTCCTAACTTTTATAATCTCTGACATAACTGAGCATTATCAATATAAGCTAATTTCCACAATAACTGTAAAGAGTGCAGCATTTAAAAACTGAAAATGAATAGCTACCATTATCCACACTTACATGCCCTAGGCACCTCTACAGGGAATGGGGTAAGGGAAGCTAAGAAACTTTCATCTTCTTTATAACTTTGTGCAATGTAAGCCCACTTTACTAGCATTAAAGTTCTTTCAAAAAGGAGAGAATTTTGATTTGGGGGTAGTATTCAAACATATTAAAGACAATGGGAGTTCTAAAGTAAATGTCTGAATGCTCTAGGATAATCCAATTGAAGCAACAAATGTTTACTAAACAGCCACTGTTGCTTGGACACTATTTTAGGTCAAGATAATATTTCTAATTCCATGGATCTAACATTGTAATAAAACTGACAACACACAAATGAGTAATTACTTATTAGTGACAGTGATAAATTACATATACATAATAAATCAGTAAAACATGTGGTGAATGTCTGCAAGTGATATTTTACATAGAATGGTCAGAGATGGCATCCCTGTGCAAGGTGACATTTGGTGACAAGGTGACATGAGAATGAGTAAGCCATATAGAGATCTGGTAGAAGAGAGGTTCATGGTAGAGAACAGCAAATGAGCCAATTCTAAGGCGCTGGATTGAGAATGGGCTTGGATGCTATAAGGGAAAAAAAGAAAGGCGATATATTTGAAGTTTTGTGAGCATCTTGGAGAATGAATGGAGATTATATCTAAAGAGTCGGAAAGCTCAAATTCAATATGGTTCTATTGGCAAAAAGAAGGCGATTAGATTTGGAAGTTTCCATATGCAATCCAAGATCAAATTTTCTATTTCCTCTGTCTTCAAAATATATCCAGAATCTGACCTATTCTCATAGATTCTACCACTGTAGTCCTGTTCAAGCCATCATAGCTTTTCATCCGGAATTTTATAATAATCTCATAAATTACATCCTTTCTTCCACCCTTGCACTCTGTTCTTAACATGTCATCCAGTGATCCTCTTAAAACAAAACCATTGGCCGGGTGTGGTGGCTCACACCTGTAATCCCAGCACTTGGGAGGCCGAGGTGGGCGGATCACGAGGTCAGGAGATGGAGACCATTCTGACTAACACAGTGAAACCCCGTCTCTACTAAAAATACCAAAAATTAGCCGGGCGTGGTGGCATTGCTTGTAGTCCCAGCTACTCAAGAGGCTGAGGCAGGAGAATCGCTTGAACCCCGGAGTCGGAGGTTGCAGTGAGCCGAGATTGCACCACTGCACTCCAGCCTGGGCGACAGAGTGAGACTCCATCTCAAAAAACAAAACAAAACAAAAACATCCATATGGCCCATTAACTGTGCTTTTCAGTAAATTAGAAAAAAGATATTTACTAGGGGCAGATGTGTTTGAAAAAGGAGCCCCATCTGGACAGAAGAATCAGAAAAATTACCTCCCTGGGATTTCAATCCCTTTCATCACTTCTGTCATCCTTTTATGCAGTGCATCAAGCATACATCTGCAGAAGACGACTAGCCAGATAGTCCCCACACCCTTTTCCTGTTTTATATTTTTCCACAGTTCTTAGCTTCTAAAATATGACTTGACTAATGTTTTCATTGTCTTACTTCACCCTCTGCTCCTACTAGAATGTCAGTCCCACAAAGGCATAAATTTTAGTTGTTTTATTGACTTCTTTGGCAACTGCCAGTGTAATCCTGGCACATAGCATGTTCTCAATAATATTAGGTAAGTGAATGATGAACATGACTGTAACATTTTAACCACTCTAGTTGCTACTGGAGAATGGATCTTAAAGCACCAAGTATTGATAACAGGAAAATTATTCAGGAAGCAATACAGGAATCTGAGAGATGGTCATTTGCATCAGGGTGATGGCAAGATAAATGGAAAGAAATAGAGATATGGAGGCCAATGAAGAAATGGAAATGGACTTGGAATCTATTTTCATTGGTAAAGTGGACAATATTTGTTGACAGATTGTATATGGAAAAATGGAAAAGGGGAGAGTCAAGGATGACTTGTAAGGATTTGATTTGAGTAACTAGGTGGATGATGATGCAATTTACTGAAATAAGAAATGCAGAAAAAAGGGATTTGAGTGCAGACGAACGTAGTGGCATGGAAAGTAGGACATATATCACTTACTGATTATTTTTATTTTCCTCTTATTCTTCTACTTCTCCTTCTCCTTCTTTGTAATAAACCAAACATATACAAATAAACCTTTACACTCTCTTTTTTTGTTCTTTTGGATTTATGCTCAGAAAAACCTTTCTTACTCTGAAGTAGTTATGTATATTTTTAGTTATTTTAAGATTTTCGTGTTTTTATATTCAAATTGTTGAATCATTTGGAATTTATTTGGACATGTAACATTGAGTCCTAATTTAATTTTTCCCAAACATTTAACCAATTATCTCAGAAACTTTTGTTCATTTATTGAATTACTGTTTTTTCCCCACACTTAGAATTTTTCTTTTTTTCATATACCGTATTTTTATATATGCTTGAATATGTTTCTGGGACTTCTTTTTGTTCTGTTAATGTGGCTATTCTTTCCAAAATATCATGATGTTTTTATTAATGTAGTTAGGTCTTCTTCAGTTTTCTTATTTTCAAAGTTGGATTGTTTCCTCTTAATCGTTTATTCTCTCTAATAAATCCCTCTAGGATTCGGATCTATTTTTTCCATCCCAATCAAATTACCTCAGTTAAATAATGTGGTCTCCACTTCTCTTTCAAGCTCCCTCTTCCTCCTCTCTCAAGCTTTCTCAATGGTCTGGTCATAAAGGGCTATGTAGGGTTTATATCTCTTGGCCTTAAACTTGCTATTTATCTTCTTAGAATACTTTTCTCTCTGCCTAGGGAACCTCATACTCTTTCTTCCAGACTCAAATTAGGGGCGGATGCCCCTATCAAGCTTAGTTTAGTGGCTCCATTACTGATGCTTTTATAGTAGTGTAGACATCTTACTGTATTGTAATTTCTCATTCTTGTGTCTTTGTCCTTCACTAAACTGTATCTTCAGTTCTTGTCCATGTTTGTGTCTCCAGTACCTCTCACATTTTTCATCATTTTGAAACTGTTGAATACATTTTTTTATTGAATTAATGAATAAATGTGTGAAGATTGCTGTTTTGGCTTCCATCAATCTTCACTTTTCCAGACTAAAAAGTCTCGGTTATTTTAGGTAGTTTTAATGTGACACTTCACAATTCTGGCAATTCTTAATGTGTAACTATTTCTTAAGTGACCTAACTGATAAAATGTCAAAATGGAATGTGCAACTCCAAATATTAACTAAGCCCTAGAAAAGCACAATTGGTCTTTATTTTCTTGGAGTAGACATTATACTACTGTTAAATACAGCTTTAAAATTGTCTTAGCTTTTTCAATAGCTCTGTCACGCTATGGGTTCGTATGAAGTTTGTGGTCAACTAAATCCACAGGAATTTTTCATTGAATTATTGTTTTCTATGCCCATCTATCCTTATTATAAACACTATTAAATGCAAAACTTTACTATATGTGTGTTCAAATTTACCTTTTTTATTCATTCTAGACTATAGAGATAATTATAAATTATGATTTAATCACCAAACATAATATCTAGCCTACTAAATCTGCAAATTTGCTAAGCATGTTTTCTCTTTCTTGACTCCAATCAGTTACACTAATTTTGGATATCCCAGAGCCCTGTGACACAGGACTGGAGATCGCAGCATTTCAATGATATTCCCTCAAACTATCTTTTTCCACAGGATGTATAAGTTTTATGAGAGACTTTGCTAAAAGCCTTGCTGAAATCTATGACATCCTCTTCATCTATCTCCTTAGCAATCTTAAAACCCTTTTTGAGACTTGGCTTAATGGAGAATAGAAATAACAAATCCCAGATCCGAATGGTATTTTTGATACATTTTATCACAGTAAAAACTGTAGTCAGAAATAACTCTGGCACTATGTCCATGTAATTTTTTGTTTCTGCCCTTTCCATTCTGCTTGCTTCATCTGCAGGATGACTTTACTTGTGATAGTAAAATGGCTACAGCAGTTTAGGCTTCTGAAACCCACATTATCCAGAAAGATAGCATTTCCCAGTGCCAAATTCCTGGACAAAGTATTGGACTTTAGGCTGATTGAACCACTCTATCCTATTCTTGTATGCTAGGGAAAGTCATGCCACAGTTGCTCAAGCTTGAGTTACCTGAATCAATCAACATCCATGCACATGAGACTGCATTAGTGGATTGGGTCAATTCTTGTCAAAATCCATTGTCGCTACGTGGTATAAGTGGAACATAGTGGAAGTTGAGAAGAGGATTAGCAATGTCTCCAACAGACACTGGCAGGGTAAAGGCAAACCCATAGGCAGGATATGAGAGGTCAGTTTTGAGATAGTTGTAGGTTTCTGGCTGGGGTAATTCATCAGGGCATTATATATATGGTCATGCACTGGAATTTACAAAGTTGAAAATATATTCTTATATGGGACAATAGAAAGAACATTCCAAGAAAAAGAAATGATATTGGGTCATTTTCAAATTTTATTGGCCAGTAGCTAACATCTTTGTTTCAGTTTCTTGAGGCAGTCCTATTTTTATAGTTTGTGGGAGAAATGCATTGAGAAAGGGTGGATCTGTGCCCATGTTTTCTTTTCTTTTACCATAAAAGCCCTCAGGGGCTGTGTGTTTGTCTGAGCAAGCTGTCAGCCAATTAGAGTTTACTGCTGGGGAAGAAGCTGAGAAAGTTAATCCCGCTCCTTCAAGTCATAGTTAGAAAGGAAATATGAATCTTAAGTAGTGCATGTTATTTCATCAACTGAGAACCAAGAGAGAGACTAGTTAGGCAGATGGAGGAGAGGACAATTTTAATGGGCTCATTTAAAGAAGAAAACCACAGCATACCCAGAAGAAGTCATTTCTTTCTCTTGGCCAAGAATCGACGGAAGGGAAAAATATTAATGAGTTGATACTGACATTTAAAGCCCCCCTTCTTCAGTATTGTTTCACTGATAAGAACTGTTATAATTTAAAGATCATTGCACTAGAAATCAGGAGCTCTGCATCCTCATCCAATGCTAATGACCTTTCACAAGTTCCTTACCTTCTCTAGCTTTCTGAGTCCTCCTGTGTAAAAGAAGGGTAATGATGACTGCTGTGAATTCCTTAAAGCAGTAATGAAGTTTCTATTGAAGAATAAAATCTCCTTGTGCAACATAATAATGCATTTATTCAGTATCTAGTCAATTCGAAGTCATTCACTTCTGGATCTCAGTCTTTAGATCTAAGAAGCCATCACAAATTACCTGGTTATGTGTCCTCCAGGTTCTCTATCAGGTCATTTTGAACAAAATATAAAAGCTTAAACACAACAGAAGTGGCATTTAAAGGATGAATTTTATATATGTTTATGTATATATATGTGGATATATATATACTTCTGAAATCTTCTGATTTGGTTTGTCTAGAATGAAAGCAGAGAATCTATATTTTTTAAATGTCTCCTTAGATTATTCTGATTTTTAGATTTAGTAACTATTGATCTCATCCAACTGTTATATCTGAAAGATAAGAAAATTGGCCTTAATTGGAAAAATTGAGTAAATTCTCACCAACCAATCAATTATCTGGAAGCATTAATCCATAAAAGATGCTAAGAAGTTATGTGGGTGCTAAAATATTATTGAAAATCTTAACAAATGAAAGAAATTCTATGAAAACTTTTCTTGGGGTTGTAGTAGGGATGTATAAAAAAATATTTTAACACTGAATTGCCTGGAATGTTTAGGAGTGGGGAAAGGAAAAGATTAAGACCACCAAGTGGTGTTAGTAACTACTCAGGACCTCTAAACTTTCCATTATGGAGACTAGTCTCCTTATTTCAAAGAACACTGGCAGATCTGCAAGCTGGGCAGTCACAACAGTGATTCTCCTTCTCTTCTTGAGTTACCCATGAACAGAACTCAATTGCTCCTCTTAATAAATGGAAACAGAGATTTCTAGAGGATTGATTTGAAAGGGCTGCCCAGCATGCCCTCTTGTCTCTGCCCAGCCTTGTAAAGTGACTTCCCTAAAGCTGTGCAACTAATCTGGGGCAGATTTGAGACTACACTCTCTCCTTACCCTGAAGTCCAGTCTTATTTCAGCACCTCAGACCATCTCACATCCATTGATTTTTAAAAAGAACTTAACAAAGTTGCTTTCAGTTAATGAATGGCTAAGGCTTCACAGTAACAGATTCTGACTCTTCTTTCCATTAACTTTTAGTAAAGCTGTCCATGTGGTTTTGTGATTTTGGGGCAATGTATGTGCTATTAGAGCCCCATGCTCAGGGCTGCTTAGCCTAGAGCTGTATCAGCCTCAGGGAGTTGCAGAGCAAAACCAGAAGAAAGTCAAGAAAAGAGGAAAAGAAAAAAAAATCCATAATCTAGTGAAAAGTATTAACAGGTTTCATCCTAAAAATTACGTGTGTGTGTGTTCGTGTATGTGCAGTTGTATGTTTATGACTATAGAACGATTGCACTCATTTACTACTAATCACTTAGTTTTTATAAAGAAATTTGAACATAATAAAAGTAACATGATTCCTTGAACTCTTAAAATTAAATACAGATGTTTTCTACTTTAAGAAATTTGGGAAATAAAAATTTAGGTTTATAGGCCATAAGTCAAAGGATAATTATCTACATTTAGAAGTTAAAATTCTCGCTTTAAATGACACTTCTTCTGTTGTATTTAAGCTTTTATGTTTTGTTCAAAATGACCTGATAGAGAACTTGGAGGACACATAACCTAAAGCTAAAATATCAGAAGTTTCTGTGACTAGAAGATCTACCCAAAATTTAGAATAATAAGTTGTCATGAGGTCATAGAAATTAAAAACTTTTTTGAGGGGGAGAACCTAGTCTTCAAGGACTTCACATCTGGAGAGAAAGTGTTTGGGAAATAAATTTTTAAAATACTACATACTTTTGAAGATTTGCAAAGCGTATTAGCATAATTAAGGCCCTGAAAAGGCCTGTGGCAAATAAACTGTTTAATTTCCATTTTCCCCAAGTTTACAAGGCCACAGAACAATTGTTTTTAGCACAAGACTTAACATACCCTGATACAACTATTGTAGATACAAATCAAATAGAAAACAGAGTTGCTTTTATAGCTTTCATGACAATAGTATGTGTGATTTTAACTTTAAGCTTCTCAAGGGCTGGGTTTTTACATTGCATTCCCTGAAAGATGTAATGCAGCATTGGGTCTAAAATAAGTGCCTAGTAAGTAATTTCTAAATAAATCACTGACCAATCACTCTCTGCCATATACTTCCTGTTAGAAAGAAGAAACAATTACTTTTGTCCATCTAGAAGCAAAGCTATTTTTATTGTCTTCAGAGATATTAATCATGATCATTGCTATTTTCATTTGTAGCCTGAAAATCAACTGATAATCCTTTGTTTAAGGAGGGAACTAAATGTGATAGATCCGTCTACTTGCCTTAAGGGAAATATAAAATTGTAACTGGTCCACAGAGACTAGAACTTGTGTTGAGACAGTAACATATAATGGAAAGAGCTGAATTCCAGCTCTGCTCCCTAATAGGTGCTCTGTGTCTCAGGAAGCTGATTTAGATGGGCTGCATCTTTAGACTCGTTTATTTTCCTCTGACTTTAGCCAACAGAAGGCAGCAGATATTGAAGAGCAGGAGGAAAGTGGGGCCAGGGTGTTTGTTCCTTTACCTTCTTCCTGTTCAGATCACTATAAATTAGCTGTGGCCTTTTACTGAAGGCCACATGGCCTATTAGATGGCCCACTCATGGGGTTTAGGAACTGTTCTCTCCCCCTCACCCTTTCAGGTTGAGAGACAGAAATGGTTCTGAGCCTCAGTATATAGTGCACTTCCTTGTTATTTTTCCTAAATCTTTCCCACAACCTTGTAAATAGCCCCTTTATCAAACTCTCCCCAATCACCCAGTTTGTGTGCGTGCGACCCCTATCTTGCAGGAAGCCTAACTAATAAATTGACTATATGGTGACTTTGAATAATTACTTAATTTCTTTTAACCTCAGTTTTTTTACCTGCGAAATGTAATAGCAATCTATCCTTTCTACCTCATAGACCTGTGGGAGGATTTAATGAGTTGATGTTGGTTTTTATTTTCCTTCCCAAATATTTTCACTTGTAGGAGGTGACCAAGAGATGTTGTGTGCAAATGTAAGTCCTATCCTTGCTTCAGATGAGATATATTCTCCTGTTGATCAGTTTCCCTGAGTCCTATGGTGGCCAAAAGCCAAGTAAAACTCTTAGAGCAGTACGCATTGTATACTGTGTGCCCACTGTGTGCATGTACAGAGAACTTGCAGAGGGAAGGGAGGTCTACATGGAAGAGACGCCCAACCAGACTGGAGACCTCTCACTGAGTAATAGTGATTTGAAAAACCCTACGACCCTTCCTTTTGTAACTAATACCAAAGATCAATCACACTTTTTCAGGTAAACAGTATGGGTGATAAACTGCTAAGAGATCTGATAGTCACAAGTTGATAATAAATAATAATAAAGCCACACATCCACACTTAGTAAAAATTGTGGAATCTTTCCATATATTAGCTTCTGCTAGGCACCATAAAATATGATATTCACTTATTTTATGAACTACAGATCAAAATTAAGAAAAAAAAACTATTAGACATTGAGTTTCCCTTCTCAGTCTACAGTGCTTATCTTTTGCACCAATGCAAATAATCAGGTGAAAAGAACTTTCACACCCTTTCTTTAGAATAGAGACATCATATCTGATTTTATTTCCTGGACACTTCTTTCTGATATGCAGTTTTCTCACACTGTAATAGTAAATAGAACAGTGGAAATAAGGTTGATTTCATGCATCTGCTTCTCCTCTCCATGAACTATTTTATTTGTGTCTTTCTCTAATTTTTATGTATAGCCAAAAGGATGCTAACTATACAACAAGAAGCATCCTTGGTTGAAGGTAGACCAGTGACTGTAGTTTATAAAGTTATAGAACCATTAAGTGAGTGCCCCCATCAAATATTTACTTGCTAACTGCTTTCAACAAAATCACAAATTAAGCAGATTGATCAATAAGAGAAGACTTAAAAGATAAACAGCAATACATGAGATCTATTTGTATGTAATAAGATTGAACTGTTGAGTGTCAGAGAAAACAAATACCATACACCACACACACACATGCACACACACACATTCACACCAATAAGCCAATTTGAAATATAGTAACTCTGTATTACTATTTTAGCTGGGATAGTAAGAATTTACTCAGTTTTTACTATTATTCTTCCATGTTTATTCCATCATTTGTTTTTGTGTTTTATTAAGTTGAGTGGGGAAAGCCATGAATAAAACATTACTATTTATGGCAAATCTGTTGTGTGTGGCCCAATAAACTGGATCAAAATTTCTTAGGCAGAGCCCCAAATTCACTGAAACCAGATGATTTATTGAGATCTTCAAACACTGACTAGAAATAGTATATAAAAAGGCTGTGGTCCATAGCCATATTAATCATTAAAGTGTTGACTTGCTGCAAGTATTAAATAAATTCAACTTTTATAGGGTGTCTCACACAGTAATATCCTTCAGGGATAAAACACATTCCCTATTGCCTTAGCTTCAGCTTGAGCCAAGAAATGTGGCATAGACCAGTATAAATGCAAACTACAATTAAAAGTGAGCAACTTAATGCATATCTCAGTAAAAGCTATTTAGGATACATGCTAAGGAGACAAAAATTTTTTTGTTTTAAGGACCTCCATCTGCAGAATTGTGAGCACCAAATTCCTTCTCTTAGAAGATTGAGAGTTGCTTTCGTTACTTTAAAGAAGTTGCGTTTTTTCTGAGCAAATTGTAGACTAGATTTCTGAATGACCTTTCATCTTTTCTTCATGAATATAGGAAAATGGAAAGTCTAAAATTGTCAACCATGCATACATAGATTGTAAACTCCTACACATTCTCCTCTATTATCCAGCTGAAAAGTATAATTTTATTTTTAGTTTTTTTTTCTGAAACTTCTAAGTTAACTCTCATCCGTGATAAAGCAGAAAGGTGATAGAAATGATACCAAATATGCCTTTGGGCTTTTTAGAACTGTCTGTTGACAGTCAAAATAACTAAACCCTAAGTAATTACTAAAATCAACCATAGAAATGGATACATCAAATATAATACCCTTACTTATACAGAGCCCAATCCTAGCTACTTGCTGTATGTGAGGTATAATTAGGAAAAAAGAAGAGGACACAGAACTTTACTGCATTTTTCCAATGGCTGTAGCAAAACTTTCTGAGTTTGGGACCGAGAGTTTCTTAACTCTTAAGATGAGAATAAGCATTATCTTGTCTATCTCACGAGATAAAACCCTAGTAAAACACAAAAGAGATAATTTTATGGCCAAAGTGCTTTGAGTACTGCAGAGTGCTTTTAAAAAAATGTCCCTCCCTTTCCTCCTCAAAAGTTCAAAGTGACAGCTGTAGTCCAGGCAGTGACCAGAATTCAGTAAAAGTTGGGGGGGGGATTAAATGGAAGCTTATGGGAAGGAGGCCCATGTGGTCACCTGCTCTACACTTTCATGATTTGGCTCTGTGTCCCCACATAAATCTCATATTGAATGGTAATTCCCAATGTTGCAGGAGGGCCCTGGTGAGAGGTGATTGGATCATGGAGGTAGATGTTCCCTTTGCTGTTCTTATGACAGTGAGTTTGTTCTCACAAGAACTGATGGTTTAAAAGTATGCAGCGGCCGGGCGCGGTGGCTCACGCCTGTAATCCCAGCACTTTGGGAGGCCGAGGCGGGCGGATCACGAGGTCAGGAGATCGAGGCCATCCCGGCTAAAACGGTGAAACCCCGTCTCTACTAAAAATACAAAAAAATTAGCCGGGCGTAGTGGCGGGCGCCTGTAGTCCCAGCTACTTGGGAGGCTGAGGCAGGAGAATGGCGTGAACCCGGGAGGCGGAGCTTGCAGTGAGCCGAGATCCCGCCACTGCACTCCAGCCTGGGCGACAGAGCGAGACTCCGTCTCAAAAAAAAAAAAAAAAAAAAAAAAAAAAAAAAAGTATGCAGCACTTCCCCCTTCATTCTCTTTTTCTCCTGCGCCACCATGTGAAGAATGTGCTTGCTTCTCCTTTGCCCTTCCATCACAATTGTAAATTTCTTGAGGCCTCCCCAATCATGCTTCCTGTACAGCCTGTGGAACTGTGAGTCAATTAAACCTCTTTTCTTCATAAATTAACCAATGCCATGTAGTTCTTTCTAGCAATATGAGAATAAACTAATACTGAAAATTGGTACCAGAGAAGTGGGGTATTGTTATAAAGATGCCTGAAAATGTGGAAGCAACTTTGGTAATGGGCAGAGTTGGAACAGTTTGGAGGACTCAGAAGAAGACAGGAAGATGAGGGAAAGTTTGGAACTTCCTAGAGACTTGCTGAGTGGTTGTGACCAAAATGCTGATAGTGGTATGGACAGTGAAGTCGCCACTGCAGTAGCCTCAGATGGAGATGAGGAACTTACTGAGAACTAGAGTAAAGGCCACTCTTGCTATGCTTTAGCAAAGAGACTGGCAGCATTGTGCCCCTGCTCTAGAGATCTGTGGAACTTTTAACTCCAGAGAGATGATTTAGGGTATTGGCGGAAGAAATCTCTAAGCAGCAAAGCATTCAAGAAGTGCCCTGGCTGCTTCTAAAAGCCTATTCTCATTTGCATAAGCAAAGAAATAACTTGAATCTAGAACTTTAAAAGGGAAGCAGAACATAAAAGTTTGGAAAATTTGCAGGCTTACCATTTGGTAGAAAAGAAAAACCCATTTTCTGGGCAGAAATTCAAGCAGCTGCAGACATTTGCATAAGTAAAGAGGAGGTGAATGATAATATCCAAGACAATGGGGAAAATGCCTCAAAGGCATTTCAGAGACCTGTGTGGCAACCCCTTTTATGACAGAGGAGGCCAAAGAAGAAAAAATTGTTTCATGGGCCAGGTCCAGGGCCCTGCTGCTCTATGTAGTCTCAGGATATGGAGCCCTGCATAACAGCTGCTCCAGCTCCAGCATGGCTAAAAGGGGGCAAGGTATAGCTCAGGCCATTACTTCAGAGGTTGTAAGCCCCAAGCTCTGGCAACTTCCATGTGGTGTTAGGCCTGTGGGTGCACAGAAGGCAAGCGTTTAGGCTTGGAAGCCTCTACCTAGATTTCAGAGGATGTATGAAAATGCCTGGATGTCCAGGCAGAAGTCTACTGCAGGGGTGAAGCACTCATGGAGAATCTCCACTAGGGCAGTACAGAGGGGAATTGTGGGGTTGGAGCAACCACACAGTGTCCCCATTAAGGCACTGCCTAGTGGAGCTGTGAGAAGATGGCCATCATCTTCCAGACCACAGAATGGTAGATCCACTGACATCTTGCACTGTGCACCTGGAAAAGCCACAGGCATTAAACACTAGCTTATGAAAGCAGCTGTGGGTTGGAGTGGGGACTGTACCTTTCAGAGCCACAGGGGTGGAGCTGCTCAAGGCCTTTGGAGTGTGCCCTGGTTGTGAGACATGGAGTTAAAGGATAATATTTGGAACCTTTGAAATTTAATGAGCGCCCTGCTGAGTTTCAGACTTGCATGGGGCCTGTAACCCCTTTGTATTGGCCAATTTCTCCATTTTGGAATGGGGGCATTTACCCAATGCCTGTACCCCCATTGTATCTTGGAAATAACTAAATTGTTTTTGATTTTACAGGCTCATAAGTGGAAGGGACTTGTCTTGTCTCAGATGAGACTTTGGACTTGGGACTTTTGAGTTAATGCTGGGAGATAAGACTGTGGGGGACTGTTGGGAAGGCATAATTGTGTTTTGAAATGTGAGAAGGAAATAAGATTTGGGAGTGGCCAGGGGTGGAATGATATGGTTTGACTCTGTGTCCCCGCCCAAATCTCATTTTGAATTGCAGTTCCCAATGTAGGGGAAGGGATTTGGTGGGAGATGATTGGATCATGGGGTGGATTTCCCCCTTGCTGTTCTTATGATAATGAGTGAGTTCTCTTGAGATCTGATGGTTTAAAAGTGTGTGGCACTTCTCCCTTTGTTCTTTCTCTCCTGCTCTGCCATGTGAATAAGAGGCTTGCTTCCCCTTCACCCTTTCGCCACGATTGTAAGTTTCCCGAGGCCTCCCCAACCACGTTTACTGTACAGCCTAAAGAAGTGTTAAGTCAATTAAACCTCTTTTCCTCATAAATTACCCAGTCTCAGGTAGTTCTTTATAGCAAGTGTGAAAACAGACTAATATATACCTCTTCAACAAGAATAAAAAATAAATGGATTGGTCTTATTCCAGGACTGTATGGCCATAGTTATTCATGAGAGGGTTCTGAATGCACTGAAATGCCACACAAGGATGTGACTTGTTCTCCTCTCTCACTGCTTTGTAAGGCTGCAGCATAAGGAGGTAGTCATAGTTATTTTACCTCTTTATCGCTTACATCTTAAATATTGATTCTGTCTTCTTTTTAGTGTCCCAAGATTCTATAAAGCCAGCCAGAATATGAAAACCCTCTAAGATTTAGGCTAGGATTTAATAGAGTCTCCTCAGGACTTGAAGGTAGAACTTTGCATTCAGATTTGGACACAAGTCCAGATGACAACAAAGTGCTTGTATGGTTCCTGTGCCATTGACATTTTCAAGAATTCTTCTCTTGAGAGTATTGTGAGAAGATGGGGTTATGGTTGATGGTGGGATTCAGATGCCATTTTTTCTGTGGTCCATGTATGAAAACCCTGCCTGGAGCACATAACACTAAAGGTGCCTTACCATTGGTCATTCTCTCAGTAAGTATTTTGTTTTAGACACAGGAGACACAGAGGTCAACAAGGCAGATGAAGGCCTTACTTTTGGGAAACCTGTGTTCTATGGACAGGGGTGTCATAATATGTTCTATACAGCTGGGAGTAGGGAAGAAGAGGGAGAAAGAAAGAGAGACGGGCTATATGACTACTTTATATTGGTTGGGTAGAGAAACTCTCTCTAAGAAGGCCACATTAAGCTGAAGATGAGGGTATAAAAGAAGAGAAGGTCCCAGGAGGCCAGTAGGTGAAGCCAGCAAAGATGGCTTAGAAGAAGCAATCAGGGAGTTGAGAGGAAAAAACAAGCTTAGCCTACGGTTTGGGGTCTTTCTACTCAGGATTTATAAATCAGGATTTATACTTGCCATTAAACTTTGCCAACATTTTGACTATTAAAGGGAAAGAGTTGTGGAAATTTTATAAAGTGTCTTACCAAAACTGTCTGTGAAAGAATCATATTTCATAGCTTTTATCTAATCGTGCTAAGAGGTATAACTGTTCGTGATACAAGAATCATTGCAGGGTTTCCTGCAGAATTGGAGAATTTTAAAATGGACTTGAATTCTTTACCCACATTTCTCAGCATGAACTACATCTAACCTGGGACAGATAGTATGATTTGAAATGCAGCAAATTAAAGTGTTTAATGATCAAGAAATGACTTTAAAAAATCATATTGCAGCATCTCAATCCGTATCAATTCTAATAAATGTAGCTCACCATTTTAAAAGTAAACCCAGTCTTATTTTTGATGCAGCAAAATGTCTGCAGGTCATAATGTGGTTCTATAAAAGATGACAAGTAGGAAGAAACAAATTTATACAGGAAATTTTGGAACAGTGAGAGATGAAACCAAGGAGCATTGATTCGAGATTTTTGTGTAGTTAGGAGGTCAAATAGAAACCAGAACTTTAAAATATTTGCTTTACCATCTGATAGTAGTGAGAAGAATAATGTGTGAGTATAGCCAGCATCTCATCCATCTTTCTCCTGGGGATGTATCCCAGAGGATTTCTCACATTGATCCCTAAGGGAACATGTTTGAGATTGTTCATCATGCCTGTTTTTACAGAAGAAGAAGGTTTGACACAGCCTTGAAATCTATCAGTAAAAGAAAGGTTAGAGGGCTAACTAAAATGTGGTAGATGAATTTTGTAGATACATAAATATACATATAGCAAAATGCACAGAACTTACAAATATAGTATAGAATGAAAAAAAAGAAGCAGAATAAAGTTTACAGGGCAATACCATATATATATACATGCTATATATATATATGCTAGAGATATATATATACACACACACCATACATATAGAGAGATAGATACCTATCTATATATACAATATATATGCCCTGTGTTGTAAGAGGGATTAAAACAGTCATCCAGGTGTTTCTGCATAGGAAGATATTAGGTATCATATATTATTAGGTATCATAATATATATTTAGCTAGATATCTATATATATATAAAATATAGACATAGATATGTATAATCTTGGCTCACTGCAACCTCTGCCTCCCAGGTTCGAGCAATTCTCCTGCCTCAGCCTCCCGAGTAGCTGGAATTACAGGCGCACACCACCACACCCAGCTAATTTTTGTATTTTTAGTAGAGACGAGGTTTCACCATGTTGGTCAGGCTGGTCTTGAACTCCTGACCTCAAGTGATCCACCCACCTCGACTTCCCAAAGTGCTGGGATTACAGGCGTAAGCCACCGCACCCAGCCCATTTATATTTTTGAATGGCCAAATGACACTATTTTGTAAAGATGCATTCAAGTTGAAAGACTCGAATCACATTAGTGCGAGTACCTGTGGGAAGAGAGTTGGATAAAAGTGGAAATAGATGATGGAGAAAAAAACAGAATAACTAATAGATAATAAAAAAAGAGAGAGGACTTATGTTGACAATGTGCTATGAAATGAAGAG
Organism: Homo sapiens; assembly: GCF_000001405.40. NCBI lineage: Eukaryota > Metazoa > Chordata > Mammalia > Primates > Hominidae > Homo > Homo sapiens. The sequence continues at coordinate 82,492,914 of NC_000001.11, read as the reverse complement.
TATAAGTAAGTCATTTCTCTGCTTGTAAGGACAAAAAAAAGGACTTTTAAAAAACAACAAAACATTTCTTGGATTCACTCTCCAAATACTATCAGAAACAAGGAAACACAAATCCTATTGAGTGAAATAATAAAAAATAGCATCATCTCAGGGTAATGCAGCAAGATGTGGGCTAGAGTGTGTTCCCTAATATTCCAGGCACATGAGGTCCAAACACCAGCTGAACTTTTTGACGGGGGCTGGGCTTCTGGTAAAAGAAACAAGGGCACAGCACTGGAGGAGTAAGCGAGTGGTAACATTTGCTTAGTGATCTTCAATTTAGAAAGAGTAACTCATCACCACACATTAGTAGTCTGGAGTTGTGAATATTGTGAAAAAAATGGGAGGATATCAAAACCGTGCCATGTGTAAGAGAAAGGGAAGAAAAAAATGTGTTCTTCCCAATTCCCCTCCCCTTCCTGTTAGCTCTTGCAATGTCTGCAGATGTTTTCCTTCTGACTGTCATCTTTGCTTCCCTCTGTGACCCTTCCCCTCTTACTGATTTTGTTTTTAACTTTCCTTGACTCTCAGTCTCGGCCTCCTGACTTCCTTGTAACTAACACCATATCCCTGTTGGCATGGCATCCACTTGAAGATTATTGCTTTGCACTGGCATCTGAGAACTTCCTCCTCTCCTGACCCTGACAGCCACCACTCAGTGCTGTATATTTGGAAAAGGGAGGAAGGCCAGAGGCTCCCACACAGAAACATCTATGTTGGTGCCCATTTTCTCAGATCTATTTGGAGTAATTTTTTTTCATACTCTACTGGCTATTAAGGTGGGTCTAATGTTGCTTTTTAATGAAAACCACCTTTAGATTTAGGGAAAATCACATTCATATTTATATAAAGGCTTTTTATGTGATATCTGAATGTTTATACCCAAGTTTCCAAGAAATCATAGGCCAAGAAGAAAACAAAAATGTGTATGCACTGAAAATTTGGGTAGTAAGCTAATAGGGATCCTTTATAATTTAGCACTGAACTGCCCTCCTTATATAACCAAGGGAGGAATTTTCTTGGGATTGAGTATCTGTTTCCTGTTCTGATAATTAGCACCTGCTCCAAATTTGGATGAGAATACCACGTGCAGGGCCAGCATCTGGTGTCCCAAGCCAAAATGAGCTCAGAAGACTCCATATGTGATCAGAAATGAGGAAAGTTTCTGGCTGAGGTTTTCATTAGCCAAATGAAAGCTTTAGGGTTTCATTTTACTTCAAAGACAAGATCCTCTGAGCAGTACATCCTGTTGCGCTGGTAGTGATGATATTTTATTAGTAGCTATGAGGTACTGGAGCTAAAGAGTGGAATACAAGGCATCCATTTCCTAGCCACAAAACATGAGTAGTTGGGCAGTGCCAGTGGTTTTTTTGAAATTTAGAAGCTGATTAATATATTTCTCAAGCCTTAGAAAGTTTCCCCACAACATATTTGCAATTCTGTGATGGAGTAAGTCTTGAAAATATTTCAATAACTAAAGGCTAACTTAGCTATGTTGTATAAGCAGGACCAAAGGTCAGCTCAGTTGTTATGAGTAGCTACTCTAACAAAAATCTTTGACTTTTCATTTTACCCTGCTTTTCAACTAACTGGTGCCATCTGCATTCATTAAAACAGATTGATGTAACTGAGGAATGTCACATTTATTAAGTGTTTACTCTGTGGCAGATATGGTGTTAGATCAATTCACATGCCTGTGATTTGTCCTTTGCCTATTTTGCTCTGATCCTTTCTCTGCCTTTATTCTGCTGTGTTGTTTCTTGTGGGACTACATTTCCAAGACATTTTCCTCTCACTTTCCTGTAGGTTTGGCCAGTGAGAGGCATTTTGGGGAGCCTAGTCTCCTTTCCTTGGCATTCCTGGCAGCATCTGAGTCTCCTCTGTGGCTCCTGGTTTCATGAGCCATTCTCTCTCTGTCAGAGACCCAGCTACTGCTGAGCAGATCTTCCCTGGTTCCACTTTTTTTTCAAGTTGCCCTTGAATGTAAGCTTCAGTAAAGCCACTTACTCCTTTTGCTCTTCCAGGAATAAGGGTGGTGATGCCTAGCACCTATGTCTAATCTCTACATTGCCTCATTATCCCTTTGGGCTTCTCAATTATCCTATCACGTGTGTAACCAATTTCCTATTTTAATGTATTTGTGTTTGAAATATTCAGAATGGCTTCTGTTTTCCTGATTGGCTATTGTCTGAGATAATGAACATATATGCTATCTTGATTAACCCAAGATACAAAATTGTGAGGACGGCATCATTATCCCATGGGATAATAACACAGGATGCAAAGGCTCTACAAAGTTAAAAATATGCGTGTGTGCATGTGTGTGTGTGTGTGTGTTTATTCTTACAACGATAAAAAATAGTGGATGCTAGATGTGAACTATGTATACCACAACTACATTCTTTCAATGATACCACGTTGCCATTCTTTCTTCCCTCTAGTCTTGTATTATAGATTTATTATAGCATATTATTAAGTCTACTTGTCCTCCCTTGCAGAAAACACTGCCTAATGGAAGAAACCCCTAGTGAAAAGGGATAAGTAAACTATCTATAATCTGTGTGTCTAACTACTTTCCTCCGCCCCCAAAGAATAGATGTCCTCAGTCCTACTTAAAATCAGCCCAACAGGGTTGTTCTAGGTCCTTGTTATCATCCCTCCCTCCTATAACTTCAACCTTTTTATTTCCACTGGCCCCTTCCCAACGTGTAAATACATCATTATCAAATCCTCCCTTGATCCTGTATCACACTCCCTCTGATCTTTCGCATCTCCAGTCTTCTCTACCTCTCAGCTCCCATTTGCCTCCCAGTCTAGTGTGATCTGACTTCTTGTGTCTTCATCACTCAACTTCTTTCAATCTGGATACTACTGATCTCCTGAATGCCAATTCCCTAATTCACTGGTCTTAAAGTACAGCTCTGCTGCATTTAACAGTGTTGTTACCTCACCCCCATGACTTTCTTCACCACCCTCCTTAACCAGTTCTTCTCTTACAAATCAAACTGTTCAGGTCTCCTCATGTATTCTTGTTTCTCTTCCTGCTCCTTAAATGTTGATATTCATCAGGATTATGCCCTTGGCCCACTACTATTAGTATTGGACATACTCTCACTAGAAAATCTCACTCATCCTTCCATCTTTCAAACACCACTTACATGTTAAAATTCCCCAATGTATATTTATAGCACTGTCTCTCCAGATGTTTAGAGTCATTATCATAAAGCCTATTAACCATTTCTCACACATTTCCAGAATTGAAGTCATCATTGTTAACTTCCTAAATTGGATTTTTTACACATACTCTATACTTCAACATCTTCCGAGCATCTAAGTACTTACACCTAGAATCATGGTTCGTCCCTTTTCCCCATCCACCAAATATAGGCAGTTTTGCCTCTTATGTACCCCTTATGTCTGCCCAACCTCTACTGTCACTCTCCTAGTTCCACTCTAGTCTTGCCCTTCTCTATTCATCCTACACACCACAGTGATTTCACTGATATGCACAGTTCTTGTTTAACTCTCAGGCTTCATTTAGACCATCTCTTCCTCTACATGTCCCAGCTTTCTTATGTTGCATGTGGCATGCTTCCTCTCACCAAAAGGCCATTGCACACATTATTTCTTCTTTCTGGACAGCTAGTCACGGTCCCATTACCTCCTTAACTCTTACCCATCTTTAGATTATACCTCCACTCTTATTTCTTCAAGGAACTCGTCCTCATCCTATTACCCCATTTCTTTAAGTCGAGATTAGCATTTGTTCAGGTTGTGCTTGTACATATGACTATTTGATTAACAAATATCTCCTCTGTCTTTCTATAAGCTCTTTAACAGCAGGAACTCTGGATCAAATTTCTCACATGTAGTGTAGTCCTAATACATAATCTGCAATCAAGAATTATTTACAACATAAATGAATGAGCAAATGAAAAGCCATTGAGGACAGAATTGTTATACTGGAATCTGATGGAGTTTGATGGATGTGGCCTTAGAACATAAAAACCTCTGCCATTCCTATTTTCTTGAGCTTGTTTTGAGTATTATCATGATACATAAAAAAGAATCTGAGGACTTATAATATAGTCTTCAGAAACAATAAGTCTGTGCCTCTACTGTAAATTTTCTTGTGTAATATTGTAGGCTGTAGCAATATGGTACTTATTGCCTTACATAATGCAATATAAGTACTGCTCCCCTCTCACAATCATTCCTTTGGTGTTTTTCAAAATATACCTTCTTTTCCTTTCACAGTATTGGTGCTATACTTGTTTAAGATATGCTGAGGGAGGAGCAAGAAAATATTAACATAAACATTTTCAGAATTCGGACAGATGCTGATACTTTGCAGCAAGGGGAAGCCAGGGTTGTGATTTAAATTTCTACTACTGAAATTTCATATACTGAGATTCATGGATAAATGTAGAAATCAAAAAGGTCGGCAGTAATATAAGAAGGAAGTTATATTTTAATTGTGACAGCTGTTTCCAATTGGACATTTCTTATCAAATGAGTATTTTGTGAAAAACCAAAAAGCAGCATAGCATTCTAAATATAACCCAGCACCTAGCACTGTTAGAGAAGCTAGAAATGCCAACTTAAAGGAGACTACAGTTTGTCAAACTCATCGTTCTATATAAACCTTCAGACATTTGGCAAAACTGTGTCTATCTGATTGTGGAATGGAAAAGAGAAAAAATAATTCTTAAAAGAATAAAACTTGGAACTGAAACAGAAAGTTTCTTTTCCAAAAGAAATCCGCCCATAATTGTAAGGCCTGTAGTCAAATCATAACCACAGTCTAAAATGAGACCAGTTTTGGTCCTAACACTTCCATTGATATTTTCACATTTAAATGACTTTTGTCATGCATGAGAGACTGTTGTTTACTTTTTTCTTTGTAACTGGAGATCTATATTACCTTTATTGTACCAATGTCTCATGTGAAGTGTAGTAATAAAGAACGTTTGTGATATATGATCCGCATAGAAAATATCTTATCATATAATTGCCCACATCTCCCCAAAAAAAACTATTAAAAAGCATCTATTAAATGCTCTTTGTTTTTTCTCTTTCATTTTGGCTTGTCTTTATTGCACTTAAAAAAACAGCTAAAAAATTATTTTTCATGATTTTGGTATACATTAGGGCAGATATACACATTTATGTACATATTTCTGGGTTATTTATTTATTTTTGAGACAGGGTCTCTCTCTGTTGCCCAGTCGCAACCTCCCAGGCTTAAGGGATCCTCCCACCTCAGCCTCCTGAGTAGCTGGGACTCTCGGCTCATGCCACCATGCCTGGCTAATTTTTGCATTTTTTGTAGAGATAGGGGTTTCACCATGTTGCCCAAGCTAGTCTTGAACTCCTGGGCTCAAGTGATCCACTGACCTTGACCTCCCAAAATGCTGGGATTACAGGTGTGAGCCACCATGCTTGGTCTTATACACATATTTTTTGACATTTGTGTACACATATATATGAGACAATTTCTTGACTGTTTTAATAATGATATGACTTAACAGATTTTTCTGTTTTTACATAGAAATATTTTAAAAAATCAACCTCAGAAATGAATAACAGCCCAAAAGAGGTCTGGGAGAGAAGGAAGCTGTATTGTTGGTACAGAAGCCAACATAGGAGAAAAGACTTTTAGCCCTCCCTCTCCTCCTGGGAGACACAGTTGAAGGAAGAGCAGCCTGTGATTCAGAGGGAAGGACACTGAGTCAGATCCTGCAGGTGATTAAAAGACACAAAGTATTAAAAAAAAAAAAAAGCAGGGGTAAGGAATGGGTTGAGAATCAAGATGGATTATAAAAGACTGCATAGAAAAAGAAGAATCTGCTAGCTAAAATGTGGGACTTTCCCCCCCCCTTCTCTTAAGAAAGAGCCATAGAAAAACTGGAATAGAAATACTTTTATCTAAAAAGAAAGAAATGAATACATGTAATTTCTGGGTCATCAGAAAAACTCAGCTGCCAATCCCAGCTCCACCCTAGAGGAAAATTGGGCTAATGACCTTGAATGTCTCTTTTTATCTGGCAAAGATTGAAACACCCTCAGCTGGGACAGGAGACACAGGATCCCCTCCTCAAGAGCAAGTTCAACTTGGAAGTAGTCTGGGGAGCTTGAAGGAATTTGCTTTCGCCTTCAGTAGTTCTGTGCCATAGAGACTGCAAGATGTTATCGCTTGAGTTCTGAAGGTGCAAGAGAAAGTCAGCCAACCTCCTAGGCCTGGTTTTCCTCACCTGCAATACAAATTAGGGAGCCTCTCGCTTACACCACAGTTTTCAAAAGCTCTTCCAACTGTTTTAGCATATCGGAAACATCTTTTATAAATCCCAAAGGCCTAAGTTTAAAATAGTAAATCTGACCCCAAATTCCTTTCTTTCGGTGTCAAACTCAGTACTTTTATGAACAATTCCAAAAAACGCCTTGGTAGGCCAAACACCATGTGTCCAAGAGGTTAAATGGGAAACAGGGTGTGAATTACTTAGAGAGCTATTTTATAAACAAACATCAGCTAGGATTGAACTCTACTGATTTGGAGGTGACTTAAGTCCAATTTCCTGCTCCTTCCCATTCTTTCTTTTCAGGACCAACAGCATTAAGTGCTACAAAGAGAGACCCTGCTGAGGGGGCCCCTCCTCTCCTCCCCAAGATCCTGCCAGGAAGGGACTGCCTTTTGTCACAATTTGGCTGACTGGTGAGTGACACCGAAATGCTCCATCTTGCTCAGACTGAAGGACAGTGGCACTAATCCTAAAGGACAATAAAGAGTTTTTAAAAGAAAATGGCTTGAAGTGAAACTGACCAAAATCTCATCCAATAAGGGAACTTAAAGAGTCTTCTGAATGACAGCAAGTAAGAGGCCTATCAATCAATCCAAGGCGCTCCCTACACCTGCATACTATTTCTACCAATGAGACTTTACCAAACCTATTATGATGCAAAGTGGTGGTGACTCATAAACCGAGCATCTCAATAATTCTCTTTCCCATCTTTTTCTCAATTCCAGGTCAATTGAGGGTGAATCCTCAAACCAGCAGGCTTTAAGGAGCACCTTAGGGTTCAGAGCAGACCTTTTTCTTTTTCTGCCAGTGTGTAGCAGATCTCCTTCTGCAGCCTTGGCTATGATCTCCGCTCCTCTCTCTCTCTGCCTTGGCTATCTGCCTGCTCTCCTGCTGTCCTCATCTGTAGGAGCTGCACAGCTCAGCAAGAAACTGTTCTTAGTGTGCCCATCAAAGCACTGGAAGAAAAAGAATACTGAGATAGTTGCCTGAAAAGCAGAAGCAGCTCCTGTCACAGTGCCAAATGCACTCGTTTAAGGAATTCTGATTTTACAAAAGGAACTCCCCCAACCCCCAAACTAAAAGTTAAAGATGAAGAAGCATCATGTCTTAAAATAGACAGTTTTGTGTTTTCTCACTGCAGTCAAAAACAGGTAAGAATCACTATAGCAATGCCCTCTTGATAGCTGATTGGTTTTTCAGACGCCAGTTTGGTATTAGTTCACTGTTTAAAGATTCAGAGTGATCCTTTTGTTACATATTATATCCACGTGTCTTCCCACAAAGATGAAAATATTTAACCATGCCGTACTCTGTGTGATTGATATTACTTATTCCGGAATTACTGTTTTATTTGATAATTATGTAGCAGGTTAAGATATGTGAAGACAGTAGTCCTGATGTGTAAATAAGCAGATCATTCTGGTAATTATATCTGTTTATTAGAGACCTGCTGTTTTATTGATATTTATTCTTTGCCACAGGGTCAATATTTCTTGCTCTGTGTTCATAAATTAGAGCATCAAAATTCCACTCACCTATGACACCATTTTGATGTGAATCATATTTACTGTTAATTGAATTATAAAGTTTGAACATATTTGGAACATATATGTTCTACCTTACATAGCATGACCCTTAAGAATTAAGGAGTCAATTAAATGCTTGGTCATTTTCTGTAAGTACCTTATCAGTTATCTCTGAATTATTGTTATGTATCAAGGCAGTGCTATTTGACTCAGTATTAATGGAGAGATGAGAGTTTGGATGATGTACAGGTTCTTCAAGTTTATACAAAGCAAATGCTGTAATGAGTGCTTCTTGAACTTAACACTTTAAATGTCTTCTGTAAATATATGAGAGTGAAAGTTCAAATTTTAATGGAATAAATTTGTTTTACTCCTCTGGAAGATAAAGAAGGGTAGAAGCTGCCGGGTTTACTGTAGGTGTTCAATAAGTATTTGTTGATTGGTTAAGTATTGACTGAAGAAAGCAAGAAAAAAATGTTAAATTTTATTATGTCATCTATGACTCCAATAATCCTTAGATTGAACATTATGGTCACTTCTTATACAATTTAAAATCCAGATAAAGTAATTTTTATCTGTCTTTGGTATTTTTCTTTTTAAAACTGATTTTTTTTCTCTTTTTTTTTTAGGGAAAAAATAAAGGATAATTTACCTTTGGGGAGCAGAAAGACTTTGATTCTTTTATGACAATAAGATGCTCAAAAGAGCCATAAGTTCCTAGAACATCTAAATTGTGTCCTGAAGATGCTTTGGAAATATAGAAGATTGTTTTTAGCCAAAAGTTCCCAGACCTTTCCTTTCTCTCTTTCCCTTTTTTTTCTTTTTTTTTTTTTTGAGACAGAGTCTCACACTGTCGCCCAGGCTGGAGTGCAGTAGCATGATCTTGGCTCACTGCAACCGCCGCCTCCCAGGTTCAAGTGATTCTCCTGCCTCAGCCTCCCAAGTAGCTGGGATTACAGGCGCCTGCCACCATGCCTGGCTAATTTTTTTGTATTTTTAGTAGATACAGGGTTTCAATTGGGATCTGAAGCAAAGACAACTAAAAAATACCAGTACTTTCACACAAGTTCCTTTGAATAAAGAATCTTAATTGAATCCTAGTCTCATAATCATAACCTAAGGATGATTATAATCCCTCCCAAAACCTAACTACTTTTAAGCCTAGATATATGAAATACAACTATTGCTATCTAGCACCATTTTTATACTCTCAAGATGTTTGGTTAAGATAAAGTCAGCATAACATAGTAGAGTCAAGAAATCTGCATTTTAGTTTCAATTCTGCCCCAACTAACTATGCATGTCTAGCAAATTACTTAATCCTCTTTTATCTGTGAAATGAAGTCATATTAGATCATCTCCATTGACTCTTTTGTTCAATATATCAGAAGAGGTATATTTCCTCCGCTGATGATAACCAAAATATTTTTCATATATTGAGAGCTTCCCTGTATCAGTCAGTATGTTAAGTGTTTTACATTTATTTTTCTTGTTTAACCCATGCTTACTAGTGCCGTTTTCCAGGTGAGGAAGCTGAGGCTTAGAGATGTTAACTGATCTGTTCAACATCTTACAACTGATAAATGGTAGACATGGCATTTCAGCCCATGTATTCTGACTCCCTGATTCCACCAAAACCTGTCTGAGGCTGAGGACATTGCAATGTAATGAAGTCGTTTAACATCAGGGGTCTCGGGCTTCAAACTCCTTGGGAATCGGGCTCTGAGATTAACAAGCAGGAGGTTTAGTAGGGACTGCTTTGTGGAAGGGAAAGGAAGGAAGCAGGATTAGATAGAGGGAGACAGTGAGTTCTGATGTAGTCTCAACACATGGCTCAGCGGGTCTTACTGGGAGTTCTGACAATGTAATGACCATTCAGGTTATCCTGAGTTCAAGTGAGACAGTGAGCCTGTATGTTTCCCCATCGATCAATCACTGGATACAAGAAATAGTACTAAGGGGGTGTGACCTTGAGCAAGGCAGATCTCTGCATCCAAGGCAATCCCTGTACCAGGCTGCCACCTGAGAGCTTTCAGTTGGCAGCTCTCCCAAAAGCTGAAAGATTCCCTAAAGGAGGCCTGGGCGGCTCATCACAGCATCCAAGATGGAGAGAAATGCAAATATAAGAAATCTAGACTATAAATGAATACAAATAATGTCAGAAGGCAAAGCAGTATAGTCAAAGATACTTAAATTTCAGCTCATGATCAGATTGCCCTGACAAGGGAAATAATGTTGAGGCTTGAATTTCTAGTACTGTAGTAAAAGAAACTATCTGACGGAGATCCCTTTTTTTTTATTTGAACATATCTATATCAAGCATTTAGCATAAACATGCAATATATAAGGTTAGAAGTTTGATGAGGAAGGGATTAATGCTCTGTTGCTGTCACTGTTCAAGGTGGTATCTCTGTGTCTATTGAGGGGCTGGGCTGGGATGTAGCACCCTTAGGATAGGTCATCATTCCAGTAGTTACATTCAAGAAGAGAAAGTACTACATATTCATTCTTTTGTCTATTTATTTATTAATTATAATTTAGTGGGAATATCATGAGTCTTGAGGTCAGATATACCAGTTTTGCCATCAATGTGTGTGTGTGTATATATGTATGTATACGTACATATATACATACATATGTGTGTATATATATATATATATATATATATACACATTGTGTGTGTGTGTATGTGTACACTTAACAACTATGAACCAGAGCTAATAAATTTGTAAAATGTGGGTTAAAGTTAGTTGATTAGATAATAATAGTAATTTTATCAAAAAACTCAGTGCAAAAATATGAACCTCCTTATCAGATGTCTAGTATATATTAGGTACACAGTAAATGTTATTTCTACTTAACATTCGTCTTCATATATGCCAGACTCATAGATAAAATACAGTTCCTGCTTCCTAGAAGATCACATTTTACAAAAGGAAAAAAGAATTTTAACTAATTATAATTCATTTTAGCAAATGTCACAATGGAGGTGCAAAGGAAATTCTAGGGGAATACAGAGAATGATAGAATTATTTCTACCAACAAATACTGGAAAAGTCTTCACAGATATACTGTCTTTGGTTGATAACTCCAGATGAATAGAAGTTTCCATCCAAGAGGGAAAAAGGGCTTTCCATGAAGAAGTGATATCATTTATTACCTTTTTTGTTTCCTTCCTTTATTTTAGGTCCCTTTTTAAATAGTAAGTCATTGACTAATTTTCAGTCAATTCTTGCTAGTACTCATCTTACTCAGTTTATTGGCATCATTTAACAAAGATAACCACTCTTGCCATGTAATATTTTCAGCTTGGCATCCAGAACATTATTTTCTCTCCTTCTTTACAGACTATTCCCTTAGTTTCATTTGTTGCTTCATCTTTGTGATCTTCAATAAAAATTGGAGGCCAGGTGCTGTGGCTCATGCCTATAACTCCTGGCATTTTGGGAGGCCAAGGCAGGTGGATAACTTGATCTCAGAAATTGAGACCAGCTTGGGCAATATGGCAAAATCTCATCTCTACAAAAAGTACAGAAATTAGCCAGGCGTGGTGGTGCATGCCTGTAGTCCCAGCCACTCAGGAGGCTATGGTTGGGGGATCCCTTAAGTCTGGGAGGTCGAGACTACAGTGAGCCATAATCACACCACTATACTCCAGCCTGGGTGACAGAGTGAAGTCCTGTCTCCACAAAAAACAAATGGGGTACCTCAGGCCTCTATCTTCGCACCTCCTCACCACGTTATTGACACCCAATCTCTAAATAATCACATCCAGTCTCTTGACTCTAAATGCTGAGTTTCCAATATTCAGTGCCCCCCAGCCTTACCTGTGACTTCAGCTTTGTTTATCACAAAAGCCAGAGTGAGCCTTTAAAATGATGAGTAGGATCACATCGATGCTCTGCAAAATTAACTACCACCCCTGGTTTCTTGTTTTGTTTTCAGCGAAAGCCAAAATCCTGACAAGGTCCTAATGGTCTCCTTTTATGTCCCTGGCTTAATTGCTACTCGCTGCCCCTCACTTATACTACTGCAGCCACTCTCTCCACTCTAGTCCTCCTTGTTCCTAGAAAACATCAAGCAGTCAGCCTCTTGGAATCCTTCTCTCCCTGAATCTGACCACCTGACTTTCAGAGAATCATGGCTGCTCCTTTGCTTCTGCCTTTGAAATCTCACTTGAATGTATCTTTTGGCAACCATACAGGGAAGAGATTCTGGAAAATGTAGTTCCAGCTTAAGCAAACAGTCATCTTAAAGAACGACCACAGTTGTTGATGTGCAAAACAAGCCTTTTTCCATTATTCCCCAACTGCATTCCTAGTACTGAAATTGAGGAAGCAATATAGCATAGCAAATAATGTAAAATCTCTAGTACCAGACAAACTCATGTTTGAAATCCTAGCACTGGCATTTACTACCTATGGGAGATTGGAAAACTCAACCTTTCTTAATTCCCAGCTACAAATAGGGGAAATAAGAATAACCATTAATAATATCATAAACATTATATAATAGGAATAATTAACTGTTTATTAGCTACATTGTAATAATCAATATAGGAGAATCATATAACTATCTCAAGGATTGCTCTAAGGATAAAAAGATATAATGTATGTAAAGCACCTAGAACCTAGGAAATATCCAAAATCATTAGCTATTAGAATTCCTATTATTATATCAGCGAGTGCCATAGACATAATAATAAAAGCTAAAGCAAATGCCAAAAAAATTGGGAAGAGAAAGGGGAAAGGGCTAGGCAAATAATTCATAAACCGAATAATTAGTCCCCAGCCACTAGTTTCTCTATAATTGTCAAGTTCCTGGTGCCAATTTTAAAATGTTAATCCTCAGGAAATATCTAGGTAGTAAGTAAGAAGAGAGGGGAAATGGCACGTGATGCATTGAGTTATTACTGAACCTTCGCAAATGTTTCACATGCGTTTGGCCTTCTCTATTACTTTAAATATTCCTTCCAACTATAAACATCAAATGAAGGTTACAGGTCTCTGAGACCATAACAACATCACTGTAAAGTGGAGTCTGAATTATTTCAGGAAAAAGGTGGCACTGGCATTGGAATTCACTTGTGACTCCTGAAAGAAAGCACTGGTTTTATTGAAATGAGCAGGAGGTCTTTTGCTAGTTGTTACCTGTAGGTGCAACGCAAGTGTAACCCTTATTTGTTCAGACTACATCAAACTGAGAAGTGGAATAATATCACAAAAGCGATGACACAATAGCACTTTTCAGGCTTAGCCCTCATCCACAGCATTGTGGAAACCCCAGCTCTCACTCAAATTCTTCCGACTAATTCAGGAATTCTGCAGAGAATGTTTCATGTTTACTGCTGGATGCAGTCTTCCTATCTAATACATAAAACAGCCTTCTTCTTTCCCATCCCTGGCACTGTAACTTTGAATCCCCAAATCACATTATATCAGTTCTGACCCTCTGCTACAGCAGCTGCGGTGGGTCTCCTTCTGTTCCCAATATCACTGCTAGGGCTCAACACCAAGGAAAGAAAGCTGTTGTCCTCCTCCTGCTGGTCTTATAAACCCTGGTTTTCTGGTTGTCACACCAGTAGAAACTAGTCTAGATTAGGCCACTGTGGCTGTCTCCTGTTGTCACTGCTGATGGTAATAGCTCAGTTCTGTGCTACAAGCATTACCTCTCTGAAGGAGGGGAAATGTCCTACATCTAAATTTGTGTTCCATTTTGTTGTTTCATATGATACAAAGCATTTGTGTTGCTTTGTGCACTCAACATCTTCAAAGAGATTTTAGTGATACGACACAGGAATAAGATGGTGAAAACAAATGTCCATCTGAATTTCTCAGTGAAAACCCTGTGATTGTTTGAAAGAAATATTTTGTTAAGTGTCCAGTGGGCTTTTGAAGTGGAGACTGAGAGCTCAAGGGCATTTTGTAAACAACAGAAGATGTGTAAGACCGTAAAGTGGTGAGAAAGAGAAAAAGCTGGAGCGTGAAAGGAGGAGGAGAAGATATTAAGAGAAGATTGCACAGTACTATACAACCTCTCTCAGTAACCCCTACACTTTCAGTTTGATCTGCTAATTCTAGCAAAATTTCTTAAAAGCCTTGACTAATTGGATTTATTGAGAAAGTGGTAAAGTGCTGTATTAACATTGACACAAGATGAAATCGGTATAGTCTCAGGAGCCAGAGCAATGATTTTCCAAGAGTTTACAGAAATCTTAGAAAGTTTTAGGCTACCCCAAGTGAAAAAAATGAGATTTTTTCAAGTAAAGCTATCCAGATCTCAAAGGCAGAGGAGTTATCACACATCATAAGGATTAAAACATACTTTTGTCTCCTCTTGCTCTTCCCAGAACTCTGGCAAAACAGCATGGAATGGGAAGTGGACGTGGCTTTCTGCATAAAACACATACCCTGCAACATAGCAAATTACTCTGCCTGATCCTTCACCCATTATCCTTGGACCAAGCTTATGCTTTCTGTAAAGTGAGTCTTCATCTTGAGAATCCTTATTCACTAGACAGATTTGATTTGCTTTGCTTCACTTTCAAATACATCAGGACAGGTCTGAATTTGTAATAGGTATCTTGTCTCTTTTACTTAGGACCATTACTCTTTACATTCCTTTTGAAAGTCTTTTTGCTACTCTCAATAGATCAGAGATAGAAAAATTTTCTTAGAGAAATCTAAGAAAATAAGTTCGCTTCAAAAATCTCTAAAATGCCTTCCAATATGAAGATGACCAGATGACCAGAACTGTCCAAATTTTTGGACAATGTTATTGTTTCCTCCACCACCTGCTCTTTCCTTTCTCCTGTAAAGAAGAGAGCCTTTAAAGAAGTAAAAATATTATACCAATGCCCCTCATTGAGGGTCCATAATCATATCAATTTGTAAAGCACCTGCATTTATTAACCTCTAATTGAAGATGGTGTCCTCTGTATTTTTCACTGTGCCCAATGCAAAAACTCATGTGACTAATTATGTTCATAATTAAAAATATTTTTCTCTTTTGTTGAACTGATGAGATTCTTTGAATTAGAAACTAAAACCCATCTAATTCTTTGTGCTTATATTTGTTTGACTTCCAAGAAGTTTGTTTATAATCTTCATGTTTAATTATAGTGTTATATTTGTTTTCAGTTTTCTGATGTAATTGTTTTAAGTAATTAGGCTGTACCTAATTATTATTTAGTTATCGCCTATTGTTTTGTTTGCTTTTAAAAAACAGTTTTTATTGTTTTAAAAATAAACTTTATCAAATGCTTTTGAGAATAGGTGGTGGTGTTGATGCATTTGAATTTGCATGGAAGGACATATTATATGGAAAAATATATTTTTATTCAAGCAACATAGTAAGACAAGAATATGGATCTGCAAATCCAGAGTACTGTGTTTTATTATTCCACAGTTCTGATACATTTGCTGTAAAATTTAGACGAGTCACCAATTCTTCCTAAATTTTCTGATTTTTATATGAAAGTATTCAAGTAGACAATCTCTAAAGTATTTTAAGCTCTTATATTTTATGATTCCCTAATCTTGTTTTGATAACCATCCCCAAATTCTAAGAGAATATTAACTGAAATTGCTCTTGAAATTTTTCATTGAAATAAATCTAAATTTAAATGTCACCTTTCCACAGAGACCACACTATCTAATGTTCTCTCCACCAGGAATGTGCAATCTCATTATTCTCTTCTCTATTCTCCTTTCAATTACCTACGTAAAAGATATTTTCATTCTTTATTTCTTCGATTACTTGTTCATTGTCTGTCTCATCCATCTATGTTTTATGAGAATAAGAACCTAGACTGACTGGCTTACTGTAACACCACTAGTGTTCAGAACAAGGACTGGCACATAACAGATACCAATAAACACTCATTAAATAAATCAATGAATGAATTCCCATTGAGTCAACAACTCGGTAGCTTATATTTCAATATATACAGCACCAGTTGGTTTTTATACTTTTATAGACTTGTTGTTAAGTAAAAAAATGACTTTAAATAATTTTCAATTGTATAAGCACATTTTACTTCAAACTATGAAGCAAAATGAACCACATGTAGAACAGAGTGATTGAAGTTTTGATAGATAATCTCCAGAAAAGAAAAAAAATTCTCCAGTGAAAACAATCAATAGACATCTTTTATTATATACATATAGATTAATAACAAGCATATCTCTTTGTATGCATTTAATTCTATTACAAAATTGTAGCTTTTTGGTATTATTCAAAAGAGAGACTAGCCTTAATATGATATATTCTGGATAGCATATGAAGGAATCCCACATGGTAGGATCAACTGAATCATTTTAAACATGTATTATTTCTCATGTGTACTCTTTTTAAAAAAATGCATTAGAAGACTAGGAGAAAAATAGACATAATATAATAGTTTTCTATCATCATGGAGATGTTGTGAGAATCAAGTAAGATAATACGTTGCAAAGTTCTTAGGATGGAACCTATATATGGCTTCCAAATAAAAGTTAACTAAAATATTCACAACATGATTTAAAATTTGTTTTCAGAATTTATATATTTTGTTCAAACAGATAACCCAAACTCAGTTTTGAAAATTTATAAACTAAAATAGAAAACCTGAAGATGCTATTTTTATAGATAATCACATTGATAATAATAAATTTAGAAATTTTTAGTACATTTTAAAAGGGGAGGGTTAATCTTTAAATGGTTCTGTTTATCCTGGAACTATCAACTTCAGAGATTATAGAGATCATCCACAAAAAGTAAGTTCTTAGTACTTAGGAAGAATATGAATATCAGCTCGGAGGAAACAGTTCAATTAAGTAAAAACAAATAAGATGAAAGGCCAATTTGCACATCTTTCTCACCAATGAAAGAAAGAACAACCATTTCAAGAAATAACCATTTTCAAGAAAACATACTGAAATTGAAATATGTAAAATTAACCTTCATTAAAAAAAAAACAAATCAGACTAAATTAGACCAAAAGGCAACTTTTCAAATAATTTAAAATATATTTACCTGTGTTACTTTTAACAAAAACAACATAGTAAATGCATTGTCTGTGTCTTTTCTGCTCTTTTGTGGCTTAAAATCACCTTCTTTAACTCACATGTCTAAGCGTAAAGGAATGTAATGGTACCAGTACTTTTACAGATCATGCCAGCCAGGGGTGAGGAAGAGCTAATAAAACTCTCCCTGCTTTTTACTGTAACCACCCAGGCTAGTGTGACCTGGGGAAGTGCTAATATGACCCACCTAGTCTGTTGGAAAACAAGGCCTTCAATTCTTTCAACCTCGTTCTCATGCTTAAGAACTCTTCCTCTTGAGTATCTCCTGGCCTTCACCACTATCTTTTTCTCTTTGGTTCCCAAGGGTGATATGTTTTCTTACCATGAAATCTTCAAAATGCTTTGCCCTATCCTGATCATTCTGTTTTGCTGCCTTAGTTCATGGGTACCTTCCATGTTGTGTTTCAATGTGTTTCATCTGAAAAGGCATGCACAGAAAGAGCTTTTACTCTCTCTTGTGATCTAGCTTCTGGAATTCAGATGTTCTTCGGATTATGAAGAGTTCAGTGAAATCACTACTAATGTGTTTTAAAGTGTTTGTGTTTTCAGATTTCAGGCAAAGATCCACTGGGGAAGATGAGAGGAAAATAGCACGGATGAGCAACATACTTCCTGCCCTCTGACTCTGACCTCTTGTTCATACTTTGTTCCTAACAATTCCTTCCCTTAGAGTGGTTTTTCCCAGGGTTCTTATTATAGAGATTGCTTGTGCCCTCAAAACTTCATATGTTGAAATCCTAACTCCCAATGTGTTGATATTATGAAGTAGGGCATTTGAGAGGTAATCAGGTCACGAGGGTGGCACCCTAAAGGGAAATTAGTACCCTTATAAGAACAGATATGAGAGAGATTATTTTTCTCCCAGCCATGTGAGAATACAACAAGAAGATTACCATCTGCAATCCAAAAAGAGTGTCCTTATCAGACACCAGATCTGCCAGGGGCTTTGATCTTGGACTTCGCAGCCTCTAGAACCGTGAGAAATAAATGTTTGTTGTTTTAAGCACTCAGTCTCTGGTATTCTGTTATAACAGTCCAAAGTAGCTAGGACAGTACTTTTCTGTTCCTCAAGTAAACAGTCCCACATTGACCCACCCAACAGTCTTTCCAATTTGCAGAGAAAGTATTAAAATCAAAGCAGTAAGTAATTTGAAGCCACTTATGACATATGCTAAAATACTTGAAATAACTATTTTTAAAATTTTAATGCTCTTGATTATAGTAATGACATATGCCACTTATGAAAAATATGAGCTTCAAAAGAAAAGTAAATTTCAAGTCAAATCCTAAAATTAATAAAGTCAACATTAGAGGGAGGGGCTTTATTATATGTAAAATGTGAGCATGGAAACTGTTAAATCTTGGTCAATTTTCAAATCTCTACATAATCAATTTGGATGCAAATGCAGTAAAAAGAAGGGACTTCAAAAAAATCTATAAACTGTTTCGTGAAAAGATAATTCATATAGTTTGGAGATTTAACTTATATTTAATTATAATTTGTGAAGTGGGTAGGAGAGTTAATATTATGCCCATTTTATAGATGAGAAAATTGAAGCTCATAGGTGTTAACTATGTGACATGTTCTTATTTGTTTTGAATTCTAAGAAAATAGTGTAATGGTGAACGTTTTTCAGCCTAAAAGTCAGAAGATTTAGGTTCCAGCTGCTTTTTTGTTTATACATCAGCTGTTGGATCTGAGACAAGTTACCTATTTTCTTAAATTGTAAATTATTATTATTACTAGAAATAATCCTATCTACTTTTCTAATAGTGTGAGGCTCTTTGGAGGACTAAATGAGATAATGCATGCAAAGAAGGTTTTCATTTGCAAAAGTCTGCACAAGTGTAACATTTTAAAATTTTTATCTGTTTTACAGAAACAAGTCTTAGAGCTCACAAGAATTGAGAATATTAATACCCTCACATGTACAATTGGCAAAGTGTACACATTCTTGATCTCATTTAGATCTCTTTATATTTGAACAACAGTAGGTGTTACATAGGTTTCTTAGATGAATTTGAGGATTTATCTACAAAATGTAGTTAATTGAACTGGTTCCTCTAAAGGATGTTAATGTGTGAAGTATTCTATTAAAGAATTCCTTTTTGATCCAGTTCCTTTGAAGCCGTTACAAAAGTACCAGATCTTAGCAGCTGTTAGACATTATCAAGTCAATCCATGGCTTTTCTTTTCAGGTATGTAAACATTATTAAACATGAAATGGATCCTTGAGACTAACGTGGTAACATATGACAACTTTATTGTTTCAATCTATTTTTCATAATAAATTAATTATAAAACTTGACCATAAGAGAACAGGCATTTACAATTTCTCTGTTTTTCTACAGTTCTAGGGAGATGACTAGTGAAATTATTAAATGCTTGGTCATGCTCAGTAAGTGCTAGTATCAATTATATTCAGCCATAATTATTACCTGTCAAGATAAGCTTTGACAATATGAAATTCATATGCTCTTAATATACATGTGCATGTTAAATGGGTGGGGAAAAGTTTGCTGTACAAGAATGATAACAAATTTTAAAATATGCATCATTCAGATACATTAAACCATACACTTTTAAGTTACTGGATTCTTGATTAGTCTCCAAATGAAGCTTCTTTCTTTTCAAAAAGGGCAACTGAATATTTCCATTTAAGTATGCTTAAAAACCTTCAAGTTACCGCAAACTCTACTTATTTTAAATGGCACTCATTAACCTCCCTCAAATAAATCCCATCTCTGAAATCCATTGTTTTTTTGAATGTCATTATCCTGAGAATGGTCTAAAAGCTTGAATTCATCTTTGACCAATGCTTTACTTTCCAATACATAGTTAAATATCAGTTTTCTTGATTCCCTATCCACTTGCCTTTCTTGTGTATTCAACCCTTTCTATGACTGCTGGTACCACTCCAAGCCTAGTTTTTCACACTCCTTCCTATATCATCACCATGACTGTTTTTGATAATCCCAATAATACTAAACAATATGCAGGAATGTGGGTGTAAATATAAAAGTTTCATGTCATGCGCATGTCTGTATCTTCTGTATCCAACGCTTAGCTTTCTCATCAAAATATTCAAATGTTTGGTGACCAAATAGCTTACAAAAGTATAGGAGACTCTTTGTAGACACTAGACACTTGAAAACCAGCAATGAACTAAATCAAGCAGTATTTTATTATTTCAGCCCCTACTCCAAACCATCTGTCTCCTGAACTATGATAATTGCCTCTCCACTGGTCTCCCTCCTTTTTAATCTCTTGGCAACACAGCAGCCAGAGTGATCTTGTTAAGCTAGAAGTGATATATGAACTCACTTGCTGTAAGCTGAGAGGGCCTAGTGCAGTGAGATCCCAATAGCAATAGCAATGAGCATACCCAGGGCCCTTGGGTTTCTCCAATGAAAGGAACTGGGGTTTCTTAGAAGTGGCTGATTCTAAAACTAGTGGAGGAAACATACAAGGTGCACCTGGAGCATCTAGTAGTATAAGAAAGTAAGGAGAATCTGTAGTATAAGAAAGCATGCTGAAACACATGTGTGTACACACACACACACACACACACACACATTGATGGGGCTATGTCAAAGAAATACAGGAGACAGCTGATAAAATTCTCAATGACAAAACTGGGAAGACTTGATCAATAAAATAAAGCATGTACCATTGGATTTTAACCCCCAAAATACAATAAATATTTACATAAATAATTAATTTAATTAATTAATGAGATTATACAAATCTTCCTTGCAGATTTTCAAATAAATCATATACACAATCCTCCCTCAAACTCTCAAGGTCATCATAAAAGGAAAGTCTGAGAAACATTCATAGTGTTTAGTTGTCTAAGGAGCCAAAATGACTAGACGTGATGTAGTATTGCCATATTGTAAAATATATATTTGGTCATTGTCCACTTTCTTGGCATATAACTTCTAAAATCCTTGGAATCTCCAAAGTGATGTGTCTTTTATATATGCTAGTGAGTGAACTGATGACTGGCCCCACCCCTAAGTAACTTCAGGATGAGGGCTGCTCACTGTAAAGACCAAAGCATGATTATTGGGTTGGGAGTTTCAGCTCCACCTTCCAACCTCTGCGGAGGGGACAGGGGCTGAAGGTTAAGTTGATCACCAATGACCAACAATTTAATCAATCATGCCTATATAGCTTCTATAAAAACCCCAAAAGACTAAGTTTGGGAGCTTCTGGATAGCTGAGCATGTAGCGGTTCCTGGAGGGTGGACAGCAGGGGAAATCATGCAAGCACTGCACCCCTTCCCACATACCTTGTCCTATGGATCTCTTCCATCTGGTGCTCATCAGTATCCTTTGGGATACGAGTTATAATAAACCAGTAAACTTCAGTGTTTCCTGCATTTTGTCAGCCACTCTGGCAAATTAATTGAACCCAAGGAGGGGGTTGTAGAAACCCTGATTTATAGCCAGTCTGTCAGAAGCACAGGTACAATAACCTGGAGCTTGTCATTGACATCAGAAGTGGATGCAGACTTTTGAGACTGAACCCTCAACCTGTGAGATCTAATGCAGTCTCTGGGTAGATAGTGTCAGAATGAATTGAATTAGAGGACACCCAGCCAGTAACCACTGCAGAATTGGTTAGTTGCTGATGGGGAGAAATTGATACCCTTCTCGGTGACCAGAGGTCACAGAAGTCTTCCATATTGATTATTGAGTAAAAGAATAAAAAAAAAATTGGGTTTTATTTTCATATTCTGAGAGGCATCTTGAAAAAAAAATTCACTGAGTAAAAACTAAGGAAATGTGAATGAAGTATTAACTTTACTTGATAACAATGCATCAATAATGGTTCATTAGTTATGACCAAAGAAAG
Organism: Homo sapiens; assembly: GCF_000001405.40. NCBI lineage: Eukaryota > Metazoa > Chordata > Mammalia > Primates > Hominidae > Homo > Homo sapiens. The sequence continues at coordinate 82,471,123 of NC_000001.11, read as the reverse complement.
AGTTAACAACAGGAAAAACTGGCTGAGGAGTAACGCAAACTCTTCATATTGTCCTTCTCAACATTTCTGTAAATCTAAAACTACTCTAAAATGAAAAATGTATTTTAGAAAAGTGAGATCGTTAATGACTCTGTTACGTTTATGGATTCTAATAGATTCAAGAAACAACATCATGAGTAGAAATCATAGCGTTTATACTGACCTACAAAATTTACACAATCTATTTTTTTTTCCTCTCCATTACTTGTGTTACCTCTCTGATCTCATGCCCCACTGTTTCCCCCTCACTGGCTGCTCTTCAGTCAGACTAACCTCCTCAGTGCTCCAGAAACACAAGAGGTATTTCCTCCCTCGTGGCCTTGGTCTTGCATTTTCCACTCTGTAGAACTCTTTTTTTTTCCTGTTAACTACATGATTTGCTTCTACATTCTCAGAGGCTTTTGCTCAAAAGTTACCCTCTAGGTGAAGTATCATTTGGACATCCAATGGCCTACATGAGCTTCTCAATGTTGAATCAAAAAGCTGAATGAGTTTTCATTGCTAAAAATATTCCTATTCTTTCAGAACCCCAAATTTCACACTTTCATCTGTTCCCCTAACATCTTGTACTTAAGTAGTAGTATGATTGCAACGGTTTGATACTAAGGCATATGAAAATGGTGATAATAAAAACACAAAGATCTATAGCTTGCAGTAGATAATAAAAAGGATATGCACAGTTTTCAAAATGTAAGCTTCTCTAGTGACATATGTGTTTTTAAAACTAGAATATAGGGAAGTCTCACTGAATCACAGTGGCCCATGACTGTTGCCATCATTCATCTGTGCACATATATTTATTGAGCACAGATGATTAGTCCATCATGCTAAATACTGAGGCACATTGCTAAGCACAGGAGACATTAAGAAGCTTGCTGGTCAGGAAAGATCTAAAACGCTTCCTGTAACATATACGTGCCTTGACTCACAGTTTCAAAACCTGAGAAGGTCTAGAAAATCATAAGTGACATATCAAAAAACTTATCTCCTTGGAAGTTTAGTTGCCTTCAGAAACAAGTGATACCTTCCCTCACCTTTTGGCTCAGACTCTTAGTTTCAGATGTACTGCAAAAGAGGATATAAACAATAAAATGCAAGAAAGACTCTTTTCTTCTGATGTAATCTCTTTTCCCAACATGGTTGTGTCAGCGATAGAGAGTAAAAGCAAAGGCTAGATCCATTGTATTCTTAATAGAAGCGTCAAAATTCTGACTTATCTTCTCAGAGTGTCTTCCCTAGTCAGGAAAAAATATGGGTTCTGTAAAGCATAGAAAAGCAATAAGCTACTAATAAATAAATAGCGTATGTCAAAATAAAATAATGAAGAATCACTCCATGGAGACTATTTCAGGGTAGCTTCTGGAAAACTTACTGGAGCTTCTTTAGGGGAGCGAGGTGGTGGAACTTTCCCCTAGGCTATAAGTCTGTAAAGTATTTTCTTGTGCCACAAGCAAATCCCTCTGCTCCCTGATCTGCTATATGACCAACATCATAATCATCATTGCTACCATCAATAAACAGCCATCAAGCATTTCCTATATTTTAGGCACAGCACAACAGAACCAGCAATAATGGACAAGTACAGGAGGAAAAAAGAGCCATCCCTTCAGCGTCTTCCAATGCAATTGAGACTATAAAATATCTAATTACAAAAACAAATTAAAACAAGTGCTATAATGGTTCAGAAAAGTAAGATTCACCAGGAGGATGTTGGAAGCCTTTTCTCAAATCTTTTCACCTTCTCTAAACAGAAGACAGAACTACTTCACGAGGTTAAAAATGATGCAAATTGCCCCACAAGAGGGCTGACTTATAATAGCTGGTTGCTCTAAAACAATAATAACTACAACTAATTGAGAGTTTTCTATGTGTTAGGTATCTTTCTAAGCACTTTACATATATTTACTTATGTAATTTCAAAATGACTTTAAAATGTAAACATTTTAAATATGAGGAAACTGAAATGCAAAAAGGTTAAGTAACTTGCCCAAAGTTATACAGCTTGGAAGTGATGGACTAGGATGTGAATCTATGTGTTCTGGCTCCAGACTTCATACTCTCAAGCACATTGCTGTATTATAGTTATGCTAAGCTATTTGCCACAGGTTGATTAGAAGGAAAGAAGAACCTTCTTTGGTATTGCTGTGGCCTGAATGTTTGTGTCCCCGAAAAATTCATATGTTGAGACCTAATCCCCAATACAGTAGTGTTAAGTGGTAGGGCCTGCAGGAGATGATTGGCCCATGAGGGCTCCACCCTCATGAATGGGATTACTGCCTTATAAAAGAGGACCAAGGGAGTTTGTTTGCCCCTTCCACCATGTGGGGATACAGTGAGAAGGTACTACCTGTGAAGCAGAAAGCAGGTCCCCACCAAACACCAAACCTGCTGGATCTCTAATCTTGAACTTGCTGGACTCCAGAACTGTGAGCAATAAATGTCTGTTGCTTATTAGTTATCCAACCTGTGGTAATTTGTTATAATAGCCTGTACAGATGAAGACAAGTATATTCTCTCTGTAATCCACCATGCAAATTACCAATGGATTATGGTTCATACAAAGTGAATCTCTGTACAAAGTGAATCTCTGATGATCATTCTCTTTTGAGGCAGCGGAGGGTAGAAAAATGAACATGGGCTCTGGAACCAGAAAGGCTCAAGAATAAACCCCTGTTTTTCTACTTACTAGTTGAATGATCTGTGCATGGAATATAAACTTTCGAAGGCTTATTTGAAAAGTTATTTTAAGAATAAGTAAATAGTGCATGTCAAAGCACTTTGAAAACTGTGAAGTGTAATACACATATTTTTATTTTTCTTTTATCTTCAAGGGTCTCTAAATCTGGTCTAAGCTTCAGCTTATCTTTTACTATTCCTTCTCAACAATCTGGACCTTTGGCCAAATATGCCTTGTGTTTTACTACTTTGACGACATTGTATGCCCTTGATTTCTGCAAAAACAGAAAAGACACAACTACATAAGATTTGCATAAGTCCGTATGCCCTCCTCACATTTCTCAGGCATCTAGGATCTGATCATGTAAACTTAGCCACAGTACAGTTTGAAATTTGAGAGAAGACTTATAACAACACCCACGGAGTTAATAGGAGTCTCAAAAACAATCGACTTACACTGTTTTTGTGTAAATATCAGGCCTAGAATCGAGGGTGAATAATGAGGAAAACAAAGCCAATCAGTCAACCAAACAAGAAATAAAACTAAAAACTATGGGGACAGTGAAAAGAATATTACACATAAAACTAAGAAGATAGGCTTATATAATTAAAATTTTTTGATACATAAACTCAAACTGTGTTCTCAACAAAATATTATAATAAAACAAAGATTCTCTGAAATGAAAAAGAAAGATAATTACAAGATACCACACGGAAATGGAAGGAAGTTAGCCGAATTAAAGAACTGATATAATGAAAGTAACAATTCCATGGTGATATTAAATATGACACACTAGAAACAATAGCAGCATTGACATTTCTGAACAAGTGTGAAATCAGTCTGATCTTTCTGTAGGGCAATTTTGCCATGTGGATCAACACACTAAAAATTGTGAATATCCTCTTACCTGTTGATTTCATTTTTGAGATTTTAGCCTAATAAAACACTCCTCAGAGACATATAAAATTATATTTGAAGAAGGATGTTCATCTGTTCATTTAAGATACTATTCTTATTGGGCATAAATGTATTCACATTTTATATAATACTCTGCAGTCCACTTTTAATTTTTTATTTTTTAAATTAGGAGAAAATCATATATAAATATAGCAAATATTTGGATTGTGTACATATGAAATGGGCATAGAGGTGAATGCAAAAAGATATACACCAAAAATTGATAACAGAGCAAGTGGAGAATGTAGGAAGGTCAGTCTGATGAGAGAAAAAGGAGGGAGCAGGGGGAAGGAAAAATTGCTCCTTGTTTCTTGGCAACACATCTCTATGTTACCAGGCATTTTGCAAAAAAGATTTATTGCTTTTGTAGTTTAAAAGGAAAAGTCAAAAAAAGGAAGTCAAAAAAAGGAAGTATTTTTAAATGTTTCCATTCCACTCTCTTTAAATATCTAAAAACATGCTATTGGCTAAAAAAATTATATCAATTAATAATGGGTTACAGAAAAATTTGCGGTAACATGAGAAGGTAATTATTATACCAAAAATTATAGAAGTTTTTAAAATGGTATTATAATCCCAAATATATATATATATATATATATATATATATATATATATATATATTTGAAATTTGTATATATGTATTTTGAAGAATATATATAAAGGAATATATATATGAATATATATGTGTGTATATGTATGTATTATAGTCATTCCAGATTTCTCAAGGAAATCTTTCTAAAAGTGAAATTAATGAGAAAAAATATATTTTTAAAGTATTGCACAATTGGTCTGTTTCTTATTATAACCATAATTCTTTGCATTGCAAAATGTTGGAAAAATATATCAAAGCACAAAGAAGGGAAATTACCCACACTCCCACCCAGATGATACATACCCAAATACCAACAGATATTAACTCTGAGTATAGATATTATGAGTAATTTTTATTTTCTTCTATATGCTTTTTAGTATTTTCTAAAATTTCTGCAGTGCACTCATATCATTTTTATTATCTGGAAAATTGAATACTACTAAAAAATTTCAGTCTGCTCTTTTAGTAATTTTTCAGAAGCTAATCTTCTTTAGGAAACATTACCTGAACAATCCAGCTGTAATTAAGGGTTTTTTCTTACTATTCCAGCTAAATAAAAACCCTCAAGAGAGTGATGTCAGTTCCAATTGAAGTGGTGCTCTTTTGGTGCCTACATTGCACAGGGATTAAGTGTGTGGATAACGGAAGGTCCAAGAGCCCGACTGCATCCGAGGCACCCAGTGCTTCTTCTTAAGGGACCGTTATGTCATTCATTAGTTGTTCTACCTTAAGAAAATAATTTAACCTCTTTGCCTCAGTTTCCTCATCTGTAAAATGAAGCTTATGATAGTGCCAACCTGTTTAGGTTGCAGGTAGAATTAAATCAGCTAATACATGCAAAACTTTTAGAAAAGTATAGGCAGATAGTGAACTGGGAATAAGCATCAGCTATCATCATTACCCTAACTATTACTATATTATATAATTATTAAAGCTTACAAAATTTTATTTAGTAGTTTTTTATCATGTACTCTTTTACCCTTACTTTATTATGTGTTCTTTGAAGTAGAAACCATGACTCATGCCTATGTGCAGTTTTATAGCGTTTTATACAAAATTTTGCAGAGTAAGCCTTCAGAAAAAAAAATTAATTGAATTCATCTGTAAATGCCTGAATGGGATAGAAAAAACTTCAAGCTCAGGTGTATTACAGAAAGAATTTAAATGTAGATATTCAGAAATCTACTCCAGAAATTAATGCAGAGAGTGGACTCTATTAGCAAGAAAAATCAAAAAGTGAGAGTATGGGGAAGAGAGGAAGCAGGCACACTGCTCTGAGTTCTTATGAAAGGAAGACAACAGAATTCAGAATCACCAAAAAGAAAATGATAGCTTCCTTCCCTGGCCCTGTCTGTTACCTTTGCCTGTGAGCAAAGTGGTAGTACTAATTTGGATTACTAACAGAAAATATAGAGACAGGGTTTCACCATTTTGCCAGAGTTGGTCTCAAACTCCTGGCCTCAAGTGATCTGCCTGCCTCAGCCTTGCAAAATGCTGGGATTACAGTTATGAGCCATTACACCTGGCTGGCAGTATCTTTTTTTATTGACAATAATAACAACTGGGTAGAGTACTCTCTGAGATTCAGAGAAGTTAAGCAAATTGCTCAGGCCGATACAACTAGAGAGCAGCCAAATAGGATTCAACCCAAGTCTGTGCGATTCCACTTACTGTGTTTTTTTGATAAATACTGGGTAATAGCAAGTTTACCTCATTAGGTTACAAGCATGCTACTCGGCTAGTACTAAATCTGTTTTTTGTTTATTTATTGTTCTGTTCTACAATTTGGTGTTTATTTTACTTAATTATGCTTTGCAAAATGGATTAAGTGCTTTAAATCTTTTATAAATAAGTCTCTTTTTTGTACATAAACAATACTGCTTTCTTATTTCCCAGGGATTTCCCTGGGTCCAGTCCAAAAACCCAAAGTTTCTAAGAGTATGCTGTTTTTCTTCCTGAGCTACCCTACAACTTTCCACTGATGGCCGCAGAGGAGGAGGGCAAGGGTCAGAGTGCTTGAAAAGTCAAAACCCACAAACCAAGGGAGGAGGCACACTGCCAAACCCTTCTTATTTGCTTAGCTTTAACAAATAGTACCGTGAACCAATCTGCACTTGAATCCTTCAGCTTGTCACTGAATAATTCATGGTTATTTAATTTTGGCCCCTATCAAAAGATTTACAATGCATAATCTTTTAAGTACGGAGATTGTAAGTATGTCACAGGGCTTATTTAAAGCTTCACTGTTCTGTTTAGTACATTCAACTTTGCCAATGAAAAGATCCACAAAAATTGATGTATTCTTATCCAACTTGAGATTAGACAATACATGTAAATAAAGAATGACATCTGATATCACCAAATGTCTCCCTTACTATGCTTGGTATTTGGAATGCAGAAATGTCCAAACAAATTGTGTGAAATCACTTTTAGGACAAAAGAGAAAAAAAAATACCAGTCTTGCTTTCCAGCTCTAGACTCCTGAATACTAAGCTTTGAGCTAGTGGAATGTTTGTTCTAGACAGTAGTATAACAATATTACTATCATTTTTAGATGTATGTTTAAATGAATTGACAGTATTTTGAAATATATGAGCAAAGCAGACCTATCAGGATTTAGACAACCCTCAAAAAGACTGTAACTGAATAGAAGTAGAATGAGCAGTTCCTAAATCCCCCATCTGTTTCACATGTACAGATTGTTAAAGGCAGGGGCAGAGCCAACAGCAGTTAAGTTCTCATTTAGTCTTATTGAGGAAACTCCTCCATCCTGTATGTACTGCTGTTAGTATACAAATGATATCTTTGAAAGAGATGTCAGTATAAATGGTAAAGTTTCAGTTTAAAATCCAAAATTATATACAAAGAAGTGAGAGCAAAAGCAACGACTTCTTGTTGAATAAATTGCAAACAATATAACTCAAATACAGTCAAGTGTTGCTTAACAGGGCTATGTTATGAGAAATGTGTCTTTAGAAGATTTCAACATTATGTGAATATCATAGACTGTACTTACACAAAACAAGATGGCATAGTCTACTACATACCTAAGCTAGATGGTAGAGCCTATTGCTCCTAGACTATAAACCTGTACAACATGCTACTGTACTGAGTACTGTAGGCAATTGTAACACAGTGGTAAATATTGGTGTATCTAAACATAGAATAGGCATAGTAAAATATAGTACTATAATCTTATGAGACTACCATCTTATATGCAGTCTGTTGTTGACCAGAATGTTGTAGGGTGCATGATGTAGATACTACTGACATGCATTAGTACCTTCTCTGCTTAATGGTTCTCAGTGAGATAAACAGTGAAAGCTCCCTTATCCTATGGCAGTACGCAGAACTTCATCCATTTTCAAATGTCATAGCGGTATTTTTTTTTGACTTCTTGATTTAAGAAACATCAACTTGGAGAATATCATTTCTTAAGGAAAAGGATCTCACCATCAGAAGTATGTTGTACAAAATAATAGGCTGTTTTGTCCAAAGACAGAAGGACTCTACCTTTCCTGGCAGGTACATTTGTAACATACATTTTTGAGCCATATAGGTTCTATCGTCTTTCTTTTCTTTTCTTTTTTTTTTTTTTAACAATAAAGGCTGGTCAAACAAACCAACAAAAATACATTTTCTTCCTGAAGAATATGAATAAATGTCAAGAAAGCAAGCACTTAAGTTACAACTGCCCCCAGGCAAATGTAACTTCATGTTGGGTTTATGCTACTATCATAAACACCACACCACAGGAAATCACTAACACTAACCATGACCAAGCCAGTCGTGTCTTTTCAGAATTTAAGGGATAATTGCCTTAATGAACTCATATAGTATCTGAAATTTTTCCAATGTAGAGCCATTCGCTAAAGTGCATTGTGTTCCATATAATGGTTTCCTGTGGTTGGTCATAGATTATTACGCATTATTTTGAAATCTTAAGGGGTGGTGAACATCACATAAATGATATAGTCTTTTAGGTGGACAGCCATCAGAAAGCCCCATTAAATTTGTTTTCACATTTTTCTTGGATGGTCAAAAATGTCAGAGAGTTGGGCAGCATGAGATGAAGAATATAAACTCAAATGTTAAGGATGTTGCTTTATGTACTCAAATGTAGGCATGGAAATGGACAATAGAGATGAAGAAAGCTCAAGTAAGCAATCCAGTCCACAAACACACCCCGGCAGGGGAAAATTGCTTCCTAAAATAAACCTTCTAATATTTTAGCACTGTTGACTTTAGTATGTCCCTGGTGATTAGGCTTCTATCACTCACTTTTCCTGCAAGACTATTCTTGTAACCCAATATTTTCCTATGTCAGGAAGTGCCTTAAATTTCCCTTTCTCAGTTTCAAACTACAATCCCAGTACTCCATGGGATATTAGACAAATAATTAAGCAGTTGTAAATCATTCTAAGTATTTCAAATGAATGCTATCCAAAGTCCTAGAACCAGAAATTAGCTGCTTCTTTATAATTTAAATTTTTTGTATTTTTTTGTCTCATTATACATTATACAGTAGCAATTTAGTAAAGAGATGAAATCCTTTAAAACAGGAACTATGGCCATAATGTAATTTTAATTAATAGGTTATATATTTTTAATTTGAAGTAGCATATTAATCCTTTTTTTTCTCGATTGTTTTTGTTGCTCTGCCCTACATTATTTTAGTTTTAGCCATTCATCTGGAATAAAGGACATTTTTAAATTAAATGCTGCATTTTTAGTAGTTTTAGTAAACAACTTTCACATACCTTATTAATTTTATATTCAGAGACAAAACAGCCCAGTCAATGTGATTTGCAAGCTTTATCCCATTTTAGTTCTTTGCCTCAATATTGAAGTTAAAAGACAACTGTCTTAGTTTATTTTGTGCTGCTATAACAGAATCTTAGACTGGGTAATTTATAATGAATAGAAATGTATTGGCTCATTTTTCTGGAGGCTGGGAAGTTCAAGATCAAGGGACTGCATCTGACAAAGGCCTTCTTGCTGCATCATCCAATTGCAGAAGGGCAAAGAGAGGGTAAAGGAGAGGCCAGAGAGGGCCAAATTTGTTTTTTCATAAGGAATCCACTCCTGTAACAATCGACCCACTCCCATCATGACCACATTAATCCTCTCATAAAAACAGAGCCCTCATAGCCTAATCTCCTCTCATTTGATTCCACCTCCCAACATTGTTGCATTGGGAATTAAGTTTCCAACACATCCTTTTTGGGGTACACATTCAAACCATAACAACACCCTAAATGAAGGAAATGTCCTACTTAAGATCAACAATTTATGGAACATATTTTGAAATTCGTGTCTCCCTCACCCACTCATCCTGCCTCATTAAAACTCCCTCCTTACCTCCCATACGGATTTAATATTGCCTCTTGGATAAAAAATATTTTTCTCTACCTAAATTAGAAAACTTCTGAATGCTATATGTAGTACTTGTGCTTCAAATTATAAATGGATAAGAGTGTCTCACAGTAGCATTTTGTGTTTTTCAAGGATGTACACTCCAAGATTGGAAGAATTAACATTTGATATTTTGCTAGCTCCTTTCCCAAGGGGTTTTGATGTTTGGTTGCATTTATTATTTTCCTAGATCAATGTTACCATATTAATTAACCTGGCCCCTTATGGACGCATTATTGAGAATCTGAACAAATCCTTACAACATCTTTAATATCTCATGTCTTCTATGATCTTCAACCCTTGGTTATTTTGCAGAAAAGCTATTTCATTCCACCTTTGACTTCAACATAATGCATAACAATATGGAAATATACATGGCAAAACATAACCTGAGCTAAAAAGAAATTTCTGCTTTCGAACAACACTTGAGTTACAAAACAAATAAGTTACACGAAAGATGACAATTTATAGGGCAGAGAACGATACTAGACTATGATGGCAGGTATTGCAGATAATTGTGTATTTTATAATACACAAATTTTGTCAGTAGACTTTTAAAAGAAAACTTGAAAATGAAGACTGTAGGCCTATAAATAATTCATTTTAGTAGAAATGTATCAAGGTTTTGTGAAGTTGTCATAAGCAGTATGGAAGACAATTGAAAATCTAACACTATTACTATTTCATTTCTGTTTTAGTTCTCAAAGGCCATCAGATTAATACAGTGCAAAAGCCCAGGGTTCCTTTCAATATGACCATTGAGGATTTCACCGTTATATAAATAAGCAGCATTGATTTAGGCAGTGGATGGTACAGGTTTCCTTTGAATGAGCAGTGAATTATGATCTCATATGAAATTATTGAACTTAATGTATAATTATTTTTCTTTCTCTCATTTTTCTTCAAAAAGAATAACTAGTAAAAAGTAATATTAAACACAAGTCCAACAATCACTTTCTTTCAAATTAACTAAAAGTATAATAAACAGACTAAGTATACCCATATAAAGTATTTTTTATAAATTTAAACACACACACAGGAAAACATTTTAAAAATTAAGACTAATAATTTCCTATGTTCATTTTTTTTCTTCTGCCTCAGCTTCCTGTGTAGCTGGGATTACAGGCATGCACCACCACGCCCAGCTAACTTTTGTATTTTTAGTAGAGATGGGATTTCACCATGTTTGCCAGGCTGGTCTCAAACTCCTGACCTTAGGTGATCCACCCGCCTCGGTCTCCCAAAGTGCTGGGATTACAGGCATAAGCCACCATGCCTGGCCTAAAATTACATTTTTAAATTCATCAATGGAAGTAAATTAACAGAAAAAATTCTTGATATAATTATTCTTTATTAAAAGAAATCATTTCATGAAAATGTAGAGAACTAAATTAAATCATTTTCCTTAGATTTTCTGTAATACACTAATAATTTAAAAACTTTATAGTTTCAGCAAGGATTTCTATACAGTGTCTACAGATTTGAATAAATTATAGAAATTATAAACAGTATATAGAGATGAGATACATATATGTATATAGATAATTATGTAATAATTTGTATATAAATATTTAGGAATATAGAAATGAATTTTCTAAGAGAGATAGGAGTGAGTATACTTTTTCTGTACAGGTCCAAATAGCAAATATTTTGGATTTGCAGGTCACATTTGGTCTTGATTGCATAAACAGGCTAAAGGCTGATGACCCCCTACCATAGAGCAATGAAATATAATATTTTGGTATATCTTTTCCACAGAGTAGAAATCACTTAGGCCTGTAACACACAATATTTCTTTGCATTACTATGGATGAGGATCATTTGCTTTACTGTCGTTTGTCTACAACTTAACATCTACCCCTACAGAGTAAACAATAACCTCGTTAAGAGAAAGACAATCAATGGTGTACACGCCTATAGAACCGGAACTCCTCTCCCCCAACCCAAAAGTCTGCTAGACAATGCTCAGCATTCCACTGAAAGGATGCTTCTGCTCATTTCCAAGTCTTGAACTATTTTTTTGTAATTGCATTTTTGTTAGATAGTAGGTAAACTTATAAACCTGGGTTCAAATCTCTGAAATTCTATTCATGTGGTATTTGACTTTGGATAAATTATTTAATGTCTGTGAATCTTAGGATATTTATATATGCGTAAAATAAGGTTACTAACACTGTATTGGTAGCTTTAATATTAAATAAGGTAATATCTATATTAAATAGCATCCTTTCTTTTCTTTCTCCCCACTCTCAACCTCTCAGTTTCCTTTCTGAAGGCTGAACATCTATCTTATGCTTACCATAGAAAGGATTTTGCATTGAGATTCAAAACGGGTATCTCTTAGCCTACTACCTCTATTATTCTTCTCATCATATTAGAGAAGTGAGCTGCTCCATTACAAAATAGTCTTACAGTCAAGCGCACATCCACAACAGCAAATAGTGTTCAATCAGCTCTTTAGTTTGATATAAGCAATACAGTTCCAACACATAGGGAGCCCTCAAGGAGGTAAAAAATCCTGGAATATGTCTTCAGATCAGTGGTTCTCAAAAAGAACTTATAACCCCTGGAGCATTCCTGAAGTCAAAACTATTTTCATAGTAAGGCCAAGACAATTTTTAGCTTCTTTCTCCCTTATTCATTTAGAATTATTGAGAATCTACATGACTTGTAATAGTAAAACAGATGAATGCAGAAGCAGGTATTATAATCCAGCTGTCCTCTAGTAAGCCAGATATTAAAGAAATTGCTATAAAATGAAAAAGAGCATCTTCTATTTTTAAGAAAATATAGTTTACATGTAATAAGTTATTATTTTCACTCATAAAAAGATACTTCAAAAATTTTTCAGTGTGGATTTCTAATACTGTGAATATCAATCAGTATAATACACACAAAAGTTTATTGGGATCCTCAGTACATTTTAAAAGAGTAAAATGGTTTTGAGGCCACAATTTTTGAAAAGTACCGCTTTAGATATTAAATCTATCACTTGGCTCTGGCATAAGGGAAGACCTTTGTGTTAGGTTGTTAAAGGACAGCCTATGGCCACCCTTTTGGTTGGAAGACAGTGCCCCCACCCACTGTCTTCATCTGTCCACTTTCTCCCTATCCACAGAAACCCCCAATCTACCCATTTGAAGCTGCTTCTTTGCTCTTTGCCCCACAAAGAGTTTACCTTCTTATGTCTCACTTCAGGCAGGGAATGTTAGTGACTCTTTTGTCCTTCCAGTGTCCCTGTCCTACAGGGGAGAGACACGGTAAGTCAGGATCTGGAAAGGTAGAGAGATCTTTACAGGGATGTGGTACATAGGTCAAGTATCTAAAAGACTTTTGGATATTCAGACCTTTTTGTACCGCAAATAATAATCTTCTCCGATACAGAAAAGCACAGTGATAAAGGGTAAAGACCTACACTAACTGGTCTTATATCCTCACTCTGCAGTCAGGAACTGTAAATTTGGGCCAGTTGTTAACCTCTTTGTGTCTCAATGTCTCGATCTACTAAATGGTACTAATTTATTATCAATCTCATAATTAATGAACACAGACTGACAAGTAATAAACACTTGATAAATGCCAAGAAGCATTCCCTCACAAAGTGAGAGAACGCTTGTATTTTTTCCACCTTAGAGTATAAATCTACTCCGTGAACTTAGTTTCAGATTCTTTGGGTCCAGGATGGTTAAGGGGGATTGGATGAGGTGAGGTAGAGTGGAGGCTGGGAGGAATAGTGAGAAAGCAATGGATAGGGGGAAAAAATCACATACATAAAATGCCTAAGCATTTGACAAATGGCAATTCCCTAAATATTATTGCCTTTAATTCCCATTGAGAGGTTTAAGTACATTACTTTACAAATATGTATGAATGTCATCTATGTTTATTAAAGTAAAATAACCTTCAACGAACAGTTTTAACCAAAGTGAATTGTTTTCATCAATTGTAGCCAGTAAATGGCCCAATCAAATGGAAAGCATTCTGTATGAAACCATACTAAGTTCTAGCTCTTCCCTAGGGTCTAGCTTTGATTATAGATGCATTAGTGAATTACTCAATTTCATTGGTAAGGCCACTTACAGATATGGGCTTTTATATTCAAATTCTAAAACAGCCATAGAAAATTGTATGTGCCTCTACCTCATAAGAAGATAATTTACAGAGGGGGTAGCCAACATTTGAGAGTTAGAGGTCTATTCTGAAATCCTGAGATAGAGAAAAATAATCTAGAATATCCATTTTGGAGAAATTATATGCTAGATAGAAAACTCCATAAATTCTTTCATCTGCTTACTGGGATGACTTGGAAATTATTTTAAATATATGATTTTTGATTCACCTTTTATTTAAAAAGTAGTTTCTGCTGATTATTTTAATTCTTTTTCTCAAACATCACACCAATAATTAAAATTAATGGTCTCCCAGGGAAATTTGATTGAGAATTTGGGAATTCTTGGATTGATTTAGAGATTCAAAGGATAATAGTTTTATCTGGTTAATTTAGTGGAACAATCAATTCAAGGGAAAATAAAGTCTGTCATAAATCTTTAAGTTAAGTCAAGCAGACTGATGTTTGGTTTTAAAAATGTATGTAATTAACAAACTCACAGACCAGCTATGGTGGGTGTGGAGGCGTTGTTTTCCTATTTAATGCAAAAATCTATTTGGCTATTTAAATCACTTCCCTGTTACTCAGCAATAGCCAGGAGTTTATCACTGAAATCTATACATTTTCCTGGACTTCGAGGAAATTATAATATGCTTCAGCTTTTTTGATCCTGGTATATCAGAGTCAATTATTCTCATTTATCTTCAAGGGTCCATTGACCCTAATGCTTGAATCAAACATTCTTTTATTTACAAACTCTTGACATTCCTACTAATTGTTTGACTTCAAACTCCCAGAAACACATAAAGAGTAAATGGTCCTGAACTTAAATTTATTATTAATATAATAAACCCTTTCACATGACATTATCTCACTATTAGATCATTACTAATCAACTCTTTTTACCACCCAAATAAGCGGCACGGGGAATTTGGAAAGAGAGAGAGAGGTGTTGTACATGCTGCTTCATAAATATTGCCTGACTGCATCACAAATCTCATAATTAACCTTACTGTAATGTATTCAATGTTAAAACCAAGGTAAAAGAATATTGTACTAGGAATTAAAAGTAAACAGAACAGTAAAACAAAACTGGTTAATGAATGAGTTTACAATAAAATCATAAATATCCCTTCAATTAATTTATTTATTTAGGCATTCCACATTTGTTTCAATTATCCTTTGCACAGAGCAATTCCCCTTGTGAGGTTTACTTCACAAGTTTCTAGATGCATTCTAAAATTTTCCATATAAATTTCCTCTTCTTTGATGTTGAGCCACCAATCTTTGTGCTATGTTTTCTACAATGGCTGTTTACTAATGCCTTAATACAGATTTAGGACAGCCTATGAAAACGTCTATTAAGCATTGCTATGGACTCAATGTCTGTGTACTCTCAAAATTCATATGTTGAATCCTAATCCCCATTGTGATGGTATTTAGAGATGGGACATCATCATTATTGATACAAAAGACACAGAAGCACCATTTTCAGCATTCACCAGATTCTGAATTCAACTCTCAGAAAAGAAAATTGTTGTACACATTTCCCTGGAGAGAGACTATACAAATAGAAATTGAGACACGTGCTTTATGACACAGTTTTACAAGTGCTGAATGCTGCAGATACAGATCTCTTGGATTCCTTCTCTTGAAACTTTTTCTGTTGCATACCGGAAACATCAAAAACTAAGTGCAACACTGCATTCTATAACTGTGCAAATTTTTAGGCATTCATCTTTGATTACAGAAGGTGATGTGTGAGTGTTTAGGAGAAACTGGTTTCTGAGAAATGAGACTCTCTTGCCCTTCATATGGTGTGTGTGGCTCCCCACAGATATCCTGCTACATTATTTAGGTTTTCCAGCCTCTCTCTGCAGGTGACAGTGCTTAAACTTATGCAGTGCAGATAAACCTAGCTAGTGGAAGTTAGGTTTCACAGTCTGACCACCTCTCTGGAGGAACAAGATCATGCCATCTACAGAAAAACTGAAACAGCTACTGAACCATTTCTATGTGATATTTTAAAATTGGATTTTTACCTTTTGGATGAATCTGAAGCAACTTTATTTTTCTGGTCAAAGTCTTTGGGGGAAGGATTCTTGGTGCATTATAAACTAAGCTGTACATGAGGAAACAGGCATCTCCATGTCACCAAGTGTATTTATTTCTGCTGAAACTCTTTAAATTCAGTTTGAGGTATATTCTTCAAAAGTTTTATTGTTTTCTGAGACAGGTTTTTTTTTTTTTTAGATATCAATTCCACAATAGCACAATTAATTAATTCATCAATAGGTGTTGATTTAGCACCTGCTGATATCATGAATCATAACTCTCAGATAACTTAAATTCTAGTCAAAGGCAAGATGGCGACTAAGAATGTGGTAAATTTTGTAGAACCAACTTGAAAAAAATATATATAAATAACCTAGTTCTCTCAGTTCTCAATAATCCTATTTTATTACTATTAAAAATATTTTTCCAGATGACCACATGTTTTAAATAGCAGTAGTCTCCTATAGCCTCTCAGCCTTAACCAGAAATGATATCTATCTTTTGATAACTATGTATATTAGTCAGGGTTCTCCAGAGAAACAGAATAAACAGTATAAGGAATTGCTGCATGCAATTACAGAGGCCAAGAACTCCCAAGACATGCAGTTGGCAAACTGATGACCTAGGAGAGCCCATAGTGTAATTCCAGTCTGAGTCCAAAGACCTGAGAACCAGGCGAGCCAAAGGTGTAAGTTCCAGACTGAAAGCTGGCCGACTCAAGACCCGAGACAAGCTGATGTTTCAGTTTGAGATGAAAGGCATAAATAATGCTTAACCAAATATCTGAGCAGTTCCTGATCCAATCAAGTTGACATAAAGTTAACCATCACAAGCCCATGCCTTGTCAACTTTGCACCCATACACATCTCCTTATATCATACTTAATGTCAAAATAAAGACAATAACAAGGTTATTCTGCCTTACGTGGTATGACTATTCTATATACAACCAAACATACTAACCTCTTTCCCAGAAGAGGAGATAAAGTTTTTAAGTGACATTTACTCTTCTCTTTGATATTTCATAACTTAAATACTATGATGTAAAATGAACAAGGCTTAAACACTATAGGGTCAATATGTCTTATGTTACGTGATAAGGAAGTAAGAGAGGAAAGAGATTTGCTTAATATATACACACAAACCACAAACACATACACAAAATATATTCAAACCAAAATGAAAAGAAAATACTCATGAGAAATGTCATCCTTATTCCTGTAACTGGCCAGGTAATCATTGCTGGTATTTGTGACTAATTTCTTCCACTCCCCATTCTGTCTTCCTTTTTCCTTCAGCGAGCAACTCTGCTGGTTGTAATTCTTTAACTGGTGGAGTGGCCCATACCTTCATTCCTGAAGGGTCCAGGCCATTAGCAGTACTGCCTGTATTCAGTTGTATTCCACTGTCCTTAATCATAGGACATGATAATACTGAGAGATGCCTTCAAAGATCTCCTGTATTCCACACATACTCTTCCTTACCTCCAATTTGGAATTGTAGACCCATTGCTCCTTGGTAGTCATCATTAATCACCTCATTAGCACATTAACTCCTTTCTTCACTTGTTGATTCAGAGACATGAGGAGCCCAAAGGGGCTGGGTAGCAGTTTCACTTCCAGTTTGAAGGAATTATTGTTATCTCATGGTGGTGGCATTCCTTCCTTTGAAACTAACACCTCTAGGCCAGCAAAGCATAAGACCATGGGGAAATAAAAGCAAAAAAAAAAATTGCTAGTGATTGCTAAGAGTAATAGTGAGTGCTGCTACTCCCAATTCTATCCCTTGGTTCCTGGAGCCATAAATCCTGCCTATGAAAAAAACAGCATATTTATTTGATGCTGATTCAGAACATAAACAGCCATCTGGAGAACCTTGTGCCAGGTATTAACACCTACCTGGCAATACCTGTGACTTCAAAAGGCCACTCCACCATCTATTAAGCCAGCTGTTTCAGAACGATGGGGAACAAGATAAGATCAGTTAATTCCATGAGTGTGGGCCCATTGCCACACTTCATTTGCTGTGGAGTCAGTTCCTACATCTGAAGCAATACTGTATAGAATAGCAAGATGGTGTATAAGGCATTCTGTAAGTCCATGGATAGTAGTTTTGGCAGAAGCAGTACATGTAAAGGAGGCGAATATGGAGACAGAGTAAGTATCTATTTTAATAAGAACAAAATGCTGCCCTTCTCATAATGGAAGTGATGTAACGTAATCAACCTGCCACCTAGCTGATCACTCCGGGGAACGGTGTTATATCAGCAACTCAGTGTTGGTCTCTGTTGCTGGTAGATTGGGCACTCAACAGTGGCTGTAGGCAGGTTGGCCTTTGTGAATGTGCCCATGTTGCTAAACCCATACATAACCTCCATCTCTGCCACCATGATCACTTTCTTCATGAGCCCGCTGAGCACTGGTAGGTGTGCTGGGGAAAGAGGCTGACTGACATCCACAGAATAGGTCATCTTATACATATGATTATTACAGTTTTTGTCTACCGAGTCACCCTTTGGTGAACATTCACATGGGCAGCAAATACCTTTATGATTTTTGCCCATTAAGAGAGGTTTCTCTCCATACCCATCCTGCAGATTTCCTTGTCACTAATTTTCCAATTAGGTTCCTTCCAATTTCCTGACCATCCAGCCAAACAACACGCAACACCTCATGAATTAGTATAAAGTCACACACCCGACCAGTTCTCCTTCCAAGCAAAGTGAACAATCAGATGCACTGTTCAAATTTCTACCCACTGGGGGTATTTCACTTCACCACTGTCCTTCAGGGATGTTCCAGAAAGAGGTTATAGTCCAGCAGTTGTCCACTTTTTGGGTGGTGCTTGCATATCATACATCTGTAAGCCAGGTCTGAGTCCTCCCTTCTACTATCCACTGATTGTAGGGAATTCCCCATCTCTCCCAGATGTAGGCAGGGAGAGAGAAGGCAGTGTAGAATATTTTGGTACCAGAAGTGGGGTGCTACTGTAAAATATTTCTCAAATATGTGGAAGTGGCTTTGGAACTGGATAATGGATAAAGGTTGTTGTGGTAAGGTCTGAGACAGAAATGAAAAACAGGTTATTTGAAGCTGGAGGAATAGTGATCCTTGTTATAGAATGACAAAGAACTGACTGAACTGTGTGCTAGTGTTTTGTGGAAGATAAACTCTACAAGCCATAAAACTGCATATTTAACTGAAGAGATTTCTAAGCAGAGTTGAGAATGTAGCTTGGGTCCTCCTGACTGTTAATAGTAAAATGGAAGAGGAAAACGATAAATTGAAGAAGGAATATTTAAGCAAAGGAAAGAAAAGAAAGAAAGAAAGAAAGAAAGAAAGAAAGAAAGAAATTTGAAAAATTCTCAGCCAGTTCATATTATAACAATAAGAAAGCTTGTTTAGAAGAGAACACTAAAGGTGTGTCTGGACTATCACTCAATAAAGAGATTACGGCATTATATAAGCAAAAACACCGCCAGTTTGAACTGAAGGCAATGGAAACTAGATGTCAGGAATGAAAGGGAAGAATGGCCCTGATGATGTTTCAGAGATCATTAGGGCTGCCACTCCCCTGACAGGCTAATGAGGCTAGGCTGATTTCCCATCAGTTTCAACAGGCCAGGCAGACACCTCAGAAAACTGCATGGCTGGGGCCACCCTACTAAAGCCAAGGGC
Organism: Homo sapiens; assembly: GCF_000001405.40. Classification (NCBI taxonomy): domain Eukaryota; kingdom Metazoa; phylum Chordata; class Mammalia; order Primates; family Hominidae; genus Homo; species Homo sapiens. Next base: position 82,451,601 of record NC_000001.11, on the reverse strand, counting down.
TGTGGTTGCCACAGAGATTTGGAGCTGATCATATGAGTGATTCTGCCGTCCCTGCGTACCTGGAGGACAAAGCATCAGACCAAACAGGAGAGTTCTCAAGCCCTAAGATCTAATGGAATTTGCTGAGTTTTGGCAAGCAACTTTTATCTTTTGTCCCTTTCATCCTTCTAATTTTTTCCTTTTGGAATGAAAATGTCTATTTTATGGTTGTCCCACCATTGTATTTGGAAGTACATAACTTGTCTGGTTTTACAGGTTCACAGGTAGAGAAAAATTTTGCCTCAGGATAATTTATACCTTGAGTATCACCCATATCTGATTTAGATAATAGTGAGATGAGATTTTAGGTATTAGAATGGATGCTGGAATGAGACAACACTGTTCAAGCTGTTGGGATAAAATTGTGCCTTTTATATGCAAGAAGGACATACATTTGAGGGGACAAGAAGCAGAATACCATGGGCTGAATTGTGTACTTCCAAAATTCATATGTTGAAACCCTAACCCCCAATGTGATTGTATTTGCAGATAGGGTCCATAAGAAGGTAACTAAGGTTACATAGTCATAAAGAAAGGGCTCTGATTCAATAGGATTAGTGTACTTTTAAGAAGAGATGCCAGTGTGCACTCTTTCACACTCTCTGCCTGCACAAAGAAGAGGAGATGCCATGTGAACACACTGTGAGGTGGTGGCTGCCTATACATCAAGGAAACAGGCTTGAGAATGAAATCTACCTTACTGGCACTTGATCTTGGATTTCTAAGCCTCCAGAACTATGAGAAATAAATTCACAGTTGTTTAAATCACCCAGTCTATGATATTAGATTGGTGCAAAAGTAATTGCGGGTTTTAATGGTAAAACCCGCAATTACTTTTGCACCAATCTAATATTTCAGTATGGCAGGCTGAGCAGACCAATACACTAGGGAACTCATGTTTTTAAAGGAATTTAAAACTTTTTTTTCATATTTATGTTTATTTTCAGTAAGTATATCCTGAGTGCTAACTATTGACCAAGCCAATTAAATACATACATACAAAGTTCTCAGAATCCTAATTAATACCAACAACTATTTATGTATAATAATGTTGAGAACTATACCAAGATGTACGGATAACTCAGTGGATCATGAATTTAAAATATTTCAACCCCTTCCTATCTTCATCTTCCAGGGCCTTAACACGTTTTGTTTTTCCTTATTTTTTCTTTGCCTCCCTAACTCCTACCCATCATTTAGCCCCCTACTTAAACGTCACCTCCCCCAAGAAATCTCTTGTAACCCTCAAACTGTGTTTGGTTTCCCATTATATGTTATATGCTTCCCATGAATCCTTAACTTTTCCTCTGTAACAATTTCAAAACTGCTGTATTAGTCTAGGTTTTCCAGAGACACAGAACCAACAGATGCATGGATGGATGGATGGATGGTAAATTTAGATGATAGATAGATACATAGATAGATAGATAGATAGATAGATAGATAGATAGATAGATAGATGATAGATAGATAGATAATAGATATGAAATAGAGAGATTTATTTTAAGAAATTGTTTAATGTGATTATGGAGTCTGAGAAGTTGCAAGATGTGCAGTTAGCGGGTTGGAGACCAAAGAGATCCAATATTATGATTCCACTTTGAGTCCAAAGGCATGAGAAATGAGATAGATGATAGGGCAGTTCCTGCTCAAAGGCTAGCAGTCTCAAGACCCAGGAATAGTTGAGGTTTCAGTTAGAATGCAAAGGCAGAAAAAAATCTGATGTCCTGGTTAGAAGGCATTCATGCATAAGGAATTCACTCTTATTCACAGGAGCGTCAGCCTTTTTGTTTTATTCAGGCTTTCAAATGATTAAATGAGGTCCACTGACACGGAGGACAACTTGTTTTACACAGGGATATGGTTAGGCTTTGTGTCCCCACCCAAATCTCATATTGAATTATAATCCCCATAATCCCTATGTGTCAAGGGAGAGACCAGATGGAGGTAATTGATTCATGAGGGCAGTTTCTCCCATGCTGTTTTCATGATAATGAGTGAGTTCTCATGAGATCTGATGGTTTTATAAGTGTTTGGTAGTTCCTCCTGCGTTCATTCTCCTTCCTACTGCCTTGTGAAGAAGATCCCATGCTGTTCTTTAATTGTAAGTTCTTTAATTCTAAGTTTCCTGAGGACTCCCCAGCCATGCTGAACTGTGAGTAAATCAAACATCTTTTCTTTATAAATTATCCAGTCTCAGGCAGTTATTTGTAGCGGCTTGAAAAATGTACTAATACACTCAGTCTACAGATTCAAATGTGAATCTCATCCAAAAGCATTCTCACAGACACACGCAGCATAATGTTTGACCAAATATTTGGGCACTCTGTGGTGACCCAGTCAAGTTGACACATAAAATTAATAATCCCACCCATTTACTGTTTTTTAATAATAATAACGCAAGAACTGTGTCTGTTTTTCCTATCTATATATCTCTAGTGCTAAAAAAATACTTATTAAATAAATTTTTACAGGATAACTGACTAAACACCAATTCAAAAACACTCATTCAATCTTTATATGAATAAAATTATTTTAGGGCTATGATAAAAATAAGAGTACATATATCTTTTGCCTGGATCTCCCTGTACAATTTACCAAGACTTCCTTCCTGGAAAATCTTGTCCACCTAGCAAAGCAAAGAATTTCTGGATTCATTCATATTTTTCAATGATGCCTCAGTAAATTCCATTATAAATTCAATTGAGAAGGAATGCCTTTTTCTTTATAATACAATTCACATGTTTCATATTTAAGACCATATATATGTATATTTATATATTTAAGACCAAATATAAATACATACAAATATATTTATAAAATATAAATATATTTATATTTTATAAATATATTTATATGTATATTTATAAAAATATAAATATATTTATATATATATATAAAGTTCTTTAATTGATCCCACATTCCCCTCCAGATATACTCTTATTATTTTTCATTTACTTCACAGGCAGCTTTTTCAAAAAGTGTCAGTGTAAATAAAGTTATTGCCATCGTTTCTCACCAGCTTCTATATACTCTAAGCTGACATCAACTTAACTTTTTCGTTACCTGTGACTCTCCCACGTCACTAAATCTAATGATTCATTTTAAAGCCTCATCAAACTTGATGTAGCCACAGCACTGACACTATTGACGCTTTGATCCTTTTGGAAATACTCTTCCCCTTCAACTTCCATGACCCCAAATTTCCTTCCTTTCTCTCTGCCGTCTTCTTCTGAGTCTCATTTAACAAATAATCCTCTTCTTCCTGATTCCAGTTGTTGAAGATTCTCCCAGCTTTGTGCTAGGCCCTCTTCTTAAACTGCACATCCTCAGCTAGTGCTAGTGCTTGTTTGTTTGTTTTTTGAGACAGAGTCTTGCTCTGTCGCCCAGGCTGGAGTGCAGTGGCACAAACACAGCTCACTGCAACCTCAACCTTCTGAACTCAAGCAGTCCTCCCACCTCAGCCTCCCAACTAGCTGGGACTGCAAGAATGTGTCACTACACTCAGCTAACATTTTTATATTTCGTGGAGACAGGGTCTCTCTATGTTGCCCAGGGTGGTCTCAAACTTCTAGTCTCAAGCAATCCTCATGCCTTGGTCTCCCAAAGTGCTGAGATTACAGGTGTATAATCAGCACCTTGCCTCAGCTAGTTTTAATCACTACAGATATGGAGAAGACTCACAAATTTGTGCTCCCACTCAAATTTTTCTTCTGTGTTCTGTACCATATACCTGCCTATGACATTGCATTTGGTTGGCTCAAAGCCTACCTCATCCTCTGCCTCTTTTCCATCCTGGTCCTGATCAATCTCAATAATGTTAACAGCATATTTTTAGTTGTGCAAATGAGAATTTCTAATAATGTTTGTTAACACATCCCTCTCATCACACCTTTGTATTTATAATCACACTTTTATATGTCTCTTAATTCCCCCACTTCTTTTTCACTCCCCCCTTCTCTTCTATAAATTCAATTTAAAATTACCTCTAACATGCAATAATCTTGCATGACTGTAATAATCTATTAGCTTTTTCTCCCTGAGTTTATTTCTAGTCACTGCAATCTAATATCCACACTACAACTGGAGTGACCTTTTCAAAATGGAAAACGAATCATATATCCCCAATGCTAAAAAAACTTCAACAGATTTCCTTTGTATTTAGCCTAAAACACAAAAAACTTAATATGTCTATAAGATGCTGAATAATCTTACCTCTCCCTATCTTTCCAGGTTCATCTTGAACTTATCCTTCTCTATCTTCATTACCCACTTTCTGCTCCACTGCACTCTCAATACATTGGCTATGTCTCATTTGCTTGAATACTTCATAATTTTCCAAATGGCATGGCCTTTACCATTCAGTATAGAAAGTCCCCACCCCAACACATTCAGAAATAGTTGGCCTCCAGTTAACAGATTAACACAAGCCTCAGAAAGGTCATCCCTGACTCACTGACTCTACATGCTCTTAAAGTGTTCTGTACCTTTCATTGGATTAAATATAATTGTACTTGTTTCATGATTTTATCAATGCTTATTTCCTCTAGTAGACTGCAACCCCTATTAGAGTAACTACAATATTTCTTTTATTAACAGTTATTCCCCAGATACTGGCTGGCATATTAATTAATAAATGCTAAGACCAATTGAACAAAAATTTATTGAATGTTGATTTAATGAGTGTGGGAAGGCACATTCATATCACACAGAAGTGATATAATTTTTTATATCACACAGAAGTGATACAGAAATATATTGGAGATGGTCCCTGCCCTCAAAGAGCTACTTTTCACTTTAAGAAATGAACATAAATATAATTAAAAGTAAACACTACAGTAAATAATTAATATCAAATGCTACGGTATAAGAAGTTACAACATAATTTAAAAATAACTTATAAAGCAATACAACAAGTAAGACACTTCTAACTGGAATGGTCTAATGATGACTTACAAATGAAAATAATCGGGAGCTGGACCTTGAGAAATAGAAAGAAGCTGGAAAGTCAAAACTGAAAAGGCAGAAATTTCTGGGGAGAAGAATGGAATGAACAGCACTCCAGAGGCAGGAGAGCCTCTGGGATCGAGTTCAATGGGATGCCCTCACAACAACCCTTATAGGGCTCCAATGTTCTGTGGAAATAAACAGAAACTAGTCCCAGAATTTGATAAAAGCCACACTTTGGAATGATGAGAATTTTAATGGCTTGAAATTCTGAAACAAAGCCTTACTATTGTATTTCTGCAAAATACTACAAGTACTATTGCTGTGTAACTGGAATGTGAAAAGAAAAGGTGTGAAAATGTAATGGCTGGTTTTAAATATTTTTTGCAAAGTTGTAGTCTTATTGGACACTTTCCCAAATCTCAATGCGGCCTTCGGAATTATCAGCACATAAAACAGAGTATGTGTTCTTTTTCTTAGTAAGAATTGTGGTTCCATGTCTTCAAAATTCTACTTTTCATGTTTAAATGCACCCTTAGAATCTCCTTTTAAAGAAAAATGACCCAAAGATTGTTTCGCAACAATCCTTGAAACTTGGCCCCTCATTCTGAAAGCTATGAGTTTTTTTGTTTTTTTGTTTTAGTTTTAGTTTTTTTGAGAATAGAGCAGCAGTATTAGACAATACCAAATGCAAACATAGTACTTTATCTGTGAAATCATCATTTTGCAACATAAGAATTAAGAAATTTATAACCTCTTTCACAGAATTTCCTGTCTAGAAATACTAATGTAAATATCAATGCTACACTGATTTATAGCATTTCTGGGTATGTATATAAATAAAAAATATAAACTGTGTCACCAGGCTTCCAAATCAAATTGCATCTAGGCTGGAAATGATGAAGTGTTCAAAAATAGACTTGTTTAATTTGATTTCTTGTCAAATTAATACATCACGTAGTTTTAAGAGTCAACTATTTCCACAAGGATTGTTTTGAAAAAGATCAGTTTCTCTGCCTCCTGCAATCTACTATCCCTGCTTCCTGCTTTCAAAACCATGCCTTTCTTAATTTCAGATTTAGGCATTAACTGTTGACTTCCAGCTATGGAAGATGAGAATCTCACTCTTTCCTCTCCCTTCACCTGGGTTCCAGCAAATTCATACACAGTTTCAATCCTTCATCCTCTTAATGTAGGCATATTATAACGTTGCTTAGATTCACATTCAATGTTCATTTTAACCATGCAAAAATATTCACCCTGGAGTCATGTGATATATGATGTCATTTTCTTTTCTGCATAACTTTCCATTTTTCCTGGTGTTAGTAATTATCTCGTTTATAGCTTGCTTAATTTTCTTTATCGGTATCACTAGTTTAAATCCAAGCACTCTGCCAATTACTTAATCCTTTTCAATACATTAAAACAAATTAGGTATTATATCTAGTCATCTTTTTGCAGTAACTACTCATACAGCTTTCTTGTGTGTGTGTGTGTGTGTGTGTGTGTGTGTGTGTTGAGACAGGGTTTCACTCTTGTTACCCAGGCTGGAGTACAATGGCGCAATCTTGGCTCACTGTAACCTCGGCCTCCCTGGTTAAAGCAATTCTCCTGTCTCAGTCTCCACAGTAGCTGGGATTGCAGGCGCCCAGCACTATGCCCAGGCAAATTTTTGGTATTATTAGAAACGGGTTTCACCATGTTGGCCAGGCTGGTCTCGAACTCCTTACCTCAGGTGATCTGCCCGCCTCAGCCTCCCAAAGTGCTGAATGTAGAGAACAGCTGTCACCATAGACTGTCTTCTCATAATCTTGGGGAATTCTCTTTACTTATCTCTTCAGTTAAATCCAATGTTCATTAGACCCCTTGATTTCCTCTTTCTTTTTTATTCACTCATTTTGCTGGAATATATATTTTAGTAGCTTTTAAGAAGGCATATTTGTAAGGTAAATATTTTTATTAACAGCTTATTTTAATTTATTATATACATATACATATTTAACATAGACTTCTTGTTTAGAACTTATGCTTCCTCAAAATTTTGAAAGCATTTATCTAATAACTTTAAGATTCCCAACCTAAATGCCCATCAGTGATAGACCGGATAAAGAAAATGTGGTACATATACACTCTGGAACACAATGCAGCTATAAAAAGGTAGTAGATCATATCCTTTGCAGGGACATGGATGCAGCTGGAGGCCATTATCTTTAGCAAACTAATGCAGGAACAGAAAACCAAATACAGCATATTCTCAAGTATAAGTGGGAGCTGAATGATGAAAACACATGGACACATGGGAGGGAACAACACTAACTGGGGCCTGTCAGAGGGTGGGCAGAGGGAGAGCATCAGGAAGAATAGCTATTGGATGCTGGGCTTAATAACTGGGTGATGGGAAGATCTGTTCAGCAAACCACCACGGCACACATTTACCTACGTAACAAACCTGCACATCCTGCACATGTACCCCTAAACTTAAAAGTTGGAACTTTAAAAATTAAAAAAAAAAACTTTAAGAGTCCGTTGACTGATTGATATTGTTCAAGAGTCCAATGTCATTCTTATTTTTTAATCATTTTATGAAATCTTGTTTGTTGGAAATTGTCACGTATTCTTTTTTTTCCCACTGTTTTCAAGTTTCATGATGATTATTATAGCGTGGATCTTATGTTACTCATTGTGCTTGGCACACAGCAGAGTGTCTCAATCTTAATTCATGTCCTTCAGCTCTGGAATACAGTCTTTATTTCTTTGATAATTATCTGCCCCTTGCTCTATTTTCTCTTTCTGAACTGGTCCTTTAATTTTTTTTATCTATCCCTTCTGACATACATCTCATGTTCCTTTTGCTTTTTTGAGGGGAGATTTCCATAGCTTACCTTCCAAATGATTTTTTAAAATTTCCACTATCATGTTTTTAATTTCCACGTGGTACTTTTTGTTCTTTAAATATTAAACTATAACAGCACCATGTCTTTATTTCATAAAGTCAATATCTTCTTATATCTCTCTATGTTTTTTAAAAAATTTTTCTTGTAGTTTCAATTTGCTCCAAAGCATTTTTCTTCCTTTTGTATGATTTTTGTCTTTGACTTTAATCATAAAGGATTTCCTTCATTGCCTGGTGATTCTGGCAGCCTGCTCATAATGAAAAGAGGGCAATTAACAGCTGATTGGAAGCTCTAAACCCATGGTAGCAATTCTCCACTGTCAATTTCATTATAGGGTGGTCTGGATGGGCAATTAGGATAGAGAACCCCTATGTCATTATCTTTAGGTCTTTTTCTTTCAGGATAGTCAAATTCCATGGAGAAGATTCTTCCAAACTTCCAGTTGGAGGGTAGGAGGCTGGTTACCTGTATTCTTGGGGACAAGTGGTAAAAATACTTGAGAAAACCTTAACTTTCCATATGTAATCTTCCATTTAATATCTGTACTTTCAGTACAGGATTTTTACTCTCAACTAAACTTCTTGCCCACAGTCCGTTTCTTATACTGTCTTCAGAGAAGAAATTTCCAGTCTTCTCCCAGGTTGAGGAGGAAGAGTTGCCTAACTACACACAATAATAGGATTGATAAGAGTGACTACTTCATATATGACTTTCAACTTATAATTCTTTTTTAGCACCAACCTTAAACAGTCTTCCAGAAATACCTGTAGTATCCCGTTTTAGTACCTTTTATGGGTTCTGTGGTACATGTAGTTTTGCTTGTTAGAATTTGTCACTGTTGTTTTATGATGCAACTTTCTGGAATATGTTAAGTCAATTACCATTCACCTGTTTGCTTCTAGCTTCTAAATTTTGGAGTTGTCTATTTCTTCCTCTTTTTACTTTTAAAAACTCACTTCACTATAATATTAGTAGGATTTCAGGAGAGAAGGTATAAATATGTCTGTCCCATCTGCTAACCCTAGAACTCTTAATTAGCCCTTTACTCATCGGTATTAATGAGAGTATTAAAAAACATTTTGGTGCCCTTGTAACGATTATGAGTTGATACCTGTAAAGACACCAAACAATGGGTCTGTTATACTATTATATGCACTCAATAAATATTTGCTGTTCCCTCCCTTTTGAAGCAGCAACTACAATCCTCTCTCACACTTTCTTCCTGTCTGTCCCTTTACTGATAAAGATACTGAGGATCAGAGAAGTACAAGTCAGTTATCCAAGAGCACATAAACCATCCATGTCAAAGAGACTTTAATCTTTTCCTTTCTTGCCTTTTTATACCCATGTCATTTACTTTTAGTCTGTACTCTTACATGTAAGTATGTTAGCTTTCCTTTTGCAAAATACAGCATTTTCTCTAACAAGTGAGTAAACTGTGGCTGCAAATGATATTATACAAATGGCCAAAAATGCTTAAATTAAAAGAAAATATCATTGATCATCCATGATGACAACTAGCTAATTAAACAGGCCACAATGTCCATAGCTGACCACGAATTGGCAGCAGCTGTCTTAAATGACACACAGAATTTGCATACTTCTCCAAACTGAGTAGGAATATAGCTATTTCTAAGGGGGTCACCTCCTGCAAGAAAAGATGCTCCATTTTTCTCCCATGCTGTAGTCAGCACGCTGGTGCCAGACAGACTGGATAAGCTCCACGAACTAAATTCTTGGGTCTCACCCTACAACATAATGGTTCTATAGTTCCTGCTGGAGTACAGCAACCTAGAATTTAATTTTAAAGGTTATCATGTGATTCAAGGTGCAGCCAGGTTTAGAAGCCACTCTAGTAGACTACATGCAATCTAGATAGAGCAGAAACATATGGGTATTTTTTTAATGGGTCAGTGAAACATCCCAAGAAAAATCTTTGGAAGTTTCTATTTTGGCTTTCTATTTCAGTGGTTCCAAAAGATCATTTGAGTTGATTTTCTCCTTGATTTTACAACGCTGAGCACGTTCTCTCACCCTGGATGACTGGGCAGAAGAAGGAGCTGAAGCGGTAAGGCAGGCACTCAGGGCCTCTGAGCATTACCATATTCCACAGCAGCTTTTCCAGGAAAGACAAATGCCATGTGCTCTCAACACTCTGATGAATGAGACAGCAGCTTCACTGCTGCCACCTAGAAATTAAATAGAGAGAGCTAACTGCTGGAGATGCTCTTTGGGTTGAACATATTGGTGTTCCAGGAAAAATGCTGTCATGTAGAGATTACACGTCACCAAACTTTTATATCATGTTATTGTTTTAGACACTATATTTAATAAGGTACTCATGAGGAATCAAAGCAACCGATTACATCTGCCCTTGTAAAAGAAAGAAATTTTACCTGAACAAGGGTGTATAGGAAGTCTAGGTCATTATACTAATACTTTTTTTCTTATGAATTTAAGTTTTCTATAAATTATTGTGAATTTAGCATAAGGCCCACATGGTGTATTTACAGATGTTAAGCTCGAAATGAATGCTTCAAACAGAATCACAGAATTTTGTTGCCAAAAAGAACTACAGATTATGTTGTCTACTACAAAATCCTCACTTTATTGGCAAATAAACTGAGGCTTAGAAAACCAAAATGGTTTATCTATGGTCATATATCTAGCAGGTGACCTCGGAACCAGATCTTTTAATGTCTGGAGGAATTTTACTCCCAGTGTGTCACTTTTCCCAAACTGTGTTCTGAAAACCACAGGTGTCCCAAAAAACATTACTAAGTGTTTGTTGGGAGGAAAGAGGACGGGGGAGGACATATAACGGTTTGAATATATATATTGAATTTCCACAAGGGGTAAGTGTGGACAGTCTTTTCTAAGTATTTCACTAAGTGCAATTATTGTCACTTTCACAGAGACTCATAGGACACTTTGGGAAATCACCTCTATCCTTTGTGGCTAAATTCTGTCTGTTTTTCTATGTAGTCGTCCTCATGGAGAATATGGTGCTAAATCATGTTAATTCAACGTAGATTTCTTTCTTGTTACTTTTTGGACAGCAATATCTAAAAGTTCACTCGTGAATAGACAAGATATTATACTAAGGTTCAAAAGATTTTATAAAATTCTGCCTTAAAGAGTTGTAGCGAGACTGAAATTCTTTGGGGAATTATTTTTGTAGTTTCAATTTCTATGCTGTTTTCTGCTGCAAATCTGCAGGGGCTGCTACATTTGTGTATGAGATCAGGAACGATGCAGTTACGTGACTGAACCATTTTGGAAATTCTTGACCTTGATCTATACAGAATATTTCTACCCTTGCTTTAACTGTGCTATTATTGCTCCCACTTCTCCTGTTTCTATTTTTCCTTTAATGTGCCTTGAGCTTCTCAGATGAAAGGATTATCAGAAGTACAAAGTCCTGTATTATTACTACAAGCATAAGACCTTATCTCTTCAGTTCATCAGTGAAACTTTTGTTCATTGACTAAGAGTGGTCTACATTTTTTTGAAGTATGCTACCAACATATATCTGAGAACTTACAAAAATTTTGAAGGACATGTATAGAATTGTGCTATGTCTTTTGAATGCTCAAATGCTGGTTTCTAGAACTATATGTTTAGTTCCTCTATAGACATTTTAAATGTAGCCTTTTCCCTTTTTTGTCCAGATGGATAGGAATCATTATGTCCATCAATCTTCTTCTCTAACAAATGGGAAAAGTTTCTTATTTCAAAGCTATTAACAATTTTAGTCAGTGCTGCCATCAAATTAGAAGGCCATTAACAAAGAAAGTCAGAGACAAAAATCTGTATTTGCTTACCCTGCTCCTTCTCATACTTCTTGTTAAGAATACACTGGTTAGAGCACTTGAGCCAATAGCAATTTTCTGAGGACTATCTTCTATGAAGGCCACATAAATCTAAAGAAAATCTAGACATTGGGATAACTGGGAACACACAATAATCCTTTTTACAGCCTGCAAGCTCTCAAATATAGAACTTGACCCCACCCCTTTTTGTTGATATTCCTCTCCCAGTGCCACTAAAATTCCAGTCTCTCAGGTCAGAAACTTTATAAACAATTCATTCTTCCTTTTCCTTCATCACCATATCCTCAATCTCTGATCATTGCCATATTTCCTTCAATATTTCTCTTTTTTTATGATTTTTAAAATTACACTTTAAATTCTGGGATACATGTGCAGAACGTGCAGGTTTGTTACATAGGTATACACATGCCATGGTCGTTTGCTGCATCTATCAACCCATCATCTACATTAGGTATTTCTCCTAATGCTATCCCTCCCCTAGCCCCCCACATACCAACAGGCCCCAATGCGTGATGTTCCCTTCCCTGTGTCCATACGTTCTCATTGTTCAACTCCCACTTATGAGTGAGAACATGCAGTGTTTGGTTTTCTGTTCCTGTGTTAGTTTGCTGAGAATGATGGTTTCCAGCTTCATCCACGTCCCTGCAAAGGACATGAACTCATCCTTTTTTATGTCTGCATAGTATTCTGTGGTGTATATGTGCCACATTTTCGTTATCTAGTCTATCATTAATGGGCATTTGGGTTGGTTCTTTGCTACTGTGAATAGTGCTGCAATAAACATATGTGTGCATGTGCATGTGTCTTTATAGTAGAATGATTTATAATCCTTTGGGTATATATAGCCAGTAATGGGATTGCTGGGTCAAATGGTATTTCTGGATCTAGATCCTTGAGGAATCACCACACTGTCTTCCACAATGGTTGAACTAATTTACACTCCCACCAACAGTGTACAAGCGTTCCTATTTCTCCATTGCCTTGCCAGCATCTGTTGTTTCCTGACTTTTTAATGATCACCATTCTAACTGGCGTGAGATGGTATCTCATTGTGGTTTTGATTTTCATTTCTCTAATGACCAGTGATGATTAGCTTTTTTTCATGTTTGTTGGCTACATAAATGTCTTCTTTTGAGAAGTGTCTGTTCATATCCTTCACCCACTTTTTGATGGGGTTGTTTTTTTCTTGTAAATTTGTTTAAGTTCCTTATAGATTCTGGATATTAGCCCTTTGTCAGATAGATAGATTGCAAAAAATTTCTTCCATTCTGTAGGTTGCCTGTTCACTCTGCTCTCTGTTATACACATTTCCTCACTATCTTTAGGCACTTGCAGTGTTTACTGTCTTATACCTGGGTTACTGCATATCCTGCTATCTGATCTTTTTCAAAAATTTTTCTTATCTTCCAACTCAGGTTATAATTTTCTTAAGGGCAGTCACAGTCTTATGCTTCTTTTGTGTACCCTAACACAGTCTGAGAACTTCACTGGAGCTCAAAAATACTTGCTGATTTTGATTCATTAAAGGCCAGAGATAGTGGAAAGGTCAAATGAAGCACTAGAGGGGATAGTCTTATCATTTGAATCCAATTACAGAAATTCTAGATTTTACATTTCATAGCGAGTTTAATAACACTGATCTCTGGCATGAGATGAACAAAAGTGGTACAATGACATGGAAGTGAGGGCCTTTAGAGTTAAGGTAGGTTAAGATTGTAGAAAAAGAATAAATACTTTACACTACTAGTGTTAATGGTGTCATATTTCTCTCTGCAGCTCAATTCTATTTTACCACCTTGAAAATGTAACTTCTCTTATATCCACATTTCATTAGAAGTGACCTTTCATGTAGAATAAAGAAGAATGGCAAGAATTTTTAGTTAAAATATTGACCCTGATTCTTTTCCCTAGGGGTCAGAGAGCAGATTCTCATGAACTCTCAAGAGCTCTCATGAACAGTAGAGTTTTGCAGTAGTCAGGGTGGTCAGGAAACAGAGAAGAATGTCTTGCCCCTGCGCTTTTTATCTGATGTAGTAAATGGGTTTGAGTGACCCCACTTGAGGTTAGGGCTGGAGAAGACAGTAGAAGGAGACATGTGTAAGCACAAAGATAACACTTCAAATAAAATTTCACATCATGCTATAACATCATGCTACAACAAAAGCCAGAGGCAGGAAGCCCAGACCTTGTGCCCAGCTCTCTCACCAGTGATCTTTGAGTCCGTCATTTCTCTTCTTCAGTCCTGGGCTTCTCACCTATGCAATACATAGTGCTAATGACAGCTGGGAGGAATGTTGTGAGGTAGAATGAAATGCAGATTTTCACCATGTAATGAACTTTCTATTGACAAATTAATAAGCAGACTATTTTGTCATATACGGCAAAATAATCTGCAATAGAAACACTTAAAAAATGTATGGCCTAAAATGTGGAGAGAATGTTCCCAGATATGCCATGGCCATGGAGGGACACAGTGGCCCAGAACTCCCAGTTCAGCAGAGGCTCATAGAGTAGGAACAACAGTTCTATGTCCCAGTGACAAAGAAACAGCCTCCATCTTCGTTGTCTTTGTCTTCATCACCCAGCAGCAACACTCCTGGCTATGATCTAAGATCATAAATACTATGATCTTAGTATTTATTTAAAAAAGAACTTGCAGGACTTGAGAAGCAAAATACAAAAAAAATGTAGGATAGGAGGGTTAGGCCAAGAGACTAATATAGAAGCAATCCTATTCATCTGTAAAGAAAATGTGAGATATATATATATATATATCTCAATCACAGAATACTACTCAGCCATAAAAAGGATTGAAATCATGTCTTTTACAACAACATGGATGGATGGAATTCTAAGCTATTATTGTTAGTGAAATAATTCAGAAACAGAAAGTCAAATATCATGTGTTCTTACTTATAAGTGAGAGCTAAACAGTGGGTACACAGAGTAGAATCATAAACACTGGAGGCTGCAAAGCATGGGAGGGTGAGAGTGGGGTGAAGCCTGAAAAATTACCTATTTGGTACAATGTTCATTTCTTGGGTGATGGGCACACTAAAAGGCCAGACTTCAACAGGATGCAATATATGCATGAAAGAAATCTGCACTCATACCCCCCAAATATATTTGTAAACATTTTAAAAAGAAAGTCTATTTATCTAACATCTTAGCATGCCAGTAACTTTCAGAAACTAGAAATGCATACAACATTTATGATCACAGATAATAAGCAGTATACAACACTAAAGATATTGGGTGATAGGGAACCTTAACAGCTAGGATTTAATTTTTTTTTTTTTTTTTTTTTTTTTTGAGACAAGGTCTTACTCTGTCACCCAGGTTGGAGTGAAGTGGTGTGATCACAGTGCACTGCAACCTTGACCTCCTGGGTTCAAGTCTTCCTCCTGCTTCAGCCTCTTGGGTAGCACATGCCACCATGCCCAGCTAATTTTGTAATTTTTTTGTAGAGATGGGGTCTTGTCATATTCCTCAAGCTGATCTCAAACTCCTGGCCTAGAGCTATCCTCCTGCCTTGGCCTCCCAAAGTGCTGGGATTATAGGCGTGAGCCACCGTGTCTGGCCAACACTTATGGTTTTTATTAGACAAAGGAAGAAATGATTTTTATGCTTCCCCACCTCCTACCCAAAGACTGGTACTACCACCCAAAGGTGGTAGAAGAAGCCATTTTTTTCAAGGCTCGAATTTCAAAGCTTTCTGCTTGTTTTTTTGCTGATAAGTTTGGAGACTCAGGGCACAGTCTTTTGTTTTGTTTTGTTTTGTTTTGTTTTACTTTTATTTTACTTTTTAAGAAAATAACTTGAAAATCCTTTCTGGTTGTGAAAAATGAAATTGTCATGATCTGAAAGTTTATTATTCTTCTGCATATAAGAGATTTTTTAGTTTTCTTCTGGCATCTCCAGAGGGAAGTTGAGAAGCAGAGTGATAGGAGAAATGGTAGAACAAACTCCCGAAAATGGAGGCTATAACTGAGGGAATGGTATATAAATATATTATTTTACATACTCAACATCCCATCTCTCTTTTGTCTGTTACTCTCTCTCTCTTAATGTACTTGATCCTAAAGGAGTCCATTAGAGAGATTCTCTCAGTCCCTGCCTCTCCCTATTACACACTTACACAGCAGGCACACACTCACGCCTCCAACATACATCATAGTGGCAAGTAAGTGACCCAAACTATAATTTGATACCTGTGTATCATTATATTTTATTCCTGGTAACTAATTCATATTAAAATTCCTCCAGGTGTCTCCCTTCCCAAATATTTTTGTTAATGGTTGCATGATTTTTTCAAACAAAATTTCAATCTAGATTGTCCGTAATACCTATTTGTCCCACTGCAGCCAGCAAATAATGTCAAGGTAATGCCTACTCACAAGTGAATATTCTGTTCCCTGCAACATTTTCTTCAATAGTTTTAGCATGTACTGATTGTTCTTGGTGTGTGCATTTTACAAGATATCTCTCCAGTTTTCCTTTTTAACACTTCACTCTTTTCTCAGTTCTGTCCCAAAAGTTTGGACACAATAGATACGTCTAATAATGCACATTTTTTTTTTTTTTTAGAAAGAAAGCTTTACCAGACCTTATAAGAATCATCAGAAAGCTCCTTTTCTCACATATTTTTTACCTTGATCTTATCTATTCAAGAAAATATCTTGACATTCTGTTAGAAAACATAGTATTTTCCTGAGATACCAAAAAATTGAATTTCAGCTTTATTTGCCAATTGAAGAACCAGGATAGCATGCCTAAATTTCTGTTTAAAGATCTCTTCAAGGACTCTATTTCTGTATGAAGCTCTCAGTGAAGTCTATGGCAGTTCTAAGCACAGAGGAGAATGTGATAAGAGATTTGGGTCCAACATCTTTCAACACATACATATCAATCAAAATCAAAACAAAAGAAAAAGTCTTAATAATTTTAATATTTTGTTTCAAAAATCTCAAACGAATACTGTTATGTCAAACTTATAATTATTAGACTATGAACTAAAAAAGCCCCAATTCATTAATTATTGTGCTGAAAGACTCATTTAAAAAAATGACTTTTAATAGAAATAATCTTCCTCCTTTCATGTAATTTCTTTCATCAGAAGCAATGCTCTATTTTGTCATCTTTAGCACTAGTGAAAAAGGTGTAATTTTCATAAAGAACACAATTGCCAATATGGCACATTGCATGAAGTCTGTTAAAATGTTTATTACCTCATGAATTACACATATATCCGTCCAATGGGTTTTCTTGCCTCTATTCTTTACTAAACTCACTCTCTAACTGGATCTTTTGAAGATTTCTTGCCATTATGGGAAAACATCCAGTAGCTTGTCAGCACATGTAAAGACAAACTTTCTGGGATTTTAAAGTTTTTTGCATTTCACCTCTTCTCTCAAGCCTCACTTTTCCTCATTCCTACAAAAAATCCTGATTCTCATCTGGATGGGACACTTTACCACATGCACAGGCAGGTGAACTTGGAAGCTAGTCAGGTTTAAACTTCATGTCTTTTTGCTTGCCCAGGTATCTGAAAAAGCCTCTTCTAATTTTGTTTTCATAATTTTATTCTCCTTTATCCAAAGAAACCTCCACAAGGAATTCAAACTTCCCCGTCCATATGTCAAACACATTAATACCATTCTCTTTTCTTAAAATAGTACCCTAGCTTTTTGAGTCCCTCCTCTTTCTCCTGATTTTCATTCTCAACATTTAAATGAGCTTCTTAAACGCTCAAATCCACTCTGATGCCCTCCATGAAACATCTCAAAGCTACTAAGACTTTTTGGCATTATGAAATGCTCCTATTCTTTTATATTTCTCAATTGTTTTCTTATGTTTTAAAATGACATGTTGTATTGTCTTTCATGTGCCCCTCTAAGCCATCTGAACTACATTTGGAACATGGAAAGTATACATACACAAACACCTATATACATCCATCAATATGTTTTGTGACAACTCTCCATTTTAGGAACTTTTGCCTATGCCACGTAGTTTTATATTTGTTCTGTTGCCTTTTTTGCTCTCTAGATGTTATATTTCAGCCCAGGTAATGGGATAAGAATTCCCAAAGTTGATACTTAATAACCCACATGGTATTTGATATGCCTTGGACATCCATTTATTCCACAAATATTTACGAAGTGCCAGCTATGTGCTAGGCACTTTGCTAGGCACAGTCCAATAGTGGCTACAAATAATGAACACACAAGTCAGTGTATTAAGTGCTGTGAAGGGGGAATCACACATCTTTACTGAGGGAGCACAGGTTTATGTCTAGTGGTCAGATAGGGAGAGTGGATCAGAGAGATGAGAGAAAAGAAGAAAGAGCAATTGGAAGTATGAGAAGTACTTAGCTACTGGCTCCACTAAAGGAACTGGACTATGAGCCAAGAATTGCAGGTGGCCTTTAGAAGCCAGTAAAAGCCCTCAGAAAGCCAGACAAAAAAGGGGATCCTAGTCCTATTAGGAAAAACAACTGGATTCTGCTAACCACCTGAATGAACAAGGAGAGGAATCCTCCCACAGAACCTCCAGAAAGGAACTCAGTCCTGTCTATACCTTGAATTAATATTAACAAATTAACATTAATATTTCACATGCAATTAAATATGTACATATATATACATTATATATAATTATATTTAAGGTGTTTAAAATGTAATAGAAGTATAGAAAATATTGATAAATTTATAAACAAAGAACATCATGCTATTAATATTATACAATCCTCAAATATATGTGATACAAATTATGTTAAGAAAAGGAAGAAAATGCAAGAAAAAAACTAGAGCCACTTTTAAGTTATCTACTTTTTGTACAATAATCCACTTTAATAGTGGACCAAATGGATCTTGTCTTTACCAGGATTACATTGGGGATGATGGATTGTCATTTTGGATTTTGCACTTGAGATACAGTTCTATACTATATCCTTAATTCACATTATTATTCTAAGCCTAAACCAAGCACAAGGTTCACTATGACTACGCGACTATTGTAACAAAGCTAAAGAGGGACAGTAATCAATCCATCTCCATGTTGGATCTTGAAATAACATTACAAAATCAGGAACGTTATAAGAACTATAGTAAAGTCAAAATTATGGGAGAATGCCCTGTTACAGAACTGCAGCTATCAACAATAGATAAAATTAGCAGGTGCTGGCCAGACGCAGTGGCTCATGCCTGTAATCCCAGCACTTTGGGAGTCCAAGGCAAGTGGACCACGAGGTCAGGAGTTCAAGATCAGCCTGGCCAAAATGGTGAAATCCCATCTCTACTAAAAATACACAAATTATCTGGGCATGGTAGCAGGTGCCTGTAATCTCAGCTACTCAGGAGGCGGAGGCAGGAGAATCGTTTGAACCCAGGTGGCAGAGGTTGCAGTGAGCCGAGATCGCACCATTGCACTCCAGCCAGGGTGACGGGGCGAGACTCCGTCTCAAAAAAAAGAAAAAAAAGAAATTACAAGATGCTTTTATTATTTAATTAATAAAGGAAATCTGAGACCCACTTTTTAGGATATGGCAAACTAGAAGTAAAGTTTTTCCAATATTAACTGGCAATCAATTTATGCTTTTCTGACTTTTAATTTTTTTTTTTAGTTAAGGTTCTGTTGAATAGAGGGGGTTAACTTCTTGCTAATAATTCTTGTGTTTAGTTCAAAATCTCTGCCTGATTCAAACTGGATTCCCCACAGACATGCTAATGCTGTTAGCTTTTTCTAGAGTAAAAGTACAATAAGCTCCAGGGCCAACTTCAGTTTAAATCCTACCTCTGAAAATTCCTAGCTGTAACAGTCTGATTAGTTATTCTCTGCATGCCTCAGTTTCCTAATATGTAAACTAAAAATAATAACTGACCCCATGCGATTTTATTGTGAGGATTAAAGTAGTTAATTTATACAAAAATTTCTAATAAGACTTTCATTTTGCCTATGGTAGAATAGCTTGTAGCATGTCAATGACTTCAATAAAAAAAAAAACTATTATAGAATCAAAAAAGCGGAATTTAAAAATGGCAAGCTTTCTTAATAGGGTTCCATGGACAGAATTTATGGAGTTTGTGAACTTGAATGGGAAAAAATAATTTTGCTGTTTCTTTTCATTGATGTCAAACTAACATTTGTTATTTTCTTCAATTATAAATATAAGCCCAAACTGCACTAATGTTAGTAGTATGTGTGATTTTAACAGTAAAATTACAGATGCTTTTACTTCATATTATGCTTATTGCGAGTATCTTAAAATATGATATATGCTTAATCCTATGTAATGATTAATTTTATATATCAACTTGGTTGAGCCATAGGGCCCAGAAATTTGGTTAAACATTCTGAAAGTTTCTGTGAGGCTGTTTTTTTGTTTTGTTTTGTTTTTTGTTTTTTGTTTTTTTTTTTTTTGAGATGGAGTCTCACTCTGTCACCCAGGCTGGCGTGAAATGGTGCGATCTCGGCTCACTGCAACCTCTGCCTCCTGGGTTCAGGCAATTCCCCTGCCTCAGCCTCCGAAGTAGCTGGGACTACATGCACGTGCCATCATGCCCAGCTCATTTTTGTATTTTAAGTAGAGATGGGGTTTCACCATGTTGGCCTGGATGGTCTTGATCTCTTGACCTAGTGATCCGCCCCCACTTGGCCTCCCAAAGTGCTGGGATTACAGGCGTGAGCCATGGTGCCTGGTCAAGGCTGTTTTTTTTTTAATGAGATTAACATTTAAATCAGAGGACTTTGAGTAAAACAGATTGCCCTTCATGATATGTGTAAGACTCATCCAATCAGTTGAAGGCCTTAGAAGAACAAAGAAAGAATTCTGTCAGCAGATGGGCTTTGGTTTTGAACTACAATATCAGATCTTCCTTGGTTCTCCAGCCTATTGGCCTATCCTGCAGACTTTGAACCTGCCAGTTTTCATAGTCACATTAACCAATCTCTTAATAGGAATCTATCTCCTATTAAGGAGATAGATACTCTTCTCTCTCTCTCTCTCTCTCTCTCTCTCTCTCTCTCTCTCACACACACACACACACATACACACACCCTATCCTATTGGTTCTGTTTCTCTAGAGAACCCTCTAATACAACCTACCTCAAAATTATGATAGTTGTTAGATCTGCTGCTAGATTTTAATAATACAAAATAAGGAAGCACATATATTATAACTCTAAATTTAAAAATATACATGTATTTTGATATAGTGTTTCAACATGATTAGTTCCTTTTTGTAACCATGTCACTTTATTTGGTATACTTATTATTCTGAGAAGCTGCCCTTAGACCTTATCAGATTAACAAAGATGTTCATGTCACAACAACGGTTAATAATCCCCAATTTAAAAGCATTAGAAAAGTTGAGGGTTTCAGATCCTAAAGAAAAGGGAAGGAGGAAAAGAGTGAAACTAACAGTCTAAATCAGTTTCCTCCCTGATTTACCTACCAATTTTTGTGCGTGTTGAGAACATGCTTTTTAAAAAGAATTGTGGATACATAATAGTTGTACATATTTATGGGGTATGTGTGATATTTTGTTACAAGCGTACAATGTGTAATCATTGATTCAAGGTAATTGGGCTATTGGTCACCTTAAACATTTATTATTTCTTTGTGTTAGGAACATCTCAATCCCACTCCTCTAGTTATTTTGGAATATACAATACACTATTGTTAAGTCTAGTCACTCTATTGTACTGCTGAACACTAGATCTTATTTCTCCCATCTAACTATATATTTGTAGCCATTAAGCATCTCCTTTTCATCCCCTATCCCTACTACCTTTCTCAGGCTCTGATAATCATTGTTCTACTGCCAATTTTTAAATTAACAGGAAAGAATATGAGAAAATAAGGATAAGTCAGTGCATAACTGAGCAGAGCTTTTGACTCTCTTGCGACACTAGAAAAACAAAAGTTATCGTTCAGGACCATAGAGGAAGGACTCCAGTAAATACCTCAGAGTGTCAGTTGGAAACACTGGAGGGCTGCATCTTAGGAAAGGACTAAACTTTACAAAGAATACAAAGAGTTAAACGCGATTCCCCATCAGCTGAGACTCTAATTGGATGGTGGTGATCTGCCCCTATTCTAGCTGTCTGCCAGAGAATAGGGTGAACAGTCTCTGAGATAGATAGATAGATAGATGATAGATAGATAGATAGATAGATAGATAGATAGATAGATAAATAGGTCATTTTTCATAAAAAATGTCTGGTATTCAGTTAAAAATGAGCACACTCCCATAGGCAGGACCAAGAATTACAAAACAGACAATAGAAAGGAACTCACAGGTAATATGGAATTAGAGATAATAGATGTAAAATTTAGAAAAACTATAATTAACATGTTCAAGAAGATAGATGACCAGATGAAGCATTTTGCCACATAAATTCTAGAACTGGAAAATACAGTATCTTAAAATAAGAACACAATAAAGGGGTTTAACAGCCTATTGGATATGGAGGAGGTCATTGAACTGGAAGATGTGTTAGTAGGAAATATCAAGACTGATGCATAGAGGAAATAAGATTGAAAATACAGAAATGAGTTTCTCAGATATATGAAAGCTGGTGAATTGGCCTAATGTATAATTAGGATATTAGGAAGGAGAAGACAACATGGGGCAGATGTAATACTTGAAAAGATAATGACCGAGTTTTACCCCAAATTAAAGAAAAACTTCAAGCCACAGAGAGTCTACGGACTTCAAGTAGGTTAAATACATATAAAACCATGACGTAAGGATGTTACAGTAAAACAATTAAACACAAAAAAAGGAAAAAATTAAATAACAAGAAAAACAAGCAATTTTAAAAAGCAATTACGAAAAACAATTATGAAACTGACAGCTAACTTCCCAGCAGAAATGATGAACGTAAAGAAACAATAGGAAAAAGAACTCTAAAGTACTGAAAGAAAATAACAGCCAGTGTAAAATTCTATGCCTAATAAAAATATCCTTCAAAGGATAATAGAAAATGTATCTTCAGACAAAAAAGAAAAGTACTGATGGATTGCTTTTAGCAGACCCCCAGTAATTCCTCAAACAGAAAAAAAGATGACCCTAGACAGAAACACAGAAAGGAAAAGCAGAAAAAGAACAAAAGGAAATATCTGATACATACCAAAAATATATATACACTGCACAAAACAGTAATAATGCTCTGTTGAGTTTAATAGTATTTAGAATTAAAATGCATGACAATAATAACATAATAAGAGGAAACAGACAAATGGAGTTAAATTATTTGAAGGTTTTAGCATTGTCTGGGAAAAGTTATAAGTATGTGTATATTAGATTCTAATAAATTACAGAAGATGTAATCTCTAGGTTAACAATCTAGGGATAAAATATTTTAAAGGATAAAATACCTGACGATTTTCTTTAAATACAAGAGAAGTGATAAAAAGAAATGTATAACAGAGGAGACAAACAGAAAACAAATAGACAATAAGTAGTTATAAATTCAACTATATCAACAATATTGAGTGGACTAAAATTGCAACAAAAAGACCTAGTCAAACAAGACTAAAAACAAAGACAAAAACAAACGTCTGCAGTCCCTACAAAGACACAACTCAGGAAATGTAAAAGTAAAAGAACAGAAGAGGATACACCATGTAACCACTAGCGAATGTAATCTGGTGCCATTTTATTCTTATCTGGCAAAGTTACACTTCAAAGCAAAAAGTATCATTAACACTCAAGAGGGATATTTCATAATGATGAAAAGATTCATCCAGGAAAACATAAATATGAAAACTTTGCATACACTTAATAACGTAGATATGAAATACCTTACTAATTTTCCAATATAAAAGGAGAAATATAAAAGTCCAGATAATAGTGGGACATTTTAGCACACTTTACTTAAGCACTGATGATGTTAATGAGAGAAACTAAAGAAAACTTAAGGAAATAGAAAAACGTATCATGTTTATAGATTGGAAGCTCAAATATTTAACTAAAAAATCAATTTTCTCAAACTGATTAATGGATGCATTGCAATTTCAATAAAGATCTTGATAGATTTTTTTTGAAAATGTGTATATGTGTGTTTTAAAGGATGGGGAAGAAGTGTTAAGGAACTTTTTAAAAAATTTACATGGAAAGGTAAGGGGCAAAAAAGATGAAAGACAAGCATAAAAAAGAGCAAAACTGGAGACGTTTGAAGAAAAACGAACACACATACCAGATATCAAGATGCATTATAAAGCAATAGTAATTAAGAAACTGTAATAAGAGTAGACATATGGACTGATGGAAAAGGAGAAAATCCAGAAAGAGACTCTGCATGGGACTGTCACTTACTTATTTTACAAATGTGATAGTATGGTGCAGTTGAGACTGAATCTTTTCAATACATTGTACTGAATCAATTAGATCTATGTATGAAAACAAATGTCAATCTACACTTCCTACTATACAAAAAATCCAATTCCATATGGATTGTGAAACTAAAAATTAAAAATTAAAGGGAAAACAAGAATCCTTCTGGAAGAAAATATGAAGGATTTATTCTTGGCCTTGAGGTAGGCAAGGACATAAATGCAATGACCATAAATGGAGGAAGGAGGAAGGTGTTAAATTTAACTATATTTAAATGGAGAACTTATTGTTTAATTAAACAATACAATAAAAAAATGAAAAGCATCAACAAAGTATAAGAAGATATTTAAAATATGTTTGACAAAGTATTCACATACATCCGTCACCCCTGAAAATAATTATTTAAATCAATATGAAAAATGCTGATATCTTAGTAAACTGTTGAACAAAAGTCTTGATTGACAGAAAAGAGAATATTGGTGTAGTCACAAAAAATATAAAAGGTTACTCTACAACAGTGGTCATAAAGCATATGCAAATTAATATCACAACTAGATTTAAAAAAAAAAACACCAGAAAGGCTAGTATTAAAAAAGACATAATAGCAAGTGTCGATACAGATGTGAAACAACTAAATTCTCATATATTTCAATTAGGAGTATAAATTGTACAACCATTTTGGAAAACTCTTTGGTAGTATATCCCTATAATTCAGCAATTTATCTCCTACGTATAGATATAAAATAAATATTTCACCAAAAATCATGTACAAGAATGGTCCTACATTAGTAGTCATAATAGCAGAAATAGAATAAATAAACTTTACAGTAATGAGAATGCATAAACATACAACAAAAATAATCTCACGATAATAATGTTGAATTAAAGAAGCCAGACACAAAAGAGTACATACAGTATGACTGGATTCATATAAAGTTCTAAAGGAAGCAGAATTAATATATGGTATTTGAAATCAGGATAAAGATTACATTTGGGGATGAGAATAGTAACTGTGTGTTAGTGTTAGGAGAGGAACATGATAAAACAGGTTGTTAACATGGGTGGATTTATTTTGTGAACATTCATCAAGCTGTACCATTGTTTCACCCATTTGTCTATATGCATGTTACATTTAAAAGTCCACACATATACACACAAATTCTAAATGTCTACATATAGTAGGTACTCAAGAAATATTAGCCATTATTGTTGGAGGGGAATATCTGGGGCACTAATTTCCTACTCTCAAAGTTGTGAAAGTCAGGTACTATCATGACCTGAACCAAGGATGGCTACAAATAGATATGAGAGGTAACGTGCACATTCCACATAGAAAAAGGCAGAAATGAGTAATGGATTACAAACAGAGAGCATGTCTGGGCCGTACATTCAAATACTGTTTCTCTCTTTTCGAGGGCCACAAATTCCCACCGGAAAGATGGGGTGGAACGAAAATTATCAATGTATTATTCCAAATATTTCTTCCTTATGTATATGCTAATGAGTGTTCTGACCTCTGCACTTTTAGTTTGTTGCCCTCTTCCAAAGAGGATTTTCTGCTCATACCAGGTGGTTCTCTGGGTTTCTGTAATGCAAAATCAGTATAAAGAGAGAGACAGAATTTTGGAAATGGCAGATTAAGGAGACAAGGAGGAAGTACATGGACAATATACAGATGGCATATGTGTCCTCTGTAAAGAGGAAATACAGCTGGAAAAGAAAGACTTTTTTTCCTGTAGGAAAATTAATATCAAAAAAAGATTCAAAGAGACGAAGAAAAAAAAGCTATCATACTGAAAGTATCAGCCAATGGCTGGTTCAAGAAAAGTTCTCTGTGCCCAAAGCTGAATATCCAGTCATGCCTGAATTCAGAAGACTAAGAGACACAACCGCTGAGCACAAGTCATATGGTCATGAAAGTATCAAAAGAGAGAGACAGTTCTGTAGACCTCAGATTTGTCAACATAACATTTTTCTAATACAAAGCTCAATATAGACAATTGCCAAAGCAACTTTCCTGACAGGATTCTTATCAGTTGGGAAAACAATGTGAACATAATTAATATGTTCCTGCAGAATTAAACTTTGTAGGAGCTTTCTGCTTCAATGTTTGGGAAAGGAAGCAGTGACAGGAGAAGAGGTCTCCTTGCCTGTCGGGTCACATATGGTGGTGCAGTGGTGTGCCTGGATTTGCTCTGGTTCATTCTGGATCCACGTGAGGCTCCATATGTGGTGGTCTTACCTTTGCTCCCTCTATCATTAAGTTCTAGGCTTCTAAGCAATTTATCAAGATGAGTTTTCCATCACTTGGCAAGCAGCTATCTAGGCTATGCCCCCACCTTATTGTTCCACAGCTTCCATGTCTCCCTGGAATCCATAATATCAGGTGTTGATACAGATATGGAACAACTTTCACAGTCATGGAAGCTGTGGAACAATAAGCTGGGGCAGGGATTATCTCCACCTTTTTCAAGACACACAACATTGTGATATCTGTAAGGACTCTTGACTTTCCAGATATTGATATCCTTAGACAAGAATTAGATGGTTTTGATATTCAAAAGTGTCCCCAAATCTTAGAGAATGCATTAACAAGTATAGCTTTTTTTTCTACTTTATAATAAAAAATGGAACTGAAAAGGACAATGTGCTATCACATCTATGTTTCCAGAATGCTCTACCAGACACCAGACACGGCAATATATTCCACTCCACTGAAGGACAGAGGGTGGGATTAAGGGCTTTGCAACCCTGTAACAAACATAGAGTTGAGGAATAGAATGTTGGTCTCCACTAATTGCAGTCACACACTGTATTTAGAAATGATTCTCTTGGAAAACTTTCCTTCATCGTAGGGGAAGATAAAGCAATCTTTTCTCTGCCAGGAAAAGAGACAGTCTAGCATTTTACCATCAACATTGAACTCCTTAAAAAAAGAGAGAAAGAAAGAAAGAAAAAATAAATAAGATTTATCTCTGCTATTGGTCTTCTTTTTATATTGATCTATTGAGCATAGGCTGTTGGGGTTAGGGGTATAGCATGCAAATGGGTTTGTAATGGGACTAGTTTTAAACTGACTTCCAGGCAAGTAGTTTGCCCCAACTCATGGTGACTTCTTGAACTTAAAACATGAAGTACTTGGAGCCATTTCTTCTGTTTAGGGTGCTGGTTGTAATTCCAAGACAAGAAAAATACATTCAAAACTTTGTCTCAAAGAAATAATGAACTCCTACCTTCCTGCCTCCAGAACAATGGTTCTCAACCAGAAAAGTTTTGCCCCTAGTATGTATATGGCAATCCTTAGAGATATTTTTGGTTGTCACAATTTGGTGGTGCCACTGGCATCTAGGTAAGGACCTAAATAAAGGTCAGGGCGGTTGCTGTGCATCTTACAATGCACAAGACAGCCTCCCATAGCAAATGTGACTATTGTTAATTTGGAGAAACTCTGGGCTAGACTGTGTTTCTGTGTTCCCGTGTTCCCCTCTAAAATAAAATCTAGTTGACAAGAGACATTTCAAGGTAACCTGTAATCCTATTAACTCCATGTCTATTGGTAAATATGAGTAGTTCTAATACATAATTCTCATTTTCATTTCATATAGTTCTATAAGGTGTGCATGTTTCTTATTCCAAATTTCTATGTAGTTGATTCCTGTTACACACAACATTATCATTATTTCTATTGGCAAATGTAACATAGTATGTATGCTTATGTTTCAGGTCAATAAAAATTAATCACTAAAATTCCACTGATCTCTTCAATGAGTTGGCTTCTCTAATTTTGACAGGTCACCAGAATTTAATAATAATCTCAGCAATCAGATGGAAGTCTAAGAGGATAAAAATCCTTTAGCTGCATTTCTTTCACATTTTTCATGTGCCATGAAACCACTCAGTTTATGAGTTCATGAGAAACATAAGTAACTGCAAAACTATGTAACTACCAGGCCAGGTGGTAAAGCAACCTAGAGGTCAAACAAGCAAATTGACATAACATTTTAAAATATGCTATTTTGTCAGGGTGAATGACAGTTATGCTATGTGCATAAAATCACAGATTTATCTGAATGTTAAGTTACTTGTCAAGGAATCATTTTACAATTCCTTTTTTTTCTTGCCTTGTGTCATGTAAGATTCCTTGAAGCAACTAAAAAAACAGTCATAATCCATTTGATTTTCTGCCTTCCCATGAGAAAAACTTTTTACAGATGATAAATAGCAACTGCTGACAATCATCAATGCAAAGCTATCATGCTTTTACATTAAATACAAAAACAGAGTTGTAAAGTCACAAGGGATAAGACTTTTGACACATAAAAGACAAATATATAATCCTCAGAACTAAATCACTATTGGGATCTAAGCAAGTGCAACAAAGCACAGCTGCTTTTAGAATCTCACAAAGTCAAACTAAAGCTAACTTTGATATCTGGAACCTAATGCATGTTCCAACCCAATGTGCCACGCTCTTATCCGGAAGCTCACGTTAAACTTGCAAACATCAGGGAATGTGCATGCACAAAGAAAATAGCCATTTTATCATACTGTCCCTTTTAATTAAGGCCAAAAAGGAGAGTAGAAAACAAATAAAAATACTATGAAACCTAGTTAATTAGAAGAGAAGGGCAATTTTGAGTCAAAAGGGTTTGAGTATCAAATGTCTGTATCTCATTAAACCTGCATGAGAGCTAAGCATGTATGAACCTTCAAAGAAACACAATAAATTGTTCAGATTACTTGTCAATATGAGGAAGTCATCTACAAAGGTTACTTCCTTTATAGTCTAAGTCACTCTCTCTCTTATGCTGTTGACAAGTAATCAGAGTGGTTCACAGATCATTCCTTCACTACGGCTAATTCATGGCTGCTTAGTGACATTCACTTCAAGTTATCTAACTAATTTAGCAACTCAAAGTACCCTTGGGAACCAATTTCCACCTCAAATTATATATATTTTTGTACTTTGGATTAAATGACTGATTTTAATGGAGGAAATCTTATCTAATAGGGCTGAAGGATAGCAGTTACTTCAAATTTCATGCTATTCTGAATGATCCTGATATCAAATTAACAAGGTTTACAACATACTGTTTATTTACCCAATTAGTAACACACTGGCCTTTTGGCTTTTATCTAAGCTTGTTTTTCTCTGCTTGGCCTAATTACCCCATGGGAGAAAAAAGGTGAGGTAGACTGGGTTAGAGAGATCATTTCCTATTTTCCAATCTCTTTTCCTTCTTCCTCCTCCTACTTCACACACACACACACACACACACAAAAGAGAGAGAGAGACAGAGAGAGAATTTGTAGCTCTACCTGGGTTACAATGCTTAGCAGAATCTCTATCTCTGAAAAATCTTTGAATGGAACCACGTTTTTAAAAAGGGCTTCCAAGTTTTTTGTCATTTTCCTACATTCTTTCTACATATCTAATATTGTATTTTTAGCAATCTGATCACAGTTTCCAAAGTCATCCACATACAAAAAGGTAGATATTAAGGGGCATTATATTAAGAACACACTTAAATGGAAGAGAACCTACATGAAATTTGACAGGAATGATGATGATGATGATGATGATGATGATGACAGATATTCCTTTATATGATTTTATTTTATTTATATATGATTTTATTTAATTCTAACAACAAATCTATTACAGAGATTATATTATCCCAGATTTATAGAAGTGAAGTAATTCATTTGAGGTCACACATTTAGGAGGTGGAAGAGCTAGAGCTTGAATTATTTTTTGCCTAACGTTTGGTCATTGATTTCCCCCAATGACTCGTATAAGTAGTAAGTTCAATCACTTTTATTTCATTTTCTTATCTTTTCAAAGCTTCTAAAGTATCTTTATTCAAAAGAGTGCAGAAATATAAATGCTCAAAGTATATAGGGTCATGTAACACATTAAATGAAGAATGACATTTTAAGCAGTAGTTAAAATTATTTACTTTATTTTACCTATTTTACTAAATAATGTCTATTATTATATTAACAAACTTATTTTAATGAAAATATACATGATAAAGTGATATTTAGTTTTCCATGCAAACCATCCATGAAATTCCTCTCTCAAACTCTGAAATCTGAGACAGTTAAAGCAATTAATTAGAATTTAAGTAGGTCTAACTATGTAAGTGAGATAAAGACATTAAGGAGCACAAATCTCCACAGTTAGTTTAAGTAAAGGGAAATGACTTGGATTAACATTAATTTGAAGTAGACTACAGGATCCTAAGAAACTTCAACGCACTGAAAGCCTAGATAAAAAACATTTTCAAAATGAAATACACTTATTTATATTCACATGTAAATAGAAAAACATACAATGACTTTCATATTAAACTGCTATCTTTTAAGCAAAATAAGACATATGGTTAGGATCAATGTCAACCAGAATTGATACTCAATATTGATTACAGTTATTTTCCCATTAAAGTTGAATAGCTGCTATAAGTAATAAGGTTGCATACATTTTACTCAAGAATACTCAGAAATAGAACAGGAGAATGCATCCATCTTGGAACACATTCTAGGAGCATTTGTCAAGCACTTCACACAGTAGATGAAGTATATTTTCTTTCTTGTCATAGATCAACGAAGGAGACCCTCATGTGAAAAACTCCAGCATTGTCAAAATTCTTAGTCTTTTATCCTAATCTGACCTTACTGCTTATACTTGAGAAGGGCTTCCACAGTGAAGACACATTTTTTTCAAAGTACTCTCTGTCATAACACCTCTTTGTCAGCCTGATCTTTATAAATCAAATGATATATAAGGCAGGCATACTATTGTAACTGGATTATTATCTTAGGGATAGAGGCACGAACAATTCTAAACCACTTTAGCTGCCAGGGATATATAAAATGGTACTTAATTTCTTCTTTCGTAATTTTACTCTTAGGCAGCAACTCCCTAATAAATCTAATATCAGAAAATCATCTTTGTGTGGTTGGACCTTATCAAGTAAGTTTTCTTATCACCTCTTACTCCAATTCAGCATTAGGATGAAAGCACTTTCTATTTGCATTTTATTGCTGTCTTGGGATGGAGAAGAAACTTCATTTCCCCATAGGTATATTAAGGGCTTTTGCCGTTTTAATGTTAGCTACCTACCAGAATGATATCTAAATTACAGGAGACAAGTCAAATTATGGTGATTTATAATTTAGCCATAGAAAGTTTAAAAGACAATATTCTTATTTGGCCAAAAACCATCATAAAAGACAACTGATATCCCAATACTAAAATATTTCACTAGGTTTTATGTTCTTGCAACTTAGGAAAAGTGGACTTGAGACAATCAATGGCCCCTAAGTAGAGATCATAACACCTGTTACATTCTATTCTATCTCTAAGAATATTCCCTGGTGGCTATGAGAATAAGAAAATGGGACCAGTTAATTTGACTAGTTCTGAGTACTCATAAGGATATGGTCAAAGGTTGAGTCCTAAACAGACCAGTTAACTTCAAACGAAAGGACATTATTTAAAACCTAGTGTTAAACTCATCTAGTCCTTCATTGTCTCCCATAGTATTATCTGTGATTGTCTTTTCAGAAATAATGAGCAAATGATACCAAACAATTCACAAAGTGTTTACAATTCTGTATTGCTTTCTTACTAGACAATCCAAAGATAAGTAAGCCAACACTGAGTTCAAATCTTATTTTCTTTCTCTAGGGAGACCAAAAATACAAGCATTAACTCATTAATATTCAAATTAATTAGAAAGTGCTACAGAAAGAGAGAAATAGAGCAAAGTATAAGTGTTACAGCCATGTGCTGGGGAAAATTTTAGGAACATGCGTTGACTCATTAAAATGGTTACAGATATCTACAAGAAACAAGAGGAAAATTAATCTAGATTATAGAGGCTACCCAATAAATCAATTAACAATTAAAAAACATGCAACATATAATTTTTAATTAACACACTCAGAATCTCGAGTGTACCTGAGGGTTAATAAGACTGTATTTGATCTCTGAATCTCTTCAAATATAACATCAATCCCCTTGATCATTTTGTTCAGTGCACTAGGATTCTTCTTAACTGTTACAAATATATTTTTAAGCACTGGCAATT
Source organism: Homo sapiens (assembly GCF_000001405.40). Lineage (NCBI taxonomy): Eukaryota > Metazoa > Chordata > Mammalia > Primates > Hominidae > Homo > Homo sapiens. The sequence goes on along the minus strand of NC_000001.11, from coordinate 82,419,451 downwards.
TATTAGAATATTTTACAATTTTGGTCCATAGATAATTCAACTTAGATTTGGGAGGTTTATTAAATGCAGCCATCTCAAATAAATCTTGCTGAGTGTTTACGTGGCCTTCACTACGCTAGGTAATTCTAATGGCTGTTAGCACTACCTGCTTTTTATGGCTTTCTGAGCAAGAAGACAAAGAAGGGCATTTGAATCTGAAATGGCAAAGTTGTTTAACAAAAAAAGAAAAATATTTTCTTCACGCTCATTAAATATTTTTTGACATAAATGTTTCAGTCAGGCTGTGGATAAAGGGAAAATATAGTGTAAACTCAATGTTTAGTTACTTTTTACCGTAATAGGACTCTGAATTTCCTCATAAATACCAGATCTCTGAAGAGGGCAACTGAAATGTCAGCCTCCACAAAAAGAACAATTATTATGATAGAAATTACTAGAAATGTACAATTCAGGATGAAAATATAAACCTTTTAACTTATATATTTTCATGTATTTATTAATTTATGAAACAAATATTTATTTAGTATTGAGGTTTCAAAGACTAGACTAGGAAGGCAACAAAGGACTGACCCTCCCTGTTTTCATGTATGCACTCACTGTCAGTCTGTAAATTGCCTTTCATGGAGGCTTTCAGATTTGCTCTTGAGGCTACTTTTTTTTAATAGATGTGGTCTTGCTATATAGCCCAGGTTGGTCTGGAACTACTGGCCTCAAGCAATTTTCCTTCCTCGGCCTCCTGAACCACTGGGATTACAGGCATGACCCACTGTGCCTAGCCTGAGGCTCCTTTTAACCTAACATTGTAAGACATGGGGGCCATGACATGACATTTTCCCTGGATTCCACATGTCCTATATGGACAACCTTGAAATGAGGGCTAGCACAGCTCTCCAATTTATTTTAGACCAGATTATAAACTTAGTGAGGGCAAGTACCATTCTATCTCTTTTATCTTTGTGTTCCAGAGACTGGATTGCAGTAGGTGCTAATTAAATATGTGTGAAAGAAGTAAATAAATAAACTCTTAAAACTAATGAAGTGAGAGGGACCCACTAACACCGAAATAAAATAGTTTATTCTTTTTTTATTTAGTACATGTTATCCTGCTTGTTCCCTCCTAATCTTGTCTTTCTCTTTTCCCAAAGTACTTGTCCGTGGCTGCTTAGAACTCTTCTCATGGTTTGACTTTTGCAATCACTGTTTATAAGTCTATTTCCCTGATTAGACTATGATTCCTTGAGAGCAAAGAATGCAGCCTCCTTCCTATATTTAGACAGCTGGTACCTAGGAGAATGCCTCTTACAGGGTTGTGCTCAATAAACATCAGAAGGAATTGTTCAGGCTGGTGTGTATGTGTAAATTACAGTCAACTGAATTGAGGCTCACACTTATAAGAAACAAAGGAATGCCCAGACACAGTGCTAGGCAGTTTCCATATATTATTTCATTAAATGTCAAAATAGTTCTACTGAAGTATACCTCCTGAACTGGTTTCAGCTTTGAAGGCTGAGATTCAGGGAGGTAAAGCAATTTAGCTCAAGTTGTGAGTATTATTTTAGGGGTGGCAGAATGAGAATTCAAATATAAGTCTTTCCAGTTCCAATATCAATGTCCTTTCTATGTTGTATTTCTTCTGTGTTTGCCTTTCAAATGTTTAGGACAAAACTAAACTAAACCTATAGTTCTTTTAAATATATTGTATATCCCATAACCTAGTTACTCAGTTTGCCATTATCAACATTATGGTTCTAGATTCTTTTATAAAGTTTTACCAATGGAAAGATTAAAATTTTAAGTTAATCAGTTTTTGACTACCTTTAGTAATGGTACTCCAACAACCTCCCTTGGGAAGCTTTTCCATTTGATTGACAATGAGGCGGTGTTTCCTAAGTTGCGTTTTTCCCCTTTCATTTTCAGGTTGTTGTCAATCCAGCCTTTCCTTGCTGTTCCTAACAAACCTCTGGCAGTTCTCTTCTTAGTCATCTTTTTTGAAGCCACATTTGATAGAGCTGGATAATCATTCTTCATGTATAATACTCTGATCTCTCACATATTAAGTCTGTTTTGTTGCCCTCCATTCTACCTCTTCAATTTTAGTGATGTCCTTTCAAAGAATAATGTGGACACCTGAAGTGTATATAGCACACTAACCAAACAGGGGTTCACCTTCATTATGCAATCCAGTCTCTGGAACACAGTTATTAGGCCAAAATAACTTTGATTGATTTGAATCTTTGCTCTGACTCACCATCTCCTCTTTCTTTATAAAATATTTCTAAACATGGACTTTGTTACTCTATTTTTGCCAAAGTATTTTATAGTGAGAATTGTAATGTATTAATATACTTGCACAATTATTTCTCCTGTCATTTTATTAAGCCAGCATCTATGTTGTACCTTGCTTCTGATTCTGACCTTTAGGATTTTTTTTTAATCCCTCTACTCATTTGCATTATTGTGAGATCATCGTAGTCCTTTAGAATCCCATAAACCAACTATATAAAATGTTATGATTGTGTTTGTCCTGTTCCTCCATATTTTCTAATCTTTAGGTAAAAATCTGTGTTATAAGCAGATTTAGGTGTTCTGGAAAAATCCTTTACCTAACGTCATTTATACACTACTAAAAAGATAAGACTCTCACACAGATACTTGAGTACTCAATTAATTTTAATATATACTATGTACTGCTTTTAAAATTTAACTTTTGTCCCCTATCGCATCTCTGTTATCAAACTTATTACAAGCTCAGTTATTTATTCTTGTATATGTCTCACTAAACCTGCACTTTCTTTTTTTTTTTTTTTTTTTTTTTTTGAGACGGAGTCTCGCTCTGTCGCCCAGGCTGGAGTGCAGTGGCGGGATCTCGGCTCACTGCAAGCTCCGCCTCCCGGGTTCACGCCATTCTCCTGCCTCAGCCTCCCAAGTAGCTGGGACTACAGGCGCCCGCCACTACGCCCGGCGGCTAATTTTTTTTTTTTTGTATTTTTAGTAGAGACGGGGTTTCACCGTTTTAGCCGGGATGGTCTCGATCTCCTGACCTCGTGATCCGCCCGCCTCGGCCTCCCAAAGTGCTGGGATTACAGGCGTGAGCCACCGCGCCCAGCCTAAACCTGCACTTTCTAATACAGTATCTACTAGCCAAATGTAGCTATTAATTAAAATTGATTAAAATTAAAAAGTAAGTTCCTCAATTGTACTAGTCACCTTTTGATATAGTTAGGCTTTGTGACCCCACCCAAATCTCATCTTAAATTGTCATCCTCATAATCCCCAGAATCCCCATGTGTCAAGGGAGAGACCAGGTGGAGGTCACTGAATCATGGGGCTGGTTTCCCCCATGCTGTTCTTATGATAGTGAGTGAGTTCTTACCAGATCTAATGGTTCTATAAGGGACTCTTCCCCCTTTGCTCGGCACTTCTCCTTCCTCCCACCTTGTGGTGAAGGTACCTTGCTTCTCTTTGCCTTCTGCCATGATTATAAGTTTCCTGAGGCCTCCCCAGTCAGCTGAACTGTGAGTCAATTAAACCTGTTTCCTTTATAAATTACCCAGCCTCGGGTAGTATCTTTATAGCAGTGTGAGAATGGACTAATACGCCTTTAGCAGTGTGAGAACGGACTAATACACCTTTCAAATGTTCCGTAGTCACACCTGTTACTGTCTATCGTAGTGGACAGTGCAGATTATACAGCATTTCCCTCACTGCAGGAAGTTCTATTGGATAGCACTGCCCTAAAGAGTATTTGGAACCCAGCAAGGGCTGTATCTCTTTGAATGTTATCTTTTAGTCAGTAAACTATTATTACATAGCAGTCCAAAAATGTTTATTCAGTTTGTTTTTTCTAGAATAGTTGCTATTTAAATTTCGCAGGGTTGGATTATTTTAGATGATGATGTTCATCTCAGAGACATTAATTTCTTTTTTCAAAGCAAGCCCAACACAAGAACACTGGTTTCCTAAATACAAATCCACAGTGCTTTTTCTAGAAAGTCACATTGAATTCCTTATGAACACATTACCTCATATTGACATTAAAAATTACAAAGACACTGACAAAAAAATGTGGTAGCAGATTTGAGAAATAGAATAAAATCACTAACATCACTGAGAGGCCTCCATTGACCATTAACCAGGTAATAGCATATTTCTATAATAATATTAGCATTTGTTAAACGTATGGATATATCCATTATCGTTATTGTTCACAGAGAGGTATAAATTTACAGATAGATATGAGGATGAAACACATGCATTTCATTCAGCAAATATTTACTGTGTATCTACTATGTGCTAGGCACTAAATATACAGTTATTAGCAAAGCACATGTCTAGGTGAGAACTAGCAGTTACCAGGCCATGAAAATAGCAGACTTATAAAGTGTAACTAGGAAATTGCAAAGCAGGATTGTAAATACTGCGATAGAAGTCGATATAGAATACATAACATGACACCCAAAAACATCCATGGAGAACATCAGAAAAAGCATATTGAAAAGATCCTGCATTCATTCATTCCTTCAACCAACAATGAACTAACATGAAGTATGCACATTAATACTGCAAGAGATCACAAAGATGAACAAGCTAGGACCCTACCCCATTGGACATTCAACCCAGCCTGAGAGCCTGCCTCAGTGCACTTCAATAAAAGTGAAGATCTTTAATAGGTCTAATCATTATGCTAAGATCCACTATGACCATCATTTTCTGTCACTGACCTGAGGGTAGTTGATAATGACAGGGCTGCAAATGATACCACCAACTAGTTGCTAATCTTTAGAACCAAAGCGTTTGGGACTTCTGATGCAATGCAAGCAGACATGACTGTTGTTTTAAAAGTTCTTTATACCAATTCAGATGTATACTTGCAGTATCTAGTGAGACCTGTAAAGCATGGAATTTGGAAGGTAAGTGATAAACAGTATGTGATTATTATATTCAATTATTATTCAGTGTAGCAATATTTCATACTTTTTAAAAATGCAACAGCAATCCATTGAAAGATTTTATAGCAAGGTGATGAGGACAGTGTTGTAAGTTAACTCCGGTATTACTAAATCATGCATTACCAAATGTTTGATAATTTTCAATTACTTAAATCTTAGGCTTGGTCTTTCCACCAGCCTTCAAGGTGACTTCTTTTTGTTTCTGTTTTAATATCTATAAATCAAAGCAGAAGGTTCTGAAATGATACTTGCTGTCTACTTTTGAAAGGTCTTTTGATGATTGGTGGGTTAATATCTATAAGTACACTGCAATAATTGAATATAAAAGAGGAAAAGGACATGAGAATTGTCAGGCTTTCCTGAGAGTTTTTTTCCAGAACCTTTTGTGTGTGTGAGTGTGTATGCACGCATGTGCCTCCATGCACAAGCTCTTTTCCAAAATATGGGAATACATTAGCACCCTTTGGCCCTCTGGTGAGATGTTGTCCTCAATGACTTATCAAAAGTATTTACTAAAAATTGTACTATTTGTTACTTCTTTCAGAATTCTAGTGTGTAATGCATTTAAACTAACGCTCTGTCAAATTTAATAGTTGTAATTGCCTAATTATCTGCTCTAGTGTGATGGTAAAGCCTTTTAACATCACACTTTCCCCTAAGGAGAATGCATTGCAGTTTCTAGAATACTACCTTCCTCTTCTTTGGGGAATACTCAAGCAAATAATTCATTTTGCTCTCACCTAAACAAACCTCATCCCCTTCCTCAATCGCTCGTTTTTTGTTTTGTTTTGTTTTGTTTTGTTTTGTTTTCTGTTTTGTCTTTTTCTCTTTACCTCCCTTCTTCAGCTTCAGGTATATACAATGCGTTTCAATGAATTCGTATTCACATTCATAAAATATTGTTTATTGGTTTAGTCAATTAATTTTATAGTATTTATTTTCAGTAAATCCTATTCAACTTTACCTTCTTCATTATTGTATGTCCCGAAGTATGTCTTTTATTTTTCTTAATAACTAAGACTCTCCTTATTCAACTTCAAAGGGTATATATCACTTCACATGATACAATTAATTAGCAAACAATACCAAACAACTTTTTCATTAGAATGAATTATTTTCTATGTTAAGATTATTTTAATTTACTTGCTTTGATCTTTATACAGTTTCAGCTCAGTAGACTCAGTACCTAAATGTAACATGCAAAGTATGTTTCCATGACATTATTTTTTGCTTTTGACCTTAAAACTGAGCCTCTGAACTTGATCTTTTGATGTCCAGTCCACTTCGGAATCTAGTGTGGCGCCTGCCACAATGATTCAAAGATGTGATTGATAGATGCCAGCATGCACAAAGAATGAAGAGGACCTCTTTTAATAAAAGAAGCAGAAAACTACATAGACAAATAATCCATAAAGCCAGAAATAGCAAAGGATGTGCTTAGATGGGGATAGAGTTTTCCCAATAGTCCAAAATCCTCTGAGAAGTAAGGTGCTCTAACAGGCCTGCCTGACCTCCAAGCACAAGTCACTAGTTCAGAACAACTCCAAAACATCCCTGAATGTTTTCTGCTACATTGTGTGAAGCAAAGGTTCACACAATTTAGCTGGGGGAACCACACTTAGGCCTGGATTTCATACCTTTTTGAGGTCTTCTCCTCCCACCAACCCTCAATTTTATGTTTTTAGAGGGTTAATTGAACAAGGGAAATATCTTTTAAATCTCAGATGGATATCAACATCAACTCAAACCACTCAATATTAATAAGGTATTTTATCACTTAAACAAATAAAAGTTTTTCACTTTCCTTTACTTACTAGATGGTTTGCATCCTTTCCTAGCCTGTGTGTATGTGTGTGTGTTTGTGCGCTTGCATGTGAGCAAATGGATTTTAAATGATTGATCACATTGATAGATTAATAGGTATGACTTTTATCTATCTCAAGTAAATGTTTATCTTGAAAACTCCTGTCCCAAACATGGAACAATCTTTTCTACAAGGAAACCTGGCTCCTTTCAGTGAGGGATAGTAGTAGAGAACAAAATCTGGGACTAGGATGGACAACATCACAAACCATAATCTGTTGGAGATAAACAGAATGACAGAAGAGAAGAAAATATTTAAATCATTGTAGCAACTGAATAAAAAATTAACTTTCTCCCCTAAGGTTGTGAGTTTAGGCTAAGATTTTAAATTCAACATATTTCTTCTACCTAGCTCTAAAACAGAGCTTATTGACTCATGTTTCTTTCTATCCACCAATTGTCAAGCATTGTGCTCTATATTTTCACACTTAACAGTGTCATCAAATTATAGTTTTTTCTTTTTGACTTTATGCTCAAGTACGAGGACCTAGCTGCAAACTTCCCAACGATCTCCTTTTCAGTGTCACCTGGACATCAGCCCTCTGAACAGCAAAAGATCTTCCAAAGTCAAAGTAAGTCCCCCAAAATATACTCATAACACCTAAAGTCACAAGAGTCACAGATGTTCTGAGAGAAAAATACATGTTTACAATCTTCCTTTGGCTTTTTATTTCCATGGACCTCTGGATCATTATTAGTCTTTTATTGGGAGCAGTTTTAATTCTGAGCTCCAATTTCTTAAAGACTTGAAACATCTTTGTATTATATCAATCACACTTTTTCAAAAAGCCATTTAAAATGACAGAAAATATCAGCAAATTAACATTGTCAGCATAAAATTTAGAAAACATTACCCCAAAGATCAAGCAAACCATTTCAGTATGGAGCATTTTTTTCCCACAATGCTGACTAGTTTCCACAAGAACCAATTCTTAAAAGTCACTAAAACATTTGGATTATAACATATTTTAGTGATGTTCTATATTCCTGTCTTTTACGTGGCAACCAACACCTTTTCAAGTATTTTCCAGAAATGTTTGGACTTCCTCCAGAGACTTTATTTTCACGTAAAAGAATCAGAGTAAACTCAACTGTCGTGAAAATATCCAAAATGTGAATGAATTAAAATGGGTAGTCCCATATTTTTGCATTCTGTGGTCATCGCTTGCTTGATCATCCTATGGTAAAAGCAGATGATAGATCCTCTCTGGAACAGCGTCTCCAATTTAGGCCTATAGAATTCCTACATATTAAGACATCAAGATGAACTCAGCACCAATGAGCACCAAGAACACACAGCAACACGCCACCTTGAGTATGAAACAACAGGTTTAGAGTCCACCAAGGACATCAGATACTGGAATTATTAAATAGGAATAAACAAAGACAGGATGCAGTTTTAAAGACCAAGTAAAACACAAATTAATAAATACATTTTTAGGAATTGTCTTAGTTCTTTCAGGCTGCTATAACAAAATACTTTAGCCTGGGTGATATATAAACAACAAAAATTTTTTGCTCACTATTCTGGAGGCTGGGAAATAAAAAATCAGGGCACTGTCAGATCTGGTGTCTAATGAGGGCTTGCTCTCTGCTTCAAAGACGATGTCTTCCGGATCACGAGGTCAGGAGATCGAGACCATCCTGGCTAACACGGTGAAACCCCATCACTAATAAAAATACAAAAAAAAAAAAAATTAGCCGGGCATAGTGGCGGGCTCCTGTAGTCCCAGCTACTCGGGAGGCTGAAGCAGGAGAATGGCGTGAACCCGGGAGGCGGAGCTTGCAGTGAGCTGAGATCGCGCCACTGCACTCCAGCCTGGGCGACAGAGCCAGACTCCATCTCAAAAAAAAAAAAAAAAAAAAAAAAAAAAAGATGATGTCTTCTTGCTGCATCCTCACATAGTGGAAGGGGCAAACAAGTTCCCTTAGGCCTCTTTTATGACAGCCCTAATCTCATTCATGAGCTCTGCCACATTGCAAAGGCCCCCACCTCAACACCGTCACACCGTAGACTTGGTTTCAACATAGGAATCTGGGGTTGGGGGGAGACATAAACGTTCAGACCACAGCATTGTAAAATATATAATCAAAATTACAAAGTAGAATCTGCCATAGAAAAACTAAAAAGACAGAAGACACTGGGAAAAGAAGATTACAAAATACATAACTAACAAGAATTCATATATAGAACAAAATTTAGAAAAAGATGTGAATAGCCAATTGACTATAGGAAAATAAAAAAAAGATTAATATGTATGTAAAAAGCTTTTCAACTGCACAAAAAATAAGAGAAATGAAATTAAAATAATAATATAAATAGAAAGTGCTGGTGAGACTGGAAAAATATGACCTGTGTTTGCTACTGTTGGGGTTGTAAACTGATGCAATCCTTTTGAAAAACAATTTGGTGGTAGTTAAATTCAGCATGCATATATATTAAAACACATTAATTTAACTTCTGTGTTTGCACCCAGAGTCGCTAACACATAGGTATACAAACAGACATGACCATGAATGAGCTTAGATAAATGTTTTTTTGGAGAGGAGGGTAGGGGTGATATTTTGTGCTTCTGTGAATGGATCGCTCTCTGTTTCTCTCTCTCTCTCTCTTCCATTCTCCCTCCTTTTACTCTTAAATTATTTGCTTTCCTTTCCTTTTATCATAAAAAACTAGGTCATTCTGTTTGATTAATTGTGTAATTTTCAGTTTTAGAGTACAGATGCTCCTGCACTTATGATGCCATTACATCTCAATAAACCCATCATAAGTTTAAAATATTGTAAGTCAAAATGCATTTAAACATCTAACCTGAATATCATAGTTCAGCCTAGCCTAGATTATGTAATCAGAACATTTACATTAGCCTACAGTTAGGCAAAATTATCTAACACAAAGCCCATTGAATAATAAAGTGTTGACTATCTCATGTAATTTATCAATACTGTACTGACAGTGCAAAACAGAATGGTTGTATGGGTACTAGAAGTATGGTTTCTACTGAGTGCATATTGCTTTTACACCATCATGAAGCTGGAAAATCGCAATTTGGGCACCATCTGTATTTGTTTTATTTGTCCCCTTCCTCAATAGATTATGAGTTTCTTGAAAACACAGATTGTACCACATCCATTTTTGTATACATACTGTCTAAGCATAGTTTGGCACCTAGTAGGGAATGAATGTACAAATACACAAAATTTCTTCTTGTAATATGAAATTGTTGTGAATAATGTCACATACTCATATATTTGTCCATGTGCTTCAAAATATTAGAAAACATTAGGATGCTTAAATTAAGAAAGGTTTTATTTTCAATATCTACTTATTTGGCTCTAAAGACAGTCAAGGGCATCTAGAAGCTCCCGTTAACTTCAGACTCTGATTAAATAGTATAAACACCCTTGACTTCATGAAGCATTAATGTTGAACTTTTAAAATATAAAAACCATAACTTTAAGCTATTATAAGAATCTTGGCCTCCTTCACTAACATTTTCCTATTTCAGAAATAGAAATTCACTGTAGCCAAGTGATCAAACTACATAGGAAGAAAGCTTTTTTTTTTCCACTGACAGCCAAGAGAATTCAATAGTAAAACTTTAGAATATAAGCTACTTAAACCGAAATATCCTACGTTTCAAATTTACTCCCAATAAATAAAAGAAAAAAATTATTTTAAAATTTGATTTGTGTTTTGACAATATCTAGTTTCACAGGAAAACAAATATGGAACACTTCTACCCACTGCAAAGTTGAATTAAAATAGAATATGGCACAAAGCCTATAAAATAAACCATTGTCTTCGTGTGAAAGGCAATATGTGAAACCTCTTCAGAGTCTGAATTAATAAGCACATTTAAAGTACACCATTTCTCTGCAGTGGTTTCAATTTTCAATTCCATGGAAAAATGGTATAATATTTATTATCAACACTTAGTAAATGTATACATTTATCTCCCTTAATAGAAAATAAGTTGTAAGACATTCCTTTAAATACAACTCATTATTTTCTGTCTTTCTAGAAATTTTCATTTGCATAACTACTTCGTCCTTCATTTTCCCACTTTATAGGATAATGAAAACTAGCATAACCCATCAAATGGTTTGCTTAACCATTAGTCAAAAAGAGAGACAGGCAGCAGTATCTACTGATCACAAATTTGGAATATGGACTCCAACCAAATTGAATCCAAGACTTAGATCCGCCACTTACCAGTTGTGTGACTTTGAACTTCATTTTTATCTCCTCTAACATGGAGAACATGATACCTACCTAGCTCTTAATCACATAATAAGGATTAAGTAAGAACACCATGTAAAGTAATTGGCATAAAGCAAGTCACATAGGCAACTGCAGATAAATATGAGTACTGTGTTTCTTTATTCTTGCTATTAGAAAAGGGCAAATTGATGGGAGGGAGTGTCAACGGTTGAAATTTATATTCTCCCAGCCCTAATAAGAATTCCTTACCACATAGTCCGTGTTCATCAAAAGTTTCATGAATAACTATTTTTAAACTGACACTCTCATAAATATTTTCCAGTAACATGTTTATTAAAAATATGAATCAATATTAAATTATATTCTAAAATGGAAGAACCAATATAGTATCTGAAACATTGCATTTGGATATCATATATGCTATCATACAATCACTTACTGTTTTGAAATCTGTGAGAAAGAACTTATCACAGTAGAAAGTGCAAGCGTCCTCAGAATTATACTTAGTTGCTGAAAGATCTTTATAAAAGTATTCAATTTCTCTGAGCCCATTTTCTCCCCTGTGTAAAAGTGAATATTTCCCAGGTGTGAGAATAAGTAAATAAGATAATATATGTAGAGTACCTAGTGCAGTTCTTGGCACATAACATTTACTTGATACATGTCAGTAAATCGACCCCATCACCACCACCTCCATACCAATCTAATAATTTAGAAACCAGTTGATATCTGTCTGTAATAGGGAAACAAAACCTATGAATAAGTTAAACAGGAAAATGTCTTAATTGGGTCGATGAATCTTTATGGATATAATTACAAAATGAGTGGATATATGTCAATGACTCTCATATATATATATACACACACATATATATATGCACACATACATACACATACACACATATATATATTCCCACCTCAAAGTGATTGATATCAGTATATCCAACTATTTGCCAACTCTATTTTGGAAATTCACCAGCAAATCAATTACACCAAATACATGGTCAAAATCCTCAAAACCTCATCTTTCCTTGTCTCCTGACTCAGTGAACAGCAGAAAACTCAATCCTGGGTGGACAAACTAGTATTTTAAAATCATCATTGACCTCTACATCCCAAGTTAGCCCCTCTATTCCCACTACCTTATTTTTTTATTTTATTTATGTATTTATGTATGGATTTATTTATTTTTAGAGACAAGGTCTTGTTCCAGGCCCAAACTGGAGTGCAGTGGTGCAACCATAATTCTTTGCAGCCTTGACCTCCTGGGCTCAAGTGATCCTCCCACCTCAGCCCCCTAAGTAGCTGGGACAACAGATGCAAGCCGCCATGCCCAGCTAATATTTTTTGGTAGAGACAGGGTCTCACTGTCTTTCCCAGGCTGATCTCAAATTCCTGGCTTCAAACAATCCTTCCACTTTGGCCTTCCAAATTGCTGTATTATAAGCATAAACCACCACATCTGGCCTTCCATCATCTTATAACACAGTTGATTTTTCTTCTAAATACATTTTACGTCTGTCCACCTATCTTCATCTCCATCTTCACTTTTGTCCAAACTATCATGTCATACCTGGACAAGTGCAATGACCTCTTGAATATTGATATCTACTCTTATCTGTTACCAATTTATTATCTAAAACTGAAATGATCTCGTACAAGCAAAGGACACCATGTGATAACTCTTGTTTAAAACAGTTTATCTGCATTTATGGGCATGGTCAACAAGCATCATATGGTCTGCCTAGGCCCTGCCTAGCTCTTTAGCAGTATCTTCCACCACTTACTCACGTCTCCCTTTTACTCTGCTCTCCCTTCACACTTAATTCTTCAAAGACATCCTTCAAAGACATACCTTCTTGTTTAGAGGACTTGGCACCTGCTATGCTCTTTACCTGGGAGATTCTCCTTATTTCTCCCACATCAACCTTCCACCTGATTACATTCTACTCAGCCTTTCAAGTTTAGCTTAAACCTTTCCTCGTCAGAAAAGCCTGTTCTGCCAGACTAGATCAGTTCTCTGCTCTGTTTCCTCAGTCTCTCTACTGTTCTTTCATAGGATGTATCACAGATTGTATTTACATATTTGTGCATTGATTAATTTCTCCCTTCGATTTTAGACCATAAGCTCTTTAAGTCTGTTTGGCTCACTGCTTCCTTTTCATTAGGCTCTCCACTGCTGGCATATCACAGATGCTAAGTAGTTATGGAATAAATTAATGGATGGATAAATATAAATTAGGCTGAGGTCATCACTACTCTTCATGCATCTAGTTCCCAATCCCTGTCCCCTTGCCTCATAAAACATGAGTAATTTTTGTTTGTTTGATTTTTGTTTCTCAGAGAAGAGAAATGAGAGCAGAGCCTTGAAGAACTGAGGCATATGGTGGACAATAGAAACATTTTGCTGAAGTGAGATCTACAGGTAGTTATAATAATTGTAATTACAATAATTATAGCTGTCAGGGAATATAGAAATTAAATCAAGAAATCTGTTTTGGCTTTTAATGCTAACCTTTCTCTGCTTTTCCATTTTACATGTGCCACTTTTTCTGGTACTAGTAATCTGAACTGAGAAATAGGATGGTGTTCAAAGCATAGATAGATAGCCTAGATGCTACTCACTATTATAGAGAGAGAAACAGGAATCTACTTCTTATTATCAAGAGATCAAGGAAGGATCCAAAAATATAATATAGAGATGAGCTTTTCTTGTATAAAGGGGGTCAAGGAGTAGTCTATAAGGAACTAGAAAGCCAGTATGACAATGATGAAATAAATCTCATCTCAAGAGGCAATTCTGAACCATTAAGAGTCGCTTCTTAGAGATCTATGCTGACAAGGATTTTGACACCACATCTGGGCCACAGAGCCAAGAGTACAATAATCAGTTAGTGATGTCAGACAGGCTTTGACTGAGTACTGGTGGAATGCAAGCCAAGTATTTGCATTCACTCTTCAGATACCAGAAAGGTGATAGGAATATGGGGTGGGGGGTAGGATTAGTATTCCATTCATTCCCATGATAGGATTAAGAAGCATATTTCTTTGCAATATGAGTTGAATATCTGCTCCTTACCTGGGCCAGGCATGCTGTCCATCATTCCTGATGAACAATTTGGAAATTGTCCTGAGAACTGTAGATATAGAAATGCTAAGTAGTTTCAACCAACATATTTATGAAAGTTTATGACAGGGTTAGAAGGATTTTTATTCCAGAGCCCTATCTTAATCAATATATTCTCATTTCAAATTCACAAGGTGTAATGTAAAAATATCTGACCATGTTTAATGAGATCAATTAAATATGTAGCTTGACATTGTCAACAGGAAATGGAATGTTTGCATAGAAATAAACACTGCTACCTTTACTATTATAAGTAATAAGCTTCTCTGCAGTTCAGTTTTCTGGTCTCACTTATGCCACAGTAAATGTCAAGCCTGGCTACCCTTAAGGGAAGGTGAAAAGGGAGTATGCCCAGTATATATCATTTATTTTCTTCTTATTGTAAAATCCAAGCTCAGAGTTCCTTATCAGTGTTTGTTGAAATAAACATTAAAGGGTTTACTGATACCTACCAACTTCCACCATCAGTTGTCAGGCTGACATTAAGTATGTAATGAATGTCTAGAGAGTTTCTGTGTCAACACAGAAAACACAAATATATTGTTTATAAACACACTTTCTTCCATTTGCTGCCATTGTCTTACCTCTGCTTTAAAATACGTAAGTTGATTAGAGTTGCGAAGGGGGAGTAATATCTGTCTTGCCAAACCACCTACAAGCTGTAATATATCACCCATGTCTCTCAGGGACCTAACTCACTAATTACTTCTCCAGAAATATACAAGAGGTCTTGCCTGCCACCTTTCATCATTGCTTACCCACCAACAAGAGCTTTAAAATGATTCTAAAGATATGAGGAGAAAACGAGTGAGAAACATTTATAAACCCTTGAAGGCAAGCTCATTGGTAAGAGCCCAAATCATAGTTCAGATATATACAGTAAACACTGCAAGAAACTATTTGAAAAACAGGATAAATAGAAAAATAGACCAATAGGAAAAGAAGGAGGTTTCCCTGCCAGCCTTAAAAGCAATAGGGCAATAGAATTGAATTCAGGGTGTGTGTTTGTGTATGTGTGGGTGTATGTGTATGCTAAGTTTTTGTAAATGTTGTGAACTTTGTACTTTATACAAAGATCTTAAAATCCTTTAAATGTTACATAGTGAGTATATTTTCCTGCTTTGAGTTGGAATGGAGAATAAAATTGAGGATGTCCATTCTTATTCAGTGCCTTAAGATATGCCAGAACCTGAAACAACCAGGATCAAGCAATCATGCTGCCATTCATTATTTCAATACATCTGTGGTGGTTCTAGCATCTCTCTCCCCACCACTGTGAGGAGACCATCTCAGTCTAGCGTCAGCTCCTAACCAATGGTTCAGATGTAACTGTTTCCCACTTACGTTCAGGTAAGTGTGAGAAGATGTTAGAAGAAATGGTGATGGCATTGCTGTTCTGTTGGGAGGTGGAGGAATTTCCACTTATGCCATGTTAGGAAATCAAGATACTAAAATTAGGAAAGAGCATTTCCCTTGTCATACTCAATAGGTTAATCTGGGCCAGATGCGGTGGCTCACGCCTGTAATCCCACCACTCTGGGAGGCCAAGGTGAGTGGATTTCTTGAGACTAGGAGTTCAAGACCAGACTGGACAACATGAAGAAACCTCACCTTTACCCCTGCAAAAACACAAAACTTTGCTGGGCGTGGTGATGCTCTTGTAGTTTCAGCTACTCAGGAGGCTGAGGTGGGAGGATCACCTGAGACCTATGAGCCAAGATCAGGCCACTGCACTCCAGCCTGGGAGACAGAGTGAAACCCTCTCTAAAAAAAAACACAAATGAAACAATAACAAAAGGTTAATCTGCTCCTGAAAAAATCAGGCACATTTTCTCATTTAGGGTTAGGAAACAAAGGCACATAGATAAAAATTTAAAACTATTTTTTTAGGGTCAATACATTTAAATACATATTAAAAATAATTCCCAGAACCCAGATTTAGTTTTATAGTCACAGGACAGTGCATTTTCCCACTGATTGTCATATATGAGAATTGACACATAGTATGTATGCATGCATAATCATGATTTAACGTATTTTCAAACAGCCTGATAATATATCCAACCACTCTTTCTGAAAAGGTAATAACTAGCCAGGATTTTTTGCCATTAGTTCTGGTCCTTTACATGGTATCACCGGCTCCTTCAGGTCCTTACAGCAACTGCTTTAAGCTCATTAAGATCAGATACGTCATGCATTAACCTTGGGCTCCGCTTCAGTGTGATGGGTTTCCTATTATTTTCATCAACACCATGATCACCAACATCATACTCAGTAAACAAGTGCCTATTAGGTTCTAGGAGACATGCAAAGCCATTGCCATCTGGTAGCTTAAAATCATCCTAAGTCAAATCTGGTGGAGAACATGGGGCCTGATGAGGTTTTCATTCTGAATTAATCACATTTTAGCTTAAGGATGAGCAAATAGTCACCTCAGTCTCAAGGGGACACTAACTGGAAAATTCATGATCATTAGTCCTTAACATATTCGTTGGTTGTCTTCCAATAGTTTCATCTTATCTTCCAAATTAACTCTCCATTCTAGATAAATGGAACCATATATGAAAGAAAAAAACTAGTGTGGAAGGAAAAATAAAAGGCATTTTTAACATACCTATGAACCTGAAGGGCAAGTTCATATAATACTGACAATTTCAGAAGTCCAAATAAACAATACCAAAATAATCTTTTAAAAGACATTTGTATTGTAAATTGATAATCTATAGCTGTATAAATATACGGGGTACAAAGTAATGTTATGATTTATGAGTATAATGTGGAATAAAAATTAAATCAAGCTGCTTAACATATCCATCACCTTAAATACTTAGCATTTTTTTAGTGAGAACATTTAAAATTTACTCTTTTAGCCATTTGGAAATGTTCAATACTCTATAAACTGTATTTACCACACTATGCAGTAGAACTAAAAAAAACCAAAAAACAAAAAACAAAACAAAACAAAAAAACTTCATTGTTAGCAAAGAATCATCACATAAAATTAATCCTTAGAAGTAAGCAAAGTATCGGGCCGGCACAGTGGCTCATGCCTGTCATTCTAGCACTTTGGGAAGTCGAGGCTGGTGGATCACTTGCGTGCAGTAGTTCAAGACCAGCCTGGACAACACAGTGAAACCCCATCTCTACCAAAAGTACAAAATTAGCTGGGCATACTGGAGCACAACTGTGGTCCCAGCTACTCAGGAGGCGGAGGTGGGAGGATCAGGATCACATGCGCCCAGGATGGGGAGGTTGCAGTGAGCCAAGATAGTGCCACTACATTCCAGCCTGGGTGACAGAGCCAGACTTTGTCTCAAAAAGTAAAATAAAATAAAAAATAAAAATTAGAAGTAAGCAAAGCATTAATATACTAATATATAGATGAGTTTTATAAATAGGTTTAGATAAACTTCATAGGCACATGATTAAATAATTGAACTTAAGTATTATTAGTCAATGGTCTCTTATAAAACATCTGAGAATGTTATTTTCTCTGTCTCACATAAATTTAGACTGTAATACAATTTGTACAATTTTAAGTTCATATCTTAATAATATAAAATGAGTGTTTTCATTGTTGAAATTATAATCAACTATGCAAGATTATTATTATTGTTATCACAGCCTAACATCTACAAGGAGTGACTATATTCAGTATTACTTTGATGGTAAAGTTTTAGTGAGAGAATAACATAACTCAAAACTTTATTTGAAAACAAGCTAACATAGACTTTTAGGAGAAGGAAACCTTAATTTTCTAAGAGAGCTAGGAGTTAAGAGTACCTTGAAAAGTTTTATGTGGTTTTTACAAAGCAAATTTTCTGTCCCACACTTTCCCTGCTGAAAACTAACAGAGAAGCCACAAATGGAAAGAGGCTACTCCATTAGTCCACAGTAATTTCCCCTGTACAAACTAATTACAAGGTGGATACGGAAATAGATCTGAGTTTGCCTTCCTGTGAGGGTGCCCATGTAGGTCTATGCAGACTTCCTCCATGAGTAATTGGGTGACAAGTTTAGGGGCACTGCAGACAAAGGAGATCAGTTTTAAAGGGCAGACTCCCCCATCCTGATTTCTCACTCAAGAAATTACTTTTTACTTCTCCCTCTGATTTTGTTTGGTTTTGTATTTGTTTGTTCTTTTTCTTTTAAACAACCACAACCCATGAGGCCTGCCTAAGGGTATATATTGCAAACCATATGGATTGCTGAGCTTTTGGCCCCTGGCTTCCATGGCATTCTTATCCAGAATGCTAATATTTCTACAATTCACTAACATGACAAGAACAAGTTATGCTGCTTCTGGCATCCTTCCTTTGGGGGCATAAAAAGAAATAGAAAAAAAAAAACCTGAAAGCTGTACTTTATTAGGAAAAAATTGCCAAGAAAAATCAATTCATTTGATGACCCCCGAGGCTGCATGATCATCCTGGAGTTGAAAGTGCATTGTCTATTCTAGAAAATGGGGTAAAAGGCAAAAGACAAAAGTTCAGTATCTGGGTCATCACACAATGTTGAGAGGAAGCTCACGGCTGAAATGGTCGGATGAATACTTCATGCTACTGTTTGGAACAATAATCCACCAGAGTGAGACTCATATCTGCCTCCATCTGCTTTCCTGTGCCTGAAAAATTAAAAAAAGGAAAGGATGTCTATTTGCTGATAGACAGTTCCCCGGTATTATTCTTATAATTTCCACATCCTGCTTAATAATGCTATATGTGAAACATTGTGTTTTTCTTTACCTTGCTCTTATAAATTATCCCTGCATTTGAAGAATACCCACTCACAGGAAAAAAAATAGCTCTTTTTCTCATAAACCAAAGAAGAGAGTAATTCGTTATGTACCTAGGATCTGTGCTGTTTGATTCCTACCTCAAGCATCTATAATAAAATATTGAACATGCTTAGTAGAAGTTTCAGCTCATAGGAGCACCTAAAGGTCAATTTTCATGGTGTGCAAGGGCCCTTACCTAGGCACAAATAAATGGAATTGTGAAACAGGACTTTCTTCACAGAAACAGAATCCAGGTAGTAATGGCCAATCCTCCTCAATCAATCATTTATGTTACACAGAACAAATCTGCACACGCTCATGTGAGGGTGAAGAGTGTGTCATATGTTTTTGAAGGTTCTTAGGGAGGAACTATATTTCTCTATGATGCATTTTATAGAATACTGGCAATTTTTAGGGATCTCGAAGATGAATTATTCATGCAGTACAAGAACCCCTTCCCCATCAACACTGCCAAGTAGTTGTCCAGTGTTTACCATTCATGTATCCAACAAACATGTACTGAACACCAGGTTCTAAGCAGTCAGCTAAGCACATGCAATTATTTTTTAAAACTATACACATACATCCTGCCCTCAGGGTTCTCACAGTCTAGAAGAAAAGAGACATGCATAACTAATT
Source organism: Homo sapiens (assembly GCF_000001405.40). Lineage (NCBI taxonomy): Eukaryota > Metazoa > Chordata > Mammalia > Primates > Hominidae > Homo > Homo sapiens. Next base: position 82,399,871 of record NC_000001.11, on the reverse strand, counting down.
ACAAGAACAGTGATAAGAAAGGTGAAAAGTAATAACTACTTCTGAGTGGTTGGGTAGTAAAAGGCATCATCGAAAAGTTAATAAAAGGGTGAGATTTTGAAGGATGTGGAGATTGTCGCCAGACGGAAAGGGGATAACTGGACATTCTTTTGTCAAAGAAAACTAAATAGTCAAAGGTCTGGAGGGGCAAAAATCTTGGAGTATTAAGTTCATATAGAGATATGTATTTTTTATAGGGCTGCACTAATATGATAGACACTAGGCAAATATGGCTACTGAACACTTGAAATGAAGGTTAATCCGCATTGAAATGTGCCATAAATATAAAATATACACTCAATTTAAAAGACTTAGTATTTTTTAAAAGAGATTGTAAAATGCACTAGTAATCTAATAAATCTCCTTAACAAATTATCCTAGAAAATCAGTAGTTTAAAACTACTAACATTAATTGCCTCATGGTTTCCATGGATCAGAAATTTGAGAGTAATTCTTATTCAATATCTCTATTGAGGTGGCAATAAAGATGTCAGTACTACAGACATTTGAAGGTTTCAGTAAGGCTGGAGGATCCACTTCTTAGCTGACTCACATCAATGTTGGCAGGAGACCTCAGATTCTCACTGGCTGTTGGTCAAGACCCTCAATTCCTTGCACATTACATCTCCATAGATAAGAGTCCTCATGAAAAGGCAACTGCCTTCCCCACAGAGTAAGTGACCAAAGAGAGAAAAAGCAAGCAGGAAGTCACAGTGTCTTTTCTTAGTCTCCAAAGTCAAACCCAACATCTTTGCTGTATGCTTTCCACTAGAAATTCTTCACTGAAAATTTGACTCCATCTTCTGAAAGGAAGAGTATTAAATAATTTGTGAACCTATGTGAAACAAAATTGACCATTTGGTCACATACTGTTTTTATTCATCCCACAAGCAAAGTATATTTACTCTCTCCCAAAGGCCCCAAAAGTCTAATCCCATCACAGCATCAGCTTGAAGCCTAGAATCTTGTCAACTAGATTGGGTGTAGCTGCAGATGAGGCTCCTTGAATACAGTGCCTTAAGTTCCATAGCTACAGCTCCCCAAGTACAGTTTCTGTTTATCAGGAGACCTGTGAACTAAAGAGACAGGTTATATGTCCAACAGACATGTAACATATAATGATGGGACAAGCATAAGAAAACCACTATGGGCATTTCTATTTTAAAAAGGGGAAAGACAAGAAGCACAAAGGGGTCACTAGTCTACAACATTTCTGAAATGGAGCCAGGCAAATGATCAAAGTCCCTTGACTCAGCCCTTTTCCTTCACAGGAATAATTCTCCAAGGCTATCAGCTCTACTTTCTGGGCTCTTGATTCCACCCTTTGACTCATCTTTCCTTTTACAAGAAAGTAGCCTGTGTTTACAGCTATGTAGTTTCCTCAGCCTCCTTCCTGCCTATTGAATTCTGGGGGTTGAAAGCTCTCTTTTCATTTTGTATTGTCTGGGTACCTTTCAGTTTAAGCTGACAATGTTTCTGTGAATATAATTCTTGTTAAAATTTTATGGATCTCCTGTGATTCTTATTAGGGTTCATTGCATTAGACTAAAGACACACTCACAATTCTCTTCAAAACAAGTCCTTCTCTACCTCTGGCTTCTCCCCAGATGGCCAAAGAAAGATACCCTTAAGTGTTAAGAAGTTTAAACTAGGCCAGGCATGGTGGCTCACACCTGTAATCCCAGCACTTTGGGAGGCCAAGGTGGGTGGATCACCTGAGGTCAGGAGTTCAAGACCAGCCTGACCAACATGGAGAAACCCCCTGTCTTTTAAAAATACAAAATTAGCTGGGCTTGTTGGCACATGCCTGTAATCCCAGCTACTCGGGAAGCTTAGGCAGAAGAATCAATTGAACCCAGGAGGCGGAGGTTGTGACGAGCTGATATCGTGCCATTGCACTCCAGCCTGGGCAACAAGAGCAAAACTCTGTCAGAAAAAAAAAAAAAAAAGAAGGAGAAGAAGAAGTTTAAACTACTGTTCATTTGAGAGGTTTTGTGAGGCATACACTTAAACCTTTGAGAGGGTCTTTTGTCTGACTAAACTGTATTACATTCTGAGGCAATAAATACCTATAATCTTTCTGAGGTCTCTTGGCAGCACGCTGGATTTGATCTTTGTTCATAAGATATTTCTTAATTTTAATATCATTCTCCATGTGGATGGGCTAAGAATTTTAAAAACCATCCAGTTCTAGTTCCTTCCTACTGAATAGTCATTTCTATAGTTCATCCCTTTCCTCTCTCATTTTACTCTAAACAGCAAGAAGAAGCCAGTGGCCTCTTTACTACTTTGCCTGAAGATCTCCTGAGCTGGATCACCCAGTTCACCTGGCACATTTCTACTTTCCAGGTTATTGTAGGCAATAATGTTACTAAACTTTCTGGCATTACACGAGGCTTTCCCCCATTTCCATTAATTCTTTATTCACAGCTCCTTAAATGGTATCATGTTTCTAAAAAAAAAAAAATGACTTTTACAAGGCTCCCTTTAAAGACCTGCCAACTTCTACCCACTGCTGGGTTCCAAAGCAACTGCCACATTTTGGGTTTTTATTACAACTGCACACCACTGCCAAGTAGCCAACTCTGTATTCGTTTAAAATTGTTGCATAACAAATTGCCTCAAAAATTTGGATCTTAAAACAACTAATATTTATTATTTCAAACAGTCTCCGAGGGGCAGGAATATGGAAGCAGATTAGCTGGGTTGTTCTGACTTCAGATTCCCTCATGAATTTGCAGTCAAGCTATCAGCTGGGGTTGTCAACTGAAGCTTGACTGTAGCTGGACAATCTGCTCCATGATGGATCAATTTTGCATCTATTGGCAGAAGACCTCAGTACCTTCCTGGTTGTTGGCAGAAATCCTCAGCTTCTCTCTACATGGGCCTCTCCACAGGCCCTCCTAAGTGCACTCACTACAAGGCAGCTGGCTTCCCCTAGAATCAATGATGCAAGGCAGAAGCCACAAGGTCTTTTACAATCTAGCCTAAAAAGTGACATACCATCTGCCATATTCTATTGATTGCACCAACCAACCCTGACAGTGTGGGAAGGGACTACACAGGGTGTGAACATTGGCAGAGATCAATGAGGATCATTTTGGAAGCTGGTTACCATATAAGTATCTAATTAATAATTTTTATATTGATTATCTGATTTATATTATTTCTTTTATTTTTTTACTAAAATAGATTTAAGCACAAATATAAATATATAATATGAATAGAATAAATTACATATACATTTAAATATATAAATAATATAAATATAATAGATTAGTAAGTATTTTTATTTCCTAATTTTAACTTTTACTTTAATGTGGCTATTAAATAATTTAAACTTATGTATCTGGCTCATATTCTATTTCTACTGGACAGCACTGGACAAGGATATGAAAGTATATAAATATATCAAATAATAATAAGATCAGAGGGAAAAAAAGTATGAGACAAATTGTGAAGCATCCTGAATCCTTTTTTACAGAGTTAGAATCTCTTCTGTAGGTGATAAAGCGACCTTGAGTTTTTGAGCAGAAAAGTAACAATATCAGAGATGTACTTCAGGATGATTCCATCTAATAGCAGTGTGTCAGGTGGATTAGACCGGAAGAGATACCAAAGACAGATCCAAAGAGTGAGTTACACAGGCCTGAGCCCAGAAGAAAGTAGATGACAGAATAAAAAGCTCTGGAGTCACACCCTTAGGAATCAAAGTGGAAGCCTTGCAAAGGATGAATCCACTAAAAGAAACAGTGGTGGATTCTGGAAGAAGTTTTCATTTAGAAATATCAGCAGGTAAAGAGAAGCCAGAGAAGGGAGAAGGAAGAAATAGCCAAAAGTTAGAAGAGAAATAAGGGAGGATAGCAAATAGGCTTTTGCTGTTCTCTTTTGGGATTATAATCATGGATTCTAGATTTCCTTTCTGGTAGTCCCAGGAACTCTAGAGGGACAAAGAAGCATCAAGGCAACTCCTCCACTACAGGATTGTTTTTTCTCTACCCGTTAAATGATCTCATAACAGTACCACTTTGCTATTCATAGGTGGTAAACTCCTCTGGATCAAGCAATCAGCAGAGCTCTGATTAAGGTATCTTTTCTTTACGTTTTGCCAGTTCCTATCCTCTAACAGACTTCTAGAAAAAAGACAGTTGTGGATAAGCAGTTTCGGTGTCATCCAGAACTCTGGTCTAAATGTTTATGATGTGCTGCTATAGAAGAGGAAGTGAAAAGAACAGCTGGCTTTATTCAGTTGAGAGTGAAAAGGCTTTTAATGAAAAGTATAAATTACATTCCCATCTTGAAAAAAATGCTTTGTCAGTAGCCCGACAAATGGTGAACTCAGTAACATTTTGGATTATGGAAAATATAATTAAGTTTTAAGAAACACAGTTTCAAGTAACTTTTTTGCTTCTGTCAAACCTGTTTTCTGAATTTCTTTCTATATGAATTCCATTCTATGTTGAATAACCACCATCCTCTGAAATGTTTTTGTATAAAATGATGCTACAAATATAAAAATCATGTTCGTCAACAATGGAAAAATTTCTAATACTGTAAATTTGAAAACATAAAACCATGGAATTTCTAATACATGAAAACTCTAATTAGTTTTCAATTTGCTATCACCTAAAATTTAAACGTTTATAAGCTATGTTTAAGTCTAAGCTTATAAAGAGAACATAGAGAAGAGGGGAAGTTTTTATTTTGGTGCCATTTTCTCCCTTAGCATCTCCGTAGTTTGAAAAGTATAGTTGCCAAGAGGAGTTTTTTTGTGTGTGCCTAATAGTAATTGGAAAAACTACAATTCTCTTAAGGCACTAAACAATTTTATGCACTGCATTGTTAAGACTTGTTCAGTCGATTATATTTGATGATGAGTGAATATTTATTTGCCCATCAATATGAACAGGGTTTTTTTAATCAAGTAATTTTATAGGTTAATTATATTTTGTAAATAATGAAATCACAAAAGCTGTTGTTATTATAATCCCAGGAGTGATTCAATGTAAGTAATTTTCAAAACCCATTCTTCATTCTAAGTATGTAGGAAGGTAAAGAGTACATCTTTTAAAGTCATTCCACACTATTTCTTTTCTAACAAGTAGTGCCTTGCACATTTTGGATGAATGGACATAGGAAAAAAAGGGGCTTGGGTGAAAGCAAGGAATCCCCACACAACTGAAAATAAGCATGGAATCTTTATGTTGCTTGTTTGCCTCCTCTCATGCATTCAACCAATATCTATTAAGCAACTACTTTATCCAAGACATGCTTGTAGATGCTGGGTAATGCAAAGCTTACTATACAACAGTTTCTTCTCCTAATATGATTACATAATACATTAGGGGAAGGGAACACTTATACAACTAACTACAAGGCAAAGTGATAAGTACTATAGCAATAACTTATATCTGTCTCACAGTTAATGTGCTGCAAAGCAATTTCACATGCATTATTTCATTTCATTTTATCCTAATAACAAGCCTATTTAGTAGGTAAGTTATTACCCCTGACACCATCAATTAATATAACAAGAAGCTAAGATAACAAGAAGGGTGCTCAACTTCCCACACCTTAAAGACAGCAGAAGATGTAGACTGGGACCTAGCCAAATTTCTTCTAAAAACTTCAATGGAATTTGTAAGAAAAGGACATTTTATAAGTGGTGATGATGATGATAAAGTTTCAAAGGAAAGCTGACATTAGAACAAATTCTTCATGGACTAATAGCATTTAACTTAAGAAAAAAGAACATTTCAGACAGAGTAAACACTATTAGTTGTGTGGAGCTGTTCCCACAAGTGAAAGATTTTTAGGATCAGTAATTCTGGCAATGTTGCTGTAAAGTAAATTGTAGACTGTATGTGAGGGACCTCAACTGTCATACTGAGTAGCTGGCTTTTGTCCCAATAACTAAAGGGAGCCACTTAAGAGGCACTTCATTCTTACAGACTTTTTATTCTTAAAGATTTTATTTTCAAAGACCTTAAGTCTTTAAGCAAAAGAGTTAAACAATAGGTTTTGTGTTTTAAGAATACAACTTGGGTGCCCACATAGAATGGACCAGACAGTTAGTGACTTAGAACACTGAACCAAGAAAAGGAATAAGAACATCAACTATAGCAATGGAAATGAGGGAAGAAAGGAGTATATAGAATCCAGAAACATCCTTAGATCAAAAAAAAGAACCCGGGCAAAGTCCTGAGGATTGTGTCTCATTCTCTACTGCCAAGAGACAGCATCCAGAAAGATGCAAAAGAACAGTCAGGCCCGTTGTGCTGCAAATGCCGATGTAAAAACCTTGACAGAAAACCTTTATCTATTGCCAATGAGTCTGCCAGATACCATGAGTCTGCCAGGCAAAAGGTAAAATCTAAAGATGTACACAAATATTTCTTAACCTGTAAAGAAAATCCACAGCTGGGTTCATTTTGTATAAGGATATATTATAAACTGCAATTATAATAACTGCATCCCAGAGGGATTTTTGCATTCTGGACAGGTATAATTGTTTCTTTGGGTTGAAGTGGCACATCTTGCCATCACTTGTCAGCTCTTCAAATGTGTCAGAGTCAGGAAATGTGTCATTGATCCCAGCTTTCTGGGTATTATATGGGCAGCCTCTATGCTGTTTCGCTAACAAAACAGCAATGAAGGGCAAGGTCCCAGGGCAAGTCATCTCTCCTCTGGGAAGGAGCTGGCAGCTTATCAGGCTATCAAACACTTGTTGGGAGTCATTGCTGCTAAATAGCACTCTTACCCAATGGCACTGAAAATACTTCAGTTTTCCTTAATAATACTGAGCATTTTTGTAGCAGTTTCTAATCTTTAATTAGTTAATCTGAACACCATCCCTATGAGATAGGTAAGGATAATTATCCTCATTTTACAGATGAGAACACAAACACTAAGAGGTTAAATGACTTTGACAAGGTTATTTAGTGAGCTGGGGAGGCAGAGCCAACATGCAGACAACTTCCAGACATGGAAAAATAAAATGCCCTTTTGTTCAACACACAGCAAATATAATTCTAATATATTGTATTTAAGCAATCCATATGATGTAATTGTTTTACTTTTGATCTAGATGACTTGGAACTTTAAACTCACTCCATTGAATCATCATTTAGTGATGGGTAGTGACTAATACACCAATATATGTTGCTGTTGGCTGCAACCAGTGCTAAACTGGCTACAAATGCTGAAGGTAAATATAAGAGGATTAAAAAAGAAGTACTAGAGCGAGACCGTTGGACACTGAGTTCAAGAAAAAGAAAATTATTAATTTTAATAGCACTATACAAGGAGAAATAATTCTCAAGGACTAGAAGTTCAATCAAGGCAAATGTCAAGATACTAGGAACAAATCGGAACTTATTTTAAACCATGTGATCTCAGCACTGTCAGTCTACAATGGAAATAAATTATCGAATATAGTCTAGAAATATTTGCATCAATATGACCAAGGATTGGCCAAAGAGTAAAGAATCAGTTGACCAAAAATGACCAAAGAATTGATGGATTCTGGGTGTTTCAACATCACTGATTAGCTAAGGACCAAGTTTAAGGTTAATAATAATTTAAAAGTAAACATTTAAAGCTTAGATCTTTTAAAATAAATAGTTTTGCCAAAATTTTGGAGTTTTTACATTATCTGTGTACAAAATAGAACCCACAAAAATATTGAACTGAAATCAAGTGTTCTCATCAATTCTATTTCCAGAATTTAATGTATTCACTGCACCACTAGAATTATTTCAGTAACATTTTTCCACTTGTGGCAATTGTCATAAGAATTGTGAAATTACAACTCCTTATCAACATTAATAGGGATTCATAGGGCACACGCTAGCATATTGGCTTCTATAGGACTAATGTTGCACAACTTTAGTGTCTCAGTATTTGTGTAGACACCATGGATGTTATATTGCCCAAGAGTCATGAAGCTTGCAATTATTTGGCTAGTGTATGTAGCACTTGCGATATGAGTTTTTTTATATGTGTACAAATGCAAGAGATTTCTCAATCTGAAACTCATGCATGCCTAGGAATAAGCAATTTCCTGGGAAAGACCTGAAGAAAGTAAAACAAGAAAGGAGTCACTGTAAAATAGCACCTCTAAAATCAGTCTTTTATATCCTTCATTCAATTTGCATGGTACGTCTTCTTTTAAAAATTACAGTTTTTTCCTCCCATGAAAACGAAAATTTTAAACTCAAATATAACTGATGAAAGTCTCAATATTCTCTTAAAGAAATGGACTTATCTAACTCCAAAGCACGATGGCAAGTTAAATTTTTTAGTGAAGTTTTCTTAGAAGAATGAGGTAAAGAACATTCATTTTATATCCAATTAGATTTTCTAAACATTTCCTTGACCATTTCTCATTTTCCTCAAAGTGTATCTCTCTTTGTTTGCAAATGTTTCTTCTCACTCTCCCATGAAAACTTTTCTCTCAACACCCTCCACACTTCTCTACCCCATCCTCTTTTTTGGGCCACTTCACTCCCACTCTCCTGTCTGGTCCTTGTACCCTTGGGCTGCCTCCAGGTTCATATATTGCCCCACCTCACCTTTTTTTTTTTTTTGCCCTACACAATAATTCAACCTTCTCCTGACTTTCCCATATGAACTCTCATCTATTGCTCAGCAAAACATTGGTTCTTCCTCTACAACCAATTTCTTTAAAAAGTACAAAAGGAAGACAATGTAAATATTTACCATTTGATGCTTTCCTTGTTCCAAGTTAAAGAGATAAAGAAAAAAAGAATAGAAGTTATATGAAAAATAAATGGAAAATAGGAGAGAGAAATGTTAAGTCTGATACATGTAAAATAACAAAGGTGAAATCACTGATTAAAGACCCATGGACAGAGAAATTTTAAAGCAGCCTTACAAGCCTAGGGATTTGCCTCTGTGAAATCAAAAAAGGGAAGGAAAACAATCAGATATCATAGCAGCCAACATGCCTTTCCCCCAACCCCTCCGCAGGACATTGCTTTCCCAGCAGGGGAGTCTCTCTCCTGTATTAGCCTCTCAGAATCACTGTTCACAATCAATCTCTATTGAGCAGGGACATTTCAGTCTACTGAGTGAATCTTTGAAAACCTACTAAAGAAAATCTCTAAAGAGGGACTTACTGCAGCACAGCAACCCTGCCAATGGCAAAGAAAGGTCACAGGCCTCCCACAGGACAGAAACCCACCACCAAAGCCTCTGGTGATCTTTTCATTCCTTCTGCCAGCTACTGAGGGCATCAGATTGGTTCAGGAAAGCTAGTGGAAAGAATGATTTAAAAAATTTACAAAGATCCTAGCATATCAAGAATGGTAAAGCAAAAAAAAAAGGACTGATTTACACTCCCACCAACAGTGTAAAAGTGTTCCTATTTCTCCACGTCCTCTCCAGCATCTGTTGTTTCCTGACTTTTTAATGATCACCATTCTAACTGGTGTGAGACGGTATCTCATTGTGATTTTGATTTGCATTTCTCTAATGATCAGTGATAATGAGCTTTTTTTCATATGTTTGTTGGCTGCAAAAATTAGTTCAACTATTGTGGAAGACAGTGTGACAATTCCTCAAGGATCTGGAACTAGAAATACCATTTGACCCAGCAATTTCATTACTGGGTATATACTCAAAGGATTATAAATCATTCTACTATAAAGACACATGCACACATATGTTTATTGTGGCACTATTCACAATAGCAAAGACTTGGAACCAACCCGAATGTCCATCAATAATAGACCGGATAAAGAAAATGTGGCACATATGTACCATGGAATACTATGCAGCCATAAAAAAGGATGAGTTCATGTCCTTTGCAGGGACATGGATGAAGCTGGAAACCATCATTCTTAGCAAACTAACACAGGAACAGAAAACCAAACACTGGATGTTCTCACTCATAAGTGGGAGTTGAACAATGAGAACACTTGGACACAGGGAGAGGAACATCACACACCGGGGCCTGTCAGGGAGTGTGGGGCTAGGGAAGGGATAGCATTAGGAGAAATGCCTAATATACGTGATGGGTTGAGGGTGCAGCAAACCACCATGGCACATGTATACCTATGTAACAAACCTGCATGTTCTGCCCATGTACCCCAGAACCTAAAGTATAATAAAAGGAAAAAAAAGGAATGCTACTAAGGTTTTGCAGGAGAGTTGTATTTAATGCTGCAGAAGTGGCAAGATGGTAGATGATTGCCTTCATCTGCTGGTGAGAACAGGGATGGTATGGGAGCAGGATGGTTGCTTGTGAGCATTGCGCTTGGGCAGGCTGAAAAGAAAATGAAGCTGTCACTGGGAAGATCTCATCCTGTTCTAAATCAAAGAGAGAAGAGTAGACTGACAGTTGATAATAAAGATACTGGCAGATTGAAGTTTGTTAAATACACAGAGACAACTTATTAGGAATCTCCAGTAGGTTGGGGAGAGTTGAGAATGAACTGACTTTTGAAGACACAGAAGGGCACAATTATAACTAGTGAATGAATGTAAAATTGAGGGTGGGAAAGGGAATAAATAAATAAATGTATTAATCAGGGTGCTCCAGATATATGGACATTCCCTGATTCAACCAAGTTGACATGTAAAATTAATTCTCACAATAAACAAACAAATAAATCAATGAAGCTAAAACCATATCAGAAACAGATACAATTCATTGAAGAAAGACGCTACGTTGAAGATGTTTCCATGAAATTCCCAAATACTAGCAGACACTTCCGACTGCAGTAACATCTCAAAGGTGAGTAATTATGGAATTTAATTAAAACTTGCAGTCCACACACAAGGAAAAAAAGTGTAGTAAGAAAGATGAAATTAAGTAAATGGTATTTTCAAATAGTTCTGAGGCCTCTCAAAATTTCATGAGCAACAGAATCACCTCAAGAGTGAGCTTGTCAGAGCACAGATTTCTGGGCTCCATGCCAAGGGATTCTGATTCAGTTGGATTGCGGTGAGGCCTAAGAATTTGCACTTCTAACACCCTCACAGGTGATACACATGCTGTTAGTCTATGGACCACACTTTGAATAGCACTGATGTAAAATATGTAACTGTATCATGGACACTTAGGTTTCACAAATGTCACATTTAGGTTTCAGATTTGTCACAAGCAATCAGTCACCAGGGGCCTGAATTTTATAGCATCTCGCTGAGATATCTCACATCAACCTCAATCTCTGCAACACCTCAATTTCCCTTTATGTGTGGCATTAAGATAGCCATCCTTAATTTTCTGGAAAGTTTTGATAATTAGGTACACTCTTAATTGTGGGTGAGCCCCTAATTATACAATTAAGGTTTTAAGCCTTTTGAAATTCTAATATGGAGAGTGCTTTCATACACGCGCCTTTCTTCTTATTTTTTAAACCCTTGTAATAGCAACCAAATCCAACAGAAGCTATTTTGCAATCTATAGCCAATTCACACTTGCCCCAGATAGTAATTATAGAAAACTTATGACTTTTATGTTTGTAAAGGCTGAAGTTTTTGAAGAAATAAGCAGCTTTCAAATGTCAAGCACTCAACACAGCCTCCTCCAGTAAAGAGGTTGCTGCAGCTGCGTCTAAGGAAGGATAGGAGAGTTTCTGATATTAGAAGGAGGATTTACGCTGACCAGGCTTGAATTGACCCATGGGGCAAGAGCCATTTGTTCAGTTGGCTTTTTCTGCAAGAGGGAGAACACTGACCATGTTTTTACCAGGGCCTTTTTGTTCTCTAGTCTAACCCTGTTTCTGGACACTTATCTAAGGGAAAGCAAGTGGATAACAAAAAGGGCACATGAAAGCACTCCCTATATTAGGATTTCAAAAGTTTTAAACCTTAATTGTATAATTAGGAGCCTCATCTACAATTAAGAATGCGCCTAATTATCAAAATTTGCTAGAAAATTGAGGATGGCTATCTTAATGCCACATAAAGGAAAATTAATTTTTTCCTTATTTCTCTCTATTTTTTCATAAGTGTATTGAAAGTTTATTATTTCAAAAGAAACTTCATTACCAGATGCATCTTGTATTTTGAAAAAAAAAGACCATACTAATATGATATTAAAAATACTAAATTAACTAGTATTGACAATAAAAAGACTAAGTAGATTCATCTCCCCTTTCCTCTTCAGTTGCCGTGTTTCTCCTCTTGCTTTGCCTTTCTTTTCCATTTTCCTTTCCCATCTCTTTTCTCTTCTATCTTCCTCCCGATAAAGGGACATTACATGATTCAAGTTAAAACTCATCATGATCATCATCATAAATTGATACAACATCATTAAGTGCAATCATGTAACATTATCATCATCATTATCTTGGGCGGCTGGAGAGGCCAAACATGTTCCTCCCTTCCTCTCTTCCTTTCCCACAGCTTCTAAGATAAGAGGATCTTTATTCTTATAGTCCCCTTCCCTGTTCATAAATATAAAAGTAATTTTCTCTCTTTCCCTTTTCCCCAGCACTGTATAGACTGCCAATGTCATTTCTGTTGTTTCTTCCCTTTATGCATTTTACCAGCAATTATTTACAGCTCTTTAACTGAAGATAAATTGGCAAGGAAAGCTGGCATTGGACAAGGTTTTAGATTTCACTCAATGGTGTAAAGATGTGGAAATGGCTTCCTGTGAAGTACCAATGCAGTAGATTGTCCTATTAACTATTTAAGTGAGCACGCAAGATTATTACTTCAAAGCTCCATCTACTGCAATTATTCCTAAGTATGCCTTCACTAAAAAGATCGTGGTTGTGATATCTAAGGGTCATTTCCAAGTTAAAATCATGCCTCTCTTTCCATAGTAAAATAAAATGTCAACATAGTCACAGCTCACAGAAGGAGGGGGCGTGTGCACACAGTCATCTCAGGGTTACAGCTCATGTCAAGAGATCTTCTCTTAGATAAATAACTGGTGTTGCTTCAAACATCGTTTTATTTTCTAATTGGTAGCACATACTTCTTTGCTGGATAAATGTAATGGACTAGGTATGGCATCATCCTTAATTAATTGGTGTGCTAGCTACTTAAGAGGGCACATACCACTTGTGTTATTAAACAGTGTCATGTCAGATTTAATGGATGTCATTATGGGGGTTCCTCAGGGATCAATCCTTGGACCATTGTTATTTATGATCTTTATAAATGAGCTGACAAGGCAGGGTTCTGAGTGTTGTGTGTATCTTTATGCTGATGATACACTCCTGGGCGGGTGTGCTCAGTCACTGAGGGAACTTTGAAACTGCCTTGTTCAGGGATTCCTTAGATGGAAATTGAATTGTTTCAAATAAGGCAAAGCCAAACACTTGAGCATTTTGTGTAGAAACTCTCCAAAATACTGTGCATGCAAAGATAAAAATTAAATGCCTAGGCATTTCTGTGGTCAGAGTGATTTCAGAGAAAATGCTTATTGTTGGCAAACATGTTTACATTTAAGTCACACAAAGCAAATTGTATTCAGAGATAACTCAGAATAATTTTGATGCTGAAAATTGAGACACGTTTCTGCTATGTGAGAAGAGGTAGCAAGGGAACCTAGGTGATTTTAGCTTAGATTTTGCCTTTTCCTAAGGCTGTCTCCTGACCTCCCCAGGCTACGTGAGGTGAGCTTCCTATGTGATCTCTTGTACCTTGTGCTCGCTTTTCTATCCTTTCATTAGATTTTCAGCTTTTTCAAGGAGGACCACGTTTTTAGCTCTGCAGTCCCAGAGCCTCACCCATCACAGGATTCTCTAACTACAAAGAAAATGTTTATGGAATGTAGTGTATCAGTCTGTGTCTGGGGCAGGAAAAAAAGAGAGAAAGAAAGAAAGAGAGAGAGAGGGAGGGAGAGAGACTACTAGTATTATGTAGGGAAAGGAGTCTCGTATCAAAAGTGTGAATAACATAAATGTGGAAGCTGCTGGAGGTGAAGGTCTGGAAGGCTACACGTGGGAGGGTGGGGACACAGTCACTCAGGACTTCCACCTGCGGCACTGCAGTGGGTGGGGACGCCAGAGCTCACAGAGAAGTTTGAGATGCTGCAAAAATCTTGAAATGAACAAGAACTTGCAATGGAGTCTGAGAATCTGCCATGTGTGGCTGGAAAAGACTGAGAAGCCACAGCGTCTGGTAGGCACGATTTTTTGAGAATCATGCCTTCTTCTCTTCTTTGTCTTCTCATTGTCAAGCTTGAACTTGGAACCATTAGAAGAAAGGAATTTGGGAAGTGAATCCCAGCATTATCGCTACAGGGCAGAGGAGATCTTAGGTGTGGGGCTAGTGATGAAATCTGACAGCTAAAGATTCAGGATAATATATAAATAAAGTGCAGCCAACCCAATACAAAAAGACACGTATTCACCAACCATTTCCCATGGTAGAAGGCAGCTTTGTCTCAAGACACTGTTTAGATATCAGTTAATATCAACACAGGAGTAGAAGGCAGCTTTGTCTCAAGACACTGTTCAGATATCAGTTAATATCAACACAGGAGGAAAGGTATCTGCCAACTTGTCTGCATTATCTTTAAAGGTAGATTCTGGGATAATAAAGCAAAACACGGGCAAAGAAATAAAAAGAGCCACCTCTACCCATAAATGTTCCTATACTGGTAGAATAGGAAAAATAATCCAGTAAGCAGAATTTTAGTATTTTATTGAAAATGATTGAGGATACAGGGTCAAAAATAATTTCTATTTTATGATTTAATAACTAAGTACTATGGGAAAAATGTCAGCTCTCTCTCTCTTTTGGGGCATCACAGGCACTGCTGTCACTGAATCTGCCAGAAATAACCTTGACATCCTGTCTTGGCAAACAGTGACTGCGTTGTTGGAGGTTCAGAACGATTTCATATGGACCTCGCCTCCATCACTTCATTTGCACCACACTCTGCCTTCACACAATGACAAGCCATACAAAATTATACTATAAGAAAATGTTTCTTGTTCCAGTTAGGCACAATTATGATCAAAACTCTTATAATTTTATGCTGCAGGGCAAACTTTATATGCCAGGCAATATGCCATATCATTTCTCTCTGGAACTAAGAATGGAAAGAATGGACTTGGTGCTATGACTTCAGCAAGACAAAACTCAAGATGTAGAATGAAAAAGAAAAAAAACTGTTCTTTTCTTTTCTTACATGTCAGAATATCTTTTTTTTTTTTACAGTCTTTAAAAGCTTTGTGTTGAATATCATGTTGCAGCAGAGTTTTCAACTAACTGTCATAGTGAAAAAAGTAGACAATGAAAAATAATTTCCTTCAGTTTGACAATGGATTGTTCCTAAAGAAGATTACCCTTTTTTAGATAGAAATTCTGGTAATGTGACCATAATTAGAGTTCATTCATTTATTCAGTGAATATTTACTATGAACCACTTAGGACACTATATTAAGCCCTTTGGGGACACAAAGATAAATTTAAAGTAAGCTCTATCCATAATAAGTCTGAAATCTGGTAAGAAAAGTAAAATAAGCTCACAAACCACTTTAAAACAAAGGTGAAAGATAGTGCTAAAATATTTAAATTCACTACTGTGGCAGTAGTAAAGTCAGGGAAACTTTCATAGATGTGTCATCGAGTTTTGCTTTGTGGAATAGATGTGATTTGAATTCCCTCAATTAGGAAAAGTTTTTTATCAAAATTACACGTGACCTTCAAGTTAATCAGACTTATCTTATTTGACCCATCAGCATCACTACACACAGTTAACTATTCCTTCTGACTGTTTCTTCACTTGACTACTAGGACATTGCAGCCTTGTATTTTTCCTGTCTCCCCAGCTGCCTCATCTTAGTCACCTTTTCTGATTCTCACTGTACTCCGCCATAATGGCCCCTTTGACACTCTTTGGATATGCCGGGCACACACATACCTTGAAGACTTTACTCTTCCTATTCCCCTACCTGGATCATTCTTCTCACAAATAACCACATGGCTGACTCTCTCACCTGCTCCAAATCTTTCCTTGGATGTGGCAGTGGCTTGAATGGTGCCCCCCACAAAAGCGATCTCCAAATCCTAACACCCAGAACTTGTGAATGTACACTTATTTGGAAAAAGGACCTTTGCAGATATAATTAAGTTAAAGATCTTAAGACAAGGACATCCTGGATTACCTGGATGTGCTCTAAATCTAGTGATAAGTAGCCTTATAAGAGACTGAGAAGAGATACACATAGAAAGGAGGCCATATGAAGGGAGAGACAGAGATCAGAGTGATGCAATCACAAACCAATGAGTGCCTGGAGCCATCAGAAGCTAAGAAGCAAGGAGGGATTCTCTCCTGGAGACCCTAGAAGGAATGCAGTCCTACCAAGGCCTTGATTTAGGAGTTGTGGCCTCTAGAACTGTGAAAGAATAAACTTCGGTATTTGTAAGTCACCTGGTTTGTGGTGATTTGTTTCAGAAACCCTAGAAAGCCAATATAGATGTCAAGTTTTCAATGAACCTTACCTTGACCATTGTTTCAAAAATGTCTTCTCCTTTCCACAATGCTTCTGGTATTTCTTGTTTTGTTATCCTGCTCTACTTTCACAGCACATAGCACTTTCTAAAATGCTTTTGCCAACATATATTTTACATATAGTTTATTATCCATCTCCCACTAGAATATAAAATCTCCAGTGACAAGAATTTTTGTATGTTTTGTTTTCAAATATATCCCAAGTGCCTTAAGGAGTGTCTGGCATGTGTCGGGTACATAATAAATATTTGTTAATGAGAGCACAGTCACAAATGTGACAGAGCACAGGAAGTGTTTAATGAACAACGAGGTCCACTGTTTTGGCTTTACAAATATATTCACAGAATATAAATCTGAAAAACTAGACTAGAGGAAATTTGGATAACAGAACACATTCAAACTTAACATTTTGTGCAGGGACAATGTGTGCTTATAGCTATGCTTTTTAACACACATTGATGATTTCTTCCTCATGGAAGTCAGCTAATATAACAGGCGTGGTGGCACACGCCTGTCATCCCAGCTACTTGGGAGGCTGAGGCAGGAGAATCGCTTGAACCCGGGAGGCAGAGTTTGCAGTGAGCCGAGATCGCGCCACTGCACTCCCACCTGGGCAACATAGCGAGACTCGGTCTCAAAAAAAGCAAACAAACAGACAAAAAAAAAAAAAAACACTTATTGATTCTCATGGCTTCTTTTTTCATTTTTCCCAAGAGAAAAATGGAACTTATTTCATTGGTAAGGTCGGATAAAGAATAAAGTAGATCAGCCCAGTCCACACTCTTCCTCTTTCCTCTCTTTTGAAAGGCTGCTCACAGGATGCATGTGCTATTTTCTCCAGCCATTACTTTTATAGAGGGCCAGGCCCCTGCGTGGAGAGGCTTTCAGAGTTCAGTGCTACAAGTGTGGCTGTCTGAGTAATAAGAACTACAATGGCAACTGTAAAGAAGGCATGCTTTCTAGTCCATTATACCATGACCTTGCTACATGAAGTCATCAAAATGGGCAAAGATACTTGGTTCATTGACTTCAGGAAATAGGTGAATTTCCTCCAATCTGTGATTTTTTCATATTAAATCTCAATTTGGCATAGGGCATGGAATTAATAGTCACCCATAAATGCAGAAAAAAATGTGTTCTGAAGTGGGCAATGAAGTGACTCTCTTAAACTTAAGATTAAGAATATTTTGGAGACTAAAGTAAAGATTACCAAGACACACTAGTGTCTCTGAGAACAAATTGAAAACTACTGTTTTTTGAGAGCATGGAATGAGAACACTTTAACCAAGTGTAAGTCCTCTATTACACTAGCTCTTTTAATCTGGGCAAAATATTTGAGTCTTTTGGCCTCAGTTTCTTCATGTATAATTTAGGGTAAATTTTTCTTGTTGATAAAGTTATAATAAGAGTATTAAATAACCTATGTTCATTGGATCATACATATTTCCAGGAGAAGAGACTTCTGCAAGGATAACATTCTTGGTTTCTCTCCCATTCTCTCATGGACACATGAGGAGGAGAGATTACTTGCTTAATTGGTGTGTTTCAGAGAAAAAAAAAAAGTATTCTGTTCAATCCCTTCTTGTCTCTCTCTTGAAGTAGCTACTTATGAGGCATATACATTTTCTGCTATTCCATGCTGCAGGATTTAGGGGCAGGGTCTCAATGGGTCAAGGCCTACAGCTGTTCAGCCATGCCATGACTAGGAACTAAGTTTGTCTAAGTAGAAGGTAAAGTATTAGCAAGACTATTGTGGCCACACATGTATTTCCTGTCTTCAATTCAGTAGCAAAGCTCTTTATTTAATTTAATTTTATTTTTTATTTTACTTTAAGTTCTGGGATACATGTGTAGAACTTGCAGGTTTGTTACATAGGTATACATGTGCCATGGTGGTTTGCTGCACCTATCAACCTGTCATCTAGGTTTTAAGCCCCATATGCATTAGGTATTTGTCCTAATGCTCTCCCTCCCCCTGACCCCCGTCCCCTGACAGGCCACGGTGCGTGATGTTTCCCTTCCCTATGTCCATGTGTTCTCATTGTTCAACTCCCACTTATGAGTGAGAACATGTGGTTTTAGTTTTCTGCTCCTGTGTTAGTTTGCTGAGAATGGTGGCTTCCAGCTTCATCCATGTCCCTGCAAAGGATATGAACTTATTCTTTTTTATGGCTGCATACTATTCCATGGTATATATGTGCCACATTTTCTGTATCCAGTCTATCATTAATGGGTATTTGGGTTGGTTCCAAGTCTTTGTTATTGTAAATAGTGCTACAAAAAACGTATGTGTGCATGTGTCTTTACAGTAGAATGATTTATAATGCGTTGGGTATATACCCAGTAATGGGATTGCTAGGTCAAATGGTATTCCTGGTTCTAGATCCTTGGGGAATTGCCACACTGTCTTCCACAATGATTGAACTAATTTACCCTCCCACCAACAGTGTAAAAACATTCCTATTTCTCCACATCCTCGCCAGTATCTCTTGTTTCCTGATTTTTTTAATAATGGCCATTCTGACTGGTGTGAGATGGTATCTCACTGTGGTTTTGGTTTTATTTCTCTAATGACCAGCGATGATGAGCTTTTTTTCATAGTTTGTTGGCTGCACAAATGTCTTCTTTTGACAAGTGTCTGTTCATATCCTTCACCCACTTTTTGATGGGGTTGTTTGTTTTTTTCTTGTAAATTTGTTTAAGTTCCTTGTAAATTCTGGATATTATACCTTTGTCCAGTGGGTAGACTGCAAAAATTGTCCCATTCTTTAGGTTGCCTGTTCACTCTGATGATAGTTTCTGTTGTTATGTTGAAGCTCTTTAGTTTGATTAGATCCCATTTGTCAATTTTGGCTTTTGTTGCAGTTGCTTTTGGTGTTTTAGTCATGAAGTGTTTGCCCATGCCTATGTCCTGAATGGCATTGCCTAGGTTTTCTTCTAGGGTTTTTATGGTTTGGGATTGTACATTTAAGTCTTTAATCCAACTTAAGCTAATTTTTGTATAAGGTGTAAGAAAGGGGTCTAGTTTCTGTTTTCTGTATATGGCTAGCCAGTTTTCCCAGCACCATTTATTAAATAGGGAATCTTTTCTCCATTGCTTGTTTTTGTCAGATTTGTCAAAGATCAGATGGTTTAGATGTGTGGCATTATTTCTGAGGTCTCTGTTCTGTTCCATTGGTCTATATATCTGTTTTGGTACCAGTACCATGCTGTTTTGGTTATCAGTAGAAAAACTCTTAATTTCTCTTCCTTCTCACTGATTTTTGTATTTATTTCTCAAATGGTACCAAACTTGGGTAAGAAAAATACATTATCAGTGGTTTCCCTCAAAACTCCAACATCTTGGCCTGGTGCAGTGTCTCTAATTTCAGCACTTTGGGAGGCTGAGACGGCAAATCACTTGAGGCCAGGAGTTCAAGACCAGTCTGGCCAACATGGTGAAACCCTGTTTCTACTAAAAATACAAAAATTTGCCAGGCGTGGTGGTGCACACCTGTAATCCCAGCTACTCAGGAGGCTGAAGCATGAGAATTGCTTGAACCCAGGAGGCAGATGTTGCAGTGAGCCGAGATCATGCCACTGCACTCCAGCCTGGGCAACAGAGTGAGACTCAGTCTCAAAACAAACAAACAAACAACAACAACATGCAAATTAATGCAATTATTGCAATATGTTTAAGCTGTGTTTGTAAATGATTGCAATATGTATTTATTTTTGCTTATTTTCTCTGCCAGAAGCACAAAAATATCTTATCTTAGAGTTTATATTTTCCACATTAGTAGCAAATCAGAAAAAGGCCCGAGAAAGAATAATATGAAATACTCAGTAAATGATATAGATTCGCTGTGCTTTGTAATTCTACAGTCCTTCACTGTACAGTTACTTAAAAATAAAATAGTTTCCTCGCTCATAGTTTCAAAATGGCTCTACTGCTTCTGTGTGTGTGTGTGTGTGTGTGTGTGTGTTTCATCAAAGAAATTTCTCTTTCTTATCTTGAGAAAAAAATTAAAGAGAAGTTTGTTCCTCCTTTCCTTCCCCTGCCCCACCCACACACAACAAACTTCTTGCCCTCACTATCACCTATACACAGGGTAAAACAAGAAATTGGCCTTTTGTTTTCTTCCCCAGCTTCAGACGACTAAAAGACATTGCTTCTTGAGCTTAATCACTAAATAGCATGATAGCCTCCAAGCATGGGTTATATGGTTATTTAAGGAAAAATCAGTTGTTTTCATATAGTTATTGTAGTCAAATATTTTGTTTTCATGAGTATTTCTATAGCATTATTATTTGTGTGGTAATCTTCAAAATAATTTATTTTATGCATTAAGGGTTACAGAGGTTTTGCTAGCACTGCTATGGTTAAAGGTCTATAGGCATCTCATTTGATTTGAGCATATTCTCTGACTTGAACCATGTTTTATTACCATGGGCTTCATCCACAGCTTTTGCTCACTGATTCAAGCCATCTGCTATTGGAAATTTTAACTCCTTTTCTGCAAAAGTATATCGACTCCAATGCTTCTAAGAAATTTCCCATGTTCCACATAGTGTCCTGCACATGCAAAACTCTCCTGTTTCCTATTTACCTGGTAAAATCACTCATTTTGGTGCCTGCATGCCAGCACAGTACTTGTTTGTGACCTAACTCTTCTTTCAATTTCTCTAACTTTTCAAACAGTCACATTAGTGCTTGGTTGTCTCTTTCATTTATGTTTTTAAAATTGTGAATTTCAGGTGTTGTTATTACCATTTACCTTCCACCTATGCTTTCAGTTTTCTTTATTTCACATAAAGAAAAGATGTTCCTTTGAGAGGGTCATTCTGGAGTAGTCATAACATCTTATTTTGCTGGTGAGAATGTTTATAAGAAAGCAGTTGCTGTTATTCAAACAAGAACAACTCACTTCTTATGCCATGGATTATAGCATGGGTGACAAAATCTGACAATGTATAAGAATCACTGGGGACAATAACCTCATACTCACATCTTATTTTGTTTCCTTAAGAATTGTTCCATGCCTGTTAGGTGTATTTGTTATTTTTTGAGAGTTTTTTGCTTTAGGCCACCATATAGAAGCACACTTTTACATGCTGAGCATTCACCAGTAGATGTACACAAATCACAGATGGCATCCAATCGCATAACTGTATGTAATTTTACCTTTAAATCTCTCATAATATCTTCAGCTAGGGAATGAAAAGAAGAAATAAAATTTTACTGTAAATATCATGGTCACTCATAGTCTCAAATAACTAGTCTGTTTTTTTAAAAATTACATTTAAAAGGGATCAAGAAAGAACCTCCAATTTTGGTTAGGATTCAGAAAGTTATAAGGTACCATTTTTCCCACCTTATCAATGAGCCAGTTAAATTACAAAGTCATAGATTATAAACCAATAAGAGAACTGAGGAAAAATACAATTTCAGAATGTGATGAATTTTAGGGAAGGAAACTGATAGCTGTTTACAGTGCTGTTGGAGAGGCAGAGGAGTTTTAAAAAGATGAAACAGCAAAACTTTTACAAACTCATAATGACCACATGTGGGCTAGTGTGAGAGATTAGAATCACTAGAAAGTACAGCGTGAATCTGCATCTCCTTGCCAACACTTTCCCATGACACCTCACTAAGCACATGGATGCAACACCCCAAGGGCCAGAGCAAGACAGGAATTTTGACAGCTCTCCTCCTGTAATTTGTAGGGCTCCCCTAGTGTTAGTCAGTGGCAAGGTGGAATAAGAAAGCTAAGGGGAATCTCTCTGGGGTACACCATGAGCCTTCATATAGTAAAGTCACTGAATAAAAAAAAAATCCGAGAAAGGGTAGCAGAACTGAAAAAAAAAAAAATTTTTTTTCAGGACACTTTGAACTTTGACCTGGCATAACGCAGAGGTCTTCCAAAAGTCAATGCAAGGAGACAGAGTAGAGGGAGTTACTCCTAAGGTAAAGAATGCCAAGGGTGAAGCTGGTATGAAAAGAGAACTCATGAGTCACTGACAAAACAAGCAGCTGAGCTGTAAAGGAGCGAGAGACTGCCTCAATTTGTACAGCTAGTAGCCAGACTCTAATGCATAAAGAAATCTCTGGAGTCCGTCAGACATTTGAAGCTAGTGATGATTTGCACCTAACTAAAACTACCACAAAGTCCAAACTCACCTCAATTATCTGATTAGTAATAATCACTGGACACTCCAGCAGCCTGATAGAAGGGCATATGTCATTTTGGGGAAAATAAATATTTATTTCAGTCTCTAGTGTTAAATATAATTAGAAATTATGAGACATGCAAAGAATCAAGAAAATGTCACCTACAATTAAGAGAGGATACAATAGAAGCAGATCTAGAAATGTTGCAGGTGTTGGCATTATGAGATAAGGATTTTTAAATGCTATGTTCTTGTATTTAAATATGCTAAAGAACTTTAGGGAAAGGTAGGCAACATGCATGAACAGTTGGGGAATTTAACCAGAGAGAAGGGAACCAAAGAAACTCAAATGGAAATACAAAAAGGTATCAGAAATAAACAATATTTAACAGTGAGCTACACATAAGACTTGAAACAGGATTGGAAATAATCAGTGAAGTTGAATATAAGTTTATAAATTGTCTAAACTGAAATTCAAAGAAAAAATAAATGGAAAATCAAAACTTGGTATATAAGATATGTGTAACAATATTAAAATCTTAACTGGTCTATCATAAGAATAATTAGAATCTAAGAGAGAAAGAGGGAAGTGGAGCAGAAGAAATATTTGACTGAGAAAGAAATGATTGAGAATTTCTCAAAGTCAAAGAAAGACATCAATCCTAGGATTCAAAAGTAAAGCAATCACCAAGCAAGATAAATTTAAAGAAAACCATACTTAGGCACTACATAGTCAGGATTGTGAAAATCAAAGAAAAAGAGAAAACAATCCAAAGTGGGATGTATTACATATTAAGAAATAATGAGTGATTGATGGCTGACATCATCAGAAAAAAAAATGAGACCAGAAGGAAGTTGAGCAACATATTAAAAGAACCTAAGGAAAGGAAAAATTTATCCTAAAATTATATATCCAATAAAATTCAACAATTATGAAGGCGAAATAGAGATATTTTTAAACATTTAGAAAGAAGCTGAGAAAATAAATTTTCAGCCAAACTGCCCTACAATTAATGCTAATAGAAGTCTCCAAGCTAAAGAAAATTAATAACAGAGCAAAGATCAGGAATAAAAACTAAAAACAACAGAGAGAGTAAATATAAAGGCAAAGATAAGACTTTTGTTTAAAAGGCTATCAATGATTTCTAGTAAAAATAATAACAATGTGTACATAAGTAAAATACATGACAACCCAGGAGGAAATGGTAGGGAGGGGACATAGGAAATGTGTGCATATAAGGTTTTTATTTTGTCTGGGAAATAATAAAATATTAATTTAAATATTATTAACTATGATAAAATGCATTTTCAAATCTCTAGAAAAATCACCAAAACGTAACAGATAAGGATAGCAAAAAATCAATACAGTATAAAAATGGAATACAAAAAATACTTGGTTTCCTAAAAGAAACACAGGAAACAAGAAATGAAGAGATTTTAAAAAGTTGGAAGTCATAGAAAACAATGTTAATAGTTTTGAGTTAAATCCAACTATGTCCATAATTATAATAAATATAAATGGAATGAACATTCTAATTAAATGGAAGTGGAAGAGACTGTTAGATTAGATTTTTATGAAAAGCAAAATCAATTTATATGCTGTTTACAAGAGGCACACTTTAAATAAAAAGACAATAATTGTTTATTTACATGAAAAATAAGGAAAGATATACAAGCACCAGTGAAAGAAAGGTAATGTGGGTGTGGCTGTGTTAACATGAAAGTAAAACTTATTAGAACTAGGCAAATGTGGGAGACAGATGCCCCCCAATACACACAGACACACACACACACACACACACAGACCCACAGACACACAGAGACACAGAGATGTCTACATCCTAATTCCTGGAGCCTGTAAATATGTTAATAAACATGGTAAAAATGACTTTGCAGAGCTGATTAAGTAAGAATCTTAAAATGGGAAGATTATCCTGGATTATCTATATGGTCACAATATAATCACAAGGGATCATAAGTAAGGAAAGAGAATGCAGGCCAAGGAATGAATGTGGTTTCCAGAAGCTAGAAAAAGCAAGAAAAAAGATTCTTTCCTAGATCTTCCAAGAAGAATGCAGACTTGCCAACGCATTTTAGGACTGGTAACTCCAAAACTAAAAAAGAATAAATATGTAGTGTTTTAAATCACTAAGCTTGGATAATTTGTATAGCAACAATAGGTAACAAAAAATTCAGCAAAGTCCCATAATACAACGTCAATATACAACAATGAATTCTATTTTCATGTACTAGCAATGAATGATTAGGAAATAACTTTTTAAATCATTAAAAAGAACATATAAAAATATTAAATACTTATAAATAAGTCTAATAGATTATATGCATGACTAAAGACAACAAAACATTGCTGACACAGAAGCATAGACTCAAAGAAAAATAGAAAAATAATTTTGCAACCATGGGGTAGGCAAAGATTTATTGCAAAAGTCATAAGAGCACTATAAATTTTAAAATTAAAATATTTTAAAAGTTTGTAGCAGGATGAGGAGATAGAAACTCAAGCAGGGTTTCTATACAGTATGGAGGAAGAATTTCTCCTTCTTTGGAAAACCTTAGTTTTTGCTCTTAAGGCCTTCAACTGATTAGATGAGACCCATACACATTACCTCCTTTACTTAAAATCAACTGATGATGGATGTTAATTGCATCTACAAAATACTACACAGATACACACAGTGTATATTTGTATTCACAAATACAAAAACCTAGGTTAATATTTGATTGAATATCTGGGTGTTATAGCCTAGCCAAATTGATACATGAAGTTAATCACCACCATTGTCATTAAGAAAATGAATAATTAAGGCACATTTGGGGAAAAAAGTTTATAAAACTTTTTTTCTCTGACAAAAGACTCATGGAAAATATGTATAGAATTCTTTTAAATTAAGAAAAAGTAACAACACTATTTAAAAACTGGAAACACTTGAACAGATGCTTTACAAGAAAAGATATATAAAATGACCAAGAATAAATAAAAATAAATTTAAAAAATCAAATAACATTATTCGATATTAGCGAAGTACAAATTAAAATCACAGTGCGACATCATTGTGTACCCAATACATAAGATCAAAAAGACTGACAATACCAGAAGTTGGCAAGAATGTGGAACAATTGGAACTTTCCTACATTGTCTGTGGGAGTGAAGAATGGTAAAATCACTTGCAAGAGCTGTTAGGCAGTTTGTTATAAAATTAAGTATACTTCTAACCTATAAACTAGCAATTCTACTTTTAGGTTTATGCCCAAAAGAAATATTAATAATAAGTCCAAAAAAAGAATTGCGCAAGAATGTCTATGGTAGCCTTATTCTAAAAAGGCAGTAACAAGAAAGACCGAAATGTCCATTTACAGGAGAATGAATAAAAACTGGGGAAATATGTTGTGTTATGGAATATTACCAAACAATATAGCACAATGTACTATTGTTATATGCAACAACATGGATGAATCTCAAAAACATATTGTGAGAAAAAAACAGACATAGAATACATGCTTGAGTCCGGCATGGTGGTACATGCCTGTAGTCCCCAGTTACTCAGGAAGCAGAAGGCTTGCATGGTCCCAGAAGTTTTGAGTCAGTCCTGGGCAACGTAGCAAGACTCTGTCGAAAGAAGGAAGGAAGGAAGGAAGGAAGAGAGGGAGGGAGGGGGGAGGGAGGGAGGGAGGGGGGAAGGGAGGGAGGACACATTCTGAATTATCAAACTTATACGAAGTCCAGGAATAGGCAAAACTAATCTACATAATATACATCAAAATGGATTGTACTGGAGGAGCAACAAGAGTTAATTCACTAGAATAGTCATGAAGAAACTTTCTGGGGTGAAGGAAGTGTTATATATCTCATTTGGGGTGCCACTTACAAAGGAATGTACAATTGTCAAAATGTGTCTACCTGAACTTCAACATGAATTTCTAAGGTCACTGCATTTTATTGTTTGTGAATTATCCCTAAATGGGAAAAAATGGAAAAAGAGGCATAACATCTTCTTGAAATTTCATTTTATTGCTTCACAAGGGCAGTTTTCAAAGTTGGATTAGAAAGAGAAAGGGAGACTCAGCAGAAGGTGCTAGTTTTTCCCCCAGAGAAAACAGCATGCTGCTTGACATCATCCTTTTACCCCTAGAGACAGAGTGAAGTAAAAATAGTCTAATTGCTTTTCTCTGAAACAAAACAGATCAAGTCTAATCAATGTGTTCTGATTGTGGCTGAAAGAACAGAAGTTTGACACACAGAAGCAGTCTCATTCAATCTTTGCCTAAACTTTTACACTGATACACGTTTTAAAGGGGAGTTAATTGAAAATGCAGGTAATTTTAGGTTTTGTTCTCTTTGGGATTTTAAAATAATAACATTTTATGTTAATCCTATCTTAAATACATAGTATCCTAAAGTCAGCCACAAAACAAAACAAAGCTTCATGAATACAAAGATACCAAGGGAATGGTTTCCTTAGAAATGTTACCCAGATGTATTAAGCACCTAGCTCAAATTCATGATAGTAGTCACACAAAGACTGACTGCTAGGTTGCCTAGAGTATAGCTGTGGATTACATGTAGGATTTAACTAATTTATCATGGAAATGCTCCCACTAAAAAGCTTATTCTCTGAAAGAATTTATCTAGCACCATTGAACATACATATCTCATGCTGCACATATGTAAATACATGTATATTTATATATATATATGATTAATAATATAACATCCGGCATTTTGAGGAATTGAAATTGCTGGAATGTTCGACATCATTTTTCAGTGATGACAGTAGCAAATCTTCTGACAGAGATTGAAGTAAGAGTAATGACGTAGATGTTTATGTTGGAAGATATTTTCTAGGGAGAGAGTTTTAAACAAAGATATATTGCTTGAATCCTAGAGCTGAAAGGAATTGGAGGTCATCTGGTTCATCTTCCATGCCCAAACTAGAACTCTTTCTGCTACACTGACTGATGACCAACCTGTCTCTGCTTGAAAAGTAGAGACCAACCTGTCTCTGCTTTGGAAGTCAGCCCAGTCAGATTCCTCTCCTGAGAAAAATGGATGTAGAGTTCCAGATACTGACTGTATTCAGTGTGTTGTTACAAGCTCTGGAGCTGAAAGGTCACATAACTTCAAAACTGGAGATGCAAATACAGTCGAGGAAGGGAGAACTGAGACAGTAAATAAAGAAGAGGAAGCCAAGTTACCAAAAAGAAAATGAACAGAGAATGATGAGCAGGGAGAAGCAGACACAGGAAGCCATGCAGTACCAGACAAATTTGCCTTGCCTCCTGACTATTTTTCTCTGCTTCCTCAACCAAATACTCCAATTTTCTATCCTTGAGTATTTCAAAATGTATGCCATCTGATGTGATTCCCTTCCAGAAAATGTAAAATCAAACTAAACAAAGATAATTTCCTGAGGTAGTGATTGTAGAAGTGACAAATTATCTCACCACCCAAGCACTGGTCTCAAGATTGTCTTTTGGGGATGAAGAAAGATATTTGAGTTTTCAGGGTATAGAGCATAAGCAAGAAGAGGTCAAGGAGGTAAAATTTTGAAAATCTGTCAAAACTACCACAAAGCGGGACCCATTTTTTTTTAACCAATATAGAGTATTCCCATAAAAACAAGGATCTTTAGACTAAAAGTAGTGAATATTCTCTTTTAAGTGACAGGCATCTGGCTGGGGCTTTTAAAAATACCTCCTAATTTCACACATTATCCAGCAGTTCTGATGTACTAAGTGACTATGGCAGATACCGATACTATGTCAAACCTTTTGCATGCCCCTATAGATGAATTACAGTTCATATATTAAGATTTTGAAGCAAATATATCTTCTGTAAGACGGTTTTTCTCCTTTAAGAAATAGCTTCTGGTTTTCTACTGAGACCTAGTAGAAACTCAATGTTTAGCCATGGGACTATAAGTTACAATATAATCTGGGTTCCCTATCATAAACTCAGTGTTGTCTCATCTAAGCAGCAATTTGGTGGTTTGGAAATATTATTTTGTTCTGCAAAATTGTGAGAGGAAGAAAGAAAACACAGAGATTGTAATGATAGGAGATGGTCAAGTATCTTCAGCAGCTTGGTCAGGAATGAATACATTAGAGAAACTGATAATCTTTATAATCTTTGTCGAAGAAAACATGTTCACTTCCGTCATTATGACCTCAAGTAAATTCACTATTTTATCGTGTAAACATTGTGTATTAGTTTGAAAGGGACTTTTTCCCTTAATTCTTTCTTGTTACTCACACTTGACACTTTGGGGCTGCTGCTTTCTCATATTTCTACTCTCTCTACATATGTGTTTTCCTCAATAGTATGTATACACCTTCATAATTATAGGCATTTTTTTTCAGGTTTCATCTCTAGGAAAAGAAATTTATCTCAAAAGTTGCCTACTGCTGACTTAGAAATCCAATTCCATCACATCTATGTAAAAGAGTGCCTCTGAGTATAACTAAATGATGTGGAATAGAAGGATAAGCTTCAGGTATTTACCAGGAAATCAGAGTATAATTTTTTCTTCAAGAAAAGAAACTTAGCAATTCTATATTTTAAAGTTGTGTTAATCCCTATTGAGTGCCAAAGAATAAAAAAACTATAAAAAAGACACTGTCTAAAATATACTGAATCTACCCCAGTTATAGCCACCTATCAAAACCATGTTTAAAATAATCCTTTATTTAAAAAAAGAAGAAAGACGAATAAATAATTCAGTTCTTAAGAGGACTGAAAAACTTTCCATTTTAATATCCTTCTAATTTACGTGAATGTCCTACTCTAAAAAGAACCACCACTCTCATAAAAATGCCATGGAACATACATTGGCATAAGCTTTTGATAAAGAATGTGGTAACACGTATCAATATTTAAATGTATATAAACCACCTATATCTTTTCTTGAATTATATCCTGAGACGATGATTGAACAAAATGAAGGTATATCTCTGTATATCTATACACACGTTTTGTATGTTAGTATCAATGTTCACAAAATAGATTTTATAATAGTAAAAATTTGAGAACATCCTAAATATCACTGAGGAATCAATGAACACAATATGGCATATCTAATCAACAGAATACTATTCATCAAATAAAATAAAAATACATCTTTTTTAATATTCAACTAATTCTTAATTAGTTTCTTTTAATAAGCTAGAGCCTAAATTATTAGTAGAGCTTCTAGACTAATCAACAAGTAAGGTCACAGTAGTTAGATAATCCAAATACAAAGGAAAAGGACATTTAATAGAAATGAAGAACAGTTGAAGGCGTTGATATAATTAAGTTCAGAAGTTGGGACCCTGAAGTAGGTTTTAGTTATTGACTAAGGGGAAGAGAGCAAGCATTTCCTTAGAAGGTAAGCATGGATTGCCAAGTGACACAGTAAATCTACCTGGCTGTGGTAAGAAACTAATTCTCAATAAATGTCCCTGCAAGAATAGCAGTTACAGAGCAGCATCTACAGCATATAAATTGCAGGGTGCTCCTTATGGGGAACACATAAGCATTCCATGTACACCAGGATAGATGTAGAAATGGAGGTGTATAAAAATGTTAATAGTAGCTACCTCTCCATGAAGAGAATCTAGGTGGTTTTTTATTTCTTTTAAAATTCATTTTTATTAATAATGATAAGCATGTATAATTTTATACCAAAAACCTTTATAACATTATTTTTTATTTTCAAATAAATAAAGACTGTATCTGGATGCAGTCCAGCAAAATGAGTAAAGCTTACGTACCTTGAATGAAAATAAATTCCCTTTTTATTAATTTTCACCTGAACAAGCCATGTTCTCATAATAATGCTTTTGTTAAAATTAGTTTTATTGACTGTGCAACTCTGCCTAGCTGAAGTGTCTTTTAGCCACTTTTATACAAATAAGTAATGTATACTTAGAATACTTGGGACACTTCACTGGGTTGAAAACATTCTATACTTGTGTAAAGATGAGGAAATAAAGATCCCTGTAAACTTTCTGCTGAAAACATGTATTAAAGCAAGGGGAATTGGAGTGATTTTTTTTTCTATGTACTTAAGAAGTTATGAATTGAATTTTGAATCCTTATATTACCATACTTGCTTTATTTAAACCAATAACAAATAATACTTTGGAGATTTTTTTACTATCAATTCAGTCAATGTTTATATGATTAGCTAACAGACTACACTTTGCTACCTTATTAAGTTATTCAAAACTAGATATGAGGAGGAGCATATATTCTGAGAGAAATACTAGCTGACAGTCTGACATATTCTCACAATGAGTGAGATGATCTGAAAGTAAGACTAAATAGAAAAGCCAGGATTTTCTTGATATCATGAGTAAAAAAATTGTTTGAGGGCTTCTTACATGGGACCCACCAACACACCAAAAAGCAACTTAATAAATTTTCACACTTATTAGCTTAAAATAGCAATCCTGATTTTCTTACAATTCTGTGGGTCAGGAATTCAGCACTCCTCTGGGCAGTTCTTAGGCTCCACCTGGTGTGAGTTTTCGTCACTCATGAGGTTACAGTCAGACAGAAGTGGAGGCTAAAACATCCAAGATGGCGGCTTCACTACAGGTCTGGTGCTTTGGTGAGAATGGATGGAAGATTGGCCTCCTTCTCTCTCTCAGTATCTCTCTCTCTCTCTTTGTCTCTCTCTCTCTCTGTCTCTCTCTCTCCCCATATGTGTCTCTCTCCATGTGGCTTGCTTTTACATGCCTATTTTTTTTTTCTTTTTCAACTTTTATTTTAGAATCAGGGTGTACATATACAGGTTTGTTACAAAGATACATTGTGTGATGCTGATGTTTGGGGTAAGATTGAACCCATTTCCCAAGTAGTGAACATAGCACCCAAGAGGTAATTTTTCAGCCCTTGTCTGGCTCACTCTCTTCCTACTATGGTAGTCCCCAGTGTAGCCTGTTCCAATCTTTATGTCCATGTGTACCAAATGTCTAGCTCCCACTTGTAAGAGAGAACATGTTTTCTGTATTTGGTTTTCTATGTTAGTTTGCTTAGGATAATGGTATCCAGCTGCATCCATGTTGCTGCAAAGGGCATGCTTTTGTTCTTTTTTATGGGGGCATAGTATTCTATGGTGTATATGTAGCGCATTTTCTTTGTCCAATCCATTGCTGATGGGCAACTAGGTTGATTCCATGTTTTTGCTATTGTGAATAGCACTACAATGAACATATGGGTGCATTACATGCCTCTTAATAGCACACGTTAGCTGGCAGATCTGATGGTATATTAAGTGACTATGGCAGACAGCAATACTGTGGTATGCCTTTATACAATTCACAGATTTAGAATTTTGGCACAAAATTATGCTCTGGAAAACACTTATTATCCTTTGAGAAACAGCTTCTGGTTTCCTACTGAGACCTAATAGATACTCAACTTTTAGCCATGGCACAACTTTTAGCCATGGCACACCATATTACAGTATAATCTGAGATCCCCATTATAAATGTAGTGTTGTCTCACCCAACCAGCAATTTGGGCAAGCATGCCATCATCAATTTGAAGAAGAGTGGTAAAAGAAAATCTGCCAGTCAGCAGAACTTCAGTTAGTGTGCCTGGCTGTTAATTACGCTAGAAAGCAGAGATGTCAAGAGGTATGTATCTGCATCAATTCATGAGTAATGGTGGTTGGGTGGTCAGGAACTTGAAAGAGACACAACTGAAAAATTGGTGGCAAGAAATCCTGTGGGGAAAATATAAACGTAGATTTCTCTGATTGGTTAGAGAGTATAAAGATATTTATGTCCCATGTGAAGGCTCACCAAAAAGCACCATAGCAGAGGAAAGTCTTAATATTCAACTAAACCCATTTGAGTATTAGTCACACTTCTTCCTTCACCCTTGTTCTTGCCCAATAGGACTATGAACAAAGTACCATGGTAACAAGGACGGAGGCTACACATTTATCTCAGAAGCACAAGCTTCCACTTATCAAGGCCAATTTGGCTATGTCCACTGCCAAGTGTCTACCTGGCCTATTGCAGAGACCAAAACTGAGACCCCATGTATAGTAGCATTACCTATCTGGTAGAAATTCCCATGCGACTTACTTAGTGGCGGGCTGGTTACATTTCACCATTTCCATCATACACGCAACAGAGCTTGAGTAAGTTTCCCTGGAATAGATATTTACTCTCAATATAGATTTACCTTCCCTGCCTTAATGCTTTTGCCAAAACCACGACTGTGGACTTATAGAATGCTTTATTCACCATCTGACTATTTCACCTGTCATTGTTTCTCAACAGGAAACTCATTTTTATAGCAATTGAATTGTGGAAATGGGCTCATGTTCATGGAATTTACTGGTCTTGCCATGTTGCCAATCACCCTGAAGCAGCTAGCCTGACAGAATAATGGATTGGCCACTTGACGTATTAGTTACAGCACCAAATGCATGACAACACCTTGCAGATTTGGAGTAATGCCCTCCAGGATGTGGTATATATTCTAAGTTATACATAAGGTTTCTATTTCTCTAATATCTAAGTTTCACTGGGCTGGGAATCAAAGTAAAAATAGAAGTAACTCTTTTTGTTATTAGTCTGAACTATCCATTAGTAAATTTTAACCTTCTCATTCTTGCGACTGACAGCTCTGTTTGGTTTAGAGATGTTAGTTTCCCAAAGAAATATGCTTCCACCAGGAAACACAATAGGCCTATTAAATTGACCATTTTAGGCTTCTGATGTCAGCAAGCCAAGGGCAAAAAGGGTGTTAGTATACTGGGCCTGGCGATGGATTCTGATTATTAACAGAAAATTGCATTGCTTCTACCTAATGAAGGAATAGAGGAGAAAGTCTGAATGCAGGAAATCATCTAGGGTACCTCTAAGTACTCCACTGTCCCATGATAAAAATTAAAGAAAACTGCAGCAACATGATATAGGTATACGGACTCTTTTAAGATTGAAGTTTTGAGTCACCCAATAGACGAGCAACCATGACCAACTGAGAGGTACTTGCTAAAGTCAAAGGGAATGTGGAGTAGAAGAAGGAAGATCATAACTTCAGTAATATGCTGCATAATAACGTTTCAGGACATTTCATGATGGACCACACAGTGGTTCCGTAAAAGGATAATGAAGCTGAAAAATTCCTATTGTTTAGTGACAGTGTAGCCATAATCAAATGATAGTGCAATGCATTACTCACATGTTTGTGATGATGCTAGTGTAAATTAACCTACTGTGCTGCCAGTCATACAAAAGTCCAGCACGTATAATTATATACAGTACCTAATACTTGATAATTACAGTAAACAACTATGTTATTGGCCTATGTATTTACTGCACCATACTTTTTATCTTTAGTGTGTGGTCCTACTTATATACACTTAAAAAAAGTTAACTATAAAACATCCTCAGTCAGGTCCTTCTGGAAACATCCAGAAGAATGCATTGTTACCACAGGAGATGGCAGCCTCATGCATGTTATTGCCCCTAAAGACCTTCTAGTGGGACAAGATGTGGAGGTGGAAGACTGATATCAATAATTCTGACCCTGTGTAGGCCTAGGCTAATGTGTGTGTTTGTGTCTTAGTTTTTACATAAAATTTTAAAAAGTCAAAAAAATTAAAGAATAAAAATGTTTAAAAGTAAGGAAAAGTTTATAGAATAAGGATATAATGATAGATCATATCTTTATATAGCTGTACAATATGTTTATATTTTAAGCTGTGTTATTACAAAGAGTCAATTTTTTTATATTAAAAAGTTTATAAAGAAGTTACAATAAGCTAAGGTTAATTTATTGAAGAAAAATGAAATAAATTGAGTGTAGACTGAGTGTACAATGTTTATAAAGCCTACAGTACTATACGGTAATGTCCCAGGTCTTTATACTACTCACCACTCACTCACTGACTCACCCAGAGCAACAGAGTATACCATATAGCCTAGGTGTATAGTACACTGTACCATCTACATTTGTGTAAGTACACTCTGTGATGTTTGTGCAATGACAAAATTGCCCAGTGACACATTTCTCAGAACTTGTCCCCATGACTATAAGCAATGTGTGACTGTACCATAAATTAGGACTGTAATAGTTTTGGACATTTTTTCCTTATTTCGATAGAACAATTTTTGAATATATAATAACTTCTTTTGAATTCTTTTTCTTGCCTGTCCATTTTCCTTTTATCCATGTCATACTGCTGTAATTCCTTTGATGTAAAATAAATTCCTTGATCTAAAACATTATTGCATGGGATATAGCAGTTTTGAAAAAGGCATTCCAATAATCAATGGATGATGGTGATGGCATCAGGATTGTGGACAGCAAAAACAAGTCCACGTCAAGAATAGGTTTTTATTCAAGTCATTTCCATGATGAAAGAGGGCTAACTGAAATAATTGCACCGGGCAAACTGATTCCCCTGGGATCAGGGCTATATAGCAATTCATTTCTGGCGTTTGATTTTGGACAGGTTGGTCCCTAAACAAGAACAATAACCACATCAACATAGTGAAGGAAAGTCTACAGTTTTGGCCCTATGGATAACTTGAATTACTGTCATCATGGCCACTTCGTTCAAGAGCCCGTTCAGCAAGCGACCAGGGAGGAGGAGACAGTGTCTCGAAAATTAGGATCATAGAAGTAATTGAGCCACTTCCAGAAACACTACCAGAATGAGAGAGAATGCAAGAGAGAGAGAAAAAGAGAAGTAGAAAAGAGGATGGCTTCTCCCCTCATTGTGCTTCTCATATCTGCTGTCTCTTAAAAGAACCAAAGAATCATGGGAAATAGAGTTTGCAAGTTCTCAGCCCCAGCATCACATAACAGTTATCAAAGGGTATGTAGGAATTAAAAAAGACAGTAGAATTACATAACATTGTAACCACCTCTCCCTACTCCCAAGAAATACAAAACACAAAGAAATGGGATGAGGCATAGGACTTCAGAGATTATCACTGCAACTGGAAATCATTCAATGTTTTATAGTTGTATCACCAAACATTACCAGGTATTTATAGGTGGCCTCAATTTCACTACTATTTTTTCACGTAATCATGTCATTTTCACCCTTTAAAATTAATATTTGAAGATTTCAAAATAAATTTGATCAAGAATTTTGTCTTCACACCAAAGGCCAGGGTAAATTGCCACCAAAGAACAATTCAGGTAATACGAGCATATAGAGAATTCTCCTAAGAGAAGAAAGAGAAACACAGTTGCCAATCAGGTTGTCAGGCCACTTTAATTGATTTAAGATTACAAAACATTTCCAGGATGCATAGTGGGGACATTTCAGTCCCAAAAACTACTTTTATTTTCTACCTCTGTGTCCATCTAAATGATACTGGATCTGGAGTGCTCTGAGGTATAGCTTGATTGAAGTTTAATTATTTCACACATGTTACAGCTGTGGTTTTGGTAGATATAAACAGAACAGCATTCCACTGACAACCAGATAGGTTTTGTGAATGAAAACTGATTATATATACACTGCAGTTTATCAAGCACAATGGGTCATCTTGCCCTAGTAAGTACAGTATGTAAAATTCAAGCTTATGGAGAAAGATAGCAATATCTTGTGTTTGGACAATGCAACACATTTCCAGACATTCATGATTCTTCAGCTGATTGTCTCTGACTATCTCTGTCAGCCTGGACAAGTTATTTAAACTTTCAGAGTCCTGATACTTTATCTGTAAAATGGGATAATTAAACAGACTTTAAAGATGTTCAGATGAAAGGAATGATATAAGTGGAAACTAATCTACTTGTCTTTAGGAAGCAAGTCCTAATCTACTCATGAAAGTGAGTGGTACTGCAAAAACAATGGTCAAAGGAAAAAGACACTTAGGGAGATAATTATAAGAAGCTAATTTACCAACTCATTCATTAAGACAGGTATGCATTTTACTCCATATATTATCTCTTCTGTAAGATAGGAGATACTATCTTTGCAATTCTTTAATGATCATAGTATCTCAAAAAACCAGTTTACCATATGATTTATATTTCCCATGAGAATTTTAAAAGTACTGCTCAGTAATATTTTTTAAATGTTTAAAATGCTCTCCACAAAGGAAACATAAATTAATTTATGTTGTTTCAATATTTTGTTGCTTTAAGATTAATTATAACTAAAAATAAACCTCTGATTCTTTCAGGTTATAATACAGTTTGTCTTCTGAATGTATCAAACTGAAGTATGGTAGTGATAGTCTACACATGATTTAGACTCTTGTTTTGCTATTGGTAAATAGTACCAATGAGATTATAATCTCAAAATTATAGGACCTGAGCAAATCTCGATATTACTTTGAGGTATTCTTTGCAATTAACTTTCAAGGTTTATTTTTGTCAAGCTGTAACATCAAATTGGGAACTAATTTTAGAATTGATTAGAACAAATTATGAGTTAAATGATTGGTGATTTAAATGTACAGATACAATAAAATGAAGGTTATGTCTACAATTTTGAGAAATATATTTAAGATTTTGGGTACTTTTTAAAGGTATGTCTTCCTCAATACTGTTTACCAACTAACCAAATATAATAGATACGGGGAGGAAAAAAAGAACAAAGGAGAAAATGTCTTCAGGAAAAAAAGTAAGTTTTTTTCTGTACTTCTAAACCTCAAAAGCTCTGATTTAATTGTCCCATCTTCAAGGGCTATAAATACATTCTCAGAATTCTGACTTCTATGTAAAATGTTTATGTATAAACATCACATTTTCATAGTCATCAATTCCTTTTCAACAGACTAACCACAATAAGGTTTGCATGTAATTGACAGTGACATTTTTTAAATAGTTCCAATCTTAAAGCCACAGGAAGAGGTATTGACATGAAAACACGCAGCATGAAAAGTAGGCATCCTGGGAGTGGTTTTCTGGCGCCAGTTCTTTAGCTTCCTGCTCTAGTAAAAAGAAGTATACAATTAATGCAATCTTCGATTTTTAAAACAAAGGAATAAGCTCTAATTATTTAGGCAGTTGTTCAGATAATTAACTTAACTATCTTACCCAAAGTGATAAGTTTACCAATAGGTTCTCTTTGCCATGCCAGAGACAAACCTATTTCCAAATGAATGTGGGCATAATTTAGAGACAAACCTATTTCCAAATGAATGTGGGCATAATTTAGAGACAAACCTATTTCCAAATGAATGTGGGCATAATTTTAAAATATTATGGGGCAATGCAAAAAGGAACAATAAGTTAAGACAAAATTAAAAACTTCTTGTGGATTATCTGGCCATTATTCTGCCTCATATAGGTATGCTGGACTTCACTAGCATTATGAAAGAACTTTTCCTTGTGGCTAGGGAGAAAGGTGGGGAATATTCAAAATCACAAAGTTCAAGAAATACAGCTAACTTCAGAATGAGCTGAGTGAACAATGACCTGTGAGTTCAGTGTTGTGAAAGAAGTCAAAAGTAAGGATTTAAGGACAAAGAAAATTCTTGCTAAGCTATGAGGCACCCCAGGACAATTGAATTTTAAGAAGACCTAAATAGTTGGCTGGAGATACATGAACAGGTCTAACTACCTGGGAAGGGGGATGGCAAGGATTTAGCAAGTTGTCTGGGTAGGCCTCTCAGCAAAATAGGATGAAAATAGCAACAGAACATGGACATAACGGGGTGAAGCTAAAGTTTAGTGATTACCTTGGGACTATGTACAAGTTTTTAAATTCAGTATTAACAATATCCACAGGATGACCAGTAGTATCCTTACAAAATTGAATATTGGCTAATTATACAGCTAGTAAGAGGCAAAGCCTGCATTAAAACCCCAATCTTTCTGACTTCACAACCCATGACCTTTATAAATATTATTTCTATATATATATATGTATCAGTTTCAATTTAATCTTTACAATAATTCTGATAAGCAAGTGTTATTAATCACTGTTTTGTTGATGAGAAAAGTACAATTATGTAATCTGCCCAAGGTCACATAAGTAGTAAATAGTAATAAAAATAATCATCCTGAATACTAGTGGAAGGCAGCAGACTAATTCAAGAACACACATGCCATTTAGGATTAAAGATCCTAGTAAATCCATATTTTATTCTCAATGATAAAAGGATTGGTTAGGAGAGTGACTGCAGGCTATGGGCAATAAGCACAAAACAGATAAAGAGTCACAGGTATATCCACCCCTAGAAAGACTTTTTTTAATTATTCAGGAAAAAATGACTAAGATTAATTGGACATTCTCTATACCAGAAGTCAGAGGATTCACAATTCAACATTATACATAATGGCTGGCAATTCTTGTCAAGGGCTGCTTATGAGAACAGTCAATACTCTAGGTAGGAAGTCTGGGGCCACATCCCCAGGGAAGTTTTTATTCCGCTATAGAGATACCACGGACTAATAAGCAGATAGGTGTAGATGCCAGGAAACAGCCAGAAACTAGAAAACAGGAAGATAGCTAACCCATGATTGAAACCAGAATTACTGATCAGAAAGGAGTCCAGAGAATATTCAAAAGTTGGCAAGGAGCATTTTCTTATAGATAGCCTATAGACTATTTATGCAATCACCATGGGCCAAATACATTGAATTATTGTATTAATACTATGAAGAATTCATACAAATGAACAAATATATCCTGATTGCATATTCTAGCTGCTATACATACAAGAATGAATAAGCCAAAGGCCCTTGTTAGGCCTATGAGCCTAAGCTAAGCCATCATATCCCCTGTGACCTGCACGTATACATCCAGATGGCCTGAAGTAACTGAAGAATCACAAAAGAAGTGAAAATGGCCTGTTCCTGCCTTAACTGATGAAATTACCTTGTGAAATTCCTTCTCCTGGCTCATCCTGGCTCAAAAGCTCCCCCACCGAGCACCTTGTGACTCCCGCCCCTGCCTGCCAAAGAACAACCCCCTTTGACTAATTTTCCTTTACCTACCCAAATCCTATAAAACGGCCCCACCCCTATCTCCCTTTGCTGACTCTTTTTTCGGACTCAGCCTGCCTGCACCCAGGTGATTAAAAAGCTTTATTGCTCACACAAATCCTATTTGGTGGTCTCCTCATACGGACGCGAGTGAAATTTGGTGCCGTGACTTGGATCGGGGGACCTCCCTTGGGAGATCAATCCCCTGTCCCCCTGCTCTTTGCTCCATGAGAAAGATCCACCTATGACCTCTGATCCTCAGACTAACCAGCACAAGGAACATCTCACCAATTTTAAATCGGGTAAGTGGACTCTTTTTACTCTCTTCTCCAACCTCTCTCAGTATCCCTCAACCTCTTCTCCATTCAATCTTGGCACCACACTTCAATCTCTACCTTCTCTTAATTTCAGTCCCTTTCCTTTTCTGGTAGAGACAAAGGAGACGCGTTTTATCTGTGGACCCAAAACTCTGGCGCCAGTCATGGACTCAGGAAGACAGTCTTCCCTTGGTGTTTAATCACGCGGGGATGCCTGACTGATTATTCATCCACATTTCATTGTTGTCTGATCACCTACCTTGGTCATTGACCCACATTCCCTTTGTGGGAAGTCAATTGTGAGGATGCCTGCTTTGGCTGCTCACCCACATTGCAGCCCAGGGCTGCTCACCCACCCCTTCTCTCCATGTCTCCTCCCACTCCTTTTCCACTTTCCTGGGGGGCAAACACCTCCCACCCCTTCTCCACTTTCCTGGGGGGAAAGCACCCCCTACCCCTTCTCTCCATGTCTCTACTCACCCCTTCTCCACTTTCCTGGGGGGCAAGCATCCCCCACCTCTTCTCTCCGTGTCCCCACCTCTTCACTTTCCTGAGGGGCAAGCACCCCCCACCCCTTCTCTCCATGTCTCTACCCTCTCTTTTCTCTGGACGTGCCTCCTTCACTGTAGGCAACTTTCCACCCTCCATTCCTCCTTCTTCTCCCTTAGCCTGTGTTCTCAAGAACTTAAAATGTCTTCAACTCACACCTGACCTAAAACATAAATGCCTTATTTTCTTCTGCAATGCTGCTTAATGCCAATACAAACTCAGTTATGGCTCTAAATGGCCAGAAAACAGCACTTTCGATTTCCTCATTCTACAAGACCTAAAATAAATCTTGTCATAAAATGGGCAAACGGTCTGAGGTTCCTGACATCCAGGCATTCTTTTACACATCAGTCCCTCCCTAGTCTCTGTTCCCAATGCAACTCATCCCAAATCTTGCTTCTTTTCCTCCCACCTGTCCCTTCAGTCCCAACCCCAAGTGTCCCTCAGTCTTTTGAATCTTCTTTTTCTATGGACCCATCTGACCTCTCCCCTCCTCCCCAGGCTGCTCCTCGCCAGGCTGAGCCAGGTCCCAATTTTTCCTCAGCGTCTGCTCCCCCACCGTATAATCCTGTTATCACCTCCCCTTCTCACACCTGATCTGGCTTACAGTTTAGTTCTGTGACTAGCCCTCCCCCACCTGCCCAACAATTTCCTCTTAAAGAGGTGGCTGGAGCTAAAGGCATACTCAAGGTTAATGTTCCTTTTTCTTTATCCAACCTCTCCCAAATCAGTTAGCGTTTAGACTCTTTTTCATCAAATATGAAAAATCCAGCCCAGTTCATGGCCCGTTTGGCAGCAACCCTTAGACTCTTTACAGCCCTAGACCCTGAAGTGTTAGAAGGCTGTTTCATTCTAAATATGCATTTTATCACCAAGTCAGCTGCTGACATTAAATAAAACTCCAAAAATTAAATTCCGGCCCTCAAACCCCACAACAGGACTTAACCTCTCCTTCAAGGTGTACAATAATAGAGTAGAGGCAGCCAAGTAGCAACATATTTCTGAGTTGCAATTCCTTGCCTCCACTGTGAGAGAAACCCCAGCCACATCTCCATCACACAAGAATTTCCAAATGCCTAAATCGCAGTGGCCAGGCATTCCTCCAGGACCTCCTCCCCAGGAGCTTGGTATCAATGCTGGAAATCTGGCCACTGGGCCAAGGAATGCCCACAGCCCAGGATTCCTCCTAAGCCATGTCCCATCTGTGCAGGACCCCACTGAAAACCAGGCTGTTCAACTCACCTGGCAGCCACTCCCAGAGCCCCTAGAACTCTGGCCCAAGGCTCTCTGACTGACTCCTTCCCAGATCTTCTCAGCTTAGCGGCTGAAGACTGACACTGTCCGATCACCTGAGAAGCCTCCTGGACCATCACAGACACCAAGCTTTGGGTAACTCTTACAGTGGAGGGTAAGTCCATCCCCTGTTTAATCAATACGGGGACTACCTACTCCACATTACCTTCTTTTCAAGGGCCTGTTTCCCTTGCCCCCATAACTGGTGTGGGGGTATTGATGGCCAAGTTTCAAAACCCCTTAAAACTCCCCAACTCTGGTGCCAATTTGGACAACATTCATTTATGCCCTCTTTTTTAGTTATCCCCACCTGCCCAGTTCCCTTATTAGACCAAGACATTTTAACCAAATTTTCTGCTTCCCTGACTATTCCTAGGCTACAGCCACATCTCATTGCCACCTTTTCCCCCAGTTCAAAGCCTCCTTCACATCCTCTCCTTGTATCTCCCCACCTTAATCCACAAGTATAGGACACCTCTACTCCCTTCTTGGTGATGGATGATGCACCCCTTACCATCCCATTAAAACCTAATCACCCTTACCCTGCTCAATGCCAATATCCCATCCCATAGCACGCTTTAAAAGGATTAAAGCCTGTTATCACTTGCCTGTTACAGCATGGTGTTTTAAAGCCTGCAAACTCTCCTTACAATTCCCCCATTTTACCTGTCCTAAAACCAGACAAGCCTTACAGGTTAGTTCAGGATCTGTGCCTTATTAACCTAATTGTTTTACCTATCCACCCTATGGTGCCAAACCCATATACTCTCCTATCCTCAATACCTCCCTCCACAACCCATTATTCTGTTCTGGATCTCAAACATGCTTTCTTTACTATTCCTTTGCACCCTTCATCCCAGCCTCTCTTCGCTTTCACTTGGACTGACCCTGACACCCATCAGGCTCAGGCTCAGCAAATTACCTGGTCTGTACTGCCTCAAGTCTGCACAGACAGCCCCCATTACTTCAGTCAAGCCCAAATTTCTTCCTCATCTGTTACCTATCTTGGCATAATTCTCATGAAAACACATGTGCTCTCCCTGCTGATAGTGTCCAGCTAATCTCCCAAACCCTTCTACAAAACAACCCCTTTCCTTCCTAAGCATGGTTAGTGTGGCCAGAATTCTTACACATGAGCCAGGACTGCGCCCTGTAGCCTTTCTGTCCAAACAACTTGACCTTACTGTTTTAGTCTAGCCCTCATGTCTGTGTGCAGTGGCTGCCGCTGCTTTAATGCTTTTAGAGGCCCTAAAAATCAAAACTATGCTCAACTCACTCTCTATAGTTCTCATAACTTACAAGATCTATTTTCTTCCTTACACTTGATGCTTATACTTTCTGCCCCCCTCCACTACCTCTCTGCAAGCCAAACTCATTGCCTTAACTCAGGCCCTCACTCTTGCAAAGAGACTACATGTCAATATTTATACTGACTCTAAGTATGTCTTCCATATCCTGCACCACCATGCTCTTATATGAGCAAAAGAAATTTCCTCACTATGCAAGGGTCCTCCATCATTAATGCCTCTTTGATAAAAGCTCTTCTCAAAGCTGCTTTACTTCCAAAGGAAGCTGGAGTCATTCACTGCAAGGGCCATCAAAAGGCATCAGATCCCATCACTCAGGACAACACTTATACTGGTAAGGTAGCTAAAAAAGCAGCCATCAAAAGGCATCAGATCCCATCGCTCAGGACAATACTTATGCTGATAAGGTAGCTAAAAAATCAGCTAGCGTTCCAACTTCTATCCCTCACGGCAGTTTTTCTCCTTCCCATCTGGCTAATCCCACCTACTTCCCCACTGAAACTTCCACCTATCAGTCTCTTCCCACACAAGACAAATGGACCAAGGAAGATATCTCTTTCCAGCCTCACAGGCCCATTCTATTCTGTCATCATTTCATAACCTCTTCCATGTAGGTTACACGCCGCTAGCCCGCCTCTTAGAACCTCTCATTTCCTTTCTATCATGGAAATCTATCCTCAAGGAAATCACTTCTCAGTGTTCCATCTGCTATTCTACTACCCC
Organism: Homo sapiens; assembly: GCF_000001405.40. NCBI lineage: Eukaryota > Metazoa > Chordata > Mammalia > Primates > Hominidae > Homo > Homo sapiens. The sequence continues at coordinate 82,356,125 of NC_000001.11, read as the reverse complement.
TCAGATTGTTAAGGCCCCCTCCCTTCCCTACATATCAAGCTAGGGGATTTGCCCCTGCCCAGGACTGGCAAATTGACTTTACTCACATACCCCAAGTCAGGAAACTAAAATACCTCTTGGTCTGGGTAGACACTTTCATGGGATGGGTAGAGGCCTTTCCTACAGGGTCTAAGAAGGCCACTGTGGTCATTTCTTCCCTTCTGTCAGACATAATTCCTCGGTTTGGCCTTCCCACCTCTATACAGTCCGATAACAGACCGGCCTTTATTAGTCAAATCACTCAAGCAGTTTTTCAGGCTCTTGGTGCTCAGTGAAGCCTTTATATCCCTTACCGTCCTCAATCTTCAGGAAAGGTAAAATGGACTAATGGTCTCTTAAAAACACACCTCACCAAGCTCAGCCACCAACTTAAAAAGGACTGGACAATACTTTTACCACTTTCCCTTCTCAGAATTCTGGCCTGTCCTTGGAATGATACAGGGTACAGCCCATTTGAGCTCCTGTATGGACGCTCCTTTTATTAGGCCCCAATCTCATTCCAGACACCAGCCCAACCCGGACTGTGCCCCAAAAACTTGTCATCCCTACTATCTTCTATCTAGTCATACTCCTATTCACCGTTCTCAACTACTCATAAATGCCCTACTTTTGTTTACACTGCTGGTTTACACTGTTTCTTCAAGCCATCACAGCTGATATCTCCTGGTGCTATCCCCAAACCGCCACTCTTAACTCTTAAAGTAAATAAATAATCTTGCTGGCAGGGCTACACTGAACCCCCTTGAACACTCTTTAATTGGATGTCCTGGGTCCTCCCAATTCTTAGTCATTTAATACCTGTTTTTCTCCTTCTCTTATTTGGACCTTGTGTCTTCCGTTTAGTATCTCAATTCATATGAAACTGTATCCAGGCCATCACCAATAATTCTATATGATGAATGTTTCTTCTAACAACCCCACAATATCACTCCTTACCACAAAATCTTCCTTCAGCTTAATCTCTCCCACTCTAGGTTCCCACGCCACCCCTAATCCTGCTGGAAGCAGCCCTGAGAAACATCGTTCATTATCTCTCCATACCACTCCCAAAAAATTTTCGCCGCCCCAACACTTTACCACTATTTTGTTGTATTTTTCTTAATAATACAAGAAGACAGGAATGTCAGGCCTCTGAGCCCAAGCTAAGCCATCATATCCTCTGTGACCTGCACGTATACATCCAGATAGCCTGAAGTAACTGAAGAATCACAAAAGAAGTGAAAATGGCCTGTTCCTGCCTTAACTGATGACATTACCGTGTGAAATTCCTTCTCCTGGCTCATCCTGGCTCAAAAGCTCCCCCACTGAGCAGCTTGTGACCCCCCCACCTCTGCCCGCCAAAGAACAGCTCCCTTTGACTAATCTTCCTTTACCTACCCAAATCCTATAAAGCGTCCCACCCCTATCTCCCTTCGCTGACTCTCTTTTTGGACTCAGCCCACCTGCACCCAGGTGATTAAAAAGCTTTATTGCTCACACAAAGCCTGTTTGGTGGTCTCTTCACATCAAAGTGAGTGAAAGCCCTGACCTTGGAAGACTTACTTTCTGGTGTAGAACACAGGTAATATAAAAATAAATATATAAAGTCATATTCAGTGGTGATTAGTGCTAAGGCAAAAACTTGAAAATGATGGAATGGGAAACTTAGGGCCTTGGAGAGAGAGTAATTTGTGATAATTTCTCTAAAGCAAGGATATTTGAGCATAGAAAGGAGTGGAATGAAAAAAATAGCCCTGTGAATACCAAGGGGAAAGAAAGAAAATGAGAAAACCCATGCAAAATAAACAAATGTCATGTTTGAGCAAAATCAAGAAGACCCATGTGGCTATAGCAGAGTGGGCAAGGCTGGGAGTAGCAATGAAGTCATAGAGAGGCAGGATTCAGATCATGTAAGCCACATAGGGAAGGAGTTAGGTCCAAGTTTGAGCTAGAAAGTGACATTCTTGACTGACATTTTCAAAAGGCCAATAGAAGCAACAGGAAGTCTAGTTAAAGGGATGACCCAGTGCTATGGTTTAGATATCTGTCCGCACCAACCTCATATTGAAATTAGATACCCAATGCAGGAGGTGAAGCCTCATAGGAGGGCTTTGGGTCATGCAGGCAGATCCCTCATTAATAGATTAATACCCTCCCATGGAGTTGAGTGAGTCCTCATTTTATTAGTTTCCTGGAGAGCTGGTTGTTAAAAAGAGCCTGACACTTCCTCCCTCTCTCTCCTGCTTCCACTTTCACCATGTGATCTTCCAGCTTCCATTAGCCTTCTGCCATGAGTGGACACAGCCAGAGGACCTCATCTGATATAGATGCCTAATCTTGAATTTCCAGCCATCAGAATCTTAAGCCAAATAAACCTTTTTTTAAAAAAAAAAAATTACCCAGCCTCGGGCATTACATTATAGCAACATAAAATGAACTGAGACACAGAGGTATAAGAATATGGTGACTTGGACTGGTGTGGTAGCACTGAAGATGGTGGCTTTTGGATAGTGGTATGTATTTTGAAGGTATATGGAAGAGAATTTCTTCATCGGAACCTGGGGATGGGGAAAAAAAAGTCAAGAACAATTTTCTATGTTTGGCCTAAGCAATTGAATGAGTAGAGGTGCCACTTATTAAGTGGGGAAGGAATCTGGTGTCAGATGGCTGTAGGAAAGGGTAATGGATGGTGAACAAGGCACATCTCTTCAAGAGCTGAGCACTGGAAATATTAAGATTGATATAACCACTAGGCATCCAAGTAGAGATGCTGAGTTGCAGCTATAGATATGCTTTGGAATTCAGAGGAAAGGCCCAGACAAAAACTATGCATTAAGAGTTGTCAATGTACACATGGTATTTAAAACCATAGGAGGCCAGGAGCTGTGGCTCACTCCTGTAAACCCAGCACTTTGGGAGGCCAAGGAGGGTAAATCACTTGAACCCAGGAGTTTGCGTCCAGCCTGAACAACATAGTGAGACCTCATTTCTTCTAAAAATTAAAAAACAATTAGCCCAGCATGTTGGCTCACACCTGTAGTCCCAGCTACTCATGAGTCTGGGGTGGGAGGATCGCTTGAACCCAGGTTAATGCTGCAGTAAGCCGTGATTGCACCACTGCACTTCAGCCTGGGCAACACAGTGAGACCCAGTCTCAAAAATAAAATAAAGCCATGGAACTGGAGAAGACTTAGTGTGAGGACTGAGTCTCGGATAAATCAAATTTAGTTGTTGGTAGCAGAAAGATGATCAAGCAGGAGACACTGAGAAATCTGGGTTATAGTTAGAAAAATAATTGTGATGAAGATAATCACCCAAGTTATTGTTCCTTCTATGAAGAAACGAACACCAAATCACTTCAGGCTTCATATCATAAGAGTTAAATACTTTAATGGTAAAACCAACTTAGAATCTATACTTTAATTATTAAAAGCTCTTGAATGGCATCCACGATGGCTTTTATTTTGAACTCAATTTATTTTTGCATATGTGTTCATTCATTTATATATCAAATGTTTATTGACTAATATTTGTGCAGTAAAGAAGGTGAATGGTAGATTACCAAGGATGAGAGACAGAATTCCTACATTCCAGGAGGTACAAAGCCAAAAGAATATAAATCAAGGAAAATGACTGAGGGGAGTCATAATTATTTTAGAGGTTTATTTTGCCAAGATTGAGAATGTGTCCAAAAAGGAACATTGTGATCTTCCCAAAGAGAGTTTTGAAGACTTCAATATTTAAAGGAGAAAGAGTGGGCTGTAGGGGAAAGAGGAAAGAAATAACAAGGGAAGGTAGATAAAAGATAGATAAAATGCAAATGGTTGCATTAATTTGAAACTTTGATCAGTGTTCACTGAATCCACATTTTACATGTGAAAGGAGAGTGCAGAGGACTCATCAATTATGCATTCATCTGGCATTTAGTGAGTCTGAATTTTTATATAAGGGAAAATGAACATAGAGTAGAGGAAGCAGCTAACTATGCATTTGTCTCATGTGAGCAGAGGGATGACTCCTAGTCCTGTCTTTGTCTTGTCCCTGTAAAGATAAGCTGTTAATTTACATTGTCAGGGTGAAATTCAACAGAACTAAGTTTTAGAGTAAAGATCTTGAGACTGACAATGAATTTCTTTATGAGCAAATTGTGAAGAAGACCCCCAGGGAGGTATGTAGCCTTCTATCTTTGCAGCTATCTATTCAGGAACAAAATGAAAGGCACTTTGTGTGACACAATTCCCAAGCTCGACTTTTCCCCTTGCCATAGTGAGTTTGGGGTCTTGAGATTTTTATTTTCCTTTCATTTCAGTCATAATCATTATGATAATACATGCTATAGTGAGATCAATGGAAAAGGTTTTTGGAAGCTCAGAAAATGGAACATCTAACAGTCATGGGTGGCAACTATCGAAGGCTTCACAGAGAAAGGATTTTGAAGTGGAATCTTAATGAAGTTCACTTGGTGAATAATGGTGAAAAGATTATGTCATCTAGGAAATATAATATGTGTATATTACACAGAATCATGAAGCTTCAATTCAGGTCTAAAATTTCATCAATTTACTTAACTTATTTTAATAATGACTAACATTTATTTATTATTGATATGGTTTGGCTGTGTCCCCACCAAAATCTCATCTTCAATTGTAGTTCCCATAATCCCCACATGTCATGGAGGAACCCCATAGGAGGTAATTGAATCATGGGAGTGGTTACCCCCATGATGCTGTTCTTGTCATAGTGAATTCTCACAAGATCTGATGGTTTTATAAGGGGTTTTTTCCCTTTTGCTCGTCATTCCTCCTTCTTGTTATCGTGTGAAGAAGGACGTGTTTGCTTCCCCTTCCACCATGATTGTAAGTTTCCTGAGGCCTCCCCAGCAAAACTATGAGTCAATTCAACCTCTTTCCCTTATAAATTACCCAGTCTTGAGCAGTCCTTTATAGCAGCATGAGAATAGACTAATAGAGTAATTTGGCACCAGGAGTAGGGTGCTGCTGTAAAGATACCTGAAAATGTGGAAGCAACTTTGGAACTGAGTAACAGGCAGAGTTTCAAACAGTTTGGAGAGCTCAGAAGATACAAAAATGTGGGAAAGTTTGGAACTTCCTAGAGACTTGTTGAATGGCTTTGACCAAAATGCTAGTAGTGATATAGACAATGAAGCCCAGGCTGAGGTGATCTTAGATAGAGATGAAGAACTTGTTGGGAACTGGAAAAAAGGGGACTCTTGCTATGTTTTAGCAAAGAGACTGGTGGCATTTTGCCCCTACCCTAGAGATCTGTGGAACTTTGAACTTGAGAGAGACTATTTAGGATATCTGGCAGAAGAAATTTCTAAGCAGCGGGGTTCAAGAGGTGACTTTGGTGCTCTTAAAAGCATTCAATTTTATGTATTCACAAAGATATTGTTTGGAATTGGAGGGAAGCAGAGCATAAAAGTTTGGCAAATTGGCACCCTGATGATATGATGGAAAAGAAAAACGCATTTTCTAAGGAGAAATTAAAGTTGGCTGCAGAAATTTGCATAAGTAACAAGGAGCCAATGTTAATTACTAAGACAATGGGAAAAATGTCTCCAGGACATGGCAGAGGTATTCACAGCATCCCCTCCCATCACAGGCCCAGAGGCCTAGGAGGAAAAATGCTTTTGTGGGCCAAGCCCAGGGCCTTGTTGCTTTGTGCAGTCTCAGGACTTGTTGCCCTATGTCCCAGCTGTGGCTAAAGTGGGCCAAGGTACAGCTTGGGCCATCACTTCAGAGGGTACAAGTCCCAAGTTTTGGCAGCTTTCACATTGTGTTCAGCCCATGGGTACACAGAAGTCAAGAATTGAGGTTTGGGAACCTCTACCTAGGTTTCAGAGGATGTATGCAAATGCCTGAATGTCCAAGCAGAAGTTTGCTGCAGGGGTAGAGACCTCATGGAGAACCTTTGCTAGGGCAATGCAGAATGGGAAAGTGGGGTTGAAGCCCCCACACAGGGTCCCTCCTGGGGCACTACCTGGTGGAGCTGTGAGAAGAGGGCCACCATCCTCCAGACCCCAGAATAATAGATCCACCAACAGCTTGCACTGTGCATCCAGAAAAGCTGCAGATACTCAACACCAGCCCATGAAGACAGATGAGAGTGGGGCTGTGCCCTGCAAAGCCACAGGGGCAGAGCTGCCCAAGGCCATGGATCAGCATGACCCGGATGTGAGACATGGAGTCAAAGTATATCATTTTGGAGCTTTAAGATTTGACTGCCCCACTGGATTTCAGACTTCCTCAGGGCCTGTAGCCCCTTTGTTTTGGCCAATTTCTCCCATTTAGAAATGGTGTATTTACTCAGTGCCTGCACCCTCATTGTATCTAGGAAGTAACTAACTTGCTTTTGATTGTACAGGCTAATAGGCAGAGCGGTCTTGCCTTTTCTCAGATGAGACTTTGGACTGGGACTTTTGGGCTAACGTTGGAATGAGTTAAGACTTTGGGGGACTGTTGGGAAGGCATGATGCTGTTTTGAAATGTGAGGACATGAGATTTGGGAGGGGCCAAGGGCAGAATGATATGGTTTGGCTGTGTCCCCACATAAAGCTCATCTTGAATTTTAGTTCCTATAATACCCATGTGTCATGGGAGGGCCCCAATGGGAGGTAATTGAATCATGTGGGACGTTACACTATGCTGCTGTTCTTGTGATAGTGAGTGAGTTCTCATGAGATCTGATGGTTTTACAACGGGCTTTCCCCCCTTTTGCTGGGCATTTCTCCTTCCTGCCATCATGTGAAGAAGGACATGTTTGCTTCCCTTTCTGCCATGATTGTAAGTTTCCAGAGGCCTCTTCAGTATGCAGAACTGAGTCAATTAAACCTCTTTCCTTTATGAATTACCCAGTCTCGAGCAGTCCTTTATAGCAGTGTGAGAATGGACTAATACAGCTATTTTCTATGTACCTAGTGCAATAAATATTTAATATGCAAAAGAAGAGGGAGTAAACAGAAAGTACTATAATTATTCAGTGTTTCTATGTCAGGATACTGGGCCAGGTATTTTACACACAATGTAAAATTCAGCCTCACAAATCCACTCCAGGTATGTTTACTATCATGAGGGTAGTAAAGATCATCAAGATAACTAAACCAAGAAAAGCATATGTTAGAAATAGAACCAGTGAAGTGCTTTAAAAAATTACACACAACTAGTCAATTATAAAACACTTTCATTCTAAGAAAAGTTAAAGTAATTACTCTTAAAGAACACAGGCCCGGAAGATGAACTAGCTGCATCCAATTCTGGCTCCATTGCTTGCTCTGTGACCTTGGACAAGTTAGTGAAAATTTCTGTGCCTCAGCTTCACTATCTGTAGAGAAGGTATAAAAATAGTACCTCCCTCAAAGGGTTGTTGTGATGACTAAGTGTGGTAATATCTGTAAAATTATTTGAAGAGTTCCTGGCATATGACAAGAGTTACAATAGTGTAGCTACAATTATTATCCAGGTCAGAGGCTGTGGAGTAGAAGGGTTAAGAGTGAGTTTTGTTTTGTTTTGTTTTGTTTTGTTTTGTTTTGTTTTGTTTTGTTTTGTTTTGTTTTGTTTGAGATGGAGTCTCACCCTGTCGCACAGGCTGGAGTGCACTGGTGTGATCTCGGCTCACTGCAACCTCCGCTTCCCGGGTTCAAGCGATTCTTCTGCTTCAGCTTCCCGAGTAGCTGGGATTACAGGCACCCGGCACCATGCCTGGATAATTTTTTGTATCTTTAGTAGAGATGGGGTTTCACCATGTAGGCCAGGCTGGTCTCGAACTCCTGACCTCGTGATCTGCCCACCTTGGCCTCCCAAAGTGCTGGAATTACAAGTGTGAGCCACTGTCCCCAGCCAAGAATGAGTTTTCTACTACCACATTGCCCTGCAGAACAATCTGACTCTCCTTTTGTTGACCGTTTGACCTTGTACTTAACTGTGTCTCAGTTTCCTTATTTATATATTAGGAATAATAAAACACATTTCTGATGGAATTATTGTGAAGATTCAATACATTAATACATCTGTAAGATTTAGAACAATGCATGGGACAAAATAGATGTTCAATAAATGTTAAGTATTAATATCCACTCTAGATAGATTCCAAAATCCAATACACCCCAAGTTCATTCTGAGGATCAGATAATAGTTATTGTGAAAAACATAACTACTATGGTTACAAAGCTCACATTTTACAGAATCCACACTTTGGATACTTTTATGTATCAATTTATAAATATTTAGAGTCTTGCTTAACACTAATCACCATCAGTGCTTTCATTGCAATGCAACAAATACCAGGAATTTTTATGAGCAGTATTGTAAATATGACAGATGCTTTTGTTCATAAATCGGGCAGTGACCTCAATCATTAATAAACAAATCAGGGCCAGAGCAGCAAGAGAATGTAAAGAGTAATTTGGTAAGGAATCCAATAAATGTTTTCAACACAAATAATCAAAACAGAGAATTTATTCTTAATCCTGCCTTGCTAATGGCTTCTGTTAAAGTGAAAATGATTAAATCAAATTTGGCTTTAATTTGTTGAGGTTAGATGGCATTTTCCCCAATGTGATAAATTACTGCAAGAACAAGTCAAATAATGGGAAATTTACTATGAGCTTGCTTTTGCATGAAAGTGGAGTGAAACAAGAAACAATCCAAGAGTTATTTAGCATATAGTTTACTAAATTCAAGAAAGAAAAAGTATTATTGAAACCTCACATGCCTTTACCACTGTTGATCTGTTGTAAATGGAAAAAAAAAAAACCACTTTGACATCAAAGCTGGATCATATCAGAACCTTCCACGCCATGGCCCACCGAGGGCTTCTTGAGACAAGCTATGTCTGTGGTTAAAATATCCTTTCACTCTCAAATATTTCATAGAATTACAGAATGCTTCTGCTGAGAGACATGGCAGAAATGATTTACCCCAACTTTCTCATTTTATAAATTAGGAAACCGAGGCCAGAAAGATTTAATGACCTCTCCAAATTCTACCTGGAGCACAGCCAGAAGTAAGATGAAGTTGCTTTGTGCTCTGTTAATACAAATGGACAAAGAAACTGGAAATGAGGTAGAGAGAGTAAACACAGAGGTGCTAGTCTCTCAGCCTGCAGTTTATTTACTATTCATAAAACATAATTTTCTAAAGTTCTTCTTTCTTCACATAATTGGGTATTAAGTTATTCTTCAGCTACCCAACATTTCAGTCCCAACTTTAATTTTTATTATCTTAAAAGTTGTACTAGGATAGAGTGTTGGGATTTGTAAACTTTAAATATTTTTCAAAGAAATTATTTCAATGAGCTTGTCTATTTTTGTCCTTTCAAGCTGTTAGGAGAAATTACAGGGCAACATCTGTATCTCTCTATCAGTAAAAAAAGAAAAAGAAGGACAAAACAGAGTGGGTGTATAATTGAAAATTGTAGGAAAAGAAAGTTAAAGCACCTGCGAACAGAACAGAAGGAAAGGCCACAGGAGGTAATGAAGGGTCACAGCAGAAAGAAGGAGAAAGATAATCAGAATGACTCGGAAATTTTCACTTGGTATCAAAACAGAATGTGGTAAATTTAATCTGTCATGAGGAAACTGGCCTACCAGACGCCAGCAAAGGGTAATTAAAGAGTCACTCTCCAAAGAAAACTGTTTTTGTAAGTGGAAATCAATGGGTATATTCACACCACCACCACCTTCTGCCACTGAATTTGTGGCTTTGCATTTCACCTGAAGGGGCTGATTAAATCACTGACACTTGGAGCAGAACAGGGACTTGTAATCTTTACACTGTGCTGCACTAATCGGGCCAGCAACTGTGCAAGGGACAGCCAGACCTGAACTGCTGTACTGACAGTATTAAGTGGAGTAGAAAGAGTCGTATTCAATTTCAGAAGCTACTCTGGTGCCGAGCACTGGTTATGTCAGTCTAAAAGAGAAAAGACAATATGTCCAGGATACTTGCCTAAGGTCAGGGCTTTAATCACTGGAAGAAAAGATGATTTGCTCCTCCTCACCGTGCCAACTCCTGCTGAGAGCACTTTTTTCCCCCTTTTTCCTAGCTCCTACTCAAAATATGGACTAGAAAGAACGGAGAAAGGCTGAGAGAGAATAAAAAGATTCCAGATTGATATCTTAGAGTCCTGCCGGGTTGAAGTTTTGCTCAGGTTTATATACTAATGATACAAGCAGAGTCAATAATCAAACGCAAATCTTTTCTTGGAGTCCAGGGTCCTGAGATTTATGGCAGAAGCCCAAAGTACGGCTCTAATCCTTGCACTGGATATGAAAGCTTAGGTCATCAATGGGTCTTTCTGGATCTCACCCAGCAGCTCAATATTCAGTTAATTCATAATAAGAATCCTCCAGATACCAGTTTGTAGAGATTAGGCATTCTTATCAATGAACAGGCTTACTTGACAATAGCATATGCATAATCTTCTCCACCCCAAATGGTTCAGCTCCCCAAATATCCATTCTTCCAGGCTGCCCCAAACTCACTATGCTTCATATTCATTCTGACACAGTAACATTCAGATATGATATATTGGTAACATATTAGTATTATCTAACACCATGCAATGTCAATATTTTCTTTCTTTCTTTCTTTATACCATTGTATACAGGTAAGCCATAAGTATTCTACTTCATTTTGTTTGAGTTTGGGTAGAAAAGGTACCAAGCCAAAGTTTCCATATGCCAAGAACCTAAATTAATTGATGACATTCTACTTAAATTTCATTTCCCTGAGCAAATCTTCAGATGGCATAGCCTAGATTCTACCAATTGCTTTTGAAATGCATTGTCAAATTGATTTGGCATGTAGAAGAGGCTTTTGGCAAGTTTTATGTTTTTTTAGGAAACAAACCACCATCTTGAATTTGAAATTTCTGGAAGACCCATAACAAATCAGTCCAAAAAATGTAGGACTTGCAATGAGTTTGTAATATTCTTCATCCCCATTTCTTTTTTCTTTTGAGACAGAGTCTTGCTCTGTCACCCAGGCTAGAATACAGTGGCACAATCTTGGCTCACTGCAACCTCTGCCTCCCGGATTCAAGCTATTCTCCTGCCTCAGCCTCCTGAGTAGCTAGGATTGCAGGCAAGCACTACCACGCCAGGCTAATTTTTTTTTTTGTTTTGTTTTTGTAGTTTTAGTAGAGACGGGGTTTCACCATGTTGGTCAGGCTGGGATTACAGGGGTGAGCCACCGCTCCTGGCCTCTGCATCCCCATTTTAACATAATGAAGAAGCAGCACATTATTGAGATATCTTGGGCCCTGAACCCATTTTTTGGTTCATACTGGACCCATTTTTTTTTCTGTAAACTTGTCTTTACAATGTTAGAATGTCACAACTATACAAAATAACGAAGTTTGCCTTCATAGTTGTGCTGCAGATAGCTGAGGTGCTTTCCTTTCTGAAAAAATTAGAGGAAATACTAAAAGCTCAAGTTGTTGAACGATGATTTTGAATCAAGTTAGAGCTACCAGATCAAGACTTTCAGTAGCATTTGTAATGGATATTATATCCGAAGAAACAGATTCAGGGCAAATGCCTTTTCTGTCTTCTCCAGAAGGTTTCTATTTAGATAATAATGCGAAATAGAACTGAGGAGGTGGGGCATGGAAGGTAGAAGTGGTACTGCATATGCAAAATGTAAAAGCAGGATCTTTCCAACAAATCTGAAACATGCCACACCTCTCCACCCCCTCTCAAAGTTCTTCAGTGGCTTCCATTGCATTCTAGAGCAATATGAAGCTCTTTAGCCCCTAATGTGGCCCTGTGACATCACCATTCTCATCCCTTACCAGTTCTCTTCCCTCTCATCTGGAGACACTGTTCTCAAAACACTCTATGTTCTTTGACCCCGCGCTTCTCTCATTGTCACAAATCCAGCTGCCTTGCTTGTGTGACTCTGCTGCCGTATCTCTCCAGTATGCCTTCCTGGCCTGAGGAGGCCTGGAAAGCTAACATTTTCCATTCTTCATTTCAGCCAGTGTTCCAGATGTACCATTGGTTTCATCAATCACGTATACTAGAAAATGGAGAGAAGAAAAATAGAGGATAAAAATGTATTCACACAGACAGCATTGTGTCAAATATTACTTTAAAAGTTGACTGGTCAATTTGTATTTTTAAAAAGGAGTTACCAAAACTAAATTTAAGATTCACTGTAAAATACTCTAATTCTGAACATAATTGCACGGAAAATATCAAACCCTAAAGTAAATGTTAGAACAAGTGTGTGTGATCATTCATTCATTTAAATAGACATGCTTTGGTTCTCTTCTATATGCTTAATAAAAGAGCAGCATTCAGTGTATGTATTGGTGACCCAGCATCTACCAAGGTTGATAGGATAAATTACGCTGACATATCAAAGGATCTGCACATTGGAGGAGGTTAGAAAAATAAAGCTTTATTTCACATTCATGCTAAAATTCCATCATGACTGGGGACTCTGCTCTATATTTCTTCACTCTGGGATCCAGGCTGACAAAATAAACATCATCTTGAACATTCTTATTTACTGAGCCAGAGGCCAAATATGTGTTCAGAAGAGTTTCCAGTCTAAAAATGATATATCACGCTTTAATCACAACTATTTGACCAGGCCTAGTCCCATGGTCCAATACAGCCACATGGGAGCCAGGATGTGTTCAGAAGAAAAGAGAACCTGAACTATTTAGCAAATAGCACAATATCCACTACAGTGTGCTCTTCTGGGTCAACGAATATTTGGTTCATCCTCCTTTCTGCATGAAAATTATGTTCATCTTTACCCCAAGGGAAAAAGCTGTAAAATTCCATACAGTCATGGCATCAGGCTCTGGGATATTCATGGTAGTTTCTATATTGAGGTGATGTGCAATAGTGTGTCCTTCATATCCAGATGGACCTTCGCTTTATCTGGAGAACTATAAATGAAAAAAATTGTCTGTTTCTTCCTTAACCAATGTGAAATTGTGGAACTGGAACAAAGTAACTGTAATAAACGCTACCATTCAGAAAGGTAAAGAGCAAAAGACACACAGTATTCACAGCCCCCTACCCTAGAGTAGGGGGATGCTTCTTGACTAGGTCTAAATTATATCCCCTGGGAAGGGTTTCCTAGTTCTCCCTGATCCTTAGATCTGATCTTTGTCCATTATATTCTCTGTCCATTTTAAAGTGAGCATTGGTACATTTTTCAATTTATCTTGTCAACCGTACAACTTCTCTAGTCTGCTTCCTGCCCACAGAAGATTGAAGGCCTGAGGGTCATCTTAACTATCAAGCAATTACAAAATCTGTTAATCAAAGTCCTGGTTTCTTCTTAATTGGTGTCTTTCCTTTTGTTCAACAGCTCCATATGCTGACAGCTGCACCAAAAAAAAATCTCTTTTTAAGACATTTGTCTCTTTTTCTCTTGACTTAGTTGCACATATCTGGAAGCCATATGGTTTCAGTGGTAGAGCCATATCCTTATATTCCTTTCCCTGAACCATTGTTCTTTGAACCAAAAAGATTTATTGGGCAGTTCTTAATCACTACAGAAGTTTTAACAATAGATATGAAAGCCATGTCAATGATTTTATTGTTTCTACATTGTTTTAATAAGTTTTTGTAGCTTAAAACATTGCAATTTTAGGTGTTACTTTTTAGGATTTAGAAAGACTTGTCTCTTCTAGTTTCTGGACTACATACTCTTTCAGTCCTGTTTGCAAACTGACCAGTTTTTTTTATTTTTTATTTTTTGAGATGGAGTCTTCCTCTGCCGCCCAGGCTGGAGTGCAGTGGCATGATCCCAGCTCACTGCAACCTCCACCTGCTGGGTTCAAGCGATTCTCCTGCCTCAGCCTCTCAAGTAGCTGGGATTATAGGCATGCGCCACCATGCCCAGATAATTTTTGTATTTTTAGTAGAGACAGGGTTTCACCACGTTGGCCAGGATGGTCTCGATCTCTTGACCTCGTGATCTGCCTGCCTCGGCCTCCCAAAGTGCTGTGATTACAGGCGTGAGCCACCATGCCTGGCCTATTTTTTAATCTTACCTCTTTTCTATGTTATCTTGTCAAAGGCCACCAAAAGCAGTCCATGTATTATACTAACATTCTAATATCCAATTCCTTCCCTGAGCTACAAACTTCTTAGGTATTATATATTCCTTCTTTGCTATCCAAAGCAACTGTCTTAAACAACTTCTATAATATGGGTTGCCTTTCTTTCAGCCTCAAATATCAGTTTCCTTGAAAGCTACAAACAGCTCCCCACCTTAAGCTAATACCACACAATTTAATATTTTATTTGTTCAGTATCACCCCACTCCTCATATCAATTTCTGAAGCATTTAGGATGTGCTAGTTTGAGCCAAATAACAAACCAGCCCTAGCCCCCAAATCTCAATAACTGATAATATAAAGACTCCATGTTCTTTATAGGAGAATAATATAGCACTCTTCCTTTCCCTTTTGCCCTGACCTTGGTCCTTGGTTTAGAAAATTCACATAATTTTTTTCCTTAGGTCATTTCAAAAGTCTCCCTCTCTCAAGTCTTGAACTCATATACCACAAACTGCTGTGAGGATGACCTATATATGATGTGAATCTGGTTATCATCCAATTTTTTTTTTTGCCAATTATATTGAGAAAAAGAAGATAAACTTTTTTTTTTTTTTTTTTTGGTTGGCATGTAAGTTCTTTCATGGTCTAACCACTGACCACTTTTCTAGCTTATCTCTGGCCATTCAACATGTATTTATGTTCTAGGCATAAAAAAATACTCTGATGAGTCTCACCTCCACCTAAAAGACCTCTCACCTATTTCTTTTCTTTTCTTCTGTTAACATCTACATATCCTTTAAGACTCCACTCAAACACAGAGAAATTATTCTAAATTCCCCTCTTTAAGTTGGGTTACTTGAATTTCCTACTTTAAGAGCACCCTGTGAATAACTATCAAATTGCTTATTGCATTGTAAGAAAAGAGAAGGAAAAAAATGAAAAACAAATTGCTTATTGCATTGTATTTTGTGGTTTCTTTTTCTGTCTCCCGGGTGGATGTCTTTGAAGCCAGTGACTATCTTTCTCATTGGTCTCAATTCCTAGAACAGTGACAGACACAAGATAGACTGTGACAGACACATTATGGACAGACACCATCATTCATTAATTCAGTCCATATTTGTGCAGCACACACTCTGTCACTGGGCACTATGCTAAGCTCAGGAAAGAGTGAGGTTCTAGAGTAGGAAAGTGGTTATGAGATTCAGAGTATAGATTCCAGGAAGACTTGATTCTAGTGTGGTGGGGGAAAGAGATATAAAAATGATTAATAATCTGCATCCTTATATATGAGATAAGAAAAAGCTGAAAACAAATGTTTTTTTTGGCTGAGTGTGGTGGCTCATGCCTGTAATCCCAGGACTTTGGGAGGCTGAGGTAGGCAGACTGCTTGAGGTCAGGAGTTCAAGACAAGATTGGCCACATGGTGAAACCCCATCTCTGCTAAAAATACAAAAATTAGCTGGGCGTGGTGGTGGGTGCCTGTAATCCCAGCTACTCCGGAGGCTGAGTCAGGAGAATTTCTTGAACCACTGCACACCAGCCTGAGCAACAGAGCAAGACTCTGTCTCAAAAAAAAAAAAACAAAAAACTTTTTTTTAGGTGACAGAGTCTTGCTCTGTCACCCAGGCTGGAGTGCAGTGATGAAATCTCCGCTCACTGTAACCTCTGCCTCCCGGGTTCAAGCAATTATTGATTGTAGTGCCTCAGCCTACTGAGTAGCTGGGATTACAGGCACATGCCACCACACCCAGTTAATGTTTGTACTTTTAGTAGAGATGGGGTTTCACTATGTTCCCCAGGCTGGTGTAGAACTCCTGGCCTCAAGTAATCCACCCACCTCAGCCTCCCAAAGTGCTGGGATTACAGACGTGAGTCACCGTGCCCACCCCAGGAAATGCTTTTTAAAAAACTTTTTCAACATAGATATTCACAGGAAAAGGATTTTCAGACCTAGATGAACTAAGGTTGTTATTTCTTCTACCATAAATTGTTGATGTGTCTTTTAAGTTCATCTTGGTCACTTTCTAGCCAAACAGAATCTTCTTACAGCAGGCTGGACATTATTTTCATTTTTTCCATATTTTCTCTAAGGATCAAAAATATGAGCTTTGCCTTCATTTTTCTGACTTTTGGAATCATTCATTCTCCATTAGCCACTGTTGTTATTTTTTGGATTTGAACGTTTTCTTTCTTTAGTTGAAGACCCCTTGCCGCTAATTACAGTTGATGTCATTTCCTGAGTGTGCCACGAAACTCTTCTGATCCCGAAAGGCATGGATGAAAATATCTGATTATGAAAAAGAAATCTGATTTACACAAGTTGGATTGTTGCCGCATAATTTTATGCTGTCAAAATCTTGACCCTGAACTCTAAACACTAAAGGTGGCCTGGTTTCATTATACAAAGTTTTGTAATATGTTTTACTAAATCCAATGTCAGTCACAAGGCGGAGTGTCAATTCTTCTCTTATTTCTTCATTCCTGGCACTATTTTTTTATTAATCAAAAATTAATTTAAAGTTGCTTTTAAATGTATTTATTAATTTATTTCAGAGGTTGAAGAATCTTATTCATAATGATTATACAGACATAGGGTTTGAACACCTGGAATCAAGACTGTAGTTTTAAGGCTAGTTATCCTTGTTTCAGTACGTGGATAGTTTCATTTCCTGTGGATTACTCCAATTCCTATTATTTTTCAGCTTTCCTCTACTGCAAAATCCACTTAATGCAATATTTTATGTTACCTTTAGGGGTATGACTTGTGTTCATAATTTTTAAAGATTATTTGTCCCTTTTTGTAATAACCTCTCATAGCCTGGGGAGGTTTATCTTGCCACATGCTCACCAAATCATTAAAACTTCAAAGTTTCCTTCCTGCAAAGTTTTGAGTTTTGTTGTTGTTATAGTTTTTTAAATTTGAAACTGTACATCATCTAAAAATAAAGAAAGGGAAGTTTGACTTAAAAAGAAAAAGATTTTAAAAGGTTTGTGTAATGATGCAAATGGTAGAAAGGAATGCATATAGGCATCATGTTCCTAACCCAGAACCCAACTTGAGAGAAACATTTTGTCTAAGGTTTTTTTTTTGTTTGCTTCTTTTTTTTTTTTTTTTTTTTTTGAAAGGAAATGAGCTATGGATGCTGTATGCAATGATGGAGAGAGAACAAAATTTGGACTTAGGCAAACCTGTGGAAAAAAAATGATATTTTGGCAAATACTGGCTCTATGTCCTTGCAAACCACTAATACTTCAGCCTGAGTGCCTTATTTCTAGAATAATGATGATAATCCTTATTTATGCAGGATTGCTGCAAGGATTGGAGATGAAGTAGTTTACACACAGTACATATTTGCAAAGGTATTATTTTTGTTATTGTATTTTAGGAGCTAAAGCTTATTCTATTTAACCTTTTATAATTTTATTCTATCATCCATTTGGGACTTTCTTTTCATTCTGACTTTTTCATAGACTCTTATTCCTTTAAAAAATAGAATGACTAAAAGAAATTATAACTATAATATTTTGCACTCCAGCCAGAGTTACAAATATTATTGTGACAAAAACAGCAATGTTACCACTGATGATTTTTTTAATGAAAAATAAAGACAAATGTTGTAATATGCCAAGCATTTAGGGAACTTGAGTTGAACAGTTAGATTCTGCATGGTCTAGCAACCTGGAATGGGAAGGATGGGGCCCTTCAGCTGTTCACTGTACCTTAAACTTAAGTCTTATATAATCAGAGAATTTCAGAGAATGTGAATCATGGAATAACAGATGGTAATAACTTGACGACTTAGCCTTGTAGAGAAGGAAAAAAGTGATGGCAGCTGATCAGTGTGTATCTAGACTTGCAATGCAAATAAGATACAAGTAAAACTGACAAACTTGCATACACTGCTCTTAATTTATGCCCCAGAAAAGAGATTTTTAATGAACAATCAAAAATCCAATAGAGTGAACTCTTGATTAACTGCAAATGTAGAGCAGAAAATATGTGGATAATGTTCTTTAAAAATAAACAACAATAAAACTTGCTATATGAAATTGAAAAACATACTACTCTAAGAAAGCATATACACTCTCGGATGCTTTCATACTCAGCTTTCAGAATTGAAACCTGAAGCTGTCAGATTATTAGTTGCTTAGACTCTCTCTCTCTATATGAGAAAAATAGTCTAAGATTATTACTCACAGATGTTTGTTTCCATGGTTTTTAGTCTACCAATTCATAGGCTTATGAACTTTTAATTTATATTTTATCTGTGAAATGAATCACTGATTTCAGTGTTGGTCACCACAAATTATCAGTGACTAGAACAGTGAAAGCCTTAAAACACTGGTCAGAAAACAGGGTCATGTTTCTCACCTGTCATTAAGTTGCTGTGTTGCCCTGAGAAAGTTTTTTAATCTT
Organism: Homo sapiens; assembly: GCF_000001405.40. Lineage (NCBI taxonomy): Eukaryota > Metazoa > Chordata > Mammalia > Primates > Hominidae > Homo > Homo sapiens. The sequence goes on along the minus strand of NC_000001.11, from coordinate 82,337,641 downwards.
TTTGGACTTCACTTTTATTATTAGTGAAATGAAGACCTCAAAGTCTCTTTTTACAGTTCGAAGGCTTTTGGTTTTATAACTTTTAAATTATTATAAGAGAGGTAACAATGCAAGATACTAATAAGGATCTTTAATATTTAATCAGTGCTTATCATGTACAAAGCATACTTCAATGCATTTCACATTACTAAATGTCTTAGTCCATTTTGTGCTCCTGTAACAAGATGCCTGAGACTTAGTAATTTATAAACAATAGAAGTTTATTTGGCTCATGGTTCTGAAGACTGGGAAGTCCAACATGGAGGGGCTGCATGTGGCGAGGGCTTTCTTGCTGTATTTCCCATGGAAGAAGGCAGAAGGGCAAAATAATCTGCATGAGAAAGAAAAGCAAAGATGGCTGAACCCTTCCTTTTATCAGAAACCTCTTCCTACGATAATTAACATACTCCCTCAATAATAGCATTAATCCATTCATGAAGGCAAAGCCGTCATGACCTAATCACTTCTTAAAGGTCTCACCTCTTAACACTGTTACATTGGAGAATAAGCTTCCAACACATGAACTTTAGGAGACACATTCAAATTTTAGCACTAAGTCATTTAATTATCATCCAGTCTCTGTGGTAATTACCAGTCACTTTATTTTATAAATGCGGAAATTGAAGGACTGGCAGGTTGAGTAACTTGTTCAAATCACTCAGCAAGTAAAAGACAGACACAGTTTGAATCCACATATCTCTCCACAGAAGCCATGCTCTTACTTCCTCCACTGCCTGGGAAAGTGAAACGAAAGACTTAGTAGAAATGACCTTGAATGTCTGAAGGAAGAATCTTTTATGCAGTTTGTGGATAAACAGGAAGTTATTGAAAGATGTAGAGTAGCAGAATGTTATCACTCAATCTGCAACTGAAGGAATAGTTGGAAAGAGTATTCCAAATGAGAAAATGGAGAAGAGACAGAAAAAGCAGTTAGAAGAGTATCACAGCAATGCAGCTCAGCAAAAACTAGGTAGTTCAATTAAAATATGGAAAACAGAAGTGAAAATAAGGGGCTAGACTTTCCAGATATTAAAGATATAAAGTATGCTTGCAGTCCAAGTCATATTCCACATTTTCTAGTTTAGGTAGCTGGGAAAATAGTTGTATCATTAAGAAATATAGGAATAGTCTATTGAGAAGATTTGGGAGAAAAGATGTTCAGGTAAATTAGGTAAAAAGTTAGGAGCTAGTTTGGAGAGACATGTTAGCAAAGAGGATGTAAAGAACGGAGACATGAGAATTTAGCGACTGCAGGAGTAAATCAGAATGATTGATGGTGGTGATGTGACACTGTCCTCCTTCTGCAGGGCAGTAACCTTATGCAGCTGATCCAGGTTGATGATGGGTTCATGGCATCAGTCGTGTGGTGGTGAGGAGGGCTGGTGGCAGAATTGAGGAAAATGTAAACACAATAAAATGTCTATTTCTTTTGGCTTTCACCATATTAGATTCTTCTGGTTTGAAGAGAAAATGTCAGACACCTAACAACACTACATCAGGAGACCTCAGTTCACTTCCTAACACGTGGTAACAAGCTCTCTAAGGGCTGACTTCTCCACACATGGGTTACAAGTAATCCAAACAGTTGCCAAGGGGGCAGAAGTAAGTAGCATGGTCAGCCTTCTCTATGAATTTTTTAACCTTTAAAACTTAAGATTTTAAAATTATAGCATTCCAGTAATATAAATTTTATTATAACATTTCTACATTTAGAAGAACCCTGAATATGTCCTTCTCTTTCAAGATGCCAGTCAGAAAACCCATTGTGCGTAACTTTTCAATTTCCTGCACTCAAAAACCAAAAAGCCCTTGTCTTAAATCCACAGAACAGAATTCTGAGCTCCCCTGTTAGGTAAAAAAAAATCCATCAAACCCCACTACCTTTCTCTCTATGACATTTACTTGCAGTTTCCCACTTTTGTTTGAGTGACACGATGCCCCTAGAATGGTCAGGTTTTTATTTTCCTCAATGTAGGGGACAAGTAGGAAAACCAACCCATGAAGGAGGAGTCACATACCCAGCCTATGCCAGCTTTTATTTGTTCAACTCCTATTTATTGAATATTGAACATCTACTAAGTGTGCACCGCTACTCTTGGGAGAGAAACATGCATGAAGATGTAGGAAATAATCTCTGCCTTTCATGAGAATTAGAGAGAAACGGACAAAACCAGTATATACAGAGAACATTTAAAATATCTTATGCGTAGTATGAGTAATAGTTTGAAGAGGAAAAAGACAATGTCTGGCTAGAGCAACCGGCTTAATATACTCATGGGATTCTGGGTAAACTCATATCACTCATGTTTTTAATAGACTTGCTCCTTTTCATGAAAAAAAAATCTCTAACACCCAATTGCTGTTCTTTTCCTGGTACACTTCTTCAGTACCCTGCTTAAGAGAAACCCCTTCCAAAAAGCCTTCCCCAGGTTGGATTAAGATGTGTGATACTATAGTTTCTTACTGTAATATAATATATATTATAGTACGTAACTACCTTATAATATACATATGTTATATATGTAATATATAATATACATATTATGTAATATACCAACACATAATATATGTTATATTGTGTAATATAATCATATTACATGTTAGCATATTCTAAGGAATCATATATTTCTATTTTAGTAGGGAAAATGCCATACATTTGTTTTCTCAGCATGCTGCACTTAGTCTGGAATTTGGTAAGCATTAAAAAAGAATTTGTAGAATGAATACAAACCTTGTTTCAATTGAATCTTCAAAAATTGTTAAGATTTCTACAACTAGATATAATAGGGAGGAAACTTCAAGAAAGAAGAATGTGTGTAAAAACAAGACATATTTGAGAAATGAAAAAAAGAAGACACATTTTTTAAGGTAGAATATATAGAGGATAATAGAAGCTAAGACTTAAAGCCAAGTAGAGGAAGATTTTTTAAGGCCTTAAAGAATGAGATTGGATGTTTTTAGCCACAGTCAATAAGGAATTTCTAAATATTTTTGAGCAGGTAAGTGCCATGAACAAGCCTTTGTAACAATGTGAATTGTGAAGTGTCCATGACGGGATATCTAGAGTGAGAACAAAGAACACAGAAGATTTATTTCAAACTTTTAAAAATAAGGTGGTCAGCACCTGAACAAAGGCCTTGTAGAAGAAGTGAAAAGAAGAGAACTGAGAGAACTGGTGAAGGAAGACTCAACTGGATACAAAAGTCAAGGGCAAAGGAGAAGGAAAGAAGGAAAAGTGAAATACAAATTTCATGCAGTGATCAATGCTACTATGAATATGTACAGGGAACTCTATGGGGTGGAAACATATACAGAATGACAGGAATTAAAAACCAACTAGAGCAGTACCTAAGTTGACAATTTCACTTAGATTTGGAGATAACAGATTTTTGCTTTATTTTTAATTCTGAGTTTTATCTTTACTTCTTTACTTACTGATTTGTCCAGCTTCACTCCTGTCATCTATATTTCATTTCTTGATTATCCACCTTTGATTTTCTTACATCTACATCTAGATTTACATCTGTAAGGGAACAATCTAGCCCAAATTTGACCAGGTTCAAGCCTCACCTACTGTTGATTTTGAGCTGCCTTAGCTCCATTCACAACTGCAATCAGTTTGTGAATCACTGTTAGATGAGGGGAAATGAATGAAACTACTGAGAGAAATTTATAATCCTGGAGGAGAAACATTCCAGAGGTGGAGAAAGGATAATGAGTTTAGGTTTATACCTGTAAATAGTTATAGTATAATTTAGATGTCACTTGAATTCCTTGCCATTTACAGCTAGGTAGATTTTACCCAAACAACACGTATTTTTGTACTTCCTGGGGAAATCTAAAGCCTCTAAAAGATGTGTGAAAATTCTTCAGGACTTAATGTATAAATATCCACTCTTTTTCCAGTCTTTGGTTTCCACACGTACTATCAGGACCACACTGTATTTACCCAGATGCTAAAACTTAAAATTATTCAATTGCAAAAATAAAAGCAAACAAACAAAAAGCATACATTCACATATATGGACTATTGAGTAATCTTTGTCTTTATTCAAGATGGTGTAGGGAATATTAAAGTTGGATTTACATCAATTTCTCCATATCAGATACCCCACATCAAACCAAGGTTAAATATTCTGCCTCCAAAATTTCTTTCACCATTACTTTTTCTATGCACCCCCAGCCTCCTCCTCCTCCTCACATCACTGAATGATCGTTTAAAGTTAACTATACCAGGAGTTGATGAAACAACCAAAGAGCTTAGTTGGATTTGAGGGAAAAGAGGCAAGGGCAAACTTTTAGGAATGGCCACATCTAGAAGGTGAGAATTGGAAGAAGAATTGATGAAGACAGGAAGGGTAGTCAGGATTAACTGAATCAAGGAATTGCAATGACGTACAAACTGAGGGAAAAAGAGTTCCAAGAAGAGGCTGAGTGTGGTGGCTCACACCTGTAATCCCAGCACTTTGGGAGGCCGAGGTGGGTGAGGTCAGAAGTTCAAGCCTAGCCTGACCAACATGATGAAACCCCATCTCTACTAAAAATACAAACATCAGTTAGGTGTGGTGGCATGTGCCTGTGGTCCCAGCTACTCGGGAGGCTGAGGCAGGAGAATTGCTTGAGCACAGGAGGCGGAGGTTTGCAGTGAGCCAAGATTGTACCACTGCAATCCAGCCTGGGTGACAGAGCAAGGCTCCATCTCAAAAAAAAAAAAAAAAAAAAAGAGAGTTCCAAGAAGAAAAAATGGCAAATGTGTCAAATCAGCAAAAGTGATACCTGAAAAAGAGACCTAGGAAAGGTTACTGAATTTGGTAATTAGAGCTTCATCACTGGCTGAGAAAGGCCTCAGGAAGGGGCAGATAAAGGAACTCAAATACAGATGTGGCCTACTGGAAAGTTATCCCTATATATGCCAGCAGAGGGAATTGGTAGTTGTATTGTGTATCTTACGGGGGGAATTTTATGCTGTTCAAGGTCCCATGTATATATGCTGATGAGTGTATATTATGTGTGTTCTCAAGAGCTTAAAATTTTGGAGATGAAAACTTCTCACTTCATTGGTAATCTCTTTGTTCTATATCCTTTATGAGTGGAAGTAAAAAAAAAAATCTCTCATATTCACATTCACTCATTCAACAAGCATAATATGATTAGCTGAGAGGTGGGAGGTGGGAAAGAGAAGTTTGGGGAGAGAGATTTATTTCAGTTCATTCTATTTCTTCAAATATCCAGGAGGCCAAATGATTTACTGTTAACCTTTCACCAATAGTCCTACTAGCTGAAAGAAGAAATGCCATTGTGGCATCTGTCTGATTCTGGATACTTTCCAGACAGCTTCTCAAGACAAACTCACTGTTTACACACATAATCAGTTTACGCCTTGAATTGATATGAAAAACTCACAAAGTAAACCTACCACTTTGGGGACTCCCTGACTGACTTCAATAGGAAACTTTTAGCTGTAAAATAGCATTTTCAGTTTAACACTTGGACACTCAACCTGCGTGAACTGCTTTATTTCTTCCTCAAACAACCATATTCACATTTTCTAGATAATTATTCCCAATACCCAGTTCACTTTGTGTTTGGAGGCACTGCTTAGAATCATATCATTTTAGAGTCAGAGAGGATCAGATAGAACATATGCCCCAAACTTCTCATTAATAGATACAAATCCAAAGCTCCAAAAACATACTCAAGGTTACACAGCTAGTGAGTCTTTAAGAAAGGACTAACATTCCATATGCTCTGACTTTGGTTCCAGTACTCTGTCCCTAATTATGCTTTTCTGTTTGTGTTGGAGATTGCCAGCCCTTCTTACCACTCATCTGTGTTTCTAGTCTCAGTTTTGCCATTAATTATCTTTTACAACCATGAATACATTACTTACAGGCCTCAGTTTTGTCATGTGTAAAATGAGTGAGTCTAATTAAATATCTATAATCTAGTCAAGCTAAGAGATAGCAGGATTCTATGACCATCGTGAAACCAATTGTCTTTTTCAGAGGTCTTTGTGTTTCCCATAATAGAATCCCAATTAAGCAAGTGTAATTAAAAAGATAGATTTATGATAGAGACATGGGGCTATCTCACAGATCCCTAGGTAAGCAAGTATGGGGGACCACTCCAGAACTAGTACTATAAACTGGAACTACAAGGTTTTAACTTACTGATAGTGGCAGGAGGCAGACAAATCCTAAGCAGACAAGAGCAGGTGTCAGGTGAAACATGACCTTCAAGCCAAAGACAGTTTAAAGCCTAGCTACAAGTCCCAGGCAAATCCATGGACTGGATTTTGAGCCTGTCTTCCTATTTGGTGTGCTTTCCTCTGATTGATCTCCACCCTTCACATATTTTAGATATGCCTACTCTTCCCTAATTTGTTTTTGACACTGTCGTGCCCACCCTTGGGTGGTACCTTGGTTTTAGCCTTTTTTTTTGCATACTCACAAACCAATCAGCACCTACCCCCTCCCATTCTGAGCCCATAAAAGCACCAGACCCAGCCACAATGGGAGAGGTTAAATATTCTTTGGGTGGGGGACCATCCTCACGTCCTTTCTCTGATGAAAGCTGTTTCGTTGCCCAATACAATTATTCTCCACCCTCCTTACCCTTTGATTGTCAGCATAACCTCATTCTTCTTGGATGCAGGACAAGAACTCAGGACCCACCAAACACAGCACAAAGAAGGCTGTAATACCGTGGCCCTCTGCCCTCCTCCAGTGTAGGGCAGGCACCCCATGTGACAGGAAATAGCAGTGGGACTGAGCCAGCCCCGGAGCTGCAGGCCGGAGCAGGGCAACAGGAATAAAAGAGCTAGTTAGCACACTGTAACAGCCCCTCTGGCGCTTCAAGGTCATGGGCACCTCTCCCTGAGCACCACTGCATTCCCCTTGTCTGGACACCAGAGTCCACCATAGGAGTTGTTGCTTGCAACATGCCTGGTCCATCTGCAAGCCACACACAGAGCCTGCTCCTGTGCCCACACTTCGAATGGCTGGCCAGACCCCACACTGGCTCACTCACAAACCCCCTCCCCTCAGGGACTGAGCACACAGTTACAGCAGCCACGGGATATGTGCTGGAGTGCAAGCCAGGCATGGCTCAGTGGGCTGAGTAGACAAGACAACTCTTGCAGCATGCCTGGGATGAGAAAGACCTGGGCAGGGTGTTGTCAGCCAGAGGTGTGGAGCTGGTAAAGTGGCTGAGGAAAATCTCGCATCATTACTCCTTTCATGCCTATCAGGGGTGCCTGGATTCTTATGCCTAATCTCTGGCTATTAGCATTCTTTTCCCCTTCAGATCAGTCCTCTCATCAGGTCTCTTTCCCAGGCACAGAACACAGCTGTCTACAGGGGCAGTCTCCTGTCTCAGTTCAAACACTACCAGAGCCTAACTAGCATCTCTCAGTTCCAATTCCAAATGTCTTCTCATCAAGTCTGATTGGTCCAGCCTGGGTCAGTTATCTATCCAGCTTAATAAACTGGGTCCCATGGGTCAAGACCACAATCCTCTCCATCTTCAGAGAAAGGCAACCTGGTCTTGGCAGAGTCTTCTCAGGAATGCTATATTTTCAAATCTCCTAGAGTCAGTTGCTATTTGATTGATACCAGGATGACAAGAGCTAAGACTGTGGCTGAATCAACGTTGGTATAAGCAGAGGGCCCAGTATGAATATTTTTCTCTCTCTAGGTCTGACCACAATCTATATCAATAACTAACTGGAATAGATATATGCCCTACTTAGCTATTTAAGACTGTCTATACCTGTAGGATTCCATATTAGGGGCTTGAAAAAGGCACACACACAAAAAAGAAAAGTAAATTCAGGTTAACAGTTTAGTATGAAAATAAGATGTAGAGCCAGAAAGTGAAGAAGCAACTAAAACCTCTCTACAGAGGATAGAAAACTCATAGCAACAACTAAAGGAATCCCACAAAAGAGAGTAGTCTCCAGATACAGGAAGAAGTGCAACTATTCCTTCGGGAGGGCCTCAGTTTAAAGGGATTAAGGTAAATATTTAGGATAAAAAAGGAATCAACTAGGACAAGACAGCAAGGAATTCAGTGCGATTTCTCTTTGAGCAGGAGCTGGTTTGTTATCATAATGAAACAAGCCCCCCGCTGGCACCTTTTCCGTGACTTGTTTTCAATCCTATTGAGATTTCTACCCTTCAAAAGAAAGGATGTGGATTATTAGACTCTTGGCAGGGGGTACAGAAAAATCTATGTTGCTCTAGGTCCAACCCAGCAGTGGCGGATTAAGATGTGATTGAATGGATTGGCAATCATCAGCCCCACACTCAGAACCTCCAGGTTCCTCCAGGATACCCAACAAGCCTCTTTTCCCAGTAGAATTCCCCTTTGCCGCTCCCATTTCTTCTTTAATTATTTTCATTAACCTTCTTGTATTCCACTGGTGAGTTGTACTAACCTGCAACCAGGCTGTGTTTCTTCAAATATTATGTTTTTAAAAGTTATCTTGGTGGGGAGGACAGTATCCTTTATTATATTTGAAGAAGAAAACAATATTGGGACATCTTTATTTTCATCATTGTACACACTGAATTGTTTGAATCCATTTGTTTAAATCAGTTAAATCTGGCTGCACCAGAGAGCTTTCTGCACCAGAAAGCTTTTTTTTTTTTTTTTTGAGACAGAGTCTCGCTCTGTCACCCAGGCTGGAGTGCAGTGATGCAATCTTGGCTCACTGAAACCTCCACCTCCTCTCGGGTTCAAGCGATTCTCGTGCCTCAGCCTCTTGAGTAGCTGGGATTACAGGCATGCACCACCACACCAGGCTAATTTTTGTATTTTTAGTAGAGACAGGGTTTCACCCTGTTGGCCAGGTTGGTCTCCAACTCCTGACCTCAGCTGATCTGCCCGCCTCAGCCTCCCAAAGTGCTGAGATTACAGGCATGAGCCACCGCACCCGGCCAAGAGAGTTTCTTATGGCAACTTAATTTGCTATTCCCTAAAATAGAAGGATAGCATGTTTTCATCTTTTGTTGCTTTACCCTAGAGACTTCCCAAATAATATTTTAAGAATAAAGAGAATACTAAAATATTCTATTCTTATATCTTTGATAGAAAAGATTTAGAAATATATACTATCTATTTTCCTGCATAGATGTATTATATATTATACATACTATTAATATATCTAGGCTATCAGATAAATACATGTATGCTATGCTACTATATCTATGCTTTGCTGCCAGAGACATATATCAGAGAGCAGGGCAAATGATCTGAATAATTATCAAATTCATAGACCATATTTAATTGAACTTCCATGTCCATAGATATTGAGCATAATAAAGTTTAAAAACTCTCAAGTGAGTTTTTGAGGACTTCTCTCTTCAATAGGGGGTTCTATCTGCCTTTTTTATACCATTAATAATCATTTGTAAATAAAAAGAGATTTGATTTTGAATGGGCACTTCCAGTTGTGAGTGCCAACTGAAAGCAAAAGACCCTTCTTAAATACATTGCCCTTGGGAACACAAACAAAAATATAACTCTGATTTGTCATTTTAGTGACCATACTTCTCTCTCATAGATTAACATTAACCATTTTGAGTGTCATGAGTCACGGTTTATAGGTAGAAATGGACCCATTTCTTGATTAGCATATTCTGCCTATGTAAAAACTTGGAGATTTTACTAAAAATGTAGATACCTCCAAAACTCTTAGGATTACTTTCTCTAACTTTAGAAAAGCAGGACAAAGAACCCATGGTTTAATGAAAACCATTTTGCTGCCCTTTTCAGTTTTTTTGCATATTAAGACCAATGCTTTCCAACAAGCACTGCCAGAGTCTAACCAGAGTCTCTGAATTCCAATTCCAAATGTCTTATCAATCAAATATGATTGGTCCAGCATGATTATGTTTCTACCCAGCTTGATAAACTGGAGCCAGTAGGACAAGACTGGACTTCTTAGTAGTGCAAGACTAGACTAGACTCCATGTTCTGAGAAAGGCAATCTGATCTTAGCCAGTCTAATCAAGGATTAAATCTCTAAAAATCCCTCTAATTGGGGACTGGTTTATGTCAGTCTATGCTGGAAAACATCATTCCTTCTAATGGTAAAAAGATGAATAAGCAATTCTAGAGCAGTGGTTTTGTAAACACTCAAGGGGTTCACCTTGCCCACTGCCTAGACAGAGCTGATTTATCAAGAAAGGGGAACTACAATGGAGAAAGAGTTTTTCATGCAGAGCCAGCTGTGCAGAAGACCAGAGTTTTATTATTATTCAAATCATTCTCCCTGAACATTTGGGGATCAGAGTTTTAAAGATAATTCGGTGGATAGGTGCTTGGGAAGTGGGTAGCGTCAATTGTTGATGGAATCATAGGGGGTCAAAGTAAATTTTTGTTGCTGTTGGTGTCTTCTGTTCCTGGGTGGGATGGCAGAACTGGTTGAGCCAGATTACCAGTTTGGGTGGTGTCAGCTGATCCACTGAATGCAAGGTCTGCTAAATATCTCAAGCAGCCTAAAAAATTTTAGGTTTTGCAGTAATGATATTATCCCCAGGAGCCATTTGGGGAGGTTCAGACTCTTGCAGCCAGAGGTTGCATGACCCCTCAATCATAATTTCTAATCTTGCAGCTAGTTTGTTAGTCCTACAAAGGCATACTGGTCCCCAGGCAAGCAGGGGTCTTTTCGGGAAAGGGCTATTATCAATTTTGTTTCAGAGTCAAACCATGAACTGAATTCCTTCCCAAAGTTAGTTCAGCCTATGCCCCTGAATGAACAAGGACAACTTAAAGGTTAGAAGCAAGATGGAATCAGTTAGAGCTGATCTCTTTCACTGTCATAATTTCCTCAGTTATCATTTTTGCAAAGGCAGTTTCAGTTTTTAAACTATTCTTTGCATTCCCACATTCTAATTTTGGAAGTTGGGAAATACAGAAAGTTCTTTGTTTTAACTAACAATTACAAAAAACAAAATAAAAATTGAACTGATAACAAAAGAGCAGAATGAATAAAAGTTTCAAAAGATCCACCTATTAGTAATTCAAATAATACATGACCAGCAAAAAAATGTAGCAACTGACAATTTTTTATTTTATTTTATTTTTATTTTTTTGAAACAGAGCCTCGCTCGGTCACCCAGACTGGAGTACAGTGGCGTGATCTAGGTTTACCGCAATCTCCACCTCCTGGGTTCAAGCAATTCTTCTGTCTCAGACTCCAGATTAGCTGGGCTTACAGATGCCGGCCACCACACCTGGCTAATTTTTGTATTTTTAGTAGAGACAGGGTTTCACCATGTTGGCCAGGCTGGTCTCAAACTCTTGACCTCAGGTGATCCACCTGCTTTGGCCTCCCAAAGTGCTGGGATTACAGGCAATTTTCATAAAATCAAGATGTTCTGAAAATGAAGTATGTTTCCCCAATACTGAGAGAATTCCATTGTTCCCCCAATACTGAGAGAATTCCATGTATATGGACAGACTAGGAGCTTTACAAAGTTATGAGAGTTGTGTGGCAGTCATACCTCTTACGGGAATACTAACCAGGTCATCCAAGTTCTAGTAACATGCTGTTTTTGCTTAAGGATACTGAATTTTTTAACCCTTACTCTACCCTAAATAGCCCAATTTTCTTTGGAGTAAAAGTACACAGAATTGCTAGTCATTTGGCATGAGAAGTACATAAATGACTTGCTGTTTTTATTTTTCCATGAAGTTGGCAAGTTCCCTGTAGTCTACCAGAGGCTTAAGGATCACACTGAGGAAAACATTGCTCTAGAGCTGCAGTTCTGTAACTAATTTCATATCTGACAATTGAGAACCAAGTATGGCCCTGGCTGGATTTTTGGAATGTTAGATCTTGTGGACCTTCGCCTCCCTGTATGGAAGAGATGGAAGAAAAGGAAGAAAGTAGAATTATGCATTTTTGCTGTCCCCTTTAAAGTCTCTCCTTCCTCTGCACATTTCTTTCCTCCCCACAGACAAGCAAAATAAATACAGATGGGGGAAAAAAGTTGTGATTGCTGATTAATTGATTGCTGTACATATCCATAATACCTATCATGACATGAAAGTTCTTAGGAACGGCTTTCATGTTTCCATGGAACATAGTGCCCAATCTCTGTAGCTTTTGTTTTTTTGTTTTGTTTTGTTTTGTTTCATTTTTTGATGCTAAATTCTGTGTATATCATTAGGAAATGCCTGTATATAAGTCTGCAGAATTATACTTTTGAATTCTCTGCTGACTTGAGATAAAATTAGCACTTTTATTAGTCACCGATTACTTCTTTACTTCTGCTTTAAAAAGACCAAATCATTTGGATGAAGCTTGGACCATGTTGTCTGAAAAGTTGTTGCAGAATCACGGATTAAATTCTCCCCTGTTTTTCTATCTGTCTTTATCCCCTGTCTGTTTCTCTCTCACTCACTCACTTTCTTTCAGCTACTGTGTATTCAGTGTTTACCTTTGCAAGACATTGCATTTCACTGTTAATATATGCTATGATATTAGCCTGAGCAAAGTCTCCTAAAATCAATCATTTATCTATAGCAATACTATCCCTAAGAATTAAGATATAGTCAATAAAGGCTTCTGAAATTCTACCAATACTTAAAATAATGGCAATGTTCCAGAACACTGCTGTTTTCTTGAAGTAGTTTAATTTTGGTCTCAGTCTTTGGCCAAGAATGGGTAAAGACACAAATCCACAAATCCACTTCAGGAAAAAATAACACCCAGGAATTAAAGAATAAAAATGTCAACCAATTATTAGCTACACTTACAGAAATGATTACTAATTGCATTAATACTTTATTTTACCTGGTATTCAACCCAGTGTATTTCACTGTCTGTATATGTTACTATGAGAGTTAGGGAGTGTCCTTGGGAATTTTTCAATTAATGATCAATAACAGATAAAGATCAATCTCCAGTTATGGAGTTGTTAAATTAAGGTATGTAATTAAATCAGCAGCCAACCAGAATTCTATGTAGAAAAACCAACATCTTCAATGTAACTTTTCAAAAGTTATCCATTTCTTCTTTACTTCTGCTTTAAAAAGACCAAATCATTTGGATAATGCTTGGACCATGTTGTCTGAAAAGTTGTTGCAGAATCATGGTTTAAATTCTTCCTTTTTTTTTTTTTTTTTTTTTTTTTTTTTTTTGAGACGGAGTCTCGCTCTTTCGCCCAGGCTGGAGTGCAGTGGCGCTGTCTCGGTATCTCGGCTCACTGCAAGCTCCACCTCCCGGGTTCACGCCATTCTCCTACATCATCCTCCCGAGTAGCTGGGACTACAGGCGCCCGCCACCGCGCCCGGCTAATTTTTTTTTGTATTTTTAGTAGAGACGGGGTTTCACCTTGTTGTTAGCCAGGAAGGTCTCGATCTCCTGACCTCGTGATCCCCCCGCCTCAGCCTCCCAAAGTGCTAGGATTACAGGCGTGAGCCACTACGCCCGGCCTCTTCCCCGTTTTTATACCACTCTTTATCCCCTGTCTGTTTTTCTCTCTCTCTCTCTCTCTCTCTCTCAGCTACTGTGTATTCAGTGTTTACCTTTGTAAGACATTGCATTTCACAGTTAATATAATACCTAATTTAATTATTCCACTACCTCCCCAAGCAATTATCATATTCATATTAAAAATGAAAAATCAGTGCTTAAACAGGTAGGATCACATTCTTCTAGCATTTGGAAATGTTAGTATCAAAGTTTAAGTCTGTCTGGCTTTAAAATTGTGCTCTTCACCACAGATCAGCTTTTCTCAAGAGTGACAAAAGTGAATTCCTTGCTTTTGCCTGCAGAAAAACAAGAGTCCTAAAGGCTAAAGACTTATTCTTTAAATTTATGTGGGGAGGAGAACCTATATTTCTTTCCTTTCCATTAAAGGAGGTTTGGGGGCATGACATGAAACTGACAACCAAAGAAGGAGTAAATATTGATAATATCCTGGGTGGTTGAATGGGCTTCTAATTTTTATTACTATTCAGGAAGTGTCACTCAAACTAGATTCTTTTATTGCAGTGGTGCTGTGAATCACTGTCATAAATTTTCTGTTTGTACAATTTTCCCTCTCATATTGTCAAGTATCTCGTAGTTTTATTAGTGGCTTGCCTGTAATTAGATTCCAGGTACAGACACACACTCATCTTTCCAGAGGAAATCAGAAAAACTATCACTTGTTTTCTGCTATTCCAGTGAATTCAGTTTGGGACATAAGATACGTTAGTAGTAATTTCATTTGTGAGTTACACAATACCCAGTGACAATGGACTCTGCTCTCCTGATGTTTCTGTAACCTCCCCTCATTTGGGATTTTGCTCTGCCTGAACATTTCTGTTTTTAAGTGAAAACTCTCTCTCATATTTTGGGACCTATACAAATTAAAATCAGAAAGAAAAACCATATAAGTATAGTTGTCTTCAATATTCTTAAGTATCGCAGTGTTCATTGTCTCTTTATGTAATTCCTGGCTTAATTTTAAAGGAGAAGAATTTAATTTTAAATATAGCATCTGTCCTACGAGCAAAATCCCCAGGGGCCACTTGTTGTTTTCTTTCTTCTGAGACCCATAGGTTAATGATATTTATTTCTTAGTGTTTGCAGTTCTGCTGAGTACACACTGTAAAGTGCAGTCCTTGGTGAGATGTGCTTACTTTATCCCTTAGACCCAAATGAAACTTTCAAATGATATGACTTTGGTTTACATAATTTTTAAAAATCTGTCAGTGAGTCTAATAGTGTCACATTTATGAACACTCTATTCCCAGGGGCTGTCAAACACAAAGGGCAGAGAAACCTGAATAAACATATTTTCAGGGAAACAGGTGCTAAAAGAAAGGCCAAGAGCACCATTATAATCTATCAGATCATGAAGTGACCATGTTTTACCCATGTAAGAAAACATGAATTTCATTTATTTTCCCCCTAACTGTCCAAGGATTCACAATTCATGACACACATGCGTTTCAGAACAAATTAAGGTGAAAAGATGCTCAGATATTAATGGAAATCTCCTATTTTCTTTTGATTAATTAAAAGGGATTTTAGGAGAAAACTAATAATGATCCACAGGGAAGAAAAGGCCATTAAAGTCATGGAATATATATTAGCAATTATCCTACTTTATTTACAACCCATTTTTCTGCTGAAAACGGAATGCATAAAATATATAAATTGTCATGAAATAATAAATGTATATAAAATTCATGAATACCTGAAAACACATTGTAAACATTATGATATTATTAATTAAAATAATTTCATATTTTTCAGTGACCAAAGTACATGAGATGAACTTTTAAATAGTATTAAATAAGTAAAGTAGGGTTGTTATAGAATGCAGCCCTAATTAGACTCTGCTCATTTTGATCTTCATTTAAACATCTCCTAATTCTCTTCTTACAGGGAAACATAGATTATAAACTAAGGTAAGGCTATAATGAGTCAGACAAATTTTGAGTGCTTATTATTTCATAGAAGATGGAATATCAAGACAGATTCTTGCAGGTGAACATATGAACTTTGAGCTGTAACAAATATCAACAGGGCAGTTCTGGTCTAGACTTGCTCTGGGTACATGCCAGCCCCTTCACTTAAAAAATACAATAACCTCAATAAATCTGGATTTGTCCATGCCTGACTTGAATATGAGTTGCAATCCCAGGAAATTCCTGATTGAATTCCCAGGGATCCAGACTAATGAATCATGGTATTGGACATTTGAACATGGATGTTGACTTTGCCAAATGGAGAGGTCAAGCATAGGGTTAAAACCTAAGTACATTTTCCGGAAATAAAGACCTGCTCTGGGCTGGATGTGGCAGCTCCCGCTGTGGTACCAACACTTTGGGAGGCCTAAATGGGAAGGTTGCTTGAGGCCATGAGGTCAAGACCAGCTTGGGCAACATAATGAGACCCCTTCTCTCCAAAAAAATGAATAAATTAGCTCGGCATGGTGATGCACACTTGTAGTCCCAGCTTCTTGGGAGACTGAGGCAGGAGAATCACTTGAGCTCAGGAAGTTGAGGCTGCAGTGAGCCATGATTGGGCCAATGCACTCCAAACTGAGCAACAAAATGGGACCCTGTTTCCAAAAAGAACCAAAAACCAAAAAACAATAACAACAACAAAACACACTGCTCTGAAAGAAACCCAAATGTAGATATGAACTACCAAATATTTACTGAACAATTGTGGTGCAAAGCACAATATTTGACTCCAGATATCTAAGATGCATTTCAAGCTTAATGAAAGAAACAGAAACTATTCATGAAAGGTAAGTAGCATGCGGTGTAGTGGGAAAAGCATGATTTTTTAAATTCCCACTAGGTTGTAAACTTTTTCACATCTTTAATCCCTCAGTTTCTTCCTCTATAAAATGAGAGTGAAAAATCTATCTCATAAACCAGGTGCGGTGGCTCACGCCTGTAATCCAAGCACTTTGGGAGGCCAAGGAGGGTGGATTGCTTGAGCTCAGGAGTTTGAGACCAGCCTGGGCAACATGGCAAAACTCCATCTCTTTGTAGAAATACCAAATTTAGCCGGACACGGTGACACACCCCTGTAGTCTCAGCTACTCGGGAGGCTGAAGTGGGAGAATCGCTTGAGCCCAGGAGGTTGAGGCTACAGTGAGCTAAGATTGCGCCACTCACTGCATTGTAGCCTGGGTGATACAGTGAGACACTGTGTGTGTGTGTGTGTGTGTATATATATATATATATATATATATATATATATATATATATATATATCTCATAAGGTAATTCTGGTGATTGAACGAATTTGTTTATGTGCATCTGGCACATAGTGAGCACTCAATTGATTGTAGCCATTAAATACGCCTACAATATATAGTGGTTCGTAAGAGGTACTTGATAAAGACTAGAGTCCTTCAAAATAATGGTTCAGAAATAAGAGTCATAACATAATAATTCACTGAATAATAATAAAGCCTTTAACAGAAAATGCAGGACTTCAATGACCATGTGGGAGAAGATATACCAGAAAAACAAATGTATAGAGGGAATTATTTGATGTTTGAGAAATAATAAGTAGAAAATTCATCAAACTAGAAGCTAAATGATGCAAAGTGGGGTAGAGAAAGTTAAGAATGGAGAAGTAAGAAGCAGTGGAAGAAACTTCTAATTTTTTATGGACATCATTTAGAACATCAATAACATTTTAATCAAGTAAAATAAAATTCAGCAATGAATATTATATGAAATACGTAAATATGTAAAATTGCATATTGACCATATGTTTCTGTTAAGTAAATATTTGCTGCTGTGGCAAGTAAGGCCCCAAATTTCAATGGCATATTACAATAAAAGTTTGTTTTTTATGTGCGTAAATTACATGTTCCTGATCAGCAGACAGCCTTCCATATTGCCAATTATGGATCTAGACTCCTCTGTATTATAGCTTTGCCCTCCTCTGAATCCACTGAGAAATCTCTATTCAGCAAAAGTACGGGGAAAGAAAGTGAAGGAATGATTACAGAAGGTTTTAATTACTTCGGCCTGGAAATAGTGTCCATCATTTTTGTCTAAACTCTATTGGCCAGAACTCAATCACATGGGCCTCGTTCAATTTAAATCAAGGCTAGGAAGAAAAAAAAAGTTTTAATATTTTTAAAAGCACATAGTAGTCTGTCATATCATCTAAAATGTTTGTCTGTTCAGGCTGGAATTTACAACACTCAACTCTTGACAAACAACACATGAGCAAGAACAGATGAAAATTGATGGCTATTTAGAATTGACTTATGAGCCTCATAAGAAAGCACTATAGTTTTCTTTTTTTTTTTAAATCAAGTAAGCTTGAATCAAAATGACTGACTGGTTGGATTGTGAGCTATCTAAAATGTAAGAAAAGTATTCAAAATATGTAGGTCTGTCTGAATGTTCTGATACAAGGAGCTATTTCAACATTCCATTGTGTTATTTGCAACCTTTCCAAATAAGCATATTCTCTTTGTGCATTTTACATGTTAATTACTGAAAGAATACTTGTTGTTAAATATTAAAGAGTATTATGAGGTATTCATGTAACATATACAAATGCTCATGAAAATGAAGAGGAAAATTTCTTAATTACATAAAAGCATTTAAATAAGAAACAATATCATATAAACAGTTTGTTAAAAATGTAACCATCAGAAAAGTGCATAATAAAATTCCTTCCTACTAAATCTAGTAGTAGATGTAGTAGCCAGTGATGCTGCTACGGGATGAAATGTACCCCCAAAATGCATATGTTGAAGTCTAACACTTAGTAACTCTGAATATGGCTATATTTGAAGAGAAGGCCTTTAAACATTTGATTAAATTAAAATGAGGCCATTGAGGTGGGTCCTAAGCCAATATGACTGGGGATAGGAAGAGAAAATTTGGACACACAAATAAAGACCAGGGATGTACACACACAGAAGAGCATGTGAGGATACAATGAACAGGCAGCTATCTACACGGCAAGGAAAGAGGCCTCTGGAGAAAGCAAACCTGCTGACTCATTGATCTTGGACTTCCAGTCTCCCGAACTGTGAGAAAATATACTTCTGTAGTTTAAGCTACCCAGTCTATAATTTCTTCTTATGGCAGCCCAAACAGACTATAATAGGTGATTATGAGGTGACAGGTCTGCTTCAAAATTTAAGGTTTCAAAGCCAAATAGGCACCATAAAGTATTTACTAAAAGACTTAAAAGTACTTTTGCAATTAAAAAAGCCAGTAAACAACTGAGTATCATCAAAAGGCCTGTAACACAACAATTCGTTTGGATGTAATGCTGGAAAACTTTGGAATATTGCCAAAATGATATATTTTGAAAATTTATAACCTAGTTATTTAGAATACAGAATGCAAATTCTTATAGAAAAAGTAATAGTAGGGAGTTCATAATACAAAGTGTTTCATTTACCAGGAAGCTAAAAAAATTATTAATTTGTATTCACCTAAATACATGAACACACATATGTAATGCAAAATATGACATAAATGAAAGAAGAAATCACAAGCACAAACACAATTATAAAAGGAGATTTTAACACAACTCTCTCAATACTTGATCAGAAAAACATAAAACATCATTGAAATCACAGATTTGCAACATATGACTCACAAACTTGAACTAATTGCTATCTATAGAACATTGCATCCTGCAACTACAGAACATTTTCAGCATTGGTCATACACCAGGATATAAAACAAGTTTAACAAATTTCAAATAATTGAGGCTATACATATTTTGTTTTGAACACAATGGCATTAAGCTAGAAAACAATTTTTAAAATGTAGAAAACCCTCAGATATTTGGAAATTAAGAACTATAATTCCAAATAGTTCATAAGTCAAAGAAGAAATCTCTGAAAAATTAGATATTTTTAACAAAATAAAAATCTAAAGTAAATTAAATCTGAAATATACATATTTAAAGAAAAAAGGTTGATAATAAATTATTTATGTAATTGTTTTCATTCATTTTGTGTTGCTATAACAGAATACCACAGACTGGTTAATTTATAAATAAAAGAAATTTATTTTTTAGAGTTCTGGAGACTGGAAAGTCCAAGGTTAAGGGGACTGCATCTGCTGAGGGCCTTGTGGTTGTGTCGTCCCATGATGGAAGGTGGAAGGGCAAGAGAACACAAGAAAGCCCAAGAGAGACCAAACTCTCTCATATAATGAATCCATCTCATGATGACAAACCCATTCCTGCAGTAATAGCATGAACCTATGCATGAGGGTAGCCCATTCACAAGGGTAGATTCCTCATGACTTAATCACCTCTTAAAGATCCTGTTAAGGTTGCTGCAGTGGGAATTAACTTTCCAACACATGGACTTTGAGTAAAACATTCAAACCATAGCAGTATCCATTTCAAGAAGGTTAGAGAATAAACAGTTAGTTAAACCCAAAGATAACAGAATGAAGGAAATTAAGGAGGAAAAACATGTGGAAATTAATCAAATAAAAGAAAAAAAATCTCAATAGGAAAAAAAAAACAACACAGTGAAACCGAAAGTGTGCCTTTGAAAGGGCAAATTACCCTAGCAAAACCCTAGCAAAAAAAAAGCAAAATTAAAATATTAATAAATAATAAGATATAAATACTAGGAATGAAAAAGAGGCATCACTTCAGAATTTGTAGAGATTTTTAAAAAATAGCTATTATAAACAACTATATGCCAAAATAAGTGCAAATTCAGATGACAAGACAGATAACTACAACAATGTAACTTAGCAAAACTGATGAGAAAAAACAGAAATCTAAATAGTCTTATGTACGTAAGACATTAAATTTGGGATGAAAATCTGCTTCATTAGCCATAGACAAATATGAATTAAAACTAAAATAAGTGCTATCCACATCCACTAGAACTGCTAAAGTTTAATATAGAAAATAATAAGGATTGTCATGATATGAAGCTACTGGAATGTTCATATACCTGGGAATACAAATTGGTGCAATTGCTTGGTACATGAAAAAACAGGGAATCTCATACACAAGGTGGAACAGAAGAGGAATGACACAAAATTCAAACTATATGATTCAATTTATATTATGTGTCAAAACTAATCTATATTCCCTTGTGGAGAAGAGGTGTGGTAGGTAGCAGGGTGTTTGAAAGAGACTTTTAGGGTGCACATACAGTCATCCCTCAGTATCTGCTGGGGATTGGTTCCAGGACCCCTGGAATACCAAAATCCACAACTGTTCAAGTCCCTTTTATAAAATGACATAGTATTTGCAAATAACCTAGGCACTTCTTCCAGTATACTTTATCATCCCTAAAATACTTACAGTACCTAATACTATGTAAAAACTATATAAATAGTCATTATACTTTGCTTTTTATATATTATATTGAATATTTTCAATTCATGGTTGGTTGAATCTGTGGATGCAGAATTTGCAGATATGGAGGGCTGACTGTAATGTTCAATTTACTGACCTGATTGATGATAGAGGTGGTATGTTCACTTTTATCACACTAATTACTTATTTTTTGTGTACTTCAATAAAATGTCTATAAAACCATCACAGATATGATAATTATTCAACATGTACTGGGCTCCATTATGAAATTCTCCAGTCTCTTTATTATAAACAAGGTATAATTACCTGGCGAGAACAAGGCCATTGTGGTTTAATCATGAACACATGAAACACTAAAATAGCCAAAACAACAAAAAAAGAAGCTCATAATTTCAGCTGAAGAAAGCTTGTTTCAAGTTTATTCCAAAAACAGAAAAAAATACACATATTTTTATATATGTATGTAACAGAGAAAGAAACAGGGAAGAAAAATCAAAATAGAAGCAAATATTGAAGATATTTTACACAGCTAACATAAAAACTGCAGAATTTGATTCCTCTAAAAGACAGTAAGAATAGAACTTGTAAATTTGAAAAAAATCAGTTGAGACATTGTTGTTCTTGCTAATTAACAAAAAGTGTTGATGTGACATTTAACACTTAGATGTTAACTACTGAACAGATGAAAATAAACTGGGAAAGCCTGGCCCCAAAGTGTAAAAAGACCATAGGAAACATGTAGATATAATAATTTATAGTTCTGCCACATTGCCCAGCTAGGCAACTTAACCAACAACTTCCAGCCCCAAGCTCAGATCTCATTTAGCTATTTAGACTGGGGCCAGTTCCAGGAAGTAAGTTTTGATTAGTTCAATCTAATAATGGATAGTAATTTCATCCTCCTGGCTAGTAAACAGGTTTAGAAAAGATTGTGTTGCCTAATTTTCACCAGTTGAGAGTGCTTCATGGAAACGCACAGAAAATAAGGAGGATTCAGCCTTTCTTTTTCCTCCTCACTCTGAACACTGTTGTCCCCTGAGGTGCTACAAACAGCTTGCTCTATGATGAGAGAGAAACCCTATTTCTGAGAATAAAGAATAATGTGATCATTGAAATAGAAAATTAACCAGCCATTGAACCATCCTACCACCCTTCACTGCAAGATAATAAATCTCTAAATTGTTTATCCCAGTGATTCTCAAAGTGTGGCTTCCAGATCAGCAGCAGCAACATCACCTGGGAACTTGTCGGGAATGCAAATTCTCAGAAACCACCCCAAAACTACAGAATTAGAAACTCTGGGCAGGTGATCTTCATGGTCCCATAAAGTTTGAGAACCACTGGAAAGAATCATTTTGAATTGAGTTCTGTTACTTTTGGCCAAAACTTTCTATATGAAACCATAAATGGTAAGGAGTTAGATAAAAGTAAATGGTGATTACGGAAGAAAAAGACAGAGAGAAACAAATTTGGAAAAGCAATGGGTAATATAAAGCTAGAACCTGGTACATTTTCTTGCATTTAAATTATAACTCAATAAAGAACATACTCACATACACAAAAGGCTAAGATTGAGTTTATTTTTCAAATTCTACACTTCATATCTTAAGCACCTCTGTGTTTGATAGCAGTTTCATAAACTACGAATACCTCAGGGTCTCAGCATAACCCATGTTGATCTTTGTATTAGTTAAGATTCGTAATACTTCCTTAGCCCTCCAGTATTAAGAAGCCAAAGAACATAGCAGAGTACTTATAGCTCTGTCTTTCTGCTCATAAAAATCCCTCAAAAACACTAACTGAAGACATAAAAATACAAATTATTTTACCTTTCCAAAATTATAGAGCACTCTAACCCTAACCCTCAAAATTTATGGAAGAACTGCAAAATGTAGCAAAGACTAGACAGGTGTGGGGAAACATCAAATGCGAAAACCTGTAGATCTCAAGCAAAACCAGAAGAGCGTAGTCATCCTTAAGTAGGGATTGCATCCTCAGAAGCCGAAGAAATAACATTTTTTGTTTAAAATCTTTTCTGTTTAAAACAAAAGAAATAGAACACCCAGGCTGGTGGGAAAAGCTTCACGAGATGTCATTTGGTACCATGGTGTATCAGGAATTCCACAAGGAAACAGACATACATGACATTATTGAAGAGATTGGAGACAGATTGGAGAGGAAAACCTGAGGAGGAGTTTGGAGGCTTTTATAGCTATTCACCTTTCCTGGCCATGTAAAAGTCATGGTTAAAATAAATCTGTTCGCTCATCCAAGGTGACACCTTGAATATCCTTGTACATAAAGGTGAATTCCTACTAGCTGACATGCATTTCCTTGATCTCTCACACTAACCTTCTGCACAGAGCCAGTCCAGGAAGAGCTCAGCTTATTTAAACAATCAAACTTAACCAGTCCCCCAAAATGCTACAAAGTGAAAGATGAAGGCTAGAAAGAACAACAGAAACAATTACAATATCAAACATATTATTATGAAATTTTTAAAATTTAGTAAAATAGCCAAAGGGTTCAAAGCAAATACACAGGGCTTAAGGAAATATATAATAGTGCAAAGAAATAGAAGCTTAGGGAAACCATTGAATAGAAAACAAAACAATTATTGAAGCTTCACTGACAACAATGCAAAGGAAAACCTACTGCTAAAAACACAAAACAAGTAAATGGAGGTCAAAGTTTGAGGGAAAAAAATGAGCAATGCTCATCCAAACAATGAGTTTAAAAAGCAGTGACCATAATTGGAATGGAAACATTTTCAAATATGTAAATCAAAATTATTTTCTGGAAATATAACTGAGCTACAGAATAAAAGAGAAAATTGTCCGGGAAAAGTGTCCAGGAAAAATTGATACAGAATGATCAAGCCTAAAATATACATGGGTAGAGTTAGTGGTCTTCTAAAAAGAAAACAAAAGAAAAAACCTCTGCTTGGCATCAAGTTCACAAAGATAAAGTTACCATTGGAGGAAGATTCAGGCTAGCCTTAGAGACTTCTGTTCAGAACTTTCTAATAGTAGAATGGATTGGATTGCTAAATGCCTACAACATTTTCAGAGAAAGAAATCGTAACACGAAAAGCTTTATAATCAGGAATCTAAATGCAAACAAAGGCAGAAGACAGACATTTTTACATGTGTGGGAATTCTAATTCCCATAAGCCCTTCTTAAGGAAACTAATAGAGCCAAACAAAAGACAAATAGAGAAACTGTAAAGGATTGGTTAGAATATTGAATTCGTTTAACCCCAAGACTAAGACCAAAGTGCTGATAAACTTATGGGTAGAAAAGCAAAAGAAAATATTGCAAACCATAAAAATAAGTCAAAAACATATTAACCAAAATGTGGATACAAAAGGAGGAGAAAAATGGAAAGTGGTGTAAGTACTCTATTTCCTCATCTTTAGTAGCTAGTGATTAAAATATATTTTTAAAAGACTGATATAAATGTAATAGAGATAACATTTTTAAAAAGTATATAATGGAACAAAGTAGTAAAGCAAGGAAAAGACTGTGTTCATCTGTAATTTGATAGTAGAAATAAAGGGAAGGATGGGGAAATTACAACAATTTTGTTATTGCACAAAATGGAGATTTAATAGTTACTGCCTAACAATGAAGAGTAGTAGTTAGTATATTACATAAAATTATGATATAAATGTAATCACTGAAAGAACCGAAGAGGCAAACTTCCAAATTATCTGAAAGAAATCCACACACATAAGAGAAAGCCAAGAAAATAACCCATAATAATGCAAGAAAGAAAATCAAAGAAAAGGGGTACCAGGCTGAACACAACAAAAGCCTACTTTTTTAAACTTGCTGTAAAAAGACACAAAGTCAAAACAAAAGGTCTCAAAAAAAAAAATGCTAGGGAAAGGTATACAAGACACATATAAACAAAAAGAAGGCAAGATTAGGAATCTTAATTAATATCTGACAATGTTGGATCCACGACAAAAAGAAAAAGAGAGTTAAGTGTGACTATACAAAATATAAAAATTTTAAAAATGGCAAAATAAGCAAAGATACTAAAAAACCTAAGATATTCCCAAGATATGAGTTTGGTCAACTCACAGAAGATCAATTTGAAAATCTAAGTGAAATTAATGATTTATTTTTAGAAAAAGTTATAAGTGGTTTTGGAATTATTAAACAAAGTAATTGTTTATTTAAAAAGAGATACACAATGGAAGTTTACAATGCTAAAATCACAAATGTTAATGCAGACATAACAGTTTTATCTATGTACCAAATACCATGGTAACTACCTTCATAAAGCAAAAACTATGAGATATTCAGGGAAAAATAGGCAGAAACATACTAATAGGAGACTTTAACATACAAGTCTCTGATCAAATCTGGTCAAGTGGACAAAGATATGTATAAAGATACGGATGGACTAAACAACATAATCCTAATGAGGTACATCATACGAATACCTTATGTAATGTTGCAATCTGATAATAGAAAATATACCTCATTGTAGATAAAACATGAAGCATACACAAAAACGTTCTGTGTAACCACTAGGCACAAAGAAAGCCTCAATAATTTTAGCATAGTCCATACAAAAGATTCTCTCATCACTAGGCAATGAAAGTAGAAAGTAACAAAAAAGAAAAAAATTAAGGCCTGTCCACCTGGAAATGTTTTAAGTTTCTATTACACAAATCTTAGGTAAAAGAGTAAATACAACTTAAATTGTGGTATTTCTTAAAAAGTAGTAAAAGAAACACTGCATTGTAGAATTCATGGAATACATTTAAAGCAATAATTAGAAGGCATTACATATATTTAATGCACAATAAAAATGCTTCCATAAGAAGGTAACTGAATGAGATAAAATGCAATTAAGATAAAGGACAAAATAGAAAATAGAAAAACAATAAAACAAATACGTGAAAATACTGGTTCTTTGAAAAAGTAAACAAAAATGGACAAAATCATTAGCTGACCAAATTCAGAAAAAGCAGTGAAAAAGCCGAAATAAACAAAATAAGAGTTTTTCTCCTCTAGTTATTATTTCATTAATATAAAATTTAAAAGGGGAAATTTTAAAACCCCAGAGATTACTTCTTATTGTTCTATGTAATGAAACTGAAAACCTAGATGAGATTAACATTTTCCTTATAAAATCATTTCCCAAAATTCACCTCAGTTGAAACAGAAAGTTGAAACAGACAGATGGGCCAGGTGCGGTGGCTGACGCCTGTAATCCCAGCACTTTGGGAGGCTGAGACGGGTGGATCACCTGAGGTCAGGAGTTCGAGACCAACCTGGCCAACATGGTGAAACCCTGTCTCTACTAAAAATACAAAAATTAGCCGTGTGTGGTGGCCTGAGCCTGTAATCCCAGCTACTAGGGAGGCTGAGGCAGGTGAATCGCTTGAGCCTGGGAGGTGGAGGTTGCAGTGAGTGGAGATCACGCCACTGCACTCCAGCCTGGGCAACAGAGTGAGATTCAGTTTCAAAAGAAAACAGAACAAAAAAACAGACAGATGTCCACAGAAGAAATAAAAATATTTACCAAAGGACTACCATACACCTAAAAATTAAAAAGTCAACGTAATAAAATCAATTGTCCAAGATGGTGTCACAGATAAATTTTACCAAACCTTTAAGGCCACATAACACCAACACTACATAAATTGTTCCAGGGCATACAGAAAAGAAAGAGGAAAAGCTTGCAAACTTTGTATCAAGTATAACAATAGAACATAAACATGACAAAGATAGTACAAGAAAAACTAAAAACACGATCTCATATCAAAGCAAATATTCTAAATAAAATGTTAGCACATAGAATTCAATACCAAATTAAGAAAATAATATATCATAACCAGGTGGGAATAGATTTAGGAATAAAAGGATAATTTGATAATAGGAAATCATTAAAGAAATATTACTATAATTTTTAAAAGTTTATGATTTCCCCTCGATGCTGAAAATGTTTTGACAAAATACCCATTCCTGATAAAATACTCAATAAAAATAGGCTGCTATATTAACAGATACTTCCTCAGCATGATTACATAGATAAATGGGTAGTTTAGATAGATTAGATAGATTGATAGATAGATCAATATCTCTATGTATGTATCCATTGTATATCTCGATCAGCTATTTAGCTATCTAGACTTATATAGAAAAATACATTATTTAACCCTAAAGCCAATATTCTTGTTGAATAGGTAAATAATAATAAAGACATTCTCACTAATGTTATAAACAAGATAAGAATTCCAAAAAATCATCACTGTTCTTTAACATTTTACTATAGGCAAGAACCAATGCAATAAGAAAATTGAAAACTATTGGAATCATAAGAACTAAAAAAACTCGTAAATTTGCTCTATTTACAAGTGATAAGACACTATACCTAGAAAACTCATGAGAGCGATAATGAAAGTAGCTCACAGAAGAAAATAATTTATTAAGATAACAAGATTAAAATCAATATGTGACTATTATACATTAACAGACATTAGTAATAAATAAAATAACCAAGTAAAGATACAGTGAAAGAGAAAACCCATTTATAATAACAACACAAAAATAAAAATTTAGGAGTCAGCTTAATAAGAAATGTGGAAAAAAGAGGAAACTTTAAAAAGATTCCTGAAAGATACAAAAGTAGATTTGGACAAATGAAAAGCATTGTCACTGGAAAAAATTACTCCTGAAATTTATTTTCTCAAAAGAATATAAATTTAATATGATCTCAAAAATACAACAACAGCTATTTTTCTGGACCTAGACAAATTTATTCTAAAAATCATACAGGAAAAAAAATGCAAGAAATTCTAGTAAAAATAAAACCTAACAAAGAAGAACCCTACTGCTACTTCACTTTCACTAGATGAGCTAAAATTAAAAAGACTTACAACGTCAAATTTGAAGCAACTGGAACTTGCACTTATTAGATAAAAGAATGATAGTTCCCTATTGAACTAAACATTCACTTACCCTGTACCCCAATAATTCTACTCTTAGATATTTACCCAAGAAAAATGAAAACATACATCCACAAAATAGTTATTCAAGTGTGTTCATAACAGCTTAATACATAATAGACCCTAACTGGAAACAGCTCAAGTGTCCCTCAGCAAGCAATAAAGTATAGTTTATTTATAAAACGGAATACTACTCAGCAATTAAGAGAAATGACACACACACAATATGGATGACTATAAAGACGTACTAACTGAATGAAAGAAACTTTACACAAAAGTGTACTTACTTAGTGTATGATTCCATTTACATGAAGTCCTAAAACAAGCAAAAGTAATTTATGATAAGAAAAAAAATTAAAATAGCATTTACCTTTGGGACAGGAGTATATATAAGTGAGGATTTACTGAGAAAAAGAATTTTACTGGAGTCAGAGAGTGTCCAGATTTCTCAAAACTCATTGGATACTACATTCAAGATTTGTGACTTTCATTACAAACAAATTTATTCCAGGAAAATAGGGAACACTAACAAATTTTTAACTCTATTTGATGTTATGCATACTGAAGTATTTGGGAGGGTGATAGTGATGTCTTCAATTTACTTTGAAATGTATCGTAAAATAAGATGAACTGAGAGAGGGATGGATAGATGGATGAGTATTCACTGTAAGTTTTCTGAACATTTGAAAATTTTTCATGATAAAATGTAGGAGAGAAAAGAAAAGCAGTAAAAGAGCATTAGCCCTACTAGAAATGAAAACATATTATAACACTCCTATAGTTTAACAAGAAATAAGTGATTATTGGAAGAATACCTAGGCCAGTGAAATAGAATGTCCAGAAATGGACTCATATACAGATGAAAATTTTGTATATCATAAAGATGACCTCTGAAATCACTGAGAAGATACAGACTTTTTTTTTTTTTTTTTTGAGATGGAGTCTCATTCTGTTGCCCAGGCTGGAGTGCAGTGGCTCAATCTCGGCTCACTGCAACCTCCACCTCCCAGGTTCAAGCAACTGCCCTGCCTCAGCCTCCCCAGTAGCTGGGACTACAGGCACACGCCACCACGCCTGGCTAATTTTTGTATTATTAGTAGAGATGGGGTTTCACCAAATTAGCCAGGCTGTTCTTGAACTCCTGACCTCGTGATCCACCTGCCTCAGCCTCCCAAAGTGCTGGGATTGCCTGGCAGAGATAGACATTTTAATAAGTAGTGTTGACACACTGAATATCCTTTTGGATTACAGGTAAAATGGGATTCATACCTCACACCATGCATGAAAACAAATTCCAAATGGATAAGGTATGTGTATTAAGGTTCTCCAGAAAAAACAGAACCAACTGAATATGTATATACAAATATAGAGAGGTTTGTTTTAAGGAATTGGATCATGCAATTGTGGAGGCTTACCAAGTCCAAAATCTGATGAGGTAGTCTGGCCGGTTGGAGCCTCAGGAAGAGTTTCAGTTTGAGTTAAAAGGCAACCTGCTGGTAGAATTCTTTCTTGCTAAGGGGAGGTCAGTTTTTGCTCTATTAAGGCCTTCAAATGATTGCATGAAGCCCATTTATATCATGGTGGGTAACCTGCTTTACTCAAAGTCTATTGATTTAAATGTTAACCTCACCTAAAAAACACCTTCACAGAAACTTCCAGAAAAACGTTTGACCTAATATCTGGACACAATGGCTCAGCCAAATTGATGCATAAAATTAATCATCACAATATATAAGTGTACCAAAAAACTGAAATCACATACCTGAAGAAAATTTGATTGGATTCCTTTATACTCAAAATCCAAATATAATACCAGTAAACTGTTAATAATTTTGACTATTTAAAAATCTTGCATAGCAAAACAAGACATTACAAGCAAATGCAAAAGGCAAAGGACCAACAAAAATGAACATTTGCAATATGTATAGCAAATATTCAATACTTACATATCAATAACCTATCTGATACATAAATAGCTTCTAAAAGTTGAGGAGAAAAAAACCAAAACCCAAAAGAAAATGGTTGAACTTACATGCCTTCTGATGCAATGCACCGAGGACACAGCATCACTTATGTAGTATTATTCCCCCAAATGTTGCATATGAACTTAATCATGAAGAAACAATCAGGCAAATCCAGATTATATGACATTCCACAAAACAACTGTCCTGAACTATTAAAAACTTCAGTATCGCACATGATTTTTCTTCCATAAAAGGTGGAGAAATTGATGTAGATTAAAGAAGACTGAAGAGAGAAATGCAATATCTGATTTACTGATGATTTTCAGTGGGGGGGAATCAGCCATAAAAGACATTGGGAATATTAGCATATGAGTTGTATGTATGATGATTGTATATTATCAATGCTCTAGCCCTTGAGAGTGACAATATTACTGTGACTATGCAGGAGAACATTCTCACTTTTAGAAAATAAATGCTTATGTATTTCAGAGTGGTGCATCACAATGCCTGAAATTAAAAGTTTTGCAATGCACACATGTGCACATAGAGAGACAGACGAAGCACAGGTGATAACTGGGTGAATTTAAGTGAAGTTATATTTTCTCTTATCTCTTCACAGACAACCCTAAAACTACATGGCCCTTCAAAATTACCCCAGATTGGGCTGAGGTGGCCATGCCGTTATGTCCCTCCACTCACATTGATCAGTCATCTGATGCTGGCTGCTGCCTGGAAAGCTTGCCCTTGGGTAGGACCACTCTCTGAAGCTAAGGCAATCCCGGAAGGGGCTGACAGCCAAAAGCTTTCCTCTACAGCATTCCCAGCAGCTGGACCAACAAGTGCTCCTTATAGAGGCATCTAGGCAGCACATCACAATGTCCACTACAGGATACTTCAAGATACATAAAGACATTTCAGAAGTTATTGCTAGTGGGGACATTATTTCTCTAACCAGAGAAAAACAAATAGGAAGGCAGATGCCCTACACCAATGCAGCTCTTGATAAGCACATCACATTCTATCCTAGTATTGTTATTGCTGCTAAGGATTTATTTTTGTGGCTTTTTAAACCAACTCATGTTTAAGTGACTCTGAAAAAAACAGCTCTTTTCACCCTGAAATTATGTGCCTGATTTAGCTGAAAGAAATATGGTAATACATAATCTTAACTGAAACACAGCATAGCAATTTCCCTGAGAAGGTCAGGGTTAACCTTCAATGCCCTTGCTCATAACGGAAACATCTTTAACTTGAATCAGCATATTTTCATTAAGTTCACATTGCCCTTCAAGGTGCAAAAATGGCTTTCATTTCCAAGCAGGCAACAACTAATTAGAAATCAAGTTGCATGGAAGGCATGGATTGAGCTGTAAGAATGGCACAGCCATTGCAGGCAAGGCATTCCAAAGAATCCAAAAATCACTTAGAAGTGCAGAATAGAAACCAGAAACTGGGCTCTTTGACATGAGACATTTCAAGGGTGCAATGGGCCTTTAAGTCAGATTTCTAACATTCATAAAGCTGTAAGCGTATACATACACATGCTAATCTAAAGGGCATTATTCCTGGTGGTTCACAGGAATGCAGTCCATAAATTTCAGCTTGTGTAGCCACAATTGCAAATGTTTTATCCTTTTATTCCGTAGCATCAGCTATTATTCTTTCTGGAAATTCCAAG
The DNA here is from genome assembly GCF_000001405.40 of Homo sapiens. Taxonomy (NCBI): domain Eukaryota; kingdom Metazoa; phylum Chordata; class Mammalia; order Primates; family Hominidae; genus Homo; species Homo sapiens. The sequence goes on along the minus strand of NC_000001.11, from coordinate 82,306,189 downwards.
TTTGATATTCAGAATACAACTATCACAGAGTATCTGTAACCTGAAAATTAACTGATTTGTAGTTCATTGCATATTTAAAGGTTGGAAATTGTAAGTGACATACAGGAAAATGCAAGACTATGGCAAGTGTACAATGATCCGGTGTGAGCCTGTGTGTCCAGTTTTGTTTGAATTTAGAAAAACAGCACAATGCCTGATACATAATAGGCACATAATATGTATTCATTGTATAAATTTTAATGTTTTCCCAGCAGAGAAAACCTGTCGTCTTTTAGGTAACAGAAATAATGGTACCAATTTAAATGTTTTATACGTTCTGAGCAATTTTAATGGGTAGAATCTCATAAAGAGAACTTTAACTACTGATGTATCATTTTTCATAGGCTCTGCCAGAAAAAAAAATTGCCTAGTTTTTGGGAAAATATTGTCCACCTTTGCTTAGCAAAATATAGTTTCTAAAAATCAGCAAGCACATCGCCTGCTTCATATTTTGGTTCAGTGAGTTTGTGTGCTATTTTCTCATCAGGGGACCCATTTAGGAGTTGCAGTACCTACTAATATATTTTTCCCTAATTTTTTTTCCTGAAAAACCCACGGGGGCAGGAGGAAAGTTTTCTGATTATTTTTCAGCCTGATATCAAATATACATAAGATCACACTTAGGAGTTGTTAAATTGAATCAATTTGCCCAGTTAACTTTAAAGTGGCGATTTATATAAATTGAATAAATGTGTCCACATAGGGATAAAAAGGGAAAAAAGTCAACTGATTGGAAAATTCCTGGTCATGCATGTCTTAAAACGAGTTGCAAAACCTGTTGAAAGACGGCCAGGAGCGGTGGCTCATGTCTGTAATCACAGCATTCTGGGAGGCTGAGGCGGGCGGATCACCTGAGATCAGGGGTTTGAGACCAGCCTGGCCAACATGGTGAAACTCCGTCTCTACTAAAAATACAAAAACTAGCTGGGTGTGGTGGCACACGCCTGAAATCCTAGCTGCTTGGGAGGCTGAGTCAGGAAATCACTTGAACCCTGGAGGCAGAGGTTGTTTTGAGCTGAGGTTGCACCACTGGACCCCGGCCTGGATGACAGAGCAAGACTCCTTTTCAAAAAAAAAAAAAAAGCTGTTGAAAGGTTAAGGTTAATATTTGTGGGTGGGAGGGCTACACTTTCAATCATGCTTTCTAGAACTGCTGAGGTTGACAAAACAGCCCTAGAGCAATTTGAGTTATTACTATTTAATTTTTAAATTTATCTGGTACTGCCTTGACAAGAAAGAAAAGATGAAATGTTTGACCTTGAATACGAAAGTCTGTTTTCTATCAATTAAATTTGCTCCTTTTCCCACACTTCAAGTATTACCCAATATGATACTTGTTCTGGTGTGCTTGATTTTATTTTGAAATGAGTTTTTTGTAGTTTCTGTTTTGTTTTCTCTCCTTCCTGAGATATTCATTCTGAATCTCTGTGTCAGGAAACAGAAATGTTATCTCTAAAAGAGAAGTGTATGTAAGAAACTCTACCATCATTGAATTTCAATGAACTTAGTGGTTCTAATGTCATGAAACTCTGTCAAATGTTAAAAGAAATTACAGATCGAATTCTTAAGGAATAGCTTTCAAATCACAGCCATTTCTGTCAGCATTTCATAATAACCCACCATCTATAATCTATCAAGGTACTGAAGTACCCCTGAGGAAAAATCATGACTTTCTTAGGCCAATTTAATAACAAAATGCATTTCCAATTTCAAGTACTTCTAAATCTTCTAATTGTGTTTTTCAGATCTACTGCTTGGCAGATAAGAAAAATAATGGACAATGAAAACATTCATTCATTTGATACTTGGTACTATTTTTTATTAAAATGATTGTATATTGATCTAACAGCTCTCTCTTTTCCCATTTTAACAAAAAATGAGTGTGAAAAATTGTATAGGCCTCTCTTTTTCCAAATGTTCTAAATGGAGGCATAATAAATATTATTTAGCAGATCAACCAAAGCATTAGATACAATTTTTTAAGTCCTTTCCATTTTATCTGTCCACATCATTACATTTTTCTAAAGACAAGAATGTAATGTAGATAATGTTGCTTGCCTTAAGTTAGTCTACACTTTTTTTAAAATGATGCAAAAGTCTGTGGAAATCAAGAGGCAAGAGGCAGTGGAGATCTTGGAATTCTTACCACAGTTTACATGTCCAAAGGATGTCACTTTTAAGTTAACTAATACTACCTCCCATTTGCTCTCTTCCTGCTTCAGCTAATATCTCCTGCATTCCTGAATATTCGAAGCTGGAGAGGTAGACCTATGAACAGAGATTTGGAAACAATACCAATCCAAAGAGAACCCTAGACCTACCTTTATTCCTACCTTTTTGGGCCTGATAACAATTGACTCCATGATGGCTGATGTTGGTCCAGGCCAATACTTACCCGACTGTGAGACAAGATTTGGGACACAGAGTAGGTACCTTCAGCAAGACATCATGCAGGTGATGGAATTAACAAGCTGAGTTACAATGGCTTCTTCTACACACAGCTGCAAGCAAAAGATCGTGTTCTCATAGCGTAGGGAAAAGGTTTGTAGAGCAGTATTTTTAGGCATGTTCACAAAGTATATATGCTGGCAAGGAATAGCCAAAGAAAATGAAAACACTATTTCAGAAAGATATCTGTACTCCCATGTTCATTTCAGCATTATTCACAGTAGCCAAGATAAAGAAACAACCGAAGTGTCTGTCAACAGATGAATAGATTAAGAAACTATGATATATGTATATACACACACACATATGTATCTCACACTATATATATTTATATCTATATATAGAGAGAGATATATGTACACACACACAATGGAATATTATTCAGCCTTAAGAAAAAAACAAAATCCTGCTACTTAGGACAGCACAGATGAAACTGTACAACATTATACTAAGTGAAATAAGCCAGACACAGAAAGACAAATGCTGTATCATCTCACTTAAATGTGAAATCTAAAATATAAAATTCATAAGAATGGCAAGTGAAATGGTGGTTACCAGGGGCGTGAGGTGGCAGAAATGGGGAGATGGTAGTCAAAGGGTACAAGCTTTCCATCATGAGATGAATGTGTTCTGGACAGCAATATACGGCGCAGTGGCCATAGTTAGTAAGGATGCATTGTATACTTGAAATGTGCTAGGAGAATAGATGTTGTGTTTTCACTACACACACACACAAAAGTATGTGAGATGGGGCGATGGATATGTTAATTAGCTTTATTGTGGTAATCATTTTGTAATGTACAGCAAATCATTACCTTTTATACCTTAAATATATACAATTTTTTATTTGTTAATCAAGCCTCAGTGAAGCTAGGGGGACAAAACCGAAGTAGATATACCGTAAGCTGAGGAAGGACAGGGCTCATGTCACTTCTGTTCATGGCTGTTTTCTCTATTCACTGCACCTAGCACAGCCTTTGAAATGGAAGATAGATGCTCAAAGATACAGTAGATATATGCTCAAAGAATGAATTTGCCAAAGCTCAAGAATCAATAATAACCAGTTATATGGGTTTCCCCCTCCTTGATAGCCTTGCCAATTCCCTGGAAACAACCATAATAAGTATACTTACCTAAGGTAGATATAACTGTGTGTGTGTGTGTTTGTGTGTGTGTGTGTGTGTGTGTGTGTGTGTGTTAGTACTGTGAATGAGATACAGGAGCAACAAATATCTTCACCAAGAACAGGAACTAACATTTTTTGATAATGCCTTAAAATATAGCTGTTAAAATTATGCAACTTGAATTCAAAAGCAGAAAATAATGTAATGTTTAGAAAGTCAAATTTCCTCAGATTTGAGTTATTATGGGGTAATTCAAAATTTGTAAACTCCATTGCTAGTTAATAGGGATTTAGGCTTTAGTCTTAGACTAACTGGAACACTTGGAAAATTAATGGAGTCAAAATAATAATTAGATTTTAAAAGACTTTTAAGCTGAAAATCAAATCATAAATTGAAATTTAAATCAGAGAGAATAAAACTATATAAATACAAGAGAAACAAATCTTTTTAATGAAATTTATTTGGTAAATCACAATAAAAACATAATTTGTTCTTTATTGAGGGCATTGACTCAAATTCACAAATAGAGTTATATTTGAATTACATTTCATATATCTACCATTAAGAGGAAGAAATTGTCTTCCTCTCTTCTTATTTTTAATGGCAATACTTCTGACTTCCTATTTGTAGTTTGTCCAATGTCTTCTTATTTTGTATTAATAGAGATAATTTATTTTACTCTCATAGCTCTAACTGCGAACTTGCTCATGTTCTAAATAGTTTTAAACTGATTTCATCCAATATCTCTTTACTGAGATTCAGGCTTATATCTAATATATATATATATAATATCTATTCAAACATGCCCATTTGGATATTGTACCAGCCCCAAGTTTACCATGTCAAAGCTGGTCCTATCGTCTCCTGTCTAACTCCTAATTTCCAGTATTTTTTTCTTTATTGCTTATCTCACTTGGTTACTCCAAATAGCAAAAACTTAACATCAACAATTTTCCCTTCTTTACTCTCTGTACACAACTAATCAATTCCTATCAATTCTACCTCCTGAAATTCTTCCAGATCTATCCACTTCTGATTCAAGCCACCAATGTCACTGGCCTGGCCAACCGCCACACTCTTACTCTCTCTGTGTCTGATCTTGCCTCTGCCACTGACCCCACCTCTATTCATCCTTCACCCTGCAACCAGAATGATCCTGATGAAGAGCAAATTTGATCACAGTAGGCCATTGGACAGACCTTTAAATGGCTCACCAGTGCCCTGTGATTTATTAACTTTAGATGAATAGCTTGACATTCAAGTGTTTTACAAATTTTCTATTATTTTATTCACTGACTAGACTTAAATGATGCTGAACTGCTGAAATAAGCTCATTACTTTCTGTTATGGACTGAACTCTTTAAATACGTAGGTTGAAGTCCTAACCCCCCATGTAACTGTGTTTGCAGATAGAGCTTTTAAAGAGATAAGGAAAGTTAAATGAAGTCATAAAAGTGGAGCCTTACTCCCCCCATATGAGTGCCTTACTCCCCTTATAAGGGCTGGTGTCCTTACAAGAAAAGTCAGAGACACCAGGTTTGCATGCACTCAGTAGAAAGGCCCTCTGAGGATACAGCAAAAAAGTAGCCATCTGCAAGGCAAGAAAAGAGGTCTCACCAGAAACAGTCTCTGCTAGCACCTTGCTCTTGGCCTTCCAGCCTCCAAAACTGTGAAAAAATACATTTCTGTTGTTTAAGCCACTAAGTCTTTCATAAACTGTCATAGCAGCCGTAGAAGATTAATACATCTTCCTTCCATTCCAAGCCTAGGAATACCCCACCCTTCTCTTTTTGGATACCTTTCTCACTCCTCCATTGGATGAACTAATTCCTGCTGGTCTTTGATGCCTCAACCAAATTATGAATACCTCTAACAATCTCAATCCATCCTGCAGGAAATACTGGATTAGTTGCTCTTCATAGAAGACAGACCCTTTTTTATCATATTTTAATGGTCTAGATATTAAATTCCACCTAATTATAAATTATTTGGGGGTAGGGACTATATCTTATACAGTCTTTTATTCCCATAGCTAGGACAGGCAGCCAAGTAATATTTGTTGAACAAATGAATGAACAGTACCTGATACACAGTAGATGTTCAGTAACTGATAAATAACAGGTTGAAAGTTATGCTAAAAGCTTTTACTAAAATTGAGGAGAATTCAATTGATGATTATTAAAGAGCTAGGAGTAACTGCAAAGGTTTATAAAAGAGCAAGTCCAGGAAAACAAAGCACTTTAGTCTGATGTCGAGACCTATGGGTAGCACAGGATACATAAATAATAACAAGAAACATGGCAAAGCACATATCAAATAGCATATTTGAAATAGATTTAGACACAAGTAATTGTTCTACATCAAATAGCCTTACGCATTTGTGTACAAGAGTACAAATTTCATCTCCTTGGTTTCTTTTTCCTCCACATATGCCTTTAGAAAAAATGGTTATAAAATAAACCTTTTAAGATTTCATGAGATATTTCATGTTTTGTCCCTCTAATGGTTCTATTAAGTCTCTTCAAACAGGCACTTTTCTACCAGAGCAAACTTGAAAGAACAGAACATTTATTCCAAAAGCAATTTCCTTTCCCAGTTATTTTCTGTATTCCCTTGGCAGTGTTTTTCGACAGTTTTACTTGAATAAGAGCTTATTTGGTCTCAAACCAGCTTCTCCTGCTGCTTGAACCTGCAGTCAAGTCTCAGACCTTTTCTGTGTGACCTCCCAATTTGCTACCATGGAAATGATTACAATCACACAAGTGTATTTTTTATTGCAAGATGAGTTCAGATATTTATTTTTTAAAATTAAAGCAAACTCTTGCAAAATATATTTAGAAGAACATTGTGTGCCTTTCTTTCAATCCATTCAAAGAAATTGAACGTGTTCCCAAATGGAAGCTTTCATGTTTACAGGAAAATGTTAAAAATAAAGAGATAATGGTGATGATGATTATCATGATGACAATAATGATTTCTTATAATTTCATAACATTGTAAAGTTTGCAACAGGCTAATGGTTTACAATAACCCTGGGGGAAAAAGGATTAATTTTAATGTCCCCATTTTACAAATGAGAAAACAGAGAAGTTATTTTAAACTCTCTGTTTAAAACTGTAAAGTTTTTCCAACCGGAAGGGGCATTATGGGTCATCTGTTGCCAGTACTCTCGTTCTGCAAATAAGGGATCTTAGGTAGGTGACTTTCCCAGGATCAATTTTCCACTAAGTGGCAAGCCTCTCATGACTGCTGTGTAGACAGTAGGAGACATAGCAGCTGAATTCTTCTGAGCACTAGCTCCATTCCAGGAATAGAGCCAATCCCTCAGGACAAGTGTATGCATTATTTTTTGGCCTCTATTTGTAACAGCTGAATGTAATCAAGTGGCCCCAAGTAGCCCTAGGTATCAATAAAAGGAACCTTTCTGGGACGTTTGAACAGCAATTAACAAAAATAATTTGTAGAAGATTGAGACCTCGATGGCCTTTTAGACCTATCTGGTGTCCCTCCTACCTGACTGTCAACTCTCTCTCCTGCTTATCGGTCTCTGGGATGTCCCTCCAGGAGTGGAGCACATCTACTACCAGCGGGTTTTCAATTGCCCCAGCTTTGCATCTTCACTGTCTCACTGCCTCATCACAGCTCCTACTGGAGATTCTGAAAAAGCATGTTGGAAAAAAAAACTAGACTCCTCATTACAAAGTGGTCATGGATTCACGGTGCCAGAAGGTTGTTTGAGTGCAGCTAAATTTGGCAAGCACCTACTGAATACAAAAGTATTTTAAATGATGCTGCTAGTAACCTGACAGGAAAAAAAAATGTGTAATATTTTTTTCCAAGCAGGGAGCTATAAGACGGTTTGTTTCTGTTTAAACCAAATTGCAAATTTGTTCTTTTGTACTCCTTTAGTTTTCTCTGATCTCCCACTCAAACCCTTTCCACAACTTCAGAACTTGTGTTGAATCCTAGGCCTCTACCTTCCAATCAAGAGTTTTCCATTGAGGGCGGCAAGAGTAATCACTGTAGCCCTTTCCTGGTACCTCCTTAGATAGTTAGATTACTTTGTGAGCTTTACAAATTGCTTTCTCTCTTTCTAAACAACCACTTCTACCAAAGTACCTGGATCTCTTCAGGTAGGAAGAACGATCATTTTGTTCTCTTAATACACATTTCACGAACCACTCAGCAGATTCTATCTGCTCCATAGTCGTGAATTCTGAGGAGGAAATGAGGGCTTTTTCCATACTTCCAGCTCCTTGATAATACCATCTTTAGGAAAGGACAACACAGGTGCTTTTCACTACACGATTCCTCATCCAAAGTCAGCCCCAGTCTTCACATCTCCTTCCTCAATTACTCTTCCTACCTTACCCTTTACACCACACCGCTGCACCCTGCCTTGCCCTTTCTTCAGCCCTTTCCAACAGTGCTGAGAGGATTTGTATCCTGAATGATGTTTTAAGGTTGCAGTCCCCAGGTGTCTCAGCTAAAATTTCTAGGGCAAAGAACATTTATAGTTCAGCGCATGCTTTCATAGTCAATGGGAAAAAATCCCTCCTCTACTCCTAATGGACTTCTTCAGTAACATGCTTCCCCTGGATGTGTGGGAGACTGACGTTGCCAGAATATTTCTTTTTTATGGCTTTTGTTGCTTTGACAGCTTTGATTTTATGGCAACTTTAATCATGTGTGTCCTATTCCTTCACCTCTGGCATTTTGCAAATATTCGATTTCTCTATCGCTACTACCATAATGGCCTTCAACAAACTGTGATTCATCAAACTGCTTTCCCCAGGTTCTTCTGCCTCATCCGCAGGCGAAACCCCAAAGGGAGCTGCATCAAGCAAACAAGGCGATGCTAAATGCTCAAGAGTGAGAAAATCTATTAATTAAAAAAGGGAGGAGAGAAGAAAGAGGAAGGAAGAAAAATTACACGTGTAAGTTAATGCAGCCCCAAGACACCACTGGCAGTAACTTATGCACTGACACTTTAAACAGGGTTTATGAGTCTGTTTATTCACAATTATTCATGAAAAAATGTGCTATCAAGTATGACAACACAAAGTATATGTGCTATCTTAAAAGATACAGTGAGTCAATAAATCATACCTGAGCTTTAACAATATTATATTTCCCTTTCTTGTATATTCATAGAATAATGGATGTGGAAATAAAAAGGAGCTAGAGATGGAAAAGACCAAATCGGTTATCCATTTAATCTTGTTCTGACAGAGGATCAGTCTAGAGCAGTACATCTTAGGATTTGTCGTTTAGAAATTAGTGCCTCTGCTGTGTCATAGGTTTTGGCCACTCTTCTTCACAGTTTATTTCTGAATAGCAGAGTTCCAGTTCTTTTCCCTGAAAAGCAGAACTAAAATTCGACTTTGCTAATTTGCTCACCTTTTTCCTTATTCTAATTCCCTAGACCCTATATAAAAATTTCCTCTGCTGTGGATATTTATACTATTTTAATATGCCTTCAATTATTCCCTGGTTCCTATTATTCATCTAGAATAAATCCAGTGGCCAGCTCCCTTTCTTTCCTGAGAGGCTGCCCTCAGAAAATACAGACACCTCTTTCCATGCAAAATGTTTTGTGTGCACTGTTTCCCCAGGAGAGTGAGATTAGGATAACGTCCTGAAGAGCTTTGCAAACTAAAATGCCTGTCTTTAGCTACCCTCCTCCTAGCACTCTCTAAACTAAGGAGAGATTTGCCCATGAGTCCTGCAGCCCTCTCTCTATACCTCAGCTGCCATTTCTGCCTATTGTATTTCTGTGTTTCTGATTAGTTTGTCTCTCTTTACACTTAAATCTCACTAAGCTGCAAGCCTTATTAATGCTCCAACACTGCATGGTCCATTTTTTTCTGATTCTTCTTACAAATAAAGTCATCGTTTCCAAATTTCATTGAAGCTCTATTTACTCTTTTACAGAGATTATTAAAGATTTTTTTGTGTGAGTCATATTAATGCTACAGTTGACTAGCTACCTCTCCAAATTGATCGACTCCTAGCCATTTGAAAGCATTGTGATGCTTTGGTTACGAAACTAAGTTGGTTTTCGATATTTTCCCTTTGAGGCCACCCCCCACTCCCACCTCCCTGCTAAAGAAAACAAGAAGATATGATGCGACCAAATATTTTATACAAGTCATTATAATTATTAGAAATAAACAAATGTCCCCAAAATGTGTACAGTTTGTGATATTGATGCAAAACAATATGGATTAAAGTGTCAGTAGTTTATTCACTTTTTACCTCCAGATTACCTCTAGATTTGGCATAGATTGTCAATAAATATACAAACATTTGAAAGTGTATTTTTAGACAATACGTCATTTCCTCTGAAGCAAAATATTTTAACTTTGTTAATTTTGCTATGCAAAAAACTTAGATTTGACTTACAAACACGAAATCAAGGGTTAGAAAATGTCTGCGTAGATGCCCAGAAGTTGTGTCGTGCATGTCACATGTATTTAGTCTAAACCCCAAAAGATTCCTACAAGTCAAAGGGACAGACTAAAGTGCAGAGAGGTATCTTGCATAAAATCACACACACAAAAAGATTAACGGACTATATTAGTCAGGGTTCTCCAGAGAAACAGAATCAATAGGATGTGTGTGTGTGTGTGTGTGCATATGTGTGTGGCATGTGCGCGCACGTGTGTGTGTGTACATTTATTATGGTAATTGGCTTACATTATTACAGAGGACCAGAAGTTCCACAGGCTGGAGAATGAGGAAAGACAGTAGCGTAATTCAGTCTGAGTCTGAAAGTCCAAGAACCAGGAACTTCAAAGTATGAGGACAAAAGATGTATCAGCTTAAGGAGACAGAGAGAATTTGCCCTTCCTCTGCCTTTTTGTTCTCTTTGAGCCATCAATGAATTAAATGATACCCACCCACTCTGTTGGAGGTGGGTCTTTTTTACTCAGTCTACTTACTCAAATGCTAATCTCTTCCAGACATACCCCCACTGACATACCCAGAAATAATGTTACACCAACTATCTGGGCATCCCTTAGCCCAGTCATGTTGATACACAAAATTAACCTTCACATGGACTTAGAATTAGAATACAAGCGTATTAGCTGGGCGCAGTGGCTTACACCTGTAATCCCAGCACTTTGAGAGGCCAAGGTGGGCAGATCACTTGAGGTCAGGAGTTTGAGACCAGCCTGGCCAACATGGTGAAACCCCATCTATACTACAAATACAAAAATTAGCCGGGCATGGTGGCACGTGCCTATAATCCCAGCTACTCGGGAGGCTGAGGCAGGAGAATTGCTTGAACCCAGGAGGAGCAGGTTGCAGTGAGCCGAGATCGCGCCACTGCACTCCAGCAGAGTGAGGCACCATCTCAAAAAAATAAAAAAATAAAGAACACAAGTATATCTCCACAACATCAGGCAGGATGCGCAAATATTGATTGAGAGAAGAAAAGACCAGAGCTAGGAATCAAATAAGGGAACTCTGTCTGTAGGGTAGTTATGTACAATGGTACAGAAGCATGAATTAGTGTGGAATGTATTGGGAACCTGCTAAATTGAAGATGGATCCAAAAGGTTCTGCAGTGATTACAATGGGGAAAATCAATTACAAGTCAGCTCATAGGGACCTTGCTCTTGATTTGCTGCCAAAAAAAAGAGTTGAGATTTTATCCTATTGCAAGGCAGACACTGAAGAGCTTTTGCTTAAGCAAAAACCCTCCTAGGATCCTTCTGGCTTCTAGCATCAATAACTGATTTGAAGACAACAAGGAAAGATAAGGAAACATGCTTAGAAGGCTACTCCAACAGTCCAGGTAAAGAATGATGAGGTCCTGAACTAAGGCAGGGGCTGTGACAGTGGAAGTAACAAGTAGGGTTAATTAATTTCATAATGGAGGAAAGATGAATAAAAGGGAGATTAACTCACTGCTAAGTGAGTTCATGGTGATGCCCTCCATAGGTAAAAAATGTAGAGCCTGGAAACTGTTGTGGAAGATAATGCGGGTATGGGATGCGGACACTGAAGACAAAGGGAGGGGTGAGCTGGATGAGATTGGAAATCTTGAGTTCAATTTGGTACATCTTGAGTATGATGATACATGGGCATCCAGTCCAGTAAGATAGTGCTGGTGGTGAGACCGTGGTATTGGATGAAATTACTCAGGAAAAATGTAAACAGTTGTGTTCTCAACTGTAAGAATATTCCAAAGTATGCACACTCAAGCCTTGCCTTAGATATTTTCAGTAGTTCTGAGGTGAAAGTTGGGTTAATTATAAAAAGCCAACAAATAAATAAACACAGTGCTCAGGCCTAACAAAACACATCTGTCAGACTTCTGCTGGATGGACAGAACCCAAAGTCTCTAGATTGCCACTGTTTTCACTGTTTTGTACACTAGTGTTTTATAAGGTATGAGTCATAGCCTATTGGTTGGTTATAAAATTAATTTAGTAGGTTGTAATAGTGTTAAATATCACAGCTAATGTCACATAAAGCAGCATGTACTGTTTTCCTATACTTTCATATCCATTTTATATGTATGTATTTGTGTAGAGACAGGTGGCATGTGTGTGTGAAAGAGAGTGTGTGTGTGAAAGAGTGTGTGTGTGTTTGCAGTCGTTCATAATATAAAGTTAAATTTTTCTTTCACAGTTAAAAAGTTTTAAAGTCACTGTTGTAGATGACAGAAGAAACTAAGACACAATGTTAGAATGTATTTTTAATGTCAAAATGGTCAAATTCCAGAAAGAAAACCTGAGCCAGATATTTAAAAACATGATTCTATTTCTAGTTTCATTACCTTTACATTGTTTGTTCCTGTGCAAGTCAAGATCTCTAAATGGCTTTTTTTTTTCTAAACAAGGAACAAATAGCACTTGTAAACTACTTCACTGACAGCAATTTAATGACCATTTATGTCAAGTGTTTTGAAATCTTGAGAGAAATAGTCTATAAACAAAAATATCACACGGATTTGTTTAACTTTTGGAAAAATATGTAAGGATAATTTGGAACAACTCTTGCTTGACTCATGAATTTCATTGTAGATGTTCCTCCTTCTTGTAAAGTAACAACTTTTGGATTGTATTTTATACTTTATAATGAATATTTACATATATAATAATTTTGGCTCCCAAGGAAATTCTATGAGGTAGGCAGGGCAAGTTGCTTTATCTGCATTTTGCAAATGAGGAAATCAGTCTCACAGAGGATAAATGATTTATTCATGGTAACCACAACACTATCTTCTCAAATATTAACTGATATTTCTGATAACACTATGACTGTTTCCATTTGTATGCACAAAGCATATTGATCAATTTCTATGAAGCTAGTAATCTCCTGACATTTTTCATCCACCTATCACCTACTGAAGCTAAAGTTACAAACACACACTCTAAATGAACTTGCTTTTCTAAAAAATAAATTTTTCTTCATGTTTCTATTTAACTCTTGTAGGAGAGATTGATGGTTGCCTCCCTGTAATTTTTCTTTTCTTGCTCACTAAGGAAGCCCTAATTTTATCCATATATTTATACTTTACTTTACAGAATATAATTCTGTTTTCAGTTCAGAAGTAAATCTTGAATAGTTTAACTCTGTCGGGTTAACTCATACTGCTTTTCAATAATTGGTTTACGGATGGAACTATGACCCATTCCGGTCGTAGATCTAAGAAGCAGGTCTCATGAGTCTAAGGATAGCGACTTAGAAAAAGAAGCACAAAGAAGAGATTGTCATTTTATTTCTCTGAATACTGACATGTCTGGTTGTGACTATGGAACTATGGTAGTCAGAGTGCAACCTAAGGGAAGCTAGCCTGAGGATCAAGACTAGCTTGATCCAAAATCGTGGTAGTGGAAAGATAGAAAGAACTTTAATTTCTTGTGACACTTGTATCATCCTATATAGAAACTCTATATGAAACAATAAACTTTTTCTAGAGTTAAGCCTTTCAAGTTGTGTTTTTAAATGTTTGCAACCAAATATGTAACCAATAAAAATCTCCATTACATTTGGTTTATTGGTCAACCTTGGAGACTAAATAGTGTAAGTCACCATTTAACTGCTTGGTCAATAACTTGGGAAATACAGTCACGCATTACATAACGTTTCTATCAATGACAGACCATGTATATGACTGTGGTCCCATGAGATTAGAATACTGTATTTTTACTGTATATTTTCTATTAGATATGTTTAGATGCACAAATACTTACCATTGTGTTACAATTCCCTATGGCATTCAGTACAGTAACATGCTGTACAAGTTGTAGCCTGAGAGCAACAGACTATACCTTATGGCCTAGATATATACTAGGTTATACCATTTAGATTTGTGTAAATACATTCTATGATGTTCACACAACAAAATTCCCCAACAACAGATTCTCAGCATGTATCCCCATCATTAAGTGATCATGCTTGTATTCTAATTTGGCCTATGTTTTAAATTCAGTTAATCTAAAATACTGCTTATATGCTTATCTTGTTTTTTCATTGAGAGACTATTTTCCAAAGCTTTCTAGATCTTTATCTTTAGAGAATCCAGTGTTTTTATAAATCATTCAGACACACATGGGATAAATAATGACATCACATATATTTTTTTAAATCACATGCTAGCAATCTTTCACGAGTGTTTAATTTTGAAAAGTAACAACTTTTGGATTGTATTTGATCCCTTAAAATGAACATTCACATATATAATAATTTTGGCTCCCAAGGAAAGTCTCTGACATGGGCAGGGCAAGTTTAGTTAAACCATTTCACACTCTTTTAATTTGGTAGGCACCATATGTGTAACACACACACACACACACACACACAAAATGTGTCAGAAAAGGGGATACTAACCCAGCCAATGGACATGAGGAAAGTATGAACAACCTTAGGCTGGCATCTAATACCTTCTGAAATTTTATTCAAAATTGCTTATGTGTGTTTATGCATATTTTTCTGGATAGACCATCCATAGCTTTGATCAGAGCCTTAAAGGATTAAAAATACACTGTATATGATGAAAATCATCCTCCCCATTTATATTCTTGAATGAGATTGACACAAGTCAACATTGTTTATTCAAATAAAGAGTGACTTGATCTTGGATTTGTAACTTCATATAAACCTAGCTCATGTATATAGTTTATATATAAAGCTACACCACTTGGTGAAGGCTGGAAAATACTAGAAGCATTAGACGCATTTTCAGAGAGGATGACATAAATTAGGCAATTGGATTTTTAGTTCTGCATCATTTCATCCGCAGCAATATAGAGTGGCTTAATTTTCTTTCCAATACTCAAAAATATAAGTATATGAAAAATATAGGAAAAATATTTGGAATGGTACAGTATTCATAAAGTGACACTGCTAAACTTTGGAAGACAGAGCCTAACACACTTACAGTGTCTACCATTCCAGGTTTATCTCTGAAAACCCTACCTCCGCCTCTACTGTATCTACTGCTAGGCTCTAGTTGTAATGGAAATACTTTTCTCTCTAAGATTAATATTTCCGTTTCTCTCTGCCTCCAAATATATCATTTCCCCTCCCACAATGTTCTCTCCTCTTGCCTTCACTTGTTGCCTGGCATATTTCCCATCTTTCAATACTAGTTCCAGAGTCACCTGCTCAGAGAAGAACCTCCTAAGAAGAGCATGATGTTTTCTCCTCTGCTCTCATACAACCCCAGGCACTCTTTCAACAAATATTTATTCAACGTCGCTAGTCACTGGGAATATATCAGTGATCAAAACACCATCCTCACTCTCACGGAGATAATATTCTAATGGGAGTAGAGAAATAATTTTTAAAAAGCACATAATATATGGCAGAGGTAATAAGTTTTACAAAGAAAAAGAAATTGGGGTAAGCAAAGAGTGATGGGGGTGGTGAGCAGCTATTGCAGAGGAGAAGGGAAATCCTCCATGACAGTGTACCATTCAAGTAAAACCCTTAATTGAGTGAGGAAGACATGTGACTGCTCTGGGAAAGACTATTCAAGGAAGAAGGAACAGCAAATCACAAGCTTCGAGGTGGAAGCATATTGTAATGTTTGAAGAAAAGAAAAAGAAGAACAGCAGTTGGAGGAGGGTGAGAGGAGTAGGTGATGAGGTCAGAAAAGTAGCCTGGTGCCAACCTAAGCTCTTGTAAGCTCTGGCAAGGGCTTTTGACTTTTACATGAGTATAATGAAAGCATGGGAACTTTTAAGCCAAGAGTGACTTGACCATATTTCTACTTTTAAAGACTCACTCTAGCTGCTTTGAGGAGCCTGTAGGTGTGTCAGTGAGGAGGCTGGGAGACTACAGAGAAGTCGTTCAGATGAAAACTGATGGTGGCAGCTTGTCCTAAGGTGACTGCAGATGCAGGAAAGTGGGAATGATGAACACTGACAACGTTTTTAAGGGTGTGTGCTATAGAAGAGCGCAGAGAAGTGGTTAATTTACTGGGGAGGGCAGTGAAGTCAGAGAATATTACTATGACACATCACAGCATATTTTACCCTAGTGGGAATGATCCAGTTAAGAGGGAAATGGTAATGATATAGGATTGAGGAAACCCAATGTCGTGTCCTTTAATAGGTGATTGAAGGTGGGATACAGGTTGTAAAACGATGGGCTGGCATTATGGGTCAGGGACAGTTCAACTGTAAAAGACAGGGATACAGGGTACTTGGGAGTAGATGCAAGTGAGGCAGTATCTCTGGTGGCACAACACCTTATAGATGGAGAGAGGAAAGGGGATGGATATCGTAAGAAATCATGTCAGTGTGCAAGAGACAACTGATGAAACACGGCCATATTCGGCTGGCTGGAGAGGACTAAGGTGTGATATACATAGTGAGATATAACTTGAGATAGTCAGCATGTTAGTGTATTTTATGTCAGTCTCATTCAACTGCTAGGGTGCCAGGATGAAGGAGAAGGGGAGTTGGATTTAACCAGAATGGGGTCTTCTCAGGTGAGTTTGATAGCAGAACAGAATGGCAGGGGAGCTGAGAGTGAATGCAAATGATGACTTACAGTGATGGACCACAAAGTGAACCAACAAAGGAAGAAAGTGAGGACATGAGTGGGAGCCACAGATAGTGAAATGAGCAGGACCAGCCATTCTAGGGGTTACTGGAGTGGGAAAAATTGAAGCAGTGACCTGGAGGGGAAAGTGGCAATCAAAGAATGGGACACTTGAAATGGGGTTTTGGTAATGGCGCGTTACATATGTGACCGTGGGCATAAGCAGCTGCGGTGAGGTGGAAAGCAAGATCATAGCAAGTGTTCTATTGGGTGTTCTATCACTGGTAAAAGGGGAGACACACTGTGAGACATAATTAGGCATTTCACAGGATCTTTAGGAAGGTCAAAGAATTATTGCAGGCTGTCCAACCAGGACAGTACCCAAATTACATTGGAAGATTGCCAGCAAGACACAGTTTTCCACTGCTGCTAGGAACAGGTACCTTAGTTTTTCCTGCCTGTGTGGACCCCATGGTGCCACTGTTGGAACCCATGTAATACTGCCTCTCTCCCTGTCATTCTCACCAGGAAATGATTCTGAAATGTGCCTCCTTCTTCCTACTATGTTTCCTAATCAAAATCTTGCTTGGAAATATCTGATGGGAGAAACCTAAATCAAATTATTGGGCCCTGGTTGCAAAGAAAAGGTTTGAAAATTAAGTTTCTGACATCTATCTTGAAGATACAGGTCTCATAAGAGGAGAAATTCTCCAAACATAAAAAGGGAGATGTTGGGCAGTCAACACTATGAAATATTAAACTGCAGATCTTTACCTGTTTACTGTTATACTCCCAGCAATTTTCACAATGAACATAAGAAATTAGCATGCAACAAATGTCTGTTGAATAAATGGATAAACAAATGGATGATTAATTTGTTATCTATTTTGACACCTGGCTCCTACCTTAAACCCTACAAATAATGTAAATTAAACTGGGGGTATCTTAAAGCATTAATTTATTGCCTTAAACCTCTGGTATTGTTCTGTACATGAAGGTTCCTTTGGGAAGTTGAGTCATTTAGGCTCCCATTTATTTTAGCACAACTGTCCTGAGAAGGTGCTCAATCTCTGTTAATGCTTGAGAATGTAGAACACAGTGAATATTTATTCATTAAACAGAGATTTATTGAGCCTCTAATATAGGCAGACATTCTTCTAGCTATTGGGTATAGAGCAGTGAAGAAAAGAGATAAAAACCTCTGCTTTGACACCACAAAGGCAGGCTTTCTAAGTTACAATTATGTTTGAGTGATTATAAAACTAAATTATGTTTATGACAGATAAGTTTAAGAAGAAAATAAGATCACCTATGATAGCACCAACACACTAGCACAATTCTTGTGCCTTTTGATACGTATTCCTATAGTTTTTTCTAAGTATATAAACATAAATATTTTATTACAAATGCAGAATGTTACCTAAACATACAACTTTCTGCTTTGCTTTTATTCACTTGATGTTATGGATATTTATGAAAATTTTTTATATCATTATGAAGTTTTTATAGCATTTGAAAACATGCCCACATTATTCTGTCTTATAACAGTATCATTACCAGGCCTGCTTTACTGACCATTTAGGCAGTTTCTAATTTTTCCTTATTATAAACAACGCTGCAGTGAACATCCTTGTACATACATATTTGCACATTTATCTGATTATGTGTCTAGAATTATTTCGTAACTGTGCAATTGTTAGGTCAAAGAGCAACCTTAACTTAAGATTGTATGTATTCATGCTAAATGCTCCTTTGTAAAAAAAATTGAACCAATTTCATCCTCAGCTGCAGTGTGTATGAGAGCGCCTATTTCCTACATCCTAGCAGATTCTTCTTTTTTGACTATTAATCAACTTCTGATGATTCAGCCAGTGACTCTCCACAGTCGGGAGAAAGGTAGTTGAATGGCTGTCACTACATGATAAGTCAACAGATTTCTTGATATATACCATTTATCCACAAGAATTACACTGTGCCCAGGAGGATCCTTACCTATTTCATGCTGATAGGAATGCTTAAGAAACTTCTGAAGGAAGAAAGGAAAAGAGGAAAGCAAATGCATCAGTAAAACTTCCTCTTATCATTATTACCCATCCATCTTTTCATTAATAAGCAATGTTAATAGCATTGAAAAATATATTGAGACAATGTTGGCAGTGACAAATAAAATTTAGCTCTACAAATACATTTGTACCCAGTACACAAAGTGATCAAAGGCAAATGGAAATGTAATTGAGACAACATATGAAACATCATGAAGTAATAAACACTGAATAATGGGGAAAGTATGGTCCTTCTCTGGGAATGTCCACATCCTACCCAGGCCTAATCTGTAGAATTTTAAAAAAGAAAGAAAATACCTAATTAAACTAGTAGTCATTGTTTTCATATGTTTATTCCACTTTCAAAATTGTAATCGTTAATACTTACTGATGTACACTAAGTGTCAGAAACATCACAATCCTAATAATAAGGTTTACTCAATCCTAATAATAAGGTGAGGATCCATCTCCCCATTTTACTGTTAAAATCCAAATAAATTTACCAAGGTTGCAGCTAATATATGGTAGATTTTGGACTTGAAATAAGTTTTATCTGACACCAAAACCGATATATAAGTTTGTCCTTTTTGGGAAACTGCTTCTTGGGATGTAGCCAATCACCACTTAATACTAGGGATAAGAACAAGTTCCAGAGAGGACTCATGGGTCATTTACTTATAATTTAGAATTAATCTCCTCTAATTCGAAAATCTCTGTTACATAAGATCCTGCAGAAATGAGGAGAGCCAGACAGCCTGCATGAATTGGGAAAACCACTCGGTGTTTATGCCCTTACTATTATTAGTGCTGGCAAGACCACATTTCTCTCTCTCTGCACAGCCTAAATCCACTAGCCTTAAACCTCTTCACACCAGGAAAGGTGTTCATAACTAAAAGATTAGAAAGGCCCATCCTCAATCATAAGTGACAACTCTGTATCTTTAGAGATCTACCGAACAGATGCAATTATGAGCTGCATTCAAGCTCCTAGTCCAAATCCTGTTGTTTTCTTCCAACTATGCCTCACTGCCTGGTTTGAGGTTGTTCCCATTGAATCAGCCCTGCCTGGATTCTGCCTGTGGCTTCCACTTTGGCCTCAGCATTTCCCATCCATTTCCTAGAGACTACCCTTCCTTCAGCTGTCTCAGCTAGCCCCCCGCTGTCATACCAACTGTGCCTGAGTCTCAGCAAAGCCAGGTCTTTATATATTCTTTAGAAAGTGGCTTGTTTACTCTTCCCCAGGATTCAGATTGAACATCTTCCAGATGAGTGGATGGTGCTAAATTAATTTCTATAAATTTCCTTCTTGAATCTCCTTAATTATAAGGGTTAGCTACTATTAATTCCTTATATTACAGGTGAGAAAACTGAGATGGGCAGATTAAGTGACTGGTATGATTTGAATGTTTGTGTTCCTCCAAAATTCATGTTGAAACTGAATTCCCAGTACAACCATATGAAGAAGTGAGGTTGTTAAAAGGTGATTGAGCCTTCCATGCTCACGGAGGGGATCAGTGCCTTTATAAAAGGACCTCAGGAAGTGAGTTCTTTCCTTTTGCCCTTCCACTATATGAGGACATATCAATAGGGTATCATATTGGAAACAAAGATCCCTCACCAGATACCAAAACTGCTAGTGCCCTGATCTTGAACTTCCTGGCTTTCAGAATTGTGAGGAATAAATTTTTGTTTTTATAAATGCCTAAGGTTTTTTTTAATAAGAACAGGAATAGACTAAGAGAGTAACTTGCCTGGCTCTTACATAATGGAGCTGAGATTTGAATCCAGATATCCTAAATCCAAACCAATGTTTTTTCTACTTTAAAATATTGAAATGAAACCACTCAGACCGGTCTAAACACCTTTAGAAAACAGAAGTGTTCCCTTTCTATGGTTATGCTTTAGTAAATTACAGTAGAACAAAAAAAATCCTATATTTTGCCCATGTGGGTCTCTGGTCACTAGGCCAAAAGACAGACTCATGGTAGGTAGCCACCACTTTGTGCATTATTTACAATTTCAGATATGAAGCACAA
This sequence comes from Homo sapiens, assembly GCF_000001405.40. NCBI lineage: Eukaryota > Metazoa > Chordata > Mammalia > Primates > Hominidae > Homo > Homo sapiens. The sequence goes on along the minus strand of NC_000001.11, from coordinate 82,285,492 downwards.
TCTAAAAATAGGGGAAGATCTGGACAATGCTTAGTAATGGGTGAGAGAGTTAATTGACTTATGCAAAACTTAAAATGTACATAGAAATTATAGAAGTGTAAAAAGTATCTCATTGCTTGTCTTATACTCCACACGGTCTCCCTCAGTGAGAGGTGTCATCCCAACATGAGTCCCCTGCAAAGGTATTCCAATTAGTAAGAGACCTTAGGCATCTCGACATGTAAAATAGCATTCAAAAGGATTGTGACTATAGAGGATGTCATATCTTACCCCCAAAAATAGACAGAAAAAAAAATTATGACTTATAGTTCTTGCTTAATTGTCCTTATAGACTAATCAGGAAAGACAATGATGCTACCTCCTGTCTATAACCTTTTGATCTATTCCTACCAGGATTTATTTCATTTTCTCAAAATAACAGAAAGAATAAAACAAGGTGATCAAGGCTAAAGTCATCCTCTTCACAGTTTTCCCTGACTTGACACACTTTTATTGCTGAGACAAATCATGTAAGATATTTATTTAATAAATCACAAGGTTACAATTGCTAATTGTTACAGAATTTCTTAGCAACATGCTCCTTTTCTTAGGTTAGGCAATATTTTTCTTAAATGAATTGTAACGGTTATGTTAACTGATTACAGCTAGAATTCCAATTTGCACCAGGGCATTATGACCTCCATATAGACAAGAAGGAGTCTTGGAGTTGACATAGCTAGCTTATAGGAAAAGAAGAGTCTATTTCTGAGACAGTCCTTATGCCATGAAAATTTTACTGGAAATCCTATTAGACTTTAAGTAGACATTCTGCTATATTATGAATACCAATACTATTAGTTCTAAAGCTTGCACACAAATTGTATAATCACTCAAGCCACTGCAGGAGTTACTTAGAAAACAAATGTGACAGCATTTATCACATTGCTCCTTGTCTATAAACAGAGAACTTATGTTGTTCCTCTGTACAGCACTTTTGTAAACGTCATTCAGTAGAAACAAGAGAAATTGAAATACAACAGTTGCAGAATCAAGATTAGCATTTAGGATGTTGCTAGCTATTTTAAGATGTAAAGGAGGCCAGCCATGGTGACTCACCCCTGTAACTCCAGCATTTGGGGAGGGCTAAGCAGGAGGACTGATTGAGGCCAGGAGTTTAAGACAAGCCTGGGTAACATAGTGAGACTCTATCTCCACAAATTTTTTTAATGTTTTTAATTCATAAAAAAAGATTTGGATGAAGTATTCTTTAGTTTTTGTCTTGGGGAATGGAAGAAGAGGGGACTTTACCAATGCTCATGCTAATCTTAGTCTAAAAAATATGCCATATTTTACTTCTCTCCTCTAACATCAGAGAATGGTCACCTGCTTACCTATTTTTCTCTGATGTAGTAATCTTTTCAACGGATTTGCATCAACAAGAAGTACTATATTTGTAGAATTACAGAATTTTTTATGACTTGAGTGGACCTTGGTGATCAGTGAATTGACATGTGATGAACTAAGTATCAGAGACAGAGACCAAATGTGACTGATTCTACCATTTCTTTACCATGTACTTTATTTTCCTAGTCTTACTAGAAGCCTATTCAAGACGTCTTCCCAAAACAAAAATAGAACAGTAAATCATAAACATGGCCAATAATCTTTTACTAATTTATTGTACTTGAATAAGAGGACTTAAGAATTGCTCTTCTTGTTACTGTCATTGGTTAGACTTCTCATTTCATAAAAAAGAAAAATGTCTTTTGTGTTATTTGTCCACAATTCTCCATACTGGTACAGCTACCCAAATTAAATCAGTTGTCTAAGTAGAATTAGAAGAGATGGATGGATTTTAAATGGTCCCAAAATATATTATGGCACATGTAGATTTTTCTTCTTCCTTGATTCTATTTGTATTAGAAAGTACCAGAAGTCACACCAAGATTTTAGAATTCTCACATCATCTTTCCACAGCATAGCTCCAATCCATAATAACCTCTGTGAATATTTTTTGCATTCTCAAGTTCAGCCAGAACATTGTTTCTTTATTATCTTGAAGAAATAAAACAAAAAACATGTTTTTGTGTCAGGGTGGTTCTCTGCTCTCTCATCTTTCCCTTCAAAGACAGTTTCTCTCTTCCTCTCTTAATTTACTCCATTTACCTGTACTGTAAAACACTCATTCCCACTTTCTGTGATAATTTAACTCCATGGACCTCTCCCTAGCTTCTTCAATTCACCTGTTCTTACTGGCTCTTATGTTTCCATCTTCAAAGAGGCTCAGGTTACTCCTGTTTTAAACTTCCACGAATTATGTTCAGTTAATGTAGCACTAACCTGTTTCTAGTCATTCTAAGTGGCACATTCTCACTGATCTTAACCTATTCCTTTCTTGAGATTCTTTTCTGCCTTGATTTCAGTGATAGTGAACCATCTTAAATTGTTTTGCTACTTTCCTCTCATTGATTTACATTCTATCTTTTGCATTCTTCAATTGTGTGTCCCAGGACTCTGCCCTTAGTTCTCTATTCTTTAATCTTTTGAGTTTTTCAATGATTTAAATCACTATCTTCAACTATACCTTCTCTGTGTATGATGTCTGTGTTACTCATGAAAGACCAATTGCTACGTTTTTGGATTGCTCATGTGCTGATCCCACCCATGTGTTCCTTATCAGTTGCCTCCTGGGGCAGCACTTCTGCAATTGCCCCATTCCACCCATGAGAACCTCAGGATCCTTCACTAGATCTTCTGTGTTCTGGTTAATAGATGATAGAGAGAGAGAGTGAGCTTAAAAATTATGCAAGAGTTTTGTGTCTCTTTTGTTTTTATTTTTGTTTCTAGGACCCAGTCTGAAAGTTGCACCCATCACTTTGTTCCTACATTACATTGGCCATAACTCAGTGATACGATTACACTTAACTGGAAGGGAGACTGAAGTATGAGGTCAAGATATACCAAAGAGGAAATGGAAATGGATTTCAGAGAATACATCACAGTCTCTACCTTGGCTCTCAACTCTCCATCTCCGGCTCTGACTTATACTTGAGCAAACCTTCAATTCACTAATGCTACAGAATATCCATGCATGGCTTTCCCATGTTTTCCTCCAACCCAACAAGTTCAAAACTGACTTAACAACAGATGTGTAAGCTTCATAAAAGCCAAGCCTCATAATTAGCATGAGAGTCCGCATCAGAGTGATTAAATGAGTGCTAAAGGCCATCCGGATAGTTAAGGTAAGGTACTAAGCCAGAAATCTAGTCTCATAATTTCTGCCCTATGTCCTATACAACATGTGAGCTCACGGCACTGCATTTGTCCATTCCCTTTCTCACTCTCCCCATCAGTCAAACACTCTTTTCTCACACTCCCTCCTCCTCACCCTTTTTTTTCCAGTTTTCTTAGCCTCTTCCTATCATTGTCCATATTTTCTCTCTCTTTCCGGAATGACTTTCCATATCAAAAAATCTTTGGCATCTTACTAATCCCACTAATTCTCTATTATCTCAAGCTAAAAACCCACAGTAATGTTTACCTGTTTCTTCTTTTTCATCGTGATGACAATTCCCATCCTTTCATTCTTCAATTTTTATAGCATTTTAATTTTTTTATTTTTCATCAATCTACAGTTTTATTACTTTAATATTTTTCTACTGGGACATCAAACTTTATATTCTCTCAGTTTCATTATGCACTCCACTGCCATATCATCTTCAAAATATCATGTCTACATAAAATGAATACTTACTGTTTAAAAAAAAATGTGATTTCAAGGACTTCTGAAAGCATCCCTTACACCGTGTCTCTAAGACTACTTCCTCATACTTTCCAATACAGATACCCTCCACAATTTTACCAGTAAAATAGATACATAGTCTTTGGCATTTATTCATTTAATATAGTACTCCATGCACTGTGTGGGTACATGGTCTTTATTGTCTATATACCTATAATAAAACTGACAAACATTCATGAAAATGACCACTCTTGTAGAAATGGTAGGTACAAGATACATAAGGCATAAAGGAAAGACTCAAAACAATTGTCTGGAGAAATTAAGAACCCTGTGCTTGATCAAATTCATTTGAGACCAAAAATGTGAACAGCTTTATAAGCATAGATTAAAGATCCAGAGAGATGAAAAACATATACTCTATTTAAGGAATTGTTAGTGGTTCCAGCAATTAAATATCAGATTTAATGTTAAATAAGCCTGTGGAGGTATGTAGGGGGCCAGATCATGAACAAGCCATTTATCAAAAACTCTTTAAAGTACATGAGGAATCAATAATTTCTTTAACTAATGGAATAATATGCTCTAACTTGAGGTTAGAAAATTAAAGCTGGTAGTGACAAGAAAGTTGAACTGGACAGGTTGTAGTGGTAGAAGAGAAGCAAAGTAGGAAACTACTGTAGGAGTCCAGAGAAAAGATTCTAAATGCCTATACTAAAGAACAAAGAGGTATGTACCAAAACAAGATATAGTTGAGACAATAAATCAACAGGGCCTAATTACCGACCATATATAGATATATGAGGGAGGAGAGAGAAGACTCTAAAGTAACCACTATATATCTAGCTTGGAGGATGGTCCAGTGACCAAAACTTAGAGTACATTAAGAGAGATTGTTTTGAAGCAAAGATAAATAAAGCAAATTTTGAACACCTTGAGTATGAATGTCAAAATCATTTAAATGTTAGTTAAAATATTGGGAGAAGAAATTACCTACAGTGAACTAGTAAAATGAGAAGAATAGCTACACATAGAAAGAACTCACAAAAGACTCAAATAAATTGTCAATGAGTTATATGAAAATCAAATGAGTTTCAAAATTGGAGAAACAATGATCTGGTCAAATACCACAGGCAAGTTAATTAAAATGAGAAATTTAGAGTGCCACTGCAATTGATGGTTAAAAATACCACTGGCCTTTGTTGTTGCAATTTCCATTGAATTATGCATATGGAAGCCCTATTGCAAAGCACGGAAGAAAGAGTGAGAGGCAAGAACGTGGAGGCAGCATGGATTATTCTTCCAAGGAGCTTGCTATGAAGAGAAAGGAGAGATTCAGTACCAAATATCAAGAGATGAATGAAGCTTCTCCTGCCCACAGAAAGCTTCCTCTTCCTTCTCAAAATTCACATTATACTCAGAATCCAACCAATTCTTTCCTACACCAATTTATCATATGCAGCAGCAACAAATTGTCCATAGAGTGGTCAGTCCCTGCGCACACAGTAACCTGCAATTTAGCACTTCACTTTGAGCTAAATACTTCATGGACTTTATGTTTCCTTAGTTAAGTATGATTAGTCTCATAAAGACAGAAACTCTTTATTCAGTCACTCATTCATTCAGTCATGCAACTGATATTTATTGAATATTTAATATGTGCCAGACATTATTCTAGGTGCTGGTACTACGGAACTGAAGAAAACTGGCACAAATCCTGCCTTCATAGAGCTTACATTCTAGTCAAGGAGACAGAAATTCCAAAAATTCAAAAAGTAACTTGTATGAAGTGTTTGCATGGTGAGAGACTGCCTAATGTGATAGTTAAGAGCACAACCTACAGAGTTTGAATCCATCTTGACATTGGGCAAGTCATTTAACCTCTCTGGGTTTCACTTTTCTCATCTGTAAAATGGAACTAATGATGTTGAGTTCAAAGCATTGTTATTATTATTTAAAAAGTTAGTATTTCATCAGTGTTTAGGACAGTGATTTGCTCTTAGAAAATGCTAAGTCTTGTTAAATAGAAATGTGCTAAGGGAAAAAAATGGAAGAGAGAGGAGGAGAAATGGGAAGTTTTCGAATTTTAGATCAAGTAGTGATATGGTTTTGCTGTGCCCCCACCCAAATTTCATCTTGAATTGTAGCTCCCATAATTCTCAGGTGTCAAGGGAAGGACCCGGTGGGAGGTAATTGAATCATGGAGGCGGGTATTTCCTGTGTTGTTCTCGTGATAGCAAATAAGTTTCAGAAGATCTGAGGGTTTTATAAAGGGGAGTTCCCCTGCACACACTACCTTGCCTGCCACTACGTAAGACGTGACTTTGCTTCTTTTTTGCCTTCAGCCATGATTGTGAAGCTCCCCAGCCACGTGAAACTGTGAGTTTATTAAACCTCTTCCTTTATAAATTACCCAGTCTTGGTTATGTCTTTATTAGTGGTGTGAGAACTGACTAATACAGGTAGCCAGGGGATGCCTCACTGGGAAGGTGAAGTTGAAGAAGTCAGAGATTGAATTATTTGTGTTTGTTAAAGAAGAACATTCTAGGCAAAGGAAACTGTAAGTATCAAAGCAGTGAGGCAAGAGTTTGCCTGGTATGTCTGAAGAACCCTAATGAGGCCAGAGTGAGGCCAAGAGGCACAGTGAGGGCAAGAATCATGTTAGACAAAACCAGAAGGGGAATTCAAGGGATAGAAAAAGTGCTATTGGATGGTTTGGGGCACAGGGCTATTAGGCTTTTTGATTGTCATTTATACAGGCTTACTTGGCTGCTATACTGCATATAGTTCAAAATAAGCCAAGAAACCATTTATAAGGCCACTGCAATGTATTAGATGGAAGACGTTGGGAGCTTTGGTCAGAAAAGAGAGTGGAGGGATGGTAAAAGTCATCATGCTTGAGATGTATTTGACAAGTATGGCTAATAGGTTTTGCAATAAGATTAAATGTGGGGTGTGAGAAGAAGAGGTAGGTCAAAGATTATTCAACAACTTTAACCTAAGCAACTAGAAGAACAGAATTACCATTAACTGAGATGAAAACTATTGCAGGAAGAGCAGGTTGAAAAGAAAGATTAGGCATGTGGTTTTGGATGTATTAGGTGTGAGATGTCAATTGCCCATCCGAGTTGAAATGTAAAGTGCTCAGTTGAGTCTAGAGTTAAAAGAGATACTCAATCTGAAAACATACACTTGGGAATTATCCATGATAAATATGAATTACAGCCACAAGAGTAGATAAGGTAAACTAGGAAGTGAGCATAGTGTAATGAGAGAGGGAGAAAGAGAAAGAAAGAACATATCTAAGGGCTGTTCCCTGGGGTGCCCAATAGTCTGTAATAGAAACCAGTAACCAACATAGAAAACTGGGAAGAAACAGCCAATTAAACTGAAGGAAAACAAAGAAATGAGGAGTCCTGGAAGTCAAGTGAAAAATAAACATTTTAAGGAAGAAGAAGTGATCAATTTCATCATGATGCCAATAAGCCAGTTAAGAGGAGGACCAAGAATTATGAGTTAGATGTAGTAACTTAGAGATCTTTAGTGAAGTTGAAAAGATGAGTTTCAATGGAGTCATAGGAGCAAAATCTTGGGATCAAGGGACAATGGAAAAGAGAAAGTAGAGAAAATGAGTAAAATTTTTTCAAGGAGTTTTGCTATAAAGATAAGGAAAGAAATGGAATAGTAGATGGACAGTTAAGTAGGTAAAGAAAAGTTAGCTATTTTTATGAAAAAAAATTTATGCCTATCACAAACATCCAGCAGACGGAAAATAATAAGGCCAGAAAGTAGTAACATTTACTTCCAATTGGATCCTGTAGCTCATTCTTTCCCTTTGAATTACAATTTCCATGCTGCTCCTGACCACCTATAAATTTACTCAGTTCAATAGTCAGAAATCCAGACCCAAAGCGAGTTTTTCTCTGGTATTTCTGCCACCAGTTTTATAATACTAACATCCCCATATATTTTATGAGAAACTTGGAAATTATGTGATTATTATCCTAGAACATTACTTGTGTTCCTGGTCTCAGAACCATGGTTGAGACCAACGCTCATGGTCTCAGGCTCACCTTGATCAATTGTTCAATGTTGCTTCATTTATCAACTACTGTCTGAGACCTCTGGGACAATTATTTCATCCATATTGTTGTCAACATAAGCTTAAACTCTCTTCTCTTCTTCCTTGCACTGCCTTGCCTACAGCAGTGCACCTGCTGACTAGACCCTTAATAAAGATATGGTTTCCAGTCTCAGCTAAACCTTCAATACTATTTAGAAATCATTTTACTTCTTCTTATTCAATGACTTTTGCCATAGTCCACAGGAGCTACTTAAATCTCTCAGGCCCTTATTTTCACATCTTCCTCTCATTATAAGATTAGTTCACTCATCAAACATTTACTGAGACCCTGCTATGTGTTGAATCCTATATATGGCACTAGTTATACAAAGGTGTCATCTTCAAGTATCTTGCAGTCTCATAAAAGGAAAAGAGTGGAATTAAAGAATAAGTTAAAAAGAAATAATGAAGCAGGTAAGAATATACACATAAACAAACCATTTAAAAAGTCTTTTAATACAATTTGGTTCATGTTTTAATAGAGGCAGTAAGTAAATTAAGTAAGCCCAGAAGAATAAATAATTGCACAAAAGAGGCCAGGGACGGTGGCTTACACCTGTAATCCCAGCACTTTGGGAGGCTGAGGTGGGCAGATCACCTGAGGTCAGGAGTTCGAGACCAGCCTGGCCAACACGGCAAAACCCCCTCCCTACTAAAAACACAAAAATTAGCCGGGCGTGGCAGGCACCTGTAATCCCAGCGATGTGGGAGGCTGAGGCAGGAGAATAGCTTGCACCAGAGAGGCAGAGGTTGCAGTGAGCCGAGATTGCACCACTGCACTCCAGCCTGGGTGACAGAGCGAGAATCCATCTCAAATAATAATAATAATTGCACAAAAGAGTCAGAAAAGTCTGACAGAAGATGTGGTATTTAATTGGGGAATTAAAGGATAACAAGAAGTTTTGTAAGCTCCATGAGAAGAAATTGGACAGAAGGTAATTGTAAACAGGGAATTTCTTGAGTAAGAAAAGGAAGCATAAAATCACGGCTTACTCATGGAATAACCACTGAATCCAGTGTTGCTGGTGGATACGGTACAAGATAAGGAGTTTGGACAACTTGTTTAGAAATTTGGGAACAATGTAAAGATTTTGAGGAGAATGGGTGGGGACATGTATGTATCAATTTAAGAAATATTACTGAGAGTTATGTCTAATACAGATTAGAGAAGAGGACAGCCTCAATGCAGTTAAGTGGCAACTATGGCATTATCTGGAAGATAAATGATAAAGATCCCAACTAGAGCAATATTGTCAGAAAAAAAGAGAGGACGTGGGCTTAGTAAAATATTTGGGAAATATAATTGAAAAGTTTTTCTGATGGACTGGATTTAGGGAGATAGAAGGGAGAGGAGACAAGCTTGACTTTCACACTTTTAGCTTGGGTAGTTGGGTGTACAGTGATGCATCAGCTAAGACAATGAACACACGGAGCGCCAAAATAGAAAGAACAGGAAGCAACAAACAGGTTGAGTCTGAGATGCCTGTAAAGCATCTGGAGGCACATGTAAAGTAGACATTTGGAAATTCACATCTAGAACTTCTGGGAGATATTGGGGCTGGAAATATTTATTTAGATGTCATCAGGATGTAGGTGGAAGTTAAAGTTGGAAGAGTGGACTAAATCCTCTGAGACACTGTCAAGTAAGACAAAACATTCTAGGAAAGAATCGCAAAAAAGATATACACTTTGAAGGCCGTTAGGGTTGTACCCAAAATATAGTCTCTTTACCGTCTGTACTTGCCACCTATTCCCTCAATCTTATTAACCAATAAAAACTGACAAGGCTTAGCTCCTAAACTTAAACCTTAAAAAGTACTAGTCCCCAGCTCTTTTTTCTCTTAGCTTACTTCTTTTTTTTCTTTTTTATAATTTATTTATATTTTCAGAGTGTGACATGATTTCTTCAGTTTCTCTTCTATAACTACTGGCAGAAGTGTCTGAGTGGTTGCACATTAAAGAATTCTTTCATCATTTGCTCATGGTAACACTATTTCATATGAAGATTCCATGGTCTTGGTTCATTTTCACCCATTTTAGGTTTCTGATGAATACAAGTACTTTACTCTCAGAAGTTAGCTCTGGCATGGGATAGATATTATAGGGCTTACTTAAACTCAGCAAGTGGTTCTTTTACTTTCCAGCACATTAAAAATTCCATGATGCCTCCTGACATCTTCAGACGCCCAGTAACTTGTGCAGTTTTCTTATTATAAGTTTTCTGGGTAAATTCACCTATGTCACAAAGTACATAAACAGAAAAACCTTTTTTATTAAGATATAATAATTCTACACCCTCAAATAAAGTGTACAGTTACACTAGACACAGTATGGCTTCATTTCAGCAATAAATCATAAACTAAAGGAAAAAGGCAAGATAACAACCCACTGCAGTCTTGAACTGGGATATTTCTAGACTTCCATTTGAGCACGTGCAGGTGAGAAACCATCCTTATTAATGGATTAGAAAGTTAATTGATATGTATTGTGCCTGAAAGTGGCCAGAGAAAATGGAAAATAAGAGTATGCATTTTGTGCCCTACTCATATATTTAAGCTCTCCCTATGTGCCTTTAACTTACACCATCAGCACTTAATATACAGATAACTCATTTTAAAAATGAAAGGGTTATTGTGTTATAATTTTTATAATTTCTCCTCACTAATGCTTTATACAGTACATTTAAAGCACCCAATAAAATACATCCCAGGGATTTCTGCATCTCACAAACTTTACAGAAATTTCTTGGCCGGTGACTAAAATGCTGGCCTACATGAGATTGAATATAATAACTACTGAATGGAGTAAGCAATGAAATTATTCTTACATATATGCACTCTCATGTCAAGGTTTTTAAAGCTCTTTACGTATGTTAAGAATTTGAAAAATCTTCTTTTAATCTGAAATTAGGTTCTGAGTTTTTATTCATCTTCAATCTAAATAACCTTGTATCACTAGCAGGGTTTGCAATCCTTTCCCTCATAGGTCATAAACATACTAAAGCTCTCTACTCAGAGTTTGGTCCTTCAGGTATCCATTTACCTTTCATCATACAGAAAATGGCCCATAGATGCTTATTCTTTGTGTTTTCTTCTATAAACAATTTTTAATCCCCAGTAGTCCTCTCTGATCTTCTTTTATGATTTAATCTTTTAAAGGCTTTATGAAATTTCTGTTAAAGTTTTCAGCAATTATATCCTGTAACTTGTTTTTTTCCCCTTAAAGCACTTCAAAATAATCCTGCAGGTTAATGAAGCAAAATTATTTAGGGCAGGTCTGTGCTCCCTTACTTGTGCATGGTTATGCCCAGCCACGTTTGATAACCAAAGGCATCTCCTTGTGGCACTGTAGTTTTGCAAACATACCCGTGAGGGATAGGAAGAACCATGGTTGGGTTGATTATTGCAGAACACAAACTCTATGAAGACTCCAGGTTACTTCTATACTATTTTCAGGATCAGTACATGAGATCTGAATTTCCTTCCTGCCAGGATCCGGCCTTTCTTTCCAAAGATACTGTTTCTCCACCCACACTAAACAGCATTCCCTTCCTTCATCAACAGCTGTACATCTTTTGGTTCTTGCATTGGATGTCACAGGCCTCCACCACGTGCCTCCCACTCTTCCTGCAGTTGCCTGGTGAATGTGGATGAGAACATATTTCTCTTAGTCATTCATAAGAGCTCAAATGACAAATGAATTTTTCTACCCCTGCTGCTCTCTAAACTTTAGGAAGTATCAAGTGAACCATTATCTATTTCATGATATTCAACTTGGGTGACCATGCTGGGAACACTTGCAATTTAATGCCTTTTTAAATGTATGGTTATGGGCTATATCGTATCTAGTTCTATTACATTTTTCTACAATATTCTCATTTTATTGTGCCATTAATAATTTATTATCTTTATTTTTATTATCAGATTTTATTGTTATATTTACATTATTGTTTTCTTATTTGTTTTTACAATGGTTGTAAAATTAATAAAATCTTTGAAGCTATCTTGGGAGGTCATTAGGGTCCCCGAATTGCCCACTGCCAACTTGTCATTATGCATACCCTTGCTTGGGTCCTACATGAGCAACCCCTAAACATACACCATAGACAATGTATTATTTATTCATTTTTTTAAAATTTGCAAATTGTACATAATATATAAAACTAGAGATCAGATCATGGTATTTAGAAAATGAAACCATTTTCCTGGCAACATAGAAAGAGTATAATTCCTAGCAAAAATGCAAGTATGTATGAAAACTAAGTGCCTCCAAGATATTATTGAATGACATCTAAATAAGATCAAATGCTATAATTTGTAGGTTATAATAACTTAACAGTATGGTTAAAATATATCCCTAAAATTATAAAATGAGGATCAGAGAAAGTTTAACTTTTATTTTATTTAATTAATTAATTTATTTATTTGGAGACAGAATTTCGCTCTTGTTGCCCAGGCTGGAGTGCAATGGCGCCATCTCGGCTCACCGCAACCTCCGCCTCCCGGTTCAAGCGATTCTCCTGCCTCAGCCTTCCAAGTAGCTGGGATTACAGACATGTGCCACTACGCCTGGCTAATTTTGTATTTTTAGTAGAGACAGGGTTTCTCCATGTTGGTCTTGAACTCCTGACCTCAGGTGATCCACCCACCTCAGCCTCCCAAAGTGGTGGGATTACAGGCATGAGCCACCGCACCAGGCCCAGTTTAACTTTTACTAACATTAAAAGTAGGAATGAGAAAAAGATATCTTGAGATCTAATATTTGGATTTATGTGAGATTAGTTATTTTCTAAACCTAAGAGAAAATCCACTGTTTTTAAAAGACCTCAATTAACAATATTTCATTCATTTTCCTATTTATGTTTCTAAATAGTCCTAAATACTAGTGTTCTTTATGGAGAAAATTACTCAAATATATAACAAATGCTTAATTACATGTAATGTCCATGAGGACAGAGACCATGTCTCTCAACAAATATTTCTTGAGTAAATCAATAAATAGAATATATATGTGTGTACATATATACACATTCACACATACACATACATATTTGTAATACATCATGTATTATATGTGTTACATGAATGTAACATATAATTAACACAACTATCATTACATTTGCTGTACTATACTTGGAATAAAATAGCATTTGGACAAACTGGAATTTTTACAGAAAATTTTCTATATCGATGTTATTTGGCATCATACAAGCAGAAAGTTATTTGTACACCAGAAAGTTAAATTCTGTTTTCACATTTATGTTTCCCAGAGAATACTTATGAACCAAAGTAATCTTTTAAAAAATTCTCTAGAAACATAGAAACATATTTAGTTTTTGCTTTTTGAGTGCACGTATCAGTGCATGTCAGATTTTTTCTGATCCAATATCTAGTGTACTATTGACTACAAATTGAGGAACTACCAGTACTAATTAGCAACTATAGCACACATCTAATAGTACTCCTAAAACATGTGCTGTAGTGTAACACAGAACTCTGAATTTTAACAGACCACCCAAAAATAAGAGAAAATATTATGTCCGTCTCATAATTGACCATTATATCACTTACATTTTCTTATACCGTGCTTGTAAAGTATTTGCTAAAGTCCATTTGATTTTTCTCAGATGTGAAAAACAGATTTAATTTTTAAAAGATATTTCACGTCTTCTTTTTTTTGTTTGTTTTGAGATGGGGTCTGGCTCTGTCACCCGGGCTAGAGTGCAGTGGCATGATCTCGGCTCACTGCAACATTTGCCTCCCAGGTTCAAGCAATTCTCCTGCCTCAGCACCCCCTAGTAGCAGGGATTACAGGCATGCACCACCATGCCAGGCTACCTTTTGTATTTTTAGTAAAGACGGGGTTTCACCATGTTGGCCAGGGTGGTCTCGAACTCCTTACCTCAGATGATCCACCTGCCTCGGCCTCCCAAAGTGCTGGGATTACAGGCGTGAGCCACTGCACCCAGCCTAAAAGTTATATTTCAATTCTTTTTTTAAATTTCAACTTTTATTTTAAATACAGGGGTACTTGTGTAGGTTTGTTACATGGATATTTTGTGTGATGCTGAGGTTTGGGGTATGGATTCTGTCACCCAGGTAGTGAGTACCCAACAGGTGGTTGTTCAACTCATGCTTTTACTTATAACTAAGAATATGTGATATTTGGTTTCCTGTTCCTGCATTGACTCACTTATGATTATGGTCTCCAGCTGCATGTATATTGCTGCAGAGGACATTATTTCACTCTTTTTTATGGCTGCATAGTATTCCATTGTGTATATATACCACATTTGCTTTATCCAACTCATCATTGGTGGGCACCTAGGTGGATTCCATGTCTTTACTATTGTGAATAGTGTGGCAGTGAACATATGTGTGCATATGTCTTTTTGGTAGAATGACTTAATTTCCTCTGGGTATATACCTAGTAATGGGATTACTGGGTCAAATGGAAGCTATGTTTTTAGTTCTAAAAAGGACATTTAATTTCTGATAAACATCTTTTCTTTGTATGTTTTATATTCTTGAATACACTTCTACTCAGCTCTTAATTTCAAATCTTTAGAATTTTAAGTAATAAAAATTTTCAATAGTAGCTATTTCATTTAGAATGCACTAAAATAACCTATCATTTTATCTAGTGTTTGGGTTAGTGATATAAATTTACTGTATATTTAAATATATACACACAGAACATAAAACCTCACCATAATTCTATCCCAGAGATTTATACCTGGGAGCATCTTATTTATAAAGTTCATTGACAATCAGCCACTATTTTCTAAACAAGAAATCGTGAAAGGAAGTAATCTTACATCAAATTTTACAATTTATATTATATCATTAGCCAGGTTCTAGCTTTTATACTAAGACATGAAAAAATGTACTTACAGATTAGGAACTCATCCACTGGAGCACCTAATAACTGGATCAGTGAAACCTTGAAACCAAAGCAATGTATATTGAGATATGTTTAAATGTTCTTTGATTTTTCTTATCAATTTGAAGCTTTCTAAATGTAAGATACGTGCTTATTGAAATACAGTAAAATGACATTCAAGAATGGTTGAATCCAAATGTAGAGGCAGTATGCTGTCTCAGGATTTTAGTTGGAAAGAGATAGCATGGTTTAAATTGGGTAATTAGAGGAGAGTTTAAAAGGGAGCTATTTATTAAGGTCTTGGGCTAGTAACTGAGAAGCTACCACTAGGTCTGATGGGAAGTGGAGCAGGGTTGTTAACCCTAATGAGGAGACAGAGAAGACCACCTTACCAATGCAGCCAGCCCAAGGTGACCCCATAGGAGGGGAGCTGATGAAATACATTCCTCATTTTCAGTGTTTTCCCTTTCTCCATTGGTCAAACCCATCCAGAAGCCAGAAAGCATGGGGCCACTGACAGAGTCCTTAAAGCAGAGCAGAGGAGGGAAGGGAGTAAATGGACCTGAAAGAGCAAATAGAAGATATTGAGCACAGAAGGGAGCTGAAAAGGACCATCCATCACAGGACCAAGAAAGTAGACAAAGAAAATGTACAATGCCAAGGGAAAAGCAATAGGTTATCAACTGAACTAAGTAGGCAAGAAAAATGATTGAGAAGTCACCATTCTCTCAACAAAATGCCACAATGGGATTTACAAGCAAGAATGTATCTAAAAGAATAGTGGAAAAAAATACTGAAAAAAGAGGTGAAGGGAAGGGAATTAACAATTGTAGTTATGACTACTACCTACCAAACTTTGGACTAGGTAGTTTTTTAAACAAGTGATAGCTTTTAATTTTATAACTCAGCAGTGAGAAAGTTTTGATTATAACAATTTTAAAGATATGGAAACTGCAACCCATAGGGGAACCTGCCCCCTCTACCCCACTGTAAGTGCACCTGTATATTACCACTTCATCTCTACCAAACAGTTTAACTACCAAAGTACAGGCTTCCCTTTAGGGCAAGCATAGTCTAGTGATGAATCATTGCTCTGGCCTCAAGATTTTCTGGCCTAAGAAGACTGGATGGAAACTCGCGTCCCCATTCCAGGATTGTCTGCAGCTCCTTGTCTCACCAGGATCTCCTGAGAGAATGAATATACAGATTGAGCTGCTTAGTATGCCAAGTCACCTTCTACTAGATCTCCCACCCTCCCCCTACGAATGGAGCTGGGGAAAGGACGCCAGGCATATAGTCTTACACCATGTATGGAATCGATTAGGCAATTCTACTTGGACCTAAAAAATAATAACCTTACTTTTCTTCCAACTTAAAATTGGTTGTTATGATCCCACACTCTTAAAGCTATTTCCAGCAAGTTTACATTGTAGCCTTTGCAGCATACATTTGTCTTATCAAATCCCTTTTATCTACAAAACTGATTTTATATTCTCTTGGTCGGGCTTTACAGTTTTCCTTAGAACTCTCCCATATATAACCACAACACACTCTTGAGATTTAATAATAATAACAGCTAACATTTACAGAGGGTCATGCCCTGGACTAGGATCAAGACATGGTTTATCTCATGCAATCTTCCCAATGGGTCTATGAGGTAGATACTATTATTAGCCCCATTTCAGATCTAAGTAACTGAGACTTAGCTCAGATTAAGCAGTTTGCTATTGTTGACACAGCGAAAAGTGTCAAAGATAAGATTCAAGCCCAGAAATTCTGGCTCCACAATCTGAGTGTTTAACCATTGCCCTTTGTTGCTTCTCAATATATTAAAAATAAATCCTGTTTTCCACTCCCCCACCCTATTTCTCCCAAGCAACTGACAGAGATAGAAAAATTGGCTTACACTTTCTTTTTCAGATAGTCACATTTTTATTTTTTCTTATTTTTTTACTTATTACTTTCCCTTATGTCTGGTTACAAAAAACACCTTATTTTCCCCTCACTTTGTTTGTTTGTTTGACACAGAGTCTCACTTTGTCGCCCAGGCTGGAGTGCAGTGGTGTGATCTTGGCTCACTGCAACCTCCGCCTCCCGGTTCGAAAGATTCTCCTGCCTCGGCCTCCCAAGTAGCTGGGATTACAGGCGTCCACCACCACACTGGGCTAATTTTTGTATTTTTAGTAGAGACAGGGTTTTACCATGTTGGCCAGGCTGGTCTCAAACTCCTGATCTCAGGTGATCCACCCACCTCAGCCTCCCAAAGTGCTGGGATTAAAGGTGCGAGCCACCATACCTGGTCTTACCCTCTACTTTGAACAATATTAAAGCATCATCCAGCATATCAAAATTCTCTACAACTTTCCAAGTGATGCCAATTAGGCAATGGACATTATCAGGCCATCACTTTGTGTTCAGATTTGTCAGTGTAGCAAAAACACATTCAGCCAAATTGTACATGCAGGCAAATGGCTGTTAAGCACTACCTCATGGAGGGCTTTTCCACTTCTGGTCAGGTAATCGCCAATCAGGGAAATAGTGAATAACAAAATGTGCAAACTCTGATGACTACATTAGTGATATGAAATTAAAACCAAAAATATTTGCATCCTTGAAGTACTAGGGAGACTGGTTTCAATATGGCAAAAATCAAAACTTCTTTACTAATAATTAAAGAATTCTGAGTGGAATCTGAGACCTACAGGCAAAATCATTTTACTTGAGTTTCCAATATAATAACGTTTTCAGTATAATAATGTTTGAAATACTGGCTAACCAAAGTCAGATGTGAGAAAAATAGCTTCAGAAATGCCAGACAAAAGAAAAAGAAAGATTTTCAACATTCTCCAGAGAAGACACCAAAATTTAATAGTTTCACTTTGGTATATATAGCAACATAAAGCTTCTATCCATATATATTTTCTTTACATCCATGATAATATGCCCAGGAGATTTTTTCCCCTGTATGGGCTCCGGCTAGGAGTATTGTTTTCGATTCTGCAGTTTTATAATTTTGTCTTTTTTGTCTCTTATCTCAGTCAGCTAGCATAAAATTATTGTTTTTGCTCATTTCTTATGTTTTATCATATGTAATTGGGATAGGTACTCCCGGGACTGTGGGACAGCTGGAGTTACTATGAAGTTGGCGACATCAATTTTGCAGCCAGCCTGACATTGATTTAAAATGCATTTCAGACTGATGAAAGGTGGTGGATTCACAGTCCCTGAGACTGAAGTTCTCTGGTTCCTCGCGGAACAAAGAGCGCCCGGGGAACTGCAGTGCCCCATAAACTTGCTTCAGCTGTGAGGTGACATTCACCAGAAAGAGGCATGTTGGGTAGCTACAGCTGAAAGAACTGGATTTTCGGAAAGCCACATATCACTTAGGTCTGCAAAGAGTAGTTTAATTGTTCCTGTTGTTAGATGAATCAAATTAGAGTACCTTCACTATAGTTCATTTAACAACAATTTTCAGTTTCTTGATCATGTTTTTTTTTCTCCTAGATTTTTCCAACATGTGAGATTTCCTGGAGATTTAAATTTGTTTTTATTCAGAACTTTTCACTAACTTCCTATGCAAAATAAGGCAAGTTCCTTGGTCTTTCTGTGATTCAGTTAATATCTCTATTAAATGGTGGTTAAATTAGCTGGTTTATAAAACACCTTCCGGTTCTAAAATCCAGATATAGGATCCCAGTTTATCATAAGAGAAAAATGTACCTAAAATCCCATAGAGATACCTTGGAAAAGTAGTTCATTACGCTCTATCAGATTGTCTGGATTCTAAAATATGATGGACATCTACAATTCAGAATAAGGGCAATCTTCTGTGATTTTTAACAACGATTTGTGGAAGTGCATCTGGTAAGATTTTATTTGTTCCCATTTACATGGTGAATCACAATTCTGGCCATTTCCTGTCTCTTGCCTGTATAATTTCAATTAAACAAAACAAACCTAAGACAACTAGTCCATCTTCCCAATGGCAAGATAAATGCTTTAAGACTGAGCTATAAGGAACAAGCTCAGAAAAGGTTATTAGAATTTACTATAACCAATCTGGTTCTCTATCATTCAGAAATAGTCTTATGGTGTGGGTCATGCTGTTTGCCTCAAAACAGATTTTTCTAGTTACACAGAGCTCATATTGAAATGAAACTGGTGGGGGAAAAAATATAGCTCCCTAGAGTTGTCTTATTACCCAACAGATTTAAAACAGAGCTAATGGAATAAAGGGAGAATGATAAGCTGTAAGAGACATACAAAGTGTGTGCTCCATTGGATTCTGACCAAAATCAGAGCTTAGGGTTTTGGACCCTAATCTAGACCGTTTGTGTGTGCCATTGTATCTTGTTTTTATTCTTTCTTCCACTCTTAATATCTAGCAACTCCAATTCACCTAACCTCACTCCTACAATACACACAGGCACACATACATAAAACACAAACATACCAACATCTAACTCAATCTACCTGCTTAGTTCCTATACGTTTACATTGTTGTAACCAACAGTCATCTGTCAGCATGTTATATGATCAAAGACAACATACTCAGGTTGCAGGGAATGTCAGCCATCTCCTTGTGTCTCTCAAAAGATAATGCTGGTTCTGTTTGGTGTTGTAAAAAAAAAGTTTATAAGAAAATTCCTGTTGGGGTTCAGAAAATGATACCCTAAAATATAGTGCTTCGGAATGTTGAGTACTTTGAACTAAAGGAGATTGGAAGGCCCCAGAAGCCACCTCTCTCTGGCCTTCTCCTGCCCTGTGATCTCTTGCCCCTATGTCTCCACCAAAGCACATCACAAAAAGCAGAATTCCTATTCCCTAAGACAGGTCATAGAAACTAGAACTCTTCATCTCCAAAGCAAGCTATAAAACCAAAAACTATTATTCTAACCTTCCTCCGCTTTTCTGTGTAGGAACTGGCCATAAAGAAATTCTGTGACCTACCCTATCAGATAGTAGGTCATAAGACCCTCATTCCAGAGGGGTCCTATCCTATACCCAGGAGGTAGGAATGCTACACAGAGCGGCCAAGAAGAAACTGGACTGGCTTTTCTGGGTTTCCCACTCAGTCTATTACCATTAGATCATACCCTGCTGCCCAATCACATTTCTACATAGCTGTCTATTCTTCACTGAAACTAAGCATAAAAATAGTTTTCCTCACGTCTTTGAGCCTTCATTGCTGAAGGCTCCCACGACACATAAAATTTTGATTAAATAAGTTTGTTATGCTTTTCTCTTGTTAACCTGTCTTTCGTTATAGAAGTGCCAGCCACAACCCTTACATTGGGCGAGGAAAGGTATCATACCTTTCCAACCCTACACCATCTACCTTCCCTTTTACAATCCAACATTTGAAAAAAAGAATGTATGTTTTCTTCAACCAGTGCTATTTAATTTCGATGTCAAGGAAGAGAAATTCAAATGTCTTATTAACATTGTTACTAAGGACCTAATGCTAGCTAATTTCAATAGATAGATGGGGAAAAACATCATCTGTATTTTCACTCTCAAGGCTAATCATTTTGCTGTTTCAGAGACATTAAAACAAACACATAAAGGAAATAATGCATTATGCATTTACCCGCTAGAGAGGTCAGGCTTAACTGCTTATCTTCCAATAAAAGTCTACTCAATGAGGAGAAAAAATGAAAAATAATGGATAATGAGGAGTGATTATTTTGAATAGAAGAATGAAGAATAAAGCCAGTTTTAGCACCAAGTCCTTGGTATGTAACAGCGTGTATGTTATCAGCAGCACTATACTAATGCTGACCTCAACACCGTGGTTATGCTTTTGAGTCAACTTTCTGAGCCAAGAAGGGCCATGAACCAAGTATCACAGGCCTCATGTCTGATGAACAGGAAGCATGGATAACAACTGTGCTCTCTGTTTCCTCTGGCATACTTAGCAGTGTGTTATGTCCATGATAGGTGACTCCATATCTTTAATAAAAAAAAACTCTGAATTATGTTTCCTTCATATCTAGATGGAAATTGCATGGCTGAGAAGCAGCCTGGAGAGGTGGAAATCACTGTGAACCTTTCATCATGTACAAGAAAGCTTCTAACTAATTCCGTTTCAATTTCTTTAAAAGTGAAATGATAATAATAATGCCTATCTTGACTATTTCACAGATTTGTTATGAGCTCCCTAGAGTTGTCTTATTACCCAACAGATTTAAGACAGAGCTAATGGAATAAAGGGGGAATGATAAGCTAATTAAATAATATGATAGCATTGATAACATCTTGCATTTATTGCACACTTACATAATAAACATAAGCAAAAGACTTCATGAGCATGATCTCCATTAGCCATTAAAGCAAATCTGTGAAATGGGTAATATGGACCCAGTTTTGCCATTGAAAAGTTAGGCCCAGAGAATTAAAGTTCCATAGATTATAAGTGAGAAAGCAAAGAGGCTTAATCCAAAGATTTCAGGTGACACCTTGTGTAAGGGATATCAGTGAGACTTTACCCATTCACTAAATACCAACAAGGACCATATTCTGTTCTCCTGGCCTATTTTCAGGTGACGGAGGTTTGGTGATAATAACTGCACTTCGGCTGATAAGAAAAATTTCCAGTCAAGTTCTAAATTAATAGGATAACAAATCACCAAAGTTAAAGTTAAGTAGAAAACTTGATGAAAATTTAGAAAAATGTACTTTCTCTTCAAAGGTGGAGTCCAAATTTTTACTGACTTTTTGCCTTCTGCAGTCTGGGAGAAGGGTCTTGCTGCTTTTCTTTCTACTTTGTCCTTGAATGCTGCTCATAATTGCCTTCGGCCCATGATACTGTACCATCATTTACCTAGAGCTGGAACATTTTAAAAATTAAATGCTACACTAGAAAAGGTGATGTCAGACCATCTAAGGTCTGTTTCTGCCTTTCAAAATTCAGTTAAGGGCATTTAATCTCTCTAATTCAGGAAAAGATGCAAATAACACTTTTGACCAAACTGCTATCTAATTAGACCAAGAGCACTAAAAGCCACTCCGTTTTACTCAACCCAGCTTTGAAAGACACAAAAGTCTGTCTATTTTGTATGATTTTTTTCTTAGGTAGATAATAGAAATGATTCTAGTTTGGCTGCTCAAGCACTGAAGTGTCACAGTGATGAGTGTCATAAGATAAATATAGGGATAGCTCCTTATAAATATTTCTTTTTGCAATCTGGTGTTGCATATGGATGCCTGGAATAGGTAATACAAATTGGTCTACTCTAATTTACATTTAAACAGGGGCTTAAGAAGGATCAGGGAGCACCACTCTGCCTTGAAAAGTTACAGCCTAATAAGAGTGACAGGAATTGTCATCAGTATTATAATCATTACCAAGTCCCAAAAATAACCTTGTTAGGAATAGATCCATCTCTGCAGGGGATATCCAAGACTGCAGTGCTTGGATAAAATATGAATCAAAGACTAATGCCAAAAAACCTAAATTACATTTTTAAAAGAGGATGTTACATTAAAATAGTGATAAGCCAGGTAATTATAGAGAATTTATGTACCTTTTAGCATAATTAATGATATTAAGTACCAAAGCTTGAAATTTAAAATCCATTTATCTTAAATTATGCTTTTGAATTTACATATAGCATTAGAATGAAAATAAATGTAGAATGGTTAGATTAATAAGTATAAACTAAACATGGATTAGATATTCATCCATTGTGAATATTACAAAAGAAAGCAAGAATTGCTTCTCATATTAAGCAGACTCTCGTTAACTGCAGGGCATTTACTAAAACTAATATTAATATTATCTTAGTTAACTTTTCACATATAACAAGATCTGGGTAAATAAACCCTGTATGAAATCTGGAATGTAATTTATAATGAATTTGTGCTAATGATATCTAATGTGCCTAGTTAAAATGGAAGCTTTATAGAGAATAAATGCTGCTCATTTACTTCAAAGGGAGTTACCCAACATGTGTAATTTGATGGTAATTTAAGAAATAAAACAATGTTAGCTAATATAAGTATGATTTACAAATTTCCTTATGAAAATGCAGTACTCATGTTATGTATCTTTTTAATTTTTTTACTAGCTTATTAAAAAACTTTTTAGACTCTATGAATACACCAAAGATTCAAACAAATAACTGTCTGGGAATATATCCCTGTGGTAGGCAGGAAAATACCCCCTCCCCAAGATTTCCATACTGGAATCCCTGGAACCTATGAATATGTAACATTGTTACTTAGCAAAGGGACTTTACAGATGTAATTAAGGTTATGGACCTTAATATAGAAAGATTATTATTATCCTGGATTATCCAGATATACCTAATCTAATGACACAAGCCTTTAAAAGTAGAGGACTCTTTTCAGATGAAGTCAAAGAAATGTGGGCTAGGAAAGGAGAAAGATGAGGCAGAAGGTGGGGACAGAGAGAAGTATAGCAGGTAATTCGCATAGTCTCTAGAAGCTAGGGATGCCTGGCCAAAAGCCAGCAAGGAAACAGCGACTTCAGTCCTACAATTGCATGGAACTGAATCCTGCTAAGAAACTGAATGAGCCTGGAAGTAGATTCTGCCCCAGAACCTCCCATATGGAATGCAGCTAGACTGACATGTTAGTTTTAGTCCAGTGACACCCATGTCAGCCTTCTAATCTATAGAACTGTGAGATACATTTATTTTAAGCCACAATGTTTGTGGCTACTTGTTAGGGCATTAAGAGAAAACTCATACCATACTGCATATTTATATATATACACACACATACACACACACATATATATACACATATATATATAATATAAACACTTATTAGTAAGTGAACACTAGGATGATCAAAATTCACTTTCATGGTAGAACCTCATGGTATCAATATGAACAAGAATTTTGAAATTCTAAAGTTTTAGAGAATAATTTATTTAAGAATTGACATCTTAAATCATGACATAAAACAAAACAAACAGACAAACAAAACAGCATTTAAAAAATAGAACTAGGTGTTTGTGTACTCAACATTAGCTAGGGATTTCGTGGTTTGGGTTTCTTTTCTTTTTTTTTTTCAGTTTCCTATCTAAAGATTGTGTAATATTGCTGCCTGTTTTTTATATCCTCCAGTGAATTTTATCATTTTAGTAAAACTACAGTTTATTATTACAACTATTCTTTATTAAACAATGATATATATTTTTGAATCAATTTTCAGAAATACAAATTTTATTAGCATTTTTAAAACTTGCATTATTTTTTGTTTGCATAAACTCCAAATTATTAAATAAGAAAGTATTTTTTGCCCAATTTCTTTTGTTGTTTTATGAAAAATAAAATATGCCTCTCACACATTCAGAAGAAACTTCATTCAATTCTTTAGTTAACTTGCTACATCATGCTGCTGTGGGGGATCTGCTTGTCCCTTTTCCTCTAGATTCCCTAGAGCAGGGATCCCTAACCCCCAAGCCACGGATGGTACAGCAGGAACCGGGCTGCACAGAGGGAGGTGAGCAGCAGGTGAGCAAGCAAAGCTTCATCTGTATTTACAGCTGCTCCCCATCACTCGCATTGCCACCTAAGCTCTGCCTCCCATCAGATCAGCACCAGCATTAGATTCTCATGGGAGCACAAACCCTATTGTGAACTGTGCACGCACGGGATCTAGGTTGCAGGCTCCTTATGAGAATCCAGTGCCTAATTGTCTGTCACTGTCTTCCATCAGCTCCAGATGGGACCATCTAGTTGCAGGAAAACAAGCTCAGGGCTCCCACTGGTTCTACATTATGGTGAGTTGTATAATTATTTTATTATATATTACAATGGAATAATAAGAGGAATAAAGTGCACAATGAATGTAATGTACTTGAATCATCCCCAAATCATCCCCCTCCACCATCTGGTCCGTGGAAAAAAATTGTCTTCCACAAAACCAGCCCCTGGTGCCAAAGAGGTTGGGGGCCACTTCCCTAGAGGAAGGAAATTCTTCTCTCACAGAGGGAACAGAGCATGGAGTGAACACTGCCCCCACTCCACCCCTCTGTTTACTTCCCTCAGGGAAGAGAGAATAACTATCTGCTTGGTAAGATCCATTAGGGTCCAATATCTATTGTCTGCACTGTCTATCAGAAATGCTTGCTTTTCCTAATTATATTTTTGTATCTGAAAATCAGCATTGAATAATGTATTATAAAGTACAGAAGAGTTGTTGTTGTTTTTAACTTTTATTTTAGGTTCAGGGGTACATGTGCAGGTTTGCGATATAGGTAAACTCATGTCACAGGGAATTGTTGTACAGATTATTTCATCACCCAGGTACTAAGCCTAGTACCCAACAGTTATTTTTTCTGATCCTCTCCCTCCTCCCACCCTCCCCCTCCAAGTCAGCCCTAGCATCTGTTGTTCCCCTCTTTGTGTCCATATATTGTCATCATTTAGCTCCCACTTGTAAGTGAGAATATGCAGTGTTTGTTTTTCTGTTACTGTGTTAGTTTGCTAAGGATGGTGGCCTTAGAGTTTTGACAAAATAATGAAGCATAAAGATAAAGCACTCAGCTATGTAAATGTTGTGCTTTTAGTGAGTCACCAACTGATGTTTTGGAGAACAGCATAAGAAAATAATCTCAACATTATTTTCGGTCTATTTTGACAGTGAGTTCAAAAAATTCCCAAAATATGTAATGGAAAGACCCAGGGACCCTCAGACTGTTTACAAACATATTCTTTCCTGGGTTCTCATAGCAATTTGCTCCCATTTCCTCAGTAAGACTTATTATCCTGAATTATAATTGTTTGTATTTGTATTTCCTGCCCCTTCACCTCTTCCTTCATCTCTTAGAACTTACCTGCTTCTCCTGACACCTTCCTCTCCTTTATGTTCTATTACCAGTTTGTCTCCAAGTCCCACAGATTTCACTTCCCAAACTCTTTAAAATCTGTCCTCTCCACTGTCATCATCCGCATCCAAGTTATCGTTTACCTAGCCTTGTAGCATGGCAATTGCCTCCTAACTGGCTTCTCTAACTAATCTTGTCTCTGTCAAATCTTTTTTCTACTTTGCAGACGTGGTGATCTTTCCAAAATGGAAATCTGATAAGCTCTCATGCACTTGGCTACTTGTCAGCTTATTCTTGCAGCACTCTTACCCTCTATGATAGTAGATACAGATGCTCCTCCACTTACAATGGGGTTACATCCTGATAAACACATCGTAAGCTGAAAATATTGTAAGCCAAAAATGCATTTAATACGCCTAACCTACTGAACATCATAGACTAGCCTAACTTAAATGTGCTCAGAGCACTTATACTAACCCACAGTTGGGCAAAATCATCTAACACACAGGTTATTTTATAATAAAGTATTGACTAGCTCATGTAATTTATTGAATACTGTGCTGAAAGTGAAAAACAGAATGGTTGTATGGGTATGGAAAATACAGTTTCTACTGAATGCATATTGCTTTCTCACCATCCAGTTGAAAAATAGTAAGTTGAACCAGCATAAGTCAGAGACTGTCCGTATACATTGAACACATAGTGCATGCTTAACACATTGTGCTTACTGCTCTGCATATAATATTTAACTCAGTCCTCACAGACCACTTTGAGGTTGCTATGTAAGTTGTGTCATCCCCTTAAGCAGTTGAGGAAACTGACGCAGAATGTGGTTAAACAATTTACCCAAAGAGCCACAGCTAATTATTAGTAGGTCTCTGTTTGAAGCCACCTAATTTGAGTCCAGATCCTACTTTCTGAACCTCCATTCATGCTTAACTTTTCTTTTCAGTTTCTTAAAGGCTATGTGTTCCTCCCTGCATTTTGTTTTGTTTTGTTTTGTTTTGTTTTGTTTTGTTTTGTTTTGAGACGGAGTTTCACTCTTGTTGCCCAGGCTGGAGTATAATGGCACGATCTCGGCTCACGGCAACCTCAGCCTCCCAGGTTCAACGGATTCTCCTGCCTCAGCCTCCCAAGTAGCTGGGATTACAGGTGTCTACCACCACGCCCGGCTAATTTTTGTATTTTTAATAGAGACGGGGTTTCACCATATTGGCCAGGCTGGTGTCAAACTCCTGACCTCCAGGTGATCCTCCCGCCTTGGTCTCCCAAAGTGCTGGGATTACAGGCATGAGCCACCACAACCAGCCAATGCCTGGACTTTATCCATGTTTTTCCCCCATACCTGAATCACCTTTTTCTCCATCTTTACCTAGATAGCTAATTCTGATTCTTTGTATCAGCTCAAGTGTGACTTACTCCCAGAAGGCTTCTCTGACTCCCTAGGCTACATCTGCTTTCTTTTTTAGAAGATGTCATGGACTTTTATCCTTCCCTTCATAGCACTTACTGTGCAGTCAATCACTCTTGGTTGTGTTTATTCCATAACACTCATCTCCAACACCAGCTGATGAACCCCAGAAACAGGACTCTTGTCTGATGCTGCTCACCATTGTGTCCTCAGTGCCTATAGCTGTATCTAGAAAAGAGGTGCTTAATAAACACAGGATGAAAGACTGAAGCAATGCTTCTTTCTGCTTTTAACCATATTCTCTCTCTGATCCCTTCACATGCTACTATACAAGCTCCCTACAGTGTTTAAGTATGACATCTTTTAGCTCCACCTTCTGAGATTCAGTAAGGCTCTTTCTCCAGCTTTAGTTTGAAAACTTCTAGGCTGGGCACAGTGGCTCACGCTTGTAATCTCAGCACTTAGGGAGACTGAGGCGGGCGGATCACCTGAGGTCAGGAGTTCAAGACTAACCTTACCAACATGGAGAAACCCTGTCTCTAATAAAAAATACAAAATTAGCCAGGAATGGTGGCACATGCCTGTAATCCCAGCTACTCAGGAGCCTGAGGTAAGAGAAACACTTGAACCTGGGAGGCAGATGTTGCAGTGAGCTGAGATGGAGTCATTGCACTCCAGCCTGGGCAGCAAGAGAGAGATTCCATCTCAAAGAAAAAGAAAAAAAAAGAAAAGAAAAAAGAAAACTTCTAGAGAAGGAGCTTGACTGGCATGGCTAAGGTCAGGTTCTACCCCTAGACCCGTTGACTCTGATCAAAGAGGCCATATTACGATGTACGTCTGAATATTCTCACCTTTCTCAGAAAGAGGGAGATCATACCGTTCTAAAAAGACATTCCAATTGATGTCCACTACAACATCCAAGTGAATGCTAGTCCAATTGAACTTAATTAAAATAATGGCAGTATAGTAACCATTTACCATAAGCAAAGCATGTTGCTAAATGTTTTACCTATGTTGTTTCATTTTATATTTATGATAATCCTATGATGTAGGTTTTCTTATGTGTATTGTTATCCCCATATCACAGAGGAGAAATTAAGACTTAGAGAGTTTAAGTGATGTATTCAGAATCATACAGCTAGAAAATGGCAGAGTGAACCCTAACTGCAAAGTTTGTGCTCAGAACTGCTACACATCCTGCCTTCTTAAAGTAAAGCTATTTGAGTATACAGATAACCAAAATTTTACTAGATGATTAGTTGCATCCATGTACAGATGTAAAGGAAAGAATCCTCCTAGTAATTACACACAGAGTCTGTAATACAAAGTTACGAATTGGGAGGAGGAGGAAAAATAAGATGTATATAAAATACAGCAAGGGTTATCTCTGACTAATGATAGTAAAATAGTAAAGGTAAATAAATAAGAATATGTGAAGTTGTGTTAACCATAACCATGCACACACAAACATACACAAGCAAATACAAAATAAATAAGCAAGGAATTTGAAGCCATCCCAGTACTGTTTATTGTACATGACCTAACCTGGGGTTGAAATAAGCCCTCTCTCAATATGTGCACAAAAAGACAAGCGCACATATTGATCAGAAAATCGTGTTTCAATACACTCATTTTCATTTTCAAAGTTGAAATTTTTATTAGATCCTCAAAAGTATTGTATTCAAATTCACTCAAGAGAAATCTTTATAAGAGAAAATATAAATTGAATTTCACGTGCTACACCTATTTTAGGGATTTGGGAATAAAAGATAAAAGAAACTAATTTTCTATAAATCCTGGTGTATTATCAAAATGGTACACTAATTTTTATATTAAATTATTTAACTATTAGCATATAATAAAATTAAAAATGATAGTTCTGTTTTACAGTTACAAAGCATTGAATTTGAATATAATTTAATAATAATATGTAAAATGCACTATCATATGAAGTTGATCTGATTAACTTCATAATTTGATATACTTATAAAATACTATTAAAAATATATTAACATGGTTCCCTTTAAAACATTATTTCCTCTGATATGACTATGCCCAATGCTTTAATGCATATGACCAAATGCTTTAATTTATTCCCTAAACATTATCTTGACACTATTGGTTTCTATAATTGTTTTCTAGATAATTTAACTATAAAACATTTCAATATTTCAGTTTTATCCTGTATGTGATGCATCATTAAATTGTATTGTATAAATCTGTTAGATATCATAAAATGCTCCTATAATTAAACCAGAGAAGTATATATGAATTGGATCCTGTTCTAATTGTCATTTATTCCAATTTCGATCTGTTTAAAAATTGGGCTGAAAGTAGATGTTAAAATCTGAGAAACTTAAAGGAAATGGTGTATTTATGGATCAGGTTTTTAACATCTATGAAAGAATATTCAAAAACAGGCATTTTCTTTCAAAATACAATTATAATGACACCATAGATTTTTTTAATTTAATTTAATTTTATTTTATTTTATTATTATTATACTTTAAGTTTTAGGGTACATGTGCACATTGTGCAGGTTAGTTACATATGTATACATGTGCCATGCTGGTGCGCTGCACCCACTAACTCGTCATCTAGCATTAGGTATATCTCCCAATGCTATCCCTCCCCCCTCCCCCCACCCCACAGCAGTCCCCAGACTGTGATAGTTCCCTTCCTGTGTCCATGTGATCTCATTGTTCAATTCCCACCTATGAGAGAATATGCGGTGTTTGGTTTTTTGTTCTTGCGATAGTTTACTGAGAATGATGGTTTCCAATTTCATCCATGTCCCTACAAAGGACATGAACTCATCATTTTTTATGGCTGCATAGTATTCCATGGTGTATATGTGCCACATTTTCTTAATCCAGTCTATCATTGTTGGACATTTGGGTTGGTTCCAAGTCTTTGCTATTGTGAATAATGCCGCAATAAACATACGTGTGCATGTGTCTTTATAGCAGCATGATTTATAGTCATTTGGGTATATACCCAGTAATGGGATGGCTGGGTCAAATGGTATTTCTAGTTCTAGATCCCTGAGGAATCGCCACACTGACTTCCACAATGGTTAAACTAGTTTACAGTCCCACCAACAGTGTAAGAGTGTTCCTATTTCTCCACATCCTCTCCAGCACCTGTTGTTTCCTGACTTTTTAATGATTGCCATTCTAACTGGTGTGAGATGATATCTCATAGTGGTTTTGATTGGCATTTCTCTGATGGCCAGTGATGATGAGCATTTTTTCATGTATTTTTTGGCTGCATAAATGTCTTCTTTTGAGAAGTGTCTGTTCATGTCCTTCGCCCACTTTTTGATGGGGTTGTTTGTTTTTTTCTTGTAAATTTGTTTGAGTTCATTGTAGATTCTGGATATTAGCCCTTTGTCAGATGAGTAGGTTGCGAAAATTTTCTCCCATGTTGTAGGTTGCCTGTTCACTCTGATGGTAGTTTCTTTTGCTGTGCAGAAGCTCTTTAGTTTAATTAGATCCCATTTGTCAATTTTGTCTTTTGTTGCCATTGCTTTTGGTGTTTTGGACATGAAGTCCTTGCCCACGCCTATGTCCTGAATGGTAATGCCTAGGTTTTCTTCTAGGGTTTTTATGGTTTTAGGTCTAACGTTTAAATCTTTAATCCATCTTGAATTGATTTTTATATAAGGTGTAAGGAAGGGATCCAGTTTCAGCTTTCTACATATGGCTAGCCAGTTTTCCCAGCACCATTTATTAAATAGGGAATCCTTTCCCCATTGCTTGTTTTTCTCAGGTTTGTCAAAGATCAGATAGTTGTAGGTATGCGGCATTATTTCTGAGGGCTCTGTTCTGTTCCATTGATCTATATCTCTGTTTTGGTACCAGTACCATGCTGTTTTGGTTACTGTAGCCTTGTAGTATAGTTTGAAGTCAGGTAGTGTGATGCCTCCAGCTTTGTTCTTTTGGCTTAGGATTGACTTGGTGATGCGGGCTCTTTTTTGGTTCCATATGAACTTTAAAGTAGTTTTTTCCAATTCTGTGAAGAAAGTCATTGGTTGCTTGATGGGGATGGCATTGAATCTGTAAATTACCTTGGGCAGTATGGCCATTTTCACGATATTGATTCTTCCTACCCATGAGCATGGAATGTTCTTCCATTTGTTTGTATCCTCTTTTATTTCCTTGAGCAGTGGTTTGTAGTTCTCCTTGAAGAGGTCCTTCACATCCCTTGTAAGTTGGATTCCTAGGTATTTTATTCTCTTTGAAGCAATTGTGAATGGGAGTTCACTCATGATTTGGCTCTCTGTTTGTCTGTTGTTGGTGTATAAGAATGCTTGTGATTTTTGTACATTGATTTTGTATCCTGAGACTTTGCTGAAGTTGCTTATCAGCTTAAGGAGATTTTGGGCTGAGACGATGGGGTTTTCTAGATAAACAATCATGTCGTCTGCAAACAGGGACAATTTGACTTCCTCTTTTCCTAATTGAATACCCTTTATTTCCTTCTCCTGCCTGATTGCCCTGGCCAGAACTTCCAACACTATGTTGAATAGGAGTGGTGAGAGAGGGCATCCCTGTCTTGTGCCAGTTTTCAAAGGGAATGCTTCCAGTTTTTGCCCATTCAGTATGATATTGGGTGTGGGTTTGTCATAGATAGCTCTTATTATTTTGAAATACGTCCCATCAATACCTAATTTATTGACAGTTTTTAGCATGAAGGGTTGTTGAATTTTGTCAAAGGCTTTTTCTGCATCTATTGAGATAATCATGTGGTTTTTGTCTTTGGCTCTGTTTATATGCTGGATTACATTTATTGATTTGCGTATATTGAACCAGCCTTGCATCCCAGGGATGAAGCCCACTTGATCATGGTGGGTAAGCTTTTTGATGTGCTGCTGGATTCGGTTTGCCAGTATTTTATTGAGGATTTTTGCATCAATGTTCATCAAGGATATTGGTCTAAAATTCTCTTTTTTGGTTGTGTCTCTGCCCGGCTTTGGTATCAGAATGATGCTGGCCTCATAAAATGAGTTAGGGAGGATTCCCTCTTTCTCTATTGACTGGAATAGTTTCAGAAGGAATGGTACCAGTTCCTCCTTGTACCTCTGGTAGAATTCGGCTGTGAATCCATCTGGTCCTGGACTCTTTTTGGTTGGTAAACTATTGATTATTGCCACAATTTCAGCTCCTGTTATTGGTCTATTCAGAGATTCAACTTCTTCCTGGTTTAGTCTTGGGAGAGTGTATGTGTCGAAGAATGTATCCATTTCTTCTAGATTTTCTAGTTTATTTGGGTAGAGGTGTTTGTAGTATTCTCTGATGGTAGTTTGTATTTCTGTGGGATCGGTGGTGATATCCCCTTTATCATTTTTTATTGTGTCTATTTGATTCTTCTCTCTTTTTTTCTTTATTAGTCTTGCTAGCGGTCTATCAATTTTGTTGATCCTTTCAAAAAACCAGCTCCTGGATTCATTAATTTTTTGAAGGGTTTTTTGTGTCTCTATTTCCTTCAGTTCTGCTCTGATCTTGGTTATTTCTTGCCTTCTGCTAGCTTTTGAATGTGTTTGCTCTTGCTTTTCTAGTTCTTTTAATTGTGATGTTACGGTGTCAATTTTGGATCTTTCCTGCTTTCTCTTGTGGGCATTTAGTGCTATAAATTTCCCTCTACACACTGCTTTGAATGCGTCCCAGAGATTCTGGTATGTTGTGTCTTTGTTCTCGTTGGTTTCAAAGAACATCTTTATTTCTGCCTTCATTTCATTATGTACCCAGTAGTCATTCAGGAGCAGGTTGTTCAGTTTCCATGTAGTTGAGCGGCTTTGAGTGAGATTCTTAATCCTGAGCTCTAGTTTGATTGCACTGTGGTCTGAGAGATAGTTTGTTATAATTTCTTTTCTTTTACATTTGCTGAGGAGAGCTTTACTTCCAAGTATGTGGTCAATTTTGGAATAGGTGTGGTGTGGTGCTGAAAAAAATGTATATTCTGTTGATTTGGGGTGGAGAGTTCTGTAGATGTCTATTAGGTCCGCTTGGTGCAGAGCTGAGTTCAATTCCTGGCTATCCTTGTTGACTTTCTGTCTCCTTGATCTGTCTAATGTTGACAGTGGGGTGTTAAAGTCTCCCATTATTAATGTGTGGGAGTCTAAGTCTCTTTGTAGGTCACTCAGGACTTGCTTTATGAATCTGGGTGCTCCTGTATTGGGTGCATATATATTTAGGATAGTTAGCTCTTCTTGTTGAATTGATCCCTTTACCATTATGTAATGGCCTTCTTTGTCTCTTTTGATCTTTGTTGGTTTAAAGTCTGTTTTATCCGAGACTAGGATTGCAACCCCTGCCTTTTTTTGTTTTCCATTTGCTTGGTAGATCTTCCTCCATCCTTTTATTTTGAGCCTATGTGTGTCTCTGCACATGAGATGGGTTTCCTGAATACAGCACACTGATGGGTCTTGACTTTTTATCCAACTTGCCAGTCTGTGTCTTTTAATTGGAGCATTTAGTCCATTTACATTTAAAGTTAATATTGTTATGTGTGAATTTGATCCTGTCATTATGATGTTAGCTGGTGATTTTGCTCATTAGTTGATGCAGTTTCTTCCTAGTCTCGATGGTCTTTACATTTTGGCATGATTTTGCAGCGGCTGGTACCGGTTGTTGCTTTCCATGTTTAGCACTTCCTTCAGGAGCTCTTTTAGGGCAGGCCTGGTGGTGACAAAATCTCTCAGCATTTGCTTGTCTGTAAAGTATTTTATTTCTCCTTCACTTATGAAGCTTAGTTTCGCTGGATATGAAATTCTGGGTTGAAAATTATTTTCTTTAAGAATGTTGAATATTGGCCCCCACTCTCTTCTGGCTTGTAGGGTTTCTGCCGAGAGATCCACTGTTAGTCTGATGGGCTTCCCTTTGAGGGTAACCCGACCTTTCTCTCTGGCTGCCCTTAACATTTTTTCCTTCATTTCAACTTTGGTGAATCTGACAATTATGTGTCTTGGAATTGCTCTTCTCGAGGAGTATCTTTGTGGCGTTCTCTGTATTTCCTGAATCTGAACGTTGGCCTGCCTTGCTAGATTGGGGAAGTTCTCCTGGATAATATCCTGCAGAGTATTTTCCAACTTGGTTCCATTCTCCCCATCACTTTCAGGTACACCAATCAGACGTAGATTTGGTCTTTTCACATAGTCCCATATTTCTTGGAGGCTTTGCTCATTTCTTTTTATTCTTTTTTCTCTAAACTTCCCTTCTCACTTCATTTCATTCATTTCATCTTCCATTGCTGATACCCTTTCTTCCAGTTGATCGCATCGGCTCCTGAGGCTTCTGCATTCTTCACGTAGTTCTCGAGCCTTGGTTTTCAGCTCCATCAGCTCCTTTAAGCACTTCTCTGTATTGGTTATTCTAGTTATACATTCTTCTAAATTTTTTTCAAAGTTTTCAACTTCTTTGCCTTTGGTTTGAATGTCCTCCTGTAGCTCAGAGTAATTTGATCATCTGAAGCCTTCTTCTCTCAGCTCGTCAAAATCATTCTCCATCCAGCTTTGTTCCGTTGCTGGTGAGGAACTGCGTTCCTTTGGAGGAGGAGAGGTGCTCTGCGTTTTAGAGTTTCCAGTTTTTCTGTTCAGTTTTTTCCCCATCTTTGTGATTTTATCTACTTTTGGTCTTTGATGATGGTGATGTACAGATGGGTTTTCGGTGTGGATGTCCTTTCTGTTTGTTAGTTTTCCTTCTAACAGACAGGACCCTCAGCTGCAGGTCTGTTGGAATACCCTGCCATGTGAGGTGTCAGTGTGCCTCTGCTGGGGGGTGCCTCCCAGTTAGGCTGCTCGGGGGTCAGGGGTCAGGGACCCACTTGAGGAGGCAGTCTGCCCGTTCTCAGATCTCCAGCTGCGTGCTGGGAGAACCACTGCTCTCTTCAAAGCTGTCAGACAGGGACATTTAAGTCTGCAGAGGTTACTGCTGTCTTTTTGTTTGTCTGTGCCCTGCCCCCAGAGGTGGAGCCTACAGAGGCAGGCAGGCCTCCTTGAGCTGTGGTGGGCTCCCCCTAGTTCGAGATTCCCGGCTGCTTTGTTTACCTAAGCAAGCCTGGGCAATGGCGGGCGCCCCTCCCCCAGCCTCGCTGCCTCCTTGCAGTTTGATCTCAGACTGCTGTGCTAGCAATCAGCGAGACTCCGTGGGCATAGGACCCTCCGAGCCAGGTGTGGGATATAGTCTCGTGGTGCGCCGTTTTTTAAGCCGGTCTGAAAAGCACAATATTCGGGTAGGAGTGACCCGATTTTCCAGGTGCGTCCGTCACCCCTTTCTTTGACTTGGAAAGGGAACTCCCTGACCCCTTGCACTTCCCAGGTGAGGCAATGCCTCGCCCTGCTTCGGCTCGCGCACAGTGCGCGCACCCACTGGCCTGCGCCCACTGTCTGGCACTCCCTAGTGAGATGGACCCGGTACCTCAGATGGAAATGCATAAATCACCCATCTTCTGCGTCACTCACGCTGGGAGCTGTAGACCGGAGCTGTTCCTGTTCGGCCATCTTGGCTCCTCCCGATGTTGGCCTTTTAATTAAGTTTTGCATTATGCACAGCTAGCTAGATTTTTTTTCTCCGTCATCAAGAATATTGCCAGCCACATTTACTTTACTACTTCACTTTATTCCCACACCATTGATGCCTTATGTATGTATATAACAATGTAGCTGCCACCAAACCAATTACAGAACACCTCCAACACAGCATGCTGCATTTTTTGATGTTCTTGCTTTCTGTTTGTTATTTGTTTATTTTGAGGTAGGGTCTTGTTCTGTCTCCCAGACTGGAGCATAGTGGTGCAATCACAGCTCGCTGCAGCCTCAATCTCCCAGGCTCAAGTGATCCTCCCAACGCAGCTTCCTGAGTAGCTGGGACTACAGGTGTGCACCACCAAGCCTGGCTAATTATTTTGATATTTTTTAAAATAGAAATGAGGTCTCACTACGTTGTTCAAGCTCGTCTTGAACTCCTGAGCTCAAGTAATTCTGACTCAGCCTACCAAAGTGCTGGGATTACAGGCGTGAGCCACCAAACCCAGCCCATGCTGTCTTGCATAGGTAATGACAACCTTATTATGAATTGCTGCCTGGCCAAAGACATTTGTAAGATATCATTTATTATATGATAATCCCTATTTTTAAATATGTTAAAAAGCACATGCAAGAATAAATAAAATTCAAAATGTCATTTTGGTTAGACCAATATTCCATGTTTACTTATTAGAACCATGTAAATGCTCATCATTGCAGAGACAAATTTACTTGGAAGTTAATGCAGTTTCAGGGCCCCTCACTGATATGAGCATCTTCAAAATCCTTAGGAGAGGACCTAAAGATACGTTCACAGGATCACACTTCCTTTTACATTGCAAAAGTAAGCTATTTTAATAACAACTAGTTAAGTTCACTACCCCTTTCAACTCTGACTTTACATTTATCATCTGTCACGTTACTCCTCATGATTGGTGCTGTGATTAGAATGTTTGTGTCTGCTCCAAAACTCATGTGATAACTTAATCTCTAATATAACAGTATTGAGGAGTCTTTACAGGATGTTTAGGCTATCAGGGCTCTGTCTTCATTTATGGATTAATGCCTTATGAAACATCTTGAGGGGGCAAGTAAATCAGATGCAATTATTGAAATAGTTATAATGTCCAGGGGGCCTAATAAGGGCAAAAAAAAAAGATCTTTATGGATTTTTCAAAATAAGAGGAAACAATTTGCAAACAGGTTATGTCCAGAGAGGGCAGATGGTTCAAGATCAATGTGATGATGAAGTCTAGAAAGTGGTCATATTTGATGGGGACTAACCCAAAGACAGTGGAGTGTCTAAAGAATCACATCAACAGCATAGTGTCAGATGGACCATGACGTCAAAATTGCTGAGATCCACTGTAGGAGATGGTGTCGAGAGAAAATGTCTTAAGCAGGTGATAAAATAATCAGACTCAGTGAAAGTAGATTCATGAAAGCAGTGGATATGTGCATTAGGATTTGGAAGGTCCTGAGGTGTTGGGCTTCACTTGAAGGAAAGTGGAGTAACAAGAGCTGGTTAGTGGTATAGAATCTGTCAGCCGGAGACAAGGACAAGGAAGAGGCTCACTACACCCCACTCACACTCAAGAAGAAGAGGATAAGCAGATTACATGCAGTAAGGAATGAAAGGCTCATCTCACAGAATACAGTTTGATTTTTAAACATAAATATTATAGTTGTCCACATAATACATTTTCTGCCCATATTTCACAGTGTTTCTATGAATTTCTGTGAATTGCCTTCCTCAAAAATAAATAAGAAGGAGTCAGGAGGTTAAAAAGGAGGAAAATGAATAAGGAGAAGAGAAAGAGAAATTAAGGAAGAAACACTAGTAAGAAAAGAGTTGCCCTCTTCAGTGCCTGGACAATCTCTCATCTGCGAGTTGGCCCCTCCTTGCATGAGGAGCTGAGTGAAAACAAGAGGACTCCCTAGCGACTGAATGAGAGTTGTCCCCTACCTATGGCTTTATTTCTCTACTCAGTAATTCATAAACACGTTGTGCATCAGAATTTGAAGGAAACCTTTAAAAAATTGCATGGATTCCTGGGTTTCCCCTATCCCCCCACCTTCTCTATCATCTTCCTACCCCAACCCAGGCCTATTAAAGATGAATTACTGGATATAAAGTTTAGGCCTTTGTATTTAGAAACCTCCCAGATCGTTATGTTACTAGATGCAGTCCTCGTCTGGGACCTTCTACTCTAGGTTATGCCAATCCTAGGCAACTGGAAAGTTCTAATGACATGCTTACCCCAAATCCTGAACCCTCTCCACCTGGTAGAACTCCCCAAGACTGATGGGGAGAAAGTTATTGTGTGGAGATCCTAAGAAACTACAGTTGCCCAAAGAAATTTTTCAACTCATGACTCCACAAAAACATGTTTAAAAAAGACAAACTGGAAAAATACCACTACGGAACACAATTTTTCTCTCTTTGTGCTTTCCTCTTTTCTTCCATTAGAGTCAGTCGGTTAACAAGTCTCAATTAAGTAAAGTCACACAGTATTACACCAGTCAGGAACCTGGTTTTTTTGTTTGTTGTTTTTTTTAAAACTCACTGTACATCCTATTCCACTCCTCTCCACAACTCTTATCCTATTAGAGTGGCCCAAATGTGAGGAATTTATTTCCACAAAAATGCTCCTAAATTAAAATAACTTCATGGAAAAATATGACCCAAAAGAGATATATCAAGTGCAGAATGCTGAACAGAAAAAGAAAACTATAGTATCCCTGAGGAGTCTGAGAATAAAGTCTAAGTACTACAAGATGGAACCTTCCATCAGATTGCTGTTCAATTTAATTATGGTTTAAAATGTGCATATGTGAAATTAATATTCAGGATCCCAGTGATTTAAAAAGCAGCAATAGGCCACCATTTGAATTCACAGACTTGTGATCCATTTTGTCCCATGGAACAACTAAGTACAATATGATACCAGTGCTCAGATTTCTGGAGAGAGAAAACAGAGGCTCTATTTTTAAAAATAAAACTATGCATATGTAACTTGAATACAAAAAGGGGGAATTATGTTAATACCAAGGGGGAGCTACAAAGCTTCCATCCTTTTAGTCTCAAACCAAGTAGAAATCCCCACTTAGCTCTTTAGGTCTATTAGGAATGTCATTGCACACAGACCAATGTCGTATTCTTAAAACGTTCTCTGAGCCTCAGACTATGCCCATGTCTTTCACAGTTTGCATGATCAGAAGAGGAACTACTAAGTGAAGGATGAGACTTAGACTAGTGTGATTGAAGGTGCACCAATAATATCTTTCTACCTGCCACTCCACCCCACAGTTTTGTTTTTTTTTTTGTTTGATTGTTTTGTTTTTGTTTTTTTTAAGATGGAGTCTTATAGTGGAAAGATTCCAAGCTTTGAGGTGAAGCCTAGGCTCTATTCCTCATTCATGACCTTGTAGCCTGGGGCAAGTTACTTAACTTTTCTGGATCTGTTTTTTTTATTGTTATTTTTGTTGTTTTGTGGTAAGTAATTACAGCTGCATTTTAGTTATAGGATTGGGACCATCAGTGAAAAAGAATAGTTAAAATACCTGTTACTGGGATACCATAAAACACCTATTTAGTAAATTTGGCATGGAATGTGCTTCACCGAAAAAAAATGAAGCCAACACCTCTGAGGTTGTGTCGTGCTGATGGAGCCCATCAGGGCAGTTGACTGGGTGGAGGTGCCTCTGCTACCATGGCAAGATCTGACTGCTTCAGCCTCTTGAGCCTCCTCTTAGATGTGCAGCCCTCACCCACTGCCCTGCTCCAGCCACACTGCCTCCTGTCAGTTGGAACAGTCTAAGCTCTGGCTTTCATCAGGTGCCTGTTGATATCTTTCTCCTGGCTTTTCACAGGACTCATCTCCTTAGTTCTCATTTCAAGTGTCATCTCCTCAGAAAAGCTTTTTTATAACTATTCCTCTCTAAAGGAAGACGTTCTTTGTATTTTTAAACCTGTTCTCTGCTGGGTTTTTTTTTTTTCTGACTGCACACGCTAATCTGTAATGACCTTATTTATTTGGTTGTGTAATATAACCTAATGCCCCTGAGGGCCTTTGTACCCCTTCTGCCTAGGAAAGTGCCTTGCGCATAGGAGATGTGCAGTGAATAGGATATTTGTTAAACAAATGAATGAATGAATGAATGAATGAATGAACGAACAAGTTATTGTTTTACCACTGTCTCAATTTTGAGCTCTTTGGACTGAATTCCCATTCAGAGAAAGCGCTAGGGGTCTTGAAGAAAGACATTGAGAAAAATCAAATGAAATGTTGGCACTATGATGGTCTCCTAATGAAAGCTCGATATATACTAATTATTTGTGAAGACATTTTTGTTATTAAAGAACAGTAGCCTCAACGCTATAAGAGCATATAGTACCTTCACTTCCATTTGTCTGGGTTCCTTCAACTGTAAAATGAGGAAACGATTCATATGCACATCATGTGTGGTGTGAAGGTTAAATGAGTTTCTATATGTGAATGCTTAAAATAGTACCTGGATCTTAGTCAATGCTAAAAATGGCATTTCCAGAAGTTATGTTTACTTCAGTCTATGGCAAAGACAATTTGAGTCAACAGGTTAATTCATCTCACTGAGACTGCAGATATGGGAGGAATGGCAAAATCTGTGCAGCTTCGGTCAACAGGGCCTTGATGACATACACAGGGTTAAAGAAAAGCCTATAATTCCTATTAGGTGAGAATTAGTATAATTTGATGCTGATATAACCTGACAAGATGAAAATACTGTTCCACTAAAATCCATGGAGAGATTATATCCTCAAAGTTTTGAAGCAAACTATTTTCACTAACAACATGTGATTATTGAAAAGTTATTTTAAATCCTTGCTGACCAAACTGATCAGAGATAACGAAATATTTAAGGATCTTCTGGTCAAATGGACACCAAAGCTTGTTGGATAAAATACATGCCAGTTGGATTTATGGTAATACATAAGTCAGCAAGTCCCTGGATTTGTCTGTTATACTTTCTGCTATGTATTATCAGGCCTCTTGAATAAAGATCCATTTCAGTACAAAAACTAGTTAAGATTTTAAGATTGACCATAAATTCAGAGTTTTGAACTGACGATAAACTCAATGTGTCTGTTTATAAAGATAAAAAGTTGTTTTAAAAAAAAATCCATGTTAGTAGAAAACTAAAAATAGCAAATAGTCCCATATTTATATCTCAGTAGTCAGAATACAAATAAACATCCTTGGTGAAAACACATCAGTGCTTCCAATTAAGGCAATATAATTGCATGCTTTGAAGTGGAACAATGGAAAAATCTGACAATCCATTGTATTAATTTGAGACACAGACTTTAGAGACATATAAAAAATAACATTTAATCTTTGTGTGACATCTGCTTCTATATACTTTTTGCATAACATTTATGTATTGTGTGTAAACACACACATTAGATAGATAAATAGATAGTTGGATAGATAAACATATGTTAAAGAGCTAGATGAAATCTGGTGCAACCCAGTAATTCACTTTGGTAAGCCATTTCACTGTTACTGCTGCAAGTTCTATTGTCTTCTACAGTTTCATTGTTTTCAAAATTATAGAAAGCTTTACACGTTTATGCTCAG
This sequence comes from Homo sapiens, assembly GCF_000001405.40. Lineage (NCBI taxonomy): Eukaryota > Metazoa > Chordata > Mammalia > Primates > Hominidae > Homo > Homo sapiens. Next base: position 82,244,412 of record NC_000001.11, on the reverse strand, counting down.
TCTGTTCATTTACTTACCTGGCAGATCTCAAATGACCAGACACAGGATAGAGGACACGGTCTCAAATAAATCAGAGAGTGTTGCAAAAGCTGAGAGTAATGCTTTTTATCCAATGTGTGTCTTTAAGTGTTTTATTTCACTTATAACGAAAAGTGCAATATATAACCATTGAGGAAAAAAATAGCAGTTCAATTAATAATCTTTTGTGAACAACTATTAGAGCACAAAGTTGTTTTCTAAACTCTTCATGAGATTACACAAGACAATTATTTAGTGATCAGTTTTCAAGGGTCACTCTCTCCTTTCTTTGCTTTCTAAAACAACCTAACGAAAACTATCCATTATTTGTAAATTTATTTGTTAAGAATCTTGGTTTCCAGGCCACTGACTCTGCCTACACCAGTACTTGATTATATAAGATTTAAGAAAAAATACCACTTAGATTTCCTTATCAAGAAAGACCTAGACATCTAGGAAGGGGGCATTTAATGTAAGCAATTAGGTGAATGAATAATTAATTATCCTATGCTGATTATTGTAAATGGCTATTGTGATTTATAAGCCTTTAGAAACCCCTTTGCAAGACGGATTGTAGGTCAACAGTTATATAATACAGCAAAGAAGCATCATTAGTACATTTTGGTCTATATCTGGAAATCATGGGAGGAAGCAGGCAGCCAGTTCTAGAAGAGAGGAAATAATTCATCACTGTTGTCTTACACCCATCACAAACACAGCAGTTACAATTAGGGCAGTTTTGTTTTAATTCTAGTCTTCCAACCTCCTCCATAATCACAACAAATTCTCTTCCAATTTTTTTTTCTGAGTTTTTTTTTTTAACTTTAAAAATACCTTTACCTATTTTGTAGGGCATCATATTAATTATCTAAAACACTGAACTATTTTCCAGTCGAATTGAAAGCTCTAAAATGCAAACATGCTAAGTACTTCAGGTTGGAGCAACTTTCTGTAATATAAACTGTTCTGACATGAAATTGATTTATTCATAACTTACACTTATTTTGTTGTAAAATATTCAATGTTGTAAATGTAGACTGTTTAGTAAAATGCATTGCACTGAACACAATAATGTACTTTATCTAGCAGTGTCTAAGAATTTTATCAAGGTAATTTTGAAACTCCTTCTGGTACTTATGATCAAAATTTCAGGCTGACAGTCCTGAGTATGAAATCAAAATATCCATCAGCTCAAGTGATATGCAAAAGGTATGCTTTCAGCTCATAGCCAAGTGTGTAATCTCTGCATTGCCAGGACCATTGTGGTAACTAGACACTCTGGGTGTTATTGTCCCTTTCATCAATGTGTAATATCATAGCATAAAGCTATCAATATATTTCAGGCACAAGTTTGGAAAAATTGAATTTAAAGATGTAATTGATCAATAATTAGGATGTACCATCCAAGAAACTAAGTCAAGATTTAGAAAATTAAGGGCATTAAATTAAAATCTAGACAAAAATTTTTAAAAAGTAATAAATAGTTTACGGTTGAGCTATACTGTTTCTGCTCTGACTGTACCTAGCATACTGTACCATACTGAGTTTAGGTGTCTCTTCAACACAGGTGGTTTGGCTTCTATCTATATATAGCCTGGGGGGGGAATAATCATGATTTTTAATAATTTATTTAAATTGGTGATTTTTTAGTGTCATGTGTAGATGGAGATAAATAATAAAGAAAGAAAATTTGTAATCATCTAACAGGTTTTTCCTGCCTGCTGCACAGACAAAATGAATTCACTGAGACCATGGCATTGTAGTCGAGAAAGAATTTAACTGATGAGAGGCCAGCCCACATGGGAAAAACTGGAGTTATCACTCACATCAGCCTCCCTAAAAGCTCAGAGGTTAGGGTTTGCATGGACAATTTGATGACTGGGAGACTAGGGAATGGGTGCTGCTGATTGGTTGGGGATGAAATCATAGGGTGTGGAAAATGGTCCTCATGCATTGAGGCTGCCTCTGGGTAGGGCCACAGGACCAGTTGTATCATGAGTCACAGGTCCTGGCAGGGCCAGTCTGTTGTAAAAATGTCTGAAAAAATCTCATAAGATCAAGCTTAGGTTCTACAATGGTGATGTTATCCATAGGAGCAACTGAGGAAGTCACAAATCCTGTTACCTCTGGCTACATGACTCCTGAGCAGTAAGGAATTATAGAAAATTTGCCTACATCTTATCAGAATTCAGAGCCCTCTTATAACTTTGTGGCCTTTCATTAGTTTTACAAAGGTGGTCTAGTTTGGGAAAGAGCTATTATTGTCCATGCTTTAAGGTTAAACTATAAACTAAATTCCTCCCTAAATTAGCTTAGCCTATCTCCAGGATTGAACAAGGACAGCATGAAGCTTAGAAGCAAGATGGAGTCAACTGTGTCAGATTTCTCTTGCTGTCATAATTTTGCAAAGGTGGTTTCATATTTAGTCATTATTTCTTAAGCAGGAAAGATAAAGAAGTTAAAGTTTACTGAAAAGTAATCTACACAAGTAATCTAGGAGAAGCCATCATTTTTCACATGGAATTATTGTGCCAGGAAAATTCACCATTTACCATTCTGCCTGTGTTTCTCCTACATAGCTATTCACAGGTTAAAGCTTTATGTTTCAGACTCTGTAACATTGGGAAAATCATTCCACTGGTTCATTTATGAGTCTTTGTAAATTCTGAGAGGAATTTAAAGTGTTGTGTCAGGTTTAGAGTCAGGTATTTGAAAGCTTTGGCACTCCTGGGTTAAGCCATCTCAAATATAAGATGGAATTAAAGCAAGGGAAAAATAATAACACATTAACTTTTAATTCATTGTTGTCTTAGAGCCTGAAGGCCTCTGAGAGGTTTAACAAAAGACCATGAAGAATAACATGCTTGAAATACACTCCAAAGAAGAAGAAAGTAAACAATGAACTTCAAATAGTTCAAGGCAATGCACACTAACAGTATGTAGGACCAAAAATAAAAGTCTAAAGAGAAACTAAAAAGCTTTGAGACTGGCCTTTACGATGGTGCATATGAGAAGGGGAAGAATTTCTAGTTAAAGCCTTTCAAGATCCAACAGATTATATTTTTTGATGGCCAATAGTATCATTCTGACCTTGACTGCTGCTGTAGGAAATAGCGGGGCATTCAAATATGGCCATGCATTTGCTCCACGTCAGTCAGACACTGAGAATAATGATGGCCCAAGAATAGAGGTCCTTTTGCTATATTCTTTGTTCTCTGTGGGAGAAAAATCTGAGAAAGATTTTCTATTATACCCCAAATAGCATTCGTTCTGGCAGCTCATAATGGTGGGGAAAGTGAAGCAGATTATTAAATGAGGGGAAAGGTTTACCTAGGGAAACTTCCATTTATTGCAGGCCAATAGAGTCTGGGTTTCTACTACGTGCTTCATCTATATTAACTCATTTAATCCTAAAAACACTCAGAGATAGGAATTGGATTTCTATTTTATAGACATGAAAACAAAGATGGAGAGTGATAAGCCATTTGCCCAAAGCCATTCAGTGGCTGAGGGATAGAGGTAAAATTTGCACTGAAATATGTTAAGTCCAAAGTTCCCAGTCTTTAATCACTATGCTTTTCTACCCATTACTAAATTTCAAGACTTGTGAGATCATCTCTAGTAAGTCTTATCATTTTATCCGTCTACTTTAGGCAGATATTATCCAGAACACCCTAAGATCCACTGCACTCTATAAGGAAAAAGCTGACCTCTAGGTTTTTGCTAAGAATCCATCTGCTGGGAGCAGCCAAAATGGCAAAATAGGAACCGCTCTGGTCTGTAGCCCAAGACGGTCAAATAGAAACAGCTCCACTCTGTGGCTCCCATAGAGAAGAATGAAAATAGCAAGAGAATTTGGCATCTTCAATTGAGATATCCAGATTCTTTCACTGGGACTGACTAGGTGGTTGGCATGACTCATGGAGAGTGAAGAAAAGCAGGGTGGAGTGAGGGCCCACCAGGAGCTGCACAGGGCAAAGGGAGCTCCCTCCCCCAGCCAAGGAAGGTGGTGAAGGATTGTGCTACCCAATCCTGAAAACCACACTTTCCCAATGGTCTTTGCAACCTGCAGATCAGGAGTTCCCCTCGTGAACCCATTCTGCCAAGGCTTTGGGTCCCAAGCACAGAGCTGCACAAACTCACTGCAGCTGCTTGGGTGGGTGGCCACTCAGGCAGGCACTGAGACACAGGAGTTTTCACATACTACAGCTCTAGAACTTCAGTGAGGCAGAAGACCATCTACTCCCATGGGAAGAGGGCTGAAGCAAGAGAGCCAAGCAGCCTCAATCTGCAGGTCCCAGTCCCAAAGAACCCCAAAAGCTGAAGCTAAAGCCCACTCACTTGTAATCCATGCCAGCCAGCACAGATGGCTAGAAACTCCCTAAGAAGACTGAGTTTCGAGGTGGGGAAGGCCGCCGCCATCACTGTGGCTCCAGTCGGCCATTTTCCCTTGCCGTTGCTGCCAGCAAGACCAGACGGTTTGGACCAGGAGAATTTCCCCACAGCACACTGCAGTGGCTGTGACAGTTCACGGCCAGGATGCTTCTTTAAGCAAGATCCCAACCTATTCCTTCTCACTGGGTGGGGTCTCGCTGAGGGATTATCGGCATCCCCAGCCAGGGGTTTATGGATAGAATTCTGCTCTCCCTTATAGAAGCCCCTAGGAGGAGGGACAGCTGCAGTATTGTGGATCAGTGGTCTTAGTCTTTTCTGCCTGCTGGCTCTGGAGAGTCGGGGCAGCCCAGATGAGGGGGCAGCACACCTACTTTGTCAAGGGGCAGCCAGACTGCTTATTTAAGTGGGTCCCAGATCCCATTCCTCCTGACTGGGTGAGACATCCCAACAGGGGTCTTCAGACACTTCATACAGGAGCATTTTGGCTGGCATCAGGTAGGTGCCTTTCTGGAACAGAGCTCCCAGAGGAAGGATAGAATGCCATCTTTGCTGTTCTGCAGCCTCCCCTGGTGATACCCCAAGGTGCAAGAGGGACACAGGCAAACAGGGTCTGGAGTGGACACCTGGCAAACCACAGCAGCCCCACAGAAGATAGGCCTGACTGCTAAAAGAAAAACAAACAGAAAGCAACAACAACATCATCAAAAAAAAGACCCCACAAAAACTGCATCCAAAGGTCAACAGCCTCACAGATCAAAGGTAGATAAACCCATGAATAAGAGAAAGAATCAAAGAAAAACATTGAAAACTCAAAAAGCCAGAGTGCCTCTTCTCCTCCAAATGATCTTAACACTTACACAGCAAGGGCACAGAACTGGGCTTAGGTGGAGACAAATTGACAGAAGAAGGCTTCAGAAGATGGGTAATAATGAACTTCACTGAGCTAAAGAAATATATTTTAACCCCTTGCAACAAAGCTAAGAACCATGATAAAACATTACAGGAGCTGTTAAAAAGAATAACCAGTTTAGAAAGAAACATAAATTACCTTATGGAACTGAAAAACACAACACGAGAACTTCACAATGCAAGCACAAGTATAAACAGCCAAATAGACCAAGTGAAAGAAAGGATATCAGAGCTTGAGTACTATCTTGTTGAAAAAAGGCAGGCAGACAAGATTGGAGAAAAATAATGAAAAGGAACAAACAAAATCTTCAAGAACTATGGGATTATGTAAAAAGACTGAACCTATGACTGATTGGGGTACCTAAAGAGATGGGGAAAACAGAACCAAGTTGAAAAACACACTTCAGGATATGATTCAGGAGAACTTCCCCAACCTAGCAAGACAGGCCAACATTCAAATTCAGGAAATCCAGAGAACCCCAGTAAGATACTCCATGAGAAGTCCAACCCCAAGACATATAATCATCAGATTCTCCAAGTTTGAAATGAAGGGAAAAAAATGTTAAGGGCAGCCAGAGAGAAAAGCCAGGTCACCTATAAAGGGAAACCCATCAAACTAACAGCACACCTCTCAGTGGAAACAATACAAGCCAGAAGAGATTAGGAGCCAATATTCAACATTCTTAAAGAAAAGAATTTCAACCTAAAATTTCTTATCTGGCCATCTTTTTCAGACAAGCAAATGCTGAGGGAATTTGTCACTAAGAGTCCTGCCTGGCAAGAGCCCCTGAAGGAAGCACTAAATATGGAAAGGAAAAACCATTACTAGCCATTAAAAAAAAAAAAAACTGAAGTATACAGATCAATGACACTATGAAGCAACTACATAAGTCTGCAAAATAACCAGTTGGCATCATGATGACAGGATCAAATTCACACATAATAATATTAACCTTAAATGTAAATGGGCTAAATGCCCCAATTAAAAGACACGGAATGGCAAACTGGTAAAAAGTCAAGATCTATCAGTGTGCTGTATTCAAGAGACCCATCTCACATGCAAAGACACACATAGGCTCAAAATAAAGGGATACATGAATATTTGCCAAGCAAATGTAAAGCAAAAAAAAAAAAAAACAGGAGTTGTAATCCTAGTTTCTGACAAAACAGATTTTAAACCAACAAATATCATAAAAGACAAAAAAGGGCATTACGTAATGGTAAAGGGATCAATTCAACAAGAAGGGCTAACTATCATAAATATATATACACCCAATACAGGAGCACTCAGATTCATAAAACAAGTTATTAGAGACCTACAAAGATACTTAGACTCCAACACAATAAGAGTGGGAGACTCTAACACCCCACTGTCAATATTAGACAAATCATCGAGACAGAAAATTAACAAAGATATTCAGGACTTGAACTCAGCTCTAGATCAAGTGGACCTGAGAGATATCTACAGAACTCTGCACCCCAAAACAACAGAATATACATTCTTCTTGGCACAATGTTGCACTTACTAAAAAATTGATCACATAATTGGAAGTAAATCATTGCTCAGCAAATGCAAAAGAACTGAAATCATAACAGTCTCTCAGAACACAGTGCAATCAAATTAGAACTCAAGATTAAGAAATTCACTCAAAACCACACAACTACATGGAAATTGAACAACTTGCTTCTGAATGGCTCCTGGGTAAATAATGAAACTAAGGCAGACATCAAGAAGTTCTTTGGCACTAATGAGAACAAAGTGACAACATACCAGAATCTCTGGGACACAGCTAAAGCAGTTAAGAGGGAAATTTATAACACTAAATGCCCATATCAAAAAGCTATAAAGATCTCATATTAACACCCTAACATCACAACTAAAAAGAACTAGAGAACCAAGAGCAAACAAACCCCAAAGCTGGTAGAAGACAAGAAATAACCAAGGTCAGAGCAGAACTGAAGGAGATAGAGACACAAAAACCCTTCAAAATATCTGTGAATCCAGGAGCTGGTTTTTTGAAAAAAAATTAATAAAATAGACCATTAGGTAGACTAATAAAGAAGAAAACAGAGAAGAATAAAAAAGACACAATAAAAAATGACAAAGTGGATTATCAGCACAAATACCTACACAAATACAAACAACCATCAGATAATACTGTAAACACCTCCATGCAAATAAACTAGAAAATCTAGAAGAAATGGATAAATTCCTGGACACATACACCCTCCCAAGACTGAGCTAGAAAGAAATTGAATCCCTGAATAGACCAATATCAAGTTCTGAAATTGAGACAGTAGTACATAGCCTACCAACCAAAAAAAATCCCAGGACCAGATAGATTTACAGCTGAACTCTACCAGAGTTACAAACAGGAGCTGATACCCTTTCTTCTGAAACTATTCTAAACAATTGCAAAGGAGGGACTCTTCCCTAACTCATTTTCTGAGGCCAGCATCATCCTGATACTAAAACCTGGCAGAGATATAACAACGACAACAACAACAACAAAAAAAACACTTCAGGCCAATATCACTGATGAACATTGATGCAAAAATTCTCAATACAGTACTGGCAAATCAAATCCAGCAGCACATCAAAAATCTTATCCACCATGATCAAGTTGGTTTCATCCCTGGGATGCAAGGCTGGTTCAACATATGCAAATCAATAAACATAATTCATCATATAAACAGAACTAAAGACAAAAACATGTGATTATCTCAATAGATGCAGAAAATGTCTTTGATAAAATTCAGCATCACTTCATGTGAAAAACGCTCAATAAACTAGGTTTTGAGGGAACATATCTCAAAATAATAAGAACCATTTATGGCAAACCCACAACCAATATCATACTCAATAGGCAAAAGCTAGAAGCATTCCCCTTGAAAACCAGGACAAGACAAGGATGCTCTCACTCACCACTCCTATTCAACATACTATTGGAAGTTCAGGCCAGGGGGATAAGGCAAGAGAAAGAAATAAAGGTATTCAAATAGGAAGAGAGGAAGTCAAATTTTCTTTATTTGCAGATGATGTGATCCTGTATCTAGAAAACCCCATCATCTCAGCCCCAAAGCTTCTTAAGCTGATAAGCAACTTCAGCAAAGTCTCAGGATACAAAATCAATGTGCAAAATTCACAAGCATTCCTATACACCAACAACACACAAGCAGAGAGCCAAATCATAAATAAACTCCCATTCACAATTGCTACAAAGAGAATAAAATAACTAAGAGTACAACTAACAAGGGAAGTGAAGGACCTCTTCAAGGAGAACTACAAAAGACTGCTCAAGGAAATAAGAGAGAATACAAACAAATGGAAAATCATTCCATGCTCATGGATAGGAAGAATCATTACCCTGAAAATGGCCATACTGCCCAAACTAATTTATAGATTCAATACTATTCCCATTAAACTACCATTGACATTCTTCAAAGAATTAGAAGAAACAATTTAAAAATTCATATGGAACCAAAAAGGAGCTCATATAGCCAAAACAATTCCAAGCAAAAAGAACAAAGCTGGAAGCATCATGCTATCCTTCTTCAAACTATACTACAAGGCTATAGTAACCAAAACGGCATGGTACAGGTCTAAAAGTAGACACATAGACCAATGGAACAGAATTGATAACTCAGAAATAAGGCTACACATCTACGACCATCTTATCTTTGACAAACCTGACAAAAACAAGAAATGGGGAAATGATTCCCTATTTAATAAATGATGCTGGGGGAACTGGCTAGCCATATGCAGAAAATTGAAACTGGATCATTCTTTACACCTTATACATAAATTAACTCAAGATGGATTAAATAAGTAAATGTAAAACTCAAAACTATAAAAACCCTATAAGAAAATCTAGGCAAGGCCAGGCGCAGTGGCTCATGCCTATAATCCCAGCATTTTGGGAGGCTGAAGTGGGTGGATCACAAGGTCAGGAGATCGAGACCATCCTGGCTAACATGGTGAAACCCTGTCTCTACTAAAAATACAAAACATTAGCTGGGCGTGGTGCACCTGTGATCCCAGCTACTTGGGAGGCTGAGGCAGGAGAATCGCTTGAACCTCGGAGGCGGAGGTTGCAGTGAGCAGAGATCATGCCACTGCACTTCAGCCCCTGGGCGACAGAGCGAGACGTTGTCTCAAAAATAAATAAATAAAATAAAATAAAGAAAATCTAGACAATACTATTTAGGACATAGGCACAGGCAAAGGTTTTATGACTAAATCGCCAAAAGCAATTGCAACAAAAGCAAAAATTGACAAATGGTATCAAATTAAGATAAAGAGCTTCTGCACAGCAAAATAAACTATCATCAGAGCAAACAGGCAACCTACAGAGTGGGAGAAAAGTTTTGCAATCTGTCCGTCTGACAAATGTCTAATATCCAGAATCTATGAGGAATTTAAACAAATTTACAGGGAAAACTACATTAAAAATGGGCAAAGGATATGAACAGACACTTCTCAAAAGGTGTCATTCATGTGGCCAATAAACATATCAAAAAAAGCCCAACATCATTACATCACTGATCATTAGAGAAATGCAAATCAAAACCTCAATAAGATACGATCTCATGCCAGTCAGAATAGCAATTATTAAAAAGTCAAGAAACAACAGATACTGGTAAGGTTTCTGAGAAATAGGAACAGTTTTACATTGTTGGTAGGAATGTAAATTATTTCAAACATTGTGGAAGATGGTATGGCGGTTCCTCAAAGATCTAGAACCAAAGATAGAATTTGACCCAGCCATTCCATTATTGAGTATATACCCAGAGAAATATAAATCATTCTATTACAAAGATACATGCACTTGTGTGTTCATTACAGCACTATTCACAATAGCAAAAACATGGAATCAACCTAAATGCCCATCAATGATAAGAGCGGATAAAGAAAATGTAGTACATATACACCATAGAATACTATGCAGCCATAAAAAGGAACACGATCATGTCATTTTCAAGGACATGGGTTGAGCTGGAAGCCATTATCCTCAGCAAACTAATGCAGGAACAGAAAACCAAATACTGCATGTTCTCACTTATAAGCAGGAGCTGAACAATGAAAGCACATGGACAAAGGGAGGGGAACAACACACACTGGGGCCTGTCAGGGGATTGGGTGGGGAGGGAGAGCATTAGGGAAAATAGCTAATGCATGCTGGGCTTAATATCTAGGTGATTGGTTGATAGGTGCAGCAAACCACCATGGCACACGTTTATCTATGTAACAAACCTGTACATCCCGCACATATACCCTGGAACTTATAATAAAAATTAAAAATTAAAAAAAAATCAAGACATAATAAAGCTTTTTGGCACAAAGCTTGTTTTTAGCATTTAGGGCTGGATATTTTCATAATTCTGAAAGGTCCCAATAAACTCTGAAATGTCCCTTCTTAGCTTCTAAGAAATGTGTGTTTAAAACCTGTTGAATTAAAACACGGGGTCATTTTAGTGATAGAAAACTGCACATCATAAAGGTTTTTGGCACAAAGCTTCTTTTTAGCTTTTAAGGCTGGAAAAAAAAAATCCTTCTATGAAAGGCACTCCCTATCAGGGTTGTACCCAGCCCTTCTGCCAATTAGGTTTCAAAGGACCCAAGAGATAACTCATTTCATTAAAAGGCAAAAATCCTGACTCTGTCAACCTGGTGAAGAGAATCAGACACAGCAAGTCATCCAGCATCTGAAAGGTTTTACATTCATTAAAGCATTGCCATAACAGAAGAACTCCTGCATAATCCTACCTGAGAATATCCCACTGATGCAATTTTGAAAGACGACCATCTCTCTGAAAGGTCAAACTTTTCTCAGAGATTGTTTTAATGCCAAAGTTAACCAAAACGGCTAAAGAGGTGCACACCTACAATGATCATGTAAAGTGAAATAAATGCTAATTAACTTTCTACTCATTTTATGCATTATTTCAAATGTTGATAAAAAATATTTCTGTCCTCAAAATAGATTCAATGATCTGGTAGTGAGACCTCATCTTAAATCACATTAATATTTTTTTTTGCAAAATGAGACAATACCATCATATAAAAACACCTCCTTCCATAATAGTAATAGTATTATGGATAATATTGGCCTAAAGTAGATGGATAAAATGATAAGACTTACTAGAGATGACCCCAAAAGTAATGAAATTTAGTGATGGGTAGAAAATCATAGTGGTTAAAGACTGGGGGCTTTGGACACAACAGATTTCAGTGCAAAAACTTTCACTTTCAGTGATAAAATTTAGCCACTGAATGGCCTTGGGTATGATTTTTAAAAATCGAATACTAACTATACTACCCAAAGTGATCTACAAATTCAAAGCAATCTCTATAAAAATACCAGTGACATTCTTCACAAAAATAGAAAAAACAATCCTAAAATGTGTATGAAACCATAAAAGATCTGGAAAACCAAAGGAGTCTTGAAAAAAAAGAATGAAGAATCACGTTACCTGACTTCAAAATATATACAAATCTATAACAACCAAAACAACATCATACTGGCATAAAAGCAGATATATAGACCGATGGAACAGAATAGAGAGTCCAGAAATAAATTTGCATACAGCCAAATGATTATTAGCAAAGGTGCCAAGAACACACATTAGGGAAAACAGTCTATTCAATAAATGGTTTTGGGAAAACTAGATGTTCACATGCAGAAATATGAAATTAGACCTTTATCTTTCACCACTTACAAAAATCAAGTCAAAATAGGTTAAAGACCTAAACTCTAAACAATAAAACTACTGGAATAAAACAGGGGGAAATGTTCATGACCTTGGTCTGGGCAAAGATTTTTTTTGGATACGACCTCAAAAGCACAAGCAACAAAAGCAAAAATAAACAAATAGGACTATATCAAACTAAGAAATTTCTGCACAGCAAAGGAAATTATCAACAGAGAAAAGAGACAACCTACAGAATGGAAGAACGTATTTGCAAACTATACATCTGACAAGGGGCTAATATCCAAAATACATAAGGAGCTCAAACACCTCAATCACAAAAACAACCTAATTAAAAAATGGTCAACAAACCTGAATAGACACTTATTAAAAGAAGACATACACATGACCAATACGTTTATGAATAAATACTCAACATCACTAGTCATCAGAGAAATGCAGATTAAACCCCAATGAGATACCACCACCCTCCAGTTAAAATGGCTATTACCAAAAACACAAAAGATGAAAAGTCTTGATGTGAATGTGGACAAAAGGAAACCCACTGTCAGTGACAATGTAAATTAGTATAGCCACTGTGAAAATCATTATAGAGATTCCTCAAAAAATTGAAAATAAAACTACCATATGATCCAGCAATCTCACTACTGGGTGTATATCCAAAGGAAATGAAATCAGTATGTTAAAGAGACATCTGCCCTCCCATGTTTATTGAAGAACTATTCACAATAGCCAAGATATGGAATCAACTATCTGTGTCTATCAACAGATAAATACATAAAGAAAATGTGATATATATATATACAATGAAATACTACTCAGCCATAAAAAAGAATAAAATCCTGTCATTTGTGACATGTATGAACCTGGAGGGCATTATACTAAGCGAATAAGACAGGCACAGAACGACAAATATCTCTTGCTCTAACTCATATGAGGAAAATAAAAACGTTGATCACATAGAAAGTGAGGGTAGAGTAGTAGCTACTAGAGGCTGTGGAGGGTAGGGGGGAATGGACAGATGTGAACAGGTTGGTCAGTGGCTATTATGTTACAATTAAATAGGAAGAACAAGTTCTGGTGTTCTGTTGCACTGTAGGATGACTATCCTGCATGTTAACAATAATGTATGATACACTTCAAAATAGCTAGAAGAGAGGATTTTGAATGATTTCACCACAAAGAAATGATAAATGTTTAATGTGATAGATATGCTAATTACCTTGATTTGCTCATTACTCAATGTATACAAGTATCAAAACAACACGTTGTACCCCTTAAATATGTACAATTATTGTTCCAATCAAAAAGAACACTTTCAAAAATAAAAATAAAAAAATTGAGTCTTAAATATCCCAGATTTCAAAACTAAAAGGATATACAACAAAATTCTGAGAAAGTCTTGATTTGAATTCAGTAAGATTAACCACTCACAATAGAAAGCCATTTCCATGCAGCATTTGAAAAAGATCATCCATCACAGAGACTAGCACATTCTCCATGCTAGGCCGAAGCTTGGAATTTAATGAGAAGTTACTGACAGCTTTCGTCTTCACAGCTGCCCCTGGAATTTGTTAATACATCGGTTCTCCTGACACGCAGATACTAGAAGTCACTCCACCATATTTCAATGAATAGAATACAAGTAATGCAGCCCCCTAAAAGCTTATTCTTCCAATTATTTGAACTAAGCAAATGTTCCTTTTAGAGGTCATCAACCAAGTATATTTAACAAAACTAGCCTTATGGTTTTTAATCACCTTTAATATAACTGTTTCTAACAAACAAATAGTGAAAAAAAATGAATGTGTCAGAATTTCTCAATTCTTGTTCTTTTCTAAATTGCAATTCTCACATTCCAGCTTGATCATCAATTATGTCACAGTAGCCTATTAAATTGTAGATGAGTTTAATCACCCATACTGTCTTTATTAACTCTCAAACAATCCTCAATTAAAGGTACCATTGATACTTTTCTACAGATAGGTAAACTGAGGCTCTGAGAATGTGATGCCTAGATTACATTGTTAGATAGGGCAGAATTTTTTCCACTTCAATAAAAAATCTACTTTTCCTGTAGAAAGAAAACTAGCCTGGAATTAAAGAGAGAATAACTATTTCCATTTTAATGTAAACTAATGGCAATGTCTTTTTAAAATTATGTGTACTGGAGTAAAAGAGTTAAAACTAAGTTTTTCACAGGCATTTTTAGCTTAAGTCATTCACAAATTTATCTCAATAGATAGATTGATTGATTGGTTAATAATGAGGAAATCGTTGCTTCACAGATTTCCACCAGGGGCCATAGTTTGGCATCAAAGACTTTTGTTAAAACTGCTATGTTATTGTGTGAAGATGGGGGTGTATCGCATTAGGTAATTATAAGCCATTAATATCATTCTACAATTCTGTTTAACCAATTAACTATAATCATCTAGCAAGTCTTGATGAACCAGATCATGCAGAAGAAGAACAGGTATATTTGATATTTCAGGATGGAGAAGGGAAAGGCTAGTAGTGTTTATAGTCTTGGTACTTTTAAAATATACATTTGAATTTATTGGGCCTGGTTCTTCTCAAAGCTGATGGAAGTGGCCATTGAATACATTAATGCACACAGCATTGTCAGACAGATTTTCACATTCCACAGCATATGCAATAGCTTGTCCTCAGCACAGCCACACCTCTGCACAATAACACTAGCCTTTTCAGACTTACAGGGCAACCCCTCATGGTGCCAACCACACGTACAATTTCAGAGTACATTTTCTGTCACCTTTTCTTCCTTCAAGTTCTATTTGTTGTTCTTCTTTCTTAGAGTCAGGGGCAAAATGAGGCAGAAGTCGCAGCTAAAGATATATTTTTCATTTATAAACAAAAATTGCATATTTGTGGGCAAACAATCACCTAAATATCAAGGACAGATCCAGGACTGGTTCCAGGCATAATAGCATAGCTCATACCTCAACGTGTCCTGGAGTCACAAAGCGCCTATCACAGACTCCTCTGAAAACTCCTCCTGGTCCACTCTATATTTAAAAAGAATATGAAAAAATAAAGAGTAGTTATTTGGAAAACTCATTATTTAAAATGCATTTTAACAACAATTCCAAATTTGGTGGGTTAAATTTCTCAATACAGTTTTCTCTAAGTTTGTTCGTTAATGGCAATATCTCTTTAAAATTATATGTACAGGAGTAAAATAATTAAAACTAAGTTTTCTCACAGGCATTTTTATCTTAAGTCCTTCATAAATGTATCTCAATAGATTGATTGATTGATAACCAATCAATTAATTTTCTCATACATCTACCTCCCAATGTCAACAAAAAAAGGATCTGTCAATGATCTTAAACAATATTTCGTCTAAGAACATGACTGAGGCCATGAAATCACCTACCGTGTCTTCGCAGGTCTGATCAAACCATGACAAGTCAATTCTTTACAGACTGAAAATGTCTTAATATTAGCTCTTCACTAAACAAGTAAGCATTTTGTATAGTTTTGTCCTTTAAAATCTACCACTCTCAAATGGTTAATACCCTTATTAACCAGAGATGTCATATATACAACTTGAAAAATACTAAGGACCCAATAGGTAGATGAGCAAAAAACTTACCACCAAAACAAAAAAGTTCAACTGCAATGGAAACTAAGGAAAGCTGTTCAGAGTTTTTATTAATAAAAGAAATATCAAATAAACCAAAGAGAAATAGTCTTTAACCTATAACTTTTTAATTACATAAAATAAAATTGTGATTGGGAGTATAAACTGGCACAAGGCTTTTGGAAAGTAATTTAGCGATACATGTCAAGAGTATATAAAATAGTCTTTGGCCTCAAGGAAATCAACATAAATGTGAGGGTGCAAAGCATGTAATAAAATTGACAGCCTTTGTCCTAATATTGCAAAATTAGAAATAATCTGATATCCAACAATAGAAGATGAGTTATGTAAATGGTGTTATAGCTATTACATTATAATATTCTCATGGTTTAACAATGAGGAGATTAAACAACAGTGGTCAAATGGGGGTAACTGTGGAAGTAGAGTGAGAGGTACATGAGTTCCTTACACTTTCCTTTCAAAAAAATAAAAAAGGACATTCTTAAGTTATAGTGTTAAAAGAAAAGGAAGTGCATCTATACTGGAAGAAAAAAGGCAGAGAGAGAAAGAAGTACAAAATAATTAGTTGTGAATAGCTTTTTAATTTTTTTAGGAATTGATATTTAAAATGAAAAACTAATTGTCTTTAAATAAACTCTACCCTCTTCCTCAAACCCATAGAAACCACGAAGATTCCTCCATGAAAGCAAAGAAGGTGTTTGTAAAATAAAGCCTCCAGGAAGATTCAACTACAAAACACTATAAGAGAAAAATCGTTTTCAAGGAAATATTATACATGAGGAAGTGGTTTCTTTTCACAAACAGAGCTCTTGTGAAACAAATATTTTCCTTTGGCAATGAAATGCCTTGGCAGGCTGACTTGGAATTAAGACTGGGTTATGGACAAGGAAGACAGAGAAGAACAAAGGGGAGGAAGAACCAGGCAGCTATTCACTAAATGAATCTTTCCAGAAAAAAACTAAGAATGCTTTTATACACAAAGTTAGAGCAAGTGAGAGAGAGAGAAACACATGTAGGTCTATAAGACTTTCCTGGGATGACTTTATAATATTTCCAATCTGCAGAAATGTTTTGGTTGCTTCTAATCTGAAAGGACTTCTATTGTTTTCCAGCCTTTCAGTATACTTTGGAAAGGAACCATGACCTGAGGTACTGTTGTCTTTGGAGATTAAGAGAAATGCAGTTCTCTGCTATCGTTCTTCAGATCCTCTCCAATTATAACCAGTTGCAGGCAGTTATGTGTGGCCTTTGCAGCTTGGTGACTACTAAATAATTGGAGTTGAGATGTCAAATGTTTCCCTAATGAGCTCAAGGTCCAAAGTAAACCATGAACTGAAATCACAATAGTGACACATTTCAATGTTTCTGTTTCTCAAGATGGGTGAGAGCTGTTATGTCCCCAAAAGCATGGGCATGATTGCTTTGTGGCAGGGGATGTGGGGGAAGAAAGAAAGAAAAAATAAGGATAAAGAAGAAAGGAGTCTTTCTCTGTAATACATTAAGAGGATTATCATTTTTAAATTGTTATTTCTTTCACTTAGGTTTAGAAATTCAGCCCTAGAATTACTGATTCTAAACATTCCTAATTCTATTCAAATCAAAATAAATGTAGAAAGATGGAGAAAAAAGGATTCTTTGGAAAACAAAACAATACTATAAGCCGTCATCAGAAATGACTAGCATATTGGTGGAAGCTTTGCTATTTTTGACCAAGGGGTATCTGGCACCTCGAGTCACAGATAAACACAGGTGTTGCTTATAAACACAGCCAAACTCCATCCCCCAGTGAATGTTCCAGGTTGCCGCCTGCTCTGTCATGCTGGGGTGAAGGTGAACCAAAGAGTGCCACAACTCCCAGGGTGAATGACTCCGACTGCAGAAAACTTCTCTTCTAAATAAGTAGTTAGACCTGAACAAAGATATTGGTGGTGCTTGCTACCCTAAAATTTTTAAAACTACTACGGTGATTAAGGTCTGTCATTATCAGAAAGGAGCCAGAGTCTCACAGCTTCGGTTAAAGGTCTATTTTGAGAGTTCACTGGAGGGGGACGTCAACTTTCTACTGCTTGATCTTATCTTCAAATCATGACACCACGATAGCAAGAATGTGGGCATTTTATTTTTTTATATATATTTTTTATTATACTCTAAGTTCTAGGGTACATATGCACAACATGCAGGTTTGTTACATATGTATACATGTGCCGTGTGGGCATTTTAAATTGGCATATTACATTAGAAAATAACTTTACACATTCACTCTTTATTGAAATAATCATTATCAGCAAACTGTTATATGGTGAACACCGCTATTTGAATTATGTTTTACTAAACAAAAGCCTTCCAGTCCTTTGAAACAACATGTTGGCCTGGGAGCAGTTTCTGCCTCACTATTTGGAGTGTGGACATGTTTGTGCTTGTCTCTTCTATTGCTTTGGGGATTTTCCCAATGTAAATCCTCTTGGGACTCAACTCTCCAGCTCTGTACAGATGTACTGCAACTGACTCTTTGTTTAAGATCCTGTATCCAGGTTTTTTTTTTTTTTAAACAGGAGTAGAAAGATTAGACACACTTCTAGGGGACCTATTGTGCATTGTGAGCACTGCATGCTTAATTGCAAAAAGGAAAAACAAAAAAACCAACAACCCAACTGCTTAATTTATGGATATCAGCAACAGGGCCAGTAATTTCGACATGGAAAGGGGAACTCTCATTATTCATAAAGTTGGCAAGAGTTTCTTCTGAATTTCAGACTGAACAAGAATCTCTTTGTTTTTCTCCAATTACTTTTTCAAACAAGCAAATTGAGTGCTCGTGGAAGGTGCTTGTTTTCCTAAATGAAGTCCTCTATTTCACCAATGAACAGGTGCAGCAGAGGCAGTGTCATTTAAGGTGTTAAAAACTTCCCCAAATTCCACTAGTATGCCTTAAGCTTAATCCAGATGCTCTATTTCTAGAGATCAATAAAGTTGAGCCTCTGTGGCCCTATCACTCTTGGTCTATTTTAGAACATTACCAGTAAAACCACCAATTTCAGTGGTGATTTTTCAGAATCAGCTGGGCCTGGAAATACACACATTACTTCTCCAACGTATTGCCTCATATAATTTTGACTCATTTCCTTCTTTACTTGGCCCAGAGCCATTAATATAGTAGAGACTGCTCAATGCCCTCCAACTAAAACAGAAAGTGTGCATTGTGGATGGTGTGGCAAAGCCAGTGCCAACAGCTCTCATCTTGGCCTTGCCTTAATTTTCTCCCAGTTCTCTTTCTGACCTCTCCTTTGACAGAATACACCCTTTGCCCACATAACAATAAATATTTTGTGGGATGGCCCAGGGATAGCAAAGAACCAAAATGAGCTCTATCTTGTGCCACACAGTCTTTCTAGAACACTATGAGAATTCAGTGGCAGTTTTTCACAAAGCTGTCTTCAGAGTCCCAAGACTTGGGGACCTTTTTCAGATAAGACTGCAGTGGAATAAGAAGTAAATTGCTATCTCAGAAATTAAATTCTCTTGGGTGGGATCCAAAAGGATTTGCTTTAATTATGAAAGTATTTTCAGAGGCAAATAGTCTTAAAGTGAAGTTTCAATGGACTGCAAACAGATTATCTTTAGCATGAAACATCTTAAGAAGATGAAGTCATGAGAAGTACCTGTTCAGCAAAAAGTAAAAGGAGTCCAAAGAAAATATATACACATGAGACTGGGCATGGTGGCTCTTGCCTGTAATCCCAGCACTTTTGGAGGCTGAGGCAGGTAGATCGCTTGAGGTCAGGAGTTCCAGACCAGCCTGGCCAAAATGGTGAAACCTGCCTCTACTAAAAATACAAAAATTAGCTGGTCTTTGTGGCACGTACCTGTAATCCCAACTACGGGAGAGGCTGAGGCAGGAGAATTGCTTGGACCCTGGAGGTGGAGGTTGTTGCAGTGAGCCGAGAGTTCGCCACTGCCCTCCAACCTGAGTGACAGAGTGAGTGGGACGCCATCTCAAAAAAAGAAAAAAAGAAAACATATGCACATGAAAAAATCATTTAAAAAATAAAAGTGTCAGTGCACAGTGATCCACTAAACAGAAGCATTCCATCCTAAATTATTCCATCAGAGCTTCTAAAATTTCCAAATGTAATAGATTTTTGGTTACCAGTAATTAAGTCTGGGTTCATGCCCACAAACTGAGAATAACATGCTCCCATATCCCATTACTACTTCCTTTAACAAAGCTTCCCCTGAATATTTTTCACTTTGTAACCCTTTTGGTTACTGAAATTACATTCACCAGAGTAGATTCATAGAAGGCATTTCATTCTTATTTCTGTCCTATCATTTGGGATGTGTCTGTTTTAACAGGATGTCCTGATTGTTACTGCCTCTTGTTTAGCAAAAAGCCAGTTTTGAATAGTCGTGTTTAGATTTGTGATGAGAGGATAACATACTTCTGTAAAATAAAGATGTATATAAACTGACAATCTGACTGTATATCCAGAAACCCTCTTGAGGAGTTTCCATTCACTCAGTTAGATAAGCCAGAACCTAAAGTGAAGACATAAGACAATGGTACTGACTTCAATGGAGATATAGTATAGATTTGATTTTCCTGGACTGCTCATAGAGTAGATTCTAAGTTTGGATACTCCTATGTACATAATCAACAAAATAATAACTACCCCTGGGCTAGGATTGTGCATCCTATTCTATCTTTATCACCGGACTGACAGAACTAGAAGCTTCAGCTTTAGAAGCTAAACCAACATACAACTTCTCCACTGATTTATTGTTTTCTCATGCACAAGATAATGATAACTGAATTAGATTCCTCACAGGGCTTGTGTGAAGATTAAATGCTACCATGCAAGGGAAAGCATTTTAATAAAAAGCATCATCCAACCACCCAAGACCATGGGCTGGGTGCTATAACTTACACCTGTAATTTCAGCTCTTTGAAGGGCTGAGGCAGGAGAATCGCTTGAGGCCAGGAGTGCAAGACCAGCCTGGGCAGCATAATGAGACCCCGTCTCCATAAAAAAATGAAGGAAAAAAAAATAGCCTGGCATTGTGGCACATGCCTATAGTCCCACCTACTTGAGAGGTTAAGGTAGGAGGACTGTTTGAGCTCAGGAGTTTGAGGTTACAGTGAGCTATGACAATGCCACCACACTCCATCAGCCTGGGTGACACAGCAAGACCCTGTCTCCAAAAACAAATAAATAAAATAAATAAATAAATTGTGGGGAAAAGAAACAGAGATCAGACTGTTACTGTGTCTCTGTAAGGAGTGTTCCACTCCTCAGATGCAACTTAATCTAGCACTCTATACTTTAAATTTTTTAAACATTCGTAGAAATCAGACTACTAGTTCAACAGAACAAAATGGAGTCTCTTATGTCTACTTCTTTCTACATAGACACAGTAACAATCTGACCTCTCTTTCTTTTCCCCAAATAAATAAATAAATAAATAAATAAATAAATCCCAAATACATGAGGCCATTATTTATGCCAAGAAAACATCTGATTGTTGGATCATCAATCCAATGTCTATGAGATTTAAACTGGAAACATATACTAGCATATTAGAAATGCAACCTTTTTATTTGATCTTAAGGAGAAGTTAGTGGGAAGGCTTCTGGTTTTGACTTTTATTCATGTAATAAATCTTTATTGATCTCCCATGGTTTTCTATTCATTTGGTTAGTTGCTTGTTACAAAGTGATCATTAAGATATATACAAACTTTCCAGATAGAGTTTAGAGTCTAATAAGAGGAGCTGGATATTAAGCAGATAATCCCACTAATAATTATATAATTGAAATCATTACAAAGTATTATGAAGGAAGAATATGTTTGGAGAATATAAAACAAGGCCTAAACTACATTTCAAATTTTAGTGAAGTTCTCTATAAATGACACTAAGCAGACACCTAAAGGACAGGTAGGAGTTACCCAGATAAGCACAAAGAGAGGGATTGCAGGCAGAGAAAGTAGCATGGATGAGACTCTGACACATAGAAAATGAGGAGCAGAATGGAGCTGGGTAATATTAGAAATGCAGGGAGAAGTAAGATCACACAGAAACCTAGACATCAAGGATTTGGAATTGATGGGCAGGAGGAAATCCAGAATTGTAGCTATAAACTCAGGATTTCTTTTTATCTGAGTACAAAATTATGAATGCATGATTGCAGCCCTTTAATACTAGCCTCCTTGGCCCTGGATCAGTGATTTTCACACCTAGCTCTCTGGAGTCCTAGACTCCTGCAAAGCTGCTTCAGTTGGTGCAAAGAGGAGGGCAGGGAGGGCCCCAGCCCAGAGATATCGCATTGCCTACCTTCCAGACCACCCTGCCCCCTGCTAGGATGCCAGAGAAAGTACAATCTCACTTGACATACTGGGTTTCTACATGAGAATCATTGGACTCCAACACCAAAGGAGGGAGAGAGATTGAAAGGGAGGGAAGAGGGGAGACTCAGAGAGAGAAGGGAGGAGTTGAAAGGAGGGGGAGAGAGAGAGAAAAGTTACTATCTTCCATGAGCAATAAGGTTATTGATATATGGCTTTCATTCACATTTTCCTCTTTTTTGCCTACAGGAGTTTGTGTTTTGTTTTCTGAGAGCGTATCGTTGTTTTCTCTGCTGAATGATGCCCATGGATCACCATATTATATCAGATCATTTGTCTTAAAATGGGGCCTAACTCGTTAGTCCACAGGGCCTCGGGAAATCTTTGATGCCTCAAGAGGCACGCTGATGAATATCGTTTTATGGAAGGGAGAGCCTTTCTTTTCCACTGGGTGATGCTAATTTGCCTTGACTGTGTGGTACTCCCTCAGGCTTTCCTTTCTGAGGTTTTAAAACCTTTTTATTGCAGCTTCCAGGGCTTTGTTCAGGATGGTTGATGGTGTTCTGAGACCTGGGGAGAGTTAGGGATAGCAACCATTACACGTATCATATGCTAGAAAAATCTGGGTGTGGAATCTCCAGACAGGAAAAACAGTACAGGTTGCTACCAGCTGGCAGAGTGGAAGTTAGAAGTACACGGCTGGCCCTCCCCGACCCACCCCATGCTCTGCACCTCAGGCTGGCTGAATGAAGGCTAACCTTGATGCACAATGGATGCGGTCTTGGCAAACCTATAAATGGTAACAAAGGGAGGTAGAGTGTAAGGCTTCAATCCCAGAGTCTCCAGAAGAAGCCAGTCTTGCTGATCCATTTATTATTTTCAATTTTTCTTCTCCCTGTTACATTTAGCTTATCTCTACCCAGGCCAGCAAGCTGGTCATCCTATGCCAACAAAGTGAGACTCCATCTCCAAAAGCATCTACGAAGCTGCCAAATGTTACTTTACATTCTCTGTGTAAAAATTTTCCAAAAATGACCATGCCTAGTCTTAATTTGTTATGAAGTCAAAGGCATCATTGCAAAGAGGGCAAGAACAACCTAATTCAGAGAAACTTCTGCATGAGAATTGTCAATCCCTCCATGATCCTCTGGCTTACAACAGTCTAAGTCCAGTTGTAAAGTCCAATGCATATAATACAGCTTCAAGATCTCAGCAAGCAAAATGACTTAGTTCACTTATGCAGCAGAGAGAGTAGCGCTCACCAAATATTGCCCAGGTGCACCCGCATTTTCTAGCCTCCCTTTGAAGGAAGGTTAGGGCCATTGACTCTCGGCCAATGGGCTGTGAGCTTAAGAGACGCTCTGGTCTGACATGGTTAGGAGTGTGTTTGAGTTCCCTGCAATCTCTCTTCTGCTGCCTTGGCAATCCAAAAGCCACTAGCATGCTGAGCGGCTGCACGATACAGACTGCCTTATGTCACCCTCCTGCAGTGACTACTTGAAAGGGCCACATTCTTATGGTACCCAGTGGGATTCCACCTGAGCTGCCTAGCCTGTATCAACTAGTACAAAATACAAAACAAATTTAAGGCAAATCCTCATGTAAATCTCTTGCCCCTTCAAGCTCTCCATCCACTCACTACCATATTTCTCCAAGCTGTGGTTTTCCTGTGTCATGTGATTAACTTCCATCCTTTTCACCCTACTGAGCCTTGCATTTTCCAGGATCACCAACAAGTGACCTGGGAATACCAAACTATTTCCTCTCAGTCTATTTCTTCTTCTTCCTCCCTGGAACACATGGCATTTGGCATCAAAAGCCACCTTGAATTCTCTTTTCTCTGTGTTTTTGTGACACTGTTAAATCAATTAACCATTAAGCATTTGTTGAATGACTGCTTATACTAAACCTGTCTTATTATGTCCCTTGGACTCTGTTTCTTCTACAACTTTCCAATGAGGTGTCTTAAGTTATATCCGTAGATTCCTTAAGCTTTAGTTTCCTAATCTGTGAAATGGGAAGAATAAATATCCTCCCTTTTGGTTGTTAAGAGGATTAAACGGGAGAACATGTATAAAAGAACATATGACTGAGCAAGAAATATGGAATTTTTTCCTTTACTGCTGTTGTTGTGAGGTGACAACTAATCAGGCAACTTCCAGATCACTATCCAAAGTGCACAACTTTTCAGAAATTTCCAATTTTACATTTTTAATTTCTAAGGGACCTTTCAAGTGGGATGTTTACATTTACCTCACATCCAATAACTGAGCTGACAATTTCTCACTCCACTCTACTAGAGCCTTCCACCCCAACAAAGTCTCTATTTCTACCCATGGTACCATGACTAACCCAATTATCAAGGCTTGAAACTTGAGATTCAGTTTAATTCATGGAAGTCTCCTGCTGATATCAGCCCAATAAAATAGTTATGGAACAAGAACACTACAGGCCGGGTGCAGTGGCCCATGCCTGTAATCCCAGCACGTTGGGAGGCCGAGGCAGGCAGATTACTTGAGGCTAGGAATTTGTGACCAGCCTGGCCAACAGGGTGAAACCCCATCTCTACTAAAAAAAAAAAAATACAAAAATTAGATGGACGTGGTGTCATATGCTTGTAATCCCAGCTACTGGGGAGACTGAGGCAGGAGAATCACTTGAACCTGGTAGGCGGAGGTTGTAGTGAGCCAAGATTGCACCACAGCAATCCAACCTGGGCAACACAGTGAGACTCCATCTCAAAAAAATACAAATAAAAAAGAACACTATGATTGGCAATATTTTCTGTCAACTCAGAATTGAGTGAGATACAACCTGGACACAGATAGGAGTCATGGTGGAGAGGAGGACCATGAGGTGATGCCAACTGCCTCAATAAGGAGATGCGGTGACTGGAACACAGCAGATGATAATCAGAGGCTCATCCAGATGCTGTAATCCTCAGGGTATTTTGTATAAAGGTGGCACATCCTGAAAGAGGCAGTGCAGGCTCTGGGATAGTGCACTCTGTGGAGGAGTTCCAGACCTTCGCCTTTTTGTAATGGTCATAGCTCTGGAACCTGGCCACCCACTGCACTCAAGTCATGTAGGATTAAAAATTGGATGGGTCCTTTCAAGGGAGATAGTTGCTGAGGTAACTGAGCCATCTCATTTTAAGAGCTTCTCATATAGAAGGAGAATTTCAGCGTGGATTTCAAAGTCGTATTAGAGACAGTCCCAGTAAATTTGTGAGATACTAAAATTATTTACCTTAAATAAATCTCTGGAGTCTTTCTCATTGCTTCTAACTTACACAGGTCACTAACCAAGGCTAACAGAGACCACCCACAAAGAAAGCTAAACATTTTATTGGCTCCAACTTAGTCCTGTGGATAGCATCCAAAGATTTCCAGCCCCCCAGATTTCATAGGATTGTGAATTTATGTAAACCACCAACATTCTGAGGTTAGTGGTGCAAGGAATAAACAGAGAGAGCTAAGCAGATCCTTCAAGCTGTGTAGCAATTTGGAAAAAGTATTTCTCTCTCAGATTAATAAAATAGAAATTGTGCTTCTAGAACTATGTTACTTCCTGTTACTGCCAAATCTCTTTTGCATTTGTATGATCAAAGCCTCATAATCCTATTGAATGCACACAAAATTGGATAATAAACTTCTCTGAGTGTTATTGTTAGTATCTGCTTACCAATACCAACACAGAGGGAAGGCTGCATGCATATAAGATATTACCATATTATAAGCTTCTAAGTCTTTTCAATATTTTCTTTTCACTGTTTAAAATATGTATCCAAATTAAGAATTAAAAAGTCATTTCTATCAGGTAAAGTAGGCATATCTATAACATAAAATAGTAATGTGATTAGCTATTGAATGTATGGCAAAACTAGAATTGCTACAATCTGTATTTTCTGCATCAAGAACTGAAGACAAGTTTGGCCACAAAACCAATAGTTGTTCTGTAATGGCATTTTTTTTTCTTTTCCTTCACACAATTACTTTTGGGCTGTGAAGCAAAGTGTGATCATATACAAATGCCATAAAAGGAGAAGATAATATGGATGAGGATATAGCAGAGGGAAGGACTGAGGCTGATGACAATTAACAGAAATTGAAAATACAATATCAATTCTCATTTCCCTTCTCATCCCCAAATTGCCGTAAGACAGGCCACAAACAAAATTCCATAAGATAGCAAAAGTTATGAACATAAACTCTTTCACTGAATCCAAATGCAACATATTAGAAGAATCTCAAGGACAAATGTTTTTTGGTATAATACCAAGTATATTTTTTTATAAAACCTTGAAACAAGATGACTCACAGAAAGTCTATGAAGTAGGATGTAAGTAAGGAGAGAGAAATCCTCTCCAAATTCAGTTTTATCTGAATTTCAAAATTGTTTCCCTAGAAGAGGGGGTAAACTTGTCTCTTAAATAGGGAATATAGTATTTTACAAATGAAACAACAAGTTTTTTGTTTTATTTTGTTTTGTTTTACTCTTGAGTTATAACAGAATTTGAGGAGTTTCTTAAATTTCACATTGAACATGCCTCCTCAGTGTATGTCAGGCTGGCTTTGGATAGTGCAGATGGAGAGGGGCAAGGGTGAGGTGGGATGTGGGGAATGGCATTTTGTAGTGTATCCCCTGTTCAACATTCCTGAATTATTTATGTTCCAGTTGCTTGCCACATGTTTATCATATAGATTATGTTTATACCTTTTAGACAATGAAGAAAAACAGATATAATTTCTTTTTGATCTCACTCTGGAGATGAAAGAAGATTTGTAATCATTAAAGACAGGTAACTGTGTCCTAAAATAGCTTAGGTAATGTTAAACCAAGGAAGCCAGCATGTCTGATGCTGGCATTTACATTATTCTGTACACTTTTTTTTCAAGTCTTTATTCATTTAATCCTTTCCAAAAATCACTGCCATTTAGCTTTTTTGTAGACAGAGTATTCATTACCCAGGTTAATTTTTTTCTTTTAATGCCAGAATATAGGTAGGAAAGCTTCAGTTTGTTTTGTTTGTTTCGGTTTTGTTTTTGTTTTTGTTTTTGTTTTGCTTTGTTTTGTTTTGAGACAGAGTCTCACTCTGTTGCCCAGGCTGGAGTGCAGTGGCACGATCTTGGCCCACTGCAACCTCCACCTCCCGGGTTCAAGAGATTCTCCTGCCTCAGTCTCCAGAGTGGCTGGGATTACAGGCACACACCACCACGCCCAGCTAATTTTTGTATTTTTAGGAGAGACAAGGTTTCACCATGTTGGTCAGGCTGGTCTCAAACTCCTGACCTCATGATCCGCCCACCTCGGCCTCCCAAAGTACTGGGATTACAGGCATGAGCCACTGCACCCTGCCTGGAAAACTTCAGTTTTAAGAAATTTAGCACAGAGAGATACTCAATTTACAAAAGAAAAAGATTGAAACTCTTTAAAATTTTTTGAAAAGAAGTAGAAGATTTTCACCATAGATAAAGTAAAAAGGAGAAAACAATGAAAGAGAAAGTGGAAAGGAATAGAGAGGCCTGGAATGATATAATATCCTACAGTATTAAATGTTTAATCTCTTACCAGGCCAGGCAATTCCTCTCTGTCGGACAGTGTCATCCTAATGCAACCTCCCAATATCCTGATGACTTAGTGTGACCCACAGAGCTTCTCTTGGTTATGTACATAGTTTTTTTAGAAGTCTGGGTCGTTGGTGAGAAATCACTACACAGTGTTTTTCTTGGTGTCAAGCAAAGGCTAGGTAATTAATTTCTTGGTATTTGTTTTCTTCCCCCTAGCTTTATGAGCTATCCTTTCTCCCTTCCTTCAAAATTATAGCTTCTAACACACCTGCTAAAGAAATCCATCAATAAAGTACGTTTTATCAGGAGAGACAATAATGTCTATCAGTTTTATATCCGTTAAGATCAGCAGAAAGCCTCAATTAAATATAAAATTATTTTGATATTTGTCCTAACAGTTTCCAAAATTTCCCTTGTTTTTCATGTAGGAAATTTAGAGGGGGAAAAAAGAGGATACTAAAGAGTAACAGAAGATAAGCTCCAACAATATTTAGGAGACTACAGTTATGAAAACTCTCCATTAGTATTCAGAAACCCCACTGGTTTTAAGTGAGGTTCTTTGTGCAATTGGGACTGTGGTACTAACACACAAGGGCCTAGGAGAAAGTGATTAAATAATACTGTGTATGCTCTAATGCACATGCAAACATTTGGCTAAGGATATGTATGCTTTTCTGACATCAGAGTGTGATATTCCGTAGACCTACCATACGGCTCCATTATGTAGAAGGATCCACTAGAGAACTCCTGTTATGTAGCAAAGCTGAAATATCTGCCTCTTTTATGCAGGCAATATTCCATTTTAAAATGTTTTCCAATCTGGCTCAGAATAACCCCCTCTGTGAACCAAATGTGTTCCTTACCAAATATTCTCCATGGTTTTTCTCCAAGGACTGAGACAGCCTCCAGGTGTTAGTAATGACCTAATCATACAAAAGCCAGCATATGTATCTACTCTTACTCCAAGAAAATGTGGATATGCTTCTTTCTTAGTCTACTTTGCCTCAACAGCGTTCATACATCTGCTGGTTATATATTTGTAAATCCCTCCTTTTATCTCCCCAACAGATGCGTGCTGTGATGAGAAATTCCGAAGCACACATTAGAAGCAATGACGGTTATCAGCCTAGCAGAGGCCGATGGGCTTCCTCGGATCCTGCCATGGCACCAAAGGAATGCGAGAAAATGATTGGCTGGGGAGCTCTTCCACATTGTCAGGAACGCTGGAAAAAGGCTGAAAGAGAATGATGAGAAAAAACCTGGAGAATGGCAAATGCTTCACTGAAGCAATCTGCTACATTCCTCCTTGCAGAGTGGGATGCCTGGCCTGAGATGAGAGAAGTAATAGGACTGAGAGGAAGTGAAAGAAATAGAACCCAAGGAGAGCAGGACAGAAAGAAAAGATTTATAGCATGGATTGTAGCCACTCTAATATTTGGGCTCCTCCTGAACTTAATCCAACTTCCACGTTACTGAAAATTTATTATTTCCCTTATGGATTTGTAGAAAACAGATAGCAAATGAATAAGGAAAATGGAAAGAGACCCAAAAAAGAGACAAAAAATGGAGAGGACTGTGAGTCCAATTCCTGTTTCTCCTGCTTTTGTCAGACCAAGTAAAACACTTAAAATCGTCAGTGGATATTGGCTGAACCTTGCCATTTTGAAAGTGGCTATTCAAACCTTTTAGAGACGGAGCTGGTCATTGCCTCAGTTATTGGCCAAGGTATGACATGAACTAATAGCACTTCAGGGACAATGGCCTTTCAATGACCATCAGGCATCAGTGCTTCTAAATTGGCCAATTTTGAGTGTCAGGAGGCCAGAAGACATACCATCACATAAGAAAAACACTTTAATCCAGTCATTATAAAGTAGGAGCAAAACAGAGTGGCTGTGGTGTTTATAGCTATAGCTGTAATCTCAGTCTAGGTCCATTCAGTCAAGAAGATTGTTTCCAGTCTACTAGAAAACACTTCCAATAAGCCTGAATTACAACCCCAATATCATTTTAGTTTTTTAGATTAACATGTGAAATAAAGAGTTTTTCTTAGTCACAGTTACTTTTACTGCCAAAAACCCAATGAATATCTTTCCCTCTGGAACCAAATACACTGTTTAATTTTAATCTCTTAGCTGACTGACACAGGAACAAAACTGGTTTTGCATTTTCCCTTTTCATTTACTTTTCTGCAATTGATCACTGGCCTTAAAAAGTTGAGAAGATATATTTCAGTTGCCATTTTCTGTACTGGTTTTCATTCATTAGTTTTCCTTCTCCTCCTTCCTTTACTCTGCAATCTCCTTCTCTTCTATCACATCAGTTATATCTCTTGCCACAAGCTCACATAATTTCTGTCGTGTGTCTTAGTAATATCTAATTTGTTACGATGTATTATGCATGCAAATGTAATTGCAGAGGAGGAGTTAAGCAGAATGACAGCTTAAAGAGGCATATTTTTTTTGACTCTGTCACTCCCAGAAAACAGCATAAAGAGATCTGGGACAACTAGATGTCGTGATGAAAACATTAGAACGCCAGGATATCAAATTAAACAATAGAACTGTCCCACTGAACCCCCATCATCTCTCACATGCAATGAGAGCCAGTAACATAGAAGAAAGCTATATGAAGTTGAGACAATTATTTGTCCTAAAATCTGCCTTTAATTTTAACACTGTGAAAAATAAAATGAAAATTGTGACTTCAGCACAACACTTTTGGGTGAGAAATGTATAATTCTCCTTTGTCACACTATATAATTAGTTGTTTACAGACCACTAGGTTTGTGAAAATTCATATTAGCAAAAATAGTAACCTGCAAGCTAACTGAATAAATTCTAATGGCACTAATGACAGTCTTCAAAATTAAGGGATTTTACTTTGATCCTATACCCAAAGAAGAAAAGTACAATGTTATGGGAAGTAACTTACCCTTGTCTTACAAATCAAGTATTGTCCAACCCAACATATCCATTAAAAGATGACAAAGAAAATTTGTTTCTTAAAATATGGTGCTAGAAAAATAATCTGGAAATAATTTGTTTCAACTGCTACCAGGAAATCTAAAATATGGTCTCAAATGGAATTACTTTGCATATAATAGATTTCAGACAATAAATGTTAACCCCAGAAATAAATTCATTTGACTCAGTGTTTACACAGTAAAAAGTGAAGTAGGACCTTCTCTAAATAGCACTTGAGCTAGAGCTGGTAAACCTTGTAAACCAGTCCTTTCTCCTTTTCAGACACACCATTATATGTGCTCATTATTTCTGGAGACCCAGAAAAGTTTGGAAGACACTCACAGAAAGGGATTTATATGTGTGGAGGAATCTCCTATACCTCTCTAACCCAAAGAGACTGAAATTAGGAAACAGGCCTAATTGAGAACAAATATTAGCTACATAGGCTTGGCCCACTATCCTGAAAGTTTATTTCTATTCAGTCATAATTTAGATACTTAGGGAAATTCCAAGAGGAAAAAAAAAAAAAACATGCTCTCTCAACATATAGCAGAAGATGGCAATGAGAACAGCAGCTTAGGATGGATGGGAAAGCAGAAACCCAGGCCCAGAACTGCGGCTTCTCAGAATTCTGAGAAGCTGAGATTAAGCCTGGAGACTTTGTTCCTTCCTCTGTTTCTTTCATTCTTTAAAAATGTGTTACTAATTTATATTTTCAGACCAGAAGGCAACCTTATTTTCTTTACCAGTCTTGAATCCAGACTGGCACAGCACTGTTATATTTGGGAAAATACAAATGGCTGTGGAATTCTTGGGGAAGATGTAGACAAGCCTTGACGTTGTACAATTCCTTTTCACTATGCACATCCCTGCTTAGCCTGGGCAGAGCCTCTGTACATGAGGACGAACATGAATACAAGATGAACACCAACTGATGTACTGACCTACAGACATCTCAACATTACAGCCGCTGTTATGTCTGTGAAAGAGTTCACGTGGGCTTCCACTTCTTTACTACATGAACTCCCAAATACCCACTTTCAACTATTTATTCTTATCCTCATTTATAGAATAAAGCTGACCCAAAACACCACCACTAAGGGAGAATGACTTTGCAACTAGTGGCAAGATTAAATAATGTTGGAACTTTGTAGCCCAAGTTAGCACTGAAGAAAAGATAGTTCAGACAATAAACGTATCAGTGCCATGTGACCCTTGTCAGCATATTAAGGAAGTAATGCAATAATAATAAATTGCACTGGATTGGGATGGACTATGGTCACAAATGGAAATTGTGCCTTCAGCCCAATACTGTCGGGGGAAAAATGTATAAATCTCCTTTATCACACTGTATAATTAGTTATTTCAGACCAAATAAGTAGAAAAATAAGTAGTCTCTTGAATGATTCGACATCTGAAGTGTCAGACATCGCTTTGTATGACAATAAAACTCTGCCAGCTAATCTTCAGGTTGTCTAATAATCTTGTCTCCTTGTCCTAATCTCAGGTCAACCTTTGACCTGAATTAAAGTGGGTCTGGTCATCAAAATCTAAACTACAGACATAGCTGCTTAAATCTTAGAAATGATCACTGTTCTGGGCAGCAGGATGGCTCATCAGAATGCATCACTGAGAGAAAACACAACTGGGCCCTTATTTCCCTCTTTGGTTCCCTTTTCAGTGGTCTACCACTCTGCTTCCAGTCCTGTTCATAGTAGCCCCTATCTGAAACCTTTGTTGATCTCCTGCTAACTCATTCTTGAATTACTCCCATGTAAAAAACAAAAGGACCATCAGAAAGGTTAAGATGTGATAACATGCCAGTGACAATATCCAAAATCCTCCCCATAATAAGTCCCCCTGTGTCCTGGCCTATCCCTATACCTCCAGATTTATCTTCTGGTTCTCCATGCTCCCCTCTCTAGTCTTCAGTAATGACTAATTGACTATGCTATTTAACAGCTTTGAGACCGATTATGGTATTTCCTCTGCCTGGAGCAACATCACTATTCACCTATCTCCATCTCCTTCCACTTGGCCAAATCACTTCCAAGATACTTTCTCTGACTCTCCAATAAGGTTTCACTGGCCCATCAGTGATTTGCTACATGTACCACCAGCAGAGCATCTACCACACTACCCTGAAACTGCTTACTTGCTCCTCCTATAGACAGATATCTTCCAGGAATACAGATTATTTCCTATTCATTTCACATCCCTAGCAACTAGCAGACTGTCTGGCACAAAGATGGCATTAAAGAGATGTTTTTGAACTAAGCCAGAATTTCTTCTCTCAGCATTATTGACATTTTTGGACCAGATAATTCTTTGTTGTAGGGGCTGTTTTGCACATTGTAAGATGTTTAATAGCATCCCTGGCTTCTGCCCACCAGATAGATGTTAATAGAGCACCGAGTCCACAGATGTGACAATCAAAATGTCTCCAAACATTGCAAAATTTTGCAGTGGTGGGGAGGGGTGTAAAATTGCCACCAATTGAGGACCACACATCTCAACTATTGTTCGCTGCTGACAATAATCCTCGAACAGATTATAATGCCTATTTGCTATCAATAAGACTGCTAAGGTGTCAGAATTTAAACATAGTAAAGCCAGAAAGCAGTTAACATTTTTCTACAACTCCCTTTATATCACTGACAATAGGTTAGTGTCCCCAGACATTGAAATCTGGTTCTCAGCAGACCACAGTCTTCTTTATCTGGGGGTTTAGATAGGGAAAAAAGTTGTTTCCTTGTTTTTGATGATTTCAATTCATGCTAGAAATGGCATTAGTCAAAGGCAAAAATTCTTGCCTTCCCAGATGCTCCTAACATAGCACCTTTCATTCCAAGACTAACAGTAGGGTTGGGAGATACCCTGAGAAGTAAAGCAAATATTCATATCCTACACTGCCACTGGCCCACCTGGTGACATTGGACAAGTTACTGAATATCTGAAAGGGTTGTGGGATTAAATAACAGCATGCTTGTAAAGTGAGTGTCACATAATAGGTATTCAACAAATAGCATTTGATAGAATTAAAGTGACTTCTGAGGTTATTACAACCTCTCTCAGAGAAGCCAAATGAATTGTCCAAGGCCTCAAAGTACATCATGAAAGTAACACTAGAATCTGAGACTCCTGACTCTTGTCCAGAGTTCTCTCTATTACGCCAGATTTTTCTAATCACAAATCATGACCCTAGGAATAAGACAGAGGGATAATGTCTTAGTCCATTTTGTGTTGCTATAAAGGAACAGTGGAGTCTGGGTAATTTATAAAGAAAATAAGCTTCTTTAGCTCATAGTTCTGCTGATCATACAAGGAGCATGGCACTGGCTTCTGTCTTCTAATGATGGTTTTTGTGCTGCATCAGAACATGAGAGAGAAGGTCAAAAGGAAAGTGATCATATGCAAGGAGGGGCCCAACCCCAGAGGTGTCCTGGCATTATATCAACCCACTCTTGGGGAAACTAATTTATGCCCTCAAGAACCAATTGATTCTCATGAGAGTAAGAACTCACTCACTGCCACCAGAATACCACCAGGCTGTTCATGAGGCATCACCCTCCACAACCCAAACACCTCCCACTAGGTCGCACCTCCCAACAACATGACTCTGGGGATTAAATTTCAACATGATATTTGGAGGGGACAAATACCCAAACTATAGCAGAGCAGAAAAGGACACAGGAAAACATTGTTAAACCTAATCCCAACTGCTTGTGAATGGGGTGAAAAGTAAAGGCCAAAAGTGTTTTTAAAAAAATATCTGTCCCATTAGTCCACAGATAAGTGATTCAAAACTTATAATTCTAAATCACACTGCCTAGGGTTGGTGAGGAGTCCAAGAAATGTAAAACTCTATGAGAGCATTGGTGGCTTCTGATATTGCACACGTTTAAGTTAGAAGGGTTTGCCACTAGTATTAGTTTTTTAAAGGCTCTTTCTTTTAATAAACAGTAGTTGGACATCCATTTGAACAGGGTGAACCATCGGCTGCCTTTAAGAATATTCATCACCTGTCTTGTTAGACTTAGATGCCATCCTATGCTGGGAGGCAAACTGGTGAACTCTGTGACTTCTGTAAGTCCTTTTTAGCCCTCTGATTTTAGCACTTTGATTTTCTATTTATGATCTTCCAGGAAAAAGGAATGGAGTTAACTTGTTCACGTTAAGTCCATTCATATATTTTGAATAAGGTATAGAGGAGAGTTTTTGAGTGACTCCTCACTCATCTGAAGGTCTGTGACCTATGAACTGCCTCAAGGCTTTCTCTTCAACCTCTCTTTGGGGTATTCCCAACCTATTTGAGCTATTAAGCTCTCCACTCTTTGAATAAAGATTTTATTTTAAGTATTTATGAAATGAGTTTACTAGTTACTAAACATGTGTCTACTTCTCTAGTGAATATTTATATCTAATAAATAAGCAAATAAAGTCATACGGACAGAGCTTCATCAAGAATATCTTGATGTTCATTGAACATCTGTGATCTCAGTTTGTAAAGTGCATCGCCCAAGGTAATACTACCCTCTGAACTGAATTAGCTTGCATTTTTTCAGAGCCCATCTGTAACTTGTCAAGCAAGGACTCCGATTCAACAATTTGCTGCAAAAGAGGGGATTTATCTACATCTTTGAGTGGCCATTTCACACCTCCCTCTCTAAACTCCAGACCCAACTATCCACATATATTCCTTTTTCACTCCTTAAAGCAATAGCAATTCTTCTGTGATTGAAGTAATTTCTCTAGAAAGGCTATTTCTTGCAATTTAATAAAAGCCTCCTTTTTTCCTCCTCTGAGGTGTTGAATTTAGAGTCTGTGGTTATGCCACTTGCAAGGTGGAGCAAGTGTCTAGTGGAGGCGGTGTCACAGAAATAGAATGCCACGGGATTAACTTTTTAACAATTACCAGTTAGTTTGATAGTAGAACCAAACAACTACATTTCTTCTGTATTCATGTAGTCAAGTTTGTTTCAGTAAATCCTGCAGAGAAATAGAGCCAGTTAATAGTTTCTTTAGAAATAACACCCACAAATTGAAATGAAATATCACTATTCATGAAAATAATGCTTTTACAAGATGATATGGCACTAAAAAAGAACATTTTGTTTTGTAATTTGTTTTTGAAAACATAATTTGGAATTGTATAATGGAATTTTGATCAAAAGTGTGAATAAGTTTTCTGCAAGTAACTACAAATCCTTATATACGCTCTATTTCAATAATAATAATTTCCCTCAATTCCAATGTTATATTTTTATTCTTGCAGATAATAGAGAAAGCTACTGTAAGACAATTGTATTGACAAAACCTCTAAAATTTACTTTTAATTTTATCATAACTAAATGCTAATTGAAACAAATAATAGGATAGTCTCTTTTTTGTTGCTGTATTCCAAAAAGAAAAGGAACAAAATAAGTCAATAAACTTAAAAGGCATTTATTAAATATCTATTGTGAGTTTGGCACCAGAGTAACATGTATAAAAAGAGCTCAAAAAAGACACTTTGGAAAAGACACTGCCATCTTAAGGGTTACCTTTATCACCACCGTTAATGCTGTAAAAATTAACAACGTATATTAGTTATGATAATACGAATGCTGTCGCAAACCGACCACCAAATTTCATGTCTTGTTCCAATAAAATTTAATTCATGACAACACAACAGTTTAGTTGTGTAGCTAAAGAGACAGCTTTTTACATTTCAACGCATAAAGACATTTTTACATTGTGGCTCTGCTGTTTTATAGGGTCTTAGAGGGGTCCTCATTCGGCCAGACAATGAGGAAAGACAAGAAGGGTACAACAGGTGTTTATGGGCCAGGTCTGAAAGTGGTACCTATCACTTCAGTTTATATGCCATTAGCTGGAACTCAGTCAAATGGCCACATCTAACTGCAATGGAGGATGGAAAATATGGTCCAGCTGTGTGCACAGAAATAAAAGGAAAATGCTTTGGTGAGCTGCTCGCCACATAATGACTTAGCGGAGAGAAAACGAAATGGAAATTAAAAGTCAGAATGTTGGATGTTGTGATACTACTAAGTAGCATATGATGTACCACAAATGTATTAATATTCTGGGACCACAACTTTTGTATAAGAGAAGGTAGCCACGATATTCTGATCCTGCATCCAAAAAAATATTAATAAGAGAACAAATTTATGGAAGCACAGTAAAGTTGTAAGGAAATGAAAAATACAGTTGTTTCAAACAACGAGGTGCTATATAATAAATGTTTGCTTTAAACATATTTTCCCAACAGCTTTATTAAGGTACAATTGACATACAACAAATTACACATATTTAATGACTGCAGTTTGATGTTTATATATACACACACTCATGAAACCATAACATCAAGATAAACTTATCCAACACCCCCAAAACTTCCTCCTGTCACATTACCGTCCCCCAAATCCTAACCATCCTGCCCCTATTTCTAGGCAACTATCAATTTACTTTTTGTCACTACAGATTAGTTTGCCTCATCTAGAATCTTATACAAATAAAAACATACTCCTTTCTGACCAACTTTTTCACTCATAATGATTATTTTGAGATCCATTTAAATTGTTATATATCAATTATGGCTTCCTCTAGATTGCTGAAAAAAATATTCCACAATTTGCTTATCCATTAATCTGTGGTGGGTATTCAGGTTGTTTCCCAGTTTCTATAATTACAAATAAAGCGGCTATGAACCTTTACATACAAATATTTCAATAAACATGTTTTCATTTTGCTTTGATAAATACCTAGGAGGGGAACATCTCAATAATAATTTTCTTTGTTTCTTTTGTCTGCTTTTTCTGCTTTCTTTTGGGTTAGTTGATCAATTTTAATGATTTCATTTTGCCTCTTATATTAAATTATTATTTGTACCTTATAAAATTCTTAGTGGTTGCCATAGGGCTTTCCAATATACTCTAAACATGTGTAACGTTATTGGTATTTTT
This sequence comes from Homo sapiens, assembly GCF_000001405.40. NCBI lineage: Eukaryota > Metazoa > Chordata > Mammalia > Primates > Hominidae > Homo > Homo sapiens. The sequence continues at coordinate 82,206,909 of NC_000001.11, read as the reverse complement.
GGTTTAACGATATCTTTTAGAGCTATTAAATTCTAAGAAAAAATAAATTGTATTTTTACCTTTATTTATTTTTCAACACCCTTTATTTCTTCTGATAAATATTATAGTACTCATGCCTGAAAAAATACTCCCTTAAAATGCTGTATAAAGTGAGGCCGCCAGGAATGAATTCTCTCCATTTTTCTGTGTCTGAGAAAGTATTGCTTCTACTCCACTTTTAGAGAATATTTTCACTGGGCATAGAATCCTAGATTGACAGATTTTGTTTTTGTTTTTGTTTTTCTTTCATCATTCTAAAGGTGCTCCTCACTTGTCTTCTTGATCACATGGTTTCTGATAAGTCTGCTATATTTAGCATCTTGTTCCTTCATAGGTAATGTATCTTTCCTCTAGCTACCTTCAAAATCATCTCTTAATATTTCACTTTCAGCAGTCTAAATATAAAATTTCTAGGTGTGGTTTTCATGGTATTGATTCTGCTTGGTGTTCTCTAATTTTTTTGGACTAATTTGCTTATGTCTATCCATCATTTTAGAAAATTTCAACTTTTATTTCTTCAAATATTTCTACCACCCATTCCTGTTCTCCTGAAAGAAATTCAATTATGCCTGTATTAAACCACTCAATGTTCTCCCACAACTCTTGAATGCTCTGTTCTGTTTTTCTTTTCTTCCTTCACCCCACCGCCGCCCGCCTCCACCCTTTGCACGTTGTGTTTTACTTTGTGCAATCTACTGGCCTCTCTTCAATTCACTGATTCTTTCCGTGGCTAAGTCAAGTCTACGAATGATTCTATGAAAAACATTCTTCATTTGTGTTACAATGTTTTTAATTTCTAGCATTTCTGTTTAAAACTTTCTAGTTTGTCTCTCTGCTGAAACCAGTCATCTGATCTTGCATGCAATCTAACTTTTCTATTAGGGCTTTTAAGGTATTAATCATGGTTATTATAAATTTTCTGTCAAATAGTTCCAACATGAGTGTCATATCTGAGTCTCCTTTTGGTGATCACCTTATCTCCTTCAGAATATGTTTTTCCTTGCCTTTTTATATGCCTTATAATTTTTTGTTGAAAGCCAGACATCTTGTATAGGACAGTGCAGACTGAGGTAAGTATTTCTATGCTTGGGTATGAACACATCTTTTTTCTGGTAGCCCATTACTGAGGGGTTTACTTTGATCTAGTCCGGAGCTGAGCTCTCTTTGAGATTTGTTGTTGCTATGGCTAGCCTTAGCTCACCACAGGCTTCAAATTCCTCTAGTAGTATCTTGAGTTGAGGGTGTGGGATGGTTGGCTAGGGTAATTTTTTTAATATTTGTTTCCCTTTTGGTATTTTTCCACTGCACTGCTCCTCAGAGAGAATCTGTTTCTTGCAGCTCTTCCAACTGTACTCCACTCTTACCCGTATTCAACAGCTGTTAGCCTAGTGGCAGAGGAGGAAAAGGAGGTATTCTCTACTGTTTTAAATAATTCTCAGTCTTAGGCTACTACAATGCCTGTGAGTCCAACAAAGAAGCGTCTTTTACAAATGCTCTTGCCTCTCTTCTTGCTGTAGTATCGAGCCTGAAACTTATTCTTGCTCCTCTTCAGGGGTAGTGCTTTTATAAAAATTTCCTTCCCCAAATTGCAGTGGGTTTCTACCAGTGCCCTAAAGCAGTGTCGTTTTGTTACTCTTCACCACCACCACTCACCCTCAAAGATTAAGGCATTTAATCTGAAAGGGAGATAGAAAAAATAATTAGGGCTAATGTTTTGGTAGCTGCTCTTCCCTTTCTGCATCAATCACCATGAGAAAATATATCACAGGATTTTTTCCCATCATCCTATTAGAGCCTTGTGCATCAAGGCTTTCCTAAAAGAATGTTAGAATATGAAAATGTTATTATTTCTGAAGTCTCCAGAGGCTTTGCACTCTCATGCCAGCCCACAGATTCTATTTTTAGCGATTTTTAGTTCTATCTTCTCACTGGCTTTTATAGTAGCCAGTGGTGTTAGCCTCGGTAAGCAAATGCTTGGATCCCGTTTCTCTCTCAGATGCCTCACTATCCCAAGGTTTCCCATTGCAACTCTCTGATAAGTTCAATGAAAGTCATTAATTTGCAGTTTGTCCAGCATTTTCCTTGTTGCAGTGTTTTTTCCAGGCCTTTCCATCTTGAAGCTGAAATAGAAACTGATCTGGTTACAGAAATCCATGTTGACAGTTTTTTTTCTTTCAGTACTATAAAACTGCTGCTCCACTGTCTTCTCACTTGCATTGTTTCTAGCAAGAAATCTGCCATTCCATTTTTGGTCCTCTGTAGACAACATGTCTTTTTATCTCCTTTTAAGATTTCCATTTTATCATTCATTATGAGTAAATAAATTATTTTGTGCCTGTGTATAGTTTTCTACTTGGGGTCTATTAAGCTTCTTCAATCCATCTGTGGGTTTATAGTTTTCCATAATTTCTTCAAACATTTTCTGTCCCCTCTCCTTTTTCCACTCCTTTGGGGATTCCAATTACACATGTATTAGAAAGTGTGTGTGTGTGTGTGTGTGTGTGTGTGTGTGTGTGTGTTCATCTGATGGTCTTTGTATTCTTTTTAAGATACAAAGCATTTAAAAAAAATGTAAATTCCTAATACTGGAATTGCTGGATTGAATGGTAGTTCTATTTTTGGTTCTTTGTGAAATCTCCATACAGTTTTCCATCGATAGGGTGTTGAACTAATTTACATTCCCACCAACAGCATATAAGCATTCTCTTTCCTCTGCATCCTCGCCAACATTTGTTATTTTTTGACTTTTTAGTAATAGCCATTCTGATGGGTGTGAGGTGATATCTCATTGTGGTTTTAGTTTGCATTTTTCTGATGATTAGTGATGTAGAGCTAGCCATAGGCAGAAGAATGAAACCGGACCCCTACCTCTCACCCTATATAAAATTTAACTCAAGATGGATTAAAGAATTAAATTTAAATTTTCAAACTATAAAAATCTCAGAAAAAAACCCAGGAAAAACTCTTCAAGACATGAGCCTGGGCAAAGAATTTTTGACTAAGACCTCAAAAGCAAACGCTACAGAAACAAAAAATTGACAAATTGGACTTAATTAACTAAAAAGCTTCTGCGTAGTAAAAGAAATAATCAACAGAGTAAACAGAGAACCACAAAATGGGAGAGAATATTTGCAGACTAGGCATCTGACAAGAGACTGATATACACAATCTATAAGGAACTTAAATCAATGAGAAACAAATAACTCCATTAAAAAGTGAACAAAGGACATGAATATGCACTTCTCAAAAGAAGACATACAAACAGCAAACAAACATATGTTGTTGTATTCCTTAAGTCTTTTCCCCTCTGTTTTTTATTTTGCATATTTTCTACTGCTCAATCTTAACGTTTAATAAACTTTTCTTCCGCAATATCTAATCTGCCATTAATTCCACTCATTGTATTTTAAATCTCAGACATTATAATTTTCATCTCTAGAAGTTTGATTTTGGTCTATTTTTTAATTCCTCATGTCTCTATGTAACATTTTCAATCTTTTCTTTAGATTTTGAATATATGGAGTACAGTTATAATAAACCTTTTAATGTCTTTGTGTATTAAGTCTAACATCTGTTTTAGATCTGAGTTGGTTTCAATTGATTAATTTTTCTCCTTATTATGAATTTCATTTTCTTGCTTCTTTTCATGCCTACTAATTTGTTGATTGCATGCCAGAAATTTTGAATCATACATTGTGGGATGTTGGATATTTTATATTCCTCTAAAATTCTTGAACATTGTTCTGGGACTCTGTTAAGTAACTTGGAAATGGTTTGATTCTTTTGGGTCTTGCTTTTAAGATTTGTTAGGCTGAAGAAAAACAGTAGTCTATGTCTAATTTTTCCCCTCTACTGAGGCAAGACGCTTCTGAGTATTTACCCAATTCACTGTAAATTACATGATTTCCCAGTCTGGCTGGAGAATAAGCAATATCCTTAGCCCTGTGTGAGCTCTGAGTACGGCTGCTCTCAATTCTATGAGGTAGTTCTTTTCCTGGCCTCCAGCAATTTCCTCAGACGTATTGTCTGAGCAGTACTTCGCTGATTACTTGAGGAGGAACTCTTGCAGGTACCTGGAGGTTTTGTTTTCTGTTTTGTTGTGTACCTCCCTTCTTTCCATTACTCTGCAATGTGAACTCTAGCTATGGTCATCTCCCTAAAATCTCAGCTCCTTCTCTTAGGAAGCCTTAGGAAGTATTCTGGGCATTGTCTGGCTTCCGCCTTCATGTACTGCAGTCTGAAAATCCTTTAAGGCAATAAACTGGGACAATTTTAGGCCTGACTTTGTTTGTTTTCTGACTTCAGGATCACTGTCCTTCATTCTCCAATGTTCAATGTCTTGAAAACTCTGCTTTAGTATATTTTGTCCACTGCTTTTAGTTATTTCAAGTCGGGGAGTAAATCTCATGCCCTGTTACTCCATTTTGATAGAAAGTAAAAGTCTTAAAACATATTCGAGTACACAAACTATTTTGAACATTTCCTGAATATATAACCACTTCATTAGAAACACTCATATCAAGATAAAATGGACATAGTATAGTTTTAGCACTTATACTAGGTAGTTAATTTTTTTTTTATCACTTGGAACCCAGAATTTATTTCTGCTTTTTGTATGACATAAAACCAAAATTCTTTTGGGGAACTTGTCTTCCTGACTAGTCCATGTAGTTTATTTGGGGGTCAATTCCTGGCTTAAATGATTAAAAAATGCTATATCAATGTAGTTTGAATTTGCATTTTTCTTATTATGAGTGAGATTAAGTAAATATTCATATGCTTAAGAACAATTTATAGGTCCTTTTTAGTGAACTGTCAATTCATATCCTGGCTCCATTTTGAGAGAGGATTATGCGTACCACTCTTAAAATTTTCTGTGAGCTCTCTATGTAGTTAAAAGAGTGACCCATTTGTCTCATATATTGGTTGAACTGAGCATTTATTTGCTTATTGAATTATAGCCTTGCTTAAAGCATTTTTACTCAGTAGATATTTATTTTTGTATAGTAAAATGTTTCATTTTTTTGACTTCTAAATTTTTAATTATGGTTAAACCCTTCCTAATTCTAGAAATATAAAGGATTTTGCCAGTGTCTTCTTTTAGTACTCTTATTGTTTTTATATAACCTCTTACAAATTAATTACCAGCATTTATTAGTGTTCTTCCCAAATACTCCAGCCACAATGTACTTGTTTCTGAATTCTTATAGCACAGATTGAGCAATATCATTTGTTATAATTATTTGCTTTCATAATAATTTTATATTATATAGTTTCATGTATCTCATGATCCCTAGCTAAACTATGAGCTCAGTGACAACATGGATCACATTTTCTTTTTTTATTTACACAAAGTCCTAGCAAAATGCTGAACACAGAATACAACCTGCTAAGGACTAGATGTCGACACCTAAGTATAAAGGAAGGCATTGTGTTATCTGTCTTTTTAATTCCTCAGCATATTTTAAGTGATATACTTCTAATAATGCTTGGTTAATATTAAAATATACTGACTTTATGCATAATAATTAAGACAAAGACATGTTTTCATTGTGCATACACACATGCTATACATGACATGAATAAAGTGATAAATACATAATGTTTTACAACAACAGTAAACTGCCATAATATACTACATATATAATAACCATTATAATTTCATAGCTTTTATATGGTTTAAGTCCAACTTTCACAGTGGCTTTCACAGTGTTTTTTCCTTTATCATAGTCTGGTTTCTTTAAGTCATGTAACATGATCTCATTTGATGCTAATGGTTTAAAAAACATTTTGCTCATATTTTCTGAACTCCTGACTTCCTAAATACTATATATCTTGGACAAACAACATAACTTTTCTAAAACTAGTTATCTGCTTGTAAAATGGAAATAACAGGAAATAATAAGATCTTTGTTCAACTCAAGAGTTAGAAATAAATACCATAACTAAAATGCCTAGGATAAAGGCTGACACACAGTCAGTTTTAATAAAATAGTGTCATCATTGTCATTATTTTCTTCAACATCCTTATTCTAAGTTGTTATTTCTTTTGTTTCTTTTTTAACCTCTCTAGTGTGTGTGATTCCTTTCTTTTTTCTGCCTTTCCTTCCTTCTTTTTATTGTTTTTATTATCTTTTTCTTTAATATGCATGTTACTTGCTCCAATCTTGCTTTAACCTCACTCTTCTAACCCTGGGTACAGTTTGCACTTCACTGGAGATCTTGAAATATTTGGAAACATGTTTTTCCTTAAATGCCCGGTTTTAACTTAGTTTTTCTCCATTAGGTAGGCATCCCAACACTTAGGCACCAGCAGAAGCACTAAGCCACCACTCCCTAGAGGCAAGAAATGCAGTTCTCCTCCCCTTCTCCCAGTTCCCATCTCTTCTCTGCCACAGCCCCCTTTCTACCTTTACCAATCTAAGCAGAGAACCCTTTTCCTAGTGTGAAAGGGACCATAAAAGCCCCCCGCCTCATCTGCTATGTCATGCACACAGCTCCATGCTATCTTGTTGGGCCATGTTGTCCATCTCTGAAACTATCAGCTTGAATGATGAAACATAAAATAACTAAAATATATTGAGTGTTGCTATTCGCCAAGCAATATGTTGAAACTTTTATGGGCATTATCTCATGGAATCTTGGATAATACATTGAGGTAGATATTATGACCTGTTTACAGTGAGAAAACTAGGGCTTAAGTTGTTAAACAATTTGCCCAAGGTCACACAGATGGGAAGTAGCAGGCACAAGACCTGAACCCAGGTGTGCTTAACTCCAAAATACATGTATTATACCTTAAAAACCAATTCTATCCTCTAAGAAAAGGAGATACATTCACCATGTCATTTGATACTTTTACTATCAAAACAAAAGCCAACCGAGAATGAGAATAGTCAAGAACTGGCTTTGAACATGAAAAATGCCTAAGAATTAGCCAATCAAATGACCTCTGAGCCACAGATGAATACCACAGAGCAAGTTAAAAAACAAATGTCTCAATGAAACAAAATTTCCAGGGAGAATTGAAAATGCTCTTTGGATCCACCACAATATTTTCCTAAGGGTAACTTATATTTTCCCTTCGATTTTCAAGTAGGGGAAATGTCAGTTTTGCTCTCCTTTTTTTTCTTAGTTCAGAATGGCCAAATATTGAACTTTGGACCCTCTCAACTATTAGGGCCTCCATATCTCTTGAACTCCTTTTATAGTATAAATAAAATGAATTTCTATTGTCTGTTGTTCTAAAACTCCTGCCTTTTTTAAACTCTGTTTTTAAATTAGTAATTTTCACTACCTCATGCAATCTTCTAAATTACTTTTTAGAGTGCTGGCTATTAATATTTTAGGTGGCTTTGATGTTTTACTTTATAGTCTTCAATTTTATTTTACATTTCACAGGTTCCTAGTTGCAAATAATCCTACAGGCAATTTTCTCACACTGCAACTATTCCTTGAAAGATATGCTAATGCAGCATGACACTTGCAATACTGGGGGTTAAGTTAATCACCCAAAATGAGTTGTATTACTGTCAGTGGTGTATAAAGACATCCCATAGTGAATTACAAGGAAGGCTAGCTTTAAAGCTGAATTTCAAAAAATACCCAAAGCTGGAGATGAACAAAAATAAGCATTTATTTCAAAGTCCATTGAGCTAAAGAATCAAACATTTGTTATTTCTGGTCTCAAAGTTACCCAGTATAAATAAAAGGATTCATATCCTTTACAACTTTTAATTACCAGGAAAACCCTTATAGATCACACATTCCTTCTCTGGGGAAGGCAAACCCTGCATAGCAGTTTCTCTCTTCATATTTATCTGCAAGAAAAGGAAGAAATCACTGTCTTGCTCTCTGTTTTGCTGAACCACATGCCAGTTCTAAAAACCTGCGGAGCAGATTGCCACCCTCTGCTCCCTCCATGAAAGTGATGCTCATGGCAGTATCACAATCTAAATATGCCTTTGCCAGAAATCAAGAGGCAATATATTGACAGATTCATCTCCTCTCCACTACTCAGCTTTTACTTGTGTTTTAACTAATGGCTTAGGCAGGAGGTTTAGGGACCTGCCAATTATATGACCCCTTCCAATCTCTGAAACTTAAGTCACTTGTACTACTACTTTGTATCAACCTCATGGACAGTGAAGGCACACCCAACAACCCTGATTACTTGAATATTATTCCTTACTTTGTTGTTGGGAGAAATTAATGATACCATGCTCCTATGCCCAAACGTGGAGCCACACTGTGGCTCCATTTTCTGTACGTTTTTACACATAGAGGGCTAAGAGCAGCCATCACTGGCAGCTCTGATTCTTATTGGCGGCATCATATGCATTGCCACAGTGCTTTTCCGTATGGGCAGCAGATTAAGGACTTTCAGGAAGACTTAATCCTTTCTGTCAGAAGGATACTTCTTAATAGACTGGCTGCTCAGAGGCAAACTGAGGTAGACTTCAGAGCTGCATTTTAAAATAGCAGCAGTCTGTACTTACAATGATCTAGAATTCTCTTTCCTGTCTTGCAAAAATATTGAAATAAGATTTAGTTACAATGTTGTGAAATCCATTTTTCTGAGAGAAGAAATATATTGTGAAAAGTGTGTTACTTCTCTTGAGAAGATCAAGAGAGTGGGGAAAGAATAAACGTTTACCAGGAACATAGTATTTATTTGCCATGCATATTTGATATGAGTTCATTAAATACGCAATAGAAGTGTCAACATAAAGTGCTGTTTAGATCAAGCTATGAAAACAAACTGCCCTGGTATTAACATTAGAATATACTAAGCTGTGGTTAAATATAAGCCTTATTTACTATACGGTGAAGAAATATTTTATTGACTATTGTTAAATAACCATCTACTTAGCCTAATTGAATTCGCCTTTTATTTATAAAGACTGATGGGTTGAATACCGTGACAGTGTGGTTGCTACTTTCACATACCATCTATTTGCCTTTGCATGAATTTTTCCTCACCCAGCAGCATTCAATAATTAACAATTATCACCAGCCCATGCCTAATTTGAGAGTATTTTCTCAGTCTCACTGGACCATTGCCAAAGCTATATCCAGGGAGGAAGCAAAGTACAGAAGCATCTCTTTGAGGAACACTTGCTGTAGAGCTAGAGTGCATCTGACTGCACCACAGCATGAAAATCCACTCACTGGCAAAATGAAGTGTTTCAAAAGACAGAGTGGACTCAATGCAATCTCTTTTGGGAGATGAAATTTAAACATAGATATTTTGGATTAAAACGCAGATACCTCTGGCAGAAGTAGAAGACTGTATAGTCTTCCTGGCACATTGCCTTACTGACGATCATTAACATAACACAAAAGTACAAACGTAGGAGACTATTATTATCTTTGTGTCTCATGCAATATGCAGGAAAGCTAAACCTGCTATAATTAATACTGACCCTCTCTTTACTGGTAGCTATCCTGGCAATTTTTAGGGAAGAATATCAGGAGAACAATGCATAGTTGAAATTTTTATAATCCAGGCTTTTGCCTTACAAATGATCTCTGCCGCTGCTCTCACCTTAATCTTTCAGGGTAGTAGAAATAAAGGCCATGAATACAGATGTTGCCATCAGGATATACAAACATTTAACAAACATAAGGAAGACATTAGTACTTATTCAAACTCATTTCTAAAATGTTTGAGCCATCTATTCAAATGCCATTTCCATAACTAAAGTTAATAATGAAAATTAGGTTTATCAAATATTTTCATTTAATGGTAGTGTATATTCTCTTGATTCCCTTTCCTCAGTCATGTAGGCCAAAGGATTTGAATAGATAACTATTTTTAAGGTTCAGGAATCGAAAGAAATAGGTATAAACTCAAAAGTTAACTCCCTAATATATTGATGGAATGGTGAATTCAACCTACCTGGTTTCATTTATCAATTCTTCTTTAATTATTTTCTGCAAATTTCCAACTGCTATGTAGGCTAATTCCAGGTAAGGCATTTCATATCATAGTTGGACTGTAAAGAGGCCATGAGGACTAAAATATAAAGTTTCTCTTTCTAGAAAAAACAACAAGGCTTTTGGCCTGAAAAACTAGACCATACTACTTTCCCCAGTGGTTTCATCCAAGCCATCCATTACTTTCCACAAATTTATCTTTCAAAAAATGTAAACCACAAAAAAACCCACTTCATTTACAATATCTTCAGAACAATCTACCACTTAAAATCTTAGCTAAGTGATACCAATAATCAGCTAGGTTGGCTCTGAATTAGGCAGTTTCTGGTAAAATTTAGTTTTTCATTTATATTTTAGTTGATGCAACACTGAATATAGGAATTCTTTTTACTAATGAAAAATTGGTCATGTGTTACAGAATTCTCAGAGGTATTGTGTATACGTTAAGAATATCAGGATTGGCAGATGCGAAGGAGCTATAAGGATTCATTACCACAATGTTGACCATTCCACCTCTTTCTCCTTCCTTTCTCAATATGTAGTTTCTTTTCTGAGGCTGCCTTTTTCTTTTAATGGCATCATCATTAATTCAATCAACCAAGCTACAAACCCTGAAGTCATCTTTAACAACTCTCTCTCTCCCTTGCCTCCTTTCCACTGCTTACAATACCCCTACTCTTCAATCCATCCTCATTTTTGTTTCCATAATTATCTTGCTGAAACAAGGTCCAACTGCAGCTGCAAGGAAAGGTGATACTATGGGAAAAGGATAGAATATTAGGATGAGGATACTAATGATCATTTGGTTACTTTTGCCGTTAATATTACATTGCCTATTTGGCTTAAAGCAAAAACAGGTTTAGGGGTCAAAAACTACGACTTTGAGTACAACATTTACTAGCAGGTGACCTTATGCAAATTACTTGACTTTCCTAAGCATTAGTTTCTTCATTTATAAGATGCTCATAAATTGGAAATCCTCAAAACAATACGCAGTTTTCTATGATTTCTTATCAACCAAGACTCTTAAATGAGTAGTCTGTATTCATTTTTCTACACTATTTCATATAATCAATCCATTATAATCTAGCTTCCATTTCTACACTCACAACTAAAACTACTCTTGCCCATGTTATCCATAAATTCTAATCACAGATTCAGTAGACACATTTCAGCCCACTTCTCAGTGATCTTATTCATGGGATTTATCTCTAATGGTGTCTCAATGAGTAATCAAATATTCTATTCCCTCTCTTGGTTCTCCATACCTGAAAGTTTCTTCTTTATATCCTTCATGGGCTTCTATTTTATTCAGATCCTGATTCTTTCTTCAGGGTTCTATTCTTGATAACTGTCTCTTTCTTTATACTTTCTCTTTGGGCAATCCACTCCAGTGACTTTGAAAATCACCCATACACTGATGAGTCCCATTGCTAAGTCCTTGATTTTACCTCTAAATTTCAGATTTGCATATGCAACTGACTGCTATAGATATGACGTCACCTGTCTCCTGGTCATTTTTAAATCAGCACATCCTAAACAAGTCTTATCTTAACTCATATAAGTGCTCACCCTCCCTGTAGATATTAGCATAAAAATCTCTTCAATCGCCAAAGAAATCTGTATCCCAGAGCTTTGGGGGGGCCGAGGCTGGAGGATTGCTAAAGTCTAGGAGTTCAAGACTAGAGTGGGCAACATAGTGAGACCCATTTCTAAAAAAAAAATTAAAATTAGCCAGGCATGATGGTACACAACTGTAGTCCCAATTAGTCAGAAGTTGAGGTGGGACGATCAACTGAGCCCAGGAGGTCGAGGCTGCAGTGAGCCATGATCACACCACTGCACTCCAGCCTGGGTGACAGAGAAAGACCATATCTCAAGACAAACAAACAAGCAAACAAAAACTCTCTCTTTCTAACTCCACCTGATACTTAGATTTTTATCTCTCTTTATTTCTTGTGTCTATCACCTGCTTCCTATTCTTGTCACTCCTCTAGGTCAGTCCCTCTTGTGTTCCTGGACAAAAGCAATAACTTTCTAATTTGTCTCCCTCCATGCTCTCCTACTTTCTGCTCCATCCTCCCCACAAAATCTAAAGTGGGAGATCTAAAATCAAGTGTGACCATCAGTTCTTCTACGAAAAATGTGTCAGTAGTTTCCTACTGCCCACAGCTTCTTAGCATGGTATGCAGGGCTCAATGTGACCTTGTCCATATCTACCCATCCAACTTCATATTCCATTTAATGTCTTTATACATTACATTATTGTGTTATACATTATTGTTAAACAAATGTTCATACCACACTTCAATTCTTAAACTTTGTAATTCATCTGTGTCTTTGCTTTGATTGTTCTCTTTGCTTGAAATAGTCTTTCTGCTTTTCAACTTCAGGATTCACCCTTCAATTCTCAGTACAGGGAATTTTTCAACAGTCCTTTAATCTAAAAGGACTTTTTTTTTCTATATCATTCTTACCACTGACCACAAGAAAGTGAAATTAAAATTTTGTGTCAATTTACCCTATTAGATAGAACGTACTCAAGGGCACGATCTGTACCTTAATCAACTTTGTACTCTGGGCATTATAGTACTATACACGTAGAGATCACTCTATGATGATGCCCAGTTTCTGCCTTGGGCTTCTATGTAGATGAAGGTATCATTCATTGACACATGGGTTATGTGTTTGAGATGCCAAGGGACAACTGGATGAAAGTATGAAGTAGTTAGAGGAGTATATGAATCTGAGTCAGGCATTGATAGAGATCTGGGCTAGAGATAAAGGTTGAGAAGTCATAATTATATAAATGGTAATCGGGCAATAAGGATTTTCATGAATTGTTTTCTGTTTAAACTTCCATGCCAAAAGCTAATTATTTAGACCTTCTGCTTTAATCAGAGTTGCTACTACAGAAAATCATTTTAATTAACTCAAATACTCAAGAATCTGGATGCCTGCAATATCCCTTGGTCTAGATTAAGTAACACAGTTTTTATTTCAACCAGACTGTTATGTTATTGTGTTGAAAATGAGAATTACCCTCATGAAGCTATTAAACCATCATGAAAAAACATATAAATTAAAGTTTGAATTAAACATTACTGAGCTCTAAAAGGCATGACACCAAAGAACAAGTGCCACTTTGTGGTATTAGAAGTCGACAAATGTCTGCATTTCTAACACACTGATGACTTTCCAACCTATGTTAGCAGAGGCTATACTAAAAGATTAATTCATTTGTATATGCACAGGCAGTAAAAATTGTTCAACTAGGTAACAAAAAGGCCAAGGGCATAAACTAGATATCCATTTCTTTTCTAGTCCCTAGAACCATGAACAAGATGTGCAAAACCTATAATGAACATATAATTCATTATTCCTTAACACTCTGCAAATGTTTTTGAGTACCTACTATATGTCATCTTTGTGCTGTCAACTGGAAATGAGAAGTAAAGAAAACAAGAAAAACTTCCTTTTCTTACTGAGCTTATAGTCTAGTGAGGAAGACAAGAAATAAAATACATAAGTAAAATAGAGGGTGTGCAGGGTGCTGATAAGTCCTATGTAGTAAAATTAGGCAGGAAAAGGGAATATGGAATATTGCAGGAGTGGGCAATTAATTTGAAATAGGGTGGAGAGCAAGGTTATGCATTTTAGGAACAATCTGAAGATAGTTCAAGAGTGAGACTTATAAATATCTGGAGGAAGAGAATTCCAGGCAGAAGCAAAGACTATGAAGTGAAAAAATTCCTAGGGTGTTCAAGGAACAGCAAAAAGACTTTGTGCAAGAGTAAAGAAAGCAAAAGGAAAGTGGCCAGACAGGTAACAGGTGCTCCTGTCATGTCAAACTCTTACAATTTTGAGGACTTTGGCTTGTATACATTTTTATTATGAGTGGGAGCCACTGAAGAGATTTGAGTGCAAGAATGTCACCATTGAACTTGGTTTTTATACTTCTACAGTGGCACTATGGCTTCTGTGCTAACAGTAGACGGTGGGGACAAGGACTGAGTGGGGAGACCAGTTAAAAGACACTTGCAGCAATCCAGGCAAGAGAAGATGTAGCAGCATACGGTGATAGCAAAAGATACAGTGATAAGTGGTTAGATTCAGGATATATTTTAAAGTTAAAGCTACAGAATTTGCCAATAGCTCAAATGTGAATTATAAGAAAAAGTAAAGCTTCAAGAATGATGACAATGTTTTTGGCTTAATCAATTGGAATAATGAAGTTGCTATTAACTGAGTTTGGGAATACTAGAAGAGCAGCAGGTTTGGAGCAGGACGGTGGAGGAAATCAGCTCATTTGGGGCTCATTGAAGGTACTCGTTAAACATTCCAATAAGGATGGTGGGAGGACCATTAGATGAAAGAGTCAAGTTTAGGCATGAGATCTGGCCTAGAGATACAAATTTGAGAGTTATCATCATATAGATAATGAGGGAAAAACTAAAAGATATAAAATAATGTTCTATGAAAGTCAGGTAGTAAATGGACTGAAAACAATTTAGTATGATTGTCTGGCAGCACAAAGGGCCCACTTAATCTACTTGATAAATTTAAAGTGAGACCAGACAGCAATGCACAGACGTAGGTATGAAATAGACAAGGTTGTACTTTTGCCAGCTGTGCCAGCTATTGAGTTGGAATGTGGAGTATCAAAGACTTATTGGAGAGGTATGCCTCCAAAATGAAAGGGGAGGAAGCCAGCAGACGGTAATGCTGACTGACAAATGCCACCCCTGGATCAGGAAGCCCATTGGAGATGTAGCCATTGGCTGGCATTGGCTACATTTCAGTGCCAGGGTCTTGCTTAGTCATCAGCTGGGACAACTCCAAGGATTTAACAGCAGACTCAAAGGTGTTAAAAGCTGGAGGCTGTCAGCTAACTATACTCCTCAGTGCTGGATAACTTTTTCAAAGGTGGATGTGAGACATCTCCGCAATTCTACCAGACCAACTCTTTCATAATTAAATGAGAACACTGAAAATGAATGGTAGGAGATGATGTTATTAACTAAACGTAAAATCTTAGCTGTCTGAGGAGAGAAGTGAAAACATGATATGTGCAAAGGACAATGAAAACAGGAGAATCCATGAACATAGTTTCCAGCAGGACTTAAATATCATTGAAATCAAGGTGAAAAACAAAAATAAGAGGTGCTGGTCATTGTATAGGATGCATACAACTGTGGTAATGGAGAAAGTTCTGGTAATGAGAAGGTTTAAGGTGTGACCCTGGGAGTGAGTGAGTGGCGGCAGTCCAATAGGAAACATTATCACTGGTGGCAGAGGTCAAGGAACTGAGAGGCTGTCATATAGGAAGGATCACCTATGAGAATACTAAAATCACCAAGAGTTATAACAGTATTAGGTTGAGATGCAATGAGCCCTTCAAGTAAGGAAGAGGAGTGACCCAGAGATTAGTAGGTGATTACAACAAGGAGGATGGTGGTAAAAGGTAGATGACTGGAGATTCAAAGCTAAGACAATTTATGGAGAAAGGTGAGAAAATGAAGTTGAAACAGTAACAAGGAACAAGGTGGACCCCTACCATACTTCTAACGCAGATAGCTAAGTAGAGTGGAAACAGCACCCAGTGGAGAGGGCTGCAGAGGTAGCAGTGTTCAGAGCCAGGTTTCCAGTTAGAGCAAGAAGGTGAGACAATTGTTCAGAGAAGGTGCTGACCATACAGAGGATTTTGTAAACAATTGCCCATGATTTCCAGAGGGTCCTATGTCAGGATATTCTGAACTGATGTAAGGGAATTAGAGTGCAGCCGATGAAGAATGGCATGGGTTTCTGGGGCTTTTTATGGAGATAAACACAAACAGAAATAAAAAGTATAACATAGATTGGTCTGTGGGTCTCCCATAGTGGTGGTGAGGCAGGAGCAATGAAAAGTTGAGAAATGGGCAGACACCTGGATGTCCTCTTCGGTCCTGCCAATGGAGACATGGAACACAGAGAGAGGCACTGAAGCCCCTCGCCCATATGTACATAGGATTGCTGTTTGGTGTTCTTGATTACAGAATCATATTATATGCATTGCATGTATTAATACATTCTTTTACACAATAATCAATGCACAATACTGATTTTCAGAAAGAATGAAGCAAAAACAATTTTGACTGCTTAGTATATCTGAGACATGGAGTTAACTGTTTTCACATAACTCAACCAAGTTCTCAACACATAAGAAAGGTATTTACTAGTTTTTTATGCATAAGAAAACTGAAACTCAGAAAGGTCAAGTGACTTGGCTAAGATCATAGCTAATTCACAGCAGAACTAGGATTTTTTATTAGGTCTCTCTGACTTGAAGCCTAGACTAGGCTTACTATATCACACCTTAATACCCATCTTACAGGATGCATCTAATCAGAGTGCTGTTAATATTTTATTTTTCTAAAAGTAGGTGTTAAATTTTTGAGGTATAATATTATATATGTTTCTGATATATAATATCCCTATATAATAAGAATAATTTCATTATATGATATCCCTATATTATAGGGATGATATTGTTATATATTATCCCTTATAATCATTTTTAATAAATTAGTTTATAATTCCACAAAAAAATTTTAAATTCTGTATGTATTTGTTTTCCAGAGTGAAGCCAATATGTCAGGTCCATTGGCCACCTTAAAGTTATAGATATAGGCAGCAAATTACATGGGATTAAATGGAGAATTTTGAGGGCAAAATCATTCACAGCTCAGATTTCCACCAAGAATGAAAAGGAACTCCACAAACTAAGAACTGTGGATCTGAAACCAATAAGCAATGGTGAAATCAAAGACCCAGATTTCCTATAAACTATGCATTTTTCATCCGAAGACCCAGATTTCCTATAAACTATGCATTTTTCATCCATATGATCCATGTATTAAAAATACATGTACTCCCATAGTTTTTGAGATTGGCTGTGAGATAACAGATATGTTAAATCATTATGTTGTTTTCTAAAATTACAATAAAGAATAGATTTTAACAGTAATATAACACTCCAAATAACTATACAAATAGCTCATCATAATCACAAATATTTTCTACATAAACATGTTTATTTTTGTCAAATGTATAACATCAATTATTATAAGTTATATTCTATTCTCCAACACAATAAAATAGCTACGTTCAGTTATACTTAATAAAAGAGATTATTACACTGTCTTTTAAAAAATAAAATTATTCTAATGTAGCATTAGACTAGCTGTCTTTGAAAAGTTGCGAATTTTTTGGCTCTGCCAAGGAAGGCATCCAAATATATTTGTCAAAGCTTGTTCCCTAAGCCTTCTCATCCTTGTAAATGCCAATCAGCCCATTAGGCTGGTGATGAGGAGGGAAGAGGGAACTTGAATCACAAAGCATATTCAGCCCCCTAAGAGATTGAACACTTGAAGATTGATATTTACCATATTTCTTCAAGTCTATAATGTACATTTTCTGAAATCTGGATGTCTTTTAAAAATCTTTGTATAATCAAAGACACTATAGATTTGATAAAATTTGTTAAACTAAATTAATTGTGCTTTAATCTATCCAGCATGACAGAGCAATTCCTACTGGTTAAAATTCTCCACATCTTCCAGACAGATCTGCAGGCTGACAATGGCAGAAAGAGCTGCAGAGAATCTTAACATAAGAACTACCTGAGTAGAAACTTCAAATATGTATATCCTTTATCCAAAGCAAGTCCATATCCACAATGATACCAGTAAGTCTGAGTGCCAAAAAAGGAGAGTTGCAAAGTATGTATACAAAACTAAGCACATCTTTTTTTTCTTAGCTTTAACTAATATTAAGTTCTTAATGATAGCAAATATGGTTTTGACCAATTTTACATGTACTGTCTCACTTAATTCTAACAACACCATGGAGTACTGTATTATTACCCAATCTATATGTATAATAACTGAAGTACAAGAGGTTAAATTACTCATTCCAAAAAAACCCTTATTTAGGGTAACTAGTTAAAATTTGAATCTAATCCCAGTGTGCCTTCCACTTCCCTAGAACTCCCTTCCATTGACAGCCTATTGCAGACTCATGAGCCAAAACGGGCTCAAAAGTTGTTAATTGTAGGATTTGAATTCAAAATCTGCAAATAAAAAAACAAAAACGGCCGGGCACAGTGGCTCACACCTATAATCCCAGCATTTTGGGAGGCCGAGGCAGGCGGATCACTAGAGGTCAGGAGTTTGAGACCAGCCTGGTCAACATGGTGAAACCCCGTTTCTACTAAAATTACAAAAATTAGCCAGGCTTGGTGATGTGCACCTGTAATCCCAACTACTGGAAAGGCTGAGGCAGGAGAATCACTTGAACCCGAGAGGTGGAGGTTGCAGTGAGCCGAGATCACACCACTGCACACCAGCCTGGGCAGCAGAGCAAGACCGCCACACACACACACACACACACACACACACACACACACACACACAAACCATACATGCAACATGCCTATGTACATTCCCTTAGAGACCTCTCAGGTCCCTTTTAAACCCATTAGCTTTGTGCACATGCTGTGATAAATTGTGATTTCCACATTTCAAGTAGAAAACACCTATGTCAAAAATAAAGACTAAACTTGGAAAGTAAAGTAAAATAACATGTCCAACAACAACAACAACAAAACCCTGCTATTTTTGGACAGAATCTCTGGCACCTTTTTAGTGATAAACCAACATCTTATTAATATCTTACATTTAATGAGTATTTATTATGTCTGATATACTTTCCTTATAATATCTCAATCCTCATGGCAATGAGATTGATACTATCATTATCTTCATTTTTATAGATGACATAATGAAGGAAGAGAGACATTAAGTAATTTGCCTAAAATGAATTGACCAGCATTTCTAAATCAGTCTTTCAAACCTCAAAATCCATTTTGTTAACCATTATGCTATACTCCCTCTTGGCCCCTCTGAATTGCCATAATGTAATTTGAAGATGGAAAATCAGTGGCAGTCTAAAGCCCTGTGCTGAGGGTGATGTATGTAGGAATTCTTATAATCAGCTAAGTCTGACTGCTCCAAATTCTTCAAATGGTATTTTACATACACTAAAGGAAAATTGTATATTGCCAGAAATTAGTCCATAAAAGGCAAGAGTATTATGGAAAAAAAGAAGTATTCACATAGGGAGGTGAGATTTTTAAAAATAGCTTAGGCAACTTAATTTTTCAGTTCCTTGAGTCTTACAGGGAAGATTTAAATAGGAGTTATAACATTCAATGTTCTGAGGTTTTAAAGAACAGAATTACTTTTTAAATTCCTTTGGAAGACAGGAAAGATTGTAGTGGATTAATATTTTTAATGACACTGAACAGATCTCACTAGGAAATTTAACAATTTTACCAAAAAAATTTCCCAGTATGAAATACTTGGGAAAATCTCACTGTCTTTTTTCTGGTGTTAATAATAAATTTTAGCACCAAAACATTTTGCAGCTAGGTGGGCAAGGAAGAAAACATTTTCAAATTTATAGGCAAAAATCAGCATAACATTCCAATTGTGTTCCATGTAAACACAGGGAACATTCTCCCTGTGTTCCATGTCTCCATATGTGCTTGTGTGTGAGCGTGGGTAAAATGAGAAAGACAAAGAAAAAAGAAAGATGTGCAAGAAGAATAATAGTACCTTTAGGCACAGATAACGAGACACACAAATGATAACTGAGATGGCTGTGAATTTCCAACGTGTGCACGTAAGACTTCAGTATGAAAACAATGTCCTCAGATAAATAAATCTGTAATTTTTAAAGTGTAGTTCTCATAGATAACTACCAAAGGCTTGAAATAATGGAGATCAAATTTTGATGATATAATATTCTGAACAACCTAAGCTAGAAATTTTGACAACACCAAAAAATGCCATGAATAGGAAATTAGACAACATTTGACCAAGATCAGATCCCCATCAAGAGCTAGTCCTGAGCCAACTTAGTTGGCTTTTTTTTTTTTTTACTTCCAGCCTTGTTTCATATAAGAAAAGTGAACACTTATCTGAGTTTTCAATGATTGAAAATTGTCGGGAGTAATCAGAATGACATAAATGTGGTTCCAGGAAAATCCACATACACCTAAATAGAATCTTCTAAAGAAAAATTACAAACTTTTTCCAAATGTTGCCTCCATTCCTTGGTGCAGATTCCTCCTCTTAGCACTTTTCCACTTTCCCACTCATCCAGCTAGAACCATTTCAAATAATCTAGCGAGATGTTCAGAGTAACATTGATGTCACACTGTTGCTGCTGATTTAAAAGAATTATTCTGCCTCCTACCTGTGCCAAATAGACTCTTACCTAAGACAGGGGCTACAAGAGAGGTTTTTGTAATTCTGGGGACTATCTCAAATTATTGGGAAAAGAATGAAGTTGAAAATAGCCAAGTTTTATTCTGTACATATTTCCCCAATTGCAATTACAAACAAAAGCTGTATATTAAAAAGCCTTTTCCAACTTGTTGGGAATCTATTACTTTCTTTTAACAACCCACTCCCTGTCTCTACAAAATTGCAGCTTGTAAGGGAAGTGATGGTGAAAACAAGGGGCAGGCTCAGAGCTGCCTTAATTGATCACAACTTGTTTTGTTCTGCCGTGCAGAACGCGGGAATGGGCAGGAGGCCGAGAGAAAGCCACACTGACAAGGGAACCCAGTTGAAGAGCCAAAACCCACACCAGTTCTCCTGCCCAGGACCCCAGGATTCTCAGCAAATGTATTCTTCATTTTTCTTTTCCCAAAGCAGATTGAAATGGGGGTAGGGGGAGAGAGAGGAAGCTGGACATTTCATCCCCAGCAGTTTTTCTGTCCAGCAATTTAAAAATGGTGCTGAAATGAAATCCAACCCATCCAAAGTATCTTAACCTACTGCAAAAAATTTTATCTCTGCAGCCTCCTGCACACCAGTCAACATCTATGTCATCATTTTATGAAGGCATCAATCCACCAGCTGCAAGAGTGCTGGAGGTGACTGATAATAATTAATATATCTTTTCAATTACAGCCTCTGACAATATTACTGATAGGCATGTCATGGGTAACATTACAATACAAAAGATATGTTGAAAGTATTTTGTTGTATGATTATTCCATCACTTATATTTCCTGCATCAGCTACTCCCCTTTCTTCTACTAGGATTGATGTAACTGCTTCCAGTGGCATTTTCAAAAGTCCAGTTGTACCTCTAGGACCAAATTTTCAGTGCTAGATTTGCCTGCAGAAATCCATATTCACAGGTTTGAGAGAAGATGGATTTGACTCAAGTAAAATTATCACCCAACATGGCATATAGCTGTTATGCTTTCTTTAGCGCAGCCTGGGATTAAGGGAGTCTGAATTATGAATCCATATTTTTTATATGAGAGAAAGTCAACTCTGTACTTTTTGAACATTTTAGCTCTTAATGTACATTTGGCTCTCAAGGGGAAACTCAGGCATCACTGTGTATTTCCTAAATTAATCCAATTATAATGATTTCTATATTTAACGATGAGCCACAAATGTTTTTAATCATGCCTTGTTCCCTGTGGTACAGCTTACACAATACCATGCATGCGTGCTAAAGAATAGCACAAAAATATCCTGTACACTAATGGAATACCTGGCAACAGAGGGAATTCATCCTCAAAGCTCAAACAACTCTCTGAAAGGGCAGAAGCCACAGATTTGGAACCAAATGAAAGTCTGTCACACTTGTGTTTTCTTTGGCTTTCTCTACCCGGCCAAACTGGATCATTCCAATAAAAACTATCCAACTCAGAGCCTAAAATTATACCCTTAAAATTAACAGGATAATTACCCACTCTGAATTTCTCTTTTGCTCTGAAGACACAACCTTTATCTTATGGCTTCAGGAAAGAAATGCTAAGAATTTAATAGAAGTGGAAAATATCAGGGTTGGGAGCTCCCTTCATTGCCTTGAGGCATGTGTCCAAGGTTTTGGGGTCAGCAGAGGAAAGCCAGATCCATGACCAGGGTCTTGCCCTGAAAAACAGCAGAAGCCATTTGATGATACTTTTCAATCGTGATTTATATACACTTGTGTATGACTGCCATTCAAGATGAACTTTTATCCAGAGGTGGGTAGAAATATGTAGAATTAGTTCAGTATGTTCAATAAGATGTTTGGCAAGGGCTATCTAGGAATTACAGGGCGACTCAGATTAGGACTTCAACATTTTGGGGGACAAATAATTCAACCCATAACAGGGATTAAACTATGTCCAAAAACAATGATCTATCTAAAATAGAAGTATGTTTTCTAGAAAAGGTCTTTTATTTTTACTATGCAGTATCACTGGCCCTTAATTGAATAGTTTATGGATGAATCAGTGATTCTTAACTAGCTGAGGTAGGGGTGAGCAAATGAACAGGTAAGGGAATAGTTGGTAGGGGAGGAAGAGCTAAGTATCTCCTAGAGATAAGTATCAAAATCAGAGTCAAAGGATGCATGTGTGTTTTTTTAATTGTGTTACACATTAGAATTTTGTATTTGAAATATGAAAAAGAAACTATCTGTAACACTAAAAACTTTCTGTTTTTAGTTTTACAAAAACTTTAGAAAGTTTTTAGTATTTAGTACCTCATCAAGGTATTTTTACCTGGTAGAAATGAGTAAAAGATATTTCTGATTCTCTTTCCTCTTTCATGCCCTTCCTCCAGGAGTATTAAAATATGGGTTGGGAGTGAGAGTAGGGTAAGAATCAACGTGGCCGTGTGTATCAAAAGGAATAGAGCTTTCTAACACTAAGATACCACTAGTAAGATAACACTTCACTCATACTACACACAGACATGCAAAGAGAATGGATTATTTATTTTTCTATTACTTACATCAACTTTCCCTTAAGCTACCAACCTCTCTCCATTACCCTCTCCCTCCTGGGTAGCAAGGGGTAGACAGCTAAATCTAATGCAATCTGTTACCATCTGGGTAGCTTAAAGGTCTGTTTAGTAAATGCTGAGTTTTTTAGATAACCTCCTCTTCCTCTGCTTCTCTGCAGGATGATGCCTGGGTGTACAGTGACCAAGAAAGCTGCTATGGTCTGCATGTGTCCCCTAAAACATATCTATTAATAATTAATTGTCAATGTGTTAGTACTAAGAGGTGGGGCCTTTAGGAGGTGATTAAGTCATAAGGGCTCCACCCTCATGAATGGGATTAATGCCCTTATAAAAGAAACTTCACAGTGTTACTCCTTTTGCCTTTCTGTCTTCCACCATGTGAGGGGACAGCGTTCAAAGTGCCATCTTGGAAACTCAGACTGGGCCCTCACCAAACACCAGATCTGCTGCCACCTTGATTTTGAACTCCCACCCTCCAAAACTAAGCAATACATTTCTATTTTTTTACAAATTAGCCATTTTCATGGTATTTTGTCATAGCAGCAGGTATGGACAACACAGAGGTGACCAAGCTTACATGATTTCAAAGCTCAGTACCTGAAGGGGACCTCACTGGTATCCTCGGGACCTTTTGCAGTGACTAGCTGCTCGCTCTGGTCTTTTGGGTACTATTGCCTGAAACATACTCTGGTGTTGTGGGGATTGCATGTTGGACCCAGCCATTATCCTTTTCAATCACCATTCCCCCCAAAACAATGGTCTCTCTGTCTTAATCCCTGTCTTCTAGTGCTCTACCAGCTCTCATGGCAACCCTGTACACTCGCACAGATGTCCTGCAATGTGTTGGAAATATCCACATCTGAGGCATCTCCTAGAACATCAGTTGGCAATTCATCGTTTGTGAGCCAAATCTAGCCTGCTACTTGATTTTGTAAATAAAATTATATTGAAACATAGCTACAGCCATTTATGTACATACGGTCTGTGGCTGCCTTTGTGCTTCAAAGGCAGAATTGAGTAGTTGCAACAGAATCCACATGGTCCACAAAGCCTAAAACAGGGGTGTCCAATTTTTTGGCTTCCCTGGGCCACATTGGAAGAAGAAGATTTGTCTTGGGCCACACATAACATACTCTAATGATAGCTAATGAGCTAAAAAAAAATACAAAAAACTCACGTTTTAAGAAAGTTTATGAATTTATGTTGGGCTGCATTCAAAGCCGTCCTGGGCTTCATGCAACCTGTGGGCCGTGGGTTAAACAAGCTTGGCTTAAAATATTTACTATATGACTCCTACAAGAAAAATTTGCTAATCCCTATCCTAGAGTTTTGTAATCTTTACTTGTATGACCAGAGAAGTTTTGCTGGTACACACACACACACACACACACACACACACACAAACACACACACTTTCATTATTTTATGGCCCTATCATATTCTATGTTGTACAGTAATCTCTGACTACATCCCTCCTTAGCCGTGTTCCTGGACTCCTTCATAGTATGTTGATACTTATCTGGCACTCTTTTCTTGAATTTTTGCTCCAAAAATAGGACAAAAAAACACAAAGCTTAATTCCTTGCTTTACCTTGTCTCACTTTAAATCTATCTATAGATTCTAAATGGCACTTTACAGATTGTTTCCATCTGTTTGTGTCTGGTTAATAGGCTAATTTCGTTTCAGAGTTAGTTGTCAAACTTCTTAAGGATTAAGACAATATCCAATATTTCTTACTTATTTCTCATGGAGTCCCTTGGAAGATGCTGGTGGTTAATAAATATTTGTTGGTTGATTTTTACGTTTAGAACTTTTACACTACTATGCACTATAGCTATTACATGTGCTGTGGGCTTTTTTACTGTTGTTGTTTCTTTTTGTTTTTGCACTTTTTCTTCTGTCCCCACACAATAAATCCCAACTTTCAAGCTTAGGTTCTGAACAACTGACTCTGAACCAAATATATTCCATGCGCTCTCTGCCTTAATTCTAAAGTCTGCTCATTGCTCATTCCAAGTTTCTCCAGAAGGTCTGCTCCATTGCCAAGAATCTCCAGGAGAAGAAGGATTTGCAGATTCAGGATAGAACCACCATGTTGTAAAAACAAAACTATATCATTTTTAAAATTTAACAATTTTATTTTGTTACTAAAGGAATACAGGCTTCATATAATCAGGGGCCTTGTCTGGTTTGTTCATCCTTAAATCCCTAGAACCTAGAACATTGTTTGTACATAAGAAATGTTCAATGAATACCAATGAAAGATAGCATAATTATAAAAGTGAAAGGAAAAAAAAGAAATGAAATAAAATCTCGAGCAGATGCTCTAATATAAAAAATATACATGGCTGGGTACAGTGGCTCACACCTGTAACCCTAATACTTCGAGAGGCCAAGATAGGAGGATCTGTTGAGCTCAGGAGTTCAAGACCTACCTGGGGAACATCATGAGACCCCATGTCCACAAAAAAAAAAAAAAAAAAGTTGTTGTTTTTTTTTTAATTAGCTGAGCATGGTGGTGCACACCTGTAGTCCTAGCTACTCGGAAGGCTGAGGCAGGAGGATCTCTTGAGCCTGGGAGGTTGAGGCTACAGTGGGCACTGATTGTGCCACTGCACTCCAGCCCAGGCAAAGGAGCAAGGCCTTGTCTCAAAAATAAATGAATAAATTAAAATTAAAACTAAAAAATAAACAAGTGTATGTTTCAGTAAGCATCTACAATTTTAAATTCATAACATTTACTCAAAAAGTCAATAAATAAAATAAAATTATTAGACTGTAAATGAAACTTTGAAACCAGGTGCTATAACTGATGGTTGTAATCTGATTTCAACATAAATATTCAATTTATTTCTGCATTTGTTTCGTTTGTATAGGATAGAGAAAATCCTGATTTACACAGATGACTGGTTAAGTTTTTTAACATTTCACTTTGCAATCTCAGAAGTCTTCATTTAAACACATCCAGAAACTTGGAAGAAGAGTAACACAAAATTTATTTGCAATTTGAATAACTATCAGTATCTCAGAATTATATTTGATGAACAGTTTTCTCAATAAATCTAAATCTTTATTAATATATATAAATATATATGCCTATATATAAGATATGCATATCTTGAAATATTTAATATCATTAAGATATCTTATTATCTCAATACTCATCTCTGTTATATATATATATTTTTTTTTTCACTCAGAGTTTCATAAGAATCATATTTATTTTATTTCGCATATTGAATCCAAAGTTTGTTTTGGTTTTTTTGCTAAAACTTTATGTGCAGCTGTAAATGAGATTAACATGGCAGGCTAACACATTGTCATATTGAGTCCCTTCAGGTTATTAAAAATGTCAGCAAGAGATGAAAGCAAGTACAACCATGTTTTAAGAGAGGTTTTGTTAATGGTGGTACTACCAGGAGGAAACAAGAAAAGATTTCTTCGTCTTTAATCTTATCTTCATTTTCAGCCTTCATCTTCAAATCTTATTGCATTTGAAAGATTTGTGTCACGAATTCGCCTTGGCAGAACCAACTGTCCTCAATTGAAAAGTGAATATTGGAATTCATCATCTATATAGCCACAAATAATGCTAAAAATTCTGCATTCTAAAAAGTATAACTTAAAGAATTGGCAATTCCTGTCACAAACCCAAACACTGTTTTGAAAGATGCTCATTAATCTTCTTAATAGGGAGTAGTTGTCTACAGAACATACCACAATTATTTAAACTCATTTTGGCAAACGCTCTTACATGAATCGCAGCTCTTATAGTTTTTCCAGTCATTACTTTCTCAATCCTAATTTCAACACCCATACATTCTTGACAACTTATTTGATGGCATTTTTAAAAAATTAGCATAAAGTTTAAGCATTTTTCCTTTTGTATGTGCTTAAATGGTTTGACCCGGTAGTATATATTCTATATACTTACTTATATGGCCCATTCTTATAAAAACCAACAAATTGGTGTAATGCACAGTATTTACAACTTGCAACTGTTCAATTGCAAAAGCTTCACTTTTTAAAATACACAATTCTTCATGAGCAGCTTCTTAATGTTCTTTTCACATAGAATTTTAAAATAATGGCAATAAGTGCATGTTCATTGCTTGCTCATCTACCATGACTGTTGCAAAATCAATAACATGGGGTTGAATGAGTATTTTCTTGATATCTTGTGCTGTTTCCTTACTTACAACATGATAGCTTCAAATGGCACTATTGACATTTACATTTACATTTTTAAGTATACGTTTTCGAGAACATTGAGTGGTTCAACTTGTACTAACAGATGCTGAGAGATGTATATTCAAGGTCAAGATTTTATTTCAGAACCTCAGAACTTGTCAGGATTCAGAGAAAAAAAGAATTTTGCAAATTTTAATTTCACAAACAGAATGAGGACTTTGCGTAGAGAGCACCATATAACTTGGCTTGTGTCATCTGATCCTGATCATTTTTATGATATCTACCATGAAATTTTATTTTCTTTTGAAACTTCCTGTTTTTAATTAGCCATCAGATTCTGGTTTGAATAGCAATTATTTCACCTCAATTTTAACAATTACACTTATGAGTATATTTAATTTAGGCAATTAAAATCTGACACTATCTTTAGTACAATATGGTCAAGATACAATGTGTAGAGTTCACTCCTTATTGCACAATTGTTTAATAAGCCATGATAAGAGCATGAGCTGAGCAGATGTGCCTGAGCTTTGCCTGGCATTTAGCTGAGCACAGTACATATGTGCTGAACTAGTGAACTCACTTGTATAATTTTACATGAGTAGACCTGTGCAGGCTTGAATTCAAAGAAAGACCAGAGCAAAACCTCCTTCTTCCTAATCAATTACACATTGTAGAAAGGTCACATATATGCATAAATAAAAAGAGCCACAGACTGAAATCTGCATGAAAGCCAGTTAAACCCAGTGCACATGGGTGCTTAATCGTCTCTAAAGTGCTGAAAATTGGCGACTATCGCGTATCAGTGCTTGTTGTTGTTGTTGTTGGGTCTTGGGGGTTTGTTTTTGCTTCTGCTTTTCTTTGGTTTGGGTTGCAGCTTCTAAAATAAATATAAAATATTTTTAAATTACATGTGAATCTCTCTAGAAGCATCTCAGAGAAACCTGAAGTTTCACAGAAAGCAGGTGAAAGTGCACATATATCTCAAAAATGCCTAGCCTAACATAAAACATACTCAGTCTGGTTTGTCATTTCCTAAATGAAATCAATTCTTGAGTACAGGAGTAAAAGGAATGCAAAGGAAAAGGGATGGGAGAGAAGGGAAAGGCAGAGAGGAGAGGGGAGGAAAAGAGAAGGAAGGAAGAAAGGAAGCAAAGAAGGAAGGGAGGGAGGGAGGCAGGGAGGGAGGGAAGGAAGGGGAAACATCTTGAGCTAGTGCTTTGTGATCAGTGATGTTTCCATATTCTGAAATCTCTATTTGTCCTACCTCTGAAGTCATCCACCTTCCACCCAGGCCTGCTCCTTGTCAAAGCCTTACCACTAGTGACTTACTGAACTTCCCTTTCCCATAACTCTTAGCAGCTTCATTAAGTACAATGTATCTTTACTCCCAGAGGAGTCTACAGAGCAAAGCATAATGATGTGTTCATTGGTGGATTTTTAAAGGGACTAATAGTTTTTATGCAGTTGTAGTTAGTCATACCAGTAATAAACATGACATTTTTTGTTTCCTGAACCCATGACTATAGAAAATATTAATAAAACAAATGCTTCTTCTTCTTAAGCACCTACTATGTGAGAGTAAGTTTTTAAAATGCTTATAATGACCATGTATCGCACACTCTGATCCAGGCATTGTGCTAAATGCATTCTATACATAATCTTTCTCAATTTTCACAACACCAGGAGATAGGAAATATAATCTTCTTTTTCCATATCAGAAAATTATGGCTTAAAAACTTTAATAGCCCAAGGTCAAACAGTTGGGCTGGGAGAGATTTCAAACTATATCTGTCTGATTCTAAAATCTATGTTATTAACCCTTAAACGCTATATCTCTTCCTTCAAAGTTACTCACATAACCTCAAGTTCAATGTATCTCTGACCAATTCATTGCCCAGAACTTAAATTTCTAACTGATTTGGTCCATTGCTACAGGTTCTAATTTTTTAAAGATATTTTCCTGTATTATTATTGTAAGTTTATATTTTACTTGTCTAATGTAGTACAAAGAATGCAGAAATATAACTTTTTAAATGGCTGACAAATTTAAAACTGTATTCCTAAAAGCCAGGATTTTAGTCTTACAATAATCTGAACATAACAGGAAACTTTTATCTTCATTTCTGTTTCACCAGAAAGAAGTGTCAAACTTTTTTCAATTTTGAATATTCATGTGAAACTTCAGCTAAGAAATATTGAGAAAGCAAGGAACCATAGATTGGTTAAATCTCTTTATCTTTCAAATGAGAACATGGAATGCACATATGTGCACAGAAACATGGCTGCCTGCATATGAACATATGTGCACACACATGCACAACTTTGCACTCTGCTTTCTTTTCCCTTATGCAGCTTTCTTTATCATAGATTCCTTCCTTCTTTCTTCTTTAATCCGGGAACAGCTTTCTAAATGACCTCCTCACAGTATAGCACTGCCAAGGTTAGCCAATTGATTCAAATACTCCCCATTAGCTCCACATAGCCAGCAGTCAGAGACACCATGAGTCACTTTTTCCTTCTCAAACATCTTTTACACAATCACACAATCATTGTAAGCATTTTCCATAATGCTTCCTGTTAGGTAGAAATTGACCTCTTGAAACTGATCAGCAGAAGTAGTCAATCTTCAGAGCTGCAGTTAATTAACTATGCCTCACCTTTAGTTCAAATCATATTTTATTATCAAAATATGATAATATTTTAAAACTAGGGGTAGATTTTTTCTGACCCCCTTATTTCACAGATGCAGAAACTATGGCTCATTATGGCCCAAAAAGATAAAATTAGGGATGATCAAAATGGCACAGTGAAGAAGGTGGGACAGAATCCAGACCACAGGCAGAACTAATATATTTAAAAGTCAACTTCTCCATACACTTTGTAGTGCCTGCAGCATACCACCTGCAAGGCTGAAGTGCCATTTTTACCATCAATACAAATGTCTACAACCTGACTGTATGTACGGTATTAGTTCTTTTATCAGACAACCACTGGCAACTACTTGAGTGAATGCATTCTGTGTCTCATTTTGCAAAATGATTTTATCCTTTCTTTATTATTCTATGATGGATATTCTTTCACATTCATATTACTTTGGCATGATACACTCATGCTGTTTCATGAAAAAAAAAATCCATGCTTTAGAATAGACTATTATACAATCTTGATATAACCAATGTCACCTCATATAATGAATGAGTTAATAAAATACACAAAATGATTTCTTCTCTTCCTCACTTTCTTTATATCCTAGTTGAGGCCGCTACAAGTGCATACAATACAATAATTATTATTATGTCCAATTGTCAAAATATATTGGAAGCTTAACAACTACTGATGAACAAATCTCAATGGGGTTTGAATTGAAAGTTCCTTAGTTCCCCCCAAAAATTTCACTGAAGTAGATGTCTCATAAAATCCTGAGGGCTCTTTAGTCTCCACTGAGAGAAAAATTCTGTAATTATATAGAATTTTCTTTCCATATTCTGGCACATGTAGTTTGGATCTTAGCCCAGGCTATAAGTTATTAGCTGAAATTCTATTATTTCCCACCCTTCATTGTTAAAATTTGTGCTTCACTCAACAGTTCTAATACTGCTTCTTGGTCTTCAACCTTTCAGAAAAATCCTATTTTTTGATAATCAGACCAATATTTTTCTGGCTTATATCCCAACTTTTTATGGCCTATGTTTCAGACCTGGAACAAAATGTTTTCTTTCATCTTTTATTGTAGTCTTCCTTAAATCCTGTGAAAAATAATTTATGTTATTTTTCACCAACCACTAATCCACATGCAAGTAGAAACATATTCTGAACTAATTAGCCTATATGCAACAGGAATGGGAAATTATCTTCTGAAGAGTCGAATCTTGGCCAGTCCTAGTTTAATTTTATTCCATTTCTGGATCAAATTTCAAGCAATAATATTGTTCTTTACGCCAAATGTTGTAAAAATGCAACATCATAATATGTCCTTTATAGTAATATTATAAAATATCATAAACTGGACATGGTGCCCTATCAAAGTCACCTATTTTCTTTTGTCCCAAGTACACCTTTCTAAGTCCTTCTCTTTAGCATTTCTTCTGTGCTCCTTCTCATTCACTAATAAATATTTGTGATCTCAAAGCTATGCACACATACATCACACACACACACACACACACACACATACAATTCTCTCAGACTCGAGTCTGTTCTCTCTAAAGATGAGTGCCATATTTGCTCCCAGAGAGCTCAGCCATTTGCTCTGGGGACTCAGTACATTCCCTTGATGACTAAATCTTGACAGATCTTTTGAGGTCTGGCTTCAAATCCTGTTGAAGACTCTGCCTGAGAAGTTTCCCTGAAGTACAGCACTTCCATTCATTTAGATGCTGAGCCATCTAGATCAATTCACCACCCAGCACTACCTTCAGCATCTCCTAAAGAGAAGCATGGAAAATTATGGCCTGTTCTACTCTAGCCTCTACTTGAATGAAATTATGGGGTAGTAAGTCCTATCTTTGCCTAAACAAACAAAATTCTGACTCTTCTATTGCTCTATATTATGACTGTATCTCTTTCTAGAATTCCAAACAAGTTCCCTCTGCTTTAGATATTGTACTCAGCCTTGCTAACATTTCCATCTTCTTGCTATTTTCCCATCCCTCTTCCTATAAAGTACTGTGTCCTTGAGGAATCTAGGTTTGTTCTAAATCCAGTCCCATTCCTGCTTGCTTGAAGGTTCAAGGTTCTCGCTCAAGGTTCACACTCTCAGCCCTAAGAGCTCTCCATTTGCATAGGTAGTGGAAACTTCTTTTATATCATAGCTTGACTTCCATCAACCAAAAGCTTAAAATGAAATTCTGTGCTCTGACCTGCTCCAGTCTGGACTCATTTCTCTCTAGGGTTCCTATTGATCTGGGCTTTCACTTCACAATTCTTCTGTACTGAATTTTCCTGCCTTTGAAATCTGATGACTTCCCTTTTTAAATTTTAGTCTATCACTATGTATATATACCACATTTTATTTATCCATGCATCTGTTGATGGACATGTAAGTTGATTCCACACCATGGCTATTGTGAATAATGCTGCAATGTACATGAGAGTGCAGATATTTCTTTGACATACTGATTTTATCTCCTTTGGATACATATCAAGTAGGGGGATTGTTGGATCATATGGTAGTTCTATTTTTAATTTTTTGAGAAATCTCCATACTGTCTTCCATAATGGCTGTACTAATTTACATTACCAACAACCGTATGCAAGGATTCCCTTTTCTCCACATCCCCTATGACACATCTTATCTTTTGTCTTTTTGATAATTAGCCATTCCAATAGGTGTGAGGTGGTAATTCATTGTGGTTTTAATTTGTATTTTTCTGATAATTATTGATGCTGACCCTTTTTATATATACTTGGCCATATTTATATGTCTTCTTTTGATAAGTATCTGTTCAGATCCTCTGCCCATTTTTTTAAGCAGTTTGTTTTTTTAACTGTTGAGTTATTTGAGCTCCTTATATGCTTCGGATATTAACCTCTCATCAGATATGTGGTCTGCAAATATATTCTCCCACTCAGTAAGTTGTCTCTTGACTCTGTTGATTATTTCCTCAATTGTGTAGAGCTTTTTAGTTTGATGTAATTCATTTGTCTATTTTTGCATTTGTTGCCTGTGCTTTGTTGCCTGTACCTAAAAATCCACTGCCCAGGCCAAGATCGCAGAGATTTTTCCTCATGTTTTCTTCTGGTAGTTTTACAGTTGGATCTTATATTTAAGTCTTTAATCTATTTTGAGTTTATTTTCTTATATGGTGAGAAATAGGAGTCTAGTTTCCTTCTTCTGTGTGTGGATATCCAGTTGTCCCAACACCATTTATTAAAGAGACTGTTCTTTCCTCATTGTGTGTTCTTGACATCTTTGTCAAAAATCAAATGGCTGCAAATTCATGGACTTATTTCTGGTCTCCTCATTCTGCTTCCTTGGTCTATGTGTCTGTTTTTATGCCACTACCATGCTTTTTGATTACGATCACTTCATAGCATATTTTGAAGCCAAACTAGTGTGATGCCTCCAGCTTTGTTACTTTTGCTCATGATTTCTCTGGCTATTTGAGGTCTTTTGTAGACCTGGTAGGAAGTGTTTGGATGATGAGGGTCTATCCCTCATGAATGGCTTGGGCCAGCCCACTGCTCATAAGTGCTCTTTCTTTGAGTTCACATGAGATCTGGTCACACGATGTGACATGTCTGCTCCCGCTTCACCTTCTGCCATGACTGTAAGCTTCCTGAGGCCTCCCTAGACCAAGCAGATGCCAGCACCATTCTTCCCGTAAAGCCTGAAGAACCATGAGCCAATTAAACTTCTTTTCTTTATAGATTACCCAGACTCAGTTATTTCTTCACATCAGTGCAAGAACAGCCTAACACATCCATCATTGCATGTCTGCAAACCCCAGGCATGTTAGACATCAAATATGCAAGTCAAACATGACAAATTCTCAGGTTGGCCAATGAGACTAATAATCCTAGAGGCTAATGAGATGGAATAGTTGCCTTGACCCTTTCATGGGAACTGGAGTGCACCAGCTCTGGGTTTAGCCAGCCACTTCAGTGCCATCAAGGATGAACTTCACTCACTGAAGCCCACTGGGCTCAACCCCTCATGGGAGGGAGGATGCAGGCAAGCAGGTGCCAGAGCCATGAAGAGCGCTTTGGGGCTTCAGCTCCAGCATATAGTGTGTTGCAATTAGTGCTCTTTTAGCTTTGCCATCCACAGATGACTTAAGTGTTAAACAGTTTAGTGAAGACCCAGTGTGACAGCCTTTTTGGGTTCTCACACTCAGTGCATCCCAAATTCTTGTCCAGTATCTGGGAAGAATCAGGTCACATGAATGGTTTGAAAGGTGATGAACGTGAAGGATTTCATTAAGCAGTGGAAGTGGCTCTCGGCAAAAGGGGAGTTGGAAGGGGGATGGAGCAGGAAGAAGATGGTCTTTCCCTGAAGCCCAGCTGTGTGCAGCTAGGCTCATCCCCGAAGTTGTGCCGTCTGAAGTTAAGCTGCATCTATCCATAGTCTCCGATGCTCAGTTGCCTCCTCTCCTCTCCATGTTCAGCTGCTTATCTCTTTGCCAACTGAGATCTGGGATTTATATTGGCACAGGACAGGGGGCGGGGCAGGCCAAAAAGGCAACATTTGGGCAGGAAAACAGGGATAACTGTTCTCATTTGGGGCCGCAGTTTCCAGGCTGGAGGGTGGGGCTTTTGCCAGAAAACTGCCCTCTTCTACTCTGTATTTCCCTGCCTCCTGTCCGTATCATTAAGAAGGCAAAAAAAAAAAAAAAAAAAAAAAATAGCAGACAAAGGGATTAAGCACACAGGGAGATAGATATTTTACTTTGCTTCATTAATATCTCATGCCACTACTCATGTTACCAAATTATGACCGGGTTGTCAGATATGGCAAGGTACTCTTTAAGCTCCCAGACTATGAACTCAGATGTTCCTGAGCTCACTCCCCAGCCCTATCACTAACCATCTGTGTGACACAGATGAGTTATTTAACCTATCTAGATAGCAATCCAGTCCAATAACTTCATCTGCAAAATCTTCGTAATAATACCAACTTGAAGCTGATTTTGAGGTTTCTCTGAGAAATATGCATAAATAGCAACATGTAAAGCAAAAAGATTGATGCAACATAAGTACTCAATACCTACAGACATTTACATCATAAACATGACATCATCATTTTCTCCTGATTTTGGGGGGTTGCCAAAAATTATTCTAAGTATTAGTGGAAAAAAATTGAGCCACCAAAGTTAGGATTTATAGGAAAGAATAGTACATTCTGACTCTGACCTACGGTCTTAATGGTAGCATCACAATCATTTTTAATTTTTTAAATATTGTATAGTAATCATGAAAATATTGGGCAGAATTCAAATATGTTTGATTTAAAGACTATGAACTTCTAGAAAAACATAGCAGCTTTTATAGGAGTTAAAACTACAAATCTTATCACTTGTTAAATTAAACATCTCATTCCTCCCGCTAACCTCACGCCAGCCTTGGTAAAGAGGCACAAATTGCAACTTGATAATATTTTTAATTTCAGAGATAAATGTTAACTATTATACCACCATCTCAATTAGGTTATTCATTGTTCAATTGATAGCCTATATTCTATTTTTAAAGTGTAAAATTTTTAATTGGGAAGGACTTGTGATGTTCTGGATATATATTTTTGTGTTCTGTAGATTTCATATTAGTAAATATGTAACTTAAATGTCAGTTTTCAAAAACTTAAGGAGCCTAGATAATATTTTTCGGGCTTCTTTAAGACTGAAAAAGTGGTTCTTATCTTAATGTGTGTAAAAATATCCTGACATCTTTGCTCAAAATACATGTTCTGGGGCCTAACATCAGACATTTTTATTTGATATGTCTGTAATGAGGCCCAGGAAGCTGCATTTTAATAGATGTCCTAGGTGATACCCATGCAGGTAGGTCTCAAAGCTCACCTAGAAAAATATTGGACTAAAGGAACAATTGACAATATTTGCCTCCATTTTATGTAAAATTCTCAATAGAATTACAAAAATGACTGTAGATCTCTTAAAATCCCACATCTTCTCTCCACACACATCTTTTACAGCCGAGAAAATTATGCCCCTAAGCACACATACAAATATGCCTTTTTATTTTTCCCCATTTTAATAGCAAGTTTGCTGAATTTTATCTCTAACATTCTATAAAATGTATTTTAAGAAAAGACAATACACTAAAAACACTGAAGCTAGAGATTAGATAAATCAAGGGGTTTTTTTGGTTTGGTTTTTTACATTAAAATAATATTTTTCAAAAGGGTGTACTTTGGAGTTCTTTGACTAGTGGGTTCTCAGACATTTAAGTGTGTATTCACTTAACACTACTTGCTATACAGTCTGTTGGAATAGACATAATTCAAGGTAGAGTGGCAAGAACACAACTAATTAAATATCTGTCAGAAATAAAAATAAGGCAACTCTGAAAATACAGTGTAAATTCAACGTAAATATATTCATTAATTTTTAGCTAGTATTTAATAAGTACCCACAACATGCCAAGATATGATGTTTCAATTTATTTTAAAAATACATCTATTGTGGGCTGGGCATGGTGGCTTACGCCTGTAATCCCAGTACTTTCGGAGGTTGAGGTGGGTGGATCACCTGAGGTCCGGAGTTCGAGACTAGCCTGGCCAATATGGTGAAACCCCGTCTCTACTAAAAATACAAAAATTAGCCGGGCATGGTGGCCTATGCCTGTAATCCCAGCTACTCAAGAGGTTGAGGCAGGAGAATTGCTTGAACCCGGGAGGCGGAGGTTGTAGTGAGCTGAGATTGTGCCATTGTACTCCAGTCTGAATGACAAGAGCGAAACTCCATCTCAAAAAAAAAAATATGTTTATTGTATAAAGCAAAATATACCCACATAGAATGGCATAGTGACATTTACAGGCTTTCTGGCATGTATTTAAATGTATGTCTATGCAGAGAAAAGGAACCCTTATACACTGTTGTTGAAAATGTAAATTAGTACAGCCACTATGGAAATCTGTACAGAGGTTCCTCAAAAAACTACAAATAGAATTACCATATGATCCAGTAAACTCACTTCTGGATATTTACCCAAAAGATTTAAAATCAGTATATTGAAGAGATATCTGTACTCCCATGTTCATTGCATCACTGTTCAAATAGCAAAGTTATAGAATCAATTTAAGTGTTCATCAACAGATGAATGGATTGAATGGATGAAGAAAATGTAGTATATACACACAATGGAATACTAGTCAGCCTTAAAGAATGAAGAAATTTTGTCATTTGTGAGAACCCAGGTGAAATTGGAGAACATTATGCTAAGTAAAATAAACCAGGCACAGAAAGACAAATACCACATGTTCTCACTTATATGTGGAATCTAAAAAACTGAATTCAAAGAAGCAGAGATTAGATGATGGTTACCAAAGTCTGGGGGTGGAGGGACTGGGTAGATGATAGTTAAAGAGTACCAAGGCTCAGTTAAACAAGACGAGTAAGTTGGGATTTTTTTTTAAGATCTATCACATAGCATAGCGAATGTAGTTGGTAATAGTGTATTGTACATTTTAAAATTACTGAGAGGCTGGGCATGGAGGCTCAAGCCTATAATCCCAACACTGGGAGGCCAAGGCAGGCAGATCACTTGAGCCCAGGAGTTAGAGACCAGCCTAGACAATACAGCAAAACCTTATCTCTACAAAAAATACAAAAAAAAGTTAGTCAGGCATGGTGGCATATGCCTATAGTCCTAGCAGCTCAGGAGGCTGAAGTGGGAGGATCACCTGAGGCCAGGAAGTCAAGGCTTCAATGAGCCATGATAACTCCAGCCTGGGTGAAGGGAATGAGACTCTGTCTCAAAAAACATAAAATAGGATAAAATCACTAAGAGAGTACATTTCAAGTGTCCTTACCAGAAAAAATAAGTATTTGAGGTGATGGATATGTTAACTTGTTGACTTAATTATTCTGCATTGTACTCATAAATCATAACATAACTTTGTAACCCATAAATAAATGCCACTTTAATTTTTTAATGTGAAAAAATTAATATAATAGATGCATGTATGTCTGATCTTCAAGAGTAAATCTTTGAACACAAAAAGCAGTAGTTCTGAATTAAAATAACCACCAAAAATCGTCATTGAAAACTTCACAAAGTCTACCCCACAATTTTTTCTAACTTTTCACATTCTAACTTTTAACTTTTAAGGCATGTAACACACATCACTTGTTTTGAATCTGACTATATACCTTTGAATAAGCTTATGCAAAGAGACAAAGAATTTTTGAAATCATATTTTTTTAGTGGCTACAGGGACACAGTATTATTGTACATATGACTTTGGGCAAGTCATATAACTTCTCTGAGCTGCCATTTCTTCATGTGTTTCATGTGTTAAACATGAATAAGAATATTTTATTGCAAGATTAATGTGTAAAGATTCACTAAGGTAATGTATGTAAAACAGAAAATATAGACTCTGGCAAGAATAAGTGATCAATAAATAGAAGTTGAGTGATGAGATAATGAGGATGATGCAACCGCATTTCTAATTGTTTCATATGTGTATATTTTTACCTCTTCTTCTAGACTGTAAATTATCTGAGAGCAGGGATGATGTCACTTTTTAATGCCAACAATCTAGTATAGTATTAGGCAAATAATCTGCTATATAGATATGCATTTAGTTGAATGAGAAATAACGATATCCATTGACAGAAGTGTATTTTTTTCTTACTAAAAGTATAAGCAATATCTTACCTAAAACACGACTCAAAATGTCTTGAGCACTGGAATAAATGTCTTCTGAAGAAAGCAATATAGTAGTGATGATGATAATAATAACAGCAAATTGCATTTTGGTGCTTTCTATGTGCCAAATGCTGTTAAAAGCACTTTACATGTATCAACTGATGTAATCCTTTCAACAAACCATACAAGGAAGGTACAATTATTATTCCTGCTTAATGAATAAGGGAACTGAGGGTGAGAGAGGTTAAGTGATTTCCCAAGGTCACACAGCTGGTATGTGACAGAGGCAGGATTTGAAACCAAGAGCATCAGCTGCAAAGTCCGTGCACTTCACTGCTATTCTGTACTGTAGCTATGGTAGATTAAGGGGAAAAAGGAGAACGATCTTTTTGTCCGAGGTACAGAAAAAGAACAGATTAAATCTAATGAAATGGGTCATGGACTTTTATGCTCCTCTGCTAATTTTTTTTTTTTTATCTCAGCATAGTGAAATGATTGTGAAAGTATTCTCTTCCTCCCTGAGGAACAAATTTTTGCAGAAAACCACTTCAATTAATACTCACCATGCAGTTCAGGCAAAAAGACAAATATGTATCACTATGGAAGAAACCACACTGTTGCATTTTAAACCACTTGAACTTTAGAGATGCCAAATTGAACCCCAAGTTCTGAACTTAGTGGGCTCCAAGTTCCCTTGCCTCTAGCAACATAGGTGTTGTAGTCTGCCATAGAATTGGGTGGCAAGGGTTCTTAGTTTGTTACTGATTGTTGTTTTATCTTTACCTCCCTGCAGGTTTTATAGACACAGGACCAGAATTTTTCTCAAATATCAATCTTTTGCTTCCAACTCCATGGAATCTTCAAATGATTTGTTAAGAGAATGTCAACTATCTACTTAATGGTGATCTTTATACTGGTTTTAGCAGGGATCAGCAAACTCTTTCTGTAAACTGTCTGATATTAATAGTAAATATTTTAGGCTTTGCCGGCTGCCTCTGCCACAACTAGTCAACTCTGCCTTTACAGTGTGACAACGGCCTTAGACAATAAATAAGTTAAAGGGTGTGGCTGTGTGTCAATAAAACTTTATTTGCAAACAGGTAGTGGGCCAAATTTGGCCCCCAGACTGTGGTTTGCTGATGCTTGCTTTATAGTAATGCCCACAATTTTGCAGACCAAATCATTCTTGAATCTTTGCATTTTGCCTGCTACTTTATCACAACATAAATTATCTTATTTAATTATCCCAGCAGCCCTTACATATGAAAAAAAAGGCTCAGGCAGGTTAAGTGGACAAAGGTTAAACATGTAGTAAGTTAAGGAGAAATTACAAAGCAAAGAAATAAACCCAAGTCATTTGTTTACATACTCCTTGCTTTCTCCTCTGCATCTTACTCTGCCTGATATAAAAGGTGGAAGGATTGCTTCAGCCCAATAGTTCAAGGCTGCAGCGAGCTATGATTGCACTATCGCACTCAAGCCCAGGTAACAGAATGAGACCCTGTCTTAAAATAAACACATAAGAAAGAAAAGGAAGACTGTAGAATAAATGCATGCCAGTCTGAGACCTCAAGACCATAAGGCCATAATTAATAGCTAGTTTGGGTTCAAAGTCCTTTTTTTTAATCAGTTTTATACTTAATCTATGTCTTGCCATTATGAAATTAAATTCAAATTAGTGCATTTATATGACAATTTTCTTATGAAATTCTGACTTCTTAAGCTGAAAGGTTATATATTATCAACCTCAAGACTATGATATTTGTTTTACTTTGTTTTAGTAAATTACATTTACTCATTATATATTTGGTAAATGTTGTTTAATTTACTCATAGGTTTAACTGATTTCACTGACCTTTTTTAAATGAACTGAACCTGGAATTAAGAAAAATGTCTTTTTTATCCTTCTGTAATTATACAAAGAAAATAGTAATTATAATGTAATCTTTTTAAAACAATACAGAATCTTACCGTTTTCTCCTAGTTTCTCTACCAATATTTTTATTCCAATACACACTGCTGATCTCTATTGAGAATACCCAGTATTGGCACCTCCGAAAGGAATCTGCCTTGAAAATCTAGACTAGCAACTTTTTTTTAAAGAAATGGTTGGCAGGATGCAACAATATCCTGGAAACTTCACCTAGATGCTGAGGAAAGGTTCATTTGTTTCCAGGAAGTAAGGTTTAGTTTTGTTTTAGTGTTTTCTCATCTAAAAACTTTGTAAAAAGATTTTTTTTAGTTTTATATCCAATAGCAATTAGAAATCGTTCCTTGAGTTTTCTAAGTTGGAGCACCAAGCAACACTTTCAGAACGATGAATTAACCGTGCTTTCATTATTCCTCAAAAAAAAGACTATTATAAGGTGTTCTATCAACTTAATAAAAAACATACCCATTATAGGTCATTAAGCAGAAAGATACAATGAAAGAGTTGCTTTTAATTCATGCAGTAGAGATATGCAGGGTGGTTATTATTAGGTAGGATTGAAATGGTGTAACACTAGTGTCACAGCTTGGTCATTTGGAACCCAAATTAGCATAGAAACAATAGTGATGGAGAGGAGGCAGATATTGTTCTTATGTGAGCAGAAATTCTATATCTCAGGATGTAACCGATTAAATGCCTTTAGTCTTAAAGAGCCTTAAACTGAATTTCTAATGATGACTGCACTTCAGAAGATAAGTCTTCTTCAATAAGATTTTTTTTTTAAACTCCAAATGTATTAGTCAGGGGTCTCCATACAACAGAACCAATAGGATGTTTGAGTACGTGTGCATTTAGATAGAAGATAGATAGATAGATAGATGGATAGATAGATACCTACTTTATTAATATAAAAATATAAAATTTAGTGTAAGGAATTGGTTTGTACAATTATAGAAGCTAGGGAGTCCAAAATCTGCACTTGCAGTGGGCTGGCAAGTGGAGACCCAGGAGAGTCAATGGTACAGATAAAAGCCCAAAGGCAATGTGCTGAAGAATTCTTTCTTGTTTCAAGAGGCCTGTCTTTTGTTCTATTCAGGCCTTCAACTGATTAGATGAGGCTCACCTACATTATGGAGGGTAATGTACTTACTCAGAGTTCACTGATTTAAACGTTAATCTCATGAAAACAAGCCTCCAAGTTGACACGTAAAATGTATACAACAACGATGCCAAATAATTAGTTGTAGGTCCCAGCTGAAACTTACTAGTTATATGACCTTAAGGAAGACAGGTAGTTTCTCTAAAACTCAGTTCCTTATTAGTGCCTACTTCAGAGAATGGCTGTGAAGATTAAATGAGAAAATAAGTATAATGTGCTCAAAATAGTCCCTTGCTACAAATAAGACTTGTTAAATATTATTTAAAATTACCA
This sequence comes from Homo sapiens, assembly GCF_000001405.40. NCBI lineage: Eukaryota > Metazoa > Chordata > Mammalia > Primates > Hominidae > Homo > Homo sapiens. The sequence goes on along the minus strand of NC_000001.11, from coordinate 82,165,183 downwards.
TTACCAGAATTATTGAAAGAATCCTGCTGACCAGAAGTAGTCACATTATCCAGGTAAGTAAATAAAGTGCATTCAGTACTGGGATTGACTCATCAATATTATATTTAGATACCTTGTTCATGACATTACAGGGAAGAGGGAACATGGAATAAGGAGGGTGGAATAGTAATACATTTTTCTGGATAAATGTCATATTGATTTGCACATCAAGACACAGTATAACTTATGTGGAGCACTGCACTCACCTAAATTAGGTCACCCTAATGAACTTGGAGGAGGTCAAGAGGAGAGCAGGCAGAAGGTTACTGTATGAGAATAGTATTCAGTCTTCTGTCTAGCAAAGTCTTGGTGAAAAATATGATCAAAGTTTTAAAAACCAAGAAAACTGTAGGTGAGGTGAACTGGGGCTTCTCTAACAAATGCAAAAGTTTGTGTGTCTAGTCCTAGAAGCTGCAAAAGGATTATTTAAGGACAATTCACTATACATACTCCATATCCAATAAATCAACAAATCTCCTTGGCCCATTCCCTTTAAAATATTCTCATAATCCTACCACTTTTCACCACCTCCACTGCTAACATTTGAATCTGAACCAGTATTCTCTCTTGCCTGCATTATTTCAGTAGCAGCAGATAGATAGATGATAGATAGATAGATAGATAGATAGATAGATAGATAGATAGATAGAAACACACCTACTTTATTGATATAAAAATATGAGATTTCATATAAGGAATTGGTTTGTACAATTATAGAAGCTAGGGAGTCCAAAATCTGCCCTTGCAGTGGGCTGGCAATTGGAGACCCAGGAGAGCCAATGGTACAGCTAAAAGTCCAAAGGCAATGTCATACATGAATTGGCTGTTCTACTTCCAGTCTTGCCTGCCTATGAAGTTTTCCCAACACAGCCAGCAAATTGTTTCAAACAAGTCATTTCTTTTCTTAAAGCCTTCCAGTGATTTCCCATCCTACTCTGAGAGGAAAAACTAAAGTCCTTAAAATGGCCAGCAAGATGCTACACAATCAGGCCTCCAGTTATCTCTGCTATAATCTACTGTCACTCTCCCACCATCTCCGCAGCACAGCAGCCTCCTTGCTGTTCCTTGAAGTACCAGGCCAGCCCAGGCCTTTGCACCCCCTCTTCACTCAACCTGGAACCTTCTTCTCCTACATGGCTTACTCCTCACTTTCCTTTGGGCTTTACTCAAATGCCACCTTTGTTTTTATTTTATTTTATTTATTTATTTATTTATTTATTTATTTATTTATTTATTTATTTATTGAGACGGAGTCTCACTCTGTCGCCCAGGCTGGAGTGCGGTGGCGCAATCTTTGCTCACTGCAACCTCCGCCTCCTGGGTTCAAGTGATTCTCCTGTCTCAGCCTCCCAAGTAGCTGGGACTACAGGCACGCACCACTATGCTCAGCTATTTCTTTTTTTTTTTTTTTTTTTTTTTTTTGGTAGAGACGAGGTTTCGCCATGTTGGCCAGATTGGTCTCAAACTCCTGACCTCAAGCGATCCGCCACCCTTAGCCTCCTAAAGTACTGGGATTACAGTTGTGAGCCACCACGCCCAGCCGTCAAATGCCACCTTTGATAAGGCTGTCTCTGGCCACCCAATTTGAGACTGAAATCCTCCTCTCCACACACCCCAAATACTTCCTTTCTTGTTTTACTTTCCCCATGGCTCACTTATTGCCATTCATTTTAATATTTTTGCGATGATGATCTTTTCTTTGGAATATGAACCTAAGGAGAGAGCAGATATTTATCTCCTGTTCTGTGTGGTTCTCCTCCCTGCTGGATCCTCAGTGCCTAGAGCAATGTACTTGGCACAGAGTAGATACTTAGTAAATATTTGTTAAATAAATTAATGATTATCTTCTAGTAAAAGTACTGAGGTCTGAAAGCAAAACATGTATAAAAAAGACAAAAGCGCTCATGAATTTCTGATGACTAATCCTCAAAGAGGTTTATATCCATGTTGCTTGAAGGTTCATACCATGCAAAGCCACCATGGCCTTCCAGGAAATGCTTTGTGCCACTCTAAGATGCAAAATACAAAGCTGAATGGGCCACTTCGTCATTTCAGTACAGCAAGTGCTATGTTCTGCTCTGACATCCACCATGACTAGCATTATTCGTCAACACAGCTACTGCCCCACTTGTAGCTAAATTTTGAAAGGTGGCATTTAAAATTATAGGTTCTTTTTATCTATTCTCCTCCCTTGCTAAAAAATAATCAAGGGATAAGCGCTCGATGGTATGAAAACCATCACCATGGTAAATGTTCAAGTGACAAGGAAGAATGTCACAAGGTTTCAGATTTCCTGAATCATGCCTATTTTTTGCATAGGGAACAAAAAAGATTTCATAATCTAAATCCATTCCTTTTCAGATTCCTGCTGCCTGTGTAAATACTGCTTAGATAAATGACTCCTTGTCCAATGTATTTGTTTCCCCACAGTTGTTAAGAGTTCTCAGAGCAGTTGCTGCTTCAGTCAGTACCAGGGGCTCTCTCTCCACTTACCAGAGTCCTCACGCCCTACTTTTGTCTCCTATCCAGATGGCCTTCATTACAGGGAGAAATGCCACCAACAGGTGCTTCTTGTGCCTGGAAATGCCGTCCTGAAATTCAAGGAAGAGATAATCTTCTGTGTGCCTTAGTGGTGTGTGTGGGTTTAATTGTATGCATGGTTTGAGAAGCCTACAGTCTGCTAAAATATTTCTTGACACTCGTACCAGTTCCTCACTGTTAGAAAAATGTATCTAAATAGCAGAAGATTGCAACCTCATCATCTTAATTTTACTCCTGCAGATCTAGGTGCCATTTGAAGAGAGAAAAAAAATCTTTCATAAATCTGTACAAACCAGGTATCCCAACAATAGAACTGAAATGGAAAAAAATCTATTACTATAGAAGCTCTTGAATATTCTCTAACCAAGTACATTCCTTCACTGATGTTTTCTAAATTAGCAAGCAAAACCTTTCCCTTTGAAAACTCTGTAATAGCTGCCTTCTCTTTCTGAAGTTAGGTTTTCTGTTAGTTCCACAGGCTGGGATTAGTTGGTCACACTCTAAATCCGACTCCTAGTTCTGTCACTGAAGAATTCTGCTTCACCACGTGCAAAACAACCGTTTCGCTGTGGAAAAAAACAAACCGACACTCAGCTCATTGATCTTAGGAAAAATTACTGAGGACGGTGGGGGAATTTGCTCCTGACAAGAAGAATGACTTTAAAGCCTCAAATGATGCAAAATCCTTTCTGTAGCACACATTAGCGATAATCAGGGTGCGTTGCTATGGTTCAGTAGAAGTCGGTACTGAACTTCACAGAACTCTTTCAACCTCTCCTCTCTCACTGTGTAAATGTGAAAGTAACAATAAATCTTGTTGACAATTACTTCCATGTCTATTGGCAGGAAGTCAGCAGCCGTTTGAAGAGGATTGTGAGTGAGATGTGCAGAGGAGCCAACACCCATTAACTATCTCCCTAGTTTCTCCTGTGTCTTATAGAACATGTTATTTTTTCCCAGTGAGCAACGCTTCCAAATGGTGAATTAGTAATATTAGCACCAAATACCACTAATTTGTCAGCTAAGCTGTGTTTTTCCATAGCGCTTGCAGTGGGGGCCAATGACCCCTTTGCAACACAGCTGAGCAAAGATGAAAATCTGAAGATGTTTTATTTATATAATTTTGCCAGGCTTTATGAAAACACATTAAGACAGTCACAGAGGTGACTTAGTTACAGTTCAAAACATTCACCCAGACTGCAAACAGAATCCTGATATTTCAACCTAAAGCCTCCAGTAAAGGTGGCATTCCGGTAGCACCACAGCTATTTTTGAATTTCACAAACTAAATTAAATTTTAATTCATTCGGTCATTTTTATATATGAAAATCCCGTGCTCATTAAAATTGACAAATAAGTTGTTCATTCCCTTCAGACTCTCTCAGGGTTTTAAAACTGGGGAAGGGAAGGAGGAAGGTGCCTAGAAAGCCCCACAACTGTTTCCATCTGACACCAGTGCCCAGCACAGGAGGCCAAGGCAGGATGCGTGCTCCCAGCTGTGGTGTCAGCTGCTGTGCAGAAGTGGTGGAATGTCTAGTTGCTTGCTTGTTTCTAAGAGCACAGATGCTACCAAAGTTTCAATTCAGAAAGGGGTTTGGCATTGATTTTGAGGCCTGAGTGGTTCATCAGAAACTGTGCCTTGAAATTCATGTAATCAAAAGACCTCACCTTAAGAAATATCTCTCCCCAACAGAGCTTGAAAGCCAAAAAGTACACAATTTCCTGTGGCCCACACACTTACCAGCTAAAAAAGCCAACCCCCAGGATAACATATCAAGGGGGTGGAAGAGGATTCAGAGTGTAGACTGTCCAGTGACTCCATGTGTTGAAGAAACTTTTTTAGTTTCTCTCTTATTTTTCTCATGCTCCTTCCCAAACGGTTTTCCAGGGACAAGATAATGCATGGGGAAAGTTCATTACCAGTTAATGTCCAAACCAGGACACTTTTGAGAGTGCTAGTGGGTGCTTATTAAGAATACACTAGAACAATGGGTATAACCCACTACTACCCAGGGCAAACTGGAGCACATAATCTCCCTACCCAAATGAATGCTTAGGACTTTGGTGACAGAAAACATGCTTGTGGGTGGTGGGAGATGGTAAGGGGGCTGAATTCTTTGCTCTTCGGCAGAGGACTGAGAAGCTCAAGCTTCTTCAACTGCAAGCACTTATTCTCATCTAGAGTTTAACATATTACTGAGCTTGGGATTAGAATGCAATCCATACTTACTTGTTCAGTTCAAATGTTTGCTGACTTTAAAACTGACGTAATCATGACTGTACCTGTTATTTGGGCTTTCCAAGTCTATTTCTTGGCTGTGAAGCACATCTAACGTGTAGCTTTGGGGAAAGATTTGTAATCTGCAGATTTGAGAAGTAGGAATAAAAGAGGATGAAGTAAACACAGGCTTTTGAGTCATCCCACTTCCTTACTTTCTGAGTGAGTTTAGCAAGTGATCCTTGCCAGCCCACGGCAAGAGCCTCGGTGAAGTTTGTTTTTTGGGTTTTTTTTTTTTTTGTGGTTGTTTTTGTTTGTTTTTTTGAGACAGAGTCTCACCCTGTCGCCCAGGCTGGAGTGCAGTGGTGCAATCTCAGCTCACTGCAACCTCCTCCTCCCGGATTCATGCGGTTCTCCTGCCTCAGCCTCCCGAGTAGCTGGGATTACAGGCGCTCGCCACCATGCTCGGCTAATTTTTTGTAACTTTAGTAGAGACGAAGTTTCACCATGTTAGCCAGGCTGGTCTCAAACTCCTGACCTCGGGATCCGCCTGCCTCAGCCTCCCAAAGGGCTGGGATTACAGGCGTGAGCCAACGTACCTGGCCACCTCTGTGAGTTTTAATTGCCACTTCTGTAAAGTGGTAATAATAGAACAAGCTCACAGGGTTCTTAGAAGTATAAAACAAGATAAATATGTGTATTTAATTGTTTAGCACAGCAGCTGGCACTTAGAAATCAGTTGGTAGTTAATGATGGCTACTAATAATATTATTCTCATTATTAGTAGAAAGACAACTGGCCTGAGGTCTGTGCTTCACAGCCCTGGATTTCTGTTGTTAAGGATCTTTTGTTATCCTGTAGTTCATTGCACAGATACTGCAGTTCCAAGGAAGAAGATAGTAGTCTACAAGTACCAAAGGACTGCCTTGTTAAATAATTCCTTGTACTTTGCCTGTTTTTACTATTTTATAACAGATTAACTAATCAACCGTAAGGACAACAATCAGCCTTACCTGAAGACTCAAATCTATAAAGAGGCTTTCTCTGGATATTTAAGTTACAAAATGAATGCAGATATTTGTATGGTTCCCTTCTAGCATTTTTACATGCATAATATTTCTTTGTGTAATTCTTGAGGAAGTGCCCTAAGAGAGTTTTAGATGACCCATTAGGCTGAATGTAGAGAGAGAGTGGGGAAAGGCCCCTGTAGGAGTTCTCCACTCAAAAAAGGAGGGGGAATGAGCTAACCATGAATAATCCAACATAATTTTGGATCGTATGAGGTTTCAACTGGCCTCTCGGTTCTTTCCCAGATGCTAGAAAGCCAGAGAACCAATAGATCTTTTTTCAGCTGACAGTTCTTCGCACCTTGTAATGCCCTCAGCAAAACTGTTCATAAGTAGCGACAACATCCACAGACAGTTTGTTCATTGTTCTCCCACCTTCTCTTAGAAAAGTGATATGTCCAAACATAAACTTGAAATAGTAGCTCTTTCTTATATGAGTCAAGCCCCAGTAATGGAAACTCAAACAGCAAGGGAAAGTGTGTTAAGGCTGTAGAACGATTCCCAGACCTGAGGATGGCTCACTTTTACACGAGGATAAGCAACCTACTCCTCATTTTTCACATTTCACCAGTAAAATCCATACAATAATATCTGCTTATATGTTTTCTGTTAAGTAATCTTCTTGAAGAGGTAAAGATAAAAATTTGTAGGACAAATGCATCAAAAACAATAGCAGCAAGATAGTCCTTTTCCCAGCCAGTCTCAAATCAAATCTTTAATTTTCCAGCATCTTATGATCCTGGGCAACTGTGAAAGTGAGTTTTTCAAGGAAAGAGTACCATAGAACCCCCCAAGGGGCAGATAGATGGAAGCCTTTCACACTGAAGTCTGAAGTTGAGCTTATGTGGGGAAGCAATTCATACATTTTTCTGTCAAATCCATGGCAGAATAAACCATGAACTCTGAAAGGCATCTCAACGCACACAGACCTAAGACTGGGCTAGTCTGACAGGGCCTTGTGATGGAAAGTGAGGTTGTAGTAGTTCATTCTCACACTGCTATAAAGAACTACCTGAGACTGGGTAATTTATAAAGAAAAGAGGTTTAATTGACTCACAGTTCCACAGTCTGGGGAGGCCTCAGGAAACTTACAATTGTGGTGGAAGAAGAAGCAAGCATGTCTTACCATGGCAAAGCAGGAGAGAGACAGAGAGAGTGAGGGAAAGTGCCACACTTTTAAATGATCAGATCTCGTGAGAACTCACTTACTACTATAAGAATAGCATGGGGAAATCCTGTCCTCATGATCCAATCACCTCCCACCAGGTCCCTCCCCTGACACATGGGGATTACAATTCAACATAAGATTTGGGTGGGGACACAGAGCCAAACCATATCTGGGGTGGTGTTTAAGATCCTAGGTCTAGCGTCAGCCCTGATAATGGGCTACATATACAACTGATAATATCCATTAAACTATCTGGACTAATTAGATGTAATTTTTATATGTATGGACATTAAGCAGTATTCAAATTCTACCATTGTCTTTGTTTTCAAGTAATTCTTAACAAAAGTAATTTGTTATTTGAGAATAATTTTTGGCAATTTTTCTAAACATGAGAGGTATCACATTTTACCAAAAATACTAACTTATTAACTATTTTATTCACACCACTAGCATATTTTTTTGTCAGTCACTAAGCTAAATGATTCAGAGGCAACTTTATTTTTATTTATTTTTTATTTATTTATTCTTCTTGAGACGGAGTCTCGCACTGTTGCCCAGGCTGGAGTGCAGTGGCCACATCTTGGCTTACTGCAACCTCTGTCTCCCGGGTTAAAATGATTTTCCTGCCTCAACCTCCTGAGTAGCTGGGACTACAGGCATGCGCCACCATGCCTGGCTAATTTATATATATACACACACATATATATATACACAAACACACACACACACACACACACATATATATATATATGTATATTTAGTAAAGACGGGATTTCACCATGTTGGTCGGGCTGGCCTTGGTCTCCAGACCTCAAGTGATCCACCCACCTTGGCCTCCCAAAATTCTGAGATTATAGGAATGAGCCACCACACCTTGCCTTTTTTCTTCTTTTTTTTTTAAGACAAGGTCTCACTCTGTTGCCCAGGCTTGAGTGCAGTAGCATAATCATGGCTCATTGCAGCCTCAACTTCTCAGGCTCAGGACATCCTCTCACCTCTCAGCCTCCTGGGTAGCTGGGATTACAGGCATGCACCACCATGCCATTTTAACTTTTGTATTTTTTTGTAAAGACAGGGTTTCACCATGTTGCCCAGGCTGGTCTCAAACTCCTGGGTTCAAGCGATCCACCCAAGAGGCAACTTTAAACAAGACATATGGAGGGTTATCAAGGACAAGATACTACAGCTGAGGAGCCAGATGTATAAGAAACAATTACAATGCAATGTAATGACTTCTGCAATAGACCTGCACAGGATGCTATAGTAAGATACATGGCAGGACAAATTCATTAGAAGGGAAAATTTATTTCCTGGGCTTTGAAGATGAGTAGGAGTTTATAGAAGCAGGAAAATGGAATTCCTGATTCAAAAAAGTAAATGTAGTAATAATTTAATATATATTGGGTCCCAACTATGTATCGAGTGGTATCCTCAGGACTTTATAGATATTATTTCAATTAACCCTTATAAAAATCCAATGATATAAGTATAATATATTCATCTTATAGATGAGCAAGTTGCAGTACAGAGAAGTTAAACAACTTGTCCAAGATCACACAGCTATAAGGTGGTGGAGCTCTCAGGAAACCTTTAAAGAGTATAGTATATTAATAAACTGTCCAAGAGTCTAATATTTTATAATACATTATGCATGAGATTAAACAGAAGAGGAGAATTTGTAAACTGCCCAGGAAAGTAGGGGAGTGAATGCACTAAAAACATATACTACTACTACTCAGCAGCAGGCAAAGCCTACTTTTCTGTTCTTGGTTATGAGCATGAAATGAAATCATACTATGTGATTTTGTGTTTGTTTCTAATCATATACATCTGTCTAGTTTCAGGCGTAAAGAAGGCAAAGAGTTGGATACAATCAAGATTTTGGTTTTCTCAAGTGAATACCACAGAGCAAGAGTGGGGTGGGGTTAGGGTGTCTGCAAGGCATAATTATAATATTTGGTTGTCAAGAACATTGGGTTGGTGAGGAAAGTGTAAAGTAATCCTCCCAATAGATTAGATGTCACAGTGGTACCTAAAGATCATTTAGGATGGGAAAAGAGAGACAGAGAAAGAGAGAGAGAGAAAGGCCTGGAACTCTATCTAGGAGAGGAAGCAGTGTTCAGAGAACATGCGGCAGGAAATTCAGATTCTGGGGAGATGCTGTGATTGATAATGATTGGATGTAGTTCTAAGCATGTGATCTCAGAAAGAAGGGACAAAAGTAAGGGGAACATAAGGATTCTTAGCAGAGAGAAGGTCAAGGAACTGAGGGGCCAGGTGTTAGATCAACTCTGCCATATTGAAATTACCACGAATGAAGTCATGAAGTCAGAGGTAATCCTGAACAGAGTGGCCATGAACCAGGAGCAAAAGTCCTCAAACAAAGAAGGAAAACCATCCAGACATCAGTAGATGTCAGCAACAATGGGGCCAGCTGACAGACTGAGATGAAGCTTGGGTTTTCTTAGAGTGGGGGAAAGAGACTGCTCTGGAAGCGGCAAGAGAAGCCAGAGCAGCCACTCCACCTCCAGCTGGTGGGCAGAAGCTGTGGGGAGGCCACAGAAATTACCACCCGAGAGGGATATCAGGATGTAAGTCCCAGACGAGCACTAGATTCCGATTCTAATGCAACAATGCAGGGAATATTTAAAGATAAAGTCAAGAATACAGGATATTTTACTTATAATGGAACAGAAGTCCCATTGGAAGGATGTCAGGTGTTTGAAGGAAAGGTATGGATAAGCTCTGTGGGGACTAGAGTGTGGTAGAAACAGGGTAAAAAAGGAGACCTGGGACCTGGGGGCTCCTGTGTTGACTGACGTTAATAGGAACAGGAGCATAATGGTTCCAAGAGATGGTGGTGGAGAGGCTGTAGGAGAGAAAGGTAGGTTCCTGGGCCTTTCTCTTCTTATCATGGTGAGGAAAGTAGAAAGCAAGGGAAGAGAACTCTTAGACTCAAGAACATTCAAACTTTTTACAGGATTCCAACCTGTTTTCACTGATCTTGTAATAAAAAAGAAACTCATCTGAATTGAAACATGGAACATTCTTTAAGGTCTCTAAGCCCAGCAAAAGCAGTGAAGAATGACATGAAAGAGATGCCTGCTACTCAAAGTTGAATGCGACGGGGGCCCAAATTCCCACATGAAGTGCTCACATCCTATTGCTGCCTTTCTGTATCCTTCTGAGATTTAAGTCCCTTCTAAAATATGAATCCTTTCCTTGCTATGGATTCTTTGACCATTTTCTTTTGCCTAAAAAAGGCAAGACTTGTAAAAAATTACTCAGTTTGCTTTTATTTTAAATCACCCAAGAGTTGGAGGTTACTCTGACAGTAAGCTAGCAGGATGAAAGAGGAAAGATTAATGAGTCTTTCTCTAAAAACCAACAAATCAGGTTCTCATCAGAAACACAATAGTCTTGGTTATTGTTAGGTAAGGGAGAATATTTAACATGAAAAAAAATAAAATAAAGGAAATCATGCAGAAGAAAACAAAAGGTCAAAGAACTGTCTTATCCTTTTTAATGCTTGGGGCCTCTGTTGAGCAGGGAAAAATTGAGAGAGACATTATTGTCGTCTCTTGCCTCTGCTTGTCCCATTTTGGTTGCTTTATCTCCACCTATAACTTAGAAAGAGCAATTATAAACAAATGGGGACCAGCATGAGCACCTCTCTGGCAGCCTCTCAGGGTCAATTGTCTCCTCCCAGCCCCTGCACCAGCAGAGTGATGCATAGCCCTTGGATGTCGGCTGGAGGAAATGCTAAGGAGGCAAGTGGCCTGTGATTTAAACCCATGCCTGCCTTTGTCCGCTCCACATGGAACTCCATCAGGAAGGGAGCCTGGACAAAGTTTTGCTCCTTTAAAATACAGGAATGGATACAGGATATATGATAAGCATACAGAGTGATTCAAGGGAAAAAAAAAAGCGATAGAAATCATTTCCCATTATAATCCTTGTGAATTGCCTTACGTCTCTAATATATATCGCTTGGGAAATAATTTTAAAGCATTTAAAAATATCTTCCATTTTCTATTATGAGCCTTTGGATTTCCACAGTTTGAAAGAGTGAAGAGACTATAGCTTAGAAAACTAATTACAAAACATAAAAATGCTCAAGTCTAATGGAACATATCAGATTGGAGGAAGATTCCAGCAATGGCAGGCAGTATTACAAATGTAGCCCACATGAAAGAAGGAGCCACATCTGAAAAGAAGACAGCAGTTCCTACCTCAATGTCTTGTTCTCAACATCTTTGTTTTACATTCTCTTTGTTCCTGTTGGCTTACTAATTAGCTGTGATTTTTTTTTAATGCCCCTTACAGTAGGTTAATTTTGTCTAACTCACCAGCAGGGGTTTTTGTAATACATAATTCACAGAGCAATGTCAATGATTAAAATTCTTTCATTAACACAGCACCTTAAAGATAATAAATATGAAGCCTTTAGCTTCCAATCTGTGAGTGCAGAAAGCCTAATTTTGTATGGAAAGAAATGCATGCTTAGATAACTTGGCATTGCAAAACAAAATGGAATCTGAGTTTTAGAGTATTGCAAACACAAAGTTGAGCAAATCAAAGAGCAGTTATTTTGAGCACAGTGATATAGCAGGGGGTTTTGAGAGAAATTCTAATAACATACTTAAAAAATGCAAAACATGCAGCTAAAAGTGCTCTTTTCTGGCATTTATGTGGGCAGTGCTGTGGCCTTGTGGATGATTAGCTGGAGAGAGTCAACATGTCTTAGGTTGAAAGTTGTCAGTGGCTGAAAGTTGCTTTGGCCTTTCCATGCCATTTCCCTTCACTCTCTTCAAGAATTTTAACAGGTTTGACTCATCAGATTCCAAGAAGAGCAATGCAGTAATTAGAGATAGGATATGAAATTTCATTTTGCAAAGTTTTAATAACTCTTAGAACATCTGTTCCTCTGAACTCTATCACTTCCTTTACACCTACACCCAAACGATTCTTATATTTCATTTTGCTAAGTACAAGCTCTGTTTGCTTCTGTGTATTCAACCTGATACAAAAAGGATAATAATCACAGATGTCTTGGCAACAGCAGCCTAGAAAACAGAGAATCTGATCACTAAATGTGATTTTGTTTAGAGCCTTTCCCCACTGACATATTTTTTTTTTCTCTTTCTCTTTCTCTTCTCCAAAGATGAATCAGATTTTTTTAATTGACTATGTTTGGGGGATGGATATATGTATTTTGGGTAGTAATAACAAAGAACACTTTGATTCAAAACATTTTCTTGCATTAAATATATCAATTAAGGGTGACTTTTCACAGAAGCAGCTTAAAGTTCAAAGACATGAAAGTAGAATTAAAAACCACAAAACTGTCACCCAGTCCAAAGGTTATGGCTCAAATTTAACAGGTGGCTCTGACATAATGTATTTTCTACTCTCAGCTATGGCTCTAACAGATTTGTCTCTGGAACCAAAATGCAGCATCAAACTAAGCCCTCAATTGGCATTTTGAGCTAGAGAGACACGGAACCAGGTTAGTAAAGGAGGTTCCCCAATATGTCATCCATTCAAGTAAATAGCCTGTCCACTTCAAGAGGGAGGTCAGCAGCAGGCCAGTCAGAGGAAACGTTCGTGAACTTGTCCCTGCTCTGTAATTTGCCTGTGGCTAATTTCATAATTTCTATTTTTAGTGTGTGGTTGCTCCCATCGCTCTCATAAGCACAAATAATTGCTCCCATTTTTTAAAAGAAAGAAAGCAGCAAATAGCCCCTTTGTAAGGCAAGCCACTGAGCTAGCTACTAAAATTAATATTGCATTCCACTAAGTGAAATTTGCTACTGACCAACACATTAACAGGAAAGTTGTAACAAATGTTTCTATTTTTTAAATGATAGGCAAACTTAGTTCTTTTAGCCCAGGCAGTGTTTAAACTAGAAGTGTTTTAATTTCACACATGTTAACCAAAAAGAATTGATTTTTTTTCCTTGTTTCCACTTATGGATTAAAGTCTGGGTACCTTGCCAAGCTTGGTCAACCAGTTTCTGTTAACGATAACAGATGAGGTGGGTGCAGAGTGACTGATATGCATAACCACTGGGCAATAGATACATATGATTCAAATAAATCAAGAATTTTATATGGATAGATTGAATCATAACTTGAGTATCTGAATTTATAGCTCTTTAATGCCACATAAAAGAGAATAGTAAAAGGCTAAGAGTAAAGCCTTTATGTCAACTCAATCTCCTTCCTATTGAAAAGATTGAGTTTAGGATTCTTTCCTCTTCCTGGAGCAGTCATGGCCATGTCTAACCAGATTGGTCTTCATATCAAAAACTTGATTGACTATTTTTCAATCAAATATTCAGAGCTCTGTTAGTACAATCCACCACCTCCACCATAGACAACCATAATAATAAGCCTGATTTGGGCTTTGAAATTGTTATTTTTCAGGTGGTCTCTACATAGGTCTGTAAATTACATCCTTTCACTCTCTTATCCAGCCCTTCAACCCTCATATCTCTTGAGTTCCTACTGTAGGTCTAGAAGTTCATGGCAAGGACTTTGTGTTTCATTTTTAACTGGGAAGGATGTTTCTTTCTTTCTTCCTTTCTTCCTTTCTTCCTTTCTTCCTTCCTTCCTTTCTTCCTTCCTTCCTTTCTTTCTTTCTTTCTTTCTTTCTTTCTTTCTTTCTTTCTTTCTTCCTTCCTTCCTTCCTTTCTTTTGTTCTTTCTTTATTACAGGGAAGGATTTTAAATTGAAGAGTGACATAATCTGTCATCAGTTTTAAAAGGATCACTCTGAGTGTTGTATTGAAAAAAACTTTACTAGAGCAAAGACAGGAGCAAAGAAGACCAGTTAGAAGACTAATGCAACAGTCCAAGAAAAAGATGATGTCTTGACTGGATGGAAAACGGCAGAGATTATGGAAAGTGGCCGGATTCACATATATTATGAAACTTGAATATTATGAATTCTGAATCAACAGAATTTGCTGATGGAATGATGGAGACAAAGAGACAAAAATCAAGTTCACTAGAATGTAAACTCCATTACGATTATGTATGTATGTATATGTCCCCCGATGGATCCCCAGCACCTACATAGAGCCTGGGGCCACTCATTTATTATTTGTTGAATAAAAGATACGGTGGCCCCAAGGTTTTGAACAGAGAAATTATGTGACTGGAGTTGCCATTTATTGAAGGAGGAAGGGAACAACTTCAGAGTCCGGTTTATTTATTTGTTTGTTTTGCTAGTAGGAGAGCACAAAATCAATAGTTCAGTTCTGGACATGTTAAGTTTGAAATGGCTATTAGATATTAAGGGGCAAGGCCATGTTGATGGTTGTGCTTCTTACTTCAGAGTTTAGGGAAAAGTCAGGGATTGATAAATAAATTTGGCTCTTATCAGGGAACAGATGGAATGTAAAGCTATGGGTAGACAAGAGACCATCTAGGTTGTGACTACCACAAAGAAGAGAAATTTGAGAGGTGAGCTTGGGTCACTCTAAGATGTGCAGGTCAGGAAAATGAAGATAAGCAAAGAAAGAGCAGTCAATTAAGTGAAAGGTGAACCAAGAAAGAACAGTATCTCAGATATGAAGAAAACAATATGTCTTTAATTATTAGGTTGGTGCAAAGGTAATTGCGGTGTTTGCATTAAAAGTAATACCAAAAACTGCAAGCAAAAACTGCAATTACTTTTGCACCAACCTCATAGTTAAGTAATTGTGTCAAATGCCATTAATGAATCCATCAAAAAAAAAGATGAAAATTGACCATTTGATTTTGCAACTTATAGGTTCACAGTGACCTTGACAAGAGCCATTTCAGTGGCATCAGTATAAATGATGTCCTGCCCCTAGAACAGTGCTAACATATGGCTGGCACTCAATGGCACTCATGTTAGTCATGCCTCATTGCAAGAAATCAATTTAGATCCTGACAATGTATTTAAACACATTTATATACATATTTAAAAATCTGACATAGCAATCATCAGACATAGACAAAGACTGAGGTTAAATGTGTTCATCAGAGTATCATATTTGTCAATAAAATGTTCAACAAAACCTTAATATTAAACATAATAAATGGTTAAGTAAATCATACTTTATTCAAACACAGAAATATTATGCAGTCATTAAAAATGCTTAATAGAAAATATGTAAGTATCTAATAGTATGAGATCACATTATATGATATAATGGATTACATGATACAATATTATGTGGATATAAAGCAGGAACTTAATAAATTTTAAAATATATTTAATAGTTCACTAAAACCTGATATCAGCACAAGACATTTATGACCACTGAAGTCAATTGCAGTCTTAGAGTTACGTCACCCAGGAATTCTGTTTTTGTATCCTTTATCAAAGGATGATGTGGTAAGACAATAGGAAGCTACGTTCACATTCTGTGCATTCTTAATCCCTAATCGTCTTTACTTTTTTTTTTTTTTTTTTTTTTTTTTTGAGACAGAGTTTCGCTCTTATTGCCCAGGCTGGAGTGCAATGGCACAATCTCGGCTCACCACAACCTCCACCTCCCAAGTTCAAGCGATTCTCCTGCCTCAGCCTCCCAGCTAGCTGGGATTACAGGCGGGATTACAGGCAGGTGCCATCACACCCGGCTAATTTTGTATTTTTAGAAGAGATGGGGTTTCTCCATATTGGTCAGGCTGGTCTCAAACTCCCAACCTCAGGTGATGCACCTGCCTCAGCCTCCCAAAGTGCTGGGTTTACAGGCGTGAGCCACCGCGCCCAGCCTAACTGTCTTTACTCTTAAGGCATACATCAATGTACTGAATTTCAAAAGGTTCATATATTTTTACTCTCCCAAGTGGACAAATCAGATCTACTTCATAATTAATAAAAGTGATTTTGCAGAAATAAATCATGAGATTGCCTAGAAAATAAATAACTAAAAATAGTTGATGCAAAAGCTTGTGAAGACAACTTGTCTTGGCAAAGTATCTGCCATATTAACCTCGTGATACCAAAAAAAAAAAAAAAAATACTATATATCAGCTAACTCCAGATTCAAATTAAACAGAGATCTTATAACTTTCATTAAAATAAAATTTGATTCCCTAAATTCTCCAAAATTATTAACTATCCTAATGGAACGATTGGATTATTTTCCTTACAACAAAGGCCTATTATAAACTATCTATGGAATCTATTTTAAGCAAATGCATAGCTAGTTCTTTTTTTTTTAGATTTGTGATTTGTGTAGTCTAAAATGAGACTGAAGAACAGTAGGAACGTTGTTGTTCCTAGATTATTTTATTATATTTAGAACCATATTGTAAATGCCATATTACACATTTTTATTTCAAACTCCAACTATATTTGAATAGAAGAAAGGCATAATTGGTGAAATAATAAATAAACGAATGCATAGAGTAGTGCATTTTTTAAACCACTATTATTTTTCAGTGAATTAAATTTCAACATTTATTTAGTTTTCTAATTAAAAGCAATATCTATTGTCTTAACATGCTCAGTCAAAAACCAAAACGTCTCTCTATAAAAACGACCAGATGAAAACCAAGTGCTCTACCTAAACTTTTTATCTTGATCATTTTAAAGGAGCTAATTATAATATAAACTAAAATGCTTCTGGTTGTTGAAGGTATCATATTATATCATATTTTAAAACATAAAAGCCCGAATGCAGTGGCTCACACCAATAATCCCAGCACTTTGGGGGCCAAGGCAGGAGGATCACTTGAAGCCAGGAGTTTGAGACCAGCCTGGGCAACACAGTGAGACCCTGTCTTTACAAAAAAATTAAAAATTAGCTGGGTGTGGTGGCAAGCATCTATAGTCCTAGCTTCTGGGGAAGCTGAGGTGGGAAGCTCTCTTGAGCCCAGAGTTCAAGACTGCAGTGACCTGTGATTTCACCATTGCTCTCTAGCCTGGTCAATAGAGTGAGAGCCTGTCTCTAAAAATAAAAATAAATAAATAATTTATATATATAATATAAAATATCACACCCTCATAATCTATAATATAAAGACAAAA
The DNA here is from genome assembly GCF_000001405.40 of Homo sapiens. NCBI lineage: Eukaryota > Metazoa > Chordata > Mammalia > Primates > Hominidae > Homo > Homo sapiens. Next base: position 82,148,139 of record NC_000001.11, on the reverse strand, counting down.
TATTAATATAGAAATAACATTAAAGTATCTAAAAATCAGAAATAAACCAGACATTGATAAGCATCATCAACCATACAGATTCACCTGTGTTATTGAGACAGATGCAGAAAAATAATTCATCTAATATTTATTCCACTATTTTTTATCTTTTGACCCTGTGATTGTGAAAACTGTGTCACCAACCAATTGTTCTATTAAAATGTAATCCTAAGAATAATTTTTAAAGTACATTTCCATTACAAAATTAATTCTGACTACTGTTGAAAATCATGAAATACCAAAATTAACCAAAGACATAAACTAAATCACCCACAATATTACCCCAAGGAGACAAAGTTTTAATATGTGCTTTAATAATACTTACATAATTTTCTATTTTAAAACCAGAATCCTCTAGTAACTCGATTTGGCAGTTTTTTTTTTTTTTTCAGTGCAACACTGTAAACATTTTCCATAACTTTACATATCCAGCTCCAAGACTTTTTTAATGGCTGCTTAGTATTATATCAAGTACACTTGCTATAATCTGTTTAAGCAATCCCATGTTGAACATGTAGATGATTTCTAATTTTCTCCATTATGAACAAACCTACAAGTAACATTCTTTTAGATAAATATTTGTACAACATCATAATTCTATCCTTTGGCTAAATTTTCAGATTTGGTTTATTACTGAGCATCACTACATTACTGAAACTACAAAAATGCATGGAAACTTTTTAATGGGTTCTCTCTCAGAAATAGGTTCTCTTTACTCCCCACTTTCTTCATTAGCAGGAAAACTAACATTTCACAGGCAGTAATGCTAGGTGACTTTATAGCATCAAATCCTTGCAATAATCCTGTTGAATAGATCCCATTATCTCCATTTTACAGGAAAGGACAGTGAGACTCCAAAAGGTTAACTAACTTGTCGAAAATCACATAACAGGTAAAGAACAAAGCTAGAATTTAAACTTGGACCTGATTCCAAAGACCCTGCTATCTTTATTAGAGCAGGTTGCATGCTTCTGTGGGTGGGGAATGGCTTGCCACTTACTACACTTCAGTTCCTTTCAGAATACTGAAAACCAAACCCACTAGCTGGCAGAAAGGGAAAACTCAGATCATAAAATGTATGATTTTCAAATGCCCACTTTGAGAAATGGGAATTTTGGTTTTTATTCATTTCTTTGTAATCAGATTCCCCGGTCATGGGCTTCTTTTGTGATTTCCTTCTTTTTTTCTTCAAAGTAGTTATGGTGGTTTTCTCCACTTCTTTTCTGACTATGCCGCTTCTGGAGGGTTGGAAGGGTCCCTGCCCAAACAATGTAGGGCTGTCACTGTAGGCCTTATTGTCTGGCCAGGTTGAATATCTCAACATCATAATCAAGACAACCCTGGCATTATGATTGGCCACACTTTCTTTTGAACACAGCCCTACTGAAACACACACTACCCCCACCTGGCAGTGCAGAAGCCCACTGGTTTGAAACTAAGGTCTTACACATCAAAATCTAATGAGAGAAAATTAATGGTTCTCACTTCGTATCAGAAAAACCTTTTCAATAGTTTTTTCCATAGTCATGACATCAGACAGAGAGAGCCAAAGGTCTCCACATCAGTCTTATACCATCCTGAGCAAAAGAGTTCCACCTTTCCCAACAAGTGGGAATAGAAGTTGGGAAACAAACAAACAAACAAACAAAAAAACTTTAAAAACAGGACAAGCGGCTCTATTGTTATCGTTTCATCTGATACAATTAATCAATCATTATTATGTTTGCCAAACATAAGCAGGAAAATGTTATAAAAATCTGAGAAGCATTAAACTATAATTAAATTTCCATTTCATCTCTCCTCTCTCTAAGGTTCTACTTATTTGCCTGTTTTTTGTCTGTTTTGTTTAACAAAGATATTTTCCAAGAACCCTCAATCAAATTGTCTACGTTTTGTAGGTTCTAAATCTTCTCGCCACACAAACCTGAGACTTTCTTTCCAAACGTAACTTATCTTTCTTTCCTTCCCTCTGCAAAAATTTACTGAGCATCTATCATCCAGATGCCCCTTAAAATATAGAGACATATTTTATGGAGGACTATCTTATTAAAAAATTTCCATGAGTAACTGGAATTAATGAGATAATTTCTCTCTCAAGAGCAAATATTCTGATAGACAAATTTCATGTTTCAAATTTCATCTTTCAAGCATTGTACAAGCAATTGTACATCATGCAAATATTTGGTTCAATTTACTGCTTTGGTTGGTGTTGGCATTTGTGTATGTCAGTCTGTTCATGCATATGCCACTCTTATAAAGCTTTTAGAGGATGAAGGATCTGTTTATATTTAACTTACATGTGCACACACTAGCACACATTAGTACCAATCCAGACAGATGCTTATTGAGTTATCTCAATAATTATAATATTCCCTTAACTTCTTAATATATGAGTGACTATATTTTAATGCACCATTAGCCAAATATTCTCCTCAACGCCAGCCACATTATCATAACAAGTTTAAGACAGGCATCACCTAGGGACCAAAATTAAGCTGATGATAGATCCCTCTTTTTAATATGGATGGTAGATTTATTTGTATGTTCATCTATATAGATTTTCACACTGGTCCCCAGCCAGGCTGTAGCAAAGTGGGGAAACCTTTGCCAGTTCCTTTCTGGCAGACCCATGGCTTGAAGGAGTTTTTGGCCTGGAGTTTGATCAACGGATGCTGGAATCACCTAAAGAATTGAGAACATCCAAACGCTGATTAACTGTGTTTGTTGATAGAACACATTTGGTTATTCTGAACATGTTTAAAAATTGTACCAGTGTTGTAATTTTCTTTATTGTCATGTAAAATTTTGGCACATATAGTTTTCTTTATTGACATGTATAATAATAATACAAATCATGTGTACCTTGCTGAACACTGGTGTGATATGAACCTTTCTAAGTTCGCTGGGTTCTCTAAACAATAACCTATTTTACCAAGATTCAAGCCAACATGATCACTACTTTCAGAGATCTGAAGTATGTGAGATATTTATGCTTTTCATTGTTGATTTCTTCTTTTTTAAAAAAATCTGTACCTTTCGACTTTTCCTTTGATAAAGTTATAGCTGGTCGTACAGTAGATAAACCAAGTAGGAAAATTATCATATCTAATATGGTTTATAAAAGAACAGCAAGACTCTGTCAAGCTTATATTTTTTAATGGGTGGTTATCCTTCCAAGAAAAAAATATAAAAATCAGAAAGAGACCATTACTTTAGGTTAAAAAAAGTCATGGCAATTTATCTTCTGACTTACAACGATTCTTACTGGTTCCATTTGGAGTGCATTTTTCTTACCAGCTCTCTGTGGACGAGGAATTGTATTAGCCTGTCATTCACGTAATACACATAACACTGATATAGGGACCATCCTTCAATGGTGGCACCATCTCTCAACCTAGTAGTCCAGTCCCCCTGGGTGGCTGCCTGGATGGCAATTAAATCGTTGCTGTAACCCCTATGCTCCAGAGTTCCTAATTCAATTGGCCAAGGTTTTGAATGATGACTCTGAGTGCATTACAGTGATAGTGCGGTGCTGTACAGGAAGGGCATCAAACTCAAGCATCCCCGAGCCCTGCAGTTCCTTAGAGATGATGAAAATGCTTTCTCCATTTCAGACTGCCAAAAGATGAACAAGGGTAGGGGGAAAAGCCTGAAGAAATTAACTAGTAAATATAACATAGATTATTTGCTTTCTTCTATTGTAGGAAATCATTGGGATAAATAGATAAAAGAATAAAATAAAGTGTTATCAGAATAGTTGTGGGTGTCTTCTTCTACATATGTATTTTATCACTGCTATTAACTATGCGTACCTCTTTTAAACAAACTTTTTAAAAAATTTTTGATTTCTAATTGACACATAATTGTACATACTTATGGGGAGCATAAGTACATACATACATACAATGTATAGTGATCATATTAGTCCATTCTCATGCTGCCTATAAAGACATATCTGAGACTGGGTAATTTATAAAGGAAAGAGGTTTAATTAACTCACAGTTCAACATAGCTAGGGAGGCCTCAGGAAACTTACAATCATGGCAGAAGGGGAAGCAAACATGTCCTTCTTCACATGGCGGCAGCAAGGAGAAATGCCAAGCAAAAGGGGGAAAAGCCCCTTATAAAACCATCAGATTCATGAGAATTTACGCACTATCACGAGACCAGCATAAGGATAACCACGTCCACGATTAAATTACCTCCCACCAGGTCCCTCCCACAACACATGGGGATTATGAGAACTACAATTCAAGATGAGATTTGGGTGGGCACACGGCCAAACCACATCAGTGATTATATCAGTGTAATTAGCATATTCATCATCTCAAGCATTAATCATTTCTTTGTGTTAGGAACATTCAATGTCCTCCTTCTAGCTATTTGAAACTATATAATATATGATTGTTTACTACAGTCATCCTATAGTGCTATTGAACAATAAACCCTCTCCCTCCTATCTAGCTGTAATTTTGAAATCTAGACCTATCCTTTCCTTCCTCCTACCCTTCCCAGCCTCTAGCATCCTCTTTCCCCTTAAACAAGTTATTTACTTTTAACTTTTGTGAGTTTGTTTTAAAGTCATTTATCATCAAAAGTTAAATATATATCAAAAACCTCACAAAGTTGACAAGAAGGAGACATATTGGAAAAATATTTGCAGTGTATGTAACAAAGTGCTAGTATCCATGACATAATGATTAACATTTATGAGTGCTTCCTGTGTAACAGGCAGTGTTCTCAATAGCTCATGGGTACTGTTTCATAAGAACCACAAGGGGTGGGTTCTGTTATAATTGTCATTTCACTGAGGCAAAGGTGGTTAAGTAACTTGACAGTTGCCACAGTTAGCAAGTGACAGAACATTACCATGAGCAGTGCATGAACAGTGCCAGTACATTAACCCAGGAAGTTTGAGTCCAGCGCCCGAGACTTGCCCACCTCTCCATATCTAAGTCAGTTTTGCAAATCAATAAGGAAAAGACAATTTTTTTTTCAAAGGATGAAAACAGGACAAGTATATGAACTGATGATTCCAGAAAGCAGTAATATAAATAGCCTTCCAAAAAAAAAAAAGAAGGAAAAATCATCAACAATGGTAGCTTGAAACCACCATCATAATGCACATGGCTGTGCTGTGGGTTACAGGTTTGCCCAGAGATTGGCTTGATTGGGACCTTTGGTCAGTTGCCCCTAATGCCAGACATCCTCATCCACTTTCCTCAGTGGGCAACAGGATATAATATTTTAGGCATTCTATGTTGAGAAGTTCTAATTACTTTCTTTGACGTTAAACTTCCTTTTTCTATAAAAGCTGGTAACATAGGAACTACCTCACAGCACTGTTGTAAAAATGTAGTGAAATGTGTGTATGGCACTTAGCAAGTGTCAGGCATATAGTAACTGCTCACAATTAGTGCTATCTGCTTTAGGCTAAATGGTGTGTGTTACTCAGCAGCCCATTGGAAGTTGTGAGAAATTCTTTATCCCTCTTTTCCCACCCACAAAACAAAGTTGATCTATGCTGACCCACTACTCACTACCTGACTTTTAATAAAATTGAGGCAACATAGACAGCATAAGATATATGAAAGAGTGTGTCTAAGCCCAGACCGGTACCCACTGAACCCTGAGTCAGAAGCTTGCTCCTGCTCCTATCTTCCAGGTCATGGTGAAGTCAGTTGTCTCCCATCTCATACTCTAGAAAGGAAAAATTTACATAGCACACAACAAAGGTATGAAAGCTAGTTGCTACATCCTATAGTTCATAATGCACTAAGAAGCAGATCCCACTGTAAAAGCCTCATCGAAGTATCTACATGTTGCATAATACACCATATAGACATGATTATATGATCTGCTGGATAGCTTGCTTTGAGCCTTGGTCATTGATCATTCCCTTGCTCCCTGAAGGGAAGAAGAGAAATGATGGATAGTAACAAGGGGAGAGAACAAAAGACATTAAGTGACATCCAAAAAAAAAAAAAATGTAAAAAGACTAGACAGCAACAATTTGTGAGTCAACAGGGAAGCTTGGTATAGTGAAGTGCAGTGAATCAAAATGATCAAATGATTTTATTAGCTTGGTTTTATTAGTCAGATCTATTACCTTTTTTTTTATGACCAGAGAAAAACAAAGTAATTATAACCAGTTTGTCAAGGCAGACCCTCGTGGGAATTATGTCCCTGATTCCCTGATTCCACTTCAGCCAGGCTGTGCCCACTACCCTCTGAATAAGAATCCTTAGATTCCCAATTCCTTCACTCCTTGTAAGGAGAACGTTGGATGCAGCAAACAAACATTTCTCACACAACAACTTCACAACATCAAGAGAAAAATATGGTATGAGGCCATTGTCTTTAAAAAGCATTGAAGATGGACACTGTTCAAAGCTGAGGGAAGAAAAAAAATCTTAATTTCTCTTCTAGCCCCAGACTGTAAATATACTGGCAGCTCTCACAGCAGAAGCCTTCCTCACACCACTGCCCTCTTTTGTGAGCTCATGAACCTCACCTGTACTAATCACTTTCTCGGTGGGAGAGAGGGGATTCAGTTACATGATAGCTAATTCCTGGGCCTCCCCTAAGCAAAAATGAACAGTCATTACAAGCCATTCCAAATTATACATGGGCACTCTATGATGTAGACTGTTGTAGACAGGGCTGAGACAATTACCGAATGAAAGAAATATTATTATTTTAAGAAATCTAACATTTTAATACAATGTGAAAAATGATGAGGGAATAATAAATGGAGTACATAAAAAGAGCTAATAATAAAAAAGAGCTTGGTGCGAAATCCCGCTGTCATATTTGCCTTTACCCTGAAACTAATGCCATGCACATTTCTGAATGCAAATAATTCACGAGAGGAAGCAAAATGAGGATGTTAATAACCATTTTTCCCTTAATGAGAAGCTGTTCTTTGACTGAAAGGTGCTTTAAGATGGACTAAGTGAGGCTTAACAAAAGGGTTCCCTTTTTTTGGAATGCATAAATGAAGCCAGTTGAGTTTCATTCTGGGATTTAAAGGCAGTGGCATTAACAGATTACTTCTACATTTTTAAATAATAAAAATTCACTTTGTCAATTTAAAATTCCTCCTTGCATTGTCTTTTAGCTCAAAGTGATATTTCTTATGGGGTGTTGTGTATTAAAGTGTCTTCCAGTATTACTTTTATGTGTGGCAGATTTCTACTACTTTTAGTCATAATAACTATTTGTCAGGGCTTATTATTTGTCAGGGCATGTACTACGAGTTGCCAAGAGTCACTCTCACCTTAGAACTAATGAAACCTCCAGAGATGGCGGTGAAATTTATGCAAGGACAGCAGTAAAGAAGCAGAATGTATTCAAATTCAGGAGACCAAACATCAAAGGCCCTGCTCCTTCCACCTTAGCAGCTACCCTCCTTTTGTATTGTGAACAGACCTGTGCAACACCAGCATCAACCTGTGAAGACTGGCAGTCAATGACTGTATAAAGCCTGGAGACCCTGTTCTCTTCAAACGGCACTTTGAGTCTCTTCTCTCCTCTACTTCTTCCTTCCTTCAAGTAAGCTTTTACATAAGGGAGAAAAATGCCTAAAGACAGGAAATGTTTTAGAAAATCAGCCCCAATTATACATCTGTGGCTTTATATGCACCTCTCTCAGGATGCAATGGGCTGACTACCAATGGGCATTTCAATGGCAGAAATCTGTATTATTGAAATGCTTCCATTTCAACAGCAAACCATTACAACATCACGTCTTCCTGCCAGCTGCACCGCTACTGAGCCAGTGCGTTAGTGGTTGATAATATGAGTTTTACAGTCAAAGTATGTTGGGAGGCAATTCTCCATGAGTCTTTCATGTTTCTGCATGTCTTGCAAGCAGTGGCACTGACTGCTTTTGTTCCAAACTGTCTTTTCAAGAAAGTTTAAATAGCAAACAGCTACGGAAGATACAGTGTCTCCCTCCGGAACAAAAAGCCCCCATACTTACTGCCCACTATAAAGATCTGTGTCTCTTGAACTCAGGGTTCCTCTCATGAAGCACACCTCACTGCATGTGCAGGTGACCCCCAGCCCTCTTCCCACAGTTCTATAAGAACTGGGGCTCAGGAAACTGCTGACACTATGACCACTATTATTAATATGAGTAATAATAAAGTCTTGTGTCTCTGACGCAAGAGTCTCGGGTATTCTGCCAGCATGCATGAAACTATAGCAGGCTGACTTGTTAGCTTTCAAGAAGATGGAAATTTCAGACACTTCAAGTTCTTGATATGGCCCACACTGGAATCCTGGTTCTGTTGTTATGTTCGTTATGTGATGTTAAGAAAGTTACTTGAATTCTCTGGGCCTCAGTTTACTCAGCTGTAAAGTAGAGCCAGCCTTTAAATGCTATATAAGATAACATATATTATATAACATAATACATGCATTAGCACAATGCCTGTCATAAAATATATTCTCAGTAAATTTACCTACTGTGGCTCTCGTATAATGAAGGAATTATTTGTAATAAAGAACCAAATTCTAGCCCCAGTTCCGTATGGCCTCAAAAGCCACTCAACATGTCTGGCACTGAATTTCATCCTCTATAAATGAGACAGGTAGAAAAGGTAATCTCTAAGATTCCTCTTAGCTTTGACATTCTGAAACTTCATTACAGCTTCTCTTTAGTGTCTTCCTTCTCTTCCCTTAAAGCAGTTTCTCTCATTAGTATCTAATTTTTCCAGTGGTAACAGACCAAGCACAGAGCCTGGTTGGAGTCAGAACCAGGCCCAGCTCTGGTGCACAAGAGGAAAGTCTGCACACAGCCGACAGTGGCCCAGATCAAGCCATTGGCTCTCTAAATTTCAGTTTCCTCACTAGTATACTGAGGACACTGGATTAGACAATTCCCAAAGTCTCTTCTAATTTTATAATTCTATGATTGTCTAATGTCACTACCTCCTCTCATCTCTCCAAATAAATTACCTGAATAAATGACTGAATTATTTTAGCTCAACTGCAGGAAAGAAATCAAATTAAGTGATGGGAAGTTATAGATTGTGCATAAACAAAAGTGTGTAAATAGAGAACTCCAAATGTCACCTTTATCTAGAATCTAGTTAAGTCGCAATGTAGAGTCCCACCAAAGATACATCAAATTTGGGTCATAATGGACAAGGCTATGTGCAACTGAGTATTCCACTGTTGACCTACATGTCCACATTAAGTGGCTTTTCAAATAGCAGTGATGCCCTTGCTCAGTTCTACCCAAAGATGCCTGTATTGATCTTCTGCACCCAAGACACCTGCCCATGAGATAACTGGCAGGGGTAGGGGAGCGGTGTGTGTGTGAAGTGTGTGAAGTGGTATCAAAGAGCACAAAGGAGACTAGTCAATAATTAAGCCTCAACAATCATCTCATGAGCAACAATTTCCAACCAATCAATGTCAGGAAAATACAGTGCTTTATAATAATTGCAATGGAAAAACACACCAGGTTTCTTCCCACAGCCTATCATTTTATTATTTTATATACCATCATTTTAACACTTAGCAAGAATATACTTTTTAATATCTATACCTTGACTAAACTGATTTCTTCTCTAGAAGAAGAAATATATTATTTTTATCTTTAATCTTTAATTAATTTATCATTTTTATCTTTGCACCTACCTCTGTCAGCCAACACACAATTCTTCGAAATTTAGTGGACATGGTTTTAAATCCTGGCTTTACCATTTGCTAACTCTGTGACTTTGGGCAAGTCACTTAATCTCTCAGAGTTTTTTACTTCATCTGTGCCAATAACATAATAATACCTACTTCACAGAGGAGTTGTTAGAATTTAATGAGATAACTTGATGTTGACTACATAGTCTGACATATAGTGAATTTAATGTATTATAGTTTTTATTATAGCAGATTATCAATAAAAATATATCAAATAGGTATGATTTATTGGCTCTTTACTGTGTACCAGGCCCTAAACTGTGCTCTACACAAAACTATGTAATGTAGATACTATTATAATAGGCCTCAGTTTGAAAGCTGAAAGGACTGAGAAAAGAGAGAAACTGAAATGCCTTAGGTCCCATAGTCAGTAAATAGCAGAGCCAGATGTAAACTCAGGTATTCTAGCTCCAGAGCCCAAGCTCCTAATAACACACAATATTACCTCTAAATGAATGAATGATTTGGTTTCAAATAGAGCTAGGGGCCAGAGGAGAGTAAGAGATTGTTTATTATGTCCTGTAATATTAAGACAAGTTTTCATACCTTGTGAAACTAGATGTAGACTAACATTTATTAAATTTCTATACCAGTCTTCAAAATCCTCCAGAATAGGACACGGAAGATACATTCTGAGTAATCTATTTCACTAATTAGCATACAAATATTTCTACATATTTGTGACTTCCAATGTCCATAAACAGGAAAAATAATTAGAAAGTTCATTATACATCTTTTAGTTTATATTTCTATTTCAGAGAAACATAGTAAAAAATATTATGCACATAGAATTTTCTTTGTAAAAGTATTAGCTGTACTGGCTCCTGGCAGAAAAGAATAAAATGTAAAAATTCTTGTTTACAGATATGCCGTAGTCTGAACCTTTGTGTTCCCCCAAAATTTGTATGTTGAAACTTAATCCTCAATGTAGTAATATTAAGAGGTAGAACTTTGGAAGGTGATTAGGTAGTGAGGGCCCCACCTACAGGAATGGAATTAGTGCCCTTATAAGTGGTCTAGGGGAACTTGTTTGGGTCTTGTACCATGTGAAGACAACAAGACGCCATCTTTGAAGCAGAGAGCAGGCTATCAGCAGACACCAAATCTGCTGACGCTTTACTCGTGAACTTGCCAGCCTCTCGAATTATGAGAAACAACAAATGTCTGTTGTTTATAAATTACCTGGGCTAAGGTATTTTGTTATAGCTGCCCAAACTAAGGTGGAATTTAAATCCAGCTTTCTGATATGTGATTCATTAATCATACTGAAGAAAATCCTCTCAGTAAAAAAGACACCACGTTTTTAACAAATATTGTTGGAAATATGTAGTAAATCTTTGGCCATCTTCCTATATTTTAAAGATTTTTTTTCTTTTTTTGAGATAGAGTAAAAATGGGTGGGTTGTAAATCTTTATATTGTAACAAGTACATTCTGATATGATTATTCAACCACTAGAAAAATATTTTCACTCTTTAGGTTAAATAATAAAACTACCTTTCGGAGCGACGCAGAAGACGGGTGATTTCTGCATTTCCATCTGAGGTACCGGGTCCATCTCACTAGGGAGTGCCAGACAGTGGGCCCAGGTCAGTGGGTGCGCGCACCGTGCGCGAGCCGAAGCAGGGCGAGGCATTGCCTCACTTGGGAAGCGCAAGGGGTCAGGGACTTCCCTTTCCGAGTCAAAGAAAGGGGTGACGGACAGCACCTGGAAAATCGGGTCACTCCCACCCGAATACTGCGCTTTTCCGACGGGCTTAAAAAACGGCGCACCACGAGATTATACCCCGCACCTGGCTCGGAGGTTCCTACGCCCCCGGAGTCTCGCTGATTGCTAGCACAGCAGTCTGAGATCAAACTGCAAGGAGGCAACGAGGCTGGGGGAGGGGCGCCCGCCATTGCCCAGGCTTGATTAGGTAAACAAAGCAGCCTGGAAGCTCGAACTGGGTGGAGCCCACCACAGCTCAAGGAGGCCTGCCTGCCTCTGTAGGCTCCACCTCTGGGGGCAGGGCACAGACAAACAAAAAGACAGCAGTAACTTCTGCAGACTTAAACATCCCTGTCTGACAGCTTTGAAGAGAGCAGTGGTTCTCCCAGCACGCAGCTGGAGATCTGAGAACGGGCAGACTGCCTCCTCAAGTGGGTCCCTGACCCCTGACCCCCGAGCCGCCTAACTGGGAGGCACCCCCCAGCAGGGGCACACTGACACCTCACACGGCAGGGTATTCCAACAGACCTGCAGCTGAGGGTCCTGTCTGTTAGAAGGAAAACTAACAAACAGAAAGGACATCCACACCAAAAACCCATCTGTACATCACCATCATCAAAGACCAAAAGTAGACAAAACCACAAAGATGGGGAAAAAACTGAACAGAAAAACTGGAAACTAAAAACCAGAGCGCCTCTCCTCCTCCAAAGGAACGCAGTTCCTCACCAGCGACGGAACAAAGCTGGATGGAGAATGACTTTGACGAGCTGAGAGAAGAAGGCTTCAGACGATCAAATTACTCTTGAGCTACGGGAGGACATTCAAACCAAAGGCAAAGAAGTTGAAAACTTTGAAAAAAATTTAGAAGAATGTATAACTAGAATAACCAATACAGAGAAGTGCTTAAAGGAGCTGATGGAACTGAAAACCAAGGCTCGAGAACTATGTGAAGAATGCAGAAGCCTCAGGAGCCGATGCGATCAACTGGAAGAAAGGGTATCAGCAATGGAAGATGAAATGAATGAAATGAAGCGAGAAGGGAAATTTAGAGAAAAAAGAATAAAAAGAAATGAGCAAAGCCTCCAAGAAATATGGGACTATGTGAAAAGACCAAATCTACATCTGATTGGTGTACCTGAAAGTGAAGGGGAGAATGGAACCAACTTGGAAAGCATGCTGCAGAATGTTGTCCAGGAGAACTTCCCCAATCTAGCAAGGCAAGCCAACATTCAGATTCAGGAAATACAGAGAACGCCACAAAGATACTCCTCGAGAAGAGCAACTCCAAGACACATAATTGTCAGATTCACCAAAGTTGAAATGAAGGAAAAAATGTTAAGGGCAGCCAGAGAGAAAGGTCGGGTTACCCTCAAAGGGAAGCCCATCAGACTAACAGTGGATCTCTCGGCAGAAACCCTACAAGCCAGAAGAGGGGGGGGGGCCAATATTCAACATTCTTAAAGAAAATAATTTTCAACCCAGAATTTCATATCCAGCCAAACTAAGCTTCATAAGTGAAGGAGAAATAAAATACTTTACAGACAAGCAAATGCTGAGAGATTTTGTCACCACCAGGCCTGCCCTAAAAGAGCTCCTGAAGGAAGCACAAAATATGGAAAGGAACAACCGGTACCAGCCGCTGCAAAATCATGCCAAAATGTAAAGACCATCGAGACTAGGAAGAAACTGCATCAACTAACGAGCAAAATAACCAGCTAACATCATAATGACAGGATCAAATTCACACATAACAATATTAACTTTAAATGTAAATGGACTAAATGCTCCAATTAAAAGACACAGACTGGCAAATTGGATAAAGAGTCAAGACCCATCAGTGTGCTGTATTCAGGAAACCCATCTCACGTGCAGAGACACACATAGGCTCAAAATAAAAGGATAGAGGAAGATCTACCAAGCAAATGGAAAACAAAAAAAGGCAGAGGTTGCAATCCTAGTCTCGGATAAAACAGACTTTAAACCAACAAAGATCAAAAGAGACAAAGAAGGCCATTACATAATGGTAAAGGGATCAATTCAACAAGAAGAGCTAACTATCCTAAATATATATGCACCCAATACAGGAGCACCCAGATTCATAAAGCAAGTCCTGAGTGACCTACAAAGAGACTTAGACTCCCACACATTAATAATGGGAGACTTTAACACCCCACTGTCAACATTAGACAGATCAAGGAGACAGAAAGTCAACAAGGATACCCAGGAATTGAACTCAGCTCTGCACCAAGCGGACCTAATAGACATCTACAGAACTCTCCACCCCAAATCAACAGAATATACATTTTTTTCAGCACCACACCATACCTATTCCAAAATTGACCACATACTTGGAAGTAAAGCTCTCCTCAGCAAATGTAAAATAACAGAAATTATAACAAACTATCTCTCAGACCACAGTGCAATCAAACTAGAACTCAGGATTAAGAATCTCACTCAAAACCACTCAACTACATGGAAACTGAACAACATGCTCCTGAATGACTACTGGGTGCATAACGAAATGAAGGCAGAAATAAAGATGTTCTTTGAAACCAACGAGAACAAAGACACAACATACCAGAATCTCTGGGACGCATTCAAAGCAGTGTGTAGAGGGAAATTTATAGCACTAAATGTCCACAAGAGAAAGCAGGAAAGATCCAAAATTGACACCCTAACATCACAATTAAAAGATCTAGAAAAGCAAGAGAAAACACATTCAAAAGCTAGCAGAAGGCAAGAAATAACTAAAATCAGAGCAGAACTGAAGGAAATAGAGACACAAAAAACCCTCCAGAAAATTAATGAATCCAGGAGCTGGTTTTTTGAAAGGATCAACAAAATTGATAGACCGCTAGCAAGACTAATAAAGAAAAAAAGAGAGAAGAATCAAATAGACACAATAAAAAATGATAAAGGGGATATCACCACCGATCCCACAGAAATACAAACTACCATCAGAGAATACTACAAACGCCTCTACGCAAATAAACTAGAAAATCTAGAAGAAATGGATAAATTCCTCAACACATACACCCTCCCAAGACTAAACCAGGAAGAAGTTGAATCTCTGAATAGACCAATAACAGGATCTGAAATTGTGGCAATAATCAATAGCTTACCAACCAAAAAGAGTCCAGGACCAGATGGATTCACAGCCGAATTCTACCAGGCTCCTCTACAAGGAGGAACTGGTACCATTCCTTCTGAAACTATTCCAATCAATAGAAAAAGAGGGAATCCTCCCTAACTCATTTTATGAGGCCAGCATCATTCTGATACCAAAGCCGGGCAGAGACACAACCAAAAAAGAGAATTTTAGACCAATATCCTTGATGAACATTGATGCAAAAATCCTCAATAAAATACTGGCAAACCGAATCCAGCAGCACATCAAAAAGCTTACCCACCATGATCAAGTGGGCTTCATCCCTGGGATGCAAGGCTGGTTCAATATACGCAAATCAATAAATGTAATCCAGCTTATAAACAGAGCCAAAGACAAAAACCACATGATTATCTCAATAGATGCAGAAAAAGACTTTGACAAAATTCAACAACCCTTCATGCTAAAAACTCTCAATAAATTACGTATTGATGGGACGTATTTCAAAATAATAAGAGCTATCTATGACAAACCCACAGCCAATATCATACTGAATGGGCAAAAACTGGAAGCATTCCCTTTGAAAACTGGCACAAGACAGGGATGCCCTCTCTCACCACTCCTATTCAACATAGTGTTGGAAGTTCTGGCCAGGGCAATTAGGCAGGAGAAGGAAATAAAGGGTATTCAATTAGGAAAAGAGGAAGTCAAATTGTCCCTGTTTGCAGATGACATGGTTGTATATCTAGAAAACCCCATTGTCTCAGCCCAAAATCTCCTTAAGCTGATAAGCACCTTCAGCAAAGTCTCAGGATACAAAATCAATGTACAAAAATCACAAGCATTCTTATACACCAACAACAGACAAACAGAGAGCCAAATCATGAGTGAACTCCCATTCACAATTGCTTCAAAGAGAATAAAATACCTAGGAATCCAACTTACAGGGGATGTGAAGGACCTCTTCAAGGAGAACTACAAACCACTGCTCAAGGAAATAAAAGAGGATACAAACAAATGGAAGAACATTCCATGCTCATGGGTAGGAAGAATCAATATCGTGAAAATGGCCATACTGCCCAAGCTAATTTACAGATTCAATGCCATCCCCAACAAGCTACCAATGACTTTCTTCACAGAATTGGAAAAAACTACTTTAAAGTTCATATGGAACCAAAAAAGAGCCCGCATCGCCAAGTCAATCCTAAGCCAAAAGAACAAAGCTGGAGGCATCACACTACCTGACTTCAAACTATACTACAAGGCTACAGTAACCAAAACAGCATGGTACTGGTACCAAAACAGAGATATAGATCAATGGAACAGAACAGAGCCCTCAGAAATAACACTGCATATCTACAACTATCTGATCTTTGACAAACCTGAGAAAAACAAGCAATGGGGAAAGGATTCCCTATTTAATAAATGGTGCTGGGAAAACTGGTTAGCCATATGTAGAAAGCTGAAACTGGATCCCTTCCTTACACCTTATACAAAAATCAATTCAAGATGGATTAAAGACTTAAATGTTAGACCTAAAACCATAAAAACCCTAGAAGAAAACCTAGGCATTACCATTCAGGACATAGGCATGGGCAAGGACTTCATGTCTAAAACACCAAAAGCAATGGCAACAAAAGACAAAATTGACAAATGGGATCTAATTAAACTAAAGAGCTTCTGTACAGCAAAAGAAACTACCATCAGAGTGAACAGGCAACCTACAAAATGGGAGAAAATTTTCACAACCTACTCATCTGACAAAGGGCTAATATCCAGAATCTACAATGAACTCAAACAAATTTACAAGAAAAAAACAAACAACCCCATCAAAAAGTGGGCAAAGGACATGAACAGACACTTCTCAAAAGAAGACATTTATGCAGCCAAAAAACACATGAAAAAATGCTCATCATCACTGGCCATCAGAGAAATGCAAATCAAAACCACATTGAGATACCATCTCACACCAGTTAGAATGGCAATCATTAAAAAGTCAGGAAACAACAGGTGCTGGAGAGGATGTGGAGAAATAGGAACACTTTTACACTGTTGGTGGGACTGTAAACTAGTTCAACCATTGTGGAAGTCAGTGTGGTGATTCCTCAGGGATCTAGAACTGGAAATACCATTTGACCCAGCCATTCCATTACTGGGTATATACCCAAAGGACTATAAATCATGCTGCTATAAAGACACATGCACACGTATGTTTATTGCGGCACTATTCACGATAGCAAAGACTTGGAACCAACCCAAATGTCCAACAATGATAGACTGGATTAAGAAAATGTGGCACATATACACCATGGAATACTATGCAGCCATAAAAAATGATGATTTCATGTCCTTTGTAGGGACATGGATGAAATTGGAAATCATCATTCTCAGTAAACTATCACAAGAACAAAAAACCAAACACCGCATATTCTCACTCATAGGTGGGAATTGAACAATGAGATCACATGGACACAGGAAGGGGAATATCACACTCTGGGGACTGTTGTGGGGTGGCGGGAAGGGGGAGGGATAGCATTGGGAGATATACCTAATGCTAGATGACGAGTTAGTGGGTGCAGCGCACCAGCATGTCACATGTATACATATGTAACTAACCTGCACAATGTGCACATGTACCCTAAAACTTAAAAGTATAATAATAATAATAATAATAAAATAAAAAAAATAAAATAAAACTACCTTTCAAGGTGCAATATGATCCATCATTCCAATACGGCCCAAAAAAAGTGAATTCATAGTTCTCACCATTTAATAGAAGAGAAATCTAAATAAGTAGAAAAGTATTTGACTAAGATCTGAGAAGAAATAAACAGAAGAATATGGACTTGGCTACTCAATGTCTTGGAGAAGGCTGCAAAAGAAATAAATCTAAAAAATGCAGAATAATTCAAATAAAACAAAAGCTTCTTTTTCACATAAACAACTAAGGCAGATGTTCCTAATTGGCAGGTGACCCTCCATGTAGTAACTCAGGGACTCAGATTCCTTCCAACTGTGGCTCAGCCATCCCCTAGTACCTAGTCATGGTCTGTGAAAATGGGCATACGTTCTTCTGAAAAGCATTGGTCCAGAAATGGTACACATCACATCTACCACTTTCATGTTCCTCTGGCTGCAACTCAAACATAGAGCTATACATCAGAACAAAGGAGGTTGGAAAAGATAATCTAGCACAGGAAAAATAAGAAGTATCTAATGAAAAGCTAACAGTCTTTCCCACACTTTGCATATCCTATTACACTCAATCCAGGGTTGAGAGAGTTCAGAAGTAGAGAATTTCTCAAAAAAGAGAATTTCCAAGGAGACTTCTATATAATCTTTTTTGAAATATGTTCCATATTCTAGAATGTTCCAAGCAATCACTTAGTTTTTGTACAATAATACCATGTAGGATAACTAGGATCAAATGTATATTCTCTTTCTCCATGCAAATAGTTAAGCCTTTTATTTTGTACAATTTCTGCCGCAGTTCTCTATTTTGCCAGAGTCACAGCGCTTCACAATCAAGGGAATTAGAAATGTTATTTAAAAGTTATTTGACCCATTGTCTTACATTCAGGAAGGTCAAAGCCTACACCATTCCATTTAAATGAAAACACTTTTTCAAAGATGTGCAAAGGAGATTCCAGCAAGTCTTTGTATGCCCAGCAACCTTCACTGTCAGGAAATTATTTCATGTTTCTAATTTAAATTTGTTATCTTATAGCTTAAGCCCAGTTCCTTTTGGATTTTTCTTAGACACAGAAAACAGATGTTCTTTTATCCTTAGTGTATTACACATTCCCACATTTTTACATTTAACCTTGTCCTTAGCATACTGAATAATCCTAGAACATTTCCCCCACAGGTCCTATACTCAAATCATGTAATTATATTGATGGCCCTCCTTAAAAATCTCTCCAACTTTCCTCTGTCCCTTTTAAGTTGTGATGATCCAGAAGAAGATCTTCACAACTTAGCCCATTTTTATAAGTACCTGTTCTATAAGAGTACAATATAGAAGGAAGATACATATAATTCCCAAGACAATTATATTCTATCAACATAAAAAAATCTCCTCACTATATTTTGCCTTTTTCCTGCCTGTTACTACTTTCACATTTGTCATCCCCTCAGGCAGAAGTCATGGCTCACAGTCCACATTTCCAGTTACAGAACTGGCACAGCCACCTACTCCCTTCTCAACACATCTTTATCTCAGAAGTCAACATGTTTCCCCATAAATGCTGGGAATCTTTCACACGTCCATAACCAAGACACTTAAAATAGTTCACTTTCAAACAGCCCCTTTTAGAAGCCCCTATTACTTTTAACGGCAAAAAACAATTACTTTTGAACCAACCTAATAGTTTGCAAGATTCTACCATGTTTATCCTCACTGATTCTTCACAACAGTCCTATGAGGTTGTGAAGATGTGTTGTGAAGAAGACCTATGTGTTCATTTGAAAGACAAAAAACCCCAGGACTAGAGGCTACGTAGATTGTCTAATATCACATAAGGAGGGTGACAGCTGTGAGTCACTAACTCAGATTATCTGATTCCAAACCTCATGTTTTTGCTGAATATCATAAAGGGGAAAAAATTTCTTTCCATGTTTTACATTTTAGAAACCTAACACAAATAAATAATATAACTTTTGAAAATAAAAGGATGTCATGCAAGTTACACCAATATAAAGTATCTAATTACAAGGGTATTTCATATTATTAAGTAAGGGCGATAAAATATAACTTCACTTTCTGAAGAGTGATTTTCATTCAATGATTTCATGAAATACTGGCTGTGACCATGTGTCGATAGAAGTGTGACTCTGTATTCCAAACAAGGACAAGGTTCTTGGTACAAAGCAAATAATTAAAGTGCATCTGGGAGAAGCATCATTAGTCACTGTGCTTCTGTAATTATTTGTGGAGTGTAACAGCTCTCTCTCCAAAACTCAACCCCACCATTCACTTGTCCATGAGAAGAAAATGCCACTTGTGTGTGTATCTATCACCCTCAATAAAGACAACAAACGTTTCTAACTGTATGCATATTTTCTTAAATTTAGGTATTTACAATTTTTTGCGTATCTTCAGAAAAATCTGTTAAGGGGAAATTAAAAGACATTTTCTGAGACTCTGAAAACAATATTTGTTAACTGAAACTTCCAGGGCAACCAAATTCATTTTATTCATATATTTGGCTTAGAAAATGAAGTTTATTCAGTGGGAAATTTTCAGGTGTTTGTCCCCAACTTCTCAGTATTTCCCGGTAATGCGATTATTATACATTAACCTTCTACCAAGTGAAAATAATGGCAATTAAAATAGACTAAATCTCAGTCATCTGTATTCATATGTGTTTTCGTTGACTGCTTTAAGAGTCAGGACACACATGATTATCAAAGATCCTCTCATTACCCATTTGGTTTAATAAAATTCTTTTTGGAAAGTTTCTGATATCAAGTAGATATTATGAATACATATTTCCTTTTTATCACTTTATTAAAAGATTTTCAACCATGAAGTTTCCTCTCCAGGGATACAGTGGACTTCAAAACTTCAAAAACTTTAATAGATTTTAGTTTTCTTAGGTATACTCTGGGCAATGTATGTTTTAATTATGTTTATGTAATTTATCTAAAAATTCTTGCTTGGAAATTAGTCTATAAATACGTACTATATATGCAGTATTCATTTTTAATCTAATTGGATGGCAAACTTATTAGCCTACAACAGAGACATTTAATTTTGCAACAAAATTCTACATTCCTATTCTGAATTGTTTAGTTTATGTAGCTTTTGCATTAATTAAAAGTGACTTGGAAGTGAGTCCACGATACGATGAATTATAAATTTATGGGTTTTTAAATTTTCACACAAACCAGAAACTTACAAACGATACTTTTACCAATATTCTGTTATCACATTATTGCTTTATCTACCACTTTTTATTTAATTAAAATAATGCAATATTGTGATTTTAATAATTGTTTAAAATTTTTATTGGTTATTTGTCTTTCAAGTGTTAATGTTATTTATTTTGATACAAACTATCCATTCCCTATGCTAAAAACATGCAGAAGCTCCTATAAGCAAGTTTAAAATTCAAATGCAATGTTTCATGTTAGCAGTTAAAGAATGAGATAAATCACTACTATTCAGTCTCAGTTTGATTTTTCAACCAGAAAAACAATGTGTTTTAAGTTTCACAAGATATTCGTTTCTAGGCTTAACAACCTTAACTAGACATTCCTGAGCAGGCTAACATTTGTAACCAAAAACTCTGTCTTTGTGCAAGGAGCTTGGCTTTGTGCAAGGAGCTTGGCTGTTGCGTGGGCAACAGGAATATCTAGTTAGATATTTGATACATTTTTCACACTTACAGAATTTGCTACATAGAAATCTCCTTTCTCTTTCATTTTGGTTTTTCTGTCCTTGGGCATTGCCATTTAATTTTGGGTTATCCACCCCTCAAAAGTTAAAAAAGACAACACAGAAAAATGATGCTGAGACCAAACTTCTGCAACAAGGAAGTTACAGATCACAAAAACATTATGCCAAATGCCAGTTAGGTTATATTTGCTTATGATATTGCTTCATTGAGCTTATATAAAGAACAGTTAGGGATATTCATTGGTGTCTGTGCATCTCTATGTGGTAGAAGTATTGGTATTGGAAGACTAAGTCAATCTGTACCACAATCACTAATTCAGCAACATCGTTTCGAGTTCTGCCATTTAATAATTGACTTTTATGGAAGCTGTAATTTCTGAGCCAAAATTATGATGCAAAACAGTAACAGATGCAGTTACAGTTGCTTTTGTGTAAATCAATGTTTAGCATAACCCGCTGCTGAAGGGACGAAAATGCCTGCAGGAATGCCTGTATAAATTACTGGATTTATTCAAAGAGCTTTTTAATCTTTTCTATCTCAATTAGAAATCAGAGAAAGAAGAAGATGGAAAGTAGAAAAATAGAGCAAATGGGAAGAGAAAGACCAGAGAGGATGGGTGCTTTTCTTTCCAGAAAGAAAAACATGAGTTTATCCACAGAAATGTATAGCATAAATGTGAATAAATAACTCTTTATGATGGACACAGCAACACCACAGGTGATGTGGCAATTGTCATTAAGTTTATTGTCTTCTACGTGACAGATAACAGAAACCCTTCACCACCTTGAAGACTTATAAGACAAAGCGCCTGTGTATAATTAGTAAATACGTATTTTTATAGAGGAGACTTACTATGTGTTAATTAGGAAGTCATTGTAAGAACTGATTGCAATGGGAGAAAAAGATTTATCCAGAGCAGGTAAAGAGAGTAACAAGAGAAAAAGTCAGGAGTGGCCATTTGGCTAGTTAAAAGAAGGCAAGCAGGTGAGTGGAAGACATAAGACTAAGTGGGGAAGTATCATTCACAGAAAATATTCAGGTATTTCACCTATAAGGCATGAACCTTGGCTAGTAAGCAGGTTAAAGCAGGAATGTGTGTGTGTGGGTGTGTGGGTGTGGGTGTGTGGGTGTGTGTGTGTATGTATACCCCCTGCAGTTTTTATTTTGGAATCCTACCCTCCTGATTCTGATCGAGTAATGAATGACTCCACATGCTAATAAATACTGTTCCAGGAACCTAAAACAATAGTGACTAGCAAAGCCTTGGGATTTCCTAAGGAGACAGCAGGCTTATCAGAAGGCAGTATGCAGCATTTGGATAATGGCGTTATCACCTTATAGAATCGCTCAGGTTCCTGGGATTTTGAAGTCCGATTCCTAGATGAAATCTACTGTGGATTCACAGGCTAATGAATTGACAAAGAAGCAGAGAAACTACATATGAAAATGAGAGTTTGGTTACTTGACAAAAAAGAAGAGGGAGAGATAGAAAACCAGTATTAATAGTTTTCAGAATTTCTTCACTTCTGAAATTTAAATTGCTGCTTTGAATCTTTTCTCCCTTTTTGCCTTTCTTCTTCTTTTGATGAAAAGCTGAAAACTTAAAGTACAAAGGTTCCTGCAGCCCAGCAGCAGATTCACGGCCTAAGTCAGTCAGTGAAAATTTTCCAGGTTCCCATTCTTCTTTCACACTAGAAGAGGCCAGACTCAGGGCAGCCATTTTATGGAAGTCTCAGATCTTTGCCACGTTACTCACATTGTGTGGGGAAAGAGCCCTGGCCAGATAAAAGATTCTCATTAATTTATAATGGTGGTAATGTTTTTCATTCAACATGCAAGATGGACACAGATGGGCCCTGTGTTTCTTGATTTCCGCTCTACAAGACATCAAATGCAATGCTTTGCACCGGATTCCTAGTGGGAGAGGTAGAAAGGAGATTTTTCATGCTACTTATGGAAGCTGAAGGATAATGACTCAGGAAGAGTCACTTACAGAGAGTTTAGGGAGCATTGGTGGCTGCTTCATTGTTCTTTTCACAGCAGGCTAGAGGGCAAAAGTTTATCAGAAGGGGAGAAAAAAACCTCAGGGTTAAATGGAACTCAATAGAAATTCAAATATGCTTAAATAAAATTTTCTCTTGGGCTTTAATTCTGGTCTTTGATTTGCATTCTTCTAAAAAAATTAAATGTTTTAAATATGGCAGTCCTTTTGTATCCTTCATTTAATCACAAACCTTTGACTTTGGGCATTGTTAATAACATTAAATATTGAGCTTACATTGTTAGCTTAATAGTAAGTGGAAAGGATGGCTTTGTAATTGTATGATTTTTCTCACTCAAGCCGTTTCTTTTAATAAGTCCGTTTAAAAATTCAAGAGACAGTCTAATATTAGGGTACTTACTAGAGGAACTACTCATCCAAGAAAGAGGCATAGCTGGTGCAAATCATTTAAAATTTAGAAATTAATGAGTTTTACTGAGTTTATCCTTGAAATTTATTGAAATGCCACCTAAAATGTGTGTTAATTGGGCGTACAGTATCCTAGGTTTTCTAAATATTTGCAAGCTAGTTTTTAAATAACATTTGAAACTAAACCTCATAGAATTAACAGTCACTAACCCTTTATTGAACCTCATCCCTCTATCAACTCAATTTCAAGCTAAGTTGTTCATAATAATCAAATTAGCTGTGTTGACTTCTGTTACACCACACTTACAATATATTATTAGTAAGGGTTTTTTAATTATCTGTCACTTTTTAAATCTTTTTGGCTTTGAGAATTTCTAATTCTACTTTTTTTTACCTAGTGAACTGAAAACTATAGGTTTCCTCTTGTACATCCGAGGGCCCAGAAAGCTGGCGTAAAGTTATGGATCCTTTGTAGTTTAGGATGCTCTGTATTCAAATCAGTTTCAGAAGAAATGGTTTGAAGTCAAGAAATGGTCACATAATGGCTATGGAAAGTGTTCAGATATATTCAGCAGTTTGTGCGCAATATTGTAGAGATATTGGTATCAGAAAATCAAGTCAATCTGAGCAAATTTATATCTAATCAAATTTTCTGTTAGTAAAAGGGAGAAGTGTCTATATTTATGTCTATTTATATTGATTGATCAAGATAGGTAGACATTGACAGATAAAACTGACAGCACCATGTATACAATAAAGATTATTAGTTATCTATCAATATCTACTGTCTCTTTTTTTGACAGTAGGACTGAGTTAAGCTTTGCACACGTCCTCTCTGCTTTAGCCTACATACCCTAGATTTAGTATGGCCATGGGCCTGCATTCTAAATAATAGGATGAGACCAGAAGCAATACGTATGCCAAGGTGAGGCCTTCTCTCTAAAAAATAATGTGTGTGCTCCCAGGCCTTTATTCTTTCTGGCTGGAAGATGGTAACACCTGGAGCAGCCACTGTGGACCCAGAGAAAACAGCTATGTGTTGAGGATGACAATATCTCCTTATCAGCGTTGGATCACTTAACTATGGATTACTGTAAGAGAAACAAGCAGTTCTATCATTTTAAACCACTAGTTTGTATTCTCTTTTTTTATAGAAATTTATCCTATACCCAATTTAACACAGTTCCTATTAGGAAGAGAAAAAATTATGGGAGTGTTTATCAAAAATACTCAGTAAATGAGAATTGTGTACAGCTGGAACTACCAGAAATGCCTAATTTAACCATAGTTTATATGTGCCTATTTACTCCAAACAAAAGTGAAAAAGTCGCCCTATGTTATTTGATAAATTTCTTTACAAAAGTTTTTAAAAATCTGATTCCAATTACCTATAGTGTTGCTTTCAACTACTAAAATTAAGGAAAAACCTTTCATCTTTTATTTATATATTTATGTCAACAGTTTCTGACATCAGCATGGGAATTAATAGACTAGAAAAAGGTAAGGATATTAATGTCTTCACCTCTATTATAGTTGCACTCATACTAATTTCAAGAGTGAAACATGTAAGGCTTTAAAATAAGTTTAGCTGGTTTCCACGATGTATATGAAAGCTTTTGAAAAACTTAGAAGAATATAATAAACTATAAAATATAAAGGGTTATTATTATCATCATCATCATTTTCCAGAGATTTTTTTCTTTTTCAAATTGTTGCAGCTAGTGACCTAAAGCTTCAGAGCTGAGAAAGAGAGGACAGAAAATGTATATAACAGAACAAACAAAATAGTATTTCT
This sequence comes from Homo sapiens, assembly GCF_000001405.40. Classification (NCBI taxonomy): domain Eukaryota; kingdom Metazoa; phylum Chordata; class Mammalia; order Primates; family Hominidae; genus Homo; species Homo sapiens. Next base: position 82,122,973 of record NC_000001.11, on the reverse strand, counting down.
GAAATTAGTCGAATACACTACTAAGAAGTCTGAATTTAGAATTTAGGTTTTAAGTCCATTGCTCTCAAAAAAAAAAAATACAAACTCATAGCTACACAGATATATGAGTCATTTTTAAGGGTATATAAATGAAAACAACTGGAAACACAGAGCTTTGAAATAAGAGCTAATTTGACATTTAGCAATGTATATATTTAATACTGGTTCATTTGTAGGGATATTGTTTTAAAAATTGTATAGCTTATAACTTTAGAGTCATGATTGATGCTAAATTATATAAATATAATTTATAGTTAAATAGAAGACTAAAATATGTATGTAGTCATTCATCTTGATTTTTTCAAAAGCTCGAACTGCATAGTGTCTTTTTTATTTATTTAGAACAGGCGTCTGCAAACTTCCTATGAAGGGACAGATAGTCAATATTTTAGGCTCTGTGGGTCATACAGTCTTTGTTGTAACTATGCCACTCTGCCATTTAGGACAAACTCAGCCATAGATTATATAGAAATGAATGAATATGGTCGTATTCTAATAAAACTATTTATCAACACTGAAATCTGAATGTCCTACAATTTTCACATATCATGAACTATGACTCTTCTTTTAATTTTTTTCCAATATTTAAAAACAACAAACCCATTTTTTTAACTCCCATGCCTTACAGAAACAGGCAATGGGGCAGCTTTTGCCTGCAGGCCATAGATTGTCAACTGATTTAGAATGATTACAAAACCAAAGCAATATATACAGCTACATTTACCTGTACAGGATAAATTTTAAATATATACGTTATTTAGATCCTTTAAAAGTCTTATAAAAGGTTATTGAAATTCATCATTCAACAAATATTAGTGAGATTCTAATGTGTACCAAGCACACTATACAAATATATAGTCTCTGCCCTCATGGAAATTATAGTCCAGTTTATGAAATAGATATTAATAAATAACTATGCAAATAAATTGATAGTGTCCATCAACTACAACGTACACTATAAATCAAAATTAAGTAAAACTATGATTTTCAACATAGTTTTATTTAATTTGGTATAAATTGAAAACTTAGCTTTCAATCAAAATATTCTAATGGTATGGTAAAGCTGAGCAAATTAAATTATACATTTGTAGACTAGTGGCTCAAAGGTAGAAACAGACCTAGAATTAGCACATAGAAAAATGTATGTGATTACCCTGTATTTTACAATCTTGATCTCATTTTAAATGATGGAGTTTCATAATTGTTTTACACTGGATCGCAGAAGATCATGCAGATTACTACTATTAAGACACAAGGACACAACCCCTCTAAGTCCTCAAGTCACATATGGTGGTCATTCCAACACCACACTCTTCTGTGAGATGTTTCACACTTACACCACTACCCAGTTTCACCAACAGCTTGACTTTCTGTGGCTACAGATGAACATATTAGGTTGGTGCAAAAGTAATTGCAGTTTTTGCCATTAAAAGTAAGGAATGCTCCCTCTCTTTCTCATCACTGTTACCCGTAGGAGTATCTGTAGGCCTTTCTGACATTTTCAACAATATTTTTACACTACAGAGCAGGGAAGTAGAAAAACACAGCCAGTAATGCACACAGGTCTTGGCCCTATGCGGGGCATCATGGAGAACCTGTCCTTGGCACATCCAGCCTACACATGTGCCATTTTATTATTCTTTGTAGGTGTGTTCGTGTGGGGGAATCTGGGTGTGTGCAGAAAATATATATCACAGCTTCATTTTGACTGCAAGCTGTCACATGAGGTCACGTATAAAGTTTTTCACGTGTCACATTATATCAGTACTCAAAAAGTTTTGGATTTTGGAATATTTTAGATTTTGGATTTTTGAATTAGGGATGCTCAACCTTTATATCCTCTGCTTTGAGGACATGTGTAACATGACAGAAGAAAACAAAAACAAACAGAAGCCACAAATTTTTATTGGCTTAACTGAAACACATCACACAGTCTTCAATCACTACTTTTTATTGATATAAGTTAACGCTTGCACTTAAGGGGGAAAGAACCACACAGTTATATTCCCCATGTGCATTTCTTCTTTTGTAAATAATTACTTCCATATAAGGAAGGATGAGTTATTAATTCAGACTGTCCACTGTGAAGAAGATGCTAGGTATACATTTAATTTTCCAAACCAGCTAATTTATATAGCTTGCTTCCAAATATTTTCTGAGTGCAGTGGTGTGAAGGAAAAAATCATGCAGTTACATAACTGCTTAATATACACTTTTTTTCAAGTTAAGTTTAAAATTGTTCAAAAGAATGAAAAAAAAATCCCTTTCGAAATGAGGTCAGACATCAAAATAATCCTTACTGGGATCTTATTGAAATAGAAGGAGCAAGGTACACATGATATTAAGTTAAATAACTCTTGCAATATCTACACTATGGAGAAAATAGGGAATTGACAGTCCTCTTAGGCAGTAAAGCAGAATTTATAAATAGAAAGTCATGAAGAAAACATGTATTTTAGTATTTTAGCATTTTTGAAAGTGTGTTTCAAAGATCACTAATCTCATACCTAGCCCACAAATAAAAGTGATGATAGTCAAGTAATTTGGGGAAATACTAATACAATATTTCCTTCTAAAAGGGTCAAAATATACATTCATATATTAATCACTCTGAGAATTCCAGCAGTAAGGAAAAAATTAAATTTGCTTAAACAGTTTCCCTAACTATTCGACCTTTGATTAGTCCCACCCATTAAAATCCCCTTTAACTATTGTCATATGGAAATATTTAGGAAAATCTTGTACTAGAGAAGGGATAGGCAAATTTTTTCTGTAAAGACTAGATAGAAAATACTTTAGGTTTTGCAATGTAGCAACTATTCAATGCTATCTTTGCAGCATGAAAATAGCCATAATTGAATACACCCATAAATTTAAGGGTATGGCTGTGAGCCAATAAAATTTTATTTACAAAAACACAGCCGATCAGATTTATTCCAGGGGCCATCATTTGCTGAGCCCTGAAGTGGAAGAAGAAAAGCTAAAAATCCACCACCTTTATCCAATAGGGTTTGTCTTCAAGTGTTCTTCAGGGATCAATGACCGCGAGGAGTTTCCTTGAGCTTCACTCTGACACGAGAAGGCGTATGCAGGTAGTGATGATCTAGTTTTCTCAACCATGCAGAGTAAAGACACCTCAAGTGCTAAGGTATCTGCCACATTCAGCTCAGCACAAGTAGATGCCTATGGTTTTGTAAATGACCCAGGACAAGAATACAGATTTTAAACAGCTATACATTTCCAAGCAAGTGCAAAGAATTAAGCTGAATATACACCTCAAAAACAGAATTAAAGTAAATATATTGATTCAATGTGCTAGAAAGTTAAAAAGATACTACTTGTGCTCTTGATTTATTTTGATTAGTTAGTAATTATGTAAATTGTTAAATTATATTTTTATAAAGTGATACATTATTCCAAAAAAGTGACAGAATTTATGGGGTAAATTAAATTGTCTACTTACATATGGCTAGTGATATCTATCCTACCAAAGTTCCCACAAGGCAATGTTTTCATCATGGTAATAACCTCAGGTATCTAAAGCAGCAAACAGTGCTGTAAAATGTATTTGTCCCCACCACAGTCTTCTCTTTGCTCTCAATATATTGGTTAGAAGCTTATATAACTTATCAAATTAGCAAAAATATTAGCAAGTATTACAGTACTGGCTCCAAACATTAGTTCTGATCATTTAGCTCATTTCTCCAATTCTCTGGAGGTTCGAAAGACCTTTGGCAATTCCATTAAATGATCTGTTATTTTCTTCAGTAAATGTCATTTCCCTAATCTAGTAATTAATTAAAAAAACAAAGACAGGTTTCTCAGGAAATGTTGCTTGCTTGCTTTTTGTGCTGTATTTCTACCATTTCCCATTTTGTGAAGTTATTATTATTACTGACTAACATTTAATTACGTTGTTTGATCTTTGGCTAAACAAGTTTGCAGACTTTCATTACCATACCTACAAAGACCAGCCCAAATGTTTTAATGAATATTGATGTCTTCATATAATGATGAAGCCCTTTATTCTCTGGCTACTGAATTACTAGGCAGTGATCACAAGAAAACATATAATACACACTAACAGGAATTCTTGATTTTTCACAGAAATCAAATTTTGTTGAAGGATTTAGGTCACTAGTTTGTGTTGTATGATCATAATTACATCAAGACAGAACTCAATGGAAGATTTTGAGGACAAACTAAAGGGAATATATTCTAATTATTCAAAATTCAGGCATAAATGTTAATAGCTGAATTCATACAGAATTTATTTTCAAGATCTAATTTCCATAATATTTGGTTTCTCAATGGACTGTCCATTGTCAGCAGAATCACTGACTTAGCATATAAGACCTTTCCTTATATGGCCCTAATGTACTGTTCTTTTGCCAACACCTCTCCCTTCCCCCTCTACCCTCACTACCGCTGGCACTCAGTTATTTTATGGTATGGTATGAACATGCCAAGCTACTGACTGCTTCTTAACTATTCCATCCTGGCTCATGCTTCTGTAACATTGTACATACTTTCCCACTTACCTAAAATCATCTCTCCATCTCTCTTACATAGCCAATGGCTACTTTTAAAGACCGTCCAAACACTATTATGGTATTCACTCATTTACTCAAAAGCGTATTGACAATCACCAATGAGCCACGTGTCATCTACACACTAGATGGTCCCTACTGTCATGGAGCTTACACCTGGAGCAGATACACGATAAACAAATGGGTAAATAAGGAAGACAATTATAGATTGTGAAAACAGTCCTGAAGGAAGTCAATGAGTGATGGGAGAGAGAATAAAGCATGAGGAAACATAACTTTAGACAAGGTGATCAGGGAAGGCCTCTTTGCAGAGGTAACATTACAACAGAAGCTTGAGGATGAGAAGGGATAGGTAAGTGACTAGAAGGCCTTTGGCATGATCAGAAATTGAAAGGAGACCAATGTAACTGGAGCCAAAACCTTGACTAAGGTGGTGGGAGATGAGCTTTACTCCCAAACGTCTTGCTGCCATCCCCTCAAAGTCAGTCCATCAAACCCCCTTTCTTAACAGGATATGATATAATGCTATAAATGTCTACCTCCAGCTCAGCTCTGAGATCTTTGAGGTTAACTGCCATATATTACACACCTTGTATCCCCAGTACCTACACAGGGCCAACTACATAGTTTGTGTTCAATACAAATTTGTTCAAAATTAATGTCTGTGCCAATATTCTTGATCCTAACCCCTTCTGTTGTCTCTAAGGATTCATGTTATCATTTATCCACATCTTTATCCCCTCTATTAACTCAATGCATAAATATCTCAGGTCTTTCCAATCTTTAAAAAAAAATCTCTCCTCCACCCTACCTTTGCTTCCCCTCTAATGAGGGCCTTTCTAGTTTCCTTATGAAAATTTTTAAGAGAGGTATTCACTCACTTCTTCTACTTCCTACTTCCTCTGTCCTTCCTCAGCTCACTGCAATGTAGCCTTATATTTTGTTTTTTGCGTACTTCAGCATTGGCAGAGGTGGTTGTAATGTGTCTGAATTCAGGAGTCAGATTTTGTTGGTTTGAAGATTCATTTTATAATGGGAGACAGGTCACTTAACTTTCCTGTGCCTCCATAGCCTCATCTGGAACACAAGCATAACAACAGCATCCAACCCATGGAGTTGTCATGAGGATCAGAGGAGCTACCATATGTAAAGTGTCTGGCAAACTTTGCACAATTGTTATTTTGTCCTGCACGGGTGTATAGTTTCGTTATCATGCTTGGCTCTTCTGCAGCTCTTCCTTTGTCCTGAGATTATTTTCTCATGTGGTTTCCCTATCACTCCTGACTGTCACTTCCCTTCTCCCTTTCTGGCCATAATATGTCAATGTCATGAATCCTTTTCCTCCATTCTCTTCTAAATGTCAGTGTTTACCAAGGCTCCACCCTTTTCACTCTACACACACCATCCAAATCCATCAGTTTCAATTACCATCTAAACAATAATGAATTCCAGATCTTTATCCCTCAGATTTTTTTTTTTAAGTTTTAGACCTCTATGCAACAGATTTCAGATCGTCCCCACCTAGCTTTTCAGCAGGACCCTCAAATTCAACACCTCTACCTTTGAAATCAGCTTTTCTCCTCCCCTGCACCTCCCCTGGGAGGCAATGGCAGACATCTATCTATACTAGGCACTAGGTCCCTCATTCAGACAAATTAGACGACACATAGGCTCTGCTATTTCTCCTCTTCTCTTACTCTTCATGAGTCTTTGTTCCACTTTCCACATCTTCCCAAACATCTTCTCCCCACTCCATTTCCAGTGCAGCACCTTAGATCAGCTTCCCATCCTCTTTCATCTGCAGAAACCCTCCTACCTGATCTCTGTGCCTTCAGAGTAACAAACTTCCAATCCATTTGTACACAACAGTCAACAAGATCTTTTTAAAACGCAAATCTCATCACACCATTGCCCTGCTTAAAACCCTGCAATGACTCCCCAAAGCTTTCGGGATACAGTTCAAACTCGTCAGTGTAGTTCAAGGCCCTCTGCCTGAGCCAGATCAGTGCCCTTAACAGCTCTCTTTCTGCCCATTCAGGAGGCTGCAAGTGCCCTATAAAAATCTGCTGCAGCGATGTTCCGGCTGCTCAGGAATTTCCTCCAAGCTCCATATCACACCCCGTCGCTTGGTTGCAGCTTTGAGCCTCTGTTCTCATCACAGGTCCCTGATTTCTTCTTAGTCCCTGCCTGTGATCTGAATGCTACCTGGCTGCCTCCTCAGACATCTGATCTGTTAGCTTTTCTCTTTTTTTTTTTTTTTTACAGTATTAACTGAATTTTTTATTGCAACAGGGCACAGAGAGCTGCAGTCAAAGAGAAACGAGAATATCCAAATGTCAGCAACTGCTACATGCTCACTCATTTTTAATTATTATTATACCTTAAGTTCTAGGGTACATGTGCACAACGTGCAGATTTGTTACATAGGTATACATGTGACATGTTGGTGTGCTGCACCCATTAACTCATCATTTACATTAGGTATGTCTCCTAATGCTATCCCTCCCCCCTGCCCCCACCCCACGACAGACCCCGGTGTGTGATGTTCCGCTTCCTGTGTCCATTTCATTTCTTGTTTTCTCCAAAGTATGGGCTCCCTAATCACCCTCTGTGTTCTGAACACTGTGCTCCAGGGGCAAGGGACATTCTCATCCCTACTCCTAACCCAAGATCCCATATTCCAGTGTCCCCTCCCAGGCAACTCCTAGTTTTCTGTAAATTCATTGATCCCTGTGCTCCATCCACAAGGAACACTTGCTGTTAATACCTTTGTCCCTGCACACAAGCCATTCTCTTTTTCTAGATAAAGTGTGCCTTCCCTCAGTACTCACCCCATACCAGGGTGCCGAACATATGCACCCACACCTACTCAGCCAGTGCTTCAAGATTCAACTCTTGGAAGCCCTTGGTGACACTCACCCTGGTCTTAATTAAAAACCTCCTTTCTGTCCTCTAAATCTCTCTGTATGAATCTAACATAGTGTCTGTTTCTTAAAAGTTACTTTATTTCCCTTTCTCCCCTATTAGACCGTAAGCCCCTGAGGTTAGTGAAAGATAATCAGTCTTTGTATTCCAGTGCCTAGTACAGTGCTTAATGTATCACGAGTGCTTAACACACAATTTTTCAATAAATGAATGAACGAATTAATATCATAGTCCTGAAATAAGTTGAATGAATGTCATTATAAAACAGTTTTGGATGTAATAGAAATATCATTTGACAATGATTTTTCATCTTAACCCAAGTGTCTGTTAATATTAGCTCTCTTAAACCAGATATATTCCAAAATATCTCTGAGAATCACGTGACACACTTCTACTTTTACATTATAATGTATTGACTCCTTTAAAATGAAATCAATGTCCATCAATTTTCTTCTCTGAAAGGCTTGGATGATGAGGCAGGGAGTCTCAGCAGAAGTTGTCCACGTGCAGAATTATATAGTATATTTGATGTGAATAAATTCCCAACAGGGAATAAAATAAGATATCCTCATTTTATTCTCACTCTGCATTTGCAAGGCTCTTAGAAAGGAACATTTGCATTGCAACTTTCTGAGCAACTTAGCTTCTGTAGTGTTTTTAATTGTGCCATTTATACCTGACACTATTATTCCTACGACTAAACGTAATATTACTGAACATAGTTATCGGCTATATTATTAAAACGGGTAAAGACAAATGAATGGAATACAGAATGCTAATATTATTTTGCCTGATATAGCACTTTGTAGTTCTAAGCCCTAACACATGCACGCACGTGCATGCACACAGACACACACACACACACACACACACAGTCTTTATATACAGTTTGTAATGTATAATGCATGTAACAATCAACACCTGCTGAATGTTCATTACGTGCTAGAAACTGCTCTAAGAATTTTATGTTTATTTTAATATTTAGACCTGACAACAATCTCAAGTAACAGGTTGTGTTAGGCCATTATTGCACTGTCATTAAGAAATTCCTGACACTGGATAATTTATAAAGAAAAGAGGTTTCATTGGCTCACAGTCTACAGGCTGTACAGGAAGCATGGCACCAGCATCTCCTTGGCTTCTAGTGAGGCTTCACAAGGCTACTAGACATGGCAGAAGGCAAAGGGGGAGAAGGCATCTCACATGGCAGAGGTATGGACCACACATTTCTAAATGACTAGATCTCATGAGTCCCTGCTCACCATCATGAGGACAGCACCAAGCCATGAATGAGGGATCGGCCCTCATGACCTAATGACCTCCCACCAGGCCCCATCTCCAACAATGGGGATTACATTTCAACATGGGATTTGGGCAGGGACAAATATCCAACTATATCACAGGTAATATATTATCCCCTTTTCTCAATTGAGGAAACAGAGACAGAGAAAGGTAGATAGTCTGAGGTTACATAGCTAGTGATTTTTCTTAAAATCAAGAGAAAAAAATAATTCTTATTAATCACATTCAGCCAAAACTGAACCCCAGGCAGTCTAATTTCAGAGCTCTGTTTTTAATCTCTCTGCTATCATCTTTGTAGATATTATAATGTAAAACAAAGATTTCCATGGCTTTACCAGAAGAAGTTTTTTGGGTTTCTTTTTTTTTTTTTTTTTTGAGACGAAGTCTTGCTCTGTCACTCAGGCTGGAGTGCAATGATGTGATCTCAGCTCACTGCAGCCTCTGCCTCCAGGGTTCAAGCAATTCTCCTGCCTGAGCCCCCTGAGTAGCTGGGATTACAGGTGCCTGCCACCACACCCAGCTAATTTTTGTATTTTTAGTAGAGACAAGGTTTCACCATCTTGGTCAGACTGGTCTTGAGCTCCTGACCTCAGGTGATCCACCTGCCTCAGCCTCCCAAAGTGCTGGGATTAGAGGTGTGAGCCACCATGCCTAGCCCCAAGAAGTATTTTTTTTTAATAACAGAAAATACTTTCCTTCCCATAAAGGAAACTTCCCACTACATGAAATATGCATGCAGTGAGTGAAGCTCAGTATAACTCCTGTATATGTACATTCTTTCATAACTATTGATTATCTCTTCTCCCTCCCACCAGAAGGTGCTCAACTTTATACCTCCAACACATGACAAAGACTCTAGTATATAAAGGTGCTAAATAAATATTTGGTAGTCATATTCATGAATACATACCTATGAAGATGGAATTCGATCAATACATTTTAAGGCCACAGATGAAGCCCATGATAAACACTTTGTTAATCAGCATTCCATTTAATCCTCAATAATTTTATGAAGTTGAGATTATCCTACCCCTTTTACCACTATTTTCTTGGTTTACAGAGGTTAAGTAACTTGTCCAAGGTCCCACAACTGCCAAGTGGTAAAACCGGAGTTCAAACACAGATATGTGTTACTATAAATTTCAATGCCTTGTGGTTTGAAGCACCTTTAACTGTATATTTTCACCTACTAAAAGAGATCAAATATTGGAGTGGATTTGCCATGGCCCTATCCAGCCATGGAGTTTTGTATTTTTCTTAGGGCCAAGTTTCTAGTTATGTGATTCCAAAATGTCAGCACTCACAATTGTACAGGTACAACTATATGAGGCAAACAAATTCGTGAACAATTGCTTTGCTCCAAATACTTTCTGTCCTCCCCATTTTGTTTTTCAGTTGCTAATGACTATCGTTACTTAGTACATGATATGAGTTCTAATGTTACTATGGAAGAGGAAAGTCACTTCCAAGTGATGCTTGCAGAACCCTGACACTTCCGTGTCCCCATGAGCAATGCTGCCTATGAAGACAGTGGACCAGGTGAGTCTGCCGGAATTCTAGGGAACCCCAAACAAAACTGATGATCCAATACATTGTTCAAAGTACAAGTTAAAAAAGTTAAAATGTGTCTTGAAAAAATCTCCTCATGTGTTCCATTTTTATCCTAACATAAAATCAAAAGCATTTAATGGAGAGTAATGAAAAGTAAAGTATAAGTTTTATACTTAGCAAAAGTGAGAATAGAAAAGGAAGAAAAATTCTCATCACCTAGCAAAGCACCATGCCATCGTAGGCACTCAGTAAATATTTATTGAATAAATGAATGGGGTTTATATTTACTTCTGTAAAATAGAACACATTCCACTAAAGGGTAACTCTTTTGTGAAATATCTTACCACAGTTACTATAAATAATTATAAATAAATATCTAGCTAAAACCTTATATTAAATAACTTTTTTAGATGACAGCTCTAATATCTTATAAATTTTCACCCCTTCAGTTATCTGATTAGTGTCGCTCTAGATGAATAGTAGACAGATTTGAAAGCAGTTCTGTTCCTTATCAGTAACTCCAGAATTCAAATCACATTGTGCTATTCATTGGTGCTAGAGTCCCTACAGAATCCCCCAAACATTCTAAAGCATTAAAATCAGAGGTGTTTTCTATTGCTGTTTAGGATCTTATTCATCCAAGAGTTTCTATCATTTTTCTTAAAATCAAGAGAAAAAATAATTTTTATTAATCACATTAGTATCAGGTGAGATATCCAAGTGCAGTATTCCATCCATCTGCAGTTCCCTAAAATTTGTAACAACTCACTCATTCTTTACATAATATTGTATCATTAGTCAATTGATCAGACTTTACAAGGTAGAAGACTCATTGTTGGGAATGTGAAATGACTCTAAGTAAATCTGTCCAGAAACAAGTAATAAAGCTAACCTGAATAATAAGACTCACTTTTCTAAGAGTGAAGGCTGGCTCTTTCAGAACTCCACTATAGCATGGAGAATATCACTGATCCTTTTTTCTTTTTTACTGTTGGGCCAATGAAACACCAGACAGTAAGACCTATTTTAATGGTATGTTGACCTCATTGGTCATTATTTCTTTTTAAATGCTTTGAGTGCCTTTGCTACAACTTATGATCTTTTCTGAAATTCTATTAAAAGTACAATTGTTTCTATTTCACTTATACTCAAAGACAAAACCAAAACAATGATAAAGTTGTTTTAAATTCAATCTTTACATTCATATACTAAGCAGTTACATGGAGTTAATTTGAATTTTTTATTCATTTAGTTGAAATAGGCAACGATGCTATAGGGGGAAAAAGTTTATTAGTCAGAATGTCCTTTCTGTATATCCTTAGTAGTCACTCACACAGATTGATATTGATACAACTTAATTTCCTAATTCTGAAAATTATTAATTAAAGCAACTTGGCCTGGTTTTCAGATCTAAATGTTTCTCCTTGAACCATTTTCTGATCCCTTTGCAATATTCGTCCTAAACATTAGAAATCCTAGTTTATTCTGGCTCTGATTCAATCTTCCAAAATTTCCTCTGTGTTTACTTTGGTCTTTTGGAAGAGGTCCAAGTTTGTCTCCAGTCTCTGAAAGGAGATGAATGAAACTGAAATTGCATTTACTGTTCTTTTGACTCTCATGTTTGTGCTCAAAGACAGATCTAATTTCTCTGGCAATTTTCATAAAGAAAAATTACCAAATTAATTTATTTTAGCACTCACTAAAACAGGGTTTATTCACAGCTATTATGACGTTCATTATTCTCATTTTTTATTAAAGAATAAAATCCTTATTCAAGGATAGATTACAGTTTTCACAGGTATCACTATAAAAAGCGTTATACAATCCCAAACATTTTGGAGCAACAAAAGTTAGACTCCTTTAGAGTTGAAGGAATTGAGGCCTGGAACAGTTAGAGGTTCATTCAAGGTCATATGGCTGATTACTGGCCAACTTAGGACTGAAAGCTCAGTTTCGTATCACTTCTGATCTCTTCTCACTCCTGTGATTGCCAGTAGTGCTCAGATTATTCAACTGCTGATTTGATCTTCAAAGTTTTTATGGAATGTTGAAAAGTCAACTCTTTCTCTCATTCTTTCCATTACTGTGCACTGATATTATCTTACTCTCCCTCAAAAGAGAAATAGGAACAAATAAACATCAAAAATCATTATGTGCCATAAGTATGGAGAAAAGTATAAACTGCATATCTTGAGAAAATATGTAGCAAATAGATGATAGGGTGATAAGCACTGTAGAAGTAGATGACAAACCCAGAGATTGATGGATAGAAAATTCACCTACTATTAACATTTTCAACACATAACACTTAACTCCTCAAAGGTTTTTGTGCACACAAGCAAAAGAAACCACAGCTTAAGATCACCTATGAATTTTTAGCAGCCTGGGCATATATTTCAATTCAAGAATACAACATTTCGAGAATTGTCCTACAAAGATGTAAACTATTTTAAATTGCTTGGGAGAAGATGCTTCACACAAGACAAAATAAAGTTGTTATAATGATTTTCTTATGTCCCATATTCTTTCTGATTATTAGTTGATAAATGCACTCAAGCACCAACAAAAGAAAATAAATATGTACCTGGTCTTATGCAATAGCTATGTTTCAGAAAATTCATGAATCAGTCTTTTTTGGTACATGATGATCTAGGTAACTAGATGTCTAGGTAAGGTCTCAGAGGTGTGCATCCAGCTCTTTGAGGGAGTAAGCACACTGAGGGACTTCATCCTTACTTGGAAGGTTTAGGGCAGTTCTCAGCTTGGTCACACTTTATAATCAGTTGGACAGCTTATAAAAAATAACAAGGCCCAGGGCCCACCCCAGGTGAATTAGGTCAAAACCTCTTTCAAGAGCAGTTTCATTGGACTGAAGCTAATGAAACTTGAAACAAGTGGGTTTAAGGAAAAACATAAAGAGGGGAATGAGAGTCAGAAAATACAAGTAACTCAAGGAGTGTTCAACAAAAGGGAATCAGAGAAACAAAGTAATCATTGGAAGTAGATTGAAAAATAAAGGAAGGTTTTATTTGTTAAGTTTTGGTTTCATTTGTTTGTTTTGGGGTTTTATCTGTTTTTAAAGGTGGAAAATACTATAACATATCTGTGTGTTGATGGATATGATCCAACAGAAAAGAAGTTTTTATCATAGGAGAAAGACGTGATACTCACTGGTGTGATGGCTTTGAATAAACTAAAGGGCATGGGAGCACAGGACAGGGGCTGGCCTTACACTGCAGCAGGACAGTTCACCTCCAGGACAGGAGGAAAGGCAGACATGTTCAGGTGGTGGAAACACACAAAAGTGCCCTCTGATAGCTTTTATTTTCTCAGTGAAAAAAATATATATATATGGTCATCAAGAAAGAGTTAGGAATGCGGTGGGATAGATATTGCAGATCTGCAGACAGGGCAGATGTAAAATAATCAGGCAACTCAGTGAATGAAATGTCACCTCATTGGTCTGTTTTACCAGAAACTCAATGCCATTCAAAAATGAAATGCATTATTCTCTTACGCTTTGATCTCAGTGAGTCTATTCTGGGACCTAACGACCAGCATTTCCTCTTATACAGGTGTGAAACCACACTCCTCTAGTTCATTCTAGTCTTGCAAGAGGTAAATAAAGCTTGTCAGTCTCTACTTTGCAAAATATTTCTTCCTTTTTTCAAAACTCAAAATGATACTTGCTTATCTCCAGTTTGCCAATTCCCATTCTCCAGAATTTCTTAATGATAAAACCACTGAAAATTGCTCAGCAATCTCATTTTTGACTACTCTCAAGACTCCCCCACCCCAGTATAATTCTGTTGAATTAGTACATGTGAACTCATTTAAAAATACTAGGATCTCCATCTCTCTACCCTGCACATAATGCAGAATAGTGAGAAATTCCTAACCTAACCTTACTGAGCTCTTTTTTAAAAGATTAACTTTATTGTGCATATTTAGGTTTACAACATGATGTTATAGGATATATAGAGATAGTAAAATGGTTATTATAGTGAAGCAGATTCACGTGCCTATCATTTTACATAGTTACTTGTTTGTGACAAGAGCAGCTAAAGTCTATTGTACAGTTCCTCATACAATTTTATTAACTTTAGTCCTCATGTTGTACATTAGATTACTAAATTTGTCCGAATTATATTCTGTGTTGTCAGACCGGCCTGTTACACATCTGGTAAATTCTGTCCCATTTTGCTTATTTCTAAACTCTTAAATAATCTGACAGTTTACAGGCACTCATAAGTACCTCTGCATAAAGTTTAAACGAATGCACTCTTAATCGTTTTCCTTCTTGACCAGTTTCACCTTCTACTCAGTTCAGAGTGTACTTTACTTGTTCATATTATGCCTTCATTTTAAAATTATTTTATATGTTAAAATATAATTAATTCACAGATAAAGATATAGACAGAGAGAAAGAGATAGTATATGAATAGGTATAGGTAGGGGTATGAGAAAGTGTATGTATAGATACAGATCTGGATACGGTTTAAACATACAGATTTTATTTTATATACACAAGATTAGATATGTATATGATTTTATATTGATACTATTTTATTTTAGGTGCAGCAGCTCAATGTAGGGGGCACAGAAGCAAAGTCTGTTAAGCCAAACAAAAGAACCTCATATCCTCCCTTAGGAACTTACTCATTATAAAGACGTTGAAAAATGGCTTAAATTCTCTAACTAAAATAACTCCTTCATTGTGGAATTCTTGTATTTAAGGACAGTGTTTGTAAAATTCCAGCACATAGTAAGTTCCCAGTGAATTGTTATTATTATTACACTTTTCACAAGTCACTTATTTTTTCTGCAATGCCAGACATTTTAAATCACAATAATAAACAAATGCCTGCTGAGTTGGATATTGCCATGATTTGATCTTGTTAAGAGTAATGAGTAAATTGGTGGGGTTAATGTTTTCACATTTTGAAAGAAGCTTTTTTTTTTTTTTTTTTTTTTTTTTTGGTTTCAGACGGAGTCTCGCTCTATTGCCCAGGCTGGAGTGCAGTGGTGCAATCTCGGCTCACTGCAAGCTCCGCTTTCCAGGTTCACGCCATTCTCCTGCCTCAGCCTCCCGAACAGCTGGGACTACAGGCACCCGCCACCACGCCCGGCTAATTTTTTGTATTTTTAGTAGAGATGTGGTTTCACCTGTGTTAGCCAGGATGGTCTCGATCTCCTGACCTCGTGATCCACCCGCCTTGGCCTCCCAAAGTGGTGGGATTACAGGCGTGAGCCACCACGCTCGGCCAGAAAGAAGCCATTTTTTTGTGCAGTCTTCTAACATCTGTGGTACTGCTGCAATGAATCAATTTTTTTATACTCACAAATGAAATGAGATACCTATGTGACATTATGTTGCTGAAGTAGTCTATTTGCAAGCACATGCAAAGTTTTATGCTATAGTGTCCCAGCACATAAATTAGAAATAAAGGTAGTGGGCACTTCTACAAATAAAGAAATAACATTCAGCTTCTAGGACATAGTTCTTCATTTTCTTCTTGACCCATATCTCTTTCTCTCTCTCTCTCATTCTCTCTGTCTCTTCCTTCTTCCCTCCCCACCTTTTCTCTATCTTTTCTCTATCTTTCTCTCTCTCTTTGTCCATATATACCTCTGAAATGTATATATTTACTATTGCTTTTTGAACAATCACACTTACACTGTGAGACTTTACTTTTGACTTTTCTGTGTTTGTTCTGTTTTTCTAAATGCTATAGAAAGCAAAGTCCAACGATAGTTGAGCAATTTTTTGTGATTATATCTTCTGCTTTGCCTTTACATCAAGAATATTTTTGCTAAAACAAATACCTAGTAGAACTATATCTAGTTCATGTCACCAAAGCTGACTGGGGCAGGGGGAATTTCAAGGTCAGGAAAACAAAACTGAGGTGATTGGCTTGACAGAGAGACTAAAAAAATAAAAGTTACACTAGATCTAGAAAAATTTCCTTTAAATTAATTCCTGGAGCAAATCAATCTCCTAGCCTTTTTACATGTTGGCAAGTTAATAGAAAGACATAAGCTTATTTATTTGTTTGAATGATAACCAATCTAATAACATTTTGGCAAGTGAATAGAGAAAGCTAAAGAATAAAAATCCAGTATGACTTAAAGGAAGCAATTAAATTTTGGAAAAGGTGGCTTTTTCCTCTTTATAAGAATATATTCTCAAAATTGATGAAGGATTATTTTCACATATACCTCATTTGACTTGCATTTCTCAATATTCTGAATCAATAAATATATTTAAACTAGTGTTGTCAGAAACTGCGAGTGCATAGTTATTCTTGGTGGGTTTTTTTTTTCCTTTTTAATTTGTAAAAAGGCTGTACTCTTTTTAATTCAACTAAAAAAGCAACTTCATAAATACAAAAACCCAGACTTTGTACAAGGGATGAATTCCATAATGTACAAGTTTTAGATCTTTGATTTTGGGAAAGATATTTGACCTCAGTGAGTCTTAATATTCTCATTAATAAAATGGGAAAAATAACAACAATGCTGACATTACAGATTATTTAAGATTTAAAATCCATATTTCATGAAAAGTAGCTATCATGGTTAATTTTATGTATCAACTTGGCTAGATAGCTGCTAAAACACTATTTCTGGGTGTGTTCATGAGGGTGTTTCCAGAAGAGATGAGCATTTGAATCAGTAAACTGAGTAAAGATCAGCCCTCACCATGTGGTCAGGCATTACCCAATCTGTTGAGGGCCTGAATAGAACAAAAAGGCAGAGGCAGGGTAAATTCTCTGTCTTCTTGAGCTGAGATATCCATCTTTTCATGTCCTTGGACATCAGAGCTCCTGGTTCTCAAGTCTTTGAACTTGGACTGAATTACACCATCAGCTTTCCTGGTCCTCCAGCTTGTGGATGGCAGATGGGAGGACTTCTTGATTTCCATAGTGGTGGGAACCAATTTCCATGACAAATCTCTCTTATGTATCTATATATAGACTATTGCTTCTGTTACTCTGGAATACAGCACCTGATAAATATTCTTATGAAAATGGGCCAGTAGTCTGGTACTTCAACTCCCCAGGAGTATATGTTAGTTGCCTTTCTTTTTTTGTGCGTTAGTATTTTCAAAACACATATATTTCTAGGAGTTTTTTAATGTTCAGGAGACTTTTTAATAAGAACTATGAAAAAGAACTCTCCAAACCAAGAAGAAATCCCTGATTTACCTGAAAAAGAATTCAGAAGTTTAGTTATCAAGCTAATCAGGGAGGCACCAGAGAAAGGCAAAGCCCAATGCAAGGAAATCCAAAAAACAATACAGGAAGTGAAGGGAGAAATATTCAAGGAAATAGATAGCTTAAAGAAAAAAACAATCAAAACTTCAGGAAACATTGGATACACTTATAGAAATGCAAAATGCTCCAGAAAATCTCAGCAATAGAATTGAACAAGTAGAAGAAAGGAATTCAGAGCTTGAAGACGAGATCTTCAAATTAACCCAATCCAACAAAGACAAAGAAAAAAGAATAAGAAAATATGAACAAAGCCGCCAAGAAGTCTGTGATTCTGTTAAATGACCAAACCTAAGAATAATTGGTGTTCCTGAGGAAGAAGAGAAATCTAGAAGTTTGGAAAATATATTTGGGGGAATAATCAAGGAAAACTTTCTGGCCTTGCTAGAGACCTAGACATCCAAATACAAGAAGCACAAAGAAAACCTGGGAAATTCGTTGCAAAAAGATTATCACCTAGGAGAAGACATTTATGCAGCCAAAAAACACATGAAAAAATGCTCATCATCACTGGCCATCAGAGAAATGCAAATCAAAACCACAATGAGATACTATCTCACACCAGTTAGAATGGCAATCATTAAAAAGTCAGGAAACAACAGGTGCTGGAGAGGATGTGGAGAAATAGGAACACTTTTACACTGTTGGTGGGACTGTAAACTAGTTCAACCATTGTGGAAGTCAGTGTGGCGATTCCTCAGGGATCTAGAACTAGAAATACCATTTGACCCAGCCATCCCATTACTGGGTATATACCCAAAGGACTATAAATCATGCTGCTATAAAGACACATGCACACGTATGTTTATTGCGGCATTATTCACGATAGCAAACACTTGGAACCAACCCAAATGTCCAACAATGATAGACTGGATTAAGAAAATGTGGCACATATACACCATGGAATACTATGCAGCCATAAAAAATGATGATTTCATGTCCTTTGTAGGGACATGGATGAAATTGGAAATCATCATTCTCAGTAAACTATCGCAAGAACAAAAAACCAAACACCGCATATTCTCACTCATAGGTGGGATTTGAACAATGAGATCACATGGACACAGGAAGGGGAATATCACAGTCTGGGGACTGTTGTGGGGTGGGGGGAGGGGGGAGGGATAGCATTGGGAGATATACCTAATGCTAGATGACGAGTTAGTGGGTGCAGCGCACCTGCATGGCACATGTATACATATGTCACTAACCTGCACAATGTGCACATGTACCCTAAAACTTAAAGTACAATAAAAATAAAAAGATTATCACCTAGGCATATTGTCATCAGGTTATCTAAAGTTAAGACAAAGAAAATGATTTTAAGAGCTGTGAGACAAAAGCACCAGGTAACCTATAAAGAAAAACCTGTCAGATTAACAGCAGATTTCTCAGCAGAAACCGTATAAGTTAGAAGGGATTGGGGCCCTATCTTCAGCCTCCTCAAACAAAACAATTATCAGCCAAGAATTTTGTATCCAGAAAAACTAGGCATCATATATGAAGGAAAGATACAGTCCTTTTCAGACAAACAAATGCTGTAAGAATTTGCCACTACCAAGCCACCAGTACAAGAACTGTTAAAAGGAGCTCTAAATCTTGAAACAAATGCTGGACACATCAAAACAGAACCTCTTTAAAGCATAAAGCTCACAGAACCTATAAAACCAAAATACAATTTAAAAATCAAAAACAAACAAACAAACAAAAAACCCCAAAGTATGCAGGCAACAAATAGCACAACGAATGGAGTGGTACTTCACATCTCAATACTAACATTCAATGTAAATGGCCTAAATGCTTCACTTAAAAGATACAGAACAGCAGAATGAATAAAAATTGACCAACTATCTGCTGCCTTCAAGAGACTCACCTAACTCATTAGGACTCACATAAACTTAAAGTAAATGGGTGGGAAAAGGTATTTCATGCAAATGGACACCAAAAGTAAGCTTGGGTAGCTATTCTTATATCAAACAAAACAAACTTTAAAGAAACAGCAGTTAGAAAAGACAAAGAGGACATTATATAATGGTAAAAGGCCTTGTCCAACAGGAAAATATCACAGTCTTAAACATATATACACCTAACACTGGAGCTCCCAAATTTATAGAACAATTTCTGCTATGAAATGAGATACACAGCAATACAATAATAGTGGGGGACTCCAATACTCCACTGACAGCACTAGACAGGTCATCAAGACAGAAAGTCAACAAAGAAACAATGGATTTAAACTACACCTTGGAATAAATGGACTTAACAGATATATAAAGAACATTCCATCTAATAACTGAAGAATACATGTTCTATTCAACAGTGCATGGATGCTTCTCCAAGATAGACCATATGATAGGCCACAAAATGAGACTCTATAAATTTAAGAAAATCAAAATTATATCAAGCACTCTCTCTGACCCCAATGGAATAAAACTGGAAATCAACTCCAAAAAGGACCTCAAAACCATGCAAAAACATGGAAATTAAATAACCTGCTCCTAAATGATCATTGGGCCAAAAACAAAATCAAGATGGAAATTAAAAAATTCTTCAGACTGAACAACAATGGTGATACAATCTATCAAAACCTCCGGGATACAGCAAAGGCAGTGCTAAGAGGAAAGTTCACAGCCCTAAACACCTACATTAAAATGACCAAAAGAGCACAAACTGACATTCTAAGGTCACACCTCAAGGAACTAGAGAAACAAGAACAAAACAAACCCAAACCCAGCAGAAGAACAGAAATAACCAAGATCAGAACAGAACTAAATAAAATTGAAACAATAAAAAAATTCAAAGGATAAATGAAACAAAAAGCTGGTTCTTTGAAAAGATAAATAGAATTGATAGACCATTAACAAGATTAACCAAGAAAAGAAGAGAGAAAATCCAAATAACCTCAATAAGAAACAAAATGGGAAATGTTACAACTGACACCACAGAAATACGAAAGATCATTCAAGGCTACTACGAACAACTTTATGCACATAAACTTGAAAACCTGGAAAAGATAGATACATTCCTAGAAAAATACAACCCTCCTAGCTTAAATCAGGAAGAATTACATACCCTAAACAGACCAATAAAAAGCAGTGAGATTGAAATGATAGTTTTAAAATTACCAACAAAATAAGTCCAGGATCAGACAGATTCACAGCAGAATTATACCAGACATTCAAAGAAGGATTGGTACCAATCCTATTGATAGTATTTCACAAGATAGAGAAAGGGAACCCTCCTTAATTCATTCTATGAAGCCAGCATCACCCTAATACAAAAACCAGGAAAGGACATAACCAAAAAAGAAAACAACAGACCAATATCCCTGATGAACATAGATACTAAAATCCTTAACAAAATACTTGCTAGCCAAATCCAACAACATATCAAAAAGATAATTCACTATGATGAAGTTGGAGAAATGGAAACTCTAAAAATTATAATAGTAACAAACATTTGTTTACTATTTTTAAGTGCATCATATCAATTATAAGACAAACATTAGCAACCCATTAAAGGATTGTTATTTTAAAATATACTTTAGCAAAAAATTTGAAGCTTACACAGATTAGAAAATATGCTCAATGTCCCCTAGCTAGTGATTAGCAAACCTGGTACTTGAACCCAAAGTCCTGAGTTCAGGGCCCAACTCTTAACCACCCTGCTGTCAACATCTGGGCTGGGTGCAGGGGCTCATGCCTGTAATCCCAGCACTTTGGGAGGCTCAGGCGGGCAGATCACCTGAGGTCAGGAGTTCAAGAGCAGCCTGGCCAGCATGGTGAAACCCCGTCTCTACTAAAAATACAAAAATTAGCTGGACGTGGTGGTGCACACCTACAATCTCAGCTACTCAGGAGGCTGAAGCAGGAGAATTGCTTGCTTGAACCGGGAGGCGGAGGTTGCAGTGAGCTGAGATCACACCACTGCACTCCAGGCTGGGTGACAGAGCGAGACTCCATCTCAAAAACAAACAGACAAACATCTACGTGGGGGTAGGTACAAAAAAACCCAAAGAAATACTTCAGGTGGGTGCAGCAAAAGGAAAAGAAAGCTCTTCTTGTATAAAATTCTAAAGACAACAATATAACTTATGTCTCTTTCCAGATATTTTCTATTTGTCAGTACAATTAACTGCAAGACCATTCTAGCACACATCTCTTCAACCAAAATTTTCTGCCAAGAGCCATGCACCCAGCACCAGATGACCTTAGAGACAAAGAAAAGATCAGATACCAAAATAAATACTTGATATGGAAAATTGGGGAAAGAATATAAATTTTCAAATCCAATCTTTAACATAAAACTATTTCTCAAAGTTTCAAATGCCCCACAATAGAAAGATGCAATTCTATAAATTAAGATATCAAAAGGTAAAATACACTATTAAAGTATAATTGAGTTCAAAGGCTACACCAAACTCTACAGCCTGTGAAACAAGAATGGATACAATGATTTAATATGAATCAGCACACTCATTATCAGCTAAAATAAAATAAAATGAATTTTCTTTATAGTAGGCCAAAAAAAGTAGCAAACTTAGCTGTATATAATTAAAAGCATAAAGAGGTTTGAAATTAAAAATGTTTAATTAAAAAAATTAAAAAGTTAAAAAGAGGTTTGAAAGAAATAACCTATAAACACTTTGTTGCATTAAAATATAAGCAAGGTAAAGTGGTATGTCTACTAGAGAAGTGAACCTTTTTATTATTAACAACTCTGAACTTATAAATGATGGATATTTAAGTGACACTTAGAAGATATTGGAGCCTTTCTAGTTGAGCGTACAAATTGGTAAATTGTGTATATAATGGATGATTAGGTGAGCACAATTAGACTCTGTGCTCACAATCCAACCTGACATGCTTAATCATCATATTTGTATTTCATTGAGAATAGTTTACACACAAACACACAAATTACAAAGGTTTTGTGCTATGTATTTTCACTCTTACAGTTTTTATTTCTGATAGAGACAAAAAATCCCTTTGTGTGTTTTTCCTTTGAAGTTAATCTTATTTTCTATATTATGTTTGTCATATAAAACCCTTAGGCTGTTAGACTATGCATTTATTGTTTGCCAATTACTTTAGTTATATCTGTGTGCCCTGCATCCAATCTGGCAGCTCTGTGGAGTAGAGTGAGGAAGGAGATATATTTTCTTGCCTTTTGGACATGCTGTCTGCATTTTCCAATAATATCTTAAATATTTCTAACATCCAGAACAAAAATGAAAATTTTATAGAGAAACTGGTAAAGAATAGTATCCTATACAATTTTCTGTTTTAACTCTCACTTCAACACAGCTAATCCTTACATTTATACTTTACATTTCCATTCCATTTGATAAGTAGCCCAGAAAGATCTTTCAATATCAGGTTTATAGATTGGGAAACTGAGGTTTAATAAGGCTGTGTGTTTTTTCAAAAGCCACTGCTTCTCCGCAATGTTCTGATGTATCTCACGGAACAGAAAAAGGTGGCATGCTCTGTTTACTCATACAAAAGACTTACTACAGACTTCAGCTCAGCACTTCCCAAGCTTTCCACCTCTTGGCTGGACATTTCTATGTGAATGCCTCTCCTACACAAAATAATATGCCTGCCTGTTATCCCTGCATCTTATCTCCTTCCTGACTTCCTCACCTTCAACCATACAGGAATGACTCTTCCTTTTGATACTCTCATCTGATCATCAGCAAGCCTTTTCCGTTAGCCCTTTATTTAATTTGTCCCTTCTTTTGCATCATTACTTTCCACCTACGATATCTGACCACATAAACATCATGTCAGATCTACTGCAAAAGAAATCCACTAACCTTGATGCTTCACATCCTGTCCTCTGCAGTCCACCATGTGATTCATTCAAAACTCTACCTCCATTATGTATTTGCATTTGTCTATTATGTAACTTAAAAAAAATAGCCAAAACAAATAACTGATATCAAGGGTCTAATACAGTGCCAGATGGCATGCTAAGTGTGTTACATCAGTTACCTCAAACAAGCCTCTTAGTAATCAGAAGGCGATGTACTCTGGTTGACTCTATTTTACAGGCAGAAAAATTTAACTTTTGAGACATTGATTAATTTGCCCAAGATCACATTAATAATGAATCTAGTATTTATACACAAGAAATGTGATTCTAGGGCTCAAACTTTGAACTGCTATCCTAAATACATACAGGAATGTTTCTTGTGAACTGGAAGTGGCAAAAGAGAAAGCCAAGTGAGAGCCATTTGGAAGTGGCAGGGGAGGAGGTGAGGACAACATGAAAAGGCCTCTGAGATCCTTCAGAGCATGTGTTTCCAAGAGGGGTAACTTGGGGAGCCAGGAGTTGCTTTCTCTAAGTGTTTTTTTTTTTTTTTTGCCATCATATTTCTTTTCATTTCAATAGTGAATAGTTTCTAAAATCTGGCATGGTATCAGCAAGGTAATGGGTTTCCAAAGAAACGGCAGTTTGGCTTGTGGAAAATTAGCAAAATGTTACAACAATGAATAGAACGATGGTAGCACAAAAGAAATACCCAGTTTATATTCTTTCCTTGTGTGAAGAGACGTTCAAATAGAATAAAGCAGACTTTTAGTGGTTTTCTTTCTTGGATATTTTTTGTACACTACATTTGGTGATCAGTCAAGGAAGGGACTCAATTACTTTTAATTATGGACAGAGGATAGATAGAAAAACTGCATTTCAAAATTCTATTTGGAGATGTAATTTGAATCAAAACCAAACTCCATCACACTGACTAAAAGGCTTTGGGGAATCCAAAGTAAAAGCAAAGACAGTATGTGGAGACTTTTTAGTTTTATATTATATCTATTTGACACCAGTGGAGACATTTGAACTGTTTTCAGGTGGTATGCCATGAGATGCTGGAATTCTGAACGATTCCCTCCACCCTCTCCACAGTTCGTGCATCAAGACGCTGATGGGAGTGGTGAATTCAGTTTAATATTGGAGTCCTGGAACTCCCCACGCAAATTCTGTCCCTGTACTCGTTAGGCTTCCTTGATTGTAAGCATCAGAAATGAATTTCTGGTTAACTTAAATGAAAAAGAGAATTCAACAGGGCAAGTTTGGGGAGCTCAAAATGGAACTGAGGCTGAAAGCCAGGCTTGGAGGCAAATCAGCATCAAACGAAGGACCAGACAAGCTATGGACGTCGAGGCCACAGGACCACCTTGACCACCTTCAGGACATTTCACAGGAGTGAGTAAACTCAATTGTCTTTTTCATTCTTGTAACACTTGGCTCTGGATTCTGAGTTCCCTAAAATAACAAAATGTGATTACTTTTGTCTGAGAAACCTGTCCATTTGGGGCTAAGGGCATGCAGAAACCTTGATTTATAGCCCCAGTAAGACTACACAGAGTTAGATAAGTTATTCGTCAAAAGAAATCAGGGCACTGTTTGGAAAGAGGAAGGGTTGTTGGACAGTCAAAAAACCAAATGGTGAGTTTATATAATAGAAGTTGTTACAGGATTGCAAGCTTCTTATTTTTGGACGTATTCGAAAAATAGGTTTATTTTCTCTAGAAAAGAGAAAGCCTTGAAATCTATACATTACAGATTTCCAAGAATCTACAGAATTGCTAGGAAGAGACTGACCAGTTGCTCTCCATATCCGACTAGGAGCTAAATAGATTTTAGCTAAATGAACCCTGGCTCAATACAAGCTAAAATGTAAGTAAAATCAGTTCCTCATCAGGAAAAATTTCAATATAGTAAAGGGAATAAAACAATAGATAGTGGGTAAGAGTAACCTTTTATTTATTACATTTTTTTAGTGTACATAAACCAAGAGCTTGAAGGTGTGTTGGAGATTATCTAAGACAAACTTTGTAAGTTAGAAAACTGAGACTCACAGAGTTAAAATGACTCACACAAGGTCACACATATGCTCAGTATCAAAAACAAATCTACTACCTGGATTTTCTAATTTATAGCAACACTCACTATTCTCCATTGTTTCCTTGGGCCTGATGTGTCGTGGTTGATTTAGACACACACTAAGTGAAGGTAATTTCTTGGATTTGCTTTTGATTCTATTATCTGCAGTTGTATGATATAACTTTATTTCCCCAACATGCAAATTTGAAAATGAAGTATTTCATCAAATTAAGCTGCCACTAATTGTAAGATGCACCAGCATTATGTTTTGATTTCCTAGTGATGTTTTCTTGCTACTTAATATTTTTATTTCATACTTAGTAAAAGAGTTCTTTCAGTCTCATTTACACATGGATTTTTATCATTACTATTATTCACAAGTTAAAAGGAAAATATAAGCAAAATATATATGAACTAATACTTTAAACACTTCTGCATGTGTAGAATCCAACCTTCCTGTGCTATGTTTCATCTCAGAGCCACAGAGAACACATTACACTAATGTTAACCTCTCTGCCATCAAGAGCATTGGTGATGCAGCATTCCTTAAAATTGTCCCCATGATTTTCTTTTAAGCTACTGACACCCATTCTGTACTCGTATTTCTTCTTCAGATAGTCCCGATGGTTTTGGCTGAAATGTGAAGAGGCTGCCATTGTCCGGTCATGCCACCAAGAATAACAATTGTACACACATGTACACGCAATGACACCTTTCTTACTGCTGCCATCTGATCAACAGCAATTGCAAAACTCTATCGAATTTAGTCACATCCTAACTCAGGGATGTTAAAATATGAAGCAGTAAGTGTATAAAACCAATGAAACACAGCAAGTTTTTACTTTACTTCTTGAAATGTGTATGAGAAAAGAGTTTCCATCTTGTTGTAAAATTTACTTAGCCTTTACATACAATTGCATGTGTGTAATGTGTGTGTATGTGTATAAATTATATATTGTTATGGAAGTAGAGTAAGCTTCCTCTAGGTATTTCTGGTTGAGATTCATGTGGAGAGAGACAGGTATCTATATTACTCTTACTCCCCAGCCAGTGCCCCAGGATATGTTGTCAGCCTCAATTGAATTAGATCAAAGAGCTGATTTTTCAATACTCTGAAAAATTCAGATTTTTAAAAGATGATCTTCAACTTCCTTGTTTGCTTCAAAATCTTCTTTTATGGTATCACATTTAGAAATTAGCATTTTGGGGGAAAGTAAACAGAATATTTGACATACATAAAAAAATTAACCCACAGTTATGAAGACAGTTGTGCTAGCTTCCTAGGAAAACCATAACCTTGTTGTTCATAGCGTGGCCCATGGAACAGCAGCAGCAGCATCACCTGGGAACTTGTTAGCAACGCAGACCCCAGCTCACCCTAGACCTCCAGAACCAGAGTCTTCATTTTACCAATATCCCCAGGGGAGACAAATATGCATTGCAGCTCCAGAAGCACTGGCCTAAAAGATGGGCTGTTGAGTTAAAGCTGAGTACACATTTCCCAGAAACATAGGGTTGCTGTAACCATTTTATTGCTGCGGCTGACATACATAGCTATTAGGCTTGGAGGCATTTCCAGTCTGACTGCTAGTTCCTAGCAGAGTTTCAATCTTCAGAGGTGAATAAGGCAAGGAAAAGAAAGTGGGTGACGAAGGGCACAAATCTTTACCAAGGCGACTGAATCTTTAAGTAGTGGAACAATGAAGAGAGAGAGAGGCTGAAAGCTGGAGGAAAAACTCTCTTAGCTCAATCATCCATTCTATTTCATCAATCGCATTGAGTACTTTGTTCATGTCTCATGTTTAATCTTTCTCCCTATCTCAAACTTACCCATCTTCTCACACTCTCTCTGCTCTCCTTATGAAGTCTGGTGTGACTGCCTGAACTAAGCATTCTTTAACCAGGAGTTCAAGGATCCTGTAAGTCAAACATTATATGTTTAAAAAATGGGGTACAGGCATGTCTTCATTTTCGTCGGGAAAAATTCAATGCACTTAATAGAATTCCAAAAAGGACTCCAATCAATCATTCAATAAAAATCACTAGCACTCTAAGTCAGTCATTCTGGCCCACCATCTGTTTTAAAGTCATTGATATAAACTTTTTAGTTGCAAAAATTATCCTTTGAGAATGGGCTCATTGTGGAGCAACTAATGCCCCAAAGCTAGTTCTGTGCTGTCATGTACTTTCTTCCAGGAAAACAAACAAGAAAACATGGAGATGGGGAAAAAATCATTTGGAGGACCTCACTGAACTATATAATCTTGTTGGCATCTCATCCCATCTTGCAGTCTTCCCTTCTGTATTCTCCACTTTTGCCACCTTTCACTCTGAAAGGATCACTGTCACCATTCCTCCCTCAGCTTTAGCTCCCCTGTGATCTTCCTAAAGCGCGACATAAATGTTAAAAGCTATATTGTTCTACAGTGTGTCCTTCCCTCTTTGTCTCTTTCTGTTTCAAAATCTTATTCAAGGAACAGCAAAGAAAGGTCAGGATTGGCCTTGGCTGGCTATCTCAATGTGCACCATCCCCTCACCCTTAGCCCGGGGGCCCACAAAAGGGGCGGTATCCTTTCATGCCTTTGAAATCATCAAGGGAAATCAAAGAAACCACTTCCAATCCTATCTTTATAACCAGAAGCCCATTGATCAGTGTAGGTAAAGGGATAGCACATCAAGGGGGAATGGCATTTAGAAAGTATGATTTGATCCATACAACTTAGTGATCACTGCAAGCTTAAATCCCATCTGAGCTAGAGAATAAATCCATACTAGCGTCAGCTCTGAAACATCTCATTCATGAAACACAGGTAAGAAATCACCTTTAGTTGCCATTAATTATCAAATGCATTTGAGTTAAGTAACTACTTCACCTATGCAGTGATCCATATATAGAACTGCACAACTGAGAGAACAATGTAGCCACAGAAATTCAGTACTATAGGATTGCTAACACCAAGCCCAGGCCCTTCGTTTTACTTTTAAATGACTGGGAAATTTGCTCCCAAACGCTTAGCTCCTCTGAAACTTAGTTTATCTAAAAAATGAGAGTGGGATGAACTGCTTTCAAACAACACAGGTTAAAGGTTGAAACCTTGAACTCTGGAAGCAAAGAGAATTGAGTTCAAATTCAAACTCTGACACTCACCAACTCATGATCTTAATCAAATTACCCAACTACTAGAAGCCTCAGGTTTTTCCTCCACAAAATGGGGAGAATAATTGTGCCAACCTTAGAAGATATACATAAATGTGTGATACAATTCAATAATGTGGTCAGAATTACAAGAGTATTTAGTTCCTAATTATTAAAGAATATTTCAATTTACTCTGAGACTTGTTTTCCCTACTTATAAGGGTTATTGTGAATATCAACTGAAATAACATGTCAAAATATGGCAAAAATTGTATATAAGTTTTCAGATATAAGTGAATATTATTCACATTAATTCACCCTTCTTACTTTTAGAGGTATTACATTTTAAAAATCTCTATCATAATACTATTATTATAAGTATCAGATTGATTGATACATATTTAAAATCAAGAAAAAAAAACCTTAGACCTGGCAAAATGATTGTACATAGGAGATTTAAGAAAACACATCTCTAAAAATCAATTTCTAATCAGAAACTAGCATTGAAAAATGAAAATGACTAGTGTGGTTAATTAGATTGACCCCCAAAAAATTACTGTTAACTGAGATGGGGCTTATTTTCCATTTTCAATAGTATTAAGATGAATCAGATTATTTTTATTGGGCATAAATTTTAATCAGAACTGGTAAAAATAGCACCAAACCAAATGGATATCATCTTAATTCTGAGAAAGCTGAAAATAATGATTAACAATGAGGGAAAATATAACGGAAGAAATGTCATATCTCACCATTTCTATCCTTTTCTTCTAATGTTTGAGTTTCTTTCTCCTACATTTCTTATTTTTTTCTTTTCAAATATTTTAGATAGTACACACACAATAAGGTCTAGTTATTTAGAAAACAAATCAAACCAAAAACACTTGTATGAAGTTGTTGATATCCATAAATTTCCATGCTGTGGGATTTGGAAATGGTTTACAGCTGTTTAAACCACCTCCTTTATTACTGAAATTTTGAAAAGCACTTCATTAAAAATTGAACCTCATCAAGACAGTTAAAAGTCACAATTTCTTTTTTTCATTCAATTTCATATTCTTAAAGGACCTGTTGATGAAGCATGATAAAAATGAGAATTGGTAAAAGTCATACTTAAGTATTTTTTTTAAACCACTGAGGTACCGCTTCACAAAAATGATGTTGACCTGTTAGTTCTATCTTTTTTTCTCTGTGGGTATGACTCCATTTTGCAGGGAAGATATACATATTGGCATGTATTGAAATAGTCTGAATCAAATTATCATCTAGTTGAGATGGGGATGTAGCAAGGGGATGTCTCCATGACTCAAAATTCCTCAGAGAGGAACCGCAGTGTCAAACTTGTGATATGGTGTCAAGATGATATATGCTTTGAATTTTATTAACAGTATGGAGCATATTTCAGTGCTCATTCAAGTGTCATTCTAGAACTAGGTGAATGTTGCCAATAGAAGCGAATGGAGATCAACCCTTTTTTAACACTCTTGCTACCAAGTGCCTATAAAATGTTTATACCTATAATTGTGTCAAATTATGCTAATTGAGTACCGAAAAGACACTAGTATGTTGAAGTATTCAAAAAGTATAGTTCTCAGAATCTCGTGGGGCTCTTCAAGTTAGGCACTTGTGGGACCTTTTTTCCCTCTACCAAGTACTATCAAAGTACAATGTCTTAAAGTGTTATCTCAGTCTTAATTTAATTTCGAAAAGTAAGTGCCAAGAAAGCAAACTCATTTAAATCCTTGATTGTACATATATAAGGTATTAAGCGTTTTCCCTTCCAGTAGTTTTTTTTTTCCATCCCAGTTGTACTAACATCAGTGAGAAATACTTATTTTATATAAAGTTTGTGTTGATTGTAAAGAGACTTCAAGCATAGTTTGGGATCTTTAACATCCTCAGCCACTGGCAGATGTAACAATAAATCAGGTATGATCGTGAGTCAGGAAGAAAGTGAAATAAACTATTGGTTACTAGGAGACATTTTTTTTTTCCAGCTCCTTCTCTCAGGTCAAAATAAATAGGGATTTTTCTGAATGTCATTACAGAAGAATATAACTTCAATGACTTCTCAATTTTATGGAGAATATTCTACTTCTAGAAATATAGATAACAATCCTTGAGATTCCAAATTCTGACCATATTCTATTAAAATCATTTTTCCACTTTTCTGCTAAACTGTATTTAATCCTTTGTGTCAATGTGCTGGGGAAGATAGTAAAGATATATCTGAACTTTGCCTTAAACTTCTTTAATCTTTTTTTAAGCTCTCATTCATGTGACACAGCTTCAGCAATCTGATTTCAACACCCCATCTCCCAGGGGAAAAAATGCTAAGATTTCCAAGTTCAGAGACTAGTGTGAAACTGGTTCTCCTCAACTAAAAGGTATTTAATTCTAACTGCAAATTCTCTCTCTACAGTGCCTCCTGGAGGCCTTTCAAGTCTTTTGAATTCCAGTGGTAGTAAAGAGGTCTTTTGTAGCGGCTAAAGTGTTCCTAGTGCTGAGGGGATTGGGAATGGCATATGGCACAGGCGGTCACAGATAATTTTTATACAATGTAGAAAACATCAACCCTCTTACAAGGTAGCATAGGCCGCCAAGAACACGTTTGCCCAAAACCTTTGTTCTCTCTGCTAGTTACAAGCACAACTTAGCAACCAATTTAAAGTGCTGTTTCATTTTCAAGGCCGGCCCTTAATGATGTGGGATTCAGCTATGGAAGAAACCAACTGATATCGCATGTTCTGCCACATTCCCTTCACTTTTCTACAGCACACACGGAAGAATAAATCTCTCTAGAAATGTTCACTTGCAGGCCTGAGAGTCTATTCTTGGCCCATGTCCCTTCTCACCCAATTCCAAGAGTACTCTCCAGTGTGAAGTAGTTCTGAACTACTTTGCCTGTAAACAAGGAATCCAACTGTTTTTGACCATTCATCATGTTTCTATCCAATGTCCTTTATCCCAGTTAAAATAAAAGTCACTTTACCTCATGTCCCTTTGGTATACTTCTAATATTTTTCAACAAAAAAAAAACTGATATATTCCAATAGCAGTGATATTCCCATGCCTAAGGATATCTGCTGGCAGATGTGAAGCAAGTTGGAGTTCTCTAGGCCTGAACTGACAATTAAAACATGTAGCCCAGATTGGTGATGATTACTGTCTACCAGTTATCCAAAGTCTTTATGGCCCGAGCTGATAGTGACAGTCCATGCTATGGCAACAAAACCAAATCACAATTTAAGTGAATGCTTAATAAAAAGCCTTTCATTTATGAACAGCTTTAGCAATTGCTTCCTTTGTAACAGAAAAAGCAAGAGAAAGAGTCAGAGATTACAGTCTGCTAGTACCATAGGGCAAGAATGGTGGAATGATTTTTGTTTAAACCTTAGCCTTCCAGAGCAAAAATATAAATGATTACCACTATAATAAATAAGCTACTTAATTACACAACTGTTGTACCTTACACAGAAGCTAAATTTTAAATAGATGCTGTATTTTAAAAAGAAAATGTCATCAGGACACTCAATATCTTAATGCAGGTTAGATTCCCTTTTCCTGCAACTATGCTAGACAATGAAGGAGCCCATTGGGTTGTTATTCCTACAGCTACTACAGCTAGAAAGAAGATAGTCTCTCTAGGGCAGAAACAACTGATTTAGCCAACCTAGCCCTTAGCAATTTTTTCCCTTTTGGACTTTGTAATCTCTTGTAGAAAAAGGAATTTTGTTGTTCATTGCACTTCAAGTCAGTGCCAGTTTTAATGGATCCATTTATCTGACAGGCGTTTTGACACCTTCCTATATTTCTTAGCAAAGACCAGGCAACAAAGTGAAAAGGAACATATATGAAATTATTGAAATTATTTTAACAGATGGCTCATTCGGACCATGAACTCAACTTTTAGAGGCATAATCTCTACAACTGTAGCAGAAAGTAAGAAAATGTTAAATAAATAAAATAAATAAATGCTGATGGGGTATCTTATGGAGACACAGGAGCTCCCAGTGGCCAAAGGTGGAACTATTTGAGAAAACAAAAATTAAGTAGCATTGGATTATAACCCAAAGCATAAAATAAATATACATGAGTCTATATTACTATAAATAAATGTCAAATAAATAAGAAATAAACAAATACATAGAAGAAGACAAATCTTTCATGCAGAAGAATTCTGAATAATTTATATAGATAATATAGATACACACTCATCAAGGAAATAGAGCATGACTCTCCACTCCATAAGGGTGGGCTGCTCATTGTGACTCTTTTCAAAGGTACAATATGAAAAAATAGAAAGAAGAGAAAGATTGCAGTGTAGAAACGAGAAACACTACCTCAACCAGGTCATCGAGGTCAATAACAATAGTGATAAATCATGTTGATATTATTTTCCTTGATGCTATATGATGAAAATGGCACTTTACCTCTGTGATCACCTTTCCCAAAACCCATAACTCCAGTCTAGGCTTGAGAAAACATCAGACAAAATCCATTTGAAGGACATTCCATAAAAGCCTGACCAGTGTTCCTTAAAACTGTGAAGGTCATCAAAAACAAGCAAATGGTGAGAAGCTGTCACAGTCAAGAGGGGCCTAAGGAGACATAGCTACTAAGTGCAATATGGGATCCTGGAACAGAAAAAGAACATTAGGTAAAAACTAAGGAAATCTGAATAAAGTATAGACTTTAGTTAAAAATAGCATTTCAGTATTTGATTATTAGTTGCTATACTAATATAAATGTAATAATAGGAAATTAAATGTAGAGTATACAGGAACTCTGTAATATCCTCATATTTTTCTGTAAATCAAAAATTATTTTAAAATATTTAATCTCTACAACCCATGGAATTTGTCGGCAGTTTCCTTCCATCATAATCCTAGCTCTATCTTACCTAAGCCAGCTTGCTTTCCATCACAGATTCATGCTTATACACACACATGCATATATAGATAATATGTTATCACAGTCATTAAGACCATTCACCATATTTCTCATTTTCCTGACCCTTTCAAATTTAGGCATAACCTTATTACTTGCTCCGTCCAGTGAAATGTGAGGGGAAGTAAAATGCATCCCTTTCAGCTGCAAGATTTAATAGCTAATGCCAAATTCACCACATTTCCTTCTTCCTGCCACATGGTTGAGATCGAACCTTCCTAGTCTGGGTCTCTGAGTAACTACAATGAGCAGAGCTCTATGCTGCCCTGCATTGGGAGAGAAATAAACTTTGATGTATTTAACCAATGAGAATTAAAGATTGTTTGTTACTACAGTATAACTTGGCGCTCCTAGCAGATACATATCTGTATGTGTTATCAATGGGTAGCACAGTAAGTCACAAAAAATCACAGCATAAATTCCTTAGGGGATACAATGTGCTTATTTTAGGGGACTAAAATAAGCATTTTAGGCAGAGCTAGAAAGGGAATAGTGAGAGGTCTTTTACGATTGGTTTACTGCCAATTTAGAATTTTAAAACTTTTTTAATAATTATCTTAGATTATAGCTACAGAAAGTCGTCTTCAGTTGTGAATAGGAAAACCCTTTCTGTTGTAGTTGATACTGGATTTTGTAGGTAGCTTTAGGGTTAAATTCATCATGTCTGGAGATAATTTGGGAGTTTGCTCTCTTCTCAATTGACCTTTAACAATGGCTTTCTTTTCATTAATGAGAAAAGACAAGTAAAATGGCTAATACTTTTAAAAGAAAATATATTTTTCACAAAAAGAAAAAATCTTGAAAACACATCAGCAATAAAGCTATGTGAAGACTCATTTTCATAACACAATTTTAAGAGGAAAAGCAATCTTTTATGGTCCTTATAAATAATTTAGTTAGATATTCCTTCCACACTGATGTACATTAAAAAACATAAAAATTGTTGTAGAGAAATAAACTAATGACCCTCTTGAGAATGTATAAAACCACCATAATGCACTTGATAGTGCAGTACTCTGGGGTATCAAGAAAGGATAATTCTTTCATTTCCCTTCTCAGAGCTCCATTTCTGCAGGAAGCATTAGGATTTTAAAACTTCAGGGCCCTGAACCAGACTCCAGTCATAGCCATATGTTTCCACCTTCAATGATGTCTTCTGGCACCAAGTTCCAAAATCAAAATTTGTTTTATTTAAAATATATTTGTCAAGTTAGAGGCATTCACTAAGCACACAAACATCACTGGGCCTGGGGAGTTCAATAATTGTCATGCAAACTGCACTGTCCTAGAAATAGATAACAGAGTTTGCCATATTACTTACTAAAAGACTATTCTGAAAGACTTTATTTTTAATTAAAATAGCTCCTCCTAAAGACTGAATCAAAAGTTACCATGGCATCTAACTTATTTTCCACAAGAGTATATTTTTAAATACATATATTATATATTATATAATATATTTTACCTACATTATATATATATATTTATTATATATGTTATATGTGTAGTTTAAAATATACTCTTGTATTTTAAAGTATATATATATATATATATATATTCAAATATGTAATACTTTATAAGACTATATCACCCTAGGGGCTCATCTCAACAAGCTTCATCATTGAATGGATCTGACAAAGCATTTTGATTGCCTCTATAACAACAGATGCATCACATTATATTTACTTGAAATCATGGAATAAACTGAGAAACTCTTTGCTTATCACACCTATCAGTTTTACCATATACTCATGGCTGACATTGGATAGATTAGAGATGGAATAGAAACCTTTTCCAAAGGAAGAAGAAGAAAAACTTCCTTTCAATGGAGCCAAGTATTAACAATTGATATCTTAAAATGATATGAGTTTTTAATTACAGCTACATAGAATTATACATAATAAAAATACATTTTAGATAGGATTATAAAAATAAGTTAATTGTGTTTTGGTGGTAGGAGTGTGGCAATATGGTTTTTAAGACTTTAAAAAAATCACTGAGAAAGTATTCTAAGGGAGAAGATAAGCTGATCAACAAAAGTAATAGAAGTAAAATGTAGAAAATGTAGGCAGAATATTCAAAAGTTTGAGTATTTATAAATAACATTTATTTTTCTTAGCACCTTAAACTCTTTAAAATAACCAAATGGTGTTTTTTCTCCCCCCAAATCCATTTAAGATTGAATGCATAACAACCAAGAATCCCACTGAGCTCATCTCTTCTTTTGAAAACTGCCATGTATACTTTAAATAGTCAGGTTTTTGATGCTATGGTGGGGTTTATAATCTTCAACAACACACTTCTCCTTCTTACTTACAGAAAAATCATTTTCCACAATGACTCACTGACAGTTCTCCCTCTAATCATCATTTCTGAAGCATTTAGGGACAGGATCTGTGGTGTCCTCTCCTCAGATGCCAACAGAATGACAAAGCAGCAGCCACATGAGCTGATAGAGTCACAAGGAGAGGTCACGACTGCAGAAAATATGCTGAGGGCAGCCATCACAGGCTGGCACGAGAAGACTTCCATGGAGCAGAGAGAGCTATGGCACAAACATGGCATATCAAGAGCACAGGGCCACCCTGAGAAGGAATTATCAATGAGAAAATATCACAGGCTATAGATTTCCACACCTCTTCTCTGAAATTTTCATAACACAGATCAATACTTGTGTTATTCTTTGAGATTCATGTAGATCAAGGAAGCAAATATCTTGACCTTCATTGTCTCTTCGACTATTGGTATGATCTGAACCCTGTCACATATACTTTCTTATGTTTAAAAATAGTAATAATAAGAGTACCCCAGACAGATTACTGGGGTTGAGTTTAGAGTTGGTAAAATGTGATGTTTTTTAAAGCACTTTAAAATACTCTACACTTTTGAAAACTGATGACTAATTTTATGTGTCTACTTGACTGAGCCACTGGATGCCCAGATAGTTGATCAAACACTATCCTGGGTGTTTCTGTGACAGTGGTTTTGGATGAAATTAACCTTTATATTAGTAGACTGGGTAAAGCAGATTGCCATCCGTAACGTGGGTGGGCCTCATCCAATCACTTGAAAGCCTGAATAAAACAAAAAGGCTGAAGTTCCCCCAATTAACAGAGAATTCTTCCTGCCTAATTGCCTTTAAACTGGGACACTGGCTTTTTTTCTTGCCTCTGGGCTCAAACAAAAACATTAGCTCTTCCTGAGTCTTCACCAGACTGCAACTACACCTGAGCCATTCACCAGACTACAGCTACACCATCAGCTCTCCTGGTTCTCTGGCCTTCAGGTTAAGACTGGAGCTAAACCATTGGCTCCCCTGGCTCTCCAGCTTGCTGACTTATCCTGCAGACTTTGAGATTTGTCAACTTCTGTAATCACATGACCCAATTCTTACCTTAAATATCTTTGTATATATCTCCTATTGGTTTTGTTTCTTTGAAGAACACTAATACAGATGGCTTTGCTTCAAAAAAGGGTATGGCTCTCCCCATCTCATAGGTTTTGTGGGCAGTGTCTGCATGTAGAGTGGACAAAATCTTATTTCACTAAGTTGGCCAATCAATCTAGAAAAACAACCATCAGACACTTGGTTTTATTGAATGTAGTGGCCAGTTTAAAGGTCAAACAAGCTGTGTTCAGAGACAAGTCCAGAAGATATGTCCTAGTTTATAAACTCCTGCAGAGATTATAACAAAAATTGGAATAAGTCCTACATTTCTCAATCTGTACTTAGCCAATAATATTCATTTCTGAGCTTCTTATTCTTTTTAAATGTCTATAAATCCACAGAGTTACTTAGACAGTACCATTTCTGAGAAAAGTTGATGGCCATCAAGAATTAAACCACTCAAGAATTACCGGAAAGCGTATAGTTGACCCTTGAATAATATGGGTTAGAACTGCACAGGTCCTCTTATACGTGATTTTTTAAAATTAAACTTACACATAATGTGCCTGTCTCCCTTGCCTCCCCCTCCACCTTCTCCACCTCTTCTTCCTCTGCCACCCATGAAAGAACAAGACCAATTTCCCCTCTCTCTCCTCCTACTCAGTCTACTCAACATGAAGATGACAAGGATGAAGACCTTTATAATGATCCACTCCCACTTAATAAATGGTAAATATACTTTCTCTTCCTTATGATTTTAATAACAATGTTCTCTTTTCTCTAGCTTACTATATTGTAAGAGGATAGTATATAATACATGTAACAGATAAAATATGTGTTAATTGACTATTTATGTTACTGGTAAGGCTTCCAGTCAGTAGTAGCTCTTAGTAGTTAAGTTTTGGGGGATTCAAAAATTATATGTGAACAAAAATTATATGACTGCACAGGGGTGAGCATCCCTAACCCCCATGTTGTTCAAGCGTCAACTGTAATTCTGTTTGGATTAACACGTGTTATTCCCAATACAGTTCAACATTATCACTAGTCGCAAACTCTGAATATGACTTACCATTCTTCTGGACTCTTTAATCAGGATAAAGAAATCCTGAAATGGGCTCAATCAAGCTTTCAAACCCCATAAGCAATAATATACTTCTATATCAGACATCTATACCTGAAAAGTGGGTGTGGGAGGTGAGAGGATTAATCTAAAATATATGTTAGTGGTTTAACTTCAGTACAAAAGTACATTTATCAAAAGTTTCATTTAAGAAGATCTAATGATTTTTTTGTAAAGGAGCACTGAGGAACAAGAAGCAGTTGGAAAAATCGAAGAACTTTTTAGCCCTAATATTTGGAAGCTGAGACAATGTCCAATAGTGGAAGTACACAACAGACATATTACACCCTGAATAAGGGGATCACAAATGAAAGGCAGCCTTCAGATATTTACAGTTTTCTATACAGTAGATCTGGCAGAATATCAGAGGCAGGAATGATCTGACACATAATCTGTTAGCTGCTCTCAGAAGGATCTTTGTTCAGTGGTTGGATGGATTTCACTGATTGCTGGCCCTGAGGATGTCAACAGCACCACAGTAACAAATACATAGCCCAGCAGAAACAGGAAAGTCTGAGGGAAGTCATGATTTCATGACTAGTCCAAAAGCAAGAAAATCTTTGCCCAACCTAATAAATGTAACTTCAGTTGTAACAATTCTGTGATCCTGTGGTTGTAACCTCACTGGAGAGCATTTCTAAGAGTTTCTATAACAACTTGAGCAGGTTCTTAATGTGGTCATAATTTCTCTGAATTTATGATCTCTCAGGATTTTTTTCTATCCTTGGCCCAGTGATAATCAATTGCAGTAATACTCATTTCATAATTAGCCTCTTTTACTAATTCAGTTCCAAATCCAAACAGGTTCTAAGGCCACCTGTGTAATTTGAAGAGGTAAACATAACCGTCGAAAACTTTACAGCCCCAAGAAGGAAAATTCGGTGATTCTACTGCTCACATATTTATTTTCTCATTTTAAAATATTAATAAGTGTCTCAATGTATCTTTACTTTCTCAATTTATGGTCTATTTAATCTATTCTTGGCTGTTTTTACCTTTTAGTTCTGATTTGCCATTCCAAGACTTCAAAGGCTAGTGTTTAATAGAAAAGCAGAAAGGGAATTGGGCCAGAGGAAATTTTTACCATTCAATTTGTTGGTTTTTTTTTTTTTTGGTTTGTTTTTTTTTTTTTTGCCACAAGTATTAGATCAAAATTTTTTAAAGGGTTGGGGATGGTGGTGAAGGAAATAGGTTTGAAAATCAAAGAATAAAATTCTAACTGCCATTTATCAACTATGCAAATTACTTAAGCCCTCTGATTCTTCGTTTACCACATCTGAAAAACAGAATGAAATCAACCTAATCTATAATATGTAAAGCACAAGCACAAGAATGTAGCATGTAGCTTTCAAAATACTGTAGAAAGAGATCACTGCCACCTGTGTTGTTTCTATTACTCTTCTTCTACTAACAATGTTAATCTCATTTAGTCCCTCTTCTACTGTGGTAAGCCAAATAATGACACACCCCACTGTCCCACCAAAGATGTCTGCTATGCTATGTTCCATGGTAAAAAGAAACTTGCAGATGGAAAAAAGGTTATGGACTGCATTGGTTTCTATGCTGGTATAGCAAATCACCACAGTCTTCGTGTCTTAAAACAACACAGGCTTATTATCTTGTAGTTCTGAAGGTTGGAAGTCCAAAATGGGTCTCCTGGGGGTTAGCAGGGCTGAATTCCTTCCTAGCTGCTATAGGGTAGAATCCATTTTCTAGGGTAGAATCCATTTTTTTGCTTTCTTCCGATTGTAGAGGCTAACTGCAGTCTTTAGCTCTTGGCTTCCCTTCCTCTTCAAAACTGACAGTGGCTGGCGGAGCGTCTCACAGCCCATTACCCTGACACTGACTCTTCTGACTGCCTCTTCCACATTTAAGACCCGTGTGATTAAATTGGACCCACCTGGATAATCCAGGCTGCTCTTACCATTTTAAAGACAGCAAACTAACAACCTAATTTCTTCTTCTACCCTAATTGTCCTTTGCCATATAATTTAACATATTCACAGATTCCAGGCATTAAGATATGGACATCTTTGAGGAATAATTATTCTGCTTACCACACAGACCTTAAAATATAAAGATAATCCTGGATTGTCTTGGTGAGTCAAATGGAATCACATGGACCCTAAAAGTGGAAAAGAAAGGTAGAAGGGTCAGAGAGATGTAACAACAAAAGAAGAGGGAAGAGAGAATCCTATTCAACACGCCACTGCTAGTTTTGAAGATGGAGGAAGGAGGTATGAGCCAAGGCGGGGATGAAGCCTTCAGAAACTGGATACAGCCCTCAACTGACAGCCAGAAAGGAAATAAGAACCTCAATCCTAGAGTCACGAGGGACTGAATTCTGCCCATAACCTCAATGAGCCTGCATAAAGGAATACAGCTCTGCCAATATCTTAACTTTAGCTCAATGAGATCTCTGTGTCAAACTTCTGACCCACATCACTGTAGGATAAGAAATATTGTTTTAAACCACTAAATTTGTGGTAATTTGTATGGCACCAATAGAAAACTAATACAGCCAACATCCATTAGTTGCCTAAAATGTTCCATGTAACTGTCTTAGGAACTACGAATAAAACAGTAAACAGGGTGCACATAGTCTTTTCCCACAAGTGTACAAAATACAAGATACACTCCATGGTGACACATATCATGATTATAGATCCCTGTGACTGTCTTAGTCTAGTCATGAGTTTCTTTGGCTAAATGCTGGTCCCTTTAATTTCTACCTTCTCCCTACTGAGCATGTATTCTTTTACTTAATAAACACATATTAGTCACCTAGTATGGCAGGTATTCTGCCACATATTGCAGGTTCAAAGAGAGATGACACACAATTCCCAACCTCCTGGGGATCACAGTACAGTGGTACAGACAGAAACATATTTTATAAATTACACAAAGTAGTTGCCTTAGTTTAGTATGCTATAACAAAGTACCATAGACTGGGTGGCTTATAAATAACAGAAATATATTTCTCCCTGGAGACTGGAAGTTAGGGAGGCTGCAAGTCTGAAATCAGGGTACCAATGTGAGAACTCTCTTCTGTGTTGTAAAAGGCTGACTTCTCATGGTATTCTCACATGGCAAAAAGAGAGTGAGAGGGTGCTGGTATATTTCTGGCTATGCCTGTGAGGAGGTATCCAGAAGAGATTAGCATTTGACTCTGTAGACTAAGTAAAGAAGATCTGCCCTCACCAGTGCGAGAGGGCATCATCCAATCTATTGAGATAGAAAAAAGGAAAATTCTCTCTCTTCTTGAGCTGAGATATCCACTGTCTCCTGTTCTTGGACATTGAAGATCCTGGTTATTGAGCCTTCAGACTCTAGGACTTACACCAGCACCCTCCCACCCCAGGTCTCAGGCTTTCAGACACAGACCGGGACTGACAACATTGTCTGCCCTGGTTCTCAGGCCTTGCAACTGAGACTGAATTATACTATGGGCTTTCCAGCTTGCAGACAACCAATGGAACCACTTGGCCTCTGTAATCAGTCATGTGAGCTAATTCCTGAGAGAGGTAGATTATGGGAATTAGCTCACATGACTGGTTACAGAGGCCAAGTGGTTCCATTGGTTGTCTGCAAGCTGGAAAGCCCATAGTATAATTCAGTCTGAATTGCAAGGCCTGAGAAAGCCTATAGTATAATTCAGTCGAGAGAGAGAGAGCGAGAGAGAAAGATGTCTATGTGGATGTATATGTATATATGTATATACACATATATATACATATATATGTTTGGAGTGTGTGTGTGTGTGTGTGTGTGTGTGTGTGTATTATTCTGTTTCTCTGGAGAACATTAACTAATACAGGAGGACAAACATTCAGCCCATCATGTTAGTAAAATTAAAAAGCGATTTCAGGAATACAGCTCAAATTGTATTCCAAATTTCATTCATTTGCTTGGCCCAGCAATTAATGTCAATAGCTTCCATTGGCCCAGGTTTAGAGGTTTCTTGCCTCCAAGCACTTACAT
This sequence comes from Homo sapiens, assembly GCF_000001405.40. NCBI lineage: Eukaryota > Metazoa > Chordata > Mammalia > Primates > Hominidae > Homo > Homo sapiens. The sequence goes on along the minus strand of NC_000001.11, from coordinate 82,080,864 downwards.
TGTTCTCATGTGCCAACATTATAATTATGGTTGTAGGACCACAAAACTAAGGATAATTTTACTTCAACTATTTGAGCATTGCAACGGATTAACCAACATTCACATTTTGAAATTCTAACCCTCCATGTGATGGTATGAAGAGGTGGGCCTTTGTGAGAAATTGGATCATAACGGTGGAGCGCTCAGGAATGGAACTAGTGCCCTTATAAAAGGAACCCAGTGAGCTCTCTCGCGTTCTTCCCGCTATGTGAGACACAGTGAAAAGTTGGCAGTCTGTATCCAGAAAATGGACCTCATGAGAACTTGACTATGCTGGCACCCTGCTCTTGGACTTCCAGTCTCCAGAACTGTGAGAACTAAATTACTGTTGTTTATAAGCAACCCAATTTATGCTTTGTTATAGCAGCCTGAACTAAGACAAGCACCTTCAATACTAGCTAGATAGAAAAATGAAGATTGCTTAAATAAATAAATAAGTTTAGACTTTTGTAAATGCAAGACTTAAAGAGAAGGGCAGCTCTTCCTTTTTCCTTCTTGAAATATACACACAAACAGATACCTCCTTGGAATGGTCTTATAATTTTGAATGTGAAAACCACTGTATCAGGAAAGTAGTAGCTTTATGGTGGAGAAACGCAGCAGACACTACCTTAAGCAAGCCATCATGGTCAACATTGCTAATAATAAGACTTACCTACATCATGTACAGCATACTCAGCATTCAAGAAGGACACATCACATCTGTGGTATTTCTGCTTAAGATGCATAACCTTAATCCAATGATTAAAAAATATCAGCAAGCCAAGTTTGAGAGACTGAGAGTGGAAAGGCTGAGGAACTGTCACAGATTAGAGGAGAATAAGAAGAAAAATCAACTAAATGCAATGTGGATTCCTGGATTGGACCCTGGGACAGAAAAAAAATTAAGGAAAAAACTGCTAAGATTTGAATAATCTTGAATTTAAAGAAATTTGAATATACCATGATTCATTTACTAGTATTATAGCAATTTTAACTTTCTGGTTTTGATAATTGTATCATGTTTATGTAACTTGTTAATATTAGGGGGAAGCTGGATGAAGGGCACACAAACTGCCTGCACAGTTTGTGCAAATTTTCTGTAAGTCTAACATTGTTTCAAAAGTTAAAATTTCAAAATTAAAAAATCATTAGGAGTTCGATAGTCCCAGGTAGAGTTCAACACAAAGCAGTTTTTCCTTCTACTGCCATATTCATGTTGAAGTGTCTCAAAAATCTTCTCCTCTCTGAAGTGGCCAATTAAGGATGAGAGAGAAGCTCAGAAATGAGACTGGCAAAATGGTTTGTTTGAGTGGACTGGAGGAAAGTGGGAACTGACTTGAGACAAGCCTGCTAATTTCACTTAGACCACCTGCCTGGTTCAACACAAGCCAGTGACCTAAACATGATGGGCCATTACCAGCCCTCTGCTGGCATTCTGAAATGATTACATAGGAGTCAAATCTGGGAATGCCAAAATTTGCAAATGGCAAAAGAACAGCAAAGGATTAATGACTTTTCACGAGCATTCTGAGACACACACATATACAGAAAGTCACCAGGAGCTATGCTGCATGAATTAACAGGAACTATTCACCCAAAATAAAACTTTTGCCCAATAAGTTGTGACATATAATATGATGCATTATTTAAAAAAAAAACCTCTAAATAGAACCTTTTATCACATTTCCTGAGGCAATAGAATGGAATTTTTTAAAAATACAACAATTATTTCTTAGTTTGCTCTTTTTCTGTCAAGCATGCAACTGCGTTTTCTTTCTTCTAAAGCAGTTCATATTATGATGAGTGAAAGGAGAGAAATAAAAGAGCTATGATCGTATCAGCCACAACTAAACAAATACATTTATTAAAAAGAACTCCCACCAGAAATCTTAGAAGCCTCACAAAGTCTTTTTCACACACTAACTCTATTATAAACTGAAACGTCCCTTTCTTTTATTTTAAATTATTGTCATCATCCACTGTGCATGTACCTACCAGTGATTTACACCATGTCAGATGATAATACACTAGTAAATTTGGTATTTTAATGGCCTTAATAGCTGTAATAAAGAAATTAAATCAGATGTCATATACTGAATGTACATTTTTTGCCACTAACAATATACTGAATTATAGTAGGCTAAATATTAGAGAGCAAAATATAGATTTATTTGCAATTGAAAGCACATGTGAAAACCACTCTAAGACAAGCAGAAAAGGCTCTGGATTTGCCAGAGGAGCAGGCAACATGCTAGTTTTCTCTAACTTGGTCCTCTTTCTCAGTTCTTTCAACTTTGTCCTTTAGGATGATTCACTCTAAACTTCTTCCTGAAGAGCATCACATTGTACCCTTCCCCTCCTCTTACCCAACCAAAATCCTAAAACCCAGGCCTGAAGTTTTAATACGCACACAAATTCACACAGCTGATGAATATAACACACCATGGGTAAACAGCAGGGAGGAGCTAAATGGAAAACTCGTTTGTTAGTTTTCCCACTTGGAGGTGGTTATTTTTGTAAATTACTGATATTGGACACTGTAGGAGTGCCCTTTTCATACACACTGAAGCACTCCACTGGCCCCAGGAGTCACTAAGACTAGTGGATTTTAATAGCTATAGATCTTAAATGGAGGGTTAGAAATTGTTTCTTTTCATTACAATTACAACAAGGAATTAACCCCAAGGGTATCCACTTAATTTCATAATATATAGACTGGAACGCTAATGTGCCTCTTCCACAGTGTAATAAAGAGGCAACTGGCCCTTCTCTCCCCGGGGTGGGTTTTTGCAAAATGTATCACAAAAAAATGTAAAACGAAGAAGATTTGGAGTTAACAAGCTCCATAATGTCACCAGCTCCAGTGCCCGGCATGAGCGGGCCCTCACAGGCACTGAGCACTGCTTTTTTTGTTTTTACAGTGGGAGCTCAGTCCCAGCACTTCTCCTTGAATCGCTTCACCGACACACACACACACACACACACACACACACACACACAGTGGAAACTGAGAGGAGGAAAGATAATTTACAATTAAGTGCATAAAGTCACAAGGACAAAGGAGAGACTTGGAACAGGACTTGCTAATTACCTCGTTTCCGAGATGGGGCCAGCAGTGCTCACTGTCCAATTCCGGTCATGTCAGTTTAACCCATTGCACTCTGCCAGTGACCTTAGCTTCATTTTATGGGAACTCTGTTCCTACTTGCTGGAACCTGAAGCAAAACCAAGGGTTAGGATTTTCCATCTTCAGGCTTCAAGCGTCTGAAGCCACTTCCTGGCAGAGATTTGAAATCCTGGATCCCTGCTGAGTAGCCCTCTCAGTTTAAAGGCATCTTTAGTTCCCAGTGCTTTTTCATGATGTTTGACTATGGCTCTCTGAGACAAATGAGAGGAAGGACACTATTTCAGAAATGGAGCTTTAGACAGAGTTAGGATAAGGACAGCGGGAAGCAAATGGCAATTCAATAAAAGCATAACCCTTAGAGGAGAATGTTTTTCTCTTATATGATGCATTTCCAACATCAATCATAATGTTGGGCCCACTACAGGCTTCCAGCCAGTTACAACCTGGGACTCAGTTCTTCCTTTCCACTGAAAATGCCAGCTCTACAGATATCTGCAAGTTTCCCAGTCAACATGGGGAAAACTGATGATCCAAAGAGAAGAAAGAACAGATTATTCAACTCATATGTTCACATCTATCATGCAGATCACATTTCCAGAGACAGATAAGGTTGTATATAAAAGCTGTGAAAAAACCCTAGCTTCAATGAAGAGCACCCTTTTACAAATCAAAATTCCCAGCTTCCCTCCTGAGATAGGAAGCAGTGGCTTGAAGCAGATGTCAAGAGGGCTGTCAGCAGAGCACCAGAGATGGGAAGTCTCTAAGGAGAAACAAGGAAGACATTTATCACAAGAGAAAGTTGAGTCTTCTTTACTGGCTCAGAGCTACAGAAACCATTTCTGGAAAGGATTGCTAGAAGAATTTGGTATTGTTTGCAAACCCACAAGTAGCAGAAAGTGAGAAAATGAAGGCATGTTGACCCCAGAAAGCAAACACAATGAACAGTCTACCAGAAAACCAGTGAAGAATTCACCATGATTTAGCAGGTGATTCTCCACTTAGCTAAGTGGCTTAGTCTTTGTAAACGTAAACCATGAACCCTGTGTCAAGGATGGGGGCAGTAACACATATGTTGGTCAGTGGTCACAAACTTTTCTAGCCTCACTTTTCCTCATTCCCTATTTTCATACTCTTAAAACCACACATCTCTATAAGCTGTTCCCTAATGTATAAAACTTTGACTTATTAAAAGTTCATCCCAAAATAGCTCCATGTTTTTTTCCAATGACTTTAATTGTGTTTGTCCTGGGCTCATAAACTTGGGGAGCTTGAAGCGTTTAAAAAAACACACAAATGTGGTATCCAAATGTTTTAGTTTCTCCAAGCTCGATGCACTCTAATTGGCTTTTTCCTTTAAAAATTATAATTAAAAGAAGTAAGCTCACCTATGTATAAGGTTCTCATTTCTTTATTTACCTTAAATCTTTTCATGCAGAAAACTGTTAATGTTCTTTGTTTTGTTTTGTATTAAATATAAATAGAATACAAAACAACTCTCTAATTAGAATTATATGGGATATATACCCTACAAGTTTTATTTTCTGAGTTTTCCCCTGACATTTTCAAATTGAATATCATATTCAACATCAACCTAACCAATAAAAAGCAATTTAATTTTTATAATGAACCAAGAGAATATCTAAATTTGGCATATCAGACAGTTTTTGTCTCTGTTGAATTATTTTAGGAGATGTTTTAGTTAAACTGACTTACAATAGCAAATTTCACATCCTTCAAGCAATATAAGACTATAGCCTCCTGGTATATTGTTAGTATTTAGAGCTAAAACTTATTCATTTCAAATCACATTTGGTAAACACCTACTACTATACATTCCATTTATAACACTATTTACTTTATAAGTCTTCTCAGAGACTGTAGCTTTTAATATCAGATAATACATCATAGTATTTTATATTTTCAATATATATCACAATGTTGGTGGTTATTTGGAGCTCAATTAATTCTTCTTAAGTAATTTAATGTTTCTTAAATGATTGAAAGTTTGCTATAGTATAAGTAGGCTGGGTAGACCTATTCATCATATATTGCCCACCCAAAATGATAGAAGTTGTTTCAAAAATGTAATATAAACACACACACATACTCACATACACATCCAAAAAAAATTTTGTTCTTTTCTAGATTCCGAAGTTCACACTGGTAGATGGCCAAGAGAAGAACAAAAATCATATCTCTAACAGCTGTGATGCTGTGAAAATAAGAAGCATTTCTCTAAGTCTTTGACTCTGGCCCTAATAGTTTCTTGAAATTTTGCCCAGCATGCCGGTGACCCTGGGAACAGTGGTCCAAAACTGAATGCTTCAGTTTCTCTCATAAAACCATTTTATCTCTCACGTTTCCCTTTTTCATCAAAGGGACAAATTATTTTCTAAGGCTGCAGGGATTTTTTGGGATATGCTAAGTTGAGATACTCTTAGACTTGCCTTTGGACGTATCAGGCAACCATTTGGATAAAAGAGCCTAGGCCTTCAGGCTGGGGAGATAGGTTAGGAAGCCACCAATATAGAGATGGAATTTAAATCCATGAAATTACCTAAGTGGTGAATATAAATGGAGAAGAGTAAGGGTGCGAGCTGAGCCACAGGTAACTCCAACATGTGGAGAAAATGAGAGCAAGGGATCCAAGGACAGGAGAAGGAGCAGGCAGTGAGGTGGGCACGAATCTCCACAGCATGGTGTCCTTAGTTTAGGTTGAAGCAGGTGTTTCAAGGAGGGTGATCCACTCTGTTAACTGCTACTGATAGGTCAGGTTTAGATAAATGAGCACCATCCTTATCAACATTGTGGTTATCAGTGACCTTGATAAGAGCTGCTTCAATGAGTGCTGAGGGTTAAAGCATAATTGGAGTGGCTCCCAAACAGACTATAGAGACAAAAAGGAAAATTTTCAAGGAATGTTCAATTTAAAAAAGTGGATAATTGAGATTGTAATAGGAAAGGGATGTAGAGTCAGAATATTTTTCAAGATAGAAGAAAAATTACAATTATGCTTAGGTCTCAATAAGAATGGACTATTAGAAAGTGAATATTTGTTTTTGCAGAAAAGCAAGGAAATAATTGTGTGATTCCCTTGAGTGGGGACAAGAAGCTAGAATCCAGTTGACAAGGGAGGGAGACACACAGGGAGAGATCATCAATAGCAACAAGGAAGAGGACAGAGTTCCCGAGGTGGAGAGACATGGTGGTGGCAGCAGATGGAAATGTTTCATCTGATGGTTTATATTTTTTTATCATTCAGCTCTTAAGCAACTGCCACCACTCAGAAAGCCTTCCTTGGCCACTCAATCTAAGTAGCTATCCTTTTCATGGGGTCTCATGCAACCCTATTTTGCTATCTATAAAGCATTTATGGATTTTTTGACATTATTGTATAATTTGTTTACTTATATACAAGTCTTCCAACTAAGAATATAGAACTTACTTCCCTTCTTTAATACTCTATTAATTCCCAAAACTAAAAAGGAAGGAATACAAACATTAAATTTATATATAATTGTTGGATGAATAAGTAAAGCTTCAGAAATAAGCATTTTCTAGAATCCAAATGACTTAAAATGTGCTATTACCAGAATCAAGTATTTTTTCTATGTTTATTCATACAGGGAGTAAGGTCTGTAGGTAGTTGTGCCTGTACTACTCACTCTGTTGAAAACATATACTCCTGAGAGTTGTGTACCAGTGAATTAGATCATTCACAGGCATGTTATAGGATGCAGGCTCAGAGCATTGAAAAGGAGCATTTATCTACAACACAAACATTCAGCTAGCCTTGCTGAGGCACTGTACATTATATACAAAGGATGATGCAGAGAAGGAAAAAGATCATTCAGGAAGTAGAGAAAAGCTCAGGACTTGAAACCATTAAAGAGAAAAGGGTTATTCTTAAATGTTTGTCTAGCATTTGATATTTACTTTCCAAAATTTTAATAGTATTTCACCAAATCACTTCAGAGGTCAGTTAGTATTGCTGCGCTCTACTAATTTTTACAGAGCTGTAAACTGAAACTCTAAGAGATTAAGTGCTCTACACAAAGAAAGTTATCTGCAGCTGCTGAAAAACTCACAATCATTCCCTGCTTTTCTTAGCCCACCTAAGCCTACTGTCCCTCTAAAACCAATGATGTGACAGAATCAATGGTTGAATGATTACGAGCAGCCATGATTGTCCACTACATATATAATTTTTTCTGAAACGATTTTACTTCTCTGGACTGATTTGCATTGATCTGCATTAAAAATATATACAAAGAAAAATAGTTCATCTATGAATATCAAGCCCAAACCCAGCTAGGAGTGCTTATGCCTTGGTTGAGCTATGCCAAAAAGCAATTAGACATTACCCAGTGGCTCCAGATTTAACCTGTTATTTCTTTCAGTTAGGCAGAGGGAATCTATGAAATTGTCTATGGCTAAGCACCTTGGAAATTTTCCCAGGCTGTTCTTCAAAGGTTAACTGGTCACCCTTGCCAAATAGAAGCAAAAGAGGGAACGAAACTGGGGAACTGGGAAATAGAGACATAGACATCCTGAAAAAAAGAAAGTTTAGTAGAACATGAGGAAGTTTTGATAAAAGAAAAATACAAAAGGAAATCAAAGAATTGGCTCTTTTTCTTTAATTTTTTAAGATTTTTAGTAGTGGAAGAGGTTTTGTTTTAAAAAGTTGGTCATTCTTCCAAAATTGTGTTCCCAAATGAGAAATAACATTCCATTCTCTTCTATCTCCAGTAAAGGAGAATTTCACACCCCAGCTCCAAACCACATATTAGAATAATAACATTCTGCCTACGGTGTAAAATGACTTCCATAATCAACCTTTTTGTTCATCACACAAAGACTTTTGCAAAAATAGAGTGTAGGCTGACTCTCTTTTCAGACTCAGCCCGCCTGCACCCAGGTGAAATAAACAGCCATGTTGCTCACACAAAGCCTGTTTGGTGGTCTCTTCACAGGGACGCACATGAAATTTGGTGCCGTGACTCGGATCGGAGGACCTCCCTTATGAGATCAATCCCCTGTACTCCTGTTCTTTGCTCCATGAGAAAGATCCACCTATGACCTCAGGTCCTCAGACCGACCAGCCCAAGTAACATCTCACCAATTTTAAATCAGGTAAGTGGCCTCTTCTTACTCTCTTCTCCAACCTCTCTCACTGTCCCTCAACCACTTTATCCTTTCCACTCTTCAATCTCTCCCTTCTCTTAATTTCAATTTCTTTCATTTTCTGGGAGAGACAAAGGAGACACGTTTTATCCGTGGACCCAAAACTCCGGCGCCGGTCACGGACTGGGAAGGCAGCCTTCCCTTCGTGTTTAATCATTGCAGGGACGCCTCTCTGATTATACACCCACGTTTCAAGGGTGTCAGACCACGCAGGGACGCCTGCCTTGGTCCTTCACCCTTAGCGGCAAGTCCCGCTTTTCTGGGGAAGGGGCAAGTACCTCAACCCCTTCTCTCCTTGTCTCTACCCCTTCTCTGCTTTCCTGGGGCAGGGGCAAGTACCCCTCAACCCCTTCTCCTTCACCCTTAGCGGCAAGTCCCGCTTTCCTAGGGGGCAAGAACCCCCCAATCGCTTATTTCCACACCCCAACTTCTTATCTCTGTGCCCCAATCCCTTATTTCCATGCCCCAACCCCTTCTCTGCTTTTCTGGAGGGCAAGAACCCCCAACCCCTTCTCCGTGTCTCTACTCTTTTGTCTGGGCTTGCCTCCTTCACTATGGGCAAGCTTCCACCTTCCATTCCTCCTTCTTCTCCCTTAGCCTATATTCTTAAGAACTTAAAACCTCTTCAACTCACACCTGACCTAAAACCTAAATGCCTTATTTTCTTCTGCAATGCCGCTTGACCCCAATACAAACTCGACAGTAGTTCCAAATAGCCAGAAAATGGCACTTTGAATTTTTCCATCCTGCAAGATCTAAATAATTCTTGTCGTAAAATAGGCAAAGGGTCTGAGGTGTCTGACATCCAGGCATTCTTTTACACATCAGTCCCTTCCTAGTCTCTGTGCCCAGTGCAACTCGTCCCAAATCTTCCTTCTTTCCCTCCCGCCTGTCCCCTCAGTACCAACCCCAAGCATCGCTGAGTCTTTCTAATCTTCCTTTTCTACAGACCCATCTGACCTCTCCCTTCCTCCCCAGGCTGCTCCTCGCCAGGCCGAGCTAGGTCCCAGTTCTTCCTCAGCCTCTGCTCCTCCACCCTATAATCTCTTTTTCACCTCCCCTCCTCACACCTGGTCCGGCTTGCAGTTTTGTTCCATGACTAGCCCTCCCCAACCTGTCCCAGCAATTTACTCTTAAAAAGCCAAAGGCATAGTCAAGGTTAATGCTCCTTTTTCTTTATCCCAAATCAGATAGCATTTAGGCTTTTTCATCAAATATAAAAATCCAGCCCAGTTCATGGCTCGTTTGGCAGCAATCCTGAGATGCTTTACAGCCCTAGACCCTAAAAGGTCAAAAGGCCGTCTTATTCTCAATATACATTTTATTACCCAATCTGCTCCCGACATTAAACTCCAAAAATTGGAATCTGGCCCTCAAACCCCACAACAGGATTTAATTAACCTCACCTTCAAGGTGTACAATAACAGAAAAAATTGCAATTCCTTGCCTCCACTGTGAGACAAACCCCAGCCACATCTCCAGCACACAAGAACTTCCAAACGCCTGAACCGCAGCGGCCAGGAGTTCCTCCAGAACCTCCTCCCACAGGAGCTTGCTACACATGCCGGAAATCTGGCTACTGGGCCAAGGAATGCCCGCAGCCCAGGATTCCTCCTAAGCCACGTCCCATCTGTGTGGGACCCCACTGAAAATCGGACTGTTCAACTCACCTGGCAGCCATTCCCAGAGCCCCTGGAACTCTGGCCCAAGGCTCTCTGACTGACTCCTTCCCAGATCTTCTCGGCTTAGCGGCTAAAGACTGATGCTGCCCGATCGCCTCGGAAGCCCCGTAGACCATCACGGATGCCGAGCTTCCGGTAACTCTCACAGTGGAAGGTAAGCCCGTCCCCTTCTTAATCAATAAGGAGCCTACCCACTCCACATTACCTTCTTTTCAAGGTCCTGTTTCCCTTGCCTCCATAACTGTTGTGGGTATTGACGGCCAGGCTTCTAAACCTCTTAAAACTCCCCAACTCTGGTGCCAACTTAGACAATACTCTTCTAAGCACTCCTTTTAGTTATCCCCACCTGCCCAGTTCCCTTATTAGGCCGAGACACTTTAACTAAATTATCTGCTTCCCTGACTATTCCTGGACTACAGCTATATCTCATTGCCGCCCTTCTTCCCAATCCAAAGCCTCCTTTGCGTCCTCCTCTTGTATCCCCCCTACCTTAACCCACAAGTATAAGATACCTCTACTCCCTCCTTGGTGACCAATCATGCACCCCTTACCATCTCATTAAAACCTAATCACCCTTACCCCACTCAATATCCCATCCCGCAGCACGCTTTAAAAACATTAAAGCCTGTTATCACTCGCCTGCTATAGCATGGCCTTTTTAAGCCTATAAACTCTCCTTACAATTCCCCTATTTTACCTGTCCTAAAACCAGACAAGCCTTACAAGTTAGTTCAGGATCTGTGCCTTATCAACCAAATTGTTTTGCCTATCCACCCTGTGGTGCCAAACCCATACACTCTCCTATCCTCAATACCTGCCTCTATAACCCATTATTCTGTTCTAGATCTCAAACGTGCTTTCTTTACTATTCCTTTGCACCCTTAATCCCAGCCTCTCTTCGCTTTCACTTGGACTGACCCTGACACCCATTAAGCTCAGCAAATTACCTAGGCTGTACGGCTGCAAAGCTTCACAGACAGCCCCTATTACTTCAATCAAGCCCAAATTCTTCCTCATCTGTTACCTATCTCGGCATAAGTCTCATAAAAACACACGTGCTCTCCCTGCCAATCGTGTCCGACTGATCTCTCAAACCCCAGCACCTTCTACAAAACAACAACTCCTTTCCTTCCTAGGCATGGTTAGCGTGGTCAGAATTCTTACAGAAGAGCCAGGACCACACCCTGTAGCCTTTCTGTCCAAACAACTTGACCTTACTGTTTTAGCCTAGCCCTCATGTCTGTGTACAGCGGCTGCCGCTGCTTTAATACTGTTAGAGGCCCTAAAAATCACAAACTATGCTCAACTCACTCTCTACATTTCTCATAACTTCCAAAATCTATTTTCTTCCTCATACCTGACGCATATACTTTCTGCTCCCCGGCTCCTTCAGCTGTACTCACTCTTTAAGTCCCACAGTTACCATTGTTCCTGGCCCGGACTTCAATCTGGCCTCCCACATTATTCCTGATACCACACCTGACCCCCATGACTGTATCTCTCTGATCCACCTGACATTCACCCCATTTCCCCATATTTCCTTCTTTCCTGTTCCTCACCCTGATCACGCTTGATTTATTGATGGCAGTTCCACTGGCCTAATTGCCATACACCAGCAAAGGCAGGCTATGCTATAGTACAAGCCACTAGCCCGCCTCTCAGAACCTCTCATTTCCTTTCCATTGTGGAAATCTATCCTCCAGGAAATAACTTCTCAGTGTTCCATCTGCTATTCTACTACTCCTCTGGGATTATTCAGGCCCCCTCCCTTCCCTACACATCAAGCTCGAGGATTTGCCCCAACCTAGGACTGGCAAATTAGCTTTACTCAACATGTCCCGAGTCAGGAAACTAAAATACCTCTTAGTCTAGATAGGCACTTTCACTGAATAAGTAAAGGCCTTTCCTACAGGGTCTGAGAAGGCCACCACAGTCATTTCTTCCCTTCTGTCAGACATAATTCCTCAGTTTAGCCTTCCCACCTCTATACAGGCTGATAACAGACCAGCCTTTATTAGTCAAATCAGCCAAGCAATTTTTCAGGCTCTTAGTATTCAGTGAAACCTTTATATCCCTTAGGGTCCTCCGTCTTCAAGAAAAGTAGAATGGACTAAAGGTCTTTTAAAAACATACCTCACCAAGCTCAGCTACCAACTTAAAAAGGACTGGACAATACTTTTACCACTTTCCCTTCTCGGAATTCAGGCCTGTCCTCGGAATGCTACAGGGTACAGCCCATTTGAGCTACTGTATAGACACTCCTTTTTATTAGGCCCCAGTCTCATTCCAGACACCAGACCAACTTAGACTGTGCCCCCAAGAAAACTTGTCATCCCTACTATCTTCTGTCTAGTCATACTCCTATTCACCGTTCTCATCTACTCACACATGCCCTGCTCTTGTTTACACTGCCGGTTTACACTGTTTCTCCAAGCCATCACAGCTGATGTCTCTTGGTGCTATCCCCAAACTGCCACTCTAAGCTCTTAAAGTAAATAAATAATCTTGGCTGGCAGGACTATGCTGAATCTCCTTAGGCACTCTCTAATCAGATGTCCTAGGTCCTCCCAATTCTTAGACCTTTTATACCTGGTTTTCTCCTTCTCTTATTCCATTTAGTTTTTCAGTTCATACAAAACCGTATCCAGGCCATCACCAATCATTCTATACGACAAATGTTTCTTCTAACAACCCCACAATATCACCCCTTTCCACAAGATCTTCCTTCAGCTTAATCTCTCCCACTCTAAGTTCCCACGCCACCCCTAATCCCGCTTGAAGCAGCCCTGAGAAACATCGCCCATTCTCTCTCCATACCACCCCCAAAAATTTTCGCCGCCCCAATACTTCAACACTATTTTGTTTTATTTTTCTTATTAATATAAGAAGACAGGAATGTCAGGCCTCTGAGCCCAAGGCAAGCCATCACATCCCCTGTGACTTGCACGTATACGCCCAGATGGCCTGAAGTAACTGAAGAATCACAAAAGAAGTGAAAAGGCCCTGCCCCGCCTTAACTGATGACATTCCACCATTGTGATTTGTTCCTGCCCCACCTTAACTGAGTGATTAACCCTGTGAATTCCCTTCTCCTGGCTCAGAAGCTCCCCCACTGAGCACCTTGTGACCCCCACCCCTGCCCACCAGAGAACAACCCCCTTTGACTGTAATTTTCCATTACCTTCCCAAATCCTATAAAACGGCCTCACCCCTATCTCCCTTCGCTGACTCTTTTCGGACTCAGCCCGCCTGCACCCAGGTGAAATAAACAGCCATGTTGCTCACACATACACACAAAAAATAGAGTGTAAAGCAATATTGCTTGATTGTGTTCTCCCCAATTAGGTAAGTGCCATTTACAGAGGAAAATAGAAGATCAATTTGTCAGACCTACAAATGTATAAAAATAATTCAGGTTTAGTCATTCTTTTGTACTCTTTTCTTCCCTCCTCCTTTTCTTCCTTTTTTTTCCTCTTTTAATTTTTTTATGATGTTTACTGCCAATCTTGGACCTTCTAAAAGAATCAGGTCATAGTCTTTGTCATTAATAAATGTCATCCTCAAATAGATGTAGAGAACAAGGCGGTCTTGTTGATAAAACAATATCTTTCCAGGCTTTGTCCTTCCTGTTTCTGTGATCATCTCAATTGCTTTCCCTTGACCTTGAAACCTGCTTTATCTTCCATTTCTGAGATTCTACCCTAAAACACGATCCAAATTTTAGAAAAAAGTTAAGGACAAATCTCTGTTTGTTAAACAAACAAAAAAAATTATAGAAATCTTCTAAATTAGAAGTATTAAGTAAATTCCAATTTATTCTCTGTGTGACATAGTATAAAAATATTGAAATATTACAAAGGTCATTCAATACATGTGGGAATGCTTTGGATATTCAATGTTAAATGAAAAGAATAGGATGCAAACTTGTATAACTATGTGATTATAATTATATATAAAAAGTAGAAAATAGAAATACAATTGAATATTACATATTTGTTAAGATAGTTGTGCTTTTATTCTTTTCTCTATATTCCAGATTTTCTATAAAATTATTCTTTCACTTAATTTTTTAATTTTTAAGAGATTTATTATATAAAAAGATCTATATTAATTCCAGTTCTTCTTTTTCTTTGTCCCTGTTAGGTATTTCTTGATTCTTGGAATAGATGTTTGTGGGCAAAAAACATATTTGGGTTAAGCCAAGTTTCTGTTCTCTGAGCTATTTGATAAGGGCAGGGATTTAGAAGGAGAAAGAGTTATATCATCAGAATTTTATTAAAACTGCTTGGGATTTTATAGATCATCTGTTTGAAATCTCACATTTTATGACAGAGAAACTGAGAAAGATACAGCTAGAAAAATATAAAGAGCAGATAAGTGGATGGATCCAATGGACATGTTGTGCGTTGAATGAAATCTTTGCATTTGTAATTATTTCAGAAGGCCCTGGGTACGATCACTCACAGGTCTAGGTAGTAGAAAACTGCTGTCCTTTCTAATTCATTCTCCCTGCCCCCATTACTTTCTAATGCCTTCCAGCATCTAAAAGCCTGTTTCTCCAGAGAAGCTACAGAGCTGATGTTTACAAAACTCAGAGATAGTGCAGAAGATATTTTTAGAATTGTCTAAGTGCTAGGAACAATGTGTGGTAGATGCTGTGGAGCCCATTCAGATGACCTGCCAATACTGAGTTTCTTATTTCCCCAGCTTCTGGGAATAAGGGCTGCTGACTGGCTCACAGCCCAGGCCATTCTCTGTGAACCGCCATTGGTCAAAGTGGCCCATCCAAGTTATTCTCCTCCTGGAGGTGTCAGTCTGCACCCAATCACTGGTCAGTGTAAGGGTATAATGACACAGTGTGCTTGCCTTGATTTGGGACAACTCTGAGAGCCGTTTCTGTTTCAGAGTTCCCCGTAGGGTCAGCCAAAGCTCCGCGGCAGTTGCACTGCAGGTCTAGTTCTCCCTGGATCCATCTTGCTTCCTTCATTCCCCAGCAAACCTGCTACAGGCACATCTCTATCTCAAAGTCTATTTCCCAGAGAACCCATACTAAGACAATGTAACTGAACCATTACATATGAAATCATTACAAAATGTAGAGTTTATTTTACCAGAAGTTGTGTTGTTTTCAACTTCTTAAAACAAAAGTAGGGACCTGGTTTCAGAGTTATAGACCCTCTCCTCCCAGAAGGAAGAATAGAGCTGAACAATTATCTGTGAAATTTGATCCATTTAGATAACCAATTTTGCTTGACTATTCCTTCCTTTGTAAGAAGAAGCCTTTATACTGGTTAATGTTATTCTTGTTTCTGTTTTGAAGCTATAGGTATATACAAAAGGAAAATTAACCTGTGGGCCATCATCATCTTTGCTACTCAAAGTATGATTGCTGTACCAGCAGCCTGGGCATCACTCGTGAGCTTGTTAGAAATGCAGACTCTCAGGCCCCACTCCAGCCCCACTGACTCATCATCTGCATTTGATCAAGACTCCCAGGTGTCTCATATGCACACTAAACTTTGATAATCACTAAACTATACCACTGTTGTTAAATCAGCCTGCTTGTTAAGACTGGGCATTGTGCAAACGGAAAACAAGCATTGGAGTCAGAAGAATTCAATTTCTGCCTCCTTCTTGCAGAGCACCTTGGGCAAGTAAGTCTTCATCTCCTTGGTATCTATTTGCTATAACTTATGGATTTTTATGAGGAGCTATATTTGCTTTTGTTTAAATAATTTTTGCTGAGCATCTGTAATGGGCCAAGCACTGTTTTAAAGGCACCTGCATTAGGAAGAATAAGACAGATTCAAGTCTTGCCTGTCAATCATTCCACAAACATGCACTGAGCATGGACCATATGTCTTGGTGCTAGGATTAATGCAATCAACAAGATAGAACGTTTTGTAGCCAATAGTTGAAGATAAGAACAAACACTGAATAAGTCATTACCAAAAAAACTTGGCAATGCTACAAAGGAGAACTATAGGAACAGAGACAGCTCATATTATGGGAATTAGTCCATGTTAGATAAGGGAGCTCTCTAAATCTCTCTCTCTTTATGTTGCTTCCTGGCTAATACAGGTGTGCATGTCCCTTAATGCAGACCTAATGGGGGAAGGGGTCACTGGATGAGGATGGGTGGGCAGCACTGGGGGAGTTCTGCCAGAGGAAATGTCATCTGCTGAGACCTGCAAAATGAGTAGGGTTTTTGTTATGATTAATGTGGAAGCTAGAATGACCCAAACAGGGAGAAAAGCATGCATTAATTTAGAGTTTTTAAAAAGAGAAGTGACATCATCAGAAACACATTTTAGAGGAATCTCTTTGCACTATAGAGAATAGATTAATAGTGCACCCTGTCAATTCTTCCTAACTGTTCTCCTAGGTTTCTGACTCGCTCCCTTCCAACTTATTTTTAAATTAATCTCAGCCTCTACTCTGGGCCAGACCCTCACTTAGGTACTTTTTCTATATGTTGTATTAAGCATGTCTTTTGAACCTGATACTTTGATATCTGGGCCCTTGCCCACCCTGGAGAAACTGCCCTTCCCAGGGCTAGCCAATTCCTGGAGATCCTGTGCCTATCCTGTGCCTTTTATATGCAAATCAACCAATCCAGAACCCATGCGCCACTTACCTCCTTTCTCAGGCTCTCTCTCAAGCTAGCCAGGATCCCATTGTCCTAATCACCCCATGACCAGGTACCAGACAACTAGAGAAGTTCTCACACCTCAGAGCCCACTGAAATTATTCAAACTAGCCAATCATAAGCTTGCTTACCCTGTCTTGTTCATTCCTTCCCACAGAAACAACCATAAAGACTTTTGCCCACATTTTTTCCTCACTCCCTCTTCCATCTAACCAACCCTGATGCTTTTGTGTGGCCCTGTGTGGTGAGGCATGCCTCCTTCTCTGGAAAACTGTGAGTAACACATTATCTTTTCAATGCCAATCATCTTCTCCTCTGTTGACCTTAGCAAACTTGAATAAACATAAAACTTACATTTTAAGAGTTGTCTCACTTTCTAACACTTCTATAGTCTAGGGTTCATTTTTTCCATTTTTTGAGAAGACAAAGCTAAGACTCCTCCATCTATCTTAGAGCCTTCCATCTTCTTTAAACCAATATGGTATGGTGAGAAGAGGGAAATATTTCTAGTAAAATAGATTGGTCAGAATTCAAATATCACCTAGTATGACTCTGGCAGTAACAAATAGCTGCAAGCATCTTAGTCATTCTATACATAAAAGTGTATTGCCCACTCACCAAACCCTCTGCAAGTCTGGATACTCTCCAGTGCAGCTCACTTCCCAGCAGCTAAGTATGGATTCTTCCAGGTTCTATTTTGTAGCTCCATCATCTCAACTCATGGCTTCTGGGGTCTTCAAGACCTCAGGCAAGAAGAAAGTGAAAAGAACACACACTGATCATAAGCATTATATCTGGAGATGACACGTCACATTCATACACAGGTTATTGGCCAGAAGTCATCATATAACTAACCTAACAAGGAAGTTTGTAAATATAGTGGAGTACATGAATATTTGGTGAGTGCTTCCTGTGACAACCACTTCTGCCACTTTTTAGCTTTTTTGCCTTGGGAAATATCTTTACCTTCCATTAGCATATTGTGGTGTCCCAAGTGCAGAGTTCAATAGCGATTCTACTGGAAAAATAAGTTGTGAATCATTCCTTCCATTTCTAACACATGGATGCAATGAGTTTAATATTCATTCACTCTGTAGTCACTCAGAGCTCCATGAACTTTCCTTGGTGGAGTAACCTCTTTACTTATACTTACAATATAAATTACTAAAAATTGCATTCCATTTTGTCCTTATTTTCACTTTCAACTTTGGCTTGAGGCTTCTTGTATGTTTTTATTTGGGTTGTGTTGATTTTTTTAATATATATATAGTCTAGAAACAGAATCATACACAGATAACTGTCTCAATATTCAAATAGGTCTAAAGAAAATTGGAGTCTCTTTTAGGATACCACAGAAATTAAATCAACCTATCATTTCCTGCTTTAGCTACTTTATTTCTCTTTTTATCTGCTGTTTCTCCCTATTCTGAGTGTCTCTCCAATTGTAGCACCTCTTTGGGGCCACGTCATGTGGGACCCCTTCATAGATCACTGTTCAGTCTATATATGGTTGTGTTGGTCGCTTACATAGTCCCAATACAATCTGGCACTGTAAGAGTTGCTGAAGGTCATATGACACCCTGCACTGTATAACTCACCCCCGTCAGCTTATCTCAAAAGATAGCTTTGGTTGTAGCAGAGTCTCACAGTTTTACAGATTTCTCTGAAAGGTAGCATTGTGAAGAATTTTTTTTTAAGTAAATGGAGCTATATTTGTTATTTTCAGTTTAGTGTTGGCTTAGTATTCTAGAGACTAGTAAAACATTGACCCATAAGGTTAGTCACCAATGGCATAGCTAGCACACCAGTTCTTTAAAACAAAGAAAAATATGTGAAAAACATGCCTTGTAGCCACGTCTTACTCTGTTACTCATAAATTTTTTTTAATGATACATACAACCTTCTACAGATTTTCACTGACTGTTTGTTGTAGTACTGGATTTTCTTAATTTATACTTATAATTATTATAAAAAACTGTATTGTTGCCATGACAAAAATGCAAACTGAGTTATGATCTGAAACATGTATGTCACCTAGTGAGCACAACAGAAAACTATGATCATTGTAACTTTAGAAAAAGAGAAAACAGATCAATTATGAGCAAAGAGCATGATGAATCTATAAATAGCCTTTCTACAATGGAGATGTGTAAAATGCTATAGGATTTTTTTTAAAGGAGTAAAAAGGAATTGAGACCAGGCGCACTGGCTCACACCGGTAATCCCAGCACTTTGGGAGGCCAAGGCGGGTGGATCACCGGAGATCACGAGTTCGAGAGCAGCCTGGCCCACATGGTGAAACCCCGTCTCTACTAAAAATACAAAAATTAGCCGGGCGTGGTGGCGGATGCCTGTAATCCCAGCAACTCGGGAGGCTGAGGCAGGAGAATCACTTGAACCCGGGAGGCAGAGGTTGCAGTGAACTGAGATTGCACCACTGCACTCCAGCCTGAGTGAAATAGCGAGACTCCGTCTCAAAAAAGAAAAAAAAAGGAAAGAATTGAAACAAAAACTAAATTTATCTCATAAATTCTGTTTTTCATAATTATAAGACAAATGAAAGGAAAACCCCATCAGTGAACTGGTAAACATATTGAGCTAGGGCAGTTATTGCAGCATTAGCTGTGGTTGGGGAAGGGAGTCAATCACTGGAAGTGGATGAGCAAAATGTACTGGAGGCACATCACAGAGCATCATGTGGTAATTAAATACAGCAAATGAGGCATGTCCATAGCTACATGGCTGGACCCTAAAAAAAATAAGGAAAAGAATGAGATACACATTTAATATCATTTACATAATAAAAATCTACAAAACAAAAAACAATATGAAACAAAAAGATGCACATCAAAACACTTGCCTATGGTAATAGAACTAATGTTGACAACTTAATAAAATATCTGAATGACTCAATAATTTGCTGAGGGCCGTTCACACTATCCTGAGTGAACAATCCTCTTCCTCATGTCCCAGAACACAGATAAGATTCCCAAATCTAAGATTTTGGAACTCTTTCCATCTATCTACCTCAGCTCTGAGGAGAATGGGTGGGATAAAGATAAAAGGGAATAAATTTGAAACAAATAAATAACAGAGTGTCTTTGCACTGGACAGATGCTAATCTGACTTCTGGGAACCAAAGAGTATAATTAACTAAAGACTCTATATCTGAGATCCTAAAGAGAGAGAGAACAACAGAGGGAGATATCAATGCAGCCCTCTTTAGTAATGACAAATGTTTAACTAAATTGTATATTCTTCTTAGTTTATGCAGTGTTTTCTGTTTTGTTTTGCTTTGCTTTGCTGAGTTTTCCCTGGAATAATAGCCCATCTGACCACCATCAGGTTTAAGAGAATGTAGAGCCAAACACTCAGGAAAACTTTCGCAGTGAAGAATCAAACCTTAGCAGCCATTTAGTAAGTTGCTCAACCCTTAGCACAAATCAATAGAAAAGCAATAGACTCAAAACTACATAGAAATGTGGATTAATCATTGACAGGACATCCATCACTTGGTTAGCTGTGGGATTCTGTGAGCCACAGATATTATGTTCCAACAATGAAGATGTGACAAGTAGGCAGGAAAATAAAAGGCGGTCATGGTACTGAGGATTACAGGTGATAAGAAGTCAAGTCCCAAGCCTTTGCACAGTTGAAAATGATTAGAGAGTATTCCCTCTGATAAAGTTTCAGGGCACTAGAATGATGGCGAGCCTAGGAAAGGCAATGTTCCCACAGTAGCTAAGGAAAAGTTAGAGGCATCTAAGTAATAGAAAATAGCCAAGACCAATTTGGAAGCTTCCAATCACATATAACGAAGCACATTCTTTTTTGTGAGGACTGTGGCCAGGTGGGGGATTGGCTTATAAAGGTATTCTTTACATGATACGATTTATCTGGAGGCCCACAAACTCACTGACACAATTCCACACAATGGCATGCTGGACAAGTTGTATGGCCTTCCAAGGGAGATGAATGCAGGAGGAGCAATGTAAACAAGACTGCATGATTTATGAAAGAAATCTCAGCCTTCCTGTGGCCACACGTCCAACATTTAATTCCTGAATTATTACAGCCAGAGAAACCAACATTTCCATTCCTGCAGAATGACTTGACACGTGGTTTAATGTTCCTCTCCCCTCCTGGAAATGTACTGCCCCCAAGAGCCCAGTGAAAGGAAGCTTGTCTGGTCATATCTCTGGAAAGAGATCATTGACTATGCCAGCTTTGATGTTTATTACCCTAGAAAAACTATGAAAAAAAAATTAAGCGAAACAAAGACTGTATCTCAATATATTTGTAGAATTAGTTCTATTTTGGCAATATTCTTTCCTCTCCTAAGCCCAGAAGGTGATATGCAACATGAAAAACAGCCAACATGGCACAAGCATAGACCAATTCAAATGCATAAAAATCAGTTACAGTTACACTGGTGCCTACTGACAGAACACCTGCTAAAGCCATGCTAAAATAACCCCCAAATATTACATAACATTTTCTACTTTGTTTTGGGGTAAGTCAAAAGAGTTAGCTTTGTTTTCCAGAGTTATATAAAAATATATGCTGAAGGTCCTTGTAGTTCCTGCTGTAGTTTCATATTACAGGGGTTCCCAGGTCTCTGCTAATCATTCACTTTCCCAGTCAGACTCAAGACACACAATGTCAGAGCAGTACTTCAAAATGACACTCTGGACCTGGATTTATCCCAAGAGAGATTGTCACTCCACTCTGCACTCTGCACTCTGCTAAAGAGCGAAAAAGTCACAGGGTCCCATTGATTATCCCCATGGGGGTACCAGCCTCCATTTATGCATGCATACCCGAAAGGGACTAGGTCAGGGACAGGCAGGCCAGTGCTGCAGTTCCACCTTCATAGGACCTTAATCCTTCTTTCCCTTCCAAAAGTCCCTATCCAATGAACAGAAAGCTGGAGCTCTTTCCAGAATCATGATGGGTGTAGGAGCCCAGGGCCACTTTCCAAGCCACTGACATGAAGAAGCTCCCAAAAGGAATGATAGAGGAAGCTCCATCCCCTGTCTGACTTCACTAAGACTTCCCACACCTGAAAGAAATAATAAGTCAACATTGACAAATTCCTGTTAGTATTTCTTAATATTTCAAAGAAACATTATAGATGTCATTTTTCCCCTATTGCTGGGGAAGATTCTTGTCATTTGCTGAAACACTTTATAGCCTCCCTAAACATTGCTTTGAGTATACACATCTATGAGATAATATACATTCTACATGAAAATACTATCATGTAGCTGTTCCCTAACACAACTATTCTGACCACTTTCATAAGAGGACACTGTTATGCACATTTAGAGTCACATAGAGCATAGCAGCTGGAAACACAGGCTAGAGCCACATTCAATGCCTGGCTTGCCCACTGAATAACTTTGAAATCTTGAATCAGTTTCTTATCTTCTTCAGGTTTCAGTCTCTTCATCTGTAAAACAAGGGCAACAAGACCAACATCATAAGATTCTTGGGAGTCTTCAATGATTTATATGTGAAAGGTGTTTGGGGTGATTTACACTGTAGGCATTCCACAACTATCAACTAAAGGGATGTCTCCACAGCACAGACAAAACGATCAATTCAAGAATCATCAGATTTTCTAGAATGCCACACATAGTTTTTTATAAAAATGTTCACAATTTACGCAATTTGTTTGCCATCATGGATTCATTCAACAGGCATTTCTTGAGAAATAATTGTGTACTGGACCCTGTGCCAACAGCTGGGGATTTAAAAAGGAATGAGATATGGTCCCTACCATCAAGGGACCATATGGTTTACCATCAAGTGTAGGAGACAAACACATGCATACATAATACAACACAGGGAGTGATTTTAAATGAGGCTCATAGAAAAAAGAGGTTAACCCATATCGGGGGGCCAAATTGGTATTATATGTTCCACATACATCTCTGAATAGTGATATCGTGGGGTCAAAACCCCTACAGTAAGATACAGATCTAGACTATTATACTCATGAGCCCTCACTTCCATTGATGGCAGAAGCAAAAAGTAGATATTGCTATTAAAGTTAACTTACGCTCCTCTTTCTAAAACTTAATCTCTTTGGGTTGTCATATTCAGGATTTTCCCCAACATCATTCTCCTAACTCTTGGGGGCTCATGAATGTCCTGTCATTAGAAAAAGGACATCTGTCACTTGCCCTATCTGAGCACTGACTGCCTTCCATCACTGCTTTAAAGGGTGAGATGCTGATCTGCGGTCTGATCTCTTAGTATAACCATGGAGGTGATGGCTCTCAACTAGCTCAAACTTCCCTCCCAATGCTCCACCAGGCTTTCACCACAGCACTAACATGCACAGCTGACATTTTGAGATTTAGCCATGTCCTACGTATCATTCCTGCTTTGGGCTAACCAATCCTTGATTTCCTGTTAAAAGCTGTGGCAGCCTCCTGACAGCCATGCTGATTTCTAATTCTCAAACACCATCTCAGGGACAGTTTTGGGAACCTTCCTGGGTCTCCTCCCTGGATCCAAATGAGACTCAGGGGTGGCAGAAGGAGGCTTTCTCAGGCACGGTCATCTTAAACAAAATAGCAACACAATCACTGCTCTACCAAGGATGCCCCTTTTGAGGCGATAATCTCCATCTAGAGTTCCAGGCAAGGTGTGCTAACCCAGCCCCTTCTCATCAGTGATTTCCAGAACCATCTGAGGTCTCTATACAGACCAGGCCCAGGAACTTGTCCCAATTCTGGGCTCAGTCATCTTGCTTGCCTGTCACTCTGTCCCCGGGATCCTCCCCTTCAGTTTTCTTCTTTCCAGGTATGAGAAATTACCTTTATGTCATACTCTACATAGTCTCTGTTCTGTGGTTTATAGTAAATCTTTCTTACCTCGGTCCTCTAGCCTCTTAATATTTTAAGGGAATAGTTAATATTTAAAGGAATGCTTCCGATTTCTCTTTCAACAAGCCTAGGTATTGCAAGTGAATGCCTTGGCTTTTCACTACCACTGCCTTCGAAATTAGCTTCAAGAGCAGGTTTCGGAATTCAAAAACTGAACATGGTCTCCTTTGTTCTTGGCTGCCCCTCAAGAAAAGAATGTCATGACTCAATGGGTGGGAACTGTGGTGCAGAATGAACTAATGGAAATTTAAAATACAGAAAAGAAAGTTTCAAAATATTATCATGTCTTTTTGGTCCCTCCTTGAAAAAAAATCTTAATCCCAAAGATAAGGTAACAAAATAGCACCGGGCACATCTGTTCTCTAACACACCTTTGCCATTCAGTGGCCTGGAGTGTATCAGGGGGATATAAAAGAAGAAACTTTCACAAACAGGTGAAGCTGTATCATCACCCTGATTCATAGGGTTATTGAACATCCCAACCTCAGCAAAAAAAAAAAAGCTTTACCACTGTCTGCAATAAGCAAGGTTGTTCTGGAGGAAAGTGAGGAGAAGGACAATGGCAGGGGAAAGGCTGACATAAATGACAGAAACCATGGATGAAAAAATATATATATTCTATATGACTGTCAGGGAGCTGATCATTGAAAATTACCTAGTCATTGTTTCAGCAGAAGCTGTACAAGCCAGAAGAGGGTAGGGGCCAATATTCAACATTCTTAAAGAAAGGAATTTTCAAAACAGAATTTCATGTCCAGCCAAACTAAGTTTCATAAGTGAAGGAGAAATAAAACCCTTTCCAGACAAGCAAATGCTCAGGGATTTTGTCACCACCAGGCCTGCCTTACAAAAGCTCCTGAAGGAAGCACTAAATATGGAAAGGAAAAACCAGTACCAGCCACTGCGGAAACACACCAAAATGTAAAGACCAATGATACTATGAAGAAACTGCATCAACTAGTGTGCAAAATAACCAGATAGCATCATAATGACAGGATCAAATTCACACATAACAATATTAACCTTAAATGTAAATGGGCTAAATGCCCCAATTAAAAGACACAGACTGGCAAATTGGAGAGTCAAGACCCATTGATGTGCTGTATTCAGGAGACCCATCTCACATGCAAAGATACACATGGGCTCAAAATAAAGGTATGGAGGAATACATACCAAGCAAATGGAAAGCAAAAAAAAAAAAAAAAAAAAAAGCAGGGGTTGCAATCCTAATCTCTGACAAAACAGTCTTTAAACCGACAAAGATCAAAAAAGACAAAGAAGAGCATTACATAATGGTAAAGAGATCAGTGCAACAAGAAGAGCTAACTATCCTAAATATATATGCACCCAATACAGAAACGCCCAGATTCATAAAGCAAGTCCTTAGAGACCTACGAAGAGACTTAGACTACCACACAATAATAGTGGGAGACTTTAACACCATGCTGTCAAATTAGATCAATGATACAGAAAATTAACAAGGATATTCAGGACTTGAACTCAGCTCTGGATCAAATGGACCTAATAGACATCTCCAGAACTCTCCACACCAAATCAACAGAATATACATTCTTCTCAGTGCCACGTGGCACGTTTTCTAAAATCTACCACATATTTGGAAGTAAAACACTCCTCAGCAAATGCAGAAGAACTGAAATCATAACAAACAGTCTCTCAGGCCACAGTGCAATCAAATTAGAACTCAGGATTAAGAAGCTCACCAAAATTGCGCAACTACATGGAAATTGAACAACCTTCTCCTGAATGACTCCTGGGTAAATAATGAAATTAAGGCAGAAATCAAGAAGCTCTTTGAAACCAGTGAGAACAAAGAGACAACCTGCTAGAATCTTTGGGACACAGCTAAAGCAGTATTAACAAGGAAATTTATAGCACTAAACGCCCACATCAGAAACTAGAAAGATCTCAAATCGACACCCTAATATCAAAATTAAAAGAACTAGAAAAGCAAGAGCAAACAAATTCAAAAGCTAGCAGAAGACAAGAAATAACTAAGATCAGAGCAGAACTAAAGGAGACAGAGACACAAAAAACCCTTCAAAAAAATAAACAAATCCAGGAGGTGTTTTTTTGAAAAAATTAACAAAATAGATAGACTGCTAGCTAGACTAATAAAGAAGAAAAGATAGAAGAATCAAATAGACACAATTAAAAAATGATAAATCACTGACCCCACAGAAATACAAACTACCATCAGAGAATACTATAAACACCTCAACGCAAATAAATTAGAAAATCTAGAAAAAATTGATAAATTCCTGGACACATACAGCCTCCCAAGACGAAACCAGGAAGAAGTCGAACCCCTGAATAGACCAATAACAAGTTCTGAAATTGTGGCATTAATAAATAGCCTACCAACCAAAAAAAGTCCAGGACCAGACGGATTCATAGCCGAATTATACCAGAGGTACAAAGAGGAGCTGATACCATTCCTTCTGAAACTATTCCAAACAATTGAAATGGAGGGACTCCTCCCTAACTCCTTCTATGAGGCCAGCATCATCCTGATACCAAAACGTGGCAGAGACACAACAAAAAAAGAAAACTTCAGGCCAGTATCCCTGATGAACATCGATGTGAAAATCCTCAGTAAAATACTGGCAAACCAAATCCAACAGCACATCAAAAAGCTTATCCACCACGATCAAGTTGGCTTCATCCCTGGTATTCAAGGCTGGTTCAACATACACAAATCAATAAACTTAATCCATCACATAAACAGAACCAAGGACAAAAACCACAAGATTATTTCAATAGATGCAGAAAAGGCCTTTGGGTTCAACATCCCTTCATGTTAAAAACTCTCAATAAACTAGGTATTGATGGAACATATCTCAAAATAATAAGAGCTATTTATGACAAGCCCACAGACAATATCATATTGAATAGGCAAAAGCTGGAAACATTTATTTTGAAAACCAGCAGAAAACAAGATGCCCTCTCTCACCACTCGTATTCTAATGTCAAACTTAGATATTAAGAGTCATTGTGTCAGCTCTCTAGCTTTCCTGCCCATTATCTTAAATGATTTTCTCAGTAAAACAGAGTTATAGTAACCCAATTTCCACCTGAAGAACCTAAGGCTCAGTAACTTTCTTCAAACCAAAAAGTAGTGATGGTAGAAAGCAAATTCAGATCTCCACACTTTGCAGCAGAAGGGCTATTTACATTCTTCATCCTTACAGATCTTGCTCCTTAATTCTCTTTTCTTGAAATTACTTTTGATTTTTATTTCATGGCTTATAATTATTTGTTTATGATGTTTATTCTTCTCAAATACTGATAGATTGTAATTGTCAGTAACTCATGCAGACTCTTACCAACCATTGTATAAGAAGCTTATCTTGGCCGGGCGCGGTGGCTTATGCCTGTAATCCCAGCACTTTGGGAGGCCAAGGCTGGCACATCACAAGGTCAGGAGATCGAGACCATCCTGGCTAACACGGTGAAACCCCGTCTCTACTAAAAAGTACAAAAAATTAGCCAGGTATGGTGGTGGGCGCCTGTATTCCCAGCTGCTTGGGAAGCTGAGGCAGGAGAATGGCGTGAACCCGGGAGGCAGAGCTTGCAGTGAGCTGAGATCACGCCATTGCACTCCAGCCTGGGTGACAGGGCGAGACTCTGTCAAAAAAACAAACAACAACAAAAAAAAAACCAGAAAAACAGAAGCTTATCTTGTGTACCAAGATATCAAGTCATCTCACCTTTATGTTTGATTGGCCCTCAGAAATCACCTCCAATTTTGAGGAAGCTTGCACTCTTCTTGAGATGCCTCATACAGTCTGCTTATTTATTAGCCACTCTTTATTTTTATTTTATTATTATTATTTTTATTTTATCTTATTTTATTTTGAAACAGCCTCGCTCTGTTGCCCAGGCTGGAGTGCAGTCGTGAGATCTCAGCTCACTACAACTTCCACCTCCTGGGTTCAAGCAATTTTCATACCTTGGCCTCCCGAGTAGCTGGGATTACAGGCATGTGCCACCACGCCCAGCTAATTTTTGTATTTTTTAGTAGAGACAAGGTTTCACCATGTTGTCCGGGCTGGTCTCGAACTCCTGAGTTCAAGTGATCTGCCTACCTCAGTTTAGCAAAGTGCTGGGATTAAGGGCGTGAGCCACCACACCCGGCCTATTGTTTATTTTCTAAGAAAGATGTTTTCCTTTGTCGCTCAAGGAAATATTCAAATTTTCTCATGTCTCAAGTCCTCTACTTCCAAGGTAATTCCATATAGGACTCTCCAAGGGATGTACTATGCTTGGGTCAGATCTCATCACCTTTATTTTTGGCAAAATATACTGTCAGCTATTTTAACTAAGCAAATTAAAAATAGCATATTAGAAACAATTAACTTTTGCTACATTACATTACAAAGTGTAATGACTCAAAAAAACAGTCAATCGTTCAGCTCACAATTCTGCAGGTCAGCAAATTGGGCTGAGTGTAACTGGGTAGTTCTGGTCCCAGCTGGGCTCAATCAACACATCTGTGGTCAGCTATCAGGTCAGCTGGGAACTGGTTGGTCTAGGATGACCTCAGCTCAGCTAGAATGGCTATGGCTGTCTAGACTTGCTCACAGTGTAACTAGAATTTTAAAGATCTAGATTTGCAACTGGCACACCACCATTTCTGTCACATTCTTGTGACTAAAGTAAATTCTAAGTCCAGCCAAGACTTAAGGATTGGGTAGAGAGACTCCATCTCTTGATGGGAGATCCTGCAAAGATACCTTGTGGGGGACGTAAATACAGGGAGATCTGAACAACTGGGTGATTTTTGTAATCAATCTACCAAAGTATCTATGACTGAGATTGGTTAAACAACAAAACATATTAAGTTTTAACTGTATAATCTACTCTGCTAGGCACCCCTTACATGAACTCAACCATTTTCCAACCAATTTATTTACTTTGAAAAATGAAACAAGTATTTAATTAAAATGAGTTCAAATAAGTTTGGCGATCAGGTGTGTCATGCTAGGAATTAAATTAGTCATGGGAATTTATAGGCAATTGAAAAAATCACTACCATTAAGAAGCCTGCAGTCTAGCAGAGGAAACAAATAGGTAAATATATGTAATGATAATTATAGAGGCCACTATGGGGTTACAGAGGAAAGGCACATCACTCAGAGCAACCTTCCCAGAGAAGGGTGTAAACGTCAGGTATCCCAGAAACCCAAAGGATGAGAAATATTGCATTCTGTGCATGTGAGTAGACAACACTGAGTCCATAGCTCCCAGCCTTTGTCGGAAGGTCAGGAAATTACTGACAGACTTGTCTTACCACGGATAGCGTGTTTGATACTAGGGACTTTCTATAAGGTACCATTAAACTGATTCTATCTACAATCCCCTTCTGTTACCTGTATGCAATGATCCCAGGTAAACCTCAATCTTTGTTCTCTACCTAAATATCAGATAGTCAATGTTGCTTATTTTCTATCTCTCCAGCACTCCTCACTACTCAATGTGTATTCAACGTCCATTTTCCTTTGTTTTTAGCACTTAGAATCCTGCAGCTATTTCATCCTCAATATGAAGATGTGACTTTCACTTCAGTTGCCTCAGGCAGTTAAATATTTCTCCTATTTTTGAAGCCTCAGTACTAGTAATACACTCATTCATATAACGATTTATCAAGGACTGGCTACAGCTTACAACTACCAAATAATGGTAAACAAGATAAATTACAACCTCTACCCTCATGATTCTTATAATCTACTGAAAGAGGCTGATATTAAAGAAGGAATGACACAAATAATTTTCAATTATGGTTATATGTCCTATAAAGAAACATACAAGGTGGTATGAGAACAAAACAAGAAACAATTAGTAGTCTGACAAATGAGCAGTAATTAGCCCCAAAAGGAAGCTGTAGAGATCCAGGAGAAGTGTTGTAGACTGAAGGCACCATGGGTGCCAGGGCTGGGTCTGAAGGAGCCTAGCAGGTTAGAGAAGCAGGAAGATGGCCCATGTGGTTGGATCCAAGTGAGTGAGGAGGAGAATCACAGGAGATCAGGCTGAAGAAACAGAAAATATTCAGTCCACAGGACTGCATCCACCTCTCGGCATAAAAATACTTTTATCCAAAACCATGTCATATGTAGGATGCTTGTGATCTCAAAATTAACCCAAACTTAGAATTTTGTATTTCACTTGCAGTTTATCATTCAAAAGTATTTACCTTCTCAATCCACAGGCTCATTTTCAACTCTGACTAATTCCAAGTTCTTGAATGTTTTCTCCAAATAGGATGGATCAATTTTGATCAGTAGTCAAAATCTAAGTAGAGTTCCTAGGATATAAAATGACAGATTTCTAGGGATTGCAAACATCTCCCAGGACACAGAACAAAGGGTGGTGGAGAAATAGAACTAAAAACTAGTTTACTCAGCTTTCTCCCTTTTTGAGAATGTTCAGGCTAAAAGTTACGTCCTTCCTCCTCATCCTTAGAAGCTGAGGGGCAGGTTAAGCTGACTGTCAGGACGTTCTCGGGATGTTCCGCTAATCCTCATCTCTTTTACTCTCCAAAATCTTTCTTTATCTCTAATATTGTTTTAAATTCTCTTGAAATTAGAAGTTGGACCAAATGTGCTTTACATGCAAATATTTGGCTCTTTCTGCACGTAAAATGAAGTTAAAACTCAAAGCTATAAAAACAAAAGTTGAAAACCCAAACTCTGGGCACACATTGGTTGGGAGTGTGTATGTGTTGCGATTTTGGGATTAGTAAGGAGTTTAGTAGAAAGCAAACCCAAAAGGGAGAATAAAGCTACTTCTTACTTCTCTAAGGTTCGTATATTTGATCAGATTGAGATGTTTTCCCTTATTTTTCTATATTCTATCTAGCAGAAGAATTAATGTGCAACTATTGTTCTTTGTCCCCATTATCTCCTGTGCCACCCCTCTTGCAAGCCAGCAGGAAAACCACCCTATTCCAAACGTATGGTCATTGCGGGTTTCTCTATCAAAATACACAATTTAATCTTTTATTTAATTCAGCATCACTTTCCTACACTTACTCAGCATGCGACACTTTAGTCCATGCTGTTCAATTGACCTGAGTTTAAAGAAAACCTGTGTAAACCTTGAGGTCAAAAGTTTCTAGACAACTCCTTTTCCCAGGAGGTCACTTTATCGGAGAGTGTGATGCCATTTATTATCAATTTCCAGGGTTGAAAACATGATGTCGAATTAAAACACCTTCCATTTCAGGTGCTAAGTTCCTACCCCAAGTTCTATTATTTTAAAACTTTAGCTAAAAATTTCCTAGAGGTGACTGAGTTTTCTCAGTCCCTGGGGAAGCTGCTGTGAATGACTTTTCACAGTGCCTTTTCTGAGAGTCTCCAAGTCCGCTTTTTGCAACCTAAATATTATCAGCTTAAATGCATGCCAGGGGCATTCAAATAAAAGGAACGAATGAAAATTATAAATGGAAACTTTAAAAAAATGAATAAAGAGACAGAGAAGACTTAAGGAAAAGAGGTAATAAAGGGAAAACAAAGTTTGGAGTTCTAATCTCACCCTACGCAGTGGGACCCCAAGCAAACTGCACCTGTTCCCAGTTCTATTATAGGGACTTCATGGCATTCTTTCGGAGATGAAATACATCAGCATGTGTAAAGCACCTGGTATACGGTTAGTACTCAGGCTTGTTAGTTTCTTGCCTTTAGCTCTCCTTAAAGACAGGGAGTCTTATAAATGTTCTGTTTTTAAAATGAACTAATGGAGATTCATTGATTTATGCAGTCAATTATAAGTGTGAGCAACAGCCAAATAGGCAAGTTACATCAGGAAAAAAAAAAAAAATTCTCAGGTCACTGAAGTGGCAATTAGCAAGTACTGTGGAGAGAAAGAGGAGTAGAGAAAAAAGGAGGAGAAAAAAAGGCCTGATGAGGCAAATTGCTTTTAATTACCTCTAAACATTTTCTTGTCCTCTTTTGATGCCATAAGACCCCCTGCAGTTCCAAAATAAAATAAGCCTGAGTTTTGTTTTGCTCTTTTAAATAGGAACATAATAGCCACTGTGGAAACACGTTCTTAATCAAAGGTATTAAACTCTTGGCTGCTCTTCTTCATTTGAAATTGCCTGGGTTCATTATTATCAAGGGGAAGAGAAGTCTAGTCACCATTTAGCTCCCTTCTTAGTAAATTAAAATATTAATTACAAAATACCTTATTTTTATCTTATATCTGAAGCTATTAGTTACTGTGGCTGGGGAAAATAAAAAAAAGCAGCCTCATTTTGTGCTGAAGTAATTTTCCTAACAAAGCATGCATAGTTACTTTTTAGTTCCTAGAAATCAAATCATTACATGAAATGCCACATTTTAAGAGCCACCTGAATAAATTAGATGGCAACTTCATTTATTTTTTTGTCTGAGATAAGTGTGCAATTACGGTTGCTGTGTCCACGCGTTCAGGCCATGCAACCGCTCGGATTAGGCCATTTGCTAAGCAAAGGAGGGCACTCAATGCCAGGCAGAGCCAGAGAGGAAAGAAAGAATGTTTCCCTTTCATTTCCACGGCACAATGTGGTAATCGATCTTATGCCCGTAGACACAAATGCTCAATCTCTGGGAAAGAGGCAAATA
The DNA here is from genome assembly GCF_000001405.40 of Homo sapiens. NCBI lineage: Eukaryota > Metazoa > Chordata > Mammalia > Primates > Hominidae > Homo > Homo sapiens. The sequence goes on along the minus strand of NC_000001.11, from coordinate 82,048,684 downwards.
AAGCCACAGAATAGACATTAGAGCCAACTAAAACTCTCATTGTCTGCCTCTTCAAAGACTCAAATTATCAGCTAGGTATTGAGGGGACAGTAGAAAACACAGGCCAATGGCCAACAAACCCACTAAGAATGAGGATTACCTGGTACTGCGGAGCCTGAAGTCATCACAGATAAACTAAAGACACAGTCTCTTTTACAGGTGAGAGTGATCTGCGGCAGTCCTGGCTTTAGAGGCTATGTTTGGGGGAGGGTCTATAGGCCACCATCCCTTTTGCAATATATTTTCTCCTTTTCCTATTACTTGCACAGTGCCTGAAATTAGATTTTTCTCTCCTTGCATTTGGAAGGATATTCAGTTTAAGAAGTCACTATCTAATTTCAGAAACAGCTAGAGAGAGAAGCCTTCACAGCCAACACCATTTATTAAGTGTGCACTATGTACTAAGTGCATTACATATATTATTTTCTTGAATCATTACCATAACCTTATAATGTTGACCTTTTTTATGGCCCCATGTTACTCAAGTGAAAACTGAGGCTTAGAAAGATTAAGCAACTTGAACAATTGGCAAGTGATAAGGGGAAGATCTAAATCCAGGTGTCTGATTGTAAAGCCCTTGCTCTTATATTCTGTCTGCTTCCATCTGATGGTACGTTTTGGGGTGTGGGGGACAGGTCCTGAGGCTTTTGAAGACAGAAGAGAGTATAAAAAGGGAGATGAAGGGGCACTGTGAAAGGGAAGAGTTAGCCCCAGGTATGCCCTCTAAAGAGAGAAGCCCTCTTTGCCAGATTGCCAGAGGGAAGCATTAATGCTGGGCCAACTTATCCCTCCACCAAACACCATTCAAACCAGTCTTCTTTTCAGGCTTTTTTTTTTTTTTTTTTTTTTTTTTCTGAGACAGAGTCTTGCCCAGGCTGGAGTGCAGTGGCGCGATCTCGGCTCACTGCAAGCTCCGCCTCCCAGGTTCAGGCCATTCTCCTGCCTCAGCCTCCCCAGTAGCTGGGACTACAGGTGCCCACCACCATGCCTGGCTAATTTTTTGTATTATTATTATTATTATTATTATTATTATTATTATTTAGTACAGACGGGGTTTCACTGTGTTAGCCAGGATGGTCTGGATCTCCTGACCTCGTGATCCGCCCTCCTCGGCCTGCCAAAGTGCTGGGATTACAGGCGTGAGCCAGCGCGCCTGGCCTCTTTTCAGGTTTTTGTGCATACATCTCACTGAACTGCACAGAATCCATGGTCCCTGTGGATGAGCCAGGCAATTTTCATTCTTTCACATGCACCGAGAATACACCCTTAGTGAATTAAGGGGCAGGCTCAAAGGTTTCAGCACATAAAAGACGATGGGAGGTGGGGGAGTGCAGGCGAATGAGACAGGGCATGGTACCACTTCCCATCTGTGTAGCTTGGGATAAATTATCCAACCTCTGTGCCTCAGATTCCTCATCGGAAAAATAGGGTTAATAAGAGTGCTTCCTTCACAGGATTCCAGGGACTAGCAGATAGAAAAATTTGAATGGATGTTGTAGTAAATAATATTCTATCATTTAATTTAACTGGGTAGAAGAGCATTCCTCAAAGATATTCTGTGAAATAATTCTTACACCATGTAACTTCGGATAATACGGTCTACTCGACCTGTTCTTGCAAATGCACAATGTTCCTTAGCATATAAAAGACTCCCCCAAACCCCAGCCAAGAAACCTCTCTTAATATATTTAGCATGCTCATTCCATGAAGGACACTTGAGTGGTTAGTGTTCCAAAGACCACTAACACTGAACTATAAGAATACGAAACCAGGACCAAGTCATGTGAACGCTAGTGTGTTTAACTACACGGGTTCTACTGCAAATGTTACAGAGCAGAAAATCAGTGTGGAAAGGATTCATACTTTGGAACCGAAACCCTTTTTTGGATTCTAAACATGTTAGCCACTTAAGAAAGCCTTGAACGAGTTGCTCGTCTCTCGAGTCTCATTTTCTACATCTATGTCTGTGAGTGTATCTTGTGGAAGTTGAGGATCAGCCTTATTCATCTTTGACTTTCCAACATCTATCTCAGAGCCCAAAACTTTGTCAGTGCTCAGGATGCTTGTAGAATAAAAGAATGAAGTCACAACCTGGAAGTAGACATCATGGAATGAATGACCCGACGAAAACTTATCACTAACTCCATTCAATCCCATAAACTTTTGCTAAGTCAATGCCAAGTCCTCCTGGAAGCAGACATGGAAACCCAGCTAGGAATGTGACCTGGAAGCAGACATGGAAACCCAGCTAGGAATGTGACCTGGAAGCAGACATGGAAACCCAGCTAGGAATGTGACCTGGAAGCAGACATGGAAACCCAGCTAGGAATGTGACCTGGAAGCAGACATGGAAACCCAGCTAGGAATGTGACCTGGAAGCAGACATGGAAACCCAGCTAGGAATGTGACCTGGAGGCAGACATGGAAACCCAGCTAGGAATATGAGAGGTTAACTGGGAGGTCACACTTGTGAAAAAGGAAGAGGAGGCAGGACTGGGCAGGGAGAGTCTCAGACTGTAATGCGCATCTGGCAAATACTCATCCAACCCAATGGGGAGCCCCAGATTAGACTGCCCTTTAGAGGTGTCCCGCATATGGTGCAAATGGCCACACCCTAGTTTCCCCCACCGTGCTCAGTCATTGGCTGGGGGCTGCCTGGAAGAGCATGACCTTGGCTCAAAGACTGCAGCAGCAGATCCCCCAAAGAGACTCTCAGCTCACTGCATTCCTTGCAGCTGAATGAGAAGTTCTTTCTTGAAGCAAGATCCAGCAGTGCACCTCTGTGGCTGCCACAGTGAACCTCTTCTATGTGCCAAACTCAGTAGGTACAGAAGTAAACAAGGCTTACCTGAACACTAGAGGAGTCTGTAGTTAAATAGGGAAATAAGCCAGTGACTTAAATAAATCCCAGAAAGCAGGACGTGGGTAGTTCTCTGAGGAAAGACAAATCTGTTCCAGAGTGATTGATTAATAACGTCTGCCACGGTCAAAGGAAGAGACAGTGTGCAGATATACATATTTGCCATTTCTGGCTTATTCCTCCTCTCTGCTAACTTAAATCTCTCTCAAGGTCCAGCTGAAGTCTCATATTTTCCATAATAGCCTTAAATACTAAATACTTCTATCCCTAAATGTCTCTACTTTCATAGCCAGCCACAGCATTTTGTATCATAGAATATACATTTCTTGTATTATCATCCAATTGTTTCTTTCCAGCACAGCTGGCCTCACTAGCCAAACCATAAACAGTTTGGCTGCAGGGACAATGTCATGTACTTTCCCACCCTTCCCTTTTCTGAGTAGCCCCACATCACCACTTAACACACTGTAGAGAAAACAATAGTTGGTCAACATCTACATCTGGATGTATGGATCAATTGACTAGTCTTGTGGTTTCAGAGGAAATCAGAAACCTGTTTCAGGAATCCAAGTGTGTTATGTATTTCCTTCAGAATTAATGCTCTAAAATAAAGGAGGGGGCATCATTCTCAGCTGGGATGTGTCTGCATCTATAGTTGTCCCTTTCTGCTTCACAGATTTGCTTTCATTGTCCCTAGTACCCAGTGGCAGCTAAGGGTGTGTAAGAGCGAAACTGGAGGTTTTAGGCTGTAACTCAATCAGTTCTGTCCCACCATCCTTTGAAATATCTAACTTTAATTTTATAATTTAAAATAAATTGCTCTGCAGGTGTAACTTCAAGCATCTTTGCCACCAGCACCCATTCCAACAATACCACCACCATTAAGCCCCACAAATGGACATTCTGGAGCTGCTCTGCTACTTTCCTCTGCAATTCATGTAGATAATAGAGTGTAGGCTCTAGTTCTATTTTCTCTTTCAAAACCCTCCAAGGACTGGTGAAGTCAACTCTACTTCCCTTACACTCTCTCCTTCTGCTATTTTGGTTCATATCCAACCTCTCTCCAAAGATCAACTTCCCAGTTAACTCTCTATAGAAAGAAACAAAATGGATCAAGGAAAAAAAAGTTGAAATGAATCATGATTTATTTTTACAAAGCAGTTTGCTTTCTATACATCTGGCTTTATTTACCAGAGAAAAAAGATATTTGTATCCAAACTTAATGAGGTTGAGTCTACTAATTTGAATTAGTTTATCTTTCTTTGTTTTAGCTAACATGGCCTGTTTGCCAGTTTGTAATGTTCACAACACTTAAAGTAAATAATAGCTTTCATGAAAATCTCTTTAAACGCTTATCTTAAAATTAGTCCTCATCACATTCCATATGTTTACATGATCGCAATTGCCATCCTTATTTTAAAGCTCACTTAAAAGAGCCTCAGAAGGTAAGTGATTTGCCAGAGGTCACAGTGAATCCAGGGTGAGTCAGGAATAGAAGCCAGCTGTTCGAACCAGCCACCCCATGCTCTAATCACCTCAACAGCACTCAATTCTCACACACCCCATTATTACAGAGACACTTGTCCCAGAGCCCTGTCCAATTCATCTTCTCTAAAAGAGGCTGTGAAAAGGCTAAAAACACCCTCCTCACTTCTCAAATATGATTTTGACTCATTGTAAATTCTCCTTATTGAGGCAAAGTATAGCCATTTTGTCATTTTCAGATCGAATCATCTATTTAGTAAATTGACAGACTGTTTTCTTGTTTCCTATTGAATATCACTGAAAATGCTAAACCTTTTGCAAATCAGATGTGTGGAAATTTTTTGCCTCACTTCCTATCTTGCTGGTTCAGTGAGTACTCCCTAAGTGCTAGGCACTGTGGTAACTTTTAGGGAGGCAAAGCCCAGTCTTTGGCTTCAAAAGTTTACCATTGATTGTGGAAGACAATCAATTAAGGAGACAATATAATATATAAAGTCTCATTAAAAGGTAAGTACCAAGTGCTAAAGAAATTCACAGAAATGGTATTTAATCTCATTGTGGGGAACACAAAGACTGCTTAGAAGCTGAGTCCTCAGAAGATACTAGCCAGGTGTTAAGAGTTTAACGTCCTCCTACAAAAGATATATTGGAGTCTTAGCCCCCAGTATCTCAGAATTTGGCCTTATTTTAAGGTGTTTATGGAGAAAATCAAGTCGAAATAAGGTCATTAGAGTGGACCCTTATCCAATGGGCTGGTGTCCTTGTAAAAAGGGCAAGTTTGGACACAGAGACAGACACACATAGAGGGAAGACAATATGAAAACAGGGAGAATACCATGTGAAGACAGAGGATTGGAGTGATCCATTTACAAACCAAAGAATGCCAAAGATTGCCCACAAACCTCCAAAAGCTAAGAAGACACAAGGAAGGATTTTCCTACAGGTTTTGGAGAGAGCAGACACTTTGATCTTGGACTTCTAGCCCTCAGAACTATAAAATAGTATATTTCTGTTGTTATAAGCCACCTAGCTTGTTATATTTTGTGGCAGCAGCCATAGGAAACTAACACACCAGGACAAAGAAAAAAAAAAAGAGCATCCCGACTAAAGAAAATCAAAGGACAGGATGCCTAGAAATAAAATGCTTCCCCATGGCTGGTTGGGGTTCCGTATGGTGGAAACCTGAGAGCAGGAGCAGGGAAATGCTGGGTGCTGGGGCAGGTTAGGGAGTCAGGGAGCAGCTCTTGAGGTCTCTGTGTAACAAATTGAGCCTGTCCTTTGCTATCATGGAACCCATGCAATTCCCAGTGTTTCTACTATGGAGGGAAATGTTTCTGGATATTGTGGGTTCTGTGCATCTGCTGATAAGCTTTAAACCCTGAGATTCCTCTGCAGTCAGCAGCTTAAAGCATCAAAGCTTCTGTTTCAGCACCACATCAAAAATCAGGAAGCTTTAAAGTTCATCCAAACACCCAGCCCTTGCTGAAAGAAGACACCGGGACTCTAGAGACAAGCAATGAACTGTCTCAAGGATCCCTCTGAAAATAAATATCAGATAAGTGGACGTTTATTTACATCCTGGAATGTTCTTTCTTGTACCAGGTCTACTCCAGCCAGAAATAAAAGATGCTATGTCAATTTTATCTAAGGGAGAGCAATAACCCACTGCAGGTTACAAGACAAGTGGGGCAGAGCCCAGGTGCTCAGACTGCAAATGGCACCATTGCCTTCTGCTTTAAAAGACACATCTAAAGCTGTCACCCTGGGCCATGCAAACAAGTTCCCTTGGGAATGAGCTAAAATTAGCAATTTCGGTTCCTCTTTGAAATATCCTCACACCAAAGAAGCCATTTTTAAAGACTGCTCATAAAGTCCAGCTTAATACACTTCCTGCCAGACACCTGAAGAGAGAAAAGCTCATCTGATCCACTGAATTGATGAAGTCTGGTTGTGGGGAAAGGCTTCAAAGCGCCACAACTAAGCATAACTGAGCAAGGGAATGGAAAGGAAGAGAGAGCCATCAGAAAGGTGTGCGAACAGTCATGGGCTCCCTTTTCCCCTGGATGTGGGTGGATGCCATCATAATGAGAAGATCTGCCTTGTGGAAACACAACAGAGAAATTATGCCAATAAAGAAGCTTCATTTTATAGTTTAGCTACTGAGTCTGTTTAGAGAAAATGTCACGTTTCAGCTTCTTTATGGAGACTGAGCTCCGATTTGAGAGGTTTGGGGGCTGGAGGAGGAAGGAGCGGGGACAGAAAGTGGAATTTTTCTCTTCCCTACACACATACACACACACAGACACACACACACGCGTTGGGTTTGAACTTTTACAGTTTTTGGTTGCAGTTGGTTTTCCTTGCTTTATTTTCCCCAAATTGAAGCTAAGGGAATTTAAATGTGGGCTTATTGCTAAGTGCAGCACCAAACTATACAACATCCAAGGAACAGTGTATTTTACTTTAGTATTACAGTAATTTTTTACTCCTAGTAATGTTCACCTTCCCTAATTCACCTTCCCTAATATCCCTGGATAGAATTTTTCCCTTCCTCCCTCTCATGAGTCTGGTGTGTCCACTGTTGTGTGATGAGCTTACCCTCACTCTATTGTGATTTGGTGTCATATCTCTCTCCAGGTAACAATTTTTACTTAATCACCTTTGAACCCCTAGCTCTGAGCATGGAATAAACATATTATTAATTCTTCCCAAATTAATAAATAACATACATCTTGAACAACCACAACACTGTAGAACCAAATTTGCCATTTTGGCAAATCTTTGCTTGGCCTGAGATTTATACCAGTACTCCTGCATGTGATTGCTAAGTATACAATGGGGCATGGGGATGGTCACCCAGAGAATGCTCTTCTGTTGCCCAATTCCAGGCTTTCTCACCTTTGACTTTTCTATAAGTCTCCCTCACAAGGAACTATTCATTAGAACACAGAAAATAGCTAATCAGATAAGCAACTTAGAAGACATTATTTTACACATTTAAAACATGAAAGCTACAACCTTACAGTGTTTTACACTCTACAGATGTTAACATACAAACAGTTTAACACTGTATTTTTATAAGCTCTGCATGGCAAACTCAATTGCTACTCTACTTAAATTTGTTTTTTACAAATGCAATAAACTCCTTTATAATTATGATAGCTTGACTTATAATAGTTTGTCTTAGGAATTCAAAGCATTTAATTGGCTTCCCTATCTACCCACTTAACACCCTCCTCATCTAGGGAGATTGGAAGCAAGGTATGATTCTCATTTATCTGAAATGAAAAGAGAGCATAAGGCAATGACTGAGTTTAAAAGCAGTGCTCCAGAACCACTCTGGAGAATATGCAAATTTTAGCTAAGGCTGATCTGCCTTAGCTTTCATCCAAAAAGGATTTTGTGAGGGAAGTAGAGTCATACCTCTATTAATAAAGATGCCATGCTCAAACAGCATACTTTATTGTCAGACACTTTATTACTAGAGCTTGAAATATATGAGGCATTAGGGATATATTCTAGAACGTTAGTAAAGGAACCAATCATAGCATTGACACTAACTGAAATAATATCAAATGCTTCCAAAATTAAAATTATAATTCAGAGAGTCTTATGGCTAAAGCAGGGGTAAAATTTGGGTTTGGGAAAGTCTGAAACAGAGAATTTATCAGCTAGGCTTCTGGTGTTAGAAGAAATGCATACAGGAAGCAAAAACATATGACCCAATGGTCCTATCTCGAAACCTCCAGCCTCTACCTGGAAACTGGAAATAAGTCTCACAGAAATACAACTAGATCTAAACCTTCTTATTTTTTCCACATAAAACTTAACAGTGATCCAAGGGGAGAGATCATGAGCCAGTTTTTGTAAGTTAAGCTAGTCAAAAAAAACAGTGTAAGACAGTGGAAAGAAAAGACAGGATTGGGAACCAGAGAAGAATCTCACTTACTCACTGTGTAAACTTGGATAAATGACCTTACCAACTGGAGCCTCAGTTTTCCTCATTGATAGAATAAAGGCAATAATATTCACCTTACCAGGTGGTTGTGACAATTTCAGCTCATATACATAAAGCACTTAACATGGTGCCTGGCAAATACCAGGTGTTCAATAGAAGGGGGCTATTATTATAACTAGACTATTAAATTACATTTGTCATCAGCATAGACTCGTGGAAAATGAGTTTCAGTAGTATTTATGCCCAAAAGCAATTTGTCCCCTATTAGAAGAATTTCAAATGTCAGCAAACAAAAGGAGAGAAAGTCCTCTTTTCATAAGGCAGGAAAAGATAAAAGGTAAGTGACTGAAAGATTAAAACTACATTAGAATGTAATAAATCAATCTATCACCAAGAACTGTAAATGGTTGATATTGTGTTCTCTCCAATTTTTATTTTATCAGGGAAGGGAAAACATAGTAAGAGCCAGGAAATAGAATCAGAGATGAAGGAAATAACAACCTGGAGAAGAAAAGGAATCAGAAAGAGAAGAATGAGGGTGCTCAAATTAAGTTTAAATGATTAAAATGATTAAAAGATAAGTTTAGGGAAAAAGTGAGAGTCAGGAACTGTTTCTAATGTTATGAAGACTATATTCCTGATATCTAAATTTTTCTATTGAGACACTCAAGATGCCAGATAAAATGCAAAATAATTTTAAATGTATTATTGAGTAGGCACAATATTAAGGAATTCATAGAACTAAAAGCAAAGTCACAGAACCTTGGAGTAAAGTAGATTCCAAATTTGGCTTTTGTCCTGAGAGTTTCTGCCAAGCCTTGGAAATCTTGGGATTCATCTTTGACAGATGCAGTACAAGCGGCAGTTAGGAGATAAAATCCAAGGTGATCCAAGGTAAAGGATCTAGTAGAAGATACTTGCATTCAATGGAATATCAAAGGTCTCTACCCTTGATGTAAGATTAAGTTCAAAACAGAATATGCTATGCGGTAATGATCAGCAAAGAGCCTTCATGCAATAATCTTGGTTCTGAATGGCTAAAATAAAAAATATCTCCTGACAGTCTATAAATGCAACTAGCCCTCAGAGAGGTTGGTGATCTAAATGTGTGTTACATATATCATTATAAAATACAGAAGTGGATAATTTAATTTAGAATAAAGTTCTAAAGTGGATAATGTCAACAGGTAACTGCCAGAAACAAATATAAATTTTCTCTAAAGAAATTAAAAGCAGCCTAATACTTGGAGAATAGCACAGAATCTACAAGACATATGAAAAATGGGCCATGCACAATGAAAAAAAAATCACAAAACATACCTAAAGAGAAGAGACTATGAATGAGAATCGGGAGAAGCAACAGAAATAAGCTACACCCGCTAGAACTTCAGAAATTAATAGTCACACACAGAATATAAAAATGAATAACTTTGATCTGTTTCAATAAAAAAGCATGAAAATATTAGCAGTGAATGTCAGATTACAAAGATCAAGCACATGTGAAAGAGAATCAAAATAGAACTCCTATAAATAAAAAAATAAGTATTTAAGGTAAAGGAATCAATAGATGGATTAAACAGTAGAATAGATACCACTGAAGAAAGAATTAGTGCACCAGAAAATAAAATTTTAAAAATTATCAAGAATGCACTTGAGAGGCACAAAGAAACAAAATATAAATACAGATTGACAGAAATAAAAATGAGACAATCTAATCAAAGTTCCAGATAGAATTAAAAGGAGGAATGGGAAAGCAACAATATTCAAAGACATAATGGCTGAGAAATTTCCAAAACTGATGAAGCAATAATAATTATCAGATGCAGGAAGCCAACAAATCTCAAAGAGAAAATTATAAGAATATCATACCTAGACAAATCAAAATGAAATGGTAATATACAAAATTAAAAAGAACATAAATGCAGCCAGATAAAAATGACAGCTCATCTACAAAGAACCAAGGCAGTTACATTGAAGGCTGAAATCACATATCACCAATAGAAGTCACAGATAGTAAAATAGTATCTTTAATGTTTTGAGAGAAAACAACTTTCAGCATAGAGTTTTACTTATGTTGAAATATGAAAGCAATCTCTCAAGAACAGAGTAGGGGAGAAATAGACATTCTCAGATAAACAAAAACTGAGGTTTTTACTACAAAAAAAGATCTTCACTAAGGGAAACTGCCAAGGATTTTCTGCAAAGGAATTGCCTAGGTGTAATATTCTTATAATTTCCTGCTTGGGATTTTTTAAGCTTCCTATATCTGGTTAATTGTGTTGCTTCATCAATTTTGGAAATTTTAGAAGGAAATAATCCAAGAACCAAGAAGAAACATTAACATTTTAATGGTAAATATGTAAGTATTGTAAACATATAAACACATCCATGAATGTTGACCTCCAAACTGGACATTTCTGTGTACCTCTTCAACTTCCCTTTGCCACATCTTTGATTCCAGCTACAGCTGCACAAACCAATTGTATAAAGATTTCAATCAACTTCACATAGCTGCAGCCTGACAGCACTGCACCTCTCACCTGCTGCCATGGGGATTCTCACACTTATTCAACCCAAGACTAGAAAGTAATCAATGTCCCAAGGGATAACCAAAATTTTTTGCTCTCAGGAACTGGGAGCCAGTGAATAACACTTCAGTCTGAGACTCTTTTCTTCTTTTAAATCAACTTACTGAGGAAAAGTTAATATACAATAAGATGCATACGTTTTGAGGGTACATTTCAAAAAATTTTTGACATAGTATGCTGCAGTGTATCTACCGCCACAATCAAGATGCAAAGCATCTCCATCATTCCAAAAAGTTACCTCGTGCCTCTTTGCAGCCAATCACCACCCTCTGTCTTCAGTTTCCCGCAACCACTGATCTGCTGTCTGCTTTGTCTTTCCTAAACATTCAAATAAATGGAATCAAACAGATGTGGTCTTTTATGTATTTCACTTTTCACTGCAAGGTATTTTTTAAATTCATTCATATTGTTGCCTATTTTAGTAGCTGGCTTCTTCTTATTGCTTATTGTTATTCATGAACACCTCACAATTTAGTCACCTGTTGATGAGTATTTCAGATGGTTCAGTTGGGGGATACTATTAATTGTTTTTGTGTAAACTATGTTTATCAATCTCAGCACTAACTTTTGGGGTAAAAAAACTTCAGAATTGATTTTAGACTACGTTTTTTAAAAAGATTTTTAGGCCGGGCATGGTGGCTCACGCCTATAATCCCAGCACTTTGGGAGGCCGAGGCAGGTGGATCACTTGAGGTCAGTAGTTCGAGACCAGCCTGGCCAACATGGTGAAATCCCATCTCTACTAAAAACACAAAAATTAGCCGGGCATGGTGGTGGGAACCTGTAATCCCAGTTACCCGAGATGCTGAGGCAGGAGAATCAATTGAGCTTGGGAGGTGCAGGTTGCAGTGAGCCAAGATTTTGCCACTACACTCGGCCTGGGTGATAGTCCGAGACTCTGTCTCAAAAAAAAAAAAAAAATTGAACTTTCTTTTTTGTGGGGGGCTGTCTTGTTTAATGTAAGGTGTTTAGCAGCATCCTTGGCTTCTACTTACTACATGCCAGTAGCACCTCCCACTTGGAGAAAGAAAAAAATGTGGGACTCACTTGATAAGATTTATCCTATGGTCCTAAAAAACTGCACACCCAATCACACCATTGGTGGTTAACTCAGCAATCCTCCTTTACACTGGCCCTCCTTTCTTCACTATTTCACTTCACCATTCCTCAGTTAACAAACTTTCAAATAAACCACATTACTGGCTCATAAACCTTTGTCTCAGGCTCTGCTTTCTGGGGAGCCCAGGCTAATACAATACTATATAAAACAATCATGATAACTAATTTGCTGAAGGTAAAGACATTAAGAAATAAGCTAGATCTAAAGTATTTCAAAACAAAGGCATGTAGGTTGGTGTATATGAGATCTTCAGAGAAACAGAACAAATAGGAGATCTGTACAAAATGAGGAATTGGCTCTCACAATTATGGAGGCTGTGAAGTCCCATGATCTGCCATCTGCAAGCTAGAAACTCAGAAAAGCCAGTGGTGTACAGTAAGTTCTCACTTAACACCATTGACAGTCTTGGAAGCTGCAACTTTAAGTGAAATGACTTACAACACAGCCAATTTTACCATAAGCTAATTGATGTAAATAAAATTTAAGTTCTCATGGCATGATTCTGGTCACAAAAAACATCACCAAACTTCTAAAGAAAGACCAATACACCTCTAATATAAAACATTGAAATAAATGTAAACTATACATACACTTTAAAAAGATAAGTAAAAAATAGCTAGGATAATTATTTACTCAGTTATTCCTGTTCAGGATTGTGGGTAGCCAGAATCTATCCCAGCAACTCAGAGTGCAGAACCAACCCTGGACAGGATGCCATTCCATGGCAGGGCACACTCATACACACCCACACTCACTCCTACTGGGACAAATTAGACATGCCAATTAACCTAGAATGCACATCTTTGGAATATGGAGGGAAACCAGAGTACCCAGGGAAAACCCACCTAGATATTGGGAGAGCATGTAAATTCAGACAGTGGCCCCAGCATGGAATTGTTTTTTTTTTCCTTATCAATGTTATAATGAAATGATGTTGAACAAAACAATGTTATCTTAAAACCTGCTATAATTCAATCTCAGTTCAAAGGCCTGAGAACCAGAGGACCCGATAGTATAAAGCACAGTCCATGGGTAGAAGATGAGATGAGATGTTCCAGCTCAAGTGGTGAAGCAAGAAAAAAAGGAGAGAATTCCTCCTTCCTCCACATTTTGCTCTATTGATGCCCTCAACAAATTGCATGATACCCACTCAACATTGGGGAGGGCAGTGGGCAATCAAATTTACTGAGTCCACTGATTCCAATGCTAATCTCATCCAGAATCACCCTCACAGACACACCCAGAAACAATGTTTAAAATGGGCACCCACTCAAAAATTAACATAAATTTAACCATTACAGTTAAGGAAGTTAATTAGTTAAAGACTTCTAAAATCTTTTATTGCATGGAACAATGAGTAAAATATGAATAAGTTTAGACTTAGTTAAGTCTGCAAGTTAAAATAATTGTGAAACCACTGAAGAAATAGGTATAAAGCACATACCTTCCAAAGAAGGGTAGAGAGGGTGTCTTAGTTCTTTTTGCATTCCTATAGCAGAATACTTGAAACGGCAATTTATAAAGAATAAAGATTTATTTCGTATAGTTTTGGAGGCTGGGAAGTTCAAGGTAAAGGGGCTGCATCTGTTCAGGGCATTCTTGCTGAGTCAGCTTGTGGGAGAAGGTATCACATGGCAAGAGAGAGAGAGAGAGAAAACATGAGACGGAGTGTTAAGAGTGGGTGAGAGAACAAAAGGGAGCCACACTCACTTTTATAACAAATCCACTCTCAACAACATTTTCTCTTGTATGTTTATTTGTTTAAGTTCCTTGTAGATGCTGGACATTAGACCTTTGTCTGTTGCATAGTTTGCAAATATTTTCTCCCATTCTGTAGGTTGTCTGTTTACTCGGTTAACGGTTTCGTTTGCTGTGTAGAAGCTCTTAGGTTTAATTAGATCCCATTTGTCAATTTTTGCTTTTGGTGTCTTTGTCATGAAACGCTTGCCTGTTCCTATGTCCAGGATGGTCTTGCCTAGGCTGCCTTCCAGGGTTTTTATACTTTTGGGTTTTACATTTAAGTCTTTAATCCATCTTGAGTCAATTTTTGTATATGGTATAAGGTAGAGATCAAGCTTCAGTCTTCTGCATATGGCTAGCCACTTATCTCAGCACCATTTATTGAATAGGGAGTCTTTTCCCCATTGCCTGTTTTTGTCAGCTTTATTGAAGAGGAGATGGTCAGAGATGTGCAGCCTTATTTCTGGGCTCTCTATTCTGTTCCATTGGTCTCTGTGCCTGTTTTTGTATCAGCACCATGCTGTTTTGGCTACTGTAGTCCTGTAGTATAGTTTGAAGTCAGGTAACATGATGTCTCCATTTTTGTTCTCTTTGCTTAGGATTGCCTTGGCTATTCAAGTTCTTTTTTGGTTTGATACAAATTTTAAAATAGTTTTTTTCTAGTTCTGTGAAGAATGTCATTGGTAGTTTGATAGGAATAACATTGAAACAACCCCATTGAAAAGTGGGCAAAGTACGTAAGCAGACACTTTTCAAAAGAAGACATACATGCAACCAAGAAGCATATGAAAAAAACCTCAATATTACTGATCTTTAGAGAAACGCAAATCAAAACCACAATGAGATACCATCTCACGTCAGTCAGAATGAATATTATTAAAAACTCAAGAGGAGATACATTTAAACATAGCAGAGGAGAAAGATTGGTGGGGCAGTGGAGGCTACTGGAAACTCATCCAATATAAAATAAGGTGAAAAAAGGCATAGGAAAAAAGTAACAGAAAAAGAGGGACAAATAGAAGGCATAAAATAAGAAAGTAGGAACAGTTCAAATATATCAAAATAAATTGCCTAAGCTCTTCAGGTAAAAGATAAATATTATCATACTGGATTTTTTTAAATCCAGCAATATGCTATTTATAAGAGACACTCCTAAAACACACCGAAAGTAAACAGTCAATAAAAGAAATGAGAAAACCAAGTTCAAATAAGCTAAGTAATATGCCCAAGGTCACAGGTTTCTAAGGTTTTTTCTTTCTGATCCCATTGTTTGCCATTATGTTATGCCAGTTACTGAGGATAGAGTCACTATCTTATTCATTTTTATGTATCTACCGTCCAGCATAGCAACAAAGCAATATCTGCTGAATTCATGAAATCAAAATTGTACAAGTGTCCAATTCATCAGAAACATGTTGAGCATTCTCAAAAAGAGCAGCAATATTTCATATAATTTATGAAGATTGATTTGCTCTGATATTTCTAACATAATAAATGAACTTTACTTCTCCCTAGAGGATAAATCAAGGCATAGCTCAGCCTAGGATACATCTATATGTGTGGTCATTTTTAAGGTGACAGGCATGTCCATAAAGGATGGTTTTCACTCACTCATTTATTCTACGTATATTTATTCACCTGCTCTGTGACAGAAACTGCATAGGCATGGTGGATAGTGATAAATAAAATGGACACAACCCCTGCCACCCTGGAGATAGCAGACTAATTGTTGAATAGCAAACTCTAGCCTAAAGTATTTTAATATATGAGATACAGTTTAAATTTTCTTTTCTATTATATCACTTTTAAGAAATTTCTTGACCACAAAGTAAAATTTCAGCTTGTCTTAATTTATTAACTGAATAACCTTGGGCACATAATTCAGTCAGTTAGATCATTTGCCATTCTGAAGTTCAGTTTTCTTATTTCAAAATTTGAAAAAGAATACCTACTTTTCATTGTGACAATTACCAGAGATAACATGCCAGGCATGATTCTGCTCAATAAATGCCAGTTTTTAGAATCAAGTTCTTGCTACCATGCCCAAATTTAATATATAACATATCCCATTTGTGAATATTAAGCATTATTCCTTCCAGGCATCAGGTTTCAGAAAAGGGGACCTGTCTAGATGCAGCAAGACTGTTATTTATTAGAAACAGGTCTATCGAGGTCCAAACAGGAATGTAATGTATGCATATTTATTCATCTTTGTATCAGTACACAGATATTGGACTAACAACTATGTATTTACTTGTGAGAATGATCCTATTATATAGTCCATAGAGTTAATTCATATAATTTAGAGGATTGTCCTCCACCCCCCAAAAATGTGTGATCTAATGAAAATTTACAAAGCACTGTTTTGACCATTATCTCCAATCTTGCTCTTTACATGAACAGATGGAAAAATGCATTATTGGATATGCTGCATAAAGCTAAAGACTTTGAAATTAATAGAGACCTAGTTGCCACAGGATACGACTACACTTAATGGGCTACTAAAAGATGATTAATATATGTCCCAATGGGCCAGCAAAGAGAAGGGTCATGACTGTGCATAAAAATGAAGAATTAATTTGACCTATCATGGCAACAAGAAGGGCTAGTCCAAGCTACAGAGCAATGACTGTGGGATGAGGCTAACAGCTTTGGCTGGCTTTATTAGCTTCTAAAAAAAAACCCGATATTTTTTTAAAGAAAAAAAGCAGTTTACTAGAATGAGCTTTGTGTTTGGTCTTGCTGCAGTGGCTCAATCTTTCAATGTTAAGTGCTATTTTGCCTTTGATTCCCCATGTCAGTATGTTGTAAGTCAATTGCATGAGAGGAGCATTAAACAGTGCCTAAGGAGCATTAAACTCCTAAGGATGTTGGGATGAAACATGCTTTGTAATTGCAAGAATTTATTATTAATTATTCTCATTCAGACTCTCATTTTCCAATATTTCCCATGTTAGACGAACAATGTAAAGCCCCATTTCTGCCTTCCAGAACGCAAACTAAAGATGCTTGAAATATTACAATGCCTTATGTCTTTACTATTCTGTATTCAGGGCCTCATATGAATAGGTTATTTCTTTTTTCTCAGCAGCCATAAGATGAGCCATTAAATCTCTTAGATATTTGGATGTTTTAGTTGTTGAATGAAACATTATAAATTCAGATTTGCTTTTTATTGTTTCTTTTAAAACACTTTCTCTCTAGCTTCATTTTGTGTATTAGCGATTACTTTTTCATATTATTATTATTACTAACAATAATATTATTATTGCATTCTAAATAGTGTCAGTCCAATAATAAACATTCCAGAAGCCACACATGACAGAATAAGTTGTGGAAGTGATAAGAAAATTGATCATGACATTTGTAAAATTAAAAACTAATTAACTGTCTGAAGTAAATGACTGAAGATGGTTAAATACATTAGTTCTTAACTCGCCATTTTTGGAAATGGGAAAACCAATCAGAATTGATTCAAGCCTTGTAGATAACTCGCTAAATCTCCAAGAGTACATTAAACTAGACAAATATTGCAAACCATCCTGAGAAAGAATCCTCATGGTGGGTAGAAAGACGGGGAGCAGGGAAGATTTCCTGAAAAGGCCAAATTATACATGCTTCTACTGGCCTTGGTTATTTCAGCCTTTATCATGCAGATATAAATTCACACACTTACGTATTCACAGGGGAAGGAGAACTATACTTAATTTAATGCTTATTATGTACTTGATATATTTATTGTATTTAAGCTTTACAAAAACTCTGGGAAGAAGATGTTATTATTAGTCCCATTTCACAAATGTCTATAATGAAACTAAGAAACACTAAGTAAATTACCCAAAGCCACATGGTTAATAAGTGATCAAGTTAGATTTCACACACAGATCTGATTGAGTCTAAGTCCAAACTCTTTCCACTGGTTTCATTTGCTCATTCATTCGTTAATTTTATTGAATAAGTGCTGTGTTCCTGATCCTGTACTAGGAATGAAAATACTTCTAAGGTATATTCGGTGCCTTAGGGAGTCAAGAGCCCTATCCTGGGATGAGAGTCTATAGGAGATAGAAGTCTCTATGCTCCCAGGCAATGAGGAGAGAAAGAGGGCTAGTCAGAACAAATATTAGGAGAAGGTGAAGCTGAATCTATGTCTTCAAAGATGAGTAGGCATGGCCAGGCAGGCTGAGAGGTGAGGCTTTGCAGATACAGCAGTACAAACAAAGGCAGTTTAGCCTGAAATTTTAAATTTAGGAATACAAGATTCAAGGAGGGGTATAGGGAGTTGGGAGATAAGTCACAGGTTGCATTAAGTTGTAGCCAAAAGTCATTTTTTTTTTTTTCAAATGGAAACATTAGAAAATTCTCAAATGCCTTTCCCACATGAAAAAGTAAAATATTTACAAAACAGCAAAATCTGTATGAGAAAAAGGACATAAAATCACTCCTCCAATAAAATCTGTTAAAAAGCATTGTCTTTATGGGAAGCATGGAGCAGACTGACCTCCTCATAGTGAAATTAGATCTACTTATTCTACTTACACAGTCTGTGTCCCTGGTCTTAGCACCAGTGTACCCTGCGATTTTAGCAAGAGTTGAGTTAGCTTTGGGAGAGCCCCTTGGAATTCATGAACACATTAATGGAATCAAGAAATACCCAGAAAGATGGCATATAGTGTAGCATTTCTATTTCTAGGCTTGAACCCACTTCTAAAGTGGGGCAAAGAGTAATTCCATTTCAGTGCAACACTAGCTACTCTGTGACATGCTCTAGATCCAGCTCCACACAGATTGTCTGAGGCAGCCTGTGGGACTTCCTCCTGGTCTTCTGACTTAACCTGTGTGTTGGCAGGTGATGGAAAGAAAGAATGAGGGTGAAGTATGCTGATTAGCATGCTTTGAATGTAACCCTAGATTGGATGGAACCACCAACAGATTGACTCAAGCTGGCACCAGGCTCCATGGGATCTTTCCCAGAAGCAGCTGCAGCACTCTCTTCAAGCACCATGACTGCCAGCCTCTGATGAGACTCCCAGGGGCCTGACCAAGCAAGCCAGGGATTCGATAAGATTCCACATTAATGAGCTGCAGCCCCTGGGTTTTAAGGGAAACCACTGAGCAATATGCTTGATTCTGGGGCTGGGTGGCAGGGGGCTGCAGAATGAGCATCTTTTTCACTTTTCAATTTTTTTAAATTTTCTGCTGTGCGAATGAAGCCAAAGATGAAGAATGGTGAGTAAAAGACTGACATAACAAATTGCCCATAAAATGTATTTATAATCATATGATAACCAAAAACGGGAAGCAGGCCACCGATCATATTAAATTCATGCTACCTTGGCAAGGATTGTTAAGTTAACCTTGAAAGCAACAATAGTCCCTCCATAGCTCACCAGGAAGATTTTTGCCTTCCCTGTCTGTCCGTCCCCATCTCTGCCTCCTCCGTGGCCTCTCTCAGCCTGCTCTCCCTTTGTCCTTCTCTGCCTCTTTGGCTGTCTTCTCTGTTACTCTACTTTCCCTTCTCTCTTTTTCTTTGTCTCAGTTTATGCCTGATTTCTCCAGAATTCTGCCTCAATCCTATAAGATGTGTAAAAATCATCCTTGTCATAATGGGTTCATTTGATAGAAAGGTGCCAAGAGGTTCTTAACCAAAGTAGGACATACACTCTAAGAATTAAACTATTTCCAGCCATAAAATAAGCTTCCAACATCATTTCCTTTTATTGCTCTCTAATAAATTGAGGGAAATAAACAATCTACTACAATGAATTTTTGTATCAAAAGATAAAGGATGTTGATCAACCAATCAATTACAGAGCATTTTCATTTCTTTCAAGCAATATTTCTTCATGCCAATTTTCTTTTGCTTTCTTTGGAAAGGTGAAATTTAGCAAGATGACAAGTGCAGCTATTGTTTCCCGCACATGGTAAAGAACTTCTTTGAGTTGTACACATGCCATTAAAAAAATTTTTTTTGACTTGCCTCCTAAACTTGATGAATGGACCCAATTATACTACTAATTCTGTACTTTCTTAAAACCAGATTTGTAATGAACTATTTTATGCCCCTTAAATAATTTAAAATCCCAAAGATGCAGTTTTCAGCAAAGCCTTAGCACGCACATTG
Organism: Homo sapiens; assembly: GCF_000001405.40. Classification (NCBI taxonomy): domain Eukaryota; kingdom Metazoa; phylum Chordata; class Mammalia; order Primates; family Hominidae; genus Homo; species Homo sapiens. The sequence goes on along the minus strand of NC_000001.11, from coordinate 82,028,773 downwards.
CTATGCGCTGCATAGATCCACTTATTTTACATATTCAGTCACGGGTATATTTCAGTATTTTGATATGTTCTGCATTTGTTTGAAATAGCTATTTATTATCACAGAGTCATCTCACCAGTAAATATTTATAGGTAGCTTTATTTCCAGTTTAGGATTTGAGAACTGTATCTTACAATACCTAAAACAGGCGTTGCTGATTTGCTATTTTAGCTTTTGATAGAGAGCGTGTTTACGGCATGGCTGTGGGAGGTTTTGTCTTTAGTAATTTACAAAATTACCTGCAGTAAAATCTTCACCTGTTCCTTGTTGTCTTAGCACCACAAAATTGGAATTACATATAAAATCTTTCCTCCAGGAGATTTATATCTGCCACAGAAAGAAAATCTCCACTTAAATTTTTATGAAACATCAAAATTATGGTCCGCTTTAGCAAAACAATACAATAGAGCCTTTGCCTAGTGAGGACTATTTCCAATATTTGACGACATCATTCTTTATCTCCTGTTTAATCTTTATGTTTGTGTGACAGCTTTTTTTTTTTTTCAGTTTCATTGATTCTCTTGTTTGTATGTGCAGTGTGCTAATTTGTCTTTCATTACAGAAAGTTCCAAGTGCCAACCACAGAGGCTAACCCCAGCCAGAGGACAGCCCTCCCAGATAGCTGTGCTTTTTACAGCTTAATTTGAAATGGTTACCTAAATTAACTGATGTTCAGTTTCCTTCTTTTCCCTGAGACTGACCACCCCATCCTTGAAGAGGGCAATGGTCTCAACCTGGCAGCCTCAATTTAGCTGCACACAGAATGAGAGCAGTGCAAATGCTGTCCTTCACTGTGATTCGGATTTAGATCCTCTTTATTGAATTATGTGTTTTAATAAAGGGTTTATATAACACCCACAGAGCAGTTATCAATTAATTACCCATGGAAATTTAGGGGATGTTACACAGTGGTAGTTATTATACCCAGGGCATTAGACATATGTTACATAAAAGATGCAGTCACCTTGAAATTATATTGGCAAGGCTACCTTTTTCCTATAGAATATTATACATTCTAATGTGAAAATTGAGTTAAAAACCTATTAGGAGATGGGAATGGCATGTTCCAAATGGTTTAAGGCAGGTTTATACACTTTTCCAATAAGCTCAGCAGAATTTTAGGAAATTATGCTCACTGGTTGAGAAATTTCAATAGTTCTTTGGACACTCCTGCCTTCCGTGGCTTGGAGCTTTGTATTTCAGAGAGAAAACTGGCTGCTCCTTTACAACCCTGACCCCCATTTGGCTCAACTCATGGATTCATCCTGAGCCATCTGCAGATACCACCTTAGGTCCAGGAGAGGTGATGTAGGAAGGTGCATTCCTAAGGGCTGAAAGCTTTGCTCCACTGCACCAGCACCAGGATGCAGGGGCCAGAAAGGGCATAGTAGAGTGAATAATGGGAGAAGATATATAGATGACAATGGGGGCCCCGTATCTGACAGATGGAGAAGGGGAGGAAGGAGATCTTCCAGGTCCCAGAACAGTGGTGGCCAACATGAGGAATGGCAGAGGTACTGGGGCAGAGAGGAGACCTGACCAGTTTTCATGTTAGTTAGAAAGGGGCTGACATATTTAAAAGGGTTATCACTCTCTGTACCCACCCTGAGGACTCCTGAAACTTTTAGCCTCTAAAGAATTGTTCACTTTGGGAATGAAAGCTTATCTTGTTTGATTGGGAGCCTAAGGTATTATAGTTTGTGTTGTTTTTAAACTCATCAGGAACCAAAATTACTTTCCTGCCTGGCTGAAGAAAATAAGACGTTGCATTAGCTATTTTTGAAGCTATAATCTAAAATATCAGAAAATCAAAATCGTTACTTTGGGGCATTGTACTTCATTGATTTTTTTTAAATAAAAATTACCTTCATAGTTATACTTTAATTTAAAAATATCAGAAATCTGTTTTCATTTAACCAATCATTAAATGAATTGGAACAAGATCTAAGTCAAAAATGTATCCTAATACATTGCTTCTATAAAAACAAAAGTAATCCATTCATTCATTCATTCATTCAGACTTCATTTCTGGGCCTATCTTTCCCTGGAGTCATTGTCAGGGAAACATACACAAAGGACTCAAGCCCTGTCCTCAAAGAGTAAAGAGAGAGGCAGGAATAAGAATGAATAATCAAATCCAGGCTGATAAGTGATTTACCAAGGAAGCATTAGAACATCTGGAACATCTGGAAGTATTAGTGCCTAATTCTACAAGCAAAAGCTACAAAAGAATGGAGTTGAGCCTTGGTGAACTGACCACTGTTCAGAGGCAGAAGAATAGGAAGATGATACCCCATGGAGAAGATATAAAAATCACGTTGTAAATCCACCAGGGTTTCATCTCCCTTCCTAAAATTGTGATTATAAAAGGTATCTGCAGGAACAGTTGGGTTGTATCTGGCTCATGTATCAGAGGGTGGCTAGGACAATGAGGAGACCCAGACTCTCTTGCCTGGAAGCCAAAATTCTCTCTGAAAAAATCAACTGAGTCTAACTTGAGAGTGAATATTAAAGGGACCCGAGAATCAGGAATAGCATAGATTTTGCATGAAAAACTTGTAATCAAAGGCCTCATTTTCCCTATTGGAGTTTTGGTCACTCACTGCTGTCAAAAATAGCTTAAATGAAAGTTCAACCAGGTTCTTATGATGAGTTTTTAAAAGAATCACAATTGACTTATTAAATATGAAAGACATCACACTTGAGGATGAAATAAATACACTGGATGGAGAGTGTTCTGAAGGTAAGTACGTTGCATTTTGGTTTCAAAGATTAGCTGTCAAATGACAATAATCTCTATTATTTAACAGTGCTATCACATTTTTTCTATTCTTAGAGCCTTAAAACAAAATCCTGGGCACCAGAAGTCAGTTACTACTACTGTCATTTCACCATACAGAAAGGTTTTAACCAAAGCACCATGGATTATCAATGGCAAAACCGCCGAAGTGTCCCTGTTCCTAAATCCACCATTTGAGCCATTGGACAACTAACAGTTGTCCAGAGAGACAGAACCAATAGGATATTTAGATAGAGAGAGACATGAGAGGGGATTTATTAGGAGAATCGGCTCACAGATTAAGGAGGCTGAGAAGTCCCACAACAGCAGGCTGTCTGTAAGCTGGAGACCCTGGGATGCCAGTAGCATGGCTCAGTTCAAGTCTGAAGGCCTTAGAACCAGGGAAGCCAATAACATGATTCTTAGTCCAAGACCAAAGGCCTGAGAATCAGGGTGAATGCTGGTATAAGTCTTAGAGTCTGAAGGCCAAAGTCCTGGAGTTACGATGTCCAAGGGCAGAAGAAGAAGAATGTCCCAGTTCCAGGAGACAGAGAGAAAGCAAATTCACTTTTCTTCTGCCTTTTTGTTCTACCTGGGCCCCCAGCCAGTTTGATGGTGCTCGCCCCCATTGAGGGCAGATCTTGCCCACTCAGTGCACCAACTCACATGTCTACAGAGAGACCTGGAGGAAGGTGATTAAACCATGGGGGCGGTTCCCCCATGCTGTTCTTGTGATAGTGAGTGAGTTCTCATGATATGGTGGTATTATAAGGCAGTTTTCCCTGCTTTTGCTTGCTCTTCTCTCTCCTGCTGCCCTGTGAAGAGGTACCTTCCTCTATGATTGTAAGTTTCCTGAGGCCTCCCAAGCCATGCGAAACTGTGAGTTAATTAAACCTCTTTCCTTTTATAAATTACCTCATCTCTGGTATTTCTTCATAGCAGTGTGAAAATGAACCAATACACAGATACACCCAGAAATGATGTTTTAGCAGCTCTCTAGGTATCCTTTAATCCAGTCAAGTTGACACCTAAAATTAACCATCATAAACCTCTACACCGAGGTACACACATTATCAAAAAAATGAAACCTAGGTTTTAATGCAAATTTTAAAATATGATATAAATTGTTGTTTCCTAAAAAAAAGTACACTATGTGAAAATAAAGATTATTCACTGACTTGATCTACCTCTCTTGTACATATAGACTTAGTAGTTTCATGCCAGCTGCATAGCATGGAAGGACCTGAAATTGACAAGATAACTCAGAGCATGGCACTGTTCTCACGCTGCCCTAGAGAGTAGCTGGTAAACTCTTATCCATGATATTTAACAAAGATTTGGAAGATGGAAGGAAATTACTGCTTATGTTAAAATGGAAAAAATAAGTAATCAACAGAAAATTAGAGGAAGTCAGAAAAGAAGCATAGCTCAAGTAGATAATAAATTTGAGTAATTTGGGCTACCAAAATAACCCACATATTCCTGGCAGCATTAATTATTCAGGTTAATGTTTTACTTTGAGCTTATTGGATAATTGTGAAATTTGTACTTATTTTGGTTCACATATTTATGGTTGATATTAATTGTGAATTTTAAAGCTTTATTTTTAACAAACTTTAAATATTACTTTTAGTTTCAAGGTTGATTATTGACTGGTATACCAATAATTCTGTTCCTTCGTTTTGCATTTAAAAGATATGTGTATTTACAAAGTAAATTCAAATCAGCTCAAGATTTTCGTGTGGCTCTTTAAATATATTATAAAGATAACATCTGTGGAGTACTAACTAAACAATAGATTTATTCTTCTTGTCTTATTATTGTAACTTTTCATTTTTGATAGCACATTTTGCTCTTTGTGGTAATGACTGTAATCTGAATAGTTAGTTGTTAGAACTGAAAGAGTAACTGCCAGCAGAAATCCATGAAAGTGAATTAATTAACATGTTTTATAACGAAGGGGAAAAATTTCAAAACCACTTTTATGTATTTACATGGTCACCATATTAGTTTGTAGGGCGGCCATAACAAGTTAGTACAAACAGTGGCTTAAAAGAATAGAAAGTCATTCTGTCGCATTTCTGGAGGACAGAAGTCTGAAATCAGGATGTTAGCAAGGTCATGCTCACCTCGAAGGCTCTAAGGGGATATCCTTCCTTGCCCCTTCCAGCTTCTGATGGCTGGAAGCATTCCTTGGTCTGTGGCTGCATCACTCCAGTCTCGGCCTCCGTCTTCATGTGGCCTGCTCTTCTCTGTGCATCTCTCCTGTGTCTCTTATAACGACACTTGTCATTGGATTTAGAGCCCACTGGGATAATCCAGGATGATCTCATCTCAAGATCCTTATCTTAATAACATCTGCAAAGATCCTTTTCCCAAATAAGGTCACATTCACAGGCTCCTGGGATTAGAACACAGACATATCTTTTTGGGGTAGGGCATCATTCAATCTGTTAAAGTCACTTTCTGAAGCTTTCTCTTCACATACTGCCCACCATTAAATGGCTCTTCTGTACTGTTACTGCAGGGGAAGGGGACTAGAACACTCTGAGTTATTGGTGGCATTTCAAAGTCCCATTCACAGTGACCATGTGACTGGGATGATAAAGCTCTGGAAAGAGTGACCTTTAACTTCCATATGTTATAGTTTTGTTGAGGAAGACCCAGTGTCACACTGGGTCTTCAGAAATCAGAAGGCCTCCATCGTTCTGGGACAATGTGTTAAGTATCACCTTTTCAAATAACAAACCCTCGTTGGGAAAAAACCTACCATATTTGCTCCAATTTAAGATTTTCTTCATGCACTTAAAGCAGGCAAAATAAAAGGGAGAGTTTCAACCCTTTTCACTTATGTAACTTACCACTGCAAGATTTTACTGCATTTTATTTTATATCTCAGGACAAGATTGAGAACAGATCCGTAAGATGGAGAACTGGTAAAGGCAGTCCCTATCTGCCCATGCCATGGCTACCAACAATTTTATTCTTCATCTATTTCCTTCTGAGCGCTTAGCCAATCAGAGCTAAGGCTGGCAGATCAGTGAGCTCCCAGCTGAAGAATTAATCTTGCTGATATAAACTGAGTTTCAGTATGCCTATATAGGAGGTTAATGTATCCTTACTCCTCAGAGACAGGACAACAGAAGCTTCCAGTCTGGGACTCTCCTAGACCTCACCTGCAGTGATGCATGCATCTCTCCTTTTGGCTGGTGCTGGTATGTATCCCTCTGCCCTAATAAAACTGGAATCACAAGTATAGCACTTTCCTGAGTTCTGTAGATTACTTTAGTGAATTATTGAGTCTGGAGGATTCGTGGGAACCCCTGACTTTGTAGCCATTTGGAAAGAAGTGAGGGTGGTCTGTGGAATCCTAGCTTGTGGGTGAAGTGAGGTTAGCCTCATGGAGGACTGTGCCCTTAATCTGTGAAGTGTAGCCCAGCTCCAGGTATTGATGTCAGAAGTCATTGCAGCCCCAAATTCACTGCTTATTGCCAAGTATTTCTTACAGTGAATTAGTTTCCTATTCCCACTGTCACAAATCACCACAAACTTAATGGCTAAAAACAATATAAATATATTATCTTAAGGTCTTAGAGCTTAGAGGTCTAAAATGGGTTGATAGGTGCTGTGTTTCTTCTGAAGGCTCTAGGGAAGAATAGGGTGCCTTGTCTTTTTTAGCTTTTAGAGTTTACCCACATTCCTTAGTTCATCTTACCCCCTTCACTCCCTCTGTTCCTATTGACACATTGCCACCTCTGACTTTGACCCTTCTGCTGCCTTTTTATAAGGATCCTTGTGATTGCATTGGGTCTACCCAAATAATCCAGGATAAGCTCCCCATCTCAAGATCTCTACCTTAGCCCCATCTGCAAAGTCTCCTTTGTTGTGTAAATTAACATAGACACAGATTCGGGGGATTAGGACATGGACATCTTTGGGGGACCACTACTATGCCCACTACATATGGCTTCTACCAATGGAAGAAGACTCAAAAAACAGTAGCCACCCACTACGGTTTTGTTCAAAGCCAAATTCATACTTCTGAAATCCTTTCAAAAGATACAAGTATATTTTGTTTAATGTAATTGGTTTCTGTCTACATAGGCCTTTCTTGTTAAAATTTAATTATTACTACCCTTAGGGTTGTCTTTCTTTAATTTTTCTTTTTATTTCTTCTTACATCCCTATTATTATTAACCCAGATCTCTTACACTGCAAGTTTATATCTGAGAATGGAGAATAGAATTCTAAATTTCATTGCTAAATTCATTATATTTCTTCTTAAAATGGCTTCTGATCCTAACACCCTTATTTTTCTCAATAGCAATGTAGAAGTATAGCAATCATGGGTAGGTGTATTAGTCCATTTTCACACTGTTATAAATATACTACCTGAGGTTGGGTAATTTTTTATTTTTTATTATTTATCCTATTTATTTATTTATCTATTTACTTATTTATTTTTGAGACAGAGTCTTGTTCCATTGCCCAGGCTGGAATGCAGTGGTCCAGTCTCGGCTTACTGCAACCCCTCCGCCTCCAGGTTCAAGCTATTCTCCTGCCTCAGCCTCCCGAGTAGCTAGGATTACAGGCAGGCATCACCAACACCAGGCTAAATTTTTGTATTTTTAGTAGAGACAGGGTTTCACCATGATGGCCAGGCTGGTCTTGAACTCCTGACCTCAGGTGGTCTGCCTGCCTCAGCCTCCTAAAGTCCTAAGATTACAGGTGTGAGCCCCAGCGCCTGACCCCCAGACTGGGTAATTTTTAAAGAAGGGAGGTTTAACTGACTCACAGTTCTACATGGCTGGGGAAGCCTCAGGAAACTTGGAATCATGAGAGGAGGCAAAGGGGAAGCAAGGCACATCTTACATGGCAGCAGGCAAGAAGGAAAGTGAAGAAGGAAGTGCCAGACACTTATTAAACAACCAAATCTTGTGAGAACTCACTCACTATCACAAGAACAGCATGGGAGAACCACCCCCATGAATCAATCATCTCCCACCTGGTCCCTCCCTCGACACATGGGGATTACAATTCAGATTATAATTTGAGATGAGATTTGGATGGGGACAGAGCCAAACCATATCAGTAGTTAAAAGAGCAGAGAAATTGTATTTGAGTTACAAGTTTGGCTTCTCCATTTAACTAGTTGTATGCTCTTGGAGAAGCAACTGAATCTAAGATTTGGTCTCTTTGTCCATCTAATGGAAATAACAATATTGTTGCAATAATATTAATAATTAGATTGCTGTGAGAGTGAAACATTTATCACAGTGCTTTGTGCATAGTAGTTCAAATAATCCCTTTCCCTTCAGTTTCACCACCATTACAGCCCTTGAGTGGGACCTATCTGGTTTTGTTTTTTTTTTGTTTGTTTGTTTGTTTTTGAGACAGAGTCTTGCTTTGTTGTCCAGGCTGGAATGCAGTGGTGCGATCTTGGCTCACTGAAACCTCTGCCTCCCTGGTTCAAGCAATTCTCCTGCCTCAACTTCCTAAGTAGCTGGGATTACAGGTGTGCACCACCATGCCAGGCTAATTTTTTGTATTTTTAGTAAAGGCGGGGTCTCACCATGTTGGCCAGGCTAGTCTCAAACTCCTGACCTCAAGTGATCTGCCCGCCTCGGCCTCCCAAAGTGTTGGGATTACAGGCGTAAGCCACTGCACCAGGCTTGCCTGCTCTTCAGAGAACCAATTCACACAAGATCACAGTGCCATATGTCCCACCCTAAGTCATATGTTCCACGTAAGCTCATTGCCGTATCCTGGTGAGGTAGGTCTGCTCCCAGTGTTAACATTGACTTGCTTTTATAAACCACACAGGTGTTCATTACCTGGCTGTGGGTGAAAAGATGAAATATAACATGAGATATATTATATGAGTTCTCTTGACTTTCCTTTTATTTGTCCAACTTCATCTCATTCTCCTTGGCAGCCAGCATGACTTCCTCATGGTTACCTAACATCTCCACAAGAAATGATGTCTGTCCTGTTGACCTCATCACTCCAGCACCTGGCAGAATGGAAGGCACATATAGATCACTCGATAAATATTTGATAAGTTAATTGAGGCAACTAATAAATGCCTTGCTCTCTCTTGTTTTTTCACTGGACCATTTGCTCTGCCTCCATTCTCCATTGCCATTTCTTTTTCCCTCTGAATTGTAGTTGTAATTTAAGGACCAACCCAATTACTACCCAGCGTTTGCTCTTTTGATAAGGTGTTTCTGACCACTTCACAAAACCTGTTCTCACCTGCTTCCAAATTCCTCCAACATTCCTACTTGTCTGGGACTTATCTTGAAATGTATTCTTCACAACTATTTTGTAATAACTCTGTTAAATATTAATTGAAAGTTCCTTGAGGAAAGATAATGTGTTATATACACACTTCTACTACAAGTAGTGCTACTGTGTGCCTTGACACATAGTAGGCACTTGATAAATGCTTCTTGAATTGGCTTTCCCCAACAGAAACTGCACAAGAGCCTGAAGAAACAAGCCCCTGATCATGGTTATATTTATAACTGGTTTGATCATTTTGACGGAATTGACAAAATTGTTCAACCAAATTTCTTTTTTTAACAATATGGCTGATTGATATATTGAATTGATTAGACAAAATTCAAATGCAATTCATATTTGCAGTTTGCAACCATTAAGTGGTCTTTGGTGCGAGCCATCAAAAATATTGCTGGGCTACTCATAGCACACCCAGGTCACACCTTAGGAAATTTTTGCCTCAAGTTTTGGGGTTCTTCACTGTGTCTTTTGTAATCACTCCAAGGTGTGTGTCGGGGCTGGATTGTTATAGCAAATGGCAAACTGTGTTAATGGGAATCAGCAAGGAATTTAATTATTTTCCCAATTTCCAAAGGCATGATGTATCACATTAATACTTTTCATTTGCTTTTCCTGCATGCTAGTAGCTGAAAGTGAAATGATGTCCAGGTCCGCAGTGTGTCTGCAAAGGAGTCATAAATTACACCTCTGCACCTTTGCAATGAAAGAGCTGCTCTCTTGATGCTGCTTGTCCACACAGATCGTGGACAGAATGGCACAGTTATAAAAACAAAGTAGATAATGTATTACTCCAAACTTATTCTAGGGGTCACTTTTTAAATCAGGGGATTTTTCTTAAATCATTTCTTTTCTTCAGGGTTGATGGTTTCTGCTGACAAAATCTTCTGAGGTTGTGATTTTTTTTTATGAGCATGTTCAATAGATTTTAGGAGTAGTCTCAATACCTCTGAAATTTGGAAGACAACATACCTGCAACTTTACAATACTGTGATTGGACAAATGAACATTTAATCTTCAAAGAATACAAATCCCTGGGGTAATTCCTAATGGTATGAGACTACAGCCAGCCAGTACTTCTGTGTCACTCCCTGAGCAGTGCAGATGAGGTGCTGTCATCTGAGCTGATGATTCCCACTGTATGAGCCAACTCAACCATGTTCTTAGGATATCAGATTATGTGACCTTGGGCAAAACAAGCCCTAAATGTAGGTTGTACAACTGGTAAGTCGTAATCTTCTATTTAGAAATGTTCTGAGAATTACTAGCCAAAATTCCGAAAGCAGTAGAAATTTATAAAAATGCAATTTTTGCCTAAATTCAAAATATTATCTTATCTATAATGTTGAGTATAAAAAGCCAGTTAAAAACAGATTTTCATTTGGGGAAGAGAAAAGGGGGAAAGAGGAAGAGCTAGAGGGCGGAATGAAGGGGAGGAAGGGGGAAGAGAACAAAGAGAAAAGAAGGAAGGTGGGGAGGAGACAAAATTGATTTAGAGGTGTTTAATTCTAGCTATTGAGATTTATATCAATTTCTTTTCTTTTTTGGCTTATTTCTGCCTATTTTCTGTATAACCGCATATGACATAAGCAAAAAAAATTTATGAAAAAATTGATCTCTATAGAAATATCCATAGTACCAGAATTCTTATCAAATCTTTTTGTCAGATCCCAAGATTTTCATTTGTTTAGTTGCTCAAAAAAAGTAGTTACTGATTTCTGTTTAATCTTTTTCATGAAAAACTGACTGGAGAGTAAATCTGAATTTTACTTTTCCACAATATTTATTTTATTAATCTATTCAGACACATCAACCTTATATATCAGATACGAATTGATAGTTCAACTGTTCTTCAAGCTATAAGAGGAATCAATGAATTCTTTCTTTTTAGGAGAGTTCAGCTCCTGGTGCCTTATGGCTACCAAAAGTCTAGGTTTTGAGTAAAATAGGAAATGTTGGCATAGCAGTCATGTTGGTTCTGTTTTTTTGTTTTATTTTGTTGTTGGGTTTTTTATTTTTGTCTTTGGTCTTTGGAGTTTGGGAGGAGTTGTTTTGTTTGTTTTTGTTTTTCATTTTTTGCTTATCTAGCTCTTTTGTTTCTCAATTAAATAACTGGAAAATGTTATGGTGACTTAAACATTAAAGTAGTGTAATAGAAAAAGAACGGAACCTATTGGTAATGGGAAACCCAGCCTCTCTTTCTGGACCTTCCCGTTTGACCACCCAGGTCTGAGTGGCCTGGGAAGGTAATTTCGTGCCTCTGATGCCTCTATTTTCTTACCAGTAAAATAGGACTGAGAGCTGCCCTTCCTACTGCTCAGGGATCTAATAAAAGAACATGGATAGTGAAAGTGCAAAATCCTGTGTACATTTAACAAGCTATATTATCACCTGATTAATTTTTGGCTTCCAATTATTAGTTTGTACAAGGCCCTATGATAAGCACTTTAGAAACATTATATCTTTTAATCCTTAAATGTGCTATAGAATTATTGTCTTTTTTTTTTTTTTAATTATAAAACTCACCAGTTTGGTTTCTGCATTACCCAAGTTCTGCTCATTTGCCACGCTGTCTAGCTGGAGTGACTACAGCAATGGCTAGATTCTGCTCCTCCCACCACGGAGCTGGGTCTCAGCACAGCAGGGTAACATCAACTCAACTCATGCTCTGGGGCTTCTCTGTTGTCACTGAGACCTAAGATGCTGCCATACCCAGGCAGATTTATATCAATTTCTTTTCTTTTTTGGCTTATTTCTGCCTATTTTCTGAATAACCATATATGACATAAGCAAAAAAAATCTTACGAAAAAATTGATCTCTATAGAATGTATATTTAATGTAAAAATCTGTATTTAATGTATTTTTCTTTCTCCTGCTCCACTTTCCATACTGTTTGGAGTCACAGGAGCTTCATTCAGCTTCTCGGAAGATATTCTGAGAAACTGAGCAGTCAGCCGATCACAAAACTCCCATAAAGTATTAGCACTTATGCTTTTGCTTCAGGTTTTGTCTTCCAGAAAACCCATGCTAAGAGGAAGCCATGAACACAGGGAAGCAAGCCTGATGGGGAATCACAGAATCCCAGCCAAGGATCTATTCAGTAGGGTGCCACGAAAGATCAGAAATCACGTATGAAGGGAAATCTCTGTCAGAACACTATTTATGTGACATAAATAATAATACATCATGTCTGCACAAAATGATATCCAAGAGTGAGAATCATAGAAAATGCAGAAAAATACCAGTATCTTTCCATTAGTCAGATGGGCTATGTTCATGTGACAGTAACAAACTATACTAAAAACTCAGTTACTTCAAATATAATAGTTCTTTTTTCTCCTTTAGCCAATTCTCCAGAGCAACCAGTCATCCATGGGATTACTAAGTGATCCAAGCTGCTTCAATCCTGTGGCTCAGGTATCTTGGTCCATTACCTCCACCCTAGACAATGAAGGGATAGAGAAAGAGCTAGAAAAAATCATGCAGATGTCATGTTCACTGCCTCACCTCTGAAGGAACACATTTTAAGTCACAGAGCTTCACCCAACTGCAAAAAGGCTGGGGAGAATAGTGTTCAGTGGTCTTAGAAAAAGGTTAACTTTATATTGAAAAACACTGGTGAAGTCTACTATAATCTAATTTACACATATGAGGAGGTTACTGCTTGCTAATGTTTTATGTTTAAAAAATGTGTCCACAGGAATATAATAAAAACAAATTCTGAAATGTTATCAGAGTTCACTGATGCTACTTAACTTAAAAATCTACCACACGAGTCAGAATAACTTAATTGCCAACACAACTGTGTGCTTTGGGAAAGCCATTTCAATCCTATAGGCCTTGGTTGCTTAATCTATAAATAAGACATTGGAGTCAATGGCATCAATAAGTGTCCCTTCCAGATCTCCATTTCATCATTTTCGCCTCAAATGCACTGGGAAAAATTGAGGTCCTGCAAGAGATGGCCCAGGGTTTTTTATTCGATCCTCTGCTGCCATCTCGCAGTCAGTACTGCAGGCACAGTAAGCCCAGGTTTTGAACCAGAGGATACCGCTTATTCCTATGTCAGAACTGAGGTTGCTGAGGTCGCACCTGCCTGAGTTTCATGCTGTGCTACAGTAAGTGATTGAATGTCATACAAAAAGTTAGTCCATGGCTCTTAATAGAAAACGGTGCACTAAATTTTGTCATTTCCCCCACTGTTTTATTATCCTTACCTGTTGAGATAAAAGTGATTAAGCAGTGAGTGTCAGCTTTACTTGCAGAGTTAGAAGAAACAGTGCATGCTGGTAGAACGGCTCCTGCGCTATGATTAGCTAATGAAGCAGAGGAGAGAGCACATGAGGAGAAATAATGACAGCAGCATCAACCAGGGGAGAATGGCCACAGTCCCAGTGGGACGAGAGGACAGACTTACTAGGTGGAGTTTTGTAAGACATATGTGATTTTCATCTTCTTTTTCCTTTTTCTTGCTGCAATCGCTGACCTCAGATTTCCCTTTATGACCATGGTTCAAACCTTGCACCATAAAACACAAATACATATGCAGCCAGAAGATGGACATTCTACACAACACCTTAGTCTGATTCCTAGTATCAGTGTAACAAAATGGTACCCACTGAAGAACTCATTAACAGTGCAGCGAGTCACATTGTGTTATGCTTACGCTTTTCTAAGTGAGTCAAATAGAATCAGTTTCCATTGTCTACATGCCTACCTTTCAGACCACACAATATTAACGTGGTCAAAATAGAATTATCCAACCTGAGTGATATTAGAGCAAAAGCAAGCCTACTCTAAGTAAGTATTACATTATGTTTTGAGTTCAGCAGCTGTGGTTTTTGTGGAGTGAGCAAATAGCCTGTTAGAATAAAGGAGAGATTCAATATCACACAAATTTAGTCATGATGGGCTACAGGGAGGAAGGAAAAATAAAAGAGATCTTTAAAGGCTATAAGGGAAAGCATTTGGCAAATCCAGGTGGGGGAAACACTCTAGACACAGGGAAAGAAAGGCATAAAGGTCTGTAATTAGCAGAAAATTAAGGTGTCTCCAGAATGAAGGAGAGCAGGAACTGAATGAAGGGCATAAAATTGACTTGAGTGGTGAGATTAGTATGGGAGGAGAGGGAAGAATGGATTGTGAGATCAGGATGCCAAGAATAACTAGAATGACTGGAAGAACGTGCACTCGAGAGGATAGGTTCTTATTAATTTGCTCGCATCACCAATGTGTATGGTGCCATTTCCTCGTATGTAGATTTGGAAGTACTGATTCTCAAATTTCTCCTGTTCTTCTACTTTCTTGGAAATTACAAGCATCAAAATCCTGTGACTAGTGGTTTTGTCATTTGAACTTTTGATTAGATTCAAAAAAAGTTGCCAAGAATTTCTCAACTTTAAAATAATTGACTGTAATGATCTGGGAGAAGTGGTCCCTTACCTGCTTGACTCAAGAAATATTTATTGAGCTAATCTATTTCATTAACTACCCAAATTGATTTGAATCTCTTTGTTATTTAGTCACATATTCAAAACTGTGCTTGGCTTTATTTTTTATATATTGAGAGACCTGGGGGTTTGGCAGGATATTTAAAATCCCAAAAACAAATTAAAAATGTATGAAAGTTAACTACCAGAATAATCAACACATTTCACAAATTATAATCAACTGTGTGTGGATACCAGTCAGGAAATGAAATCCTACTTTTTAAAATTAAATTTATGAAGAGAAAATGTCCTCAACTTCTCTCTCCCTCTTGTGGACATATACTTAGCAATCAAGCCCTGTAAATCCTTCCTCCATAATCTACCAAACTAAGGCCTCCTTCTCATCCCACTCTTCTCTCCTTGTTAATATCTGAACCATTCCAATACCTCAATACTAAATTCTCACCCCCAGCCCCTATTCACCATTGGCATAAGAACTGTGTACAATGCTGGCACATCTGTAATTGGTGATTCCTCATCTCAAAAACTCACAAAGGCTACCTAGATTAAAATACACACTTTTATCACAATATCCTAAATCTCCCACAATCTGTCCTGAGGCTGTTTTCCAACCAGATTCCCCCCTAGTCACTTCATATCTCCACACTTCTCTTAACCATGCTGTGCCTTACTTTCTTCTTTTCAGAAAGAGATAGTTATGGTACCTCCTTCACAGGGTTATTGAAGCCTGTGTAAATGTCAGGCACACAGTAAACATTATCTGTATTATTATTGTTGTTATTATTATTTGTGGCACTAATGTAAGCCCATTTTTGAATATATTGATATATTCATATATATTGAATATATATGTATACATACACACACACACACACATATATATATATATATATTCTAATTCTTGATATTTTCTGCTAGTATGCCAAGTCTTCTTGCTGAGGTACCTCCTAATATGAGGTTCTGGGTTATGCCTTTTCATACTGTTAACTCATTTAATCTGCTTCACATAAACCCTGAGAGAATACCTACTTTTCCCAGATCCCAAAGAGAGTTCTTTTGGTGGAGCAAATAACTTGCTCCACTCACTTGATCTTGCAATGAATCAACTACCATGTGTAAGTGAGCCCCATAACATTAGAAGAGTATTTTAGCCAAGAGCATGAAAGCTGGTTTTATCCAGCGGTGAGATCTATTTAAAACATGCTTTTTAAAAGCTGCGTTGTATAAAGTCTCGATTTGGAATCACAACTCTAAAGGAGTCCTTGAGGAAGATTTTCAGTGGAGCTTCTAACCTAAAACAGATTCATCTGAAATAGAAAATCTCTTCTGTTTTGTTTTTAAATCATCCAAAAAGATTTTCAAACTATCATTCTAACTTACTAAAAAATTGGTGTTTGAGAATATCCAAAACACCTTTGACTGTAATATAAATTATCATATAAGATCTACTTCCTGTTTTTTCTTCTATAGAAATGAAACCAATTAGTACCCCTTTGATATAATAATAATTCTGCTTTTACAGTTTTAAACACATCATTTTCTTAGATTAAATAAATACCAGTTTTTTGAGTTTGCTGTGTAGGTCTTAATAATCTAATTATATCTGTATCTTTTCATGAACTTGTCCATAAATTTGCCACATAAATAATTAGTGAAGGTCAAAACAGTACAGAATACCCTGGTTTCACTATTGATAAGTTTGGTTCAAATACTAACGAGGCTGCTTCAGTTAGACATTTTGCCATGATGTGGAATTGCCTGTTTTACTAACTCACCAGTTCTCCCTGGTAATAGTTTACATCTCTTTGATACCAGTAAACTTGAATATATTTTAATGCATTTATTGGACATTGCTTGTTTCATACTTTTTCATTATTTCTAGGTACGATTTTATGACTTCATGTGATCTAATCATTTATATCACGCCTTCCTTCATTGCTCCCATAAACATAAGATCTTTCTATAAATATAGATAACTTCTTTATATTTCTTAACTTTAAAGTGTTTAACTTTCACATTTGAATATTTAATGGTCATAATTTTTTTACTTGCCTAATTGCTTTTTGCATGTCACTTCAGCTGAGACTCTATTTTTCTCCCAAAAATTAACATATTTCCTACATTTGTATGATATTACTTTTTATACACTGACACTTCTTGAAGACCAAGGGTCTTATTTAGGAAAAAGTATTTTCAATCGGTCTCTGGGTCTATTTTATACCAGTTGTAAACAGGTTCAATATATGTTTAATTGATAACTGATATTTTATAATAAACAGGAAAGTAGTCTAGATAACTTTTTAAAAATTGTCTTAAAGATGAAATTTTTCACAGAATTAGAAAAAAATATTCTGAAATTCATCTGGAACAAAAAAAAGGGCCTGAATAGCCAAAGCAATCCTAAGCAAAAAGAACAAAGCTGGAGGTATCACACTACCTGACTTCAAACTATACTAAATGGTGTTGGGATAACTGGCTAACCATAATGCAGAAGATTGAAAGTGGACCCCTTTCTTTCACCGTATACAAAAACCAATTCAAGATAAATTAAAGACTTAAATATACAACCTAAAACTATAAAAACCCTAGATGAAAATCTAGGAAATACCATTCTGGACATTGGCCATGGCAAAGATTTCGTGATGAAGACTCCAAAAACAATTGCAACAAAAACAAAAATTGACAAATGGGACTTAATTAAAGTAATGAGCTTCTACACAGCAAAAGAAACTGTCAACAGAATAAACAGACAGCCTACAGACGGGAGAAAATATTTGCAAACTATGTATCTGATAAAGGTCTAATATTCTGAATCCATAAAGAACTTAACAAGTTAACAAGCAAAAAAACCAAACAACCCCATTAAAAAAAGGGACAAAAGACATGAATAGAAAATTCTCAAAGAAGACATCACATAGCCAACAAGCATATGAAAAAATGCTCAACATCACTAATCATTAGAGAAATGCAAATTAAAACCACGATGAGTTACCATCTCACAGCATTCAGAATGGCTACTATAAAGAAGTCAAAAATAACAGATGCTGGCGAGGTTGTGCAGAAAAAGAAATGCTTATACACTACTGATAGGAATCTAAATTAGTTCAGCCACTGTGGAAAACAGTGTGGAGATTTCTCAAAAGACTTAAAATAGAACTATCATTTGACCCAAAAATCCCATTGCTGAGCATATATCCAAAGAAATTTAAATTGTTCCACTATAAAGACACAGGCACGTTTATGCGCGTTGCAGCACTATTCACTATAACAAAGACATGAAATCAACCTAGATGCCCATCAACACCATCAGAAGTGGATTGAATAATGAAAATGTGGTATATATACACCATGGAATACCATGCAGCCATAAAAAAAGAACAAAATCATGTACTTTGCAGCAACATGGATGGAACTGGAGGCCATTTTTCTAAGCAAACTAACACAGGAACAGAAAACCAAATACCACATGTTCTCATTTATAAGTGGGAGCTAAACATTGGGTACGCCTGGGCACAAAGAAAGGAACAATAGACACCGGGGCCTACTTGAGGGTGGAGGCTTGGAGGAGGATGAGGATCAAAAACTACCTATTGGGTACTATGCTTATTATCTGAGTGACAAAACAATCTGTACACCAAACCCCCATGACACAAAATTTCCCCAAGTACCAAACCTGCACATATACCCCCGAACCTAAAATAAAAGTTGGAAAGAAAAAAATTGTGGTAAAATATACATGACATAAAATTTAGTATTAATTTCAATGGCATTAAACCATTCAATGTGGATTCACATTTTTGTGCAACCTTCACCACCATTCATCTCCAGAACTTTTTTCATCTTCCAAACTGAAACAAATACATTTTTAATAGAAAGAAGGCTGATATTTTCTTTCTTTCTTTTTTTTTTTTTTTTTTTTTTGAGACGGAGTCTCACTCTGTCACCCAGGCCTGAGTGCAGTGGTGTGATCTCGGCTCACTGCAATGTTTACCTCCCTGATTCAAGCAATTATCCTGCCCCAGCTTCCCAAGTAGCTGGGACTACAGGCGTCTGACACCATGCCAGCAAATTTTTCTATTTTTTTGTAGAGATGGAGTTTCACAATGTTGGCCAGGCTGGTCTCGAACTCCTGACCTCAAGTGATCTGCCCTCCTCAGCCTCCCAAAGTGTTGGGATTACAGGCGTGAGCCCAGATTCCAAGAACTAATACATATTATTAGGAAACAGCTCTCCTAGACTGAAGCAAGACCAGGTAATAACAGGATCTCTGTTGTTTTAGTTTGATGGGGTTCATGAAAAGCAGCAGTTTCCAGGACACATTGATACCATGGTTCTTTCTGACCCTGTGGCCACAAAAATGCATACTTATGGATAATGTATTTCCCAGATTGCAAATGCAATGTACTCTTGTCATTTAAACGTTCTGTTATTTCTTTACTGGATGAATTTAGAAAGAGAAATAAAAATGAGGATGGGTTTATTGCTCGGGATGCATTTTTTTAAAAAGTCCTGAATATTAGATGATGAGTCCTTCATATTTTGAGTGGTTTCAGCATCTACATATTTAGAAAGTGACAACTTCTTACTATTCTTTCATGTAAGCAGGCCCTTTTAAAAACATTTAAAAACTTGAGATATTCCCAGTATGAATCTGAGGTAAAAAGCCACATGTAAACCAACTTGAAGTTATTAATTCTCAGGAGAGGTCCCTGGAAATTGTCTTCTAATTCCTGTGCCTCAGTACACCATGAAAACCAAAGATCACATTTTCCAGGTTCAGTAAATGCCCTGAGGGAAGAGGTAAGATTTGGTTTCAGTGTTTCACTTAGTTTATCTTCTATAGGCTCCATCTTTCTCTTAGTTATTTACTTTACTTTCTTGCCAGCTCATCAATGCACCTTAAAATATGTGTTTAGCATTTTTTTTTTTTTTTTTTTTTTTTGAGACGGAGTCTCGCTTTGTCGCCCAGGCTGGAGTGCAGTGGCGCGATCTCGGCTCACTGCAAGCTCCGCCTCCCGGGTTCACGCCATTCTCCTGCCTCAGCCTCCCGAGTAGCTGGGACTACAGGCGCCCGCCACCACGCCCGGCTAATTTTTTGTATTTTTAGTAGAGACGGGGTTTCACCGTGTTAGCCAGGATGGTCTCGATCTCCTGACCTCGTGATCCGCCCGCCTCGGCCTCCCAAAGTGCTGGGATTACAGGCGTGAGCCACCGCGCCCGGCCGTGTTTAGCATTTTTAAGTGTATTCAGTGGGAGTTTTATATATGATATCTAGCCCTTCACTGCCAGAAACAGATGTTCATTCATTCATATATTTAATATATAGGGACATTTAATGTGTGCTTAGTGTGTGTCAAGAACACTGCTAGAAACTACGGATACCGGGGAGAAAAGGCAGTCACGTTACATTCCCTAATGAGAATTATATTCTATTGGAGTTTAAAATTACAAACAAGAAATACAGGTATAAAAATATTTAATTTTCATTTACACTGGGATAAAATGGCTGAAACATAACAGTTGCTTAAAGAGTCCATCAAATTGTAGATCCTGGTGTCTGGAAATTAGAGAATCTTCAGAGAAAGGATGGCGGGTGGGATTTAGATAGATGGAAACATGCAAGAGCAAGGCTTGGAATGAGACACTGAACAGCCCGGCTGGACTGGAAACCTAGTGGTGGACAGTAGTGGAAAATGCATGTGAACAGAGCCCAGCACTTTGGGAGGTGGAGGTGGGCGGATCGCCTGAGGTCAGGAGTTCGCGAGCAGCCTGGCCAACATGGTGAAACCCCGTATCTACTAAAAGTGCAGAAATAAGCTGGGCATGGTGATAGGCGCCTGTAATTCCAGCTACTCAGGAGTCTGAGGCGGGAGAATCGCTTGAACCCAGGAGGCTAAGGTTGCAGTGAGCCAAGATCATGCCACTGCACATGATCTCGCTCTGGGCTACAGAGCGAGACTCTGTCAAAAAAAAGAAAGACAGAAAGAAAGATGAAAGAAAGAAAGAGAGAGAGAGAGAGAGATGAAAGAAAGAAAGAAAGAAAGAGAAAGAAAGAGAGAGAGAAAGAGAAAGAAAGAAAGAAAGAAAGAAAGAAAAAGAAAAGAAAGAAAAAGAGGGAAAGAAAAAAGGAAGGAAAGAAAGAAAGAGAAAGAAAGAAAGGGAAAGAAAGAAAGGAAAGAAAGAAAGAAAGAGAAAGAAAGAAAGAGGGAAAGAAGGGAAAGAAAGGAAAGAAAGAAAGAAGAAAAGAGAAAAGAAAAAAGAAAGTGCTTGTGAATAGTTTGGTCAGGTGGGATGGGGTCAGGCCATGGAGAGATTTGAATGCCAAGGATCAAGAATGAAGATTTTATTTTGCTGTCACTGGGAAGGAAGGGAGTGGAAAGAGGGGAGCAAAGTCTTGGAAAAAATAAATGTGGTGTTAATACAGTGTCTGTATTGGAGAGTGGAGGGGGAGCAGGACATTCTATAGGAACTGATATGATGGAACTCACACCAAGGCAGTGGTAACAGAAACGGAAAAGATGCGGTCGATTTTAAGATGTGTGAATTGAAATAATGTGTTTAAGGACTTATCAGTGTGCCTTTGCAAAGAATAAACAACAGTTTTATCTTCTTTCATGGAAAGAGAATTAAACTGATGCTTGGCAAATTGTCAGATGCAGGTGATGAAGAATGGGAAGAGCAGAGAGACCTCTGCAGCTGGACTCTTTTTATTATGAGTAGCTCTCCCTATCCACATAGCCCTAATTATCCATATTTTAACATTTTTTTACTCCTAAAATCCCAGTCCATTACACAGCAATTATTATTGATTCTGATATAAAGAGTCCTAAAATTTAAAATGTTTAACAAATAAAGCAAAACCTAGAAGCCAATGGAATAATCCTTTGAAAATGTCTCCGACTGAATGTAGAAACAAAACTTGTCATCAACAACTACGATGATTAATTTTATGTCAACTTGGCTGGACTGCAGTGCCCAGGTAAGTACTGAAACATTATTCTGGATGTTTCTATGACAGTGTTTTGGGTGAGATGGGCATTTAAATTAGCGGACTTTGAAAAATAATGAAATAGATTGCCCTCTATGATGTGGTGTGCCGGATCCAATCAGTTGAAAGCCTGAACAGAACAAAAGACTCTCCGGAGCAAGAAAAATTTCTTCAGCCTGATGGCCTTCAGACTTAAACTGCAGCTTCAGTTCCCCCTGTGTCTCCAGTCTGCTGCCCACCCTGCAGATTTTGGACTTGCCAGTCTCCCTGGTTTTTTCTGTTTGTTTGTTTGTTTTTGGATATAGAGTCTTCTTCTGTCGCCCAGGCTGGATGGAGTGCAGTGGCACGATCTGGGCTCACTGCAACCTCCGCCCCCTGGGTTCAAGCCATTCTCCTGCCTTAGCCTCCAGAATAGCTGGGATTACACGTGCACACCACCACGCCTGGCTAATTTTTGTATTTTCAGTAGAGATGGGGTTTCACCATGTTGGCCAGGCTGATCTTGAACTCCTGACCTCAGGTGATCCACTCTCCTCAGCCTCCCAAAATGCTGGGATTACAGGTGTGAGCCACCCCACCTGGCCGAGCCTCCATCATCTTGTAAGCCAATTCCATAAAATAAATCTCTCTCTGTGTGTACACACACACACACACACACACGCACACACACACACACACACACACATTGTACTGGTTCTGTTTCTCTCTAGAACCATAATACAATAGTATCAAAACATTAATTTTACTAAGGAAAAATCCTTTCCTTACCTGAACTGTTTATTTAGGGCAAAGTTTATGCTGGTTTCTGATAATCAAACTCAACTCTAGGATAAAACGGCCTCTCTAAGCTTTAGTGGGTGATAAAAGACCTCAAGAGTATTTGACTTCATTTAAAACACTTACTTTCACTTCATGAAAGTAAATCTTCCTTACAATATTCTGTTAAGCCTGGACCCAGGAACATTTAAACTGCATCAACTTGTTACTGTTAAATATTCATATTTGCACTGCCAAGCATTATTGTATTTTAATACCAATTGCATTTTTAGGAAAAAAAAAAAAAGCTTGAACTTGCTGGAACAGATTGCATTCTTGAAAATTCCAAACTTCTGTCAAAGTCCCCTCAGCTCTTTATTTTCTTTCCCGTATATTCTTACTTTTCCACTCTTGTTGGCTCTGTTTGTATATTAGTCAATGTGAGTCAAGATGATGATAATGAAATTTCACTCGAAGTTCAGAGACAACGTGATTAAATTTGAACTTAAATCTTTCTGAAATAGGTACCTCTCTTGTATTTCACAGAGGGGAAATTCTACTTGAGTATTAGAAGGAATATAATTATCTTGTTCAAGATACTAGATCTTTCAAGAAACAATACAATCTTATCTTGGGTAAAAGGAGGGTAATCAGAAATTCAAAGCAGGTTTTTCTCACAATTATTTTACATTTTCAGGAAGTCATTGTATTTTCCTCATACACAGACATTTGCCACAGCCAAAAGATAGGGAACTTCCAAGGAAGCCACTGTTTATCTCCCTCAATGTAAAAGAAGAAAAGGGAGAAAATCTGATGTCTCTGTGTGGCAGGAAGAAAGATGCTGAGGCAGTCTAATCAGAAAACGCTGCAACAATAGCACAACGATGATAGCTGCAATTCACTTTTTCAAGAAGCTGCAAGCAACAGAGAAGAGTGACAGCAGGGTCTCCCCAGGTGTGCTGGACCCTCTCCAGCATATAGGTCTAGTCCCTTGCCATTGGGTCGGGATGTGAGAGAAGGATGATCTTTACCGAGAATTGAGTGCGGCGGATAAGGATCCCTGGATTGTTAAATCCAGCTTTGTCTAGCAGAAATCTAATTCAAATTCACCTCCTAAATTGAAGGCTATTGAATTTCCTATTGCACTGCAACTTTAATTCAGCAGTCTCCCTTATCTTCCATCCAGCATTGATTAACGAATCTGAATGCAAAAGTCAAAGTTGCATTACAAGCGAAGGCTATGCATCAGTGCTGAAGTGACAATCATCCCCATTCTCAGTGTGAACTGGGAGCAAGCGCTAATTAAAATTATAAGCTAAGGAGAACATGCATTGAAAAAAAGAAGCCATCCCTAACCAGTAATTCCGGGGATAAATCATACTTGATTTGCTAACATATAGAAGTGTCCAGGAACCATGATCTACAAATGTCTTGAATATGGTTCTAATCAATCTGCAGAACAATAATCAAGGAGGCATATAATTAGAACAGGCTCATAACTACGAGGAGCACATAACATTTTCTCACCTTGAGACAGTGTAGAGCATCCTGCCTCACAAATAATAACTACTCCCAAACAGGAACAGTTTTTTTTTTTTCATCTGAAAGGAACCCCAACAGATTTCTGGCTTTCCTGGAAACACAGTTCCAGACTTCAGAGGTGTCCTGGTAAAGTTTCATTGAGCCTCCTGTTCTTCCTGTCCTCTATTTTTTTTTACTCTGACTCCTTGTCACATCTGACACATGAATGTGAAAAGGATTCTGACCTGAGATGCCCTTCATGACAATTCCAAACCCCAGCTGGCAATGTGTGATCAGTAGTGAAAAATAGCAGATGGGCAACTCTGAGAAAATATAAGTTAAACACATTCTTACACAACCCACTGGCCTCCTCCTATTCTGTTCCTGGTTTCACCACCATCATCAGGGTAGGAGTGACATTGGAGAAGAGCAAGAGCAGGAACAAACCAAATTTTGAATATGTACGACTTCCTTTGTCAGTGTTCTAAGCCTTTATGTGCATCATTATACCCATTCCACATAAGAAACCAATGCAGTTGATTAGAAAACAACAATGTAGAAAGAGAAATGGCATTTGGTGTAGGCTAAAGGTGGTATTCCAAAACCCATGTCTCTAGAGCTCCCAACCTGTACTTGGCCAAGGCCTCATTTCCCTCCACTATCCTCCTTCTGATCCTTAAATATGCCAAGCTCATATCTGACTCAGGGTGTTTTTATCTTTCTACTTGCTGCTTCTTACGTTTGGGTCCTTCTCTCTCCAGATCTTTGAATAGATACCTCCTCTTTACTATTTGGGTCTCCAGCTCAAACATTCCCCCTCGTGGAGGCCTTTCCTAACAATCTGCCTCTCATTCTATACCCCTTTACCCTTCACAAATTATTTTACCCTTCATAAAGGTGTGGTCATGTGCGCAGGGCCCGCAGCCTCACTGCC
This sequence comes from Homo sapiens, assembly GCF_000001405.40. Classification (NCBI taxonomy): domain Eukaryota; kingdom Metazoa; phylum Chordata; class Mammalia; order Primates; family Hominidae; genus Homo; species Homo sapiens. The sequence goes on along the minus strand of NC_000001.11, from coordinate 82,004,005 downwards.
CTGATTGGAACCTGGCTCCTCTCTTTCCTATCCGTGGGACATAAGACTGGGTACTTCAAGTCTCCACGCTTCAGCCCTTCTTTTGTAAAATAAGGATCACAGGAACAGCTGCTGTATGTACCACATGGGTTCGTTTTGAGAACTGCATGAAGTAATACAGGTAAAGTACTCAGAACAGAATGGGACCCTCTAAAAAGTCAGTATTCCATGCATGTTTATGAGTATCTTCCTCATAGCACTTATTGGGAACTTAAGTTATCTTTTTGTATGTCTGAATGTTTCTCAACAGGGCAGAGAATATGCTTTGTTTCTTATTATGCTCTTGGAAGCTAGAAAGGTTCTTGGAACACAATAATTATTGTGTGATTTATTGAGCAAGCACTAAATAAATTATTGTTGACTAGAGATTAAGTGATTCAAACCACATCTTATATTGCTGTTTAGCCTTTAGAATAATATGATATTAGACCAGTCTTAGTTCAGCCACTCTCTAGTTCTGTGATTTAAAACTAGTTTTTTAACCTATCCAAGTTTTGGTTTTGTCATTTTTGAAAGGGAGATAATAATAAGGTCTTCAAAGCTGGATAAATAGTGTATGACATAGTCATCAATGGAATATTATACCACAAGGAAAAGGAGTGAACTCCAACTGCATATGCCTGCATGAATGAATTTCACAAGCATTACACTGAAGAAAATACACTATACATAAAATATTATCCAATATAATATTTTGAATCTTATAAGTGCAATATCTACTTCTATAGTTCAAAAATAGGCAACGGTAAACTACAGGGCCAGTAGTCAGGTAGTGTTATTCTTGGAGGTGTAATGACTAGAAGAGGACCCAAGGTAGCTTCTGTGGTTCCGTATTCTGTTTTCCAATCTGGCTGCGAGTTACACTGGTATGTTCATTTTGTGAAAATCCAGTGAATGTTACCTTTATAATTCGCATATTCTGAGTAATAATAATGATGATGATGATTGGAGCCTACTTCCTTGTATGGCTGTGAGAACTATTTCATTATATTAAATGAAATATTATTAATAATATAAATAAGACACGAAGTATAGTACCTGGCATTTAAGAGAACTCACTAAACGTTAATACCTATTTCCCTTCCCTCGTTCTGCCAGTGGGTATAAAATGGCAGACATCAGTTCCAGAACTCAAGGGATGTTCAAGGCCTCTCTCAATTTGGCCTCAATCTATCTCTCAGACTTTTTTGGTCTACCACATTCCATCAGACACACTATATTGTTCAAACCACACTGTACTTCTCCTTCAGATTAGCTAATGCTTTGCCACACCTGTTTGCTTTTCACATAATTTATGGTCTTTTAGAATACTATAATTTTTTTCTATTTTATTTGCCTAGAAAACCCCTACTTATCCTTCAAAACCCAGCTCCAACACTGTCTCCTCAATAAAGCCTTTCTTAGTGCTCCTTTCAGTGGCAGTCATTCTCTTTTTTTTTTGAGACAGAGTCTTGCTGTCTTGCCAGGTTGGAGGGCAGGGGTGCGATCTCAGCACACTGCAACCTCCGCCTCCAGGGTTCAAGCGATTCTCCTGCCTCAGCCTCCCAAGTAGCTGGGACTACAGGCACGTGCCACCACGCCCAGCTAATTTTTATATTTCTAGTAGAGACACGGTTTCACCATGTTTGGTCAGGATGGTCTCGATCTCCTGACCTTGTGATCCACCCACCTCGGCCTCCTAAAGTGCTGGGATTACAGGCGTGAGCCACTGCACCCGGCCTCTCCTTTGTGCTCTCATAATAGGGAAGACTTTACTTTATTGGGCTGTAATTATCTTTTTAAAATATCTGTTTCTGTTTCAAGCCATGTCAGTCATATCATAATAAGGTCCTCAGGAATATAAGCTCTCAGGTGCCCCATGGACTAGATTTTTAATCTTCAAAAAGCTACATACTTTGCTAAGCCTCAGTTTCCTCCCCTATAAAAGGCAGATAATCATAGTATTTATGTTGTGAGATTGTTAAAAGAATTGGGGTTTTTAAAAACGAGATAATGTTCATGAAGGGTTTAGAGACAGAGCTTAGCAGAATAAGTGATCAATATATGTTAGTCATTACCATTATTAATTCAAGGACAGGGACATCCTTCATTACTGTGTTCCACATTTTTATACATGAAACACATAGTGGATACTCAATCAATATTTATTAGATGAAAGAAAGGTGAAACAAACAATCAAATAAGTACAGCAAGAAACTTGTCTATGGCTTTGTAGGAAAGAAAGAGAAGGCAAAAGGAAGGAAAAGAGAAAATAGGGAAGTGGAAAAACTGAGTGCCACACTTCCCTGCATAAGATAAATATATTTGTTAAATTAGCTGAATTAATATTCCAGAAGGAGACTCAGAGGCCTGCTCCCGCTTGGTCTCTTTAACCTGGATCACTGCATAAAGCTGAGGAGTCCGCAGTCACAGTAGGAAGCCCATCCCTGATCGGCCCGGGCCTGGTGGCCATAGGTGCATTGTTCATAGAAGTGTAACTGATATATCCTAGCCACATGGCTTCAGGAAGATAATGACAATCCAGTTGAAGTCCTGATGACTGATTATTTTTCTAAAACTTAAAGTCACAGGATGTTTATGTTACAATATCTTCCTAAAGAAAAAAAAGCTACTATCAATTGAGAGCCTATCACGTGCCAGCCACTGCAGTAAGGCACTTTACATATATTACTTCTAATCCTCACAGCAACCCTTGGCAAGGTAGCCTGATTCCAATTTTACGGAGGAGGAAACAATTTGAGAGAGGTTAAGTACTCTGCCCAAGAGAGAGCAAAGGCTTAAACCTGTCTATGTGAATCCAAAGTTTCCATAAACATAATACCAGTACTTCATTACATTAATTACAAGAGTATCTTATCATATAAAATGAACACTAACATTGGGAAAAATATATGAGATGGATATAAATATTCAAGGATTTGCTGCTTTACCTTCACTTTTATGTTTAAATATGCGATAAATACATTAGATACTATAATTATTGTATTGAATAATTAACTGAAGGTGTATTTATTTTATTAAATCGATTTCTCCGTCAGCAAAAGACCTCTTATTCAGTGTGAATAGGACATTGCTGGGTTAATCAAATAAGTCAGTTTATGCAAGGTCAAAGGTTTTTCTTTAAGCATGGGTTTGTTGATTAGAGTCTGAAACTGTTTTTCTTGCATATACCCTATCCGGAATGCAACACTTACAATGTTTAGTTTCTCTTTCTTTAAAAGGACCCCAAAATCTTCACATATTTATGGAGTGATCTAAGTGCAGATTCTTTCTAGAATTTTATTATTATTTTGTCTAAACCTTTTCAGTGGTTTTTTCCATGACTGACTTTAGCAGCAAATTTCTAGTGTTTCATGCTTATTTTTTTGTTTCCCCTATACTCATTTAATCAGTATATAATATTTGTTTAAATTATTTAATGAGAATAGCCAGTACAACCATAAATGGGTTTGGTGAAAATAAAAATAATACAACTGACTCCTTGCAGACATATAACTTAGATGGTGAGAGAAGAGAGCAAACTGGTGAGCAGCCTGTGGGCTGGGCTCAGCCTACTAAGGGCTGTCAGTGCATTTAAAAGAGATTAGCAAGCTTAGGCTATTCTAAAAGATTGGTTAGTAACCTGGGGATCAGTTTGGAGAGCTTTTAAGGTATTAACATCGTCTTTAGTTAACGGACACATCCAAGGTTTGCAATTGGTTTTGTTTTAGATTTGTTATAACTGAAGCTCAAAGCAGTTGATATATGTCCAATGTCCTAGACCATTTAATTGGAGTTCCTGGAACTGGAAGCCAGAGTTCCTTCAACGGCCACACTAGTAAGATGACAATGAACACAGAAAGTCGTCCACCTCTTGAGACATCTATATTGTTCTAGCCTGACTCCGAGGATAGGGACAGAATAAATCCCCGCTTTAGTTTGCCATGATGTGGGACCAACTTTAATAAGTTGTGCCTGCTTTTGTAATTGTTGTTGTTAAGACAGGCTCTCACTCTGTTGCCCAGGCTAGAGTGCAGTGGGGTGACCACGGCTCACTGCAGCCTTGACCTCCTGGGCTAAAGTTATTCTCTTGCCTCAGCTTCCCAAGTAGCTGGGCCCATAGGTGTGAGCCACCATGCCCAGCTAATTTTATCTATGTATCTATGCATCTATCTATCTATGGGCAGGGTCATGCTATACCCAGGCTGGTCTTGAAATCCTGGGCTCAAGCAATCCTCCTGTCTCTGCCTCCCAAAGTGTTAGGATTACAGGCATGAGCCACCATGCCTGGCCTGCTATTTTAGTTATAAAGTTTCATTAAATATTATGTAAACTGATTACATAACTGTGGAAAGGAAAGCATTGTTAAGACAAGTCTTTTCAAAAGACCTAATAGGGATAAAATGCTAAAAATTTACTGCTGAGTTAGATGTGGGCAAGATAACAGAAAAGGATTAGAGAAAAATAATAAAAATGTCACTGTGAATGACACAGGACTAGACTAGACTTGAAATCACCTCTCTGTGTGTGTCCTATTCTCCACCCTGCTCTTCTCTCTGGATTTCTTCTACGTAGCTTCTAAAGCTTCAGGTGGGCTCCTGGCTTGCATGACACTTGCACTACATGCAGGACTGAAATGCGGGAGACTCTTTTTCAATGCTACCATCTTTATGGCCATACCTCAGACTGACTATTGAAAAAGAACATTCAAAGAAAAATAGAAAATAAAACACAGAGGGATCTTTTTATTTTTTAAAGAATATAAAGGCAAAAATAAAAGAAGGAAATTAAAAAGTAGAATTAAGAAGAAATTTAAATATAAATAAACTTGTATTCCAATAAAAATTAAAGGTTAATACTAAAAAATAACATTGTATGAGATTTTTTAAAAAGCATCTGAGGTCAGAAGACAATGAAAGAAGAAACTCACAGACTAATATATACATATATAGTGTATATATATAGGTATATATAGGTGTATACATAGGTATATATAGGTGTATATATAGTTATATATAGGTGTATATATAGGTATATATAGGTGTATATATAGTTATATATAGGTGTATATAGGTGTATATATATAGGTATATATAGGTGTATATAGAGCTGTATATATAGGTGTATATAGAGGTGTATATATAGGTGTATATAGAGGTGTATATATAGAGGTATATATAGAGGTATATATATAGAGGTATATAGAGGTATATATATAGAGGTGTATATATATAGAGGTATATATATATAGAGGTGTGTATATATATGTATATATATAGGTGTATATATATATGCGTGTATATATATATAGGTGTGTGTATATATATATAGGTGTATATATATATATATATATATACACACACACACCAGTAAGAAAAAAGGCTAAATTCATAAAAAGATGATATATAAAAGTAGATGTGATTAAGAACTAGTTTTTAAAATCAAATAAACATTTACAAATCAGGAGAAAATTACTAGAAAAACAAAAAGCTTGAAGAAGAAAGAGAAAGTAAAGAATGCAGGAAGGTAGGCAGGGGCTGGGGACAGAAGTGAATGGCACCAACAGGGCGATTCAGACAGTCCTCACGTGGAGTAGCCAAAAGAGACAGTGTGTGTCTTGGGCAGGAGCCCAGAGTACACAGACTCAAATTCCTTAGGGGCTCTTTTTTACCTCTGTGATGTCCAGACCAGCTATCTCTGGAGCAGTCGGTGTGCATGGCTTTTTGGTGCTAATAACTGCTGTGGAACTCCTGGGGTCTCTAGGTGGGCCTGACTGTCTCCAGAGCCAGAATTGAACAGCGTTTAAGTGTTTGGGATCAAGCATGAAGCTAAATTCGAATTCCCATCCCACCACTCTGTAGTTGGCTAAGTTGAAGAACGTAGGTACTTAGTTTCCTTCTGTGTAATAATATGTACCTTTGTACATTGTGAGAATTAATGCAATAAATCATAAAGGTCAGCATAATGCCTGCCTTAGTGGACTACATTTCCAACCCCCTAACACAGGGAACCACTAACCAGCTTGTCTTTCTGAGCTTCCCTCTTTAACTCCAAGGCCCTGCAGAACATATTTTGGAACAAAACAAAACAGTAATGCTATTTTAGTTCAAACTTTTCACTTTTCAGATTAGATCTCTGGCCAAATGTGAAAGACAGAGTTAAATTATGAAATTTAAAAGCCCTAAACACACACACACACACAAATCATTTACAATTAAAACAATATTAACTTTTAAAAGAATGTAAGGAAACTGGCCGGGCTCAGTGGCTCATGCCTGTAATCCCAGCACTTTGGGAGGCCGAGGCGAGTGGATTGCTTGAGGCAGGGAGTTTGAGACCAGCCTGGCCAACATGGTGAAACACTGTCTCTACTAAAAACACAAAAATTAGCCGGAGCGGTGGTGGGCGCCTGTAATCCCAGCTACTTAGGAGGCTGAGGCAGGAGAATCTCTTGAACCCAGGAGGCGGAGGTTGCAGTGAGCCAAGACCATGCCACTGCATTCTAGCCTGGGCGATAGAGTGAGACTGTCTCCCCCCGCCCAAAAAAAAAAAAAGTAAGGAAACTAAAATTTTCATTTTTCAAATGGCTTTTTAAAAATTTTGCTGTTGTTATAGCTTAGTTGTACAGGGAAATAAAAATCCTCATTGTTTGAGGGTACTGGTCCCACTGCTGACTGGGTAAACCAGCATTCTTTTCAGCTGAGGATTAGAATTTGGATGTCCTAAATCAGAATCTTTTGATTTTTTTTCCCCCACTACAAACTCCCTCCTGATAACCATGTAAGTTATCTCCAAAGGGGGACACATTAGTAACCAATAAACAATTAACTTTACATATGACTGCCACTCAATCTACTGCGCCCACTTCTGCTAAGATTTACCTTTTAGAGGTAAATAGATTATCTTTTACGAGGGGTTTCTTCTTCTGAAACACTTTGACTTATTTAAGTTGACTTCCTTACTTCATTTCCATTTTTCTCTATAGACTCAAAAGCAACAAAAAAACCTTTATGACTGGCAGCAGAGACAGAGTCCATGATCTATAAAGAACATTCTTGGAACTCCAAGTAAAACTAGAGGTGACACATGTTGGTTAAATGCTCAAACTATGCAGTCAAAGATAAATCATTCTAGTGAAGGTTCTGCCACTTACCAGCTGTGAGACCTTGAGCAAACTATTTTTCTTCTTTGCAAAAAATAGATAATTAATACCCTACTCAAAGAACTGAGGATTAAGCGCAATAAAGCAACAACATTTAGTACAGAGCCTGGCATATATTTAAGCATCGGCCAAAAGGTTTAGGTGCTAGCACTTTTATTTCTGTGGTACTGTGCAAAATTAGTTAATGGGACAAAATCATTTAGTCCGAGGTATCTTTAAAAAACTAGACAGCAATCCTTGTTTTGTAGCTCCTTTATTACAGTGGTAAAAGAATTTACTGTATGCTAGTACTACGTTTTGGTTTAAAAGCCATCTATTTATTAAGATTGATATTCAGCAGAAAAACATAAATGAATTTTTCATCTAATCAGTATCGTTGATACCTATCATTATTGTTCCTGAGTGGTTCTATATAGTAGCTGTCAGCCTTTCTAAGAGAATATCAAACCATCCATCGTTTTTGCCTAATAAAATCAAACAAGAAAGCCATGTTGCTGTGATTTCCACAATGCTTTTAAAAAAGCTTACGTCTAACATGTGATTTAAAAATGCTTGCGAAAAACACATTTAGAAAACTATTCATCAATTGATCATTCATCACTAGTCTCTTATGCCCACACAACATTGGCTTGCTTAACTGTGCCTTTTAAAGATTTCTAAGAGATTTTGGTCTTACAGCTTTGATAAGTGTATAATAGAGAAACGTGTGAAAGATTCATGGGGCAGTATTCTTTCCCCACAGCAGGTAAGGTTTTGGTGAGCTCAACTGTATTGTTACCTGTTTTTGTTGTTTCTTATTTCATTGTGATCCATAATGTTAAATGCCAGTATACCTAACAGCATTTCACAATGTTTTAATTCAGAACATTTTCACTAGTAAAAACAACAGGATTTAAAAATCAAACTAGCTTCTGAAGGCTTCTGAGAAACTGAACACTCAGTAAAAGTAATGCCATCAGGAAAAGGAAGACTCCAGAGAAGACTTATTAAGAGCTGAGGAGTGGTCTATTGCTAATATTTGAAAAATGCTTGTAGTACATTTAATTAGCCTAATTACACGGTGCACTTACAGCTTATTAATGCCCTCTGACAGAGATATGTTATGCTGGCCTTGAAAACTCAGTGGCCATAGTGCCTTGAAATGAACTTGGATAACTTCCAGGAGTTCCCATTGGTCCCATACGTTGTATAAGGCATCAGTAATATGTATAAAGTACATTTTGGTTAAAAATGTGGTATCTTTCCTTTTTTTTTACTGTTAGGAGATGGAGTCTCACTCTGTCACCTAGGCTGGAGTGCAGTGGCGTGATCCCCGCTCATTGCAACCTCTGCCTCCCAGGTTCAATCAATTCTCCTGCCTCAGCCTCCTGAGCAGCTGGGATTACAGGTGCATGCCACCACGCCCAGCTAGTTTTGTATTTTAGTAGAGACGGGGTTTCACCATGTTAGCCATGCTGGTCTCAAACTCCCGCACTCAGATGATCCGCCCGCCTCAGCTTCCCATAGTGCTGGGATTACATGTGCATGCCACCACGCCCAGCTAGTTTTGTATTTTAGTAGAGACGGGGTTTCACCACGTTAGCCATGCTGGTCTCAAACTCCCCAACTCAGATGATCCGCCCGCCTCAGCTTCCCATAGTGCTGGGATTACAGGCGTGAGCCACTGCGCCGGGTCCAATATCCTTCTTAAACATTCAAAAATTTCTGCTTGGTGCATTTAACTAACACAATACATTTCTACAATCATTTGCAGAAAGAATAAAACTGACATAACCGAAAGTTCTAATTCCAAACCATTCAAATAATAATTAAGGCTGTCACGAATTAATCTCCAAACCCATTACCATTCACTCATTCTTTATAATGCTTCCAGTCTCCCTATACATGCTGTTTAAGGACTACTCCCAATCAACTTGGTGCTCACTAGCAGGAAGCATACGATATGGCATTTTCACCAAAAAAAAAAAAAACACAAAACTAATTTTATTATGCTGAGAAGTAATTCTCATCTACATTCAACACGCCAGTAACTTTCCATACTGACATTTGAGATTTAATGAAATAATTTCGGGGAAAGAGAATTAGCTGGAACACAGGATTGTGTAAACTCTAGGTACTAAGCTTTATTTGTAAAATACTGCAGGAAGGACTGCCTTTAAAGATATCAGTATGGAGAAAATACAAAGAGCTATTTTCATTTCAAAAATTCAACTAGTGTGAATTTCTCCAAGTTTTTCTACTTAGAAGGTTGTAACTTACTGAGTTAAAATTGTTTACAAAACTCCCTGTCCCACAAGAGGACATTAAAAGGTCAGTTTTAAGCTTGAGGTTCAATGTTGAATTGAAGGAAAGATACATTTTCTCTTTTCTCATTGAAATAAATACATAAAGCATAGTAAATACATCCATAAAACAAGTGCATGTTAATTTTTTTTTGAAATTTAGCAATAAATTTGTGCATGATGCTTCTCTTCTTTTTGGGGAGAAGACAGTGATTTTCTGTCAAATAATGTTTTACTGGTTAAAATATTATATGTCACTGCCCTCAAATGTGGATGAGTGGAAATCGAGGACATATTTAAGTGATTTATAGATTTGTATGGATTCTCTTCCACATAAATGAATATAAACACCTCTAAGACAAAAATATATAAATGGATAAACTATAAGTGGGTCTTGTGTGTGTGTGTGTTTTGCAAATAGAACGGCCTTTTTTAAAAAACAAGAGGTCAATCTGGACTAACCTGTAACAAGTCACATATAAAACAAATGTACACAAACATCCTTATTATGAATAGACTAATGCTGGGCGCAGTGACTCACACCTCTAATCCCAACACTTTGAGGGGCCCAACTGGGAGGACTGCTTGAGACCAGGAGTTGGAGACCAGTCTGGCCAACAAGATAACGTTTATTATTATTATTATTATTTTTAATAAAGACAGAGTGAATGTCTCTAGGAAGAACTTTAAAAATGTGACTTTATAAGTTCACAGTTGTGACTATCACAAAGAGAAACAATCAAGAATGTGAAAACTGTACATTCAGGTGAAGTCTAGGCAGACCCAAAGAAACTGGGTTAATAAATACAATAACGCATCTGCATTAAAACAGTCAGTAGTTTAGTAATTACAAACCTAAGAAACTACCTTGTACTAAGGGAATCCTAGATGGAATTTAAGGCAATATTTATATATTTTTGAAAAGAAATGCTTTAAAAATGACTTTTCTTTTGATGCCAAAGATCAATGATGGCTTCCAAATTGAATCCATAGGATAAAGACGTTAGAGAACAGTAGCCATTTAGGTACGATGCAGTGTTCATGTCTTTAGAGTTTTGAGAACTGCCTCAAGAGAAAGAAATAGGACTAACTGAATAATCAGTGTTGCCTTTAAAAAAATTTATTACTGAACCAGCCTGACTCTAGGTAGCTTGTATACTAGGAATTACACATCACACAATACTGTATGGTTTTAGGCATTTAAAATAAAAAGTATAACAAGATGGAAAATTAAAAATACTTGATTATCTAATGCCCTCCTTTAGCAAGTAGTTTATAAATCCCTGAAGAATTTTAGCCAAATAAATGAGTACCATTCTCAGAGGATTGTTAAATCTGTTTGAGAACCTGGGAGGCGGAGGTTGCAGTGAGCCGAGATCACACTACTGCACTCCAGCCTGGGTGACAGAGGGACACTCTGTCCCAAAAAAAAAAAAAAAAAAAAAAAAAAAAAAAATATATATATATATATATATATATATATATGTATATTATATATATGCACTTAATTTTTAAATCTCATTCCTTTTTAAATTCAATAGGCATGTGTGTGTCCACATAAAAGTGATTTATAAGCTAGTGGTAGTATTTGAGAATTATAGCAAACCATTAAGCTTTAGAATAATTTTCTATAAATGCTTATGATACAAACAGAAAACATCTATTTCTTGATATTCAATTATATGATTTTTGAACTTGGAGTAAAACTTTTCCAGGGTAATGTATATTGGTATTCACAGCTGTCTATAGGGATATTTATAATCCTTAAAGTATGTTTAAGAAACTTCCCAATACTGCTGAAAAATCAGTTAAAAACTTTTTATGATACCCAAATTTGATGGCAGAACTTCCAATCCTTCTTTTTTTAGTCCTGGTACAATGCAACAAACAAAAATGCTTTCAGAATATATCCCTCTTAAAACTTATCCAGCAGATTTTGTGCATATGTAGTGGGCAATTGGAAGACATATATTCCTTTCAGCATAAAGAACAAACAGGCAACTTAATTGTATCCTTTCATATATCCATGGACTTTGGTATGACGTTACTTAAACCAAGGTGGGAATGGACCAACATGTTAAAGCCAATTATGTATCATACATAAAAGTTCACATGTTAACTACTTGAAAAAATTCACATTTATTTACTGTCAAACCGTGTTAAACTTTACACTGGATATTAGTGATGGGCTCATTATTAACAGGTTTACACAAAGGGATGAAAAAAAAGCAGAATTTTGCTGAAACAATTTACATTTCATTAGAACTTTATCATAAAATAAATTAATTACTAAATATAGGCAGAAGGAATATGGAAGAGTAATATTTATGTTTTATTTTATTTTTTTAAAAAAGAATAGGCACCTTTTGTTCACTAGAAAGTTTGTGAGAAGTGCCCAGTGCCCTCTTTGCCCTCTGTTCAAGAATAAACAGGGGTGACACACAATCTTTTCTAGATTTCATCACTTTTGTGCAAGGCATGACATAACTGGCTTCAAAGAGTTTGTTTCTCCCCATAAAACACGTTCTTTTGGCAATAAGAAATTTAAATGTAAGTAATAAAGACCAACTTTGTCAAAGCAGAACACTGTATACAGTGGAAAAGAAGTGAAAATGAGTAGAACTTACCATGACAAAGTGTAAGAAAAAACATTTCATAACATGTGCAACCAAGAGCTTTTCACAATATTTTCTTCACTCTTTAAAATTATTTTAATGACAATTATATTTCAGTTGGACACAAATGTATTTATTTTACCCTAGCAATAGAACAAAATATAATTTCTTTAGCCATTTTTCATGAGAATAGTTCATTGTACAGTTGAGGAAACATATGAAATAAGGCCTGTGGCTTGATTGCTAGTGGTTAAGCATGTTTTCAATCTTTGCCTTAATGTAAAAGATTTGCAGTGAACTGCAAACTGATGCAGAATATCTCTCCTGCTTTTCCAAGTCTTGTCAGGAATAGTAAGGTACAGTAAATTTGTCCCACAGGATTTTAAAGCCTACGTCTTGTATATAATACAATGCAGGCCTACAAAAATGGTGCAGCCATATTTACAAATTTAGTTCACAGACTGCTGCAGTAAAATGGCTGGAAAGTTTTGTTTTGCTTGTTTCACAATTTCTCTAAACAGCAGCAGAATCTTAAAATACCTGGCTGGCATCTCTTTTCTTTGTAACAAATAATTCACTTTAGTATACTCTGTGTATATACAAAGTTTTTGTATGTTTTATAAAAATTCACAGAACTGCAAGGTTCAGTCATCTTTTTTACACCAGAGAACCACAGGTCAAGAGTCATCTCTTCAAGCAGAGTTTGAGGGAGCTGCGTCAGGCCAATGGTGTCTTTATTTATTAATACTCGCATGTGGCCCTTGGAATTCCTTAGCTGTATGATTAAAGACTTGTAACCAGCTGCATTTGTCCTTCTCTAACATCTCCTTCTGGAATACACCCTTCTTTGTTAATGGGGATTATATAACCATCACTATTGCCCCTGCTGATCTGGTAGCACATCTGAAGCTGATGGCCAGCTCCAAGATTTGGCATGCTTTTATAGTAAATGTCCTCATTCTCACTCCTCCTGGAGGGAGAGAGGTCTTCTTCCATGTCAGGGCTGCTCTCCGGATAGGGAGAGTCTCTAAGATTGGGCATGCTTGTATAAAGAGAGTCTCTGTTGGGGGACTGTAGGTGATCTTCAGCCTCTGCTGTCAGTTGGGAGACATAGCTGTCAGTTCCCTCGGACTTCACTTTCTTCTGGGGTTGGTACAGAAGGGAGTGAGTCCGCTGAGGAATAAGTGGTGCCTCGAGTTCTTTGTGATGGAGCTCCAGCCCTGGGTTGTCGCTGTGCATTAAAGATGAAGCATCTGCCACAATAGCATCATCTTCACTGCTGCTACCTCCAATCACAGGTTTGACTGGTAGCGTGAGCTCGAGGTTGTGAGTCTTGCTGCTGCCCCGTAAGTTGTTGTGCACTAATTCTGAAATGATCATTTTCTCAAAAGCAGTATCATTCAGACTTAGTCCACAGTCCACAACTTGCACGCTGTCATTATAGTCACCCTTGTGCAGCGAGTAGCTGTTGTTAAAATTACCATTTAGCGGTAGAGTATCCATGGCACTTGTATCCCTGGCATTGTTCAGTGAATGTCCTGAAACAGAAGAGGGGGAGTTATCATTACTGTCTCTGTTCCTTTCCACAGAAACTCTATTTCTTTTGTACAAAACTTTTTAATGTCGTTCAGGACAAAGTTGTATTTGAAAGCTAACACTTGAAAAGTGCCAGGCTTTCCTGCATTCCCAACTGTAAATAGTTGCAACCCCTTAGATAACAGGAAAAAGTGTTAAAAATAATACTGTTTTCCAGGGAGAGAAAATGGCATACAGAGTAATACTTTATCAATTTCAGGAGACAGTACTGATTAATTGATTTTGGTCAAATCTCTGACACAAAGAAGACTTCACTCCATGCCCTTGCATAGTTAATGCAAAGCAATTCATTAGTGACATTTACATTTTAAAGTACAAGACTATGGTTTATAAAAATAAAATTAACAGAATTTGTCCTAAACAACACTAAATTAAAAAGGAGTAAGTCACAATACAAAACTGAAAGGCAAATGTACAACATAAACCCACATAACTGGCAAGCAACTTTTTAAACAACATTCTAACATTTCCTTTTTCTGGAGATGAAGTAAAAAAAAGAATGAAAACATGGACAGATACAAAGAAGTCATGTTAAACAAAGACAGCCATCTCTCATACTGACTGGACCAGGGGCCCACAAGCACCATCCAACATCACGATAGACAGCAGGTGGAATGACTCACTTTGGACAACTCACATCATGTCTGTCTGCTCAGGCTATCTGGCCTAAGAGTAGCTGATATATAAAAGAAAGTAAAATGATTTATTGTAACATGATGAAGAATTTCTAAGCTTCTCAGCAACTTAGTCAGAGCAAGGGTTCAACAAATTAGATTACCAGCAATAGCAGCCTTTTATTTTTCATTTAATATTTATTATTTTGAGTATTTGGTACTAATAATCTCTCTAATAGCAATGGCCCCAGGCTTCTAGTGGTCAAAGTTTGCCTGCAGCCCTGCAGTCTGCATCAGTCACAGTGACAGCACCGAATGAACCAGCAGAGTCCACTGTACAAGATAGGCCCACAGACACCATGGCCATGGAGGTCAAACGCAGAAATGTTAGAGATTTCTTAAGTATGGGTCACAGAAATTAAACCAAGAATAAATATTAACTATGGAATGGGAGAAGGGTGGCAGCCTTGGCTAATATATTTTTATCTCTAAAGGAATGAAAGACTGGATAAGTCTGCTGAAGATAGGAAAAGAGGTTTAGGAGGGGGAAATAAAACATGGTAACATGCTCTATTTGAATCAGAGTTGTATTTTCTACAGACACATAAACATGTAAACTAAGACATCACAGTGCTTCTCAAGCAAATGAAAAAAAAAGTCAAGAGAAAATTAAATGGTCTGCACCATGGAAAGTTAGGTTATTCATTCTCAAAATCCTAGAGAAAAAAAAAAATCACAGTCTACAGATAGGTCTGTAAAAAAAAAGAATGAAATGATGTTATTGAAATGAAGCTGACCACTGTGAGGCTGCTGCATTGTATGCAAGGCTTGGAGGAGTTTAGGAAAAAATTTAATTCTTGGAAAAAAATACGAAATTTCCCGTTTTAGTGCTCACTCCACTCTTAAAGCTGCAGATATCCTAGAAAATGCAGTTTCCTTCAGAAAAAAAAAATATCTGTATCACCTGACACAAACTTCATGACCAATAAATATGTGATCATTGTTGGGCAAATTATCATTAGCAAAAAAATGAGAAAATGAGAGATTATATTTGTTAGTGATTTGTATTGTCTTAAAGACTGTCCCAACTTCTACATCTGAAAAACTGACAAATTTGTATCATGTTCCATGTGCAACAAAATGAAATTGTGATAGTTATTTGTAAGGCTTCCTTTAACTTGGTAGACACAATTCTCTAGCTTCATAAATTCATGTTATGTGCTATAATCTTTATAAGATTATTAAAAAAAAAACCATTTCGCACTTAAAGGTATGAGTGACACATGGCTCACTTGCTAGCATTTGTTTCCTCTGTAGAGGTTCACTGTTTTCAAAGATTTTCTTTTGTTTTATCATTGCTTGGTAAATACAACACTATACACTGGATATAATCCAAAAGGTCTTTTCTATGATATACTGCAGATTTAAGCCATCTTTGACTGGTTTTGAAGAGGTTATCTTTTTCTGCCCAAGTTCAGGTAATTCACTTGAAGATTTTCCACAGCCTGTAGCAAGATTACTGTGGGAATGCAGAAATGATAAGTCAATTATTAAGCATTTTGGTTGACAGTACTTCAGGCTTTATAGAGCAAATTATTTCAGCATTGCGTATACTTAAGTATGGACAGCATTTGCTACAGACCTCCATTACTGACAAAAGGCAGTACAGATGGATGTACTGTTTGAATTTGTTAATATTTTAGTTGCAAATTGTGAACCACTTGCCCGCTGAGTCTACTTCATGACTGCTAGTTATGTTTTAATTGTGCCCGTTAAAAATCATGCTGAAAAAATTTACATTTGATAGGCAAAGTTAAGTTTTACTCCCATACTTGTCTCTCTGTAGGTTGCTAGAGGAAAGCATAAGGAAAGTGAAAAAAAACAAGAGAATGAAAAGAGAAGCTGCAGTTACATTAAAAAATAATTTTAAGAAAAAAATGGAAACCAAGTTCTGTGTTTAATTTAGTGGCAAATATTCATCACAAATAAAGATTATATGCTAGCAGTAATTATGTGAAAACTTTACCAAAATCTTGAAAATTCTGTTAATATTAAATATATATATACTTTTATTTAAAATAAGCTATTAAACAACATAGTAATATATGGATGGGTTAGTGACAATCTTTCCCCCTCCCCCAATTAAAAACTATAGGTATAAGCTAACTAATATTAACTTTATTCTGAAATTTTTCTTAAGAAAAAAGAAAACTACCATAAAGCTGCACTATACTATAGTTTGGATATATTGATAGGCTGAATGTGGTTTTCTATAGCTAGGCATCCAAATTATCTTCATTAGCTAATTCATTCCAGAAGCAAATTTTGTCAGCAAGCTTTAGAATTAACTGAACAGTATATTATATAGATAGGATACCTCTAAATGATATAAATCTTGAAGATGGGCTCTCAGACCATGTGATGTCAGTCCTGTAATAATATATTAAGATTTATGCCACCTGTGTTAAAAACATGGATCATTATTGTAAATACTATCATGACTGAGCTTTTACTATAATATAGTGCAGTTTTAGAAGCCTGGCATAGACAATACCGTAATTTTTTTTAACTGAGAAATTAAGAATGTAACAATAAATATATGACAACTTGAATATTTTAGAAACAGGGCAAAGATCATAGCTCTGTTTAGCAGCAAAGAAAGGTAGTTTTATTTGTAAGTAAAGCACACCTGGTGAGTTAAATACAGGAGCTGAAGGGGCATTACATACAACTGTTTCAGCGAGCAATGTGTTATAGGGGTTGTTAGTGCCGTGGGGTCGAAGAAGAGGGTTTGTTAGTAGGTAATTGCCAGTCATTCCTAAAGTAAAAAAAAAAAACAACAAAAAAACAGAGAAAAGTACATCAGTTTCTTATTTTAGTGTTACAGTTGTAGTCAACTATTTTTTTTATATTCATCAAGGGTAGTGGACAAGTTGGCAATGGAAAATCTGTTGAAATGTTCTGACTGTATTTGAACTACTAATTTGCAGGAGAGAAGGGAGAGGGAAGTTAAATTTCAGTAATTCACAGGTGCTTTCTAAATCCCCCAAGTAAACACCTGCTGAGGATGACATTTACTAATTTATACAAAAGCACTGTTAAACAAAAATGGCAATTAAATGCATAGAGATCAACATTATGTTTCAAGATGTTACTGCTTAATATTAAAAACGTAACCACTGAGGCCCAGAAGAGGGAATCTCAAACTTTCAGAATTTACAGGTGTGGGATTATCCCTCATGAAAACATCTGTGTTAATACCAACTGAGCAGGAGGAAAACAACTTTCACAGACAGGTAGAAAGTATGACACATTGCAAAAAGCTTCTCTTAGTAAATGCAAAAGCACACATGCTGAGAAAAAAAAGACTATAAAATGAATTATTAGATCATTCACAAATTCTATATAACAAGAATTTTCATTATGTAATGTTATTTGCCAGGTTTCAAAAATGAATCATTGAATAATGCATTTACTTTTTGATCGCCAACAGAATGAAGTAAAATACCAAAGCAACAGAAGAAATGCACGTCTTTCATTCTAACTGACAAATTACAAACTTTTAAATACTTACTGATTATGTTTTGCATAGCTAATGTAATTTGGATAAAAATATCTTAAAATTCAGGTTAGTATTGCTACCACACATACACCTTTTTCCATTTTAAATGAGAATCTCACTAGAACAATGTCAACAGTTTAAAATGTCATTATATTTCATTGTAATAAATTCTAACTTGTATTACAAATCAGTACATATCAAACTGAAAATAGTGTAATAAATTACCTTTCCAAGGATATATACAATACCATATAATTTTTCATACTAAATTGGAATGTATTAAGCTTTTATTCAAGAATACATGTGTGTGCATATACTCTTTTCTAAATTACTTCATTTCCTAGCATATTTTAAGAACTATACTGATTTATCTGATAAATTTAAAGATGCCACTGTAGACACATCAAACAATATAGAAATAATTACTTTATAAACTTTCATGTATTTTTGTTTATGAAGATTTACTACACATGTTTTTAGCATTTATTTTTTACTTTTTGAAAGAAAGGTTAAAAAAGTTCATAATTTCCATGGTACTGTTTCATGTGAATAGTAACTATTCTAATTTTATTAATGTTTTATGAAGAAAACCTTCATAAATGTCTTGGTCAGAAAGGATAAATCTGTACTCCCTAGGATAATATTTTTAATCTGTGGCAAGGTATATTTTCAATAATTACCTTCGAGCCGCATCCTGTTAATGCAGTTTAAAATTATATTTCTTACATTACATTATTGAATAAAAGGAACTTATATGTACTTTAATAAATGGTAGTAACTCAAATTTTCCTGATAACTGACCTTGATTAAGTGTTGAAGTGCTATTGATGTCACCTGAGATAAAAGAAGATTCTGATTGTTTTCTCACAGTATCATTCCACATTCTTCTTATACGACTCTATTAATACAAAACAGCAAGACAAATATGTTTTGTTAGTTTCCCCAAACTTACCTTATTAAAGACATACAAGGATTTACCCTAAACAACCTATGTAGGATTATCTGGTGGCCTTTTAAAGAATGTGTGTTTTTTCTGGTCTAAAACTAACAATATCTATTGTTTATTTACTAAGCAACTAAGGGGCATTTAATCCTCCACTCTTAAAAACATGTTACTTTATTGTCTTTCTTTAAAGAGTGGAGATCACTGATTATTCAATATATGTTTATTGAGTGCCTGCTATGAGCATTGTGCTATATGGCCTTAGGCTATAAGACGATTATGACACACTTCTTAAATAACTCTCCACAAAAAAGGACGTTCACATATAAAGAAACACTGAAGAAATGTTTAAGAAGACATTGAAACCAAAATACTAAAAAAGCAAGTATTTGCTATCTAGATCATTATAATGAGAAGACAATTAGTGCATCTGAACAGAACATGTCTCAGTAGGTTTTCTATAAATAAGGTTAATTAAAGATGCTGTCAAACTCTTTGTTACCTGTGTGCCAGAGGAATAGCGAGCACTGGTTCTGGTGGTTGATGCCTTCACTGAACTGTGGGGACTCTCAGTTGGGAGGCCTCCACAGCAGTATGAGTGTCTGAAGCACTTGCCATATTCTTTTCGTACCTGCATTGAATAATCACAAGACCAAGGGATTAATATAACACACTTGCTTCTCTCTCTCTAATTAAATGAACAGTGAAGACAACCGAAAAGAATTAAAGTTCCACTAAAACTTATCCGTGGAGAAAATAAATTGAACTTGCAAAATCAAGTTCAATTAAAATTACTGAAATAGTAATCAGAAAAGTATCTCTGTCCACTAGACTGGCTAGTAGAGTCTTTAAAATGTGATATAACATGTAGACATACTCTATATCCTGTTATTATATAAATGTTAGTTATTAAATAATAGCAATATATTTATAGTTTTATTCTCATATATTTAGTAACTCCAATTTTTTATGCTAAGAAAACAGGACAAAAAATTTAGTATTTTCCTTGCTTAATTACA
This sequence comes from Homo sapiens, assembly GCF_000001405.40. Taxonomy (NCBI): domain Eukaryota; kingdom Metazoa; phylum Chordata; class Mammalia; order Primates; family Hominidae; genus Homo; species Homo sapiens. The sequence goes on along the minus strand of NC_000001.11, from coordinate 81,984,194 downwards.
TTTAACCGCTCTGTAATTCAGTCATTTGAGTTTTATATGCTTCATGTCCTCTTAGGTAGGTCAATACAGAAACCTCTTTTGCTGGATTGCATAGTTCTGCGGGTAACCTCTGTATAATGACAAGACTACTTTGGCACAAGAATAAAGAAAACAAGTACTTTGATACATTTGCCTCTAATTAGGAAGGAATGTTTTCTTCATTTTCTGATGTGTCTAGCTTTAACATTTAGTGTAGAGAGTCTAAGATGTCTATTCACTTCATTAGCACACAAGGGAACTATTTATGCAATTTTCATTCACATTAATGAGTTACCCATGTAATTTCCCTTTTCCCCTGAAGCTTGAATATATGAATGCAAAAAAAAAGTTGTTAGGTCTAAAAAAAGTTTCAACTAAACTTTAAAAAGTGAAGTCCGAACAACTGCTAAATAATAGGGCCCCATCTAAAGCAGTGGTACAGAATTAAGAGGGAGAGGGTGCTGCTGGACTGTTGCAGCTATACTGGCATATACATGTTTTCTTGTGGGTTAGAGCCAGACTGTGAAATTACAAGACAGACAAGAAGAAACTGCATAAGAAAATATTTTTTCTAATAGGTTACAAAAACACTCAAAGGCTTTCCCTCAACTCAGAAGTCTGTGTGCAGTAACTGCCTGTAAAGACCATGACTTTGACACTTATTCCTTGCAAAATTAGAAAATTAAAAATCAGTAGATGGCCTTTTAAATCTAAGCGCACTTACATTTTCATCTTTTTAGCTTTATTTAGTTATACCTATTAGAACAAATAACAATGTGGTTGAGTCTTCAAAGCATTTTCTTGGCCTAAGTATGCTCATTCAAGCAGTTAAAACCATGATTTTAACTTAACCATTTTATATCATATTCTTAACAACTCATCCTGGCGCACCCAACTGGATGTATCCAAGACTAAGTTATACTTCTTTTGAAGTATAACATGATGCATTTAAAATGTAATTGTTAAATCTAAAAAGCATAAGAGACTCTCCTGTTCCATTTAATACACATAACTATATGAGGAAATAATGACTACCTCACTCCTTTTCTGCTATGTCTATGATTTGTGTCAAAGATGTTTGGCACAACAGCACAAAAATTATGAACATACAATAATAAAATGCTCACTTATGTAGGAAATATATAAAAGCCAAAGTAATTACTAATGTTACCCCTGTACAATGTTTAGAAGTTAAAGTTCATTGTTATTAAATAACACATCATACCTCACAAAAGATTTCAACACATTTAATGGGTGTTAACTGCTATGAAATGCTGTATAACCAAGACAATGGCAATCAAAATGGTATTTTATCCAAATAATACCTTCCAGTGTTGGTTTTGCCTAATGCCTATATTGCTGTGAATATACATTATCTGTCAGTATTGCACATTCCACTGTCATTATCTCAAAATTATAGCTTATTCAAAACTGATGGAAGTAACAACACTATCGTCTTGTCAGGACTGAAAACATAATAGCTTTCACTTCCACAATTCTATTTCTCTGTTCAATTTAGTGACCAACTAGTAATAACAGAATAAAACGACTACATTAGATATGTAGGCAGAGAAAGGATGATACCCAGTGAAAGGTATGGAAATTTTATACTTAAATAGCACCTAAGCAATTCCCTTAGGTTTACATCTTCTTGCTACAGATTAAAGCTTTTCATCTGTAAGTTTCATCTGACTCCACTTAACATAAAATCAGGAAAAAACAGTAAGTAAGATGTAAGGTACTAATTATTGATTTTTAGATCCTTCAAAATTACTCAAAAGGTAACATTAATTTTTTGTATGTCTGGTGCTTTAAAAATTAACATCATTTATCCTTATACTCCATTTCACTGTGAATCACTGTAATGCCTTTAGTGAGCAAAGAATGAGTTTTATTTAACCTTTTCTTTTACCTTGTATATCCTTTGTACCTAGCATTTTATAGACCCTACGAGCAAGGAAGAAATCTTAACCTAAGTATCTAGTTTATAACATTCCCAAACTGAGATACAAAAGATGACTGGTATTATTTTATAGGTGAAACCTAAATTTTCAGACAGGTATGAAAATTAACTTATAATTAAAAATATAATGCTCTTTAACAATATGCCAGATGTGACTTAAAATATTCTTTATTATATCTATTATATTCAAATCAAAGAATGAGTAACCTGAGCCCCTAGGTGTTTTCAATTACTTACTTTCTTTTGGAGAGCACAGTGAAAGATGAAAATGAACACTCCCTGGAAAGCATTAAATATAGTGAAGAGATATGCCATCACAATAGTCTCCTCATTAATAAAAAGCAACCCAAAGGACCAGGTGAGGCCAAGAAGACACAGAAGAGCGAAAGCGCCAAGCACCCAAGACCTGGAAAAATAAAGTGAACTTTTTTAACAGGTTCAATGAGCAAAAAACACACATCACGCTTAAATGTTAACATATCAGTAGTAGCAGTTGACTTTCTCTATGTTCACATTCATATTCAACAGCATTTTGGTTTTAACCTTTCTCTGATTAAGAAAGAACAATAGCATTTAGTACTGCAGCCTCCAGTGAAAACAGCAACAGCAGGTATGACCTTTTCTTATTCCAGAATAAACAAAGTATCAAAACTATATTAAAATACAACGTGTAACATATCCCCTATGACTTTGTCTTTTATGTGCATTTTGATAAAAGAAATTAAGGAGTGCTTAATTAATTTACTCCTGTATTTTTATTCCTATGGTGTACTCACATGACACTAAATAATGTGACACATACAGAAAGGTTAAATGGCAGATAATCACTTAACACCTAAACTTCAGATTCTAATAAACTAGTCTTAGGTGAACCTAAGGTTTTATAACTAAAGCATGAAGAAGCCTAGCTGAAATGAGACAAAAACATGAGAACAACTTCAAAATAAAATAATTTTGGAGAGATTTCGTCATGAACAGCTTAAGAAGAAAAGAACTGTAGAAAATAGGACGGAATGAGAAGGATTTAAAGTCAGTGCATTCCATGTCTAACTAATGATCTTACTTGATAAATGGCTTATTATCTTCATAGCTAGAAAGCATTATAAGCAGAAAAGAGAAACAAAATTATTAGACAGAATTAAAATAGAAAGTAATAAGAAAGCATTTATATATTTTATAAATTAGTCAAAATTAAGAAAGTCAAAATGCAGAGGCAAGCAATTAAAAAATAAAGGCATATTATAGTTTAAAAATACTATAGCAAATTAGATATTTCAAAATAATTATAAAAATTAAGGGCAATTCATGATACTGACGAATTTGTAAAAAATACAAATCATGCCATAAATTTGTTAATGTAGGGTTCTACCTTACCCAGGTAAGTCCGTATTATAGTAGCCATCACAAACACGGTAATTACTGGTGTAGATGAGAAGACAGAAAGAGGAAAAGGAAGAAAAGAGAGAGATGCTAAAGATTAGCTCTCTCTCTTACCATGCAACATGCAATGAAGCTGGCACTAACCTATCTAAAACATCTAATTAAAAAAAAATTTACCCTTACTATAGATCTGCCATTTTTGACATTAAAAATAGTATTTTTTACAATCACATTATAACCAACTTGAATAATACCTTCTCAAATTCTAAATTACAAGGCTCACATATTTTAAAGGTAACTCTGAAAATGTTTCCATAAGATGATTTAATGAACAACAGCTATCATTTGTTGTTAATTAGATAGCATTTTCTCCATTGACAGAATATTGCAGCTTTTATTCAACATTAAGAAAAAGTAAATATTTGTTTAGCATGAAAACAACAGATAATCTTCAAGTTAACAATAGTAATAGAGTAAATTCTCTTAGGAAAACAGGATTAGGAGTGGAAACTGCTCAGAATCCTTAAAGCAAAAAGTCATTTAACAAAACAAACTTAATATAATCATATCAGCCATGCAAATACGAAAATCATTTTGAACTGCATTTTAAATTCAAATGAAATTGCTACAGTGATATGGAATTTCCACAAAGCCACTGAAACAATTTATTGGCTCTAGATCAAGACAGCAATTATTATCTAATTTTTGACCAGTATCAGTGATATAGTAACACTGAGATTCAACTTGAGGGCAGTAAAACTTCATTCTGAATAATTTCTACAGTTGATAGAAGGTAGAAATCCCTGTGTTCCCTGTGGAGAGTATCTTTTACTTAGTTTGTCAAGTATTAAAATTAAAATACAAAATACTTACTTAATGTTTTCCAACCTGCTAGAATCTGGTTTCAAAGTGTTTGAATGCTTCACCATTTTGCACAATGTGATCACCAAGAAGATAATATTTAGCTGTTGTAACAAATAAAGAATTAGACCACAATGAACAAAGAGCTGAAAAATGAATAGTTCTTGCAAATGTATCGATCCATGTTTATATGGAAGATACTGATATAATTTTTTTTATGTATGCAATGATCAAGTTGAGTCTACATAAAAAATACTCTGGCTATGTATGATCAATTCTTTAATAGATCATTTGACATCAAATTGCAACCTCATTAAGTCAGTATTATGTGGTAATGATTAAATAAATTAGAAAACCTAAATTAGTTTCTTTAGCTAGATGTACTTCAGGGCCTAAAAACCATCTGATGGAAACACTAAAGTGAATTCCTTAGAAGGAGCATTTACATAATGTACATCATGTAATCTACAAAATTGCTGGGTTTGAAACCATAAGTCTTGGCTGTGAGTCTAGCTCTTGATTTTGACTGATTAAATGAGGATAATAACATCTGTCCAATCTATTCATAAGGCAATTGTGGGGATCAAATGAAGTAACATGATAAACGTTTGTTATATAAAGTAAGATAAAGTTTATATAGGTATGTTTTGCCATTTAACTGTTAAAAGCCATCATCAGTCTTTTTTTTCTATGTCTCTGTATTGTAAGGAAGTAGATACATTCTGACAAAATGCTGTTTTGAGTCTTTCTAAACATTCAGCTATGCAAAGAATCTAGGTGCAAACAAAAGCAAAATGAGGAAGATGGAATCTGACAAGAAGGAAAGTGAGTGGATTCCAAGAGGTCAACATGAGCTTGCTCAGAGGAAAAGGAGCTGTGTTTTGACTGAGAGACAAAGGTTGGTAATTTGCATTTGTTTCTACAGACACCTGGCAGAATGTTGGAAGAAGAGGAGGCAGTTCCATTTTTATGCTCCAAAAATAGAACTAAGCTACATTGTTCCTGAATTTTTTTTTGCCATTTTATTTTTAGATTACTTTTTAAAAGGAAAAAAAAGTCATTTTGTGAGCTGTACGTTACTTAAGAGAATACCAGAAATAGTATATTCAGAAAAAGACCCATTTCACCTATTATAGGTAAGGATGAATTTAATTCCTTGTTGCAGATAATCAGCATAACAGTGTTACAGTAACATGATCATTTTTACTGAGTCACAATATCACATGATCAAATGGTAACACTATTTTATTCATCTTTCACTACTTCTGACTTTATAATTAGGAAAAGTGATATAGGGCAATAAATAAAAATTTCCAAGTCCTTCCTAATGATGAGTTTAGGAGCAGAGCTAAGGAAAGCTTTAATGTAGGCTGTGTATCTATCCAGTCATTTTGTCCACTGTGCCCTATGATTTCTCTTAGATGGAGAATTCCCTCTTAAGGGATAAATGAGGTCAATGGGCAAAATTTTACAAGTGTTGGCAGGTAACATTCTGTCCTTTGATGTTAATTACTTAAGGACAAAAACAGTGCTTTGTTTAAAAAAAATTTAATAATGTCTTAAAATACATCTAGAGAAAAAGTAAATACAATTGTAGAAACATTATCTGGCTTTATTTTCCATAACATTCTAGTTGGTCATAATATAAATAAATGCTTGAATTTTCGGAGATGTTACAATATGATACATTTCATTCAACAAATATTTATTGACCTTGTTCCGTACAAGGATGTGCTTATTGTATTGTGGATGAGGTAAGACACAATTTCTGCCTTTGAGAAATTAGAGGTCCTTTGGTAGTATAGTACATATCTGATTAGGCTTTTAAAGAATCATGGTAAAGTGTACCTCTAATTATTTTTTAAAGGCAAAAATTAAGAGTGTGTTTTTTTTTTAATTTTATGCAACACTAGCTTTAACTAGTAAAATTCAAGAATGGTTAAAAACAAGAACTCTATAAACATCCTAAAAATAAACAGAGAAATAAAAACCCAAGTAAACAAATAAACTGACTATAATAGGTAAGATGGCTGCTTTGCAGATTCACAATTAAAATCCTTTAAATTGTTCTCCCTTTGTTTCTGACTCTTTGTTTTTGAATGGCCTGATAAGAACAATTTACTTTCTTTTATCCCAAACTTCTGAACATAAGGGTTTTTTTTCCTTGCTCTTCTTAAACAATTTCCTGAAGTGTACAGGACCATAATTTGGTGTTCATAATTTTCTAAGCATATTAATTATTCCCTTGGGAACAAAATATTAGTAGTACTAAAACATTCTGGAAAGAAAGAAGTTATTCATTATCCACTACAATGTATAAAATTTATAAGGAAACTAAAAAATGTGAATGTGGAAAAATGTGAACATATAAAGTATTATATTGCAAAAAGAAGAGGAGTAGAAAATGATAAAATCTTAGAAGTGAACTCAGAAGAAATATTTTTCAATGGCAAAAATCAGGGACAACTTTCCAATAAAAGTGACATACTAAAATGAAATCTACCAATATAAAAATACAATCAAGACTTAAGTATGATAAAGTCATTCTTCCTAGTTAATACTAACCAAGGTGAATATGCCATAGAAAACTTATCTCAATTAATCCTTTAAAAACAGACTGTTCAATGCATTTCTCCTCTTTTGCTCCCCTCACTTAACTGAGGTTTTTGACATTACATGTGTTTAATGTATCTTTCTAGTTACACATACAATACATTCACAATACAAGTTCAGAAAATAAAGAAAATTACAGAGGAAAAATACAGCTACAATCCTATATACAGTGGTAGCAGGCAGCACTTGTATACCCGTTTTACAAATAATTGAGATGTGTCCTTCCAAAGATTACTTAGATACTATATTTCAGGGCTGGGATTCAATATACTGTGGTCTGGGCTCTACAGCCCACAGACTTCCCATATAAAATTAACCAATTTATTCTGGGTGAAAAGATTAGAAGTCTCCTAACAAAGATATACTAAGTCTATATTTAAAAGTTTCCATTTCTATAAAAAGTAATCCAACTTAAAAATCACTCAGAGATGAATGAATTGAAGATAAATAAATTAACATATAAAATACTGCCTCAAAGAAATCCTATTTATGTTATTTACATAATAGGTATGCTCATCAAATGACTTCTGCCTGACGGATTTGCCAGAATTAACTAATTCTCCATTTCCTTTGTAAAACACTAGCATCCCACAATCAGCAATTGGCCACGCTTCTACTCCCACTAGTCAAGTCACATGCTTAACAACAGTTAGTTGTATTTTTTCTAAACCTGTTTATGTCATTTATACTTTTACATTGCTAAATATCACATAAGCTCATAAATCCAAGTGCAAATGTAAGAACAAAATTTTTTAAAGCTGTTTCTAACATACTTAAAATGGAATGTTTTAAAAGATTTGAAAGTGAGTTCCTTTAAAGACAACTAAAAGTATTGGAAAAATAATCATAACTTTGAGGGATCTTTGCGCTCAAATTACAAGTGTCTGAATTCTCCAACTTGAAGAAACTGAAAATAAAACTTTTAGCTAATGCACTAATATCTAGATGTAAAGAAATTTATAGTTAAACCCAACACTAACTTAGCCTCTGAAACATGACTTGAAAGCATACAAATAATGAGGCAATGGTATGTGGAAGAGGACAAAATATCATCATTTCAAGACTAATTAATTATGAAATAAAGCATATGACATAAATCGTAAGATGGCAAAATAATACTGAATAAGATTTTTCTTTTTCCCAACTAAAGAAAAAAATTTCACCAATACATATTATTTACTAGTCTTATTAGAGAAATACAAAAATTTTTATATCACTTTGATGCTCAACAATTTATGTTACCACCAACATATATGACAATAAAATATCTTCTGGAATTAAATAGAACATATACTGAAGCACAGATACATTTTTAAAAATGTGGTTTTACAGTTATCTTATTTTCTCCAATGTTAAAAAAATGTAATGCTAAATTTTAGTTTGATAGAATAAATATTGTTGCTGCAATCTTTTTCAGGAGGCAATACATTCTGATAATTATAATTTTGCAGGGGAAAATATTCCAAAAATTTTTTCCCCTTTCTTACTTCTTTCTTGTTTTCTTAAAATACAACCGTGGAAATGAGAACAAGAGGCAGAGGGGCAAATAAACACATCTTTGATAAAAATCTGTAGTCATTTTAAGACAAAAAAGGTAGGTTTCAAATAAACTACTGGCTGCAAGTCTGAGTTCCTTTCTTCTTTGCATTTTTCTCATGACATAAATGGCTCTTTCCATCCATATACTTCTGTGCTTTCCCCTTCTCCCCCGCCCCCACCAATTATAATAAGTGATTTCTTTCTCCTCCTTACTTTTACTTTTGCCCAATTTATTTTTCTGCCTTTGATACGCATTTACAAAATAAATCACAACCATCCAACATGGTATTTCCCCTATTTCTCAATGGAAGGCAGGCAAAGAGGCAGGGAGAGAACAATGTCTCTACCATCCAATTGCTGCTCTTCTCCCTTGAATTCCAATGCAGCCACTCTTTGACCCTCTTGCTCTTTGTTTTTTCTTTTCAGTGTAAATACTACGAAGTTTAAACATAATATTTTGGCATAGGTTGAAAGGCTGCATGCATCAGTGAGAAAGGAAAAAGGTGGAGTTACAGCTGCGCACACAAACATTTGTCTAAACTTGGTAAGTACATGCAGTTACTCAATTATCCACACAGAAGCCACTACTAGTAAGTATAGGCTATTAGGATTGTGGTACATACATATGACAACCCACCAGGCTAAATGTCCATGCTAATAATTAATTCTGGGGATGAAACAACTCATTCAAGAATCAGATTTTAGCTTAGCTCTGGGCGTGTGTGTGTCTGTGTGCAGGTGTGTGTGTACAGGTAAATAGATGGCTATCTTTTAAGATAAGTCTGTTGAGTGAGAACAAATCAAGAAAAAAAAAATCCTTATTCAGCCAAAAAGAGTAAGTCATCAAACTGGGACATTTTTTTTTCTCTCCCACTGACAAAGATCATTCTTTTACCTATCCCCAAACAATAATTTCATAAATTATTATTTATAATAACCCACCAATATAATTTGCTGATAAAATTCAAACTGCTTAATGATATGACACAGCTAAACATCACCCATATTGATGAACATAAAAATACAAAGAAATTTTAAGAAAGAAAAAGGTACCACAGATTATAGGAGTGCACAGTTTGTTTTATGGTCATCAACCTGCTCAATTGAATCACATCCGTCTGAGCTTAGCAGCTTAAAATTCATTCCACAGCTTGCAGTGCTGACATGGATATGATAAGACAGAAGAACAGAAACATCACTCTGAAGTAACCTAGCTGAACTGTGCACGTTCTGACCCTTTTTGTCCTCCCTGGAGCTTTTGCTACCTGGCAAATGCAACTCTAAAGCTATACTTGTATCTCCAGATCTTTGCTGTTAGCCAAGCAGAAACCTATTTCTCCCTGGGACTAGCAGCCAGAGAGGTGTTCTCTGAAGAAGACTTCTAAATGAGTGTGTGAGCTGAACTCTTACTGAACTGAATTAATTATTAACGATGCAGATGGAGCTGTCCAAATGATAAGAACAGCTCCTGACGTGTCATGATCCAAGCTTTCATTAAACCATTTCAGGCATACTAATGGTTTCCCACTGCTCATTACTTACCAGCACTTTTCTCATAGATATAATAACTCTAGTGCCTGTAGGCAAGACATCCTATAGAAATGCAGAAGTAGGAAGTTTTATCTTCCTTAGCATATTATTTTTCTTCATAGATTATTATTTAGAATGTACACCTATTTAATACAACTAAGTGAAACAGTTTCAATTCAGAAAAACTGAAAATGCAAAGCTATACTTTCCTAGGAATAGCAATAGGTAATTGTTGTTATGGGAATATTCCTTAAAAGGATAGTATACAATACAATCTATATTATTAAGATTTGTGCCTGAATTGAGTTTACATGTCTTATCATCACCAGAGGGAAGATATATATATATATTTTTTCCCCACACACACTGTATCATCATATCATATCTCAATTTAAGTTAGATATTCTTTTGCAAGACGCTGTTTTGTACTCCTATACCACTCTTAATTTCTCTCTGTTGGGAAAATTAGAAAGCAAAGCAATCGCAGGAGAATTCCAACAAGATCTGTACTGGGATTGCTACCTACTGGGGTTTGTGTTTGAGAATGCTGTTGAAAAAGCCATTCACATCTCAACCTGAAGGATTTGGTAGAGGACAATAATGACAAGACTTATAAAGTAATAGTGTGCTCTACTATAAATGAACAACATAATAAAATGTCCTTTACCCTTTTTTCTTACTAAAAGCTGAGTATGTTGAAAATTAACTTCTTTTGCTAATTGAAATGTTTTTTAATGATCTAAAGTCAGTACTTATCTTCACAGATATCAAATAAATAAAACTACAGTATAAAAGGAGTAAACACATGATAGCCTCATTGGCCAAATATCCCTAAAGCAGTCTTTACATTTTTGCAACTTATGTGTTTGACGAAGGTCTTAGAGGAAAATGGAAGGTTATGTCTTCAAGGATCATGCCTCTTCATGTCAGCCATTGAACTCTAGACAGGCTTAGGCTGTGTTAACATATGAACACCAAGAACAAAAACTTGGGCAATCATCAGATTTAATAATTCTGATGAGAAATCAGTTTTCCCAGGAATACTTGAGAATGTTTTACTGGTTTAATTCATACAGGCATTCATCTCAAATTTTCATTTCACTTTGTATAAGTAATTGTGTAAAATAATTAATTTTAATGACAAACAAATATACACTTGAAGTGGTTTTAAGTTTCCTTCAAGTACTAGAAGTTTTTCTCAATTTCATGAAACACTGCTTAACCATGAAAAGATCCAAACGAGCTCATTTGTGTTACGTTTTTGAAAAAAAAGTAAGAAAAACTTCTTAAAATAGGAAGTATTTATGTTTCCTTTTCAGAGTTAATAACACCATTTCTCACCATAGTGCTACAACTGAGCAAGTTTTTTTTTTTTTTTTAAGACAGGGTCTCGCTCTGTTGCCCAGGCTGGGGTGCAGTGGTGCAATCATAGCTCACCGCAGCCTTGTGCTCCTGGGCACAAGAGATCCTTCTGCCTCTGCCTCCTGAGTATCTGGGACTACAGGAATGTGCCTCAACACCGAACTAATTTAAAAATATTATTGTAGAGGGGAGGTCTTGCTATGAAGTCCAGGCTAGCCTCTAACTCCTTGCCTCAAGTGATCCTCCTGCCTCAGCCTCCCAAAATACTGGGATTATAGGTGTGAGCCACCATGTCCAGGCCTGAGTGAAAGTTTTAAATACCAAAGTCTAGATACTGTAGCTACACTCCTTTATTTCAACTATATCTCAAATGTGACTAAGGGTAATATAAGATGTTTAAAAATATCTTAATGTCGTTATCCTTGACTTGCATCAAATTCATTTAAAAATAGCATTTCTTAAACTAGTATATTCATTTGGTATCTTCAGTCTTATAGAAGTAATTTTATTTCTAATAAATTTTAAGTTGATTTAATAGTCATTCGTTAATGCAAGCTTAAACAACTTTTTATATACTAAAAAGCATTGAGGATGTGGATATTCATTTAAAATTCACTTAAAATTAATTCATTAGAATTACATAGTAATTCATTAAATTACTATGTGGAAACTAAGATAATAAAAATTAAGGTAATATTCTTTCACTTTTCTGACATATTCATTTAATTTATAACATGGCCTATATGTAAGCATGTTTTTTAGATTATGATGTGATATGTCAGCTTATTAAATTAGAAATGAGAAAAAGTACTTTTTAGAGTAAAGATTTTCAGAAATATTAATTAGCAAGTTTATAAAAAATATTTAAAATATACTATTATCCTGTGAGACAGGCATATTTATAAATCTTTGTATAGATAGATAAACAAACAATAAAACAAATTATCCTTGTTTGAATAGCACTGCTAAAGCAGCAAGCTAAAAAGCAAGGGAAAACAGAACCTGCTTACCAGAATAATGAAGGTAACAGGTCCAATGAAGCTCCATATAAAGTAGTTATCAACATGAAGCCAGCAACTATTATGAAAAGAGAAGAATATGCATTAGTAGTTTCTATGGAACCTCAACATCACAAGGAAAATAGGATTTTAAAAACCTAACAGACAAAACTATCTTTACATTTGCCTTTGAAGATTCATTTATCATGTGCAAGACCTCTAATAATTCTGAGTTGGCTTTGACTTAACAAAGGAAAATAATTTATTTACTTCAAACTGCTGGTTTTATATTTGATAAAAGCATACAAAATCGTGCTTGTATGGGGAAGACAATAAACACCACTCCACCACTGAATCCTTAAGACTTCTGACTTCCCTAAGACAGACTTGAAACTCAATATTGCAAATTGTCTCATCATTTTAAAGTCCTACATATAATTTTCAAAATTTGCCTTTCAGATCTGTCTGAGCTGAAGTGCTTAACCCTATGGAACCTAACAGAACCCCCAAAAACTGTTCAGATGTTATGTTTGTTGCAAAACAGTGTAGCAGAAATATAATACCTCCACTAGGAATGGATAAATGCTAGAAAAGGATATCAAAGCACAGAACTCACACAGTATTAGAGTAAATGATGCATAAACTTATTAAGACAGATTTTACTTAGTGGTTCATTTTTCATATAACATGGAATCCCCACTGAATTTCTTTTGTCTTTCATCATCTGTACAGTCAAAAAGCTTTCTTTAGTCCAAAGAATCTTTATATAACTAATTTTATCAAAGGAAAAAAATAAACAGAATTGGAAGGCAAATTCATGCCTCTAGCAAATAAAATCCTTAGAAACATGACTATGTCTACCTTCTGTCACTTTCTGTAAATATCTATACTTTTATGAACGAAAGACAGTGACTTATTTTAATCCTTTCAAACTGCCTGATACAATATTATCAAAGTAAAACATATGGGATGGAATGTGCTACTGTCACAATTCAGAATGAGAGTTAGCTATAGAGGGTCAGCTGCACAAAGAGAGCTAATGAAGCATTAGCTTAACACTGAGTAGTTAAACCTGTCAGAAGCTTTAAGTTCAGAAGAATTTTTACTTAATATCTTTCTAAGGCCAAAAAGTTATTTACTTTTTCAATTTGTTTCAGGTCAATCTTTTGTGTTAAAAAGAAAGTCCATAATTTGGAATCTGCCTTGCCAGAGTACAAATCCTCTGAACCCAGAAAATTGCAAAAGACTTGATTGTAATTTGTGCACGGTATGCCCATTCTCTTACCAATAAAGCTTTCAGATGCTATTTTAATCTGTCAGGGACCCTCACTGACAGCTAACAGGCTTTAAAAAATTATTCACTTGAAAAACACTCAGGTCGCTTGCAATTACTTACGCTTTTTCTGTTCCATAGCTCTTATAGTCAATAGCAGCTGAAACTCCAACCACTGTGGCAGGAAACAAGTAACCAGCAACATAGTAATATTTTTTCCTTGAATATTCACTTTCAAAAACTTCAACTAACATTAGGTAGAGCTGCACACCTTCTAGGCACATCCAAGCAAAAGCTGCCAAAAAGAAAAAGTGTAGAAGTCCTGCAAATATTGGGCATGCAATCTACGGGGGAAAAGAACAAAAAACACAAAAGAAAACTCATGAATAAAAATAGCCCACTCCAAAATTATAAAATACTCACTAAGAGAAATCACTATTATTTCAAAAATACATTATTCAGAGTAAACTAATGCTTCCTGAAAATATTTTTTTCGTAACTGGAAACAAGCTAAAAACCCTGACAAATCTGAAGATTATCATGTTCACAGAGTATAATGCCAAGTGTGCTAGGTTTCATCAAGGAAGAACATTACTATAACATTTTTTAGTGAAATTAAATATCAAATAAGAAAACTTCATAATTTGTGAATTATCTGTTATGAAATCTAAATATTCCACTTGTAGATGATTTGCTTCACAAGTCTTTAAAAGTGTTGTTTGCAAATATATTATTTCTATTTTTTTCTATAATGGAATTTTAAAATTTTGCTTTAATGACAAAATCCTAGCTCTAATTACCCAGTTCCTGTCATATCTGGAACATTCTTAAAATTATCCAAGGGCAGATGAATATAGGGTGAAGCATTAACTAACTAAGTTCTGTTTCTGATATTAAGACCTCATGATGATGAATCAATTGCTATGAATACAAAGAAAGGATCACTGGTCAGAATGACTATGTAAACAAAATAAGAATTTTTAAAATAGGATCTTTATATTACTGTATCCTCAGCATTCTTCTATTAAAATTATGTCTTAATAAAAACACAGAAAAATTCGACTGTATCTTAATATATAAAATGAATTAGTTCATAATATTACTTAATAATTGGACAGTCTTTTAATTTACTACAAATTGTCTTTCAATATTGCCGTATCAATTCTATCAAGTTACAAGGTCAAACATTAATATCAGTATCATATGTCACCTCACACCTACTAAAATAATTTTCAGAGATCTAAGGTCAATGAACTCAACTGGTGCTTACCGCATATTTTGTCTTATCAATGCCTATTAGGAAAATAAATTCAGCAATGAAAAGGTTGATACAAAGGTTCTTGTGAATAGTATTTCGGTCACTCTGTAGGCCACGGAAAAAGCAGAAGGTGAAGATGCAGATAGCCAGGCAAACAAGGGAAATGACAATTCCCACCCAGGTGATGACTGTAAGAAGTAATTCATGAACGCCATCTTTATACTGAAAATAAAAAGATATGAGGAACATTAGTATTCCTGCATTACATCAACTAGAAGAAAGACAGCTTTCACATGTACAGCTCATCTTTTACTACTGAACTCTTTGAAGAATACTATTCATATGTGTTCAAAAAAGGCTCAATACCAAAAATAAATTTTGATCACATAATAGCGTTCAATATTATTGTCTTTTATACTTAAAAAATGATCTATGAGAGAGGAAGATTTTACCTAGAAAACAATAAAGGAGCCTAATGATTTCAAAGTATGACTGAATTAACTACATAAACACATGGAAACTATTTACATGACAGAATAAAGAATACTTATTCATGATTAAAAACAACTGACATTTTAATGATTTTTCCAAGCTAACACATAAGCCAAGTTTTAAGTTTTTATTTTCTCCTTGGGGTTTTGTATGCTTACATATTGAGAGTTGACACATACTACGGATCTGAGACGGAAATGCTACACTTCTTAAAATATTTCTGTCTTCTGGCTGTCATTGTCTTAATCACAAGAAAGAATACTGAGACATATTCCAGAAGCCATTTTGACTTTTCAAAAGATGCAGCTTTGCACAATGTGCAAAGTGGTTAGGAAACTTAAAGGGAAAGTTGTAAAATTAGATTCGAACATTCAAGATGGGAAGGGCATGTTAAACTCGAGAGCCTTCTGTCTCTTTTGTATGACCTATTGCTGCTCATTATTTAAATCTTCTGTTGTCTCTACCAAGCACCTGCCCCAAGGAGGAAAACTTACAAGTCTATAAAGTCATAGCATATGATTTTGAGAAGTAACAATAACAGTGCCAAGACTTCTTAAAATTTATGGACAGTGTAGAAACAATTAGAAATCAACATTACTTTGTTTGCTTTTTAGTTACGGTAAGCACCCAAAGAATGGGACTATTATACAAGCTGTTTTGAATCTCTGAGGTTTTTCTCTGCTACTAATTAGAAGTGCAAATACTTACTGCAATTTCCCTGTGGGCCATGAGAATTGCAAAATTGGTTAGGTGGCTGCATGCACACGTTGTTCGAGTTTTATTAGTGTCAACCAGCTTGCAGCCCTGGGTAGACCAATATCCCATCATAGTTCTCTCTGAGTAGTTCCAGAAGGAGCAGTTTGCATTGAAATAATTGTCAGGCTGGGAAATAAAATGACAAGATAAAATTAGGATTTTATATTCTAAGATGGCAACAGCAATTGTTTAATATGTATAAAAGGTAATTTAGATTAAACTTTGCATGTTTCAGACTATAAAGTTTTTCATCAGCAAAATTGTGGACTATGTTATACAAGGCAGATATCTAGCTTAAAAGGGGCTTTATAGTCCGAAAGACTCTAAAGTGTACTTTAAATTACCAAGACCCATTTTACACAATTACAATTTCCATTTTATGATTTTACAATTGATGGTACATTAGAATCTTTTTTCCTTTCTGATAAAATTAGAGCCATAAATTTGTTCTGAGAAAATTCTATACGGACCAAATGTTTTAAAAATCCATGTTCTATTTTGGGCCCATTTTTGGTTAGTTCTAAGAGATACACTAGCAGCAATGTAAATCATATTGTTAGTACCTACAAGCTCTTAAGAGTCAATCAAATAGGCCGGGCGCGGTGGCTCACGCCTGTAATCCCAGCACTTTGGGAGGCTGAGGCGGGCGGATCACAAGGTCAGAAGATCGAGACCATCCTGGCTAACACAGTGAAACCCCGTCTCTACTAAAAATACAAAAAATTAGCCAGGCGTGGTGGAGGACGCCTGTAGTCCCAGCTACTCGGGAGGCTGAGGCAGGAGAATGGCGTGAACCCGGGAGGTGGAGCTGGCAGTGAGCCGAGATCGCGCCACCGCACTCTAGACTGGGCAACAGAGCGAGACTCTGTCTCAAAAAAAAAAAAAAAAGAGTCAATCAACTGAAGCAGATATGAGTACCATAACCACACAAATTTATTTTTCTTTGCCTATTTGGAGATCCACTTTTTTATCTGTGGGCATTTATTCACTCTACTTATCACAACAGCCAAACATTCTGTAGACAATCTTCCAATACAGTGTAGTTACGTAAGTATCAACTTGCATTTTAAGGCACAGCAGAGGAATCACATCTCCTCAACTGTTTTTTTAAACACAATACTTGGTAACAGCTGTGTCAAACGTGATCAGTAAACTAATGAAAAAAATTTTGCCACACAGAAAGGCAGAGTCCTAAGAGTTAATACTCAGCTATCCTGCTGCTAAGTAAGGTAAGGGTTAATTTTCATTTGAAAACAAATTAGAGTCATTTACATTTTCCTGTTGATTACTGAATTAGCTTTCATTAAGAATACACTTAAGTTCTAATAATCACTGAACCAAGCTCATTTAATTTTATGTTCACAGACTTAAATAAACTTGTGTCTCTGACCTAGTCCAACATTTAAAATTCAAATGGAAAGGTCTTGTCTTTCCTCCCTCCCATCTCCCCAGTTCTCTCCCCATCCCCAGCACCTCAGTTTTGCTTTCCTTTCTTTCTGCTTTTATAACCTTCCATTACTTCATTAGCATACATTAACTTACATCAATGTGTGGCAGGGTAAAAAGCACAGGATCAGTCAGGTATACTCGGCTGGACTCTTTATTGATTGAAACTGAAATGACGTGAGAGTTCACTGCAATGGTGCTATTACGACCAATAAAATCAGCACCCAGTTTAATGGTTGCATTTTCTGTACTAAGGAACTGTCCCAGGCTCCGGTAAATGATGAACACCAACTTTGCAAGCCCTAGGAAGGTAAAAATAGTCACATGATGTACAAAAAACATGCTTGTTAATAAACTAAGATAAAATAAGAATAAAATGATGAAGTCCTAAGGCACTGTTTTATATCTGCTTTTAAATGGTAAGCCGTTTTTTTGTTATATAAGGACTCAAATACATTTTAGAATTAATAGGTTTTTGAACAACAACAAAAACTGTCAATTTTTAAAAGACTTCCACCTTACCATTCCTGCTGTTCTGTTTGACGGTATTTGCGGACAGTTGGATTGAGCTGCCTGCTCCTTTGATGCCCAGAGGAAATTTAAAGTCTTGGATCTGTCCTTCTGTACTGAGTACGGCAACTTCCAGGACTGGATGAGGGAAAAGATAAAGGAGGTGGGGAAAAAAGGATTCTTTAAGAGTTAACTAAGGAGGCAAATGATAACTGTATGGAAACTACTGTTTTCTTTTTGCCTACTTAAAAAATTTTACTGTTAGGTTTCAACAAAAATCATGGACTAAAAACCAAATTACTCCAAATGATTTAAGTCTTAAATATTCACTTCTCAAAAAAATTTTGTATTGTCATTCTAACACCTTCTTCATATTTTTATCTCTTTTGTCATGAACTAATACCAATCTGTTAGCCTGTAAGTATGAACAGTGTATGAATTAATAGTACATAACTTTCAAGGTTTTATATTTAAATCATGAAGCTAAACAAAAATATTTCAAACTGATATTTTTTGGCTCTTTATATTAAGTAACTTTTCAATGACCATTACTTGGCAGTGGTAAAACTAATATGAAGTACAAATTTGAATGACTTTATGGCATCTATACAACTCTTTCTATCTATGATCCACTTTAATATGAAAAATTACACAGGTCAAGTTTGCAGTAATACTTTTTTTTTCTAATTTCTAAAAATAGTGAGCCCAGCCAAGAATATATTTATGATGAAAATGTCATTATGTTAAAACTTCCCATTAATTCTCACTAGTAACCATCAGTCTTTACATATTCAAATTGGGCAAAATAGAACCTGCAGGCCAAGCCTGGCATGCCATTTGTTTTTGTAAATAAAGTTTTATTGGAACACAATCATGCTTATTCATTTGTATATTGCCTATGGCTTCTTCAGTGCTACAATGCCAGTTAAATATTTGCGAGAGAGACCACCATGGCTTGCAAAGCCTAAAATATATACTATCTGGACCTTTACAGCAGAAGTGTGACAACCACTGCAATCTAAACCAAATTTCAAAAATTCAAACCAAGTATCGAAATTGACAAACACTTAAGGAAAACACGTCAATACAAAACACTGAGAACATCTACCTGATCAACATGCCAATGCTAACTTCATTTCAAAAATATACTTAATAGTAACCACTAACAATATAAATGTTTACTGTCTGCTGGGAATCACAATACAGATTGTAATTATTTTACATTAACATTCATTTAGATTTTAAAAGGAATGGAAAAGTACATTGCCTTTACAGGAGTTAACTATCTTATATTAATAATTACAATATTAACATTTTATTGATGAAATCTAAGGAATTATATGAAAAATTCATTAATTTCTGATATTGAAATTTTAAAAATAATCTGTATTCTTAAAAAAGTTCAAAAAATACAGTCCACACTTTTTTTCTGAATGTCACTCTCTTTAATGTCTCTAATGTCTGTATCATCTATCAGCTATTCACCTACAATCCCCTTTTTATTTTTACAAAAATCATCTCATACCATTGTACAGTAATTCTTGGATACTAATTTTTTTAATCTTCTGCAACTCTGTTTTGTAAAATACATCTATATTTAGGTGTAAATATAATAACATTCATACATTTTTATAAGCAATTAAACCACATGTCAAACCCTGAAATACAAATTTATAATGAGCATCATGTAACTGCTAAAATTCTATCAGCTGCAGAAACTGGTTGATACACTTATTTTACTGATACTTGTTTGGAAAGATTAAGCTGCTGGGTAGATGGATGAACTGTTCTCAGACTCTGTGTGGGCGGCAGGGAGGAAAGAGGGAAAGAAGTTTAATTAAAGTAACTGATTCTTCCTCACATTGAAAGAAGCTTTCATATCTTAAAACAAGACAGGATGAAAGAAGAATATCCTCTGAGTTTTCATGAATCATCCCAAACATAGATATACATGTACAAAGAGTTAATTGCATTAAACAAATATTTACTTATCAAACTTTAATTTCATTAAACAGAAATTTACTTATTAGAGTTTAAAAAATAATGTTCACAGTAAAGAAAAACTTTAAATTATTAAAAGTAGTAAGATCATGACTACAGCTCTCAGTAGATATTTCAAGCTACTTAAGATATTTCCATAAGAAAATGCAATAATGAACTTTGTACCAACAAATAGATAAATTTATATCAATAAATTTTTAAAAGACAATAGAAACTTTCCTAGAAAAATAAAACTGACTAAAAGAAATTAAAAACCCTAATAGTTTATGACCATTAAAAAACTCAACTGATAAATACATACTGAATTTTAAATAAGATTTCTATTTTCTGTTTCAGAAAACAGAAAAAGATATATCCCTAACTCATTTCACAAAAAAATATAGGATACTTTCAGTCATTAAAATGATGCAAAAAATCTTTAATAAAATATACACACATTTTATAATATCCTGGACAAATTAAATTTTTAGTAAATTAAGTTAAAAAAGCATATAGAAATTAATACATTAGAAAATGTATTCATATAATTCATCAAATAGAGAAATTTAAAAAGTATTCACAGAAACAAATTTCAACATCCACTTAATGTAAAAAAAAATCTTTACAAAAAATGTGAATTAAAGAAAAATTCTTTGACCAGATAGAAGTTTTCTTATCAGATAAAGGCTAAACCTTTATGTATCCAAAACATATATAGCAAACAATAGTGAAAAACTCTAGAAGCATTCCATTTAAAGTCAAAATGATCTCTGTCACAGGTTTTATTTAGCATTGTACTAGAAGACCTAGCTTAATGCAGTAATTCAAGAAAAGCAAATAAAAGGTATAAAGGAAAAAACAAGTATTATTCACAGTAAACACAATTAACTACATAGTAATAACGAGGGACGTTAACGATAAACTATCAGAAATACTAAGAATTTAGCAAGGCTGCTATGAGCAACATCAATCGTGTTTCTATACACCACACAACAAACAATTAAAATATGTAATTTTAAAAGTGATATTATTTATAATAAAAAAAAGAAGTATAAGTTGTCTAGGAACAAATCTGATTTTTAAAAAGTGCAAGACACTAAAAATAAGAAAAATATATAACTTTATAAGAAGACCTAAGAAAAAAATGAAGAATTACATAATGCTGTTATTTGGGAGAATGCAACAGTTCACCCTGGCACCTCTTTCAAAATCAATCTACAAATTCAGTCCAATTCTAATAAAAATTCCAACAAGATTTTTGTGTCTGGAACTGGATCCATTGATTTAAAAATTTATATAGAAGAGACATGCCAAAAAGCAGCCAAAGCAGTTCCTTAAGGAGCAAGGCTGAAAGACTCAACAGATATTAACATTACTGAAAAAACCAAAGCAGCAAATAATAGACATGGCTAACATGTAAGATATCATTACAAATCATTAGGGGGAGAAATGGATTACGCACTAAACGTAAACAAGGAACTGGTTATTCATATGGGGAAAAATCAAATCAGCTGCCTCTCTCATATGATATCATAATTAAAAATAAATTTCAGGTAGATTCAAGACATAACTGTAAAAGGCAGAGGTTTATCATTTACAAGGGAAGTATAAGATCCTTATAAACTCAATGTAGAGAAAATTTTCCTAAGTAGAAAGCCAAAAGGAAAATATTTCTTAAACAAGATACCAAGAGTACCAACCCTAAAAAGAATAAACTGATATATCTGACTCATTATGTAAAACAACAGATTCCTTTTAAAAAGATAAAAAGAGAAAGCCCAGACAGAATAAGTATCTGTAAACTATATAATCTTTACAGGATTAGTGTCCAGTATACATAGAAGTATAAAGAAAAAATCAAACAGGAGAAAGTTGTAAACAATAAATTCATAGGAGAGAAAACTAACATAGGTAATAAATCTGTTAAAAAAATCAACATGAAGCAATCACGGAAATTGTAAATTAAAACAATAACGTAACCAATTCAAACTCATTAGATTGACAACAGTTATGTCAATAATAAAGTGTCTGCAAAACTAGTAATGGTATTACTGGTGAAAAATTAAATTGGTAAAAGAAGGTAGAGAGCAATTTGGCAGTATTTAGTAAAGCTGAAGGTGGGTATGCTCTACCACTCAAAAATTCTATTTCTAGGGAGTATGTGTGTGTAGGCACACACAGGTATGTGCGCATGTATGTCTAGAAAGGCACACATTGGAGCAAGAAGGCATACAGAAACTTTCATTACAGTTTTCCTTCTGTCAGGAAAAAAGCAGAAGCCACTAAAATGTCTATCAGCAGTTAATTCTGGTACATTCTTAGAAACAGATCAAATGAACTACAGATACACATATCAGCATATGTAAATATAAAAAATAAAATGCTAAGGGTAAATTATACAATTATGGCCATGTGCAGTGGCTCATGCCTGTAATCCCAGCACTTTGGGAGGCTGAGGCAGGCGGATCACCTGAGGTCAGGAGTTCGAGACTTGCCTGGCCAAAATGGTGAAACCCCCTCTCTACTAAAAATACAAAAAAATTAGCTGGGCGTAGTGATGCATGCCTGTAGTCTCAGCTACTCAGGAGGCTGAGGCAGGTGAATCTCTTGAACCCAGGAGGTGAAGGTTGCAGTGAGCCGAGATCATGCCATTGCACTCTAGCCTGGACGACAAGAGCAAAACTCCGTCTCAAAAAAAAAAAAAAAGAAAGAAAATTATACAATTACATTTACAGTGTGAAATTAATGTTAAAAACCTGAAAAGTATTCACTGTACATACTTACAAAGCAAAATTTTTTAAGCTTATTAATGCTAAGTAATAAAGATGACAGCTACCTCATTCATGATATGAATCAGGAAGGAGGCAATCCTGGGAACTTCGACATTATCTATGATTTTCTTTTTCCAAAAAAATCTGAAGCAAATATGGTAAAATACCAATATGTGGCTCAGCTGAGTAAGTGGTACACAGATGTTATGCTATCCTCTACTTTCTGTATGCTTGAAATAATATATGCCTTATTCAATAGATTTTCTGAACATGAATACACTTGGTTCACTGGAGAGCCATTCAGAGCCTCACTCAGCCAATACTGTAAACAGAATTTTAATATATTTATCTTACTATTTTGCAAATTCCTCAGCAAGTAGTGGCTGTAATGAGAGGAAAGAGGAAGAACTATGACCTCTGCCAGGAGACTTGCACCTTTATGGGAAGGAGCTGGCATCAGCCTAGGTCCCAGAATAAAAACAACACGGAGCAGAACTGAAGATGACAGGAAGCAGAGCTGAAGTCCAGCCTCAACAATTATGCAGCAGGAAGGAGTAGTAAACCTTTGTTGTTGTAAGCAGCTGTGACTTTGGGGTTTTTGTTACCACAGTCTAAGTCTAAAGTGATGATAAAAATCATGCTGGCCACTCAGCTCATTAAAACAATAAATAAGGCCAGGGGCGGTGGCTCACACCTTTAATCCCAGCACTTTGGGAGGCTAAGGTAGGTGGATCACCTGATCAGGAATTCAAGACCAGCCTGGCCATCATAGTGAAACTCTGTCTCTACTAAAAATACAAAAATTAGCAGGGCATCATGGCAGGCACCTATAATCCCAGCTACTCGGGAGGCCGAGGTAGGAGAATCACTTGAACCCAGGAAGCGAAGGTTGCAGTGAGCCGAGATCATGCCACTGCACTCCAGCCTGGGCAACAGAGGAAGATTCTGGCTCAAAAAAAGAAAAAAGAAAAAAAAAAGACAATAAATAAAAGGGAATTTTACAATGGATGGATCAGGCTGATAACATCTAAACCATGGAACCGATCTGAAAATCACAAGGAAATAAAACCAAAGATTATGTGCTTGTTGATAAGATGCAACAGAAAGTTCTTGTTAAATTAAAGAAACAGAAAGTTAAACCTAGCATGATCATGCCTCTAAATCTAACCATCAGCATACCAGGCAGAGTTAAATGATGCACTGTGGATGAAATAAGCCAAACCAAGAATGTAACAAAGTCTACAAGACAAATTACCCACCTGACTTCCTCAAGAAAAACAAAAAATGTTTAAAAAATATTTTTTTTAGTATGCAAAGAGAAATAACTTTTAATGAAAAAATACTTGGCCAGGAATGGTGGTTCATGCCTGTAATCCCAGCGCTTTGGGAGGCCAAGGTGGGTGGATCACCTTAGGTCAGGAGTGTGAGACCAGCCTGACCAACATGGTGAAATCCCGTCTTAACTAAAAATACAAAATTAGCCAGGCATGGTGGTGAGCACATGTAATCCCAGTTACTCGGGAGGCTGAAGCAGGAGAATCACTTGAACCCAGGAGGCGGAGGCTGCAATGAGCCAAGATCGCGCCATTGCACTCCAGCCTGGGCAACAAGAGTGGAACTCCATCTCAAAAAAAAAAACAAAACTCAACTGACATATCTATCAGATTTATTACTTGGACTTGTATCCTGGTTTCAACAAAGTATTAATAAATTTATGAAAATGTGAACACACTTTGTTATCTTTTGAAACGTTTTGTTATTTTTTTAAAGTGTGATAATGGTATTGTGGTTTTTTAAAGAGTATGGGATATATCCATATAAAGTTTCTTACAGTAATCATGATAGGATTTTACAATTTGCTTTAAAATATTACAAGAGTGAGAGGAGTTAAGTGGAACAGGATTAGCCAGATGCTGCTAAAGCTCAGTAAGGTGAATTTTTAAAATCAAAATTAAAAACTTCTGCTCTTCCCAAGATATAAAGAAAATAAAGTCACATACTGGAGGAAAAATACTCAGAATGCATATTTCTGACAAAAAGACTTACAACAATAATATAAAAAGAATCTTTAGAATTCATTTAATGAGACAAACAACCCAATTAAAAATAGGCAAAAGATATGAACAAACACTTCATAAAAGTATATTTGAATGGACAATAAACACATGAAAGGAGGTTATCAGCAAAATGTTACTTAGCAATCACAGAAATGCAAGATAAATCCACAATGAGATGCCTCCAAGAACCACTAAAAATAAAATGACTGCCAATCCTAAATATTGGTGAGGATGTGGAGCAACTGGAACTCTCATATGCTACAGTTCAAGTTTAATATGGTACAACCACTTGGAAAAATGGCAGCCAAAAATGGCAGCCAAAAAGTGGAAAAAAATTCAATATGTCTAAGTGAGTAGATATACAAATTGTGGTATGTCTTCACAATGGATAATACTCAGCAATAAAAAGGATTAAATTATGGACACTCCCATGTATATGGATAAATTTCAAAAAATATTCCTCTGCATAAAAGCAGCAAGATCAAAAGGAGTACTACATACTATATGATTCCATTCAACTGAAGATCTAGAAAAAGCAAAACTAATCTACATGGACGAAAAGCACATCAGTGGTTTCTGATGTTTTTAGGGCTAGGGTCAGAGGAGAATGACTGCAAAGGAGCATGAAGGGCCCATCTGAGGACACAGAAATATCACCATGCTGATGATCATAAGAGTGTACAACTGCCATACTCCATCAAACTATACACTTAAAACAGGTGCTCTTATTGCATATTTTAAATTATACCTCCAAGTTTTTAAATGTCACAATTAGATATAATTATAATAGATAAAATTATATCATTTTATGGAGTCATGTATTATTAAGGGTAAATCATGCTATGAAGTTAAACCAAGAATTTAAGAAGAAATCACTAAGGAGGAAAATCAAATTGTTTTAATAACCTAAGACATTATAGCCATGTCCTCAAGGGAGTGGGAACATAGAGAAATAATAGGCTATTTTAGTCCTCATGTCTGAAAAGAGAACAAGACAAGTCCTAGGAAAAAGGTGAACGTTTCCCTCACAGTAAATCAGGGCCCTTCCCCCCACCCCCAAAATTGTTTATACCTTGGAAATAAAAAAGACACAACTATTATTACAATATGTAAAATGACCTTTTTTTTTTGAGACAAAGTCTTGCTCTTGTCGCCCAGGCTGGAGTGCAATGGCGTGATCACGGCTCACTGCAAGCTCTGCCTCCCAGGTTCGAGGGATTCTCCTGCCTCAGCCTCTTGAGTAGCTGGGATTACAGGCACCCCCCACCACGCCTGGCTAATTTTTTGTACATTTAGTAGAGACTGGGTTTGGCTATGTTGGGCAGGCTGGGAACTCCTGACCTCAGGTGATCCATCCACCTCGGCCTCCCATTTTTTTTTGTATTTTTTAGTAGAGACGAGTTTTCACCATGTTGGCCAGGATAGTCCTGAACTCCTGACCTCATCCGCCTGCCTCGGCCTCCCAAAGTGCTGTGATTGCAGGCATGAGCCACCATGCCCGGCCGTAAAATGACTTTCATATTGATAATTCTTGGGTAATCAGCATTTAGACTAGTAAATACCAAGCATTATTTTAGAGATGCCAGTCTCTCCATAGTGTTTTTTAATTAAAAATGAAAAAAGATCAACATTAAAAATAATCCTTTAGTTTCATTTAATTAAATTTTATTTATTTTTTTGAGATGGGGTCTCACTCTATCATCCAGGGTGGAGTGCAGTGGCATGATCTCAGCTCACTGCAACCTCTCCCTCCCTGGGCTCAGGTGATCCTCCCGCCTCAGCCTCCCCAGTAGCTGGGACTACAGGCATGCGCCACCATGTCCAGCTATTTTTTTTTCTTGGCGTATTTTTTGTAAAGATTGGGTTTCACCATGTTGCCCAGGCTGGCCTCGAACTCCAGAGCTCAAGCAATGTGCCTGCCTCGGCCTCCCAAAGTGCTGGGATTATAGGCATGAGCCACTGTGCCCAGCGAAAAATAATCCTTTAGAACTCTGAAAAACATAGGTACTAGAAAAAATGTATTCCTGGACATTTAATTGTTCAGAATATATCTCAAACTGGGATAAAAATATCTTGGATCTATAATTACAGTGTGTTCTATATATGTAAGGCTGATGGGAGCATAGATGTGAACCCAGCCCATGAAATTTTCTTGCACAATTGAAGAGGCATAAGAAGGGAATTTTAGTGGTTTTTTTTTTTTAATAATTTTCAGAATATTTAGAAAACAAATTGAGGTCATAATATGCCACTTCGGTAATTACTGATTTTTCATTCCCAAACCTCAAAGTAAATAAAAACAAATTATTTTTAAAATATTTCATTTCTTTTTAAAAATTCACTTATATAAAATAAATTTAAGATTATGAATTCAAATATAGGTGCTAATTTGATTTATGTCCATTTCTTCCATATACCCCTTTGATCTGCATTTTTTATATAAAGTCTCATGACTTACGCAGGCACAATAAGGCATAATTAGGCATTAAGATATGGCATTCCAGATAGTAAGTCTTCATTCAGTATCTGCTGCCCTAATGAAGTTAGCACTGCTTCTGGTGGAAGAGTAGTCTGTGTCCCTTTTGAGTTCTTCTACATGTATGCTTGGGAAGCTTTTTACTTCACTAACTAAGGTATACTGTTAACTTCATCTGAATTCAACCTCACTGAATAATTAACAATTCTAAATTGTTCAAACCTAAATTAATAAAATTTTACTGTATTTCTTTCAAATATTTTTCACAAGTGAATTCCTACCTCTCAGTGGTAGCATTTGAATTCTAAATTATGCTTCAACACTATCTGTAGCTATTCTGCAATCTATGAAGCACGGATGTTCTGCATTGTGGGAGATGTAATTCACTGACCACATTTTCACCTGAAGGCAGTTATGTTTAATACAAACATCTGACTCAAGTTCTGTGTGCTAAAATATCTGACTGAGAATGCATTCCATAAAATAATTTAAATTCATTAGGAACATATTATATAAAACGATTAAGCATTTGCCACAGTTTCATAGCAAGTACTTTCATTACTTAAAAAATCTACATTCTGGTATTTAGGCACTCTTACACTTTTTTGTTAATGATTTTTCAACTGGAAAAACACACACACATAAAACCAACTTGTAAAACACAGGATAGAGTTTGGCTTTTGCATGAATTTTAGTAAGTGTGGTCAATAATTTCTCTTGGTAACAGACAAAAATAATTTGACAAAAAAAGAAGTACAGCACTGGGAAATAACAGATACAGAATGGAAACATCATCCTCTTACATATGAATATCCTAAATCAAAATTAAACTTGACAGTAGATTCACTTACCAATATTTTCTGTGGGCATTGAGACCCTTGTTGGTTCTAAAAGATTGTCAGCTAGGACAAAAGCTCCTTCTTCCAATGTATCGAGTAACATTGTTGCAGTATGTGCTTGTTCAGAAGAATTCATATGTTTCCATGATTCCAAAGCTTCGGGTCTCAGAAGGTTGTCCACTGTGTCAACAATTGCCTGTATCCATTAGAAAACTATCATTAGTTTTGACCGCTTTTAGAACCAAAGTGATTTTCAGTAGCTGATGAGTGACAATTGTAATATTTATCTGTCATGATGATTTACTCTTACTTCAAGATGGAAGAACACCTAGACAACATATATCTGGTCCATTTTAAAATATAACTGGACCATTTTAAAACAGGACTGACTGAAGATTAACAGACTGCTATTTGATTACAAACAGTAAGTGTAGAAGGTGGATTGTTTCTATTTATTTAATCACACCTCAATTGTTGATAGTTGACAACCACCTGTGTCAGCTCTTAATCTGAGACATTACTCTTACAGGTAGAGTCAAAACTACTAAAGTCATCCTATTTATGATCTCAAAACTTGAATATTCTAAACCAAAAATACTGATGTCTTTGGAATAGATTAATATGTATGCTTGAAAATTAAACTATATTATTTTTTGAAATCTCAACTAAAATAGTAACCAAAATTATTCCTTATAGACACTGTCTACTTATAATCATTTGAAATAAAAAAAAAACAAGGTGGCATTAAAGTTCATAATTTATCTGTGAACATTTTCACTCTTCCAATTCTCTGTCCAGCTAAAAAACACTTGAGCATATACTTTAATTCATCAACAATGATCTGCTTTTAAAGGGATAAAGAAAGGAATAAAAATTAAAGCCTCTACTGATAAGTTAGAGAAAACAGGAAAGTAGAATCAAGTCTTCATAAACACCCAAGTTGTAAATATGCACATATGTAGGCTTAATTTATTGCTACACAAAATAACATTAAATAAAATATAACTCAGTTAATCAACTGAAGGCAGGATCTTATACTCCTACACTCTGTAGCTACGCACTGACTATGCTTTGGAAAGGTGAAATCACTAAGTTTATTTACTCTATTCCATTCACCCAGTCATAATGTGTCATTATGCCCATAAACACATAGTTCTGATCTATTGGTAATTACTGAAGAGAAAGAACACACACTGTACAAAAAGAACAACAATAAAAATTGCTAGCGTGAGGTACTATATGAACAGGGGGGAAAGTTGTTTGAAGCTACTGTCAGAGTAAGATTAATTAGCTTAATCCATCTTAATATCCTCGTTCTGTCTGCCGTGTGAGACACCACGACCTTCCTGGCAGGTGGAAGATACTTCCAAGTGGCGTTAAAGGCTTTTTTTCTCCCTCTAATGGGAGACAGAATAGTCGAAATGCTCACACTGATACTGCGGCAGCCATTAACTAGAGTGGAACAGAAATTGGTCTGCAGAGGCCAGATTCATTAGTCACCAAGAAATACAGACTGGAGCCTCTCTCTAATCTAAGTTACAAATGAATCCTCTGTCACAAAGTGGGAACTTGCTTCATTTGCATAGTGTAAGTCAGCTTCTGATTTGTAATTTAAAGAGTTTTATTAGTCTTATCTGAACAGAGAAGCTCATTTGAGACATACTGAAAATGACACTGGTCAGAAATTAAGGTCATGCTGAAATTTACTCCATATACACATAACTTGCTAATGGCATGCTTTTATTAATTTGAAACACTCCTTATTTATTACTATTTGTACTCGTCTAGTGGGATCAAAATGATCATTAGCCTAGTCATATTCCTGAAGTAGTCTCTTTCTGCCAAAGGAAAAAAAAAAAGCTATTCTTTTCCAACTGCGATGTATGTCCTGGGCAACATACCAATTATTACATTTCATACATTAACTAATACCTTAAAGGTGAACTGAACATTGAAGTTTAAAAAAATTCTATAGATTTCAGCAGTTATTTCTCTGCCCCTATTAAACAGGCTAAAAGGGGACTTTCAGACCATTATTACCTAAAAACAGACTTTCCTACTACCTTTTCTTGTAAAGTTCTCAAGTTCAACAATGTCCAATACTAACTAGTGAGACGTCATTTTTTCCTAGACCTTGCC
Organism: Homo sapiens; assembly: GCF_000001405.40. Classification (NCBI taxonomy): domain Eukaryota; kingdom Metazoa; phylum Chordata; class Mammalia; order Primates; family Hominidae; genus Homo; species Homo sapiens. The sequence continues at coordinate 81,953,933 of NC_000001.11, read as the reverse complement.
AACCAAAATTAGTGAAGTCATGCCTTTTTAATACTCTCTAGTCTAAGAAACTACAAAAGTTCTTTTGTTTTCTTGTCACAATATATGGATTCGTTCTTCAAGGTTTGATTTACCATGGTTATGGTCCCCTGAAAAGTAAGGTTAGAAAGTAATATCTCCCCAAAAGGAACTCCTAAAATTCAGAGAACAAAACAAAATGCAATTTGGTATTATTATTTTGATCTATCACACAGAACCACTATGGCAGCCTCAGCATGTTTCCTATTACTTGGATATACCAGGGAGAAAACCCGGCTGGAGTGGACAGGGATTCTGAGCTCAACAGTGGCTTTCTGTTCCTATTAGCTTGATAAAAAACAGTATGTAACATATACAGATATCACAGTCAAATTATATTCATATTTCATTTTTAGTAACCCATCCCCATATCAACCTGATTCTAGAAATGACTCCTAAAAATTTCAGAATAAAGCCTATTTTATTTAAGAGTATACCACAAAGATAAGAAAGCAGTGACTTTTTCATGCACATATATTATGACTATACAGTCTTTGATATGATAAACTGCCGAGAATATATCATAGCTGTTTTACTCAAGTTGTTTTTTAATCCACAGAGATGACAACAGGAAACAAAGAGACTACATAATTACTTTCCAATTAAGAGGATATTTCATTAAAATTCGTGTACTTTTGGATGAATGGAAAAACAGCAGAAATCATTAAAAGTAAATTATTTGCTTATTCTGAGAGTAATATACCTGTGAAAAGCCAACATTTGTACAGCTGATATGGGGCACATTATATAATTATCAAAGACTGAAATACATTGGATCATGCAGCAAGATGATAAAGCGTGGCAGGTAGCTGAAGAAGGGAGAAAGCAGGGTGACAGCACAGGAGAGATACCTTAAGGTAAGCCCTGCATGTCTTCTCTCGTTTTTGGAGCTTTTAAGTAAAAGAAAAGAAAAATCAGAGGTTAGATTTTTATCTGCTGAAAATGAGGAAAGAAGAAATCCTCAAAAATTAAGCTGGTGTTCCAGAGCTCGAAGTTTATATGCAGTAGTCCTCTGGAGTCTGAGTCTGCACTGACTACCAAAACTGCTTATTTACAGTTTTTTATTCTATTTTATGAAGTATACTAATCTAAAATATGTTGACAAAAAGAGACAAAATATATACTGCAGTAAAAAAAAAAGTCAATTTTTTAACCAGGTAGAACCACATTAGGCACAGATTTTGGGTTCCTATGAACCTAATATAAACACTTATAGTGTGATGAAAAGTAGCAATCCAACTTTTGTCATAATAGGAAAAATTAATGGCACTGATAACAATATATTCCTGGAGACGGCAACTTGTCCTTCTTCCAAAAGCTGCCATTGAAAGAAATATGTCAGTGGCTAATATTCCTATATGTGTCAAAATTTTGCTGCAACTATAAGAGTTCCATGTATTAGCATATAAAGTATATCAACTGTATAACATATAATCTCTCCAAGTGCAGATAATGCATTATAAACTTACAGTATTGACCACAATCAGATAGATAAAGTTTGCCACCAACTAAGATCTCTCTCAGGTAATTAACATCATTTACACTCTTTTGGGAGGGCAGGGCACATTGCTCTTTTCTCAACTGTAATTCTTCCTTGGAAAAATGAACCAAATTAGAAATTTTGCTTCTAAGTATATGTCCCGGGGCCAAAGATTTGGCTCTCAACTGCTATAAGACAAGAAAGAGCTGCCATACCAAGTGTCTAATTCAAAATAACAGAAGAGTTCTCTCTACCTTGTTATAACTCCGTCCAGCTGAATCTTTTTCACTAGGTTTCAGTTCCTGCAGCTGTGCATCAAGGATGTCCACCAACTGCTCCATCAATCTCACTGAAGAACTTACATCCCCAGCAAACACTGGCCCTTTGGTATGTTTAGCCAGTTCATTGGCAAGACTAGCAGCATTTTCTCCGCTTCTGATCTGAAAAAACAATTTGTATTATCTCATTTAAATTTTTTTTTCTGTTTACAGCTTCTAGTTCTCCTTGAGTATCTTTATTGTGGTGAAAAAAATTTGCGAATGTTAAATTCTCCAACTAATTGAGACTGATGACTTTCCCTTCGTCTTAGAAGTTTCAAGGCTCTTAGATTATCAACACACACACACACACAATTCTGAACCAGGCATTTAAAAGAAATAAAAAGGAAAAAAAATCCTTTCTCAAAAATTTCAGCCAGTTCTCTCATTTCACTGCTACCATTTAAAATTGTTATTTTAAAGTCTTATTTATTCCAATGATCCAGAATTTAAGTCAGTATGTAATCAGCATGATACTGAGGGTTATTATCTGATGTTTATTCGTCATAAAGGTAGATGAAGGAGGAGAAAAAATGGCATTGCATTACACTGCAATATTAAAGTTACTAATGCCTTTTAAAGTAGTTTACTCATTCTACCATAATCATGTGTGATATAAACATCTGCTTGCATTCTGTGGATTCAGTTGTAAACTTAATGATATTTTATTTAATCGGCGAATGCATTTTGTCTTATGAACATCAAAAGAAACAGAACTAAATATGAATGAAATTAACAAGCATTACTCACTAAAAAGCTTAACATAGAGAACAGGATACCCCCAAACATATGTAACTTTCAATAAACAGTTTACAGACAAAACTATGCGTAATTTTTTTTTACTTTTATACTGAACAAAGAGCAATAAAGCTGGTTTTAACACACAAAGCTAAATTATTTATGTTAGAAGTTAATGCCCTAAATCACCAATGTGTCATATTAAAAGGTTCCAACCAACCTTCTGAGCCAGCTGATTCACCCAGTGTGAGGTACAGTTGCTAAGATCGGGGCCCTTAGGGTTCCATGTTCCAGTGGAAATCATGCAGAGATATGAGGCAGTTCCTACAACAGATGTAGAAAACAACAGTGAAATTGAAACCATTTTTCTGCATGCATTCGGGAATCAGCTATGATGATCCTGCTCTGCGTGTTAAATTTTGAATAAACTCTAATGCAAGTATTTGACAATAAGTGACAAAAAGTAGGGTATAATGCAGATTATAAATGGTAAATATGAAGTCAGCATAGAAATATCATATATTTATAGCAAACAAACAAAAACCCTTAATTTTCTTGGGATTCATCCAAAGTGATGCTTATAATGAGAAAGGCAGCTGTAAGGAAGACTCACTAGAGTCTTGGGGCAAAAATCTCAGGCTTGACCTAGGTCTCTGAAAGGGAGAGGTAATTTATAGTGCCTGATCTTAAATGACTTTTACAGTTTAAAAAACTTTGTCCATAGATGTTATATTACCAAAGTACAAAAATAAAGTTAGCTACTGTAAACATCGCTTTCTTTGAATAAAATCACTTCACTGTAATACAGAACCTACTTACTAAATTGAAAAATGTATGCATGGTAGTTTATAGAAAATACCTCTTGTTCCCTTAGGGCATGGTCGTTCAACCATCATTCCCCTTTGTGTCTGAGGCCACTTTATCCCCTTGGAGTCTAATGCTTCACAGAATCTCTCTGGCAGGGGAAAAATATTTGTTATAGGTGGAATTTTGGTTGTAGAAACTGCTGGAGGTGGTTTTGTCCCTTTGCTTCCTTCCTGTGATCCAGCTACAGTTGTGCTCATGGGGCCTTTCTGTGAAGTAGTGCTTGTGGTTGATATTATGGTTTTGAACAGCTCAGCTGAAGAAGTTATTGTCACAGCTGTGGTAGGCACTATGGAAAAAAGATGAGTATATTAATCTCAAACACACACTTGCACTCACATACAGTCATGCACACATGGAATGTGTGCATGCACACACACACACAAAACCCTACCCATCTGTCTGCCCACAAACCAAGGAAATGAGAATTACTGACAATATCGCTCGTAAGAATACATCTTTTCATCTGTTCCAATTTATTTATACTGATGGCTAAGAGAAAGTAGGTAGTTTAGGCTTTACTATAGTGTTTGCTGTATGACTCTTAAGTTTATTTCTCAATGAAATATGTGATAGTACAGTTTAAGTATAATTTCATCACATACTGTTTAACAGGAAATGTGGGACAGTTTAATTTAGAAAAATTCTATTGTATAAACTCACATTCTATAAGCAATCAAATTCAAAGCATTAACAAAACTGTGATGATTATATGTAATTAGGATGATAAAAAAATTTAAAGTCACCCACTTTACATATTGCAAGAAAATAAATACTGTGACATCTTTCCACCCAGCAGCCGTTCTTGCCTGAGCATGATCAGCATGCCTGATTAGATCCAAACAGAAGATAAGCTTGGCATGCTTGCGCTGTTTTATTAAGGAAACATCTCAGGCTTCGGCATCGTTACCTTGAAAAAGGTAGGTATGAAGAAGCAGCTAGTTCCAGTCAGAGGTGGAATCTCTTACCAAGATAAAGCATCAGATCAAATCATGCCTAATTCAAACCAACCCTTCATATCTTAGTCACCCTTAACAGAGAATTTAAAAGAACTATCGTTACACATTTAAAAGCAAAAATGTTTTCATTATTTTCAAAGGTTATTTTTGCCTTCCAATGTTACTAAACTGTTAAATCCACTAGGTTTAAGAAATAGTGGAGCTCAATGTTTCTTCCATTAATTACCACTGAATTAATTTAAACAACAACAAAAATCTGTCAGTAAAAATTTAATACTACCACTTAAAAACTGTTGGAGGAAATCACACGAAAGTTGTATCAACATTTACAGATTATTGGCTCTTAAAACCTTACATATATGATGCCTTCAATTTAAATTGTTGTAGTAGAGCAAATGAAAAATAGCTATGTTTTCAAATCATCTTAATAAAATCAACTTATTTTACACTTTATCTACACATGAGATAATAAGCTAGAATATTAGAATTTATTAGAAAACAAGTTCATATTATCACTGATATGTTTACTATTTTAAGCTCTCTGGTCCATCAATCTTTCTTTATTAATTCTGACACTACTGACAGTAAACTACGAAAAAGTAGTGTGACATGTTTCTAGTTCTTTAGTAGTTACATACTTCTTGTTACCAGTAAGTACACTATACACGTTTTATTCCTTTCCCCCCCTCTACCTCAAGAGAAACTTCTAAAGCATGTGTTTTATTTCCAGGGCATAATTTATTGACCATATGAGAGATGCCTATGTACATCAGTCAAACATCATGCCTAGCCAGCTGCTGCAGAAACCTATTCAAACCTGTCTATCTTTTCTTTAAAGCACTTGCTTGACATCTTGTTAAACCTCTGTAATTTTCTTTTGATTACAATGCAGCCAGGCTTTCAGTGCTTTCTCAATTAACATTTGTCAAAAGCATCACAATCTTTTGCAGAAGTGTCAAATGACTGCTGCTGAATCAAGTCTTAAAGGGGAGTCGGGAATCAGAACAGAAAAAAGAAGGGGGCAGAGCAAAATGCTTGAGCGCTACACTACCTGATATATCCCTTGACACTGTACTAACTAGCACATATTTAATCACTGAAATATGTATTAATACTACAATTAGTGATTTGTTAGCTAAGCATTAGTTGAGATTCATAATAACCGAGTCAAGGTAGACATTAAAAGGACCTCAATTAAATGTGCAAAATTTCATGCAACATTCTACAGCCATGTTTCCATTGTTTTTTTTTTTGATAATTTATTTTTATACCTTTTCACCTTTTTGTTTTTGTTTTTTTTTTTGAGATGGAGTCTTGCTCTGTCACCAGGCTGGAGTGCAGTGGTGTGGTCTCGGCTCACTGCAACCTCCGCCTCCTGCGTTCAAGCCATTCTCCTGCTTCAGCTTCCCGAGTAGCTGGGTCTACAGGCACCCACCACCACACCCTGCTAATTTTTGTATTTTTAGCAGAGACGGGGTTTCACCATATTGGCCAGGATGGTCTCGATCTCCTGACCTCGTGATCCGCCCTCCCTGACATCCCAAAGTGCTGGGATTACAGGCATGAGCGACTGTGCCCAGCCACTTTTTACCTTTTGATCACCAAAATAGATTAAAGGGAATCAACTTATTCTTCAAAAATAAATCAGTGAAATATTGGGATATCATGAAAATAAACATGATCATAAAGCTTAAGTGACAAAACTAAATCTTTTAGAGGTACACATAGAATTTCTGGAATTTTGGAAGGTTTAAGTTTAGCAATACCAGAAGAAAAGCAACTTTTTTTCCTCATGTGAAGGCTAGAAATGCAGATATATTTCTAAAAATTATTATTTATTTCCACAGGTGGAAATGGCCCAAATAGGGCATCTGGTAATGATAAAAGTGTACGTTGATTTAGCATTTATGTGCTAGGTGCTATGCCAATCACCATTCATGGATAATCAGATCATCTTATTTAATCCTTACCACAACTCCATGAAGTAGGTACTATAATTATCTTCCTTTTACAGATAAGGAAACTGAACGATGAAGATAAGTAATTTGTTTAAGGTCACTTTCCCATACTCTTAAATGCTATGATCTTACTTGCCTAGTTACAGATTTTCATAGACTCTAGAAAAATACGGTATCCAACAAGTAACCTTGCAGTTATCTGGGAACATTTAACTGACATGGTGTTCTGTGTAAATCTCTAAAAGAATAACAATTTGGAAAGAAAGCATAAGACTAGAATAACAAACAATGAGAAGTTCCATAATGAAACATGGCAAAAGGTTCAAAACTCAAGAATATCCTATAAATAATAATAGAAAACACAACTCACAATAGAATTATGACTCTAATCCAAACCCTTTTTTATAGAGCTCTATTTATCCGGATGCCGTATCATGCACTCATGCACTGACTTAGGATTCTACCTACCATTTATCATTTGAGTAGAAACAAAATACCTAAGAAATGATGCTAATAAACATGCTTAATAAGTACCCATGAAGATTTTAACTAACACATACAGAATGGTTCAGTTTACTCTGGTTATGTACTAAGAACTTCTATTGATTACCAGGGTTTTCCTCCATGAAAGGGTTTGAAGACAACAGACATTTATGCTAAGGGTAATATTCTCCTCACTGAGGTCCAAGAATTCACCCTCACCCACTGTTCACGAAATGAACTCTAGAGTTTCTGTAGCTTGGTAAAGCAAAAACGAGCACCTATTCAACTTGCCCCTGTTCACTGTCTAAAAACACTGATCATCTTTTATACAGCATTCTTTATCAGTGAAAAGGTATTTCCGGAAGTATGAATTCTATGCTATATATAAACAAAATGGCTCTCTTTATAAAAATTTTTTCCTGGTATTACAGAAGTGTATCACATCATTAATTAGTCTAACCCAAATGTTGAGGAACTGCCAAAAGCCAAGTAAAAACACATCATTTTCTTTATAATATTTGGGATATCACATGTGCAGACAGATTAAGTAAATATAAAGCAATCCAGATTAAGAAATGGAAAAGAGTTAAAACAGGACTGGAAAGTGTTTTTCCTAAGGCCATTCCAGAGAGGGAGAAGGTGAAACAGGAAAAACAGACCTCGTTTAGGGGAGTGGAGCAAATGAACTATGCAGGGATCACACAGAGCTCAAAACTCACCAAAAAAAAAAAAAAAAAGATTAAGGCACAAAAATAATATGCGTGTGCTTTTAGGAATGAAAAGGCTTGGATTTATAAATGGGAAAAAGTATTGAGGCTAATATATTATTAAACAGTCCACAATGAAAAATGACATAGATAATGAAAAAAAACGAATGGATAATTTTATAGCACAATTTATGCCTTGGCCATATATGTGATAGCAAATCCAGCACAGATGACCTGAACTACGAATTTCAGCAAAATAAATCAATCACTACTTTATGACAGGCAAAAGACCTCATTTCTCTGATTGCTCTGTTCTATCAGTTTCTTGGATCTTGTTTCTGGAAAGCTGACAGTGGCTTATTGGTTTGACCTAAATTTGTGGGCCAGAATAGTTCTGCAAGACCCCACCTACATGCATATAGGTAGCACACATCTTGGATCAGAGAGAAGGGAGTCTCTAAATGCATAATATAAATTACAAAGAGAGAGAGAGAGAGAGAGAATGAATATGGGTCAAACAGCAGTGAGAGAAATTTAGGTCAGATAATACTTTTCATCACTAAGGGCTGAATAAGGGGTCAATATGAATTTTCATGTTCTGGGACTATTTATAAAGAATGGCTATTTTGGATGACAAACCATAGTTGTAGGAACATACAGTTGCTACATCTGCCGAAGCTTCTCATTTTCAAGGCTGTTAACTGCTCTTTCCAAAAGCATCTAAACTATCAAAGACTTTTCATCTGAAATGGATCAAATTATTTGCTAGAATATATGACACATGTGGAGGATGACATTACTAACCATCTTTGTATTTGCTGAAGTACTTTGTGGCAAGTAGATGGGTAATGTTTTTATTTGTTGAACTGAATTATACTCAACTTTATTCACAATTCTTCAGGTTGTTGCCTGATTATGAATTTGCAATTTGTAAAACATTTTTTTTCTTTCTTTTTTTTCTGAGGATGACAAAAAATTTACTGCTACCCAAGACAAATCTAACAACTGTGAGACTAATACAGGCTACAAAAAGGTTAACATAAGGATCAATACAATTTTAGCCAATGCCAATACAAGTCTGTCAATGCCTTAAGTTTGCCTTTTGACAAACCTATAGGATAAAGAAGCACTATTGTAGTAGCAGCTTTTGGAAAAACAATTGAAATAGATGAAACAAACCAAACTGCTGCCTCATGAGCAAACATATGTATACATTTTTAAATAAATGATTCTAAGATACTATCAATAAAATTATATGCCCTAAAAGAAGATTTCATTGTTATAAATTTAACAATGAACATTACTGCTACAACTATAAGCCAAAAAATACAAACATAACCTGATTTAGGGAAAAAGGGGATGTACACTAAGTCAGTGGATCATTATTGTTATTATATGAACAAAACTCATGTATTTTGGTATTCTACAATGACTCAAATTAGAAATTCCATGACAAAGAGCTGTGACTTCTGCTTTTGAGGTCCTGACCGTATGACAATATTTAAAACTGATTAACAGCATATCTTAAAATATGTATGGGTATGTGTTTGTTATGAACATATTTAAGTGTGTGTACTTGCATTGCTTTAAGAGAAGAAAAAATATATTAGTCTCTGCCCCACCCTATTGAGGATATTAATTTAATCACTCCAAAGAACTTTCTAGTTCCTAAAATTTTGAAATAATGCAATAATTTCAAGATTAACTCAGTAAATTAGGATATTCAGATCTTAAACAAACACTGTTCAAATAGAAGACTTATAAACAGTGCAAGCTCTATAATAATACATTAACAAATTATTCTTTCATCATGAGTATGAGATAATCTTGTTTTAATGAAGTATTCGTTTATCATCAAAAATTATTTCCCACAAAACTGAACTCACTTAATAAACCAAAGTATATTTCCAAAAATTTAGCATTACTTTCTAAAGTAATGATCCTCCATAAAGAGAATACAAATCACACAATGCTTGCATATCTGTCATCACAAGTCATCACTTGGGATCATTTAAAGTTTGGTTCATGTGATCGTTAAAGTCACAGAAATATTGACTTCAAACTGTCACTAATTTATCAGAAAATAAAAACATGTAATTTTACATGATAATCTAGAAAAATATTGGATGGCTCCCTCTCCTACTGAGAGAACAGACACCAAAACTTTAGAACGCATATATCTGGCATTGTACATCAAGCCTAGCCATTCTCCTGGGACTTCCTAACACACGTTTCCTTTAACCACTGGCGCCAAGAAGTTAAAAGGTCTGAACATAGATTGTAATCAATTCAGCAGTCAAGTAGGGGAAAACAACCAAACAAAAAAACACTGCTAACAGGTTTCTGGTTAGTATTATATTTTTAGCAATGAAAAAAGTTTAAGCTGACTAATAATGCCACAATTTCTTGAAGCCAACATTAAAATGAAGAAATTGAGAAAAAGAAAACGAACCATAATAAGGCTAAAATGTACCACAACATTGTCCTTTGTCCTTTAACTATGAAAAGGGGAAGAAAATAGGAAAAAAAAATTAAGAAGTCTTTAAAAAGAAAAATGCTTTTCACAAAATGACATAAGCATTAGCAAGTAAACACGCTTACCTTGGGCAGGATCAGGTGGACCAAACTCCAGAGAATATCGTAAAATGAAGTTATTGTTCCACACGTAAAGTTGGTTATCTCTTGGATTGTAATCCACTGCAGCAATATACTGATACTGGTTGGGGAAGGGAACATCTACATATTCTCCTCGGTTTAATCGGGTATTATAAATGTAATCAATTGAGTTCTTGCCTGTTTCACTTTCATTGTCTTGATAAACTGACCTAACCACATAGAGGACTCCGCATATCATAAAAGCATTTGATGCGGCACGTTTGTCGTATACAGTCTCCCACGTTGCTTCAAATCGAAGAGTGTATGGATTCAGCTGGCTAATAACTATCATTCCATTGTTCTGTTCAGTGGCGTAAATGACCCATAAACCATTTTCATCAACTGCTAGGTCGATATCAGTCTTTCCTCCCCATCTGTATGGTGAGGTATCATGGTAGTTGGCATAGTTAATTATGGCCTCGCCACTCTTAATTCTAGTCCTCAAGTCAAATTTCACAATATTCCTCGTTCTTTCTTTGTTAAAGAAGACAGCACCATCATACACCACAAATCCAGTACCATCTACTCGATTTGGAAGTTTATATGTTGTTGTTTGGCGACTATTTTGGAAATCTTCTAAAGAAGCATATTCTATTAAAGTATCGGTACGATAGGGAGTCCAGGGCATGAAATAAATTTTATCTGCAGCCTGAAGAGGGTCCTTGCACCAAGCACCCGCCTTTTGTTCAGCTTCATATATACATGGTGAGTCCACAATTGCTTTCAAGGTCCCAGGACACACAAAAACTAACAGTTACAGAGAAAGACAAAAATTAAGCCAAGTTAAAAAATTACACAGGCAAACAAGTTTCAGTGATCACAAATCAAAAGGGAAAAATTCATATTATTAGCATTCAATTTTACCAAAATGTATACTTCATACAAATACTACCCTTCTTTTCTAAAGTTAGCATAATCAGTGTATCAGGGTACAAAGTAACTGAAGTTTATGTTTATTTTCACTAACAAAAGCCTAAGTTTAAGATCATTTATAAGTGGTCTGACAATTTAAATTTTTGCTATGTTTTCATCTTATAATCTGTTAACCCATGTTTTAAAAGTTTGAGCTTTTGCACAACAGTATATATTTCATTTTATTACAAACATTATACCTTTCAACCCCCTACTTCACCTATGAGCCCCTAAAAGCAAAACCATGAAATAAGGCAAATAAAACAGAAAACCGAATGTGAAGACTTATTTAGAACTTTTACATAAGTTAGACTGAAAACAAAGGTGCTTCAATTTGAGGAACATAAGTATTTGGAAAATGCAATTAGGAGCACAGAAAAGTAAATGCAAGAAAAGCAGTGATGAAACAATCAGGAGACCCTGTAACCATGGCATGCTATGGAGAGGGTTCTGGAAGCCAGGCAAGATGACACTTTAATTATAAGAAAATATCCAAGGGTGTCAGAAAAAGAGATAAAGGGTAAAAAAGAAACAGAGAAAGGGCAGATCCCCCTCGCCGACTTCAGAATTTTTACCCCATCACCAGGTTTAGCAGTCATACAATTTCATTGTAAACAGTTGACTTCCTTATGAGGTGGCATTTATGAGATCCTGCTGATTATTTTAATACAGGAGTGTTGTGGGGAGAGGGGAGGGAGGAGGTTAACATCCATAAGGCACATAACAGGGAGCTGGGGTTCAGACTGTATGTTATTTACCTTTTTGCTCCACTTCTATTTTAAGCATCAGGAAGAAAAATAAAAAAGGTGCAAGGAAAAAAGAAAAAAGATTAAAATAAATTGACTATTAGTCTAAGACTGAATTCGTAACAGATGCTAAATATAGGAAGAATTAAGAGCTGTACTACTTTGGATAAAGAGAAACACACAACAGGAAAACCTAGCAGGAGAAAGATTCTAAAGTTACATAAAAGAACATGGATCAATCATTTTAGGAGATTAAGGAGGCAATACAAATATGTTGGCATGTTGCTTCACTTAGTGTACCTGAATAAATAATGAAACTCTTCACTAATGCATGGTATACATACTCTTGCCTTTCCAAAGTCACTCAGCATTCTTACCAAGTTTTACTTCCTATATGTATGCTATAGACATAAATGCATGCATAGGTATATCATCCCCATTTATCTTATGTGAACTCAATTATTAAACTAACTTTAGATAAGCATAACAATAGAAAAATACATTTATAAAAATCACAACTTAATTTTGGAGTTTAGATCAAATTTAATTCTGATGTGGTTACATGTTTTTCATAGATATTTACTAAGAAGAAATATATAATTATGCATCCCAGTATGTTTCAATTGTTTTTCTATTATTTTCTATTCCTAGATAAATTAATTTTAACCATTAAAAAAGCCTCCTCTTTAGGAATATATCAATATCCCCCCATCACCAGTAGTGATTTTGAAGAGTAGGGTAAGGTAGTACCTTTCTCCCCCACTAAGAATTAGTATATTTACTTAGTTAGGTTTACATATACATTTTATTATAAAATTCTTATTAAATTTTCTATATTATATATCTCAAACTTGTAATACTAAGTCTATAAAAAAAGTAAGCAAAATACATACAAGGGAAAAGCAAGCACAGTAGGCAAGGAGAAAAAGGAAGAAAGAATTATGGTTAGATTATTATGACAATTCTACCATCATCAATTTACATAGAAAGCAAGCTAGCATGCAACAACAATCATACCGAGCATTCAGAGCAAATACCTTGACTCCACAGACCTTATAAAAAGTAAATGCTTTCATAAAACAAACCTGATTAGTAGAGTTACATGAGGAAAAAAAAAAAAACAACTCCTACAGTTTCAAGAAACAGATTATGAAGTTAGGAAGGGGGCTATGTAAGATCCTTGTTGGTAAACCGTATTCTAATACTTACAAACCATAAAATACTACTTTACATTGTATATAGGCTTGAAGTATGTTGCCTAAATTTCATAAAATGACAAGACTGATGTCTGTTTCTCCCTTTTCTGTTGTTAAAATGCATCAGGGTTGCTAATACTGCATTTCCAAAATGTACTCAGACAGAGTAGTGCACATTTTATTAAGATCTTAGTTTGATTAATTTTTAAAAGTTACAATAATTCATCAAGATTAAATGTTGGCCTTCTGAAACACTTATGGGAAAAAACATCACACGAACATTTTTGCCATAGGAATGGCATACAACTTTCCACATTAAGCTACAACTTTCCCCAATCAACTTGGTCTATGTAACCACTTTCAGGAAACATACTTGCTCTATAATGTGTTATTCTGACTACATCTGAAAAACAAGAAATTCAACATTACTGTCTTGAAAACAATACTTTTGTATAAACCACTAGTCCTAAAATTACTCCTCAGCGAAGAGCAATATTATACCTGCTTAGAATCAATAACGGAAGGGCGTAGTGAGAAAATCAGGATAAGAGAAATCATTAGCGTTGTGACTACTCAAACTACAATTTATATACAGCTGTATGCTTTTTTCCCCTAAGGAAAGGATAATTTTACTGAAATAAATTAAATGTAAAGGATGGAAATAATACATTTTAAAATGTTTATTTAAAAAAGAACTTAAAACAAGTTCAATAGAAGATGTAGAAAGTGTATTTTGCTTTCCATTCATTGAAAATGGCTGAATTTTGTTATTTGATAAACTAAAATTACAATGTAGTTAGGGAATAGAATATCAAAGTCTTTATTTACTTGAGATTTAATTGATATCACATATTGAAGGAAAATAAGTATAAATTATATATTGTATATATTTTATAATTCTGTTGAAAAGTAAGTAACACTCAAAAGTAAAGATTTAAAATATTATAAACCTTTGATGATTAATGAATCACATAAGGAAAACATTGCTCTTTACAACAAAAAAGTCCCTACGTTATTATATTTATGAAAATCAAAAGGACAGACATCTGTGAAACCAGCCAAAATTCTATCAGTAGAAGAGTACAAAAATACAATAAAATTAATATAATCAGTATTCTCTATCACATGCCAAATATATACTACAACTTGTCTTAAGAGCCGTATGAATTAACAATACATTTACTTTTCTTTAGACCAAACATACAAGTATATGACCCACGAACATCAGTGGAGGACTACATGGATATGCAAGACAAGAAATTAACCCAAACTAACTACACAGCCTACATACTCTGTATGTGAAGTGACACACTATTTCATTGAATAAACATGTTTATTCATTAATAATGATTTAATCAATAATGGCTATTTTTCATACTAAATAAAATTTGTGGCTAATATTATAGTAGTTTTACAATGATACTTTGAAATATAAGGTACAAAAATCAAAACCAAATCCTGCTTGCAGGATGCAAAATTCCAATCTGATTACTCTGCTTTATCCTCCAAGATCTTTATGACTTCTTTCAAATATAAATATATGCAATTCCTAACAGTCTGGCAATGACAATGGATACCCTGTATATGTACACTTTTGACATGGATATTAACTGGGAAAGTACAAGCATCACATATAATGCATGCGCCTGTTTATAAACATACTAAAGTAAACAAAGTAACAGCATTTCTAATGTTCTCTGTTGAGCAAATTTCTTTTAAAATTTTCAGAAGTCTTGAAAACCTTCTTAAATTGCTTTATAATAGGACTTAATTGGAATATATAAGATCCTGGAGGATTTACTGGGGATAGAAATTGGTATAAAGCCAAGTGGTAAAAAACACATAATAAATGTTATCTGATGGTGACAATTTTATCAACTAAGTAACGTGTAAAAGAGGTATGCAAATGTTACAAAACATAAAAACACTACTAAATCAAGGAGAAAGTGAAAGCTAAAGGCTTAAACTAAAAGAAAGTATAAGGAATGAATACAATGGACAGAGGTAGAAAGAAACAAAAGGTGAGGAAAATGGGAAAAAGAGATAAGACACTGTCCTACATAGGATTAGAATAATCTAAGAAGGCTCTTTGCATTGTATTTTAATATTAGTTGAAACCGTGCAATTTATAGAGTGTCACTACTGTAGAGTATATAGGAATTATAATTACTTTTATTCTTTAGCAAAGAGTGATTAAAAAAAACCCATAGACTTATTTCTGCCTCGTGCAAATGTCTAGAAAGGTAACAGCAAATTAATTACTGATTTTTTTAAATTAAAAGACAAAAACTAAAAGGAACAAATACTTCTCTGAGTATAGCTATTTGCAAGTTTAGTGCACAACGTACAATACTTCTGGGGAACTGAAAAAGTAAAATTTTGCAAGTTAGATGTTCCAGAAGATATCCACATTTTCCTTTCTTAAACAGCACAAGAAATAGCTTATGAGTCTGAAAATAATATTTGCTTAACACTGTTCTTGGTCTATAGACTAGGTTACAGGAACTGGCTCCAGAAAGATAATTCTTGGCAGCTCTGACTGATTCCACTGTTTGGGAATGGATGCTGTATTTCTTCTCTAATTTGAAGACAGAAACCATGCTAAATTCAAGTGAAAGTGACTTTATGGAACAAAATTTTGGTTAGGTCAAAAGAATACAATGTTCCTCTAGTGGCACAGGAGAATGATTACGTAAGCCACCAACACTACACAGGAGAAATGATATAAAGATCAGTGTACTCAGTAGGCTTCCAATCCTACAAATGGTACAGAAAATACTGAAAACATAAAAAGCATCCATTTCACAGTAACACATGAACACAGAGCAGGGATGAAAAGATAATCTGTGTTTGGCCTTTAACTGATAACACAAAAAGCCAATTTGTCAAAACTGTGTCAGAGAAAAGATGGAGAGTGCCTTCACAGCATGTGTCAGAATGTATTACTACCATATCGGACACAGCAGATCTATCAGAATTTGGCCCTTTGGTTTTAGAAATATTGATAGTTTGAACATATAAATCTGTCAGAACTAATGACCTAGCTTTTGAGGTTCTGGAAAGAGCAGTTTCATTATTTGGCAAATCCTTTTTTTTTAAAGGAGGAAAGTGTACAAAAACTGTCTCAAATCAGCAAAATTGCTGATAAAAAACATATAATTCAAACGCCCATGAACTAACATGACTAAATGACATCTCTATCTTTTCTATAATTTAAAAAGCAAAGAAGACAACAATACTATCAAACTAGCTTGTGAAAATCAGGTAATATTCAAACTTTTAAGTTGTCTAAAATGCTAAGATTTTTAAAACTGAAAGTATAGAATACAATTTTGAAGTACGAATTCTGAGATTAGAAGGAAAACTATACAAAATTTGACTACTGGCCGAAGCCTACCTATAAACTTTTCAATTGAATTTTAAATATCCATCTGTAGGATCTTAAAAATGATGCTGCAAAATTAAAAACAGAACCATGTGCAAGGTTATATTATATCTATTTTATTTAGCATTAAGGTTTCATCACTGAATCCCATAAAGAAATGCTCCCTTAAAGACAATAGAACAAAAAGTAAAGCACTTGCCTCAGTTACTGCAATGGTAGCTTTTACCCAGCACTAAACTTACTACAACAGCAGGTAGCCATTCAAGTAGCTCACGATTAAAACTGAAGTCAATTCCTTCTTTAGAAAACTGTGAGCCAAACCAATTTGTCAGCAACTGGTATTGGGCAAAAGTACAGATTTCTATCAGCCGTATTGAATAGCTAATTCAAGTTTGTTTTCTGGAAAAACACTAGCCTTAAAAGCCAAACACTTAAGAACACAGACAGACACTTGGCCAGCATCACACTATGGCTTCCTTCCACACTTCATGAAGTTAATTGGAGGCCCAAGTCTGTTAGTGCTCTGCATACATAATGGTTTTGTAGGCCATAAACATATGCTTCTTTCACATGTGTAGTCTTTCAGCATCAACAAGTAATGCTGGGCAAAGTGTAAAAAAATATAAACTGCATACTTACTGTAAGGGACACATTCATATTGGACTTCAAGGTATTTGTATGTTCCAGGACATGGATCAGGAAACACATCTGACCCAGTAACTACTATACACTGTGTTCGATTGTTGCACCTGAAAAACAAAATGTATCAAACTTGTGTAACATAATTTATTTGATTATTTTCACTTAAATATAACATAGAAGTTTTTCTCATTTTCTTTAAGCAACCAGAAACATAAAACAAAAATTCAAGTGATGTTAAGTTACTCTACATTATTAAATATTTTATAAGAGTTTTGTTTTCTTTATGTTGTAATACAGTGGTATCATGGGTCACACTAAATTTTAACTAGAAGTAAAAAAATAATGGCCAACAGTTTCCTATCATTGTTATACATTTTAATTTTTGATATATTCAACATGAACTGAACGACAACAAGATCAACAACAAATATCTTACTAGGATATTAAGATATTTGGATATATCTTACTAGGATATTAAGAATTAAGATTACAATTTTTAAAAATGGTCCTATAACTAAACAGAAACGTAAGAGTCAAAACCTGAATTTCTCAGCAGGAAGTTTTTGACAACACAAAACAAGGAGCCAGGATTTTAATTTTATCCTCTAAATCCAGTTGGGTGTGAATTTCTTCATTGTACATACTTTCTGGAATACCAGAAACTAAGCTAGTAGAGCTCACCTTATATGCTATGGTCCACATAAATGATAAAGTGCATTTAAAGGATTTAGAAAAATGCTTTGGCACATATGTAATGTCTAAGCATTATTGTTACTCTTTCTATTCATAGATCAATGTGCCTATATAATTAATGAGATGACTATGTACCTCGGTTCAACACCAGTACTCCCTAAAATATAACATTAAAAAGAATGTTGTACTAACATGATGCCTAGAATGTTCTAATTATTGTTATAAGGAATTATTTTCTTGTTTTTGCAATGTCAGTAATTCACCAAGAATATTAGAAATAGGTTAGAATTCCAGATAAAATGATATGTACATTCTATGAATTTGTCCAAAAGGTCTTTTCATAACTTTTGTAAAGGCAAGAACTATTTCTTTTATAATTTGATTTGATTATAACCTAATGAATGGAATGTTTTCAGGGTTTTTATTGTATTTTCTGATAGCACATACATTAAGAAGGCAAATCAAGCAGAACAAGAACATTATAACATTTATGTAACAGTTGGAATACCACATATTCGATAGTACATAAAATACTGAAGTATAAAATAGCACTATAAAGAATTTTGAAAAGCATCCCAGTTTCTAGCACCACTAACTAAAGGGCAGTAGAAGGTGAATCATGTTAAAGATGGGTAGGAACAGTCGTATACTTTGGTGCCATTTCAACTCAAAACTAGACTTTCTCTTTGAAGAGCAGCAAAGCCTGAAAACTACAGGATTAAATAGGTAAATTTTATAATTCAAAGTATACTACAATGAACTTCAAACAAGACCTAAATAAAGTATAAGTAACTTTTATCATGATTATAATAGAGTATAGCAGTGTTTTTTTAGAAATATACCATATACTGTAATTTTCAAGAACGTAAATAATGTAAATGGTATAGTGTCACAATCTTCTGTAACATATGTTTTCCTGTCATTATTCTGTATTTCTCTTAATTTGGTTCACTCATCTGAAGAAATTTACCAGTGGTTCACCACTTAGTGTAAACGAATTATTTTAACATGAATCACAGAACCTATTTCACATCCTAAAATTCAAGACAAGAGGTAGGTTTACAGTTTCTCAATAGGTCAATAACTAATGTTCCCAACTAATAAATATAATTCTGATGTTTCATTTTTCTTCTTTTTTAAACTTTTGCAGCAACAAGACAGTTCACTGATTTTTTAGTTTCTTGATCTGCCAGAAATCCTCAAATCACTAACTTGGTCCCATTAAAAACAAAAGTCCTTTCATTTCCTTCTTTGTATTTATTCATACCTACAGTGATCTTCCTTTTATCACACCCTTACACCTCTCAGAAATGAAGAAAGATAAACAACTGTGTGTTAGATATCCCTTTCAGATACTCCCACAGTATACATTTTATAACTACTCAACCAAACTGTTAGGTTTTGAATGGTATTTAAATATGATTACAAAAACTCCTCCAAATAACAATTTCTAGTGTGAGTAAACTCTTCATTTAGTTTATCAACCTTCCCTTCTCACAAAAGGCTCCTCTCATATCAACAAACTAGCAACTGGTGGGAGAGAGAGGGAATTGTACTCAAAGTTGAAATGGACCAAGAACATGAACATGAAAGACTTTGCTATTAAGGTGAAGGAGAAAGTAACTCAAAGGATTTGGCCATTTATATATATATATAATTTTTCAAAAATAAAGAATACATTGAAAATTGCCCAGATTTTTTCCACCAGAAGTAATTGGATGAATGAATATAACTAGTACAGGCTTAGAGATCTTTTACTGTATGTTTCTCAATGTCATGGTATGTTCTGCAGGAAGTATATAAGCATTCTGGTTTCCATTACATTTTGTTTGAAAGAGGACCAACACCATAATAAAAAATAACTGTCCATATTTACTCTTTCTGAACAACTTTGCAGTAGTCCTCTGACCAATTACAGGTTCAAATTAATGTCAAAGCAATTATGATTACTTATACCAACCACATAATTTTTATTGATTTAAATAATCACATTACACAAAGCATCCACTTTAAGACAGCAAAACGTATTAATTCTACAACTATAATCTTAAGCAAAACTGATTTAATGAAGCTCCTGCAATAAAATTATAAAAAATTCTAGAATTCAGGGCCTCCCAAAATATAAAAAATATTCATTTTAAATTTGAAAATTTCATATGTTTATATACACAGAGATATCAGAAGTGCAAGAAATTAATCTTGAGAAAAATGGCAAATTTAGAGCTAAAACAGTTAAGGGTCAGAAAGGAGAGAAATCCAACTGTAAAAAGTACAAGAAAATTAGAACTTTGCATGCCAGTATCTTGATTCATGGAAATGAATCTAAGCTTTTAGAGGCCCAAATTACAGAAATAGAAATACAGACATTTATATTCCTTTATAAAGGGTGCAAGCAGCATTAAGTTTCCAAATAGAGAGTGAGGAGACAAGAAAGACATTGGGAAACACCCAACGTGAGCTATTAATACT
Organism: Homo sapiens; assembly: GCF_000001405.40. NCBI lineage: Eukaryota > Metazoa > Chordata > Mammalia > Primates > Hominidae > Homo > Homo sapiens. The sequence continues at coordinate 81,933,672 of NC_000001.11, read as the reverse complement.
AAGAAAAATCTGAAAATTCCTTAACAATATGCTGTTGATAAGATTATAAAAGTGTAAATTGCTATCATTTAAAAAGATCCAGAAAGAAAGCAATTACTTATCCACAGAAGCAAAGTAAATTCCCGCCAAGGGCTCAGCTTCAAGTTCTCATACTAATGAAAGCGAAAAGGTAGAGTTAAGCCAAGAAAGAAAAAGTGTTTAGTCGTTTGTATTTTCAGTACTGGGCACAGTTCCTGGCATGACTTTCTCTCCCTTCCTCTACAGAAGAAGATTTCTTTACCAATAAAGGTATCATTGTTTTAACAATCAAACTATCAGTATATTTTGGTAATACCATGTGGGTTTATTACGTTAATAACCTACAATTTTCTTACACATTAAGCATAAAAAATCGGTATGAATGAGAACAAGGCAAAAGAGAAAAAATAGGGTTTTAATGAGTAGACATTTTACTACAATTTGAAGGAACTACAATTACGGTTCATCATAAAGAAGCAGATACTAGAATATATTTTGAACACTTCAACTTTCAAATAACTGGTCTTATTTCATTTTATATTTATAAAGATGAACAGATGACTTAAGATAGTGAAAGCAGTAGTTTCCAAAATGTGGTCCTCATACCAACAGCACCACTATCAGCTGAAAACTTGTTAGAAATACAAATTATTGGCCAGGCACGGTGGCTCACACCTGTAATCCCAGCACTTTGGGAGGCCGAGGTGGGTGGATCACCTGAGGTCGGGATTTGGAGACCAGCCTGACCAACATGGAGAAACCCCGTCTCTACTAAAAATACAAAAATTAGCCACGCAGGCATGCATGGTGGCGCATGCCTGCAATCCCAGCTACTCGGGAGGCAGAGGCAGGAGAATCGCTTGAACCTGCGAGGCAGAGGTTGCAGTGAGCTGAGATTGCACCATTGCACTCCAGCCTGGGCAACAAGAGTGAAACTCCGTCAAAAAAAAAGAAAGAAAAGAAATACAAATTATTAAGCTGCACCAAAAATTGGCAGGTTCAGAAACTCTGGAAGTGGAAACCCAGCCATCTCAGATTTAACAAGTGTTGCAGGTGACTCTGATCAGTGCAACTTGTGTGAGAGCCACAGGGTTAAAACGAGATAGGTTTAGATACTTTACTAAAGAATAAATATGAATGGCAAAACATGATTTTGCTCTATAAAACTTAGTAAAACAAGTGAAACAGAAAACAAGTGATGAGTACAACTTATGTAAGAGGTACATAATACAGTTTACAATGTTAATATGTCTTCTTGCTAATTCTAAGTGTAGAAATCAAGAGTTTTAGTTGCTCTAATTTTGAGCAAGCTGTCTAGTTATTCATCAATTCTTAACATGGAGAATTGAAATAAGTATATTATCTGAGTACATGTATACATCACATATGAACCAATTTTTTAACAGATAAGAAGTATAATGTTTTGCTAAAAATGTGCTAACGAAACACTAAAATTGGAAATAAAACTTTTGAGAATATGTAAAAATATACTATGTTCTACAGAAGTATGTCATTAAAAATAACAGAAAAATATGACCCATTGTAATCACTGCCAATTTTCCTATATTCAATCTTTGACTTACTTATTCAAATAAATGTTAATAAAGTGGCTCAACTCTAGGAAGGCAATAAATACAGAAATTGCTTTCTTTCTGTTTTTAGAGAGAACTCAGAGGCATAAGTAGGCCTTGCGAATAATGTCTAAACAATTTCGGGGTCAGGCGCTATTGCTCACGCTTATAATCCCAGCATTTTGGGAGGCAGAAGCAAAGGGAGGAGGATCTCTTGAGCCCAGGAGTTCAAGACCAGCTTGGGTAACATGGCAAAACCCCATCTCTACAAAAAGTTTAAAAAAATTAGCCAGGTGTGGTGGTATGTGCCTGTAGTTCCAGCTACTTGGGGGAGACTGAGGTGGGAGGATGGCACCACTGAAGCACAGGCCAGGGAACATAATGAAACCCTGTCTCAAAAACAAAAACAAGGAACAAAAACCATTTCCAGGGTATAATTCATGATTAAATACTAAGTAGAAAATAAACATAAAACTACATAAGCACTCAGTCCCAAATTCTAAACATATAATCATTTTTAGTATTTTTCTAGTCACATTTCCAAAATTTTCAAATTTGGCATACAAAGACAAAGATTTAATCATTATTTCACATCACTGGGTTAAAAACGCACGAAGTATCACCTATATATAATTTCTGGTTGCAACTTTCTGACTACAATTTTAAAGACCTTTCTTACTATTCTAAAGTATATAGAGTACAACACTCAACCTGAGAATTCCAAATATAACTAAAATAAACCCAATAATAAAACCTTTTAATATTAAGTTCAAATACCGGAATAAAAGTATTATTTCTGACATTAAAATTCGTAAAACATTAATAAAATCCATCAACCACAACAAAGAAAATCCAAAAGTCTTGCTTTATAGGTCATAAACTAGTTTAAATGGGACAAAACACTGAATTTTGTTTATTTGTTTTTTGGTTTTTTTGAGACAAAGCCTCGCTCTGTTGCCCAGGCTAGAGTGCAGTGGCACGATCTTGGCTCACTGCAACCTTGGCCTCCCGGGGTCAAGCAATTCTCCTGCCTCAGCCTCCTGAGTAGCTGGGACTACAGGAATGTGCCACGCCGCCTGGCTAATTTTTATTTTTTTATTTTTATTTTTTTTCCAGTAGAGACGAGGTCTCATCATGTTGGGCAGGCTGGTTTCAAACTCCTGACCTCAGGTGATCCACCCGCCTTGGCCTCCCAAAGTGCAGGGATTACAGGCATGAGCCACCGTGTCTGGCCCAAAACACTGAATTTTACTCATGGTTTAAAAACTCATCCCTGTAGTCTTTCTACCCTACAGGTGTGGGGGTGAGGGTTTCAATGGTTCAATTCTGGAATGAAGCCAAATATGCATCTGTAAAAGCTGAAGTGTAACAAATAATTTTGAAGATTAATAGTTTATTAATTTACTTCCTACCAATATATTTGCTGATTACAAAAATTAGAGTAAGTATTTAAAGTTGGTGATATTGCCCAGGCTTGTGCACAACATATATTTCAAAAAAGATTTTAAGAAATAGCTAATGCATCACTTAACCATCCCAATTTGCAAATGGCAAGAAGGTGAAAGTATTACAAACAGTATATTTTATCTTCCAGATGTAATCAATGTTCTCAGGTCTCAATATTAACTTTTAAGGCATCCACAGTATTTTTTGAAATTAAGATAAATGTTCTCAAAAAAATGTGTAAAGCATAAAAAGGCATTTTATAAAAGTGTATTATCATTAATTTACATACTAGTATATGGAAATTACTTAAAAATATCATGCACAGATTAACAGCAGTATTTTCAAGAAAGATTATCTTTTTATTTTTGAGACATAGTGCCTCATTACTAATGAAATATTAATGAAAACAAACTATTAATATGTTCCCTTTCCTTAATCTTTTAAAACTCTATGTGAAAGAGAGCACAATGCACACATTACTTATACTCTCAGAATAAATTGTATCGAAAAATAATATAGCATACTGTTTATCTCTGTTCAAAAGCAAAATCATTTGATAATTGGGAAGATTAGTGTTTAAAAGCAGAAGCTGTAGAATCAGAAAAAAATTGGTGTGTAAGTTCCAGGTCAGCTGCTTACTTAATTGTGAGTCCATAAGCAATGTATTAAACCTTTCAACCTTAGCATTATCATCTGTAAAACGTAGTATCTTCTTTAGAAGTTTGTTAAGGTTAAATGGGATAGTGCAGGCAACTCTCTGCACAATACCTGGATAACAAACATCAAGAAATATAAATTACCACCACCGCCACCAAAAATACCAATAATAACAATGTCCCCTATGTAAGATGAACAGATTTGCAAATCTTAAAGAAGCAGAACATCTTTTACTCTTCCACAGTAGTCCCTGCACTGTGCGTACTCTTTACTGTGTACAGCTTTAAAAACAGGCTCAACTATTCATGCAAATTTGTTTCCATTCCAACTCTAATCTTGAATTGTACAATGCCCAACAAATTGCTTTTACTCTTCTTTTGATTATCTTATGCTCATTATTACACTTTACCAAGTGCAAAGTATGGAGACGAGATTCCATGTGTAATCTATTGTGAGAGGTGTTTTAATCAATAGTCTTGTTCTGCTGATTAAGCAGGGGCTTCTGTTTTGGCAAGATAACATTAGTTTCTCCAGTCATGCTCCAAAAACCATTGGGAATCTTCAGCAGATCATTAGATATGCTACAATAAAGCTTTGGTGCATTTTCTTTTCTTCCTTAAATTACTTCTTCACTGTCCCATCGTTCCCCGTCACCGATGGCACTGCATTATTATTGCAGCTCCCCTGAAACTTGCACTAGAGCTATGTCTCCAGGCCACAGGATGCCATTTTCAATTGAAGCTTCTTCTTGAAAATATAAATTAAGAAAATTTCATTATCTCCTGCCAGGGGCCATTATTCACCACAGTTCTAAGGAAGATTAAAAATGCAAAATCTACCGCCTTGAACAAATATTCCAGCATTCAACAGAAAAGCTCAGTATATCATGACAGAAACTAAAAAATTAAAGTTTGCTTAAATTTGAAATTATACAATTACTAATTAAAGAATTAGTTCAATCCTTTATTGAGTCTGCATCTTCGATGAAGATTGCTTCATCAATTTAAATATTTTAGTGGCTATTTATTCATTAAACTTCAATTACAAAATACTAGCAATGGTAAGACTTTTTTTTTTTCCTGAGTTACTTTCTGTCTGTCTCAGTTAAAAGTGCTCACTTTTTGGAGGTGAAATCAATGCTTCCAAGGTACCAAGGTATCATGTAATGACACTCCTTTTCATAGTGCCAAGTATAAACAAAACATACACAGGATTTCCTGGAAGAGCTTAAACCACATCCTTAGGTGAATTGTATATGCTAAACAAACAGAATATCTACAGACGAACTATTGCAATATGAATCTGTTCTTTAATTAATAGAATAGGAATTACATGCATTCTTGAGCCTCAATAACTAAGTAAAAATAAATTATATGTTAATAAGTAAATTACATTCTGTTCAGGTACACAAGTTTTAAAAATTTAGAAACTACTAGAAAGTGGGAGTTTAAGAGAAAATAATAAAAGAAAAAAGAAGCTGCCAACTTACAAATTCTTATTGGAGGTGATTATATGCCTAGCACATAAGAATCTGGTGTTTTTGAAAAAATTAAATAATGATTAATGATTATCTGGCTATTTCTGCTCATAAATAAACATGGTTAATAGAAAATAAACACCAGACATCCAATTATGCCTCAATCAGCCGTACCTGATTCTCAGAGAACCCTGTCAATTTGGATATAGTCTTGTATCATCAATGCCAATAACAAACCCTTATGAAATAGATTACCTATTTAAAAGGAAGGCGGGATAAGTATTTAGCTACTAATCACTTCTCCATATACACTAGCAAATTCCAACTGACTTAGTACTCTAGCCACTGTCTTTTTTAGTCCAAATTTAGAACAAAATTTTATACACACAGCATATAACTTTAGAACATAAATAGGTAGGCACCAATGCAAATAGATTTGCTCAGGCAAAATAATCAAGTGAATGGAGAGGGAATACAAAGAATTATGCTTCAAGATACAAGGTTACAATCATCCTCACAAATGCAAGAGAAAAATGGAGTTGAATGTTAAATCAAATCTTTTCAAAAAGTTTTTTTTATTTTATAATGAAATGCTATTTTATCATCTAAATTTCTATTCTATACAGCTAGGGAAAGTGGGTCTTGCTTTCTTTAAATATTTATTAATGATGATTTGTGAGCTTAACTAATTGCTAGGTAAACATAACATTAGGAAGCTAAACGGTGTGTAATTCATGTGGCAAAAAAGAGGTGTTCTGTAACAATGTTCCCATTTGTCACATAGCTATTGCTCATTATTTATTTAATAATTTGTGTAGTCTAGATTTCTAACCATCATATAGAATTTAATCCTATAGGTATGTTAGGATATTATACAATTTGCATTATAGAACACTGTGTTATTTATTTTGAAATCATTACTGTAATAAAGTTAGTTTCAGAATCTCTAGCATAATATGCATGAATACTGGTACACAGAGATACATAATTTGGGAAAAATAAACAATATAATTTTTATTACATTCAATTTTCTACTTTTTTAAAGTTTTAAATATAATCCTGATTTTTTAAAATTGCACCTGTGATTAAATCCTTGAAATTGCATAAAAATTATTTTAAAATTGCATTTATTATTAAAATGATAATCATAAGCAAAAATGCAAAATGTTTTTCTGTACTTTCAATGTGTAAACATAAATCCATTTGACTGAAAAGGAGTATAGTGTATAAGAGAAACAGAAAGTCCTCACTCCCCAAGTAAAAATCAAGTAACTGGTGGCAAGTCAACAAAAGCTTGACAGTAAAATCCTATGGAAAATCAATTCTAGGAGGTTGTCGTGCTTTTTTTCAGTCAATGAAAACAGAATAACATCTTCCCATAACCTTTGCATTTGAGTAAAATATTATGCCAGAATTTATAAACACAAAGTATGCATACTTTAATATTTAGTTCATTTACAACTTAGAAACTCCAAAAATTTCCTTAAAAATACCACATTAATTACTAAAATAAGCATTTTGAAATGGCAATGCTGATTTTCTAAAAACAACTTTCTATGTTTTAGAAACCTTTGAAATTCCTTGCAGTTTTTACCGGACCTTGGGGTCAGTTTAATGCAAATTAGGCTTGACTCACTCAGAGCCTTATTAATCCAGTACAAAATCTGTTGTTTGCAGAAATGCACATTCAACATAAATGTGCTTGCTTTTATTAGCAAAATAAGAAGTATTTATTTACAAAGCATGCCACTGAGACTGTTTCATTCACAGGGTCATCAGGTCTAACTACTTAATGAAACAAAAAAATTTAAATGGGAATAAAAACCATAAAATTTTGTAATACTTAAAAAAATAATGCTTCTGTGTCTAAATTTTCAAAGCCTTCACTTTTAATAATTCAAAAAATATTACAACCTGTATCACTTAAGAGCAATTATTTATAAAAACGTTAACCTACTGCAGTTTGCACTTGCAGAAACTATCACATTTTTAACAAGGGAAATGGGAAATCGCTATGGGATGCCCTAGTTAGATTAAATTAGCAAGAAACTTGTTACCAGACTATATAAAAGACACAGCGTAATAAGACATGACCTTGCAGAGCCTTGGAGCCAATCTGTGATGTTTTTCCTTCCTATAACCCTTGCCAATTATCTGCAAAGTTACAGACCCTTTTGTCGTGGGTTATTTTTCTTCGAATTGTGAGGGGATTTTGGTTTCTAAATATTTAATTAGTCTTGTTGTGATATGAGAATTGTTGTACATGCCAAGCATTTCGATTTTCATACTCTATTCCTTCTAATTATCCTCAGTTTTAGATTGGTCATCCCAAATCCTTTCCGTTTGTAATTATTTACTTCTTAAAGATCATTCAGTGAAGAAATATTTTCACCCTTATGGCTCTTCTTTTCCACAAATGGCTTTTCTGGTCTGTTAATTACCCGCTCAGAGGATTAGAGTTTGAAATAATGCAAAAGAACCTGCAACTAAAAGGAGTTTTAGAGGGCAGAATTGAGTAAACTAGATTTGTGTTGCGGCTATTTTAAATTCACCTTAAAGATTACGCCCTTGGTTTAGATATCATTTTGAAAAGAAGAAAATTATGCCATAAAGATTTTTTTTCTGACTCCTGAGATGTTTGATGAAATGTCATTTAGTCAGTATTATAAATCTCTGAATATACAACAAACGATTTTCTATTTGAATTGATAACTAATATAATTTCCACTTTTACAGACCTCATTTTGATTACAGCATGGCAACAAATGCCGACAGAACTTCCTATACAAATCAAACTGAAAGTATAGAAATAAAATAACAAGACTTTGGAAGTGTGGCTTTAAAAAACGCATCTTTGTCAAAGTATTTAACTGACTCAGAAACATTTCCCATTTTTTATTAAAATGACTCTATGTTCTGTAAGTGCTTACTTTTTTTTTTTTTTTAATCAAGAGGGAAGAAAACACTGCTATTCATTACACAAAACGAATTATGGATCTTTCCCAACTTTCATGTTCACATACTGTATTTCTTCACTAAACTTAATTTTCAGTCAAATAAACATTTCTAATTATTACTTTAATTTTAAAGTAATTTTTCTTCCTCTTGCAACTTCTAAAATATTTTGGCAGTAAAATATTTGATGTCATTTATAAACAAACTCATAGGATATTTTGTGTAGAAGGGAATAAAAAAGAATGAGCAAGCAATATCTGAATATATGAACTGAATTAATAAGTTAATGTTGGAGGGCAAGGGAAATACATAGTTCATGTTTCTCCAAAGGTTCAACAAAGTGAAAACTGTTATTCTAAAAACAAAGTGCTACATAATTATTCAGAAAGCCATGAATCTTTTTCTATTAACTATTGAATTTCAAATTTGATCTGTGTTTCCTTATGTCCTTCTTTCCCACATAGAAGGAATTCACTTTATCATCTACTTATAGAGAGTATACCCTCATGGTCAAATTATATCCCAACTCCCCTCAGGAATTTTCATACAAGTATTCTGTTCTAACAGAGGATCCTTCTCCCTTAATTTAAAAATGTTGTTAGCAAGTATGTGCTTAATAACAAATATGAGCATAAATTATGTATCATCATCAAATACAGTAGTACCAAATCAGTATCAGATTCTGGCAACACAATCTCTTTGACATGAAAAATTTTACTTAAAAAATGAACAAAAAAATCCTGCTTAATAGAATGGATTAGAAATAGAAGTTGAGACAGGTCTGGAATTATAGTAGCGAAATTCGGCTCCAAACCCCTGAAAAATCCACTTGATCTCTCCTCCCATATACCTCAATCACCCCTCAACCTGAGGGTTTTCTCCAAGAAATCCAGTTTAAAAATCACCGATCTAATATAATTCTTCATTAATATAGGTGCAATATACTAAGGCCCAGAGAATCTGATTGACTTACTAACACCACAGGCTAGAGGAATCACTGCATCTGAAAGATCTCTCTCCTAAACATCTCTCTACGATATTATCTACTCCATAAGCATGGCTCAGTACTCGTCTCTACAAAAATCATCCTAACAGAGGCAACCTTTTCTATGTAGACTTTGAGAATCTTGATATCTATGTAATTTAAAACAGCTAGCACACTAGCAAATACCTCTGAACTGAGTTCTCACATAAATGACTATGTACAGTTCTTGAACTATCTCTTCCTTAATAAGAAGATCCATTTGAAGGACCGTTAAGTCCCTGAGGTAGAAAATTATCAGAGCTTAGGATACTATGCTTCTAGTCTGAGGAACTGCTATTTTCCAACTCCCAGTGGTGCCCTCCATGCAATCCTAAAAACAGGATCTCCCTGTTATATACTTGAGGGAGGCACACACATATGCGGGAAGAATCAGCCACACAGGTGGTATACAGAAAGCCAATACAAATGATGCTGGCCAAACAGGATTATATTCCCTGACTACCTGAATCGGAAGTAGTCTTTTCCTAGAGCAGCAGCTCTATATTATTAATTTGGAAGTTAATCACATTCTGCTTTATGGCATCTCCTATATTTTGCACTTTAGTTGCTGCTAAACTCACTAATTATTTTCCATGTCTAGAATTACACGGTAAACTTCTTATGTCCTTGTTTATATTATTTCCCAAACACTCCAAGAGCAGTGGGTACTGTTGTATCAGGCCTCACACAGTAATTTTAGTTGTGTCTGGGACTGTAGTTTCACCTTTCTGTTGTATGTCAGGCTTCTTTTCAATCTATCTCAATGCCTAGTCTTGTTTATGGCAAGAAGTACTCAATTTAAATACCTTCTAAGTTGGAATTCTCAATCTTCCGTATTTTACTGAAGGTTTTTTAATCAAAGGAACAATTCAAAATGTCTTCAGGTATACACTAGTTGTCATTTCTTTAATAAAAACTACAGAAATTTTGTGTAGATGTTTACCAAACTATTCTATAAGATGAGATTAAAAAAAAAATAGTGACCAAAAGCTAGAGACATAGACTCTTGGGATACTCTGAGCAGTAGAGCAAGTAGGGAAGGCCAAAAACAATCCTTAGCACCTGTCACCTGAATATAAATAACCAAATTCAGCAGACTTTTATAAAGAGATGGCTACTTGTGGTTCATACACTCTCAGATTAATGGAGTCTCACCTGACTGATAAATATATGACAAATTTCACTGGCTTACTTCTGATAAATCTGAACTAATCTTTAATCATGACAAAACATTCATAATCTAATCCTTTTATCAAATTGACTACCACTGCAGGAGTCTCATGTGTTTGTACAATTAAAAACCCCACGTTAGCTGTATATAATAAGGCATTACATTTGATGCAAATCCTTTTCTATTGAAATAAGTGCCAAGCTGACAGCAGGAAGTAGCTGATAAGAAAGCAACAAGGCATTGCTGATGGCATTCTCTTGATAACTGAACACCAACTCGTAAATATTCAGTCTACAGCCTATTACCCAATGAGCTCTTTCTAAAAAGCACAGATCAAGGGAAGTGTCCTTTTGCTGCATCTCAGTCACAAAAGCAAGAAATTATCTTTAAAAAGATAGACAGACAGATACATAGATAGATCAATTGATCACAGGTAAATAGGAAGAAGGAGGAAAAGAAGAAAGGCAGGGAGGGGAAATGTAATTTTATATTTTATTTATTATAGAGATGGGGTCTCACTATTTTGGTCCAGCTGGTCTCAAACTCCTGGCCTCAAGCATTCCTCCCGCCTCCGCCTCCCAAAGTTCTGGGACTATGGGCATGAGCCACTGAGCCCAGCCAGATAACTTTTTATTCATCTGTGATGCTGGTTTTAAAAAAAAGTGGTAGAAGACATTACGTGCTGTTATATCCTAAAGTGTAGAAATACCTGTAATTTTGGAAACATAGTAATACCATAAATATGCCACATCTGAATAATATCTATACAGATAAAAATTAACAAGTGAATATCAAACTGTACCTTACTCTTCTCTACTATAAAAAGATTGAACTCCTTACTGTTTCGGAGTTAATATTAAGGACTCAAATCCTAGTGCTATTTTCCATGCTGACATTACAGAGTTAAAAATAGTTTTTTAAATATGATATTCTGTACGACTATTTTCATAATTTTTGAGATATATATAAACACAATCTTTGAAAGATCCTTTCCTCCTTAGCTTAAGTGAAAGGAGGGAATTCACTCACAATGCCCGAAAGGAAAAAGAAACTGGCGAACATGCTCCATGTTACAGAGTGTGAAAGAAAGGGGACAGAAGCTGAATACCTCCCTGAACAGACCTCCTCAGTATCCCGAGCATACAGTATTTTTTCCCCTCTCAGGCCATAACTTACCACTTTCCCTTCTCCACCAGCTTTTGAAAGTTTGTTACACTATAAGGGAGATTTGGTATCACAGTTATTTCTGTACATTATCTCCTCTTCTTCACCAGACTACAGAGCCTTTGAGGGGTTAGTCACTGTTTTAAGAGTCTCTGAATCATATGCACTGCATAACGCTCTACCTTATTCTAAAATATATTAACTCCATAAACATCAGACTGTACTCTAACAAATATACTAATATATTCTTACCAGTTGTTAATAAATACTGTTAGAGTGTTTGGCACATTTGCTTCTATATCTCAGAACCCACTAATCATTTGGCAGCAAATCAATCAATGAAAGACAAGATATCATTTTCAGAAGCCAAGCATGGTTCCATAACCATATGATATAAACCAAACTAAAATGTATCTGATTTATAGTTTACACAAGCAGTTTGTAGAAGCTTTTAAAAGTGACAATGAAAGCAGAAAGTGTCTATCCTCATATTATACTTCTAGCCTGAATTAGCTTCATATCAGTAACTTGTCTGAAAGGCTCGGTTCATCAAAATCTATAAAATGTTAGACTCAAGTGCTTTAACTATCACTAACACCATGTGCAGGCTTGGGAGTGGAGGGCCGTGTGCTGTGAAGCAGCAAATGTTGTGCTCTTCTGAAAGCTAACGTGCACTCTTATGCCACAGATATAAACAGAGTAAGCACATTAAATAATGAATGACTAGGAAAACAGCCTTATCACTGCAGTTTAAAGACACACTATACACATTATCATATTGTACACAATAAAATCTATTAAGCAATTTTAAAATTTTTTACACGTTTTGCAGAAGTTGCAACTAAACATATTAATAGACTGAGGTGGCATGTTTTATAGTAAGTCTTAGAATTTTTTTATTTGCAAAAAGTATTATAATACTTAAAGTAGTATACTCATAAAACATTACATATTCTACATAAGGAATCATGGTCAACTTCTTAAGCATATTTGATATGACATTATTAAGTAAAAGAAACACTAGAATAACTTGTCGCTGCTCTTATCTTTGACCCTTAAACTTTTCCATTTCAGCAACCTCATTAATGTCAAAATGCCATTAGAATGTCTGCCCACTTCTAAACCTCTATAGCCAAGGCAAGGCAAAACCTTTTGGATTCAATCAGAAGCACTTTCTTTTTGTATTCAGTTAAAAAGCTTAATAGAGCCACAAAGGTCAAAATATTACTTTTATTAAAGAAAAAGGATGACAAGACAAAGATAAACGTTTTGAGTGCAAAAAGCCATTTTTAGACCTGAATTGGGCTTTTTTTTTGTTTTTTTTTTCCTTTAAAACCTTTAGTTTTTATACTTAATTACTAGATTCCTATAATGTATTAGCACTTTTCTTTGGTTGGATAACAAGGGAAGCACAGATTTGAGGCAGAGATCTCTCAGAGGCTTATTGGGAGTGCTCTTAGAACTATCATTGAAGCCATGACAGATGCAGGGTTGGGGAGAGTGAGAAGGCGAACTCCAGTGCAGTCGCAACAAAAGCCCAGCAAATTCCTCAGGGCGGGAGCTCTGGAGTTGGCAGAGACCTTCAGAGATGTCCCTGAAATGAAGCAAAGATGAAGAAGCCAATCCTTTGTACTCTGGCATTCATTGGGATTCACTGGGGGCTGCCTCTGGGGAGAAGAGTTTAAGATCCCTTCAGCCCGTGGCAGTTCCTGTGGAGTGACTCAGCTGTGAGCCCATCAGCAGGCAACTCTCTTGACAGCTGGGAGAAACAGTGCCTGATCCTGAAAGGCGAACGTGGGAGGCACACTACAACACCAACCATAACACTAATGGTAAAGAGTTTTATGAGTTGTTTTCAAGGACAGTTCTTTTAATACTACTTCTCATTTTCACAGTTTTTATTCTATTTTATCTTCTTGTACACATTGACATGTCAATCCTGTTTACTAAGCGATATTCAATGGGTTTCCTATAGAGCAGTGAACCTTAACAGGCAGCTTTTAATTGGCCCACATAGGAAACCGCATTACTATTAATTCCACAGCTACAGCATAAAATAAAACCATTGCTTCTCAAACTCTAGAGCAATTAGACCTCTCGGCTATTTGGCTAACTCTGCTTCATGATACCCAATGCAGTTAATTATATTTTTTGATGTTAATAGTCTCTGTCAGTCTCAAGCATAACTTCTCTTTGATGAATATTTAAATTATATTTGAATAAAAAATAATCTTGGTTACATTTCATATTCAGTAATCATCACAGCTTAATAAAGGTCTACTCATCAAGGGTTGAAATAAATGGCAAGATATATAAAAGTGCCTTGAACCAACTTATTAGATAATATATTTGTTATGACCACTATTTATCTATCTAACATACCTGCTTTTGTACATTTTCAAAGGTACAGTCTCATTCACATATTTCACAATTTGATTTCAAAAGTTACTTACAAACATTCTTTCAAGTTTACATAGAATTCTATTAATTAATGATAAGAACACTTTAGGATGTCATAAGATAATCAAATGTATGAAAAAAATTACAGAATTATAAAATATCATTAAAAAATCAGCATACATTCTATTCCTGTGTGATTTTTCTAAGTACCAAGAGTAAAACTTAAAAAAAAAAAGCTTTCATTTACTAAAGGATGTTTTTTATTATAAATCTAACAGAAACACCATTACTAAGGAAAAGTAACTTAAATAATAGTTTTCTTCATATAAAGTCTGTAATGGGAGTTGAGGGTGAGGGAAACTTCCAAAAATTAGGAGGAGAAGAAGGGGGAGGAGAGTATAAAAGCAAAGTATATTAGTGAAATTTATTTAAAATCTGTTTATTCCTCCATTTAGTTTTGTCCATATTATAATAGGAGGGCTTTAAGCCAAGCATTTATTTAACATAAACTGCGAAAATGGGTTATTCTAGCTCAAAGCTTTTACTAAATAAATAAATGTTTTAGTTTATAAACTTAAATAATGTCCTTTAAAAAATGAATTTGTTTAATTTTTAATCTTTCAGTCTCTCTTCTCCCAAATCCTAAATCTCTGAAATACAAAGAAGATATCTAAAGATACAATGAAATATCCTAAAATGTACATATCAACCTGTGAATGTCCAGGGGAATGCTATGCCAACTTCTTGAAACTATCACCTGATAAATAAAAAAGGTAGGCGTGAATTCAAGTTTTGTGGGGTCTAAAACTTGTAAAATTTAAGGGTCCTTCTATAAAAAACAAAATAGAAAAATTACATATAGAAAATTAGATACCAAAGTGAATGGTTATTTAGAAAAAGAAATCACAAGAAATAAATTTGTAAAAGCCAACAAGAACCACAACCAACAAAATCCAGAAAACTAAAGCATTTTAATTAATTGCCTGATATTCCTTTCTAATACTTCAATATTTTTAGCGACATAGTCTATGAGTGTCTCTTCATGTAAAAATTTCAGTTTACTTTCTATAATGTTGCTTTTCCTGTGAACAGCTGATCCAAATTTGTTTTTTACTACTGATAGTTGTGATGCATAAAACATGCACCCACACTGCCACAAGAGCTCGTGCTTGCTACACTGCTCCAGCCTGTGCCTTACAAACACTGGCATTCTGATAAATTCTATTTCATATTTTACTCATCAAGAGGGGGAAAGTATGGTACATTGGTAATTTTAAGTACTACCCTTGTCATGTGCTCTGTGTACTCTACATACTCCACCAAGAATATGTAAGAGAAAACTTCTCTTTGGATTAGCTATCTATGAAAACCAAATGTCCCTTAATGTTATATATATATATGTAATGAATGAAAGGATTTTTCCATAGACTAGCTTCTGGCTCCATACACTACAAACATTATCTCTCTTCCACTACCCACATATCTCAGGTGTCATAGGACATATTTAAATTGCAATATGACATCTGGCTTTGCACATTTATGTCACGATCAGGAAGGAAGTATAATGAGTAACAGAAGTATTTCTAGAGGCCATTTCTTCACCAGAATAGTTAGCAGTAACAAAACTGTATACAAGTGTCTACAAACCACGTAAAAATAACTCCACTAAACCTAGATTGAATTTAACACCAACTGAACTTCCATCTAACTGCATCTCTAAATGCGCTTGGCTATTCCTAAGCCACCATAAATGAGGGGAAGTATATCAGAAAAGTCAGAGAATGAAATCAGAGCCTTTAGAGATTGTGTTTAAATATTGTATTTCTGCCAATTTTTACTGTATGTATTTGACCCCATGAACTTGTTCAAATGCCTTAGAAGAGACCCACGCAAGTGAAGGGCTGTGATGTTTTAAGATTCATTACCTTCATGGGTTTACCATGAATCTATCTTTAGAGACAGAGTAAGATTTCCACAAATTACAGGTGAGTTCAATAACAATAACAGATCTGCGGTCTGAAAAAACAAACAGAAAGACCACTGGAATCATCTCAAGCCAAATTAAATAGAGCAACTCTCATTTCAGACACTTTCTTAAAGCCATGAGTAATGTAGATAGGTGAGTTCTAAAACTATGTCTTTCTTGGTCTTCACATATGACATGTTAACAAATTTTGAGAGAACCGTGACGTGTTAGTTTCACAATATATCTGATTTATTTATACAACATTTAAATGTGTTAAAGACTACAAAATCATTTACTTCTATTTTTTTCATAATGAGATTTTTCCTTCTAACATCCACAAGAGATGTATTACCTCTAAAACTAATAGTGGAGTAATAAACAGCACTAAAAAAAATCTAACTACATTGCTATAATATACTTAAAGAAAATACATAGCAAAGAAAAAAGAATGGATCTTTAAAATATGCAAGGCACAAAAATATGTATTAGTAAAATGCCATCAGAAGCCTAATTACCCACAATTATTCTCCTCAGATAATGTACAAAGTAGGTACTGGTGTTTTTTGTTGTTGCTGTTGCTGCTGTTACTATCATAGTTTTGGTATGCAATTTCAGTATAGGATATATGGAAAATTAATAGGGCCATAATAAATGACAGTTTAAGATCTTTAAATAATTTAATATCAAATTATCTCGCCAGGAGTGGTTGCTCATGCTTGTAATTCCAGCACTGAAGGAGGTAGAAGAAGGATAGCTTGAGCTCAGGAGTTCAAGATCTGCCTGGGCAACATAGTGAGACCATGTTCCCCACAAAAAGAAAAAAAAAGACATATATATGTATTTTTTTTTTCTCTCTTTCTCTTCATTCAATAAAATTAGTCAATACAGTATACTGACTCATCATGCTATCGTGTTCCTAACCTAGTACAAAAACAAAATATGGATTTGGGGTAAACCAATTTAGTAAGATGTTTTCTCTATTAAATACAGCTAGGCATTTTATTTATTTAGATATCTCCTTAAAATGTACAAGAATAATTAGAATGGAAAAGTCTCAATTTTGCCCCAATTATGTTTGCTATTATTTATTAAATATTAAATTAAAAGTATTAATAAACAGCATATTTCAGTGACATTATTCCAAAGCTTTAATAAACACATGTATTATTTTCCTAATAAAAATGCCATAGGAAATTTTACAGCATACTAAAAACAATTCCAAATTCTTAAGTGACATTACACTTCACAACTTGTTCTTTTTTTAACTGGTAGAAAACATGCATTATATTACATTTCAGTAGCATTTGTCTATGAATTTTGGTGTCAAAAAAAGAAAAAAAACAGAAGAAAATGCCAAATTACAAGCAAAAATAGTTGACTTTGCCTTGATGTGAAACCTTACAATAAAATTTCATTTCTATTTTTTACAACTGTAACTGAACATCTATTCTTATCTGTTCAAAGTATAACTTTTTAAAAAGGATGCTTGTAAGCAAAATTTTTATATTATTAGTATGACATCAACAAGCAGATCCATACTGAAAAGAAATCATACTTAGGAACAACAAAGTCCTTGAATGGGTATCTGAAAATAGTCTTATGAAAGCTGATCTCGTGGTCGTTTAGATAAATGTGTATTAGTAAAATGCCACCATGAACCTAATTACCCACAATAATTTTCCTTAGACAGTAAGTAAATACATTTAACACTTGATTGTTTAGTACATTTTAGAGATACCAGTCAAACACAGTTCTGTCAATTAACTTGTTTAAATGTCATACTTTGTAAATAGAAACCGATGTTTTAGTGTACAGGAAGGAATGTTCTAGGTGAGTGAAAAACTACAAGGTATGTGATGATATAGACACCACAGAAATACCATTGTCATCCCATCCATAATACTCTCCTTTCAAATGAGAAAGGTGGAATACATAATAATCCCTAAGGATATGAAAAGCACTATAAAAAGATCATTATGATCATATTGAAATGCAGAGGTCAAATGAAATGTTCACGTTCACGTCTATTGATTTTGATCTTATTTCTTCATCTCTCCGCTTTGGTTTCAAAACTAAAAATAAAAACTGAAGCAAAATCACCAAAGTTGAAATGAGATATGGCTTTGCTTTCAAAAACTAATTTCCCTTACCCTTATCCAGCCTATATCTGTTCAAAAATAAAATAAAATTCAAACTTTTAAAGTATCTTTCAAGCTTCTGAATTTCACTGAATAAGCCTTAGGGAATACTTAAGACCACTAATGTAATGTCCTTATGGAAAATACTCTGGTTTCCTCAACCAATCAATGGACATAATACAAAAGGTAAAAACCCCCTAAATTAATGAGAAGTACCAGTGAAAATGAGCCAATTCACACCTGTATTCTCAGTCTTCAACATCTAGTAGAACTGTTTTACTGATTTTCATTTTAAAATGAAAAACAGAGCCAGGCCTGGTGGCTCACACCTGTAATCCTAGCATTTGGGAGGCTGAGGCAGGCGGATCTCTTGGGTCCAGGAGTTTTGAGACCAGCCAGGGCAACACGGCAGAAACCCTGTCTGTAAAAAAACTTTTCAAAAATTAGCTGGGTGTGGTGGCATGCACCTGTAGTACCAGCTACTCGGGAGACTGAGGTGGGAGGATCACTTGAGCCTGGGAAGCTGGGGCTGCAGTGAGCAGAGACTGCACTCCAGCTGTAAGACCCTGTCAAAAAAAAGGAGAAACCAAGGATCCTATAGGGCAGAATTTTTGATGTGACATTATTTCTCTCTTTTCTACATTTGATAAGCAGGGTCATAAAAGATATTTAGATAATTTATCTTCTAAACCATTTCAAAATTTATTAGTCTTTCTTGCACACTAAATGTGAATGTTTAATAAGTTTCATGTTTATTACTGCCAACAGTCTCCCCTTCCTATGAGTGCTTTGCTTTAATGTCCATCAGTAAGTGACATGCAAAGTATGTGTCCAATTAGGTATACCAATAAGAGCTTTAATGGTTATTTATTACTGTACTAAAATTCAAGAATCTATATTAGTAGACTGGCCACAGAGATGTGCTTGTAATACCAGTTAGTTGTCTTGAAACAACTAGGCCACGAGTGAGAGAATTAGTAGAAATCCATCAACTAATAGAAAATAACCTAAGTAGATTGCATAGACATGATGGGTTAGGAGCGGCCAAGTTATTTCATTTCCCCCGTATGTATTTTACCCTAATGGACAAGTGGTGGATAAACCTGACATGTCAAGTAGATAAAAGCACCTGGGATAAATAACATAAGGGTAAGAATGCAGTTTCTGAGACATGGCAGGCTTAGATCCTAAGAGAATGAGTAAGTATACTGAATGAATATGCTAAGCAAGAGTAACCCTGACTAGTAAGCATTCATAATAATTCAGGAATAAAATATACCAACCCCAAAATATTATGAAACACCATAAGACATACTGCACTAATTTTTCCCTTTGAAAAATGCCATTAATGAGGAAGAAATATGAAGATTTTAGAAAGATGAGTTTACAGTTTATTGTAACCTATAGGAAAAATCAGAAAACAAATATTAATTAAATAAAAATATCTTTCATATAGCTCTGACTTGGATACAAAGCTTCTTTATGAAGAATGGATGATCAATGTAAAAAGTTGAGAGGACTGTACGTCAACGAGAGTATACACAAGCCGAAATCTATAATCATGAAGTCTGCCAGAGTACACTGGCAGAACTGTGAGTGCATTGTAATGAATTTTCTTGATTAAATTCTGAGAGGCTTCCAATATTCACCACTTCCCATAGTAAAGGGGTGTGTGTGTGTGTGTGTGTGTATGTGTGCATTAAGTATCTCCCTTGTTTAAATATTTTATATAAAATTAGTATCTATTAGTATATTTGAAAATAATAGACATGTTAAAAGTCTAGATAGCAAAACTGAACTTCAAAGTTATTTATGAATACATTTTCATGCCAGTAAGATATTAAATGAATGAGGTTCTAGGTACAGGCGATTTGAGGTTTCAGCCCCTGTGGAAAATAATCCAACCTTGTTCTAAAGGCTTGCGAAGTAAAAAGAATATCAAATTGCCACTCCTTCTCAAGGAGATTTTTTTAAAAGTGAGAATATACATGTAGCTATGTGAACTAAGTGTACCAATTATAATGACATCAATTCCCCAAGTGTAATTAAAGGGAATTAGAATATGATGAGCCTCAAGCTCCTCCGTAGCTCTAACAATCTCAATAACTCCCTTAAAATAGAAGCCATGGCCTATAAACTCTCCCATCCCCTACAGAGTCCCTATTTATATGGCTTGCCTCGTGGCAAGAATGGGAGGTGTCATGGTAGAGGGTAAGATCATTCTGCTTATTCCAGACTAAGGCATACATGGTCCTTTCCATGTAGTCTTACTTCTAACTGAATGTGGAAGTATGCACTCAATTTTCCAGTCTCACTCTGCATCCACTGTAATGTAAAGAACCACAGAACAAAGTAATGCACATACATATACAACAACACATTCCTTCAAAGCCTCTGGCACACAAGAAGTTCTCACCACTCCATATGCTCTCAAGTTTAAAAAGTAAAATAAAGTGTAATTATTATACTTAGAGATAATAGGTTAGGATATTGATAAGTTTAGAAAAGGGAAATTCAAGAACAGAAAAGTTACCGAATGGGGTATAGAAAGGGAATAGATTATTCTGGTGCCTACATTTAGAGCTTACTTCCATTATCCCAACCTTTCAGAAAACACTGAGCTTTGAAATCAGCTTTGTTGCTTATAGAGCTTAAGTTAATTAAACTATACCTAAAGTTCTAAAGCTAGATTTTTTTCTCTTTCTCATAGAATAAAAATCCTAGAAGTTTATCCCTACTTTATAAATTCAGGTCTTATATTTATTCATCATCTGGCTCCATGTGACCAGAGTACTACCTAATTCCTGCTGGTCTATGCAAGGCAAGGCTAATTGCTATTTCTTGATTTCTATCTTGAAACTCTCCTATCTCGAAAATCCTAACATGTTCTTTTATTTGAGCTGTCAAAATAGAATAAAAATCTTCATCATCATCAAGAAAATTCAAGTATCTCTTTTGTACTTTGCTACTGGCTTCTAAAACATTAATTCTCCCACGTCTGTTCCGTTTTTTTTTATGGCAATTTTACCTCTGCTCCTCAAATGCAGATGTTGTCTAGCAGGTTTTGCGTACTCAAATTACATAATCTCTGTGGGTGATATCATTTATTCACTGGCAACTATTCAACTTTATGTTTACATTTGTTTCTCCTTTACATTCTTTGTTGACTACTCTTTAAGTGCCAAACCTGTATAAACAATGGCTTGCTGCACTATTTATTTACATGCCACCCAGTTCTGAAATAAACTTCAAGGAATTTGAATGGATAGTATAACAACCAAAAATATAATGAATTTTACTTAATAAGAAACATAGGCTGGGTGCAGTGGCTCCCGCCTGTAATACAAACACTTTGGGAGGCTGAGGCGGGCAGATCACTTGAGGCCAAGAGTTCGAGACCATCCTGGACAATATGGTGAAACACCATCTCTACTGAAAATACAAAAATTAGCCGGGCACAGTGGTGCGCGCCTATAATCCCAGCTACTTGGGAGGCTGAGGCTGGGGAATTGCTTGAACCCAGGAGGCAGAGGCTCCAGTGAGCAGAGATCATGCCACTGCACTCCAGCGTGGGCAAGGGAGTGAGACCCTATCTCAAAAAAAAATAAAAAATAAAAAAAAATAAAAGAAACATCATAATGTAAGTAGGCTATGAGGTTCTAGTCAGGTGCTACCTTTAACTGTGCTTAAGTAAAATTTTTTTGGTTAAAAGCTTTGAAGGAGCCAGGCTAGTTCCATAAATCTAGGCCATAACCTTACTTTCCCTGGGCAATTTCAATCCATCCCCCCGCAAAAAAAAAAAAAAAAAATGGGAGGCAGGGGGCCTATTTTATACAAAATACACCTTACTACAATAGGGACTAACTGAAGCACATATTTTCACCGTCTTCCTCACACGGTATGTATTACGTTTCATACTTCTTTGTATTTACAAAGGTACACTCACATGTCTACGAATTGCTTTGCAAAAGACCTAACTATGCATGTGAAACTCACATTTAATATTGAAAAATAAACCAGTAAATATTTACATAATTACTTTTAGATCTCTAGGCCAAAGTGCTAAAAACTTGAGGTCATGTTATAAAGCATCATCCGAAGCAGCAAAACTACCTTGATAACAATGAGCAGGTTTTTAGAGTGAAAAAACAGTTAAAATTTGGCAGGACGATCTTCAGGTATAATCCAGTGTATCACTTTAAGACACCTACTAGTTTGTACCCAACTGCTGCAAAGAGACAATACTGGTAGCAAAATTCTCATTAATTTGTTAATCAAGTACTTCAAAGTAATAGTAGGATTTGTTTTTTTGGTTTGTTAATGAATTCAAAGTGTTATAACTTTTATATATTTTTAAGTTGCCCCCCCCAACAATTATCTTTAAAGAGTACTAAATGGTGACTGTTCTATAAAATATTAAAACAAATATCATTTTAAGAAAGCATTTCATTTCTCACTTTTTAGGATGAGCCTCTCAGAATACTTAAGACAGTATACTATAATCAGTTACTACTAGAGCCTTTAGTTTCACACTTTTAAATGAACAGGAAATAGAAAATGGAGAGTGAATACAATATTTTTACCATGTCCACAGCCTGAATTACAAGTGTATTTATTTACTTGATTCTCAACTGCTGAAGAGATAACATGGAAGAAAGGGAGTGAAAAACACAAGAGGAGCAAAATACAATGAAAACATATTTTAATGGTACTGAAATTTCTATGCCCATCTCTATCATCACATGTAAAAAAAAAAAGGAAGGGGGGCTTTCAAATTTAATGGAAAAATTCTAATGTTTTAATGTGAACTTTTCAAAGACAAACTTTCTACATTAAAGAAATAAACATGTCTCCCATCACTACATGACTGAATATCACATTTTTTGAGAAATATAAAGGGGAAAATCTGCTAAACTATTAGGGTTTTGGGATTTTTAAGTTTTTTTTTTAAAAAAGGACAAGTTATTCTATATAAGCAATAATTATTTATACTATCTTACATATAGGAAAATTCTAATAAAGATGCCCGGAGTACCACAATTAAAACAAAAAAAAAAAGGTGCCAAGAGTTAGGTGTCTCGTATCTAATACAGAAAAAATGATATCCATTCTCAGCAGTTTTCTGTATTATACTTATATGTGGGAAGGCAACAGTCCAGTTAAGAGGTATCATTTATATAGCTTTAAAGTTTATAACACATTCTCAAACACACCATTTTTAAAACACAAAATTAACCAATGATGTATTATCTACTTTCTATAATAAACTGGGGCTCAGTGAAGAAAAAAAACTGCTCAAATTCAATAAAGTAGAAATTATGAGTTTACCTTTCAACTCAGGAATTGAGGTAGTCTATCATATTAGGACATACGTATACTTTATATTCATCTCTACCTTTCTCAATTGTAGTATTATTATTATTATTATTATTATTATTATTGTTTTTTAGGCAGAGTCTCACTCCGTTGCCCAGGTTGGAGTTCAGTGGCGTGATCTTGGCCACTGCAACCTCCGTCTCTTGGGTTCAACAGATTCTTCTGCCTCAGCCTCCCAAGTAGCTGGGATTACAGGTGCCTGCCACCACGCCTGGCTAATCTTTATATTTTTAGTAGAGACAGGGTTTCACCATGTTGGCCAGGCTGGTCTTGAACTCCTGAACTCAGGTGATCCACCTGCCTCGGCCTCGCAAAGTGCTGGGATTACAGACGTGAGCCACTGCACCTGGCAATTGTACTATTTTCAAAGTGGCTAAACACCAATTTATAACCATCTTTAACACCTTAATACAAACTACAGTACCTCCAACAATCAAACAATTATGTCAAATTTTATACTGTCTTGAATTTGAATGATACTGAATTTGAACGTGGGCAAAATTTTCCTTACATCTAAATTTTAAAGAAAAGGCAACTGGTCTCTTCCTTATAACCATCTTGGGCAACATATAAGGTAAAAAAAAAAACAAGCAATGGTTTGAACTAGAAAGAATAGAACCTAATCAGAATATGTTTACCTTAACTATCTGTATACTATTTGAAGATGGCAGAAATTCTCACTTAATATTCAAAAACATACTTTGCATCTTGGCTTAACACATCTGTCATATTGACAGCCTTCTCTATGACTTCTCTAACCTACTGAGTAAAGCCAAATCTGCTAGGAAGAAAAGCCAGAAAGTGTTTAATCTGGTAAAAAGATATTTTACCTATAATTCGTTGAAGGATACAAGGAATTCTATACTTAGTTTTATGCTTTCTTAAGTTGAACTTGTTATTTAATTCTGTTTGCCTGTTTCTATGTTTTAAGTCTTAACTATATAAATGATAACTCTTAACTGGAAGGAATGAAAAAACAAGCCAAAAACTGGGAGAAAATATTTGAGAAAGAGATATATGATGAAGGACTGTTATCCCAAAATATACAAAGAACTCTTAAAACTAAATACTAAAAAAAAACCCCTCAATTTTAAAAATGGGCTAAGATTAAACAGATACAAAAAAGATATACAAGGCCATGCATGGCAACTCACATCTGTAATCCTAGCACTTTGAGAGGCTGAGGCAGGTGGATTTCCTGAGGTTGGGAGTTTGAGACCAGCCTGGCCAACATGGTAAAACCCTGTCTCTACTAAAAATACAAAAAATTAGCCGGGCTTGGTGGCTTGCACCTGTAATCCCAGCTACTCAGGAGGTTGAGGCATGAGAATTGCTTGAACCCAGGAGACAAAGACTGCAGTGAGCAGAGATCACGCCGCTGTACTCCAGCCTGGGCAACAGAGTGAGACTCTGTCTTAAAAAAAAAAAAAAGAAAGAAAAAAAAGATGTACAGATGACAGTTAAGTATACAATAAGTATATCAAAAATGTTAAACATTTCATGTCATTAGGGAATTACAAATTACAACATCAATAAGACAGCAATACACACTTAATAGAATGGATTTCAAACACTGGCAACACTGAATGCTGGCAAGAGTGTGGAGAAATAAGAACTTCTATTCATTGCTGGTAGAAATGGAAAGTGGTATAGCCACTTTGAGCTAAACATACTCATACTATACAATCCAGCAATTGTACTTTATTTGCCCAAATAAACTGAAAACTTATACTCACACAAGAAACTGCACACTGATGTTTACAGTAGCTCTATCCATAATTGACAAAACCTAAAAACTACCTATATGTCCTTCTGTAGGTGCATGGATCAACTGTGTCTATCCAGACAATGAATATTATTCCATTCTAAAAAGAAATGAACTATCAAGCCAACAAAAGATATGGAGGAAATGTAAAAGCATATTACTAAGTGAAATAAGCCAATCTGGAAAATATCTGTGGCTACCAGTAGTTAGGAGGATAAGAGGGATGAACAGGCCAAGGACAGAGGATTTTTAGGGCAGTGAAACTAGTTATGCATCATTAACAAAGGGATACTTTCTGGGATATGCATTGTCAGCCTATTTTATCATTACAGGAACAGCAATGAGAGTATTTAAACAAACTGAGATAGTATAGCCTACTACACACTTAGACTATAAGGTACAGTCTATTGCTCCTAGGCGACAACCTGAATAGCATATTATTGTACTGAATTCCACAGGCAATTATAATACAATGTTAAGTGTCTGTACATCTAAACACATTTAAAATAGAAAAGATAATGCGTCACACTACGACTTGATGATGGCTAAGAGGTCACTAGGCAACAGTTCAGATCCATTAGCATCTATGGAACCACCATGGTACACGCAGTTCATCACTAACCAAAAAGTAGTCATTATGTGGCACATGAAGGTATTCTGTATGATACTACAATGGTGAATACATTTGTCAAAACTCATAAAATGTACAACGCCAAAAGCCAATCCTATTGTAAACTATGGACTTTGGGTGATAATTATGTGTCAATGTGGGTTCATGGACTGTTAACAAATGTACTGCTGTGGGGCAAAGTATCTTCAGTTGAGAAACACTCTGTGTGTGGATATGGATCATATGAGAAATCTCTGTACTTTCTACTTGATTTTAATAAGAACCTAAAACTGCTCTAAAAAACAAAGTTTATTAATTTAAAAAAAAAAAGTTAAGTAGCAACTAATGCCAAAGACCCAGGCACTTCAACATTCTTGATGTTACAAAAAGTATTTCAAATTTTCGAAGCCTTAAAAACTAAGATTACATTTCAATTATTCTTGCTTTTTATTTCATGTTTATATAACACAAAAAGATACGTATTACATATTCTGATACATGTCAAGCTATATTAGAATGATTTACATATTTGAATGTTGATGAAAATATAAAGTGTAGATATCAACATTAGTAGGTAAAAACCCAACTCAGTTTAATAAATAGGCTGGGATGTGGTCTATATCCATTCGCTTTGGAATAACTGTAATAATTTTTCTAATTTGGATACAATAGCTCAAATGGGACATTAACACATGAATATTTACCTTTGAGTCATAATTTTGAAGGCATCGGGGAGGTAGCAGTCTGTATTCTCCATCTGAAATGGGTCAGCATCACAAATCTTGTCATCCGTCCGACCATAGTTAGCGCTCTCAATCATGATGACATCACTGCCCGGGCATCGCAGATCTATAGAATAACCTTCACAGGATAATTCTCGCCTCACCAGCCCAAATGGTAAAGCTGCTCTGCTGAAACCTTAAAATAAAAAAGAAAGAAAATTAAACTGTAACTCATTTATAAGATAAATTATTTTAGTAAAGCATTTTCAAGTAATATGATTCATGTCTATCGTCAAGAGATGTCATAAAATTCAGGCATTTATTAAATAATTTTTTGGTTCTCTACAATATGTCAGAAAATTATTTTTTATTCATCTTTATTTGGACTCTTCATCTTTACAAAATACCCTAACAAATTACTTTCTGTATAATCAGAAACTAAATGGCTTTTTTAGTAAATCCAAATAATAATGACAAATTTAATCATGGATTTTATAAACGGTGACAAGTTTTACAAACAGAAAATATAACTACTAATCAAGAAAGAATTTTCATTTGTGCAATGGAATGAAGGCTCTGCTACACCCACTGGCCTTACTTTCTTATTTAATGTATACATATTAATTGCTATTGCATTATCTTAAAAAATACCTTCATCTTAGCAGTTTTTTCCCCACAATAACTAAGATATTTATGACAATAAGATGCTTATGGCACAATAACTTATTTCCATTTAAATACCCTTTATTTAAAACTGACACTGAAAGGAATCAGCAGATGGACATTCAAAGGAGCTAGCACTGCTCCCATCCAACTCAACAAATTCAAAGACCTGAACATGATCTTTTCTGAGATGTAAGTATATTCTTCCAAAGCAGTACTGGGTGACATACTGGTATGATTTTAAAAAGCAGCAATTTTCAAACCTGGCTGAACTCTCAGTTCTTCAGAGAAAACTAAAGGTGTAACTGGACTGAAGAGGGAAGAAAAGAATACCTAACCTGGAACTCAGAAATCTTCAGGAGATTGTGGCAAACCCCAAACTTGGTAGGTTTTCACTAACAAGGTTTATAGTATATGGAGAGTACTGTAGCATGTGGAGAGGTGCACTACTAATGCAGAAGGGATACAGAAACAGAGCTGGGTAAATGTCAGGACAAATGG
Source organism: Homo sapiens (assembly GCF_000001405.40). Classification (NCBI taxonomy): domain Eukaryota; kingdom Metazoa; phylum Chordata; class Mammalia; order Primates; family Hominidae; genus Homo; species Homo sapiens. The sequence continues at coordinate 81,906,048 of NC_000001.11, read as the reverse complement.
TACACAGGCCAAACTTCCAAAATATATTTCTTCCCCAACAAGTTCATAAACTTTTATATGTACACACACACACACACACACACACACACACACACACACACTCTGCTTTTTTCTCCATCTCCTGACCTTGTACTGAAATATCTATACAAATAATTCAGCTTAAACTAGTAGTACCATATTTATTTTAATAGAAAATATTTTTATGGCTTCAGAAGCTGACACATTTCTGTGGCAAAAGCTATGTGAAAATTCAAACAAACGACATCAAATAAAATTTTGAAATGCAACCTATTTTAAATACAGAGGCAATTTGCAATTACAATTCTATAATAAAACAGAATAAATCTATTATTAGAAAATGCTAGGAATATTGGAACACATTATTAAAAGACTGGCTTGGAGCCACACTCGCAATTCTTACTATTTTGTCAAAACATAGAACTGATTATGAAGCACTGTGGTTTTTAAAACCCAAGCCCTTTAACTGTTGTTGTTGTTAGTTTGCAGGATTAGAGTTATCATTCTAAGTGAATTTTCCTCTGCTTTTGAAACCTATTTGGGAATTGGCATAGTTGAGTGTGTTACCGTTTTGATAATTCAGGGATGGCAGTCTTAAAGCTTTGGTCACAGTCATCCAGAAAAGTACAGTAAGGTCTAGCGCTGTGGTTCACGCTTGTAATCCCAGCACTTTGGGAGGCTGAGGCGGGTGGATCACCTGACGTCAGGGGATTCAGGACCAGCCTGGCTAACATGGTGAAACCCCATCTCTACTAAAAATACAAAACTAGCCGGGTGTGGTGGCGCATGCCTGTAATCCCAGTTACTAGGGAGGCTGGGGCAGGAGAATCATTTGAACCTGGGAGGCGGGGGTTGCAGTGAGCCAAGATGGCACCACTGCACTCTAGCTTGGGCAAAAAGAGCCAAACTCCCATCTCAAAAAAAAAAAAAAGTATAGTAAGGAAAAAGAAAAGAAAGATCAGTGCACTTTAATAATTTAGTAGATTGCCAATACAGAATCTACTGGAGAAAAGAGATCATGGTACTTGCTATCGTTCGAATATGGCTTGTTCCCATCAAACTCAAGTAGAGGCTTAGTCCTCAGTGTGGCCATACTGGGAGGTCGTGCCTTTAACAGGTGACTGGGTCTTTATAACTCTTTCTTTCCCCCTGCCCCCACCCCGAGACAGAGTCTTGGCTCACTGCAACCTCTGCCTCGCCGGTTCAAGCAATTCTCCTGCCTCAGCCTCCTGAGTAGCTAGGATTACAGGCATGTGCCATCACGCCAGACTAATTTTGTATTCTTAGTAGAGACAAGGTTTCACCATGTTGGCCAGGCTGGTCTCGAACCCTTGACCTCGTGATCCGCCCACCTCCGCTTCCCAAAGTGCTGTGGTTACAGGCATGAGCCACTGTGCCCAGCCCCAAAGTTTTTGTTTTAAGACTGGGTTAGTTCTCAAAGGAATTAATTAGTTTTTTGCATTCCCTTGTCCTTCCACTTTTCAACCATTCTAGGAAGCAGCATGAGGCCCTCACCAGATGTGGCTGCCCACCTTCGACCCCAGAACCCCAGAACCATAAGCTAAATAAAACTCTTTTCTTTATAAATTACCCAGTCTGAGTATTTTCCTATAGCAACAGAAATTGCACTAAGAGTTCTTAATAGCAAATACCACTTTATTTAATCCTACAATGTATTTTGATTTAAATCATTAATGTTCTTTTCTAAATTCTTTCTCTTACCTGTTTTGATTAAACTTTATATATGCAGATATATTAATCTTTACTAATGTGCTTATTAACATGTGATACAGTGCATATTCACTTTTAGTATATATATATATCTACCCTGCTAGACTGTAGTAAGGCTCTTAGTTATAATCTCAATGCCTACAATAGCACATGATACATAATTCTTATAAATGTGGAACCAAATTGTTGAATTAAACTAGTGATTAACACAACATAAATTGCAATGTGCTTTCCTTTGTAATGTCTATTTCCTTTGGTAGTGAAAACAAATGGTGAACATTAAAAACAAGGCAAACTACTTATCAATGAAAATTATATGCCATCTCCCCCACCAAAAAAATATTTAAATTGTCAATTTATTATTATATATGTATCACTGGAATTGTCATAAGACAGATGGGTTACATATTTATACATTTCTCTTATCTAAAGTCTGTATTTCCAACCAAATATGTGTGTGTGTGTGTGTGTGTGTGTGTGTGTGTGTATATAAAATGTGTATATATATATAATGTGTATATATATAATGTGTATATATAATGTGTATATATATAATGTGTATATATAATGTATATATATATATAATGAATATATATATATTCTTTAAAAAACAAATATGAAGAGAGAAATAAGTATTACTTGCAAAGCAATTACTATGTGCTGGCACTGGCTTAAATGCTTTATATGGATCACTTTGTTTTATGTTCAACAACATAAAAAATAAACAATGGAATAGTTGCTGTTATAGTACCAATTTTACAGAGTATGAAACTAAGGCATCAAATAGTAGTAAATTTAGGGTCTCAATCTTACCACACGTTAGATTCTAACCCATGCAGGGAGCTTAGACTCCAGAACCCTTCTCTGATCAACTCTGACTACTCAAGCCATTTTGCTGATAAAATAACAAGATTTATTTTATAAGTCTTCATACAATCTGAAAATCACCAAAGAATATATTAGTAAAACTGACAAGAAATAATTATTGTAAAGGTTCACAAAACTACATGAATAGTAGTGAAAATCATATTTGTAGAAATGTAAACATGTGTACCATAAATATAAAGACAGCAAATGCTATACTGTAGGTACACATGGAAAGAGCACTGAACACTGAAGTATGAGTATATGGGTCAGTCTTGTGACTTTGGGCAAAGTCATTTTACTTCTCTGGGTTTTAATTAAAACCTTTTCTGAAGAATTAAAGCCATTTCAAAGTCTTATAAAATTTCCTCAATCTGTAAGTCTAAACAGGCAAGCTCCTTTTAATCAAGTACACATGCTATTCCAACATTTCAAGTGATCGATAATTAATAAACAACTTGCTCTGTTTTCTTAAAATATAAATATAACAACATTGTTAACATGGATGTGCTGTGCACATCCATATAGATTGTGAGGTACTGTCAAAATAATTTTCAAAAGTCCATGTGACAAACTAAGCAGAGTTCACACAAATCACAGGAAAACATCTTCCTAGGTTAACTATTTTAATCAATGACTTAGTGGAAAAGAGAAAATAAACATGAATCAATTATGGAAAAGTTCTCTAGTTGTGGCCATGATGGGAATGGGTGGTCAGACATGCCTCATTGTACTTTCCTTTCATTGGAATTCTGACACAGTCTGACTATCCTTAACATTAAAACAGAGACCTTAAGACTGACAGAACTGCCCCCCACCCTTTGTTTTCTGAGATGGAGTCTTGCTCTGTCACCCAGGCTGGAGTGCAGGAGTGCAGTGGTGCAATTTTGGCTCACTGCAACCTCCACCCACCAGGTTCAAGTGATTCTTCCACTTCAGCCTCCCCAGTAGATGGGACCACAGGTGCGCACCACCATGACCGGCTAATTTTTGTATTTTTAGTAGAGATGAGGTTTCGCCATGTTGGCCAGGCTGGTCTCAAACTCCTGACCTCAGGTGATCTGCCCACTTTGGCCTCCTAAAATGCTGGGATTACAGGTGTGAGCCACCACGTTTGGCCAGAACTGCCTCTTTAAATATGGTAAGAAATATTTCCAATCTATTCTCTCTTAATACCTGCTACCTAGAGGCTTCATCTGCATAATAAGAACCCTGGTCCTCACAACCCCTATCTTAACCCAGACACTTTCTTCTATTGATTCGGGTCTTTATTAATAGACAAACCCCTTCAACCAGTTGCCAATCGGGAAATCTTTGAATCTACCTATTACCTGGAATCCTAACTCTACCCTTTGGGTTGTCTTACCTTTCCAAACTGAACCAATGAACATCACTCATGTACTGATTTCTGACTTATGTCTCCCTAAAATGTATAAAACCAAGCTGTAGCCCAACCGCCTTGGGCACATGTTGTCAGGAGCTCCTGAGGCTGTGGCACGGGCATGTCCTTAATCTTGGCAAAACAACTGATGGAAAATAAAAAGTTTACACACATTTTTAAGAAAAATATAAATTGTTGTGCCTTCTTTGACCATTTTACACTATTTTCCTGAAAACTTCAAGGGATATAGCTCAACCTCTTCCACCAACAATGCTACTTTAAAGGAACTTTGAAAAGCCTTTAATAAAATTATTGCAATTAGTATCAACTTTTAAAACCCAACATTTTCACTAAATAAATCTTATAAAAGACATAAAAACCCATTCCTGAAAACATTTATTTATTCCTTTATTTGTATCACATTAATGATCTAGAATACTGACTCACGGGAAGAAATCATCAAAAAAAAAAATATATATATATATGTTTTAATCCTTTGCCAAGTCTACATAATTGATTCCCAAATATGGTTACATCAGAATCACCTAGTAAACTTTTTATAAAGACAAATCTTGAAGCTCTATCCCAGACCTACTGAATCACAATCTCTGGGTCAGATGAAGCTACACTATCTGTAATTTGTACAACAAAATATTAATTTACTTATAGCACACTGGTATAATAACTAAGATGTGCAAAGAATGTCTCTAAGGCCTTTGAAAAATAGTTTTTTTTTCTCTGACTACGTATTTGTTGTCATTGTCATCATATTTCCTCTTAATTCTCCAAGATAGTTTTACTTTGATTTTTGAACGTATTTGTAATAGCTGGTTTAAAATCCTTATATGCTAAATCTAACACTGGGTCCACATCTGAGGCAATTTCTATTTTATGGATCAACTTTTCTGTTTCTTTATGTATCTTATAAATGTTTTGTTGTTGAAAACTATACATTTTAAATAATACACCATTAGCAACTCCGGTTTCAGATTTCTTTCCCCTGAGAATTGCTGCTGCTGTCGTGGTTTCTTTTTAATACCTCAGCTGTATTTAATATGCAGAATCTCTGCCCTCACAGTGTGTGGCTGCTTATACCTTTGCTCACTGTTTTATTTTAATTCGCTTGAATTCTTATTTTTATTTTTTAGCCTCGGCTCCTAGATATCACCTCTGTCTGCATGGCTTAGTGGTCAGCCAATGACTGGGCAGAGACTTTGCACAAAAACCATAGGCCCATTATTAAGTCTCCACTCTTTGCTGATGTGATTGTATGTTAGAAAGAGTATTAAAAGTTCAAGTAGTTTACAAGTCAGACTCAGTTATTTACTTGCTGCCAAGTCCTCTCATGTCTCCTCTGTACATGTGTTTAGCTTCCCAGTTAGTTAAGAATGCACAGAAAGTTTATGGTTTCTTCATTTCCAAGATTTCCCTGTTAAGTTTCAGAATGGTTTCCAGTCATCCCAACTGGAACTACAACCAAAGGATAGCAGAGCTACAGGTTTTCCCCATTTTTTTTTTTCCCTACAGTGTTTACTTTCATTGACAACACTGCTGGGCATGAGTTTCCACTCTCTACTCCAAATCATGTCAGCTCTTCATGGCAGTAAAGCCACTGGTTTTGAAGGCCAATCTTGCCCTGATGAAACTTCCACAATGACATAGTTAAGGAGTAAGAGATGGAGGGATTGCGGGGGATAAGGAGCAGCCCGATGCTAGAAGGCTTTAAACATCTGCTAGAAGTTCTAGTAGATTTTCATAAATAATGTTTCCCCGTTTGTTGTTTGGTTACTTTCCAGCTCCCAAAATGGTTGTTGTTGACAATTCTAATTTTACACTTGTTTTAGAGGGAATTTGCCACCCTCAGAAGTCCCTCTAAGGACTGTATAAATATTTCCTGATTATGAATCCTCAAAACAACCATACAAGATAGGTAACATTATTATCAACATTTTACAGAGGAGGAAGTTGAGGCAGAGAAAGATTAAGTTTTCTACAGTTATATCCAATAAAAATGAAATTAAGATTTCAAACCCAGTAATTCAGCTCCTGGGTTCATGTTCTTAAATGTTACTTTAATGCCTCTCCAAACGATGATGGCCATCAGCAGCAGGTTTGGGGACAGAGTTGTAAAGAACATCGTTATGGTATGCTGGCTGCTACTAGTCTTGGGGAAGAAAAGGAACAGGAAAGGAAACTGTGTCTGATGGTCAGGGAAATGGCTTGGTGAACATAATCAACATAAAGAAATCCTCAAATTAAAGCCTTTTAACCACACTATTACTGTGATATTCATTCCAAGCCGTATTTTCAGTCTATTTCTATTTCAACAACAACAAAAAAATAAGCATCCCAACCAGCAAAATGTAATCTAATCCATCTTGCAACCCTGACAATTGAAGAGAGAACTGGTGGGAGGCTCTGTGAGCAAAAAATCAATATTGCAGCTTTGTGCTGTGCAAATGTGAATACCACCAAATAGCGGTGCTTAGAGTAAAATGAACTGTTTTGCTCCATTTTCTCCTCTCTGAACAAATGATTTTGAAAAGACAGTTTTTCCCCCCAAGCTATAAAATGTCAAGATATAACTCTCTCTGCTTTAGGCTACTGATCGGAATAAATACCTCCCGGCAACAGGTGCAGCAACTTAAGACTGAAATCATTCACATTCAGGGGTAATTCCTAATAAACAGATGCACTGCTACCGGATGGGAATTTGTAAGACCAGAATTGAAATTCTATCATTAAATTTGGCATCACTTATAAGCATTTCTGCAAGAAAATATGCTGCTCTGACAACAAACAGTACATTTTGTTGTGATAAACTTTAAGTGCTTGTTGAGGAACATTTGCTTTTCTAACAAAGTCTCCATTAACTCTGTTCCTTAAAACATTTCTGTAAAATCACACATTCCCATAAAAGTGTTCTTACTACGCTGTACTATAAAGAATTCAACTTTTCTTGTACTGTTTTTCTTAATTACTTTGAACTAAATACTGTCATGTTTGCTACTGCTCATGCTGTTTGAGGGTCCCAGGAAGCACCATGCTTTTTGATTATCAGGGACCTCTATGAGAGTGAGGCTGTGACTCTACGCCGTGCTGAAACATTAACTCAAGCCATAGTCTATTACCAGTGCTGGCATATGAAATCTCTTTATTACTCCTGTTTATATATGTTAGCAAAATTTCTTCCTAAAATGGAAATGAGAAAAATACTTAAGGAGGAGGGGACATGATTTCAACCAGGCTGAAGTGAAATTTAGAAGCATCCAGAAAGCTTATTTCAATTTCATCTTAACTTAGATGAAAATAGTGTTAAAAGTAAACCTAAAAGATAAGTTGTCACTGATAGTCCAACTTTTTCACTCATCTCTGCATATTCATGGAGCCAACTAAGCACAATTTTTAAAATCAAGGATGCGTAATAAGGCTTTTTTATACCACAAGGCAGAATGTTAAAAACCTATTTCGTGTAAATTTGTAGAAGATCCTTTTGTTTTAATTACTTAATTAGATCCACTTTAGAAATGCCTTTATCAATCAAACCCTAAAACATCTACTTTTTTGTGCTTACTTATACGTAATTCCTTTCACCTGTCTGTATTATGTTACAAACCTAAACTACGACACGTGGAAAGTAAAAAAGACCTACTACTGTCACCTTTGAAATTGTTCTTATGCAAATAATTCAGAAAATAAAAGAATGCAATGTCATTTTCCAGAATAAGCACACTGGCCTAGAAAATGTTGTAATTTGTATATAAGTGGGGTGAGCATGAAATACCCAACAAATGCTTACAGAAATATGAAACTGTTGCAAAAGAAAGTGTTCCAACAATTTAAGATCATATAACTACACAATCATCAACTCAGTCCAAATAAGTGATATGCCTTAGTTTTATGTGTCATTTTGGTTTAGAAGCTGTTTTTTTGTTTGTCTGCTTTAGGGAGAGAGTCTCACTCTGTTGTCCAGCTGGAGTGCAGTGGTACAATCATAGTTCACTGCAGCCCCAAGCTTCTAGGCTCAAGCATATGGGCTCGAAATCAGCCTCTTCCTCACCCCAGAGTAGTTAGGACTGCAGGCTCATGCCACCATGCCCAGCTAAATAAGCTGTTGATTATTTTGGAAATATTTTAAATAATGAAGTACTTCAAAAAAATTTTTTCTAAGAAGAATGTTAACAGTTTATTTGAAATCTTAAGTAAAATCAACTTAAATACAAAATAGTGTTACACTAAGAAATACACCAATATTTTCTAACAAATACATGCATAATGAAAATACATATTTAAATCCAATTATGCAAGCTACAAGGTAAAAATTTTCAACTTGGGGACTTGCTAAGAGTCACAAAATTCTGGACACTCTAGATGCTCTAAGGTAAAAATATACTTTTAGAAAACCATTAGCTGATAGTTTCAAATACTACTACTTCTGAAAAGCCTTTTGACATTTTAAAAAGAAAGTACACATTATGAGTCAAAAACACTGTGGGGTTAAATTCCTTACTAGAAAGAAATTAATTTCTCCTACCTAAAAACTTCTAAATTATCTACCACTAATTAATAATTCACAAGTACCATGAAAACATATTTCAGTTATAAAATATTATGTTTAATACTTAACTTAAAAAAATTCCTGATAAGCACATCTATTAAAAATAATATATGCCACAAAGAGATGCTATTAGTCTCAGTATATAGTTACAACTTCTAAGTTCACAAAGGCAGAATACTTTAATTCCGATTTACTTAAAAAAAAAAAGTGACTTTCACACTGAGCTTCAATATTACCCAATTATTCAGTGCCTCTGTTTAAACTATCTCCTCCGCACAGGATGTTCCACTCATTTTTCTGTTAGGCAACAATTACTCTTCAAAACCCAGTTCAAGACACCAGGTCTTGAAAACAGGGAAAGGAGAACCTGAGCTTAGGTTTGGGTCATTTGTTTTGTTTCCTCCAATTAACATCTACTGAGTAACTACTATGTGCCTAGCACTCTTCTAGACACTTGGGATACTAGGAACAAAAATACAATAATCCCTGTTCCTGAGTAACAAACATGGGGGATGAGACCTCCTTCAGGACAAGTGTCATTTATCTGGTTCACTACTATAATGCCAAAACGTAGGAAAGGACCAATTTACGGTGTTCTTTATGGAGTGACAAAATAAAGATGTTAAATAAATGGATATATGAATGAATGAACAATTATGAGCTCCTCTATCAGAGCAGGTAACACATTCTAAGGGTCTTTGTACTTATATTACCTCCTTACTGGACTCTGAGCTTTTCAACAAAAACTGAATATTAGTTATTCAGGGACACAGTAGGCATTTTATTTTTACTTTATTTTACTTTATGCTTTATTTATTACTATAATTCTTATGTACCAGAAGATGTTAAACATACTCAAGAACATAAAAGTTGTTTTAAGAGGAAAAGAAACAAAAAGACCACAGTTTTAACTTTTATATATATATTAAAGTTTTGAGTTTATAAATTTAAGACATGAACATCATCAGAAAATGTTTTTTCAAAAATCCAGATATCAAGAGATAAAGAATACAAACAGGACAAAGATGACATTTTCATCAGAGTCCCCTAATCAGTGGGACTCAACTATGAAAATATGCTCTTAAATGACTGACGACCTGCTAGAGTTCAAAATCATTCCAGAGTCTCCGTCCCCCTCCCACCCTCACAGGGAAACAGGAAATACTCTTTACAATTATTATTTTTTTTTATAACTAGTTAAAACCAGTTTAACATCAATAAGTTTCTAACAAAAATTTAATATCTGAAGTCATTCGCATTGTCCTAGCAAATTAAAATTCTTAAGTAACTCTGTATAATGTATTCACTGTCAACAAAGAAACTAGCAAACAATTACAGAATAAGTAAACGACAATTTCATCATCTCCGCAGGTATAATTTATTTCCAACTCTATGTTATTTAATGTAATCTCTTATAATTTTTACTATCCTTTTGTTATTAGAAATTTCATTAATTCACTCCCACCTCCATCCAGCCTGAGTATGTATTTATTCTTAAAAATAATTAAATAAGAAGCAAAAATGCAGAAATGAGCTATTTGTTCCCATATCCAGTGAGTCACTCCAACATTGCTAGGTAAAGGTTTCCACTCCTTTTTTGTCACTGATGCTAAAACTCATTAGGGTGGAGACTTCATTTTAAGTATTTCCCAGGCAGGTTTCCCAGATCAAACAGAGTAAAAATTTGGATTTTAAGTCTTTTTAGTTAATACGTTGTTGTATTTAAATATAAGCAATTTTTTTAAAGCACTAACACAAAAAAAACTCTTAACCAAAATTTCCTTTTTAAAAAGGTACTTTCAGGTCTGGGGCGGTGGCTCACGCCTGTAATCCCAGCACTTTGGGAGGCCGAGGCAGGTGGATCACCTGAGGTCAGGAGTTTGAGACCAGCCTGGCCAACATGGTGAAACCCCGTCTCTACTAAAAATACAAAAAAATTAGCTAGCTGTGGGCACCTATAATCCCAGTTACTCAGGAGGCTGAGGCAGGAGAAACGCTTGAACCCAGGTGGCGGAGGTTGTAGTGAGCCGAGACTGCACCACTGCACTCCAGCCTGGGCAACAAGAGTGAAACTCCATCTCAAAAAAAAAAAAAAAAAAAAAAGATACATTTAAATTGAATCACATGAGTGACCACAATGTAGATGAATGAAAGAGTTCCCTACCAATTTTTATTATATTTCCATATTAATTTTTACTAGGCAACAATAAACTCTAAAGGTATAAAGTTACCTGTGTAACAACAGCTTCCTCCTCAAAGGTTTCTATAAGGGGGCCAATTAATACCAACTCTAGAACTTATTTGGGTTAACAACATTGAAACTGCACTGAAACCACCCACTCATTTCTCTGAATCCGAAGACTAATCCAAAGGTGACCACACGCAACCACTGCTGACTCAAGCAAGTGTCTTAGAAAGGAAAGACACTATATCCCCATATATATTCTTATGAGGTATTTATTTCTCACTTTAAGTGGGGAAGATTAACACACTGAAACTAGTGGCACCTCTTCACCTTCCACAAATTATTACCCATGCTAATAATTCAATCACTTAAAAAGTATCAGCCATGTAACCTTTTACCCACTTAAGGCTGTGATGTCATGTCTTTCCTCCTGCATGCTTTAAAAAAGGAATTTTCCCTAAAACTTCAAAAGGCTGTAAATTAAGCCTTTTCTTTTTCTGAACACACTAATTCTATTGGTAATAATAGACATGCTTTTCTGCTGGAGTAACAAGGCATTTTCCAACAGGTTTCTAGAGAAAAAAAAAACATATTGAAATAATTTCTCATCTCAAAAAATAACTTATACAATCAAAGTTTTTTTTTAATTTCTACTCTTTTTCCTTTAAACAATGTTTCATATTTGATTCTCAATGATGCTACATACATGAAATTTCTAAAATATACATTGTCACTACTAACACAGATGACTCTTTTTTAATAACTGAAGATTATTTTTATCTCACAGATATAAAGATAGATTTCCAAAAGATATACAGAGCTTGTGGGAACAACTAATCAAGTGGGTAATATGATACACACAAAAGAAACAAAAATACTCTAGTGAATGCTGTGACTATTGTGCTATTACTTTTCTCAATGAATGCTCTTGGACCAATTAAAAATTGCAAAATAGAAGAATAAATAAAACAAAATGCAGCAAGGAACCCACTCTGTGAACTCTACCTCAAAACACAATAGATGCAAACTGAAAATAATTTAAAAAAAACACCACCAAACAGAAAATAGCACTAATTTATTGCTTCATTCATTATGTATCTGTGTCCTTAACACATTTGAATTCCTCCTTTAGACAATGCTGGAATAACCAAAAGAAACTAACAATACAAGTTGGAGACAACTCTACCACTTCCAGAAACTACAGAAAGTCCATCCAGTTGTAAAAGCTCTTCCTGAAGCAAAGAGCTGACTTACAGAAGTAGTCTATTAACTGTGATACTATGAGTTGGACAGAAACCAATTCCCAAAATTCGTATGAAGGTTATAAAGTCATTCCTTAAATGACAATGTAATGACTTTGATTTCGTGGTTGGTTTCAGTGTTACCATTTTTGTGTTTGCTATTGAGGTTTGTTCAATTTTTAATGAAATGATAAGGTTTTTATTAAAGAACACAAACTATTTTCCAATCTTGTCAACACAACATTTGGGGAAAGGGGAAAGCAGGGAGTTTATTTTAACATTGTAAAGTTACAAAATGTTACCTTAAAAAAGAAGTAATACTACTTTTCTGCAGAGTTAAAATTATATCCTTTCTTGTATTTAACTGCAAGCTGAACATCAAGGGAACTAAGGAACAGCACGGTAGCAGAACCAATGGTATAAGCTCTGCCCCTACACACTACAGCCCATTGTAGTCTTTCATACTTGTTCCCTACAGGTACCAACAATGCAGAGGAAACAGAGCAGTTCCAACTTCTGGATACACAGATTCTGACAAATTACAAGGAGTTGCAGGAAAAAAGGCTCATAGGAATCCTGCTTGAGAGCCATTGTTGCCATGCCCTGGTGCACTACTCTAATAGCCCCTTCCTTGGTACTTTAAATGTTTATTCCCCTTACAACCTCAAATAGTTTTAATTTCATCCTTAAGAAGCTGAATGTTACCAGATAAAAAAGTTCCTGTACTATTCAAGAAAAAAAGAAAAATACAAGACAGGATTGATAAGTCACAAAAACAAGCAAATACTTTTTATCAGAAAATGAGAGTAAGTGTAGATGAATCTGATTTATAATGACAGGCAGGTTTTAGAAAATTACATTTCCCAAATCTGTGCAGCATCATGACTAAGGACTATGTAGAAGCAGGAACTCATCTAATTCATGCCAGTATGCACTGTGCCTATCTCCATGCCTGGCACAGAAGATGTAACAATGAACACATGAAAGAACCCAGGCACTGAAAAATAGATAAGGTTTTGAATTCTAGTTCTGCCATTTACTGACTTGGCAAAACTTGAAGAAGTTTCTTTACAAATGAACTTCAGTTTCCTCAGAAAACTGTGATGTTAATTTATATTTAATATTATTATAAAGTAAATACTCAAATGTTTTACAAATGGAATTCAAATCTGATCTACCAGATACCCACAACAGTCCCTTCTAAATAAGGGTTGGACTACTAGTGTTCCCATGGTCCATTTACATTTTTTAATGTTCAAACAAAATCAAAAGAACAATATTTCATGACACATAAAAATGTATGAAATTGTCAGTGTCAAGTAATAAGATCTGAAAATTGTCAATAAATGTGTTGGATATTCATTTCTCTCATTATATAAATATCTATACAACACCCTTAAATTTGGCCTACAAAGTCTAAAAAATTTACCATCTAGCCATTTATGGAAGACAGTTGCTGACCACTATTCCAACTGGTTTGGACAAAATCAGTGAATAGACTACAATCTCCTCTTGTCAATGAATGTTTTGATATGGAGTAGAACAGATTAAAGATAGTAAAACACAATTCTTATGGCTTATCACAGTGCTAATGAAATAAGAACACAATCTTAGAATATAATTCTCTGCTTATGAAAATCCTACAGGGAGTGTGGTGGGTGGGGAAATAATTAGGTCAATAACTACATTTTTTAAATGCTCCTCTTAAGTATTACTTCCCCCTAAGATATTAATTTAATCTGTACAGATATTATTGAGATCAAACTACTTAAATCTGAAGTGTTTAATTCTAAAATGGGTAACTATTTTACAGTGAAAAGTAATTCCGGACAAGGAGTTAACTGACTTGGCTTGGAATCCTTGTTCTATCCCTTAAAGAGCTCTGTGACATTGGATAAATCACTTCAAATATCAGTCCCCAATCTCTTCATTTGAAAAGCAGTCATGATATTAAATTAATTCACAGTGTTGGTACAAAGATTGATGGATAAAAAAATGTATCTCAACCTAAAAGCACTACTCTAATAGAAACTGAAATTCATCATAAATTAAAATAAAGCAACTCTGAAATAAAACCACACACACATACACACACACACACACACACACACTTATTAGCCACACTTATTATGTTCTGCAAAGGACTAAGTTCTAGTTACAAAAGACCTCCAAACATAAATGCGTTAATAATTTCAGTGTTAGAATAACAATAATACTAACAAGAAAATATGGGTAAATCTGATCTCAAAATAGCAATAAATTCGGATTCATGAAATAAAAACCACCAAAAGACAGATAAATCGATCTACCTCAAACTGAAGCATTCTATATTGAAAAGCCGTGTAGTGGAGCAAAAAAAGATCAGCTGTCTAAACGAGTAACTCAAGGTTAAATACTCTACATAAAAGTGCTTACAAATAAAGAGTATCAATTTCAAAGTAGGTAAGAAATGGAAAGGGAAAATGAAATAAATTTAAGTAGGAAATAAACATGTAATGCTCAATTTAATTGGCAAGGACAAAAAGGCATCAAAAATTTAAAATATGGTGACATTTTCTCCTATCAAATTACCAAGGATTTGTTTGTATGGCTGTTTTAAAACAGACAGCATCATATATTTCTGAAATTATGAGGCGGTACAGTCTTTCTGAGAAGAGCTTTACCAAATCCCATTTGCAAGAACAACATACTCTAACAATAACCAAAAAACTTGACTAAGATTTAGATAAAATTTATGAATAAAAATGTTGAGACAAACTGAAGGTCCAAAGTAAAGAAGTATTTTAAAACTATATTGACAAAATGGAATATGATGCAAAACATCATAAAACAATGTAATAGAATAAAAAACAATATAACGTTAAATAATATAAATACAGTAAAAATAAATATTAGAAATAATACTATAATAATATTTAGTGATTTGGGAATGGGTTCCCAGAAAAGTATGTAAAAGACTAAAATTATACTTCTATATACATGCATGGGGGGAAATAAAAAACAAAAACAAGAACTGGAAACCCTTTTTGGACTAACAGTGACCAGTTCATCTAAACCAACTAGGTTCAGTAATAAGAGAGCTAATGAAGATGGCTGCCAACCCTGAGGTACCAAGAAACGGGACTTGGGTTAAGGTGAGTAGATGAACAAAAAGGCACTCGGCCCAGGAGAATAACAGAAATTCTGTCCCCTTTGTGGGAACAATCTAAAAATATACAATTTCTCACCCTGAGAACCAAAGAGAAGATATCAAGATTTCTATAATCTTACTGGTTCAGAGCTACCAGACTGTAGACCTAGGTGAACATGGAGATGGGCCAGTTTTTTCAAAGACTGCCGTGTATCTCTGCACCCTACACCACAGTTCCCTTATCACAGCTAAGATACATTTC
This sequence comes from Homo sapiens, assembly GCF_000001405.40. Taxonomy (NCBI): domain Eukaryota; kingdom Metazoa; phylum Chordata; class Mammalia; order Primates; family Hominidae; genus Homo; species Homo sapiens. The sequence goes on along the minus strand of NC_000001.11, from coordinate 81,890,678 downwards.
CCCTGCGTGATGTGTGCCCCAACACATTGATTCAATAAGAGATATTTTGCTCAAGCAAAATATTCCTATATATTGCATACATTTTTCCTAATCCCCACCTCTCCCAACTCTTAATTACCTTCTTGCTGTTTGTTCCAAATTCTCCCCGACCCCCAACTTAGTCCAAGTTTCTTCCCAGTATCTCCCACGGCTGGCACTTGGCTGTTGAGTTAACCTTGACATGCTGAAAGGTAGATGGATGAACTGTTTTTCCAAAAATAAATTTTCTATAAAAGAAACAAATGGTACCTGTGGCACCAAGCTGCTATAGTAGAAAATTCCAAAATTAATTTTTTCCATATAATTTATTTAAATAACAAAGTTAATCTGTTTACACTATGGAATTGAGTCTTAAATATTCACTATATAAAATCTGGTATGTGAATTCCTGTCTTTGTAGCGTTCTTCACAGTATTCTCCCCACTTGGAATGCCCTTCTATCTGCTCTGCTTCTCCTATAGGGATCAAGAGCTCCCTCCTTTTAAAGCCTCCTCTAACAGAAGACACAGCATAAACTATATCAGGAAACTATCAAAAGATTCAATTCAGAGACAGGATGACAAGTTAGTGCTCGTATAAATTATGTGCATAAGATCCCAAAATTCACATTAATAAATGTTAAGTTTTTCAAAGAGAAGTAATTTATTGCCAGAGATGAGGAGCATTAAAGCAGAGGAGACCGAGGTGACCCACACATACAATCCTTGTACACTGAGTCTTGATAAAAAGGCAAAGAGAAGGGTGGGTACATCTGTATTCCTCAGACTTAACATAATTCCTAATGGCCCAAGGATTTTTGAAATGGTAAATGAATATTAGCTTCAACTTAAAGTCACCAGCTGCATTAGCCCCTAACAAGACAGTCTGTCCTTTGAAACTCTGAAGCCAGACACTGACTTCTCTTCAGCTATGAAGAGTCTAGAGGGCATCTTCTTCCAACAGAAGGCTGTTTTGTCTATATTTAAAATCTGTTGTTTAGTGTAGCCACCTCCATCAATGATCTTAGCTAGATCTTCTGCATAACTTGCTGCAGCTTCTATATCAACACTTGCTGCTTTACCTCCCACTTCTATGTTATGGGAACAATGGCTTCTTTCCTTCAGCCCCATGAGCTAACCTCTGGTAACTGTAAACTTTCCTCCACATCTTCCTCACCTCTCAGCGTTCATAGAATTGAAGACAGTTGGGGCCTTGCTCTGGATTATGCTTTGGCTTAAGAGAATCTTGAGACTGGTTTGATCTTCTCTCCAGACCACTAAAACTTTCTCCATATAAGCAACAAAAGCTGTTTCACTTTCTTATCATCTATGTGTTCACTGAAGTAGCACTTTTAATTTACTTCAAGAACTTTTTCCTTGCATTCACGACTTGGCTAACTGGCACAAGAGGCCGAGATTTCGTTCTGTCTAAGCTTTTGATATGCCTTCCTCACTAAGCTTAATCATTTCTATCTTTTGATTTAATATGAAGAAATGTGCAACTTTTCATTTCACTTGAACATATATAGGCCGTTGTAGGATTATTAATTGGTTAATTTCAAAATTTTTGTGTCTCAGGGAATAGGGAGGCCTGATGAGAGGGGGAGAGACAGGGAAGGGCCAGTTGGTGGAGCAGTCAGAAAACCTAATATTCCTTAAGTTCATCGTCTGGAATGGGCATGATTCATGGCACTCCAATTACAATAATACACATCAAATAGTTATAATAATATCAAAGATCACTGATTACAGATCACCATAACAGATATAATAGAAAAACTTGAAATATTGTGGGAATTAACAAAATGTGACACAGACACATGAAGTGAGCACATACTGCTGGAAAAATGGTGCTGATAAGACTTGTGGGAAACAAGGTTTCCATAAACCTTCAATTTATAAAAAAAGCAGGCCGGGCGCAGTGGTTCACACTTGTAATCCCAGCACTTTGGGAGGCCAAGGGGGGCAGATCACGAGGTCAGGAGATCGAGAACATCCTGGGTCTACTAAGGTGCCAAGGTGAAACCCCGTCTCTACTAAAAATACAAAAACAAAATTAGCCGGGCGCGGTGGCGGGCGCCTGTAGTCCTAGCTACTCGGGAGGCTGAGGCGGGAGAATGGCGTGAACCCAGGAGGCAGAGCTTGCAGTGAGCGAGATTGCACCACTGCGCTCCAGCCTGGGTTACAGAGCAAGACTCCATCTCAAAAAAATAAATAAATAAAATAAAAAAACAATGCAATATCTACAAAGCTCAATAAAACAAGGTTTTCCTATATGCCGGACTCATTTAAGTCTTTCAACATTTCACATACATTTACTTGGGCATTTTGCAAAGGTACTGAAAGCTGTTCCAGTATTTCCAAAATACTAAAGTGAAACTCAATTCGTATGTTGTATGAGCACTGTCAAGCTTTTGATAAAGAGTTGTATTTCACTCTTTATCAAAAGAGGAGTTTCTACGTTTATAGCTGACCTTCTGAAATTCTTGTAACTTATTGTCTCCATACCTTGAATTTTTCTCTACTTGAGTTCAACAATCACATTACTACTTTCATCGTTCTAAAAGGAGAGCTAATCCTAGCAGGCTGAATGGGTTTGACAGCTTTCCCTGGTCTTTTAAGATAAATTCCAAATGCCTAAGTATGGCATAGAAGGCCGCTTGACTGTCTAGCCACAGCCAAAGTATCCAGACTCTTTCCCTGAATTCTCTATCCCAAATGAATGAAATCATACTCATCTTTAAAGGATGTACTCTAATATTAGTCACGAGGTATTTTCTGGGCCTGACAATGAGAACTAATCATTTGTTTGATATGCTCTCAGCAATTTTGTGCAGGCCTAAATTATCACACATAGCAATTAGGAATAATTACAATTTATATAGGTATTAGTCTCTCAGAATATCAAGTCTTGCACCTTTCTCCTCTTTTTCTCCCAAAATGCATCTGCATGTGACAAATTCTATTGAAATAACATAATGATATAATGCTACTTAAGGAAGAGCTACATGTTTAAAATTTCACTCGGGAATGTTGGAACTGGGAGAGATTTTTAGGATCATGCAGCCCGGTGTTTCCTTTTATATATTTTTACTGCATTCCTTAAGTATGACATGTTATATCAAAACAATGTACCCTTAAGATATGAACATATAATTAATGCAAATTTCATGAAATAATACTCATTATATAAACTGTGCTCTGATATTTGCTCTCTTTCATAAGTGATGATTGTAACCCACTAAATACTGTGCTTACAAACTGATAATGGGTTGGAAATCACAATTTGAAAAGCACTGCTCTAGTCTAAACTTTTTAATTAAAAAATTGGAACCAAGGATAGTTATGTGGATTCCTCAAGTTTCTTAAACTAGTTCATGTTAGGCACTATGTAGAAAGACACTGATCAAACTACCTGGGTGGCTGTTCTGCACATTCTCAATACACATTTTGTACATTTTATCAATTGGTTCAGTAAGAAATTTGAAGCTTCAAGTGACACTCAAAGCTCTCTTCTCACCAAAGCAGTAATTCTTCTCAAATCGTATTTAGTATCAGTGTATGAATTTACTTATAATATTCCATATTAAACATACAACAAAATATATTAGGAATGTCTATCTTTAGCTAATTAAAATAGGGGGCACTTTTTAATATCTCTAGATATCGGGCCTAAGTGCATCTTTCAGAGAAAATGTGTCACATTACTGGAATTTCAGAGCTATGGTCTTTTAATCCATTACCAGTTTTCTACCAAGGGATTACCCTCTTGTTTTTCTTACATTAATTATATATAGAATCCTGAGGCAGACATTCTGACAGAAAGAATGTAAACGAGCTAAGCAGACACTATTTTAATTTAAAAGAGTATATGAAAACACTCCATTTTAAATAGAAATCAAATACAGGTTTAAAATTATTTTTATTTGAAAGGTTTTGTTTAAATAAAAATCATAGGTTGAAAAGCCTATCATATTTTATTATTAATTAATGCTGAATAAGTAGTCAACTGAGTTACATCTGCAAAGGTAAAAAGCATTTCAGGAATACTTGGGAAGAAAAAAACATAAAATACAAAATTACCTAATGGTTAACTCACTCTAAGAAGGTGAACTTTCGTTTTCTGGCCAAGAATTATCTGATTACAATCACATTTTATAGACTATAATTTGGGCAATATAAAAGGTGTACCAGCTGGGCATGGTGGCTCATGCCTGTAATCCCAGCACTTTGGGAAGCCGAGACGGGCAGATCACGAGGTCAGGAGATCGAAACTTTCCTGGCCAACATGGTGAAACCCTGTCTCTACTAAAACACAAAAAATTAGCCGGGTGTGGTGGTGCATGCCTGTAGTCCCAGGTACTTGGGAGGCTGAGGCAGGGGAATCGCTTGAACCTGGGAGGCAGAGATTGCAGTGAGCTGAGATCGCACCACTGCACTCCAGCCTGGTGACAAAAGCAAGACTTTGTCTCCCCACCCAAAAAAGTGTACCATTAAGTAACTGCAAAGAAATAACGTGTATATCTAAAATGATACACTGAAATACAAATCAGGTATAAATTATTTAAAGCTGCTTTCAACAAAAAAGATAAAATTCACTTATTACAACCAGGCTGCTTTGAAGATACCCAGGGAGTCAATGTTACTAAGTTACTAGTAAGCATTGATTACCATCGCCCAATATAAGATCCAGTTAATTTCAGTTAACTGTTATCTGACCTGTCTAAATTTTCAAAAAACTACATGTTAAGCCTAATTCGTCACAGTTTTGGAGTAACATCAGTTTGAGATTATTTCAGTGCACACATAAACAACAGTAACAGGGTGCTCAAATTTAGAAAAGACAGACTTCATGGAAATCTCAACCCTTAATTAAATCAGAGTGAGATTTTCAAGTAGTAAATAATAAATCGCAATGAATCCTCAATCTGGTTGTCAAAGTAACTACTTTGCCTCTGCCATAATTGCTGTGATCCCCATCTTGCCCTTTTTGACACCAAGCCTTATCATGCATTCTGGTTAGAGACTGAGAAACTAGCTTTTCTGTTCCTCTCAGGCAATCATGTAACATGCACTCAGCTTGACTGAACAGGGCCATGCGACGATACAAATGCTGAATTAAAGGCCTTTCCTTTTCTATCTGTGAGCAGTAATTAACTAAGTAAGCAGTAGTATATTCTTGTCAAGCCCTGGATAAGACGTGGAACCAAGGTGCCAATTTGGCAGGCCTTAGCAGCTGTGTTTATGGGAAGTTTTTACTAATGAATTAATTTATCATTAGAAGACTTGTTTCTGAACCAGTAATCGCTAATGTCTAAAGTTAAACATTTTTTTTAAATTCCTCTGAAAATAGAGATGAAACATCAGGTTAAAAGAGTCATATATAAAATAAACACAAATATTTACATGAATATGTTACAGTTAACATTTATAAATCAAGTATTATAAGCATAACAGTAAAGACATTGCCAAATAGATGATACCAGCTAAAAACAGTTTTCCTTCACTTTCCCCTCCTTACTTCTATTTATTCGTATTGGTCGTTTTTCAAATAATAACTATTATAAAACAAAATCAATAAATAAATTGGCAATTTTATGTCTCTAACTCCATACACTGTTTCCCTTGCTTTATATTAATTATTTTTACTTCCTTAACTAATCCATTAAAGACACTTGTTTTCCAACATAATTCTATTTGTTTTCAAAAGTCCTCCTTCAGTTCATTTTGCCATATGTTATTCTGGAACACTCTTTTACAGATCACTCAATTATGAATTTATCTCTACTCACTTCAACTACTATATAATATAAGCAATATTACCAATATAGTTTTCATTCTATCACTCTATATCAAAAATCAAAATGATTTTCTTCATCAGCAGGAAGGGTCATGATTCTATATATTCATTATTTCTGTTTTATTTACTTAAACTCAGTATGGGGTCACATTCGTATCAGGTTCCTCTAGAGCTGGTCACTTACGTAGCATATTTATAAGCCTACCTCCCCATCTTATACAGAAAATAGCCCTGATTATGTCACAAGAGTTTCCGAATGTTATATGAAAGAGCAGATACATAGTGTTTTGCTTTGTTCAATATATGTTTAGTCAGAAAGCATTCAATACCATTTTTGCTTTCAACATCATTAGCAATTTTCCCATTTTCAACTTAAAAATAAAATACCAGGCAGGAAATTGTCCAATTTTGGAACAACAGAGCAGAAAGTCTGGTAGACGTTTAGTTTAAAAAAATCAACAGTATCTCTTAGGAAACTATATTCAGTCAACACATAATCCCAGGCAGAAAAAAGTAGCAAGATTCTTTAAAAATCATTCACTAGCACAGGTTGTTCTCATGGGCTGGGCAAAAAGGAAGGCAGTTTGGGATGGGCGCGGTGGCTCGTGCCTGTAATTCCAGTACTTTGGGATTACAAAGCTTGAGCTCAGGAGTTCAAGACCAGCCTGGGTAATGTGGCAAAACCCCGTCTCTACAAAAAGTACAAAAGTTAGTTGGGAGTTGTCGCACATGCCTAAAGTCCCGGCTATTCTGGGGGCTGAGGGGGGAGGATCACTTGAGCCCAGGAGATCAAGGCTGAAGGGAACCAAACCACTGCACTCTAGACTGGGTGACAAAGTAAGACATGTATCCTAAAAAAAAAAAAAAGACAATTTCATATGAAAACAAAGAAACATTTATTCTTAAGAATCCATAACACTTGAGTATACAAAAAGCTGGCAACTAAGGACTTTTTCTCTTAATATCTGCAGCACATCAATATAATGGCTACAATTCTGATCTCAAAAATACCACATATCTTAACTTTTAAAACTGATAAAGGAAGACAGTAATAATTACAAAAATCCAGATAGAGTGCTAGAAAGAGAAAAACAATATAGTTGAACTAGTAATAGGAAGACAGTAATAATTACAAAAATCCAGATAGAGTGCTGGAAAGAGAAAAACAATATAGTTGAACTAATAATAGGAAGACGAGGATGTAAAACAAAAGTTCTGTGCAGTATCAGGAGAGAACCCAGGGCAGCTTACTGGGTTTTAAAGTAACCAGGATATAAAAAATCTCATGGTATGAAATTTATTGCTTAAATATCTTTCCCCCCATTTTTATTTTATTTTAAATAAATGGATTCGCTTATACTCTCTTAGAATTAGTAACTACAAAGTGTCTTGGAAATAGGAGGAGGATTTCCTCCAAAAATCTACATCAAAGCAATAGTCAAAGCTTCATTATCCATGCAAGTAGATGTGAGAAGAACATGATCACAAATGTTCCTACTGGCCTGTGTTAATTTGACATTTACGCTGAATGCTAATATCTGATTTTCGTGGTTCAAATAATAACAAAGTATTTTTTGTAGCACTTTAGTGCTCAAGTAATGTTAGAATGTTATAATTTTTTAAAAAATTCTCTGCTTATGTTCTGTCACATAAAATATACCATACTGAAAATAAACTGCATTACTTCTCAGACTAAAGAAACATACCCCCAAAATTCTTTCTCTTCCAATGAAACAAACCATACCTTAACTGGGGAAGTTAATTATATGCCTGGGTTTCACAAACCAACTGCTGTTGCCAGCTGCATTCTAAATAAGAGTAAACAGAGATAGTTTGAGCTGTCAAGAAAAGACATAATTAAGTAGCAAAAATGCTGTCAATAAAACATAGCTACATTTAAAACTTTAGAAAACAAATAGGGCCAACCAGATTTGGACTGTATTGTATAGGCAATACATTCTTAACCACTAAGTAATTGGGTCAAGTAAAAATAATCTAGAAGGGTTAAGGTCTTCAAACATATACGTGACAAAATAAGATTCTGTTCAAATAGAGGTTAAAAGAGATTGCATAGCCTTTCTCAACTAGGGTTCCACAAGAAAATAAAGCCCCACATAAAATTATTTGAGGGCTATTTCCCAATTCTGTTGAATTCTAGATGCATTAGAGAAATTATTCATTACATACAATAAATGTGTTAGGTCTTAATTATCTACCAGAACTGGTTGAGAGGGGATTGTGGAGCATCTTATGAACTATGAAAACAGATTGCATATTTTTCTGTTTGAAATATGTCATGGATACAAAAGGCATTCCATCCCTCACTCTTCTAACCATAATGTTAATGTGTATGTTCTTCAAATTGCTTTCACATTTACTGTTTCATTATCCAGCTAAACAGCTCTGGTTATCTGGACACAGTTTGCAGAAAGCAGATTTTTTACTGTTTAAAAAAAGGTTTTTTACTCTAGTTTTTAAGATAAAATTAATTTTTACTCTGATGAATACCAAAAGATCCTAACTATGTGGGACATTTAAATTATTAGTAGTATATTTGGCATAAACCAAATTCTTCAATAGGTCTGCCAGAAAGCATATCTCTTAGTTACGGTAGAAAACAGTAAATTCTGCAAACTTCAAACAATTAAGAAAGGGAAAAAAAACACATCTGTAACACCAAGCTGATTTTTTAATGTTTAACCAACTTTCACATTTCTAATTAGAACATATTATGAATCATCATTTCTCTATGTCCACGTTTTTCTTCATATACTTAAAATCAAGAAACAAATTGTACAAATTCTATATACAGACTTTTGTAGTACATCTATCTTGGCATACCAGGAAAGAAGAGAGGCCCATTAAAAAGATAGACTCAGGAAAAAAAGGGGGGATGGTGTGTGATTTCTAGCAATTTTCACACTCAGTGAAAGGAAATGGAGAAAAGGAAAAAAACAAATCAATCTAGTATTCACTGAGCACCACTTAGGTGCTCTAACACATTCTTAGGAACATTTAGGGAAAGATTAAACAAAATATTGTCTTCACCTTGTATAGTCTGAGGTCTACAGGGGAAGCAAAGAAACAGATGAAACATCACCAATCCATACACGGAAGGATATATAAGTAAATACTCAATTATGTGGTGCATACTGTAAGCGGTGTAGGAACTCAGAGTAAAGACTAATGAGAACTGGAGCTGTAAAATACATTATGGAGGAAGGGAGATCTCAGCTTACCCTGGCAGGATGAACAGACAGAACAGAGAGGATAACCATGAGCAAGAACAATCACAAGGGCAGGTTTCTTTCCTTTTTCAGTACTATTTGTAACAACTTTTGATTAAACAATTTCAAACATGAACATGGGACTAATATTTGAAGTACGACCAGGCTTGGTGGCTCACGCCTGTAATCCCAGCACTTTGGGATGCCGAGGCTGGTGGATCACGAGGTCAGGAGATCGAGACCATCCTGGCTAACATGGTGAAACCCCGTTTCTACTAAAAACTACAAAAAATTAGCCGGGCGTGGCGGCGGGCTCCTGTAGTCTCAGCTACTCGGGAGGCTGAGGCAGGAGAATGGCGTGAGCCCGGGAGGTGGAGCTTGCAGTGAGCCAAGATCGCGCCACTGCACTCCAGCCTGGGTGACAGAGCAAGACTCCGTCTCAAAAATAAAATAAAATATTTGAAGTACTCAGTGAATTAATGCCTTACCAAAAATATATATATATAAAGTTCTAGCAATCATTTTGAGTCCCAGATCTACCAATTCCCCTACCATTCATAACAATATATAATTTCACACTTCCACATATAAACCTGTTTATCCTATATTATGCAATATGAGTATACTGGCATTTCAAACAAATATAGGAAGAAATGGGGTGGGATGAGTAATAACACCACAATGTTTAAGACAAATATTCCACTTCGCTGGTTAAAGTAGGGATTTGAGAGGGAAGGACAAAAAGATATTGATAGAGGCAGGAGACAGCCAAATGCCTAGGCAGATAGGGAAGGGTCCCAGGACAACATCCAACCCACCAATGTCATTGTGCACAGGGGGCTTGCCTAAACATGCCCGTGGTGAAAAATTCTGTCCCTTAACACATGCACAGTAAGGGAAATAAATCAATGTGGAATGGCTCAGACTAAGGGCCCGCGTGTGCACTGGACGGAATGGGGCGGGGGGCGGTGGGAGGGAGAAGAAATTCATGCCTTATACAAATAGAAAACCCAGCCCCATCAAGCAGATATAGAAGCCCTCGAATTCAACTGTAAAGGGAGAACCCGGCAACCTGGTTTCAGGACCCCTCTCTTTGCTGAGAGCTTTCCTTTCGCTTAATAAAATCTACACCACTCACTCTTCAAGTGTCCGCATGCCTACTTCTTCCTGGTACTGAGACAAGAACCTGAACCTTGTTAAGCTAAGGAGGAAAATAACCTGCATCAATATCTTAAAATTACTTTCTAAGAAAAACTCTCAGTTAAGAAAGAACTTAAGGCTGACTTAATTTTTCATCTCTGTACAAATTAGAAAAGGCTGTCTCATATATTTTACCCTTAAAAAGACAGAAAGTGTCCAACTATTTGAGAAAGAACTCCCCACACAGATGGAGTATCTGAGGCAAATAATATGCTAGAAAGCATTCCAATAAGGGCTCTTATAGGAATAGTCAAATGATCACTCTTTGAAAAAGGCAACACAGTAGGACATCGCTTTAGACACAGTGAGATAACCAGAAAAATTATAATTTCCATTGTTCGGATGAGGATCCAAAATACAACTTATTTATTGAGGATCCAAAATACAACTTATTTATTTATTTATTTAGATACAATGTCTCACTCTATCGCCTAGATTGGAGCACAGTGACAAGATCTTGGCTCACTGCAACCTCCACCTCCAGGATTCAAGTGATTCTCATGCCTCAGCCACCTGAGTAGCAGGGATTACAGGTGCGTGCCAACAAGCCCGGCTAATTTTTGTAATTTTAATAGAGACAGGGTTTCACCACATTGGCCAGGCTGGTCTCAAACTCCTGGCCTCAGGACTCCTGGCCTCAAGTGATCAGCCCGCCTCGGCCTCCCAAAGTGCTAGGATTACAGGTGTGAGCCACTGCACCAAGCCCATACAACATATTTAAACGACCTGTTTTTGTTCACAGTGCTAGTAATTAGGAGGAATGCAAATCGAATTCAGTTATTTTGTATTTGGGTTTCTATTATCACTTGATTTTTTTCAGAAGAAGAATAAATAATATTATAAAAACTTCTTTCTTTCTCATTATAAATCTACCTGGCTCACTTAGGCAAATGCATTTTAAGTTGTTTTTTTTTTTTTTAAATTCTGGGTTAAGTAATTCATCACCAACCAAATAGCTATAACACTTTAAAAAAAGGGCTTAAGAGTTGTCTAAGCCAACTTGCTACTGTTCTAGTCAAGGAAATGATCTAAGTGACTGCCCAAAGATACACAGCAATTCAGTGGCAGAGAAAGGTCAAAACAAATAATTTAAACTGTGATGATTCTAGTTCCTCAAACACTACTTCTAAGTATTCTGAGATTTTTTTTTTCCTGAGCTTGCTCGCTAATTACTCTGTGTTTTAAGCATACTTCAGTTTCTCCAGCTTATTTCCCAATCATGTGGGGCTCCAATTCTACTCATTTATATGTTGCATTTCTAAATGCACAATGTTACTTTCAGTCTGGTCCTAGTATTAAAATAATTCAATAATCTCTAAACTAATCTTTTTATCAGAGTTACAGATCATTCATTGAAGGGGTAAAGGAAGAAGATACATTATTTTCATATTTGGTTTTCATTTCATTGTTTGCTAGGCTAACATATTTGTTTAAGAATATATTCAAGGTATTTTTAAATGTTTTGGGGGAAGTATCTTCTTTCAGAATGTATACACGTTTTAAAACAAGTGCTAACTTTTGATATGAACTAATTAAACTAGAATCCAGTAAAACCAAAATACTACCGTAGCATATAATTTGTGTCTTTTTAGAAAAGAAATATTCTTAGTGTGTTCAAGACAAGACTATAAACCATTACACTGTGTTTATTTCATGTTTCCCATGACACCATTTACTCTAGCTTTTAGCCTTTTATGTGACATTGAGCTATTTTACAGTTACAAAATAGTTGAAAAGAATGACCTGTTAATTTGAAAGGGACACATTACAACATCTCTCTCTGGCACTATAATATTTTAATTTCTTTTCTGAAGACAAACCAGTTGGAAAGTGACCATCTGCTAGTGTGTTAGTATTATTTGGGCAAAGTAATGAATAAATGTCCTCCTTTGCAGTAAGAAGAAGACGATTAAATGAAAGAAATCCAGGGTGAACAACTGAAACTAACAGGTTGATTCAGTGCCACATAAAATGCCTTTTTCATTAATTATTTACAACTCAAACGAATAATTTTAAAACATGCATTGATAGTATAAATAAATCTTCTGAAATCTACTTTTTACAGTCACCAAATAAATATATTACAAAGCAAACAATTAAAAATAAAACTTTCTATCAATTCTTCTCATATAATTTCTTCAACATCTATTCAAACATAGATAGGCTGTCCCCTATCTATGTTCCTCATGTTAGATATGTTAAGGGAAAAGAGCAAAGCATGCCACTGAAATAGTCTTCTTGTGCCTGAGGGAAGTGCTTTGAATGTAAGAGATTTGCATACTTGGAAAGCTATGGCTTCCCTGAATCTCTTGGAAAGCTTACCAGATGAGACTAAACTCACGAAACTGTAGTCCAATTTTTAGGAGCAGAAACTATAAATGTTTATTCATTACAACTGCATAGTATTCTAATATAGCAAACAAATGGAAAATTATGGATTTTTATAATAAACATTGCCAGCCAGTTTTTAAAAAATCTGTAAACATGATTTACAGAGATTTTTCTTTCTTTCAAATAAGATTTAACTGGCTATGTCAACCTTGACTTATGATTAACACCTGGTAAACATTTTAAACGGATTTAATCGCTATTAAGCAGATAAGTCACACTCAATAACTTCTAAAGGTAAGGTATCCATATAACCACCTATAAATGGCAGTAGCTAGATTTCTTTTAAGGTCTACGTCTAACTTGCCTTCCCAAAAAGGCAAGTTAGGCTTTTTTTTTAACAAAGCAAGGTTCTTAAAGCAAACAACAACCTCCCCCCTCCCCAAAAAAAGCCACGTATTGTTCCTAGGTTTAGTTTCAGTAAAATGTGGCTCTAAAAATAAATGCTATGTATTTAAATATTCCTGGTTCATTCAGGTCAAACTAGGAATGTGTGTTGTTCTTGGAATATCTCCAGAACCTCAAGTACACACATTAAAATACTGAAACAATTTACTGGCTCCTTCTATGATTTAACACTGATGTAGCATCTTACTATATATATCAGGCAAGATTCTCAGTACTTTATGAATAATATTATAATTACTTTAATCCTAATAGTAATATTTTAATCCTCATTTTAAAGATATGTAAAACAAAGCACAGAAAGGGTAAGTGGCCCAAGGTCATGAACAGAAGAGCTATGATTCAGACTTATTCAGACTAGCTCTAGATTATGCTCACAGCACTGTTATGCCACCTTAGTCATGTCAATTGCAGCAATAAATTTTAATGCACAGAGATGAAGGCAAATACTCTTAATTGGGAAAGTCAATCCTGAGAAATATATACTATTTTATGCCACCTTGAAGTGAGAATATCTATTAAAACAAAATGTTGTTGATCATGGACAATTTAATACAAAACTATTAAAAAGGATGGCCAGGAGACAGGAACAGGAGTTAAGGCTCAATATTGTAGAATGAGCGGTTGGGCAGGAGTGGTTAAGAAGAGCACTCAGAGAATCCTGGCTCAGGGAAGGAATTTGATCTACTTTGAATTCCACTACATTAGAAAACCAAGGTTGTTAATAAACCTCAACCACAGTCAACAGCTTTGAAACTATGGCTAAAACTTTTTGAAGCTGAACTTCCACAAGTAGATTTAGCTGTGTAAAAGCTAAAGGTAGGGAATAACAATAAATGTCAAGAAATCTTAATAATTTTTCTCTAGTCTGAGGATTTGAGTTATCTGGATTCTGTCACTAAATTACTACCTTACCCTGAACAAAAACATCAAGTCTTGAACTACTGTGCATCTGATCCCTCGAGTCACAAATTAGGGTGTTGGATTATTAGCTTCAGAAAGTCCTAACTTCTACAAGTCTTTAACTTAGTCACTCTAGTTAAACAAGTACTTATTGATAGCCAGGTAACTCTACTTGTTAATACATGAAAACCTCTGTTAAGTACAAATCAGGGATTTCTCTAGTGGTCTGAAAGGATTTAATAGAATCAAAGGAAAAAGTAATTTTATAGCACATATGAATGAGTGTAAAAGGTCACATATTGTCTAGTATTATTAAGAGGTTTATAGGAAATTAAAATACTACAGATTACAATGTAAAGATATACCATAAAAACAAATGTTGGGATTCTTAAATATTATTCCCTGACAGAGTATATATAAAATTATGATAAAAATAAATGATAAAAGGTATTTAACTTACAAGTATCCGCTTCAAAAAATATTTCAGAAACACATTCAAAGCATATAATAAAACCAACCTTAATTCCACTTTTGACAAGGCATCAAAAACTCTACATTCTTAATGTATTTATTTCATATAAAGTCTTGCGTGGAAAGCACTATAACTTAACTCTTTAAAAAATATTCTAAAAATTAGCTCAAATATGGTAACTCTGGTAAAATGTCCAACTTTTTACAATACCTTAACCATTTATTGAAAAACAAAAACATAATTCTCAAGGTCTAGACTCTTAGAAAAAGACTTGTTTTACAAGCACTTTTTATACAGTATTCTCCTTATGCACTTTAAAAAGCTGAACTACTATAGCAAATGCATAATTGATTTACAAGGGAGAAAGTTCAAGTGAAGGACATACTGTTAACTGTGCATTAGAGAGACGGGGTGGAAGAAAATGTACCTCTCTGGAACATTTTGAAAACAATATTACAAAAATGCAAATGCCAGATATAGGTGATGCTCTCCATTTCACAGCAGCACCTAAGTCACACATAAACCCTAAGCCCCCTCCAAAAACAATAACAAAAGGACAGACTACATATCAAGCTACAAATAAAAGGCAAGTGTTTTTCCATTATGGACATGTAAGAAGAGTGCTACACTTAACTAGTATTTTAAAGAGTAAGATTTAATTGTTGTTCCAAATTTACACAAGTACATCAAGAATCTGGTCACAATATGGTGCAATATTAAACAGATTCAAATATATCACAGTTAAAAATCCTATATAACAATGAACAATGCTATTAACAATGTAATAGAACATAACATACTCATAATGTTTCTGTCACTCAAAAGCATTATAAAGCTGCTTTAATCAAATTTTGCTTCCTAAATTCTGTATTTTGTTAAATGACAGAAATAGATCTTTATTTTCCTATATATTTTTCATCCCAAACCCATACGAATAACTACTCCAGCCACTCAGTTTTCAATCCAACACTAGAAGACAAGTATTATTAGGGAAGTGGGCCAGCAGTTGTTCACTCTGTCATATCCCTTTAATGCAACTCTGATTTGCCTTTGTTCTGACAGTAGCAAACAGCTACTTATAAACGACCCACCATCACTGGGCTGCCTCCCATTATTCCACACTTTTGTTTGACAAGGTCACTTGCTGCAGGGATTTTGGGGAGAAAGAGTGTGCAGCCTATAGAAGTTAAGAGTTTAAAACACAGGCAATCCAGCCATTTTTCCTCTGGCAGCACAAGCAAATTAAAACTTAAAAAAGAAGGTCAGGTTCGATGGCTCATACCAGTAATCCCAGCACATTGGGAGGCTGAGGTGGGTGGATCACCTAAGACCAGAAGTTTGAGACCAGCCTGGCCAATGTGGTGAGACCCCAATCTCTAATAAAAATGCAAAAATTAGCCGGGCACAGTGGTGTGTGCCTATAATCACAGCTACTAGAGAGGCTGAAGCAGGAGAATCACTTGAACCCAGGAGGCAGAGGTTGCAGTAAGCTGAGATGGTGCCACTGTACTCTAGCCTGGGGTACAGAGCAAGACTCCATCTCAGAAAAAAAAAGAAAAAGAGAAGAGAAGAGAAGCGAAGAGGCAAGACATGACAGGACAGGACAGGACAGGACAGGACAGGACAGGACAAGACAAGACAAGACAAGACAAGACAAACAAGACAAGACAAGACAGACAGAAAGAAAGAAAACTCAGATCAGGAAGAAAGCAAGTGGAGAAACATTTCAGAAAAACTCAAGGATACACTTTCAGCTTTATCTTGGTTTTAAGTTTCAGTAACAATTTAATTTATGACTAATTTCATTAAGAGGAAAAGAGGCAGGTACCTCTAGTTACCTTCATAATCCCATCAACTTCATAATTCCATCAGATGTTGACTGTTACTTTTGATAAATTTTACACAATATGTAAATCAATCTGAAACTTATTGGTAAAATGTTTAATCAATATTCTGCCAAGGTTCCAAAAGGTACAACTGACACTATAAAGCAAGGGTCCCCTTTAATTTTCAGCTTGACCTATGATCTTCAGAAGGGCTTAAAGCTACATGACAATTTCACATAATTAAGTTGTTTCCAAAGGGAGCCATGAAGACTGAAATGGCAAGTTTTCAATGCCACGGAAGAATGTGAAGAAAGAATGTTGGAGTAGCTACCCAACCAAAACAAATCATGATTTTGTGATTTTGAAAGTTTATGAGTGGGAAAAGATCTAAGAAACTCTTTACACATTTTTAGGATAAAACTCCCTAAACATTACATAGAAATCTGGAGTTAAATACTTACTGACAAATATTTATCACACTCCATCTTTTTTACCTACATATATAATTAGAGACCTTTGTACATTTTTCATCTTTCAACCATCAGAAGGAATATGAGTCAATAGTAAATTTCAATACTTTATTAATGCTTAACTAAAATAAATCAAATTATTTTCAGCAACTTTGGCACTTTGGATGTGTTTGTTGGTAAGAATTAGATATTTCCATATGCAGGGTGGGACTAAGAATCAAGTGATTACACCTTAATTGACCTCATTCTCTATTCAAAGATTATGATAATATTCATAGAATATACTATCCAAGTTTTCAAATAATTTCCAGCCTCCTGCTATCTAACATGATCAGCAAATTTTACCAGTTCTTGTCTCATGTGGAAGGAATTCTAATTCTAAAACTGTTCTGATTACCTTAGCTGGGTTGATGCTATATACCTTGTAAAGGCTACTCCATTTTCTGTAATTCTTACCCATACACTCTGATCTATCATTTATAATGTTCAAGTAAAATGGTTTTTTTACATTTCAATCAGAATTACCTCTTTACTGTCAAAGCACATTTACAAAATACCAAATTTAGAGACATACAGAAATAAGTATTGTAACTAAACTATATTCAGATTATCCAGTGCTAACAAGTACTCACATAGCAAAAAAATAAAAAGAGGCTAATGATAATCCTTTATGACAGTCTTCACTTTCACACAAAGATTTAAACACTCTAATAGTTCACTATTAAGAGTACAGGACAGAAGATTTTCAGTTTCATTTATACTCAAAGCAGAGAAATCACCAAAACTCTTTTACATCTCTCCATTTTCCTTAAAGCATGTTAACAGCAGGTGGTCTATACCATCTTGGAAATAGGTAGGTGGCTTAAAATGCCTTTACATGTCAAGAGCCTGAATTAAAAACAAATGTGAGCTTTAACTTCATTTTCATTTTAAACTACATTCTATATACTGATTTCATACTATAAATTTGCTCATTTTAATCCATGTTCTTCAGAGAGTTAAGCATTATTTAAGCTGATATAGCTGAAAAAAATAAGCCAGTAAGAAATTGTAAGTGCTTCTGATATTCATATTTAACTTTACTTATTTTTGCACACAACAAACTTTTTAGCTTTCCTTTATACTGATGAACACTAACAGGCATTAACACCATCACAATAGGAAAATCATGATTATATTGTTTATGTATTAGTCCTTAAAAATCCAGAAAAATATCCATGTAGATATGTATAGCTAAGTGTCCTCTCTTGGCAATGACTTTTTAGAAAAAATGATCTAAAATAATTAAAATAATTTCCAAGGGCATATGCCTCCTTCTACTTAGTCTGACATGTGAGTATTACAACAGCCAAACTGAAACACAAAAGTCCAGTAAGCACCAACACTTGATTAATCTCTCTCTGGTTATCAGAGAGACTAATTTGTCTAGTGACAATACCTAAAATCAATGAGAAATGAGGTATCACCTGTTGAAATATGTGAACTGTAAAGTATAGTTTTATTTTTCATCTTCCAGCAATAATGTAGTCACTTATGTTTACCATTTGACTAGACAATAAAAACAGTGTCTTCAATCCTAAGCCAAAAGAACAAAGCTGGAGGCATCACGCTACCTGACTTCAAACCACACTACAAGGCTACAGTTACCAAAACAGCATGGTACTGGTACCAAAACAGATATAGACCAATGGAACAGAACAGAGCCCTCAGAAATAATACCACACATCTACAACCATCTGATCTTTGACAAACCTGACAAAAACAAGAAATGGAGAAAAGATTCCCTATTTAATAAATGGTGCTGGGAAAACTGGCTAGCCATATGTAGAAAGCTGAAACTGGATCCCTTTCCTTACACCTTATACAAAAATTAATTCAAGATGGATTAAAGACTTAAATGTCAGACCTAAAACCATAAAAACCCTAGAAGAAAACCTAGGCATTACCATTCAGGACATAGGCATGGGCAAGGACTTCATGTCTAAAACACCAAAAGCAATAGCAAAAAAAGCCAAAATTGACAAATGGGATCTAATTAAACTAAAGAGCTTCTGCACTGCAAAAGAAACTACCATCAGAGTGAACAGGCAACCTACAGAATGGGAGAAAATTTTTGCAATCTACCCATCTGACAAAGGACTAATATCCAGAATCTACAAAGAACTTAAATTTACAAGAAAAAATCAAACAACCCCATCAAAAAGTGGGCAAAGGATATGAACAGACACTTCTCAAAAGAAGACATTTATGCAGCCAACAGACACATGAAAAAATGCTCATCATCATCGGTCATCAGAGAAATGCAAATCAAAACCACAATGAGATATCATCTCATACCACTTAGAATGGCGATCATTATAAAGTCAGGAAACAACAGGTGCTGGAGAGGATGTGGAGAAATAGGATCACTTTTACACTGCTGGTGGGACTGTAAACTAGTTCAACCATTGTGGAAGACAGTGTGGCGATTCCTCAAGGATCTAGAACTAGAAATACCATTTGACCCCGCTATCCCATTACTGGGTATACACCCAAAGGATTATAAATCATGCTGCTATAAAGACACATGCATACATATGTTTATTGCAGCACTATTCACTACAGCAAAGACTTGGAGCCAACCCAAATGTCCATCAATGATAGACTGGATTAAGAAAATGTGGCACATATACACCATGGAATACTATGCAGCCATAAAAAAGGATGAGTTCATGTCCTTTGTAGGGACATGGACGAAGCTGGAAACCATCATTCTCAGCAAACTGTCACAAGGACAGAAAACCAAACACCGCATGTTCTCACTCATAGATGGGAACTGAACAGTGAGAACACTTGGACACAGGATGGGGAACATCACACAACAGGGCCTGTTGGGGGTGGGGGGAGGGGGGAGGGATAGCATTAGGAGACATACCTAATGTAAATGACGAGGTAATGGGTGCAGCACACCAACATGGCACATGTATACATATGTAACAAACCTGCACATTGTGCACATGTACCCTAGAACTTAAAGTATAATAATAAAAAAAGAAAAAAAAAATCTTCAAAAAAAAAAAGGAAAGATTAACATCTACAAATGCTTTAGGTAAAGAGTACAAAGTTTTCAAAAAGTAGTTTTATACAAATAATACCAACCACTATAAACACTAAAATTTTCATGAACAGAAAAATAGAGAACCATGAAAAATAAATATGTTTTTGGTTGTTTTAACTATGCTAACACATAAATGAATAAAATACAGGTAAAATTCATTTTATTTCAACACTATTAGTGCCAACAAAAAACAAAAGCTTGGTAGTTTCATAATACTTTTTGTCTGCAAAAAATAATTTCATTTTAAGCTCTGACAACTTAGAATGTAGTGTATATTCCTGTATTTTGAAAATAACTTCCTAGGCCCATCATTTTCAACTATGTCAGAATTAGATTATCACTATGGGTATTACTCAAAATGTGAAGTTTTAATGTGAAACTGACTAAAAGTTTCCATATCTACCTTGGTTTTATTTTAAAATTGATCCTTGCAATTTCAAGTGTGACCTTATTAAGTTTCATATTTTTTTCCCATGTATCAAAATGCTCCAAGAAAGAATAAACAGGAATATTTAGTTTTGATTTTAGAACATTTAAATGTATGAACGGAGGAGGATCACTGGTCGTTCTGGGTGTCGGGACTGTAGATGTGGGAAATAAAATTTAGAGAATCAGGTATTTCAATTTATGTAATTAGGAGTAAATAAAAGGTGTTTTGTTTGCAAATCATCTATTTCAACAAAAGTTAGATTATCAAAAAATTATAATAAAATAATGACACTTTATTCTCCTTTTGTAAAAACTCTCATGAAAATGTGTAAGTTTTATCTGCAGATACATACGCTAATATGTACAAACTTAACCCGAATAATTGGCAGTAACAAGCTAAGTCTTTAAGTGTTATTTTGTTATTGTTGTTTTGTAAGGAAAATGTGCATTTCCTACTTTTTAAATTTTGACATGATATATAGCACTACTGTTTAAGATGCACAGCCATTAAACATATTTTACAATGTAGATCAAATAGCTAACAAATTCTCATAAAGAGATCTGAATACTTAAGTGAATACAAAGGAATTCAAAATTACACTTGGCCGCATTGAAGACTCAACTTAAATCTAAAAAATTTTAATTAAAAAAAACTTAACACGTCTACCTAAATAAAGTATGCATCTGAACATATAATGTATATTACTCAATTCTGAGTCACAAATTATATTTTTTTTTTACATACATTTAATCAACAGTTTTGATGATCAATGTGACTGACATTCACCTTTCATTTTCAGAACAGTGAGAAACTGTAATTATTTATAAACTGTGAAGAGACTAAAGTATTCAAACTATACACATATATTAGTACTTTCCTATCATGATGTTTTTATGTGTCTACTTAGTTATGTTTACAATGGCTGGAAGTCATTATACATGGTGATCTAATACTAACAGGTGGCCAATATTAAGTGGATTTCCTGAAGAAAGGAACAGCAAGATTACAGCCTCCATTAAGAAAATAAACTGATCTGTGTATCTTTATACTGTAGTTTAAAGTAACGTAGCAAGGGCCTTCCAGTCTCTTTTTTTAAGCGTGTTTTTTAAAATCAGAACTTTGATCAGGTAATAGGTCTAAATTTTTATATTCTCGACAGTCTTTGAAAATAACTAAAAAGAAACTTCGAAGGTGAAAAGGAAAGAAAAAAAAGACCTCGAAAAGGACCCAAGTGATTTATAAGTATATCTTAACAATAATTTGGTCCTCTTCTATCTCAGTCAACAACACCAACATTCATCCAGGTTGCACAAACCAGAAACCGAAGAGTAAGCAATCCTTGACATCACTTCTCCCATCTCCAAGTCTGACTGATTTCAATGTTTCATCTCTAAACTATTTTCTTTACACCATCTCTACTGTAGCAAGATAATCCACATATTGATCATTTATTCTACTGCTCTCACAACATCCTTTCAAATCCCCTGCATATACTTTATATGCAGTATGAATATCCACATTACACATTCCAATGCATCTTTGGTTACTAAATACGGACAGTATCCTACCTGTGAGTGGCTGAGTAAAACAAAAACAGTATTCCTGCCCAGATAGAGCCAACATTCTAGTGCAAATAACAGGGACCTTTCCCCCCAAAAAAGATGTAAAATAGATAAACAGGTTCATGTTTGTAATAAGTGCTAAAGAAGAAGCAAAGTTAACAGAGTTTTGTAGGTATGAATGTTGTAGGGGAGAAGGGTGTTTTAATTGGGCAGGTAGCTTCTCTGAGATAGGAAAAATTACATGTCGTTCTAAAAAAGAAGTTATCATAAGAAGAGGAGGAGACAACGATCCTAGGCAAAGAAACTATAGATGTATAAAGACACTGAAACGTTTAAAGGAACTAAAATAAGATCAGTATGGCTGAACCCAGGAGAGCTTACCGAAGGGTAGCTCCATGGCAAGCTGGAGAGAGGATCCAGGGCCAAACTGCTTAGAGTTGTGTGCCTACTGAGGCCACTGAGAGTTTTTGATAGGAAAAGTGATCCAATTTATATTTCACAAAGTTCACTTTGCTAAGCTATGGGGAATAAATGGAAAAACAGGAGGACAAAAATGAAAGTAGCCACCACACAAAGCAACCACCTTTGTAGAACATACCCTATTTGTAATTTAGTCAATGCATGTCTCCGCAACATCTTAACCAAGTGTAAGTTCCATGGAGGCAAGAACTTTGAGTAGTTTTGTTTCAACAGTATTAGCACTGCCTACTGCAATGCCTAGCACATAGCAGTGGCACGGATTTTAACAATAAAACCTCTTCAATGTAAAAGGAAAATAATTTTTATCACACACACACACACACACACACACACACACACACCACACACACACAGCCTTGCCCAAAGTGGAGCTTTTTTATTAAGTGGATTACAATGGCATAATTATTTGTGCCCATATTGGCCTACATATTTATCTGGGAGGGTTGCCCAGCTTTTGTCAGATTCTCCAAAGAGTCTATAAGCTCCAAATTTTTAAGAACAACTAACACTGTAAGGTAGAGTTACCATACGATATAAAGAGATAATAATCTAAAATAGAACAGAAAACGAAATAAAATCTAAGTTCTTCACAAATGGATAAGTTAACTCCTGATTATTCACTCAACTACAGAATATCTTATGAATTAAAATTTTTTTGAATATTACTTATTCTTGACTTTGCAATGAAGTATTTGGTTTTCCTTTATAAATTTATTTCATTTAGGTAATTAGTATTAGCAATTCCATGTAAACAAAAGTAGTTCACAATCTTCTTTTTAAAAATCTGATGTTTGTAGATAAGAATTAACCTACAGATAATCAGACATTATTTTGCACAGTAATTTAACTAAATATTTTCAAGTACAGAAATATAAAACTCATTCATCAGCTTCAATATTGTTTTTTCTCTCATGGATCAGTAGAGCTGCCTCCTAACTTCTGACTTGCTGATACAAATCTGAAAAGAGCCACATGGCATAGGCCCATGAGCACATAGCAACAGCAGTCAGAATACTCCAGGGAAGAAGTTTGGTTCGTTTTTATAGACACCCAAAACAGCACTCCTTTTTTCCCATGGGGTTCAATAACAATGCTACCTTGTTCAACAGTATAGCAAAGCACTTTATATACAGGCTTTTTTGGCTGTAGTTTTAGGAAAGTAGACATTTCAAAACATTAAGATTTTAGTAATCAAACACTAATCATAAAAGTAATTTATTACCCAAAAGCAAGTAAGATGACTAAGAACATTAGTAAGGATTTTTTATACTACCCAGTTTTAAAAGTAACCACTATTTTAAATAACATAGATCTCAAATTCTTGTGTCTAGAAACATAATGCAATTTTTATAACTCTGTACAGTTTATTTGTAATCACAGATAACTTATATTCCAGTAATGAAGCACTTACTTGCCACTTTAAATTCTGTGCTTTGAGCTCACCCTTGCTTAATGTTTGTTAAAAGTCACCTAAGATTCCTATGCATGTTATGGACAAGATCCAGAGAGTATCTATTTTATGCACACACCCCAAAAAAACCCCATACATCCCAAATATCAGAGATTAGTTTCTTTGGGGTAAGATATACAATGAAGTTAATAACTGAATCATTAAGCTATGCTTGCAGAAATGAATCCTATATGAATAATGAAAGATTATCTTGCATTTTGCAAGATACAAAATTACAAATGTCATCTCAGTAAAACACCATTTCAATAAGAATTTTCAATAATTTTCAGAGAAATTTATATATAACTTATTTCTTTAAAATAACTTTTGCCTGCCACAGTAACAATTCAAATTTAAAACTGAAGGTAAATTTTTAATTATTTATTTTAAACATTCTTTGAGGAAATAGTACTTGTCTCTATTACTTAAAAGGATGCCAGAATATATAAAAAGTTGTATTCATCCATTGAACCAATAGCTGCCTACTATACTAATATATGCCAAGTACTATTCTATGAAACAAAACTTTGAACAAAAAGGAAAATGACAGGTCCCTGTCCTTTATACATAGAGTTTATAGTGGGAGAGACATAAAAATAAAGTATTTACAGGTACTAAGACTGTTAAGGAGAAAATAAATAGGATGATGTAATTGGGAGGTGCTTTCCATATAATGGCTATGAAAAGCCTCTCTGGGGTTGACATTAATTAGAACCAAGGCCTAAAGGATGCGAAAAAGTCAGTGATATGACAAGCCTAGGAATGAGTGCCAGAGGCAAGAAAAAATGTAACATGTTTTAGAAAGAAGAAAAGAGCATGAAATGTTATTTCTTTCCTATTCTGCTACGAGCATCAAGGCTTAACAGTGTAAACCATGGACTTGAGAAAGGAAGGTTCGATTTTAATCTCAGCTCTAACTTAACAGTTATGTGATCTTGGCAGTAAGTTACCAAAACATTTTTAGCTCCCTTTTTCTAATCTATTTAATGGAGAAAATAAGATCCCTATTTTATGACTGTTGGCACAAAAAGTTTTCATCACACAGAAAATGCTCAATTCCTTCTTCTTCAAAACTGCTGTCACTTTTACCTTTCTTAACTTAGAAGATACAAACTGTTTTCTCTTTAAATGTCACAATTATGCAGAACATTTTTAATAAAACCATTTCCAACAAAATTTTCAATGCTGCTTAAAATGATCAAGATTTCATAGACAATTGTGATGTCAGCCCTCTCCTCTGCTTCCCTTTAGGGTGATGAATTGTCTCCCTAAGTTCTCCTTGTCTGCAGGGCAAGTAGCAAAGGTTACTAACAAAGTCCACTTCACTCCCTGGGTATCTCTCAGGAGAAATGTACCATCGGCTCAAAACTAGTAATGAAACTACTAATCTCACATGAGAAAACATAATAAATTAAGAATTAGAGACAATTTTTCTTTCTAGAATAGGTAGGCTCCTCATCTATGGTGGTAAGTGAAGAGGATATTTTTAAAAAACTTAAACATCTTTAAAATAGAATTTATGTGAACATTCCATATCCCCAAATAAAAGTGACAAAAAATAGCTTCGATGTAGTGAAAGCTGCTAAAATACTTCCAGTTCTAATATTTCACATTTATCTTTATATCAGGAGGAGTCTGACTGGAGATTTCAGACATGGCTGTCATTCATCAACTCTCAATAAAGAAAATGTTGGCCAGTGTCACAACTAGCTTTGTCAACAGTTAGAACTACATTAAATTTTAGAAAAACAAAATAAGGTTACAGCTTTGGGAATGTAGAAGAAACCTGAAAAACAATGGGGTACTTTTGCTAACTTTGTCTCTGTAAGAGTAAAGCCTGTTTGTTTAAATAGTAAATAGAGAAAAAGGGCAGAGACATCAAAATACACAGACAATCTGCTACCTACAAAGTGGTATACTGGAAGCCGTAAGGTTTTTTTTGTTTTTTGGGGGTGGTTTTTCTTTTGAGATACAGCCTTGTTCTATTGCCCAAGCTAGAGTGTAGTGGTGCGATCTTGGCTCACTGCAACCTCTGCATCACAGGCGCAAGGGATTCTCCTGCCTCAGCCTCCCAAGTAGCTGGGATTACAGGCACCCACCACAACACCCAGCTAATTTTTGTTTTTTGTTTGTTTTGTTTTGTTTGTTTTTTAGTAGAAATGGGGTTTCGCCATGTTGGCCAGGCTTTTCTCAAACTTCTGATCTCCGGTTATCCGCCCACCTCAGCCTCCCAAAGTGCTGGGATTACAGGTGTGAGCCACCATGCCCAGCTTCGTAACTTTTAGAAATAAAGTAAAACAGAAAAATCAAATCCAAGGAGGTGGGGAAATTCCATTTTCCAACTTCATTGTAAATATATTTATGGTGATTAAAACTTTCATATAACAGATACAAATGAGGCTATCAAATTAAATAGAAACAATGCAATATTCACTTAATTTTTTAAAAAATTTATCCTTAATATGTCATAGGTCAATTCATTCTTAGGTGCAATATTCTGGACATGTCAGTAACAGCTATTTGGGGGTGGGGAAAGGATTCTTCTAGACACTGTTTCAATGTTGTAGAAATTACAATCAATTTTTTTCTAAATCAGAAATAGGTCCTCACTAAATATATACGTATTTGCCAACTGATATATATGCTGACTTCAGACACATGACTTGGCACTTAATTCCCCATTTAAAAAAAACTTCTTGCTTGACAATTCTGAGGCTCACACTGAGTCTCTTATAATAGATGGATATACAGAATTAAGCCATGAAATATATTGAAACTTACTAGAACAGTTATGACTGTTGCCATAAGATTGTTGGCCCATATCTATGCTAAATATATCCATAATAAAGTATAAAATTAAAATACCTGAAATGCTAAAATTTTAACGTGGTTTTCATAATTTTAGTGTCCGTGAAGAAAAATTAAATTCTAGGATTTTTAGCTCTTCCTCCACAATAGATTACCACTTAATATCAGAAAATTGTAATTATTTTTAATGTTGTTCCAATAAACACTTAAAATTGCTGAAAAAGAAAGTATCTACTGCTCTTCAGATTAATTCAACTCTTGGTACTAAGGAATTACAAGAGTCTATCTAGGGTGTTGTAAAACTGGTGACACATAATTCAGTAAGTTTGGGTCAGATGTATTGACTTTAATCTCTTTCTGCAGCTAAATATGTACAAATCAACTACGTATCTTTGTGAGAAAACATGCTCTTTTATTCTGTAGCTTGCACTCAATATATGATACCTGGTTTCTTGAGTTCACCCCTTAATTAGCCATAAAACACTTAAATCTCACTTTATACTAAATCAAATTTAAATAGCAGCAAGATCCTAAGGTTTCCCATCATCTGCCATCTTTTCATCAGCTCACTACAACCCACTCTCAGCAACTTAAGAATAATCACAGGAGGGAGCCACTGCTATTTAGGGCAAAGAGTCCTCAAGTTAGGGGTGTAGGATAATGGAGCAAAGAGATTGCCAACTATAATTTTAGAGAGTTTTTTTCTGTTTCTGAAAAAGGATCCTTTCTGGGACCATCATAAAGCCTGACATTCCTTGGGCAATATTATGCAGTATTTAGGAGGCAACAGAGAAATGCCACAACCAAGCAACCAAGTTCCAACAATGGCTGTGGTTTGGGTGCCTCAAAAGCTTGCAAGACAGTAATGAAGAAGAACCTGAGCTGTCTGTTGCCCACCCTCAATTCATATATGACAGGGCCCAAAGTGAGAAGGCAACCAATCCTGCAAAGATCAGCAGCATGGGAACCAAACAACCAGGTTTCTAATTCATGTCTGACACCAGCTAGCACCGGCTATTAATCACAAACAAATCATCTAACTTCACTGTACTGTTAGACTCCCCCATAAAATTTTTAAAAACCCTTGTCTTTAAAAAGTCTATACAGAATATTCCCTTGAAAAAGTATAAACATGATGCCAAAAATCAGATTCTCAGCCTTCAGTGTTTGTTCGTTTTTCTTGACTTAGTACTTAGAAACCAGTATTATGCTTATGTATTTGGTTTTATGGGGAATTTGTTTTTTCAAAACACATTTTGGTTTTGAAAAAGCTTTTCTTGTTTACAATAGTGTGAATGGGGTAGGAATCATTCACTTATTCACTCCTCCAACAGTTATTATCTCCTCTGTATCAGATGTGTTTCAGTGCATGGGAGACACTGGTAGAGGCGAAAGTGGTAAGTAAACTTGCTTGGTAAAAGAGTAAAAGTACTACAAAAAAACTAAATATTATTCTTCTTTCCCTAAAGTTTATAAAATACAAATCCAGCAACAAAAAAATGGCTTACTCATGTTCTATTAACATAGTCATCTGCTGGGAAATTCATTTTTTCTGTCATTCATTCATTCATTCATATATAGTGACAAAGTCATGGTACCTGCTCTTATTAAGATATAACAAGGCTATGTAAGACTAGCTTTGAATCAAGATCTATTTGTTATCTTAATATTAGATATCAATACAGAGCTATTGGCTAAATGAAAAGAGTACTTACCTAGTAACTGTCAGAGTTGATAGGGGCTAAAATTTATAGGCCACAAATTAAAAGGGTAGCAAGAGCTATGCCCTAAAAGGGGTTGGCTCATTATGAATCAGTTGTGCTTTTTTTAATTTCTTTTTCTGGGAAATTTACCCATAACGTAAAAACAATATGTCTAATCTATTCTTTAAAATTATCTATTTTTGAAATTTAGGAAGTTTTTTCTGTCTCATCCATCTTAGTCTCTTTTTTAAATTCCTTAATAACTAACATATTAAGTGTCCACATTATAATCTGACATTTTACCATATTAATTTTCTATTACCTTAAGTTACAAATTTTGCTTGTTTTAACTTCAGCAAGCAAAACAAAATTCCAGCGTAAACGTAATATTTCTTTTATTATAAAGTATCTTCGGCCGCATTCTACGATGACAAAAAAGACGGATGTAATTAACAAAAAACAATTATAAATTTTTCTACAACAAAATAACACATAATGAAAAATGTTTAAGGACTAAACCAAGCAAATTCATGTGTTTCTTTTTTTTTTTCTTCTTTTGAGATGGAGTCTTGCTCTGTTGCCCTGGCTGGAGTGTGGTGGTGCAATCTCAGTTCACTGCAGCCACCACCTCCCAGGTTCAATTCTCCTGCCTCAGCCTCCCGAGTCTGGGATAACAGGCAAGCGCCACCACAACTGGCTAGTTTTTGTATTTTTAGTAAAAACAGGGTTTCACCATGTTGGCCAGGCTGGTCTCAAACTCTTGACCTCAAGTGATCCACCTGCCTCAGCCTCCTGAAGGGCTGGGAAAACAGGCATGAGCCACTGTGCATGGCCCATGTGTTTATTGATAAAGAACAGCATTAAATGTTAAAAGATAGTTTATAATTGATACCGACATAATCAATAAAATATAAATTTCTCTTAGTATAACACTGCACGGTAACACCTTTAGTCAAACATATGGAACATATGGAACCTGCCATGATATTCTGACATCTCTTATAAAGTGCTAGATGAATTTCTTAAATTAACTTAATATTATGAAATCATTAAAACCTTTGCAAAACTAGCTATGATAAAAATACTTTGCTACTTTATCATCCAATTAAAATATCAGTGAGGCTGGGTGCAGTGGCTCATGCCTGTAATCCCAGCACTTTGGGAAGCCAAGGTGGGTGGATCATCTGAGGTCAGGAGTTCGAAACCAGCCTGGCCAATGTGGTGAAACCCCGTCTTTACTAAAAATACAGAAATTAGCCAAGCGTGGTGGCTGGCACCTGTATTCCCAGCTACTTGGGAGGCTGAGGCAGGAGAATCGCTTGAACCCACCCGGTAGGTGGAGGTTGCAGTGAGCCGAGATTGTGCCATTGCACTCCAGCCTGGGCGACAAGAGCAAAACTCCACCTCAAAAAAAAAAAAAAAAAAAGTCAGTGAAATATGTACATATCCTAAATTAATAAGGACATGTAACAAAAATTATCAAAATAGGCCAAAGTTATGCAATTGGACAACTGCATACTTAAGAACAATCACCTATCACATGCTGAAAGTAGTTTCATAAGATAAAATGAAAACAATAAAGAATAAAAAGAAAACTAAAGGCAAGGAAAATTTTGAAGTTAGAAGCAAATATTCTCCTATAGTAGACTAACTTTATTTCACGGCTGAAAGTCAGCATAAATATTGGCCCCCTTCTAAAATAATTTCTTAATTTTTAAGATAAGGGAGCTTGAACCAGAGAAAGTAACTAATTAGACCCAAAGGTAGACTCAGAGAATCCAAAATCCCAAATCTTGAATTCCTAGAAATTACGCTTCCCCAAAGTACCTTTTGTGTCATGTTACCATGGGGTATTTTTCCAATGAACAGAGATCTAAGTGACTGAACTCATACATTATATGATTATAAAATTTGCTAGTGATAGTGCATATTTAAAACTTTAATGTACACTTAAAAAGACCTGAGGCCAGGTGCAGTGGCTCACACTTAGAATCCCAGCACTTTGGGAGGTCAAGGCAGGAGGATCACCAGAGGCCAGGAATTCAAAACAAGCTTGGGCAACATAGAGAAACCCTGTCTCTACAAAAATAGGAAGTTAATAAATAAAATAAAAATAAAAGGTCTTTTTAAAAAATAATTCAAAGGAATTACCTGTTATTTAGTC
This sequence comes from Homo sapiens, assembly GCF_000001405.40. Taxonomy (NCBI): domain Eukaryota; kingdom Metazoa; phylum Chordata; class Mammalia; order Primates; family Hominidae; genus Homo; species Homo sapiens. Next base: position 81,860,276 of record NC_000001.11, on the reverse strand, counting down.
TTTAAAATATAGAATACCAGTCAAGTGTTTTTTTGTTTTGTTTTGTTTTGTTTTGAGACGAAGTCTCACTCTGTCGCCAGGCTGGAGTACAGAGGCATGATCTCGGCTCACTGCAACCTCTGCCTCCCAGGTTCAAGTGATTCTCCTGCCTCAGCCTCCTGAGTAGCTGGGATTACAAGCACCTGCCATTACGCCCAGCTAATTTTTTGTATTTTTAGTACAGACGGGGTTTCACTATGTTGGCCAAGCTGGTCTGGAACTCCTGACCTTGTGATTCGCCCGCCTCGGCCTCCAAAATGCTGGAATTCCAGGTGTGAGCTACCACGCCTGGCCCGTTTTTTATGGGGGAAAAAAAAAACAGTGAAACATTCCAAGAAAATGTTAGTTTCTGGAAGTAAGGATTTCTAATAATTTTTAATGTTCTTTCCAATTTTCTATGATGTCTGAATTTGCTTAGGATTTAATAAAGTCCTTAAAAATACTTTTATTTTAAAAAGCCTCACAAAAAATTAAAGTCTAAATGACATGAAATGATTATTAATTAAATAACATTAAAAATTTTATTTCAGGGCCAAGCACGGTGACACATGCCTGTAATCCCAGCACTTTGGGAGGCCAAGGTGGGTGGATTGCTTGAGCTCAGGATTTTGAGCCTAGCCTGGGAAACATGGCAAGACCCTGTGTCTACAAAAAAATACAAAAATTAGCCGAGCGTGGTGGTGCACACATGTAGTCCCAGCTATTCAGGAGGCTGAGGTGGGAGGACTGCTTGAGCCCAGAAGGTGGAGGTTGCAGTAGGCAGAAATCATGCCACTGCACACCAGCCTGGGCCACAGAGCAAGACCCTGTCTCAAAAAAAAAAAAAAAAAAGGTTTTATTCTATGGTCATTTTACTTACATGAGAATTTCTAATATAGAAGAACAAAACAAACTACAATATTCAAATATTCAACACTCAAAGAATACTACACAATAAGAGAGAAAATAGCACTGAATTGACACGATTTAAACAACACTATTTCTTTTCATACAAATAAATACATGTATACAAAATCATGTTAGAACTGAATTGGCAAATGTTTTAAAATAATCTGATGCTCAAATTATTAAAAGGTAAAAACTCAGTGACAAAATTTTCCTTTACCATCTTAAACTGTCCATTATTTTCAATCTTTAATAGTAGCATCTTCTTAATCTCTCTAGTTATCAAATAATTTGAATGTTCAAACATAATTACTTAAATAAATTCTAAACAATTAATTTCATAGAGGTATATATCAAAATTACATTTACTCAGTCAACACTGTCCAATATGTAGTAAAAATAAATAATAATAGCTGCCATACGACTATAAAATGGCATGTTAACATGCCATAACATAAAAACTCCATAGTAGACTGAAAATAAACCACAGCCAATAGGAAATAAGCACTCTAAGTTACAAATGGCGCACTTTATATTACATCCGGGAAAAAATGGTAAATATGTCTACATTTTGGTGTCTTTTATGTTTACATTTTGCAAATGATTTTTTTTCAGGACCTTTATACTTGCTATCATTTTTTAGAGTGTGCTAAATTTTCACAGTCCCTGACGGAAGTACTCAACCCCAATTCTGATACTTTAAGAAATAACACCAAGTCAAATACTGACCCTGTGCAGTCGGTGGAAGCTGAACATCTAAAGAGGTAAGGATGTGTCATGTTTAGGAAGACAGCAAAAATAGGAAAGAAATACATTCTCTTAAGTCTTGGTTCTAAACATTTTTATACCACCTTTGTTCTTGCCCTAAGAGGAATTTTACAGGAACGGTAAAATGATATTCATTGTCCTTAGTTTCAGTTCTTTGCACCACCAACTACCAAAAAAGTTGCATTTAGTAAAAACTGCAAAAACATAGCATTTGCTGAATGAAATAACAAATGACTTCATGAATAAATCAAATCAAGGAATAGTAGTACTATAGGCTCAGTTATTAATTCTGTGTCCTATGTGTTATTGGATCTGGCTTTCCTTATTTTGATGTACCTTTTACAGAATTTCAAATTTTATGTATGAAGCCTTAATCTAAACCAACACTGCTATTATCCCCAAAAGAATAATACTGAGTTTTAGTGGCCAGAACTAACTGCTTATACCTCAGAGTGTTAGAGATTATATAATATTTAACTCTTATCCTCTATGATTCCTAGTCTTATCTCCACTGGTCCAAATGTAGTCATTTTTAACTTTTCCTATTTCCCTAATCGCAACTAACCATAAATCTTAATTTCACGTTTGAGATAAAATACATTCCCATACATTTTCAAGGGCCATTCTAAAAATATCAATTTAACAAAAAGGAAAGATTTGGTTGATAGTAGTAAGGATAAAGAAGATTAATTGCTGTATAAATAAGATAAAAATTCCAAGATGATTATATTAATAATATCATTAAGGCAATGATATTCTCTCCAAAAATGCCAAAAAATGGATTTTTAAAAATGTCTTCATGTATCCAATAATTTATTTAATATTGTCTTGTATCAAGAACCGAGAAATTTAAAATAAGAAGTGTTATATTCAAATCACAATATAATCTTTCAATTGCATCTCTATAGATCAAGAACAAAATCCTTTCTATTCAGAAGCTGTCAATGGATGCTGATTTGAGAGAAGAAGCTGATATGTGAAAGTTGCCACCAAAAAGAACCGTCTGTGGGCTGATAAAGGCTTTTCTACTGAGGTGACTACGCAATGCCAAAATATCTAGTCAACGCAATTATAATAGAGAGTTAAGTAAGATGTCCGGCATCAAAGACAAAAGCATATGTTGAATGGAACATCTTCCACTTTCTCAATTGGCTGTCTGCAGTAGACCTAGCTCAAGTGTGAACAGTGCTTATACATTTATAAACCTTTAAAGTCATTTCCTTTTTACATATATATGCGTTGCTAAAATTATGCATGATTAAACCACAAATACCACAGTATATACATCTAGAAATATCCCAAATCTAAAAATAAAAATGGATTTCCATTATTATGCAAATTGAAAGCATCATGAATTCTGTGTCAGGCATACCTGGGAATGAATCAATCTCATCACTTCATTATTCATTTAACCCTGCCTAAGTCACCTAACTGTGCATAAGTTTCCTTGGCTAAAATGTAACAAAACAACATAAACCTCACAGAGCTGTTGGAAACATTATCCAGGACAATGAATAAAAAGCACCTACTACAGTGATTAATATCCAGTAAAGGACTGACAAGTGCAGTCATTGTTTTTAGATTTAAATTAAAAGTACAAAATGAGAGAGACATTAAAATCTAGTTATTTCTATGTATCTATAACAAAAGTTTCCCAAACTTTACTCATGTTTATTATTTAATGATTAAACATGTTTATTATTTAATGATCAAAGCAAGCCTCACATTAAATGCTTGTTATAAATCATGGAATATTAAGGCCCTAATTTTTTTTTTAATTCTGTAATTAAGTATGCCCTACAAATAAGCATGGCTAAGTTTTGGCATATTACTAGTATTAATTATATTGTTAATGGCAGTAACTTCATTAAACTAAGCTCACAAATTAGCCATCAAATCCATTTATCTTGTATTTCTTATCTTGGTGAATTCTTGATCCACCTTGACTCCTGACATTCATCACTCACCAGGCCTAGATATATTTAATAAATCACCATTTCTGCTGGTGCTCAGTTTATTCTAACTCAAATGATCTGCTGATAGGCACTGCTAAAGGGGCAAAGCCAGCCTGACAGTTGAGACCCTACCAGCAATCAAAAACAGCTGATCGAAAAAGACATGGTTCTTTGACTCAAGGGCAATCAGTCCATGATCCTCAGACCAATGTAGGCTGTGGCTTCATACAAAAAGAAGAAGCCCATACGTTTCTCTTGTTCTCAAGAATTTGAACTGGGAAACATGAAGCAATTCCAGAGCTAGAGAAAGAGCTGCAGCTGACAGGGTGGCACAAGACTGGGTGAAGTACCCCAGATATCCTAAAACAAAACTGCAAGGGGGAAAAAATAAAAAGAGTTGAGGGAAAGAACAGCTAGTTGCTATTAGGCAGAAGCAGGTAGATACAAAGGGAATCCATGAGCCAAACAACTAAGCAAGTAACCAGAGTCCCAGAAGCACCTGCTGCTTCAGATTATGCATCTGTGCTATATATGACCAGTTTCCACACCACCTTCCAAACTCCACAAGGACCAGCTGGGCAATATGACCTCCCCTGGATGCCTGCAAGAAAGTCCAGTTTACTTTATTCCCAAACATCAGCTTCTGTCCCTTACCACGAACAAACTATATAAATCACCCTTTCCCTCATCAGCGATCTGCCAAATTGCCTCACTTCTACTGTGAATATGACTTCGGAAATTTCATCAATTCATTCCTTTTATCTACTCTCATTCAATATTTTTTCTAGTCTCTCATTCTTTCTTGCTTGGATTACTCCAACAATCTTATTTTTTAAGAAAAAGGGCACAAATGGGCAGACCACAGGATGAATTCAGCTCACAGGTATATTTCATTTGCCCCCTCAGTGTCTGTTTGAATTAGCTGCCAACATTTCAAAATATGGGGATGTAACATTCAAATCCAATGTCCGACTTTTCTTGGGGAAAAATATCAGCTCAATTGACAACATATTCGCATTGAAAATGTATCATAACTTCCTGCTTGCAAGGAAAAAATATTAAAAAGTAAAAAAAAGAAAAAGAAAAAGAAGAGGAAGAAAAAGTATCAAAATACTGATAAAATAATCACCTGAAGCTGAATAGCACCTGCCGACTTGATTTTGTTTAGTTTTGTTTTTTTGGTTTTTTTGAGACAGGGCCTCGCTCTGTGGCCCAGGCTGAAGTGCAATGGCACTATCATGGCTCACTGCAACCTTGAACTACTAGGCTCAAGTGATCCTCCCACCTTAGCCTCCTAAGTAGCTGGGACCATGGGTGCATGTCACTATGCCTGGCTAATTTTTTAAATTTTCTGTAGACACAAGGTCTTATCTATGTTACCCAGGCTGATCTTTAACTCCTGGCCTCAAGTGATCCTCCCACCTCAGTCTCCCAAAGTGCTGGGATTACAGGCACGAGCCACTGTGCCTGGCTTCTGCCTACTTTAGACAAGCATGCACTTTCCAGTTTTGTATCATTTCTTTATATCCTGTCTACTTCACTTGTTTATGTTAATTCCCTGGTCCCACAGGAACTTGTTCAATATTCTCAACGCTTTCAATAGTCAACCCCATCCAGCCTAAAGAAATACTTCCAGAATAAAAATATATAATCACCTTTGAAATTTTTCAATGATTATCTCTCACCTACATGATCAAATTCTAACTCTTCCACATGAGTCATCTGGCTCCAACTTCATCCAGAGCTATCTTTTGTCACCCCTCACCTTCGGCACACATTGACCTATTTGCAATTCACCCCATTTCTTAGTGGCAATATTTTTGCACACTCTCCTGGAGCTCAGAAGAACTTTTCTCAGCTGGTCACCTCTTGCTCATTCAGATATCTCTGCTGTTTGAGTTTCAGCTGAGTATGCCACCTATGCAGCTCTCTCTGGATTCCCCTTTAGGTGTCATAAGGTACCACCATTATTGTTAAGTTCCTTTAAGATAATACCCATACCTAGCACACTGCATAGTCTGAGCACATGGCAAATGTTCAACAATCACTGATTAATAAATGTTTAAACATTTCATTTCTAAGCATCAACAGTTCTAAAATAGAGGCATTTTCCCAATTTTATAATAAGCAAGAAAACCCAAGTTAAATAACTTGTACAGGTTCACATAGCTGATGAGAGTCAGAATTTGAACCACTGGACGTTACACCAAAAGTTGCTGCCTTTGAGTATATTATACTTTCTGTCTTTCCCATGAAATACTCGTACAAATGTAATTTCACTACAGGGTATGTCAGTGAAAGAAAACAGAGACCAAGTCAATACAAATGACTACACTGCCTAATCCTAAATCAAAGCTGACAGGATAAATCCAGTGGTTCGGCAGTATCCCTGTAATGTGAATGGCTGTAGAAATGCCATGACAACTTTCAGAGTCCAAGGAAAACTATAAAACATTTTCATAAAATCTTCATTTTGAGCACTTGGCATTTATCTTGCCATAATGCAAAGATGATTAGAAAACAGAAACAGAAAATGCAACCTACATTGGAAAATTTATTAAGAAAATTCACTGCCCATAGAATAGGCAAAAGGCAGGCCATAAACTCTTTTAAAAATATATTTATGACAAAAAAAGAAAACATGATTAACAGAATTAAAGGATAATTCTGTGATCCAACTTATTAAATTTCAAGAAAGGTAACAGTTATAAATGCTTCAATTTGAGCATACTGCTCAAATACTGCTTTAATTTGAGCAGTATTTAGTAACATCTTGTGATACAAATTTATAAAGCATAAAATTCTCAATTTTGTTCTCAAACATCATAGTATATTATGAAACAATTTCTTAGAAAAAAATGACAGAAAAATAAAAACCTTAACCTTATATCATGTTATAGTAAATCTTTCCAGTAAGACCACAAAGCTCGAAGAAACAAAAAAATCATCTTTAATATTTCTTTATTAATACTTTATTTGCTTTCATTTTTTACAGTCTTTGAAAATTTCACTGCTTATTCACATAGGTTGCAAATCATAAAGTTTTTAAAGAGATTCAAAGATAAAACCTAATAAAATGTTCCAGTTTTCTTAAAAACACCAACCTCCACTTTTTTGCCGTCACCAGGATCTCTGGGCCAACAAACTACTGACAAGCAGCATTCTCAGGACATTAGGGGGTAAAACCCTTGAAAGCAATCATCTTTTTCACACAGATGGATATAGGTGTTTTCAGTGTTCTGTATGGCATCCTCTTGCCACATAAGCACCTGCAGTCGTACATTGTCCTGCTAGGTATTCCTAAAAACACCCAGGCAAGCTGTTTACTAAAAAAACTAGATTGGAAGAGGTGAAGGATAATTAGCAAATAAAACTATTCCTGGCACTCTCTCGATTAGTGGAGAACCAAGTTCCAACCCAGCACCTGGTGAAGGGAACTGCTAGATGTGATAATTCCAATTTACACATTCAGCACAACATTCTGTCTGCCTGTCAATTTGAAACAGTTTCCTATTCAGTGATAACAGATACCCCAAAAGAATGCAGTGTCAAAATGCTGACATATATTTTTTATGCACCAACTAGAGCCTCTCCTCTGGACCAGCTGCCTCTGCCTCTTCGCTCTTGGAATGACCTGACAGTTCAGTTCGTTTTTCTACTATACCAAAAAAATGTTGATTTTTACAGGTTAAATTTAAAGTATCAGATCTTCATACAGATTAAATACCAATAAGATTTTTCTTAAGCACAGTTAAAAAATAATTTAATAAAGCTAAAAAGTTCATTATGTTGGTATATCTTTATTTACATAGTACAGTACTTCTCAGCTGTCAAAACCATGAAAGTATGTATTTCTAATAAACACAGAATTTACTAATTTTTTTTCTAAGTTGACAGAGAGGATGAGAACAGAAATAAGCCAGCGAGACACACAGCTAGAGGCAGCATGGCACATCAGATATACACTTGCAAATGCTAAATAAAAAGGAAAATAAATTTTTACTCAAATCCATGGAGGTTCATTTCCTCCAAGTGTTTTCACATTTTCATTTCATAATGATCATACTTTGAAGAAGTATTATAAAAGGACAATTAAGTCAATGTTGTATCGGGGAGAATTTTCTTATTCTCTTCATTATTAAATGACAAACATAGCAACTATGCTTACAGAATACAGCTTTTTAAAAATTTTTTTCCCACATACATCTCAGATTAGATTCATAAGTATCTCTTCCGAAAAGAAGCTATATCTTTCCATCTTTCTCTTACCAGGCGGTTACCTGGAAGGTTTTTCATCTGTTCTAACACTCCTCTTCTATTTGACTTATCAAACAGCAATACATTCTTTTCAGCTACTTTCACTGGTACCAAACTTTCATTTTTAAAGTGGACTGACTTTCTAAAACAAATGTAAACCATGCAGGAATAAAGTCTGACAAAATAATGCTTTCATTTGAGAGATATCACTATTGTTTTAAAACGAGGTGGTAATGAACCATTAGATGTTAGGATTAGAAACTAGCACTTCTGAAACCTCAAATCCATGCTGAATATGTCAATGAAAAATTCTTACGTTTACTGAGCAAACATTTTAGTTACCAAGTACTTGAAGCTAGAATAGTTCATCATTGTACAGAATATAATAATTTTTTAATTCGCCATTCTAAGTCAGATGCTTTCCTCTTCAAAATTAATATATAAAAAAAATCCTATAGTTGTACTCTGCATTTACCTCAATTTCTACTAAACATAGAATTTACTACTTCTTTTTCTAAATTAGACCCAGAGACAGAATGGTAAATCAGAAATTCATTTGCAAACGTACGTGGAAAATAAGAAATTCTGACAGCCAGAATACATACACATACACACACACACACACACACACACACACAAATTTAAGTGGCATTTTATGACAATTTCCCCAAAAAAGCTACGAATTTTTATAAATTACAAGCTATAAACATTTTAATATTAACAGTAAAGTAATTAAGAAAAAGAGCCAAAAGTCATTAAGAACCAAAAAAGTAATATATTTTCAGGTGTGATGTATAAATCTATATAAAATATCATTATAATAAAATACATCATTACCCATTATGAAGATAAAATGTCCTCCTTATATTTAAGCTAAAATCACAGAGGATTTTCTAGTTACTAAAGAATTCACAAGACAAGATCACAAGAATTTTCGAAATGACTAGAGATATTCATTACTCATCATTTTTAACTGATACCTTCATAATTACTTATACTCTAAAACATATTCTCAAACCATAAAAAGCAAATGGCAATATTAGCTGGGTTCATCAATGGATTTTAAGAAGGAAGTTCCATATTTAGGGAAGAGAAGCCAACGTTAGCTGACTTCAGTGTAGGTTATTACCATCCAAATAATTTAAACAACTATCAAAATCTCCTAATAAGAATTGAGGCTGCAGTAAATAACTAGGGCTTGCTATAATTATTAAAATATGCTTAAAGTATACTTAGCTGTTAATCCTAAGGGCTGAATTCCTGCAAGATATACACTATGCATGCATGGACACTCCTTTGTTTTCGATATTCATAAACTAACCATATTGGTTTTTGGGTGATCATTAGTGAAATCCCTGCCCTATAAATTAAGTATATATTTAAAATGTAGCTTTGGTACTAAGTCTCTTTGAATGTGCTTCTCAATCATTTAAAATAGTTTTGAATGCCTAAGCACTATGAAAAATACAGAAATAAATAAAACATTGTGCTTAACTTCAATGAATTAGCTGAAACATATAAAGGAGGTGTAAAGAGGTAACAACAGCAACAACAACAAAGCCTTACAGGAAAGAAGTACCTATAAAATTGCTCTGACCAATAAAAATGTATTTTCTCAGTCACATTAGTCACATTTCCAGTGTTCAATAACTACTTGTGGCTTACTGTATTGTACTGTGTTGCTATATAAATTCAGAGGATTCCTGTTTAGATTAGAAAAAGCCTCCTAAAGGTTACTAGCTTTCAAAAAGTATACTAAAGAACAAAAAGGAACTGAATAGGTCAAAGAATGAATTTATTGACATTGTTTTCAAGAAGCAGTTATATAGCTTCATTTGTGCTATGGGAGGAAAACCTCACTTTGAAGTCAAAAAGGTGAGGTCTGTGAACTTCACACCATGCCTTTTAGATTTTGTTTCACTTAGTGAAAAACAGGTCATAGAATTGACTAGCTTAAAGGAAATAATGAAAATATCAAGTGTGAAAAGACAATGACTCACATGTTGTAGATATTCAAAAACTGAAAGAAGGGGTAAAAGAGGAGGAGGGGGAGAAAGAAGACAACGAAGAGAACTTAAAGCAGTGCTAAGACAAGACATAGAACAGAGTTGCTGCCTCTTAACTTCACTCACTACAATAGACTGATATTAGACAGCTGTAAGACTCCAGTGAAATGCTATGGTTAAGCCTCAAAATGATCTATGGATGCTGGCTAATGCTTTTTTTAATATTGTGCTCCAGCACCAGTAATTAAGTTTAAAGTAGCTTTCATTCTGGTAAAGGTGTTTAAAATTAATGTGGCTGTTTGTAGTGGGGAGGAGTATTTCGGCAGGACGAGTCAAACAGTCTGTCCACTGACTATAGCACAATGTCAACCATGTTGTGTCCCTTCTTGGTATATAGCATTTCAAATCCATAAATGAGCCTCTGATCTGTGTTCAACTGAAATGTATTCCAAAATACAGAATTAAATAGGTACTAGTCATTCACGTTATTTGTATGTATTTATCTTCTAAATCTATGCATTTAAAGCTGTCAAACTGTGTATCGAAGATTATAAAGCAAATAAACATTACTTAGGAAGGTGTCCATCCACTGTGACAAATTTGTCCTCACCTTTAAAGTCTTACTCCTTTACCAAAACATGCAATCTTAAGGCATTTTTATATACTTATCAGTATTACAGGAAAGTCAATCGTCCTAAAAGACCAAAATAGTATTTAAAATCAAACTTAGATTAATCTTTTTTGGACAAAATTACTAGAACCATTTGTTTGGACCTTGCCAGAAGGGTTTCAATTTTACATCATTACGTTTTAACTTGTCTAATCAGTTGAACAAAAGTACTTTATGTAAAATGATTCTTTTAGTTGCCTTAGCTACAAATCCCTGCAGGATACTATAATTGAAATCTACTCACGTAAGTTAGGAATAATTAGGGCCCCAAATTAAGCCAAACACAAAGTTAATTCAAATAGTCAGCTGCTGTCATTTAAATGGTTACGGGGTTTTATTGTTGCTTAACATTTCTGAATGCTTTTAAATATGCTTTGTTCTTCTAGGCTGTATTTAGTATTTCAGTGCAAATAGAAATGGGATTAAGAAGCAAAGATTCACCAGCCTTTCAAATGGACTCACACCTATATCCAGTCTTTTGTCACTGAAGGTTTTCCACTCAATCAGTGCTATCAGTCAATTAACAACATTGTTGAAAGAATGGAGTGACAGCTCTCAAAGGCAAGCTTTCTGGTAAATAAAGCAAGATCACACAATCTACAGTGAGTGCCATTAATGCAACAAAAGTAAGAGCTTTTGAAAGCTAACAGGGATGGTTGCTATTTGCTTACCTCTAAAACAAAGCAAAGGATTAAACGAGCTTCCTGTTGTAAGCAAACAAAAGGGAAAAGATAATGTCCAAAACACATACCTGAAGGAGGGGCTCAGGAGGAGCATGCCTTTTAACTGTTTTAATGATGACTGATAATCTGTGTGGACTGATAACTAAACATAGTAAGAGTTACAATTCTTGTTATAATTGTTACAGGTTTTCGGTGTTCTGACAGTTAATGGTTCTCAGCAATAGCTGGTAACTTCAAAGATAAATTGTGCTTTTTAAAAAATATATGCTTATGGCTGTAAACTTTGGAAGATTATTTGAAAGTTGAAGTGTTAGCATGATTGGTCCTCCTGTACTCTACATAATTTTCACTAAAAAACAAATCTTAACATAGTTTTTCATCTAAAATGGTAATAAACATTAAGAAAACTGACATAATTAGCTCGTTTGATAATTACCATTAAGTAATGCAATGTTAAGCAATATAAAGTATACTTTAAATATTCTTGAGTAACAGCCTGCTGAGATAGGAAAATATACTAATGATCTGAAGCTAAATATAAAGTTCTACAGCAAGAAAACTGGACTGGCAGTTAAGTAGAGCTTGACAAAGGAACAATCTGCAGGCCTTAGTTTCTTCATCTGTAAAATGAAAAATTCTACACTACTAATATCCAAGCTGTGATTCAAAGTCCAAAATTCTTTAATTCCACCAAAAAAATCAAAATAAAAATACTTCGACCTCTCAGGTACCTATATAGGAGTCTCTATTTTTAAAATTTGCTACTAACTTACTTTTGAGTGGTTTAAGAGCCTGAAGAGTCTAATAAAATTCATTAAGAAATAAATTTACTTTATAATTGGTATTATCGTAAAATTAAAACAAATCATATCAGTACCCTATATCTTTGCCTCTGAAAGAAAAGGGAAAAGGAGATTGTGTCCACTAAGAAGAAGAAAATCTTTGATTCTATACAATACTAAAAAGTGGAAAAATCACTAGATAACCTAAGGCAGATAAAACATATTTAGCCATTTTTAATGACCAGTTAACAATCAAGTACTTCCATCCTATACTCTTATGGTGCTGATAAGCCAAGGAATTAATACTTAGGCAAAAACAACAATTATTAGTTGATTAAATATGTTGACTTTGAAAAATTAGTATAATAAAAATAAACTTTTTCTAAATAAGACAAACATACACTTTGCATTACATGACTTTATAGTGTTACTTTAAATAATAAAACATTTGTATTAAAATGCTGTTAAAAACACTGTTTCTGTGTATGATAGAATGAAAGTATGACAGATCAATAGGGAATAGAGGGAAATATTAGGGAGAAAGGGTCAGGCTGCATTGTTACTCAGGGATTTTTCAAAGCAACTCACCACATAAAAGGTCAATAGAAGGCATATAAAATAGGATTAGAAGTGCCACAAAATATAAAAATGTTCAGTAAAGTTTCAAGGTAGCTTAGTTCCTTTTTTAATAAAATGAGTTATACAACTGAAAGTGATGTTATTTCTATATTTCAACTATGGTTGTTTGGGTTTAAAACAAACCTCGATTTTTAACAGCGGAAGTCACTGTCATGTAAACTCTCATTTTCTAGACCAAACATTTTAATAACCAAAACTCCCTAATACAGACATTATCTTACAGACCAGCAACCTTAGCATCACCTGGGAGCTTATTAGAAATGCAGACTCAGAAGGTCCATCCCAGATTACTGAAGCAAGAATCTACATTTTAACAAGATCCCTGAGTGATTTATATGCACATTAACTTTTGAGGGGCACTATTCTAGATAAATAAGATGTTTAAAGCCCAGCATGACCTCCATCATCTTTCTTCTGCGGCTGTACACATCTCTTCCTGAATCTTTCCTCTCTCTGGATCCTAATACACATTCTTTACTTCCCTGAATGAGCCTTCCTACCAGTGCAATGGGTTCCATTTCCCTTCCTTCCAACTGGAGAAATGTTCAGGTATTCAACATATCTACCAAAAGCAACCAAACAAGAAAACTGTAAAAAAAAAAAAACAACAAAACACTTTCCTTAAACAAGGAAATAAACTCAACCTACAGCACCTGTCTCCTTCACTTTACTTACCAACTTTTTAAAAAGCCTGTCAACATCGCCTCATCACAGCATTCTACCATATAAAAGTAGCCTCTTAAAATCCAACAGGCTTTCTATTGTAATGTGTAACTAAAATAAGGAAGTCTCTGACTTGTATTAACCTACTATATTGTCTCTAACCAAAGCTTGAACTTCATATAGGCATATCTAACACCTGGCTTAGATTTTAGTACTACAAAGAGAAAAAGAAGAATCAGTAAGGGAAAAGAGAACTAATTAATGATTAATACATACACACAAACACACAACAATTAGATACAAAGAGATGGGTACAGGAATAGTAAGACGCACCCTGTAAATATGCAACAAAATAAGAATTTTACTTGGATCCTTTTTTTAGATTAAATCCCTGTGCAAAACTTAACCAGGCTTCATACGAATCCCTTCTTTTTTTTCCAGGAAATTCTTTATGTTTCTTGAAACTCCAAAATTCCTAAAATGTAGAACTTCATCTTCATGGTGGGACATTTTAATCTATCTCTACAGTCATGCTTTTGCTTCTCTCGGCTGTTTAACAACATAAAAACTCTTAAAAATAAACTTTATTAAATACATGGGATACAAAAATCATTTAAGGAGAGAAGAACACTGATATATTACTGGATTCAGAACAGTCACACTTTCATTCACAATTCAATCTATGTAGATATAAACAGTGTTTACTTCTATTCTTTTTCTTTTTTGTTTTTTCAACTATCATCCATCATCCATTTTTAATTTGGCTATGTTCCAAACTTCAACTACTGTGTTGGTTAAAATTTAATTCTTACTGGTTGGTTTAATGTTAGTTCACTTGATTTTAAATTAAGTGATCAAAGACCTTAGATTTCCCCTTATAAAAACGTTAATTCCTGACGGATTCAAAATTTAAATAAAAATATTTAAGAGCTACAGGGAAATGTAATGAATAAATATTTAACTGAGATCAAGATATACATTTTTAAGCATAAAATAATGGAAGGTCTCACAAAAGAAAATAGCTATATAACAAAAAGGAAAGAAGAAGAAAGAGTGCAATAATGCAAATGTAACAATATCTTGACAATTGTTAAACCTGCGATTAGTGTTATACTACGAATTTCTCTCTTCTATTTGAAGTTTTCATTAAAAATTTTAAACAGTGTAAATTAAACTAAAAGGCAAAAATAGGTTTTTATAATAAAAATGAAAAAAGGGGATTATCAATAAATTGTAAAAAAAAAAATAAGAAAAGTATTAGCAATACAAACAGAAAAGCTGGCAAAAGCAGTGTACAAAAAGTTCATATCAAAATGACAACTAACCAATAAATAAATCTACAAAAAATGTTTTTGTCCCCAGAAGTATCCCCCAAATTACAAATTTAATTTATAATCAGATACCCTTTTTTACAAATCAAAGTGTTAAATCTTTTTAAAATTTCAGATCATTGCTGGTAAAGTGCATGGATTTATATACTGGTCATCAATGTGTGCACATAGGTTTAACTCTTCAAAAAAGCCAATTTGAAAGATGTCTATATCTCCAGTACAATTATCAGAATTATAGAATTCTATCCTCGGGAAATAACCAGTTGTGAAGGAAAAATAATTATATAGATATGTATTTTACTTATACTTGAAAGAAATTAAGTACAAATGGCTGGCAAGTAGAAAAGGAGGATTAAATAATTTGTATTAAATTTGTATAATTAAATAAATTACTATGCATCTGTTAGCATTCATTATCTAAATATGTAATGGCATAGTAATACTGTTTCTGATAATTAAAAGTGAAAATATGAATATAAGAGTATATGTAGATGAATAACCTAATTTTGTATTTATACATAATTTGGCTTTATCCATATGAAGTATGTGTATAGGTGGAAAAACAGAAAAGAAATGTGCTGCCGCATAAGAAAGTCACAGAATTATGAACCTTCTAAAAGTTTTATCTTAATTTTTTTAATTTTCTCTTTTCTCATGAAGATATATACATTCAAAATCAGAAGAAAAAAAACACTTTTAAGAAAAATAAGCCCTCAAAGCAAGAATTATGGCAGACATAAAAGTCAAACTCAGGAGAGTCCCATGCTGATAAGAAGAGATTATAAATGTTGTTTCTGCTTCCTGAAGTGCTGATACGTATTCCCTTCTCAGCTTTACATTTTAGCCAGGAGATCCCGAGGCTGGGACTAGGTATTCTCCTGGAATCACTTCTGTCAAGTTGACAAAAGGAGTTCAGGAATAGGGTTGAAAGATGCCATGAGATACTCACTAATCCAAATTGATGTCTAATATGTGTAGCTTGCATGGCTGTCATATGTCATTCTTTGTCTTGCAGAGGAGGGGAAAAGAAAATAGAGTACCATGGGGTATCAAGTTTTAGTAAGACACTCCCTTAGTAATATGGCAGATAAATCAGTTTTTTGAGACACAGCATGTTCTACAATAGTCTTCTGATGTGGTCTTCAGATGTGTTCAATCACTTATCTTATTCTCTAATATCACAAGCTATCGTATATTAAAAAATTAAAGTGTATTAATTCAAAAAATGAAGAGCTTCAATGCTGAAATTAATGAGTAATGAGAAATTAACAGAATCACAGTTCCACAAAATTAAGGTGCTTTAAATGCCTCCTGTGCTTTTAATTAAACTCCCTGTAATACACTATTGGTTCTTTCAAACTATAAAAATAACTGTGTAAATGCCTAATATGCATGTAAAATCGGTATTTCTAAAATTTACTCTAGTATGCATGAGCTAATAACCTTTTTACTTTTAGCAAATTATTATTTAAAAACAAATTTATTTACTAAATATTTGATATGGTCTTTTCTGTCAGAAAATGGAGGTTTACCGAAATTAAACAGCCACGCAATATAATGTTTTTGAGGTCTGCTGGGTGACTGTTGTGAATGACATACACGTTTGCAATACTTTTTCCGCCAACAACAGACCTACTGGTGAATCAACGAAGACTGTGGATAAACAAAGTTTTTCCACAAATGAAAAAGAGGCAAAAGAGGATGGAATCAAGAAGAAAGCATGAGGAAAAGTGGGAAGAAAAAAAAATCGACAATCAAGCACTTGAACTTTATCTTCATTTATGAAACATGGCATATTCTGACACTAAATATTGGTATATAAGATGACCAAAGTATAATTCAAATTTACTTTTGAAAAGATGCCAGTGTATCCGATTAAGCTTAATTTTATTTTCGGCAACTTTGAGTCACATTTGTAACATATTTACCTTCATCTTGAATGCTGATAGTAATATTATAATAATTTGATTTTTGCAAGAGAAGATAACAACATCATACAATTTGTAAAGGCATTAAGATTTATATTTTTAAAACCGAATTATCGCTACCTATGGAGAAGAAAGCTGCTGCAATCAAATTACAATATTCTCATGAAACAAAATAAAGAATATCTAAAGTGTCCTAAGAGCAATACAGTTAAGTATTTTCTTAAATAAAATCATTTTTTTGGCCGGGCACAGTGGTTCATGCCTGTAATCCCAGCACTTTGGGAGGCCAAGGCAAGTAGATCACAAGGTCAGGAGTTTGAGACCAGCCTGACCAATATGGTGAAACCCCGTGTCTACTAAAAATACAAAAATTAGCCAGGCGTGGTGGTGGGTGCCTGTAGTCCCAGTTACTTGGGAGGCTGAGGCAGGAGAATTGTTTGAACCCAGGAGGCCGAGGTTGCAGTGAGCTGAGACCACACCACTGCACTCCAGCCTGAGCAACACAGCAAGACACCATCTCAAAAAATAATAATAGTAATTTTTAAAAAATTCATTGCTTTAGCTGGGTGTTAATTTACATAATTTGTGAATTTAGAAAATAAAGTTACATTTGCTATGCAGCAGGCACAAATACACAATTCCTATTAATTTAATGGGAGTTGTGACTCCCATTAGGTTTACAGCCAAATCCCCAAGTACCTTGCTAAAAATTTACCTCCTAGACTTCAACTAATCAAATATACTGAAATGAACAAAAGTAGTTAATTTTGTTAGATTGGGAAATCTGAAATCCCCACAGTAAGTCAATTCAGTGTTATCACAGCATTGGCCATGTAGTTATTCTCAACAAGAAAAGAACCAGGGTATTAGAGTGAAAGAGACAAATTGAAACAAGAGTTTTAAGAGCTCTACTAAACAGAGCATTTATCCCTAAGAGGAAAAATACGTTTTTTTCCAATTTGGTGTAAATTTTTCAAAATTTTTTTCTGAGTATACTCTTGAAAAGAGCAAAAAAGGCTGGGTGTGGTGTCTCATGCATATAATCCCAGTCCTTTGGGAGGCCAAGGTGGGTGGATCACAAGGTCAAGAGTCAGAGACCAGCCTGGCCAATATGGTGAAACCCCGTCTCTACTAAAAATAAAAAAGTTAGACAGGCATGGTGGCAGGTGCCTGTAATCCCAGCTACTTGGGAGGCTGAGGCAGGAGAATCCCTTGAACCCGGGAGGTGGAGGTTTCAGTGAGCGGAGATCATCCCATTGTATTCCGGCCTGGGAGACAGAGTGAGACTCCATCTTAAAAAAAAAAAAAAAAAAAAAAGCGCTAAAAGAAAAAAAAAATCCTTTTCTGAAGACTAAAATTATTCCCAAGAAGCCTAATCAGGGGAATAAAGAACAATCTGCAAAGAAACAGATACTAACTCCCAAGAAACAACTGGATACTAACTTCTGAATCATGATCAATCATCTCATCATTTTTTCCAAAAATACTTTTGAAAAAGTTGTACCATGTCTACACCCATGCACCCCTACCCTCACCACAACCACCCCTAAGCACATAGAATACGCAGTGGCTCTTATAGTGTGATGCTGAGCAACACCATCAGCATCACCCTGCAATTTGTCAGCAATGTTAACTAATGCTTGGGCCCCACCGCAGATCTTCCAGGTGATTCTGCCGTATCATCACTTCCAACTACAAGAATTTCCTAACACACATGCAACCATCCAACTATCGCTCATCCCAATGCCTCTGTGAATATCATTATTATGGCACTTATCACACTCTTATTACAACTGCTCATTGTCTTTTCCCTCATTATACAGACTATGAACCTCTTCAAAGATTTATTCTATTTATGTGACAGCTATGGATTGAGTGCTTAGTATAAGCCAGGCATTGTTCAGGCACTTGAAGACATCAGTGAACAACAACAAAACATCCCTGCCCTTATGAAACTAGCATACTGCATGTTGTGTGTGTGTGCACGTGTATGCGCGTGCACATATATACACAAATATGTGTATATATGTACAGATTTTGTTATATGCGTGTGTAAATCAAAGAATGAAAGAAAAAAGGAGGAATGAACACAGTAGTCTGAATTACATTAATCTTTCTTAAATTTAACCTTGGAGAATAAAGTTACTAATCATTCCACCAAATTCAGACCATTCTGAAGGAAATATCTATATGCCAGAAACAGTTTTCACTATTTCATATTTAACCCCTAAATCTGCCTTTTTTTCTTCTACCCAAATACTGAAAAGACCCTACAGACACACACTTTTTAGAGAGAGAACATTAACTCAAGTCATTATAAAATGTACTTAGGGAACTTAAAAGTACAGTAAAAACTGGCAAGAAACTATTTCTACAACTGTTATATTTTCTTGATTTATATAAAATAAATACATAAAGCTGTTTCTGGCATGTCTCATATTTATACCTGGCAGAACATTTTTCTTTGAAATAAGGATAAGCAACAATATAATTTGAGGTAATTAAGTAAAATTTTGACTAATAAAATCTAATTACATATTCACTGCATAAAGGATTCAACCTGAAATCTGCATTACTGAATTTGCTGAAGAAGTACTATTATTTGTAACTTGTCACTTGAGCAAGCCTTCATGTGTCTAACTTATGCTTGCCAAGGCTCCATTATACAGCATAATTTAATTCTCTAGGACACAAAAATTCAATTTACTTTCTACTTACTGATACATGATTCCACAGTGGGTACTATGCTTATAAAAACTGGCCAAAAGAATCAAAGCATACCAGTCTCTCGATAAAACTGACTTTTCAAGAATCTGAGATTAGTTCTCTAGAAATAAAATCAATTATAAGAAATATTTACAAAATATTTTGCAAGTTTGGTCTGTATAAAATCATTTTTATTTGGAAATTCTAAATATAATTTTCCCCAAAATACGTTGTAGGAAAGGCTTAGAGAATATGTAAAATATTAATCCTATTTTACAGAAACAGGTAAACTTTAATGGGTAAGACTTGATTCTTACACAAACAGGTAAATTTTAATGGGTAAGACTTGATTCAAAATAGAGATAGATAGATATAACAATTAAACCTTTGTATAATTAGCTTTTGCCATGTTCAAACTTTAAAAATGCTTAGTGATTTGCCCCTGTATGTGTACACAAAATATGACATTTATAATGTTTGCCTGAACACAGAGTAAGTCCTTATGAATTTGGAAATGTATGTCTCATTATGTACCGATGTAAAGCAAATCCAAAATTATGTGAAGCCTTTAAAATCATGTACCAAGGTAAAATACAACTGTAACAGGAGGAAAAAAAAAGATCTAAAAGGAAAGGCATAACCCATGGCTATTCTATGGTATACACGCTTGTTTTTTAAACAAAATCTTAATTAGTTGCCATTACTTAAAAATCCTAATGTTTGATTTCTACTGAAAGTCAGAAGACTGGAAAAACCAAGCTAAATACTGGAATGGTAATCACAGGTCCTCTGACAAGCACTTTCTTGTCTGACCTCAAGTCGAATGTTCTCAAGGCACCAACAAGTATTTAAGGTTTCAATCCCTGCACAAGACCATGAGCTTCTCAAGAGTAAGAATCATGCCTTCATGCATGGTTACAGCAGCACAACTGCAAAATCGTGGAACCAACCCAAATGCCCATCAATCAACGAGTGGATAAAGGAACTGTGATGTGTGTGTTGTGTGTATTTATATATATATTATATATATATATTCCATCATATATATATGATGGAAAATATATATATATATGATGGAAAATATATATATATGATGGAAAATATATATATATATGATGGAAAACATATATATATGATGGAAAACATATATATATGATGGAAAATATATATATATATGATGGAAAATATATATATATGATGAAAAAAATACATATATATATATGATGGAATACTACTCAGCCATAAAAAGGAATGAATTAACAGCATTTGCAGTGACCTGGATGAGACTGGAGACTATTATTCTAAGTGAAGTAACTCAGGAAGAGAAAACCAAACATCCCATGTTCTCACTGATATGTAGGAGCTAAGCTATGAGGACACAAAGGCATAAGAATAACACAATGGATTCTGGGGACTTGGGGGGAACAGTAGGAGTGGGACAAGGGATAAAAGACAACATATATGGTGCAGTGTATACTGCTCGGGTGATGGGTGCACCAGAATCTCAAAAATCACCACTAAAGAACTTATGTAATCAAATACCACCTGTGCCCAAATAACTTACGGGAAAATAAAAAATAAAATAAACAAAAAAAGAACCGTGCCTTATGCATTATTTTTCCTTGTGTATTTTTGAACCCTAAGCATGCAGCTCAATTTAATCACTCAATAAATGAGGAAAAAGGGAAGAAATCACTCAGGAAAACTTATCTGAGTTTACCTGCAAGAACCTAGAAACTGGTATAAAAAGAAGTATAAAAAGAACTAAACTGTGTAAGATGTTAAAAGGTTACAATCATGTAAGGGCCCAAAAGAAACTCAATAGCTGAAGGTTAAATTCATATCTGCCTTCCTATGCCTTCTTACCTAATGTTGATTGGCTTTCTCTATAGATGTTCACAGAGCATTATCTGCTTTCTGGCAATAAAGGACTATGATGTCATGTAAGACTTTCTAAGACAAACCCATGCAATACTAGATCAATGTTCTAACAGTGTGTATTAACTATGTATACTCTTACAATTAGCAGTTAGCAGTATGGGTTCGTCCCAGGTTCTTTTTACCCGTAGGAGGGAAGTGCTTCAGAAGCAATACCCCCTGGCCTGATGAGCCAAAAATGAAATTTCTCCTAACAGCAGATATGAATCCTGACCTGATAGATGACACTGAAAATAAAGCTGCAGTATCTCATGAAAAAACTCTCTGTTTGCTAGCCCCCCACTGAGTTAAGCTACTGTGCAAGCAAAGTGATCTCTAACTTGATTAGAAATTTTTTCATTATGTGGACTAATGAGCCATTGGTCCACACCTGGAATCTTTTTTAAATGTATAAAAACATTCAAACCTAACAGCAGGAATTCAGTTAGGTTTTCTTCCCCAAAAACGAGATGTAAAATCATCAGACTACACACAAGATTTTCACAACAATCCAAGCCAGAAATTTATATTATTAAACACAATTCCTGTTCACTGTTTATGATAGTATTATTCATTCACACAGATTACATATGATGTTAGATATGATGCATCTTCAATTCTAAAGCAAAGAGCAATGTCATCTGAAAATAAAATATTAACCCAAAGATTGTAACTGCCAAGTGTGACTTAAATCCAAGTGAACACTATTTACTTTCTGAATACAGAAACTCTTATTTTAAGTATTTCTAAATTTGTTATTTATTTAAATTATATTACATCATATCAATATACTGAACGTAGGGGACTGGAGGGACAAGGAGAACATGATAAAATATAACTTTGGAACAAGCAATTCAAGTAAAATTCTTTCAGCAAAATTAAAACGTTAACATTTTGAAGCTTATTACACAGACAACGGAATAATACACTTCTATTAGTTGACAGTATGCCCCTTCTCCACCTATCATTTTAATAATCGGTATAAGTGAGATCACTTAAAAGTACATATAAAATCAATTTTTTAATTCTTAAACATTTTTTCAAGAATTGGAATTTTTTAAAATCCATTATAATTTATATGCATTTCTCAGAGATTTTATACCCTTCACAAACTTTACAAGATTAATACATTTTCGTGCCAATAACTGCCACTATCAACTAGCTATAAAATTTATACATCTTAGCTCCATATTAACTTCTAGCCTGCTCTAAAAAACACCTGCATGTGTGTTGTTTTCATGTGGAAATAATATTTAAGACTAAGAAAACAATGGATTCCAGAAATCTATATAGTTAATAAATGATGGTTCCAATTATTTCATTAGGCTTCAAAAGTATATTTATTTCTTTAAAAATCAGGTCTGTCTTGAAAAATACACTCATTACTATTCCTAGATTTTAAAAATGTTTAATGCAATAGTGCTTAAGAAAAATTCCACATCTATTTTTAAGTACAAAGAAATAGTTATATTTCTGCAAATTTAACATTACAAAGAATATACATATACACACACATATACAGCTAAAGATATAAACAACATAAAAAGATGAACTATTATTAAAATGTAAGTTTTCATAAAAGACTACATATTTTAACTTAGGAGTTTTAGAATTATGCACACACTTAAGCAAATGTAACTAAAGATGAAAATTTCCACAAAATACTTTCCACTTTACTAAAATAAATGTAGTGAATAAATGTAAAATGTATACCAAAACAGAGCTTTCATTTAGTTCCCTCGGGATTATTTAGAATGGTTATATTTCATAAATGCACGTAAAATATAAATTCACATATCTAGCACTTTCTATATCATATCTGTGTTATCAAAAGAACTCAACCACCTAATAAACAATTCAATATTCAGGAAATAATTTTAACACCTATTTTTAAAATAATAAACAAATATTCTAGGCACTTCCATATTAAGAAGATTGTATAGTTCAAGTTCTCCTGGATTTAAAAAACAAAATGTAAACTGGATCTTACCTTCTGTATTTGGTAAGAAGCTGATTACAATGATAAACCACAGACTTCGCATTCTGCAACCAGAAGACACCATTATTGATCCCTTTAAGTATTTTCTTTGTATTCCTTAATGAATCTAGTTATAAATGCCCAGCTTCATCAAAACCATCAGTCTGCATCATTGATCTTCATATCTGAAAAACAAACAAATCCATCACTTACTCTATGGTCTTTCTACATAACAAAACAATTCTCTCTCTCCGTTCCTCTCTCTCTCTCCTGAATATAAAACATATTTTGATTCTATGTCCACTATGGAAGCTGCTCCTATACACTGGATATCTGAATCTTACATTCTGAAAACAGTCAAAAGCCCAAAAAGGTTGACTGCCTTTTTGACAGTCAAATTGCCAAAATTTGTACATGGCAAAATAATGCCATATACAAAGGGATTCTGAAAATGCCACATTCCTAATCACCAAATCAAACTTATTTCCCTGACTGCTAGGTATTCATAGCCCCTATGGATCCAGTTCTCCAAACTGCAGAGTGTACAAAAACTTCAGGAGTATGACTTAGTATTTCTCGGCTTCTAGGATCACATGAGACCAGGTCATTTGCTGGGTTCTGTCCAAGTGTTTTACTTCTTTCTGAGGTCGTGTGAGGAATCACAGCAAACATTAGCCTTATAATGCACATAAAATGAAGGCATTTCCCAAATATATCCAGCCTCCTCATTTAGCCTCTGAGGGAAAGGAAATCACAAACTTTTCTGTTAAAGGAACATCTTACAGTTTCTTCATGTTCGTTTCCTATTATTTTATTCTACATAATACTCTTACACCAAGTTTTCTCCAGTTATCCTTAACCTGCTGCAACTAAAGAGTTTTACAAAGTGCAGCAGGGAGGGAACTCTTCCCTCCCTTTCTGAGGTTGCATACATAACTCAGTAAAACAAACTCATTACATCATTTCGATGCTGTCACTAAACCATAAAGAAAATTTAGAAAACAAAATTTTCCTGATAACTTTTGAGTTCTTGCACATTATCTGACCTACTGTGCATTTACTACATGCTTCATGTAGCTTATCACACGGGATGCTATTAGCAGTACACTACATTCTACTATCAGTTCATTATAATGTAACCTGATTGGAAAAGCAGGCAGATGTTAAATGGTTTGAAACACTTATTACCTATAAAGGTACTATCTTGCTTTATTAAGAACACAACAAAAATAATGTAAGAAATTAATCTGAAATCATTCAGGCCCACAGTTTCAGAGATGTAAATGCTTCCCTAAGGATCCCTCTATGACCCAGAATTGGCCCAAGTTTTAGCTCTCTCTCTGAAAGCACTGAAGACACAGGGGAGAGGGAGGCATCACCAACATCAGTATTATGCCATTTAAGAACACCTCAGATGCTTATCTGTCCAAAGAAACAAAGGAAAATGCAAACTTCCTCAAAAAGAATGATGTATCCAAAATTAATCTGATGGAGACACATGGCACGCATCCCTGCAAAACTAGCTGGCTGGCTCTGTACATTTTTCACTCTGAGCTCCCATAGACTATTCAAAGGTAACCAAAACCAAAAGTGAACCTGCAGTTTACAACTGCTGTAGCAATGTGCCTGCCTTAAACCTGAAAGTTATTCTACATAAAGCATTTTAAAAAGTCAGATAATCTCATGGCTTGTCACATTTAAAAGGCCATCAATGAACAATTTCTTATATTCTTACAGTCTGTTCGATGATCTGATCAAGCAATCAGAATAATGTAAACGCGTGGATGAAGTGCTGCAAGTAAAATTAAGTCAGCCTTTGGACCACTCTAGATTCCAAGCAAAGAATTTTTACTGTCCAAGTTTTCATTGTTTGATTTGAATGAGCTAGTGCCTACAGGCAGCTTGCCCACATGCTCAACTCTTGCACACGTTTCCACTTTCTTAAAGTGATCCAAGATCAGTCTGTCTTCAGTCATCCACTATTCAAAGAGCCCTTGTTTGTGGGAAGGAGGAGGAAGGAAGAAATCAGGGACTGATGACTGCTTTGTAGGAAACAGCTGCCAAGATAGGAAAACCTCTGTTCGTGAAGGGAAAAAGGAGGAGGAAACCACACAATCAAGACCTCTATTGTGGTCTTTGGCCAGGAAAGAATATCTTATGAAAATTTTTATATACTAAAAATTCAGTGTATTCTGAAGGTTTGAGAATGTGAAACACAATTTTAAAAATACATATCATTCAATTATGAGACCATGTAAGTGGTTGTTTCTGACAAATGGAAACAGGTTCTAGAATGTATAAAATCATGGCTTCTTTTACAAAAATAAAGCTTAAGTCAATCTGCCTGTGTAATGAATAAGTAAAAAAAAAAGTCAAATTTATTTTTATCATTCTACAACCTGTGCCCAATCGCTTTTACATCAAATAAAATTATTTCCAAAACCTCAAGCTTTAAGTGCAATTTGGAAACTAAATCAAAAGATTTTACTGCTGTGACCCAAGTTTTAAACAACCTTCCATTAAACAAATGTTAATGAAAGTTGAAATACCTAACAAACCACAATCAGCTAAGAATAGAACGAATAAATAATCAAATATCATGACACTAATCCCAAGAAGGCATTCCTTCTAAATCATATTGGAGCCAAACCACTGGCATAGATAACAGCTAACATTTGTCCTTCAAATTCTGTAACTGCAAAAAGCTCAATAACAGCATTTCACAAAGCAAAACAAAAACAAATAACAAAACCAGAAAAGGTCTATTAAATTTCCTTTCAACAAACAGAAAAGATTACTTCAAATGATTCCCACATTAATAACTTTCTTTTGATTTTTAGAAAACCTTTTTCCAAGAACATCAAAGAGCTTAGGATGAAGTGGGGGAGGAACTGGGAGGGTAGAGGTGTAGTGCATGGTGAAGCTCCTGGTAATGCTTGCTACGTAATAGTTCATTTCTTAGTAAAACAAGATACAACAGATTTCTACTTAAACTATAAATGACTATGACTTTCAAAAATCCAAACCACTTCTAACGTACAACCTACTCCCACCTCTGCTTTTTCCTTATCCTTCAAATAAGATTCAAACAATTTCATCCTAATCTTGTTCCTATAAACCACAAACCATTGTCTACCAAACCTCTGTCATTTTTTTTGATCTAAGTATCCTATTACCCTGTCATGTAAAAAGTCCGTTAATGCATCATTACTATCAAACCTTCCAAAGCTGAGCAGTAACTTCCAGGAATATGCTTCAGCTGTGTATATCCCAACAGCCCTCAACGTTTTATACACTACGTGCAATGTACAGTCAGCTGCAGTCTTTCAGACAGTAACCTGCTTCCATTTATTAGCTGCATTAAATATCCCGCGCCTAAAACTGTCCGCAAAATTACTTAAAAGGACAACACCGCTAACTAATTTTAAGTCACATATTTACATTACATTACCAGGAAATCACACCTAGCCTTATTATGTGATGAGGCTTATTTAACAAATGTAGAAAAAATAAAATGTTTATTAATAAGCATCACTGAAAGAGAGTATAACACATTTCAAATTAATAAGGGCAAAAGAAAATTAAACTACAATTTTCTAAAACTGGTTAACTAATGTTGATATTCCACCAGGAGCAAAGCCACCATAAGGAGTTCTATCTAAAGCTTTATTTTTGGTTTCTACTCATGGACAGTGAACTACTGCAAACACTGGCTATTAAGCCCAAAACAGTTATAACATGAAGAGAACAGGAAAAGAAAAGAGCCAGCTAAGCATGAGAACTACCAAAGTCACCCATCCTTGTTATTATGCACTAATGCTGTGTAAAATGAAACATTAATGTTTTAGGTAAGCCTAAATTCTATGTACTAAATACATGTCAACTCTAAATGAAAACTGAAGTTAGCTTTACAAAATCAGTCTCAGATCTTATTTGCATCATAAAATTATAATCATTATGAGACAGAATTTACTAACAAGAGCCGCTTTTCTGTATTTTACCAAAACAAACAAACACAAAAAAGGATGACACTAACCCAATTCTGCCTTTTCATTTTCTGTGCAAAGGCTCAGAAAATGAAAAAATAAATTATAGTTTTATTTCACTTTAGCTGAACCTCAATCAGGTTATTCACTTTTCAGAAATATTTTATGTGTAATCTTTACAGACTAGATTTCCCCTTCTTAACATCAGAGAACACATCATTACCCCTGGGAGTTTTCCTTCAGTAAGTCAGCTAAGCAAACCCTTGCTATCCCTAATCAGAAAGGCTTTCTTAGAAGCTTCAGACATTCAGCATTCTTTGAGGTTTGAGTTTATTTTCTTTTCTTCACATGGATAGGGCTGGGGCTGGCAATGCTCACAGAGATTTTAAAACCACGTGGCCAGCCACTAGTCACCACCCTCTTTCTTCATTTTCTTTCTGCAGGCACTGCTATCAAGTCTAGAGGACATTAATTAAACTATTTATACAGAAGTCCCCTTAATATTCATCACTGGTCTTACCCTTTACTAAAATTTCTTCGTTTCGCAGACATAGTAGACACTCAGGAAATATTTCTAGTCATGGTACTTGTAATTCAATTCAAAAAAACTGCCTGAGGACTCTAGACTATTAGAAAGTTCAGGCCGGGCAAGGTGGCTCACTCCTGTAATCCCAGAACTTTGGGAGGCCAAGGCAGGTGGATCACGAGGTCAGGAGTTCGAGACCAGCCTGACCAACATGGTGAAACCCCGTCTCTACTAAAAATACACAAAAAATTAGCTGGACATGGTGGTGCATGCCTGTAATCCCAGCTACACAGGAGGCTAAGGAAGGAGAATTGCTTGAACCCGAGAGGTGGAGGTTGCAGTGAGCCGAGATCGTGCCGCTGCACTCCAGCCTGGGTGACACAGTGAGACTCCATATCAAAAAGAAGAAAAGAAAGTTCGGAGGAAATACAATGTCTTAAAATTGGAGAGGACTGCCATTTAAAAATAACTTTTTATTTACCTCAAATTGGGAAAAAGCTAACTTCTGTGTTGTCTGAAATACTGTAAGATACATATCACTAATCCTTACCAAAAAAGCAAGATCAGTATTATAAAGGTCAGAAATCTGAGGCTCCGAGAGGTAAAATAACTCAACTGAAATTACTCAGCTAATAAGCAGCAGAGCTTAGATCCCAATCAAGGCTATCTACAAAGCCATTCTTTCCACTATTCACCAAATTATTCCTTCAACAAATATTTACTGAGCACCTATTACATATGTTGTGTACTGAGGAAAAAAAGAAACAAAATTTCTCATCCACAGGGAGATTACACTGTACTTTAAAAATAACTCGTCCTAGTAAAAACCTGTAACTGCCTTGCACACAGTTAGGCTCCCAAAAAAATTACAGCTAAACTAGGTAGATAACAGTGTGCTTACTCTTCCATGCAATTTTCCCAACAACCTTAAGAAATATATCCATTTTATCTTAAAAGCAGAAAACTTAACCTACTCAAGGAAAGTAAGCAAGCAGAAGGGCTGAGAAATAAGCCCATGTTCTAAAATCACTACTGTTACTAATTATGTAGACCAGATAACCTTATTTTACTATCTTTTCCTTTAGAATAAAAAAATGAATACAGAACAAAATCATCTTGAGATACAAAAGTGAGGAAACACCAAAAGAATAGCGAGTTGATTTTTAAAATGTTTACATGAGCTAAACATCCCTTAGGTAATAACAGCTAAATATTAACTTAATTTTTACTATTTCCAGTTGAGCTATCCTAATTTACTCATTTATATTACTAAAGTGCCTAAATTATATAACTAATTACACTGATAAATTTTATCAACCAAACTACTAGAGAAGTTGTTCATAGTAAGTCCAAAGAATAAATACATAAATATTTCCTCCAATATAACTAGCAATGTATCTTTAATAGTCATGGAACAAAGGTTTTAATATTAACATCTACAAGATTATGGACTAATCATCATTCGGGTAAGTATAACAGAAAAAACTCAACGTGGCTCACTCATAAGATGCAATCTTATGTTTGGCTCACTGCACTGGATCCTTTGTTCATAAATCACCGTTACTGGCCATTCCCCGAATCAATATTCAAATTCCCTCTTGGTCTATATATACAACCACTAAATGAAATAATAATGACCCAGGATCTGTCATATATTAGATCATCAATATCACCATCAGAGGTTTCTTAGAGGTAATGAGGTAATCTGAGTAAAATACATCAAATGATCTTAAAAATAAATATGAAAAATTGGCCAGGCGCGGTGGCTCACGCCTGTAATCCCAGCACTTTGGGAGGCAGAGGCGGGTGGATCACCTGAGGTCAGGAGTTCGAGACCAGCCTGGCCAATGTGGCGAAACCCCGTCTCTACTAAAATACAAAAATTTGCCAGGCGTGGTGGCGGGCACTTGTAATCCCAGCTACTCAGGAGGCTGAGGCAGGAGAATCGCTTGAACCCGGAAGGTGGAGGTTGCAGTGAGCAGAGATGAGGCCACTGCACTCCAGCCCAGGAGACAGAGCGAGACTCCATCTCAAAAAAATAAAATAAAATATAGATATATGTGAAAAATTAACTATAAAGAATACACAGTAAGAAGCTGAAGTTTTGTGAAGTGCTATAGCACATTGCCTTTGTAATTAAATGATACAATTCATTTGCAAACTATGTCAATATAGTGTTATCTAAACTTACATTTCTTGCCTTTAACATAAAGTAGATCACATTAGCACTATACTTTCATGTATGTCCAGTCAAGTCAATGAATATCCAGTGAGTACTTCCTACACATTTTTAATGGATATCCAGTGCTAAAACGAGTGTTATTCATTAATTTTTTTTACCTTCTGTATTAACTGGTCCTGTGTTAGGTTCTAAAGGCATTATAAAACAGATTAAGATATAGCTGCCACCTTCAAGAAATTAATAATCTTATGAGAATTAAATATGCAAGAAAATGACCAAGATCCAAAATAAGCATTAAATAATAATTACTAAACCTCCCAAAACTTAATGGTAGTAAATGTGATGAGAAGCTAAGAGAAGTAACTAACAGCAGTTTCTGGATCTGTGTTTCCTTGAGACGTGTACCTAGATCAATCAGTCATCTTAATGAAGAGGTCAAGATCCAGATCAAGTGCACACTATAGAATCGTGGCTCAACCTGCCCCTACAAGGACTGCAGTAGCAAGCATCTAGGTCTCAAGTTCAGCAACTATATAAGGGTAGGAAGAGATTATAAATCTATGATTCAATCATTTTCCAATTTTCCCAATGATAAATTTATGGTCCTGATTCTACCTTAAGTAATGTTAAGGAAGCCATCTGGGGGCTTCTGCAATATGTTTAACTAAGGACTTGTCTCTTCTATCAAAATATGTCTCGGCAATTATTCTAATTCATATCTTAAAAAGAAGCAACTGTTTCAGAAAATCTTTGTTTTTGAAATCTACTTATAGATTATTATATTGACAGGAATATTATAATAACCTGAAGCATTTAGCTCACATATTTCACACTCTGCCTTCCTGGGAAAACTACAGATAACGAAAATTCAAAACAACATCAGGGACTTCTTTAAGAAAGAACAAGTTTCTATGCCTTAGCTGGGGTTAGTCCCGATTATGCCAAATGTTCCATACCATTTATATCTGTGTCTACAAGTAAAACTCAAAACAAAAGGATTTTCTTGAGTTGTACAGAAAAGGAATATACCAATTATTTCTAAATAATTAACTTAATTAATAGTACTAAAGATAAAGCTAGAGTCTAAGTGAATGAACAGAATAGATTCTTTGGCTTCCCATGTCAGCCTGAAACTCTGTGTTTGGTGTAGCTGATTCCTCTAAGAATATTAGGAGATGTATCACACCTGTAATCTCAGCACTTTGGGAGGCCAAGGCAGGTGGATTGCCTGAGGTCAGGAGTTCGAGACCAGCTTGGCCAATGCGGTGAAACCCCGTCTCTACTAAAAACACAAAAATTAGCCAGGCATGGTGGCAGGCGCCTGTAATCCCAGCTACTCGGGAGGCTGAGGCAGGAGAATTGCTTAAACCCAGGAGGAGGAGGTTGCAGTGAGCCAAGATAGCGCCACTGCACTCTAGCCCAGGCAACAAGAGCAAGACTTCGTCCCAAAAAAAATGAAAAAAAAAAATATGAGGAGATTTAGATGAGACGGTAAGAAAAATATTCATGGACACACCTATTAAGAAACAGTAACAGACTGTGTCATTTTGAGTGGCTGTTAGGTATGAAAAAATTAAAAACCAAAAGGTCTTCCATTAAATTAAAATTTATGTTTTAGTGCTTCTTAACTACTCAAACATGGAGTAGGAGAGGTATGTGGTTTTTAGAAAAGAGCTTTTTCAACTTTAAAATATAATTTTATAACCTATTAAAATTTCAAATAACATTAAAGTAGTAATAAAGCAGTGACATTTAATAAAAAAGAAACATAGGTTATAAAAAGCAGAGAAAAATGACTAGAAGCTTGAATTACTTGCCAAGAGTCCTTCATGTGGTAACAGACTAATGTATTTTTGCAACATTTTAATGGTTTTTAAAATGTTTCAATTCAGAAAACTTTCAGGAAAAATATCACTTATTATTGCTACTCCACATATAAAGAAAAGCAAAAATCTGCTTAAAAAAAAACATTTCCAATGATGATAAAAACTACTGAATTTTCCAATCTCTTGAGCTTAAAATTATCAATTATATTCCACTACATTTGTAAGGATTAGAACCAACATTTTATGCAGATTGAGACAGTCAGATCAGAAGTTAGGTAACTCTTTCTATGGAGGACCAGACAGAAAATATTTTAGGCTTTAAGAGTGATATGGTCTGTGCCATAACTATGTATGTCTGCCACTGTAGTGTGAAAGGTGCCACAGGCAATGCATACCGAAATGACATTGGCTGTGTGCCAATACAACTTTACTTACAAAACTGATGGCTAGCCATAGTTTGCCCAACCCCTGTTTATAGATGAACAATCCTAAGACCAAGATAACTGGATGCAGTTCAGTCACATAATGAACTAATAACTATTCATGTCTGCCAAAATAATCAAATCAACTTTAGTCTATTATTTTAAGAAATTAATTTAAATGTTAATGTAAAGGTAAATTAACCATACTAGAATAAGAAAAACAAAGTAGCATTATTTACTGATCAAAACAAATTAGAGTTTCAGGCCAGGTGCAGTGGCTCACACCTGTAATCCTAGCACTTTGGGAGTCCGAGGCCGGTGGATTGGCTGAGGTCAGGAGTTCGAGACCAGCCTGGACAACTTGGTGAAATCCCATCTCTACTAAAAATGCAAAAATTAGCCAGGCGTGGTGGCACCACCTGTAATCCCAGCTACCCTGGAGGCTGAGGCAAGAGAAATGCTTGAAGTGGGGAGGCTGAGGGTGTAGTGCGCCAAGATCGCACCACTGCAATCCAGCCCAGGTGACGAAGAGAGATTCTATCTCAAAAAAAACAATTCGTGTTTTCAGTGTGTGTATAACAGAGCCATATGTATACCTTAGAGTGTTCGGGGAGAAATTCTAGAAAAGAAAACAAAGGACATTACCACAGTAACTTATCTTACTACTTTGTTTGGCATGAGAGTATATAAAACCAATCAAAATAGTAAATAACGGGAGAATGAAAAGTGATGAGGTTTGGACAAGACCCCTGAGGTATTCTTCCATTAGCATGATGGTTTCGAAGAGCTGCTGGTAAAAGTGGCTTCAAACTCTTGAAATTCCTGTCACCATAGCTACTTATCCATATGAAATACTGGATATATCCCAGATCCACATTACATTCAACAAGTAAATGCTAAATTCTAATTTGCTAAGTTTCTTGTATAATGCTAAAAGTTCCACAAGGCCAACATCACCAATCTTATTCCAAATAATTATGAAGTCACAATAAATGCAAACATTTCTTTGAAACATATATTTAGAGCTTTCCAATTCCCTATATGCGGACTCCCCTCAATGAAAATATCCTGATTGTTATTATTACAGTAAATATTTTTTATTTTTCATAAGTCTACTGTTCCTTAAAATTTAAGTCAAACTATAACATATCATTCGTAAAAGTAACATTTTTAACCTACAATTAACAAGTATCACACTGAAATAAATCAAGGCTAAATTTTTCTATCAACATTATATATATAAGACAAAAGAGTGGAGAAGGTTACAAATTTTTAATAACATTATATTATGGTAGTAATAATCTAGGTGTTTGACTGGAAGTGAAGTGGATTACTGTAAATGAAATTTTAAAATGTCCTTTCCATTTTACAGATAACACAAAATGACTTTTTTCATGTCTCTGGCGATAAGGATAAATTTGCCACACATTTAAATGGTGCCTTCACCCTTCCCATCCTGGCTCATGAATTAATAATTCAGTGACATTAATACAAGAAGATAAATGATAAAAAGGTTAAGGCGAAGGGCCAACCATACACACATACTTCTTTTAGCACAGTTAATACTTCTCTGCCAAATTATAGCTAAATCTTTTTAACAGTTTTCAGTAGCATTTTTACAGTCTAAGTTGCAGCTTATGCACACACAATTTCACACAATTCAGGCTTAATAAATCTCCTGCTGGTACCAGTCATTCTAGGGGATTAAAGTGCAACATCTGTTAATATTAATAATGTTTTATATAGTCATATGTATTAAAGAAGCCTCTACTCCATTATTAGTCTCCTGAAAAACCTTCTAGACCAATATACTAATTTAGCATGAATTATACATATAACCTTCAATTGCTAACTTATAATAACAAAGAAATGCATTAGTGTGAAATGGTAAAAGAAAATCACATCTACTATGAAGTAACAGATTTTCTTTAAACCAAGCTTACTAAATATATATGTGCATGTATGCATGGATACACACACAAACAAATGAAATTAGCCTAGTCTCCAATAGTTTTGAAACCAAAAATCCTCTGGAGCATTATTCATCTTAAGTTTGGGTAAAATATAGCTCTGTCAATACAAAAGGTACTTCATTTTAAAGAGGTACACATTCACTGTTCTATTGATTCTTACCCTGAAATACCTTAATCCTCTTCCCATTGCTTTCAATCCCTCTGTCCTAACATCTTTCTTTCTGAACATCTGCAAAAATCTCAAAGCTGATTTATCACCTTCCATCCATCTTGCCAGCCTCTAGTAATCTTCCTAATTTCACCCTAAACCATAAATGTGTATAAAACTGGAACAAACTCTAAAAATAATTTTACATGGAAGAACACAGTTGGGGTTCTGACTTGACAAAGGTTGATCTCAGAAATGTTTCTAAAATGTCTCCAAAAGTACATGTATTATTATTTCACTCTAACTTAGCACAACAAATCTAGTATGTCTTTTTTTTTTTTTTTTTTTTGGAGACAGGGTCTGGCCAGGTGCGGTGACTCATGCCTGTAATCCCAGCACTTTGGGAGGCCAAGATGGGCAGATCACAAGGTAAGGAGAGATCGAGACCATCTTGGCCAAGATGGTGAAATCCCGTCTCTACTAAAATACAAAAAATTAGGCATGGTGGCGTATGCCTGCAATCTTAGCCACTTGGGAGGCTGAGGCAGGGGAATCACTTGAACCTGGGAGGTGGAGGTTGCAGTGAGATGAGATTGCGCCACTGCACTCCAGCCTGGCAACAGAGCAAGACTCCATCTCAAAAAAAAGAGAGCGTCTTGCTCTGCTGCTCAGCTAAGAGTGCAATGGCACGACCATAGCTCAATGCAGCCTTAAACTCTTGACTCAAGCAATCCTCCCACATCAGCCTCCTGAGAGTGGGGACCACAGACATACCCACTACAACAAAAAAAAATTTTTATTTCTTTATTTTTGATTTTTAGTATTTCATAGAAACAGGACTCTAAGTTGTCCAGGCTTGTCTAGAACTCCTGACCTCAAGTTATCCTCCCGCCTTGGCCTCCCAAACTGCTGGTGTTACAGGCTTGAGCCACTGCGCCCAGCCCTATTGTATGTATTTTAACAACAAGAAAGTTGCAACTGGGGCTGGAATGAAAGGGGAATGGTAATTGAAAATCTGAAAGACAGAGAGAGAGAGAGAGAGAGAGAGAGAGAGAGAGGAGAATTAAAAAGCAAAACTGGAAACGGCGCCCAAACAGATCAAACTTCAAAAATACTTAATTCAGCACTGTTTCTGTCAAACTTACTTGCTCAATATTTCTGAATATACCTCTGAAACTGACTTTTACTCAAGATTTTTTATTCACATAGAAAACATCTTTCCCCTCCACCTAATAAACTTCAGAATAAACTTGATAGTTTAAAAACCACCTGTGCCATAAAGCCAACCTTACTGCCTCAAACTGAAAAATAACCTCTCCCTCTCCAGATTCTTACTGCCATTATCTGTTGTCATTTGTACAGTAGTTGCTATTGGGTTATCTTGAGTCCTCTTCAATTAAGCTTTTAAACTAGTTTTAAAATGTCTTTTGCAGCCAGGTGCAGTGGCTCATGCCTGTAAATCCCAGCAATTTGGGGAGCCAAGGCAGGAGGATGGCTTGAGCCCAGGAGTTCAAGTTCAGTCTAGGCAAATTAAGAGACTCCATCTCTACAAAAAATTAAAAAAAATAGCTGGGCATGGTGGCATGTGCCTGTAGTTCCAGCTTCTTGGGAGGCTGAGATGGAAGGATCGCTTGAGCCCAGGAGTTCCACGCTACAGTGAGCTATGATCAGGCCACTGTACTCCAGCCTGGACAACAAAGAGAAAGACCTTGTCTATAAATAAATGAATAAATAAAATGTCTTTTATTGAAATTTTCTATGTTTATCTTTCTTCAAGATAAATCTTTTCAAACCAAGCCTAAAAAATTTTTTGGGTACATACTTTGTTCAAGGCACTGAGGCTTAAACTGCAAGTAATACAATGATTCAGAAGATACAGAAATGACACAAATGCACAAGTAATGTCACGAATTTATGTAATGTAATTAAGAGAGTAAGTGCTCCTTATGGACCATGACTTTCGCTTATCACTTTGTGATTCTGATGACTAGTATAATATCCTGGTAATTAAAAAAACACATCAAATATATTAACAAACTTTCTGGAAAATATTTAAATTTTTGAAATATTTATTTTTTAGCAAATATATCTACACTTGAGGAAGACCATCCTTTTTTAACTTCGTGGTTTTCTTTTTTAAATATTATTTAATTTGCTCTTATGTTCTTGGGTCATAGAAGCTTACTCTCACTTCTATACCTTTCTTGGTATAGTTATACTGTTCCTTCTGCCTGGAATCTCCTCTGCCACTTGTCCCTTGGCTAACTACTGTTCCTTTTCCAAGACTCAGTTGGGTCCATCACTTGACTGTCTAACTGACTGGTTCCCTAAACCTCCACCACACATCAGGGGTACAGTGTCATTTTTGTCCATAGTACAGAGTGCTCATCCCTATCACAATGTAACATTTTCAAAAGATGGTGAGCTAACTGAACACAGTTATGATGAAAGATGGCTTTCATGTCTATCACTTCAGTGCTACCTTACCAGTGAGTATAACCCATGCATAGTGCCTGACAAAGAGCTAGCACATAATAAATGTTTTTGACAATAAGAAACATAGGAGGGAGAGAGGGACAGAGGTAGGGGGAAGGAGGGAGACAGGAAGAGGGGGAGGGAAGGAAAGAGGGAGGGGGGAGGGAAGGAAGGAGGGAAGGAGGGAGGGAAGAAGGAAGGAAGGAAGGAGAGAAAAAACGGGAAGGAGAGAGGAAGGGAGGCAGGCATGAATAAATGAACTGAATTACGGAAACTAACATGAATAGTGGAAAGAATAAAGCAAAGTGGATGGAATTCAGAAACTCGTGTGAAACAGAATTTTTTAAAACTGGAAACTTTCATCTTTGCTTGTTGGTGTAAGAAAGTTAAATTAAAAAAAAAAAACTGGGAACTAACTCGGAGACCTCCTAAATAGAGATTTTCAAGATTTTTTTCTATGCCAGACTATTTTTTAATTAAACACTTAAATATTAAAGAGTGTCAATCTATAAGGCAGAAAACAAAAATGACTACTTCTTCTGGAAGTTTTAATTTATCATTGTTTGACATACAATACCTTATCATTTTCATCATTAAACCCCTCAAGAAAGAGTTTTTAAAACCAGAGTCTCCTCATTATAAAAATGAAGAAATAGAAAGGCCCATAATTACTGCAGAAACAAAATCTGCAACTCAGGCCCAAATCCAGTAGAATAATTCCTCCATGAAGTTTAGGAATTTAATAGTATCTACAAAAACAATTTATAATAATTTCAAACTTATCTCAAAATGTGAAATTATATGAAACTATATTAAATATACTTGCTAATTTTGCTATTAAATAAAAACTGTGTTACAAAGTGTGGTGGCGCAGGCCTATAGCCCTAGATACTCAAGAGGCAGAGGCGGGAGGATAGCTAGAGCCTAGAAGTCTGAGGCTGCAGTGAGCTATGACTGTACCACTGCACTATAGCCTAGATGACCGAGCAAGACCTCATATTAAAAAGAAGTAAAAATAAATAAAATTTTAAAAATAAAAATAAAACCCAGGGATTATATAAATGTACAAATTGGACATTTTCAAAGTACACTAAAAATATTAGAATTTTAATATTAAAATATAAAAATTAAATTATAAATCAAAATATAAAAATTAAAGATTTTTTTCTTGCACAACTTCTTAACAAGGTAGCCTTCCACATCTACATATTTCCCTAGCAATATTCTGAACTTGAGAAAACATTGTTTCCATCAGCAATATCCTCTTAACAGTGATTTTTTTCTGATAGCGGGAAACATGTGTAGAAAACACTTTTATCATCTTTCAAAACAAAGAATGTAAAAATTAAAATCATATTTTTTTTTCTCCTCCAAAATTATAAGACAGACAACGGCACTCCAGTTCAACAGCCAATTGTGGGCTATCTCACCTCTATACGAAAAACTAATACATTCCACACTGGGAATTAAACTTCAGCTATGCTTTGCAAAAAAAAAAAAAAAGTTTCTGATATTACCTATAATGCACACAGCATTGCAGGTTATTTCTTTTTAGTATTAATGATTTACAGAGCCTACTGAAAAAAACATGGCTACTTTGAAATCCTAACTTGCCACCATTCCTCAAATCAGCATTTGCAACTTAATGGACTTTACAAATCAAACAACATTGACAATAAATCTCAGCAACTCATTTACAGAAAGATATCTGAATATTAACTGTGAAATTTAACATGCTTTAATAATTAGACTGTGTAAATAGTATATGTTTCTTTCCTAATTTGATAAGATGCACTTCTCATGTAATACTCCTCAAATTAAATATAAGAAATTGTTCCGGCATTTCACCAAATTAAAATCTTGAAACCCTACAGCTCGAATGTATGAATTTAGATTTTATTTCTACTTTAAATTAAACCATAGATATTATTCAGTTTCATATAATGCAATTTACAGTAGTCTTCTGCTGTGAATGCAAGAACACAATGATATTTTAATAAGATCTTAATACAAGTCACCAGAAGACATTTTGGAAGACAGATAACCAGCTCCTCCACCAAAGAAAAACTATCATTTCACCATTAAAAGATAAACATAATCCACCTGTGGTATGTAATGACCCACTAAAGAAAGGAACTGTGGAGGAAGAGCTCCCTGCATATCAGAAAATGTCTCTAATGCTAAAAATTTGGGCCGCCTTTGCTGAAAATTTATACAAAATATTAAATGCTATTGCTTCACTTAGGTTGCTAAGTAACTAGATGGTTACACAGCCTGGTAATAGTTTGACAATGGACTTGTTAAGATTGTCAAAACTTTCTTTACGTATTTTATCTTATAAACATTAAAAATGTCTTTTTAAGGATGTCATATTTTTAGTTTCCTTAACTAGTTAAATAAAATTCACAACTACAGTATTGACAACCATATTTAATTAACTTCCCTTTATTTCATGCTGATTACCTTATGCATAGCTATGTCTTCGGCATGACTGATCCTTTCATAAAAAAGCAGCAAGCCATCACACACCAGGACAATTCTGACAAGGATCCTCTACTGACTTCCTCTTAAAGCTGTTAATACATGGGCGGATCCTAATGCTTGGCATGATTTGGGGGCAGGGATTATAGGCCATGGAGAACTACAAAAGATTCCTACTTGCATGTTTTCTGTGTGGTTATTTCACCAGGCATCAGATTATAAAAGTAAAACAAGGAAAAACTACTGATCTTTTTTACATAATTGCCCAGTGAAAGTGTAAGCAGAATATTGTGGGGTTTTTTGTTTTTTTTTTTCAGACAGACAGGTCAACATCAACACTTCCTGTTCTCAATATCAGAACATCAATTTTGATAAAAACCAGTCAGCTTGCTACTGATTTATCATCTAAGGAAGGTAGCAACAATAATAGAAAATTCTCTAATTTAAAAAATAGAAAATCTTGAGCAGCATTGAAAAAAAGAAGAGTCTTCCCCCCAAAAAATGAGAGAAAAAAAATCTGAAGAGTGAAAACGGATACCAAAAGGGCCACTTAAATATGTGAACTAATATTCAGATTTAATTTACACCAATAATGACAACAATAAGCATTTACTGAGAGTTTCCATGTATGAAGCTTTATTAAGCACTGTAACTGCATCACAAAAAATTTTCTCTACTATATGGAAGCAAGAATACTTTCGGATTAGGACACACAACTCAGTGTTATAACACTTTAATTGTAACTCTTATCATTCTTATATCCATGCAAGGAATCTATAACTGGTTAGGTTCCAGCACAATTTGTGATCTTCATTATAATCGATGATAAGCATTTATTCAAAAAATACATTGAGAGCCTACTCTGAGTTAATCACTGATGGATAGGTGCTGATAGATGCTTTGGGTTGTTGTTCAGGGTTGTCACCCATAATTAACATGATACAAAGTATCAGCTATAAAACCTAAGAACTATTGCTGGGTATGAAGAGCTGAAAAGCTATTGAGGAAATGATTGTTACTCTTTTAAAGAACAGGTGAAGCAGGGAAATTTCCCCACGTACCAATAAAATAAATATATAATATTAGAAGTTCATGGTAACAAAAGAGAAAGCTGCAGTGAAGATAAATTGCAATGAAATTTTTTAAATCTTCGAGGGCACAGATATCCCTAAGCTTTCTGAAAAGGGGCAGGCTGGTATCTAAGGAAACCAAAGAATATCAAATTACTTGTTTAAAGAGCTGTTAAGAATGTTACTAAAATGGCCCTGAACAATGAAGAGTATCTCAACAGGTCTAATAATGACAAAAGTATTCTTTAGCAAAATAAAGATTTCTAACCAGATTACGATAGCTTTTATACAGTCTTGATTACCTACTAGAAATCTCATCTAAAATACAAATAAAAACCTAGATCATGTAGCCTGAATATCGCATAATAAAAATTTTCACTTTATGTGAGTATTTAAAAAAAATTAGTATCACTTAAACATATGCAGTGTAAAAACATATGCAGGTATACACTCGAAAACATTTAAAAACATTTAAAAGGAAGAAAAAATATATTTTTTTTACAAATACCACATTTAAAAATATACATACCAACAAAGCATCAACCTTCTCAGCAGCTGGTACTTTGGACTTTTAACACATGCATCTCAAAGTATCATCAGAAAATGGGCTCATTCCTTCTCCCTTCCACTAAAGCAGGCTAATGGAATACATAAAAGACTTGGCTGGAACCTTGGTTCTGGGCTTTGATTCTTTGCTCCTCCTTTACCTCGCATTCAATCAAATGCCAAATTCTAACCCACCATTACAAAACTTCTCATATCTGTCTACTGCCATTGCCTCTCACCAAGGACTGTCGTCCACCCCTTCTAATTAGGTTCCTATTTCTTTCATTAGTTCCCCACTCTAGTTCATTGGATACACCACCTTGAATGCTATCAAATAAGTATAACATGTTCTCAATTGAAAATATCAACAACATTTTGTGGCCTACAAGAGAATCTTAAAAGAGCAGGCTGTTCATAATCATGTCCCAAACTAACACACCCGTTTCATCTCCTACTTTCTGTACACTTCACATTCCCCCTAAGGCACTATATTTTTACCTTTCCTGTGCCTTTACCTCTGAACTTTTCTCCTCCTCAGAAAAGACTATATAGCCTACAATCCTCCTCTGCCTTCAGTTCTAAATAAATGGGGTCTCTTTTTCCATACCACTCATTTTGAATTTACTCTAACCTACCCTATATTTTTACAACCTTTTCTCTGCACTTCATTTTGGCATGATATCGTAGTATGACTTTTATAAGAATTATTTGTGCAAATATTTCACAACCTAGTGAACCTAGTGAGCACAGTCCTTACATAACAGTACAGTTTTCCTGGCATGGCCTTAATAAATGGCTGTTGATCTAAACAAAATTAATAGAATTAAGCCCAGAAGTAATGGCAAGGTAGATGTAATATGCTTATAAGTAGGATCGTTCTTGGAAAGAATAAAATACAATCAACATTTCAAAATACAGCCTTTAAGACCAATGCAAGCAAATGCGTATTTTTTGGTCTGGTAATTTTGGCAAACTCAGTACCAGAAGTTCTGTCAAATTTTTAAAACCACATGTGCTGCCACAATAACCTCTGTGGCAATGTAGGAAACCAAAAATTACATCTTGAATGTAAAATCCAAGACATTATAAATGCTGTGAATTATTAAAGTAAATCCAAGACCTTATCTGTAAAAAAAGGAAATAGCTGCTCTGAACTACAAAAGCATAACATACTTCAAGAGATTGTACCCACATATGAAATACCTGATTTTTGAAAGTTTAATATGATTGTGATTTTTATTTTAGTAAGACTCTCAAGAGGAATTTTTTTTTCTGAGAGGTCTGTTGCCCAGGTTGGAGTGTAGTAGCAAGATTGTAGCTCAATGCAGCCTCGTACTCATGGGCTCAAGCAATCCTCCCACTTCTCCTGAGTGGCTGGGGCTACAGGCACGCACCACCCCGCTGGCTATTTATTTATTTATTTTTTTAATTTCTGGTAGAAACGGGTCTTGCTATGTTACCCAGGCCGATCTCGAACTCCTGGCCTCAAGTTATCCTACCACTTCATCCTCTATGGCGCTGGGATTATAAGCATGAGACACCGCACTTGGCCAAAAGAAATCATTCACATAGCAAGAATTCTCTAGTGCTGTGCGTCTCAATAAAGTAATAAACTAGGAGTGAGAGGTAGATAACGGTAAAAATTGAATCATTCTGGCTTGGCAGTATCTTGTGGCCTTGGGAATGCACAACACAGAATGGGGACAAGGCCGCCAAAAAATCAAGATTTTACTCATTCAAATTTAACTTTATGATTTTTATTACACCCTATAAATAAAATGTTGGTTTAAGGAGTATTAGATTAATATAGTCTTGAATTCCAAAGACTGAAACATCTGCCTTTCAGCTAAACAACCAAATACATTATTAGATATTTGTACTATATTTTTAAAGACCCAGACAAATTTCTGATTTTTATACTAAGAATTGAGAACGATCTTCAATTTTTTAAAAAAATGTGTATTATTTACATATACTAACAAAAAGCTGCACTTTTCTAGATTTATTACCAAATTCATGATCTCTTGTGATGAAGAAGACTCAATAAAACTCAAATTCATAGAAAGGAAGCTGACTACTAAAGATAAGACTTAGCTTCTGATTTCCACCGAATTTTTATATTTTTCAATCTATTCATAAATCTTACCAAAAAAAAAAAATGGGACGGAAGGCCTACCTTTAAAGCTGTTTGTATGCCATCATTTCAAAAAATTTTAACTAGGAATTTGACACTTAAATTTTACCAATTTTTGATTG
Organism: Homo sapiens; assembly: GCF_000001405.40. Lineage (NCBI taxonomy): Eukaryota > Metazoa > Chordata > Mammalia > Primates > Hominidae > Homo > Homo sapiens. Next base: position 81,817,178 of record NC_000001.11, on the reverse strand, counting down.
TATGCTACAATGATGAAAAATACTTAGACATACAGAATAGAAAAACAGACACTGGAGACTACAAAAGGTAGGAGCGTGGGAGAAGTGTGAGGGGTGAAAATTACTTAGAGGGTATAACGTTCATTTATTATGTGGATGATGGGTACACTACTATAAAGTACATGCATGTAAAAAGGCTGTGCTTGTACCCCCTAAATATACTTGAAAAAAAAAAAGCCCCAAAAAACTAAGAATTCAACATTCATGAGATACCATTAACAAAATAAAGGAAGAAAATGTTGAAGCTTTAATAAGTGCTTGGCAATACTGAATACTGAAGCTTATTAAGGACTTGGTAAAGTACATGTAATAAAGTTTTATTTTGTAGGTTGAATAAAAGTAGGCAAGCATAAAAAGAGCATTTGTAGGTTAAAATAAATGATAATCAGACAAAATATTAAAAGAATCTTTGGAAAGAGTTGAATAATGCCAAACATGAAAGTACTGTAAACATCTTTTTAACTATGGAGGGCTTAAATACACATTAAGTCACATGAAAACACTCCAAAGAACATCACCATATAATAATTCCACATTAAATAAAAAAACCTATACATTGATACTAATTACTAAATTTATATCCTGGTTCTCTTTAGGAGATCAAATAGTTTGCATGGCAAGTAGTGAAAAATGTTTTTTAAAAAAGAAAAAGGCCCTCAACCATCCATTCAGAAATGAGTAATATCAAACTATTAAAACATCTGAAGAAAACATTCTATAAGAGGAAATATTAAAAGTATTAAAGCAATATACAAAATAAAAAGTATTCTTAAGAATAGTGCAAAAATGTCTAGTAATATCATCAATTGTATAAACATCTGATAACATCAATTTTATACATACATAAGAGTTTATGGTGATTTATTCTTTATAAATAGGAAAAACTGACTTGAATAAAATAAGCTAACAAATCAAAGCTATATTTTCGTTTATTTTCAATTAAAAGCTAATATTATGGTGAATTAACTGCAACCTTGATATGCTCCTCTTGATTTTCACAGAATTAACAAGCAATAAGGAGAATGAGGCCATTAGTGTATGTAATCTACAAGATTTTCAATATTCTAAAAATACTTAAGTGATGCTTGCACTACAAGCTATTCAATTTAGTATTGTTCTAAGAGCTCATTCTTACTCCCTAATTTTTTTTTAGAAATACTCTTAAACTTATTAAAAATCAATCCCAAATGTTTTTAAGAAATGCAACTCCAGAAAATGTGAATTCTAAGATACTTATGCTTCGTTATCGGATGTTTTAATCATGTAATATTAACCTAAATAATCATTGTTTTAAATCTATTCTAATTTTAAGAAACCAATGACAGGTTTCCAAGCTGAAATGTCAGAGGACTTAGGTACTTCTTATTAGTAACACAATATAAGAAAATTAGTAAAAAATAAAACACATGAGGTATGAGGGAGTAACTACAGTATTAAAGTAGGTAAAGGTTATGTTTGACTATCAAGTTCATTATAATTCTATGTCACCCTATTTGTACAAACTGTCACCATAATTCTATAAAATATTTTAAGCAGTAATAATACTAATAAAGACTCTGATGAGAATCAACCCTAATTCTTACAGAGAATACAATGATAGAAAAGTGCTTTTGGAATGTATTCTTGAATACCTTACTGTGTTGTAGCTGTTATCTGAATCCTACAGAGCAACGAGATGAAACAAAGATTTTCTCGAGGTGAAATTCAAATACTTTCAAAAGTACAGGTATTTTTGCATTAGCCAAAGCTACTGTGGGCCACTAACTACTACTAAGAGATAACACAGCATGATGCTCTGTCAAATAGTAAAATGTTGGACTAAGTCTTTTCCTTGAACATAGCTAACTTTTTAGTTAAGGCCTCTGACACGAGTATTAACAACTACCTTTCCGCTTTGACTTATATTTGGTCAAAATAACAGTATCTTTTAAACCAACAATCTGATTTAAAGAGCACTAAAAATTAATAAATTTTCTAAACCATGACATAAAAACTCAGTGATTAAGTAATTTTAACAAATGGGTTTTTTCCCTTCTTAAACATGTATCTCAAAAAAAATAGTTTTAGCAATCATATTCCTATTAAAATGTATAACACACAAATATTAGAGACAAAGTTACCCATGAGTAGAAAGCATGAGTGTTTTTGTTCTGAATTTTAGGGATTTCCTTAGATGTTGTGTTTATTTTTAAATAAAGGTAATGCTACTGTGTTTAAATTTTTGAAGAAAATGTATAAAATTTTATGATTTATTCTCATTTTAAAATAACAAACTTGATATTCTAAGATTTTAACATTTCTCTTTAGCACAGCTTTGAATTAACAACATTACCTGAACACCACAAAATCTACTACATTCAGTGTAGATAATAAAAAGTATTTTTTATACCTTTGTTAAGATTTCAATTTGAGAAAATCTTTATTAAATAGGCAAAAGAAATGGCTTTGAAACATACAACAGGCAAAATGACACTAATATTGTTTATTTTTGTTCCTAAAATAAAAATATTAATTTCTAAATCCTGGGAATAACAAGAGCAATTTAAAATATTTTTTTCCAATACAGTTATTAAAACATGCAGGTTTATAATTTTGCATTCTAGACTCTTCATACACATATATAAATTTTCTAATCTTATTTAGGGTTTATCATATTCTTTGGTAACTTCCACTTAAAATGTTTAACATGTTCAAATATTTGACTCCCATTCTTATAAAATTTATATTTAAAATATTATTTCAAATCTACCCTCTTAATACATAATACTCTCACTTGAAGGACTATTCTTCATAATATATACTATTCATAATAGCTTATTATTTTAAAAACCAGTCTGCTCACACAGATGCAAGAACAATTAATATATACACATCTATGCTTAAATAATGTATATACAAAGGAGCAGAGAATGTTTTATCATAAATTCGTATTTTTTTATTATTAATTCAAGAATATGTGATAAAATTTTCTTTGATAATTTACCAAGATCATGGTTACTTTAAACCGAAAACCAGTTACCAATCTATTTCCTTGTCATAAACATCCCTAATAAAATACCAATAATACTTTTATGAGAACAATTAATTTGATTAACTTTTCAGTACAATTTCTTTTCAATGGATTCAGATTTCAGTATTTTAAAAATCGCTCAGTAGTCTACCTTCAAATTTAAGACAAAACAGGTAGAACTTACCCTAGCTGTGCCTTTCCAGTAACCTCACAGAAGTTATGCACTCTATGACAGTTACTGTGCCTCACATAACCATTTTCCTGGAATGAAATCTCCAGTAACCCTTACCTCACTGTGAAGGAGGTTTTAGTATTAGGGGGAAAAAAGGTAATGAACTATAACATCAGATCCCATTTTGCAGTGCCTATTATATTAAAAACCAGCTACGATAAGAAATATCTTTTTATATTATTTAAGACAATGACATAAATTTGGCAGTAAAGAGTATCTACCAATAATTGTATGGAAAAGAAGCATTTGTATACTTTTGTAAAACATACCATCTTAATCCTATTGAAATATAATTGCTGTTGCTAATATTCTTACCCCATTATAAAAATGCTCTGTATAAATGTGGCACACACTTGTTAAGATAATACGGGGCCACGCTGAGAGAATACTACTTATAAAAAAGCCCATACCAGTACCACAAATCTCTTTATTAAACAAGTTTCCTTACTTAGAGGATTATTCTTTGTCACAGTAACAATGTGACTTTTCACATTAGTAAAGATTAGCTACTAAAATAATAAATCTGAAACAAGGAATTTCATTAAGAAACGAAGCTTTTTAAAATGCAAAATAAATATTTTTGTCATATTATTACTTGATAAAATAAGAGAAATGAACTATTACATCTCTTTCCAAAGATACATAATGGATAATAACCTTTCTATTTTTTACCAACCAACAAGCAAATTCTAAAATAATGTTACTATACCAAAATGGAAAAATGAAAAGACTGGAATTGATTTTTTAATAAAATGTAATATAATATCCTATCATTAAATTTCCTGGCACAAATAAGTGTATGCAGGAAATATGAAAAATTCTACTCACTAAAAAATATCCAAATGCCTCTAAAAGCTTATCATCCTGCTTACCTAAACACCCGAATGAAAAACTCTCAAGTACTTCCCTAAGTATCTGGCTTACAATTCCTTAGAAATTCAGCTGGCACAGAGTCATAAACAGAATTCAGGTTTCAATCAAGTACTGTCTATTCTGCCTGCATTCATTTTTTTCCCAAGTTAGTCAGCAGTTTTCTAAATCATGTAATAGTAGGTCCTTATTAGTAGTTCCCGTGTTTTAATGTCATTGAACTCATGTCCATTATTGCAAGTAAAAGTCATTAAGCCAAAGCGATCGTTTTTCTGTTTAGAAAAGCACATATGCAACTCATCTAATCTGGTCTATTAATTAAATGTAGAGGAATGTAATACACTTTGATATGTTTAGTGGTCATTTAATAATATGTTACATATCTGGAAAATTACCTAAAAAGCTGGGATCTCTCTTGTAACAACTACTATGCATTTAAACAAGACAGTTCTGCAGTCATTCTCCCTGAGCTTTAGACAATCATAAATAAAAAATTATAATCTCAAAATGGATCTGGTATCTTTATTATATTTTAAGTTATTTTTAATCAAAAATATAATAAGGCACATTTGTAATCTGTGAATAAAGGAAATGATAAGGCACATTTGTAATCTATGAATAAAGGAAATGATAAACACAAGGCCTTTAGTACATTAAGTTGCACTATAATTTGGCTCATCTCAAAATGCCTTACTTTCTTTAGAACAATTTTTTCAAACAAAAATAAAAAATATTTTAATAAAACATAACTTTCAAAGGGAAATGTCAATTTATACTGCTTTGATTATTTCATCGCATATAAAAGCTCCCTCTGCAGGTAATAACAAGGTTTAGCAAAAATATTTGAAACGTGGGCAGTTACCTTAGTAAAAATGCAAGTCACCATTTTATAGAAATACTACTCTACTATCCAGCATTTTTCTCTCTTCCTTACCAATTACCTGATTAAAATAATTGCTCTTGAAAATCTGTGGTTCAACATGATTATTCTTGCCCTCCATCCTGGTTAAGATGGCAACTTGAGCAGACAGGATACACAAACTTTTCACAAAGTCACCCAAGACATACTCAGACAGTGTATTTCAAGGAAAAAGAAAACATTACCTTGCTTACACAGCACCAGCCTGAAATGATAGACCACTCCAAAAAAAAAAAGCTGCCCGGCTCATTTATCTGATTCATTTTCTGAACACAAAGTAAACAAAGGTAGCATCTTAGGATCAATTTAAAATCAAAGATAAAAGATCAATTTTAAATGAATGCAGTGCTAACTGTATTTTCTTCTTATTCTGAATAATTCTAAAATTTACACCTGGAGAGTATTTATGAAAAATCTATTTTCATTTCAATTAAAAAAAAACTGATCTGGGTTGCAAAATGCTCTTTACCCTTCTGTAATATGTTTTCAGAATTTGTTTTAGATTTGTTTACACAATGTGCTCTTCTGCCATATTCCTTTCCACAAGTATACAGAGATATGATGTGATGTATCTCTGCCAAGGGAGCAAAAAACAGAAAGTTAAGAACAGTTTCTAAGTCTCGGGGGCAACGTGTTATAAAAAACGTGTTGCTGCAGAACGCTGATGCCCCTCTCTCCCTTAAAATGTCTCGGTTCCAACATAAACATATCACCTTGATAACATGTAAATACTGACTGGAAATCTGAGGCAAAGCCAGTTTGACTTACCTAGAAATGAACTGACAGGCTTATAAGAAGTGACTTTTTAAAACTAAGGTTCTTATTGAACAAAGGAAAATTATAAGATATGCTAAAACATACAGAAATATCATACTGAGGTATCAGTTATATCTTTTCCCAATGAAACAAATGAGGTAAGAGGAACAGCAACAGCAAATCAGCAGTGTTTTTTGTGGGGTTTTCTGCTTAAGAAAAAGTAATCAAATTTTGTTTCATGTACATTTTTAGATATTCAGGCTGTAGATCTAGTTTAAAACCCGTAACAATATGAAAAGTCATTTCCGTGCAGGCTATGGGTATCATAGCACTTGTAGTAGAAAAAGCAAAGTGGGAGAACATTCCTATTTATTCATCTATTGAGCTATCAAGAGGAAGCACCTAATATTCAAACATTGTCTTCTTTGTGACAGAGAGAACTCTGAAAAGCGCAAAAAAGTTATATGTCCTTAGTAAAAGTGAACATGTCTAGGACATTATAATTTTAGTGTAATTTTTATTTGTCGACGCATATGAGGCAAAGTGACGTGTTTTAGAATTATGCTCATCTCTTTAATATTGGAGAGATGTATTATTTTCAGTACACGAATCTTCAGTATATCTTCTGTCATTTAATACATTAAGCCTTCATCAAACTAAAAAAAAATGTACAATTACTAGGACAAAAATACATAAGCATAGAATATTATCAAAATTAATGTTTCCCAAAATGTCTTAGATTTTAACCATAGGAAAGTCAGGAATTGTAAGAACTAAAATACGCCATAAGCATCCTGACATTAAGAACACAAAGATGAGTGGAGAAAATGGTACATAAGAAATGTGTTCTGTAATTTCTAATCAATAACCACAGTAGCAAACACTATAAAATGGTAGGCTTTTAATGCAGAGAAAATTTCCGTATGGATGGTAACCAGTTTAATAAAGGAGTAATAATTCCACATAGAAATACTTTGCTTCAAAGTAAAGACACAGGGAAACTCATTTTAAACATGATTATTTGTTATGTAAATTGAAGCTGAAAACTGATTAAGTAAACGTAGTCTGCATAAAACAGAAATATTGTATCAACTAAAAATTTTATCTAAAATCTTGTAATGGTTTGCCCATTATATGGAGAACTGCTGTCATAGTACTTACAATGTTAAGAATAAATGATTAGAATTAGAACTTACTTTATGAAGAAAACAGAATTCTCTTTTGTTCGCTCTATAAATAGACACTATTTACTATCATCTTCAAGAGAAAGCATTAGTCAAAACAAGGTCACCTAACCCACCCCCAGCAGTCAAGTGCCATTTTTGACAGTAATTGAGGTTAGATTATGCTGTCATCTAAATCCAGAGTAATAACTAGCTTGAGGTGTGGACTGATGTAAAAATACCTATAAAAGGAGGCAAAGTGTGGATAGTACAAGCATTTCTCAGTCCACAGGCAGGAGATATAGATATATTTGACAGCAAAACAGATATTTATGTCATACCATTTTCAAAATCAGTTTTAAAAGAGATATCTTAATCATACATATTTTACATTTTGAACTTCCTAATTTTTAGCCAACAATAAACAACAAGTATTGATATATACAGAGAAACAGACTATAAAATGTGTGTTTATGTATGTACATATGTGTGACCAAGAAAGGGGTTAACAAGTACTACCTAACAATTGAAAATAGCAAAATTAAGCCCATTTTTATTAGGAACCTCATGGTGCATCCTTCTTCGCTAGTATGATGGCTGAAGATTTTTCTTATTCATTCAGAAAAAAAGACAGGATTGTATCTGGTTTTGTTCTAACAAATTAACATGTGCTTGAATTGATGCTAAGTCTAAAGTTAACCATCTTTTCAACTTCTCCCATCTCTCATAGCCAAGAACTAATAGTTCATTTTTATCTCCATCTCTTTTTTTATCAGATTTAAAAATATATATAAATGTTACTTAATGCATTTTAAAACAGAATTAAGACTTGGTCACATATTTCAGGAAGTTAACATCTGCCTAACCTACCCAATTTTTAACAATATATTTCTGTTTTTATTAAAGTACTAAATCTACCGCAAAAAAAGTCCTCCAAAGACTTTTTAGCCTTAAATAGGCTTCTTTTAAGATAACTAATTTCAACACTGAAATTCAAAGATTAAGGTGTAATCCCTGTGTCTGAATTTTAATGATTATAATGTACTCCTCACAGATTGGAAAAATCAATGACAAAACCAACAGGGGCCACGTTTTGCTCAGCATACGTTTTCTTGTCAGGTCGTGATTAATGCTGTGCTCTGTAGAGGGAGACATTACATCTGGGCTAAAACAGACCTAAACTTTACCCTCAGGCAGAAATCTGATTTAAACATCTCTATTTAAAGTGACATTTGTCCTCCCCTTTCAACTATTTTCCCTAGAAATTCCAGGAAGTTGACTTCATGACCTAAAAACAGCCGGTGGCTTTGAGTAGCGGTTGTGCTTGTTCCTGCACTTCCGTAAATCTGGGTGCCAGAATTAATCAAGGTGGTAATAAAACAGGTGCCCAGCTATCTGCTACGATGAATCCCATGCTACTTTATTGCCACAGGAATTTGGGATTTAGAATTCAATGTAATTCTAGAATCAGTAGTAAGAATTGCCAAAATGTATTTTGGTCGCTGATAATAACCTATTTATATCTTATAATGGAGTAGGTTTCTTTTGATTCTTAAGATTACACCTGATATTTCACTAATCTAAAATATCAACTGATAATAAATCCAAGGAATATGGAAAAGCAACTACTTAAAAACAAACCTCTAAAATAAATGAGAATATGCCAGTGGAAGTAGTTTCTCGTATGTCATGCAATAGCTTTCATAAAAACAAAACAAAAATGAAAAGCAGAAAGAAAAAACTCTGCATCTAACAAAAGTCACCAAGAAAACAAATGTATGCATATCAAAACTGGCGCCAATATCCTTACACTGTGAACATGGTAACTTTTGATATTATTAAGCAATGTAGACACTGCTGGCGAGTTCCTACAAACCAAGGTAATCTAATTTCTGTTGTTTTTCAACCTAAATTGATTTTTTTTCTTTTAGTCATTCTGGTAATTGAACAAACTTATATAAGTGTGATGGGATTTTACTTACTACCAGACAATGCATAAAATTATCTGTGAAGACAAACTATATTACTTCATAAAACTGCATTTTCGTTGTAATTAAACAAATTGTATTTAAACTTGCTTTCTACTTCCAAACCAATCAATAGTATTTTGCTATAAGCTGCACTTTACTTGCAGATGTTAAGCGCTTGGTTCCTTTATTCCATCTACTTTTTTTTTCCTTTAGATAATGTTTATTTGTCAAATATAGGAGGTTTTTTGTAAAAAAATAATAATAATAAAATAAGCTTTTAAAAAACTGTTGGATAAGAATATATCAAAAAATATCTACAAATTATTGCCTACTTAGTGCAGCAGATATATGATCTCAGGAAAAAAATGTTAAATATTTTTGATTAGGATCTCCCTTTTCTCATGACACCGTGACTCACACACACACACAAAAATACTTACATCAAAACAATCAAAACATTAAGAAAATTTCTATACTTAACATGCTTAACAAAACCTATATACTACACTCAAAATACCAAATTAAAGTCCTGAGTAAAATTTAGGGTTGACAGACCCTTGTTACTCCTTTAGAAATTACCACACTAAGTCAAGGATTATAATTCCCTAATTCCAATAATTAACTGTTCATCTCTGTGTTAAAGAAACTATTTCCTTAAGCTTTTTCTTAAAGCATTAAAAAATATAATCACTACCTGGCCAATCTTTGAGAGCATCTTAGGCAGCAAAAAGATTTTAGAGAATAGTCTCAATTTATTTTTGTGACAGCATCAAGCCTAATTACAATAATCTGAGTGATTAAATACTTTTCAACCTTTCAACCTTCAATCAAGAATTATTTGAAGAGATGAATATTTGGGTGGGGCTATAGAATAATTAGTCTTATGTAAGACAGAAGTAAACTAGCCTATGATTTTAATCTATCTTGGAAATATAAATATTCTAATCTTTGTTAAAAATAGCAACAAAAGTTATCCATTTAGGTTACATTAACTCATATTTAATCCATAGGAACTGATATGACCAAAACATTCACAGAACTTCAACTCCTTTTCAGCTCTTAGTAGCTAAACTTGCTATTTTTAATGCTTTATCGAAATCTATCAATTTGAAAAGTTTTTAGCTAGGCATTTTTGCAAATAATCTTGAAGAACCATTTTTTTGTAACGATGCATTTTATTTGCAAAATATATTACCTTAAAAATAATTGCACTTATTTTTTACATAAATCTTTTCTGCAGAAAAGCAGACAGACATCAAATGCGCATCTCTCCCTTCAAGACTCAAAATCAGATATGGTGAAACAGTAAGAGGCAAAAGTGCTACAGTCTTTGAAGAAACTTTTGTAAAAATAGCACCTTATGTGAAACTAAATTCCTCCATTTCCAAAGCTATCTTTCATTCTTAATCTAAGTAACCCTTAATCTATGTTCTTAAATATCAGCATTGGGCAAGCGGTATGGATTGTTAAAATGAAAACAGATTTCTTTTAGGTAGGTACAAGTATGTTTAACCTACATCTTAGAATTCCACCTACAACTGTCAATAAACTGAGTGTTATTTGAATATTCACAAAAGTGAGGTCAAATAAATATTTTGATAGAAAATAAAGCAATAACATTTTATTACTATGGTTTGTAGATTTCTAGTTACCTCTTGACCTTCATGACATCTCAATCTCAATTCACATATTCTTATATTAAGATACTAAAACGCTATTTTAAATTTAATGAAACACAGAAAGCTTCAATAATGATCAAATAAAGATTAACCCTAAGTAAACCTTAGTTTTAAAGCTCTCTTCTAGCTCATTTCAAAAAAGGAAACACCCAGAAGCCTGGTGTTAATGTTTCTGCTGATTGTGAAAATTGCAGCAGTAAAAACCCCAACTGTTTGTCTTAAATTTAGACTTGTATTACTGCATGTGAGATCTGTATATTTACATTAGTTTTTATAACATTTGGAAGTTTTGTTGCCTGCTTTGATGTTAGTCCATTAATAAAGCAGACAGTCAAAAGCCTGGAAAAAATTATACTTATTGGAAATTCTCAAGTCAAAACTTGAAGTAATTGGTTTGTTCTACCCCACATGATTCAATATTCTGATTTCCCCAACTACCTGCTCCCAGAGCTATCTCCATTTCTAAATTCGTTTTCTGTTGCCAACACATAGTAACCCAGTGATTGAAAATGGCAGCTGAAGTTCTTCTACAACACATTAATTTTTCCCTAAGTAGTCCAATTTTGTCATCTAAATGTTGAAAAATCTTCTTTTCACTACATTTTGCACCTTTAGAGATTTACTGAATTCAAGATCACCCTCACATAAAGTGAAGAGCAATGTTTTCAAGACAATTTTTAGATTATCACTAATAGCTGTAAAGGATAATGTTGTTTTCTTTATAACACTCTGCATTCAAAGCAGACTAGTTAACAGCAACTTAAGTGCAATAATAGCAATTACATCAATGTGGCCTTTTTTTTTTTTTTTAACCACTAAAGTACTTCCTAGACAAGTGAAGGGATCAGATAAATAAACTACCATAAAATAATTTCAGGGTAAGGATATAATGATATACAATCTCAATGGCACAGAAAAAAAAACCCTAATTGTAATCCAAAAAAAAAGGATCATCCGATTACACTTAAGCTAAAAATGTTAGGCAATTAATGATAGTTTTTCCCCTCTGAAATTGTTATATTGGAATTCATTTTCATTAATAAAATAAAAGCAAGGAGTTTGAACATTAGTAAATGAAAGGTTATCAATTCATATTCAAAAGCAACCAAACATCTAAGGTAAAACTATAAAAAATATGAGCTTACATCTCCAAAAAAGTCTCCCCTGAAATTCATTTCCATCTTAGAATTAAGTTTTGTAAATTCTTAAGTCAAATAAATAAAACTAATTCTTCCCAAGAAATTGAAGATAAAAGTTCCCCCTTGACCCATCTGCACTTGATAACTAACCCAAATGACCCAAGCACTTGTTCTTTTTTTCATTCATGGATATTGAATTGTTAAAAGAAATTCAAAGATATGTTCTCTCTGTAAACATAAAAAAGCAAGAACAAATAAACTATATTTTTTAAAATAAACCAACTGAATACTAGAGTTTACTGTTTGACAAGATACAAAAATTTTGAAACAAAACAATATTTAAACAGAATTATCTATTTAAATAGAATTCACAAAAATTTGAATCTTCACTTAAAAAAAACTTTTCCAAGCTTCTTTTTGCAACAGAAGTTGTGTCAAGTTCATTTGAGGTTTTAATTTTCAGCATCCTCCGCTGACTTTTTCCCTATTTATTTAGCACATAAAAAACAGTTACCTACGTGTACAAATGAGTCTTTTAATCACAAAATTTCTATTGTTTTAGAGACTAATTAAAAACTAATTAAGTGGCCTTTTCATTTTACTAATAAAACAAAGTGTAGTTCCTAAAAAAGCATTAAGTTAGAAGGAAAGGCTTTCTCACTCTCTCTTACACTGAAGGGACCCCAAAAGACAGGCAACAGTGACTATCATAAAACAAAAGGTCACTCTTTTTCTAGGAACAAACCATTTATCAATAGAAAATAATTGTCTTGCCATTTGCAAGGGCTCCACAGCAATAGACAATGTTTTTGGCCCACATAACTACAAAACAGTAAAAGTTCAGAAACACAGCCTGAATCCACCTCCCTATTTTTACCCTTTACAATTCTCATTGCCCTTTGGGCCTCCGCTTGGAAGCAAAAGGAAGACAGGCTGAAGTTTTCTCAATTGAGCTAAAGCTAAGAAACCTTTGATATGCTAATAGTCCCCTTCAAACGGTAAGAATTCACACTTGCATTAATTCAAACAATTTGTGCAGAATGATGTGAAATGGCACCTCTTTTAGAGGCAAACAACAAAAGGAGAGAATCGGAATGTCTGAAGAAACTAAACAACAGAACATTTGTTCTGTAGTATTCTTTCTATTATGCATAAATTTATGGAAGGGTGGAGGGAGAGACAACAAAACGTTCCATAACACACCTGGACAGAAGTAAATTTTCTTTTAAAGGGTTTCTCAAGTATTACGAAGATACAAAATTTAAAGTTACAAAGTACCCTTAGTTAGGTCAAAACAGTCCCATCACAAGTTGGAATGTTGCCACAGATGAGTACCAAAACTATTCTATTTTTCTGCTCTGGATGCATATTGCCTCTTTAGTGCCTATTTTCTAAGGTTTGCCCAAGATCAAACCTGACTTAGCAAGAGACAACCTAACAGGTAATTATTTACCAAAGGATGTGACTTTCTTCATTGTGCAACTTCGTTGAGCAAAGAGCAAACTCGGTGGGACCCGTTCCACACATAAATAGTGACAGAGAAATGAATGAATCAACTACGTCCGTTAAATCTATGCCTCTGGAAAGGGGAAGAGAAGTGCACGTACTGAAAGAATGCAGAATAAAATCAAAGAATTGAGGGCGGGGTGGGGAAGAGAGTGCCTTAGAACCTGGCCTTTGTAACGGGAACCATATGGTTGGTAGCTGCAGCTCAGACGCTCCCAGGCTGCTTGGGAGAAGCTGCTAAGCAGCCTGACACCTTTCAAGAAACAGGAGGAAAACATTCCCTCGGTCGGAATCTGAGACAACAGTTTGTATCGGGAAGAACGGAATGGAGGGCGGGGAGAGGGAGAAAAGATGAGGAGGAGGAGTCCCTAAAAAGAGAAAGGCTATGATAGATACCGCAGGACTTGTCCCTCCCAACTATTCTTTGAGAGCACAGAGTGAACAGAGGATTGGAGGGGGGGAAAAAAAGCCTCCACTCAGCGACACTTTAGCATTAAGTAAAGCTTCCAGTATTCTCCCCTCACCCCCACCCCGCAGTCTGGCGAAAGGAACAAACTTTACGGGTCCCAAGCGCAGAAGTCTCGCAGGCGCACCTCCACACTGCTGGGGCGCTTCCATGGTTTGGCTCGCCCTCGCCCCCTCTGCCTGAGGGTCGCCCCAGCCAATCAAGGAGCCCACGCTCGGGCAGCGCGGGGGTCTCCCCTTCCCTCGCGCTCCTCCCACGCCTTTCTCTCGTCGCCACTCCCCAGTGGCACCCCCATCCCACAAACCAAGCTCCCGAGGCTCCCTGCCCCACAGCCACTCCAGCAGCATACACTCCGTAACTTCTCCCGCAGGCCCAACGCGGCCCGCTGCTGCCCTCTCACTGCGGCTCCGGGAGGCTCTCTGCCCTCCCCGTGGCCCGCCGGGTCCCCGGCCCCTGCACCCTCCCGACCCACGAGGCCGCCCTGGCAGCAGCAGCCCCGCCGCTCCCAATCGTAGCCAGTCCCGGCGGCGGCCCGACCACATCTGGCTGCGCTTTACTGTCATCCTCGCCTCCCCACACCACCTAACCACTGACGAGAAGGAACAGCAACCCTCAAAAACTCGTCCAAGCCCTCCCCCACCGTCCACTTCCCCCGAACTCGCTCCAGCCGCTCAGCCTCCCCGCTCCACTTACAGTGCGGGACCGGAGGGCAAAGCGGGCGGGACGCTGGGGTGGCCCCGGGCCCCAGCGCCCGGAGCAAATAAGCTCCGCCGAGGACGCGCTTCACACTCCTCCTCCCCAGGCCCCCAGTGAAAGGACGGGCGGAACCTTGCGACCCCAAGCTTTTATGAAATTAAAAAATGCATGGCTACGGGAGCCTCATCCTAACCCCCTTGCCAGCGCCCCCGGCAACTAGACTGATGCCTGGAGAGCGTTACAATGGCTCCACGAGAAAAGGAGAAGCCGGCTGGACCGGACTGAGAGTTCTGCGGATCGATTTCCAAGAGGAGATTGGGGGGAGGGAGCGAGCAGCCCGAGCGAGCGCGGGTCTCCCCCTGGGCCAGCCGAACAGCAACAGCCGAGCCCCATTAACCCGCGGCTCCCTGCGCCTCCAGCATCCACCCCCGGACTGGAGGCGCAAAGCAAACAGGTCTCCGAAGCTGGGCACAGAGGCACATTGTTCGCTCCTGCGGCTCTTACCTCCGTCTGCGAGCGCGCCCCGAGGGAGGGCCGTCTGGCGTGGGGGCCGCGCGGGGACAGGCGCGGAGGGCAGCGGCTACCCCGGCCGGAGAGGGCCGAGGCCGGCCGCGAGCGGGTCCTCGGCCGCCGAGTCCGCGCGGGAGGCAGCGCCGCAGCTCCCCGGCCGGACACGGCGCCGCAGCTCGGCGCGTCCTCCTGCTCGGCCGCCGCCGCCTCCAGCCGAGCAGCCAGCGCCGGGCGGCTCCTGGGGTTAAGTCAACATTTTCCCGCAGTTTCCCACACGCCGCTCTTCGAGAGAGGTCTTTCACACACACGCACACACCCCCAGACCGCACGCTCCCTTAGGAAAAAAAAATCGGGAATCAGAGCGAAAGGGGTGGTGGAAGCAAAAGCCTGACAGAGGTGCGCAGACTTGGGAGTCCCTTCGAAGCGACGGGCGGGAGGGCGCCGGGGGCGCGAGGCCAACTCAGTTTGTCAGGCGAAGCCCCTCAGCCCCCCGAGCGCCCGGCCGGAATAGCATCCCTCGCGCCGACCCTGCGGCCTGGGGCGGGAGGCGGCGGCGACCCCTCCTCACATTTCGGATCTCCCGGCCGGGGCTGAGCGGTGGCCGCTGCCCCAAGGAAGGCTGGCGGCGCAGACTCGGGCTCGGGGAAGCAAGGAGTAGCCGGGAAGAGCCACGCCACACACAGCAGCGGAGGGGAGATGCCCCCCAACAATCCCAAGGAATTCTCTGGTAAGCTCCCGATTTCGCCCCAGCACCTCTGCGTGTGTGTGAGCGGAGAGAGAGTGAGAGGGAGCGAGAGGGAGAGAGAGAGAGACGGGGGAATGCGAAGTCCTGACACAGACTCTCCGCGAGGTCTGAACTGGAGTCACCTCCAGCCTCCTCCTCCTCCTTCCCCCAAATCCGCCCTCCCCGCCAGTTGGGCTAATCATATAAACATACTAGCGTGTACAGCGTCAAAGGACAAATCTCTCCCTCCTGAGTTTTCCAGCAAGGGGCTCGGGCAAACTCAAAAGAAGATTACAGGCAGCTAAGTACAAAACGTGGAGCAGATAATCTATAACTCATTGTCGCCCAATGGCCGTTTTCCACTCCATTTGAGCAGCTGCTGCGGCTGTGCGCCCAAGCGGCGGGGAGGAGGAGCGAAAGGGGATACTTACGGGCTCGAGCCCTTCGGACGGCGGTGGCGGTGGCCAAGCAGCCGCCCGAGGACCAGGCCGGCCCCGGCTCCGCCGGCGGGGCGGCCGCAGGGCTGTCCGGGCGGCGGTGGCGGCGAGGGACGCGCGCGCACGGCCGTGGAACGCGCCCCGGAGGCGGCCTGCGCCAGCTCGCGCCCCTCCCCTTCTCTCCCCTCCCAGTCGGTTCGCGCTCCCCCTACCCCCAGGTCCCCGAGCTCTGCCTCCAGCTCCCCCCATTAACACACCCATTCAACCGCTAACCCCTAGCCCACCCCCAAACTCCACTCACTGCGCGCTGGGTCCTCCGCGCGCTCCGCCGGCGCGCGCTCTCCATCCTGTCCACACACATGCACTTTAAAAACATTTATTTTATTTCTGGAGTGGGTGAAGAGTATTTGGGAGAGCGCCGCGAAGCGCGGCGCTCCGAGGCTGAGCGCAGGGGGATGACCAGCGGCTCGGGGCCCCCTCCCCTCTAGGCCCAGGAGCTTGCTCCCGGCCTGGACTTCGGAGAGGCGCCCGGGATGCGTCTTTCACCCACCCCGTCTCCAGGTTTTCTCTTTTCTCCACGCACCGAGCCAGAGGCCCCGAAACTTTTAGTTTCCGTAGCCCTCCTTTTGTGTAACTGCATGGAGGAGAAAGAACGTCTGTTCGCCGCGGCTGCCTCCGTCCGGCTGCGGCGCGCGGGGGACGCTCCAGGGTTAATGCGTCTTTGATACCTGAGATTTCCGGCGCGCTCGTTAATGAAAGTTACATTTTTTTAAATTGCGATGATTTTTTTCTTTGTAGTTACGTAGAGCCAGCTAAACTTTGACTTTATTGACTATATTTCACAAGAGCGTTTTGTTTGTTTTTGATTAAACTCACCAGGATAAGCAAAGGAAGGAAAGGAGACTACAAGGCTCTTTACTCTCAAGTATAGTCACAGAGCTGTTAGGTCTGTTTCCCTCATTTCCTTACATTGAAACTGCCTTTGCTCTTGTCCTCTGAACACACTTCCTTGCCCCTCTCGGTTGGCAATGTCAGCAAACAGCCAGGCAGAGCCTACGATGGACCTAAGCTGAAAGGAACAGAGCAGGACAGGGCGAATCACGCTGGAAAAACGTTTAAAAGCCAGTTAAGTGTCCTGTGCATGCCACAAAATTCAAACATGGATTTTTTTTTTATTGCAAAATTTCTGAGCTGGAAGCAGCTATGTTTTCAGATGTATTTGTAAACCACTGATTCTACTAATGAATGCAGCCATCAATTAAATAAGCATATTTACCTTTTTTTCAAGAAAAAAATGATTCTCCAATATTTAAAACCTAGAAAGTAGGATAAAACTTAAGCTGCTTTGCTTTCAGAAACAATAGGTACTTTTTGGTGCTGCAGGAATGTTGCAAGCATCATACTTCAGGAATCATTCCAAACAATGTTATTAATATGTCAACAGCAGATTGTTCAAAATACATGAAGATCCTAAATACCTATCAGTATTTTGTCAGAAAGCCAGATAGGTGTAGTACTAAAGTAAATCCAATCCAACTACTGGTCAAGTTTGTTCTTGACTTGTAGGAAATCATAGGTTAAATGTACGTGTGTCCAAATAACTAGAACATGTTCTTTTGGTGGTTTCATTGTAATTCTCAGATTAAAAAAGAACCTTTGATAATCTAATTTCTTCTACCTGATGTATTGATGTTTTAATATTCTCACTATTTCAAAAGATAAAAGGAGCAACTTAGAGCATTGGTGCTTTAAACTACATACACACTTACATCTGGAATTTCTTACATAACATAATTCAAATATTAACCACGCAGGATATAAACTAGTCTGGATAAAGTACACTTATGCAGAGCTGGTGCAAAACCTTATAACGTACCTAAGTTTTTACATATGTCAAAATACATACATACAACAGATCTACCTAGCAAAATTAAATCAGGCTACTTCAAGTCGTTGAAAAGAAGGCAGAATTATCTAATTCTCAGACCTCAGAGGTAATTTTATGATCTTCTTAGGAATATAAAATTATTTCATTCAGGATTGCAAAAGAGAATAAGTCAAACTGATAGTAACTTGCATTTACCAAAATATTTTAGCCCTTCTTTGTTCATCTTTGAAGGTTTTCACTCATCTGGGCACCATTCACAAAAGCCCCAATGAGTGCATGCATCAGTCTAATCCTATTTTCTTTTGGGAAGCAAAACTTAGGCTGAAGTTTTTATTTAGTGAGCTTAGTAAGTAATCAATAGACATTTTTGCCTGAATTAAGCTGGCCATATGTTGGCTCATTTACTTATTTATTTAACTCTCTCAGAAATAATCTCTGGAAAAACCCATTATCTATCTGCATGATATATTTGACATTCTTTGATGCTCAGGACATAAGTGAATCACTCTTCACTGTATTCTTAAAGAGACAATATCACAAAAAAGGAGGATGCTTGGAAGGGGGAAGAATTTATCAAAAGTGAATTAAAATTATACAAACTAGAAAAATGCCCCATAGAAGTTTCAAATCTTATTTCAATAGGATGTGTATTCTATAGAGTTCAAAGAGTTCCACACTTTTCTCCTAAAAATATAATAGACTTGCTATGTTTTAAAATTACATTTAAGAATACTGCTTGTGTAAGACAATGTTTTAAATATTAAAGATTTTTAATTATTTCTTTATTCTTTAGAGGTAATACTTCAACCTTCTTTGTATATCCACAAAGAAGAATTGAAATAGTGTTTAATTATATTGCTAGATTCAAGATTAAGCTGTTAGCCACAAACCTGCCATTACAAAGGAACACTTAAAAGGCACACACCATAGAGTATATCTACATTCAAAAAACATAATTTACCTGGCACTCTCTGACAATTCATAACATAATTTATAACAATACAGGTGTTATGGTAGAAAAAAATGAAATGAGAAGCTTAATAATATCTACAGATGTGTGCAAGTTAAGGAGAGTTGGAGTATGTTACGCATTCCCTGCAATCCAATCAATTTAATTACTCAATCTATATTGTTATTTAAGTAATGGCAAAATCATTGACTTATTCATAATAGTTGCTAATTGTTTTTTAAAATAAATTCTACAAAGGACAAAGGAAACACCCATTTCCATTTGTTTTATGTTAAATCAACATATAACCACTCATGGTGATTTCATTCAAAGAAAACAGAAGGAACTCATTAGCTTATGTGGTTAGAGAGATTGATGGGCTTCAAACATTTTAACCATACATGTTTTTTCCAACTGTAGAAACTCATGTTTTTAATTTTAGTAACCTTAAGAAACTGAAGATTATTTTATTCAGTGGGTTCATATATTTCTGGTACAGACGTTATGCTAATTTTTAAACTGAGATTTATCATCTAAGTATCTTTGTTTATAGGGAAGTGATCAGGCACTTGTTAAAATATACATAAGAATAACAGCAGTTTGAGTAACAAAGAATCTGAAATAGTATGAAAATGGACATAGGTGCAGAATATTGTGATTAGTGTAAGCCAATAGAACACAGTATCACTTTCACTGCCCTACTCTGGCCAATGGCTATAGCTAAGACACTTCTAAAAGGGTCAGGGGTTGAAGGGAAGAGGTATTGAGGCTTGAGAGTAGGCCAAAAACTGCCATTAAGTTTGAGCAACACAGTTATAGAAAACTATTAAGGAGGGACGGTTGTATCTATTATGGGGAGTGTATTTTTGCCTGTGATTAGAGTTTGTGAAACTCTAATTTTGTTTCAAAAGAAACAAAATTTGTTTTCAAAAGAAAATTGTTTCAAAATTGTTTCAAAAGAAACAAAAAACACGTGGAATGACTCTCATTTCTAATTCAGAAATAGAAATAAAATTAGCTAGATTATATCCTAAACCTAACTCAGTTCCATTTTCTTCATCATTACTTGTTGATGATGCTTGGTGCTGAAACTAGTTTTTCCTACTCTAGAAAATAAACTACATTAAAGCTCTAGAGCAGATCAGAGCAATATATGAATGCCAAACTTAACTAGAACTTGTTGAAAGTTGCTAGCTTTGTTTTCAATTTTTGCCTTGCCATGCATGTAGGCTGAAAAGAAATCAAAACTCATTTTCCGTAAGAGCAAAAACATATGAAAGCATTTGGCAAAGCCAGTAAGGTTTTAGCTATTCTCCCTGCTCTATAGG
This sequence comes from Homo sapiens, assembly GCF_000001405.40. Taxonomy (NCBI): domain Eukaryota; kingdom Metazoa; phylum Chordata; class Mammalia; order Primates; family Hominidae; genus Homo; species Homo sapiens. The sequence continues at coordinate 81,796,897 of NC_000001.11, read as the reverse complement.
CTTAGCAAATTTTGTCCAAGAAGGCCAAACCCTATCCAAAATGTAGAGATGCAGTCTCCAAAAGTAATGACAGTTTAAAGTATAATGTAAATATAATTAAGGCATATTGTGTTTAATGGTATAATTTAGAAGTATATAATCACGAATTATTAATAGCTGTCATTTGGTAATTAATACTTTTTAAAAAAAGCATCCACTAGTTCAACTGGTAACATGACTTTTTCTGTGCACCACACGTGTTAATTAATATATGCATAATTGTATATAAAGATTTAGGAAATTTTTATGTCGTTACCATTATGATACTCAAAAGTAAGCAAATTTAAAACGATATTCTTCATAATTATTGTTCCACTGAGTCTTAAACAACTCAAAGTTTTTCTTTCCCATAGATTGTTCCTATAACTCTCATTAATCTCTGCATCTTGAGAATTTTATATAGTTGGGTCTTATAGGTCTTTTATCAATGCTTCTGTCAGATCACAAAGTGTAAGCAAAAGAACACTAATTTTATACAAAGCTGTCTATAACTTCTAGTAATTTTGTCCATCATAAATACTCATAACCTTGTTTTCTCATTAACAGTACGTGGTTTAAAAAAACACCTCCTGCAGTGTGTGGTGGCTCACGCCTGTAATCCCAGCACTTTGGGAGGCTAAGGCAGGTGGATCCCAAGGTCAGGAGTTCAAGACCATCCTGGCCAAGATAGTGAAACCCCGTCTCTACCAAAAATACAAAAATTAGCTGGGCACGGTGGCAGGCGCCTATAATCCCATCTACTCGGGAGGCTGAGGCAGGAGAATTGCTTGAACCTGGGGGTCAGAGGTTGCAGTGAGCCGAGATAGTGCCACTGCACTCCAGCCAGGGCACTGGGCAACAGAGTGAGACTCCGTCTCAAAAAACAAAACAAAACAAAACAAAAATAAAATACCTCCTGATCCCCTTTTAGTGCACACAAACCTCCACCACTGTCAACGATGAATTAAATTTATTTAAACTTTCTTTAAAATTGTTGAAGGTAAACTAAGAATAATCTAAAATTACAACTCTTTGAATGGGCAGTTCTTGATAAAGTATCATGTATTGCTTAGGTGCAGAACAAAAGCAAAGAGATGGTTAACAGTAGAAGTAACTCTATCAAATCTAAATCCTTAAAGATAACCAAGTAGCAATGTCACAGAATAGTCCAAATTGAATTTTTAGTGCCTCTCGAATATGACTTTGATTATTCATGTCATAGTTCACTGTAGTATGGCAAAACTTGCAAAGGCTTTTAAGAGTCAGGAAGCAAACTCACATACAACCTCTCTGCATTTTAGAAAGTGAGTCAAATATACAATTATATAACACTTATAATGTTTCCATATTGTTTCAAGTGTGTATAACACTTATAATGTTTTCATACATTAAAGTTTTCATAATTATACAGCATAAAGTAATTATACTCTATGATCCCTTAGTATTTTTTAAACACAAAAAAACTTATTTATGTATTTTTATTTTATTTATATATTTATTTTGAGACAGTGTCTCACTCCAGCTTGGGCTGGAGTGTAGTAGCACAATCATGGCTCACTGCAGCATTGACCTTCTGGGCTCAAGCAATCTTCCCACCTCAGTCTCCCAAGTAGCTGTGACCACAAATGAGTGTCACCACACCTGGCTAATTTTTTTTATTTTTTCTAGAGACGGGGTCTCCCTATGTTGCCCAGGCTGGTCTTGAACGCCTCAGTTCAAGCAGTCCTCCCAAAGTTCTGAGATTACAGCCACGGACCATCGCTCCTGGACCTGTTTCATTTCTGAAAATCTTTTATAGCATAACATTGTATAACATGAGATGTTTGACTTTGACTTTGGTTGATCCTTCTGATCTATAAATTAACTCTTACTAATGTTTTTCATGATTTTATTCTCTAATCAATATAACTATGATCTTTTACTCCACTTTGCTGCTTTATTTTTTAAAGGCCTTTATTTGTCATGCACATTTTAATAAAAATAAATATGTCTGAGCATCTGGAAAGTAGAACAGCAGTTTGCAATGTAAAATAATGTGTTATAAACCTAATTCCCATCAACATAGTTTCTTAATAAAAGAATAGTATCATTCAGGTTTCAACTTATTGAAACTCTTTACAATGCATTCTTAAGGTCAGTATGAAATCAATCACTTAGATCCTAGACCAAACAATGATGTAATAGGCATATGCTTTTGTGATAGAAAAGAATCAGTTTTCTTTCAAATTAGCATCCAAATTTAGAATCATATTAAAATGTCATTCATATCTCAAAGGAGCACTGAAAGGATTCAGTAATGATAAGGTTTTGTTAAGTAATATTTAATGAAAAATTTGGGGAAAAATTTGTTTTAGGTTAGAAATACAAACACATAAATAACCTGTCCAGTTATTGTACATTAAAAAGAAGTTGCTAAACCATCACCTGGATAATATATTCTTCGAATGGTTTTATTTTAGTGATGGAAATGTGTTTCACTGGACCATCCACACTCTTAGTCATTTGTCCTGGTTACCAAAATCACCTATCTACAATATAACTAACGAGGATTATTAGTGCATTAAGAGTGCCCCCTTCATTATGGGGGCAACTTTAGTTGTCCCGAAAATGACGGCAACTTAATTAGTACAATATCCTTACTACCCTAATTAGTAGCCCAATTCAAACTATATATTTTTAATTGTTCAAACAATGTAGAATCCACAGCAAGAAAAGCTAATTTCTTATTTATTATCTAATGACAACTGAAACACAATAATTCATTATAATACTGGGTTACTGCTATATATGAGGAGACGTGTCAAGGTAAGAGGTAATGGATATAACATAAAAACAATTTTTATAGTTTGTTAAAATAAAATTAGAGAAAAGCAGAGTAAAAATGCTGGCTATGAAATGTAAATGTTTGAGGAACCCAAGAATGTGAATTATTTTCAAATAATCTGAATCCCAAGAAGACTATCATTTATCATTTAAAAATAAATTTGTGGGTAATCAAATAAAGAATCTGAAAAATATTTAAAAGAATGAATTTTGACATTTTCATATAATTATTCAATATTTACTTTCTCTCCAATGCCCTGTTGCAAAACGATTTTAAACTTGATATATGTATAAATCAAAATATTTTATGCAGGTGTAGATTTGAGATGATAATGCTCGCCTATTTGCTTATATTGACTATTTCCGTACAGGAGGAAATCATGTAAGGTCAAAAATAGATACTAGATTGAATATTTAGAAAACTGTCTTTCCTTAAGAATATTTACAGCTTATCAAAATTTGGAAGTAAAATATTGTACCTTATATACTGAGGGAAGTCTGTCTTTGCCTGAATTTTTCAGTTAGTGAAAGAAGTGTTTAAATACTCTGAAGTTAGATTATTAACTTCTACAAAACTGAAACAGATGTGTGTCTTAATATGCCATTAAATTTATGATTTACATAGAACTCTTGCATAGAGCTAAGCAGAGGCCAATGATTCTAATTTGCTCTAGATTTACAATAACCTGATCTGGTTTTTGTAAGTACTGAAATACTTTAAACAAAATTAGAAAGCAGTTGTGCTATGTGTGATTAAAGATGCAATTCCCTTTGGGGTAATGAGAAAAGTTAGAGCATGTTTCTTGGATGTTTCTATTATAAACAAGAGTGCTATACATTATATATTTTTGTTACTATGATTTTCTTGTTTTTAATTATAAAATAAACCAATTGAATTTCAGTGGAGTCTAAAATTGAAACTATGCCAAAATTTCGCTGAAGAATGTGTACTGAGCCTTATAAAAATCCTTAAAATTTTTCCCAGGGTCGTAAGGTCTTGTTATATAAATACTAGTTCACCATCATTTTCTAGAGCAAAACATCTTCTGATTAAGACCTATGTAGCAAAAAGACTTGAGTGCAGAATAAATTTTAAGCCTAGAGAATGACCTGAGTAAAATTGTTCAGGACTAATGATTACTAGATTCATATAAATTACAAATTTTAAAAATGGTCTGTTTTATCTTATTACACAAATAATAACATTTACAGCACCATTATTTAAACTTTCTCCTTTGGTGAATTATACTTCAGCTGCTAAAAATAAAATCTCTACAAACACTTTATGTTAAATATTGTAAATACTGTTTCCTTAAAAATCAGACAGGAAATGTTGATATAAATATCATCATAAGCATATGTGTATATGTTTATGTATATAGAAAATAAGCACATGAGAAAGTATTAATTCATTAAAAGTTTATCTCTCATAAAACCTTTATTAGCCCTTGAAGTCTTTGCCACTTCATATAAAATGATTTATCTTTTGAATAACAAGGTTCCATTAATCTGTTTGACAAAGGAATTTTTAAATCATTTAAATAATTTATTTGAATGAATTATTTAAATTCTGTAAAAAATATATATATGCACATGTATATGTATATGTCTGCATCTATATATTTGTGTTCTGGCACAATATCACATAAGAAATACAAAATGGAATTCAGAATACATTGTCCTTGACATCACCAGTGTGACTTGGTGTTGCTGCTGATGTGTTCCGTGATCACCCACTGTTTGCATAGGACCCCTGTTAGAAGGCCATTTGTGCTACATTTGGCACAACAGGATAATTTAATGTCAGGGGAAAGTTGCACATGATTTTCTATATTCATTTTTAATTTTGCGTTTTTACTGAAATTGTAGGCTGACATATTTTTCAAAATGTAAGGATAATAAAGGCAGTTATTCAGCAGTCATAGGAACCTGCTTTCCTCAATTCAGTGCTCTAGGTGCTGCTGGAGAATGGTAAACATACTCCCTCCCCAGAGAAATAAATCATCTGTGGAAACAAAGGAGAAATACGCACGGAAAGGAAACAAGAATATACAAAACTATTTATAAGTTAATACACAAAACTAATTAGGACATAAGGATTTATAGACTATGCTTAATACGCATGGCATTCTGAAATTTTAACTATATACTATTTCTTCACAGACTATTACTTCACAAAATTTTCTCTCAAATACATTTTATTCTTGTTCCTTTTTCTCTGAAAATGCACTTTTACTCAGAAAAATAATGAAAACAAGGAATAATTTTCCAACTTTGGTGAGGTTATAGAATAAATTTATGACAAGTTATCAATTTTATTTTTAAACCTGCAGGAAAATTAGCTTTCACTGAAGTATATCCTACACAGAACATAATAGGTAATATGTATCTATTTTTTTTTAACCTGCTCATCTCCTTTTTTTTCTTTTTTTGGAAATTCCATCCCGTTTTTTTTCCTGTGTGCCACTGTTCCACTGACCCATTATATTAGGTTTGAGTGGATTCATTCAGATTTTATTTCAATTTTGTTACCCCTCCTATCAACAGATTTCCTTTGGCATTAATTTACTAGAGAGGACATAATTTCACACATAATGGTATCTCAATGTGTTTTTGTGGCATGCAGTAAACTTTGAGCCTCCAACTTCTTCAGTCCTCTCACTTTTATCCAACCATCCACAGACCCAGCTATAACACTGTGCCATTTTGTACCAATTACCCACAATACTCAAACCTTGGGAGGCAGGTATGAGAAGCTCTCAGCAATCTAATACAATTTTGTAAAGTCTCTGGTCTACCAAAATAGCTCATGACTCTTGGGGAGATAATGGTCTTTTAAAAGTTCCTATTTTTAAAAGATGCCTTAAATTTTAAATTTTAATTAAAAAGAAAAAAGACCCCTCAAACTCCTTTCTAGAACTTAGAACTTCCTCTTAGGAAGCACTGCCCTCCCTGCTCACATTCTTTTTTTTTTTTTTTTTTTTTTTTTTGAGATAGGGTCTTGCTGCATCACCCAGGCTGGAATGCAGTGTTGCCATCTCAGCTCACCATAACCTCCACCTCCCTGGGCTCAAATGATCCTCCCACCCCATCCTCCACAAAGAAGCTGGGACCACAGGCCTGTGCCACCAGGCTGGGTTAGTTTTTGTATTTTTGGCAGAGACAGGGTTTCACCATGTGCCTAGGCTGCCTGCTCACATTTGTGTATCTAGAAATGGCTCCCAACTTTGTATGGCATAGGAAGTATTATACTATTCAGAATGGTATGCACCAATCATACTGAAGTAATTTTGAAACATTTCACTTATTCTCAGAAGCTTTTTGAAGAACAGTGACCTTTTCAGTGTCTAGCTGTAGTTGGCTGATGGAAAGTATTTCTGGAATAAATGAGAGTTAGATTCCTATAATGATGAATACCATTGTAATATTTAGTTCAGTATATTGTCCATATTCTGCAGCACTGCTTTTGCTGATATAGATATTGCAAGTTGAATAACCTAGAAATCTTATATAAATGTACTCACCACATATAAACACACAAATTTACATAACAATAAATTTGTTTTGTCAATTAATTGAAATATTTTTGTAGGCCATATGTAAACAAATTTTAGTGCCTGCATAAATTAGTAATTACAATGAAAATTTGAGTATTTTCCAGAATAACAATGTTTGTGTGTGTGTGTTATTTAAGTAAAAAGAAACAAAAATGTAGACAAATTGTCAAAGGAGTTTCTAGTACTACTAATCATCCTGTTGAGTGTGTGTTTTTGTGTGTGTTCATGTGTGTGTGTGTGCGTGCATTAGATAGGTGGGAAATATCTCAAGGAAAGCAGGAAAGTAACGCATGTGAATTATTGAATTCAGAAAAACTGAAATGTTGGCTGTCAAGCACATTTTCCCTAGAACACTCTTCTCCCTTATACCTTTCCTGTCCCAACAACTTAGATGAGTTAAAGATGTGTCCAGGGAACCTCAGAAATTGGAATCAACAGGACTTACATTCAACTTTTCAAGGGTTATGTTTTGCACCCTGGTATTTTGGTTTTATTCAAAGGAAAAACATCTTCGACAAATTATACATTATGCTAAAAAGTACCATGTTTCTATCGTAGCTCACTTATGACTCACTAAGTTGTCAAAGCCTGGAACACTACCTCCAACAACCAAAAAGCCTTTTTAACCAATTTTTCCCTGCCAGATCACCAGAAATTTTTTTATTAATATTATCTTAAAGAGTAAACTAATAGAAATGTCCAAAAAAGGAGATGTTTGGATTTTTTGCTGACACCTGAAATGCTGTTTCTTTTTGTTTACATTCCTGTTTTACATTTCTTTTTTTTTTTTTTTTTTTTGAGACGGAGACTCGCTCTGTCACCAGGCGCTCACTGCAACCTCCACCTTTCAGGTTCAAGCAGTTCTCCTGCCTCAGCATCCAAAGTAGTTGGGATTACAGGCGCCCACCACCACACACAGCTAATTTTTGTGTATTTAATAGAGATGGGGTTTCACCATGTTGGCCAGGATGGTCTCAATCTCCTGACCTCGTGATCTGCCCACCTCGGCCTCCCAAAGTGCTGGGATTACAGGCATGAGCTACTGCTCCCAGCAACATTCCTGCTTTTAAAAAAAGTTTTCAAAATGTATTAGTACAGTATTTTGCTGTCTAAGAAAATTATACTAAACATCATTTTATCTTTCTTAGATGATATGGAATTTTTCAGTGTTGAAGGATCATCAAAACAAACATTGATTATCATAGAACTTATTACACATCACTGTATTTGTTGGTTTACTTGTTCTCTTCCCCATGTGACTGTAAGCTCCTTAGAATCTCTCTAAACTTTATATGCCCAGCTCTTAGCAAAGCATAAAATAGAGGTCTCAAACTGCTGTGGCCTGTATAAAATCTAGCCCACAAATGTAGTTTGTTTGCACCATACACACTGGGTCGCACTGTCCTTGGTTTTGTTTCATTTTTTAATCTATCATCTGTCAACTCTTAAAAATTAGGAGATTTCCATAAAATTATGGATTTCCAGACCAGGCGCAGTGGCTCACCCCTGTAATCCCAGCACTTTGGGAGGCCAAGGCGGGTGGATCACGAGGTCAGGAGATCGAGACCATCCTGGTTAACACAGTGAAACCTCGTCTCTACTAAAAATACAAGAAAATTAGCTGGGCTTGGTGGCACATGCCTGTAATCCCAGCTACTCGGGAGGCTGAAGCAGGAGAATCACTTGAACCTGAAAGGCAGAGGTTGCAGTGAGCCCATATCGTGCCACTGCACTCCAGCCTGGGTGACAGAGTAAGACTCCATCTCAAAAAAAAAAATATGGATTTCCAACTTCTGAAGAAAAAATGGAAAGATCTGGCAGCATTTGGTGTATATTAGCTCATAGCAACATCCAGGAGGAGAGGCTTTACCTTCTAAACTAAACGTGCCTTCTGTGTTAGTCTGTTTTGCATTCCTATAAAGGAATACCCAAGACTAGGTAATTCATAGGGAAAAGAAGTTTATTTGGCTCATGTTTCTTCAGATTGTACAGGAAGCTTGATGCTGGCATCTGTTTCTGCTGAGGGCCTCAGGAAGCTTACAATTATGGTGAAGGCAAAGGGGGAGCAGACTTGTCACATGGAGAGAGAGGGAGCAAGAGAGAGAAGGGAGAGGTCCCTGACTCTTTTCAACAACCAGATCTTGCATGAACACACTACTGTGGGGAGGACCCCAAGCCATATATGAGGGATCCTCCCCCATGACCCAAACACCTCCCACCAGGCTCCACCTCTAATGCTGGGGACTACATTTCAACATGAGATTTGGAGGGGACAAAAATCCAAACTATCACCCTTTCTTACTCCCTGTATTCTCTGTCATTTCTTATTACCTCCTCAAAACCAAGGCAAAGTATCTTGTGCCATGAATCACTCCATTTGTGTAATGTTTTATGTTCTATTTTAATGGTGGCATTAAAGGAAATTGAAATGTATCATCACCCACATTTCTATAAACTGGAAAATAGAAGATAGATCAAGAGGACTGTATCTTTCACCCATTATTTTTCTTCCTGGCCCCTATAAACATTTTAATGTTTGAGCTCTGGTGCTCAATAATTTTTATGTTGAAAAAAGTGTGAATTATACTGTCAATATACATATGAAGAAATATATTGAATAGTAGTAATAGTGCTTTACTTTGTTCAAAGGGTTGTATATGTATTACCTCATTTGTGTTCTTACTTCATAGGTCATATTGAAATTATATTGCCCCTTTATTTGTACTGATTGACTTAGTCTATTCTCTATATTCACTTTCACCAGTTTTCTTTTTTCTCCCCACCTGTCACCACTTCCCACCACTCTTCTATTGATGTTTTATCTTAAACTTTTCTTTTTTTTTTGAGACAAGTGTCTTGCTCTGTCACCCAGGCTGAAGTGCAGTGGTGCGACCCCAGCTCACTGCAACCTCCGCCTCCCAGGTTCAAGCAATTCTCCTGCCTCAGCTTCCCGAGTAGCTGGGATTACAAGCGTGTGCCACCACACCCGGCTAATTTTTGTATTTTCGGTAGAGATAGGGTTTCACCATGCTGTCCAGGCTGGTCTGAAACTCCTGACCTCAGGTGATCCACCCTCCTCCTCCTAAAGTGCTGGGATTACAGGCATGAGCCACCACACCCAGCCATTTTTATGTGACTTGTTCAGTTAGTTTCCCTACATGAAAGGTGCCTTGACAGAAACAAATAATGATTTTGATTATTTTCATATTACCTAATATCCCATAACTATACTTCACCAAGAAATGACACATGAAATAAATCAGACTGCATTAGTCTGTTTTCACTGTTGATAAAGAAATACCTGAGACTGGGAAGGAAAAGAGGTTTAATTGGACTTACAGTTCCACATGGCGGGGGAGGCTTCAGAATCATGGCGGGAGGTGAAAGGCACTTCTTACATGGTGGTGGCAAGAAAAAATGAGGAAGATTCAAAAGCAGAAACCCCTGGTAAAACCATCAGATCTCATGAGACTTATTCACTACCACGAGAACAGTATAGGGGAAACCACCCCCATCCCCATGATTCAGATTATCTCCTACCGGGTCCCTCCCACAACACGTGGGAATTATGGGAGTACAATTCAAGATGAGATTTGGGTAGGGACACAGAGCCAAACCATATCACAGACTTTTTCAATCAAACAAATGGAAGTAAACAATCTTTTCTGAATTAATATACAGTTTAATAGATGTAGTTAAATAAAAACACAATATAGCAGAAACCGCCAAACACAAAATGTTTTAAGGCAAACAAGCTAAGCCTTCACTAAAAGTTACCAGAAGTAGTTGATGGCCCCAGATATGTTTAAAAAATTCTTCCTTAAGATTATACTTTTCAAAGAAGAATATTTGCTTCAAATTGGAATGACTTCCAGAGTTTAAGAATTTCTAAATTTTATTTTTATTTATTTATTTACATTTATTGAGACATAGTCTCACTCTGTCACCCAGGCTGGAGTGCAGTGGCACGATCTTGGCTCACTGCAACCTCTGCCTCTCAGGTTCAAGTGATTTTCATGCCTCAGCCTCATGACTAGCTGGGATTATAGGTGTGCACCACAACTCAGCTATTTTTTGTGTTTTTAGTAGAGACAAGGTTTTACCATGTTGTCCAGGGTGGTCTCAAATTCCCGGCCTCAAGTGATCCACCCGTGTCAGCCTCCCAAAGTGCTAGGATTATTGGCGTGAGCCATTGTACCTGGCTAAATTAAGAATACTTTTTATTATGCCAAATTTTATGCTATATTTCTTATTGGTGAGTGTTATTAGTATATTATCATTATTCCTAATTTTCTTTTGTATTTTCTATCTTCATATACAAATTTTTAGCATGATTATAGGCCAACACATTTTCCTATGGAATATAACTCTTTATTTAATTTTATTTTATTTTTTGGAGATGAAGTCTCCCTCAGTCTCTCAGGCTGGAGTGCAATGGGGCTATCATGGCTCACTGCAGCCTCCACCTCCCAGGCTCAAGCAGTCCCCCTACCTTAGCCTCCAAGTAGCTGGGACTACAGGGATGCACCAGCACACCCACCAATTTTTTTTTTTCTGTAGAGACAGAGTCTCTCTATTTTGTCCAGGCTGGTTGCAAACTCCTGGGCTCAAGTGATCCTCCTGCCTCGGCCTCCAAATCACTGGAATTACAGGTGTGAGCCACTACATGCAGCTTATAACTCATTTTAAATTCTCATCTCCACAAGATGAGAATCATTGATATTAAACATGCTAGTTCGGTTTTGGAAGGATTTTTTGTTGTCGTTTTTTTAGACACGGGGTCTCACTTTGTCGCTCAGGCTAGAATACAGTAGCATGATCATAGCTCAAGGCCCTCTGGAATTCCTGGGCTCAAGCAATCCTCCTGCCTTCGCTGCCTGAGTAGCTAGGACTACAGGTGCGCACCATCATGCCCAGCTGATTTTTAATTTTTTTGTACAGACAGGGTCTCCCTATGCTGCCCAGGCTGGTCTGGAACTCTTGGGTTTGAGCAATCCTCCCACTTCAGCCTCGCAAAGTGCTGGGACTACAGGTGTGGGTCATCACACCTGGCCTAAACATGCTAGTTTTAAAGCTTTCTATAAATTTTATCATTTGCATAATATTCTTTATTATTAGCTTAAAATCCTAAGTAATATATAATTTCTGAAAAGACCCTCTGTGCACATTGTAGTAGTCTCATTGAAATACTCCTCTCCTTTTTCTAACAGTTTTATACGTCTTTGAATCAACTGTAATTTTCTTAATTTTGTCTTAGGGCACACAAACTCCTGCCTACCACTTTATTAAATAATTATCTATGCAACTTTACTATTAAAACTTTAGTAAAACAAATATCTGTCAACTGATGGAATAGACTCCATTTAAATGAAAATCATCACAAATAATTCCCTGTACAACCTGGAAACTAATGTTGGCAAATATGATTGGATCCCCTTCGTAATAGAAATTTTCTCTTTTTTTTCCCCCACTAAGCAAGTCACTTCTCAATGAAAAAAGTAAAACTAAGCTTCTCATATTCATAGTATTTAGCTTACAAAAATTTTGTCTTCTCTCCCTTTTTACTTCTGCCAAATTGAAAGATAAAAGATATAGTTAATTCATAAAATTGGATAATTAACACCAATTAACTTAATCTGTGTCCATACCAAAAAATGAAACATTTTTACTATTTTTGGACCCTTAACAAAACACATACATTGAAAAGCGGAATTTTTTTCTTGATGCTTAGTAAGCATCCCATGAAGCTGCAATTTTTTTTTTTTTTTTTTTGAGACGGGGTCTCACTCTGTCGCCCAGGCTGGAGTGCAATGGCATGATCTCAGCTCACTAAAACCTGCACCTCCCAGGTTCAAGTGATTCTCGTGCCTCAGCCTCCGGAATAGCTGGGATTACAGGCACACACCACCATGCCCTGCTAATTTTTGCATTTTTAGTAAAGATAGGGTTTCACCATGTTGGCCAGATTGGTCTCAAACTCCTGGCCTCAAGTGATCCATCTACCTTGGCCTCCCAAAGTGCTGGGATTACAGGCATGAGCCACTGCACCTAGCCAAGGCTACAATCAGTACTATTCATAGCTGTAATCTTTTATATTCACTTCTTATTTAAAATTCTACAGTCAAGAATATGGTAAATACCATTTGAGATTACTTTGCTCTGTAAAAGTTTTTGAAACACCACTACTGAACACTTGACACATGCTTTCAAAGAAGTCACAGATACTACTTTTTTAAGTAAAAGCTATATTAAAGATTAATGTTTTCTTCTCCATTACCTTGAAAAAGATCTGTTGAAAAGATCTGAAAAGTCCTCATAAAATAAAGTGTAAGGTCACTTAACTCTAGTTAATGTTAATATTAAGATGCTTTTTTTTATTTTTAGAAAAGCAACATAACTTAAAAGCTTAGAATTTCATTGAGACCACCCAAGTTCAGATCTCAGCTTCATCATTTTCAAGCTGTGCATTTTTAAGCATGTTATGGAAGCTCAACTTTAAATTAACTGCTTTTTTCTAATTTATAAAATGGGAATGATCATTACCTGTGTCTTATAATGTTGTTGTGAGGGTTATATGAATTAATACAGATAGTACCTGGCACATAACAACTCTTCCAATATTTGCTATTATTTTAGTATCTTTAATAGCATAAAACAGTATAATAGCCTGAAACAGTTGACAACTTTTATAATGCTGTTATATAAATACCTAAACTTGTATAAGCTCATATGAAACAATTTTGAATATTCTATCTTACTTCCTGTGTTGTATTATAGCAAAGAATTTTGTAAGCTCATTTTGAAATATATAGCTTTATATTGACTACGTAAAAGTCCTATCATCGTACATATGCTAGTATTATTGTTTGTATTTCTAATGTTTTAAATGATCATTTTGAAGGATCTGCTCACTCTTAGTTATGTTTATAGAGTTAATTATTTACTTATTTATTTTCTTTCATATTTTAAAAGGGATTTAAGGAGATTTACAAACAACAAGAGATAAAAATAAGAAGAAGATAGAGGCAAAGAAAAAATAAAAAAATTGAAAATTAAAAAGCAAATAAAGAGGCCAGGCATAGTGGCTCACGCCTGTAATCCTAGCAGTTAGAGAGGCCGAGATGGGTGGATTACCTAAATTCAGGAGTTCGAGACCAGCATGGGCAACACGGTGAAACCCCGTCTCTACTAAAATACAAAAAAAAAAAAATTAGCCAGCATGGCGGTGTGCACCTGTAGTCCCAGCTACTCAAAAGGCTGAGACAGGAGAATTGCCTGAACCGGGGAGGTGGAGGTTGCAATGCGCTGAGATCGCACCACTGCACTCCAGCCTGGGCGACAGAGCCAGACTCTGTCTCAAAATAAATAAATAAATAGCAAGAAAGGTGAATACAGGCAAAGTATGCCTATATGCATGCTGGACATAAGCCCTTAATTTGCCTTTAAGCTTTCTAAGAGCCACACAAAGAGAAGAGCTATTACAGATTTCCAACGCATGGCAAAAGCATCACCTGATGATGAGGCCAGAGAGAACTCACTAAATGATAAAGCCGGCCAATTACTTGTCCTTCCATCCCTTCCCTACTCTGATCCTTCCCTGTGCCCTGTCTTCTTTGATACTCAGGTAGATACAGTCCTGTTTCACTTTGGCTACAAAGATGTCCTTCCTTCTAAGCTCTGCTTTCCCAACCAGTAAAACTCTCCAAAGGCTAGCTGAACTTTTTATAAAAAGCTAACTTACCTAAGAAACCCTACACCGACTTCCAATGCTCATTCTGGCAAAGATTCTTAACAGGAAGGAGGATATCAAAATCTCTGGAATGTCTTGGGGAAGTGGAGATAAAGACTCAAGTGGTTGTGATAGAGTGGTCTCCCTTTCCACTATCAACTCCAGAGAAACACGGCTTCAAAGCACCTGAGAGAATTAACCCTTTCTTGCAGGAAAAATGGTAAACTTTGAAGAGACAGAGAATAGGCTCACTGGGTGTAACTAACATCTATTACTAGTTAACAGCTAGGTTCTAATGCAGGAAATAGTTTATAATTAATTTTTTAAAGTATATCCATTTTACTGTAGACCAAAAAATGAATTCTGGCATTAGAAATTACCCCCTCATTAATATATTATACTGATAAAATAATACGATTGACTTCTTAGGTTATTTGAAGATGTGTGCTCTTGAGTTTGCCATTTTTTGGTTTTACTGGATTTAATTCAATAAGAAGAAGGAAACAGGGTAGGGGATGAACATTAATCAAGCACCATTTATGTATCAGATACTGTGAGGACATTTTAATGTTACTTTATTTTAAGGCTGGCATTTGGCTGGTAGGCACTGGCAGGGCTTGCTGGTAGTTTATGACCAGCATCTGTTCTGATCTATTGGTGCCCAAGCCCAACCATTTACACATTATTAAATATTTTAGTGTTACCCTGCTTTAATCTTCAAAACAAACCTGCAAAAATACGGGAACACTGGGAGCTGGAAGCAGAGACACTATTTAGGGACCCATGGCTCTGACTTTGTCTGCTCTTCCCCATCCTGCCTGCAGGAGGTTTTCTTCTTTGTGCCAATTTGGTTCTACAAGTGGGAGAGCCTATATGTGCAAACATTTCCTTGCATGGAAGTGCCTAGGCCGTGAAATATAAATGCTTCCAGAGTAACAAGTTTGAGTTTTTAAAATTGTGTCTTTCAATGCTGGCAGTAGTGTCCCTGGCAATTGTGTGACCCAGAGGAACCAGAGGAAAAGAAAAATCAAGCCAAGATATGCTTTATCTGCATGCACCTGCTTCTGATACCCATGGTCACCTGGATCCAAGTTCTATATCCTTGGCTAAATACACTGGGAAATCGCAGGTGTGTATGTGATATCTTCCTCCCATCTGTAACCAACCTGAAATGCTATCAGTCCTGTGATAACAAGGAAATTCTGATGTAGAGATGTTGGTTGGCTTAAGGTGCGTAACAGTAAAAGAAGTATTTAAAGCTGCATTTTTGAAACTCCTTTTAAAGCCTAGATTCTGTTTAGCTACAGATCTCATTTCAACCTTTTTTTTTAGCTGAAAAACCTTTTCCTCTAAAAACAGTTCTACATATTAATGAGGAACAAGTATATCTGCACTGATTAAAGCAAGATAGGGGGCAGAATTAAACTTCAGCTACACCCTTGTCACTACGGCAGGTCCTGCAGCACCTCCACAAAGCTCAATGTTGTAGTCTTAAGAGTAGAGATGGGAAAACATTGACCTACAAAATGCTGCCACCCTCAGACCCACTCCATGTTATTCACCTTGGTAAATAATTCCTTCAACAAACATACTGTGTAGCTATTGAGTGCCAGACTCTAGGAATACAAAGATAAATAAATATAAATAGTGTCTGGCATCAAGCAGCTCATAGACAGAGGGAGGAGGAAAAGAGAAAATAAATAAATAAGTAAAACAAAAACAGCCACTGATATTTAGCTTTTCTGTATCAATGCTCACAACTGTAAGAGATAGAAATATTTAACCCTTTAACAAATGAGAAAACTAAAATCAGAAAGGTTAAGAGGATGTATTGTCATGCATCCCTTGAATAACAGAACAAGGATTACCACCCTGGTCTTAGGGATGCCAAAAGCTCTTTATTCTGTGGGGGGACATAGCCTGCAATTCATTGTAAACCTACAACAAAGTAAGCACATTTCAACACAGATTAATATTTCAAATGCATATCACTTAAATGAGAAGGAAAAAGTCCAGGAAACCTACAGATTAAATCATTAAAATCATTACAATACCACCTTACATAACCATTATTATTATATACGTATTATCTCACAACAACCCTATAAGGTAGAAAGGGCAGATATTATTATTCCATTTCATAGAAGTAAATCTTTGCGCTATTAACGGAAGATAACATATTGGGATGAAACTTACTGACCTAAGGAAAAGAACCCTATCTTGCAGTCATGATACTATTGCCAACTAGCTGTGACACTTTAAGCAAGTCATTTAACCTTTTAGGCCACAATTTGCTCATCAGTAGATGAGTAGAGGGTCCAGATTTTTCACCATTAAGGGTCCTTCAGTTCTGATACATGATGAATCTGCAGCTTGTAGGAAGTCTCCCAGCTAGTACATGGCTTGGTCAGGAATAGAATCCACCTTCCATCCCAAAGCTTTCTACTATTTCATGCTGCTTGTTAATATTAAACTGAAGGGGAATGTTCTGGTTTTCTGGGCATAGAATTTGGTCATATAAACAATTAATTTTTAATCCAATTTATTTTAATTATAATTCAATCAAGCTGATTGGAAGGCAGGTATATAGTCCTTGCTGGTTAGAAGTTATGAATGTACATGTAAATCCAAGAACCTGTAGATGGAGGAACACTGGATAAAAATCTAGACGAACATAAAATGAGAAACACAGAAGTGATAGCGCTATGTGACTGCACTACAGACTTTCTGGTCAGAAGGAAAGATACGATGCTTTTCTAGTGCAGACCTCAGATGTGTTGGCAGAGCTGCAACATATCTTAGTGTTAGGGATTTAAGTCTCCAAGTATCTGCAGAAACTTTCATACCTCAGAAAGCAAAATAGTGACAATTTCTTGACCGGCCTTGCTGATAATTTCATTTCCCAGAAGGCAGAGTAAGCATTAAGGGGAACTCCTGCTCAGGACCCATTCTGACAGAAACCGGTAGGTAAAATGGAAATGATTGGAACCTTGGGGAAAAGCAACCATATGCTCTTAGAGTTTGATTTAAGCTGTGTTCTGCCTATGCAAACACAAATGATTCTAATGAGCAAGAAAATGGGGAGGAAACTAAAGAAACCAGTGTGCTGCACAGGGACTTACTGACAGGCTCTGAATTTAAAACAGCATATGCAAAAGATAGTAAAAGGGGAAACATAATCAAGCATAAATATATGAAGGTAGAATAGACCTATAAAAATTTAGCAAGACTAAAGCACAGAATGAGCTATGGCTTGTGAAATATGCTAAAGAGAACCGAAAATGCTTTTCCTTAGTATGAAATGAGGAGGGCGATCAATAAAGGAATGGACTCATTTTTTTTAAGTTGAAGACATAAAATTCATTCATGAAAAAGAGAAAGCAAAGCATCTTTATTCTTTTATGTTTCTTCCTGTTGGTTCAGTCATATCTCTGGTCATATGTCACCACTTCAGAGAGGACCCTGACCACCCTTTCTAAGAGTTCTCTCAGACTTCTCGAACCCCTTAGACATTTCATTCTTCCCATCACTGATTGCCATTATTTTACATACTTCAGTGTCTTCGTTTTTGTTTTTTTTCCTGTAGTGGAATGTAAGCTCCATGAATGCAGGTACTTTGATTTGTTCACTACTTTATCTCTAGGGCCTTGTATGTACCAAGTACTACTCAATAAATATGTGACAAATGAAGTCAAGACCATTGGACATTAACTAAAAATTGAAAGACAAAATAAAGGGATTATAATGTAGATAGCATTTACTGAGGATAAATAAGGATATAAAGTATATACTAAGTATTTATATGCACTTGTTCACTTAATCATCATAGCAGCCCTATAAAACATATGTTACTATTTGGTTGAATAAGTTGCCCAAGATCATACAACTACAAACGTGTAGAGCTAAGATTTGCAGCAAGAACTTAGGTACAAAGTATGAAAACTTCACCTGTATGCCCTACTGGGGAAACTTGACTGGTATAGCTGCCAAAACGTCTCTTGACCGCTATGAATTATTACAAGGAGAACTTCTAAATGAGATTATGAAATATTCAAATGATTACCTTTGAAAAATGGGGAGGAGGGAGACATTGGAGAGGAATGCCGTATGTTCAAAAAATGTCAGTCTGCAAACTTTCGATCCATGAAATGGATGTTGCTTGGTGGCAGTGAGCGGTGCGGAATAGCTTATATAATATTTATTATAAAAGACGATGTCATCAACATTTTTTAAGGTGGTTATTAGGAAAAAGTCTAAATTCCAAAAGAGTAAGCTGTTCAGCCTACTCTTAGATGTTCTTTTCTGTCAGAGTAAAGCTAGTATATCAGAACAATAGATATACAGATCTCTAGATTCTAGCAAAGCATTTAATAAGGACTTTATTTATGTCCTTGTGAACAAGATGGAGAAATACAGGTTTAGGGATAGTAATTTTTTTTTTTTTTTTTTGAGACGGAGTCTCGCTCTGTCGCCCAGGCTGGAGTGCAGTGGCGTGATCTCCGCTCACTGCAAGCTCCGCCTCCCGAGTTCACGCCATTCTCCTGCTCAGCCTCCCCGAGGAGCTGGGACTACAAGTGCCCGCCACCATGCTTGGCTAATTTTTTTTGTATTTTTAGTAGAGACAGGGTTTCACGGTGTTAGCCAAAATGGTCTCCATCTCTTGACCTCGTAATACGCCCGACCCAGCCTCCCAAAGTGCTGGGATTACAGGCGTGAGCCACCGCGCCTGACCTAGGCATAGTATTTTTATGTGTGTTCATAACTGATTGATGATTGTACCCAATGGCAATGTTAATGAATCTGTGTCAGTCTGGAGGAAGGCTTTTCAAGGGGTATACCACAGACCTTTGTCTTTGGCCTTGTCTAATGTGAACATATCAGTGACTGAGATAAAGCTATGAGAAGGCATGCCTATTAAAAATAGGTCATAGGTTACATGAGCTAGGGAAGGTGAGAAAATACATTAGATGATAAAATCAAGGTCCAAATATCCATTTTAAAATTTTGTTGAAACAGAGTCTCACTTGTCACCCAGGCTGGAGTGCAATGGCATGATCACAGGTCAGTGCAGCCTATGCCTCCTGAGCTCAGGTGATCCTCTCACCTCAGCCTCCTGGGTAGCTGGGACTACAGGCATGTGCCATGACACCGGGCTAATTTTTTGTAGAGATGGGTTTTCACCATGTTGCCCAGGCTGGTCTCAAACTCCTGGAGTCAGGCAATTCACCTGCCTCTGCCTCCCAAAGTGCTGGGATTACAGGTGTGAGCCACCATGCCCAGCCAAATGTTTTAACAACAAAAAGATGAACAAACTCTAAAAATACATCTTTTGGTTGGAATAATTGTAGGGTCTTGCCTTGGGACCAAAACACTAACTGCCTAAATTTAGTTTAAGGGATATGTGACTTAGCAACAGTACTCCTGGGGGAAAAAATGAGGAACTTTACTTGGCAGTGAATTAGTGGTATAATACAATTACAAAAGCAAACAACAAACAAAAGAAGAAGTGATTTAGGCTGCATTAATAAATTTAGGATGTGTATAGAATAATGGAGAATATAATCTAACTCTATTTCAAATTGTTTAGATTACCATGCTCAGTTCTGGAAGTATTATTTTACAGAAGATATAGATGGGAAGAATATAGAACTCCTAGGAGTCAGCAGCCTGAATGGTAAGAGGACTTAAAACTATTTCATGTGAGAGAAAGCTGAAAGAATTGGGAATTTTTAGCCTGAAAATTTTTATATTTGATGATTATATCAGAGTAGTATGCATAATAATTTAATCATCATTAAGAATTTATTATTTACTAGACACTGTGCTAGCGACAGTGTTAATTACGTTAATTACTGCTAGCAATAAGCCTAAGAAGTAGGTTCTAGGTTATTTTAATGTTATAGATAAGAAAAATGAGTCTGAGAGACATAAGAAATATGTCTAAGGCAATAAAAACCAGCAAGTGATAATGCTTGAATTGGAGCCCAGGTCAATCTTTCTCCAGTTCCTGTTAACTTATCCTCTATAGAAGATTTCTCCCACCAGCAGGGATCTAAGTTGTATTGTGTATGTATATGTATGTGCATGTTTACATGTGATGACCAAATTATATAAACTAACAAAGAATCAAAGCAACACATAGTAAAAACACTAGAAATATTTATTACAATGTTAAGAGTGGTTGTACTTGGGTACTGGGAATATGGCAATGTTTTCTTTATCTGTTTCTTCAATTTCCCAAATCCTCTTTACTATGCCTATTTTAATTTTATAAAAATCTTACTGGCCAGGCGTGGTGGCTCATGCCTATAATCCCAGCACTTTGGGAGGCCGAGGCGGGCAGATCACGAGGTCAAGAGATTGAGACCATCCTGGCCAACATGGTGAAACCCCATCTCTACTGAAAATACAAAAATTAGCTGGGTGTGGTGGTGCGTGCCTGTAGTCCCAGCTACTTGGGAGGCAGAGGCAGGAGAATTGCTTGAACTCGAGAGGCAGAGGTTGCAGTGAGCAGAGATTGTGCCACTGCACTCCAGCCTAGGCGACAGAGTGAGACTCCATCTCAAAAAAAAAAAAAAATGCTTTAAGGTACTCTGAGGCACAGTTCCATTTAAAAACACAACCACTTATAGTCAGAATTTTTCAGAGGTAATATCATGATAGAAGAAGTAGTGAGCTTCCCATTCCTGATGATGCTAACCCAAATTTGGAAGCACTGATAGTAAATCATTACTTGTGGTCAAGATTATAATCTGAAAGATCCAGAATGTTTAAAATAGGTACCAGAAAAAAGTAACCCAAGGACTAGGTAGTTAGTTCGTATATCACTTCATACTGAGGCCTTTCAATCAGCTAAAAAGGCCTTATTTTAGAAAAACTTTTAATATAATACTTGTTGAATGAATACATGAATGTATACATTTAGAAAAGGAGAAGTAGCCCAAGGATAATATTTAGTTTCTGTACCAACCTTTTTACAAGGTATGCATGGACAGTAAAGACTGAACTGAAATGTCATGCTTATTTGCTTGCTCAAGTCCCAGAGTGCTCCTGGCTGTTGACATCTGAGCACAGAGTAACTGGTCCCTCCAGGAAGTGTCATTTGGGCATGACTTCTTCTCACACACTCTGTCTCTTTGCCTCCATTTTAGGCTCCTGTAAACATCACACTTTTTTTTTTTTTTTTAAACCAGGACCTCTATTACCCAAGCTGAATGCTCCACAAATGCAAGAATCATGTCTCTTTTGATCTCCCCAGATTATATAATGTTTGGTATAATAGGTTCAAAACAAATATGTATTGAAATAATCACTTTGGCAGATATATTCAGCAACTTTTCTTTTTGTTGTCTAAGTATAGTCAGAAGATCTGCCTTTGATTTCAAGTACAGCACAGACTACAGCAGAGTTTATCTGGGAGGACCGAATGCCATTATTTGTTACCCTTTTCTAGGATCATGCTTTCCTCTCTATGAGTAGACACAAAGACCCGCTGCTTCAGCATTGGAGACATTTTATATTTAAAGTAAGAAAAGCAGTGTGTTTTTTTTTCAGAGTATTAAGTTTTCAATTTTTATTAAATGATAAGCATAAATTGAGCTTATAATATGGGGGACCAGATAAAATTTCAGACATTACCTCCTCCTTTTCCAAGGTGAACTGTATGTTGTCTTTTACTTGTGGTCTTACCACACAATTTATATCGATATGAATAGTGTTAGGCCACAAAACAACTACAAGAGAAATAAATGTTTCTGCCAGCTTTTTCCAAATTTTATTCACTTAATTAGGGACATATTGAAGGGGACATCCTAGTGCTGAAACCTACTTATCAGTTTTATAGTAAACAAATTGGGTAGGTGTCATCTTTTGTTACTATTATACATATAAAAGTATACTTGTGACATTTTTATAGCTTCTGACAAGATGGGATATAACATATAACATAACATATATATATGTTATATATAAACATAACTTCAACAAGAAAATTATTGAAATATGTAATCAATGTAAAAGAATCACTGTTTTACTTCAAAAAAGTGTAATTAAATTTATTATTCCAAAAACTACTGTGATAATGAATGACATAGTACTAAACACTGAGCTAACAATGGTGGAAGACACTGTCACATGATTATTAATAAAAAGATGGGCAAAAATAAGCAACGATGTATACTGCTCATAAGATCAACTTGTGAACATATTAAAAATACCAATATTTTAGCCCACATGCCTACAGATTCTGATTCAATAGACATGGTCAGGAGCCTGAAAATCTGTAACTTAAAAAATGCCACCCAAAATTCTGATGCACAGTCAAGTTTGGGAACCATGGACTCCATCTGGATTAAGTAGACAGTGCAAAGCACATGTTGCTCTCAGCAACCTCACAATCTAATGTGTTTGCCATCATGAGTATGAATGGTTTTATTAGAATGAAGAGAAACTGAAGGTTATTGGAATATTTCAAGTAAAACAAATAAAGCCTAAACTAAGATAGTAATGGAAGGAAGAGAGAGGAGAGCAGACATTTGAAATGTATTTTAGGGTTAGATTGGCCAGCCCTTCATGACTGACTAGTACTGAGTAAGGTGAATACATATAACTTAATGTAGTCATTTGCTAGGGCTGCCATAACAAATACCACAGACAGGGCGACTTAAACAACAGAAACTAATTTTCCCCCAGTTTTGGAAGCTAGAAGTCCAAGAGTAAGGTGTCAGCAGGATTGTTTCTTCTGAGGCCTCTCTCCTTGGCTTGTAGATGGCGATCATCTCCCATGTGTTCACATGTTGTTCCTTTGTGTGTGTCCGTGTCCTAATCTTCCCTTCCTATAAGGCCACCAGTCATATGGCATTGGGGCCACCCCGATGACCTCATTCAATCTTAGTGTACTCTTTAAAGACCTTGTCTCCAAATACAGTCACACTCTGAGGTACTAGGTGTTAGGACAGCAACACATGAATTTGAGACGACACAATTCAGCCCATACCACTTAACTAGAAAATAAATTTAAATCGACCAACCAGGTACCTAACATAGAGTAAAATGCTCAATAATTATTATGTTCTACCCCTAAATGTCAGTCCCTTTCATTGCTTTTGAGGTCATGTGAACGCTCAAGAAGAAAGTAATTGGAAAATAATATTATATCCAGGAAGGGCTTCCTAATGGAATCCCTCTAGATACAGAACCTTAATTGTCAAAATACTGGTGGTCCTAACCTTACCATAAGAAGTAACTGTGGGCAATCCTTTTTCCTTCGACTTGCCTCTGGAATAAAACAGAGGAAGGTGGTACACTCTAGTCAAGGCAAGGCTTCAAATTAACTCACCCAGAAACTCTTCCCAATTCCCTTCTATTTGGTGGAAAAGGTATTAAAGGTATTATTAATTCATTGTCTTCTATGATTATCAGCATGTAGGAAACCATCTCAGAATTTAATTTTCTTTATGTAAGTGTAGTTATCAGGACCATTTTGGCTGCAAGTTACAGAAACTCAACTCAAATAAGTTTCAGCACAGGCAATTTACTGGTTCATGGATCCCTAGGAAGTTTAATAACTGGAATTAAGGCTCAGAATCAGCCTTGCTTGGGATACATCAATTGATATATTCTCCCTTTGCCTAAAAGTCTGTTCCACAATTCCAGTTTAAAAAATTATAGGGACAGACTACAATTAGCTCAGCTTTGGCCCACTGCCCACTATAAGCACCATCAGGGGCTTGGGATCAAGTGAGAACACAACTCCTTTCTAAAAAAATTTCAAAACAGAAATATAAAGTTGAAAGTCCTGGAGATTTGGGCAAAAATGTGCTACACAAATAAAACATATTCTAATAATTTATAATATGTATCATTTTTAGTATTGTGCTAAATGGTTTCTGTCTATAAAAATATTAAAGTTTGAAAACAAAAATATTAAAGTTTATAGCTATGTAATAGCTATAAACATATGTTTTACTATCTTTAATACAATATTTACTTGTTTGTTTAAGCTAAACAAAAAAGGACTCATTCTTATTTCTACTCTTTTTTTGGGATGGAGTCTCGCTCTGTCTCCTGGGCTAGAATGCAGTAGCGCAGTCTCGGCTCACTGCAACCTCTGCCTCCCGGGTTCAAGTGATTCTCCTGCCTCAGCCTCTCGAGTAGCTGGGATTACAGGTGCCTGCCACCACATCCAGCTAATTTTTGTATTTTTAGGAGAGACAAGGTTTCACCATGTTGGCCAGGCTGGTCTCGAACTCCTGACCTCAGGTGATCTACCCGCCTCGGCCTCCCACAGTGCTGGGATTACAGGTGTGAGCCGTGGTGCCCAGCCTGTACATTTTTTTTTCACCAAAGCTTGTATAGCTTGGTACATAAATGTCATAATTAGAATCCATGTCAGTAACTAGGTTTAGTTTACAGGTTAAACTTTTCTGTATTATTAATTTCTAACTTTATCACAAAGAAGTGCTTACATGTTATTAACAATGAAATTAAACACTAAAGGATAATTTTTTTTTTTTTTTTTTTGAGATAGAGTCTGGCTCTGTAGCCCAGGCTGGAGTGCAGTGGCACGATCTCGGCTCACTGCAACTTCCGCTTCCCGGGTTCAAGCGATTCTCCTGCCTCAGCCTCTCAAGTAGCTGGGATTACAGGTGCCCGCCACTATGCCCAGCTAATGTTTGTATTTTTAGTAGAGACGGGGTTTCGCCATGCTGGCCAAGCTGGTCTCAAACTCCTGACCACAGGTGATCTGCCTGTCTCCCCCTCCCAAAGTGCTGGGATTACAGGCATAAGCCACCGCACCCAGCCAAGGATAAAATGTTTTAAAATATAGTTTTACATGCAAAAGAGATTGAGAATAAAAAAGCAAAAGGGCAAAAAAAGGATGAAAGAATTCCAAAGTTTGAAGTCTTTTATGAGTCTGATTCTGCATTTAATCTTTTTTCATCTAATTCTTGCTCACTTACCCTCCCTTTTTTTTCCAGTGTGTTTGTGATTTCTAACTGTGGGCGTATACTCCTGGAATTTTATCTGTGAGAATTCTTAGAGGGATAGGATAAGGTTGCACTCTCATAGGGGGATTTTCTTTTGATTCAAAAGGCACAAATGAGGACCAGTGTAACTAGATTCTTATCTTGGACTCTTTAGACCATTAAGAGTGTGTGAATTCTTGCTGAAAACACAGTAAGGTTGGTTTATGATCATGAATTTTCAAGAGAGATTTTTTTTCCTCTTTAGTTATACATTGAAGTAAGACTTGCAATTTTCCTTGCACTCCTCTATGCGATGCATTTATTTGTAGATAAGGTTAATGATAAGGATATATCTATTTTGCATGCCAGCACTAAGCCCTGGGCTTTGTGACTTTCCCCCTATGCTAGCAGGGACATGAAAACTGAAATTCAGATTCACCCCATTCAGTAAATGTCTTTAAGGTGAAAGAGGATGCTCAGCAATTCTTTGTGAGAAAAATTATATTATCCTCTAAATCAATGTAGGGAAAACATTTGATAAAATTCAATATTTATTAAAGATAAAAACTCAAAGCAAACTACAAATAAAAGAAGAATCCCTTAACTTGATAAAGGAGATCTACAAAAAACCAACAACTTAATGGTGAACTGTTCAAACTACTTTCTTTTAAAAATCAGGAAAACACAAAGTTTTCCATAATCATCATCTCTATACAATACTGGACTAGAGGTCTAGTTACTAGAGTATGTAAGAAAAAAATGAAAGTATAAAGGCTAGAATGAAATAAATTGTTAATACAGGAAATCCAAGAGAAAATACACGTAAGTTTTGAGAATTAATAAGAAAGTTTAGGTTTCCCAAATAGAAATAAAAATATAAAAATTAATTGTACTTCTATGTATGGAAACAAATTCTTTTTAAAAATAAATAACTACACATATATAATTTAAAAATATTTTGTAAAAAAGGTATTTAAGAGTAAATCTAACAAATTTATGGGGGAATAAATCCTTTTTGAAAAACATTATTGGCCGGGCGCTGTGGCTCACGCCTGTAATCCCAGCACTTTTGGGAGGCCGAGGCGGGTGGATCACCTGAGGTCAGGAGTTTGAGACCAGCCTGACCAACATGGAGAAACCCCATCTCTACCAAAAATACAAAATTAGCTGGGCGTGATGGTGCATGCCTGTAATCCCAGCTACTCGGGAGCCTGAGGCAGGAGAATGGCTTGAACCCAGGAGGTGGAGGTTGCAGTGAGCCAAGATCGCGCCATTGGACTCCAGCCTGGGCAACAAGAGCAAAACTCTGTCTTAAAAGGAAAAGAAAAACATTGAAAAAAGGCAGCCAGGCGTGGTGGCTCACGCCTGTAATCCCAGCACTTTGAGAGGCCAAGGCGGGCGAATTACAGGGCTAGGAGTTCAAGACCATCCTGGCCAATATGCTGAAGCCCCATCTCTATGAAAAATACAAAAATTAGCCAGGTAGGGTGGCAGGTGCCTGTACTCCCAGCTACTTGGGAGGCTGAGGCAGGAGAATCGCTTAAACCCGGGAGGCAGAGGTTGCAGTGAGCAGAAATTCTGCCACTGTACTCCAGCCTGGGCTATAGAGTGAGACTCGGTCTCAAAAAAAAAAAAAAAAAAAAAAAAAAAGCTGGGTGCAGTGGCTCATGCCTGTAATCCCAGCACTTTGGGAGGCTGAGGCAGGTGGACCACCTGAGGTCAGGAGTTCAAGACCAGCCTGGCCAACATGGTGTGAAACCCCGCCTCTACTAAAAATATGAAAAATTAGCTTGCTGCCTGTAATCCCAGCTACTTGGGAGGCTGAGGCAGGAGAATCACTTGAACCTGAGGGGTGGAGGTTGCAGTGAGCTAAGATCGTGCCATTGCACTCCAGCCTGGATGACAGAGCAAGACTCCATCTCAAAAAAAGAAAAAAAAAAGAAAAGGAAAATAAAAACATTACTGAAAATCTAAATAAATGGAAGAGTTGACCATATGCTTGTATTGAAACACTAAAAGTGGTAAGAAAGATGTAATTTCCCTTCAGATTGATCTGTACATACTAACAAATTTCAATCAAGTTTTGTGAGTGTAGAAAGAAGCAGTGACAAGCTTCTTCCAAGATTTGTATAGAAGAGAAAAAGGCCATGATAGCCAAGGTATTGCTGAAGAAGAGCAAGAGAGAACTTATTAGATATTTTAAATTATTATATAATTATAATAATTTAGGCAGTATAATATTGGTAAAGGGATAGACAAATTGACCAGTAGAATAAAACAAGGAGCCACAAATTAGGTTATATATTTGGAAACTTGATTCATAAAAAGTCTAGCTTTGAAGATTAGTAGGGAAATATAAACTATTCAACACATGACACTAACACTATAGTTTCTTGTTTTTAAAATGTATTACTACTCACAGCATACACAAAAACCAACGTCAAATAGGTTAAATACTTAAATGTAGAAATGCAAAATGCTAAAACACAGATAAGGGAATGCTTTCTTGAGTGGGAAATGCAGGATACAAGCAAAAAAGAAAAGTTTATGAAGTTTAGCTGCTTTAAGATTAAGAACTCTGTTCATAAAAGGGCACCTTAAAGAAATGAAAAAACAATGCACAAATTAGAAAGAGACATTTGTTACAAAAATAAAAAACAGTAGATTAGTACAGATATTATCTACAAATCAGTTAGTAGAAGATAATTCAATTTTTTTTTTGAGATGGAGTCTCACTCTGTCGCCCAGACTGCAGTGCAGTGCCGCGATCTCTACTCAGCAACCTCCGCCTCCTGGGTTCAAGTAATTCTCCTGCTTCAGCCTCCCAAGTAGTTGGGATTACAGGTGCACACCAGTGCGCCCGGCTAATTTTTGTATTTTTTTTTAGTAGAGACGGGGTTTCACCGTGTTGGCCAGGCTAGTCTCAAACTCCTGACCTCAAGTGATCTGCCTGCCTCGACCTCCCAAAATGCTGGGATTACAGGCATGAGCTACATCGCCTGGCCTAATTTTTAAAATTGGTTAAAAAGAAGGCTGGGTGCTATGGCTCACACCTGTAATACCAGCACTTTGAGAGGCTAAGGCAGGAGGATTGCTTGAGCTAGGGAGTTTGAGACCAGCCTGAACAACATAGTGAGACCCTGTCTACATAAAAAATTTAAAAATTAGCTGGGCATGTGGTATGCACCTGTAATCCCAGCCAGTTGGGAGGCTGAGGCCAGAGGATTGCTTGAGCCCTGGAAATTGAGGCTGAAGTGAGCTGTGATTGTACCACTGCACTCCAGCCTGGGCAATACAGTGAACCTTCTCTCAAAAAAAAAAAAAGAGGTACTTCATAGAACAGGAAATGCTGATTGTCAGCAAAATGAGAAAAGGTGCTCAATCTCATTGGTAATCAAATATTGAAAATTAAAACTTTGAGGAGTATTTATTTCACATTGACAAATTTATAAAAACTCTGGCTAGCTAGGTGCAGTAGCTCACACCTATAACCTCAGCAGATGATAGCTGGGAGTACCGCTTGAGGCCAGGAGTTCAAGACCAGCCCTGGCAACATAGTGAGACCCCTGTCTACACAAAAAATTTTAAGAATTAACTGGTTGTGGTGGTACGAGTCTGTAGTCGTAGTTACTCAGGAAGCTGAGGTAGGAGGATCACTTGAGCCCAGGAGTTCAAGTTTGTAGTGAGCCAAGATGGCACCACTGCACTCCAGCCTGGGCAACAAAGTGAGGTCTTGTCTCTAAAAATAATAAAAATAAATACATTTAAGTATCTTACAATATTAAGTGCTAGCTAGGATATAGAGAAATCATAATATTTATCTTTATACTCCTAGTAGGAGTGTAACATTGTTACTGTGTACAATAGTTGTGAATTATCTAATAAATTTGAAATTTTTCATACTCCATGACCCAGCAATTTCTTTTTTTTTTTTCTTTTTTTTTTTTTTGAGACAGGATCTCACTTCCTCCAGGCTAAAGTTAAGTGGTATGATCACAGCTCACTGCAGCCTCCATTGTCCCTCTCACCTCAGCCTCCCGGGTAGCTGGGACTACAGGCACTTGCCACCATGCCTGGCATATTTTTGTATTTTTCATAGAGATGGGGTTTCACCATGTTGCCCAGGCTGATCTCGAACTCCTGGATTTAAGTGATCCTCCTGCCTCGACCTCCCAAAGTGCTAAGATTACAAGTGTGAGCCACCATGTCCAGCCGCAATTTCATTTTTAAGTAGGCATCTAGAGACTGATCTTTTAACCTCATCCTATTAACATTTTAGGCCAGATAATTCTTTGTTTGTGGGGCTATCCTGTGCCTTATAGGATGTTTATCATTAACTGGGGACATTTAGTAGCACTTTCTAGTTACGACAAGTAAAAATGTTTGCAGATATTGCCAAGTATTCTCTAGGGAGCAAAATCATCCCAGGTTAAGAACCACTGCCCTGTATAAATTTTTGCACATATCTACTTATAAATTTGCAAGACTGGTCATAGAAGCACTGTGTGTAATAATAATAATAAAAACAAAAAAACAAAAAACTGAAGGCAACCCAAATATGCATTAATGTTAAAGGAAGACTAATAAATCTTACAATAGAATACTATACAAGTGTAAACTAATGAATTATAGCCATGTGCTTCAAAGTGTTGAAACTCAAGATCTTAATGTTGAGTAGAAGAGTCATAGATAAATACAACTTTCTATTTACATATTGTTGCAAAACATAAACAACAATTATATATTTCAGGATGAAATATATGAGGTAAAATTATAAAGAAAAGCAAGGGATAGAGAAAATTCAGGATAATGTTTAGCTCGGATTAAAGAAGGGTTAAAGAACCGTAGAAGGGTACACTGAAAGCTTGAAAGGGCATTATAATGTGTTTTTCTTAAACTGGTTGGTGGTACATGGGTATTCACGATCTGCATTTCTTTTTCTTTTTTTTTTTTTTTCCTTTTTTTTTTTTTTTGAGACGGAGTTTTGCTCTTGTTGCCCAGGCTGGAGTGCAATGGTGCAATCTCCGCTCACCACAATCTCCGCCTCCTGGGTTCAAGTGATTCTCGTGCCTCAGCCTCCTGAGTAGCTGGGATTACAGGCATGTGCCACCATGCCCGGCTGATTTTGTATTTTTAGTAGAAACAGGGTTTCTTTATGTTGGTCAGGCTGGTCTTGAACTTCCGACCTCAGGTGATCTGCCCGCTTCGGCCTCCCAAAGTGCTGGGATTACAGGCATGAGCAACCATGCCCAGCCCTGTATTTCTTACATATGTATTAGAAATTTTATTTTTTTAGCTACTAAATATTTTTTAGAATTGTAAAGGAAGTAGTTTAACCTTCTAAACTATGTAATACAATTCAATAACACATCAAAAATATCTATTTACTTTTAAAATATTTTGATTTGTATATTTGAAGATATAAAATGGCAATAAATCATTTCAGAAGCCAACTTACGATATTGTTTAGGAAAGTTGGGAGAATAAAACAAAATGGGCTAACCACTCATCAAGAAAGATATTCTGTCTTCAAAGGCAATGGCTACTAACAGATAACATATTCAACTAACTGCTTTAAAAGCAAGACCATTAAAAATTAAATAAATAAATAAAAACAGGATAATGTAGTGGCAGTAATCAGCACTCAGAGTGAACTCCCTCTTGTAAAAAAGCTCATCAATTGTTTTTTTGCTGATTAAAATGAATATTATTCCTGTGAAATGAACCAAAAAGTTGTATGAAACCGGAAATCCCAAAAGAGAACTATAATCTACAAGAATAATTGCATGCAATTTTAATTGAAGGAAAAGGAGAGGACTGTTTTTATCTTTGCTTTTTTCACATCTTAAAAGTAATCAACCTGTTGGCCAATTAACAATTCTTTTATATTATTATTGTCTGACCTAAAAATTGACACTTGATAAATTGGAAACTTGTGAAATTTTAAGATTAATGACAAAATGACTATTGGCTATAGCTGACTATAATGTGGAGCTTTTGTCCTTAATGAAATAAGGTAATAAATCATTATTAACATTTTCAGAAATAAAGTATGTTTTACTGTTGTTCATTGACGTGTATATATCATGACTATTAACATAAATATGCATTCAACCTTTATTCATTAAGTACAACCAGAATTGGAAATGAGAGGATATATTTTGTTGAAGGGCAGATTAACTACATTAAAATATTTATTTTATTTTCTCATCAATATCTTAGAAAAAATTGGAATGCTGAAGATTTATTCTGTTTTGAAGTTCAGCTTTAATAATACATATCAATAAAATATATATTTGCATTTCAATTTAGTTTACATAGTATTCAGAACTTTGTCTGTTTGGTTAAATTAGCACACTTACAAATCAGAAAGAAATAGTTTGAATGAGCAGTATTTTATTTATTCAATAATTTGTTACATTGCCCCTGATTTTGGTTATAGACAAGAGGTTAATTTTGTTCATTTTTCTTCTAAAATGTCATGATATGTTGGACTAAAGAGTTTACCGAGTACATGCAAAAAAGGAAATTATATATTTAAACATTTGATTTCCCAGTATAACAAATTAGTAATTTGGCAGTCTAAACCTATTAGAAATATAAATTTCCATATACAAATCTGTGTGAATTTGGCTCCCCGCTCTTTAGGAAAGATTGATACTAGATTTTATCTTATAGGTCATTTACAATGTTATCTCATTCAGAGTAAAGTGAAAAAATTAAGGTTAAATTTTTTGGTACATTTAAAAATAGTAATATAGAAGGAATATTATCAAAATACACAATATATAATCCCTTATTTACACAATACAATTTGGAAAAGACTTTCAACGAAATATGGATGAGACTTTCACTTATGTGAATTTTACAAATGAATGAAATTTACCCCTTTAATCATTACAGTCTTTTTCATTCTAATGACTCCAAGTCTCTCAATGTTATTTTATGCTATGTATATTCAATTTAAGGATATGTAATTTTATTGTAAAATTCTTGGTCTAGAAAGAAATTTAAAATTTTATTTTAAAAATCTTATAGTATAACCCTCTACTTTAACCACTCAGGAATTTTAAACCTATGTATATGATGTATCTTACTGAAAATCATACAGCTAATCTTGGTCCCTCAATTCTTACTGTTGGTGAATAGCTGAAAATACTCTTTAACTCCTCAATGCATTCCTCCTAGTCTCTCCTAGGTTTTATAGTAATCCTTCTAGTTTATAGCTACATAATTAGAGAAACAATTCTGTTATAATTTTATGTAAACTGAGAACTAATATGATGGAAAGAAAAACTTGGGAAGCATTTATGTGAACAGTATTAGATGCATGCTAGAGACTTTTTTCCTAAATTTCTTCTAAAATTTTTGGCTTAGTTCTAGAGAGCTAAAGTGTCAAGACAGTAAGATATAACTAAAATTTATACATTTATGCTAAGTTCTGCCCTATAATAAATTGCTCTTGAGCAGAATTTTTAATATCAAAAATATTCTAATAGTGCCATTTATTATTAATAATAAACGATTTATTAACATTATTTTAGGTTAAAAGCAATTTTTTGATAAAATTTCTTTATATTTGCCTAGTTATCTACTTTTTTTTTTTTTTTTTTTGACAGAGTCTCGCTCTGTCACCCAAGCTGGAGTGCAGTGGTGCAATCTCAGCTCACTGCAATCTCCACCTCTTGGGTTCACGTGATTCTTCTGCCTCAGCCTCCTAAGTAGCTGGGACTACAGGCGTGTGCCACCAAGCCTGGCTAATTTTTGTTTCTTTGTGTTTTGTTTTGTTGTTGTTTTTTTGATACAGAGTCTCACTGTCGCCCAGGTTGGAGTGCAGTGGCACGATCCTGGCTCACTGCAACATCCGCCTCCTGGGTTCAAGCGATCCCCCTGCCTCAGCCTCTGGAGTAGCTGGGATTACAGGCGTGCACCACCACGCCCAGCTAATTTTGTATATTTAGTAGAGACGGGGTTTCACCATGTTAGCCAGGCTGATCTCGAACTCCTGACCTCAGGTAATCCGCCCGCCTCCGTCTCCCACAGGCGTAAGCCACTGCGCCTAGCCCCTATTTTTTATATTTTTAGTAGAGAAAGGGTTTCACCATATTGGCCAGGCTGGTCTCGAACTCCTGAACTTGTGATCTGCTCACCTCAGCCTCCCAAAGTGCTGGGATTACAGGCGTGAGCCACCACACCTGGCCCTTTTTTTTTTTTTGAGACTGAATCTTGCTCTGTCACCGAGACCGGAGTGCAATGGTGCAGTCTTGGCTCACTGCAACCTCCGCCTCCTGGGTTCAAACGATTGTCTTGCCTCAGCCTCCCAAGTAGCTGGGATTATAGGGACTCACCACCATACCCAGCTAGCTAATTTTTATATTTTTAGTAGAGATGGGGTTTCACCATGTTGACCAGGCTGGTTACAAACTCCTGACCTTAGGTGATTCTCCTGCCTCAGCCTCTCAAAGTGTTGGGATTACAGGCGTGTGCTACCATGCCCAGCTGAAGATTTTTTTTTTAATTGGTTATCCAGTTGGCACAAAGAAGTATTTCCCAATTTTATATGTACGTATTTATCTAATAATAAATATGCTCTTTTGAATAGCTTATTATTCAAATAATGTTTTTGTTCTGGTTATAAAAACAATATCTATTTATTATAGGAAATGCAAAAAATGAAGAATTAAGACAAACTACTTATATTCCCATTCTTTTGTGTACCTTTTGTGTCTTTTTTCCTTTTTTTTTTTTTTTTTTTTTAGACGGAGTCTGGCTCTGTCACCCAGACTGGAGTGCAGTGGCACTCGGCCCACTGCAAGCTCCACCTCCTGGGTTCACGCCATTCTCCTGCCTCAGCCTCCTGAGCAGCTGGGACTACAGGGGCTCACCACCACACCTAGCTAATTTTTTGTATTTTTAGTAGAGACGGGGTTTCACCGTGTTAGCCAGGATGGTCTTGATCTCCTGACCTCGTGATCTGCCTGCCTCGGCCTCTCAAAGTGCTGGGATTACAGGCATGAGCCACCGCGCCTGGCCTTTTGTGTCTTTTTTCTAAGCCCAAGATATACTGCCAAGTCTCTCTCCTCTGTCTATATAAGCGCACATGCACACAACATGTAATGTATGTAGTTCTGTACCCTGCTTTTTCACTTAACCTAACACTTTGATGTCAAAGTGACTTTTTTTTCTACAATGAGAAATTCCTTCTTTTTATAGGGAATACTCTTAAACCACTGGAAAAATAAAAGAGCATCATAGGAGACAGTAATAACTTCCTAGGAAATATCATTTTACACTGACCTTTCCCATATAATAAGATTAATTTTTAGTATTTGAATTGTAAAGAGGTTATGATAAAGACTAAAACTAAATATTTCCTGTTTAAGTCATAAAAATATAAAGACAATGAAACTATATGTTTAACCAAAATCATATAGTGGCTAGCTTGCCTAGAAGTTATGATATATACTTTTAGAAAATAAATATTTTAAAATTCACAGATGCTGCAAAGCCCCGGTCAAACATAAATTACAATCAGTTTTTATGTAACAGTAACAATTCCAAAGGACTCTTACCAACTCTCAATTTGTATCACAGATAATGCTTTCTTTTTCTGCTCGTGGAATATAAACCACATTTATTTCTATATCTGTGTATTTTAAAATAAATTACCCCAGAAAACAAAATGTTGGATATACTATGTTCAACTGCAATCCAACAGAGAAAGCAAAACCTTGTATTTCCTGTAAAAATCCTGTAGTATATTTGGTGAACATTTTGGAATAATTATAGAATTTGAATACAGCATCCATTTATTTGCAAAAGTATAAACTACATTATAATTATCAGATGACTCAATACATTTAGTAGATGATACTCCAATTTTATTATAATAATTCACCTTTTCTTGTTCGTGTTCAGTACTATCAAATACAGAAAGAACTCCTTACTTACCATTCTGGGAAAGATGAAATTTTTCATTGTGCCATAAATACCCTGGAAAGTAAAGAAAATATTATTATTTATTATACCTCCATCCACAGGGATCCTAACTGCCAAATGTAATACACCAGCAGCAAAACAAAAATAAAGTAAATCTAAGCAGAAAACACAAATCAGTGTTCTAAGAATTCTTGAACATATATTATATGACTATGAACAGAGCTACCATAAGATTAAGCACTTGTTTTGATAAGTACTTTCAAATACAGGAATAAACTATTTTGTTTTCCACAAAAGAAATATTGTAGAATTAGGAGAACATTGTCAATAAATTTTTTTTTCACTCAGCCCTTTAGCTCATTTGAAGTTTTTATTGAGAGAGATGAGACAGGTTTACCTAAAACTCTTTAAGGGAAAATATGGTTTTCTCACATCCTGATAATTAATGCTATTAATATTGATCAGTTTTTTAAAGTATAATAAACCTAATTTGGAGAAAAATACGCTGAGATCATATCTCTCTGTTAAAACTATATAATGGCTAAGGAAATTTTAATAGATATATATGAAGGAGATTTGCTTGAATTTTCTCAATAGTGATATTTCAGACCTTTAGAAATTTTTTCTAGTGAAGTAATTTTGAATAAACATTATGATGTGTTAAGATATCTTTGGAATCATTATTCCCAAGAAAGATATTGTTTCTGTAAATGAAAACTAGCTAAAATTTCAAACTATAAATCCTAATGTTCCCAAATTAAAAAGTTGGTTTTTGTTGTTTTTGTTGTTGAAGAATAAAACTGGGATTTGAAGGATGTCCTACTTAGATTTTCACATAGAAAATACCTTCTTTTTTAGACAATTTTTCTCTTAAAAATTTGAATACTAAATATGGAAGTCAAATTTTGTAATGATTCAGGAATTCTCCCTATGACAATAGTTTAAGGAAATTATTAGTTTGTATTTAATTGTAAATAATAATAATTCCTTTCAAAATGTTATATGTATTGATTTTTAATGCAAGCTCTTAATGTAAAAAAAATTTAAACACAGAAATACTTTATTTTACATGGAATTTATTTCTAAAGATTATCAATACAATTTTGATATTATAACTCATCAATCTGCTAAAAAAAAAAAAAAGTATTTTTAAGCACCAGCTCCTGAAGAGGGCAGCACGTTCTAGATATTATTGAATTCTAAGCTCAAATGTGGCAGCTTTGGCTTTAGTATACTTTTTTTAAGAACTAAAGGGGAAAACATTGATATTTTTTATAGATGTCTATCCCCATGATATAATAAACCAGCAGAAAGTTTAGGCAGACCAAGGTCAAAACTATATTTGATTATTAAAAGAGAACATTCAAATTAGACACCAAAAGCAATGTATTTAGAAAAGAAACAAAATACAGTAAGGAGACATTCCATGAGGAATGTGTTTTATCTTAATACTGTAGATAACTTTTTCTATTGGCAGTGCGTTGACTATCAAAACTACTAAAGGGGTTAGATTTAATTATCTCACTTCTTGCACATTTCATCTCAATTGCTATGGCAACATTCAGTTGCCTCAGCAGCTATGCACACTTTAATCAGATATTTCCTTTTCATTTCTCTATGAGCCAAACTGTGTAGTCAAATTTACAACCAAGTCCTGATGAATCTGATAACACCTCTAACAATTTAATGGGCAACTTGCCTCCACCCACACATATAAATGTTTTCAGAGAGGCTTATAACTATTGGCCAAGTATGAGACTTGATAAGAATATATGTTTGGACTTTCCTACTTCATTGATTTAAAAAAGAATTTTTTTTGCTCTTTTCTCTACCATTTCTTTTTTTAGAAGTTTTTCACCAATTTGAAACTCACTCCAGCCAGTCCCTACCTTGGGTCCCCTATCCTCACTAAGAGAGTGCATGAGTAAAGGAAACAACCTCCAGTGTTCAAATGTCAATTCTCATCAACAAGTCTATTGAATTATTTACCTTTTATCTGAACATACTTGGAACTGGCACATCAAAGAGCCATTTTCTATTTCTTGAATACAGGTCAGAGAAGGAAGGAAAATAAAGATAAAGCAAAATCTGATAGAGGAGGAAAAGTGTAGAATATTATACTTAAACAGATGTCCAAGCATGAAGGAAATTTGGTCAAGCTTCAGTAATACAGCAGTTTTAATGAGAAGGAAAAGCATGATGCATTAAGTTGTTGATGACACTTTGGTGAATATTAAACATCTACATTGTTGGACAAATCATCACTTTAGTATTTGGTAAAAGACTAGAAAAAACTTTTGTGGACATATAAGGAACATTCAAACTGTCCTGAATTCTGATTTAAAATGTTAGTTAATTATACTTTCATAAATGTTTTGAATTTTGCAAGTAGTAACTAAATTTTAATTTGATACTGTATAGTAAAAATTTTTTAAACTCTAAGAAGCAAAGTGATCTAAGCTCTTTCTAACAGTTTTAATGGCTGCTAAAATTTGTATTTAGATAGCAATCATTTTTATCCTGAAGTTGTGATAGTTCTCTGGTGAGAAGTTTTACTCCAGTAGCTGACAGTAATATTTCAGCATGTTTTTTCAATCACCACTTAGTAGTGTCTAGTAATATTTTCATTAAGAGGCAACCAAAAAGATGCTTTCTATAGCTGGATTTATCACTCTGATGTGTAAAGAGCAAATTCTAGATTATGTCTTATGTATTACAGATGGCTAATTACAGCAATCAAAATCTAATCAAACCTGGAAAAGATTATATTTAAAGTGCAGGTCTTATATATTTTTAACTATAATTGAGGTCAGTATTAGCAGACTGTATTCAAAATGTGGTTATTGAAAAGCTAACTTCTCATTAATGATACAGTTTGGAAGCCCTGTAACCTTAGGAGTAGCGGAAGGAATAAGAGAAGTTTAATTAAAAATATATATACATATAAAGGAAGCATGGAACCTATCTTCAAATATTTGAAGGTCTCTTTATGTAATGGAGACAGTAAATGTCTTAGAAAACTAAGACAAATGGTAGGAGTTCCTGAGAATTGGATTCCAGCTCTGTATTTAAAACTTGAAAACAATTAGAATAGCTTAAACAATGGCATAAGCCATGAAGCAGCAATTCCTTTGTGTAGGCATATTCCATGAAATGTTAGCATATGAACTCTTTATTTTCCGTTCTTAAATTCTGAGACAACATTGTAGAAAAGGTGATAGAACCACGCCACAGATTTAGATCTAGGAATTAAGGTGAGCTACTTCTTAATGAATTTTTCAAATACCAATGCTTTATGTTAGTATGGAAACCTAGCAATGAACTGCAAACAGCATATTCAGCAGCAAGTTGGCAAATCCTACTCTGGAGAAACAGACTAAATGAGAAAAACAAACAGGTCTTAGTGAAGTTATCTAAAACCTCCAAGGAGACATATAAATCGGCCCTAATTGGCATTCATTCAAGAACCTCAGGAGATGCCAGGGAGTGAGTAGAGGTGAGGAATGAGTTCCCCTTTCAGTCTTGACTTGGCTCTTGTACCTAAAACTGGGGTGCCGCCAGACAACACTTATGCTGCTGCTTATGTTAGACTTGTTCTCTGGATGAAAGGAAGATTTTGGCACCATCCTCAAACTCTATGTTCACTTAAGAAATAATAATTGCTCAATTAAGGGCCCAGAGCTTTTCTTCTGTATCCAGAGGAATTAAAAGTTGAAGACAAAATTGCACTTCATGTGGGAAAGCTCATCTTCAGCAAGAATGCTGAATAAGATAAAGGAACGTTGTAACCAATTTGAAGGTTATAAATATAAAGTAATTGCTGATTCTTGAATCAAAGTAATGTGCATTTTTCATGTAACATTAGATCTTGTAAAGTTCTAGTTTATGTTCCTTGGAAATCGTGTTTTTACTTAGTTTGGTTTTGAAGTTTCCTTGTGTGACTCCACTCCTGAATCACACTGAAGGAACCAAGGGGCTCACTGACGGTCTTGCACAGTATCTAATCTTACTGTACTCCAGTGCCGCCGCTTGGAGCTTGCGCCCTTTCAAAGAC
This sequence comes from Homo sapiens, assembly GCF_000001405.40. Lineage (NCBI taxonomy): Eukaryota > Metazoa > Chordata > Mammalia > Primates > Hominidae > Homo > Homo sapiens. The sequence continues at coordinate 81,757,810 of NC_000001.11, read as the reverse complement.
TGGCTATCTGCCTAAGCATCTGTTTCTACCTAAAGAGCTGGTGAGTAGTTTTGCAACAAGAAAAGCTAACTTTTGATAAAATAAAAACTTCAGCCAAATTAACTTTAAAGTAGTTTAATTGAGCAATGAACAATTCGTGATTCGGGCAGCCCCTAGATTCACAGCAGATTCACAGAGACTCCAGTGTAGCCACGTGATGGAAGAAGATTTATAGACAAAAAAGGGAAGTGATGTACAGAAATTGGCAGTGAGGTACAGAAACAGCTGGATTGGTTACAGATTGGTGTTTACCTTATTTGAACACAGTTTGAACACTTAGCAGTCTATGAGTGGCTGAAATTTGGCCACTGTGATTGGCCAAGACTCAGTTATTGTTACAGGCTCATACTCCTAAGTTAGGTTTTCAATTTTGTCTGACTATTAATCTAGGTTACAATTCATCCACAAGGATTCAAATATAGAAGTACAGGGTCCCTCTCAGGCCATATTTAGTTTGCTTTAACACTTTTATTTTTACTATTAAAGAATATGGGATGTTACATACTTCATTAAGTATTTTATTTCCCCTGCCCCTCCAGACCCTTTCAAATCAAACTTTTACATTAACTTAGGTTGGTTAAAATTCCTCCTGCTGAGGTTTTGCTAGCAAATGGTCATGAAGCTTGTTTCCAAATGCTCACCCACAAAAGCTTTTACTAGCCAATTCCATTTGGTTGGCTGTACTCCAACACAGTCTCTGGTGATAGCAAACATTAGCTACAGAGAAACAGAAACTTCCATGGCACCCTGGAGGAACTTTTTGATCCAAAAGACACTCCTAGTAAACCAAAGTGTCACTATGACTTCATGAACGTTTCCTTATGTCATGAATAACAGTAGGAGGAAAGGGTGGCTGCATTTCTGAAATGGTTGTTCCACGTGTGTAAACCTAGTCCCCAACTTTAGATCAAAGAGTGTCTTCAATCAACAAGTATTTATTTAGTGCCTATCATGTCTAAAATTTAAGAAGTCAGAAAAGGACAAATAGGAGCTATTTTAAAATTCTGTTATTTGTTGAATGAATGGAGAAAGACATATTGCTGGCCTATAAAAAAATCACAATTACCTATAGGAGGGAAAATTAACATGAAACAAAATACAACATCTCTTTGTCATGTCCGTAACAGTTAAAATATTCATCTGTTTCAAACTACAAAAGGTTTTAATATATTTTAACAGTATTTTTCCATTAAGTAGTTTTAACAAAAAAGCACAAATTATGTGGCTTTATGCAATATGGTCCTGCACCCTCACATCTACCCACTTATACCTCTTGTCTATGAAACTTAAGACATCTCTACTGAACCATGATATCCCTCATTGGGAATTGACAGAGTAGGGAAAGTCTTGCATTCTTGTTTTATTGTGGCCAATGCAACAATGTCAGGTAAATAATCATAAGCATTAAGAAAATGCATATTCAGTGAATAATGAATGAATGAATGAATGAATGATAAAAGAAGAATAGAATTGGTGTTGTCCTAAGTGCAAGAAATATTCAAGAAGGTTAGTGTACTTTGAAATGGTCTTAGTTTTATGGAAGATATGAGACTTTTCACTGGTCTTCAAGAATGGATGAGAGTTAGAAAGTAGATGTGAAGGAAATAAGAAATTTCCAGTGGAGTTAAGAGCATGAGCAAAGGGATTGCTTTGGATGCAGAGAAATTAATGAAAAGATTTAATTCTTCTTGATAAGACTGGGTTGTATATGGATTAGTGATTTTGTTTGGTTTAGATTAAAGGATATTTTAAAGAAATGTTTCTTAAACTCGAATGTGCATACCTGGGGACCTTGTTAAAATGAGGAACCTAATTTAATAGGTGCGGATTGAGGTGTGAGATTATTTATTTCTAACAACTTCCCTGGTGATGTTGGTGCTGATGCCATACTGTGAATTGCAAGACTGTTGAGGATCCTTGAAGCTAGATAGAGTCGTTTGGGCTTAATACAGCAGGCATTCAAAAACCACTCTATGTCCTCTAGCAGTTACAGCATGATGAAAACTGCACTTTAGGGAGATTACTGTGTCAAGCTCATGAAAAGTATGCTAAAGAAGAGAGAATGTAGAATAGCAAAACCAGCTGGGAGCCTGTCTACACTTTCTCTGCATATTTCATAGATTTGGTGCTCAATTATCTGTTGATTGATTAGTTTGTGTGGACATGGTCAATTCAAAAGCAGTTTCTCAGTAAAATAATTGTGGTCTCAGTGACTTTTTGAAAACAAGTCAAGTTTAGGTAAAACACATGGGGAATCCATGAATGCTCTTTCCCTCTTCTCCATCTGGAAAAACTGTATTCATTCTTTAAAAGACTTGAAATGTTAACTCTTCTGTTCTTATCATAGTATAAAATTATAATTATGCCCTTATATGTATCTCTCACATATATAATAATGATAATGATAATTAGCAATAGTAGCAAACTAGTGCTTTGAGTGCTTATTAGTAGTGCCAGGCAAATTGCTAAATAATTTTTATAATGAAGTCTTCATTCTATTGCTGTGACAAATACTACAATTATCACCCCCATGTATGAAGATATATGTATATATCTTCATATATGCATTTATATATATATATCTTTAAATCTATATATATCTTTAAATATATATATATATATAAACACATATATATATCTTTAAATCTATTTTAAAAGAGAACTTATGTGCCCTAATATTCTAATATTGTGTTGGGTATGTACCAGTAAATATATTTATTCAGAGAATCATCACAATGTGTTCTAAGAAGTCACAAATTTCTTAGTGTAGCTTATATTTTTGCTTGATATTTTCACCTTTGTTCCTTATCTCCAATAATTATAACAATGGCTAGCAATTAGTGTTTCCTATCTCTCAGGTACAAATTTAAGCAATTAACATGCGTTGTCTCATTAAATGCTCATAATAATTTGGGTGTTATTATTACCTCCATTTTATATATGAAGAAAAAGAGGCACAAAGAAAGTAGTATGTCTAAGTTTCCAAAGCTACAAAGCAAGAAAGTTGCATGTTGAACCTACTACACTGTGTTATTGAAAGAAAGAAAAAAAGAAAGAGAGAGAGAGGAAGGAAGGAAGGGAGGGAGGAAGGGAGGAAAGGAGGAAGGGAGGGAGGAAGGAAGGAAAGGAAAGGAAAAGAAGAAAGAAGAGAGAAAGAAAAGAAAGGGAGAAAGAAAAGAAAAGAAAGAAAGAGAAAGGAGGAAAGAAAGAAAGAGAGAAAGAAAGAAGGAAAGAAAGAAAGAGAAAGAGGGAGGGAAGAAAGAAAGAGGAAGGAAAGAAGGAAGGAAAGGGGAGGGGAGGGGAGAAGGGGGAGGAGGAGGAGGAGGAGGAGAAGGAGGAGGAGAAAATAAAAAAGCCGGGCATGGTGGCTCACGCGTTGTCTCATTTAGTGCTCATTATAATTTGGGTGTTATTATTATCCCCATTTTATATATTAAAAAAAGAGGCACAAAGAAATTAGTATGTCTATGTTTCCAAAGCTACAAAGCAAGAAAGTTGGATTTTGAACCTACTACACTGTGTTATTGAAAGAAAGAAAGAAAGAGAGAGAGGAAGGAAGGGAGGGAGGGAGGGAGGGAATCTATGAAATCCAAAGGAGGGAGGGAGGAAGGGAGGGAAGGAGTCTATTAAGTCCAAGAAGCCTTATTGGCATTTTTTAGTTTCTATCAGCACACCACCATGACAGATCAGGAGGAAGTACCTGCTGGCTGGCAGATGTGTAGTCATGGGATAAAATATTTTCTATGAAGGACCCCACTCCCCTTGTCTTCTCTCCAGTGACACTCCAAATTCCTTAGACCACAACTCATTCTCACAATAGACTAAAGAATATTCCCCCAAAACATGCACCATCATATATTCAAAAGATGGTCTCCTTTAAACATTTGCCTTTAGGGAAAGACATTCAGCTTCTGGGATTCCTTTCTGGTATTAGGAGTAATAATGACAACTTTCCAGATATTTGAAGTGTTTGATATGATGCAAATTATTACTTGACTGATCAACTAAAAAACAGATCAAAACCAAATAGAATATTTGTTTATTCCACTTCATGAGCTTACATTCTAATCTAAATTTTTAATATTTAAATTCCGAATTGACAAACTGGATATTCTAATATCATAATTTCTGAAATTATGTACTTTTGTATTTTGCTTTAAAGAAAATTATTCTATTTTCTCAAACATATCAGTATACTTTTGGGCAAATAAATCTTTAATAGTATATTCAACCCTACTCCATAAATTTACTTGATGCTCTCATTTTACCTATGTTTGTTACATACTGATATGGTTTGGCTCTGTGTCTCCACCCAAATCTCATCTTGTAGCTTCCATAATTCCCACGTGTTGTGGGAGGGACCCGGTGGGAGATGACTGAATCATGGGGGCGGGTATTTCCCGTGCTATTCTCATGATAGTGAATGGGTCTCTCAAGATCTGTTGGTTTTAAAAACGGGAGTTTCTCTGCACAAGCTCTCTCTTGCCTGCCACCATCCACATTAAGATGTGACTTGCTCCTTCTTGCCTTCTGCCATGATTGTGAGGCCTCCCCAGCCACGTGGAACTGTGAGTCCAATTAAACCTCTTTCTTTTGTAAATTGCCCAGTCTCAGGTATGTCTTTATCAGCAGCATGAAATTGGACAAATACACACACCTAGATATTGATAACATGAATAGATACAGCGATGTCTTCAGTACCATTCTAGCACTTTCCTCATGTATGGCCTGCATAGCCTGTTCTTGTTGGAATTCACTACAAGTTTACACAACTAGGAAACAATGTAATCTATTATTTGCTGTGCTCTTTTAAAATAGTTGTATTATAGCAATGTAAGTAATATAAAAATTTTACCTGTCCACATATTATTTCTACTAAATTTTCTTTCTCTGGGGAAGTATCATTTTTGGTTTGAATAATATTTGTTGCTATTTTAATACCTACTGTAGCTATTTGGCTTCTTCATACTAAAGGAAGTATATTAAAAGGCCTTTAAGACAAAAGAAAACAGAAAACCAACTGGGCACAGTGGCGAATGGCTGTATCCCAGCAACATGGCAAAACCCTGTGTCTACAAAAATTAGCCAGGTGTGGTGGCCAGGACCTGTAGTACCAGCTACTCAGGAGGCTAAGGTGGCAGGATCACCTGAGACCAGGAATGTTGAGGCTGCAGTGAGCCGTGATCATGCCACTGCACTCTGTGAGACTCTTGTTTCAAAAAAAGGAGGAAAGAAACAGAAAACCATTACTATAACTATCAGTACCAAATGTCTAAGAGATCATAATTGTTTTCATTGGAAATGAAACAAAAGTATAGCGCCTTTTTCTTTCATTATTATAATGCTGTAGTTTTAAAGAGTGGAGATGGCGAGAGCCCTCTGCTTTCTACACCTCCAAATGTGTCTTAATCTATTTGGGCTGCTATAACAAAATGTCATCAAATGGGTGACTTATAAACAAGAGAAATGTATTTTTCAAAGTTCTGGAGGCAGGGAAGTCCAAGATCAATTGCCTGCACATTCAATGTCTGGCAAGGGCCCTTCCGCTTGGACTTCCTCACAGAGATAGCTTCCTTCTCACTTTAATGCCACATGGTGGAAGGGGCGTGGGATCTCTCTCTTTATAAGGCCACTAAGCCCTTTCATTAAGGCTCCACCCTTATGACCTAATCACCTCCCAAAGGCCTCACCTCTTAACCATCACATCTAAGATGAAGACTGTAACATATGAATTTGGGGGAGAACATAAACATTCAGACCATAGCAAACTGTATTATAAAACTTTATAACATGTAAAAGACTTTTCTCTAAACTAACCTGAAACCTATTCCGGGATTATGACAACATATCATGGAAGATGTTGAATTTGAATAAAATTTTATTATTTTCTTATTTTGAAACAATCTTAAATCACAAAATTGTTGTAATGACAAATAACATTTTTTCAGAATTATTTGAGAGTAATGTGTCAACATGATATGATACTTATTATTCCCAAATACTTCAACATATTTTTTTCAACAAACAAGGATATTTTCCTTTATAACTGAAATACAACCACTGAAATCAGAAAGTTAATACTGATACATCACTATAATCCTCAGATCCCCTTCAAATTTTGCCACTTATCTTAATAATGTCATTTATAACAAAATGATCCAGTCCACAATCAAGCATTAAATTTAATTATTATGCATTTTCAGTCTTTCGATCTGAAAGATTTCCTTAGTTTTACCATGGCTTTCATGAATTTGACAGTTTTGAAGATTGTGAGTTAGTTTGTTTTGTAAGATGCTCCTTGTTTAGGTTTCTCTTTTGTTTTCTCATTATCAGATTCAGGTTTCCTCTCTTTGGCGGAAAAATCACAAAAGTGATGCTATGTTCATTTCATAGCAACCTATCAGGTGGCACATTACTCATGATGTGAATACTGATCTCATGATTAAGGTGATGACTGTATAATTGCTCTTTTCCTCCTTTTCATAAGTATATTGCAGGGAAGTAGAGTAACTTTCTATTTATTTATTTATATATGTCAGAGTGGACTCATGGATATTCATTTTACCCAATAGATTATAATCTGCTGTTACTGTTATTATTCACTTTGATTTTCAAATTGTCCCAGATATGGTCAGTATGATCCTCTTCTGTCTGACATCTTTCTTTGACATGTCCCTGGCATTGTTTTAATACTTCCGTATTTCAGCACAGTAATATATTCCAGGCTCGTTTTGTATTTTTCATGCCCCAGCCCTGGAATCAGCTATTTCTCTAAGGAGTCTTAATTTCTTTTAGATGAGAATGTTATTGAGAAACCAAGATCTGGGATGTAGGTGTGCCCATTGTTTTGGGGCTGTCATTGTTCTCAGGATCCAGAACCAAGGAGATATATGCACATAAAAATCCATTTATCTATCCATCCACATATTACATTGATATTTATTTCCATATATATCTATATCTATGAAACACTGCTTCCTCCATTTCCAAACCAGCACCACAGGGTCCAATGTAGTTTCTCTGTCTGTTTTTTGTTTTTTGTTTTTTTTGTTTTTGAAATGGAGTCTTGCTCTGTTGCCCAGGCTAGAGTGCAGTGGCACCATCTTGACTCACTGCCACCTCCACCTCCTGAGTTCAAGCAATTCTCTGCCTCAGCCTCCCAAGTAGCTGGGACTACAGGCACCTGCCCTCATGCCTGGCTAATTTTTTGTATTTTTAGTAGAGATGGGGTTTCACCATCTTGGCTAGGCTGGTCTTGAAATCCTGACCTTGTGATCCAGCCCCATCGGCCTCCCAAAGTGCTGGGATTACAGGCGTGAGCCACCTGGCCCAGCCATACTTTCTCTCTCTTAATATTTGTAACAACTTGTCTGACAATGAAACATCTGTCTCCTGTTATTTTTAATATGTTTACTTTTTGATCAACCATCCTACCTGTAACCAATATCCTATTGCTGTTAGGCATCTGACCCTTCCCATTCAGATGCTCTGCTCAGCCTATTTGAGCTCTGACACTGTTTAGGCTACTGAGGCTCTCTGTTCACACATCACCTAGAGATTTCCACCTTACTTGTCCCAGCTTCATAGGTTAGGTGAACAGAAAGATAGAAAAAGAAGAGCATGAGAACAAATTGAGATACTTTTGAAAAAGCTTGTCTGCTATGTAGATTCTAATGCTATTGCATATCACATGTTTAATTGAAAATTTTTCTTTTTATTTGAGAAACTAAAAAAATTCTAACTAGACTTCACATATTTGACAAATATTTATTGAGTGCCTACTCTGTGCCAGTATAATAAATTTTAGTAAAAACCCAATTAACTGCAGTTCTCAATTAATCAATATATTTTACTTACTGGCTTGTTTCTCAGGGAAATTGGCCAATTATAAGCAACTACATTCAGACTGAAGATTTATTCAAAACAGGGCCAGTCATGAAGTCAGTATGAATTTTACTCTAATTCCCATACTTATATATTACCTTATATAATGAGAAATGACATTCAAAATTATGAACCTAAAAAAGACTATGAAACTCACTATTGAAATATTGCTGTGCTAACTACAGACATTTTAGAAATCTTTTCAACAAGCATAGTTTTATTCAATTAACCATAAAATTATATTCTGAAAGCATCCAATGTCTAGTTTATGTATTCATTTAACAAACATTTATAATACATCAATATATTCCAGGCACTGTTCAAGAAAATAAAAATCTCTCAAAGTTCCTGTCCTGATGGAGCTTACCATCTAGTAACAGGAAAAAAGACAATCAACAAGCAATAGCAATATGTGGTATGCCAGGTTATTAATGGTACTGGGAAGGAAAATGAAGAAAAATGAGAGAACAGAACATGAACAAGGAGAAGTAATGGTAGATGTGCTGTCTTCAATGGTTGGTTTAGTTTTTTCATGTCATCAGTTTACCATTTATTTGGTAAGAGTCTCTTATGATGAGAAATATATTCTTCTCATATTTGTTTGCTTTTTTTCTTTCATATGTTTGGGCCAAATATGTAGCAAACTCTTAACTGTCTAAATCATTTTGTAAGGTCTGGAAAGATAGCAATCAAAATGGTAAATTGGGGAAGGTAGAAGGGAAAGAAAGAGTTGAGGTAACAGTTTGAGTGGAATTTTTAAGGTAAAAAAGAAAATGTTTTATATTTATTGGATTTTCCATGTGCATTACATTATCTTCATAATTTTAAAATCTATTTTTATTTTAAAAAATATTTTCATTGTAGCTGTTCTACTTCAAACAGTATGCTGGAAGAATTCAAATGTCCTAGAATAAGAATGAGGCCGGGCACAGTGGCTCACCCCTATAAGCTCAGCACTTTGGGAGGCCAAGGCGGGTGGAGCACCTGAGGTCAGGAGTTCAAGATCAGCCTGGCCAACATGGTGAAACCCCATCTCTACTAAAAAGACAAAAATTAGCCAGGCGTGGTGGCACACACCTGTAATCCCAGTTACTTGGGAGGCTAAGGCAGGAAAATCGTTTGAACCCGGGAGGTGGAGGTTGCACTGAGCCGAGATCATGCCACTGCACCCCAGCCTGGGTGACAGAGTGAGACTTCATCTCAAAAAAACCAAAAAACAAAAAAAAAGGAATGAATGAGAAATAAGAGACTGAGATAGACAAAAAAATTTATCATTCATTAACCACTTTTCAGATAAATATGTTTCACTAACTCCCTCAAATAGTGACTCTATTTAAATAATTTAAATTGCAGATATGGTCAAAACTCTTCTACTGTTTTCTTTTTTCTTTCTTTCTTTTTTTTTTTTTTTTTTTTTTTTGAGACGGAATCTCCCTCTATTGCCAGGCTGGAGTGCGGTGGCGCGATCTCAGCTCACTGCAACCTCTGCCACCAGGGTTCAAGCGATTCTCCTTCCTCAGCCTCCCGAGTAGCTGGGATTATAGGCGCGTGCCCAGCTAATTTTTGTATTTTTAGTAGAGACGGGATTTCCCCATGTTGGCCAGGATGGTCTCGATCTCTTGACCTCGTGATCTGTCCATCTTGGCCTCCTAAAATGCTGGGATTACAGGCGTGAGCCACCGCACCCGGTCTCTTCTATTATTTTCAAACAAAAATTGACCATTTTAGTCCTTAGCTTAATAGATGTCTACCTGTTCCAATGATACCATTATAATATAAAGAATTGATACTATTAGTTAAAAGAATAGAAAAGTAAGAATGTGAAAGCAGTTAAATTCTAGGATAGATTTGTAAGCAGAAGTTAGTAGCATCCATCTGTAAAAGAAAGAGCACCAAACAAGGAATTTTAAAACCTGGCTTAAAGTCTTCCTAGTTCTTGTTATATAATTTTGGGCAAGCTACTCCTACTTTCTTACACCTAGTCTTCTTTTTGGTAAAATGAGGATAATCTCAGCTTTTGTCTAAAGTCAGCATTTATAAATAAGATTCCCAGAATTAAATGAAAAAATCCAATAAAAAGAAATCTACCAGTCTTATGTGTTTCTACACATACTTTGTCTCTTTCTCACTCCTTCTCTCTCTCTGTCTCTTACACACACACACACACACACACACACACACACACAAACATTAAAGGAAAAATTATTTTTCAGTCAAATAAAGGACTATGTTGAATACATCCTATATTATCATTTTCAAATAAATAATGTTTAAAATATAATTTGAGGCCGGGCATGGTGGCTCACACCTGTAATCCTAGCACTTTGGGAGGCCGAGGCTGGTGGGTCACCTGAGGTCAGGAGTTTGAGACCAGCCTGGGGAACATGATGAAACCCCGTCTCTACTAAAAATACAAACAATTAGCTGAGCATGGCGGCATGCGCCTGTAATCCCAGCTACTTGGGAGGCTGAGACAGGAGAATCCCTTGAACCTGGGAGGCAGAGGTTGCAGTGAGCTGAGATCACACCATTGCACTCCAGCCTGGGCGACAGAGCAAGACTCCATCTCAAAAAAAAAAATATATATATATATACACATGTATGCACATGTATATATACACATATACATATATACACACATATACATATATATGTATATATACATATATACACACATACATATATATACATGCATACACACATACATATATGTATATATACACACATACATATATACGTATATATGTATACATATATACATATATACACATATATACACATATATGTATATATTACGTATATACACATATATACATATATACACATGTGTATATACGTATATACATATATATACGTATATACACGTGTATACATACGTGTGTATACACGTATATACGTATATACACACGTGTGTATACGTGTGTATATACGTATATACATACATGTGTATACGTGTGTATATACGTATATACGTGTGCACGTGTGTATATACGTGTATACGTGTGCACGTGTGTATATACGTGTATACGTGTGCACGTGTGTATATACATGTATATATATAATTTGAATTAGTATACTAATTCTCAGAGAGAATAATGGCCAAAATAATGGTTGTGTTATTTAAATTATTTTAAAAAGAATCCAATAATATTGTTTTAGTAATTATGATAATATGATTTTATGTAACATTTATTCACAGGATAAAATAATATATACTATAAACATATCATTTTTCTAATTCATTCTCAGAGGCTTTTTATAAAATATAGATTAAACAGCTTTAAATATATTTGTTACAGCTGGGCGTGGTGGCTCACACCCAGTAATCCTAGTACTTTGGGAGGCCAAGGCAGATGGATCCCTTGAGCCCAGGATTTCAAGACCAGCCTGGGCAACATGGTAAAACCCCATCTCTACAAAAAATAGAAAAATTAGTCAGGTGTGGTTGTGGGCATCTGTAGTCCCAGCTACTCAGGAGGCTGAGGTGGGAGGATTGCCTGAGCCTGGAGAGGTTGAGGCTGCAGTGAGTTGTGATCACACCACTGCCCTCAAGCCTGGGCGACAGAGCAAGACCCTGTCTCAAAAAATTTTTAAAAATATACATTTTTATTTTACTAAAATTGCCTCCATAATATTTGGCATCTTATAACTTGAAGTTTAATACATTTTTCTTTTAATATATACCAATTTAGTATATAATACACACATATTTTCAAAGGCACGATGTCTAATGAGGAATTTACAAATTATATTAGAAATAAAAATCAAAATGAAAACTTTCCACAAAATAAATAGAATGTACAAACAAATATCTCTGAAGGTTCCTGTTATTTATCTCCATGCATTATGTTATATTTTATTTATTTCTTTTTGATCAAGCAGTATCTGAATCCATTAAAAAATTTCTCTTGACATATTGACATGCTTTTAAAGCCCTCTTTGAATTGACAAGCCTAGCAATACTCATTCTTTTGGCCTCGAGTCATTTTATAAGATAGACAAAATCACAAGAGTATTTACTGAGACCTCACCTACAAAACTAGCCAACTACCCCCTGGATGGCAAATTTGGATGGGAGGGAGAAACAACCCAAAGAATTTACAAGCTCGCTAATAAAATATTCAATGAGCAGCCTAGAAACCACATAACAAAGCATTATATTGCAGGGTATTTGTTGTAAAGCTACATTTCCCCCCTTATAAATCCATAAATAATATTTATGCTTTTCACATAAATTTATATTCAAGGTAGAACCCTATTATCTGTCACAGTGTTACTGTGAATGAAATGAGATTGTATTTACATGAATAACACTGAGTGTACTAACAGCTGGGCTCTGTTTTCGTACATTGATCCATTTAATCCTTACAACTCTATAGGATAGGTATTAGATTGAATCATATGAAATTGCCATTTCTGTTGACTATCGGCAAAACTCTGTTTCAACCTAATACCCACTATTTCTCCCATTTTATAATTGAGGAAACTGAGTAACTTGCCTAAGAAGAATAATTGTTTTTCCTATCTTACAATTGAGGAAGTTGATGCTCAAGAAAGCATATGTGACTTTTCCAAGAATGCACAGCTGTGTGCTTCTCAGAGAGAAAGATCAAGAGAGAGAATATTTGCAGATGCACTTTGTAAATTTCATTGTGCTATAAAAAAGTTAAACTATTTTTGTTATTATTAAGTCTTTTCTTCCTAACTCCACATTGGGTCTTTTATTGCCCAACAGCCAAGGATTACCAGGGAAGGATGCCACTAGTTATCAAGACAGAAGTCTCTCATATTTGTCATCTTCTGAGATGATTCCCCCTCTGAAATGACTGGGTGACTTGCAGTCCCCCATCCCTTGTTTTTCTGTTGTCAACTCAGTCCTCAATGATGAGGCACTGGAGTACTTTGGTTTGTTATCAAATTATTTCCTTCTGTGCTTGGAACAAATGAGTTGCAAGGGCTATTGGGAATAATATTTTAAACAATGAAACATTGTCATCTCTCAAGTAGTACACGAAACATATTCTTCAAACATAATTTCATATGAGCTTATTTGAGCTGGAAATAGAGGCAATTTAGAAAATATACACAGCAAAAGAAAGAGGAACCTAAATACGGACATCCAGTTGTCTGTTTTGTTCTTCCACTCTATTTTCATGAGTGTGTCATCCTGTCCCTTGTAATAAGAGGCATTTTGATACAGTAATTTTGAGCAGTATTTGGTACACTAAGTCCAGGAGAGACAATCTTCAGCCCTGGAGTAGAGAACACTAAGATCTTTCTCAGCTTCTCATCATGTGCTGCCTTTCCAAAGAAGTACTTAAATACTATTGCTAGTTTCTTTATAAAAATTCCACCTTCAACAGTAACATTTTATCCTTATGGTTCTCCAGAACACAGAGGGCGTAGTGGTTACTAGTGCCTGAATCAGGAGCTAATTTGTGTTCAAAATCAGACACAAACTGTGTTTGAAAGAAACTTCTGTCACTCAACTATCTGTGTGACTTTGAGCAAGTTGTTTTATATCTGTATTCATCGGTTTTTCATTTGTAAAATGGGGATTATATTAGTTCCTACTCCATATAGTTTACAAGTACTTTAAATGGGATAATGTAAGTAGTGTTTAGAATACTGCCAAACATGCTCAATATTTTAATGGATAGTGATTTCTCATGAAATTGTGAGCATGTCTTAATTTAAGATTTAGAAACACAAGTGTTTTTGTCTGCTCATAGAATACTTAAACATCTATCAGGAATTTAAGTTCATTTCCTTAAAAATTGATTCATCACACTCTTTGCAAGTATCTTATTCTCCTACTTTGCTCCCTAGGTATATCTTTAGCTTCCCACTTCCCACCATTTATATCCAATCTTAGTTTTCCCACAGTAAATACATTTGATCATCAGCTACATCTATCCTTGTCCTTTCCTTCAATGTTGGCATGCATTTCATTGCTTATCTTTATCACTTATGATAACTGCTATATTACAAAAATAGACATCAAATGCTGACACAGGTTAGCAATGCTGGGCACTTTTCAAAGCACAGAAAAACTGTGCCCTACAATTAAAGCTGGTGAACTAGAGGCACATAGAAGAACAAATTAAGATCCACTCATCACCACATATATGTGGTTACGACAATAGAAAATTGCATGTGAACATCATACACGGTAATAAGGGAGCTTTGCACTGGGAGAAAAAAGTAAAATGTGAGTTATAAGTCACAGTAGGTTAATAGATGACTGCTAGCTCTAATTTGCTCATTTTCTTATAGAACCTTTAATTACTTCATTTCTAATGCACTTAGGTTTGCCAGTAGTAGTCTTTTTTATTCTTCTAATAATAATTCCTAAGGTACATCCTATAAATTATCCCTTTCCTTTTCCTCTCTTTCCTCTCTTTAAACAATTCTGAGAAATGGAGAAAAAAAATGTGAACTATAATTTTAAATAACTTCTTTGGATTAATACAAGTGCAAAAAAAAAAAAAAAACCTTCTGTTATTAGCACTCTGCTTTCCTGCCCCCATAAGAATGTCCCTATTTTTATACATGCCAATTTGTCAGCTGCAGCCATTGCTGCTGACCTGCCGTTTTCTATTAAAGCACCAACTCTAGACAAACAAGCCCTCTCCATTCATTCCCTACATTCTTTACTTCTTTAACTTGTTCTAATTCCAGGTTTGCTCTAAGAACCCTTAATTTCAAAAACCCTCATTAGGCTGGAGGAAAGTACTTCAAACTTTCTGTTTCCTTTTACTCTGTAAAAGGCTAGCTTTCTCCCTAAACTCATTTGTTCAGTTTTGTCTCTTAGCTTCCTTACCTCTTACATCACTCTTTTGCAAGAACGGTGCCTTAAAAAAAAAATTCTCTAAGCCCTGTCCCTCTTGTCTTTAAGATGCTTCTGCAAATCTCACCTCTAGATTAAGTGGAAGAGATAAGTGTTAGTACTGAACTTGCCCAACAATTTAAGTGATGACTATTCTATATTTGATAAAACAGCAACAACTCACAATTTAGAAATTCTGGGAAAAGCAATGGCTTGGAGACAGAGAAAAATTTGTGGTAAGACTGACTCTGTGGCAAATATTAATAATTAAATACAAAAATAATAGAATATTTTTCTTGCAAACATAGAGACATTCATTCAGTTATGCATTCATTCATATCATAAACTTTCCTAATCTCTTAGTACGCTAGGGGCTGGAATGATAATAACAATCACAACAGGAAAAATGTCTCTTTTCTGGAGTGTTGATTTATGGAATAAGTTTTTGTTTCAGTTCTTTCGTTGCATTCTTAACTCTTCACATGATGCCAAAAGAAGGAATTTGCATCTTTTGAAGGCAAAATATACAAATTAGACATAACACACTTGATTTTAAATGTTGAATTCAATGTCATCACTCTCAAAATCTTTAATCAGAGTAGTCTAAAGTATGATAGTAAAGGGATGGATTTGAAAATTGAAATGTTTTCTTCTTTTTCCTTTTCTCTTTTTTCCACTAATGGAAGAACAGTACAAGAGTTTAGCAATATGAAGAAAAGAGGGATAGCCATACATTAGATAACAAACCTTTAATGAGTGAAGTTGTTTATGATTCCTAAGGAAACTACACTTAAACAAATTATATTTCATATGTTTTTATAGATTTGATTTAAAGCATCCTTTTATGCCCAACGAACTAGGTAGGAAACATACTATTCCCAGTTTAAAAGAGAAAAAAATTTAAAGAAATCATATGGCTAGTAGACAAAGCCAGGATTGAAGCTAAAACAGGATTTCCAAATCCTGGACTGATATTTTCCCCACTATAATACATACTACTGCCTTTTAAAAATGCACATGCTAATGTAAACCTAGGGCAGGAAAACTTCAGTCTTTTGTCATACAAATAGTAAAATATACACCACATTCACAGTTAGCTTATGTTTTATATATTACATAGATAATAAGATATTTGAAAACAAATTAAATTTGTATCAAAATCCTTGGCAAAGTTTGCAGTTTCCTTTTGTGTGTTCAATTTTTTGATAAAATTTTAATATATATTTTATATTACAGTAGGAAAAAAGCATGTATACTTTGATTTCAAAGTCAAGTGAATTTTGAAATTCTGAGGCATGGCTCTGACATCAAAGATATTCAAATAATCACCACACTGATAACATTAACTTGATTGAATATTGCAGTCCTCTTGGTTAGAAATATTTAAAAGTTGTCTTTGGTTGATTTCTCTTACTAAGAAAAATATATCTTCCAAAGGGAATTCTGTCAGGGGCTATTACTGCATTTGCTTTTAGAGGAAAAGTAGATAGATTTGTGTAAAATTCACATGTACCTTTAAATTTTAAGTGCAAGAGATCCCAAGCCTTATAAGAAGTAAAGGTAATACTCTACGAAATTTAATTGAATATATCCAATTATGATGTTCTAGTATGATCATTACTATGTTAAAGTTGATCTCAAGATGTGAATGTTGAAATGTAAAGACTAGATCTGCGTGAACTATGTTTTAGTATCTCAGTGGTTAGCACTAAAAATGTAAAATATACTGCCCAGTAGGTTTTCTAAAAATAAGATGACTCTAAATTCATAGGAAATCATAAAATTATTTTTTAAGTTCTTTTCTTTTTCTTATACCTTTCTTTACCATGTTTTGTTTTGTTTTGTTTTTCCATTTCCTATATCTATTTTGGCCTCACTCTTCAACTTCATTTTACTCCAATTTTCTTTACTCTTATTCTATAATCTGTCTTTTTTTTTTTTAGAATTCCCTTGTCTCATCTTCACCTATGATTAGCCTCTGGCCTATAATACACAAAACGGACATAAGACCATTCAGTATACTGAAAACATAACACTCTGGTTTATAATATTTCTTTTCTCTGTGAGAAAAAATAATTTCCTTCCTTCCTATGGTAATAGAATCCTTTAACCATGTCTTTCCCCATTCTGCTCTATAATCCATCACTCTGCTTTTCCACACTCAACTTACAGTCTCTGACCCTCCTTCTCTAATACTTTCTTTGAGGTCTGAATCTCTTTCATCTCTTTTGCTATATTGCATAAATTTCTTCTCTCAAAAGCTTCCTATTTCTATTCATAGCAGCCAAGGCTGTGGATATTCCATTTGTGGAGATAATGTAGAGGAGAAAGCCCACCAAATGGTTTAACTTGCATATACTAAATGTTGGCTGGAGCTCTGAGTGGCAAGTCTATATAGCACAAACAGTAAGCACTATGGGAGCTCAAAACCTTTGAGACATGTACCCGTGTATGTCTGGATTTTATTTCTGTGTCTGAATAACCACGTTCTTGCCTCAACCTTGTTAGGATTATTTAGTGCAATTGTTCAGGCCAAAAAGCATTGAAGCTTTCACAAAAATGTTGCCAAGTTAAACTTAGCTTCACAAAAATAACAAAAAGTAAAAAAATGGTTTTAAGCTATATTTGTTAATGGTCATTACTTGGAACTCAAACATAAGATGTCATTTCAGACATGGCTACTAAATAAACTAGAAATTATATTCAAGGATGCCAGAAACTTACTGTGCTCTGTCCTGGTTCAAATAAACCTTTTAAAGTGGATATGCATATAGTAGTGGTATGTACTCGGTAGGCATTTAATAAACCCTTGTTTAATGAATAAAAACAGAATAACCAGCATTTTGTAAAATAATTTGGAATGAAAACGCATGCACAATCTGCCATCTTTTCTTAAAAGTGACTTCACCCTAGTATTAATTTGTTAGATATTACTTTCCCAGATGTGGGCTAACAAGTGAGTTCAGCCAACCCTCATCTTCCTTTGACATCATAATATTTATTTTCTTCCAGAAGGCCTATTTCCTGAACAATCCATGTGATTATATTGCCACAGTGGTGGTTTCCAATCTGGATTGGTATCACTTCTCTAAAGGGACTTCAGAAATGCATGTACATTTGTATATTTATGTGTTTGTGCATGTATGTGTTGTGTCAGGCATCTGGTATTATCAGAATAACTGAAGAATGCTATTGGCATTTAGTGGGAAGGACCTAGGCATGCTAAGGCACCCCTAATGCCTGGAACAGCCTGGATAAAGAAAGGGTGTTATCTTATCAATAAAGCTAAGAATGCCCCTGTTCAGAAACACTGTAGCATTGTGGAGATTTGCTTAGCATGCTGGGTAGACTGAGTCTAACTTTGATTTTCGTAAGGCCTCTGCTGAGGCAGGTATCTCTTGCTCAATTTATCTGCTTTATTTTAATTATTTAATATTTAAGTCATTGTTACCAGGTTAGGCTAGTTTTCTTTGCCTACCATAGGATAAGGCTGGGGTAGAAAATAGAGTAGCTTATATAATGTCTTAACATAAACAGTTAATAAGAGCTCACCTTGGCTCTCTCTGCCTGCTCCAGGCCAGGGCATTTTCTCGAGTAAGCTGATGGTGTTGTTTCTAAGGTAGAGGAAATGGGCCCAAGGGTTCTGTCAAACCATGAATAATTTATTGGGCAATTACTATATGCTGGTACTGTTGTAGATGCATACATGTATAATCTCATTTTTAGCATTCCAACATATCTATTCTCTTTTCACAGATGAGGAAACTGAGGCATCAGTTAAATAATTTGCATAAGGTCACAGAGCAAGTTATGGAGCCGAGGCAGAACCCTGCAGTTTGACTCCAGAGACTGCATCTTAGCAACTAAAGTTGTCCTAGGATAACTGACTTAATTAATTCAACTCTTGTCTAAAGTTGTGGTTTTGTTTTGTTTTGTTTTCTGCCTGCCAGGCTTGCTTTACTGTTTGGTTCATACTGAATAGAGTGCCTTGTCTACAGTTACCAGCACAAAAGGTTTTTGTGAAGTTCTTTCTAAAAGCAAAAGCACCCAGCATTATCAGGAGGGCACTAGGCCACTGGTCCCTGGGGTAGCAGGCATAGAGAAGCACCCAGTGGGATGAATGACAGCAGAAGTAGCTCAAGTCCTGCTGGCTGGAACCTTATAACCAGGTTAATTGTTGTGAAGGTAGAATCCAGAGAAATGATCACTTAGGTCACCAGGCCAAGGGCCTCAGGTAAAGATCACAGTTCAGAGGCTGAGGTGAGGCCAAGAAAGCATGAGGAAAATGAGGTCAGCAACACAGGTGCTAGAATGCCAGACTGCATCTGGAAAACGGGGGTAGGAAGATCACACCACATTTCAGTTTCACTGTATGGAATAGGGAGAGGCCAAACTGGCCAATGCATAACAGAAAAAAGGATACCCCACTGCATGTAGAGGGGTCTCTTCTTCATCTCACCTGAACTGCCATGTCAGCCCCTTTGTGCCCAGGCTGTCTGCTTTTTCTGTAAGGTCCTGACAATAAACACTATGATATCATGACAGTAATGTTTGCTGTCACTATGTCCCAGTCTTAGTATTAGTTTCCTAAACTGGTTGGGCTACCTCTAGAAATTTGTGGAAACGTTTCATTTTTCCCTCTGCTGCTTCAATGACCTTCCTTGTTGTTGAGCTGTCCCTGCACTGGAGCAATCAGAATGAGACTGGAGAGCTTCTTCAATAGTTGCTGAGTGTAACACTAGAAACCATTATAAAAGGATGAAGTCTCACTCAGAGAATCTGCCGTTCTTCCAGTCATGAGAATTAGGACCCCAAGAAAGGGAGACATTGGTTGGTGTATTGCTTATCACTTAGCACAAGACTCAATCTTGACCTACATCCGGATCCGGATCCTGCCAAATTGTATGGCACCATGAAGACATAATCAGACAATATTGATACATTTTTTGTAATGCAGGATACATAGAGTGTGTTTATTTTATAACTTCATTATTTATTTAAATTTAGGTCTGAGGCCACTGTGGTCTGTCCTACCACACTCTATCAAATTTTGAATTCTAATTTGGGTTTCAGTCTGTTCACAAGTCTAGTTATATCCAGAGAATCAAAGGATAGTTGGATAATTCAGCAAAAGTATTTTATGGGGTAAGTGTATCTTGGCTGTCTTGTAGAATCTGGACACCTTTTGTTTTTAGCAACTATAAATTAAAAAGAGACATGCGTTGTTTTAATTTTAAAGGCAAGACCTGAAAGGTTCTACTTGCCAGGATGACTCCAGAAGTTCCAGAGCTACCATTCTGTTGGTTATTTAATCAACTTTTATTTGCACATTCAGATGATACTGACAATTCTGTAGGCTCTTGAGGTGATAGAAAATAAACATATACCCTGACCTTAAAATATATAAATACACGAAAATAATCTAAGCCATAAGAATATTCCCTCTTTTATGGTTCAGACTTATAAGTTAGGAAAACTGAGCTCCATGAACATGACTAGATATGGTTGGCTCTCTGTCCCCACCCGAGTCTCATGTTGAATTGTAATCCCCAGTGTTGGGGGAGGGACCTGGTGGGAGGTGACTGGATCATGGGGGCAGATTTCCCCTTGTTATTCTTATGATGGTGAATTAGTTCTCACAAGATCTGGTTGTTTAAAAGTGTGTGGCACTTCCCCCTTAACTCTCTCTCTCTTTCTCCTGCCACCATGTGAAGACACGCCTGCTTCCTCTTCACCCTTCTGCCATGATTGTAAGTTTCCTGAGGCCTCCTAGCCATGCTCCCTGCAGAACTGTGAGTCAATTAAACCTCTTTTCTTCATAAATAACCCAGTCTCAGGTAGTTCTTTATAGCATGTGAGAATGGACTAATACAATGACAAAGATTACTAGTTGGAGCCTGGTAAGAGGTTAAGATTGAGGGAGTTGGCCGGGCATGGTGGCTCATGCCTGTAATCCCTGCACTTTGGGAGGCCGAGGCAGGTGGATCATGAGGTCAGGAGATCGAGACCATGCTGGCTAACATGGTGAAACCCCACCTCTACTAAAAATACAAAAAATTAGCCGGGCATGGTGGCGAGCACCCGTAGTCCCAGCTACTCCAGAGGCTGTGGCAGGAGAATGGCGTGAACCCGGGAGACAGAGGTTGCAGTGAGCTGAGACTGTGGCACTGCACTCCAGCCTGGACAACAGAGTGAGACTCAGTCTCAAAAAAAAGAGTGAGGGAGTCTCTGTAGGGCTATAAAAGGAGAAAAGGCAAACCTTATAAATAGATGGGATAAGAATACTCATGTAAAATTCCAGGTGGCATCTCTGTCCTCATTCCTCATCTACTTATCCACAGTGAACACTTAGGCTCTGCTCAGGATTTTCAGAGTCAAAAACATTAAAGAAGCAAGCCAGGAATCATATTTTGGTTATAAGGCATAGAGATCTGGATCTAAGGGAAAATCAAGGTTAAAAACTGAAATTGGCCTCTTATGTCCATGTCAAGGAAGAGTACACTCCTGTCCAACATCAAACTACAGATGATACTGGGTTTAGCTCTGCTGAATAATCGAATAACCCAATAAATAAATAATCCAATAACCCAATAAATAAATTATCCAGGAAATAAATAAGAGGAACCCCATTAGGTATAGGATGGTTAGAAGAGAAAGATACGGGATGATGCTGGTGCAGGGATTCCCTACAATATCAAGGGGAGATACCTCTTCTACTTACTTCTTGTGCTTCTCTATAACTGCCTCCAAGAGTCACTGTCTAAGTTCAATGAAATGAACCATTTAAGCACAAAATCATTAATTCATTATAACCTCAAGATACTATTGTCTGCCAGTTCAGTACAGCATCATAGAATGACCATAACATAGAGTCAAACTGATTGTCAGTTTGACTCCTTTTTTTTTTTTTTTTTTTGAGACGGGGTCTTGCTCTGTGGCCCAGGCTAGACTGCAGTGGCGTGATCTCGGTTCACTGCAACCTCTGCCTCTTGGATTCATGCCATTCTCCTGCCTCAGCCTCCCTAGTAGCTGGGATTACAGGCGCCTGCCACCATGCCTGGCTAATTTTTAGTATTTTTAGTAAGACGGGGTTTCACCATGTTAGTCAGGATGGTCTCGATCTCCTGACCTCATGATCTGCCCACCTCGGCCTCCCAAAGTGCTGGGATTACAGGCGTAAGCCACCGCGCCCAGCCGTCAGTTTGACTCTTAGCTTGACATTTATTATTTGTGGCTACCAGAGAAGTTTACTTACACCTTTTTTTTTTTGAGATGGAGTCTCACTCTGTCACCCAGGCTGGGGTACAGTGGCATGATCTCGGCTCATTGAAACCTCTACCTCCTGGGTTCAAGCAATTCTCCTGCCTCAGCCTCCCAGGTAGCTGGGATTACAGGCATCCACCATCATGCTGGGCTAATTTTTGTATTTTTAGTAAAGATGGGGTTTCACCATGTTGGCTAGGCTGTTCTTGAGCTCCTCACCTCAAGTGATCTGCCTGCCTCAGCCTCCCAAAGTGCTGGGATTACAGGCATGAGCCACCATGCCTGGCCAACTTACACCTCTTTAAGCCTCAGTTTCTTCATTGATTAGAGGACTTAAGAGACAACATATACCAAAATAATGCCTTGTGCATGGAGGTCATTGGTATGTGGTAGGTGTGTTTATTATTTTCCAGTACCAATAACTGTATTCGTTTCCTGTGGCTACTTTAACAAGTGACTACAAACTGGGTGGCTTAAAACAACAGAAATTTATTCTCTCACAGTCATGGAGGCAAGAAATCCAAAATCAAGTTGTAAGTTTTGTTTCTTCAGGAGGCTTCGATGGAAAATCTGTTCCATGTCTCTCTCCTAAGTTTGTACAGCTGTTAGCAATCCTTGGTTTCCCTTGACTTGTAGACGCATCACTCCAATCTCTGCCTCCATCTTCCTATCACCTTCCCCTCCATGTTTTCTTTCTTTTCTTTCACTATAAAATTAAAAATTTTATTTAAAGAAATGTTTTTTAACTTTTTTTTTTCTTTGAGATGGAGTTTTGCTCTTGTTGCCCAGGCTGGAGTGCAATGGTGTGATCTCGGCTCATTGCAACCTCCACCTCCCCGGGTTTAAGCGATTCTCCTGCCTCAGCCTTCCGAGTAGCTGGGATTACAGGCATGCACCACCATGCCTGGCTAATTTTGTATTTTTAGTAGAGACAGGGTTTCTCCATGTTGGTTAGTCTGGTCTTGAACTCCCGACCTCAGGTGATTCATCCACTTCGGCCTCCCAAAGTGCTGGGATTACAGGTGTGAGCCACCATGGCCTGGCCAACTTACACCTCTTTAAGCCTCAGTTTCTTCATTGATTAGAGGACTTAAGAGACAACATATACCAAAATAATGCCTTGTGCATGGAGGTCATTGGTATGTGGTAGGTGTGTTTATTATTTTCCAGTACCAATAACTGTATTCGTTTCCTGTGGCTACTTTAACAAGTGACTACAAACTGGGTGGCTTAAAACAACAGAAATTTATTCTCTCACAGTCATGGAGGCAAGAAATCCAAAATCAAGTTGTAAGTTTTGTTTCTTCAGGAGGCTTCGATGGAAAATCTGTTCCATGTCTCTCTCCTAAGTTTGTACAGCTGTTAGCAATCCTTGGTTTCCCTTGACTTGTAGACGCATCACTCCAATCTCTGCCTCCATCTTCCTATCACCTTCCCCTCCATGTTTTCTTTCTTTTCTTTCATTATAAAATTAAAAATTTTATTTAAAGAAATGTTTTTTAACTTTTTTTTTTCTTTGAGATGGAGTTTTGCTCTTGTTGCCCAGGCTGGAGTGCAATGGTGTGATCTCGGCTCATTGCAACCTCCACCTCCCCGGGTTTAAGCGATTCTCCTGCCTCAGCCTTCCGAGTAGCTGGGATTACAGGCATGCACCACCATGCCTGGCTAATTTTGTATTTTTAGTAGAGACAGGGTTTCTCCATGTTGGTTAGTCTGGTCTCGAACTCCCGACCTCAGGTGATTCATCCACTTCGGCCTCCCAAAGTGCTGGGATTACAGGTGTGAGCCACTGCGCCCAGCCTTTTTTAACGTTTAAGTTCAGGGATACATGTGCAGCTTTGTTATATAGGTAAGCTTGTGTCATGGAGGTTTGTTGTATAAATTATTTCATCACCCAGGTATTAAGCCTTGTACCTATTAGTTATTTTTCCTGATCCTCCCCCTGCTCCCACCCTCTACCTTCAAGTCAGCCCCAGTGTCTGCAGTTACCTTCTTTGTATCCCTGTGTTCAAATCATTTAGCTCCTTTATTCCAAATAAGGTCACATTCTGAAGTTCCAAGTGCACAGAGCTATTAGCAGGGGGTAGAAGGATGCTCTTCCACTCACTGCAACATATGTTATGGGCTAAATTGTGCCCCGTCCCCCACATTCATATGTTAATACCTTAACTTCCAGTACCTCAGAATGTGACTGTATTTGGAAACAGTGCCTTTAAAGAGGTAATAGTTAAAATGAGGCCGTGAGGGTGGGCCCTAATCTAACCTGACTGGTACCCTTATAAACAGAGGAATTAGGACACACTGGGAGACACCTGAGGTACTTGCACATGGAGGAAAGACCAGGTGAGAACAGTGAGAAGGCAGCCATCTGCAAGCCAAGAAGAAAGGGCTCAGAAGAAACCAACCTTGCCAGCACCTTGGTCTCAGACTTCTAGCCTCCAGAACCGTGAGAGATTTCTGTGGCTTAAGCCACCCAGTCTATAGTATTTTGTTATGGTAGCCCTAGCAAACTAATACGACACATACAATTAATGATTGGTCTGCTTTCTTTAGTTTCTTTAGGTTTCTCTGGACAGCAGCTTATACATTGAAGCTGACTCTTCACAATGTGGTAATGAACCCTTGGTTGCAGTGACCTTACAATGTCAAGGGAGCTCAGATACTACCTCATGCATCAGCCAGTATCACCTTTTGCAGCAAACTTTTGTTTGATTGTCTTGCTGAAGTAAGTAAATTATAGTGAATATAGTCAAGTAGCTTGATAAATGCAATTCTACAGTATCTCAGATCATCATAGTGAATATTATGGATATCGTAAAACATAGAAGGCATAGAGGATTTAGATTAAGAGTATTTGAAATTTCTTCAAAATAAAAACCCTTATCATAAGCTTGTTTTGTTATGGTCTTTCTTTTTTTTAAAGTTAAATGTAAAAAAATTGGTCAATTGACAATTCTGCCTAGGAAAATCAAATAAAAGTCTTAAGACATATATATGGTATTCCATCCATTTCAACATAGCCATTGTGATTTGAAGACAAATGTTAGGTCACTTAGTCTACTATCCTCCACTGGCAAATTCTAAAAGCTAGTTTTCATGAGCATGAAACTTTGCATCTTTTTATTTATGGGCTTCAAAAAACCCTTAAACTCCTAAGTGTTATCTTCTTAAACTAGTTTATGATTTTCACAGCTGCTATTTCAGTTTGTTGTTTTATTGCTTTTGTAAAGAGCTCTGAGATTTTTATGAAGGTGCTAGGCTTATAGTGTATGTTTAATCACCATTTCAGTAATCATTATCTTTGTCATTTAAAACAGTACCTCTGTAAGGCTGTGCTGGCATTAAATAATATACATAAGCAATTAACAGTAAATATTAATAATGATATTGGTAAACTCTAAGACATAAAGGAAGAACAATAGAGTTTAAAAAGCATATGTAGTTCTCTCAAGCTTTTCTCTGACAAGTATAATTTCAAATATATTTATTGTTGAGATATGTAGCTGATGTATTTCTTACAGCTGGAATACCTAGAGATTTTACAGCAATACATCAACTAGTGCACTAGGGGTGGATCTCACATTGTACTCTCTTAACAATAGTTGGCAGCAGGTAACATTCCTTTCTTCTGTGTCTACTCTGACCTGCTCCAAGGTCAAGATAATGAATATGTGATCACTACTCACTTCCCTTTGAAAATATATGGATTTCTCACAGTTATCTACCTGTCCCTTGACTGTGTTAACAGCAATAAGTAGGTTACAGAGAAAAGAAAAAGGGACAGGGACTAGTGATACTCTAGTCTCTGTGGATAGCGAGAGCATTGGAACAATGTTTGGATAGCATAATGGGTCAAGTGCCTTGAACAGATTGTCTTGGTCCAGATTATCAACCCTATAGCTGAGTCTCTCTCTTTTTCTGATGTATCTCAAGTGCTTAGCACAGTGCCAGGAGCACAGGAGTTGATCAATCAATAATCTTTAATGGGTAAATTAATGAATTAACAAACCGCAAAGTGCACTGCCACTCTTCTTTGGGAAGAATTTGTTAGTTGCTTAGTCAACAGTGATAAATGGTACTGAACACTGTCTGGCAAAATTTAAAAAAACAAACAGGCCATGTTGCATCAGGCTGAAGCAAAGCATTATCAAGACGTAGAGAGCAGCAAGCACATACACACATCTGTGAAATACGGAAGTAACTGCAATTACCAAAAAAGAAAATTTGCAAAGCATAAAGCAGTTCAAACTGAATATATAATAAGCATGATATATATGCTGCAAAAAAAAAAGATGATAGAACATTTGAAATCTTAGGGAGTCTCTAGAGGAAGTGCAAAGTCATGGCATTTATTCTGAAAAGTTCTTGAAGGAAATCAGTTTTGAATCAGATTTTGAAGAAGGTGAGAGTTCTCATTTGGTATAGGTAAGTACAAAATTGATAGATTAGAAAGCCAGTGTAGGAATTTAAAAAGCCTAATGGAATTAAGGGGAAAAAAAGTAGGTGGGAAAAAAATTTTAATGAACTCAAGTAACATAGAAACACTTAAAATAGGAAAACCTAACATAGTATATGCACAAATGTTCTAAGAATGTATTAAACATAATACACTGGTTCATTTCTGTAAATAATATCCTTAGACCCTAGCAGGAGGGAGGCTAGCTCAGACAATGGCTTCCTGACGTCAAATTATTGTGCTTGCCTACACAGCCTAGTTAATAATCTTTCAAAATGTAACCACCTGTGAGTGAGATGTTGAGGAAGTAATAAATAAACTATTTTACTGCACCTCAGAGAAATATATTCATAATTTTACCATATCTGAATCATGGGAGGGTAATTGTGATACCTTAGACATGGCATCCTATAAAATTACAGGTTTTGTCTGTGTATATTAGCTAAAGTAGATAATCAGGTTGATCAATAATGTTAAGTAAAGAATGAAACAACAAAAAACTTCTTCAATTATCTGAATTATTAAGGTAAGAGTGAATTTTATAACAAGTATATTTTCTGGATCAGTGGTTCTCTACTTGTTTGAAGCACTGAGGACTATTTTTTTTTTTTCTTTTTGAGATGGAGTCTCACTCTGCCGCCCAGGCTGGAGTGCAGTGGCACAATCTCGGTTCACTGCAGCTTCTGCCTCCCAGGTTCAAGCAATTCTCGTGCCTCAGCCTCCTAAGTAGCTGGGATTATAAGCATGTACCACCACACCCGGCTAAGTTTTGTAATTTTAGTAGAGATGGGGTTTCACCATGTTGGCTAGGCTGGTCGCGAACTCCTGACCTCAAGTGATCCACTCACCTCGGCCTCCCTAGAGATTACAGGCATAAGCCACTGTGCCCGGCCCTGCACTAAGCACTATCTGTTGACTGAATAAATAGCATGCTTTACACTTATTTCTTTGAATAAATGTGTTATTATAATTAGTAAATTTAAATTTTATTTCCAAAGATTTCTAACCTCAAATATAGGACAAGTGGCCACCTCTATAGGAATGGGAGCAATTTTCAGAGAAAAGGGGTAAAAAGGGTTAAGGCAATATGTAAAACATCTAAAATGGTATTTGTTACAATGTGCCTGGTGTTGGCCATTGTATATGTGTTTAATAAAAGTGGAATTCTTCAAGGATGTTTTCTGGTATAACACAGGTTTTCTAACTGAAAGAAGTTAGGGACCACCGAGCTAGACAATTGCTTAGATCTGTGCTGACAGTTGTGCCTTCCTAGGATCACTGGATTAAAGAGCATCTTAGCAGCTTTGACATCTTTGTCTGTCTTAGTGATTGATGCTCATCACAGTGGTCTGAACCATGGTGAAACTATCTCTATCAGTCATTAAGGAAGGCTGTCATGTCATGCATATTGCCACAATTTGAGGATATATCTGAATAGGAGAAGTAATGAAACTGCAAGATGACCAATCCCGTAAATTTAGCCATGTGTCATATATTGCAAGACCCAGAGTATATGGCCAGAATGATATTAATGATGGAGATGGCTTGATTTAAATAGTTTATTGTTCATACGTGTAACTTAAATGTAATTTATTTTCTTTTTCCTCAAAAATCACCCTAGTTACAACTGGAAAGATTAACTGTCAGAAATCAGTTAAATGAGAAATAGAAAATGATTTAATTCATTCCATAATAGACTTGAATTGCAATGGAATTGAAGGGGGAAAATATAAAATTATGAAATGCAAAGAAAATGAAAAAGATGGAAAAAATATGTACATCATTAAATCACTAGTTTCAATGAATCATTTTGCTTAGTATAGACAGCACAGTTGGGTTATCTCAAAAATGCTTGAAATGTGGCATTGCAAGAGGTAGTTCTTTTCATTTATTTAATTTTGCAAAGTCAGGTAATTTTGAGAAAAACAGTACTGCAAGAAAGTACTAAAATTGCAAGATACAGCAGCTCAGTTAAAAATAACTAGAAATAAGAACCCATACTTAGTAGAACAAAAAATAAACTTTAGAAAATTGTTTTTGTGGAATCAAAGATCTCTGACAGGGACAAATGGCAAAACACTTAAGTTGAAAAATAAATACAGCGAAGCTTAGCAATAGAATTAAAACTAGATTTTTAGAAACTGCTGATTATCATAAAAGACTTTTAAATGATGGCTGGAAGATTATTTAAATTGTATACTCAAGTTAGATTAATAAATTATTATATAATAATATAATAAATATTATATAATAATTCTTCCTATATTTGTATCCTAGCATCTAACAAGTGCAGGCACATTGTGACATATGCCTTTTGGGATGTTTATCAGATCTAACCCCTCTTCTTTAACTACTCCCATATCAATAGGGCATCTTTGCTCCCATATTTGAAGTAGGGGATCCTTCCCTAGGGTCATAGCAGATTGGGCTGGAGAAGAAGGACAGTTACCTCCCCAAGAGAAGTGGATCTAATTCTCTTATTCGGAACTGGAGCACAGTTAGTTAAGTGCTTGAATAGGAAAGGGATCTAAAGCCAGTGCAGAACCATGTTTCAGCATGGACAGGCACTACAGCAGAGAGAGAGGAGTAAAAGAGAGACAGAGAGATTGAGTGGGGGCAAGAGCAAGAGAATAAAAGCAGATGCTCGGCGAGAGGAGACAGCCCCATGAGATGTTTGTGTTCTAGGTCCTAGTTACAGTTCCACATGAGATTTGATTGGATCTCCCAATGTTGGTTTATTTGCATTTTCTCTATAGTTTTTATAATAAACTTCGATTGTGCTTATGTATTAGACTATGAGTTACATTTAGGGCATGAAGAAAAAAAGTTCTGCAGAGAATAGAGAGAGCTAAATATTAGGCAGGGTCATCACAGTTATCTAGGTTTCTCTATTTGGTGATTTAGTAAAACACAAATACCTGCATTTAAAGGCTTTTTACATGTTAATATGTTATGAGGTAAAGTAGGCTTAGTGGCTTCTCTAGTCATGTGATTTCTTAGTGGACCGAAATATGATTCCCAAACACATAATCCTGCTGGATTTTGCTTAGTCAAAATTTTAAGATTTTGAGATATTCAGCCAAAATCAGGCTACAAGTTTCTCACCCTGTAGAACTTGTTTTTGCCTAAGTAAGCATGATTGGACACAATTTGTACTTCTGGAAAAAGTAAATAAGTTAGAACAAAAGCCATAATGAGATACCATCTTCTGTCTACAAAACTGAAAAGAAAAAAATATAAATCCCAAAGTTGATGAGAATTTAGGGAAATGGGTCATCTCATACTTGGCTGTTTGAATTATGATGAGAAATATACCAATAGTCACTTGCTCATTGAACAAATATTTATTAAATATACTCTAGGTGTTAAACATTGTCCTACACACTGGTATTTAGCAGTAAACAAAACAGACAAAAACCTTTGCCTACATGGAACTTGTAATTTCCTAAATCTTTAAAATGTTAAAAAAAGTCCATAACCTTTTTACCTAAGAGTTTTACTTTTTAGATGTATATATATATATATATTTTATTCACACAATGGAATACTGTGCAGCCATTAAACACGATGTTTTTAAAGACCATATGATTATGTAAAAATTGAGTTTTCAGCCAGGCGTGGTGGCTCATGCCTGCAATCCCAGTACTTTGGAAGGCTGAGGCGGACGGATCATGAGGTCAGGAGATCAAGACCATCCTGGCCAACCTGGTGAAACCCTGTCTCTACTAAAAATACAAAAATTAGCTGGGTATGGTGGCGCGTGCCTGTAATCCCAGCTACTTGGGAGGCTGAGGCAGGAGAATTGCTTGAACCAGGGAGTCAGAGGTTAGGGTGAGCTGAGATCATGCCACTGCACTCCAGCCTGGTGACGGAGCAAGACTCCATCTCAAAAAAAAATTAAGTTTTAAAGGATTATCTATAGCAGGTTCTCATCCTTATACAAATAAATATAAGTACTAATATACATATACTTTTTAAATAAATATGTACTAAAACATTAATGGTAGTTGTTTCTGTGTGACGGGATTATAGATAATTTTTATTTTCCACTAATTATGTCTTAATATTTCTAAATTTTCTGCAATAAACCAGTATTAATTTGGTCTATTTTGTTTCAAGTCTAACATGGATGGTGTCTCATATTTTCACAAAATTGAGAATTAGAAGCTCAATGAGGGCAAGAACCCTGCCTGTCTTGGAAACTTGGTTGAATCAATGAATAAGTCAGCATCAAAGAGAAAATTTGCATACTTCAGTTAAAGGAGAACATTGTAGTGCAATTGTTACTGTACATGTTTGACATCAGCAATATCTATAAACTGATTACTACTTTGTCATTCAGTTATCTGTATTAAAAATGCCACATGAAATTTAATGTAAACTTGGTTCCATATATGTCATTTAAAATATCCTCTGAAAGACACAGTGTACATAAAAGAGAATTCAATTAAAAGCAGTGAATCCCTAATGATAGCTTAGGATGGATTCTTATTCAGGCCTGAACAGTTATCTGTCCAAAGTTCCTACTGTATGCATTCTAATTAAGGAAAAACAAAGCATTAGAAAAACTGTAGGTAACATGATGTGAGCTATATAACGTGAAATGAAACTATCAGTCAAAAAAGTGTTAATAAAAAGTTGAAGTTTTAGAGTACGTATAGTGAACATGTGCTACTTTTACCCCTTGGCATCTATATTT
Organism: Homo sapiens; assembly: GCF_000001405.40. Classification (NCBI taxonomy): domain Eukaryota; kingdom Metazoa; phylum Chordata; class Mammalia; order Primates; family Hominidae; genus Homo; species Homo sapiens. The sequence goes on along the minus strand of NC_000001.11, from coordinate 81,726,640 downwards.
CCCAATTCTGGTAAAATAGGACCTCCTTCTCCCAAAACCTTTTCTTTGGGGAACGACTCCTCAATCCATGTAATATAAGTAGGTTTGACCCGCACTCTCAACTCTAGTGCTGTCCAATACAGTCATGGCTATTTAGTTTAAATTTAACATACTTAAAAGAAAGTCTAAATTTTAGTTCCTCAGTTGCCTTAAGCACATTTTGAGTAATCAATAGCCACACATGACTAGTTGTTACTGTATGGGACATAGTAGATTATAGAACGTTTCCATCATCACACAAAGTTTTCTTTGACCACACTAAGGGTTTCAGTAACCCAGTATTAATCCCATGTGACTGGCCGCAGGGATGAGTCCAGGGAAGGATGTATGACCCAATTCAGGTAGGTAAGAGCCAGGCTGAGGATTTCTGTAAGGGTTGTGAGAGAGAAGTTCTCATGACTATTGGAATAAAAGAGGGGCAAGGAGATGGAGCTGCTGCAGTTTCCCCAAGGGACAATCCTGCTGAGAGTGGACACTGTACAGAAGAGAAAATACCTACAAACAGAGAGAAAACAGGTCATTGAGATGCTTTCTGAGATCATGAATCAACAGTGCCTAAAGACCACCTGCGGATTGTTTTGGTTTTTGGGTTTTTGTTTTGTTTTGTTTTGTTTTGTTTTAGACATGGTCTGGCTCTGTCGCCCAGGCTGGAGTGCAGTGGAGCCATCTCGGCTCACTGCAACCTCCGCCTCCCAGGTTCAAGCAATTCTCCCACCTCAGCCCCGCAACTAGCGGGGACTACCGGCGTGCACCATGTCCAGCTAATTTTTGTGTTTTTTGGAGGGGGTTGAAAATTAAGAATGTATTTTACATTGTGGAATTTAAAAATCTAAAAGCACAGTACACATTTTCAGAAGAGGAATTTTACTATTACCCACTTATGGTGATATTTGCAATATTAGAATATAATTCAGTTAAATAAATCAGATAAGGAATCCAGAAGAAACTGTTCCTGAGTTAAACCAAGTACACGTTGGCAATTTTGAGAAAGGAGAACATATGTTAACATAACACACAAGCTCAAATGCAAGTTTATTTATTTATTTATTTATTTATTTATTTTGAGACAGAGTCTCACAGTGTCACCCAGGCTGGAGTGAAATGGCATGATCTCAGCTCACTGCAACCTTCACCTCCCGAGTTCAAATAACTCTCCTGCCTCACCCTCCCAAGTAGCTGGGATTACAGGCGCCTGCTACCACGCCCAGCTAATTTTTTGTATTTTTAGTAAAGACAGGGTTTCACTATGTTGGCCAGACTGGTCTCAAATTCCTGACCTTGTGATCTGCCCGCTTCGGCCTCCCAAAGTGCTGGGATTACAAGTAAGAGCCACCGTGCCTGGCGTCAAATGCAAGTTTATGTGGTGAGTGTTTTTTGTTCTTTTTTTTTTTTTTTTTTGAGACGGGGTCTCACCTTTCGCCCAGACTAGAGTGCAGTGGCACAGTCTCGGCTCACTGCAACCTCCACCTCCCGGGTTCAAGCAATTCTTCTGCCTCAGCCTCCCAAGTAGCTGAGATTACAGGCACCCGCCACCATGCCCAGCTAATTTTTTGTATTTTTAGTAGAGACAGGGTTTCACTATGTTGGCCAGGCTGGTCTCAAACTCCTGACCTTGTGATCCACCTGCCTCGGCCTCCCGAAGTGCTGGGATTACAGGCGTGAGCCACCGTGCCCGGCTGTGGTGTTTTTAAAGGATTTTAAAAGCATGCTCCATCAGCATAATAGCTTTTTCTCATTTACAGAACAGATGCATTTCTGTCTGCTTGTGTACAGCAAAGGGTTAGAACCTGAATAAACTTATTTATTATTCCAGAAATGTGCTGTTTTAGAAATGTACTCCATAGAATTTACTTCACTGCACCTACCACTGATTCTTCAAATAAGCAAAGTATGCAAGGTCTTATCCCATGAAAATGTTTTTAAGCACTAGCACTTTAAATTGAAACATTGTTAGAAACATAGCAATGTCAGGTACGATGTCTATACATAGTCTTATTTAAAATAAGAATTGAATGCACAACAGAAAATTTATCATTTTCTTTATCATTGGAGGGGAGGGAAAGAAAGCAAGCGGAGGTGGGGGTAGGATTACACTATTTAAGGAAGAGCTGAATACAAAGACAATGGGTCTTTCATAGTCTCAACAACTCCACAATGAACAACTGGATTATCTCATTTATAATTCACATTGGATCAAAAAAATTGGTTCCCCTCTGTGCATATCAATTTAATTCAAACCTTATTATTTTCAAAATACAAATATGAATACTACAAGATAAACTCTAATTCCAATAGGTATTTTCTAAGTAGAAGACCAAACAACAAAGGGAATCCCTCTTTCCAGTGTCTTTTGATATGACAAGATGTTGCCAGAGTGGAAGTCTAACACATAAGTAAGCATTCTCACGGCCAAGTAAGAAACTACAGTTGTTGTGGGTATTACCCTACCATTACTCTATGTATTACATATTAAATTAAACACAGCATTAAATATGCTTGTATAATTATGCCATTAATGATAATAACAGTGATGATGCTGGTGGAAAAAGCCTGTCTTTAGCCCAAGAAAAGTAAGGCAGAAAAATTTAACAAGCAGAAAGCAGACACGGAGTTGCGCATTTTTTGACTAGGAAAGAGAATTTTAAGCATAGAAATATAAAAAGAAAAGTACTCCCTCATTTCCCCTATGTGGAAATAATATGAAACATTTATTAGATATACTGGACAAGAACAGAACTAAGTACTCCAATTCTACTGCAGCATTACAAAAAAAAATCCCTTCACCACAGGGTGAGATTTAAGGGCAAACCTGCCCAAAGATGCATGTTATATAAAACACAGCAAGATTGCCACTGCCCTGCCAAGTACTTCCAGTCTCTACCCAGGTCCTACTGAAATACTGGTGGTCCCAGTTAGTTTTATTGAAATAAATATTTAAAGAAAAGGATAAAGCATTTAAAAAGACAAGCCAAAATGCTTCAGGAACCACATATCCAATACAATGTTTATCCTCAAATGAGTTTAGTTTGCCTCGCACTAATAAACTTTTATTTCACTCAAATTAGAGCAATAATCTTCCATACATAAGTATCTTCCCTGCCCAATAATTCAAAGGAAAAAAATCCAAAATGATTAGTAAAGAAAAATATAAGAATTAACAGACCCTTTAAATTTGTTTTAAATATTTTTAAGGTTTAAAAAGTGTTTAAAGTTTGTAATTCCTAGTAGGAAAACATTATCTGAACGAGTACCCTAATGGCAAACCACCATAAAATGCTTCAGTTGCATTTGGGGGAGAGAGGTAGGGATTAATTCCTAGTAGGAAAACATTATCTGAATGAATACCCTAATGGCAAACCACTGTAAAATGCTTCAGCTGCATTTGGGGGAGAAGGGTAGGGATTATCTTCAAAGCACCCCAGCTCTCTTGATGAGAAGGTCAGAGGTACACTGGTTTGTATTATTGCGACATCCATAAGGTAATCTAGGTTGCTTTTCCTTCAGCAAGGGCTTTATTTATCAGAAGGGCACTGTGCTTGACTCCCAATTGGCTGACAATTTACTGATAAGATTCATAACCTTTGGGTTGCTGTGGTATTTTGACAAATTTGCTGGGTTCTGAGCCACATCCTGGAAGGCCACCATAACTTCTGGATCCTGCATGTCTGCAAGAACCTCTAGATCACTAAGAATTTCATTGAGTCCAGGCATTCTGGCCATTCCAGATATTCCTCTGGGAAAATTACCAGGCATTTCCCCCAGGAAAGCCACCTGGAAAAGAGCCATAGTGAGCTTCTGACTGTGGTCTGGCTTCTTCCTCCCTCCGGGCTCTCTCATGCTCTTCTTGAGCCTTCTTAACTCTTTCTATTCTTTGATCTCTCGCTCTTCACGTTTCGCTCATACTTTCTTCTGCAATTTCCTGTGCCCTAGGTTGAACTTCTTTCAGCATTGTACTAGCATCTTCATCGTAATCCAATTTACAGGCAAGGGCAAGATCATGGGCTACATCTTCCCAGTGGCCTAGGCGTCTGTGTGCTTTCCCTCGCCATTTGTAAGGCTGAGCTGAATCAGGATTTATTTCATGGCTCTGTCACAGTCTTGGATGGCAGCATTTGGCTTCTGTAATTTGACGAAAACGCTGGCCCTCTTGGCATACAAAACGGCCAAGCGCAAATTCAGCTTAATGGCATTTGTGAATAAGTCAATGGCTTTCTGCAGTTCACCATCATTTAGGGCTTCAATAGCAACCACTTTCTTATCATATGCCTGATCTCATCTCCTCTGTTATCTCTGCATTTTCTTTTTTTTTTAGACGGAGTCTCGCTCTGTCGCCCAGGCTGGAGTGCAGTGGCGCGATCTCCGCTCACTGCAAGCTCCGCCTCCCGGGTTCATGCCATTCTCCTGCCTCAGCCTCCCGAGCAGCTGGGACTACAGGCGCCTGCCACCGCTCCCGGCTAATTTTTTATATTTTTTAGTAGAGACGGGGTTTCACCATGTTAGCCAGGATGGTCTCGATCTCCTGACCTCGTGATCCGCCCGCCTCGGCCTCCCAAAGTGCTGCGATAACAGGCGTGAGTCACCGCGCCTGGTCCTATCTCTGCATTTTCATCTCCTATTTCTTAAAGGGCATCAGTGTCTGGTTCAATCACCCATTCATTATCAACTTCTAGATCACTTTCCTCACTTGATGGTTTGTCTGCCTTTAAGTTTTCCTCCACCTTCTTACTATCAGGTTTTTTTTTTCCCCTTGGTATTTTCTTCAGATTTAGCTTTCTGAGTAGCAGGTGGTACTTTACCGCCTGCTCCCACCCACTCCCTCAGGAAGCACATTTCCTCGGTGTGCAGAATGCTCGGATCCTGCTTACACATTTTCACAAGGGCCTGCTCGTTCACTTTGCGGGGGGTCCATGGTCAGGAAGCAGTGGGCGAAGCTGAAGAGCTGCAGCCCGGTTCCAGGCCCAGGCGCTGGCTTGGCGTGACCGCACAGAAGCAATTTTTGTATTTTTTTGGTAGAAACTGGGGTTTGCCATGTTGCCTAGGCTGGTCCTGAACTCCTGGGCTCAAGAGATCGTTCCATCTCAGCCTCCCAAATTGCTGTGATTACAAGCGTGAGCCACTATGCCCGGCCTACCTGCAGATTTTTAACTTACAAAAGCCAATAAATTTCTTTGGTGTTCAAGATCAATTTGGGTCGGTTGTTTGGATATATAACTAAAGTAGTATTAACTGAGATACATAATTGAAAGTGAATGAACTAAAAGCAGTGTGGTTATCTCTTTGATACCATCATAAAGCCTCAAAAGTGACTCCAAGTATATTAAAAGAGGTTTTGAGTTAAATTTTGATTATAATTCAGAGATGAGAGTGACATGCAATTATACAGATAAATGTATGCCGTTACCATTTAGCAAAAAGAAATTGTTTAAATCTGGCGGGGTGCGGTGGCTCACACCCGTAATCCCAGCACTTTGGGAGGCTGACGCAGGAGGATCGCTTGTGTCTAGGAGATCGAGACCAGTCCAGGCAACATAGCAAGACCCCGGCTCTATTAAAAAAAAAAAAAAAAAGGAAATTGTTTAAATTTTATATAGTTTATTTTCTGAAAAGCTGTTATTAAATTAGTGGGAGTAGGTTTACATAATTGATAGCCCCTTAGAACCCATGAATATTTATTTATTTATGTTAATATATAAAACATATATAGTATAATATATAAACATAAATATATGTTAATATATAAGTGAGGATTTTTCCCCAATTCATCAGACTCACAAGTTATCCAGTTTTGCTTTATTGATATATAGGTGTTATATAATATTTTCTTACACTGCTTAAAGTGACTTGTGGTTGATTTTGGTGTAGCCTACTTCCATCTAATAGCTGCAATAGCCTTTTTATATTGAGTAGTACTTCCTTATGATGATATAGAAAAAATTTGTATAACTGAAATTTGTGTTACTAAAATTTTGTAGTTTCATATTTAATTTTATATCTCTTTTCTCTTGCTTCTCACCCTCAGTTTTGTACCTCCTGTGAACTAGTTTGATGGTCAGAAGAAACAGTTTAAAAAAACGAACAGGTGAAGAAAATATACAGACCTCACTTGTTAACATTAAATAAAGAATGCTTTGGCCGGGCGCAGTGACTCATGCCTGTTAATCTCAGCACTTTGGGAGGCCGAGGCAGGCGGATCACTTTGAGCTCAGGAGTTTGAGACCAGCCTGAGCAACATGGTGAAACCCCGTCACTACTAAAAATACAAAAATTAGCCAGGCGTAGTGGCCTGTAATCCAGCTACTCGGGAGGCTGGAGAATCACTTGAACCTGGGAGGCAGAGGTTGTAGTAAGCTAAGATCATGCCACTGCACTCTAGCCAGGGTGACAGAGCAAGATTACGTCTCAAAAAAAAAAAAAAAAGAAAAGAAAAAAAGGAATGCTTTTAATTTCAGTGCTGACCTTTTCAACTACTTTTTTTAAAATGTCTGTAATACGACTAGAAGAATCTCCATTTTCACTCTGGCAACCTCAGCAGCAATTTGTCTGCATATGCTACCATTACATTTTCATAATAAAATATAGTAAAACAAAAATAAAAATGCCAATAAAATAGATTTGTTTCTAAAAATGGCAGGGGGTGGAATGTGGTACCTGGACATGTTTTCTAACACAGTCCACAAAATCATGTTTTCTCCCATATCACATTTTAAAAATAGACTACCAGGTAGAGGATAGCCCACTTGCAGAAAGGCCCCCTCAGGAATCAGCAGGAGATGTTCAAAAAACGCTCTGAGTCAACATGCTGACAGTGATCACAAAAAAAGACAAATTCCACTAGCATTGGGCTGTATACAAAGAACCATCATATCCCAGACCTAAGGGATGATATATGATGCACCTGGAAAAGTGCATTCAGTTTGGATAAACTCAATTCCAGAAATATGTGGAAGACTGGAGAGAGTAAAGAGAAAAGAAAAAAAAATGATGAAGTGACTGGGGAGGTGAGGTTGGGAAGGGGGCTTGGGAGAAAAGATTAAAGCAACTGGCTAAGTAACTTAAGATTTGACATGATAACAGCCAACAAATATTTAAAAATAGCAAATACTATGATGACAGAGAAATTACTTGGGATTGTAAAGGAACACAGAGAAAGAAGCAGGATTGAGAAACCTGATGTTCTGGCTATGTGTAGACGAAGATAAAAAACTGAAAAATATAGTAACTTTAGGAATATTGTCTTAAGGAGTCTGTAGGAAGCTTTAATTCATAGCAAATTTACTACTAAACACAAAGAAAGCCATGGGTATTGGCAGATAATGATTGTGAGGAACGGATGGTGGCCTATATGACTAGAGATATTCTTTCTTACGTAGTAGTTCTATAAATCTATTGTAATATGAGAACTCTAATTTATGTTGAAAAAGGGTATATTCCTTGCCATGAGGCAAGGTTTAAACCAAACTTTTAAAGAACCCATTATTACACAGTTTGCTCTGGGATCTCTGACTAACCCAGGGGAGAAAAGTGTTTTTAATCTGCAGTTTTCCAAAACCAATTCAATTAAAAATAATAAAAAATCTGAAATCCTGTCCATAAGGGTTAATAACTACAGAGGTGTCCAACAGATATTCAATCACAAAAATTCAAATGCTCTTTTCATTAAGCCTCTGGTGTCTTTTTCCATAGCTAAACCAAGATAATTGTTTTGGGGCTAATTTCTGAGGCTGTTTAATAACACCTCCTGCTAGACTTCTCATGTAAACTCAGCAAGAGGAAACATCCAGAGTAATAGAAAAATATTCTGTTCATTTTATAGCTCAAATTCACACTTTTCTTTACAAAAGAGATCCTGCTGTTTGAGTTTGGCAACTGTCATACCAACTGCTTTGGGGAAGATTGGATTAGAAGGCGAAGCTGACTATGCAGTAAAGTCTCCACTCTCCAGCAGGATTTTTATGTAAATTCCATTACAATTTATACTTTTGTAGATAATGAAAAGGATACAAAACACTTTAAGGTTTCCAAGTCAGCAAAATAATGAACAGGACAGTCTGCAAACCACTTTACTACATTTTTGACATGTGGTCACTCATATAAATGGGCTTTGTATCTGTTCTTCTTTCACAGAGGATTTTTTTTTTTTAATGCTACATTCTAACAACTCATAGCTCTACAGGTTATTGCTAATGTGTGAACATGAACTACAAACAGATCATCATACTTTTAATTTCAGTAACTGGCAGATTTTGCATTATGTTTCCTTAAGAAAATATGGACAATCTTTTCTCCCAAAATGCGGTGGCTCACGCCTGTAATCCCAGTACTTTGGGAGGCCGAGGCAGGCAGATCATGAGGTCAAGAGATCGAGACCATCCTGGCCAACATGGTGAAACCCTGTCTCTACTAAAAATACAAAAATTAGCTGGGCATGGTGGCGCGTGCCTGTGGTCCCAGCTACTCAGGAGGCTGAGGCAGGAGAATCACTTGAACCCGAGAGGCGGAGGTTGGAGTGAGCCGAGATGGCACCACTGCACTCGAGCCTTGCCACAGAGTGAGACACACATACCTTATAGACTAATGGCAGTGCCAGAGAGGTGTGCTTTTATAATTAACCAACCACAAAATTAAAACTATGTAGATTGATCTATAATTATTATTTTATGTAATTTGTGATGACATGTAAGGGTAAAAGTATGTTTTCAAAAGACTAGCCTCTAGAGACAATATGTTTTTGGGTTTCCAAATGGATCTTTCTTAGCAATAGTCAATGACTATAACAGAAACAGTCAAGAAAATATTCTGTAGCACAATGTACAAAATGTATTATTTTCCTTCTGCTATTGTCATTTTAGTTCCATATATTGTCTTGTGCTGGAAGGTGAAATTCCCATTAGTGTCAATGGAGAATCCAGGCATGGAGTAAAGGAAACCCAAGACTTAGGCAACAGTGACACAATTCTCCAAGTGAAGCAAGAATGTGAACAAAGTATGTATTTGAAATATAAAATATTCTGGTGATCCATTATCCCATTAATGGAGTTGAAGTTTTCAGGGATGTATGCTCATCTTTATTCTGGGATGACTAACACACATGTAATATTCCCTTTGGTATATTTAATAATTTCACTCAAAATAGGAAGCCTATTGACATTTCACTTCATTGCCAAATCAAACAAGATTAGTCATATGATCTGTGTCTCACTGATAGATGAATTTTGATGGTGAAAAGTCAAAGCATGATGATGCATAGCCTTTGACTTGTAGTTGGCCTTTTGGGAGCCATGCTGTGCCTCTTTCCAAAGGAGAGAAGCCCAGGCTGGGTTCCTGTGGACTTACCCGGAGAATCATATATAACTGGTTCATGACTTTTACACTCTAGAATGCTTCATTCTCAGGGAGCTCTCAAGTGCATTCAAATGTTCCAGAAGCAGACATTCCCAAGCCTTTGCTTTGGGAAGTCCTGATAATTTAGAGAAACAGCCAGAAGAGAAAATGGAGACAACATGACCAACCGATGCTAAATAGAGGCAAAAGGCTCATGTATGCTAATAACAAGATTTCATCCTTAATGCAGGATTTTAGTGATTGTTTAACATGCAGTATCCCATATAAGCCTCATGACAATCTTATGAAATAAGTCTGTTATTATTCCCATTTTTGGATGAGAAGACTGAAGATCAAAAACTAAACAGCACTTTATTTCTTTGAAGATCAAATGGAATACAGTGGAGTTGCATTTGAGCCCATGTCCAGATTTCTTAACCACTTTAAATATTACTTTAATCTTCCTTATTACCACAAAACACACACACACAAACTGTAATTTACCTTCTGTCCATACTTTTCAGAATATATATTGATTTTTGCTTTACCCTTTTATGCTCCTTTTGGTGGTTTCAAACCTGGATTAATCTAGTTCTTAGATACTGATTTTGTTGTTGATGGTGGTGGTGGTGTATAGCTCTTTTATATGACCCTGACAAATCACAGATGGTTGCACTGCTTTAATTTCCTTTTAAGAGATTTTTCTCCAAAAGTGCCAGCCACACAGGGAAGAGAAGGTAGAGATTACTCAGTTTGTTGTTGGTCTATAAGGTTATGGCAGTAATAAAATGTAATTTCTGAGAATAAAATTATATTTTTAATGACAACAGCAATACTCAATGAAAGAACACAAACTCGTGCAGGCCCTGTACTAGATGCTTTGGGTATAAGAACTCATTTAGTACTCAGAATAACACCGGGGAGTAAGTATTATTGTAACCATTTTACAGATAACAAAATAGAGCTCGAGTAATCTAAGGAAGCTGCTTAAGGTCATGCAAAGTCTATAGCAGAACTGATCAAGCACACATCTCTCTGCCTGCAGGGACTTTGCTTTTTCCTTTACCACACTGCCTGCCATATCCAGAAATATGAACTGTTCAAGCTACTTTCTTTAAGGCTAGAAATAAACTTTTAAGATTTGACGGACTGTGTTAGAGACCAAGTGAAGGTCATTAGTATAAAAATATAATAGTAAAATGCCTTTCTTTCTTCTCTATCACTTGAGTCTTTCTTCTCTCTGCCCTTGCCCCATTTTCATATGAAATGGTATCATATATTTCAGTACCTTGAGCAATTACGATGCTGTGGGGCTTTGAAGAGGCAAACCATCCCTAACTTTAGCATTGCCAAGCTCAAAAATGCCTGTGGGAACAGAACATCTTACCTTTCTTGATCTGGTTGGCCTCAAAACCTCAGCTATTAATTATAATCCAGGTACTGTACAGGAGACCTAAGAACTCTACTTCTTTTGACTTCTGTTCCTCATTAGGTTCTGTGACCTTGGTCTCATGAAGAGACAATGGAAAAAAAGCAGGGGGATAAGAGATATTTCCCCCTCAGCACTTGGCCATTTGACATGTATGCAGAGCTATATTTGTCTCTGTTTCATCCTTTTGAAGGTAAGCTTGTGGGGAGTACCAGGCACGTCATGTCGCATTAAGTGCTCAGCACACTCTTACTCCACGCTTAACATAATAACTCTCATATTCATTCATGAGAAAAGCCTCCTTTTCTTATGTCCAGCCAACTGAAAAGATTCATAAGGATGATTTTAAAAGGTTGAAAGGCAACTTTAAGCACAAGAATTTACAAGATGCACATACACACTAACAGAAAAATCTCACAGTGGTAAATTATACTATTTGAGCTGGTGCTTTTTCTCCTGTTTAGACCTAATGTCTGCATAAAATGTTTGTTCAAAGCTAGTACATATTGTTTTACTCAAGAATATATATATATATGTCTCTTTAGAATTAAAAAAAGGAAAAAAGAAAAACCCATCTGTTTGTGAATAAATGTGGCTTTTTCTTCTGTACATTTGAGTGGCCTGTTTGGTTGAAAGCTTATAGTACTTATTTTACCAAAAAAAAAAAAAAAATTTACTAAATTAGCTTCCTCTAGAAAATAAATCTGGATATGATCAGGAGCAGCCAAAGCAAGAAGCAGTAAAATCCAAAAATAATGTCACAAACAGCTTAAGTCACTTAACTTTATGTAAATCTACTGAGGAGTAAAAAAGAAAAAATTAGAGCAGAAAAAATGTCTGAACAAAGCAGGTTAAAAACTGGGAGGAGAGAACTCTTGCATCAAAGAAAAAGAAACAAAAGAAATTATAAGCTATTCTTCTTTTACTGGAAAGAAATTAAGGACTTACACCTATGATACATTGAGTAGAAGCAACTACAAAAGAAAAGGAAAAAAAAAAACAAAACATGCCCAAACCTGTACTTGAATCAATGTGGAGTGACTACCTGCCACAATTATATAAAACTGTCTCAAGTTATTGTTACAGGATTATTTCTGAAATAGGAGCTATTCAAGTATGTAGCACACTTCTCAAAATTCTCTCCCCTTGATCAGTAAGTTATAATATTTCAGCACATAGTAAGTACCACATTCATTAATTTCTAATACTGAATCAGGGTTTTCTAAATCTTCTTTATCCCCTTTAGAGTTTTGTGCCTGACTTCTATTATATTGTGTATAAAAATGTATCAAAAATGATGCATGTTTTTTACTCTATAAATTGCTAGGTAAAAATTATTTCTTGAGTATTAAGCATACATATATGCCTTCTCCCTGCCCTGCCCCATACTATAAAAGATTGCTTGAGGTGAAATGATTAGTCAGTATTTTAAAATAAAGAAATACCTTGATGCATGTATTTTTAAGAAGTTTGATACCACTCAGCCTCTATCTTTGCCTAATAGTGAGGTAACAATTTATTCCTTATTTTCTGAGGCAATCTTAATTTATATCTCTTGCTCTGGCACAATTATTAATAGTATCCACTTTTACTTTCAAAAGTATCCAAATTTAAATGATAACTTATATAGGTATCTGATATGGTTTGGCTGTGTTTCCACCCAAATCTCATCTTGAATTGTAGCTCCCATAATCCCCACATGTCATGGGAGGGACCTGGTGGGAGGTAATGGAATCATCAGAGGAGGCTTATAACATGCTGTTCTCGTGATAGTGAATAAGTCTCATGAGATCTGATGGTTTTATAAAGGGCAGTTCCCCTGCACACACCCTCTTGCCTGCTGCCATGTAAGAAACGCTTTTTCTCCTCCTTCACCTTCTGCCATGATTGTGAGGCCTCCCCAGCCATGTGGAACTGTGAGACCATTAAACCTTTTTTTCTTTATAAATTCCCCAGTCTCCGGTATGTCTTTATTAGCAGTGTGAGAACAGATTAATACAGTATCTCTACCTAATATCAAGGCAGCATGGCATGGAATGATCTAGGGCTTTTGAGACAAGCCCCTCAGGGTCTTTGCATATTTCCATCATTTACTTACTGTATAAACTTGGGCGATTACTTATCCACTCTGAGACCAATTTTTCATCAGCAGCATATGGATAATAATAGCTCACAGACTTGTTGAGATAACACAAATGCATAGTATTATGTCTGGGTACATACACAAATGGGGACAATAAGATCAACTTACAAGATTGCTGTGCAGTTTACTTAAGATGATGAATTTATGCAGAGTGCTCAGCACATGGTCGATACTCAAAAAATATCATTTTCATCACACTCATTCTCATCATCATCACTATCATTGGCCATTAGTGGCTGTTGGTAAATATTAGAGTTAATCGTTTCTTCCCTTCTAACCTTACCTCTTCTGGTACATGCTGATGTCACATCTGTGAAACATGCTTAGAAATGTGTATTATACCCACAACAATCAGGAATTAGGAGCAATTTTAGACTGCTTGGCATACTAACTGAACAGCATTTGGTCTAGTTACTGGGCAAAACACACTGGTTTGTCTGACATAAAAATGCACGTCTCAGAGTGTATCTCAAAAGTTCCCTCAATGCAGAGGACTATGAACTCTGACTCTTGGATGCTCCAGGAAGATCCTAGGTCCTTCCCTCTCAAGATGGAATGCCTTGGAAGTCTCCATCTTCAAATGATTTTCATTCCATTTCATTATATATCGGGGTTTTTTAATTTAAAAAATATTATAAGAATCCACTCTCAAGCCGGGCATGGTGGCTCACACCTGTAATCCCAGCACTTTGGGAGGCCAAGATGGGCGGATCACCTGAGGTCAGGAGTTTGAGACCAGCCTGGCCAACATGGTGAAATGCTGTCCCTATTTACAAAAAATTAGCTGGGCGTGGTGGTGCATGCCTGCAGTCCAGCTACACAGGAGGCTGAGGCAGGAGAATCACTTGAACCCGGGAGGTGGAGGCTGCAGTGAGCTGAGATCATGCCACTGCACTCCAGCCTGGGCAGCAGAGCTAAACTCTGTCTCAAAAAAAAAAAAAAAAAAAAAAAAATCCGCGATCCAGGTAAATTGGTGCTCCAGCATGATAGGCAGTGTGTTTTCTGAGGCTTATCTTACACCTAATATAACTCTGCCTGTTCCTAGTTATATATATCCCAGTTGGAGAAAGAACAGGGATTTCCCAGTTAGACACAGCTGGCTTAGAAGCCAGTTCTGCACACTGTGTGCTTTTGTAACCTTTGGCATATTACTTAATGTCTCTGATCCTCAGTGTCTCGGTCTTAAATATGGGGATATTATGATACCCATTAAATTGTTTGATAATTAAATGTAATCATATCTGTAAGGTCACCAAGTCATATGTTAGGAATTCAATCCATGTCAATAATTTCACCTTTTTTCAGTGTTAGTTAAAATAGTTCAATGACATCATGTCAGGTCACATCGATGAAGACCGATTTGAATTTATTTCTATTGGGACTCAGAGCCCAAAAGTACTTGAAAGATGACATCTGGCTTACCACATACAAATGTCTATGCAATACAACATGGAATCTCATGCAACCATCCAGGTCCTTCCTTCCAAATTCCCATAGTAACTCAACCTTTAGTGGTAATTGTCTATTAATGGCCTTACTTGACTGGGCATATATTTTTTTAATCCAGTTGCCATATAGAAACCATATGGTTGAGATGTCTTTACACTTTACAAAGCATTGGTAAAATGAAAACAGAAATCATAGTCCCAGGCACAGGATTCGATTAGCCAAAGACTTCCTTCTCTACTTGGCGGACACTTGGGTGTCCTTCAGGATCACACTCAGATATATTCTCCTTTAGAGTGCTCTGAAAATATTTTTTTGCTTTCCTCTATCATTGTACTTATTACAAACCACTGAAAATTCATGTTCATTAATCTATCTTCTCCCTTAACCTTTGAATCTCTAGAGTAGGTTCCCAAAGTGAAGTCAGCAGATCCTCTGGGGTCCCTGGACCCTTTCAGGGGGATTTGTAAAGTGAAATCTATTTTCAAAATCATATTAAGACATTATTTGCCTTTTTCACTCTGTTGACATTTGCAATGATGATAGAAAGCACTGGTGTATAAAACTGCTAACATCTTAGCATAAATTAAAACTGTGGCACCAAACCATATGTAGCACTATAGTCATATTCTTAACCACCTCACACTTGCAATAAAACAAAAACAAAAACAACACAAAACAAACAACAAACAAAAAAATACCAATTTTAAGTATGTCTTTTTAAAAACAATCATTGCTAATTTTAAGAAATCTAAATCTCTGAATATACATCTTTAATATTCTATATGACAAAATGGATGCATGCAAAAAGCACTTTCACAGACTACCGAAGTCTGACCGTCTTGAGGAAAAGCACTTATGAGATAAATGTTTGAGTTGTAACCTGACATAGCTGCTCTCTTCATGAAATACCATTTTTACTTTAAAAAGCAACTGACAGACAAACGATGGTTATTCAGATTTAGGTGCTGTGCAGATATTTTTTAAACAATGAATGAAAGCAAGCCAAATCACTTCAAGGAAAACAATCAACAGTACTTATTGCCAATGATAAAATTCAAACATGCGGACAAGAATTGTAACCTGAAGAACAATTTGTATCTGTCACTGTGAACTTGACAGCTTCGTAATATGTAAAGACTTTTCTGATAAGCTTGGTGGTGATATTAACAGTGGTGATTCCTTTTAAAATGTTTCATGAAATATGCTGACATATGGGAAATCTACATAACTCAGTGAAACAATACTTTCCAAATGACCAATGCATGATGTTACAAAATCATGCATGTAGTATATTGGTTAAAGATCTATCCAAAATGTAAGATTAACCAATGTATTTTAATGCAGCAGATTTTTAAATGTTCATTGATATGGTTTCAGATTCCACCTTGCAACTAACCTTTAATAAACTATTTGTCAAAGTTTTATTCAATATCAAAGAAGAATAGCACATTTATCTGAGAAGGCTAGTAAAATATTCTTCCTTTTTTTGCATCTAGTATCTGTGCAAGGCTGATTTTCTTCATAAATTTTGAATTAACAAATATTTTTAAATTTCTCATTTTAATTTCTAACGTGGTAAATACTGAGAGATGTAACTCACAAAAAATAAAAGTTCTTTTTTTTTTTTTTTTTTAATTTTTTGAGCAGAGTCTCTCTCTGTCACCCAGGCTGGAGTGCAGTGGTGTGATCTCAGCTCACTACAACCTCCACTTGCCAGATTCAAGTGATTTTCATGCCTCAGCCTCCCGAGTAGCTGGGACTACAGGTGTGTGCCACCATACCTAGCTGATTTTTTGTATTTTTAGTACAGATGAGGTTTCACCATGTTGGCCAGGCTGGTCTCGAACTCCTGGCCTCAAGTGATCTGCCCGCCTCCCAAAGTGCTGTGATTATAGGCATGAGCCACCATGCCTCACAAGAGTTCTTAGAATCCTCAATAATTTTTGAGAGTAGAAATGGGTTATTAGCTCAAAAAGTTTGAGAAACACTGCTATAGAAAGGCAGCACTGTTCATCTTTCTGTCCAGAGTACCTGAGACTCGTGAGGTGCTTCATATGGGTTTATTTAACAGATGGATGAGTGATGAGTAAGTGAATATTGCCTATAATGCCAGAAGAATCTGACACGTTAGAAAATATCTTGATATGCAATATGTGATAAATAAATTAAATTGCAATTTAATATTTCCCCCTAGCTTTGTTTCTTGCCTTGTAACGCCTATTTCCAAAACAGATAAGGAGACACACCACAGGTGATTAGTTGTTCAGCCATGATTAATCAACTAATTAAATCAAGTTGAGTTGGTGAGGGGGACGGGGAAACAGTTATTTCTCTATAAGTCCCTTCTCTGATAGCCAAACAATTGACTTTACTTCTTTCATTATTAATGTATACATTTTACAAGAATTTGTTTGGAATAGGATAGTTTTTAACATGTTTCGAAAATTTTTTTAAAGCTTGGTTGACCATTTTTTAATATTGTTTTATAATGATATTTTAAGGCATACTTAGTACCCACCTCAAAATTTCAAATGCCTCTTAATAGTGTGGAGAAGAGAGATGGATGGGCAGAAAAACTGGGAACTGAGGAAACAGTGAGTAGGGAAATCAAGTGTCAGCTAGGTCAACCCATAGCCTAAGGACTCACAGAAACAAGAATAAAGTTTAAATTAAAAAAAAAATAAACTCCAAACACTAAGGTTTTTTTTGTTTTGTTTTTTGTGTTTACTTTTTATACTACTATTCTGCTTCCTTCAAGCCAAAGTCATCTCTTTTAAAAGAGAAAATATCTTCTTGATAACTCTGTACATGGGAAACAGCAGAAGCAATTTGGAATCCATGGTACATTTTTTTAGTCTCACTGAATAGAGGAGATAGTCTCTTGCAGGAAAGGAGCACCATTCAGTTGGCTGATGTAGTTAACATACTATACCCAAGAGCTAAAGCTCTCTAATTATTCCATAAAGCCTATTTTATCCATTGTAAAATGGATCTTGTCTCCCATTAGGTTGGTGCAAAAGTAATTTCGGCTTTTGCAGTACTTTAATGGCAAATACCACAATTACTTTTATACCACCCTAATGACTTCTCTGAAATAAGGATAACTTGTTCAATCAGTAGTATATCATCGTTTCATTGGCAGAGTTTTAGTTTTTCTTTTTAGAATATAAAATAAGGGTACATCTTACCATTGACAGCATCTTAGATTCGATGAACTATAGTAACCTAGGAAGAAAATGTTTGATTCTATAGTTATATGGTGAGACCATATTCAGAAGTGTGGTCTCTAATACCTTGTCTGTTTTCCTTTCCTGTCTCCTTGGAAAATAATGGACCCATCTAACGAGCAAGTAAGTTGATGTGTTTCAAGGCAAGGTAAGCAAGTTTGAGTAGCACTATTTGATCCCTAAGAACTTTAGAGTTTGGTAGAAAGCTTATACAAGCCCAAAGCAAAAAATAAAGGAAATTGTTTAGCTGAAGTATATAAATAAAATGTGATCACATAACAGAGATTTCTATAGAAGGAGTCCATCCTAATTTTTATGCTTCAAAATATTAAACATTTCCTCAGCTTACAATTTAGGATATATATATGTGTGTGTGTATATATATATATATATGTAAATTTTAATGCAAACAATAGTATATGTAATTACCCTTTGCATTACCCTTCTCTTCTGAAGTGCCAAGGAAAATGTGTGCAGAAACATTTATGCCTACATCATTATATGTGCATTGGCTAAACAATCAAAAGTACTTCTGCAGATGCGTGTAGGAAAATTAAGAGCATTCCCACTTCCTCATTCAGTCAAGACAGTCATGCTGTTCTGGCAACAGATATGCATAATGGAAACAATATTGCTTTAAATAATCAAAATACACAAAGGCACATTTTTCTGAGTGATTGGAAATAACCCTGACAAATGCTTAAATTTGGTAAATTATGAGCTAGCCAAGTTATGTTTGCATAAATATAATGAAAAGCATTTTTAAAAAATTTAGTAAGCATGTGAAGCACGGCATTCTCTTGGTAATGATTTCTTTGACGGATAAACCAACAACCGTGCAAGGCAAGTTTATGAAGGTGCCTCCTTGAGTGCTTTAGAATGTGTGTGTATGTGTGCATGTGTTTGTGTATATGTACACAAATATATGCACAAAAATAAAAAGTTTGCAAAAATTAGGTAAGTGGCAGAGATATTCTTACAACTAAAAAGAAAGAGAGAACAAGCGTAGGCATTTAAAATAGCTACTTATATTTGAAAAGAAGAACACAAGCTAAGTGCAATTGAATGCTTTGTTAATGTGGTACATGGATAATTCATATTCCCCATACAGAACTCTTGGATAACACAGAGATTACCTATTAGGTAAAAACATAATTATATTCTCTTCCAGCAAGCTAGATATCACACCTCAGCTGCACTCTTAAAGGGGTATCTGCATGTAGTTGAAGAGGAGCTGTGGGTGGCTAATAAAAAAGTATTCGAATAGGGCAAAAATAATATTCTACTCACAGGTAATATGGTGGTATTTGTTATCAGATTGGTTTGGGTAGAACCGAGCACTGAGCATCCAACATGTGGATGCAACAACAACAACAACAACAACAATAACATACATTCAAGCAAAAGCCGAGGAAAGATATACCTTCATTTAGGATTGTCCAGATTATCATGGCTTTTAAACTAAGCCTAATAAGGTAGGGAGACTGACCACTGAATTTGCTACATGGATAGCAAAGCTTTTGTGAGAATTCTATAGCTTTTAAAAGTCACCAGAAGCCAAGGAACACACTTTTACGTGAAAGGATTATCATCAAGGCCTTTTCCTATGGGCAGGCCACACAAAACAAGAAATTTTCACATTCTCCTATGAGGATAGACTGTATTCAAAGAGATAAAATAGGCCATGAACAGTGGGTGGAGTGGAGATGACATTCTTAGGGGAAAATTCCTTTAATTCCTAAGCATGAATTGTAGGAAGAGCCTGATTGTGATTTATGGCCTTAGTCATCCTTTTTTTCCCCCTGATAATTGTACACTGTAATTTTTCTTTCTGATAATTAACCTTAGTCATCAAGTTTTTCCCCATTAACCGCCACCCACCTTCACTTGAGGATGGGAAGTAACAGCTTGAGAGAAACCAGGATTACAACAGGCCTCTGGTTGGGTAAAATAGCGCGGCAGACCAAGTTAAATTTGTACTACTTTCCTCACCCTTTGAGGTAGTCCCTATTTCTTATCTTCTGTTCCTCCAATTTAGGGCTAAACCCCTAGAAAGCTTAATGCTTTGCTTTTGTTTCAATATTAAAATACATTAGAGCCATTTGGTAAGTCCTTATCACCCAGCTTATGACTTCTCTTCCTATGAAGAGAAATCTCTTCATGAAATTTCTCTCCTGAAAGTCATCCATGACTAAGTCATTGTGACAGCTAATGTTCTCATATTCCATCTTCCTTGTCTGTGTCTCCTCCTTGATGCCTGATCAGGCCTTGCTTCCAGAAACTCTCCACCCTTTCTTCCTTTCTTGGGACATTCTCAGTTTTCTTTTTAACTGTGTGACTGCAACTTCTGTCTCTTTCCTCTTTGCATTCTATGTGTATGTGATCTAAAAGTTTGTTCCTTAGCCCTTTTCTCACCTGTTCTCTCTTTTCGTTGACAATCTCACCTATCCTTTGGGTCTTGTCTGCAGAGGATGCCCACAGCTCTGCTGTTAGCCCTGCGTCTTCTCAGTGCTAAATACAGGTTTCCACCTGCACACTGCTCTTCTCTGGAAAGACAAGCTCTGGCACCTAAAACACTCATTACGTCCAAATTGGATTCGATATCTTCCCTCTCACATTTACATCCCCTCCTATGTTTCCTATTTTTTCAAAAATGTCATCACCAAGGTTTGAAACCTTAAAGTCAAGTATGACAGCTTTCCTGTCTCTCTGCAATAATATGCAAAACCCTGTCAATTTCTCCTCTAAGGTTTCTTGACCATTTATATCCTCTTTTCCATCCCTTTTTAAAAAAATTTTTTTATTTTTTTGTTTTTATTTTTATTATTATTTTTTGAAACGGAGTCTTGTTCTGTCACCAGGCTGGAGTGCAGTGACGTGATCCCCACTCACTGCAATCTCTACCTCCCTGGTTCAAGTGATTCTCCTGCCTCAGCCTCCCAAGTAGCTGGGACTACAGGCGTGCATGACCACGCCCAGCTAATTTTTGTATTTTTAGTAGAGACTATGTTGGCCAGGATGGTCTCGATCTCCTGACCTCGTGATCCGCCCGCCTTGGCCTCCCAAAGTGCTGGGATTACAGGCATGAGCCACCGCGCCTGGCCCCAAAATTTTTGTTTTTAAAGATAAGGTCTTGCTCTGTCTCTTAGGCTGGAGTGCATATAGCTCACATGATCACAGTTCACTGCAATCTCGAACTCCTGGGCTCAAGCGATCCTCCTGCTTCAGCCTCCTGAATATCTGAGACTACCACCATGTTTATCTAACCTTTTAAATTTTTTATAGCGGTGGAATCTTGCTGTTGCCTAGGCCAGTCTCAAACTCCTGGCCTCAAGCGATCCTCCCATTGCAGCCTCCCAAAGTGCTGGGATTATAGGTGTGAGCCACTGCGCCCAGCCCTTCACCTCTTTTCTATAGGCTGGCTTCCTGCTGTTCTTTCACAGGCTGACCTGGCTACAGGAATTTTGCCGTTTAAGAGCTGCTCCCAGCCGGGCGCATGGCTCACGCCTGTAATCCCAGCACTTTGGGAGGCAGAGATGGGCAGATCACCTGAGGTCAGGGGTTCGAGACCAGTCTGGCCAACATGGTGAAACCCCGTCTCCACTAAAAACACAAAAATTAGCCTGGCATGGTGATGCACACCTGTAGGCTTTTCTGCATCCAAACAACATTATACATTGCTGCCAGAAAAATAATACACAGGGCTGGGCGTGGTGGCTCATGCCTATAATCCCAGCACCTTAGGAGGCCAAGGCAGGTAGATCACAAGGTCAGGAGTTCAAGACCAGCCTGGCCAATACTAAAAATACAAAAATTAGTGGGGCATGGTGGCGGATGCCTGTAATCCCAGCTACTTGGGAGGATGAGGCAGAGAACTGCTTGAACCCGAGAGGTGGAGGTTGCAGTGAGCCGAGATTGCACCACTGCATTCCAGCCTGGGCGACAGAGCGGGACTCTGTCTCAATAAATAAATAAATAAATAAAATTAAAAGAAAACAACAACACTGTTTTGTTCATGTTTATGTGCATTCCCATATCTACATGCATTTGCTTCAGACATTTGCTTTGCCAGTATTTTTCTTTTTCTGCAGAAGTGTCTTTTTCTGCCATCATCCTCGTTTCCTCTCTTCAGTACCCCTATGTCATCCAGTATTTGAGTTTAACAGTTTTGTCTTTCCATTAGATGATGAATTCCTTAAGTAAAAGGCCTGATATGTTTATCTTCAAATCCCCTACATACACTCCAGTGCCTGACATAAAGTAGCTCCTCAAGATATCTTTGGTTTTGAATTAAGGTGAGTTTCATTCCTTTGTTTAAAAATCTTCAACATTCTCTATTTGCCACATGTTACAAACTGTTTTACCTGGTCAACAAGACCCTTAGACTTGGGATCTGGGAAAGGTGGGGAAGAGGAAAGCAGAGAAAGAGGACCAAAGAAGAAGGAAATTGGAAGCAGCAGCAAATGGCAGGCTGGAAGTATTCTGGGACCATTTTTGTGTTGTTCCTTTTCCTACTGATTACTATCTGGTCCTTGAAGGCCCAGACATCCACATACCACTACCACTAATCTCTCCAGGAATCTCAATGCTCAGCGCCCCTGTTAGACCATATCCAGGCCCGCCGCTCCCAGGGGATGCCCTGTGTCCACTGGCAGCCACTTAGTGACTGATGTGCTATGCTCTGTCTTGAGGCAGGAAAACCGGACTAGCCAGCTAAGCCTAAGAATGCACCTATCCTAAATGCTAATGGTAATTCCAGACGCATTAAGCAGACAGTCAGACTTTTAGGGCCTTCTCTTTTTGCCAAGTAATGCACAGGTATTAGATTTAACTGGTTTTTAGGAGATGGCTGCCCTGAATTTGGTGTTTCACCCAGGTGGTATGAGCCAACAGAAATCTGGGTTGTGTAAGAGGGGAAGTATGATGATGAAGGGAGGCCTAAGCATCCCCATACAGGCTTGTGTCATGTAGTTAAATAAATACATTTACTGTTACCAGCAAGGCCAAAGATGAGCAGGGGGAAGGGGTAGCTCCAGAGAGATGATGGGTTTTTCCTTAAAGACTAAGCTCTTTTGTGGCTTATTGGCCTCCTTTACTTCATATGCAGATATCTGCCCCACACTTCCTTCCTTAGTGTAGAATACAAGAGCACTAAACTAAAAATAAAACAAACAAACAAAAGAACCCATTACTTTTGGTGGGCTGATATTGGAAAATGTAAACTTAGAGACTGTTAGGTAATCCTAAGTCCAGACTCATTACTCATTTAACCTTGGCACAAGTTAATGTTTAAGTGAAACTTTATAATAACCAGTTTCCATTTCTTCATTCTCCTTACATTTTTTTACCCATTTTCATTGTAAATTGTTTTACATTATTTTGCTCTTCCTTTTCTTCGGTACGAGAATAAAGTTGTTTTTATCTCTGTGTCATTTCCACCCTTTCCTATACTTACTCTCCCAGGAGATGATCTCACCAATGTCCACACTGGACCAAAGGCATCTGGCACATACTCTCATAACTTTCCTCGCCTCCACCTCAGATTTCCTGACACCATCCTCTTTTCCTGTCCTTCTCTCTTGGAATAAGACAACAACAACAACAACAACAGAAAACAAAAACTCTCTAGCTAGCATAACTACCTGGATTCTCCCCAACTCCTGTTCCATTAATCACACATTTCCCCTAACAACTCCAATTGCCCCTGCTCCACTAATTTCTTCCCTTCTGCAAACATGCTCAAATCTCCACTTGCCTAAAACTTTTCTTGCTTACTTCTCCCGCTTCACTTTCTGGGTACAGATTCCTCACATTTGCTATCTTCAATTATTCTCCCCTTCATTCTTCTCATGCCCTTGAAATATGTCTTCTGTGGAATACATATTTCAGCCCACAAATCTGAGGAAACAGTTTTTGTTGACCTAATCATTGCTGACTCACTAGCTGCTTTCATTCCTTCTATGGTTCTCACGCTGTATTAATCAGCGCGATTGACCATCCTGAACTACCCCAGTGTGTTGTGCTTCTACACTGGGTTACATGCTTTCTTCATCTCTGTAGCTAGAGTGTTCTCAGGTTTCCTGAAAACTTTCTAGTTGCAGAATAAATTCTCTACTTTCTTCTTTACAAATGTATTATCTTTCTCTCCTATCCCTTAGTAGCTTCATGAAATTACTTGCATCATCTGTGAATATGGTTCCTTTCATATATTACCATAACCCCATTAGAATTCATTTCTTATAGGCAAAAGCCCTTAAGATGTTTTTTAACTCTCCTTGGTAAAGATACCAGTAATCCATATAACAAATATTTTTTAATATTTTGGTCCCAGCAAGATGGTGTTTTCTTAATTCATACATATTTTGGAAATTTGTTTTTGTTTTTGTTTTTGTTTTGTTTCCTAATCATGTGTGTCTGACCATGACAGAGCCATAAGGAAAAGTTGTTTGAGCTCAGGGTACTTGCAATTCATAGTTGTTCTCTGAAAACCACTGTTCCGAAATTACTGTGTTGTACATCATGAAGATACCCTGGAGTTCTTTCACCATCCTGGATTTTCTTCTTCCTTCTTGCATACTTGTGATATGTAGCATGAGAAGGTTATGACTACTCTGAAAGTGAAGTGGAAGCTTAGGTGGTATGTATGAGTGTTTTTATTGTCACCTTCCATCTTTGTACATGTACATTGGCAGAGTTTTTAGAAAGAAGGGGTGATGCTGTCTAGCTGGTGTTTCTCAGCTGGTCATATTGAAAACACGTAGGTAGATGCCTGCCTACTTGTGGTCAGACCCAATGGTGTAAAGTGCCCCATATCCACCTACATGTTGTGTTCACCCTTTTTCCTTGAGAAATGACTATTCTTACAGATATAGGCTTTCAGGGAAAGGTATGACAGCCTTCCTCTTCAATATATTCTTATAAAACTTTTGGGCTTGCCTAATAGACTCTTTCACATATCCATTAAATTTCCATTCAACCCTCAAGACAGAGGTAGCTTCCTTCATCTTACACAAGAATAGGGTTGAAAGAATATCAGAGAGTCCCAGAAGGACCATGAAAACTGTATTTATGGAAGGCCATAGATTCAAGTTTCTGTAATGTGGGCTTTCCCCCAAGGTAATGACTGCTAAAAACATCTATGTCCCAGGGAACTGACGTAGGTTCCTTCCTGAGACAATTCCTGGGAGAAAAGAGATAGCCAATGCAGAGACTGTATCTATCTGGCTTACTATAGTACATCCTCTGCTTTGCAGTGTCTAACAGAAATGGGTGCTCCATAAATATTTGTAGAACTGAAAAGCATTGAAATGTTGGCAAGAAAACAGACAGCATTGATAGTAGTACCAGATTTGGGGAACTTGGGCAAATTCCTTAATAAATTATCAGATGTTCCTGGTGTAGTGATTTAGGCAGACTCTTTCCCCTAGGGTGTTGTCCAGATAGTTGGGAATTTGGTTGAAGCTGATCTCTGAAAAGATTCAGTGGTCAGAATGGAAAATCTCACCGCAGGACATTTTAGGATTAGGTACTTTCACAAAGAAATCAGTTCTACTGAAGCTTCTGGACCCAGCCAATGCTGACTACAAGATACTAGATTCGACAGAAAAGTAGGCAATACAACTGTGTCTCTCCCTTTGTTCCTCCATGGGATTTAATCATAAACTTATATTGTTTGAATATAGTTTCACTAATTATGAAATATGATCAGTTTGGACAATTACATGAAATGTCAAATAGAAATATCCCAGACCTGGCATCAATGGTTATAAATCAGTGTTCTAGTAATGTTTAATGTACCCTCAACACTTTTTCAGAAACCAAAAACATTTTATTTTAATCAAAAAGAAAACAAGGTATGCCACCGATGAAAATGACATACATATTTTTGTGCTTATTATTTAAAGAAAGGAGAAACATCTGAAATCTGTTTGCTAACTACAGTATAATACAAATTAGCCTGCAGGCACCGTGTGTGCCGTACCCTGTCTGCTTGCCAGCCCTGCTTAGTCCCAACGTATTAATGAGCAAGTGCAAGTATTTGAACAATCAGCATTTCTGCATTTGCATGCAAACTCTCATGCTGTGTAATTATACACAGAGCTGGCACTCAAATTAATTAAAGCTGATTTTTCTGTGACTGCAAACTGGTCATATCTTCAGCTTTGCCTTCCTATGAAGTCATCACTCTACATTCAACATGACACTCTGTCCCCAGCATTCTTAGTAGTGCTAATGTTCGACAATTGTGAATCCGGCAATATTTTAGAGAGCAGCTGACAATGGCTGGGTGTTCTTATGCTTTTCCTCTCCTATCTTTCCCCCTTCTGGAGTATACAGAACAGCTTTTGAACACTTGCTTTGTAATTATCTCAAATACTAATGCAAACAAATTACATATATTGTTTCAGTGGGTTCCCTCCCCTCTTTTATGACACCACGCACTTGATTAGAGCTTACAAACAATTCATCAAACTTTAAAAATTTGTTTATTTGATGCCAAGAAACAATTAGTTGTGACGGTTTTGGTCTTAATTTTGAAAAGGCTTTAACAAATGATGTTTTATTTTAAGAGACAAAGATCTTATAATTCAAAATCAGGGAGATTAGGAAAGAAACAAGCAGCAATGACTGCTAGATTCGATTAAGACTTTTTGAATCCTTATCAAACATAATGGACTTGAAACGGAGACTATTATTTGCCAGAGAGATCCGTAAATGTTAACTTCTAGGACAGAAGGCTTTCCTCAACTCTTCCACAATAAAGCCATCTCCTTTGGTTTCTCCGTTCCTCTGAAGGAAATCTTCCTGTGACAATTCTTTTGAAAAGACATCTTCAGAGCAATTAAGATATCGTTATGATTCTCTTTTCATAAATTTAAATCTTGAATAAAGGTGGCTACTAAAACATCATCATGTAGGGCCTCGGGAGATGAGCTGCTTTGACATTTTCCTCTGAAATCACCCGTTACCACACAAGCACAGCTCACCATCTTCCTCATTTCTCTGCATTTCATTAGCCAGAAACTGTACCGACAGCTATTGCAGGGGCTGGCTATCTCTTTTTAGAGCAGGCACCAGACAATTCTATCCCTCAAGTTCAAGATCCTGAAATACACTGGCAAGATTGCCCTAGTAATCTACATTTGAAAGGGAAGATGGAGTAGTAGGGGATTTCTTTATACTCTGACTTTAATGATCAAACAAAGAGATATAATTGCCCTTACCTTATCAGTTGTAATGCTGGATCCACATAGAACACAGTTATCAAGCTCTCTTCAAATTCCAACTGGCAAACAAGTGAGAAAAGAGTATTGAGCCTTTTCCAGAGAGGCTCCTGGGGAAATCACAGTCACAACACTATTAAGATCCCAAGCCTGCCCTTCTGTGTTTCGTCAGGAATTTCCTAAGCAGACAGGTGTCATATTGGCATGAATTTTGTTGCCAGGTACATTTTAAAAGTTGGGTGTGGCTGTGATCAGGTAGCCAGTTCCACCTGTCTCTAAACCCTCATAACCTCCATTGCTTCCAATATTTTGCTCAAGTACCCAGTGACTTCATGATTTACCCACGCACTGGGCCCGACTAACTGAGGTGTGGGAACAGTATCGAGTTAAGCAGCACCGTCATTGTAGTACACAATGCTCATTGCTACTGGCAAATACCTATTTGCTGAATCAGGATTGGGCTGCAGTGAGCAGGACTGGGCTGTTCTACAGCTTTCTGTTTGTTTCCTTTTTAGAATCACCCTCTTCTAATTAAATCTAACCATTTAGCAAAAATGGGCTCTTTTTATGTTCCTGTCTTAAAAATATAGCTTTATTTAAACATCGAGAATGACTGTATTTTCACCTTTTCTAAAGCAACTGTTTGCAAAACAAAAGGCAGAGGAAAATAAAATTAGAGTTCCTCAAACAATCAAAATGAATATCGCTGTGTATGTTGTATGTTGTACATTTTGCTTTTAAATTTTCTAATAGCAAACCAAATACATGTGTTAGTTATGATCCTTTTACTTCTTCTAAAGAGAAAAGGATAATAGGAGAAGCTTTCTGTAAACTTATTAAGGAAAGGAAATCATTTTTGCTCCCTAAGGAGCAGTAGACAGTTAATTTATTTTATTGTTGATTGTGGTATTAAAAAAAAGTTGGTTGGCTACATATCTCTTTATAGTCATGTATGTAAATGGAATTCAGGCATTGAAGAAGCAAGACCAGATTTTAGAAACATGCCAAAATTATATGTATTATTTGTCATGCAAGTATAACATGATCAAAACAAAGTATAAAAAATATAGGGCTAAATAGATGGAAAGGTCATGCATTTGACTTGTAATTTCAACCCATTTTGTCAATGTACTGTACTCTAGAGGTGGGATTTTAATTTTCTCAGACCCCTTGATTCCTTACTGACATTTAAATCAAGCAAACTGTGCTATTTTTAGATTGATTTGGTCTCAAATATCAAAGTTTCATCCAATATCTTACCCAAGCAAAAATTTCTTACAAAATATTGCCTTTGCTTCAACTTGCCCATCACATCTGGCACAAGATTGACATGTAATGAGTTCAATAAATATTTGCTCAGTACATGTTTAGAGGTACATTTATAACTACATATATGGAAATTATAAATTATATAAATCAACTAACCTACAAACTCTTGAAGGCTTCTTTCATATATAGGATGTATACATGGTATGCACATACATGTGAGCAGTAATCATTGGCCAAGTAAATTAAAATTAAATAAGTTGAAGATAATACATTACTACCTCTAAGACAATCTAGTTTCATTTTAAATGAGATCTTCCTTATTTTTGACCAATACCTTCCTGAATTTTCTATTCTTTGGTATGAGCTTTTTCTAAAGCTTCTGAGGATAAATTTAATCCTTATTCCACATGAAAGTTATTCAACTATTTGAAAAATGGCTATCATTTTTCTCTACGTCTCCTCTTTCTTCAGACTGAACATTCCTTTTAATCATTATAACATGATATGGCTTTTAATGCCTATCACCATATTGGAGAGATTCCAGTTTGTCCATGCCTTTCCTAAATGTGGCAGTCAGAACTGAATGCACTATTTGAAATGTGGTCTAATTATGCAAAATACATGGGTACTGATGCCTGCCTTGTTCTGCACTCTATTTCTAATAATTTAGAATTCTGTGGAGGCAGGAAATGCACTCTGAGGAGGGGCTGGCATCATTATTATTCTTAGTGCTTGAACTTTTACAAAACTAAAACATCTAAAAACATCTAAATCTTTTTCATACCAAATTCTGTTTAATCAAACCTCTTACAACTTTTTCCATCCATTCTAGAGCTTATCTCTGGTACTGGCTCATTGTTCTAATTATTTGGGATATTTGGATTCCTGATTTTGCTATCCAATGTCTTGGTTACCACATTTCATTTTGTGTCATTCTTTAAAAGACATCTGAGCGGCTACTATGGGTCAGTCAATGATCATACCAAGGGCAAGATGACAGGTCCCTTTCCTGAAAAAGCACACAGCCTGGCAAGGAGCCTGACAATATCATTATTATGCCTTCCATGCTTTCCTTCAAATCACTGGCAAAAAAAGTGCTAGTGCATGTCTCAGAGACCTCTCTTCAGATTGGCAACAATCAATCAACCCTAGATAATGAGAATAAAACAACTCCTATCATTTTTATTGAGCACTTATTTAATAAGGAGTAAAGAGCACTTTATGTAAATTATGTCACAAGAAACACAGTGTCCTTATGACATAGATAATTTTAATCCTTATTACAGTTTAGGGAATTATGGTTCAGGAAGCTTATGCAACTTTCAAAAATTTTCATGGTTGATAAGGTCCAGGGCTTCAATTTGAACCCCTAAGGCTGTCTGACTCCAAAGTTCATTCTTAATCACTTTTAAAGAGATAATTCTGCCATTTTGGAAACTTCCTAACCATATTCTAAAGTATCTCTAACTTATCTTCTAGGAACATATGAGTATTTTGATTAAAATACTTGCAAAAATCCAGTTATATTCTCTTTTGAAGAGAAAACATAAATTAGTTTGCTTGTGGCTGCTTTCTTCTTAGCGACCCCATGCTGATTCTTAGTAGTCAGTGCCATTTTTCAACAGGCTCACTTTTATTTTAATGATTGTCTACAGTTTGCTAGAGACTGATATCAAACTCATTGGTTTGTTCTGAAGTTCTGCAGTTCTCAGAATCTTTCCTTTCTGGTAAAATCGAGTTAACATCAACTCCTCTCTATTTTTTGTTTTGTTTTTTGTTTTTGTTTTTGAGATGGAGTCTCGCTCTGTCGCCCAGGCTGGAGTGCAGTGGTGTGATCTTGGCTCACTGCAAGCTCCGCCTCCCGGGTTCACGCCATTCTCCTGCCTCAGCCTCCCGAGTAGCTGGGACTACAGGCGCCCGCCACCACACCCGGCTAATTTTTTGTATTTTTAGTAGCGACGGGGTTTCACCGTGTTAGCCAGGATGATCTCTATCTCCTGACCTTGTGATCCGCCCGCCTCAGCCTCCCAAAGTGCTGGGATTACAGGCGTGAGCCACCGCGCCTGGCCAACTCCTCTCTATTCTTGCCTCTGCCCCATTCTCCATGATATCTCAAACATAATTGTCAGAGTTTCCACAAGCACATCCGAAGTTCTTTCTTTCCTGAAAAACACTAGAATTTATTTATGTAGCTATCTGCTTCACCTTCTTGGGGTTCACTTCTTGCGATGGGAGTTACTAGAAGGAAAGAATGACTTGTTCTGTAAAAAGCTTTACACGGACAACACACTCTAAACATATTTGTTGAAAAAAAAATCTACATAGCCGAGAGGGAAAAAAAATTCTGCTATGCTGTTTTGTAAAAATGAAAAAAGATGACTATTTTTGCCTTCTTGGGAGGAGCAACACATATATCACTTATGAATAGTTCTTTTGTTGAGGAAAACAACTAGATAAATCTAGAGGAGACACTCAAGTTGAGAAAGTCTAGGTCCTTCTGGGTGTGGTCTGGTAAGCAGCACTGGATGGCGAGAGAGCTACATTTCTCTATAATAAATTACAAACAATTTGTCAGTCTGCAAAAGAAGACTTGGAAATGGGAAGAATGGAAGTGAGATACTGCCCAAGAACCTGGCAGAAAGCCCAGAACACAACAGAGGAATACAGCCAGGGAGGAATTTCAAGGAGCTCACACTTAATTCTTTTTTTTTTTTTTTGAAACAGAGTCTCACTCTGTTGCCCAGGCTGGAGTGTAGTGGCATAATCTCTCGGCTCACTGCAACCTCCGCCTCCCAGCTTCAAGCGATTCTCCTGCCTCAGCCTCCCGAGTAGCTGGGATTACTGGCACACACCATCACATCCAGCTAATTTTTGCACTTTTAGTAGAGATGGGGTTTCACCATATTGGCCAGGCTGGTCTCTTAACACCTGACCTCAAGTGATCCACCCACCTTGGTCTCCCAAAGTGCTGGGATTATAGGCATGAGCCACCATACCCAGCCTCATACTCAATTCTCAAAACATAGCTGCCTCAGCCGTGTGCTAATCCAAGGGGTGACACAGAAATAGCAATATAAGGCAAGGTCCTTTCCTTCCAGATGGAAATATAGTCAATGATCCCAATTTAGTAAAATGAAAAGTATCTTTAGAAAAGAAAATAGTGTCTACTTGGTAATTTTTACTATTCCAGTGTAAGTGGGTATTAGAAAATGATAAAGTATTATTATTTATTAAAATGAATATATTTATGATTTATTAAAAATAATTTTTAATATATTTGTATATCTTTTTATTACATAGAAAAGCCTAAGATTATTTTTGGTAGGTAAGCACAGAATTAAAGGACGGTATGTTATCAAGAGACTGTCGAGTCCCCACTTGTGAGAGATTTTCAGAAAGTTTATTTTACCCTATCTAGAAGAGACTGAATAATCAGTTTCATCTGAATTTTATAGGAATAACCAAAGAATTAATAGGAAATAAAAGATTTTTGAGACTTTTCCAGAAGAATGTTGATATTATTTTCAATATTCCTAAAATGTTCTTAGTCAAATAAATATATGTATCAATAAAAATAATCAATTCAAATGGAGAGTATAACACATACTACTAAAAGGGATGCATATATGTACATATGTATGTGTGTGCTTATTTAAGATTCACAATTTAAGAAAATGTAGGATTCACAATGTTCATCAAGGTTTGAAAGTTAATTTATTGCTGAGAATGGTTCTCACTGGTAATATGCAGTACTGGAAGCCACAGCACAGTAGCATTACAGTAATTCATTACAATGGGAAGACGAACCTCACTGAAAAATTCAAGAAACTGAACAGTTAGTTACAGAAGGGCAATTATGGGACCTGGTCTCATTTCATTATCTAAGATGAGTGAGAATAAAATGCAAAGCTGACACATAAATGATGCAAGGCATATTAGGTTTGAGATTTCTTCTTTTGTTTTAATTAAGTTTTTATTAATAAGTGCTTTGAATTATATGATCTTATTTTGATGCTGGCTGTTTCAAAGAAAAACAGTGTACGGGCTTATACTAGATTATGTTATAGTAATGCTAATCACTAATTTTTTTATTACTATGTACCAGATAGTGTGCTAAACATTTTATATATATTATCTCATCTATAACTAACCACATCGGTAGTTTCATTATCTATTTTAACAGAGAAGAAAACTGAGGCACAAAGAAGTTAAGTAACTTTTCCAAGATCACACTGCTAGCAAATAATTGAACCAAGATTGAATTCAGGTAGAATCTGGAGACTGTATATTCCTACTCCTTTATTTTGCATCTTCTAGGTGCTTTTTTTAAATGCACATAATATATTCTCAAGTGTTTTTCATATGATCTATACCCTTAGGAAGGAGAGATCCATTTTCCAAATTTATTTTTAATGCTAAAGTGTTTAATGTCATCTTCAAAGTGAGTACAAAATATGCTTATGTCCCTTAGGACTCAGCTAACTGGTCAAATTACTTAGGTATCTTTTGTTGATTTCATTGGGCAGAATTAATTGCTGTCTCCTCTGTATCCCTCATATAATGTACAGATGCCCATAATATCCATTGCACCTATGTATTTACATATCTGCTTACCTCCAGGGCCTAGCTCAGTGTCTGGAACACAGTAAATATCAAAAAATGTTTGTGGGATGAATCAATAACTCGGGCCAGTCCATATCTTTTCTGTGTCATTTTTCTATATATAATTTCCCCTGCCAGCCACTGATTTGTCTCCTGCTGGGGTAAAACAGAGTATTGTCTTCTCTGGACTTTGAATTAATGTTTTCCCTGTTTACCAAACCAAAGTGGTAAAGAAACTCATGTTCCAAGCAAGGAACATTTTTGACAAATAAATGAGTTTAAAATGCTGAATCCACAGTGTCATGCTGAACTACCTCAAAAAAGAAGTTGCCCAAACTTTGTCCACATTCCCTGGGATAAATGTGGCTCGATGCCATTCTCTCCAAAATCTTTATTATGAAGTAATCTGACCCATAGTTTAAACAGACAGGGAAGTCATAATGTGTCACCCAACATAGACCTTGGGAAAAAAGTCAATCCAGTGCAGACGAATGCATTAGCCTAAAACTATTGTATCCCTTCTTCATTCTCTTATTTGACATTTATTGAACAAATGATGAGTCTGAATAAATGATGGTTGAGGGAGAGGAGGGAGGTTGCAGATTGGCTCTGAGACAGCTGCAGAGAGCAGGGGAACTTTAAGTGGAGCACTAGGACTCAGGTTTAGTCGGGAGACGGGAGAGTGGCAGGTAGACTGGATGAAAAGCACAAGGAACAGCATCAAGCGTATGGGGACATGGGAATGCGTGAGCTCTTGGGCAATTGTGAGAAGTTCAGGGGAGCAGAAGGCTCTTGGAGGAGAGGAAAGAAGGATGTGTTAGCCATACATCAGTTCAATGTAAACATTTTATGGTAAAAGAATACAAGCCACAGACCTGCACTCTAGGCCTACCTCTGTCATGAACTCAGGGCATGGCAGTATGAAAATCCTTTTACACCAGGGGTTCAAAAATCAAATGCCTAAAATGACCAAGCTAGTAAAGATTAATGAATGAGGAGTGTGGGTATAAGACAATAGGAAGTGCTACTGTGTTGTCAGGGGAATATTGGCCCAGTGTCATCCAGTGGTACCAGAACTTTCAACTTTCTAGATAAGTCAGATATCTGAGTTTTTATGTGAAATCTCCAAATTTTAAACTATTGACATCTAATTGAATGTTTTATTAAATATTATACTGGCAAAAAATGCCTATTACTGCTCTACAACACCTGATTTAACTTTCTATTCTATAAAATGACTTGTTCAATCTTCCTCAAAAGATTATTAAAAAGATCAAATCATCTTTAGATAAACACTTAGAGAATTACGATGTGCTATAGCAATTTATGTATAATTTTTATTGTTATTAATGTCACCAATTCTCATTTTTTGCACAAGCCTACTTGTGTCTTGCTTGCTCTTCCTGGTCTTTCTTTTTACTTTATTCTAACAGTAATTCAAAAAAGAGCTTAGCATACAATGGCCTAATATCAAAGGAATTGGCTTAACACTGCGGGGTCAAGATGGGTTGGCATCTCTGTTATCCCACATAATTCAATCAACTTGAGTAATTGGATCTTCTCTTGGCAGTAGGATGGGTATAAACACTTTAAAAACACATTATTTGATTTGATTTATTTATTTATTTATTTTTTGAGACAGAGTCTCTCACTCTGTTGCCCAGGCTGGAGTGCAGCTAATTTTTGTATTTTTAGTAGAGATGGGGTTTCGCCATGTTGGCCAGGCTGGTCTCGAACCCCTGACCTCAGGTGATCTGCCCGCCTTGGCCTCCCAAAGTGCTAGGATTACAGGCGTGAGCCACCACACCCGGCCTAATTTGATTTTATGCACATATATATACTGAGGAAAAATTGCTTTCTGTATACTATATGAAAATGGCTTATTTGTGCATGTGTGTGAATATATATATATCATATATACTGTATATGAAAGTGTATGTGTATATATCATATATACTATATATGAAAATGGCTTTGTGTGTGTGTATATAGATATCTGTATGTGTATATATATATACACACATATATCTATATACACATACATATATATATATATACACACACACACACCCATATATATATATATGCCATTTTGCCTCAGCCTACACAACTCTTGATAATCAAAAGTCCTAAAAAGAGGGCTGGGCATGGTGGCTCACACCTGTAATCCCAGAACTTTGGGAGGCTGAGGTGGGCGGATCACCTGAGGTTGGGAGCTCAAGACCAGCCTGACCAACATGGAGAAACCCCATCTCTATTAAAAAATACAAAATTAGCTAAGTGTAGTGGCACACGCCTGTAATCCCAGCTACTCGAGAGGCTGAGGCAGGAGAATCACTTGAACCCAGGAAGTGGAGGTTGCAGTGAGCCGAGATCGTGCCATTGCACTCCAGCCTGGGCAACAAGAGCGAAACTCCGTCTCAAAAAAAAAAGTCCTAAAAAGAAAACTAATAGTTGGTATTACCCAAGTATATTGGTATATGCAATCAAAATACTCTGAATTCTTAAATTATTATTATTTCTTTTCTACAAAGTAGAGATTCTCATGTACTTACAGAGGTTTTGGTTAATGCTTTATCTTTAACCAATTTATAGGCTTAAAAAAAAAAAGAAAACAAGCAGAACTGATACCAATGACTACTAAAGATGAGTCCCAGAACTAAAGATAACAATTAGATATTATCAGGACTCCCCAGATGAAGTTGCAGAATCTCTTTCTTTCACTTTAAGCCTTTAAACAGGATTTATCTCATTTGTCTCAGATGATTTTACTGTGGTCCTGCCAAACAGTGACCTCTCAAGTTTTCTGCACATGTGCTTGTGCTGGTTGACAGGACTGTACGATTTTCGTGCAATGTATTCAGATCCTCTGTGGAATGTGTACTCTTTTAAGAAACCAAAAATCTCATACGAATCTCATAAATTTTCCCCTGCTGCTGATTGGAACTTCTTCAGAAGCAGTACCAGAACAACCAGGTCTTCTTTAAGTGCTTCTGTAAAGACTTTATTTCTGCAGCTGTAGCTGAGGCTTCCACTGCAGGCAGCCCAATAAGGTTTAGATTACAAACGGGAAATAAACCTCTTGAAGTCGTATTCTGAATGTACCTACCAGCAAGAGTGAAATGAATCACATGCTTCCTTTTGGTGACATTTTACTCTATAACTTTAGGAATCTCAGCAGGAAAAGTGTAGGTTTGCCTAGAAAAGAGAGTAGGAAAAATTTACAAAGAAATGAATAACCCAGAAAAAAAGTAAGGCAGGTGGCCAATCCTGTGATTTTTAACTAGGAATATTAAAACACTGAGCCCTTTGTTTAGATAGCCAAAACAACTCTTTTACATTTTGGAAATAGGGCTTCAACCTCATTTCATCCTCTCCAAGATAGTCCCGGATTAAATGATGAATAGAAGTTGGATACTAAATTTTACAGTCTTCTTTTCTTGAGACAGAGTCTTATTCTGTCACCCAGGCTGGAGTGCAGTGGTGAGATCTTGGCTCACCGCAATCTCCACCTCCGGGGTTCAAGTGATCCTCCAGCAGCCTCAGCCTCACTAGTAGCTGGGACTACAGGCATGCACCACCATGCCTGGCTAATTTTTGTATTTTTAGTAGAGATGGGGTTTCGCCATGTTGGCCAGGTTGGTCTCAAACTCCTGACCTCAAGTGATGTGCCCACCTTGGCCTCCTGAAGTGCTGGGATTACAGGTGTGAGCCACTATGCCTGGCCCTAAATTTTACATTCTGAATATGGCTAAGAACAAATAGTACTGGGAAGATCAAATCGATGTCATCTGCTGTTGATAGTATGGGTTACAGTGAAAAATAATTGGAAGTAGTCAATCCCTGCTTCTCATCAAATTATTTCCCTTTCTCTTTGTCCTCCTACTCCTGTGAGTAAGTAAGTTGGGGTCAAAGGAAAATTTGGGATTGAGTGAGAAGCACCTCAGATGTTGGGGAATGGAAGAAATAGTAACAGAGTCTGAGTTCCAGATTGGGAGAGAGAGATCTCATCCAAAGACTGGGTCTGGTCAGTGAAAATGAGAGGGCGTTGTGAAAACTAGGACTGTGCTCAAGAGAGTTGCAAAATCACAATCTGATGAGGCTTTAGGGAATCTGTAACAGCAAATCAGTCAAAAATGCTTACTTAGCCTCAGTCTCAAACGCACTGGCTCCTTCCTGCCTTTTGATGACCCTTCCCCCGATTCCACTCACAGGAGCCAATTCTAAAGTTCCATCGCTGCATTCTGTCACCCACACAGCCCCCTGCAGCCACATCTGCCAGTGGGTGGACGAAGACAGCAGAACAAACAGGTTTGGGTGTGGTGTGGTTCTTGTCATCTTGCCAAAGGGTCACAGTCATTTTTAAAAATCTTTTCATTTACATCTCAGAATGAGAGTGTGAAATATGATGTGAAAAATCTGAGGCCCCACAAAATGTTTTTTTGTTTTTACAAATAGACCATTTAGTTGAGTTCTTTTCTTGGCTGAATGTCTCTGCCACAGGCTTGGGTCCTTCTTAAGGAGAGAGACTGAGTCATATATTTCTGAAATCCAAAAGTACCTCAAATATAACAGGTGCTTAACAGATCTATGTCGAATAAAGGAACAAATCTTTAGAAAATCTAACATTCTTTTGGGTGTTCTTTTAGCATGGCTATAGGTCAGAGATAGGGAAAGATTTACGATATCCTAGGGAAAGAATCTCGGCCAACTTAAAGTGTAAACTTTCCTAAGTCAGGCAGACTCACTATAAGAGGAAAGCTGACAAATGCTACATTTTATTTATAATCATTAGCCAAATAAACTACTGTGTCTTTGTTACATTAAAATAGTATTTGAGATTTCACCCTTCACCACGTCCACCAGAACAGGCACTGGTGGACACCTGTTCTCCACAGCTGAGAGACCCATAGATGGTTCACATCACAGGACTCTGTGCAGACAATCCCCAGTACCAGCGTGGAGCTGGGTAGACTTGCTGGGTGGCTAGACCCAGAAGAGAGACAACAGTCACTGCAGTTTGGCTCACAGCAAGCCACATCCATAGGAAAAGAGGGAGAGTACTACATCAAGGGAACACCCCATGGGAAAAAGAATCTGAACAACAGCCTTCAGCCTTAGACCTTCCCTCTGATAGAGCCGCCCCAAATAAGAAGGAACCAGAATACTAATCCTGGTAATATGACAAAACAAGGCCTTCAACACCCCCCAAAAATCAAACTAGTTCACCAGCAATGGATCCAAACCAAGAAGAAATCCCTGATTTACTTGAAAAAGAATTCAGGAGGTTAGTAATTAAGCTAATCAGGGAGGGACCAGAGAAAGGCAAAGCCCAATGCAAGGAAATCCAAACAATGACACAATAAGTGAAGAGAGGAATATTCAAGGAAATAAATAGCTTAAAGAAAAAACAATAAAATATTCAGGAAACTATGGACACTTTTAGAAATATGAAATGCTCTGGAAAGTACAAGCAATAGAATTGAACAAGTAGAAGAAAGAAATTTGGAGTTCGAAGACAAGGTCTTTGAATTAACCCAACCCAACAAAGACAAAGAAAAAAGAATAAGAAAATATGAACAAAGCCTCCAAGAAGTCTGGGATTATGTTAAATGACCAAACCTAAGAATAATTGGTTTTCCTGAGGAAGAAGAGAATTCGAAAAGCTTGGAAAACATATTTGGGGGAATAATCGAGGAAAACTGCCCTGGCCTAGCTAGAGACCTAGTCATCCAAATATAAGAAGCATAAAGAACACCTGGGAAATTCATTGTGAAAAGATCTTCACCTAGGCACATTGTCATCAGGTTATCCAAAGTTAAGACAAAGGAAAGAATCTTAAGAGCTGTGAGACAGAAGCATCAGGTAACCTATAAAGGAAAACCTATCAGATTAACAGCAGATATCTCAGCAGAAACCCTACAAGCTAGAAGGGATTGGGGGCCCTATCTTCAGCCTCCTCAAACAAAACAAATGTCAGCCAAAAATTTTGTATCCAGCAAAACTAAGCATCATATAAGAAGGAAATATAGTTGTTTTCAGATAAACAAATGCTGAGAGAATTCGCCATTACCAAGCCACCACTGCAAGAACTGCTAAAAGGAGCTCTAAACCTTGAAAGGAATCCTGGAAACACATTTTCTTGTGTTTCCTCTTTAAAGCATAAGTCACCCAGGACCTGTAAAACAAGAATATAAGCTAAAAAGCAAAAGCAAAAAACAAACAAACAAAAAAACAAAGTACACAGGCAACAAAGAGCACAATGAATGTAACAATACCTCACATTTCAATACTAACATTGAATGTAAATGGCCTAAATGCTCCACTTGAAAGATCCAGAATTGCAGAATGGATAATTAATCACCAACCATCTGATGCCTTCAGGAGACTCACCTAACACTTAAGGACTTACATAAACTTAAAGTAAAGGAGTAGAAAAAGGCATTTCATGCACATGGACACCAAAAGTGAGCAGGGGTAGCTATTCTTGTATCAGACAAAACAAACTTTAAAGCAACAGCAGTTAAAAGAGACAAAGAGAGACATTATATAATGCTAAAAGGCCTTGTCCAACAGGAAAATATCACAATCCTAAACATATATGCACCTAATACTAGTGCTCCCAAATTTATAAAACAATTACTAACAGATGTAAGAAATGAGATAGAAAGCAACACAATAATAGTGGGGGACTTCAGTACAGCACTAGACAGGTCATCAAGACAGCAGTTCATCAAGACAGAAAGTCAACAAACAATGGATTTAAACTATACCTTGGAACAAATGGACTTAACAGATATATACAGAACATTTCATCCAACAACAACAGAATACACACACATTCTATTCAACAGCACATGGAACTTTCTCCAAGATAGACCATATGATAGGCCATAAAATGAGCCTCAATAAATTTAAGAAAATTGAAATTATATCAAGCATTCTTTTAGACTACAGTGCAATAAAACTGGAAATCAACTCCATAAGGGACCTTCGAAACCACACAAATGCATGGAAATTAAATAACCTGCTCCTGAATGATCTTGGGTCAAAAACGATCAAGATGGAAATTTAAAAATTATTCAAACTGAATGACAATTATGATACAACTTATCAAAACCTCTGGGATACAGCTAAGGCAGTGCTAAGAGGAAAGTTCATAGCTCTGAATGCCTATATCAAGAAGTCTGAAAGAGCACAAACAGACAATCTAAGGTCACACCTCAAGGGACTAGAGAAATAAGAACAAACCAAACCCAAAGCCAGCATAAGAAAGGAAATAACCGAGATCAGAGCAGAATTAAATGAAACTGAAACAAACAAACAAAAAATACCAAAGTTAAATGAAACAAAAAGCTGATTCTTTGAAAAGATAAATAAAATTGATACACCATTAGCAAGATTAACTAAGAAGAGAGAAAATCCAAATAACTTCACTGAGAAATGAAACAGGAGATATTACAACTGACACCACCAAAATACAAAAGATCATTCAAGGCTACTATGAACACCTTTACACACATAAACTAGAAAATCTAGAAGAGATGGGTAAATTCCTGGAAAAATACAACCCTCCTAGCTTAAATCAAGAAGAATTAGATATCCCAAACAGACCAATAACAAGCAGCAAGATTGAAATGGTGATTAAAAAATTACTAACACAAAAAGTCCAGGATCAGAAAGATTCACAGCAGAATTCTACCAGACATTCAAAGAATAATTGGTATTAATCCTTTTGGCATTATTCCACAAGATAGAGAAAGAAGGAACCCTCCCTAACTCATTCTATGAAGCCAGCATAACCCTAATACCAAAACCAGGAAAGGACACAACCAAAAAAGAAAACTACAGACCAATATCCTTGATGAACATAGTTGCTAAAATCCTTAACAAAATACTAGCTAACCAAATCCAACAACATATCAAAAAGATAATCCACCATGATCAAGTGGGTTTCACACCAGGGATGCACAGATGGTTTAACATATACAAGTCAATAAATGTGATATGCCACATAAACATAATTAAAAACAAAAAATCACATGATCATCACAATAGATGCAGAAAAAGCATTCAACAAAATCCAGCATCCCTTTATGATTAAAACTCTCAGCAAAATCGGCATACAAGGGACATACCTTAATGTAATAAAAGCAATCTGTGTCAAACCCACAGCCAACATAATACTGAATGGGGAAAAGTTGAAAGCATTCCCTCTGAGAATGGGAACAAGACAGAGATGCCCACTCTGACCACTCCTCTTCAACATCGGACTGGAAGTCCTAGCCAGAGCAATCAGACAAGAGAAAGAAATAAAGGGCATCCAAATCAGTAAAGAGGAAGTCAGACTGTCATTGTTTGCTGAAAATATGGTCCTTCACCTTGAAAACCCTAAAGACTCCTCCAGAAAGCTCCTAGAACTGATTAAAGAATTCAGCAAAGTCTCCAGATACAAGATTAATGCACACAATTCAGTAGCTTTTCTATACACCAGCAGCAACCAAGTGGAGAATCAAATCAAGAACTCAACCTCTTTTAAAATAGCTGTAAAAAAAAAAAATACTTAGCAATATACCTAACAAAGGAGTCGAAAGACCTCTACAAGAAAATCTATAAAACACCGCTGAAAGAAATCATAGATGACACAAACTAATGGAAACACATCCTATGCTCATAGATTGGTAGAATCAATATTGTGAAAATGACCATACTGCCAAAAGCAATCTACAAATTCAATGCAATCCCCATGAGAATACCACCATCATTCTTCACAGAATTAGAAAAAACAATTCTAAAATTCATATGGAACCAAAAAAGAGCTCGCATAGCCAAAGCAAGACTAAGCAAAAAGAACAAATCAGGAGGCATCACACAACCTGATTTCAAACTATCCTATAAGGCCATAGTTACCCAAACAGCATGGTACAGGTATAAAAATAGGCACATAGACCAATGGAACAAAATAGAAACTCAGAAATAAACCCAAATACTTACAGCCAACTGATCTTCAACAAAGCAAACAAAAACATAAAATGGGAGAAAGGACACCCTTTTCAACAAATGGTGCTGGGATTATAATTGGCTAGCCACATGTAGGAGAATGAAACTGGATCCTCATCTCTTACCTTATACAAATATCAACTCAAGATGGATTGAAGACTTAAACCTAAGACCTGAAACTATAAAAATTCTAGAAGGTAACATTGGGAAAACCCTTCTAGACATTAGCTTAGGCAAGGATTTAATGACCAAGAACTCAAAAGCAAATGCAATAAAGAAAGCTAAATAGCTGGGACCTAATTCAACGAAAGAGCTTTTGCATGGCAAAAGGAACAGTTGACAGAGTAAACAGACAACCCACAGAGTGGGAGAAAATCTTCACGATCTATATGTCTGACAAATGACTAATATCCAGAATCTACAATGAACTCAAACAAGTCAGTAAGAGAAAAACAAACCATCCCATCAAAAAGCAGGCTAAGGACATGAATAGACAATTCTCAAAAGAAGATATACAAACGGTGAACAAACATAGAAAAAACGCTCAACATCACTAATAATCAGGGAAATGCAAATCAAAACCACAATGTGATACCACCTTACTCCCACAAGAATGGCCATAATAAAAAAATTAAAAAACAGTAGATGTTGATGTGGATACGGTGATCAGGGAACACTTCTACACTGCTGGTGGGAATGTAAACTAGTACAGCCACTGTGGAAAACAGAGTGGAGATTCCTTAAAGAACTGAAAGTAGAACTACCATTTGATTCAGCAATCCCACTACTGGGTATCTACCCAGAGGAAAAGAAGTCATTATTTGGCCGGGCGCAGTGGCTCACGCCTGTAATCCCAGCACTTCGGGAGGCTGAGGCAGGCGGATCACGAGGTCAGGAGTTCGAGACCAGCCTGACCAACATGGTGAAACCTCATCTCTACTAAAAATAAAAAAATGAGCCGGGCATGGTGGCGTGCGCCTGTAATCCAAGCTACTCAGGAGGCTGAGGCAGGAGAATCGCTTGAACTTGGGAGGCGGAGGTTGCAGCGAGCCGAGATTGCGCCACTGCACTCCAGCCTGGGTGACAGAGCGAGACTCCATCTCAAAAGAAAAAAAAAAGAACTCATTATTCAAAAAAGACACTTGCACAAGCGTGTTTATAGCAGCACAATTCACAATTGCAAAACGTGGAACCAACCCCAATGCCCATCGGTCAATGAATGGATAAAGAAACTGTGATATATATATATACATACGTACATACATACACACACACACACACATAATGGAATACTACGCAGCCATAAAAGGAATTAATTAACAGTATTTGCAGTGACCTGGATGAGATTGGAGACTATTATCCTAAGTGAAGTAACTCAGGAATGGAAAATCAAACATCGTATGTTCTCACTGATGTGTGGGAGCTAAGCTATGAGGACGCAAAGGCATAACAATGATGATGGACTTTGGAGATTTGGGGGGAAGAGTGGGAGGGAGGCAAGGGATAAAAGACTACAAATATGGTGCAGTGTATACTGCTCGGTTGATGGATGCACCAAAATCTCACAAATCACCACTAAAGAACTTACTCATGAAACCAAATATCACCTGTACCCCAATAACTTATGGAAAAAAAATAGTATTTGAAAACATTCTGTATAAGGCAATGGTGCTTAATATTTTGGGGTTTAAAAATACTTCTAGAAATCCAAAGACAGCTATGGACTCTTTTCTGAGAAATATGCACATTCATGTCTATTCAGAAAACAAAACCCATTTTCTTTTCTTTATTTACTTTTTATTTTTGAGATAGAGTCTCATTCTGTCACCCAGGCTGCAGTGCAGTGGCACTATCTCAGCTTAGTGCAACCTCCTTCACCCTGGTTCAGACGATTCTCCTACCTCAGCCTCCTGAGTAGCTGGGATTACAGGTGCCTGCCACCATGCCCAGCTAATCTTTGTATTTTTAGTAGAGACAGGGGTTTCACCATTTTGGCCAGGCTGGTCTCGAGCACCTGACCTCAGGTGATCCACCCGCCTCGGCCTCCCAAAGTGCTGGGATTACAGGCGTGAGCCACTGCGCCCGGCCCAAAACAACCCTTTTTCACGAACATTCTAAAGCACTTTCATGGACAAACCTGTATACCAGGTTAAGAACTTCCATAAAGGCAAAGCCCTTGAATGGTGACCTTCAAGGTCCAGAAGAGGGCTTTTAAGAAAAGGTTTATTTTAAGGTTCAGAACAATAGACTCCTAT
Organism: Homo sapiens; assembly: GCF_000001405.40. Taxonomy (NCBI): domain Eukaryota; kingdom Metazoa; phylum Chordata; class Mammalia; order Primates; family Hominidae; genus Homo; species Homo sapiens. The sequence goes on along the minus strand of NC_000001.11, from coordinate 81,682,682 downwards.
ATAGCGTTATCACACATTCCATCCATTCCAAGAGACTGAATTGAAAGAAACAAATATGCACATGGAGCTGCCCCCTCTCTGTGGAGGTAATGGAATTTTCATGCACACACCACAGGGTAGAAGAATTCAAAGGCGCTTGTTTAAGCCAGATGACATGCAGCCACGTTATGGCCAGACCACACTAGCCTCACATCCAAAGAGACACACACAGTAGGTTCACTGCAGTGAAGCATATGAAACATAGTAGAGGTATGGAGTTTGTGCCTTTGAAGCTTAACGTCAATCTTAAGATAGTTCCTAAACAAATGAAAAAAGAAATTACTGTCATTAATCACTCTCTGATTCTTAACAATATTTTTTTCCTCAGTCCTAAAATTTAAGCCGATTACCAGCCATTCCCTGAGATTCAAAGGCCAGGGAAGAACTTGCATGAGAAAACAATGTGTATGCATCTCAGTTGTCTTTTCTGACCCCTCATCTCCTCTCTTTCCAGCAACAGCTTCCTTCCTGTAATACTTTCCTTCTTGCAATGGCAAAGAAAAAGAAAAATACACACACACACACACACACACACACACATATATATGTATATATATGGAACTTTCTAACTGAGCCAACTTCAAATTGCCAAACCAAAATCTGGAAGGTTGCTTTTTAAAATGCTTTTGTAGCCAAACAGATGTATTTCTAAATTTTACTTCATTCACTGGCTTCTCCCCACTATATTTAGGATTCATTGCTCATTTTCTTATCATTTTCCATTTCATTGCTTTTGTTTCACATTCAAGTAACTGTAGGTCAAATGTACTCCAGACTATTCTGTTAAAGACGTGTTAAAATCAAATAGAAACTGCATGATTAACGATATGAATCATCCATTTTATAAAAAAACAAGAAAGTAAACAAGTGCTTGGCAAAGCCCCACCTGCTTTGCTGCTGTTGCGGTGCTATGCATATGGTGAGGAAAACAATTCCCCCTTCTCAAGGCTGAACTAAAATTAGGCTCCACCTGCAAGATGTTAATGAAAACTTACACAGCTGCATTCCAGAAACAAGTTACACAGATTGCTTTTGGAAAGCTCTGTGTAAAAGCAAACTTGTTAGCTCTTTGCCTAGTTCCCAAACTGTAGTATTAATTTTAATGTCAATTATTAGCACAATAACCAACTGATAAGTAACCTCAAAATAGATCTGATACATCCGATAGGAAATACACCGGGACTTTATCCACACATATTGCTGAGTTTAACCCTTTACTCACACATGCATTCTTCCTGTCTCTTCTTTGGCACTGGCTTTCAAACAGAAGACAGGAGAACATGTGAAGTCACTGGAATGGGTCCCAAACAGTTCCAGTTCACATGGAGGCTCCCCTTATCCACATGCTGCTTACTGGCAAGAAGAATGAGAAGCACATGCTTCCTTTGCCCTCCATCCCTTCTGCAGGTTCTCAAGCTTTCTTTGGTAAAGACTCAAATAGGAACCAAATTACATCAGACTCACATCCACCTTTCTCTTACAGATTTAAGATATAGAGGCAGCTGGTGAATTCTTACCAGAGCAAGCAGTCTCTCTGCTTCATTTCCAGGTCAAGTCTTCACAGCTCTGTTCTATAGGCCAAAGGGCTCATTCTTGATCCTCATTACTTTCCTAGGTCTTACTATAGTGCTTATCCTTGGAGGGAAGATGTATTATAGTTTAATTATTTAGTAAACTATGTGTGTCAAAAAATTCAAGAAGCTGCCATTGGGGGATGGAGGATCTCTGCCTTTTAAAAATCCCAGCCTTGAAAAAAATTCCTTTTCATCACTTCCTTTACTTGTAATTTCTTTAGTTTTATCAAGGAGCAGGAAATGCATGCAGTTGTTCTGAGTTGATCTATGTTCCCAACATTGCAGGTGTCATTGTATAGATTCTTAATATTTTCATACTTGCCCCTTCTTTAAGGCTCTGATACAATTTAAAAAAAATTTTTTTTCTGAAAGTCAAATAGGCTGAATTGGATCTCGAGCGGCAAAGTCAATTTCTGTTAGAGATTAAATAATGGAGAAAACAGCAATGCTAACAAGTAGAAGAAGGCTGCCTTTCATTACCCCATCTGATTTCATTAGCCTAATTCACGATTATTAATTATCGGTCTGATGAGATCATCAGTGTAAGCATGCCAGCCTCATGATGGTTGCATTTGGGGAATATTCAGTCTTTTTCAAGATTTCTACATAGCCCTAAGCCGACATTCCGGTTTCATTTCCATTTTCGGCTGCTGCCCTACTCAATAAATGTATCTGAACCGCCTATGAAATGAACATTGCTGGAATAAACAGTTTGTTTACTACCCAGACCTGCTTTGCAACTGTCAACAAAGAAATATAAGAAGAGATTTAAGTTTTCATTCCTAGATAGTGAACTCCTCTGTGTTTCTACAATGCAAGTCATTACAGACTCAGCTGCCCCCTGAGATTGAGCAATTCTTGTGCACATTGTAACAAAGGGCTGCCGATCTGGCAGTGTGGGAGTGGACTGGGCCACTTAGATAAGTTTCATTCACTGTAGGAGCCCAAGGGAACAGTGCATCAAGGCAGCTGTGCTGCCTCGGTTCATGGTGTAACTTTACACTATTTTCCCTTTAAGTCGCTACTAATCCCTTGGGTTTACATGTTTTTTGGGGCTGCATCAGAGAAAAGCAGTGTGAAATTGCCTGAAAGCCTCCTTATAAATAAGACTTACAATATAGACCAGCTCAGTTGATGAAAAGACTGAAAGAAATGCTCTTGAGGGTCCCAAGAACCATTTTACGAGGTTCCCACTGTGATTTTTTTTGGTCTCTGCTTAGTGACTGCTAAAACAAATTACTAACTAAATTAAAATCCCATTGGCCCCAAATTCAGAAGTAAACAGATCTTTAGCATGAGGTACTTCCAGTCTACATATTTATTAACAAATATTTCTTGTTTAAACTCTATCTTCTCTTTCTAGAAAATATTACTCCTTTGATAAATAGAAAAAGGAGAAAGCAAGAAAAGCAAGAAACCTAGTATAGCAAAGGTTGAGACACTAGGCTAAGGTTCCAGGGCCTCCTGGATTTGCTTCCTAAAACTATGTGCAAAGCACTGGTGTGGACCAGGTATAGGCTTCCTGGCTTTTAATTCTCAGCTCAACACTTTGAGGTATTATTGCTCCATTTTAAAGATAGGGAAACCGAGGCTAGTAAATGGAAGAACTATTAATTTAGTATGGGAGTGTCTTACTTTAAAAGAATCCTGTTTTTTTTTTTTCTTACTACCATCCAGAGAAGCTGGAAGACCTGTCCTCATTAGCCAAGAAGATATAGAGAGGCAAAAGATAAACACTCTTCCCTCTTTATTCCTTTGGGTTCTTCATTACCACCAGTGGATCTCTCATGTTGACTCTTAAGATTCTGGAAATTGGCCTGACCTCCTACCCTATTCCCCTTATGGAAACACTGACTCCTCTTACACCTCCCATTTTTCTTACACTCAATCCTGTCCACCCAGCCTGCCTCCCTGTTAGTTTTCCTACTCTCTGAATCCTCCTACAAAGAGCCATTTGGAAACAATTTCGAGGTCCACCTACTTTCCTGTGCATCTGTCTTTTGTAATTTAGAGGAGGGACTGTGTGTTTTCTCCTTGTCATGTTTATGCCTCATATTCTGTGGCTACCTAATAAATGCTGAATAATAGCAGCTTTATGACAGTGCAGAACCAGAAACACCGGTTCTGATATTTAGTATTTCATCACCAACAAGGAACATTTATTCACTGTCAGCACTATGCTAGGCACTAACTGCAGTTAATTACCAAGGCCTGCCTCTAACCTTTGCACACCAGGATGTTTGGCTTTTTTCTCTTATTTTCCCGACAAAAGAAAAAAATGGGACCACCTCGGAACCTTCTCATTAAATTCACAGCATCCTGAAGAGAAAGGCCTGTACTGTTTAATAGAAGGGGAGACAAGATACAGAGCATGCTTAATGCGAACTCTGAGAGGTAGTGGCAAAGTCATACATAAAGGCCACTTTGCTGTTATATACATTCCTGGCTTTCCTTTGTGCTAGCATGGAAAGGGAAGAATGGACAATCTGAAATGTGTATTTTCCAGGAATAACAAAAATACCTCTGTGTTCATGCTATGTCTAAACAAGTAGAGTAAATTAAACTTCAAAATTTAGGCCAAAGATACAGTTGCTTGTAATATCAACATAAGTGATTCAGAAAGGTTGTTGTTTTGTTTTGTAGACATCCCTAAATAATTATCCAAATTCTGTTTCTTTTGCTTGCCTGCGTAGACAGAGGCTACAACTACACTATAAAAATAAAAGGCCACTTTCAAATTTGGGACTTATTAATTCATGAGCTAACCCATTATAACACCATCGATTTTTTTGTTGTTCTCAATTGTTAATTCAGTAAGTATTTATCAAATACTGCCACATGTTTGGCTCTATGCTATACACTGGAGCTCAGAGATCAGAGTAGAGACAGACATGTAAACAAGTTACTAAAGAAATATGGTGTGGTATAATGGATATAATTATAAGTCCTGCAGGAATGATAAATTCTTCCTATGTGCTCTGAGAAGGCTACATATGGGAGGTGACATTTCAGCTGTGTCTTAAAGATGAATAGTTGTTCACAGTCAGAGGGTGGGAAATACATCAAAGGAAAAGGGAACAGCAAGTGCAAAGATAGAAGTTCAGAGAAAATAATAGTATATAATGTATTTGTTACATAGGGTATATGATGAGAAATGGTAGAAGATGATGTTAAACTCCTTAGTGATGAAGTCCCTTGCGTGTCACTTTAGGGAGATTAAATTCTGTTTTATGGTCATCAGGAAGGCATCGAAAGTTTTAAACAGAAGGATAATGTGATTGCATTTATCCTCTAGAAAGATAATTCAACATAAAGAATGGGTTGGCAGTAGTTGAGTCTTCGGGTAAGGGTGAATTACACGGTCATTATTTTAGTCGAGGCCTGAGGTAACGAGGGGCTTAATTTAGACAGTACAAAGGAAGATGAAAAGAAGAAAATATAATTGAGAGATATTTAGGAGATAGAAATGACAGGCCTTGATAACTAATAGGACACGTGGGAGACAGAGGTCAACTTGAACAGTTTTCTAGATGGTGATGCTTCTAAGGGAAAATATTACTATCATTTTGTTGCACCCCATCCCAAATATTTCAGGAGCTATACTGAGTTATTCCTTTATGCTAGTTTATTCGAATCTTACCATAGCAATGTGACATAAACAATAGGTGGTTTTATTCCGGCTATATGAAGCTCAGGAAAGTTAAGACAGTAGTCCAGTCTCTCAACTAGATCACAAGGAGTTGGGATTTGAACCTGAATCTTCCGTTTAAAAATCCAATGAGTTGGGCCAGGTGTGGTGGCTCATGCCTATAATCCCAGCACTTTGGGAGGCCGAGGCAGGCAGATCACCTGAGGTCAGGGGTTTGAAACCCGCCTGGACAATGTGGCGAAACCCCCTCTCTACTAAAAATACAAAATTAGCCAGGCGTGGTGGTGCATGCTGGTAATCCCAGCTACTTGGGAGGCCGAGGCAGGAGAATTGCCTGAAACCGGGAGGCAGAGTTGCGATGAGCCGAGATCGTGCCATTGCACTCCAGCCTGGGCAACAAGAGCGAAACTCTGAAAAAAAAAAAAAAAGAATAATCCAATGAGTTGGCCAGGCACAGTGGCTCACGCCTGTAATCTCAGCACTGCGGGCAGATCACGAGGTCAGGAGATCGAGAACATCCTGGCTAACACAATAAAACCCTGTCTCTACTAAAAAATACAAAAAAAATTAGCCAGGTGTGGTGGCGGGCGGCTGTAGTCCCAGCTACTTGGGAGGCTGAGGCAGGAGAATGACGTGAACCTGGGAGGTGGAGTTTGCAGTGAGCTGAGAACGCGCCACTGCACTCCAGCCTGGGCGACAGAGCAAGACTCGTCTCAAAAAAAATAAAATAAAATAAAATAAATCCAGTGAGTTCTGTACACATTTCCACAGTCTCCAGGTAACATGCATGCAATTTCCCCCTTAAAACCTTGTTAATCAGGGCCCAGGATGGTGGCTCACGCCTGTAATACCAGCACTTTGGGAGGCCAAGGTAGAGGAATCACTTGAGTCCAGAAGTTCAAAAACAGCCTAGTCAACATAGTGAAATATTATCTCTACAAAAAATTTTTTAAAAATTTGCTGGGTGTGGTGCTGTGTTCCTGTAGTCCTAGCTATTCGGGAGGCTGAGGTGGTAGGATCACTTGAACCCGGGAGGTTGGACTGTGATTGTACAACACTGCACTTCAACCTGGGCAGCAGAGTGAGATCCTGTTTCAAAACAAAACAAAACAGGCCGGGCGCGGTGGCTCTCACCTGTAAGCCCAGCACTTTGGGAGGCCGAGGCGGGCAGATCATGAGGTCAGGAGTTCAAGACCAGCCTGGCCAATATGGTGAAACCTCATCTCTACTAAAAATACCAAAAATTAGCCAGGCATGGTGGCATGGTGGCGGGTGCCAGTAATCCCAGCTACTCAGAAGGCTGAGACAGGAGAATTGCTTGAACCTGGGAGGCAGAGATTGTAGTGAGCTGAGATCGTGCCATTGCACTCTAGCCTGGGCAAGAAGAGCAAAACTCCGTCTCAAAACAAAAACAAAAAACAAGACAAAAAACCTTGTTATGGGTTTTTGAATCAAAACAAACCATAAATTTGATCAGTAGGTGTTAGGACCAATTTAAAACCTTCATTTTGCGTGAAATCATTTTCTTAAAACTGTTTATTTGCCGGGCACAGTGGCTCATGCCTGTAATCCCAGCACTTTGAGAGTCCAAGGCAGGTGGATCATGAGGTCAGGAGATCAAGACTATCCTGGCTAACATGGTGAAACCCTGTCTCTACTAAAAATAGAAAAATCAGCTGGGTGTGATGGCACACGCCTGTAATCCCAGCTACTCGGGAGGCTGAGGCAGGAGAATCCCTTGAGCTGGGGAGGCAGAGGTTGCAGTGAGCCAAGATCACACCACTGCACTCCAGCCTGGGTGACAGAGTGAGACTCTGTCTCAAATAAAATAAGAAAAAAAAAAAAAAACAGTTTATTTTTCCAATGCCTGGACAAATTTCTTTGCTGCTAAAAACAATAACAAAAACCCAGAAAATAAGCTTAAACTTCTGTTAACTTATTTATAATTTAAAAAACAGTGACACCTCTTTGTTAAGAAAAAAATCTTTGCCACAGTGGAGTCCATTAGAATTAAGGCCTCATACATGAGTAGAATAACATAAGTTTTCAAATAGTAAATCACCTAGGTTTCAGCTCATTGGAGATTTGACTTTCAATTTTTCAGTATTACTGATTCAAAATACTTAGGAAGCTATATTGTCAAATTAAAATATTTCTAAAGTTAACTGAGCAGAAGTCTCTTCTTTCCTAACAGCACCATAGGCTTTTATTATGTAACAGGCTATTAGATGGAAACAAAAAAAGTTATGCTCTTTTGTGTTGAGACCACCTAATTTTCCTCAATTATCTCTACTTCTCAGTTATGTTATTTCGTTTCAGTGTGGTGGATCCTTTATTTCCCAGGATCTTCTTTTGCCTTTGTACTGATTTGGGAAGGTATTCGTTTGCATGAGATACTTGCACCTGGCCTGAAATCTGTGAAAGGGAAAAGGATGAAAAAGAGAAAATGATATGGCCTCCAGCACTTTCTTCTTTCTTTTTTTATTTTATTTTAGTTTTTATTTTTCATATGAAACAGTTTCCTGCAAGGATCTTCTATATACAGTGGAAGATGCTTTTGATATGTAGATCAAGCAAAATGGTAAATACATAGCCCTCTCTTTTCAAATATTCCCTTATTCTACAATGTGCCTGTAGTGCCAATTTCTTTGATTTCCATGAGGCCTACCCTTGGGTTTGTATTGTAACTTGGTATCTTTCCATTGTCTCTTACCACAAAAATTCCTTTTAAGAAACTGCATTCAGAATTGAATCCATCAAACTTCAGCTGCTCATTCTCCTCCTCCTTATGGAAGATTTAGTGACTAAGTCTTTGCTTTGATTTTCTCTCAAACTTTGAGGGTTCTTACTTTCTCTCCTAATTGCAACAATTTGGTGTCCCCTTTTGCTTGGGCGCAAATAAAAACAGCAACAAATGGTTAAAAGACATGGGGGCGCACCGGTGCACATGCCTGACTAGCTGATGGACTGCAAGTTTGGGCTGTCAGGAAAGAGATCTTCCCACAGCACCATGCACTGGCAATTTCAACATGCGTGCTATGCCTGGCACAGTGGTAAGTGTTCTACGTGCATTAGAGTTCTCCTAGGAGGACCAATAAGGCAGGCCATGGTATTACTTCCATAGTTTCAGATTAGAGAATTGGGTCTAAAAGATTTTAAGAATCTTTCTCAAGGTCATTCAACTACTAAGTCCTAGAACTGGTCTGTGAACCCAAGTTTTGTTTATGTTTCAAGGCAAAAAAGGTAAACTTTACATGAAACTTTACAAGAAAAACACTATTAAAATTCTTAAAATTTTATATTAAAGACAGATTCATTAGATATAACATATTTTAAAATGTGATTTTATTTTATCCAAATTGCATTCAAGTGTTAAATTTTGAAATGTTGCCAGGACTCAGATAATTTATAAAAATTATTTACATGGGTCATTTCTGAAAAGGTCAATATGATGATTTGGTGATCTTAATGAACAAGTGGATCATCCCACAAGCATTCATTCATAGTTACTGACATTATAATGATTTGATTCAAACATTATAACCTCCATTATTAGAACATACTGGTTAGACTGCTATGGGAAAATTTTTAAAAAACTAGAAGAGGCTGGGTGCAGTGGCTCACGCCTGTAATCCCAGAACTTTGGGAGGCCGAGGCGGGCAGATCACGAGGTCAGGAGATCGAGACCATCCTGGCTAACACGGTGAAACCCTGTCTCTACTAAAAAAATACAAAAAAATTAGCTGGGCGTGGTGGTGGGCGCCTGTAGTCCCAGCTCCTTGGGAGGCTGAGGCAGGAGAATGGTGTGAACCCGGGAGGCAGAGCTTGCAGTGAGCCGAGATCGCGCCACTGCACTCCAGTCTGGGCGACAGAGTGAGACTCCGTCTCAAAAAAAAAAAAAAAAAAAAAATAGAAGGCACAGTTTCTGTTCCTCAGGGCTCACCTTCTAGTAGCATATATAGGATAACTCTACAAATATACACAAACCATATTAGCAAATATGCACAAATTCTATTGTTAGACCATAGAAAAGTGAGACAATAATTCTGACTAGAGAAATACAGAGTTCCTGAAAAGAAGGAATTTTGTTGGGCCTTGAAAAAAGGGTAGGATTTTAAAAGGTAGGTATGAATGAGGGTATATTGGTTACTTTAAGATCAAATAGAATTACTCTGCTTAAGTATGTCTGTTGTCTCATTGAAAAACAAAACAGATACATTTCATGAAAAGGTAGGTATGTGTGGCTTGAAATGAATTTTTAAATGATGGATATTCTTTCTTTAAATGCCAGAAATAAGATATTTTTCTTTCTCATTGTGTGAAATAAGTAAGACAAAAGCTGGAAAATTATAAAAGTCACTTGATCAAATGAGGCAAGCAATGCTTCCTAAAGGTTTCAATCCAGTGTACACTTTCCCTGAGGCTAGTTGGAACTAGTACACAGTCACAATTGCTCCATCATATGGGTGGCCAGTCAATGTGGTGCCAGCAATAAAATGTGTAATCAACTTTCACATGTTTTCAAACATTTCCAAATCACTTTGATCATGACTAATAAGAAAACTGCTGTTTCAGTTATAATCCATAAATTATCAAGGGGAAGTTCAGTTCAATACTCAGTATAATATTTCACATTTTATTTTTTTAACATAGAATAGGGCAATCTAGAAATATATATATATCCTTAAAACACTAGTCAATTTTCCATTATGAAATCACGGTTCAATGTCAACATTTTTTAATTGTCATTTCCCACAAGTCCAAGTTGCTTTTGAAAACATGCTTACTTTGGATGACATTTCATCTAGGTTAAATGAAAAGTGATAACCTTTATGACAGCTTTCAAAACTGCTTTTAGCAGTTCAACCTGTGGCATCATTGTCCTTCCTCATGTAGCTGAATTTCTCTCAATACAAGAAAAAATAGTTATTATGGCAGAGCAGATACCAGAGTAACATTTCTCTATGCCAAGTGCTTTTTTAGCTTGTAAAGATGTTCCTAAATATGTATCAGTTCCATACCACAGGACACTGTTAACTTGAATAGTTAGAAAGTTACCAGGAAGCAGCATCCATCCAAGAAAGCAACATGAAAGAGCTTGTTGAAAGCTGAAAATGATTTAGGGAGGGAAATTTCAGAAATGACAGCTTTTTAAATCTAATCAAAAACTCTTTCTACACCGGGAGACATTTAGTCTTCCATTGGCTCTAATAGGTATCTTAGAAATCTGCAGAGTTTTAGAAGGCTACAGAAGGCTGCTAAAGCAACACTTGAAAGCCCAATTCTAAGATAAGACATTGTGACACCACTGATAATGGATTAATATGAAGGAGGAATCAGTATGAAAGGCTGTTGTCTGGGACATCATCTGAGACAAAAATCTTAAATAATGATAGCTCTAAAAGCTATGTCTTTTTAACTAATGCTGACATGATTTTTCTTTTTACACACACTATTAAAATTCCCTTTCCAAAGTAACAGTGTGTACACACACAAACATATCCATATACACAACTGACACCAGTAATATTCACATAGGCTTTGCTATTCAAAGTGTGGTCTACAGACCAGCATCACCTGAGAGCTCATTAGAATTTCAGAATCTCAGGGCTGGGCGTGGTGGCTCACACCTGTAATCCCAGCACTTTGGGAGGCCAAGGTGGGTGGATCACCTGAGGTCAGGAGTTTGAGATCAGCCTGGCCAACACAGTGAAACCCAGTCTCTACTAAAAATACAAAAATTAGCCGGGTGTGGTAGCGGGCGCCTGTAATCCCAGCTACTCAGGAGGCTGAGGCAGGAGAATCACTTGAACCCAGGAGGTGGAGGTTGCTGTGAGCTGAGATTGCACCACTGCACTCCAGTCTGGGCGACGGGGCAAAACTCTGTTTAAAAAAAAAAAAAGGAATTTCAGAATCTCAAGGCCCATCCCAGACCTGCAGACTGAGTCTGCATTTTAACAAGATCCCTGGATGATTTCTGTGCACATTAAGTTTGAGAAACACTGATTTAAAAACAAGCTTTAGAAGATGCATAGCTCTCTCATCCTTAAAACCGATGGATCTTAATTTAAAATCTTTATGAATCTCCTCATTATCTAAGGCAGTACAGTTTAGTGAGTGGTTAAGAACAAGCACTTCCAAAAATTTCCTGTCCAAATGGCCTGGAGCCCACTTCTAGGGCCAGCGTGGGCCTCTTCTCTGGCTCAGTTCTCCTGACCAGTGTGACTGTCTGGGGTGAGGAACAGGGGAGAGATGAAGGTTAGGCACATACTTGGGAGGCCCCTTCTCCTACAGAATTTTGCAGAGAGTGGAAAGAGATTAGGGCTGGTCCTGAACTGGGGCCTCCGTTTGCACTCTTGCCCAGGCCTTGCAAATGTTGACAGATATGGCTTATTAAAAATCAATCTGTGAGGCCAGGTGTGACGGCTCAAGCCTGTAGTCCCAGCACTTTGGAAAGCTGAGGTGGCTGGATCACTTTAGCTCAGGAGTTTGAGACCAGCCTGGGCAACGTGGCAAAACCTGGTCTCCACAAAAAATACAAAAATTAGCTGGACATGGTGGCGTGTACCTGTAGTCCTAACTACAGGCTGAGGTGAGAGGATCTCTTGAGCCTGGGAGGTTAAGGCTGCAGTGACCCAAGATCGTGCCATTGCACCCAGCCTGGGCAACAGAGCGAGACCCTGTCTCAAAATAAAGAAATATGTGGCTACACTGATGATTTTGTGAAACAGAGTCTTTTCGAATGTTTGGAAAAAAATTTTTTTGTAATTCCTTCTCCCTCTCCTTACTGCCTCTGATTGGTGGGTTAGAGGGTGCTGGTCCAGATGCCGTGTCCTTCCTTTTCACCTATTTTCTCTTCCTCCATTCACACTACTGCCAGCGTGGCACTGCTGGGAGCTCTGTTTCCTTAGAGACTCACATCTACACTCAGACTTCTAGGCTTCGTGCCAGAGGAGTCCGTCAATGACACAGAGGGCAGTGTACTTTCCTACATATACAAGCACAGCTCCTACTGCCATCAGTGGGAGTTCTACAATCAGATTGAGAGCAGAATACAGTCTAGAATTGGAAATTTGTCCTCAAGGTAAGTCAGCATAAGTGGCCTGGTTACAGAAGAGTCACACTCCATAACGAAATAGCAAATGCATTGAGAATTTAGAGAAGAGTCTCTCCAAGCTCTGGAAGGAGAATCACGTGAAAATAAGCTGAACTACAATCAGTCATCAAAGAATTTTGTAAATTTTTTGAAAGAAAGTATATAGTAAGTGACCCATTTATTAAAAGATTTTCAAAATTAGCCATCTCAACTACTTGAAAGATTCTGGAAATAAACAAAAAGTCTCTGAACACCACACACTTTCCTTACACACTGTGTCCTTTTTCTGACCTGCCTAATTCTATCCTTCCCCCAGGTCTCAGTTTAAATGGGAAGCCTTCCTAGATTAGTTTAGGTGTCCTCTTTTTTTTTTTTTTTTTTTGAGACGTAGTCTCACTCTGTCACCCAGGCTGGAGTGCAGTGGCTTGATCTCGACTCACTGCAAGCTCCGCCTCCCGGGTTCATGCCATTCTCCTGCCTCAGCCTCCTGAGTAGCTGGGACTACGGGCACCAGCCACCATGCCTGGCTAATTTTTTTGTATTTTTAGTAGAGACAGGGTTTCACCGTGTTAGCCAGGATGGTCTCGATCTCCTGACCTCATGATCCGCCCGCCTTGGCCTCCCAAAGTGCTGGGATTACAGGTGTGCACCACCACACCCAGCCAGGTGTCCTCTTTTAAATGCTCTTAGAGCATCCTGCATTTTTTCTTCATAGCACCCATCTAATCTCATTAAATAGTTAACATGTCTTTTATATGTTTGTCTCTTCAGGTAGATTATAAGCTTCATGAGGACAAGGACCATATCTGTCTAATTATGTGACTGAAACACAGTAAATAATAAATACTTGTTCAATGAATGCACATTTAGTAGCCTAAATATATACTCCCATAGTCTTTGTTTTTAGAGATGGAGTCTTGCTACATTGCCCAGGCTGGAGTGCAGTGTGCTGTGCAGTCATAGCACACTACAGCATTGAGCTCCTGGGCTCTAAATGATCTTCCCGCCTCAGTCTCCTCAGTATCTGGGACTATAGTTGTGTGCCTCAGTGGCGGCTAAAAGTCTTATAATAAAAGCACATCCGCCTCAATTTACAGGAACTTACTAGATACTCACCCAGATCTATTTATACTACAGATGTAATTTAGGTGTATTTGTTTACCTATTGTCCCAAATTCCAACTTGTGTCTGTTGGAATTTGGGAAAATAGATAAACAAATCCACCTGAAACTAGAAAGAGAAGGCAGGGAGGAGAATAAGGTAGAGATAAAACAGTCCAGATTGATGGACAGTCTTAGAGCAAGAAGACAGAACACCACAGATAAAAACTAAAAGAATGTAATAATGTGGTGCTAATATTAGGAGCAAGATATTGAGGAAGGTATCTTTGTAACAAACTTGGGAATCCTACAGTTAGTGTTGATCATCATTAATCTTAGTTAAAACAAGCAGGTGGGCCAGGCGCAGTGGCTCACGCCTGTAATCCCAGCACTTTGGGAGGCCGAGGTGGGCAGATCACTAGTGGTCAGGAGTTCAAGAACAGCCTGGCCAACATGGTGAAACCCAGTCTCTACCAAAAATACAAAAAAAAAAAATTAGCCGGGCCTGGTGGCACATGCCTGTAATCCCAGCTACTCAGGAGGCTGAGGTAGGAGAATCTCTTGAACTCAGAGGCAGAGGTTGCAGTGAGCCAAGATCACACCACTGCACTCCAGCCTGGGTGACAGAGTGAGACTCCGTCTCAAAAAAAGCAAAAACAAAACAAAAAAACCCCAGCAAAAACAAAATCCAAGCAAGTGAAATTATATTCCATCTAAAACACTTTTGTATACTTTATTACATTTGATTTTCATAACATACACAAGGGGGCAAGCTATAATAACCAGGAAAACTTGCTTTTTTTTTTTTTTGACAGTGTTACTCTGTCGCCAGGCTGCAATGGTGCGATCCCAGCTCACTGCAACTTCCGCCTCCCAGGTTCATGCGATTCTTCTGCCTCAGCCTCCTGAGTAGCTGGGATTACAGGTGTGCTCCACCATGTCCGACTAATTTTTGTGTTTTTAGTAGAGATGAGATTTCACCATGTTGGTCAGGCCGGTCTCGAACTCCTGACCTCGTGTGTGATCCGCCCCACTTCGCCCCCCAAAGTGCTGGGATTACAGGCATGAACCTCTGAGCCTGGTCGGAAAACTTGCTTATATGAAATACTTCATTCCATGGTGAAGCTAATAAATTAGGTGCTACTACAGTTTCTCACTAAATATTATTAGAAGCATTTAGCTTTGATTTTTAAAGATAATTTTTAGAAAAGAGATTTCATAATGATTTCAAAAAGTTTAAAAATTCAACACTCTTTTCAATAATGATTCACTGAGAGAGTTAGACATTATATTTAAATCAAGTTACCTAAATCTTACAACAGAGGTGCATAAATCACATAGATCTTATAAATACGCAGTAGATGTAAATTTTATTACTTATAATATTTTAAAAGTAGATGTCTTGGACATTAACTTATAATTTTACATTAATTATACCTCTATATTTTGACAATGCTCTTTAGAGAATGCTGAATTTAAAAAAAATACTTAGATACACCCTCAAAATCTTGCTTACTTTATTTCTTTTAATTTTTTATGCCTACTTTATACTAGAAATGCAAAAACATATTTTAATTTTTCAAATGGTGTTAGTATCCAGAATTATATCTAATTTTTTCACTGAAATAAAGAATAATGACAACAAGATAAAAAGTACAAAGTATGTCAGAGGTGATAAGGAGGAATTGTTGACAGACGAAAGACATTCCCAGCTAAGTTCTTTAGTCAATAGCTGTTATGTAGCACTATAAAACTGTCTTTATACAAAATGTTCATTTTATGCCTCCTTCTATAGAAGATCAAAAATTAAATATATTCACGAACATAATTAGAGGATTAATAGACAAAGCCAATGTACAAAGGGAGAGATTTTCAGGAAAAAAGTGTTATAAGCAGTTTTTTAATGACTGTGCTTTTGAAAACAAACGTGAATTATAACAATTGTTCTCTTGTTGTGTGGGAAGGGTCACATTAAATAACTCCTGTCTGATTTTATCCCCAACAACATCCACCTAACCAGGGACAGGTTTTGCTTCTGTGATTTGCCAGTGTAGGGATTATTTAGCACCCCCGTTCTTTTGTTAGAGTCATGAATTCGTCTTGGTCTCAACAGGTAATCAGAGGCAAAAATATCCCATTGCTTCTTTGTAGTATTATAAAGAACCAAGTAGGTAGTTTTGCATTTTGAGTTCAGTGTGTGCACTATTAAATATAATAGATGTGGCCACTTTCTAACTCTTCCACTTTCCAGATCTCACCTACTGAACATTTTCTTTTGTTTTCAAGGATATGATGTATACCTTCTAAAAGCAGAGACTTACTTTCTGCCATACTTAGAGGATAATTGTTCAAATCCAATCCCTAGCATTAGCTTCTGTTTAATAAGTTATTGTAAGATGGTTGACCATAAGGCCAATGGTTAGTCACAGCCCTTGTGGGTTAGTTTGAGCCGGGAATGAGATTCCAGACTTCTGAGATTAACCATGGTGAGGCTTTCCAGGAGCTTCTAAACATTCTATCTGGTAACAAATAGTGAACTATTTCAACTCTAACCTGGTTGTTATATGTTTTATTCATGGGCCATCATAGGAGCCGCCAAACAGATTATCATTTTTACATCAGGCCCCCTTAGAGAGAGAAATTCTTTAATAGTTGAACTAGCAGGGTCAGTCAGTACAGAGATGCCTGCGGGCAACCCAATAATAAATAAATAAATTAATAAGAGGAGAAGAAATGAAATCAAACACTGAGAGTTTAATGATGTCCTTCAGCAGTTACCAATCAATACGTTTTTATCTCTGGCTGAAAAGGTTACATTAAGGTTCCATCATTTTAGCAGCATCCTCCTTGTATTTATTTATTTTCAACAGGAGTGAGGAAATACAGAGGGGCATGGAAAAGTGCAGAGTCCACAGAAACCACTTCATTGGAGTTGACGAACCTTTATAAATGTCTGTTTATGGTACTGCATCTTTTGAGCAATTTGGTCTCTTTCAGTCATCTATGGGCCACACGGAGTTGTTCTATTGCTTCTGTTGGAAATAAATGCACTTAAACAGATGTTGTGACATGCAGTAGCATTTCCTTTCCTTGAGAGTCTATTTAAAAATTGATTTAAAAGGACACATGACATTTTGGCAGGCTAGGAGCTTTACTGGATTGTGCTTGCTTATCTATTTGTTTGATTGTTTAGGAAGGATTTTCCACAACTTTGCCTTAGTCCAGCTATTCAGCTTTAGGGAAGAAACTTTATTTTCTGATTGGAAGAAGACACATGACCTAACAGCTGAGCTCATTCACGAGAACACTTTTCTCTCAGATCAGCAGTTATTATGCAGCATGTGGAGAATTACATGGAACCACCCAGAGTATCAGAGATACTCTGATAATTGAGACTGGTTATTGACATAAACATCATTCTCTGAAGGTTCATAAAGGAATTTGTTACAGTCATAGTATCCTAGAAATGGAAGGTACCTTGAACATCTCCATGTAGAGGGTTACCTACATTGCTGTTAATATTGGAGGCTTCTAGATATAGTCTCTCTCTCAGAGATTTATGAATTATAACATCTAGAGGTTCTCATATAGAGATAATATAACATTTACCTAACATGCTTCTCAACAGGAATATTAACCTCCATTTCCCAGATATAGAGCCATGGAGGTAGGAGACCCAATGTCAACTCTGACTATTCATTCCAGTGACAACATATAATTGTATGATAAATGACATTTAAAATTGGAGTTGGGATTAGTAATACCTTCATGAGAATTTATTGCCTATATTGCTTAATAAAGAAATGAAATGTATCTCAGTTTAGGTATTAGTTTATTAAGAGAGAATGGCCAAAAAGGAACAGATGTTTATATACATAGAAACCACATAAGATATCAATTTTTAAAGGAAAATGCAACTGATATCAGGACACTTCCTCTGTGATTTCCAGGTACTTACGCTGTTTGTATAATGTATCTTTGCATGTTCTCTACCTCAAATGGTCTTCATAAACATGCTTACTTGGCAAACTCTACTAATTCTAAATAATCAGTTTATCCATCTGTCTTTGAAGATTTTTTTGAAAATGCCATGCAGAGTTCATTATGAGTCACTTTCTTCTCTCTGCCATCACTGTGCCTTGATCAGAACTTTCTTAATGTCTGACCCACCTAGTATTTATTTTAATTATTTCTTTACATTTCTCCCTTCTCTGACTATGAGATCCACTTGGGGAGGGACAATGTCAGATTCATTGTTTATCGTATTCTTAGCCTCAAGTTCAGTACCTGGCACAGCATAGTAACTCAATAAATATATATAAAATAAATGAATATGACCAAAACACACACGTATTAAGTCAGTTTCAGTCTAAAATTCTACCCAGATATATATAATATCCAAATAAGATTAATTTAAGCAAAGACGCAGTATTTTCAGATATATCCTAGGACTATAGAGGGACAGAAAGAAGAAAATAATATTGCAATGCTATATCATTTGTAGACTAAAATAAAAATAGTTTCTTAAATTGTCTCAATTATCTTTGCCCTCAGATAGCTTTTCAGATTTTGGAAACTTCAGCGTGTGTTCTTTCTGAATCACTATCTGGTAAGCAAGGCAATCACAGAAATTTCTTGAATCTGTGCCTGGGAGGGAAACTCTTGAGAACTGAAAGAATTTGATTCACAAAAAGGTTTAGTACCATTCATGGAATGCATATTCTAATCACTTCATGCTGTGTTTTTTAAGGAAATGTCACTGATTGTTTCAGAAGGAAGCACATCAACACTATTATGGTGAAACTAAAGTAGAATTATGGGTTTCTCTACTTGGGCTTTTAAAAATTGCTTTTCTGAGGGGGTGTACACATGCATGCAGATCTTAACATCCCCTTGAATTATGAGAAGGTGGAAAAATATTCTTATTATAAATCTAGGATGTTGTTTACCTTACTATATTCTAGATGTCTGAGATGTATGTAAAGATACAGAAAATACTTATCTTTTCATCTGTTTATTTGACCAATATTTCTTTGAGAACTAGTTATAAAGCTTTGTGTTGGGCACGGAGGATACAAAGATTTTCCGGATCTGGATAATTTAGAAATAAAAATTTAAAAAGAAATAGTATATAGAAAGTAAAAAACAAAAACAAAAAAGCAATTGACAGCTGAGATATTTTATAACCTCTAGTAATACCAGAGGGCAGCAGAATATACAGTATACCAATGATCTTTCTAGCTTTGTAAACACATGATAAACGTCAAGCAAAAACGGATATCCTTCCCCCTCAAAAATATAAACCATACTAAACAGCCTTTATCCACCATATCTATTTACCATACTTGAAAAAGTCTATAAATCATATACAAGAAGTACTGTGAGAACAAGTAGCCAATTCTTAAAGGTCATATTCTCTTCCATTATCATGCTGCTAAACATGACTTTAACGATTAGCATGACCAGCAAATGCCTGGACCCTGCAAATGGGAGATTTAATAGCAAGACCAAATGGCCACAATGGTCACCACCTGCTCATTCCCTCTTGTAATCAATCAGGCCTAACCTAACAAAATGACCAAATTACAATGATAGGTTAAGAAGAACTGGACCAGCACACACTTACCAAGTGACATGGAAGTAATTTTGCCACTGTAAGGGGCAAGGAAAACTTCCTCTTTGCACTCTGAAGGTTCACTGAAAATCAACTAACCTCAGGAAGACTAACAGGAGAAAAGGCATCCAAAATTTATTAAAACTAGCACAAGCATTCCCGAGAGTCATACAAAATATGAACTCAAAGAAGGGCCAGCTGATAGAAGCTTAACTACTCTATTCGTAGGCGAGAGGTGTATGGATCCGGGAGGTGGGAGGTGAGGGATGGAGCTGCCTAAGAACAAAGGTTGTCTTATGCAGACAAAGTCCCCCAGGTAATCTCCTGGTGCTACCCTCAGAAAAAGAAAAGGAAAATCTATTTGGGTGCGGTGAAGACTCCTAGTCTCCTCTCTGCTTGTTAGTTGATCTTTACTGGTTATTTGATGAGAGGGTTAAAGACAATTGCATTTCTCTTGGAAAGAAGCTTTCTTGGTCAGATAAGGAAATTCCAGAGTCCCTCCCTGTGCTCCTTACAGTGGTGGGAGGAGTGTTAGGGGGAATGGTGGGGGTGGGAGGGAGGGGTCGGGGAACAAGATAAGGTTTAAGTACCTTGATTCTAAGGCAGTTTGTAAGGCCTTTTAGCGTTTCAAAGTGGCAGTCTCTGGTGCGTGGCTTTCTGAACCTCAACACCACCATTACTTGAAAAACCTTTAAGCAGTGCGGAAGGTGGGGATGGTTAATGGGCACAAAAAAAGTAGTTAAAAAGAATGAATGAGGCTGGGCATGGTGGCTCACGCCTGTAATCCCTGCACTTTGGGAGGCCAAGGTGAGTGGATCAGGAGATCAGGAGTTCAAGACCAGCCTGGCCAAGATGGTGAAACCCCGTCTCTACTAAAAATACAAAAAAATTAGCCGGGCACTGTGGTGGGCACCTGTAATCCCACCTACTCAGGAGGCTGAGGTAGGAGAATCGCTTGAACCTGGGAGGTGGAGGTTGCAGTGAGCCGAAATCGGGCCACTGCACTCTAGCCTGGGCGACAGAGCGAGACTCTGTCTCAAAAAGAAAAAAAAAGAAAGAATGAACGAAGCTGGGCGTCATGGCTCACGCCTGTAATCCCAGCACTTTGGGAGGCCAAGGCAGAGGTCAGGAGTTTGAGACCAGCCTGCCCAACATGGTGAAACCCCGTCTCCACTAAAAATACAAAAATTAGCTGGACATGGTGGCATGCACCTGTAATCCCAGCTACTAGGGAGGCTAAGGCATGAGAATTGCTTGAACCCAGGAGGCAGAGGTTGCAGTGAGCTGAGATGGCACCACTGCACTCCAGCCTAGGTGACAGAGTGAGACTCTGTCTCAAGAAAAAAAAAAAAAAAAAAGAATGAATGAGACCTACTATTTGATAGCACAGTAGGGTGATTATAGTCAATAATAACTTAATTGTACACTTTAAAATAACTTAAAGAGTATAACTGGATTGTTTGTAACTCGAAGGATAAATGCTTGAGGGGATGGATACCCCATTCTCCATCATGTGCTATTTCACACTGCACATCTACATCAAAACATATCTCATGTACCCTATAAATATATACTTCTACTATGTACCCACAAAAATTATAAATTAAAAAAAAAACTCTTAAGTTGACTTTATTCTTGGGCACTTTTCTCTCCTGTACTCTATCATAATTAAGTAATACTTCCCTGGTAGGCATTCAAAATGGTATACAGACTGTTAGAGGATATCCAGTGGGGATGGGGGTGCAGCATTAGGGAGGCACCATCCTGTTGTTTTCAATACATTCACCCAGAATATGGTGAATACCATAATCATATGGTGACCCTATGATTTATTGTCAAAACTTGGTGCTTTTCAAGTGAAAGGAAGTGCTATCATTAGTTAGACTAGACAACTGGTGTAAACTGGAACCATCCACGGCAAACTGAGATGTATAATCAACCTGTGAATAATTAGCCATATCTAGACAGTTTTAAATGAGTTAAGACAGATGAGTGAAGTTAATTGTTGTAGACTGTGTAAGGTCATTTTTTAAAAAAGTTTTGACCACACAGTTGATTACCTAGCCCTAGAAAGCATGTCGTTGATTCAAAACAACTTGTTCCACTGTATCTTCTATAGTTTAAATGACATATTTAGATGCTTTTTCCATGGAATAGTTAAGAATTCTTCACCTTTATTTTTCTATAAGCTTTGATAATCTAAAATTGTTACACTAATACAATGTCCTGAGCAACCAAAAACGTGTAATGATTAAAAAGTAAGATGCTTAAGGTTTGAATCAAGGAATCTGGAATATTGCTTTGGCTGTAATGTTACTAACAAATTGGACTTAACTTCATTCTGCCTTCATTTTCTCATTGTTACAAAGGTGATAGTATCACTTGTTAATTTCCTAGGGGCACAATAAAGATTAATAAAAAAAATGCTTATGGAAATACTTTAAACACCTAAGATATTTAAATTTGAACATTTTCTTTCCTAAACCTTTATAGCAATAAAGAAAGTAAAAGAGGAGCTGGTGTAAAAAGTCTTAGCATAGAATTAAACATAGTAGTTAAAATAATGCAAAGAAAAATTTGTTAATAAAAGGAAAGGAAAGTCTTTCTGACTGGGCAACTTTCAGCCCTTGATGATTTGCTAACGATTTCAGAAATCCTTCCCAAAATCCACTTCACCCTGAACTCTCCTCTAACAGTTACATGTTTTCTATGTTCCCTATTAGATTGTATGCCTTGCAAGACCCAAGTATGCTTTATCTGTCATATAATTGCACAGTGTTTGACCTAAAGTAGGTACTCAAAACATATTTTTGATCAAATTCATTAATGTTGATCACAAATTTAGAGAAAATAGAATAA
Source organism: Homo sapiens (assembly GCF_000001405.40). NCBI lineage: Eukaryota > Metazoa > Chordata > Mammalia > Primates > Hominidae > Homo > Homo sapiens. The sequence goes on along the minus strand of NC_000001.11, from coordinate 81,660,751 downwards.
GACATCACTATGTGAATATTAACAATCTCTAATTTGGTCTCTGCCAGGTTCTGTTTTCTTTTAAATTTTTTGTTTGATCTTTTTCAAAGGTCCCCTTTGAAAAAGGAAAACCACTAAAACCTAGAAAAGGAAGCTTTTAAGAACTACTAAAAGTTCTATAAATTTTCACCATAGGATGCCTTTCTACTGTGTCACAGGGAGAACTGGTTTGGAGATTGAATGTGGATGTGGCTCTGTGCAAATCTTCTATTTACTTTTGGAGGTGTTAGGTCAGTTGGTGACAGGACAGCACTAATAAGGGTAAGGTTGCTGGTTTTATTAGCTTTATACAGAGAAAAACTGCCTCAGAGTCACAGATTGTACCTCCAACCTCAGTGAGTTGTCTTGGGTCACAAAGGGAGTGCAGATTACTCAGTACAACCTATTAACAGTTTGGAAAACAAGCAACTGATGGCAGATCTAATATACAAAAGACAGCATATTATTACTTTTTAGAGTGCTAAAACAAATTGAACCCATCAAACCACTGTAAACTTAAGAAGTGTACTTTTGTCATCTATCCCCTTAGACCTCTGGGTCTATTTTCCACAGCTTTAAATGGGCATATTTAGAAAAGGAAAGTTTAAAGCCTAATTCTTAGAATACACCCAGTTCATTACTGAAACCTCTGCTTGAAGGGAAGAAAACATGGCCATGTGGTATTGGTGATAGATTGTCAAAAGGGCAAAAATCAATATGAAATAGTGATCAAATTTGGCATTTGGGGGGCGATAGATTCTGAAAATATTTGTGTATTGAAATAATGGTTTTCTTTGCAAAATGTGCTTTTGCACACACAAACAACATTTCATTATCTATGAAGCTCTGTTTTTTCAATAAACATTGAATCACAGCTCACTACTTAATGCCAAAAAAGAGAATAATTTAGAAATATTTTTGATAATACATTCAACTATGTTAAATTCAGTTACAGGGCATTTGATGAGAATGTGGTAAACCAGTTGGATGCACTAAAATAAAATGTGATAAAGATGGTAATGGTGACGTGTTAACAGCCATCTACGAGTCATTAACCAATCATGAAATGATACTTATTAAGTGTCTTTGCACAATATGACAATGTTCTAGTGTCATCAATGTTACACATCCTGCGGTCAATCCATTTTTTAAATGAATGCGTTCTCTGGGAAGGCTGATAGAAGCAACCAGTTATTTTGACTGGGTTTTCAGATAAGAACAGGAGGGGAAACTCAGACAGGAAAGAAGCCTTATACTAAACTTTCTTGCAGAGTGGTTCCCCTCTACGTTTATCCTTTCATTCCCATTGGCATGCACTTTGGGGGACAGGTGCAACAAATATCCATTACTGCTTCCTCAAAAATGTAACTAGGGTTGGGCATGGTGGCTCACACCTGTAATCCCAGCACTCTGGAAGTCCAAGGCAGGTGGATCACTTGAGGTCAGGATTTCAAGACCAGCTTGGCCAACATAGTGAAACCTGTCTCTACTAAAAATACAAAAAATCAGCCGGCCGTGATGGTGCATACCTGTAATCCCACTTACTTGGGAAGCTGAGACAGGAGAATCACGTGAACCCAGGAGGGGGAGGTTGCAGTGAGCTGAAATTGTGCCATTGCACTCCAGCCTGGATGACAGAGCGAGACTCTGTCTCAAAAAAAAAAAAAAAAAAAAAAAAAAATTGCTGGGTGTGGTGGCTCACGCCTGTAAACCCAGCACTTTGGGAGGCCAAGGTGGGTGGATCACCTGAGGTCAGGAATTCGAGACCAGCTTTGTCAACATGATGAAACCCCATCTCTACTAAAAATACAAAAATTAGCCAGGCATGTTGTCAGGCGCCTGTAATCCCAGCTACTCAGGAGGCTGAGGCAGGAGAATCACATCAACCCGGGAGGCAGAGGTTGCAATGAGCTGAGATTGTGCCATCGCACTCCAGCCTGGGCAACAAGAGCAAGATTTCATCTCAAAAGAAAAAAAAAGGAACTAGCAGGCATTCAATAGAGCTAGTTGCATATTAACAGTAGGAATTAAAAATAGACGATATAACTCAGAAATAGAAAGTCAAATACTGCATGTTCTCACTTATAAGAGGGAGTTAAATAACGTGTACACATGGACACAGAGAATGGAAAAATAGATATTGGAGACTCAGAAGTGTGGGAAGGTGGGAGGGGAATGACGGATAAGAAATTACCAATTGGGCACAATGTACACTATTTGGGTGATGGGTATGCCTAAAGCCCAGATTTCATCACTGTGTAACATATCTGTGTAACAAAAGTACACTTATTCCCCCTAAGTCTATAAAAATAAAACCATTTTTTAAAAAGAGACAATGTGGCCATGTGCAGTGGCTCACACCTGTAATCCCAACACTTTGGGAGGCCGAGGCAGGTGGATCACCTGAGGTCAGGAGTTCAAGACCAGCCTGGGCAACATGGTGAAACCCAGTCTCTACTAAAAATACAAAATTAGCTGAGCGCGGTGGCACGTGCCTATAATCCCAGCTACTCAGGAGGCTGAGGCAGGGGAATCACTTGAACCTGGGAGGCAGAGGTTGCAGTGAGCCAAGACTGCACCACTGCACTCCAGCTTGGGCGACAGAGTGAGACTCCATCCCTCCCCGCAAAAAAGATAATGTTTATGTATACAAATAATAAGACATGACTAGATACCAATGAATGGACTACATAATATATAGTAAAACTATATGGCAGTGAACCAGTCAACAATATTCCTCCAGGTGCACATAAGCCTTTTGACTTGCCATCCTTTTTATTTTTATGCTTTATAAGTAATTTACGTCTCCTTACAACAGTAAAATAAGAACAAAAAGGTTCTATGATTGAAAAATAATATGTGGTAATAGGATTACAAAAGATGTAATAGTTATAATAGGCTTTATGTCATTTTTAAAAATAAATTTGATTTTTGGATGTATCCTGTAGTTTCTGGTCATACTCACAAAACAGCTTTGCCTACTTACCAAAGAAAGGTACACAAATAGAAAAATGACATCAGGGTTTCTTAAGAATGCATGCAGATTATTAATGGGGTATTTTCCATAGTAATACTTCTAAAAACTACACATACATGCACACACACACCCCTCTTGTAATTGACTCTGTTTCTCCTGGCAGGAGAAGTGAGATTTGTGGGCCTAGGGAGTGGGAAGGGAGCAGAAGTGTTACTTCTCTTAGGATATTTTAACCATGAAAGAATTCCTTCATTAATATATGCCATGTGTCTTAGTTTGTTTGGGCTGCTATAACAAAATATCTTAGACTGGGTAATTTATAAACAACAGAAATTCATTTCTCACTGTTCTGGAGGCTGCGAAGTCCAAGATCAAATTGCCATCAGATTTGGTGTCTGGTGAGGGCTCACTTTCTGCTTCATAGATGGCACTATCTATTTGTCCACACAAAGCCAAAGGGATAAGCAAACAAACTCCCTCAGACCTCTTTTATAAGGGCACAAATCCCATTCATGAGGTCTCCCCTTTTATGACTTAATTGACTCTCCAAAGCCCCACCTTTTAATATGATCACATTAGGGATGAGGTTTCAATGTATGAGTTTTGGAAGGACACAAATATTTAGACCATAGCACCATGCTATGAAATCAAACTTGTTCTATTACTGGCTCATATTGGAGCCTTGAATTGTCATCTTTCCCTGATATAAGTTGCATGGCTTTCTGAATTTTTTTTTTTTTTTTTTTTGAGACAGGGTCTCACTCCATCACCTAGGCTGGCATGGAGTGGCACAATCATGGCTCATGGTAACCTCGACCTCCCAGGCTCAGGTGATCCTCCCACCTCAGCCTCCTGAGTAGCTGGAACCACAGGTGTGTGCCACCACACCCATCTAATTTTTGTATTTTTTGTAGAGACAGGGTTTTGCCATGTTGCCCAGGCTGTTTTCAAACTCCTGGGCTCAAGCAATCCACCCGTCTCAGCCTCCCAAAGTGTTTGTATTACTGGCATAAGCCACCATGCCTGGCCCTGATTATTTTTAAAATCATATATGGTAAGTGACAGAATATCTCAGGATGCTGCTTTTTAGTACCTGTTGCTGAAGAAAATTCACAGGTTAAGATACCTAGAGTTTTTTTGGGAAAATGTAGATAGCAGAGTGAAAATTACCTTAGCCAACTTTGACTGAAAGACATCTGGCACATCGTGTCTAATCCTAGGGACAGTGTTTAGAAGTGCGACTGTGATCCTTATAAAGGCAAGATTCAGGAAGATTAAATAACTTCCCAGATCACAGAGCTAGTTAGTGGTGGGCAAAAATGTGAATCTTGGTCTATCTATACTTCAGAATCTGAGCCAGTCACATCTAGGTTTGAATTCTACTTCTATCACTCATGACCTATATGAACTTGGGCAGACTTCTTAACTTCAGTGAGGTAGGTCTCCATTTGGCATCTTTCACATGGAGAGGATGCCTACTACACAGGACTGTTGAGAGGTTAGATATTTGAGACAGGGTATGTTAAAGTGCTGAGCACAAGGACCTGCCTGGAATAAGCAGCTACTCTGTGAAGTCCATAAGGTAGTTATTGCAGGAGACATCCTCTCCATAAGACTCTCTCCTCCCACAAAGTGTTAGAGATCTAGTGGGAGATAGAAGACAATAGTATATCATGGGAATGTGTTTAGACATTTACTCCAATATACAAAAGAGGTAAAAAGGGTATACTCTGTTTGAAGGAGTATGGGTACATATGAGAAGGAGAGATTCACCCATTCAGCCTTTCCCAAATGCCTCTGGCAGTCCTGAACCTTTGAACCCTGGGGCTCTGAAAACAGTCATTAGGCAAGATGATCTCCGGGGGACTTTCAAATATAATGTCCTCCTGGTTTCTACTGTAGATGGCACAAATATCTGCAGTAAAATCACACACACACATAAGAGCCATACGATATATGTCCATTTGGGCGGAGGGAGATCACAGCTGATGGTTTCATGGAAGAGAGAAAAAGAAGATCAAGGATGGTATCACAAAGAAGACAGCCTCTCATAGGAATGGGTAGAATTTCAAGAGGCTGAGATCACCACTGAGGAGGAAAGAGAGAAATGAAATGCATGTTAAGTGGAAATATTTCAGGAAGAAAGGTAAAATAGGTAAAAGCAAAAAAGAAAGAAAAGAAATGAATCTGAAGTACCTTGGAGAATGGTCAGTAACTTGACTTAACTGGAACTTTGAGGACGCGTGTAGAAAGTAGGAGAGATGGAACTGGAAACTGGAGCCAGTAAAAGACTGTTTTGAGAATGTGGGCTTTGGAGTCTGACATATGTGGGTTTGAATTCCCATTCCCACACTCATTAGTTGTGTGAACAGGGGCAATTGACTTAACCTTTATGAGCTTCAGTGTCTTTTTCTGGAAAATGGGGGTGTTAGTAGTAATATTAAAAATACAGAATGAGGCCGGGCACGGTGGCTCACGCCTGTAATCTCAGCACTTTGGGAGGCCGAGGCGGGCGGATCACGAAGTCAGGAGATCGAGATCATCCTGGCTAACACAGTGAAAACCCGTCTCTACTAAAAATAGAAAAACAATTAGCCGAGAGTGGTGGCATGCGCCCGTAGTCCTGGCCACTTGGAAGGTTGAGGCCAGAGAGCCAGCCCCTCTTGCCCCCCTGGCTCTTAGGACCCCCATCGCAGGGGGGCGAGGCTTGAACCTGGGAGGTGGAGGTTGCAGTGAGGTGAGATCACGCCACTGCACTCCAGCCTGGGTGACAGAGACTCCATCTCAAACAAAACAAAACAAAGCAAAACCAGAATGAGCAGAGTAACATTTATTGAGCAATTTTGCAGGTGAGGAGGCTGAGGCAAGAGAGATTAACGGACAGACCTGTCCAACAAATCACTTGTCATAGCACTGGTAAGACAGGGATTGAAATCCAGGCATTCTGGTTTCAGAAATCCATTATAATGAAATTCAGCCATCTACTTCATAGATTTAGACTACAGTGAGAGTTAAATGAGCTAACACCTGCAATATGCCTAGCCTAGTGTTAGGTACAGAGGAAGGACTCAATTGAATAAATATTAGCATAAAAAAGGCAGAGGGACGATGAAGCAGAGGAAGAGTTTGAAGCCAAAGCATGAAGGCTCTTGAATACCTAGGAGCAGTTTTGACATTTTTTAGTTGGCAGCTCACAATTATATGTAGGATTGCAACAAATTTGTGGTGTGATAAGAAGCTTAATTGAGAAAGATTTGTCTTTTAGGAGGTATGGGCTTAAAAAGGGAGTGAATGAGTGGAGACCAATTAGACCTTCACCGCAACAGTCATTAAATGGGCTTGAATAAGGGAGGTGGTAATGGAAAGGCTGAAGCACAGAAGTAAAAGCTCTTGTAAAGACTGACATGGAAGGTGGAACAAACAAAAGATGACTCAAGGTTTCGAGGCTGGGTGACTGAGAGAACACTGCTGATGTCATTAATGGAAACAAAGGCATCAAGAAAGAAGCGGAGGCTGGGTGTGGTGGCTCACGCCTGTAATTCTAACACGTTGGGAGGCCAAGTTCGGTGGATTACCTAAGGTCAGAAGTTCGAGACCAGCCTGGCCAACGTGGTGAAATCCCATCTCTACTAAAAATACAAAAATTAGCTGGGTGTGGTGGCACGCCCCTGTAGTCCCAGCTACTTGGGAGGCTGAGGCAGGAGAATTGCTTGAACCTGGGGGATGGAGGTTGCAGTGAGCCCAGATCACACCACTTTCCACTGTACCCCAGCCTGGGCAACAGAATGAGACTCTGTCTCAATTAAAAAAGGAAGAAAGAAAGAAAGAAAGAAGCTGAACTCTGAGGGGGAAAATTGCAGATTGTATTTTTTTTACAGGTAGAGTTTGAGATGATGACGAGTCATTTAGGTGGAGATATTCAGTAGGCAATCATCTTTTCAGGATCTGAGCTCTACATAACAAATATGTATATAGCAACCATATCTAAACTTTTTTTCTCAGAACATCCCTATTGATTAAATATTTCAAGCATGCACACATATATTTACAAATTCTTTTCACACGCTTCTGTACATTAAAAAAGATACACATATAAAAGAATGAATAGAAATAGAAATTATATTTTTTTCCCTATGCCCCAATGGATGTTTTTGATTACCCTCTGGTAGGTATGTACCCCATTGTGGATATTGCTGCTGTATCTTAGGTCCCTTTCCAGTGTTGGGAAGCAGCCTAAACACATTTCACTGAAGAAAATGATCTATTGTTTCTTCCATGAGTGAAATTCTCCCCTTTTCAGGATCTCTTGATGGTGTACACAGGAGGAAAAGGACTGAAGATGTCATTGTCCTGCAAAACTCTTGCTTGTATGCACAAAGGTCTCTATGTAAGAATGTTCAAGGTAACATTGTTGATAAAAGTGAAAAAAAAAAAAACCCTAAAGGTTTATCAGAAAGGGAAAGATACAGAAATTATGGTACATCATTCTATGGAATACAGAACTAAGATAAACTTACATGTACTGAGTAATGGAGGAGGACTCTTCAAGATATATTAGGTAAAAAAATAAGTTGCAAGAGACAACATCTTGATGAAAAATACCCTACTACTTATAAAGTATTTTGAATATATATGTATATACATATACTTGACATTGTATCTGAATAAGCATCTAGATTAACTACCAATTTAAAGGAGTTACAGAGACCACAGGAATATGTTAGATAACACCAGGGGAATGCAGTTAATAAAATCTAGACTGTGGGATCTGTTCAGGACAAATGATCAAATGATTCACTTTAATTAACAAATTGCAATGATAAAAAAATGAGAAAGAGCTGGAAGGAGAATATGATTTAAAGAGACTTAAAACATTCAAAACTGGCAAAACTAAGCCATATTATTCAAGGATGTCCATTAAGTAATAAATCACCCCCTCACTCTGGGGAGAGGGAGAGGGCTTTGATTGGAAGAGGGCATCCGGAAGCTTGTAGGGTGCCCTGTGATGTCAATAGTATACTATCATAAATTCATTAAGTTGCATATTTGTTTCATATAGTTTCTGAATTTGTGCTACATTAACAATAAAAAGTTGACATTTTTAAAAAGAAAAGAAAGTTGTTACTATGACCTTATTTGAGGAACCAAATAAAAACACTAACATATGGTTTGTATATTTTTAAACTAAAAAATAAAAGGTCTGGAAGCACCAACAAATATCTGATGACATTAGTTATATATGAAATGAAGGCACAAGTGGATTTTTATTTCTATTCAGTATTCTTCTGTATTGTTTATTCTTTTTACATTAATTGTTCAGGTGTTATTTATATAATTAAATATATCATTAAAAGTGAAAAAATAGAAACAAACACATAGGGTGATTTGGTGGAATGAAAGTTCTAGGTCTATGTTAAAGTAAAAATCCCCCTTACTGACAAAGCTGAAAATGGACTTAACATTTATAAGGATGTTGTGTTCAGAGATATAGAATTAAATATTTTCAGCTGGGAAACCACAGAAATGTAGTTTATTTGGAGAACAATTGAAACAAGGTAGCTTTTAAGTTAGTTTTCTCTGAAATTGCTAAATATTCTTGCTGTTTTTTTATTGGATTCTCAAATAGCAAAGATCATTTTTAATGTTTGATATACTTGATTCTGGGGTCTAGATTCTAAGGTAGTATAACAAAATGGGCATTAGCCATGTGGAGAAAAGTTATTAACTACTGAGATGAAAATCTCAGCTGGGCTGTGGTGTGGTGCCTCACGCCTGTAATCCTCACACTTTGGGAGGCCGAGGTGTGAGGTTCAATTGAGGCCAGGACAACATAGTGAGACCCCTGTCTCTACAAAAAATAAAAAAAAAATTAGTTGGGTGCAGTGGCGTGTGCCTCTATTCCTAGCTATGCAAAAGGATTGCTTGAACCCAGGAGTTGGAGGTTACAATGAACTATGATTGCACCACTTGCACGTAGGCCTGAGTGATGAGCAAGATCCTGTCTCTAAAAACAAACACAAACAAACAAACAAACAAAATCTCCTGGTTGACAGGAGCATTCTGTTATTCTAACTTATACCAAAATATAATGAATTGATGCCAAAGTATAATGAACCTCCTCTAGGTCTAAAGGATGATTGAGTTTAAGAGTGGTGAAACCCTACAATTACTGAGAAAAATAGCATTGTTTTGGCATTCTTTATTCTCCACATTTGTTACAGGTCATTTTTTCAAGAATAACATTTTAATTTGGTTGTTTTGTGTACGTTTGCAGAAAATTTTGCTTACTGAAAGACCATTATAAGCAAGTGCCATTGTTTTATTACACTTATCAACCAGCGTAGTATTTGATCTGTGAGTAAGAATTTCTTGGTTTGTTAGCAAGACTCTGCCCCAACCTACTTTTAGAAACTCTTTTCAACATATTCTTGGTTTGATACTTAAATGCTATTAGAGATGATAGGAATCATACATTTTGATTTTTTTTTCTAATTCTTGTAACTAGTAGAAAATGTAAACTGAAATGAAGAAAGAAAAAACCCAGTGTGCATCTTTCCTTTTCTACGACCAACAATTTCCAAGCTATTTTGCAAATATAGGACAGCTGCTTTATTGAGCTAAAAAAACACTACAAAATGTAATGATAGCACTTTGGACTCTATTCTGATCTCCCTTAAACTCCACACAGCTTGGATTTTTCTGTAATTTTAATGAAAATGTGGCATGGCACATCTCTCTCATTTAAATTATGCACTGTCAGTATTTTCCTTCTTTGCAACTGAAGCACTTCTTGGGAAACATGCCAGGTACAAGAGGGAGGGCAAAAACTGCAAATAGAAAATGGAGGTGGGGGCAGGGAAAGAAACTGGACTAAACAAATATACTCTCCACAAGGCCAATTTTAAAAAGACTTGCAAATGTCTGGAAGATGGGGTACAAAAGTTCAAGTAGGATTAAGGTAGCACTAGCAAGCCTAAAGGGTGCTAAATAGGTCTTTAAGTAAAAAATCTTAAAAATTTTGTTGACCTATTAAAATCTAATACAAGATATCATTCATTTTAGCGTGATGTCTGAATACATCTTGCTACTACTTAGCTCCATAGGGCTTGATCGTCACATTTAAAACTCATATCAGTGACAATTTTTCTTTTCTTTTCTTTTTCTTTTTTTTTTTTTTTTTTTGAGATGGAGTCTCACTCTGTTGCCAGGCTAGAGTGCAGTGGCACGATCTCAGCTCACTGCAACCTCCACCTCCTGGGTTCAAGCAATTCTCCTGCCTCAGCCTCCCGAGTAGCTGGAATTATGGGCGTGTGCCACCATGCCCAGCTAATTTTTGTATTTTTTTAGTAGAGATGGGGTTTTTTTTACCATGTTGGCCAGGATGGTCTCGATCTCTTGACCTTGTGATCCTCCTGCCTCGGCTTCCCAAAGTGCTGGGATTACAGGTGTGAGCCAGGGGGCCCGGCCCACAATTTTTCAATTAACAAAGCCTTCTTCCTTCACCTGCCATGTTCCTTCTCTGTTTTCCAAGCAAAAGTCAATCATTCATTTATTTAACAGAATTTGTTGAGAGCCTGAGTGAAGAACAAGACAGAAAGGGTCCCAGTTTACTATCGTCTATTACAAGTCCATCTTTTGTAGAAGTCACATATACACTGAAATAAAATTCCCTTCAGGGATGTGATTTTTTTTTTTTTTTTTAAGAATAGGTGCCATACTTTTATCACCCACAAATAACCCCACAAACTTGGTATAATTGTATAAATTGATTTTACATTTAATTCTCACCTTAGCCCAGCATGATACTACTGTTTTCTCCCTATTTCCTGGTTAAGGAAGGAGTTTTAGAAAGATTAAGACAGTTAGTGATCATCATTCCTTAGTGGCAGAGTACAACTTAGTTGTGAGCCTTCTGACGGGAGTCAGTGCTTTTCCATCAGATGCAGTGGCTGAGAATGCGTTTAACTCACAGCTGTGCTCCTCATCATGACCTTGGGCAAATTACTTAACCCCTCCAAGCCTGTTTTCTCTAAAATGGGAACCATGGTAAAGCTCCCTCAGGGGTTGTGGGAAAGGAGTAAATAATACTTGTATTTAGCACAAAGTCCAGACCCAGAAAGGGTTAACTGTTAGCTTTCTTGTAGACCTCTTTTAAAAATGAGAAGACAATCCAGTTGAGGTGGAGTAAAAGAAACAAGATATTCCAGGAGAATAGAAATGGAGATGGAAATCAACCATTTAGTGCACCCTAGTCAGGACTGGTGTTGGGAGTAGATAGTGCCCAAGAAGCCTAGGGCCTCAGCTCAAAAATAACTTTTCCACATTAAAAGATTTCCCTTGGGATAAGATAACAGACCTTTTAAAATGTAAGTCCTTGGGGATAGGAAAAACAAGTTGATAGAGGTTCTCAGTGATTTCACCCTGTTGCAAATTCTTTGAATCAGATAATCTCACTTAAGATCTCCTGCAGGGAAAGCAGCGAGAAAAGGTTTTTGGTACACTTTTGGATAGGGTAGGTCTAGAAGAGGTGGGATTAGGTGAAAGGCGGAATACCTTTGACTGGGATGGTAGAGGCCTTAGGGCTCTGGAAACTTGGGTGAGGAGAGGTAGGGTATTCCAGAAGAGGGAAGAAGTCTGGAAAATGTGGGAGAGTTCCAAAATGAACTTCCTTTCTTTGGGTATTTAGTTTGAGAATGTTAACTGCCTGGTGTCAATAAAAATGATCTCCTGGCTTGCCTTCACCACCCTGGCATGGTTTTAATGCCTGAGCTGGAATACTTGGTCTGGGCAAACCCTGTGATACTGCACAGCATTCTCCGGTTCCAAGTGTCCAAAGGACTCTGAAGGTAGACACTTGTCCTGTACAGTAAGCTGAGTTAAAGTCCCTGGGAGTGCAGAGCTGATATGCTCCCTGAAACCTTCTTTCATTCATATTTAAATTATACCTTTAAATGTCTTTTCTCAATTATTTCAGGCTAGGAAGCCTCTTCCCCACTACTACCAAATGGGTTGGTTAGAATGAAATCTGAGGCTTTACAGAAATGTCACTATGTAACATATATGCTAAGAGCTGTGCAAAGCTAACCCATCCTTCAAGCAGGATCAGAAATTTTATTCTCCTTGGAACCCATGAACTCTTCAATCCCCTCTCCCGTCTAGTGCAATCCGTTCTCGTGGCATTACATTTTAACTGTAATTAACCATGGCATCTGGGCATGATCTTGTGCCCGATGTTCTGGGAGAAGAAAGATATGTCTTTTCCTTGTTTTGCTGCAGTAAACAGAGAGGATTTATATTTAGGCTCCAACATGTCAATGCACTCAGTGGTGAAGAGCTGCTGCTGAAAAGGAGGTGGGTAGCAGAAGGCAGCACACCGGAGCAGAGACCTCTGAGCCTAGAGTTGTGAGTTTGAATCCCAGCTGTGTCCCCTGTCAGGACTTCAATTTCCAATCTATAAATTGAGGGAGTCAGATTCATTGTCCTGTGGTTCTAATCCTCTGTGTTGGCATGAAACAGTCACTGCTGATAGAAAGGCGGTTCTTAGTTCAGCTCTAAGTTAACAGCCATAGCCTCTTGGTTCTGATCTCATTGCTGGCTCTCAGATATAAACCAGCATTTATTATAAAATCTCTCTCTTTCAGACTCTATTTAAAAGGAGAAATCCCAAAATACTTGTTTATCAGCTGCTCCTATCATCTCCCACATTTGGTTTTCTTTGCATTTTGTCACCTAGTGACCCACATCTAAATAGGTGGAGGTTGCCTGAAAAGAAAAAAGGCAGAAAGTTAAGTCAGAGCTGAATTATAGATCAGTGGCTGCAATTTTACCCCAAAGCAGGGCCGTGCTTCTGGAGGGCTAAGATTTATTGGTTTCAACACATAAAGATGTAAAATGTGCTGTTATCGCATCTTCCCAGAATGTGTACTGGCACCAGCCTGGGGAAACTGCATGGAATAGCAACTTCCTGTTTAGTCAGTTCTACCATCCATTTTGTAAGTCAAAATTCTGGTACATTACCCACCAATAGATGTTGTCTTGTTGAGAGTGCACCTTAAATTATTATGCATTATGACTAATAGAGCTTGAATACCCCTTATCTGAAATGCTTGGGACCAGAAATGTTTTAGATTTTTGGGATACCTTGAGGATGGGACCAAAGTCTAAACATGAAATTCATTTATGTATCATATACACCTTATACACATAGCCTGTAGGTATGTAAAATTACCCGAAGGTAATTTTATTTTTCCTCTGGGGACACTGAATAAACTGCTGTGCCACTACGTTTTGACCGTGACATGGCACATGAGGTCAGGTGTAGAGTTATCCACTTGTGGGATATGTTGGGGCTCAAAAAGTTCCAGATTTTGGAGCATTTCAGATTTCAAATTTTCAGATTAGGGATGCTCAATCTGTGTTGATAATTATGGCTTAGATAACCTGCTTCTTTAAATAAGGTGAAGTCTCATCACATTCAAAATTCTGCATTCAAACACAAGGTAAACTTTCCCTTCTGCATTCATTTGAGATACAATGATTAAGTACCTACTATGTGTGATATGCTGTCAAAGGATGAAGGCAGATTATGTGCTGAAAAGAACCTAGATTTTAGATTCAGATAGATTTTGTTTGAATTTTTTTTGCTACTGCCAAATTTACATTGAGCATGAATCTCAATTTCTTTGAGCTGATACTTTCTCTTGGGAACAACAATATTTATTCTTACAAGATCTTTGTGACTATAAATATAAGTATCAGGCACATACGTGCTCAAAATGTTGTTTTGTTTGTTGACTTACTTAATAATTACAGCCTCCACTTAAGAGTTGATAAAAGTACATTCACGTAAGGCATAACATTTTAATCTCATATCATCCTGTAATGCTGGTGAAGGCATTTTAGCTTCATTTAAGTAATAAGAAAATTGAGGCCAAGAGAGGCTGGCATGGCAGGGCCTATGTCAGACATTTCTTCAAAATGAATCCTGGTCTCAAAGACCTTCCTCAGAGGCAATATATTTGCTGATGAAAAAATAGGAAGACCTCTATTATTCCAAAAAAGGACCTACTGACTGGTTGAGATGTCTGATTCCACACATAAACTGGGAGGAAAATATTTCTGACCCATAAATGTACAACCGTGCCTCACTATGGCTCCTGTTAATTAATATGAATGAATTTTGTTGCAGAACTCTAGTATCTCATTTTCCCTCCACAGCCATACCACATTGCCTTTCAGAACAGAGCTTAGTGCATTTGCTACTTGAAGAATCCTTTGATATTGAGATTATTTGAGAAGCAATTAGCATAAACAAATGTTTTCTAACCAGAATGTTATGATTTTCCACCCATGAAGTCATTCCTAGTGGATCGTGACCAGGGCCTTTACTCAATAGTGTGATATCTGGAGTTGAGAAAACCTCCTAGTCCAAGAAATAATTTTTCTCTTATATGATTATTTAAATTGCTGGTACACTCTCTTATTCTGCAATTAGAGATGAGGTTTGAAATGTCAATATCTGTAGGAATAGTAACCACTTGACTTAAATTTGCATTAAGACAAGTGATATCAGATTTTTTTCTGAGCAAACACTTAGCTGTAGGGAAGAGCACTGAAAACAAACAACCCCACAAAGGTCATGAGGCCATATGGGAGTCGGGAAGGACACTGCGATGAGTGAGAAGATCTAGTACATACAAGAATCAGTAAAAATATGAATGAGAATTAACATTTTTATCCCTTAGAGTGACTTAAGTTTTTTGATAACATCAAGTATTGGCTAGAGTGTGGAAATCTCTCAAGCTTTGCTGATGGGAAGAGTGAATTGGTACTGTAATTCGGAGGATGACTTGGCAGTATATTAAAATTAAATTTCATCTCAATACCTTATGAAAGGAGAGTCATACATATGACCAAAGAGATACACGCTAAGATGTGCAATGCATCAGTATTTATTAGAGGGGGGAAATATGGAAAAGAAACCACCTAAATGTCCAGCAAGTGAAGAACGACTCACAAGATAAGGTACATTCATATCATGACACACTAGGTAGCAATTGTAGAGAATAAGGACAATCAATATACATTGTCATGGAAAGATAGCTAATAACTATTGTGAAGTTAAAAAAAGATGCTTCTCTCCTTTAACCCCTAGGATATATATATACTTATATATGTTCATATATGCATGGACATGCATGGAAAAATTCTGGAAGGCACAGTCAAACTGGATAATGATGATGGCCTCTACCTCTGGGATTGAAGGTAGTAATTGAGGAATAATTTAGAAAGCAATGCTGGAATTTTTTATTGTAATGTACTCGTGCATTTAATTTAATTTTTTTTTTTTTTTTTTTTTTTGAGACAGGATCTCACTCTGTCACCCAGGCTGGAATGGAATGCAGTGGTGCCATCATAACTCTCTGTAACCTCCAACTCCTGGCCTCAACTGATCCTCCTGCTTCCACTTCTCAAGTAGCTAGGACTACAGGCACGCACCACCATGGCTGGATAACTTCTATTTTATTCTTTGTAGAGACATAGTTTGCTATGTTGCCCAGGCTGGTCTTGAACTCCTGGCCTCAAGCAATAGTCCTGCCTTGGCCTCTCAAAGTGCTGGGATTGTAGGCATGAACCACCATGCCCAGCCTGTACTCATGTATTTCATAAGAGAGAAAATGCACAGTACAACTATTAATACTTAATTGCTAAGGCTTCTGAAAATCAAATATGTTCTGAAAAAAATAAATAAGACACAACTAAATACCAATCAATGGACTACATCATATATGGTAAAACTATATGGCAGTGAACCTATCAACAATATATGAATGTGAGAGCTACAAGGGGTCTAAGTGATTTTTGTTTTTAAATAAATTTTATTTTTTTAGAGCAGGTTTAGGTTCACAGCAGAATTGAATAGAAGGCACAGAGATTTTACATATACCTTCCTATACTCCCACATGTGTAACTTTCTCCATTGTTAGCATCCTGAACCAGTGTGGTACATTTGTTACAACTGATGAACCTACCTTGATACATCATCACCGGGAGTCCATAGTTTACATTAGGGTTCACTCTTGATTTTGTACCTTCTATGGGTTTGAATGAATGTATAATAATGACATATGACATGGAACATCTTTCATATGCTTATTTGCCATCTGTATATCTTCTTTGGGGAGGTGCCTGTTAAGGTCTTTGGCCCATTTTTAAATCGGGTTTGTGTTCTTATTGTTGAATTTTAGGAGTTCTTTGTATATTTTAGGTAACAGTTCTTTATCTGATACATCTTTCACAAATATTTTCTCCCAGTCTGTGACTTCTCTTTTCATTCTCTAGCCAGTGTCTTTTGCAAAGCAGAAATTTTAAATCTTAATGAAGTCCACTTTATCAATTTTTTTCTTTCATAGATTATGCCTTTGTTTTTCCTTCTAAAAAGCTGTTTCCAAACCCAATGCCATCAAATTTCCTCCTACGTTATCTTCTAGGAGTTTTATACTTTTGTGGTTTACATTTAGATTGATGATCCATTTTGAGTTAATTTTTGTAAAGGGTGTATGCTCTGGGTTTACATTTATTTTTTACATGTAGATGTCAGTTGTTCAGCGCCATTTGTTGAGAAGACTTTCTTCCAATATATTGCCTTTGTTCCTCTTGGAAAGATCAGTTGACTATATTTCTGTGGGTCTATTTCTGGGCTCTATTCTGTTTCTTTGATCTATTTGTCTCTTCTTCCACAAATACCACAGTGTCTTGATTAATGTAAATTTATGGTATGTCTTGAGGTTGGGTAGAATCAGTCCTTCAACTTTGTTCTCTTCCTTCAATATTATGTTGGTTACTTTAGAATCAGTTTGTTGATATCCACAAAATAATTTGCCAGAATTATTTTGACAAATTGAGATTGCTTTAAATCTATAGATTTAGTTGGGAAGAACTGACATCTTGGCAATATTGAGTCTTCTTATCCATGAATATGGAATCTCTCTCCATTTATTTAGTTAGTCTTTGATTTCATTCATCAGGGTTTTGTAGTTGTCCTCATATAGATCTTGTACATATTCTGTTACATTTACACCTATGTATTTAATTTTGGGGAGTGTTAACACAAATGCTATTGAGTTCTTCATTTCAAATTCCACTTGTGGCTGGGGATGGTGGCTTACGCTTATAATCCCACAGCTTTGGGAAGCCATGGCAGGAGGATTGCTTGAGTCTGGGGGCTTAAGACCAGCCTGGGCAACATAGTGAGACCCCATCTCTAAAAAATAAAAATTAGCTAGGTATGGTGGCACATACTTGTAGTCCTGGCTACTCAGGAGACTGAGGCAGAAGAATTGCTTGAGCCCAGGAGTTCAAGGCTGCAGTGAGCCATGACTGTACCACTGCACTCCAGCCTGAGCAACAGAGCGAGACCCTGTCTCAAAAAACAAACAAACAAAAACAAATTCCACTTGTTCATTGCTGGTATATTGAGAAGTGATTGACTTTTGTGTGTTAACCTTGTATCCCACAACCCTGCTATAATCACTTATTAGTCCCGGGAAGTCTTTTTGTGTGTGTCAGTTCTTTTGGATTTTCTACATAGACTACCATGTCATCAATGAAAAAGACAGCTTTATTTCTTCCTTCCCAATCTGTATACTTTTTATTTCCTTTTCTTGTCTTAGTGCATTTGCTATGACTTTCAGTATGATATTGAAAAGCAGTGATGACAGGGGATACCCTTGCCTTATTCCTGATCTTGGTGAGAAAGCTTTGAGTTTCTCACCACTAAGTAAGATGTTAGCTGTAGGATTTCTTTTTCGTATTTTTCATCAAATTAAAGAAGTTCCTATCTATATCTGGTTTACTGAGAATTTTTACAACAAATTGGTGGTGAATTTTATCAGATTTTTTAATGCATCTATTGACACGATCATGGGATTTTTCTTCTTAACCCGTTCATGTCATGTGATTATTATATTAATTGATTTTTGAATGTTTAATCGGTTTTGCATACCTGGAATAAATCCTAACTTGATTTGGTATGAATTCTCTTTGTACATTTTGGATTTGGTGTGCCAATATTTTGTTGAAGATTTTTGCATCTTGGTTCATGTGAGAGATTTGTCTGTAATTTCTTTTTCTTATAATATCTTTCCTTAAATATTTGGTAAAACTCACCAGTGAATTCATCTGAGCCTGGTGCTTTCAGTTTTGGAAGGTTATTAATTATTGATTCAATTTCTTTAATAGATATAGGACTATTCAAATTTCTATTTCTTTTTGTATGAGTTTTGGCAGGTTGTGTCTTTGAAGGAATTGGTCTTTTTTTTTTTTTCTTTTCTTTTTTGAGACAGAGTCTTGCTCTGTCACTCAGGCTGGAGTGCAGTGGCATGATCTCAGCTCACTGCAACCTCTGCCTCCTGGGTTCAAGTGATTTTCCTGCCTCATTCTCCCAAGCAGCTAGGACTACAGGCATGCACCACAATGCCTGGCTAATTTTTTTTTTTTTTTTTTTTTTGGAGACAGAGTCTCGCTCTGTCGCCCAGGCTGGAGTGCAGTGGTACAAATTCAGCTCACTGCAAGCTCCGCCTCCTGGGTTCATGCCATTCTCCTGCCTCAGCCTTCCAAGTAACTGGTACTACCGGTGCCCACCACCACACCTGGCTAATTTTTTTTTTTTTGTATGTTTAGTAGAGAGAGGGTTTTGCCATGTTGGCCAGGCTGCATAGTATTCTTTTATCATCCTTTTAATGTCTATGGGATTTGTAGTGATGTACTTTCTTTTATTTATCATATTTGTGTCTTCTCTCTTTATTTCCCTAGTTAGTCCAATTACAGGCTTATCAATTTCATTGGTATTTTTAGAAAACCAGATTTTGGTTTGTTGATTTTCATACTAATTTTCTATTTTTAATTTATTGATTAATTTCTGCTCTAATGCTTATTATTTCATTTCTTCTGCCTACTTTGGATTTCATTTGCTCTTCATTTTCTGGTTTCCTAAGGTAGAAGCTTAGGTGATTTATTTTAGATATTTCCTTTTTCCTAATATATGCACACAATGCTATAAATTTCCCTCTGAGCACTACTTTCTCTGCATCCCACAAATTTTCAAAACTTTGTCTTCATTTTCATTTAGTTTCAAGTATTTTTAAATTTCTCTTGACATGTCTTCTTTGACCCATGTGCTATGTAGAAATGTGCTTGTTCAGTCTCTAAGTTTTTTGGGGGATTTTCCAGCTATTTTTCTGTTGTCGATTTTCAGTTTAATTCCCTTTTGGTCTAAGATCAGACATATACTGTATGATCTTTATTCTCATAATTTGTTAAGGTCTGTTTTATGACCCAGAATGTGGTCTCTGTTGGTGAATATTCCAATGTGAGTTTGAGAAGAATGTGTATAGTGGTATTGATGGATAAAGTAGCTTATGGATGTTGATTATATTTAGTTGATTGATGGCACTGTACAGTATCATCCTGAAAACCCCTACTGATTTTCTGCCTACTGGATGTGTCCATTTCATATACAGGGGTGTTAAAGTCTTCAACTATAATAGTGGACTATCTATTTCTCCTTGCAGTTCTGTCGATATTTGCCTTATATATATTTTTAAAAAGATCTCAATTGACTTTGTGGTTCTAGAATCAGGCAACACTTCATTCCATAAATAGAATTAGTGTTCCAATGAGCTGAGAAGAAAAGCTTGGCTTTATAGATAGAGAAGGGCTAAAGAAAGCAGAAGCAAAGAACAAAGAATATATTAATCCTTTCAAAGTTGTTTCTCATAGGGCAGGAACAGGAAGACAGAACAATAGAAAAATAACTAATTAGTTAACATCAGGTTACTTCCTTTTAGGCTACTGTTTTTTTGTAAGGACTAAAGCAGAGGAAACTTTATTTTCATGTCAATTGGAGATTTAAACTGGCCTATCTGGGAAATCGGCTGTGCTCTCTAGTTCCTGATTTTTGGAAGGTTGGATAGCAGTTTAGGTCTGGTAATGTGGAACTTTAGCATGAGTGACTTCATTTTGATTTTTAGCCTGGTCTGTTGGGGTCTAGTATAGGAGCTTAGTCTGAAACAATGGCTTCTGTAATTTATTTATTTATTTATTTATTTATTTATTTATTTATTTTTGAGATGGAGTCTGGCTCTGTCGCTAGGCTGGAGTGCAGTGGTGCCATCTTGGCTCACTGCAACCTCCGCCTCCCGGGTTCAAGTGATTCCCCTGCCTCAGCCTCCCAAGTAGCTGGGACTACAGGCACCCGCCACCACGCCCAGCTAATTTTTTGAATTTTAGTAGGGGGAGGTTTCACCATGTTGGCCAGGATGGTCTCGATCTTCTGACCTCATGATCCACCTTCCTCGGCCTCTCAAAGTGCCGGGATTACAGGTGTGAGCCACCGCGCCCGGCCCTATAATTTTTTATTTGACAATTTCTCCTTTTGGTCATGCTCATCTAGGTTTCTCTCACCTCAGTGAGAGCATGACCAAAATTTAGGGCATCAGGACTACTCTCAATTACCATCATTTTGCCATTTATAGGCAATGGTGGCCTCCTCATTATCATGTGTTTTCTTTGAGTTTCTGTTTTTCCAGCTGGAGAGATACCATTTGACGTTTGGCAGATGGCTGTATGGAAATGTTTAAAACTTTGAGAGGATACAGGGTACCAGAGAGACTACTACTATGATTATCAGGAGGATAATACCAAGAGTTTGAAATATGTTCCTTAGCCAGAGTCCCCATGAACCGAATCAACTAAAATCAAATGACCAGACGAGGAGTCTACTCATTTTAACCATGTCATCTGCTCTATAATACTCAATGTATTTTATTTACGTGTAAGAAGAAGTGCCATCAATTGCACAGATTCCTCCTTATTTAGTTAGTAGGTAATCTAGCATCCTGGGTTAAATTAAAGTGAGTATAAATAATCTGCAGAAACTACCGATTGTGAAATAGTTATCACAGCATTATGCTGTGAAGTGAAAGAGTTTGTCTCATATATTTTTACATTCTGTTGTTAGGTGCATATATGTTAAGGATTGTTATGTCTTCTTGGAAAAAATAGACCCCTTTATCATTACATAATGTCCTCTATTTCTAATAACTCTCTTTGGTCTGAAGTCTGCTCTGTCTGAGATTAATATAGTTACTACTGCTTTCTTTTGATTAATGTTAGTGTCATATACCTTCATCTTTTTTTTTTTTTTTTTTTTTTTTTGTAGAGATGGAGTCTCACTACATTGGCCATACTGATCTTGAAACCCTGGCCTCAAGCAGTTCTCCCACCTTGACCTCCCAAAGTGTTAGGATTATGGGCATGAGCCACTGTGTCCAGCCTACATCCATTTACTTTTAATCTATATGTCTTTATATTTAAAGGAACTTTCTGGTGGGGCCCAGTGGCTCATGCCTGAAACCCCAGCACTTTGGGAGGCTGAAGTGGATTGGTCACCTGAGGTCAGGAGTTCGAGACCAGCCTGGCCAACATGGTGAAACACCGTCTCTACTAAAAATACAAAAGTTAGCCAGGCATAGTGGTGGGTGCCTGTAAATCCCAGCTATTCAAGAGCCTGAGGCAGGAGAATGGCTTGAACCTGGGAGGCGGAGGTTGAAGTGAGCTGAGATGGCACCACTGCACTCCAGCCTGGGCAATACAGTGAGACTCCGTCTCAAACAACAACAACAACAATAAAAGAAGTAACTTTCTTACAGAGACATAGAATTGGGTCTTGGGTCTTGCTGCTTTTCTTTTCTTTTTGAGACAGGGTCTCACTGCCACCCAAGTTGAAGCGCAGTGGGTGATCACGGCTCACTGCTGCCTTGAACTCCTGGGCTCAAGCGATCCTCTCACCTCAGCTCCCCAGGTAGCTGGGACTATAGGTACACACCATCATGCCAGGCTAATTTTTGTATTTTTTTGTAGAGATGGAGTTTCGCTATGTGCTCAGGTTAGTTTTCTACTTGCTGCCCTTGTTCTGTGCCCCTGTTTTTGTCTTCCACTCTTTTTCTGCCTTTTGTGGTTTTAATTGAATAATTTTTATGATTCCATTTTCTCTCCTTTATCAGCATATCAGTTATACTTGTTTTTAAAGTTTTTTTCCAGTGGCTGCCCTAGAGTTTGCAGTATACATATTTACAACTAATCCAAGTCCACTTTCAAATAACATTATGTCATTTCTAGGGTAGTATGAGTTCCTTTTAATACTAAAATAATTCTAATTTCTCCCTCTCATTGCTTTTATTATAGCTGTTATTTATCGCACTTATACAAGTATAAATAGCCATATACATGCATATACACAATCAAATATGTTGTTGCTATTATTGTTTTGAACAAACTGTTATCTGTTAGATCAATTAAGAATAAGAAAAATGAAAGTTTTTATTTTACTTTCACTTATTGCTTCCCTAATGCTTTTCCTTTCTTTATGTAGATCTGAGTTTCTGACCTTTCTCATTTTCCTTTTCTCTAAAGAACATTCCTTGCAAGGCAGGTCTAATGGTAACAATTTCCTTCTATTATTGTTTGCCAAAGAAAGTCTATTTCTCTTTCACTTTTGAAGGATAATTTTGCAGGGTACAGAATTCAAAGTTGGTGAGTTTTTTTTTTCTCTCACTACTTTACAGATTTTATTCCACTCTCTTCTTGCTTGCGTGGTCTCTGAGAGGAAGTTGGAAGTAATTCCAGCCCCATTATCATCTAATGGGACCAACACGGTATATGAAGTCTGTCATTGACCAAACCACAGTTACATGGTGAATGACTCTATATTTAAGTCCCAATTCAAATTCAACAAAGAGTTTACCTAGTCAATGTGTACTTGTTAGTTAGACAAAAAAAAAAAAGCATACCTTTTAAAGTATGCTTTCTTAGGCCCACAAACTGGACATTCACTAGGTGTATGGTACGCTGAATTTTAAGTTAATATGTTCATAATTACTTCAGAAATGTGTATGATTAATCTCTTAAATCTTGCCACAGAAAAAATTTTCAGTTTTCCATGTATTGAAACATGTGTGGACTGATTATATACAGTGCATTCAAACAGAAATGTCTGTTTCTTCAAAATTCCACGCAATTGTCTAAAAATAATTATTTCTAAGAATATAAAACAATATTTTACAAACAATAAGTTCAAAAGATCAGTTGAAATGAGCAATCATTTAAAATATTAAATATTTATTCCCCACCCCCTTTGATACATTCGTTATTTTTGAGAAGAACATCTAGAAATCTAGAAATCCTTTTCTTTAGTAGCTTCAGCAGAAGCTCCTTCTGAACATTTCAGTTGTTTTTCAGCTGTGCTAAGTGGAAGAAAGGGCCCTTGGAACCAGGTCAACATGGTTTCGAATCCTCTTTCTACTACCTACTAGCCGTGGAAGCTGGGTCAAATTATTTCACTTCTCAATATTCTCTTCAGAAATTGAAGATTATAATTCCTACCTGGAAGGCTTTTGTGAAGATTAAAGGAATAACTATTCCTTTACCTCACAGGTATACAAGCTCCTATGAAAAGCACTTTGCAGGATATCTGACCTGGAAATGTGCTTAGGGTTGGAATACCATCCTATTCCTTTTGGGTCAGTGCAGTGCTTCCCAACTTGAAAAACAACAAGCCCGGTGCAGTGGTTCATGCCTGTAATCCCAGCACTTTGGGAGGCTGAGGCGGGTGGATCACTTGAGGTCAGGAGTTCGAGACCAACCAATCAAACTGGCCAACATGGTGAAACCCCAAATCTACTAAAAATTCAAAAATTAGCCAGATGTGGTGGCATGTGCCTATAATCCCAGCTACTCGGGAGGTTGAGGCAGGAGAATTGCTTGAACCAGGGAAGCACAGCTTGCAGTGAGCTAAGATCGCGCCACTGCACTCCCATCTGGGCGACAGAGGGAGACTCTGTTTGAACACCAACAACAAACTCTAAAAAGGATTACAGGGTCAAATAAATTTTGAAGAAGAGTATATTACACAGTATTTTTCTTTGGTATATGAAAATGCACATTAGCATTTACTAAAGGCTCTAAGGAGGTTTAGTCTACTGTTTCCAGTCTTATTTGAGTACAGATTTTCATTAATCTCTAGAGAACATAAATTAATGGTTCTGGCGAGCTCAGTTTGGGGAAAACTGGGCCAGAAAATGGGGACGTATGGGTAATGGCTTTAAAGCTCCCGAGAACATGGTAAAAATTTAGAAAAAAATAGGGACAGTTTGTGTAGCCATCCATTCCCATTAGAGTTTCCTCCCTTTTCCAATTAGAGTATGGGTCCCTCCGAGGAAGGCTTTTAGACTTTCCCATCAAAGTACCCCTAAAGCAAGGGACAGTGAACACTTATTTTATCATAAAAGCCCATGAGAATCTCCCATGTTACTCCATAAGATATGTTTGTTTAAATTTAAAAATAAAAATTTAATTATTAAAAAGTAAATGATTTAAATATTTCCTACATACATACACACACATACATATTCCTACACCCATACACAAATATGCACATATATATACACTTTGTTTCTGATCAAATTTATGTTTCTAGAAGATATGTTATATTTTGTGCTTCTTGGATATGTAAATACAGACTCTCTGATGTAACACCGAGCAGCCAGGGGAGGAGTACATGTACCCCACTATGAGAAGCAAGGCCTTAGGTCAGCCAGTCTACAAATGTTGACTGGGTCCTCTAGTCTGGATACTGTTTTAGGGGCTGAGCAAGGAAGCTGAGAGACAGTCTGTGCCTTTAAGGAATTCTTACAATGTTGTGTCTCATGACTGTGTCTGGGATATGTGCTGAGTGTGAGGACGGAAGAAGTGAGGCAGCTGATAAACTCATGGAATGATAAATCAGATAACTTTTAGCACTGACTGATGCTATAAAGAAGTTGCAACAGGGATAGAGTGACTGATGGAAGCTACTTGAACCAAAGGGACAGGGAGCTCTTTAATGATGAAACATTCAGGTTGAAGCCCACTGCTGTGGTGTGAATGTGCCCCCCACAAATCCACACATTGAAATCTTATGCCCCAATGTGATATCTTAGGAGGTGGGGCCTTTTGGGAGGTGATTAGGTCACAAGAGCCCTCATTAATGGGATTGGGGCCCTTATAAAAGGAGCTCAAGAGAGAGCTCTTACCCCTTCTGTTTTGTGAGCACATAGCTAGAAGGTGCCATCTGTGAACCAGGAAATAGCTCTTCACGAGACACCAAGTCTGTCTGCACGTTGACCCTTGACTTCCCAGCCTTCAGAACTGTGAGAAACAAATTTCTCTTGTTTATAAGCTTACTAGTTTCTGGCATTTTGTTCTAGAAGCCCAAAGGGACTAAGACATCCACTGATAAGATGACATGCAAAGGTTTGAGAGAAGTGCTTTCTAAGTCGAAGGCAGAGCACCTGCAAAAGCTAGAGGCTGAGAAGAGGCTGGGCATGCGTCTTCCTTCGAATTTCTTATAATAGACCCTGAGATAAAGACTGAGTGCAGGTAGTTTATTTGGGAAGTCACCCCAGGAAGCACCAGAGGGGAAATGGAGAAGGCGAACACGGAGAGAGGAAAGCCAATAAAGGGTATGTTATAAGTAAGTTACTGCTGTGGATGACGGAGGCTCATTTCCCCTGGGGCTCTGGGGCTCCTTTGATAAACCACTTGGAACTTAACTCCGGATCATCCTACCAGAGACCAAGAGGATAGGCTATGTATCTGCCTTCTCCCCTATCTCACTGGTTGAGTATAATTCTTGGGTGTTAAGCCCCAGCACTTCTAGGTTGCACCTGTGGAGGTCAAGCAAACCCCTGAAGAAAGCCCTCAGGCAAACACAAAAAGAGACACAGTGCTAAAGATGAGAAACTGTCAGAATGCTGAAAACTCTTCAACTGCAGGCAGGATAAGGATAGGCCATCAACAGTGTGTATCTTCTACAGAATCTAACTGAAAGCTAACATAGGCCAGGCGCGACGGCTCATGCTTGTAATCCCAGCACTTTGGGAGGCCGAGGTGGGTGGATCACCTGAGGTAAGAAGTTGGAGGCCAGCCTGCCAACATGGTGAAACCCCGTCTCTACTAAAAATACAAAATTAGCCAAACGTGATGGCGTGTGCCTATAATCCCAGCTACTCGGGAGGCTGGGACTGGAACCCAGGAGGCAGAAGTGGCAGTGAGCCAAGATCGCACCACTGCATTCCAGCCTGGGTGACAGAGCGAGACTCCATCTCAAAAACAAACAAACAAACAAAAAAACCAAAAAAAAAAAAACAAGATAGCTAACTTAAAGCTAACATAATTGGAGCATAGTGGGGGGAACATGGAGGGAGATAAATTCAGAGAGGCAAGCAGAAGCCAGATGATGTGTAACTTTGCCTTTTTAAAGTCCACTTGCAATGGGTAGCCATTGAAGGGTTTAAGTGGAGAAGTTCTCTGATATGATTAAGCTTCGGAAAGATCACTGTGGATTTTTTGTGGAACACAGTCCATAAAGAGGCCTAATGAGAGTGAGCAAGATAGATTAGGAAGCTTTTGTAGTAGTCTGGGCAAGAGATTAATTGGGTTCGGTGGTTAATATTAGTCCTCATCTTAATCTATAAGAAGTATTTGGCACAACTGATCACTTCTTCCTTTTGAAACATTCTCTTGCCTTGGCTTCCTGAATACCACTTTCTTTTGATTCTTCTACTATCTCTCTGGGACTCTTACACAGTCTTCTTTCTTGGAGTGCTCCAGGGCTTGGGCCTGGAACATTTTCTCATTTTTATATACTCCCTAGGTTATCTCATACAGTCTTATGGCTTTAAATACTACTGGCACCCGCAAGTCTTTCAAATGATATCTCTAGCCCAGAACACTCCTTTGAAGTCCAGAGTCATTTATGTTACTACCGCCTTCATCATGATTTGGGTGTCTGGTTGACCTTACCCTTAGCCTTGCAAATGGTGGTAGAGATAAATGTTGTAGCAGTAGTGCGGGTGAAAGTGGTTAATTGATGAAACATTTTGGAGGTGGAAACAACAAGACTTAACGATGGATTAGATGAGGATGAGAGAGGAATCTAAGATGGCAACTCAGTTTTGACCTGAACAACTGGTTAGATGGTGGTGCTATTTACTGAAATCAAGAGAAGTAGATTTGGTAGAGAAAATCGGTGGTTCTCTTTTTTTTTTTTTTTTTTTTTTTTTGAGACAGAGTCTTGCTCTGTTACCCAGGCTGGAGTGCAGTGATGTGATCTAGGCTCACTTCAACCTCCCCTTCCCCAGTTCAAGTGATTCTCCTGCCTCAGCCTCCCAATTAGCTGGGATTACAGGTGTGTGCCACCATGCCTGGCTGATTTTTTTATTTTTAGTGGAGACAGGGTTTCACCATGTTGGCCCAGCTGGTGTTGAACTCCTGAACTCAAGTGATCTGCCAGCCTCAGCCTCCCAAAGTGCTGGGATTACAAGCATGAGCCACTGCGCCCGCCCAGCATGTTCTCTTTTGACTACATTATGTTTGAGATACCTGTTAGGCATCCAGATGGGATGTGTGAGATATTTGAGCACTCCTTTTAAAGGAGAGATTACCTTATCCATTCACTCATATCTATATTTTAAAAGCCAAGGTAGAATTTTACAAAGATGCAGCCCATATAAAAGCTCACGGTTTCTCTCTGTATATTGGGACTAAAGAGTTGAAGAACAGTTATCTAACCATCAAACAAATGAAAGGAGTGGAGAACCATCTGGTCTGATAAACCTCCTCTGTAGTATATCCTAAAACATTCACAATCAGGTTAGCAATTGAAAAGGCTAGACAAACATTGTCAAATAGACTTTGGTATATAAAAAAATCTATTATAGCCAAGTCAATCCTTTTTAAATCCCTTGCTCAAATCCCTCCAATGACTTCCATCCCACTTAGAATAAAAGACCTTACTATGTCTGATCTGGCTGTCCCTAATCCGGCCCCTGCCCACCTTTTCACCTCCTAACATAGCCCCTTTGCTCCCTCAACTCTGCCCACAATGACTTTTTTTTTTTTTTTGAGACGGAGTCTCTGTTGCCCAGGCTGGAGTGCAGTGGCACGATCTCGGCTCACTGCGAGCTCCGCCTCCCGGGTTCACGCTATTCTCCTGCCTCAGCCTCCCGAGTAGTTGGGACTACAGGCGCCTGCCACCACATCCGGCTAATTTTTTGTAGTTTTCAGTAGAGACGGGGTTTCACCATGTTAGCCAGGATGGTCTCGATCTCCTGACCTCATGATCTGCCCGCCTCGGCCTCCCAAAGTGCTGGGATTACAGGCATAAGCCACCGTGCCGGGCCTATGACTTTCTTACTCTACCCTAAACACTCCAAGCTGCACACTCAGAGCCTTTGCCCTTCTTCCCTCTGTTTGAAATTTTCTTCCTTCCAGATGTGTGTGCTTTCTCCCTACCCTCATTTTGGTCTTGCTCCAATAGTTCCTGCACAGGAGGTCCTACTAAGGCCATCCCATGTGAAATGTCTGACTCTGTCGCTCTTTATCCTTTTATTTTATTTTTGTTCATAACTTTTACCACTACTTAAGCTCAGTCTAAATATGTGTTTGCTTTGTAGTCGTCTCTCTCATTAGCATATAGGTATCAATAGGCTAGGGGCTTTACTTTGTCTGTTTTGTTTAATGCCATATCCCCAGATTCTATTACATTGCCTGACACATAATAGGTACTTGGTAAAGGATTTAATTGAATAAATAAATGAATGATTCTTTTTAAATGTATGCTATCAAATATTTCTTATGTGGCTATAGAATGCTATATAATAAATATTTGATGGGCAGGAGAAAAATGCCATGATAGGAAATCTCAGAGCCAACAATGTCAGAGCCCAGATTTAAAGATCCAGGCAAGCAGGAACTGTAATCAGCATCAAGGAAAACGTTCCAAATTTAGCAGATCTTTACCAGCCATTCAAGGAAATGCTCCAGTGTGTGATTTGGTGGGGGTCCAGGCAGGGGGAAGTGAGAATGGCGATAATCATGTTATGTAGACTTTTGAGACTAGATCTCACACAAAGTAGAACAATCAAGGACCTAATTATCAGACCTGGGGTATATATTAAACCAATGTTTCTTAAACTTTGTTATACATTAGAACCAACTGCGGAGTTTTAAAACTCTCCATGATCCATTGCACCTCATACCAGAAAAGTCAGAGTATCTGGTGATGGGACCTAGATATCGGTGCGTAATTCCAAATGCAGTCAAGTTTGAGAATCAAGGTACTAGACTTTGCTGTTCAAAGTGTGGTCTCCTGGCTGGGCATAGTGGTTCATGCCTGTAATCCCAGCACTTTGGGAGGCGGATTACTTGAGGTCAGGAGTTCCAGACCAGCCTGGCCAACATGGTGAAATCCTGACTCTACTAAAAATACCAAACTTAACCGGGTGTGGTTGTGCACACCTGTAATTCCAGCTACTCGGGAAGCTAAGGCAGGAGAATTGCCTGAACAGGGGAGGCAGAGGTTGCAATGAGCCCTGATAGGGCCACTGCACTCCAGCCTGGGCAACACAGCAAGACTCTGTCTCAAAAAAAAACAAAAGAAAAGAAAAAAGAAAAGAAGGTCGGTTGGTTCCAAACTGTAAATAAGCTGGAGGTAGTGAGGGTGGTGGGGCCAGTGAGTGACATGATTAAATCTACATTTTGGACTCATATTGGAAAGGTAGAAATTTTTGATGCACTCTTGAAAAAAACAATATGAGGATAGTGCAAGAATGAGAATAAGTTAGATTTTTTTCACTGTTCTTTAGTATTAATGTATTTCCACAAGTCTCATAAAATCAGGTTTTGTAGCTTCGTATTTTAATCACCCAAATATTTAAAACATCATTTAAAATTAGGAGACTATGTAGAATCCAGCAGTAGATTAGAAATTGTTTTGCTTGGTTGGCTTTGTTAAGATTCTGCTAAATTCTCTTCTTCAGAAATGTAACTTTTTATTTCCATATCAATAGCATAGTTGACAGGGTTTTTGCCACTTCATATAATTATTTTTATGATTGCAAACTTTAAACTTGTAGCCTATTTTACATATTTTTGAAAAATATTGGTATATTTAAAAATTCCTTTAGGCTGCTAATCAAGCCCAATATATAACTCCACATGCATATCACCTCATTTTAAATGCATGTGCTGGTTTCATTGTGGAAAGTTTAAAATTCTAGGAAAACTGAGGCATAAAAGAAACTCGAAGGTCATATGAGGAATTCGATTTATGATGGAAATAACCACTTTTCCTATTACAAAGGCTTCTATCATATGTATTTCACCTTTTTTAAAAAATTGCAGTTGGACTTTGATCTAGTAAACTATAATCTCTATGAGATTGGTTCAGACTCTAGGGCTTCCCTCAGTTCTGGGCATGGAGTAGGCGCTCAAAAAGTATTCGATGATTAAATGAATAAAAAGTTATTAGCTGAGAGGAGTCAGCCTTGTCACTGCCCACTCCTCTGGATGGGGATTGCTCTTGGCTGATGGGAGCTGCCTTTCCTGGAGAAGGCTGGGAGGCTAGACTCTTGAAACCACAGCTTTGCCTTGCTTTCTCTCCACTGTCTTATTCAGCTAATGTCCCTGCCTTACAGGTGTCCCCTGCCAGCACTCTCTCAATATGTCACTAAAATGCCTATCTCAGCTCTGCTTCTAGGAAATTTGTCCTAAAACACTAGATATATGTATGTGCAATTATTATGTATTATATATGTCTATGTGTATGTGTATACATGTATGTGTCTATATATATGCCTATATATATATATTCATATATACATATGGATATGTACGCACACACACAGTTTTCCAAAGTTTTTAGCCTGTCCTACAGTAAGAAGTACATTTTACATTATGATTTAGTATAAAGGATTAATAAAAAATTAGGCTGGACATGGTGGCTCACACTTGCAATCCCAGCACGTTGGCAAGCTGAGGTAGGAGGATCACTTGAGGCCAGGAGTTCAAGACCAGCCTGAGCAACATAGCAAAACCCAATCTCTACTATATATATACATATATATACACACACAAACACATACATGCATGCACATACATATGTATACATATATCTACATACACACACACACACACACACACACACA
Source organism: Homo sapiens (assembly GCF_000001405.40). Taxonomy (NCBI): domain Eukaryota; kingdom Metazoa; phylum Chordata; class Mammalia; order Primates; family Hominidae; genus Homo; species Homo sapiens. The sequence continues at coordinate 81,629,671 of NC_000001.11, read as the reverse complement.
CACATATACATTCATTCATTCATTTAACAACAAATATTCCTCTGTTGCCTGTTATGATCCAAGCACTATTCTATTTGATAAGGAAACAGTAGTGCATATGGAATTAACATTCATAATATAAAACTTTACCATGTGTTATGCATGCTGATACATTCTATTTTATTCTAATCTTTTATTTTCAAAAATAATCTGTTCTATTCATTTTTTTTTGTAAAAAATGCTGCTCATGACCCACTAAATAGATTTAACAATGTGCTTCAGAGTTGTAACCATTAGTTTGAAAATACTGCCTTAGATAGTGTCACATCTGATTTTATAAGGTATAGGGATGTTTTTGTTAATACCTTCAGGCATTCAATATGATATAATATTTAATACTAAGGAAAAATATATTTAACTGCCATATGCATGGTATTATCATCTTCCTCTTTGAAGGCTGTTAGGATTCAACCTTTATTTTTATTACTATTTCTTTTCAAAATACCCTTTTCATCTTCTTCAAGTAAAAGTCAATAAATGAAGCTTTTGCCCTATGTCTAAACTGTCAAGGTCTCTAAGAGAAATGTGCTTTAAAGATATAGGAGTTAATGGTCACTCTTGCACTATAAATTCTATTGGCAGATACTCTACTAGCTGGTAGGTATAAGGATGACTTTCTCCTAGAAAACTCTAATGAGACTTAGGAATAATATACAATCTGTGATTCAGGTACTATCCTCTAAATGTAAGAGCTTTTAAATAATCTTAAAGCCTATCTAAAATAAATCACATTATTTCTTGTCATTTCTTAGAGAAGTAAAGAAATCTAATACAGTTCATAAATATTTGTAAAGTAAAACAACTTTAGATTTTTTTGCCTAAAAAATTCATTCTCTGATTTGAGAAGAGGTTATAACATATGCATGCCATTTGATTGATTTAGAAGTGAGAAAGTTCTGTTTTCCCTAAATATTCTGCTTGGAGAGAGGTTGGAAAAGCCAAGACTGAAGCAACTGTGATGGTGTAAAGAAAGCATTCTCTTCAGCATCACTTTCACTTAAAAACTAATTTGCTGAGGAAATAGGTAGTTTAGGGCTTGCTCATGGTTTCAGTTTCCTGATCTGGTAAATGGGATTATAATCTCAAGTTCCTCACAGGGCTGTTGTGAGAAAAAAAATATGTTAACGTATTGAGTGACTGGCTCATTGTCACTCAACAGACACTTAGTAAATGTTGATTTATACCAATCAAGAGTTATCAAGGCTGGACATTTAGTTAGCTGGTGAGAGATGCCACAGGACCATAAGAAAATATTACTAAGTATCCACTGTGATTGCTTAACACACTTACTGGGACTTACACACCCAAATGATAGCTCCGAGAGGGCACACGTAGAGCCCAGTAATGATGTCCTCACTCTGAACATCTTCAATTCTCCACTTTTCAAGTTGCCCTCAGAATACATTTTCTTACTTACATTTTGTGACTGATGTTATTTAGTTTCAATATTATTTACCTAGCTGGCTCTCCACCTTTCTCATCAAGCTTAGATCTCAATGACTTTGAGTGGGTCCAAGAGTCTAATTCAACCTTGAAAGATTAATATGTATATATTTTTTCAATGTGATGCAGGACCTGAAGGTGACATTGAAAGAGCAGCTCCAAAAAATGCTGTGATTGGCTGTAATGAATATGATTGTTAGACTATAAGCCTGGCTCTTCAGGAAGCCAAGAAGATACAAACCGCTGATGGTGATTCTTGAATCAACTAGTCAAGGATGGCTCCTGGCTGCTCAGGATCTAAGCACAGCAGTGGGCCATGGCCAGGCTGTGGCATCTTGTGCTGAGCTGAGGCCAGGAATATTCAAATTTGGGAGCTTGTGGCATTCTAGAGCTTCAGAGGATCTCTCAAAGTCCCCTGCTTTGACTATTTTAGCTGAGATATGCCTGGAATTATAATTCTGATCCAGTTCAAGCTCTCTGTCTTACTGTTTTCAATTTGCCCACACTTCTCAGTCTGCTTCCACTCAGAAAATGATACAGTTCCAGAATGATCATACAAAAATTATTATATTTAATCTTTCTGAGCCTCAGCTTCTTCATAGCGAAAATAGAGGTAATAATAGTACATTTTAGTAGGATTGTTGTAAGATTACATAAAATAATGAAAATAAAGGGCTTAATGGAGTACTTGGCACATAGTAAACTCTCAGTAAATGATAGCTATTATTAGTATTATTATTCATAGCAGCAAATATGGCTCAACCTACCTCAGTGTCCAGCTCAATGACTTGGAAAGTCAGCTCAATTAAAGGCCTGTCCCTCTTAGATTTACCCAAGAGTTGACGCTGCACAACTATTCTGGGGCAGGGAACCTTTTACAAAGTGTCTGCAGTTCAGATTATGGGAAAAGACACAGGCATGAAGGGCAGCAAGTTAGTTGGATAAATCGAATATATACATTTAAGTATGTGGCTTTTAAAGAAAATGTTCATGGGCCTTTATACACGCATTTGTTATGGAAATATGGTTTTGGTTTTCATGACTTCTGAATCCATTATCCATTTCTAGAATAACAATAATAATAGTAATAATAATAATAATAGCTAACATTTACTGAAAATTACTAGGGGTACTACAAAAACCCTTTGAAGTGGGATGTGTACCTGGCTTGGCATAACTATAGTGAATAAAGTACTGAAGCAAAAAGAGCATGTCTAGCCCCTCTCCTTATTTTTAACTCAGCTGTCCCCACCTACCCTCCACCCACACCCCTTACCATTCTGGTGTTCACGAATGTATAAGACGTCATGAAACTCTAACTGCCAATATTCTCCTCCCACTGGTAAAGTATAGGTACAAATGCTTTTATACACACATCAGCAAATATTTATAAAATGCCTGCTCTGAGGCATTGGTCAAAGGACTGAAGTAGAACATTCCTTCACAGATCATCTAGTCCAGAGGCCTCAGAGTGTCTCCCACATCCACCGCCCTGGCCAGTTGACTCTGTTACAGTGAATAATGTTTTCAGCTAAACTGCCCGCGTGTGTTTTTACATGTTTTACATGAGGATACCACTTGTCCTGTTTTATAGCTTATGTGAAAGTACAGCATTCAGGCCAGGCGCGGTGCTCACGCCTGTAATCCCAGCACTTTGGGAAGCCGAGGGGGGCAGATTACCGAATGGTGAAACTTCGTCTCCAGAAAAATACAAAAATTAGCTGGGTGTGGTGGCTTGCGCCTGTAATCCCAGCTACTTAGGGGGCTGAGGTGGGAGGACTGCTTGAGCCCGGGAGGTTGAGGCTGCAGTGAGCTGAGATCGCACCTCTGCACTCTAGCCTGGGTGACAGGAGTGAGACACTGTCTCAAAAAAAATAAAAAGGGATAGAGTTCATTAAAGCAAAAGTTCATGTTCACTGATTGGTAGCTACACTACGATCTTTGTCTTAGGTGTTGTTTTTTGGTCTTTGATATTTCCCAGGCAAGGTGTGGAAAAGGGTGGAGTAGTTCTAGGGAAGTACTGCTAGAAAATCCAGCTGGAAAGCAACCAGTTCCTGATCGGGCTTTGTGACAGAGTGTTGAAGCCCCTGTGTTTTGGGTCTCAGATTCCTGCAGCCTAACACAATTTGTAATCATTCGGTAGGTGTGTCACTTGGGATTGTTATTGTGTCGCGGAGGAAAAATATAGCTGAGATTGCTGCAGGCTACTCACTCTTCAAAGGCAAATGAAAGAATGAAAATTCCTCTCTGACAGCTTTTTAAAATAAGGAACTTTTAACTCTATATAGTCCACAATTCAACTTGTGCCAAGTATACCATTATTTTTAAGTGTGGTTTGTTCTAAAGATGCTTACTGCCAATAAGAAGTTTGGGTTGCTGGTGGAGCTTCTGTTTTAATGTAGACTATTTGATGTTGGCGGTTTTGTTTTTCAACTTTCTAGGTAAGAGCACCACAAAGAATGCAACTGTAATGTAAAGAAAAGGCAAAATTTTAATACTTTGTTGAAGCATATTGGAAATGTCTCTTCTAAAGGGGTAAGACAGCTTAAGAATTGGTTTTTCCTAGAGAATAAAATGAGGCTCAACTCTCACGACATGAATTTGGCAGCCTTGCAGTTTCTTACCGTAAGTAAAACACCACTGATAACTGCTCCAGTCCTCAAAGACTGGAGAAAACTGACAGCTTTACAGAAATGATAGAGTATCTAACACAACTTTTCTTTATCCATTAACTCGAGGAAGAAAAAACATATAAGGAAGAAAAATACCTATTTTCCTGGTCACCCAACATACCCCTTATTTCTCTTTGTCACGTGTTAAATATTTTGTAATGAAAAATCTATTTTTACAAATAAGGGCAAGGAAATTTAGAGGAGAGAGGGAGGGAGGGAGGAAGATATGGAAGAGGGAAAAAGGGAAGGAGGGAGAGGGAGAGAAGGTGATGTGTCTCTTGCGGTATTTCTATGTTCTTAGTATTTTCATTAGGTTTTCTCCTGATAAGCATTCTGTCTCATTCAGGAAATATATTACACTGAAGGAGCTTTTTCATTTCACTCTCCCGAGTCTTGGTTTCTTTATCCTTTAATGATGATAATGCTTGTTCTGTTTCAGAGTGAAGGTGTTGGGATTAATTGTATATTATAGATAAAAGTGTTTTGAACTCTCCCAGAAAGACACAGCACAAGGTATTCCTATTGTCATGATCACCAAAGAGACTCTGTACTTTGCTCTTACTGCTTCTTAGCTTCCCAGTGTCTAGACAAAGTATAAGCTTAATGATGGATGTAAAATAATAGAGCTGCACAGCAACTCAATGCTTGTCTCATTCAGCCTCTTCTTTTATACGGAATTGGAGAGTGGGGCTAAGAGACATTAAATGAGTTTGGGGGGTTGCCATACTTCACAGTCAGTTTCCTTAACTGGGAGGGGATTTCAAGGTTATACAGTTAATTCTTCTCCATATATGCCTATTTTCTTTATGGCTTGAACTATTTAAACTTGAACTACAGTTTTTATTGTAAAGTTTCTAAAATTGACATCTCTATCTCTGACCAGTATGTTCTCCAATCTCATACTTCTATTTGTTTTCACAACGTCAGCAATTAGATAACTGTATTACTTTTTTATTTTTGGGGGGGGTGGGGCAGTGGCACAATCTTGGTTCACTGCAACCTCTGCCTCCTGGGTTCAAGTGATTCTCATGCCTCAGCCTCCGAGGGTAGCTGGGATTACAGGCGCGGGCCACCACGCCTGGCTAATTTTTGTATTTTTAGTAGGGATGGGGTTTCACCTTGTTGGCCAGGCTGGTCTTGAACTCCTGGCCTCAAGTGATCTGCCTGCCTCGGCCTCCCAATGTGCTGGGATTACAGGCGTGAGCCACCGCACCCGGCCAGATAACTGTATTACTTTTAATGGCAAGAACTGCAATTACTTTTGCACCAACCTAAGTTTCATAGCGCTTCCATAATAAATACCACAAACTGGGCAGCTTAAAACAACAGAAATGTATTCTCTCACAGTTCTGGATAACAGAAGTCTGAAATCCAGGTATCGGTGTCCCTTTGAGGTCTCTGGGAGACTGTTCTTCCCTGCCTCTTCTTAGCTTCTGGTTGTTTTGGATGGTCTTCGCTACTCCTGGGCTTACTGCTGCATTGCTCCAATCTTTGCCTCCATCCTCACGTGGCCTCCTTCCCTGTGTGTGTCTTTGTGTCTCCAAATCTTAGGAAGATATCAGTCCCCACCTTAGAAAGATATCAGCTGGGTGTGATGGCTCACACCTGTAATCCCAGCATTTTGGGAAGCTGAGGAGGGCCAATCATGAAGTCAGGAGTTCGAGACCAGCCTGACCAACATGGTGAAACTCCGTCTCTACTAAAAATACAAAAATTAGCCAGCTGTGGTGGCGCACGCCTGTAATCCCAGCTACTCAGGAGGCTGGGGCAGGAGAATCGCTTGAACCTGGGAGGCAGAGGTTGCAGTGAGCCGAGATCACGCCACTGCACTCCAACCTGGGTGACAGAGCAAGACTCTGTCTCAAAAAAAAAAAAAAAAAAAGGAAGATATCAGTCATTGGATTTAGGGCCCATACTGACCTAGTACGATCTCCTTTTAACTTCATTACATCTGCAAATACCCTATTTCCAAATATAACCACATTTACAGGTACCTGGGGTTAGGACTTCAACATATCTTTCTCAGGGACACAACTCAACCCACAACAATAACCTATTCTTATATTAAAATCAACATGGCTAAAATCAACCTCATCCCAGTCTTTTAAAATTGACTACATTTCTGTGTATAGCACCACTAATCTTGAAGTCTTCTAATTTAGGAAACAGAGACAATTTTTAAATCTTCTATCACACTTATGCTCCATATTTAATTTGTCTTGAAGTTCTCTTGTTTGTTCTTTGAAATATCTGTCAATGTCTTGTAACTTTCATTGTTACTGCATCTCCCCTGGTCCAAACTTTCAGTTCCAAGTTATGGCTGTTGATTCTAGTGTCTCCCTTATATAGTCTCTTCCTACTCAAAGTATGTCCAAGTACCAAGAGCATCAGTAACAGCTATAAGCTTAGAGCAATAAAGAATTGTTGCTCCACCCCAGACCTGAGTCTTATTTGGAATCAGAATCTGCATTAAGATCACTAGGTGATATTCATTAAAATTGAAAATTCTGATGTGGCTCAGAGTAACATTGATGACCACTTAATAAAATTTCCCAAATGCCCAATATGTTGGACATTTTTACAGTTGCTTCAAATTCTGTCCCTTTCCAGATTCATTAAATGAATTAAATCATATATGTAAAATGAAATATCATGTCAGAATAGTAACAAAATTAACAATGATGTTTAAGGTCACTAAATAACTGGAAAAACATGCAGGATATGTTGCTAATTTAAAAATATAGGTTTTGTTGTTGTTTTTAAGAGACAGGGTCTCGCCCTGTTGCCCAGGTTGGAGTACGGTGGCACAATTATAGCTCACTGTAACCTCAAACTCCCAGCCTCAAGTGATCTTCTTGCCTTTGTCTCCCAAAGTGCTAGGATTACAGGCATGAGCCACTGTGCCTGGTCCCCCAAAAACATAGGTTTTTTTGTTTTGAGACGGGGTCTCACTCTGTTGCCCAGGCTGGAGTGCAGTGGCACGATCTTGGCTCACTGAAACTTCCGCCTCCCAGGTTCAAGCGATTCTCCTGCCTCAGGCTCCTGAGTAGCTGGGACTACAGGCGTGTGCCACCACGCCCAGCTAATTTTTGTATTTTTAGTAGAGACAGGGTTTCACCACGTTGGCCAGGATGGTCTCTATCTCTTGACCTTGTGATCCGCCAGCCTCGGCCTCCCAAAGTGCTGGGATTACAGGCATGAGCTACCGTGCCCGGCCAAAAAAAACGTAGGTTTTAAAGGACCCACGGTGCCATATTTTGGACACATATATATACATAAGACCAGCGGAATAATGGACAATATTAGTGCACATTTCTTGTGCTGTTGATTTGGATGAGTCATCTCCATTATGATTTACTTCCTACAGTGAACACATATTAGTTCTGTAATGATGAGAAAAAAAGTTATCATTAAAAAAGTCCTAGCTTCTATCCTATCTATCCACAGTTTTATTCCTCTACTTTTTAAGATGCATTTGCTATGTTTGGAATTGGATAGGACTTCAAATGATAACTGAAGACGGAGAGGCTTTCAACCTACGGTGGAACCACTCATTATTGCAAGTCACCAAGGGAAAAATTGTAAATATATGATAAACTACAACCAGGAGCAGAGGAGGAAGTGAGGGAGTCAAGCTGTGTCTTTGATCCAGATAGCAGCATGACTTTGCCCCTCCATTTGTTCAGGCTAAAGTCAGATTATTAATTTTCTATTGCTGCATAACAAATTACCTCAGACTTAGAGGATTAAAATATAGAGGCATCTGTCATCTCACAGGTCTGCCGATGAAGAATCCAGGCATAGTTTAGACAAGTCCTCTTCTTAGGGTCTAACAGGCTGTATCTGGGTGTCAGCTGGGCTGCAGTCTCATCTGGAGACTCAACTAAAGAAGAAAGAATCCACTTCCAAGCTCATTTATGTTGTTGGAAAATTCATTTCTTTCCAGCTGTGTAACTGAGAGCTCTGGTTTCTTACTAGTTGTGAATTAAAGGATGCCCTGAGGCCTTAGGCACCACTTGTATTCCTTGGCACTCCTCTCTTTGCAGGGAGTTCACAACATGGCTTCCAGGACAGCAGGAAAATCTCTCTTTCCAGTCTTCTAAGATGGAATCTTAGGTGGGAATGACAACCTAAAACTTTTTCTGTGTTTTGCTGCTTAGAAGCAAGTCAGGGTCCTGCATATGCTCAAGGGCAGAGAGAGGTCGTAACACTGGGGCATGGAGACCATGGGAGCCATCTCGGAATCTGCCTACCTCACAAATCAAAATACACTGAGTAGTCTCCAAGAAACTGAAAAAGCAAGGAAGACAGACTTTATCCCCAAAACTAGTCCACTCCCTCCCCAGACCTTTTCAGAGAGGGGCTGCTCATCTAGATGGCCAAAGAGAGGAAAGCACTTCAGCTTCCAGAAGTCAGAAAAACCTACAAAAGGACACAGCCACATATATAGCAAAAGCACCATGATATGGGGGAAAAAGACACAACACTCCTGCCGCACTCCTGTTGAGATTCTGATGGAAAAGTCTGGAGTACAACCTTGGCATTTCCGTTATTTCAAAGTTGATTCTGATGAGCTGCTCGGTACTTCCTAACACTCGGAAGGCTTTGCCTTTTCTATTCACATTTGGCCCTGCTCTGCTTCCGTGTTCATCGGAGGCCTTGTCTGACGATTCCAGTGAATACTAATTTCTTCCTACCCTGAACTTATACATTTGAAAATCTTCTTATCTATATTACCACACAGGTTAGTATGTTTTTGAGTTCTCTTTCATATGTTTTGGATTTTTCTCCTCAACTAAACTGTTCCTTTTTCAAGGGCAGAATTCTTCTCTCCTATTATTCTAAAGCAGATTGTTGGGTATATCACAGTTATATAACTTAGTTTCCTTAATTGGTTAAACTAAAAAAATAGAGTCAGAGAACAGGTAGAGTTTTCATTGTGGTACCTGGATTCAGAAAACTATGTTTTAGATGAGACTATACTTGGAGATAATATGTTATGGTGGAGTGTTCCTGAATTTTAGATATTCATGTACACACTAATTAATATTTTGCCATATTTGTGTATTACATGTGCTTTCATTTACACAATATTTTTCTTTAAATTTACTTTTTTACTTGACCTAAACCTAAATAATAGAATCCATAAAACCATGTACTTCATATGCTAGTTGTACATCTTACATTTTTAAATTTCACATGCAAAAATGAATTATGTATTATGTACATTCTACTTTTTTTTGTATTTGCATGTGAAATTGAAAAATGTGAGATGTACCTACTGTACCCATGTACCAGTATTGCCTATGTATTGCCTACAACTATATCTTGTTCCACCAATAGTGTTTATACAACTTGTTGGGAGTTACTTCTATGGTGCAAAACATTTCTAGTCTCAGAACCCGGCCCTCGTCTTTCAGATCTCAGCCCTCTGAGCCTTAAACCATAGTATAAGGATAATAGTGGTAACAGCTAGTGTTTATTATCAAGTACTAGGTAAAGTTCCAAGTTCTTTGTATGTATTCATTTACTAAATCACCAAAACAACCCGTTACTTACTATCCTCTTTTTTTTTAAAGAAATGGAAACTGAGGCACAGAGAAGCTAGGTAACTTGCTCAAGGTCACACACCTGGTAAACAAGGATCAGGGATTTGAACCTAGACAGTCTGACTCCAGAGTCTGTTTCCTTAATTACTTCATACAGTGCTTCCCTGGTCTAACCTGGTATTATGAGGATTAAATGCAAAACAAAACATCACACACACACACACACACACACACACATACACACACCCCTCTTTTAGCACCAGACTTAATTTATAGAAATAATACAAATTAATAATCTTTTTAGAAGACATATCACTGTATGTTATTTCATCCTCTCATGAGGATCACAAAATGGTATTATATTACTCTTTAAACCCCAGACTGGGTAAGTCTGAGGCCTCATTGAGGCAACTAAGAAAACTTCAGACAATTTTCCAGTGGGGTTAGGGAGCAGAAGTGCATCTGATTTGTGGAATTTTACATTGATCCCTGACACAGGAAAGGTGGCTTAAATTGACCTTCCTGAAAGTTTGCAGGTCGTGAAGACCAATTAGTTGCTATGGTGTCAATAAGTGCAAATTGCTGTAGGTTGTTGGTGAATAGGGAAATCTCCACTGGGTCAGTGCCCAGGGCAATGAGGTACTAAAGGCACGGCAGGTGGTTTGAAGGCAGACACCTTAAAAAAAAAAAAAAGCCACAACTGTGCTGGACTTTGGTGTTCCACCCATAAACAGTGATACGTTCCAGCTCCTTTCTCAGTCTCTGCATGTATATCAAGGTGCTGATCTCAGCTGGTACATCACTGTGTGGTCTGAATTAATTTTATTCTAAGGATTATATTCTCTTTAGACATGGTACAGCAATTGAGATTAGACCAAATTGCTTATTCTGTGGAACTCTGGATTATCAGTAAAACATCAAGATTTGACTAATTAATGATCCTTCCAAACAGTCTTCATTTTAAAGGATTCCATTTTAGAGTTAACAGAAAAGAAAAGAGATAATCTCTGAGTGGAAATGTGGAAACCAAATGTTCAGCCTTTTTTAAAACCCAATTCAGAACTCAACCTAGACATGCCATTATGTTACAGTAACAGTGAAAAAAGAAAAAAAAAAACCTTCTCCAGATTACTGATGCATATACTGTCATAATAAACAGAGTTAACTGAGATAATTAAAAGTATTTTTATTCAGTTAATAAGATAAAGTGTCACAGTTTAGAATGATTACTGTGAACTTCTGCAGATAGTGTAGAACAGAACACCTTGTCTTTGTAAAACACATAACTATATCCAACAATTGCAACATGTTTTATTCATATGGTGTTTATGTCTGGATATGTCCAAGCTATTTGCTATGTGAACAGTCACACTTGATAGATCCAGGAGGGAATTTCTTGGTACAATGAACAAAAAGAGCTATTTTGTTCTTATGCTCCAACCTCAGACCAAGGAAAAAAAACTGTCATAAAAATATGGTCCCCTTTCTGCCTTTAAAACTGTGCTAGTGCCTGGGGAAGGATTCTCAGAATGTAAAAAATTTGGTGACATTACATGGGAAACTTTCTGTTCTTTCCCTGTAATAGTCAATCTTGTTTAGACAGAAGCCTCTGAGTGGATAGGGAACAGTGTATCATGAGCTACAGCAAGGGATTCAGGTGCAATACACCCACAAAACCATTACATGGTGACCAATAACTGATTTCTCTACTAAAACTTTACTATTTAGCTTTGTTTCTGGAGGATTTGATATAGCTAAATGTCTATGTCAAGTGCCATAATACAAATTACCTATGATTAAAATTAAATCACTTAATATACCGATTTAATGATGTTTTACTTTCCCTGGCTTCCCGAGGCTGCAAAGACAAAGACAAACTCCTTATAATTGGAAGGAAAAAAAAAACCCAACATAACCTTTAACAATAAAGTTTTTTGTTATGTAGCTGTAAAAATTCAGCAATTGAAAACAAAAGAGGGCTATAACCAAGTGGAAGGTCTATAGCCATCTAAGGTTATGCCCTGGGGTGTTGCTCCTTCCACATTTCAAGGTTAGCATTAGGTCACCATCAGAAATAAGAGTGGGTGGAATTTTTGTTGTTGTTCATTTTAGTTCCAATGACCCCAGCAAAGGGCTACTTACTGAAGCATGTCTGTTTGCTGAGGTAATTCCACGGGGAATATTTTAGATTATGCTACAGGAATGGCGCTTGCAATGGAAAAACGCCATTTAAAGAAACACTGACATAGCATCCAAGCTCCGCTGTCTTCCTGGTACAATTAAGAAGCCAACTCTGTTCCCGAAAAGGAAAAGATTCTGTGTGCAAGTAGTGTGTCCCGTATCAATGATATAATTGTAAATCCATGGCTGTTCACATCCCAGGTGGAAAGCAAGTACTCAAAAGCAAAACAGGAAATGAAAAACTAAGACTATTACCAAAAGTTGCGAAAGAAAGCAGCTCTGCTGGCAATTGGGGAGATTGCAACAGATAACCTAAGTGGAGGATGTATGTGAGTGGTGTTGCCTGCTATTTTTCCAAGAGTCGTCTAGACTAGCAGTCCCCAATCTTTTTGGCACCAGGGACTGGCTTCATGGAAGACATTTTTTCCATGGATGGGTGGAGGTAGGAAGGGTGGGGAGGATAGTTTTGCGATGAAATTGTTCCACCTCAGATCATCAGGCATTAGATTCTCATAACGAGTGCAACCTAGATCCGAGGCATGCACAGTTCACAATAGGGTTCGTGCGCCTATGAGAATCTAATGTTCCACTGATCTGACAGGAGGTGGAGCTCAGGCAGCAATGCCGGCTCATAGAAGTTCACCTCCTGCCATGCAACCAGGTTCCTAATAGGCCTCAGGCCAGACCAGCACCAGTACGTGGCTTGGGGATTGGGGACCTCTGATATAGACTATGTATCATCATATAGACTGATGTTCAATGAACTTGCCCATGGAAGTGAATGCCTTACCTCTATAAAAACTAGAACTCGGCTGGGCGCAGTGGCTCACACCTGTAATCCCAGCACTTTGGGAGGCCAAGGTGGGCAGATTGCTTGAGCCCTGGCTTTTGCGACCAGCCTGGGCAAAATGACGAAACCCTTGCCTCTACAAAAAATACAAAAATCAGCCAGACGCAGTGGCAGGTGCCTGTGGTCCCAGCTACTTGCTAGGCTGAGGTTGGAGGATCACTTGAGTCCAGGAGGCAAAGGTTACAGTGAGCCGAGATTGTGCCACTGCACTCCAGCCAGGGCAACAGAGCGAGACCCTGTCTCAAAAAAAAAAAAAAAGAAAAGAAAAGAAAAGAAAAGAAAAAAAAAAAACCCAAAAAACTAGAAGTGGATACTAATGAGTAGGTAGCCTCAGATGGAAAGTGAGAGGACTCATAGTGCTGAACACTTGGAATTAGTAAAATAGAGTACTTGAGGCAAATTGGCCTTAACGAATGGACAATCAGAAAAGTACAATTTTTCTGAAAAAGATTCTACACTCACTGAGTTGAATGTGAAGGCTCAGTACCTGAGAGAAGAAATCGAGCCCCAATAGGCAACCAGTGACCAGTAACAGATTTTGCACAATTCCAAATATGGTGGATGAACTCAGATGGTTAGACCTGCCTCTTGTTTAGGGCAACCTAGGCAGCTCCTGTGGGTCCTGCGTGTGGTACCTGTTGATGGGGAGAGAGGTAGGGATTGTGCCTTGTTCCTCCTTTCTGAACACCATCAAAATTCTGTTTCAAAAGTTTCTGTCAGGAAGCATGTGAGAATTGTCACGGTATGGCTTTTTTGCACATTGTGGGTGATTTTGTAGTTCCCTCACTGGTTGAGATGCTGCAGCTCCAAATACTAGTAGGGATGGCTCTGCAGGTGATGGTGGTGCCAGCGAATGAGGCTGACTCCGTTTCAGGCCTTGATGTTGGGTGGGGGTGGGGAAGGGTGAGGCTTGAGTGCGCAGTGGCATAAAGCATGGATATGGTGAAATGATTGATACCTGCAGTCTGAAGCTGTCTGCTTCAAAACTCCCAATTTAATCAGGTGAAAGTGTGTCTATAATAGAATCACCCTCTGAGATGCCATTTTGGATATGTGGAAAATATTAAAGTATAAAAAACTGTAAGCACTGGATCGCTTCTTCCTAACCATTCATCCCAACTAGGTTTTAGCTTCCTGAAGATAGAGACCAACTATTCTTCATTTTTCATTATTGATTTTTTGATTTTCTGTGGTCTCCAGAGCAGTGTCTATCACTTAGATGGGACCTCAAATAATGCTCCTTGAAGGGATGAATGGAAAAGCAAAATCTAGAAACCAAGATAGTGTGTCCGGAATTGGTGGGTTCTTGGTCTCGCTGACTTCAAGATTGAAGCCGCAGACCCTCGCGGTGAGTGTTACAGTTCTTAAAGATGGTGTGTCCGGAGTTTGTTCCTTCTGTGGTTCAGATGTGTCTGGAGTTTCTTCCTTCTGGTGGGTTCATGGTCTCACTGACTTCAGGAGTGAAGTTGCAGACCTTCGCGGTGAGTGTTACAGCTCTTAAAGGTGGCGCATAGACCCAAAGAGTGAGCAGCAGCAAGATTTATTGCGAAGAGCGAAAGAACAAAGCTTCCACAGCATAGAAGGGGACCCAAGTGGGTTGCCGCTGCTGGCTCGGGTGGCCTGCTTTGATTCCCTGATTTGGCCCCACCCACATCCTGCTGATTGGTCCGTTTACAGAGTGCTGATTGGTCCGTTTTACAGAGTGCTGATTGGTGTGTTTACAGTCCTTTAGCTAGATACAGAGTACTGATTGGTGCATTTACAATCCTTTAGCTAGACACAAAAGTTCTCCAAGTCCCCACCTGACCCAGAAGCCCAGCCGGCTTCACCTTTCAATATGAATGGTCTGCAAAATTTTGTTTATATTCACTGCTTTTTGGTTTACTGATATCTGTTTTTATTTTATTTTACTTTATTTTATTTTTGATACATGGTCTCACTCTGTCGCTCAGGCTGGAGTGCAATGGTGTGATCTCTGCTCACTGCAAACTCTGCCTCCTGGGCTCAAGTAATCCTCCCGCTTCAGCCTCCTGAATAGCTGGGACTACAGGTACATGCCCCATGCCTGGCTAATTTTTTTTTTTTTTTTTAATTTGTAGAGATGGGTTTCTGCCATGTTGCCCAGGCTGGTCTTGAACATCTGCCTCCGCTTCCCAAAGTGCTCGGATTACAAGCGTGAGCTACTGAGCCTGGCCTGATATCTGTTTTTAGAGTTGCTCCTGCAGTGGTGACAACCTCTTCCTTTTTGTTAGACATGTCATTCCAATACGCCCATGAGCCCTGGCTCTGACTTCCTGCAGAACTGGAATCTAGGGGTAGAACTGCAGATGGAGCTGAGAGATGGAGAAGCTGGGGTGATTGGCAAGCTTGAGAAAATGTCTGTGACTTAATGCATTTCCAGATTTACATGAAAAAAAATCTTTGGACCACTGGGGAGAGACCTACTTTCTATGCAATAAAGAAGAGATTTTAATGCCATGCAGCCTGATTGCAGAAGCCTCTCTCCTCAATATACACAGTCCCCAGTTACTATACCATGGAATGGAGAGATTGATTAGGTTTATCCATTAGGACATTTGTATTGAAGAGCACAGTGAGCAAGAACAGAGAGTGAAAACCCATTGATTTACATGTGTCTCATCGAGTAACATCTTTTTTGGACTTCATATATGTACCCTCGTAGGGGATTATATGGAGAGGGTTAAGGCTCACAGGCCCAAACTAGAGGGTCCAGGTCTTGCCCAAAGAGGAAGCATTTCTTTGTCTGTTTATCTTGTTCACAGATATGAACTAGAAGTAGGAAGGAAATTTCAAGGAGTTTAGAGGTATTATGCCAATAACAATTGCCGTATTGAACTAAGTGGAAGTGTTCAGGGAGGGAAGTGCCAGAGGCAGTGATGGGTCTGGTTTTATTTAGCGCATTTAATAATGATCTGGAAGAGGGGGAAAACACATTAAAATCACAGATTATACTAAATTGACAGGTGGTGTAAACACAAATGAGGGCAAACAAAAGGATATAAAGAATTTAGAACAGAAATGAGATTCCATCAGGAAAAAAATGCGCTCTCACATCTGTGCAAAGTATCTTAAATCAGCAATGGAAATTGTTTTAAAAGTCATTTAGCTCAGAAAATGTTCATAGGCATTGCTCACATTTATAAGTGCTAACCCCTCCCCACTCCTAGCTATTTTTATACCATTGGATCACCCTGTTTATCCCCATCATTTGAAAACACAATCTGATCATTCTATTTCTCTGAAGTCTTTTAAAGATCTCTGGCTTCCTATAGGATCTGACCCAAGCTTCTTAGTCCCGCAGTAGGAGAATTTTCTTCACTATTCTTGTCCATCTTCCCAGTTTTTCAGAAGTCTGTCTGCCCTGCACTCTTCATTGCTTGCAGGCTGAATTATTTGCAGCTCCCTGATTGCATTCCACCTTATTACTAACAGCACGCTCAGAGCACCATTTCTTTCTCTCTTCTGGGTTATCTCTATATGACCTTCAAGATTCAGTTACGGCCTCACCTCCTTCCCAGGCTTTCATGCACAGAAACATCCCACTCCTGAGTTTGTTTTTGTGCCTTGCTTGGCATTGCCATCATACCCACTGGCCACTTCTAACACAACAAGTTGACAATGATAATGGCTGTATTTATTGAGCACTTAATTATGTTCCAGACTCTGTGCTATGTGTTTTACATGCATTATCTTTGTAATCATCACAACAACCATAGGAGACAAGTAAAATGATCTCAGTTCTATAGGTAACGTAATTTCATGTTAGGTTAAGTAACTAGCCCAGGATTGAACAGCTGCTAAGAGGCAGAACCGGGATTCAAACTGCTTCCAGAGTCCATACTTTTAAAATTATACTATTATACTAATTTGTTTCCTTGTCTCTTCCCTATTTATGCAGTCTCTTTGAGGACAGGGACCATGTCATGATCATCTAGCATTTATAGTACCCTTCATGGTACACAAATCTTAATAATAACAACAAAGATAATTAACATTTAATGAGTGCTAATTATGTGTTTTTGTTAACAGTCATCCTGACAGATGTGAAGTGATAGCTCATTGTGATTTTGATGTGCATTTGTCTGATGAGTAGCATCGTTCAGCATTTTTTCATATACCTGTTGACCATTTGTATGTCTTCTTTGGAGGAATGTCTTTAGCCTATTTCTTAATTGAGCTATCAGGGGTTTGTTTGTTTGTCGTCATTGTTTTTTTGTCCTTCTCTTTTTGATATATTATTTTGCATTCTCATCTGACAGAAAATAGGCATACTATATCCATAGGGTTCCACAACAAACAATTGCCAACAAATTCCACCTCAAACACATGGGAGAGACCAAGTACTATGTGCATAATGTATGCTCTGCCAAATTTGCATAATCCTGTTGACCCACTTTGACTGAGCCATTCTCTTTAAAGTTTATTCTCATAGAATATTGTTTATTTTTGTAGTAGATGTTATTTTTGGTACTTCATACTTTTGTCGGCACCTCTTATCTTGGCTTTTGCTATTGTTACCTATCAAGGTTTTCTTTTTTAGGAGGATTAGCAAGATCCAGGCCCTGATGGTGCCCAGGAGATTCAATGGAAGGCATGTTGATCCAGATTGGAAAGAAAGCTTTCAATCTAGTTGTGCTACTGGGTCAGTCACTTCTTTGCATTTCCATTTTCTCACCTACAAACTAGCTACTCAGGTGTCAGAGTGTGGGCCAGCTGCATCACCATCACCAGGGGAGTATTTGATAAATATTGATTCCTGGGTCCTATTCACAAGGACTCTGGTTCTGCAGGTGTATTCCTCCATTTTCATACTGCTATAAAGATACTACTTGAGACTGGGTAATTTATAAAGAAAGGAGGTTTAATTGACTCATAATTTGGTATGGCTGGGGAGGTCTCAGGAAACTTACAATCATGGCAGGAGGCGAAGGGGAAGAAAGGCACATCTTATATGGCAGCAGACAAGAGAGAGAGAGCATGGGGGAAACTGCAGACACTTATCAAACCACCAGATCTCGTGAGAACTCCCTCACCAGCACGAGAACAGCATAGGGGAAACTCTCCCAGGACCCACACACCTCCCATCAGGTCCCTTCCTCAACACGTGGGGATTACAATTTGAGATGAGATTTGGGTGGGGACATAGAGCCAAACCATATCAGCAGGTCTAGGGTAAGGCCTAGGAAACAGTGTTTTATTAAAGCCCCCCAGGTGGTTTTGGTGCAGTGAATTTTTGTAAAGATTGAGTGATTTCAGATTGAATCATTGTTAGCTAAGAGATAATGTGATTTATTATCCAGGCTCACTTCTTGAAGACTCAGGAGAAGATATTTTTGTTAAAATTGGTAATTATACATAGAAAAGTCTGTAAAATAAGGGCCTTACACATAGTAGTCTCAGTGAGTGGGTTTCATATTTACTACATTCAGAAATAAGGCTTGTGTTGTTGGGAGTTTTTTTATAGTAATAAAAGTAGTAACAAAGATTATAGCAGTTTTACCCAGTTTAAAAAGTTTCACACACATTATTCAATGTTCACTTTGTAGATTATTTCCCTTTTACAAATGAGAGAACTGAGACTTCCAGACTTGTCCAAAGTCATAGTGTGAATCAGGAGCAGAGACAGAATTTGATCCCATATCTTCCGTGTCTGAAGGCTGTGATATATCCCTTCTCTCAATAATTGTCATGTGGCCTGTGACTGTTCTAGTAGGGCTTCCGGTCTTTATATGAAGAACCACATTTCATTTTCACAAAGCTTTTAGAGTCTTAAGAAGGATAGGATTATCAATTGCAGAACTGCTGAAAGGCATGGATAGCATGATGCTACTGAAGGCTTTACTGTACCTCTAGAAATTTCTACAAACTCTGAAAAAATTTATTAGCCTTAGTGGAAGAAACTGGCTTAGAATTTGTGACCTTACAAGTAGTTCCTAATATACATGTTGATGATCTCTTTCTATGATATTAATACCCTATTCACACCCTATCACCAAAAGTATGTATTTCCCTCAATCCTCTGCATCTTAGTAGATGGTACCACAAGCAATCTAGCTGCGGAAACTCAAAACTAAGCTTTTGTTTTCTTTACCTTCATTCTGCCTCCTAATTTCTTTTCATCTCTAAGTTCTATTGGCTCTATGTCCAAAGATATCCTCAGTTTTGTTCATTTATTTCCACCTTCACTAATACCACTTTAAATTAGACCACCATAATCTCTTTTATGGACCACAAAAGCTTCCTAAGTGGTCTCACAGATTCCTCTCTTACCCACCTGCAATCTGTTCTCCTCACTCAGCAGAGACCTCTTTTAAAATATAAATTTGATGTTGCTCCCTTACTAAAAACTCTGCAATAAATTCCCATTACATTTGGAATAAAATCCAAGTTTCTTAACATGGCCTTCAGTGATCAAGTTTCTCCTCATATTCCTGATCCCATCTGCCCTCCTTCTGATGGTGTCTCACTGCACTAGTCACACTGGACTTGTGCCGATTCCTTGAACACATCAAGCTCACTTTTGCATTTGAACCTCTGCACTTCCTTTTACCTCTGTCTGGAATGCAATTCACCAAAATATTCTTAAGTCTAGCTGCTCTCTAAACTCAGATATTAGCTTGAATATCTTTAGGTATCGCTGTCCCACTGTCCTTCTCCTAGAGACCTTCAAAAAAAAAAAAAAAAAAACCTCCAAGCCACTAACCTGTTTTGTTTCCTTTATAGGACTTAGAGAGGCCACACTGTAATTTACATAAAATGTATCAGAATAGATCTTATGCTCTAAGGATGGTTAGTTGACATTGCACCCCTGGTGCAACTAGCATTCTAATCAGGAATTCACTCCCCAAGAGGCAGGTGGGAGGCTGTTAGCTGACAGTGAAAGGCCACACTCCAGAGGAGGCTACTACAAGCAAGCACTTCAGCTATCTTTGTCTCTGATAAAGATATTGCACTAATTAGCATAGCGAATGTCAGAAGTGGATTTTTATTGGTGAAATTAGCACTTTGTTAATTAGCATATGACTGCTAGAAAAATTCAAGGTGGAAGTGTCAAAAATATTTTGGTTATATCTCCCAACCAGACATGAACAAGATATTGAGAGAAAACTCCTTATTCTTAGGACTGGAACACAAAGCTTGATCTATGAATCTTCCATATGCAGACATTGGTTTAAAAGACTCTGGATTGCTTGATGTTGACAGTGAGGGTGGCAGAATACTTCTTCTGGAATATTGTCACATCAGTCTTGAGTGAACCATTCATGCAAGATTGTGGAGGGAACACCTAAAAGGACAGAGAGGTGGTGCTCCATCAAGACACAGAACGGGTTTTATCAACTCTCTCATGCTTGTGAGCTAGTATGTTTTATTTAATAAAGTTCTTATGTGTGGCAGAATTTGTTGTGAGTCTTGTTTTTATCAAAAACAAGGTTGTGGGAGAGGAGCTCACTTTCTTCCATCTCAAAGCATGGGATGATTATAACTATTATCTACCAAAAAGAACCCAAGAGTTACTTGTATCAAGTGGGCTTAGGTTTAATTTACAAGAATTAGTAGATAAAACACACTTGTATATGAGCCAGGTGTGGTGGATCACATCTGTAATCCTGACACTTTGAGAGGCCAAGATGGGTGGATCACTTGAAGCCAGGAGTTCGAGACCAGCCTGGGCAACATGGTGAAACCCAGTCTCTACTTAAAATACAAAAATTAGCCAGGTGTGGTGGCACGCAGCTGTAACTCTAGCTACTTGGGTGGCTAAGGCACGAGAATCACTTGAACCCAGGAGGCAGAGGTTGTAGTGAGCCATGATTGCACCACTGCACTCTAACCTGGGTGACAGAGCGAGAACTCTGCCTCAAAAAAAAAAAAAAATCACTTGTACATGTATTTGCTTACTTATTTAGTTCTCCTCTCCATCCCGCCTCCTCTTTCTCAATGTAAACCTCTCAAGAGAGCAGAGGGCTTTGGTGATCTCTTCTCAGAGTCTTGACCAGAGCCTGAGATCTCGAAGCCACCTTTCCAGGTGCTCAATAGTAATTTTAAATTTCCAAAAAGAGAATAAAAGGAGGAAGAGAAGGAAGGGTGAAGGAATAGAACAGAGAAATGGGCAAGTAATATTGGGGAGAAGAATGAGGAATGGGTGCATAGAAGGAAAGTCAGCTAATGAAAGAATTCTTAGTCTCAAACAGGCAATGGAGAAGAGTAGCAGAGTTGGGCTTTTCCAAGTATGTTTTTTGGAACACTGGCCCTGAGAGATGCTATGAAGAAAAACATAGGGGCTAAATGAGATGAGTAAGGGATACTTAAACCTCTTTCTCTTAAATATCCACAATCAGCATGAGCATATTAAAGACTCTGAGAGGCATTTCTAAAGAACACACACACAAGCCTAGTTAATTTTGTTTCATCCAATATTTCCCAAACTTATTTGAGTATAGTGCTCTTTTTCCCTGTGATGTTTATTAATGAGATCTAAAGACTTTAGCAAAGTATAACAGATATGGACATGAAACTAGCAAAGAAAATACCTGTGCTTTCATTATGCTGTGAAGCTGGTTCTGGAGCGAGAGTCTCACCTTCCCTTCCCGGATGCCTCATGCATGGAGAGCATCTGCAGCTGGGTTCTGAGGCAGTCAGGGCAACAGCTCTCAGGCTGATTCTACCCTCTGACCCACCCTTCACCCAGAGAAAGGAAGATGGACTGAACAGTGAACCTTCCTGAAGCAGAAACACTGAGAGATAACTAGGAGCAAATGCACTGAAAATCAGATATGAACGTGCCACTCAGTGTAGCAGAAAAAAGGAACCCACGAGAGTTGCCAGTACAGTGAAACCCACTTACTACATCCTTTTAAAGATCAGCCTAATGCTCACACATGCACAATGCTTCCTTTCCTTGGCCCTCAGAGAAATATTATGAAGGTGTTTCGCTTTAGTAAGGTTCATGAGTTTATGGCCTTGAGAATGCCCTTGAGAATAAACTCTAGGGACTCAGAGAGAGGAAAGAAAGCTACATTTAATGGATTTTGTCTCCATCACCTTTCCAGAATACTGCAAATAAAACATCAGAAGTAGTTAAATTTTCTAAACTCAGTAAGTACCAAAGGGAGGTCCTATTTTCTTTCTGTTATTATCTTTAATTAACTAAATGTCAAGTCATGTCAGGAAGTTAGGCAATTATATTTTGGGAGAGATTTCTAAAATATAAATATTCCAAAATGCATATAGTTACATAGCTAAATGTTTCAACAGTACAAGGGATATACGAATACATGAGGCAAAAGTTAAAAATAAACAAAGGAAAGGTGTTCTTTCTTACCTCCTGAATTTCATGTTTTGTCCTTTCAACTTGGAACTTTTTGGTGTCATCTTGGCCTCACTAATTGCCATTCATCCTTCCACGTGCAGTTTAGATAACACTTAATTTGACAAGCCTTTCCTGAATCACTGGCCTTGTCTAGGTTAGAAAAGCCTGGTTGGATATTTCTATTGTAACTTTCTTTATCACACTTGGCTGTGTATTTAATTGCTCTTTTACCACTAGATTAAAAATTCCATGATGGCAGAGACTACATGTATTTCATTCACCGGTAAGTCCCCAGAGCCTAATGCATTTGCTGGCAGGAAATAGGTACTTAATAAGTTAGTTGGTTAATATAGTTTTGGTTTAACTTCGAGTGTGTTTGATACCCAATGTTGCGTTTAGGGAAACTTACATCAGCATAATCATTAATTCTATGCCATATGTATACTAACAGTCATAGTAACTCATAGAAAGATATACTCTTGGGATTGAGTCCAGGGTATTATAACCAGGATTCAAAGAAAAGCTTAGCTTAAGAATTACAAAAATTATAAAATAAAGAGTTAAGAAATAAAGTTGATGAAGAGATCTTGAGTTCTGAAAGTTCATAGAAATGATTCACTTCATGAAAGTGTTGCTTTTGGTTTTAGAGTCAACATTAAATAATCGAGAGGCATTTCATTGTCTAAAATGCTTGATTCATCAAAATGTACTACAGTTGACTTTGTGCTTTTATGGTCACATGATTGCAGAGGTCAAGTACTTATATGAAAGCCACAAATGAATAAACAAATAAATGAAAGGCCTAGGCCATAAACACACACACACGCGTGCGCACACACACACACACACACACACACACACGTTGATCCTCTTGAGAAATTTATCTGCATGTGCTTTTGCTATATTTGGGTGTATGTGTGTGAGAGACAGGGATGAAAAAGAGAAAAAAAGGAAAGAAAAATAAAGACACAGGCAGAAAGGGAAGAAATGGAGTTCACAGCCAAATTCTTCGGTATCTGGTATAAATAGTTTAACCAAGCAAAAACAAGCAAATACTTGGTTGATATAAACTAAAGTGTAGTGTGAGTGTGTGTGTGTGTGTGTGTGTGCATGTGCATGAACCTGTGTATCTGTGTAGGGTCATTTGTTGGTAGTCTACTTTGTGCATTGGCCTATTTAAAAGTTGTTTCAGGTGTCTGTAATCTTTGATAAAATTCACCACTATACAAAGAAATACTGAAGCAATTTGCTAATGACCAAAATTTGGCTATGCATTACAGAAAGATCAAATGAAATGAAAGAGTTTAGAATTTTGGGTGTAGTTTGTTGCTGTGTAGCAAGTAAGTCTTTCAAGTAGAATCAAGGGAATAGGGAAGAATACAGATTTTTGAAAGTCAAGTCTCAGAATGCTAGTATGAGTTCACTACAAATTATCATCACTTCATTCTAAAAAAAGCTGCTTGAGCATTTGGAGAGGTACAAAGAAGGAACAGAAAGATAGAGGAGCTCACGACAAGCTATAAATCTTGATGCTTAAATTGAATGGGGGGAGTTAAGACAGTACAGTGTAGTACTTGTTAAAAAAAGTGACAAATGGTGTTTCCATTTGCAAAAGTCATTTACAATTGGCCATTAATAAAGAGGTTGGGATAAGGAAAGCTTCTTGCAGAAGTTTTAAAATTTTAGTCATCAAATTCAGCCTGTTTCATTTAATTCCATTTAACAGCTTAGAGTTGATTTAATTCAAATATGTATAAGGTCTCAAATGGAAAACATTTTGGTAATTTGCATGGCTATTTTCAAGACTGCAAAATCTAATTCACAGACAATAGAACTAGACTGTTGGCAATGGAAATAAGGGACAAAAATGACTGATGTAAATCAGCCTTTGATGTGTTAAGTTTCTCCCAAGATAAACTAAATCACTGCAAGGTCCTAGCTCACAAAGTGGATGCTCATGGAAGTAGCTGATGGCATCATCAGAGAAATTCCAAGTCCTGCCTGGGACAGTGGTCTACTTGAGGTACACACTCATGCTATCTTCTACCATGAAGAAATAAACCTTTTCAATGTGATGAAGAAGGGTCTCAACTTATATTATTATGTGGGGGCTTAGTTTAAATTCCTTTTCCTTTAAGTGTCTTTCGTATGACTGTTAGATTTCTTGCTCTCTTGGTATCCTGGAGATCCACTGGGTACTATAACTATTATAATTGTGGGCCATAACTGTCTTGTTTGGGGGCCATCTGCTCTTCTCTCTTGAATAATACAGTTTGTCATTGGCCACACATAAATCACAAACAGAGTAGTTTTCTCTCTCTTGACTTGACAAACACCAAGCACATTTAGAATTCAGCCTTGTAATTAAGCAGGGCTGAATCTCCAGGGGCAGGGCTGATTCAAAGGAATTTGCAGACTGGGGGAAGGGCTCTTTATGTTGACCTTGGATGGCAGGTGTTATAGCATCTGAGGGAATTGCTGCTCCTATGCTGCCCTCATCTGTGACCCTAAATCATATCCTCAGGTTATGTGGTTGGTAGTACTCTGGACAGTGAATTTGAGAGAAAAGACCTGAGCTATTATTTCATCTGTAAAGTTTCCAGTCTCGGAAGCTGAAAAGAGATTATGTGTAAGTGCTTTGACATCTAAAGAAAAACCAATGGTGGTAAAAATGAATAAACATAATATCTTTCTCAAAGTGTGTGGGTGTGCATTTGTATACCTGCTCTCTGTGTTGTGGTTTAGAACAGGGGTACTTTTTCATTATCTATCCTCTCTTTCCCCTCTCTGAGAACCTAGAGCTCTCCAGTGCCAAACACACATGGCTCAGGTGAATCCTAATGTGCTGTGTTCTTGATGAGAAGATGCTGCTGCTACTCTCTGAGCACTGCAAGACAAGATTTGACATGGTACCTGGACTCTCAAAAAGGATACCCTTGGTAGGGTGGCCAGCTCTCTTGATTTGCCCATGACTGTCTTGATTTTAGCACTGAAAGTCTTGTATCCCAGGAAATCTTTCACTTGTAAGGTTTGAAAGCATCTCAGTCCTTAGCACTTATAAAATCTCAACAATGTAAGACAGTAGCTTGCAGTTGGCACTTGTGTCTGTTTCTCTGATAATTTGATTTGGTCTTATATTTACTTGAATCTTGTGAAGGCAACTTGCACTTCCCTTTGTGCTATACTCTAACCTGGGAGGTTTTCAAGCTGTAGCTCACTGGACTGCAGGAGTCCACACAATGCCCCGCATGGGGAAACGAGGATGAGGAGCTCCAGGCCTCCTCTCACTACTTCAACCAAAGTAGCTCATCTATATTCTGTTTAAGATGTTGGGTTCTTATAGGCCAGGCACAGCGGCTCACGCCTGTAATCCCAGCACTTTGGGAGGCCAAAGTGGGCAGATCACTTGAGGTCAGGCGTTCGAAACCAGCCTGGCCAACATGGTGAAACCTCGTCTCTACCAAAATTAAAAAAAATTAACCGGGTGTGGTGGCATGCGCCTGTAATCCCAGCTATTCAGGAGTCTGAGGCAGGATAATTGCTTGAACCTGGGAGGCAGAGGTTGCAGTGAGGTGAGATCATGCCACTGCATTCCAGCCTAAAGGACAGAGCAAGACTCTGGCTCAAAAAAAAAAAAAAAAGAAAAAGATATTGGGCTCTTATGATCTAGTGAAAAGATTGACTAGTTAAAACACATTCATTTGATTCATTTGTTAAACAAAGTTCAAGAACCATACCCCTAGGTAAGTTACTAACTTTATTTAGACCCTAATAAATAAGCCATACAATTTAAGAAAAGACAACGAACAGGACTCGCCTTTAATGGCAGAGCCTTTGCTTCTTTTCCTTCCTTTTTTTTGGGCATAAAAGATGATGTGCAAATAGTCACATGTTGGTAATTAGAAAATAGTTTCCACAATTGTCCTTTCTTCCTGAGCTGTATTCCTAGTCTTGCTGATAGCACAAGTTACCATGTGAGCATTATGCAGAATGATGGGAGTTGAATGGATGACACTGTGAAATATAAGAAAAAATGTAAAAGTTTGCAGTTTTAAAATTTGTCTTAGTATGTCAGAACCTTCTGGCATCCTGTAGGTCAGCCTGGGCATTGACATACATACCTGATTTATACAGATTGATTTAGTCATGAAAGAGATTTACTACATAGCTATGCATCTATATTTTCTGGAAGATAAGTAATTATGTGTTGTAGTGCATGTATCATCACACACACATGCATTCAAACACACACACACATGCATACACATATACACTTCTTTAGAAAGACCCAAATCTTGAACTAGAACCTATAAGGAAAGTACAATAAAGTACTGAGGTTAAAGAACAAATGGCCCACTGAGATTTCTCGGGTTTGGGTTATGAGAGAAAAGCTGAATTTCAGGTTAGATTTGGAGACAGGAACTACATATTTTAGGCCAAAGAAAAAATGTTTTAATGAAAATTCAAAGAATTAGGACTAGCCATTGAACACATGAGATGTGTGAGGGAGAGAGGGAGAAAAAAAGAGAGAGAAAAGAGAGAGTGATCTAGTCTTTGACTCTGTTGCTTTTTCCACTCAGTCATTGACCTTCTACCATCACGTGCTAAGGTATTAACACCAGCCTTCCTCACCTTACCACCAGTGGTTACTGCAGTCTCTCGTGCTGCTAGTTTCTGCATGTATTGGACACTTTTTTTTTTTTTTTTTTGAGACAGAGTCTCGCTCTGTTGCCCAGGCTGGAGTGCAGTGGTGTGATCTCGGCTCACTGCAACCTCTGTCTCCTGGGTTCAAGCAATTCTCAAGCCTCAGCCCCCCGAGTAGCTGGGATTACAGGTGCATGCCATCTCGTCTGGCTAGTTTTGTATTCTTAGTAGGGATAGGGTTTTGCCATGTTGGCCAGGCTGGTCTTGAACTCCTGACCTCATGTGATCCGCCCACCTTGGCCTACCAAAGTGCTGGGATTACAGGCATGAGCCACCATGTCCAGCCTAATTTTTGTATTTTTTGTTTTTTTGAGACTGAGTCTTGCTCTGTTGCCCAGGATGGAGTGCAGTGGCTCTATCTCGGCTCACTGCAACCTCTGCTTCCCGGGTTCAAGCAATTCTCTGCCTCAGCCTCCCAAGTAGCTGGAATTCCAGGCACCCACCACCACGCCGGGCTATTTTTTGTATTTTTAGTGGAGACGGGGTTTCACCATCTTGGTCAGGTGGGTCTTGAACTCCTGACCTCGTGATCTACCTGCCTCAGCCTCCCAAAGGGCTGGGATTACAGGCGTGAGCCTCTGCACCCCACCAATAGTTGTATTTTTAATAGAGACAGGGTTTCATCATGTGGGCCAGGCTGGTCTCAAACTCCTGACCTCAAGCGATCCACCCACCTCAGCCTCCCAAAGTGCTGGGATTGTAGGTGTGAGCCACTGTGCCTGGCCACTGGTCACTTCATTTTAATATCTCCAATTAACTGCTTCATGTGTTTTAATTTTTTTTTGTTTAAGTAGCAGAATCTATATATGGAGAGAGGTTTGCTTGAAACTCAGGAAGGGGCAGGTCTTCATTTGTGTTTGCAGCTTGTAGATTGGAATTAAAATTCGGAATGGTGCCTGGCTGATGCTCTCAGGCTCTTCCACACTCAGCCCTATTGCAGAAGCTCTCTTTTCCCATAACATCATCTCTTGAACTGTTCTGCCTTCCTTTTTCTTTCATTCTGCCTCTTTCTTCTCCCTATATATACTTTTCTGGCTCTGATGTTCACTAAACTGTTAAAAACCCTTTCCTTCCTGATTGAAAACATAGGTGGGGCAGAGAGGAATTATGTCTGAAATGTGAGAGGGTCACTACTGTCACATTTGTGAAATGACGAGAAAACATCTGAGGGAAAATCTGTGGAGGACGTTATTAACTGGGAAGAAATTGGCCACATTCTCAGATGAATCTGGAATATTTTGGGGGCTTTCCTTGTGCTGTTTTTTGTTAGTTAAGATTTCTTCTTCTCTCTCTCTCTTTTTCTGAGGCATAATCCTGGGCAGAAATAAAATTGCTTGAGTCAGGCTATCTTTCCACAAGGACATGGGGAAGAGGGGTTGTATGTGAATGTGCTAATATGATTCTAAATGCTTTCAAACTGTTCCTTTTAATTCTCTCTGTGGCATGTAATTCCTCAGGGACATACACCAAATTGATAAGATCAGTGCTAAAGTGAACTGTCTCTTCTGGTCCCCAGGAGCCTCTGACTGAAGAGTCAGCATACAATTGTGCATTAGTGGTGTTGCTGTCCTGTAGAAGAAACACTTCAGCACACTATTGACATCACAAACAAATTAAAAGACTCACCAAAGTTAATATTCTCACATTATAACAACATCTCCTATAAATTATTAAAGCCCACACAATTTATTACCCATGTTGGGGGAAAGAAAAGCAAGTTGAATCATGAGGCATGCTACTTAATGATTTATTTTTTTTGGTCTTCAATGTGTTGAGGTTTATAAATCATCCTGCTCAGCTCTGCACTGCGCCAAGGAAAACGCAGTTGCTAGTCATGCCCTCCTCTCACCAATGATCACCTGTGCACTGGATGGAAGCACACTCATTACTTGAGTGTCGATCAGCAGCTCTCTCTTTCAGACTGACTGTTCCTTTTCATTACTGTACTGCTTAAACATGGCACTGAATGAATATGATTTAAGACTTTAGATGATAGATCCAAGCCTTTCCAGAAATAAATATTAACTTCATTATTTAGGCAAGGTAGCCAAACTGATATTCTATCTCCAGGTTTTTAAGTAAATCAAAGTTTACTTAGAAATCTTGTGATCTAAAGTGTGGTCCTCCAGCTACACCACTAGTCTGTCTTGATTAATGTCATGTTTTTAAACAAACAAATATATTTTATTCCACTCTGAGTGGCATGTTTTATCTCTCATTCTACCACTGAACTAGGGCAAGTCATTCAAATTCTGAGAAACACATTTCCTAATCTATTCAATGAGCATGTTGTATTAGTCTCTAAATTATTATCTTCCAGATATAAAATTCTGATAGAGTGCAGAACTGCAAATCAGGCAGCAATTTGCCCTGCTGCTGGTGTTCTTGAGAGCCCTGTGCATATTTGCCTGGGGCATCTCTCTGCGTTTGCCCTAAGTTAGGTCTAAGAGGCCTGGGGTCTACTCTAGGCCTGTCTGCCCCTTCTTGTCTATGCTGGCCATAGAAGAGAAGAAAAATTTCAAGAGGAAATGAGCTATATTGAGAAGAAGTTTGAGATGGATTAGAGCCACTGAGATTCTTCTAGAAATAATGGGCAAATGTTCTAACAATTCTAAAAGTTCCTCCGGGGTTAGTTTACAATTCAAGGCTTTGCCATCCATTTGGTCTGGCAGTCTTTACTTACTTGCACATGTGCCTTTAATGGTACAGTCCTATTCCAGGCTGGACATCTTAAGTACAAACACTGATCTATGCTCTGGAAGAGTCACCAGCATGTCTGATTTTGAAAATAGCATCACATATTACTGTCTTAAAGTTAGCAGAAAAATAAACGCTCAAGTGTAAACTAAAAAGGCATGTAAATACAAGTTGTTTTAATACAGTTTCTCTTGTAAAGGCAATTTGATACACATACTTCTTAGGAACGAAAATAATAGACATCAATAATGCATGGGCTACACATTTAATTTGCTTTGCAGAAGTAAACAAACATGCCTGTATTTTTCATATGGAGTCTCAAAACTTGGGAAACATAGTTGGAACTTTTAAAATGTGTTATTTTAGATTACATCTGATAAGCCTGCATTTGTATCCCTGTCTCTGATGTCACCTAAATGGACATCACTTAAGCTTAATGAGCCTCGGTTTTCTCATCTGAAAAATGGAGAGAGCAATACTTAGCTGCTTCATAGGACCAATGTGCAGTTAACAATAGATGATGATGAATTTTTTAAAAAAAATTAAACTGTATGGAAAGATGAATTATTATGTTGATTTTAACTAATAATTATTAAACCCAATGAAATTCTAATTCCATTATCACTGGAATTATTTTTCACCCAAGAAGAAAGTTGGAATTTCATTCATCTACCATGAAAATCTTTCTCAGACAACATCTACACACTCCTTTTGCTTGAGGAGACTGTTGAATAGGTGGGGTAAAGGTGGCACTCACTTTTACCTTCTACCTCCAGGAACTGTACCATGTTACTGATATCTTAGAGTACACAGGAGCCAGGGCTGGTAGTGCTGTTTCTTTCTTGTTGGATTAAATTCAGCAAACATTTATTGGGCTCCAACCATGTTCCAGGCCCTTATTCACCACAGTCAAATGGATGAGTGTACTAAGGCTCACTACACATAGAAAAATGATTTTCCTGTGTAGGTATCCTTTTCCCAAAAATATGAGTGTTGGGGTGTGGTGAGGACAGAAAGGCATACTTGGGAAAGTGAAGTTCAGGCATTGGATGCCTAAGATCTTTGGACAAACAGACATTCAACTTATTGTAAGAAGTTGTAGCATAATGGCCTGTTGCAGAACAAAGGCTTCAGTGGCCTTTGCTAAAATGTAAGGTCCACTCTGCTGATTAGATAGAATCATTGAACCTTATGCTACCCTATATATACAATGGAATCCATAAGCACCCTCCCAAGAGGGGAGGCATTTAGATGAGATCTTTAAGACTTAGGTATTGTGTACCATGAATGAACATAAAAGGCTCATGGCATAAATAGCCATTCATTCTGTCAACAACATTAATTGAAAACTCAGGGGTGCATAAAGCCCCATTCTGGTTTATTGAGGAAGCCACAAGAATACCTTCACATCTGTATGCAAATATTTCACGACTGTGAAACTGAGGCGTGAGTGCCACTGATGTGAAGAGGCTGTTTAGCGATAACATACACATCAGCTGGGACTTTTCCACATAATGTTTCCCTGACCACTTGTGTGTCATAATTTTCTGCAATATACATGTCCTTTAAACGTGTTATGGCACTTGTAAATACAAAAATTTGTTCCAGTGTCCTTAGCAAAATACCACCAAATGGACAGAAAACCTTGGCAATGTATACTGGCAGAGTATTAGCATGTTTGCTATGTAAAGGTCCATATATTGATATTTCTTTGCATTCTATAAAATCTTCAGGTTTTGAATAATTTTATTATATGTACAGGGTGAACAAATCTCAATTATTGTAAGAACTTTAGAAAGAATATTTTTTTCACGCTTAATATATTCTCTCTTACCTACTCTCTTTCCTAACCTACACTTTGAGAACAAGAAATGACATCTATTTTACTCTATCCAGGAATCTACCCAAACAGCCAAAAGCCTAAGTCCCTTCATGGTCTTGCCAATATTAGCTGTGTAACTCTGGTTGGATAAATTGCTTAACCTTGTTGAGTTTGGCTAACCAAGACCATTCTACCCCACCCATCATTCACCTCTGCACCTTGAAAGCTGCTTACTCTGAACATCTGTGACTCTGGGAGTGAGGACTTTTTTCTGGCTCTGAGAATATGCTCAGTTTACCAAAAAATGCAAACCAGAAGTACACTACAGTTGTTACCTCTGGAGGCAGACTTCAACCAAAGATAGGTGGAGAGTTGGTAGATAAATATTCCAGCTTCTTTACCCCTTAATTGAGCTAACACTGGGCAGCATTGTGTACCCGCTTTCATAGCTCCCCAGCACGACTGAACTGCCAAATTGGAAACCACCTTGAAAACACATCTTCTATTGGTTTTCTTCCCTTCTGACTCATTCCACACTCCCTATCAATGTTTCTGGGGATCAGCTCAAGTAAAATACAAACAATCACTGACTTACAGTGGTTTGACTTAAGATTTTACAACCTTTTGATGGGTTTATTGGGGGTATGAAATGCATTTCTGACTTATAATATTTTCAGCTTAAGATGGGTTTATCCGGATGTAACCCCATTGTAAGTTGAGGAACAATGGGATTTGCATTTGAATCTTTGTCTTACATTTCTGGGGTAACTCAGTTAAGGTATTTAATTTTCTCATGTGTAAAATGAAAACAATAATGCCTGTTCTACCTATCCATATGGTTATTATGAGGATCAAATGAGATAATATACGTACACATGCTTTGAAAATTGTGAAACACTAAATAAATTCACGTTTTTATCATTACTGCTGTTGCTATTGTGTTTTTTAAACTTTAATTCAAACATGTAAAATATTAGCAAATATAATTTTTTTCTTTATTTTTTCATATGCACTTTCTGCTTTTGTAGAAAGAATTATATTTGTAGCAAATATAATTCATTGGTGGTAAGCTAAAAAGAGAAAATATCTGAAAGTAATATGTAAGATAGGAAGTCACTGACAAAGGGTAGAGAATCAGTATCACAGGATGAAGAGAACTTTTTAACTGCTACTGTAACACCACCCAACACCCACATAATCCTCTCCCCCAAATGACAGATGTCAAAGGCAAAGGATTAGAGAAGAGACGACTGGCTTTTCCCTATTGTTACATACTTTTCTCAGGAAGAATATCTTTCCATCTTTTCTTTGTTTGGAAGGTGCCTTTTCATTATCTTATAAATTCACAGGGCAGGGACTGTGCTTAAATACTTATTTGGTAGAATTTTTAAAAATTTAATCATGTTATTCAAATATTCAAAAAGATAAGGCAAAACCGTCTTACTAACCAAAGACAGACAGATGGGGGACAGGCAGACGGAAGAGTTCAAGAAGCAGCAGTTGTACATAGCCGTGTCCACTCATCACCCAAAAGCCAAGACAAATATTAAGGCAGAAAGCTAGAGACTACTTAATCCTGTGTGTTACCTCTCAAAAGCAAATGTGTGGGGAATTTTTCAGGAAAAAAAATTCGTTGTGCCAAAAGTTTCTGTTGCTTGATACATTTTAATCACCTCACTCAGAAAACTGTCCAAAAAAAAAAAGTAAAATCTAGGGATTCTGGAAATAAAAATTCATAAATTAAGATCCTAGTTTCCCTCTTTGGGGAAGACACTGTCGTAGGTGGTGCGGAGCTCTGATCCGCCCGCTCCTTCTCCTGACTCACCGCTGTTCGCTCTTGCCAAGGAACAAGTCGGTCAGGGAGCCGCGCAGCAGCCATGGCTTTTAAGGATACAGGAAAAACACCCTTGGAGCCGGAGGTGACAATTCACTGAATTCGAATCACTCTAACGAGCTGCAATGTAAAATCTCTGGAGAAGGTGTGAGCTGACTTGATCAGAGGAGGAAAGGAAAAGAATCTCGAAGTGAAAGGACAAGTTCGAATGCCTACCAAGAGTTTGAGAATCACTACAAGAAAAAATCCTTGTGGTGAAGGTTCTAAGACATGGGATCATTTCGGGATGAGAATCCACAAGCGACTCATTGACTTGCACAGTCCTTTTGAGATTGTTAAGCAGATGACTTCAGTATTGAGCCAGGAGTTAAAGTGGAAGTCACCATTGCGGATGCTTAAGTCAACTATTTTAATAAATTGATTACCAGTTGTTAAAAAAAAAAAAAAGATCCTAGTTCCCACTGTGATGGCATTAGAAGGTGAGACTTTCAGTAGGTGACTAGGTCATGAGGGTAGAGGCCTCATGAATGGGAACAGTGCTCTTATAAAAGAGGCCGCAGAGAGCTCCCTCACCCCTTCCGCCCTGTGAGGACAAGGAGAAGACAGCTGCCTATGAACCAGGAAGCAGCCCTCAACAGATGCTGAATCTGCTGGCGCCTTGCTCTTGGACTTCTCAGCTTCCAGAACTGTTAGATATAAATTTCTGTTGCTTATAAGCCACCTAGTCCATAGCATTCTGTTATAGCAGCCCAAATGGACTAAGACACTCAGATATAGAACTATTATTTAATAGCCCAAAGAGCTAAGCAAATGCTAAGGCAATACATTCATATCGCAGGCTCATGTAATTATTTATATCTTGCCAAACTAAGTAAGTTTTATTAACGGAATGAAGAACTTGGCACCTCAGTTTTTGTGACATTGTAATTTTCTTAAATGTTAATCAATTTTGACCACATTTGCCCCAGTACTGAATATACTTAGGTGCAAATTTAGTTTTAGCATGTGGTTGACTGCCATGTTGAAATAACGATCTTTGGTAATTGTTAATGATTTTAATGAAGTTGAGTACATTCATAGCAGTTATAGGAATGCCACTGCACAGAAGTCTGTCATTACAGTCACAACTTATGTCCTGCAAAAATACCCTTGAGATGTAAAAATAGGCACATTGTTCACAATCTTTCAATTCTCTAAATGTTATTACTCCCATGTTTACTGGGAAGGTACAGTTAAGAATTGTCCTCTAAATTTGTTCCCTCAAAGGCTTTTGTTTATCTTCATTTATATATTGACTGACTTTCTTTGGGATCCTTGGTTCATAAAAAGTATTGCACTTCTCAATTTTAAACTGGATTCAGGAGGTTACTTCCCATCCCCTGCCCCTTCACTCCTATAATACTTAGCTGGTGCTGCTAGCATAGCACATGTCACACTCTATTATTATAGATAGCTGTAGAGGTGTCTGTCACCTCCATTAGACTAGGAGTTCCCTGAAGGCAGTAACCACCATTTCATTTTTGCCTTCTTAGCACCTGTCAGTTCCTGACATCTAGTCAGTGCTCAATAAGTGTTTGGTGATTGAATCAAATAGACACAATGCAGTGTGTTTATATTAAATGTGTTTGCTGCTTCACTTTACACTAGTTGTGACTTATTCTATTATATTCTTATAAAATAATACATTTTAAAACCAGAAAGGCACAATCACATTTGGACTGAAAATGATTTACTTTTTCAATGTAATTGTTTTTCAAAAGCTGTTTGCTGTCCAATGGCTTACCAAGTTTTAAATATTTTCTTCTGAAAGGTAGGATTTCAAAAGATTTCTAATTTTTTAAATGGATTTTTACATTGTCAAGAAGACACGTAATAGGTGAGACCAATCTTTCACCTGATAAGTGTGAGAATTCTAACTACGTTGTGATTTGTTCAATTCAAGCCACTGATTTTAAATAGGAAAAGGAATGGAATAAATGTTTTTAAAAATCCCAACTGTTGAAAAGTTCTGTAATATAATCTAAAATAAATATACTAACTTAACTTTTCCTTATAATAAGGAAACTGGTAGTTTCAAAAACCATCTGCAGGATAAATATTTATGGAGCAGAATGACAACTTGACTTATCCAAAGCATTGGCATGCATTTTCTTAGTTAATGTTTGATGAAGCATTTCCACTTTGAATTCTTCAGTGAACTAAAAGAAGAGTTTCATTAACTATTTTTGAAAGATAATGAGGCCATGATCCCTT
Source organism: Homo sapiens (assembly GCF_000001405.40). Classification (NCBI taxonomy): domain Eukaryota; kingdom Metazoa; phylum Chordata; class Mammalia; order Primates; family Hominidae; genus Homo; species Homo sapiens. Next base: position 81,594,296 of record NC_000001.11, on the reverse strand, counting down.
TCCAGATGTTTCACTCGTCAAATAATTGTGATCTTTCTTCCAAATCTCCATGGTTGCTTGATTCCTATTTGCTTGTTTATTGAGCAGTGATTTATAAAGATGAAGAGAAGTAGAAGTGCCAGGCAGATGATGGGGATCAGATATATTTCATCTGTCTCCAACATACAAAATCTTGTACTCTGCATTATTATAGATTCAAAAGTATATTTATAAATCTAAAAATTGGAAGCTTATACTCTCCTGAGCCAGTGTATATAAACATATAATAAACAATATTCTTTATGTGTTTCTACATACATACATAGTTGTCTATCTATGTGCAGAAATATATAGAAGCCTCTATTTTTGAAGTCTCCGAAGCTTCTTGCTTGTGGTCAGCCATGCCAACAAACTTCGCAAAATTTAGGCATCATTTTACCTTACAAAAAATTGGAGCCTCTTTAGATTCATTACTAAAGGATAATCATCTCAGATGTGGATAGAGATACTCTTTTTTAATGGTTTTTGCTTAGAAGCATAGGTACACTTTTAACTGTTTGTCTACAGAAGGAACTCAAGAATATGGCTTTTTGCAGAATTTTCCTTGGGGTCTAGGAAAGAGACGTGAATTTTTGCTGACGGTAGACTATTCTAACTATATTTTCAAATATTTCAAAGCATAGGAATAAGAGGTAATAGAGCCCAAAACCCAAATTAAGGTACGCTGAAAAAGCTACATTTAAATAAGATAGTAGATAAGTGAGTGATCACAAATAATGGAACATCAGCAATAATCAAGCCAACACTCAGTGTACACTATGCACTAAATACTATTGTAAACACTTCACATATTAGTTCATTTTTTCCCACAGTGATCTCATGAGGTAGATACTAGCATTAACCCCAATTTACAGATTAGGAAACTGAGGAGGCACAGAAATTTAAATATTTTACCCAAGTTTACAGCTCCAGTAAGGGAGAGCATGGGATAGAAACTGAAGCAGCTCGTCTCTAGGGTGATTGTTATTACACTATTTAATAGTGAGCGCCAGGTGATAGGAGAACTTTGAGCTATTTGTGTTTTATCCTGCTACTGCACATATTTCTTGTAATTGCTCCCCAAACTGTCATTCCATTCTGTTCACTTTGACTATGTTAGTTCTGGTTTTGACAAATGGGCTAAGAAAAGTGATAACACCTATCAAATACAAAACCATAATGAACAGGAATTATTTTGCATCCTTTTTGGCATTATTAATATACTTTGTATTTTGACCATCCTATTTCTATTCCTTAGAAATTAATGAAAATGCTTCTAGGTCATAAACAGAAGTGTAATTGGGATAAATGGGTTGTCCCAAAGAAGGAATAGGAAAGTACCCATACCCAGCTACTTCCCTTCCCTGAGAAGGGAAATTGCTTTACTTGGGCCATTCCCCCGCCCAGGCAGCCAACAGCCAATACTTTACTGATATAAGGAATATGAAAGCTCTTCCTTCCCTGCCTGCACCCACTTCCCCACCCCTACACCTCCTTCCCCACACCTACACACATACTATAAGGGCGAATTGACCTCTGGTGCTCCAGAGCTTCCTGTAGGACCAAGCTCTCACAGTTTTCAGCTGAACATACTTCTTGCTTAGCTTTCTTCCTTTGCCCTCTCCTTCCTTCCCCTTCTCCGAAAGCACTCCCTCAATAAATTAGTTTTATAAGAATCCTTCTCTTAGTTTCTGCTTTTAGAGATCCCAAGTCAAGTTGAATGACACTAGAAGGGTCCTAAGAAGCTGAGACTAAGCTGAGATTCGGGAGGTGGATGGCAATAAGGCTCTTATCACTGGTGGCAGATGCATTATTGTTAGTCCCTGGCATCATATAGCAGGGAAATTGTTAAGATAAGATCAGGGGTCAGCAAACTATGGCTGTAGGCCAAACCCAACTCACTTCTTTTTGTAAATAACATTTTATCGGAACACATTCATTTAACAATTTTTAGACAGAATTGAGTATTTGAGACAGAGACCATATGATCTCAAAGCCTAAAACATTTACCATCTGGTTCTTTCCAGAAAACATTTGCCTACCTCTGGTTAAAATTTTCACCCATGATCTCAACTGGGTTGAGATATAGGTAGAAGAGGATGTAGTAGCTGATGCAATGTCTCTGGCTTTGAGAGGTATGGGGAAATTGGAACTCTAAAGATATGGCTAATTGTTGCTAAATATCACTGATGCATTAAAGAGATAAAATAACAGGCTGTATTAGATATCTATTGCTTTGTCACAGATTATTACAAGTTAGGCAGCTTAAAACAACACACACTTATTATCTCCATGTTCTTATGGGTCAGGAGTCCAGGGATGTCTTAGTTAAGTCCTCTGCTTTAGAGTATTTTACAAGGCTGCTATCTGGGTACCATCTAAGGCTAGGGTGTCACCAGAAGGCTCAACTGGGGAAGTATCCACTTTCAAGCTTACGTGATTGTTGACAGGATTCAGCTCCTTGTCAACTATTCGCTGAAGGCCATCCTCAGGTTCTTGCCACATGGGGCACTCCAATAGGGCAGATTAATTGATCAAAGCCAGCAAGAGAGGGATTCTGGTAGCAAGAAGGAAGTGACAATCTTATGTAGCTTAATAATGGAAGTGATGTACCGTCACTTTTGTCATATTCTGCTGGTTAAACATAAGTCACAAAGCCAGCCCATATTTAAGGGAGTGGATTACACAATGTCATGAACACTACAAGGCAAGGCTTACTGGGAGCCATCTTAGAGTCTGCTTAATACACAGACTCAGTTCTATTATTTGGCATTTAAAGCAAAATGTGATAGTCAGAAAACCTCATTAGCATCATTTAAAGAGACATTCTTCTCTTGTAGCTAGAAAGCAGACAGGTTTGGAGATCAGGCTCATGGCTCATTTGCAGAAGTGGAAGAACTTTAAAGGAGGCTAAATTCTCAGCCTAAGCAAGCTTCCTGTGCAAAATTTAGGACTCTGAAAAAAAGGAGTAGTACCCTGAAGTTTGGGATAGGGATATCTGAGTAGATGAGCACCTTACAACTACATTGTCCCCTGAACATGTGTGGCTCACAGAAATGGCTAGTAAGCCCCCTTTTCTCTTGTTGGAAGAGAAAGCTTCTTTCATGAAGACTATGCCAAGGTTTCAAATGAGGCAGATGCCTTATAAGACAATCCTCAGATCTGCCTGTACTTTCCCTCATGGAAGTCAGACTGATAATTTGGGCCACATTTCAGCATGACCCAGCTAGGGAATTGATGGCCTGCTAAGGAAGGAAATGAGTTACACACTCCACGTGATATCTAGGACTTGACTGCATGTATGCTCAAAGAGTATGCCTGGGAGTGGATCCTGAGGGTCTTGGCAGAATATAAAGCTATGTAATGGACAGTTTTCTCATATGGGGTTGTTCTGTTGTAACACAGGATTTAATACCTAGCAAAGTCTTACATGATAGGTCTAATGTAAGACTGGGATAGCTCTCGGTAGCTTGGAAAAAGTAATGGGTCACATGAAATGAAGTAGAGATCCTGGCACTATAGTAATAGATTGTGGAGAAAGAAATAAACTAATAAAAAAACTGAGCATGCAAAAATGGGTTTATTATGGAAGATTGAAATATCCATATCTATGTTCCTTAGGAGAGCTTGGAGGACATGCTGTTTATTAACATGATGAAGAATTTGCTGATCAGAGAGATTCCAACATTGTGGAGAAGCACAGTCCTTCTTAAACCAGGGATAGAAGGACATGTGATTAAAAGACTGGGGTCCATTGTAGCAAGGGGGATGGTAGGATTCCTGATTAACAGGGGCCACAGGGAAGCGCTTAATTGTCAGAAGCAAAGTGAGTGCAGTCACCACAATGGGAAACTGGGTTGAAATGGCTGCTGTGTGGGTGGGCGTGGGAACTGTCCTAAGCTATCCATGGAAATGGTTACTATGTGAAAGGGCAAGATAGATGAGTCACCAACAAGGGTATTGGTTCATACACATAATCAAAAGAGATAGAAAATAAGGAGCGAAAGGCTGAGATCGGATGTCTCAATGGAAAGTCATAATTTCTTGCCTTGTCTTCATACCTGAGTGAGTTCTCTTACCCAGAAACTATTGACTGACGGAGATGCTGGGTCTCCATGAGACAGGAACTGCAACATTATAGTAAGTGTGTGACTCTTCAGTTCTTCCCCAAAAGGACCAAGAGTATTTACTCAGAAAACTGCACACTGGAACAAAGGGAATCCTCAGATCTTTTTAGGATTGGTAGATATAAGATATGAGTTGCTGCTGACAGCACCACCATGGGCCGCTTGTTAGAGTATGGTCATGTAAGTGTCAGGAAATAAATGGAGTTCTGATCTAGACTTATTTCACAGTGGTTCTACTGGGTTTACACACTCATTTAATGATCATTTTTCTAGTCCTTGAATGTATAATTGGCATGAGCCAGTTAGAGGTTGATGAATTCTCCCATTGTTTTCTTGATCAACTATTGTACTATCAAAGTGGAAGTCTTTAAAACTATCCTCTATGGTCAAGTTAGTAAATCAAAACCAGTTACCACATCCTGAGGAAAATTGCACAGATTAGTGCAATAAATAAATAAATACTACTTTCATAATAGATAGTCTCAAAGATTTAAAGGATACATAGGTGAAGGTCCTCTATCTGCACATAGCTGAGCAATCTAGACCATACACAAATTAGATGGATCATGGAGTTCTGAGCAGAGTACTGCCAACTGAACAAAGTTGTAGTTTCAATCACAGCTGTTATGCTGCATGTGATATATTTACTAGGGCAAGTTAACCAGATACAAGATATGTGGTTATTGTTCTGGCAAATGTGTTATTTTTAATACCCATTAGGGAGGGGGGATCAGAAGCAGCTTGCATTCATATTGATTAATAACAAGAGTCATGATCTTGTCCCAGGGTTATGTGAGTTCTCCAGCTTGGTCCAAATATAGTCTGTAGGGATTGGGACTGTATAGACATTCTACAGGGCATCATCTTTGTGGACCATATGGATAAAATCATGTTAATTGGACCAAGGAACTCACTTTATAGAAAAGGAGGTATGGCAATGGGCACATGCTCGTGGAGTTCATTGGTCCTACCACATGCTAGCCCAGTTACAGCACCAGCTTAGAGATGGCATCCTATGGGGATAAGTATTATCTTTTGGAGTATAGTGTGCACTTTAAAGCAACAGATACTATATGGTTCTCTGTCCTCAATGATTAGAATACATGAGCACAGGAATCAAAGAGTAAAAATAAGAACTCCACTCAACCATCACTCTCAGGGACCCATTCCTGCAACTTCAGGTTTTGAGTCTAGAGGTCCTAAGTCCCACAGGAGGGAAACTTCCACCTAGGGGATCTAGGAAAAGTCTCAGTAAACTTAAAGCTATGGATATTGCCAGATTACTTTGAGCTCCTTATGCCAATAGACTAGCGGGCACAAAAAGTTACTGTATTGGCAGGATAAATGACCTGATTATCAGGAGGAGTCAGAAATGCTGCTACATGTTAGAGACAGGGAGCAATGTGTTTGTCACTCAAGTGATCTGTTGAGCCGCATCTTGGTATTCCCATGCCTTGTTTAACTGTAACAGGCAAGTACAGCAACCATAACCAGATTAGGGCCTGGTAATCAGGTGCTTAGACTCCTAAGTTATGAGAATGTGGTTTATGCCTTCAGACAATCCATCTAGACCTGCAGAAGTAGTCACCCATAAGGAGGAACATCTGGAAGAGTGATGAAGGGGTAGATGATGATTATGTTACGGGCTTGGGACACACTGCAGCAGTGGAAGCTACAGTTTGATTTACTCATCTTTATCTTATACAGGAGCCCAGGACATGTGACTAACCAGAATCCTGAAGTTGTTGTGCCTGAATGGAGTAAACTAAATGTCAGAAGCAAGTGGTTCTGAGGAGTGCAAGGGGTGGCCTGCAGTGGCTGCTATTGGCATCCTTCTTGTTCCCCAGCGGCTGTAAGTGTTTTTGGCTGCTAACAGCTCATAGCTCTCTCCTTCCCAAAGATTAGCCCTCAGCCGAACCAAGCTAACTTACCTGAGAATTATCCTCCCTGGGGATAAGAGGAGCTAACTCTGTGGTACAATATGTGCTCTAGAGCTCCCCAAAGGAGCAGGCTCAGCTAAGGCCAGTTTTCATCCTTCTTAGCTACCTTCTTCCCTGCTTCTGCCTATTCTGCTCCTCTTGTTTCCCTCCACCCAAGAGCACTCCCTTTGTAAATCATTTTCAGAACAACTTTACTCTTGGTCCCTGCTTCTAGGGATTCTGACTTAAGCACCCATCTTCTACTATTAACTATACTGGAAACATGTTTTTTCTACCCATATCACTCTGACCCAAACCCGATAGTATGCACATGAAAGGTTGTATGTATTGAGGTTGCCAGTTTTGTTTTGTTTTTAATTATACCTCCTAAACCTAAAATCCCTCCTTAATTTATTTTCACAGCAAAGGCTCACATTTTCAATTCTCAATCTCTCTATAACTCATAAAAACGATTCTATTCTTGTCATTCTCCAAGCCTTCCTCTATACTGATGCCAGCTATTTTTTAAAGCACGATTCTTATCATGTTACTCCCCTGCTTAAACATTTTGGTGACTTTCCACTGCTTCCTGGATGGAGTCCCCACTCTTTAGCATAACATGCAAGGCTTTGTTTATTGGGCTGCAATTTGGAGCTGAATTATGATAGACTCTTCCTCCTACCACACAGCCTGTATACCATATGCTATAGTCATAGTCAACAACTTCTTCTTCCCTGAATAAGACATGCTTTGGTTTCAATCTACATTATTTCTTCTGCCTGGAATGGCCACTTCTTCCTTTTCTGCTTGATGAATACCTACTTATACTTTAAGATGCAGCTTAATTTATTAACTTTTTTGTGAAATTATTATTCACCAATCCAATACCTCTTTCCAAACTCAAAGAGGTATTAATAACTCCCTTCTTTGTCTTCTCATAGCACTAAGTACACACTTGTATTATGATGCTTGTCATATTCTTTGTTATTGTTTATTAACATGTTTTTCACTTCCACACAACTTTGAATGTTCTAAGAATCATGTGATTTGTCTTTGTACCTCTACTATCTCTCATATGGCTTAGCATTGTTCTTAAATAATGTATATTAATTGAAGGAAGAACTTGTCTTGTTCTTAGATAGCTTCGCAGTCTGACAAGTTGATTGGTTCTCTCCTTGCTCCTGTCTTCAGTCATTTTCCTCTTGTTGGCGATTTTGAAACTGAAGAGTCTCTGGACAGCTGTCTGTTCACCTAAGTCTAATGACACTCCACAGCGTCAGTCCATCACTGCTTGAATTATATAACTTTCCCTCTATGCACTCAAATACATTCATGCTCCCTGTGATTTGTAACAAAGGAGGGTTAAGAAATAAACTTTTAGCTTGGTGACATAAATGCAAGCTAACATTTTCTCCCTCTTTGAAGGTGGTAGGAAGTAAGGAGAAAGTGAGAGAAAATTGCTTGACAAGTAAATAAATCCCCACCTCCTTCATAACTTCCTCTCTGTGCTGTACTCACTCTGAATGCCAATTTAATTGGTCAGTTTTTCTGCCTCATCTAGACTTACATACAAGCCGAAAGTGATGCTTTTTACATTTTTAGCTTTTTCTAAATAAAATTATTTCTTTACATTTTTGAGGGGCTGGGTTGTGAATCTCACCTAAGGGAGTTCAAATAAACATATTTTTTCAAACCCAGTATATTATTAAAAGTTGTATTAGTGATCCTTGATTAAACTAGAAGGTAAAAACGATAATAAAAAGGCCCTGCATTATAGCAAACACAATGGTTAATGTGGCATAAATCATGGTTATGAGACTCTGGCCTAATAATATTCATTTTTTTTTTCCTCCAGCCACATTCTCAGCCTCAGCTCCTTCATCTCCCTCTGACTTCAAAGGAATCTCTGCATGAAGAAGGAGGGCGCACAATAGAAGAATTGGCCCGATTATCCCCTTCTGTTTGGAAATGGGTGAAGATTACAGATATGTTTTACTTCTTCCTGTGCTTTGGACTATATGATGTCAACTACCTTAAGCAAAACCCTCTACCCTGGCTAATATATAGATTTGGATTATACCAAAATTGCCTAAAATTGGAAACAAGACATTAATAATAATCTGTAATGGTGTAACATAATAGAATACATGTTTATTTTCATTGGCTTTAGCTGGTATTAAAAAAAGGTAAATTAGTTTGGAGATGTAAATTTTATATTTATTATATCCTGACCTTTTTGCTCATCCTCTACCACTTTATATTATGAATGAGATAATTAAAAAGAGTCCACTTATTTTTTGTTCTGCTATAGCACATTTTTGCTTCCTTAAATGTGTTTGTGTGTATGTGAATGTGTGTGTGTGTGTGTTGTGTGCATTTATTATTTTAACCAAAGTGTGAAAATGAAGTTGTAATGCTAAAGGCCAAAGGAATGAATTAAACTGACCTGTTAATTAAAAGACCGTGCTTGAAGTATTAACCAGGAACCACTGTTGGACTTTTCATCCTCAACCCAAAATGAGAAGGCAAGCACAATAATCCCACATCACCTCTGGAAATTATGTCAGGAAATGTTTTCTCAGAGTCAGCTACTGGTCAAGACTTACATCAAGTTAAACAAAATAATGAAGGATCAGGGATTCTAGAAGGGCCAAAAGTTCGAACAGGAGACCTTTAACCCCTTTGCCTGCAATGCATAATAATACTTCCTGTTTGTTTGATATGTCCTTACCATACTCTGAAAGAACAAACACTTATAATTTCCATATTAGGGACTAAGTCTTCTGTCCCCACCCTTCCTGTTTAGGATTATTTTCCACAGAAGTGAATCAATGCAGTTTGAACTACAGAATGAATATGACAACAAGAACAAAAAACCCAAATAGACCAATCTACCTAAAGCCATGTCTTATTAAACTTCCAGAATATTTGGGAGTGTCCATACTACGAAATAATTACATATAACTATATATGAATTTAACTAAGGTTGGCTTGAAGTTTAAAATGTCTTTAATAAAAACTCCGCTTTCCTTATGTGAGTCTAGATAGATCATACAGTTTAAGATTCACCAACAAAAGCTTGTAGCAATAACAATAGTGGGAGACTTGACTTCTAAAAACAGCTCTTTCCTTTTAGCTATTTCTGCCCACAAATACAGTTGATTGCAGGTAAGTAACATGTAAGTATTTTTATCATTACTAAAAGAGTTTGGACATATATAAAATATAAAGGAATTTTAAAATTAATTGATTGTTGTGTTAAGCCTCCAGCTTTAGTGGCTTGTCATTATTTTTCAGCCAGCGCTTAGGATTTACTTCCTAATGCCCCAAGAAAATAGAGCAAGAAACTTGAACACAAACCTTTCCACCAGGTAACTCTAGAGTTTATAAGCAGCAATGAATGACATTTCCTCGGGAAAATCTTAGAAGTTATCACTGTTGCTCTTTTTATTAATCCATGTTTAACCTGAAGCTAGAAACTACGTCCCTTTTATTTCCGTCTCCAGAATTTGTATTGCCAACTGTGCTATGTTGAAGTTTATATGACAGGCCATTTCAACACTTTTGTTTAGTTAAATAGGAGTGCATCACTTTTAAAGAAAAGCGCGATTGCCAAAAAATATAAACAGCCCTAACTTTGATTAATATAAATATTTTAAAACCAGAACATTCTGTTACATCTTACAAAAACAATTCGGATGTAGCTGATGGGAAAGAAAAAGTGCTTTCATACATTAGACAAATCCAACAAAATACAGCTGCAGACCAAATTTTAAGTAAATACGAATTGTTTGTCTTTTCAAAGGGCTATGGTATTTACTTAAATGGAGTTATTTTAGAGTACTTTATGTTTCATTAGTAAAAATGAAAGTTTTAAAGATAGTTTTATTTTTGAAGTATCCCATTTAAGTTCCAAGTCCTCTAATTTAAAAATACCATTAAAATTACTCCCCCTGCCCAGTGAGGGTTATTTGCTAATAAGCCACTGGACAAGAGATGTGTGAAGTGAATAGATGAAGAAAAACGTTGACAGCAAAAGGGAGGTCTAGGGGGTGAAGTTAGTTTATTAGGCCCTGTTTGTCACGAATGGCCCTGCTGCACATATAAAAGCAAATCCCTCTACCTTAGAAGATTAATTCTGAAGGAGGCACTCTTAGGTCAAAGTATACATAAGCGTGTGCCTAATCTCAGAGAAATCAGGCTATTTTCTCATAGCAATTAAGCAGAGGTCTGGGGTTTCACCCACAGTGTATTTAAACACAGGATACAATTAAACCCCAACGTATTAATATCTTTGCTCTGCAAAATTACCCAGGAAATAGATTTTGCCCTCTTTCAAATGAAAAGCAAGTCAAGTTAAGAGAATAACTTGATTCTTAGCTAAGTTGCTTGAAATAAGAGTATCATAATTTCTTCTAATTGCAAATGTCTTATAGACAGAGGTAATTCTTACTTTACAATAGGGTAAGAGTTATAAGCTTTCTAGTTCCTTTAATCTAAATAGCAAACCTTAGAAGTGTGCTTGAAAACGTATTGTTTTCAAACTGTAATTAAAATTCTGACACAACATATGTAAAAAATCAAATCATAAAAATCTGAGAACTCACTATTTACCACCAACAAAATATCTTCAATGGGGAGGAGCTTTGCAACCAACGTGAAGAGTAAAATAAGTAAACGTAAATCTTAAGCAGTCAAGTGTCTGGAAGGGATTGCTTTCTATAGAGGTTTTTCTTCAAGTTATTTTATTCATATACTCATCTCAAAGAGTGAACCTTCTAGGGAAAATTATAGCCAGTTTAAAATATTGCTTCACAAAGAAAAAAAAACAACAAACAACTTTTATTCATTGTACATCAGTTCCCTAAAGGCAAAAATTTTTTAATAGTATAAAAGTTATATTAAATGAACTACCACCTTTATTCAGATCTTGAACAAAATAACCTTTCAGGTACTAAAAGAGTTTTAGTAGAAATATTGTTACTTCTACATATCAAGTTAATATTCCAATTTATTGCCAAACCAAATTCTCTTTGGTTTTTTTAGAGAATAGTAGGGGAAGGAAGTTGGTCTTGGAATAGGAAAGGATATAAGTTTATAGTTTGTCCTTTACATGGCTGAATCAATAGTTTTTTCTTTTGTATAGGAGTTTCTAGTAAGATAGTTGTTGGTGTACGGTATAACAGAATATCCAGTGAGAAATCCTCTAACCCATGACACATGGGAGTGTTCTTATACATTAATAAAACTGAAAGAATGAAGCAAAATAGGATGAATCAGATGTGGGAGAGAGTGGGTTGTGTGTTGTGTGTTGGGGGTGGCTGTGTGGTTGCCAAGGTATTTTCCCATCTAACACTCCACTGTTGCTTTTAAGAGGAGCTGAGTACTTAAGGTAAAGTGCACGAGGCAATGTGTCTTTGAAAGCACACTATAAATAGTTTAGGCACTTTTTTGATGTGTGGTGGGGTATGTGAGAAGGCATGCAATCTGAATTTTACGAAGGATTGTTTTTATAGGACCAATGACTTTAATAGTACTTGCTGACATCATTGGCAAATTGGTCTATTCTGTAACCTTTAAAATTGCAGCATATCCCAAAATGAGTTACTTATTAAACAGATGTTCTTTTTTTTTTTGAGTGCAATTGACCTTTAAATGATTATTTCTCAGCACTTGCAACAAAGAATCTCACCTCTCACCTTTATACTTTTGATGCTACAGTGAGTGAATCCATAACCTTTTCAAAACATGTAAGGAACATGCCACACAACATGGAATTACAATCACTAACGAGCACTTTTTCTTTTAAGGGGGAGTCTTTTTACTTATTATTAAATTATTGCAATACACAGAAGCCATGCAAAAGTATAAAAATAGTTATTTTGATCAATCGGCAACCATTTTAGAAAATATTAACTCCAAAAACACCAAAGAATAATTTACTGCTAATGACAAGTTTCTACTGAAGTTTTCTCCCCTTAACATATTTTTAACTAAAAAAAAAATTTTTTTTGAGACAGAGTCTCACTCTGTCTCCCAGCCTGGAGTGTAGTGGCGTGATCTTGGCTCACCGCAAGCTCCACCTCCTGGGTTCAAATGATTCTCCTGTCTTAGCCTACCCAGGAGCTGGGGTTACAGGTATGCGCCACCACGCCTGGCTAATTTTGTATTTTTAGTAGAGACAGGGTTTCACCATGTTGGCCAGGCTGGTCTCAAACCCCTGACCTCAGGTGATCTGCCCACCTTGGCCTCCCAAAGTTCTAGGGTTATAGGTGTGAGCCACCATGCCTGTCCTGTTTCCCCTTAACTTCTGAGGCAGGGGTGTGTGTGTGTGTGTGTGTGTGTGTGTGTGTGTGTGCGCGCATGTGTGTGGTGGTGGGAGGTTAAATACCGTATTTGATTGGAAAAGCTTTGTCTTGAAAGTTCAGGCACTTATGCAATATTTGTAGGCAATTTGGTTTAAACCTACATGCAACTAGCACAGTACCCCTTTCCACTAACCAGAAGGAAATGCTTTGAAACTCCAGAAGTATTGATGAAATATATATCATGTAATATTAGAGATTTTAAGATTGTGCTTTCCTCAGAAACACACACATTTGTAAAGATGAAATGAGTATAATCAAGTCGTGGTTATCCTTAATTAAGTGGAGATGGCAATTATAAACGTTATTCTTTAGGAATCAAATCAAATCTAACACATATTTAGACGAGCTAATGCTTTCTGGGATCTTTTTACATTAGTAAAGATATCCACATTACTTTAAGTCCCAATGACCTTTTCTTGAGTAGATAACCTAGTTTACTCTTTAGTGGAGCTGCTGAATCTGATAAAGATTTCATTAGCTTAAATATTTTCCCGCTTAAAGAAACTGATATTCCAATCTTGAAAAATTCCAAGGAAAAGTTTTTGATTTGAAGGATGAAAACACCATAACAAGCTAGTAGTTTTTACTTTACATACATTTTACTATAACATTAATGTACAAATACCTGCTTATGTTCAAGAATAAACTTTTTTTCTTGCAAAGCTGACCTTATTTGTAAAATACTGTTTTAGAAAGGTGTTGGAGTGACTCATAAAATATTTAAGTATCAACCCTCTACAGAATAAAAAGGCATTTTTCACTTGTGTGTTCTCTTTTTCCCACATCTTTTACAAAAGGAGCATATTGGAATGAATTACAGAAAAATCTGAGAAAATTTTTCTTAAATAATGAAAAACAATTGTTTGGAAGGAATGTTCACTCACAGTTTTCTTTTCGGCTCTGATTTGGTAATGTTTTGTAAAGCATAAGGACAGCCACAAGCCTTCATTGGAGAAATCAAAATTAATGTCCTTTGGAAACATTGGGCTCTAAAAGAAAAGGAAAATAATAACAGATATATGACATACTTGGCTCCCTTTAGTTTAATTTCGAAAAAGGCAAATTAGGTATTATACTGGCATGTAATCACAAAGAAAAATGCACAGACTTAAAAGTAAACCGACTCATTGTCAAGACTTCCAGAGTCTTATTCATTCATTGTGGTGGCTGCTGACAAACAACAGAAGGAAATCAACAATGCTGGATAACATAATCATCAAGGGCTTCTATGTCTGTAAGCCATTTAAATTCTTGACATTGAATATTTATAGTGAGTGATACTCCTTTAACATAGACCATATTTCAGTCAGCTCTCAGCACTCCTGACCTTTCATACCCACATCCCCCTTGGCTTCATCAAGGCCCCCTCTAGCATCACGCCTGTTCAAAAACTGGGCACCCAGCATCACTGGCAGTTTCTCAAGTGCCCACTCACTTTTCAATACCCCTGTTTTCTCTTAACACCAGTTCAGCATCAATATACTATCTGCCCTTTCACAGGCAGCCCCCGAGACACAGTTGTGTTTATTTTGTACTTATCAATACAATGTAAATCAGCATGGGCATACCTCCTTGGGGTTAGTGAACCTACCTTGTCTGTGAGCACAGACAGCACTTTGGTCACAGATGTGAATGGTTAACTGTACAAGCAAGGAGGATAAATCCACATCACAATACTTCATTCACCAAGGAAATCTGCAGTGGATTACGGCTTCTCTATGGTTAAGTCTGGTCTTAATTTACCGCTTTTATTCAGTTTTCAACCACAAACGAGCCCCTTATGAGGCATTCACTATGTAGAATTGACAACTCTTTTTATCTACTTGAAAAATATTTTTGGATAATAATTTATGGTTACAAAATATTTTAAGCAGTTTGAATAGTTTTATTATATTCTTTCCATGCTTAACGATGCAGTATCCCCTGTAAAAATGGAATGCCAGGTAATCTGGTAATTTTACGTACAGTATTTATAACAACAGAGCAATTTGGCCATATAGAAACACAAATGTAAAAAAAAAAGCTGTGCATATCTCATAGGAAGTCTTTTAAATACTTTTTTTTAAAGATCTTAAATTGCATCTCAGGAGAAAATCAGAGTTCAGAACAGTGTCTAAAGGCCCTATATATAGGTAAAAAAATAATTTTGGCAAGCACTGTATTTTATTTATGGGTTATGATGCTTAAAATAGCATATTCTGAACACCCTTCAGAAGGAAAAAAAGCTGCAGATGCCTCTGAAGACACAAGGGAGAATTCATATGCTGTTTATATTTTATACATGAAACCAAAATGTGTCGGTAGGTTTGCACTTTTTCACCATCAAATATATTCTCTTAATTTATATTCTGAATTAATGCTGTCTTTAAAAAATCCATTTGAAGATCTTCATTATTATTGGGCATGGAGTAGTTTTCAAGGTCTGATTGCCAGTAACTGGAACTACTCTAGAAATCCCCGATAGGCTGAAAACACATAACATACCTGTAATAAGTAGCAAGTGCCAGGATCAGTTTGTCATTTTAGATACACATCCCCTCGTATTGCCAAACAGTGATCTTGTAACTGGAAATAGAACCCATGTAAATAAGATGGAATGTATTATATACATGGAGACAATGGAAGCAGCATGGTTGATGCTCTTTGAGTTGATAGAGTTCCTTTTGCATTGCTTTAGCTTAAACCATGGATACACAAAGCTTTGTAACTTTCCCCTTGGTGGAATTTGAGCACTTTCAGACTCATTGATAGTAAGAGATTCTTCCCATTGCAGAATGAACTCCCCATAGGTAAACAAAGGAAAACATTCAACTGAGGTACTAGCTGTGTTTTCCTCATTAGTGGCTACACTGTTCTGAGCAGGGAATGAGTGTTTGGGGAAAAGCATCCTTGGCATTAACAAGAAGGAGAGGACATTGCTTTTACAAGGAGGAATATTTTATATGATTTTCTAAAACATCTCTCTTCAAGTGCCATATGTAAATCATATTTTTTAAAAAAACCAAATTATGCTTGTGCTTCGGGGGGAACTACATAAATGTGCAATAGAAAAATAATGAACTGTATCACTTTGGTTAGCTAACCAATTATTGCCTGTTTATAGACTCAGGTGCTGTTTGAGTTGCATCATAAAAACAGATGGGGTTTGTTGTTTGTTGTTTTCACTGGTTTGAAATTTTGCTCAAAAAAATTTTTTTAAATACTATCATTCTTATTATTTTAGAACTTGGAGTATTCTGCTTTTTAATCTGGTAGCTAGATTTCATTACCTTAATAGATATTCTAATGAAGGTGTAAAAGAAAAGGTTAAAAAGGAGATAAATTAGGTGGTGGAAGCATCAGATTCAAATGCCACTTAATATAATTCCTAAATCATTTATATTAAAATTGTTTCATTAACAGTATTACAACCACCCTCTGTTCAAACACATTAAAATATAGATAAGAACAACTTTAGTAGTGGATTATAGAAGCTAGGAATTAGGATGACAGCGATGAGCTAGATTTGTCTGTCCAGGCAAAAATAGTTTCCAATCACTAGTCATGGATCAATGAATAACAGATTCCCTGTGAATATTTGGTACGTTCTCTCTGATCTTCCTATACCTGTGTACCTGGATACCAGTCTCATTTTTCCTTCCTCTTTCTGACAAGCATTACCTGTGAGATAAGAGTGGGAGGGTCGTTTAACAATGAATTTCCCCATTGTATAACTATTACAAAGCTATCCAAACTAACTAACTTGTTGTTTTCTAAGTCACTGTGCAATTTCAAGGTTTTAATGGTGCTTAAAATATAATACCCTGTGTCATTTATTTCTTGAAATGAAAGCTAGTGCCAGCCTTTGGAATTCATGTAAAACAAGTGGTTCAATATGGTTTGAAGAGAGAATGAAAACTTGATAAGCAATTAATCTACTTTAAATGCTTTCCTAATGGTTTGCACCTTTTCTTACTGATTTTTAAAAAATTCAGATTTATTCAGAAGAAAATCAAATTAAACATACATCCAAATTTTTGTATAGCACATTTGTTAGAGTGAAACCCACACACACAGTGAGGCAGGAAAGATTGAATATTTAAATAATTTGAAAATAAAGGTGTGCCTGGTTAAACAGTATCAACTTGAATTTTTTGCCTAGTGCTTTGAAACTATGGGAAATATTTGAAATGGGAAACTGGTACATGAGCATAGAGAAGGGGCTAATTTCCTAACAATAATCCTGTGAGTGACATTTGGTTTGGGAAAGGAAAGTGTCCTGTCTGACTGCTGGTTTGCAGAGGCGAAGGCTTAAGAGTTAGGACAAGCCAGAGGCATCACTGTGACTCCAAGGCACAGCTACAAAACAGAGCTGAGTCTGGTTGATATGTCTGCCTGTCAGTGTATCACCAAGGAGACTAGCGAGACATTAGAGAAAACTCACCAGCAATGTCATATTGTCTGAGAGACAATGCACACACAGAGAAGACCTTTGTGGGAAAACCACGTGAAACATACAGAATTAAGATGTAAGGTAGAAGGACTCAAGGAGTACAAGAGTAGAAGGGGATGAAAGCAGGGACTGCATCTCAATGGTGAGTGTGGCCAAGAGAACTAGAGCCCAGCCTAAATTCACACAGGATATCAAGAGTCGCATGCTACCGATGAAAACATCATGACGTTTCCAACTCAGCAGAGATAGTGCCTGTCCCCCAGTCAGCATTGTGGTGCAGGGCACAAATGACAAGTCCAAAGAGAGGAAAATCAATGAAAGGTTGAAGAGTTACCAGAGTAGAATTAATAGGGACAGTAATAGAATCAGAAAGCTTGCTCTTGAGTAAACGTGGAAGGATTCTCAGGAGCTTCTGAAAGCAAAGCTACTTCAAGAGATTGCTTATAGAAAAATGATAACCATGCTTGAAAGGACAAACATGGGATCCAACAACATGATGTCTATGTCCCAGACTAGGACTGAGACTGAGATCATGTCTTTCTATTTTTTAGTGAGAAAGTACTGGAAGTTAAAGAAAAACTTATCATAAACTTTATAAAAAACTCATAAAACTTATGCAACAAGTATGATAATTCATACACATATACATACATATATATGCGCAAATGCCTAAATTAATTGCTTGGTAAACATATTGCTTTACTGAAATTTTTAGTTAAGAAGAAGAACACTGGTTGCCAATGTTGCAAGCTGCAGAACACTTACTCTGGTGCCATGGAGAGAAACCTGAAATGTGGGTGCGCCGAACTAAACATTCCACCACATTTTTGGCACCTAGCAAAGACTGGCCTTGATTGAATCTGCTGCACACCCGGTAACCCAGATAAATACTACATGCATGTCTTCTGAATGGGGGTAGCCTCTGATTTGAGTATTGCCAAGTAACCCAATTTTAGAATAGCACAAGTTTTAATTATATGTTTCATTTAACTGGCACCTGTCCTTGGAGGCTGTCATTAAAATCTAAAAAGCTATGATGTAGGAACTATTATTATTTATGATTTAGAGGGAAGCAAAAATAAATAAAGAGAGAAAGAAGAAAAGAAAGCAGAAAAGCTGAGAGGTTTAGAGGAGTGGTAGAAGTGGAAGACTCAAAATTCCACTGGTGAAAAAGAGCAACATTTTAATTACCTAGAAAACTGATAGAAAACAAAAACCCAGATCATTGAATTTTTGGTGTTTGAGGTGTGAGTTTACTAAATACCCACCTCATCCACCACTTCATGTTGTGTGTAGGGTGCACCTGTCTTTTCCTGGGTAAACTGAAAAGCAAAAACCTCTTAAATAAAATGCTTAATCCTGAGATAGAGATTTTATAAAATAAGTTCCATCAATTTTTAAATCCCATACTATTTCATCTGTTGAAGAAGAGAATTCTGAAGGGAAAGGGGTTGAGATAAAGATGAAACAAAATGGATAATGTGTTGCTAATCAGTGATGTGAAGTAGTGGGTACATGGGGTTTTATTATGCTATTCTGTGTAGTATAAATTTGGAATTTTCCTTACTAAAAAGTTAAAAGAAATTCAATTTAGAGAAGCATCCAGATACTATGCGTATTTATTTGGGTAAATTAATTCATTTTATACTGCAGAATTTGGCCATAAACACAAGAACAGAACATCTTATATTAATTATATTATATTCCTATATTTACATTAATGATCTCACTGTAACTATACCAACTTCTCCAAAAACCAAGAAACAAAAAAAATCTGTATGTATTTTTCTATTCTCTGAATTTACAAGCAGGCATTTTATAACAGTCCTGGGTTTCCAGACTAAATGCCAAAATATGCTTCCCGTTTAAATTCAACTTTAACTAAAAATAATTAGCCCTTGCTCCTAATTCTAATGGAAATGTAAGACTCTTGATCATTCAGTGATAGTAGCACTATTAGATACTGCCGCTAACAGTGATTTATACGAAATGATTAGCAGACTGTTTCTCTTGTGGGTATGTGCATAATTTGTCCTAAACCAAAGGCAAAACAATAGTAAAAACTACTGCTTTTTAACCTTTCCGTGAATTTAAATTAAAAAATGTGTACTGGAACTACACATTAATAAGACCTATTAAGCTTAGAAGAATATTTTACATTCATCTGTACTTCATCAGACAAGTTCGTGACCTCAGCAGAATTACTATAGCTCCTGCAGTTTTTAAACCGGCATGGGGGAAGACACGAAACATTATTTTATAATCAGAAAATTTTACTAGAATTGACAGAAATAAGAAAACACACTTTGCCATTGAGTATGTGTTTTGAAATTAGTCCATATAAAACTAAAGGTATTGTATGGATTGACTTTTAATCCTCTAGCTACTTTAAACAGAAGCAACTAAAGAGAGGTAAGTATAATGCCATAGTTTTATGTTTAATGTAGGAAATTTAGGCGCTAGCCTCTACTTTGCAGCTGGAAGTACACACAGAGGGGAGCTACGAGCTTTATTTCACAATATTCTAAGGTATCTGGTAATGACAAAAGTATATAATGTTTCTCATTAAGATTTTTGTTTTCTTCGCTAAATGGCATTTATTTTGGAAGTTTCCTAATGTTCAAGTTTGTCCTGCTTTCCCTCAAATTTCCTGTTGAATGACATTGTGTGAAAGCTGTTACTATTCAAGGTACTGCTGCTAGTGAAGGTCCCACTAAAGCAGTGAAATGAGTCCAGTTGCATCTCCACCACGCAGCCTGAGAAAATTTTATCCACAGAGCTGATTCATGCTACTTCTTTGGATCTGCTACTGGCAGCACAATAAGAGATGAATGAAATAAGCACTCAGCAGCTGAATGCCCTTAAAGACCACTTGGGAACTTTATTTGGTGCCAAATAAAGTGACCAGCCAGTGTCAGCTGCGGGAAGCATATTGTACTGGGCTCTGCAGTCTGTCCCAGTTGCCCATTCATTTCTGAGGAAATTTTCAGGTATTGAATTTTAATCCATGATGCCCAATTATAATCTGGGACCCTTTTACACTAGAGGCTGGGCTTCACCCCATTTGGCAATTAAGTCAGAGCTGCCTAACACATGATTTTAATTTCCGGAAAGCAGGTGCTTCCTTTGGTCAGTCACCAATCTCTGATTTTTCCTCCTTCTGCAGCTTAAACCACTTTCATTTTCATCCTCCCCCTCCCCCTCCCCCACCACCCACTTCTATAAGTATTCACTGCATGTTAGATAGTTTTCCTGCTTAAGCCTATAGGAATTCCCTTAGGCTTATTTTGCAAGTACTTGCAACTTAAAAAAAAATTCATTTTTAGGTGTCTGTTTGATATCCACTTTGTAATAACTTACTATAATGCTTTTCCAACTAATCTGAATAAAGGCATGTTTACAACATTTTCTAACACTTGCAATTATGAAGCAGACGCCCCAGGAATAGCTACTGTCTGTATTAACTTTCTTTGTCTCCTATTTTTACCAATTCAATTAGAGACTTCTCTAACAATTGAAAAACTATTGTTGTCTGAGTCTTTGAGACTATGTGTCTTCTCCAACCAGTATTTAATCATATAAAATAAGACTTGGTAGATCACCTTATAATAAGAGAAACTCAAATATAAGGATTCAAATATGAGGTGCCTGATGTGGAGGCAAATACTGCACAAGTCAAATCCTATCTCAAAAGTTCTCCTCCACACACATGCACTAACATGGCGTGATCTTATCTTTCAAAACCACTTTGTACGGGATAGAGCCAGTACCAGTAGAGCCAGTAGAGAGGAAACTGGGAAATCAGAGGTCAGTCTGTGCCAACAGGGGACAGCTTCTTTATCCCTTCCATTGCTATGAATGAGCTGCCTACTTCACTATTTTCATTCCCACACATGAATTATAAAATACTATTGCAATAGTATTGCTGGGATGGCTATTAGTAGGGTTAAATTTAAATCTTTGGTGATCATAGACAGACCTATGTCATTGAGAAGGAGTTAAGTAAAAGGGAGAGGAAGCAAAGAAACAGAGTGGGAAAGGGAAAATAAGTTATAAAGAAACAAGGAGAGGAAAAAGGTTAAGGAAGGGGGAAGAAAAGAAGGTGCCTAACCTGGGGACATCAGTTTGCTTCATCTACTCGTCTTTTGGCTGTCCTCTGCAAGCTGAGATCACAGACTCCTCTGCTTCCTATCTGGACTCTCCTGAATTCTGTCACATAATTAGCCAAGGATTAGCAAAACCTGATAGCCTTTAATAGGATCCCAGGGAAATGCTTCTTTAAAAAAGAACAAATCAACTAAATTCTGAATTTGAAAGATATTAAATTAGAGAGTTTTGCAAAAATACTCTCTTGCATAACAAAAGGATTTATTTAATATTTCACTTAAAGAGTTAGCCCTCCTAGATTATAATGAATATGATTTGATTAAAACCTGTGAAATTGTTATTGGTAATATTTCTCAAACTATATTTGGTAGTATTTGTCAAACTACGTTCCCATAAACATTCACGCCCTACTAGATATTAAGTGACACTTTCTTTAAAAAGCATACCCTTATCAAATACATTTCAAAACACTGCAAATCATATTTGCCCTCTGAGTGAGTCACAATGCTTATTACCATATTATAAGTGCTGAAAAGTTCTACAGTGAAAAAAGAAATCTGTTTAATTTTGTTGAACCCAGCATTTTGCAAAATAATTTGGCCAGGAAACTTTTTTCTCCTTAAACCACTTTAGTAATTTGCATTTTCTGTAATACAGTTATAAAGCAGTATATTCCAGTAATGGTGTTTATGATTTTGTTGTTTTTACTTCTGTTTTGAAAAGTGGAAATAGCTGAAATGCACAGTAGGTATTGTCTTTGGGACCTGTAATATGAAAGTTTAATACTTCTGTTTAATGTGAAGTTAATATACTTGGATATGAGCTTTGTACCTTATGACACTGTGCATTTTTACCATGCCTGTTTACTTTTCTGTATCCCCCATCAGCCTCCAAGCACCTTAAGGGCAGGATCCATGTTTTGTTTTCCATTGTATCTTTGAGAACTTACCTAGTGCTTGGCACATTGTAGGTGCTCAAGAAATAAATGAATAAACGTTTGTTTGGATGAGTGAATGAACACTGTAGTAGATATAATAAGAGGTTTTAAGCTATAGATATAACCACATTAAAATGTGGGTTAAAAATATAATGCTTGGCCTCAAAGTAAAAACAACTGCAGTAAAAGTGAGAATGACTAAATGGAACTTATCTTTAATAGCTTTGTCAGAGGCCAATAAATTCCTCACCAATTACTCTATTGTCTGATGCTTCATTGCTCCTGTTAGCCAGTCTATTTGAAGTCAATGTTCATTCTATTCTATAATTTTTCAATTTGTTTTTAAGTCTTTATATCTTCAATTATCTTTCAATAACTATTTCTTACCTGCTATTTACTTTTTGTTGGATGACTTCTTAAAAGCAAAACTGACAGTGAACTTCAAGTTGGCCTGAAAAGCTTGTTGATGAGACAAGAAAAGGTAGCAAAGGCTGGGGGGTGCGGAGCATGTGGAAATTCATTCAACAAATATGTGTCGAGTGCCTATTCTGTGTTGGACACAATATATAAGGTCTAGAGAATTCAAGTCAGCTAAAAATATGAAGTATTCATAATACAGACAGAATTAAGAATTATCAAAATTTTATCCACCCTTAATTCTGTTTATTTTCTAGAATGACTTAATATTTTTAGAGTGATGATTTGATGTGTAAAATTTTTGTCTTATCTATTACGCTCTGTTTTTACAGAGGCTCATCTTTTCTATCTTGATGGTGCTGTCAGCTTTCCTAAAATTGTACAATATTTTATGGGCCGGACAAACAACTTAACATCATTCTGTCACATAAAATTTAAAGTCATTTTAGTTACGTGAAATCAAGATAGTTGTTCAAAAGTCCACCCAACTACTGAATCTGGCCTACCATATATATATATGTGTGTGTATATATATACACACACACACATATATATACATATATACATATATATACATACACATATATATACATATATACAAATATATATTATATATATATATGTATATATATATTTGTATTTGTTTTTTTGCCAGAGTCTCGCTCTGTCACCCAGGCTACATGCAGTGGCATGATCTTGGCTCACTGCAACCTCTGCCTATCTGATTCAAGCAATTCTCATGCCTCAGCCTCCTGATTAGCTGGGATTATAGGTGCCTGCCATCATGCCCAGCTAATTTTTGTATTTATAGTAGAGACAGGGTTTCACCACTTTGGCCAGGCGGGTCTCCAACTCCTGACCTCAGGTGATCTGCCCGCCTCAGCCTCCCAAAGTGCTGGGATTACAGACGTGGGCTGCTGCACCCAGTCTGGCCTACTATATATTTTTTTAAATAAAGTTTTATTGGAATACAGTCATGCCTATTCACTTAATATTGTTTATGACTGCTTTGATATTCCAACAGCAGAGTTAGGTAGTTGCAACAGGGATTCTCTGGTGTGCAGCTGAAATATTTACTATCTGGACCTTTACAGAAGTAATCTGTGAATGTCTTGCCTACACAGTGGTAATCTGTACTAGAGCAAAATGGTAATTTGAGTGAGAGCAGAATGATTGATAACTGAAAAAAATTAAAGATCTCTCTTTGGATATGATTTTGTTTCTATATTTGAATATGAGGTAAGTATTATTCTAGGAATTTTATCCAATAAAAGTAATATCCAGGCCAGGCACAGTGGCTCACGTCTGTAATCTCAGTACTTTGGGAGGCCGAAGCAGGAAGATCACCCGAGGTCAGGAGTTCGAGACCAACCTGGCCAACATAGCGAAACCCCGTCTCTACTAAAAATACAAAAATTAGCCTGGTGTGGTGGCACACGCCTGTAGCCCCAGCTACTTGGGAGGCTGAGGCACAAGAATTGCTTGAACCTGGGAGGCAGCGGTTGCAGTGATCAGAGATCATGCCACTGCACCACTCCAGCCTGGGTGACAGAGTGAGACTCCATGTCAAAAACAAACAAACAAACAAACAAACGAATGTAATATCCTCCATGTTAAAAATATGAATGAGTAGCAATTACAGTTGGATATAGCTTTTCAGTGCAGTTTCTTCATTCAGTAAGTACAGACAAAAAAACCAAGACTGTCTAACTTTTCTAATAATATATTTTGTGCTGGGAACATAGCCAGGTTCCAAGATGGTCCAAGTGATCCCTGTTCCTTGATAATCACTTCCTTGTGTAGTGTCACCCTGATTTGTGTAGGCTGTAGTGTAGGGCTGATTTGTGTAACCAATAGGATATTGCAGAAATTTTGGAGTGACTTCTGAGGGACTATGATGTTGTGACTTCTGTTTTGCTTTGAAAGAATTGGTTAAGATGCGTTGAGAGGACACTCAAGCAGCTCTTTGGAAGGGTCCATGGAGCAAGAAACTGAGCTTTCTGCCAACAGCTAGGGAGAAACTTAGGCACCCTGCCAATACCCATGTGAGTGAGGCATCTTAGAAGCATACCTTCAAGCCCCAGTCAAACCTTTAGATGGCTGACATTTCTACTGACATCTTTTTTGGTTTAATTTTTAATTTTAAATTAAATTTGTTTTTAGAGACAAGGTCTGGCTCTGTCATCAGGGCTGGAGTGCAGTGGCATGATCATAGCTCACTGCAACCTTGAACTCACAGACTTAAGCAATCCTCTCACCTCTGCCTCCCCAGTAGTTGGGACTACAGATGTGCACCACCATGCCTGGCTAAGTTTTTCTTCTTTTATGTAGAGACTGAGTCTCATTAGGTTGACTAGGCTGGTCTCGAACTCCTGGCCTCAAGTGGTCCTCTTGCCTCAGTCTCCTAAAGTGCTAAGATCATAGGAGTGAGCCATTGCACCTGGCCTACATGCTGACATCTTGACGACAATCTCCTAAGAGACCTTGAGCCAGAACCAACAAACTAAGCCATCCCTTAATTCCTGACTCAGAATCTATGGTAATAAAAGTTTACTGTTTTAAGCCATTACTTTTTAGAATAATTTGTTATGCTGCAATAGATAACTAGTATGGATGTGGGTGTGTTTGAACCCCGGATCTACCACTTGCTAGATGTGTGACCTTGGGTATATTAATTTATCATGTAACTTAATTGTCTCGTGGAAAAATGGGGAAAAAATTCTCTCTGTCTCACAGTGTTTTTGTGAGGAATTCAATGAGATAATGGATGAAGAGACTTTCTACCATCTAGTAATTGCTAAATAAACAAACAATTATTCACTTTTAATTATTATTAGAACTGAATACCAGTACCCACCTAATAATTCTTTCAAACCTTTTATTTGAATGTGGGCAGGGGTTGAGGTAGGGAAATAAGTGGCTATACAGAGGAAATTTAAAGAATTTTTATTCTACATTTTAAAGTTTATAAAATTTGGAAGACCTAAAGGGGATGCGATAGATCAGCAAAGCAAGTAATTGAGAAGCTATTGTCAGTCTACCTAAAAATAAGATCTGTATTATTGCTACATAACACTATGTATTAACAGTAGAGGATGGAGAACAGGCTGCTATCCAAGAACATAGGTAAAAATGTTCTTGGGTAATCCTAGCCACAAATTTTAAAAAATGAATTGAATAATTCAGTTTTTGGTTTAATTTGCTAAAGCCTAAACCATACTTATCATTTTTTTGGTAAAAATAAAAGATAAATAGCAAAATAATATGATTCTTTGCAGATTGTTTGAGTTATCTAACCCTTCTTTAATCCAAGGGATTATTGAACAAAACCAACGTTCATTCAAAAACACTTACAAAATCTGTTGTGGATTACCAATATCATCAGTTAAACCTGTTTCAAATTTATTGCTTTCATTCAGGTTAAATAATAAAAGGGTACATTTGTCCTGCCACATGTATATACACGAATTTAGCTTTCATCATTCTCTACAAGTTTAATCCAGTGATTTATGTTTTTTAACGCATATTCAGAGAATCTGTTGAAGAAACTCATCCAGGCAGACAGAAAAGCTAGATGGGATTAATAGGATGTGTGCAAGGTTTAAACCTGGTTGATTCAGCTCAGAGTAACTTAAAAAGAGAAAAAGAATATAACACTGTAACCCTCCTTGAGGTTCTAATCATTTTAATGACTTTAGCAAAAGAGAACAGGCTAAGGTCAAGAAAGTTCAGAGACAATGATCCCTCTTTCTAGAAATACATTGCATGGAAGAAAAGCCATTCCTTCAGTTTTCCTTTTTTAACAGTGGAAAACACCACTATATAATTTTTTTAAAGAGAAAATCTGCCTTCTATTTTAGCCATCATATTAATGGTTAATTTTGAGGTTTCAGAATTCTAGATTTTTTTTTCGAAGCCATTGTATTTCAACGTACAACCAACAGAAAAAATTAGAAAAAACTGGGCAAGCAGACTTAAAAAAAAGTATTACAGTAATGCAATACATGTAAGTTTTCAGATACAAAGAAATACTATGACTTATCTTGCTATTTATGACCTTGAACATTTAAACACATTCAGTTTAAGTCTTGCAGGAATAAACTATTGGAATCATAGAGGGAAAAATATCTTTTTCCCAATAGAGTGAAGCCCATCCTACTCTATCAGCTAGTTTGTTTCAACAATATTTTAATCTTTACACACATTAAGAATTTCCTTTCATAATATTGTTTGTTTTGTGTAAAAAGCATTTTAACATTTTTATGCTCTTTTCCACTTACTTCATTCCAAACACAGCGGACAAATGGGGACTTGACAAGTATATTTTAGTGCTTCATTGAACCTAATATATAATTCTCAATATTTCCACCCCTAATTTTCTTGTAACTTTCATGGCTTAATAAGAACATCTTGGGACACGAAGTGTTTTGTGTTCATTAACTTTTGAAGAGGAAGATAAGTTCTATCTTATTTTCAGCATTCCGGATAAGTACCGAGTGCCCTACATATT
Source organism: Homo sapiens (assembly GCF_000001405.40). Taxonomy (NCBI): domain Eukaryota; kingdom Metazoa; phylum Chordata; class Mammalia; order Primates; family Hominidae; genus Homo; species Homo sapiens. The sequence goes on along the minus strand of NC_000001.11, from coordinate 81,567,461 downwards.
TTCCTTATTGTATTCATGATATAGATCAGACATAGGGACACACAAATGGGAGGGAGAATTCAGTGCTGTACAATATAACTTTCTGTGATGACGGAAATGTTTTATACCTGTGTTGTCCAATGCTGTAGCCACCAGCTGTATGTGACTATTGAACACTTGAAATGTGGCTAGTGTGACTGAAGTATTGAATTTTAAATTTTGCTTATTTTAATTCATTTAAATAGGCATATGTTGATAGTGACTACTATGTTGAACAGTGCAGGACTAGATAATTTATGACTAGATCTTCAAAAAGAACAGCTGATTCCACAGCAATTATCTTAGCTGTTAGCTCATGCCCCTCTGATCCCCACATTGTTAATAAAGTCTAAAAAGATGAATCTTTATGTTATTTTTAAATGCTGTAAGTTAAGCATACTAGAGAATTTCTGCCCCTTGAAGTAATTTGCATATACAGATACTACGAAATTTATTTAGCTGGTTTGTGAAAAGTTGAGCTGCTCAGATGAAATTTAAATTTATTTGTTTCAAATTTATGATTTTTAATATAATTGAATGTCTTTATTGCCTTAACACCATGATTAATTATGAAATTTCTTCAAACTGAAATATCGAGAAATATTTTCAGAATAAATAAAATGCTATCAGATAATACTTTCCTATTTATATAAAATAAGTAAAATATTTTAAGGATAACATTTAGCTTAATAGAGTCACCAGCTAGGCTCAAAGAAGTCACCCTTTTCCTGTTCTCTCTTTCTTAGGCTTTCCTGTAAGGCATATTCATATTTGCCTGGAGCAGAGGGAAGATTTGTCCCAGGCAAAATGTACCTGGGAGATACCTAATATCATATTATCTTAAATATTGCCTATATGATGATTTCAGTTCCAAGTAAATTTGTGGAACAGAGTTCCATGTAAAGTGGGGAGGAAGTCAGAATATAATGAATGCAAAATTTTCAATAGACTCCTGCATTTTCAGAGTTGGCTAGAGTTTGACTTATTACGTTAATTTACATTTTAACCACATTATTCAAGTATAAATCATCACTTTATTATTTTCCGGTCTCAACTATGATGGACTACTATAAGATTATGAACAGGCCATTTGGATTCAGGTTTTGTTTATTTGTTTGATTCTAGTTAGAGGGGTAATACCATTATTATCTGCTGTTAAATTATTTTAAAACTATGTGGTGGACAAAAACTAATCAGGAACAACCTAATGGCAACCAATACATGTTTGCAGGAACCAATACATGTTTGAATATATTTTCAAAGTTTATAGAACACCCTGGAATTTCCTTCTTCTTATAACTCTCTGTATGAAAACTCCTTGTTTTGTTTGTTTGAATTTATAGATATATTACTAAAAATAGAATATGTGCTTTCTGTAGTCTAAATTCTATATTTTCTTCCTCCATTTATAGTTCTCCACAAATTACTCCTCTGCTTCTGTACCCCTCTGCAAAGCTGCAGTATCTTAACTATTCCAGTCCCAAATCTATTCCACATAGCCTGTCAATCGCATCACCTTCCAAGGTACTTCAGTGCACACAAATCAAGTTTGAGTCATCTACTTCTAATCAATAGATCCTTATAGATTGTTTTAGTGTACCTAAATCACTTCCCAGAAAATATCTCACCATCTCATTTCTAATGGGAAAACATCAGATGAGATTTCAATCTGGGCCACTAAAGAAGAAAGGCTAATGTGCTTTTCTGGTCCATCAGGGGCCTACACTCCATGTAGTTCTTACATGATATGAGAAAATGTTTTCTCTCAAGTCAAAGACACACACACAACAGGAACATTTTAACTAGGGGCAGCATGAAATGAAGGAAAATGGCTGAGGGAAGCACATGCTGCCAGAAGTTTTCAATGCGGCAGAAAGCTTGCGCATTGCCTCAAAACCTCTGCAGCATGGTCAAGGCAAGCAGTTCAAAAACACAAGTGCCTCTTTGAAACAAAACTGCCTGGGAATCCTTTTTTTCTCTTTAGTAGATCAACAACAAATGTGGATACTCATAGCGCTTTGAATACTGTTAACAACACAGTTCATTCATCATCCATATTCCAAAGATATTTATTGCTCTAATAAGATAGTGAAATAGCATGCTAAGTGCTGTTCTTAACATTCTATCCTGTTCTGTAGCTAAGGAGAGTGCAAAGTTTGTATTTGTATGTTGCACTTTCTAGTTAACAAAATCCTGTCACATACGTCATCTTATTTAAACTTCATAGTAGCACTATGTCCCTGAATCACAGTCAGGAAACTGAAGCTCTAATAGGTTAAGAGCCTCAGTTGCCTGTGTTCAAACAGCTGTTGTCTTTGAGATGTATCTGTAAATGCGGTCAGAAGATTTCAGAACCCACCTTCTTGCCACTATATTATATAAAAATAGTTATTTATATCCACTGACTTTTTTGATATTTGAAATGAAAATTTAATTCTGAAAGAAATTAATTTTGTGCTAGATGACTCCTTATCAGAATTACAGCTTCTCTCAGGCAGTGCTGGAGGTTGGCATGTTCATTCTGGCTAATGTTAGGCTCTGCCTGAATTAGGATGGAGGCTACCATAAGACATTCATTCAGGAAATTTTCTGCAGCCAGACATATAGACTAGAGTCAACTGAACATAGTCCTCAATATCCTCTGAGAACACTTTCTTGACTGTGGTGGGCAGCTTCTCAGGTGGCTCCCAGTGAATCCCCTCCTCTTGGTATGCATGTATAATTCCCTCCCCTTCAGCATGGGCTGGACCTAGTAACTTGCATTTTTCTAATGAACAGAATATGGCAAGAGATGAGATGTCACTTCTGAGATAAGACTATAAAAAGACTCTGGCTTCTGTCTTGTCCACCCTCACTTGCTCTCTTCCTTGCTCATCTTGATGGAATCTAATGCCATTCTCTGGTTTGCCCTAAGGAGAGGTGCATGTGGCAAGGCACTGAGGGAGGCTCCGGCCAATAGATAATGAGAAAATGAGACCGTTAGTCCAACAACCCACGAGGAACTGAATCTTGTCAACATCTATGTGAATAAGCTTGGGAGTGGATCCTCCTCCGGTCTAACCTTGCGATAACTACAACCCTCGTGGTCACCTGGATAGCAGCCTCATGAGAGGCCTGACTTAGAGAACCCAATTCAGCTGTGCCCAATCCTAACCCACAGATAATATGTTTGTTCCCTTAAGCTGTTAAGTTCTGGGGGTAATTTGTTACACAGCTATGTGTCACTAGTACATTGACTTTAACAGAGTTCCTTTCATCTACCCTCTATGTACACAACGCACTTCCCACCATCCACACTTAATTTTGAAAAAGGATTTGACATCAGTGACTATGAATATACACATAGTGGCTGGGATCATTGTTTTGGGGTTAGAAACATCTGGGCTGTGTGTGGATTTGCCATTTACTACCTCTAAGATAAGGAGGAAATTATTTAATCTCTTCAGTTCTCTATTTCCTCATCTGTAAAAGAATCTACCTACACTAAACTACCTTATAGAGTTGTGTGTGTGTTTTATTAATGAGTTGATGAAGACAAAACAAAACATTTAGTACCTAGTAGGCACTTAGAAAGTGTTAACTATGACAACTATGTGTCTTTGGGTGTGATTGAAATTTTTGCTCATGCACATACATGTTTGTACAGGAAGAGGAAATTCAGTACTTATATTTATATATGATGTTCCTGTTTTGAGATGTTATGCTTCTTGTAGGCAGGATGGAGATTTAATATGAGAAATAGAAGAAATGTTTGCATGAGAGTTAGGAGACTTGAACTTTATTTTCCTTTTAGATCTTTCCTCACTGAAAAACAAAAAAAGAGTGAGTTTTTAGCTGTAAAATTCTGTTATATTTCTGTCTACCTTGTAACTCACCAAAGTACATATAAAATAATGCCATCTACATCATACAGGCCATATTAATAAGACAAATAAAACAAGTCCATTGTTTATTCCCCATTCTTTGAACTTCAGTTTTCTTTGTCTCCTCTCTTTCTTCCTCTTTTAGGTAATGCTTTCTAACAAAGGAGGTTGGTAATTAACCCCAAATGTTGGCCTATCCCTTAAGTAATCAAAGAACTCCGTTAAAAATGGAAATAATAGTGACACAGACACCAGAAGGTTGTCAAGGAAGAGCAATAAAAACCACCCTAAAATATTTTACAAGACACAAAAATAATCTAAGTGCATGGTAATAACTGATGTGTAATGCCTTACAAATTGAAGCCAAGTTACAATGATTTTCACTAGACGTTTCTCAAATCCTATGGGTGACACGAGCCCATTTCCTCTGTCACATTTCTGAAGAGATAATTGCAGGAAATGCTGTAAACAGTCTAACATTCACAGGTCATATTGAGAAATGTTTATAGATATTGACAGTTAAATACAGTGTATTACAGCACCAGGCACAATATGGCATCCACCTAGCAATAAGCTTTCACAAATCAAAGTCAAAAAAGTTAAGCTTTGGTAATAAAGAAATACAGACATATTGTTGAATGGGCGAATGAATAAATGAATGAAATGCTTGTTAAGATTATGGGTTTGTATGAAATATTATAGAAATAATAATGAACATAATTAATTTTTCTTTAATATTTAAGGTTTTATATATTAATCCCTTGGATTTAGAAATTAAACAATGATTAATCCAAAATAGGGAAAGCAATTCTCTAAATACTAGACAGGTAGTAAATACAAAAAATATTTCCTAATAGTTACTGAATGTTGGTATCAATTTTTTTAAAAAAACTGCAAGAATCTTACAGTTTATAAAAAATAAAAATTAAATTTGCTAAAATTTTAAATAATAGAAAAATCTACTGGGAAGTAGTTGCAAAGAAACAAAGACTGTGTAATTGATATTTTCCAGCTGAGGCTATACAATTTCTTATTTTAGGCTAAGTAGAAACAAATAAAATTTACTTACATTTATAAGAACATTTTAAATTGACACATAAAAAAGTTTGCATTAGAGAAAAAGTTAATGTCTCAATCTTCATTTGATAGTAATTTAGTACATTAAACATACACAATCTGGGTGTAATTGTTTCCTAGTTTTCCTTTAAATGAAAATATGGGTGGGTGGTGTGGATTTATAGACATACTTGTCAGTTTACATATGGAACAAAATTACTGGTGTTTTTAATCAAATCACCTTTCTCAGCTACGGAAGAGCCTCAAACAATTTTAACCAATCTATATTTTAACTATCCACTTTCTTCCTTGAGGGCCTCTTTTTGCACAATTTAGTTTCCCCTCCCTACTCATATAATCCCTATCTTCTATTTATTATTTATAAAATTGTCCTTCTCCTTGCAACCAGAACTATGTATTGATGATTGTAAATGTTGATTGGGTTACTTGAGAAGCCATTTATGCCCTTGTCTTTTACCTTAAAAATTAGAGTTTTAAAGTATTTTAGCTTTTTAAAGAAAGATTTGAGTCAGGAGTGTTTTTATATAAATGATGCTAACTTTTGTTTTTTGTCAGTTGCCCCAAAAGGCATGAAGATTTGGCTGAGAATAACAATGAAACAAAGCAGAATCTTGCTCTTCTAAGCTTTGTATGTTTGTTCTTTGCTCATTTTAGATCTGGGCCAGGACATAGAGCAGTAATTGTTTCATGAAAATCCTATAATCAAAGTGATATCAGTGCAAAATGATTAAAACTGAAAGAAAAGGCCAGGAGTGGTGGCTCACACCTATAATCCTAGCACTTTGGGAGGCCGAGGCGGGTGGATCACCTGAGGTCAGGAGTTCAAGACCAGCCTGGCCAACATGGTGAAACCCTGTCTCTACTAAAATACAAAAATTAGCCGGGCATGATGGCGGGTGCCTGTAATCTCAAGTATTCTGGAGGCTGAGATGGGAGAATCGCTTGAACCCGGGAGATTGTGGTTGCAGTGAGACAAGATCGCACCACTGCACTCCAGCCTGGGTGGCTGAGCAAGACTCCCTCTGAAAAAAAAAAAACAAAAACAACAACAACAAAAAAAAACAGAACAAAACAAAACAAAACAAAAAATTGAAAGAAAAAAATTATAGCGAGAGAAAATAATATATAAAAAAGAGAAATCTTACAGTAATATGTATTTAGCACCTATTATAGGTCATGCACTGTTCCAGGTCTGGGAGTTATATCGGTGAACAAAATCACTAAAATCCCACTATCTTGAGCTTAAATTCTAGTGGGGGAGGGCAGCTCAGATAAACGGAGAGAGACAATAAATAATAAGCATAATGAATATATGTGTTAGAAGGTGAAATGAGCCAAGTAGAAAAGAAAGAGTAGAGCAGCGTAAGGATGTTGAGAGTGTGTGCTGTGGAGGAAGGGTAATGGTGTTAGAGAGGAGGTAATGGTAGGTCTTAAGCTGAGAACATGACCTTTGAGCAAAAACTCAAAAGAGGTGAGGAAATCATCCCAATAAACATCTGGAGGAAAAATATTTGAGGCAGAAAGAATAGCTTCACTGAAATCTCTAAGGCGGGATTGTGTCTGGTGCATTCAAGGAACAGCAAGAAGGCAAAAATGACTGGAATGGAGGAAGCAAAAGGGGAGTGAAGGGGGACAGGTCAGAGAAGAATGTGTCTGGAGGACCGGGCCGTGGTGCAGATAGACCATTTAGGGACTTGCAGACCATTGTGAGGATTAACTTTTACTGATTCCCGAATGACCAGTGTTTTGTCTTTGCCTCTTCTGCGGCCCGCTCCCCCTCCTCCTCCATTTCTTTCTCTTCCTTCTTCACCACGATCATCCTCACTGATGAGGCACTTATCTAACACATCTTGATTTGAACAATAATAAGATTCTAAAGTTTTAAGAGTGTATTTCCACAATTTTCTTATTCTCATCAGTTCTATTCAACAGAAAAAGATGTGTTGAATTCCCAACACATATGTGCAAAATTGTGTGTTTAGTCTCTATTTTAAAAATAGAGGCTGTTGCCTATTGGACGCTGACTGTGGAATACGATGCTCTAGGCCGCTATTGAACAGGATACAGCACTAAGGATTCGATGTATATTAACTCATTTAGTCCTCACAGCCACCCTGTGAAATGGAGGCTATAGTTTTCCTATTTTACAAATGAGGAGAATGAAGCAGAGAAAGGATAAGTAACTCATTCAAGACATACAGACAGTGAGCCACAGAACCAACACTTGAAATCAGGTATTTTGGACTCCAGTGTCTGTGTTCTTGGCTGTTTGTAATACTGTCTTTTATTGTCATAATCCTTCACAATACCCATACTCTTTGAAATGTTTTGTTTATTCACTGTTATCTCATCAAGCATTTATTAACATCCTACTGTCTCTCATCACTGTTAGGCATTGTGAAGACAGGGCAGCTGCAAGCCTCTATGGTATCTTTGTCTGGATTAAAAAAAGGTATCTCTTCTTTGAGGCCTTTTACAATTCTTCTGTCAGTAAATTATCATAATATTTTGATCTTTTAAGAAGAAGACATTTAGCTGCTATTGCTGAAAAACTGTCATAATAAATACACAATTTTTTAAGTCCAAAGGTAGAGTATTAAAGATGTTTATTAAAGATGTTTAATATTAAACTATTAAAGATGTTTATGATGTACATAATGCCCCTTAGATGTGGTGGCCGTGTGAGGTACTACACAATCTGAAGATGCTCCTGGCATAATGCCCCTGGATGAACCAAATAAAATATAATCAAACATTACTCCCTAGAGATGAAAAACATAACACCTGCACTGGGTCAGAAAATTACTTTTCTACAATACTTTTTTGAGTTTTCTTGACAGACTCTTCCAAAACCTTTCTACATAAACTTAGATAACTCAGCAATGTTGAAAATTAGTATTTGAATAATAATAAGACACTAAAGTTATAGGAGAATATTCCTGCCATTATTTAGGGCTTATATTTTATTCTTATAAATTCTATTTGATTCAAAAATACATATTGAATTCTGAACAACTGCAAAACCGTGTGGTAGGAACATTAAAAAAAAAAAAACATGGAGCATAGCTTATTGGGCACAGACCACGTACTGTGATGTGTTAGAGCCCTATTGAACTGTACATGATACCAATTCTTCATCGTATTTATATCCATCACAATTGACACTAATCAGTTACCTACTTAGAGGAGCTTGTTTCTCTCACCAAGATTAGAGTATACCTATACCATTAATTTTATATTAATTAGTACTTATCCTTAAGATATTTTAAAGAAAGCAGGACTGGTTATTAATTCCATCTTTACAAATAAAGAAAAGGAAGTTCAGAGAGGCTAATGGTGAGGTCAGGTCCAAACTCAGGAATTTCTGACTCCAAAGCCCACCATGCTAGACTTAGCATATGGTGGGAAGATGACCAAATCTAAGTCTCCTTACAGAATGACAGAAAAAATCAGAGGTGAAGATTATAGGAATAAGAGAAAGCACACAACCAGAACACCAAACTAGTAAACATCCTACCTATGCCAGATTCCAGCTTGTTTATACCTGACCCAGACCAGGCACAATTCTTTATTGTTTGTGAGCCAGTTCAAATGCCTGCACTCTGAACTGTAATTTTAAATGCATGCATGACACCAGTCCAAGAACCTGGTGCAAGGTTCATTATATCGCTCTTCTTTTCCATCTGTACTTGCTTTCAGGTTTAGATTCAGTGCCTTAGAAAGGGGAATTTAAAGATATCAAGGGGTATGAAATGAGAATAACAAACATGTATTGAAAGTTAACCAGGTACCAGGTACTATTATAAACACTTTATTGTATAAACACTCATTTAAGAAGTGGGAATCAAGGTTTTTTTTTTCATTGTTATTTCCATAACAAATTTCAATAGCTGAGGCAAAATTTGCAAATATCTGGAGCTGAAAGGTTGCATGAAGAATGAATATGAAGGAATGTCTGCACTCAAATTCTCCCATGTAGCAATATGGCCTTGAAGGCATTGTCAACAAACCAGTGGGTGAGACATTTCAGCCACAGATAAGGGAGAACATACTATGAAAGGTGTTGTAATTTGATATGATTCTGACATTCAAATGACTGTTTATTTCTTACTGATTCATGTGAGAAATTTTTTTTTAGTATTATCACAAATAAACTATTACTTTCTTGCAGCTAATGAAAATAATTTTTGTTATTAATGTTCTTATATTTGTTCTTAGTTCCTTTTCTCCTTCTTTATAAAAAACCTATGTCCATACTGTTTTTCCCACCTTATTGTAAACGCTTCCAGAATAGGAGCTAAATTTTATGCCTCTTTGAGATTTCTAGTATTTACTTCTACTTTGCACATGGAAGACATCGTTCATTTATTCATTGATGATTTTTTTGAGCACCTACTGTGTGCCAGGCACTGAATTGTGTGATGGGGTACAATGGGAAATAGATGCAGTCCCTGCTGAAACTCTCACTGTTATAGAGAAGCCAGACATTCAACAGGCGATTTCATTACCGTATAAATATTATGTAGGGCAAAACAAGGTGCTCGCCAGAACAGAGGTGCGCCCTCCTCAATGTAAGGTGATCAGGGAGGACTTCCCAGAGAATGTGACAAATATTCAGAGATTATACAGAAAGTAACAGCTAAGAGTGGGCTCCTTCCACGCCATTCCAGCCACAGCAGCTCCGCTAGGGGGTATGTTCTCTGGGCAGCTACAGGGGCCCCTACTGGCCCTCCGGGGCCAGACTTCGCTTCTTCAGACAGCTCCACGTGCTCTGAGACCTTCTAACAGTACTTCGGCGGAGTAATTGGAGTTATCCTGCGATGCATGCTTAACTTCTCCGGTGAGTCAGGACTATGTCAACTGCACTGATTAGGAAGACATTCAAACTGTTATTGCTCAGTGTAGCCAGAAGTTTCTGGATATTGAAAGAAAGACAGAATGCTCTTTCTTTCTTTTTCTTGCTTTCTTTCTTTCTTCTCTTTCTTTCTTTCTTTCTTTCTTTCTTTCTTTCTTTCTTTCTTCTTTCTTTCTTTCTTCTTTCTTTCTTTCTTTCTCTCTTTCTTTCTTTCTTTTTCTCTCTCTCTTTCTCTCTCTCTCTTTCTGTCTGTCTTGCTCTGTCACCAGAATGCTTTTTCTTACAAAAAATATTGCAGTTATTTGTCCAGAAACCAGAGCAGGTTATCAAAGAGGATGTCTCAAAACTAAGGAATGAGTTACAGTGGAAAGAAGTCCAGAAGCACTTGATAAAGCTGAGCCGCTGGCACCAGGTGCTGGAGGACATCAACGTTCAGCTTGAAAAGCCGGCCAGCATCGGTATCCCTCGGGACTCCTTGGCCTACCTTGAGGAGGCGTCTGCCAACATCCCTGCACCTCTGAAGCCAACCTGAACAACAGGCAAAGGTGGTCAGCCTGAGAGTGGGCTGCTTCGTGAAGTTTGCCACACATCTCTTCTTCTTCTTCTTTCTTTCTTTTTTTTTTTTTTGAGACGGAGTCCGCCTCCCCGGTTCAAGCAATTCTCTGCCTCAGTCTCTCGAGTAGCTGGGATTACAGGCATACGACACCACGCCTGGCTAATTTTTTGTGTATTTTTAGTAGAGATGGGGTTTCACCATGTCGGTCAGGCTGGTCTCAAACTCCTGACCTCGTGATCCACCCGCCTCGGCCTCCCAAAGTGCTGGGATTACAGGTGTGAACCACCGCGCCTGGCCTACATCCCTTCTTGTAGACTTGACATTTTGGAAGAACTCTTTGCCAGAGAATGAGTTGATTTTAGTTTCATGATGTCATTGAAAAATGTTCCACTATTTTTATAAGCTATTAATTTCTTGAGTACTTTATAAAATGTCTGTAGCTTGGATAAACCAAGTAAAAAAAAATTTTTTTTTTTTTGGTCTTTAGCAAAGTTTAGACTGTTAGTGTGACAACACAGTTTCTTTAATGGTGGTTTTGCTTGTTTTTTAATTTTTGTATGACTTTTCATCTTTTTATGTGTGTTTTCCATTGTTTGATGTGAAGGAAAAATTATAGGCTGGGCTCTGTGGCTCACGCCTGTAATCCCAGCACTTTGGGAGGGATCCCAGCACTTTGAACCCAGGAGGTGGAGGTTGCAGCGAGCCAAGATCACACCACTGCACTTCAGCCTGGGTGACAGAGTGAGACTCTGTCTCAAAAAAAAAAAAAAAAAAAAAAAATTGTGACAGCCTGAGAATCGGGGGATGAGGATTTTGGTTGTAGGCCTTTTATGATAATTACCCCTCAGTGGTGTGTAGAAAAATATGTAAATTCGCTCTTGTTTCAAGACTTCAAACTACCTCAGGAAGAAAAATCTAATACAATATTTGTAATGCTTCCAGAGCTCTCAAAATGAGTATTTTTTGGTAAATAAGTCAGAAGAGGATTAAAATGTCTTGGGTTAGTGTAGTAATATTACAGTAGGATCCTTAGGTTGATGCTGACTTCTTTTGGGGGTAAGTTTATATTTTGTGTGGTGTTTACTTTTTTTTTTTCAGGAATGTAGTAGGAGCAGTGATACGCTAAATTTTGCCATTCATTCTGCAGTAATGAATCAGTTTAATGGGGGCAGACACTGTTTTCAGTAGCATGACAATGGGGGCATAAGTGAGCTACAAGGGGCTAAAGCTTGCTCTGATCATCCCTTTCTGTTTTGAGTTTTGCTTGCTTGTATTATTTTTGTTTTACATTTTGGGAGGGAAAACATTTTCCGTTAAGGAAGGTTATTGCCAGTGGATTTGATTCCAAGAGACTGGGGTGTCGCAGTGAGGGTGAGGAGGGGCTGCAGAGTGATCATTGACTACTTAACCTCCACAAAGAGCATGTGACACCTCTGCCTTTGGGGGATATTTTGCTTTCTTGTTAGTTTTTCAGGTCGCCTCAAATTCTCTGTCGAATTGCTAATAAGAAGTAGAGACTATCAGGGCTGGGCACAGTGGTTCATGCCTGTAATCCCAGCACTTTGGGAGGCCAAAGCAGGTGAATCACTTGAGACCAAGAGTTTGAGACCAGACTGGCCAATATGGTGAAACACCATCTCTACTAAAAATATAAAAATTAGCCAGATATGGTGGCGGGTGCCTGTAATCCCAGCTACTTGGGAGGCTGAGGCAGGAGAATCGCTTGAACCCAGGAGACAGAGGTTGCAGTGAGCCAGGATCATGCCATTTGTACTCCAGCCTGGGCAATAAGAATAAAACTCCATCTCAAAAAAAAAAAAAAAAAAAGAAAAGAAATAGAGACCAGCATTATTTGGCTCTCACTGGGTGAGGTTTTCTGAGTTTTATACAGTCTCTTACTAGATCTTATTAGATCACATCCCTTTACCCAGGACAAATGCTTCACTATCTTCTGACTGGCAGTACTCCTGTGGCTCTGTGCCTTGGCTCATTTTGTTTTCTTCAGCCTTGAAGGCCCCTTCCCACATGTACTGACATCCACTCATGTGTCTGTTCCCTGGAGCCTCCCAGCACCCATTTTGCTGCACCCCAAGGGCACAGGACTTTTATCTCTTCTACTGCCCTTGCTTGGTTCTCCCTTGAAGGCTAGTGCTTTGCACCTGTCTCTCTGCCCCTCACTAATTGTACACCTGTAAGAATCAGACATTATTCCCCTTAAATATACAGGGATCATATAGTCTTTCTCTTTTTGTTGTGTGTGTATATGGTATCTGGAACATGGACCTGTGATTACCAGCCTGACACCAACAAATCCCCTGAGTTACAATGTATAGGTTAAACAAAGCTTTTAAAAGCTCATATAATATGACCTCAAGGCTGTTAACCTGGTTGTCTCATGGTCATTAGAAACTCTGATTGGCAGCTTTATATTTCTTGACTAAAAGCCTAAATAAACTGATTAAGTTTTAGGCATTCTTGCAAAGCGGTTATTAGTGAAAAGATTGGGAACTATTCTATTTGGTGCTTAGTGAAAATATTTTGAATTGATGTATGTACCAGTTATTGCCATTTCTTTATTACATTCAAAAATTTTTTTTTGCCAAAAAAAAAAAGAGAAAGTAATAGCTAAGAGGGGAAATAGCAGGACAGGTGAAAGGAACTACGGAAGCCAAGGCCTTGAACCCAGCAGCAAGAGCTCAGTCAGTTCTGGGAACCTCATGTATTTCATATGGTTAGAAGAATAGTGAGATCTTGACTGATGAGACTGGGGTGAAACCAGGAGACAACTCACAAGTGGCACTCTGCCAATATTTGGTTTTGATGCTGACGAGGCCATTCACAGGTGCCATGATTACAGCTGGAATCCCTACAGGTGTGGCTGAAAAGTAAGTGTCTCCTGGAACCAATCATTATGACAAACAACAAATACCTCTCATGTTCTCATTACAAGTTAATCCAGAAAATAGTGTAAAATGGGTGAAGAATCCAGCTGTCATCTGTTTTTTAACCTGACTGCTGGAATTATCAGAGGTTATTATTAGAAGGCAGGAGGAATCTGGTCAGTAGAAGAATATTTCCCATATTCTCCAAACTTGTGTGGATATCATCTACAGGGCCTTTAGATAAATGGAACCTGAAGCTTATAAACTACCTGCCCATACATAAGCAAAACAGTGTTGGTTCTATTTGCATTTTGCAAATGAAGCATCATCTGCAGGTATATATCCCACTGCTAGTAGCTTTTGCCTCTCTCTGGCTTTCCTGGCTTTAAAAGCGTTTCTCCATTATGAGCAAGTTACTGAACTTTGAGGAAGAGTCCACTGTAATAACAGTAAAGTTTAATGATGCATAACTTTGAAAGACTGACAGATTCCCAGCCAAAGTATTGATTCTTACAGAATTTATGAAGCACATGCTGTATTCTGTGTCATTATGGTCTTTTTTTGGCTGAAAGAATCATGTAAAATAGATTTTTAAATGAGTGGTAATAGCCAGACATAAAGAAGGTATTGATGTGTGTCATGAAGGGTGAAATAGCATGCCAGATTAAGGCATATAACAAATCAAAAACAACAGTACCCTCTAATACTACAAATGTCAATTTGCTTTTCCTTTGAATCACCCCTTCTATTTACCACTTTACACATTTACAATTTGCCTTCTATAGACCTCTTCTGAAGAGCATTAAAGATGTGAAAAATTTTTGCATAGCTGCAAATACTGCTTTGGGAGATACTAAAAGTTCAAAAACCGGGTGCTTAAATTTGGCAAAGAAATTTGCTCTTATATGTAAATAATGCCCTTTGCAAAAATAATGCTAAAAGCTTATAATCTAATCTTTATTATATGCAGATATAAATGGCATAGTGGATCAAGATTTGATATTTAATTTTTTATCAATTCAATACTTTTTAAATAATACTGAAAATTTTTATGTGTTTTTCAGAAACACTAAAAATTTATTCTTCCTTTACAACTTCCAGCTAAGCTCTTTTCTGTTCCCAAATGATTGGGTGGAAGTCATCTCTACACTAACATATTTTGAAAAAGTATGGAATTTATTCTTCTGCTGTCTGTAAATGCCCTGTTCATCTTAATACCTATTATCAATTAGTTTCTCAAGAAACAATTGAAATGTAAGTCTTTGTTGTCTCCCAATTATTTTGTTTTGACACACTGGGGGAAAAAGTGGCTTTCAAGAATAGTAATTTAAACTTTGATTTTATGCTTCACTTTGGAATACATGTTTATTAAATGTGTATCTCACCGACAGAGTAATCAATACAGATTGTGTAGTACATTATAAGAAAACCATGTCTGAGATTATTAGAGAAATTAAATGCTTTTAGTTTTGCTTACTTGAGCAATATGTGAAAATTAACAGCTTAAACCCTTTCATGTATCTGACCAGGCTTAGTCTTAGTCAGAACTCATGGTTTTTTGGGGGGTTCTTTTTCTTTCTTTTCTGTTTTTTTTTTTTTTTTTTTCTAAGTAAAGTTTCATATACTCTACGTGGTTAGCATTCATCTAGTAAACATCAAATTACCTGAAATCCTAATTTTAAAGACTAACATTTATGGAGAGAGATCCACATTTAGATGGGAGACAGAAAGGAAAAGGAAATTGATTGAGTGGCTGCAGCTTTCCCTGAAAAGCAGTGCTGCATTTCCACCACATTCCAGAAACCTTTATAGAGCAAGAAAGAGAGGTCATCCAGGTCTAACTGTGCTCGGGACCAATGGATCCCAGATGAAAATATATCTCTCATGCACCCAGAAACCTCATGAGAATCAGCCAAATCCTTCTTCAAACAGCTGCTTCTCAACAATTCAGGAGTTTATCTACCTAATAAAAAAGTAACTTGGCAGGAAGAAAAAGGCTGAGACTCTCAATAGACTCTTCTCGGGCCTAGTGGAGCCTGAAGAACTCTTCAAGGTCTTAGTCAACAGTGAACAGAGGAATTTGAACCTGCACACTCATCTATACCACAAACAAGCTGCTGCAAGAGCCAGAGAGGGTTCAATTTTTACATAAACATTTTTTCCCAGGCCAAATAAAGGCAGATTCAAATAAAATAGGCCAAGTCCTAGATGGAAGATGAGAACAAAAACTCAGGGAACAGGAAAGTGATTCCTTACCTCCATTGTAATATCTCACAAGCAGTTCCCACTAATACATTTCAGTTAATCCGGGGAGTATTTCAATTCATGGGATCTATTTTCCATAAGTTTTCCAAATGGACATTCTTAAAAGAACAACTTACAGTTTGATTGATTGATTGATGTGCTAGAAGAACTAAAATTTTAAAAAGCTATATGTTTCAGAAGTATTTTAAAGGAGGTAGTCATACTCAAAGATATTTGAAATGCAGAGGCTGTTCATTCACACCTAGATCTTAATTTCCTATTTTTTTCAACTCAGACCCAGCATTCTTTAGACATTATAGGCAGACTATACACTTATGATGTATACATAAGTGCACATAATCACAGCATTTGGTTGTAACAAACTAGTTTTACTAAAATGGAAGATTTAATAGATGAAATGAGGAAATATGTCAATGTAATAGCATATTAGATTTTGCAAATGAGCTATTCCTAAGGCAACATGCATTGCTTTGCTTTTATATTTCCACAATCATTTGTTCACTTGACAGCTAACATTCAGAATCCATCTTTGATCTTGGAGGACTTGTACAAATCAAAGTATAATAAATCCTTACACTTGGGGACTCAAGGTGACACTCGACAAAAGCTGTCTTCTGAAAGAGTCCTTGGCCTGTTGGATACACAGATCTTCCTCAAGACCTGGTGTCAGGGCTAGTCTTTAGCAGACTTGAAAAGAGGAAAAACCTGTCCTTAGGGCTTTCAACATTACTGTGTGCCCCATTTCCTATCAAGCATCTGGGACCCAAAAATTCTAGTTTCCACCTATTGAGGATTTATTATGTGACACACACTTACATGTATTATTTCTGATCCTTACATCAACTTGCAGGATCAGAATTTCATCCTCATTGCATAGAAAATGAAGCTCAATGAGTCTCAGTACATCTTCTAAGAGGCAGAGCTGGGTTTCAACCTTGGGTCTGACTTCAAAGCCCCTCCTGAAGCCCATGACATCATCATGTCTCAGCCTGAGGCTTCCCTGTGGAGTTCACACCCAAACTTGTTCTTCCTGTTTTGACTCTAGATTCCCTTCCTGGAGCTTTGGCTTGGGACACTAATCATCTGAATATAGGCAGTAATGAATTTTTTTTTTTTTTTCTGTAAAGAGGGTAGAACGGAAAGCATATATGCTCCCACCTCTTCTATTGGCTTTTATTACAAATTCTATTTACTTTCTGATAGGGATACTTTGGAAATGATACCTTTACCCAGAGGAATTGTAACAGGATAAATCTCGAACAGCATGGCATATTGTTGATCAGGCAGACGACAGGACTGCCAACTCGGCGTGCTGCTAACATTAGCCATTTGTGTTGTGAAAACTCCTGTTAGCTTCTTAGAGCTACAAAGCCTGTGATGAGAAATTGTCTTTATTTTGCTTTGTGAATATCTGCCATTTGATTTTTACTTTCCAACATAAACTGACACCTCTTGGGCTTGTAACAGAATTTTTCCACTGTGAATAAGTCCCCGAAAGCACTCTGGGTTGGTAGAACAGCCCGATGTTCTGTTAAAAATCACTGGAAATTAATTTCTATTAAAGACCTAGCTTTGAAATTTACTGTGTTACTTTGGGAAAGCCACATCACCTCTCTACACCTTCAGCTATAAAATGGCTGTCATGAGGATCAAATGAGATTCTAGCTTTACAAAAGGCTTTGCAAATTGTTAAGAATTATACAAAAGTAAGGGCATTTCTGGGCATCATTTTGAATCCTATTCATTCCTTCCTGAGAAACAATCTTGCAATATAAGGCATTGACTGGCATCTTCCATCTGTGCTATCCTACCCTATGATACTCCTTGGATTTTCCCCTTAATTTACCTCTGCTCTGCCAATAATCAATATGGCAGGAGTTTCAAACATTTTCTCCTTGGATTTCCTAATTCAGACCAATGGCAAATCCTGAAGTTATTAGGTATCAAGGGCTCATTTATCAAATCCTTACAAAGAAGCTTTTCTTTTTGTAATTTTTTCCCTTTTCTATCTTAGCAGGTTATCTTTTGTAATCACTGATTACTGTGATTACTGTCTACTTGGGATAGAAGGCAGGGATTAACAGAACCATGTGAGGAAAGTTGAATGAAGATACCTCTCTCACTCATCCTTTCTTCCCATTTGCTTCTCACTTGGGGTAACAGGTACCTCTCATGCCCATTAGTCTGATTCTTTCTCTAAAAAGTACCTTAGTGCCCTCTACAGGTTGTGTGAATTTCTCATCCCGTGATCTTGTTTACATGTTATGCTTTCTCCCTTAGCTCTCTCCTAAAACCACTGGTGGCTAGGTTCTTCTCAATGGTGCCAGATTCCAGGAGGATTGCTTATTTATAGTATTCTCTGAAATGTATTTATCTAATGAGAGTATTGAAGAATATGGTGACTTCAATCTTGTGTGCAATTTGAGGGAGAGAATTGATCCCAACTATTTGGCATGTCAGTAGTTACTAGGAGACCATTTGCAGGTGATAAGCTACAGAAGACATCTGCAGGTGAGAAATCTGAAACTGAAAAAGGTCAAGTAACTTTGTAAGGCTTCCAAAACTATTTTGTGGTTGCAGAGCCAGAATCTAGGTCTCCCAGCATTTATTCGAGCATTCTTCCTTTCCTTTGTTTTGAATAGTTTCTTTTCCATATTTTCAAAAGTTTCTGTTTTGTCCTCCTGTTGTGTATCTCAAAACCTACCCCAAGGAGTTACAAACGTCATCCATTTGGCTTCAGTAGGTAACTGATGGATTAGGTCTTCCAGCATGTCAAAAGGATCTGCTTGGTAATACTAATCCAATTTGTAACCACATCCTGGTGCCGTTGCAAATGTCTCAGAGGTCAAAAGTAAAATTTAGTGAGAACTAGAAAGTGCAGCAAACATGGGAGAGGGCTCATTTCTTGATTTACTTGAAAGTTGCCTAAAGCAAAGCACTCCAACATACAACCTTGTAATGAGCTTTGGACTGCAAGGCAGAAATCTGTTGGCTTTTTCTAGCCTTCAAGACCTGGAAATTCTTGAACACCTTCTCAACCTTCTGTTTTTTGAAATGTCACTCACTCATTCCCAAATTAGTTGACATCATCAGCCTGGAGTTTATCTTGCTCACTCCAAGTGCAGAATGTCCACTGACTCAAATCCTTAATCATTCAAGAATTTGGGACTCACGAAAGTTTTTCTTCTTTGAGATTATTTAGAGATTTGGAATACAATTTGGATGAAAACAATGCTACATTTTAACCTGAATCCTTGGGGAAAAATAAAAACCTTGGAATACAATTATGTCCTGTAGATCAAAATTGAGAGTGAAAATACCTAGATACAAGTTCTGAGAGGATAACCCAAAGAGGACTTTGTGAAACTACTTAAAAATGGCAAGTCAACCACAAATCTATATTTGTTCAGCTTTTGGATTTCCTCTTGCTAAGTAATTTTAAAGCTACTTAACAGTATTTAATTGACATTTAACTCACTATTCTACTTGCTTCAAGTTTTTCATACTGAAGCGCTCACAATTATAACTTGCATATGAAAAATTACCTTAGCCTGATTTCCAAATGGCTGAAGAGTTTGATGTAATTTCTACTAGAATTCTGTAATATTGATGCAGCAGATGCTGGAGCAGCATTTTTCAGCTGTCAATTATGACCCTTTAGTAGGTCATGAAATCAATTTAGTTGATTGTGATTAGCATTAAAAAGAGTAAAAAAAGAAAGGAAGAGAATTGCACAGAACATAAGAAATTGAGTGCAAGTTAAGTATTGTTATGTGAAACTCTTTCTTCAGTTACGTGTGTAGTTGGATTGGGACATAAATTATATTTCTTGTGTGGGCTGTAGTCAAACTGAGAAACACTATTTTAGACTGCAGTGGGTAAGAGAAAGAACTCCTTCCCAGCTGTGTGAATCATTCTGAGACTTGATTTTCTACGCTGAAAATGTGTGTAATAAGACTTTCATAACAGGGTTGTTGTAAGAATTAAGTAAAACATAAAATAACATTGATGCACAGTATCTGACATAGTAAGAAGCTAATATTGTTATTTTGGTGGGAGTTATAATGAGAATTATTTGAAATCGTTTGAGATAGTAAATTAAAGCACTGACACTTATCCCTTAAATCAAGTTCCCTTGTTGCAAACTTCTACCTCCCAAGCACATAGCCCCTGGGAGGGAGAAGCTGGGAATTCCCAAGATTAGAACAAAGAAGCCATTGATCAGTTTTGAATCTCAAAAGCTGGCTCCTTTGACTTCTTTGCCAAGACAATAGTCATGAAATTTGGATTGTAAGAAAGAAAAAGATTTTCTAAATTCCTTTATTTCTTCTTTAACTATTGAGAAGCCGCCAGACAAATAATACTCGAGAGTCTTAAATGAAATAACAACAATACTAGCGAGTCTTAAATGAAAGTGAGGAAGAAGTCGGGAAATGCCTGGCTCCTCAGTTCCCACTGGATTCTTGGTAGAAGACAGAGAAATAGGAGAACATTGCTCCAGCTTCTCCAGTTTTCACCAATTCCTGGTGGTGGGGGTTGAGTGAGGGAAGGGTATAGAGATGTTCTAGAGAATTTGAGGGGAATGGTGAGGGGAAAGGGCCTTCTGCTCCTTCAAGAGGATGAGAAGCTATCGCTTTACAGGTTCCTTCTGCTTAACTACTGGGGGTTTTACATAAAATTAAATTCAGTGGTTTACTGTGGTTTTGTATAGAAAGATCTGAGTTTAACCCCTCAGAGTCTCCCTCAGCTCTTGCATGGTATGGTAGCTTTTCTGAGTGTCCTGTGAAACGAACCAGGGGCATCTGGCTGAAAGTAGGTGAAGGTCTTGCCTGGCAACTTTGCCAAAGCAGGTGGTCTAAAGAAAATGAAGCCATTCACGGTAGATAAAGATCCAGTTGGGAATCATTATTTTCAGCAAAAGTGGAGATGGGGGCTTGATCAACAAGGGGAGATGGCTATTGGGGCCCTGAAACACTGTAAGAATTGAGTGAACAAAACATGAATGAATATCACTAAAGGCAGTTTCTTGCAATGGAGGCTTCAGAATGCCTTGGGGATGGACAAGTCCCTCCTGAGATGACCACCTCTGGGAGAAGACCAGGCCGGGAGGACTTAGAGGACACCTCTTCAACTCCAGGACTCCACCTCCCCTAAGATTATGTGTACCTCACTCATTTCACATAATCCATGTAAATCCAGGTGGAGAGGCCGGAAATCTGACAAGTATTTCTCTTACTTGTTGAAGCACAAACTAAGTTACATAAAGAGATGGGTTGAATTGCCTAATAAGATTGAATCAACAATGTAACAGAAATAACTTTTCTAGACTGCCCAGTGGATGTGGAATTATGAAGAAGATCCAATCAATTAAAAAGAAATAAGCGCCATTTCTTGGCACATCTGGGCATGGTGTGAACACGTCTGTGATGTTCCTAATTTATCATTATTATTATGCTATATCTGTGGGAATGAAATGTTTCTGTCTTTATTCACACCAGTCTTCATATCACAGGGTATTTTGACTAATAACTCTTTAGATCCAAATTAACTATCTAATTGAGAAACCTTTACCCAAGAACCTCAAGTATTGAGCCAATGCTAAATGAGTATTCAAAAAAGAAAAAAGGAGTAAGCCGGACTTTGCGTTCCCAAATAAAATGCTGCCAAGTTCACGTGTAACCCATAGTGCTGGGCAGAAAGATATGGTAAAATTTTAATATTTACAGAGGACTTTTCTGCTTTGATAGTCACAATTGAAATTCAACTAGAATTCTTGCATCTTAAGCTTTAGAGTTTTCTTTCTTCCCCACAATTCTAGGGGCAGGTGGTGATGGTGGTAGTGGTGGACGGGATATAAATTGTTAAAGCAGGAAACAGTACAGAAAAAAAAAATATTTTTAAGAGCACTGATCCGTCCAGAGCTATTCCCTTCCCCCCGCACCCAGTGGCAGGATAAACAGCTGATCCAGGCCTGCCGACAGCAGAGAGAGCACGGGCTCACTGACACCCAAGGCTGACAGACCATCATGTAGTGATGGTCAGGGCCAGGCCAGTGTGTGCCCCATGGCTCTTGTTTTCCATACCGCAGGAGGCAAGATGACCCATGGGGAAGCACTGGAGTTTATTGATAGTGTGGGGGTTAGGACCTCTCACCCCAGTTAGATAAAACTGAGCTCTAGTCTTAGAATCATCATTTACTAGCCATGTGAACTTTGGAAAATTACTTAATCTTCCTAATCTTGGTCTCCTGTTCTATATAATGGGGATAACAACTGAAGCTCCCCATAAGCCTATTGGAATTTAAATAATTTATGTAAAAGAGATGTTTCAGTATCTGGAACTTAGATGCTCATTAGAAGTCAGTCAGGCCAGGCTCGATAGCTCAAGCCTGTAACCCCAGCACTTTGGGAGGCGAGGCGGGCAGATCACTTGAGGTCAGGAGTTCAAGACCAGCCTGGCCAACGTGGTGAAACCCTGTCTCTACTAAAAATACAAAAATTAGCCTGGCATGGTGGTGCATGCCTGTAATCTCAGCTACTGGGGAGGCAGGAGAATCACTTGAACCTGGGAGGCGGAGGTTGCAGACAGCCAAGATCACATCGCTGCACTCCAGCCTGGGCGAAAGAGTGAGAATCAGTCTCAAAAAAAAAAAAAAAAGTTCAGTCAGTCTTACTGTTTTTATTCTTCTGGGCAGCTATAAGTTTGAATCCCACTACTTATATGATGTTGGGTAAAATATTTTAGTGTTTTGAACCTCGATCCCCTTACTTGTAAGGTGGGACTAACTCACATTATATGAGATTATTTAGAGATTATAAGAAATAAATGTCGAGCCCTTCTTTTTCTCTCCTTTCTCCCTTTGTTCTCTTATGGTCAGAGTGTGTAAGAAGACCAGAAAGATCTCAAAGGTGATGGAACCAGGGATGTCTCGTGACCTGGGTCTTTGTCGTATACCCAGGCTCTTGGAGAAGGAGCAGGTTTCAGATGTGAGTAGGTGGCCAAAGAGAAAGTAGATGAGAAACTGATGGAAAGATCATCACATAGCGGGAAATCAAGAGTTCGTGCAGAATTAGAAATGAGAGTTCTGCTGACCTTCAGGTCATTTGATACATCACTGTCAGAGTTACCTTTCTAAAAATTCTGATCTTGCTTAAAAAAATGTAGTGGCTCACTATTGTTTACCATGAAAAGTTTAATTGCCTTGAAGGCCACCTATGATAGAGTTCCGGCCTCCCCTGTAGGATTACTGGCAGTTGTCTCTCTATGTGTGCCCTTCCTAGCAGGGAAGGAGGGAAGGAAATTAATTAGGACATTATTATTGAAATACAGTTGGCAGGACTAGGCAACTTGGCAAAAAATTAATTTCAGGTACAGAGAAAGGAGTGATAAAATTAGAAAAAGAGAAGTCACAGATGACATTAGGCTTCTTCTTTTTACCAGATATTAAATTAACTCTGATGGCAGCGAGTTTGGAAAAATCCAAGTATCCCCTGATTTATATTTCCTAGATTCGAAGACATAAGTAACTATAACAAACACCAGAAATATTATAACAGGGAAAAAAGAAACATTTCATTTTTATGACACATTTTGATTTTAGAAATATATATGGAGAATATTCTTTTCTTTTTCTTTATTCAATAAATATTTATTGACAACCCAATACATGCTAGACACTGTTCTAGAAATTAGAGCAAATTATTTTACAGAATAAAATAAAATCTGTACCTCCCTGCACTTTACTTTCTAGTTGGAGTCAGAAATAAACATAATAAATTACTTATTTTTGTAGCATGGTCATAGATGATAAATGCAGTGGATCCAGGGAAAAGTGGGATAAAGGGAATCAGGGTTGCCAGATGGGTTCGGGTAGAGGTTAGCATCTGAAACAGGTGGGTTGGTGAGAGCGGGTCCCACTGAGAAGGCATCACTTGAGCAAATGACTGGAAGGAAGTGAGGGAATGTACCCTGCGGCTATCTAGAGAAGGCTCTGCCAAGCAGACAGAACACCCGGTGTAAATAGGCTTTAATGGAAGCATTCCTGGTGTATTGAGAAACTTTCAACAGACGTATGAAGTTGAAGCTGAGCAGGCAAAAGGAGATGAGTTTAGAAAAACTCGAGAAGAGGGAGAGGTGAGATAACCTGTGGCTTCTCAGGACATGGTGAGGACTTTGGCTTTTGTTCTGAAAGAAATGGGAAACTATCGTAGGGTTCTTTGCAGATTTTTAAGGGGTGTTGTTGACTGCCTCTTGAAAATAGACTGTCAAGGGACAGGGCTAGAAGCAGGAAGATGAATTGAATTAGGAAGGCTATCGTAGTAACCCAGTGAAAGGCGATGTTAATTCCAGTTGGGGTAGCAGCAGCAGAAGGGATAAGAAGTAACCAGAAATAAATATGTATTTTAAATAGAAAAAATATGTTAATATATTGTCTTAGTCCATTCATACCGCTTTAACAACATACTGTAAATGGGTGGCTTATAAACAGCAGAAATGTATTTCTCTCAGTTTTAGAGGCTGGGAAGTCAAAGATCAAAGTGCCAGCAGATCTGGTGTCTGGCAAGGGCCTGCTTCTTCATAGATAATGCCTTCTCCTTGTGTCCTCACATGATGGAAGGGGTGAACAACTCCCTTGGGACTTTAGTGAGGGAATTAGCCCTCACAAATTCCATTCGTGAGGGCTCTGCCCTCACACTTGAATCACCTAGCAAAGGCCCCATTTCCTAATACCACCATGTTGGGAATTAGGAGTCTAACATATGAATTTTGGGGGAGACACAAACATTCAGACCATAGCATATATGTTCCAGGGTCCTATAGTCACATTAATTGTGGAAATACAGTCCTACATGCTAGATAACTTATCTTGAAGTTCAAAATAAATGTTAGCATATTATTAAGGCTTTGCAAAAACAGCAAAACCAAAAAAAAAAAAAAGCAAGATAAAAAGTGTTTAAATTTGACCCAGTATATTCTAAACTTGTTAGCTAACATAAACTGTTGTTGGCAGACATCTGTTAAGATTTCCAAAGACACCAGTTTCCCATAGAATAGTGGAAGAAATGTTGAGATAGGGGACTATGATTTTTATAAGCAACATTATTTGCTGAGAAATAACTATTGTAAAATCTGAATAATCCATTGTTGCATTATAAATATCCTTTATATTCCTATTGAGCTCTGAAGTACTCTTATCTGGTTATTAACTAGGCATTCAATAGCAATAATGCCATGATTCTACTTATTGAATTGATAATCAAAATAATAGCCACTGTATTCTTAGATTTTATGCCCTCTTCCCACAGTGGAAATGTTATACAAATGTTATTGACCTTACTATTCTGAAAATGTCTTGCAAATTAGAGCCTAAATGTTTAAATTATATCCTTACCCTTGCACAGGTTTGAAAGGTGGGTGCTAGATGAGAAAGCACTTTTATTCACTGCTGAAGTAATGCACATTGGCTGTAACCACGCCTCGCCTAACAGCAAAAGAATGTTCAGAAGCATGCCCAGTTAATTGAAACTACAGGGGGCATTTAAGTAGGCAAAGTGTTATTACTCAGTTAAAAATGTGTCCAGGATATCAGAATTACCATTCCCTACTCCTGCAAAAGGCACTCTGGGAATGGTAATGGCCACGAGTGTTAGGCCTCTGGCATCCTTTTACTTTCCTCATTCCTGCTGCTCTCGACAGACTTGGAGAGATATACACGTTACCATCCACAAGAACTGGGGTTACTGTTGTGAATGTGCAAGTCTGATGGTGTTCAAACCTGTGGTACGGGGCGAGAACCCTAGGCCATGGGCATGAGGTTTTCACATGAAGTTCTCCAATGCCAATAATATTTGAAAATTTACCTGAAAGAGTAATTTAAGTAGCAAAACTATAGCCCTTTTCATCGAGGACCTTTAAGTCTGAGGCAAGTTACTTTTAGTTTATTCCAAGATATTGTTTGGAAAAGAGATTTCTTTTCTTTACTTTTTCGAGATGGAGTTTTGCTCTTGTTGCCCAGGCTGGAGTACAATGGAGTGATCTCGGCTCACCGCAAACTCCACCTCCCGGGTTCAAGCGATTCTCCTGCCTCAGCCTCCCGAGTAGCTGGGCTTACAGGCATGCGCCACCACGCCTGGCTAATTTTGTTTTTTTTTTTTTTTTAGTAGAGACGGGGTTTCTCCATGTTGGTCAGGCTGTTCTCCAACTCCTGACCTCAGGTGATCTGCCCACCTCAGCCTCCCAAAGTGCTGGGATTACAGGCGTGAGCAACCGTGCCCAGCCGGAAAAGATATTTCTAATACAGTGCACTGATTATTTTAAATGAGATCATTTGCTACATTTGATCTTTCTTTCTTATTTGAAATTTAATCAGTTTCTTATAATTTCTAGAAAGCAAACACCCTATGTTTGCCATCTGTGAGTTTGTCTCTTAGGCTGAGGTGTTTGCCAATGTGGGTGTGTGAAAAGGTGAGAGTTCAGGGTCTCTGTAGGCAGGCGTGAGTGAGATCTTATCATACACTGGTAAAGTGTAAGTGCAGTGTTCTTTTAATCCTACCACCAGCACAATCTGGTACCTACTCCACATCCAAGAGCTTGCCTAAGTAAGAAAAAATATAATACATGGAAAAGAAAGAAATGTCCATTTGGACATTGGTTGCATCCTGGTTCTTGCACAGGAAAATCAGTCTGTAAATATAATAAGCAATAGCAGGATACAACACAGACATAATATTTTAAGATTTCTAAACATTCCTCTGTTAATTCAAAGACATAAGAGAAATAAATCACTTTTTATAAGGTATCAGAGAAGTTCTTGTAAGATTATTGATATGGTTTCCTACTTGTTAGCTGTTCCCCCACAAATAAATTATAAGTTCCTAGAGGGCAGGGGCAATATATCATTCACCTTTACACTTCCATCTGGACATACGGTAGGACCTCAGAATGTGATTGTTCATTGATTGATTGTATATACCATTAGGTATAAAATTAAGCTTTAAAATTGCACTTTATACAGGTATTTTTTTTTTCTTTCTCTTATTACCACCCCTTTGTCTCAACTGCCACCATTTCTCCCTGGATTATTGGTCTCTCTGCTTTCTCTTTTATTTCCTTCCAACAAAAGCAAAAGTGATGTTAGACTGAGAGCTAATTCACATAATTACCTTTTTGAAACCCTTCATTGCCTTCCCCCTTTCCTGAGAATAAATCTTAATACCTTTGAATTTCTTACCAGGGCCTGTCAGTACCTGTATGATCTGGCCCGTGTTTATTTTTTATTTTTTTTTCTCAGGTTCCTAGGGCCTTTATACAGGCAATCCCTCTTTGCCTGGAATGCTCTTTCTAGTCCCACAATGTGCACAAGCAGCTCCTTTGATTCTAAGGCCTCTGGCCTTTGTGATCACCCTATCTAAAGCTGGTCACTTCTGTTAGTGTCTTGTTTAGACATTTGTACATTTCCTTCAAGCACTTGCTATGCATTTCCATTATTTTCTGTTTGTCTGTATTTTCCATGAGGGGAGGCACTGTGCCAATCTTGCTCTGCATTTTATCTGTAGTGTCTAAGTCAGTGTCTGGCTTGTGGTAAGTGTTCAATACATATTTGTTTAAAAGCATTATGACAAAAATCTAAAGTAAATTTTTTTTCCATTAAATTCCATGTTCCTAACTTACTTTATAAAATTGGAATGAGTTCTGAAAAATCAATCACCTACAATGAACAGATTGCAAAATTTTTAGGAAAAAAGTTTTAAGATTTAGTCTAGTCATAATGATGTCCTGGCTATTATACTCTGGAATTGGAAAATTAGAAATAACCTATTCACCTCCCCTTTACTCATTTTACAGATGGAGAAACAATCGTAGAAGTTAAATGACCTGCCTGAGATCTCCAAGCTAGTTAGCAGTACAACCAGAATTAGAATTTCTAGTTTGGGGTTCATTTCACTATGCCACCTGTTTGGGAGAAAAATACCTACTAGATTCTCTAGATTCTTAGAGTCACCAGTCATCTTTAGTTTTAGAATCTCAAAAATAAAAACACTAAGTTCTAGAGTAAGGGATGTAAGAGAAATTGTCTGTCTGCTTTTGGGATTTGCCTTTTAAGGAAAGAAAAATGCCTTTTTTTTTTTTTAATCTTTTCCCTTTTCATTGCTGGAATACAGATGTGATGGCTAGAGCTAGAACAGTCATGTTGGATCTCTGAAATGGAAATCGTAGAAATTGAGAATGACGGAGCAAAAAGAGAGTAGTGGTAAGAGTCCTTACGTTGTCAGTCTGCCTTCTTAGTCTTAGAATGCTGGGAGAACTTCTATAGGAGAAGGAAATGTCTGTTCAGTTTTGGGTTCCTTTATTATAGCAGCCTAAACTCATAACATGCCATATGATTTGGTACCTAAAAGTGAAATGCTGTCCTAAGAAAAGACTAGAATGTGCAGCATCAGGCGATCGGGGGCAGTGATATAGATATTAGTGGCTGAAAATCTGAGACCCACGTGTGAACGTTGTGAAATGTTTGATGATATTGTTATCTGCGGTATGTTAGAAGTGAGACCAGATGCTAACATGCCTTGTAGCTCTAGAGCTGTCAATATGCGTTTTACAGTCCTGGTGGGGAGGGGTGGTGGTGGCATCATTTTATAAATTTTTGTAGCTGTTTTTGGTTGTCATAATAATTGAAGGAGGGAATTTAGTGGACAGGACTAGAGGTGGTAATTGTGTTACAAAGTTTAGGACACAGTCTGACACAAAAATAATTTATCTATATCTATCATGACTTTCAAACTGCTGGACATTTCTTGATAAAAACCTGGATAATTTATAAATATGCACACCTAATTCTGTTTCACATCCAACACAAAGATTTTTATTTTGCACTGATTTTTCCAGAAAAGTATATTAAGGGAAGATTTTATGTTGTCTTTTTTTTTTTTTTTTTTTTTGAGACAGGGTCTCACTCTATCACCCAGGCTGGAGCCCAATGGTGCGATCTCACCTCAGTACAACTTCCGCCTTCCAGGCTCAAGCCATCCCCCAACCTCAACCTCCCAAGTAGCTGGGACCACAGGAAAACACCACCATGCCTGGCTAATTTTTTTTGTATTTTTGGTAGAGGCAGGTTTTTGTCATGTTGCCAAGGCTGGTCTTGAACTCCTGAGCTCAAGCAATCTGCCCGCCTTGGCCTCCCAAAGTGCTGGGCTTATAGGTGTGAGCCACTGTGCCCAGCCCTTTATGTAGTCTTATTCCAAATTTTACTGAATTGTCATCATTTCAGAAGGTCATCTACAATAATCCTGCCTATAATGAGTCATCGACATAACACCCTTGTATGAGGCTGTATTTGTGGTTATTGTATCCAGAGATTCCATGTATAGATGCAAGAATCTCACTACTCTATTTTGTCTTCTAGTGTGGTTGTGCCTGAACAACTACCATGAATAATTTCAGAAATTACATGTGTAAATTTCAGAGTATGTCCTCAAAAGAAAGAAGCATGCATTTCCTTTCCTTTTTTCCCCCTGCTGGCTAATGACAAAGATGATGACTGGAGCCAGAGCAGCCATGGTGGATCAAGAGATGAAAGCCACAGTTGAAGATGGCAGAGCTATTACACAGAGGGAGGCTGTGTCTCTAAGATGGCACAGCTGCTGCATACCAATAACCCTGCCTATCCAAACTATTACGTGAGTGGGAACTAACCTGCACCTTGTTTGAGCCACTGTGTTTCAGGGTTTCTATGTCATGATAACCCAACAAAATTCCTATCTAATATAGTTGGGAAGAGCAAAATATAAATAAAACCTAGTAAAAGCCCCAGAACTTCTTGTTAAATACCCAAGCCCAAAACATTTTCAAAGATAAATTTATAAAAAGCATGATTATGAAATCGACAATTTGAAAGGACATTTTATTTATGTTTTTCCTATCTTTTCCTGTAATCAAGGAGACACGGCCGGGCATGGTGGCTCATACCTGTAATCCCAGCACTTTGGAAGACCAAGGCAGATGGATCACCTGGGGTCAGGAGTTTGAGACCAGCTTGGCCAACATGGTGAAATCCTGTCTCTACTAAAAATACAAAAATTAGCTGGGCGTGGTGGTGAACACCTGTAATCCCAGGTACTTGGGAGGCTGAGGCAGGAGAATCACTTGAACCTGGGAGGTGGAGGTTGCAGTGAGCCGAGATGGTGACACTGGACTCCAGACTGGGTGACAAGAGTGAAACTCCATCTAAAAAAAAAAAGAGAGAAAAAGAAAGAAAAAAAAGAAAAAGAAGACAGGCCTAGCATAAGAAACTTGGGAATTGGAAAAATAGCAGTACTTTTAGTAAAGATAAAATGCTTTTCATTAGAAATAGTCATGCTGGGCAGGCGTGGTGGCTCACATCTGTAATTCCAGCACTTTGGGAGGCCGAGGAAGGAGGATCACGTGAGGTTGGGAGTCCCAGACCAGCCTGACCAACGTGGAGAAACCCCGCCTCTACTAAAAAAAATACAAAATTAGCAGGGCATGGTGGTGCATGCCTGTAATCCCAGCTACTCCAGAGGCTGAGGCAGGAGAATTGCTTGAACCTGGGAGGCAGAGGTTGTGGTGAGCCAAGATCACTCCATTGCACTCCAGCCTGGGCAACAAGAGCGAAATTCCATCTCAAAAACAAAACAAAACAAACAAAAAAAAGAAATAGTCATACTGTAAGTTTTAACTTATAACTTTAAAAGGCACAGATGTATGTGTTTCTGGTATAGGATGATGCTTTTTTCTAGTTATATGCATATGTAAATATACATATTCATGCCAACTTTTAAAATGTATACAGTGGACATATTCCGTATATGTAATTCAAAAACAATAAAAACAGATCAAGAGGTTTGAAATGTTTTGTGTATTTAACAAGTATTTATCAAAAATAAAGGAGGTCTTTGTATTTAAAGTTCATAGCAATATTCTCTTGGATAATTTTATTCTTACTTCACACAGTATTGCCTACTGAGAACCTTATATTTGCATATAATGACAGTTACATAAGTATGTTGTGATTTAAAGACCAAATACGCTTATGCAGTGCCTAGCTCAGTGCCCTTCACGCAGTAGGCACTCACTAAACACTTAGCTACATGAATTTCACATGATTATATTCCTGAATGATGTATGATTGTATTGGTTACCATTTTATCAATATATTATTTATAGAACAGACCAATTTAAATATCTTAACAAAACAGTTCAAGAATTCTAACTATAAGTCTGATCATGTTTGTTAAAAACAAAACAAAACAAAACAAAATAACCACCAAAGGAAAACAACGACGACAAAGAAACAAAGACACAAACAAACAAAAAACCCTAGATCAGATCATGGAAACCGAGTGAGTTTCTGAGAGTCAAAGCAAATTCTGAAGATAGAGATGAGAATAGAAGTTGTGGCAGCTGATTCCCCATTTCAGTGCTTTGTTTTAGCTGACCACATTTCCTCCCTCCTTAGAGAAAATCGATGTACAATGAAATTATCTGTACTCATCTCTGGTAAATAAATAGGAGAAATCTTTCTTGTTTCAAGACATCAATGTGCAACGATTGTTCACATGGAGAATTTTGTTTGTTTTTCTTCAACGGCTCTTCAATTTTCCATTTTGTCAACTTAAAAAAAACCAGTAAAATATTTTATTAAAGTAAGTGAAGAGAGACTACAGGGGCCAAATACAAAATTTAAAAATCATTTAGAGAAAATTTTACTCAAATATATACTGCACATATTATTCAGAAACAACAAATGTTTGGATGTTTATTCAAACTTGTAATTTATAAAGAAGTTGAATATAAGTAAAAATGTAAGGGAGATGAACAGTAAAGATAGCAATTTTCAGGTGGATGCCTATATTTTGCAGCTCAATGTATCACTTTTAAATGGCATATCTGAGATTCATGTGCTTACATCTGCATGATTGAATCTGTGTAAATATGACTTTATTTACACTGTTTGTATGTGCAGTTAGGAAATTTTACAAATTATGTCTGGAAGTACATTTAGAATGTCCATGATGACATTTTTACATGTTTAAATGTTAGGTTTTTTTCCTGGGCATTTTATATCCTGCCTCTAATTTGTATTTAGATTTCAAACCTACTTTGCAGGAGCCATATCTAATTCAATGTTCTTTGCACCATCGGGCATACTACTTGTACTAAATAACTGTTTATCATCATTGAGTGTCTTAAAGTAAATGCAACATAATTTCATCTGCCAAAATCCTGCTATGCGTTTATATGTTGCTTTTAAAAACATATAACCCCAAGTAAATCACATAAACATGGTGTACTGTACAGTCTGGGTCTGCTGTCTGCTGCTTTCCTCTTATTATTCTTCCAATGTTACTTTTGTTTCTACTTCCCCTCCTCCCTTCTACATCAAACCACTTTTACTACAAATTCAATTTTGAAAAGATAAGTTTTTAGTCTCTGATAAACCTTTACCATTCAGAGAGAAGTCTGAAAGAAAGGAATGTCGGCACACTCACACACTTACACACACATTCACACACACATACACACACACATGAGATAAGGGTCATAATCACCACAGCGCAACAATCCAAAGGTAGAGGCATTTAGCTATGGAATGGTTAGCAATATAACTTTAATTTGAAAAAGATTGGAGAACCAAAGAGATATTTAAAATTTTTAAAAATCACTCTCACATCTTCCTTTGTTGCATCTTTTCAGTTCTCTCAAAAAACTTGACAGCTCTGGGAAAACAAAACCCTTCAACATTTCTTGAAGCTTAGAGTCAGTCCTCAGAAAAGAACTCTTTCTACGTTGTACACACTTAAAGCCGACTTGGACTAAAGTACTAAACAACAGCTCAGTAGCAGCTATTTTAAATCACATAAGACTCATCCAGAGATGCCAAAAAGCTTAGAACCAGCAGGCCCTGATTGTGGGTTAAAAAGAGAGGTTGGGGAGGTAGGGGAAGAAAGAGGGAAGGTACTTAAATGGATGTTCTTGTCATCGAAATAAAAATCACAATATTCACCTAGTATTTGAATTCACAAAGAATGTTAAAAATAACTTGCATTTGATTCTGTAACCTTTGAAAAAACTTGAAGAATAGTGGCATTATTCTGTTCTTACCAGCCACCAAATAGTCTCAGACATAAGCCATGCAAGGTGTCTCTCAGATGGGCCATGATTATTAGAATCATAGATTTATAGACATGGAAGGACCAGCGGGAGGTAGTCAGAAACTAACTAGTTCAAGAATCAGAAAACCTTGCTAGGCATCTGTCTCAAATACTAATTAAATCTAAATTGAAAAAGCCATGTGATCACAGACTCAATTTCTTTCTCTGAAAAATGGGAACAGTTTTCTTTGTCTTGTCTTGGCTCAAAGTTATTGTGTAGCTCATATCAGATAACATGTGTGAGAGTGCTTTGATCTGGTAGAGGATGCTGTAGATAAAATGTATTTTCTTCTAAAATAACTTGTAATCAGGCCTGGTGCGGTGGCTAACGCCTGTAACCCCAGCACTTTGGGAGGCCAAGGCTGGTGGATCACCAGAGGTCAGAAGTTTGAGGCCAGTCTGGCCAACATGGTGAAACCCCGTCTCTACCGAAAATACAAAAATTAGCCAGGCAAGGTGCCTCGTGCCTGTAATCCCAGGTATTTGGGAGGCTGAAGCAGGAGAATCACTTCAACCTGGGAGGCGGAGGTTGCAGTAAGCCAAGGTCATACCACTGCACTCCAGCCTGAGCAACAGAGCAAGACTCGGTTTCAAAAAAATAAAAAATAAATAGTAAATAAAATAAAATGAAATAAAATAAAATAACTTGTAATTAGCAGATAAAGAAGATTATGAAGCCCATTTTGGTTAGATGACACCCACATTTTAATAAACAGCACAACCAGAATTCAAATTTGGGTTGACGATAGTCTAGAAAAGGAGATTGTCCTCATATGTTCATAGTGAGGCTTTGTCTGGAGACCCCATGATCTAAACGTAGCCCAGGTGCTTTCCTTCTTTATGTTCTATTTTCTTTTAGGCTAGGAAGGCGTCAAGACTCACACAAATGGGCAAAGACAACCTGACCACAGATTCTCAAGTACCTAAAACAGTGATTCACTGCTGGTGCCCCTTGGACTCCTAGTGTGAGGGTGTGGGTGGGAGGAGGGAGCTGGATATGGAGTTATTTCCAGAATAATGAACACTAAGCTCTGTAATAGAATAAATTATAGTTTACACACATTTGTAAGACTATGCTTTCAATGCATGTAGCTGATATTAAGATTGTTCAGATAAAATTAATCTAAATGCTTCTGGAATTCAGAGTAGCTCTCGGTATTTTATTTTCTTTAAAATTAAAGGACCCTTAAGTATAACTGCAAGGAAAAGAAGCCTGCAGACTTTAAATATTTGGGGAAGATTTGGCCTAATTTCTTTCTTCCTATGCCAGAATGATGTGAGTAGGTAAAGTGGAAGACAAATTCAGAGGAACATACTTAAGAGCAAAAGAATGTGAGAGCCCTCCCCTCAGTAAAAACTATGTTAGAGTCCATTTTTATTTATTTGTTTTTTTGAGATGAAGCCTCACTCTGTTGCCCAGGCTGGAGTGCAATGGCACAATCTTGGCTCACCGCAACCTCCGCCTCATGGGTTCAAGTGAGTCTCTTGCCTCAGCCTCCCGAGTAGCTGGGATTACAGGCGTGCATCACCACAGCTGATTAATTTTTGTATTTGTAGTAGAGACGGGGCTTCACCATATTGGCCAGGCTGGTCTTGAACTCCTGACCTCAGGTGATCCACCCCCCTCGGCCTCCCAAAGTTCTGGGATTACAGGTGTGAGCCACCACACCTGGCCACCCATTTTTATTTAAAATATGATTAGGCAAATAATAAAATTCTAACCACTCTTTAGTTAGTAATTGTTACAGTACAGAAGTATGTTCATTTATTCATTGGGATAGATAGATAGATAGATAGATGATAGATAGATAGATAGATAGATAGATAGAATTTTTTGTTGTTTTTTTTGAGACAGGGTCTCACTCTGTGGCCCAGACTACAGTTCAGTGGTTCAGTCACGATTCACTGTGGCCTTCCTTGATCTCCTGGGCTCAAGTGATCCTCCCACCTTTGCCTCCCGAGTGGCTGGGACCACAGGCATGTGTCACCACACCTGGCTAATTTTTTACATTTATTTTTTGTAGTGGTGAGGTCTCACTATGTTGCTCAGGCTGGTCTCAAACTCCTGGGCTCAAGTGATCCTCTTGCCTCGGCCTCTCAAAGTGCTGGGATTACAGACATGAGCCACCAGGCAGGCCTATTCATTGGTGTTCATGGCTTTTTTTTTTTTTTTGGTTTCCAGATGATAAAAAAATGACCACTAAATTATATGATAAATTTGGTTTTTGTTCAGCCTGAAAAATTGCTTGGAATAACCTGGTGAAACAGTAATCTCTGCAGCTCAGATATTATTCATAAAAGCTTAGTGCTTACGTTTATATTCATACTCAGCAGATACTGAGAGAATAGAAGTTAAAAAAAAGAAAATGTATGTTCTGAATCTGGTACATAACTCTTGCAAATCATTATTTCCAGGATTCCTCCTAGCAGGATAACTGGAAAAGTAAAGTAGAGGAAACATTAGGGTAACCTTATTTATTGGGGCTCTGAGGGTTTATAACAAAATGACAATTATGTATAATATTTTGAACATGAAAAATGAGTAGAATTATCGTTGTGCTAAGTACTAATAATAATGGAGCTGAATTTATTGAACTCCTATGCACATTTAAGCTTATACTAACGCTGAAGGGTAGTTATTCATATTCCCATTTTGCAGATGAGAAAACTGAACTCAGAGAAATTAAATAGTATATTAAAGCCATGGAGCTTGTAAAGGCATGACTAAAATTCGAATTTAGTTTTAATTCCAAGCTTAGGATGCAGACTTCAGTTATTTGGGATGATGAAAAGGCAAGAGGGAAATTCAAATCATTTTTTATGCCAGTTAGACCTAAGTATATGACCAGTGGTTTAGTGGTAGGTCCAGGTTTTACGGTGTCTAAAGTATATAAAAATTTAAGAAATTTAGGGGCTTATGCAAGTGAGGGGTCCACTGACCTTCCTGATAAATTCATCTTGGAGTTGGTTTCAGGAATCCAGCCAATAACTAATATAGGCCCTTCATTCTAGACACGATCCTAGCCCTAACCTGAAATCAAGAATGCCACTAGGCATTTGTGCTAGTACAGTGGTCCTCAAACATCTCCCTGTCTCTGTTTTTTTCCCCCGATCTAACTTATTAAAGGATATAACAAAGTTCCTCCTGTAAGAGTGGCTCATTAAGACGTGGGTTCCCAGCAGTAAATGTCACTGCTCTGAGTTGAGACTCACAGCTTGAGGATTATGAGAGTTTGGTTTTCTTCTTAAGATGAATACATTATTTATTCAGCACCCTAATTATTAATTGCCTGTCTACTATGAACTAAGCATGTGGCTAGTTTCTAGATTACCATAGATAATAAGAGAGAGAATTCCTACCCTAATGAAACTTCTAATTCTCAGAATCTCTATCAGTTATATAATTTCTCAAACACAGTATATAGGTTCAAAAGTTGGTGTAGTCTATGACTTTTCTTTTTCCATTACCATACATGCAATCTATTATGTTGATTTTTCCTGTGAAAGCTCTTTTGATTCATTCTTAATTCTCCTTTTCTACCAGCAAGAGTCCTTCTCTCCTCAAATGTGGATTATCAGAATATCTTCTTTAAAGTTTCTTTCTTCTTTTAACAACTATTTATTGCATACCAGGCATGCATCATATAGAGTGCTAGGCATTTACCTTTCTTTCTTTTTTTTTTTTTTTGAAACAGAGTCTTGCTCTGTTACCCAGGCTGTAGTGCAGTGGTGCGATCTCAGCTCATTGCAACCTCTGCCTCCCAGGTTCAAGTGATCCTTCTGCCTCAGCCTCCCAAGTAGCTAGGACTACAGGTGTGCGCCACCATGCCTGGCTAAATTTTTGTGTTTTTAGTAGAGATGGAGTTTCACCATATTGGCCAGGTTGGTCTCGAACTCCCGACCTCGTGATCTGCCTGCCTTGGCCTCCCAAAGTGCTGGAATTACAGGCATGAGCCACCAGGCCCAGCCCAGGTATTTAACTTTCTAAACTCTGTTCTATTTCTTCTCCAGCTCATCCTATGTACTAAAAATACTACACTGCTCGTGTCACTTAGAGCTTCTAGAGGCTTTGTCCCAGAGTAATAAGGCTGAACATGATGAAGCTGAGTATGATGAAGATCAAGGCCAGGCATGGTGGCTCACGCCTGTAATCTCAGTACTTTGGGAGGCTGAGGCAGTCGGACCACTTGAACTCAGGAGTTGGAGACCAGCCTGGGCAACATGGTGAAACCCCATCTCTACAAAAAATACAAAACAATTAGCTGGTGTGGTGGTGCATACCTGTGGTCCCAGCTACTCAGGTAGCTGAGGTGGGAGGACTGCTTGAGCCCAGGGAGGTGGAGGTTGCAGTGAGCTGAGCTACTGCCTCTGCACTCCAGCCTGGGTGAAAGAGCCAGACCCTGTCTCAAAAAAAATACAAATAATAATAATAATAAAATCACAGGAATACTTTTGAATTTGTGCCACCTTGAGGAAGGGGCAGCTTGAGTTGATCTGAAATATGGTGCATGCCTGAATGAACTGTATCCTGGGCCTGTACTGGTATGAAGATAAAGCTGAAGCCTGGAAAATGTGAGAAGAGGGTACATTCATCCTCAACTTCTAGGCCTGTCACTACCAGGTGCTAGGCCTGTCACTACTAGATGTATGATCAGTGATCTATAAGTATTTAATTGATTGATCCCAGTGCATATTGAGTGACAACACTGTTCCTGGCATTCAACCCTGTAGCCATCATCTAGCCCAGATTTATGCCTTTTTGTCAGTGACCTTGGGCATGTTATTGCGTATACAGTTTCTCTTGTGAGCCTCATCTCTTCCTCCTGCCCTAAAACAAATTTCATGATACCACAGGTTTTGTTCCTCAATAATATTTAGTGTCATTTAACCTTATTAACTACTTCCATACAGTAAATCCTGTATGGTGTGATGGTGAAACTGCAGACTTTGGGCTTTAGACTGCTGGGATTTTATTTCTGAGTCTACTATTTACTGGCTTTGTTATGCTGGGCAAGTTAATTTGCCACTGTCAGAGTCACTGTTTGTGTAAGTAAACTGAGGAGAAATTATAGTACAGTCAGCCTTCCCCATCCATGGGGTCCGCATCTATAGATTCAACCAACAGTGGTTCAAAAATGTTTTTAAAATAACAATACAACAATAAAAAATAATGCCAGCATTTTGAAGATGTTCATGTTATTGACTTACTTTTTCTATATTTCCCATAGCTCCTGGCATAGTTGGACAAAAGATAAGCATTCAATAAGTACCTAATTGCACCCAATATATATTGGACAATTCATGGCAACAGATAACACAATTATTCCCAGAAGAATGCCACAGGGCGCAACTGAAACATGCTGCTTATTCTTTCTGCAGTCCGTTACTAGCACCAACTTTATCCTATTCTCCTGGCCCCTGCCTCTCATGCTTCATATTAAAAGTCACCAAATGCTCTGGATTCTTACTTTCCAGTTTCTCCCAAATCAGTTCCTCCCTTCTTTCCACTGTCCTTCACCTCTGCACTATAGCAACAGCTGCTTTGCTGCATGCACCTCCCCTTGTGGGGTCACAGCTCCTACTTCCCTCCTGGGATTCTATCCTCCCACCACGGCCAGGTTAGCTCCCTCAAACAGCATTTTTCATCATGTCTTTCCTCCACTGCTCATTTACTTACCTAATAAACTCCACACTCCTCAGCTTAGTTTTTAAGGCTCTTCGTAAATCTTTTTTCACCTTTTCTAGCAACATTTAGGTTTTACTTTTGGCTCCATGTGCTCTTAGCACTGGCCTGGAAATCTTATTCATCGCCCTCTTAAAACACCCTTCTTACTTCTCTGGAGTTTAGCATCTGCTATCTTCCTCACTTATAGTATCCTTTCCTATTCTCCTCATTAATACAAATCCTGCCCATCCTTCAAGATAGAGTTAAAATTCTATTTTATCCATAAGGTTTTCCCTCTGCATCAGCCAACAATGAACCACTTATTTACTTTAATCCTGCAATCAATAGATGTTTATTGAGTCTTTATTATATGCCAGGAAATATTCCAGGTGTTCAGACTACCAATATGAATAAGGGCCAGTTTCTTTTTCTTTTTTTTTTTTTTTTTTTTTTTTTTTTTGAGATGGAGTCTCACTTTTTTGCCCAGGCCGGACTGCAGTGGCACTATCTTGGCTCACTGC
Organism: Homo sapiens; assembly: GCF_000001405.40. Taxonomy (NCBI): domain Eukaryota; kingdom Metazoa; phylum Chordata; class Mammalia; order Primates; family Hominidae; genus Homo; species Homo sapiens. Next base: position 81,528,585 of record NC_000001.11, on the reverse strand, counting down.
AAGCTCCGCCACCCTGGTTCATGCCATTCTCCGGCCTCAGCCTCCCGAGTAGCTGAGACTACAGGCGCCTGCCACAGCGCCCGGCTAATTTTTTGTATTTTTGGTAGAGACGGGGTTTCACCGTGTTAGCCAGGATGGTCTCGATCTCCTGACCTCCTGAATCCACTCGCCTCGGCCTCCCAAAGTGCTGGGATTACAGGCGTGAGCCACCGCGCCGGGCCGGGTCAGTTTCTATTCTAAAGAACCTCAGCTACCTTCTATCTAATTCCTATAGCACTCATGGGATCACTCATTTTGGCACCAGTTGTATCTTGCTTCTTTTCTCCAACTCTCTTAGTTCATCCAGGCTGCTCTAACAAAATATCTAAAACTGGTTAATTTATAAATAATAGAAATGTATTTCTCACAGTTCTGGAGGTCGGGAGGTTGAAGATCAAGATGCTGTCAGCGAATTTGTTGTCTGGTAAGGGTTCACTCTGTACTTGCAAGAAGATATCTTTTTCCTTTTCTTTTTCTTTTGAGACGGAGTCTCGCTCTGTGGCCCAGACTGGAGTGCAGTGACGCGATCTCGGCTCACTGCAAGCTCCGCCTCCCGGGTTCACGTCATTCTCCTGCCTCAGCCCCCCGAGTAGCTGGGACCACAGGTGCATGCAACCGCACCCGGCTAATTGTTGGTATTTTTAGTAGAGACGGGGTTTCACCGTGTTAGCCAGGATGGTCTCGATCTCCTGACCTCGTGATCCACCCGCCTCAGCCTCCCAAAATGCTGGGATTACAGGCGTGAGCCACCTTGCCTGGCCAGAAGTTATCTTCTTACTTTGTCCTCAAATGGTGGAAAGGACAAGGCAGCTCCCTCCGATCACTTTTTTTTTTTGAGGCAGAGTTTTGCTCTATCCCCTAGGTTGGAGTGCAGTGGCGCGATCTTGGCTCACTGCAACCTCCGCCTCCCGGGTTCAAGTGATTCTCCCGTCTCAGCCTCCTGAGTAGCTGGGATTACAGGCGACTGCCACCACGCCCAGCTAATTTTTGTATTTTTAGTAGAGACAGGGTTTCTCCATGTTGGCCAGGCTGGTCTCGAACTCCTGAACTTGGGTGATCCACCTGCCTTGGTCTCCCAAAGTGCTGAGATTACAGGCCTGAGCCACCGTGCTCGACTTCGACCGCTTTTATAAGGACACTAATCCCATTCATGAGGGCTGGTGTAGGAGGCGACCTAAACTCCTCCCTGAGACTCCCCCTCTTAATATTATCTCATTGGGGAGTAAGTTTCAACATATGAATTTTGGGGGGTTAAACTCAGACTACAGCTGCGACTGACAACACTTTGTGATGAGGGAAACTGGTTGAGGAAGTCTATGTGACAAACTCAAGTGAGGAAATGATCTGCATTGTTTTTGTGGTTCCTAAAGAGCAGAACCAGGTTGGTATTTTATTGGTGATCCTAATAGTACCTAACAGATTAAATGCTGAATTCGACTTTATTGAATGAAAACATTCTGATTTTCATGTATAGATTTTATATTTTGCTTTTGCAAATTTTGCAGCCAGATGCAATTTAAAGATCATTTTGATTTTAATACCACCCAAACAGATCCATTAACCTGATAGCCAGAGAAATACTGTAGCCAGAGGTGGCTCCAAACGGTCAATACTATTCCCTCAAATAGGGTAAATCAGGGCATCATAGCAGTATAAGGAGGTGCGCTTGTGTTAGCTCTGCCCTTGGGCGAACTTACCCTAGAATTGTAATAACAAACAGACAAAAATATCTGATTTAATTTACAGTTTCCAAATATGGAGAATGTGTATATTCGAAATAGACTTTCCTCTGGGCATTACTGACACAGGTAATAGCAAGGTAGGCATATTTACATAAGTAGAAACTGTTTTTAAAGCAGAAAAAATACAAACATTCCTAAAAAAACAAAATCTCCCTCCCAGAGAAAAATCTCAATAGGAGAGAATCCTAATCGGGACTTTTAAAAGTTTAACACAGAATGATGTTAAACATTACATATCTCTTCTCTACATTCAAAGTAATTTCTTTTTGAAGATGTGTAATGACATTCTGCTTTTTCTTTCTTTATATTTTTAAAAGGTTAACTTAATTGTATCTAAAAATATATACATATCTTTTTAAGTAGTTTGCTACCTATCAAGCTATAATATTGACATGAATTTGATATATGAATTTCAAGTGAAAGGAGGGTAATAATGTGAGGAAAATATCTACAGGGAATAGTTAAACTGCAAAATAGCTGATCAGGGTTTTTATATCATAACTTTTATTATTCCTAGACCATTCTCACTAGACATTAATTCCCATAGGTTCAAAAGTTATTCTGCATGCCTGTATGTTGCAAAGTGGCTTTCAATTATTAATAAAACAGGCAAATATTAAATGAAATGCACTATATGATACAAGGAGACAAAATAAGCTTGCAAATCTGCTTAATTTTACTTCTTTAGCTTTTATGTAATTGTCTATAAAAGGAAACAGAGAAAATTCTTTGTCCAATTAAACTGGGAAGACACAGTGAGTGGCAGCTCCATGATCTGATCTTGGTCTTCTCAGTGGGTGTCATGGGTTGTGCACCAAGATGAGGATACACTTTTAGTTATTAGCGTTCAACTCACATTATGCTTATCTTTCCTTATTGTGCATCTTTCATCAGCTTCACTGTCAAATAAATATCAATCCATGTTTTAGAAAAGTAATGTCAAGTAATTTGAAAGTTGTAAAGAAAATCATGGCAAAAGGTAGAACATTTAAGCCAGTGGTGTGCTGGTCTTACTACTGGCTCCACCTTTGCCCCCCACCAATATAATAAAGCCCTGATGTGTAGCGTTTCCTATTTCCTTGGGATAAATACTCTCACTAAAGTAGATTTCAAGCTAACAACACGATACCACTGAAAATGGAGTTAGGAAGACATTTTATACACTATGTCAGAAAGTACACTTTATAGGCAGGGTATGGTGGCTCATGCCTGTAATCCCAGCTCTTTGAGAGGCTGAAAGGGGCAGATCACTTGAGGTCAGGAGTTCAAGACCAGCCTGGTCAATGTGGTGAAACCCCGTCTCTACTAGAAATACACAAATTATCTGGGCTTGGTGGCACACGCCTGCAATCCCAGCTGTTCGGGAGGCTGAGGCATGAGAATCGCTTGAACCCAGGAGGCGGAGGTTGCAGTGAGCCGGGATCGCACCACTGCACTCCAGCCTCGGGGACAGAGGAAGACTGTCTCCAAAAAAAAAAAAGTGCACTTTGGAATGTCCATGTTGACATTTTTACTACACGTGTGGAATGTTAGGCTCCTTCCGGGTACTCTCTAATTTGTATTTAGATTTCAAGCTTACTGGTTTGAAGAGAGGTGAGCCACTCTCCCTTCAGTTAGAAAATATGTGCCTGAAAGAGCCACACTTATGGGGTATGACTGTGAGTTACAAGCTAAGGTGTTTAAAATTTGTTATATTTTAGTTTATTTTTTGAATAGTGATGACCTCAAAAGGTTCTAATTCAAAAGATATAAAAAGTATGAGAAGTCTCTCTTTTTACCTCTGTCCCCTAACCACCCAATGTTCTTCCCTGGAGATAAACAACTTTGTTACTTTCTTGGGTACTTTTACAAAGATATTCTATACAAATGTATATATTCCATCCTATTTTTATTTTTTTTTAAGAGACAAGTTCTCACTGTCGCCCAGGCTAGAATGCAGTGGCACGATCATAGCTCCCTGTAGCCTCTAACTCCTGGACTCAAGAGATCCTCCTGCCTCAGCCCCCTGACCCTCTCCAGTAGCTAGGATTACAGGCCTGAGTCAAGATGTTCTCCCCAAACTCCATTTTAAAAACATAAATGTAGCATGCTATACATACTGTTTTGCATCTTGTTTTTTTGGTTGTTGTTGTTAATATAAATTAAAAAATGTTTAGTATTTATACATGAAGTTTTTTTTCTTTCATATTTGGATAAATTATTACATTATATGGTTGTTCCATTACGTGTTTAAACTGTCTTCTATTGATGTCTTCCTATTTAGGTTCTTTCCTATCTTTTGCTTTTATACACACACACACTGTAATGGCATCCTATATATATGTAGTTTTTCACATGTATGTGTATAATCCTAAATAGATTCTCAAATTAATTCCTAGAAGCATAATTTCAGTTTCAGAAGATTTGTATGTTTGTATGATTTTTATTTATTTATTTTTTGAGACGGAGTCTCGCTCTGTTGCCCAGGCTAGAGTGCAGTGGCTCGATCTCGGCTCACTGCAAGCTCCACCTCCCAGGTTTACGCCATTCTCCTGCCTCAGCCTCCCGAGTAGCTGGGACTACAGGCGCCCGTCACCACATCCGGCTAATTTTTTGTATTTTTTTTTTTAGTAGAGATGGGGTTTCACTGTGTTAGCCAGGATGGTCTCGATCTCCTGACCTCGTGATCCAACCGCCTCGGCCTCCCAAAGTGCTGGGATTACAGGCGTGAGCCACTGCGCCTGGCCCATTTTTTTATTTTTGAGATGAAATCTTGCACCGTCACCCAGCTGGAGTGCAATATCGCAATCTTGGCTCACTGCAACCTTCACCTCCCGGGTTCAAGCAGTTCACCTGCCTCAGCCTCCTGAGTAGCTGGGATTATGAGCTCCTGTCACCACACCCAGCTACTTTCTTTTGTATTTTTAGTAGAGACGAGGTTTCACTATCTTCGCTGGGCTGGTTTTGAACTCCTGACCTTGTGATCCGCCCACTTCGGCCTCCCAAAGTGCTGGGATTACAGGCACAAGCCACCGTACCAGGCCCGATTTTTAAAATTTATTTATTTTTTCTGCTATTGCCAAATTTATTTCTATGGAAGTGGAAGAGATTTAGTTTCTCCAAACCTTCACCAACATAGGGTGTTATCCAACTTTTGGATCTTTGCCAATCTGATACATGAAAAAAGTTTGGGTGATTTCGATTTGTATTTTTCAGATTATGAGTGAGATCAACCATTTTTTGTTTTATTTAAATGTATTTTCTTTTCTATGAGATAGCTGTACATTTCCTTTACCCATGTTTTATTGGGTTATTTTAAAAAATATTGACTTATGGTATAGATGAGTTATAGATTCAAATTATTGTTCTATCTCTCTCCTTCCTTCTCTCTCTCTCTGTGTGTGTGTATGCATGCCAATATTATAATACTTTAATTATTGAAGCTTTATAGGATGTTTTAATAACTGGAAGATCTAGTTCCCTTTTAGTGTTTTTCTTTTTAAGACTTCCTGGCTCTATTTGATTGTTTATTTTTTCATATAAAAAATTTGGTATCAGCTTATCTTGTTCTGGAAATACTTTGATTAACGTTTTATATTAGTATGACATAATAGCTACAGGTAAAGTTAAGGATAATTGACATCTTTATGATATATCTTCTCATCCAAGAACATTGTATGGGTCTCTATCTATGCAAGTGTTTTTTGTTCTTCAGTAGTTTTTGAACTTCCGTCATATAGTGTTTGCTCATATTTTTGTTAATTTTTTTTCCAGGTAACTTTTTTTCTGTGTTGCCATTGAGAAGCCATATCTTTAATTGTAGCCTCAACCACTTTACAGTTCTTGAATTACATAGTTTGGAAACTAAATAAAAAAGATATCTTCTCTAGAGCATATTCAGATATGAAATTCCTACTGAACCTTTGAATGTAAATAAATTACTAAAAATGAGCCATAGGTTTCTTGTTGAGTAAGAGTAAAATTTGTATACTCAATTTATTGGACTGGATAATGAATACAAAACAATCAAGCACGCAAAAATTAGCTTTATCATCCTAATAATTTAAGAGATAAAATACGGATTTTTATCTGTTGTATTAGAATTACACTTAACTTCACTGGTTTAAATAATTTTCAATGTTGTTTTTGTCCCTTTTCCTCTTAAAAAATCAGCAAGCAAGTACATATTAAAGACAGAAAAAGTATAGCTTAAACCACATATAGAACATAACTTCTTAAGCTATGCATCACCTATACTACAGGACAATCCTGGGATCTACACCTCCTTGATATGTGCTGCTGGCCCTCTAGATGCCACATAAGCCAACTGTGCATGTGCACTCACCAAATGGAGAAGAAGAGCTCTTGAACTGACATGTTATATTTATAATGTTCCTCTAGTAATGTAGTAATCCTAGCACCCTCAATATATTCCTTAATCACTTAATCACTACCAACCAGCAATTCTTTTTTCCCTTTTTTTCAAATTTCTTGATTCTAACCACTCCATCAATTCCTAGCACTGATTTTATTAAATCAGTATATATGAAAGTATATTTATGGCCCGGCACAGTGGCTCACACCTGTAATCCCAGCACTTTGGGAGGCTGAGGTGGGCAGATCACCTGAGGTCAGGAGCTCGAGACCAGCCTGGCCAACATGGCGAAAACCCATCTCTACTACAAATACAAAAATTAGCTGGGTACAGTGGTGTGCGCCTGTAATCCCAGCTACCCAAGAGGCTGAGGAAGGAGAATCGCCGGAACCCAGGAGGCAGAGGCTGCAGTGAGCCGAGATTGCACCACTGCACTCCAGCCTGGGTGACAGAACAAGTCTCTTTCTCAAAAAAAAAAAAAAACAAAAAGTACATTTATTATACAAGTATGTATCTCATTTGAATGCCAATGACGATATCTTCTCAATATCTTCTCAATACTGCCCATAGCAGACAGAGGTTAATACACACAGGAGAAGGACTATGAAATCATACTCTGTATTTTGTATACTCAACCAAAAGAAAAGAAGAATTTAATTCCTCCACATCATCTTTTCCCATGTCTCAGTAGCCTGACACCTTCCTCAATCACCTAACTAAAGTGTGGAAAGAATGAAAACTCTTTGAGAAATCTGTGACCCAGAAAGTGAAAAACCAAAAATTATGAAGCATCAAATGACATGCTATTTATCATTTTTCTTCTACATAAAATCCACCACTTACAGACTCTGCTTCATGGCTATATATAAAAAGCTTCAGTGACTAAGTAGTTTATATGATTTTAATATGATATATAGGTAAGTATAAGATATTTTTATTACAAAATGATTACTTCCTTATTAAAGAAGCCTTAAGAATAGAGAAAAGTAGGAAGAAATCTGTGATACCTTCATGTTCCTAAATTCAAATACAACCACTCCTTTGACTCTTTTGAAATCATAATTTTACCTGTATATATTATATAATTTTATCCTGTTTAACATATTAAAAGCATTTTTCTTTTTATATTTTAATTGTGAATAGTTTTAAAGGATGGAAAATAATATAACATTTTCCACATCACTATATAGTATAATTAGCCACAAGAGACAGTGGAATATAGCAGTAAGTGCATAGCTTTAAAGTCAGACAGATATGGATTCATCAGCTGCCATGTGTTTCCCTCTGCATGTTCTTTACTTTTTTCCCCACTGATTGAATCACTGATTTTTAGCTGAGTACATGACCTTCCAGAATAAAGATGACGTTTCCTTGCTTTTCCTGCAGCTAGCAGTTCTATCCAATGTGATGTGAATAAAATGGTGTGTGAAACTTTCTGGCTTATTTTAAAAGTTAGGGCACATGTTCTTCTTTGCTCCTTCCTCCTTTCTGTTGGCTAGAATGCTGGAAATCAAGTAGCCGTATTGGTCCCTGTGGTGGGCACAATCCTGGGATCGGGGAATGAAAAGCCAGAAAAGCCTGGGTCTCTCAGGACTTCGTGGAATGCCATATTTGTGCCAGACTGCCTGTCATAGACTTTTTATGAGAGAGACTGTATTAGTCAGTTTTCACCTTGCTGAAGAACTACCCAAGACTGGTAATTTGTAAAGGAAAGAGGTTTAATTGACTCACAGTTCTGCATGGTTGGGGAGGCCTCAGGGAACTTACAATCATGGCAGAAGGGGAAGCAGGTACTTCTAACGTGGAGGCAGGCAAGAGAGTCTGAAGGAGGAACTGTCAAACACTTATAAAACCATCAGATCTCATGAGAACTCACTCACTATCATGAGAACAGCATGGGAGAAACCACCCCCATGATCCAATCATCTCCCTTCAGGTCCTTCCCTTTACATGTAGGGATTATGGGGATTACAATTCAAGGTGAGATTTGGGTGGGGACACAGAGCCAAACCATATCAGAGACTTTAAAAGGTGTTTAAGTTCAAGTTAGTATGTGTGTGTATGTGTGTGTGTGTGGCAGAGGGGCGGGGATGGTGTTTTTATGTCACTCACAGCTTTATCAAATCCTACCTAATATAATTGGTTTTAGTACTAAACAGTAGATGAGTAGTGATTTATCTCAAAAGGATGTGTATTGCTTCTATTAAAAAACAAAACAAACAAAAAACAAAGAAAACCCAAAAGGCAGCAGGCAATACCAGGGTAGCTTGTTGGCTAATTGCAGCCACTGGGGGCCTAGATTACTTTTCTTGTTTACTTTGTCATTCTCATCATTTGCTTCTAATCCCTTCATGATCCCAAAATGGCTGCTTCAGCCTCCAGCATCATCTACTCTCATAAAAATGTTCAAAGGCAAGAAAAAAGGGAGCAGGAAAAAAGAAAATTAAAAAAGACTTGAGGAAGTGATTTTCAAGAAGCCCAAGAAAATTTATTCTTAAATCTTATTGACAAGAATTATACCACATGCCCATCCCTAGACTTAGTACTTGCAAGGAGATTGGAAGTGCTCTTATCAGCTTGGACTATTCTTGATTTATCTTCTGGGGCTGGGTACTTTTTTCTCAAGCAAAATCAGGGCTCCTTGGCAATAAAGAAGCAAGAAAGGTTGAAGGATGAGTCATTAGCCGTATCTGTCACTTTGGGCACACAACCTTGGCTTTGGGGCATTATCTGTGTAATGGGGTGACAGTAATGCCTAACTCTTAGGAAATCAAAAGAGATGCCATTTGAAAGGAGATAGTAAAATGCATTGCACATACTGGATGCTCAATATACAATAGTTATTATCATCATCATTATTTCATTAAGTTGATGTGTGAGAGTTTACTTAACTGATCCTATGCCAAGTATATTTAGATTATTTGTTGCTTCTTTGGCTATTATATATAACTTTAAATTAGTATCTTTTGTTATACAACTATTTTTTTTTCTTTCACTGCTAAAGATTCTTTTCTTGGGTATATTCCTAGAAGTATAATTACTGGGTCATTCAATAGTAATGGAATAAATTGTGATCCTTCTGGAATAGTACAGAAATTACATATGAGTCAGGAAGTCAAATACTTCTTACACCTACCCAGGCAAGTATACTGGATAATACCTATAGGTAGACTCAGCTTTTGGGAATCAGGAATACACATAAACAGAATCAACTCTGAGACATGTTCATTTTGCCATGATGTCAAAACTTTTGCTTCCAAATATGTCAATGTGGCATAACAGAAAGTGCATTGAATTTGTCTTCAAATAGCTGGGTTTAGGTCTCTGCCTTGTTAATATCCATGTGACCTTGGACATACGCATAATCTCTGTGACTCCATTCACCCATCTGTAAAATGGGCCTAATAAAAATGACCCACCTGCCTGAAATGAGTAAATACATAGGGAAATGCTTTGGAAATCGTAAAAAGCTATAGACATATAAGATATGATTATCAGTATCTATGGAAAAGATCTGAGACAGAAAAAAGTAATGCTTTAAACTTAATAAAGCAAACACTTCTGTGTTCCAGGCACAGTTCTCAGCTCTTGTTATATATCTCATTTAATCTTCACAACAAACTAAAGAGATAAATACCTTTTTTTTTTTTTTTGAGACAAGGTCTCACTCTGTTACTTAGGCTGGAGTGCAGTCGCACGATCTCAGCTCACTGCAACCTCCTCCACAACGCCAAGCCTAAATGCCATTATTATGGTCACTTTACAGATGAAGAAACTGAGGCACAGAGAAGTTAAATACCTCTCCCATAGTCACTGTGGATTTGAAGCCACAGTTTGTCTCTAGAAATCATGAGCTGAACAATAATGCTACACTGTCTGTCTTATCAAATGTTGAGGATGAACATCTCTTTCCGCTATCTTAACATCAAGTCAGAAGACTCTCACCTGAGAAGTAGCCTGCATAGCCAACAATTCCCATTTCTCTGGATAGTGGCTCCTGAGTGTAACCACATTGGGCTTCACAAAATGTGAAGCTTGAAGTGAGGTTTAACAGAATATCAGGCACAGGTTGGGCTAGTTATCTATTTTGTGGTTTGGAGTGTTCGATGTGTATTAATATAGAGTTTTGCATGTGATCAGACACGATGAGGACTAAAGAGAAAGGAGCAATCAGATCTACTCCCAGGACACACTGTGAAAGGTGGTGTTTGTTTCTGAGGTGCTTATCTAATATTTGCTAACAGCCTCTACTGCCTGTCTGCAGCTTCACGCTGCCCTTCCTGCTCTTTATTTCCTTTCACGCGTTCCTACTCCTGCCTGCCTGGCTAGCGCCTGTCACGCAGAACTGAACTCTCCATCCTTCCTCGCTAAAAACCTAGTCTCAATTAATTTTCTCTTTAAGGGAATTTAATCAATGCATTTATTGGTTATCTAAGGTGTTAAGTATGGAAATGAAGCAAGGTGCTAACTTTCCTCCCAGAGATATACGCATTTTAACATATAGTGGGTGGTAGCTTAATTCACTGATGCTGAAATTTTAGGCATTCTCAGAAACTGGTGGGTGAGAATTATTGGGTGGGATTTGTAACGCCCCTCTAACTATGCTAGCTGAGCCTACTCTGTCTCGAACAGGAAGCAAACAAAAGAAAGAGGTATGGTCAGAGAAAGGAAAAAGTCATCTTTGGCAGACGGAATGTAACTCTGGTTTTCTTTAGAAAAGCAAGTGCCCAGCTCTTCATCTCTTCCTTGCAGTGAGGGGTGGCAGTCACCAATGAGATATTCACAGTCTGCTCTGGATGTCTCACCTGGGTGCTTCCTCTCCCTCCTATTACTTCCTCTTTCTCCTTTCCTGAAATGGGGACATGGGGCTAAAGCAGTGGACAAAAGCAGTGGCAGCAGCCATATGTTGGTAGCTGAGAGGAAACGATACATTAATCCGAAGGATCGTGGTTTTGACATCCTTTTTTTTTTTTTTTTTTTTTTTTTGAGAGGGAGTCTCGCTCTGTCGCCCAGGCTGGAGTGCAATGGCATGATCTCCGCTCACTGCAACCTCCACCTCCCAGGTTCAAGCACCTCAGCCTACCAAGAAGTAGCTGAGACTACAGGCGTGCACCACCATGCCCAGCTAATTTTTGTATTTTTAGTAGAGATGGGGTTTCACCATGTTGGTCAGGCTGGTCTTGAACTCTGGACCTTGTAATCTGCCCACCTCGGCCTCCCAAAGTGCTGGGATTACAGGCGTGAGCCACCGTGCCCGGCCGGTTTTGACATTCTTCAACCAATAACCACTAACAAGGTTCACCTCTGGGTGTGGAATTATGTAGGTGAAAAAAATAAGAATTATTAGTTTAAGCTACTCTTTTTTTGTTGTTACTTGTAGCAGAATATGATTCTTAATCAATATGACCTCTGGCTGAAATGGGCTAAAGGCATTTAAAATAGCCTTCAGTGAGTAACTTGCATCTTCTCTGTCTAAAAAAAGCTAAAGTATTTACTATTTATTAACCACCCACTGTATGCAAGTTAGTGTGTCTGCGCCACCGAGATGGCATGTAGAACATATAAGCACCCAACAGAGGGGGACATGAAACTTTGGCAGCTCCAGTCATTTGCTTGAAGTCATAAAGTTAGTGAATGGAGGGGTTGGGTGTAAACTCAGACCTTTTCCCACAGGGTCTATACACTTTTCCACTTAGCTTTCCTGTCTCATCCATCTCCTAACTAGGGATAGAATGATTGCATTTCCTAGTTACTCACATTATTCCAATTTACTCCACAGGGACTTCACACATGATTACGTTCCCGAATAGAAGTTGGCCCATGTTAGACTTACAAGAATTTTCATGATTATTGAAAACATTTCTTACAATTAAATATTATTTTGTCAGATGATCAGAGCTCACTATAAAACTAGCCTTATTCATGGAAAACATGTGGGGCTCTTACTATAGACTCTAAAAGTCAGGTAATACTTTGCAGGAGTGATGGGGGTGTTGAGTAAGATGCAGGAAGAAAATGCAGGAATCTAAATAACAAAGAATCTTGGAACAAGACGTGCATTTGAGTCACTTTGTACTTTTCAGCATAATTGTCTTTCTTGGCCACCCACCGTATTCTACATTCCCAACCTTCTGGACCTCTCGCAATTGCCCTGACAAGGATCAAGTAAAGGTCATAGAAGCAGAGGCATACATCTATTGTCATTTTGAAAAAATAAAAAAAGTAAAATGCATGCTATTTTTGTAAACATATTTCAAAAGCCTTAAAACATCGACTAGCTATTTCACTTATGGGCATTTATTCTAAGGAAAAAATTATTCACACTGGCAAAGATTTGAAGGAAAGATCTTATTTTCAAGTATTGTTTATGTAACCAGTGTATTAGGACAGCCTGAAAATTAAAATTTTGAATTATTAAATTTGAATAATTATATTTGAATATTTTGATGATAAATAGTTCATTCTGACAATGGAATACCATGAAGTCATTTGAATAATTATATTTGAATACTTGATTTAATATTTCACTCAAACAATGAACTATATACAGCCATCTAAAATATAGCATATCATAAAAGAAGAAAAGAAGATTTAAAAACATATAGCATAATCTTCTATTGCTCTATATTGCCACTGACAGTATGTGCTGTATAATCTTATATTTATAAAAAATACAGTGCATGAATGTTTATGTATAAAATACAATGAAGGGACATATGATAAATGTAAATAGCAGTTATCTTTAGAAAGTGAGGCTTCGGAAATATTTTCTTCTTTTAGTTACGAATATTTTCTTATTTTCCACAATAAACATACATCATTTTTGTTCTAAGGGAAGAAACACTGAAAACAAGAATAATGAAAACTATAAAAGAGCCCACATATACAAGTCACATAGCAAAGTGAATGACCAACTACTATACTGTCTATACAGACACTGTCATAAATAAATGTCAGAACACTGTTATTTATTTTGTGCTAACAGAAGACTTTTTTTTTTTTTTTTCTGAGGTTCCTGGCTCTTAGGAAAATGATTCTCCTCTCTGAGCTGATTCTGATTGGAAGGCACCATTATCATGTTCTAAGCAAAGGCAGAACCACATTATTAGCCTTGAACAAAGGGACATAATCATTTTAGAAACCTCTAAAATAGCGTTAATAGCAACAAATACAGATTCTTTTATATAACCATCCCAAAGACACTGATGCTTCAGTTTAAATGATTTATTTTTCCTCTTGCCTTTCCTCCTCCCAGTATTCTCTTGTCTTTGTGGTGATGTGGAGGGACCCACTGACCAGAAGATACATCATTGCCTGAACACTGGCAGGAAAGGAAGAGCTGCCAAGTACCAACCAGAATCTAAACGGAGATTGTTGAAGGATGGAAGAAGAAATTAGATATAGGCTGTCAGTGCACATATTTTTTGCATTAAATTATAAACAATATGCTGTTAATATTTAAATCACGGAGGAATACCAGAAGAGAAAATATGTGTCCTTGTTTTTCTATCATTTCACTTTCTCCTCACCATGTCAATATCAAAAGTATACTGTGTCTTTGTACTCCATGTCATCAGGCATATGCCTATCTGCAAGTACACAACACTGCAGAGATGGTAAGACAAAAGCTTTATTAAATTTAATGCCCGATGCAGAATTTTAAATTTGTTGTCTTCAACTCAAATGTAATATTTTGGGGTTTTTGGTACTTATAAGCTTGACAAATCAACTTTATGTTCTTGAGTTAAAGGCAAATAAGAAGCATTCAGAAAACTTCATGAACATCAAATGTCAATTGCAACACAAGATTTTGATACAACTGTACGTGAGTCTGAAACATATGGATTGAATTTTCCTCGCAATATTCTAGTGTTTGGAAGGAAAATCTGCGCAAAAAATGTGTTGTGGGTTTTCTGAAACCCCCAAAGTTGAAAAAACATTTTGATTTATTTAGATTTAGAAATGGGATAGCCATTTTGCACCCCTGGAAACTTAATTAAGTACCAAATTCAGTTCAGCACTGCAAGGCACAAGGGCCTGAATGAGTGAATCCTCCTTTTCAGTTGCACTGGACTGTTTTAATTCATTCGAACTATGCAATCTAATCAGTGGAAGAGCCTAGAGGTTTCTTTCTGCGGCTGTAACTACCCCACATAATCTCTGAGAGCCTTCCCCCAAGGCACCTCCAATAAATATATACTCTAAACAAACATAATATGCAATCCAAAACAACCATACCACCTAGGTAAAAACTGAGATTGCTATACAAACTAAGCCTCCAGACAAATCTCCCCAACCTACAGAAATTCCATGTCTCCACTGAGTTAAGTGCATAGAAACCCCAAAGGACCTTTCTGCTTTTACTTTGTTATTTTTGGATCTTATCTCACACTTTTGTCTTTCAGCTTGATTTGACTGGATTACTTCCCAACCCTCAGTAATGCTCCATTGTGGGAGCCTGTGTCTCAACAGTTCACACCTGCCGTTTACTCCACTGGGTTGTGAAGATTCACAGAAGATGACAGGAAGGGGGGATAAATAAGCTAAAATAAACTTTAGAGGATGGCCCCATTGCTGTGGTTCTCTGATCTTGGTTGTTGTCTATAGAGCTGTCCTTCAAAGACATTGATATGCAGCTGTATTTTAGAAACATTTCCTCTTCCAGGTTAGGAGTCTTTTCCAAATTAAAGATTCAGTCAAGGGAATTGGTTTAGAACCAATTGGTTTAGAACTTCCTCTTCTTGCCTTCCTAAAAACCTAAAATCTTTGCACATAAACACAAAACCAAAAAAGTGTAAGCTTTTGATTCAGGCAGTCTGGGGATTGTGTCTCGGTTCTGTTTCATTACTGGCTGTATAACCTGGAGTAAGTATCTTCTGAAACACATTTCCCTCTTTTATAAACATGAAGATACTAGTCCTTCCCTCACTGAGCCATTTCAAGAATTAATAAAATATACTGTTTACTTCACAGAGTGTTTTGTAAGTAGTAGAAGCTCAGTGAATATTACTTTCTCTCCTCCTTTATTCTAATATCTTAGTATCTACATTTCATATATTTTGGTTCAAATCATAAAATTATTAAATAAGTCATCAAGAACAAAGTAAGAATCAATCAAATTGTCAAAAACAACACCCATTGTCTATTCAAAGTTCTCCTAATTTTTGATGCCTAAGGATACAGAGTGATTACCAAGCATCTATCAAAAATCACAACCAATCCTCTAGCTTTGTCCTCAGCAAATTGAGAAACAATTGAGGGATAATTAGAAAATGAAAAATCTCTCTCTGTCTTTCTGAAACCAGTAAGCATTAAAAAGAGAAATAAGCATGTAAGTTTAATTAGAAATTTTAAAGAAGATGGATATCTTAATTTTTCACACACTCAATATAAAAAATATACATTTATTTTTTCAAGACTCACAAATACATTAGAACATTTAAAGATTCATGCATTTTTCTCTATCAGATACCAAACATTGGCTTGAAAGATATTTGCTATTAGCAAGCGTTGGGGACTAGGTAAAAAAAAAAATTAGCCAAGAGAAAGCAATGATTCTGATTAAGTAAATTCCATTGAACTCTTTCTAGTAAGCATTATTCAGGTCATGAATGCTAATTTGTCCTGCAGGGGGGCTGTGGGTAATTACCCAGAAAAACTATCAGCTTTATTGAGTTGCTACAAAACAGTATTACTGAATGGTACACTGTAAAGGAAGACAACCTTGATATGTACTCACAGAAAAGGGTATTTTTTCCCCCTACTGGGAAGATTTTATAGCCTAGATAGAAATGATAATAAATGGCATTTTGCTTAGAAAAATAAAGTCACATTGGTGTCACTTCCTGTTTAATAGTCAAATAAGATTTCTGACATGCAAAGAGATGTATCTGAGAAGTGCCACCAAGATACCCGAACAATTGTAGCTTTCTGCATATTTAACATTGTGTAGAATCAGAACCATCTTAAAAATGAAGCAAATATGGCACATTGGCCGCATTCCAGCAACTACACAGAACTGCTGACGTTACTAAAATCTAGATAATTTAGTCCCATATGGGAATCCATACCACAATTATATTGTCCCTGCTCCGACACAGCTCTGATTTTGCACTTCTTTAAGCCCAGCTTTTTATAATTTTAATTCCCTTCACCAATAAAGCAATTTGCATCACATAGTCTCCCTGTAAGAAAGAAAGAAAAAGAAATCTGTTGCATGACCTTAGTCTCTTTAGAGTTGATTATAAGGAAACAAACTCTTCAAGTAACCCATTCTCTCATCTTTTTTTTTAATTGATGTGAAACATCTCACTATAAACTGTAGAAGACTGTGCATAGCAGCCTACAGGCTCACATATTAAAATGTAGACGTGTTTAAAATCTCCTCATTTGCTCTTTTAGCACGATGAGGTAAAAGCCATCCTAAGTTTGCACAGACATACATTATGGACAAACAGATAAAGAGACAGCATTACCCTTTGGAATAATGGAATAAATTATTCCATTATTGCAATAAGCTATTATAAAACGTTGAGATTTTAAAAGGTGTTTTTACAACTTCTCACCCTTTACTGAAACAATTTGAAAAATGTGCTTGGTTGATTCACTAAGGCCTATCTTGACACTTCATAAGTGTTTAAAGAAAAAAAAAAATTCCGGAACATTGTTTTCTCTATAATTTGGTCCAAATAGTGTCAAAGTCCAATATTCACATGAAACATGATTTGCTTTTGACTCACTTTCCCTGCCTTAAAAGACAAAACAGCGAATAAGAAACATGTGGAAAGTAGAATCATATCAAACAAACTCTGATGAAAAAAGTGAGATTACTAATTTAAAATAAAATACTTTGGCCACTTCTTTCCCCCTACACAAAGAAAATAAAGGTGCAAGTTACCTATAATTATTAACAGTAATAGTTTGAGAGAACTGATATGTTAAAGAAGTAATCATTAATCTTGCTAATCGTTGGTATGTTGAGAAGTATTTGGCCTTTGGTGTTGGTGTTTTCTTGTATGTGTCTATGTGTGTGTGTGTGTGTGTGTGTGTGCGCGCTTTTTTTTTTTTTTTTTTCTGAGACAAGGTCTTGCTGTGTTACCTGGACTGGGCTTGGAGCTCCTGGGCTCAAGGGATTCTATTGCCACAACCTTCCAAGTAGCTGGGACTACAGGTGCTTGCCACTGTGCCTGGCTTGTTAGTTGTGGCTTTAATTCAAAGAAAGACAACATCCTCCAAGGTACCGGTTTTAGAAGGATTTTGTTCTGTGTTCTAAACAGTCAAATAATAGTATCTGGTTGTAGCTAAATAAGATATTTCATATTGTTATAGATATAATGTAAATTTTACTTTGAGAGGTAGTAATTTATATTTAATAAAAAATTTCCTCCAAGACTAAGAAATGTCTTCATATTATAGTCTTTGTTTTCCATTCACATTCAGTGCTAAGATAGAGTTAAACTTTGAAGCTTTGATTATATTCAGAGTTAATATGATTAAGCTTGCAGGCCATGCTCTTCATTTACTTTCTTGTGAAAACCTGTGCGAACTTGTATATACTCACATATCAAACCAAGAAGGCTATTTTTTTCCTTGTCAAATAGTTTCGTAGAAGGAGCCTGAAAAAGTTACCAACTATGAAAAAAGACAGCCCAATAATGGAGAGTTCAAACTGTTCATGTGTACTAATAATGAAATACACCGCAGTCTTTTTCATTCTTTCTACACCTTGAAAATGACAAAAAGGACCCTACATAACTTTCTGCCCCCTAGGGGATTAAAAGCAGCTCCCAGTTTTCACTGTAACTATAATCTATGTCTAATAATAGCCTTTCAGCAGATTTTTTTTTAAATCAATATTATCGCCAATGCATATCTTCTCTATTTCCAACCTTGAGAATGTAAAATTGTTTCTTTTTTCAATCATGGCTCATTTTAAGGGAAAATGAGTACCATATGTATTTCATATATATATTTCACGTGCTAAAGAGTTTGAATGAATGTGTTTGTCAGGTTAACACTTCTGGTTCTAATAAGGAATTTTGTTTTTCAGCCTTCTTTTCATTACTCACCTAGGACCTAATCTACCATCCTTACGATGAAAAAATTCCCTCTATTTCTCAAAATTGGGCCACTGAGGTACCTGCATGTTCCTGTCAAATTTGCTTTAAACTAGAGGATATGCACCTGATAAATATTATTATTATATTCAGTTTTCACATTATCATTATCACTCCTAACACAGCTAGCTCTGTAAGTAATAATTATTAACATGAATGTTAGTTCAGTCTAATTTAGTTCATTAGCAAGATAACTCCTTTGATTTCGAAAGAGGCATCATGACACTTTAATCAGTGGGTAGTACCAGCCTGTTTATTACCATCATTCATTAAACTTTTTTTCCTAACAGCGGTATTTGTTGGATGAGCATAAACTAAACATATAACAAAGTCACTTCAACTTTCTTTTTTTGGACTTGACTGTGTTTAGTGAAAGACTTGGACGCTTCCTTCGTCCGTCACCCTGGAATTCCCTCTGTTGGGCAGACTCGCAAGGATTAAGAAAGCTGTCCTGAGCATGTATTTCACTAAATCCTCACATACCATTCAGAGTGGCTGCTGCCTGAACAAGTTCCTCCTGTTTGCACACAAGAAATGGCTGGTGCAAACAATTCAATAGAGCGCTTGCCTGGCACAGTGAGTCAGGGTGTCAGTTCAGCTTCATGCCAGTTGTTGTTAATCCATTTGCTTTACATAAAAGATGGAAAACAGGGCTTTGTTACTTGAGCTAGCTCCTCAGGCTCTGTTTGAAGGGGCCTTTTCTCATTCATGTTTTTAACAGTTTCTAACATCATAAGCCTTCTTGTTAGGAATCTGGTAATATGATTTCTACCACAATGCAGGCAGGCACAAGGTTTACAGTAAATTCGTACGAACGGTGTGTCAAGAACGGTGTGTCAAAATGCTGCGTGTTCCACATCAGTTACAAAATGTGGATTTGAATAGGGCAGAAGGTCAATAGAAGGTCTGGTAGCAGATAGAGTGGTAAAAGGAATGTGCCAGGAAGCAGCTTTTTTTTTTTTACCATATCACTTAGGTATTTTTTCCGAAGTGATTCTAAGTGATTTTCCACGAATGGAAGACAGTATGTCTTGAGCAGAATGAGGGCTACATTGTCTCCAGGAGAAGCAAAGGCCACCAGACACTAAGATGCAGTTAACAGGGTATCAGAATTACTAGCAGGCTTGTTGGCTTTGTGAGTTTCTGTGCATTGATCTCCAATTCATTTTAGCAGTGGAAGTACCATACTCCATTACTCTAGATTTTAAGCATTCTGAAAAGCAGGGAATTGATGCACAAGGAATGTGGCAGTGGTTGAAAGGAAGGATGAAGAGCAACTTTAATCAAAATATGATTTTAGCATAAGAAGAGGGAAAGATGAGCTATGATACTGCATACATTAAAAGACAGATGAACCATTCCATTAGTAGATCAACAGTTCTTTGATCTGAACCTAGAAAAGAAGGTCACATGGGCTGGGGACTTTCTGAGGTTAGTTGTTCTAACCAAGTCCTGAAGCTATTTTCCAACTAATAATATATATTCTTGGCAAATATTTCACCCTCTAAAGGTTATGTCAGGGGCACATCTAGAAAATTAATGAAGGAACAATGTTGAGAACATTCCTTATGAGATGGCGGTACCCTCGTGTGTGATTCCTATGTTCCCTATTATGTATTCTGTAAAAAGATGGCAGGGCTGGCCTCATGGGTGCATACCCTATGCATAGGGCTTCATGTAGGTAGGGCCTGGCACTTGCTTTCATGCAGTGCTGTCACTACCTTGAAATCCTTAATCATTTTCTCTTTCAACTTGTGTTTGTTAGTGAAGTCTAATGGGACAATAGGGCATGCAAGGGAGCAGAGGAGACACATGCAATATATGTGTCTATTGTTCCTTGTCTCCTCATTCACATATAACGTTTGTAATGCCTCATGAGCACACTGGCGAACCCATAATGACTGGCAGGTCAGTGAGTCTCAAAGTGAGTACAACGTCAGCGTGTTATGTCTGTGACTGAGGTAGGGGTGATGATGATAACATAGAAGGTAACTAAAATATAAGGCAACACACAACTCTATTCCCTTTAAGGTCTTCCTTACTAATCAGTAAGATAGAAAGTGAAGGTAGAACATGCATGCATCGAGAAGTCAGACAAAAACAATTAAGTTTTGTGTAGCATTTTCACTGTTCTGGTAAGAATAAAATACATATGCATACACAAGCTACATAATATGAATTGTGTTATTTCAGTGATTCCATGTGCCTTAAATGCTCATATTTGCATTTGAAATTGGCATTGCACAATATAAAGCCGAGTGATAGAATTCATGCTAATAAATTAAATGTTTTCTTAGAATAATGTTAAATAGCAAATAAAAGGCAAAATAAAGTCAAGAGAAGGAGATTGGAAAGGAAAGAAAAAAGAAATGTTTTCTATTTTAGAACCTTTAACACTATTTTTTCCTGTCTTTAAATAAGGTAATCTCATGTTTTCATTTTGCACAGAACCCAACAGACAATGTAGCTGGCTCTAAAGGCAGAAAATATTTCTACCAGGAGAATGGAAAATGGGATATGTCCTTAGGTAGCATAAGGTAGCATAAACTTTCTACCTTTTCTGAATTATTCTATCTTTGATATCTCAATCACAACAATCATCAATGGAGCCCCTGTCAATGAAATCAAGAATTGAATCAGGCAGCAAACATGCCAGTCCCTATCATCGTTCCCCTCAACGCGGCTCAGCAGCTTGATGAATCCTTTTCCGCTTATGACAAATGAGGTATGACCAGCCGCTCCCTTGCTCTGCTTCCCTCTCGAGGAGTGAGATAAATGGCCACCATATAATGTGAAATGGAGGACTTGAGAGTAACGCAATTCCAAAACACGTGGTCACCATGCAAAATGTCACTAATCAGAGGCCAAGGAGCAAACAATTTGTAAATAAATCAGTAAATGAACAACACCCTAGGGGCTCCAAAGAGTTAATTTGCTTTTAGAGGATGAGCAATTTCCCTATCTGCACTGGTAAAATCAATCTCTTATTAGAACTGCTTAATGCTAGTGCCGCCTTGTAGAACTTTCTATCAATATTAAGTCTCCTTCTGTGCAGGAGAAAGTGCTGAGGGGCTCACTCTCTAGGTGGTGATTGCTCTCATACTCCCTGGGGCTTCCATTGGTCCTCCAGCAATTGATCAACTCAGCATATCTCACCTGTTCCTCAAGTAGCATCCTATCAGAGAAGCTTCCCTGATCACACTCTCTAAAACAGCAACCTTTCCCCCTTGCTATTAAAAAAAAAAATTCCTCCATTGCACTCTTTCTGATATATTATATAAATGATTTATTTTCTGGTTTGATTTATCTATTGGTTTATTTTCTGTCTCCTCCTAATTACACAGTCTGCCAAGGGAGAGTTTTGTTTTCTTCACTGCTGAATCCCCAGGACCTAGAACAGTGACTGGCCTGGAGGAGGCCCTCTGTACATTTGTTATGTAGATGAATGTGCAGAGGAAGAGGAAAGGGGTTGAAGGTCAAACAAGTTTGGAAAAGACTGGACTAAGCAAGATTCAGCAATCTTTTTTGTTGCAGGCGTTAACAGGGCCTTTGGTAACTCAACAATTTATTGTCTGGTTTTTTGTTTTGTTTTGTTTTGTTTTGTTTTGTTTTGTTTTGTTCTTTTGAGACTGGGTCTCACTCAGTCACCCAGGCTGGAGTGCAGTGGTGCCATCACATCTCACTGCAGCCTCAACCTCCTGGCCTTAGGTGATCCTCTTGCCTCAGCCTCCTGAGTAGCTGAGACCACAGGTGTGCACTGACACACCTGGCTAATTTTTTAATTATTTGTAGAGATGGGGTCTCCTTATGTCATCCAGGCTGGTCTCAAACTCCTGGTCTCAAGTGATCCTTCCCACCTCAGCCTCCCAAAGTGCTGGGATTACAGGTTTGATACACCGCGCCTGGCCAACATTTCTTGTCAAACTCCATCTGAGATACAGTGCATAAATCAATTGGACCACAGGATTTTTTCCCTCTACCCCTCCACCCTCATTTAAAACAAGCATTCTTCAGGACACATTTTGGGAAATGGCATCTTAAGTGGTAATTTATTGACCTCATGGAATTTTAAATGAACCTTTTATCAGTGTAAATCCACCTCTTTCCTCCAAGTTCTTAATATTTAATGAGGCGGCCTCTCTTGGTCTTTAAAAGGTGCTACCAGCCTGTCCCGCTCTTTCCAGTTTCAACATGTTCTTGAATTTCATAGGAAAATAAGTTTACTCTTGACCTGTATTTGATGCAAACACCACAGTTTTGGTTGCTCTGCCCATTTTGTTCTCTGCATTTCCTGTAATTTTGCATGCTCACCAGTCTGTCTCTTCAAGAACAGGAACAGAAACTCCTACAGGTAGAGGGAAAGGATCTGATTTACGTGCAATGATCTTTGCAGAGTATTTGGGCCCATCTTTTGCACAGCGTGGTGCTTTTTACATGATTTTAATGAAAATTGTGTAATGACATTGATCCCATTTTAAAGAACAAAAGCTGAGGTGGATATCAGAAAGTAAAAACGTGCTTTTTTTTAATAAAAACTCAGATTTTTCTCAGTTCTAGGTTTCAGCCTCCTATTTTTTTTTTTTTTTTTTTTTTTGCAGGAGGACATCTGAGGTATTTATTCACTGCCTAGGCTACCCATGTGCTATCACATTTTTCCTGGTTAGAATACATATAAGATGGAGAGCAGGAGGGGACAGAGCTGCCCTGGCTGATGGCACCTTCAGGGGAAGCTCTGCTTGGGCCAAGGCCCCACTCGTGGGGGCACCTGCTGGCATCCCTCATCCGGCTCTGGGTGACACCCTGCTGTTGTCCTTGAGGGCAGTGAGGGTTCACTCCAACGGTGTGGCCAGGCGAGCTGCCTGGGGAAAGGGAGAGGATCCAATGACCGGAAAGACACAGTGTGCTTTCCCTGCATCCTCTGGGTGGGAAGAGTCCATCCTTTGTGACCAAACCCCTGAGAAAGACATACTGGCCAAATGTCTGAGACACCTTCAAATGGGCCCAGTGCCAGCCAACTGGGCTCCTCACTGGCACCACGTCCCAGATGCCCTTCTCTGCCCACACCCTGCAGGCTGAGGCCAGAGGAGGTCAGCCCTCGGGAGATGGTGTGTGTGTGTGTGTGTGTGTGTGTGTGTGGGAGTGGGGGTGAGCGTGTGTGGAGGGCTGAGAGAAGACGCAGTTGAGCAGAGCTGCAGCTTACCGGGCTGAGGTATCTGTTTGTGCTCAAGCTTTTGATTCCCTTTCCTCTCCTACACAGGACTGAGTGCGAGCCACGCCGCCACACACACCCACGCCACATGCGGTGTCTCCCACTGCCACAGCCCCATGTCACAGTGGTGGTGTTCTGCTGAACATTCCAGGGCTTCCTCGACTGAGGTGAGCCGCAAGCGAATCAATTTTCTTTACAGCACAGGAGCCGCCTGCTCCCGCGCAGGGTCCAGGAGGAGCTGTGGAGTTATTCATCTCCTCATACCCTGGGGCGGCTCAACCTCTGGCAAGGCCAGCGAGGACCCCAGCCTGCCTGTGCCCTGAGCTGGGAATGCTGAGTGATGGGGAGGTGTCCTCTGCCTCCCTGGTCAGCTGGGGGTGGGGGTGTGGCAGAAAACGCTCTTCAGAACTGGTACGGTTTCAGGGCCCGACCCAGTGTGAGAGCGGGCCTCTCCACTCCACCTCCCCGCCCCCGTGATCCCTGAGTCGTCTCCCCTGCATGCCTCCACCCACCTCCTCACTGGGCTTGAGGGAAGGGCCAGAGGGGCCGGGGTACCCAATCACTTGCTTGGCTTTGGGGGTGATCTGTTTTCATTTCTTTGGTGTACAACAATAAAAATTTTAAAATAAAAAAAAAAGTCAGCAAAACACATATAAAAAAGATTTCAGAGATGCAAATACTTCCTGAAGACTCAAACATCAACAATTACAAATCTGAGGTATTTCAATGAACCTGACATCGGCACGTGTGGGGATGGTGAGGCCAAGATGGCCCCATAAGAAATAGAAGAGGGCTGAAGAAGGCTGAAGAAGGCTGAAGAAGGCTGGGGAGGACTGGGGAGGGCTGAAGAGGGCTGGGGAAAGGATGAGTGGGCTGTTTTTGGGAAAGCAGGACAATAAGGGCAAGCGGGGAGCATGAGGTTTGGGGGGGCGGCCAGAGAATGGTCCGTGTGAAGCAGGTGCCAGGGCTGGGCAGCCCCGAGGCTCTGCCTTCCCATCAGCAGATGCCCTGTGGGCCCTGGCCCTGAACTGCCCTCACAGCCTCTTCCTTCAGACCATTAGAAGGGGGATCTGGGGCCCTGAGGACTGATTCAAGACTTGTGTTTGAGGGACCCGTACCCCAGGAACCTAACAGTAGGCAAAGTGGGCTGGAAGGGCACCAACCATGCTCAGCAGAGAAGGGCATGAAGGCATGCTCTTGGCTCCTGGCAGCCCCACATGGGACTTAAAAACAGGGGAAGAGACTAGTGGCCCTGGGGTCATGGCAGAAGGCAGGGGCAGGGAAATAAATTAAAAGGGGAGGGAAATGGAGGGCCTCCAGCCCTGTGTCGGCTGACAGATTGTCGATACACTGTGCCCCGAGCTGGGAGGTGGCTGGGGAACCCTGGAGGAAGCTGGACACCCACAGACCCCCACCCAGTTCTCCAGGACAATCCCTGATTGGACAACGCTGTCTGTCCTGCCCCTCTAGCCTCTCCCTGCCCCCGGAGTACAGCAGGACCTGAATGGAGCCTGGACAGACGGACACGTCCAAACTCTCAATGTCTGGCCAAATGGTGCTCGTCGACGTGGGCTCCGTGAGATGAGGTAAATTCTGTGCATCAACTTCCTTCACTCTCGACTGGAGAGTGGCAAGTGGAAAGCTGGGTCCTGCCCATCAGAGGGACCAGCTGGTGGAGGGCTCTGCGCTGGGGGTGCCCCGGGATGAGGTAGGACTTGGTGAACAGTGAGAGCTGCTGCTGCTGCTGGCGCTGCTGCCGAGGCTCTGGGGAGCAGACCCCGTGATGAGGTGGACCACAGGCTTCTGGGCAAACAGCACACCTGCGTAGGTGGTGCCATCGATGTCCACAGACATGTTAACGCTCCCAATGCTACTCGTGGTCAGGTTCAGTGCTGCAGCCGAGGCCTCTGCTCTGTCTTCCCTGCCGTTGATCCTGATCTTCATGGGGAGCTGCCGTGCCATGCTGAAAAAGTTGCGCTGGAAGGCCTGCTGCACCAGGCGCTGCTCCTCCTCAGACAGCCTCGACGCCTTCTTCTCAGCAGGCTCCCCTGACTCCAGCCGCTCCCGCAGCTGCTCCAGTGCGGCGGTCCGAGTACCAGCCTGCTGGCTTGCCAAGGTCACGGGCACAGCCAGACGATTTGGCACAGCCACTGTTGTCACTGGGGCTCCATCACCTTTCCTGAGAGTGGTTGCTGGGGATATTCGAGGGCTACTGGTATTGGTGCCACTGCTGGAGCCAAGCCCAAGGATGGGAAAGCGGATCTTGGGTGGGGAGAGGAGGGCAGGGGCCTCGGCAGCGGCAGCAGCAGTAGCCGCAGCAGGTGAGTAGCCAAAGAGGGAGGAGCTGTAGCTGGGCCGCCGGCTCTCCCTGCGGTTGCCATCAATTGCTGCCTGGAGCTCGGCTGGGGAACTCAAGGCTTTCTTCTCACACTCATAGGCATACAGATACTTCATGTACTGCGTCCTGAGCTGAGGGTGAAGGCAGCGCTGGTGATGGATGTGGGCAGGTTTAGGCCTTTGGTGATCTCCCTCCAGATCTTCTTGTTGATGATCTCCACCAGGCCCCCCTTCTCGGTCACCAGCTTATACAGCATGTACAGGTCCAGGATCTGTTTGGCCATGATGGGGATTCGGTTGATGGGGGTCCGCCTCTTCTGCATAAAGACGAAGAGGTCATCCAGGAACTCTTTCCTTTCAGGATCACCGTCCAGTTCATACAGCTTGGCAAAATCTCGAGAGATCTCTCTTCCCCGGCCTCCATCTGCATCATCACTCCAGGCCAAACCACCATTCTGCTTGAGCTGCTCATCCAGATTCCAGTTCAGCTGTCCTGCTGTGGAGACAGAAGATGAGGCCTTGGAAGCATCTTTGGTATGGTCTTCTTTAGCTTGTTGTCCATGTGGTGGGAGCCCTGGTGCTGGAAGTAGATTGGACATGGGTGCCACTCTGGGATCTTGGCGAGCTACTTTCTGCACATGAAAATATTTTGAAGCAGCCTGGGTTTCTTTCTCAGCCACCTCTGCAACTTCATCATCCCCGTCCTCATCTTCCAAACCTCCGTCCTCTTCCTCAGGCTCTGAGTTCATGTTGCCCCGTTCAAACACTTGGGCCACTGCTGCGGTGGGTGGAACTCTGGCTAAGGGACCTAAGGGAGTGCTGCCAGAAGGTCTCCCAGCTGTGGCGGAAAAGAGAGTCGGCTGCGTGACCAGCTTTTGGGCATACAAGAACTGGGCTTCTCTCATCTGCTGGCCCTGCTTCTCTCTGGCATCCATCTGCAGAGGAGCCAGGTGTGGCTGCTTCTGTTGCTGCTGCTGTTGCTGCTGCTGCTGCTGCTGCTGCTGCTGAAGTGGCTCCATTTTTGCCTCAAGCTTCACCCACAGAGTGGCATGACTCTGAACCTGGGCACAGCCCACCAGGCACACTGGGTCTAAACCTGTGCGGGGCACTCCGGGTTTTCGGGTGGCGGAGGAGGCGGCCGCTCAGGCCCAGGCGCGGCAGCTGCGTCTCGGACTCCTCCGCAGCCGGGGGCCACAGCCGGGGCCTCAGCCTCCTATTTTTATAAATGATGTTAATGTGGAAACATGCTCTGTGCCTCGATGAGTGAACCAAGATATAAACTTTATAAGGCATACGACACATTTTCAGGACAGAATGTGAGCTCTCACTAAAATGGAATTTCAAGTCACAGCAGCTCTAAGCAGAAATAACTTGCATTGAACTCTCAACACACATAGGAGATGACCCAGAGAGCTAGTAAAATCACATAGCAGAAATATTGCAGAATAGTACACCGATCAGTTGTTGGGAGGTACTTCCAGACAAATCTTCAGATGTCCTTGGTAAAACCCATAAAAATGTGTGCATAGTTTGAAGGCTAAAATGCTATGTTGTGTATAAAGGTGAACAGAGTAAGTTTTATAAATCCAAGTACTTTTATACTTGCATTTCTCTATTAAAGGTATCAAATCTATCCTTAAACAATTAACATTGTGGCAGCAGTAATTTTGCCCCTGCGAGTTAGCTCTATGGTACTAATGAGTACTTTCTAGTCTTTAGGATAGGCAAAGGGTATGAATCCAGAATACAGGAATTTTTGACTTGGCTTGAACATATTACCATCCAATTCGAGACCCACAATTTGGAGATCTGACTCGAATTGAAGTTTCTACATTTATATTAGCTCTCTTTTGATAGACTCAGACTATTAGTTTTGGATATCAAAGAGTTTCTTTGGAGAAGGGGCTCTATTTTTTCAAGAAATTTGGTTTATCTTTTTTATTTTGGGAAAATATATATAAAATTTACCATTTTAAGCACTTTTAAGTACACAGTTCAGTGACAATAAGTACATTTACTTAAGTACATTCTACAGTAAGTACATTGTTGCACACCATCACTAGTATCCATTTTCACAACTGTTTCATCATACCAACTGAAACTCTGTATCCATTAAACAATAAGTCCCCACTTGCCCTGGTGCTCAGTCCCTGGTAACCTCTTTTATATTTTTCTTCTTTATGAATTTGACTATTCCAGGTACCTCTTATATAAGTGAGATCCTGCAGTATTTGTCCTTTGATTTCTGGCTTATTTCACTTTGCATATCTTCAAAGCTCATCCACATTGTAGCATGGGTCAGAATTTTATTCCTTTTGAAGAGGAATGACATTCCTTTGTATGTATATACCACATTTTGTTTATCCATTCATCTGTAGATGAACATTTGGGTTACTTCCACCTTTTGACTATTATGAATAATGCCACTATTAACACTGTGGTACAAACATCTATTTAGATCCCTGCTTTCCATGTTTCTGGGTATATGCTGAGAACGGGAATTGCTAGATCATACGGTAGTCCTTTGTCTAATTTTGCAGGACCACCATACTATTTCCACAGTAGCTGCTCCCATTTTACATCCCCACTAACAGCAGGCAAGTGTTCCCATTTCTTCACATCCTTGTTAACACTTGATTTTGGTTTTAATAATAGCCATCTTAGCGAGGAGATGTGTTTTATCTTTTTGTTTCATAAATACTTTATCCTTTGCATTCCATACAAAACTCTGGCAATATGATTCCTAAGTGACTGACACTGAGTTAAGAATCTTTTTCTTTTTCAGCCTAAGGATATATCATTCATTCTTTCTAAACAGATCTATTAATTTTTTTCAAGAAAGCATAGTTATATTATATATATTTATAAATGGAGATTATGTGTATACACATATGTACATATAAATATAAAATGTATCACTATCATTCTCTTGGTTTTGTTATATTAACAATACCTACTGTCATAAGAATAATGAAAGTGAATATAAAACGACTATCTGAATTACTAAAACAGGTAAGCCAAATACTTTCTTTTGACACCCAATTCTGCATGTATTTATAGCAGTGGTAAGCTTTTGTTTTGGGGCTTGCTAGTAGTGGAATCAATATAACTCTTTTAACTTTTTGCATTCAGGTTCACATCATGCTGTCTCATGTAAGCTTCATAAATACAGATGCTTCCTGCCTGTGGGGTTCTCACAAGGGCATAGATTCTAGGCTCAAATGATGAAACGTTACCTTTGTTAGAACCAACACCAGCAAGATGCTCCTATTAAATAAGACAAACAGGTGGTTCAATGTTTTGTGATAATTTTAACAACCGGGTTCAAGTCCCATTCTATCTTCTAAATTAACTGCAAGGAGATCCATCACTCAGGCCAATAACTTACATGGCAGATTGTGTGGTCCTTACCATATAGGCTTCTGTGATCACATGTGTGAATCACAGCATTTATGCTGCCTAAGGCACTGGCCTGCAAAAGCAGAGCCTAGACCCAGCTGATTAAGCTGTAGCATAAAAGAACACTTCAGTAGTCAGGAGCATGACAGCCCACAATGGTTTATTGGACCAAAGAGTATAACATTGTAATTTACTTCTCGAATACATGTCATGTTCTCTCTTATTGTTTCCCCTTATGGAGTGAAATATGTAGGTAAGAGATTGCTGTACAAGCTTCATGTGTTATGCCCCTCCAAAATTAGAGGGTAACAAACTGTCTTTATTATCCTGTGCCTTTGGTAAGCTGCCACAAATCACAGAAACCACTGCAGGTGAGCATCTAGTGGTTTAAAAAGTCAAGGCAAGCTAAAAGACTTCGTGTCTCTGCCTGAAGCTATTTTTGAACTACAGTACAGTGAGACACAATTATTATGCTTCCTGGCCCTTCCTTTTTATTGTATGTTCCTAACCATTTTTTTTCTTTCTTATTGACAGGAAACCAGGATTTATAAAGTCTGGCTCAACGCAAATATTTAAAGACTTATTTTTTTTTTCTTTCCCCAAACATAACAATGTAAGTTGAATGGTGTTTTGGTGAGTTTATTTTTCTTTTTAAACTGGAATTCATGGCTGTTCTCCAGCTGAAAACAGCACTAGTCACAGATAATTTAAAGAGAATAGCTTGCTTGTTTGTCAAGCAAACATGTGTAATCTGATGAAATTATTAATGTCATAGTGTTAACTCTCTTCTCATAAATACAGTTAACAGTGCTGACACTGCAATTATACTCAGATGTTCCGGCTCTTTGCTTATTCACTCAATCTGTCGGTCCAGTATGGGGGAGACAAATTGTGGTGGGCACTTGACAATGCACAAAAGAGATATAAACCTCTTCTGATTAAGCCTTGATGAAAGATTAAATGGTTCTGAATGCTTGCCAGATTCTTGTGATATGACATTTTTAACCAGCGGTAATAAAAAATTCTACTCAAAAGGGTTTTCTCAAACAAAGATTATAAAGATTGCATATATATGTATATATAAATAATGTGTACACATGCATATATTAGATATGGTAAGAAAGAGCATGTTCACTTCTTACCTTGAATTCCAACTTTATAACAAGATAATTTCACGATACTTGCTAGATTTTTGCAGACATTTGTTCTGAGAGAAAACAACACATACTTCATAATTACCAACATTACTGTCTTCTTTACCATCCATCTACCAATGGAATAGTCCTTCACAGTAGCTCATTCATAATGAGGGTTCCTACATTCATTTATTATTATTATTATTATTTTAGTAGAGACGAGGTTTCACCATGTTAGCCAGGATGATCTTGATCTCCTGACCTCGTGATCTGCCCGCCTCGGCCTCCCAAAGTGCCGGGATTACAGGCATGAGCCACTGCAAATTTTTGCCATACCTATTCTGTCAGCAGTCAAGAATGAGTAGTGATCTATTGTATGCTTTAGCCTTTGAATTTTTAAACAGTTCACATCTTTTCACTTTTGGCTTTAGATCAAACAAAAATAGACCAGTTAATAATGGCTAACAACTATGTAACACTTCCTCTGTCCAAGTAGTGTTCTAGGTACTTCACATACTTCGCATCATTTCATTTCTTATATGAAGTATCTATTAGTAGTTTCCTCTTTCTGCAGATGAGTAAATTGAGGTAGAGAAAGGTTAAACAACTTGCTTAAAGTCACACAGCTCATAACAGGTAGTCCTAGGATTTGAATCTAGATATATCACAACATAAAATTGTAATAAACTTTAGGTTAAGAATCTATAACTATTCTTCTTAGATTTATAGATTATTATAAAGCATTTTTGTTCTATAAGATTAGACTTATTTCATCTCCTCATATATCCCACCCTGTGTAAAGACATCCTTGAATGAACCTCATAAAATAATTATAGTCCATATTGTTAAAAAAAAAACCATAGCAACATGGATGTGTTGTAATTATTAGTCTTCATATTAAGAAGTCCACTAAATTGAAAAGTTTCTTAAATATACAAACAAAGAAACCTCTTGCATTTCAATACGCTAGCGCCTGGAGCAAATGCATTTATTAAAAGTGAAAGGAAATGGGGAACCAAGACAGGTGAACCCAGCTACCTAGACCTTTTTGTTGACACATTTGGAGCAGATAAATAGAAATAATAAAGAAAACTGGCAGTTTTCTACACAGTGTTATGGCAAAAAATCTTGCTGCACATTCAGGAGGAACCTATATAAGTCATTCCTGGCCCTTTTGTTCTCTTTATATTTGGTTACAGAAATTATGTAGTTGTGTTCTTTCTTTTCCATTATGTGGAGCTTGTGTGAGGAAAGATCATTTCAGGGAAATGAAAAGGGTTTTTAAGTGGTTAGTAGAAGAAAAAAAATAATCAGGTAGAAAGGGGAGGACAAAGCCAACCCAGAAAAGGAAAAAAAATATATTGTTTTCCTCTTAAATTGTGTTAAACAGTTGTTTCCCACTTTGAAAGTTCATTATATTTATTTGTCATCAGGGTAATTGATCTACACTTGTTGCTAAGTCTGTTGCTTGCCTCCTGATGAACAGATTCATTAAGCTCATTTCTAATCTCTGTCTTCTAAATTCAATAAGCACTATAAAATTTCTTTCCTTGTATGGGAATTCTAAGGTCTTTTTTTTTTTTTCCTCAACAGCTTGAATTCCTGTATTCTGATTAAGATAGATGAAGTATTTGCATTCTATCCATATTCATAATCTTCTTTCAGAGTCAACCTAAAATACCACATTTGTTGCCCAGGCAGACACAGGCAATGTGTTAGGAGAGCTCTGCAGCTTTTTGTTTAGATGGATGACGACCCATCTCTTTTCAAATCCACAGAAGAGGTGGTCACTAGGTGAATTCAGGCTGTTAAGACATCAGAACAGTCATAGTGTCTTTTGTGTGTGACAGAAACTGTAATTAATGATTTCTCCCCCTTTTTTGCTAAAGAAAAAAAGAGCGACTTGCAGTTGACAGACATTTTATTAATAGTTTCTGCCAACTTGCCATGCATAAAAGGTTTTATTGGTTGCAATGCCAGTGTAAGAAAAAGTTCTTTTTGATAAAATGTTCAAGATGCTTGTTTTATGGATGAAAAATGAAGGCAATCTGTCTACCGCCACTGAAAGTTTGGGTTTCAATAATAAAATTAAAACGATTGTGACATTTCCTATTGTGTTATTTAACCATCTGCTTCCTACTGGTCTAATCAATGATGGCATTACCTAGCTCTTCTCTATTTAATATGAAGACCTGCCAATATTGTGTCTCATGGTTAATTTATGAGGGAGATTTATTATTGATAAAGGTGTTTGCATATTTGGTAACTGCTATTCCTCCTATGAAAGGGAATTCTTCTGTCTTGTGTTTGAGGGTTAAATATTCAACTTGACAAAGAGCAATGGATGTTTGTACCCTCTCAATAACTAGAAATCTAGAAACTGTACAGGAGAACAATGAGAAATGGTTACCAATGACAAACTTATCAGGTGTTTTCTGTATAACTTTAAGCAAGCATCTGTCATTTTCTTGCACCGCATTTAGTTAAAAGCACAACTTCTGAAATATTTTCTCAACAAAAGCATGCTAAATTCCTAGTTACCTGAGTTGAAATTTTTCCCCTTTTAAAATTGTTTGTGCAAGTTTTTCTATGGAGTTGATGTGCTGTTTCAATGATTTCTGCTCATCAATTAAGAGAGAGAAAAACACACTTTACCACATGGATTCACAATAAAACAATGAAGGTGCTTCATTGCAGTTTGCTTAATCAGCCATTATGAAGAGATGAGAGGGAGAGGGTTATTCAATATTTTAATAAGTCTTTGGATTTTGTTGCAGCACAAATGGAATTTAATTAGAAATGTGAAACATTAGGTACTACTAATTACTGACAAACTTGAAAATATACCTGCTCTATTTTACTTGTAATAATCATCATTATTAACTTAAACAACCTTTAGCATTTGCCCATAACTTTTACAAACTTCAATTTTTAAGTCTTAAATCATTCACATTTTGGGAGAAGGGAGGCAGCTGGAGATGAGCGCCTTTTGCAAATTGATCTGCAAGTAGTCATTCATTTTCTCTGGGAATTTTTACGTAAGCTCCCTTATTGGGAATATGCTAATGACATCCGCCATGATTACTGATTTTCTCTGAATCGTTATTCCTCTGTGGGCAAAGTAATCAGAAAGGGAGAACAGGAGATTTCCTTCTTGCTTGTGTTCCTTCTTCAACCATCTGCTCTACCCTGATTCATTTGAATTAGAGCTGCAGTTTTCTGATTCTTTACTCTGAAATCCTAAGGCATTTGAAAGCTTAAAAGGAGTTAATAGTTATCTATCTGTGTCACAAATATGGTTCTCTGTGTGTTCTAAGTGCAAATTTGCCTACTCAAGGTTTACATGGGCGAATTAATTTTATTAAGTATAATATGGTAATGTAGGTTAGCAGCTTCATTATTTGGGATGTGTCAGCTCTGAATACTTCTTTATTAATGGCCTTTAGCACAGACATTTCCAAAAAGGGGAACTGATGTATTAAAACAAAAGATTCCAAGATGAAGAAAAAGTAAAATCAAGTAAAATTGTAAAGAGAGAGAATTTGTAAAAGAGAAGTGTTGATGTCCATGTTTTCCAGTTACATTTGTAGGGGTGCCAACAAGAATGATGGACTGGTTGGTAATCAAGACTTCTGGGTATCAGGCCACACTTTGGCACCAAAGTGCTGTGTTCTTGAGGAAGTTACTTTATTTCTCAGAGTTCTGTTTTCTCAGTGGTGACATGAAATGAATGTCACAGGTGATCTTTAAGATTTTCTTCATCAGTAAAATTTTGTGACTGTATTATTTATCCCATGAAGCAGATTGCAGATGATGGGAAAGTTGCTTTAGCATGGGCATTTGATCTTGTCCAGGGAAAAGCCATTCCAAGATAAACTGTTCATCTTCAGAAGAAGGATAAGGGACTGAGCCTCCAGATTATACTTTTTAAAATGACGAGTATAGACCAGATTTTAAAAATGGGACACATTATCTTGTTTCAGTTTACATGGAATGGATAAATTGCTGAGAATGTTGCTGATTGATTGAAGCAAGCCTTACACTTCAGTGAGTGAAAATCAGCAAGATTCTGACACCCCTACTGAGACAGAGCTAACTTAAT
This sequence comes from Homo sapiens, assembly GCF_000001405.40. Lineage (NCBI taxonomy): Eukaryota > Metazoa > Chordata > Mammalia > Primates > Hominidae > Homo > Homo sapiens. Next base: position 81,494,151 of record NC_000001.11, on the reverse strand, counting down.
ATGCAGAATTGGCATTTAGGCAAGAGAGTTTGCAAAACTTGGTGCTATTAGATCACTGAACATTGTCAAAACATGAAGGAGACATAAGTTTGTGACTGTTGACATTCTAGCATTCAGCTGATTTCAAAGTGAAGTGAGCAATTCATATTAAAATTGTTTCAGAAAGTGCCTCTATCTTGTCCTACTCACCCACATTGCCTCTTATTTTCTTCACATTGAGAATCAGACTGAGAACAATACAGCTGTCCCCACGTTTTAAATAATTAATAAGCCCTCTCCCCAAGTAAGCAACAGGATTTTTGAATAAGTGTATAGCGTCTACTGATCCAAACTTCTGAGGAAACTGTTGGCTTGTGCTGCAAGTAACCACTGACCACTCCCTCCTGCCTTGTAAATCGAATTTTTTTCTTCTGTCCATTTTTTCTGGCAACCATTACTGATTTGTGTTCTGATTTCTGTTTGACAGTTCTGGCTTATTACAGGCTGAGTGACAAAGCCAAGACTTAAATAGAAATTACTTCACTGATGTGTTTCAGCTGACCAGAGACAAACTCTTGCCCAAAATAACCTCCACTCCCTTCCTTCCAAATATCCCAACAACGGGAAGAAACATACAGCCACTGTCTTCTTTTTTGATGTATTATACAAATAGAACACTTTTGAGAAATAGGCCTAAAAATAGGAGAGCACAAGCGTATCTTAATAGTTAATGAAATAAAATTTCAAGGGCCTGAAATTAAAGATAGGCAGGTAGCCAGTGATAGATAAAGATAAGTATTTATTGCAACCATGGGCCTATGTTTGATGGACAGCAAATATGCTTTCCCTACAAGTTTGGCTTTTAGCTAGAGTTATACACTGTCTTGTCATGCTGACATGCAGGGCAACCTCACATTGCATCTGCTGAGCTATCATGCTATTGCATTTAGTTTTACTGTGGGGCGGGAGTGGGGTACATTTGTTTGATAATTTCTTTTCTCCTGAAATACATTTCACAAACCTGTTGGAGGCTGAATGACTCTGCTTCTTAGAACTATATCACATTTAGATACAAATATTTTTCACTGGTACTTGGACTGAGTTACATTGTTTTTTAAAAAGGAGTTTTCTTCTTTCAGGTTTTGTCTATCACTTACCTATAGTTTTATGTATTTGCTCCTAGATTTTAAAAATACATATTACACATTAGATGTCAGAAGAGATCATAATTCAAGGTCATTTTATACCACTCACATACTCTTCTATTCTAAAACAAATGACCTTCCTGTTATGTTTCTGGATAGAAGAAGAAATCCAGAAAGGAAGTATACTCTATTCATCAGTCCCTACTTAAGCAAATTTCTGATTGACGTCAGTAGTAAACTCCACATCAGCAGATCAGAATAGTATCTGGATGGCAATATTAAATGCCTTGCTGTTTAAAACTTCTTTCTGAACTTAGAATATTGAATATTATATCCAATTTTGAAGATGATTTTATTCACTTGAAATTAGTTTTTCCAACTTTAGAAATGAAGCATTCTTAGTTTAAGTTTAAATATTGCACAGTGATGATTTTCAACAATTAGAAACACATAGTACTGTAGTATGTCTAGGTCCAAGTATTTCTAATTTATGCATACTTTTTTCTAGCAATAATCTAAGCATTTCTTTTTTATTACATTTCTCATTCCCATGTGATCTCAGTCAATAGACTGTCATTATCAGAATAAAGTTCTGTGTGTTTAACTGAATTTTGAATTTTTGAAACAAAACTATTTGAATATTGATATTTAAAAAGTAAGCAGAATTTGAAGTGTTTTTCACTTCATTGGTTATTTTACAAAGATATTTACATAAAATCACCTTCTCTTTTGTGTGTTCAAGATTTACCCTTTGCTTTTCTTCTTCTTTTTCATTAATTCAAACCACATATGCAAAGTCATGAGCGTTTTCTACATATTAGGTCAAAGAAAATAAAAATGTTAGACTGAAAAAAGGATGACAGAAACATTACTGGAGATGGGCAGTCTTTATTTCCTACTAGAAAGAAACAAAGTTATAAATTATTGCACATACTCCTTTTTAAACAAAATTAAAAGAGTGGTTTTCTTCCTTTCATGTAAAATGCCAGAAACAGGCAGTCCAGGGTGAAGATGAGGGCCTCTATGGTCATCAGAGACTCAGTTTCATTCTTTGTGCTTAACTACATTTTGGCACTGGTTTCCATCTTCAGTCATCTCATGTCATATGGTGACTGCAGCAATACCAGCTTTCATGGCCACATCACTTTGGACAACCCTGTTTACAAGGAGAGCTGAATAATGCAACATTTCGCGAGCACAGTATTGCATAGAATAAATCTGGGGTTCTCTTGATTGAGAAAGAATGACAGAAAAAAATAACAAGTGGATAATTAGCAGCACCCACCACCGTAGAAATTGTTTTACTTTCTAGTCCTGGGTTAAAATGTTTTCTTTTAGCACCTTTTCTATTCCCTGTGGAAATAAGATTTCCTTTCTTTCTTTTTACTCAGTGTTGTCACTTCTCTTTCTGTCATCTTTGGTTCTAACAAAGCTCAGTTTTTCTCTCTTCCAATTTGAGATGTTGGAATCCCTTCTGTTTGTGTTTTTAAAGTAACTCTTTCTAACATTTGCTTCATATTCTAGAATTATGTGTCTCTTCATCTCTAGGCTTACAAATATATAATCTTGAGTAGTCTTTTTTTTTGAAGCAGAGTATATATAGCAAAATCATAAAAGTATAGCTTGATGAATTTTCACAAAGAACACACCCATGTGAGCATTACCCAGATTGGGATGTATAGAGAATCTCACCTAGACTAGACTATCTTCCATATGCCTCCTGCTAGTTACTGTTCTCCCAAATGTAATAAAAATTCCAACAGATATCACATAATTTAGCTTGTTTTAGAGCTTTATTTAAATGAAATCCTATAGCAGGTACTCTTTTGTGTTTAGCTGTTTTCACATAACATTATATATTTGTCCACTACGTTTCATGTAGCAGAAGTTTATTTTTATTGTTTTAGAGAAGTTATTCTCAAGGGGGTGGGATTTAATCCCCCAAGGCGACATTTAATGGTTACTGGAAACATTTTATCACAACTAGGGAAATGCTATTGGCATCTAGTGGGTGCTACTAAATATCTTACAAAGTACAGGTCAGATTCTCATAACAAAGAGTTATCTGGCCCACAAGGTCAATAGTGCCTTACTTTAGAATACTTCACTGTTTTATTTATCCATTCTATTGTTGGTGGGCATTGTGTTGCTTGCATTTGGGGTTATGATGAATAAAGTTGCTATGTACATTCTTGTGCATGCCTTTTAATGTGCATATGTATGCATTTATGTAAAGGATATGCTTAGGACTAAAATTTCAAGTACCTTCCACTTTGGAAAATACTGCCAAGACGCCTTCCAAAATGACTGTGTTGTATGCTCTCACCAGCTGTGTGTGAGTTGCAGTTGCTCCACATCCCTGTACATCATTGGTATTGTTATTAAAACATTTCTTTAAAAAACTATTTTGTGGGTGTTAGTAGTATCCCACTGTAGTTTTAATGTGCAGTTTCTTGCTGGCTAATGAGGTTGAGAATACTGTCATAAGCTTGTCACTATTTGGGTACACTATTTAATAACTTGCCTATTTAGTCTTTTGCCCATTTTTCTATTAGGCTGCTTCCTTTTTCTAATAATTTTTAGGAATATGTTAAGTTGCCAGGCATGGTGGCTCATGCCTGTAATCCCAGCACTTTGGGAGGCCAGGGCCGGTGGATCACCTGAGGTCAGGAGCTCGAGACCAGCCTGACTAACATGTTGAAGCCCCATCTCTACTAAAAATACAAAAAGTAGCCAGACATCATGGCGCACACCTGTAATTCCAGCTACTTGGGAGGCTGAGGCAGGAGAATTGCCTGAACCAAGGAGGTGGAGGTTGCAGTGAGCCAAGATCGTGCCATTGCACTCTAGCCTGGGCAACAAGAGCGAAACTCTGTCTCGAAAAAAAAAAAAAAAAAGAATATGTTAAGTCGCTCAAATCATGTAGAAAACAAAAAGTAGATTTACAAATGGTTGTTACTATAATATTAGCTTTTATAATTGACCACATATTTACCTTTATTGAGATATTTCTTCATATGGCTTTCAGTTACTATATAGTCTCTCATTTCACCCTGGAAGACTCTCTTAAGTATTTCTTGCCAGGCAGTTCCAGGGATAATGAACTTTCTTAGCTTTTGTTTATCTAACCATCCTTTAATTTCTTTTTAATTTTTGAATGGCAGTTTTGCTGAACATAGACTTCTTGATTGATGCCTTTTTGCTTTTAACACTTTGAATATATTGGCCCACTGCTGTTGGGCCTCTACAATTTCTAATGAGAAATCATCTGATAAACTTATTATGGATCCCTTGTATGCGATGAGCCACTTCTGTCTTGCAGCTTACAAGATTCTCTGTCTTTCAATCAAAAGTTTAATTATTATGTGTCTTCATGTGGGTCTTGTTGAGCTCATCTTACTTGGAGTTTGAGCTTCTTGGATGTACAAATTCATGTCTTTCATCATATTTGTGATGTTTTCAGCTATTATTTCTTCAAATATTCTTTCTTCTTTTTCCTGTCTCTCCTCTACTTCTGGGACTTCCACAGTGTGTATGTTGGTCTGTTTAATGGTGTCCCACAGGTCCCTTAGGCTGTATATTTTGTTTTAATCTTATTTCTTTCTGTTCCTCAGACTCAATAATTTCCATTGTCCTGTCTTCAAGTTTGCTGATTCTTCTGTCTGCTCAAATGTGCCTCTGAATTCCTCTAGTGAATTTTTCATTTAAATTATTGTATTTTTCAGCTCTTGATTTTTTTAGTTTCTTTTTAGATTTTCCATCTATTTTATTTTATTATTAATTTTTTTTTTGAGACAGAGTCTCCCTCTGTCACCCACGCTGGAGTGCAGTGTTGCAATCTCAGCTCACTGCAACCTCCACCTCCCAGGTTCAAGTGATTCTCCTGCCTCAGCCTCCAGAGTAGCTGGGATTACAGGAGCACACCACGTGCCCAGCTAATTTTTGTATTTTTAGTAGAGACAGGGTTTCACCATGTTGGCCAGGCTAGTCTCAAACTGCTGACCTCAGGTGATCTCAACCCACCTCAACTTCCCACAGTGCTGGGATTACAGGTGTGAGCCACTGCACCCAGCCAGATTTTCCATCTCTTAATTGATATTTCCATTTTGTTCACACATCATTTTATTGACTTTCTCTTTATCTTAATTCAGTTTTTTGAATATCTTTAAGGTGCTATTTTAAAGTCTTTATCTAGTAGACATCAGGTCTTTTTAAGGGATCATTTTATTGATTTATTTGCTTTGAGGGACAATTCTTTTCTGCTTCTTTGTACGACTCATGGTTTTTTTAATCGAAAACTGGACTTACTTTCCTCCTTTTTGAGACAGGGTCTCATTCTGTCACCTAGGCTGGAGTGCAGCAGCATGATCTTTCTTACTGCAGCCCCGACCTCCCATGCTCAAGCTATCTTCTCACCTCAGCCTCCCAGGTAGCTGGACTACAGGTGTGTGCCACCATATCCAGTTAATTTTTGTATTTTTTTTTTTTTTTGTAGAGACAGGTTTTGCCATGTTGCACAGGCTGGTTTCAAAACTCCTGAGCTCAAGCTATTTGCATGCCTCGGTCTCTCAAAGTGCTACAATCACAGGCTTGTGCTACTGTGCCCGGTCTCTGGACATTTTAATCTAATAATGTGGTAACTCTGGAAACCAGATTCTTCCCTTTCCCCAGAGTTTGCTGTTTTTTGTTAACGTTTTTATTTATTGATTTTGTGATTTTTGTATTGTTGTAGGCACTCTCTGTGCCAAGGATCCACCTGAGGTGTAAATTTAAGGTCTTTTCAGGACTTTTCTGAACCTGCTTTTTTCCCTGGACATACATAGTCACTTTCAAATTTTCCTCATATATTCAGTTGTTTTTGAAAGTCCTAGCCTTTAATTTCCTCAAAAGAGGAAAAAATAAAAATAAAGGGGAAAAATGGTGCTCATTCTTTAAATTCTCTAGAAGTCACTTCAGCCAGAGTCGGGCGGGGGGCAGGGGTAGCATGCAGTAACAATAGCCATTTCGTCTGCACTTTGTGACTAGAAGTAGTCGTGATGAGAGCACAGACCTGTGATATTTGGAGGACGGGGTGCCTTGCGCATATTTTTTACTAAATATATCACTAAATTGAATATATTACTATGTGTATCTAAGAAACCATCAGTTTCTAAATATTTATGAGAAAAATTACAGTAGACTGACATACTTGTATATATTTGTACATCTCCTCCTCAGCCAGTCCATTTTTCAAGTGAGTATTCAGATACAAACTCCATGGAGTATAACCTTAACATGGTTATATATAAGTTGACAGCATTATTGAATATACAATTTTAGCTTCTTTGTACTTCAGTAATATTCCCCATTTTCCATATTTTTCAATATCTCCCCCTTTTTTTTTGAGATGGAGTCTTGCTCTGTCTCCCAGCCTGGAGTTCAGTGGCGCCATCTCAGCTCCCTGCAACCTCCGCTTCCTGGGTTCAAGCGATTCTCTTACCTCAGCCTCCTGAGTAGCTGGGATTATATGCGCCCACCATCACACCCAACTAATTTTTGTATTTTTAGTAGAGACGTGGTTTCACCATGTTGGCCAGGCTGGTCTTGAACTCCTAACCTCAGGTGATCTGCCTGCCTCAGCCTCCCAAAGTGCTGGGATTAGAGGCATGAGCCACCACACCTGGCCTTCAATATATCTTTAAATGGGTTTATATTTATATTAATTATGTCAAATTTCAGGTGTGATTTGGCCACTTATACATTTCTTTTTCTTTTCCTTTCGTTTTTTTGAAACAGAGTCTCACTCTGTCATGATGGCTGAAGTGCAGTGGTCTGATCCTACAGCCTCTACCTCCTGGGCTTAAGCAATCCTCCCATCTCAGCCTCCAAAGGAGGTGGGACCACAGGTGAGCACCACCACACCTGGCTGATTTACTTTCTTTTTTTTTTTTTTTTTTGTAGAGATGAGGTCTCCCTATGTTGCCCAGGCTGGTCTCCAATTCCTGGCTCAAGTGATCCTCCTGCCTCAGCCTCTCAAAGTTCTGGGATTATAGGTGTGAGCCACCATGCCCAGCCCACTTTTATATTTCTTTGTTTTAAATTCATACAAGTAGCCTGCTCATTACTTCCGTCTGGTAGTCTCATCACTTCCTGCTACATTTGTAAAGTCTTAGATACTTTCAAAAAGGTATGCACTTTGTTTATTTTTTTACCTGATGAATCAATCACAAATTAGAATTAAAAATGAAAATAATCATTTGGAAACCTGTCAAACTTGAGGTAGGTTTTCTAACTTATATGTCCAAAGCATGAGAAATACATTTTCATGTGCTGTTCAAATGAACAAAGGTCATGGTGGAAGATTTTTCTAACTTTGAAGGCAAGGGACAAATTCAGAATCCACAGTTTCACTCTGGGAGTAAAACAGAAATAATGATGTATAATTTAATACTCATTTTAAATAATTCCCATCTACCTAATAGTACTATACAGTTGTTTTTTTTCAAGTTTTATCAACATGTAGTAGATATTCTGCATTGGCCTGTAAGTATTTAGATTTAGCTTTTAAAATCTCAGTATGTGTATATTTTTTTCCCAAAGTAGTTAGTACAAAGATGTCAATGCTTTGCTATTCTCTTTTGGATTGCCTTCAGAGACAATTTAGGAATCACACAAAAACAGTGACTCTTTCCAAGCAGTGGGCAATGTGCTAGGAGTCAAAATAGAAAGATGAAAATAGCTTGGTTCCTGACCTTGAGGAGCTTATAGTCGAGTGGGAATATCGGTCTTGTAAACAGAAGATGTCTATGAAATACAGCAAAGACCAGAGAGAAAAATGTGCACATAGGGGTTTTGACCACACATGCATTGTCTGGCATATTTACTCATCTGATTTGCTAAACCAAGCGGCAAATAATTCTTGCTTGTTTTGAAAACCAAACTCCTCTTACAAATTACAATCCCTTCCTTTTGTGGATATTCAAAAGAAATATTTAAGCATGATTTTACAAGAATATTAGCACAGTGGCTTGTCCATAGAAGGTAATAAAAAAAACTTTTGAAGTTGTAAGTGCACACAAAGCATGAGGAGAGTGCTATATGTAGGGCAGAGGTGTTAGCTCAGTAGATGTCTGATCTTGTGGAGGTTAAGTCCGAGTCTTTAGTTTTCTGTGCTGATGGTCTTTGATCCTCAGTCCTTCACTTGATTCATCATTTATACATGATTCATTGATAAGTGAATCAGACTGCACTGCTAATCAATGTTTACTTGAGTGGATCTGGCTCTCTCTTTTCTAAATGTTTGTTTACTTATCTTATAAGCAGGGTCAGTGTTTCTTAGCAACCTTCCTAATGCAGAAAGGTCACAAGGCTCTTTGGTACCTGTGTGCACCCTACAGCAATACTGTCTAGGCACTGATTATTTCACTACGGAGACTTAGGTTCATTGTTCTTGAGGCATTCTAGAAACATCTTTTAAGAAATAAAGTATTGTATATTAAACCAAGGCACAGAAATACCATTCATATATGAAATACCATTTATATATACAAAGAAATATTTTGCTGTTCATATTTTTATTCTGCTTTAATATCAGATACACTTCAAAGTATACAATTATAATATGTGACAGAAAACTTTTATCATAAACATGTTCAAAAAATCACTCAAAATCTTAAAACAGGGGCAACATGGAGACTCTAGGCTTTTTATTGGAGTTAATTATTCATTTGCAGGGGATCTTCTCTTATAGACCCCTACATTTTTCCCTCTGAATTTTTCTGATCTTGAAAATTCCCTAATGATTTTTATTTCTTTTCCCTGTTTCTGATTACTACACACCACTCAGACAGGTAAACTTTTTTTTTTTTTTTGTGCTTTTCAAACACATATTTTTTCTTTTCAATTCCTTGCTTTTCTTCTTTAGACCTAATTTCCAAGTCTAAGCTGAACTAATGTTCTACTTTGAGACATTTGAATATTGCAGTTTGTCATAGCATTCAAAGCATACTGTATATTTATCATTGGATGAAACTTTTAGTTTTTCCTCTGAATTTGCCCTTTGAATCTGGTTTCTGACTCAATTACCAAAACAAAGCAAAAGAAGCAAAATGAAAACAAAACTGGATTTTGTAAACACCTTATGGGTAGAATCTCTCATTTGCTTATACTAACTTCATGCAAATTTTTTTTATGGGAAGGGTACCTGAGGTATGTAAATCCTCCAGTATCAATGGAACAAATAAATGATATTTAGATATTTCAACATTTTCTTAGTACAGTACAAGGAAAGACAGAAAATCATTGTAATAGAATGCCCTTCTAAGACGATGATTTTTTTTCCATTTAAGAGACCTTGCTTTGTGCCAAGTTGTCCTGTTCATGAACAAAGGACTAAAATGCTGCCTACACTGTGTACAAGATAACCTAATATACACAGCTCATAACTGAAATAATAAAATTGAACCACATCATAGTTTAGGGAAGGAAACTAAAAGTGGCCCTTTCTGCTACTGGTTTTACTCAGCAGTAAAGAGAAATCCTTCCAAGTGTTGTTTACACAGTACGAAATCCTTGTAAAGTCATAGTGGAACAAGTCTGCTATCTGACCCAGCCTTCAGGGCTACTTAAACACCTGTGGATTTATGGAGTTCAGATGTCTACAAGGGTCTGTGTTGAGGTTCATTCAGAAACCTGGAGCCCAAATAAAATGATCTGTTGACATGGGCAAGCTGCTTTGTTCCTCTGTAGTCCGACTAGTTGTTGGAACTAGAAAGGAGATTCAGATTTAAGAATGTACTCTTTAAACAATTAGAATTAATAAGGAAATAGAGACATATTTGTTTTTTATTCATTGTGGGATTTTGATCAATTAATGTTTGAATTTCATTCTTAAATTTTGATTTATAAAAGCAAGACCAAAAGGGATTTATTCACTCACATTTTGTGTGTATAAGTAGCCCCCAGAAGGTATATGTACATCTGGTGATGGGAGCTGGTCTCTTTATAATGAAGACTTACACAGTTTAAAACATGAAAACCTATGCCATTTAGAAATGCACACCCTTTAAAAATGATCAAACATAGCCACAAAGTTGTTTTAATTAACTGCATCACAATTGTTTTCATTTGAAGATTTGATTTAGTCTTTTGAAAGTCAGACACCATGATTTAGGGAATGTTCAGTCTTATTCAGGAGACTTTCGAGTGAGCTTATGTTATAATTGTTAAACATATGTCTTCCATTTCCACATGTCTATTAAAAGTTTTATGAAAGGAAACATGCTTGAAAACACCTTGTTTAAGCTCAAACACAGAGTCACATCCAATGTAAGGAATAACCTGGTTAACATCTCTCCCATTTTTATAATCTAATCATGCTATAACTAGCAGTATTTGGAATTGTGAAGACTTTCGCCATGCCCGGATTCTTGATTCTGTTTGTACATTGTTGAATCATTTTTAATTGCTTCTGGGGGAAATATATATTCCTATGCAGTTTTGGGTTTTATGTAGTGTTATTATTAAAATAATGAATTACTTGAAATAGAAGTAGCTATTTATCAGATAAGAATTAGCTCATCTATACCTTGTTCTGCTCTCTTTTTCTTATTTAATCCAGGAACAGGAATATTCCATTATTTGTCAATATACTTCTATGTTGCTAAATGCACGAAGGTGCTTGAGCATTCATCTTGATTGCTTCATTTTCTTCACCTTGACTAGTTCATCTCTCTTATCTTCTTAGGCTATAACAGCCGTGGTTTTTGTTTTAAATGGCTTAAGTAAGACTCATATAAAAGGCACTTGTCGCTCTAAAACTGGAACTTTAAAAAAGTGTCCATGAGAAGCTATAAAACAGATACAGTTTGAGAAACAATCCTACAACATTCAGATTAGGTTTGGGTTTCAGTTTCATAAAACAGCTAATGAAGAGTTCTTCTATTGGTGAGTCTGGGTTCTGAGGGTGACTATTCTTTCTTAATATCACGCAGTTGTCAACTTTCTATAGCATGTTTAGGAACAAATTAAATAAAAAAATAGCTCCATAAACTTGAGTATATTCATACATAAATAGATTAGAGAGAGTAAGAGTAGTCATGGAAGAGAAAGTGAACATTCTAAATAAAATTAGTGTGGTGTACAGGATGTTTCTGTGTGCTCACTGTAAAATATAAGGATATAGCTAATATAAATATAATGTATAAAATATATGTATAATTCAATATATAAAACATATATATAATGTAAAATGTAAGGATAGATACTGTTTTAGTGAAGGTATAAGACAGAATGATAACCTATAGGAAGAAATTATCTTACATTTACAAATGGAACCCTATCTAATATCTCCTGTGTTTACAAACATAAAGATGTTTTTATGCTGCAATACATTTAATGGTTTTATAATTACTACTATCTAGAATGAAACACTGATAGCGATGGAAACGCAGGTTAAAAGTAAAATACTCAGTGAGTTCTTACAAGATATTTATGGCAATTAGTATACATCACTAATTCAGGCATTTTGGCTTTAAACTCAGATTTGCACAGGCAAAATTAAGTATTTAAGTATCAATAGCTATTCGCCTTATTTTAAAATAATAAATTATATGTGTGGGTTTAGGACAAGAGCAAAGATAATTTTTTTTAAGTTGTTCTATAATAAACACGTATTACTTGGATGGCAAAAGAAAAATTACATTTTTAAGGACACAATGAATCACTGAAATGAATCCTCCATTAGGACTTTTGCAAGAGAAAACAATGCAGAAACATACGGTGCTTTATTCAAACTTTCTGTTTGTTTGGCCGCAAACTATATTTTGTTCTCTATGTCAGAAATAACTAATATCAGTTTCTGCTAAAGCCCAAATAATTAATGAATGCAATCATAGCAGTGCTAAATTCTCAAACTGGTGTTTTAAAAGAGTCTAAGCAGTTGGTGGGTTGAATTTTTATTTTTCAAGGCAACTTTTAACCTTGGGTACACATAGTCTGTTCAGACTAAAAGAGAGTTTAGTGAGATCTGTTGGGAGACAAAGAGCCATAGAGAGCAGTTGTGGACACAATGTGTCAGAAACGTCAATAGAGTACATAGATATGGGTGGGAAGGGTCTAAGGATATGTTATGTTGGTAACTGACTTGAAAAAATGAGAAGTGGATCTGTGTGAGATGGAGGCAAAGAAACAGGGAAGGGCTACATATTTAAGGAGAGGTGAAGTTAAGGAGCAGGATGACAAGGAATTGACATAGGTGTAGCTACAAAGCAGTAGGATGTAATCTGCCATTTTCAAAGTGTTTTCTGACCCTCTTTGAAAACCAGCCTATACAGTAAATGGGGCCAAAAGTGGGTTAGGGAACATTGTAACCTCATTTCACCTTATTTAGCTATGTGCCAGAGATCTCAGCAGGTAGTTCAATTAACTTAGACTAGTTAAATGAGATGAAAATGAGGTTACCCAGATTAACGAAACACGACTTTTGGTCTTCCCCCAAATCAGGGAGAGCAAGGCTCACAGCTGAAGCTGGTCCTGCCCCAGGCAGTTGCCCACCTGCCTGGGAGCTTCTGCGCCGAGGGCCACATCTCATCCCTGCAATCTTACAAGGGACAGGAGAAACAACCTCAGATGGATGACTACAGTCCTAAACAGAATGTTGATTATTGCATCCTTCTAATTTCTTTCTGTCTTTCTGGAATCAATGCATAACCCAAGTGGGGGAAACATTCCCCATGTGATTTTACATCTGAGTGAATTTGACCGGGAAAGCCTTGTTTCTAAAGTTAAATTTTGCGGAATTATCTCCTTATTGATAGTTTATGGGGCTTCTTAGTTTAGAAATCTCAATTAGCTCCTCCATTACTTTCACAAACAATTTCTAGTATCTATGGTTATTTTTATTATGTTTAAAAGGATTGTTACTAGACACTGATGGAAATCATGGAAAAACACTGAACAACAATTTTTATTGTTATCCAATGTTCAAATTAAATTTCTTTAATTTGTATTTATTTTCAACTCCAATGAGTAGTTTTATTGATAACGACTAATTTTAACAAATAAATGACATAAATGCTGAAATATACTTATGATCTAACCCTTAAAGGATACAGACGTTCAGGAGAATTTCTTCATAACTGTAAGATTTAAGTTGATAAAATTGTCACAACAAGTAATATTTAAATTATTTTAACACAGCATATATGGTTGAATGTGGGTGCTGAGTGGGGTAAATTCCTGTACTAGATGACCTTGCCTTTTTGCACTTCAGTTTCCTTATCTGGAAAACAGGTTTAATGAAAACTAGACATCAGATAACTCATTGTTAGGATACAATGAGTTTTCAAAAACCACTTAGTCGTTATATAAGTGAATGCTAGCTCATATGAAAATAAATATTTGTCTATTATGACTATAAATCAGTAAATTTTTAAAATGTATACTTCCTTTCCCTAATATGGTCAGCTATATCTTGTATAATTTAAAAAATATTTTCCATCTTTCTTATACAGAGAAAGAAAGGGTGGGCTTATGCTATATGTTCTGAAATTAAAACTTATAATGTGAAATATTACTCTGCTTCAGGACGAACTGTCAAAATAAACATCATATAGTTCTTAACTGACCAACTAAGAATATTTCAGTTTCATCTGGTAATGCTAGACTAGGCATCTATATTTTTGGTATAAAGAAGAAATGAAGGTAACTATTATTTACTGTGCTAAATACTTGACTTTTTACCTTATCTAGCTGTAGTAATAGTCATATGAGTTCAGTATGATTTTGTCTATTATAAATGATAAAACCAGTCTCTGAAAAGTTCATCCACCAGGCCAAGGAAAATGGTAATAATGCTGGAAACGAATGCCTAAAGCCTCCTAGTTGCCCTTGTTTCTTGTTTCTTAGGAGGAAGATTCTGGTTGAAGAATCTTTAGCTGGTTTCCAGCCTTGTGCTGTATAACAGAGACTAGGCTTGAGACCTCCCTCTTCTATCATCAGCTATGTGACACCAGCCCATGACTTAATTTGTCTGAAATTAAGTTTCCTTACCTACAAAAAATCAGAATTTTCATGAAAACTATATTAGATAATGTCCATAAAACTTCGGTTGCAACTTAAGGTATCATTTTGACTTAAAATGTTACTAATAAAAGTGTGATTTTGAGTTAAGAGAACAAATGAAGACATCTAAATTAGGAAACCCCATAAACTATCAATAAGGAAATAATTCCACAAAATTTAAGCTTTAGAAACAAGACTTTCCTGGTTAAATTCGCTCAGATGTAAAATCACATGGGAAATGTTTCCTCCACTGGGGTTATTTGTTAGTTCCAGAAAGAGAGAAAGAGAAAGGAATTAGAAGGATGCAATAATCAACATTCTTTTTAGTACTGTAGTCATCCATTTGAGGTTGTTTTCCCTGTCTCTCGTAAGGTTGCTGAGAATACTATATAAAAAGGAAGTAATTTTAATTTCAGTTTTTCATTCCTTATCTCCAAAATGTGGGTATCTGATGCCTACAGAGTATCTAAAGGCGTTTAAGAAGAAATTTCTTTTTTTTTATTTTTCAGACGGAGTCTCACTCTGTTGTACTCTGGAGTGCAATGGCGCGATCTTGGCTCACTGTAACCTCTGCATCCTGGGTTCAAGTGATTCTCCTGCCTCAGCCTCCCGAGCAGCTGGGATTACAGGTGCCCGCCACCACACCCAGCTAATTTTTTTTTTTTTTTGTATTTTTAGTAGAGACAGGGTTTTGCCATGTTAGCCAAGCTGGTCTCAAATTCCTGACCTGAGGTGATCCACCCATCTCGGCCTCCCAAAGTGCTGGGATTACAGGCATGAGCCACCACACCCAGCCTATAAGAAGAAATTTTTTAAAAAAGAAAAAAATATTTTAATCAAGTTTGCCAATCTTGGGGACAAAAACCAAGAGATATACAAATTGGTTACAAAATACATTAACAGACATTATTTTTACACAATACTTTCAAACACAATATATAATAAGATGTTTTATAAAGAAATGAGTTAAATACTGATGGTGCAATAACTGTATGGAAAAACAGAAGATCATTAAGCTTTCACTTGTAGCTCACTGTGCAGTCTTGGATATTAGCACCCTGAGTTATTGAGAAATAACTGCAATGAAACAGAATGCATCTAGTAAGCATCTCATTTTTTGTTCCATTGAAACAAGAAAAAAAAAACTCAAATAAATGCATGCAGATGCCAGTATTTTTCTCATAACTTACACTGATCAACAAGCATCACCAAAAATGCTAAAAGCAATCAGCACAAACTCTGAACCACAGAGAAATCGTGAGGCAGTGTAGCGACTTCCTTAATGTGAATAGCATTAAGAAGAATCTGAACACTGCCACTATTAATAAGACGACTACAAATTGTAGCCGATCAAACCAGAAGGAGCCTTGAATGTATTTGCTGGGAATTGCTTAAGGCTTAAACACCAGCGACTTGAAACAAACTGTTCTTATCACCTTTTTCCAAACAGAGATTTAAATTTACAATGAAAGTGCCAGCACCAGCTGCACTTAAAGCAAGCACCACATGTCTCGATAAGCTCCAAGAAAATGGAATGGAGCCCAGTTCAAGCTGGAGGTGTCGTCTAGCTGTAGCCAGCTGGGTGACACCAAACTGAAAGTGATGAGGTGCTAATTAAAGTGGATGAACAGAGTCTCATTGTAGGCACCTGCCAGTGGCCTCTGCAGAATCATCTAGAGCCCTGGGCATATCGCCCAGCCTGTACGGCCACAGGAACCGAGCATGGATTCCTGCATCTCTTATCTGATACCTCACCTCTCCGATGTTCCCACTGTAGTTTTAGTTGGAGATAATGACTCCTCCTGCCCCTTGCTCCTATTTACCGACTCCCCCAAGGAATAATTATCGCAGGATGCAAACTGTTGAGCACAGACTCTTTCTGAAAGCAGTATTTTTTTTTAAAGACAATACATTAAAGTGTATGTTTAAAGAAAACCCCCAAAAATAAACAATGCAAAAAAATTACTCTCAAATATACAAAAAATGCTCTCTTCAGTTTTGGAACACAGTGTGCCATTTGTTCCGTTCACACTTTTCTCCCCTCTTCCTTCCTGAGCCACACAAGATGACGCTGCAGCCAGAATGACATCGTAGTGATGGATCATTCAAAAATGTTTGCAGCAGCTGTGGTAGCTGCTTTTCAAAACAGAGAACACAACACGACCTGAAGCAGCTGAATCACTAAAATAAAAAACACTTTCTTCTTATTTAAAATTCTAGCTTTTCGTTACCAAAGTTTTCATGACTTTAGACTGTTTAATACAAAAATATATTGATTCTCTAACATGCAGTATATTTACTAAATGGCTGCATGCATCTGTTTTGTTCTTTACAGGATTAATAAACTAACTACTGAAGAGCTATCCTACAAACTGCAGGAGTGCCAGGGCATATTGTGAACTTTAGGAGTCTGTGTAGTCTACATTTTCTCATTATCCAAAAGATCCTTTTGCAACTGTCCTGTGTTGGAAGCCGTCACTTTGCCAGGAAACTTGTTTCTTTGCTGTGTCTCTTAAGAAGTTATTTGATAAAATGACAGAAATCTATATTCATGTAATTTCTCTTCACTGCTCCAGCCCTGTTTTCTGTAGAAACAGAATGAATCCACATTTCCTTATTTATTTATACATGTTTTCTTCAGGTTGGCATGAAAATATTATTGGCTGTCAGGATAGTCAGGTGTTAGGAGTAATTCTGGCTTTACGATATGACAGCCTATTGGCCTTTTGGGCAAGTTACTTAACCTCTTATTGTCTCCATTTCCTCATCTGTAAAATGGGTATAATAATCCATCTTGGAGGGCTGGTGTGCCTATTATGTGATATGACACATGTAAACCATAGCACAGTGCATGGTGGGTACATAGTATTGGTTCCAGGGTGGGTTAGTGGCAATGGTCAACCAATCTGAGGAACAGAACGAAAAGTAGTTCTGTGAACAGAGAGGATAAGTTTTATTTGGGCAAGTTGAAATGAGCTATGTGTGGGACATCCATGGATATTTCCACAGGGCAGCTGAAATGCAAAACCAGTAATATTTAGGGTACCTGGACTAGGCAGGTAAATGTGGGTGATTTAAAAATACAGTTTAATCGATGGATGTTGATAAAATTTCTAAGATAAGCATTTGGAATGGCGAATCTGAGGACAGAATCTGAGAGGATATCTATAGTCAATGAAGGAGAAGCCAGAATGAGAAAAAGGTAGAATGACTGCAGAAAAAACACAGGATATCACAGGTTAAACTGCACAATGTTATCTGAAAGAAGGTGTAATGGGACATGTTTAATGATGTACTAGAAATTGGACACTTAGGAATCCTTTAAATAGCAACTTTGCGAGATTTCTATGGAATCCATTGAAAAGAATTGACAGGAAAATGGGAGAAGGAAAATGGAAGGTAAGCAGGCACAACGTTTCAATAAATTTGTGTAGAAAGAGAAGAGAAGAAGGATCTGGGCTTGAGGTGAAAAAGCACAGGTGGAGGAGGTGTTCACTTTGGAAAGGAGAAGGGACATTGTTTCTTTGGTAAATATAATCCATCTTTTTCTCTTCTTCTTGAGCACTAGGATAATATTTGGCTCATACCCAGTTTCTGATACATTTCCTACTCCTCACAATTTTTGCTGCTTTACTTAGATATTTTTGCAGCTTTACTTAGACTACCTCACCAATCATATTGTCAAGTTCTCTCAGTATTTTAAGGTATAATAGTGGAGACCTAAAGGATGTGATCTAATCAAAAGATTGTACTTTCTTCCTTCCTTGTTTCATTCTTTTTTGCTTTCCCTTTCTTTCCTTTTTTTCTTTTTCTTTCTCTCTCTGTCACTTATGCTCTTTCTCTTTCTTTCTTTTTTTCCTACCCATATATTTAAGTGTCTAGTGTGAAGGCTTTTCTCTTCAGTGGAAAATATAAATTCAGACGTAGGTTCCTCAATGTTGACGTAGCTGGGATTCCCTGACACCTATGGAAGCACTGCTTCCTCTGAACACTCACTGGTTTTCTTGTAGCAGAGAACTTTCCCTTCTGGCATAGAAATGGAAATACAAGGCACTTATGCCCTATTCCTGCTACTTGCCCCCGTGGCAGAGATAACTAACTACTCATGACAGCTTTCCTACACAGATTGTAATAGCCTCACAATTTTTCTGAACATCCTCCTCCAGGAAGGGCACTATTAACCCAAGTTGACACTTGAGTTGTCAGCAATTTGATATCCCTACTCTTTGTGTCTTTTCTGTCATCTACTTGTCCCAGTCTTTATCACTTACAGTTTTTCTTGTCTTTTGTACTTCTCTGTCCATCTCCTCCCCCCAAATAATCCTTTTAGTATGAGAGATCTTTGCTTTTCTCTTTAGGAAAGATGAACCCATTTACAAAATTATTAAAGGTTTTAGCATTCTTTTTCCCTCATCCATCAAATGACGGCACATCTTAGGCTAACATTGGTCAAATTGTAACATAGTAAAATAGGTATTCCTAATTCTTTTTCACAAATTATTCTAAAATCTGCATAAATGCTTTAAAAATCTTTTGAGAAAGAGCTCACCTATGTCACCTAAAGGCTAGTAGATACCTTTGAGCAAAGATGTCAGACAGCAGAGAAAGAGGAAGAGTTGTCAAGACGTAAACAATAGTAATAAAAACTGAGATGGTACTCAGGGGAGTAGCTGATTATGCATGCATCTTTTTAGCTAAGTTCACATACTCAGATAAAATAATCACCACCATCCTATATTTTGAAAGGCAGTAATGACTTATGCCCATGAGTGTCATTTTCAGAAAGTGTTTAGATACAAGTTTTCTTTAAAAAAACAAAACTAGATGTTTAGCATTGTGTTTTATCCTTATTGTTGATTTTGAGGTGCAACAATTGATGTCAATGAGCTCTAGGAAACCAAGGAAATAGAAGGCTAAAGACTTGGGGGGCCTAAGGAACGAATTGTGATGACTCTGACTGCTTTTAGGCCCTGGGTTCCTAGCGCAGTTGTCACATACCACCTATCAAAATGTTTTCTTAGAAAAGGTTAGGAACTATACTGGTGGCAGCATAAATCTTTGCCAGAGTTATGATCTTTCTCACTGTTACTTGAATCTACATAAAATAATGATGAAAAGTATTCATCATACTCAAAACTCAATCTCAAACAAAATGACCAGTAATTGAAAAAACAAAGGTAATTGGCCATGAATGATGGAAGAAATTTCATAAGGATCTTACTGACTGAAAAATGTTCAATAACTCTAAAGCACTGGAAATATTTTAAGCATCACAAGCCTTAATATGAGTCTATTGGCAAGGAAAATGTAAAAGAGTTCTTGATAGTATAGCATCATGTAGTGATTTGACTCTACTCTATAATTTCTAAAATGGACTGCATTTGCTGAACTGACCAGCAATCCCTCCCCTTATGTACCAGCTACTTCATGCTCACTGAATGACATGGACCTTGCTTTTCTGAACACAAGTGTCCAGGTTATTGAACATGCTAGACTCTGTAGGCATACCAGGAAGCATCTTTCCCCATCCAACTACTGCTTCAATCATATCATGTCAGATTCATCTATTCATCCATTTAACCAATATTTATTGTACACCCACTATGGGCCAAGTACTATTTAAGGCTCATTAGAGTATGAAGTGGAAACAAAACAACACAAAAGATATACAACAATCCTATCTTCTTGGAGCTTAAATTCTAATGGGGGAGACAGACAATAAACATAATGATTCTTTTCTGCCGCTAAACTCAGGCATATTCCATAGGTTTTCTAGTATTTTTCATGTATTAACAGTGTCAATTTCAGCTATTACAAAATCCCATTCTATCCAAACTCAAACGTTCATTTCATATCCAATTCGAAGCTCCTTTCTCTTTTCCAGCTCAAGCTTGCCTACACTGGGAGACCTGTGATAGGGAGAGGGAAAGAGCTCTCTGCCTTCTATCTCCTTGTTCTCCCTCTTCTTCTCCTCATTAACTTCTGCTTCTGAGTCTTTCCAACTGCAACAGGCCTAGGCCAAGTGATTCTAAGAGCTCTGTGGACACTCAACTCCACATACCAAGGAAAAGAGCCTCCCAAGAGTGTTTGCAACCATGTGGACATCCATGTTGTATGAGGTGTCAGTCTCCTCTTCAGCTCTGTATCTACATCTAAACAAATGGTTCTCTTTTGAAGTTTATCTTGAAGTGGGAAAAAAAAAAACCTCACATCCCTTGCCCAGTGGAAATAAGATGCTGCAGCGCTACCCTTGATAGGCCTATAGTTTTCTTTCACAAAGCATTCTTGACTCTCCAGCTAGTCTCACAATATTAACCTGGAGACGGGTGATAGGTTAAGGGTTAAAGCACCATTTTGCTATTTATTAGCAAAGCCCTTCTGAATGGTGCAGTTCAGTAGAAATATAATGCAAGCCACATATATTATTTTGAATTTTCTGGTAGCCACATTAAAAATGTCCAAAGAAACAGGTGAAATTAATTTTAATAATACGTTTAACTGGATTAATCTACAATTTTATTATTTCAACATGCAACAAGTATTAATCAGATATTTCACATTTTTTTCACACTACATTATTGAAATCCAGTGTGTATATAAGTTCTGGAACATCTCAGTTCCACTAGCCACATCTCAAGTGCTCAATAGACTCTTGTGCCAAAGGCCTACCATACAGAACAGTGCAGGGATAAATTTTCCCTTGAAAGTGGGATAACAGTTACTTTTTATTCTTACTCACGACCTCTGCCAAAACTGTGAGACAATCGCAAAAGTCAATTTAACATACTGAGCCTTCACAAACCTTTCTTGCCGATCACACCATCCCCTCTGTCCCTCCCACCCACTCTCCATCATCACCTCCTCCTCCTCATCCTCCTTCTGCTCTCTCTCTTTCCCTCTCTCCTCCCTCCCTCTATCTCTAATTTGCTTACATTGATCCATTGAGTTCACATAACAGGCACTGGGGTCCTAATTGTGGAGAAAATTTCCATAAAGTGGTTGAGAAAGAAATGAACGGGTTCTCAGACAGACACTTTTGCTCTCAGTTTCCTTCCTCCTTCCCTCCTTTTATTCCCTTCCTTCCTAAAACATTCACTATGTTAAATTATCATCTTATGTAAAATGTTACCAACTTGCAGTATGTATGTGGAAAGGCAAGCAAAGAGAAAAAGAATCTTCTTAAAGCTGTCTTAAAATTTTATTTCTCATCCTAAAATTTCATTATGGTGCCATTTCATTTAGGGAAGGGTTTGGAAATATAGGATTTTACTAGAGCATGTAACAAGAGATATACAGACTAGAGATTAAATGCAAGATTCCTTTCCCTTTCCCTTTCCTTTCCTTTCCTTTTTTTTCAGAGTCTTGCTCTGTCGCCCAGGCTGGAATGCAAGTGGTGTGATCTTGGCTTACTGCAACCTCCCCCCACCTCCCTGGTTCAAGAGATTCTCTTGCCTCAGACTCCTGAGTAGCTGGGATTACAGGCGTGTGCCACCACCCCCGGCTAATTTTTTGTATTTTAGTAGAGACAGGGTTTCACTGTTGCCCAGGCTGGTCTCCAACTCCTCAGCTCAGGCAATCCGCCTGCCTCGGCCCTCGGCCTCGCAAAGTGCTAGGATTACAGGTGTGAGCCATGGTGCACGGCCTAAATGCAAGATTTCTTTTAGGCTAGTGGATTTTCCAAGTTCTTTTATTCTTTATTTGGCTGAAATAAACAGATAGGTTCAATGATAAATATCTAGAGAACAAACACATAAAGCTGGAACTGGGGGAAAAAAATCATCTAGTAAAGTAACATCCCCAGATAAAGACAATATTTTTTGTTTATTTTTATTTGTTTGTTTTTGAGGTCAATTTCTGCCTATTTTTCAAGTAAGTTATGACTCCCTAATTTCAAAGGAAAGATTTAAATTACATTTCTCTGTACTGGTATGGTGCTTCAAAAAATAATGAAGTGAATTGGTATGTTCAGGAAAAAGTTATTTACTGTAATTTGAGGGTTAGAGATTGAAGAGTAAAAACCCAAACTTCCTAAAGCTGATTTTTGGTAACATTTTAAATTATATTTAATCAAATCACTAATTAAATAGCCAATATACTGAAGAAAATGATTTTAGAAACATCCTAGGTTATTTCTTCTCTCTGAATTACTGTCATAACTATGAGAAGGTAAGATACTATCTTTAAAATGAAATATAAAATTTAGGTCTTATCCAGTTTTGAATAATAAAGACCTCGTTGCTGTTTCCACAAGTTAAGTACCTGCAGAAAGTCAATCAGGGCAATTATATTCGGCCTATATACATTTTTCTTCACAATTTTAATTCGATTCAGGCTTAAAACTGTTTCTATTCAACAACTGTTTACGCCTGGATGAGGTGAAGCATTTCAGCTGTTAGTGGAGTAAATTCCATAAATATTATCATAAAATTCTCAGAAACCCTTCAATATTAAAATGCCTTGCAAAGGGAGTACGTTATTTAATCATTAAATAGGATACTAATGAGTCCTTATTAAACCTTCCAGATAAACATTGTATTGACATCTAGTGGCTACAGAGGCTGATAACAGATATACTATATTGAAAGCATGTGGGGTAGCTTAATATGTTTTCCATTTAAAACATCTCCTGAATGAAAAATGGGCAAAGTATACATAATACTAAATAATGCTAAGGTATTGACAAGAAAATATAAATATCTTTGTATTGATATGTTAAATGCCAGGGATGGATTTGTGGTGGTCTGAAGAAAGAATAATATCAGAGCTGCCCAAGAAATGTATAAAATATACCCAGATATTTGGTGGTAGATTTACTAAGGCATGCAAATAATAATGTCAACCACCATTTACAGAGTTCTACCTACCTCCCAATCCTGCAATGTGCTTAACAGATCTTACCTTATTTAGACCTCAAAAATATCCTTGAAATAAAATATTATTTACACCTTGCTGTTACCAGTGAGGAAACAGACTATGAGAGGTTAAATTATTTGTGAGGGTTACACAGCTAGCAAAACTGCAGTCAGGATTTGAAACTGATCTGACCAAACCTGAAGTCCAAACTCAGGGAAACCAAGCTTCTTTCTACCTTTGTGCATTAATGACTTTATTTGAAATTAATAAATTAAAAATAATTGTATTCTTCCTTTCAACTTGCTTTGTGACATTTTAAGCTCACTATGTGACAACTGAAATTTGCTTTTTGATCTTTGAGCAATTATTCCTGCTGCACGTTAATTTGAACTTGTTTCTACATCCAGGACTTGACATCCATCATCATGTGACATGTATGTGTGTTCAATAGTTCAGAAATACAACCCACCCACAAAGAAGATAGGGTTCTCTCACTGGTATATGTTTCTTTGACTTTAAAAAATGTTTTTGTGTGTGTTTCTTTGCCTCCGAAAGAAGATTTATTTGAAAAGCTGTCATAGAAAAGTGCCATGGCAAGAAGTAAATTTACAAGAGGAAGTTGAGAAAATTCAAGGTGGTGACCTAGCAAATGAAAATGTGGAACTTGAAAAAGGGCATGCGAACAAGAAAGGGAAGAGGAACAGCTGGGTACAGGGAGCAGTTGGGGGTAGAATCTGTTGGGAAGGGAAATGGTGAGCAGGAGCACCGGGGGATAGAAGCAGGGATAATGATGGATTTTACAAAGCTCAGTTGATGCAGGAAACAGGCCCTTGATGTGGAAGGCCAAAGGGCAGCAGCCACTCTTTTTATAATTGTTCAAATAAGTACATAATTTGCATAACTTGAACAAAAGAAAAACAGAACAGTTATAGATGTATATAACTATCAGTCCTAGGTCTTCCTTCCTGGCTCTTTGGATGATTCTGATGCAGTACCAGATGTGTGCGTTAGAATAAAATAGGTTGTTGAAAGGCAGAAGAACATGACTTAAGGAACACGTGTTTCTAAGGCCTAAAGCAATTCCAGGAACTCTAGAGAGACTCTTGGTCATCCATGTTGCAGAATCGCCCTCTGCAGAAGCTCTTTGGTGCAGAAACATTTATTAAGCATGGCTATCAGTCCACAGGCTGACTCCTATCCAGACCCATAATTCTAGGGACAGCTTGGAACAGAAGGAGCCTATGAAAAGAGAATAAAGAGCTGAATTGCATAGGATGTGTTTAAGAAGCACACTGACGAGGTGTTCATAATGAGCAAGGGAAATGACAAGAAGTCTGACAGTAGCATTTTGTCAGGAAAGTGATGAGCCTATTGGGAGAAGACAGATAGAAAACTAGAGTCTGAAACAGAAGTCCACTATAATGAGATAAAAAATCACTAAGGGTCTTAACTTAGCTCTTGGATGAAGATTGAAGAAAGGAATAGAGCCCGCCTGTGGTTTTTTTAGATAAAAGGGAAAGAAATAGGTAATGCTGAAAAGGAAACTTTTTCATGCTTAAACTGGGGGATAAGATACCAAAGATAGCTAAAGATAGGAAATTGAATAAGAGCTGAAAACTCAGAGGGATAACAGTTGATCTGTAGTAATTTAGGGGATGAAAGAGTATAAAAGGGAAAATAAGAAAGAAGTTGAGAGTGGATGTGAGTCTGTAAGCGACTTTAACAGAAGCACTGGGTATGTTGATGTGACGCTTCTCAGAAAAGACAGCAGATCAAGGAGCCGTGTCCCTGAAATCAACCGCAAGATGGAGAAGCATTTTTAAAAAACCATGTATAGGAGAGGACACTGGTGCCTTTTCAGACCAAATTAGAAAAAACAGAGGCAGAAAGCATTTACAGAAATGGTTCTCAAATTTTGCTGGATATCAAAACCTCCTGGACTGCTGATAAACACTAAGAAATCAGAATGTGTGGGGCAGAAGCCAAGTCTTAGAATTTCTGAAAGATTCTCAGGTGATTCCAATTGCAGGAAAGTGTGAGAACCACTGACAGAGCATGCTTTAAATTTTTGGAGGGAAATTGAAGTACAGGTGCTAGGTGGATTGGTCAAAAAAGGACAGAAGTCATCTCGTGATGTGGGAAGTGCGGTTTATTAATAATCCACATCAAACCTAACACTAACCCCTCACTGGGTTGTACTATTTTCTTCATCCTTTCCTTCCACTGAGGCTCCCTCACAGTTTACTTTTGTGATTGTGATGCACTGGATTTTCTCTTACCATCTCAGTATATTAACATACTGAGCACACAGATTACAGAACTTTGTATGTCAATTGAAAAATGAAAAATGCTAGGTTGATGAAAAGTTGGCATAAATTAGTCACAACATATTCAAAAATCCAGCTTGAATGCTGAGCTACACACAGGATATGCATAAAAATCTGATGCAGTGATTATTTCGTGCACAGGGTATTGAATTTATGCTATCATCCTTTAAACATTAACAACTTACGAGGTTATCAGAAATGCTTCCATTCAAATTTCCGAGGTGACTTCAAATAATACGTTTTGCCCTTCTTTAGCTTTGCTTTTAAAAAACATGGTTTGTATTCATTGTTGTCACAGAAAACTTCTTTTCCATAAGAAATCAACTTTTATTTAAAAATTCTGACAAATGTTGGGGTCCATTTTATTTTCTGTCTTTGATTAGGCTTGTTTAATTCTGAATTATCTGCCTTTGCTTTGAGGCCAAACAGGATTAAAGTTTCAAGTATAGTATGCTAAATTTATAATGTGAATTTAAAACCAAATTACTTATAAGAAACCAGTATCAGCACCTAGGGACAAGGCTGAGCTATTAGCATAATTTATACCAGTGAAGATACTACCCTAATTATTTGTGGCCAATTATCAATTACTGGTCAATGCTAGAATCACTCTCCATAATTATTTCCCTCTGGTATCTTCCCTAGATATAATGGAGAACTTCATCATATTTTCTTTTCCCTAGAAAAACAATACTTATTTGTTTCTATAGGATTTTCAATCTTCGAGAAAACCAAATCTAAACTTTCAATACTGAGAATTTCCCTAAAATTTTAAATCTTCAAGTCTTAAATAGCTAAGGAAAGGAACTGAATATATCCATTGTCTACAAAGTATTTAGAAAAAACATTTAAATTTTTCTGTTCCTATCCATATTATTTTTGACTAATTTCAATTCTGATTTTTTTTTAATTTGAAAAGATTAATTTATACTTCATAACATTTTTAACATTAATTCCTTTTCTTACATATATTGTTCCTTTCTATTAAAATCAATCCCAAAGCCTGCAAACACCAACCTTACATTTGAATTCCTAATGACTCCTCCTATTGTCTCATTTCTGTTTGAACCTGTCAATCAAGGGTGAAAAGTGCTAATCACTCCCAGAAACCCCAATCTTGCTCACAAAAGTACCAGTCACTGAAAAAATAATACTGATTGGTCATGGATGGGCAGGAAATCTCACTAGGGATCTAACCGCACAATGGAGTTTATTAAGTCCATTTTGCTCAAGTCCAGCTCTCCCTGCATGCAAGGGTTTGAGACTTTAATTTCAAAGTCAGCTAAAACCGGCTAAGGTAACTTATATTCATTAGCTAGGCTCTGACTGGAGCGCTGTAAAATCTCTTGGTTAGTGCTTTTGGCTTTCGATAATAGCAGTAGCATTTATTTTTACTCTTTGTTTTCCTCCCTGTCTTTTTTAAAGAGGGGGACGAGATTTAGTTGGATGCTAGTTGTTTTAAATTCTTAATTGGTCCATGTTCTTTTTTAGCTGCTTCTTATTTTTGTACCTAATTCCTGTAAATGACTAAACATCCACAAGGAAGATATTTCTCATTAATTCTCCCTATGCAGCAGTGCCCTTTCTCAAAGCCACGGCTGCATTTATTACTGAAAAGCAGTTATGATGTGTATATACAGCAAGGGCCATAAAGTATCGTAGCCTCAGGTCACAGAAGGGGATGAGGTTCAGCAGTCTTATTGTCCACATTATGAGGACACCAACTTTCTTCCAGTCGTTTTTTTTCTTTTTTTTTTTTTAACTGTAGCTTATTTGCTTTCTTAGAGGTGGCAGCTGCAAAGGGCTGGTGTGAAGGAAGAAAGGAAGACGGCACTATCATTAAAGAATAAACAGTAATTACCTTGTAGAAATCTCCAGAGTGATTGATTACCTCTTCAGTTTATAAGAACAGGCCTGGGAATATACAATAATTGATTTCTATTACTTATGTGTATTTTCCTTTTAACTTTCCAAAGAAACAATGTGGTTTAATTGACTTTAATTTCAAATTATGCATTTTTATGACTTCTGGAGTTGGCTAGGAATTAAATGAACAGACTTGCTAGCCCCATGAGCCATATTATCAATTGAAAACAAAAAGACATAGTGTGTATGTGTGTGTGTGTGCGCGCGCGTGAGAGAGAGAGATGTTATATGTCATTACATGTCTTGTACTTATCACTGGGTTGCTTTTGTCTTTTAATGTAGGTAGTTGCTAGGTTTAGTTTGAGTTAGACAAACTCCAGGTTTAATCAAAATGTGAGACTGAGAAGTGGTTATAGCAAGATCTGGCATAGGCACAATAGAGATGAAATCTCTTCAATGCAGACCTGATGGATATGTGCAGGGCAGTCACTGGAGCAGGGTCAAGCTGGGCATTATGAGACCTCAAATTGCACTGTCCCTGCTGTAATGCCACGGCCTAGTCAAAATCCTGTAAAACTGCACGAAACCGAATTTATTTAACCTGTACCTTCAGCCTACACTTTGATATCATGAAAATCAGACATGTTTTTTAATAACTGTATACCTTTTGCTGGCTGGGAAATTGAGGCAGGAATTGCCACGTAATGCATCTGGGAGAAAAGGAATCAAATTAAAACCAGACCCTTGCACCTGACAACACTGACAGTGGGCTTAGGCCATGTAATATTTTGCCATTAGACAAAGCAGCCATAATGGTCTTCTCTGAAGCATTCTATCTTCTGGCTTCTTGCAGATTACTTTACAATACTTCTCTGACACATTACACATGTACACATGTGGTACACTGTATCTTTCTCATTTATAGTACCTTTCATATTATATTGTAAATATTGGTTACTTGGTCTTTCCTCACTTTTTTGAAATAATTGCTCTGTTTTAAAATTTTCATTTTCCTTGCTTAGCCCAGTGTCTGGCACATTTCAGGTGACCAAAGATTTGTGTACCACAAGCTAAAACGATGGCTCTCTGCAGGACTAATGATCATCTTTCAGGCAGATGCTGAGATTTTCATTTTTCTTTGTTTGGACAAAAGTGATTAGTATACCATTTATTCTTTAGTACTATAAACAAAGCAATGGTGCAAAATAACAAAAGATAGCAGAGCTCAACAGTGAGACAACATTTCTCTAAGTTCAGTGACACAAAGGCACTATAAATACCATCATAGGGACGTAAAACTAGGAGTTAGTGTACCAACATTTGCGGGATCTAGAAAAATTTTTCATTTTTAATATTACTTTGTACTATGATCTCAATAATGAAAAATCTACTAGATTAGCAAGAATGATATTCTTAACACTTGCAGCTTAAAAACAAAATCTTTCTGAATGGAGATCATTTTTCCCCTTCTAAACATGGAACGAAATTAAATATTTAATGTAGCAAACAGATCCAAAATACAAATTAGTTTCTTTTACTTATTTATATATTATCTTATAGTGAAAAAATCATGTGCCACATATTCAAAATAGTAATTAATTTCTGATATCTAATTTATATAATTCCCTAAAAATAATACACAAGCATTCTCAAAATCCAAATGTAAAAAGATCAGAACTTAGTATAATTGTCAATGAGTTGACACTGCTGAATAGCTTTCTATTGAAAGAATTATTGCTTTTATGTTGTGTAAAATATTTGTAACTATAGGAAATCAAATTGTGATATTTGAAGTTGTCATTTTAACAGTGAATGATTTCACAAACAATACAGTAGATCTAAACAACGTAGCTGAAATATGTGACCACCGACAACACAGTATCACTTGGACAATGCCACCAACAGCATGAGTGACACTTGATGGTAGAACAGTGGGCGACTGGTTCTTAGTGGTCCTACACTTTGTCAAGTATTCCTTTTTCTTTTCTTCTTCTTTTTTTTTTTTTTCTCCCTGGTGGCTATTTGTCATTCTCTGAAGACTACAGCCTTCTCTTCCCCTGGACCTTTTTGAACTCTGCTGTCTTTGAATATCACGGATATTGCAAAAGAAACTATTTACTAGGCAGTAATTATATGCCACCCCTCATGTAAAGGTAAATGATAATGAGGTATGTGCAAAGAATAGGCAGTCCTGTCAAAAGGAAAAAGAGCGGCTTTTAAAACTTAGAGCTATACAAAATGCCTTATAGACTTGTTCTGGAGTAACTGTATCAATTAACCACGGTAAAAGCCCTAACTCAGATGGGCACTGCACACAGCATGTCTACCAGTGTTTTATTATCAAGTCCATTATGATGAGTTCTTGTCCTAGACAAAGGAAGAACAGAGAAAGAATTCAGGCTGACAAATTAGACTTGAAATCAGTTTCATTTACATAACGACTGGAAGTTCATTAATAACAGAGTTTTAATTATTCATGCTCTTGTTTCACTAGATACAGCAGTTTTTCCCCTGCTGTGTGGGATGTCTGGATTAGCTAAAATGAACCTAAGCAAACTGATAGGCTGCCCAGATACTCAGATGCTTTTCTATTTTCACATACTAGAGATGGGTGGGGGTTGGGGGGATGGAGTGCGTGTACAAATTGCGGCTGGGTAATGAGGAGAGATAGGGAGAGGAAAAGGAAGGCACTAAATAGAGAGAAAGGAAGCTGGCCAGCATGATTTCTTTGGGGCTGTATTACATGTTTGCAGAAAAGAAAGAGAAGGAAAAAAATGCAACTGTTGTGCATTTGTATTTGACGGGAGTTTCCACTTGAGACGATAACACTTTAAGTATCAATCATTTCAAGATTTCCTGCTGGGGCATACTACTAACATGATGATGTGTATGTATGCAATTCATTTCCTTTGGATATAGGAGCACTAGAAGGGTTTGTTTTTGTTTGCTTGTGTTTAAAAAAAAAAGGAAGAGAGGAAGTAGGAAGGAAACTTTTTTCCTTCCGTATTATCAGGACGAACCTAAGAAACAAGTTTAAAGTAGGCTTTAATACAATTTTCTTTTAATGAGAGTGGTGGTGATATTTTCATTCTTACTGGCAATAAACAATGACACCAAGGACACTTTTCTGCAAAGAATTTAAACTGTCTTTATACACATCAATCTCCTGACCCAGCCTTGAACACGACCTTGTGAAGTAAGTAGTTGAGGGCCAATTGCTCAGGGGGTTATTGCGAGTCTGGTTCATTTGCTGTCTACATGTTTTACTAATTTAGGTAACTATCTCACAAAAAGAGAATCCACGACACATAAAACAAGACCAAATTGTTCCCAACATCTTTAAAGTCCACTGAGGAGTGAAAGAGGCCAGAGGAAAACCTCCTTTTCATTCTGAAATCCGACAGCAGTTGCAGCCTTGGGTTTTCAAAGATGTCTCTGGAGCAGTTTTGTAACAAAAGTTCTCAATTTGGGGAACTGTCATCTAAAACAAATACCAGAAGTATTTTGAAGAAAATAATTTTAGCAAGGAGGATTTATATTTACCAAGAGCTGACTGAGTACCAAACATTCAGTCTAGAAGAGGGTCTACACTCTTCTGCTTGGTTTAAATGTCAAAAAATTTATGTCTATTTCACTGAGGAAGAATTTGAGTCTCAGAAAGACCACAGGTGCATCTAGCAAAGGAGGAAGGAATCCAACCCACATCTGTCTGACACCAACTCTCCCCTGCTACATACACATTTGAAGACCATGACCATTTGTACTTCCTACAAAGTTTACACAACTTGTTTTTTCTTTTCTTTTTCTTTTTTTTTTTTTTTTTTTTGAGACATGGTCTCACTCTATTGCCCAGGCCGGAATGCAGTGGTGCAATCACAGCTCACTGCAACCTCAACCTCCTAGGCTCAGGCAATCTTCCTGCCTCAGCCTTCTGAGTACCTGAGACTACAGGTGTGCACCACCCCTCAGGGCTAATTTTTGTATTTTTTGTAGAAATTGGGTTTTGCCAAGTTGCCCAGGGTGGTCTCAAACTCCTGGGCTCAAGCAATCCACCCGCCTCGGCCTCCCAAAGTGCTGGGATTATAGGCATGAGCCACTGCCTAGCCAACTTATTTTTCTGTCCTAATTTTTTTACCCTTTTTCTGATAAATGATTTTCTACAAAATAAATATAATGACCCAATTTAAAGAATATGGATAGCTTTCTTAGGTCTTGAATGATCAAAAAGTCTTAAAAAGTCATATATCAAACACTTAATAAAATACTTGGAAAATCTGAGGAGCAAGATGTTAATGAGAACAAGGGCCAAGTAACAATAACTGAGTAAAAATCGGACCACACTACCTGGTAACTTTACATCACACGCATTGTTTGTAGGTCATGTAGGAAAAAAATTAATCACCAGAATCTGCCATTTCTTATCAAGTCTGCTTGTCTCCCTCCCTCCCTCCCTGATGTGTCCAGAATTTGTTCCTTCTGGTGGGTTCTTGGTCTCGCTGACTTCAAGAATGAAGCCACAGACCCTCACGGTGAGTGTTACAGCTCTTAAATGTGGCACAGACCCAAAGACTGAGTAGCAGCAAGATTTATGATAAACAGCAAAAGAACTAACCTTCCACAACATAGAAGGGCAGCAGAGCAGGTTGCTGCTGCATGCTGGGGTGGCCAGCTCTTATTCTCTTATTTGGCACGGCCCATGTCCTGCTGATTGGTTCATTTTACAGAGTGCTGATTGGTCCATTTTACAGAGTGGTGATTGGTCCATCTTACAGAGTGTGATTGGTCCATTTTACAGAGTGCTGATTGGTCCATTTTTACAGAATGCTGATTGGTGTGTTTACAATCCTCTAGCTGGACACAGAGCACTGATTGTTGTATTTACAATCCTCTAGCTAGACAGAAAAGTTCTCCAAGTCCCCACCCGACCCAGAAGCCCAGCTGGCTTCACATGTCACTCTCTCCCTCTTTCCCTTCCTTTGTCTCTCTCTTTCTCCACCACCCCCCCCCCCCTTTCTTCTTTTCTTCCTTCTTTGGAAGACTATCAGCCATTCTTTTCTGTTTAGAAGAATTCTTGCCTACTGGCAGGTTTTAAATTTGTTTCATTTCATGCCTTTATTCCTGGACAGTTTTCCCTGCCTTCCCACACCCCACTCTGCTTTTTGGCCTGTTTTACAGAGCTATCTTTATATAGGAGATTTTGAATGATGAATTACTGCTTCAGAGTGATCAGAAAGTATCAACATATTTACAACATTGTATCCTCTTTTTATCTCTCTGAAGTATGTATAGATATTAAAGTACAAAGAGCTTGCATGACATGCCTAAGGGGGGAAAAGTGTTTCGAAAAGATAAAACAAGATCCTTTGCTAGTGAACTACCTACCCCAAGCAACAAGCTCAGTTTGAGATTAAAATGCAATAAATGGACAGTTAACACTATGTAAAAGTTAGAATCATTGAAGGTAACTGGGCATTACTGACACTCTATGATATCTGAGATAGCACTTTCTCAAAAATTGCCTAGTCAATAGGAAAATTAAGCTAAAAAGGACACTCTTCTAAATCCTTGACCAAGGATTACTACAAACATCTGATATGTTCTTGAAAAAGATAATGAAAATAAAACCTCTTAAAAGGCCAAAACCAAAGGAAAAAAAAAAGAAAAGAAAAGAAAAAAAGAAAGCTTTTACTGCTCAGTGGGTAGTATGATTGTTCTGCTTTAAAAACATTTAGTTCTATTTTCTGGGCTTCATTTCTCCTTTAAAAACTTAGAAATATCGCCAAAGGACAGAGAAAACAATGGAAGGTTGTATGGGGAAGAGGAAGAGATGGAAAAGACATCTGGATTATGTTTGATCTGGCAGCTCTTTCCCTTACCCTGTTCAGTGGATGCTGCCCTGGGCAAGCAGAGGGGTCTGCCTGTACTAATATTTGATTTCCAGGTGCAAGTATTCACTCATCTAAATCCTGACCATATGCCGTCATACATCTGCATAAGTACTGCTGTTTCCTTTAAACAAATATAAAATGTACACTTGACAGAGACATGCAAGATAGATGATCCTGAAAGAGGGAAAACTCCAGCAATTTTGCAAGGAAGACAGTCCACTGCAATGTTTCCTATAGTCTGTGTCCTTCCATGCCTTTTGCCTAGTTAGGAACAGTATTCAGAGGCAATTTGGTAGGACCCAGGAGATCGAAATTTCTAGTCTTGTTTCTGACCATTTTATTCTTTGTTAATAAAGTAAAAGGGGTGGCTCTTCAAACTCCAAGGAGCACATCCAGTCAATGGGGAAACAGTAAATATACACAAATTCTGCAAGCCATGCTGCCCGAGATTCTGATACTTTATGTCTGAACTCAGGCCTAGGGAATCAGAAATTTTAAAGAAAGTTTTAAGAGATTATAATATAACCTGTCAAAGACAGGTTTTAGGGATAACCATCCCTTTAAGGTAAAATTATGCAATTTTTTTAACTTTGAAAAATGAATCAATTCATAAGTTTTTCTTAAGTTGGCTGAGGTAAAGCAGCTGTTGTAAATTTTTTCTTTTTTTAAAAATAAAATGAAACAAATATCTACTTTAGTTATGTGGTATGATATATAATAGACACAAAATAATATTCTGGAGATATCAACCCAATCACTTCAAACACTATATATATAGTGTTATATAATTAATATAAATCATTAATATAAAAATTTACATGACAAAAATAAAAATAGGCAAATGGGAGGACATCAAACTAAAAAGCATCTGCATGGGAAAGAAAATAATCAACAGAGTGAAAAAGCAACCTAAGAAATACAAATGGGCAACAGGTATATGAAGATATTCAACATCACTAATCAGCAGGGAAATACAAATCAAAACCACAATGAGATATCACCTTGCACCTCTTAGGCTGCTTATTACAAAAATAACAAAAGACAAAGTGTTGGTGAGGCTCTGGAGAAATTGAAACCCTTGCAAACTGCTGGTAGGAATGCAAAATTGTGCAGCTGCTATAGAAAACAGTACGGAGGGTCTTTAAAACACTCCAAATTAAAAATAGAGCCACCACATGATCCAGCAATCCTGCTACTTAGTGTGTGTATGTGTGTGTGTGTATATATATATATATATATACAAACACATACATATATATATATACACACACACATACACACACTAAGCAGGATATATATATGTGTGTGTATATATGTGTGTGTATGTGTGTGTATATGTGTGTGTGTGTATATATATATACACATGTATGTATGTAAAGGAAATAAAATCAGAATCTTAAAGAGATTATTAAGACTCTCATGTTTGTTGCCACATTATTTACAATAACCAAGGTGTGGAAACAATCTGAATGCCCATAGGCAGATGAATGGATAAAGAAAATGTGGTATGCACATACAATGAAATATTATTGCACCTTAAATAAATAAAGAAGGAAACTCTGCAATATGTGACATGGATGAACCTTGAGAACATTATGTTATGTGAAATAAGCCAATTACAGAAGGACAAATACTTCATGATCCTACTTGATTCTACTTGAGGTATAGTAAAACTCACAGATGCAGGGTAGAATGGTGGTTGGCAGGGTTTGGAGGAAGGAGGAATTGGAGAGTTGTAATAGCAACAGGAGACAGACAGATTCCTAGGCAGACAGGGATGGGTCCCTGGTGAAACCTGACCTTCAAGCCAATGACAGTTCAAAGCCTGAAGACTGAGCTGCCAGTTCTGGATAGAGTCCACAACCAGAGTGAGAACTTCCTTGTTGCCTTTAAACCAATTGAGTGGTGCTTTTTCCAAGACCACCCATAGACCAATCAGCACACACTCCCATATTCTGAGCCCTTAAAAACCCTGGACTCAGCCACACAGATGGCTATCTGCTTTTGGGTCCCCTCTCACACAGAGGGTTACCCACTCTCAGATCCCCTCTCCACTGAGAGCTTTCCTTCTGTCACTCGATAAAATTATTCTCTGCCCCACTCACTCTCCAGTGTCCGTATACCTTATTCCTTCTGGTGGCGGGACAAGAATCCGGAACTTGCTGAGCTGTGGGCAGTGGGAACGAATGAACTGTAACACGTCCCTGTTCACTGAGCTGCAGTCAGGAGGAATGAGAGAGAGCTGTAACATTTCCTGGGGGCTCAGACCTCAGGACTCCCCGAGCAAAAGCTGTAACACTCCTTGGGACTCCTGGTTTCTGGCATCTCCTAGTTTTCAGGCGCCACCACATCCACCTCATCTAAACACTGGTGCCCAACATGGAAGCCACTTTGTGGCATGCCCTGTTCAGCCATGGGCTGAGGATGGAGCCATGGCAGGCACGGGATCTGGGCCAGTAGTGCAAGCTGAGTGTAGCCTGCTGGGCTGAAGCGGATGGTGTGAGTCCAGAGGACTGAGTGAGGCCCTGGGCAGAGGTCATGTGGCTGCAGAGATTTCCCACTGGGAAAGTGGCACCATAGGAACCCTGTAACACTAACCCTTCCTCTGGCTGCAGCAGAAAAGAACGTGCCGGGCGCCATTCCCTCTCACTCACCAAACTTCAAAAGCCACAACAGTTGCTCATCAACATATAGAGTTTCAGTGATGCAAGATGAATAAATTCTAAAGCTATGCCACACAACATTATGCCTATAGGTAACAACATGTTATTGTACACTTGAAAATCTGTTAAGAGGGTAGATCTCATGGTAAGTATTCTTACCACAATAAACAAAACATCACAAACAATATTTACCAACCATTGGCAAATTGCTATTTTTCAGGTCTATTTGCCAAACAGAACAGTCTATGTGGTATAACTACTGAGTTTGTCAATTTGGGCAACATTGCTTAATTTCCCTGATTCTCAATTTTAGCATCTGTAAAACAAAAATGATAATATTTTTCATATTGAGCCTTTGTGAGAATTCAATACAAGTGAAAGCATCATAGTAGCTGAAAACATGGCAGTTAATATCTGATTGGAAGTTAGGATGCCAATTTTGTCCACTGGTCATTCAATTCAAAATCTGAGGTTATGTAAATTCCATAGTGGCAAATTGAAGCACACATGTAATTTGCTCTCCAGAATGACATCAATAATGATTCTAAAGCTCCTGCTATGGCTCCTATTATGAAATGATGTGAGGCCTCCATTTGGAGAGTGTAAAAGGTATGGAGATGACCAGAAGAAGAAATCCTGAAAATATCATAACTTTCATATTTCACTTCTGGATCATTTTATATACAAATCCAAAATTTAAAAAAAATTCATTTGGCTGGAAATCTTGTCAATTCCCACTTTTGTAGTTTTAACAACTATTAAAGAGGAATTTAACAAAAAGTAAAAGAAAAAAAGTTTTTTTGCTAGTGACATTTTACTATATTTCAATTCTTTGGTTATTAGTCAATAATCAAATACTGTTTAATAGTATTGCTTTAATAAGCAAAAACTTAATTCTCTGAGAATGGTAAAGAATAGATAACACTACTAAAAAAGAAAAGAAAAATTTTCAGAAACAATAAGCTGATTAGTATCGAGTGTCTAAATTTTCCCAGCATTCAAAAAATAAATTAATAAATAAATTAATTTTCCTAGTTCATTAAGAGTGGAGGTCCACATTTTCTTTTTGTAGTATATTGAAGTTTTTAAAAATAGGAAACAGAAAATGTTCATGTACCATATTAACTTACTACTGAGCAAAGGTTTCTGTGGTCAAGAGACCTTTTTGTTATATTGTAGGGGAAAGAAAGGGAAAGGTTTAGGAAAAAAAGAAATTTGTCAGCACTTGGAAAACTATCTTCACTGAATTAGGCAGAATTTTTGTTTCCTTTCATATTTTACATCTTTCTTGTAAAGGATGGAAAATGAATTTAGCACCATATTGGGGGATGCCTTCAGGTATTATGTAAATATCTTAAGGATAAATAAAATTTGAATTAAACTTACAACTCTGTGCATTGGGCTTCAGTTCAGGTAACAACATGACAAGGAAGAGAAGAAGAGAGGAAGGGAGAAGAATCATGAAAATAAAGTAGAAGCTTAGGAAGGAATGAAGTTAGAAAAGAAAAAGAGAGGAAGAGAGCAAAGAGGAGGAAAACAGAAGACAAAAGGAGGAGCAGACAGGTGGGATAACAAGTTCTTATATAAACTGCAGCAAAATCAAGAACTATTTTGTGGGAGGGCAGTTCAAAAGGCAGTTACACAATGATGGTCAAACCACCTGTAATAAAACTGCCTGAAAATGTTTTCCTCTCATAGGCTGAAAACTGTAGCTTGTTTAGGAAAGGAGGATGTGATGAAAGTATAAATGAAAATTTCACAAGCAGATGGGGATTTATGGGGCCAAATACATGACTAAGTTCTATGATACACATAATTATACAACATAAATAATGACTTGAATAAAAAGTGGGATCAGGAGTGACGGCTTATGCCTGTAACCCTAGCACTTTGGGAGGCCAAGGCAGGAGGACAGCTTGAGGCCAGGGCTTTGATACTAGCCTGGGCAACAAAGCGAGACCCTGTCTCTACAAAAAATAATAATAATAATAAAAATTAAAAAAATTAGCTGGATATGGTGGCACACACTTATAGTCCCAGCTACTCAGAAGGCTGAGATGGAGCATCACTTGAGCCCAGGAGGTTGGGGCTACAATGAGCTATGATAATGTCACTGCACTCCAGCCTGAGCAACAGAGACCCCATCTCTTAAAAAAAGAGAAAGGAAGAAAGAAAAACAAGTGTATAATACAAGCATTTGCCATTTCCTTAAATATCATATCCTAAGTAAACTGAGACCCACACTTGTGTTGTTATGTAACACTTTGAAGACAATCTCAGCAATAAATTGTAAGAGTGCATTGATACTTAAAATTAATTACTAAGACCCTTCCAAATGTATTAGGCTTTTATGAGGTTATTAAACTTATTTTAAAAATAAGTTTTTAAAATCAGAAAGTTTGAAACTTACAACTATAATTTCTGGTGATTTAAGAATTCATCCAATATCTGGTGATCAAGGATTCACTCAAGATTCAAGAATCTAAATATCAAAAATTCACCACATCGTTTATAATATTTCACTATGACCTCATCCTTGATTCATCCTTTCCTATTTCCAGTCTTTCTAAAATCACCACTCTAACTCCAATGTCTTTCACGTTTCAAATTCCTCTGAGCGCTTGATGCTGTATCTACAATAATGCTGAACAGCATATATGTGTAGTTCTTTGTTTCGAATCCTGCTAAGAAACAGAACATATACAAATTTTCTTGTATGACTTCCCCTTTTTCCACCTTTCAAAAATGACTTCTTCAACTCCTACAGGGAGAAAATAAAAAACAAATAAGCAGAACACATGGCTTCTTCCTTTATGGTCTTCTAATATGTAACACACCTCTGTGCTGAAAAACACTAGGTGTTTTTCAATGGAGCACAGATAACAAGCTCAGTACCGGGATTTCTGTGCATTGGTACGTTTTATTCTTATGAGAAGGAAAATTTTCACGGTTGACATTTTTTTAGGGAGGCAGTGATCTGCCAAGTGCCACACAGCACAATGTTGGAGGTGGAATAGAATTCAGGTCTGGCCAGTTCCAAAGCCTACATCCTTGTGCATCCTGCCTCCTCTTTATCTTTCTAAGACGTCCTAGTTTCCTTTCCACGTTCTGCCCACAGGCTTCTGAGAATAAGGTACTCTAGGGAAGGTACCAGGTTATACCAATTTGTGCTTTGATACACTGACTGACAGAGTAAGTTCACAAAATAACCCGGGAAAGAATAAAACGAGTCAAAGTTTCAACTTTATGATCAAGTTCCTCTTGAGCATTACAGAAAGTACTTGCTTCTCTCTTGGTTAGGTTTCTAGTTGCCTAAACCATGTCTGTATGCTCTGAGAATGAGGAGCAAGAGGGAAGCAAGTTAGAGGATGAGAAACCTGGTCATCTAACGGATCTTTGGGCTTGCTGGCCTTACACCTATGGTCTTGAATTTGTCGTTTTGTCATTTCCACAAACAGGATGTTCACTCTGACTTTCTGCAAAGGAATCTCACCTATTGATCAAACCACAGAACGGCACAGGCTTTAAAATTATGGGAACTTATCTTTGACGGCCTGTTCTAAAACGTTTAAGCAAATCTGGCTTGGTGGAGCCAGAGGCCATAGAAAAGAAAAGGAAGGAGCATTCCAGTTATGGAGGCCCGGATGATGAAAGGATCGCTCTTGATATCTAAATGTTATGTGACATTTTCAAGTTCGTAGTCGATTGACTGCCATGTTCTTGCATTGCTCCCACCAGGTGTTTTTCAACGAAGTGCTAAATTTTTCCTGGCTGATTCCAAGAGGAAACCTTCAGGTAGGTTTAATGCAGAAGATTAAGACTGCATTAAGGCTAAGTCTGAAATGTTCTGCTACCAATTAGCCCTCTAGTATTTCTGTAAGCCTTGAATTTTTGATGCGATCAATGACACCAGTGGAGCCATCTTCTGTGGAGTGGTTATTAAAGATATAAAAATCAATACAAAGATGATACTTGGAAATCTATATCACAAGATAATGAATCACCATGAGAGCAGACTGAGAAGAATGTCAGCAAACCAAACAGAAGGTTTGTGCATAACAAAGTATTTCATGCCAATAGAATTTAAGTTACATTTTGCATGAGACAGAAATCTTCACGCTACATTTGCATGACAAGGTTTTAATAAGATTAAGTCACAAGCCTAATCAGACAAATGCTTCTAGTGCATTAAAAAAGGAAGAAGAAAAAGAAAAAAAAAAAAGAGTGAGGATTGAGATGTTCAAGACTGAGCCAATAATGCCCTGGTTTAACTTTAACTAATGACAAAATAGCATCAAAACTTTCTCTGTCAGTAATCCTCATTCAATTTCTTTTAAACGAAACATTATTTGCCGGCACCTTAAGTCCATAAGTACTGATTGTTATTGGAGCTGTGTATTGGAGCTTCACAGAATAGTCCAAATTTAATTTGAACTGAGGATTGATTTCGTTTCCTTCAAAGGAAGATTTTTTTTCCTTCCAAAACTGAGCTGGTGCATGTCTTTGCAAGCTCATTTTGGTTTTCTCCTTGACACAATTGTAAGTGACATGAGAACATTTATGTGTTTTGTCCTTAAGGGACATCACAACATTGCTAATGATGCCACAAATGACTGGGAGCTGCTTTTTGGCTTTAGAGATATGGATTCCCTAAGACTTTTTATCATTTGCTGCCAGGAAAAGCAAAAATCGGCAAGCCTGCTAAAGTCACCAGTCCACTAAACCATTGTATATTTAATACAGACAGAGTTTTATGCTTGAGATTTCCCAGTTTACAACTATGTAAATAAAGTTTTATAGACAGAGATTAAGAGAGGGTGTGTTTTTGTGTATGTTGGGTGGTGCAAAAGTCATAAATGTTTCTCTTTTCTTCTCTCTCTAGGTACATATGTGAGTCTCCCCACCACTAGAACTCTTAAGTGGCTGCTGTTATGGAAGGTCAGGCTCATAATCACTGCATATTAAGTCCTTAACAGCAATGTCTGGCTCTTCATTAATCTGTAAACTTACTGATTTACCGAGAGATGTCTTTGTTTTTCTCGGCGTTTTTTCATCTACTTCTCACCCTGGTGCCAACGCAATTTCCAGAAAATGAAACAATGATTAGTTTATGCTATTGCATATTAAGTTTGGTTTTCTCTGTATTTACATTGCATGTTTCAAAGGTTGACTTAATCAGCTGTGAGTTGTTATGCAGTTA
Source organism: Homo sapiens (assembly GCF_000001405.40). Lineage (NCBI taxonomy): Eukaryota > Metazoa > Chordata > Mammalia > Primates > Hominidae > Homo > Homo sapiens. The sequence continues at coordinate 81,453,189 of NC_000001.11, read as the reverse complement.
GTCAGAGTGGAATTCCCACAGATTTTTTCCCCCAATGTATCACATAACAATAAGAGAGCTAGACACACCTTGTGTAGTTTTAACAAGTCTTCGCAGTTTTACTTAATTTGTTTCCCTTCCCTTTTACCCCTGAGGCTCCCAAAGCAAATGAACCATTCAGGAGCATAAAACAAGGGGAATTAGTTTAGACTTCAATAAAACACAGACCTCTTGCTGGCAATATCTGCCTTGATGTAGAATGTCTGCATTTTAAAATATTGCCGTGTCTTGATTGTCCTGACACCTCATGATTGTCCTCTTGAGTTCCCATTGCCTGGGGAACTTCAACACTCTCTTCCCTGTTCAGGTCTCATGCTCCTTCTCAATGGTGCTCATACTTTAGGTTTCATATCTTCATCTGCAAAACCTACTCGACTGATGCATGAATATACTCAGCGGTTTTCCAATAGTTCTAGAATTAGGATTCAACTTGGATAGTCTCTGATATCTCTTTTAGGTGGTGTGAAAAATATATAAGGTGCAGGAAATGCTATTCTCACAGGCAGGAGATTCAAAAGTGGCATTTAAAGAAACATATTTTTGTAGAATGAAAGATTTTTGCCTCTTACTGAAGCTATGAAAGTTTTTAGCCCTTACAAGTCAGTAGTCCTGCTTGCTTGGGGATGGGTTTTCATATGTTGAATGATATTATTTATTCATTTACAAATAGCTAATGATGACAAGCCATGGGCTGGATGCTGAGGATACACTTTGTATCAGGGGCATTGAGATAAAGGTGTTCAGTAAAATCGTGTAAGGCTGTTTCTCCCATGAGAGTCACATTTTAATTGCTTTTGTGGGGAAAAATTGGTGTCTTTAAAAGTTTGATTAGTAAACAAATCCAGACCAGATAAATGTCTAAACCTGGGCGGAATAATCAAACATTATTTTTAATAGGTGGAAGAAATGAGATGCATAGTAATTATTTAAGAGTAAAGTCTTTCCCAATGAGCTAAATGATAAAAACTTGCATCCTGTAATTGGACAGATAAGTCACAAGGAGAAAGTTAGGTTTTCACACAATGTATGTTCACAGGATAAAAAAACGACAGTCTTGTTAAAATAAGCTGGGGTGGAGGTGGGGAGGCAAGGGCTAGATGCCTTGAAAGGGAAAGTTGAACAAGAAAACAATCTTCCATACACTAATGTGAACCCATGGAGAGAAGAGAGAACGCACAGAAGTTGTACACTACATTATATGGATACAAAATAGTTTTTTAGATTTATAATTTAATTTAGAAATCTGAAAGACAGGTGTATTATTTTATAATGCCGTGTCTTTATAATGTAATATTCATATATTTTTCTAACTTTTATGAGATAAAATAGAGTGGTTTTAATTAACAAAAAATTAACGCATGATGGAAGCAAAGAGAAGAATTATTCAAGAGTTGTGTATAAGACTGCATAGGATTTATATTTGTAAACAAGCCCAGAAATATGAATGCTTCTAGGCTTCTATGAGTCAATGCTTGACCGGGACTCTTAATGGCAAAATCTCCTACTGATTACTTGGCTCTTATAAATCTAAGGAACTGAGTGAAACCAAATATTAGATGGTCCAATTTTAGAGAAAAGAAAGCAGGATAAAAATGTATTAAGGCAGGGAGAGTTTAAGTTAAAACACAACCACATGTGGTGAAAATAGAAAAGGGCTAGAAAGAAATACAAAAAAATGTTAGCAATGCTCTTCTCTGGTATAAACAATGGCTTTCATTTGCTTCTTCATATGTTTTGATATTTACAAATTTTCTACAATAGCATTTCTACTATAACCAGACAAAAAGAGATCAATGAAAAATGCAATCTAACTGTTGAAATTACTGCTATATACAAAATGAATACATTTCACCATTGGTAATGACTTTGACTCTAGAGGAAAGAGGATTTCCATAGAAGGACGGTAGTATTTTATATCTAATTAATTGGGAAGGCTTTGAGCAAAATCAGAACTTCAGATCCTAGAAGCTGAGTACAATAAAGATTTGAGAAACAAGAAAAAAGGTATGATCAATGGAAGATCTTCCAGACAGTGAGGGCTATCTGTTAGCGAGTGTGTAAGAACATGAAGTATGTGAAAACAAGGTGAGACTTATATGAAAATGAATAATAAATGAGAAGAGATTAGGAAGTAAACTGGCCTTAAATTTGAAAGTAAAGAGCCATGAACAAGATTCTGTATTTTGAATGTCAAAATTAAGAAGCTCCATTGAGAAATAAGTTTATGGAATGAACAAAATCAACCTAACTTACAGTCAGATTGATTTTTACTTTGGGGGGACTCTAAGTCATTAGCATGGGGTCTGTTTTATTAACACTATAGCTTTCCCTTTACTTTCCAGAAAAAGCACATATAATGCTTTTGCTTTTCATAATTCACTTGCTTGCTCAAATATTCATTGATTTTTCTGAATCTGTAGCCCATCTGCTTGCAAAACATTCACTGACTTCATGGGACTAAATAATAAGTATTGGTTGATGTTAATGTACATACATGCAATAAAACTGTCAACTCAGTCATCTTCCTGGTACCTGAGCATATAACAAAAGCATCACTAGACAGTGAGGCAGCACTGTGAGAAAGGTAGTGTACATAATGGAAAGAGCACAGCCTTCGGTCTCAGAGAGATGTGGGTTCAAATCCTGGCTCTGCCACTTGCTTCTTGTTAATTTCATCAAAGTAAATTTCTCTGTCTATTTCTTTATCTTTAGACTGGGGCCAATACTTTCTTCTAATATGAACTTTGTGAGAATTGAATGAGATATAATAAATTAAAGCATATAACAGGATGGCAGGTACACAATAAACTCTCAGTACCTAATGGTATTATGATTATTGTCATTGGCATACTCGTGGGTTTTCAACACAATGAAACTCAACGTTTCAAGACCAATGTCAAATTTTGGTTTTCCTTCTGAGTCAAATTTTGGATTATTAATAAGAGAATGATCTCATTTCTTCCTCAGATGGCAAATGGTTTATTCTTAGAGCCAGGTATGGACTCATCTATACTCTCCACCCTCTCTCTGTTAAAGTCACTGGCACCAGCTTTCTCAACTGGTTCACTTTGAGCATGGTTAGAAACCAAAAGAAAGCAACTTGATGGATTAACAGGGAGAGCTAGGGAAACTGACTCATCGGTGGTGGAATGCTCGTGCTTGATAAGCCTCAGAGACTCTGGTTTTCTATTCAGAGAAATGGGGTTACTCATTGAGCTTTGCACACAAGACCAACATTTGGGTCTTAAAAGCCATAACTGAGCCAAGCACAGTGTCTCATGCCTGTAATCCCAACACCTTGGGAGGCTGAAATGGGAGGATGGCTTGAGCCCAGGAGTTTGAGACCAGCCTGGGCAACATGGTGAAACCTTGTCTCTACACAAAATACAAAAATGGTGGTACATGCCTGTAGTCCCAGCTACTCGGGAGGCTAAGGTGGAAGGATCATATGACCCTGGAAGGTCAAGGCTGCAGTGACCTGTGATTGCACCACCGCACTCCAGCCTGGGTGACAGAGTGAGACCCTGTCTCAATAATAAATAAATAAAGTAAAACAAATAAAGGCCATAATTCAACTGTTGTAATTGTAGTTCTCTCTGAAGTGAATGAATTTTTTCCACTCATACTGGAATTCTCACTGTTGCTATATAAGAAGAAAGCTTCAGACTCTGGCTACACCGGGGATTTTGGTGGGATGCCTATTGGCACTTTCACTGAATGTGCAAGAGTGAAAGACTTCTTAGGATTCACCTGCCTTCATAATGAATTACCCGACCCCTTCAATTATCCCTGTGTCTTACTTTTAGTGATCAAACAGCCTATTACACAGACCCTGGATAATATAATTCCATAGTATCACTGGTTATTTAGCCCCCAAAAGCACTATGTATCCAAAGTATTACACAGACCCTGGATAATATAAATCCATAGTATCACTGGTTATTTAGCCCCCAAAAGCACTATGTATCCAAAGTATTACACAGACCCTGGATAATATAAATCCATAGTATCACTGGTTATTTAGCCCCCAAAAGCACTATGTATCCAAAGTATTCATTATTCAAACCACATCTTTGATGCCACTTATTCCATCAGAATTCCTATAAAATTCATAATTTATTATACTGAAATGAACATATATGTATACTTTTTCTGGTACTAATATCTATTTTTGTATATGTTAATTTTACTTCTATAAATAAACTGTAAAGTATAGGGGTCACACTTTATCTTCTTTTTATATTTCTTTGTTGTGGAAAAGTTTTGGGTGTAATATAGACCATCCCCCTAGTAAAATTAGTTAAATGGTAAGAAAAATAGTCTCCAAATATCTAGTGGGTAAGACTAAAAGTTAAACTTAGCTTAGCCTTTTTTTGTGATTTAAAAATTTTTGTGGAATATGAGGAGGGTCCAATTTAAAATAACCCTTTCATTGTTTTTTTGTTTGTCTGTTTTTGTTTTTTTAATAGAGACAGAGTTTTTCCATGTTGCCCAGGCATGTCTCTAACTCCTGTCTCTAACTCCTGGGGTCAAGTGATCCTCCTGCTTTGATAGCCCAAAGTGCTAGGTTATAGGGGTAGGCCACCACACCTGGCCATGATTCTTGAAATGATGAGATCAGGGGGTGTAGAGGCTGTATTATTTCATTCTCACATTGCTATAAAGAAATATCTGAGACAGGGTAATTTATAAAGAAAAGAGGTTTGGCCAGGTGTGGTGGCTCATGCCTGTAATCACAGCACTTTGGGAGGCCGAGGTAGGTGGATCACCTGAGGTCAGGAGTTCAAGATCAGCCTGGCCAAAATGGTGAAACCCCGTCTCTACTAAAAATACAAAAATTAGTTGGGTGTGGTGGCGTATACCTGTAATCCCAGTTACTCTGGAGGCTGAGACAGGAGAAATCGCTTGAACCTGGGAGGCAGAGATTGCAGTGTGCCGAGATTAAGCCACTGTATGCCAGCCTGGGCCACAGAGCGAGACTCTGTCTCAAAAAAAAAAAAAAAAAAAAAAAAAGAAAGAAAGAAAAAGAAAAAGAAAAGAGGTTTAATTGGCTCATGGTTCCGCAGGCTGTACAGGAAGCATGGCAGGATCTTCTTGGGAGGCCTCAGGAAACTTACAATCATGGCAGAATGTGAAGGGAAAGCAAGCCAACTTACATGGCCGGAGCAGGAGGAAGAGACAGGGGAGGTGCTACAGACTTTTAAACAACCAGATCTCCTGAGAACTGTTATCAGGAGAACAGCACCAAAAAGATGGTGCTAAACCGTTCATGGAGGATCTACCCCCATGATCAGATCACTTCCCACTAGGCCCACTCCAACATTGGGGATTACAATTGAACATGAGATTTGGGTGGGGACACAGATACAAACCATATGAGAGGCATACGCATACATGTAAGGAAAGATAAATAGCAGAATGTGAATTTGTGCATGTTAAAATCTGCTAACCATTTTTGTTGCTTGGAAGTTTTTTTCTAAAAATCAGCCTTTTTCTTTGAGGTCCCTTCATCCATTTCTTCAAGTTGTATATCAAAAATTTTAGAGAGATGCTAATTACTCAAGATGACTCAGAAAGTTCACATGCAGATTTGGGACTAGAGCCCCAAAATGCAATCCCTGCCATGTATTTTTAACAGCGACACTTTCCTGAAATGCTGGTTATAGGTAGTAGACATTACCCATTTTTGCTTCTTACACTATCAGAGCAAATAAAGTTTATTTATATCACAAAGATGCCAGAAAAATCATGCTGAAATATTTTCACATAAAACAATCCTGAATTTCTGAAGTATTACCCTAAAGCACTCTCTTAATATCTAATATTATCCCTTCCACAGTAACTGTTACTTGCCTTGCTGTCAATATATTATACACTTTTAAGATCTACTATGTTTACTGAATTATATCTTTAAGTCAGGAAAAAGAAAAAAATTCACGTAAGTATCATCTGGGAATGGTATCTATTATAATGACTTTTTTCCTTCAATAAATAACCTATTATTAATATATGCGCTTCACAATATCACTTCTACTTTGCCAACGTTTGCCCCTTTAAATGATTTTAATAGTAAAATTTATGTTGACTAATATAAAAATTATAATAGTATGGTTAGTTCTAAAAAGATCAAACTTCTGTTTAGGTCCTATATCTCATTTTAATTAATAGTTTTTTAAGTAGCTCAGCAGATAGCCCATTTAAACTTTAACATGCCATTTTCCACATTTTAGTTATTAAAAGAAAAATATGGCTACAATAAATTATAACATTTGTAATAAATACCTAAATTAAATATAACAAATGATATCTCCACTTATGTCAAAATATCAATTTCACATATTTTCATCTTTAATATTACCTTTGGAAATAGAAGAGTGATATATTACTATGTAAGTGTAAATAGGATAGTAACTGATTACATTTTGAAGATGAGAAAACTAGGTCAGAGAGTAGTTAATGACCAATTTTGAATGGAACCCAGGTGTTCCGGGACTGTGTAAGCCATCCCTGGGTGTTATTTTCTTTTCTCTAATTTGTTACCTTACTCCTGAAAGAAAATTAGGGGATGGTAGAATTGAGAAATATGTTTTTGCTAGTGGAGGAGAGGGAAATCCCATGACTTAACACCATGGTTATGCTTCTTAGAAGAGAAGGATGAACGTGAGTGGCAACATGGACTATTGGCAAATCTTCTGGGCGGATGAAGTCATTGGCCCTATATAGGCTCATTAAGTGCTAATGGTGATCATAATCATCCGTTTGTGATCTGGAAGAACTGTGCCTCCATTCCCCTGAAAGGCTTTTTGTTTTGTAGGTTCCTTTTTATTCTGCTTCCTGAAACTCTATGCCAATTGATGTTTGCATGTTTCTGAAATGGTGACAAGCCTTGTAATTGATTCTCCAACTACGCTGTGCTGTGCGCCGGGCTGGCAGGCACCCCACTTTCAGGTCACTTTACACGTCACACCACCTAGAGCGAGCCAGGAACTCATTCAAAGGGCAATGGGATGCCAATTATTTTCTTTCCTGGCATTTACATGAAAGTATAGGAGAGAGGCTGCTAAAACAGAACTCAGAGTTTGGTTCCCTTAATAATTGCTATAGCCTCCAAGTTTGTGGACTATGGAAGAATTGAGAACCTGAAGCAAGTAAGGTGAGGAGGTTGAAAAATAGAGATTTAGTGAAACAATCCGTAAAGTGAGGACATCAAAAAATAGAGCTTTGTGAAATCAGTAAATTTAGTGCTTACTAGGTGCCAGGCAATATTTTAAGCATTTTACACCTACTAATTTGTTTATGCTATGCCACAACTCTTGAAAGTAGGTATGACAATTTCTCCCATTTTGCAAATAAGAATGTGGAGCCCACAGCCACATAGCTGGTAAATGACAGAATCACACTTTGAATTTAGGTGGGCTCTGAAGGCTAGGCTTTTAATCATTTTGCTATAGGTGGAATTAAAGATCCTATGTAAGTCCGCTTTAATATAGAATTCATAGCTTCTAGGAATGTATAATTACTTAGTAATAACCAGGAAAGCAAATGATGATCATGATTCAGAGAAACAGAAATATGAGGCCGTCCTCTCTAAGTCCCTTCAGCCCACACTTCCTCATCTAACACCACCACAGGATATTTTGTACCTCATCCTACTTCTACAAAGGAATGCATCCGAATAATTTCTGGCTTCATTTGCAAAAATAGCAACTTTAACTGATCTCTATTTGCCTATGTGATTTGTGATGTCCAAGAATACTCCAAGGCAGAAAAATGCCTAAGATCACAAGCATAATTTTGTAAGAAATCTAGATAGGTAGACAGCCAGTCTTAAGCAACATACAACGAATAACCTGACTCATGGAGAGAGGTAACCCATACATGTAGTTTCTTCTTCCCTCATCTCCACCCAGGATCATGATTTTATCTTCTACATTTAATAAAAGATCATCCAATATCAGAACTTAGAAAACCACCAATAGATAAAGCAAATACATTTAGGCAGTGCTTGAATTCATATCATAATTGAAGCTATTGTATCTTATTTTGAAATTAATCATTTACCTTATGAATCTACGTAGGCTCCATACTCTTCAGAACCATTTGTGAAGTTTAGAGTAAGTGGTCTGTAACCTAGAAGGGAGACAAACAAATCCACAGTTCAAATTCAGCATGAAAAGATTATCAATGAAATTGAAAATGCATTAGCATGTGCATTAATTTTTTTATTAGATTCAAATGATGAAGGCATTTACCAATTTGGAGATACAGAGAGAATAGAATTTAGATGAGATGGATATTAGTGCTTGTGTCCCTGTGTTTTAAGTATCAGCTCAGACAAAAAAGCAAAAAGATCTAAAACGATTCCTGGAACTGAACAACGTGACTGAACCCAGAGGGGAGGAGCAGGCTGCCACCCACCTGGGGAGATGGGTTAATAAAAAGATCAATTGCACTCTTATCTTGTTAGTCATTAGACAGCCCATTGATGCCACCTGCTTACTTTAAATGTAAACGTGCAGGCCAACCATTGGAAAGCTGCCACCATTCTTCGGAACCCTGTTTCTTTCTGGTTTAGTGATAGGAGGGAAAAGGCCAAACTTTGACCGTTAGGAACTGAGCATCTGTTCCTCCAGCAAGCACAGATGTGAGGGCAAATCAGAAAGCGAGTCTTTACAGGCAGAATAAATGAATATACCAAAATATGAGTAGTTTATAGAGTTAATATCAACTCAAACTGAAGAAACATTTTACATGTAAAAACATAAAATGGCTCAGGGGATTTACTCTCCTGTTAGGTGATTATATCCCTTAGATCTGAAGTGGCCATATATTAAATATACTTTTTGTTTGCTTTACTGGTCTTTGTGAACCACTGACTCTTTTTCAGTAGTCAATTGCTCTTTCCCAAAGTATAAGGAAAGGTTTACCTGTCTTGCATTAGTATCAGTTGCCAGTGATTAAAAGGTTCAAAGGTAAATGTTACATATTTCCTAAGGCAAAGTAAATGCCTGCCATTGGTAAAAAGGGATTATTATACATTGGCAATAGAATCTTTCCTGCAGCAGCTATTGCCTACTTCTCTCAGCTTCTGCAAACTCTGGCTACAAGTGGGTCTCCGGACCTTTTCTTGTCCTCTGACACTACTTACCGGGGCATCGGATAGATGTCTGATAAGAGTACTTCAGATCATCCCACCTTTGTAGCAGATAAATACTCATTTTTTCTTCTAACAAAATAAGTATATTAATTTATCTCATTTATTTTTGTGGTATAAATATTCATTATTTATTGATTATTACTAGTCAAGCAATATTTGCCTAACAAGGAGTATCTTTCTATCTGCTTTGAGCATTTCTATTCTAATAAAAAATATTTTGCAAGCAATAAAATACTAACTTAAGGTAGGAATGGTGAGATGCAGCAGTTACAATTTCTCAAAGCAGTGAGATGGTGAAGCCAACTTGTGGCATGTTGACTAATTACTACGCTCCTGCTCATTTTACTTTCCAAAATTCAAAATATTGTATATAGGTTCTGAATGCTTAAAATGTATTCCTAACTAAGTAGTGTGTAGGTGGCTGGATTTCTATCAAGTGGGTCTCAAACCAGCAATAGAAAATCAGACACTGTCTCTGACTTAAAATAGGAATAAGGTTAATCAAGATATGACTACCTATGAGAAATATCACTCAGTGAACTTTTTTTTTTTTTTTGAGATGGAGTTTCACTCTTGTCACTCAGGCTGGATTGTAATGGTGTGATCTTGGCTCACCTCTGCCTCCTGGGTTGCAACCTCTGCCTCCTGGGTTCAAGTGATTCTCCTGCCTCAGCCTCCTAATTAGCTGGGATTATAGGTGCCTGCCATCATGACTTGCTAATTTTTTGTATTTTTAGTAGAGATGGGGTTTCATCATGTTGGCCAGGCTGATCTCGAACTCTTGACTTCAGGTGATCCACCCACATTGGCCTCCCAAAGTGCTGGGATTACAGATGTGAGCCACCATGCCTGACCACCATCCAGTAAACTTTTAAACAGCAGAATTCCCAGATGGGCTAATCATTTATACATTTTAGAGTATAGATTAGTTATTAGTTGTTTCTTGAATTTAAAGATTTTGTAAAGAATATGCATTTCTTACACTTGGTTACATGTTTAAATTACTATTGTGAGAGCAACAGAGTAGGTTTTTGGAGACCAATAATTTTTAGTTTGTCAGCGTACTGTAAGTTTGACATGAATTGAAACAGGGTGAAAAACTACCTTGTGAATGCAAGGGATAGCCTTTGCTATCCAGCAGATTTGTGAGTGAGGCTGTGAAACCTGGCCTTAAAATGGTAGATGGGAAATGGACCTATTTTCTTCTACAATGGGACCTTCCTGTGCTACTCTCCTGAGGGCTCATGGATAGGTCCTTGTTCTTGGCAAATCAGCATCAAAATGACAGTCCTTGGATGCAGTCCAAAGCAAATCTGACTGATACTGAATTTTGCTCCCGAGTACCATGTTTTACTGTGAGGGTCCAACATAACTGTAAAGGTTCTATGACAGGTAACAAAGGAAAATTTCCTACATAGACTTATTTAGTCTTCACACCGCTCTTGGTTAATTAAGTACATTTACAGATAGGGATAAAATCTTAGGCTATGGTTGAAAATGCTCAAAAAATAAAGTAGCCCTTCAGTTGTTTTCTTGCCAATTTCTTTATTTCATGATTAGGTAATAGATGTAATTTTAATGTTTCAAGTAAATGGTGAACATTTTATTGTGTAATTTGGTGAAAGAGGGATATTTTCATTTGTAATAAAAAAGCTCATCTTTGTAGGAAGAATTAACATTGGCTATCTAACTGTGTCCGTTTTAAGGAAACAAAGGTAATTGAGTAATGGTTGATTTTTGAAGTTGTGGTAATAGCTTTCCAACTGACAGCCAGACTTCTTTTTTAAAAGGACTTTATATTTGAAAATGAAGCATTCAAGGAATTTTCAATATTTTCTAGAGAGCTTAGATACATAATGTAAGTTTCAATGAATCCCATATTGAATAATTCCAGCACTTTGGGAAGTTGAGGAGGGAGGATTGCTTGAGCCCAGGAGTCAGAGACTAGCCTGGGGAACATAGTGAGACTCTGCCTCTATAAAAATTGTAAAAATTAACCAGGCATGGTAGTGTGCATCTGTAGTCTCAGCTACTGGAGGCTGAGGTGAGAAGATCACTTGAGGCCAGGAGGTCCTGCAGTGAGCTATGATCGCACCACCACACGCCAGCCTGGGCAGCACAGTGAGACCCTGTCTCAAAAAAAATGGAATATTCTAGGTTGGGAGTGGTGGCTTACACCTATAATCCCAGCACTTTGGGAAGCCAAGGCGGGCGGATCATGAGGTCAGGAGTTTGAGACCAGCCTGGCCAACATAGTGAAACCCCGTCTCTACTAAAAATACAAGAAAATTAGCTGGGCATGGTGGCACATGCCTGTAATCCCAGCAACTCGGGAGGCTGAGGGCTGAGGCAGGAGAATCACTTGAACCTGAACCTGGGAGGCAGAGGTTGCAGTGAGCCAAGATTGCAACATTGCACTCCAGCCTGGGTGACAATGTGAGACTCCGTCTCAAAAACAAACAAAAAAACCCAAAAACAAACAAACAAACAAAAATTGAATATTCAGTTTGGGCTAGAGGTTTCATAGAAGTAAGTTTGTACTCTTAATTGAGGCCTTGTATTCTGGGATGGGGATATTAGACATTAGGTAATTGATTAGGAACACTGATGATGTTTGAACAGGGAGTAAATTAACCAGAAATCCAATTTAGGTAGATGAAGTGTATGCACTATAGATCAAAACAAGGGCTGAAAATGGATTTATTCAATAATTAACCTAACAAATAATTTTATCAATATTTAAAATTTAACAGTACTATTTTCAGTAGCAATATGCCATATTAATAATATGCCATGTTCATACTATACTAATATTTAATAATAGTACTAAATTTACTAGTAACTAGTACTAAGTAGTACTATTAGGTGCTGAGGCTACAGAGGTGAACTAGTGGGTAAAAGTCTCTGATGTCATGGAGGGAAGACACAAATAAAACATCACACAAAACAGGGATTGAGAGAGGGAGAGAGAGAAACATGTGTTATGAATGTCTAACTCTAGAAGAATGCTTCTTGTTATGTTTAAGCTTAGTCTAAAGCTGTGAGGAAGATAGTAGGCTGTTGTTACAGTCCAGACAAGAAAGAGATTAATGAGAACCTAGGCTAGGCAGTAGCAGTGGGAATTAGAAGGAAGAAAAAGATGCAAGAGGTATTTCAGAGACAATCAATAGGAATTGGCAATTGCTGAGACGTGCAGTAAGGGAAAAGGAAGAGACATAGATAAATTAGAAACTTGGAGCCTCACAGAAGAAATTGGGTTGCTATTAACAGAAATACGGATGTCAAAAGAAAGAACTAGTTTGATGGGGTAATGAATTTAGGTGTGGTGCATTGTGTTTGATGTGTCAAGAAGTCTCTTGGAGATGGCAGTAAGTAGCTGGAACTGTAGGATTATAAATTAGTGGAGAAACTAGAACTAGAAATTTTGGCATCCTTCCAATGGATGGGGTAGTTAAAATCTGCGGGATTGTCTAAATTTACCAAAGGTAAGGAAGCCTGAGAGTCTCCATATGGGTGGGAATTCTGAGAAATGGCATAATTAGGAGAAAGCGCAACCAGAGTTAAGGTGAGTAGGAATAATGTCCAACCTTTAAGTACTGATTCCTACACAATCATCCTTCACAGAGCACTTCACAGCGGCTAATTTATGTAATTTTCACAACGTGAAGTAGTGATAGCTACAGGAAGCAGCCAAATGCTTAGGCAGCTAGGGGTGGGTACCCGGTGAAACCCCACCTTCAAGCTGAAGACAGTTTAAAGCCTGAAAGCCAAGCTACAAGTTAAATCATCAGACTGTGTTAAGAACTTGTCTTCCTGTTTGGTGTGCTTTCCTCTGATTGATCCTCACCCTTCACCTATTTTACATATACCTACCCTTTCCTAATTGGTTTTCTACATTGTCGTACGCACCTTTGAGTGGTGTCTTTGCTTTAGCCTTTTTTGCATACTGGCAAACCCAATCAGCATGCACTCCCCACCCTGTGCCTTTAAAGACCACAGACTCAGTTGGTAGAGGAGGAGACAGCCTGACTTTGGGGAACAGACAGCCTTTTAGAGCCATTTTCATTTCTCAACAAAATTCTCTGCCTTCCCCATCCTTCAACTGTTTATGTGACCTCATTCTTCTTGGACACTGGACAATAGCTCGGGACCCACTGAGTGCAGGTAGCAAGAAAGGCTGTCACACCAGCCCTTTGCCATCAGTGGCGGAGGGCAGCCACCTCACACAATGGGGCAAGGGACCAACTGAGCTGCTAACACACCACCGTCTGTGAATGGCACAACTAAAGGAGCACTGTAAAACCTCCTCTGGGGCTTCGGAGTTGTGGGCACCCTCACATGGGTGCTGCTGCATTCCCCTCAAGGCGACACACCTGGCCTGGCCATGGGCCCCGCACAGAGTTTGCATCTGTGTCGACACCCAGAGTGGCCAGACAGATCCTGCACTCACTTGCTCACGTGCTCCCTCCTGCAAGGGATTGACCCTGGCATGCCTAATAGAGGGAGTAACCCTGCCGCGAGTCCAGTGAAGGGGCTGAGAAAATCCTGCATCAGTAGGTTTCGTTATTAACTCTACTTCCTAAATTAGGAATAAGAGAGACAGAAAGGTTGCTAAGGTCACACAGCTCAGAAGTGGTGGAGTCAGGATTCAAACCTACAGTGCTCTGCCTCAGAGTTCGCATACTTACCAACCATGCTGTAATACCTCTTGGGTAGAATGAGTGACTTTGAAAATGAGAGTTTGCTCTTAATAAGATAGAAACCCTACAGATGAAAGTTAGTGGTTAGGCTTGCAAAGCGGTTGTCCATGGGCACAGAGTTAAATTTGGCAGTGATAACAACACATGAGAAACATGGATGAAAGAGGGGGTTTTGATATTAAGCAAACAACTATGTGCAATATAATTTTTTTACACTTTGACAAGTACAAAAGGTTCTCTGGGAGTTTTACGGCAGGTAAAGGGAGTTTCTATCGCAAAGTCTACCTTGAGAAAGTGACATTTAAACAGAGACCTAAATAATGGGTAGAAGTTAGCAGGACAAAGAGGAAAAAGAAGAGCACTCCAGATTTGAGGGCCCTTAGGCAGCTGGAACTTGGGGGATTCAAGGAGTTTAAAGAAATCTGGGGCAATGATAAGGGAAAAAACACCCTAAGGATTTTGGACTTCATCCTGAGTAATAGAAATATATTGAAGTGTATTAAGCAGGAAAATGACAAATTAAGCCTCAGAGAGTTTAAACTGCCCAAGTTCATACAGCTACTAATTGAGCCAAAAGGAAACCCAGGTCATCCCTGCTGCAAACTCCTTTCTTCACAAAACCATGTTACCGTCCAGGGCTGGGCTGCAAAATGTTTACCGATCAGCTCTCTGGGAAAAAAAGCACTGACTTGTAGCATTTTCTGATATGGTGGTTTAAATACTATATTTAGTATTATTTACTGATATTCACCATATTGGGTGCTAATATGAAGTCACAGAATGCAGACTCGGGAAGAGATAGTCTATATTGTACCATTATGTGGTATTTCAAACATGTTGATATAATAGATAAAAACACCCTCAGCAACACGGAAAATAATACAATGTGCTAGAATAATTAGGAAGTGATGAATGTGTGTATTTATTACCTTTGTTTTAAGTTTAATTATTTAATTCTAAATTTATGCAATTTATTTATTAATAATGGTTCTCTGGGGGAACAAACAGCTTGCCAAATTCCTGAAAAGTTAATAATGGGATCTCCTGAGCAGGTATAAGCTGGAGCCAGAACTCCATTGTTACCATCTCAAAGAGCCATTTTTGGTGGGTACATTTTTATTATACTGTTTTGTTTTGGGAGATGGTTCCAGGAATCTTACATCAAAGCTCACTCATGTCTTTCTACACATTTCAATGTGTTGATCACGGGGCATATTCGGTGAGAAGGAATGGATACAGCTTTTTTTTTTTTTTCCCCAAACAGGCTGAAAATAAAGAGAGAGGGTAACTCCTGGGAGGCAACGCTATGCAATGGCCTCTGTGGGGACATAGGTGACTAATAGTAGGCATTTGTGGCTGACTCCTCACCTTTGCTTTCAGACAGTCACGACTGCAAGTTTCTGATTTCAAATACAAGTTTATAACTCGAATCAAAGCTAAATTTATATTCTCTGTACACATTATCATTCAGTTCTATTATTGTCATGCAACCTCCTCTTTAGGAAAACCACTGGACCCTAAAATAGAATGTTCAGAAACATGCAAATGAAAACAGCTTAAGCTCTCAGACTTTGGCAGTGTTACTTGAGTTTTACTGTGGCCTCAGAAGGGACAATCATAATATTTTTCTGGCTGTCTTGTCTTGATTTATAATTTGAATCTCCATAAATGATAATAGAGAGGGCAATTATCAAAGAAATGGGAAGGGCAATTATCATTAAATTGAAAACACATCACACATCCAACAGGATGAATGACTGAGCTAAAAACAGATTTTGTGGATCTTGCAACTGCTCCAAAAGAACTTAATGGAAGCAACTTCATCTCCCCACCTCCTCCAATTAACCAGATGACTTTGGATCTGTTTTTCTTTTTTTTCCTGGGATGATAACACAAGGCCTGTTAATCTAATCTGCCTGAAGACTGACACTACTTAGGACATGTAAATTTATGAGACTAAACCAGTTGCTGTTTGCCTAGTGTAAAAAAAAGCTTTCCTTTTTTTTGTAAAAACAGTAGAGAAAAATTAGTTCTCTTGTTTGTACATTTGTGATTCCAGGAGACTGCAGACACCCGTCTCATCTGTTCTTAACCTTCATGATGAATCTTTTTAAGTGAGGCAGCAACAGCGATTTTGTTCATGAGGTTAAATAATAGACTGGATAGTGAAATTCCCCTAAAAGACTTTTGCCTTGGTTGGATAAATTGAACAAATTATAATCCAGACTGTAGGGATTAGTTATCATTACTACAAATATGAAAGAAAAAGGTAAATGTTTATGAACACATTTTGTTGAGAATTCTTGCCATCTGGATTTACTATCGTAAGGAGTGGAATTATAGACATTCTCTGAAAGGGGTAAGGTGTGGAAAGAAGAAAGGAAAACTCCAAATCACTTTTGTCAGCACTTCTGTATAGGAAAAATAGCTATGGCATGAATGCCAATACGGTATCTGATTAAGAGATGAAGCCCTATATAATTGGATCCAATCAGGTCCTGATAGGTGACAACAAGAGTTTCTCCTTTTCACATAAGTGAGGTTCACTGAGCAGACCAGTCCCTGGCATACTGATCTTCCTAAAATGGATCATGGATCATAAAGGAACTAGAAGTGGAAGGATGGAAAGGCTCAGATAAATTTATTTTATATTGATTTCATCTGGGCCTCTGCTTTCCCCATATTGGTTCTTTATGCAGGCTATCACCTTCTATTGATTAATACATAACCAGACTAGGCTTGTTTACTTGGGAACAAAGAGCCATAAAGTGATCCCAGCACTCATGGCTATACGCTTAGTCACAGAGCCCAGACATTATGGTCATGGACAAAAAAGCGAGGAAAAAAAATAGTTCAAATGAAAGAAGGAAAGAAAACTAATATTTACTAACCACCTTTTGTCAGGTATGTTAGATAGATGTTATTTGAGTGTTGCCACCTATCTGGTATCAAACCCGTCAGTGAGTCCTATATTTGTAAGTCCCCTCTAGAACAAATTTTACCATGCTCTACCGTGATGTCGTCGGCAAGTACGTTCTCCTTCACTTTGGAGGACCGAGCCGTGTCTGCCCTGTGCTTCTTTGGTGTTTTGCTGATTGGAGAATTGAATATATGTTATACTGTCTACCTGACAGCAATATGCAACTTCAGTGCTGAATACTTTCCTTTTGAAGATGTATGATTCTTTTTTATTTTTTTGAGATGGAGTTTCGCTCTTATTGCCCAGGTTAAAGTGCAATGGCGTGATCTCGGCTCACCGCAACATCTGCCTCCCAGATTCAAGTGATTCTCCTGCCTCAGCCTCCCGAGTAGCTGGGATTACAGCATCCACCACCACGCCCGGCTAATTTTGTATTTTTAGTAGAGATGGGGTTTCTCCATGTTGGTCAGGCTGGTCTCAAACTCCCGACCTCAGGTGATCCACCTGCCTCAGACTCCCAAAGTGCTGGGATTACAGGCATGAGCCACCGCACCCTGTCTGAAGATGTATGATTTTTTATTCATCATTCTTTTTTCT
Organism: Homo sapiens; assembly: GCF_000001405.40. NCBI lineage: Eukaryota > Metazoa > Chordata > Mammalia > Primates > Hominidae > Homo > Homo sapiens. The sequence continues at coordinate 81,435,776 of NC_000001.11, read as the reverse complement.
AGCTTCCATCTTTCCCAGGTTCCAGAGAAATGTTTCAGTGTAAGAAATATTATTCAACAGTTTTTGCAAAGCAAGGAAACAGACAAAATTTCTGTTCAATGTATCCACTATGAATTTATATAAATATGTGTGTCTACCTACAAATTAACCATCTTGAATTAAATATATATAGTCCCGATGTTTTGAAGAAATGGATTGTTATATTTATTAGTTCATCTTGGCCTATAAGTTTATTTAAAAATACTAAGCACTCTAAAGAACAAAAAGTGGTTTCCCTTTTAAAATTTCTCAAAGTTCCAAGTGTTTTGAATTCATTGAACTCTCGACAATCAGCATCTGGTTGATTAAGTAATTTACATTTGGACATCCTCACAGAGAGATTGGAGGTGGGGGAATTCCCCTTGAATTCTGGGAAGTTGTTCTTTGGACATGATGTTTATTTCCTCTGATGTCACAGTTTCTCTTGATAAATGTAAACATTTATTTTTAACATGGTTGTTAAAACTTAGTGAATATTCAGTTCCAGTTCTTTTGTCAGTTGCTGGTGAAGCAGAAAGGTCAGTTTATGGGTCATTATACTCACAGATTGAATGTTGAGTTATTAAAAAGTAAATGTAATTTTATTTTAATATTTTTTAATGTGTTTGGAAACATAAGTGGAGTTTTTGAAAAACAGAAACTGTAAAGCTGTCTAACTTAATATAGAGTATAAGTAAAATAAAATTCATGTCAATAAAGTTTACCTATTATTAATACTTTCAGGGACTGGTACATTTTTATTAATTGTGTCCAGTACTTTTGTTGAAACCCTTTGTCAGCTGTATTTAATTCTCACAGGAGTCCCTTGCAGTGTGCCTTGTTGCCTGATTTCACAGATTTTACAACTCAGAGAAGTTAAAAAACTTTTCATGTCACACAGCAAGCAAACAGCGGAGCAGTGACTTAAGCCCAGTCTTGTCAGATTTGAAGGCCTGTGAATGACCACCTGCAGCTTCCCAATTTTGGTTGCAAGGTAGGCCTGGTAATATATTTTGTGCTTCCCCAGACAGCTGCAGTTAAAACTGCTTCATATGAGAGATGATACTCATTCTAATTTTTAATATATTTAAATAAATCATAATGTCAACCTCCCTGTTTGTAATCCTCCCTCACTCCCAATTTCTACAACCAAACATCCAAGATGTTTATTTCCTACAGTTTTGTATTCACTGGGTTCATTCACTTATTCACTAGTTCACTCATTAATTCAACACATATTTATGGTACCCTCATCAAGCACCAGACACTCTTCTAGGCCCTAGAAGAGCAGTTCCTATGGTAATGAAGTTTACATTTGGGTAGGAGAGAGAGACAATAAACACATACCGAGAGACAAATATAAAAAACAAGCAAAGTTGGATGGTGATAAATGCAGTGAAGAAACATAAAATAGAATAAGTACCCAGAAAATAATAAGTAACTTTCATTGAAAATACATTACATGTGTGACACATTGGTCTGAGTACATTACAAAGATTAATTTGCTTAATTCTCACAAAACTCTATGTGGTTAATACTGTATTTGTGGTAGATCAGGGATGGTATCAAATTATTTACTACTCCTCTAATTGAGATTGAGATGTGGAGTCTAATTCCTCTCCCTTTGAATCTGAGCTGGACTTATTGACTTGCTTGATGCATAGAGTGGGGCAGAAGAGATAGCATACTAGGTCCTGGCTTAGCCTTTAAATGAACTGGCAACATTGCCTTGTTCTTTTGGAACCCTGAGCTTCCACTAAAAAGTCAGACTAAGGCTTCCATGCTGTGGGAAAGCTCAGGCAACATGGAGAGGCCAGGTGTCAACAGAGTCCCAACACAGCTTCTAGCCTACAACCAGCATGTGAATGAATCATATTGTGGGGCCAGTCCCCTGAAGCCTTTACATGACTTCAGTTCCTGCTGCTATCTGACTGCTCCGGAATTATGAACCCTGAGTGAGGACAACCCAACAGAGTCCAGTCAATCCACGGAAAAGTGAGAGATAATAAGACATACTTCTTTCAAGCCATTAAATTTCAGGGTGCTTTATTATGCAGCAAAGAATAATTGGAACAATTATAATTTTCCTTTTACAAATGAGAAAACCAAGGGAAAGAAGGGTTAAATAATTTCCTTGCCGAAGGGTAGAATCTGAATTCAACCCAGACAGGCTGTCCTGCAAGCACCATTTTAAACTCTCCCCAAAACAGCCTAACCCTAGAGTAAGATCAGCTTTCACAGGGTGCTCCTGACTAAACTTGGCAGTTGCTGACTAGTTCACATTTTATGTTCTTCATTGAATCACAGTGGTTAAAACTCAGGGCACACTTCTCTTGGAATATAATCGCTTTCTCAAAGGGACCTTGAGGTGTCCTTGGACCTGAAGTATTATGTTGTCTATGACCTTTTGTGGATTGGAATCTTAAGAAAAATAAGGAGGACATGGAGGAGATTGACCTGCACTAATCTATAATCCTTTCATTGTGTTGTAAAATTATGAGAATTATTCAAGTAAAATAGGAAATCACATGACATTTTGATTAAATAAAAGAAAAAGAGTACAAAGTAATTCTCTTAAATTAAGAGCAAATAATTGTAACAAAATCAAATTTCTTGGCATACAAATATGTTACATCCCTTGTCTAAGGCAGATAATTTATATTGGGATGGGAAAGGAGTGACCGGATGTCTGTAGCCTGATAGCATTAAACAGTAAGTTGTTCAGCCAGATGTTCCTTCCTTAGCAAGGAAGGACACATAACTACAGGGTACCAGGCAAGCCCAAGGTACATATTTCCACAGACACTTTTTCCTCAGGGTATTTACAGTTCAGTTTAGCTCTTTCCACATTGAAACTCTGTATACACAACCATAGAACGGCCCATGATTGTACAAAGGAAAGACGTTTATAGATGCTGCACATTCCCCATGCCGCCCCAAGCCTTCCAAGGGAAGCTCCTGGTACTCTTGAAACTTTCCTGTCAGATGATTATACAATCCAGTGCCTTTTCCAAGCAGGAAATATGATGTTCCAACGACAGCTTGACCTCCTGTCTGAAAATGGGCTGGGGAGGGGAGCGGCGCCGAGGAGGGGGGCAGGAAGATGAAACAGGCATGGTCTCAGTATACTTAATTCATAGACCCAATCACAAACAAAAACAAGTTAATTTTGTTAAGAACTCATAATAACATTTCACTTATGACAAAATCCCAATCATTTATTCTCCTCTGGAGTACTTCTTATGCATCCTTGAGTTTTTAAAAGTTCAAGTGTTGCATAAAAAAATCAACATAATTACAGAAAACAGTCCTTAAACAAGAATATCCTGTTTTGTTTCCTGCATACGCACTGGGGTGGCTCATCTGAATCCTTGACAACATCCAACTCCAAGAAGAAAACATCAAGACAGCTTGCTGATCAAGGATTTTACATCCAACTCTTCAGCAGTAGGGCTGTTGGCCCTATGTGTAAGCTGACAATCGCCCTATTGTTTACTTTCCAGTCAGAAAAGCGATGCTGCCTTTCTTCACTGCGTATGGTCTCCATAATCCTAACAGTCATGTTCACTCAGCAGTAAGCCCAAATATATGTTTCCCAGAGGAATTTCAAATACATGAGATAGATTAGCATCTCTGTGGCTTGATGCAATCTGTGACAGATTCAACAGCAATAAACATTTTAAAGTGTGGTCAGTACTAAATTATTTGTTGAAGAACAATTTTGTTTCTGAGGTAGACAAAAATTAGCAATAACTTTTGGGTGGTAAATACAGGGGCTGAGGGATAATACAACACCCCCGAACCTCTCTCCCTCCCGGCATTTCATTCTGTTTAAAGAGAGGTAAAAAGCCCAATTGTGTGGTGATGAATTAGAAAACTTCATGAACATTCAAGAAATACACATGCCACTACAAATTAACCATTAGCAGGGCAAGGTATTCATCCTTTCTGTCAGATTCTGTGGGAAGTATGCCTTATTAGCATTGAAGCCCAAAGAAGTAATCTATCAGTCCACATTCACTTATCCTACAAAAAAGAACAGGCAATTTGAGTGCTGGAAAAATAAATAGCATAGTTCTTCCCATCCCCATTTCAATCCTAAAATTGAAAATCACCAAATAAAATTCTATTTCCTCTGCTTCCAGTTTGTCTCTGTGTTTACAGCGGAATGTGGTTTTGCATTTTAAATCAGTTCCATCATAACCCTGAAAGTGATCACAGGGCTGCTAATTCTCTGTCTTCAGTTTCCACCCCTCCTCCACGCTACCACTTTGAATTTGAATGGGACCAGAAGATTCTCTAGGGGCCACGTTTGTGGCCCTTCAGCGGCAGCCTCTCTACTTCTTTCAGCTTGTTTCCTGGCATGGTTCATGGGGATTTGTGGTGAGTGGCAGCTCCGGAATCACTTTTCATTCTGTCAGGTTGTGGTTAGGCTTAGTGGGGTTTCTTTGTTATACTGGCCACTAGTAGTCAATTCCCTTGAAAATATCTGGTTTTCTCCTTTTCTCTTAAAGAAAAAAATAAAAAGCAGCTCCCAACTCCCCACCCTACCTCCAAAACACAAACACAAAGCAAACACGGATATCCCTTGGAAATCTTAGGAGGAGACAGAGAACAGAGAGAGCCCCAGATGTTCTCAACATCCCAGTTTAATTCTGATGTCAGACTATAAAAGAACTTTGGAGGGCCCCATTTCCTGTACCTGTTCTGCTGACATGCTGTTTTATTAAAGAATCAGGGATAAATTTTACTACTCCTTTTTTATGTTAAAGTAAAATAAAATAAGCCAAACATATAGAATGTGAATTTGGGGAGCACAGTGCTTCTTTTTCTTTCAAGACAAACTTGGAAAATAAGTAAGTACCAAAATTAGTAAACAAATCAAATAAATACTTGGGAGTGCATTAAGATGGAGTTTTCCATGGACACAGAGGGAGGATTGGCACTTTCTGCACGTCTTAAGCCAGAGCTTAACAGAGTTTGTATTTCATGAATCAGTTTGGGAAAAAAAGGAGAGAACAGCATACTGCTGCCAACATTTTATATTGCCAAGTTAGGCTATTAAAAACAACAACAACAACAACTAACTTGAAATCTTACATCATTTCTTAAAAGAAAGGACATGTTAACATCAGTGGGGGGCTGGGGGAGAGGGGAAAGACATCATCTCAGAATACAAGACAGCCTTTTCAAAAATGAAGACCTGGCAACTTTTACACCAGCATGCCACAAAGGCCTTCAGAAATAGCAGGTTCCTGAAACACACCAAGCCCCTTTTCACCTTATTGCCTTAGCACCAGGTCAATCCCATCCTCTAACTGGAAACAGATCCCCTGGGGCATTGACAGAGCTCTCCACTCAAATCTAACCAGAAGAGGCAGGGCTTCTCTAGCCCTGTTGAAATCCCCTCTTTACAGACCCCATGTGGACAAACCTTCCCCTTCTGCACCTCCATTTCTCTCCATTCTTTAACCTTGCTTTATTTTTCATCAAGCACTTGCTACTACATTGCCATCTATCATTTCTTTGCTTTTGCCTATTTCCCCCATTACAATATAAAGCTCATGGCTGGGTGCAGTGGCTCACGCCTGTAATCCCAGCACTTTGGGAGGCCCAGGCTGGCGGATCACCTGAGGTCGGGAGTTCGAAACCAGCCTGACCAACATGGAAAAACCCCGTCTCTACTGAAAATACAAAATAAGCCAGGCGTGGCGGTGCATGCCTGTAATCCCAGCTACTCGGGAGGCTGAGACAGGAGAATCGCTTGAACCCAGGAGGCGGAGGTTGCGGTGAGCCAAGATCGCGCCATTGCCCTCCAGCCTGGGCAACTAGAGCAAAACACCATCTCAAAAACAACAACAACAACAACAAAACAAAAAACAAAAACAAAAAACAACAATATAAAGCTCATGAGGTCATGGGCTTCCCATCTTTTCTTCACCTCCTTTCCTCCATTACCCGAAACGTTGCCTGGCATATGGAAGGCTCTCACTACAGATTTGTTCCATTTATATATGTGTATCATTTCAGACTGCTTATTTTTCTTCTTTTATTGTGGACAAGAGAAAATGTCCACAGAGCCTGCACTGTTTGGTATATGGAAACCATTGTTTTAAGAAAGAGATTGAAGAGCTGCTAGCAGCATTCCTTCAGGGCAGAACCGAAGGAAGCAGGCATTTGGTTTGAGCATTCTTTACTGCAACCAATTTGAAATATCAGGAGACTCATGTTTCTTAGGACAGGCAACCAATGGCTAGTGGGCTGAATCGTGCCTGCTTGATTTAGGAATACGAAATATTCTTAAAACATAGGCAGGCTGTTCAGGAATATAGACCCTCCTCCTCCCTCGCTCAAATTAGCTAATTAGAGATTAGGCATTGCTTTTTAGCCTGTGGCTCTTTTACACTGCATGAATCGTGTATGAGAATGTTCACCTGCTCTTAGAGTACAAGTATCTTGGATATTTAAGTTAAAAAAAAAGGTAACAGTAGCCTCTAGGTAACTGCACAATGAACTGTTACCTCTCATAATTATTAACCAGGAAGTGGGAAAACTAGGAAGTCAAGTTCACAAACAAATCTTACTACTAACAAGAGTGGGTCATTGTAAAAAAAAAAAAAGCTGCTTTTGAAATGCCTCATGGGTAGTTCACAAATATAGATAGTAGGTTTCAAAAGTGAGAATTTCAAATTTCTTATGCTATATGGGAATGTGAATAGGTGGTTCAGACTTCTTCCTGAAAAAGCACTACTTCTAGGCATCGGGGCTCAGAACATCGTGGTGGCTCAGAAAACAACACCTTAAAATATGGTATTTTGATATGCTGAGTACCTTGAAATAAAGAAGCAGCCTCAGAAACAAGGTCTCTCTGACCTTCTCCCACTGTCCCTCTCTCTCCCCTTTCCCTATCCTGAAGCACAGAGAGGTGCTTTATGTGAAGTTCTCTCATTTGACCAAGCGAAGTTTCTCCAGAAGAAATGTAGTTGTCTCGGGCCACCTCCTTATAATCTCATCAAACAGAGCAGAAAAACTTGCAGAAAAGACTAGAGTTGACACCACTCTCCCAGAGTCCAGACAAACTTTGCCTCAGGCCATCATCTGTTCCTCAGGTCCATTCACCTCCCCTAAAAATCCTTTACTCTTCCTCTAAAATTGCCTGCATCCCCCACTTCCCTCTCTCTTATGAATGGGGGCCTTTAAGCTTCAACCATCTGACCCTTGTTTGAGTTTCATACTTGCTATGACTCCCATGCGTTTGCATGTTAATAAATGTGTACACCTCTTCTCCTGTTAATCTGTCAGTTTGTCTTATAGGCTCAAATTCTTGAACCTTCAGGGAGTGGAAGGAAAGTTCCTTTTGCACCTGCAACATGATATCCTAAAATATAGCCTCTTGGCATACTGAGGTTTTCTTTTTTTTTTTAATTTTGAGATATTTTTTTTAATTTGAAGGTAATCTTAATGCTATTAAATTCACAAATGCTAATTTAAATACCCAATCCTATTTATCTAAAACACACATTGCAAACACACAAATATCTATTCTGTCCACACGTCAGCACCCATTCATGTCATGGTTTGGAAATGGGGAGAATAGATTCCCCTTACATTGCAAGTCAGCAAATGTTTCTTTACAGTTAACTTTAGCAAAATTCATACAAAATAGTAATTAACAATGATCTTGTTAACTCACAAGGAAACACCTTCAAAACTGCATTTTGTTAGTTTCTGTACTAAAATGTAGAAAAACTGAACTACACAAATATTGAAAAGTTAAAAATTCCTTAATTTTTTATTCCTGTTACCACCACCGCAATTTACAGGGCAATATACCTGATGAAATGAAAAGAAAAAGAAGAAGAAAAAGCTACCACAGATAAAAGACCTCAGGAGTATACATGTAATTGACACTACATCGCATTAATCAATAGCTGAACTTTTTGCAAACTATGGCTATGGCAGTCCTGAACAAGAAGGTTTCCTGTTTAAGCTGCAGTAACTTTTCTGACTATGGATCATTGTTCCCTCTGGCAGATTTTTAAAGTTCCTTTAATGCATTTGGGATGACTGTCTCAAAGTAACCTCCAGCTTTCCTAACAATTTCTCTCTCTCTCCTGCTAAGAGCTGCAGCCCTTTTCTGCTGTTTTCAAAACCTTCTGCTCCTATATCCACCATGTCCATCACCAGATCCATAACCACCATCATAGGGATGAGCTTCTTCCACCAAAACTGCCCCCTTACATGGGTTCGTAATTTGATTGCTGTTGTCCACTATAATTTCCAAAATCATTATAGTTCCCACCACCACCACAGTTACCACCACCAAATTTCCTCCATTGCAACCATCATATCCTCCACCACCACCACCATATCTACCACCTTGGTTTCCATATCCTGGTCCGCCACCACCATAGCCCCCTCTACTACTATAACCAGGACGACTGTCATAGTTGCCACCATCGCCTCTAAGTCCATTATATCCACCATCACCTCCTTCATAACTATTTCCGCTGCCACCACCTCCACCAGCATAGCCTCCTCTTCCACCAAAGTTGCCACCATGGCCAAAATTACCTCCACCACCTCGAAAGTTTCCTCCGCAACCCATAAAATTGCCGGATCCACCTCCACAATCTCTCTGTGATCCAGCAGACTGCATCTCTTGTTTAGAAAGGGCCTTTTCACTTCACAATTATGCCCATTAATAGTGTGGTATTTCTGAATAACAATGTTATCAACTGTGGTATTTCTGAATAACAATGTTATCAACTGTATCGTGATCATCAAAAGTTGCAAAAGCAAATCCTTCCTTTTTTTCACTCTGTCTGTCTTCCATAACTTCCATGGTTTCAGTCTTGCCATACTTTTCAAAGTAGTCTCAAATTATATTCTTCTGTATCTTCTTTAATACCACCAAGGAAATTTTTCTTCACTGGTAGATGGGCATCAGGCTTTATCGACTCCTCTCTAGAAAGAGTTATCTTTGGTTCCAATAGACACCCACCAACCTGTGTGGTTGAGCACATGTTGTTGCATCCACCTCTTCAACACAAGAGTAAGTCACAAAACCAAACCCCCTGGAACGTTTTCTTTGGGGGTGTCTCATTACCATACAATCTGTGAGTGTGCCCATTTTTCCAAATGTTCTCTTAAACTATCATCTGTCGTTTCAAAGCTCAGAACACCAATAAACAGTTTTCCCAACTACTCTGGTTCCTTTGGATCATGATCCTCTGCTCCCGGCGGTGACGGTCACAGCTGGAATTGGGCTTGGGGCCACTGGGCATCAGTTTTACCTCCATTTTGAGACCGGACTCACCTCTTCCGACTCGAGTTCACTATCTACTGAGTATTTTAACCTGAAGGAAATTGAGAAAACCATAGAAGCAAGAAGGACCTCTCTAACTTTCTCTGCCCTTTCTCCCCTGAAACATGGTTATAGGGAAGTTGTCTGACCCACCTCCCCTGTAAATAGGCCACAAGACCCTCATATGACAGGTGTCTTGCCCTATACCTGGAGGCCAAGAAGAATCTAAGCAAACCCCCTTTGCTAAGTTCTGCCCAGTTTATCATTAGGTCAAACCACCCTATTGTCCAACCATAATTCTACATGACTGCCTATTCTTCATCAAACTTGTCCATAAAAATACGCTGTTTTCCTTGGGTCTTTGAGTCTTCATTTCTGAAGGCTTTCTACCACATGAAACTTTGGTCAAATAAATTTGTTGGCTGGGTGTGGTGGTGCATGCCTGTAGTCCCAGCTACTTGGGAGGCTGAGGTGGGAGAACAACCTGAGCCCAGGAGTTCAAGGCTGTAGTGAGCTATGATTGCATCTGTGCAGTCCAGCCTGGGCAACAGGGCAAGTTTCTGCCTTAAATAAATAAATAAATAAATAAATTTGTATTTTCTTTTGTTAAGCTGTCTTTTGTTATATGGTTGTCAGCCATGTATTACTTTTTCTCCCCTATAGTTTCTGGTACTCACCATGGGGTGACTCAGACCCCCCTACCTGCTCTAGAGCCCACAGGTGAGATCTTGAAGCAATTGACAAAAGCCGGCAAAAAAGTAAGGATTTATATTTTTTAACCAAGGTCAGTTCTCCCAGATCTCTGCCTGTAGTGCCTGGTGGAGAATGGATGGTAAATTTTTTTCCTTGTCCCTTGCTTTCTGAATTCAGACTAGTAGGAGAAAAACATTTGTGTCTTTTGTTATAGGAGTGTCAGCCATGAAACTTGCCATGAGCCAGGCATAGGCATGTGGGGTTCATTTTGGTACATATTTTTTCCCCTGAAAAGTAGAGTATAAGCCCAAGTGTACCTAATGCACGTTTAACACAGATTTTTTTTTTAATTGGTTCTAATATCTGCTCTTGCTGCCACACTTCAGAGTAGTAGTAACAGTTAGCTACAAGACGGTACACAAATAAGTGAGAACTGGTAGTAAATGAAGAAAATGAGAGTTTAGAGTATATAAGTGCCTGTGTGTGTACACATGCATGGGTACGTGATTGTGTTGTGTGTATATATGTGATAGGGTCAACATATACTGACTATAATAATAATAATGATTAAAATAAATGAAAAGGATGAAAGTATAGATCTTTTGAAATTTCTTTCTTTTATTCTCTCTATGTCTCTCTCTCATTCTTTTATGCTCCAGAATGGAATGGAGCTAGGGGATTTAGAAAGCCTCTGCTGATGAATCCATCATATTCTGACAGCTGAATTCCCAGAAACAGAGTATTAGACTTTCACACAAGGTGACATTTTGACTGGAATCTTTTAAGGTGAAGCTTATAAAGTACTGAGAAGAGGACTGCTCCATAGCGGGTCTTCAAATAATAGTAGCTACTAGTGTTATTAATTGCTCCCACGAAGAAACCAAGGCTTTCAATGTCTGACAAGCCAATTCCACCATCTCAATACCCTTGCAACTGCTATGTCAGAAAATGTTTTGAAAGAGGTAAAGTTGGAAGGTAACTGGGCAGACTTTTACACTGGAGGGTAAGAATAAAAACATTAAGTGGTTTAAAAAAAGTCAGGAGAGTGTGACTTTGGACCATCACCCACCTGATGAAGTGGTCTTATCTTAGGATTGTCTATCATGAAGATTAAAAATAAAGCCAAGGCTTAACCTCATTGATATTTGAAATAAAAATGTTCATTTTCTTTTAAAAACTGCCCACAATGATAGAGGCAGTTATTTTTGGTAAAAGTGGATTGTGGACAGAGTAGCTGGCAAAATGCTCTTAAGTATTCACGCAAGACAAAAACCTTCCTGGCACTAAGAAGTCTCAATTGGCTTTTCAGCTGCACTGTGGTTTAGTGTGTGCTTTAAATCAGCTCTAAGACTACACCACATACCATTGTGTCTGTTAGAAAATCATTATGGTGCAATTAAAAGCAATGTTGTTTTACAGACGAACATGGAATTTTCCTCTGTGTCTGACGGCTGTGCACTTCCTTCGTGCCTCCTGTGATTATCTGCACTGGTGATGGTCAACAGATACAGCTGTCGGGAAAACACTCAACAGATGGCAGTTGCAGAGTGATGCATCATCCTTTCTGGGATGCTCTCTGACATTGGAGCTCAGGATTTCCATAAACGTTGGTGTGTCACTGACTCCTTTCAAGCAACTTGGGCCTGGAATGTTCAGTGACAAAATTAATCTTACTCCAGAAATGAAGAGAAATTGAAGTGTCCTTATGAAATGAAGTGTGCGATATAATGCTAAAATATATTGTCATTTGTAGCTTCTTAACTATTATAGATAAGAACAACCAACTATATAGAAAGCCTGATACATTGGTAGATTGAACACTTTTTCTTCAGGATGAGAGTGAGCAAGATTGGTCAGTTCTTTCATTTTTTTGTAAATCTCTTTAAAGCTTGGCTTTATATTTTTTAAAAAGAGCAATTTAACCTTTGCTTCAGTAATGACATGGGTTGTTGAATGATGTTGTCTGTGATGAAATTCATCTTAGTGGTGCAAGGATTAATTACGTGGTTCCTTTTTACATCTCAGTTAACATTTTAACATGAAACACTGAAGCTTCTATCTTCATTATTTATACAGTACATATATGTGTATAACATTATTAGGGAAATAAGAAAATAAGAGTAAACAGATTGACAACGATGTCGAAAAATGGGCTGAACAATATTGTAAAATAATTATGCTAGATTATTATTCAGTATTCAGAATCTGAGTTATAGAGTCCCCATGACTGACTTGTTTTTCTTCCTCTCAGTTACACAGATCCTTTCAAGTTTTAGGGCCTCACTTAACCAGTGAACATTCTGGGCCGTCGCGATGTGTGTATTTTAATACAATGACAAGACAGCATTGAATAGTAGGTATAGGTCCTGCATCTGTGTTCTAGAAAGTGTCCTGGGCATGCCTGCCTGCCAGCTCCATTCACCCTCTAATGCCCCTAAATGATATTTGGCTATCTTTAGTTTGACCTGAATATGAGTACAGTCCTATATAATCCTAAAAGCAGGTAACATGGGGATAACCATATCCCATAGGGTTAAGTTTAATTTTGTCAAAATTGTTATCTTTCCTTTCTCGTGTTAGCAAAACTGCGTCCTGCAGTTCATGAAGATTTATATTTCTTCTAAAACATGACACACTGACATTTTCTGTTTGTCATGTCCCCAAAGAGGTAACCACATGCTATATATGTTTTCTGTTAATATATTTGCAAGTTGGTCTCAATGGTTGGTCTCTGAAAGATTTCCAGTGGATAAAACACATGGAATGAGTAGCTGCAAAAGGAGCCTTTTTAGTAAATGCATAAAGGGGCAGGGAACAGTGTGGAGGCTGTAGGAAACACGAAACACAACACAGCATAGATTTGAAATACATTGTGTATGTTTTGGGACAAAAGCAAACATTTTGCTTATTCTAAAAGCTTTAATATATTCCAGGCATTATGATAAGTACTTTGTATGTATTATTTGATTTGATTTGATTCTCACACATATGTAAGACAGGTATTATTATTTTCAGTATATTGATGAGAAAATGGTGGTACAGCTGATAATTTGCCCAAAGTCAAACAATAAGATGGTCTTCCAGACTCTTATAATTTCTTAAAAGAGTATAATTATTTCTTCCCTAAACAATAGTATGACTTTGTGCATATAGTTTTCTGTAATGTTATACTGTATATAGGCACTAATTAATAAAGCAATGAAAAAATACATTTGGCTGGGCGTGGTGGCCCACGCCTGTGATCCCAGCACTTTGGGAGGCCGAGGCGGGTGGATCACTTGAGGTCAGGAGTTCGAGACCAGCCTGCCCAACATGGTGAAACCCCGTCTCCACTGAAAATACAAAAATTGGCCAGGCATGGTGGCATGTGCCTGTAATCCCAGCTCCTTGGGAGGCTAAGGCAGGAGAATCGCTTGAATTCAGGAGGTGGAGATTGCAGTGAGCTGAGATCGTACCATTGCACTCCAGCCTAGGCAACAGAACGAGACTCCGTCTCAAAAAAAAAATTGTTTGTATGATAAAATGCATCTTTATACCTCTTAAAATAATATAATTTATGTTAAAAAAAAAAGAAGTTTGAGAGATGTAAATATGTGGATATTTTTTGGAAGGATTCAGGTATGTTTCTAATAAGTAGGATGTTAGTAAACCAGTTTTTCCTGAAATTTTCATTTGTTTGATGATTAATGTAAAACAATTTTATGATTTCATTTAATATAAATTAAAAGAAAATTCAAGTGTTGAATAAAATAAGTCTGTAAGTAATACTATTAAGAAAATTTTATATATCCTCTTTCAATGGTATATAGAGGTAGTATGTTCCCAGCTGAGATGAGTGTGGGAATGACATGACAGGATACATTTTCAAAATAAGCATGCCATAAAAATGATTGGTAGAACATAATCTATGCAATTAAACCCTGTTTTCTTCCCAAATTTTGAATGCAGTCTGTTGTATGCCAAAAAGAGGCAACTAATTGGAAACCTAAAAGTGAATTCTAGATTTCCATTTGCTTTTTTATCACAAGGCTATATATTCTGGGGAGGCAAAAAAAAAAAGAATATTTAGTTGAGATGTTGTGTGGTTACCTTCAGTATCTTGCCATGATAGTGGCATCTAATATGACACTGTCATGATAGCTCAAATACTCACGTGGGCAAGACAGATCCACAGAGGAGCAAAGCACCTTGAAAGCACATGCAGTATAAAGGTAAAGAAAGACCATTGTCTCATGGTAACTGCTTGCAGTTATGAGTATTCTACTATAAATCTAAGCCATGTAGGGAGAGGGATTTTATAGCTATCATTGCCACTTGAGATTATTCTGCTGCCTAATGCAAGTCGATGAAAGGGTCTAATTTTTGTAGCAGTCTTGAAACACTACCTTAGGCATCCATTATTGTACAATTTTAGTTTTGAATCAGTATGAGCTTTATCTCTAGTTATGATGTTCACATCCTCCATAAGTAAGATGAGGATCAATAGTAAAACAAACCCAGCAAATTGTAGGCTTTGCAATAAACCTAAGGTATTAGGTGGACATAATTTAAACAGTTGTTTTTCTTCTTCTTCTAAATAAACACGTAATAGGAGAAAAAAATGAGGCTCTAAAGGGATTGTGCATTCCTAAATATTTTATGGCTCTGTTAAATGCAATGTTGAGCTTTAGTTCCACTGTGGAATATTTGCTGATGATCATTTACTTGCCAACTGAAAACCCAAAAGATGCTATTTGAGGTTTTTTGTGTGGTTTCAGTCTTGGCCCTTCTGTCAGGGTTTCACTGCATGATGGTTAAGAGCAACTCTTTGCATGTGAGAAGACAGATGCTGGTGATTTAAGCAGGGAAATACACCACAGTGCTTTTACTCAGCTGATATTTAATGATTTACCATTTAATGTAGTTCATCTTTCATAACCCTGAGTTCAAACAGAAGCAGCTGCTATTAGGGAGGGAATAATATTGAACTTCCCACCGACGACCTAGGAGAGCTTCTTTTGTAGCTTCAGCTACTGGACCCATCTGGCCTTTAGACCCTAAGCACGACAACTGAAGGAGAGAAACAGTTTACTTCCCATCAATAGAGTACTGGGCAGAATGTATAATTATGCCAGATAAAGATTTTCAAAACAAAACTCCTTGTGTTAACATCACTCTGCAACTTTGAAGGACAAAACAATGCTCTTTACTCATTATCAAAAGAATCCTGAGAAAACTCAGAAAACGTATGAAAAATCATGCTGAGCTGAAATCAATTCAAAGGGAAGAAGTGTTCCTGGTTTCAAACATGAAAGATAAACTTATTTTCTTATAATTTCTATTTGCTTTCATTATTGTGGGAGCTTTCTGGTAAGGTATTTGTAAAGGCTTTTTTGCTCTAGTTTTAGAAGATATTTAGATAGATGGATGAATAGATGAACTACTTAAAACAAAAACAAGCCTTTCAGAAAACTAAAGTGTAAAAGACAGACATCAAATGAGATTGAAGTCCTTTGGAGGGAGGATAGTATCCAATATGCTGATGAGAATTGTGATATTAATGTTATCAAATAGAATGCTTTAAAGGCAATTTTGCTTATCAAAATCCTTTCCTAGTTCAATAATCTATTTTCACTTTGGCATTACTGATGAGGGATTGAAAAGTAGATTACAGGTTAGGTTGCCTCTATTTTTTTCTGATTTTCCTTTTTTTGATTAAATTTCTAACATCTGTAAATTAGGATTTGCAAGGAAAAGAAAGATTATCAACTTTCATTACAATTACAAGCTTGCTGGACAACAACTGTTGCCTAGTTATAATTATATCTAATCCTTTGACTAATTACAGTAGGCCAAAAATGTTTTTCTTTTCTAATAATATATTCCTAAAAGACAGAGAAGGCAGTTAGACCAGACGTTTTCACTGGGAGAAACATACTTAGAGGTGTTCAGTCTGATGGGATTAGATGGACTAAAACCACTATGTGGGTCTCCTATCCTGCACTACAGCATTTGTGATTCTCAAAGCCAGGGTCAGACTTCTCCTCAAGGAATTTTCTGATTTAAAGATCCATTTTCTGAAGCATTGTCCATAGTACAAAAGCATGCGTATTTACCTCTATGCATCATTTGAAAATACTGTCCTAGAGATATTTATGCATTTTCCAAAGTTTGATGATGCTTGGTATTTTGGATTTGTCATTTGGCAAATAAGTAGTTATTTGCATAATATTTATAATTAGGCAACTATGACATTTAAAAAGATAAAGAATGGCCAGGTGCAATGGCTCATGCCTGTAATGCCAGTACTTTGGGAAGCCAAGGCAGGCAGATTACTTGAGGTCAGGAGTTCGAGACCAGCCTGGGCAACATGGTGAAACCCTGTTTCCACTAAAAGAAAACACAAAAAATAGCCAGGTGTGGTGGTGGACACCTGTAATCCCAGCTACTAGGGAGGCTGAGGCAGGAGAATTGCTTGAACCCAGAAGGCGGTGGTGGTAGTGAGCTGAAATCAGGCCACTGCACTCCAGACTGGGTGACAGAGCAAGACTCCGTCTCTAAATAAATAAATAATAATAAAAAAAGATAAAGAAGACTTTCTGTATAAGGTTGCTGAATAAAGAAACAGTCCAGAAGTACAAATATGCTCCACTTTACACTTTATTTTTGCCAGTTATTGATAGAAAGTTCCTTCACCTACTTTTGAGCTTTAGTTCTGCTGCTTGGTCTGCAACCAGTCTAGTGCATTGCATTCCTGGATTCTTAGCCTCCTCATCATTTGTGGAAAAACCCTTTCAACTTTGTAGCATCTCTCTGAACTCCAGTGAGGAAATGGATACCTCAGTATAGAGAATTGTGTCAAAATAATCATGATTTCATTTTAAAAGGAATGATCAAAGTATAGATTCTATTTTAACATGGATTTGGTTAGTTAAATCGCTACATATTGGAAATCAGATATTAATGTATCAACCTCAGCAAGTTAGAAAGTTTGATTTGGAATCTTATTTGTTTGTTTTTGTTTTTGAGATGGAGTCTCACTCTGTCGTCCAGGCTGGAGTGCAGAGGCCCGATTTCAGCTCACTGCAAGTACTGCCTCCTGGGTTCATGCCATTCTCCTGCCTCAGCCTCCCGAGTAGCTGGGACTGCAGGCGCCTGCCACCACGCCTGGGTATTTTTTTTTTGTATTTTTAGTAGAGACGGGGTTTCACCGTGTTAGCCAGGATGGTTTTGATTTCCTGACCTCGTGATCTGCCTGCCTCGGCCTCCCAAAGTGCTGGGATTACAGGCGTGAGCCACCACACTCGGCCTGGAATCTTATTTAAATTCATTTTTTAGGTCTGAATACAGATAGGTGAGATTTCTATTTTCCTGTTTGTTCAATTTCAAAATTTATAGGAGTTCTAATTGGAAACATGGCAGAAATGCCACCACAGAAAAGTGGAGGGTTTTTGCCACAAAATTTTATTATAATGATTTCCAGGCTCAAGGGCATATTATCATGTGGAAGTGTGTATATTTTAAAATAGTGTTGCGATTTTTTTAGCCTTTTAAAACTTTAAAAATAAACATCTATTCCTTTTTGTTTGTTTGTTTTGAGTGTGCAGATATTCTGGTTCATTCCATTTTGATGAGACCTAGCATACATTGGTAGTTACCATTGGACACTATGTATTCAAATTAGCTAGAATAGATTTCAGCCTTTAGAGAGCTGGGTTATTCAGGTGAATGTGGTTAGAGCACTCAATGAAACTGAACATTTCACAATTGCCTGTCATTATGAGTTATTTTCAAGTGAGCCCCTTAAAATACATTTTTTTAAAAAAAGAAGAAATATAGTAAAAGTGGGTGTGATATTGTCATGCATGGGTGCCACATTTGACTGGAGGTGGTGGTTGGGGTTAATTTAATATCAGCTGAAATCTCCTAATGCAGCTTGGGCACTACTGACATATTTTTTAAAAATCACCAGATCACACTATGATAATATTCAAATTAGAAAAGATTAGAAATATATCAAATCTTGTTAAAGAAATGACCTACCAACCTTAGAAGCAAGAAAACCAAGTTTCGAACTGAAATTATGAAATAACAAGCCAATGTTTCTGTGAAAGAAAGGTGGACCCTAATACAACAAGTAGAGCCTAGTAATATATTTTCTCTGTACCCTGACCTTAAATAATGTCACTGTGTTCACCACCTATGACATGGTGCCATATTGCTGAAAGGACTTGTACAGAGAAATAATCCATTCCAAAAAGGTAGAAGTAAAGTATTACTAATATAAGAAGGAAAACATCACTTATCTTACTATTCTCTAAAATCATGAAAAACTCATTGTGATCTAATAAAATATTTTGAAGGAAAAATTATAAAATAAAGTATTAAAGAAAAAGCACCTTGCAGGAACTTTTGAATAATATTTTGTAAAGTTAATGAACCAAAATTATAAATTATCATTATAATGATTTACCAATTAGGAGTCACATAATAGCAATTAAAGTATTTTTCTTATGATTAAAATGTGAGTTTTTAAAGAAATCATGTTTAGCATTCTTCATTTATTTCTACTCCATTTAAAGGGATAAAGAATTGTATAGTAGTCTGCATGGGTCGCAACAGATTTTGTTGTAATTATAAAATGTAATTCGGGAAAATTTAAATTGTATTTTATAGAAAAATAATAAAGTAAAGGAAGATGCTTTTTGTACATAGAATATAGCATGGCATGAAAATAAAATTTTCTTTAAATTTTAAGGCAGTAATTCTTAAGCACGTTCTGAGAACTACGTGCCTGAGAATTACCTGGGAAACTTGTTAGAAATGCTGTAAATTCTTGGGATCTATGCCAGGTCTACTGAGCCCAATTCTAAGATAATTAATTTCAGAACCTGTTTTACTACATACATAATCAAAGATGCTTCTTAAGAATGGACAACTTTCAGTACCACTCTTCTAAAGGAACTATTTCACCTATATGACTACTTGGCACCACTGACCAAATTAAAGTAAACCCGTAGTATTAGGGAACTCTGAATTTGTGGAATGAAGAGAAGTTGAGTATTTTCTGGTGAATTTCTACATTTAGTAGGTTATCTTATACATGATAGACATTCAACCAATATATATGTTAGATGAATGAATAAATGGAATTTTATCAATTATATGAAGACAAATACCATTTGGATGCAAAATGTGAACGTTAAAATAGGAAATCACAGCTAAAGATATTCAAAGGAAACTGATTATTTAATCTACTACATGTATTCAATAATATTTGGAATATGAGAAGATAAACAGATAATTTAAAGTCAAGTTACAGAGGAGGTAGCACGCAGGGAACAAGCTGAAGTATAACCATAAAAACTCTTTAGCAAGTCTCTGTTAATGTAAGAGGTAGAGATGAATGTGCTGGCCATTAAATTTTGTGTTTTTTCTTTTCTTTTCTTTTCTTTTTTTTTTTGCAAGAAGGTTGTTCAGGGTATATACAGTACAGTTTCTATATTTAAAAAAAGAAATATGGGGGATAAATATATTGCACTTTAAAGATCAAGAATGTAACTGTTTTCACCCTTACAAATTTGCTGAAAGTAACATTACTTCTGTTTTAGCAATAAGGAAAAGGAGACCGGCCAGGCACAGTGGCTCACGCCTGTAATCCCAGCACTTTGGGAGGCCGAGGTGGGCGGATCGTGAGGTCACAAGATCGAGACCATCCTGGCTAACATGGTGAAACCCTGTTACTAAAGGTCTCTACTAAAAATACAAAAAATTAGCCTGGCATGGTGGCGGGCGCCTGTAGTCCCAGCTACTCGGGAGGCTGAGGCAGGAGAATGGCATGAACCCGGGAGGCCGAGCTTGCAGTGAGCTGAGATCGCACCACTGTACTCCAGCCTGGGCGACAGAGCAAGACTCCGTCTCAAAAAAAAAAAAAAAGGAAAAGGAGATACTGTTCTTCAAATGTTTATTCATGTATTCATCCATTCAGCAGGTGTTTATTGATTTCCTAGTATGTGCAGGAATGCTGCCTCTATTAGTATTTCAGGACTAGCCCAGAAGGAAACATTCTCCTTTTTATCGCAGATGGTCACCCACTGAAGTCAGATGCTCTGATTTGGGTCATACTCGCAGGGAGTATTTGTAAGCCAAAGACATTAGCATTTACAGCTAATTCTTACTTTGTTGAACCGAGCTGTCCAAACTTAAAAGCATGTACTCAACTCTTTACCAACCATCATTATGAACTGCAGTGGTATCTCCCTTTCCTCTTATCGTATCTTTTTTTAGGGACCCCTCTCTTCCCCACTATTATTAAACTGGGTGTGTCTACATCCTGCTTCTTTTGTAATAATCTTTTGAACTTCTTTAATAAATTAATGGACTAGTCTGTAACTACTGAGGCCACTATTGAGTAATTTTAACAAAGACACACACACACTGGTGTTTCTTAATTAAGAATGTGGTGAGTAGATAAGGGTATTTGGCAGTAGTTGACATCAGCAAGTCATTCAAAATTCTTCCGTGATACTACTAATTTGTTTATAATAGCCTTTTAATTGCAACATATAAACAAAGACAAATGTGGGTTGGATTCTATGTAAAAAGTGTCAATCTTGTCTTTTCTGCTTAAAAGAGTTATAATTTCCACTTCTGGTGCAGTTGAAATAAGGAATAAAAGCTATATCCCTTGTGTTTGGTTGACAAGCTTTTAATGTTCAGGTTCCTTTTCTGAAAGGTGGCCTTTCTTTACACAACGTCTGTTGTCAGTTGGTAGCATTGTGTAGTCTAGGAGAAATCACAGAGATGCAGGTGTCTTATGAATAACCAGATGGGAAACGGAAGATGATCAAACTTCTTCCTAGACCCTATGAGTCAAACAGGAATGACAAAAGATTTTCCTTTGCAACTGGGAGGAGAGTGAAATCGAATTATAAAAAGTCTTGTATACAAATGACAATAATGCCTAACATAAGCCTCCTCCTTAAAGACAGGAAATCTGTTTTCTAAAGCTTTTCCCATCACCAAAATACAGCCAGAGTCTGCTATGAGACTCAGCAGCTGTTAAACAGTGCCAGAAACACTGATGAACGTCCAAGACATTTCCTTCAAGCAAAGTAATATCCTCCAAAGAGCACGTTCGGAGATCGTTCACATGGACTCAGAGGGGAGAGCGCCACCTATCGTATCACGGCGGCAGTGTCCAGGGCACCTGGCCATCCTTCCAGCCTCCCTTGCACCACCCACCAGCACATCCTGTTCTGCCCCAGAGAGCTGCTGATAGTAATGTTCTGAGATGGTCTGAAGTTCACCTAAGTGTGCTCATATCACGCTCTATAATGTGAGGAAAACACACGAATTTAAATCAGTTTTTAAAACAACCAGGCCTCTCTTCTCATTTACTAGAATGGAAAAAATTCACTTTTATTACCTCGAAGATGCCAAACAGTGCCATTTTATTACTGTGGGAAGCTGGAAGTCATTTCCGAACCCTTTTGGCAAGGGTGCTATGTAGAGCATCCAGTTCAGTCCTTTAAGTGTCTTCTGAGAACCACCACACAGACTGTGATTTACTGTCTTCAGGAGTTAAAGGGACCCTTTCTACCCTGAAACTGAAGAAAGAAAGGTGAAGTGTGTTTACCAAGCATCCCAATGAGACTTGCAAGAATATGATACAGCACAGAGTGGGGAGCCAGAGGTAAAGAATGCTTTGGTAACCCACGTTTTTCAGCATCTACTTTTGCATTGCTTTAAATGATTATGTTGGCAGCCTTTAGCAGTTGTGATGATTTTTGTATTTGATCAATTGGTCTTTAGGCGACTTTCACAGATATCTACACAGAGTGGCAATAGGACTCCTTTTCCCCTTCCTCTTTGATGTTTGCATCTTAAATAGATTTTTGGTACACTTCCACAGTAAATGCAGTGTCAGAGGGTAAATATATATGTGTATGTGTATGTGTGTATATACAGAGATAGATAACATACCACTGTGAAAAACAATTACATAGTCTATCACATAAAAAATGAGAAGCTGTCTGATAGTGTAAAAGGAAATCTAATAAACTCTTTTTCTTGACAAAAATCAGTGAACTACTGACCTCAAGTAGAAAGACCAATCTTTATTTGCCTTTATATTTTTAAACCCTGATAAGTAGTCATCCAAAACAACTCTCGAACGAGGACATGACATTTTTTTCTTGTAAACAACCTCACATCTTTCATGGAGCAATGTCTCTAGCAATTACATTCTTAATAGAATATTGTATTTATAAGCTATATCATAAGGGCATCCGTAATGGTAGCCTACAGTTTCCATGTCTTTTTTTTTTAAGTGAAATTAATGTTTTCTTACGATACTTTGGTTATTAATGACAAAAACATTTTTTTTCCTGCTCTGCCTGGTGAGTAAATACAACACAATACTTGGAGTGGATGAATTTATTACAATATTGGAAATATTATTTGGTCTGTTTCTTTTTGGGGCCAGGATGATATATCTGTTCTGAAGTAGAGGATTCACACTTGACGGTAGGCTTAGGAATTTATGCTGCTTTCATTGCTAAATCTAGCAGGGGTTCTAGAAGCCAAACCTTCAAGTAGCGCCTGATAGGCAAACGGCTGAGGTGGGTGGAGGGCTACATCCAGGGAGTCAGGAATGCAGTGCATTCCTGGTAATTCGAAGGTAATTAGAGGAATAAAAGTCCCCTTTACTTAAGAGGAGTGAAATCAAGCCAAAAACTTTGATATATGCATAACAAAAAAGTAGAGAAAACATCCAAGAACAAATTTATCACCAGCTGACTGAGTCATCATTAATGGCCATTAAAATAAAACAATAGAAAAAAGAATAGTAATTAAAGATAAGGTAGAAAAATGACTGAATTTTTTTTCAAAGTTCCTCTTTTTAGAAATACACCCAGGAAGCTCTGTCTATTTAAAACTGGCACACACATTGGACTGACTCATATGTTTCCTATGTGTATGTCACTTATTCTTTTATATTTCCATCCATCCATGTATTCATCCATCAATAAATCTATACATCCTTCACCCAATTATCCATCTATTGCAACCAAGTATTTATCAATTATTTTCTTCTTTCATCCTCTTGTAAATCCAACGTGTTTTAGGTGGCTGCTACATAACAAGTAATATTACTAGTGATAGAAAGACATAGAAGATGGAGTCTCTTCCCCCAGCGAGCTTAGAGTCCAAGTGGAGAGAAAGTTAAATATATCATTACTACACTATGTGATACATGACATGATAGCACTACACTATGAAGATAGAAAGGCTTCTAAGTTAGAGAGGTGGATCTGGGGAAGCTAACATTAAAGTTGAACTGTAAGAGAAGATGGTGAAGAGGAAAGATAATTCTAGACAAAAAGCATGGTATATGCAGTGTGTCCTTAATTATTGGTATTCATTTATATTCACAAAATCATTTAACAAAACTCCACTCCTTAAAACATAACATGATATAATGATTCAATTAATAATGACTTGTGGAGGCAATAAAGCTTGGTGGTTACATGCACTGCCTTTGGAACCAGATTTCCTGGGCTTGAATCCTGGCTCTTATTCTGTCTACCTGTTAACCTAAGGGAAATTACTCAACTTTTCTCTGCATCAGTTTCCCTTTCTTCAACCGGGGATAGTAACTGTATATCTTATAGTGAGTATTATGTGAATTTATGCATGAAAAACTTATGTATATTTGGTAGAAATAATTTCTCAATACATATTAAGTAGGATAGTATTTTTCCCTTGGTTAAAATGATCTTACTGATGATCCTTTTTGAAGAGATGTCTAAGAGCTATCAGAATCTGAGACTTACTACATTCAGAAACCAAACCAAAGAGGATTCACCTTTCTTAAAACTTTTTTTTTTTTTTTTTTAAGACGGAGTCTCGCTTTGTTGCCCAGGCTGGAGTGCAGTGGCGCGATCTCAGCTCACTGCAAGCTCCTCCTCCCGGGTTCACGCCATTCTCCTGCCTCAGCTTCCCGAGTAGCTGGGACTACAGGCGCCCGCCACTGTGCCCAGCTAATTGTTTGTATTTCTAGTAGAGATGGGGTTTCACCGTGGTCTCGATCTCCTGACCTTGTGATCCGCCCACCTCAGCCTCCCAAAGTGCTGGGATTACAGGCGTGAGCCACCGCTCCTGGCCCTTTCTTAAAACTTTAAAACTATTTCCAGTAGTGAGGAAAACCTCTAGAAATTCACTCAGATTCCTGAGTTCAAATTCTGTCTTTGCTACCTTCTAACTTTGAGGTCATTAGCAAGTTGCTTAATGCCTGTGCCTCAGTTTCTCATCACAAATGCAGATGCTAACGACACCAATATCTCCCTCATGGGGCTGCTGGAAGGATTAAATGGGATGATGTGTGAATGTGACTGGCATCACCCAAAGGTTTGTTTCATCATCCAATAAAGAAAAAACCTCCTTTAAATTGTTATAATGGCTAATCTAAGGCTTGTGAAAAATATCTTTCCCAAAATACTTTCTATAGTTTGAGAGATGACATATAAATATTCTCATCTGCATTCGCCAACTCTGGAAAACACTCCTGAATGTTATTGCTGACTTTCATACGCTGCCTTTGCATCTTTGCCAGAACTTGCTCTGGGTTGCAGCTATTCATAGAATGCCCTTGGATAATGTGATAGGTTGAATTTGAATTACTCCTCCAATCATTTTGGAGCCAGTAATAGTGGCAACTAAAATGGTCATCTGGAGAAGGAACTAAGTATAGACATTTTCCGATACAATCTCTTTCTATTTTTTGTCCTTAAAATACAGGAAGATAATATGCTG
This sequence comes from Homo sapiens, assembly GCF_000001405.40. Classification (NCBI taxonomy): domain Eukaryota; kingdom Metazoa; phylum Chordata; class Mammalia; order Primates; family Hominidae; genus Homo; species Homo sapiens. The sequence goes on along the minus strand of NC_000001.11, from coordinate 81,410,962 downwards.
TTTGAGTGAGTAAGCATTAAACATGCTAACATAAAATTAATTTTCTGTGTACACTTAATATACGCTTTAAAAGACCACTAATCTCAGATGGAATACACATACAAAGTGACTTTTAAAAACTCATAATTTATAGCAAACAGATATTGCACTAGAGCTTTTCTCTTTTCCTGGAATTATTTTTAATTGCAATTGTTTTAGGGCTGAGCACCGAACCCATCAGAGCTCTATGTACAGATTGGCTTTAAATAAATTCAACATATCATGTGCTAATACTATACAAATCTTTGTTCTCTCAAACATCTCTGCTTTTCTCCCACATATCAATTACCTAATACTGTTACAGCTAAGGCCAGGGCTTGTCAGTCTGCCTGAAGGAGTACAGGAGCTCCAGGCTGGCATAGCTTCTATGTTATTAAAATTCTTTTCTTGCCTGCAACCTGATTTCTTCTGGTCTGACCTAATTCCTTTGATGCCTGGGGCTTGGAGGCCAGTGCTAATCTGCATCACGGATGTGTGGAGGAAAGGTAAGACAATTGGAAGAAAAGTAAAAGAAGGAAAGAATGGTACCTGGGTGAGAATGCTCTTCAAATCCAAAATAAGCATTTTGAAAGAAGGACATTTTTGTTCTACTGCATCCTTTAAAGAAGAACCTAAATTCAATGCAGGACCTAATACAAATTTCCCTTCTCTGTTAACTCTTTACTTTTTAAAGGTAGATAGCAAATCATTGTATGACTATGACAAAAAAGAATGGCAGAATGCTAATTGAAGCATCGTATAATAAATCCCAATGTAAGAAAAATATCTGTTTATGAAAAATAAGTCATGCTCTAGATGTCATAATAATAGAAAGGGTTTGGGCTGACTTTCATGTAAAGATCACGTGACAGTCTAAGCTTTGTTACTAAGCTTTGGAACGTGCTGATATTCAGAGTTTCTTAGACCTGTCCACTAACTTATTGTTTCTCTGGGTCTGTTCCCAGTTTCTTTTTCCCTTTGGGAAGCAGGTTCTTCTTACTGCTCAAATATGCATCCAACATCTTGTAGTCATTAATATACCAAAGGCAGGGGCTAAAAGGGCAGATTTTCAAAGTGTCTGTGCTCTCTTGATTTTGGATTACTATGAATCCTGCAGAAGTGGGAAGGTGAAATTTATCCTTTCTTGCTAACAAATTGCACACTTCTTCTTTTGAGATGTTAAAAAGTTGTAATTTTGTTTGCATGGATTTACAAGAATAGGGGAGGGTGTCCATTTGTGATTTGACTAATGGAGATTCACAAAGTCACCCTTACACCTGCTCCCATGAGAAGAGATGTACTTTATTTAAAGCAAGAAAATGATCAGTAACAGTAATTGTTTTCAATACAGTAGCACACCTTGGTACAGGAATATTTTCACTTCACAGATGTTTGAAGTCACTGGGAGCTCAGCCTCCAAGCTTGTTATTCATTTGGCATCCAAATTCATGTTTCATAGCCATGTGACTATCTTCTGTGCCAAAAATAGAAGGTATCCTCTGAATTTTAGAGCTATACTGTAGCTGCCTAACCCACACAGCTTCTGTGTTCCAGGACATATTTGCAGATTCAAAATATGTATTTCAGTGAACTGTTTAAAACCATTTATTCAACAGATATTTAGGGCTGCTAACTGGTACAAATGTGTGTTTTTTGTGTTCCTTCCAGAGGTAGGAGGTGTCTCCTTTATATTCTCCTTTTATTTTTGCTTATATTTTAGTAGCGGATGCACCAGTGAGCAGGAAAATTATCACTACACAGATACTGAGAAGGAAAGAAAAAGAACAGGGGTTTGTAATCCAGATAATTCACAACATGGAAAGCTAACACAGTCATACCTAACAATAGATAAGACATTAGATTATTAGGTGTGTGTGTGCTATATTTTAACACAAGCCTATGGAATCAGCATTTTTCACACTGAAGAAAAATTTTGGCAGTTGAGTCTGAACATTGCTTCTAACAGAACTGGAGAGAACATTTGAAAACAGTTTAAGTCCACACATCTCTTCCTATTTGATCCAAAGAAATAGAAAGTCATACATTGGTACAAACTGTTGCTGCTTTATTTCTTTGGCCCCTCCCATGTAAACTAATGAACGCTTAAGAGCAGAAAATCCAGCTATAATTTAGGATCCCAAACCATGCATTATGGTTTTCTTTAGCAGAGATATCAAAAATGATCTCATATTTAGTTTACATTGTTCAGTTCTGAAATCCATTATAGTTTGTGCATTGGGCAGGTAAAGATTAATTTGCGTTTGTAAACGTGCACACCCTTGGGGGCAGTTATATTTTATGCACGAGTGAACAAGGGTCTTTCAGCAGCAAATCTATGGAGCTGACATTTTTATGCCTTCTATTTTTTCTAAGTACAAGTCTAGGCACGCGAACAGCAGATTCCCAGTTTTAAACTGCTTGTTGAACTCATCTTAATTAATGTGGTTTGTACGCTAATGTTAGGTGTAAACTTTATATGCATATACACACAAGTATTTTCCTCAGACACAAAAACTTTTATCAAGTACAGTGAGGAATGGTTTATATTTACTTTAATTAATACAATGACCCATTTAATAAAGGATGCTACCTACTATGAGAAGAAATAGGAAGAAATTTAAAAAAAATGAGCATTCTGTGTTACAGTGCATCTAGGAGAGATTGCTTATGTTTTTGCTGTAATTTCACAAAATGAAAAATTACAACAAATATCTATTAGATTAGCTTGTATAAGGTTTACTCCATCACATTGATGAGCAATGTGTGGTCCTGAATTCCTCAAGCAAGCTATCCCTAATGCTTATGATAATGATCACAGCAATTACAAACACAATAGATGTACATCGTAACAAATGAGATCTGAACTCCTGATTAAAGAAAGACAGGGCCTCTTCCTTTTTCCTGTGTGTGTCTTGTGTAACAACCTCATTGTCTATAACTAACAGATAAAAATGCAATGAGGTGAGCCTGTAATACAACAGATAGTGAAACAAACAAACAAAATTGCTTACATTTCTGCTTGCTGTGCTAACCCCTTTCTCAGATGATCTTGGCAACTCTACCTTTTTCTGATTTTGCTAACATGTCACAAACATGAAACAGCCCCCCTTCAACCCTCTGGCTCCTCCCTCTCCCTTCTTTTCTCCTTCCCCTATTTCATTACATTTTCTTATGTGCATACCATCAAGTCCTCTTGGACACATAATCAGATTTGTGCCAGATTATGTTTCTTGGCTTTAATGGTTAGTTAGCTTTCCAGAATACACATGCTGCTTTATACATGCTTTTATTACTGACATCATGAGAATGCATCTCTCCTATGTTTACAATTGGGTGTTCACCCTTAAATAAAAGCCATGAGATCAGGTTTAAGAGAATCATTGTTTAAGAGAATCCTTGAAAAGCAGAATAAAAACAGCTGTTATCTGCTTGAACCATTTCATTTTCTTTCATGATCTGAATGATAATGATGTGTAACAGTGGGCAGTCTCCAGCTTTCATTATACACCATACATCAGAGCCTCTTTCAGGATGGAATTGGGTCTCTGTCTCAGAGTTCCAACAGGATCTTTTTAACCTCACTTGTAACAGGTGTTGGTGTTTGCGGGAGGGGGTGAAGGGAGAATAAAACACCTTTGCTTGTTCCCCCACTGACCTCCGGATCCAGGAGGCTGGTTTTCATTGGCAATGGGGGTTTGAAAGTCAAACCAGATCCTTGCTGAAATCTCTCTCGCCAGAAACAGATTACAAATATCTCCACATGTCAAACAAATGAACAATAGGGTGGTCCTTATTAATCAAAGCTCTTCTAAACCAAGTACAGATGGTAGCAATGAACTTCTCTTCCATGAAGATTTCTGGAGACGGGAGGAAATATATCTCACAGAAATACACATTTCTTCCAGAGACACCAGACGAGGAATAAGGAGCTCAACCCAAATGTAACTCAAAACAAAATGAAACAGAACAATAACAAATAAATAAAAAAATTAAAACACCAGTATTCTCAATGATCCAAACCAGAAGGCTGATTGAGCTTATTTCCATTCAACACTCCCTCGTCACAAGCTGTTCCTGAGGATTCTGCAGCATTTGCCTAGAGACTGACAAGCTCAAATTGGTTTTAACCTCCAGAGTCCCCTTTTCATATCGCAGATGTTGCTGATTGGGGAGCAGAGTTGTGCTTTCCCCAAAGTCTGTGACTTCCAGGCTCTCGTGGCATCTACTACTGAGAGGATAACTCCTCTCAGACAACAATGTCATTTGTTGTTTTTAATTAACAGAAAAATATCAATAGCAATGGTTGAAACTGCATTGTATTCAAAACTTGAGAGTGAAGAGAGTTAGGGAAGCAATTTTATTTAAAGAACAGCCCAGAGGCTGGATGGATGGCTGCGTTTCTCTGACCCTAGCTGTATTACCTAAGCCTCTTGGGTGGCAAAAAACTGGGTTGAGAAATCTCCTGGGAACAAAGACTCCTTGGGACGTTCTGTACCACCAGATGTTACTATTTAGGAAGAGTATATTTCAGATGTTTTAGCAAAATTGGTTTCACTTCTTCACTCAAGATTTGTGCCATTATGGTCCCGTGTAGTCTGTCCTTCAAGGTGAAGGATCAAACGAAACTAAGATGTCACTCAGTTCACGCCTTATCTCAAAGCAGTGTTAAACCTAAATTGTATTTGAAAGGTGAAAATTCTATTGTGAAGCCCTTAACACAGAGGGTCTGTGATTTGCACTGATAAAAAAAAATTTCATGATGTAAAAACTTTACTGGAGGCCATTTCTCTTTTTAGCCTAAATCTTTCATACTGCAGCTAAGAGTGTACCTCCTCTTGTTCTGATCTCAGTAAAGAGAGCAATATTCAAAATACTTTAATGTATGCTTAAAGATTTTTCAAAGTCTCTTCTCAAACTTTTTCAAGATAATTACAGTAAAGATGGGAAATCTTTCTACTAATAGATTAAGTATGTGCCTGAAACCTCAGATTAATTATAATCTTTTTCAAGAGGACTAAAATTATATAACTTTTTATGAGGAGATAACACTTTATTGGATTTTAAAAGGAAATGAAATATTCCTTTTAAAGAATATATAGGCATTATGTATAAAAACAATTCCTTTACATGTCATATTTATGATTGCATAATGACTTTTTTGGGGGAGGTGTGGAGACTGTTCAACTGATTTTAAACTTGTTGGAAAATAAGAGGCCTTATGAAAATAATCCCTATTATTATTTTGAAAATGTGAGATATTTTGTTCAATATATGAAATAGTATTTTTCTTTTTATTTCCTTTTTTTTTTTTTTGTCATTCAGGCTGGAGTGCGGTGGTATAATCACAACTCACTGCAGCCTCTGCCTCCCAGGCTCAGGTGATCCTCCCACCTCAGCCTCCATAGTAGCTGAGACTGCAGGTGGGCAACACCCCCATGGCTAATTTTTAAAATTATTCATGGAGACCGGATCTGGTCTTGAACTCCTGGGCTCACGCAATCCTCCCACCTTTGTCTCCCAAAGTATTGGGATTACAGGCACGAGCCACCACACCTGGCCTGAAATAGTATTTTCCAATATCACATTGGGGGTATTCAGTTCTCTGAATATGTGGCAGTACATCCAATTCTAAATTAATACGGAATCATTGCCAGTGCCAAAAAAGACTTCATTCTTCCCATTTTTTGTGTGTGATGTTGAATAAGGGATAGTATCTCAGTAAAATTGACTTTCCCTGAGAAAGTGAAAGAAAGCATGCTGCTCCTCAGAGTGGGCATTCCTCATGCTACACTTGCATATACCTAAAAAGGCCTATTACAGCACCGTCATAAAATTCAGGGCAGTATATGTACTCTGTTCCATAAGTCAACATAATAACTTCCAAGTGGAGAAGACAATGAAAGATGAATTTATGTATTAGAACCTCAACACTCTTGAGGAATAACTGAAAAATTATTCTAGAATGTCAACATAGCTTTTAGAATTTTTGCTAAAAGCCATATTTATAGTCAATTAAGATATTATACAAATCTATAAATATTAATAATCATCTTGATTTGTGTACTCTTCTATTGTAATTAAAGATAAGGAGATGCTACATATCTTTTAGGTGGAATTTATAAGAATGCACATGAGAGACAGAAATGATGATTTTGATGGAAGAGGAAGAGTAAGAAATGAAGGAAAAGGAAGAAGAGATCTAAATCTCCACCTGGAGAAATGTATTAGTCTGAGGAAATTTGAAATGACTATTCACCTGAATATGGATTAAAAAGTTAACTATATTGAAAGTAATTAAGATTTTAAAATGCTTACAACCTATCAAGCATTTTATTCATTGCTTTATACTTATTCAAAGTTTCTGAGTGAAGTGGCTGAGAGCTTAAGTTCTGGGTTTGAAGCTGAGCTTTGCCTCTTACTAATTGTTTGCCTTGGCCCAATAGCATCCTTATGCCTCCATGTCCTCATATATAAAATGTGATTAAAAGCTCATTAAAAAACCTTCATAGATTTATTATGAAGATAAATTGATTAAATATTTGGAAGTTCTTGGAACAGTATCTGGGACATACTAAACGCTATACAAAGGCTTACTGTAAAATATTCTCATTTAATTTTCACAGGAACTTTCTACGATACAAACCATTATTTTCCTTTTAAAGTAAAGATAACCGGGGCTTCAAAGTTGATTACCTTGCCTAAGATCATACAGCTAGTAGATGGCGGCAAGGGGGTTGGTATGCTGTATATCTGATTCCGGTGTTACAGCTTCACCATGCTGTAGAGTGAACTAATATTTAACTACCAAGTAAGAAACTGTAATCAGATCTTCTGATAAAAATCAAAGACGCCCGGGTGAGGTGGCTCACGCCTGTAATCCCAGCACTTTGGGAGGCCGAGGTGGACGGATTACGAGGTCAAGAGATCGAGACCAACCTGGCCACCATGGCAAAACCCTGTCTCTACTAAAAATACAAAAATTAGCTGGGTGTGGTGGTGCGCACCTGTAGTCCCAGCTACTTGGGAGGCTGAGGCAGGAGAATCACTTGAACCTGGGAGGCAGAGTTTGCAGTGAGCTGAGATTGTGCCACTGTACTCCAGCCTGGACAATAGAGTGTGATTCTGTCTCAAAAAAAAAAAAAAAATCAAAGACATTGGCTTTACTGACTACCATCTCTCTCTGTCATCCTAGGAAGAGTGGTAGATAAATGTACAAATATAGAAACATATACACTGCAGAATGTATGTAAATGTGCATTTTGGCATCTCTAAATTTTAAACCCATTTTTCCAAGATTACCTACTTATTGAATTATTTGATTATAACACCACTTTTGATATGCCATCCTAGAGGTACACTCATTAAAGAAAAAGTGTTATGGCCAGGCACGGTGACTCATGGCTGTAATCCCAGCACTTTGGGAGGCCAAGGAGGGCAGATCACCTGAGGTCAGGAGTTCGAGACCAGCCTGGCCAACATTGTGAAACCCCATCTCTAATAAAAATACAAAACTTAGCTGGGAGTGGGTGGTACTCACCTGTAGGCCCAGCTGCTTTGGAGGTTGAGGTATGAGAATCTCTTGAGCCCGAGAGGAGGAGGTTGCAGCGAGCTGAGATCATGCCGCTGCACTCCAGTCTGGGCAACAGAGGGAGACTCTGTCTCAAAAACAAAAAACAAAACAAACAAACAAACAAACAAACAACAACAAAAAAAAAACAAGGAAAAGTGTTACGTACATTCCAATAGCTCCCTTTTTCTTTTTATTGTTACTATTCTGGGATTAATTGTTGTTACCAAGGTCATCTCATCAAGGACATCTTCCAAGATTTGTCTGAGTAGATAAAGACCTGTTGGTTAGGCCTTCTCTCAACTGAGTGAACCTTTCCGTTCTACACTTGTCACAGTTTTTATTACATATTTTAATAAAAGGTTGTTTGCAAAGTGAGTGTCTTCTCCACTATACTGAAAGCTCCATGAATGTAAGAATTATATGTAGTTTGCTTATTCTTTTATCTCTGGCACCTAGCATGGTGTTCAGCATGAAATGAGATAGCTGCACAGTCGATGTTTGCCTTATTAATCAACAAAACTCTCTGGCTTCTGAGGGGCTCTTTGGGGGTGATGGTGGGAGCTTGAATAAAGACTGGTGCACATGCATGGCATGTTGGAAGCTGTGAGAACAAGAATGCTCTGTGGACAGTGCAGTTTCAAGGTCTTTTCAAATAGAAAATAGGACAAAATATAATACTAAGAAAATGGAAGACAATAGGAAAAACAAGGTCAACTTAAGAGAAACCTGAGTTATTTTGTTTCAGAGGAGGGTAGGAAGTTCAGGAGGAATTTTTGTTTTGTTTTGTTTTTCACAGTAGTTGTAGCAGTTTTGAGTTGATTCTCTTTCTGAAATCTTATTAAAACAAGCTGGCTATGGTTAGAACCTATAGGTTAGAATAATGTATACCGAGAGGGTTGATGGCAGCAGTAGCATCACCTTTATATGGTGGATTCTCTTGGTGTGCATCAAAGAATCATCACCCAGTGACCCTGGGTGCAGGAACTTGTATGTGATTAATCACGGAAGCACTTTCTCTGTTGAACTCTGGAGAGAAGTTTCTGTACCCAGCAGGTGAAATAACATACTAGGGAGCCTGGCAGGCAGAGTGGCATATTCCCTCCTGACCTCAATTTCCCAGCCATGGTGCTGTCTGTTTGTCTGTAAGAGCACTAGGCTAAGAAAAACAGCAAGGATCCTATCAGGACCCCACAGTATAGGGAGATAGTGATCTTCTCATTTAGTCAAGTAAAGAGGCTAGATTTTAGTGGTATTTGAGAAAGAAGGAAGACAGACTAATTTGCTACCTGTTTTAAAAGGAAGTATGCCATCTGCTAAATCTTTCCTTACCAATTTATGTCCATTTAGTTTACATCTCTTGGAATTGCAAAACAAACAAACAAACAAACAAACAATTACTAATTTTAATCCTTTAGAGGGAAATCTTTATTCTCATTATTTTCTTCTCTATGGCTGAACAAGTTATTATCTTTAAGGAGAGGATGTTTCTAGGTATATAAACAGAATATATACATTTGGGCTTATTTGATTTTGAAGTTAAAAGTTAAAAATGGGACACACTTATGTGGGTTTTAGTCCTCGTAACAGATAACCCCCTAATGCACAGTGAGTTCGAACAGGCATCTGGAAAAGATGCTGCTTAGTGACTTCAGGGACAACTAAGACATTTCCTGAGGTTCACTGGCTGAAAAAAATTTCTTGGAAATCAAGCACTCTCATAAACATGCCAAATGAGGAGGACAGAGCAAGATGGTCAACTAGAAGCTCCTAGCACTCATCTCCACAACAAAGACAGCCAAAACAACAAATAAACTATATTTTAATACAATAACTAAAGGACAGTGCTGGCATACATGAAAGAAGCTACAGAGACCCTGGAGAGCACAGAAACTCAGCATGGCCACATAGAGAACAGAAGGAAGTACCTGGCCTCCACCACATCTTCCCGCAGCTGGGAACCAGGAGGAACTTCTCCCTACAGGGAACAGGTAAGCAAGAGGATCCCGGTTGCCCCAAGCAGCACCTTGGACAACTGTAGTCTTCAACACTGGGGTCCCCTGCCTGTGTGAACTCCAGGCAGCTGAGTTTGCTGCCTGGGTATGAAGCAGCACCAGGCATCCCAGAACAGTCTCATCCCTCTGTGCCTGAGCTGAAGTGGTACTGCCTCCTGGAGAAACAATACTATGGCCACCCAGAGCAAGTATGTTGGCCACCACCTTCCTGGTGCCAAAGCTGAAACACTGCCCTGACACGAGGAAGCTATGCCTTGGCTGCCCAGAGTGGCCACAAATCCTAGTACCTAAGCTGAAGTCGCATCCTGCCTCCTAAGGAAATAGTACCTGAGCTGTTCAGAACAGCGACGCTCCTGGGCCTGAGTTGAAGAAGGCACATTGTTCCCTGAGAAAATGTTGCCTTTCTTGGCCGAACTGAACAGCTATGCATCCTAGGGCTGAGCTGATGCAGTACCTCACATCCCTGGGAAACAGAGCCCTGGCTGAGCTAAGACATCACACCCTAAAGGCCAAATAACTCTAGTACTCTACTTCCCTGGAGCTGGACCCGCTTCCCAGAGTCTGAACTGCTGAGATACCCTTCTTTCTAGGGAGTGGAGTCATTGCTGTGGTGCTCCCTGTCTCCCAGGGCCCAAAAGACAGCTGTGTCCAGCCATTCTGGGGTACTTGCTGCTGCTGCACCTGGACTAACAGAGTCTAGGATACAGCTGAGCTTCACTATTTCAGGCTCTAGAATCACCATTATGTAGCACTTCATCCCCTGTGACCCACACTGCCACTGAGACTTATTGGCTCAGGTTCTCAGGTTCCTCAACTGCAGCCATACCCTACTCCCCAGGCCCAAACCTCCAGAGCACACTTTCTTCCCTAGAGTTGGCCCAGTACTGTTCCCAGTCTCCCGGGGTAAAATCACAGTTACAATCCAGCTTCCAGGGACTGAGCTTCTAGGCAGTGCCTTAGAGTCACAGATCCTGGCTCTGTGGGCAACCTACATTCATCTCTGCCACAGAGAGCAAACTTGAATCCCAAAGTCCAGGTGCTACCATAGGTTCACAGACTCTGAGTCTTGACACGGGCCCCAAAGATGTTCCTAGTGCCTGCACCTGGAACCCAGCACTGCTGCAGCTGCTTGTAGGTCATGTCAGACCAGACAATTGGCATACCCTAAGATAAGACTTTCCACTGGGGGGAAATGGGAACAGAAGGACCCCCCCAAAGCCCTTACCACTGAGAAACTTAATCACCTATGCTACCAGCACCACTGCCACAGACTTCTATAGCCTAGACCACTGAAGCATGCATAGTTATTGTTAATGTTGAATATAGCTTAAGAACACCGTTCTGTCTACCTGGAAAAACAGTCACTACACCTTTCCCAACCAGCAACCTAAAACCTAACTGCAAGTGAAAGTCATTCTCTACAAAAGCTGCTGTAGAAAGTGTGGAAGAAGTTATTGCTCCACCAGATGCACAGACATCAACATCAACACAGGGCTACAGGAAACATGAAAAAGCAAGGAAATACAATACCACCAAAAATATATAATAACTGTCTAGTTACAGATCCAATGAAAAGGAAACTATGAATTGCTGGAAAAGGAATTAAGGATAATAATCTTAAGGCAACTCAAGAAGATATAAGAAAATACAGATAGACAATTTAACAAAATCAAGAAAACAATTCATAGTATGAACAAGAAATGTAGCAAGGAGATAGATATTAAAAGAACCAAACAGAAATTGTGCAGCTGAAGAATTCAGTGAATGAAATAAAAAATATAATAGAGATTTTCAGCAGCTGACTTGGTTAAGCAGAAGAATGAATCTTTGAACTTGAAGATGGGTCATTTGAAATTACTCAATCAGAAAAAAAAAGGAAATAAGAAAGAATAGTAGTGAAGAAAGCCCACAAGACTTATGCGATACCACTAAGTGAACAACTATTTATTAGTATTATGGACTTCTAGAAGGAAGAAAGATGGAAAAAGGCATAGAAAACCTATATAATAAAATTATAGCTGAAAAATCCCCAAATCTCAACAGAGATATTGATATGGTTTGGATTTGTGTCTCCACCTAAATCTCATGTTGAATTGGAGGCAGAGCCTGGTGGGAGGTGATTGGATCACAGGGGTGGATTTCCCCCTTGTTGTCCTCATGATCCTGAGTAAGTTCTCATGAGATCTGATAGTTTAAAAGTGTGTGTCACTTCCTCCATCACTCTCTCTCTCTTTTGCTTTGCCATGGTAAGATGTGCTTGCTTCCCCTTCACCTTCCACCATGATTGTAAGTTTCCTGAGGCCTCCCAGTCATGCTTCCTGTTAAGCTTCAGGAACTGTGAGTCAATTAAACCTCTTTTTTTCATAAATTAGTCAGTCTCAGATAGTTCCTGATAGTAGTGTGAAAACAGACTAATACAGATATGGACATTCAGATTCAGGAAGCTCAAAGTTCCTCAAATAGATTCAACCCCAAAGATTCTCTATAAGGCATATTATAGTCAAGTTGTCAAAAGTAAAAGACAAGGAGAGAATTTTTAAAAACAGTAAGAAAAAAGTGTCAAGTCATCTGTAAGAAAATCTCCATTAGACTGTCAGCAGACTTCTCAGCAGAAGTCTTATAGACCAGGAGAGAATTGGGTGATATATTCAAAGTGTTGAAAGAAGAAGAAAAGGAAAGAAAAACCAACTGCTAACAAAGAAGTAAACTCAGTAAAGCTACCCTTCAGAAAGAGGGATAAATAAAGTATTTCCCAGACAAGCAAAAACTGAGGGAATTCATCACCACCAGACCAGCCTTGCAAGAAATGCTTAAGACAGTCCTACATATGGGAGGAAAAAGATGATAATCACACCACAAAAACATGCAAAAGTATAAAATTCACTGGTAGAGCAGATCGATAGAGAAAAAAAGAGAAAAGAATCAAATACTTTCATTACAGAAAACCACCAAACTGCAATGATTTAAATGGGAGAAAAGAAAAATAAATGAAAGGTATAAAAACAACCAGGAAACAACAAAATGACAGGAGTAAGTCCTCACCTATCAATAACAATCTTAAATGTAAACAAATTACATTCCTTACTTAAAAGTTATACAGTGACAGAATGTAAAAAAAAACATGACTCAGCTATATGCAAAAAAACTTATGTCACTCTGTAAAGACACAAATAGACTGAAAATGAAGGGATGGAAAAAGATATTCCATGCAAATGGAAACCAAAAGTAAGCAGAAGTAGCTATACTTATATCAGATAAAATAGATTTTAGGTAAAAAACTGTAAAAAGAGACAAAGAAGGTCATTATATAAAGGGATCCATTCAGCAAGAGGATATAACAATTACAAAAATATATGCACCCCGAAGCCAAGCACCAGATATATAAAACAAATGTTATTAGCTTAAAGGGAGAGACAGATTAGAGTACAATAATAGTCGGGGACTTCAACATCCCACTTTCAGCACTGGACAGATTATCTAGACGAAAAAATCAACCAAGAAACCTTGGATTTAAACTGCATTTTACACCAAATGTACCTAATACCAGACATTTACAGAACTTTTTATCCAACAGCTGCAGAATACACATTCCTTTTATCAGCACATCAAACATTCTTCAGCATAGACCACATGTTAGGCTGCAAATGTCTCAACAAATTTAAAAGAATTCAAATAATAACAATTATCTAAAAAAGAAAAGACCCAAATAAATAAAATCAGAAACAAAAAAGGAGACATTATAAGGGCTGGGCGCAGTGGCTCATGCCTATAATCCCAGCACTTTGGGAGGCCGAGGTGGGTGGATCACGAGGTCAGGAGATCGAGACCATCCTGGCTAACACAGTGAAACCCCGTCTCTACTAAAAATGCAAGAAATTAGTCTGGCGTGGTGGCGGGCGCCTCTAGTCTCAGCTACTTGGGAGGCTGAGGCAGGAGAATGGCGTGAACCCGGGAGGCGGAGTTGCAGTGAGCAGAGATTGCACAGCTGCACTCCAGCCTGTGCAACAGAGCAAGACTCCATCTCAAAAAAAAAAAAAAAAAAAAAAAAAGGAGACATTATAACTAATACCACAGAAATACAAAGAATCATTAGAAACCATTATGAATAGCTCTGTGCCAACATGTTGGAGAACCTAGTGGAAATGGATAAATTCCCGGACACATACAACCTACCAAGATTAAACCAAAAATAAATAGAAAACCTGACCAAATTAATCACAAATAACAAGATGGAATCAGTAATAAAAATAAAAGTACAGGACCTGATGGCTTCACTGCTGAATTATACCAAAGATTTAAAGGAGAATGAATACCAATTGTTCTTAAACCTTTTCAGAAAACTGAAGAGGAAAGAATTCTTTCAAAATCACTGTATGAGGCTAACATTACTACGATATCAAAATCAGACAAGAACACAACAATCAGAGAACATTAGAGGCCAACATCCCTGATAGACATATATGCAAAAATCCTCAACAAAATACTAGCAACCCAAATTCAGCAGCACATGAAAAAGCTATTCAACATGATCATGTGGAATTTATCCCAGGGATGCAAGGATGATTCAACATACACAAATCAATAAACATGATAAATCACATAAACAGGATAAATAATCTTAATAGATGAAGAAAAAGCATTTGATAAAATTCAGTATCCCTTCGTTATAAAACCCCTCACAGACTAGTTATAGAAGGAATGTACCTCAACACGATAAAGACCATATATGATAAACCCACAGTTAACATCTGAACTGAGAAAAGCTGAAAGCTTTTTCTCTAAGAATTTGAACATGACAAGGATGCCCACTCTCACCACTCTTGCTCAATATAGTACTGAAAGTCCTAGCCACAGGAATCAGGCAAAAGAAAGGAAACAAGAGCAACCAAAGAGGAAAAGACTAAGTAAAACTTTCCTTGTTTGCGGGAACATGGTCATATATACAGAAAACCCTAAAAGCTCTTAACAAAAAGCTGTTAGAACCAATAACCAAATTTAGTAAAGTTGCAAGATACAAAATTAACATGCAAAAATCAATAGCATTTGTATACACCAACAATGAACTAGTGAAAAAAGAAATCAAGAAAGCAATCTCATATCCAATAGCTACAAAATCATTACCTGGGAATACATTTAACCAAAGAGGTAAAAGATCTCTACAAGGAGAACTAAAAACATTGATGAAAGAAATTGTAGAGGACGCAAAAATGGAAAGACTTCCCATGCTCATGGATTAGAATTAACATTGTAAAAATGACCATACAACCAAAAGTGATCTATAGATTCAATGCAATGCAATGACATTGCATAGGAAAAAAATCCTAAAATTAATATGGAACCTCAAGAGACTGTGAATAACCAAAGCAATCCTGAGCAGAAAGGATTGCCAGAACCATCACACTATCTGACTTCAAAATATACTGCAAAGCTAAATAACATGGTACTAGCATAAAAACAGACACACAGACGAATAGAACAAGCTAGAGAACCTAGAAATAAATTCACATATTTACGGCTAACTGATTTTTGACAAAGTTGCTAAGAACATTTATTAGACAAAAGTCAGTCTCTTCAATAAATAGTTCTGGGAAACTGGATATTCATATGCAGAAGAATGAAACTAGACCCCCATCCTTCACTGTATACAAAAGCTGACTCAAAATGGGTTAAATATTTAAATGTAAACACTGAAACTATAAAACTACTAGAGGAAAACATAAGGGAAACCACTTCAGGACATTGGCCTGGACAAAGATTTTATGGAAAAGACCTCAAAAACACAGCAAGAATAGACAAACGGGGTTATATATCAAACTGAAATGCTACTGCCCAGCAAAGAAAGGAAACAATCCACCAAGTGAAGAGACAACTAGCAGAATGGGAGAAAATATTTACAAAGTATTCATCTGACAAACTATTACTAACCAGAATATGCAAGGATCTCGAACAACTAAATAGCAAAAACCTGACAAACCCCCAAATAATCTCATTTGAAAATAGGTAAATGAGTTGAATAAGCATCTCTCTCAAAAAAAGACATACAAGTGGCCAAGAAGTATATGAAAAAATGCTCAACATCACTAATCCTAAGGGAGATGCAAATCAAAACCACAATGAGATATCATCTCACCCCAGATAGAATGGCTATTATCAAAGAGACAAAAAATATCACACCTGTAATCCTAGCACTTTGAAAGGCCAAAGCGGGTGGATCACTTGAGGCCAGGAGTTCAAAACCAGCCTGGCCAACATGGTGAATACCCGTCGCTACAAAAAATATAAAATTAGCTGGGCTTGGTGGCTGGGCATGGTGGCACACACGTGTAGTCCCAGCTACTCGGGAGGCTAAAGCATGAGAATTGCTTGAACCTGGGAGGTGGATGTTGCAGTGAGCTGAGATCGTGACACTGCACTCTGGCCAGGGTGACAGAGCAAGACTCGTCTAAATAAATAAATAAATAAATAAATAAATAAATAAATAAAAAAGAGAGACAAAATATAACAAATGCTGGTAAGAATGGAAAGAATGTAGAGAAAGGAGAACTCTTATATGGTGTAGCCATTATGGAAAATAGCATGAAGTTTCCTGAAAAAAATTCAACTAGAGATACCATATGATCTGGCACTCCAACTACTGAGTATATATCCAAACAAAGGAAATCAGTATATTGGTGAGTTACCTGCACTCCCATGTTTGTGGCAGCACTATTCACAATAGTCAAGATATGGAATCAACCAAAGTGCCCAATGGCAGATAAATGGATAAAGAAAATGTGGTATATATACACAACGGAATAATATTCAACCATACAACAGAATAAAATCCTGTCATTTGTGGCAACATATATAAGCTTGGAGGACATCACATTAAATCAAATAAGCCAGTCACAAAAAGATAGATACCATATGTTCTCACCCAGATGAAGAAGCCAAAAGAGTTGATCTCACGGAAGTAAAGATAGAATAGTGGTTACCAGAGGCTGGGAAGGGTACAGGAGGAGGGGGGATAGACAAAGTTTGTTTAATGGAGGCAAAATTACAGCTAAATAGGAAGAATGAGTTCTAGTGTTCTATAGTACCATATAGTGACTATAAATAACAATTTACTGTATATTTTCAAATAGAAGAGTGGATAAGAGATTTGTCAATTAGTCAGAATCTATAATAAATAATAACACATATATAATAAATGATAAATCCTTAACAAGAAATCTATGGCACCCATTATTTTTGATAGGAGAAAGTGTAGAGCTACTCAAACTTGCATTTTTTTTAAAAACAGGCAACTACATATTGTAATTCCATTTTAAAATAGAAAATAGACATCTATATATTGATGTATGCAGTAAAAGTCTAGAAAGAAGTGAAAATGTTTTATATTTTCCCTGAAAGGTGTTAGGATCATGGATGATATCTTTTTTCTTGTTACCTTCAAATATCAGTAAATTCTATAATGAGTATGTTAATACTTTCATATTCAGAAAAACAATGAATTACTCTCATTCTGGGAGAAAAAAGCAAAAAAAAGCAAAAAAAAAAAAAAAGCAAGGCAATAGTATTAACATAGTAGATGTTCAACTATTATTTGGTTGTTTAAGGTTTATTTATTATATGGTGTAGATTCCTTGTTTATTATCCTCATGCATTTATTTGGCACAACCTTTCTTAGTATTAAACTTTGGCTAGGTGATCGTATAGGGGTCTTACATGGTAGCATCCTCCTACCTCTTGATTCACATATGCCTCTCATTGGCATTCCTTCCCTGCTGCTAAATTAAAACAAGACAACAATGCTTAAGTAATTAAAAAGGGAGAGGAAGTTTGTAGAATCTTATTTTCTTACCAGAAAGTTAAGCTGGCACAGGATTTATTGAGAGAACAATAAGAGCAGGAACTGTTAGCTGTAGAGGGCCTCATGTATGAAGTAATTGGTGTTTTACTTTATAAATGTTCTTGAATGCCTCTCATGACATTCTACATATGTACAATGCTTTTTTTTTTTTTTTCCCTGGGGCATGGAGTTTTGTGTGTTATCTGAATCTTCTACATAACCAGGCTCTATTCACCAATCTCATCCCTTCCCCAAAGTGATAGAGGCAACTGGGGATGTTTAAATATCGCTTGCTGAGAATTTCTGATTTCTAAAAAATATAATTGCTAATAGAATTTTTACCATCCAATTTATCTCCTCTCTAATGAGAGAGTAGGGAACTAGTTATATTTTCTTTTTTCCTCTTTTCCTTTGTAATGTTAGATCTCCATTGGAGAGAAAAGAACAAACAGCTGGAACTTATAACCATTTGGAAACATCAACAATGTTGAAATTTACACTCTCATGTGCAGATGTTATCAAACAATCAAAAGAGTGTGTACAAACAGTGAAAGAGGAAAGGAATTTTATGGAAGTATGGTTTGGTTGGATGGGGCACAAAAAGTTACAATTATTATTTTTCAGAAAAACATTGTGAATCAATAAGTTGAGATGGATTATATTAGAGCAAGATTTTGCAGGAGATTTTGTAACTCAGTGATAGATACAGTCTATACTAGATGAGTGACTTTATAAAACATATATAGTTTTACCCACCCTGCATTACATAAGAAAGAGAGGCTGAACTAATAAAAAGAAACTTTGCCAGTTGGCACTCTATTTCCCATTGGATTTCAAGATCATAGTCAAACACATATCTCCCTAATACTATTGGGCATGGTCTCTTAATAATATGCTTCCAGCAGAGAGGTTGGGCCAAGTCTTCCATTGCTAATTTATTTTCTGCTTATCTAATGGAGAGTGGTTAATCCAAGTATGGCATTTTAGGATGTAGGATTAGACTAATACTACTCTAATATAGATAATTTTTTTTTCTTCCTTGGGGCTCTGTCAAGCTGGCTCCTTTGTTAGCATTAGCATGTTCCTCCAGCATAATTTTGCAGAAATTGGTAAAAATAGATGAGACTTAGTATCCATAAAGACCCTAAGGCGGCAAAGTTACACCGGAAGGCAGGTATAAAACTTAAATATTTCAAATATATTCAAAACCTTCCTCCCGAAATAAACTTTATTTCTATTCATGGCATCCAGGCAGGAGGTTTCTTTTTAAGCTCAGAAAATGTTGCTTCTTTGTTTTTTTTTTTGTGGGGATGGGGTAGGAGGAAGTGTGAGAGGCATATATTTGGTGCTTTTTTACACATGGTGTAGAGATAGCAATATTATCCATATTTCAAAACACCCTTTACCTGTGGAGGCAGTACAGTATAATGGTTGACAGTATGGACAATAGAATTAGACAGACCTGGACTTAAATCGAGCTCATTCGTTGCAAGTCGTATGATTTTGTGACTTACGTTCTCCCATGCTTCATGCTCCTCATAAGTAAACTGGAGATAATGCTTGTTATGGAAATTAAATATGATGATACACATAAAGCACATAGTAGGTAAAGTACTTATAATGGTAAGGATTTAATAAATGGTAGTACTTAATATTTTTATTATATTAGATGTATTGCATTTCAAAACTCCATTGACCAGAGTGACATACTTGTGCCTAGATAGCCTCCATTTCTTATTTCCAGAAAAAAAAGCCAGAATGGTGTCTCTTGACCAGAGAAAAGACACTAAGTAGCATTTAGTGAGGCACAGGTTTGGAGAGTGAAGTGTAAGTGGCTAAATTGTCAGTTGTTAGTCTGAAATTACCATAGACAGACATTTGCAAGGATAAACCTCTGCCGTGTTCAAAGGGCACCTAAAGATAAATAAAGGAGCAGAGGACTTGCTAGAGAGGTACAAATAGAAAGATAAATCCTTCCTTTATTTTAGAGAAAAAAATATGTGAGCCACAGATAGGAAATGATTGGAAAATACATACAAACTGAATTTTATTTGCCAAATTCTCTTTGTTTTCCCTACAGAAAACAGTTCCTGCAAATGCCTAGAGAAGCACTGCATACATTGGTAGAGAGAGCAGCAGCTCTAGTTCATATTTTCAGTGTTTACATTACAATAGTAAAATCGCAGAGCAGCTCTTCTATGCCAGCACTTGCTGCAGTGGTGTTGCAATTGATGTTAGCACGGCAGTCTCTAGGCCTTCTGTAGCACAAGTGCCACAAGCACAAACCACATGTCACTCCTATATCAACAGTCCGGAGCACTGGATAAGTGCTCAAAAAATGAGTTTGCTGCATCAATGAATCAATTTTGGTGAGTTTCAGATAAGGGCATTTATTTATCTCATTTGTTAACAAACTTGATTGCCTGTTACACTTCAAACAGCATATGCTAAACTAAAGCTTAAAATGAATTTCTAACTCAGTAGTTACCAAACGGTTTTAGTGTGAGGATCTTCTTTAAGTGTCAAAAGTTTCCATGAGTGTTTGTATTTGAATTATCTTTTGATTGAGAAAATACATGACGCAGCAGCTGCAAAAGCAGTTCCCACATATACTCAAAGCTGCTAATGTAATGGGTGTGTGTGGCAGCATCTTTGCAATAGAAAAGCAATTGAAAACAGGTTATGAAAACATAATGAATGTCCATCCACAGTGGATTGGTTAAATAAATTTTGTTGCATTCATATAATGAAATACTTTGCAGTACCAAAAAAGAAGATGGTAGATCAATATGTACTGATACAGAAACATGTCCAAGGTATATTAAGAGAGAAGATCAAATTGCCATATGGAATGTACAGTATAATTCCCTTTCTGTATGAAAAACTACATAAATCTATTAGGATAGGTATGGAAAAATTCTGGAAGAATATGCAATAAATTGAAACAAATGATAGGAGGGAGGGCATTTACTGTTCACATTATTATCTATCATGCTATTTGAGCTTTCCTGTCATAAGCATGAATCATTTGTATCTTAAAAATTGAAATTGCATATCTATACATGTATTACATCTCTTTCTCTATCCATATCTTCACCTTAATACCAATATGTTATACCAATGGCTAATATTTGGTTCGTGCCTTTTTGTGCAGACCATTTGCAGTTATTCTGCAGCTCTCCCAAGTTTCTTCAGTCAGTAGAATGAACATCAGTCTTACACAGTTTTCATAACTCTTTTACGTTTTTCAACAAAACCAACTAACCAATCAGTGGGTTTCAAACGTTTGCTACATGCACCATTCTTTGCGCATGCTCATAAAATATTAATATTATAAGAAAACTCAATATTAGAATGGATAAAAGCAGGACTCTTCTGGTTGCCTTAAGAATGAAGTTTCAGAACTTCTCTTCTTCCTTGTTTTCCTCACTTCTAGTGAGTGGTCTACCACTCACCAGCCTACAGTGAGGTGAGTGGTAGAAAGGTGAGGAAGAAGAATCCATAGAACATTTAAGACCATTACCTCAACCTGTATTATCAGATCTTTTGGTTAGGAGATTTATTCAAGCTTAAACAAGCTACAGACTTGGTATTAAAAGTCAGATTAGCAGACATGGAATTTTGTATATATAGCTTCTTTCTCTCTTTCTTTTTTTGTTTTTTAAATTAAATCTATGTTTCTACGATGTAGTTTCTTTTTAGCCTTATAGTAGGTCCACATTGCAAGAAATGCAAGAACCATGCTTTGCTCATCTCTCTGACCACTCCCACCCAATGCCTAACAAAGTATTTTGTATTTTAGATAAACAACAAATGTGCAGTTACTTAGTGGTATTAGTGGTTGAATTATATTGAATAGGTTAGATGACTTTCCCAAGACCATTCAGCAGGTAAATGATACATGGGACGCATTCTTGAAACTCCATTCCCAATCCAGGCCTCTTTCAATAATACCCGAAATCATTCGTTGCCTATGTCATTTGCCACCTGTCATTTAATTTAACTTTAATTTCTCTATAACCTTAAATTTCTTTCTATGCTATTGTTAACTTTTTAAACTTCTTTGAAATTTAGGAAAAATACTAAGCTGTTTTTCAATATCTCCCTTCTATGCATCCCTTCATTAATATCTCTTTCAGCTCATTTTCTAGAATTTCTTCATAGTTCTTATTATAACTCAAAATTATTTTGTCTTTTTATTTACTTGTTTTGGATATGACTCTGACTGGAATGTAATCTCTATTGGGAAAGAGACATTGTCTCCATTGTTTACAGGACCTCTCTTTTTAATAATGGTTAGTTACATTGTTGAATGTTGAGTAGTTCAGTAAAGGTTATATTATTCAGAGAGATTTTCATGCTGAAAACAACTAAAAATACTGTATTAAAAACGTTTTCTTAAGCACATCTAAGGGATGACAATATAGTAAAGTCTACAGGACAAAATCAATGAAAAGGTGGGGATCCAGAGAAGCAAGTTGAGAATGTAGTGCTTAAGTTGCCTTTGCCACAGGGGTATTTTTGATTTCTGTCAGATTCTAGCTATGGTTTTGGCAGACTCTTTGGGGGTCTTCAAACAAGGGACTGCAAAAGACTATCTACCTACGTTGAGCTGGGGCCCCAAAAAGCCCCAATCCTCAAAAGATGAGGGAATCAGTAATAAGCATATCTCTACTCTTCTATCCTCTGCTTACAGAGGATTGCATTGAGTATCGCTTGGTTTATTTGGGATGCATTGAAAAATATCAAAAAATAGTGCCTTATAAACAATAGAAAGTTATTTCTCACAGGGATAGGTCTGGGAAGTTCAAGATCAAGGTACCCGCAGATCCGATGTGAGGGCCCACTTCCTCATACACGTTTACTCCTATCTGTGCCCTCTCATGTTGAAAGGGCAAATGCCCTCCTTTGGGCCTCTTTTACAAGGACATTCACTCATCACCTCCCAAGTCTCCACCACCAAATTCATCACCTTGAAGTTAGAATTTCAACACATTTATTTTGAGGTGGGATGAGGAGTGAGAAGATAAAACATTCAGACCATAGTAATCTGGCACATTGAAGAGCAAGAGAGAAAAAGAAAAAATGAAAGTTGTGGCTGGTATTTTTACTGATTTGCAGCCTTCACTATGCATTGTTTTGGTGGCCCAGGGATCTCTAATCTATGAACTTGATTTGAAAATATTCCAAACAATTAGTGCCTCTAGGAATCTGGCAGAAATCAACATATATTCTCTCTGGAGGAAGGCACTTCCATGCTAGGCCTCAAGGAATCCTCCTGAATAAAACACACACAAAGCACTATGTGTGAAAACCAGGAGAATCATCAGTCAGAAGGGACAGGTCTACAGTTTTTGGATATTGGAATTATCAGTCAGGGGGACTGAAACTATTATTGCTATAATTAAAGAATTAAAAGACAAGTTTGAAAATAGCTGCAAGAAACAGAAGCTATAAAAAGTGACAGAACATTTGAAAAAATACCACCTCACACGTTTTTAGAAAACTTCAGAAAATGAACAGATTTAACAGGACATAAAATATTGATGATGGTAGGCCAGAGAAATCATTTAGAAAAAGCATTGAGAACTAAAAAGATGGAAAGAAGGGAGGAAAAGGTAAAAATACAGAGCATAGAATGAAGAATTCTAGTATGTGTTAGAGTCCCATAGGAGAGTTGAGAGAGGATTAGACAGAGGTATTACTGGAAGAGAAAAGGACTGAGAATTTTTTTCAGTTTAAGAAAGTAATCCATAAACTCCAGAGGCCACCCGTATTCCCAGGCAGAATTAATAGAGAGAAAGCCATACTACCTACATCATTATGAAACTGCAGACAGCCGAAACCACAGTGCCTATCATCTAACAATTGGTTGATGAATAACTTCGGATATATAGCAGTTAAAATTGAAGGCTTCGAGGGTAAACTCCCTTGTTTAGTTACATGACATAGGCCAAGTGACCTTCAGTTTCTTCTATAAAAGAGGACAATAACAGTACTTACCTCATACAGTTATGGAAAGAAATAAGTATTTAAAGCATGTGAACAGTGCCTTCTATAGAAAACAAATCATAAATACAACCTGCCTTTTTGGTTATTATATAGAAAATAAAATGATTATTTGGGCAATTCAGCATTTATATATGAAACTTAAAAAAACTTTCCTAATTTTCTAAAAGTTTATGACAGAAGTACTTTGCTGGTATAATCTGCTTCTCTGTGATCTGGAATTATTTTAGAAAAATACTGGTAAATGAAATATCCTGCAAGGTTTGGTGCAGAGTCCAAAAAAGCAATAATGATGACAATTAATATTGGTATTTTGTTTTACAAGTCCAAGTGTTTTCACGTAACATAACATTCCCTGACTGGCTTTGCCAACACTACCGTCTTCTGTAGAGTAGGTAACTTCTGCAGGATCTCAAATAGAAAGCAATACTAGCTAACGTTAATTCCAAAATGAGGACCAACTCTCATAAAAGTCAGAACTATACTAAAATTTTCTTTTAAAAGGCCATGATTGTCTAATATTTGTGACATATTGCCAAGCAAAAGCCTGGTCTCAGTTTTCCTCATACAATGTAAAGTGGATACTGATAGACAAAGGGTAGAAGAGGATGGCATTGAAAACAGGTAGAGATGAGGAGAGAGAAATACTTTTGAACTGAGGCTTCTCCTGTGTGATGGTACAGCATATGTTAATACATTTCAGCTGGGAAAAAAAAAGAATAGCAGAGTTGATGTAAGATTTAATAGGGTGCAATTTGAAAGTATATTCTATTCATGAGAATGGCAGCAAGAGCTATATTTTATAATGACCATTAATTCAATGAACATGTATTTAGCACCAATTGTTTGCATCAGATTAGTAAAGGACCTTTTAAAGTTAGTACATACAGTACATGTCACACTATTTCTTTTAATGTTTTCTAGCTTGGTAATATATTCTTTTGTAAGGCCTGGCCACCAAAAATACGAGGTCCCAGGACAAAGGCAATGCGTGCTTCTAGATTGTTGCAGAGAAAATCACTGTGAGTAACAGTATATTCATCTGGTATTGGATGCACATCTGTTACCATGTGACTAATAAATAGGGGAGGAAGAAGAAGGATGTATTGGTGCATAATACAAAAAACACTGCAAGAGAAAGCATTATGGAGGCTAGCGAATAAAACCAATTCAATTGTTACCTTACCACACACCAAGGAATGCTGGTCACCTTTAAAACCAAGGCCAAATCAACTACTCTAAATGGTTTCCTGCTTACTAGGTTTATTCTATTAGGTCCTTTATAAAAGAGACTGTGTCTGTTTTATTTCATTTAGATAGAGGAACAGTCAGACATGTCATTAGATTACCTTTGAATTTGACCTTGTACTTGTCATTTTTTATGGTAAAGAATAGAACTTTTTTCAGGAAAAAGAAATAAAATTCTTTCAAGTTAGAGACATTGAAACCTAATAGATTGCGCTATTTAAACAGAAAACAAATGAGGATTGCGCTGAAGCCATTTTTTTTTAATTAGCCACAAGTTCCTAAAGGACATTAGACAATTATAGAGACATATCGAGCTATGTGGTCTCAGACTTCAAGTTAACACTTATTTTCCTGGTTTCTAAAGACCTTTCATTTTCTTTAGGAATTATTTCAGGGATCTTCTTGAGTAAATCTTTATGTTTACTTAGCAGCAACTCTAGATTTGAAAGCTAGAATTGTTTCCTTAGTTTTTCTTCCAAGGATTCTTCTTGGTATGAATATTGCAGAGCGTCTTTAGTTTTTATGTTAGCTCTTAATGAAATATAGCACATAGTTCATTATCAATGCATTGTTCATTCATTTTAAAATTTTTTCTCCTAAATGATCACTATAGCTTTCTTTTATTCCAGGGCAGGGATTCCAGTTTCATTAAATATTATCTAGGATTTTTTTTTTTTGCCACTCTCCCCAAAACAATGTTTACTAGCCCTGTGTATTAGGAAATATTTCTATGTGCTTTACCTAAGTTACCCTCAGGTTTATTCTTTCCCATTAATATGTCACATGATCTGCCTTTCTCCTTTGATTTCATTTACTTGACAGTAACCAGAAATTGTGATAGATCAAATTTTCACAAATTTTCACATTTCACAAATGCAGTAATATGAACATCTTTCTAGCCCTCATTTTATGCAGCCTTTGGAATATATTACAACTTTGGAAAATACAGCCAGCTCACAAACTGTATTTTCATGCTAGGCTTATATTCACATGGCTTTATGATTTTTCAGTACTCACCAAGCCCCGAAAGCTGTATCTTGCTAAAGAATAATAGTGGGTTTTAAATAAATTTATAGGATCATCACTTTTATGTGACTGTATAATAAAAGACAATGTGGAAATAGTATTGATAAAATTTAAGTATTCTCTCCAGGTGTGCAGAAGAACAAAGGAATGGAATACTATGTCCCCTTTTTATATATTTATCAAAGACTACCTGAGTACAGGCAACGTATGTAGAACTCACTACAACTTGATATCTGGTTGGACAACTGTGAAGGTTATGGTGGCAATTAGGTAATGGTGTTCAAATTGAATAGGAGGAAGATAAAGTCGTTGTTTCATAAGCATTAACAATCAATAGAGAAGGTAATTTGTCTGAAAATTATTTTTAAAACCTTCTGTACTTAAAGTGAGTGGATAAAATTGATAACTTGGCTGTTCCTTGTACCCTAATCTATTACCAGCTACATAATGAAATGGCCTTTCTCAGTCACATTTTCAAGCATATATTAGTAATTGTGGATACGTTGTTACTTAGAGTGTTCTAAATCTTCTAAATGATCAGAAGGTATTCAAATGTTTCAGGTCATATACCAGTAAAACTTCCTTAAAAACACATGATGTATAAAATTATCGTGATAGTGGCTGAAATAGTACATTCTGATTTTACATCTGTTATAAACCTGTTATTTTACGCAATTCAAAGAAAAATGATTCATTTTTTAAAGATAAATTTAAAATGGTGACAAATTAAATGATAGGTAAAAGCACAAAGAGAAAAGTAGAAATATTTTTTCCTACCTTCACATACCCACTCCTTTCTATCACACTCCCCAACCAGGTAATGAGTTTTAAGATTTTTTTCCTCCATATCTTTCTAGCAATTTTCTAGTCACAAACATGCGTGCACACACACCCACAAATGCACACCTTTTTTCTATGTAAATGAGATTTACTATACTTCAGCAACCTACTTTTTAATTACCTAAAAACATACTTCCTCATGTAGAGGACATATAGACTTCTCTCATTTTTAAGGGCTGCATAACATGCCATTATATGAGTATGCTATAGTTTCTCTAACAAGTTCCTAATGGACAGGTATTTAGATGGTTTCCAATTGTTTTCTATGATAAAGCCACAATGTGCAGTTTGACATATATCTTTGCACATCTACAGAAAAGCATTCCTAAAAATGAAAATGGAGTGGAGTTTGTGCCTTTTCTAGTTTGGATAGACCTTGTTAAATTTGTCTCCAAATATGTACCAAATTTCTTCCTTTTTTCTTTTTTTTCTTTTCTTTTCTTTTTTTTTTTTTTGAGACAGAGTCTTGCTCTGTTGCCCAGGCTGGAGTGCAGTGGTGTGATCTCGGCTCACTGCAACCTCCGCCTCCTGGGTTTGAGTGATTCTCCTGCCTCAGCCTCCCAAGTACCACGCCCGGCTCTCTTTTTTTTTTTTTTTTTTGTATTTTTAGTAGAGATGGGAGTTCACCGTGTTAGCCAGGATGGTCTCAATCTCCTGACCTTGTGATCTGCCCACCTTGGCCTCCCAAAGTGCTGGGATTACAGGTGTGAGCCACCGTGCACCCGGCCTTCTTTTTTTTTTTTTTTAAACTAGTAGTTTAGGAGAGATCTTGTTTTCCTAAGACTTGGTCAAGACTGAGTAATATAAAGGCCTTTAAAATTTTGCAGAGTGTATCTATTGCATACTTGTCTTAATTTGCATTTTAAAAAATTATCAGAGAAGTTGAGCTTTTTTGACAAACTCTTTTCTAGAGAAGTTTTTGTTGTTGTTTAAGTAAAGAGGAATATATAATCACCCGTGGTGGCTCAAATAACCATTCTCTTTCTCTCTCTATCTATTCCTCATTCCGTTCCTCCCTCCCACTTTATGGAATACTTACAACATGAAAGCCGTTTTTACCTGTTCAATCTATCAATGTGAGTGCTAATTTAAAGCAAATTTTGTATATTTTAAGTGAGATGTTTCAGTGGAACCAGCTCAGGTCTATCACTTTTATACACAGGAAAAATCAGTTTAAAAGAAATATGAAAAGAGTTGAGTTTTCCATTTAGAATAACGTTAGAGGAAAAAGTTCTTTTCCTTTATCTAGGCTTTCCTGTAATGCGGCTCAACAAAGACCACTGGAGCAGCGTATGGAAAGAGCACACGATGTGTGTATGAGAACAATAGTGCAAACTTGCTAACTTGTCTACCCTGGGATATCCCCAAACACTAAGGCAGTGCCTGACTTGTATGTGCTTAACACATACAAGTCTGAATGAACGCATGGACAATTGTAAATGCTAGGCATACAAGTAAAACAATTAGGGAGATCTTGCAGGAAGCATCTTGGAAGTTTTCTTTGATAAATAGAAACATTCCCGAATGTTAGTTGAAATCCTCATGGAAACACTCAACTTTTTTAACTATCAGACTTGCAAGATGGAGTGTCTCTCTACACACTTAATAAAAATCTTCCATATTTTCTATTACTCCTAGTAATTCTGAGATCTGAAGATAAGACCAATTGTATCAATCAAAGTTTCTCTTCATCTGTCACTATTTATTTTTGGCTGACTTTCAGCTCAGGCGGTGGAACCAGGGTCTTTAAATGCAGTTTCGTCTTTGATCAAACTCATTTCTTAGTTAATGTTCTTTATTTGCCTCTGCTTCCCCCACCCCTCCATGCTTCATAACTTTCTCTTATTCATAAATTAAATGTTAAAGTTGCTTTTAAAAAAGCAAATAACCTACACAATGGCGTGCAATTGAAAATAGTTCATTTTTATCTCTGGCATGTCTGGGTCACCAGGCACACAATATGCCTAACAAGTAGTTAGCTCACAGCAGCTACCCCTATTGTGTGTTAGTCCTTACTTAATGGACATTCAGATTGTTATTATTTTAAAC
The DNA here is from genome assembly GCF_000001405.40 of Homo sapiens. Taxonomy (NCBI): domain Eukaryota; kingdom Metazoa; phylum Chordata; class Mammalia; order Primates; family Hominidae; genus Homo; species Homo sapiens. The sequence continues at coordinate 81,382,359 of NC_000001.11, read as the reverse complement.
TCAAATAGCAATAGTAGTCTCAATAATAATGGAATACTGAAAAATCTCATATGTTCAATCTGGGTGATTTTTAAATTTTAATCAGGCAGAAGAGAACAAAACCTGCATTATGGCGATGAATGTTGATGTGATTTGGTGTGAGGGCTGAGGTATTGCTAACTGTTAGTGAACAACAGACTAACTCCCCTGGAAAAATACTATATAATTATGATTATATAATGTATGCCACGCTATGCTTAAAATTCTTTGGAACCTCGAAGCACAGAAGGGTTCAGTTAGTCCAACACTTGGAAAGAATATCTACAAGATTCTTTCATGTCGATAATTAGTGAAACATTGGAACAAATATTCAGGGAGAAAACTAAACCACTGTTAGACAAAGGAATCACAAACAACGAAGGGCATGACCTCCTTCAGCAAAAATCAGGCCAGGCAAGCTTAATTGTTTTTATATAGGATAAAAGAAGGTGAGTGGGGTTATGGAACAGGACTTTAGGGAAATGTTTGATACAACAATTATTATGTTTAAATTCTTGGATTATAAGTCCATCCTCAGAGTCTTATGAAAAATAATTTACCACAACCACATAAGGTTTAATTTAAGGAGAGAAAACATGATGCAATATTATAAAATCTATTCATCAAAAATGGCGAATCAATGTATTAGAAGAACATAAATAACATGTTTATGTCAAAAGTTACTGAGTAGGAGACAAAATTTCTGCAGACACTCTTCATGAAAATACTGAAAGAAAAAGAAGGCTATTTTGCTATTTTTTTTTCCTTTGAGACAAAATCTTGCTCTGCCCCCAAGGCTGGAGTGCAGTGGATCACAGATGACTGCATCCTCAAACTCCTGGGCTCTAGTGATCCTTCCCGCCTCTGTCCCTTGAGTAACTGGGACTACAGGTGTGCCACCATGCCTAGCTAATTTATAGGCTATTTCTTAAACAAGGGGAAAGAGTTTCTAGTTTAAACCAACAGCCATTATTTAATGATGAAAATGAGGAATAAGATTAAGATCCCTACTATCTTCACTAATTTTTACTATTATTTAGGGATTTCTGATCAACCAATGTAACATGAAACCAAATATAGGGTATAAATTTTGGGAAAAGTTATCCCTGAAGAGTTTTGTAAAGTAAAATATCATGAATTTGACTGACAATATAATTATATTTAATATAAAGCTAGAAATACAATTAAAAGAAGAGATTCCAAAGTACCAACAAAAGGTAAGCAAGGAATAATCTGAAAAACAAATTCTAAATCATATATAAAGAAAAATTACAAATATAGTTCCAATCTATCCAAGTCACATATATAAAGAAAATTTAAAATTTTATTGAGGTCTATAACATAAGATGTTTGAGAACAAAACATAATTGTAAATGAGATGATGGAACCTTATTTATTTATATATTTCATGTAGTTTCCACATGTATTTCTGTGTTTCATGTAATTGAAATAAAATAAGAGTTTGGGAGAAATTTCAATTTTTTTTTCCTACCATTCATTTAAAAAGAATAAACAGTTAAGATTATCAAAGTAAATTTGAAACCACTACCACCACCACCACCAAATACATTATAAGGTTATAATACATAAATCTGCGGTTTTGGAATAAAAACAGACAGCTGAATGGAAAATAATAAATAGCTTAGCAATAGATGTTATTATTTGTAAAAATTCCATGTATGTTAAAGTCATTGTAAGTCAGGAAAATAGAGAGGAGAAGGCTTAGTCAAAAATGGTATTGGATAAATGGTTAGCAATTTGGAAAAAATCCATGTATTCCCTCACCTCATATTATATTCCAAAATAAGTTCCAGATGGATTAATGTTAAAATAAAATTTTAACAAATCAAACCATTGTTAAACAACAACAAAAAAGAAGTAAATAGCTAGATCTTTGTTTAGAAGACAAATATAAATTTGCAAAAGATTAAAAAGTAATCATAAAAATGCGAATAAATTTGGCTTTATAAACATAAAATATGCTTATTTCAAAAAGAATATCCCATTCTACGTTTAATAAGGTGTTAAGAACTCCGTGATTTTAAAAAGCCCACACACATTAAAAGTGATAGGCACAGGACATGAACTGAAAATTCACAAAAGAGGAAATACAACTAGTAAACAAACATATGGGAAAACGTCCACTTCATTAGCAGTCAAAGAAATGCAAATTAAATTTAGACTGGAGAAAAAAAGTTAGAGTTTGTAGCTCAGGCTTCTGAAAGAAGGAGGGGAAAAGAAGCCGTTTGAGTCTTAGAATTTTTTGCGTGTTAGGGAAAGCGAGAGATGAATTCACCAGAGAAGGCCAGGTTTTACTGATAAGGGAGTGCTGGGAAGGGAAGGACACGTCCGTTTAAATGATACAGAAGAGGGGAAGGGAAGTGTTGAGTAGAGGAGGGCGTGGTCCCTGGCTAGGGCTCTACCCCCACGGACCTAGGTGAGGACAGGCACTTCTGCCTTTGTGCCCAAATGTTGTATTTTCCTTTCCAAGAGCACTCTGGTCCACCATGCCCCCATCCTAGGCCTATAGAAACTCGAGATCCTAGCAAGGCACAGACAGAAGCTGCTGGACAACAAAGGAACACATTAGCGGAAGAAGACAAGAGGCTGGACTTGTAGAGAACATGGAGAGGATGTTGAGGGGAGCACACTGACAAGAGCACACGGACAGACGCCAGCATGCAGGCAGGCCATCGCCCGGGAGGAAGTGGAGTTTGGCTGGGGCAGTTGGAGGAGAGCCCTGGCCTCCGAGCAGTCTGACTCCAGGGGAAAACCATCTCCCTTTTGGCTCCCCTATCTGCTGAAAGCTACTTCTACTCAATAAAACCTTGCACTCATTCCTTAAGCCCATGTGTGATCCCATTCTTCCTGTAACCAAGGCAAGAAACCCCGGGATACAGAAATCTCTCTCTCCTTGTGATAAGGAAGGGGGTCTCACTGAGCCGACTAACACAAGCTGCATACAGACGGCTAAATTAAAAGAGCACCCTGTAACATAGGCCCACTGGGGCCTCAGGAGCTGTAAACATTCACCCTCAGACGCTGCCATGGGGTCGGAGCCCCACAGCCTGCCCGTCTGTATGCTCCCCTAGAGGTTTGAGCAGCGGAGCACTGAAGAAGCGAGCCACACCCCTATCACCCGCCCTTTGAGGAGACGAGGGAACATTTCCCATTTCAATATACAGCTGCTGTGTTCTGTGGTTCTCTCCCATGAAGTCGCCCTGTGCACAGGTGGCTTGGTGGTGGGGAAGGAGGTAGAGAATGAGGAGCCTAGATAAAGAAGAAATCTGGCAAACATGATAGATTTCCTTTAGTTAAGTTGAAGTAAGAATGCTAATAAACAGCTGAGAGGTATTAACAAATATGGCAATCAAATATCATCTTTCAATGATCACTTCAGCAGAAAATTTTTAAAAAATAGTAATAACATCTCTTGAAAGGAAGGGTATTGTAAACCTGAAAGTATGCTATCTATAGCGTCATTTATAATATTGCATTATTGGATGTTAACTATGGTTAAAGAGGGTTAAAAGATTAGGGACTACTCTCAACCATTAAAATGTTATAATATCTATGGAGTACTATGTCCTGGGCATTTCAGGAAGCACTTTACATGGATTCTTTAATTTAGTTTTCCCAATGAGGTATATGTTGTTATTGTTGTTGTTATTATCCTCATTTTTACATAAAGAGAGATTAAGTCATGGGGAGGTTACATTGCTAGTAGACAACAGAACTACAGTTTGAACCGGGGCTTTTTTTTTTTTTTTTTTTTAAGATACAAGGTCTCATTCTGGTGTCCAGGCTGGAGTGCAGTGCAGTGGTACAATCACAACTCACTGCAGTCTGGAACTCCTGGGTTCAGGTGATGCTCCCATCTCAGCCTCCAAGTAGCTGGGACTACAGGCACACAAAGCCACGCCCAGCTAATTATTTTTTATATTTTAATTTTTTGTAGAGATACGGTCTAGTTATGTTGCCTAGGCTGGTCTCGAACTCCTGGGCTCAAGCCATCCTCTTGCCTCAGACTCCCGAGTATCTGGGATTACAGGCACGAGCTACCACGCCTGGTGAACTTGGACACCTTGATGACAAAACCTGCTCTTTATCACTGCAATACATGTAGGTATTGTGAACCATTGTGGCATTCTTTTTTTTTTTTTTGAGACAGAGTCTCTCTCTATTGCCAAGATGGAGTGCAGTGGCACGATCTCGGCTCGCTGCAACCTCTGCCTCCTGGGTTCAAGCGATTCCCCTGCCTCAGCCTCCTGAGTAGCTGGGGCTACAGGTGTGCACCACCACGCCCAGCTAATTTTTGTATTTTTAGTAGAGAGAGTGTTTCACCATGTTGTCCAGGATGATCTCGATCTCTTGACCTCGTGATCTGCCCACCTCAGCCTCCCAAAGTGTTGGGATTACAGGTGTGAGCCACCGTGCCCGGTACCACCCGTGGTATTCAATATGCACATTATTATTATGATTTTAAAAAGAGCATAAAATTCAAAATTAGGTACAAAATCATGAGAGATGTGGTGTTAAGGAGGTAGGATGGGTAATACACTTTCTTTTTTTGAAGTTTTTAAAAGGGTGTAACACTTTAAAAACATTTTTAAGTGAAGAATAATTCTCCAGCAATTAAATACATTCTCACAAATCATCCAATCACAACATGTCACACAAAGAGGAAACCTAACAATCAACCTGGATGTGGGCTGGTGACGTGCGTATCATGACCCCTGCAGGAATCTCAGAGGTAGTATAAGCCTCCATGAATCTGAGGGTTTTTAACTCTACGTTGCTGCTGGGATAACACCTTTCCTGCCTTCTTAGTTTGAGTATGTACCAAACAGCAACCAGCCACTAACTGGATATGATTTTTACCAACACAGGTCCAAAGTTAAGATTTTGCTAATTTTGATACTGATAATAACTAAAGGATGAGGAGGGTAATAATGATCATGATAGTACCATTTACCGAGAATTGATTAAATGCCGGACAATATATTGAATACTTTACTTGCATTTTTTGGAATATTCAACTTTCAGAGTAATCTCACAATATTATGGTTATCTTTATTTCATATACTTGCTGATGATTGATGTTTTTTTACTAGAAATGCTATTTGTTTCTTTGCTTTAGTTTGGTTGTTTGTTTTATTTTACCTTTTTCAGGCAGTCTTTCTCTGTCACATAGGCTGGAGTGCAGTGGCCTCAAACTCCTGGGCCTAAGCGATCCTCCCAGCTCAGTCTCCTGAGTAGCTTAGGACTATACAGGTGCGTGCCACCATGCCCAGCTAATTAAAAAAAAATTTTTTTTGGAGAGATGGTGTCTCGCTTTTTGGCTCAGTCTGGGCTCAAAACTCCTGGACTCAAGTGATCCTCCCTACTCGGTTTCTCAAAGTGCTGGGATTATAGGTGTGAACAACTGCATCAAGCCTGGTTGTTTTGGATAAATACAAAAAGTCATGAATTTATCTTCTTGACCCATGCACTCTGCTGTTAGTGTTGGCAAACCCTGCCTGAACACACTAGCTTCCAAAAGTCTTGGCCCATATTCAATCTGGTTGTGTCTCAATGAAGAGGCTGATCAGCCCCTGGGGTGTACATCTTCTTCTGTCATGCATGAGTTAAGTGGACCTCATGCCAAATCACAAAATATTGAGGGGTGGATAATTGACAAGCGATATGGGAGGGAGAGAGTGAATAAAGAAGAAGAGAAAGGGAGAGAGGGATGGGAGGAAAGAAGCAAGGAAAGAAGGAAGGAAGGAGGGAAGGAAGGGAGGAAGGGAGGGAGGAAGAAAGGAAGGAAGAAAAGAAGGAGAGAAGGAAGGAGGAAAAAAAGGACATGGCGAGACTCATTGTATTAACCAGGTTATATCACCATTGTGTGGAATTACTTTGGGTTTAGTCAACCCAGTTAGGCATTTTGGAAACATTATGGCATTTGGGCTGCCTCCACAAAGCAGGCTGGAAAAGTTCCCAAAATACCAGGCCACTAGGCAATGTTTCTTTGGTTGGCAGCACTCTGCTGTTCCCTTCTCAGCTCTGGAAAAGTGTGAAAAGTAAAAGCGACCCCACAGGCAGCTGGGAAAATGCCTAATGGTTCTCTGGAACAGGTTAGCAATAACTAGTATGTCCAGCTTTGGATTTTACAGTTTTGAATTGAACAAATAAGATTTTTTTCAAAGTTTGATAACTGACTTGTGAAGAAAGGCTAAGTATATCTGTATTACTCAGCCCAGTAAGGGGAAGAGCCAACAGCGCCCATGCCAGGAGTGGCAGGGGTCAGTCCACCTAAGGGTAGATGCTGGTATATATTGCTATCTTCGTAATGATGCTGGATTTGTGTTTTAAAAATTGAATTCATTAATTTTATTAAAGTTAGTAAGTATAAGACCGAATATGGGTACTTTGTTCTAATTAACAGAATGTCAAAGGATGTATTCTTGCTTTTAAAAATAGAATGAAGCATTTTGAAAAAAAAAAATCATTAAATCCAAGCGATGAACCATAGCTGAATTTATCCCTGAGGCCACTGCTATATTATAGCTTGAATCTAGTGCAAGGTCCCATGGAGGGGGGTCCAGAAATTCCATTTACTAAGGGGATACTTTTGGACATAGTCAAGGAGTCATCCAAAATAAGATACTGGTAAATAATATAAGATGATTCCAAGTACTGATATTCTTGCAGTATTTCACTTCAGAATTCCCTAATCCTAGAACCAATAGTAGAATGCTAGAAGCATCTAAAGATGGTAATATTTCCAATGTTTGTAAGCAGTAATATGGTACTTACATTTTTATAAATGTGTTGCAAACACAAGTGTTCACTTGATATTTCTTGCTACAGTTAGTTCATTCATAGCTTCTTAATTGATAAAATCCCTCTTCTTATTTATACCTGTATATTATTGTAAATGATCCATCTTGCTGCTGTTTGCTATCTTAAATACCTTTCAATGAACTTCACGGCCCTTCATAATTTGGTCCTGCTTTACCGCTCCACTTCATCTTCTGGCTTTTGAATGGCAAAATTTTCTAGCAAACAGCTACTTATCCTTTAATTTTGGGCTATACTGATACCTCCTCTATGAAGTTTTCTTGACTCCTTGAGCCAGACTTAAGTGGTCTATGTTGCTGCCATTGCTCTTTGTATACACTTATTAAGACAGGTATTAAGCTAAGTTTGCTCACAGGTGCTCACATCTTTTTATTTGTCTGAAGACAGGGATGATGTGTTGCTATTTCTGTGGGCCAGAAAACTAGCATGTTGTCTGGAACAACACTCCATGATAACTGCCTCTCATGGAAGCCCTAAAGCAGACCAGCAAGACTGGTGCTGGGCATGGTATCTCACCCAGCCGTGGTCTCAAATGAGAGCCATCTGGACAAAGGAGGGCCATCCTGGACTCAGGAAGTCAGGAGGCAAAGGATGGATCTCTGTGTCTTCAGTACTGTCTTGCATCATCTTCCTGGATAGGGCCAATGAAATGAGTACCAGCTAATTAGAAGATGCTTGAAATAGCTGTTACTGTGCTGGAAGTCTCAGTAAATCCCAGGATCCTAAATTGTTCCGAGGGATATGTGAGCGGCAATGGACAAAAGAGTGGATATGCATGCCAGAGCAGACAAGTGCTACCACAGTCAGGAAGTGCACACACTTGAATTGCCCAGGACCGCCAGAATTGCCAGTGGATTAGCTAGGCGGACTTGCCCTACTCATTTCACTAGTCTCCTAGCAAGGCAACTTGTTTTTTTTTTCTTTTTTGAGATGGAGTCTCACTCTGTTGCTTAGGCTGGAGTGCAGTGGCACGATCTCAGCTCACTGCAACCTCCATCTCCCAGGTTCAAGTGATTCTCTCACCTCAGCCTCCTGAGTAGCTGGGATTACAGGTGCCCGCCACCACGTCCGGCTAATTTTTGTACTTTTAGTAGAGATGGGGTTTTGCCATGTTGGCCAGGCTGGTCTCGAACTCCTGACCTCAGGTGATCCACCCGCCTCGGCCTCCCAAAGTGCTGGGATTTATAGGCGTGAGCCACCATGCCTGGTTGGCAGCTTGTATTTTATGGGATTTAATATTTTTACTCCACTTATTGTGTCACGTTGGGGCTTTGTTGTGTGCTTTAATGGTTTTGAGTCAATAACTGGGTAAATGGATGGAATACATATGTATCACATGTCTCCACGTATATGTATAGCTAAGCTTACATGTTCATATATTCTTACATGTATTCATAAGGGTGTTTGTGTGTGTGTGTGTGTATGTGTATTTAAAGGTGGCCACAACATATTGTTGACTTCTGTTAAATCTATTGCTGCTTATCTGCCTTTCTTATCCACGGTATCCTTGAATCTAAGATTTATGTGATGTGATTAATTTTTGGACCTACTACATTTTTACATGATCACATTTATTGAATGTAATCTTTGCTTCAGTTCATTGCTTCATGTTGTCCAGATACTGCCAGATTCAGATTATGTCTCCTAAATCACTTGCTTTTTTCCCGGTTTTGAATCATCTGCAATTTTGGTGGCCCACCCTCCGTGTCATCATTCAAACTCTTGTTGAAAACAAACATTTAAGGTTAAGTAATGAAGTGTCACACTTATGCCACACCACTAGAGATGTTTTTCAGGCTGACTTCTGTATATTCATTCATTCATCCTTATTAATGTATGTAATTTTCTAGACATTGAACTTATTTTTTTCCATGTTTTACAAGAGAAGTGAGGCTGTTTTGTGGTCCTAGATACTTTATGCTAGTTATATTTCCCTGATGAACCCTGTAAGTAGCATCACTAAGGGAAAACTGCTGCCAGTCAGGCTCTGTTTGTTCTTGATAAACTCACAGGAGTTTTGTAATTGTTCCTTCTCATTCTCAGTTTTCATAATCCATCCTGTTATTAAGCCTTTTTGAATCTTCCAAAGAATATATGTGGAACTCATTGGGAAAATTGAAGATGGAAATGTTTGACATTTCCAGTCCAGGTTTTCAGCTGTAAGTATGGTTTTGCCCCCAGGCTCATCCTGCTTAGGGTTTTTCATAGGCTAACATTTTGAGAAGTGGGATCAGGAGTTATTAATTATCTCCATCTTAGAGGACTAAAGCAGGAACAATGATTCAGTCATTTATTCAATGTTATCAACATTTATTGGACACTTTCTAAAAGGTTCTGTACAGAGGTAAGACTGAATTGCCACCAACTAGATATTTACCAGATATTGGATGAGACAGAGGTCCTCTGCATGTGACCCCCAAATTAGCAGCATTAGCATGACCATGGCACTTGTTGAAAGGGAAAATTTTGGGGCTGCACCAAGACATACTGAATCAGAGACTATTGGAAGCTCTGTTTTAACAAGCTCTCTCCCTTTGAATAAATGTGATGATGCACATTAAAAAGTGAGAACCATTGGAAGAAGACATTTATGTAAAGAAACAATTACAGTTCTATACTAAGCTGTTGCCAACACACTTCTGGGGAACAGAGGAGTGATTAAGCAAAATAATATGGGAGTACATCATCAATCTGTGTGCCTGGGTCAGACATATAAGTAGACAGGTATAGTTTGGTTTCAAGAGCTTCATTACAGAAAGGAAAATTCTCTCTAACTGCCTAGTTATGTACATTATTTTAACAGATGACAAAGTCAATTATTAAACAAACAGAAAATTCGTACTTTAACATGTTTTTGGAATGAGATGGAGTAACAGAGAAAATAAACTAATCAACTAATTAATTAATCAAGAGCCATAAGCAAAGGAAGCCAAAAACATCTGATGAGGTAAAACTGTGAAACTTACTTATGCTGAATTATAATCAATCGATCCAGCAACAGATAAGCTTTCCAGGTTGTACAGGTGCTAGCAAATGGGGGCATGAGGGTACAAATGAGAACAGCAATCTTGACTGCACTGATATTTCCCCCTTGTGTTTGCCATCTCGGCCCTCCTTACATAATGTGCAATTATTTGGCATTGCTTAACATTTTTATATCTTAGAAGTAACATGGGTTCCTGAGCTCTAAATGTACCAATATTCTTTGAATGATTTATGAAGACTTTTGTTCACTTTTTTCTCAGCAAGGTTTGACTTTATCTTTATTCTCAGATGATTAATTAAAGTACTACTGTAATAGTTTCCCATTTTAAAAAAGTTGATTGATGTAGAATTTGTAAGGTTCTACCGACATTGCAGACTTGAGAATGACCTCCTATTTCACATGAACAATGGATAGGTTGTTTGTTTCGCTTTGACATGTGATATCTAAGATCTTTATGCCATAGCTTACTGGTCTCGGGACAGAGATCTCAGTGTTCTAAGCCTCCTACACTGACCCTTCTCACATGACTGCCTGTCAACTGTACCTACAACAGACCTGTGTTTTAGCACTTATTCCTTTTTTCTTTGTTTATTTACACATCTGTTACTTTCATTGTAATTTAAGCATGCTAGATTTTCTGTTTATTTCAATATTCCCAGCAATTATCATAATACTCGACATGATTTGTTCAATAGGAATTTATTGAATAATGAATGAATGGTTACATGGATCGATGGGTGAATCAAATAACCCATGATGAAGTGCATAATTTTTCTTGTTCAAAAACATGGCATACTTTCTGAAAAATGGCCTCTGTATTTCCCAGTAAACAATTAAGATAAAAACAATCACAGAGATTTAAGGCTACACCTTTACACTATATTTCAGGTTACTTCTTGTATGTAATGCAAAGTTTCATTTACAAGGAAGATAAATGATTAATTATGGAATACTTGTCCTATGCTATGCCAAATGCTTTACATTTCTTATTTTATATTCACAAAAAGCAAGTATTTACAAGTGTCAATATTAATAGAAACGTGTAAGATTTTTAGTGGGAAACATTAGTTTTGGAAACCCAGATGTCATTCTACAAACTCATCTTTTTTATTGATACTTTTCTTTCCTTATCATCCTACTCCCCATCTTTTAGTTGTCTTTTTCCAGCTCCCATTTGTTTCTCTGCCTTATGCTATTTCAACCTTACTTGGTATTTAAAAATAGACTTGGTGGAAATATCTACCCTAATTTGCACAGAACACTGAGATTTTATTCCTATGGCTATAGTTCAAAGTTCAAACAGGCATAAGAAGGGTGAGGTGGTCGGTTCTAGTAGCCTTGGCTAATGTAATGGTTCTGTGGATGGTGGAGGCCCTAAAGATGCTGCTGCATTTTCCACTGAAAGCCACTATTAATGAACTACAGAAAATGAGAACTTATTCCCCTTTTCAGTAATGTCTGCCTCACTTGGGTACACATGGCCTAAATAGATACATTTTTAAAAGCATTTTATTAGCATACTGAAAATTCCCATTAAACGCTAGACTAGAGAACTCACTAAGTCACACACGATATTGAAAACTGTCCTTCACAAGTTTTCAAAGGAAAGGCCTAATATGTTTTTCTCATCTCTAATATCAATGATTCTATTATTCTTAGTGTAACTTAATTCTTTTTGTATCTCCAAAATGAAAATTTATTACATACAAGTGAAGATTTTTAAAAGCACATGGGGCAAAATCATATTTAATGAGGAATGAGATGATTTTAAGTGCTGCAGTGTGTTCCTAAAAGGACTCGAGTCATTCAAAATTTCTGAAGTACTCTGTCCTATGCATTTTGATGGCAATATAAGTTATAACTGTCTTCAGGTCTTAATATCTGAAAACTTTTTTGTAGGGGAGGGGGTCTTCTGAGAATGAAATGCACAAGTATTTTTAGGATGCCTATATTTAACTATAAAAGTATGTTGTGGGTATAATTTTCATGTAGGAACAATAGCACTTATTTCAGTTTCTTTGGTATATACAATATGGTTTTAATAAATCACCTTATTTAGAATTTTGTCTCAGATAAAACAGACAAAAGCATTCCCCTAGATAAAATTAGGATGATTTTCTGTTAGCAACAAACAGTGTACTATTTTGTGAAAGCCAACAGGAAAAAAATATCTCCAACAATGATTTAATCGTTTTGAATTTCATAAAGTTTTATATCTTTTCTTTACATTTCTGGGTCAATGCCAAAGTTCAGTTTCTACTATACCAGTTGTATTCTATAAAAAAGGTAAAAAATCAATTAAACTTATATATTCTAGAAGAGCACCTAAATGTATGGAAACATTATTAAGTTAGAGCCTTTTTTTTTGTTTTTTCTGGCAGTTCCCCTCCAAATTGTGTCCAAACCACTTTGTTTCACTGTAGAATAAAGGAAGCTGTGTGTTTTCATTTCTTGGCAGGTGAGGTAGAACTAACACAGAGAGGAACTTCTTTGGTAGGGTATGGGGCACTATGGAAACTTACTAACTGATGACATCACTCTGTAAGGAAGAAACTCTCAAGGCTGTTCCACTGGTTTTGGAAATCAGTACAAGCTGCTATCCAGTTTGCAGTACCTCAGTTCCAAAAAGCTTAGTGAAATAAAAAATAAATAAGTAAAAATACCTAATTCCAATGCCAAATGTAGTCTAGTGCTTCCTGTACGATTACAAGTGCTTCATGCAAATTAATGCTCAAATTCAATGATGCCTTGTTTTATGTAACATGTTTTTCTGCCGTGGCTTTTCTGAACCAAAGGGATTTTTTTTTTCATGTTCATAAGGAAATATAAATTGATTTAGTCTAGCTTTCTTTTGCACATGAAAAAAGTATACATGGCCTTTCAAATGAGCCAGTCGCTTCAGAATAAGGTCATCCATTCGGCTGAAGCAAGATTGCTTTCAGAAGCAGAACAATAGACCCCATATAGAGAGGCATGCATTTTGCCAGAAGTAGACTACATCTGAATGTTTTGTGCAAACTCCTTTAACCCTAACTCAAACAAAAACAACTCTGGAAATATTGCATGGTGGGAGGTGGCTACTAGTCTCAAGTAAGAAGTATATGTATTTACATATAGACTATAGACTTGAAAAGAAGTCACTAAAATTCATCAGGGAGTTTAAAAAGCTATGTATATATAGACTGTATTTTTTCAAGTCTATAAGTTTTGAAAACCTCCCAACTGCTGGGTTCTATGCTATGAATCCCTAAATATATGCTTGTGCATTTTCTCTTTCTGTCCTCATTTCTCTTGTCTTCTCTATGTATCACTATCTCTCTCTCTGCCTGTGTGTGTCTCTGTCTCTGCCTCAATGTATCTTTCAATCTCCCAACCCTCCCACACCCACATGCATCCCTACAAACATTTATTTTCTCTTATTATTCCTTTTCACTTTATTCAAAAGTGAATATTCAGAAGGTCAACCACTTGTCACTTTGGATTCTTGAATAATACATATATTAGATATAATAATGGAAATATATAGAAGATTCTGATTTTTTGGAGAAGGAGGAGGAAATTGTCTTCCAGGATATTTTATGGTTATAGAGGAGATTTTATAAGGGAATTATGTAAAAAAAGGATGACAAATAAGAGCTAGCTCAAGTGTATGGGTATGTGGAGATGTGAGTGAACACATTCATGCCTCAGGAAATGGGATGGAGCGATGCAAAACAATGGTGTGATGGGGAAGTGTGGGCACAGAGGTAGTGGGACAGTCAGCCAGCATAGAGGTAGTGGGACAGTCAGTGAGCAGTTAAGTACTGTAGCAGTGTAAAGTGTGAAGAACAGACATTAAAGGTAGATGTTGAAATCATTAAGGATTGGAAGGTACTGGGCTTTGTATGCCATTTGGGGAGTTTTGGCTTTATCTCATACGTGGCACAGAATAAAGATTCTCAACAATAGATTGACAAGTCCATATGTGCATTTAAATCAATTATTCCAGCAGATACATGGCAAATATGAATGAGGCAAGGAGAAATATGGAGGCCTTAACTAAGGAAGTGGCCAGTGGAGGTAGAGATAGCTAACACTTTTGAAAGACGTTAAAGAGACAAGTTGACAAGACTTGGAAAGTGATTAAAGAGAAAGGAAAGCCAGTTAAGAGTTACTGCCTGGTACATGAACAGACACTTCTCAAAAGAAGACATTTATGCAGCCAACAAACATATGATAAAAAGATCAACATCACTGGTCATTAGAGAAATGCAAATCAAAACCACAATGAGATACCATCTCATGCCAGTCAGAATGGTGATTATTAAAAAGTCAAGAAACATCAGATGCTGGTGAGGTTGTGGAGGAAAAGGAACACTTTTAATTGCATTGGTGGGAATGCAAATTAATTCAACCATTGTGGAAGACAGTGTGGCGATTCCTCAAAGATCTGGAAGCAGAAATACCATTTTATCCAGCAATCCTGTTAGTAGGTATATACCCAAAGGAATCGAAATCATTCTATTATAAAGATACATGCACGTGTATGTTCACTATAGCACCATTCACAATAGCGAAGTCATGGAACAAATCCAAATGCCCATCAATGATAGACTGGATAAAGAAAATGTGGTACATGTACACCATGGAATACTATGCAGCCATAAAAAGGAATGAGATCAGGCTGGGCTTGGTGGCTCACATCTGTAATCTCAGCACTTTGGGAGGCCAAGGTGGACGGATCACCTGAGGTCAGGAGTTCGAGTCTAGCCTGACCAACATGGTGAAACTCCATCTCTACTAAAAATACAAAATTAGCTGGGTGTGGTGGCACATGCCTGTAATCCCAGCTACTTGGGATGCTGAGGCAGGAGAATTGCTTGAAACCGGGAGGCAGAGGTTGCAGTGATCACGCCATTGCGCTCCAGCCTGGGCAATAAGAGCGAAACTCCGTCTCAAAAAAAGAAAAAAAAGAAAGAAACAAGGTCATGTTCTTTGCAGGGACATAGATGGAGCTGGGAATGGTTATCCTTGGCAAACTAACCCAGGAACAGAAAACCAAACACCACATGTTCTCATTTATAAGTGGGAGCTGAATGATGAGAACACATGGACACATGGTGGGGAACAACACAAACCTGGGCCTATTTGGGGGTCAGGAGAAGGGAGAGCATCAGGAAGAACAGCTAATGGGTGCTGGGCTTAATACCTGGGTGATGGGTTGATCCCTGCAGCACAGCACCATGGCACACTTTACCTATGTATGTAACAAACCTGCACATTCTGCATATGTACTCTGGAACTTAAAATAAAAGCTGATAAAACAAAACAAAACAAGAGTTACTGCCTGGAAACAGGCTTGTCCAAGTACATAGAAACTGGTGACACTGACCAAGATATACAAGAAGAAGAACAGGGCTAGCAGGAAAGTTGCTGGATATTTTACATTTGTGTGACTGTAAAATATCCAGGTGGAACTGTTCTGTAACCAGTGGACTATATGGGTCTTGAGCTTGAGAGAAAGTTAATGGTACTAGAATTCATAAATTGTTAAGGATTCAGAGGGTGATTAAGATCATCTCAGGAAAGTATGTAGCATAAAAAGAGAATGTAGAACTCATGATAATCCACTGGGGATACAGCAATGCTTAAAGAGACAGGAGAAGAGGAGAGGTAGAAATGATCAAAGAAGCAGGAAAACGAAGAGAATCTCATCACATAGAATCCAGCAACTGGGAGGTTTTCAAAAATCACAGACCTGAAAAGAAGTAACTAAAATTCATTAGAGAATTTAAGAAGGTACATAGACTAAACTTGAAATATGGAGGCATTTCATACTATTTTATTTCAAAGGAAGATTAGCTAAATTCACAGTTTACATGTGAAATTCTGGCCAAGACAAGTTATTTCTATGTTAAAGCAAGGGCAGGAGAGTTTAAGAGATTAACAGGGAAATATCACCTTGGTATATATTAAGGAGTATATGATCCTGGGTCAGTGAAAAGCATAAAGATAGCAAGAGTAAAGCTAGAAAACTAGATAGAAACCTACCATTTGTATAAAATAAGTTCTGTGTTTAATTTTACAGTTCTTTGTTTTACTACTCTCTGGCTACAGTGGTTTTGTAGAGTTTCTGGCATGTTGCTATAAATATTTGTGCACTGAGCCTGCTTCTTTCAATAAAAAAGTCTTTTTAAAAGAACATATCTCACTAAATTAGAATTACTTTTTTTTTTTTCTGGAGCCAAATGTGTCATATCTTGGTGGGTTCCTTAGTGAAGAGCTCATGAAGTGATGGAAGTGCCTAAGATTCCTTTTCCTTGCACAGCTTACTCTTAAACATTACTGTAGTAAACAATTTAGTAGAGAAACAGAAATTCATCACTGAAAGAGCTACTCTCTAAAGATTTTCATAGATATTTTCAAGAGGAAGGTATAAAAAGAATGACAGTCTGTAAGAACCAACAGACTATCCCTAATGTTGTCTCCCTTATTCAGCAGAAGAGAAGGAAATTCACTGGACTAGCAAAGAATGGAAATAAACTATTATTAAAAACCTATGAGGAGTCACGCCCTCTGCTAATAGTATTCACATATGTTAATGGGCACATCTAGCCTTTAAAACAACACTTTCAGATACTTTACCCGATTTTTCATTGAAGAAATTAAGCCTTGGGAAAATTGGTTAATGTGTTGAAAATCAGATAGCTAGTCAGTAAAAGAGATGTCACTCAAGGATGAAGGACCCAGTGTCAATGGTATTAACACCCAATAGATTTCAACTAAGGTTGAATAAGTGCTAATGTTGAATCAGGGCAGTAAAATATAGTTTCCATCCCAATCATGCTTGTGGGTATGGTGGTTGTTAAATGATGATCCTCCGTTATCCTTCCCAACCAATATTATTAGGTAAATCAGTGCTGTGAAGAGATGCCCTTTATGTCACAAAACTGTCGTCTCACTTATTTTGATTTAAGAAGGAAGAAACACACTTTATTTTTTTAAGTCTTGATAGAAATAAGCATAACAGAAGTAGAGATAACCATGATGTAAGGAGGCAGGATGGCATATAAGACCTCTGTTTATATCTGACTTGAGGGACAATGTGGGATGTGTATTATACTTTATGTGAATGAAAGTGCAATACAAGATTAGGTTTCCATAAGTTCTATCCAGTACTTTCCCTACACTTTGGCAACTTTTTACCTTATGTCTCCTTTCTATTCTAATAGTGTTCGCTTTGGTTTCTACCTTGGTTCAGTGTGACTTACTGTCTCAACCACCATTTCATCTTCCAATTCCTGACTTCTAGCCTCCCTTTTGGCTTAACTCTGTTGGACTGACATGACAGAAATTGACTTTTGGTTAAGATTTGGACTCCTCTTTGATGGAATGTCCTGACAGGAAGCCTAGTTAGTCTTGGACCAGTATACTCCCACTTGAACTCCAGCCTCAGGGCGTCAGCTCTCAGGCAGGTTGGAGAAGCAAATGAAAGCAAATAAATGCAGGGGACGGTTGGTTATCTCAATACAAGACTCAAATAAGTGACAGACTTAAAATATTAATTACCGGCTGGGGGCAGTGGCTCACGCCTGTAATCTCAGCACTTTGGGAGGCCTAGGTGTGTGGATCATTTGAGCTCAAGAGTTCAAGACCAGCCTGGCCAACATGGTAAAACCCCATCCCTACTAAAAATATAAAAATTCGCTAGGAGACTGAGGCAGGAGAATTGCTTGAACCTGGGAGGTGTAGGTTGCAGTGAGCTGAAATTGTGCCACTGCACTCCAGCCTGGGCGACAGAGCAAGACTCTGTCTCGAAAAAAAAAAAAAGAATTAATTACCAATATCCTATTGTTCCTGACTCCTCAAAGATACTACTGCTTGTGAAGAATTCTGGTGGTTGATTACAAGTGTACTGCTTACAATTTTTCAGTTCTCGCTAATTAATTTACTTCCTCCCTCTTTTTCACAGTAATTTTCATAGTAAAGTGTGCAGTTTTAACCTTTTGAGTATTCAAAAGAACTGTTTTTACATTTCATGTCAGGAATGGTTGGGTTCAGACAACAGAGTTAACCTTCCGTACCTACCCAATTGAATTGTTCTATACCTGGGTCTATCATATTAAAAATAAGCAGTGTTTTCACTCTTTCTCTGTCTTTACTTATGAAGTGATTATATAGGTTGAAATTTTAATTGCAGAAAATACCTATGAAGAACTGTACTTTGAACAGGAAATTGGTCATAACACAAATGGTGAGCTTTGACTCAGACTTAAATGAAAGAAATGATCCTAGACCAAGGCAAAGCCATAAAAAAAAAAAATGGAAAACTTTCAAGGCTCAACCTTCCTCTGTCTTGCTCAAAAATTCCTCTCCCAATTTTTTTAGTCTGGCTTTCTATTGAATTTTAGAGTGGGGGTAAGGGGGAGTGGGGCAAATGCAAGTGTTGGGAAATGACTTAAATCCTTTACTATTACAGAATGTAAAAATTTATTCTTCCTCACAAAGAAATACAGAAGAATTTCAACAATATTAAATGCCCACAAAAAAGTCATTTGCAGTGTGGTTCACTTGAAGAATTTCTTCATTTCAAAGTAGAGAAAGGAACACATTCATACAGTAGATATTTACAGAAGGGCCTACAGAAAATATTATGGTATAAGTATGTACAGGCTTCCATTTTTATATTGTTGTTTTCCAAGTACAATGTATAGAAGCAGAAATTTGTCTCCCAATGAGATTATACAGTTTTCAGATATTTTCTGCAATCTTTTAACTTGGCAACTAAGAAAGTTCCCTTTCTTTATTAGGAAAAAAAATCAACAAAACACAATCTTTTATGATGGTTTTGTTACACAGAGATGCTATTTTAAATGAATTGATTGGTCAGCAGCACAATGGAGGACACTTGTCATTTATTTGATGGTTAGCAGCATAGTGGAGGACATTTGTCATTTATTTGACAAATTAATCAATTTTTTAGACCTAGGGCTAATATAACCTTGAATTCTCTGGTGACTACTCCTATGTGATAATTCTACCCAGTGGATAGTCCTGTAGTCCCACAGAGGGAGGATAATTCTGTACTAGAACACATTGTTTCTTTTTTTAATTGTCAAACTTTATGGAAAATTCGTTATGTATAGACACCTCTAGAGAAGAAATTATTCAACTGAATTACCATAGGATTGACTCATTAATAGCCTAATTTGAATAATGACTAAGTTACCCTTTCGTACACTTGACTGTAGCTAGGGAATTGCTGAAATATCACAGAAAGCCTCTTTTTCCAAGATTAAATCAATGTTCCCTACTCAGTTTTTATGACTATCAAGAATACTACACATTACTAAATTTTAAGTCTTCTTTTTGTAACTTTTTTTATGTGACTAATTACATCCAAATACTGAAATGATTTAAGATATTCGTTTTGCTTAATAAATATCTACCAGTATATCAACATAGATAGTAAGTGTATACATACATATATGTACATAAATTCTGATAAGTAAAATAATTATTTATGGTGAATACAATATGATGATATACATGTGTATCTGTCATAATCCAACAGAAAAAGTGCTAGAATGTCCCATAGGCTGATAATCCCAAAACACAAGAGGCTTACAATTATTAAAAAGCAGAAAACAACCTGCATGTTTAAGATGTTAGGAATGGTTAAGTAAATCATGGGCTAACCACTGAATGAAATAGTACTTGATTATTTGAGAAGAGATTTTAATAACATGGAAAAGGTTTTATGTTTAAACAGAATATAAGGAAATGACACAAAACATTAGCTATATGTGATCATTTTAGTGGTCAAAGGATGAGCATTTTTTTCAGTTAAAAAACAATAAGGACCAATACAAGGAATATTAATTCTATGCAGACAGATAATTTTTAGTCCTCATTGATCACTGCTATATTTCCTGCAGAAAGTGAAAAAAATATACCTTATATTTTTGAAATTAACTTCAGTTGTTAAAAATTTTACATATAAATTTGGAGGGCCTTATTTTCTCATTTCTTGTGGAGGAATTAGCATAATGATAGAAGGGCAATGTAATCCCATGTAATGACTAAAGTTTCTTTGCATTTCCAACTATGAGCTTTCTGATAGTCAAAGAAAAAAAAAATCAAAAGACAGCTGCAAAAGTTATAAGATTAACCTTGAACATAATGAAAAGAGTTCTTTGGGAGAAACAAGGATTTAACCAGCTCTTAGTTTTGAAAAATCTTCTCATGTGGCACTTCATAGAGAGAGAGGACGCAGAGGGATATAATGGGAAAAAAAAGTCCTCAAAAAAATTTCCTACATTAAATGTCAAGGTGAGATTCCTATGGTGTTTTAGTATAGGAATGCTTAATGAAAGCCTAGAACATCATACCGAAGTGTCTTAGAGGAAGCAATCCCATGGAGGGCCAAATAAATGCTATCTAATATTTAGCACCTTGGGATGCCTTAATATAGGAATAGTGTCTATTAAAGTTGAACAATATACTCTAAATACTTAAGAAAACACAAACCAAGAGGACCAAGGGCTTTCCGGGAATGGAGGGCAGACTAACCAGGAATTTGTTTCTAAAAAAAAACCATAGTGTATGCTACTGGAACAGAGGGTTATTGAATGGGGGAGGAAAAAAATCTATAGATAGCTATGAGGTTTCATGGGGTTGTCTCTGAATAGATTTTCTTTTAGGACAGATATCAAAAATTGCTCTTGTTCATTCCAATGCCCTGTATATAATAGGTACTGAATAAGCATTTCTTGCATAAAATATTCAGGGAAAAGAAAGTGTTTATCCCTTTTGTACTTTAAGGAAAGTTTCTATTTCACTCTCTGTTGCTTAAAGTGGAAGCATCAGATTGTCAAAGCAGATTGCTTATTTTTCTAAGCAATTGAGCAAGAAATTCAAAATTAACATACTTTCACTTATTTATCTATTCATTCAACAAATATTTGTTGAGTGTCCTTTGTGATACCAGGATTTATAGCACAGTGTTCCCGTCCTTAAGGAGCACTTACTTAAGGACTTCCTCAAGGCTTTGACCACCCTGCTTAGAATAATTGAAGTTCTGGGCAAAGACTCTGATAGAATTTGTCAATTTTAAAGTGCTAAAAACAAAGCATAAGAGCAAGCAGTGCCATCTTTTCTCAGCAAGAATGTAGCCCAAACCCCAATCAAGATAAGTTTGACTATTACTGAGAGACTACTTTTCTAAAAAGCACATTAGAATATCCCAAATGGCATTATAATATTTGCACTCAGCAGTCTCCAAAATGGCAGCTTAGAGACTTGGAAATCAATGGATCGCCACTCAGAGGGAATAATACATACTGTGAGAATGTAGCCCAGTGAATCATCTAACGAATGATGCCCAATAGAATAAACATTCATTGTGGTTTGTTTTCTTTCTTTTTTCTGCTTCTTTTAAAATATAAGACTGAAGGGAAAAGAAGATAATGCAACTAACATTGCCCAACAGTGCAAGATTAGGGGCTTTCTTCTTATGGGGGCTGGGAGAGGGGAGTTTCCTCTTATCATTTTCATTTCTCTGTTATCTACAGATTTACTATTCAAATTTTCCACATAGATACTAGGTCAGAAGAAAGTCTTCTTCCCAGCATGCATTAAAATGTATTTGGAATGTTTCATGCAAAATATTTTTTTCTTACATTATTTCAAGCTTAAGAAAGAATATAAAAGATAAAGGATGCCAACTTGTTGTTTTTGGACAAATAGCTGTGTAATTTCTTTTTCTTCCTTCCTCTCTTCCTTTTTTCCCTCCTTCCTTCTTTCCTTCCCTTCTCTTCTTTCCTTTAATAAATATTTACAGATCACTTTCCTAGGTCCTGGAAATACAGATATGAGAAAAGGTGGCTATGATGCCTGTTCTCATGGGATTTATATTTTACTTGGCATAGACAGAAAGTAAGCACATTTTTAAAAAGATACTAAAAACAATGCATAAATGAACCTGCATAAAATTGTAGAGAACAATTTGGATGAGTAAGATATTCATAATGTGAGTTCCAGTAACATACAATCTCTGTTCCAGGAGCATACACATTATTTTTTTCAGAAACACATTCCCTGTTAGTGCTGCCCTCCATTCCTGGAAAGCCTTTGGTCCTCTTGGTTTGTGTTTTCTTGAGTATATAGGGTATATTCTTTATTTTTGTGGCTGGGAAAAGTCTCTTTGATGAAATAATATTAGAATTGAGAACTGGATGACAGAAGAAAACAGTCAATTAAAGATCTAGGGACAAAGAATTCTAAGCAGAGGAAATAGCCAGTTCAAAGGCTGTTCTTGATTTGTTTAAGGAATATTAAAATAGGCAGAGTGAAGCTTATAACACAAAATGGAAGCTTTTCCAATACCATGAAATGAAGTGAGAAAACTGGGTAAAGAGTAGATCATGTACAGTCTTGAAGGCCATGTTGAATATCCAGTCTCCATTCAAATGGGAAGTAATTGGAGCATTTTAAGTTAAGGACTGACACAATTCGATTGTTTTAAAATGATCACCCTGGCTGCTGTGCGAGAATAGATTATTGTCTATTATAGCAGGTGAGACAGGCTGTGAAGATAAATTCTGGAGGCATTTTGAAAGTAGGCCTAAAAGGACTTGCTGATGGATTGGATGTGGGAAGGATGAGGGAAAGAGAAGAATCTAGGATAGCTCATAGGTTTTTTTTGGCTTCAGAAAGTGAATGGTGGTTTCTTTCACTGAATGTGGAAGACTAAGAGAAACAGGTTGGGGGTGGTAATGCATTTATGTAGGTAAATGTAAAGTTCTGCTTTGGGGAATGTTAAATTTGAGATGTCTATTAGCTATTTAGGTAGAGATGACAAGTGTGTAGTTACTATTAATACTGGAGCTTAGGGGCAAGATCAAGGTAAAAATAAAAACTTAATCATATTGTAATCATGTTAGCAATGTCTATTATGTATGACTTACTCATGTTGACTAAGAAAATGAGTTAAATATTAATGCTGTATACTGAATACCAAGTAAGTACCAAGTTGGCATTACTTATATGTAGTTGTTAAGGCACAGATTTCAAATAAAGGTAGTTTTGCCTCCTGTTCCCATATACCTCTAGGGATAGCGATGTATATTGAAGACGATAGGTACCCAAAGATGAATTGGAACTAAAGACTGTAAGCTTTACATGGACAGCAGTCTGTCTTATTCACCACTCTGTCTCCAGTTGACCCTGTAGCAGAATGCTTCACAATGGCAGATGTTCAATAAACGTATCAGAATGAAGTAATCAAATATACGTATTAGGCTAACACAGTCATTTTTAAGGCCTGCTCATTTATTGTTCTTACTCAAGGATATGTCTATGCTCAAGTATGATCTGGCCTCCATTTGCATGTTTCATGCTTCCATACCACCTCCCAACTACACAGATTTTCTTTTCTTTCTTTTTTTTAATTTTTTTTAAATTTTAAACCTCTTTGGCAGAACCCAAGTCCCTTCCACAGCAGAACTTTTAAATACACTATTTTCCTTTCCCTGGATTCTCTTCTCTCTTCCAGCTCCTCTGTCCTCTTCCTCTAATTAACTTCTGACCAGTTTCCATATTTTAGCTCAAACCACTTCTTTAGGGAACTTTCCTTCATCCTACGGAGTAGATCTCTCTCCTACCACCAGGTAATTCTTCTGTATAGAACTGATGAAAATTTCTAATTATAAGTTTGTGTAATTGATTAATTACTATCTTGCTTTCCTATTATAACTCATCTGTTTCACTTACTGTTTTATCTAGGTGAGGACAACAGTAGGTACTTAACATAAATCACATATTTTCATGATTTCCAAAGTGACAAGAATTTTGGAATCTCTACAGTGCAAGATGAAAAAACAAAGCTGTCCTATCCAGGTTGATTTTTAACTGCACCAGTGGAAGTTAATCAAACTATAAATGAAATGTACACTAGAAAGAAAATTTCATATGTTCTATATCTCTGAAGAAATGAAAGAACACAAAATTGGGGTCTCTACTGCACACATATCTGTTTTTGAATTGGGATTATTCAGGGGCTCAGACTGAATTTAATACAGCAAAAATCTAGGACACTATCAACTTCTGGAAAATCTGGATTCAATGCTTGTACTTTACCCTGAGTACACAGGGCATACAATGGCATCTTCAACTTAGTCATCAAGACACATTCATTCCAAGAGAGCCGAGGTCACCACTTTCCTTCACTGCACCTTATTCACATGATGTGGGAAAAATATTCTCATATCTGCTTATGAAAAACCCATCTTTTCCCACATTGCCTTGGAAATTCACCCTCTGTCACACAGTTTAAAAAGTCTAAAATCTACCTTGTTTCCACAAATTAGCTTTTGTGATTTTTAAAACAAATTATGTTGACAAGGGAATTAGAGGTCTAATTTTCACGCTGGGGGCTTGATTCTTGTAATAAAAAAGGCTAATATTAATAAGTGTCTTTTAGTTTAATGTGTATAATGACTTATAAGAAAATGATTGTTATTCAGCTTTTGCTAATTTACTTTATTATTACCCCCATATTCTTATAACATTTGAATGTTTATCAAGCACTTTCACTTATTTGATTTCCATAACAGCATTCTGAGCTATGCAGAGATTAATATCCTCATTTTGTAAATGAATAAATTTAAGCTTAAAGAGTTTAACTAACTTCAGAGGCACAACAGCTTAGTGAAAATGGCATGCACATTAGAGCCAGGAGACCTGGGTTTATATACAGATTTTATTAGTTATTGGCTGTAGGACCTTAGGCAATGTATTAACTTCCTACCTTCTACCCCCAAGCCTGCCTGCCCCAGCCAAGCTTTCTTTATTCTACCTGTAAAATGGTGGTGTTAATGTTATTTATATCATATCATTATTGTAAAGATTAAATAATAAGGAATTTCTGAAATTCTGAAAAATTATCCAAAATGGTGCTAAGATTTTTTTAACTGTTTAATTTTTTTTCCATGATATCACACTACAAAAAAGTAAAGAGGTAAAAAACATTGAGTTATATCCTAATAAATCTGCTGAAAACTTTGAAAGAAATGGCTGGTAAAAGAGTGAAGATGAATGACTTTAGTGGATATAGAGGGCTTAGCAAAGCAATCAACTGAATATAAAGGAGCCTAGAATGAAAACTTACAGGTTGGGGGAGGCTGGTGTTATATATCCAGGTGTAGGATATTTACAATCTAAACACTGAAGAGAGAGGGAATCTGGGAGCCTAATCACAAAATATTAATTTTTCATAGGCTATGAACATAAATCATGGTGCAAAGAGTGAGCAAGGCCTGAGAAAGTCCAAAGAGTCACAGTGTTCTTCCTTCAGTGTTTGCTCCTTCAAAGAAGCAGGAGGAAGAGGAGGAGCGACCCAGGATGATGTGTCTTGCTGTGTTTATGCTCTTTCTCATAAGGCCTTTGGATGTTAGCAGCCATTACCTAGCTATTCCTTGGACAGATGAGCTTTAAGTACCTAGTACCTTAGATAAAGGGAAATGTGTGATTCTTAATGAGCTTTAAAAGGAAACAACTTCTTTTTTTTTTTTTTTTTTTTTGAGACGGAGTCTCATTTTGTCCCCCAGGCTGGAGTGCAGTGGCGCGATCTCTGCTCACTGCAAGCTCCGCCTCCCGGGTTCACGCCATTCTCCTGCCTCAGCCTCCCGAGTAGCTGGGACTACAGGCTCCCACCACCACGCTCGGCTAATTTTTTGTATTTTTAGTAGAGACGGGGTTTCACCGTGTTAGCCAGGATGGTGTCGATCTCCTGACCTCGGGATCCACCCACCTCGGCCTCCAAAAGTGCTGGGATTACAGGCGTGAGCCATTGCACCCAGCCAAAAAGAAACTTCTTAATGCTCTCCTGAAGACAAACAGAAACATCCCACTGAGAAGATGCTTAGAAGGTTTCTGTCAGAAGAGTCTTGAGTACATATCACTTCATAATGCAGAGAAAATAATCAGAGATTCCTTCACAAAGAAGAGGATGAGACCTTCTCACTTCTTTTTTCTTAATCTTTCTTGCTTTCTAATTTTCTGAGTTCTCCCTCCCTTACAAAAAAAAAGTTAGTTTCAGACTTAGTAATGTGGCCAAGGTCATATAGTAATCAGAAGACACAGAATTTGATTCCATGTCTGGTGAAAAGCTCATATTGTTTCCATTGATCCACATCTTTTTTATGTGAATTGAGAATCTTCTCTGAAAGGAATTAGCATTTTGCAATGTATAACCTAAGCCTCAGTGAAATTTTATGTGCGTTTCAGCATCTTTAATTTTTTAACATTCCTGTTAGAGAAAACACCATGTCTCTTAGCTCATTTTAAATCTAATTGAGGAGAGAAATTGTATAAATATTAGAGGTGGGAGTGAGAGTAACATTTGAGAATTGTCCTCCAGGCCATCTCAGGTTTTTCTTATCTCTTCCCACTGGCAAATCATTACCCGATAGGGTAATTTCATGTCAATTGGTAAGCATTTGGTTGGGGATCCTGAAGCTAACATTGTTCATACCCTGAGATAAAAAAATAATACCAGGAGGAAAAAAATATGTAACAATGGGAGTAAGAACACATTTTTTTCTTAATTTGGCACAAGATGAGGGTCTTAGGCAGTTGTCAGTGTTATCTGTATAAATGCAGAGCAATAGTCTAATCCAGGGGTTACGAAGACAGAGATAAGGTCAGGTCTGGCTGGGAGCGAGTAGGTCACCATTCTCCTGGTAATGACACATAAAAAGAGGCTCTTGTTGCCTACAGAACACCTGTGGGAATTCAGAAGCTGCAGGCCCAGGGTGAACCTGCTTCTAATAGTCTCTTGTCTTCCCATGCAGGGTTCTGCATGTTGGCCTCTGTAGTACACTTCTTGTGCTGTAATGCTTTCTTTTCCAAATGGCAACAGGCGTTGTGTTTCTTTTATGGACAACTATAAACCTTCACTTTTATCCAGCTAGGCACCTCAGATACTTGGTCACTTACTTTTTGTGCCATTAATCCAAAGAAGTCTATAGATTAAGAAACTTTTTTGGATTGACACAAGTAAATATATAGAATATATGTACACATATATATCTGTATATGTATCTGTATGGAAATACTTGAAACTCTAAAAATTGTATACCAAGTTTCTTTCTTTCTTTCTTTTTCTCTTTTTTTGAGACTGAGTCTCACTCTGTCACCCAGGCTGGAGTGCAGTGGTGCAATCTCGGCTCACGGCAGCCTCCATCTCCTAAGTTCAAGTGATTCTTATGCCTCAGCCTCCCGAGTAGCTGGGACTACAGGCACATGCCACCAAGCCCAGCCAATTTTTTTTAATGTGTTTTTTTAGTAGAGTTGGGGTTTCACCATTTTGGCCAGGCTGGAGTATGCCAAGTTTCAACCAAATATAACTTGAAATGCGTAAGACATAAAGCTATGAACATTGGGATTTATTAAAACATAGAAAAAGCCTGTCTATTGCAATGATAAGTAGCAAAGAGCTTTACAGAGAGAGTAACTGAATGCCTGGCACGTATTTTTTTCCTATACAGTTGCTTTTCTGAAAGTCTATTTTTTACATCCTTTGAAATATGTCTGGAAAAGATGAAGGGCAGAACGTTGTATTTGTGAGGCAGCCACGGGTTAAATGCCATTTTATATTCCCTGATTTTAATTAGTTAAATAAATCAGCAAACAATTACTAAGACCTATTTGGTAAAAGGCATGGGACTAGTTGACAGCGAGGAATACAGGCATATATTTCTGTCCTTGCAAGCTTGCTGCCTTCTTGTGAAGCAAAATATAAGAATCCAAAAAGGGAATTAATTATACAAGACAAGATAGAATACATTCTATGAAAGCGGCACACATGAATGCATGAGTACAGGAAAACGAGGCCTGTCTTTGGATGGGGTTGTCAGGGTAGGCTTTATGATGTGGATGAGAGATGAGTGATGTGCTGTTTTCAAATAAGTTTAGTGGGAAGGCATTTTGGGAGGGGATAACATGATGAGAAGAAACATGCACAGTTATCCTTCAACTCTTGTTCTTTCTTTCATTCAATAAATGCTTATTGAAAAACTAATCTGGTTCTGGTTGTGTATTAGGTACAAGAAAACACAATGTTCAAAAAGATACACATATTTTTGCATTCAGAGTATGGATTTACAGAGGAAGCTTAGAATCCGATTAGGAATTCTGGCTGTAGGGGAAGAAACAGAATATTAGTTTCATCATTAACTAGTTAAGTGTCCTTGAGCAAGTTCCTAAACTTCTCTAAGATTTATTTGCCCTACTAGTGAGATGAGATGAGTAATTGTAGTTTTCTTGTAGGGTTATTTGTGAGGATTAAATAAAATGATGCATATATAATACTGTTGAATGCCTGGCTTATAGGAACTACCCATTAAATTAGACTCCAAGTCTGCTGGACTCCAAAGTCTATGCTGTTTATTGCCACCCTTTCTTACTTCCAAATTCTCATATCAGAGTTCTTTGGTGCTGTTACTCTCCCTTTTCAGTCCTTCAGTTTCTGTGACACTCTGCAGACATGTCATTCTAGTCATTCTATAGTCACCTATTAAATGCTACGCTTCTCAAAGATTCATGCCTGAGCCTTTCTCTTATACTACACATTTTACCTGGGACGCTGTCGCCCTTTCGCATGATTTCACTTACCTTTAGCTCGCTGGTGACTGCCAACAGCTAGCCTGTCAAGGCTTCTCTTGTGAGATCCAGAGCCATAGCATCCTTGACACGTTCACACTATCATCCCAGGGCCACTTGAAATGTGGCATACTCACCCTTTTCTCCCTCTTCAGTTTTCTAAGTTTTTGAAGACATTGCTCTTCAATGAGCTTCCATGTGCCAACCTTGGAATCAGTCTAGATTTTTTTCTCTTCTTCACCTTTCTACATCCAATCAATCATCATATCCTGTAAAATCTTCATTACAAATTTGTCTTTCAATCTATTTTCCTTTTTCTAAATTCCTTGTTTTGGTCTTTAAAGCTCTCATCATCCCTGAAATTCTCATTTGCAGCCGTAGTGGAGCCCCTGAATCTGCATCTTTTCTAGGTTCTGGTGTGCTCTGAGGCCCAGCCATCAGAACTCTGTCCTACACTCTTGTTCCTCTCCTCCCAAACTTGTTTCTTATCATTCTATCCTTAATTCAGATAACAAGCAAATCTGGTTGTGGCCTTTACCTGCTCAAAAATCTTCAGAGGCTCCCTAATATTTATGGAATAAAAGGACCCAATCTGAACTGTTTATCTGTCAAGCAAGGATCCGATTCTCATACCTTTCATGGCAATGCAGTCTCATTTACAACACTCAGGCAGTATGGGAAGTGCCTACATGTAAGGGTCTGGAAGAGAGACTGCCTGGGTGCAAATTTTGAGATATAAAGTGAGGTTAATCATAACACCCATTTATCAAGTTCTTGTGATGATTAACGTACATATATATGCAGAATATTGCCCACTATGTAGTAAGCAAGCATTCATTATACATTAGATATTATTACCTCCAACGCTTTTTCACCCCCAACACTCAATTTATGTTCCAAAACTATCATCTCTTTGAATATTTAAAAAAAATTGTTTTGTTTTTCTATCCCATTCCCAAATCCCTGCTTGACCTGACCTAATTAACCCCTTCAATAGAGTTAATTGACTCAGTGAGTTAACTGACTCTACTACTCAAACTTAAACACTCTTTTCCCTTTGATTCCATTGCTACTGCTTTAACTCTACCTGATTGCTTATGTATATGTCTCCCTTCTACATCAAAAGTGTTTAGATGACTAAAAAGAATGGCTGTGAACTAAACAGGTACATAAAATTTACCAACGGAGGTTTAAAAACCACTTTCCTCTCTCACATGGCATATCTTAAGTTGATAGGAAGGCCATATAACACTAATCCTTATTTAATCGCCATTGTCTTAAAGAATTGAAGCTAGAATTTCGAGGTACAACAAAATTTTTCATTTTCCAAGATTATCTTGCTTACCTAAACTAGTATCCTCCAGAACCCCCAGAACTAGCACACTGCCTGACCTAAGACTTAAACTATATGCAATTTCAGGCTGTTTAAATTCAAGTTTTCACAGCTAGAGTTTAAGCTGGTTGTGTAAAGTTATATTTCAAATACATCAGGTGGGGGTATTTTGCTGGGTTTTGTGTCATTCTAACTGATTCCTCAGAGGTAAATAAACAGCAAGACGATTTCAGAAACTAAAACTCAGGTGTGGCCCATCAGAATGTCCACTGATATGTTGAGACTTTGTCCATCAGGTATTTGGGATGATACAAATTCTGTTCTGTCACCCTCAACTCTTTAACTTGGGCATCCGGGCTCAAGAGTCAAGTGACAGAGTCACAAGCATTGTGGGTAAGTCAGGGCATGCTAGAACCCAGCACACGTGTGTGCACCTAGTGCAGATCTTTGCGGTGACTCCTTTGTCTGTGCAACCTATTGAGGCTGTGCCTTTGAGGTTAGAAGCAGTACAAACCTTTGGAAAACATCTGTGTATGCCGGTATGACATCTCTGCTGCCATTCTCTGGCTTTTGTGTTTTGGCTACCTGCCACTGAAATGAATGGCTTTCAAATTGCTTGAAAAGTGAAATGGCACTTTTGTATAATTTTAGAACAAGGGAGCCGCTCTTAATCTTTTTAAACTGACTTAGACACTTGTCAGCTCTTGGAAGGGGTTTATAACTTTGTCACCTATGTAGTCATTCAGGTTCTTAAAAAGCAAGTACAGTCGCTAACAGGAATGCTTTTTTGACAGAAAATGTAAGCACTAAAAACATTATTTAATTTGAACTTGATTCTGAGTATTCAGCACCTTCCATCTAGGATTCAAACCTCCTTCCACATACTTGCTGGTTTGACGTGCTGGGTAAAATACATCAAGGACTTTTTTTTTTTAACAATTAATCTGGAATCATTTTTTTCTTTGTGCATTTGCCAGATAACTTGTCCATTTAATAGGGTTTCTTCAATTTGGTTTAGTACCTTCAGATTTCTATTTCTTGTTGACTTTAAAATTTATTTTATTTATCATCCTTGTCATAATACATGTAAGAGATTCTAGAATCAAATTGGATTGACTTATTTTCATCACGGGGTGGGAAGTAAGTGTAATTCTCTACACGTTATATTTCAAAATGAAAGTATTTATGGCTCTGGTGCAGAACAAAAGCTTAAAGCTTTTAATTTTTGTATGCTTTAGAAGTTACCAGCAGTTTTAAAAACACTTTCAGTGAAACAAAAAAGAGAGGGTTAAAAAAAAAAAAGGAACAACCTCACACAAATAAATAAAAAACATCTGGACTGACAACTTGTATAAGTTCCAGGCTCCTGCAACTTTAAACTGCCAAGCGTTAAACCTCTGAAAGTCAAGATTTGTAATGGAAATGCTAAGCGACCCTTAAAAGGCTTAAGGGGACATTGTCAAATAATTTAGGGTCAAATTTTGATCAAGTTTTAAATCTTCATAATCTGGTGGGGTGGGAAATATGTTCCAGATTTTACATATTTTTTATTTCTGTAAGTTTGCATTTATTCATGAAAATCAATAAAAACATATGAGCACTGCCTATTTAGAACCATCTCTTTGAGCCATAAGTCAATAAAAATGAGCAAAATTCTTCTTTTCATGATCAAAGATATGCTAATATAAAACCCATGCTATTGCGATAATGTCAACATGCAAGTCACATTGTCTAATGCTCCATCACAGTCAAGTTCTCCAAATGCATGCGTAAACAAATGCCTACATGTAAAAAACCAAAAAATGTTAAATTGCATAATGTGAGGCATAAAATCTGTCAAGTATCACAACCCTGCTTTATTGTCATTAAATTTTGCTACTGAAAGACATTACGTTGGTAGACTATGTTTCTACGTGCTTTCTTTATATTTCCGTGAAATCTGTCCCCAAGTTCTGAAGGAATTCCCTCTTTAAATCTTTTCATCTGGTTTCTCTTCAGTATCAGTTGTCATTACATTGGTTTGTTCACCAATTATTCTTCAGATTCAAATCTTAGCAATTCTTTTCTAATTGCCTCCAAAATGATTTTGGAAAATTTTTACTAAAATCCTTGAAGATCTAATTTAATCTTAGCTTACAGAACACAACTCTTTTACAAATGTTCATTGTGTCAATCATAAACCTCACTCTACAGTGTTATGAGCAGATTTCTCACAACAGTAAGCAGATGAATTATTGTCTGAACATTCTCAGGTAGAGTGAATCACTGTATCATTTAATACAATGCATCCTATGATAGAGTTATATTAGGCAAAGTTATAGCTATGCACTTATGAACTCAAAGCTAGTTATTTATCATATAGTGTATTTTTTGTTTTATTCCCTAAAAATTCATCCCTAAAATCACAATCAACTCTTAAACACAGGTAAATCTCAAGCCAAGAGGAATAAAGAAAGGTGAACAATAAATTGTAAGGTTGCCAAAATATTTCATGGAACACTCAAATGACATTTGCGGTAATTATTTTAAGTTTGATATGGGTTGGGAAGGTGCACAGGGGAAAAAAAATGATAAAAGAGCATGAGAATAGAAGATTGTAAAGTGCTTTCTTGACTGGGGAATGAGTGTCTAAAGCAGGTTTGTAGAATGTATTTTTTTGTTGTTGTTTGATTTTTTTTCCCTCCCGCCTTCCTAATGAAACATTACCAACTGGTCACTCCCAGAGGCAAAGTACAGAAATAGATAAATATGTGGTCTGATCTGATATGGCAAATTGGCTGTTCCTATATTTTTCCTGTATCTGCTTCCAGTCAAGCATGGACGTGCTGATGAGAGAATGCTTGGATTTAGTGATTCCAAAGAATGAATGCTGATGTGTGTGTGTGTGTGTGTGTGTGTGTGTGTGTAGCTCACAACACAGGTCTTTATCATCTCTATCTTTGACTTTTAAAAGAGATTGGTGCAAGATAGGTGGGGGTGGGGTAGAAGGAAAAAACTTCTTTAAAGAGTTCTAAATTCAGAGCACCAATACCATCCCACATTCCTGCCATTCCTGTGATCACTTAGTCTTAAATTTCCATTTTCCCTTCTCAGATTTGCCTGTGTGCCAAGGTTTACTGGCTCCCAGGTTAAAACGAAATGAAAACAAACAAGAAAGTTTACATCCTAAGACAACATGAATAGAAGGATCAGCTTGTGACTGAACACCATATAAACAAAGAAATTCCCTGATAAGAATGGCCACCTATCACTTAGCATTTGTGCAGCAGCACCTGGTTACAAGCAGACACCTCTTTAGTGCTGTAGAGTGAGGAATGCAGACTGCCCTGGTGCCAATATCCCCAACACGGTTTAATGGCTTTGCTTGCATTGATTTAAGCCTAATCTTAGCTCTTGGGAGGCAATTTTGCTTGGGTTCCATGATTCCATCCAAAACAATCAATAGTTATGAATATACAATCATAAAACTTTTTCAATGAAGGAAATATATATATGGTTTAAGTGTAATCAAAAATCAGTGTGACTGAATCTCTTGGAGTATTACTGCAGATTACTTCCATTGGTGCAGCAAAAGGTCAAGCAGTTATATATTTTTTC
The DNA here is from genome assembly GCF_000001405.40 of Homo sapiens. NCBI lineage: Eukaryota > Metazoa > Chordata > Mammalia > Primates > Hominidae > Homo > Homo sapiens. Next base: position 81,348,940 of record NC_000001.11, on the reverse strand, counting down.
TTAAAATCAGTGAATGCATAATAGCTTTTGCTACTCTGAACAGGAATCATTAAACAAATTCATAAATCAATGAAGCATGCAGATGCATTACTTTAATTATCATCTCTTCTCAGATGGTTGGTTTATATAATGTAATTGTTTACTGTGTCCCAGTATTACACTGGAAAGGCTTGGTCAGCCATCTCATATTTTATATCATCCTGATTTTAAAACGTTTTTATTTTTTAATGACAGCAAGAAAGAGAAGTCTTTGAAACCTATTCATTGTTAGACCTTTCTTTGTTGTTGTTGGTGGTGGTGGTGCTATTTATTCTTGGTTTTGTTTTCTTTCTTTTTTTAACATTTCTAAGGTCTGGCTCTCAAACTCAAGCATTTTCATCTCAATTCATGTTTACTTTTAGCCAAGTTCAGAGAAATCCTCTGAAGCGTTTAATAAAATTGTTTTCAACAACCCCCTCCCCATATCACCACTCCCTTTCTGGAACCAAAATACAAATTGTACCTTTTTTGGTCAGAGAAGTGAAGCAGACGGGAAGGAGAAAGGCTACTGTCAAAAAGTAGATTCTGATTACCAGAGGACGAGTTTGTCGTTGCCTTGTTTTAAAACACCAGGAACATCTGAATTAAATCAGGGATGTGTGTTTGTACACAAGTGTGTGTGTATGTGTGTGTGTCTGTTGGGGAGGTGCATTTTAGAGACTCTTAGCTACAGGAGAAGCTAAGATCCATTAGATGTTAAGGCTTGGGGGTAATCCTCTTCGATGTGATGCTTTGCTGTCCAGGCTTATGGGGTGTCAACATCACCCCATGGCTCTGCAGTGCAGCTCTGCTTCTTCAGCTCTGTGGGGTGGCCCTACTCACTTGGCCTCTGTGGTGGCTACCTGGTTGGCTGAAACAAAGGAGGAAGTAGCCTTGCCCTCTGGGCCTGTGGTGGGAGTGACATGCCTGATGATTTTTTGATTCATCTTCAGTTTCATTCTTCCCTTTTCTGGGAAATGCACATTCCCAGCTGAATAGCTTTAGGGTCTAAGGCCTGTAGAATCCAAGAAGCCCAATAGCCTTCTTGCATTTGTCCTTTCTCTGCCCTTTTTAGTTAAAACTGTCAATGTCTCTGCTGGTCTATCCCATCTGTATTCCTGGCTTTTGCAGAGATGCCTGATTAAGTCCGTGAAATGCATCCATGATCTTTTTATCAACTGTTCGTTCAGCCACAACCTTAGTATTTTCTTTAAAACAAGTTTTCTCATTTTTTGCAATATGAAGAATTTTCTAAATATCCAAGTTCTGATTCCTTTTTGATTAACAATTCCTTCTTCACTTTTTATTATAAGCATAAGGAGGACCCATGCTGCATCCTCCATACTTTGCTTAGAAATCTCCTCAGCTAAATATCCAATTGCATTGCTTGCAAGTTCTACCACAAAATACTAGGAAACAATTCAGTCCAGCTCCTTCGTATTTTATAAGTATCATCTTTTCTCTGGTTTCCAATAAACTGTCCCTCATTTCTATCTAAGACCTCACCAGAAATTTTTTTTTTTTGAAACAGTCTCTCTCTGTCATCCAGGCTGGAGTGCAATGGCATGATCTAGGCTCACTGCAACCTCTGCTTCCCGGGTTCAAGCGATTCTCCTGCCTCAGCCTCCTGAGTAGCTGGGATTACAGACACACACCACCACACCTGGCTATTTTTTTGTGTTTTTTAGTAGAGACAGCGTTTTGCCACGTTGGACAGGCTGGTCTCAAACTCCTGACCTCAGGTGATCTACCCGCCTCAGCCTCCCAAAGTGCTGAGATTACAGGCATGAGCCACTGCACCCAACCCAGAATGGGTTTTAGTGTTCACATTTCTACCAACATTCTATTTGTGACTATATCTTCAATAAGAAGATGAACACTTTCTCTTCAGCTCTCCTTATTTCCTTTGAGCCCTCAATAGAATTGTGTTAACGTCTGTATATCTAATGTAGCTTCAGGGAAATCTAGGCTTTTTCTTGCATGCACCTCAAAACTCTTTTAGCCTCTACCCAACACCAAGTTCCAAAGCCACTTTCACATTTTTAGGTATTTGTTACAACAGCACCCCACTTCTTGGTATCAAAATCTTAGTCACTTAAGACTGCCATAACAAAATGCCATAGACTGCTCTGCTCAAACAATAGAAATTTATTTCTCATAGTTCTAGAGGCTGGGAAGTCCAAGATCAAGGTGCTAGTTGCTTCAGTTTCTGATCTTTGTCTGAGTATAAGCTCTCATCTTGTCTTTATAGATGGCTATCTTCTCATTGTGCCATCATATGGAGGGGTAGGGAGTGGGGAGAGAAAGTGAGAGATCTCTTTCTCTACTTATAAAGTCACAGTCTTACTGAATTAGGGCTCCACTTTTATCACCTTAATTAATGTTAATTACTCACTAAAGTCTCTATCTCCAGGTACAGTCACATGCAGGGTTAGGCTTCCAATATATAAATTTTGAGGAGACACAAGTTAATAGTAGCCTCTGATGCTGACATGATCAAATTTGGGATGTGGACTATACTGAGCTGAAAGATCATATTCTTGAGATAAAGATGGTTTACCAAATTATTCCTTCTGATTATGAGATTATAATGCTGTAGATGTGGAGTGGGTGTTCACAGTAGCCCAAAGGATTATAGCAATTGCAAAAATGTGACTCTGACTTATTTCTACATAAGCATAATGGATAATTTTCATTTTGCAAATATTTTGCAAGCCTTTATAGAAAGTATTTTATTCTCATGTGAGTGTCTCCACCTCTTTCCCCTTTTACCTCATCCTCCACTCCCCAAATACCTGTCAATATTTCTAATATTTATCAGCGTGCAACTTAGCTTTGGGTTAACAGTATTTTTACAAACTCACTGTGGATACTGTTATGGAAAGGCAAAGTATTGCTATTGCTGTCTATATCTTGCCATAGAAAATCAAATGTGAGACAATAGAGGCTAGAAATATTAAAAAATTATTTTTTCATAAAATTCAGAATCCAGAATAGATTCAACAAAAGCTCAAACCTTTTGAAATGGTACTTAGTTAAGTGAATATAATACATAATGAATATTTCAAACTTCATAATATCAATTGAATATCTATATTGTTACTAGTGAATTTTAAAATATGAATGAAAAATATTCTAAGCATTTTTACGTTTTTACATATAGTTTCTTCCTTTCCACTTCTTTCTTGCCTTTCTCTTTCTCTCTTTTTCTCTCATTCTTTCACAAAATAATTCTGAATCTAGGACAGTTATGATTAGTTGACTAAAACAATTCACCTGTTTTTTCTAGGTGCTGTACAGATTCTGTTGCATTAATATTTACAAAGTGAAAATTATTCTATATCTGTATTTTTTATTTTAATATTAATGGATAATTTATCACTTCTCTTTATTATATTTTAACAAAAATATGATTAATCTTCCAGTTACTTTGAGGAAGGGATTGATTTTGTGGTGATAAGAATAGATGAGACAATGTAGCAGAATGCATGGCTATCAAAAGTTATTTGGCCAGAGGGTTTCTTTAAAATGCGTATGTATCAGTGGAATACTGGTAGCTGTTCTTGAGATGCAATGGCAATGTATCACCTTGGATAAGCGCACCAGGAAGAGAGAGAGAGAGAATGCAGCCTAGGCTTGGAGGTGGCCCAGGCTTAGTGACTTGCATCTATTAATAACTAACCATTCTTTGAGAGCTGCCCTATATTTGGGTTTGTTTCATGAAGAAAGATACTATGTGAGTTCTAAGGCTGGGTCATAAAAAGCATGTAGTTTCCACTGGTTCTTCCTCTCTTGGATCACTTAGAAGCCAGATGCCATGTAGCATTAACTCTATCAATAATGAAAAATATAATATTATTTATTATAAATGTTACACACCTATACTTCAATGTAACTATTTCTTTCAAAAATTCATGACCAGTTTTTATAATTTTTCAACAGTGTCACAAAATCAGATTTTGAGTAAAGTTGATGAATGAATGAATTTATTATTGATGAATGAATACAGTTCTGATGAAAATGCTGGTTAATATTTTTGTTTACCTTAATGAATAACACAAAAGTGAAAAAACAAAGACATATGCTGGAACTTCACTTGATCAATAGCATGAGCTGCTTCTTTGCCAAATTGGAAAATTAATAGTTTTTAAATATGAGAAAAATATTTCCTTGATTTTTTATGTTACTGATGTAACAGTTCTGGACAAAACACACTTTTAAATATAATCTGCTTTTTTTTTTTTTTTTTTTTTTTTGAGACAGAGTTTCGCTCTTGTCACCCAGGCTGGAGTGCAATGGCATGATCTCGGCTCACTGCAACCTCTGCCTCCCGGGTTCAAGTGATTCTCCTGCCTCAGCCTCCTGAGTAGTTGAGATTACAGGCATGCCCAGCTAATTTTGTATTTTTAGTAGAGATGGGGTTTCTCCATGTTGGTCAGGCTGGTCTCGAACTCCCGACCTCAGGTGATCCGCATGCTTCGTCCTCCCAAAGTGCTGAGATTACAGGTGTGAGCCTCTGTGCCCGGCCTATAATCTGCTGTATTAACATTTTCTGTGTCACTTTCTTAAGTCCAGACAATTAACAAAACAATAAATTAAACCTGATTTGTAACATTTGCCATTTCTGTTTATAAATACTCACAGCATGGCCAATCTCAGGCTACAAATGTGCTATCATAGAACATCGAATTAGGGCGTGGTGACGTTGCGCCTGTAATCCAAGCTATTTGGGAGGCTCAGGCATGAGAATTGCTTGAACCTGGGAGGCGGAGGTTGCAGTGAGCTGAGATTGCGCCACTGCACTCTGGCCGGGAAACAGAGGGAGACTCTGTCTCAAAAAGAAAAATTTTTTTTTCTTTGTAATATAATGACCACATGTCAATCTACTACGAAATCCATAAACCAGATTATTGACAATAACTTACAGTTTATTGTGTTTTACTCCCTTAAACTACCACATAATTATTTGCCACCTTAGCTGTTATGGACTGAATGCTTGTGTCTCCTCAAAATTTATATGTTGAAGTCCCACTCCCAAATGTATTAGGGGTATGGTATTAGGAGGTGAGGACTTTGAGAGGTAATTAGGTTCAGACGAGGTCCTAAAGGTGGAGCCCCAGCAATTGGATTTAGTTTCCTTAGAAGAAGTGGAAGCACCAGTGTATGCTCTCTTTCTCTCTCTCTCTCTGTCACAATCTCTTTCTCTCTCTCTCTCTGTCACACTCTCTTTCTCTCTCTCTCTGTCTTGTGAGGATATGGTGAAAAGACAGCCATGTGCCTTGGAAGGGAACCTCACCAAAAACTGAGTATGCTGGCCCACTGATCTTGGAATTCCCAGCCTACCCCACTATCAGAAATAAGGATTAGTTGTTTAAGCCACTTAGCATGTGGTATTTTGTTATAGCAGCCTAAGCTCAGACACAAGGAAATGATAGTTCTGAATTCTGTGCTAATCTTTCATTGGCCCTTAAAACATGTTTTTATTGTACACACAATTATAAATATAACAATTTATTGTTAAAGAAAGATTGTTGGCCAGGCCCAGTGGCTCATGCCTATAATCCCAGTACTTTGGGAGGCTGAGGTAGGGGGATTGCTTGAGTTCAGGAGTTCAAGACCAGTCTTGCCAACATGGTAAAACCCCGTCCCTACTAAAAATACGAAAATTAGCTTGGCGTGGTGGCACGTGCCTGTAATCCCAGCTACTCAGGAGGCTAAGGCGTGACAATTGCTTGGACCCTGGAGGAGGAGGGTTGCAGTGAACCGAGACTGGACCACTGCACTCCAGCCTGGGCAGCAGAGTGAGATTCTGTCTCAAAAAAAAAAAAAAGAAAAGAAAAAAGAAAAAAAGAAAAGAAAAAAAGAGAAAGATTGTTGTATAATAATAGTAAGCATGAATTTATTATATTCTTTACGTATACATTAAAAAGATTTATTTTAGGAAAAAAAGTTACTTGCATACTTTTTTCTCAGAGTATCTATTGACAGACATTTCTAGAAAAACACAGAGTGCAGTTTGGAAAACACTGGTGTTGGGATAAAGAGCTGAACTTTGCAAAGAGAAAGAATTGAGCCCAAATCTAAATTCCCCAACCTATTAGCTCTGTGTCAGAGGAAAAGTTGGCTAAATTTATGAGTCTTGATTTTTTCACCTATAAGGTGTGGAAATAATATTGACCTCATCATGCTGTTAAAAGATAAAATAACATATTAAATATAAGATACTTAATATGTGTATTAATAACTAAATTAAGAAAAATAAGTTACTTAATGGAAAATTGAAATTTATTAGATTACTTTGATTTTTTAAAACCTATTAGAGTGATTGACCAAAGTAAATTTGAATTCCACTGGTACTTGGTTAAAATTATGACTAAATTGCCAGATGGAATCTTTTTCCAGCTATCATTTGTTATAAAATAGTAGACTGACCCAAGAATCATAGTGATGACATAGCTTGATATCATTTAGTGGCACAGCCAAATTCAGACAAGACCAATTGATTTCTTTCAAGATCATAAAAAATGCACAGAAAATTGTCAAAGGTACATGATACAATTGGAATGGAGATTTAATTTGATTTGATTAATTCCACTGTAACTCTAATTCCTCAGTATTTGTTGTAATTTCTATGGACTCAATATAGGATCTAAAACATATGGACATTTAAATAATATTTTTAGTAGATTCATTTGGGCATTTATGACAATAATCTTACCAAGGGGAAATATTCAGGTGGGAAATTTTGGTTGTTCTTAAAATGGTTATCTGCTGTTAAATACCTATGCTTGTTGTATTATAATTCTAGCCCTATAGCAGGATCCAAAAAAATCTTTGTTTCACAGGTTCAGTGTTCTGGAAATCTGACTGTCACTAACTAAGTCTAGTTCCACTCACAGACACAGTCAGTTTCACAGTCTGCATTGAATACATTTGTCTGAAAAATAGTAACCACTACCCATCTTCTATTTATTTCTCAGGAAATAAATAGTTTTCATTGGAATTCACACTTCCTAAAGGAAATATAAAAACCTAGAATTTGAATTTGTATTTGTTTAGTTCAAATTTTGATCTAAAATAAATGCAGTTACTAGCATTTACTAGAGTAATTGGTACTAATTCTTCATTAGTGTTGATGAGCTTTAGCAGGCAGGTACATCATAGATACACAAATATATGTAACTCCCAATGAGCTCTACAAACATGTTTTTATAGAAAGGTAGAACCATCTGGTTGTATGGTCACATGAGAGTAACGTTAAGTATCACTTCCATTAAAATGCTTAAAAATCAGAATGAAATAAATAGTAAACTGTTACTTCAAATTTGAAAAGAGCTTGCTTTTATAAGGCTAATATACATGCTTACTAGGTTGAGAAATCTGATGTTTGAAGAAAAACATTCTTAAGTGCTTAAGTACCAGGCAATAAAATAAAAGTATAAAAATAGGCCTACATAAAAAAACAAAAAAAAAAATCACAGTTTTCTGAAAGGTAAATAGCCCTACTGATGAATCATTTTTGTTTTGTCTGCCCTTTTTGAAGAGGCCACAGAGATGACATGTCTTTAAATAAATCTAGAGGCCTTTCTCTTTTAAACTATCTTTGCTGCTATATTTATTCCAGGAACTAAAATAGTTCCATGGCCTTTCAAAAAAATATATTTTTACTTCTAATAATCAATATTGAGTTTCCTTTTAAATCTAACATTTTAATTTTATTTCCTCTATAGGCAAAGGATTCAGCCCAGTTTTAAAGCCAGGCTGTATAATTTTGAAATGTCTTAAAGGATACATTTTGACCTCAACTCCATGTTATTTCAGGGATATGTTATCAAGAAATTATGTTTTCCACCATTCTTTGTAACCGTCGATTACCTTAGACATGTGATAGGTTTCAAACATATGATTGGGACTATGGCAAAAATAAAATAAGAGCAGTGCATGCCCATTGACGATGTGGAAAATGGGCTTGTTTTAGAGAAAGTTTCTCCTTTAAGATCTTTAAGGTTCCATTTAAAAAAAAAAAAAACCTTTGCTCCCTCACAACTTTCCATGAGAGAATGTCTGAGTGACTTGAATTTATTGGGCATCAACCTAAATAAGGTTTGTTCTAGAAGGAAGTTCTGTATAGACTAACTCACACTGGAGCATACATTTCCTCTCCTGTCTCACTGGGTATGTCTCTAAATTCTAAAACACCACTGAGAAAACCACTTTCTTATCTGGTGTGCCACAGATCAGCACCATCGATTTAATTTGGTCCTCACATTTTTATTTTCATAGAAGTGCTGCCAAACTGCCTCTTCTTTCTTACTTTTAATTTTAATCATAAATGAGTGTCAGAGATGGTTTTGGCCATAGATAATGTGTGAATGCTTCTTAGAATGAGTAATTTCCTTTGACACTGCAATTTAATTCCCTTCCTATTCAGCCAGGACCATGGAAAGTCCAATCAGATGACCCTGCTACCCTAGTAAAGAGAAAAAATTGCTTCTGTACCGGAAGCACTGATGTGGACTCGTGACCTGGGGCAAGCACAAGTTGGGCAAAGGATTTTGACTCTTCAAAAAGCAGAAGCTTGGATATTAGTGATAAGGTTAAATGTGTCCTGCTATTGTTAATTACACATTGAAAAGGCATACAAAGACAGAATAAAATATTAATCTCCTTACATTAAATCTATATTTGAAGTAGAGATAACATACTGTTTGTTTATGCTATCTTTAAATTACTTTCATTATAAAATGACAGAATGTTAACACATAGCTTCCCAATAAAAAGCACCCTCTTGCAAATATAGTATGATTAAAAACATATTCTTCAGATTTCTCATTCATTCATTTATTAAAGAATTTTCTGAGCACACTTCCTGTGATATACTCTTCCAGAAACTAGGATACCAAAATGAATATAGCACAGCTCTTTTTGAGAATCTCTTAAGGTCAAGAGATACAGGTAAACATAATTGTAATATGATGCAATTCACAAGATATGCTACCAAAGAAACGTAGGTAAGAACTACAGAGGAAGGAACATATGAACTTAAGAGAACTCATGGCTGAGCTGAAACCAGAAGAAAAGTTTGGAATTTTTAGGTCAGAGAAAGGAAAGAAAGACATTCCAGGTAGAAGGTTCAGAATGTACAAAGGTATGGAGAAGGATAAATTCCAAGAGAGTACAGGTCCTTTGAATTTGGAAATCATGTGTATAACAGGTGGGAGCTAATGCCATAGTAGTCAATCTTGAGAGACTGAAAAGGCTAAGGTTTCAAGTCCTGGGAAACAACATAAAATAAGTATCAGGTGAAGGACTAAAGGAAAAACAAACAAACAAACAAACAAAACAACCCCAAGGGACCAATAAGGTACAATAAGAAAGATTAACAGAAGTTAAGATTTTATGCTGTATTTATTTGCTAGGCACTGTGGTAGGAACTGGGAATACAAAATAAAATAAGACATGGCTGACTCTCAAGGTGCTTTCAGTAAAGGTGAGATGCAAATGAAGCAAGTACTGTGATTGTAATTTTGTGTGTGTGTGCACATGTATGCAACACACATATGGGTATGATGCTTAAGAGCAAGGCATTGGGAATCAGATTGTCTGAGTTGGAATCTTGACATTGTCAGTTACTATTAATTAATTAATTCTAACCTTAAGCTGTTTCCTTAATTATGACGATGTCCTAATATTCTTTCAGTGAAATGGAGCGCCTTCCCTATAGGCCTGTTGCAAAGATGGAACAAAATAATCCATGGGAAGGCCTTATCTCTTAATACATATCAATGCTCAACAAATATTAGTTATACAGATACATATTCACAAGACACTATGGGAATCTAGAGGTGGTACCTCTAAATTAGACTAAACATTCAAGAGAGAGAGTAAACCATGAACTGAGTTTTGTATGCTGAGTAAAAGTTAGTGCCACAAGGCAGATGAAAGAAGAGCATTCCAGGCAATAATAATAGTGTAATGAGATAAGAGAATAAGAAAAGTGTAAAACTTTCAAAACACGAGAAAGAAGAGGGCAGTTGAAGACCCAGTGGTCAAGAGCAGAGTTTAGTGAGAGGCTGTACCATAAACTTGTTAGGAGGTTGGACATTGAAGCCAAGCTGCCCGGGTTCAGTTTCTGGGTTGTCTGGAATTACTCCAGTGGCATTACCTCTCTGTGTCTCAATTTCCTCATTTGCAGAAGAGGAATAGCAATGTTTTCCAGGGATAAAGAATCACTTAGAACATATCTGGTACATGGTGAATACTATGCAATTATTAACAATTGTTATTAAATTTCCAAGTTTATGATAAAGTTAGCACAAAGTAACTTCTGCCATTGTAAAAGACCTTCTTGGATCCGTATTTTCTTTGTTCTTTTTTAGTTAACTCACTTAATTTCTATTACTGTGATCTCAAAGTTAGACACCATGTAATCATTGATCCTTGTGGTATCAGTTAATATCCTAGTGCCTGAGCCAGACTAGATACCAAGAAAATGTTAACTGCCTGTATATTAAGAGTAGTTTTTTGTTTTGTTTTGTGTTTTGTTTTGTTTTGTTTTTTGAGTCACAGTCTTGCTCTGTCGCCCAGGCTGGAGTGCAGTGGCGCCATCTTGGCTCACTGCAACTTCTGCCTCCCGGGTTTAAGAGATTCTTGGGCCTTAGCCTCCCCGGTAGCTGGAATTACAAGCTGGCACCACAGAGTCCAGCTAATTTTTGTATTTTTAGTAAAGACAGGATTTTGCCATGTTGTCCAGGCTGGTCGCGAACTTCTGACCTCAGGTGATCTGCCACCCTAGGCCTCCCAACGTGCTGGGATTACAGGTGTGAGCCACTGCGTTGGGCCAAGAGTAGTCTGAATTGTAGTAAGTCAATACCACTTTTAGCTTAGACAATTTCTAAAATAATTGTATAAAACAAATATATATATTACTGTTCTACTTAGAGAAGGTTATTGGAAAAAATGGGAATTGAAATTTGAGTGTAATATTTTTCTGACCTAAAGACTCTGACCCTATTTGTACCCCTATTTTCAAATTATTTGACTGAAGGCTTCAGCAAATTCACAGAATTCAAAGTGCACTTAACAGAACCTCAAAGGGCTGGAACTGGTTAGTTGATACAATCCAATGCTTAAGAATTACTGAAAAAAAGAGTCTGCCAGGGTGTAAGATAAATGGCAACTCTCTTTAGCAATTTTTTGGTTGTCTACAAATCCTGTAGACCAATGGAGGTCTTCAAAAAATGTAGATCTGGACAGTGAGATTAACTTGGTGATGAACTTGAAAGAAGACCATATATTAGCAACCATGAAAACACAGGGAAGACTTGGTCTTCTTTAACATAAAGCAAATGATGATTTCTCTGAGAGCTCTCATAATGCTAGAATTGAAACAGGAAATTTTTGTCTGATGCTTTCACGGTCTTCATGAAGGGGATGGCTTGTTTACTCAGCCCACAGCTCTCAATCCTTCATGGGACAGGGAGCACGAAGGTGAGCGAGTGCAGGGTCTGGGATGAGCGCTTCGGGGCACCAGCAGGAGCAGGACTCTGTGCCGCACCACAGCAGCATCTAGGGGGATACCCACAACCCCTGGAGCCCCAGAGGGTGTGTGTTCCAGTGCGCTCTTTTAGCTTTGTCATCCGTGAATGTCTTACGCGTTTAACAGCTCAGTGTGACAGCCCCCTGTATCCCAAGCTCTTGTTCGGCATCTAGGAAGAATCAGGTTGCACAAGCAAATTGAAGATGATAAATGCCAGGAATTTTAGTGCTGTTGGAAGGTGGGAAGGGATGGAGAGCTGGAAAGGGGATGGAGTGGGAAGCTAGTCTTCCCCTGGAAATCGACTATCCCCAGCTGAACTCTTCTTTGAGGTCCCACTGTCAAGCTGTCCCTGTGAAGTCAAGGCTGCTTCTCGCTGATGTCAAGCTCCTTCTTCTCTTCTTTCCTTCTCTGCTGCTCCTCGCTGATGTCAAGCTCCTTCTTCTCTTCTTTCCTTCTCTGCTGCTCCTCTGCCAGTGGAGCCTGGGGTTTTCATGGGTACAAGATGGGAGACAGGGCAGGCCAGGGTGGTTTTTGAAAAGGTAACATTCGAGTGGGAAAACGGGGAGGTAAAGTTCTCACTTTGGGCCACTTGTCCAGGCTCGAGGGTGGGGCCCTCACCGGGGACTGCCCTCTTCTACCCAGTATTTCCCTGCCTCCTGTCCATATCAGAATTACACATGAAAAAGTTTATGAACTCTTTCCAGAGGAGGATTAGGCCATCCAGACACCCCAGCTGAGTCAGAGTGCTCTCCCTGCTCCTTTGGATTATGGTATCAACTAGAAACTTTGTGCACTGACAGCCATACATATATAGGTCTAGTGCACTTCACATTGGCGATCCTCAGGGACCTGGGCAATCAGCACAAGAATATTACAAGTGCAATTAAGAAACAGTCCTAACTCAGATGGAAGATCAAGGAAATGGACACAGTTAACTGGCTCCACCAAGACTTACAGTCTCACTTGGTTCTGTACCTGGCTAATATTTGAAACTAGAAAACTATTCCTCATCAACATGAGTGAAATAGAGGGTTAAAATGGGCTACTGTGGAAGCATTCCCTTTTCTAATCCTTGATTAGTATCACAATCAGTCGCATTCATACTTTTATCAGTATATTTAGAAAAAGAAGCATTATTATAGCTTGCACAAAAGGTTTCCAGAAATCCTGTTCAGAGTGGTGCAGGCAAAGAAGGGAGGTGAAACATATCTGGAAGTGGCAGGCTGGCATAGTAGAGGAGAATCTCCGACAAGGCCACTGAACGTTAATCAGGAATGAGAAGAATGGTAAGTGAAGGCCATCACAATGGGTGTCTGATAATAATCTCCCTTGTCTTACAAACAGCTACACTTAAAGCAGCCTTGCACTTAAAACAGGGAATTGCTGAAGAGAAGGAAGTGTTAGGAAATTTTTGGAATCTAGATTCCAGCTAATGGTGCTATTGATTGAAGTAGAAATTTTCCACTAAGCACTGCAAGGGTTGGTAAACTCCATGAAGGAAAGATAGTGCTTTTTTGTTTGTTTTTTGTTTTTTGTTTTTTTTTTTTTTAAACACTATATAGCCCTACTGCGTGGTACACAGGAGTCTGGCTATCAGTAGGATTTAATACGTGTAGAATAACTAAAGGAAGGGATGAATCTCCAAATCAGTGAAAACTGACAGATGGTGAAAGAAATGCATACATTATGTTCCTCCTTCCAAGACTGATTTAGATATTAGGGAAAATGGAGTTGTGGGGAATGTTTGAGGGGCAGTTGGAATCATACATGGAAATTATGTTTAATCCTGTATTTGTTCATCTGTACTCTGAAAAGGGTTAGTTCTTTTGTGAATGCATATTTTATTTCTCACACTAAATTATGTGTTTTTGTGAACAAGAATCACAGTTTTGGTTTGGGGGTGAGGGTTTGGCTTGTGTAGACTTCATTTCAATATTTTGTATGTGTAAATAACTAATGAATGAAAATAGTGTAGTACATTGGAAAGACACTGGACCGAGTCAGAAATTATTGATTTAAGATACAGCTCTGGCAATATGATTTTAAATTAATTGCACATTCTGAGCTTTCCAATTTCATCTGTAAAATGGTGTAATGATATTCAACAGGATATTTTTGTGTGTATGTGTGGGGATTAGGTGAAATACTTCACAAAAAGTATTTTTAACTGCAGAAGCATATGCAAATATTAAAAAACACATATTTATCTTGTTATTATAAGATGATTCATAAGGCCTTGGAAGAATTATAAGATTCAAACACATTTGGTTTTATATTTTGGCTTTTTCATAGATACAACCTTGGGCAAGTTACCTAACTTCATTATTAAAAGGAGGAATTTGTGATGGTTAGTTTCAGGTAAGGAAGGCTCATTTTTGGTAATAGAAAATATACTGCAACAAAGGAACATGTGAAGCCCTTGACATAGCCCACTGTATTTAATCAACACCAAAGACACCTTTACACCTTTATTTCTTTTTTCCTGAAAACACTTTTCCCTGCTCTTCAGCTTCTGCTGTCCTTCAAATATCTATCCTGTGAGGATTCTTAGTGTCCCTGACTGGCAACTAATTCCTCTAAGGTACTGACTGATAATCAATGTGTGATAATGACTTCAGGCAGAGGTGAGCAACTACTTTTTACAAGTGCCAATTCTGAGAAAATAAAAGTGTTAATAGGTCATACACAAGGAAAGAATATAGTAAAAGTTACCAGAAATCTCACTACTCATAGGCAGCCCTGTGTAAATGTTAACAAACCATTTTCATTGCTTTTTGTTTTCTGTTTTATTAAGGCCTTTGAAGAAATATGTATTTATGTAACGTCAATTTTAATGCCTAGAAAATCATAACTGTAAAATTGGCATTTTTAAAGCCACTAAAATGGTAATATCCTGATATATTTGGGAAAGTTGCAACACAGAAATCATTTTCTAACCTTTCATCTTGAAATTGGAAAAATGTTTAAAAGAAATGAAACTAATATGACAGGAAGACTGGATCATAGGTTATAATGGTAGTTAATAATATCTAACCCTTTTGAGAGTTTGTTTATCTGAAAAAATGTAATATACACATTATTGAATTTATGTTCACATGATGGCCAAGATGTAAGTATCGTTTTTATAGAAGAGGAACCAAGATATGGGGAAGATGAGCAACCTATGTAGGCTCACAGCTGGCAAGTGGTAGAACCAGATGAAACACAGTCTAGCTGGTTTCAGAGCTTGTGCTATTAACCATTATGCTATTCTAAAACTATCAGGAAAAGTCCTGTGTTGGTCTATTTGAACTGCTGTAACAAAATGCCATAAACTGGATTATTTGTTTTATTTCTTAAAGTTATGGAGGTTAGGAAGTCTAAGATCAAGTTTCCAGCAGATTTGAAAGGTACCAGGCTGAGATTGAGAGCAAACTCTTATCAAAGTAAATTGAATGAAGTTACCAATAATGCATTTTATATTCTTCTAGGGACCATACTCTTGTCAATATCATCACCACTACAACCATGCCACCACCACTGCATCATAGCAATCTCATTACAGTAATAATTGTGGACTCCCACAGAACACTATAACTTTCCATTACATTTGGAAGTAAGGAATTTTTTTTTTTTTTTTTTGCTTAGGGAACCCCCCAGCTCTGAAAGGCTAAAAAGAAAGTCAAGGAGGCCAGGTTCTGTGGCTCATGCCTGTAATCCCAGCACTTTGGGAGGCCAAGGTGGGTGGATCACAAGGTCAAGAGTTCAAGACCAGCCTGGCCAAGATGGTGAAACACCTGTCTCTACTAAAAATACAAAAAATTATCCAGGCGCAGTGGCAGGTGCCTGTAATCCCAGCTATTCAGGAGGCTGAGGTAGGAGAATCACTTGAACTTGGAGGGCAGAGGTTGCTGTGAGCCAAGATGGTGCCACTGCACTCCAGCCTGGGCGATAGAGTGAGACTCCGTCTCAAAAAATAAATAAATAAATAAATTAATTAATTAATTAATTAAAAAGTCAAGGAGGTGCCCAGCATAAATGCAGCTAAAGGGCTATGTCCTCTGGTTGGATGCTTTGACTCTAATAAGGTACCATAAAAGGTGTCTCCGGTAATTCTACATTTTTTTCAGTCCACTTTCTCTAAGTAGGAGAGCAGATTTAGGATAGAAGCCCAGGTCGGCAATAAAAAGTCCAGATCCGGGTATTTCTCTTTGGGTCCCTCTGTGTAGTGGTTACACTCTGGTAGATGCTAAGGAAAGCCTTAACATAAACACCTTTTAAATGATTTATTCCAATAGCCTCACTTTACAACATGGTGAACCACATCTACAAGGTCTAGAGAGGTTTCATGATTTGCCCAAAGTTATACGACCAGATGGTGGTACAGCTTATTTCAGAAACGAGTTTCCTAATTCCCAGGTCGCTGAACTTCCTAGTGTATAAACTTTAAACTCATCTCAGTGTAAAATATCACAGTCTTATTATGATACATTTTTGTCCAAGGGGAAAAAATAAAACAAAGGTAAAGAAAAACATATACTTTTAAAACACAAAACAATAACACAAAAACTGAACTCATGCTTTCAAATTTCATATGAAGTTCTACATCCCTCTCTCTTTTTAAAACTTTCTTGCTTTGATGTATTACTGGAGAAAATAAGGTGAAAGGCACATATGTTAGGGGTATTTGGTTCAATTTCGAATAAAAGTATTATCGTTGTACATTTCTATACATGTTTCCTCAGAGGAGTCCAATATTTTGGGTACATTTCAACCTTGTGTAACTTTCAAAGGCCATGTAATCATTCAGGTAATGGCAAACAAGAACATCTACCTGGGATTAAATTGTATTTCCATGAGGAGGTTTGAATTTAATGTTTCCAAAGCTCTTGGAACATAGATACTGCTAAATTTGATTAATATAAATCAATTTGCCCCCATGAGGTACTTACACAACTTGATTGGCATATTAAATATTTTATGAAAATTCTATAAAAGTTCTTATGTTTTTTGATTACCAAGCTCTGCTAAAATATTTCTTTTACTGATCAAATATACTAATAATAAAATAGGAGACTCCAGAATTAAGGGCAGAAATTGTGTTGTCTATCAGAAAAAAAATGAAGTTGTGAGTATATATTCTAGAACCTTGAGTACATATATTTATTTTGATTACTCCTGTGATATTTCTGAATATAAAACTTATGCTGTGATTTACGCTTCAGTGAAAGGCACAGAGTTGGACAAAAAATGTTTTTTTTCTTCTCGTTTCATCTGGAAACCTTCTATCATGACATCTATAGCATAAGCATCCTTGTGAGTTGCAGAATCCATTTGTCACATACAAACGTCAAAATACAACTTGGGCCCATGGAAAGAGTTTGTGTTGTTGTGTGTAAGTAGCTGTAATATTGATTTAACTTGTCCCCTAGGTCAACAGATACAACTTAACTGACATAAGTGACTTAATTTTTTTGTGCTTTCTAAAATTAAACACCTTTGTTTAAGTTATATTCCAATCTGATGTCCAAATAATTGGTTAATTTACCCTAGTTAAAATGCTCTCATATAATCTTCAAGGGTGTGATATTACATTTTACATCATAATGCATACTAAGTACTCACAGTTTTAACTGTTAAAAATATTATTAAATGATCAATAAATCTATGGCATGTAAAATGGCACTGCTAACATGGTAGCTATTTGATTTCTATACTTTGTCAAATATATGTACCTCTTAATTCAATAATCCTTAAAGGCAATGCACATTGTGGTTTCCCACTCACAATACCTGACCTTTCCTTAATGTCAAACATCATTTTCCAGTAGCGAGGGAGTAAAGTTTATTATTTATATATAGCTAATAATTATTTGAGGAAAACAAATATAATACCAAAGCAGTACGACAGTAATCATGCAAAAGATGAGCACTTATTTATTGCTGTATCATGCCTGTGACTTGATATATCATTGTCTATATTTCTACTGCCTGGATGCCATGGTCCCAAAATACAAAGTAAACGTAACATACCCCCAAAGGGTCAAAACTTATCTAATCATTATTTCAGATCCTAAGTAATAACATGAAGTATTTCCAAAACGATCCTCTTTACTTGCAAATGTGAAACCTCTCTCTCTATCATCTTTTGCATTCTTGCATATTTCTTTTTAGTTAGAAAATTTCATACTGTCTGATGTTTAAAAAGCAATTACACACGGTATGAGTATAAGGGAGTAAAGGAATCTAGAAGTGAAAAATTCCCTTTCCATCAGCTTGATGTTTTGGTTTGATGTAGATGTAAAATAAAATACTCATTATCATCAAATATTTATTGAGAGCATTCAATTTACCAGGCACTGTGCCAGGCACTATGGGGCATGCAAATATGTTTAAGACATGGTTCCAGCACTTGTGAAATTTATGATTCAGTCACATATGTACTTATCAGCCAAATTAATCTGTTGTTAAACTTTAAAATGTTAACAGTCATAGTTATTAACATGTGTTCTGTGTTCTTTAAAACATCCGTTGAGCAACGTTCATATTTTCTCAAATGCACCTATCAGGTATCCATAAATGTGGACCTTAAACACTTTTTTGCACTTCTGCCTGGTGCAGATGTCAACCTCCAAAGGTGTGAAACACTTCTTTCCAGGACACAATTAGAATAGATTTGTTGACTGATGCATCTGTTGGCAGCTTGTAGTAATGGTGATTAAGTATGCCATGTGTTAACAGCTTTTGTGTACCTAGATGATAATGCCATGGTATAATAGGAAAGATCCATTAGTTTGGCTGAATTATAAAGATATTCCAGTTTAAAAGAATAATTCCTGACCCAAGGACATACAAATTCTCCAGATAAGTAGCCCCTGAAGCATACTTTGACTCTGATCAAGTAAGATACATTAGATATTTTTGGATTGTAGTTAGAGAAATTAAAGTTTTGTTCTCTGTATGTTCCCCAGCAGTAGAACATTCCCCAAGGAAGTGTGCATACATGTTGATATAGAAATGTGTGACCTTGCTTTTCTTTAATCAGATATGACCTGCAGATGTCATGGGCCAGGCAGTGTATCACATGTGTTTCATTCAGTGACATGTGACAGTTTTAGAAATCTGTTTGAATTAATCCTCATTGGGTCAGTATTTGAGATTATCTTCTGACCCCATTTTTCTATAAAACATCAACATATTTCAGGTACTTTTGGTCATCCTCATCATGATGATGAGATGCTAACCATGGTGAGGAAAACTCATATTTTAATAGACATTAATCTTGTGATGTTCTAGTTTATTAGCATATGGCAAATACCAGCTAGAAATGAAAAAGCCTCTTGGATGACCGAAAATACTGCCATTTACTTAAATGCAATTTAATCAAAATAACAGTTTTCTTTCTATTTCACCTTTACTCAAATTAAAATCTGATCATCAGAAATGTGCAAAGCAAAAGAAGTAAATCTATACCAGCAGAGCTGTCAGAAAATTAATCTATAAAGATTGCAATTTCTAGAGCAATATATTAATGTACTGGTAACGATAATGTTTCAGTTGAGGCAGAATAGGGACATTTTATAGTGTGAAACCAGCAATTTTCCTCTCTGATTCTTTTAAGCTTTGGAAATAACAGTTGCTGAAACCTTAGATGCCTATCATCTCAAAGTTTCACAAGTGAAAAATAAATTGGCATCTAAAAAACAGTTGGTGGTTTGGGCAGTTTTGATATAATCAAATTATTTTAAAATTGTACTTTATATTTAGAGCTTTCTTTTCTAAAGTATGATGCTGCTCAGGCAGACATATGAAGCTAAAAGATCTTAGCTAACAGAATACCCGTTTAGCTTTTAGAGAAATATTTTCATTAGATTTTAGGTCACAGGTCTGCAAAATGAGACACCTCAGAAGCATATTAAGGAGTAAGTTTAGATTGTGGAGCAGAGACTATTAATTGTTCACCTAATATTTATTCTTCTCCTCTTCCTGTGTAGCAGCTTTCCTATATTGTCAGAAACAGCAATATGTCTGTCTACAAAACTGTCTCTCAGCCTCCTTTCAAAATAGGGGTGGATAATGAGACATAAAGATGAGCCTTTGGATTGGTTGGTGGGGTTGGGGGTGGGGTGTTCTGAGAAGAATGCAGTATGATGACTCCACAGGCCCTTACTCCCTTGCCCTTCCTATTGTTTGGAAAAGTGAACATAATGACTGGAGCTTTAGTGCTATCTTGCAAGCACTCACAAAAAATAGAGGCTATGCATGCAGAGTGGCAGAGCAGTTAGACAGTGGGAACATGGATGGCTTATAATCGTGAAAACTCGACTTCTTCTGCATCAGGGAAGAATCCACTAATTGAATTAAGTTACTACTGTTAATTGGGTTTTGCACTAAAAGCAGCTAAACTCTATCCTAAATAAGTTGATAGATTTTTTTTTTTTTGTAGATCATGTAAAATATCCTTTACTGGCTAATAACAAAGGAAATGAAAATCTCTCTTAAACAGTCCAGTTAAAGGGCAGACTATAAAATGATAATTAAGCGCTTCTGTGCCCTTTGATGTTTTGATTCAATTGTGTGTCAAATAGCATTTTTCTGTGTGTAGGAGGAAGAGTGGGGTGGCTAGAGCTAGCTTATTTGTTGCACTAGGTGGATAAAGATACTGGAATTGAGGTGATCCTTACCACAGGGTACTTTAACATAGCTAACTATGTTAAAGTATCTGAACGTTCTCTACAGTCTTCTTTATCTGAGTGGAAAGATGCACTGTTTATCTCAGCTAATAAAATTATCTTTTTAAGGTATGACTCCCAGTAAAGTTCTGTTTCAATATTATGAATTCACTTTATAATAAGTTTTCCAAGATACTATTACTGGGGTAGGGTAGAGACAGAAAAAAGAGACCTAATCAATAAGCTTCTAACCTAGTACTGAGGCTTATATTTTAGGGATGGGGGTTGGCTTGACCTTTACTTTTACAAATGTCTGACATTAAAACAGGTTTTATTTTTAGTGGGTAGCACAATTCGATGTTTCCTGTATGATTTACTGATGGAACTCTTCTGGTGTCAAGGAAGATCTTAAACTATGGTTTCCTCAAAATTCTTCCCTCCAATGAAAATTATAAATTTACTGTTCTCTGGATTAAGATTATAGCCACATACCAACAAACCACTGAGTATGTAGTTGGTAGAAATTCTTCCCTTTTGAAGCTTACTGTAAAGAAATGTTGGCACTCAGTCTCTTCTGAAAGGAAAAAGGTTTGAAATTTGTGGTATCCTGTCAATGCTCCTTATGGCACTTTGAATGAAAGGCAGTGTAGTCGTGTTCTTCTCTGGGACACTACTTTCTAAAAGCCTTTTTGTTTTTTGTTCCCTGAGGTTGTTTCAAAGGCCTGCAGGTTGTTTCAAAGAAGTGATTTTAGCCACCATGGTGCAGGGTCAGCTGGGGGCTGTCAAATGACTTCTGTGGGTTATTCAAATCTAACGCAGAGCAAGATAATAGCTCAAGAAGCAACTAATGGGCCTTGTCCACGGTACTGAGATCATGTATCAGGATGACCTATACGTTTTAAACGGTATTTAGTATTGATTCACAACTCTTCCAAAGTTTAAAAGAGGGCTAAGTTGTATACAAGAGCAAAGTCATAGAACAATGATCATTTAACATACAGAGGGCATGACATTTGATTATATCTAAGCTTCTTCAAATGCCAAGAAGAATCTGAAGAAAGATATTTGATATTGACTTTTTAAAGGTCCACATAGATAAAATTAATAAACCTTATTAAAGTTTATTTTAGGGATATTGATTTTAAAGTAGAAATGCACCCACAAAGAAAGTCCCATGATAAAGGCTAATGTGTAAATTCCTTTAAAACCCATAGTTACTGTAATTATATGGAGCATTTTACAAGCAACCAGGGACTGCTTTGGATAGATGACTGAAATTTAATCAGTTTCTGGCACAGACTGCCTTTCTTTCCACCTCGAATTTCCAAAGCACTATTTCTAGGGCAGACCTGTTCAGATAGTGAACCTTTATTATCACATTTGATCTGTCTTTGAGCACTTTCCAAAGGAAAGGCTTCCGCAGATCTCCTAGAAGATAAAGGAATGGGATGATTTCTCTCAATAGCACATGTCCTTCCTCCCGTCCCATTCCATTCTCAGCAAACTTAATTCCGCTCTGCAGTCTGGATTTGATAATCACATGGAGCATTATGTATGAAATGCATAAAACATCGATGTGCTAATGTTGCCACCGGAGACTCTCAGATAAAGAAGGAGGCATATCCTTTTGTACTCTTAGGACATAAGTGTATGTCCTGAACCTCTTTAAAAAACAACTCATTTCATTTCTAAGCATTTTGGGCTTTATTTGTATTAAGTGGCTTAGGCCTGCCAGTCCGCTGCAGGGAAATCCGAGTTTGATGTAGTTTTTAAAGCAAAGAGGAACTGGAAAAATAATCACAAATGATGAATGTGAAAATTAAGCTACCTCTAGAGTTTATGTTTTACAAGGATGAAATCGATCAGTTTATCTCCTAGCTGATTTAAAACATATCTGATTATTTCTGACGGTTCAGGATGTAATGGTCTGAAAGTCTAAATAGAATTCTTAGACTTACCTTTATTAAAACCTGAGGAACTGAAGATATAACTGTCTGGATTGATTACAGTATTTCTGCTGTGGAGAAAAATAACAGCCCTGAGTCACTTCTTGTTGTTCACATCTTCATTAATGTGCTTTATATATTTCTGTCCCTAGAGCAAATTAATGTGTTTTTTTCTTCTTTTGTATGTAGTTCACTTAAACTTAGATTCTTTGAACATAGCTGGATTGCCGTGTGACACTGGAGTCCTAGAGATCAATTGATGGTTGTTAAAGATCATGAAGAATGGTCCATTAAAACAGTTAGTATATGACAAATAACAACGTTTGTGTTTAGTGTGGAAATTTATCAACTAGACAGAGCACTTATTACTGAGACCTGAATGAAAGTCTACTTGAACCAACTTATTAATCAGTCACTGCCCTAGTCTTAACAGACGGTCTTATTAAAGAGCTCTAGATATATTAAAATTGAACTCTAATGTGATAGGTACTATTCCTGAGCTACAATCACAAAGCACACAATTATTACTGAAGACTAAAGTCTATGGAAAAGAAAATAAAAGCTTTCTTTATTTCCAGAGGACTGAGAAGCTTTGCCTCAAATCTCTGGCTCAGATTAAGCACAGTATCTATCATGGGATGCTTAGTTGTGTGGCTGATTCTTTCTCCCACTCTCCATATGTAATCACACATCAAGATATGACAAACTTAAACTTTCCACCTGTATATATTTATATAGTCCACACTAAAGAATCTTCCTAAATTTCTAAAGAATTGTTTTTTTGGAAAAATTGAAGCACTACCAATGGGAAAAAAATAATCATTGCTCTGGCTGGCAAGTGGTATGAATGCTTAGTGAGATCCTCTGGGTCTCTGGGCCTAGAATAAATCATCACCATTTCTCATCCTCCATGGAGTTATTGGGGGTAGAGCCCTTCAGTACTGTGAGCCTTGGGGTTGAGCAGGGATGACAACTGAGTTGAATATCATCTCAAATGACTATACGTCTGTGGGTATTGATTGTCTGGGAGTGCTGGGTTGAGAGGGATGCTTGAAGCTAAGTTTAAGCACAACATGAAAGCAAACCATTACAAATTAAAGACGTTTGCATGAGGCAAGTTTAGAGTTATATTGGAAGAGAATTCTTGGCTTCTAACCTCTGTGACTCATTTGGGTGTGGGGCTGGCTGACCTTCATTTACCTGGGAGAGAAAGTGTGCATGTTTTGGTAAATAGCCAATAGCTGCTTGATGCAATCAATTGCCCTTCTGGTAGAAAGGTGTGAGGGACTTGCCCAGTAGCAATCAACAATTAAATGACTTACCAAACACCTGCAGTGACCTACGAGAGAATCTTCTTTGTTTTCTCAATGTCTTAAAACTTTATAGCTGAAATTCAACACAATAGTGTTGAAAAAGACTCCAGTTCAGTGTTACACACAGTGCAGACATCTTTTAAATACAGGTCGGGTAGACTTCTGACTCTGCCAGAAGAGGTACTGTGAGGGGAAACTTACCCTCTTCTAAGGCAGGTTTCTGGACAGTCTAGTTTTTTAAAAACAGTTCTTTCGTGGACTGGGTTGAAGTGCACCTCTGTGTAAACTTGACATTTGTGGCTGTGGATCTGCTCTTCTACAGAACACAAAGCAATTCTGGTCTCTTCTAGTGGACAATTTACTAAATATTCACTCAAATAATATAAAAATAGTCTATCTGGTTTCTCAAATGTACTATGGCCAAAACAAGGCTTTTAAACCTCTGGTTTAAAGTTTCCGGCTGGGCCTGGTGGCTCATGACTGTAATCCCAGCACTTTGGGAGGTCGGGGTGGGTGGATCACCTGAGGCCAGGAGTTCGAGACCAGCCTAGCCAACACTGTAAAACCCCGTCTCTACTAAAAGTACAAAAATTAGCTGGGTGTGGTGGTGGGCGCCTGCAATCCCAGCTACCTGGGAGACTGAAGCAGGGGAATCGCTTGAACCTGGGAGGCAGAGGTTGCAGTGAGCCGAGATTGAGACACTGCTTTCTAACTTAAGTGACAGGAAAACACTCTGCCTCAAAAAAAAAGTTTCCTCACCTCCCCCTTAGCTCAGGGAGGTTACTCAGACCAGAAAAAGTGGGTCTTGCTTGACATATTACTTTCTTTTCCAATCCATCATCAAATTCTCTTGATACTACTTCCAAAGTGTGTGTGTGTATATATAATTTTTAACATATATAATTTATATATAACTTTTTAATATATAATTTTAAAAATATTATATAGATAGATTTTTTTTTTTTTGAGACAGGGTCTCATTCTGTCACTCAGGCTAGAGTTCAGTAGCGCAATCATGGCTCACTTCAGCCTCGACTTCTCGGGCTCAAACCATCCTCCTGCCTCAGCTTTCCGAATAGCTGGGACTACAGGCACATGCCACCATGCCCAGCTGATTTTTGTATTTTTTTTTTTGTAGAGACAGGGTTTTGCCATATTGCCTGGGCTGCTCTTGAACTCCTGGGCTCAAGTGATTTCCCTGCCTTGGCCTCCCAAAATGCTGGAATTGCAGGTGTGAGCTACTGTGTCCAGCCCTAAAAAATATTTTTAATCTCTCTTTCTCATTCAGTCTCCATCTCCTCCGCTTGAAGCCTAATGACCTTCATCTCTGTCTTTCCCACTACAATAGCCTCTTAAAGGGCTCTCACACTACCACTTGCCTCCTTCCAATACATTAGCCAGACAAAACCAGAGGTATCTTTGCAAAAGGGAATCTTCCTGCCTCACTCTGCTTAAATTCTTCGGGAGCTTCTCCTGGCACTTTCAATAGTAGCCTAGCCTGAACGTAGCTTCAAAGAGCTACAACAATCCGGCCTCATTTTCTTCTCACAACATTCTCTCTTGATTCTTTGCGATGCTCCTCTTTTCTGTCCTCTTCTTTGTCCTCAATTTTACCAAGCTCTTTTCTACTTTAAGGGTCTCTTAATTATGAGGTTTGCATATGCTATTCTCATTGCTTGGAATGACCACTCTCCCCATATCCATCTTTATTAATTTGATTTAAATATCACTTCTTCAAAGAAGCCTTCCTTGACTATATGCTCTATTCCAATTAAATCTGATCAGCTTATTTATTTTTTCATTGTAGCTTTTCCTCTTTATCACTATTTGTTATCAAAGGTTTCTTTGTGTGATTATTTAAAGTCTATCTTCTCCTCTTGAATATAAAGTCCATTTACAAAATGATAAAACACCAATTTCTTGGCTGGGTGTAGTGGCTCATGCCTATAACCCCAGCATTTTGGGAGTCTGAGGTAGGAGGATTGTTTGAGTCCAGGAGTTCAAGACCAGCCTGGGTAACATAGTGAGACCCTATTCTCTACAAAAAAAAAAAAAAAAAAAAATTGAATTAGTCTAGTACAATGGCTCGTACCTATGGTCTCAGTTACTCTGGGGTCTAAGGTGGGAGGGTTGCATGAGCCCAGGAGATTTTGGCTGATGAACCTTGATTATACCACCACACTCCAGCCTGGGTGACAGAGCAAGACTTTGCCTCAAATAAAACAAAAAAAACAGAAAAATTTTCTTTTCTATTTTCTGTGTTTATGTTATACATAAGCACAGTGCTTGCCAAAATGGCAATTAATATATGTTTATAGGCCGGGCACGGTGGCTCACACCTGTAATCCCAGCATTTTGGGAGGCCAAGTTGGGTAGATCACTTGAGATCAGGAGTTTCAGACCAGCCTGGGCAACATAGCGAAACCCCGTCTCTACTAAAAATACAAAAATTAGCTGGGTGTGGTGGCACACACATGTAGTCCCAACTATTCAGGGGGCTGAGGCAGGAAAATTGCTTGAACCAAAGAGTGGGAGGTTGCAGTGAGCTGAGATCACCCCACTGCACTCCAGCCTGGGCAACAGAGTGAGGCCGTGTCTCAACAAACAAACAAAAAACATCAAAAGAAAGATATCCATAGTGATCCATATCCATTGTTTATGGTATCTCCCCTTAGTCTTCTTTTTTCTAGGTCAACCACTTGGTTATTTTACTGTTCCCCGTATGACATGGTTTTTAAAACTTTCTTCAGCTTGGCCCCATATTTTTGATATACCGTGTTTTTCAATGTTTTCCCTTAAATGTATAGAACTAATTATAATATGCCAGATGTGATCTAATAATAGGAGAATGTAATGAGATCATTCTTTCCACTGTCCTTTTTACAATGTCTATTAATCTAGCCTAAGGTGGTGGTATTCTTTTTTAGCAGTCCTATCACCACTGGTGCATATTAAACTTATGATTAATTGAAGACCATAAATCTTTTTTCTCCCTAACTAAAGTTCCTTGCTAGAAAACCTCATTTAAAATTGTATATTTCATGTTTTTAACTGATATACATCATTACGCACTTATCACGTCCTGTTACCTTTATTCCTAAGTATCGTATATGGTATCTTTTTAAGGTTTGTTTCATGTGTAATTTGGCTAACCATATTTACTTTGATCACATTCAATGTACAAAAAGCAAGGGCCAAAGGCAGAAATTTGTATTTCACCCCCCAGGTAGGGTCAAAGAATCACATATTTTTGTTTATACAGTGTGTGCGTATATATATATGTATATGTATATGTATATACATGTACATATGTGTGTATGTATATGTATATATATGTACGTGTGTGTGTGTATATATATATGTGTATATATATATATATATATATATGAATTAGTCCTGTACATTTAAGGAAGAACATTGAAAAAAATAGTATGGCAAAAAATATATAAAGAATATGTATTTAAATAAACTTGTTTTTTAAATTTTAGCATTTGCTTTTAAAAATGTTAGTAAGAGTGGTGGTCTAAATAATGTACACATGCCTCATTTTATTGCGCTTTGCAGCTACTGTGTTTTTTTACAAACTGAAGGTTTGTGGCAAACTTTGGTCCAGCAAGTCTATTGGCATCATTTTTTTTTTTCAACAGCATGTAATCACTTCATATCTTTGTGTCACATTTTGGTAATTCTCACAATATTTCACGCTTTTTCATTTTTATTATATCTGTGACAATGATCTGTGATCAGTGATCTTTGATGTGACTATTATAGTTCTTCAGGAACACCATGAGCCACATCCATGTAAGACCGTGAATTTAATTGATAAATGTGTGGGTTCCGACTGCTCTATTGACAGGGTATTCTCCAGTTGCTCATCCACTGGTCTCTCTCCCTCTGCCCTCAACCAGGCCTCCTTATTTTCTAAGTCACAACAATATTGAAATTAAGCCAATTAATAACCATACAATGGCCTCTACGTGAAAGGAAGGGTTGCCTCTAACTTTAAATCAAAAGCTAGAAATGATGAAGCTTAGTGAGAAAGGCATGTTAAAAGCTCAGACATGTTGAGCCATAGGCCTCTTGCACCAGTTAGCCAACTTGGGAATGCAAAGGAAATGTTTTTGAAGGAAATTAAAACTGCTACTCTTGTGAGCACATGAATGGTAAGAAAGCAAAATAGGTTTATTGCTGATATAGTTTTAGTCGTCGGGATAGAAGACCAAAACAGCCTCCAAATTGCCCTAAGTAAACTAAAACCTAATCCATAGCAAGGCCTTAACTCTCTTCAATTTTATAAAGCTTCAGAAGAAAAGTTTGAAACTATCAGAGGTTGGCTTATGAGGTTTATAGAAAGAAGCCATCTCCATAACATAAAACTGCAAGGTGAAGCAAGTGCTGATGTAGAAGCTACAGTAAGTTACCCAGAAGATCTGGCTAAGTTAGTTGATGAAGGTGGCTATGCTAAAAAGATATTCAATGTATTCAAAACAGCCTTATATTGGAAACAGATGCCATCTAGGACTTAACTAGCTAGAGAGGAGAAGTCGATGCTTGGCTTCAAAGCTTCAGAGAACAGGATGACTTTGTTAGAGGCTAAAGCAACTGATGACTTTAAGTTGAAGCCAATGCTCATTTACCACTCTGAAAACATTAGGGCCCTTAAGAATTATGCTAAATCTACTCGAGAATTATGCTAAATCTACTCTGTCTGTGCCCTATAAATGAAATGACAAAGCCTGGATGACAGCATGTCTGCTTACAGCATGGTTTACTGAATATTTTAAGCCCATTATGAAGACCCACTGCTCAGAAAAGAAGCTTTCTTACAAAATATTACTATCATTACAATGTACCTGGTCAGCTGAGAGCTCTGATGAAGATGCACAAAGAAATGAATGTTGTTTTTCTGTCTGCTAACACAACATCCATTCTTCAGCCTATAAATCAAGGAGGAATTTTGACCTTCAAGTCTTATGATCTAAGAAGTACATTTAATAAGGCTATGGCTGCCATAGATAGAGATTCTTCTGAGGGAGTCTGAGCAAATTAATTTGAAAACCTTTTGGCAAGGATTCACCATTCTAGATGCCATTAAGACATTCATGATTCACAGGAGAAGTCAAAATGGCAACATTAACAGGAGTTTGGAAGAAGTTTACTTCTACTGTCATAGATGACTTTGAGGGGTTCAAGACTTCAGTGGAGAAAGTAACTTTAGATGTGGTGGAACTATCAAATTGAACTAACTGGAGCCTGAAGATGTCACTGAATTGCTACAGACTCATGACAAAACTTGAATGGATGAGAAGTTACTTCTTATGGATGAGCAAAGAAATTGGTTTCTTGAGATGGAAACTATTCTTGGTGAAGATGCTGTGGACATTGTTGAAATGACAACAAAGGATTTGGAATATTATGTAAGCTTACTTGATAAAGCAGCAGCAGGGTTTGAGAGGATTGACTCCAATTTTGAAAGAAATTCTACAGGTAAAATGCTATCACACAACATTGTGTGATAGAAATCTTGCATGAAAGGAAAAGTCAATCAATGCAACAAACTTCATTGTTGTCTTATTTTAAGAAATTGCAACAGCCACTGCAACCTTCAGCAACTACCATCCTGATAAGTCAGCAGCCACCAACATCGAGGCAAGACCCTGCACCAGCAAAAAGATTATGACTGCAGAAAGCTCAGATGACTGACCTAGAGGGCTTAGAAGACAATATGGTCCATGGGTCTTATTTTCCTCTACGATTATTGCCTTGTTCTAAGAAGTGAAATTAATGAATGCAATACAAACTCATGATAATTTGACTTACAATTATTTTAGCCTTTATAGAACCATTCACTAGAAACATTCATAATTCCAGTTCCATTCAGAAAACATTTGTTGAGCCCCGCCTCTCTGAGCAGCTTTGTAGAAATGCTGTTCTCAAAGACAGGTTTGACCCATTGGCCTATTGGGATCACTGGGAGAGAAAGGTAGGGAATTCTCTTAGTTTGATGAGAAATCTGCATATTTCACAGCCTTTCTTATCTATGATGCACCCTGTTGAAAAAAAATCTCGGTTTGTATTTAAGATTATGTTGCTTTGTTGTGCCACAGCAGGACATGGAATAGTAGGAAAAATGTTGTTGGATATATTAAAGAAGTATAAATCTGGAATTTGCTTTAAAATTCTTTCAAACAAACAAGTGAGCATCACCATAGAATTGATGGAGGATAAAGCTGGGCGCGGTGGCTCACGCCTGTAATCCCAGCACTTTGGGAGGCCGAGGCAGGTGGATCACTTGAGGTCGGGAGTTCAAGACCAGCCTGACCAACATGGAGAAACCCCGTCTCTACTAAAAAAAAAAAATACAAAATTAGCCGGGGTGGTGGTGCATGCCTGTAATCCCAGCTACTCGGGAGGCTGAGGCAGGAGAATCGCTTGAACCTGGGAGGTGGAGGTTGCGGTGAGCTGGGATCGCTCCATTGCACTCCAGCCTGGGCAACAAGAGTGAAACTCCATCTCAAAAAAAAAAAAAAAAAAAAAAAAAAAAAAGAATTGATGGAGGATGGAGGATAAAATGACTATTACATGCAATGAAAAAATGAAAGTAGAAAAAAGAAGACAGAGATGATTAAAGTAGTTGAAGAAAGGAGTCATTAAGAGAGGTGAGTTTGCTCTTAAGCATCAGCAATGCTGAATTTTATGACTCCAGTAAGAAAAAAACATAAAACAGGATCTCTTTTTATAAAACATTTTTCCAAAATAAATTTAATTTTAAGTTATAGAAATATTATTAGGTATATTTTCCAGATTACTAAAGAAACCCTGGATTCATGCCGTCCCATAACTGCTATTATTACTATCATGGTTACTTTTGCAACTAGTAGTGTATTAGTAATAGTCACCATTTATTCAACTACTTTATGTGCCTATAGGCTGAATTCTTTTAAAATATCATTTCATTTGTCTATGATACAACCATGTAAGATTGCTATTAGTAGATGTCAGTATTGCCCCCATTTTACAGATAAACATGAGGCTTAGGGAATTAAATAACTTGTTTAAGGTCTCACAGCTTCTAAATGGCACAGCCTGACTTTAGACTTCACTTCCTTTTTATGGAATAACAAAGGGGAGTAATATTATCAAAATGCAGAGTTATAAATATTACTCTTAGAAGTGTAACAATTGATGTAAAATGTAATCTTGGCTTCACTGACTAATATCAATCAATAAACTAAACTATTTACTTATTCAGCTGTACAGGTGTATTTTTATAATTTGATACTGTTATTGACCATATTCATAACATAAAATACAGAAATCAGGAAAGCATGAAACAGAAATGACAGTGATTTTATTAAAGGTGTAATGTCTATGTTCTTTAAAGGTGGAGAGTATGTTTTCTATTTTATTGCAAATATAATATTTGGTATATTAAATATAAAGTCAGAGCTTGAAAAATTTAATGATGTAAACATAAAGATGCTTTATTTGGTTATGTGTATGCATTTATGATACAATCACGGAATGTCATCATTAAAATGTATACCTATTGAAACTATGTGCATATGTACACACACACATCTATATACACACAATCATGCCATGTTTCATAAACATATAATTATGTTTTGAAATAACATGTTTCATAGACATATAATTATGTTTTGAAACATATTCAGCTATATAGACATAAATAAATATGCAGACAGACCCCCTACTTACAAATGATTGTTTCAAAAA
The DNA here is from genome assembly GCF_000001405.40 of Homo sapiens. Classification (NCBI taxonomy): domain Eukaryota; kingdom Metazoa; phylum Chordata; class Mammalia; order Primates; family Hominidae; genus Homo; species Homo sapiens. The sequence goes on along the minus strand of NC_000001.11, from coordinate 81,317,734 downwards.
ATTTTAAGAACAGTTATATTTTCAGTCCAGCAACTATGATTTACTTATTTATCCCTCAATTCCTGAGATAGTATTTTAAGTATAATTTAAGATAAACCCTAACACTCTTTACTATACTGTTTCTAGAGACAAACTTGACTTTATTCAACAACAAATCTTAACAGAGGAGTTACTATGTTCCACAAACTATGCAGATGTTAGTGATACAACATACAACTCTCAAAACATTTATAGTCTAGAATGGGATATAGAAAAGTCAGTCAACAGAGCTCAGAGGGATACAGTGGGATGGTAACACCAAGGAATGCCATCGCAATCAGACCAGTCAGTGGCACTTTCCTGAATGAAGTGATGAGTGCCTGGAGAGTTCTGAGGGATGAAAAGCAGTGAGCCAGATGCAGTATGGGATTATGTGGGGTTGAGGGTTGGGGAGAGAGATACAACAGAGTTGAGACAGAGTGAAGAAATACCTCCTTCTGAGCTACAAGAAAGGGTTTTTATCCTTGGTACTACTGACATTTTGGGAAGAATTAGTCATTGTTGTGGGGGTTGTGTTATGTATTCTAGAATGTTTGGCAGCATATGTAGCTTCTACCCCACTAGATGCCCATAGTACCAGTACCTCCCACCCCCAACCCAAATCAAAAATGCCTCTCAAAATTACCAAATGTCACCAGGGAAGCAAAATCATCCCTAGTTGAGAATCACTGTTGTAAAGAAAAAGACAGACAGATAGCATTGGACACTAGGATAACTTCCTAACTTTTCATTGACAAAGAAAGGTCAAATTCCATTTGCGCTTTCCCAACATTGCTCCCTAGATGCCCTAAATCGGGGTGGATGAGAGATAGTCATATATGCTTTTTAATGTATCCTCTAACTACCTGGGATCTGGATGTTTACAATTCAGAGATTGCTTCTTTCTAGGCATGAGTATAGGTACATACACATACATACATACACAGCAAAGACATAAATCAGAATGTCTCTGATTTGGCTATAATATTTAATGATCATCCAGCTTTCATTTCTATATCTTGTCAGCAAAAAATTTTATAAACTTTCCAGAATATAATACATGCCTTCTGTCAGAAATAGGAGTTGAATCAACCTTGCGTATACCATGTTAGTGTATAAATTCCAAGAGTCTCCTTAAAGGGGGAACATCTGTTTAGTGAAGTTTCATTATTTTCCTCTTTAAAGAAAGAATAAGCTATGAAAATGATAAAATATGATTGGCCTAAAACACAATATATCCAACTTTAATCATTTTCTAAATCCAAAGATATTTTTAGATGAAAGCAAAGGAGGTCATTTTCAAATAATTTTGTGAAACTTAAGCCTACCCAGAGGAAAGGTAATTTTGTTTGATCCTGAACATCAAGTGAATTTGTTCACCAAACCATTTATTCCAAAAGGTAATTAAAATAATGTAAAATTGATCCAGTATAGGTTTAACAAAATTAACTAATTATAATCTGCTTAAACCATTTAACCTTTATGGTTCCTTTAAAAGTGTTTGATTTTCTTTGAAAAATAAACAATGTACTTTAAAAAGGTGGTGTCTCCTTGTCTACCTTTCTTCTTTTTTCTTTTTTTTTTTTGTTTTTTTGGTAGATGATCCTATGCTAAGATGCCAATACAACAAATAGAGTAGACAAACAGCTAAGGGAAGAAAGGAAGATTTCCCTTTAAGTCAAGGGCACACATGAGAAGGAAAATATTATAAGATGAGGAAATAAATATGAGTTCTGTTACAGTAAGTATTCATGTCAATGTCTCAGAACTTATGCCAAACTTCCAAGTGAAATGTGTATCAATTATCTTCCTTCAGATATTCAAGTTGACTTATGGACAAAATATATACTGCAACTTAGCATTTGTTTATTTTCAATTGCTTTCCATTTATTCAAGTTACTTTCAGACAGACATATTTTAAAAAGTTCAACAAATCAAAAAAAAAAACTAATTGCCGATCACTAGCTACATTTATTTTGAACTTATCTATTCTAATACTGAGTAGATGTCAAAATTCCAAAGGGTTTGCATGGGCTCTTAGTGTCTGTGAGAGGTAGAAAATAGTGACGTAAGAGAAGAAATGTGCTGTGACAGCTCTATCTTTTAAAAAGAGTGGAAGAACTAGGAGCTACCTCAGGGGAAAAATGGTAGAAGTAACCATAAGCCCTGAGGGACTTTCTAATCCATATCTGTCTATTATTAATTCATTATAATTTACTATTTTATTTTGGAGATAAAATTGTCATTATGTCATTTCTAAACCAAATGACATTATAAAAGACCCCCAGTGGTAAGAGGTATTAACTGAAGTAACTGTCACTGCTACATAGAGTAAAACAAGTTAAACATTGGGAAAAAAGCAATCTGGATGTGATTTTTTTTTTATGGCAAAGAATCAGGTCACCCCTTATACTGAGGTTAATTTGTTGACTCATATTTCCACTTATCCAATGATATTGTATCACATGAACAAATCTCTACCTCTAATCAATTTTTTTATCGAATTGTGACCTTTAATGCACCTTCTTTTTTGATTATGAATGACAGTGACCTTTACGTAATTTAAAGCAGACACTCTGATGCAAAATTATGCAAACTACACATGTAAATTCTGAATCAAACTAAAGATGTGCATAATCTACTGGTGAGAAATTATTTCAGAAGACATTTATATTAAGGCTGAATGAGGTATCTGAGTGTAAGTGAATTAGTCAGCATACAAATGGTTGGTTGGAAGAGTTGCAAAGACCAAATGCTGTTTATATTTTCTCAGCTTCTATTTAGAAAACTGAAATGTCAATATATGTATCAATTTTTATTATTTTACTCAGCATTTTATGGCATTCAGGAAATGATCACAATGTTATAAAGTCAGACAAGATTATTTTTCAGAGGAGTTGGCAAACTGTGCCTGAATATTCAATTCATTGTCATTTCTATTCATTTTCTGCTGCACAAAAGCCTGGTGAAATTCTGCCACAGCATGTGTAACATGTTGACTTCCTGACACTATTTTATCTCATTAAAGAGGAACTTTATGTCCAATAGCATCTGGCAGTCAGTAGTGTTTCTAGGATATATTTAGAAACTACTATCTCAAGGAAAAAAGTTAAAGAATAAAGGAAGCATGTTTGTGTTGAGAATTGGATGAATATCCTGTTCCAGACCTACCTCCTGATTCTCCTTTTTTCTACTGGCTCTTTCTTTTTTTCTGTGGATTAATACAAATGGTTCTGAGCTGATATTACTGAGGGCAAACCCTGCTCTGGGTACAAACTAAAATGCGGCCTAATCCTATAATCCACTCTCTCCTTTCTCAAGCCATTCCATTTTACACAGTGCTGTTAATGCAAACTGGACATTGTTGCTTCTCAAATTATACTTTGTCTTCCATACACACACAAAAATACCGAAATATAAGTACATCACACATGCTTAAAACACATAATCCACAGTCTGCACTTTATGACATAGATACACATGTATATGGGTTTATATATGATGAAGATTACGTCACAGCAGTAAGCCATTGAGTGCATTTCACTGTCAGAACCGCACCAAACAGTACCTGGCACAAGCATGTACTTTCATGATTAACACCAGGGGGTTGTCAGATTGCTATATCTGAAATAAACAGATTTACCCTGACAGATAATCAGCATTTTGCACTGCCTAATACATGTTTATCTTTCACTATCGACGTAATTACACTAACAGTGCACTTAATATCATCTTTCATAGGAAATTAAACAGGTTTGAATGATATACTTATAATGGATTGGGGACAGAGTATGAAGGAGAGAAATATCAATACTAGATGTTTTGGGAGAACACATACATGAAGCAATGATGAGGGAATCAATGAACACCAGAAAAAAATCAATGGCAGTCTGTGTTTAAGGAATTCATTTACATAGTTTCCAAAGAAATCAGAAAAATCCTACAAGCTGTGAAATACCCTCTTGATTTTTTCATGTCCTGATGCTTCTTTTCTTCTGACATGTGCTCTGTGCTCTCCTCTCACACAGAAAAAGCTAAGAAGGAGAGTCCTCTTAGAATGAATTTTATATTTGTCTGATCCATAGTCAACTCTTTCAAAAGTTTGCAATCTGCCTTTCGAACTTTGGTACTGGAAACTCATAGTGGCCTGCACAGATACCACTTTCAGAAGGAAATTCAGCAAGCTCTGAATTAGCACCTATCACCCGAGTGGCTAAGAGCAGACAGGCATGCCATTTTAAGAGCCGTAGAAATTAACACGTGCTGGTCCATAGGCATCAGGCCTTAAGGATATTAAATCAAGACCTGAGAAGCAGAATTGGGTGAAAATGTTAATTTAAATCAACATTATAAATGTGACCCCCAGCATAGGAAGCATCTTTCTTTAAGGATATGCTAATTTACACCTGTGGTCTGCTCACTGACTGTGAGAAGACCTAAGAATTTTAAGCCTCACTTTGTTAGTAACAGGTTAGGATCAGCGCTTTGATGTCCCATAAATCTCTTTTCTTTTCTTAGCTACAAAATAAAATGAAGTCATGAAACATTTAAATACTTATGTCTGTGAGTGGGATCCAGGGTACTATAAATTTGATTTTGAACAGAAAACAAAATGAGGATAGAGAGGTACTTCAAATGTCTTCAGTGAACTTAGTATTGTTTTGGGCATGTAGCAGACATTATTTTATTTCTTTACTATAAAGCTGAGAAATGGGTATTTTTTCCATTTAAGGAAGCTGAAGCTCAGAGAGATTCAATAATACTCTCCGTATATTGTATTCCAACTTAGGTCTGTCTGTCTGAAACTAGTACTCTTTCTGTTTCATTATGTTTTCTCTGTAAATTCAGTTTACATGATTTTTAAATGTCTTTGGTTTTTGTTTTCCAGTGAAGAATGCAGAACTTTAAACCAAGGTCCTACATCCCTCTCATCAATTAGAAATACATATCCACAGTCACCTGTAAACTGCTCCATCCCTCTCTGAATCCGATAACACCCCAGAAGCCAGTATACAATGGCTTTTCACTTGCTAATCAAAAGGATTTCACAAATACTCTTAACATCTCAATGGCTAAAGGCTGAAAAAATGAAATGACTAAGAGCTGAGAAACAAAATGCCTCTAGCATGTGGTTAGAGTACCTCAATGGGTAGAAAATCCATATGTTTAGTTCCTTTACCTACCCCGAATATTTGGAGGAACTGGGACCTTTCCCCTGGGCCCTGGCACCCAGAAGGGGAAAGAAAGTTCTGCTTTCTATCCACGTTTGTGAACCCCAAACTCCTTTTTCTGTTTTGCTCCTGCCAGCACTGCCTCCTGAGGTCCACGTCTCATTGTTCCAGGAGCATGCTGGCTGGCGATCATTGTAACTTGGAAGCTGCCCTGAAACCCACTTCTCTGACAGGCTCTACCTCCACATTGGTTGGGTGATGGCGTCCGCCCGGGTAAAACTGGATTTGCAAAATTCCTTTTAGAACCTGATTTATGGTTGTAAACTCTTTCTGTAGATTTCTTATTGGATTGACTATTCCATAGTTTGCCTTAAAAGCCACCTTACATTCTCTTTGCTTCCATCGTTGCTTAGGACCCTAACTCCTCTTAACGTATTCATTCCTGGAGAGCCAAAGTTTCAGGACAAAGAATAATTTCCTTTAAGATTAATTATTATTTCCATTTCATTTATAGTGTCTGAAGATTTAGTGACAGAGGTTTAAAAGCTGAAAACTGAAGTTACTAAAAAATGCCAAAGTCTGAATTGTTTAAAATCTCCTAAACCCTCCTCTCCTCATCTCTTCCCCATTCCCCCACTGTCTTCTATATTTCTGTATTTTACTCTTTGTCTTTCAGTCTCCTTCTTTTCTTAACTTTTCACCTTGGTTCTTTTACCAGTTGCCTCTCCTTTTAACTTCCAAAAAGAGAAATCATAGTATATATTTTTTATCCATTGGAATAATTTCCTTTCTTGTTGCAATTTTTAAAATTAAGCATGTGTAAATTTTAATATGCTGTCAGAGAGCGTAGGCTCAGTATTTGGAATATAGCTAAGTCTTAAGAAATGTGTTGGATGGATAGATGTTCCTCTCAAATTTGTTTCCTCCTGAAACAAATTTTAAAAAATATATAACATAAGCTAACTCGATTTTTACAAAATTCAATCAACCATTCAAATATTAATCAAGAGTAGGCTTTAGTCTTAGTGCTGAGGCTAGGACTGTGAAGGACACAGATTAAATATGATTTTCACCCTCAAGTAGTTTACAAACTACTGGGAATACAAGAATATGACCCATGAAACAACCTGGGAAATATGAAAAAAGAACGTAATTAGAGGCTGACTTGTGTGATATAAACTGCAGGCATTGAGAATAGACAGAAAAGAGGTCTCAATTACAGAAAGGGCACTTGATTAATTTTTCCGGGAGAAGATAGAAGGAACTATGTATAACAACAATCATAAAACAACAACAACAGTAACAAACAGACTTTCTAATCCTGGTACATCTTATCTAATGAAGTTTTGCTTACCAAAATGTACGTCTTATCTAATGAAGTTTTAGTTTTGAGCTTGTATATGTTAACTGTCCAGTCTAAACTGATTGCTAATACATTTCAGAGTTAAGTTGTTTAAATATTTTTGCACACCTTCCTCAGTGAGAAAAATCCCTTGGTTTTATATTTAATTTCAGGAAATTGACATCTTTTTAGATAGGGAGCTCAGTATTACAGCCAAAGAATTTAGTAATGAGGGACACGTTCTTCAAATGGTTGTAGGTCAGTTTTAACTCCATTGAATGTTTCTATCAACACAGACTCAAAATCACCATCCTCTGTTCTCTTCTCACCACTCCTCCCTTTTTTTTTTTTTTTCTTTCAAGGAGAGAACAACCAAGTAACAGAGAAATCAAATCTGAAAAGAATGTCTCACAGGCTAAGGGACTCACTCAGCAAGAGATGATGGCAGGGTTAGCTCAAATTTAAATTAATTCCCAACCTTTCCCATACCAATGGTCGACATCTAACTTGGCTAATCTGGGCAAAACTGATATATTAAAATAACTTTAAAGATAGGTTCTTGGGCTTTCTGCCTGCCAGCAGATAGAGGTTGTGGATATACAGGGCAGTCCATCTGCCTGATACTTCAAAGATCTAAAAAGAATGCTGGTATCACAGAATACAATCAAAATTGTTTTTCATTTGTTACTTGAGAAATGTGTAGCTTGCTCAATTGCTACTGACCCATGTTCTGCAAACTTCTGCCACTTGATTATGTGTTGATGATGTTTGGGTTTTTGTTTATATTAGATATCTGATATCCACAGGTCAAATAAACACAGTCTTTGAATCAGATACCTATGAGTTACATGCGTAATAGTTCATCTTTTCACATTGGGAGGAAAGAAAGTGGGAGACAATTCAAAGGCTATCCCAAATAGACAGAAATAAGGCCACAAATGCTGCCCTGTATAGACCTGTTCTTACTCAGTTCTCCTTAAGGAGATAACAATTACTGACACAAGAACAGATAATTATATTCAATGTTTCACCGTCAGACCGTTTAAACATGCATTGCTACTTCATTTCTTTTCTTTATCTGCTTTTCTAATGTGCTGGTGTATTTTGGCTGGGGAAATTTTCATTCAGATGCATCCAGTGCAGTGAAAGGTAAGGAAAAGAGCCACTACTACCCAGAATATTTTGAAGAAAGGTATGACAAGACAGAAAAAAGTATTTTTTCTGATGTGAACAGTTGTTTGCATCAAAATTTTAATTGTTATCAGAACTTCAATGGAGTTGCTAGGAAAGGTAGTTAGATAAAGCCTCAGGTTAATTTCCATCATTACTGAGCACTTTACACCACTGACAAATTTTAAACATATAAAGAGATGTCAATCTTGCTCTTTAGACAGAAAAACAAGGTGGGGAGTGGTGGCTCTTCAAAGGCTGTCAGTAGACAAGTCAGTCAATTACAGATCTGATTTAGTTCTTAACTCCTTGAGGTAAAAGACAAATGTTCTGTAAGAGTAACCATTCCTGACATACGTTAAATGAAACAACTTCTAAAACCTGTGTGATAATGATAATACAGATTGAGATGAAGAACTTTGAAAAGAGTTGGAAAATCAGAATCAGATATTTGAATCCAGATGACAAATGGGTAAATCGGAGCACTTTTGCTATTTGTGGGGGGTGGAATGTCCCTACTACTAGTCATCAGAGATAATTAGGAAGGCATTATTGTGTGAGTTTTCAAAGCCAGGAACAGAATAAATGGGTTCACATCCCAGTTCTGTCCCAACTGTGTGGCCTTGGCTAAGTTACTTAAACCTCTCTGTACCTCTCTTTATCTTTGAAATGGGGATGATGGTTTCACTGACCCCATAGTGGTGGTGTACAAATTTAAGTTATTACCTATAAAGCAAAATCCATTGGGTTTTCACTCAATATCATAATCAATCCATATGCAGCAATAACTTCCATGATTTAGGAAATATATACGGTATTACAGAATCCTTCTTGAAATTTGAAATATTTACAGAAGATATAGGCAGTGAATGTCTGCTGATGACGCACATCATTTCCCCTTAAGCAGGGTCGCAAGTTTCTACAGCCCCAGTGAACACTCCTGAAGTTAGATAAAACTTATTAACACCTTCCATAGCATCCTTTTAAGATGATAATTTATCTTTTTAACTGTACTCAGTAAAAGCAGCAGCAAAGAGCCAGGTGGGAATAACAACATGGTATTATATATAGCCATAAAGTTTACCAGTTCTATAGATTCTGCTGCAAGGCACACTAAAATGGAGTAAAATGTAACTTGTCTTGAACAGTTGCTTGAATGAGTTACTAGAGGAATGGCAAGTTTACAGATGAGGCAAAAGAAACCCAAGGGAGTTGAAGGCTGTGACCATTTTATTTTGGATGCATAGTTGTAAAACCTAACTTAAGGCATACAAGTTAGGTCTTTGGAGAGTTTTCTCAGAGGTTTGCAAACAAATGCGAAAGTCTATAAAATATGTGCTTTTGAAATAAGTCTCTGTGAAATGATGGTGTGACATTCCATGGGGAGTGCCTTTATACCTGTCAAACCCTGGTAATTTGGTTGAAAAGAGAATGTCTCATTGTTTGCATTTTCTCTGTCCCCAAAAGATCTCCTTGGCCACTTTTTATATCTATCCTCAGCTTGACTGCTGACAGAGTATTACATGGCGTTCCTTTGTTCTGAAAGGGCATCCTTTAGTTTCACACTAGTCTCAAGTTCACATAATCAGGCAATCCCACGCACCTTTCCATCTGTTAAGGTTTTCCTGTGTAGGGTGCTGTTCTCAAACTCGTTTTAAATATGAAATTGTCATCCTTTACTGTTAGTGACAAATCCTTTTCTTTCCCTGTAATGCTGAAGGTGTGAATGGAATTCTCCAGCGACAGTGTCTGTGAAGAAGATATTCACGGACAACTACATGGCTCAAATAGATAAATTCAATTAGCCCTTCCTGGAAAGCCTCAGTTTACTTTACAACTCGGCATTTCAAAGAATTTTAAAGAAATTCTAATTACTGTGTAATAAATAAGTCAAATTCCTCTTCTCTCACTGTGAAGGTCTTTTATTACCCACTGCTATAAAACATATACCTTTTTTTTTTCGGTTGCTATCCTAGCCGAGTAGCTTGCATACCAGTAGGATCACTAAAATGCCACGAAGCAGAACATATTTATCTGTTAAATTCTACGTGCAGTAACCTAACAAATGCCAGAGACAGAAAGATTGCCCTCTGCACAGTAATACTTGTGTAGATGTCTTCTTTATGCTAACAATGACAGGGCTTCATGCCTTGTACTGTACTCAAAAATCAAGGCGCATTTTTTTTTACAATAGAAGACTCTATCAAAAAGAAAAAGAACTGCACATTTTTGGCATTGAGATATTTTATGTGGATAATAAATTTTTTTTCCTTCGAACTTCACTAACTACAAGTATCTACCTAGAAGATGAAATGTAAGATTTATGTCATCAGAACTATTCAGTATACCAGAGGATAATTTTTTCTTCTTTTCAGGACTGTCAACTTTGTTTACTGCTTATGTTCAATTCTATCTTATATAAGAGATTAACTAGCCTTGTCATAGCCACATGTCAAATCCTTCTTAGAAAAATAAGGTAATAAATGCAAAATTATATTAATAAGGAGTACTTTCAAAGACATATTGCATTTATTGAAATCTAAATTGTAACTGGAATGTTCTAATTATATTTGTACTAGTCAAAAAGAGATTTTAAAGTCTATAATGTTATGACATTTCAGTATGTTTTAAAATTGATATGACTAAGGAGTGATTAAAATATTATAAGTAACTTCAAGGAGACACATATGAAGTAACGTAAGCCCAGGAATTGCTTACATAAATCACCATGTGTATTGTCAAATCTGCTAGACTCTTACATGCATTTTTAATCCAAACCTAATCATTTGGCTATTGAAATCATTCTCAAAAATTGATCTCAAACAGTGTTATACAAACATTCAGGTTTTTTAAAGCCTTGCTACATTAAACTTTTCTGTAATACAATTTCAATCTCAAAACAATAAATAATCACATGGATAATGACAGTAACTGAATCCTAACTATTTGTAATACTTCTGCATAGCCTAGTAACAATTTTAAAATGGTGAAGAATAAATCTATCTGACAGGCCTGTTAGCAATAAGGCCTTCAGCTTTTTGCTTTGCAGCAAAATAAAGTAAAATCTATTATTTTGTTGCTGTTGTTAAAAACATTTCAACAGTTAGTTATTTTTCACAGAAAATGCTGCAGGAGGGCTCCAGGTTAAAAAAAAAATTTGTTACGGTTGAATTTTACACTTGGCTATTATTGGCCAGCATACATAATAAGTTAAAACATACTGAGAAATTAATGTTTTTCTAAGAGGGAAAACTTGATAGAGGATTATATTTCTACATTAGAGAGTGGATACTCTAATCTTTCTGGCATTGTAAAACTGAAGCTTGCTGCAGGGAAAATAAACATTATAATACCCAGCACTTAAACAATTGTACCTATATGGTTAAGTAACAAAAGCGTGAGGCACCTGGAATCACAGTATTTGTACCTAATGCCAGCAACAATATAAAGCATTCAAGTGACATTTGATAATGAGCAGACAGTGGAGGCATTACACACGTCTTTAGAAGAATCAGACTTCCTACCTTGAAAAGACAGATGGAGGTAAGTTCCTTTATAAAAAAAAAAAAGTTGTAAGTAAAGCCAGGCAGCAGTTGCAGTAAATTGAGTCCTTTCAGTCACTGTATACATACAGCAGTTCTGCAATAAGGGGAAAAATATAATGGGAGGAGCGGCTGTGAACGAGTGACCTCCTCAAGCTGAGTCCTCTCTGTGAACCAGGCATTGAGAGCCACGGCTCCTGATTTGCATGGATTATCTCCACTTGAACAGATACAGAGCAGATACATTTAAATTGAGCTGGCACAATGGCAAAAAGATGGAAGAGTGCATGAATGAGGGACAGCGCAAGAGAGGGAGAGAGAAAGAGAAACAGACACGAGATCGGAGAGCGTGGATAAGCTGGTTCTTGCAGAACTGTGTCTCAGAAGAGCTACAGCTCCCTCTTCATGTCACAGTTGTAAGATAAGAAATGTTGTCATTAAGAACTGGTTAATCATAGAGAAAAATATACTCAGATTAGCTGATGTTTGATCCCATCCGATTTTTATGAACATTTTATGATTCTCCCTATTTTGTCATTAGGATTTTAGACAGCATACCAAAAATCTTTTATTAGTGGCCAGGTACACAAATTTGGATGAAATTCTGAGTTTTGAATGAGATCGGTGTTTTGGCTTGAATGGCGTAGACAGCAGTGAAAGAACACAGACAATTAGTTAAGTGGAATATTTATTTTGAAAGAAAATTAATCCCTGTTAACTTTCAAAGAGCCAGTGATATATACTGCAATGTAAATAGAAAATAGTACTTAAATATTTCTTAATGATTAATTATCTGAAAAGAACCCAATTGTACTACTGAATGGGAGCTTTTTAAAAATCTCTTTAAATTGTTATTTTTGTTTTTCATATGGCTTCTTATTGGCATTTCAGGGTAAAAGAAATCCCTCTCTTTGTACAATACAGTTGTATCTTTAAATAAACAATGATTATTAACTTATTCATTTAGCATCTTTGGAGTTTTTCTGGGTTGTTTTATATTCATATTCTTGTTTTAAAAATGAGAAAGAGGAGAGGGCAAATATGATCATTACTCTTGCCAACAGCCACTCAATAAGTCCATAGCAGATCTCAGAAGAAAATAATAACCCTCTTTTAGCAAGCTAATGTGAAGCCTGCCTTCTTTTGTGTAAAGGTATCTGCAGATACTTAAACAGCCCAGCAATTAGGTGAATTCAAAGGAAAAATCAGTCAAACCAACTAGTTGACTGAATTGATCATAGCCTTGTAGGAGCTAGCATTAACTTGGTGTGAACCAAGTGATATAGGTTAAATATATTTCAACAAATGGCATTAAAACTCTCAACATAAACATATGAGCATATTTGCAGGGAGTAGTAGGGAGTTCAGTTAGATTTTTGCTGCTATTGGGACTCTATAGACTGTCAGGAAAGATAAAGAATTTAAACACACTACACTTATAAGGACTCTGACTTGATGGACAGAAGTGATACTTTAAAAGAAATCTCAAGGAAAATGCCAATACACATTTCCATGAGATTTAGTGACGATCTGGAGTTTCTAAAGTATGCAGACTTAGTGACTATAACAGTGTTTAGGAGACAATTGCCTGAAAGTAAAAGGGTGAAGACAATAGTTATTTTATGTCTCTGACATCCAATAGTCTGATTGCTCTCTAAGTGGTTGGGTGACTTCTCAGGTTTTTTTCTATTTGGACACAGCTTGTACACAGGTTGGACTTGTAATGTTACTGAGGTGTTAATATTACTTTTCAGGTTGTAAACTCTTTTGAATCAGGGACCATACGATTTCCTCTAAAATATCTCCCCAAATATTTTGAAAATGTCTTTTACATATTGTAGATGTTTCATAAATTTTTGCAGAAAAAATATTGAAAATCACAGCAAAGTGTTTATATTTCCTTTACCAGTCATTTAATATAAAAATTGGATGCAGAAATTATGATGTATTCTGTACTCTCATGAATAGAAAAGGAAAGGTAAATATAAATGTCTTGTCATATAAAGAAGAGTGATAATAGTACCAGTAGTGCTAGATTGTATATTGACATGTAACCACAATTAGGTGCCCCTTATTGAAACCAGGGATGCCTTCCAGATGGCATATTTAGGGGTCTGAGTCATAACTTTCTGGACACCAGTTTTGTGACTCAGACATTTATCTGTCTGACCATGGGCAAGTTAGCTAACTTTCTTATAAAATGTGGATAATAAAATAACCTTACTTTTATGGTTGGTGTAAGAAATAAAGGAAAAGGATTAGCATAGCACCTGGGTAAACACTTAATCAGTGTAAGGTATAATTATAATTATTAAAAATCTGTTTCCATTGAACTTCATTGCCTATCTGTAAACTGGGAAGTGTTACTATGGTGTCTACTGAATGTAGAAAAAAGATGAGTTTGTTATTGGCTTTTTCTGGTCATTGTATGAGAGGGGGCTCCTTCCTGTTCCCTGACAACCAGAAAGAAGGGTGCTTTTACCTTTTTATAAAAGACAAAAATAGAAATACTGTTCTCAGGAGAGCCAGAGAGTGTTGTAGCAGCAGATCCAACCTTCTGTACAGGAATGGAAATGGCTTGTGTGGTACAATGTGAAGGGCACCCAGAAGCACTCTGGTCCAGAAATATCTTCCCATCTGTCTTCTCCTATTTCCTGAAATGCCACCATTAGGGGTTCATTTCTATGTTTTACTGGCTTCCCAGTCTCTTTTTCAATTCACTCACTACTGGCAAAATTAACACGTGAACAATTTACACTTAGAGTGACACATGAATTCACAGTAGTTTTAATTATTGTATCAGAGATACTTTTTTCTAGTAACTGGTTGAAGATAAGCATGCCAAGGAAAGGTCAGATTTCAGTTAAGGTAGAGAGAAAGCTCCTTTGGCGTATGTGGCGCTGTGTGGGGGTAATGAGGATGGCGCCCTACCTGTGCTGCTAGTGTGGGAGGGACCTTGCAGCAGCAACTCAGAGAGTGACTGTGGAGGTGCTGGCCTCCTGGTTCACCAGAATGATGAGGAGGGATTCATTCATTCATTTATTCAATAAAAACGCAGTGTTTTGTCACAAGAACCTAGGGTATATATATGAAAATGTATCGTCCTTGCCTTCAGTTTTTAGCGGAAGTGATGGAAACAGGTAGGTAAACAGATTGATACTAATATTGGACAACTGTACAAAGAAAAAACATTCAGAGGAAAGAAAGTAAAGAAGGCAAAACACAGTTGGGGGTAATTAAGGAGTTCTCTGTAGACTAGATGATGCTTCATGTGACTCTTGACGACAGAGTAGGAGCTGTTTGGGCAAGTAAGGGATGCAGGAGGAGAAGGCCGGGGTGAATGAACACGAGGACGGAGGGCAGGACAGCAGGAGAGAGCGCCACGAGCCGGGGCAATCAGTGGCATATGCTCAGAGCATAGAGTAGAGGATCAGTGGGAACTGGAGACAGACCAACTGGAATGTTAGGGCACGACTGGGGAGCAGGTCACAGAAAGGAGAAACACTGGGCATAAGCATGATGGGTCATTTGTACCTCCTGGGCCTCAGCCTTCTGCTTGCACATGCGTTCTTCCAGGCTCCCCAGACCTGGGAACACACACATAGAGAAAAGTTTAAATGACAAGGAGTGCTGTCTACCGTGACAAAAAGGGGGATATAGTGCCAATTAGATTAGAGATCTAAATATTTAGGGAGTGGAAATGTTCCAAAATTGTTTGTGAGTATCTGCCACCCCATTTCCTAACCCAAAATGGGTATATTCTTATATGAATTAAAATTAATTGTATTTGGAGACTTCGGGTGCAGCAAATCAAGGTGGGAATTGCTGCTGGAGTCCTGGAAATCATTTAGCTTAGAAAAAATATCGCACTTTGAAATCCTTAGGGAGATGGATTACCAGCATTAATGCCATTAATGTTAATGATGGGTAATAATTAGAAAATTATATTTATAAAACAATAATGATAATCGAGTCAAACCAAATAGCAAACCTCCCAAGTCTAATATAAGACACTATAAGCTTCCCATTCTCTTCTATTGCTTGAATTTTAGTTTTTTTGACATATTTATCCAGAAAATATTGAAGTTTCTATACTTAACCCAGGAATGACAAATTGCTTCTTGTAAATATTACGCTTACAGTAAAATTCACTATAAGATAAATGATTACATAGATATTGGACCCAGTAGTGGGAAATACATTTGAATTCTAATAAGGACTGGTTCAAGCTTAAAAACAATTAATAACTGTCAATTTCCCATAAACACAATGACAAGTAAAACCTCCAGAAAGGGCACCTAAACCACAAATGATTAAAAAATTATGCTGATTAACAGAATGACTGACTATATTAGGATTATTTTAAATTATCTTTCGATTGTAGCCCTCCCTCCTCACCCCCACTGGCTACAATGGAGGTTGAAAGAGTGGTTTCATTCAACATTCCACTCTTTTCCCAAAGATTTAAAAACTATTTAATGTTCCATAGTAGCCAGGGAGGTATGCTATTTGAGTTTCCCTTCAATAAAAACCTTGTGGTTCTGCGGCAAGGAATGAAGTTAGCTAACAGACTCCACCTTCAGAATTCACCTTATCAGGTAGTTCTTAGAGAATGACCAAGCTTAGTGGGTTTCTTTAGGCCTGTCTCTTTCCGCCCAGTGCAGGATTCCTCTCATGGGCAGCTTTTATTCCTAGTTCCCTTTGGGTTGGTCAAGACTGTCAGATTTTCACTGTGGTCTGAGGCTTACCTGCTCAACCCCGACTTTTTCCTCTTTTGATTTTCAGAGGTTTGGGTCCCTGATCAAACTCTTAAGACTCTTACATCCCTGTTCCCTCTCAGTGTTTGTTTCCCAGCAGACACAAGTTCCTAACAATTAACAATTTTTACGTGATGCAGAACCAACCCTTTTTTCTCATTCCTTCACTTCAATGTTCACAGAACTGGTCTGGCTCTCATGTATCCATAGGACTCCTAGACAGCTCCACAGCCATTTCTACTTCCCAGATATTCTTATTTTTGGAAAAATATTCTTTGCAGAGGTAAAGGTTCTCCAGGACTTGCTCCCACTGAATTGGTTCTCAGATTACTGCTTTGTTTCCACACCTCTGGTGTACTGAGTACAAAACATAAGCACTCTACCAAACACAGAATTGAATAGCCCAACAGACTTATTAGACTAACTGCAACAGACAGACAGGCAGCACAAACAACAGGTTGATGTACTTAGATCAATAAGGCTCTGGAAGACATTCAGGCTCAGTGCTGAAAGAAGTTCACATTAAGGAGGGTTTGAAAGATGTAAGAGAATCTAAAAGGATCTTGCTGGTAGGTAGTGTGAATTATTTGTGATATAAAGAGTGACAGAGAAAAATGGATGAAGCTTTAGGAATGAAGTCGTTAGTGAAAATGATTGGGCACTGGGATTTTAAATTCAATTCCTAGCTCTACTACCAAGGTACTTATATGTTTCCATTGCAAAAAGGATAAAAACTTGCCGTTGTATTCCATTTGTAAAACACTACCTGTTTCTCAGACAATGACATTGCTTAACAATAAAGGCATATCACTATTATAGAATCCTTTGCATTTTAGATTCTAAGATGAACATCAATAAGGAGGAAAAGAATCCTTTTGAAAAACTTTGGCGCCTGCAAGACATTCCTAAAGAAAGCAAGAAAGCCAACTGACTTATGCGAAGAAGGTATCTACCTTGGCCGGGCGCGGTGGCTCACGCCTGTAATCCCAGCACTTTGGGAGGCCGAGGCGGGCGGATCACGAGGTCAGGAGATCGAGACCATCCTGGCTAACAAGGTGAAACCCCGTCTCTACTAAAAATACAAAAAAATTAGCCGGGCGTAGTGGCGGGCGCCTGTAGTCCCAGCTACTCGGGAGGCTGAGGCAGGAGAATGGCGTGAACCCGGGAGGCGGAGCTTGCAGTGAGCCGAGATCGCGCCACTGCACTCCAGCCTGGGCGACAGAGCGAGACTCCGTCTCAAAAAAAAAAAAAAAAAAAAAAAAAGAAGGTATCTACCTGAACTCTGAACCCTAAAAAAATGGGTCTACATAATACCTGCTATCACTCAAGAAGTAAGTATATTATTAACTTGTGTATACAGATACAACTATTCCAAGGAAAACCGCAATAATTTGTTGTTCCAGGTTAAGTAAGTAAGAATCCAACACCCTTAAAAAGTTATCCCAAATATTTATAATGTTTAAAAAATTTAAAAAATAATGCTTATTTTGACAATTTCTTGCATGCACCCATCCTAATTCTGATCTTTGATTCGAAGCAATAGTTTGCCCCACATGCAAATACAGGTTACAGATACTAAGTGTATAAGGATTCTGATGCGTATGTTAAGAGAATGGAGGAAGACCAAGAGATCATGGCATTTGCTGACTGAGCTGTATTTTCATTTCTCTTCCAATCAATTCTTTCAGTCATTCTTTCATTCATTTATTTCTTTAGTAAATATGTATTCAATGTCTACTGTCTAGGGATACAGTGGTGAACAGAGAGACTTGTTTCCTTTCCTTGTGGGGTTTATTAGCTAGCAAGGAATAAGTAACTATATTAAATGATATCCTAGATTGCAAAACCTGCAACAATAATTGGTAACTTCTATAGATGAGTGGAGTCTATTTTCTCATCTCTTGATTCTGGACTGGTTTTGTGACTTACTTTGACCAAAAGAAGTTGACAGAAGTTAAACTGTACCTGTCTTCCAGGGATCTTGTAGCCTCTGCTCACTCCCTTGGAATGCTTTGGCTGCTACGTAAACAATCCCAGGCCAGCCTGTGGAGGATGAGAGACAATATGGTGAAAGACCCCAGTCATCTCAGAAATCTCAGGTTAGGGCATCATAAATTATTCAGTTCCTGCTGACCCCCTAGCAAATTGCAGATGCGTGAGCTTGTCTAGCCTAGTGGCCAGTCAAAACCTGTCATCAATCTGCAAAATCATGAACTAAATACATGTTTTTTGTTTTTTTATTTTCTGGTTTGGTTTGGTTTTAAGTCACTAACTTTTGGGGGCTTCGACAAAAGCAGACTAACACAAATGACAAAAAGAGCTATGATAGGAATAAACTCAGGGCACAGAGCACAGAGATATGTTAATCCAATCTATTGATGTCAGGGAAGTTTACCAGAAGGAAATGACATTCAACCTGAGATGGATGGAGCCAGAGTGGCAGCTAGCTAATGACCTTGACCTCAGTGATGTAAAAGCTTTATAGGAAAGAAGGTATTCCTACCATATACATCAGAAATAACTGCAGATATTCAAGTCAAACACCTTGAAATTGCCCTTGATTCTACTTTTACTTCTCACATAAAATCCTCTGCAAATTCTGTCATTTTTACCTACAAATATATCTAGGATCCAGCCATTTTTCACCATCCCCACTACTATTCTTCAGATACAGAACACATACTCACCTGAATTAGCTCCTTATGTCCTATGGTCTCTGAGATAGGAAAGACTTCCTGCTTCCCTGTATTCTACATCCACCACAGAAACTAGAAAAAGTCAGCTAAACCACAAGTTAGATGTTGTCATTCCTCTGCTGAAAACCCTCTGTAGTGAGATGAATTGTCCCTACCACCCCAGAAGGTATGTTCATATTCTAACCCCTGGAATCTGTGAATGTGACCTTATTTGAAAAAAAAAAAAATCTTTGAAGATGTAATTAAGGATCTTAATATGAGATCATCTTGTATTATACAGATGGGCTCTAAATCCAGTGACAAGTGTCCTTATAAGATACAGAAGGAGAGGATGCAGTGACACTGAGGAGAAGGCCACCAGAACACAGAGGCAAATATATTGGAGTGACATAGTCCCAAGCCAAGAAATGCCTGGAGCCATGGGAAGACAATTGAGGTAAGGAGGAATTCTCCCTTAGAGCCCTCGGAGGGAGCAAGGATCTACTAACACTGTGAGTTTGGACTTCTGCCCTCCAGAAGAACTATGGGAGAATACATTTCTGTGGTTTTAAGCTACTTAGTTTATAAGAATCTGTTATGGCAGCCCCAGGAAACTAACACATCTTCCAAAGCTTTCTTATCTCTTTCAGAGTAAAATATAACCGCTGAAGTCCTAACATTGGTTCACAAGGCCATGCCTGGACTCCCTGCCCCTACATCTGACCTCTCTGGTACCATATGGCGCCCTCTCCCTACTCTCAGCATGTGAGCCTCTCTGATCTTACTGTTCCTCCATCACACAAAGTATACTGCCTTCTCAGAGCCTTTGTATTTATTGTTCCTTCTGCCTAGCATGGTCTTCCCTTGGATATTCTACTTGTCTGACTCTTTCAGAATTTTCCCCAAAAATGTCTTTCATGTAGTGAAGACCTCCCTGAACACCCTATTAAAATTCCATCCATTGCCCACTAATTTCCATCCTTTGCCCAGTCCTCTCCATCTTCTCTGCCTTACTTCTCTCTACAAACCTCATCATCTTTGACCCCATATATGTTCTATTTATTCATTTGTTTGTTTAGTGTCTTCCAAACTAAAATCTGAGCTCCATGAGAGAGATATCTTTGACTTTTCCTCACTGCTTTATGTGCAGTATTTAGGATAGATGCCCAGTGAATAACTGTTCATTTTAATAAATAATATGTTTACAATGTAAGGAAATTATTTATATGGAGAATCTGGAAACTGTTGACTTTCTCTACTTCTTCTGAGAAACAGTTCCAAATCTCTCTAGAATTCCTGTTAACGACTGAATCGAACTCATGCTGCTAATTCTCTGGAGTAAAAGAGCACAGATGTTCTAATTTTACAGGACAATGTCACTATTCTGTTATGGCAAGAGGATCATATACAATTTGTACTTTGAAGCCCCTTGGTTTTAACTTGTCACTTTACATTTGACTTCATGCTAGGCTCTAGAACTCTGAGTGAAATAGTAATGAGGGAATAGCAGCAGCCCTAGCAACAGGTAATGCAACTTGAAATTTAGGGGCTTTTTAGAAGGTTCGAAGGGAAAAGGATGAAAAGGTGGATACGCATGTAAAGTGGTCTTGGGATGAGGGACAGAGAACCTGTGTCCTTTGCTGATTTTCTTTGATGGGATTTCAAAGAATGTAGGGCATATGCTTAGAGATTGATAGCTTCTAAGCCTCCATTACATATATGTGTGGAGTATAAACACACAGAGTTTGTACTAACCTTTACAGTTCATGCTTTCTGTATAGGGGACTAAAAGCCCAACATCAAATGTATTTGGCAATTAAAATGAGTATATAGGTAGATAGATAGATGATAGATAGATAGATAGATAATATGCATATATATGTACTTATTTCTCCAAAATAGATGAGACTATATAAATAAAGCATTATAAGGCATCTTTTGCACCATGCTCAGTCATCAGAAAAGGAAAATGGATAAAACAGAAAGCTTCAGAAGCTCCTGTCACCATATCCAGGCTATTTGGCTTTAGTATGCAACTTCAGAGATGTCTGCATAGCAACAAAAACTGGGACAATACTTCTATCCTTTGAAAAGCAAGAGGAGAGCTGAAATAAAATTATAAGCAATCAGCAGGAACATAAATGAGAAGCTGTATTCCAGAAGTGGAATTAGTTCAACTAAAGTCTAACATAGTAAAGGAGTTTACAATGTTGTGGTATTTTAATTAGGGCTGGAGTTTGGGTTAGATTCAGATAAAAATCCTCAACTTCTTATCCCTGGCATACCAGCACTGCCCAAACATCTTGGTTTGCAAAATTATGCTGGGAATAGTGCCCAAACAGGATTTCTGAAAAGATTCTTGGGACTTTCTTTTTTGACTAAGGCTTGGAATTCTGCAAAGATTGCAAGAAACCCCCCACCCCCCACCGCCTTTTTTTTTTTTTTTAATGTTTTGGCTAGAAGCTGGGAGTGAAATAACATAAAATGTTTATGTGTACTTGCAATAAAAGTTACCTACACTAGTTTATGTATTAAAACAAAGTTCAAGTGAATTTTTTTTTTTATTTTCTCAAGACACATACTACAGAAAAGCAGACTTAACTATATGCTTCAGTTTGATGACAAAATGTAATAAATGGATAAGCATTTAAATAAAAATTTCAGTAAATCTGGAAATTGGTCATACATGAGAATATGAGGAATTCAATGAGAATTAAAAAACACATTATAGCATTAAAAAATTTCCTGCAGTATTGTTCTCTTAGTGCTTTGTAGTGAAAAAAAGTGGTTGAAATGTCTCTTCCACGCTTTTCTCACCTAGTAGAAAGTGGTCTGGGCAGGAGGATTTTAGACTTTTAAGTAAAATGACTTGGAAATATATGCAAATTTGTTACATAATTTCAAGGAAATGTTGTGACAAAAAGAGAAAAGTATACATCATTCAATAAAACTGTATTGAGCACTTTGATTTTGAAAATACAATGGACAAAACAAACACCAGGGAGGTTGCAGTGAAATGGTCTAATAGGGGATGCAGGCATTAAAATGGAAAACAGCCATCTGTCTGCATATCTATGTATCTACGTATGTATCTATCTATCTATCATCTATCTATCTATCTATCATCTATCTATCATTACCATCTATTTAATTATAGTCTGCAATATGTTTTATGATGAATTCAACTTGAGTACTCTGATATAAATGAGTTGGGGGCTGGAGAGCATACAGAGAGTGGCCAAGGAAGATTTAAGATTTAAGCAGAAAACAGAAGAGTAAGAAAAAGTCACCGTATGAGGTATGAGGAAGAGAACATTGCAGGAAGGGGAAACATCATGTGTGATCCTTGGTATGGGAAAATATTTGGCATACTTAGGAACAAAAAGAGGGTTGAGGTTGGAACTTAGAGAGGGAGGAAGGAAATGGCAGGAAGTGTAGTTGGAGAGGCAAGACTGTGGGAGCACTCAAGCATCCAGAGGCACAGTAAAGATTCTGACCTTTGTTCTAAATAGAATATAAAGACTGTAGAGGGGTTTGCATATTGCTCCAGGATGGGGCAGGTGTAGGGTGCCACAACTTTGTCGCGTTTCCGTTTTTAGATTGCTCTCAGCTATTGTGGAGGATGGCCTGGACCGAGGCACTAGTGAGAGTGGGGAAACCAACGAGGAGGTCACCACCATCAGAAAGATGGAGTACAAAGCGGGGTAGTAAGGGAAACAAACAGGAGTGGTAGAAGGTAGAAAAATAAAAGGACATGGTGATGGGCCATGAGGAAAAAGAAAGACTCAAGAATGACTTCTAAGTTTCTGGCTTTAGCAATGGGTAAATGATATAACTTTCAGAGATGGGAAAGGATAGGCGAAGAACTAGATTGGAAGGAAATGAGAAATTTTGTACACGTTATGCTTGTGAGACTCATGGTACCTCCAAGGGGAGATGTAAGGAACGTAAGTGGTTGGATATGGGAATCAGGTGCTTAGAGCAGCCTGGCCTAGCAATATAAATGAAGAAATGTGGTTATAATGAAGTACCCTCCCTGCTTAAACACACTCAGTGGATTCCCACTGCTACAGCATGCAGTTCAAGGTCTTAAAATTGTTATTGAAGCCCTTCTACCATCTTACCTTTATAAACTTATGTGATTTGTTATACATACAATTTTCTTCTGGATTCTAGTACAAGTTAAAATGTAAAGTGACAAAAAGCAAGATGCTCAGTTCTGCATATGACCCTCTCCCTTCTACATGATAGTGTCCCCTGTGTATTCACACTTTGTTTTTACCTCAGTAATAACACTTAATAGATGACAACACCATTTATCTATTTATAGTTTTGTCTACTCTACTGGAAAGTGCATTCATCAAGGACAAAATAGTTCTTATTAATCTCATTATACTCAAGGCCTAATACTCAGGGCCCAAAGTGCTTGACACATAGT
Organism: Homo sapiens; assembly: GCF_000001405.40. Classification (NCBI taxonomy): domain Eukaryota; kingdom Metazoa; phylum Chordata; class Mammalia; order Primates; family Hominidae; genus Homo; species Homo sapiens. Next base: position 81,294,621 of record NC_000001.11, on the reverse strand, counting down.
ACATGTTTAATAAATCTAACTGGTAATGCATATTAAACAGAGCAAATAATAATTAAATGTGCTTGGGGAGTGTTATAGTCTCTGAGCTCAATTCTGGAGTACTGTTGATTGGGGGCTGGGAATTCCTTAAGAGAGTAAATTATCTGCCCAGATATGACATACTTGATCTTCTGTGCAGTGTTAAATGGGGGTATGTAGTAGGTCTTGTGTTTGGTAGTGATAGTTTTAAACTCTCCCGCCATGCTTGGTACTCAAGGGGGCAACTGAAGGGAGGAGATGTTATAAGGAAAAGAAACCCAATGTCCTTTTCTCCCACTTGTAACTTAACCCTCACAATGCCACTATTAATAGAACAAAGAGATGCTATTTTCTTTCCACTTCTAAACATATTTAGGCTGCTCCTCAGAGATTTCTTTCCCTCTTCAAGTCTGTCTTGGAAGTGAATTTTCAACTGATTCTATTTCTATAACAATACACTTTGGAGCCAAAGAGTACATTTTATGACATGTTGTGGCTGGGCTCCTCATTCTCTAGGGTTGATCTGGCCTAGCCATGAGTACTCTTCCAGTACAGCCTGGCTCTTCTTCAGGAGAAATTAAAAAGATCTTCACAACCAATGTGGTCTTTAGTTGGCAACAAGCTCAAGAACTCTGCAGCATCTAGTTTCTTAGGTCTAACCTATTTTGAAAGGTATAGTAAGCCCCAGAAAACTTGGAAGTTTTAGAACTGCTTCATAATTCAGAACGTGAACAAGGCAATGTCCAGGAAGACCTGTGCATCAAAAGAAAAAAGGAAATGTGAAGGTGGCAGCTTGAGCTTATATTTTAAGAGGGTTTTCCTGTTGTGTGGCAAGAGACAGAAACTGTAAGAGCCTGGAATAAAAATTTGTAAATTCAAGTGCCATCAGAAGCCAAGAAAGCAAAGTGCAAGAGTGAAGCAGGCCTGGTATCAGACAATGGAGCCAGCATAGTGAACCATGGCCAACTGCAAAGTGCATGCCTGCCCTGCTCGAACCGAAAATAGACACAGTAATTAAAACACAACAAAACAAACAAATAAAAAACATGAGAGAGTGAGCCTTTAGGCATATACTTTAGGTCATGCTACTCTTCTGCTTACAACCCTTCAGTGCCCTCCCGTATCTCCCAGAGTAGAATGTAAGGCTCTTCCATTGCCTTGGAGGCCCTACTTGGACTGGCACTTCTCTGATCATACCTCTTACTACCCTTTTCGGCTTCAAGCCATTCCAGCCCCTTGGCCTCCTCACTGCTTCTTGAATGCAATCAACATGTCCTGGTCTCAGGCTTCTCTGCTTCTTGCATCCTCTGCCTGGAATAATCTTCCTCCAAACTGAACATACATTCCATCAGTTTTGCCAAGTGTCTACCAAAATGGTGCCTTGTTATAGACGCTGTCCCTGATAGCAATATGCCTTCATCACTCTCAAGCTCTGTTACTCTGTATTATTTTTATTATATTTATCACAATCAGACATTTTATATTTCTGAAAACATTTGAAGTGAATATACAGTATTATTTCCATAGCCACATTTTCTTAAATATGAGTTCGTGTTTGTGTGTGTGTATTTTACCAGTGTACCTTGGTTTTTTTCCTGATTAGATATTTCAATGTATGTTACACTGAAAAAGATGGACATTGTGGGGTTTTAAGTCACAATTTTATTCTTTTCCTCAATTTTCTTTTAAATAGCCTCTTTTGAATTGCTTTTCCCTCCCACTGTACAAACTCTTGGATATATCTCCTTATATTCCAGGTCACTCTCTTTAAATAACACAATTATTTTCCAGGTTTTAAAGTCTAATTTAGCATGCTCTCAAAGTTTCATTTACTGCTCTATCTTAAACCTTCTTCTGAACCACCAGTTTGGGGCTGACTCGGCTGAGTCAATGGCAATGTGGAAAGGGTTATGGCTGGCTTCTTCATGCTTTCTCTGTCTTACCATTCTACCTCTTGTTTGCTTCCCCAGCAGCATTCTGTCCTGGCTCTTCAGGTGCCACTGTAAACTGAAAGAGGTGCCCTCTTGGTGTGGCAGATGCCCACGTATTAACTATTTCACAGAGAACTTTTGTAGATTCTTCAGAAATGCTCCATCTGAGGGTTTCCTACTGGGTTATTCCTTAGCTCTGACTGAATGCCTAAAATGCCTCATTAGCTTCTGCATACAGTGGTACTTTCTCTCTGGATTTCCCTTTAGGTCCTTAAATTGACTCAAGACCAGCTTTCCTCTGTGGGTCTACTTGGCCCAGAAGAACATGTCTTTATTCTTGCCCTACACCCATCCATTTCCCCCACTCCTTCGGTGGAAGAGCAGCCATCCCTCTCCGAAGGCACTACTACTCTTCCTGCTCTGCTAAGCCAACCTCTTCCTTTTAGACTTTTCCTCAAGCCTGTTCTCAATCTCGAGAAGAAACATGCCAGGTGTTTTGGATAGCTATTGAGAGCTTCCTTCATTTGGCCCATCTGCAACAATCTTCAAAGAAATCCTTTCCCTATAAATCTCTTGACTTACTTATATCTGCCCTCAAGGTATAGTCACTAAACCATTTTAAAATATCCTTCATAGATGTTCTAGCATCTGCTAATCTTAGCCTTTGGGCCACTGAACAAAACTCTAGAAGAAAAGAGAATGTCATACTTAATAATCCACTGCACATATATTAAATGCATAATTTATATATTATATTTGCATCACATTAAAAAGGTAGGCCTTTTTTATGGCATGGCAAAAGCCCCACAACTCAAAGAAATGCAAAAAAGATCATTAATCCTTAAAAATATCCCATAGAAATGAGTAGAATCCTGTGAAATATAAATGTATATATATTGTAATGGTGTTCATATATTTTATTTATACAAATGCAACACATAGATGTAATAGTTATTTAACATGAAGAAATATCAATGGCAATATCTGCTAATATATTTGAAATTCCATTAGAGTGAGGGCATTATTCTAAGGGAAAAATACAGTGGAATGAGTTTAAGGCAATTCAGACAAGATTATCTGCATATCTTTTCAACAATTTGTCTGCAATGACACAGAATTTGTGAACAATATCAAAGAGAATAAAGAAGCCTTTATATTTTTGCAATAAATAACCTTTTATTCACACCTCCCTTTAAAAACAAAGAGAAACAATTTTAGGGAGAATGTTGGTGAAGCATTACGAAAGTAATGGAAAATGCGAAGGAGCTATTTCTGTGCCTCATTATACATCTTAAATTGCTGTTCCAGTATCCTAGCTTTGCTTAAACAGTTAACTACTGCCAAACATAGCAGTAGTTGACTCTCTGAAAAAGAAAAAACTGATTTTACTGTCTGCTTTTGGAACATGGAACAAACCAATGCTGATGGATGCCCAAACAACATGGAGGCCCTGTCCAGACTGAGCCACATGCCTAGGGATGGGGCCACTGGAGAATCAGGACTGTGGACAGTTGAAGTTTGAATTTGCCAAACTTGGCAATGGAGTTAAACTGCCAGCTTTACACAAAGCCTAGGACAAAGAAAATCAGGGCACTGAAATGCACAAATAATGTAAGCTGTAAGATAATATAGAATTTTTATTATCCTTTGAATGTCACTTCTACATAAGAAAGTAGCATTGTTCAGAAATGTGGGGCTATCTGAATCATCCAGGCCTTCTTCATCTTTTCCACTTCTATTTGGGTTTTTAGAAGAGAATGTTGGGTATTGACATGGTTTGGCTGTGTCCCCACCCAAACCTCACCTTGAATGTGACTCTCACAATTCCCACGTGTCATGGGAGGAACCTGGTGGGAGGTAATTGAATCATGGGGGCGGGTCTTTCTTGTGCCGTTCTCATGATAGTGAATAAGTCTCATGAGATCTGATGGTTTTAAAAATGGGAGTCTCCCTGCACAAATGCTCTTGTTTGCTGCCACGTGACACGTGCCTTTTACCTTCCACCATGATTGTGAGTCCTCCCCACCCATGTGGAACTGAACTGTAAGTCCATTAAACCTCTTTCTTTTGTAAATTGCCCAGTCTCTGGTATGTCTTTATCAGCAGTGCAAAAATGGACTAATACCGGTATAAATCCCACAACACCTCATTTTTTGAATAATTGTTTACCTAGCTGCTGGAAGAGTGGGGCAGAGGGCCAGCTTTGCCATCCAGGGTTTTGTTTATGAGATTGAGGCATTATAATGGGCTGAAGCCATTAGCGACTTAATTATTTGAAACAGATTTTAATCTCAGAATATGAAGTGATTCTAGAGGGAAGAAGCACACGCATATTCAAATATCACGGCCAGTAATAATAAATAAATACATATTTTTTGTTTTTTTCTTGGATGGTCCTTACAAATTTAAAATTAGGAAATTGGCTGAAAAAAATGAATTTCATATTTACTCATAGTTACTAGATGTTTATATATCCCATACCCAGAAAAACGCAATACTAACATCAAATCTCTGAAATCAAAGTGAATTATAGAACATTTAAAGAAATGCATGAAGAAATGAAGATAAATATTACCTTTGCTTTAGTTATCTCAATAGCTCTAACCACAGACAGTATTGTGTACTCTACACCAACCTGGAGACACTGTGGGAGCTCATGAGACCCCGAGGACAGAGATTATTGAATATTTAGACCTATGGGAACTGTAGCTCAGAAGCTTTAAGGAGAGAAGGCTATGTGCTTAGGGCTGCATACATGATGAGGCAAGGTCATCTCTATTTCTATCTGCTTCTCTGTCTTTTTCTCTCTCCTCCAATTCCCGCAATAGATTCCCAGTTTTATAGCTAAGTAGTCAAGAGGAGTCCAGCAGAATTGAGCTTCAGTTCTGTCTTCATTTCACATCTATATGATGGGGGGAATTTAATTTATCTTTCCAAATTTCAGATTTTTTTCATCAATTTTATCTGAATAATAACAGTATCTACCAACACTGTTAATGACATGACATTTAAAATACATAGTGGATAGTTTGACGTTGAGTAAGTATTCACCATATGTTAGCCATTGTTGTTTTTTCTTTTATGCCACTCATGTTTGGTCTATAATGGCTTACCCAGCCATGAAAATTATATAACTTTTAGGCTTAGTTCTCTATAGCTAACTAACTCAGTAATTTAGTTGCTCAATTCCAAATTCCCAAAGAAGGATGTTTTTGGGGGTTACACCACAAGTCCTAAGCCACTACCATGTCCATGGAGTGACTGCCTTTTCATCAGGTATCCATCCCTGGCAGAAAGAGTTACACCTGGGGGAACGTAAGAGGAAATTTGGAATCAAGTGGTCCACAGTTCACATAGCAGGAGTTGTGGAAAGGCAGTTTCCTTTAGGATGTATGTGTAGGTAGAGGAGGCAATGATAAAAATTCCTAGTAAACAGATTTCCTGTTTTACTGATATAATATAGATGTAGTCTCAGTCAGTATTGACATATGTAAGTGATTTAGATCTCCAAATCTAGTTTAAGGATTTTCTGAATTTTCAGAGTTTTCTACTATTGTCCAAATATATCGGATAATTTTCAACTCTCCCCTTCCTTCCTTCTGATGATATGAGGTAGAGTCTGTATCTAAATATGAGAAATAACTGGTTGTCAACATGACTGAATTGGTCAGTATTGTTTGTCATGGCAGGTCCTCACAATCAATCCAGAAGTGCCATGATCCTTCTACAATCGGGATTGATTATTATGAAAGCCAGCTGTGGCTCATCTATTTTATTGCAGATGGCCACAGCCTTTGACTCTACTGAGAAAAGTAATTTGTCACCAAAAACTCAAATGCCGCCTTCACAGTATTTTACTTTCAAAGACATAGGGAGGATAAATGACCATATGGAACTAAATGTGGATTTGTCAAACCTGTTACTGAGAGTCTTTTCTGTGTTGCAAGTGGGAAAATGGGGGCTCTTGGTTTCCATTTCTAAAGCTTCTTTGCATAAACAAATGCCTGTGGATTTAACTGGACATAATTTTTGCTCCTTTGCCTTGCACACACATGACTTATGTCTGGGTTTGCAGCTTAAGAAGTTCATGTAACTCCCTATGAAAAGACAAATGTATCACTCCAGTCGTAATAATAAAATATAATAACATATGAAGCTTCTAACAAATGGTTTTATTGTTGCACTTGTTACTTTCCAATTTTGATAAGCATTTACGTTTCCATGAAAAATTACTTTATTCATTTCAGTAATAAAGAAAGAAATAGATGAAATAGAAGTTTGATTTGGAAGTCTCTGTTTTGCTCAAGATAAGCTGGTAAAAGGACATTTGTTGAAGTTACTAAGGACCATATTTTTAAAAGCTCACTATTAATATGAACCCTATCAAAGGAACACACATATGTGCACCCATTTTTCCACATAAATCAGGAAAGATGAATAATTGAAGTGCTTTTGTGTTTTAAATTTTCATTAAATGTAACTCTAATGCTCATCCTAGGCCCCAGTCTTGTATCGAGTTTACTTTAGCAAAATGAATTAAAGATATAATGGACTCAATAAAGCTTCCCATCAGGAAACCTATATAAACTGAGTAAAAAAAAAAGTTTAAGAAAAGTAATGGATTTCTTAGACTCCTTTAAATGTATTCTTTTATAATTTTTATGGGTATATTATTTTGGTTGTCCAAAGAGCTGATCTTCACTACCTAAATGAAATCATATTGGTATTTGGTGTAACGGACTCCCAAAAGAAAGAAAAGACACATTTCTTGGGAAGAATTCAAGAACTCTTGCTTAACAAATTTCTGCTGCCAAAACTTGAAAAAGAAAACGGAAAAGAAAATAAATGGCAGTAGATTTTTGTGAAACAAACCAAGTACTGAATTTTCAGTATTTTATTTGATAATTTAAAAAGCATATGTAAGTCACAAGTCACAATGCTGGGTAAATTATGTATATGGTGTTATTGTATTCATTCTACATTTTAATTTAAAAGGAAACATATCAGTTCAGATTTTATGGGTAGGCTAGAATGTTAGCCTCTAGGGAAGCTTGAGGAATTTATGTGGTTAGACAACCTTGGATTCTGAATCTTTCTACAACCATGTCCAGTCATCAAATAACTAGAGATTTCCTTTATTTCTTGTCCTTCACCTATAAAAAGAAGGAAGTGATGATGTTTATCAGAAACTTCTGTAGCAGATGGAAGAGCAGCAAAGATCAATAGGTTAATATTTATAAACCACAATTGAGGTGATAAAAAGTCTGTGAATGCATAAAATAAACATTATACTAATGATAGACTATTGATCATAAAAAATTACTTTGCTCCAGGATAATACCTTTCATTTGTTCTGTAGATTGCACGCATGTTAGTGTCAGCTAGATACTAATAGTAATAATGATCATTTAATAACCCCAAGACTGATGTGGAGAGCAGAGGTCTCAGTATACTTTCTAAAGAAATTTTTTTTTATTATTATTAAAGTTTTGCACCTGAGACATGAAAAAATGAAAACTTTTATAATGCTGTCCTAAAGCTAAGCATTCGCTGAGACACCATAGTGTACCCTCCTGTTCTAGCTTTGCACTCAGAAATTTTATAAATAAAAATTTGAGAATAATTTACATTTTGTTGAGCATTTTTAACTTTTTCAAAGGATTTTCTATATTTATTTATCATTTGCTACTTATGACAACCAAATGAAATATGTGAATATACAGATGCTTCTTGACTTACAACAGGATTATGTCCCAGCAAACTCATTGTAAAGTCATAGTGGATTGATCCTAAATTGAGGACCTCTGTATAGGAAGTTCAGAGAAGAATTACTATTCCTCATTTTAATTGATGATATTAACATTCTTCTAGTCATCTAGATTCATAACCTCAGTTTAATCTACTTATACCTCCTTGCTCACTGCCTTGAAATCAATTTTCAGTCTCATATATTTCTAGATCAAAATATCTCTTGCACCTGTCTTTCTATTTGCCTACTACTTGGCTTAGGTCTCACTTTTAAGAAATTTGTATCATTGTCCTAATCCTCCAATTGGCCTTCCCACCACTGTTTCTGTCATTCTTAATCCATTCTTCATTTTATTTATTTATTTTTTGAGACAGGGTCTCACTCTGTTGCCCAGGCTGGAGTGCAGTGGTGCTGTCATGGCTCACTGCAGCCTCGACCTCCCAGGCTCAGGCAATCCTCCTGCCTCAGCCTCCCACGTAGCTGGGACTACATACGCATGCCACCATGCCTGGCTATTTTTTAATTTTAATTTTAATTTTAATTTTTTGTAGAAATGGGATTTCACTTTGTTGCCCAGGATGGTCTCGAACTTCTGTGTTCAAGTGATCCTCCTGCCTCAACCTGCCAAAGAGTTGGGATTACAGGCGTGAATCACCACAGGCAGCTACACATACATATTTTTTTAAAGTAAATTTTAAATTTCAGATTAGTTTCATTTTTACAGAAAAACTATGAAGACAGTACAGAGAATTTCCTTACGTCCAGTTTTTCCTATTATTAACATCTTACTGTGATACATGACTGTGAATTAAAGTTTGTAGTTTATTCAGTTTTCATTATTTTTTACTGAATGTCTTTTTCTATCCAGGATACCACATTCCATCCAGTCTTTGTGTCTCCTTAGAATACGCTTGGCTCTGACAGTTTCTCAGAAGTTCTTTGTTTTTGATAACCTTGATAGTTAATTTAATACCTGGTGGAGACAAATAAAAAGAAGGAAAAGAAGCCTGGATAAAAAGAGAGAGAGGAAAGGGGGCTGCTCTTTCAGATGTGATGACTAAGCAAGTCATTTTTTGAGGAGACAGCATTTGAACTAGTACTGGAATGTACTGAGAGATCAAGCCAGGAAACTATCTACGAAAAGAAATTTCTTGGCCCAGGAAACACCAATAAAGAGGGCCTGAAGTGGGGCTCTGGTGGGTTTAGTAAGTATAGTAAGAAAGCTACTATGGATGTAATTAAGTGGCTGTCAGAAAGAGTGATAGATACTGAGGTCAGAGTGGCAGTCATGGGGATCATGTGGAAAAGGTCTTTGGTTTTATTCTGAATGTAATGGAAAGTCCTTGGAGCATTTTGAGGAGATTCATATATATGTTTTGTTTGTTTATTTGTCTTCTTTGTTTTTTGAGATAGGGTCTCACTCTGTGCCCTGGCTGTAGTGCAGTGGTGGGTTCATAGCTAACCACAGCCTTGACCTCCTGGGCTCAAGCGATCCTCCTATCTCAGTCTCCTGAGTAGCTGTGACCACAGACATGTGCCACCATGCTCAGCTAATTTACTTATTTTTTATTTTTTGCAGAGACAAGCTTTCGCTATGTTGCACAGGCTAGTCTTGAACTCCTGGGCTCAAGTGATCCCCAGTCTCTGCCACCAAATTACTGGGATTACAGGGATGAGCTATCATGCCTGTATATATATATATATACACACACACACACACACACATACACACACACACACACATACACATATATATACATATATATACACTTATATGGACACATATATACACACACACACACATACATATATATACATATATATAACACACTATATATATGTGTGGATATATATGTATATAAATGTGTGTGTGTGTGTATATATATATTTACTTATTTTTTGAGACAGCGTCACTCTGTCACCCAGGCTGGAATGCAGTCATGTTAGCTTGGTTCACTGCAACCTCCACCTCCCAGGTTCAAGTTATTCTCCTGCCTCAGCCTCATGAGTAGCTGGGATTACAGGCGTGTGCCACCACACCCAGCTAATTTTTGTATTTTTAGGAGAGGTGAGGTTTCACCGTGTTGGCCAGGCTGGTCTCAAACTCCTGACCTCAAGTGATCCTCCCACGTTGGCCTCCCAAAGTGTTGGGATTACAGGCATGAGACACTGCACCCAGCCTGATACATATATTTTTAAAATAGCAGAAGTATATACATAATTTTGCATCATATTATTATCATAATATTTTTAATTATTAGCCACATACCATAACCTAGAGCTGATCTGGATTACTAACCCAATCATGTTCCAGGATCCTCAGTCTCTGGCTCCTATTAATGTTCTCTTTGCAGGACATGTTTCTGTCATTTCTCTTTGTCAGAGTTCTATTCAGTCTCAAGATCCATCTCAAACATCACCACTTTTAGGAAATCTTTTCCAATCCTTTTGTCTCGGATGCATTCTTTCTCATGTGTGATAGCTTGGGTGAAATGACTATGTAGAAATATAGCATTTGGAATTGGATGGGCTTGTGTTTGAATCTAGTCTTCTACAAATTATTAGGTTACTCTGAGTCTGAGTTCTTTATATGCGAAATGGAGACATTTTGTTACCTTATGAGGTTGCCTTCTGGGATACATTGGAAGCTAAATAAACACTATCCAGAGTAAATTCTTTAAAATTTTGTGATGACATTTACCCAATCCCTCCTTTGATAATAGGTGTTAATATTTTCATGTACTTAAAATTTCATCTAGCACCTATTATGTGTAACTGCTTTCTCAAATGCTAAGGGTAAGAACAGGAGGTTAAAAGAAGAATAAGGTTATGATGGAGTCCCTGCATTCCAAGGAGCTTTTACTTGGATGAGAGATGAGGCATGTACACATATATTACAAGAGAGTAAATGCAAGGAGGAGAAACCTGCAGAACATGGGTTGAGAGTGGAAAGGATCATCCCCAAGTTTCTGAAAATGGAACACTGGTATAGGTGTTTACATCTGTGCTACCATCAAAATCCATCTGGAATCACTGTCTCTCCCCTGCATAATTCCTTAATTGTAGTGAGTGCTCAATAAATGTTAATTGAAATTCCTAACTTTATAAATGAGGACGCAGGCACAGATTGTTAAGATGTGGTATGCCCAGACTCATAACACCACCTAGAAAAGCTGGGCTAGGAAGTAGCTTTGCCAAGGCCTGGCCTGTGAGTTACTCTCAGTTCTTCTGTCAGAAAGCCAAAGGGCTCCCTATAGTGGCAAAGTTACTCAGAAGATTCCCTTAGCAGGAACTTAATCAGACCTGTGGGCCGTAAGAATTTCTTCATAAATAAATGACATGAAAACATAGATAATATGACTATGAGAAAACTCAAACCAGGCCAGGTGCAGTGTCTCATGCTTGTGATTCCTGTGCCTTAGGGGGATCACTTAAGGCCAGGAGTTCAAGACCAGCCTGGAAAACCTAACAAGACCCTGTCTCTAAACAAAACAAAACAGAAAAAAAAAATTAAGAAATTAAAAAAAAAAATAAAAACAAAAACTAAAACTACGTCTGAATATGTAGTTTGAGAAAAGCTAGCCAGTTATTTTCCTAAATCTCGATACACAGTGTAAAAATGAGGCATGATAAGTAACATTTGATAATGACCCAGCTTTATAACAACTGAAAATTCCTCCTAAATTTTTGCCTGATTTTCATGAACATCAACCAGTTAGCAGTCAATTATTGAGTGCCTTTGCTAGCACATGCTAATACTAGGTGCTTCCTTCTGAAGCACGTTTGTTGAACAAAGTAATCATTTAGGTTATGATGGTATTTTTACCTGCCTCAAATAAACTGTCAACAGAAGGAAGCCCACCACCGTAGCATAAATACCTAACAATGTCCTGTATTGAGAATGGCCTGTCACTATCACAGCTAATCATGGAGGTGGGGATTTACCACATACAAAGCGCTTTTGTACTGACTTCTTAATTTGTTCTTTACAATAACCCTGAGGTAGCTTTTTCTGTTATCTTTTGTTTTAAAGATGGGGAAACTGAGGCCAAGTGGTTTTTTGAAGATAGCTAATTGGACAGGATTTGAACTTATATAACCTCATGCCAAAACACAAACTCTTTAACAAGAAGTTAAAAAATACTAAAATGAAATAACAAATATTGGTGCATGAACACATAGAATAAATATGTTTACCCATATATAAAACCGAGTATAAAATGAACCAATCCTGACAGAAAATTCATGATGAGGCTAGGAAAGAGAGTGCTTGTGATCCTTTCTGGCTTCAGTGTTATCTGTTCAAGGAACTTGACAGAAAAGCCCTGTGCAGTAATTACTTCTCTTGTTTTCTAATAGCACAGTGAGGTGGCTTAGTTATAAACGTCTTGAGATGACTCAAATGCAGTCCTCTGATCATTGGTGATGGATGGGGTCAGATAGCAAACAAGACAGAGTTTGGCTTCAACACTAATATTTACTATCCAAATTCATCATTCGTATAGAAGTACCTCTGTATCCTGTCTTAAATCTCAGAATCTCAAGTTCCTCATGTTGTCTTCCAGAAGGCCAACCCCTTTGGAGTCTCACTAGGCTCTGTCCTGCAATCCAAATGCCTGAAATACTTTGATCCTTTTATCACCTCAAGAAAGCAGCCCCTTGGTGCAATCCCAGAAAGATCTTTGGAGGAAAGCAAGCTCATGAAAAAATTCAGGCCACTAGTTGAGTGACTGTTAATTTTTATTCTTTACTTTCATATTGAAGGAGACTCTCCTCTTCATTCATTAGTTCATCCATTCTTTTGCTCAATAACTATTTATTTAGCAGCCAATTATGCGCCAGGCATTGTGCTAATTTCTGTAGGTAAAGTAGTGAACAGGGGAGACCTGGATCTTGACTTCGTGAACTTTTATTCTAGCAGTGGAAGCCTATTAAATAACTACTTTTGTGACAAATTAAATATAATTGTAATTAATGTGATGATAGACAAGTACAAGGTGTTATGAACATGTATAATCTTCCTGAGTCTGGGGGTTTAGAGAAGGTTTCTTGAAGAAATGATTTGTAAGCTGAGATTTGAAGATGAATAGAAATTTGTAAGATAAAACAGTTATTGATTACACAATGAGAAAGTACAGAAATAGACTTAGTAAGAAACTTGAAGATAAATTGCACACAAAGTCTGAACCCAAGGAATTTTAAATATAAAAGGAAAGATTAGATTTATCTATAAATGTAGTTGAAGATGGTATTATGAGAAAAGTATAACAAAGTTTTATGGGAATTCAGAGGGAAAATGAAGATATTTTCAGCTTGGAAGTACAAAGGTGGAATTTGATGTAGGCTTTAAGTGATAGTGTAGTGGATACTGTGTTGTACCACACAAATCTCCCTTTGAAGTACTCTCTTTGAGTATGATTGAGATATTCATTCTCTGAGATCCCATGAGCATAAGATGGTTAAGGGCTCCATAACGGCTTTTTTGACGTAAAGGAACATGCCACCTCCAAGTTTATGCCACCCCCCAGAGGTAGCCCTCATCCAGTGAGTAGTTAATGTGGTAATACAAAGATCTGGCCCTTGGTCTTTATTTAGGTTACCTCCGAAGGATCATCTCAGCTTCAGAGGTTCCAATGGGATGAGCTAAGGCTACACTCACAATGATATCACATTTTAATTTCCTCCAATCCTTCTCCCTCCCCTTGCTTTACTCAGAGTTGTTCCTAACAGCACTGCCCAATAAACCTCTGCACACAAATCTCAATCTCAGTATCTGTTTACTGGGAGAGCCCAACTTGAACTAGTTGGTACTGGGAGTGGTGTTAGGAGGAAGACCATAAAATAGAATTTTGGAGCTGGACAAATCAGCTGACTATAACCATCACTGTTAGTGGTTGGAGTGTGGCTAGCTCTTGACATGCCATAGCAAGGCAATGATAAAACTTCCACCAGTGGGGAATTGGACTTAGAATAGGATGCTGATGGAAGGAATGTACTGCTGGGAGCAGTGTCTCAGGTGTTTGAGATGTTTGAGGAAAATTGTAATTATAAGAGTCACGGTGTGCCAGGTGTAGTGGCTCATGCCTGTAATCCCAGCACTTGGGGAGGCCAAGGTGGGAGGATCACTTGAGGTCAGGAGTTTGAGACCAGCCTGGGCAACATGTTGAAACCCCCTCTCTACCAAAAAAATACAAAAATTAGCTGGACATGGTGGTGCCCACCTGTAATCCCAACTACTCAGGAGGCTGAGGTGGGAGAATCGCTTGACCTTAGGAGGTGATTAGAGCTGAGATTGCACCATCGTATTACAGCCTAGGTGACAGAGTGAGACCCTGTCTCAAAAAAAAAAAGTCATGTCATTGGATGGCTATTGCTGAGGGGGAACCTATATACACTGGAGAAAGTCAATGGAAGGCTGAGATTAATTACCAATTACAAGCTACGTGTGAAAGCCAGAGGACCTACTGGATAACATAGAAAGGATTTTTGTCTTCTATGGTTGGAAAGCAGATGTCAACCCAGTGCTTAATCATCTGCATAACAAATCTCCAGAGGAAGTTGCATTTTCCATCTTAGCAAGCCTGCCACGTCCAGGTGAGAAATGGGTTAAGCACATCTAAGTTTATGTGTTAAAATTCTCAAATCTTTAGATACTCTGAATTTGCTGCGATTGCAGAAGTGGCCTACCCTTCCTGGTTAAAGGCTACTGCTTAAAGATGATGCAGAGGTCTCTGTTTTGCCAGAGAACATACAGAACATCTGTATTTACTATTAAATACAGAACATCTGTATTTAATCCTACCTTCCCTCCTCATAACCAGATGACAAAATAGGTTAAATCACAACAAGAAATCAGGCAGATAAGTGCCAAACCTACTAAGAGGGGGAAATAACTGTGCCCTACCAACAGTTGGAATAGGAGGATCCCAAGATAATAGGCACTTTGGAAGCAAGGTAAGATGTGATGAAGGCGAGTTTGGAGTGACAACCAGGATGCAGGGAAATGTTGATCTGCTGAGAGCAATGGAGATAATTAATAGAATATCTTATTTCTAGGTAAATGGGGAACCATCAAGTGTATTGCTTGTCTATATAGCTTTTTAAAATACAGGAGGCCAAGGGTGACGGCCTTAAATAAATAATATTCGTATTTCTATAACTGAGACTATTTTCATATCTGAAATCATTATTGACTAAAGAATAAGTTCCAAGACTTAAGACCTTGCAACATTACAGCAAGAAAATACACCAACTGTTAACCCTCATTCTTCCTGCTAAGGTACTTCTGGGCCATTCTAAATTGGGAAAAGGGGATCGCTCAGACATTTTTGAGGACTGTTGGATACAGGGTTTCAGTTGATCTTGATATGAAGGGTAGAGCATTAGAGTGGACATGTATACAGTCCAAGAAGAGACATATTTGGTATCTGGTAAAATCCTTACATTGGTTTCTTCACCCAACGAGAAAGAGCTATCTCAGGGAAAGCCGAGCAGCAGCCTTCGAAAGTGCTCCCCTCAAAATTCAGTCAAGATAGTTAATCAAGAACAATACTTCATCCAGAAAAAAAAATGACAGATGTTAGTACCATTATTAAATACTGGAAGGATGCAGGAAAGATGGTCCCCATAATATCTCCTGTTTAATTCACCAGCCTATAGAAACACAGACGGTGCCTAGATGATTACAGCCGACTTCTGCTGACTCAACCAACGAGTAGCACCAGTTGAAGCTGTAATGCCGAACATGCTGTCTTCGCTTAAAAGATTAATGAGGCTTCAAGCACATGGTTACCACTGAGTTGAAGCATGCAGGCTTTTCCATCTTCATCAAGAAGGAGGACTCTAAAAAAGTGAGTTATTATAAGGTAGAAAAGAGTGTACATTTATTGTCTTGCTCCATATCTTGTGCTATCAAAAGATAATCAGAAGGTATCTGGACCTTATATACATGCCACATATATCTCATTGGACTACTATATTGATGATGTTGTTAATCAGACCAGATGAGCAGAAAGTAGCCTGTACACTGAAGGCCTTAGTATGTATGTGTACTTCAAAGGGTTGAAGATAAAAATCTTCAAAGATTCAAGGACCTGACTAATCAGTGACATTTTTAGGAGTCTAGTGCATGCCAGAACATCACTTCCAAAGTAAAGTAAACAAATCATTGCAACTTATGCTTCTACAACTAAGAAGTAAATATCATGTTTAGTAGGCTTCTTCAGGTTCTGGAGGCATCATATTCCACATTAAGAATTATTGTTATGGCTGGGCATGGTGGCTCATGCCTGTAATCCCAGCACGTTGGGAGGCCGAGGCAGGCGGATCACCTGAGACCAGCCTGACCAACATGGAGAAACCCCGTCTCTACTAACAATACAGAATTAGCCGGGTGAGGTGACCCATGCCTGTAATCCTAGCTACTTGGGAGGCTGAGGCAGTAGAATCGCTTGAACCTGGGAGGCAGAGGTTGCGGTGAGCCAAGATCGTGACATTGCACTCCACCCTGGGCAACAAGAGTGAGACTCCGTCTCAAAAAGAAAAAAGGAAAAGAATTATTGCTCCAACCCATTTCTTGACTGGCATAGAGCAGAAGTCTGCCACCTTTAAGAAATGTGTTCTTGTATAATCCAGGGTACAATTCAAGGCACCTTGCCACTTGGGCTATACAATATGGTATTACAGGTATCTATGGTGGGTAAAACCCTAAAAAGAGTATTTGCAACATACATATGGAGCCTATCATGCCCTTGGCAGCACAGAGTTATACACTATTGAAATAAACAGCTTCTTTATTATCTGCTTTCAGAACCTGCCTGATTTGAGCTACTTGTGACTGTTCATAGCTTTCTTCATCTCTCTCCTACCTCCAGTTGAAGAAAGATGGCTTGCTAAAAGTTATATCCCATTTCCAGGGCAGCCAGCCTCCAATGACTGGTCAATACAGAGGTACGCAGACCTGTCTGACTGCTTTACCTGGATTGGAGGCATCTCTGAAAAGTTTTCTGAGCTTCAGACTCTCAACAGAATCAGTAGAGTCCACTGTTGCAATTTTTTCTGAGCGCAACTTCAACGTCTTCCCAAACAATCCTGTTTTGTTTAGTCTTTTGGGCTTACTGTCTCTTATGGTGTGAAAGTTTGTGTCCCCTCCAGATTCATGTGTTGAAATCCTAACCCCCAAGGTGAGGGTATTAGGAGGTAGGGTCTTTTAGGCGTGATTAGATCATGAAGGCAGATCCACTCTGCCCTTCGTACCAAGTGAGGATACAGCTAGAAGGCTTCATCTACAAACCGGGAAACGGGCCCTCACCAGACACTGTGCCTGCTGGCACCTTGATCTTAACCTTTTCAGTTTCCAGGACTGTGAGAAATAAATTTCTGTTGTTTATAAAAGCTATCCAGATTTTAATATTTTGTTATAGCAGCCTGAGCAGACTAATACACTCTCTTAGTTCCACTCTAGAGAGCACTCCCTGGTTAAACCCTGTGTACAGGCTTCAGAGTCTAGGAGTCTTAGGAAACCTGTTGTATGACACCTGAGTAGGAGGAACATATATTTTCTGTTAAGAAAACAGCTTGTGTAAAGTCACAGAGGCAGAAAGTGATAGGTACGAACATCTAGTAACATTGTTGAAGTTTAGGAAGTATTGGGGAACATGCTCGGAAGAATGATTGAAGCCAGATAAGAAAACATCATTAATGTCATGATGATTGCCTCGAATACCTGATTTATAGGCAATGTCGAACCTTCATGGCTTTTAGAGTAGGCAACAAAAATGATCCGAACTTTCCTGTAGGAATATTGAACAATGTGTAAAATGCACTGAAATGGAAAGAGTTCACATTGAAGAACCACGGGAAGAATTACCTCAAATTTCCTAATGGAGGAATCATATTGTTTCTGGCAACAGTGGCAATGATGGAAAGGGTAAGAAGAGTTCTGAGTCAAGAAGAGTATAGAGGTCAAACACACACACACACACACACACACACACACACACACACACACACACACAAAACAAATTAGCAAAATTTCTGGAAGTTTGAGGGAGATATTTTGTGGCCATTACAGAATTCTTTAGAGGAACCAGAAAGTTCCTGTTGCCTGGGTTTCCCAGGAGGTATTATTCTAGAAATCTTCAAAAGGCAGGAGGAAGCTTTTTGGTAAGCAGTTTCTTATTATAATCTTTTCAGCTGACTGCAGAAATGTCTCCTAATCTCTTTCCCGATCACTGTGTACCCATTTTCTCCTCAGATTCATCCTGTCCCGTTCATTTATGGTTTTGTTCTCTTGGGGATTAACTAGGCCAAAGAGGTGCTTCTCAATGCCACAAACTAGGGCACTCATTATATAGGTTCCGTTTAAGAGCAAAGTTTCTTAATGACCCTAAGCTTTGACTTAATTATTCTTATTATAGTATTACTTAAACACGTTTAAACATAATAGGTATAAACTGTGTGCTTATTGGCTTTATATAATTATGTATAAGAAAAACCATTTTACAAGTTCAAGTCAACAAAAACTACAAAACTAATAAAATTTAAATTAGGATCATTAATTTGATGGACAGATGAAGTTGTTTTGTTGAAATCAAATTACTGTTCACCACATAAATGACAATCAGGCTGTTTTCAGTTTTTACACCAGAGCTGTTTTCTCACTTGCTGTGACAATTCTCTCAGAATTTTCTACAGTCAAACTATAGAGAAATCTTCATCAGGATTTCAAATGATATTGGTTACCCTTTACTTAGCAGGTACACTGCATTTATCTAAGAAATACACTTCTCATTAGCCTTAGACAATAAAGGGGTACAGCTTGATCCAGTGATAACCTGAACCTAGATGTGTATTGTGAGCCAGAAGTGAGTTATATATAGTATTTGGTCCATGCGTTGTTATCCAGATAACCTGCGGTATGATTATTGACAAACTTTTAGGCTACCAACATACATCTAATTTTTTAAGAGCTCAGTACTGAAGCAGATGTTTGAAAAATTGTCCCTTGGCCCAGCGATAGGCTGTGAACTCTTGCAGTGGTGCTAAATTCTTTCTTTGGTTCTTTAGGAGCAATGACATGTCATTCCACAGGATATTTTCCTCGTATACAATTAAAGTCTGGTTACTAGTAAAATACTATGTAATTTATTCAGAGTTACAATGATTTAATGTTTATAAGGCAAATTTTGTTAATCCTAGGTTTGTAGGATTTTCTTTCTTCCTTTCTTTACACTGGCTCCCACAGGGTGCCTGGTGATGCTGAGAAGCTTGCAGACGTGAGTGGCACTTCCACCCTCCTCAGGAAGGCTGCTAGAATGTTGTGAAACTTTTCTTATGCTGTTGCTGATTTTCAATTGTTACTGTCCTTGGCTTTTATTTATAATTTTCTTCTCATTTAGTCTCCCCATAATCCATTTTGTCTTGTGTTAACTCTATAGTGGGTACCAGTGCTTAATTTTACCACTAATTTTGTCTTTAAATCCTTTTTTTTTTTTTTTTTTTTAAGACAGTGTCTCCCTCTGTCACTCAGGCTGGATGCAGTGGCACAATCATAGATCACTGCACAATCAACTTACTGGGCTCAAGTGATCCTTTCACCTCAGCCTCCCAGGTAGCTGGGATTACCGGTGTGTGCCAGCACATTCAGCTAATTCAAAACAAAAATTGTTTTTCTTTTTTTGTGGAGATGGAGGTCTCACTATGTTGCCTAGGCTGGTCTCAAACAGTTGGGCTCAAGCGACCCTCTGCTTCAGCCTCACTAGTGTTGGGATTACAGGCGTATACCACCGTGCCTGGTCCACCCTCTAATCTTATAATTAGTGTATCTCAGATGTGTATTGTGAATCATATGAGCATCATCTATATCATTTATCTCTAACCTCCTCCCCCAAATTTATTTGTACAATAGGTAATGTTTCATTGCTATTATGAAATAATGTTTCCAATGGAAATTGAGAATAGTCCAGGTGATTTTTAGGGTTATTTGCCATGTTTAAATGGATATTGGTTAAAATAGTTTGAGAACTACCATTCTAATTAGCAGGAGGTCCAAAATCTGGCTATTTGTCTTTGTCTCTGGCTCAGTCTTAAGAAAGTCACACCTAAAAGTGTGTACTTTAACTTAATTATCCTTATATAAGCTTAGTTTTCATAGTTTGTTGCGTAAAATCCCAGGATGACAGCTCACAATTTTAATAAGAAAGGACTTAGAATGGAACCTTAATGTAATTCTAGCCATAATAGGTCAGATTTGGTATAAAACTAGTGTATGTTGGATGAAATCCAGATGGGTTCATTACCAAATGACCCAGAAGGATCTAATTATAGCACTTTCACATAGAACATGGTCCCATAGAATGGATTTCAAGGATAGCATGGTGAGAATGTAGTGCAAATGAAAAACGAGATGGATAGTTCTTTTGATGGATGAGAAATGTAGGCAGAAAAAGGGCTAGAAGGAATATCCTGGGGAACACAGATGAGGATGATATAGAGGACCTGAATCTGGAGTTATTTTAAGCATTGGCCTTGGGTTATGAAAGGCAAAAGAAACAAAAATCCAAGTCTATCAAATTTAGTTGAATGTCAGAGAAGTCCCTGGCTAAAATCATTTGAAACTGTTATTCTAAAATCAGTTCAGTATGTTCGATATTATTATTATTTTTACAACTAAGTTATTTATTTTAATACTATTGAGCACTATAATAAACCACACCTCTCAGAATTTTTTCTAGTGTTTTCAAGAATGGTCCCATGCATTTTCTGCTCTCTGGGTTATTTAAGGCCTTCAGTTGTCTACTCTACTAATTCCTCTAGGTGTGTAAGTACGAAAATATGATTTTAAGACAATAAGGGAAAAGCTTAAGTGTTGTTTTTTGTTTTTGTTTTTTTTTGTTGTTGTTATTGTTTTAGAGAAAGCTACTGAGGGTTATGGGCAGCGTAATAGAACTTTGTCATATTTTATTTCATTCATATTTCCAATGTGTTTCTTTATTATTTGCAAACAATTAAAGGCCTTACCCATGAGATATATAATAGACTTTGGTAAGTACAAATCGATGGCAATACTTTTGAAAAAAAGCTTAATGGTTAGTTGTGCCAGGATTTGCAGCAACGCTGGCTTTTAAAAGATTTCTTCAGAGTGAAACTGACAATGTGGACAGTGACATATATAATGGCAACACTCTTCCTTGAAAAAAACAGGAATTGCCAGGGTGGTCTGTGTATACAATCTATTTCTGAATCTGATTTCTTAAATTCTCTTAAAGACACAACTAAGGCATTTCTTCTTCTCTAGTTATTTATTTTTCTGTGGAAATCTACACATGTATAAAAATTACAGGGTGAATAACTAAGGTTGTATTAAAATAGTTTTTTGACCCTGCAGTATCTTATTCAAAACCTTACCTTTTCATTTTAGCCTCCACCTAACGTGTGCATCTGAAATGATGTTTTCTTAAACTCTTAATGGCAGTTGTTTAGGAAAAAGCTTTTGATTAATTCAGTGAATGATAACTCACACTCTGCATTACCTTGCTGCACTTTTTTAAAGCAGCATGGTAACAGCTATGTCTAGAGTATTGAAATTCCAGGGCATCAGGACAGGTGACTGTGTGGATTTTAGATTTGGGAACTAGAAGTGGTCAGTCTCAGCACAAGTTTGTCTTCTCCAAGTTTGTATACTCCCCATATGCCCCTTCATCCATGACTAGCTGTTCCGATACAATTTTTGCCTCTGGGATCTTTTCTGTTTATGCCCCGTCAACCATCTCCTCTCTTGCTTGCCAACTATGTCCTCCCATTGGTCTATTTTTCCACTAGGAGACATTTTCTGGTCTCTCTCAGTGACTGTGTATATTGAAAAAAAGGAGACCATTTTGAACAAAAATGTATTTATGCATTTATCTCCTGAAAATCAGAAAACGTTTCATCTCTCCTAGACTTAACGTTCTTCACATGTAATAACAAGGTCATATACAACTGCATTGTCTTTGTGCACATAAAAAACTTCTGAGAATTTATCCAGGCCTTTAAAAGTACAGTAATTCATTGGTTATGTCTACATAATGCACAAACATCCTGCTAGAGAATTTAGTCAATCATTCAGTTGTTTGGTTGTTATGACACAAAACATTTAGATATGTTTGATTGGAAGATAACAAACAACTGTTTCTTAATATCTGTATAAATGGGCATTGTTTGGATAATAATATATATATCTTTTTTTTCCATTTAGCAATTGTGGTTTCAGCAGACGTAGCTTTTTGAGTGCAATTAACACCCAGACAATAATTTATGTACTGTAAGCTCATTACGGATACTTTTTTCTATGATCAGATTATAGAAAATAAAAATGTTAGTTTCAGTTTAGCACACAAATTCATTTTTATAGTTTCCCAGAATTAACAAACATTTAAATATGTGTGTATATGTGCACACATACTGTATATATAAAGTTATATGGATAATTCACATGATTCAGTTTTTACAAATTAAGAAAAATTTATTTTATTATGCAGTAATAGACCAAGATAGTAACTAAAAAACTCATGTTTTATTCTCTCAAAAATGTGCAAAGTAATGGATTTAGACAGGAAAGGGGAGAGGAAAAAGAAATATTTACCTAACTTATACTTGAAAAGTTACCATTTATTACATGATTAGTATCAACACACTTTTGTTTTTGTTTTTTTGAGACAGGGTCACCCAGGCTGGAGTGCAGTGGTGCCATCTTGGCTCACTGTAACCTCTGCCTCCTGGGTTCAAGTGATCCTTCCACCTCAGCCTCGCGAGTAGCTGGGTCCACAGGCATGGGCCACCATGGCTGGATAATTTTTGTGTTTTTAGTAGAGATGAGGTTTCACCATGTTGCCTAGACTGGTCTCGGACTCCTGAGCTCAAACGATCCACCTGCCTCAGCCTCCCAAAGTGCTTCGATTACAGACGTGAGCCACCAAGCTCAGCCAACACATTATTTTTGACAAATGAATACTTATTTATTTGTTTTATCAATTTTTAAATTCCTTTCTTCACTTCTTTCTTCCTTCTTTCCACCTAGGGAGGCTTCATTCTGAAGGCTCCCCAGTACAACATGTATATGCCTTAAATAAATTTGAATGCTTTGGCCCACACATACTTCCAAGTCCTTAACTTGACTGGGCATTTTGCACTAAATTAACCTGGAAATTAATTACACTAAATTAACCTGAAAATATATCCGTATTTTGTTGTAGATTTTATTTTATATTTCAATGTATTTTTGATACTAAGTTTTCTAAAATTTTCCATTATAAATCCATTATATTATATAACTCCATTATGTTTGAATTAAAAAATAATGATGGAATCAAACAATTCATTTGGTTAATTGAGCAGCTTATCCTGTCATAGTTATGGAATTTCTTGGTCACCACAGGTTGAATCACTTATTGACTCTTTTTCTCCTTAATTTAACAAGTGTTCATTCAGTATCTGTTTTATACTTGAAAAGACATATGCTTGTAATAGTTGGTTGACTGAACTAGGTTCAGTGTAGTCAAAACAGACCTATTAATTTAAAAAATACAGAAATAACATGTATTCTTTCGGTTTTTGTGATCTTGTACTTTGTCACCCATCATTACCCCTATGCTTTCTAAAATTCACTTTTAATGCAAAAAGTCTTACTCGTAAAAAATAACTTAAAAATAGTTATTGGTGAGTAGCTATTATCTGAATAACATACAGCTTAAAATTGTGATATAAGTAAAATAATTAGGATTTAAAATAAGTTGATATACTAAAAGCCAGAAAATACTGTACAAATAAAAGAAAATTATTTTAATTCAGTATAACATAGCAAAATAGTTTGGAAGTTGATATTCTTTTCAAAAATTCTCTTTAGTTTCTATTCATTGCCCATGTTATGTGCATATCAGAATATTGATAACTACTTCATTAAATTTAGTCTATACTAAATTGTTATAATGACTTCCATGTTTATTTACTTTATATTGTTCCTTCCTTTACAGAGATAGCAACATTTATAAAGTACCAAAAATATAATTGCTTCAACTGTGTGTAATTTGTGCAGTATTATTGGCTCCAATTGTGACAAGTCTTTGAAGATAGAGGAAATTGTATATAGAATCTAGAAGAGCAATAATTAATTCACAATACATTTATTCAAGAGGTAGATTTATCTTTGTCTCTGACACTAGGTGTTAAAATATTTGTAGATGTTATTTACACACACATACATATACACACCCATACTTATACATACATGAGTGCTTACATTTTTGGTCATTACAATTGGTTAAACAACAACAAAATGGAAAAATACCTCCCCAAATTATATGAATATAATTTCCTCAATATTTCCAAAATAACACCAATAATAAGAACAACAGATTACTGTGCTTAATCAACACTGTAAGTTTCCTCTTTTTTTAGCAAAAATAATAAGATGCTCATTTCTTAATGAAAGGAGAAAGAGACAAATAGTATGAAATGCTTAAACAACAAATGGGTTAAATGAGCACATATTCGTTAATGAAAATAAAATGAAGATTTTACCAAAATAAAAATTCACTCTTGCTGAGAAGGAACAT
This sequence comes from Homo sapiens, assembly GCF_000001405.40. NCBI lineage: Eukaryota > Metazoa > Chordata > Mammalia > Primates > Hominidae > Homo > Homo sapiens. The sequence goes on along the minus strand of NC_000001.11, from coordinate 81,270,331 downwards.
TACATGACCTTCCATCTTTAGGACTTCAGTCGGAAGGAGCTTGAGCTTGGCTTCCCACTGTCAGTGCTGAAGAGATTAGTGATGTAATTGTCATTGAATCTGATGTCCTTCTGTAAAAAGAGCTGAATTTGAAATGCAAATCAGAATTTATTGAATCTTTTATGACACAGTGAAAGAATTAAAGGACTCTGGTTTATGATGAGAAGAAATGAATGATAACTAGATAAGAGCTATGTTTTTAGCAAAGTAACAAAATGAAATAAGCAATGAAATCAGACTCTTTGAGGTATCATTTTAATATGCAGATTTTTTTTACTAATATGAGGCAATTAAAAAATTTAAATACCATTTTCTAGACATGTAATAATTCAACTACTTCTCTTTTTCCAAGCCACTTACTTAATGAGCTCAAATGAAATCCATATACAAATATTAAATATTTGAAATTCCCATTGTTAACAATAAGATTTGCATGTATATAAACGCCATGCCTAATAATTGTAACTCTTAATTGTGCCAATAATAGTAGACATATTTGTTTTGGCTTCAGGGAATTGAAGGAGCCTGACATTTTCAAGAATCTGTATGTATATTCTGCAATGCGACATTAAGATATAAAACCTGTTTTGGAAAGGCTGCAGTATAGAGGAAAACACTATATAATCCTGGAGCTTGTTGGACTCAATCCAAAGAATTTTAGTGTGTAAAAATGTATTTTGTAATCCAAAGGCCAAATTATATAAAGTCACCATTAAAGGAACATCAATTGTTGTGTTTAAGAAAAAATAACAAAAAGACAAACAAAAATTCAAAAAAACAAAGTAGGTTTCTGTTGAAACAATGTGGTTCTCTAACTTGACCAGGAAAAATAAAGGATGTCATAAGCTGTGGCTCATTAACTCTTCGGATTCTGTGCGTTAATTGTGACGTGGATACAGCATGCATCAGATGCCAAATCTAGGCACAAGAAATGTAGCAAGCTGTCCCCTTCTTCCAGAAACTTGTACTTTTTTGTGTGTGTGGAAGTAAGAAATCTTTGGAGAATATACACGTCTTAAACTGTGATTTGGGATAAAAGGTCAATATGAGTTGAGAGAAAAGAGAAATCACCTTGGGCTGGTGTTCAACTGAACTATGAAGAAAGTATTGAATTTACAAAGGCGAGACAGAAAGAGAAGGTTATTTCAGGCGAGTGGCATAACATGTTAAAAGTGAAAAATTTGAATATCAATATTAGGTTGAATGACAATAATAATAATAGCAAACATTTATTGATTACTTGAGAAAGATTCTGTTCTAAGCACTTTATATCTACTACCTCATTTCATCATCAATCTTTGTCTTACAGATGAGGAAATGGAGTTACAAAGAAGTATGAGACTTGCCTATGGAGGCACTGAGATCCAGGCCAAGGTCACCTTGCAGCCAGTTTGCTTTCTGGGGTGCAATGACCGAATGTAAAACTTGTTGATTGTGGGAAAGAATCAACTTATTGCTGATCCAGCACAGACATCTTAGTTGGTTTTATTAACTAATGTCAAGCATGACAATATTCTATTTTCAAATCAGATTCTTGGACTTCTCTGGCTTCAGCCACTGGAAACTCTGATTCTAATATTTGTGAAAATAAAATTCTGGTCATATGGCCAAAAGTGAACAGTACATAGCCAAAGTGAAACATTATTTTGTAGTCACTTTTAGTTTGTCTATTATACTGTGTTTCTTTATTGCCCTAGAGAAAATTAAATTGGTCAATTCAGTGGAGAAAAATCATCAACACGAAGGTTTGAAATGACCAGTTGTTTAACTAGAAAAATGGAAAAGTCTCAATTTGTAGACACAGTCTAAATGTGGAAAAATCATTAAACACTAAAACTCGAGGCAAACTTTACAAGTTCTGTTTCTAAATTAAAATCACAATTAATATTATAAGTCATTACACTATAGAGCTAGATATAAATGTAATTAATTGAAGTTAGAAATATCATACAATTTAATAGAATTATTTTACTAATAGACTTGCAATTGAGACTCCTTACTATAAAATAAGTCATTTTGATGAACTTTTTAGGGGGGAATCCTAATAGACACAGTTAATACGTATTATTTATTCCCAGCAATGTTTTTTATTATGCACATGGGCCCAAAGGCTGAAGCAATGGGCAAGAATTTTTAAAAATAAATTGAAAGAATAAATAAATGAAATAAAATTAAAGCCACATGTCGCTTTTTTTTTTTTTTTGGTAGGGGGTTGCAATTTGACTGTTTGCTACTCCAAGCTTGTTGGGTCTGGTTTCAGGTAATCTTGCAATTAAAGGCCTATTCCTCAAATAGTCTAGGGAAGTCCCTAGTGGCATGCAGAGAAAGAAATAAATGAAGACTCAACTTCGGCAGATCCCCAAGAATCTTTTTTTTTTTCTGTTAAAAAGTTTTTATTTTTATTTTGCGTCTTTTTTATTATTATTATTATACTTTAAGTCCCTAGAATCTTGAACACAGTCCACACAGCCCTTGATAGCTGTGAGGCATCCTGGCAGTTTAAAGGGATACTTTCCCCTGAATAGGTAATTTTGAAGAGGTGTTCAGTACAATATTAGACAGTTTGTATCATCAGACATAGATTTATGTAAGGTTCTTGACAATCACAAAACATGAAAAAAAATGCAGACCAATAGAATTCTCATTTGTTAAGAAATTGTCCAGAAAACGCATCAGGAGACAATTCTATCCACCTTTCTCTTGATCATTCAATCTAACGGAAGAAGGAAAAAAGAAGATGTCTGGAATGCAATGTGGAATTTGTTTAAAAAAATGCTATTAAGGATTTACTTCTAATCATTCCTTGACTGTATGATTATGTATTATAATGATGTCACAACACCAATTTTTTGATGGAATGTCAGAAACATTTCACAAGTCTATGACTCCCTGAAAACTCAAGTGCTTTTATAACTCCTTGAAGTTACTATAATAGGCATTATTCTTTCTTTTAAATGACTGTCAGAGGGACCTACTGTTATCTTGATGCTTATATTTGAGAAAATTTTGCTCGAGCTCTTATACACCTTCATGGCAACACTCAATTTCCAGGCTCTTTTGTGGCTCCCTCTTTCTGCTTCTCATTATGTTGAACCAGCTGAATGTTTTGTCTGTTTTGATCAGCAAGGTTAGCAGTGAACTGAATTCTGAAGATTTTTCACACTGTTTTTTAGTTCTGCTTAAGAAATATTTACTGAAGCTCTGGACCCATAAAAACGAAGGGGATTTTGAGATTTTATTGATGTAATCGAAGAGGAAGTGTTGTCCATTGTTACTATACCCAAAACATTTCAGAAGTACAAGCAGAGAAATATGTCTCTATCATCAGAATTTAATATGAAATCATGTTCTTCTTTTATCATACAGAAAATTTGTCATAGGTTTTATCTGCAATAAAAGCTATGTCAGTGGTGCCACATAATACATTTGTAAAGGTTAGAGACATTTTAACCCTCATCTGTGACCAGAATTATAACGGTAAGCAACCCACTGAAGCACCAATGGCAGATTAAGAGTGTAAAATTTCTCTGCAGACATTAATGCAAAACAGCGTAGGAATCCACACATTATAATGCAGTGTGGTCATTTTGAATAATGCCCTTGAAATTACAAATTTATTACATAAGTAAAAATATATGATTACAAATTCCATCAATCTTATGTCCTTGTCACGGATTTGTGTTTTTAGAGTCCAGGGAGATTGTTCTGTTGTACTGGTTAAACTCTCAAAAAGGCATGTGAAAACATAACGGCCACATTATTTTAATGACTTCCTTTTTGAAATGTGTATTGTTATAAATCATGCATAAGAAACAGCGAATTCTCAGAAATATAGGTTTTACTTATATGGATTTTAATTTCCAAAGTTTATATAATTTTCTATTTTTGAATTCTGTTTCCAAACAGAATTTACTTTCTCCTTTAATTGCACATTATAGTTTTATATTATTTTATATTAAGAGCTAAATTTCAGATGCTAAAACTTTTCCATCAGGCAGTTCAGCAATTGCTGAGCAGCCACAGAGCGTACATTTAAGTCACTATACTCAAAATTAATTCACAAGAGAACTACAATTCAGAACTGGTAGAAAAATGAAATATGTATTTAGATTTTTTTTCCCACTGGGTGTGCACCAGAATCGAATACAAGTTTTGTTTAGGAAAATCCAAATAAACACTATTTTGTTTGAATAGCTCAGACAGTGGAGTTGCCTCACACTGGCTTCTGGTCATTTTATTCTAAAGTGCGGAATGTATTTTGAATACACGACAGTTTAATTTAGTTGGTTTAATCCACAGTTTCAACTTTTGCCTTTTCTTTGAAAACAAGTTTCATAAAAGTATCTGCAGAAGTCTTGTTTTGATTACCCCTTATCCTTCAGCCTTAGATCAGTATCAGTTTTTTTCCCCTTGCTCATAATCCATTATAGAAAATACTGTAGATTTCTACAGCATGACCAAAACTCCACATTATGTTTGCAATTTTCCGTAATATTTGTATAGTATGAAGTAAAAATGTTTGCTTTAAGAGACATCTGCTATAAATAAAATGACAGTGTAAATTTTCAAGAGAGCTGCACAATCACCATAAAGGCTCAAAACATGAACCTTCTAGAGTGGGTTCCAGCACTTAGTGATTTTCCAATGGGTCAACCGTGTTCACCTCGATGCTCTTGAACCCCCACCCAACTCCTGGTTCTCCTCACCTCCCTCTCAGATCCCGACATTGCAATGAAATTAGCCTGTAATGCTTTCAACGCCCTTGCAGATCAGCTTTCATTGTCAGGGAAACATGGGAATGGCATTAAAATATGCTTCCCATTCTCACAAAATATTTCCTCAAAATGCTTTAGAAACTCAAACCAGTTCCTTCAGATTCTGATATTATCTTTATTGAAAAGCATTGGCCAGCTTGAAAGGGTTGACCATCCAGGTCAGAGATATATATATATTGTTTAAGAAGTTTCCAGAACTACTCATTAAAGCTCTGCCTCAAGCGAGATTTGTTAGGGAGAGCAGAGACAGACTTGCATTTCTTTATCCAAATTTTCCTGTCAGTCTTCTTTAAAAACAAGTAACTAGAGTTCCCATAATACGCTCTTTTTGCATGACAAAATGTTTCCAGTTTCCTGAAATGAAGAGCTTCATCGTGGTTGTTGTCAGAGATTGAATTGAGACATCAATGATTAAGAATGACAATGACAGGCCAAAGATGTATTGAAGTTCAGAGGAAAGCAGGGACAGTTTATTTAAAAAGGTCACTGAAGAATATAAGGAAATTCATTTAAAAAGTCTTCATTGATGTCATTTATATTTTTTTAATATAGAAAGTGAAATCGGAGCACTAAATAGTACTTTAAAATTCAAAATATAAAATTCTGTAGAATAACAAATATATTATATTCAAGCTTTGACCTTAATAAGGGCTTAAGGGGTTGATGGAGAAATATGTAAATTAAGGCTCATTGTTTTTTTGATAACAAGAAAGGAAGTGCAACTCGTGTGAATATTTCTTCATTTAGTTACTGCATATCTAGTGTGAAAGTACTTTTCAGTAGTTATAGAAATATGTTTTAAATTGCTTTTTCATTATAATACCCCAAAGGCAAAATTATTTTATTGGAAAATTGATTTGCTATCAAATAAAATAAAAATAAGAGTTTAAAAGATCTAAACTAAACAAATGATAGAAAATTATTTGGCTCACAAACATTACCAGATGTCTTACTATGTATGTAGCGTATAACACACACACACACACACACACACACACACACACAAAATATATGTATATATATATATATATATATATTAAACCTTCTCATATTTATTGTTCTCAAAAATGACTTTTTGTAGTAATGGAGAAAATGTTAGCTTGCCACTTTTTCAGACAGCAAGTCCCCAAAGAACATAGAAATTACATAAATTGTTATGACTATCAAAACCAATTGCCAAATTTTCTTTTACAAAATACTTCCCCCTCTATAAATAGTTTAATTTCCCCTATCTCTTTGAGGTTTTTTTTTTTTTATCTTTTCCAATGTCCTACGCTGCAATATGTGTGAAATTTATCAAAAGCTTTCTGATATTACCATAAATTACTGTGTAAGCAGAGCTATTGCTTATCTGTCAAGCGGACTTTTTTTCCTTTCTTTAGCAATTTTCTCCATTTGTGTATGTGTGAAAGGTTTTCCCTGACTTTTTTTTTTTTTTTTTTTTGTGAGGACTGTACCTTAAAGGTTTTGACTTTTAGTGAGGGTCTACAATAGAAACCTGTTTATAGAATAACCTCATGACACAACAGAGTTCAAAGAAAAACACCTCTTTTTTTAAAACAAGTATTTAAAGAAACTAATTTCTGTATAGTAGGCCATATCCCTATGTTGAATAAGCAAATTTATTGTGTTAATGTATTTTTCTACCATTTTGAACTTCATTTTGGTTGTATATTTTATGTGCAATGAATGTTTATTATTTTTCCAGTTATTTATTTTTAAATCTCTTACAATTATGTTTCTTTAGTAGTACATGGTAAATGTTAATCTTTTTATAAGAATTATTTTATGAGGCTCTACCGTACCTTATTAGTCATAATTTTTGACAACCATGCAATTATCTTTTTTATTGTGAGCATTCTTAAAAAAATTCAAGTTTAATTGGATGAATATTCTGCTTTGGAAAGAAGTTATGATGATATTCTATTATGGACTGTGTAATCTGGGAAGAGGCTGAATATTGGGTTTGCTTTATTCCTGCCACAGGCAGGCAGGGATGAACTGAAATTTCTATTTTGGGTAGTGCAGGGAAAAGGTCACTTTGAGGATCTAGACTTGGAAAGATTGTCATGATAATGGAATATCTAGAAACTACTTTAAAGAAGAAAATTATAAAGCCCTCTGTGTTGTGCCTGGGGGGCTCATCAGTTGACTGGAATTTTCTGTTTCACACTCAATGGCTTGTCCTGCCATATCTCTAATTTTACATAAATGGCACTTCAGGTATATTTTGAAATCCTTTACAGAAATTAGACAATCAATTCTTCCCTCTACAGCAGACATATATTAGCCTTACAAATAGACTAAAAAGTGAAATAAAAAAGATATGCTTTTGTACCTATCCATATTGAAATCTGTGCAGCATTTTTAAAAGTTCTTGTTTGTCACCAAAAGACCATGTATGTCAAGAGCGATTAAGTTATTCTCAAAGGGAACAACAAAAATAGTAAACAATGACAACAAACCAAACCCTGGGACTGTCAAACTTCATTCTTGAATGATAATTTTCTTTTTAGCACAACTACTCATATAGATGCATTCACTCTCTCACCATATATCATAAAAAGAAGCTCTCTTCTTATTTTTATTTTATTTTATTATTTTATTTTTTTGGAGACAGAGTCTTGCTCAGTCCAGGCTGGCATGCAGTGGCCTGATCTCGGCTCACTGCAACCTCTGCCCCCTAGGTTCAAGCGATTCTCCTGCCTAAGCCTCCCAAGTAGCTGGGATTACAGGCATGTGCCACCATACCTGGCTAATTTTTGTATATTTAGTAGAGATGAGGTTTCACCATGTTGGCCAGGCAGGTCTCGAACTCCTGACCTCAGGTGATCTGCCTGCCTTGGCTTCCCAAAGTGCTGGGATTACAGGCACGAGCCACCGTGTCCCGTCAGAAGCTCTTGTTTTATCAACCTATATCCCTTGTACATTTAATGTCTTTAGAGTGTGTAACATGGCATAATAATTGGGAGTGCTGCTTCTGGAGATGATCCATTCTGGGTTCCACACCTGCAACTCTCAAGTAGTAGCTGTGTGAGCTTAGGAAAGTCACCCAACATGGATGGGTCAGTTTCCTCATCTCCAAAATGAAGATAATGATAGAAATTACATCAACGTTCTTTTATGGGATTAAAAGGCTAATATTTTAGCTAGTTCCAAATTAGTAGCTACATATATTTACTTATTTAAATTAATAGATTACTTTTTTGAGCAGTTGTAAATTACAGAAAATTTGCTTCAAAAGTACAGTTTTTATGTTACACCCACCTGCCCCAAACAGACACATAATTTCTCTCATTATTAACATCTAGTATGGCACATTTATTAAAATTGACAAACCAATATTGATACATAATTGTTGACTAAAGTCAACAATTAAGGTTATATTAAGGTTCATCTTTTGTGTTGCACAGTTCTATGGGTTTTGATAAATGGACAATGTCATGTATTCCCTAGTATATTATCACACAGAATAGTTTCACTGCCTAAAATCCTCTGTGCTCCATCTATTCATCCCTTTCTCTTCCCCTGCAAACTCCTGGCAAGCACTGATGTTTTTACTCTCTCCATAATTTTATCTTTTTCAGCACGTCACATAGTTGGAATCATATAGTTTTTAGCCTTTTCAGACTGGCTTTTTTTTTTCAGTTAGCAATATATGTATATGTGTATATATATGTGTGTGTGTATATATATGTGTATATATATATATATATATATTAAGTTTCCTCTATGTCTTTTCATGGCTTGTTAGCTCATTTCTTTTTATCACTGAATAGTATTCCATTGCATAGATATCCTACAATTTGTTTGTCCACTCACCTATTGAAGGACATCTTGGTTGCATCCAATTTTTAGCAATTATGAATAAAGCTGCTATAAACATTTATGTGCAGGGTTTTGTGTGGACATAAGTTTTCAACTCATTTGGGCAAATTTCTTGGAGTGTAATAGCTGGATCATATGGTAGGATTATGTGTAGCTTTGTAAGAAAGTGCCGAAGTGTCTTCCAAAGTGGCTGTACTGTTTGCATTCCCATAGCTGTGAATGAGAGTTCCTGTTGCTCCACATTCTCACCAGTATTGGGTGTTGACAGTGTTTTTGATTTTAGTCATTCTGATAGATATGTAATGTTATCTCACTGCTTGATTGGTATCTTGTTTAATAAACAAATATTTACCAGCTTTTATGTACCAGGCAACGTTCTGAGGACTAGGATTGCAACAGTGAACAAAACAGTCAAAAATGCCTTCCATGAAGCTTGTATTCTAATGAGGTGAGTAAATATATATAATCTATCAGATGGTGATAAGTGTTATTATGGAAGAAAATGGAGGAAAGCAGACTGTTGGGGTGGGGGCTACGATTTTAAATTTTGTAGTCAGAGAAGCTTCATTGAGAAGACAACATCTGAGGAGAGGTTGAAGGAAGAAAGAAAGAAGTCATGAAAACATGTGATGGAAGTGTTGCAGGTAGAGGAAATATCAGGTGCCGGCCGGGCGCGGTGGCTCACTCAGGTAATCCCAGCACTTTGGGAGGCCGAGGCAGGTGGGTCACCTGAGGTCGGGAGTTCAAGACCTGCCTGGCTAACATGGCGAAACTCCGTCTCTACTAAAAATACAAAAATTAGCCTGGCGTGTTGGGGGGCACCTGTAATCCCAGCTACTTGGGAGGAGGCTGAGGCAGGGGAATCTCTTGAACCTGGGAGGCGGAGGTTGCGGTGAGTCAAGATTGCGCCATTGCACTACAGCCTGGGCGAAAGAGTGAGACTCCGTATAAAAAAAAAAAAAAAAAAAAAAAAAAAAAAATCAGGTGCAAAGGCCCAGCAGAAGAACTGTGCCTGCCTGTAAGGTATAAAGAACAGCAGGGAAACCAGTGTGAGCAAGTTGGAGGTGTTATGAGAGAGGTCATCGGGGCTTCTTTATGGAGGGCCTGGTAGGACATGGTTAGATCTTTGCAGTTTATTGTAAGACAGAGGGAAAGCTATCCAAAGGTGTTGATCAAGAAAGTGATAGGACATATCCTATCTTTTTAACCATAATTGAGCAGTTGTACTGAAAATAGGTTGTAAGGGGTGAAGGGCAGAAACAGATAGACCAGGTAGGAAGTACTATAATAATCCAGGTAAGATTTTATGTTGCTTGGATTAGGGTTGAAGGCAGCAATTTCTACATATGAAGTGCTTGTAACATTGCCTGTCACATAGTATTATAATAATAATTATTTTTATCACTAATATAAAAAATACAAAATATTCTTTTTTTCTACCTCATGTTTCCCACAATTATGACATCATAGTCTGATGTTAATTATTCACTATGTTCACTGAAATTATAACTGAGTTACGCCTTCTAAAAAATTCAACTTCTTCTATTTTGAAAAGTTAAAAGAGTTCTTATTGTGATTAGATTTTCATGACGTTGCCAGGATATATCTTCTAAATAATTTTCAACTTATGGCAATATATTTAGTTCATTTAAAATATAATTAGGTTCCAGTTTGCAATCCTTCTAACTAGGAAGTCTGTTGTATGAAATAAAGGGAGAGGCTGGTTAAAGTTTTGAGCTCTTAAACATTTTTTCTTTTCCCTGGGAGTGCAAAATTAGGAGGCGGAGTGTGGTTACAATAGTTGTAGAATGATGAATAGCAGGCACTTTGGTTGAAGGTTCAGATCTCTCTGAAAGTGGGACTAGGGTGGGAAGACTGTGAGAAGATAACTCTTTTTTAGGAACACGAGATTAAATATGGAATGTTAAATGTTCAGCCAGCTGTGAGTGGGAGAAATTGAGATCAACCCTGTCATTCTTCTGCTTTTGCCTAAACCAGAATACTGTCACTGAGTCTTAGGAAGCCTACGAAAGCATCAAGTGTACTTCGAATGAGTAAGAAGAATTCCAGAGATACCCTCCAGTAACTGACCACCTCGTTGTAGCATTAGGCAGTCCTCTAAATGGATCCCAATGACGACCTAAGTGTAGATGCAAATGTAGACATGCATTCACTTAGGAAATATTTATGAACATGATCTACATGCTGGGAGTTCTGATAGGGACTGGGGATTCAGAAATAAATAAAAGTTCCTGTCTCATAGAACTTACATTGCAGTGGTGAAGACAGCCAATAAACATTTAAGCAACTGAACTTATAATATAGTGCTACACAGTGATAAGTGTGAGGCAGAAAAACACAAAGGGTAGAGGAATGCAGAGTGACAGAATGTGCATTTTGGATACGCTGTTTAGGGATGAGATCTCTGAGGAACTGGCATAAGAACAAGACGTAAATGCAGCAAAGATGCAAGCCGCCATGTATATATTCCTGGGGAAAGCATTCCAGGGGAAGAAAATTCCAAGTGTAAAGTCCTTGAGGTGGGAACATTTCTGATGTGTTCTCAAAAGAGCAAAGAAGGCCAGGTGACTACCCTGAGGGCGGGAGGAGAGCACGGGAGGGAGAGGAGGCTGAGAGGCAGTTAGTGGACAGGCTGTGAAGAATGTTGAGTTTCTGTGTCATGGGAAGCCAGTGACAGCTGAGACATTCAAAGTGTTATGATCTGATTTTCATTCTGGAAAGATTATGCTGCAGAGTAGTGAGGGGAGGGAAGCACAAGAGGAAATAGAAAGCCCAATCAGGTAGCCATTGCATAAACCCAGGGGAGACAAGGACGTGGACTAACTTCCCAGTGACTGACTTTGAGGTGTATTTTTGTAGGTATAGGTGACAGTGTTTGAATTGGATGTGAGATGTGGGATTAAAAGAGAGAGAGAGAGGATTGGTGCATAACTAGCTGTGTAAATGGTGATGACATTTTACCAAATGAGGAATGCCAAGTTGAAAGAAAGAAGTTGCAGTGCAGGGAAGATTTTCTCAGAGTAAGAAAGAGATGTTGTCTTCTCGAGTTCCCCATAAAGTCTGCAAGTTCTGAGAAATTAAAAACAATTTTGATTGTAAACAACATACTTAAGATAGATTTTATTCCCTTTGAGATGAGCATGATATTTTCTATAGCAGTGATTCTCAAAAATTGTTCTGTGGCCTGTTAATGGGCTTTAAGCAATCCCCTGAAGAATCTCAAATTGATTCAAATGTACAGGCGTTCCCCTTTATTCTTAAGGAAAAGTTGGGTTTTATTCCATTGACTTATCTTATTCTTATCTTTATCTATAACGAAGATTTCATTTTTTTTTTTCTTCAGAGATGGGGTCTTGTATGTTGCCCAGGCTGGAGCGTGGTAGCTATTCACAGGCACCCATCATAGGGCATTACAGCTTTGAACTTCTGGCTTCAAGCGATCCTCCCCTGCCTCAGTCTTCCTAGAAAATGGCGCTGCAGGGGCACTCCACCACATCCAACTACTAAGAGCGTTTTGTTTTGTTTTACTATTAACCTAGGATATTAACATTTGTTATTTATATACCCAAATTAACAAGCTGCTAGAGCATACTGAAGACTAATTCAGTTTCGCACCTAGAAGTATTTGACAAAGCTTGACAATATTCCTTCAGTTTTAGGGGAGGACAATTTGTTACTAGTGAATCAGAAACGTCTGTGTTGGCCAGGAATTTTAATTGCTGTTATTCTTGCTTGTTAATTATAAATTTAGTTTAGCTTAATTATTACCATTTTATTTTCTTATGGGATGTATCACTAAGCTTACAGTTTGTAGCCATGTATATTTGGTCCAATATTATTTCTGGATTGTAATATCCCCAAAGCATTGAATCCCAGTGTACTAAATTTGAATATGAATTATCCATCCCCCCTATTGCTAAAACAGATGTCTAAATAATTTCCTTCCTTCATTCCTCAACTTGCTTAAGCAGTGACACTTTATCATTATTGCTGAATTCCTTTTCCACTGGAAGAAGTGATCAAGTAGAATAGGTAGATTATGGAGTCTTTGCTATAATATGATCAAATAATTGAAAAGCTATTGGTATACATTCAAATATTCATTTCTTCTAATTTTTCCTCATTGTCAGGAGGCACATTACTGATAAGTTTTCATTTTTTTTTTTTTCTTCTGCAATTAACCAGATGTACAGGCAGCATAATAGAAAGACATTCAAAATTTGGGGAATCGTCCATTTCCTTCATTTAGAGTCAACTAGGTTTGCAATTAAGTTTTGACTGCCCCAAGCTGTTTAATCATTGACAAGTTACCTAACTTCATAGCCTCAATTTTTTCATTTGTAAATTGGGATCATAATATTTTCTAATTTATTCGTCTATTGTGATGCTTGAATCAGATGATGATAGCAGTGATGGAATAAATGAACTTTATGACAAGTCAGGGACTGTTTAAAGTACCTTACAAACATATCAATGAGAAGATGATAATAAAAATATTAGCCAGTATTTATGGTGGAAAGATTGGAATAATAGATGATTTAAAAATCATTCTTGTTGGGCTGGACACAGCAGCTCATGCCTGTAATACCAGCACTTCGGGAGACAGAGGCGGGTAGATTTCTTGAGCCCAGGAGTACAAGAACAGACTGGGCAACATGCTCAAACCTCATCTCTACAGAAAATACAAAAATGAGCCAGGCATGGTGCCATGCACCTGTAGTCCCAGCTCCTGGGGAGGCTGAGGTGGGAGAATGGCCTGGGTCCAGAAGGGGATTGCAGTGACCTGGGATGGTGCCACTGCACTCCAGCCTTCCTGACTTTGTCACCCCCCAAAAAAATCATTCTTGTCAATGCTAATAGAATAATTTTAGTGAGACTGACAGGTTGAACCTTGTTATCAAAAGTATCACTTTTGGATGTAAAGAATAAAGAATTGATCTGGTGTAGAAAAACATGAATTGTAGAGTGTCTTTCCATTATATGCAATAAGACTAATTACAGAGACTTCTTTCATATGAGAGACTGTGCTAATGACCAAAGATGAAACTTTGCATTAAGAATTTATCTTTTTAAGTGGAGTAAAAGCCATTTACTTCTAGAGATATAAATGGTTAAGGCTAAATGAATCTTTAAGTATATCCTAGTTACACACTGACTTGAAAGGTTATTTTCTCCCTGTTTAAGCAAAAGAGACTACAATTAATTTTGACAGATGTGGCAATTATCTGATAACTGCCAGCTTATTTTCATACAAATTACCTGATGTGGTTTGGCTGTGTCCCCACCCAAATCTCATCTTGAAATGTAGCTCCCATAATCCCCATGTGTTGTGGGTGGGACCAGGTGTGAGGTAACTGAATCATGGGAGTGGGTTTTCCTGTGCTGTTCTTGTGACAGTGAATAAATCTCACAAGACCTGACCGTTTTATAAAGGGCAGTTCCCCTGCACACCCTCCTTTGCCTGCCACCATGTTAGACATGACTTTGCTCCTCTTTCACTTTCCGCCATGACTGTGAGGCTTCACCAGCCATGTGAAACTGTGAGTCCATTAAACCTTTTTTCTTTATAAATTACGCAGTCTCAGGTATGTCTTTATTAGCAGGATGAGAACGGACAAATACACTACCCAATAGCAAGATTATTTTTGATGATCAGAAGTCTTGTCTGAAAAAAAAACATACATCAAGTACTCAGGAGATTGTGATGCTAATCTGGGAACCATATTTGCCCTAAGAATGGAAGGATTGTGAACAACTATCTGTGAAGAAATGCAGTGCCAAGATGAAAAAATGCCAGGCAAGGTAAGGAGAGTCTGGGAAAGTGCAAAGAAGGAGGGAAAGAAAACAAAGAAATGGAAACAGAGATTGTTTATCCCTGAGTCCTAGTACATAAAGACATTATTATTAACATTTCCACAATACTTTCACTTTTTATTAGGCACTTACGATATAACAATGAATTTCAAAATGGGACCAGGAGGGTAGAGATGAGGGAAAAGGTCCAAGATGGCAAAGAGGGTTCCAGATTGCCTTGACTCTTCTTATTGCCAAGCCCAGTTTTTCCTCTAACTCCCACAGCTCTCCTAAGTCCTCTTGGAAAGGAAACTGGACCATGATTTTTGCCTACAATTATTTCTCCTTATTCTCTGCTCCCCTGGATTGTCAAATACAGTGCTTGCCCTCTTCCCCTCCTACCCCTGACAACCGGCTTGGTCACTAATGTCAGTATAAGGGTAGAAAGGGATGCTGATAGGAAATCCCAATGTTTATCTCTAAGCAGTGGTTTCATTAACTAGAAATCCCCCAAAATGTGGGCAAGGTTTTAAACAGGGCACACAATGTTAACTCAGCTTGGTGCATGAGTCAATAGTTGTAAAGTGATACAGAATTAAATATGTCACTTAGTGTTATTCTAATGTGGGGCTCACATATTTGTTGGTGAAACATCGCTCTTTGTGGTAAAAATTGGGTAGTTTTTTTCTAAAGTTAGTATCATATTTTAATAAGTCTAAAAAGTGCTCAAGGTATTACAGAACTTCAATGAAAAAGATAAATTTTGAGGTTCTTAGAAGCAATTATGTTAGGAACCAGTGCTAGGAGATGTGAGGCTAGTTGTAAAATGCATTTCTGAAATCATAAGTTGAATGTTATAGGTGAAACCCAGCCCAGGGACAAAAGGATTGGGCTCTGTTGGTAAGTTTTAGGACACCTGGTCATTCATATTAAAAAGGCCATTTTCTTTCTTTTGGCCCCTTACTTTATCTAAGACTTGCAAGAAACCTAGGAGGTTCTCTTCACACAACTGTGAATAAATGTAGCCACACTTATGTAAAATGAAGTGCAACAATACCAGAATTGGTTGGTTTTGTGATGCTCCACGAGCCTGGGTCTTATCGGGTTGAGGGTTAGGAAATAGTCCATGTCCTAACTGTGTTGGTCATGTGGTTGGAACAGGCATTGCTGGAGCCCTGCTGGTATGTTCCTGAATTGCTGCCTGATTCCTGAGCCTCCTGATTTGTAGCCTGGGAATGCTGCTGTCTTGAAGGACTCTGGGAGGATATTAGGAAGCAGTCAAGTCTGTATAGTTCACTTTATTTGATTAATCAGAGATCATTCCTATGACTTTTTCATGGAAGTATTTGCATTACTATTTATAGTAATGTTTTCATATACCGCTTTTCCCCCACAACAATGTCTCTTTTAAAAGACAACATAACAGGTATCATAAATGTATATACTTTACCTAGGGGGCAGCTACACCCAAAGAAAACTTTTTTTAATAAAGGCTAAAAATTTTTCTCCAAAGTCATGTGATCATGAAGTTCTGAAAATGTAAATGGTCTCAGGACAATGAAGTCCCTATATCAGAGAGGGGTGCAGTGCCACCACTGTTAGCGCCACTAGAAATCCCAGTGTACTACAGGTACTGCAGAAAGGGAGGCAAAGCAAAAAGATTCATGTGACATCTAATTTGTTTGACTATTTACAAGTTAAGGCTTTGAGAATCAGAATTATCAGAATCATTTAATTAGATCAGTCAGGTCAGCTTTGAGCCATTTAAGCTGCGGAACTTTCATCTAAGATGAAGGCTCATTAAGCAGACTGCAGAGCTAGAATGTCTGCATTTGAATCTCTGCTGCTCTCTACTAGCCGTGTGACCTTTGGCAACTTATTTTATCACTCTGTGTCTCAGTTTCCTCATCAGTAAAATGAAGACAATAATGGAATCAACCAAATGAGGTAGATTATAAGAGTTAGTATATGGAAAGTACTTAGAAAAGTGCCCAGTGCCTCAACATGGTACATACTATGTGAGGGTTAGCTATTACTAGAATTGACCAGGTCTTTAAGACTGCATCTTAAGTTCTACCACATCTATCGCCCCCAAATTGCTGAATTGCCTACTTGTCTAAGGCAAGCCTTCTATAAAATAAGAGGAAAATAGAGCTTCAATCGTAAGCTTAGTATCATGGTTACATATGAAATATATGTATCAAACCCAAAAAGTGCTTGTTACTATTTTCATCGTTATGATTTTGTTACAATCTCAAAGTATGTGACATAGTGTTATTTTTTTTTTCCTTTTGGCATATGAAAAGTGGGACTATTTTAATTCTTTAGTATCATTTAAAGAATTCACACATTTGCTTACTCTGGAAAGCCTGCAATTGTGTTTACTAAAACATATGGATGTTTACTATAAATGCTTCATTCCTAGGATTTGCTTCCACATGTGCTATCAGGCATAATGGTAATATTTTAACTCCGGTAAAGTAACGCATGCTATAGAAATGTGTATAATGTGCTTCACAAGATAATTTTCATCCTCATGTTAATTACTTGAATAAAATGCAAATATTTAATTGAATGTAAAAATTGATCCTATCCATATTTATTTGTTCTATTTTCAGGGTAAATTCAATACGATTACTACGAGCATAATTTCAACTGACTTCTATGAAGAAGATTTCACAGTCACCTGAAGCAACAGCCTGCAGCTGTCATTATGGAAAGCCCCCAAAAAGAGCTTGGAAAATCTTGGGAGGATTTCTTCAATCTTATGAAAAAAGGGAAACAAATAAAGTAAAAGGAGATTTCTTCTCAAAAAGAAATCTGAAAATGTAGCATTAGAAACCAAGAAGGGCTTAATCTATTGACATTTTAAACTCTTACTACCCAGATTTCTCATTCATTGTTCATTTTACATTCTTATGAGCTTCATTTCAACAGTGCTTAAAAATTGCTGCATATTCTTAAGCCACTAAAACAGATGCAAATTGAGATGTGGGATTTCTGGGCTTTAAAAGTAGTTGCAAAACTGTTTTTTAGAAATGGATCCCATACTAACAAGGGATACAAATCAATGCATCAAGAGAAACTAGAATACAATATGGTGTGGCTCACAATTAGAAAATATGAGTTTACTTCATTTTGTTTCTATCTAAATCAATCCTGAAAACTTCACTGATTGTATGACTCTCTTCTTTTCAATGTATCATTTAAAGGACAGACACATTGATGGAAAATAAATGGATGAAGATGGGCTTTGTGAATCCCAGATCTTACTGTTGGTATGTTTATAAACACAAGCAGGTGAAGGTTACAGTCTAGCATTTATTTTTACCCTCTTTAGGATACTGTGAGTCAAAATATTTTACATAAAATGTACTTTCTTGCTCTGGTTTTCTATATTGTTACCTTTATATTATACTGTATTTTTGGCATTGTAGCAACTCAGTGTTTGCACCATTAAATCTGACTATAAAGGGCCTCTGATACTGTACTTTGTTATATTTATATTTTTAAAATATAAAAACAATATACTCTTGACGATAAATAGAAACTCAGAATTGCACAATTTCAACTCATTGGCAATGTGACCTGTTCAACATTACATATAATACACTTACATCACTCATAAAACAGAATGTTTACAATTCTTATACTACTTGAAAAATCTCAAAAATGCGTACCATTTGCATTTCATGACATCTTAACAAAATATGGAGTCTTAATGACCACCTCAGCTAACCTAGGATTTTCAGGTAATTTTTACAATTTTAGACAAAGACAAGAGAAATGAAATTACTTAACCTGGAGTCCTTTACATTATAGACTTTTATTGGTTTTGGGTTTTTTTTTTTTTTTTTTTTTTTGAGCTGTTTGCAGGTTCTTGCAGGGGAGCAAAGCTACTCTTGACAGGAATAATGGTCTTCCTCTATCAGGGGAGGTCATCCTCTTTGACCAAACATGCAGCTTCAGGAGGGATGCATGGGAAGTGGTAGGGAGGAAAGGGATGCCCGCCTAGCCAGCCACATCAATCCGAATCAAACTTGGTGATCAATGGGTTGACATGTCGCAGCCAGATCACCTTCACTTCTGGTTTTTGATTTTTTGAAGAGTGCTCAATGAATACTTACCTATCCTCGATTTTCACATACAAAAAATCAATTTTTAAATCATTGTCCTTGTATACCCTTCTGGACCTCCTTGAATGGGTTGCCGTAACTCTTGCATCCAATATCAAATGACTCATACACCCTCACACACATACATACACACACACTCACAAACAGCACTAACTGAAAAACATGAGAAAATTAATCTGAGTTGCTGCATTTTCTGAAAATACCTGAAAGATAAAGAAAACCAGAAAAAAATTTCACCCAGCTATGGAAAACCTCTCCATATTTTCCATGAGTTCTGCTATCCATCAATATTCAGCAAAAGTTGGAAATAATCATCCCAAAAAATCTTCTCAAAGAAAAACAATCATTTAATACAATCTCCATATCCCAGATATGTCATTTCTCTCATTTGAGTCTCAACAGTACTTTCTGTCTCCCTTTTGCACTCAGAAGGTGAGTTCTGCTTATGGTCCTATGTAACTACCTGTGTAATTTTAAACAAGCCACTTAACCTCTCTGAACTATTGTTCGTTAATTTCTAAAATTTGTATTTTCATGCACGTCTGTGTGAAGAGACCACCAAACAGGCTTTGTGTGAACAACATGGCTGTTTATTTCACCTGGGTGCAGGCGGGCTGAGTCCAAAAAGAGATTCAGTGAAGGGAGATAAGGGTGGGGCCACTTTATAGGATTTGGGTAGGTAAAGGAAAATTACAGTCAAAGGACGTTTGTTCTCTGGCGGGCAGGAGTGGAGGTCACAAAGTGCTCAGTGGGGGTGCTTTTTGAGCCAGGATGAGCCAGGAAAAGGACTTTCACAAGGTAATGTCAGCACTTAAGGCAAGGACCGGCCATTTACACTTCTTTTGTGGTGGAATGTCATCAGTTAAGGTGGGGCAGGGCCTTTTCACTTCTTTTGTGATTCTTCAGTTACTTCAGGCCATCTGGGCGTATACCTGCAAGTCACAGGGGATGCGATGGCTTGGCTTGGGCTCAGAGGCCTGACATGCCTGCCTTCTTATATTAATAAGAAAAATAAAACAAAATAGTGTTGAAGTGTTGGGGTGGCGAAAATTTTTGAGGGGTGGTATGGAGAGAGAATGGGTGATGTTTCTCAGGGCTGCTTCAAGCGGGATTAGGGGCAGCGTGGGAACCTAGAGTGGGAGAGATTAAGCTGAAGGGAGGTCTTGTGGAAAGGGGTGATATTCTGGGGATGTTAGAAGAAACATTTGTCGTATAGAATGATTGGTGATGGCCTGGATACAGTTTTGGATGAATTGAGAAACTAAATGGAATAACAGAAGGAGAAAAACAGGTATAAAAAGTCTAAGAATTGAGACGACTCAGGATATCTGATTAGAGAGTGCCTAAGGAGATTCAGCATAGTCCTGCCAGCAAAGATTATTTATTTATTTCAAGAGTTAAGAGTGGCAGTTTGGGGATAGCACCAGGAGATATCAGCTGTGATGGCTTGGAGAAACAGTGTAAACCGGCAGTGTAAACAAGAGCAGGGCATGTATGAGTAGTTGAGAATGGTGAATAGGAGTATGACTAGACAGAAGATAGTAGGGATGACAAGTTTTTTGGGGGCACAATCTAAGTTGATCTGGTGTCTGGAATGAGACTGGGGCCTAATAAAAAGGAATGTCTACACAGGAGCGTAAATGGGCTGTACCTTGTAGCATTCCAAGGACAGGCCTGAATTCTGAGAAAGGAAAGTGGTAAAAGTATTGTCCAGTCCTTTTTAAGTTGGTAGCTGAGCTTGGTGAGGTATGTTTTTAAAAGACCTTTAGTCCATTCTACTTTTCTTGAAGACGGAGGACCGTAAGGGTTATAAAGGTTTCACTGAATACTAAGAGCCTGAAAAACTGCTTGGCTGATTTGACTAATAAAGGCTCGTCTGTTATCAGACTGTATTGAGGTGGGAAGGCTAAACTGAGGAATTATGTCTGACAGAAGGGAAGAAATGACTTCGGTGGCCTTCTCAGACCCTGTAGGAAAGGCCTCTACCTATCCAGTGAAAGTATCTACCTAGACTAAGAGGTATTTTAGTTATCTGACTCAGGGCATGCTGAGTAAAGCTAATTTGCCAGTCCTGGGTGGGGGCAAATCCTCAAGCTTGATGTGTAGGGAAGGGAGGGGGCCTGAATAATCCCTGAGGAGTAGTAGAATAGCAGATAGAATAGCAGATGGAACACTGAGAAGTTATTTCTTTGAGGATAGATTTCCACGATGGAAAGGAAATGAGAGGTTCTGAGAGGCGGGCTAGTGGCTTGTACTATAGCATAGCCTGCCTTTGCTGGTGTGTGGCGATTAGGCCTGGTGGAACCGCCATCAATAAATCAAGAGTGATCAGGGTGAGGATCAGGAAAGAAGGAAATTTGGGGAAATGGGGTGAATCTCAGGTGGATCAGAGAGATACAGTCATGGGGGTCACGTGTGGTATCAGGAATAATGTGGGAGGCCGGATTGAAGTCTGGGCTAGGAACAATGGTAATTGTGGGAGACTCAACAAAGAGTGAGTATAGCTGAAGGAGCCAGGAAGCCGAAAGTATATGCGTCAGGTATGAGGAAGAAAATAGATTTTGGAAGTTATGAGAACTGTAGAGAGTAAGTTGAGCATAGTTTGTGATTTTGAGGGCCTCTAAAAGTATTAAAGCAGCAGCAGCAGCTGCATGCAGACATGAGGGCTAGGCTAAAACAGTAAGGTCAAGTTGTTTGGACAGAAAGGCTACAGGGTGTGGTCCTGGCTCTTCAGTAAGAATTCTGACCGTGCTAACCATGCCTAGGAAGGAAAGGAGTTGTTGTTTTGTAGAAGGTGCTGGGGTTTGAGAGATCAGTCGGACACGATTGGCAGGGAGAGCACGTGTGTTTTTATGAGAATTATGCCGAGATAGGTAACAGATGAGGATGAAATTTGGGCTTGATTGAAGTAATGGGGGCTGTCTGTGAAGCTTTGCAGCAGTACAGCCTAGGTAATTTGCTGAGCTTGATGGGTGTCAGGGTCAGTCCAAGTGAAAGCGAAGAGAGGCTGGGATGAAGGGTGCAAACGAATAGGAAAGAAAGCATGTTTGAGATCTAGAACAGAATAATGGGTTGCAGAGGCAGGTATTGAGGATAGGAGAGTATATGGGTTTGGCACCACGGGGTGGATAGGCAAAACAATTTGGTTGATAAGATGCAGATCCTGAACTAATCTGTAAGACTTGTCCGGTTTTTGGACAGGTAAAATGGGGGAATTGTAAGGAGAGTCTATAGGTTTTAGAAGCCCATGCTGTAGCAGGCGAGTGATAACAGGCTTTAATCCTTTTAAAGCATGCTGTGGGATGGGACATTGGCACTGAGCGGGGTAAGGGTGATTAGGTTTTAATGGGATGGTAATGGGCATGTGATCGGTTGCCAGGGAAGGAGTAGAGATGTCCCATACTTGTGGGTTAAGGTCGGGGGATAGGAGAGGAAGACGCGAAGGAGGCTTTGGGTTGGGGAGAAGGGCGGCAATGAGATGTGGCTGTAATACAGGAACAGTCAGGGAAGCAGATAATTTAGTTAAAGTGTCTCAGCCTAATAAGGGAACTGGGCAGGTGGGGGTAACTAAAAGGAGTGCTTAAAAGAGTATTGTGTAAGTTGGAACCAGAGTTGGGGAGTTTTAAGAGGTTTAGAAGCCTGGCCGTCAATACCTACAATAGTTATCGAGGCAAGGGAAACAGGCCCTTGAAAAGAAGGTAATGTGGAGTGGGTAGGCTCCGTATTGATTAAGAAGGGGACGGGTTTACCTTCCACTGTGAGAGTTACCCGAAGCTCGGCGTCCGTGATGGTCTACGGGGCTTCCGAGGCGATCGGGCAGTGTCAGTCTTCAGCCGCTAAGCCGAGAAGATCTGGGAAGGAGTCAGTCAGAGAGCCTTGGGCCAGAGTTCCAGGGGCTCTGGGAATGGCTGCCAGGTGAGTTGAACAGTCCGATTTTCAGTGGGGTCCCACACAGATGGGACGTGGCTTAGGAGGAATCCTGGGCTGCGGGCATTCCTTGGCCCAGTGGCCAGATTTCCGGCATGTGTAGCAAGCTCCTGTGGGAGGAGGTTCTGGAGGAACTCCTGGCCGCTGCGGTTCAGGCGTTTGGAAGTTCTTGTGTGCTGGAGATGTGGCTGGGGTTTGTCTCACAGTGGAGGCAAGGAATTGCAACATTTTTCTATTATTGTACACCTTGAAGGCGAGGTTAATTAAATTCTGTTGTGGGGTTTGAGGGCTGGAATTTAATTTTTGGAGTTCTATTTAATGTCAGGAGCAGATTGGGTAATAAAATGTATTTTAAGAATAAGACGGCCTTTTGACCTTTTAGGGACTAGGGCTGTAAAGTGTCTCAGGGTTGCTGCCGAACGAGCCATGAACTGGGCTGGGTTTTTATATTTGATGAAAAAGAGCCTAAACGCTATCTGATTTGGGATAAAGAAAAAGGAGCATTAACCTTGACTATGCCTTTAGCTCCAGCCACCTTTTTAAGAGTAAATTGCTGGGCAGGAGGGGGAGGGCTGGTCACGGAACGAAACTGTAAGCCAGACCAGGTGTGAGGAGGGGAGGTGATAAAAAGATTACAGGGTGGAGGAGCAGAGGCTGAGGAAGAATTGGGACATAGCTTGGCCTGGCGAGGAGCAGCCTGGGGAGGAGGGGAGAGGTCAGATGGGTCTGTAGAAAAGGAAGATTAGAAAGACTCAGCGACGCTTGTGGTTGGTACTAAGAGGACAGGTGGGAGGGAAAGAAGGAAGATGTGGGACGAGTTGCACGGGGCACAGAGACTAGGAAGGGAGACTGATGTGTAAAAGAATGCCTGGACGTCAGGCACCTCAGACCGTTTGCCTATTTTACGACCAGAATTATTTAGATCTTGCAGGATGGAAAAATTCAAAGTGCCATTTTCTGGCTATTTGGAACTACTGTGGAGTTTGTATTGGAATCAAGCGGCATTGCAGTAGAAAATAAGGCATTTAGGTTTTAGGTCAGGTGTGAGTTGAAGAGGTTTTAAGTTTTTGAGAACACAGGCCAAGGGAGTAGAAGGAGGAATGGAGGGTGGAAGGTTGCCCATAGTGAAGGAAGCAAGCCTAGAGAAAAGAGAGTAGAGAAATGGAGGGAAGGGGTTCGGGGGTTCTTACCTTCCAGAAAAGTGGTAAAAGGGGTTGGGGCACAGAGATAAGAGGTCGGGGCATGGAAATAAGGGATGGGGCACAGAAATAAGAGGTCGGGGCACAGAAATAAGGGATTGGGGCACAGAGATATAAGAGGTTGCGGCACAGAAATAAGGGATTGGGGCTCAGAGATATAAGAGTTTGGGGCGTGGAAATAAGGGATTGGGGCACAGAGATACGAGGTTGGGGTGTGGAAATAAGGGATTGGGGTGCAGAGATAAGAGGTTGAGGTGCAGAAATAAGGGATTGGGGGTTCTTGCCCCATAGAAAAGCAGGACTTGCCGCAAAGGGTGAAGGAGCAGGGGTTGAGGGGTACTTGCCCCTCCCCCAGAAAAGCAGAGAAGGGGTAGAGACAAGGAGAGAAGGGGTTGGGGTACTTGCCCCTTCCCCAGAAAAGTGGGACTTGCCGCTAAGGGTGAAGGACCAAGGCAGGAGTCCCTGCGTGGTCTGACACCTTGAAATGTGGGGGAATAATCAGAGAGGCATCCCTGCAATGATTAACACCAAGGGAAGGCTGCCTTCCCAGTCCGTGACTGGCACCGGAGATTTGGGTCCATGGATAAAACGTGTCTCCTTTGTCTCTACCATAAAATGAAATGAATTGAAATTAAGAGAAGGGAGAGATTGAAGTGTGGCACCAAGATTGAAAGGAGAAAGAGGTTGAGGGATAATGAGGGAGGTTGAAGAGAGTAAAAAGAGGCTGCTTACCAGATTTGAAATTGGTGAGATGTTTCTTTGGCTGGTCGGTCTGAGGACCTGAGGTTGTAGGTGGATCTTTCTCATGGAGCAAAGAACAGGAGGACAGGGGATTGATCTCCCAAGGGAGGTCCCCGGAGCCAAGTCATGGCACCAAATTTCATGCACGCCCGTGTGAAGAGACCACCAAACAGGCTTTGTGTGAACAACATGGCTATTTATTTCACCTGGGTGCAGGCGGGCTGAGTCCGAAAAGAGAGTCAGTGAAGGGAGATAAGGGTGGGGCCACTTTATAGGATTTGGGTAGGTAAAGGAAAATTACAGTCAAAGGACGTTTGTTCTCTGGCGGGCAGGAGTGGGGGTCACAAAGTGCTCAGTGGGGGTGCTTTTTGAGCCAGGATGAGCCAGGAAAAGGACTTTCACAAGGTAATGTCAGCACTTAAGGCAAGGACCGGCCATTTACACTTCTTTTGTGGTGGAATGTCATCAGTTAAGGTGGGGCAGGGCCTTTTCACTTCTTTTGTGATTCTTCAGTTACTTCAGGCCATCTGGGTGTATACCTGCAAGTCACAGGGGATGCGATGGCTTGGCTTGGGCTCAGAGGCCTGACAGTATGAAAATATCTGGCTTGGTCTATCATACTGGGCTGTAGTGAGGATCAACATGAAAATCTTGAAAGTGAAAGTGTCAAGTGCTATTGACATAAACTATAAACATTTATGTTTAGTATATACAATCTTTTTTTTATTATTATACTCTAAGTTCTGGGATTCATGTGCAGAATGTGCAGGTTTGTTATATATGTATACATGTGCCATGGTGGTTGGTGCATCCATCAACCCGTCATCTACATTAGGTATTTATCCTAATGCTATCCCTCCCCTAGCCTCCTACCCTCCAGCAGGCCCCAGTGTGTGACGTTCCTCTCCCTGTGTCCATGTTTTCTCATTGTTCAATGCCCACTTATGAGTGAGAACATGCAGTGTTTGGTTTTCTGTTCCTGTGTTAGTTTCTGAGAATGATGGTTTTCAGCTTCATCCATGTCCCTGCAAAGGACGTGAACTCATCCTTTTTTATGGCTGCATATTATTCCATGGTGTATATGTGCCACATTTTCTTTATCCAGTCTATCATTGATGGGCATTTGGGTTGGTTCCAAGTCTTTGCTATTGTGAATAGTGCTGCAATAAACATACGTGGCATGTGTCTTTATAGTAGAGTGATTTATAATCCTTTGGGTATGTACCCAGTAATGGGATTACTGGGTCAAATGGTATTCCTGGTTGTAGATCCTTGAGGAATTGCCATACTGTCTTCCACAAAGGTTGAACTAATTTACACTCCCACCAATAGTGTAAAAGCATTCCTATTTCTCCACATCCCTTCCAGCATCTGTTGTTTTCTGACTTTTTAATGATCACTATTCTAACTGGTATGGGATGGTATCTCATTGTGGTTTTGATTTGCATTTCTCTAATGACCAGTGATGATGAGCTGTTTTTCATATGTTTGTTGGCCACATAAATGGGATCTAATTAAACTAAAGAGCTTCTGCACAGCAAAAGAAACTATTATCAGAGTGAACAGGCAACCTACAGAATGGGAGAAATTTTTTCCAATCTATCCATCTGACAAAGAGCTAATATCCAGAATCTACAAGGAACTTAAATTTACAAGAAAAAACGAACAACCCCATCAAAAAGTAGGTGAAGGATATGAACAGACACTATGCAAGCAATCTTTAGCTAGACAGATAGAATTAAATCTGAATATTCCTCCATTCTGAGAGTTACATGTGCCTCTTTAGCTTTTATAGTGACCTGTTCCTATTTTATTTATTTATTCAGCAAATTTTGAATATTACCATTCTGAGTGATGAGTTCATAGTCAAGGTGTGTGTAGGGAAACAGGAGTAGTGTTTGAAAAAAGGAGGAGTATGGGTCTCACTTTCTATACCTGCCCTTCCTACTGAGCTTCTTGAGACCTAGGCAGGAGTGGCATGAAATGGCTCCACATGGGGGTGCTGGCACAGTGCTCCTGGTGGCTGGAGGGATGACATCCAGCCTCCACTCTGCTTGTTGGCCCATGTGCCCTGCTGAGAGAGGTGCTGTGTCTACTTGGAACTAATTACTCTCTTTTGCAATCTTCAAAAGTCAAAGTTTGGGTTAACCCTGTGTCTCTCTTCCTTTGGGATCCCTACTTATCTCTTCAGGCTGAAGAGGATCATTCTTAACCTTCTAAGAAACGCCAGCTTCTTCAGGTCATATGTTAAGTCGTTTTTCTCTATGTTCTAGCCATTTCTCAGACTATTATACAGGAAATTTGTCTGATCATATTTTTCTAACACCGCTACAAATTCCACCATATAAGAACTACCATAGAAATTAAACTACATCAACATGATAGAGTGTAGCACCTATAGATAATATGACATGTCATTTATACCTTTGAAGTCCCTGTCCCTAAGCTCTTGGGGTCAAAAGATAACACACATTTCCTAGACTTTCCTATCCTAATTTTTGCAGTTCTACTGCGTAATATTTGGGTTGAAATTCTCTGCCATTTCTTCATGCTTCAATATAATTAGTGTTCTGAAAGCATGCTATTGAAATAATTTGGAAAGTTTTAAATCTTGAATGGTACACAGAGAAAAGTTAAAATTTTAAATAGGAATGTCCAATTAATCTACAAAGTGAACTTTAAATATTCCCATATATTTTGTCCTCAAAAATCCTTATTTTTCATTCATGCATAATCATTACACATTCCAAGAATATAGAATTATTAAAGCATATAAATTCTAAAACTTGTGGCTTGTTCCTGGAAATAATTACATTGATTGAGGCACTGCGTATTTGAAGTAGAATGTTTTTGCGAGTTGCTGCAGGAGAAAACTCTTAGGCTTCATAAATCTAAATTGAGTGACTGAGAAAAAAAGAAAAGGTCTATAAAGCTATGAATACCTGTTCTAGTAAAGGATGCAAAAATTTCAATAAAGAAATAATTGGTAATCTTGAATTCAGTGACAGAAAATTATAAATCTGTCTCTTTTATGAAGTCTCTTGTGTGAAATATGGATGAGTTGAGGTTATAAAAAAGCATGTTTACCAGCAGGAGCCTAAATCAACATCTTTGAACATGATAGTTCAGAAAGTAGCAGGGAGCCGCTGTTCCTGACATAGGCAACACTGACATTTATTTATTTAATTTTTAACTTTCTGACTGCAGCCATCCTTTCTCCTGCCCTGTCCCTCCCTACTTTTGCTCTTGGTTAAAATAAACCATTATAGCATTAAATCTGTCTACCATAGTTAATTACTTTAGTCATGTGCCAAAGCATTTAGTTCCAGCACCTTCTCTCTATGGGTTTTGAAGACACAACTTAATATTAGGTTGCATGGTGGTTGCTGCACATCTTCAAACCATAAAGACCATGTCAAGTGCTCCAAGGAATAATGAAATATTAATTTCCAGACAAAAAATTAAGTGGCTTAAAGAAGAAGCTGTTGTCTATCCCAGGAGTGGCTTTTAAGACATTGATATCTGTGCTTTGAACACATCTATTCTTAGCCATTCAAACCACACGTAATGTTCCCTAAGTAACTGTCTGCCTTCAATCGAGTAGCACACAGATTGAAACCACCAATCCCTTCTTCTGTCAGATCACCACTATGAAAAAAGGCTCCCCTTTTCTTTTCCACACTCTTTTATTGTTTGACAACATTATGCCAAGATAAAAAAAAAACCTGTTACTGTTTTGTAAACACTGGAAGAAAAAAAATTATTCAATGCTTAAAGGAATAGCAACACGCAAATATGTTGTGCATATGAATTTGGTCATGCTGCTCCACCCTTATTTCATTAAATATTTTATTTGTGAAGAGAAAACCACAAATGCCGAAAGGAAACCTTTTCCTCATGCACCCACACACCAAATATTTATAAAGTAATTTTTGTGTGTCAGGGTTGAAATGTAAATGTTCCTATCCAAAATTAAAAAAATGATTAAGAGAAAAATGGATAGAAATAAATTGTTATAAAATTGACTCCAATAACACTAGTGCTCAATAAATATTGAGCAATGATAAAGTAGTTTCAAGAAGTACAAAAAGTAACAACTTATTCTTAGCTATATATTGTTGGCCTTGAAATTGAAAACTCCATTCAGAAGTGTGTTATAATATTTGATGATGGCATCAGCTTTTCTACTTTACTGCCAATTTTCCTGCAAAGCAGGAGCATGGTGAATGCTTAACTGACTCTTAAAGAACAATTATTTGTAAATAGTTTGTGGGGGTAGGATGCCGAGGGCTATACGGGCAAAAGCAACGAGGCAATCACAATAAGAACTGGCTTTGGGAAGAATTCTTGAAGCAGAGAAGTTGCTTGCAGAGAAAGGCAGAGTAGATCACCACCAGCAACCACTTAGAGAAGCCTCAGAGCAGCAAGATAAGAGGATGGTGGAGAAACATCATTTAATGAGTAAAGGCTTAAAGGGGTCCCTTTTCTCATCAATAATTGTATAAAATATACATGGTCCACATGGATTATACATAAATATTATGTTGAGGGACATGATGTCATAAGAAATCTCTTTTCTGTTAATGTTCCCAGAACTCTTTGATAGAATCAATACTCGTAGTCCTGATTCATTAAAAGAAATACATCTGTCTCCAATACAATGAAGTCTTGTGGAACCCAGGTTTTTAAGGCTTTTGTATTTACTATTCAAGAGCTGGATGGCCAAATAGGAAAGAAATCTTACTGATTCATGAGCTTAGCAAGCGCCTGCAGCACGCTGCATTTAATACTCAGAATTGGTATTCATAATGGAATTACTACTAGAAAGATCCATCATTTGACTTTACAGAATCGCATGTTTATAATCTTATGATAGCCCAAAAAAGCCTAGGCTATTCAAGCATTTATTATTCCTAATTAGCATCTCTTTTAGATAATTTAGTCTGCTCTTAAGTCTCTTTGTATTTTCTTGCACTAGAATATTAGGATTTGTTTGGCTTAAAAAACAGTTTAATTCATTATAAGACTTTTGAAATGACAAGTTCTATTTTCTCTGTAGCGCTTCAATTTCAATAGTCTCACTAGGAAGCAGATTGAGGAAGCAGGGCTTGAATGTTGAAATGAGTACGTCTGGAATTTTGTCTACCTGTAAGTAGGAACTACTGCCAAGAGTAGAGGGAGGAGAAGTCTCAATGATGGCTGTACTGTATCTCCAGCATTTACCCCTGGTGAGGCATTTGCCAATTTACATCTACAAATCAACTAGTGCTTCTGTTGACACCTTCTCTGAGTTGTTACTTTTAGCATCCCTTCTGTGTTATACACTGAACACAGTATGTTTTCGGTAACTAATTTAGTATTATGTATTTAGCAGCACTGAAAGATGACTTGTCTCTTGAAATAATGCATTCTAGCAAGACTTGAGACTTAAGCTAAAAATGGGATTTTTGACCCATAGTGTTAAAGGATTCAACACTTGAGAGTCATCTCTTTTCACTAACAAATAAAAAGGTATGTTGTAACAAAGGTGCCACTTCAGTGCAGGCTGTTGATGTTTGTGGACAGTGAGGCATATGGAAACTTTCTGCACTTTCTGTTCAATTTTGCTGTAAACATAAAATTGCTTTAAAAAATAAAGTCTACTTAAAAAGGGACTGAGTAAATAATTTGTACAAATAGAGACAAAATATTTATATTATTTTTAGATATTTGGTTTCATACTTCAGGTTGATTTTATATTTGTCCTGACTTACCTGTTTATGATTGTGCATTTATAACTTAGTGAATTTAAAAATCTTAAGCCAACTTTTTCTGTTGGTTGTCTGCTGAATGCAGCTTTCTCTAAAGTTGCAATCACCATGCAGAAAATTTTAAGAATATTATACATTATTTTTCAGCCTAAGCAGCTGAATCAGTGACTAGAATTGACAAGATTTTGAATTATAAATATGGCAGTATAGCTATATAGAATTCTTGCCATCGATATTTTTGCATATGAGCTGGAATATGGAAAGAAAATGAACTGAAGACTAAAGTGTATGAGAAAGGAGGATGATAGAATAAGTGAGAGATCCACCTTATTGGAAAACAACCTTAGCAGTGAAGACATAAAATTGAAAGATAAAATGCGTTATTTTTCTCTCTTACACATTCATTTATCTATTCTTGTCTTTTGTTCAGTTTATTTTGGTAATGAATACATAATCTTTTTTTGGCTATATTGTGATCTAGAATATACCAAATCTAAAGCAGAATGAGATGCAGTGTTAGAGTTTTGGAGAAGGTACATGTTGAAAGTGTATTTGATAAAATGTAAATCAAACAATTTAACTCACTCATCAGAAAAAAAAAATGAGCATGGATATACTTGGGTCACACTCACTGAAAAAAGCACACGCCTTACAAAGAGTAAGAACTTATGCAGACGGAATCTTTCTAATCTCCATCCACATGTATATTGCATGCAACCACTCAGGATTTAGAAACCAGAAAAACAGAATTTACAGTGTGAGACTTGCTGTTCAGAATGTTGAACAAAGAATTTGACACTGTTCATTGCTTCACAAACAGAATTTTCAGAATCTCAGACAGCCAAAGCCACGCTCTCTGCATGGAATGATAGGCTTGGATCTGAGAGAAAAAATTTAAAAGCATAGTCTGTTTTGATGTGATAGCATCCTACATGGCAAATTAACTTCCCCACCCCCAAAAGTTCAGTTTGTTTTCCCAAACTATAGACTTCTTTTACACCCACTTAAAATATGTAGATTTGTTTATCAGTTTTGTTTTGTAGGGTAAATGATTCAATCACTCAGACTGTCAGCAAAAGCAGTTTGAGCGATTCCTTAGTGTTAAAGGTGCTAACTTGCCTCTTGTGTAGTTGAGATTCACAGAGAAAATTAGATTCTTCCACACTAGGGCAGAGGTGTTAGTTTTAAACAACTGAAGTGCAGGGCAGTCCCTCTTTCTCTCCTTTCTGGCTCTTTTCCAAATAGGTTAATAGTAAAAGTTGGATTCAGTGAAGAAAGAACTAAATGACAGCAAATTGAGACTGCACTGAGATATTTAGCAAATCGTAGGGGCAGCTTGATACCCTTTGTATTCACAATAAAAGAAAAATGTAGCAATAACTGAAATATTCTTCAAAATGTAGCATTCTATGGCTTTGAAGCTGGCTGCCCATCACTGAAAAAGAGAACAAAGCATGAGCATGTTTATATACACACAAACTGAAATAGAAGAACTCAAAGACAGAAAACTAAACCACAGAGAAACAGAAAAAGGGATAAAGGGAGAATCAATATGTAACAGTGCAAAAGAAAAGTTTGGATCTAAATCTAAGCTGCTAAATAGCAGACCAGCAGGCTCATTGTTCACTGGAAAAAGATTGCCACTTAAGCATTTAAAGTGAAAATATACTTAAGAAAGCCCTTTCAAGCTTTGCTTATTTCCACGCTATCCCATTAAAAGGTACCATTGCATACTAATGAAAGTAAACATGAAGGAAGGGGAAATGGGGGAGCTGAAGGAGGGAGTGGGGGAGAAAGTTAGAGAGAGAGGGGGAGAGAGAGAGAGAGAGATCAATCCTGTTAGTACATTTTTTTCTTTTTTCAAAGAGAGTTTAGAATTTTGAGTTTCTGCAAAGCAGAGTTCTCAAACCACAAAAAGATTCTGCGTTTGCTGGTTTCGTTGTTGTTGTTGTTTTGTTTTTTAATTTTAGTATCAGTAGTAGCAGTCCCAGAAGAAATCTCCCAGTGACATTTTAAATAAGAATTCAGATAGGCTGTTAGAGGAAAAATGAAAGAAAAACAAAAACAAATGTAAAACGAAACCAAACTAAATATGCTAGCTTCGTCAATCAAGGTGAGTTTGTGTTTGTCTGATTAATTCCACCTTCTCTGTAACAGCCGAGTTCTCACTGCAGCTGCTATTCTCAACTGCTTGTAGCATTAACTTTTAAAACTTTAATTTTCCAGTCAGATGCCAAGCATACCTGAGATCATTTATGATGGGCATGATTAGCCATGCTTGTTAGGCATAGTAACCATGGGGTCTTTTCTGCAATGAGAAATTAAACTTTAAAAAGTCATTCTGATTTACAACTATACAAATTCTCACAACGTGGTAATAAAGAGGATACATGATGAAACCTGACAGGATGTTAAGCTTCTTGCACAAGTGTGGACAGCTGAAGAGGCAAGAAATAATACAGTTGTCACTGGGCTGTTTCACCTCAACACCGAGCAAACAAAAAGAGCGTTGTTAATCAGTTCAACTCTTCAGCTGGATAATCCTAAACCGGTAATTGATAAATGGGAAAACCATACGGACTCAACTCTGTGATTCATAAAACACATGAATATTCATACCATCTCCTTTGGTCAAGAAGCATTCTACATGCTTCTAAGGCAGGGTTTGAAAGAGGAATACAAATAGTTTCTTGCTCAGCAGTAAAATACTGCTCCCCGTTTAAGGCCAATTTTCTCCTATTAAAAGTGAAGTTTAGCAATACACAGAGGACAGTAAACACGGTAAATGTAGGTAAGTGACAAATGGTTCCTCAGGAAATGCTGCACTTCAGCTTTTTCATACAGCTGCACTTGGAAAAATATTAAATCTTTAAAGGAAACAGAATACTTACAATACCAGAGAAAGCGTGGCAGCAATCCATTTTCACCCTGGAAATACTTAATCTCTCTATTTACAAGAATAATTTATATTTCAATAAAACCTTATCATCTGAATTTCTGATATGCTGGATACAAATCATTTGGTCTGTGGATGCCAGTGTGGAAATTCTTAAAATAGTTTTTAAACATAATGTTGATGTAGAATACTCTGCAGCATATTAATAAAATCCACTTAAAATACTCAAATATTTACAGTATCTGTGATAATTAATTTTACCTTTAGAAAATGTATCTAATTTAAGGTGAAATAAATTCAATGTACCTATCAACCCAAGTTTATCCACTAAAATGTATATAACAAATTGTTAAAAATGGAATTATATCTTCAGCACATCTGTAGTTAGAGATATTGTGGGAAATCAGTTATATAAAATGAAGAATTTGTTCAGTTTAATCTCTTGTAGAAATTGATTTTCATATGTGATTTTTCCTTAAATCAGAACACCTGTTATCATCCTCATCTATGATCTAAAAATCATCCATTATTCCAGACCTCAAAGATAAAAGCAAAGGAAGAACCCACAATTAAAGAAAAGAGTGATTTATTTGGCTATATAAAAATATCATAATATTCAATATAAGAATTATTCATCAACATTATGTGAATGCTAGTTAAATGCTGATCAAACATGACTGTCCACAAGAAAGGATTGAAAAAATAAGATATGCCCATATGATGGAATTCCTGGTAGCAATTAAAAGTCATAGCTTGAAAATTACTTAATAAGTTCTAATGTAATATAATATTTATAAAATGGATTCAAAATCACTTACGCAATACGATCTTGATCTTAATTAACATTGGTTGTGACTGTTTAAATGTTTTTGAGGATTTCTTAATTCTCAGGCCATTCCCTGCAGTTTTCTTTAAATATATTAATTCTGTCTGATCACTCAAGTCCCCTTCTCTCAATTTTTGTTTAGTGAGGGTTTGGTTTTAAATTGTCTCTTCTTTCGTTATGTTAGTTTTGTCTGTCTGACTGAGTCACCTGTAAATTGAAGATAGTGAAAAGTTACATGAGTATATATATATATATATATATATATATATATATATTCTTCCTATGTTTCCAACAGTGTACTGCACATAATAGAGTTTCTCTCTTTTTTTTTTTTTTTTTTTTTTTTGAGAAGGAGTCTCGCTCTGTCGCCCAGGCTGGAGTGCAGTGGCGCCATCTCGGCTCACTGCAAGCTCCGCCTCCCGGGTTCACGCCATTCTCCTGCCTCAGCCTCCCCAGCAGCTGGGACTACAGGCGCCCACCACCAGGCCCGGCTAATTTTTGTATTTTTAGTAGAGACGGGGTTTCACTGTGTTAGCCAGGGTGGTCTCGATCTCCTGACCTTGTGATCCACCAGCCTTGGCCTCCCAAAGTGCTGGGATTACAGGTGTGAGCCACTGGGCCCGGCCAATAGAGTTTCAATATACCCTATCTGTGATTGTTGTTTACATTTCCTATTTTTTGGATCCTAATGAAATTTAAAAAGTCATTGCTCTAGGACAACCCAGGGAGAGAAAGAACCTCACCAACATGATGGGCATAATTTTCCTTTTCATTCTTCGTCAAAAGGATCCAGAATTTCAAAGCAGTTCAGTGATCCATTTTCTGTTTTACTGGTAAAGTTTTCTACAAATACTCTTTCATATAGAAAGTGGAAGTAATTTTTCCTACCAGATAACACAAGCTTTTTCATAAAATATAAATAAATCTGAGAAAGTAAAATTTCCCTATAATTCCTACCCTTGGCAGCAATAAATAGTAGTTGGTGTGTGATTACTAGACTGTACTTCATTGTATTTAAAGCTCCCCTCAACATTTTATTATAAAAATGTTCTCTTTCTTTCTTTCTTTCTTTTTTCTAAGACAGTGTCTCCATCTGTCACCCAGGGGCTAGAGTGCAGTGGTGTGATCATGGCTTACCATAGCCTGGACCTCCTGGGCTCAGGTGATCTTCTTACCTCAGGCTTGGAGTAGCTGGGACCATAGGTACATGCCGCCATGCCTGACTAATTTTTCATTTTTCTTTTTTTAACGTTTTTTAGAGACAGGTTCTTGCTATGTTGCCTAGGTTAGTCTCAAACTCCTGGGATACCCACTTTGGCCTCCCAAAGTGCTGAGATTTTAAGTATGAACCGCTGCATTTGGCAAAAATTTTCAAATATGTAGAAAAGTTGAAAGTATTATACAATAAACACTCATATGCCCACTACTGATATTCTAACTTAAATTTTCCAATTTTGTATCTTAAGCTTTCTAAATGTAAAAAAAAAAAAAGCATGCTTGTTATTTTTTAATCTTTAAAGTACCTTTATTTCACAAACATGAAGACTATGTGATGAAAATGAATCCTTCCACAGGAAGAAAAGTATCATTTATACTTTTCCTGATTCTCTGAGGACTTCAGATATGGAGTGAAATAAAAGCTTGGCGTGAGAGAGAATGAAGTCTTGACAGAAAGTGAAATCCCTGTCCTGTCTGTTTACAGCAACCCAAACCAAAATCAAGCAAACGGCAATGCTTTTTATGTGTTCTTAAATAAAATAGACATTTGTTGATTAATTTACTGTCTAGTTTTGTTTCCATAAATGTCGCCAAAACCTTCTGTTATCCTCTAGGTGCAGCCCTGAAAGGGTGGCTTGTAAGTGCTGCAAACATTACATCCAGTTCTATCACAATCAGGTACAGAAAGCAGTTACGATGTTCTACAATTGCTTATTTATGACTTTGCTGCCGCAGATTTGTCTACAAGTTGCATAACAAATCTCCAAATTAAATCCAGGACAAACATTCTAGAACTCTAGAGTGAAGACTTAATAGCTTTGAATTTAACCAATGAGAGATAGTTAAATAGAGTAGGCAGAGAAATGGCAAATAATAAAAAGTTCTTTGATTGTGAGTTTAGCACAGCATAGCACTTTAAAACCAAAATGGTCACTAAACCTCAGACTTCTTATCTGCAAAATAGTGATAACAAAATTTCCATCAAAAGCGTATTTTCACCTTGAAATAAAATAAAACATTTAAAGCCTCCATTATAGTGACTGGCATGTAATAAATAATCAATAAATATTAGTACTGTCTTCCTAGTACCATTCTCTTCATTTTTCAGAAAGGGTTAAAATGACAATTTGCTGTATTTATATTGCATTTCTACAAAATAAATAACTACATGGATTGTATATACATATATAAATATGTTTAAATTATTTAACCTAAATATATAGGTATATTTTCTGATCATAAATATTATAAGAGCTCTAAACTATGTTGAGAATCAGTCTATATGTGAGGATGCAATGTCAAAAATCATCCTTACACTTTGGAGAGAGAGAGGGAGGGAAATTCACATGCAAACATATTATCCTTTCATTCAGCAAGGAAAGTGATTCAAATTCTATCTATCAAGGCACTGGATATGACAGGTTTATGAACAAGGTAAGATGTCAAAGATGCGAGAATTTACTATGTACCATGGAGGTTGTACTCTACCTTTTGGAGTTATCAGGACCTGCTGAATTTAGGAGATTATATATGTATGTGTGTGTGTACATATATATGTGTGTGTGTGTGTGTGTGTGTGTATTACAAAGTCCTACTCGTGAATATAAGCTTTAGTCCTATTTTACAATATGATCCAAATACAGTCTTTCAGTGAATGGCATAAATTTTTTTAAAAAATAATTTACCCTTTACAATCACTCTGAATGATTGTTTTAAAGTAATGGCAATACAATATTTAAGAGGCACTTTTAAACATTTCCTGGTTTTAATCCTTTAATTTTTTTTTTAGCTTGAACTTTTCTTATTCTTTCTGATTTAATGGATGAAGAGTGAACATGACCCCCTAAAGTTTCAGAAAATTACAAGTACTCTTCCAGCAAAGCTTATGAACCCATTGAGAATATGCTTAACTTAGCGATGAGGATTTAAATAGGTGTGGTAAAAGATTTAGGTACATAACTGGGAGAAAGCTTTAATATTGAACTTTCAGACATTTATTTACTAAAATTATAACAGACATTATTAACTGACATTTAATGTGAATAGCTCTGGGCGGATCCAGAGCCAGCCCTATTTTTGTCTGTCAACACCTGGCTGACTAGTTTAATGGACACCTTTGTAAATTATTTTAACTGGTATTAACAATAACAATTCTTAAGCCCCTTCAAACAGTATCCTACAGATTGACTTCTAATGGATTAACTGAATTCAGGAGATGAGAGCTGCCAAAGCTTTACCATTTCTTTACATTTCAGTATTGGCTTAATGCTAAGATATCAATGTTTACTTTAAAACTAAATCCAATCTTTGAAAAATGTTTACACTTCATGTGCCAATAACTTTGTCTAGCACTGTAGCACAGGTAATTATAACTAATGGAAATCGGCACTAATCGACTCACTCAATAATATAGCTCAGTGACAATAACAGTACATGGAACACACGGTTTTTCAATTCATTATTAAAAACATCTGATACATCTGTGAGAACTGGAGAGTTTCCTTCCCCCCCTCGCTAGTGTTCTAAGTACTGGGAACAGTTACAACTACAACATTTTAAGAGGCTAATTTTTTTTTTCTTCACACATGCACACAAAACCATGAAAGAAGCTTTTACAGGAAGTAACAAATACTTCTAAATGACATTTCATTAAAAATGTGTTCCCTTGGAAAGCGGACAGAACTAAAAGCCATGCTTTTACTTGGCAGAAAAGGTGGTACAGCAGGCAATGTGTGAAGCTAAGAAGCATCAAAATCTACTTTGCCATGGATGTGAGCAGCATTCTGACCTAGAAAATAAAAAGGCAAAGGAATTTTCATGTGCTTTGATTTCTTCTAAACTAAAATTTCAGTGGAATTTCCATTTTGAAGCAAAGACCAAACAGAAAATGCAGACAATTGTATATAAACTATGGTTAGAACAAAACTGCCAGATACATTCTTGCTTTCATTTTTCTGAAATCCCACATTATAACAATAAAACATGTTATTTTTGTTGTTTTTTAAAAAAGTAATTGGGGTGTACATTTACACTGAATATGTCAATAGGCTCTGGATAGATTAATGATATTATGCCAGCTTTTTATTTGTATGTTCTTTTCTTTTTTTTTTTTTTTTGTCAAATGAGGTATTGTTAAAGATCCAGAACATATGAACTGTTTCTGATTAATAGAAAAATAATTTAAAAATAGTAGAAGTTGTAAACACAGTGGCTAAAGTAATATTCTAGGTCATTCTTGCTTAGGACATCTGCTTTTTGCTATTCTTACCCCAAGGGCAGATGATTAATCTCAATTGTTTCCTCCTATTCCAGATAGAAGCATGCCCAAGTCATCCTTCCCCTTGTCTGCATCTAAGTCCTAAAAGAGGAGATTAAAATTGTCATTGAAAAATCTGTCTGTGATAAGCTTTAACACACTCAGTAAAAGAGTTTGCAAAGCGGAGTTAAACTCTTCTGGGAATGGCGTTGCCAACTTGTTTTTCAAGGTTACTTTCTGTTCATTAAAAAACTCTGTAAAATAATAATGAAGAAGAAACTGCTTCCCATTAAGGAAAGAATAAGATCACTTGTTGGTTTTACAGCTTCCCTACTCTGACTTTCTTTCGGTTTGAGGGTAATTCTGGCTCATATTCTGTAAGAATTCTTTGCTTCACATTCACTGTAAACAGAAAAGAGCCATAATTACACCACATTTGATCCATATCAAAGCAACTGATCCATGTATCGATTTACATAAAGTAAAGCACATAAAACATTTTTGCTCTTCACCTCTACTTCACCAGTTTCTAAGGAAAGTTTCCTTTTGCATACTTCATTTGAATACAAAACCCTCCTGTTGAAATTTGTGATGTTAAACAAACCATACCAGTCATTCACCTTTTTAATTAAGGATTCAGTGTTCCATCCCTTTTCAGACATTAAAATTCAGGTGCAGTCATTAATCTTTCTAAACGAATTCACCTGTGGCTAATACTGATGTATTTTTCTATGAGGCTTGTCATGGGCTGCATGCTGCATGCATAACCACTCTACAGTTAATTACACAGGGGATTATCGTTAGTGTCATAAAGATAAAGCCTGGCTAGCAGCATTGTAGGGAAGTTTCCTTTTCTTTCTCTTCCCTCCCCTCTTTTTTGAGCAATGTCCTATTTCATTTTTGTTACCATCCACATAAGTATTTAAGAATAAATCATCGTGTTTACCTCAATGGCACGCTGAAGATGTAAGTCAGGGAATAGTTAGCAGGTAAGCATGAAGAGATGTCTATGTTACAGTTTTACTATGAAAAACTAATTTGCAGTCTATGGCTCAAACCAAAAAGAGCTGGGAATAATATAAATGACATGTACTTTTTCAGTTTTAGACACTTTGAATAAATATATGAAATATATATTTTCCTAAATTTGTGAATTCAATGGTGGACATACATCTGCATTCAGAAAACCAAAAGGAAAAGCTTTGCCAGTTTTAATAAAGAGACCCGTTGAGATAAGTACTGAGTAAAATTTACAGAAAACTTAAAAAAATAAACAGCATACAGTGTCTTCATAGGCTAACAACAACAAATAATAAAAAACAAAAATACAGGTGAGCAGATTAGATGAATATATATATTTTAGATGGAGACTAGCTCTGTCACCAGGCTGGAGTTCAGTGGCGTGATCTCAGCTCACTGCAACCTCTGCATCCCAGGTTCAAGCAATTCACCTGCCTCAGCCTCCCAAGTAGCTGGGCTTACAGGCGCGCGCCACCACACCCAGCTAATTTTTGTATTTTTAGCAGAGACGGGGTTTCACCTTGTTGGCCAGGATGGTCTCCATCTCCTGACCTCGTGATCCGCTCACCTTAGCCTCCCAAAGTGCTGAGATTACAGGCATGAGCCACTGCGCTCAGCCTAGATGAATGTGTTTTACTTCAACAATTTAGACTAATCGTATACAACAATTGTAATATATTTATACATTAGTAGCAGTAAAATCAGAATGATTCTTATTTTTTTATGATCACACATTGAACGTTAAATATACACACTGTAATTGCAATTAACAGATAATTTTCCCTGAACTTGCTATCTACAGTATGGTTATATATTCACAATGAAAAAATTGTAAATATAAAATATAGATGAGATTAAATGAAAATACAGGAAACATAAAAGCTTAAATTCAAGACAGTTTAAAATAATCTTAACAAGAAGTCTTAGTTAAGGAGTCTGAAATCCCATCCAATGCATTCTATTCTTTTAAAAAGAAACCTTTTAAAAGTAAGCTGCCATCAAAAGGATAGAAATTGTAATGTTTGTTTTCAAATTGTTTAATGTAGTTTAAATAGATTTTAATTTGTTAAGAAAATAAGGAAAAATCCAATCCTTAGCATATCTTTTTAATAAAGACATTTTATTTAGAAATAAGAACTAACTATTCTTGTGAGAAATTTAGGCATTCCCAATATATAGGCAACTACCTATATATATTTTTCTATTTTTACCTATGGTCAGCAGCAAGTAGGCATAGTCATATTATTTCTCTGGTTTTGGATAATAAAATGAAACAACTATTTTTTTAATTACCTAGAAGATAATCAGCTTAACTGGTTACTTCAATGAATAATCAGTTTCTTTGGTTTCAAGTAGACACAGATTGATTGCCAAAATTATTAAGATCCTTAAGAACTTTAAAGTATATTGAATTAAAATACTTTCCCACAAAATTTCTAGTTTCTTTACTCAAAATTTAAAGTGCAAACATTTAACTTCATGGTTTTTCAAAGTTAATACCTACCCACTTTAAAATTATGATTTTTATGTTTTTTAAAGCTCTTAGAAGACATGTTTCTAAAAACAATAGATCATTAAATTTATGAATGTAATTGCATTTAAATTGATTATAACAGTAAAGCAGTGATGCTGTGGTAGACACTGAGCCTGTCCATGGAAAAATCTTTTATTAGCATCGCTGCCTTTGTCATGCATAATATGAAATGGAACGCAATTTGACATAGGCCAGATTTGTCTCATCTAACCATTTGGTCACTAAAGTACGTCAGTGCCACTATCTCTCTCATGCAGATGCGATTGTGATCAACCAGGCTCCATGATGTGATTGTGGTTCCTTGTTTTTTTGATTAGGTGCACGGTGATAACTTAAGTGGAGTCTTTTCTATGACTTCCTTGTGTTTCCTAATGTTTTATGTCAATGTGCTCTGAAGAATGGCCGATGGTTTCATCCTTTGTGCATGAAATGCTAACAAAATCAAATTAATAATGCAAGCATCTGTGAATATACAAAACTTTTGCTTAAGGACAAACTTTTTTTTATCCACTCAACTTTTAAAAAAGCTTTCAAACAAATATGATGGGAAATATTTTAAAAATCAGATTTATGTCCAGGTTATGGAAACATATTCGCAAAGCCCTGGTATGACTTTTTAAACCATTCCTAATGTGGTGGGCATTTATTACCCTTTGAAATATTAATTTATACCAGTAGCTTCTATCCATTATTTTTTAGAAATAAAGTGTTTTCCTGAAACAATCTTTACGAAAAAGAAGGTTTTGCTTTTCTCCCTTCACCTTTAATATAAAACTTCTTACTCTCTCGATAGAACTTAAATTTGAATTAACCTGATGAGGGAAATAGAGTTGGTATAAGAAGATAAGTGTATTTGGATGGGGACATTTTCAAAT
This sequence comes from Homo sapiens, assembly GCF_000001405.40. NCBI lineage: Eukaryota > Metazoa > Chordata > Mammalia > Primates > Hominidae > Homo > Homo sapiens. Next base: position 81,228,497 of record NC_000001.11, on the reverse strand, counting down.
TTTTAGTATTTATTGTTTTCTTACCCCTATTAGATTTAATACTGATTGTAGCTATACCTTTAAAGAATTAGGTTTCTTTCTGTTTTAACATAGGTGATTTAAATTTACACAAACTTTATAATACCATGTTTTATTAAACAACTCTTTTGGATTTTTAACTCTTCTACCCCATCCTCACCCATCTTTAGAATACTTTTTTTTTGGTGAGTTTTCATATGTGCATTTTTCCCCTTCATCAAACCCGTTAAGAATGTAACAAATTGCAAAGAAATAAGCAAATTAGAATGATAGCTGACAATTCTTTCATTCTTACTGCACCATTCTGTATAAGATACATTGCAGCTCAACTAGTGTGAATATTATCCCAGTATGCATATGTAGGTTTCTGAAATTTATAGGTGAAGTGGAGTCAATCATGGAATTAAATTTTAGGATTAAATATTAGCCTTCTTTAGGTGTGTTATAATAATTGGAGCTTCAAAGGATGCTAATTTTATGTGTTAAATGCAATAGTAGATATATTTTGGCAGTTTTCAAACTACATTTGTGGCCCATGAGGTGAAAAGTTGATTGGAAGGATCTAAAGCCACAAATAGTTAATAATATTTTCTGCTTAAGCATCTAGATCAGTATTCGCATTTATCTATAATATTGCAAGCATTTTAAAACTTTGAATACTGTCTTATGAATAAAGATGGCCAAACTGACTCTCCTATGAATTGTTTGGAAACACTGACAAATATCTGCTATAATGCCAAAGCTGATTGTTTTTGGAAATATTAGGTTGCAATACTTATCCAATTTTGGTTCGCATTTACTGTCACAATTTTATCTTAAAGACTAATGACATTACACATATATGTATATTTATACATGTACATATATGCATATGCATATGCCAGAGTATAGGAATGTGTTATATGAATTCAAAACAGAGAAAAAAATATAGTGAGGTAAAATCAGTGTAAATAATATCTGAGGATACTCCTGTAAATTCTGATTTTAAAATTTTGGAACGTAAAATGCTGGTAAGACTTTTTCTTTTTTAGTGGAAAAATCTTATTTCTCAGTGTTTTTGATCAAATGAGTAATAGATAATTAAAAAAACACTGTGCTAGAGGAGAAATTTTGTATACACACAAGTTTCCATGTAAACCTCACTCTAATACCGTAATTAAGGAAATAGAGTAGGCTCTTATTTTAAAAATGTGTTCGATTCCTTGGATTGGAATCAGTAATTACAATACCAACTATAAATTCCAGGAAGCTATTTTCAGGAAATATTTAAAAATCATTTTCAGGCCATGACCTTTTCTTTTCTTTTAAAATTCCAGATACTGGGTAAATCTGTAATTTGAATTGGCTTCCAGTTATTAAATTCAAAAGCATTTAATACAAATTCAAACTCATATATTGGAAACAAACTTTGGCATTGTGACTTAATGAGATTACCATTGATCTCACAATATTTTCCTTAATCATAATGCTCTTTTCCGGTTTTTGCTTATTGTGCATACTCCTAATCCTCTAATGCAAGATCTTGAATTCCCTTGTTTATCAATATCTATGCTCAAACTGAAAACATATTTCTTAGCCTAACTTGTATCTACCAAAGTAAAAGAACATTCCATCTACCCTTCATGCTGATTACACATAGTAGACATATGCTACACCCCTAATAGTCCCATACCATGACTTCGGTTTTATGGCAGACAGCTTGCAAACCTACTGACAGGATACAGTATAAACACACCAGGCTTTATGCACTTGCAAGGTTAATGTAGCATCTGTGATGCAAATCTGCGACCATTCTAATAGCTCTATTGGTAGACCTATGCCATTTCTCAGATCTGCTCCTGAGTTCCATTAAGCAGTTTTCTAGTCACCATTAACTTCGAGTATCATTTACACAGAAAATATATGAATCTATGGAAACAAATACCAGAAGTGTAACCCATTTACACACCACAGGATACTGTTGAATCACAGAAGCACCAACCGCATTTAGAGTATCCTGGACTGACAGCACATTCTGAAACCTCACTTTGCATTTCTGGACACATGTTCAATTTCTGCTCATGAGTAAGCTGGTCACTGGGCTGATGCATTTGCTATGAAAGGCTTCATTTTTCTCATTTAGAGGTTCAGTAACGTGTCTTGCTGAGGATATTTATAAGATGTCATATATCCTAACAAGCATGGGATAGGCTCCAGAGTCAGGAGCAAATTTCACACAGGACAAGCTTTCTTTTTTTATCTGTGAGCACTAGGGCTGAGAGCCCAGCAGGATTCATCTAGTCCACAAAAGCTCTTCCACCCTGCACACAGTGTGTGCTTAAGCCAGAACACCAACACATCATGCTTTCTCTCACCAAATGACATTTTCTGGCTGCTCACTTCATATTTGTCACTTGTATACAAAGTGTAATGTGTAAAGAAAGCATGATCAGCTTGTGCATCACTAATCTCATTACTGTAATGGCTCTGAAAACATGCAACAAATAAGTAACTGGTAAGCCCCTCCACATACGCGTGCCATGCTCAGCATGTACCTCATTGAAATGTGCAGTTCACCGGCTGCTAAGAAAGGCAGCAGTCAGCAGTTCCAATCTGACTCCTCACTCCCTGCTGCAAATGAAGAATAACTCCTCAGGCCTAAATGAAAGAAATGCTGACAGGCCTATCTACCTTAACGAGCTATCAAGTACAAGGATGCCACATAACCCGCACCAACCTTTAAAATCCAATTGAATATTTCTCTTTTTGGAGACAGAGGCAAGGGCGCTCTGTCTGTCTATTTAAAGTTTTCTTATTGTCATTTATTCTCTTCTTCATTTAGAATATGACTCCTTAGACTTCGGTTTGAAGCCTATCAAGACCTAGATTACATCATTACCGTTATGTGGTATGTTACACACTAATCATAACCATTATGGCTTACAAGTCTACAGCTTCATTCAATTAGCTGCCTGACATGGATTTTTTAGCTAATTCATGGTGAAGGTCGGCAGTGGTCAGAGTGGCAGGTGCATTCTGCTACCTTATTGAATGCCAATTATAGTCTTGGGTAATTAGAGTGACTTGTATAGACAAGTTAATCAGAGAGATCAAAAGCTAAGACGTGTGGCTTATGGAACTGTCCAATACTATTAGAAATCATGTGGGATTGTCCATGTATTTAAATTAATATATGTCCATTAATTTATTTAAAAGTAAAATCTCTATCATCTAGCATAATAGAGAATAAAGAATGTTCTTTATTCTTATTATAAAACAGAAAATGTTCATATCATGTATATATGGGTATACTCCATATATATGGTTGATTTTGATAGGCAATAACAAATCATAATATATGTTTTTGAAAATATCATTAGTGATACTTTCAAATACCTTTTGCATCAAGTTTGTGAGCTAAATCACATTTATAGTTTAGGACTCTTTCCCTCTTTCAAATAAATTGTGTTTCTTGAAAAACTGGAATATTTCTTCCTGATAATTAGAATTATATACCACGTGGAACTCCTTTGTGCTGTGCTTATCAAGAAGCTCAGAGCTAACATTGGTGTTCATTCAAAATATCTATATTAGTTGCATCCTTAGCATATTGCTTTCTTTCTTGATTCATGAACTTCAATTATTTTAGGTATGTATTAAGTGATTTCAAAAAAATAAAAATAAAAAATATATTTTTGAGACACCTCCAGTCTCAAATACTAATTACATCAATATATTTTAAAGTCTGTTCCTATTGAAAATGTGAAGCTCATAAAATATTGAAAGAATTCGCCTTGTGCCAGGCACTGTGTTGGCTAGGCAATAGGTGTAAATAGTGACTTAGACTGACTTGGTCCCATACAACATTGAAGTTAGAGTCCAGGGGTAATACAGGCAATATATAGTAAATTCAAATGTATTGTAATGAAACTGAGATGAAGAATGGCAGAATGATAACTGTATATCTAGTTGGCAGTTACATGGGAGCTCATTGTACTGTTCTATTTTGATATATTTGGTGGGAACTAAACCCATGCTTTTTTAAGGTCAATGAACTCTTTGTGGAGAAGTACCTTATCAGCTCAGGCTAAGTTGGAATTTGCCAAGTGAAAGCATGTGTGAGGATATGAGTGGGGTGGGAGGGGTGTTAATGTCTCAAGCAGAGACAACAGCATTCTCAGTCACTGAAAGTTAGGAGGCACATGACACCTTCCAAGCAATGAACAGAATATAATTCCAGATGAAGTCATGAGAAATGAGCCTAAAGCAAAATCTAAATCACTAAAGGTTTCAAATCATGTTATTAAGCTTTAACTTTATTCTGAAAATACCTTGTCTTGTCTAAGACCAAAGTTAGTAAAACATCATATGTTATAAAATATATGTACTTCTACAGTAACAACAGCATTTTCAAGGAGTTAAATCAGTACTTTGGGAATGATGTTTCTGAAAACAAAAACAAAACAAAACTTTAGAGACTTTGGAAAACATGATACAAAAAGTTAAAGACACTTTATGAGAAAGCTAGAGAAATAGTTTAATCTGGTCTTCCTAAATATATACTTTTTTTGTTGTTGTTGTTGAGACAGAGTCTCACTCTGTCACCCAAACTGGAGTGCAGTGGCACAATCTCAGCTCACTGCAACCTCCACCTCCTGGTCTCAAGCAATCCTTGCACCTCAGCCTCCTGAGTAGCTGGGACCACAGGTACATGCCACCATGCCTGTCTAATTTTTTGTATTTTTGGTAGAGATGGTGTTTCACCATGTTGCTCAGAATGGTCTCGAACTCCTAAACTCAAGCAATCCACCCACCTAAGCCTCCAAAAGTGCTGGGATTACAGACGTGAGCCACCGTCCCTGGCCCTAAATATATACTTTTAAAGCCAACATTTAACACTTAATTTAGTAGAGATTATAGGACATTATAAAGTCACATCTCATGAAGATTTATCAGAGTGTAAAGGTGCCATGAATGCTGATTGAAACAGCCAGTTTGCCAGATATGTGAAAGGCCACATAAACCAAGTGGAAGGGTCTATTCCGGAGCAGTCTCCTTTAGAGACAACCACAGCCAGAGACAACCAACTATTCAATGGTCTTCATAGCTTGAGTTTATGCTAGACATTAAGCAAAGCAATCATGAAAGAACAAGATAAAAGGAATGTTTACTTAGGAAGGCGACCAACATTTAATATGTAGAGTCTTTCAACTTTTCAAAATTTTATTTGTAGTTGTTTCTACCAGTCAATGCTGCATTGTATTGATTATTTTATTTCCTCTAAGTTGTATTAACATTCCAAAACCCCAAATCTACAAAAATGTTTAGTCCACACAATGACAATGACAATCCTTCTGAGCATCCTTTAAAAGCACTAGCTTTATGATTACACTTTATAGTTTAACTGCCAAAAGTTGTGAAAAATATTCAGACACCGAGAGAAGTAAATTTGCATAAACTATTCTTGTCTCTAAGATATTTACGTTCTGTCAGTACAAAATGCTTTAGAAAATGACCTTAACAATTTCTAAAAGGTAACAAAGTATTTGAGAAAGTATTGCTTTATAAATTTATTAAGCAGTTAAGAGAAGAAATCTAAGAGAAGAAATCTAATGTCTGAATTAAAGACAACTTAAAAACTTAGTAACTTTTAATATGTTTAACGTCTTTTGCAATAAGAAATCCTATTCAGTAATGGGATCTGAATAACATCCTGTTCAAAAATGAGACAGACACAAGTATAGACATTTCGGTTCATAAATACCTGATGATTGCAGAAATATGACTCTAAAAGGATCACCTTGATTTACTTTTTCTTCTGAAAAGTAATGATCTATCTTTACATTGAGTGGATATCTCTTCCATTTGAAAATATAAACCACCCACCAAATGTCAATAATAATGTGATTTTAAATATATCGTTAGAGAACTTCTGTCATTTTACTTCTCTTGAAAGAAGTAGCATACAGTTGCATAATCATAACATTGTTCAAATTATTATTATGTCTACTTTGACAATGTAGGATATAGCCACATAGAAAAGTGCTAAATGAGTTATTTTAACACATTTTTTTTTTTTTTTTTTTTTTTTTTTTTTTTTGAGACGGAGTCTCGCTCTGTCGCCCAGGTCGGACTGCGGACTGCAGTGGCGCAATCTCGGCTCACTGCAAGCTCCGCTTCCCGGGTTCACGCCATTCTCCTGCCTCAGCCTCCCGAGTAGCTGGGACTACAGGCGCCCGCCACCGCGCCCGGCTAATTTTTTGTATTTTTAGTAGAGACGGGGTTTCACCTTGTTAGCCAGGATGGTCTCGATCTCCTGACCTCATGATCCACCCGCCTCGGCCTCCCAAAGTGCTGGGATTACAGGCGTGAGCCACCGCGCCCGGCCCTAACACATTTTTAAAAGTTCAATGAAGTATTAAATATTGGAACTTTTAAAACATTGTAAAATAGTGCCTGAATACAAGATAATATTTTCTAAGAGACTCTAAGAAAGAACATAAAATATTATTGTCACGGGATCCTTAGGGTATTCCTTCTCCAGCCAGAATCCCCTGTGTCCAGTGGCACCTTTGCCTGAGTTTTGCTTGGGCTGCTGGGCTCATTCTGCCCACTCAGCCCATCAGGCTGTGCTTGGCTCATGCTACTGGCCTGGATCCCACGTCTGTGAAGGATAAGCGAGGCGTGGAGTGGCAAGGGGTGTCTGAGTGAGCACAGGGTCTGGCCACTGTGCATAGCCAGGTGTACTGGCTGTGGCAGCACCAGCATAGGCGCTGACTGCCTGTGAGGCTGTGGCTGGACCAGGCATACTGTGAGCACTGTGTTTCCACTGTGAGCACTGGGAACCTGGTGGTGTCCAGAAGCCTGGCAATGCCAGGAACTGCAGAGCCCCAAAGAGGGTGTCATAGGCCTGCCTTGGGGAGCTCCTGGGTTTGGGCTCTCTGAAGGGCCACAGTTCTTCGCTCCTTCTCTCTTCTCTCTTTCGCATTGCTGGCAATGAGGCAAGCATGGTCATGTTTCAGACCTGTTTGTGTTACAGCTGTTTTAGTTCTGCCATTTGGTGGCTCCCAAGTTCTCGTCCCACATCTAGGAAGAATCAGGTATGCAGATTACTGGCGGGAGAACAAGGTGGAGAGGAGCTTCATTAAGCAACAGAACAGCCCTGAGGAGACCCGTAGTGGATAGCTCCTTTCTGCAGGTGGGTTGTCCCAATGAGTTGAGGACACCTGAAGTGGGTAGCTCCTTCCTTCCTGGCAGCTGGTAGTCCTGACATCTGTGTAAGTCTGGCTGAGTCTGGGTTTTTTATGGGCTCAGAAGGGAGGAAGTGCATGCTGATTGGTCCATGGGTGGCCGTGGGCAGACCTGGAAAAAGCACTATAAGTTCTCATTCTGGGCAGTGGACTCCACCTGGAACTGGCAGCCTGGCCCCCAGGCTTCCTAACTTGAAGGTGGGGTTTTACCAGGGACCCGCCCCTTTCTGCCCAGGCACCTATCTGACCCCAACCATCAACATGCTGTCCACGGAGCCCAGGCTGTTGGTGCCGAGAGGCGCCTGCAGTCCTGCGCCAAGCCACCCTCAGCCACCCCTGGCCTCCCTCCCACACTTGTCAGCACCTGAAGTCCAGAGGGAGTGCCCCTGGGAGTCAGGGGGCTGGAGTGTCAGTGCCACCTCAAGCATGCATACACCCAGCCGAGTCACAACAGTGCCCAGGCTCAGCCATAACTTTGCTCTGCACTGGAGCGGGTACCGGGAGTCGGGAGAGGCGAGACTGCAGGAGCAGGCACTTTGGATACTGCAAGGGCATGAGCTTCCCGTGCCCCTGAGAGTGCAGGGATGCCTGGGTCTGGAGCCATGGCTGGGTGGCTGTAGCTGCTCCCAGAAAGGGGCAGAGCTCCTGCCTGCTCCTGGCTCCCATGGGCCCCATGGAGTGTGTAACCCTCGCTGCACCTCTCCTTCTGCAGCGAGTGTCTTCGCAGTGGCCACTCCAGAGGGGCCACTGCTGCCATCATTATCTTTGAGAAATAATACAGGAAAAGGAGATTAAAGCAAACTCAGTCATTTTTATGAAGGAAGGACTATTAACTGATGCATTAATTAGGATTCTATTTTTGTGATAGTAATTTGTGGGCTTGTTATTAGAAATTTATGGATAGAATCTGGACCCCAACTGCAAAATGTGAGATGGGCAAAATTTAAACATACAGTTTTGGTTTGTGTAAAATATTGTAATTTATTCTAACATGTATGAAGAGAATAAGTGCTTGAGGTGATGGATACCCCATTTATGCTAATGTGATTATTGTACATTGCATGCCCGTATCAAAGTCTCTCACGTAACACATAATATATACACCTTCTATGTACCCACAAAAATTAAAAATTAAAAAAAGAGATTAATATGTTTGCCCACAGTGAAGAAGAAAAATAAAAAGAGGGAAATAGAGTTTGTAATACAAATAATTCCGTTTAAGTGTATTAATTTTCCCCTACTCAAAACATCAGTCCCTTTTTGATTTTTACCAATAGTACATAATGTCTGGATTAAGCCAAAGGCTTAACATAAAACCTAGATAATTGCTTCTGGCTTTCATGTCTTTTGGAATATAAAAAAATATAGTGTCTTATTTAGCAATGGGACATATGTAAGTAAACACATTCAGGTTACAAATGTTTGATGGTTGCAGACATTTGACTATAAGGATTATATTGACTCAAAATGTATATTTAATTTTATTATGGAATAAAAGGAGAGGTTATATAGATGCAGAATTGACATTTGGCATTTCCTGACAAAATATTATATACGACAAAGTAATAGTAAATAGCATTTTGTAGTTAAGAAAGGAAAATTCCTGTGTTAATGGACTATATTACTCAATTATGATTTTATTTTTCATGGATAGTGATTAGCTTGGAAATGATTCTTTAATGTCTTTCATGGGAAGTAATTTGGTTTAAACTTAGCTGCAAAGGGTCTGAACTTCTTGAAAAATTTAACATTATTCATAATTGCTTTATTAATTATTTTAGAAGTTTGTAAAGGAGAAGCTTATTAAGAAATGTAATTTGATTTACTTAAAAAATTTTGCCTTTTCTTTTTCAAATCATATTTAGATTTACATTAGGAGCAAAAATGACATTCTATCTACAGACTTTTCTGTGTATCTGGGTTCCAATAAAATTAATATCCACATAAATTATTCAATACATATTTATTATGTATTTACTACAAGCAAGGTACTGTACTAGGTACAAGTATGCAAAAATAAAGGTTTATACTTGATAAAGACTTTTAAAATGCTACTGGTGATAACCAAATGAAAAGCTGTTAATTTTTTAAAATTTTCATTTATTTTCTAATATGGCACAAATATGTATTGTGCTTAGTAGAATTCAAAATAAAAAACTTCGCTTATGCTATAATTCAATCTTTGGAATTCTTCAGTGAAGGTCACTAAATTAGGAAGTTATATGGAAATCAGAAAGAGCTGGAACATTTTATAATGGCTAGGAATTAGCTGAACAAACTCAAGCTAATTCTGCAAACTAACACAGTGACAAAAGGGTTACCAAAAGTCATTCTACAAGGATTAAATTTGCAATGTTATAAAGCAAATCTTTCTCTTTCCCTACTAGATTGAAGAAAACCCCAAATGTATTTTGATTGGCTTTTAGAATATTTAAAAATCTTTTTCAGATACTTAGAGATAACAAATATTCCTAGTAAAAATGCTGAACTGGGACAATTATTTATTGTAATTTAAAAAATGATCAGTTACAAAAATGTATTTAATTACAATTATTATATACAACATTGAATTACGACATGTATATGTATCACATGTAAATTAAAAAACAAAGCAACTCACAATTAAACAAAATATGTAATATGTTTTATAGTATATGCATTTATCATATTTAAAATATATTCTATAAATCTAACTATATAGTGATAATATATTTATACAAAGGATTGTGTGCTTGTACTCTATATAAATAATACGTATTATGTAGGATTAAATACTGTGTGTATGTGTGTGTTGTGTCTGTGTGTGTGTATGAAAGCAGCCACACATTTTCCAGAAATATAACTTAAATGCTGTCACAGATTGCTTCACACTGGTGTGTAAGTTGCATAACTAATTTACCCTAGTTCTCCAGAAGCATGAATGTATTTTATAAGAATCTTCCACTGTGCTTTCTGAATATTCTTCAATATTCTTAAATGTAACACAAAATGTGTTCGATATAGGGATACTAATGTGTTAAATTTTAATATTTTTTAGCTACATAGAGCATAGTATCTTGTACCACAACTCATGTGTGACTGTTTCACCTCTAAGTTTCTATTTTCAACTTTGTATTGTACAGTGTGGTCTCAATTAAATCTATAAATATATATAAATCTGAGGTTGGGTGACAAAAAAATGAATGCCACGCATTACGGGGAAACCCTTCAATTTACTTCATAATTTTAATAGTTTTGTTTATTATTATTTCTGATTTTTAAATTATTTAAGCAGAAAACAAAGAACACTGATAGGAAATGCAATTGTTATTGGTTTAAATCACAAAGAATTACATTCCACAGAGGAAGGCAATGTCAAGTCATGTGGCCTCGTATAAGGCTTGTATCTCTGACAATTACTAGTTTTGTTATCTTGGCTGGATGGCTTCTTTCTGCCTGTCTTCTCAGTTGTAAAATGGGAGGGTAAACAGAAGAGAAATGAAATAATCCACAGCAAATTCTGGAAAGTCAGAAGCAATTGTTATTAAAATTAATAATTATTACTAACAAACACTAGTATTATTAGTGGGTGTTACTCTTTACCAGTGTACTTAACATGTTTTAAATCAGCACTCTTTCCCTCCACTCTGCTAATATTATTGACAAAGACAAGGAGAAAAAGTAGATGTTCTTTAACCCAAAATTTCTCTGAAGATGATTACCTTACTTTTTGGTATAGGTTGCCAAGTTTGACTGGTATTAAAGATTTTTAAAAAATGATAAAATACAATGAACATGCAGATTATCCTAGAGAGAACAAAGAATATCAGAAGAACAATGCATGATTTGCTTTTCTCTTTTAGTTGTGCCCTATGAAGTAAAAGGTGTAACAAAGTAACATTTTATCTCTAAAAAGAATGATTTATCTTTAGAGACTTTTTATCTCTAAAAAGAATTACTTTATTCAATTTTATATCATTAACGGATGACACAAACTACTTAATTCACATTAAATTAAATAACCAAGCATTTTATTTACATTTGGGAAATAGAAGCAGAAAATGCCATTATAATTAAAAAACATATGTTAGGCAACTCTGTATTCTTGATATATTAGTAGGGGTTTTTCATTGCAAAATTAAACTATTGGTCCTTATGCTTTAAAAGCATAGAAGCCCAAAGTAATATTGTTGATAACAAATATTCTAACAACTTAGAAACAACTGAAAAAATAAGGAACTAATACCAATGAAATAAAATTCTTACTTGAAGTGCACACCAATGGGATTAAACATTTACACTGCAAACTGTGATTGTATTACCTGCAGAATTGGGTGGGTGGGTAATATTGTACGCTCTGTATGCCAGTAGGGTTCAAAAGTTCACCACCTTCTTTTTACCTGGGGTTATGTCTGCCTGTTTGGATCTTCCTCCAACCTCCCTCTCCTGCAACCCTGCATGTTTGTGCGTGCACACACACACACACACACACACACACACATTTTGTAACTTGTTCTTTACTTATCTCCTTAGATCTGCACTTGAATCTTACCCATGGCACATGTATTAGCTGTGATTGTCAGTATAGTTATTTATGCTTCATAAGCCTCTGTTACCTGGAATTCATTATTCATTATAATTGTAATTAACTCACACAATTTTTTGTCAATGATTTGATCAATAAGTAGGTAAAATATTTGTTAATTTATGAGGGTTACAACTTTGCTTTAAAATACTTTTATTAATCCAATAAACCTATATCCTCCTATAGAAAATGCTCAGTTAGAAAGGATCTTTATGAAATTCCCCAAATGTGAGACTTCCAAAATAAGTATTTTACAAACATGTAGTATAAAATGCCTCTACCAATGCAAAATGTTACTTCGAAAGACATTTTTGAATGCAGTGAAGATTTGATTAGAAGCAACTTCTTTGGGAAACTACTTGGTTTGTAGAGGTGACATCAATTTTCTTTCTACACTCAGAAATTTGACAATACTACTTAGGTATCCTATTTTTTTTTCCTATTTCTCAGAACTTTTGTGGCTCATCTGTGTTTTCTTTGTTCTGTTATCTCACTAGACAACAAAGCCCCTCATGCCTGAGAATTTTTTCCCTTTCGATCTGCTAAATCAAGGCCTTCTGCTAGTTTGCTCTTTGGGCCTGTTTCTCTGAAGTTTGCAATATGCACTAGACAGAATATCAGTGCAGCAACAATAGGCACCCTGAATATAGACTGATAAATAATAGATGGACAGATAGAGAGATGGTAAAAGCCATCGACTAGTTCCTTCCAAAGTTAAAAGGGACTAGAAAATTAGCAGGAAAGATGAATGGGGAATGGAACAAAAACTAGTCAAACATTTAACTCTTGAGCCTTTTCTTATATTCATTAATACTTATATAATAAATAATCATCAACAAATTTTTTTTATATGTAGAATTAATACATTTAATAAGGCAAACATAAATTAATGGGTCATGTTTCAACTAAGAAGCAGAAATAATAGGACTTTACAAAAACAAACTGAATTTAGATGTAGTATTTCCCATTTATAAAACCAATACCTCCAGATAAAAGAGTTAATACTGGGTATATACCCATAGGATTATAAATCATGCTGCTATAAAGACACATGCACACGTATGTTTATTGCGGCACTACGCACAATAGCAAAGACTTGGAACCAACCCAAATGTCCATCAATACTAGACTGGATTAAGAAAATGTGGCACATATACACCATGGAATACTCTGCAGCCATAAAAAAAGGATGAGTTCATGTCCTTTGTAGGGACATGAATAAAGCTCGAAACCATCATTCTGAGCAAACTATCACACACTGGGGCCTGTCATGGGGTGGGGGAAGGGGGGAGGGATAGCATTAGGAGATATACCTCATATAAATGACGAGTTAATGGGTGCAGCACACCAACATGGCACATGTATACATATGTAACAAACCCATACATTGTACGCATGTACCCTGGAACTTAAAGTATAATATAAAAAAAAGAGTTAATATTTATATAGCGTTTACTATGTCCTCGGCAAACTAATAACTGAACTTGTTAGTTTGAGTCTGAGTTTCCTCAGTTTAGACGCAGGAGATTCCAGGCATAGACATTGACCATTTGATGCCTCCAAAGACAATGCTCTATGCCTTTATGGCAGAAAACTTGACCAACAAACAAAACTGGCTGGAAAAGCAAAATATATTTTACAAAATTACAAAATAAATTCTGATGTGAATGGCATTGTTTTATGTTAGAACATGATTAGCCAAATGTAATTTTCTGTTAAGTTATTTCTGAATCAAATTTCTTCCTATCCAAAAGAAGTTTTAAGACAAGATCTTTCTTTGCTGGCATGCAGACAATTTAAGTAATCTGTTAATAGATATTTCAGTACAACATTTTATTTCATGTATGTCTTGTAACATTTATTTCACCTCTGGAAAAGAAGAAAAAGTTTAAAAAAGATTTGGATAAAAAATATATTTTAAATTATCCTTGATACAATTGCATTTGCCTATTCACAAGAGAAGTGATCTTTTTCTTTACATAAATCTAATTGGGGCAAAATTAAGTAATGTTTTTATTTTAGCTATAAAACTTGTTTAGGAAGTCATCTTTTGATCGAGCACAGTCTCATTTTTTATCACCACAATATCAAATTTTTCAAAGTTTTCCAAACTTTGAAAAAATATATTATTTTCCTTTCCTATACACATAGGAAAAGACATTCTTCACAAATTAAGATTGGCATTGCATATATACATACTTATATATATTACATGTAAAATGTTAATAATGTTATTTCTAGATTAAGACAAATGTTAATAGTTTCTATTAAAATTGAGCAGCTCTGGGTTCAAATTTATAAATTATCCAGTCAGAAGCAAATTAGGAAACTCAAAATAGTATATATCAAAAAATTTTTTTTGGAAATTTATCCTGAGGAGAAAGAAACTCTCATTTATGTGACATATACTCAGAATTTATTGGTAACAGTAAGAGGATTTAGAATATTTCAACTAACTTTAAAAATCTGCTTTGGGAAAAAAAGAGAAAGGTCTTACTGCTTTCTATTTTCTAAGCGTTCAATTTCTAAGTCAACCTCCCTCTCTCCAACACACACACACACACACACACACACACACGTACGTATACTTTAAAATATGTATTAACTTAAAATTTAAAAACAATTATGTATTTCAAATAACTTATAATTTAGCAAAAACCACAAGCAACTAAGATTCTCTGATGAATGCTACCTAGGATGCTTGCTATGTAAGAAATGCCACGCTTGTCAAATTCCATTGCAAAAACATGTAGGTTCCCAATCTCTAAAAGTCTCTTTTGGAGACCTTAACCAAAACTGCATTTCAGATATGAAGAATATTAGTCTCCAAAGGATATGCCCTGCTGACTTCTTTCCCTGTTAACAGTATTAAATCATCTTTGAACAGAAACCCTTTATAGTTTATCACAGCCTGTCAGCCCAAAAATACAGGTAACTTTTGTTTCTGGTCATTCAGGTAGGGCACTCCAAGTCATTGATATATATATATCTATTTCTCTATTGTAGTTTAGAAAGGAAAGATTATCTGTCTTCATTTTTGTTCTTAATGTAAATATATACCCTCCCTTGCTTTCCCCAACCACTCTCTCCCCATCTCCAGGGGAAATTCTTAGACCCTGCAGAAAAACAAAAACAACAGGAAGCAGCCAAAAAGGAAATGCAAACTAAGGAGAGCTTTCGAACGTTTTAATTTACTTCCCACATTGCACAACCTCTATCACCAATTTGGATTGTGACGTAAGGATCGACTAGTGTTAGGCGGATGGTTAATGTAAAGTGCTGTTGCCTCAGTGACTTCTTACATGAACACATGAACACGTCTGGGTTTTTCTATGTCATAGTCCATCAAGGCAAACTTTACGTGGTGTTCATTAAATATCTCCACTGTATACATGATTAGGCCAGTTGTTTATTTCCAAGTTAGGTCAAGCTTCAAACTAAAGTAAACCAGTTGCATTTGTTTGTTTAAAAAAGGAAAAAAAACTGACTTTTTTTTTCAGAAAATTGCCAGAGAAAATGACAATTTTCCAATTTGGTGATTAATCAATTATCAAATTGATACAAAACATTTGGAAATAATAGAAAAATATAAACATTATATTTTTATTGAGAAAATGCTTTAAATTAACTTAAATGTAGCTACAATTAGACAAAAATAATTTATAAAGTGTGGAAGAATTGTTCAATAAATTTAAAGAGTTTTACTGGCAAAGTGGTGCTTTATTCCCTTTGTTAAACAGCAAATTCGTTTTTTTTTTCTTTTATCCATCAAGTGCAGATAAACTAGGCAGCCAAAAAGTTTATTTTGGGTACAAAAAAAAGGATGCAGAAAAGAAGAAATATTTTTTCCAATGTCATGAAAAAAGAATATATCTGATATAAATTTAATCAAATTAACAAATTCTGAATAAAAATGTAGATTGCTTTGCTCATTATTTTCCTAATTTTATTTACATTTCAAAATCAACAACAATGAAATAATTCTAGAGTATCCTTCTTGAAAAGAATAGAAAGAATGGTTTTAGTGGGACCAGAATTTCCATATTTGAAGTGAGTATAGCTAAAATAAAATTGTTCATTTTAGTTGAAATCATTACAAAAGAAATTCATTGCCCCTATTAAACTTATGCAATCATTTGTACTGTAACCTGAAAAAAAGACTAGAGTTTCAGATGAAGATTTTTGCTGCTGTGCATATTACTTCCTCATATATATGTTTTTAAAATTTTTACTTTAACCCTGAGAACAATAAGAGAAATTTTTAAGGAAAAATAGAAATTATCTTAAGATTTTAAAAGTCCTATATAAACAAAGAGACTGGAGATTAAATTATCTGAACCTCTTCTAGTTTTGTGTGAATTCTGGCAAATTAGTTAAGCTCTGTGAATCTCAACTTCTTCATCTTTAAAATGGAGAAAGTGTCCATCTCACATGGCACCTGTAATGATTACATGAGATTCTCTTTGTGAAAAAGGCCTAAATTGGCAAAGACATCTATAAATAGCAGCAGTAGTAGTATATAAAAAGTAAAGAACACTCAAAATTGCACATGTCATTCAGATATGTAACTTACAGCTGCAAGGGGAAAGAAAAGCAGCAATATGTGATACAGTACAGTTTAGGGTTGGTCTGGGTGGTCTGGGCCTGTGTCTTCATCTTTGTCTCCTTCACAGTCTCTGACTCTGTCTCTGTCTTCACCTCCATCTGCTCTTCCTTTGCCTCCTGTTCCTCCTTTCAGATGCTTAATCCCATCAATCTCAGTGCTAGTGCATTCATTTTATCTCACTTGAACCTCATGGCAACTCTATGGTATTGGCTATCATTGTATCACTGGTTGTGCTATAAAAAGCACACTAAAAAAGGAATATGCATGCTCAAACCCTCATTTTTAGTCGATTTGCACTTTTTTCTTTCAAAGTTTCTCAATCCACATAAATTAACCTAATTCTAGGCGAAAACAAATGTAGTTTCTCTGGATTGTTCCTCTTTAAATAGTTTTAACAATTATTTGAACCACATTTATTGCTTTTTCTGATGATGAGGAAATACATAATTATTGCAAAAAATCAGAAAATATAGGAAAGCAAAATGGAATAAAATTATGACAACACCCAAATATATCTAATATACATTAGTTTTCTTTGTTGGTATAGATGAGGAATAACAAGGAAATTAGCAGTTTATCTTTAAACAAAAAAGAAGCAACACTGTCTACTTACTATGAATGTGGTTAGTCCCTGTGGTAGGATGGGCTACTACCATGTTCCCCTAGAGGCTAAAAATTTTTTTGAAAAAGGAAACACCAGAAAGAGATCATAACTTATCACAAGTAATAATCAAACATGAAAGATCAAAATAAGTGACCAATAACTCCATATTTGCAAGCCTGTGCCAAGACAGTCATTATTTCTGAGAATTTTTAATTTAAATTTCTATTTGATCTTTTATTATACATGTATTTGTGCTTGTGGGCAATTGGAGTGATCTGACTGTGTTCCCCAAAATTCATATGCTGCAACTTAATTGCCCATGTGATAGTATTTAGAGGCGGGAGGCTTTAGCCCATTTATGCCTGAGGTTGCAATTTTTTGAATTTTTGTAATCAGACCTCAGTGATGACCTTGAGCAGTAGGATATAAATAACTCCCACATGCTTAGAGTTTCAATAATGGAACACTAGGCATAAATAGGTTTTAAGAATTGATTAATGAGAGAAGAACCCTCATGGATGGGATTAGGGCTCTTATAAAAGGTCTTAAGGAAGTGAGTCTGTTCTTTTCTGCTCTTCTGCCATGTCATGACACCTAGACTGTGCCATTTTTGAGGAACAGGTCTTTGCCAGACACTAAACCTGCTGGTGCCTTGATCTTGGACTTCCCAGTCTCTAAAACAGAAATAAATTTCCATTATTTATAAATTACCTAGTCTGTGGTGTTTTGTCATAGCAGCACAAGCAAACAAACTAAACAGGAATGAATCTCAAATTCTTTTAAATTTTTTTTTGGTGTAGGCAGGGTAGAAACGACGTATGTTTAAAAGGACACAAGGTCATTGGATTAATTTTTTCCATGTATCACACTGACGTCTTTGATGTATTACTGGTATAAACGGAGCACTCTATAATTCTCTTCCTTATATTAATGTATTTGGTGTCTTGACATTTGACTAAAAATTAATAAATAAACCTTATTAATATGATAATTTTTACATAGATCGAGTCTGTAAAACAATTTTAAAGTAGTATGAGTTTTAATTTGGGTTAGTGTGAAGTCTCTCACTTATGGACTCCATCCGCAAAACCTTAAAAGAGGGAATACACTTCACATATATATAGCTTATAAATAATCACTAAAGCACATATTATGGTTCTGAATTATATATTTGTTTGTTCTTATAGAATAAAAATTTCTGCCAACTCTTGCCTTCATTTTCTGTTTTACAGTCACAAAGACATATCTTTCCTCTGAGGGCCTCAAGCTCCAGTAGTTAGTAACAAAATTGCAATCGTAAGTAAAAAAAAAAAAAAAGCACAGAATTATGTTTCCTTTTCTACCTTGTGCCTGGTAACATCAGAAGTTAAATAATTTGAGGCTTTTATCATGTGTGCAATGGTGTACCCAAAGAGCATGTTACAGTCCACTTTCTCCATTTCTAACCTTACCATTGTTAATGCTAACAAGACATACAGGGTCTTTGAACATTCTGAACAATACACCTCGATGCCTCAGTAAGTCAGCAAGGTCTCAAAGGTTGTACCATGTAAAAGTCAAGTAATTAAACACTGATTACTTACTGCTTAAAAAAAAAAAGGTGGCTGGGAAAAGTTGGATTCAGAAGGTCTAATTTCACACAGAACATTTCAGTGAAAATTAAGCCTTTAACTATATTCTGCTTGACTTGATTTGAAAGAAAAGGATAAGAAAAAAGGATTATAAAAGCTATTCAGTAATGTCTTTCTGCAACAGAGCTTTGGGAGGTGACAAACAGCCACTGGTAATTCATTTAGTCATCTTTTCCCCAAACAGCATTTGGATTCCCCTTCAAAATTTGGCTGCAACTCTTTAGTTTCATTATTCTTTCAAAATACAAAGGCTCCTTCCTTCTCTCTTGGCACCGGTTGAAATGTTTTAGCTCCCTAGAAACAGCTAATTTCTAATAAAGTTTGCAAACATAGTAAACCCCATTTTACCTGATGCTGTTTCATTTCCCATACATGAAAAAAAAAAAGGGAACTCTTCCCCAGAGTTTTAATTTTGACCTATTTCAACTTTGTAATCTTTTAAATCAGAATAATTAAAATTTAGAAATATTTAAGTTGTTCTTCCTTCTATCACACCCTACTCTCCAATTTATCTCAGTGGCTAGTATGTAGAAAAAATGCCAGAGATGACACAGGTGCTAAAATTATTCTGCTGAAAGACATCACAATTTTTTTTTTGGTAGCAGTAGAATTTATTCAAATGTGCCTTAATATAGGTGCTGAGGCTTGCCCATGGTGCTCTTGATATATAAGGCCAGGACATTCTGCCAGTTTTTCTTGAGCAATGACAGCAAGAATTTGACAGCCAGGTGAATGTTCTACACAAGCTCATCTTCTGTCATCTTCACGTGGCCAACAGCCACAGCCAGACATAACACCTTCTTCATTTGGAACTTGAAGGTGGACTTCACCTCATCCGCTTTGGCCGCCATGTTTTCATTGTGTGTGAGCAGGGAAGGGAACTTTCCTGCCTTATTTAGGCCTGGGCCCAGGATTTGTGGGATCCACTTGATCAGAGGCTCTGAGGCCAAAAATGCATCATACTTCTTGGCTAGCTTCTTGACCAGTTTCTTATTTTTGTTGAGTTTTTTCAGCGCCTCGATGTCCATGTGGGGGATATCCATGACCTTGGCCTCGTCACAGTGTTGCTGGTACCCCGGGACACACACGGAGAACTTGGGGTGGGGAGTGGACTTAAGCCTGACGGTGTCCGAGAGGTGCTTGTCCTTCTGGGAGTCACAGTTCCTCAAACTAATCTGCAACTCCACTGTCTCCAGACTTGGGGCCCTTGTGCTGGTTCCCTTGCAGGACTTCCTGCATCACCTCGTACACGGTGTCGCAAGAGACTTTGCTGCTCATGGCTTCTCACACTGAGCTAACCGGAAAAGTGACACATCTCAATCTTTTATACCTCTTACTCTCTCACTCTTCCTGTTACAGGAAGGCATTTATTTCCTTTCCGTTTCGTAGATGAGATTAAGGATTATCTAACAGAAATAATTATACTGCTTGTTAAAATTTACTTAATTCATTTCTTGGAACTATCACTATCTGTTCACAAGAACATATAAGATTATTTATTTTCTTATTTGTCTGGAATTACCTGTGCCAAATTGATCAAATATTTCCTTACTCAATTGTTTCTAAGAAAGAATTTCTACCTTACAGAGAGAATGAATCAGTTTAGTTTATTAATCCCTACTGAAACACAAACATACATATGTGAGCTTATTTATCCCTACTAAGGCATAACTATTTCACTTGATTAGATTGTATTGGGGAAATTTTCTGTAGCAAGGACTAAGAAGAAAACGACAGTTTCAAATAATATATGAGCTACTTAACAAACATCTTTGAAGATGCTGCTGGTGAAATTTATTGCAGTTGTAAGGAAAATTTTGATTCCTAAATAGGTAATATTAAAATATGAGGCCTTTTCTGCTCACTTTCCTTAATGTTGCTGCTTTAAAAAAATTGACAAATAAAAATTGCATATATTTATCATGTACAACATGATGCTTTGAAATATGTGTACATTGTGGAATGGTTCAATCCAGCTAATTAACATATGCATTACTTACATACTATCTTTTGTGGTGAGAACACTTAAAATCTACTCTCTTAGTAATTTTCAAAATAGAATACATTGTTATTTACTGTAATAACTATATTGTACAATAGATAACTTGACCTTATTTCTCCTGTCTAATTGAAATTTTTTATCTTTTAACCAACAACTCCCCAATTTCCCACCTTCCAGCTTTTGGTAACCACCATTGTAGTATCTGTTTCTATGAATTCAGGTTTTTAGATTCCATATGTGAAGAGATCATGTGGTATTTGTCTTTTGTGGTTGGCTAACTCACCTACAGGATTTCCTTCTTTTTTAAAGCTGAATAGTATTCTGTTGTGTATGTATACTTCATTTTCTTTATCCACTCATCTGTTGATGGACACTTAGTTTGTTTGTATATCTTCCATATCTTGGCTACTGTGTATAATGCTGCAATAAGGGGAGCAGGTATCCTTCTAACATACTGATTTCATTTCTTTTGAATATATACTCAGAAATGGAATTACTGGATCATATGCCAGCTATATTTTTAATTTTTTGAGGAATGTCCATACTGTTCTCCTTAATGATTGTACCAATTTACATTCCTGTCAATAGTGTGAAAGGGTTCCCTTTTCTCTACTTCTTCTCCAAAACTTTTTATCTTTTGTCTTTTAGACAATTGCCATTCTAACAGGTATGAGGAGGTATCTCATTGCGGTTTTAATTTGCACTTCCCTGCTGACTAGTGATGTTATGCATTTTTCATATACCTGTTGACCATTTTCATGCCTTATTTTGAGAAATGTCCATTTAGGTCCTTTCCCCATGTTTAATTCAGTTGTTTTCTTGCTATTGAGTTGTTTGAGTTCCTTATATATTTTGGATATTAACTTCTTACCAAATATGTGGTTTGCAAATTGGTTTTTCCCTATTCTGTAAGTTATCTCTTCACCCTGGTGATTGTTTCCTTTGCTGTGCAGAAGCTTTTTAGTTTGATGTAATCCCATTTGTTTATTTTTGCTTTAGTTGCCTGTGCAGTGCTACTTTTTTTGGTTAGTTTTATTTTAATTTATTTTCTCAACATGTGAGAAATGTTGAGAATTATATTTGAGTCCAAGGTGATTTTAATGGATCTTAGTTGCTAAACTTGTTTATTTTAATAAAAATAAGATTATAAACATATAATTATAAAGTAATATTTTTAAAAGATGATATTTTAAATGAAACTATTTTAAATACTGCATAGTGTTAACCACAAGCATAAATTCAAAACCCATCCAATAGTTCCCTTTTCTTCTCCTTTGTGTTAAGCTTATTACACCCTGGCTAAGAAATCACTTTTCAATGGTAAACTCCCCCCACCAGAGGCAAGTGAAAAGAAAAATGGATTCTTTTGTGAAGAAAAAAGATAGCATCGGAGGAGTATTAATATAGTTTTCAAAATTATTAGTGGAAATACATCCTGTGCCAATGGACTTTTTAACTTAGATTCTTTATTTTGAAGCATTTGGATCTAACTTCCGTACGTTTCCAGAGATTGTGGATTTCAGTGTTTCCATGGGTGTCACATGCAAAAGGAGAGTAAGATATTGCTTCTGTGACGTGCAAAAGTGGAAAAGCGACCATTTTCTAATGAAGAAACGCAACCCTTGGTTTCACCAAGAAAAACAATGTGATCATAGATAGATTTATATTAGAGAGAATTCCACTGGAAGTCCTTTGCCTGAACGACCTTCAGAAAAACAGTAAGGCAGCAATGTGGGTGGTATCTTTGCTGCTTTTCTGGCATAAAGAATGGAACAGGAACTAGGAGTCAGAAATACTTCATTTGGTATAGAATCCTAATCTTATCTTCATTCTGACAGCATCTCCTTTTACTTGTTAAAATAAAAATAGTGATCCTAAATTTTAATATAGTTCAAAGGGACTATATAAAGATGAGGACATTTCCTTGGCTTATGTTCTTTCTGCTTTTGATCCACCTATGAATGCACAAAATACCTTAATTATTTTATTCTTGAAGTCAGCATTAGCTAACTTGGTAACATGGGCCAGTAATATATAAAACACACACAGAATCAGGATGAATAGTATCCATGAAAATGCCAGTTACAATAGCTATGCAGTCACTTAAAATTTCTTTTAAAAAGCAGACTTGCTGATGATTTCAGACTTGGAATCTTATTAAATGTTAATCAAAAACAAGAAAAACTCAACTGCTGGTGACTTTCTTTGTAAATTACAATTGTATTTTGCCAAGACTATTTCTCTGAATATGTAAAACAAAGTGGTATAATAGGGGAAACATAATCATTGACGGGATTCATTTATTTGTTCAGCATCAAAATCTTCATGTTAATTCACATCTAATTACAACACAAATCTTTTCAGCTGAAAAACTTTCCTTTTCCTTAAGTTTTTATAGTAAATATAGCAAATAACATATCTATAATATATTGAAAAACAAAAGTTTTCAAGTTACTTGACAATCCAACAATTTGAGGAATGAGACTAAATTTGTGAAACGGTTTATCATAGTGACATAAAGATACCAGACTCACAATAATATTGTCTTTATTGAATAAAAAAGAAAATATTCTGGCTATAATAATCAGATTACTTGGGCAGTAGTGGTTGAAACAAATAGAGATTTATTTTACTTTTATTACAGAAGTCTCAAAATTGCTGGTGTTGGCTGAGTAGCTAAATTATATCAAGGCCAGCATTAGACTTTCTCTCATGGTTCTTAGATAAAAGTTCCAGTTTAGGAATGAAGTTTCCATTCAAGGCTGGAAAAATAGATAGGTGAATAGAAGATAAAGACTACCAACAGTTATCAGTCTTTCTTTTCAGAAGAAAAGCATGTTTTCTCAGATATATCCCAGCAGATGTCTGCATATGTCTCATTTTCCAGAGCTCTATTGCATGGTCATTGCTTCCTGCTTTGGAGATTGAGAGGGAAAGGCTCTAAATTGTGTTGAGCTCCCTCAGTCTCCAAGGTGAAGGCAAGCAAGAGAGAAAAAATTGAAAATGGGTGTAGGCTTAGCTTCGTGTACGACTTGATGCATGTATTTTATTTTTCTTCCCTTAAAAAAATTATAAAATAATAAGAAACTGCCCCAAATTGGCAAATGGAATAAAAAACTCACATTTTAATACCATAACATAGTAATTAATGGGTGTATTTCATTCTAAGCCTCTATAGTCACATGTTTTTAGATCTGGTTATAATCACACTATGTTACAATATTGCAACTTCATTGTCTCTTTCTTTTATTTCACAGTGTACAAAAGGCTTTTCAACATTTGTAAATAGTCTTTTAAACCAACCTTTTTAATAAGTATTCAGTAGGTAGACTTATCCTTGTGTTCTTAGTAATCTCAAATTGTCAATGCATGTTATTTTTACATTTCTTCATATTCAGGTTGCTATTGTTAACAAAATTTTAATTTAAGACATATTAGAGACTTCCTGAGTTCTGAGTTCTTTCCACAGCTAAGGAGTATCTTATAGATGTTAGTGAGCAAATATGGCAAAGACCCGGAGGAGGGGTAGTTAAAATGCAGCCAGATACAAAGTGGTTAAATACTGGGAAGGCCTTCTGAAAAATAAGAGCTGCAAAACATTGAAGTATAGCATTGTGGAGGGCAGAGGAGTCATCTTTACAGAATGTTCTCTAGAAAACTGCTATATAGGGTGATTTAATTTCTGTTAAGACTGGAGTTGGGAGACTAAATTGGATGGCTTATCAAAGTTCCTTTAAAGCCCGTGGATCTAGGGTCATGTTTCATTTATTTATAACTCTTGTTCATATATTATGAGTACCTTTTAGAAAAAAATGAGTTTCTTATATCTAAGGGTTCTTAGAAGTTGCCAATATTATGATCTACTACAGATTTTATATTAAAATAATTATTTTTGATAAATCCTTAGGAGCATTTAGTTATAAAAGAAAATAAACTATCTTCTATATCTAAGCTTATATAGCATTCATTAAAGGAAAAGCAGTTAAAAGTGATTACAAATACAAACTGAAATTAAACACAGTTCTTCCAAAATTACACACCAAAGGATTTCACCAACTTGAGAGTTACAAAAGAAAGTCATGAACTGAATGTAACAATTTGATATTATTTAAAATAATTCCTACTTTAAATAATAGGCTAGATGAAACCCATCAATGGCATTGTATGCAACCCTGTGGGAAGGTTTTCTGTAATTCAGCTCTAAGATTAGATATATATGGAACTATTACCATGGTAACTATTTTCAAGGCTAACAAAAGTGTAACAAAATATGAACTAAAAAATAACTACAAAACCTCCACCAAGACAGTAAATTTTCCCATCTTAAAAAAAAAAGTTGTTGAAAAAACTAAAAGCCCTCAGACATATAGACTACTTTGTTGCTGTAGAGAACACTTGTTTTCAGCGAGTTTCTTTTTTTGTGACATGTAAATCTTCCCTTCAGGGTAAAAGTGAGATTTATCTTGATTCATAAAGGGAGGAAAGGGTTTAGGGAGAGTGAAATTTGTGGAATGCACACACTTTTAAAATATAGTTTCTTTCCTAACCTAAGCATAAATCATAAACAATTTCTATTGTTCCCTCCTTTCTTTTACAGCAGACCAAACCATAATGTAGTACCGGTATTTTATAACTGCTGAGAATTAACAAAAAAAAAAAAACTTTTGTAATACTTTTCTGAAAGATTCCCTGAAAATCATTTTATATCTTATTTTTCTTTTGGAGGTAAAATATGCTCTTTTTATGATACCATTTAAGAAATTAGTGTTAATTTTCAAATAGAGCTGTAAAAGGAATAGAGATAGGGATTTATAATGGAAGATACATTTTAAAAGTAGTTTGCAAGAAAAATTGAAACCTTCTCAGTCCACTGGATTAATGCCTCAAATCACTTCAGAAATACTACCAATCAGATATTGTTTCACAAAATGGAATGTAGTATCTTGATTAAGCAAAGGGAATGAAGGCTAAATATAAAATAATTCATTTCTCATTCCTTAATAGAACATTTATAAAAAGTTAAGTGTATAGTGCACTGAGAAGTAGTAGTTTCCATCCTTCAGTGCTGCTGGTCTATTGGTGGAGTCATAGACAAAAACACTCAGTGTTTCTGTTATTTTTACCAGCATCACAGAATCTTTCTTCTTCATTGTAAAAGCTTCTCAGCATGAAGCAGGTGGTGCTTGACCAGGCTTCCTCTTTAACCAATACACCCTACAATTCGGATTAAAACAGATACATTGGGCTGGCTATTGTGCAGTAAGAATAATTGCTGAGTTATTCAAGCACAATGGGCAGAAGGCATACAAGAATTTTGCACAGCACCCCTTTAAGCCCTGTGGCATCAATACAAATGGCCTGTAAAGGATATGTTAGGTCACCCTGACATAAAATAAACAAAGATAGGGGATCACCCGTTTTCAGCACAAAATAATGAAGTGGAGGGTGTGCATCATGGCAGATGCTACCCCATAACAGAATTATAGAAAGTAAAAAGATTTCAGGCTGTGTGTCTTGTTTTAACACTATTTGAAAAAAAAAAAGTCAGACTGTCATCGATGGCTGTATTAGTCCATTTTCACACTGCTTAAAGATATCACCCAAGACTGGGTAATTTATAAAGAAAGAAGTTTAATTGACTCATGGTTCCATATGGCTAAGGAGGACTCAGGAAACTCACAATCATGGCAGAAGGGGAAGCAGTCACCTTCTTCACAAGGCATCAGGAAAGAGAAGAGTGAGGAGCAAAGGGGGAAGAGCCCCTTATAAAACCATCACATCTTGTGAGAACTCACTCACTATCATGAGAACAGCATAGCGGAAACTGCCCTCATGATCCAATCCCCTACCACTGGGTTCTTCCCTTGATACATGGGGATTTTGGGGATTACAATTTGAGATTAGATTTGGGTGGGGACACAGAGCCAAACCATATCAGTGGCGTTATGCCTTCATTCACAGATATTTATTTATACCTAGGATTCTAGGTACTGTGCAGTGGGATGTACATTGGGAATGCAGTGGTGAGTAATACAATAATCATGTGGAAGGAGATATAGGTTAAACAAAAATTCATTATGTTAGGATTCTAATAAAGAAATTATTATTTGCTATTTAATTAAATGACAACACAGTTACAAGATGGTATCAACATTCCCATTTTACAAACAGATAAAATGAGACTCAGAGGGACTTTGTCACGAATCTGTGTAAAATAGAGCCAGAATTTAAACTGAATTTTATACAATGCTACAGACTATACTGTTTATCTGTCTGTCTGTCTGTCTGTCTGCCTATCTAGCTATCTTTTTTGTCAATATTTTTCAAGAATATTTCTTTGCCTTTAAAGGGAAAACACAGGTAAACAGAAAAATCACCATGAAATTAATAATTGTTGCATTAATAAAGTATAAAAAACTCAAAGAAGATGGATTTAGGGGTTCAGGAAGGAGCTACTAAGTGGGCTTGAAAAGTCAGAAAGCTTTCGTAGAAGAATGATTGGGCAACTCTTATTACTGTCACATCTTAGAATTTCTTTATAACTTACATATCTTTATTCTAATTTTGGAATGAAAGTACATGATAGACTCAATATTTTCATTGTTATGTAGATAGTCAAACAAATAAAATAAAAACCACTGATTCCAATTTTGCATAAGAAATTTTTGTCAGGTTAAGGAAATAATAGCTATGATTTCCGTGTACTTACTATGGCCACCCCAACTACTTTATATTCAGTCCTTCTAACAACAGGATGAGGCCAGTAATATTGTTAACCCTATTTCTTACAGGAGGAAACTAAAGCTTAAATCAATAAGGTAACTTGTTTAAGGTCACACACATAATAAGTACAGGAGTTGGGGTCCAACCTGGATCTGTTTACCTATGTTTTAGTTATCCCACAATCAAAATAATTTAACCAATTTCATTTTGACATGAAAGAGAGCTAAACATATTTTTGACAAAATTAGGGATTTATTGGTTTGGGGGTTAACATAGACTTGGTATCATTTCCCTATTAATTTTTTCCCTCCTGAGGCATCGAAAAGTCTCCTTTCTCTGGGCACACAAACTACACTTTTCCTTCATGAAGTGGAGACAATCGTTAGTCTCATTTCTCACCTGCCAAATCCCTACTGTCCTCTGCTATGGGAAAAAAAATTACAAATTTTAAGTAACTCACATAGGCCAGAATAAGAATTACATTTTCCAATGGCCTTTGAATTAGACATGGGCTTGCATTTCAGTTTTGCCATAGGATCATGGAATGTAATGTATGCCACTTCTGGGTCTTGACCTTGAAGAGAAAAAGCATGCACATATACACCATTCCACCCATTTTTTTCATTTCCCACTTGCTAGAATGTGGTTAGGAGCCATTTTGTACAAAGTAGAACAGAACAAGCTTAATGGTGGTTAAAAAAGAAACCAGTGCGAGCCAGTGATCCTGACCCTGTGGTCCCAACATCATAGATCTGATCTGTTCCATCTGGACAGTTACATTAAAGAGAAATACACTTCTATAATATCTTCATAAAGTAACTGCTAATTGGGGTCTTCTTATCTAAAGCTATCCTTTTATTTCACCTATTCAAGTTCATACCTGTGGTAATCCTATTGTCTTTTCTGTATCATCAGGGTTTCGCTCTCAACTAGAATTTCTCCGTCATACAAACATGCTGTTATTCCTACTATCTTAAAAAAAAAATCTTCTCACAAACCCACTTCCTCCTCCAACTACCCTTTCTGTGATGCTCTTTATGGATAAAGTCCTTGTTATCTCTGTTTCATGTCTCCATTCCAGTCAGGGTACTCCTATCAATCCCCCAAAGTTGCTCTTGTGAAGGTTGCTAATGAACGCCATATCACTAAATCCAAGAGTCACTTTATGCTTCTGCCTTAGGATGTTTGCCTTCAATTTCTTTCTGCTTTGAACAGTTCTTTCCTCAGATATAATTACACTCCCTTCAGTCTTTTATCCAATGTCACCTTCCCTGTGAAGCTTTCCTTAACCACCACACGTAAAGTCCTTAGCCCTGCTATAATTTCTAACCCTCTTCAATGTCTCATTTTTCTCCATCACATTTATCACCATCTACAGCGTAGTTTATTCTATTTATTTACTACCTAGCCTAATACTCAATAAGAAAGTAAGTGTCATGGGACAAGCATTTTATCTGTCATGTTCATTGTTGTATTCCCAGGACCTAGAACATTTCAGGTTATACAGTATGTGTTGAATGACTGAATGAATGAACAGATGCTTGTTGAGAATATATTGGGTGCTATTCACCTTGATAGGTGCTATGGGTACAAAGTGAACAAGACAGATGGAGCCTTCCCTTTCAAAATATTTGGGATCTAGATCAGAAGAAAGACATTAATTCTCTCAATTTCTATACAACATGAAAAATGCTGTTAGAAGTAGTGTATAATAGGAACATTCAGAAGAAACAGTGAACCTAAATTTGAGGGATCAAGGAGGACAGTGATATCAAACCAAGAAAGAGCGTGATAGTCATCTTGGAACTTTGAGTGGAAGTTATCCTTGAGAGGTGAATGGGATGGGGAGAGGGCATTTGTCCAGGCAAAAGCAGTGGGTCAAGTAATGGTATGCTGGAAGACCTTTAAAAATTCAGTATACAGTGTGATGTGAGGTATAAAATAAAAGTAGTGAGAGAAGAGATGGAGTTATATATAAGTTAAGGTTAGGGACTCAAATGACAGACTGCTTGAATTTGAAGCCTCACTGTGCCATTTGCTCATCCCTGTACTGGGGTGTGCTGTGTAATCTCTCTGTGCTTCAGTTTACTTATCTGTGAAATCTAGATAAGGCTTCCTG
Source organism: Homo sapiens (assembly GCF_000001405.40). Classification (NCBI taxonomy): domain Eukaryota; kingdom Metazoa; phylum Chordata; class Mammalia; order Primates; family Hominidae; genus Homo; species Homo sapiens. The sequence continues at coordinate 81,199,001 of NC_000001.11, read as the reverse complement.
ACTTGGTGTTTTGAATATTCAATAAGGTATGAATTAAAAGAAATTGGTATAGGGTCTGATAAACAATAAGTCCTCAATAAATACTAGTTGTGGTTGCTGTTTGACTTGTGAAATAAACAGGGAAGAGATCATTATGATTCTTGCAGGCATGTCAGGGAACTAGATACCCCATCCACTCCTGGCAGCCTTTGAGACATTATTATTGCTAGTTTAATTATTTTCCTATCATTATTATTACAAATGAATTCTTTTTTTGTTTCCCAGAATCATATTCAGGGTATTGAATAGAAAATTGATGTACTGGCCTCATGTCAGTTTAAGGAAGAGTTGGGGATCAAGGAAGGAAGAGGAGAATTGTGCACTGTTATAACTAAAGCACTTTTTGAAAACACAATTCATTTTATCTACAGAGACATATTTTAGGGGTATACTTATGATACAATATACAACAAATTTAAAAAATGATGAGCAATGAAAATAAGACAAAGCATATAATCATAAATAAACATTTTAAATTATATTTGAACATATATTTTATTGGAATATATATGTTTCTAATGGTCACATGATGTTTGTTAAAATGAAGTTCTGGGACAGTATTACAATGTTTCTCCCTCATCTTCCACCCATAGCTTTCACCTGTTCTAGGAAAGAGACAATCTAAGTAATTCAGTGCTTTTGGGAGTCTGAATCATTGGAATAATTACCTTAATTCTCCTTTAAAAGAAAGCTATCTTAAAAAGGACCTTCTTTGATTGACATGTGTCTGCATTTTTTTAAAGGATAGACAAAAGAGGTATTCAGTGTAATTATTGACTTTCATTGCCTTTTACAATATGGAGTGATAAAGGCCAAAATCCCAGCGATGTGGGATACCTTAGTGCACACTGTTTTCTGGTCACTTAGTAGGCAATCCTTATTTACCATTAATTAAATGTCAACTGTGCAAGTAATCAGCAGTGAAATTGAGCATCTATTTGTAAGAAGGGTTATTTTTTAGTTTCATTAAATTCTTTGTGCTTTCTGTTGTTCATTTGTCGCATTGTCTGCTTTTGGCACGGAAGTGTCAACAGGTGTAACAAAGTTTAAATGGATGCGGGATGCCAACTGCTTCTCTAACTCTGGCATGGGAAAGGACCTCCTGTAAGAAGAGCTGCCTCCTGAAGTATTTTGTTAGCTGTCATTGGTGGGAACTCATGTCATAGTACAAGAGAGCAGCCAACATATGAGTAGGCAATCTGCCATCTAAACAGATGGGTATGGGTTTGGCAGCCAAGGGGCCAAGTATATACAGCAAATATAGGTATCATGACTTCATTTCCAACTGAGATTGCTGAGAAGTCTGTTTGTCCTATTATCATGTAAGTTGCCATGACAGTTGTGATCAGTTTTTAAAGGCATAAATGACAAATACTTATCGTAATAAACATTTCAGTACTTTATTTGATTAGTTATTGAGGACTTAACAAGAAAAGTGGAAAATAAAACTGGAAAAACAAATATTAAAAAAAAAACTAAGCCTAAAAAGTTGGATTTTACATGGATATGCTATATGTTCATGTGATGAAGGCAAAACTTTTATAATACCTTTGTATTGCCCCCTTAGAACATAACTATTCTGAGAGCAAGAACTTTGAGGGTACATTTATGATAAAGCATACAACAAAACTCAATAAATTACAGGCAATTAAAATAATGCACATAATGCATTTACTCTGTAAGTAAAAGTTCTATGAGGGAAGAGGGCTTGTAAGTCTTACTATTGCTGCTTCTCTCGGTGCTAAATAAGTGTTCAGTAAATGCTTGTGGAAAGAATGTATAGTTAATGTAATTATCTGGGTACCATATAACATTTGCTAATCATGTTAAATAAGCTGAATGTAATGTAAAATTTAAGATATTTTAAATAATGAACTCGATTGAAACTCTTAGTGAATCAAAGGATGCATATCAAAACATCATGTTGTTCTCTTTAAATATATATGAAATATATATGAAAAATTAAAAGTTAAAACAAACAAAAAACCCTTCAAGTCTAAGTGTACAAATATTAGAATGAAATCTGTGCTGACTTAAAATTTGCATGTGGAAATGTTGTCAGAATTAGAGATATCACACTGATCTCATGTTTATTTTAAATATATAAAGGCAGGTAAATACAGAAATAACTTCAGACACAGGTTAATATTCACACATATATTTTCTAGGTCTGTCCACTGAGACGTACTAAAAGCAGTGACACCCCAGTAGCAATAAGCACACCTAGCACCCTAATCTTTGTTTCAAAACACCATTTTCTAATAAAAGAGATAAAATTTCTTAGAGAAATGACTGATTCTAGGGATGGGGCAGGGAATATACAAGATGAGCCTGGTGCAGTAAGGAAGTACATAAGAAGAAAAAAAGAATAGGGTAATGTCAAAAGGACATTCGAGCCAAACGGAAAGAGACACCAATGGCCAAAGCTGCAACATCGTGGGCAATAAACAAATAATGATAGTATTGGATTATATGCTAGGGTTTGAATGGATTCCCTTCAAAATTCAGGTGTTGAAACTTAATGACTAATATGATAGTATTAAGAGGGGACCTTTTAAAGGTGATTAGGCCATGAAGGCTCCTCCCTCATAAATGAGATCAATACTTTTATAAAAGAGTCTTCATGCATTATTCGGCCCTTTGGTCCTTTCATCTTTCTCCATGTGAAGACACAGCATTTCTCCTCTCTGGAAGATGCAGCAACAAGGCACTCTTTTGGAAGCAAAGAGTACCCTTCACCAGACAACCAAACTTTCCAGTGCCTTGATCTTGGACTTCCCAGCCTCCAGAACTGTGAGAAAATAAATTTCTCTTTTTTTATGAACTACTTAGTCTACAGTATTTTGTTAGAGCAGCATAAAATAGACTAAAATAGATTATGATGCTGGAACTCACAAATTTATACTGATATAAATGAGTAATAAACAAATATATGGTGGAGAAGGATACATCTTCTGCACAGAAGAATTCCAAGTAATAAATGTACAGTAAATTAGGAAAATAGAATATCACAATTACAGTACCATAGAGCAGGCAATAACTTAGAGGAGGCAAATTGACTGATGTATGCCAAAGTTAGTGGGTAGAACTTTAAAGAAAAACAGGATATTGGCATAGCCTCAAAATGTCTACCTTCAAATATTTATTAATTATTACAAGATATTTGATACTCCTTCCTCCAGGAGGGGGGAGCTTGCTTCCTCATTCCTTGAGTATGTACTGAATTTAGTGACTTGCTTCCAAAGATTAGCAAATGGAAAGGGAAAAATCGTGGAGAGACCTGGTAGACACTACCTTAACCAAGTGATAAAAGTTAATATTTACCAGAAAGAAGTCATTTTGCTATCATGTACATCATGTTATGGTGCATTGTTCTCCAAATTCATAAGCTCAGTCTAATCATGAGAAAACATCAGACAATACAGTAAAATTCTACAAAATATTTGACCTGTACTCTTCAAAAGTGTCAAGGTAATGAAAAATGACAAAAGACCAAGAAGCCATCACTGTTTTGAGGTATTTAAAGAGACATGATAGCTAAATACAATACAGCATACTGGACTGGATCTATGAGCAGAAAAGGACATGAGTGGAAAACTTGGTGAAGTGTCTAACTCAGCTAATAGTATTGTACCATTGTTAATTCTTAGTTTCAAAAAATGCTACATGGTTATGTAAGATGTTAACATTAAGAAATCTGGGTGAAAGGTATATGGGGACTTCATTTTGCTATCTTTGCAGCTTTTCCATGAATCTAAACTTATTTCAAAATTAAAAGTTAAGAAAGTTGTATTAAAAATATCAATTTACTAACTTATAGTTTGACTTAGATTTAGAAAAAGAGAATAGAATGTAAACACAGTTTTATTTTTATCATTTGCTTTTTTGAAACAAGAATTCTCTGTTTTAGTATTATGAAATAAATTTAAAGTACCTTGCTAAAAACTGTTCTTCAATTCAAATACGTATGAGAAAACATTCCAATTAGGATTATCATATTCAGATCAAGCTGTAATACTAGAAATATGGTAACTTACTATTTTTTCATTCTTCAAAAACAATCAACTTTGTAGACTTCGGTTCTACCCACAAACTGTTACAGATGGTCATGTAAAAGTCACTGTTTTCTTTCCTGAATATAATTCACATGAAAATCTAAGATGGGTTTCAAAAACTAATTTAGTCTTGAAGTTTTCCCTCCAAAATAACTGCAAACGTATCTACTTACAGTGGGATATCTTTTTACAGCTAGTGAAAACTGATTGTTTTAATAAAATAATTTAAAATCGCGTGGTAAAATCCCCAAATGCTCCTCAGGTCCCACCTGTGAACCCACCTGCAGTAGATGGTGGGAAGAAAAATACATTGTTACAGATCACTGAAAAATGCACAAACCTCCGAACAGACCACTTCAGAAAACTTGAGTTTCTTAGCAGTTTTTAGAAATGATAATTTATGCTGGGTTTCTTGAATAGTGGGGGTTTGACAATGATCCCATAGAAAAGGATGAGTGTGTTCCTAGTTTAAGTTCTTCTATTTTTAAGCACATTGAAAATTACAGGAAAAGCTTACCAAAATTCTCAAATTTAAGCTGCATTTTTCAAGAGCAAACATGTATTAATACAAGGAATTGATGAAATTTTTAAAAGTAAATTTTCTCTATTTTATCATATTTCACCAAATTGGAAGTTTGGGGTAAGTGGGAGATTCAGTGTACTTGGATAAATTCTGGGAAATGGGTTGATTGAGGAAAAAAGGTATCAAAGAAGAAAATTTCAGTATTCTGGATTCAAACTTCTTTAATACTCAAGGTCTTCCTAGTCTGATCCAAGTTTATTTTTTAAGTCATTCAGGTTAGAAAGTATTTTGTTGTAAGGCAAATAGGACTGATCAAACTAGCTCAACAAACAAACAAGATTTTTTTGGAGGGGAGAATTAATTTTTAAGACCAGAAGGACTCCATGTAAGCAATATAGGTGGAACTGGAAAGTGATGGTTTAATGATAATAACATGCGACATTGCTTACCATGAGCCTGGCATAGTTCTAAATGCTTTCTACACATTATATCATTTAGTTCTCACAACAATGCAAAGGTAATTACTGTTTGTATTTTATCTTCTATTGTACGTGGAGGTTTAGTAACTTTCTCAATATTACCTTTCTTGTTAAAGGAAGAGCTAGGATTGATTCCTGGTGGCTTAGTCCCAGAGACTACCCGTTTAGACATTCTACCATGTATTTCTCTGTATGTTTGGCTCCATTTCCCATTTCATTTAGATTTCCTCTGCAGGACACTTCCTTCTGCTTTCCCATAATAACTACAGTTTACACCTGCCTTTAGTTTGCCACAGCACTGACTTTGGCTCCATGTTCTTGCTGTTTTGCTTCCCAGAGATAAGTGGCTCAGTTTCACAATGTTCCTGTTCCAAGTTTCTGGAGCAGATAATCTGATTCATTCACGTTTTTTGAGGTGTCCACTCCTGATCCAATCAGATGAGGGAGGTGGAGAAAGGGAGAAGGGCAGGTTTGGGTCACCCGCAAACAAGGTCGGCGAGAGCTATCCCTTTAACAAAGACATAGGTAGAATAGATTGAGAAGGTGCAATATGCTAGATGCAATGGCTAGCATCTTCCTTCACCTACTTTTCTATCCTTTTTTTATACCTGTTCTACAAATCCTTTGCAGTTTTCATACAGATACATTCATTAGTCTCTGAATATGTTGAATGCATTTCTACGTCAGTGTTTTTACTCCCTCTATTTTTCTGGCCTGGAATTTATCTGTCCTTATGATTCAACCCTTCTGATTATTATCAGTGTTTCAAGGCCCCAGCTGTGTAGTGCCTTCCAAACCTGCCTCCACCTCTGACCTCCTACAGAGCTTGTCTTATCATATGCCTGCACTTTATCAGATTCTCTCTTGCATTTTTATTTTTATTTTTTATTAGTACTTCATGTCTTTTCTCCTCAACTAGGTCAATTAATCAATACGTAGGCTTCTTGAGATCACAATCTATGTATTTATATTTGTGTTCCAGCCACAACTGTGGCAATTTTGTACACTGATTAATGTACCTGTTGACTGAAAGAAAGAAAAAAGATCCAAAAAGCACAACTGAAACAGAAAGTGGAGGCTGCTGGGCTGAGGGGAAAGTAGAGATATTTTAAAGTTAGGTTTTCATTTTGTTTTGCATCACTTTTTAATTTCTTTATAGGAATTAGTACAGAATTTCAATGCCTGATGAATAAAGGCTTTTCCTTTCACTTCGCTAGCCCCATCTATTTCCAGGTAAATGTTGGCTTTTGATTAATATTTCAGTGTCTGACTAAGAAACACACCTTAACTATTTAGGTTATTCTTGCAAATTGAGTTAACTTATGAACAAGTAAAGTATTAAGTTTTCTTAAATGTTCTAATGCTGATTATAAACAGTAAAATTTTAACTTGGGATTATAATGTAAAACACAAAAATGTATCAATTATACATGTAACACTGGAGTCATGATCTAATCTGGAACCCTAGACCAAATCCTCTTAAAAATTATAAGCAATTTTCCATGATGTGCTTATTTCACACTGCATGCCTGTATCAAACATCTCATATACTCCATAAATATATATACCAACTCTGTACCCAATAAAAATATAAACAACTAAAATTTTTTTGTTTCATTATTTTCATTTATTTTTATATATGTTATTTTGCTAGATTAACATATATTTTCTAACTAATTTTTTAAAAGCTATTTCAGGCCGGGTGCAGTGGCTCACACCTGTAATTCCAGCACATTGGGAGGCTGAGGCGGGCAGATCACGAGGTCAGGAGATCAACACCATCCTGGCTAACACGGTGAAACCCCGTCTCTACTAAAAATACAAAAAATTAGCCGGACGTGGTGGCGGGCACCTGTAGTCCCAGCTACTCAGGAGGCTGAGGCAGGAGAATGGCATGAACCTGGGAGGCGGAGCTTGCAGTGAGCCGAGATCACGCCACTGCACTCCAGCCTGGGCGACAGAGCCAGACTCCATCTCAAAAAAAAAAAAAAAAAAAAAGGAAAAAAGCTATTTCAAATAATTTGGTCTTATTTCCCCAACTCAATTTCTGGAAATTATTTTTTATTGGCCAATATTGTTAGTCCTACCTGAGAACTGGTAAAGACTAAAAATGTAGAGATATAGAGCACTAGGGAAAATTGCCTCACAATCCAAGTGATTAGGTTATATTTATTCTAATGTTTACTTAGGTTTAGTTCTGAGTTTGATTTGAAGTAACACTAGAGATTTTGGGCAAAATACAACCTTCCAGGGTTTTAGCCATTCATTTGTTCAAGAAAGATTTGTTGAGCAACTACTTTGTGTCATCATTCCAGGCTTGGCCCAGAGCAAAATTATCATGTAGACCAAGCTTGTCCAACCTGAGTCTCACATTCTGAAGGTGGCCCAGTGCGGCTTTGAATGTGGCCCAACACAAATTTGTAAACTTTCTGATTTTTTTCCTTTTTTTTTTTTTTGCTCTTCAGCTATTGTTAGTGTTAGTGTACTTTATGTGTGACCTAAGACAATTCTTCTTCCTCTAATGTGGCCTAGGGAATCCAAAAGATTGGACACCCCTGAGCAGTACTTTGCCAAAAGACTGAGAATCTTCATCAATCTTTTCACCCCTCTCATTGTGACAAAATCACTTCATAGGCCGCCAGTGCTGTGTCCTGACAGAACTACCTCCATGATGTATCTCCACGCCTTGGCATTCTCTCACTAGGAAGTGCTCCACAATTATTCTTCTTGGTTCGAGCTTAGGCAACATGTTTTTTTTCACAAGAAAATTCCAAAGATATGATACTTTATTCTAATAAGGTTTTTAAAGTGTAAGTGTCTCTGCTCAGAGTAAAAATATATTTTACATTGTGAGGTAATAAGTACCTGTGTTTTTCCAAAATTAGGGTTTCATGAAAGAGTACTTACCCTTCAAAGTGCAACAAAGAGGCTGGGCATGGTGGCTCACACCTGTAATCCCAGCAGCTTGAGAGGCCGAGGCGGGTGGATCACCTGAGGTCAGGAGTTTGAGACCAGCCTGGCCAACATGATGAAACCTCATCTCTACCAAAAATACAAAAATCAGCCAGGCGTGGTGGCAGGCGCCTGTAATCCCAGCTACTTGGGAGGCTGAGGCAGGAGTATCACTTGAACCTGGGAGGTGGAGGTTGCAGTGAGCTGAGATCAGGCCATTGCACTTCAGCCTGGGGGACAAAAGCTAGACTTTGTCTCAAAAAAAAAAAAGAAAAGCAACAAAGAATCACCTAGTTAATATCAAATATGACACCATCAATAATGCAGTGCAACATTATATTTGACTTCATTTTCTTAAAACACCAATCAGAAACTACTAAGTTTACCTCCAGACCTATTAAAAGGTCATGCACAAGAACTTTATCATTGTTTTTTAGTATTTTTTTTTTATTGGAGGGTGATTCTGGCATAGAAATGTCTTTTATATATACCTCAAATTATGCAAAGGAGAGGCTTGCTGCTCCATACTCACCCACATTTCCCAGCATTTCTACTTAGTGGTAAGAGGGTCTTCTGAGTATAACAGAGTTTCGGCTAAAGTGAAGGACCAGATAAGGGAAGCTTACAGCCGTAAGATATCTTTTAATTCTCTTTCTATCATTTACACTCCACAGGAATCTTGGGGGAAGGCTTCACTGAGCAATTAAACACTGAGAAATTCATCTATATATCCAAATTTGGAAAAGTGATGAATATGCAATTTTGCCTCCAGATACAGCTCCAGATTCTCCTTCCACCAGTCAAATAAGTGGATGCTTATTGAGTGTCTCCCACAGTGTTTTTAAGTCAAGTTCAAGTAGGCGTCATGACACAAAAAGTTATTTTTTCCATGCTCAAGAGGGTTGTATAACATCTAATGTGATTAGACTCCTTACTGAGCAATGAATATGGAAATTAGATGATCGGACTACAGTGGATGGTTAAAATGAACTCCAAGAATTTAGATAAATAAGGCTGAAGAATGTGGGTAAGTTTGTGTGTCTAGGAGTGAGAGTGGGTGGTAATGGTCATTGCTGGGGAAATATTTTTAAAAATCTAATAATTCTGAAAACAATTGTTTTGGGCTCTTATAATTAAATACCGCCATGAACAGCTTTTACCATAAAAACTTGAGAAGTACTCTGAACTTTATGAAAACTATTTCTGCATTTTACCTAGAAATCTTAAACAGCTATATTTCTAATTTGGGAAAATGATTTGGGAAAAATGTCTTCTAACACCCTTAGTGTAAAACAGACCTGCCAAGGCATTTCATGCTCTATGACTAATTTCTTCCAATTTCAACTCCACTGATCCAATAAGCCAGGTTTAACCAAGCAGAGAGTGAACAACATTTTTTTTTTCCTTTGATGAGACGGAGTTTCACTCTTTCGCCCAGGATGGAGTGCAGTGGCATGATCTCGGCTCACTGCAACCTCCACCTTCTGGTTTCAAGAGATTCTCCTGCCTCAGCCTCCTGAGTAGCTGGGATTACAGGCGCCTGCCATTATCCCGGCTAATTTTTGTATTTTTAGTAGAGACGGGATTTCACCATGTTGGCCAGGCTGGTCTCTAACTCCTGACCTCGTGATCCGCCTGCCTAGGCCTCCCAAAGTGCTGGGATTACAGGTGTAAGCCACGGCGCCCAGCCACGAAGAACATTTATCGCCCTGCTGTGGGCACTTTCTCTTGTCTTTTTTTTTAATCCTTTAAATTTCTACTTTTCTTGATTTCTTATTATGTTGAGTTTGTGTGTATGGTTTCTGGTTATTGTTATATAAGTGGGAGACATTTAGTTGAATATATACTCTACTTTTTTTTCATTAGATAATAACTTTCTTATGGAAAGGAATTAAATTCTTCATTTTATTCACAATTATCTATAGCCCTTAGTGTTCCGTTCATAAATATGTTCAATAAATGCTGCTGATATGCTGACCAACTGTTCATAAGTGTAATATTTTATAGAATCTTCCCAGAATCAGGGTTCAAGAGGGTCAAAACTTAATTAACCTTCCTATAAAACCTTTCTAATAAAGCTAAATTTGAATTTCAATTCAAGTCAGATACTCAGGGGTGGAAGGAAGATTCTTTGAAGTCATTATGCAAAACAACCTACTGAACTTAAGTATCTTATATCTGAGTTCAGTATCTATATCTAGTTGATAAGTATATGTATGGAACACTTAGATCAGATATATTGCATTTAGGAACAGCTTCAGAATTAGTTTCAAATTGGCAGAATGTAGAGCATAAAAATGTCTCTGCTCTAATTAGCCTAAGTGCATGTGTAAGGATTCACAGTTACACACACACACACTCACACACACCAGGTTAATACAAGAGAGAAAAACTGAGAAGTTAAGCCTAGGGGCATATTTTAATAACCATAATCTACCTCATAGGACCCAAGCTCAATTTCTCATTTCTAAAAGAGCATAAAAAATGCAAAACTAAAATATTATATATATGTATAATATATATGTATATGTGTATACACACATATCATGTTAGTGTCTCTAATATATTCTGCTCTTGAAGAATCTAAAACTTGTTAAACAAAAAACAGATTTTTTTTGGCATTCTCTTAATAACTACACTAAAAATATCTTCTTTTTTTTCTTCTTTTTCTTTCTTTCTTCTTTTGGTAATTGGGTAGCTCTAAGAAAGATAGCCTTGTTAAGTTACACACACACACACAAAAAGAAAGATAGGAAGATAAAGAAAGAAAGAATGCTATTTATCTTACTTGAAAATGCAAGTATTATATCAGAAATGTCCACAGGATCATGAAACCTGAGAAAACTCATAAAATGCATAACACTGAAACTGCAGAGAACTGTTTTTGTTAATATTTTACAGGTATATTTTTATATGCAAAAATGCTGAGGAGGACTTTATGTAGATTAGATTTATGTACATTGTTGTATTTATCCAACTTATTTATTGTCTCAACTGTATTCATACACCATGTACTGTATCACGCATATTATCTTTCACACCAAAACTTTAAAGTATTTTCACACAAATTATTACTCAATATGTCTCAATATTTATTCAATATTACTCAATTACTCAATATTACTCAATATGTCTACCTTCAAAGGTAGACACCAGCTTGAGAGATAGCACAATAATAATACAGTACCACTAAGGCTCAAGTTCATCAAATTCTCAATCTTTGGGAATGTAATAATGAAGATTGTGTACTAGAGACAGTGTGGTCTTCAGGAAAAGTCTTCAAACTGGTGGAAATTATAAACTTTCTAAGAGATCTGCATGCATAGATATTTTTAAGGGAGTCAGTTTTCAGAACCTCAACTTCCATACACATCCTTTTTTAGAACTGATTATCCAGAGAAGAAACCTGAATACACAGTGGTTTTTTCACTTTATAAGAGAAACCCATGTCCCTTACCGTGATTTGCTATTATGCCTTACCCTGCAATATAAAGACCTCAGGTATTTCAGTGAAACATCTAGTGAATATTCAAGGCATTTTAAACTGTAAGACTTCCTACTTTTCTCAACCTTAAAAATATTTCTGTTCAGAGTTAAGCTTGATGTTAGCACTGGGATCTCAGGGCCCATTTGGGAATGTTCTGAATTTGTAACAGCCAAAGCTGCAGAGATTAGAGTCAATTATTTTCACTGTAACTGGAATCTTCTGTGGGACTATCAAAATTATCAAGATACATCAAAAAAGTTTATTAATAAATGTTTGTGCCTTTTTTTCAGATTCAGTGGCTTTTAAAACTAATTTTATCAAACATGAGTTATTATTTATTTATTTTTTTTGAGATGGAGTTTCACTCTTGTTGTCCAGGCTTCAGTGCAATGGCGCGATCTTGGCCCACCACAACTTCCGCCTCCCGGGTTCAAGCGATTCTTCTGCCTCAGCCTCCAGAGTAGCTGGGATTACAGGAATGCACCATCATGCCCGACTGATTTTGTATTTTTAATGGAGACAAGGTTTTACCATGCTGGTCAGTCTGGTCTCGAAAACTCCTGACCTCAGGTGATTTGCCTGCCTCGGCCTCCCAAAGTGCTGGATTATAGGCATAAGCCACCACGCCCTGCCTGAGTTATTTTTTATTTTGACAAAACACTACCTTTTCTTTTATCTCTTAAGGATCTTATATTTTCTATTCCTTATTATCAGAAATAAACTTACTTAAATTTATGCTAAAATTTTAATTTGAAGACTGCTCTCTAGGACTTGCTGTCTCAATGAATGGAAGGATAGATGTTAAGAACCCGCAGTAAGTTTCTGTTTGTTTTTGGAACTGGGTGAATGGGAGTCTGTCACTATTGTCAAAAGAACCCCTTTAACTCCTGAGGAATCCAATTCCACTTCTCCTAGCTCAGGGCAGTCCCCTATGCCTCTGCACTCCATCCTCCCAGAATATTCTTTTGTGAGCAGGCTCACCCTGCAGGCCTGGGCTTGAGGAATTGGACAAGAATTCTATTACTAATTCCCCAGGAAGACAAAGAGGAAAGTCTTCCAAGACAGAAAGCTTGGCTGCTGTCTTTATCTGAGGTCACCGCAGAAAGTGCCTTTCATTCTCTCAGCCAAAAATGAAATCAATAATTTTTCCCATTTTATTTGGCAAAACAATAAAAATTTTAATAAGAATAACTGAATTTGAATAATAGAATTAAAACAATGTCAGTTTTCTTTGTATTAATTCTATCTACCCATGGATTCAGGGCTAAAAATTGGAAATTGCTCTTTTTTACCCACTTCTTCCTCTTTAGCTGTGATACATCACCGAGCTTTGTTTATTTTACCTTCAAAATGAATGTCTAATCCACACCTTTCTCCCCATCTCTACTGCAACTGTACCTCTTAGGCTAAGCCACCATCAAGATTCCCCATATAAAATATAGCCTAAGAGTATGTCTCTCTAGCTTTAATCTTGCTCTCTGTTAATCCACTATTGACATAAGATCCAGCATGGTCTTTTAAGAACCTCTATCAGGTTGTGCTGCGTTCTTGATTTTTCTTGCATTTAGAAACAAGCAATTAAAATGCCCACATGTTTTAATGAGACCTTTCATGATCTGCTTGCTTCCTATTCTCCAAATCCATCTCCTTCTACCTTCACTTCTCTCCAGCCACACCCATGATTTTCAGTTCCTTGAATTTCACCAGGTTCTTGATTTTTGCATGAGCTGTTCTAACTGCCTGCATTTCATTCCTTCTTCCCCAACTGGGTCCTTTGCAAAGAAACCTGCCTAGATTAACCAATCTAAACTAAGTCTTCCTCATTATTCTCTCCCACTGAGTTTTATTCTTTTCTTCTTCCCAGTTATCAGTATTTGCAATTACACATTGTTTATTTGCCTCCTTCATCAAACTGTGTACTTCAAGAGGTCAAAATCTTCTTCAGCATTGTATCCAACACCCAGCACAGTGTCTGAGTCTTATTAGGTATTATCTGTCGAATGAATTATCTAATTAGTATCAGATTAATAAACAATGTAATTAATTGATTATGCCATATTGATAGATTATAGTATGTAGTCCAGATATAAATTTTTAAGTCTCTTCACTTAAGGAATTGGAATAGGACCTTAAGTACTTTTATGGTGTAGCTGAGATTACTCTTCCAAGTATTATGAAATGTCTTGTGGCCTTATTTATTAGTCCTAAAATTGATTTTTTATCTTTCAAATCTAGTGCTCTGTCTAGCCTCATGTAGTGATTACCAGTCTCCACTTTATCATAATTTAAGGGATTTTTTTTTTTTTTTTTTTTTTGAGGTAAAGTCTCACTCTGTCACCCAGGCTGGAGTGCAGTGGCGTGATCTCAGCTCATTGCAACATCTGCCTCACAGGTTCAAGTGATTCTCGTGCCTCAGACTCCCGAGTAGCCAGGATTATAGGCGTGTGCCACCATGCCCAGCTAATTTTTGTATTTTTAGTAGAGACAGGGTTTTACCATGCTGGTCAGGCTGGTCTCAAACTCCTGACCTCAGGTGATCCACCCGCCTTGGCCTCCCAAAGTGCTGGGATTACAGGCATGAGCCACTGCGCCCAGCCTAAGGGATATATTTAAGACTCCTTTTAGAAGGAAATCTCTTTCTAAAGGTTATCCAAAGAGGAAATAATCTACCAATTGGTGAGAAATATGGAAAGGCTATTTTCAATATAAAAATACTAAACATGTGTTCCTTCAACCACAACTCTTAAGATAACTTGGTTTAACTGTTTCTTTTCTTTTTTATTTTTATCTATTCATTCTTTTTTTGAGACTGTGTTTCGCTCTTGTTGCCCAGGCTGGAGTGCAGTGGCGCGATCTCAGCTCTCCCTCAACCTCCGCCTCCCGGGTTCAAGCGAATCTCCTGCCTCTCGAGTAGCTGTGATTACAGGCTTGCGCCACCACGCCTGGGGAATTCTTCATTTTTAGTAGAGACAGGGTTTCTTCATGTTGGTCAGGCTAGTCTCGAACTCTCAACCTCAGGTGATCTGCCCGCCTCGGCCTCCCAAAGTGTTGGGATTACAGGCATGAGCCACCATGCCCAGCTGGTTTAACTATTTCTTTCTCAATATCCTCTCCAGCATTAGAGCTGGTGAGGGTCTGATGGAAGCAACTGCTTGGGCAACTTATTTATGTTCTGCCCAATCAGTGATGACTAGTATAAAGGAGGAAATTGCCTTCAGACTGACTGAATGATCCTGGAACTAGCATCTTTCCAATCCACGCAACCAGAACCACTTAACAGCCAAGTGGCAAATTACGTGCTATCTCTTGTTCTTGGAACAGTCTTCACAGGGAAAGGAAATTTATCTTCTTTAGTCTGCTATGGCTATTGGAATGAGCCAAAAGACAATTTGTTACTACTCCGCCTTTGATATAGGATTGACTTTCTAGATCCCATTTTTATTCTTATGACGAAAACCTCCTGAATCCAGATCCATTCCCCAGAGACTTGGAAATGGCTTTCTTCCTTGGAATTTTGGTAAACTTTATCTGTACTAGGGGTCCTTTTCTTGACACATAGTATTTCAGAGCTTGGGCTCTGGGGTCAGCCAAATTTGGATGTAGATTTTCAATGCCCACTGCTGGGTTTTTTTTTTTTTTTTTTTTTTCACAATGCATGTAACCTCTCTAAATCTTAATTTTCTCATCTGTATAAAGAATATGATGTCAGCAGTTTTCTCATAGCAATGTTGTGAGAATTAATTGTGATTAGGCATATAGTGTGCTTAGTACTCCTTTAAAGGTAGCAATTTTTTTTTCCCTAAAGTTGATCAAGCATGGCTAGAGTTTTATGTCTACATCATCCTCAAGTTGGAGAGGGCAACCCCATTTCAACAGGCAGAATTCTTGTTTTTCACATCTTTCTAAACGTCTCCTCCCCCACTGTTTTCTACTTCAGTTAATGGGTCTATCATCTAACAAATTGCTTGTATACTAATCTCAGGAGCTATATTTGATTCCTCTATTTCCCTCTCTCCTAACACACGATACATCAGCATGTTTTTTGGACTCTATCTCAAGCACTTCCTGAACACGCTACTTCTCATGATTTTCATTCTTAACAACGAAACTTAAAGTTACTGTCATCTCTTTTTTGGACTATTTCTGTAGCTTTTTGATCTCTCTTTTAGTTTCATTTCCCTAGGGTCCCGCTTTAACATATCAACAAACGGATATTTTAAATATACAAACCCTACCATAGCATTTTTTTTTTGGCTTAAAACCATACAAAAACTTTTGGATTGAATAAAATCCCATCTTCCAATTTAGGTTTTCAAGCTCTTCTAATCTGGCTTCCAACGAACTCTTTGGCTTCATTTTCTCCATGTCTTGCAATTTGTCAGTTTTCTCCCCATCTCTCTTTTCTTCACATATGTTAAGCTTGTTATTACCTCTGAGCCTTTGCATTTGGTTCCCTAGGTCTGGAAAACTCTTTTGCTAGAGCTTTGCCTGGCTAACTCATTCTCATTATTCAGATGACAGCCTCAATGTTACATCTTCAGTTACCTTCCCTTTTTAAAGTAGGATTCCCCTCCTACCCAATCAAGCTGCATCGTATTATTATTATTAATTAACTAATTAATTATTAAATGTTTTGAGAAAGGGTCTTACTCCACCACCCAGGCTGGAGCGCAGTGGTCTGATCATGGCTCACTGCAGGCCTCCACCTCCCAGGCTCAGGTGATTCTCCCTCCTCAGCCTCCTGAGCAGCTGGGACTACAGGTGTGTGCCACCCATGCCCAGCTAAATTTTGTATTTTTTTGTAGAGACAGGGTTTCGCCACGATGCTCAGGCTGCTCTCAAACTCCTGGGCTCAAGCATTCTGCCCTGCTCAGCCTCTCAAAGTGCTGAGATTATAGGCATGAGCCACCATGCCTAGCACTATCCTATTTTTATTATCAATTTTCTTCATAGCAATGGTCACTATAGGCATAAGTCACTTTATTGCACTTTATTGTGCTTTGCAAATAACTTTTTTTTTTTTTAATGAATTGAAGGTTTGCGGCAACCCTGAGCTGAGTAAGTCTATTGGCGTCATTTTTCCGATAGCATGTACTTACGTTGTGTCTCTGTGTCACGTTTTGGTAATTCTCACGATATTTTAAACTTTATTATTATTATTATATCTGCTATGGTGATTCCAGCATTTTTCTTCCTTTCCTCAGGCCTCCCTATTCCTGGACACACAATATTGAAATTAGGCCAGTTAATAACCTTATGTCTCTCACTTTAAATCAACCACTAGAAATGGTTAAGCTTACTGATGATGGCATGTTGAAAGCTGAGACAAGCCAACGGTTAGGTTTCAAGTGCCAAACAGCCAAGGTGTGAATGCAAAGAAAAAGCTCTTGGAGAAAATTAAAAGTGCTACTCCAGTGAATGCATGAATGAAAACAAAACAGCCTTATTGCTGATATGGAGAAAGTTTTAGTGTTGCAGATAGAAGATTAAACTAGTCAAAAAATTCCCTTAAGTCAAAGTCTAATTTAGAGCAAGGCCTTAACGCTCTTCAATTCTATGAATGCTGAGAGAGGTAAAGAAGCTGCAAATGGAAAGTTTAAAACTAGCAGAGTTTGCTTCACGAGATTTAAGGAAAGAAACTGTCTTTCTAACATAAAAGTGCAAGGTAAAGCAGCAAGTGTTGATGTCTCCCTCAACTTCTCCAAGGTGAACTGTAGCAAGTTCTGTAGAAGATCTAGCAAAGATAATTGATGAAGGTGGCTACAATAAAAAACGGATCTTCGATGTAGACAAAACAGTATTGTATTAGAAGAAGACGCCAGCTAGTTCTTTCATGGGTAGCATGGAGAAGTCAATGCCAGGCTTCATAGAACAGGTTGACTCTCGCTCTCTGTTAGGGGCTAATTCAACTGGTGACTTTAAGTTGAAGCTAATGATCATTTGTCATTCTGAAATCCCAAGGCTCTTAAGAACACGCTAAATCCTGTCTGCCTGTGCTCCTGTATTCTATAAATGGAACAACAGAGCCTAGATGACAGCACATCTGTTTACAGCATGGTTTGCTGAATGTTTTAAGCCCACTGTTGAGACCTACAAATCAGAAAAAAGATTTTTTTTTTCAAAGTGTTACTGGTCAATGAAAAGGCACCTAGTCATAAAAGACCTCTGATCTAGATGTACAAGGAATTAATGTTATTTTCATGTCTGCTAACATGATATCTATTTTGCAGTTCATAGATCAGGAGTAATTTTGACTTTCAAGTCTTATTATCTAAGAAATATGTTTCGTAAGGCTATAGCTGTTGTAGATGGTAATTCCTCTGTTGGATTTGGGCAAAAGAAATTAAAAACATTATGGAAAGGATTTCCCATTCTAGATGTCATTGAGAACATTTGTGATTTATGGAAGTAAAAAAACAACACTAACAAGAATTTGGAATAAGTTAAGGCTAGCCCTCATAAATGACTTTGAGGGGGTTCAAGACTTTAGTGAAGGTAGTAACTGCAGATATGGTAGTAACAAGCAAGAGAACTAGAGTTAGAAGTGGAGCCTGAAGAGGTGACTGAATTGCTATAATCTCATGATAAAACTTGAATGGATGAGTAGTTGCTTCTTATGGATAAGCAAAGGAAGTAGTTTCTAAAGATAAAACCTACTCCTGATGGAGATATTGTGAACATTGTAGAAATTACAATAAAGAACTTAGAATGTTATATAAACTTAGTTGATGAAACAGCAACAAAGTTTGAGAGGATTTATTCCAATTTTGAAAAAAGTTATACTGTGAATAAAATGTTACCAAACAGCACTGCATGTTGAGACTCTCTTTTGTGAAAGGAAGAGTCACTTCATATGACAAACTTCACTTTTGTCTTATTTTAAGAAATTGAAAAGCCACCTCAGCCTTCAAAAGCCATCACTCTGATCAATCAACAGCTATCAACATCAAGGCAAGACCTTCTACCAGCAAAAGGCTGAGCTGAAGGCTCAGGTGATTATTAGCATTTTTGAGCAATAAAATGTGCTAAATTAAGGTATATACATTTTTTAGACACAATGCTATTGCACACTTAATAGATTACAGTATAGTTTAAACATAGCTTATATGTACTGAGAAACCAAAAGAAGATGTGACTTTCTTTATTGCAATATTTGCTATATTGCAGTGGTCTGGAACCAACCCCACAATATCTCTTAGGTATGCTTGCATATAATTCACAAAAGAAAATAGAAGTAGCTAATTACTCTGTAAATAAATGTCCATACTTACTAATAATCAGAGAAACTCAAATCAAAATAGCAAATGCAAAGCCAAGTATCAGCTATAAAATTGGTGCACTATATTTTAAAATTATAATCAGAATTTTTTAAGCTAGAGATTTTTAATTTTAATTTCTTTTCTTCCAACTTTTATTTTAGAATCTGGGGGTACATGTGCAGGTTTGTTACATGGGTAACTTGTGTGTCACTGGGGTTTGGTGTACAAATGATTTCATCACCCAGTTTGTGAGCATGGTACCTGAAGGTAGTTTTTTGATCCTCACTCTCCTCCTACCTTCCACCTTCAAGTAAGTCCTCGTGTTTATGATTCCCCTGTTTGTATCCATGTGTATTCAATGTTTAGCACCCTCTTGCCTCATTTAAGTCCTTGCTGTTGATGGGCATCTAGGTTGAATCCATGATTTGGTTATTGTGAAAAGGGCTGTGACAAACTTACACGTGCATGAGTTTCTACAGCAGAATAATTTATATTCCCTTGGGTATATAAGCAGTAATGGGTTTGTTGCATCAAATGACAGTTCTGTTTAAGTTCTTTGAGAAATCTCCAAACTTAAGCTAGAGGTTTTTTATTTTGTGATTAATAAAAGGTCAAATTTGCTATCACACTATCCCATACTCTATGCCACCATTTACCAGAAGAAAGGGTTTTATATCAGACTGAGTCATTAGGCAGAAATAGCAAAGACACGTTCATATCATTCTTAACATCTTGTGTTAGTCATGCCTCCACCCTGACCTTTGTACATGTTTACCTCATAGGCAAAGTGCTATTACTACACATGTAATAGACTATGGTGTAGTGTAAACACAACTTCAATATGCACTGGGAAACCAAAACAATTGTGTTACTCACTTTACTGTGATATTCAGTTTATTGCAGTGGTTTGAAACCAAACCCACATTATCTCTGAGGTATGCCTTTATCTGAAATCCTTATATTTTCCATCTCACTTCTGCTTTTCCCCAAAATATACACTCTATTATATCAAGAATCCTCATTTCCCATAGTGAGAGGTGACAGCGTGCTGGCAGTCCTCACAGCCCTCACTTGCTCTCGGCACCTCCCCTGCCTGGGCTCCCACTTTGGCAGCATTTGAGGAGCCCTTCAGCCCCCCACTGCACTGTGGGAGCCCCTTTCTGGGCTGGCCAAGGCTGGAGCCCACTCCCTCAGCTTGCAGGGAGGTGTGGAGGGAGAGGCGCGAGCGGGAACCGGGGCTGCGTGCCGAGCTTGCGGGCCAGCTGGAGTTCCGGGTGGGCGTGGGCTTGGCGGGCCCCGCACTCAGAGCAGCCAGCCAGCCAGCCCTGCTGGCCCTGGGCAATGAGGGACTTAGCACCCGGGCCAGTGGCTGCGGAGGGTGTACTGGGTCCCCCAGCAGTGCCGGCCCACCAGCGCTGTGCTCGATTTCTCGCCGGGCCTTAGCTGCCTTCCCGCGGGGCAGGGCTCGGGACCTGCAGCCCGCCATGCCTGAGCCTCCCACCCACTCCATGGGCTCCTGTGCGGCCCAAGCCTCCCTGACGAGCACCACCCCCTGCTCCACGGCGCCCAGTCCCATTGACCACCCAAGGGCTGAGGAATGTGAGTGCACGGTGCAGGACTGGCAGGCAGCTCCACCTGCAGCCCCGGTGCCGGATCCACTAGGTGAAGCCAGCTGGGCACCTGAGTCTGGTGGGGACGTGGAGAGTCTTTATGTCTAGCTCAGGGATTGTAAATACACCAATCAGCACCCTGTGTTTAGCTCAAGGTTTGTGAATGCACCAGTCGACACTCTGTATCTAGCTGCTCTGCTGGGGCCTTGGAGAACCTGTGTGTTGAAACTCTGTATCTAACTAATCTGATGGGGACGTGGAGAACCTTTGTATCTAGCTCAGGGATTGTAAACGCACCCATCAGCGCCCTGAAAAAACAGGCCACTCGGCTCTACCAATCAGCAGGATGTGGGTGGGGCCAGATAAGAGAATAAAAGCAGGCTGCCCGAGCCAGCATTGGCAATCCCCTCGGGTCCCCTTCCACACTGTGGAAGCTTTGTTCTTTCGCTCTTAGCAATAAATCTTGCTACTGCTCACTCTTTGGGTCCATGCTACTTTTATGAGCTGTAACACTCACCGCGAAGATCTGCAGCTTCACTCCTGAGCCCAGCGAGACCACGAGCCCACGGGGAGGAATGAACAAGTCCAGACGCGCTGCCTTAAGAGCTGTAACACTCACCGCGAAAGTCTGCAGCTTCACTCCTGAGCCAGCGAGACCACGAACCCACCAGAAGGAAGCAACTCCGAACACATCTGAACATCAGAAGGGACAGACTCCAGACGCGCCACCTTAAGAGCTGTAACACTCACCGCGAGGGTCTGCGGCTTCATTCTTGAAGTCAGTGAGAGCAAGAACCCACCAATTCCAGACACAATAGTATCCACAGTGTGTAAAACAGTGAAGGCATATGGTAAGAGCATAATATATATTGTATACTTCATACTCAATGAATGAGATTTGTAAGTCTGCACTTCTTTGCCTTGCTATTTCATGCAAGAAGCAATATGAAAAAGAAAGCCTAAAAAGAAGTTTGTTCTGCATAAGACTTTTGCCACCTTTTCAACAACCATGCAAAAAATGGATGGCAGGCCCTGTAGAACTG
The DNA here is from genome assembly GCF_000001405.40 of Homo sapiens. Lineage (NCBI taxonomy): Eukaryota > Metazoa > Chordata > Mammalia > Primates > Hominidae > Homo > Homo sapiens. The sequence continues at coordinate 81,177,554 of NC_000001.11, read as the reverse complement.
ATCTTTTTAAGGCGCACTTACAACTGAAAGGTCAGCCTTCATTATGTTTCCAGCATATCTGTGTACTTAATAAGAGAACAGTTAGCTACAAGAGCAACAACTAAGAAAAAAATGGTAAGAATACTTTGACATTTAACAAACCTGTTTTTAGAATTGTTGATAATTTATGTTTCTCTTCATTGGAGAACAAATTCTTAAGGGAGATTTAATAATTAAAAAATGTGAGGCCGGGCGCGGTGGCTTACGCCTGTAATCCCAGCACTTTGGGAGGCCGAGGCGGGCGGATCACGAGGTCAGGAGATCGAGACCATCCTGGCTAACACGGTGAAACCCCGTCTCTACTAAAAATACAAAAAAAATTAGCCGGGCGTGATGGTGGGCGCCTGTAGTCCCAGCTACTCGGGAGGCTGAGGCAGGAGAATGGCGTGAACCCGGGAGGCGGAGCTTGCAGTGAGCCGAGATTGCGCCACTGCACTCCCGCCTGGGCCACAGAGGGAGACTCCGTCTCAAAAAAAAAAAAAAAAAAAAAAAAAAAAAAAGTGAAAATGGGTATGATTAGTAAATACAATCATGGATTCTTTTCTAATCTCCATTTTCTCTCTTTAAGATTTGCATGCCAAATTAATTACTTTATAAGCCCAATGAAGGAAGATTGTTTGGTTATAATAGTTTAGGTATATTTTTCCCCCCAAGGAGAGAAAACAGTTGAAATAATTATTCTATGTTACTACGACTAAATATTTTTGTATTCATCTTAGAGAAGTAAGTTACCGCTTGTCAGTGGAGGTACTGTGAACAATGGCATATAGTTAAATCTCACTTCAAGGTACATTGTCCCCAGTGTCCTGAAACATTCATTTTTGAATAGCTGAGGAGCAAGGACATTATTGATCACAAATAAGACTAAAGAGTGCATACAAATATGACCCTTAACTTTTGTAAATATCAAAGTTTAGGTTTGGATAGACAAAATAGAGTCCAAAATTGATACTGACTAATGAATGCAGTCAATACGGACATTGCAGTTTACCTTAGAACATTTGATTTATTCTAAAGCAAATTTTCAAATCTCTTTGCTATATTCCTTGTTTCCAAAATGACAATAATAAAATAATAAATATAATTTTGATCTATTTAGAAGGTAGTATATTTGTATAACTTTGGAGTAACAAAAGAAAAATAGATAAAAAGATTTATAGAACAAAACTGAAAAAAAAAATGCAAAAGTGGAGGCAGGTGATGAATTCATTTATTAACTAAAGGTGAAGTAGACGTTACATGGATTTTAAAGAAAAGCCATGCTTGAAAATCTGCCTCTTTATACATATTTGTAAATGTGTGAATTTTTACTTATGTATCAGAATATGCACATAGATAAATGTTCTTAATTTTAGAGCAACACAAAAGCTGGAAGTTCCTACCTATCTTCCCTGTCACACACACACACACAAATCCCCAAACAACAAATAGAGAACAACATTTTGTCCAAAATAACTAAAGGAGAGCACAGGGGAACAGCAAAGGAGTAGCAGAAAGCCTGCCGAGCACAGAAATCCAGGATGGCTGTATAGGAAAGGGGAAAAATCCACTTTGCCTCTGCCACCCCTTCCCCCAGTTGGGATCAGCTTGGAACTAGGAGAAATTTCTCCCTATGGGAAAAGATAAATAAGAGGAACCCAGCAGCCTCCATCACTACTGTGGACACTTGCTATCTTCACCTCACTATACTTCACTATAGGAGACTTCTGCAGTCCTCACAGGCTCTGAGCCCAGCTGAAGGACTTCCCGAGAGTCCACACATTGTGCTATCCCCAGAGAAGTAGCTTACGCTATACCCCATCAACCTATGGCCTGAGATGCTGTCCTGGAGCTGGAACCATTGCTAGAGCATGTCCTGCTCTGGGGTAAAGTAGATTTTACACCTCTAAGGGTGCACCCCTGAGGCTTTGTCACCATGGCACCATGCCCCCCTGGTAGTGTGCCATCCCTGAGCCATGCTGAGGCTATGCCCTACTCTCTGGGTCCAAGCACTGCAAAGCGTTCCATCTTCCTATTCCTTGCTGATGTGCCCTGCCCCCTGGGGTTCAAGCTGAATTGGCAACCTGCCTCCTTGGGGTCCTGAGCCTTGACAACATTGGAACAGTTGTGTCCCGGGTGCTGAAACCAACACAGTGTCACACCCCCCAGGGACTTCAGGCTTCTGGCACACCAGAGCAGTCATGCCCTCTAGTGCTTGAGTTGACCCAGCACTCTGTCCCTTGGGAGACTCTAGACCTTGGAACATGGGAACAGTCATCCCCTTGTTATCACAGCCAACATGGTGTCTCATCCTCTATTACCTCACACCCCTGGTACACCAGAATAGTCACACTCCTGGTGCTCAAGTCATCATGGCACACTACCTCCTGTGGAATTGGAGCCTCAACTGACCTGTGTAGCCGTGCTTTCTGGGGCTGAGCAGATGTGGCACCTGATGTCAAAGGGAATGAAAGCCTTGGCTGAGCTGAGCCATTCTGCCCTCCAGGCTGATCAGTCAAAGTTACTCACCTTCCTGGAACTGGACCAGCCCTGCACAGAGTCTGAGCTGATGAGGTGCTTCACATTCCTGGGAAGTAGAGTCATCTCTGTGTGGCTCCCTGTCCCCCAAGGTGCAAGCCACACATGCAGCTTGCCATTCCTGAGTTCTTGTTGCTGCTGTTCAGGCCTCACAAATCCTGGGCTACTGCCCTGCCCCATCATCCCAGGGCCAGAGTCACAGTTGCATGATAATTTATCTGCCGGGGCCTGAACTGATGCTATACCCTGTTGATTCTGGGTCCTACATTGCAGCTGCACTGTTACGGTTTAAATGCATCCCCTCTAAATTCATGTGGTAGAAACTTAAATCCTGATACAACAGTGTTTAGAGGTCAGGGTCTAATGGAAGGTGTTTAGGTTATAATTAGATTATTCATACAGATATAAAAAGAACTTGTGGGAGTGGGTTCTCTCTTTTCTGCCCTTCTGACACCTGAGGACTCAGCTTCATCCTTTCTTCCCTTTCTGTCTTTTGCCACGAGAGGACATAGTAAGAAGGTCCACATCAGATGCTAGTGTCTTGATCTTAAACTTCCCAGCTTCCAGAACTGTGAGAGAATAAATTTTTGTACTGTCTGTGGTTTTAGGTTATAGCAACACAAAATGAACTAAGACATGTGCCATGCTCCCCAGGCCCTGAGCTTTCAGAGCACCCCTTCTTGGAGCCATGCCAGTGTCCTGGCCCACAGAGTCAGAGCCACAGCTAAATCCCTGCTCCCTGGGCCTGAGCTGTTGAGCAACAGAGGTTTGTGGGATAAATGAATCCAATTATGCCATGAAGAGTAAACATGAACCTCAAGTCCCAGGTGCTATAGTAGTTTTGCAAGACTCTGAGCCCGGGACCATGACTCCACAACTGCTCTGAGCACTTGTGCCCTGGATCCCAGAACTGCTGCAGCTGCTGGTGGGACATGTCGGACCCAACATCTAGAGTGATTCTCTCAGATAAGACTCCTCAATGTTGGGAAGACAAGAAAAGGAGGGTCCCTAAATCCCTTGCCACCAGAAACCTAATAACCTATACTGCCATCACTACTTTCACAAACTCATACAGTCTAGACCACTGAGGCACCTGCAGTTATTGCTGACATTGGTCACAACCAAAAAAGCTGCATGGAGACTATACCATTGTGCTCATTCCCAAACCAAAGGCCACGTACCCTCTTCAGCTAGCAGCTTTAGTCACATCTGCAGGTGAAAATCTTCCCCTACAAAAGCTATTCTGTACAGTTTCGAAGTTGTGCCTGCTCCACCAGATGCGCAATCAATATAGGGACACACACAAAAACATGAAAAAGTCAGAAAACATGACACCACTGAAGGAACACAATAATTTTCCAGTAATTGATCCCAAAGAAACAGAAATCTATGAATTGTCTGAAGAAAACTGAAAATAATGATCTTAAGGAAACTCAGTGTGATATAGGAGAATACAGAGAGACATTTCAATGAAATTAGAAAAATAATTTATAATCTAAATGAGAAATTCGGAGAACAGATAGATATAAAAAAGAATATGACAGAAATCTTGCATTTGAATAGGTCAATCAATAAGCTAAAAAAATGCAATGGAGAGCTTCAACAGCTGACCAGATTAAGCAGAAGTAAGAATCAGTGAACTTGAAGACAGGGTTTTTTTGTTTGTTTGTTTGTTTTTAAATCTTGCTCTATTGCATAGGCTGGAGTGTAGTGTTTCTTACTCTTGGCTCACTGCAACCTCTGCCTCCCAGGTTCAAGTGATTCTCCTGCCTCAGCACCCGAGTAGCTGGGATTACAGGCATGTACCACTACGCATGGCTAATTTTTCTATTTCTAATAGAGAGGGGGTTTCACCATATAGGCCAGGCTGGTCTCGAACTCCTGGCCTCAAGTGATCTGCTTGCTTTGGCCTCCCAAAGTGCTGAGATTACAGGCATGAACTACTGTGCCCAAAGGCAGGTCTTTTTAAATGACTCAGTTGGAGGAAAAAAAAAGAAGGAAAAAGAGTAAAGACAACCTATGCAGCTTATGAGACACCATTAAGCAAACAAATATTTGTATTATTGGAGTTCCAAAAGGAGAAAAGACACTGAAAGGGACATAAACATATATAATGAAATAATTTTTGAAAAAATTCCCATGTATTGGAAGATATATGGACATCAAAATCCATGAAGTTTAAAGGTCCCCAAAGAGATTCAACCCAAGAAAAATTCTCCAAGGCACATTATAATCAAACCGTAAAAAGTTAAAGTCAGAGAAATAATTTTAAATCAGCAAGAGAGAAATGTCAGGTCACATATAAGGGAATTCTTATTAGACTATTAGCAGATTTCTCAGCAGAAACCTTGCAAACCAGGAGAGAATGGGATGATACATTCAAAGTGCTGAAAGAAAAATATTGCTAGTCAATAATAATATACTTAGCAAAACTGTTCTTCGGAAATGAAGAAGAAATAAAGTCTTTTTGAGACAAGCAAAAAGCTGAGGGAATTCATCACCACTAGGTCTACCTTACATGAACTACTTAAGGGAGTTCTTTGAGCAGAAATGAAAGGATAAGAATTATTACTCTGAATTAATATGAAAGTGCAAAATGCACTGGTAGAGGTAAATACAAAGTCATATCTAGCATACTCCAATATTGTAATAGCAGTGTTTAAATCATACATACTTCCAGTATGGAAGACTTGTAAGTTAAATGGTCAAAAATGATGAAAGTCATAATAAGTTTTTAAGGAATACACACTATAAGATGTAAATCGTGATATCAAAAACATAAATGGGGAGGGGTGAATAAAAGCCTAGAGTTTTTGTATGGAACAGAAGTTAAGCTGGTATCAGCATCAAGTAGTTGATTATAAGTATAAGATGTTTTACGTGAGCCAAATGGTAGCAACAAAACAAAAAACTACAGCAGATATACAAATAATAAAACAAGGTATCAAAGCTTAGCACTACAGAATATTATCAAGTCACAAAGGCAGAAAACAAGAGAAAAAGAAAGGAACAAAGGAATATCAAAACAACCAGAAAACAAATAACAACATGGCAGCAGTAAGTCCTCCTTATGTATTGATAATAACCTTAAATATAATTGGATTAAATTTTTCAGCTAAAAGACACTGAGTGACAGAATGGATACAAAAACAAGGTTCAACTATATACTGACTATAAGAGACCCAGCCTACCTTTAAGGATACAGGCTGAATAGAAGAAGATATTCCATGCATTTGGTAACCAAAAGAGATCAGGGTAGCTCGACTTACATCTGATAAAACAGACTTTAAGTCAAAAACTGTTAGAAGAGACAAAAAAAGTTTTATTTAATGATAAAGGGGTCAATTCATCAAGAGTACATAACAATTGTAAATATATCTGTAGCCTACGTGGGAGCACCTAAATACATAAAGCAAATATTAGTGGACATGAGAAATAGATAGCAATATAATAATAGTAAGGGGAATTAAGTACTCTACTTTCAACAATTAAAAGACCAATCAGACAGAAAAATTAATAAGAAAATACAGAACTTGTATTGCACTTTAGACCAAATTGACCTAAACAGACATATACAGAATTTTTCATCCCAAAGCAGCAGAATGCACATTTTTCTCTAGTACATATGGAACATTCTCCAGGATAAACCAACTGTTAGGCCACAAAACAAGTCAATAAATTTAAGAAGATTGAAATCATATCGATTCAGGCCACAGTGTTATGAAACTCAAAATCAATAACAGGAAGAGTTGGAGAAAATTCACAAATATGTGGAAATTCAGTAACATGCTTCTGTGAACAACCAATGGGTTAAAGAAGAAATCAATATGGTACATCATATCAACAGAATGAAGGGAAAAAACCATGTGATCATTTCAATTGATGCTGAAAAATCATCTCGTAAAATTCAGCATCCCTCCATGATAAAAACCCTCAAAAAACTGGGTGTAGAATAAATATACTTCAACATAATAAAAGCCATATATGACAGACTCACAGTTAGTGTTTTACCAAATGCCAAAAAACTGAAAGCCTTTCCTCTTAGCTCTGGAATGCAACAAGGATGCCCGCTTTCACCACTGTTATTCAACATAGTACTAAAAGTCCTAGCTAGAGCAATTGCACAAGAGAAAGAAATGAAGGTCATCCAAATTGGAAAGGAAGAAGACAAATTATCCTTGTTTGCACATGATATGGTCTTATATTTGGAGAAACCTGAAGACTTCAACAAAAACTTTTTGAATTGGCAAACAAATTTAGTAAAGTTGCAGGACACAAAATCAACATACAATAATCAGCGGCATTTCTATATGCCAACAGCGAACAATCTAAAAAAATAAATTAAAAAAGTATTCCCAGGCCAGGCGTGGTAGCCCATGCCTGGAATCCCAGCATGTTGGGAGGCTAAGGAGTGTGGATCACTTGAGGTCAAGAGTTCAAGACCAGTCTGGCCAACATGGTGAAACCCTATCTCTACCAAAAAATACAAAAGTTAGCTGAGTATGGTGGTGTGGGCCTGTACTCTCAGCTACTCAGGAGGCTGAGGCAGGAGAATCCCTTGAACCAGGAAGGTAGAGGTTGCAGCAGTGAGCCGAGAACACACCACTGCACTTCAGCCTGGGCGACAAAGTGAGACCCTGTCTCACACACACAGACACACACACACACACACACACAAGTAAAAGAAAAGAAAATAATCCCATTTACAGTAGCTGCAAGTAAAATTAAATACTTAGGAATTAACGTAGCCAAAGAAGTGAAAGATCTCCATAATGAAAACTATAAAATACTAATGAAAGAAACTGAAGAGGACACAAAATATTTGAAAGATACTCCACATTCTTTCACTGAAAAAATTAATATTGTTATCCCTATCAAAATGCCAATGACATTCTTTACAGAAACAGGAAAAACAATGCTAAAATGTATATGGATCCACAAAGGACCCAGAATAGCCAAAGCTATCCTGAGAAAAAAGAACAAAATTGGAGGAATCGCATTACCTGACTTCAAATTATATGACAGCACTATAGTAACTAAAACAGCATGGTACTGGCATAAAAACAGACTCACGGACCAATGGAGCAGACAACCCAGAAATAAATACATATATCTACAGTGAATTTATTTGCAACACAAGTGCTGAGAACGTACACTCTGGAAAAGACAGTCTCTTCAATAAGTGGTGCAGAGAAAACTGGATATTCGTATGTAGAAGAACAAAAGTAGGCTCTTATCTCCCACCATACACAAAAATCAAATTGGTATGGATTAAAGACTTAAATCTAAGACTATGAAACTACTACAAGACAGCATCAGAGATACTCTCCAGGACACTGGTTTGGGCAAGAGGATACAAAGTAGAAGATATATAGAATGAACATAGTGCTAATGTACAATATGAGGACTATAGGCAATGACTGTATTGAGATTCCTACAAAAGACTAGATTTTAACTTTACAACAAGAAACCATAAAATGGATAACCATGTGGGCAGATGGATATGTTCATTTGCCTCACTATAGTAACAATTTTACTATTTATATGTATCCTTTAGTATCAAGTTGTACACCTCAAGTGTACACAATAAAATTTGTTTAAAAATAGAAAAAAACCCTAAACAAATCCACACTAACCAATGTACACTTCCTAATCATATGACTATAAAGCAATGGAAGAGTGAAGAGATATTTTAAAATTTTGATTTATATTCAAACGCTTGATGTCTTTTAGGCCCTGGGAATGTGCTGATTTTCTAGCCACCTAAACTATGTATATTTGAGACAGGGTCTCTCTCTGTTGCCAAGGCTGGAGTGAAATGGCACAACCATAGCTTACTGCAGCCTCAACCTCCTAGACTCAGCACAGTCCTCTTAGCTCAGCCTCCCAAGTAGCTAGGAATAGAAGTATGCACCACCACATCCAGCTATTTTTGAAAACTTTTTTTTTTTATAGAGATGGGGTCTTGTTTTGTTATCCAGGCTGGTCTTAAACTCCTGGGCTCAAGTGATTTTCCCATCTTGACCATCATCCAAAGTGTTGGGATTATAGGCAGGAGCCACCATGCCCAGCCTAAAATATCTTTAATGATTTCCACATGCAATATTCCCACTCTTGTGCCTAAAGTATATGGGACAGTGTCTCCAAATGGTGAGCTGCAGTACCAATGAAGAGGTAGGTGAGTGATTTCTGAAAGCTACTCTGTGGTTGGGTGGTGACTAGGGAAACGAAGAATGTTTCAAAAGACTTAAGTAACATTGCTAAGATTGATGAAGATACTCACTTTATGTTAAGTGATAAATGTATTAGAATATGACAATAAAAATATAATTGTTGAGAGGACACTCAGCCTATATTCTTGATGTTGACAGAAGTACAGTCAAGTGGAAACATCTTGAAATCTATAAACTGGATGTCAAAAAGATCTGAACTCTAAAGCTTATTCATCTACCATGAAAAATGTCCATTATATTACATAGGAGTTACAAAATCTTTTTTAAATAAAAATATGTAATTTGGACAGTCTTTACCATTTAGTTCTCATTTAATATAATATTTTAGAGGATTAAAAGTAGCCACCCAAAAAAGGGGTTAGAGGTAACTTCAATGACTAGTGAACCATGTGATCTGGGTAATAAGGGGAAAATCAGAAAGCTCTGAAATATATACCAGGGAACTCAAAGAGCATGGTATTTTGAACCCTTTTAGTGCATGATCACACAGCCTTATTTATTTCTTTTCTTATACATAAATGTAATTATCTCTTTAAAAATCAGTTATATTTTAAAAATTTTAAGTCCTTTGAGGCAGGGTCTGAATCTTTACAGTTATATCTCACTATGAATGTAGCAACTGACACATAATAGGAGCTCAATGAAGTCCTTGCTATTATCTTTCAAATTCTAGGAAGAATACATTTTCTTTCTTTGTATATCTTTTTATGTAACTATTGACTTCCACATATTTGGAAGCCTGTTCCATGGAAGTCTTTATCAAACTTCCATTAACAATGAAGTATATTGCTAATAAGATACAACATGGCTTACACTCAAGAAATAGTTTCCAACTGAAGATGTGCTGTGTAGCTTGAATGTACAGTAATTTCCTTTTTCAATAGCTTTCTATGTGACCTTGAGCAATTTATTTAATCTCGCTATGAGATAACTTTCCCTTTTGTGAAATGAGAATACTGCCACTTGCCTCCTACCTACTTCACAGAGATAGTATTTCCACACCTAACATAATGGCTAGAAGTCATTTGAAGCTCATTGGAATAAAGCGCCGTTTAATTACAATTGTTATTACTTTTTAGAGAGAGTTAATGATGATGAGAGGAGGAAAATATGCCATCCAAGATATGTATAAATGCATCTAGGCTAGAATCAAAACACACAAGCAAAATGAGAAAAAGAGAATAAAACTAAAATTCCTACTAAAATAAAGCAAACTAAATTATTTCTGCTTTGGAATTACCAAAAACTAATATTTTTTTTTTTCTAAAGCAGCAAAGAGAAAATGATAACATAAAAAAGTTGAGAATAAGAAATAGTTTTTGTTATTTTTATCTGAAAAAGTATAAACAATAAAATAATAGGAAAAATTGGCAAGAATGAAAAGTTTTAATAAGATTTCTAGTTCACTTTTTAGAGACAAGTTCTTGGTTACGTGTTTGTGGCTTATCCACTTGCTGTACTATCTAGGTTAAATCTGCACCCCTGGGCAGATATCTCCCTTGTCTGCATGTTTCTGGGTCAAGTCCCTCTTTCTGTGCCCTCTCCCTGAGGCAGTTTTTATGCCAAGGAATGCAAACCAATTTTAATATTAGCCTAAGGTAAACATAATTAGGAGGGCAAATTTTCTGCCAAAAGAGAGGAACTTACAAAACGCACTTTAAAATCAAATGTAATTTTTGTAAAAAAAATATGCCTTATACTTCTCCAAAATATTATCAACTCAAAGAAGCCCAGGGTTAGGTATCACCCATAAACCATAATCATTTGTCTAGTGAGTAGAGTAGCTTTGAAGAAAAATTTTTAAGTTTCCCCAAACAGTACTTTCTTGTAAAATATTCAACAAACCCCTTCAACTTACCAGTGAGTTGCAAAACCATAGATAAATATATAGAACTCTATAAATACTCCGTATCTATAAGATAAAAATCAGAAAAAAAATGTAGAAAAGGCAAATAGGGAGAATAATTATAATTTAACAGTGGGATGATTTAATGAATAGGGATAGAAAATTGGGCATCGGAAGTGTAGGCATGAGCTACTTGAGGACGAAAACTGTTTGCCTTTTTTATCATTATATTCACTTAACAAATGGAGAAAGGCTCATTAAAATCACTGTAGAATGGAGGGTAGGATAGGATAGGCAAGAACTAATACAAGGCTGAAATCAGTACTATAGTACAAGAAAAAATAAAAAGGAATGGAAGAAAGAAAAAGGTGCAGGTGGATGAGTACTGAAAACCAATGTTATTTAATTTTGTAAAAGGCTGAATTTTAAAAAAAATCCTGTAACTTTCAGGCCCTTGGGATTTTCTTGGTTATTTTCTGCTTTTTTCTATTTTCTAGTCAAACTAGTTTCTATCTGCTGTGTCTCTAATTCATATACTTGTATATATTCTTAGTCCTGAAGCTTAAGCCTAGGAGAGATGAATGATGATTTTCTGATTAGCAACAAAAGGATTACCAATCTAGATGACAGTTGGGATTTTAAAAATATATTTTATTTTTTAATTTTTGTAGGTACATGGTAGATGCTTATATTTATGGGATACATGAGACATTTTGATACAGGCAGGAAACGAGTAATAACCACAACATGACAAATAGGGTATCCATCCTCTGCAGCATTCATTGTTTTTTAATGGCTGAACAGTACTTCATTGTGTGTGTGCGTGTGTATATGTATCTATATATATATCACATTTTCTTTATCTATTCATATGTTGATGGACATTTAGATTGCTTCTAAATCTTGGCTATTGTGAACAGTGGGGCAACAAACATGGGAGTGCAGGTATTCCTTTGCTATACTGCTTTCCTTTCTGGGGTATATAACCGGCAGTGGGATTGCTGGATCATAAGCTACCTCTGTTTTTAGTTTTTTGAGGAACCTCCAAACTGTTATCTATAGTGGTTGTACTAATTTACATTCCCACCAACAGTGTAGAAGCATTCTCTTTTCTCTACCTCCTTGCCAGCATTTGTTATTGCCTGTCTTTTGAATATAAGCCATTTAATTGGGGTGAGATGGTATCTCGTAGTTTTGATTTGCATTTCTCTGATGATCAATTATGTTGAGCACTTATTCATATGCCTGTTTGCTGTTTGTACGTATTCTTTTGAGCAATGTCTATTCAGATCTTTTGCCTATTTTTAATTGGATTATTAGATTTTTTCCTATATAATTGTTAGGAACTCCTTATATATTCTGATTACAAATCCCTTGTCAGATGGGTAATTTGCAAGTATTTTCTCCCACTCTGTGGGTTGTCTCATCACTTTGTTGATTGTTTCCTTTGCTGTGCAGAAGCTTTCTAACTTGATGTGATTCCATTTGTCCATTTTTACTTTGGTTGCTTGTGCTCTTGGGGTATTCTTAAAAAATTTTTTTGCCCAGAATAATGTCCTGGAGGATTTCACACATGTTTTCTTGTAGTAGTTTCATAGTTAGAGGTCTTAGGTTTAAGTCTTTAATCTATTTTGATTTGATTTTGTATATGGCAATTGATGGGGTCTACTTTTGTTCTTCTGCATATGAATATCCAGTTTTCTCAGCACCATTTATTGAAGAGACTGTCTTTTCCCCAGTGTATGTTCTTGGCACTTGTGTTGAAAATAAGTTCACTGTAGATGTATGCATTTGTTTCTGGGTTGTCTGTTCCATTGGTCTGTGAGTCTGTTTTTATGCCAGTACCATACTGTTTTGGTTACTATAGTGCTGTAGTATAATTTGAAGTCAGGTAATGCGATTCCTCCAGTTTTGTTCTTTTTTGCTCAGGATAGCTTTATCTAGTCTGTGTCTTTTGTGGTTCCATATACATTTTAGGATTGTTTTCCCTGTTTCCGTGAAGAATGTCCCTGACGTTTTGATAGGGATTGCCCTGAATCTGTAGGTTGCTCTGGGTAGTATGAACATTTTAACAATATTGACTCATTCAATGAATGAACATGGAATATCTTTTCAATGTTTTATGTCCTCTTCAATTTCTTTCATTAGTGTTTTACAGTTGTCCTTATAGAGATTTTTCACTGCTTCGGTCAAGTTAATTCCTAGGTATTTAATTTTACTTGTGGCTATTGTAAATGGGATTACATTTTGATTTCTTTTTCAGATTGTTGACTGTTGGCATAAGAAATGCTACTGATTATTGTATGTTGACTTTGTGTCCTGCAACTTTACTGAATTTGTTTGCTGGTTCAAATAGTTTTTTGTTGAAGCCATCAGGTTTTTCCAAATACAAGATTATATTATGTGCAAACAAGGATAATATGTCTTCTTCTTTTTCAATTTGGATGCCCTTTATTTCTTTCTCTTGTGCGATTGCTCTAGCTAGAACTTCTAGTACTATATTGAAGTACTTGTAGTGTTCCAGAGCTAAGAGGAAAGGCTTTCAGTTTTCCCCCATTTGGTACAATACTACCTGTGAGTCTGTCATATATGACTTTTATTATGTTGAAGTATGTTCCTTTTATACCCAGTTTCATGAAGGAATGCTGAATTTCATCAAATAATTTTTTCAGCATCAATTGAAAATATCATATGATTTTTATTCTTCATTCTGCCGATATGATGTATCACACTGATTGATTTGCATATGTTGAAACATCCTTACATTGCTGGGATAAATCTCACTTGGTTATGATGAAGGATCTTTTTAATATGTTGTTGAATTTGGTTTGCTAGTAATTAGTTGAGGATTTTTGAATCAATATTCACCAGAGATTTTGGCATGTAATTTATTTATTTTTATTTTTTTGACATGTCTTTGTCTGATTCTGGTATTAGGGTAATACTGGCCTTATAGAACGAATTTGGAAGTATATTCTCCCTTCCATTGTTTGAAATAATCTGAGTAGGATTGGTATTAGTTCTTTAAATGTGTGGTAGATTTCAGCAGTAAAGCCACCAGGTCCCAGGCTTTTCTTGACTGGGAGAGTTTTATTATGGCTTTGATCTTATTACTTATTACTGGTCTGCTTAGGTTTTGGATTTCTTCATGTTTCAGTCTTGGTAAGTTGTTTGTGTCTAGAAGTTTCTCCATTTCCTCTAGATTTTTCAGATTACTGGCATATAGTTGCTGACAGTAAACACTAATGATCCTTTGAATTTCTGCAGTGTCAGTTATAATGTCTCCATTATCACTTCTGATTTTATTTATTTGGGTCTTCTGTTTTTTTCTTATTCTGGCTAGTGGTTTTTCAATTTAATTTATCTTTTCTCAAAAGTTAACTGTTCATTTCATTGATCTTTTGTATTTTTTTCTTTCTTCAATTTCAATTATTTCTCCTCTAATCTTTATTTTCTTTTCTTCTACTAATTTTGAGTTTGGTTTGCTCTTGCTTCACTAGTTCATTAAGATGCATCATTCGGTTATTTCTTTTAAGTTTTCCTTCTTTTTTGATATAGGCAGTAATAGGTCTAAATTTCCCTCTTAGCACTGCTTTTGCTGTATCCCATAGGTTTTGGTATGTTATGTTTCCATTATCATTTGTTTCAAAAATTTTATCAATTTTCTTTTTAATTTTTTCATTGACCCAATGGTCATCTAGGAGCATGTTTTTTAATTTCCATGGTTTGTATAGTTTCTGAAATTCTTCCTGTTATTGGTTTTTGGTTTTATTCCATTGTGGTAAGAGAAGATGGTTGATATTAACTCAATTTTTTTTTGGAATGTTTTAACACTTGTTTTGCTACCTAACATATGATCTCTCCTTGAGAGTGATCTATGTGCTGAAGAGAAGAATGTGCATTCTGCAGCTGTTGGATTAAATTTTCTGTAAATATCTATTAGGTCCATTTATTTTATAGTGCTAATTGAATTCAATATTTCATCATTAATTTTCTGCCTGGAAGATCTGTCCAATGTTTAAAATGGGGTATAAAATCTCCAGATATTATTAATAATGATATTATTAAAATAATAATATGCACCAGTGTTGGGTGCATATGTTTACAATTGTTATATCATCTTGCTGAATTGACCCCTTTGTCATTATATAACAACCTATTTTTCTCTTCTTACTGTTCTTGTCTTGAAATTTATTTTGTCTGATATAAATTTAGCTACTCCTGATCTTTTTAGGTTTCTGTTGGCATGGAATATCTTTTTCCATCCCTTTGTTTTCATTCTATGTATGTCTTTATAGATGAACTGTGTTTCTGCAACAGATCTTGGGTCTTGTTTTTTAAATCCATTAAGTCAATTTATGTCTTCTGATTAGATTATTACTGATAAGTAAGAACTTACTTTTTCCATTTTGTTATTTGTTTTCTAGTCTTCTCTTCTTTCCTTCCTTCCTATCTTTCTTTTAGTGAGAGTAATTTTCCCTGGTAATATGAGGTAATTTTTCGCTTTTTTGTATCTATTATTCAATTTCAGGTTGTCATGAGTCTTGTAAATACTCTCTTATAATCTATTATTTTAAACTGATGACAACTTAACACTGATCACACAAACAAACAAATATGCAAAAAGAAAACTAAAAAAGCTCTATGCTTTAACTTTTTGCTTTTTAAGTTTTTGTTGTTTCTTTTTATGTCTTATTGTAGTCTATATCTTGAAAAGTTGTAGTTATTATTTTTGATCGGTTCATTATTTAGTCTTTCTACTTAACATAAGAGTAGTTTACATACCACACAGTGTTATATGATATTCTGTGTTTTTCTGTATACTTACTATTACCAGTGAGCTTTGTGCTTTCAGAAAATTGTTTTATTGCTCATTAATCTCCTTTTCTTTCAAATTGACAAAGTCCCGTTGACATTTTTTGTAGGACATACCTGGTGTTGATGAAATGCCTTAGGTTTTGTTTGTCTGAAAAACTATTTCTCCTTTATGCTTGAAGGATATTTTCACTGAATATACTATTTTAGGGTAAAGGATGTTTTACTTCAGCATTTTAGTTATTTATTATTTATTTATTTTTGAGACAGGGTCTCACTCTCTCACCTAGGCTGGAGTGCAGTGGTGCGATCCCAGCACACTGCAGCCTCAACCTCCCAGGTGCTCTTCCCAACCGTGGCTGAGCTGTACCTAGGTGCAATACAAAATCCCCTTTACATTTCCCTCTGCTTTTCTCAAACAGGAGAAATCTTTCACCATAGCCACAACACCTGGGCATGTGCTGGGTATCAAGTGAAGCCAGCACTTCTCGGAATCTTACCCAAGGTCCATGACATACTACCTGGGTATCACGGTTGATTATTCGGGGCCCAAGCACTCTTTAGTCAGCAGGTAATAGATCCTATTAGGACTGGATCCTTCCCTTCAAGGCAGCAGGTTCCCTTCTTGTCCAGGGTGCGTCTAGAAATGTTTAAGAGCTAGTGCCTGGAATGAGGGCCCCTGACTCTTCCCAGTGCCCCATCCTGTTATGGCTGAGCTGGTATCTAAAATGCAAGACAAAGTCATCTTTACTCTTTGCTCTCCTCTTCTCAAGCAGAAGGAAGGAGTCACTTTAATTGCTGTCAGCTATGCTGCCTGGGGTTGGGGAAGGAATGGTACAAACTCTCCTTTAGCTGCCCTGGCTTGTGTCTTCCTAGGTCATGTGCCACCCTCGTCTACTGGCTCTAAGTCCAACCTAGCACTAGGACTTTCCTGGGAATTATAGTCCTTGTGTCCTAGACTGCCTCTCAAGTTTACCTGGGACTCCAGAACACTTTAGCCCATGGTGGTGAGGCTTGCTGAGAAACTCAATTTCCAACATCTGGGATGAGTGATTTCCCTCTGCCTAGGGCTGGTCCTAATGCTCATTCTGTGGGTTGGTGCTAGCTGAGCCCAGTATGGCTTTTTTCTCCGCTGTGACAGGGCAGCACTGAGTTCAATGCCAAGTGCCCGTCGCTGTGCTCTCCTTCCCCCAGGTGCACAGATTCTATGTGCCATGTGGCCACTGCTGGGGGATGGGGAGGGGTGGTGTCAGCAATTCAAGACTGTCTTTCTTACCCTCTTCAGTTCCTCTTTCAGTGATGTGAAGTTAAAACCAGGTAGTTTGATTGCTCACCTTATTATTGGTTCTTATGATGGTGCTTTTTGTGTGTAGTTTTTTGTTAAAATTTGGTGTCCCTGTGGGGAAGATAATCAGTGGAGGCCTCTATTCAGCCACCTTGCTCTGCTCATGGGCAGTTGGAATCTCAGTAAGTGCCTTGCCAAGTAAGAGTGATTCCATTTGTAACCTCTGGGCTGACGTGCCCACCTCTGCCCAATGCCCTGCTAAGCCAGAGGATGCTAGCCTCCTGGGCCAAAAGAAGATGGTAATTCCAAAGCACAAAATGCTCACTGGACAAGGGTAGATAAATTCCACAAATTTTAAACATTTTAAACTTTTCTATCCCACATTTTCCCCTATTGGTGTTGATTTTCTCTTGGTGTAACTAGTTTTAAACATGAATTCCACTAAATGCCATTGGTTAATCTTAAAATATTTATAGTTACAGAGTTGACTTGTTCCCCTTTCCTCAATAACTCTCGTCTCACTTTCTCTGCTAATATAAAACCACATGGCTTTCTGAGGCAACCTGAGAAGAAAGTCAATACTAAAGACTAACTTTATGTTTTACTATTAGAGCTCACAATCCATTTGTTTTCTGGGATAGACAAACTTGGGTGGTTTATAAAGAGTTTGGCCTTGGGGCATGGTGTCTCATGCCTGTAATCCCAGCACTTTGGGAGGCTGAGGCTGGTGGATCCCTTGAGCCCTGGAGTTCGAGACCAGTCTGGGCAACATAATGAAATCCTGTCTCTACAAAAAAGGTACAAAAATTAACCAGGTGTGGTAGCACACACCTGTGATCCCAGCTACTCAAGAAGCTGAGGTAGGAGGATTGCTTGAGCCCAAAAGGGGAAGGTTACAGTAAGCTGAGATTGCACCACTACACTCCAGCCTGGGTGACAGAGTGAGACCCCATCTGAATAAAAAATAAAAAAAAAAAATAAGAGTTTGGCCTAGTGTTCTTTTTAATTAATAGCTTTGATTTTTTTTTTTTAAATCTACCTGTTTTAAAGAAGGGCTAAGGTGTTTCAGTGATTTGAAGTGGCAAAGCTGGAGCCACAGCTTCTAAGTGTACAACACACATTTCTGAGACATAGCCCTTCAAGTAAAGTAGCGCCACAGCATCACAGCTCTGGATCCCATCGCTGGGTGCCTCTTGGAGGAAAAGGGTAAATTGCACAAGCAATTTCTGGGGAAAAAATGGCCCCCACCAACAAATTTTTTTTTTTTTTTTAAAGCAAACTTGCCTGTGGAGGAATTTAATACTGGGCCCTTTGACCTTAGTCTACTGATACAAATGGATCTGCAATGGTAATGGGGATTTTATGGCTATGAGGCATGGAAAAGAAACCAACCTCCAGTGTGAATTGAAGGAAGAAGTTCCATATTTATATGCTCTTTGAAGAAATGAAAAGTCTGTCAACTAGCTGATCTTGCCCACCTATGATTATTAATACCTTTCAAGATTTCTGAGCTTGCCAGTATATTGTTCCCAACATTTCATATTATTTTGTCTCTGTTTATATCTCCCTTGTAGACATATGCACCACTTTAAATAAGAAGCCCTTCCAGAGAGATAGCCTCAAAAGATTCTATTTATGTGTACAAGGCTTGAAATAAGACATATTCTAACCTTTAATTATGAGTTACTGCCTAAGTTTCAAGGAGTATATAAAGGGTGGAAAAGCAATGATTTTTTAAAGATGACAAACTATTGAGGTTAACAGGATTTCTTTGACTTTAAAAGTCATATGCTGAAAGCTCTTGTTAAAAAAAGATTGGCACAGGTGACATTGTCAAGGATAAACAATCATTCTTAAATCCTTTGTTTCAGTCCACAGTGAAACTTAATCCCCGAGGTGTTACTGTCTCTCCATGCCTGCATGTGGATCTCACCATTCCTCTAGTCCTGGTGCTTGCTTTCAACACAGAGCTCTGGACTGCAAGGCATTTGATTTCTGGTAATTAATCAGCTCCTCATACACGCTATGTTTCTCCCCCAGGCCCAGCTCAAGTGAGTGATCCAAATCTGGCTTCAGGAAAAAAGAAAGTGTTTATGCTCTGAGTGCACAGAATGAAACACTGATAAACAGTTCTTGGTAAAACATTGAATCACATGGCATTATTTTTCTTTTCAAGTCATAAGTCATTGTGAAAAAATACACGTAGCAAAAAAACCAAAACCAAAACAAAAGCCAAACAAAAACACGTTGGATGCCCTTTAAACAGAAAGCATTTTGTCCTGCTAGAAAGAGTTATCAGGATTTGCTGGTATTTGTGTATCTGGTGCCTTTTAAAGTGTTTGCCTAGAATGTGAATGTTCATTTTTTAAACATCTTTTTGTTTGACTCTTTATCCACAGTACTTTATCTTATGGTTTCTTGTTTGTCTTGTCTCTGTAATAACTCAGATACTACTAATTTTATCAGTTGTGAAAAATCTGAACTTACATTAGTAGTTATTCATGCCTAGAGACCTGGCAACTTCCATTCCTTTCAATTACTTACCTGTCTGCCTCAACAGCCATTTGTAAAGTCAGGTTTTGTTGTTAGGACTGAGAATAGTCTCATATATTTGTCTTGCAGGTAATTCTGAGCCCCCTTTTTTATATAAATAATGTAGCCCTATAATGGGTTCCCTTTTCTTGCCAATTATTCTGCTCAAAACTGAGATTAATCCATCAATTAGTTGTCAAAAGCATTTCTGAGTTGGCAGTGTTTGATTTATAGAAGCTACACATGAAAGTTAAGCAGTGGGAAATATGGTGTATCCAAATTATAATAAACTTTAATGATTTTGAAGACAGTGTGAATTTCAAGTAATGCCAGCCCACATAATTTTCTCCAAGTCTGGTAATATTACTCATTGTTATGATGCAATAATCCTATCTTAAAGAATTATTTCCTCTAGACATCTGACTTATAGTCTTTAACAATGGTAGGTTACTTTAGAGGTTCTCAGGAGATTTTGTTTCCTGGAGACATTTAGCAATTTGGGAGACATTTTTGATTATTATAACTAGAGAGGAGAGATACGTCTGACAACTAGTGGGTAGAGGTCAGGAATATGTCTGAACATCCTACAATGCACAGGAAAATGCCCATAACAAAGAATCATGTAATCCAAAATGTCCCTAGGGCTGGTTGATGAATCCTGGGCTACATACATTAATACATTAATGTACAGATTAAACACATTTCAAAAAGAGAATACATCTGTGTAAGTAACAGCAAGATCAAGAAAAACAAGATGATCAATACCTTGGAAGCCCCCCACCTCCCAATCTCCTCTCCACCCACTATCCCCACAAGGTAACCGTGATCCTCATTTCTTAGGGCATCTAAATGGAATCACAAAGTAAGTTGCATATATGTTACACGTAATTTGTATAGACACTTCTCTCTTTCCATTTGAATCCTAACTTTTATTGAATCCTACAAGTTGGAGATACGACTTATCTGACTCATGGAAAATTGAAGAACTTTGAGTCTACAGTGCATTTTATGAAGATTGTTGTCTATCCTTGAAAGCACCGTTTTTCTTGATCTTGCTGTTACTTAATTGTTATTTCATCCTTCTCAGACCTCCTGTTGCCAGGTGATGGAAAGACACCTAGCCTCTGTTCAGGGTCAGAGGCTTTGTCATGATGGGAAAAGGAGACCTGAATTCATATAAGAAAGCAGCTAGGGGCTGGTCAAATAAAGCAAAGAAGCATTCCCTAAGCTTTTGTTTGTTTTACTTCAAACAAACTCACACACAAAGAGAGAGCCCTTGAAGCCACAAGTAAATGATGCAGACTCTTAGCCAAATGGGGAAAAGTGCCTTATATGTCATGTACCCCTGTGCTGTTTCTAATTTTTCCTGCTCCTTAGTTCTAAGCATACCATACACATAAGTAAAATAAACCATATTGGGCTAGAGCTTAAGTTAAATATCAAAACCACTGCATGCTGACCGTGAAAACTCACTCATGCTGAACATTTGTGGGTTATCAGGATCAAAGAAAACTTCGATATTTATCAAAAAATTTAGCCCACCGTGGTTTAGCCTTCATTAACCTGGTATGCATTTGAAGAATTCAATAGAGTTAATGCAGGCCAAGCCTGAACTAAATTTTTTCGACTTAGGAAAACACTTATCCTCCTAAAAAGATAGATATCAGTTTTTAAATATTGGAAAAGGGCAGAATAACATAAGGTTCACACATGGTTGTCTGAATGCGATCAGCTCACTATAGGACCGAGTTATGCTTTGTACATGAAGAGACATGAGAACAAACTTGTCTTTTATATAATGCCCCTAATACAGATTTGAGGTACTATGGGAATTCATACTGAGTCTAGACAGCAAAATTTTTCTAGTTTAGATCTAAAATGAGAAATTTAAATGAGAACAAGCCTCGTTGCAAAATCATGGATTGTCGCAGGCACCCGAATAAGCAAAGAAGATTCCTCCAACAAAATTTCACTTACACATTTGTCCCCTACAGAGGAGTCCAGATGATGAAGTGATCTCTCCTGAATTAGAGACAGGAGATGTTTACTTTTTTAAAAAAGTGCCTACTCATTTGTGGTATCATTCCTTTGCTGCATAAAAAGTGGTTAGATCTATCATTTTATTTAAAAATTCCAATATTATGATCACTGGTGTGTTTATTGCCACTTACTATTCGTATATATTTCTTGCATGAAAGCAGGGATATTGCATTCTTTGCACCTGTTGGGGAATGACAATGCTGTGGGTGACAGTGAAGGGTGGGGTAGGAGCAAAAAGAAAAATAAATCATTTGCATCAAAAGGCTAAAGAAATTTTTCCAGAAGCTCTTGGTAATAAGGAAAATGCTCTGAATAAGAGAACAGTAGCCAGAGACAGAGGAAGAAACTTGCAAATTTAAATCAGGGGTCTAAAATATTTTCAGGCAAATACTTATCATAGCACCTGTTATTACATGATTTTAACTATGCCATCTTCTTTTATATAAAGAAGTAAAATGTAATGAAAATTCTAAGAAAGAGATTGCTTAGGAAAAATCACTTGCTTTTTTAGACTTTGCTTCTTTTATTACATTCATTATTTGTGCAACAAAAATAGAGATTTGCCATTTCCCCCATAGATATAGTTATAATTCTGTGCTGCATTCTTTCAAGGTCAGTTTCCTCTTCCATGCTTCTAAAAAGCAATTTTTTTGGTAATAGAGTCACCCATGCATAAAAAGTATACAATACTATAGTTATTTCAAAATAAAACTTAATTTCTGTAAGTATAGAATAAATGCTCAAATCAAAACTTAAAGTTAGACAAATTGTCCTTGTGTTTTTTCTGTTTGTCTAGTGTAAGGCATTCCTTGTAAGCTACAGTGCACATAGCTGCAAACAGTCCCAGGAATTGGTCATTGCAAAAGATTTTCACATTCATCTTAAAACAATGTTTCTCTATGTGTGGTCTGTGGATCACCTATGTCAGATTTCTTGGGAAGCAGAGAGTGTTGGGTAAAAATGTTCATTCCTGGACCCCACCATAGTTCTATTAAGTCAGATATCTGAGGGTTCTGCCTTGCAAAATTTATTTTAATACAATTATGAGTAATACGTAGGTACAGTAAAATTTGAGACTAACAGATATAGAAAATGTTGATGTCCTTACATCATCTTCAAAACTATAATTTTTCCAAGAAAAGGAGAAGTATTTTAAAGAGCCTACTAGAAAGGCATTCAGAGAGGAACAAATAGCTTTGGTAGAAAATATCTAGATGTGAAATCATTTCTGAAATAAAGAAAACTTTTCTCTTTTAAAAAATGTTGCTGATGTTTCAGTCTTAACACGTAAACAGATATCTACATTTTAAAAGATAATTTTAAAAATTCATATAGCTGACATAGCCATATAGATAAGCTAATCTTGAAGTTGGGACTCTCATTATCCCATTCTGCAATTGAGGAAACCTAGGCTCAGAAATGTTAAGTGACTTAGTCAAGGTCTCACAGAAAGTAAACTGGAGCATCCCAGGCAACTTGATGCAGCTTTACGCAGTGTCTTCTGCATTTTTCTACTTAAATTTTAGAGAATGTTGACTCTTGTACCTAGGTTAGAGTCAAAGCTGAAAAGAAAAGGTGCTAGGTACTCTCTCATTCCAGACCAAACCCTGTCTGACATGGCAAGGGCACTGGCACTTGAATTCCCTTTTAGTCTAGGGCATCGCAGACAGTAACCTAGCTAAGGCTGCTTTGCTGTTCCTCCACCTAAGGCAGGCTACCTCCCATGCTGGGTGTAGACAGCCCACTAGCTTTTATTCTGGAGCTGAAATTTTGAACTCAAAGCTGAGTCAGGGTTCAGTACTGAGGAAGCTGTACCAGGCTGCCTAAAAGACACACTTGTAACCTGTGAGAGTCAGTTATAGGGACAGTTATGGCAAAGAAGATATTGCTAGTCAACACTGGCCAAAGAAATAGCAACATTCTGCTCTTCTATATACCAAGATGCTTGTCCTCTCTCCCTTGTCTCTTTTCCCTAACCCAGCATCACAAATGGAGGTGGGAAGAGGCATGTAAAGTACAAAGAATGTGTCTATCTCCACTCTTACTCCTCAAGCCCAGAAGCTCAGCCTCTGTTGGAAGAAGAAGAGATCTGTGAAACAGATATATGACCAAAGTTTTAAATCAGCTCAAATGGAGTTATAATTGTTAGAGTGCCCAGAGATTTGGGGAATATCTTCCCCTTTTTAAGGGTTGAAGCTTCAAAATTTAATACAGCATGGCTCATAGCAATAATTTAGAAAAACATATTTATATCCCCCTCCCTGATTGACTTCTTGATAAGCTGTTCATGAAAATTACATGTTTTGAGTAGGATTCTTTATTACAATCCCCAAAGTTTATATTGAGAGTTCATACAAAGCAGTCCATATAGAACTGACATCCTGTAAGAACCTCTAGATATTTCCTAAAGGTTATTAGGCTAGTGCAAAAGTAGTTGCGGTTTTAGACCGTGAATTTTAAACCATTATAACTAGGCTCAAGGACATCTTTATTAATCAAAATAGGAACTATTACAATCAACATATTTTTGCCAATGAGAAATAAGTTTGTTTATTCCTGTAGCATAAAACTCTTGTGTTTCTGGATTCGATGAACTCTTGGAAAGCATTTTTTGCATGCTACTGGTTGTGGAAGCATTTTCCCTGCAAAAAGTTGTCGAAATGCTTGAAGAAGTGGTAGTCTGTTGGCGAGAGGTCAGGTCAATACGGCAGATGAGGCCAAACTTCATAGCCCAGTTTGTTCAACTTTTGAAGCATTTGTTGTGTGACATGCAGCTGGGCTTTGTTGGAGAAGAATTGGGCCCTGTCTGTTGACCAAGGCTGGCTGAAGGTGTTGCAGTTTTAGGTGCATCGCATCGATTTGCTGAGCATACTTCTCAGATGTGATGGTTTTACTGGAAGTCAGAAAGCTTTAGCGGATCAGACTGGCAGCAGACCAGTGGCCTTTTATTTTGGTGCAAGTTTGGCTTTGGAAAGTGCTTTGAAGCTTCTTTTTGGTCCAGCCACTGAGCTGGTCGTTGCTGGTTGTCGTATAAGAATCCACTTTTTGTCCCATGTCACAATCCGATTGAGAAATGGTTCAT
The DNA here is from genome assembly GCF_000001405.40 of Homo sapiens. Taxonomy (NCBI): domain Eukaryota; kingdom Metazoa; phylum Chordata; class Mammalia; order Primates; family Hominidae; genus Homo; species Homo sapiens. The sequence goes on along the minus strand of NC_000001.11, from coordinate 81,153,165 downwards.
TGTTGTTGTGTCTTCTTAAGAGAAAACAACACTTCAAAACGATGATTATTTTGATTTATGGTTGGTCAACTCATGAGGCACCCACTTATAGAGTTTTTTCACCTTTCCAATTTGCTTCAAATGCTGAACGATGGTACAGTGGTCTTTGGCCACTTCATGTGTAGTTGTAAGAGGATCAGCTTCAATGAATGCTCTCTATTGGTCGTTGTCAGCATCCGATGGCCGGCTGCTATGTCCCTTATCTTCAAGGCTCTCTTCTTCTTTGCAAAACTTCTTGAACCAGCACTGCACTGTACATTCATTAGCAGCTCCTAACCCATATGTGCTGTTGATGTTGCAAGTTGCCTCCACTGCTTTACGACCCATTTTGAACTTGAATAAGAAAATTGCTGGAGTTTGCTTTTTGTCTAACATCATTCCCGTGGTCTAAAATAAACATAATATAAACAGCAAGTAATAAGTCATTAGCAGAAAAACATAAAGTGAGAAATGTCCATTAAAATGATGCATAATGTAACCACATTTGTTTAAAATTGTATTCCAATATCAAACGTCAAATTCAAACAGTGCAAAAACTGCAATTACATTTGCACCAGCCTAATAGAATGCAGGTCAGAGAGCTCAAGCATAAATGTGAACATATAATGGTGGGAAGAATCTGAAGGGACTGGAATTTTCTTTAAAATTGGAACAAAATTTATTTTTTTTAATTCCATTTATTTTGATGCCAGTCCTCTGCTATCACAAACATATAAGCTTGCAAATAACTGTTCATCTCAGGAGATGGGTCCTGGAAGCAAAGCCTCTCTCTTGGAATCTTGTTATATTTGCTTCAGCAAAAAGCTTTTTATAATCAAGCCACTGTCAAGGCCATAAAATTTTAATTCTTTTTGGGTTGTATAGACTAGTAAGTATTTCATCTTTATCTACTGGCAAGATTAATTTAAAATTAACCTTGGCTCGGCATGGTGGCTCACGCTTGTAATCCCAGCACTTTGGGAAGCCAAAGTGGGCAGATCCCTTGTGTCCAGGAGTTCAAGACCAGCCTGGGCAAAACGGCAAAACCCATCCGTACAAAATGTACAAGAATTAACTGGGTGTAGTGGTGTGTGCCTATAGTCCCAGGTACTTGGGAGGTTGAAGCAGGAGAATCACTTGAGCCCGGGAGGCAGAGGTTGCAGTGAGTCGAGAGTGCACCACTGCACTCCAGCCTGGGCAACAGAGTGAGAGCCTGTCCCAAAAATAAATAAAATAAAATAAAATAAAATAAAATAAAATAAAATAAAATAAACTACACTGAAGAGAACTTTGCACCAATAGCTTTTTAATATCCAGAAGTGAGGATACCACACAACTACAGAACTATACATTTTGAATGCCTCTTACACAACTCCTCTATACATTGACTACTGCTGTTTGGATTTCTAGAAGCTTTCCACTAGCATAGAATTATTACTGCAAGAAGATGACAATGGGTGCACAAGTGGTGCCACATTAAATGACAAACATTAAAAGAATCATTCAGGCTTGGAATGGAAGACAGGATAGCTTATCTGTGTGTTAATGCTGCCACTTAATTCAGTTGCTAGTGAGGAAGTTCATAACGTTCTTGCCAGTAGCTGACTCATATTTCAATACTTGATACTCTAGGGAAAAAAAGAGGTGCTACCTTATCACTCTATGAAATGTGCAGGGAATAGGAATGCTTGATGTAAAGCCAGTTGAAGAGCCTCTGATTTATGTCATCACAAATACTTTATACACATGTATGGTTAAATTGCAGCTTACATATCATTCACAGCACAGAGTAGAGTTCCAGTATGAAGAACCAGCAGGCCACCTGTCTTTACTGAAAATGACACATTGGAATGTATCTGCAGTTGTTTAAATTGGGAGAGTGGGCCAAATTGTTTTACCAGAAATCCTCTCCTGGGGATGGAATGTTTGCATGTGTACATGGTAACATCACTCAGGGATTGATAGAACACTTCACTATTGTTGGAGACCTGTCTCATCATTCAAGGAATGTGTCTGGCTGGCCATACGGGACATCTCATCACTTTATGGAAGACTTATTCCAAAACGAAGAACCAGGTCCGAGTGAGGCCTTGCTTATTCATTTTACTTCTTGCTATCTGTCTTTTTTTGGAGTGGGGAGGGGGATACTTTTCATCTAAGAAGTCAGTAGACAAAATTCTTTGCTGATAAGCTTACAGGAGAGCAACGTTTTGACCTACAGACTCTTGGTCATCTACAGTGTGTTATCATAATATGAATGCCAAGAGATAGACCACAATTGAATGCTATCAAGTGAATCGGAATCATTTGTCTATTAATGGGGAGAAAAATGAAAATGTAGTTATGGTGTTTTTGAGGTGTATCATATGCTTAAGTCCAGTACAATTGTTAAATATTAGGTCACAGGTTGACAGCAACTGCATTCTTTTCCTGGTGTGATCCTATGAAAAATACTCTAGATGGTAAAAATTACAATAAAAATTAAAATAGAAACATAACATTTATACGTAGGATTTTTGTTTTGTTTTGACCTCTTTTTGCCAAGTTCACTGCCTAATGTTTTATGAGCAGTGTTTCTCAACTGCAGCACTATTGCACTATTGACATTTTTTTATATAAAAGATGGGGCTTCACTGTATTGCCCAGGTTGGACTTAAACTCCTGGGCTCAAGCGAGTTTAAGCGAACCTCCCACTTCAGCCTCCAGAGTGGTGGGACTAGAGATGCATGCCACCGTACCCAGCTTAGCACTATTGACATTTCGAATTTCATATTTCTTTGTTGTGGAGACTACTCCCACAACATTGTACATTTTTGTGCAATTGTAGGATGTTTAGCAGCACAACCTGGCCTCTACTCTCTAGATTCTAGTAACACCTGCTCCAGTCTTGAAAGACAAAATGTTCCAGACATTGCCAAGTATCCCCAAGAAGGTAAAGTTGCTCCAAATTGAGAACCATTGTTCTATCAGTATTATGTAGGGATGTATCATCATTAACACACTCAGTATATTTGGCAAGATGTAGTGATAACATTGTAGACGTTTTAATGTGTCACATCCTTTTGAACATTTTCAGAGGCAAGCTGTAGAATTTTGGTTCATTATCAAATGCATTTGATATTTTGCCCTATTTAGAAACAGTTTCTACTACCAAGGGATATACTAGCCTAGATTTCCATGGCACATTCATTTAAAAGCAGTTATTCAACATAATCTTAGAAGGTCATATGTGCCATGATAAGTCAAACTGGTTAATCATCTAGCCAGTCTATGATTTGGCCTCTGACGCTCACCTAGATATATTTTGAAGCTTTTAAAAATGCTTTGCATAACATCACATTCCAAAGGAATCCCAAGCATCTCTCATTTGATTAAAACATCCATTTTAAAATAGTTGCACCACAAATGTATTTAAAACTGTTTTTGAACCCACTTGTACATGAACTCTTTATATTTTAGAGGAGGTAAATTTCTAAATTTTGGGAAGCTGGAAGGCATTTCTGCAACCCAGCCACAGGGCCCGTCTTGTACTGGATTCTTCTTCACTTCTTTCTCACTGTAGGCTGGCAAGACTCAGTCAGTTCAGTTTTCCTCTCTTTTTGATAGCCACTGCCGCCCATTCTATCTTTTGGGGTTTCATTATCCACCAGAAAGGAAGGCAGAAGCTTGTGAAGTCTTGCCAGTTTGACCTTTTATTTACCTACCTCTGACAGAATCGCACAGACCTCTTTTGTTTTAAGGGTTTCACTGCTAATTCCTTTGGGGAAAATACTGAAGAGATAAAAATAATAAACGTGGGAAAGTGATGAAAGTTACAGATGCTTACAAAGTTCTTACAGTCTTATTCCCTTGTTGATGGTTCATGACTCTTTTCTGAAGATAGGAATTGGAAACTTCCCTTTGAATCTTGTCCTGTAATTTTATTTTTAAGACTGGGGCTAATCCAATGTCACTTCTCCTCTGAGCCATCTACGGAGTAGGTGGTATGCAATTTTTCTCCTTGAAGTCTCCTGGCTCACCATTGGAAAGGTTTAAGGCAGATGCAAATTTTCAGGCTCTCTCCCCTTAAACTATTCTCTATTCACAAAGGAATTACACCTTTCAGACACTTCTTCACAATGTTAAACTCTGCTGTCTAAAGTCTTGATTTCTTATCCACACCAAATAACGCATGTTATTTTTTTCCAAACATCAAGGTGTATTTCCTTAGTGTTTTATTTTTTAATCATAACCCCTCACAGCCTTACATATTTTCATCTTTTCTCATTTGTAATTATATCTACCTTAATTGTTTCTCTTCTTAGAGACTTCCTTGAATGTGACATCTGGGAATACCAATATAATTTTACTTTGGTAAAAGGTCAGACTCCTCTGTTTAGCAAACATGTATTTATTAGCTAAAGAGTGTCAGGGACTCTTGTAGAAATTAGACAAAAACCTGCCCTCATGAAGGGTACATTCTAGTGATGGAGACAGTCAGGAAACAAAAAATATAGCACCTAGGATGTTAAATGGTGATAAGTGCTACAGAGAATACAAGGCAGGAAAGGGGTAGAAATTGCTGGTTTGTAGGGAAGTATTTATAATTTTAAGTGGAGTGGGCAGGGAAAACTTCATAGAAAAGAGATATTTGAATAAAGACTTTAGGAAGGTAAAGAAGAGAATTATGTTGATTTTCAGAGAAACAAACTGAGAGAATATCAACCTAATTTTTACTAGATAGAAGCAAAAGCCAACACAAAAGCTCAGAGGTGGGAATGTGCCTGGCATATTTGGAGACGAGCGGTATGTTTAGTTGGGTGGGGTAGAGCAAATTAGAAAATTTAAAGAAGATGGAAAAAATAATAAATAATACCTGTTTGCACCTCTATGTTTACCATTCTTCCTAATTTATGCAGTGTTTTATAGGTCATTTTGACAATATTAGATTTAGTGCAATGTCTTTAAAGATATTTTCAAAGACATTAGTCCAGGAATTTCTTATTATTCAGTCACTGGTTATCAAAAGTGCTAAATCTGGTTGAACCGTTGCAACAAGTTATAAAGATGCTCTGATATTTGTCATATTGTTGGATTTCTTTTAGACAATCACACCAAACCAAACCAAACAAAACAAAACAAGCTGAAAACTTTGGCAAATCAACAAACGATTTAATCCTTTGTGGCTCAGTAGCTGAGTACCAGTAAGATCCAGGGAGCTCAAAATGTATGCCAGATACACTTGGTACTAAGGGCAACTCATTTTGCTAGTGCATCTCATGGCTATGTTTGAACAATTGCAACAAGTTATAAAGATGCTCTGATATTTGTCCAATTGTTGGATTTCTTTTAGGCAATCACACCAAACAAAACAAAACAAAACAAGCTAAAAACTTTGGCAAATCAACAAACTATTTGATCCTTTGTGGCTCTGTAGCTGAGTACCTGTAAGATCCAGGGAGCTCAAAATGTATGCCAGGTACACTTGGTACGAGAGGCAATTCATTTTACTAGTGCATCTCAGGGCTATGATTGTCAGGGTTGTGAAAAATAGAACTTTAGATTGTATTGACTCTAGGAATTTATAATAATCACAAGTCTGTTACTTCTAAGAACATAAAATCCACATTCAATTGGCTTAACTAATAAAGGGAATTTATTGGTTCACATATAACTGAAACAACTGGAGGAGTCAAATTTCAGGGGTGGCTTAATACAGCAATTTAATGATAGCATCAAGAACCTGTTTTTATTGTAATTTTTTCCCATCTGAACACTCCGGCATCTGTGGGGTTCGCTTCACCTTAAGACTAGCTGTCCTCAAGATGGAAATATGTCTGCTGGAAGCTCCAAGGACTTCATAGTCACATGATGCTGCTGAGTGTGAAGAACCAATGTCTTTGTCTCAAAATTCTCAGCAAACTCTCAAGGTTCCATCAGATTGGATAAGAGTAGTTGAACAAACTATTTTGGCCAGGACTCCATGTAATTGAACCCAGGAGGTGATACCAGATTCTGCCAAAGATCATACACTAAGTTGGGAGTAGGACTTGGTTTCCCCACACTGAACTGGGGTAATGTTGCACTAAGAAGGAAGAGGATACAAAGTAGTAAGAACTGTGAATCTACCAATGGTGATGCAATGCAAACAAATTGCCTTTGTAATCTCAGGGTCTTGTACTGTGTCTGATATACAGTAGATTCTTATGCTGATTGCCTTAATGAAAATGCATTTATTGAATGAGTAAACATTTCTGATGAATATAAACTTAAAAAGGGCATAATAACTTTTGTCATTGTATATTTTGTAGAAAACTCTGTATTCTGAAATCTGTGTTGAAATCCAGGTATGACAGCTATACTATTTCTAAGGAATGACCTTACTTCTGATTTTACCTTTGAAACTCTCAGCAGAAAATTTGGAGGCTAACATGAACCTTTTTGGGGAAAGAATTAAGGTTTTCTGAGAGGGAAGAATTTCACACTCAGAGAAGTGCAGTAAAGTTCAAGTAAATGTTCTTTGCATCTCAAAAAAAAAAATAGAGCAACTTTTCATTACCTTTTCCTCTGTTAAGTCACAAGTCAAGTTGTACTTTCAAGTAAACCTTTCTCTTTGAGAAACTTCTCAGGTCATCTGGGAATCAGAGGCTATTACAAGTTATGGCTTTGCACATTGCTAATAGAGGATATCTATTATTTTATTTAATTCTTACAAAAGTCTCATTAGGCAGTGTAGAATAGTGGTTAAAAATTCAGATATTAGATTCAGACTGCCCAGTATCAAATCCTGGCTCCTTCATCTCCTAGCAATGTGACCTTGGGCAAGCTATTTAATCCTCTATGCCTCAATTTTATCATTTGTAAATGGGGAGATAATGCTTGCCTCTCAGGTTTGTTATAAGGAATAACTGAGTTAAAATATGCAAAGTACTACAGAGCATGCCTGGAACATGATAATCATTCGATAAGTATTATCCATCATGATAATGATGCTGCTGCTTCTGCTTTTCATACATGGGAACCCAAGTCTCTGAAAATCTCAGTAGCCCTCCTATAGTCCCAGAGTAGCAATGTCATAAAGCTGAATTCAAATGCAAGTATGTTTGACTTTGATTCTGCAGCTTTTCATACTACAGCCTGCCCCTTCCAACCTTTGTCTTTTTACTGACTTCTACACACAATATTTTATTACTAAATTGCCATCTGGGAAAAATCTGGGACTATGAATATTTCTCGTAAGTGCGGATCCTAGCACAGGGTTTTACACCCTGTGGGAGTTCAATAAACACTGCTAATGTGATCAGAGATATTCTGCAGGGAATCCTAGCTCCAGGTGGCATTAGAAAAGACACTAACACTAGAAGACCTCCTTTAAAATACACATCTTTACCTGGGAGGATGAGACACATAAGCCTTCATTGTTAGTCTTCTCTCATAACTATCATGCCCTAAAGTGTCTGCCAGTTGAATTGCTTGTTAATTTAGGCAAATTGGAAAGGCATAGAAAGATGACTTAACAGAGCAAGACTAGGAAATACATGTAACATGGTGTCATGTGCCATCTTACATATGGGCACCAAAACTCATGCTGAGAGGCCTGAGTTTCCTTATGAAAATGAGCATTATTACTCTTCTATCCATTATGTGCCCAGAATAGTTGTAAATAAAGACATCCAGAAAAGCTACTTTCAAATGCAGTGGTGGGAAAAAAGACATCAAAAAATGCCGACAGTGATGAGCAAAGGATTTTAGCTATTTTTATTTCTTATCTCTTCTCCATATTTTTCTTTTGTGATATAGGTATTAGTCCATAATAAAAGAAATTTGTGTTTTAAAAATATGGTAATACTGAACTTTCTACCCTACTTAAATTGGCCAGAATAAGTTTGAAACATTTCAGCTTAAGAAGTTATGTTTATCTTGGTCTATGTTGAGTTAGTGATGGTTTTGAGGAATTACACTGGCATAAACTGCATAAAAATGATGTTATACATCAAATAGACATAACTCTCAAGAATTCTAAGATGCATATTCACTGGGAAGACAGAACACACACACAGACACACACACACCACAAGCATCAAACATACTACAAATAAAAAACAAAAATTCAACAAACTCAATTACCCAGGCTTTTGAGAAATAAACAACTTACATGAATATATCTTGTCAATTATATAGAATTGCAGAACAAATTTTCAAAGCAAATTGAGTCATCTAACAGATGAAAACACAGAACATTAAAAAATATTATATTGTTAGTCTTAAAAGATTTTTTTAATAGAAGAGATTCTTCTCTGTATATATGTGTGTGTATATATATGTATATGTATATCTTTAGGTGATTTATGAGTTATCCAAAGTATATTTAACATTGTGTCACAAGACTTGGAATTAATTATGACAGATAGCTATGAAATTATATTTCATAGAGAGCATTTGATCTCCCAGTCCATGTGTTTTCACTCTCAAATATTTAGAAGAGAGTTTAAAGACAAAGACATATGGAGGATGGTTTTATGTGTGCAGTTGACAGAGGAATCCTGCAATTTCGTAAGACCTAGAACATTTTGCAGTAAATGATCCAAAAGGAGAACAGAAGATTAGTCTGATCTCTCACTGTGCTAAGCATGATCAAATTAAGCTGCATAACTAACTCAAAAAATAGCAGCAACAGAGAGGGACAACAGGATAAAACGTCAGAAAGGAGTAAAGAATCTCCAGAAGAAAAAAAAGTGTGACCCTTTTTGTCTTTGGAAGTAAGTAGGGCTCCTGCCAAAAGAAAAGACTGCTTTTGAATAGAATCTAATTCAGAGGATTGAGCCCCATCCAATCCCTTTGTCAGCGCTTTAGCACTTTACGCATTTTGTCTATAAACAAAAAGAGAATGGAACATCTTAATGCTTTTCCAACACTATTCCAATATGTAAAAATTATTTTTACTTTTGGAAACAATTAATATACTGGAGAAAAATGGTAAAAACGAAAGGCTAATGCAGGTCATGAGTTGGTTTAAACCTGTTTTCTTTGGTCTTCTACATACATAGATTTACAATAATTCTATTTTTAATTCTCAGGAACTTTGCTACATAGTGCACTATTCTTGTAATTCTCATGCTGTAGTTTCTCTTCAGTTTGTGTAAATCTTTCTCTAATTCAATTGAAAATGATGAAATATGTTGATATTTATAAATGCTGAATATTCAGCCAGAAGACATGAATGACTGTTATAAGAGGTTATAAGAGGAAAAATCCCACAGGAGTAACTATGAGTACAGGGCTTTCTTATGGCCTTTAGTGCAAACTGTCAGGACATACTCTGTTTTTTTTGTTTCTGGAGCTCTCAGTGAAATGGGTAGCTCGGAGCACACAGAGAGGAAATGGGTCCCATTCTGGGTCAAACCTAATAAATTCTTATTTTGAAGAAATTTTGGAAAACATGATTATTTTGAGCAAAGATTTCATTTCTTGTTTTACTTATTTGAGTTAAATCAGAGCGATGATTTGCCTTGACATGGAATTCCTAGGATGTGGGATTCCTAGAGTGGTCTGCAACTGCCCTGAACTATGAATGTTTTCTGCCTCTGAGTAATATGGAAGAACTCTGGTGTACACTGGGGTCATACAAGCTATAAAATTAACCTAGCATTTAGTTATATGGACCCCATTTTACTTGGTGTGTACTGAATTGGTGAATAAACTCTGTGTCTCTATTGCTCCGAGCTTGGGTTGTCATTATCATGCAACAGGGTTGGCTAGAATGACACAGAAGCAAGTATACAGTAAAATGATAAAGTATTCATGTAGTCTTGTTTTTTTCCCCAGCCTAGTTAAAAATATGAAACAAACAAGTAAGATAGGCAGATACACTTACTGTGAACTACAGTCTCAATCCATATTCAATGCTTGCAACTCTCTCATCTATTCAGCTTTGTGTCTCTTCTCTGCATTGTTATAGCATTATTTAGTTAGTTGTTTACAGCTAGTTTATCTTCACATTTTTCTTATTCAAGACAAATTGCATTTAAATGTACTCAGCTAATCACTAAATGTACTTTATGGAAAAGAAAGACCAAGTAGGTACATCTGAGGCAGTGACAGGAGAACAATCCAATCATTTATTTAAATGAATTAATCTAAATGTTTTATGCATAAAAAGTTCAATAAGTTATAAATCTCAGAAGTTAGCCTGTATTTATCAGAATTTTAAAAACCTTTTATCCTCTGCAAAATATTTCTATCTAAATCACGGTCATGACATTTCCTTTACAATGAAAAGAAGGTTCTGAAAAATCCCCACAATTTTCCTATTTGTAATCAGGAATACTGATTAACTCAAGTTCAGTTTTCCATTATGGGGCAATAGAGTGATAAGATATAGCTTCAGTTTCAAGGTTGAAATAATACTGCTTAATTCTACTGTGTTTTCACCTTGAATATTTTGTTTTTAACTGGAGTAGTTATATTCCATGTAATTAAGATGCCGCAACTCTCTTTGAAGCTCAGAGAATCTAATCACTTATACAGAAAAGGTTTTATTCCCATAAGTTAACTGTTGGCAAGTGCAGATGTTTTTGAGCAATCTTACATTCCAGAGTTCTGCCTCACCTCCTGACTAAAGAATGGGATAAACTTTGCTTCTTAGTGTCCTCTACAATTAAAAAAACCAAAACAAAACAAAAAAAGGTTCACTTTTAACTTCACCTAGATTGTAGCCCCTAAAGCATGCTGCATATAATAAAATGATTTTTATTAATTATTTTTTTCATGGAAGGGCAATGCTTTCTGAACATCAAGTTCCATTTTTTGTGTGTGTGTGTGTCAGAGAAAAATAAGGATTTGTAGCCATCCCCACTCAGGCCTGTTAGCCTGGGCAATTCTCTGTTCACATTTTTCTTTCAAATAGATTCAACAGACCAATTGCTAAGCTGAAGTTCATGAGCAATCTTTCCTCTAACATTCTGCAATGCCTTCTTGACATTTTTTTTTATTAAACTAGATTACATTTCTTTAATTAATTTTTTTTTGAGGGCAGAAAGCTAATATTTTAACCTCCTTGAGTTTATACAATGGAAATATTTTCATCTGTGACAAATGGATAGTAACAATTAATGACCAAAGAGAACAGAATATGATTAAAAAGCAGCTTTACAAGTGACACCTGAGGGACTTAAGAGTGCAATGGGCAACTTTACAATGTATATGACCATTTCTCACAGATTCCAGAAATAACAGAGGGACACTTTGAGGTAGACCTTGAGGATTGCCTGATATTATACACAAGAGAATTGCCCAGGTCAACAGACTTGGAAATATAATCTCATATCAAAACAGGTATTACTCTCATAGTCAATGTGTGAAGTATGTTTATATTGATGCTCTGACGTTTGATATTTGGCCGTCGCTTGACACAAGATAATTTGGAGAAACGTTCACTTCTACCATTCAAATAACAGTTAAAGCAGATTGGACAAGACCCTAAACCAAAGCATCTAACTCCTCCTTGGGTACAGTTAACCCATTTATGCCTGAAGTTGCAATTTTTTGAATTTTTGCCATCAGACCTTGGCAATAACCTTGAGCAGTAGGCTATAGACAACTCCCACATGCTTAGCGTTCCAATAATGGAACACTAGCCATAAAAGGGTTTAATATCCTATGCAGGAGTCTCCAACCTCTGGGCCACAGACCAGTAGCAGTGGCTGGCAGGTGAGCATTGCCACCTGAGCTCTGCCTCCTGGCAGGTCAGCGATGGCATTAAATTCTCATTGGAGCCCAAGCCCTGTTTTGAACTGCACATGTGAGGGATCTGGGTTGCATGCTCCTTATGAGAATCTAATGCCTGATGATCTGAGGTGGAATGGTTCCCCAACTTCCATGGAAAAACTGTCTTCCATGAAACCAGTCCCTGGTGCCAAAAGGTTGGGGACTACTGTTATTTCAATGAATACATTACTAAAAACTACTACCAATAATTTTTTGACCTGAAAAACACTGGTGAACTCAAAAGTGAAATAGTGTGTTTTTAGTGGTATCCACTTACGATAGTCTTCCAATATGTCATTATGATGACAAGTTAAAAGAAAGAAAAGAAAAGCACCAGTGAAATCAAATTGAAAGCAATCCTTTGATGGAAATAAGATTTGGGACTGCCAGATACTTACAAAATTATAAAAATTATTAAAATTACAATTTTTTATATGTCAGCTCTGATTGTCTAGATCTAAAGAATTGGACAAAAGAAGAAATTAAACTTTTCACAAAAACTCAATCTCCTGTTGGAACAAAAGTTTCCTTGTTACCAGAATAGATGAATATGCAATGTATTTGTTGAATGCAAGTATGTGTTCATTGAGTGCACGAGTGATTCAATGAATGAATGAGATAACTTAACGTGTTCCTATGGACATCATCTGCAGTATTCAATCAAGTATGTTCTTTTATTCTCAAATGGAACATTGGAACAATGTTGCCTTCAAAGTTCATGCAGCTAAACCCTTATGCAATGGCTATGTATATAATATTATGTTTATTTTACTTGATGAAACCTTGCAAAAGCCTGAGAAAGGTTTCCTGACTCAATTTGAGTGGTGTGAAAGGATTATATTTGAAGAATATTTTTTACTACTTCTGTAACAACGACCTGGTGATATTGAACACTGGAAGCTACCAACCCTTTCATAGGCTATACATTTGACCTGCCATTTAACCATCATCCTTGCACGCATAGCTCAATTATCTGCAGGTCCTTAAAGAAAAAAAGCTTTCAGTGAGTTCACAGGGCAAAAAGCAAAAGAAACAACAACTGGCAGCTAGGACAATATCTTGGATACGTTTAATAAGTATCATCTTACAAAAACCAAAGTGGAGAATGTATAACACAAGAGATAAAAATGGAAGAGGTAGTTGGGAGTTTCACTTTCGAATTCTGGTATTGCTGACACTATAACAAAACTAAATCCACATTTTATCAGAAGAGTTTTGAGAATAAGGAATACTACATTTTCAACACTGCTCTGTGCAAATGTTTGAAAACAGTGCTTCAAAATATATCAGAACTGTTAATTACTCACTGCACTATTGATCATGGACCTCTGATTTTTGACTTGGCAGAAAGGATGAGCAGGCTATTTTTCATGTGATTCTGCTTTAGATAAGGGTCTTCGTGAGAAGTCGAAGTAGAAGTAGAATCATGTAATTTGCTTCTTTTATTATCTTCATGAAGATCTTTGCTTTGACTCTGGAAGACTGCAGAACAGTCCTCAAGTTGCTGGTCTTCTGTATAATAGAAATATCTGCCAGGCCTTGAACATTATGGCAAATAAATTGTTGACAGCAACTGATAGGCCAAATATCACCCAAGCTGCCAAGGAAAGACTCCCTCCGATGTGTGGGTGAGATAAGCATAACATTTTAAGCTTTCAAATTCTGTAGTGACTCCCTTCCAAGGAGCTCAGGGTACGTTATAGACATTGTATCACTAATCCTAATACATCCCAATATGGCTCCGGCCGAGTAAAGACAGGAGAAAATCTTCATCATGCATTATGTTGAAATTCTAATATCTCTCTCAGCTCAACTAAGTAACTTTGATCATAGGTGTCATAGAAATAATTAGTTGGATAGGTGGAAAGATAGATTAAGAGCCCACCAAGTTTTATGTCTGTTATTATTGAGGATCCATTAACCACCAGTTTTCCACGTGAAGTGTTTTCATTGTGATAAAAGCCTCCATATTTTTTAGTGAATGCCTGATCATTTTCCAGGCACAAGACATCACTATTTCCACTAGAAGACAGTAAAATATTTCTGAACAAAAGAAAGAGTGGAGACTCCCATGTAATGGGTTCCTATTTATTTTTAAAGTAATCGATAGTTGTTTGCAAGTAATTGCACCGTGTAATCTGTAAGTAAGGTAAGACTGAAAACACACATCTGAGTAATCACATGGTCTAATCTGTTCAAATGGACAGATTATAGATGATCCTGAGACCTCTAATTTTGGTAAATTGTCATTGTGACCCTTACATGGCTGGCTTTGTACTGTATGTTCCTTGTGAATTTCAAAGGAAGTGTAAACTTCCTTGAACTACTCAACTACTATAATGATTGAAGTTAAGTACTGCATTTTCTATAGAAATCAATGAAGCTAATCACACAAGCACAGCTCAACATATCCCATTCAGCAGTCTTGAAAATACTTGAATATCATAATTGGTCTGCAGCTGAGCACATTTTAGTCTTCAGATCCAAGGAGGATGCAGTATCCATCTCAGTTCACCATACACAAGTGAATAATGAAAGATTTAAAACACAGAGTGTTGTTTTTATTAAAGAGATTACTCTTGAAATAGTTTCATAGGGCTAAAAAGTCTCTTGTTTCTACACCTTTTAAAATGAACAACTGAACACTGCAAATATACTAATTATTTTCAAGCAAACAATGCATTTATAAGTGGAAATTTATCTCTCAGGAGAAAAGAAATGTCTTTTATCAGCAAAAGGAACTTGTTAAGAATAAAAAGTATTGGTTTCAGAGGACATACGGGGTTGAAAGTCTGTACTAAACACCTAACCCAGCATGTACTCTGAAAACAGTAGTTATGATATGAAGAAAGTATTATTGCTGTCTCTATTTTGCAGATGAGAAAACTAAGGCTTAGGTCACCTATCCAAGTGTACAGCCAGAACTGTCTGAATCCTATAGACTTGAGTTTAGATATGTAATGTCTATATTAAGCTGGTGAAACAGAATTACAGTTGAGCAAGTGTTTTGTTTGTAGGAGGGCAGGAAGGGTATATCTTTTCTCCATTGCTGCTTATGGGAATGGCACAGTCACGAAGTATGCTGGGGAAAGCTGAAAGCATTGATTTTAGGCAGCATCCAGTTCTGGTTTATGCCTCTAATTACAGTAGTCTGCTAGTGTGAGCAAATCTTTTTCCTTCCCTCATTTGTTTTTAATCTGCAGAGTCAAGATGATATCTATCTTCCATATATGCTACAAGAATATTGGAAATATTTATTGCACTTAAACAACATATGAATTCATTGCTTTGACTATTTTGAAACAGCTGTTTCTGAAATAGGGAGTCCAATTCTCCTCTCTGGATAATCTTTGCAGTGATATTATTAGGGTGGCCAGAGTCATGAAAAGTGGCCATTCATGCACCTTTTGAGAGAAGATAAAAGGAAGGATACTGTGATACTTTTTATAGAATGCAGTGTAAGCCCCCTGACTCCAAGTAGCTCTAAGTAAAGTTCCGATTACTGCAATTGCTGCAATTTTCCAATTGCTGCAGAAGATGGAGTATTTGGGAGTCCCATGATATCACAAGCAAAGTCAGTTCCACCTGCTGTCTGTCTACTTAGGGAGAGACTCACGATACTACGCTTTCTGACCACAACTGAAGTTCAGGGGGGGCATTTTTCACAGCTTGTAAAGACTGCCACAAGGCAACTAAATTGTCTTCTTTCTTCTTCTTCTTCCTCTTCTTTTTTTTTTTTGGTACAACCAATCCATGTAGTTAAAAACACAAGAAGTGTCTGCTGTAATATATTTGCTGTCAATTCCCATTATCTCTACAAATCAACTCCTTCCTGACTTGCTCAACTCTCGTAGTGACATTTCCATCTTCGAGTCACCAAGGCTCAGTAAATTAACTCATTTTTCAACATATATTTATCGAATGTCATCTTTATCTTTTCTCCCTCACTGGCCCGCATATCCAATTAATTGCTAGGTCAGCCATCTCAAATCCTTTTTAAAACAAGGTTAAGGCCAGGCGTAGTGGCTCATGCCTGTAATCCCAGCGCTGTGGGAGGCTGAGGCGGGCAGACCATCTGAGGTCAGGAGTTCGAGACCAGCCTGACCAACATAGTGAAACTCCGTCTCTACTAAAAATACAAAATTAGCCTGATGTGGTGGTGCATGCCTGTAATCCCAGCTACTAGGGGGGCTGAGGCAGGAGAATTGCTTGAACTTGGGAGGTGGAGGTTGCAGTGAGCTGAGATTGCACCATTGTGCTCTAGCCTGGGCAACAAGAGTGAAACTCGGTCTCAAAAAAAAAAAAAAAAGATTAAGTAAAAATAAATTACGAAACAGACAATATCCAATCACAAGTGCTGTAGAATCATCCTCTCCAACAATTGTGAAGACATCTTTTTCTGCCTATTCCTCTGGCATTATCATTATATGAACTTTGCAAAAAAAAAGAAAAAAGGTAATTATGAAAAGATTATTACAGTTCTTAGAAAATTCTTTCTTACACTGCTTTCAATAAACTTCTCAATAAATTCTTATGCTCTCCCCGTTTATCATTTACCTGTACTGACCTCTTCTCATCTCTGTGAGTTCCATGAAGCTTTTCTCAATTTTCCCAACTGAAATAATTCATCCTTCTTCTGAGTGTCGATAGCATTTTATCTCTACTTGTCTTCTGGTAGCTTTGTTTTTTCTACTTGTAATGAATTATGCAATTGCCTTATTATTGCTTTGTAAGATTCATAACGGCAGAGATTAGAGACTACATCATAGTAGAAATTTGGTATTTTAAAATTAATGTTTTCTATTTAACAATTCTTTATCAAAATGGAAAGGTAAGTAATCTGATTGAATAAATTTTTACTAATATGTAAATGATAAAATTATAATCCTTCAGGAAGTGCTTATATTTTAAGGAAAATATAAGCAACATTTGTTGTCTGGCTTTGAATCGTGTGCTTCTTGTTGTGGTAATGGCACCTAAATTTCCTTGAAGAAGTCCCAGTTCTCCTAGATTATGTTTTGGATAGAGTTCATTCTTACTGCTTCAATTCTAAGAGTAACATACAGTGTGCAAATTTGGTAAATGGGACTTTTAAATTGCTTTGGCCTTAATGACTACATCAGAGATGGGCATGTTACCTAATCAGAGCCAATAGGATTCACTGAAGCTTTTGCTGGGATTGCCGAGGAGGGGCAGCTGGTCTTCACCACAGGACTGGAGCCTGGGAATGTGAGAAGCCGGGCTGCCACAGCCATCTTCCACCATACTTGAGGATTCAGCCAAGATAATAAATGACAAAGCAGAGAGTTGCATTGGGCTATGTTGTTGAAGTCTATGAGTTTCTGGACTCATTCTGTCTGGAGTCACATTTACACAAGGGTGTTTCAATTATGTTAGCCAGTAAATTCTCTTTATAACTCGGTATAGTTTATGTCAATATATTAGGGTTCATTGTATGAAAGAAAAATCACAAGGTATTTTAAACAGAAGAAAATTTAAAAGAGTGAATTAAATATTTACCAAATGATTGGAAATCCTGGAGGACTGGGCTTCTAGAATTGACTTCCAGAACACTACAGAATTGTCCTGCCAGGGAAGCTATAACCTTGGGTACATCAGAAAGTGTGGCGTAAGGAGGAAAGTGTGGCGTAGGGAGGAATTGTGTTCAGCAACACAATGCAAAAACTACAAATCCAGGAATAGGAATCCGGATCAGGAAGCTTCTTACTCCAGAATCTTCTTTTGACATCATCAAAGCTGGAGTCTGCACAGTGGAGTCAGGCTGTTCATTCTGCCACAATCCGACTGCCTCCTAACACCCACATCGCTAGCAGTGACACAGTGGAATGCTGAGGCA
This sequence comes from Homo sapiens, assembly GCF_000001405.40. NCBI lineage: Eukaryota > Metazoa > Chordata > Mammalia > Primates > Hominidae > Homo > Homo sapiens. The sequence goes on along the minus strand of NC_000001.11, from coordinate 81,135,545 downwards.
GAAAAGTTCTTCTTCGTGACCTTGCTGGCCAGCAAAAATGGCAAATGTTAATAGACACATCGATTTTTTTTTCTCCTTTCCATCTTCTCCGCAGCTTTTCAGTACCACTAATTGGAAGAATCTCTTTTTCTCATAGAGACGCTAAGGTGGAAGGAAGTCTGGGAAATGTAGTTTTTAGCATTTCAGTCATTACTGTAGAAGAAAATGCACTAAGAAAGAAGTGGGAATGGAAAGTGAGTGCCAATTTATCTCAGAGAGTTTGAGAAAGATTTCATTAACTTGAAGTCAAAAGATTCTTGATACAGACGTCTCTGGCTTAACTTAGGTGAATTTCTAAATGATGGAATCTCAAACATTGTAACTTAGTGCAAACACTTCTACAAAATAGAAAAAGAATCAGGAATTATCTGGGGTCAATTTCCTAAAATACAATATGAAGTACATCATAAGCCCTTGGCTAAATATTTGTTGAGACTTTTCAATGAATGAGGATTATCTTGTTTCTTTCAATGACATCTTCTTTTCATCCAGTTATAAATGTACAGATTTTTCAAAATTCCCAGGTTTCTTACCAAGTCTCCCAAGGCAGGAAAAGTGTAAGTTAAATATTAAATATCATTTTAATAAGTGTTGATTAGTTTATACCATTTATATCATATCTTTTCTAATATAACACCCTTAAACATTAAAACAATTTCAGACTCCCACATGTTTGTTGTTGTACTTCTAGTATCATTAAATTGAGCATGCAAAGGTAGGTGTAATAAGATTTGTACTGAACTTTTTTTTTAGTACAACAAAATAGCTGCTACATATATTTTATAGATAAAAATATACATAGAAAAAAGAGTGTGAACAGGACAGAGATGTTCAAGACATTTGATTAGAAAGATTTTCTAATACATACATATCATGGACAGATATCATTAATCTATACTGGGGCAAAATACTGATTAATATAAAGGGGCCACTATAGTATCTTAGTTAACTGGATGAATTAATAAAGTTTTTGAAGGTATTGAGAAAATTTCATGAAAGCTAAGCATTTGGCCTATGGCTCATGTAATTTCACAGATGCAGGACAATGTCTTCTAAAGATAAGTTATCCAATATATATTTGGATAATGTTATAAGCTCTACATTTACAAATATTTCATCAATTATATTACCTCCTCTAGGTTTAAAGAAGAAAAATATAATTTTTATATAAAGTATTTATGAATGTCTGTCAAAATTTGAAACCATAGCCTACATTAGCAAAAAATATTTTAGTTAAATGTAAAGAAATGACTAAAGAAATGAGTAATAATGTGCCATTTATGACTGACTCATATTTTTCCAGATAAAATAAGCTGAAATGTGACTGAAATATAGAAAATCTATATAAAAATGAATAAGAAAATGAAATCTGCCAAATAAAAGTTGAAACTCTGGGATAGTTCTTTAGTGAAATCTTAGAACTGTAATTTATATAATGATAAGAAACTATTTTCCCCACTCTCCCTGAAAATACATTTGAATATAACTGTAATTTGTTTAGTTTCTTATTCTTATATTTTATAGTATTAAACTGTTATGAAATGCAAATGCAAACCACTTCTGTCACCTATCATCATGTTTGATTAACAAATCAACAGAACCTAATATGATACTTCAACTTAAAATTGTTTTTCATTATATTAAATGTTTTACCTAATAAAGTGGAAAAAACCATTTTATTCATTAGAGGCTTATTTTCAATGGAAAGTGAAATAAGTGAATCATAAAACATGCATAGATATGAAATTCATGCTAGATAAGTGGCATGTTAGGATCTGTGAAAATGAAGTTTGTAAGCAAGAGGTTGCCTGGAGTATCTGAAGATTCTAAGACAGTACCAGTCAGATGAATGAATTTCCTGCTTCCTTTCTCCTAGAAATTTTTTGAGCTTCAGAGGAGTGATTTTTTATTGGTAAAAAAGATCATGTTACTTTTGGTGTCATAGTAGATTGAAAAGGTTTATTTCATTTTTTTTTCATAATCACAGTGAGAATCTTCCTTGTACATACCCTTATACCCACCAACATTGCTTGAGATACATGGATGCAATATTGTAGACACGATAAGAGTGTTGAGTAATACATTTTCATTTATGTCATAGTGCAAACAGAGTTAAATTATGAAAGATGTTTATAGTTTCAAGGGTTCAGTAAAGAGCCTCATTGTTCCATGCCTGAATTCTAAATCACTTGAGAAATAAGACCAAAGGGAAAGGCAATTGGAAGAAAAAATATCTGCCTAATTGTGAATATTGCTCTCAGTTGCCAATGTGAATTATATCTAAAGATAAACCAGCTTCTTGATATCAAAATTCAAAATTGGGAATAATTTTCTGCACAAGATACAATTTATACCATGAGGACTGGGTTTTCATGGCCAAGCTGACTATCTGACCATAGCAACCAAGAACCCATACACTTTGTGGGTAGTCCATTCTTGAAAGAGAGAAGAAGGGGCTTGGCCTAGGAGGATCAGTTTTCATTTCAAACTCTTCAGTCTAATTAAGAACTCACAGGTGAGGAGGAATAAATGGGGGGGGAGGGGCCAATAATTTGCATAAATAGAGCTTTCTTCACATAGAAGAAAAACATCATGATGAGGGAAAAATGTTTCTTCCCCAAAATGGATACTGCTCACATTTTATGCCCAAAATCTAAGTAATAATTTAATCTTAAACTAGGCAGAGTACAAATACATGTATTTCTAAATAAATATACATATAAAAATACAAACAACTCAAATCATTAATTTATGTAGTCAATTCATATTCATTGAGTGTTAACTACATGCTAGGCATTGGGAATTCAAAAATGGAATTATTGTTTTCTGCCTTCAAGGTATTTCTAGTCCAGTAGAGAGAATTTCAAACACACCAATAAAGCATGATGTTAACTGTCAAAATCAAATTATGCACAATATGATATTGAACTTTCGAGGGGTAATCCCTGAGTCTGAATGGCAAAGTCAGGAAAGACTTCTCATAGAAAGCAGCATTTGAGTTGAGACCTCAAAGGTAAGAAGAAATTTGCCAGTTGGATAAGTTAGGGATAAATATTTTCTCTAACCTGAAGAAAAGCCTGATGTTCAGGGACATAGATGCTTGAGAAAGGCTGGGGAACTTCAAGTGGCTGGATTGTAAAATGACATTAATAAAAATAGCAATAACCCCAAACTTACTTTGTGTTAGAAAGTTTTCTAAGTGTTTTGTGTGGATCATTTCATTTCTCCCCATAACAGCCCTGTGAATTAGTGAATGTAACTATCTTAATTTTACTGGAGGAATATGAGGCTTGAAGAAGGTTGATGATAAGCCTGGGATGCAATTTCAGGTAGCTTGCCTCCAAAGTTTGTGGTATAGCTGCTGTGCTATTTTGCCTCTGAAATGGGACTGATAAGGGGTGAAAGTAGACATGCGGGTGGAGACTACATCCTAAAATGACTTATAGCTGATGATTAGGAATTTACATTTTATCCTGTGATCAACATGGATATATTTATATTATGATGGACAAAATCTTCATAGAATATAGAAGCTTATCCTATAGTGATGCTTTTCTCTTATAAAATACTCATTCATAAATTTATAAATTAAAAAAAAAAACAGAAACACATTTCCAGTTTTAGAAAAGCACAATTCCAACATGCCTATCTGAATCACAGTGCATTTACTGCACCTCTTTTCTTTTTTTTTTTGAGACGGAGTCTCACTCTGTCGCCAGGCTGGAGTGCAGTGGCATGATCTGGGCTCACTGCAACCTCTGCCTCCCGGTTTCAAGCGATTCTCCTGCCTTTGCCTCCCAAGTAGCTGGGACTACAGGCGCCCACCACCACGCCCAGCTAATTTTTGTATTTTTTGTAGAGTCGAGGTTTCACCATGTTGGCCAGGATGGTCTCTATCTCTTGACCTTGTGATCCACCTGTCTGGAACTCCAAAAGTGCTGGGATTACAGGCGTGAGCCCCTGCGCCCGGCCTATTGCACCTCTTAATACAATTGGCATTGTCCAAGGATTCATCTAAAGAGAATGTCACAATTGTGGATACTGTGTGTATTCTTATTCTACACAACTGAATACAAAGGTCAGCAGCCTTTAGTTGAGAAAACTCCCAAATCACTTCACTTGATCAATCACATACTAAGCTGAATTATTAATGTATTATCAGATATTTATTGAGTTTATAATATGTGAAAGGCACTGTTTTAGGCAGTGGGGTTACAGTAGTAAATGAAACAGACAAAAATTGATGACTTCATGGAGCTTACATTCTAGTAGAACAAGACAATAAAAACAAATAAATATGTAAAACATGGATGTTGTCAAATGATGAGTGGTATGGAGAAAATAAAGAGGATAAAGTAAGCAGGAAAGGCTAAGGGTTATAATTTCATGTATTTTAAATTTTAAATATGGGTAGGTGTCGGAAAATCTCATGGAGAAGGTGTCATTTGAGCAAACACCTGAAGGAGATGAGGAAATGAACTGTGTGACAAGCATTCTGGACAGTGGAGGTCATATAAAATATACAAAGAAGATGAGTAGTGGTGATTGTCCTCTAGAAGTGTATAAGACTAAATACATTCTAATAATTAATTACAAGATAGCATAAGAGGCAGTATTACGTAGTGTGATAAAAGCAGGCTCTGGTGTCCACTTATCTTGGTTTGAATCCCAGTTCCTCTTGCCCATTGTTTTAGCACAGACAATTAACTTAACCTTTCTGCTCTATTATCTATAAAATATGTACAAGAGTATGAGTAGTAACTACATCCTAGACAGTGAGAATTCAAAAATGGAGTTCATGTTTTCTGCCTTCAAGGTATTTCTAGCCCAGTAGAGAGAGAGATTTTAAGTAGAGGAGTGATGTATGGAAAAAATGTGGTTAACAACCATAATATTATTATGAATTAGACAGAATAGTCCTGGCATATTATAATTGCATGGGAAATGCTAGTTCAGAAGAAAATTATCATATGTTACATTCAAATAAACTTTATTATTTTCAAAGTACCTTTTTAGACATATTACTTTGAAATTATTATGGAAAGCAGTTATTAATCTCATTTTAATAACGAGGAAATGGAGGATCAGAGGGTCAAGTGACTCATTCAAGGTCATGTTATAGCTATGTAAGAGTGCTGGAACAAAAACACAGTCTTTCTTTCTAGTTTCTAGACTTTACCTGTTTTCCTCTCCAGAACTACACTTCCCGGATGGGGGGCTCCATTAATTCCAGAAGCTATGCAGATGTGGAGAAATCCTTCCACAGCAAATTGAATCTGGAAGGTTGACAGAATAAAGGGTGACAGAAAGGGAAAGGTGGGTCGTGGTCATTTCAAGCACGGAGAATGATCATCAGCATTCAGAAAACTCATGGAATTTTTTACTGGGGGCCATGGAAATAGAGTGAGGGGGTAGCCAGTAATTAGATCACTTTGAAACAGAGGATTTATGTTTAGAGGTACAGGGAACTAGGCAACAACCATAAGCAAGTTGAGGCCAGACGGCAGAGAACTTTAAATGTCAAGCTAAGGCATTTGAGCTTTATTTTTGGCATAGAGAAACCACTGACAGTTTTTAAGTAGAAGAGTGATGTATGGAAAAAATGTGCGTTTTTAGGAAGAAAATCTGATAGAATGAATAAGAGATAGGGAGGAAACAGAGAATTGAAGAACCATTCAGAGAATATTGGAAGTAATCCAAGGGAAATATAAAATAATTAGAAGTACATACCAGAATAAATTAATCCCAGTTAAAATTAAATTGATTTAAATACAGAAGCTTTCTATTTTGTTAAAGAAAACTACAAACTACAGTATGTTCAGAAGTTTAGTTATTTCCAGGTGCCTCAGGTGGGGCGTATATGTGCAATAGTCTTATTGGAACGTTTGCCTGTGTGCTGCTCTGTGTTTCAGATAGTGACAGTTTGAGTGTGATATCTTGCACATGCTGCTTTGGAAACATATAAGGAAACATCAAATGCACGTGCCATGCAATGCATAACTTAGATTAAGACAGCTTTTTTTTTCTTGCTTAAGCAGCTGCAGTTAACACTTTTGTGAAGTTTGATATGTCCCCAGTATCTCTTCTACTGGGTGCAGTAACAGCAGCCCCAGAGAAACACCATAGCAGTCGGCCATGTAATTCCCAGTGTGCATTTAAGGAATGCAAAGCTACTTTATGGAAGGGAGAAAAGTGGTCCACTGGGAGGCAAAGCATAAGTGAGGAGAAAACTAATATCCAAATGCAATATGATGTGTGTATGCGTTTGTTCTCGCACTGCTACAAAGAAATACCTGAGACTGGGTAATTTATAAAGAAAAAAGGTTTAATAGGCTCTGTACAGGAAGCATGGCTGGGAAGGCCTCAGAAAACTTTCAGTCGTGGCGGAAGGCGAAGGGGAAGCACGCACGTCTTACATGGCCCAAGCAGGAGGAAGAGCGAGAAAGGGAAGGTGCCACACAATTTTAAACAACCAGATCTCAAGAAAACGCACTCACTATCACGAGAACAGCAAGGGGGAAATCTGCCCCCATGATTCAATCCCCTCCCACCAGGTGCCTCCTCCAACTTTGGGGATTACAATTACCCATGAGATTTGAGCAGGGACACAAATTCAAATCATATCAACCTGTAACATTCAAGATTTACCCAGATCGTCCTCTCCATACCCCTGTCCACCGAACTCTGTTAGTTAAATGCTTAAAACAAAATGAAACAAAAAACAAAGGTATACCATATTTATGGCCAAATAGTAGATTTATTAGCTATCTCTAATCATTTCTTGGTGTGTCCTAGTGCCAAATAAGGCATTATTTACAAAGGTGACTACAGAAATAAATTATTTTACTGGACTTATAAAAAATACCTGTTAATTAGCTTGAAAAAGAAAGACTTTTTCAGGCCTGCAGCCATTCCTTGTCAGGTTGGAATCTCCTTAACTCTGACCAGCTAAGTAAGGTCTGACCTTTCAGCACATCCTGGAGAAACTCAGAAGCTTCCTTAAGCAGCATTGGAGGATACTAAATCTCTCTGTAATAATGAAAGAATCTGAATTGCTGAAGGTACAAATGTGACCTCTTTCGCAGGTAAATTCATACTGAGGTAAATACAAATCACAGTTATCTGTGCTCAGTCTTCTAATTCTTAACACAAGAAAAGCACTTATTATGGGTAGACACATGTTTTCTGTCTTGTCTGTTAAAGACATGAAACTTGATTCAGGTTCACAAGTAAGCCAGTTTCACTACAACTTGGATAGAGATTGTTTTCTTCCATAAGCAACTGATGAAATTTCAAAATCTCAGAAGCCACTGTATTCTGAGAGTAAGCACAAATGGCAGGGTATGGGGAAATTACTGTGAACATAATTCTTGAATAATCCAGTGTACAGATGCAAATTTTCCTGATTGGCTTGCAATGTAGTGGATAGCTTATTTACCTTTGGAGTACATTTCCATTTAAAGTAAGGGAATTAAAAATAAAAAAGCATCCAGTAGGGAGGAAGAAGAGAGAGAGAAGAGACAGCAAAAGAAAAATAAGTAAAGAGCAAAATGGCCAGGAGACAAGAGGAGATGAGAAAATAATATGAATATAAGAGAGGAGAATAAGGGTTTATTACAGGGGATACTGAAATACTGAAATACTCTCAGTATCCCAACTAAGCTGGCACTTAAAATTTCTTTATTCTTAGAGTTTAAATAGCTGCATGGCTTTCCTCTTATCATAATTAGTGAACAACAAATTGTCACCAACATTTAGTTATTCTGGATAGCAGAAGTCATTTGGCGCTTCCATTGGAGATTACTTAGAACCATTGAAAATGACAGGTTAGAGTGTTTTCATTACTTTGTGAGTTATTTATAAAGCAAGTAGAACACACAAGTTGAATGAAACTCTGTTATTTGTACTTACATTCCTCTCATAAAAGTCTCCTCAACCATATGATTTTCTTGGTCTAATATGAGGCCCCATTGGAATTTCTGTCTCTGACTCTCCAAGTCATCACAACATTGCATCATGATGCCTGAAAGAGAGCTCTGGAGGTCAAGTCATACTTTGGTCCCCTCCAGTCATTCATGGATTTGTTGCGGTCAATGGAATTGTCCTCAGGATGACAGCCAGAGAACGTGCCTAGGCCAAGATAAATGCATTAGAAAGCAAAAAAGGAATGCAGCTCAATGGGCAGTGAAAATCAATGAGAGCAAATTGGCCCATTTTTGCCTCACTGACTTGTACTGTCCATTAAGCCCTATTTGCTGGTTCGTGGTTGTTCACTTCATTTACTTTCTAATCCTTTTTTTGACAGCTTGGCACATCTCCAGGTTAGTGCAATCCTGTTAATTGCCATCACCTGCTACTGACTTACTGTGACACAGGCCTTATCACCTCATTACAGGGATAGGACATGAAATTCTACACATGAAACCCAGTGTGAGGCCTGGTTTGTTTAGGATTGGGATTTAAATCAGACATGATCTCACAGCTTCTTGGGAATGGAGATTTTCCATGTCCTCATGCCTCCAAAGGAGCTATGATTTCCTTTAGCTCATTTGACTTTTACATAGTCTCATTGCTACAGTGATCACTTCACTACTTTAGACAAGAAAGTGGAAGAGTGGAATATTCAATGGTGGGAAGAGGTTTTGGGAATTTTTTTTCCATATGGAATCCAAGCCCCTTAAGCACCAGGGGCAAGGCTGCATTGGTGAATTTATCACATTGTGTTGTAATTGCCAGTCTGTTTGTTTTTTTCACTCAAGGACAGGAACATGATGCATTTCTATTTTTTGTTCCCATCGCCAATAACAATTTGCCAACTGAATACACAATATAGCACTTATTGAGCACCTGCCGTAAGCTGATTTATTTTTAAAACAACCCTATGGGGCTAAATATTATTATTCCAATATTCTTCATGATGAAACTGAAGGTCAAAGAGGTTAGATTGCATGTCTATGGTGGGCAAAGCTGGAATGAAAACTCAGAATGCCTGCCTCCAAATTCCTCAGCATTTTTCCTTCCATCTTATATTAAAGAGGCTTAATAGACTGGATATTATAATGAGACCATTAGAACATGAACCATATGCATCAAAGGATCTTCTGGAAACTGAAGATGATGAATTACAAAACTTTTGTGATCATAAAATTGCTAAATAAGTTGAAATATTGAAAAACATATACAAATCTTATTTTTGGCATATCTCCTTTTTACTTAATAATTCAAAATAGAAAAAAAACGCTGCTTTTTTGAGAACATTTTATTTTAGTTCTCCTTTTCTTTTCCCTCCCCTTATATGGTATACTTGGTTACTCAAGAAGAGATCAGCTTGGGGCAGGACTTGATATTCAGTAAGAAAATTCAGTCTCTCAAAAAATATCTAGTGGCTTTGTTTTATGAGTGGGAATCACTATCAGATGGCTCTTAGTTACTGAATAGTGATTGGGACTATAATAGTCTATCATTTAGTTTCTGAGTCAAAATAGACTCCAGAATCTCCTCCTCCTTGTATGGAATTACACAAGTGTGTTAGCGTTCCATAGCACTTATACATGTGTATATGACTCTGTTATTCCATACAAAGCCTCTGTATACAATTTCTCCAAACTTTATGTGATGAGTTCCACATGGCTCTTGTTCTAGTTTCGGTATCCTGGACAGACTCCAATTTGAATAATTATTTTTCTGTCATCTCAGTTCCTTCTTCAGTTTCAACGGATATATTCCTCTTCTCTTTGTGTCTCAAACTCTTGCGCAGTGTTGCTTCACAGTGTTTGGTAACAATTTTTATGTGGCTTTTTTTTTGGTCAAAATAATTAAAATACCTGCTTTTTAAAATGTATAACAATTTGGACTTAAAAAATAGACTCAACCAGTACTACTTGTCATTCTTGTACAGATTTCATGCACCAAACATATATTTACAAATATTTCCTAATCTTTTTATTTTCACCTTCTTGCAAACTCACTTTCTGAAATATTATCTTATTCATTATTCAACTCCACACCAAATTCCCAACTGTGAAAAAAACTCCTGTTATTTTTTAAAAATGCAGTTATTCTTCATTTTAATTCTGTGTCAGCTATCTCTAAACTGGTTGTTCAAAGTTATGTACAATGCCTCCACCTTTTCTTTTTTTTTTTTTTTTGGTTTCAATGGCGAACGTCAAACTTCGAAGGGGCAAGACGATAGCTGGCAATGTTTATTCTGCATACTTCACAGTATTCTTTCACAATATTTTAATTTTTGCATCTCAAAATTCCATTGACAATCATTGAACAACTTCCCTTTGCTTTTACAAAAGAAGAAAGTGCAAAGGTGTACATAAAAATCTCTGATCATTTTTAGCACTTCTGCCTGTATGTAACTGGGAGCTTTGTGAGCCTGTGGTTTCTCTCCTCCTTGGTAAGCCTATCCATCAATAGGTGCTGTGTAGTTCCAACAGTGAGGATGTGAAAAGAGGGCAGTGACAAATATCCTGTGAAAATAAATCTTTGTCTCCTGTGACCTTGAGTATTTATTTACCCATTTATTCAACAAACTTTTTATTGAACATCTACTGAAGTCAGCCTCTCCCTTGGAATTTCTTGGTAAACACTGTTTATTTCAGACCATTGATGCCTGACATTTGAATTAGTAATTTATTATTTAGTTGAGCCTCAGTTACTTTCTTAATCCCACAAGCCAAACCTGAATATCAGAAGGCTCTTTTCCTGAAAACCCCTTTAACTTTTGCTGAAGATTCCAGTTCTTATGCTCAGTAGGTAGAATGATTTTCGTCTGAACATAACACAAAGGAAACATTTTAATGATATCTTCACTATCTGATATGGCGGTCTCAGTTCAGACAGATTGCTTTTGCAAGCACTCTTGCAAATTGAAGGCATACACCTGTGATAAATTTTCTTTCAGCCAAAATACATGCATAATGTTCAAACTAGATCAAGTCTTCTAAAATGAAATGGAAGCTAGTGTTGTTGCTAAGCAAATGCTGTGCCATCAACTGAAAATAGCATTCCTATTAAAGCCAAGTGAAAAGTTTGATTTCTATTACTTAAATTGTACATTGGGTTATAGAACTCTAGGCTTAAATTCTGAATATATGATTTTATGTTGTTTTAAACAGAAATATTTTAGTTAAGTGAGCAACTAGCGAACTGTGATATTCATATTCAAATACATGCACATTTGCATGGTGTAAGAAGGGATACAGACAGGGCTTAAATCTTTTAAATATAATATTTATAAGTAAGATGCTCACAATTATAAACCTTATGAGCAAGGTGATCCCCAGAGGTGAATGCAAGAAAATAATTATGGAAAGTAGATGCAGAAAGATCCTCAAGGGAAATATTATTCATGACGTATTTTAGTTCTCTAACATATGTTAAAATGAAAATAATATTGCTGGGGTAGAATTCAAAATAATTTATAAGATCAGAATTTTAGTTTGATTTTATAGTTAGAGGAATATTTATTGGTTGTGTTAATCTGTTTTCACACTGCCATAAGGAACTACCAGAGACTATGTAATTTATAAAGAAAAGAGGTTTAATTGACTCAGTTCTGCTTGGCTGGGGAGGCCTCAGGAAACTTACAATCATGGCAGAAGATGAAGGGGAAACAAGGCATGGTGGAAGGAGAGAGAGAGAAATCAGGGAAAATGCTGCACACTTTTAAACCATCAGATCTCATGAGAGCTTACCCACTATCACTAGAACAGCAAGGGAGAAATTCGCCCTTATTATGCAATCACTTCCCACCAGGCGCCCCTGACACATGGGGATTACAATTCCAGATGAGATTTGAGTGGGGACACAGAGTCAAACCATGTTATTTGTTATTTGATTTCATTTCAGATGACTTAGAGATCCAGGATTTAGAAAGAGACATAGAAAGTAAGTGAATCTAACACGTTATTCTCCCTTTGTTTCTAAGCAAAAATAAGAAAATAGTGTTGGTGAGACCAAACGTCGATATTTCCACACACAATTTCCATTGTTTTATTTAATTTTAATGCCTATCTCAGAATTATAATAGTTCAAAAAGAATAAGACACTTAAGGAATAAAAAGGGTCTCATCTACATGAAAGCTTGTGCAATAAGAAAAATCCTGCTACCACCGACCAAGAAAATCATTACTTAAGTACTACAAAGAAATAAAGAATAAAATGAAGTTATAAAGTTATGGTACTTTCAAGAGGTTTTTACTCTTCTTGCAACTTTAAGGTTAACAAAATCAAAGATTCTAAACACACACCATTATAATTTTTATAAATGTGCTTATTAATACATTTACAGCTTTAATTACAATATACATAACTCATAAACAGGTTGCCAAATACTTTCTTGAGTTCAGTAAATCCAAGAATGAAAATTAAAGCTGCTTCATAATAATTAATTTGGTTGAATTTAGATATTTTGCACATTATAATCTTCAAGTAAGAAGCTTTAAGATATAGTGAAATTGATTTTTCAATAATTATTAATTTTCATATTTAGTGAATTTGATGATTAAGATTTTTTGGTATTTTAAAATACATATGCATAAAAGAAATTATTTTAAATTCTATAGTTAGCTCAGCAGACATCAGGAAGTTAGGACTAATGAACTGTGATATTTTGTGACATTTCATTAATAAGGTTTTTTTCTCTGTTCTTAAGTAGTTTTTGTATTCTTAGCAATTTTCTGCCAAGTTATGATCAATTAGCAACTTATTTCCTTTATTATCCCGTTCCTTAAGAAATGTGAAATGCCTTTGTGTCATAATCAGCAATGGTCTTTTGTTAACTTCTTTAGCAACACTTTTGTCTTACGTTATTCAATAGAGGAGCAGGACAAAAATATCCTCGATAAATTGGTCTAAATATTTGTGTAACAATATTTGGTGGGACGACAATAAAACCTGAGGGGTCACACACATACAACCGTCAATCAAGAAGATTATATCCCACAATGTTTAAGACTGTTTTTGATCATTTTATGGCTAAATCATTTTTATTTAAATAATTTAATTGAATCATACTTCAGATTTTAGAGCTGTTGGCCAAAACTTAAATAATCTATACTGATAAATTATTGAGAACCATTGACCGCTACCTAAAATTTCATGAAATTACATTTCTATCATAATTTATAGATGCTGAAATTTCTTATTTTACTATAGTGGAATCAAGCTACAGATTCTGAGCATTCGTTTTTGCCAGTTGTTCTCATTTCTACCAGCAGTCAGTTGTATACTGCTTTGTACAATATAGGCACTTGATCAGTATTTGTTGCTGGGCTGAATCTTCATGATTGCAATGAAGAGAAAATATTCTTTTTTTATTTTTCAATTTTCTAATGAAAATAAGTAGGGTAAAAGTTGGTGTTGAGAAAAGTGTGAAGCTCAAGGATAATGCTGAATTTTAAAATTGGACTTTCGGATGGAATATTAAAGCTTTGCTACCATACCATACCATTGCTCAGTCACAGCGAGGTAAGTGAATGAACACAGCTGTCCAGCCCCTGAAGACTGATTGGAGCTGAATGTCTGATAAGAAGGCAGGGTCCTGTTTTGATTGGTCAGTTTTGATGCTCTATTAGCTGTTAAATGTTTTGAACATCAGTCTGTATGTAATGAATTAGAGGGACAAAGATTACTTTTAGATGTCTTTAGATGGCACAAGAAAACAATTGGAGGCAGAAAGGAAAAGGAAAATTACATTTGCCTAGCATCTACTATGTGATTATTTCTGGTTAAGATTTTTTATTTCTTCACAGAATCTCCATTATAAAGATGAGAAGATTGAAACTCAGGGTTTAAGATGAAATAAAATCACAAAAGTAAAATGCCTAGATCAACCTTTCTGCTATTTATAACCATTCAAAAATAACAGATTCATAAGCCTGTTTCCTGAAGCGGAATCTGTTGTAATTTGCAAATCCTTTAAACCAATTCTTGCTAAATGCCAGTAATTTACACATATAAACCGCATAGTGCTATCACGAACTGACTTGCTTTGAGGGCAGTGACAGATTGTAAGAGTGGGAAGTTAGCTTTTTATTACATAATCTAACCTTTTGGCTTTGGGAAGCCGTGAAGACATATACCAAAAAAATTATGACTTTCTCAATTCTGGTATTGGCAAAGGTGGAATTTCAAATTCGAATCTATTTCTATGTCTTTATACTATTCTATATTACTACCAAATTGGATGATTGTCAGCTACTTGAAATAGACACCATGTCTTCTATTTTTTAGGCATTTTTTTTTAGCACGAATATATGTTCAGTACAAATGTGACATTTGATAATTATTTGGTTTTCTAATTTATTCAACAAATACTTTTAAGCCATTTTTATAAGATAGATGCCAATATGATTTGGCTCTGTCTCCCCACCCAAATCTCACCTTGAATTATAATAATCCCCAATTGTCAAGGGAAGGACCAGGTGGAGGTAATTTGAGCATGGGAGCAGTTTCCCCCATGCTGTTCTCTGATTTTATAAATTGTTCAGATAATCGAATGAAGTATTGCAAAGTATTTATCATTGTGTCTCACACCATTTAGTGCTTAATAAATGGTAACTGCTATAATTATTATTTACTATTATCATCTGTGATTATGCACAGATTATGACTTGTCCCTCTGAGAAAATTTTCTTACTTCCTTCACAGATGTAATTCAGCCATAATATAGACCACTGTTGTAGCCTAGCGTAGATACCACTGTCATAGTCCAGCATAGACACCACACACACACACACAGACACACACACACAGTGTTGCATTAATGGGAAGAGGAAAGAGCATGGAATTTGGAATAAAATAAAGCCTTGGGTGAGGTTACACCACTTTCTAGCTGCTTTATTCTTGGAAAATGTCTTATCCTCTCTGATTTGTAATTTCCTCATGTGTAAAAATAATAATTTTCTTATAGGACCATTGTAAAAATTGGATGAAGCAACATCTATTTAAAGGGTTGCACCAGCACTTATTAAGTTTAGTAAAAAAGTACATTTGCATTTATTTATCTTCAGGGTTAAACAGGAAAAATGCAATAATGTCATTTTTTAGTTTTAAATACCATTCTTTCTATTTTCTTTTCCTCCTGTGAAAAGTTTCCTGCTAGACTTAAGGGTTGGTGTCAGCAGAGAGCCAGCTTGTCTCACAAAAATATAAGCACAAACAACAAAATCATTTTCAAGGGGTTTTTATGTTGGGTGTGGGAAAAGAGAATAACTCTAAATAGATGAGCCATGTGCTCAAAGTCAGGTTTGGCACTGCCACTGGTATCTCATGGGCTCTGGTGGAATTCAACGTGTCATTACATTTTGCTTTTATTCTCTTTAATCCAGAATCAAATGTCAGCTTTAGTCTTTCAATAGTCTCATTTACCTCAGGGAGCAACTGCTATGTCCCCAGTGCAACTAGTTTCCCTTGAAAACTCCCCCTTTTATCACTTGGTACTTGCTAGATTTTCACTTTTAAATAAAATGGTTAATAATTTCTCTGGTGTATTTGAGATTTTAAAAGCATTTTTTTCAATTTAGTTTAATCTGTGTTTAATTTAATATATTAAATCTTAATTTAATATTTTACAATTTGAGCTAATATATTTAAAATGCATTACATCTTAATTTTATATATTCAATCACAGTTTAATAAAATTTCCTTTTAACATCTTGATTAAAAGGACTGTTGCACAGTAGTTACGCCTTTCAATTAAACTCTAAGCACTGTTGTCTCAGTGGGCTTCAGCATTCCATCAGGGGCTTGAAGCCTGAAGTCCGAAAATGGAGAAAGAAGTACCAGTAGAAAAATGTAGAAACTTTATTACTGATGTATCTTTCTGACCTTAGTGACTTCTGCATTAGTAAGGATAACTCTAGTTGCTGTGCAAACAAGTTCCCAAATTTCAGTGGTTTAAGGCAATGGAAATTATTCACATAATCTACCAAATTGGTATTCCCGATCCATGTGTGGTTTGCCTCCAAATGATGATTCAGGTGCTCAGTCTTGTTCCATCTTGCTGACCTATAATTTTTAATGCTTTTAACAAGATCATCCTGGAAGGTAAAAGAATGCTGAGGATCACATGGGATGAATTTTTATGAGCAGATCTGGAAGAGGCACATATTATGTCTATTTTTATTCAATTGGCCAAAACTTAATCTAATCACCTGACCATTCCCAACTACAAAGGGCAATTGGGATTGTAGTTTAGCTGTGTGCAAAAGAGAAAGAGGAAACAGGTTTGTTCATATTTTTGTATCCCAAAGTACCTAAAACATTGGTTAGATATTTTATTTCCAGAATCACCTCCTAGCACGTAGCATCATGAAATTCAATGCCTCTGAGGACATTAAGATAGCCTTGACTGAAAAAAAAAAAAAAAAACTGCTATTTGAGAAAGAAAGCCAACAGAATATGTGGGAAATGTCTTTACTTTTGTATGTCTGATAACCATACTCTGCTTTTAATCATAAGCTTTGAATACTGAAGTAAATAAATAAATAGCAACAAATTATAGCATCCATAAAAAATACTTTGAGGGAGATACCTAGGTCTTTTTGTATTTTAATAATTGTAATTTTGAAGAGCTCCAACAGAAAGGGGCACTAGGTTTTCAACTATTCAGTGCAGAGGCATGTACCACTGATGATAAGGAATTAAAAAAAAAAACACATTTTGAACTCCCCTGACCTCTAAAGAAAAAAAAGCCCTAGGGAATTGTCATACAGAACCACAGATTTTCATTATGAATATAACATTAAAATTTTGCTAACAAGCATATTTTGAGTGATTTGTTAACAGCTCATGATATATGGATGACAAATAAACACAGAAAAATTCTCAACACTGTTAGTCATTGTGGAAATGCAAACTGAACCATGAAGGGATCCACTGCTCACCTTTTAGAATGGCTAAAATTTAAAAGTCTGACCCTCCCAAGTGCTGGTGAAGAAGTGGAGAAACTGGATCTCTCACCCAGCTGGTGGTGTAAAATGGCACAACTACTTTGGAAAAATATTTGGCAATTTCTTAAAATGTAAAACATACACTTACCATATGATTCATCTATTTCATGCCAAGGTATTTTCCCAGGAAAAATAAAAGCATATGTCCACACAAAATCTTATGCATGAATGTTCATAGCAGCTTTATTTTAATAGTAAAAATGTGGAAACCACCCAAATGTCCATCAACAGGTGCCAACAACTGTGTTATACCATGCAATAGAATATTCTCTTATAAATAAAGAGGAATAAATGTTGACACACGTTACAACATGAATGAATCTCAAAATAAGTATGTCAAGTGAAAGAATTCAGACAAAGAATAGTGCATACTATATAATTTCATTTATATAGAAAATGCAAACAAATATACAGTGACAGCAGATCATTTGTTGTCTGAGGTTGGGAGAGAAGGCCTGAAGCAGAGGTATAACAAAGGGCTCCAGGATCATTTTGGGAAAGTTAAGGGTGTGTTTATTATCGTGATTTTGGTAACAATGTATACATAGGTTAAAGCTTACTGAATACTTTAAGTATGAGCAGTTTATTGTTTGTCAGTTATACCTCAATAAAGGTGTTTTGAAAAAAAAATAATGTACAAACATGAAAGTTCACCATTATTTTTGTGATATTCTTGTCAAAAACATGCAACCAGGATTGAAACCTAAACTGAAGGACATTCTACAAAATGAATGATCTGGTTTCTTTAAAAGTTTTAAAGTCCTAAAAGGCTGAAAAAGAATGAAGAAATGTTGTAGATTTAAGGAAACTAAAAATACATGGCTATTACATAATACCTGGCTATACGTGATTCTGAACTGAATTTTTATGCTTTATAAGACATTATTGGAATAATTGGCCAAACTTACTTGGGTAAGTTCTGAATAGTAGACGGTAATAATGCACAAATGTTAATTTCCTGGATTTGATGGATGTGCTGTGGTTATGTGTGATAATCTCTTCTGCAGGAAATACATATTAATGTATTAAGAGGTGATGCAGCATCAGGTTGACTATTCTTCAATGGGTGAGGACAACTGTGTCTTTGTATACTTCTACAAAGCATTGTATAAGTTTGTCATTGTCCCAAAATTTAAATATTTTAAACAAAAAATAGAGTCTCTATAAGAAAAGAAAATAATTAAAGGAAATGGGTAAAAGATTTGAACAGATACTTGACCAAAAGTGATATCTGAGTGGCAAATAAGCATATGAAAAGATGACCTCATTAGTCATTAGAGAAATGCGAATCACAACCAGATGGAAATATGACTACACATGTATTGTAATGTTATCAAATGGAAAAGATTGTCAATGTCAAGTGTTGGAAGATAAATTATAGAAACTGGAACTTTCACACAGTGCTTTTGAGAATATGGTATAATACGGCACTTTGGAAAACAGCTTGGCAGTTTTAAAAAATATACTTCCACCAAATGACCTAGTCATTTTACTTGTAGGTATTTATTCAGGAAAATGAAAGCATATGTCCATACAAAGATCAGTATACAAATGTCCATAGCAGAATCATATGTAGTATTAAAAAACTGGAAACAACATGCATGTCTATTAACAAGTAAATGGATAAACACATTGTGATATATTTATTCAATGGAATACTATTCAGCAGTAAAAAGAAGTTGATCCCTGGTATGTGTAACAACATGGATAAACCTCAAAATAGTTATGCTGAGTGAAAGAAGCCATACAAGAAAGTACATACACTGTGATTCTCTTTATATAAAATTCTAGAAAATGAACATTAATCTATAGTGACAGAAAGCACATCATGCATTACCTGGGGACAGGTGAAGATGAGGACCAGAGAAAGGAACAAAAAAAAGGGGCACCAGGAAACTTTTGAGAATGATGGATGTGTTCATTCTGTGATTGTATTGATGATTTCACTGGTGTTTATATAAGTCAAATCACATAAAATTGTACATTTTAAATATGTGTAGTTTATAGAATGTAAATTACACCTCAAAAGGCTTTTAAAACAAATGAAGGCAGAAAGAAAAAGGCTTAGCTGAGTTCCTAATCATTTTAGGTAGCAAATAATGCAAGCTTCTATCTCTGGTGAATGTCTGGACTGCAGCAATTTATACATATCTACCCACTAGACAGTGAAGTTGGGATTAAGGTTTACATTTTTTGAAGTGAAAACTGAGGAACCTAACAGAATATCTGGGAATGGATCAATAGAATCCCCTTGAGCAAAACTAGGGCACAACTCAGAAAATGTTTTCTAGCTGGTTCACCTTCCAAATGAGTGATTATTAATGGTGTTTTATTTCCTGGTGTGGAAGTATTTCGCAGAGAAGCGGAAGTTCCAGGATGCCAGGAAAGTACCAGGAACACTCAGTTTCCCTGTGGGAAATCTCAGAGACATAGGACAACAAAGTGCTGTCTCTACCAGCGTTAGGATATATGCTGGCAGGTCAGTTCATGGAGTTGCTATTGTGCAAGTGTCAGGAAGGAGACTGATACCAATACCAGCCTATATGTCCTAACTAATCAGAATTTCAGGTAAAAAAGCCAACGTGATGTGCTACCTTCTCCTTCCTTGGATCAGCAACCTTTATAGGATAGTCTTCCAGGAAGGACTGATTCCTTAGGCTAAGTTGCTAGAAAGGAATCAGGTATTTGGAACTCAATGAAGCAGTCCACAGAAAGCCTTCAGGCAGGCCAGTAGTGAAGTGCTGTGGTAATCAATAAGGTGTTCATCAAAATATTTCTGCTTCTCCCTCCTCTAGGACATATGTAGAATTGTACTTCCTGCAATTGGCATGCAATCTACATAGCCCCCTCCCCCTGCCCCTTGAGGCCATGTGACTACTTTTGGCCAATGAGCTCCGAGTATGTCACATCTAGGCTAGAACATTTTAATTGCTCCCTGAAGCTCTTTTTCCATGGACTCAGGAAGTGGCACTGCTGGAAATAGTGGCTCGTCATTCAGCCTGAATCCCATATTGTGTTTAATGAGCAAGACACCCCTTGCCTGCTTTCAATGACATGTAGCCTGAACAAGAAAGAAGCTCTTCTTGTTTGATGACATTAACATTTTAGGGTTATTTGTTACTGCAGAACAGTCCTAGCCTATCCTGGTTCATTACAAAAAAAACCCTGCATTTGACAAGATATAGGTACTGATATTCTTTTCTTAAGGTCATTTGAACATGGACTGAATTAGAGGTACTGATTGATAGAAGCAAATTGATCCAGAGTCCACAGTCAGCATCTAGAATTTTTCACTGCATTAATTAGTTTGGAACATGGGAAAAAATATTATTAATACGGGGTGTAGTCAACAATTGTCCCATTACAATGTTTGCATTAAATTCTACATCTTCAGCCATAGAAGCCATAGATTGCATTGTTCTAGACCTAAGATTTGGTCAAGAAACTTGTAAGCACAAAGATGATATTGGCTGCTTAGGATTAAACATTCATAGTTTGCATCTAATACATAAACTGACATATATCAAATTACCTGTGGCTAAATTGAAAGCAAGGATAGTAGCTCCTAGAGAAGATAAGTGAGTGCTTGGCTATCTGGACTCAAGAATAAGGGAGCTGTCTTAAGAAAGGAAGAAGACGACTATGACAGAGATCCAAGCAAATCTTTACACACTTTAAAAATTTTCCTTGTAATGGTATTGTCCACCTAATTGTAGTAGTTAACGAAATTTACAAAATCTTTCAAAAAGATACTAAGGCAGGAGAATGGGGTCTGGAGGCAGGAAACATAAGGCCAATTCACGTTGACTTCCTAGAAGTAAATCAAATGGAAACACTTCAGCTATGATAGCAAATATCCTCTCCATTTACAGAGGGCGCAAACCGAGTAAATGACTTTGTAACTTTACTTCAGCCTCTTCATTTACATAGGGCGCATACCAAGTAACCAATGGAAATTTCTAGAGGATATTTAAACCCCAGAAAACTCTGTAATGAGGCTCTTGAGCCCATACTCTCAGGCCCGCTCCCACCTTGTGGAGTGTACTTTCATTTTCAATAAATCTCTGCTTTTGCTGCTTCATTCTTTCTTTCTTTGTGTGTTTTTTCCAATTCTTTGTTCAAGCCGCCAGGAACTTGGACGCCCTCCACTGGTAACATTGCCCTGAGTTTTTTTTTTTTTTTTTTCTCTATTCTTTATTGAGGCTTGGTGTTGCAAATGCTCCTTTCAATAATTTGGTAGACTCAAGCTTTGATGCAGAGAAAGTGTCTGTTAGAAAACATGGTAATATTCTTCCTGCTTACGATTCTTTTCAGTCTAAACCACTATCTCGTTTCTGTTGTTAAACCTATCCCTTGAAAGCACAGAAAACACAATGATGAGATTTTTGAAGAAAAGAAATGTAAATATCACCCAACACCTCCCAGCAATGGGAAACACCTTCCTCTATCTACTAAAATGAGAGATTTTTTTTTTTTTCATAAACAGCATGGATTTGGTCCCTACCACAGCTTTACCAAAGTGGAAGCTTGCAATACCCAGCCAGAAATAAAATTAAAAAACACACATGAGTCACTGCATTTTAGAGAGGATTTTACTACCAAAGAAGTTATTGACTGAACCAAAACCACAAACTGTTCCACCTCAGAAAGATTAATAACTGACAACAAAAGTAATGTTCCAGAAATTGGACTGGACATGTATGATAAGGACAGAAAACTAAATAGAAGACCAGGCATGTTTCTAATCCTCTTAATGCTACCCAGCTGCCAGTATCCAATAATTTCAATTAAAAAATCAGATTTTTTTCTGGCTTTTTTGCTCTTTCACAGCCTGAAGGAATTTCCATGTCCATGAAGTTGGTTTTCTCATCAATTACAATTTAAGAACTTAAAATGACTAATCCAGAAAGAGGTAAAAATAAATTATATCTTCCTATTATCTAAAATTACTGACTTATAGATAATATTTAGCAAGTTCTGGAAAACAGTGCATAGCTTCTTTGAATACTGTCATCCCTCTGGACAAAGGAGTCTGGTAATTCCAGGTGACTGCTCTGTGCCTTTATCAGAGGAAAATTCTGCAAATTCTTCTGCACAAGGGTTGAGAGGATGAGCTCTGAGCAAATGCAGCAAATGTAAGGGACTTCATGATATAAGGGGAGCACAAACTATGAACCCAGATCAAAGGCCAAGAAGAAAAGTCAGTGAACATAGAGTATGGATGCTGTTTTATTGTTCTATATGTGAAGACTTGAAGTCAGAAATATCAGTGTTTTAACTGGTTCCCTGGTTTCACTCCCTCCTACCCTATCACCCATTCCTTCATAACCTAGCTCAAGATATATTCTACACTCAGCAACCAAAGCCATTTCCTAAAAGTATATATTGGATCACATTGCTTCTCAGCTGAAATTCCACCGGTGACTTCCTGCTAAAAATAACATGGAACTCTCCTTGTATTTGCCTAGTTAATTCAACCCCTGGGTAATCAACCCTCCTCATTTCCTACCACTCTTCCTTTGTTCATTATGCTCCCATCACAATGACTTTCTTCCAGTCTTGGAACACACCAAACTTGTTCTTTTCTTGAGCATTTGTGCTTGATGTTGACTTTGGGGGCTGAGACTCCCTCCAAATATCCACATGTGTTGCTTCATCTTTTTTGTAAGTTCTTAGCTCACATCTCACGTCTTCAGAGAGGGCTTCTGAAAAGTTATGTGCCCCTCAGTCATTCTATCTTTTTATTTGTCATAATTATAACTATATTTAATTCTTATTCTTTTGCCTATTTTAATCTGCCCACACCACCTCAGCTCTAAAATGACAAGTTCTGTGGCAGAGAAACGTGGATATTGCCTTTTACCATTACCCAGCTCATGAAAAATACCTCAAGCGCCACAGATACATAATTTTTTTTGAATTAATTCAAATGTCTTTTGCTCAAGTTGTGTTCCGGGAAATCTACTAAAATCTAGATCAGCATAAAATGAAGTTGGGAAATTAATGAAACAGCAAAGTAAGGAAATAGAACATTTCATTAGGGAAAAGTAATTGTCTTTCTTGTTTCAGCTTGGTTACATGTGAGGTTTTCTGTTTCACGTTTTCCCTGTTTGAGAATCAAGAAATTAAGTACATATGAAATAAAGCAAATTGGCAGTTTTCTTAAAAACTGCCTGGCTAGTGAGGGACAAGAAACTTAAAATTGGATATTCTCATACCAGGCAAATTTCTAACTCACATGTCATAACTCAGATTTGTAAAGTAATTCCTTTGTTTTTCTAAAGAGGACTTGCCAGCCTCACCAGATATAGTACTTATTCATTTATGCACATGTTCTATGGAGGTGATGTTGGCGGAAGAGAAATTGAGGTTTGGGTACTAGTGAGGCCACAGATGGAGTCTCATTTAATTTCACCCAGGGAAAAACATTTTTATATTAGCCATAGGCAGAGTCTTGCTAATAAGAAAGCAAGCTTGGACAGTTATGTACAAAAAACAACTCCCTGATCACAGGGTGGTTATCATGCCAAAGAAGGAAGAAAAATCACTAGTGACTCACCACGCTGACATGGACATCCTGATCTGTTAGGATATTCTTAGACAAAAGTCAGAATTTGTGTTGAGTTATTTGCAAAGACAAATAGACATTACTTTAAGTAGTAGATATAGAGGTCTTAAAAGAATGCACACTTTTGTTAATAAAGCTTTTTAAAAAATATTAAAGATAATTATTTATATGAAAATTTCAAGGAATTCTTTCCCAAAGAAATAGATATTCTGTAAAATGGACAGGAGTTGCTTAAAGCACCCCCTGAGTGGGTCAGTTTTGCTCAAAGGTAAGCAAAGGTGAGACCAATCATAATGGATGAAGTTAGTATATGCAGTCGAACAGAAGTGAGAAGGAAGATAGCCTTAAAACATATTTTAGTATCTTTACGATGATTTTTATTTAAAAATGTTTTTAATTGACATATAACTGCACATATTTATGGGGTACAGTTCATGGGGTACAATGTATATTTTGATATAAGTATACATTGTGTAATATTTAAACCAGGGTATTTAGCATATCTGTCACCTCATATTTATCAATTCTTTATGTTGAGAACACTCAAAATCCTCCCTTCTAGCTATTCTGAAATATACAAAACAATATTGTTATCCATAGTCATCCTACTGTGTGATAGAACACCAGAAATTATTCCTCTGATCTAACTATAAATTTGTACCTGTAGAATCTTTTTTTTTTTTTTTTTTTTTTTTAGGCAGTCTTGCTCTGTCGCCCAGGCTGGAGTGCAGCAGTGTGATCTCGGCTCACTGCAACCTCCACTTCCCGGGTTCAAGCAATTCTCCTGCATCAGCCTCCCAACTATCTGGGATTACAGGCATGTGCCACCATGTCTGGCTAATTTTTTCTATTTTTAGTAGAGACAGGGTTTCACCATGCTGGTCAGGCTGGTTTGAAACTCCCGACTTCAAGTTATCCGCCTGCCTTGGCCTCCCAAAGTGCTAGGATTGTAGGCTTGAGCCACCACACCCGGCCTCCTGTAGAATCATTTTATGACTAGGTTCTATTACTGACATACACAAACATGTGAAATTATACTTTGATGTATATGTAACTTAGGTGTATATCCTCTAAAGTTTATTTTGACTTAGTACTCTTAGATCATAGTTGAGGGTCCCCCTCCCCCATTCCATTTTGGCATTTATTTGGGTTACCTTCCCCATTGGTGAGGGGTCCTGGGTCCAAAGAGATCTGCTCACCCAGCCTACGTGTACCCTTCTAAACCATGCTACAGGGTCCACAGCTCCTGAGTTTCCAACCCATGTGTTTTTGAACTCGTCCCCAAATACTGTGTGCGCCTTTTCCCACACTATGGGCTATTGCTGGTGAGTGCAGCCTTAGATGTGGGAGATGTGGATAAAACATGAGAAGGCTGGCTAGAATGTCCTAATGTATGAGCATGAGGCATTTTTGAGTGTGTCAGAAAGATAGCAGTGGGAAGATAATACCCATCAAAGTTGGCCTGAGACCTGGGCCTGGGGAAGCTCTCTCTGCTCTGTCATGTTCTGATGAGGAACTAAACTTTCAAGTCTTAATGAAGACTTATTTGTTAGGGCATAAGTTAGAGCATATTTTATGTAATCATTTGGTAGCATGTCTTATAACTTTTAAATATTTAAATTTATAATATGTGAGCCTCCATTTTATTCTTGACTTAGCCTTGCAAATGTTAGGGGGAGGTCTCTTAGAACTGTAAGAATTGAGCTTGAAATGTGTTTGGAGATATGTCATTAGGAAGCTATATGTCTTTCCACCAATCTGGAACTCTCTACTGTGTCTGCTCACCATACCTTGATGAGGTGGTGTATGTGAAATGTGCATGTTGCTGCCAGAGAGTGATCTGGGGGACCCAGAGAAGCCTGGTATGTTGCGGGGCTGTAGATTACATTATTAAAAATATTTGCTGTTCCTCTTTGGGAAAAGATTATACTATTTCACCTCATTGAAATTAGACTTGGAAGTTCATGTGACTTCTGTCAATGAGATGTAAATTAAAGGGACATAAGCACTTTCTAGCAGAAACTTTAAGATCCGTTATGTGGCTCCATCATCTCTCTTTTTCTTCTACTATGAGTTGGCCAATCCTTGATAGGAGGCTCTCCTTCAGATTCTAACCTTGAATAAAAATCAATGTTGAGGGGAAGGGGACAAGATGGCTGACTAGAGGCAGCCAGGAAGTGCTGCTCTCACTGAGGGAGACAAAAATATTGAGTAAACCAACATAATTTGAGCAGGTATTCGGAGAGAAAACACTGAGAGTGGATGGAGAGGCAATGCAGACTCTGGAGCTGAAGAGGGAGGAAGCTGGAAACACTGAATGGAGTATTTGAATGCTAAGACTAGTTCCCAACCCCAAACGGCTCCTGGGGAAGGGGTGAATGAAGGGATTGAGTCACAGCTCACTCTTACCATGTACTTCTGGGATCCTCGCTACAGGGGACTCCACATTCCCCATGGACATTTGAGCTAGTAGGGGGCTCTACCCAGAGAGTAGGCAGAGACAGGTTTCCTCCAATGTGGATCACGCCCAGGGGCTTTTGTGTGTAGACAGCTCTGGTGGGATGCAGCCATGGGCACTCACCCTCCATGGCTCCACATTTCCTTCTGAGAAGCTCTAGCTCCCAGCTGACTGCTGGACTCGGAGACAGTGGGCCTGGCTGCTCTGCGGGGCGGGGTATATTTGTTCTATAGGCCCTCTGCCTGCCAGCCCTTCAGGGCCCCTGCCTAGCTGTCCTGTAGGAGTGGTGCACAGTGCAGCCTCCACTGTCCAGCCTGGGTGCTTTGCTCCACCTGAGTAGTTTCCCAAAAACCTGGGAGCACTTAGGATACCCCAGTGCAGCTGGAGCTCTACCCCAAGCTGCCGGCTGATCCCTGTGCCCCAGGGCTATGGCACACAGCTTGGGAATGCCAAGCCAAGATCTGTACTCAGCACTTAAGCAGGGTAGAGTCCCGCACTCTCAGGGCACTGAGAGGGGTGAAACACAGGGGTTCATGGGCTGGCATGGAAGTGGAACGTACTTCTCTCTGAAGGGCTGGTCTGGAAAGGATGTGGCTTGTTTCCCTGCGGGGGACTCTTCCCAAGGAAGCCCCATATCCTGGAACACCTACCAAAGAAATGTGGGCACACCTGCCGGGCACGGTGGCTCACATCTGTAATCCCAGCACTTTGGGAGGCTGAGGCAGGTGGATCACGAGGTCAGGAGTTCAAGACCAGTCTGGCTAACATGGTGAAACCCCGTCTCAACTAAAAAAATACAAAAATTAGCCAGGTGTGGTGGCGGGCGCCAGTAATCCCAGCTACTCGGGAGGCTGAGGCAGGAGAATTGTTTGAACCTGGGAGGCAGAGGTTGCAGTGAGCCAAGATCACACCACTGCACTCCAGCCTGGGTGAGAGAGTGAGACTTCTTCTTGGAAAAAAAGAAAAAAGAAATGTGGGCACACCAGCAGTGATTGGAGGGAGCTCACCTGAAGCCCAGGAATGAACTTGGTGAGGTGGTCATCTCGTTCTCTTACACTGCAGAGCACGCCTGTGAATGTGAGGAAATACAAAAGAGCTGCATGGCTAAGAACCTATCTGCTAGCCATTACTCTTAAGCATCATTTACTGGATTGCAGCCCAAACTACATCACCAAAAAATATTCTGCTAATATACACTACCGTGGAACCACAGACAAGAACTAGCCACAAATCCAGATTATGTACATAACTTTAACCCTCTGAAAACATCCAGAAATGAAGCCAACTGATTATTGTCAACTTTTGTTACACTAAAGGAATACCATCCCTTTCAGATGAGAGAGGATTAATGCAAGAACACTGGCAATAAAGCCAGAATGTCCCCTAACCTCCAAACAAACCCACTAGCTCCCCAGCAATGGTTCTTAAGCATAATGAAATGACATGCTGAATCACAAACTTAAAAAAGTTGACATCATACCAAGTACACTCTTGGACCACAGTATATTAAAAACAGAAATCAGTATCAAGAAGATCTCTTAAAATTATAGATGAAAATTAAATAACTTGCTCCTGAATAACTCCTGGTGTGCAATGGAATTGAGACAGAAATAAAAAAATTTGAAATTAATGAAAATAGGGACACAACTTACCAACGTTTTGGGATACAGCCAAGGTAGTATTAAAAGGAAAGTTTATAGCTCCAAATACCTTCATCAAGAAGTTAGAAAAATCTGGGGAAGTGAGGGTAAAAAAAAAGAACAAACCAACCTCCAAGCTAGCAGAAGAAAATAACTAAAATTACAGACAAATGAAATTAAAGTAAGATGCAAAAATTCATACAAAAAATCAACTAAAAGTGGCTTTTTTGAGGGAATAAATATGATTCAGAGACTGCTAGTTAGATTAATAAAGAAAAATAAGGATCCAAATACGTATAATCAGAAATGACAAAGATGACATTGTAACCAATCCCACAGAAATACAAAAAAATCCACAGAGACTATTGTGAATAACTCTATGTACACATATTAGAAAATCTAGGGGAAATGGATAAATTCTAGGAAACACACAATCTCCCATGATTGAACCATGAAGAAAGCAAAAACTTGAACAGGTGAAAAACAAGTCCTGCAATGGAATCAGTAATAAAATATCTACCAGTCAAAAAAGGCCTGGAACAGATAGATTCACAACCAAATTTTACCAGACACATAAAGAAGAACAGGTACAAGCCCTAATGAAACTATTCCAAAAAATTGAGGAGGATGGGCTCCTCTCTAACTTATTCTGTGAAGCCAGCACCAGCCTGATACCAAAATCTGGCAGAGACACTGGGAAAGAAGAAAACTTCAGGCCCATATTCCCAGCCGACATAGATGTAAAAATCCTCAACAAAATACTGGCAAACTGAATCCACAGCATGTTAAAAAGTTAATACAGGCTGGATGCAGTGACTCACACCTACAATCCCAGCACTTTGGGAGGTGAATGCTAGGAGGATCACTTGAACCCATGAGTTCAAGACTGGCTTGGGCAATGTAGTGAGACCTTGTCTCTACTAAAATTTAAAAAATTAGCTGACCATGGTGGGGTGTGCCTGTAGTACCAGCTACTCAGGAGGCTTAGATAAGAGGATCATTTGAGCCCAGGAGGTTGAGGCTGTAGTGAGCCATGTTCATGCCATGACACTCCAGCCTGGGTGACAGAGAGAGACCCTGTCTCAAAAAAAAAAAAAATAATAATAATAATAAAAAGCAAATACACCACATTCCTGGGGTGCAAGACTGATTCAGTATATTCAAATCAAACTCGATTTACCACATAAGCAACGGCGAATGGCAAAAAAAAACCCATATGATTATCTCAATAGATGCAGAAAAAGTTTTCAATAAAATCCAACATCCCTTCATGATAAATACCTTAACAGACTAGACTAGACCTCAAAGGAACAGATCTCAAAATAATAAAAACCATCTATGGCAAACCCAAAGCCAACATAATACTGAATGGTCAAAAGCTAGAACCATTCCCATTGAGAACTGGAATAAAACAAGGAGGCCCCACACTCACCACTCCTGTTCAATATAGTACTGGAAGTCCTAGCCAGGCAATCAGGCAAGAGAAAGATATGAAAGATATCCAAATAGGAAAAGAAGAAGTGAAACTATCTCTCTTTCTTGATTATATGATTCTATATCTAAAAAATCCTAAAGACTCAGGCAAGATGTTTCTAGAAATGGTAAATAACTTTAGTAAAGTTTCAGGGTTTAAAATAAATGTATTAATGCAAAAGATGGTAGCATTTCTATATATCAATAACATTGAAGCTGAGACTCAAATCAAGAACACAATTCCATTTACAATAGCCACAAAAATGAAATAACTAATAATACAGGTAATCAAGGAGGTGAAAGATCTCTACAAGAACAAATACAAAACTCTGCTGAAAGAAATCAGAGATGACACAAATAAGTGGAAAAACATTTCATTCTCACGAACTGGAATAATCAATATCATTAAAATGGCCATACTGCCCAAAACAATTTACAGATTTAGTGTTATTTCCTTCAAACTACCAACATTATTTTTCACAGAATTAGAAAAAAACTATTGTAAAATTCACATTTAACCAAAAAAGAGTCTGAATAGCCAAAGATTTTAAACAAAAAGTACAAAGCAGGAGGCATCATACTACCTGACTTCAAACTACACTACAGGGCTACATTAACCAAAACAGCATGGTACTCATACAAAAACAGGCACATAGACCAATGAAACAGAATAGAGAGCTCAGAAATAAAGCTGCACACCTACAACCATCTGATCTTCAACAAAGTTGACAAAAACAAGCAACAGGTAAAGGACTTTCTATTCAATAAATGGTACCTGGATAACAGCCTGGCCATATGCAGAAGATTGAAACTGGAACCCTTCCTTACACCATATACAAAAAACAACTAAAGAAGCATTAAACACTTAAATGTAAAACCTAAAACTATAAAAATCCTTGAAGAAAACCTAGGCAATACGATTCTGTACATAGGACCTGGCAAAGATTTTATGATGAAGACATCAAAAACAACTGCAACAAGACAAAAATTGACAAATGCGACCTAATTAAACTAAAGAGCTTCTGCACAGAAAAAGAAACCATCAACAGAGTAAACAGACATCCTACATAATGAGAGAAGATATTTGCAAAGTATGCAACTGACAAAGGTATAATATCCAAAATTTATAAGGAACTTAAATTAACAAGCAAAAACAAGACAACTCCATTTAAAAGTGGGCAAAGTATATGAATAGACATTTTTCAAAAGAAGACATACATGCCACCAACAAGCATATAAGAAAATGCTTAACATCACTAATCATTAGAGAAATGCAAATCAGAACCACAATAAGATGCCATCTCACGTCAGTCAGAATGGCTATTAAAAAGTCAAAAACAGCAGATGCTGGCGGAGCTGTGGAGAAAAGGGAACACTTATACACTGCTGGTGGGAATGTAAATTAGTTCAACTGCTATAGAAAGCAGTTTGGAGATTTCTCAAAGAACTTAAAATAGAACTACCATTCACCCCAGGAATTACATTACTGAGTATATACCCAAAAGAAAACAAATTATCCTAGCAAAAAGACACGTGCACTCACTCGTATGTTCATTTCAGCACTATTCACAATAGCAAAGACATGGACTCAACCTAGGTGCTCATCAGTGGTTGACTGGATAAAGCAAACAGTACAGACACACCATGGAATACGATACAGCCATAAAAGGAATTGAATCTTGTCCTGTGCAGCAACATGGATGCAACTGGACATAATGGTAAGTGAAATAATGCAGGAACAGAAAAATAAATACTGCATGTTCTGGCTTATAGGTGAGAGCTAAACATTGAGTACACATGAGCATAAAGATGGGAACAATAGATACGGCAGATTACTAGATGGGGAAGGAAGGAAGAGAGTTGTAGGTGGAAAAACGACCTATTGCCTACTATGCTCACTAGCTCGCTGACAGAATCTGTACCCCATACCTAAGTTTCATGCAATATACCCATGTAACAAACCTGTACATACCCCTGTATCTAAGATAATATTGAAATTATTTTTTAAAAGGTTTTGAAAAGGTTGATGTTGAATAGAACTGCTTTTGACCTTCAATGAACATGCAGCAAGAACAAGAAGTAAATATTTGTTGTTATAAACAAGTATGAGTTGGGTGTTGTTAGTGTAGCATAACTTAGCTGATTAATAGAGATGTGTGCAACAAAAGCACACTGTGAACTTCTTGGTCACAGGCCACAAAGATCATGGATGTCAGCAGCAATTGCCAGAGCATGATGATGCATGCCAGGATTAGCATGTTGACAACAGTGGAGAGCAGCAAGGTTAGAGGATATCGTCATGTGGACCAGACTCCTCTCACCTGATGCCAGGACTATAATTAAGCACTAGAGATGAGGGTATGCAAAAGGAAGGGGAGTGAAAACCTTAACGAACTGAGTCAAAATCCTGAATTGAACTCAGTAAAACCAGAAATGACAATTGAATTGATGAGCCATTTGCCTATAGCTGAAATAGAAACTTTAGAGTTATGTTAACTTTAATTTTTAGGGCCAGGTGCAGGGGCTCATGCCTGTAATCACAGCTACTTGGGAAGCCAACTTGGGAGGATCACTCGAGGCCAGGAGTTGGAGACCAGCCTGGGCAAAATAGCAAGATCCTATCTGTATTTCTTTTTAATTAATACTTAAAAGCAAGCAAACATTACATTTTTGTAAATCCAAGCTTGAGACTGAGAATTTGTACCTATTACAATAATAGCTTATTGCTAACATGTCTAAGCACTTAGTACTAACAACAATCTAATCTAAGAGTTTCTCTTACCATGTCAATTTTACGGAAGGGTAAACTGAGGTGCATTGTGAGTGTTACCTTACACTAAGTCTCATAGCCCATGCCCACAGACACATCACCATACCTTATATCTAGACTTGATTTCTATTTCCTGATTTGCCAAACTCTGACATAGCCTATTTACGGCCTGGAAGCTGACATACAATGTCCTTACCATCCAGTTGGCTGAATTTTTCATATGGGAATGCAAGGAAGATGTGAAGGAAGAACGCAGTAATCACTCCTTACATTTGAATATTGCTTTAATCTTGTCTTATTTCATAATAATGCACATTTATGAGGTAGGCAAGGTAGGGATTATTACTCTACTACTCAATTTTATAAATTAAAAGAGAGCTTAAACAACCTACTCAGAATCATGCTACTTGTGCTAGTGGGGTGAGCACAGGGGCTGAAAACATGTTCCTGAGAATCATGTAATCTCCTGAGCTTCAAACGATTTGAGGAAAGGATTGTGTTTTCCCTATTTTAAGACTGCAGACAAAGATACTGCAATATTCACCAAACTAACAGAGATTTTGGAATTTCTGTTTTAAATCATAGCTAAAACCTCACTAAGAAAATAAGTGGGGCGCTCTGTAATAAATTTTTCTGACAGAGGGAGTCTCTTTTAGAATACTGAATCTAGGCTTGGCAGTAAGTACGTAGATGCTCAACAGGAGACCCTTGTGGAGATGACTCCTGAATCCAACCGCTTGCACTTATCTCTCCCCATAGCATTAGCGTCTGCATTTCTAAAAGTTTCCACTGCAATCTTCCTGGATACCTTGTCAGCCCTTAAAATCAACTGGGCCAATCTTGTTCCTACAGCCTGTTTCTGCACCTGACTTCCTAGGTTCTGTAATAGTAGCAGAATTCTCTCAGTTACATACGATTAAGTGCCTCGGGGTTATCTTTAAGTCTTCATTCTATCCTGCCTTAATAATATTTAGATACATGTCTGTAGATTCTATCTTTATTTATAAAAATCTATTCCTTTCTTTTCAATCCTACCGACATAAGGCTAGTTCAAGCCTTCATTATTTATCTTCTGGATCATTAAAATAATCCCTTGGCAGTTCTCCTCCATGACTATACTGCCTCACTCTAGAAGAGCATAGTTACTATTACAAGACTAATTTTGTTTCTAAACCCAACTCTAATTCTACTATTTCCCTTTTCAAACCTAATTAGGTGTCTATATTCTGTGGAATTAAATACCAATTTTGTTTCCAAGTTTTAATTCAATAATAAAGCAATATTTATTTCACATAACTTTAAACTCTCTCTTTTTGTTTCATTGCTCTGTTTATGTACTATCATCTCCAGGAAAATAGAACTACTTATACGGTAAGATCCCATACTTTCCCACTTCTATTTCTTTTGTTCTTGCTATATTTTTTCCATAATGGGAAATCCTTTTTAAACATCTATCCTAAATGCCTTCACCTTCATGAAGGCAACCCTGCTTCTCTCAGGCAGATTATTATCTTCATAAAATCATGAAAGATTTGTATCTTCATATATCATCATTGATACAGTCAAAATTTATATTATCTTACATAATCATGATTGATGTATAAGAAGAAGTTTAATTTTAGATTAAGCATGTGAAATTTAGTTATAAATACAGACAGGATACATTCTAACTTTGTACTACTACCTAGGCCTACAGCCTACAGAATAGTGCTAGATCCTAGAGGGGAAAGCTTGTTTTTATCCAGCATTTTATTCTATGTAATCTAACATACCTAGATTGTATGTGAGAGATACTTGAAAACTATTTATTGAGATGAATTAAAGTACATTAATCAACAATTGTAGTATAGTTTCTCATAATCGTGGAGATACTTGAAACTGCTATGTTACTCACTGCCAATGAAAACATAAGGTCAGAGACTTGGAGGAATAAAACATTCCTCAATAATTGCATTATTTCATTAGTTCAATGATATATATTCTGCATTAATAATGAAAAGATAATATTGATTTTGGATATCATCATATAAGGAGGACCATTAAACATTATAGATATCTTTTGTTCTTGTTGTTTTCCTATGACTCTCATGAAAATTTGAAACTGTGTTTTATTATCCTCAAATCATTTATTCAGGCCTACATAAATTT
Organism: Homo sapiens; assembly: GCF_000001405.40. Classification (NCBI taxonomy): domain Eukaryota; kingdom Metazoa; phylum Chordata; class Mammalia; order Primates; family Hominidae; genus Homo; species Homo sapiens. Next base: position 81,101,485 of record NC_000001.11, on the reverse strand, counting down.
TGGTACTGGAAACTTGCCTAGCATAGCACCAAGATCAAGGGCTTATTTTCTATTAAATTAGAATTCAGATCTTTGTATCACAAATTTATAAATGTATGGTAGTATTAGCCACAAAATAATCTGTCATCTGGTCTTTACATTTCAACACTGGGTAAAATGTAAACTGGATAAAATGGAAACTTAATTAGGATATTAAAAAATAGATCTATGAGGGACATTCAAAATAAATTTAGACTGGATATGTTTATAGGGTGAACTGTAATTGTCCACAAAACTAACTGTTTAAGGAAACATCATATTCCCTATGCTACCCCTTTTAAAGGCTATAATATTTAATAAATATGCTGCCAAATTGATCAATGTTTAGAATGTACTTTTTCTACAGCTGCAGAAAAAATCAGAATATTATGGTATTGGGCCAAACAGGTCATAAGAATTGCTGAGAAGAAAGGTACAATCAATTGAGAATAAAAGATGAGAGGGTTATATAAATTGAGCCCCCATAGGAAGAAAGATAAAGCTTCGATGATTGCCTCCTAAGGGCCACACAAGTTAGTAACAATTCAAACAAGGTCTTTGAGCTGAAGTTCAACCTAGTGAATGGTGCCCTGGATGAGACAGTACAGAGTACAGTACTGTTCAGCCATTGTGATGAATGTACTGTATGCAACATTGCTAGCTTGGTTAGCATTCTTTGAAGTCCATGGAAAATTCTAGATTAAAAAATATGCCATGAGGACCAAATGTATTAGTCCATTCTCACACTGCTAATAAAGACGTACCCAAAACTGGGAAATTTATAAAGGAAGGAGGTTTAATTGACTCACAGTTCAGCATGGCTGGGAAGGCCTCAGAAAATTTACAATCATGGGGAAAGGGGAAACAAACATGTTCTTCCTCACATGGTGGCAGCAAGAAGTGCCAAGCAAAAGAGGGAAAATCTCCTTATAAAACCATCAGATCTTCTGAGAACTTACTCACTATTATGAGAATAGCAGCATACAGGTAACTGCCTCCACGATTCAATTACCTCCCACTGGGTCCCTCCCAGACCTCAAGGGGATTATGGGAACTACAATTCAAAATGAGATTTGGGTGGGGACACAGCCAAACCATATCATCAAACAACAGGGAAACATTGCCTTAAACACAAATGTAATTATCAGTGAAAGACTTCATAATCAGATTTTAGGTTGTTGCAGAAAAAGGAATCTGTGGACCATATCTAGTCGGTTTTCTAATTTGTCTTTGACCGTACATTGCAAAATAAGAAAACCACAGTATAGATACGAAATCTGTAGATACACTTCTCTACTTGCTATTTTCATCATTCAAAATATTTTCTTTCATTAGAAAAGATAATTTTTTTCTAGAAATTTGTAATTTGCAAATGCTTGTTTTGTAATGTAAATAAATGTCTTGGTTAAAAACCAGGATAGTTAGAATTGATAAAATGTTTTAACTGTTTACCTCTTTTTAAAATGAGCGTTTCTTCATGAAAACTATCCTAAAATTGTTTTTTGGTGGCCAGTAATTGCTTGTCAATAGAGAGTGAGAGCCTTTGTAGATGCTGATAGATAAGATACGGGAAGTGGAATAGGGGACATATATTTTTCCATTATTTTGTAACAAAAATAAAGACCAATATATTGTTCAATTAGATATGAGACCTCATTAGAAGAACTAAATTTGATTCTAGGCATTCCAATTAAACTGTAAAACACAAATTTAATACAATACAATTTTGGCTATGGAGCTACACAACCAGTTCAATGGATCCTGTCAGTGAAATTGAATGCAGTTTGTTTTGTTTTGTTGTTGCTTAAGAAAACAACAGATTTCAAGAAGAATAATTTAAGTAAAAGGTAAGCCATAGTAACTTAAAGGTATCTCTTCAGTCAATAATACACATCCTTCAAGGTTCGTCTTCTCGATAAATCCTTCCATGACTACACAAGCCCTCAAAAACTATATAAGATGCAAAATGTTAGTTTAAATTTAAATGTCAATAGTTGTAAATAATTTGTTACTAATGACAAAAATCAAGAAACCTTAACATGATACACTTGAAGAAGAAAAAAAACTATGGGAGATCTGAATCTATTTCTGTACTGACAATGCTCCCATTTGCTCACATGATAACTTTATTATTAAAAAAAAAAGGTCGGGCCGGGTGGCTCATCTCTGTAATCCTAGCACTTTGGGAGGCCAAAGCGGGTGGATCACCTAAGGTCAGGAGTTCAAGACCAGCCTGGCCAACATGGTGAAACCCCGTCTCTACTAAAATACAAAAATTAGCCGGGCATGACCGGTGCCCGTAATCCCAGCTACCTGGGAGGTTGAGACGGGAGAATCACTTGAATCCGGGAGATGGTGGTGGCAGTGAGCCAAGATGGCGCCACTGCACTCCAGCCTGGGAGGCTGAGCGAGACTCCATGTCAAAAAAGGAAAAAAAAAAGCCTCTTTTCTGGCTGGAACCATAGAAGGTGTTGAAGAGAAGAAAAAGAAGGTTCCTGCTGTGCCAGAAACCCTTAAGAAAAAGCGAAAGAATTTCGCAGAGCTGAAGATCAAGCACCTAAGAAAGAAGTTTGTCCAAAAGATGCTTTGAAAGGCAAGGAGGAAGCTTATCTGTGAAAAAGCAAAGCACTATCACAAGGAATATAGGCAGATGTACAGAACTGAAATTCGAATGGTGAGGAAGGCAAGAAAAGCTGGCAACTTCTATGTACCTGCAGAACACAGATCGGTATTTGTCATCAGGATCAGGGGTATCAATGGTGTGGCCAAAAGGTCCGAAAGGTGTTGCGGCTTCTTCACCTTCGTCAAATCTTCAGTGGAACTTTTGTGAAGCTTAACAAGGCTTCAATTAACATGCTGAGGATTGTAGATCCATATATTGTATGGGGGTACCCAAATCTGAAGTCAGTAAATGAACTAATCTACAAGTGTGGTTATGGCAAAATCAATAAGAAAATAATTGCTTTGACAGACAACGCTTTGATTGCTCCATCTCTTGGTAAATATGGCATCATCTGCATGGAGGATATGATTAATGAGATCTATACTGTTGGAAAACACTTCAAAGAAGCAAATAACTTCCTGTGGCCCTTTGAATTATCTTCTCCACGAGGCGGAATGAAGAAAAAGACCACCCATTTTGTAGAAGGTGGAGATGCTGGCAACAGACAGGACCAGATCAACAGGTTTTTTAGAAGAATGAACTAAGGTGTCTACCATGATTATTTTTCTAAGCTGGTCATATAATAAACAGTACCTGCTCTCAAATTGAAAAAAAAGAGAGTGCAATGTTTTTTAGTGAATAAACAGGAGTTGTACATCACCCACAGTGTTTATTCATTGGAGTGTATGGCCAGGCGAAATTCCTATGATTTTCATGGTGATAAAAAGCCAAGAAACGCTGATAGGGCAGTTTTGTTTGTGAAGGGTAGAGTGTCTACTTTTCAATTAGACTATAAATTCTTCCAGGGAAAGATCCTTATCATTGATTTATTTAAATACCAAGTACAGTGTAGGCACATACTTAGTCGCCTAAGAAACAATAGAACCAGGCCAGCTAGTGTAGTGACTTGTTAATTGCTACCAGAAAAGCTGAATTACAAATAAACTATTTTTTCAAGCCTGGGGAGAAAAATCATATATATATAAAAATACTGGAAAATAACAGGAGGTGCTGAATCTAAGAAAAGTTTCTGTGATCTTAGGAAAAAAGTTAGAAATGTAAATTGGTTGAATAATTGTAAAATGCAATTGGTAAATATAAATTGCCTGAGAAAAAGTTCACAGAGAACATTCAGGCTAAACATCTAAATTTTTAAGTTAAAAGTAATAGTGATTATTCATAACTGTATATATTTATCCAAAATAATTTTTAAAATAGCTATACATCTAGAAAAGCAGAAATTGACTGGATGATTGTTCATAAAGCTGCAGAGTATAGCCGTTAAGGGCACAAATTTTGAGCTCAATAGCCAGGGTGGGTAACCCAGTGCCACTTCACATCAGTGTTACTTAGAGTAAGCAAAGATAGGGTATTCTACCTCTCTCTTACTTGTTTCTCCTCATCAGTAAAGTGGTGGAACAATAGTACTTAGTACTTTTGTACTTAGCTCAGACCTGAATAATACTTAGCTCATTGAGGTGTTGTGAGGTTGATACTAGTTGATCAGTAAGGAAGCACTTAGAAGAGTGCTAGGCACATGTTAAGCTTTATATAATGTTCACTGTAATAAGTATTTTCTTATGTCACCCTTTGCTTACTATTAACCAGTGACTGAATAAAGTAGTCAACACGTGAATATATGAATATATACCTAATATATAAACACACATATGCATATATACATATATAAAATCATGACAATTTAATTAGATGAAAATGGCTGTTATCAATGTAAAGGATACATCTTAAGATCTTGCAATGTGAAAAGTCAATGCTGATAAGACCTATATAAAACACTGAATTTTATTTCACTTGATGTAGGTGTGCCCAAAATTTGTAGAAAAAAAAAATTACCAGAGTGAATCTTATTTTCACTGAATTATCAGCTTTTGATTTTAGAGATATGCTCTCCCCTAAAATGTGTTTTTGACAATAACATTCTTTTATTTTAGAATGTTTATTTTTGCCTTAACTAACACTTGTTATTATATGCTGCAAACAGATAAATCTTTCTTTTCTTCCAAATCCTTTCTGAGGGAGATTGGTAAATGTTAATGTAAATGTGTATGTTTACATTTATTTTAAAATATGCATTTTTCTAAATGTAGTCTTAGGGCAAATACCAAAATGTTAGCAGTTAACAGTGTTTAACCCTGAAAAAGGGCATTATTATTATTTTTTTTTACTATTTTGCTATTCTTTGTGTTTTTCTTTATATTCTGAAATGTTTATAACATTCAATTTCTTCCATAATCAAAAGAAAATATTTTGTTTTAGAAGACAGTAATTGTTATCAAACCAATATTTCATTCAATCTAACATCCTCAGAAAACATGGATGTGGCTGCTGAGCTCAATCAACATTAAAAGAATGTAATATTTTCTCAAATTATTAATTTTACTTACGTTTCTTTTGCATGGTGCATTTATTTAAACATTTTGGGAAATGATCGTTTTAGCTTGCACTAATACTTAAATATATAAAATAAAGATATAAAACACTTGGGAATATTTAGTACATAGTTTCATGTTATACTTTCTTGTTATTTAATATTAGCTATGATTCTATTAGCTTCATCAGTATGCTACCAATTGGGTCAAGAGGTTTAGTTAGTTTGAGATTTAACTCTGTAGTTTACTCTCTACATTTTAGTATTCCAAGATTTGATGATGTTCTCGAAGTTAGGCATAAACCCCTCCTACACAATTCCTTTAGGTCTGGAGCATCCCCAGCCTGGTTTATTAATTGGCCCACCTAACGGTTAACTCCCTGGGGGACTGGAACTATACTTTGTTCACGCTTATGCACCTATCAATTGGAATTGTGCAAGGCATATAGTACCCACTTTATAGAGTGGAAATTTTCATGTGCTGGCCTTCCTAATGTATGTCCATCAAAACCTGCTCCATCCAGTCTTCCATATCTCAATTAATAGCAACTCCATCCTTCTATAGAAACTTAGGCAAAACTTGTGGCTTTATCCTTAACTACCATCTTTCCCTCACACCCCACAACCTTTCTATTATAAAATACTCAACTCTACACACAACTCCTTTACACTCAACTCCTCATTACATTCAGAATCCAACTTCTCATGACATTCACTTTAGTCTCAACCTCATAAAATCTCACTTGTATTACTACTATACAATGGTCCCCTGTCTTCCTACTTCTATCTCTGTCCCTCTACTCTCTATTCTCAATAATGCAGCCAGAATTATTCTCTTGAAATGGAAATTAGATCACATTGTGCCTTTTTCAAAACCATTAACAGCTTCTATTTCTCGCAGCGTAAAAAGCCAATGGCACACAAAGGTCTACCTTATCTTGCCCATAACCTCTCTGACCTTTCCACCTACTATTCTCTTCATGGCTCCCTCTTCTTCAGCCATCCTGCCTCCATTCTCTGAGTGAATATTGCAGGTGCTTTAGAGTCTTTGCACTCTGTCTGAAGATCTGTATGGCTAAATCCCTCACTCCACTGAAGATTTTACTCAAATGTCACCTTCTCAAAGGGCTTACCTTACCCATCCTATTCAAAATGTCAGTCTCCATATCCTTCCTTGTCTTCGTGGTTCCCCTTTTCCTGCTCCATTTTTTTCCTACAGAACTTATAAACTTCTAGTATATTTTATATTTTGCTTATTAATATAATTATTGTTTTTTGGGTCAGCTACAGCCTGTTAAAATATAACTCCTCCAAAGCAGGAATCTGTCCCCTTTCTTTCCTGCTGATTTGTCCCAATTGTCAAGTAAAGTGCCTGAAACATTTTTGCTAAATGATGCATTAATTATATTCTCTTCATTGTCTTAAAGTTGCTCTTTTCTGTATTATTTTTAGTTTGAGTATGTTTTTAATTAAGGTGTAATTCCTATCTTATTTTGTATATGCCTGTATTTTGTTTTATTTTATTTTATTAAGGTGTAATTCCTACCGTATTTTGTAGCTGTATTTTATTTTAATGCAAGCTGTCTTGTGGGACTTGTATATTTATGCAACCACACGGACTATATCTTTGCTTCATAATAAAGAATACATATGTTAGGAGAGTCAGAGGGACATCATTGTTGAGGCAAAGATAATCTTTGAATATGCTCTAAAAATAGTTTTGACAGCAATGTGTTTCTTGATATAATGACTGTCTAACTGATAAAATGAGATACTAGGTTCTTAGCACTTCATTGAAAGAATCTGCTTTTAAGGTTAACTAATCAGGCAGGAATTACTGACATTGTTTTTAATTCACTTTTTTGAATGACAAGAAATCTTCAAAAACATGGTTGATTACAAAAATAAATTGTTTACTACTAAGATTATTTTGGTTGGTAAATCTGACCCTAAACAAAGTAAGTATTTATAACAGTTAACCTGTATAAACAACTGAACAAATGCGTAAAATCACAAATACAGCAAATATTTTTATATAAAGGGCACAATCATGTTAGATGGTGACAACGTTTGCCTTTCGTGATTATAATGTAATGAGATGTTAAATATTCATGTTAACTAATTTTAACAAAAGGTATAGTGTAGCTATTAATCCATTTTCAGGTAAGAAAAATGAAAGATTTCTGTCAATTTCCTAAGTAATGAACTAGTGAAATCTGTATGCCTTTTATTGCCCCTTCTTTCTTTCAAATTTGCCAATATATTTCAAAAACCATCTTCCATACGTTCCTTTGATGAAATAATCCCTCCCCTCCTCCCTCCCCTCCTCCCTTCTTTCCTTCCTTCCTTCCTTCCTTCCTTCTTCCTTCCTTCGTCCCTCCCTCCCTCCTTCCCTCCCTCCCTCCTTCCCTCCGTCTCTCTCTCTTTCTTTCTTTCTTTCTTTTTCTTATTTTTTATTTTTTTGAGATGGAGGCTCACTCTGTCTCCGAGGCCGGAGTGCAGTGGCGCGATCTCGTCTCACTGCAAGGTCCGCCTCCTGGGTTCACGCCATTCTCCTGCCTCAGCCTCTCGCGTAGCTGGGACTACAGGCGCCCGCCACCACACCCGGCCAATTTTTTTGTATTTTTAGTAGAGACGGGATTTCACCATGTTAGCCAGGATGGTTTTGATCTCCAAGACCTTGTGATCCGCCTGCGTCGGCCTCCCAAATTGTTGGGATTACAGGCGTGAGCCACCGCGCCCGACCTTTTATTTTTATTTTCAATATTTTCTGATGATCTCTCAGATGTAATCCCACTTTAATGGATGACTTTAGTCTTCATAGGACACAAATGTATATATTTTTTTCCAGTCCAGATCTTGTCATACTCTGTACAACTACAGCACTTAAATTAGTGATTATCATCAAAATACAGTTTCCTTTTTATTATATCTTTATTGAAGTACAATTGATGCACATTAAAATGCACATATATAAAGTGTATTATTTGATGAATGTTGACATGTACATATTTGTGAAACTATCACAATCAAGATAATGAATATATTGCATTCATCAAGCCCAAAAGTCTCCTTGTGTCTCTTTGGAATACTATTCTCCCCTTCATTCCTCCCATCACCCAAGGCAACCACTGATCTGTGACTATAGATCAATTTGCATTTTCTAGAACCTTACAAAATTAAGTCAGGCAGTATGCATTCTCTTTTTCTCTCTCTTTTTTTGCCTGCTTCTTTTCACTCCACATAATAACTTTGAGATTCATCTATATTGTGGCATGTAACAATAGTTTACTTCATTCTATTGCTTAGTATTATTTCATTGTATGGATAGATGACAATTTGTTTTCCATTTATCTGCTGATGGACATTTGGTTGTTTCCAATTTTTGTCCACTACAAACGAAACTACTATGAATATTCACATATAAGTGTTTGTATAGACATATGCTTTCATTTTATTGGGTAAATACATAGCCTGAGTTATAGGATTGGGTATATTTAATATTTTAAGAAATTGCTTAACTCTTTTCAAAATGTTTGTGGCATTTTACAGTTCTATGAGCCGTTCATGAGAGTTCCAGCTGCAACACTTTGTATGGTCATACTTTTAACTTCAGCTATGTTGGCGTATGCATAGCGACATCCAACAGTGGTTTAAATTTATACTTCCCTGATGACAATGGTATTGAACATATTTTCATGTGCTCACTGACATTTACACAGTTTTTGGTGAAGTTGCTGCTCAGTAATTTTGCTCATTTTTTCATTGTGCTGTCTTGTAACTGAAATATGTGTTCTTTTATATTCTAGCTGCATATCTTATGTTGGATATATGTGATGTTTTGCAAATATTTTTATCTTTGGCTTTATTCCTTTTCATAACAATATCTTAACAGTGTCTTTTGAGTGGCAAAAGTGTTTCATTTTGATACAGTCCTATTTATCAAGTTTTTTCTTTTATAGTAAGTATTTTGATATATTTAGGAAATCTTTGCGAAATCTGAGGTCAATAAGATTTGCTCCTACGTTTCCTTCTAGAAGTTTTATAGTTACAGCTCTTACATCCTGTCTATGACTGTTCCAAGTTAATATTTTGTATATGGTAGGAGGCCAGGGTCAATGTTTTTTGTTTTTTGTAACTCAAATTTTCCTGCATCATTTCTTGAAAAGATTATCTTTTTCCATTGAATTGCCTTGACATTTTTGTCAAAAATCAATTGCATATATACGTGTGGGTCTATTTCTGGACTGTCTTTTCTGTTTATTGACTTATTTATCTAGTTTTATGCCAATACTAAAATGTCTTGATTACTGTAGAGTTTTAAAAGATCTCAAAATCAGATACTGCCTGTCCTCCAACTTTGGAAACTGATCCTTTTGAGGCTTTTTGTTTTGTTTTGTTTTGTTTAAAATGTTTAGAACACAGTAAACTTTAATGTATGGCTGTTGTTTTTTGGCAGATTTCTGAGGCAATCTCCTGACTATGCCACCCTACACCCTGTGAATTAGTATGTTTCCTACTGTGATTAGTGAGCACACAGACTGTTCACACCCCTATAGATCTATACATTTTTCCTCTCTTCTTTTGGGGTAGTTCTCCTGAGCATAGGTAGTGTCCTCATATACATGTGTTGAGTCAGCTGAAGACTCAAGTTGGAGCATCCGCAGATTTCTAGAGTTTTTCTCTCTGTGTATTCAGTAACCTCCTCTCTGGTACCCTGCTTCACAACTCCAGTTTCTTTGGACTCTCAGCCTCCTTGTTCTCTCTCCTCAACACAGGATGATGGCCAGCTACACCTGGGTTATTCCTCTCTTTGCTGCAACCTAGATGCTCTTTCTAATGACAATCACAGAACTCTTCTCAATGGTGTTCTTTCTCTTAGAAATTGTTGTTCTGCACTCTCTACTGTCTAATATCTGAAAACTGTCACTTCATATATTCTGTCCAGTTTTTTAAAAATTTAGGTCATAGGATAAATCTGGTTACAATCATCCCATCTTGACTGACAATGGAAGACTTCTATAGAATTTTTTTAATGTCCTCAAATCCAAAGGTTTAAAATCCAAAGCGATCTAACTATGCTACTCTATTCAGAGCTGGAAGGAACTTAATCTCACTTGAAATCATACTAGCACTTTTATGTCATCCCATATTCTACCCCTTCTTTACCCCAATTTCTTTACTTATCAGTTTTTCTTCTCTTTCAATCTTACGCATTTATGACCTGTGATCTCTTGACTCCCTCTGATAACCCAGTCTGTTAGTATCCTTTCATTTCTGTATTCTTCCTAATTCTCCCTGGATATCAGTTTAGCTAATCTCTAATAAGAGAAAAATTCTATTACCATATTTTTGTTCTTCTGTTTCTGATTCCATAGACTATGGTTTACTAAAGCTTGCTAGAAAATTCTCGATATTATATAGTTGATCTGTCTAAAATAAAGCCATATACATTTTTTAAAGATTGAAATCATACAGAAAGAATATCTTCTCTAATCACAATGAAATGAAGCTGAAAATTTATAAAAGAAGGGAAACTGGAAAATTAATATGAAGAAATTAAACAAGACACTCAAACAATCAAAGTCTCAAAGAAAAAATACAAAGAAAATTAGGAGATACAGATGAAAGAAAACAAAAGCACAACATATTAAAGCTTATGGAATGTAGCAAAGGTAGTGCTTAGAGAAAATTTTATATCAATAAATGCCAACATTAAAAATAGGAAGAAAAATCTCAATTCAGTAAGCTAAATTTGTACCTCAGGGAAATAGAAAAAGAGCTAACTAAACCCAAAGCTAGTAGAAAGAAAAGAACAATAAATTTAGAGTGGAGATAAACACAATAGAGACTAGAAAAGTAATAGCAATAAATTAATGAAACCAAAAGTTGGTCTTTTTGAATCAGTGACATTTAGAAACCTTTAGCTAGACTGATGAAGAAAAATAGAGAAGAAACAAATAACTAAAATAAATGAATTTGGGAACATTACTATAGACACTGAAGAAATAAAAAGGATTATAAGAAAATGCTATGAACAATTGTACCCCAACAAATTAGATAACCTAGATGAAATGGGCAAATTCCTAGAAATACACAAATTGGGGCTGAGTTGCTAGAATTTCCTTCTTCTGCCATAGAGCAGGGTCAGCAAACTATGGCCAATGAGTCAATCTTTAGCCCACAGCTTGGTTTTGTTTGTATGTGTATTTTACAGCCATAAAACAGAATGGTTGTTCTGTGTTTAGAGGATATTAACAAACGAAAAAACAGACTAGATGGGAAAGAGGCTGTGTGTGGTCAGCAAAACCTAAAATATTTACTCTCTGACCATTTACAGAAAATGGTTTCCTACCCTTGTTGTAGAAGGAAAAGCCTGAAAGCTTTGGGGGATATGAATTTTGGAGGGAAACATTTTATTTTCATCTACCCCAAATCACATTTTCCTAGGATGTCCCAGAGAACATTTCCTCTCCAAAGGTTTTACTAAAGGCCTTGGATTGCCATTCTAACTGGTGTGAGATGGTATCTCATTGTGGTTTTGATTTGCATTTATCTAATGACCAGTGATGGCAATCATTAAAAAGTCAGGAAGCAACAGATACTGGAGAGGATGTGGAGAAATAGGAATGCTTTTACACTGTTGGTAGGAGTGTAAATTAGTTTAACCATTGTGGAAGACAATGTGGCAATTCCTCAAGGATCAAGCAGGAATAATTTGACCCAGCAATCCCATTACTGGGTATATGCCCAAAGGATTATAAATCATTCTACTCTAAAGACACATGCACACGTATATTTATTGCAGCACTGTTCACAATAGCAAAGACTTGGAACCAACCCATATGTCCATCAATGATAGACTGGATAAAGAAAATGTGGCACATATACATATGCAGCCATAAACAAGGATGAGTTCATGTCCTTTGCAGGGACACGGATGAAGCTGGAAGCCATCATTCTCAGCAAACTAACACAGGAACAGAAAATGAAACACTGCATGTTCTTACTCATAAGTGGGAGTTGAACAATGAGAACACATGGACACAGGGAGGGGAGCATCACACACCAGAGCCTGCCGGGGGTTGTGGGGGTGGTGGGGGGATAGCATTAGGAGAAATACCTAATGTAGTTGAAGGGTTGATGAGTGCAGGAAACCACCGTGGCACGTGTGTACCTATGTAACAAACCTGCATGTTCTGCACATGTACCCCAGAACTTAAAGTATACTTAAAGAATAATAATAACAATAATAATAATAAAGAAAGGCCCTGGAGAAGACAACACCGCTATCCTCTATAGGCTTTTGGAGGCTGTCTTAGGCTGGATATAATGGTGGGAGATGAATCATGAAGAGGAGGGACCATAGGGTGGCCCTGATCTGGTAGAGACAAGAAAGATAAAGGGACACAATGAAGATCTATGGAGGCGCATAATTGATCACAGAGTTTACAGGAGTTAAAATAAGTGACTGCACTTTATGTTGTTGCTTAATATACATAGTTTATGTTTGGTGGACTAAATACCTTTTGTTGGTTTAACAATACAAAAGGTTATCATTTTTTTACATCTTCATAAACCCTCCCTATCATCAGATTATAAAATATTTGCCAATTTGATAGAAGATAATATTTATTATTTTACTTTACATATTGTTAATTAGTAGGATTAACACCCTGTTTATTGACCATTACATTTCTGTTTCTGTGAATTGCCTGTTCACAGTTTGCAACTATTTTTTTCAAATGAGCCATTTGCCTTTTTCTCACAAGTATTTAGGAGTTAAAAAAATTATTTTGAGTAATAAGCTATTTATTTGACAGAATCCAAATATTTCTTTAGAAAACATAGTCAAAGCTACTATTTTTATTTGTTTTACTTTTCCAAAAACTAATTTTACTCATTTTATTAGTCTTATAATTTTGTGTGTTTTTGTGTTGAAGTAATTCTATGCATTCATGGCACAAAGATATTCTGTATTTCTCTTAATGTGTTTAATGTTTCTTTTTCTCATTTAATACTTTAACTTATCTGGAGTTGTTTTTGCTTCTGTTTTGAAAAGTATAATTTAATATTTTCTTATGTAAACAAATTGCTCAGCTATATTTTTCCTAAAGATTTTCAGTGGTCTGCCAAAGTCCCATACATATTTTGCTCTGTTTCTTGATTCTTGATTTTGTCCCATTTTTCATTTTTCCGTCTCCGTGCAAATATAAAATTGTCTTAATTATTATAACTTTATACAAATCTTCATATCAAGTAGTGAAAATTATCTTTCTTGTATTGGTATTGCATATCTTTTATTGTTATTTTGACACTTTGCTTTTATATATGATTTTTAGAATCAATTTTTAGTGGATTTCTATTGGAACTGCAAGAAATTTATAGATTAATTTTGTAAAATTTGACATGTCTTTGATATTATGCCTTCCCTGTCATAAATATGATAAACTTTTCTATTTATTCAAATCTTCCTTTGCATCCTTCAGAAATATTACATATGATTTTTTTAAAGTTTTATACATCTTTCATTAAATTTATACTGAAGTACTATAAAACTTTTGCTGTTATTTAAATAGCATGTTTTCCACTATATTTTCACATAGTTAATATGGGTAAATAGGAATGCTCTAATATTTCTGCATTGATTTTCTTTCTGAAAACTAGGGTGGAACTCTCTTATTGGTCATAAAATATGCCTATAGATTCTGTTGGATTTGATATATAGAAAATTACTTTATTTTTATTTTTGTTCATAAAAATAATAATATCATCACTTCCAATTTTTATAACTTGTATTGATTTTTCTTGTCTCAATACACTGGCTAAAAATTCCAGAAATGTATTAAACATTATAATTAATATCTGGAATCTTTCTCTTGTTCCAATGTAGAGTTTATTATTAAATTTGGTATTGTCTGATTTTGTTGTTAAATTAATCTTTTATTCCTGGGCTTCTAAGAGTTATTTTCCCCCCATTAATTAGTTAATTTTTTTAAATGTTAGCAAAATGGCATGTTCTATTCTTTTTTTTTCTTTGAGAGGGAGTCTTGCTCTGTTGCCCGGGCTGGAGTGCAGTGGCATGATCTCAGCTCACTGCAACCTCTGCCTCCCCGGTTCAAGCAATTCTCCTGCCTCAGCCTCCCGACTAGCTAGGATTAGATGTGCGTGCCACTATGCCTGGCTAATTTTTGTATTTTTAGTAGAGACGGGGTTTCGCCACGTTGGCCAGGCTTGCCTGGAACTCCTGACCTCAGGTGATCCGCCCGCCTCCGCCGCCCAAAGTCCTGGAATTACAGGCGTGAGCCACCGCTCCCAGCCGGTATGTTCTATTCTTTAGGATGAATTGCAGTAATACATTTATGAGGTTTAAATATTCTTTCATTTCTGAGATAAAACTTACTGATTAAAATTCAGTGTTATTGTTATTATTCTTTTTCAATGTATTATTTCATGTGTTAAATTTTATTTGGGATTTTTGACCTATATAAGTAAAATTGATTACTAACTTTAATATAATTTTTCAGTTTAATTTCAAGTTAATTTCATTTCATTAAAGAAATTGGTTGATGTTTTTAATATATTTTTTCTTTTGGAACACTACTATATGTTAAGAAAATTTGCTCCTTAGAATTTGACAAATCTTTTTTTCAAAGCAATTTAAGCTCTTTGTGTTCGTTGTTGGGAGTTAGATTAGTGATGTTGGATTGCTAGTATAATATCTTTAATAGTTACTAATTTATACCAGTTTTCTATTTATTACCTGTCAATTTTCAAATTCATATTTTCTACAAAATTGTCCAATTCTTATTTTCATTTTCTAGCAAATATTTATATGCAGTTTTCTTCTATGTTCCTAGTTATGTTTCTTTCTATGTTTTCGATAGCAATATTTATACCTTCTTTCTATTTTATAAAATTAGTTTTGCCTGAGGCTCATTTATTTTATAATCCTTCTGGGAATCAACATTTAAGTTAATGGAGCATTTTTTTTGTATTTTATTTAATTTCTGGCATTACCTTTATTACCTTCTTTTATCACCTTTTCATAAGTCTGCTTTATTGCACTTTTTTTCTGGATTTTGAAGTTTAATATTTAGCTTATTTGGTTTTAGGATCTTTTTGGGGAGTGGGACATAACAAACTAAAGCTCCAGTTTTCTTATATCACCTTAGCTTCATCCTACAACTTTACCATATAGTGAATTTTGTGTTGTTTAAGTCTAAATATTTTATACTTTTTAGACATATGGTTTATTGATCTTCTAATTAATTGATTTCAAGTGAAATTTTATTGTGGTCAGAAAAGGTGGTGACTGTAATATCGATTCTAACAATTTTTGAGATTTCTTTTGTAAACAGCTAACTGGTCCATCTTTTTGCAAATATATATATGTATACATATATGTGTATATATATGTGTGTGTGTATATATATATATATATATATACACACATATATATATACACATATATATATTTTAACCAGAGTCACACTCTGTCACCCAGTCTGGTATGCAGTGACATCATCTTAGCTCACTGCAACCTCTGCCTCCCGGGTTTCAGCGATTCTCCTGCCTCAGCCTCCCACATAGCTGGGATTACAGGCAAGCACAACCACACCCAGCTAATTTTTGTTTTCAGTAGAGACAGGGTTTCACCGTGTTGCCCAGGCTGGTCTTGAACTCTTGACCTCAAATGATCCACACGCCTCGGCCTCCCAGATTGCTGGGATTACAGGCCTGAGCCACGGCCCGTCCATAAATTTTGCAAATATTTTGTTAGTGCTTAACATTCTGCTTGATGTATTAGTTTTTGATACAGGTTTATTAAAATCTACAAGTATAATCGTATATTTGTCAATATTCATTTTCAAATCACTAAGTTTTATATATCCTTTTGAATATCCTTTATGAATATTCAAATTCATGCTTATTATTTTTTCCTGATGTATTATTGCAGTTTTCAATATTAACATCCACTTTATTTCCATCATTGCATTCACTGTTAGAGTATGTTATGTCTAAAATTAACACTGTAGTGTAGGCTGGTTTTTTTTTTGAATAATATACCCATTGAAAATTTTTCCATCCCTCTATTTTTTGTTTTGCTATGATGTAGGATGTAGGACATAACTTGAGTAAACACACACACACACAACACACACACAAACACACACACCTCAAACGTCTAAATTTTAATGTATACATTTA
Organism: Homo sapiens; assembly: GCF_000001405.40. Lineage (NCBI taxonomy): Eukaryota > Metazoa > Chordata > Mammalia > Primates > Hominidae > Homo > Homo sapiens. The sequence continues at coordinate 81,085,205 of NC_000001.11, read as the reverse complement.
ATCTATATAAATTAACTTTGGTCACTTTGTTCTATCACCTTACATAATGCTTTTATGTTTGGTTCTATGGGTTTTGCTTTCTTCTTTCTTTCCTCTGAAAATATCAAACTACCAATGAAATTCTTTACAGAACTAGAAAAAAAACTATATTAAAATTCATATAGAAACAAAAAAGAGTCTGAATAAGGCAATCCTAAGCAAAAGAACACAGCTGGAGGCATCACACTGCCCTACTTCAAACTATACTTCAGGGCTACAGAAACCAAAACAATATTGTACTGTTACAAAAACAGACACATAGACCAATGGAACATAGTAGAGAGTTCAGAAATAAGGCCACACAGCTACAACCATCTGAGCTTTGACAAAGCTGACAGAAACAAGCAATGAGGAAAGGACTCCCTATTCTGCAAATGGTGCTGAGATAACTGGCTAGCCATATGCCGAAGATTGAAATTTGGCACCTTCCTTATACCATATATGAAAATCAACTTAAGATGGACTAAATACTTAAATGTAAAAACCAAAACTATAAAAACCCTGGAAGACAACATAGGCAATACCATTCTGAACATAGGAACAGACAAATATTTCATGATGAAGATGCCAAAAGCAATTGCAACAAAAGCAAAAATTGACAAATGGAATCTAGTTAAACTAAAAAGCTTCTGCACAACAAAATAAACTATCAACCAAATAAATAGAGGACCTACAGAATGGGAGAATTTTTTTTTTGCAAACTATGTATCTGACAAAGGTCTAATATCCAGCATCTAAAAGGAAGTTAAAAAAATTTACAAGAAAAAAACAATCCCATTAAAAAGTGGGCAAATGACATGAAGGACACTTTTTAAAAGAAGACATACATGTGGCCAACAAGCATATGGAAAGAAGCTCAACATTACTGATTATTACAGAATACAAATAAAAGCTACCATGAGATACCATCTCACACCAGTCAGAATGACTGTTATTAAAAAGTCAAGAAAAAACAAAAAATGCTGACTATAACAGGTTGTGGAGAAAATGATATGCTTATATACTGTTGGTGGGAGTGTAAATTAGTTCAACCATTATGGAAAGCCGTGTTGTGATTGCTCAAAAGCTAAAAACAAAATTACCTTTCTACTCAGCCATCCCATTACTGGGTATGTACCCAATGGAATATAAATCGTTCTACCATAAGACACATGCATGCATATGTTCCTTGCAGCACTGTTCACAATAGCAGACATGGAATCAACCAAAATGTCCATCAGTGGTAGACTGAATAAAGAAAATGTAAATATATACCATGGAATACTATGCAGCTATAAAAAGAATGAGCTCACATTCTTTGCATTAGCCTTAACAAACTGACGTGGGAACAGAAAATCTAATACTGCATGTTCTCACTTAAAAGTGGGAGCTAAATGATGGGAACACATGGACACACACAAGGGAAAAACAGACACTGGGACCTATCTGAGGGTGAAGGGTGGCAGGAGGGAGAGTATCAGGAAAACAACTGAGTACTTGGCTTAATACCTGGGTGACAAAATAATCTGTACAGCAAACCCTTGTGACACAAGTTTACCTTTATAGCAAACCTGCTCATGTACCCATGATCATAAAAGTTAAACAAATTAAATGAATGCTAGATCATTTCATATTACCACAATTCTCATATATTGTTCTTTTTATTTTTTGTATTCTTTTTCTTTCTGGCTTCACTATGGGTAACTTTTGACCTGTCTTCAAGTATACTGATTCTTCCTTCTGTCTTATGACACGTATAATGCTACAATGAAAAGAAATCTCTATCTAGTCTCACTGCCCTTCTGTTTTCTGTATATCTTCTATCTTTATCTGAACCATAAAAATTAACTTCTAACTGATATTAATTCACCAACTGTGCAAATATTAATACCTTATTTTCTGATGCATTGTTCACATCACTCTTTTCCCTTGCCCAGAAACTGACAGTGATTTTCTATTGCCCACCTAATTATTTATCAGCTCTGTTGACTTGTATTGAACATCCTTCACAATTTGGTCCCAATTTATAGTTTTCTAGATCATCTCCTATTGTTTATTTATTTGTTCAGCATATATTTATTTATTTTAATTTGTGGTTACATAGTAGGTATATATATTTATGGGTTACATGGGACATTTTTATACAGGCATACTATGCATAATAATCACATCAGGGTAAATCTGTCACCTCAAGCATTTATCTTTTGTGTTACAAACAATCCAATTATACTCTTTTAGTTATTTTAAAATGTACAATGAAATTATTTTTTACTATAGTCATCCTGTTGTGCTAGCAAATAGTAGGCCTTATTCATTCTTTCTAAGTATTTTTTGTACCCCTTAGTGCTCCTCACTTCCTACCCACCCCCACCACTACCCATCCCAGCCTCTGGTAACCATTCTTCTACTCTCTATCTCCATGAGTTCAATTACTTTAATTTTTATCTCCCACCAATAAGTGAGAACATGAGAAGTTTGTCTTTCTGTGCCTGGTTTATTTAACATAACATAATGACCTTCAGTTATATCCATATATGCAAATGACAGAATCTCATTTGTATGGCTGAATAGTACTCCAATGCCTATATGTACCACATTTTCTTTATCCATTCATTGCTTGGCAGACACTTGCATTGCCTCCAAATATTGGCTATGGTGAAAGAGTTCTGCAATAAACATGGAAGTGAAGATATCTCTTTGATATATTGCTTTCCTCTCTTTTGAGTATATACCTAGAAATGGAATTTCCAGATCATATGGTAGCTCTATTTTTAGTCTTCTGGGGAACCTCCAAACTGTTCTTTATAGTGGTTGTACCGATTGACATTCCCAGCAACAGTCTACAAGGGTTCCCATTTCCCTGTGTCCTTGCCAGCATTTGTTATTATTGCCTGTCTTTTGGATAAAAGCCATTTTAACTGGGGTAAGATGATATCTCATTGTAGTTTTTGACTTGCATTTTCTTTGATGATCAGTGATGCTGAGCACCTTTTCATAAGCCTGTTTGCCATTGGTATGTCTTCTTTTGAGAACTGGCTATTCAGGTCAGACCATCTTGCTCCCCTCCTTCAACATACATTTATCAAACACTGCTAGGCGCTGAGGAGCAAATAATAAACAACAACAAATAGACACCATGGTCTGAATAATTGTGTTCCACCAAAATTAATATGTTAAGATCCTAACACGAAAGGCAATGGTATTAGGAGTTGGGGCTCTTGCGGGTGGGGTGACTAGGTCATGCAGAGAAAGCTTTCATAGATGGTGTCAGTGTCCTTATAAAAGGGGTTTCAGTGATCTGCCCTATCGCTTCCACCACGTGAGGACGCAGTGAGAAAGTGCCCTCTTTGAGGAATGGTCCCTCACCAGACATGAAATCTTCCAGACCCTTGATCTTGGCATTCTTAGCCTCAAGAACTATGAAAAATAAATGTTTGTTATTTATAAGTCACCAAGTTTGTAATATTTTTGTTATAGCATCATGAATGGATTAAGAAGTAGACTCTCCTCAAAAATGACATAAACTCTGGTGGTTAAACCATGCATTAATATAATGATCACAGTAAAAAAAAAATCATAAAATTACAACTGCAATTTTAGCACAGACTTTCATGGTGCAATAAAATAACATATCAGTAGATTCTGACCAGATTAGTAGGGTTGAAAATTCTCCTATGCAAAGTAATGATTCATGTTGAGAAATAAAAATGAGCATCAAGTGAACTAAATGAAAAAAGGAGGAAGAATTTCGTGCAAAAAAAGCACACCACTTTCAAAATCTCTGTGGCAAAATGTAGGGTGAATCACGTAAGGAACTAAAAACAATCTCACTTGAATGCAGAGAATGAAGGTATCCAATTCTGAGATAAAGTTACATACAGAGATTGAAAACAAGGTATGCAGTGTCCTGTAGGATTTCAGATTTTACTTCAAGGTCAGTGGAAATTCATTGAAGATTTTTGAGTAGAGGTGTGATATGATCAAAAGTATGAGCTGGTTGCAGTGGTGGCTCAAATATAGGTTGAGTAGAGTTATGATAGTTATGACGGTTGGAATGATAAGGTTATTATTTTTTGGAAATTCTTGGATAATAATTCATTTAGGCAGGAAGACTGTTAATGGGGGTAGGCTACCTAGGGATAATAAAATTGATAAGATTAGGGATGTTAGTCATGTTCATTTGTTTCAGGCATGGGATAGTAATAGGGTTTTGGTGCTTGAATCCAGGTTGAGTGCCAGGAATGCAGTAGTTGTTAGGATAAAATAAATAATTAGGTTAAAGATGGTGATATTTCAGTTATATATTTGTACTGCTATTATTCAGCCTATATGGGTGATTGAGGAGTATGCTAGGATTTTACGTAGTTGTGTTTGGTTAAGTCCGCCTGTAATCCCAGCACTTTGGGAGGCCAAGGCAAGAGGATCACTTGAGGCCAGGAGTTCAAGACAAGCCTGGATAATGTAGCAAGACTTCATCTCTACAAAACATTAAAAAAAAAATAGCTGGGTGTGGTGGCATGTGCCTGTAGGCCCAGCTACTCAGGAGGCTGAGGTGGAAGAATTGCTTGAGCGCAGGAGTTCAATGAGCTGCAATGAGCTGTGATTGTGCCACTGCACTACAGAATGGGTGACAGAGTGAGACTCTGTCTAATATATGTGTGTGTGTGTGTGTGTGTGTGTGTGTGTGTGTGTTAACATGACTATGACTTCTATAAAAATAGAGTAGATAAACAAGAATGGATATGTATAGTGCAGTTGTAGCTCAGGCTAGAGACAATGAGTGTACACTAGAATAGTTACTACGGTTATGTAGTTGCTATGGTTTTAAAGACGAAAAAATAAACCTGAGAAATGTGTAGGTAAAACTAACAAATCTTTTTACTAGATTTGTTATGATGGATGGATTATGTAAAATCAAGGATGTTTCCTAGGGTTTTGGCTTATTTAATTTGACGGAAGATGGAGTCATTCATTGCCATAATAAATACTGGGGAAGAAAGTCCATCTCTGGTTTGGTTTTGGAAATATGAATTCTCAGTTACCTTTCATTTTTCCCAAATGGAGATTACAATAATGCAGTTGAGGTCCACAATTTAGAGGGGAGGTCTGGATTAGCGGTATAAATTTTGGAGTTGTCTGAATATAAGTGGTAAATAAAGTTGTGTATCGATGAGATCATCTAGGAAGAGGATATGGAATGAGGAAAGAATAGGACTAAGGAAAAGTCTTCAGTTTGCTCTGTATTTCATCATTGGCTAGAGAATGATCAGCCTGAAAAGATCCAGATATAAACAAGCCAAAAAGTTCAGACAGCAGCTAAAAGTGTGCATTATTCAAGAAGCTAAGAGGAAGATACTAATTCCAAAATGAAGTAAAAATCATATCAATTTAGATAAGAACCAAATATTATCCATTAGATCTGGTGATTTTAAAGTTATTGTGATCTTATTTAAAGCTATCTCAGTGGAATAATTGTGTATGGCTGATTGACGGAGTTGTGTGTTCAAAAGAATTTAAAAAGAACATAATTTTTTAAGTTAGAAGAAAGAACAGCATAGTCATATTCAAAGTCTCTGAAGAAGAAACCCAACAAAAAGAAATAGATCACATATTTAAATATGCAATTCATGAAATCTTTCTAAAATTAGAAATTAATTGCAACTACATAATAAATGAGCACATCACATTCTGAGGAACACGTTTGATATTGGCTCAATACAAATATACTTTAAAATAGTAACTGTATTTCTAAAATTAAAAGAGTCATTTAAGCAAACATGGCAAAAGATCATCATCTCTTGTTTTGTGCCTAACCTTGTAATCGAAGTAAAACTCATACACTATAAAATGCAGATAATTTATGTGTACCATCTGATAATGTTTGACAAGTTCATACACATGCAATCACTACCCCAATCAAGACACAGAATATTAGAACCTAAAATTTTCTCAAGCCTCTTTCTAGTCAATACCATCCACAACAATTACTGTTTTTTATTTTTAATCACCATATAGCACTTCATAGAATGTATTTATACAGCACGTACTATTTTGTGGCAGATATTTTTTACTCAACATGTTATATTGGAGGTTTATCCATGTTGTGGCATTGCTAAGTGGCATTCCATTGTATAAAGATATCAAATTAGTTTATTAGTTCCCCTGTTGATGGACATTATATTGCTTTTAGATTTTGGCTAATATGAATAAAGCTTCCATGAGTATTCTTGTACATCTCTTTCTTGTTCTTAGGTGAAGACTTAGGAATGGAATTGATGGGTCACAGGGTATGTACACGTTTAACTTTAAGATAGTGTCACCCCTTTCCCAAAGTGGCTGCTATTTTAACCTCCCACCAGCATGGTGGGGATATGAAAAAGTACCAACTGAATCACATCTTGACATCATTTGGTATATGGTCAGTCTTTTTAATTTTTAGCATTCTAATGGGTGTGTCGAGTCCCTTTCCTCTTTTTTTCTAGAGTCGATATTTTTATTGTCAGTTACTAGAAGTGTATTACTTAATTAGAAAATATTAAGTGCAAATTTAAAACATCAGCATAGTTTTAAAAAATAATGTTTTATAAAATTTTAAATAAAAATTGACATTTTAACTACTTTTAACTTTTCAATTCAGTGGCATTAAGTATATTCACACTGTTGTGCAACCATTACCACCATCCATATCCAGGATTTTTTTTTATCCTGCAAACTGAAACTCTGTACCCATTAAACCAAAACTCCCCATTCCTCCCTCCATCCAGCCCCTGGAGATCGATCATTGGTCTACTTTCTGTTTTTATGACTTTGACTAAAATAGATATCTCATATAAATGGAATCATACGGAAATTATCCTTTTGTGACTGGATTATTTCATTTACAGTGATGTCTTCAAGGTTTATGCATGCTGTAGCATGTGTCAGAATATTCTTTTTTTTTTTTTTTTTTTTTTTGAGACAGAGTCTCGCTCTGTCGCCCAGGCTGGAGTGCAGTGGCGCGATCTCGGCTCACTGCAAGCTCCGCCTCCCGGGTTCACGCCATTCTCCTGCCTCAGCCTCCCGAGTAGCTGGGACTACAGGCGCCCGCCACCATGCCCAGCTAATTTTTTTGTATTTTTACTAGAGACGGGGTTTCACCGTGTTAGCCAGGATGGTGTCGATCTCCTGACCTCGTGATCTGCCCGCATCGGCCTCCCAAAGTGCTGGGATTACAAGCGTAAGCCACCACGCCCGGCCCAGAATATTCTTTTTAAGACTGAATAATATTCCGCTGTATGTCATTCACTGATAGACACTTGGGTTGATTCTACCTTTTGGCTATTGTAATAATACTGCTATGAACATAGGTGCACAAATGGTCTGAAGTGGTATCTTATTATAGTTTTCATTGGTATTGCCTTCATGATAGTGATGTTGTACATTGTTTTATGTACTTATTGGCCATTTGTGTATTTTTTGGAGAAATATTTATTCAAATTTCTTGCTCATTTAAAATCAAGTTTCTGTTATTGCTTATAGAAGTGCTTTATATAATAGGGATATAAACCTATTATCAGATACATGATTTGAAAATATTTGTTGTCACTTTTTTTTTTTTTTTTTTTTTTTTTGAGACGAGTGTTGCTCTGTCGCCTAGGCTGGAGTGCAGTGGCATGATCTCGGCTCACTGCAACCTCTGCCTCTTGGGTTCGAGCAATTCTCTGTCTCAGCCTCCCGAGTGGCTGGGATTACAGGCACCTGCCACCATGCCTGGCCAATTTTGTTTTTTTTTGTTTGTTTGTTTTTGTTTTTTAGTAGAGATGGGGTTTCACCATCTTGGCCATGCTGGTCTTGAACTCCTGACCTCATAATCCACTCGCCTCGGCCTCCGAAAGTGCTGGGATTACAGGTTGTCACTTTTAAGAATAAAAAGTTATGTTAGTCTAAGATTTCTACAAAGGAACCCTCATTTGAGTAAAAATAGAATAAAATACTCAAGACATCCTAGCAAACAAAGTAAAGCCAAGAATTTTTAACCTGTCAAGCTGCCTTCAAGTGTATAAATTATAAAAATGCCAATATTAAATATATAAGAATTCAGAAAATATTGTTTCACCACAGTATCATAAAGAATCAATCAATGTATTAACCACTGTCAATCAATAAATGACTGTGAGTAGATAGAAAAATGATGGGTGGTGAGCACAGACTATATTTAACTGTGGAACTGGATTAAAGCAAATGTAGACATTAGAATGAAAAAGAAAGGAAAATTTTGTTTTAAAAAAGAAAGAGAGATCTAAATAGAGTCACTCATGGTAAATTTCCACATTACCAAACTGATACCGTAGTTGTTTACTTACAAGATCTGAACATCCCAGAAATCAGGAGAGAAATGATAGGCAAATTCTATTAAGCTAACAAAATTTTACTTATATTCCAATAAGGACAGTAGCTTCGAAATTATCAAACTGCTATTTTTTTTCCTTGTTCCTGCTTTTCTCCATTTTTTTCTTCTTATAAAACTCACCCACTAATTGGAGTTCCTTCCTATTTCATAAATTGGATGCTGTTCAGTTCATGGATCACTAATAAAAGTCAACTAGATCTTTGAAAATCAATTTTTTGATAATTTTGTCTTTGATAAGTTTTATATTCTTTCAATATAGAAATATAGCACAAAAAACTAAACATTAGTGAAAAAAGGTAGAAAAAATAATAGTTGCATTGATGACATTATTTGAAAAGCTCAGCTGAAGGACATAATTTCAAGGTAAGTAATTTTGTTTAAAAAACTATAAGTACATTAAATGGTGGAAAAATAAACCATTGGAAAGTTAATATATTCAGGGGAGGGCTTTATATTAATTAACATTTCAATATTCATTGTATGCTTACTTAGATGGAAGATCAAAGCCTATATGAACACTAGAAATGCCGAAATTGAAAGAAAGGAGAAAAACAATACAAGTATTTAGAATAGATAACAACAACAATAAAACAGCATTTGGCATCTAAGTGGATTTAGTGGTAAAGCATAGTAAGGGAGAGAAAATAATTTTCAAGGCTTTTCTTGGAAGGTTGATAAAAGAATGAGGATGCTTTTTGAATTAAGGAAGATTAGCATAAAAGGATAAATGAAAGGAAAAGTGAATATTTCTGATTTTCTACCTTGCTGTTGATTTGGTTGATTATCACCTGGGCTACTGGCTATGTGAATTCCAATTCAAAGTGACTGAGAGCAAGAGTATAATACTCAATTGAAAGTACACACTCAAGGGACAGATATTGATCAGCTTTGTCTTCTCTTTACTTGTAGAAAGAAACAGTGTAGATGAATCTCCGCAAAATGGAGACAACTACAGAAAATGAAGGAAAATGGGGTGTGTGGTAGGTGTGGGTAGAGTTAACAGGTGTCGGGGGTGAAGGAAGGCTAATTAGGTGGAACTGAGTCCTGATTCTTCTATTTCTGAAAAACAGGAGGAGACTGGAGGTACAAGGGGACTTAACTTTGTCTTAAGAAAAACAAATGACATCCTTTTTTCTTTGCTAAAGTAAAAAGTATATTCTAAAGGATATATATCACATGCCAGGAAATATTTTTAAGCTATAAGAATAAAATTGATCAAGCTAATAATATGTTATAAAATAGAAATGATTTCAGGAAACAGTTGAGGAACCTAAAAATAAAGTGAATTTGTTATTATCATAAACTCAAAATGAACTGTTTAACATAATACTAAGCAAGAATATGTATACATATAATTCTTGATGTATAATAGCAACTAGCTATATGCAATGAGAAATAACACAGGTATTATCTGCTTGCAGTGTTTTTATTAGATTTAAAAATGTGCATCCAGACTTACATGCGTATTTTTGGAGCTTTTATAAAGCTAGACAAATTTAAAGGAGGCAAATAGCACTTTTAGAAGATGAGGATAAAAGGGATTTTGATAAAAGAGGAATAACTTACAGAAGGATAAAAACTACTGGCAAAACAATAAGTAGCTGTTCTCCATATCTATTGAGAACAAAACAAGAGAAAATAGGCTTACATTGTAGACAAAGATTTAAATTGTATGCAAGTTAAAACTTTCTAACGAAGAGAATTTAGAGATACTTGTTGGATATCTTTTTTTGGCTTTGTTTGGAAAATTATTAAGTGTAGAATAAGACTCCCATTGTGTTTTTAGCTATGCCCAAATTACATAAGGTTGAACTCTGTGAAAGTTTGCTGTTGCATCCTTAATGTTAGTGTTTATGTATAACCAAGGATACTGACCAGTTTATCCACATCAATTTTAAAGACGAGAGCAAATAATTGCATCAGGAGAGTGGGGTTAATTATAGAGAAGAATTTCCTGCTGGAGAGGAATGTTAAGCATCAAAATAAAATTTTATGGGACAAAGTAATACTGGATAGAACCCAAGGGTACAAGATACAGTGAAACGATGATTAAGCAGAAATTTCATTGTTGAGCTTGTGAGCCAGGTGTGCCCTGGGAATCTGGTTAAAACCCCAGTCCACTGGAATGGAGAGCAAATGAGAGTGTGGGGCCTAGTCGTATTATGGCCATGAGATGAATTTAGTTTTGGGATTGCCTCAAACCTTTCAAGCCCACAAGAGACTAACTTGAACCAGTCAAGGGCTAATGCTATTATGCTCACTTTGTACAAATTTCTCTGCAAACCAGGAAGGCTTCTAGGATAGCTGAGTGTGGAATAAGAGTTATTCATTGTTGACCTCGGTGTTACAGAGTAAGTCTAAGTGCTTTTTAAACAATATCACATGCATTATCTTATTTAATCATTATAAGAAATCTAGGAAGGAAGATGAAGAAGGTATTACTTCAATTGGCACTTTACAGTTGAAGATATTAAGATTTTGGAGATCAAAATTTTACCCAAATCCTCATAGCAAGTAAGCAGGTCACTCTAGAGACCATATTCTCAGTCGATATTCTACACACTGATTCAATTGTATTTTGAAAATTCAGCAGATATTGTTAAGTATGAGCTAAACTATTAGACTATATTAATTTGTTTACCAAGTTATTTATTTAGAAAATTATAAATGTTTAGAAAAATGTACTTTCTCATTAATAAGTTATTACATGTAGTTAATGAAAAATGTCTAATTTCTTTTTGATGTTATGCTAATTGCAGATTTTTTAAAGGCTTATTAAAATGCATCATTATTTGCTAGAGTTAAAAAGATTAGTTGCTCCCCCTTATGCATAAGAAAATGGAATAATCCTTGTTTCTGACAATTTTCTGGAGGAAAAACAAATTTCAATCATATAAGATTTGCCTTTCAATAACACATTTATGTCCTTTATTTGGCCTCCAGTAAAATATTATTATATTAGATCACATTTCTTTAGTTATATACAAATTAGGCATATTGCACAATGTCTAGGAATTACTTTCCTAATGTTTCACAATAACTGGAATTAATTGAAATCCTTTAGGGTATATGAGGCCAGAAGTGTGTCGTGTTCATGGTATAGTAGGAAATAATTAGATATGTAGTGGAGAGACACTCCCAATTAAATCTTTATGGGAAAATGATTTTGAAATTAGCTTTAAGAAAATTGAATGGAAGCAGATCAGAGGCAAATTGTAACACTCCAGCATAGTATTAACAAGCATATTTTATATCTATTCATGGAATCTGAGTTGTCTTACTTAGAGTTAGAATATAATTTGTGCGACATGTTTGGCAAAGTTAGGTCTATGCCAGATGAACTAAAAAAATCATGGAAACATATTTTCATCACAATAGGAAGTTTTTTTATAGCAGTAATGCCTTACCTTTAATTATCAGATTTATATATAAACCTTAAAAGAGAAAATAATGAATGTATGTTAATAGCCTAAGTTCATATGAGACAGACACAGACTAATACAGAAAAAAATCTTCTTTGTTAGATTCTGGAAATCTGACATTTATTTAATTAATACGTTGTTTATTAAATCACAAGGAAATATTATATAAGATCTTATATCACTTTCTGTTTCAATTTAGAAAAATTGTTATGAATTCACATGAAACAAGATACATTTCGAAAAAGTTTGAGGTAATCCTATCTATGTAGACCCCCTAATTCTTGTTTTACTGCCTTGTTTTGGAAGTTCTAGTACAACACTTTTTTATTTTATTCATTTCTAACAACATTTAAGTAATATAGTTTCAAAGTAAAAAATGTTTATGTAATTATTGATGGAGTTGAAACACTTTAGATTTTGGAGTAATTTCCATAAATAAAAAAACCTCAGATTCAGGGAGGTTAAATAACTAGCCACATAAAAATATCTAATTGTTAGTGACACCTTTGGAACTAGAATTTTACTTCTAACCTTGTCTCTACCCTGAACATGGACCAAAATGTTTCCAGGGGGTAGTTGCTTGCTTGTATTTCTCCATACTTGGACATATGTTCAGTGCACAATGAACAGAAACACTTTTTTAAAGTTAAATTTGAGGACATTTGTACTCATGCTGAGGTGCAGCTTTAAATGTTTTTCTGGATCATTATTGACATTCAATTATCTCGTGGAAAGCTTGTGGCCTCTAGGTTTTTGCCATAATATTCCAATTATAATTTACATAGTGCTTCAGTGATTGGCAAGAAGGAGACTGCAGTGTTATTCACATGCAGAATTTCAGTCCTCGATGAGTAAGCTATTATGTATAAAAGGGAAGCATTTTAAGCAAATTGATTTTCTGTGTAGAGCTTTAGCCCAAAAGGACTTCTTTGTGCAAAAATCAAGATCAATGGTTCTATGCAAAGTTAAATTGAATCATGTCACTGCTTCAATTTTATAATAGTTGTAATGTACAATAAATAATAAACTTGCTTTGGAATCTTTCTTGTTGGTTGTCCTAATTTCAATAACAATAAGTGCGTATTTCATTACACCACTTGCTGTTGACACCAGAACCATCAATAGAATTTACAGTGTAGGAGGCATATGTTTGCATGTCAACCAAAAGCAGGATGCTTGACATGTCTTGTCATTTATTTAACCAAAATGCTGGTAAAACTCAACTCTATTATGATAATTAAACTCTGAATTTATGAATATCATGTAAATGAATTAAAATGAAGAAAGTAATTCCTGCTAGTATGGAGGAGTTGGGGACAGAATTTGGTAGCATATGTTAGTGCATTAAATTGTGACTAATGATAATATTTTCAGTGTAGCAGATCTGGTACCTCCAAAGGGAAAGAGCCACGAGAGGATTGACATGATTATTCTGACAATCCAAGCTTAGAATGCACATTTGTTCCAATAACAGAAATATTTGGGGAGAGATGGGCTGATGCAAATAATTGTGTAGGTGGAAAAAGGAAAGTGAAGTAGCATTTGTTGAGTACTCCCTGTGTGCCAGGCAGTGCAAATGTTATCCTGCACATTCACCTAACAAGACAAGTATTTTTCAAATTCTTACTGTGCCAGGAGTCAGATATATGATAATGGACAGGAAAGATTTAGTTTATACTATCCTGGAACTTACAATCACCTTGCAATGGGTATCTAAGTTGCCCTAATTTAGGATGAATAAGAGCTCAGAGAAGTGAAATAATTAGTTCAATGTCGTATTGTCAGGAAATGGCAAAGATAGGATCCAAACCTAGGTCTGTCTCTCTTCAAAGCCTGGGTATCTTATGCCATCAGCAAATTCAGTTGAAAAGTGAATACATGCTCAGGTATATAATAACAAACATGTGCCTATGTCTATTCATTTGGTAAATTCCTAGTCCCCTGGATTTCTTTGGGTTAAAAAATTTATATATATAAAGCATATCATTTTTCAAATCTTGGCAGGAGCTTATGTCTGGGCCTGAGTCATTTCATTACATTTGACTGTCACACATAAAAGCTTTTCTTAAAATGGTAATATGCACATATTTTTGAAAATTAATTTAATAAAATATTCACTGAAAACAAAGATTAATTACTCCAGGTTTGTCAGCCAACACAACCAAGTGATGACTGTGGCTTTCTTTTTTGAAACAGTTGTTACTTAGACACAAATTATGATGCATTTTTGGAAGATAATTCCTAAATTCATATTAACTGCTTCATAAATTATAGACCAACTGAAAAATTTATGAGAACATTCTCACATGTAGGTGTGTATAAAAACAGGCAAATCTAAGGCTAAAAACAAATACAACTCTCAAGCCTTTTATTTCTTCAGAAATTAGTTAACTCCACCACTGGTTTCACTGGGAAGTAAATTTTTAGTTAAGAAATTGAGGTCATAGGAAGTTATATAACTATCTAATTAAAAAAACTAGTTTGAAAATATTTAAGCATGAAGAAATATTTAGCATTTTTTAATCAAAGAAAATTGTATAATTAACCCTCTCTCTCTTTTTAAAACCAGTTAAAAATTTTTAAGCATATAGATAATGTTCAATATAGGTTTGGGAAATGAGTGTTTTAAGGATATTTGAGGCTGGGCAGGGTGACTCATGCCTGTAATCCCAGCACTTTGGGAGGTCATGGCCGGCAGATCACTTTAGGCCAGGAGTTTGAGACCAGCCTTGTCAACATGGTGAAACCCCATCTCTACTAAAAATACAAAAATTGGTCGAGCGTGGTGGCACATGCCTGTAATCCCAGCTACTTGGGAGACTGAGGCAGGAAAATTGCTTCAATCTGTGAGGCGAAGGTTGCAGTGAGCTGAGATCACGCCATTGCACTCCAGCCTGGGCAACAAGCGTGAAACTCTGTCTCAAACTAAATAAATAAATAAAAAAGGATATTTGAGGGACCCTATCCAGATGTGGACCCTGAGCATTTCAACTGCAAAAACAAATTTCCTCTATTTAGTACTTGATACATACAACTATTTTTGAATCTCTACTATATACTAGATATTATTTCTGGTCCTTGAGATGTATTAATGAACAAAAAAAAGAAAAAAGAAAAAATCACTTACTTTATGGTGCTTACATGTTCTTCTTCCTAGATTTCTGAAAATTATTCTCCTGATTTCCTTCAGTTACTCTCCTTCCTGCCAACATTCTTTAAATGCTAATGTTCTCTGAGGTTTTATTAACATTTTTCTCCCTACGTACTGTATTTGTGTATATCATTCTTGCCTTCAACTGTCTCCTATATGTTGCTTTAAAATCTGTATCTTCCACTTTTCTCTTGTATACCAGTTTCATGTTTCCGAGTGCTTACTCAAGTCCATCTGGAAATCCCACAGTTACTTCATACGTAATGTGTCCTGAATTAAAGCACTATTAACCTCCACTTCCCTTCCAAAGAAATCTTTGCTTTCCTTAGTTTCTTTTCCTTTCTATCAGCATCTTGACACTGATCAAGAAGTCAACCAATGTAAATGTCTATAGTGTTAAGTGATTAATAGTTCAGATTTCTAGACTCAGACAGCCTGTGTTTCTATCCCAACTTTGTCAATAATTAGCTTAGTAATATTGGCAACTGATTTAACCTACTGCAACCATAATTTGCTTAGCTGTAACTTGGGGATTTAGCTGCTAGAATGATGGTGATAGGATTTTAGGGTTTAGTACATAGTAAGGTGTAAATAAAAATTAGTTTTTGGTATTAGTTTTCCTTTTATTATTATATTTTTATAGCTACCACTACTCAGTCATCTTAAAGTGTGCTTGGGAAAGTCCTAGTGTGTCACAAAGCTTTGGGGGCTTCCTCTGCCTTTGAGTCTGAAAGCTACAGTTCCTGATTACCCTCTAAAATAACTTCGGCTAGAAAAACTCTGATGTTGGCCGGGCACGGTGGCTCACGCCTGTAATCCCACACTTTGGGAGGCCGAGGTGGGCAGATCACCTGAGGTTAGGAGTTCAAGACCAGCCTGACCAACATGGAGAAACCCCGTCCCTACTAAAAAGATATATATATATATATAAAATTAGCTGGGCAGTGGTGGCAAATGCCTGTAATCCCAGCTACTAGGGAGACTGAGGCAGGAGAATCACTTGAACTCGGGAGGCAGAGGTTGCAGTGAGCCGAGATAGAGCCACTGCACTCCAGCCTGAGGGACAAGAGTGAAACTCCATCTCGAAAAAAAAAAAAAAAAAGGAAATCTTTGAAGTTATCTGTTCTCTTTACTAGAGTTCAGTAGTTTTGAATTTTGATTGAAATGGATTCTACTGCTGAATATAATTTTATCAACCAATAACGTAGCTCTAGGGATACCACTTTGTTTTTCTATTCAAATCTACTTTTTCAAATACTACACTTGATGAGCCAAACTTTCCACTTGGCTCTGAATTTTTCCTTAGTTCAAGGCTTTAAGTGTCTGCATTTGGCTCAGAATCCCTATCCTCCAGGATGAATTCTCCTGAGAAAATATTGTAAGAGGTAGACAAATGCTGTCGAATATAAGGAGGGGTGACATTGCTGGCTCTTCCTGATACTGCTCTGGTTAGATCAAGTTAGAACTGTGCCGTTAATTAAAAGAAGGCTCCTTTCGTCTTTAATGTATTACCCACAATTGCAAAGCTACTGGTCTCCAACAACAAAGCACACTCCAAAAACAAAACAAAACAAAAATCTGCCTGTGTGAAGAATGAGCCAAGAATAGTAATTAGCTTTTTGACATATTGTTTCTAACGAATGTGTTATTTATTTTAAAATACCAATAGACTATTAAACTAAAACCTCCAACTCTGTTTCTAGCATACCCATATCTCTCCGTGTAAAAAACATGGTATTCAAAGCTGAGAATTACATGCTATATTGAACATGAACTTATAGACAGATAATTTTGAATAGTTGAAATGAGTTACAGGCAGCAAGTAAGTGGTGTTCATATATATATATATATATATATATATATATATATATATATATATATACACACACACATATAGACAGAGAGAGAATACAAATTTTAGTCAGAAACATGTAAGTACAAATTGAACTTTCATTGTTTTTCTGTTACTAAACATAATTTATAACTTGAGTCTGTATTTTCAACTCACTTAAGTTTCTATCATGTAAACCCAGTTGAATTAGCGTTACTTAGTAATTTCTGGTTTTTACTCAAAGGACATCCATCTCTTAACCCCAGATTGCACTTAAGTAGGTCTAGGTGCAAACCACATGTCTTAGATGGGCCATGAAAGGCAATAATGCAGTCTTGACCATGAGCACCCACTGGCCTCTTCAAGACTCTGCAGAGATATAAATCATGATGTCAGGTGTTTGATTATGAGTTTCATTTCCTACAGCATCAGTTACCTCCATTCCCAGTAGACCATAGCTCTAACTTATATGGTCCATGCCACATACACTAACAATGTCCCTCAGTCACCACAAAGAGACCTTTGTCTTGTGTGGCAACCCTCTCTCTTAGCTAATTGTAGTTCCTTCTAGACCTCTAGAAGGCCTGGAAAAATTCCGACAAATGATGGCCATTTGTCTAGAGCTATGGAAAATTTGGGGAATTGTTTCAGATCCTCTCTTCTAAATACATTCCCTCTTGTTTCTGCCTTCTGTTGAGGACTCATGCTGGTACAGGAAGCTTTCCTCTTCCTCTCTCTTTGGCTTTCTGGCTGTGCCACTCTTCTTACCCCTCAGGTGCAAAAAAATGGGTTTATTGCTCCCAAGCTTATGACATATTATCATCATCAGGCCATGCAAAGCATCTCTATTGGATAGTTGATTTTTCTCTTTTACCTTGATTCCTACTCCATTTTTCCTTCTTTTAATAGTTGTCCCATTAACTGTGTTTGACACATATCCTTATATATGCATCTATCCTGGTAAGATATGCAGTATATTTTTGTGTATGTTTTTACTTTATTTAAATGAAACATATATATATATATATATATATATTTTTTTTTTTTTTACCTTAAGTTTTAAGATATGTCCATGTTGCTGTAGGAAGATCTTGATTTTTTTTTTGTTTCTGCTACATAGTATATATCTACCACATTGCATTAGGTTGAACTATATGAAATTGACCTTTTTGTAGAAAAAAGGTCAAAAATTCACAATTTCATATGGTCCAACTTAAACTCATTCATTTCCCTAGTGACAGAAAAATAGACTGGCCAATTTTTTGCAACCACGGCAATGTATCTATTAGCATGCTTGTGTATGTGGTTTATATATTATGCTCAGGAATGAGATTGCTGGGTAGTGGAGTGTATGTTCATTAAATTTCACAAAGAATGGCCACACTGTTTTCTGAATGTCTACTCTACCCGGGGCCTCCTTTGTAAGTCCTGGTGCCATCTCAGACATGACCAGGTGGCAAGAAATAAGCCCCCATTGTTCTTGGACCTCTCCAAATCTGTTTGTTGTTTGTTCCCTTTTCTCTAAACGTGGGCTCAGCCAAAAGGGAGGATGCTGTGCTCTCTGTTGATGATGAGAGGCCTGAGGACTGGTAATGACAACACTAAAAAATTGTATCCCATGATGTGTTCCTTCATTTGGAAGTCTTTCAGTTCTAAATGTCAAAATCCTAACACAAATTATTTCAGTTAAAAAGGGAAGTTTTTGGCCCACTATCCAAAGAAGGGTTGAATGACGAAATCACAGGAGGATAGCTGCATTTGGAACCAAAAATATTAGGGGCTGAAAAGGTAGCAAGGCGTTTTCTTCTCCAGTCCTTGCTACTTTCCACATGATGCTCTTTCACTGTAGACCAGCTTTCTCCACATGATGGAAAACACAGTGGCTGGCAGGTTCTCAGTTTTATGCCATAAAATCCTGTCACCAGAGAGAGATCACCTCTGTCACTCAGATTCATGTATAAAATCCTAGGGAATTTCCCTGATATCACTGGCTTGTGTCAGTGCTTATTTCTGGATCACTCAGCTCCAGTTAGATTAGGAGTGGAGTTAGGCATGAACTTGTTAGCTTTGAGAGGCCATATGTATGGAGGGAGAGGTTCCAAAAAAGAGGATGGGCAGGCTACTTGGCACATTTAGATGCTGATGAGGAAGTAGCAGTGTAAGCTATAGTGTAAGATACATCACGTACCCCCACTTTCCCAGAAAAATACTTACTAGGCCATCGCTCCTTGAATGATGATTCTGCCAATACATTTCTCTTGGCCTATGGTCCTCTTATTCCTCCCAGCGCAACTATGAAACCTCTAGGAGAAAGTTTCCTGGAATCTCTCCCTGGTCCAAATAAAACCAGATACAGCCTGAAATGTGAAAAGGGCCTGTTTTTCTGCCCTTCATGCCACATAACCATTGTTAAAGAGGAAATCCATAGAAACAGTTTCCATCCCTAAACTTTCTGCAACAGTTAATACAATGACTCCACCTGTCAGAAATTGTCTTCTTTGGGATTTCAGAGGAATATCTACTTTCTAATCACCAGAAAGACTTTAAAGTGGACAAATCCTAATGCCGATGATATGAGTTACATGTAGAAATCCTTCAGTCAGATTTGGGAGGGAAGGTGATAGCAGGGGAAGGCAGATATCAGCTATCAGTGTACACAGGTTCAATTCCTGGCTATAGTTAATAGCACAGGTGTATAAAAGAATTGTAGGTTCTTCTGTATGTCTTTCCCCCCCACCCCGAGGCTCTCTTTTTATGTGGCTCAGAAGAACCTCCTGTGGCCAATTGTGGGTTGAAGATAATTAGCCTTTAATTATCACCAGTTACATTTTCACCTGTTCCACTTGCAAATCCCCAGAACTTCCAGTTTTCCAATTAGCGTATTCATCCTCCAACAAGCAAATGTGGGGAAACAGCCTTTCCCTTTGGGAACTAACCTCTTCCCCACTAACCTTTCAAGTTATATTTTAGCTAGTGTAAGAACACCCTTGAGAGGATCAACTTATTTTTATTTGCAATATATATGTACAGAATCTCAGATCAAATGTGTGCTCTCACTGCAGTAGCCGAATCTAGGTAGACACTGGGAATATCATCTCTAGGGAGATCAGAATAATGAGTGTTACTTGAGACAAGAGCAGATCAATTAAATTCACTCAAATAGACAAAACCTTATTTGCAATCTAAAGAAGAGTTTTCTTTTCTTTTTTCCTTTTTGGTTGCATATGGATAAAAGTCAAATGCAAAACATTAGATTGGGAAAAGAATTCTGATTTAGAGTATTTTTTTTTTTTTTTTTTACCGTCTGTCAGGAGACTGAATCTTTATCCATTCTAGCAACAATAGAAAGGACCTTTGACTCACACTAAGGAACATGACTGTGGTGTAATCTTGGAAGCAATAAAATAAATAAATACATAAACAGGGGATAAAATCCCATAGAATTAAGAAAAACTCATTAGCAATAAGCTGGCAAATTTAAAATAAAACATTCAGTAATCCCCCAAAAGCATATTACAAAGGAAAAAAAGGATAATTTACTTCACAGACCTTTTGAGGTTTTATATCTTTGTATCACATGGTATCATACATACTTGATAGTAGAACTATAGAGAAACATTTGGAAAGGCTGTTCTGAGAATGCCTTCTCATTAGCATGCAAATCATTTATTAAGATGCAAATAATTTAACGATAATGTGGCCATAGTCCCCAGAGTAAATAATTTCCATTTTCATTACTGTATATGATATAAATACCCATAATGTTTTCCCTGAGAATTAGAGTACTTATTTAGTACACTTTGATCCGACTACAAATTTTGTCTCATTACTCCTCACTTTAAAGCAGGTAAGTGAACGGGGTTATTTTGCTAGCTCACAGAGGAAGAAATAGAAGACACAGGGTCAGTCCAATCATAGGATGAGTTTAAAACATATGGATGTCCAGGGTTTCTAAGCTACTGATATGGTTTGGTGTGTTCACTAACTCTTCTTTGTGTGAATTTTAATGAACTAATTACACTTCTAATTGTAGGAATTTTAAAAAAACATAGTCAATGTGTTATTTGGCCCAGTATCAAATAATGTAGTTTTAAAATTTAAGATCATAAATTGAAAAATAAAAATCTCACCCCTTGCAGTATTCAAGCCATTGAGACAATTACCTTGAGAAACTTTGTTGTGCAAAGAGTTATGTGTGATTTTCCTTTTGAAATGGTAGGATTTACAAACTGCACACAACAAATTAAGTGATATATTTTAATACTCCCATTTTCAGCATTTTTATTCCTAAGTTATGGGGAATGAATAATATTAAAGAAAGAGTAAATGGGGGTAAAGAAAAAAACTAAAAGATTAAAGAAGGAAGAATTGAATGACATCTATTTTTACCCTGCTTAAATTACTTGCTTCGCCCATTTAACCTATTAATCTCAGGTAGGGAACTAATTTACCTGTCTGAGGAAATTGACAACTGAAGATGATCAGTTAATATAGAGCTATTATTATTTACATTTGAAAATGCTGCAAAGGTGATCGCATTTTGTGGGCCTGAATGTGTCTCTGATTTCTACGGTACTTCCTACATAGGCTATGTATGTTTCCTATGTGGTTAAGAGCATGTTTGTAGTTTACAATCACCCTGGATTGTTGGTCCCTATTTTGGGCTTCATAGCTTACCCAATACTTTCTCATAAACAAGAGCGATCTTTCGCTCATTGCTATGTATCCCATTGGACTTTCTGATGCTTTTACTTTCCAAAAGCAAATGACTTTGTTGCCTGTCGTGATCTTTTTAGCCAGTCTTCAAAGCAGTGGTTCTGGAGTGTGTTTTGAGAAATGGTCTAACTTTTTTCCCATTACATCCAAAAAGTCTTAAAGTTCTCCATGCAAACAGAAACCATAGCAAATAGAGATTTATTTTTTTCCTGCATCTCATGCCTCCAAAGAAATTGACCAGTTCACATTAAGTATTCAGTGATTTTAAGCCCTTTTGGGTGAGACAGACTGCTATTTTCTGGAGTCATTAAGCTTGAGGTATGTGGGTGACTGGTACATCTTGCCCAACTGACAGCACCAAAAATTTAGCTTGGGAAAACAAGGGCTTGTATTCCAGTTCCTGATGTTAGAAAATACCCATCTTCTGAGAAAGTGATTGTTCATCAAACTGAAGTGGGGCAAACAAATTGAAGGGAACACTATTCACACTAAATGGAGAGTGGATAGGACCTTTAGAGTTTTACAGTACTGGGAGTAATCTTTGCTCAGATTTACAGGGCAAATCCTTACAGGGTAGGTAAGAATTAAAACATTCTATTAGGAGAGTGTTTCTAATGGGAGAGTAATCTAAGAGGAAGATTAAGAAGAAAAGAAAGAAAAATGAAATAATAATTGCACAATGGCAAGTCCGACCATGAGTTAGAAGCAAGGAATGTTCCATACATTTATACATTTCTCTATCTAAAGCCCCTTAAAATTAAGTGGCAAGTTAGCTTGGGGTAACAGTGTCTTTGTAGCATTGTATTTTTGTTTGCCATACTGAGCATCTGATCCCAGTACCTGCTTTCAGTTTTACATTAATGTACATATATGTGTATGTGTGTGCAGTGGAATCCATTAAATATGGTGCTTCTAATGTGATGCTATATATTGTTTATGACACATAAGAATAAGAGGAAATAAATAGGAAATACACTTATTTCATGTTTTCAGAGACAGAAATTGTTTATAGGGAGATATTCTTTGAAGTGTTTTCAAAAATTCACAAAACTATACTTCTAATAACATCTATAATTTATTGATCATCTGTTATATACCAGCTACTGGCATTTATTATTTACATTTATTGTCTCTTTATTATCATAGTGTTTCTGAAAGTTAAGGCTGTTGTTTTCAAATGTTGCATCAAGGCAAAATCAAAAAGGTGAAGGAATATTCTTCAGGGAATGTCAAAGCACAAACCTGTATCTCAAGGTAGTTCACAGTTTTGACATCAGAGTGCTACAATAACATCATATCTTTGGGAAGCTGGATTTTCTGCAATTACTATAATAAAAACAAAATGCCACACAAAAATCCATATGGAACAGGAAATGATGGTGGCGGTGTCCTGTTTGATTCTAAGATTTGAGAAGTTGTGCCATGTCCAACAGGCCACTAAGTTGTTAGGATCTAAGTATGTATTAAGTTTTGGATTAACTAGTTAATAAATGGAATGTATTAAATATTACTTTTGGTCTAGGAGTGCTGTGACAAACACTAAATGCCTTCAATGGAGAATATTTGTGTTAGTATGTCAGTTAGTAGTAATTCTTTGGCTACAAGTAACTTTCTAAATTGTGGGAATTAAACAAAAGCGATTATTTTTTCACGTATCTTGAAGTCTGGAGGTAAGCAGTTCAGTGCTGTTGCAGCAGTTCAATAAGATATTAAATGTTGTCTCTGTTTAACCCCATGCTTAGCATGCTGTCTCATGATTTCACTGTCAAAATATGACTGCTTCTGCTCTTGGTATTATATCCATGTTCAAAGCAAGAGTAGGGAGAAAAGGAAAGGCCGATGACATCTGTCTCTATGATAAAGAAAACAAAGGCTTTGCCATTGGCTGCCCAGCAGATTTCCATTTATAGCTTTTTTTCTTTTCTTTTTTTTTTTTTTTTTGAGATGAAGTCTCACTCTGTCGCCAGGCTGGAGGCTGGAGTGCAGTGGTGTAATCTCAGCTCACTGCAACCTCCGCCTCCCAGGTTCAAGCGATTCTCCTGCCTCAGCCTCCAGAGTAGCTGGGACTACAGGCATGCACCACCACACCCAGCTAATTTTTGTATTTTTAGTAGAGACGGGGTTTCACCATGTTGGTCAGGATAGTCTCGATCTCTTGGCCTCGTGATCTGCCCTCCTCAGCCTACCAAAGTGCTGGGATTACAGGTGTGAGCCACCACACCCAGCCTATTTATAGTTTATTGGCCAGCTCTGTTTGCATAGCCATCTCTCCCTACAAAGGCATCTGGAAAAGGGAGTGTTTAGTGCCTGTAGCATCCTATAGTAAATCCTGTAAGTAAAGGAATTGGGAAGGGTGTTTACTTATTTTGAAATATCATCTACCTCAGCTAAGTATTGTCATCTCCAAAGTTACGCTGCCTACTTAAGCAAAAGTTAATCCTACTAAATGGTTTGGCTAGGATTAAACTCAGCTTTCTCTGTTTCCTACATGCATGCTTTTCCTATTATGGTTAGGTACCACATTTACTTTATTTCATATCTCCCTTTTACATTGGCCTCCTCTGCCACAAATGCATAACGAGTTCTTGGGACACTGAGGAGGTCCATGGGGCTGAAGAAAGGGGTACATTAGGTAGGATCACAGGAGCTCCGAAAAGTAAGCAGGAGAATTTTTTTTCTGTAACAGGAATGAAGAAGAGATGCTGTTTTCTGAAGTGAAGACTGTATGATAAAATCAGTGTGCAAGAAAAGTTAGGCAAGAGTTTGCGTGTGGTCATAAATACGTGAACATCACTTCTTTGGGACTATCTCTTGGCACATCCACAGAATCTGGACTCCTCTAAGCATTTGTGACTGCTTCCCGATTCAGTGGCTGTGCCAAGAGATAGCCTCAAAGCTGTAAAGGATTCTGCTTAGCAAAATAAGAGATTAATACGATGAATTTTTATTTCCTTTTCTTTGTCATTAGGATAGAAAACATTTTTGAAGATGTATTTTATGAATGAAAATGATAACAAAATATGTTTCCGGGCATGGGCATTTTGTGAGTAGATACCTTTCTAATCTGGTTGCTCACAAAGATGACAGAGAAATCATAAATAATTCTCCTCAGATTGTTCCTATAAGAAACTAGTGCTTATTATTTCAAAAAAACGAGGGAGAAGAGAAACACTTTCTATAAGAAACTGATGCATATTATTTCAAAAAATGAGGGAGAAGAGAATCACTTAAGATCTGTCAAAAACAAAAACATTTATGCTACCAACTTTTCGCAATGTTTCATTCCAAATATAGTGACATTAGACTCGCATCAAGTGTAGGATGCAGAATTACACTTGTTCAAGTAGTTCATTTGGCAGCAGCACAGAAGAGAATATAATTTGCCAAGCATTGCTTCACTCTGTCTCCCTTAGTAAATGGAGAATTCATTATCAATAGGAAGCTGTACAGGAGATCTATTTGCTTGGTTACTGTTAGGAGTCTGCCCAATTTTTATTATATGTCCTTCTTTCTTCAGGTTTTAAATTTAGACATGAACATTGAATAAACTATAAAAATTGGAAAAATGAAGATGTTTTTGTCTTATGTTTCTGTACCTTGAAATGGCCTGCATTTTTCAGTGAAAAGCAAAGGCTTTTATGGCCTAGAATACTTTCTGCTTTAAAGAAATACACTCAGCAGACAAGTCATAATATGACAATATAGGTTTTCTATGTGGAGAAAAAAATCCATTTCTGTTTGCCATTATGATTGATTAAAAATATTTTTAAAGTACTTACAAAATAATAACTTTAAAGTAAATTATTTTTAATTAAATATTTCTCATCACTTTAGGTACTGTAAGATAATTGGTTGATTATGCTTGTACGATTCATAAAATAATGTTTCATTAATCAAATGTATATTAATTAAAGGCAACAATATTTAAATATAGAAAACATGGTGATTACACACATATACAAGCTACATTTGGAAACTGGAGATTTAATGCCTTCAAATTTACAGTTGCTAACTTTTTTTTTTTTTTGACACAGCATCATATTGTCCATCTACAGCCCATAAGGAAGCCCTTACAAAAAGAAAAGGATCCATCGATAAAGTTATGTCTTTTGTAAGAGACACAGATTAGCATTGCTTATGTTTAATATTGGCCATTTTAATAGTGGAACCAGATGACACACAGGCTTATGTATTTTTAAAACAAAAGGCAAGAATTAAAATGAAGGCTATTCATGATGTCAAATTATTTAAAAATTTATTAGCTATTTCAGAAAGCATTTTAAGATGAATGATTTTTCAAACTGGCAAAACTTTGCAATTCATTCATACGGTTTAGATTATTGTGTGTTTACCTTGAGCCGGATACTCTGCAACTTGCTGAGTAGATCTTGTTGAAGAAGGTAAACACAATCTCTATCTGTTTTGAACTTTCATTACAGTGAAGGGAATAAATTGTGGAAATACTGAGAAAGGAAAGCATGGGGAAGTTGGGTAATATTGAGAAAAAAAAACCAGTAACCTAGTCTAGAGGGACTTGTGGGGACAGTAAAACCTTTGAGGGGGAAAAATGGAAGCCTGTATCACAAATTAGCCAACTGAAGTGTGTGTGTGTGAGTGTGTGTGTGTGTGTGTGTGTTTGTGTTTAGGGTAGGGGGATGTGGGTAGGAGTGGAGAAAAAGGAGAGTGTAGGCTGAGTCATGAACATAGCTGAGACTGGTAAGATTGGACAAAGAGAACATTGGTTGGCATTTGAAGTAATCCAGGTTAGAGATATTGATGATGACCTGGGGTATGGTGACAACTAGAAACATATTCTGTGGATGACATGTGAAAGGCAAGAGGGAGTCGCTATAAAAATGTGGTGGATGGTGCAGATAACTGAGTGGGGCCAATCAGTGAGACAGAAAACAAAGGAAGAGCAAATTGTAGAGTGGGTGAAATGGTATGTTCAGTTTTGGATTTGTTGAATTTTAGAAGTTGAGGAGCTATCTAAGTAAAAGGACACTAGCAGAAGCTCAGAACAGATATCTGGGCTGGAAAAATATACTGGGGAGTTATAGTATGTGAAGATGTCATATATACCCAAAGAAACTTTCAGAGAGACTGTATGGGTTGAAAAAAGGAAATATGTTAGGGTGTAACTTGGATAAACATGAACATT
This sequence comes from Homo sapiens, assembly GCF_000001405.40. Classification (NCBI taxonomy): domain Eukaryota; kingdom Metazoa; phylum Chordata; class Mammalia; order Primates; family Hominidae; genus Homo; species Homo sapiens. Next base: position 81,058,517 of record NC_000001.11, on the reverse strand, counting down.
GAAATGATTCGGTGAGAAGGTCCTAGTAAGGAGACTGATTTGCAGTAGCTAAAGAGACATTTTTTTAAAAAAGGTATCACAAAATCTAAGAAGGATTGACAAACTTTTTCTGTAGAAGGCAAGATAGTGAATATTTTAGGTTTTGTGGGTCAAATGATCTCTGTCCCAACTACACAATTCTGTCATAGACTCCAAAAGCAACCATAGACAATGCATAAATGAATATGTGTGCTTGTGTCCCAATAAAACTGTATTTACAAACATGGGGAATGAACTAGATTTGGCCTGTGGGCTATAATTTGCCAACCTCTGAAACACAGTACCAGGAAGACAAAGAGAAGAGGTTGTTTGATTAAGGTGAAAGTAGTCAAGGCTGTTAAGTGGTGTCAAAGGATAAAGTTCGATGAGGACTGACAAGTATTCATAAAATTTAGCACAAAGCGTGCACTGGGGATTAGGGTGAGGGGATATTTTCAGAAGCATTGGGAGTGTTGCAGCATCTGGAGGAGTGAATGGAAGGGGAGGAAGTGAAAGCAGTTTGTAAAAGAGAACTATATGAAGATATTTCCAGGAGAAAAGATAAATTGTAGCTGGGGAAACTTGAGGTAGAGAAAGATTTTAATTTGTTTTCTTTTCTGTATGTTTTGTAATATGAAAGATTCCTCAGTATATTTAAATACTAAAGAGCAGGAGCCAATAGAACTGGAGAAAAGATTCAGTTTTCTGAGCAGACAGGAAAGGTGGTATCTGGAGCAGATACAGAGAGATTAGCATCAACTCAAGGGAAGACACATCCTCATTTGTTATAGGAAGGAAGAAAAAAGGAAATCTGGCTATTTAGTAATGAGATGTAGAGAACATTCCTTAGGGAAAATTTCTATGGAGTAGGAATCTATTCATCTGACAAAATAAGGGGAGAAGTCATGGGCCCAGATACTTGAAGACAGCGGAGAAGATTTAAATTGAAGCAAGAAAACATGAAAGAAAGGCCTATTAGAGTCTGAGGACAATATAATTCAGAATGGCCAATCAGCTGGATTGTGTGGTTATGTTTTCCCCTGTAATCCTCAGCATCACAGGTGCAGATAGGTATGAAATGAATAGCTGGACTGGGACAGGGAGGGCTTTCACCAGGCAGGCAGGATGAAAGGAATTAAAGGTATTGGCAAGAGATGGTTGAAGATGTGGAACAGAGAATACAGAGAGGGAAGAAGAGAGGATTGGCAGTTCATGTATTAGACACACTGACATGTGTATTAGGATGTTTTTCATGTAGAAAATTACCTTATCTGCAATGGGTTTTCAAGCCCATCCTTCAACAGTACTGTCCATCTTTGATGTCCCTGGAAGTAAATATTATAACTCATACTTTTCATCATATAATGTGAAAATAATTACGTTCTCAATTTTACATCAAAGTGATGCACACTTTTATAATGTATATAATATATGTTAATGCATACAATTATGTTAATGTATATAATATGTAATATATGCATATTTTCAATAAGGGCAATGTCTCTCTATATATTAATTGAGTTACAGGTTTTTTATTTCTGAAATGCTCATGATGCATTAGGAACTAGGCTAAGTGAGAGAGAACTGAAGTAAATAACACAAGTTCTTATTCTAGTAGAACTTAAAAATCTACTATAATATGCAACCACCTCTAGACATAATTATACTGCACCACAGTATAAAAGGAGTTATCTTTTCTTTCTTTAAAATTTCCTCCTAAAAAGGCTGAGTCATATTGAAAGGACTTTCTTCTAGAAAATTTTTCATTTTTAGTATCTGATCATCAGTTTTAATTATTATATCCAAATGTGATGTTAATATTTGGATTTGTTGATGTCAAGTTTCAAGCTTGACATTTTTATTTTCTTTTTGAGTGTACCATGTGGGCTATCTAAAAGTAATTCCTCAGAAAGACATCAATTACTTGCATTGAAGGAGAACTTGAGTATTTACTAAAAGACTTAGTTAAGTGGTTAGAACAAGGCAGTCACAAAGCAGTTAATGGTGGTTACACACACTGGTTCATCAATGATATCATGAATGATGAGAACGTACTCTTGTTGGAATTTCTGTATCCTTATTGGAGTAGCAGGACTCATGATAAGGAAAGAGACAAAGAGAAAGCCACTCAATGCTTATGGAAGAAATAGACAAGAAATATTTGAAAGCAGTTGTCACTACCTGTGAGAATACTGAAAAGCAACTGCCTTTTACTATACTTTTACTTTATACATTTGAAAGAGATAGCACACTAACTACTTAGTTATGGAAAAGTTATCCAATATATCACAAATAGGTATTTTGCTGGGGGGAGGGGAATCTGAGACACTTCTGTCACTACGAGACAAAACATGAAAAAATCAACATCTGGCATTTCAGAAAATTAAGCAATTTGGAAAAAAATCAAGCAGATATAAATGTAAACAATACCTAAGAATACTTTTAAAGAAACTAATATTAAGGCATTTGCTATATTTCTACTAAAATATCTATTTGAATTGTTCTCTTCTTTTATACAGGTAACTGAGTTCTTTTTCTCATTTTAATTCACAGCATTGTATCACCTTCTTGACTTTTTAAATGCCTCATCTTGTAATTATTTGGTTCCCAAGCACTGAAAGAGTATTAGCAGAAGGTTGACAATGTCACTGCAAAGTGTTTGAAAATCATTCACATTTGTGTTATTTCAGATTAAGAGAAAAAAACACAGCAAATTAACCCTCTTCTCAAATCACACAAACTGAAAATTTTTATGTATGTATATGTATTTTATATATATATATATATATATATATATATATATATATATATACACACACATAAATTTATTCAATTTTTAAAAAGCATTATTTTTCCTCTGGCCAGAAAAGGATTATAAGGATTATGCTTTTATTGAGTCCTCAGTTCACCTCATCTCACTTTTTTCTTTTCCCTTTTATTTTCACTCCTTTTAAAAATCTAAGGTACAATTTAATTCTAAATCACAATGGAATAAGTTAATGGAAATTATTTGAGAACAGATAGCCAAGTCCTTTTAAAAATAGTTAATATGAATCAAGAATATTCAAATACGCAACATGAATTTCTAAGAACAATATTATTTCCATCAAGTATTTCACCTTTGAAACAGTGAGTGTCAAGGGAAGTTTTAGCCATCTTGGTCCTTTCTTTGTGCATGATTAATACAGTGACTTGAAAGATGATTTACTGGCTGACAAAATGTCAAGTTATATATTTACATTTCCTCAATATGAAAAGCAGCTATACCACTTAGGGTTTTAGTTTCTAGTTTATTAACCTGCTGAATTTCACACAAAAATGTTTTAAATTACTAATCATTTGTGATAACATGCAATGTGCCTTTAAGAACAAAATTTAATGGCTTTTAGCACAACTTCACCACCTAGATATTATTTAAAATACAGATTTGTGTGTTAATTTTGAATGTGGTCTGGTCTTTTATTTAATTATTTAAGGGCCAACTGCAACCCCATGTTAACAGTTTACTTCTTTCCAACAAACCCTAAAAGCATACTTATTTTGGATGCGTACATGAGAAAAGCATATTAATGTTCAAAGTAATAATTAAATGGCCTTTGTTCTATCTACAAGCTTAGCCTCATTATAAATAAAGACAAACAAGTGCAACATAAAGAACATTTATTCATTTTTAATGGACTTTTAAGAGAGTTTCTCAAATTATTGATGAATGTAATAAAATAAAATTAAATTAAAAGAAGTGTCAAGAAGAAAACAAATTTAAAAATTAACAAAGCCCACAATAAATTTGCAATTACATGTCCATTAAAGGTTTTAAAGGGGGTTAATCTTGGCAAAAAGAAAAAAAATCGACGCTATTGGAGCTTTAGCAGGAACAATTATTATCATTGCAAATTACTTAAACTATTAAGCTAAGAATAATTCAGAAATATCATTAGCAGACAAATTACTGAAAAAAACTTGTTTTCTTTCCCCCTTTGTTTAATTTAAACTTAATGTCTGCTTATTCTCACACAAGCAGAAAATGCTGATAAATAATTCCAGAGCATGCCTAAACATCTCCCTTCACAGCTAGCTTCTAATTTGATCTCTGGAGACCTTTCTCGGTAGCTGAATAAAATATTTTCATTTATTCTAGGAGAGCCTCCACCACCATACGTTTCTAATCTCGAGTTGCTTGGTAATGCCTCTAGATGAGGTCCTCAGCAAATCATTAAACTTGTTCAATAACAACATTACAAAACACAGGAGACCTGCCGTTAGTGAAACAAAGAAGTTTTTCAAACAGGGGGAAAAAAAATCTTTAATAAGCCAACTTCAGTTTCTAGGGCAAGTTGGAGAGATTATTTAACATTTTAAACTTTCTGGCAGTCACAGTACAAGAAGACTTCAAATTCACGGTGTCAGAATGTCTCACAAGGGCCATACTTTCAAGTTACAGAAACCGAGGCAGTGAGATTGCTTTGCTGATAGAATGCAACAGCTGCCCGGGTCCCCAGCCCGTGTCGTGCACACAGTCTCAGAACGTGCGCAAGACCTCAGCTCTGGAAATACATGAAACCCTGGACTATCAATTTGTTTGTTTTTAATAAAAATAAATGTTCTAGTGATCTGATAATGGAAATTACTTTACCCAAAGTGTCTGAATCTATCAAGATAAAATTTGATGAAAAGAAATGAAAAACTTGTTAATTTTTCTTTCTAGGCTAGGAATTCATGATAAGCACTGATAATTTATGCCACATAAGACACATTACCAATTAAGAAGACATGTTAGTGGAAGGAATTGACTTTTTAATATACTAAGGTATCAGATTCCACACCAGGATGGAACCTGATTGCTAGGCAGGACTGGTCACTGGAGGCGTCTAATAGGTTTAAAGCCCAGGAGCAAGGAGGAGAGACTCCTGTCTGGTGACAGCTCATCAGTCTTGTTGTGTTGCTGGATTATTGTATTTTTATATTAGAAAAAAACTTAGTCTGTAAAAAGTTTGTTGAGCCTGATGTACAGAAGAAAGTGGAAATAAGCAAGAGTATAGAGAAGGTATTTTTTAAAATAAATCTTTAACTTTCCCACCCAAACTTCCAAGGCGATGGATTTTCTTTTAAAACAGTTCCTGCTCTGGAAAAAACCGTATTTTATTTAACCTTATTTTCATTCCATGTTCTTGTGATTTTCTCTGCTACCAGAGTGTTCTGTGCTCTTGAATTGCAGAGTTGATTACCTGGTCTCTCCATTCATCAGCTCTCATCATCTTCTTAACCTTCAGTTTCTTTTCTCAGTCTCTTCCCTAACAACTCCCTAACTTTCCTTCTTCATATGGAATAGAATTTCTAGAAGTTAACATGTATTAGAGACAATGGGGGGCATACAAGGGAGCCATCTATTGGAAGAGTGATCAGTTCCCTTGACCATTGCAATAGTTGATTTAGGAAGCCAAGAGAAGCTAATGCTCTCCTTATGTATGTACTCTGAGCTAACCTGGCAAAGTAGCATATAGAGCTATTGTTAGACCTAAAATAAAAGTTGCATTGATTGAGTGTTCAAAACAGCATACATTCATACTCAGAAAAAGAGGCATATGTGAGTAGAAATGGAGAATTTGCACTTTACCTTTAACAAAGCTTGATTAATTATAACTTTTTCTTTGCTCTTACGATCTTTAGCAGTATTAGGTTTGGTCACTATCTGGACATATAAATTAGAAAAATGCTCCAGAATAACTATACTAGAAAAAACATATAGCCAATTTATACCACTGGCCTGGCTAACACTTTCAAAAATACATTCTAATACAAAAGGACTATGATTCTACATTCCTTTAAGACTCAGAAAAGATATAATGCTGTGCTAATTAGTACTTGAATTGCAAAACATTGCCTTCTTTACGATTGTTTTCTGGAAGTTCAATTCTAAGCCAGAAAATGTCCACAGTTTCATTCACATTGTATATAAAACTTTTCATTTGTTCCTGCTGGTTGAGGTGTTTTCATGTACTTTGAATAAAAAAATCATGAGGAGTCATTTGCAGAAAAAAAACCACACTAATTAAAGGAAAGTCTGTGTGTACTAGGGTGAGAGGAAACAAAAGACACTTTCGGGGCTGCAATGCATACAGACAAGAAGCTGAAGCCTTGGGGGTTGTAATCTAAGTTAGGGATTAGGGATCCAGGTTTTGGAGTCACCCTGCCTGGGTTTAAATGTAAATCTAGAGGATAATAACTGCTTGACCTTGAGCAAGTTACTTAATCTCCCTTTATCTTAGTTTCCTCACCCAGAAAATGGTGAGAGTTGTGCTGATTGTAGGTTGCGTGAATTAATTGAAGAAAAACACAAAAATACTTTTATGTTACCTAAAACCCTGTAAGCATACAATAATGGTTCGTTATTATTTTTACTCCTATTATGGCATGAAGACCAAAGTGGCAGGACTAGATGGAGTCCATTTGTGATAATTTAATTTCTGTTTCCAGTAGCATCACAAAAATATTTTGTTGTTTGCCTACTGCATCTTCCAATCATGCACCATCAAAGTCAGGTGCCTTCCTCTTCTTTGACTAGATTTCATTGTCAATAAAGACTGTTGAAGCTGAAGAAGAAAAAATGCTTAGTTCTTAGGAGCACCTGCACTGGGATCATACTGAGGCCAATGTGAATGCCAGCTCCACTACTTACAGGGCAGCATGGCATAGTGGCTAGGCACCTAGATGCCTACTTTGCCACCTGATAGAAATGCCACTGTAAACTGAAAATAATAGTACTTACCTCATAACTCTACTACAAAGCTTAAATTGGTATTTGCAAACAGCTTAGAATAGCTTCAAGTGTATAGTAGTGTTATGTATTTGTTTCAGGAAAGTCTTTCCCGGTATGATATTGAGCCTCTCTGAATCTGTTTCCTTGCAAGTAAGATCAAAATATAATTCTTCCCTCAAGGGTTATTGAGAGGATTAAATGAAATAATACATATATAACACTTGACATATAGCAAGGACTAACTATTAATACTCCTAATTCTTTAACATGATTTTCTACCACTTCTTAAGACAAATCCTGTGAAGATAATCTCTTAAAACATTCCTATGGTAAAGGTCTATTAATTTCAATAAATATCTTCTTTTCTCTTTCCTGTGGCATATAATTCTTGCAGGCCCAGCTTCATTTTCATTTCCTTCAGGTCTACACTAACATACTAACCTATCTTTTCTGTAACATGCTGTCCAAAGGTCTTCACCTAACTTATTGGTGTTTATCAATATTGACTCCTACTTAGAATGGAAAGCACATAAGCTACTTCATTGGAAGACTTCAAGTCATCATGTACTAGATGGACCGCTGAGTTGGGAATGATACTTCGTCTCTCTAAAGCTCAGTTTCTTCAAACAAAAAAACTACATTGTATGTTATTTACTGGGGGCAATCATCCATCCAGCACATTTTGTCTTAGGTCTTAGCAGATTGGTTTGACCAAAGATGTAAGCAATTTCCGAAGAAAGCCCAAATCAGTGGGTGGGACTAGTTAAGTCAAACATTGAAATATGTCAAACTTGGAATAATGCCATATGTTTTGTACATTTGAGTTTACAAATTCCTTAAAAGAAACATTTAATACTCTTTTGCCAGATGGAAAGCCATGGCTCTAGAAAGTTAAAAAGCTCTGGACAATCACTCCAATGATTACTGCTTATTGCTAATTTTACTTTACCTTGCCACTTCCCATCAGGCAACAAGAAGCCAAAGTGTGAATGAAGAGAGAAGCAGTGTCTCACCATTTTTTTCGGGGGCATCACAGGGAAAGTGATAGGAATTAAATTTATTCTAGCATAAGCTAAGTCAGTGCTTTTTGTTTAACTTTCTACATTCATGTGTCATGCCAATTTCAAGTGGTTGAAGACTGACACATTGATTGATTGTACCCCAGAGGACAATCATAAACAAGGTCTATTTTTTTTTTCTTAATGTTACCTTTCAACTCCTTCTGACCACTCTTGAAAGTGTTCACCAGCCTTGCTCTTCTATTATGGAATTGAGATTTTATTTTTCTATATTTCTGCTAGCATTCTTCTCCATTAATCTCTAAAGCATGATGATAACATAGTCAAAAATATCTTTAGAATTTTCTTCTTCGTTTCACTGTTGGAGGTAGAGATCTTTGCCCTCCCTTGTTTACTCCATAGGGCCTGATTCTCAAGACATTTTCTATAGTAAGATTGGGCCATAATGTGTTGCAATGTATCACCTAGTTTAAATAACAGCAACCACAATTCAGTTTTTCTTCAGTAATATATTAATCAATGTCATCTGTGATATTATTAATAATATTGCTGAATGGCAGTAACAGTGATCATCTGCTACCATGAGAGCAAATCAAAGCTACTTCTTTTTTGTTTTTGGTTGTAGTGATAGTATTCTTCCTCGTAGATTTCTTATGTCTCTCTTCTTAGTTCTGCTGATTACAAGCAATTTCTATTAGGCTTTAGGTATTAAAAGTGTTAAAACCACATTTCCCTCAGCTTATCCAATGTAATTTTAGAAAATTTTAGAAAAATAGTAAGCATTTTTATTTATGTGGGACATGTCAGAGCCTTTATTATGATAATTCTCATTGTGACTCTTCTGGCACTGTTCAGTGTACTTTGTTTTGTCATTTACTATTGTTTTTCTTTTCTCCTCCAGTAGCATCACATGGGCCTAATGGCTCAAGAAACATGCTCTGGGAAATATTTTAAAATGTAAAAAAAAAATTGTTTTCATTAAGATTAACTTTTAGTAAAAATAGGCTCCATTAAAATTGAAGTTGATTGAAAAAGTAGTAATAAATGTTGTTTGTTTATTCAATATTCGATAGACACTATATGTTATTGTTAGATCTAATTATCTTTGCTCTGAAATTCAGAAAAATTAAGTAAATTGTTTAAGGTCAATTAAATTAGTGATGTTGAAATGTGAAGCCAGGTCTCTCTGTCTCATACACTTCATAGGTTTTCCCTGTGTCTGAGAGTTGTAGCTGCTCAATTCATTTTTCTGCAAATGTTTGGGAAGATCATTCCATAAGTTGTAGATGCAAGTATAGATGTCGGATAAAAAATTAAGGTCATTATCAAAACAAGTCCAAGCTTGGGGATAGCAAGGGAGATATGGATAAAATTTTTCTTACATAGTAAGAATCATGAGATAGAATGAGCAAGCAAGAGAAAGAGCGAGAGAGACAGAGAGAGAGAGAGAAAGAGAGAGAGATCCTGTTGATTTTTCAAATTTGTTACCTGAATTAGAGATTCTGTCATTTATTTTCCTTGGAAGAAGCAGAAGATTCTTCTGATTCAATTGTCTGGGAGATCAGTGTGACTTTTAACTTTTGAGATCTCAGTATGGAGGGCAGTAAAAGATTTCTAGCCTTGGGTCAGAATACTCTCTAATTTGCCTATACAAAAAAAAAAATAATAATGAATGGCTACATTAATAATTAAATAATAAATATATAAATAACTGAGAGCAAAGTACTCATTTTAACGTCTATATTTATTAGCCAACTTATATTTTCCCTCATTGGCACTTTACTTCCTCTTTAAACAATGATTTCAGCTGTTTCATAATCTTTTAGATAACATTTTAACATAAAAATATGACCTCTTTGAGTTTTTCTGTAGTTTCTGAACTATTATAAACGGTTATCCATATAGCGTCTGTCAGTTCCCCAGACAAAGTCAACAATACCTTCTAAATGTCACTAGAATACAAGCTCTCTTAACCACCTTTATAATCTCACTCTATAACAGCTCTGTAAATCAAACTGAGTCATGTTCACAAGCACAGTGGTAGGCAGAATTCTGAGATGACCCTCAAGATTGTAACCCCCTGATATACATGTCCTATATAATCCTTTCCCTTTCTGTATGAGTAGAACTGTGACTATAATGGATTTCACTCCAGTGACTACATTATGATATATGACAAAAGTGAAGTGATTTTGCAGATGTAATTGAGGCCCCATATGAGTTGACTTTTAGTTAATTAAAAGAGAGATTATTCTGGGTAAGACTGAGACCTAATCAGGTGAACCCTTGAAAGAAACTGGGCCTTCCTGATGGGGGAGATTCTCCTGCTGGCTTTGCAGAAGCAAGGAACCATGTTGTGAATCACTTGTGGAGGCAGCCCAGTAGCAAGGGGTTGAGTGTGATTTTTAGGAGTTGAGAGCAGTGCCCAGTGACAGCTAACAGGGAAACAGTGAACTCAGTCTCACAGCCACAAGAAAAACTCTGCCAACACACAATGAGCTTTGAATCAGACCTTTCCTTTGTGGAGCCTCCAGATGAGAATGTAGCTGGCCAATGTCTTGATTTTGGCTTTATAGGACCCTGAGCAGAAGATCCAACTAAATTGTACCAGACTCTTGACCGGTGAAGCCTGTGAGGTAACAATTATATGCTGATCTAACCTGCTTAATGTGTGGTAATTTGTTACATGGTAATAGAAAACTAATACAGCTACAAACACTGGTAGCTAGACCACATGCTACTAACTTCATACTCTTGGGTTCCCTCCAATTGAGGTGTGTAAGCGATGAAGATCAGTTACATTTGTTTCCAACGCTGTTTATGCTTTTTTTACTTTGTTATATAAATCAAAGAAATATGAAAGCGTAAATCAGAGAATAGTTGTTTCTATGAAAAACAGACTATTTCAGACAAAATTTTGATTTTAGTGAAAGCTGTTTTAAGTAAAATTGTAGGTAAAAAACTTTATTTGAGGTAGAATTTAGGTTAAAAGACTTTCTGTCATATTAACTATAGATGAGTCATCTGTAAAGATTAGGATGGAAGGAAAATTCCCTAAATCTAGAAGGAATCTATAATGAAATATGCTCTCATGCACCTTACATTCCTCTTTGCATTCTAATGATATAGATAGACATATGTAGATATAGATACAGATGTGTATATATGTATATACAGAGATATACCTTTTTATGTTTCCTCATTTCAATCAATTTTATTTTATTAGCTATATGGGTATAAGGGAGATTCAATTTTTTATGAAAGCACTTTCAATATTTATAGAAATACAAGTTAAGACAGCTGTTTTGTGTTTGAAACTAGAGTTCTAGGTTCAAGATATGCTCAGCTTCCCAAACCTGGATAATCCATTTCAGCATATCTGTACAGTCATGAGTTGTGTAGCATTTGTTACTAATATATTAAGAAACCTTTTAAAGTGATAGGCTATTTTATATATTAAATACCACATATAAAATAACATCACCGGCCGGGTGCAGTGGCTCACACCTGTAATCCCAGCACTTTGAGAGGCTGAGGTGGGTGGATCACCTGAGATCAAGAGTTCGAGACCGCCTGACCCACATGGTGAACCCCATCTCTACTAAAAATACAAAAATTAGGTGAACATGATGGCACACTCCTGTAGTCCCAGCTACTCGGGAGGCTGAGGCAGGAGAATTGCTTGAACCTGGGAGGCAGAGGTTGCAGTGAGCTGAGATCGTGCCATTGCACTCCAGCCTTGGAGACAGAGCAAGACTCTATCTCAAAATAATAATAATAATAATATTAATAATAAAATAACATCACCCTTCTCTTCCTCTGTTTATAAATCCTGCCCCTCCACCTCTTCCACTCCCTCCCGCTTCTTCTTTGCATTCAGTTATACTCTCCTTACTAGGAAAGAAAAAGTTACTGCTTGGATGTAACTCAAATGCCTGTTTTAATTTCACCAAAAGGACTCTATTAAGTATAAGAATTTACAAATCATGTTCACTAAGTAGAAGCAGAAATATACATGTGTGTATCTGTATCTCTATGTATCTACTTCTAGCTACTAGCTACCTGCCTACGTAGATAGATATGTATGATTGCCACATTCATTGTGAAATGTGTGGACAACTAATTCTATCCTGCATAAAATGACACAAACACATTTACACACAAATCCTTAGTTATATTCACATACCTTTGTCTATTCTGAATTTGAGAATTCCTTCAAATCCTGGGCACAACCATAATTAGGAAAGACAAAAGAAAATTGTAGGATGACAGTGAACATTAATTCTTAGAACTTTATTACAGAATACTTATAATGAGTGAAACACTTTACATTACAGTGGTTTTCAAAGTATGGTCTGTGGACTGGCAACACCCAAAACACCTGGGAAGTTGTTGGAAATGCAAATTATTGGGTCCCACTTTTCACCTAATGAATCAGATACTCTGAGGGTAAGGCCATAAAATCTGCACTGTAACAAGCTCTCCAGATACTTAGGATGCACCTTGAAGCTTAAGAACAGCTGCATTAAAAATCCTCTCATTACTCCATATGTTCAGTATTATTATTAACTGCATCTTACAGATGAAGACATGAAACAGTGGTGTGTAAGTGTAACTGTCAATGTCCAATCAGGGAAACAAGAATCTGGATATATTGCAAAAAGAAGGAATTTTAATATAGGAAATTAATTACCTAAATGATAAGAGAACTAAGAACCATCTTCAAGTCTAGAGAAACAAAGGGAGAGAGTACCTTCGTCTGGGTCTGGAGCCATCTTGCAGAAGGCAGAACCACAGTGGGTCTATCCTGTGTGTGCCAAATGAGAAAGTGGCTGTCCAAGGAAGAATCTGCCAGAGGGCCTACATGAGAGACGGAGCAAGGGAGAGAAATACCATCCTTTTTCCCCTTCATTCTGTCCTCTAGTTTTCTACCGTTTCTTCCGCTGGCTGCACTTACCCAGAAAATGGAAAATAGAGGAGCCTGAAAAAATGCAGCTTACTGCAGTAGAAAAGCAGAATAAGAGCAGAGTAGGAAATGAATCTGAGGACAAATAGGCAAATGTTCACAGAAATGGTTAATTCTGTTTTCCAAAGTTAGTTAGTAAATGGTAGAGCTGGCAGAAAGTAAGTAAGCAGGAAGCTTACTTGCATAATTCCAGCTCTCCACCACCCACAATGAAAACAGAAAATACTACACATTCAGCAATAACTGAAAACATTACAGAAAAATTTATGGAAAGAATATATTACACAGCTCAAATATTGAGATCCAGCTGGCATCTAGAAACATACAAACAATAGTTTATGCTAGTTAAATCCTGCATTTTAGACGTCTTTTACGTTCAAGTCAGTCATCTTGGCCTGTTTACAGAGAAGCAGGTTAGACAGAATTCCTATGATGACTGTAACAGAAATAGGAAATGATCAGATCCTAAACTGGTGTATAGCATGGGATGATAATCAGGGACATGGTCTCCAAGACCGACATTTTGTACACTTTGATTGATGTCTGTAGAATCATATGTGGGTGTTAATTCAGATGAATGTGTGTGTGTGTGGGGTGTGTGTGTGTGTGTGTGTGTGTGTTGTGCTGTTAGCACACCTTTTAATTGTTAAGCTAATTGGGCCTTGCTCTTCCTGAATTACTTTGTAAAGAGTAATTACCTGAGACCATGTTGTAGCAGTTTGGTCCTGCAAGAGAACTGTTTTTGTGTACCACTTAAAATAAACCTGGCTTGTTGAGCTGTTGTTTTTAGCCATCTCTCTTGCTCCCTTTCAATTTAGAGAGAACTCTCAGAGGTAAACCACAGGAAGACTCACACAGGAAAATTCCCTGAGGTCAAAGCTAGTAGCCGTGCCAAGTTGGAGACTCCAGGCATATGACAGCTCTTTGGGAGTTAGGTCTTACAGTGCCTGCCAAATGGGAATTTGAGATAAGCAAGGCGAACATTGGACTTCTTGTAACATTTTTTGTGAAGGTGAAAAATGAAGATGCTTCTAATTAGCAAAAATGGTTTGTAACAACGGTTCGAATTCCAAATCCTGTGGTTGGTAAAGCATACATATGGAAATATAGTTAAGTTTAGTTGCCAAAATTTACAATCCATTTCCTTTCTGCAATATTTGAATCCATATGGGTATTAGGGAGACCCAATTATTGTCAAAGCACCTTCCATATTTACAGGACAAGATAGTTAAGCTTGGGCACGTTTTTAAGATGTGTTCAGGTTTAGTTTCATAGTCCATAATCCACTTAGGTAAGGCAGAATACTAATAGGTGACTGCCTCGAGGCGATTTTTTTTTCTTTCTTAAAATATGATAAAAATTATATTTTACCGTATTCTAAAACAGATTGAGAATAAAATTTTTAGGTACTCAAGAGGAGGCAAATTTTTACATTAATTTTAAATTTTGGCAATACTTTTACCAAAAAGAAAGACATAATCCAGAAAAATTAAGATCTGCTTTTTCAATATAATTTTGGTGTAATAAACACAACATGTAGATTTGTGTAAGTAAGAATGTAGCAATAGTAACTAAATGTGTGAGTATCTTTATTGGTGAAGGTTTAAACTATGAGTCTAAATCGGATTAATGTAAAGTTATATGATTTTATACATATAAAAAGTGACATGAACAGTAGTAACATGTTGGAAAAAATAATATAAACACATCATACTTTTCTCAAGGTTTTTTGTAATACAGAATATATTTTTAGTTTGCAGTATTTCATTACCCACTACAGTTTTCGATATTACATATTACTTTCAAAAAGGAAAGACACTTCACAGTAAGTGAATATTACTGCAGTCATTTTATATGGTTTTGTGTGAATATTAGTAAATACAACACATAAACATATCTGTATTGATTTGTCTTTGCTTTTCAAATATTTCAATCATTGTGAATTTACAGTAGCCTTTATAAATTTGAATATACAAAAATGGTTTGCATACCTTTTAAAATTCAATTACAATTTTACATTTAAGTTGTTATATTTGTAGAGATTTGTATTTTCTTAGTAATACCTAGTTTTTAGTGATTTGACTACGAAGGAAGACATAAACAATAGTGACTTTATGACTTTGTTAAAATCTACTTTCAGTATACCACAGTGAACATCAGCTATGACATCCTCATCTATATAACTAAATTAGGGGTATCAGATATATAAAGACAACCCTCAATAACTATTACTCAAATTTTCATAATTAACTATTTTAGCCCATTCAGAATCATATTATTTGGGACCAATTCAGAGTTTTGTGAACTCATTGCTATATTTGAAGTACACATTGAATGGTAAACTCATAATTGGTAATGGAGGAGTTGTCCCTATGTTGCAAGTAGGTTTCCATAGGAAACAGATTCTGAGTTAAAAACACATGTACAGGAGGTTTGTTAGGACATGTTCTTGTTATCACCATCAATGGAAGGAAAAGGAAAGAAGCAAAACTGGGCAGAAGGAGAAGCTGGGCTGCAGTGCAGTCTCAACAAAGTCCTCAGCTGACTCCACTGTGAACTCTTGAGGCTAAGACAGCCATTCAATTGAGAAAACTGGACTGAGGCTTTTTCTCCTCATATTGATTAGTCCTTGGATATGGGCTGCTTTGGAAAGAGGGCATCCCCTTGGATGAGGTGACTCTCTTTAGACAAAGTATTGGGTTGGTGCAAAAATAATTGCGGTTTTGGCAATTACTTTTAAATGGCAAAACTGCAGTTACTTTTACACCAACCTAATTACTTTTGCACCAACGTAATAATTCCAAAAAGACTCACAATAGAGGGCTGTCTGCCTGAAAGCAATACTTGTAGCTGGGGGAATATGTCCATCAGTCTTGATGGGGTATCTGGTGATACATCATGATGGCACCACAGCCTTCTGAAAACTTCCTGTATATTCATCAATGAAATATAAACGTGTTTGAAGGTAACCTATAATTCATTCCCTCCTTTATTCATTCACCAAACATTCTTTAATTTCCCATTCCTTAACTCAGTATTTGGCACACAGTAAGAACTCAATAAATACTTATTGAATGATTACACATGTAAAGATTATTACAAAGGACAGAAAGCATTTTTTCTTTGGACTAAGACTTGCTCAAGGAGGCATCGAGTGTTATTAAAGTTTAAGCTATTAAAGTTTAAGAAATAACTTCAATCTATTTTGATTATTTTCATTTCTGTCTTCACTTGGGTGTTTATTTTAAGAAGGTGATAACTGCCTTTTCATCTTTATAACCACAGAATCTAACAAAGTTTCTTCCTTATAAAGTAAACATGTAATAATATTTATTGCACCAGTGAAACAGGTTTATGATGATATTTGAATGTTATGTCAATAGATGTGAATTTTATCTTACTGATAATGGAGGGCTTGTCACTGAAAAAAAATTAACTGAGTAACATTAAAAGTTTAAAGGTCCAAAGCAGTATGGAAGGTGTTTTGGAATACTGAGGGTCAAAAATATGGAGTCCAATGGGTAGATTATTCCAAGAATTTAGGCAGGAATGAAAGGTCTGATTTAAGGCAATGAAAGCGAGAAAGTGAGGGGATAAGATGGTAAGGATTGAGTTGTTCATTGATAAAAGGTTGGATGTGTATTGGGGAGGAAGATACAAAGGCAGAAAGGAAAAAAGTTTTTTTAGGATGCAGTAGATTTAAGCATCTTCATAGGAAAAGGGAAAGAATTAAGTGCTGGATTAAAAAAAAACAGACTTCAGTATAATAACTAAGCTATCATTATTTGGGTTAGAAGTTGTTGTAATTTCCTGCCCCAATCTGCTCACTTATCACTCCTTCTCCAGCCTATAACGAAATAGGGTTTTCAGGTCAAATTTTCTAGTAGATCAGAATTTAAGAGCATTGTCCAGTAAAACTTAAAGATCTGGCATATTTGTTTCAGGAAGAAATGAAAAACTAACTACAATTTTCTAGAATTTTAAAATCCAAGATTCACCACTTTAGTGCATCTGCTTCAAATGACATGTTGTTTTGGAGAATGACACAATCAACCTCCCATACAAACACAATTAGATTAATTAGCTGTTGTCTGGCCCTCTCTTCCCCACTTTTTCCTTTCTTCTCTTTCTTCTTTCCTTCTTGTAGCCCTTCTTTTCTTCTGTACTCACTTTTCCCCTTCTTTCACTAAAAAATAAATTTGGAATTTAATATTCTTCTTTTACTTTCCATTTAATGTGCAAATAGCGTCATATTCTAAAGTAGATGAACAAATGATGGTCCAGATTAATTGATGATTTATTTCCCCAGCAAGCAGTGCTTAACAATGCATACTTATTAAGACATAACGAATTGGAGAGCACAAAACAACAATAAATATAATAGCAGAAAAGTAATAATAATAATAATAATAATAATAAGGGGAAATCAAATTGAACTTTCCATTTAATTCAAGCCGCAGTTGTGAACCCTAATTGCTTCCGTGCACTGTGTGACCCATTTTTGGTGTACCTTTACTTTATTTAGACTTTCTTTCTATTAGTAGATGTAAAGCTCCTCAGAGAATATGGGTTCAGGATAAACTCAATGCTCACTTTTGATCCACTGATTTCCGTGTGAAAATATGGCTGTAAATAAAATATTGCATTGAATATTAATAAATTCACATATAAAAAATGTACATAAGTATGACGTTTCTTCCATGGTAATTACTTGGCTGAAAGTAATTTCCTAAAACATTTAAAAATTATGAAGCAGGGACTGAAATTTTGGCTCATGCAAGATACCATATGTAATGATGTAGTCATGTAATGAAGTGAAGAAACAAAAACAAAAACCAAAAAAACCAATGTGGCATTTCAGGTTGGCTGTTTGTTTGCTTTGCTACTCATCAAACTTTTAACCCAAAATCCCCCTGGGTTAAAAATTTATGTCACATATTCTAGAAAATAAAACTTTAATTACTTCATATTGTGTGTTCCTTAATATGTGTGTGTGTTTGTGCATATGTGTGTGATACCAAGTTGCTGTTGTTTTTTTAACAAAACAACTTTTTAGTTTGTTTCCCTATCCATGGCTATATAACTATACTTGAACAAAGAATAAGAACAAGTTTATAGGATTACTCACTTTTTAATGTGTTTATTTTAATCAGGATATTTTATGAAGTAAAATTTCACAGAAAACAAAATTTTATTTTACATGTACCTTTCATCTTTTTAAAGTCAAGTTAGCTCTTTAAAGTCATGAAGGGGATATTATACCAAATTTAATCTGTCCATTTTCATACTTGTCTTCTCTCTGCTTTAGGATCAAAGAAGAATTATAAATGAAATAATTCACACTACTACAATTAATAATTTTTACCTACCATAGCTAAAATGTAAAAGGATTTTGAAATTTTTCCTATATTTGGTGTTTTAAATAGAAATTTGGCATATATTACCTAGCAATTTAGTTTTAAATATTCTGCAAATTATAGAAGTTAACATGGGCAATACACATAAAAATTAAACTGTTTTTCAAATGTTTTTATAATACAAGTTTATAAATGACTTATTCCCTTTGACTTTTATTATTACAGAAATGTTTAAGTAATTGTTTTATAAAATATTTTTTCTTAGTCAATACTTTTTGAACATTTTTATTAAAATTTATGTTTTGCAAATTCGAACATTGACAATTCTGATATTCATCTCTAACAGTATATAAAAGCAAGATAGTATATTAGATGTATATTTGCCCTGAATATTTCAATGTCTGTTCCTTTAATCAGGTTGCTCCATTTTTTCTATGAACAGCTCATATTCACTTCCAATTTGAAATGTTCTGTGTTCCTTCTGCCCTTCTTTTCCATCCAAAGAGTACCAAAATTTTAAAATTCAGCTCAAGCCCCACCTGAACTTCCTTTCCTATTATTTAGCTTACATTGTATTTCCTGTATCTCCGAACTTTCATTGAAGTTATTATTTCTAACTTATTTTAGTCCTTAAAATTTATTACCATAGGGAGTAATAATAACTGCTATAGTGTATTCAGGAGCTAATATAGGGCAACAATGAATCTAGTTTCTCTCATAACTAATTCTGAAATATATGAAACATCCCTCTGAAGTAAGAATTATTTTTCTTTGTTTTACGGATGAGGAAACTAGGTTTCAGAGAGTTATTTGCCAAACTCACACAATTAGTGAGTGTTGGAACCAGTACTCAACACTAGGTCTGGGTCCCAAACTCATGTTTTTTTCTTGAAAAACATAAAATAGCATGCATTTTCCAACTCATAGAGACGGTAAGATATTGAAGTCCAAAATCCAAGTTTTAATAAAAAAAATTAACTTCCCACTTTGGTAGGCCGAGGCGGGCAGATCACGAGGTCAGTAGATCGAGATCATCCTGGCTAACACAGTGAAACCCCGTCTGTACAAAAATACAAAAAAATTAGCCGGGCGTGGTGGTGGGTGCCTGTAGTCCTAGCTACTAGGGAGGCTGAGACAGGAGAATGGCGTGAACCCCGGAGGCGGAGCTTGCAGTGAGCCGAGCTTGCTCCACTGCATTCCAGCCTGGGTGACAGAGTGAGACTTCGTCTCAAAAAAAAAAAAAAAAAAAAAAAAAAAAAAAAAAAAAAAAAATTAACTTCCTGGTACTACTACTGTGCATATTTTAAGATCAGAAATGACTGACTTTAAATAAACAGACTTAGTTAATTCTGTAATTTTGTGTAATGTAATTTATTATTAATAGAAATGTACTCAAGATAAAGAAGTAAGATATCAGTTTATGGTTTTCTCCTCTTAGTTCAGTGACAACTAATTTGGGGGTAACTGGTCAGATTCATGTTTCACATTTTCCTTTGTGTTTTCCAAAGTTTGGGGATGTACAATTGAACACTTAATTATTATCACTCATGGGGAAAAGTTCAGGTAAAAATAGTGGCAAACATATATCAAGTAATTTACATTTGTAGTCTATTTTAGATATATTTATACAAATAACTGTATATTCTGGTGACTTATATTACAAAGTAAGGCTGAATCAAAACAACAAAATTAAGAGGATAGGAAAACCTCCCTAGTCTTTGTTTTTGATCTCTAGCAATCCCGGCCATGATGCAAATCAAAAATTCTCCCTGTTATTTGTCTGCAGTACGAGTATGGTGGCTTCGTGTCATTTCTTCCTGTGACAGAGAATGGCTAAGAGGTAGTGAGAGACTAGTGCTCCCACTATCTGTGCCTGCCTCTTCTGTCTTGGCGCTTTGCCCAATCATGTTTCATACAGGTGGGACCAAATGACTTCTTCTGGTCAATGGGATGTAACTGAAAGTGATAAATGCCACTTCCGGTTCTGGTTCCAAAAAACTCCTTCAAGTTCTTTACCCTC
Organism: Homo sapiens; assembly: GCF_000001405.40. NCBI lineage: Eukaryota > Metazoa > Chordata > Mammalia > Primates > Hominidae > Homo > Homo sapiens. Next base: position 81,038,380 of record NC_000001.11, on the reverse strand, counting down.
TTATTTCCTTGTTTTTAGGACTTAGTGAAGGGTGGATCCACTAGATAGAAGAGAAGCAGACACCCTCCCAGGCCTTAACCTGCTTTCGCTGTTCGCTATAAAGTAGGCAATTAAAAAATCAAAATCAAATCCTTAGTAGTCCTAGGTTAATGAAAATTAGGATATATATTATCACAGTTGGCACACCCTGACTCATGAAAACTAAATGCAAAGTCTTAGTAACTTGGATTTATGGATCATCAACAAATAAATAAATAGCACTTTTTAGATATGAATTTCCAGTTAAAAATGATATTTATTACAAGTAGATCAGTGTTTACTATCTGGAAATGGTAACTATATGTTTTGCTAATTAAAAAATTAAATATAAATTTAATTTTAATAAAAAGGAATTGGACCAAGTAATAATGAAAGTACTGTCCAACTTATTATTTCCATTGCATCCATGTAACAAATATTGCTCAACATCTACTATGTGCTGGGTATGGGTTTAGGCTTTGAAGGTATGTCAGGGAGCCACACAGGTGACCATCCCTACCCTCACGAGGTTTACCTCCCAGCAGAGAGAGACAGGCCATAAACAACTAACATAAAAATGAGTCAGATACATATTAGAAGTGATAAAGTGCTATAGGGAAAAATGGAACAAGGTAAATGGGATTAGGAGTATGAGGGTGTGGTGGGGGAAGGGGATGCATTTTTAATGGACATGGTGGTGGGAGTTGTATTAAGAAGGAGACATTTGAATAAGACATGAGGACAGAACATTTAAGGCAGAGAAAACAAGCAGTACAAACGCCCAAAGGTAGGAACAGGTCTGGTGTGTTCAAGGCTAGCAAAAGGGTGGTAGAGGAAAATAACATTAGAGGTTGTACTAGGGCTGCCATAACAAAATCCCACAAACTAAGTGGCAAACAACAGAAATTTGTTTTCTCTTGGTTCCAAGGGCTAGAAGTTCAAGATCAAGATGTTGGCAGGCTTGGTTTCTTCTGAGGCTTCTGTTCATGGCTTACAGAGGGTGTCCTCACATGGTCCCCCCAGGTCTGTGTTGTATGGGTCCTAATCTCCTCTTCTCATAGGGACACCAGTCAGATTAGATTAGGGTCCTCCAAATAGAGTAACATTCTGAAGTACTGGGGAAGAGGACTTTAATGTATCAATTTTATGAGGACACAACTCAGTCCTTAATAAAAAGATGTTGTGTAAAGATATCGTGTCCCAGCTCACAAAGGTCTTTGAGAAATTGGGTTTTCACCCACGGGAGTAAAGTGGAAGCCACTGGAGGCTTTGATCAGAGAATGGCATAACCTGATATGTCTTAATAGCAGTACATGTAGGGGGCAGGGAAAGAAACAGTGACTTATGTGAAGAAGCTATTCAGGCAGTCCAGGCAAGAGATGAGGCAGTTTGGGCTCACATATAAACTGCTCAGTAGTTGTTATATCTGAACTAAGTAACGGGAAAGCAATTTCATCAAATCAAGAGTCTTAAGATTTGGGGGAGCAGAATGATGCATTTATTTTACAGATAGGAAAACAGACTCAGAAGAAAATGCTTTTCTATGGTTTCACAACTTAAAGGCAGAGTGATTCTTAAGTCAGTGATCATTTCATTATCCCTTCCATCAGTCTCAAATTCAACTTTGTTAAAGCAAATTTTCTGTTCAAGAATGTCTGACTTTTCTGCCACATGTTCCTGACTTATTCATTCCCTCCAAGTATCAATTCAAAAACATCTTTAGAAGCCTTCTCTGACCACCCAACATGAAACAGCAACCAACTCTTTCATCTTTCCCTGCATACCACTTCCCTGTTGTATTTTTTTCCATCCTGTTGATATCATATAATTTTAATTTATTGGTTTATTTTCTGAATATATTCTCTAGAATATAAACTCTACAAGACCAAGCACATTTTCAGTTCTGGTTATTTATATATAAAATAATATAATGCTAATTATAATTATATATATGTATATCCATATATTATATATGTGTATATTGTGTATATTTGTATATTATATATGTGTATATATGTGTGTATATATGTATATTTTATCTATTTATATTAGTTTGGTAGTGTCTCCCATGTTTAATTGTTTTCTTACGAAAGACAAATTTTAGAAGAAGGTATGCATTATATTTGGATTTTTGGAATAGTGTTTTGACTTCAAATGTTTCCAGTAAAATTTTTTTTATTTATTTTATTTTATTTTATTTTTTTTATACAAACATATGTTTTTTATTCTCTTGTACTTATATACCTAGTAATGGAATTGCTGATCATGTGGTGGCTTTAACCTTTTTTTTTTTTTTTTTTTTTTTAGTATTTATTAATCATTCTTGGGTGTTTCTCGGAGAGGGGGATTTGTCAGGGTCATAGGACAATAGTGGAGGGAAGGTCAGCAGATAAACAAGATAAACATGTGAACAGGGTCTCTGGTTTTCCTATGCAGAGGGCCCTGCCGCCTTCCACAGTGTTTGTGTCCCTGGGTACTTGAGATCAGGGAGTGGTGATGACTTTTAACCAGTATGCTGCCTTCAAGCATCTATTTAACAAAGCACATCTTGCACCGCCCTTAATCCATTTAACCCTTAGTGGACACAGCACATGTTTCAGAGAGCACGGGGTTGGGGGTAAGGTTATAGATTAACAGCATCCCAAGGCAGAAGAATTTTTCTTAGTACAGAACAAAATGGAGTCTCCCACGTCCACCTCTCTCTACACAGACACAGTAACAATCCGATCTCTCTTTCCTTTCCCCACATTTCCCCCTTTTCTATTAGACAAAACCGCCATCGTCATCATGGCCCGTTCTCAATGAGCTGTTGGGTACACCTCCCAGACGGGGTGGCGGCCGGGCAGAGGGGCTCGTCACTTCCCATACGGGGCGTCCGGGCAGAGGCGCCCCCCACCTCCCGGACGGGGCGGCTGGCCGGGCGGGGGCTGCCCCCCACCTCCCGGACGGGGCGGCTGACCGGGCGGGGGCTGCCCCCCACCTCCCGGATGGTCCAGTAAAATTTTTAACACAATTATTTGGCTGGCAGCTTCTCTGTTTTTGGAAACAGACTTTTCCCACTCTCCTTCTCCCTGCCCCCTAACTTCTTTTGGAAGCTGCTATCACCTCCCATGCAAGTCCAACCATTTGTTTCAATGAAATTAGCCACATCCACTCGTTATCCTGATCCCCTAGTTCATTGGTCCAGAGTGACAGACTCAAATTAAATCAGTCAGAGTCTTTCCAGTGTTTTAAGACTAGAAAAGAGAGAGAGATTTTTTTTTTCCTCTCCTGAATGATAAACACAAACACTGTTGGCAGAAAGATGGCCTGAGTTAAGAAAGAATAAGACAGGTAGAGACTGAGATATAAGAGGTCTTGGTGGGATTCAATTCCTTGACTTCAGCTGTGTCCATGTCCTTTCTGCAGATCAATTGTTCTACCTGTTCTTGTATTCTGGACTAACAAAGTTTCCTCTTGCCAACTTAGTTTGCTTTGGGTTTTTATTATTAGCAAATACATAATTTCAGATTAACATATCTACAGCAAATGTTTACCAATGATGTTACAATTCCTTGCTAATACAATTTCGGCATTCTTATGATATCTAGTAAGAATATAAAAATAGGTATAAAAGAAAATCGTCTACAGTTTAAAAAAATTTTAACTGTTGAAACTTTTAGAAACAATACGGTCTTCATCATAGTACAGGGAAACAAATGATCCTTAGGGAATGGGCCATCACCACCTGTGTGTTCCTGATAAGGATCAGGCACTTGTCACCATGGCCTACAACACATATTTGAGCAAAGTTCCTAAAGAAGGGCTCAATCGGTAGAGATATAACCTTTTTATGAATCTGACCTTTGAAACCAGCATAGTGGGCAATAACCATTAACAGATCAAATATGAGAAATGTCAGGTGTGGAATAAGCCCTGACAGAAAATATTTCATCAGCCTAAGCCCTTGAACAATCACTGTCAGGACCTTGGAGGCCATTCTGTAGGCACCTTCTCCATTACACTCAGTGATAAGGATGATGGGTTACTTCTTTTAGCACAGTCCTCCTTAGCTAAATGTTCAGCTAAAGGGAGATCAAATCGACTCAAGTGTACTATAATTCTGAGAAAATTGCCATTGTGAGGTGACCCAATTTTTTCATTATTGACACAGAGAGGGAATCCTCGTAGAGAAATAAGCTTAATATCTTTAAGTGCTCGCATCTATGTTTTTCTAGGCTGTGTGTAGTACATAATGGTATTTTTTTTTTTTTTTTTTTTGCCAGAGGCATCTTCAGCCAAGTTCCCCAAATCTACTTTTCCAATTGTTAAGTACATCTCACAACTTCAGGTTTAAGATTGCTGTGGAGCTTGTAACCGAAAGGCAGATAAAAATAGTTATTGGTATAGTATGCACAGAGTTACTATTCTAATACATTTTTTTCACCATATTTTGACTTAGTGTTGCTTCTTTTGATGCAACTGTCAATTAACCAGTCTGGTTATGAAATAATAGTAGTATGCCTACTAACGCAATTTTTTAAATGTGGCATTATATTTGCATTGGCCTTTGCTATTGTCAAAGTAATTCCCCCTACATAGGTTTATTACCTGACTCGCAGCTAGACTTGCTAAAGATCTGATTGCTGCTGAAATGAGAAATGCCATTAGTGATACGTTCATGAATGTCTTTAATATGAACCTTGCTTCTGAGTTGTGGGAGGAAAAATCACTGGATATTGATGTCTGTGGCAATGATCCCTGAGCTCTTCTAGTAAACAATCCATCAGCATCCACAGATAGGAGGGGAACATGAATTGCATGCATCATCTAGCACGCAATAAACACTAACAAGTAATAATAAGAAAAGTTGAAGTGCAGGTTCGTAACTGGAGGGAAATAAGAATGGGTACTAAAAGGGAAGGAAACATTTGAATTTTCTTTGTAATAGCTACTTCTGTCTGCCTTCTTGCTTATGAAGTTTTATTTCCTTTGCACTCTTGTACTTTCATCCTGATGACATGGCTATTATTTTATAGCAGTTTCAAGCAGTTAATTAATGAACTGCACACAAGTGACATGACACCACCTTGCCCAATTATCTCTAGTATCTATTTTTACAGTACAAAGCACTGCCGCTTTGTGAATTGTCTCGTTCGCAAATTGGCTCAGGAGGTAGTTACTTTAATAGCCAAAACAATGCAACAGTAGTGCCACACTGGTGACACAGAGTAATTGTAAATCACCATGTGAGATCTCATAAAGCTCACCATAAAAGCCTGGTGATATCATGTAATAAAAGTGCTGTTTTCTACTGAGTTAAGCAGCTATCGCTCAATTTACCGTGTAATCTCAAGAGCCCCAGGCTCATTAGCTCATCCTGGATGGGATGTGGCATGAGGGTATGATGATCACATAGAACCAAAGAATCACTGACACTTCTCTCCTTTTTTTTATTTCCTTGGTATGTTGTATAAAATAGAGAAAACTATATTGTCAGGTTATTATATTTTGATTTTTGTTCAAGTTGCTTCATTCATCTGCACACTGCTTCTCTCTAATCCAACTGTCTTCCCTCTCTGGTCACCAGACAGTGTTCTTGGCCTTTTAACACACGCATCCACGATCTTTGGCTGCTCAATTTGCATGTCCATATAACTACATCGATTTTCTTTTAGAGTTTGTCACAGCAGTCTTTGTTTAATTAAAAATCATCTCAGTTGGGCACGGCAGCTCACGCAGGCCTGTAATCTCAACACTTAGTGAGGCCGAGGTGGGTGGATCCCTTGAGCTGAGGAGTTTGAGACCAGCCTGGGCAACACAGGGAGACCCCATCTCCAGAAAAGAAAAAAAAAAAGCCACACATAGTGGCACATGCCCGTGGTCACAGCTACTTAGGAGGCTGAGGTCCCAGGATTGTTTGGGCCTGGGAGGTTAAGGCTTTGGTGAGCTGTGATTGTGCTACTGCACTCCAGCCTGGGAGAGAGGGTGAGACCTTATTTCAAACAAACAAACAAACAAACAAAAAACAAAAGCACAAACACACACAAAAAAATGGTCTCAGGTATAAAATATTACCAACGTCGACTCCAGAAACAAAATGTTCTTTTTGAGTAAACCAAGGGTAAGTTTTATAACTTAATTTTTGCATAAACAAAACTCATCATGATGATAATATACTTTCCTGACACAAATCATGAAAAAGCATAGGTGTGTTTCTGTGGTGGATATTTTTAACGGAAGCGTGTTCAGTGTTCACATGCATGCTGTAAGGGTGCCCATTCTGTTACTAATATTATTAAGAACTTCAAATTTAGCCACCCTAAAATGATACAACTAGTTGTATTTGTGTAGTTTTTTGCCATTTGCGCTACAGTTTTAAGCTATACTTGTATTTCTCCATTGAAGTTATACCTGTAGGACTAAAATATTTCATATATATTGTTAAGATTATTCTTCACGAAGCTAAATTGTTAACAAAGTATGACGCCTGGAATATAACTCTCTACCATTTACTAGACTACTGGTAAAAACTAGCCACACGTGTCATAATTAGTTCAAACTGCTTGTTAGTCACTCAATTCTTATCATTTGTGAATATTTCTGCCTATTCTTCACTAAGCTCCTTGGAAGGGCTTTTCTATTTTTTTAAAACTCTACCTGTCTACCATGGTTATTTTGCTTATAATAGCTATTTCATAGATGTTTATTAAGAGTCTTTTACAAGCAAAACTACAAAAACTTTTCTTTCTAAATACTTTTTATGTTTTTAAGGAATCACTATGAGAGACTATGCCAGTAATATAGTAAATTTTGGAAAGTCCTCTCTTGAACTTATCTTTAGAACAATTTTTAAGACACGTAGAAAAATAACTCTTGTGAATTATTCTATATACACAATTAGTTTTTATTTTTAAAGCAAAGCAAATATTAAATGCCTCAATCCTTCAGATAGCCACTGACTCTCAAAGGATTCTGGCTAATTCTAAAACAGTCTACTGGTAAAAAAAACAACTGAGGGTGAATATGTGACTATGCCAAGGATCCTGATTGTCAATCAAAAATGGGGTTGAAATGACCACTGCCCTGGAATAAATGGACTGCTTAGCAGGAAAAGATCTCTGAGGTGTATAACAACTTTCTGTTTCAGTTCTAACATAGTTATAAAAATTACTCAGAACCATAATTTTATGGTAACATTTTGAATAACAGTTTCACCAGGAAGCATTATTATATAGTTTAATTACTTGATTAAAGAAAACAAGTGAATTAAGACTATGTTTTTATAGGTTTCAGAATAAATGAACATTAAAAATATGCACACTTAAAACATTATGTAATGTGTTTTATTTGCCCAGAAGCCATTAGGAACAAAGAGGGAAACATGAATTACATGGTAGATAATTTTACACAGAATTCCAAATCTATTGTGTTGCACAAAAATATGACTTTTTAACCTGCTAAATATATGCCTAAAATTTTAACTTATAAGTTATTTAATCATATCCTAGTAAGTGCATACAGGTGGGTGTATTTTAACTCAGTTGACCCTTACTATCTAAACTGTTACATTAGATATATAATGGGCTGCTGATGTTTTATATTTTTCCCAGGCAGTTTCCAGTGGCAGCAGATGATAACTTAAATTGAAAATAATTTGCTGATTTATTATGTCAAAGTCACATCTAGTATTAATCTACTTGGCCAATATAAATGTCAGGGAAGATAAACACCTAATTGGTTTAAATACATTGACAACTGATTATTAAAGGAAGACAGATTGCAGGAATAGGATCCATAAACACACACATTATCTTACACATTTTCGGAATCTAATATAGATAAGTTTCTATGCCACGGTGTACTTTTTGTACTGCCCTTAGAAAAAAAGTATTACAGGAATGGTGATGCCATAAAACGGTGAAAGGAGATCTTGTAACTGTCAAGGATGGTGTAAATTACCTGTGATTTTCACACTGCTTGATTCAGAAGTAACATATTTGCAACTATCAGTCATAAAAACAAAAGTGGGCTCAAAAAGTAGGGCCTTGGATTAGAAAATTCATGTGAATATACAATTGCCTGAGTTTGAAGCATAATTGAGGTTCAAGCAAAACATGAGAAACCCAGGCAGATTACAATTATGAATACATGTGCTAGAAATCTCCACTAAGAATGCAATGTGGCATTGTAAGAGAAAGAATAAACTCACACATATGTATAGTCCTGCTAGTAGATTTATGTTCCTAGTCTGTTGTCTCTTCCCAATTCTCTTCGACTGGGTTCATTCAGCCGATATTTTCAAGAAGTTACTTTATTCCAGGCAATGTTCTAGACTTTGGGAAGTCAGAAACTTAAACCAGCAAGATTGCTGGGTTTTTTGTTTGTTTGTTTGTTTTGTTTTGTTTTTGTGAGACGGAGTCTTACTCTGTTGCCAGGGTGGAGTGCAGTGGCACAATCTTGGCTCACTGCAACCTCCCTCCCGGGTTCAAGCAATTCTCCTCCTGCCTCAGCCTCCTGAGTAGCTGGGACTACAGGCACATGCCACCATGCCCAGCTAACTTCTGTATTTTTAGTACAGACGGGGTTTCACCATGTTGGCCAGGATGGTCTCAATCTCTTGACCTCGTGATCTGCCTGCCTTGGCCTCCCAAAGTGCATGGATTACAGGCGTGAGCCACCACGCCCAGCCAAGATTGCTGTTCTTATGGCTTTACATGAGAATTTCTCAACCTTGGTACTATTGACACTTTGGGCAAGATAATTCCTTGTTATGGGGCTAGCTTTTCCATTTGTAGGATGTACAATAGCATCCCTGGCCTCTACCCACTAGATGCTGGTAACACCATACCCAAGTTGTGACAATCAAAAAATCTTTACAGACATTGGGAAATGTCTCTTAAGAGACCAGATTGTTCCCAGTTGAGAACCACTGAGTTTGACAACAGTAGGGAATGATAAGCAGTGAGTCATTAAATAAATAAATAAATAATGTAACTTCAGATAGTAAGAAACACAATAATGGGATAGAGAGTTACTGGGAGTAGTAGTGGAAAGGACAAGAATTTTTCTGGAAGGTATACAAGCCGCTGGGAAAACCTCTCAAGGAAAGGAATCTTTAGAAGGTACAGTTTGACGTAAAGATCTAAATGAAGAGGTTAGAGGCAGGGGAATAGCAATCCCAGGGCCTTAGCTATGAAGAGTCTTTGGCCAACAGAGGATTCTTTATCTGCTCAAAGTTATGCTGAACAAGGATGCAAGTCAGATCTGTCTGCTTCCTGATGCTGCATTCCTCGTATGACCTTCTATTACTTTCTCTTAAGTCAAGACAACGACACACATATATCATAGAGTGAAAATGTGGCAAGTTCTGCAGGTGAGGCAATGATCTGAATCTATTGCCAAGACACATTAGTGATTGCTTATGGTTAGAGGGTCTGGGAAGGGGATAAAGTTGATGATATTAATGGAGGTATAGTCAGAAAACATAAATTTCTCACTACAAAAACTAGAAAATTAATATATGAAATACTAATATAATGATCTAAGTCCCTTCCCTTTTTCCCTTCCTTCCTCAGAAATATAAGCTTTCAAAGACATATTTTTTCCAAAGAATAAGTCTTATAGGAAACCACGCTGGTTGGCATAGTAATATGAAATTAGAAAGGAAATTTTTTTATCTGATAAAAATTCATCCTAAAATATAGTATATCTCTGACACTGTGAGTTAAAATACGTGTTGACAAAGAGATATTGCCTTTTACACTAGGTAATATACTTACTATGGATTTATGGTTTGTACATAATATTAAGTGGCCCAGACAGAGAGATTTCATTGAACTCTTGGGGAAGACTGTAACTTATATTTCCTGCTGACTTCTGTTTTCCACAGTTCCTTATTAAGATTTATGGAATATTTAGTCTTTGACTCTTTAATTATAATTGGCAGGTGTCCCTGAAGTTGTAAAGCAATTAGGAAGCCTATAGTTATTTTCTTAAAGCAGCACCTCTGGGGGATTTGATTTTTCTAAGGTGTTTATTGTGTCCTATTGCCTTTCATTTATCATACTAGATTGGATGCCTAAAGGATAGCATCCTAGCCGTGACCAATAATACTTCAAGGCACAGATAAAAGTAAGAAACTCAGAGACTATCCAGGCAAGTTTATTGCACATGGGATTTGACCATCGGTGGTAAAGTTTAACACCTTACAATAAGAGCTTGTCTATATACTGTCTCTATAATTGGAAGCCACCTTGTTGTTGTTTTTTGTTTGTTTGCTTGTTTGTTTTGTTTTGAGACGGAGTCTCACTCTGTCACCCAGGCTGGAGTGCAGTGGCACCATCTCGGCTCACTGCAACCTCCCTCTCCCGGGTTCAACTGATTCTCCTGCCTCAGCCTCTAGAGTAGCTGGGAATACAGGCGCACACCACCACACCGGGCTAATTTTTTCTATTTTAGTAGAGATGGGGTTTCAATCATGTTGCCCAGGCTGGTCTCAAACACCTGAGCTCCAGCAATCCGCCCGCCTTGGCCTCCCAAAGTGTTGGGATGACAGGCGTGAGCCATCGTGCCTGGCCAAGGCCACCTTGTTTTTTAAAGCAACTACAAATTTAACTCTGTGAATACTTGAGGCTGTTACATATCCAGAGGTAGTAAAATGTCCCACAGTTTAAAAGCCCTTAAAGTGGATACACTTCTTCCTACTTTACAGAATTTGTAGGCATCTTACAAACAAACAAAAAACCAAATCTATTCCCTTGGCTAACTCTACAGAGGCCCTTTAATGCTTTTTATTTTTAAATTCAGGAGGGACTTTTATAATCCTCAAGAAGTCATTACATTTAGATGCTTTCCTTTCTAGAAGAGAAAGATAGCTCAATTCCTCTTTTGTAGTACTTGTTATTTTTATCAATATCTTAAATGGGATAATATTTGACATATGCTAAATATTCTCAATTACATATTCGTGTATTCAATAAACATTTATCACTCTACTCCTATGTGCTAGGTACTGGATATATATTGGTGAATAAGCATATAGTCCCTTCCCTCATTCAGTTTACAATCTAGCAGGGAAATTTTTTTCATTTATTTATTCAATAAATATTTATTGTATCAGGCTTGCTTCTGTTTGTACAATGATAAGTAAGATTGGCAATGTCTTGAATTTGTAAAGTATATATTCAGTTGAGAGGCATTAAAGCATCAACAAATAAATACATAACATAATACAGAAAAATCAAATCAAGTGGATTATGGCAAGCAGCTTGGTGTCTTAACTTCTATAGCTACTACCTTTCTGTAAGTTTACATATTATATAAAATCATTTTCATTTTAAAGCGTAAATAGGAAGTATGGAAGTAAAACTAAATTGTCTCTAATATTTAGAGCCGCTTGACTGTGAAGAGGAGAAAAGCGATAGAGACGTTGCCTGTCTTATTTATCACTGTACAAACAGAAGCAAGCCTGATACAATAAATATTGAATGGATAAATGAATAAAAATTTCCCTGGTAGATTGTAAACTGAATGAGGGGAGGGATTATATGCTTATTCACCAGTATATATCCAGCACCTAGCACACAGGAGTAGAGTGATAAATGTTTATTGAATACATGAATACGTCATTGAGAAGTTTACATATTAAATAAAATCATTTTCATTTTAAAGAGTAAATGGAAGTATGGAAGTAAAAATAAATAGTCTCTAATATTTAGAGTCCTTTGTGAAGAGGAGAAAAATGATAGAGTGATATAGGAGGTAGATACATGGGATCAAGTAAAATATTTTAAATATGGAAGATCCTCAAACGCATTTGAAGGTAAGTAAGAGTGAGACAGGAGGGAGGCAGAGATTGAAAATAAAATAAGACAGAGGTAATCCTGGAGGCCAGATCCTTGAAAAGGCAAGAACTCACAGAGATCTTAAGGTGCAGTTGTTCATAGCAAATTTCTTTCATCCATTTATTCATTCATGCATTTAATCATTACACATTTTATTCAAATATGTATTAGGTAATATGAAAAAATAAATACTATCTCCACCAGTGCAGAACTTACAATCTAATTTGTAAAATATGATATATGGCTGAAACAATCTCATTACTGGGTATATACCCAGAAGAATATGAATCATTCTACCAGAAAGACACATGCATGTGAATGTTCATTGCAGCATTATTCAAAATAGCAAAGACATGGAATCAACCTAAATGCCTATCAATAATACATTAGATTAGGAAAACATGGTACATATATACTATGAAATATTATGCAGCCACAAAAAAGAATAAGATCATGTCTTTTGTGGGAACGTGGATGGAGCCGAAGGCTATTATCCTTAGCAAATTAATGAAGGAACAGGAAAGCAAATACTGCATGTTCTTACTGATAAGTGGGAGGTAAATGATGAGAAATTATGAACATGAAGAAGGAAACAACAGACTCTAGGGTCTACTTCATGGGGGAGGGTAGGAGGCAGGAGAGGAGCAGAAAAGATAACTATTGGGTACTGGGTTTAATACCAGGTTGATGAAATAATCTGTACCACAAACCCCCATGACACATATTTACCTATTTGACAAACCTTTACATATACTCCCAAACCAAAAATATAAGTTAAAAATATATATATGGCTGAAAAATAACTAAACATACATGATGGATTTTAGTAACAACTACTGTTATGGGAATTCAGAAGAAAAGTTCTCCACAGGATGAAGCTGTAATCTATATAGAGTGCTGTGTACCTAGTGTTCCTGGCTTTTCATAAGCACTTGATGAATAGGGGCTGGAGTAATTATTCATAGGGGAAGCTGTACCAATTTGGCCCTTGAAGAAGTAATTGTGAATATAGCAAGAAAGGGCAAAAGGCTTCCAAGATTGGGGAAATAGCATGAGCACATGCAGAAACAGCAATAGTGTTTTTGACATTTGTGTTATAGGCTAAACTGTGTCTGCCACAAAAGATATGTTTCCAACTGTGATCTTACTTGGAAATAGGGTGATTGCAGATCTCATCTGCTACAGTGAGGTCATACTGGAGAGGGATCTTAATTCTACATGGACTGGCATCCTTATAATAAAAAGGAAAATACACAGGGAAAAGATAGCCGAGTGGCGACAGAGGCAGAGTGGGTAGAGATGTATCTACAAGGCATGGAATGTTAAGGATTGCCAGCAAAGGCCAGAATAAGGATAAGAAAGGATTTCTCCTCTACAGATTTCAGAGGGAGCATGGCTCAGCTAACACCATGATTTTGGACTCCTAGCCTCTAGAACTGTGAGATAGTAAGTTTTTGTTGTCTAAGCCACCCAGTTTGTGATACTTGGTGACAGCAGCCCCAGGAAATGGATCCACATGATCTATACAATGCTGTAGGTATTTCTTCAGCTCTATTTAAAATGTAGTAATGTTATCTTTTTAAAATTTTTAATATTTCTTATTTCTTCTGAAAATACATTCTATCTGAATAATAGGAAGAAACTTTTTGAAACTCTGTTATGTCACATTTTATCCTAGTAACAAGAAAAGAAGTACCTTTAAATTCAGTAATATTATTATGACAGACTATGTGATAGACTTTTAAACCTATGGTTACAATAAATATTTTAAAATACCAAGAAAAGGTTACAATGTAATATTAAATAATAAGGGCCTATAGAAAAATACAGATGTTGATTGCATTTAATGTATACACCGAAACTCACATACACATACAAGTATGGAAATGGATGAATAGGGAGATACAGACCGGAAGGAACTATGACAAAATAATGAGAGTGGTTATGGCTGTTTTGTCTTTTGTGCTTGAAAATAAATCTAGAATGATTTCATATTCTTTGGGAGAAAAACCTTCTCATCAATTCAAAAAGAAAAAGTTAACTCTTTTTTGTTCATAACCATAAATTAGTTGCTAATGTAATTTAATGTATGTGTGCTAAAGCTGAGCTGATCCAGGAAAGACTAGGAAAATGTACTTATTGCTTTTGGCCTCGTATATATTATATTCAGTAATAGCTCAATTAGCGTTGGTTTTCTGAAAACAAAACAACTTCCCTTTTACAAAGGCAGTCTGAGTTCAGAAGTGCAGAAAGCACTGGGAGAGTTTTGGTGTCCTCAAAGTTGGAGGGTCACCCAGCTATAGACAGGGACTCAATACCAGGCCATGCTCTGCTGAGATATCTGGGAGAAAGTAATTTATATTTCATCATTCCTAGGTGCAGAGCTCCAGCTATTTTCCTGTGCAAATAGAGGAGGGTGTGGATGGCAGAACCCGATTTACCTTGAGGCAACTATAAAAGATTATATACATGTGGTGCTTTTCTATGCTGTTTTTTCTACTTTTCTATGTTATCTCTTGGTCTATTAAGGAGGTTTCTGAGAATAACACTGCACTGAAATGTGTGGTAACACTCCACATACAACACAGCTAGACATTCACTAGTTAATTCCAGAACAAATAAGTTGTGTTTTCATAAATTTCCCTTCATCTAGCTGGCTTAGTAATGGATTTTGGCCTATATAACATGTTACTAAGATTTTGAAAGTCTGGAGTTAAAATAATTATAGCCCTAAGTTAAATTCGAAGTGTATTCAAAGAGTAATTTGGTTTTAGAGGATGAAAAGACTGGATCTTTAAACTCATCTAGTGGACTATATTTCACATATGATATACCTGAGGCATAGGGAGGTAAAGTAACTCCTTAAGTTTTCTTAGAAAGTTTGTGTCAGATCCAGGATGGAACAAAGGCCTTCTGACTCTCAGGTGACGGGTTCTTTCCATTATATCATGCTCCGCGATGATGATCTGTCAGAGATATTCAAGCACAAGCACAATGACTGTCAGTCAACCTGAATGTAATCCACTAAGTTATGCTAATTCCCATAAAAACTAAGATGACACACAGCTGAAGGAATCCCCACTAGGATTTTGTTCATATAAATTTGCCCATTTATGGCAAATTCATCCTGCTCTTTGGAATCTCTTTTGTTCTCTTTATGCTATTCCTATTGTCTGTAGGATTAAAGGAAGACCAAATGAGGAAAATTGGAACAAAAATGAAAGGGGTGCTCTTTTCTACATGAGCTAGTCTTTCTGTGATAAGCATCCATACCAAACGAAATGGATAGATGAGATGAGATGCCCTGGCATCCAATAGGTTTCATCAGTATCGGTGCTAAATGGAGAGAGGGTCTGCTCTTAAACAGGTCCGAGGAAAAGGAAATTTTTTTGTAGTACAATCCCGGTAACAAGGGCTTTTAGTAGAGTCTAAAATAATTTAGCAAATGGAAGATTATCATGGACTCAATGAGGCTTAAATGTAATGAAAACGTGACAAATAATCTACTGTTTTGAATACCCAATAACTGTTATTCCTATTATTTTAAGATTCAACTTTTTAGAAATGCTTAAAAATACTCAAAGATGACAAAAATCCTCGGTTTTGTTAAGAAAAATGTTTTTTTTTTTGTTTTTTTGTAAGCAGAGGACCAAATTTAGGAATGAAGGAAAGGAGGCAATTTGGGTAATCTCTTGGAAGAAAAAATGTTCCTCAGATGTTGTTTTCTTTGGTTTGGAGACTAAAGTTGATGTAGGAGTGTTTCCATCTAAGCCAAATTTCTGCCAGAGTTATTTTTTTCCTTGATTGTATATTTCATATTTAATGTCACCATTTAAAATTCTTCTGTGAGTCTGTCTTTTGAAGAGAGACTCACAGATATTTAAAAGCTTAAAATTGTCAGTTTGCAGTTCCAGACCTGTGTCACCATTCAAGGCTTCTTCCCCATGGCCACCTAACATTTGAATTTCATACATAAGAGACTCCTGTTGCCCTTATATTCAAAGTGCTCTCATACTTCAGTGCCTTGAGGCACACATAGTTCTTCCAGGCATCCCCATAAGCTTTTTTACTACCTAGTGACACATTTTCAAAGTACTGCTCAATTGTCTACTGTGGAACCTTCCATTACCCATTCAGAAAAGTCTTTCTTCCTCTGTGTGTTTGTAACATTTATACGCATCTCTGTGGATAGATCCTATGACAAAAGACCAGTTTCGTCTATGTGAGTGTAGCCACCAGCTCAATGCTTGACACTTAGTAGGTGGTCAATGGATGCTTTAAGAATTAATGAATAGAAGAATGCATACGCTTGTTGAAACCCAACCCATACGCAGAAGAATATTCAAGAGTAGGGGAATGCTTTGTGTTTCCCCTATGGATATTTGCAGATTTCTGTAATAAGTGCTATTAAGCTAAAGGCAACATCAAAGGCAGCCTCAAAATTAAAAAGAAGTCATACCTGAAAGGGGTATTAAGAAAGTAGAAGCAGCTTTCTTGCATCTTTGTCTTGAGCAGGATTCCATGGCTAAGACAGGATTATGGGATGATTGTTTGCACTTGACCCTCAGGCCTTTTTAAGGTAAAAATCTCAAATATCAAAGGCAATTGGTATAATCGTCTTTTTGGGGCCATTATGCTTCTTCTTTACCCCCAAATGGCTCAAACCTCTAAGTTCCTCCCTAGGTTTGTTGACCCCGATAACTCTTTTCTAAACATGTTCCACCTGTAGAGAAGTGTTGACTCTACTAGAATAATCCCTCAGGAACAGATAATGTAATCAGACCCAATATCCAAAAGTGTTTCTTGCTAGGCGAGCACATAGAATTGTTTTGCTCTGATGACTGCCTAAGACATTGAAATTAAATGATATCATTTGGATACCTTTTCCTTCAAGTAATAGAATATCTAGCTAAAAGTCACTTTACTAAATAGGGATTTATTTATCTCATATGTGAAAGAGTTCAAAAGTAGGCAAGCATTAGTTTGGCTGTTCAAATATGTCAAAGACCAAGGTTGTCCCCCACATTTTTTCATTGCTGTCTTCTGGGTGTTGGCTTTTCATCCTGGCCTCATTGCTTTACTCTATGAAGAAGCTCCTTCAGGAATCATGGCTGCTTTGGAAAGCACAAAACTGAAATATTATTTGTCTGTGCTAGAAATAAAATCTGCTTATTGTTCCTAGCTACACTAATCAACAGCAGTGCCGTCATCTGCTGGCAGCTTCCAGAAGTGTAGACACAAACCTTGAAGACAGACATATAGAGAGTTTTACAAATCATTGTATTTCTGTTATGGTTGTTGTAGCAAAATGAGGCATAGAAATCTGGACTTTTCATACCCAAACTAGCATGGGGCCTTAAAGAGAATAGGTCTATGATAAATATTTTTATATAAGTTCATTTTCCAAATATAAAAGATAATACTGACTGTTGAGATAAGATGATTTAAATTTATTTTAAAAAGCTGAAATTATATATCAGGAGAGATTTGTATGTAAAACAAAAGTTAGGTCTGAACTGTTTGTGTTACTATGACAAAAGTATCAGGAAATTTGTTTTAATAAAAGTTTCTAAACATCTTATATCTCTTTTTCAGTTTCAATTTTCCAAATCATTTTCAAGATCAAAATCTAAAGTCACTAGTTACAATAAAGTAAAATAAATCAATAAAAGTGCTCAAGGAATTAGTACTCAAATTTAAAAAATTTCCTTTTCATTTATTTTATGAGAGGTTTCTGGGACTACTAACACAGACTGGAGGAGAATCCCTTTAATTTCCCCCAGTGTAAACATGAGGCCTCACTTTACTGCTTCCCCTTTACTCTAAGAAGGCATGTTTGTTTTTTCCTTCCTGCAGAGACAAAACCTAAAGTTAATGGCTGTTCACAGCTTGAAAGAACAAGACCTTCACTACTTTGTAAGTCTTTCCTCCCCAGAGGTAGCTTCTTGGTTTAGTAAATTGAAACTTTAACCCTCATGATTTTTTTAGAATTTGGTTCAAAGGTAAAGGGTAGAAAGGCAAAACGTGATAGGCTATAATATTTTTATATGTAAGATATTATATAATTATAAACATATATTGTAGTAGTGAAAGTTATTCTGTTCCCCATAAACAAAATCATAGAAAGAAGATGATAGTAAATATTTCGTAGTATATACTCATTGTAGAAATTTTTAACATTTCTCATTAAGAAAGCTAAAACAAATATACTTTTATAATGGTGAATACTAAGGCATTTAAAAATCAATAGATGAGTTTGGGAGGCCGAGGTGGGCGGATCACGAGGTCAGGAGATAGAGACCATCCTGGCTAACACGGTGAAACCCCGTCCCTACTAAAAAAAAATTAAAAAATTAGCCAGGCGTGGTGGCGGGCGCCTGTAGTCCCAGCTACTCAGGAGGCTAAGGCAGGAGAATGGCGTGAACCCGGGAGGTGGAGCTTGCAGTGAGCCGAGATTGCTCCACTACACTCCAGCCCGGGCGACAGAACGAGACTCTGCCTCAAACAAACAAACAAACAAACAAAAAATCAATAGATGAGGTCTATGACCCTTGTCTTGAATCTGGACTGGCCTTAGTGATTTGTTTCTAACTCAAAGAATGCTACAGAAGTGATCTTGGATGACTTTCAAGGCAAGATGAGAGGAGGTCGAGCAACTTCTGCTTGGTTCTCTTGGGATGAACACTCTGGGGAAGTCCAGCTGTCATGTAAGAAATATAACTACCTAGAGACCTTCATCCTGATGGGTCACATGTGGGCACTCTGGCCAGCATCAACTGTCAGTCACGCAGGTCAGCCATCTGGACATTCAGCACAGTCAAGCCTTCAATGACTGTAACTCCAACTAACAGCTGACTACCAATACATGAGGGGCCTGAGGTGAGAACTGTCTGGCCAATCTCTTCCTCAATTACTGACACATATCTCATGAGTCCATTCAAATATGTGTCTTAAGTTACTAGTTTTAGAGTAATTTGTTCTGAAACAAGGCCATTAAAAAGTTTAGTTATTTAAAAATCAGTTCTATAAGAAGGACAAGTTGTACATCTGTGGCAGATATTGTTTTTGGATGTACAGTTTAATTTCAGAGGAATATTAAATCTTCAAAGTAGTTGTAATGTAGCCATAAGAAAGAATAGTTTCTGCTTTTTTGAGTATTCCCTATGTGAGATAAGACAGGGCAAATGTAAACATAAACTCCCATGAAAAGAGTCTTTTTTTTCTTTTAAAGCTAATTTATATAACTTATTTTTGAAGTTTTTGTCTAACTTCACATATTGTGAGGCAAAACATAAAATTGAGCACAAATTCCAGAAAAAAATACAAGACAAAATGAAAGGCAATGGAACTTCTTAGGATGTAGAGCGTTATGAAAGTTTCAGAGTCATTGGTCATAGAAAGAAAGATTTGTAGGTAGTTAGAAAGGGAGAGGTCAGAATTAATGATGTAATTCTGTGAATTATCAGCAAAGTATGGTCAAAGCCATAAAATTAAATAAATTCTTCAAAGAAATAAAGAGAAAAGTGGATTATGATCAATAAACATAAATCTTGGTAGGGATTTAATAAACATTGGTTTAAGATGTCAAAGATTGAAGAGAGCTCTAAAAAGAAGGGAAAATTTTGGAAAAAACCTTTCTTTGCTTCTGTAACATTTCTTTTTCCTTGCTTTCCCTTTGCTTCACCTCACCTCCTTGTCACTGTGAATTCCCTTTATTCTACCTGTTCCCTCCTGTTTTTTCCTCTTTTTTTCTCTTTAAGCACATCCTTTCTCTATGATCTTATCTCTACCGTTGCCACACTGATGACTCGACATTGATAACTGTGTCTCACACTGTTTCCTTAACTCTACGCCATATTTTTAAGCCATTAAGTTGCAGGATCTTAATTTCAACAGGTCAAAATTCAAACTTACTAGCTTTTATTTCAAAGGTTTAAAAACTTGTAACTTTTAAAAATCTTGACTCATGGTAAAATCGATTACATGATCCCTTGTATTTTTCAGCCTCTTTTAATTGTAAGTGACAGAAAATCTAACAGTATATAAAAATAGTATATTAAACAACACATTAAAAATAAGTGTTTTTATTTAACTTCCTTTTCTCTCATATAATGGAAAGTCTGGAGGCTGGGGCTGGAGCAGCATGTCTAGCATCACCAGAACTGTCTCCTTTTAACTTCCCCCTCTATCATCCTTCACATTTGGCTTGCAGCCTGATGGTCACAAGACAGTATTTCACTGAGAGATTTGATTACATCAATGCTCCTGTCTGAAGGAAGGTGAAAGGTGAATGTGAAGGGCAAACTTGCAAGGAGAGCATGTCTAAGTTGGAGCTCTTTAAAAAACATTCTAAAATCCCACCCAGTAGATGCCTGTTTACAAAATTTGGCTACATGAATAACCCTAACTACAAGAGAGACTTAGGAAATAAGCAATGTTATCTGGATACAAAATCACCCTTTCCGAATTGGAATTCTATAGTTGAGAAGATAATGAAAACCGATACTCACAGACAAAGAATAGTTTCTTCTACCCCACTGAAGACAGAAATCTGTAAATCATTCTTAAATTTTCCATCTCCTTTAAATCACCCACTTAGGATACTTTTTCTATTCATCCATTATTCAGCAGGTTTTATCAATCCCCCATCAGCCATTCTCCACTTTCTCTTTTCATTGTATTCTGTAGTGGGTTGAATCGTAGACCCCAAAAGGTATGTCCATGTTCTAATTTCTGGAATCTGTGAATGTTATTTTATTCAGAAAAAAGGGTCTTTGCAGATGTAATTAAGTTAGGGATTTTGAGAAGAGGCGATAATTCTAGATTATCCAGGTGGGCCCTAAGTCCAATGATCCAGGTGTCCTTATAAGAGACACATGGGACATAAGACAGGCAGAAGAGGAGAAGGCCATGTGAAGATGAAGGCAGTGATTGGAGTGATGTGACCACAGTCAATAAAAGCCAGCAGCTATCAGAAGCTGGAAGAGGCAAGAAACAGAGGCTTCCAGAGTCCCAGTGCCCTGCCAACACCTTGATTTCAGAATTGCAACCTCCATAACTGAAATAATTTTTTGTAGTTCTGTGCCATCAAGCGTGTGACAGTTTTTTACAGCAGGCAGAGGAAACTAATACAGTTGCCTTAGTCTGCATTTTTTTGTTTGCCTGAATTTTTGCAACTGTACTAAATTGTCTCCTTCCTTCCATTCTCTGCTAGTCCCATCTGTGCAGTCACTAGATTAGTCTTCTTACAACACAAATCCGATGATTACTTTGCCTTAAAACTTTTCAATGGCTCACCATTGCCTATAGGATAAAGTTTAAATTTCTTCATACATCATATAAATGCCTTTACAATCAAGTCCTTTTCTATCCATACAAATTTATCTGCTTACACTCTGAACTTGAATCATATGGGATTTCCTGCAGTGCTGTGAATTCCCCCCAGCATACTCAACTTCAGTTCTGCATACATCATTTTTCTCTGTCTGGAATATCCTCTACCCTTCTCTATCCAGCAAGCTTCTTCTCTTGGTATGAATGTAAGTGGTTATTCTGTGATTCCATGGTACATAATATCATAATTTTTAATTCAGTTTGTCCCACTTAAATGTAAACCCCTTAAAGGCCTAGCAATCTTTGAATTTTGCCATGCTACGAAGTGGCAGCTGTATAATAAGTACTTGACAACATTTTGACTATTAAAGAATGACATATATTGTAGTCATTAAAATTGGATACTGAAGAGGGTAAGTTCATTGAAAAGAAAGAAAAGGACGTTGACTTTAAAATAAATGATTAGATATCTTAGGGATAGAGGTTTGGGTAAAGATTTGGGTACTGATGCTGAGTGCTGGAAATTAAAAAGTAGTATGTGTTTAGGAAGTGAATGAAGTGACTATAGAATTTGAGTTCCAGAAATCTGGCCATGGAAAAAAAGAAACTTACATTTATCTAGCACTTTAATTTGCTTCTGATATTGTATTGTTTTTTTAAAGAGCATATATTATGATTTATGATACTGGACATGTATTGTTATTGCTGTTGTTTTTGCTGGCCAGTATTTATTCCTTCTGCCTTTGCTAACAGCACTCTGCTTTTATTAAGAAGAATCGTCTCTCTCCCATTTTATTTAGTCTTAATGAGATTGGAAATAAAGATGTCCTGACTTGTACTAATTGAGGTACGATATGTGTATTAGTCAGGATTCTCTAGGGAGGCAGAACCAATAGGATACAAATGGATGGATGAATAGATAGATAGATAGATAGATAGATAGATAGATAGATAGATATAGGGATTTATTAGGGGTGTTGGCTCACATGTTTATGGAGGCTGGGAAGTCCCTCAATAGGCCGTCTAAAGCTGGAGAACCAGCTTCATGGAGGCTGGTAGGGTGGCTCAGTTCAAATCCTAAGGCCTCAGAACCTGGGAAGTTTGGAAAGTTGATGGTGAAACCCTCAGTCTTGGCCTGAAGGCCCTCGAGTGGAAGGTGGGCTGCTGGATGTCTTGATTCCAAAGGCTGGAGAACCAAAGGCTGGATGTCTTGAGTCCAAAGGCTGGAGTTCTGATGTCCAAGGCCAGGAGAAGAATGACTCCACTCCATGCCAGAGAGGGTGAATCTGCCTTTCCCCTGCCTATCTGTTCTTAAGTGGGCTCCTAGCCAATTGATTGGATACTGCCCACCCATATTGAAGGTGGATCTTCCTCACTCAGTCCACCAACTAACATGCCAGTCTTCTCCAGAAACATCCTCACAGACACATCCAGAAATAATAGTTCACCAGCTATCAAAGAATTCCTTAATTCAGTCAAGCCAACACCTAAAATTAACTATCATAATATGTGATTCAATCTTGGCCAAAATATTTTTATAGTTGGTACTTTGAGTCTTGAATGAATTGATAGAGGAAATGACCTTACTGTATTCATTCCAGAGGGGTTCCTTGTTGGACATTTGATGGCTCCTAACACTTAAACTTTCAGAGTTGACCTTGTTTGTACCTTTTTGTTCTCTATTGTGTTTATCTTTTTATTGATTCTTGAAACTACCTGTTACTCTTCCAACAAGCTTTCCTGCTTATATAAGCCCTAATCAGCTTCTATACCTTATAACCAAAGAATCCCAACTGCCATAACTGATAAATTTGTTTATCTAAAAGTTTTATTGACATTAATAAATGTGAAACAACTTTGGGACAGTAGCAAAGGCAATTGTTTAGTGAAAACTAAAGCTAATATTTATACTATGATTACTATTTTTATTAGGTTACTCAATGGCCCATATTAAGAAAAAAAGTTGCCTGTTCTGGGACAAATTGAAAGTAAGAGTACTTTTTTAAAATAATTATATTTAAGCCTTTAATCCATCTTGAGTTAATTTTTGTATAAGGTGTAAGGAAGGGGTCCAGTTTCAGTTTTCTGTATATGGCTAGCCAGTTTTCCCAGCACCATTTGTTAAATAGGGAATCCTTTCCCAATTGCTTGTTGTTGTCCAGTTTTTAGAAGATAGATGGTTGTAGATGCATATTTCTGAGGCCTCTGTTCTGTTCCATTGGCCTATATGTCTGTTTTGGTACCAGTACCATGTTGTTTTTGTTATTGTAGCCTTGTAGTGTCATTTGAAGTCAGGTAGCATGATGCCTCCAGCTTTGTTCTTTTTGCTTAGGATTGTCTTGGCTATATGGGCTCTTTTTTGATTCCATATAAAATTTAAAGTAGTTTTTTCTAATTCTGTGAAGAATGCCAGTGGTAGTTTGATGGGAATAGCATTGAATCTACAAATTACTTTGGGCAGTGTGGCCATTTTCACAATATTAATTCTTCTTATCCATGAGGATGGAATGATTTTCCATTTGTTTGTGTCCATTTGTTTGTTCCTTGAGCAGTGGTTTGTAGTTCCCCTTGAAAAAGTCCTTCACATCCCTTATTAGCTGTATTCCTAGGTATTTTACTCTCTTTGTAGCAATTGTGAATGAGAATTCATTCATGATTTGGCTCTGCTTGTCTATTGTTGGTGTAAAGGAATGCTTGTGATTTTTGCACATTGATTTTTTATCCTGACCATGCTGAAGTTGCTTATCAGCTTAAGGAGTTTTTGGGTGAGACAATGGGTTTTTCTAAATATAGAATTATGTCATCTGCAAACAGAGACAATTTGACTTCTCTCTTCATATTTAAATACCCTTTATTTCTTTCTCTTGCCTGATTGCCTTGGCCAGAACTTCCAATACTGTATTGAATAGGAGTGGTGAGAGAGGGCATCCTTGTCTTGTGCCGGTTTTTAAAGGGAATGCTTCCAGCTTTTCCCATTCAGTATGATATTGGCTGTGAGTTTGTCTTAAATAGCTCTTCTCCAAACCATAAAAACCCTAGAAGAAAACCCAGACAATAGCATTCAGGACATAGGTATGGGCAAAGGCTTCATGACGAAAACGCCAAAAACAGGCCAGTCATGGTGGCTCACGCCTGTAATCCCAGTACTTTGGGAGACTGAGGTGGGCAAATCACCTGAAGTCAGGAGTTCTAGAACAGCCTGGCTAACATGGTGAAACCTTGTCTCTGCTAAAAATACAAAAATTAGCTGGGTGGGGTGGTGCATGCTTGTAATCCCAACTACTTGGGAGGCTAAGGCAGGAGAACTGCTTGAACCCAGGAGGCAGAGGTTGCAGTGAGAAGAGATCATGCCACTGCACTCCAGCCTGGGTGACAGAGCCAGACTCCATCTCAAAGAAAAAAAGAAAAAAGAAAAAAGAAACCCTCGAAAATGCCAAAAACAATTGCAACAAAAGCCAAAATTAACAAATGAAATCTAATTAAAATAAAGAGTTTCTGCACAACAAAAGAAACAATCATCAGAGTGAACAGGCAACCTACAGAATGGGAGAATATTTTTGCAATCTACCCATCTGACAAAGATCTAGTATCCAGAATCTATAAGGAACTTAAATTTACAAGAAAAAAACAAACATCTCCATCAAAAAGTGGGCAAAGGATTTGAACAGACACTTCTCAAAAGAAGACATTTATGTGGCCAATGAACATATGAAAAAAAAATCAACATCACTGATCATTAGAGAAATGCAGAGCAAAACCACAATGAGGTACCATCTCACAACAGTCACAATGGTGATTATTAAAAAGTCAAGAAAGAATACATACTGGCATGGCTGTGGAGAAACAGGAATGCTTTTATACTGTTGGTGGGAATGTAAATTATTTCAACTATTGCAAAGGACAGTGTGGCGATTCCTCCAGGATCTAGAATCAGAAATACCATTTGACCCAGAAATCCCATTACTGATTACATACCCAAAGGAATATAAATTATTCTACTATAAAGTCACTTGTACACATATGTTTACTGCAGCACTATTTACAATAGCAAAGACACAGAACCGACCCAAGTGCATGTCAGTGATAGACCGTATAAAGAAAATATAGTACATATACACCATGGAATACTAGGCAGCCATAAAAAGGAATGAGATCATGTTCTTTGCAGGGACATGGATGAAGCTGGAAGCCATCATCCCTAGCAAACTAACACAGGAACAGAAAACCAAACACGTATGTTCTCACTCATAAGTGGGAGTTGAACAATTAGAACACATGGACACAGGGACGGGAACAACACACACCAGGGCCAGTTGGGGATGGAGAGCATTAGGAGAAATAGCTAACGCATGCAGAGCTTAAAACCTAGATGATGAGTTGATAGGCGCAGCAAACCACCATGGCACACGTATACCTAGGTAACAAACCTACATGTTCTGCACTTGTATCCCAGAATTTAAAGTAAAATATAATAATTAATAATAATAATAATAATTGTAGAAGTCTTTGTAAAAGATAAATGTCATAGATTCATGATTATTCAGATTTACACAGAGAACTACTTAGAGGAGGTCAACGAGATAAAAACTGTGATGTTTGTCATTTCTAATTCCAGTAATTAAGTGCTGCTCTTCTTCTACTTGAAAAGGCCACTATGGGATTATATTAATGGCATAATGGAGAGTCAAAGAAAAAAATCAAAACTATTATGAAAAAGAATGATATTGAAAAATTCATGAGCTGGAACCTTCAGAAAAGGAGAGTGTTTATGGTGATAGATGATCAGGATTACCGGAATGGCATGTGGTCTTTTGTCCAGAAGGACATGCCACCTCTTATATTCCTAAAATCTACAGAATGCATTAGAACCATTCTCATCAGGAAGACTATAGTCAAGTGTTTTAACTAAAGTTCTTCTGCTACTATCCCACTACTTACTTTTTTCTTATTTCTTATAATAAAGGATTATTTCTTATTTTTGCTTCTTTCTTCCCCAAATGACAATTGCTTGATTTTCATTATAAGTTGATTATTTTTAAAGGAATAAATGTGATCATTATGACCAAAAGTTAATACTTTATAAATTTTGGATATGAGAAAAATATCCTGCTTGGGCCTTGAATATGTGAATCTAATAAGTCGGAGTTATTCTATGCCTGTATTAGATGGATTATCTGCCATCATCTGCTCAGATACCAATATTCTAACTACTCCATCCAGCATGTTGTAACAGGGGCATCTAGAAACCTAGAGGAGAAAGGTCTGAAAGGGATTTCAAAGAAAATGATTCAGAAAGCTGAAATAAGCCCTGGGAAGTCATGTGCTTGCATGACCTGCCTCAAGATATTTAACTTCTTTATGTCTCAGTTTCTTTATCTCTAAAATGGAGGTTATTTTACCTAATCTGCTTATCTCATGGAATTACTGTGAGGAAAGAAAGTATGAGAAAAATTTTAACAAAAATAGATTCAATGTAAATGCAAAGTATATTATTAATTGAATCATATGTCATGTTACATAATAACTTACATGAAGTGTGCTTTTCCACAAACAATAAGATATATAAATGTGTTAAAAATCATAAATAAAGTATTCAAATAAAATAAAACATATACAACTTTTAAAGTTATTATTTACACATGCTATTAAAGAAAGGCCAAATGTATTCTTCATGTACATCCTGGGATAATTCTTTTTTAAAAAACAAAAAATCTCTAGCAATATTAGTAACAATATGTAGTAAGATGTTTGTTCTTTTCAAACTTTAATATGAGATTTGCCTTTTGTCTATGGCTTATGTTACCATGGGCTTTTACTCCTAATACACACTCATCCATTTTGATTAACCACAGTACAGATGCTGTCATATAAAACCTGAAATCCTTTACTCATCGATGTAGCTTTTCTATTCTTTTTTTTTTGTTTTTGTTTTGTTTTGTTTTGTTTTGTTTTGTTTTGTTTTGAGACAGAGTCTCACTCTGTCACCTAGGCTGCCAGGCTGGAGTGCAGTGGTGTGATCTCAGCTCACTGCAACCTCTGCCTCTCAGGTTCAAGCAATTCTCCTGCCTCAGCCTCCCGAGTAGCTGAGATTACAAGTGCCCACCACCAAGCCAAGCTAATTTTTCTTTTTTCTTTTTGTATTTTTAGTAGAGACGGGGTTTCACTATGTTCGCCAGGCTGGTCTTGAACTCCTGACCTCAAGTGATCCACCCGCCTCAGCCTCCCAAAGTGCCGGGATTACTGGTGTGAGCCACCGCGCCCGGCCTTCTATTCTTATTCTATAGCAAGTTGTAATGCAGAAGGTGCAATAGAATATGGAAGTGCATATTTATCAAGACATACTGATGCATTAAAAATCTTGCTGTGGTAAGCTATGTTGGCTGTTACTGAATGTTTACAAAATACAACCTATTTCTTTATAATTACACTTTAACTGAGCCATATATGGCATAAGAGATAATTGCATATGTTTTGTCTACTTGAATAATATTTGAAGGTACATCTTTAAATTTTATTGGCTTTATTGACACTGTTACTGTTTGTGATTTCCCCACAGCTGTTTTTATTTTGTGAATATCATTCATCCCATGAGCATGACTATAGCTCTAAGCATTTTATAATAAATTGTTATGATCACTAAACACATGTAGTTAAGGACTTCTTTGCATCCATTTTCTTGTTCTTAGTTTTAATTTTTCATCATCTTTATTAATTTTATATATCAAATATAATTTTTAAACCTCCAAATTAACAAGCTACATATGCTCTGTCTGTGCACTGAGAGCTATCTTTGCACATCACTCCCACACACAGTACACATCTCTTTCCTGGTACAGATTTCTCAGCAACACTTTGGCTCTCTTCCTGCTCATGTTGCTGATGGATGCCCAGTCGTGCCATATACTGTGGTCCTTGGTGATTTTCCATCTTCCTGCTACATCGTCACCTGTTCTGGTCTCCCAAACAATGTTCCAATCACGTCTCCAGTGTAGCTCCCCTGATATCACTGTGCCTTGCTCCTTCTGTCTTTTTAATGTAATGCCTGTGATTGTCACAAGATATTCACTTCCACAGTTGGCACTGTTTATTACCCATTCATTCATTATTTATTCCATCCACAAGCATCTCTTTAGGGCCTACTCATTAGTGGTGCTAGAGACTGAGGTTACAAAAGATGAGCGAGAGACAGTCACTTACTTCCAGAAATTTAGTTCCATGTTCTAGCGGGAGGTTTCAGAATTTGAGACCTGAAACAACGGCCTTCATTTTTAAAATTTCTGGATCCGAAGCAAATTTGCTCTGGAAAAATATCTATTATGAGATCCATCTTCCTTCTATAAATTCCTAAATGCAACAGTGGATGTAAAATTTGCTTTGGTGAGAGACAAAACTTCACAAAATTTCAGTTCAAGGCTATTTATTGACTATTGATGTATAACAACCTGCGAGTGAACACTAGTCATTACTTTATGTTGTACATCATACTTCTGGAAAAATTAGTTCCTCATAATCAATGAAAACAATACTGCAATTTCTGTAGTAAATAAACCACCATAGTTTGTGTTAGACTTGTGTTAGTAATTTAGACAATTAATCTGTGGCTTTACTTGACACCAGACCAAAAAGCTGTACAAAATTCAGTTTTTTTTTTCCAAAAGCTTGAACAATTTATTGTACTAGGTGTCCCACAGGATGGCATTTCTGAGGCAATTACAGAAGAAGCTGGACCCCAGCAACTATAAAGGTGTGTAGACTCAGCTCAATATAAACAAAATAAAAAACCTAGACTAAACAACAAAATCCACAAACAATAACAGTAGCAATTCTGCTTTGAATTTCCAGAAGGGGAGAATTTTCCCTTCTTCTGAATCAATTTACTCTTACAAAAAATAAAATCCTATTTCATAGATTATATTTTATATACAGTGATCCCAGACATCCTATAAAGCACACACACAGAACGAGTATTCAGTAGGTGAAACAATGTCACTCAAAATCTAAGTCATATTTCTACTTACTCTGTTTTTTTTTTTTTTTTAAATGCCAGATGGGAAAGTTTTCCATGATAGTATTGAGGAAATTCTATCCTTGCTGGGTGCGGGAGTGGGAGTGTGAGGGAGGGGGTGCTTTCGATTGTAAATCTCTAATTATAAGACATTATAATTTGAGAAAAGTCAAATTATATGGATGTGACAGAAAAGCCACTGTGGCAGAACACATAATATTTTTAAAAAGGCTAAAAAATTAATGCAGATGTAGGCCACAGTAACACAAATAGTGTCCAAAACAAGACAACTAATAGTCCCAATGAACTGTGCTGTGTAATATAAAGGTTTGGCTGACACAATTCTCATAGACTTTGAGAAAGTACAATGCACCCAGGGGCAGACAGGCAGAATGGCAAATATTCTGAAAAACTCATGTCTTAGAGGAACAAAGAATTGTTAACTTGAAAAAGAAAACATCTAAGAGGATTTCATGAGCTGTATTAAAATATTGGAAAAATTATAATCTTTAAGCATGTAGACATATTATTATTTTTTTCCAAGTGGAAAGAAGAAAGAAATCCGTTGAAAGTTTTGCTATGGCAGATTTCAATTTGCCATTAAGAAGATTCAACCGTTAGGGTCATCAAGAAGAATTTCTGCAAAGCAGATCTTGTTGTGGCAGGCTCTGCTGGTTCCTGGGGGCATTGGCAGTTTGGGTCTGAATGCTCAAAGGCTGAGACAAACATTGACATAAGAAGCTGTGTTAAGTAGATTATTATCTGCCTAGCTAAAACTGAGAAGGCCAAAGAATTTGGGCAAGTCAGTAAATAATTACTAAAAGCTTTGGTTAACAGACATGTGACAGTTCATTTTTTAACCTTAAAAACTTCCTGTTTCTTTCCTTCTTGCAATTAGGATAAATTATGCATATTTGAAGTTTGATATTTTGGGTTGCCTATATTAAGCTGCATGAAATCAAATGCTAATTTTGTTGTATTATATATCACTAATGTGTTTAAAACAACAAATTTCCACAAGACTATCAATTAATCAACCAACAAAAGAGACAGTGAGTCAATTAAGTAGGCATTAAACTCCAGTTATACAATCAAGCTCTTGCCTTTGAGAAGCTTAAAATCTTATTGCATAAAAAGTACCACACTCTTAAAGCAACTAAAAATTACTATAATTGAAACTGTATAAACAGACCAGTGGTTTCTTCTGTTTGTTTGTTTTTAAGACTCTTATCTAGAAGTTGTTGCAGGGTAGGTTTTCCAGAAGCAGACACTGAGCTCTGGGAAGAAGTTTGACATGGGTTAACAATACCTGTGAAAGGGAGTGGGAGGAAGCAAGACTTGGCAGAAGAAGAAGCTCAACGGTGATGTAGGCCAGACAAAGCCTTCCTTAAACCCATAAGGAGCTCTGCAGCATATATGGCCTATCAAAATTGTCCATCAGTGGATACAATTGCTGGGCCTTTATACCTTGTCCTGGAATAGTCACTGGATGTACTCCTGAGAAAGATATGCCTGTGCCCAGAGTGACTCTTTGCAGCTGAGGCAAACTTTGAAACCTTGATCTGGGCCCATGTCTACCAAAAAAAGTTGGTAACTATACAAATAAAACTGGAGTTTCTTTGCTTGAAGCTGGGTTTAAGGTCTAGAACCTCACCCTGGCAGTCATCAAAGTCATTCAAAAAATTCCTAGAACCCAGAACAGTAATAGATTATAGTTACACAGTGATGGAGAAGGGCTACACACTCTTCTAAGTGCTTTGAATGGATTAACTCTTTGAATCCTCCTAATAACCATGCAGCGTATTTACTGCTTGCTCCGTTTTATGTATAGCAAAATAGGCACAGAGAGGTTAAGTAATCTGCCCATGATTAATTACTCAATCCTTTTGGCTCTGGAGTCTGAACTCAACTACTACAATGTATTCTGCATACTTGTAAAGTCTTCATGTAAAGTGTCATAGATAAATCTTCTGGTAGAGTTTAAGGAAGAAGGTATGCTAAAGAATGTGCCTGAGGGACTTGTAGTATTTGGTTTGGCATAGCCCTGGAGTTAATAATCTGGGCTCATGAAGACTTATGAGACTCTCGTGGGTCTATGGATTCCCCACATTTTGTAAAATTAGTGTATATATGCTTATATGTTTTTCTGGATTAGAGGCTTGTAGCTTTTATTAAATTTAGGGCCTCATAAGTTAAGAATCTCTGTTACAAGGGAAATGAGAAGAGCAGATGTACAGGTTAATAACAAACTTTGTATTCTCAAGAAAGTAAAAAAGGAATACTTGCTAAGAATGGAGTTTCATATTTAGGATGAGTTTAGCAATCTATTCCACAAATTTTTTTTTTTTGCCTATATTTTGTGTGCTAGGCACTGTTCCAGAGAGACAATATAAAACCAATGATGTTTTAGTTTAGGTTCTTCTGGAAGCAGACCCTGAGAAAAGCATTTGAATGCACGTAGTTTATGTGAGAGAGGATCTCAGGAAACATTAATAGGAGAGTGGGGAACTGAGACGGGGAAGGAAAGAAAGCCAATAAACATTGTGTTATCAGCCAAGTTACCATTACGGGCAACTGGAACTTAAATCTACTGAGAATCTCGGGACACATTGTAGAAACAATTCTCAGAGTTAGCTCAGGCAAGGAATATGGGAGCTAGGGTATTTATCTTTCATCTTCCGCAAGTCTTTGGTTGAGAGCTGTCCTCCAATGGGGAAAAAGCTATTAGTTGGAGAGTATTGGACAAAAAGCCAGACTGGCTTTTACTTCTTGCATTTAACAAGATATTACAAGTGTCTGCGCTCAAGCAAGAATTGTCCAGCTTAAGAGAAGAGATGAAAAAGAATAACTTGGAGTTCTTTGAGATGAGAAATACTGACTTTCCAGGCTTTTGGTTGTACAAGAAATAGTATTAAAACAGGTTTTTGAATAACAAAAGCTCATTAAGATTTCTCACTTCAACAAAGAACACCTAGCTCAGCCGAAATCAGATTAAGGGTGTTGCCTTCTTATTCAAGCTTATTTATTTGTGTTCTCATCTCAGTTGTCATTAGGTTGTGAGAGAGAAGCCTTGTGATGGGAAAGCAACAACAACAGGAAAAACAAACTTCAGATTTAAGAACTGTATAGTAAGAAAAGTGTTTGAGGGAACTGAATTTTCCAAGAGATGCTGAGACCTGCCTGAAAAAGCCTGTGACTGTAAAGCAAGCTGGACACCTCTAAACTTTGACCACCAGGGAGTAGGCTGGGAAAGTTCTATGGTCCTCAAAGAGAGCATCCTCTTCAATTCCCATTTCAACCCTGATCACAGAGGATGAAATACAGGTAGAACCTCCCAGAGAGCAGAACAGAGGCTAAACTGAGCAAAAATAAAGTGTTCTCAGGAAGAACAAATTCAATGTCTTATCATGGATTTCTCTTTTCTAATGACATAGGGCATTTTAATAATGGCCTTCTCTGATAATTTTGGTTTTTTTTCCAGTAACTGCTGTTTTTCTTTTCTCTTCTTTAATAGATTGTAGTTATATAGTGGCTATATCATCTCTGCTCCATCATTGGGTGTGTATATAGGAATGGTGGCAAAGAGTACCAGTCTTTCCAGATTTTTGGTCATAGGACAATGAGGGTCACATTGGGCTGTGATGGAAAGGACTACATGTCACTAAGATGTTCTGGAGTTTTATCTGGATATAGCAAGTCAGAACCTCTTGGGGAGGGAGAGTTTTAGTTTGTTTCCTAAATAGAGAAACGGTACAAATGTTGATTAGAACAGCATAATTTGGCTGCAACAATTAGGTACATATCAGAATCTCCATGTTAGTTTGAGTCGTGTGAGAAGCACACACCAAGATGAGAGTAGATGTGCAAGAGATGCACTGGGAGGAAATACCAGTAGAGGATAAAGCGGAGCAAACCAGAGAAGGTGGACAGAGCCTGTAGATTTGACCCCTATAACGGAGAAGAGGAAGAAAGCAGGATTAGGTAGGAAGAAATTTAGAATGCAGTGCAGTTCTAAGAAAGATTTGGCCAGGCCAAGAGGGAGTTCTCAAGCCAAAGTCATTCCTAGGAGGAGTTCTGTGTCTCACAAGAATAGGCCTGGCGTCATATCCTGACATACTCAGTCATTGGCTAACAGCGGCCTATCCAAAGTGTTGCTTCAGTACAAATGCAGCGGTGGACCCAGAGCGACAGCAGCTGGGGACAATAGTATATTATGCTCTCCACTGTGGGAGGCCTGCGCAGTGAATTTTCATGACTGCCACCATCTATTTCTTCTTAGTGAACATATACAACTGGACTCTATTCCTCTGCCTCCTTTGTTGTTAGGTATGACAACTGAGTTCTTACCAATAGAGTGTGAACACAATTGACGTACTAATTCCAGGTATGGTCAATAAAAATTTACCCTCAAAGTGATTCATTTTCTCTTTCATATGTTTAGAATAGAGACTTCTTCCAGGGCAACCTTGAAAACCACATATAGAAGATGATGCAATCCCTGCTATCATAGACAGGACTGCAAGGAGCAGAGCTGATTTTGAGTGAGAAATAATTATTCAGATGACTATATGTCTTGTCTACTTGATACTCAAGCTAGTGTACCCTAAGTTAGATATCCTTTCCACTCAGAGAGTTTTGAAATATTTCTAATATCATTATTACCTGCAGAGAATGCTGCTGTCATCCTGAGCAGGACAGAGACTCTTCCTTCACCATGCTGATTGATCATTAATACTTTTTCTTTAGTGAGGGTGGACTCCCTCCAAATTATCATCAGTGCACATGTGTATTATTGTAGTGCATGTAGCTAATTATATGTTCGGGAGATGCTGCACATTAGACTCCATCAAAAAGGATCAGACTCTTAAATTCAGCATGCAGAGGTTAGGTGGCTACAGGGGTAAAACGAATATA
Organism: Homo sapiens; assembly: GCF_000001405.40. Classification (NCBI taxonomy): domain Eukaryota; kingdom Metazoa; phylum Chordata; class Mammalia; order Primates; family Hominidae; genus Homo; species Homo sapiens. The sequence goes on along the minus strand of NC_000001.11, from coordinate 81,004,285 downwards.
TGCCTGGCAGTGTCAACAACTCAAACATGTTTCAAACGGCTGGCTGCCAGGCCCATGCTGGTCACTGTGAGGGCCATGGGCAGAGAAGCATAAGGGTAAGTGCTGGGCTGGTAAGCTCTGCCAAGCTGAGCCTGCCAGTTGTGCTTTGGGATTTGCCAAGTTTCAAATTGTTTTACAAAACAGTTGGGTCTAGTTGAACGACCCAAAATTAAAATAGAAAGGCCTGATCTTTTTCATAGAGTGCTTGTAATAAATCAATAAAATGACAGTTATTGTTAATACTGGACTACAATTAATGATGTTATATTTACTTAAAAATATCTGTTGAGTTTACTATGTGCCAGGCACTGCTCTGGACACTGGCAAGATAGCAGCGAACAAAGCAGAATAACATCACTAACTATTTAGTTCCACTCAGAATTGAAATCTGAGTGGGTTATAATAATAGTGATGATTTTTTTTTTAAACCATTAAATAAGGTGGACACTCTTTGACTTAAGATTTGGAAGTTCAGAATAGGTAAAAACAGGAATGAAGCAAACCTTAAAGACAGCTTTCTGGGAACGCCTTGCAGTATTGGAGTTTTAGTTATCTGCCTTGGAGCTGAGTAGCAACCTTGAACCATTGAGAAGCAGTCACAGAACCAAGGCTTTATTATGCCTCATAAGCTATAACTTTTGAAAAAAGCAAATAAAATTTAAGAAATAACTGAGATACATGAAGAAAAAAATACATACTGGTATTTTTTAAAATGACTTTAATATTTGGCTTGAAACAGAAATCAGAACATGCAAAGGAAAATAAATGCATTGAAAAAACAGACTGTTAAGTATGATGAAAATAACTTGTGGAAATTCTAATGAAAACATTACAAAACAGATTACTACATAATTTATAATAGAGGTATATTTTAAAATCCATACATATGCACAGATTAAACTTCAAATGTGTAGCCCAATTCATAAATTTGGTTTTCATGTAATATAACAATTAGCATGACTCTTGAAAATTTATCTGTAAACATTGCTTGTATTGAGTATCACTGTGAGATGAAACTCCTCACAAATGGAAATCCTGCCAATTTAATCAAGCATTGGAAGGTACACATGGCTCATGTATGTTTCTGATTCACTTCATACATTAGCAAACCTGATTCTTAACACTTTTCTGTATGAATAAATCTAATTCATACAGAAATTAAAAAATGAACTTTATGCCTTTGCCTTAGAAATGCTGTAAGTGACACAAGGGAAAGCAAACTGCTTTTTTCGGAAAGGCTCATTTTCACCCAGAACTACTGCACTCCAACCTAATCATACTAATTTAATTTAGTTTTACCTAAACTTGAAATTTATAACTAGCACCTGGATAATTCCTCCTGTACCAGTAAGACAACTCTCCATGAAACATCCTGTTAAAGCATAAAAACTACTGATAAATGGCAAGCTTTGTTGCATGCTACCTGTGCTGGCTTACAAGCAACTCCAAATAATACTGGAAGCAGTGAGAACTTGTGCAAGATTTGTCATTCAGATTGAATTTACTCTTCTGTAATTTGGTCTGGAAAAAAAAAGATACTGATGGAAATTCTACAGAGACAGATTAATTCAGGGGTCAAACAATAACAAAATAGGGAAGAGAAGTTAATGAATCTTTACCATGTGAGGCAATGCACAGAAGGTCCTGGAGAATCCATAAGCCTGGTGAGAAAAGCATGAGTAGTTTGTTAATGACATGAGGGCTTTGAAAATGAACTTATCTTGTATACTCAGCTGTTTGGGGAGTACATCATTTATAAGGCATTCTTCTTATTAATATTTTCCATTCCATAGACGCTTTTGACAAACTATATACTTTTTCACCACATTAATTTTAAATTTAAAACGAACATCTGGTAACTGCATTTATTCATCTGGTTTGCAACCACTTACCCTCTCTGATTTTCTACTCATGCATTTCTAAATAGCCAAAGGAAGAAACAGAATTTGAATACTGTAGGTATAAAGTCATCAAAAGCTTATAGCTCAGATTAGGAAGATGATAACTCTTTCTTTCAATCATTCAGTTGATCAATCATTCAATCAACACATATTCTGCTGACCAGACCTTTAGTCCAAAGACATCTTGCTTATCTTATTCCAGTCTCAGGTGACTCTTCTGTATGCCCCCAGAGCATTGTTCATTGGTTTTTTTTTTTGGAAGTTCTCTCAAAAGCAGTGGCTGAGACAAGATTTGATGCAGCTAGTTTATTTATGGGAGAAGGAAAGGAAAAAAAAGACAGTGGCAAATGGAAGAAAGAAAAGCTCATGTAAGTGTGCATTATTGACATTGCCACAGAAGGCAACAGGAGCTTCATTCCTTTGAATCTCTGAGAAGCATGCAAAGTGGTCCTAGAATTGCCCATTGGAAGAATGGAGGATGAAGCTGTACAAGCTTCTGCTTCAGGAGAGGCTTCAGGAAGTTTACATTCGTGGCAGAAGGCAAAGGGGAAGCAAGCGCGTCTTCATATGGCTGGCAGGAGAGAGAGAGAGAGAGAGAGAAGTGGGGAAGTGCTACACACTTTCAAACAACCAGATCTTGTGAGAACTCACTCACTATCATGATAGCAGGAAGGGAGAAATCTGCCCCCACGATCCAATCACCTCCCACTATGTCCTGCCCCTAACATTGGTGATAACCATCCAACATGAGATTTGGGTGGGGACACAGAGCCAAACCCTATCACTCTGTCACTCAGGCTGGAGTGCAATGGCGTGATTGCAGCTCACTGCAGCCTGGACCTCCTGGACTCCAGCAAACCTCCTGCCTCAGCCTCCCATGTAGCTGGGACCATTGGCATGCACCACTACACCCAGCTAATTTTTTTATTGTTTTGTAGACATAGTGTCTCACTTTGTTGCTCAGGCTAGTTGAACTCCTGGCCTCAAACAACCCTCCTGCCTCCCAGATGGACCACACCAGTGATTATTAATGTGATGGCCAACTTTCTATTCCTTTTTTCTTCTCTTGTTCAATATTTTGACTGAACATTTCTGAGAGACAAAGATATATTGTGTTTTAATAAAGGTTTGCATAATGCATTTCTATAACTTTAGACTACCTTTCTGGAGCTCAACTATTTTGCATATGTGAAGATCTCTATTGCACTTAGTAGAGACTGTATTAAAAACTCTGCTACTTTATACATCTCACATCAAGTACATAGGTGGCTCTAAGAAAATTCTATGCAATTTTTGAAAAACTTGCTTTATCTCCAAACTTTTAAATCATATTGAAAGAATTAGCAACATTATCAAAATGATAATTAATGTGTTACCATTTGAAAAATTGTCAACATCAGAAAGGCTTGGGATACCTTCCTTTTTAAAGTTTATCGATCTCTTGCAAGAAAATGAATGTGTTTTTTAATACACCTAAAGCTAAGGTCCTGTTTTCTGTATATTATTCATTTGCAAGTTTTTGGAGGGTTTGTTTTTCGCTTTGTTTTTACAAGTACATTAATCTTGCTTTTCATTTTGTCACAAGCTGATATCACAGCTTGAATGTTTTACCCAGTTGAATTGTTCTTTTAAAGTAATATTTTTCCCTAACCCACAGCCCTGTTGGCCCTACTCTGCAGCTCTGTTTCTTCTTTCGTCCCTTCTCTGGATGTTCCAGGGTCACCCTAGCTATGTCATGGATTAGTCAAAAATAACTTAGTGGATAAAACAACTATTACTTGTTTTTATACGATAACTTAGTCCGATGGCTCCAAGAGGAGCTATTTATCGGAAAACTATGGCATCTTTGCTGTCTCAATACCTAGCTAATCTTCATGAGGAAGGCAACTTGTGTAGTGATATAGAATGTAGGTTTGATAGGCAAATCTTGTGACTTGGCAGCACATTTTTCAATTTTTCTAAGATCCAGTTTTCATGAAGATAGGAAAATAATAAAGGCACTAAAATGATAGGGTGTTTGTACTGATTTTAAAAATCATGTCTGTAAAGGATTCAGTAGAGTTCTAGGCATAGTTAGGTTTCAAAATGGGATCTATAAATATAACTATTATCATTATGTCAAAGAATGGCCTGGAGTATGGTTCTTTCTGGGTAACTTGGAGGAGAATAACATACAATAGGTCCTTGAGTTCAAATACAAATTTTAACTTGATCGATTCCTGGGTTAGCTCTCCAAGGCAAAAGATTTATCTCATCTTAGTTTCAGTTTTCTCAGCTTTAAAATGTTAAAATTAACGTCTTACATGGCTATTTTAAAGAATAAAGAAGATAATATAATAAAATACTTAATACAGTGCTTGATTACTCAAACAACAAAAAGTTTTATTTTATGTAGCAGTTGCTGCTATTGTTCAGTAATATATCATTTGGACAGATTCAGAACTTTCAGAATATCATTTAAAATTTTTTTTAGTATTTTCTTAAAAGGATTCAGATGCACAAACTCACAAGATTAACTTTAAAAATATAAATTGCAATTTGGATAATGATAAGTCATTTATGTTATTTCTTTCATTAAAAACACAATTACTAATAATACAAGTTGAAAAGAACAAAACAAAATCCTGTTCATTAATAGTTTCCTTTATCAAGTACAAACTTTAAAGTTTCATTTCTTCTCTTTCCCTGTGGGAAAAAAGGAAATAATAGAAGTATAATAGGTTTGTGTGCATGTAATATATTTTAAGTAAGAGTTCCTTAGAAGAGGCTACAGTATTTGTTTCCTTATTGGAATGTCTGAATCTCAAACCCCAATAAATCCAGTGGTAATGAGATAAATTGTTCATTTGCTTGCTTATTGCACTAAAAGCCATCTATAAAACAGAGGAGGGTCCTATTACTCTGACTTATCCTAAGGGTCATTACCTCTGAGATGTACTGTCATGGTGAGGGAGGTAGATTCTACAATGGAAAAATACTTTCGCTTGGCTGTTCATGCCCTTCTTTTCTTTGAAAAAAATAACTCATCTGAGTTAGCATGTATTGCACATTATATCTATTTTAAAAATTTTCAATATTTTGTCAGTCATATCAGTTCATTTAAAAACTTTTTCTCAAAAGTTTAGAATGGTATTTTAGCAACAAGTTAACTTTAATTAGCTTTAAAAATAAAAAGGTTGAAAGGCATTTTACAATGCCTTTAATTATTTTATAAATGACCTACATTAAAACATTTTCATCTAGGATCATATTTAACCCTCATCTTAGGTCTAAGATTTAGGTTCCTTTATGATACTTATTTTAGATAGAAATATAATGAGAGTTGAGGAATTTAAGCCACTTGCCTGAGGTCTCTTATCTGAGAAGGGGTAATGTCAGCATACAAATATAGGTTTGGTTACCTCCAGAGTTTTTAAAATCTTATGCCATGTGGTCACGATTTTAGGAAATGTTGCTTCAAAGATTTGTTTATTTAAAAATAAAAATAAGGTAGGTTATATTTTTTATTCCAAAATATAAACATTGCCCAGAACTTATTAGCAACTGAAATTCTCTTGTGAAAGAATATCAAAAAATAACTCCTCAGGTACATCTTTGTAAATTGGGTTTTACTCAAAATCATGTTATCTCTGAAATGTTTAAACTTTTGGGAAGTTAAGAGACAATGAAGATATCTCACTCAAGCACCATAGCAAATGACAATCCAGAAATCATAAAAGACCTAAACAAAACAAAACAAAACAAAAAAAACCCAAAATACACACAGGTATTTCTATTTTTTAAAAAATTTGAATTTTATTGAGTGTCAAAATAGTAAAACATTCAAATTGAAAAACTGTTACTTAATTATCAATCTATCTTCAGACTAAATCTTCTCCAAGTCCAAATGACTCCTAAATGAATCTCTCTTTCACTGAGAACACAGGGTCAATTATAGGAAAGAACAGATAGACAGACCATCCTGTTAATGTATACCAAGGATTTGCTGAGACTGTACCATTTCTACAAAGGGGATTGGCTTCTTCAGGTAATTTTCTTAAGTGGAGTGTTGTTGTTGTCTTAATTTTCACATGTACTCCACTATGAGGCTTACTTTATTTATGTGAGTCATCTACGTGTTTTTCACTGGCTCCTAGTTAGCTCCTAAGTGCAAGCTGGTTCCACTGAAATATTGATTTTAATCCATAAAGTCCTCTATGGTCGGGGTACTGTCTGCATTTACTAATTTTACTACTTCCCAGAAGCTGAAGTGAACTGAGAGCTGTTCACCTTCTCTATGTACCTATCAATCTATCTATCTATCTATCTATCTATGTATCTATCTTTATCTATGTCTGTATATCTGTATACCATAGGGGCAGGGGCAGATCCAGGTTTCCTGGGACCTGAAGCTTATGTAATTTGTGAGGCCCTCTTTAAAAGAAAGTTCAATTTCAATAACAATTATTTATGAAAATGAAAAGGAAAGGAAATCATGAAAAACTATAAATTTTTACAAAGCAATCATGAATATCACAAAATCCAGAGAAATAAAAATATTTTTTAAATTGATAAAGTGCCTTAGACACTTGTATTATTTATTTTATGTACATTTTCCCCAACATTTGGCTGCATACCCTTTGATCACCTCTTCATATGATAAAATTTTGTACCATTTTTTTCAGAAATAAAAGTAAGATAATTTGATCTTTCTCAGAGAACTCAATCTTTTGTTGATTGAAATGTTTTATTATTCATAGTTTTTAGAAAAGTTTCTCTCAGCTTCATACCTTATTGCTGGTAATATCAAATACACTTTTAAGATTATTGTCAAATTTGGAAAAATTTCTTTCAAGATTCTTTCATATATTAGCCATAATACCAGAATGCTTAAAGAGTTCTTATTCAGTAATTAGTGTTAAATATTATTTGAAATGTACTCTAACCTACAGCCACTTAACTGCTGCTGTCAGATGCCATCGCATACATTCACACAGCTATGCCATATCTGACCTTGCAGCATCAGTCACAATCCCAGTGGGTCAGCACTGGGTGGCAGAAGTATTCTGGACATTCCTATATCTGATGGATGGCTAGCAATACCTGAACTATATACAGAACATACTGTGAACCACCAAACCCCAAATTAACAGATTTATAAGTCACCTTTACCTTAGTTCTGCCTCTGCCACACCAAAACCAAGAGACAAGAGGTGAAGTACAACCAAGGGGATGTTGGAGTGTAAAGGAATAAATAGTAAATACATATATACAATTGCAGCTAAATGTCACAGTTTTGCAAATTTTACAAAAACATATAGCTTTGTGAACACATTGTGAAAGGCTATGCCAGGACCTTGGAATTACCTTTGCAAATAAGGGTTTACCTCTCCCTAGGAGATCAATGATCAGAAGGCCATTTACAAATACTACTTTCCCCATTGAGGCAACCTATCTTACATTGAAACATAGATTCAGGTGACTTCAGACTTTGATAAACCCTAACATTTTATTCAACTTTTGAGAAAGATAGCTCTGCTTCTATTTAAAACTTTTGCAGTATATTCTATCGAGAAAAAAAGTAGCCCACAACAGTTGGGGCTGTGACAATTTCAACTGAGTATACTTTGAGATAGTGTTTTCCACACCTTTGGTCTTGTCTGGATACTTGCCTGAACACAGTTAAATGATTTCAATACAGTTCAGGCTAGAATAATGTAGAGGGATAAGCGGTAGAGTTTATAATGGATCAGCCAATACTCTCTGCTGTCTAACATCTCATATAGACAAGTAAGGGCCTATATTCATGTCTGGGTATGGTCCTGAATACCATCATCCAGACATATTTGGTACAGAATAAGTTAAAAGTGCAAAGTGGTCTTATTTGTTCATTTTGTCTCAGTTTTTAGTGGCTGAGAACTGGAAATTTTGCATATTTAATATTATTTTTCCATCTCTTACCTTATAATTGTTGGCAAAGGAGAATTGTGCAGAAAAAAATGGAAAACAAAATAGATACATCAATCTGCTTTCTCTTAAATTACAATTGTAGCTTATATCCTATCCATTTCTACCTAAAGTCAGCTTTCTTGAGAACATACTAGACAAGGGTTTTCAGAGAATGTAGATGAAAGCTGGCAAGAGTCAAGAGAAATGTGAAAACTCATGGCCCAAGGTTTAGAGCACTTCTCTAAAAGATGTGACAGTCAATAGGACACCAGGCTGTGCTGGGTGGTTAAGGGTTCCAGTAGCGAGGGAGCCAAGCAAGGTCAGAAAGATTACGTGAAAACTGAGACTACCAGTCTGTGTTCTTGCTGGAGGGTGTGTCTTGTTAAAGGACTAGGGGGTCTCTGAGTCCTGGTCTGACAGGCTCAGTGTTCTTAAGAGAAAAGCACTTTTGATGAAATAAGGCAAAGAGAATTGAAACAACAAAGCATTGGTAAGCATGGAAACTTGCTTAATGCAACCAAGAAAACACGAGTCCTACAGAGATTAATGCTGGCAGCACCAATCACAAAATACAACTTAGTAAAAAGAATTTTCTGTTTTCTGGATTAGGCTGAGAAAAGTGTCTTCTGATATGTATCATCATGCACATACAAATATATAAAGCCACACAGAATAGACAAATGATAAACAAGGCACAGTGGCAATAGCTACTTCAGAAAGCCTGCTACATTAGAAATCGAACTTAAGTGTGCAAAGGGGGAGAATGCTAAGTAGATAAATACTTAAGTAATAGGCTGTTCAATAGGTCTTTCCCATTTAGAGCACTGAGACATTTTCTCTTCCCTCTCTTTGTGGGAGAGAAGGGAGGTGCTCCAATGCAAATCAAACCAGGGAGGAAGCTAGAAAACCACTTGCAGGACAGTAAAATGCTTACCAGAAAGGAAGATTGACATCTTACTTCACTGGGATGCTTTTCATGCTTCAGAAACTCAGGCCTATCTCTGGGTGCTACCAGAGCAAAGAAAAGTGCAGGAGATTTTCAAGAACTGATCTTTGTCTGAAGTTTGAGTATATAGGGACTGGTTCTTGACTTTTACTTTGAAAGGCTAAAGGAGAAAGGCTAGCTGACATTACCTCAGAAGAAAGACAGTAGGAATGGCCTGTATTCCCAGAGTTTGTTAAGTCTGGGTACCTGTGGGGTAGGGTGGTCAGTAAAGAAATCAGCCAAAGCCAGCCTTCTTGAAAAGACCACACTCAGGAGGTGGCTGCCACCATGACTCACTCTAAAAGAAATGGGCTGTTATAGGAGTAGGAGTTAAGAATGTCAACTATGTAGAAGTCAACTGAAGAGGCATTGCCCTGTTAAAGAATTGCTGGGTAAAGTTTTCTATCAGTAGGAATAACCCATGAGAGTGCTGTGCCAGAGAAATAGCTGATATTTAGGTGTCTGCCACACAGTTTGCAGTGAAGTTGTATCATTGCAGCCCCAATTAAGAAAGATCTTGCCATTTTCCTCATTGTTGATCTTCCCATCTTCCTTTTCATCCTTGGAGGATGAATGATTGACTGCTTCTCCCTTATCCAATGCTGATAGACATTCGAGATTCAGGTCTTAGCTTGTGGAAAAGGTGAAGTTTTAAATTAGAAGTGAAATAAAACTTTTGTTCAATTCTGATTGGACTTCTTAATACCTGAAAATACTGCTTTTCCAATACCTGAAGGCTGGGAGACTTACAGAAGATACTATCCAGTGGGTAGGAAAGAAGGCATAAAAGGAAAGCAGTTATAGGAGAAAAATAAAGATGTGTCTATTTTATTCTTTTCTGATACATCTGATTACATAAATAATCCACATAGATAATATTCTAATTCTCCTGAATCAACTGCCCACAAATCTCTACAACTTTCCCTGATGGATGGTGAAGGCATACACAAAAGAAAAGAGGGCAAAGCGCTCCGTCTAAGAAATGAAAATAAGTTTTGGTGGGTGGGAGGAAACAAAAGAGAGGAATGCAAACACTTGAGCAGAAATTAATAGTAACAAGAATAGAGAACACTTTGATGTCATTCTTTAGATGGGAGTGTCCTGGTTTTGCTCCTTTGGGAATGTCATGGGAAGAAGCCTGGACATTTACTGAAATATGAGAGAACAAATGACCCCCTTAGCCCCACTGCCCCAGCCAAAAGCCAGAACCAACTACCAGATACATGGATGATTTGACCTTAGATCATTCAGTTTCAGCTGAGCCAACAAATGATTGCGGCCACATGAGTGATCTCAGGGAGATCAACAGAATAATTTTTCAGCTGAGCCCAGTACAAATTGCTGATGTGTGGAATTGTAAAAAAAAAAAAACTCAATAATTTAGTATCAATGTAGATGCAACCACCCATTTCAGTCACAATGCCTACCCAAGTGTTTCACCTAGTTAAATCCTTCAGTTGAGTTTTCTAATAGAGGCATGTAATGCGCAAACACGTGGGAACCTACCATGACTTTTGAGTATGAAGCCCAGTGGTACACAAATGGTGCATATGTAGAAAATCTGCTGAGCTGAGCCAAAGATACAAGGATATTTCAGAAATTACCTATCATTTAAAAAGGAGATTAGTTTGTAGGTTTGATGACAGCAATTCCTGAAAGTTTTCCAAATAACAGTTCTTAAAACAACATTGTTGAAAAATGAAGAAATTCTTTCCAGACATAACAGTAAAACTTTCTCTGAAGTTATCTTCTTGTGCACGTGTAATAATTCAGAGGGATAGTGGAAACTAAAATGTAGAGGCATATCCAGGTGGTATAGTTGTCTGCATTTTGGCCTCTCTCGAGGAAATTGCCATTCTGATCACAAACAATCTTTTCTTTAAGTTAAACATTTCATTCTCTTGGGTGTTTGTTGCTAATGGAGACAAAAATACCACTCTCATCTGGATTTAATACATTTCACCCACATATCCATCAAGTACACTATTTTCTCAGCAGAAGTAGAATTTTAACAGTTTTTTGTGACTTTTGACACATCATCACTTGCAAAAGACCTTCCTTTAGTAGCTTGTGCAGAGAGACCTGGTGCAAAATTTGGCTTTGTCTTGTTCACAAATGGATAAACAGATGTCACTGATAGCTTTTTACTAACAAAAACCAAATGACATCATGCAAAGAAATTGTCAAAACAAAGTTTGTCTTGTTTTCTCTCTATGCTCACCATGTTATATTTGACTTGAACACACATCAGAATGCTCCCACTACCTCCTCACTTTTTGCCAATAAATAAGTATATTGAAATATTTTGGAACAATTGTGTTCTTCACAATGCAAAGCACCACTTAGAGAGGATTTGTAAGCCTAAGAGTTGCTGTACTACTCCCACATCCCCATTCTGGGATTTGTTTTTCCGAGTTTTAATATATGAACTCGCTTTATAGAAACAAGGAGCACAATAATTGCTGGTGAATTAAAGCACAACAACTTGGAGGTGTTGTAGACTTTATTATTGAAAGTCATTGCAACATAGTAAAAAGAAAATGGCCTTCAGAGCCAGACACATTTGGGTTTTGCTTTATGTGTGGGTTTTCATTCTACATTGAGTTCAGCAGGTTGGCCAGAGTAAGGCACTTAGGCGTTTTGATCCTCTGTTTTCTTGCCTAAATGATGGGAGTGAGAGACCTACCTTGAAAGTTTTATTATGCAGATTAAAGTCTATAACCAAGAAAGAAGCACCTCTGGCATTTAGTAGATGATCAGGAAATGTTAATTACCTTTACCAGCTTGAAAGCAAATAGTTGCTTAATATTAGAAAATAATAACGAAAGCAATTATTTTCATTCTTTCTATAAGCTAAAGTTATATAACTCCAAAAAAATATTCAACCACTATCATTGTCAGTTTTAAAATGGCGCATCTCCATTTGGTCTTTCTGTCCCAATCTGCATGCTCTGCCAATATGTAAGCCTCTGTTAACCATCTTGAATGTTTCATAGTGACTAGAAAGGGTTTGGGCCAGAGCTGGGTCTGCTGTTTGGCACACCCTTCTACACTGTGCAGTAAGCTGGGGAATAAGCCAGCACATATGCTGATCAGCTACGGTATGGCAAGGGCTAAACTAGGAGCTTTCACATTTCCAATCTCACTGAATCTTTGTAACAACAGCAGAGGCAATGTTAACCCCCATTTATAGTTGAAGACAATAAGGTTCTGAGAGGTTAAGCAACTTGCTCATTATCACACAGATCATATTTCAAAACCTAGATAATTTTCTAAATTAGTCTTTTGTTCACAGAAACAGGGTATGTTTAACAAAGCTTCCAATAAGCAAATTATTCCTAAGGATTAGCACTTGCTATCTCCTAGTATCTTGGTGCATTAGATGTGCAGTGATTTTAGAAATTGTTCACATTATCCTATTGTTTTATAATTGTAATAAATAAGACAGTAGATGGGTACTAACTCAGGATTAGACTACGGTTAAAGCTGATCTTACAACTCCCAGAAAATATAGAAAAAAAAAAAAAAAGCATATGGTGTAATTTTTCACTTTCCTTAATTTTATTGTCTGTTTTACAAAAAAAGTATCTCTGCAATAATTCGGGATTTTTGAATTATAGAATCATAGAATGATAACTATGATGTTATGGATATTTGGTGATCATTTTTTAAGTGCTCTCATCTTACAGATGTGAAAATAGAATTTCTAGTTAGGAAAAGTCACTCGTTTACATCATCAGGTAGGAAGTATCATACATAGCAATAATACCTTTTAATTTCTAGTCTAGTGCTATTTTTACTTCACTATCCTATCTCTTTCACTAAGCCCTATAGTTTGGCTTGTAATGCAAAGACTTCATGGTAGCTGAAGTCTATCAAAGCATTTTCTTAAACTCCACGAGATCTAACAATCTTTGAAGGAAATAGATAAGGTGACCAGAAGCCAGAAAAGTATCATTTAGGTCTGCATCTCTTTCACTCTTTTAGTTAAATTATTCTAGGTCAAAGACTTAGTTTAAAATGTATAATAACTCAAATACCATGGAAATAAATGTCTTTTTACATAATAGTTCAAGATATTTCTTTCTTTCCAGTAACAGTCCAAGGTGGATGGCAAGTGGAAGAAAAGGGAGTCCAGGAGGGGCTCGGGTCCATTTCAGGGATCCAGGCTTACAGCAGCTCTGCCATCTTTAACACAGACCTTCCAAGGTCCCTGTAGAGCTTGCATCCTTCCCCTTCAGCCAGAGGAGACAGGGACCTAGGAGGTCATTGTGGGCAAAGCTTGGGAATGCAACTCACCACTTTCTTTCTCATTCCATTCTCTAGAACTCAGTCACATGGTCACATCTGCAAGGGAATCTGGGAAATATAATCTAAGTGTTTTCCCAGAAGGTGAGGAAACAGATTTTGATGAACACTTACTATATTTCTGTAGGGCTCTTTCCAATCTAAGATTTTTTTTGAATGGGAATATGTCTTGGTTTTGCTTTTTGATTTTTCTGATTATGTTTGTTTCTCTGAATTTTTGTAAGTCTCTTCGTATGTATGTGACTTGCTCTGTCTGCTCATGGGTACCTTTTCCAATATACGTTTGAAACATTTTCAGGATAATGTATTTCTCTCAGCATGGGCATATGGCTTTTTCTGTGTCTATGTTAATATACAAATGCAGCTCATTTTGATATATGTGTTTTCTTCAATTTGGAAAAATAGGCTTTTGTTAAATACAGGAAGCTATAGGAATTAATTGATCATTAAACAGTGACTGAATCTCTAATAATACCTAACCAGCATTCATAGACTGTCGAGGCATTTCACAGATTTCTCACCTAAATTTGTTGCATTTTAAGCATTACAAAACCTGTCTTTTGCTAATAAGAACTCAGTTCAGCTCATTTGTATAGAGAAAATAAATATGCATTTAATTTGCACATTAAATTTAAAAAAAAAAAAAACACTTCCCATGCACAGTGAGGGAGGCTCTAAGTTGCCGAAATAAGAAACTTTAACTCAAAGACAACCGGAAAAGCCCATGGATATACAAATAGGACTAATTAGTATTTGCTTTATAGCTACATGCTGACAACGATTAACTTAATTATAAGGCACTTGGTGCTAAATTACTATCTTTTTCATACATTTTCTGTAACAGCAAGAACCCCAGAGAGGTTCTGGTTCAAAGTCTAGTTATTCAAATCAAGAAGAGTTAAAATCATTTCCAGAGTTAACACATTCCAGTATAATTAATGCAATATTCAAAAAACCATCACATTTTATAAAAAGGAAATGAAGCAAAGACACATTCAGTTGGATACATGCTGACATAGTTTTCAAATGTTTTTGCAATATTTTGGTCCTGAAATACTGAGGTGTCAATAATGAGTTCCAACAAACACTTTGAGAAAAGGTAAGAGAAATTTTGTTCTGGAAACAATAGGGCCAGTATCCACTGGCTGTATAGGAAAGAAACAGGAATTGATGCCAAAGTCCTTTGGTTCTTTCAAAGAGAGCTGGATCAAAAAAAAATAGATAGTTGTAGATGAAGATTGTTTGTAAATTAAAACATTGTGTTACAATGTAGATAAAGTTGTCCTTTGAGCTCTGGAGAGTAAGACTGAATATCAGCAAAACTCTTGTTAGTTTTCAAACTTTGAGAAGTTCGTTCTCTAGTTATTAGTCCATTCCATTCTTCTCTATCATTTGTATTTATTGAAACCATATGTGAATTCAGATCTGTTCAAACTAGTGAAATTTACCAGAAGCAGAAGAGGAAGAATTGTTTCTCTGATGCGTTTTGGGATGCAATGTTTTTCTGTAACTGAGTCACTAGGAAGTTACCATGTAGTAACTTCCTTCCAATGGACATACAGAGCTAGGCCCTCTGTATTATATAAATATCTGAGCATCAAGACTAGGTGTGCACATGCATAGTATGAATAAAAAGCATTGCTGATAAGTGACTTACAGAGTATAATTGAAAGGGGCTGTAAAACATAGTCTTGTGGAAAGATTAAAAAAATTTATAACCTTCATAGCCTTTCCTTAACTTCTAGCATATTTTTTCAACCCAAAGTGATCATTTATAGTATTTGATGGCAAAGAAATTCAGAATTTTAGATAAAGACGTGCAAAAGGATTAAGAAAAACATGATGGAGAGTCCCCAGTTTCCGTAACCTTCAACCCTTGCCTTCTTGAATTTTTTCATTGCCTCCCTGGTATTTTTATTCTCCCCTACTTTCCCCCTCTTGAACCTTGACCAACTAACAAACCACAAGGCTTGCAAATAACAGCTCTCAAAATAAGTATCCTGGCAGTTATGGAGATGGAATTGTCCCAATGATACTGAACGAGAGGCAGGAAAAAGCAGAATAATCTCCAGCTGTTGTAAGCACAATTTTCAGAGCAGTTAGAGACAAAAAACTACTAACTGAGCCAAACCACGAGGACTTGTACTGCTCTCTTTCCCACCCCCCTACCCCCATAAAGCTCAATTTTGCTTCAACTTGGAGAATTACCTGGCCTCCAGGTGTTCTCTCATGCACATTGACTAAATAAAGCCTTTGACCTCTCTTTGAAGCACTTAATTTATTTTCTTTAAGCAGATGATCAGGCTAAAAAGAGACTGGGGGAAAATTCCAGAGACTGGAAAATTATGTAAATTTTTTTTCATTTTTTTCCTTTTCTTTGACCCCTGCCCTTCTTTATTTAAGCCTTGGGCCCTGCAGTCTTGTATGGTTAACACTATTTATAAGCCAGCTTTAAATTTGTATGTATTTGTGATTATTGAATCATGAATGTTGAAACTATCAAAGTGTAATTTACCTATATAAGAATGGTAAAATACCAATGAGGTCATAAGAATTCATTTATTGTTACTTTAATGCTACTTGAGCATTAATTACTCTATTAGGAAAATTTTCAGGTTTCAAATACACCACCAGAAAAAAATCTAGATTAATAAAAACACATAAAACAAGACCTAGTGCATATCATTTTTATATCATGAATAAAACAAACAAACAAAAAGTAATCTATTTCACTCATTAATAAACCTATGTAAAATACATGTGGGAAAATATAGAACTAAACTTTGGCAGCAACAAAAATTTAGCACTTATTTTGCTTCCGGGAGAAAAAAAAAGAAGCAAAAGTTAAGGAAAAAGACTTACAAAAATATATTTTGCACAATAAAGTTCTAGCCCTAAAGCAGAATGATTATTGGAAATGTGCCTCATCATTTTATACTCTTTGATTTGGACCAGTGTGGGAACACTTAGAGATAGTCATGAGTGGTTACCAGATGAAAGATATTTACTAATAGTTAACTTTCATTCTAAAAGATATGGACAAGTCAAAAGCCATAACTCACAGTGACTCACTAGTGCAAACTCTGTATCACACAGAGATAATGATTTATAATTGTTAATATTTGATATACTTAAAGTTTGTCCACATACATACCTTGCTCTTCAGAACAAAGCAGAAATGATAGATGCTATTATTCTCATTTGAGCAATAGGACAACTGAAAGCAAGGGATGTTAAATGGCTTGCACAAGTCACCCACATAGTCGGTAGGGGAGTTAGTTCTAGAAGCCAGATTTTCTGACAATATTGCAGACATACGATTCCACTCTTAAAACTGAAAAGAAATAAAATATGAAAATAGACAATCTTAACAACAAATAAATTATTGTTAAAAATCATGTAACTTCTTCACTATCAAAGTTTTTATATTTAAATCCATTACAAGTATCAGAATATAAAAATATATGGTCTGCCAAGAAAACAGCCAAGTTGGACATACTCTCCATAAAATCTACTCCTTAAAATTTGGCAAGTTTTCGAGAGGAAATATTCCCTAAATGTAACATAAGCTTTACATGCTATCTGCTGGTATTATTGAGAATATAGTCTGACAAAATTTTCTACTATTAGTATAGATGAAAATCATATAAGTATGGTTTATTTCCTTTTGCTATTCAACCACTTGTATTGTGTTCTAGTGCACCATAGAGAGACACTAACAGAAGAATTCTCATTTGGCAGTGTGCTCAGATGACATGCTAGTCAAGAGTATATCTGAGTTAGAACACCTGGCAAACCCGAATAGATTCTAAAGCATACCTCCAAGGCATACTTACGTCTCAGAACAAATAACAATGAGCTTCAATTCCCTGGAATGCATTCTTTGGGTGACTGGATCTTTTCTATTGCCACATACTAAGCAAATTAAATTAAACCTCAAAATTTTAATGGTGGTAGAGTTGGAAAGGAGAGATTTAAGAAAGGATTACAATTAATATTTAAAATTTGCTTATGCAAAATTTTTACTTGATTTCTTAGTAACATATATGAGTATAATTTTAGGCATCTTATAGAAAGATTCCATTGTAAGAGGTGCAGTGAATTCAATAATAAGGTCCTCAAATTGTCTGTATTTGTCAATACAGGAAGACCTTTTAGTTTGTATCCATTTCTCTGTGTTCCCATTTATAAGCATACTCTAAGCAGAAAATTTAAACTGGTATTAGACAATTAGATGGATAGAATATAATATATTTATGTCTTCTAAAAAATGAAATAAATCACTTCGTTTTATGGCTATGATAAATCCTACCAGTGGTTATGAAAAGACCACATTTAGGAAACCTAGAATCTAGTTTAAGCCAGGCTAGAACTTACCAGCAAAAATTTCATTTGAGTATAAAATTAATGGATAGTACTTGCATTGCTTGTAGGAAGAAGAAAAAGTAGTCCTTGGAGGTTTTAAATATCTGGAATTTCTTGTTGTTTATGTATTTTCTAGATATGCTTGGAGGGGGGTATTGATAATCTCTCCACACCCATTCATCTTTCTATCAGTGGGAGAAAATGGCTATAAAGAACTGAGTTCCCTGCCCTTCCATATTAACCAGAAGAACACACATTAAAAGCTAATATATCTCTTTTATGATTCAGGTAGGCCCAATGGGGTAGGGCAGGAAAGAAATCAAATACTTCTGCACACACTAATTGGAGTCCATTGACTCAAAGAGCAGACAGGCTCCTCGCTAATTGGAAAAATAAAAGTTTTTCCCTTTCTCAGTATGGATTTAGACCAGAGCTGAAGGGTAAATTAATGTCTATACTTGATAGATGTGCTTACTTTAATAGTTTCATTTATTAAAGGACGAAGCTGACCAGGATCGCACAGGTGAGAATGTTGATTAGGAAACGTTAATAGTGTGCTTTACCTCCTTCATCTATGGTGCAGATATTCATAGTAAAACTTTGTCACTGGGTAGTGATGGACATCATTGTCATTTGGGCAGTCCTGAGGAAGATACTTGAGCTTATATGACTCAGACATGAAGCAATGTACGTGGATAATAATCACAATAAATATAACAAAAACATATTGTGTTTATCACATGACAGAAACTCTTTAAGCATTTGTATATAATAATCTGCTCAATCTTTACAAGTATCCTATAATATAGATGCTATTGTTATATTCACTTCACAAATAAAGAAATATGTTATAGAGAAGTTAAATAAATTGCAGATAGCTGCAGGGTGGAAAAGACAGAATATTTGCCTAAGCAGTTTGGAGCCTGGTCTATGCTCTTTACAATGTGAAACATAAAAATATAATAATGGTGATGACAATTGTGATTAGGAAGAAGAAGATGATGGTGATGGTATTTATTAAACATTCACTATGTGCAGGTACTTGGCTAAGCCATTTGGATATGGTAATTTATTGTGTCCTTATAAAAACACTCTTAGATAGAGCTGAAGAAAGTGAAGCAAATATTTAATAAATCCAGAGGCTGAGATTTTGTCCTATGGAGAGGATTGGAGTTTTTCTGAGGGACTGGGAGTGAGACATGAATCAGGAGATTCTTTGAGAAGGGACATGCACCTATGAGAGAAGAAGAAAGTGCAGATTAGAGGAAGTATCCACAGAAGACTTCCTTTTCTATGGAAGCCTCAGTATTTCGATTCCTCCATTATTTAGACTCACAGAAAATTCAGAGTTGGCTAGAAATTTAAGATTTTCCAGCTTGTATGGAAATTTCCTCCTGAAGTTATCTTAACCCTTCAGTAAAAAAATGTACATGCATATCAAAATCTTGTGTGCTGTGCTTGGGAAACAAAGGAAGCAGTTGAGCTCTACTTTATATCTTCTGAAAACCAAGCAAAGTGCAACAGCAGCCTATCACGTAGACCACGAAATGAGGTTCTGCTGGTCATGGGTGGGAGCCAAGGTCCACTATAGGGTCGGGAGATAGGAGTTGAGTCATAACTTTAGTGAGCAAGCACAAGAAGTAGCACACCAAACCTTTCATTTTTTTCAAAAGATTAGGGAAACAAAGGAGATTCAGAGGACATGTGGGCTACGCAATTAGGTAAATGCGTTACATGGTATTTTTTGCTAATTCAACTACACAGTATGAGGTGCTAGTAAATGAGCTCATCCTGTATTTAGGTATTTTTAGGAGTTCTGGTAAAGAAGAGCAAATACATGCTTTAGAAACACTCTCTGAAATTAATTACCTGAGCATACTTATTAAAATGTTCCATGTATATTTTATAGAATTAATTAATATTTTACTATATATTAAATACTAATAATAACAGCTGCCTGTGACAGATTAAAATTTTGTTCTGCAAATATTCACTCTGTCCCTCTTTATCTTCATCCTATTGATGCTGGGTTTGACCATGTAGCTTATTTTGCAATAGGATGTTAGCTGACAACATGTGAACAGGGGCTTAAGATATGCTTGTGTGGGTAGGTGGGCTTGCTCCCTTTGCTCCTGCCTTTAACTGTGAGAAGCTCATACTTTGGGTACCCAATGGTTCAGGGTGATGAGAGACATGTAGACCCATTTCACATCTGGAAGGCCAGCCTGGAGGAGGAGCCCAGCTAAGATAGGCCAAATCTCAGGGTACTACAGACATGTGAGCAAGAAATAAATGCTTGTTGCTGATTATTACGGAAATTTTGTGTGGCATGTTATTCAGCAACAACAACAAATGACTGCTACACAATCTGCTTGCCTCGTAGTAGGCATGTTGTTTTATTTTGTTTACTACCCACCTCACACTATGAAACTTATGTTAAATGTCCAGATTTTTATCACATAGTATCTATTTTGTCGGGTTTTAATTTGTCTTTTATAAAAACTGAATGCATTCAACTCATCTGTATTATATTTGTTATTATTTGCATGGCCACTCTTTGCTTCTTCTTTTTAGACTGACTAAAAGATACTCTGAGTTAAATTCTCATTAATTTTAAGAATTGGAGCTTACCTTATTGATAGCTAAATATGAATTCAACTCTAATTCAGAATTCTTAAGATACATATTTTTCCACATTGATTTCAAACACTGAACATTTCATACAGTTAGGGATAAAGTTTGGAAATACTGCCAAAAAATACAAATATAATAGGTAAAGGGAACTTAAACACTTTTTTTGGTGGTTCTGTCTCTACTTCCTGATTCTTAGTTTATGATTCCCCTCAGTGGTTAAATTAGACTTCTGTGGTAGCTGAAGATGTATTGATCTTCAATGGTGGAACCATTGAGGCACCGGTTTTATGTTTCATAAATAATTTCTAAAACGCCTTTCTGAGCAAAGCAATTTCCAAAATCAACTGTATTAAAAATAATTTTGTGGAAAGATTTTACATATACAAAATATATCTGTAACTGGTTCAGTGTAACTAAATAATTTTAGGCTATACTGGATTTCTGCCTAATAAAGAAACAATTTAAAGCACTGTCTAGGGTGGCTAGGTAATTATACTATCATTTGGATCCAGAAACTTTTTTAGCATTTCATCTAGGAGAGTAACAATAACAATTAATGAACATTCACAAAAAACTATGCTTCTCTAACAGGCTTCAAGTGACCACACTGAGTTTTCTGTGCACATTAAGTGCACTTTTGTGAACTGGATATTTGGAAATCTTTAAAGAAAATAATTTGAATTGGGTATTTAGAAAAGAATATGAATTGCCTCATTAAGGAAAATAATATCAATTTTTTGTTTTTAAAACTTAAGGCTGATGCCGAAAGTATTAAAAAAGTCAATGCAGGAAAATACAGCAAAAGTGCTTTACAATAAGTATTATTGATAGCATACATACTCTGCTCTAAATGAATTCAATAGAAACAATGATATTTTTATTTATTCATTTACATGTCCACCCAACCACACATAAAGCTATACAGATATATGCTCCTAAGAGATCAATTCTTAACATCTGCGTCTTTCCAACACTATCTGACCATTAGGGAGCTACACTCCCTTGTAGTTGCTGGGGAAACAATGACAGAACTCAAGCCAGGAATCAATTAAACTAAGGAGACTGTTCCATATCTTTTTTTTCTGGGAAGAGAACAGGTGTTTAATAATTTACATAAATTATGCAAAATCTAAAGCATTTACAGTAACTAGACACTTAGCAACAGACATGAATGAAGAGGTAAATTGGCTGATGACGTTTGGTATTATAGCGGTGCCTGCTAGCACTGCTATTGTTATGGGTCTGTCAGTATTTCCATTATAAACTCTGTTTTTCAGGGATGTATATTTCAATATAAAAACCTGCCTTAGTTTTTAAATTTTTTTTAAAGATCACAGTAGATATGACACTTCCCTGGTAATGTATCTTATTTGTAAACTAAGTATTTTGTGTGTGTAGAAACTAATTTAAATTATATTTAAGTTATTGAAACAAGATAGTAATGAAATTTGAACTTAAACTCTTTCTTTAGCTAATACTCATAAGTGACTCCAACTTAAGAATGTGCTTTTAAAGAACGAGTGATTTTGAAGAACATTTAAAATCTGCAATGTGAATTTGAATATTTGTATAATATTAGATGAACTGTGTTGAGGGCTTTATTTCAAGATAGGAATATAGGACTTAAAACAGTAAATCTGATCATTTTAATCAACAGAGATTTTTGTTTATTAGGTTTTTTTGGGGGAATTTTCCAAGTGCTCTGTCATATGCTAAATGCAGTAGAGAATAAAATGAATAAAGTACAGTATCTGCCTAAAATAATGTCACCCTACTTGGGAAATTAAACATAGACACTTCTAACAACAAATGAAAATGACAGTTGTATATGTAGCTACATTTTAAGCTGACACAATTGAATGTTGAATTATTTGTCATAGTAAAATGCACTATCTCGATATAGTTTTTCTTTCTTGTAAGTACCTTTCAATAGTTGGCCAATATATGAACTTTTAAAACTCAGTTTCACAATTAATACATGCTGCTGAATTCCTGCCAGATACGTGGGAGCCTTAAAAATCCTTTGTAAGTAAGCCTTTGTGCATAAGACACTTTTCTTCCCTGAGATGATACCCAAGAGATTTAAAATTCCTTTAACAATACATATTTTAGACAAGTTAAACATATCCCGTGTGTCCTGGAAATTTTAAACTCATTTGGCAAAGCTAAAATCCTAGGTAAATTCAACTTCCCACCTACTCTGTACCTGTACCTGTGCAGCCACACATAGTTGAAGGAAAACAGACAACCATGAAGACTAGTCTCATTTTAAATTCATGGTTGTGAACCTCAAGAGGATACTTAATACAGCCCATCATCACATTGTGCATCCGAAGTGTCTTAACTTTCCCACTTTCATGACTATTTCTCATTTCTCTTTTCCAGCCTTAATACCTACTCCCTCATTTCACTTTCAGCTAAGGATCTTGTTTCCTTTTTCGTTGAGAAAATGAAGGCATTCAGCTGATAATTACCACCCCCCACCGCCAACCTTCTGCACCGTTTCCGCACTCACAATGCTGCTTTACTACATGGTTCTGTAAATGAATAACTTTGTCACTACTTGGGCTAATCCCTCCCTGTGTACACCAGATTCACGTATACTACACACAAAATATTATTTCTGCCATAAAAAATCCAAAACCTATCTTTTGATTCCTTTTCTGCCACAAGCTTTTGCAGTGTGTTCAAGAATTACCTCAAACCACCACCACCCTTTTCCTATTCTCTGTTAATTGTAAGTGAATAAGGCACTGCACTCTGCCACTCCACCAAAATTGCTCTCCTATATGTCACTAATGGCCTCCTTGCTGTTGAGTCCAATAGCCGATTCTTGGTCTTAAATGCAACTTTCTAAGAAATTTGGCCCAGTTGATCATTTCCTCCTTTTTGATACAGTTTCTTCATCTGGCTTTCAATATTCCACACTCTTGGATTTCCTCTTCTCTCACATCTTTATCATGCTCTCTGGTTCTTCCTTTTCCTAACCTCTTAATGTTGAAGTGATTGGTACCTGATTATCTTCTCTATATCTCCTCATTCTCTTGTTGGTCTTATCCAGTCTTCGAATAAAATCTATATGTGGGCCAGGCACGATGGCTCATGCCTGTAATCCCAGCACTTTGGGAGGTGGAGGTGGGTGGATCACCTGAGGTCAGGAGTTCGAGATCAGCCTGACCATCAAGGTAAAACCTCATCTCTGCGAAAATACAAAAATTAGCTGGGTGTGGTGGCAGGCACCTATAGTCCCAGCTACTCAGGAGGCTGAGACAGGAGAATTGATTGAACCCAGGAGGCAGAGGTTGCAGTGAACTGAGATCACACCACTGCACTCCAGCCTGGGTGATGGAGCAAGACTCCGTCTCAAAAAAAAAGAAAAAAAAAAAAAAAAGAAAAAAGAAACAAAGAAAAAATATTCTATATGTGGGTGCTTTCTAAATTTATAACCAGCTCAGAACTCTGTCCTAAACTCCAGACTCATATCCAACTGCCCACTCAATTTCTCCATTTGATTCTCTAATAGGCAAGTCAAATTCAGCACATCCAGGATGAAACTCCTGATTGTCCTCCAACACTTAGAATCCTCACAGCCTTTTCCATTTCCCTCCACTTCCTTGGGCCAAAACTATGAAATCATGTTTAATTCTATTTCCCTCACACCACACATAAAATTTCAGAAAACCCATTTTGCTCTGTCTTCAAAATGTATTCATAATTTGACCACTTTTCACCACTACTACTTTTTCACTCTTATCACTGTGGGGCAAGCCACCATTATTTCTTAGCTGGACAACTGCAATCAGCCTGCTAATTGGCTTCTATGTTTGCCCACTTGAGTTAATTCACAATACAGCTGCTAGATGAATCTTTTAAAAGTGTAAGTTAGCTTGAGAGGATGGATACTCCATTCTCCATGATGTGATTCTGTCACATTGCATGCATGCCTGTATCAGAACATCTCATGTACCCCATAAATATACACATCTACTATGTACCTTCAAAAAATTTAAAATAAAAAACACAAAAAAGCATAAGTTAGATTATGCCATTCCTCTGCTCAAAACACTGCAAAAATTCTCATTTTATCCAAAGAATGGCTAAAGTCATTAAAATGGTATGTGAGATCCTACATGATTTGTTCTCCACCCCTCTACCTCCCTTTACTCTTCTTCTTTTTTACTCTTTCCACCCAGACTGGCCTTCTTGTTATTCCTGGAAATTAGTTCACCTGAGAGTAGGGCCTTTGCATTGGCTATTTCTTCTCTTTGGATTCTCTTCAAACACTTCTACACAAGACTCGTTCCCTCATCACCTTGGAGCTTGTGCTCAAATCTCACTCTTTCAGTGGAGCCTATCTTACCTGCTAAATGACAGCCTCCACGTCTAATATTCTTGATTTCACTACTTTACCTTTGCTTTGAACATAGCACTTATCATCCTCTAATATGCTATGTACAAGCATACCTTGTTTTATTACTCTTTGCTTTATTGTACTTTGCAGATATCTTTTTTTTAATAACAAATTGAAGGTTTGTGGCAACCCTGTGTCCAGCAAGCCTATTGGTGCCATTTTTCTAATAGCATGTGCCCACTTTGTGTCTCTGTGTCACGTTTTGGTAATTCTTGCAATATTTTAAAATGTCTCATTATTATTATATCTCTTATGCATCAAATAGCACTCATGAGCACTCTTTGATGTTACTACTACAATTGTTTTGGAGCACCACAAACTCTGCCTATATAAGACAGAGAACTTAACTGATAAATGTTGTGTGTGTTCTAACTGCTCCAAGTGATCCCTCATCTCGCTCACTTTCCTCTTGCCCTCCAATTCCCTGAGAGAAAACAGTATTGAAATTAGGCCAGTTAATAACCCTACAAGTACCTCTAAGCGTTCAAGTGAAAGGAAAAGTCACATGTCTCCCACTTTCAATCAAAAATTAGAAACGATCAAGTTTAGTGAGAAAGGCATGTTGAAAGCCAAGATAGGTTGAAAACTAGGCATCTTATGCCACATAGTTAGCCAAGGTGTGAATGCAAAGAAAAAGTTCTTGAAGGAAATTAAAAGTGCTACTCCATTGCACACATCAATATTAAGAAAACAAAACAGGCTTACTGCTGATATGAGGAAAGTTTTAGTGGTCTGGATAAAAGATCAAATCAACCACAATATTTCCTTAAGCCAAAACCTAATTCAGAACAAGCCTCTAACTCTCTCCAATTTTATGACTGCTAAGAGAGGTGAGGAAGCTGTAGAAAAAAAGTTTGAAGCCAGCAGAGGATGTTTCATGAGTCTTAAAAAAAAAAAAAATGCCATCTCCATAACATACAAGTGTGAGGTGAGGCAGCAAGTCCTGATAGAGAAGCTGCAGCAAGTTATCCAGAAGGTCTACCTAAGATCAGTGATGAAGGTGACTCCACTAAATAACCAACTTTCAATGGAGACAAAACAGCTTTCTATTGGAAGAAGCTGCCATCTAGGACTTTCAAAGCTAGAGAGGAGAAGTTAATGCTTGGCTTTAAAGCTTCAAATGATAGACTAAGCTCTTGTTAAGGTCTAATGCAGCTGATGACTTTAAGTTGAAGGCAATGATCGTTTACCATTCTGAAAACCCTAGAGATTTTAAGAATTATGTTGTATTTATTCTGCCTGTGCTGTATAAATGGGCACAACAAAGCCTGGATGACAGCACATCTGTTTACAGCATTGTTTACTCAATATTTTAAGCCCACTGTTAAGACTTACTGCTCAGAAAGACAAGATTTCTTTCAAAATAGTATTGCTCCTTGGCTATTTGCCTGGTCACCCAAGAGCTCTGATGGAGATGCACACAAGAGCACTTACGGAGATGTACAAGGAGACTAATGTTGTTTTTATTCCTGCTAAAACAACATCCATTCTGCAGCCCCTGGATCAAGGAGTAATTTTTATTTTCAAGTCTTACTATTTAAGGAACACATTTTGTATGGCTATAGTCCCTTAGAGGGATTCCTCTGATGAATCTGGGCAAAGCCAGTTGAAAACCTTCTGGAAAGGATTCACCATTTTTGATGCCATTAACTATATTCATGATTCATGGGAGGAGGTCAAGATATCAGTATTAACAGGACTTTGGGAGAAGTCGATTTCAACTCTCATGGATGACTTGGAGGTGTTCAAGACTGCAGTGGAGGAAGTCACTGCAGATGTGGTACAAATAAGCAAGAGAAATAAAATTGGAAGTGGAGCCTGAAGAGGTGACTGAATTGCTACAATCTCATGATTAAAACTTGAATGGATGAAGAGTTGCTTCTTAGGGATGAGCAAAGAAAGTAGTTTCTAGAGATGGAATCAATGCTGTGAATATTGTTGAAATGACAACAAAGGATTTAGAATATTCCATCAACTTAGTTGATAAAGCAGTGGCAGGATTTCTGAGGATTGACTCCAATTTTGAAAGAAGTTCTACTATGAGTAAAATGCTATGAAACAGCATCACATGCTACAGAGAAATCTTTTGTGAAAGGAAGAGTCAATTAATGTGGAAAACTTCATTGGTTTCTTATTTGAAGAAATTGCTACAGCCACCCAGGCTTCAGCAACCACCACCCTGATCAGTTAGCAGCCTTCATCAAGGCAAGACCCTCCACCAGCAAAAACATTATGACTGCTGAAGGCTAATGTGATTGTTAGGATTTTTCAGTAATAAAGTATATTTTAGTTACATAGTTAAGGTATGTATATTGTGGGGTTTTTTTTTCTTACATATAATGGTGTTACACACTAAATTGACTACAGCTTAGTGTTAATATAACTTTTATATGTACTGGGAAAACAAAAAAAATCATGTGACTTGCTTTGTTGCAATATTTGCTTTATTGCGGTAGTCTGGAACTGAACATGCTGTATCTCTGAGGTATGCTGCAAACATCTCATTTATTTTGGATATTGAGAATAGATCTCTCTCAATAGGATATATGTTCCTTGAGGATAAAGGTCTTTGTTGTATTCTCTGATGTATTCCAAATTCCCTGATATAGTAATATCAAGTCACATTATATTCAGTAGATTTCTGTTTGAATCGATGAGGAAATTGACAAAGACACTAGGACAGAGTGTCTGCATTTAGGATCACACATGGTGAGACTCAAGTAACCTAGAACTGCCAAAAAGTATCCTTCGGTTCATGTAGAAAGAACTTGCCTGAGAATAAAGCCACCATGGGAGAAAGCTAAACAGGAGCCACACCTCTGAGGGCATTATCTGAGCACAGCTGCCTAGTTGTACCCAAAGCCCAAAGTCTCCAGGGTACATCGAGATAAGTGAAATTCTAACGACTACTTCTCCTTTTCCCACTTCTCATTCTCTCCCTCTCTTCCTTCTCTTTTTCCTTCTTCTCCTCTTCCTCATCTTCCTCTTATTTCTTGTTCTCCTTTTCTTCTTCCTTCTTTCCTTCTCCTCCTCCTTCTCCTCACTTTTCTCATTTTAATTGGAGATAGCTTTCTGTCACTTTTGTTAAGAGACAATTTTCAAAAACAGGTAAAATAATGACTAGAGATACAAAAATGAACATAGATAAAATATTTTATTTGACTCATTTATGAGAAAGCTATTGAGGTGCTATAACCAATTCAGAGGAGAATCCAAAGGACAAACACATTTATAGACTGGGAATATTAAATGTGTAAATTGAGGCAATATTAGCTCTTTCTACAGTAGGGGAGGAAAGTTAATTGAAACTGTATAGGACAGAACAGAATTTGCATGTGCATAGACAAGAATTATATTGAATTTCTGTTATCTAAACTTTAGAGCTGTAAATTAGCTACTGTAGAATCAGAATCAGAGAACCTGGTTGGATATGTAATATACAATGCAGTTGTCTATTGAGGCATAAATTTTTCCTACATTTCCAAAAATATCTTAAATATTTGTCACAATGATAAAATAGATTAATTTTATATAATAAAAACTGCAGATTAACACATTAATTTCCCATTGCTGCTGTAATACATTAGCACACACTGTGTTTAAACAATACACATTTTTTTTTACAGTTCTATGGGTCAGAATTCCAAAATAGGTCTCACTGGGCTAAAAATCAAGCTATTGGATTCTGTAGGAGATAATTCATTTTCCTGATTCTAGAGGTTACCTGCACTCCTTGGCTCATGGCCTCCTACTTCTCTGCTTTAAAGGACATTTGTGATTGCCTTGGGCTCACTCAGATAATCCTGGATAATCTCTATATTTTAAGGTTAGCTGATTGGCAACCTTAATTCCATGTACAACTTTAATTCCGCCTTGTTGTGTAACACAATATATCACAAATTCTGGAGATTAAGATGTGAATACCTTTGGTAAACATTATTCTGCCTACCATAACATTTGATTAGAAATTAACTTTTTAGAAATTAATTTTTAGAGATTTTATCTAGTTAAGATTAGAAATTTTACAGTTAATTATGATCATACATAGATAAATTTTGTTATGGATAATTAATTCCTAAAATGAAAAAAGAAAAGTGCCCCCAGATTTATGTTAATAAAATGCAATTTTTGTTCTGCTACTTTAAGGAAAAAGCTCATTTCATTCACACCCTTGAAACATACACACAAAAATTATTGCCAAACCATAATAATTTATATTTACTCTGTCTTCAAAAATAAAAAAGCTCTTATTCTTTCAATCCCTTGCCCCAATGTTTGGATTAAAATACAAAATAAACCACTTTTCCATCTGAAATTTCCATGTAATAACTTCCATTTCTGTCATCTAATGGTGCAGCAAAATGTCCATACAAGCACTCTTTTGCAGTTTTAGGAATTTTCTCAAGGTTGCTTGAAAGAAACTGCTTGAATTGGATGCTACTTTTGTTATCAAACAAACCTCAAGGATTCACAAACATCATTCAGTCAGTTAGGGCTAATATAGGTGGAATAAACACTGAGCTCTCAGTGAAACAAATTGTTTCATATGCAATTTCTTGAAAGGTGAAAAGGGAAAATACTGTATGAGTCTTTTCACAATTCCAAATGCTGCCCTTGAAATAGAGTTTGGTCCAGGCAAAGCAGTTTATTCCTCAAAACCTAATAACACCCATAATGGAGATTTTTTATAACCTTCAGCAATTTCTGACTTTTGCAAAGTCATATTGCTAGCCCCAAAGCAAACTGCGGTTAGATATGTGCTTATAATCTGCAACCGAGTTTCTCTAAAACTTTAAAAACAAGTTAAGGGTAAGTGATGTTGAATTTAAAAAATTTTTTTAAATGAAAAAACATAAGGGGAGCAACACCAGTCCTTTGTTATATTAAATATATTCCTTTCAAAAACATAGTTTTAGTAATTTTCTATGTAAAGCTAGAAAATACTATCTCTTCACTCTAAAGATTAAGAAGGACATACGAAGATATTTTGTACTTTGTTTCTGCTGAAGCTCTAGTGCATCATCCCTAAATTTTCAAGATATCAAAAACATTTCCTAGGAAGTATATCTCAATTCCAAACTGATATTTTTTCCCTCCTTTCTCTAGAAAAAAAAATTTTGAGCCATTATAAGCATATTAAGTAAAACAAAAATAAAAAAGTCACCCCCACTTCCCAAATATATATGTCAGTAGGCAATAAGGCAAATGCAGGAGAGGAAAGCCTCTTTAACAAAATTACCTTTAAATAGCACAGTGATCAGGAAACTCGGAATATATGTCAGTCATTGCATTAACACTGTCTTACCTGTCTATTTCTTATTCTTCTTATTGTTTACATTATGAAAAATTATATCAATAGGACTATTGTAATAGTTCAGCAGGAGAGTAAGAACTTCAAAGTTTGTAGGTACTACTCATATTGGCCTTTCAGTCTTCTCAAATCTGTTCTGAAATATGGCAGGAAATAAATGGTTCCCAATAAAAAATATCCTAATCTTCCTAAGTAAAGAAGAGTGACAGTGTGAGCAAATGATAATTCTTCTAAAGCCTTTGCCCAGAAAAAGAAAAATGACCGAGAATATTTATGTGATTTTGTGGCATTCTTAAGGATGTACCATGCTCAATCTGCTGACCTAGTTTCTATCTACCTTCAAATTGACGTAGGGTTTTCTATACCTATGCTTTGTAGCTGGCTTCCATTTCTTTTATTCTCCTCCCTTTTGTAATTTCACCTATTTTTTTTTTCAAGGTTCAGTTCAAATTCTTCCTTTTCTCTGAAGGCTAACTGTGTTAGGTGGAGTTTCCTTTGAAGCTGGACCTGAGCTATGTATTGAATGGAAGAGTTTTATTTGGGAAGTGGTCCCAGGAAATAGTTGGCAAGTGAGAAAGGGAGAAAAAAAAAGGGAATGGAGCTAAGGCAGGGGATGTTAGTGAGCAGGTACCTCTGTGGGCAAATGAAGCTCAGTCCCTCTGGATTTCTGGGAAACTGCAGTGTCCCTTAGAGTTGTTCATGTAGAAAGCTAAGTCATTTGTTAAGCACTGCTGGAAGGTGGGGAAGAGATCATTAATTCCGCAGTGCATTTGGTCTCTGTAGCCCCACCTGGGCAGCTCCAATGGCCAGACTGGCAGCCAAAGTTGCTTACAGTAGGGAGCTATGTGGGAGGGGATATGGGGCATGATTTCTGAGGAGATTTGGGCAGAGAATTGTGGGCATGTGATAAGCCAAATAATATCCCCATTTACTTGCAAGTATATCCATGGTGTGGGTTATAGAAACACAAGTACACACAAGCACATACACATCTTTAAGCTTTCCAGCTGGTAAGGTCAGTTCAGTATAGTGGTAATGCCTGGGGCATGGCTTTGTCACATTGTCTTTATTCAAACCCTGTTCAACGGTCTGCGTTGCCTTGGGCTAGTTGTTTAAATTCTCTGAACTTCAGATTACCCATCTATAAAATCTGAATGCATCACTTATTTCCAGGGTCATTGTGATGATTATACGAAAATTATGCAATGAAACACTTGGTAATAGGTAGGCATTCCATAAAGCTGATAGTTCCCCTTTGACCTCTTTCTTATGCATTCTTCATAGCATTTTGGTCTTTTTTTGTTTTGTTTTGTTTTTGAGACGGAGTCTCGCTCTGTCGCCCAGGCTGGAGTGCAGCTCACTGCAACCTCTGCCTCCCGGGTTCAGGTGATTCTATCTCAGCCTCCCAAGTAGCTGGGATTGCAGGTGTGTGCCACCACAGCTGGCTAATTTTTGTATTTTTAGTAGAGACAGGGTTTCACCATGTTGGCCAGGCTGGTCTCGAACTCCTTACCTCAGGTGATCCGCCCACCTCGGCCTCCCAAAGTGCTGGGATTACAGGTGTGAGCCACTGCACCTGGACGCATTTTGGTCTTTTCAAAAGTTGATTGTGTCATGCATGTGCTCACATACATAAGAAAACATGTACCTCCATTCACTTAAGCATGTGTTTCTCCCTTCTCGTCTCCACAGTACCCCTATCACTAGCTCTCTCGCCCAGCTCCTGTAGTTTATTTTTTCTCTTCAATCAAACAGAAACATTTAGAAAAATAATCTAACCTTATAGATGTAATTGAATAATTTGTTTTCTTCTGATCCACTTTTTTTAACCACTTGCTTAATTCTTCCTACCCCACACATGTAGAATACCAACCTCAAGGGGACAAGGAGAATAAAGTAAGGAGAAGGCTCTCTTTGTCCCGTTTTAAAACTCTTGAAGAACTTTCTTTGGTTATAGACTCTCCAAATTTCCATAGTGTACACGTGGTAGGATAGCTTTGGGGTTTTCTTGGAGGCCCTAATATACTTAGCAGATAAGAATTTTGAAAGTCTTCCAGGGGTCTTGTTTTTCATAGTGGTAATCAGTCTGTCAATTCTATGAAGTCAGGGGCATGTTGTTTCTGTTGACCATGGTTTCTCAGGTACATTTTGCAAAGTGTATGATTTTGAATTTGAATTAGAAGTCTGAGTATACATCCTGCTGCTTTTCAAGGCAGTGAGATGTTGAGAAAGTTTCTAAAATTTTAATTTGTAAAGTAGGATAATGGTATTATCTGAAAGAATTGTTTCAAGACTAATGGGAGATCACATGCAAAATTCCTAGCATAATATGTAATCGTAGGTTCAAAATAAGCATTAGTTTTCTTCCTACTCAACTCTTAATGTTGCTTCTAAAACATGTAATGATACCATTCTTAAAGCTAACTAAAATACAGGAGAAGCAAGAGCATCCCTCTAGCTATGGAAGTACTTTTGTTTGTTTCTTAAAAACTCCAGTGTTCTCTAGTGAATCTTAGTATTAAAAAAAAAAAAAAAAAACAGAAATTTCTGAGTGGTAAGCACCATATGCTTTCCTGGATTTTATTTCACTTTATTTTTCAAAAGATATCTCTTATCACATTAGTGCGAAGCCTATTTCAAAATGCTTTACAGAGCCTTTTTCAGCCTGTAATGAATTGTTAAAAAAAGGTTTAAGTGAACTATTAAAAACAGGAGTTTGTTGAATTGAATAAAAGCTATTCTTGGAAATGTGGTTCCAACTGAAAAAATATATATATATACATGGAAGTGTTTACTCGTAAAGCTTGTTTGATTAGCCCCACCTGATGTGTCTCACCCCATGATCACCACAGGGTAGATTATATAACGTACATTGGTTTTGGAAACATATAATCCATTCTCCTTAGCTACAGTGCTTGTATTCCATGCTGACACATTCACTAAAACCCTGTCTGATATATCAAGCTCTTTAATTGGGCTTACTTGATGGTCTGGGAAAGAAAAAAGGACATTAGTGTCTCCTTTTTTGCTCCCTTGGGTACCTTTTAGAGGAATCTCTTTTCAATAATGGACTAATAACTTTAAATATATATATGTGGGCGAATGCATATGACCCTTTTTTTTTTTTGTCTCGGATAACTATTCCACCCGATTTTCAATTAATGAAACAATGTGCTGTACTCTCATAAGTAATGAGGTATGTGTTCTTATCTATAACAATAGATGATGCCATCATTTTTAAATCTTTTTCACTTGTGTTTGCTTTCCATCTCCACCTGGGCAGAAACTCTGCCTTTTACTGATCTTACATTGCCCCAACATTACTTCTCTGTAGGCACTTGGCAATTCAAGTTGTTCTTGACTTGTGCTAAAATAAACGCTTAATATTGTGGAATATGTAAAGCAGAATCAATTGAATTGCCACTCATCCAGCCTGAATATATTTGAGCGTGTCATTGATTGTTCAGGATCATGGTAGCATTGATTCGGTTTTGGCAGCTCATGCCAACTAGAAAAGTTGTGGACATGGCTATCAGAGACATGATTCAGTCTTACTCAGTGATTTTCCAAATGTGACAAAAATTAATTAGTTACATGGATAATAAAAACTACAGTCTCAAATTAGTTGAACTGAGTAATGGATATAGAAATAAAGTTGATTTGTTTGGAGCCTCTAGCAATAGAATTCCTCCCTTTGTATAGCCATTAAGAATGTTTACTTTTACCTGAAAATTGATTAGAATTACAGCTTTAGTATGATACAAATAAAGTGATGAAGAAGAAACTGATGCCTATGGAACTGGCCTGATCAGTTACATCAACCATGGTGATCAATGGACCTGAGATGTCACAGGCAGATCACATTTTCTTCTGGAATTTATTCCAAGCATTGAGCAAGTGACCTGGTAAGGAAATAGGCACCATTTACACTTATCAGCAAAGGGAGAGAAATAATCCCATGCCTGCCGCTTTTACATAACAAATTTTGTCAAAGTCATCTCCTCAATCTACTTTGGGAATATGGAAACACCTTGATGATATATTCATAAGTTATTATCTTTAGATTATCTAAATTTCTTTTCAAAAGGAGCGTTTCTGCCTTAGGCCTATTACTTTGCAATTGGTGGATGTGAGAGCTGTTTGTATTGCTTCTTTTATTTGTTACTAGATTACATGGTTTTCTATTCTCTTTTTCCGGACAATATATGTTAGCCTATATATTCTTTCTATTGGATATAAAGTGAATTGGAGGTAAGCAGTTTATCGTTTTCTTTGTATCCTCTTTCCTTTCTTCTCCATTTCCTCAAATTAGTACAATGCTCAATATAGAGTAGATTCAAAAAGTTGTTCACTTATGAATCTATTCTGTCTGGATAGACAAAATGTCACAAGTTTGAAACTGTCAGTTGCTTAAAAAGGCTCTCACTTTCACAGTCACCAGCCAAAAGATTCTCATTTAAACATTAAGGAGTCCTTCTTGCTTGATGAGTATAATCTTGATGTGCTGAAGGTTTCCTTGGACATTTAGCTCCCATTCGTATGACAATACTCTTTTCCAGGCAGGGCGCGGTGGCTCAAGCCTGTAATCCCAACACTTTGGGTGGCTGAGGTGGGCGGATCACGAGGTCAGGAGATCGAGACCATCCTGGCTAACACGGTGAAACCCCGTCTCTACTAAAAAAATACAAAAAAATTAACCAGGCATGGTGGTGGGCACCTGTAGTCCCAGCTACTCAGGAGGCCGAGGCAGGAGAATGGCATGAACCCGGGGGCGTAGCTTGCAGTGAGCTCAGCCACTGCATTCCATTCACTGCGCCATTCCATTCACTGCATTCCATTCACTGCGCCATTGCAGTAAGTTCACGCCACTGTATTCCAGCCTGGGCAACAGAGCGAGACTCTGTCTCAAATAAACAAAAACAAAAATGAAAACAAAACAAAAACAAACAAACAAAAACAAATACTCTCTTCCAGTATTATTTTTTAGAATATATTACACCTCATAGTTATTCATTGCATTCATATTCACAGTCCCTGTAGACTTCGTATTACAAACTTTATGAGCATTTGTGCAATGAGAACTATTACTTAAATACAATACCAGACATTTCTGGCAAACCCAAGCATATCACAGATAATTTTTGTTAGTTCCTATAATTGTATTTTTTTGCATAATTCTTATATACAGTGTGTAAATTTTATATGAACTTTCTGCAAAAATGTGGAAAACTTTGAATCCTTAATTCTTTCCCTTTTGAAACAGGTTCTTTCGATATTCAAGTTGGAAGAGAGAATATGAACAGATGGCTGTGGCAAACAGCACATTGCAATTGGGAAGCAGAGTACAGGTACTAGTGAACATGACATTTGGTATTCCATAATAGTCCTGAAAATTAATTTTAAATTAGTCTTCAAAATCATAATAAAGAGCAACTCATATATTATTCATTTCTTTATTCTGAGGGCTAATGTTTAGCATTAAGTACAATATATGCTGAAAGAAAGTAAAGGCGATGTGATTTTCAATTAAATACATAAAATATGTTTTAAAACCACTGGCATGACCTTTGTTATTTTTCTAGGATTATTGCATAACTTCCAATACCCTTAGACTTTTACCTGTAAAGACTACTTATCATTAAAAGACAATATAAAGTTAAAGTTTGTAGTAAAACTATTTTAAAAGTTTTAATTTTATATTTTATGCCTACTCTGGATGTATTTTTGAAGGTAATTAGTTGGTCAGATGCCAAAAGTGGTAAATATTTTATACTTGCTCATGGAAACAGGTAGCTGGAATGTCAAATTTGTACACATCATCAAAAAGCAGGCAATTATCATCTATGCTAATGTATAGATGGCTGCCTCTGGGATTCACAGGTAACCAGAGCTTTTATGAATACTTCAGCACATAGTTCTATTTCTATTTAAAATAAATATTGCAGTCTGAATAAAAATTTTCATTTTTTTGAGGAGCTGCTAGGGGAATGGTGGTATTATGATAGAAAGATTGGCTTGTTATATTATTATTCCTTTGTGTTACCAGTTCTGATTATCTCAGTGGTATTGCAAGCAGAACACTCTTTAAATTAATAGAAACTTTTCTAATGAAAACATCCCACATTACATTCCTTTTAACAAGAGAAGATAATTATGTAAAGTAAAGAAATTAGCAAATGAGAAACAGGTCCATGAACATACAGATTTCTGTACAGACATGCATTATTCTCATGGCATTGATTAATATCATGTGGATATATACATATTGCATGTATGTGCGTGCACATACATGCATTTGTCTTTAAAACACATGTGAATTATTTAGGGGCTTATTTAACAATTGTGAGCCTATAGTGGATATCTTTTCTACCCTGAGAAAATCTCCTTTAGGGACTCAGAGAGAATTATATATCAAATAGAAGAAATATTCCATGATGGAAGTGATATGGATGTTAGTGACCAGTAGACCTATGCTGAATCTTTTCTTTAGCATCTACCAGTTATAAATCCTTGTTTGCAGTTATGTAACCTTTGTAACCCTCATGTGTGAAAAGAGGATATCAAAGATGGAAACCTCACAGTGTTGTTGTAAGAATTATTTAGGTATTGTATATAATTAAGATATTTCACCTCTTTTTATTGTTATACTTTTGTGTATCAGTAGAACATACACATGGGGGTTATGGAAATCTAAAATGAAGAAACTTAAGTTTGATCTGCAGTTGCTTACAGAAAGCTGAATGTGCATCAGGTATTGTGATCGACAACAAAATCATTTATACTTTTCCAACATGGCAACATTTGTGTAGGGTTGCAGCATGGATTATCTCATTGGGTTCTCACAACATCCCTGATATTAGAACGTTAAGGAAAGCCAAAGTAACTTGCCTAAGATTATACAACCTCTTCATGGGAGATCAAGGCCTAGAATATAGCCTTAGACCACTGATCTAGAAATTGTTTCATTACACCCCATGGTCTCCCAATTAAAGTGAAAATTATCTGTCTCTGACTGAAAGAGAAAATTCTCCTACATTCCCTGCTGTCCAAAAATTATCTCATCTTATTTATTTTTATCATCAGTGCTTTTGTGATAAACATGTTAATTGTTTAAAATGACATTTTACAAGTGTGACTCCTCTCCCTACTGATTCTGTCAAATTAAAGGCTAAACTTCATGTGGAGAAAACCAAATGTATAAGAAATAATTTAATTAAAGGAGACAAATATTTGTTAGATGCTTAGTATCTGCAAAGACATGGTCTGGGCTAGGTGCATTGTTGGCAAACTTGCATTCATGTGTAACCCCTAGGTTGTACCTATCATGCCTGAGAAGGAAAACAGGTTTCATCTATCACCAGAAAGAACTCAATGCCCCTATTAGTTGATTTCCTGCACACATGGTATTTAGAGGATGTTGCATAAATATTTTCCATCTCTGGCTGGGATACAGCGTAATTGTGATGTATGTTTAGGAGACCCACCATAACGGTCTTCTTCCTTCTCCCCTCATGATTCCAGGTTCTCTTGGTCTTTTCTTTCACTCTGTCTCCTCTTCAGGGCCCTGCTTCCATTCTGGAAACACACAGCTATGTCATGCTTTGATGATGGTGGCAGTAAGTGAACTAGAACTTCCAGATGTTTTCAAAGAGGACTATCCAATAGTCCAACAAATCTTTTTATTATAATGACTTCTTCTTAAATCATATTATTTTTAAACAAAGAAAACTGTCTTTTTTAGGCAGTAAATTGTTAAAAATTTAAGAAGATGAGTTAAAAAGTTGTTATATTTGAATCATGTCTCTGTCCCTATAAGCTGTGTGACCATAGCAAGTTACTGAATTTCTTTGGGCCTCACTTCTTTACCTGTAAAATGGAGATAATAATAGGACATGATTCTTGTGGTTTCTGGGAGGGTTATATGAGTTAATACATATGACTCATATAATACTGTCTGGTGCTTAATAAATACTCAACGTACTGGCATTATTAGTATTATGATTTTTAAGTTATTATGTCTTGCCAAAAGCTTATTCATTACTAGGTTGAGAAGAAAAGAAAAGGGTGAGGGGGAAAAAGAAACCTAACCTATATGTATCTATATTTATTGATTAATTAAATGTTTAAATAAAATATTTAATATTTCAACATTTCTCAGTCTCTCTTACCCATGAACCTCACATAACACACACAGGCATACATACAACAATAACTGCCTGGTAGTCCTGGCAGATATCTGTAAGAATGTGCATTTCCTCCCCCTGCCATTTTTTTATACTTTTTATTATTTTATCATATACAGGTAGATAGAAGAATGTAAGGAATTCCCATAATAGTGCCATAAGATTGTAATGGAGTGATTAATTTTATTTGGTATAATGAGTACTGGAACACATTTGAATCTTGATCTTAAAGGATGAGTAGGGCTTTGTCAGTTAGGTTGGAAAAGGACATTTCTAGCTAAACAAAAAGTTCATTCTGCATTTCTACTTCAACGAAAGTAGGTCATCGCTTTTCAAGCTTCCAAGGCTAACACGACAGCAGGTCAGCACTATCTCACAGGTCCTTGTCAAGAGTTTGCTACCATGGGAAAGAGTCCTCATGTCAAGAAACTCTCCCTTAGCCACTTTCATGCTTCACCCGACCCCTTTCCTTGATTGAGCACCCTGAGAATCTTGTTCCATGCAAACTCTCCTGGCTCATGTTGGTACCTGACACCTAGGTTATGCAGCTTCTTTGGTGTTTAGTTCACCTTCTTCTGCAGCAGGCCCAGAAAATCCCTGGTCAAAGTTGTGCTGAGATTGACCCTAATTATTGGTCTGGTTGCCAGAGGGGGAAATGGAGATAGACTTTGAGGGGGGCAAGCTTCAAGGTCTTGAGAAGGATTAAATCTTAATTTCCTGTGACTTAATTATAGGCTCAAAAATTACTCCTATTTACCACTGTTTCTTAGGTTACATTGACAGGTTTCTAAGGCTTAATCATTATTACAGCAAAAGGCAGTGGAGACAAACACCATAGAACAAATCTGAAAATGCCTATTCACTAAAAAATATGGCCATTGTGTCTTTCATTTCAGTACCAGCATGTTAGAAAGAGAGGTCTTGGAGGCAAAGTAAAATTTAACTGATTTTACATATAAAGGAGGAGGAACAATCTCAAACAAGAGCTGCTTTAGCAAACACCTCTAGTTCCTTCACAATATCATTGTTCTTTCTTGCTAAAATAATCCTGATATTTATTCTAAGTTGCCCCCTAGAAAGGAGACCCCATTTTCTAGCCACATTTGCAGGTATGTGGAACTACATGGCTAAGTTCTGAGTAACAAGAGGCAAATGAAAGTGGTATATGAGACTTGGAGAATCCTCCAAAAAATACTGGGGGAGGGGGGCTCAACTTCTCTTTGCTTCCTTTTTCTTGGGACACAGGAATAATGTCTAGAGCTCTAGCAGCTATCTTCAAGGAGATTTAATGTTTGGGCTTAAATTTTGCCCTAAAAATTTGATAATTATAGGAGGCTTTATATTCAAACTTGATATTTGATTATTGGAATATCTCTAAGTTGACATCTCATTATTGCATTATTTGCATTGTCCTAATGTTTTTATTTGATTTTATTATAGAAATTCTGGACTGCTTATTTCTGACAACATAGTTGAACATGAGGAAAAGAGTACATTTTCACCTTTAGGTATAAATTGACCTTCAGAGTTCATATACACTTTGGGGTTTAATATACTCAGTAATCAATTTCAGATCAAAATCAGTTCAGTCCTAAATCAATTGGGACTCTAATCTTTACTGTCCACTGGAAGTTTCAAGAAGATACTCAAAGGGAATGGTATTGAGAGAATGGAGTCATGAAGGTAGGAACAGTGCTGTCTTGATGGACTGCCAATCTACTCTCCTAAGTGAAGTGGAAAGGAATGGCCACTGACCCCAGGAATCCTTAGGTTTAATGGTTAAGATTAATGGATTAAAATAACAAAATTATTTTAACAATGTTGGGAAGCATCAGCATTGCTTACTCTCCGCTGTGATGTTTCCTTTTATGTTGATGAAGCTTCATGAGCATAACGCTCCTGGTCTCTCTCCTCCCTCTTTCTCATTCCCCCCAGTGGAAGCAGAGTGACAACTGACTGGGGATAGCGGAGGGAAAGAACATGCATAGACCAATCCCTTGCTCTCTCTTCTCTCTTGCAAACTGCCTGAAGGATGTACATGCTCTCAGTGCTGAATGTAGTACTTCAGCACTCTCTCTGCCCAGGTAAGTCAATCTTACTCGGGAGTTTAGTTTTGAGAGGTCCACTTGACTACAATATAATAGAGTACCCAACATAAAACACACATTTTAAAAAGTACATAATACAAAAAGAGTATATTGAATTATAAACACCTGACTATTGCCAAATCAAGAAATAGAACATCGCAAGCAACCAGAAGCTCTCTGTGTGTCCTTTCTGGATCTCAACTCCATTCCTACAATAGCAGTCCTAGCAAACTAATACCAATTTTTGTAGTTGTTTCCTTTGCTATCTAACTTCCTGTGCACAGAAATTTTGTGTGATTCATTCACGGTGTTGTATATAGCTGTAGTTCATTTTAATTAATTGCCAAGACTATATAAGAAGGTAGAAGCTTTCTCTATAGCTGTCCTGTTTTCTTTATAAGTGCTTACCAGAATCGCCTCTAACATATATATTTCTATCAACAATCTCTTCAAAGCAATCTAGGCTTTTTCCAACATGCGCCTCAAAACTCTTCCAGCCTCAGTGAAAAGCCACTTTTACATTTCTAGTTATTTGTTAGAGTAGCATCCTACTTCTTGGTACTCAAATCTGTATTTGTTTGCTAGGGCTACCAGAACAAAGTACCATAGATGGCATGATTAAAAAAAAATATAAATTTATCTTCTCACAATTCTGGAGACTAGACATCCAAGATTAAATTGTTGGCAGCACTGGTTTTTCTGAGTCTCTCTCCCTGGCTTGTAGATAGCCATCTTCCTCTGTATGTGTCTGTGTCATAATCTCCTATTCTTATAGATATACCAGTTTTATTGAATTAGGGTCCATTCTCACCTTATTTTACCTTAATCACCTCTTTAAAGGCTCTCTACACAAATACAATCCTACATTCTAGGACTGCATCATATGAATTTGGGGGACAGGGGACACAATTCAGCCCTGATACGGTCTGGCTGTGTCCCGACCAAAATCTCATCTTGAATTGTAGCTCCCATAACATAATCCCTAATGTCCTGGGAGGAACCCAGTGGGAGGTAATTGAATCATGGGGATGGGTTTTTCCTGCGCTGTTCTCGTGGTAGTGAATAAGTCTCACGAGATCTGATGGTTTTATAAAGGGCAGTTCCCCTGCACACACTCTCTTGCCTGCTACCACGTAAGACATGCCGTTGCTCCTCCTATGCCTTCCCCATGATTGTGAGGCCTCTCAAGCCATGTGGAACTGTGAGTCCATCAAAACTTTTTTCTTTATAAATTATCCAGTCTTGGGTGTTTCTTTATAGCAGTATGAAAATGGACTAACACAAGGCCATAATACTACAAACCAAGTTGACTTTTTCCTCTTCCCTCAGTTAATCATTAGATATATGATTAACCCATAAGTCTATGAGTAATGAGAGTTTTGTTCAACTAAGGCCCATAACTATTGTAGTTGGGATTTAACTTTCTTTGAATTTCAGCTAACGGATTAAGCCCTGGGTTTAATTCTCAGCTTTCTCCTCTCCTCCAGGTAGAGTTGGTAAGAGCCTCTTTGTGTGCAATCCAACAGGCCTTGGGGGTTTCACAACTGGCTTTGAATTGCCAGTTCCTTGTCCAGAGCTACTCATGATATTTTTGTAGAGCAGCCATGGTGTTCAGCAACAGTCATTTAGCACCTAATAGCTAGTGCTTTCTTTAAATGTCTCCAAAGCCTGATACAGGTGCATTCTCTTTCACTAGCACACCCTCTCAATTCACTGCCAATGAAAGTTTTACAATATGATCAACACCTGTGTGCAGGGGCTATTTGTGTGTCACCTACCACTATTGATGGGTCTCCACTGCCAGCCGGGCAGTGAATGATGTAGCCTCAAATCCTACCTTGTCAGTTACTTTCTCAGACCGCTTCTAACACCAGCTGTCACATATTGATTTCTCCAGAAACAAGTGCTGAGATGGGTCTTGGTGTGTGCAATGCTTTGTAGGAGCTAACACCTGTGAAGAAAAGGGGGCTGGGGCAGGATTGGGCAGGGAAAAATCTGAACTGAGATAAAGGCCCAACAAAATCTTTGCAAACCTGGCAGGCAGGTCTAGGCAAGTAAATAAGGCTTAAACGGCCGGGCTCTAAGACCTCAGCCTCATTCAGTCACCTGGTATGAGCTGCTGCCCTTAAGAGGGATGATCTTCATCAATGTAGCTCTCTGCAGCTGAGGCTGACCACAAAGGAGTTGGCAGCTGAATGCTGTTGGCTGACTGCATTCACTGCACCTGGGCTGCAGGTCCTTCCTTGAAAGAGGGTCTTGGAGGCAACTCTTTAAGTCTGGAAAAGGCACGTAAGTCTTCTGAGTGTATGCCTCAGGAGTGGAAGTTCTGGGCGATAGAGTATGTATAACTTTCACTTTAGCCAACAATGCCAAAACAAACTCTTCCAATGTGGTTGTACCAATTTACACTCTTAAGGGTTTAAGAGACTTTTAGTTGCTTCACTTCTATGTCAATGCTTAGTATTGTCTTTTGGTTTCATTTTTAGCTTCTCTGGTAGGTCTGTAAGGGTGTTATATTTTGGCATTTATTTGCATTTCACCAATTACTAATGTAGTTATGCTCTCTTTCATGTGTTTACTAGTCAATGTGGAAAAACTCTTGGAGAAGTGGCCAGTTAAAGATTTTGGCTCTTAAAAAAATGGTGTCGTATTGTGCATATGACCTCTTTAGTTGTATATGGTGTAAGCATTTTTTTTTTTTTACTTTGAGGCTTTTAATAGTATATTTTGATGGAGAGAAGTTTTAATTCTCGTGTAGTGCAATGTTTTAGTCTTTCTACAGATTTTCTTTTTGAGTTTTGTTTAGAAAGTCACTCAGCAACATAAATATGTGCTATAATGTGTGCTAAAACATATTTTCGTTTTGCTATACACCTTCAACTCACTAAGAATTTTTGTGTATGTGAGGTAGTGAAGAGTTCTAAAAATGCTTTCCCATATAAAGCTACTTTTATTTTAGCATAAATAACCAAAAAGACTACAGATAATATCCCTACCGCTATACTGTGCAAACTCATAGAATTCAGAAAATATTAAGGTTTTCTGT
This sequence comes from Homo sapiens, assembly GCF_000001405.40. NCBI lineage: Eukaryota > Metazoa > Chordata > Mammalia > Primates > Hominidae > Homo > Homo sapiens. The sequence continues at coordinate 80,961,087 of NC_000001.11, read as the reverse complement.
AACAAATACCCCCCAAATTTAAGCATCTCGAAAACCAGAAAGTTTATTTCTCATTTACATTTGTTCATCATGAGTGGGCACTGGCTTTATGTCACAGCCTCTATCTGGAACTTTGCTGGTCTTTGTGGCAGAGGGGAAAGGAGAAGGGAGGCAAACTCTTAAATCTTTTGCCCTGAAGTGATACTAACTTTTGCTCATATTTTATTGGCCAAAGCTAGTACATGGCCAACAATTCAACAATTATGTATACATATTATTTGTGCAGAGAAGGCTGGCAAATTTTGGCAAATATTAATGCATTCCATCAGACAACTTTATAATAAAACAAGTGTCTATATATACATCAGGAAGCTTCTTGTCTTTCTGTTCCTTTCCACTCAATATTTGCACCAATGTCATACTATCTTAAGTACTAGAACTTCATGCATTTAAACGATCAGTACAGTAGTCCTTTCAGCTTGTTCTTCAAGATTATCTTTCTTTTTTAACCTGTTTGCGGTTGTATTTTTAAAAATATTTTAACTTGAAAGTTTTACAAGGGCAAAAATAACGGTTTGAATTTTGATTAGAATTTTATTGGCTCTGTGACCTCATGAAGCTAATAATTCATTTTTCCTTCTATCTGGGAAAGATGATGGAACATCTGCATTGATAAAATTACCACATTCAAAACATATATATTATGTGTCAGTAAATAAACTGGACAGTGCCCTAAGTACTTAGATTTACAGTGAATATAGGTTCCCATCCTTTATGAAGCTCACGGTTTGAGGGACAATTGGTAAGAGTGGCAGATTTGTAAAGAACACAGAGTTTGGAAGCAGAATATAGCAAAATTCTTATTTGGTTTCAACAAATATGACTGAGCATGTACTCAAATCACTTGTGTAGGTATTACAGGATCCCAAAGTTGAGTTCTGAACTATAGAAGCATCCAATAAAAAGTACAAAGTGATAGAATTCTGAACTCTAGAAGCATCTAATATAAAGTACAAAATGGTAAATGTCTTGAAGAAGCAACAGATGCAGTTCTGAAAAAATAAGAGCGAGAAAGATTTCTTCCTGCCCTGAATCAAAATTAAGAAGTGAATGGGAGGACCTTGAAGGCCTTGTGCCTGAACAATACCTCATCACTATTTCCCGTGGATTCATATGGCTTCTTTCAGGACTTTTATACTAAAACGTCTGGCCCTTTAAATCATGAAATTGATTTTTATTTCAGGTGACAAATTTTAGGAAAGGGAAAAGTCTAACAGCTGCATTTATTATAATGAGTACAAATTCATAAAAGGATACATAATAAGATATTTAAAATTTTGCTCACTGAATTTCAAACCATACATTCAGAGAAAACCCATTACGAGTGAATTATGAGTTTAAAAATGTTTGCAGAGCTTTATTTTTACTTTTGTTTATTTTTTTGCTAAGGAAGTTAATTGCAAAACCTTATATTAATAGAACGTTAAGGGCAAGCTTTCTAACTTTAAGTCAAAAAATTTAAGTGTAAGTCAAAAAATTCCAAGTTACGTTTCCCTTAGTAACTGTAACTAATCTTTTTGTACACATAGTGAAGCAATAATAATAATTTTGTGCAAAATGTATATAAAAGCTGGGTTGTAGTCACTGTATGGTAACCATCATTGCATTAAAAAAATCTGTTGTATTTTTAAATTCTGACCTGAAATTTGAATGGCTATTGGGGAAATTTTATAGTGTATCTTCAAATGTAAATGACTTTATCTAATCTATTTAAAAATCACTTTTAAAATTTTAATATCACTTCAGTAGATTTCGTTTCTGAAATTTAATATACTATTGAATATTTAAGACACTTTTTACATTTATCTAAAAAAATTTCAGGCAGGATAAAATTTGTTTTCACATCGGTCATATTAAGAATTTTGGGTTATAATTGAGGTGCATCTGCGGATATAGCTCTCTTTATAACATAGATGTTAAAAATGTCTTGACTCAAAACCAGAGTCTTCAGCACTTAAGACAGCAGGTTAAATCAACTTGTTTGTTGATAGTTTATAGATTCAGTTCCCACACAAACTAAATGGAGTGCTTCAGTTTTACAGCCATACTTTGCACAGCTACCAGGGCAAATATTTTACCAGTGTTTTCCATTGTTTTTAATAGGAACTAGCAGCTGGATGTGGTGGCTCACACCTGTAATCCTAGCACTTTGGGAGGCCAAGGTGGGCGGATCACCTTAGGTTAGGAGTTTGAGACCAGCCTGGTCAACATGGTGAAACCTCATCTCTACTAAAAAAAAAAAAAAAAAATACAAAATATTGGCCAGTCTTGGTGACAGGTGCCTGTAATCCCAGCTACTCAGGAAGCTGAGGCAGGAGAATCGCTTGAACCCGGGAGGCGGAGGTTGCAGTGAGCCGAGATAGTGCCAGTGCACTCCAGCCTGGGCGACACAGCAAGACTCGGTCTCAAAAAAAAAAAAAAAAAAAAAAAAAAACCAAAAAAAGGAACTAGCAAGAGATCCTAGAAAATTCAATGAAATATATTCTTATTAATAGGCAAAGCCCAACATAAAGTATATGGCCTAGTGCAGGTGTTCAACAGAATCATTTTTATATACAAACAAAATTCATTATTAGTAGTACAAAATATCATTACAGTTAGACACTGGGGACACACAAAAAGGATCACAGGCTGAAATATTTAAGAGGCAATACTTTTTTGCTTGAAATATTTAATTTTGTCTTTCTTGCTTTCTGTGTTCCTGCCTGGTTTTGGTATAGTTTAACTCGTTCTTTTTAAATGCCTTTTGATACTTTTGTATATTCCATTTCTAATCTGTTTTCACCCATCTTGGTTCCTTACACTTTTCTGTTTACCTAACCTTTATTGTCCAATTACCCCTTTTGTTTATCTTAGGCCTGTGTTTGTCTCTTTGCTTTGATTTTTGTATACTTAGTTCTTGTTGTCATATCTGTCCTGAATTCATGTCCACAGATGATATTCTAATAAACACTTACTGGCCGGGTGCAGTGGCTCATGCCTGTAATCCCAGCATTTTGGGTTGCCTATGTGGGTGGATCATGAGGTCAGGAGATTGAGACCAGCCTGGCCAACATGGTGAAATCCTGCCTCTACTAAAAATACAAAAATCAGCCAGACATGGTGGCGCACGTCTGTAATCCCAGCTACTCGGGAGGCTGAGGCAGGATAATTACTGGAACCTGGGAGGCAGAGGTTGCAGTGAGCTGAGATCACGCCACTGCACTCCCGCTGGGTCACAGAGCAAGACTCCCTGTCAGAAAAACAAACAAAACAAAACAAAAAACACTTACCTGATGATTGCAGCTTTGGGATTTTCCCTGTGCTTCTGTGTGATGGTTCATTTTTATATGTCAACTTGTCTATGTCACAGTACCTACATATTTGGTCAAAAGTTCCTCCAAATGTTTCTATGAAGGTATTTTTGTAGATAAGGTTAATATTGGAGTCAGTGTACTTTGAGAGAAATAGACTACCCTCATAATGTGGGAGGGTCTTATTCAGTCAGTTGAATTCTTAGAAGAAAAAGACTGACCTCTCTGGAAGAAAAGGAGAAGGAATTTAGCCAGCAGACCACCTTTGGACTCAAACTTCAACTCTCCCCTGAGCCTTTAGCTTGCCAGTATACTCTACAGATTTTGGACTTGCTAGTCCTCCAAAATTTAATGAGCCAATTCCTTAATCCATGTCTCTCTCTCTCTCTCTGTATACACACACACACACACACACATATACATCTATAAAATATACATATATACTATATAATATATAGTCACATGTATTATATATAATATATACTGTCATATAATATATAATATATATTATATACATATAGAGATTATATAAGCATATTATACATACAGAGAGATTTTATGTAAAATATGACCAATGTAAAAACCAACTTTATCCTCCCTGAAATTATTTTACATAAAATCTGTTTAGATGTATATAATCTGTTTCTCTGAAGAACCCTGACAAATAGAACCTGATTTGATGGAATCTGAGCCTTTGTTCTGCTCTCAACCCTCGGGGCTGAACAAGTGCTCATTTGGCCCAATGCTATGAATACATTCCCCTTATTCAGACTTGAGGCCTTTGGCTAGTCTGAAAACCTAGGCTGTGGCAAGTGATACTAAGAAGAAGCAGTATTAGGCTTTGCAACGTTTCTATACCCTCAATATGAACAAGCAGAATTATATGACACCATCTATGTCCATGTCAATGCCTATATCATTGATGCCTTCACTGCTTGTGATGCAAGCAGTAGAAATTCTCACAAAAAGTGGAGGTTAGGGGTGGTCAGGCACAGTGGCTCATACCTGTAATCCCAGCACTTTGTGAGGCAGAGGTGGGAGGATCTCTTGAATTTGGGAGTTTGAGACCAACCTGGCCAAAATGGTGAAACCCCATATTTACTGAAAATACAAAAATTAGCCATGCATGGTGGTGGACACCTGTAATCTCTGCTACTCAGGAGGCTGAGGCAGGAGAATTGCTTGAACCCAGGAGGCGGAGGTTGCAGTGAGCTGGGATCATGCCACTGCACTCCAGCCTGGGTGACAGAGTGAGACTCTTTCTCAAAAAAAAAAAAAAAAAAAAAAATGGGATTCGAAGATTGATTTATTCTCTTAAATAGCAAAACTGGAGGTAAGATCATGTTCGGGGTTGTCTATGACACAGCTCCATGCTATTTTTTGACTCCAGCATCTTCTATTTGTTGGCTGCTTGTTTAAGTTTCATGTTTGTTGCCTCAACGTTGCAAGATGGCTGCTGTAGCTACAGGCAGCCATTCATATTTAAGCCAAAAAAAAAAAAAGTGGGGAAAGATTGGTACCGTCTCTGTTCTTTTTCTTGTTAATACTGTGCTTAATTATCTCTTCTTTGATGTGCTCATATATAGACATTTTAAAAAGGGTAACTGTACAAAGTCAGGGATCTCCTGGTTCCCAAATAAACACTAAAGCAAAAGGCTGGGAAAAGATCAGGTTACCTTTAGTCCACTCTTTCCTTTTTTAACAGTTTTATTTAGTGTAAAATCCAACTGTTATATATATATAACTGTTATAATTCGATGACTTTTACTATTTTAGAATTGTGCGATCATCACCACAACTGGTATTAGAAATTTCTCATCATCCGCCTTCCCCATCCACAAATTCCTCAGGCACATTTGCAGACAATCTCTATTTACATTCCTGCTTCAGACAACCACTGTTCTATTTTCTGTCTCTATAGATTTGACTTTTCTGAAAATTTTATGTAAATGGAATTATACAAATAGTATTTAGCATTTGATATCTTTCACTTTGTATGATGTTTTTAAAGTTCATTCAGGTAGTAGCATATTCCAGTAACATTTGTTCTTATGGCTGAGTTCCAATGTATGGATATATCCTATTTTGTTTATCCATTTCCAAGTAATTGACTATTTTATACATTTAGGCTGTTATGAATAATGCTGTTATAAACAGTTATATATGTTTTTCTGTTTACATACTTTGTTTCTCTTCAGTATATTCCTTGGAATACCACTGCTTGAATTGCATAGTAAATTTATGTTTAACCTTTTAAGAAATTGCCAGTCTCTTTTACAAAGTGGCTGCACCATTTAACATCCTTACCAGCAATAAATGAGAGTTGCACCTTCTCCAGATTCTTATCAATCTTTGTTATTGTCTGTCATTCTGATTATAGTCATCATAGTGGATATGAAGTGGTATTAATTTCATTGTTTTAATTCACAGTCCCCTAATGGCAAATATTGCTAAGTATCTTTTCATGTGCATTTTAGCCATTTGATTATCTTCTTTAGTGAGATGCATATTAGATCTTTTACCCATTTCTAAATTGGAAGTTTTGTGTTCACATTGAGTTATACATGTTCTTTATATATTTTGGATAGAAGTCCTCTGTCACATATAATGATTTGCAACTATTTTCATTCATTCTGTGGCTTATCTTCTCATTTTCCTTAATGGTGTATTTTGAAATAAAAAGTTATTATTTTGATGAGTTCTGAGTTTTTCTTTTATGGATTAAGCTTTTGGTATACTACTTCAGAACTCTATGACCCAAGATCATGAAGATATTCTTTTATGTTTTCTTGTACAAGATGTATGGTTTTTGCTCCTACATTTCGGTTTACTTTTTACTTGGAGTTAATTTATATAACATGAAATAAGGCTCTTAATTTATAGTTATGGATATCACAATGGCAAACGGTATTTGTTGAAAAGACTATCCTTTCCCCCATTAAATTGCCTTGGTACATTTTGCATAAGATCAATTGACCATAAATATTCTGTTCCATTGATCCATATGTTTATCTCTATGCCAGCATCATCTGTTTTGATTATTGTAGCTTGATAGCAAGTATTGAAATTAGAAAGTTCATACCCTCTAACATTTTTTCCTCAAAATCAATTTGGCTATTCTGGAACCTTTGCATTTCCACATAAATTTTAGGGTCAACCTGAAAATTTCTGCAAAGGAAAATCTACTGGGATTTGGATAGAAATTATACTGAATCTACAGATCAATTTGGGAAAAATTGTATCTTTATAATGTCTTCCAATCCATGAACATAAAATGTCTCCCAATTATTTAAGTCTTGTTTAATTTCTTTCAGCAACTGTATAAAACATTTTTACATTTTTTGTTAAATTTTATTCATAAGTAGTTTATTCTTTTCAGTGTTCTTGTGAGTGAAATTTTTACCTGAGTTAATTTTTAGATTGTTCATTCCTTCACTTATAGTGGTTCTACGTACCACAACTTATGACGGTGTTACATACCAATAAACCATTGTAAGTTAAGAAAAATCACAAGTCAAAAATGCATTTAATAAATGTAACCTACTGAACAATGCAGAATAGCCTAGCTTGGCCTAAATATGTTTGGAACACTTACATTAGCCTACAGTTGGGCAAAATCATCTAACACAAAGCCAATTGTATAATAAAGTGCTGAATATCTTATCTAAGAGTATTGTACCACATATTGCTAGCCCAGGAAATGATCAGAATTCATAATTTCAAGTACAGTTTCTACTAAATGCATATCATTTGCACATAATTGTAAAGTTGAAACATAAGTTGAGCAGTAGTATGTTGGGGACTATCTATGGAAGTATAATTCATTTTCCTTTTTGATATTACTCTTGGATTCTTACATCTTGCTGAACTTGTTTATTAGTACAGTCATATGCCACATAATGTTTCAGTCAAGGACAGACCGTATATAGGAGGATGGTCTCAGAATATGAGCTGAAAAGATTCTATTGCCTAGTGACTTCGTAGCCATCATAATGGCATAGTGTAACACATTACTCACATGTTTGTAGTGATGCTGGTGTAGAGGAACCTATTGTGCTGCCAGTTGCCTAAAAGTATAACACGTATAATACATACAGTACATAATTTTTAAAAATTATAATAAATCACTGATACTGGTTTATATATTTACTACATTATACTTTTATCATTATTTTAAAGTATATTCCCTCTACTTATAAAACAATGTTACAGCCAGGTGCGGTGGCTCACGCCTGTATCTCAGTACTTTGGGAGGCCGAGGAGGGCGGATCACTTGAAGTCAGGAGTTCAAGACCAGCCTTGACAACATGGTGAAACCCCATCTCTACCAAAACATACAAAAGTTAACTGGGTGTGGTGACATGTGTCTGTAGTCCTAGGGGAGGCTGAGGTGGGAGAATTGTTTGAACCTGAAAGATGTAGGTTGCAGTGAGCCAAGATTGTGCCACTTTACTTGAGCACGGGCAACAGAGTGAGATGCTGTCTCAAAAAAAAAAAAAAATAGTTAATTGTCAAGTAGCCTCAGGCAGGTCCTTCAGGAGGTACACCAGAAGAAGGCATTATTACAAGACATGATGGCTCCATGTGTGTTACTGTCCCGGAAGACCTTCCAGTGGGACAAGATGTGGAGGAGGAAGACAGCAATTCTGACCCTGAGGAGGCCTAGGCTAATGTGTTTGTGTCTTACTTTTTAACAAAAAAAGTTTAAGAAGTAAAAATAAAAGATAAAAAGTTAAAGAAAAAACCTTATAGAATAAGAATATAAAGAAAATATTTTTGAGCTGTAAAATGTTTGTATATTAAGCTAAGTGTTATTATAAAAGAGTCAAAGTTTAAAGGTTATAAAGTGAAATTAGCAGTAAACTACTGTTAATTTATCATTGAAGAAAGAAAAACATTTTTGTATAAATTTGGTGTAGCGTAAGTATACAGAAGTCTTCAGTAGTGTACAGTGATGTCCTAGGCCTTCACATTCACTTACCACTCATTCAGTGACTCACCCAGAGTAACTTCAGTCTTGCAAGCTATATTCATGGTTAAGAGCCCTATACAGATATACCATTTTTCATCTCTTATACTATAGTTTTACTATATCTTTTCTATGTTTTGATGTGCTTAGATACGCAAACATGATTATTACAGTTGCCCATAGTATCAGTATAGTGACATGCTGTATAGGTTTGTAGCCTAGGAATAATAGGCTATAGCCTAGGTCTATAGTAGGCTATTCCAACTAGGTTTGCGTAAGTGCACTCCAAGATGTTCTCATAAGAATGATACTGCCCAAAAATGCATTTCTCAGAACGCATTCCCATTGTTAAGTGACATGATTATGATTACTAGTGTTTTTTTGCTGTTATTACTGTTGTGGTTGTTTTGTTTTGGTTTTGGTAGGGATTTCTTTGGATTTTCTATAAAGAGGATCATGTCATTTGCTAATAGATTCTTTTCCTTTTAGAATCTGAATGCATTTTTTTTTTCCAGCTAGGTTGAACCGACTAGAACACTGAGTGTAGTATACACTAGAAGTGGCATCAGCAGATGCCCTTGCCTTGTTCCTTATCTTACAAGAAAAGCATTCTATTATTCACCATTAAATATGATTTTAGGTGTATGCTTTTCACAGCTTCCCTAAGGTTGAGAAATTTCCCTTTTATTACTAATTTGTTGAATTTAAATCATAGATGAGTATTACATTTTGTTAAATGCTTTTTCTGCATCTATTGTCATGATTGAATGATTTTTGTCCTTTATTTTATTAATACAGTGTATTAGATTTATTGATTTTCAGATGTTAAACCAACCATGCATCGTAGAGATAAATCCTACTTGGTCATGGTGTATCTAATCCTTTTTATATATTGCTGAACTGATTTGTTGCTAATATTTTGTTGAGGATGAGTTCTGATGTCTATATTCATGAAGAATATTGATCTCTAGCTTTTTAAATGAATTATGTGGCTGGCTTTTGGTATCAGGGTAATACTGACTATAAAATAAGGATTGCCTTCTCTATTTTTAAAAACTGTTTATGAAGGATTAGTGTTATATCTCCTTTAAGGATTACATAGAATATCTTTTTTGGATCAAGCCATTGAGCTCTGGGCTTTTCTTTGTAAGAAGATTTGTAATTAATAATTCAATCTCATTATTAGAGATCTATTCAGGCTTGTTCTTGAGGTAGTTTTTATAAATTTTTTCTTTTTTTTATGATTATTATTATACTTTAAGTTTTAGGGTACATGTGCACAATGTGCAGGTTAGTTACATATGTATACATGTGCCATGCTGGTGCGCTGCACCCACTAACTCGTCATCTAGCATTAGGTATATCTCCCAATGCTATCCTTCCCCCCTGCCCCCACCCCACAACAGTCCCCAGAGTGTGATGTTCCCCTTCCTGTGTCCATGTGTTCTCATTGTTCAATTCCCACCTATGAGTGAGAATATGCGGTGCTTGGTTTTTGTTCTTGGGATAGTTTACTGAGAATGATGATTTCCAATTTCATCCATGTCCCTACAAAGGACATGAACTCATCCTTTTTTATGGCTGCATAGTATTCCATGGTGTATATGTGCCACATTTTCTTAAACCAGTCTATCATTGTTGGACATTTGGATTGGTTCCAAGTCTTTGCTATTGTGAATAGTGCCGCAATAAACATACGTGTGCATGTGTCTTTATAGCAGCATGATTTATAGTCCTTTGGGTATATACCCAGTAATGGGATGGCTGGGTCAAATGGTATTTCTAGTTCTAGATCCCTGAGGAATCGCCACACTGACTTCCACAATGGTTGAACTAGTTTACAGTCCCACCAACAGTGTAAAAGTGTTCCTATTTCTCCACATCCTCTCCAGCACCTGTTGTTTCCTGACATTTTAATGATTGCCATTCTAACTGGTGTGAGATGGTATCTCATTGTGGTTTTGATTTGCATTTCTCTGATGGCCAGTGATGGTGAGCATTTTTTCATGTGTTTTTTGGCTGCATAAATGTCTTCTTTTGAGAAGTGTCTGTTCCTGTCCTTTGCCCACTTTTTGATGGGGTTGTTTGTTTTTTTCTTGTAAATTTGTTTGAGTTCATTGTAGATTCTGGATATTAGCCCTTTGTCAGATGAGTAGGTTGCAAAAATTTTCTCCCATTCTGTAGGTTGCCTGTTCACTCTGATGGTAGTTTCTTTTGCTGTGCAGAAGTTCCTTAGTTTAATTAGATCCCATTTGTCAATTTTGTCTTTTGTTGCAATTGCTTTTGGTGTTTTAGACATGAAGTCCTTGCCCATGCCTATGTCCTGAATGGTAATGCCTAGGTTTTCTTCTAGGGTTTTTATGGTTTTAGGTCTAACGTTGAAGTCTTTAATCCAGCTTGAATTGATTTTTGTGTAAGGTGTGAGGAAGGGATCCAGTTTCAGCTTTCTACATATGGCTAGCCAGTTTCCCAGCACCATTTATTAAATAGGGAATCCTTTCCCCATTGCTTGTTTTTCTCAGGTTTGTCAAAGATCACATAGTTGTAGATATGCGGTGTTATTTCTGAGGGGTCTGTTCTGTTCCATTGATCTATAACTCTGTTTTGGTACCAGTACCATGCTGTTTTGGTTACTGTGGCCTTGTAGTATAGTTTGAAGTCAGGTAGTGTGATGCCTCCAGCTTTGTTCTTTTGGCTTAGGATTGACTTGGCGATGTGGGCTCTTTTTTGGTTCCATATGAACTTTAAAGTAGTTTTTTCCAATTCTGTGAAGAAAGTCATTGGTAGCTTGATGGGGATGGCATTGAATCTGTAAATTACCTTGGACAGTATGGCCATTTTCACAATATTGATTCTTCCTACCCATGAGCATGGAATGTTCTTCCATTTGTTTGTATCCTCTTTTATTTCCTTGAGCAGTGGTTTGTAGTTCTCCTAGAAGAGGTCCTTCACATCCCTTGTAAGTTGGATTCCTAGGTATTTTATTCTCTGAAGCAATTGTGAATGGGAGTTCACTCATGATTTGGCTCTCTGTTTGTCTGTTGTTGGTGTATAAGAATGCTTGTGATATTTGTACATTGATTTTGTATCCTGAGACTTTGCTGAAGTTGCTTATCAGCTTAAGGAGATTTTGGGCTGAGACAATGGGGTTTTCTAGATATACAATGATGTCGTCTGCAAACAGGGACAACTTGACTTCCTCTTTTCCTAATTGAATACCCTTTATTTCCTTCTCCTGCCTAATTGCCCTGGCCAGAACTTCCAACACTATGTTGAATAGGAGTGGTGAGAGAGGGCATCCCTGTGTTGTGCCAGTTTTCAAAGGGAATGCTTCCAGTTCTTGCCCATTCAGTATGATATTGGCTGTGGGTTTGTCATAGATAGCTCTTATTATTTTGAGATACGTCCCATCAATACCTAATTTATTGAGAGTTTTTAGCATGAAGGGTTGCTGAATTTTGTCAAAGGCCTTTTCTGCATCTATTGAGATAATCATGTGGTTTTTGTCTTTGGTTCTGTTTATATGCTGGATTACATGTATTGATTTGCGTATATTGAACCAGCCTTGCATCCCAGGGATGAAGCCCACTTGATCATGGTGGATAAACTTTTTGATGTGCTGCTGGATTTGGTTTGCCAGTATTTTCTTGAGGATTTTTGCATCAATGTTCATCAAGGATATTGGTCTAAAATTCTCTTTTTTGGTTGTGTCTCTGCCCGGCTTTGGTATCAGGGTGATGCTGGCCTCATAAAATGAGTTAGGGAGGATTCCCTCTTTTTCTATTGATTGGAATAGTTTCAGAAGGAATGATACCAGTTCCTCCTTGTACCTCTGGTAGAATTCAGCTGTGAATCCATATGGTCCTGGACTCTTTTTGGTTGGTAAGCTATTGATTATTGCCACATTTTCAGCTCCCGTTATTGGTCTATTCAGAGAGTCAACTTCTTCCTGGTTTAGTCTTGGGAGAGTGTATGTGTCAAGGAATTTATCCATTTCTTCTAGATTTTCTAGTTTATTTGCATAGAGGTGTTTGTAGTATTCTCTGATGGTAGTTTGTATTTCTGTGAGATCAGTGGTGATATCCCCTTTATCATTTTTCATTGCATCTATTTGATTCTTCTCTCTTTTTTTCTTTATTAGTCTTGCTAGTGGTCTATCAATTTTGTTGATCCTTTCAAAAAACCAGCTCCTGGATTCATTAATTTTTTGAAGGGTTTTTTGTGTCTCTATTTCCTTCAGTTCTGCTCTGATTTTACTTATTTCTTGCCTTCTGCTAGCTTTTGAATGTGTTTGCTCTTGCTTTTCTAGTTCTTTTAATTGTGATGTTAGGGTGTCAATTTTGGATCTTTCCTGCTTACTCTTGTGGGCATTTAGTGCTGTAAATTTCCCTCTACACACTGCTTTGAATGTGTCCCAGAGATTCTGGTATGTTGTGTCTTTGTTCTTGTTGGTTTCAAAGAACATCTTTATTTCTGCCTTCATTTCGTTATGTACCCAGTAGTCATTCAGGAGCAGGTTGTTCAGTTTCCATGTAGTTGAGCGGCTTTGAGTGAGATTCTTAATCCTGAGTCCTAGTTTGATTGCACTGTGGTCTGAGATATAGTTTTTTATAATTTCTGTTCTTTTACATTTGCGGAGGAGAGCTTTACTTCCAAGTATGTGGTCAATTTTGGAATAGGTGTGGTGTGGTGCTGAAAAAAATGTATATTCTGTTGATTTGGGGTGGAGAGTTCTGTAGATGTCTATTAGGTCTGCTTGGTGCAGAGCTGAGTTCAATTCCTGGGTATCCTTGTTGACTCTCTGTCTCATTGATCTGTCTAATGTTGACAGTGGGGTGTTAAAGTCTCCCATTATTAATGTGTGGGAGTCTAAGTCTTTTTGTAGGTCACTCAGGACTTGCTTTATGAATCTGTGTGCTCCTGTATTGGGTGCATATATATTTAGGATAGTTAGCTCTTCTTGTTGAATTGATCCCTTTACCATGATGTAATGGCCTTCTTTGTCTCTTTTGATCTTTGTTGGTTTAAAGTCTGTTTCATCAGAGACTAGGATTGCAACCCCTGCCTTTTTTTGTTGTCCATTTGCTTGGTAGATCTTCCTCCATCCTTTTATTTTGAGCCTATGTGTGTCTCTGCATGTGAGATGGGTTTCCTGAATACAGCACACTGATGGGTCTTGACTCCTTATCCAATTTGCCAGTCCGTGTCTTTTAATTGGAGCATTTAGTCCATTTACATTTAAAGTTAATATTGTTATGTATGAATTTGATCCTGTCATTATGATGTTAGCTGGTTATTTTGCTCGTTAGTTGATGCAGTTTCTTCCTAGTCTCGATGGTCTTTACATTTTGGCATGATTTTGCAGCAGCTGGTACCGGTTGTTCCTTTCCATGTTTAGTGCTTCCTTCAGGAGCTCTTTTAGGGCAGGCCTGGTGGTGACCAAATCTCTCAGCATTTGCTTGTCTGTAAAGTATTTTATTTCTCCTTCACTTATGAAGCTTAGTTTGGCTGGATATGAAATTCTGGGTGGAAAATTCTTTTCTTTAAGAATGTTGAATATTGGCCCCCACTCTCTTCTGGCTTGTAGAGTTTCTGCCGAGAGATCTGCTGTTAGTCTGATGGGCTTCCCTTTGTGGGTAACCCAACCTTTCTCTCTGGCTGCCCTTAACATTTTTTCCTTCATTTCAACTTTGGTGAATTATGTGTCTTGGAGTTGCTCTTCTCGAGGAGTATCTTTGTGGCGTTCTCTGTATTTCCTGAATCTGAGTGTTGGCCTGCCTTGTGAGATTGAGGAAGTTCTCCTGGATAATATCCTGCAGAGTGTTTTCCAACTTGTTCCATTCTCCCCGTCACTTTCAGGTACACCAATCAGACGTAGATTTGGTCTTTTCACATAGTCCCATATTTCTTGGAGGCTTTGCTCGTTTCTTTTTATTCTTTTTTCTCTAAACTTCCCTTCTCACTTCATTTCATTCATTTCATCTTCCATCGCTGATACCCTTTCTTCCAGTTGATCGCATGGGCTCCTGAGGCTTCTGCATTCTTCACGTAGTTCTCGAGCCTTGGTTTTCAGCTCCATCAGCTCCTTTAAGCACTTCTCTGTATTGGTTATTCTAGTTATACATTCTTCTAAACTTTTTTCAAAGTTTTCAACTTCTTTGCCTTTGGTTTGAGTTTCCTCCCGTAGCTCGGAGTAATTTGATCGTCTGAAGCCTTCTTCTCTCAGCTCGTCAAAGTCATTCTCCATCCAGCTTTGTTCCGTTGCTGGTGAGGAACTGCGTTCCTTTGGAGGAGGAGAGGTGCTCTGCTTTTTAGAGTTTCCAGTTTTTCTGCTCTGTTTTTTCCCTATCTTTGTGGTTTTATCTACTTTTGGTCTTTGATGATGGTGATGTACAGATGAGTTTTTGGTGTGGATGTCCTTTCTGTTTGTTAGTTTTCCTTCTAACAGACAGGACCCTCAGCTGCAGGTCTGTTGGAGTACCCGGCCGTGTGAGGTGTCAGTGTGCCCCTGCTGGGGGGTGCCTCCCAGTTAGGCTGCTCGGGGGTCAGGGGTCAGGGACCCACTTGAGGAGGCAGTCTGCCCGTTCTCAGATCTCCAGCTGCGTGATGGGAGAACCAGTGCTCTCTTCAAAGCTCAGATGGAAATGCAGAAATCACCCATCTTCTGCGTTGCTCATGCTGGGAGCTGTAGACTGGAGCTGTTCCTATTCGGCCATCTCAGCTCCTCCCACTCTATAAATTTTTTCTTTAAGGAAATACAGTTCATCAAAGTTGTCTTAAGTTGTTGAAATATAGTTTTCATAACCTTCTCTTACAATTCTTTTAAAATTTTTCAGTTGTGTAGTCCTGTCTTCTTTTTCATTTTTTAATTTTTTTAAAAAAAATAATGATAGGGTCTTGCTATGTTGCCCAGGCTGGTCTTGAACTCCTGGGCTTAAATGATCCTCCTGCCTCTGCTTCCTGAGTAGCTGGGACTACAAGCATGAGCCACCATGCCTGACCTCCTCTTCCATTTAATATTTAAAAATTTGATAATTTGTGTCTTCTTTATTTTTGTCATGGTCTCTCTAGCAAAAGGATTCTCATGTTTTTTGATCATTAAAAAATTATTGGTATCACTGATTTATTCTACTGTTTTTCTGTTTTCTGCTTTATTGATTTTCACACTAATCTTTATTATTTTCTTTCTCCTTTCTACTATTGCGAAAAATGCTGCTATGAACACTCATGTTCAAGTTTTTGTGTAAAGGTATGTTTTTAATTTTCTTGAGCATATACCTATGATTGAAACTGATAAGTCATATGCTAATTCTGTTTACTTTTTTTAGCAACTGACAAACTATTTTCACAGTGGCAGGTTATTGATTTTTTTATTTTTCCTAATGTAGACATTTAAAGCTGTTAAGCAGTGCTCGAGTTGTATCTCATAATTAATATGTTGTGCTACGGTTTGAATGTGTCCTTCCAAAACCATGCATTGGAAACTTAATCCCCATTGGTATGTTATTAAGAAGTGAGACTTTGGGAGGAGCCAAGATGGCCGAATAGGAACAGCTCTGGTCTACAGCTCCCAGCGTGAGCGACGCAGAAGACGGGTGATTTCTGCATTTCCATCTGAGGTACCGGGTTCATCTCACTAGGGAGTGCCAGACAGTGGGCGCAGGCCAGTGTGTGTGCGCACCGTGCGCGAGCCGAAGCAGGGCGAGGCATTGCCTCACCTGGGAAGCGCAAGGGGTCAGGGAGTTCCCTTTCTGAGTCAAAGAAAGGGGTGACGGACGCACCTGGAAAATCGGGTCACTCCCACCCGAATATTGCGCTTTTCAGACCGGCTTAAGAAACGGCGCACCATGAGACTATATCCCACACCTGGCTCGGAGGGTCCTACGCCCACGGAATCTCGCTGATTGCTAGCACAGCAGTCTGAGACCAAACTGCAAGGCAGCAACGAGGCTGGGGGAGGGGCGCCCGCCATTGCCCAGGCTTGCTTAGGTAAACAAAGCAGCCAGGAAGCTCGAACTGGGTGGAGCCCACCACAGCTCAAGGAGGCCTGCCTGCCTCTGTAGGCTCCACCTCTGGGGGCAGGGCACAGACAAACAAAAAGACAGCAGTAACCTCTGCAGACTTAAGTGTCCCTGTCTGACAGCTTTGAAGAGAGCAGTGGTTCTCCCAGCACGCAGCTGGAGAACTGAGAACGGGCAGACTGCCTCCTCAAGTGGGTCCCTGACCCCTGACCCCCGAGCAGCCTAACTGGGAGGCACCCCCCAGCAGGGGCACACTGACACCTCACACAGCAGGGTATTCCAACAGACCTGCATCTGAGGGTCCTGTCTGTTAGAAGGAAAACTAACAACCAGAAAGGACATCTACACCGAAAACCCATCTGTACATCACCATCATCAAAGACCAAAAGTAGATAAAACCACAAAGATGGGGAAAAAACAGAACAGAAAAACTGGAAACTCTAAAACGCAGAGCACCTCTCCTCCTCCAAAGGAACGCAGTTCCTCACCAGCAACAGAACAAAGCTGGATGGAGAATGATTTTGACGAGCTGAGAGAAGAAGGCTTCAGACGATCAAATTACTCTGAGCTACGGGAGGACATTCAAACCAAAGGCAAAGAAGTTGAAAACTTTGAAAAAAATTTAGAAGAATGTATAACTAGAATAACCAATACAGAGAAGTGCTTAAAGGAGCTGATGGAGCTGAAAACCAAGGCTCGAGAACTACGTGAAGAATGCAGAAGCCTCAGGAGCCGATGCGATCAACTGGAAGAAAGGGTATCAGCAATGGAAGATGAAATGAATGAAATGAAGCGAGAAGGGAAGTTTAGAGAAAAAAGAATAAAAAGAAATGAGCAAAGCCTCCAAGAAATATGGGACTATGTGAAAAGACCAAATCTACGTCTGATTGGTGTACCTGAAAGTGATGTGGAGAATGGAACCAAGTTGGAAAACACTCTGCAGGATATTATCCAGGAGAACTTCCCCAATCTAGCAAGGCAGGCCAACGTTCAGATTCAGGAAATACAGAGAACGCCACAAAGATACTCCTCGAGAAGAGCAACTCCAAGACACATAATTGTCAGATTCACCAAAGTTGAAATGAAGGAAAAAATGTTAAGGGCAGCCAGAGAGAAAGGTCGGGTTACCCTCAAAGGAAAGCCCATCAGACTAACAGCGGATCTCTCGGCAGAAACCCTACAAGCCAGAAGAGAGTGGGGGCCAATATTCAACATTCTTAAAGAAAAGAATTTTCAACCCAGAATTTCATATCCAGCCAAACTAAGCTTCATAAGTGAAGGAGAAATAAAATACTTTATAGAAAAGCAAATGCTGAGAGATTTTGTCACCACCAGGCCTGCCCTAAAAGAGCTCCTGAAGGAAGCACTAAACATGGAAAGGAACAACCGGTACCAGCTGCTGCAAAATCATGCCAAAATGTAAAGACCATCGAGACTAGGAAGAAACTGCATCAACTAATGAGCAAAATCACCAGCTAACATCATAATGACAGGATCAAATTCACACATAACAATATTAACTTTAAATATAAATGGACTAAATTCTGCAATTAAAAGACACAGACTGGCAAGTTGGATAAAGAGTCAAGACCCATCAGTGTGCTGTATTCAGGAAACCCATCTCATGTGCAGAGACACACATAGGCTCAAAATAAAAGGATGGAGGAAGATCTACCAAGCCAATGGAAAACAAAAAAAGGCAGGGGTTGCAATCCTAGTCTCTGATAAAACAGACTTTAAACCAACAAAGATCAAAAGAGACAAAGAAGGCCATTACATCATGGTAAAGGGATCAATTCAACAAGAGGAGCTAACTATCCTAAATATTTATGCACCCAATACAGGAGCACCCAGATTCATAAAGCAAGTCCTGAGTGACCTACAAAGAGACTTAGACTCCCACACATTAATAATGGGAGACTTTAACACCCCACTGTCAACATTAGACAGATCAACAAGACAGAAAGTCAACAAGGATACCCAGGAATTGAACTCAGCTCTGCACCAAGCAGACCTAATAGACATCTACAGAACTCTCCACCCCAAATCAACAGAATATACATTTTTTTCAGCACCACACCACACCTATTCCAAAATCGACCACATACTTGGAAGTAAAGCTCTCCTCAGCAAATGTAAAAGAACAGAAATTATAACAAACTATCTCTCAGACCACAGTGCAATCAAACTAGAACTCAGGATTAAGAATCTCACTCAAAGCCGCTCAACTACATGGAAACTGAACAACCTGCTCCTGAATGACTACTGGGTACAGAACGAAATGAAGGCAGAAATAAAGATGTTCTTTGAAACCAACGAGAACAAAGACACCACATACCAGAATCTCTGGGATGCATTCAAAGCAGTGTGTAGAGGGAAATTTATAGCACTAAATGCCTACAAGAGAAAGCAGGAAAGATCCAAAATTGACACCCTAACATCACAATTAAAAGAACTAGAAAAGCAAGAGCAAACACATTCAAAAGCTAGCAGAAGGCAAGAAATAACTAAAATCAGAGCAGAACTGAAGGAAATAGAGACACAAAAAACCCTTCAAAAAATCAATGAATCCAGGAGCTGGTTTTTTGAAAGGATCAACAAAATTGATAGACTGCTAGCAAGACTAATAAAGAAAAAAAGAGAGAAGAATCAAATAGACACAATAAAAAATGATAAAGGGGATATCACCACCGATCCCACAGAAATACAAACTACCATCAGAGAATACTACAAACACCTCTACGCAAATAAACTAGAAAATCTAGAAGAAATGGATACATTCCTCGACACATACACTCTCCCAAGACTAAACCAGGAAGAAGTTGAATCTCTGAGTAGACCAATAACAGGCTCTGAAATTGTGGCAATAATCAATAGTTTACCAACCAAAAAGAGTCCAGGACCAGATGGATTCACAGCCGAATTCTACCAGAGGTACAAGGAGGAACTGGTACCATTCCTTCTGAAACTATTCCAATCAATAGAAAAAGAGGGAATCCTCCCTAACTCATTTTATGAGGCCAGCATCATTCTGATACCAAAGCCGGGCAGAGACACAACCAAAAAAGAGAATTTTAGACCAATATCCTTGATGAACATTGATGCAAAAATCCTCAATAAAATACTGGCAAACCGAATCCAGCAGCACATCAAAAAGCTTATCCACCATGATCAAGTGGGCTTCATCCCTGGGATGCAAGGCTGGTTCAATATACGCAAATCAATAAATGTAATCCAGCATATAAACAGAGCCAAAGACAAAAACCACATGATTATCTCAATAGATGCAGAAAAAGCCTTTGACAAAATTCAACAACCCTTCATGCTAAAAACTCTCAATAAATTAGGTATTGATGGGACGTATTTCAAAATAATAAGAGCTATCTATGACAAACCCACAGCCAATATCATACTGAATGGGCAAAAACTGGAAGCATTCCCTTTGAAAACTGGCACAAGACAGGGATGCCCTCTCTCACCGCTCCTATTCAACATAGTGTTGGAAGTTCTGGCCAGGGCAATCAGGCAGGAGAAGGAAATAAAGGGTATTCAATTAGGAAAAGAGGAAGTCAAATTGTCCTTGTTTGCAGACGACATGATTGTTTATCTAGAAAACCCCATCGTCTCAGCCCAAAATCTCCTTAAGCTGATAAGCAACTTCAGCAAAGTCTCAGGATACAAAATCAATGTACAAAAATCACAAGCATTCTTATACACCAACAACAGACAAACAGAGAGCCAAATCATGAGTGAACTCCCATTCACAATTGCTTCAAAGAGAATAAAATACCTAGGAATCCAACTTACAAGGGATGTGAAGGACCTCTTCAAGGAGAACTACAAACCACTGCTCAAGGAAATAAAAGAGGACACAAACAAATGGAAGAACATTCCATGCTCATGGGTAGGAAGAATCAATATCGTGAAAATGGCCATACTGCCCAAGGTAATTTACAGATTCAATGCCATCCCCATCAAGCTACCAATGACTTTCTTCACAGAATTGGAAAAAACTACTTTAAAGTTCATATGGAACCAAAAAAGAGCCCGCATCGCCAAGTCAATCCTAAGCCAAAAGAACAAAGCTGGAGGCATCACACTACCTGACTTCAAACTATACTACAAGGCTACAGTAACCAAAACAGCATGGTACTGGTACCAAAACAGAGATATAGATCAATGGAACAGAACAGAGCCCTCAGAAATAATGCCGCATATCTACAACTATCTGATCTTTGACAAACCTGAGAAAAACAAGCAATGGGGAAAGGATTCCCTATTTAATAAATGGTGCTGGGAAAACTGGCTAGCCATATGTAGAAAGCTGAAACTGGATCCCTTCCTTACACCTTATACAAAAATCAATTCAAGATGGATTAAAGATTTAAACGTTAGACCTAAAACCATAAAAACCCTAGAAGAAAACCTAGGCATTACCATTCAGGACATAGGCGTGGGCAAGGACTTCATGTCCAAAACACCAAAAGCAATGGCAACAAAAGCCAAAATTGACAAATGGGATCTAATTAAACTCAAGAGCTTCTGCACAGCAAAAGAAACTACCATCAGAGTGAACAGGCAACCTACAACATGGGAGAAAATTTTCGCAACCTACTCATCTGACAAAGGGCTAATATCCAGAATCTACAATGAACTCAAACAAATTTACAAGAAAAAAACAAACAACCCCATCAAAAAGTGGGCGAAGGACATGAACAGACACTTCTCAAAAGAAGACATTTATGCAGCCAAAAAACACATGAAGAAATGCTCATCATCACTGGCCATCAGAGAAATGCAAATCAAAACCACTATGAGATATCATCTCACACCAGTTAGAATGGCAATCATTAAAAAGTCAGGAAACAACAGGTGCTGGAGAGGATGTGGAGAAATAGGAACACTTTTACACTGTTGGTGGGACTGTAAACTAGTTCAACCATTGTGGAAGTCAGTGTGGCGATTCCTCAGGGATCTAGAACTAGAAATACCATTTGACCCAGCCATCCCATTACTGGGTATATACCCAAAGGACTATAAATCATGCTGCTATAAAGACACATGCACACGTATGTTTATTGCGGCACTATTCACAATAGCAAAGACTTGGAACCAACCCAAATGTCCAACAATGATAGACTGGATTAAGAAAATGTGGCACATATACACCATGGAATACTATGCAGCCATAAAAAATGATGAGTTCATGTCCTTTGTAGGGACATGGATGAAATTGGAAACCATCATTCTCAGTAAACTATCGCAAGAACAAAAAACCAAACACCGCATATTCTCACTCATAAGTGGGAATTGAACAATGAGATCACATGGACACAGGAAGGGGAATATCACACTCTGGGGACTGTGGTGGGGTCGGGGGAGGGGGGAGGGATAGCATTGGGAGATATACCTAATGCTAGATGACACGTTAGTGGGTGCAGCGCACCAGCATGGCACATGTATACATATGTAACTAACCTGCACAATGTGCACATGTACCCTAAAACTTAGAGTATAACAAAAAAATAAAAAATAAAATAAAAAATAAAAAAAAAAAAAAAATTAAATGTTCAAAAAATTTTAATGATATGGTCCTGATACAATGTTAAGTGAAAAACAAATAAAGAAAAATATATAATTAAAAAAAAAAAAAAAAAAAAAAAAAAAAAAAAAAAAAAAAGAAGTGAGACTTTTAAGGGGTGACTAGGCCATGAAGGCTCTGTCATCATTAATGGATTAATGTCATTATGGATTGGGTTTGTTATCTCAGGAGTGTATTCCTTATAAAAGGATGAAGTTGGCTCCCTCTTGCGCGCGCGCTCTCTCTCTCTCTCTCTCTCTCTCTCTCTCTCTCTCGCTCTCTCTCACCCTTTTTGCCTTTCTGCCATGGGATGACACAGCTAAGAAAGCCATTGCCAGATGCCAACCTCTCAGTCTTGGACTTTGCAGCCTCTTGAACCAGGAGCCAATCAGTGTCTGTTCATTGTAAATTACCAAGTCTGTGGTGGTAGTACTATAGCAGCACAAAATTTAGACATGTTGTATTTTCATTGTCACTTAGTTTAAAAAACTTTCTAACCTGTTATTTTTTTCATTGATCCATCAGTTTTTTATAAGTGTGTTGATTAATTTCTAAATTTTTTTTCTGCTGTTGATATGTAACATGATTATATTACAGTTGAAGTATATACTTCATATGATTTCCATCCTTTTACATTTGTTTCGCCTTATTTTATAGCCTGGAGTATTAATTACCTTGGGGGATTTTTTTTTGTGATTGAAAGGACGAGTATTTTGTTGCTGGATGAAGTGTTTACTAGTTATCAGTTAGGTCCAATTTGTTTATAGTGTTGGATAACTCTTCTATATCTTTGATAATTTTCTCTCTAGGTGTTCTATCAGTTCTTGAGAGTGAGATACTGAAGTCTGTATCTATTATAAAATTGTCTAATTCTCTTCTCTGTCAGTTTTTACTTCATGAATTTTGGGGCTCTATTTTTAGATGTGCTTAAGTTTATAATTGTTACATTATTGATTAACACTTCCATTATAAAATGTCCCATTTTGTCTGTAGGAACAGTTTTGTCTTTAAAACTATTTTAGTATGGCCACTCTGAATCTCTTGTGGTTATTATTGGCATGGTGTGTATTTTTTATTTTCTTTGAACTTATTTTTGTCATTAAATATGAAGAGTTCTCTTGTAGACTGCATACAATTACATATCCTTTATCCAGTTAGACAATTTCTTTATATTTAATCAATAGGAATTTATTACAATTATTGGTATGATTATGCCTGCTATTTTGCTATTTGTCCTCTATATGTCTCTTTTTTCTGTTCTTCCTTTAGTGTCTTGTTATGTGTAAAGTAGATATTTTTGCCTGAACTAATTTTGTAGTCTTTCTCTCAATGTATGGCCATAGATGTCTCTGCTCAGATATTTTTAGTGGACTATTTAAATTTCTTTTTGGGTTATTCTCCTATAAAGTTGTTTTCTTACTGGTTTCTGTAGCAGTCATTATGTATATCTTAGTACATTCTACTTTGATTAATACTTAAAATATAGAAACTTTAGTCCAAAATAGCTACATATTCTCCTCTATCCTTCATGACAGCGCTGTCGTATATATTTGTTTTTTAATTTATAGGCCTAAAATTTCATTATAAATATTGTTTTATGTAATTTTTAAAAAATGAGTTGATAAAATTAATAAAGTAAATGTATGCTGCCTTTTATATTAACTAGACAGTTACCTTTACCATTGTCTTTTGTTTCTTTTTGTGATTTGTGTTACCATCTGATGTCATTCTCTTTCGGTTTGCAAAAATTCCTTCAGGAGAAAAGAAATTCTCTCAGCATTTATCTTAAAATGCCTATTTGACCTTCATTTTAAACAATAGTCTTCCTTAGTATCAAATTTTTAGTTGACTTATTTTTCTTCCTTTTAGGTCTTTGAATGTGTCATCCCAGGGCCTTCTGCTATTCATTTATTCCTAATGAGGTGCCAGATATTAATTTTATTGTGGTTCTGCTCTATGTGATAAGTCATTTTCCTTACACTTCTTTCAAGATTTTGTTTGTTTGTTTTTGAACAAATACATTGATTTGATGCATATAGGTATGGATGTCTTATTTATCCCATCTGGAGATTGTTGAGCTTTCCAGATGCATAAGTTGATAGTTTTCCTCACCATTTGAACATTTTTTGGACATTATTTCTACAAATAGTCTTTCTAGCCCATTCTGCTTTTCTTCACCCACTTTTACTCCCATTATGCATATATTGATGTGTTTGATGGTGTTGCACAAGATTTCTGAGGATTACTTGTCTTTTATTTTTTAAAATTGTCCATTTTTCAGATTAGAATCTCCTGTTGGTCTACAAGTTTATTGATTCTTTTGCCAGCTCACATCTGTTCTTGACCCCTCAGTTTTATTTTCATTTCAGTTATTGTACTTTTTGACAGAAGACTTTCCAATTGGTTCTGATAATTTTTGTCTTTATTGACATTCTCTATTTGATGTGCCACTGTCATCATTGTTTCCTTTAGTTCTTTGAATATATTTTTAATTGTGACTTCAGAGTCTTTATCTTCTAAATCCAACATCCAGGCCCCCTCAGAGACAATTACCATCAACTGCTTTCTCCCCGCTGTGTATGTGACACACTGTTGTTTCTCTGATTGTCTTGCATTTTTGGCTGCATAGTAGATGACTTGGAAAATGTACCATAGCAAATCAGAATTCTGATTTTTCCTCTTCCCAGGGGTTATAGTTATGGTTTTTATTATTGTTGTTGTTGTTGTTATTTTGCTGTTATTTGTTTAGTGACTTGCCTGAATTAATTTTGTAGAGTCTGTCTCTCCCTCAGTGTGTGGCCATGGATGTCTCTGCTCAGGTTTTTATTTCCTTTTGAATTTTCTTTCTAAGCCTGACATCTAGAGATTAGTTAGTATAACTAAGTGATCAGATAGTAATTGGTCAAAATTATACGTACACACCTTGAGCCAATAAATCTTCCACCCTTTGCCGGTAGATCTGGGTATATGTTAAGGAATGCATTCAAAGTTCAGGCAGTTTACAAGTGTGTTCTAGTTTTTACTTTTTTTCTAGGCCACCTCATGTCACCTCTCTGCACTAGGACTCAAATTCAGTCAGAGACACGTAGGTAGCTAGGGCCGTCTCTGGTATCTCCTGAGTATGCGCTCACTCTTATGCTTATGTAGACCAGCCTTCTAGACCAAAGAGATATGAGAAGCATATCCAGACCCAGTGTAGTTGCCTTATTTTCTGGATATTCCTATTAAATTTCTGGCTAGTGTGCTAGTCTGTTGCTTGACACAACCAGTGTCACAACCTCAGACTAGTTGTGAGGTTGGTTTCTTTGAATCATTGCAATCAATATTACTGTCGTTTCAACAACATTGCTAGGGATGGGTTTTTCTCCAAATCAAGTCAGCTTCCTCTGGTAGCAGAGATTTTCTCACAGCTTGCCTCTCTCTGGTTGAAATATTGGGCTAATGGGGCTGAGGGTAGGAGTGGGATGGGAGCAACCTTAGGCTAAGACACCATTCACTGTCTTCATAGAAG
Organism: Homo sapiens; assembly: GCF_000001405.40. NCBI lineage: Eukaryota > Metazoa > Chordata > Mammalia > Primates > Hominidae > Homo > Homo sapiens. The sequence continues at coordinate 80,935,673 of NC_000001.11, read as the reverse complement.
TTTTAGTAATTTTACTTTAATTAAATCTTCCAATTTGTTGTATGCCTTTAGCTGACTTTTGGAGCATGGACATTGCTGTTTTTAACGATACTGTGCACTTTTATTATTTCCTTTTGCGAAGAGAGTTGGCTCAGCTTCTCATTCTACCAATCTAGGAGTTACATTATTTTTATGAGAAAAAGAGAAAGTTTTCCCCCGAAGATGGGGATAATGTCTAATTATACTTCATTGAACAAAGCTGTGTCACATAACTCCTTGGTGCGAGGGGAACTGAAGTCAAAGAGAAATTAGCTTTCATAGCCCCTATAATGAAGGCTGGCTAGTGAGAAAATGTGGACATAGGTTTGAGGTCAGACAAAATAATGCTCTACCCCTCTAGCTCTTGTTACCATTAAGTATAAAATGCAAGTATTTGTTTTGACACTTAAACATTAGCAACACTATTCCAAAGTTAATTGGACATTAATTTCATTAGGTCTCACGTTGAAGGATGTAGAGAAAAAGAAATCTGGTTATTTTGAAAGGCATACACACTGAGGTTAAACTACATGAGTTTTACACTAGCTGAATCATGTATGAACATAGTAACCTTGGGCAAGTTACAGAACTTATCTATCCTTTTGTTTTTACATATGTCAAATGTGGATAATAATTATTCTTCAAGGGTTGTAGTAAGAATTAAATGTCTGTGAAGCGCTTTGCTGGGAGTCTGGCTCACAGCTACTGTCTAACAAATATTAAGTTCCTGTGCTCATAAGTCGCTTTCTAGAAAAACCAATTCAACTTAATATGGAAGTCTTCCTTTGTTGCCACAGAATATTTTTCAGTGATGATAAAACTGGAAGAAAGATGCTTTAATTTTTATGTCAACCATGGAATACTCTAAGGACCAGTAAATATGATATTTCATGTAGAGAAGCACCTGGTTTTCAGTGAATGAAACTGAACCTAGGCAAGCTACCAACTGATGCTTGGTACCTTTCCTTCTAGGATTGAGTCATGGAACCAGCAACCCCAGCTTGAAAATAACGACATTGTATGAAAGCTGGAGAGATCCTAGTGAATTATTTACTACTTAGAATATGAGGTGGAAAGGAAGAATAGAAATGAACTGATTAAATAATATTTTTAAAAGCATATTGGCAGTGTTTATTACCATAGTTGGCCCTTGAACAACAATTTTGAACTTCATGTGTTCGCTTATGTGTAAATTGTCTTCTGCCTCTATCACTCCTGAGACAGCAAGACCAGCCCCTCCTCTTCCTCCTCTTTCTCAGTGTACTGAACTGTGAAGATGAGGGTAAAAAAAGATCTTTATGATGATCCACTTCCACTTAACAAATAGTAAATATATTTTCTCTACCTTATGATTTTCTTGATAACATTTTTTTCTCCAGCTTACTTTATTGTAAGAATATAATATATAATACATATAACCTACAAAATATGTGTTGATTGACTGTTTGTATTATCAGTAAAGTCAATGGTAGTCTATTAGTAGTAAAGTTTCTGAGGAGTCAAAAATTATATGAAGACTGCACAGGGGCTGATTTTCCTAACCCTTTATGGTTCAAGGGCCAACTGTATATGTGTGTATACATATAAATGGTATATATTTCTCATTATGATCAAATACAGAATAGATTTCTGATATTATAAAATGACAGTTCACTTATGGATAATTGGAAAGGAAATGAAAAATAAAGGAGATCCCATGAATATACTGAGAGTAGCAGTCAGAAAAAATAAAATCAGCATATAGATATATATGCTATAATGCAATTTCATTTTCAGTCAGCCAAAATTAATTGATTAAATAAGTTATAATAAAAGTAAAAGTCTTTTAAAGGTAATACATTTTCTATTCATAATGAATTAATGACCATTAGTGATACCTACAAGTAATTATAGATTTTTATAATTTGAAAAAAATTTTGGTCATATTTTAGAAATAAAAAATATGTAGTGGCACAATACTATCCAGAAATCTATTACAAGGGCCAGAACTTTTGTGATGAATTGGGAATGTAAATAAGCTACTTCTATTAGTTTCATTTAAACATGAAGCAATGGGAACCATCTCTGTTATGATTACTGCAATTACCACAGTTCTTGCCAAATTTTCCACCCACTGCTTATTATCTCATTTCTCCAGAGAAGCAGTGCCTGAATATATCATTGTTGATGATACAGACAGTGTGAATACATTTGCTCTTTTAAGGGGGGAGGATGGGATGAGGGCAGGTGCATTGTGCGCACAGTGACTAGCTCTCCACTGTGATGACAGTGATAATGTTTTTATAACCAGTCTCCTCTGAAATTTAGGTCACTGTTAGTGCTCTGTATTGCTTTTATTTCTCTGAATTTAGTCCTGAAAATTGCTGACCACTTTTTCATTGCATCTTCCTACCTCATAATAGCTAAACTACAAGTGCTCTGTTTCCTGATTACCTGAAACTGAGATCAGAATTGGTACCTAATAAATCCTCAAACTCTGTACTAGCATTTGTGTAGCCATATGGTGATTTCAGAAAGGCTTGTCAAAATATATGAAAGGTAAAAATGTACAGACATTTCAGCAAAATTCATTACAAGAAAAAAAGTCCTTAGTAAGACACATATCAATTGTTTCATGTTGCTGTGATTCTGTTGTGTAGGAAAGGCAAAGGTATAATTCTTATTTAGACGAGTTGACTGGGGGATTGAGAAAAGTCCTGTTCACTCTTAGGTGACCCTTTCAGACTTAAAGAGAGTACACAGAGGCTATAAAGAAAAATCAAAGAGATGACAACTAAGGCTGAAGTTACACAATGGAATAAGAAGAATGAAAATGATGAGAAGGACTGAGAAAAAGAATTTCTAGATCTGAAAACAGTATTCCACAGCAAGAATAAGATGTGTTGTACTGTAAATGCCTTGGTGTGAAGCACCTTGCAGTGCTGTGAACTTAAGTCTAATGTCAAGATCTTTGCATGTGGGAACTCTCAGGAATTGGAGAATTTTTTTTTTTTTTTGCGAATTTCTGCTACACTATAGATTCTATCTAGGATTATTATATTTTATCATTTCAACCTGAGGAAAAGGATTGATTAAAGATTCTCTGCTATTCTCTTGTATATATAGACTACACGTATAGTAGGACCACAATACACCAAACGCCAGCAGACTATGGCAGTTAATTGTCAGACTCTGGAGCCAAAACATGTTTGTTTGAATTTCAGTTCTAGTACTTATTAGGTATGTGATCCATGAACATGACATTTTGCCTTTATCTGCTTCAACATCCTCATCATTCATTAGAAATAATAATAGTATGCAATAGGATTGCCCCAGAATGTACAGTTTCTAATCCAAATTTTTAAAAAATATAAATAATAACTTTAGCAAAGAGCTTTAAGTTTTTCAGTGGGCAGGTTCTACCTGAAAACACAATTACTTTTGTCAAGGATGTGGAATATTATGACAGGTTCAATTTGGATTAAGTGCCTACATCTTGATTAATCAACTATACAACTAGTGGTCTGCAGTTGCATGGCAACTGTAAATCAGATTTTAAGATTACGATCAAGGAGTATTTCCCATAAAGATTAGGGTGCTAATTCCCTTATTAGACAGACAGATTAATGAGTTTCTACTCTAAGATTTGGGTTGATTTAACTGAATGTTATAGAGAAATGTATGTTACCTCTCTTCAAAATTCCTGAGGTAAGCCTGTACATTTTGGTGACTTACAGGCTGCAGTTAGTTGTACTTCTCATCAAAATACCATCATTCTCTTAATCGGGCACCATTTGTTTCCTCCTATTTTGTTCGTTAGAAATACAAATGTACAGTGAATTTTTTACTTTTTGTAACTAAAAAAGAATTACTTTTTCTTATCTCTCACAATACAATAGGATGATATTTGATATATACCTGGGTTCACAATAATGTAATAAATTACTATTTTTAGTGAATTGAATATGTTTTGCTTTTACACAAATTCAGCCTAACTAATAAAGTTTCCACAATTTTTTTTTGGCAACTTTTCGGTGAGATTTCTGCTTTTATATGTTTTTGTGTTGTAGCTGATTATCTTTTCATTTCAACCTGAAGAGCTCCCTTTATCACTTCCTATAAGGCAGATCTATTGCTGATGAAATTTCCCAGTTTTTGTTCATCTGGGAAAATTTTTTTCTTTCCTTTATTTTTAATGGACAGTGTTGCTGGACAAAGTATTCTAGGTTGCAGGTTTTTTTAAAAAAATCTTTCAATACTTTGAATATATTATCTCACATTCCTCTGGCCTATTTAGGCTCTTGTGGAGAAATCCCCTGATAGTCTTCTGGAGGCTCTCTTGTATGTGACAAGTTGCTTTTCTCTTGTTGCTTTCAAAATTCTCTTTCTTTACCATTGACAGTTTTATTATAATGTGTCTTGATACATATCTTTTTGGAGCCAACCTATTGAAGACCTTTGGGTTTCACAAATCTGAAGGTCCATTTTCCTTTCTGAATTTGGGAAAATTTCAGCCATTATCTCCTTGTGCTTTCTTCTCATTTTCTTTTATTCCTCTTGTCTTTTCATAATAATATACTGGTTTACATGATAGGGTGCCATAAGTCGCTTTACTCTTTTTCATTCTTTTTTCTTTAAAGTGTGATAATGTTGAGTTACCTGTCTTCAGATTTACTGATTTTTTTTCTTCATCTTAATCAAATCTGGGGTTGAGGCTCTATAATGAATTTTTCAGTTTAGTCATTGTATTCTTCAGTCCCAGGACTTCTGTTTTTGTTGTTTCTTACAATTTCTACTTATTGAACTTATTTTGTTTGTGTACTATTTTTCTGATTTTATTTGAATGCCATTTAGATGTCTTGTAGCTCATAGAGCTCATTTAAGACATTTAAAGAAAATTCTTTATCAAGCAGTTCATGGCTATCCATTTCCTGAGGATTGGTTACTGGAGCTTTGTTACCTTGGGGTTTGTCACATTTGCCTGACTTTTCATGATCCTGTGGCTATGTGTTTGTGTCTGTGCATTTGAAGGAGCAGTCATCTCTTCCAGTCTTTACAGACTGATTCTGGCAGATAAAGACCTATCCCTGCCAAGTACAGACAAGACTTCCTCCAGAACCATGACTGAGCAGACCTAGGGACACATCATGGGGTTTCTTCTGTATCCACAGTCAGGCCTGCAGTTGGTAGACCTGTTAATAGGAAGCACAAATGGGCATGGCTCCTGCCTAGTCCTTAGGCAGACAGAATTGCACTGGGAACTTCAGTCTAGTGGCACTGGAGCCAGACCATAATTCTGGGTCCATTCAGGTCTGCAGTCAGGTCCCTGTGGTCAGCACACCAGTTATCAAGGGTGTAGGTAGGTGTCGCTACTGCCTAGTTCTTGGATAGATGTGACTGCCTCCAGGACTGCTTACAAGTGGGGATGGAGAAAAGTCCACAGTGGATGGTACTGCTTCCAAGTCTGTAGCCATATCCTCAGTGGCAGGCTTGCTACTGGAGCACGGGTCTGCCTTCTCAAAGCCACTTTCCTTGGTCCAGGGCTCCAACAGAGTGTCACAATTGCTTACTTGGGTCCTGAAGTTCCCACAAAAAACAAATTTTTTTCTTGGATGGTTGCCAAATTATTGCTTCGGGGGATATGAAGGCTGTAGACATTCTATTCTATCATTTGGCTGGTGTTACTTGCCCAGAACTTTTTAAATAGCATTGGTAATATAAACAAAACAGATTACTTCTGAGCCTTTATGAGCTAGGACAAGACACCTGACATATTGGTAGTAATTAAAAATCATTATATAAATGGAACAGAGAAAAATTGATCCTGTATGTACTTTTATCTTTAAAATGGTTAATTTGTAAATAGATAATTTCTAGAGGGAATTTTATTTCTATGATTCACCACAGTATCATACCTGAATTTTGGTAATTAGGTCAAAACATAAAACATAAATGCCCATGGATGGGCCTGGTGGGAAGCAATAAATATGATTATATTATTAAGCCTATTCTGCTAGATTATTAGCCTCTTCTACTAAAATACATCATTTTGAATTAGAAATACAATATTAACATTAATTTTTGAGCTGTACACATTTAAAAAATTACAAATTTCAGCATTATCATGTGTTCATTAGACAAATTATTTTACACTAATAATTTTATGCATGGGTAGACATGTTTCAGATAATTGAACATAATGGAATATAAGCAGAAAACTGTAGGTGTAAGTAACTGTTCAGCATGTCAGCCTGCCTCTTCGTATAGGCACTTGAAAGCAGATATGTTTCCAGTTCATCCATTTGGTATTTAAAAAGATACATAGCATTGCCAGAAGTAATGTTGAATAAATATTTCAAAGAGTAATGAAATTAAACAGGATACAATGTGTGAAGTTTCAAACCTAATATTCAAATTAGTGAATAGATTATTATTTTATTTATTATTTTATGTATTTATTTATTTATTTATTTTAGTTATTTATTTTTTGAGATGGAGTCTTGCTCTGTCGCCCAGGCTGGAGTGCATTGGTGCTATCTTGACTCACTGCAAGCTCCACCTGCCGGGTTCACGCCATTCTCCTGCCTCAGCCTCCAGAGTAGCTGGGACTACAGGTGCGCACCACCACGCCTGGCTAATTTTGTTTTTGTATTTTTAGTAGAGACAGGGTTTCAGGTTGTTAGCCAGGATAGTCTCAATCTCCTGACCTCGTGATCCGCCCGCCTTGGCCTTCCAAAGTGCTGGGATTACAGGTGTGAGCCACCGCACCCAGCCTAGATTATATTCTTTGCAAAAACATTTTGTAGCTGAATATGATAATGTTATTGATTTATGCTGGTTTAGAAATCTTTTTCACCATTCATTCAGCAAACTTTCATGAAGTGCTTACTATGTTCCAGGAACTATGGTTCCCAATGGAGATGAAAAAAAGGTGCGAGATATCACTCTTAGTGTTAAAGAATTTACATTTATTAAGCAAAACAGACACAAAAATATACTGTATAACTAATCCTATATTTCATAAATTATTTTAGGCAATTGGTTTCATAGAAATTTTCTGTATCCCATAACTCTACTTCATCTGACTCTCCTGCCTATCAGTACTTCCTGTCACACCATAAGGAAGACCTCAACAAGCATTTTTATAGAAGGTTATGATAAACATTTCAGAAAAAAACTTTTTTTTTTTTTTTTTTTTTTTCAGGAAAAGTGTATCTGAATGTGGATAACTTATTTCTCCATGTATGTACAAGGGCAGAACTTTGAAAAAGGACAGCAGGCACTTCACCTCTACCTTGGTCTAATCACTCTCTTGCTTCTCTCCTGGCAATGATTCAACCTCTGGTAGATCAGGCTGAAATTTTTTGGTTTCCTTTTTTCCAGAAGAACAGAGCCCTCACAGCAACGTATTTGGCATACTGTCTACCCAATATGCACACATAGCAGGAATACATTGTAATTTTGTCAAGGAAGAGAGAAACTTACACATTATGTAGGACAGCCACACATAGCAGTGATACATTTGTAATTTTGTTGAGGAAGAAGGAAATTAACACATTATATACAGCAGTCATAGTATTTCCTTGCATATAACTTTTTATCCTTGGTTAGAGAAGTTTTTCTACTAGGTTCTTTAAAGGCGTCTTTTATCTTTCGGTTTGTCTTTCTATCATACTTCTATCTACCATATTAAAATCTCTAATTTTTAGAAACCTAGAAACACATAAATTTGCAGAGCAGAGAATCTAAAACCTTATGAGCATGAGAATGATATGAAGAGCTTGTTAAAGCACAAAGTCCTGGGTCCTACCCCAGATACTGATTTAGTACATTGGGGTGGGAACAGGGGCGTTAATTGGATTTTTAGCCTCCTAGATGGAACTTTTTCATGGACTACACCTTCAGTAGAATGGTAACAGTGATTAAAAAATTATAACAAAAATATTCAGTGGAGCCATAAAATAAATGATCAACTTAACCTGGTATTTTTAGAAAAGCAGTCAAAGAAGAGAAACTACTTGAATTGAGTCATGAGCAATGATTAGCTATTTTTTTCAGGCACATAATATAGAAATGTGGACATATCAAAAAGAAGGGCGTTTCAGCATGTTAAGCAGGGTAAGTATGGGCATAAAATAGCACATTAAAAAAAGTTTGCATGACTGGAGGGTCTAAAGTATGGGGATAAAGGTGAGGTTGGACGATTAAGGCCAGAGCAGAAAGCAGGGGGCCAAATTATGAATAACCTTCTGACATATTTTAAATATTTCTTTAGGTAATGTAGGAATTGAAATAATACGACAAGCATTACTTTTAGAAAGATTATTTGGCATTAGTATATAAAATCAAGATGGTACAGACTCGATGCAAGAGTGGCAGTGAAGATAGAGTAATAAACGAAACAGCGGAAACTTCACATGATTTTTAAGATGCAAGCAATGTTGTCTGCCTGGTTTTAAACACTATTGGCACAATAAATTGAGATAACAAGATAATTATTCCAGGGGAAATGACAGGTTTCATGGCAAGAGGGGAAGGAAAGAGTTGATGAATTCTGTTTTTGAGATGTGGAATATGTAAAATAGGCAATTGCCTATATAGGCCTAGAGCGTAGTAATGGCATCTGAGTTAAATGTACAAATTTTGGGGTCGTTTAATCATTGTATAGTTGTCTTTAGGATAATAGGATTACATGAGATAATCCAGGAGAACATGGAGAATCGACAGGTTCTTAGGAGAGAAGATTTAGGACATGCTAATAGTTAAGGAATAGCCTCAGAAAGATGTCACTGTGGTTACAGAGAAGGTTTAATTAGAAGGATAGAAGGAGAACTGAGGAAACATTATCACTAAGCGAAAGAAAGAGAAGCTCAGAGATGTCAAATAGCTCACAGTCACCAATGACTCACAGATAACAAATATTTTGGGTACTGAAAGGAATGTACTGGATTTGGCAATTAGGACATTATTGGTGACTGGTGAGAGTTCTTTCAGGGAAGTGACGAACATGGAAACCTTATTTGAGTAGGGAAAAATACTTAAAAGGTGAGGAATATGACAGAGAGTACAAACTTTTCTCAGAGCTTAAAGCAAAAAAGACTGTGTCTTCCCTCGATTAAATAAAACCTTAAATCAGCACGACAACCTATAAGTTGGTACCAGTAGATAACCAAGATTGGGGACCAATCAGAGGTCAACAAAAGGACACCATGAGCCTGGTGAAGAAGACTCACAGGAAGAACTAAATCATAAAGAAGGAAGGAATGGCTGTCAGGGAGATGGAGAGGAACCCCTGGCAAGCAATGGCTAATTCTTAACTAATTTCAAACACATTCAGCTGAAAATAAGTGATCAAAGATTCTGAGAACTCTATCTCAGAAGTTTGATTCTGCTACCAAAACTTGGCAATTAGTAGTTGAAAACCACATTCATTGTCTGAAAATCATCCACAGGTACTTTGACATTTATTATACATAAGAGAATACACAACCCTAATCTGAACTGAAATGAAGGGAAAACACAAAGTTATTTGCAATAATTCAATCGTGTTTCTCCAAACATCAGACTACTGAGTGATATTGCCAAATCCAATAAATAATCTCAAGTAATAGTTCATTGCTTTTAAATAAAATGTGTCACTGATTTTATGTAAATATACGTGTTTCACTGTCAAGAAACCAAAATCCTAACTGCTGAAAATGGCTTTACTTCAGTAGGCATCCCAAATTTGGAATATTTAAACTAATTTTTACAGTTGCTGTTTAAGAATTATCCTTTGTGAAATATAATGGATAAGAAAATTTTGAGTGTGCCTGACATATTGAATGCAGGTCTGAGAAATGCAAAGTGGTAAATCCTTCGAGAGAGAGATTGAAGACCTAGTGAGAAAAGTAGAGAAATAAAGTATTTCTTACTGAATAAAATAGAAATTACAAATAAACTTGTCTAACTAGCTGTAATCATGTCATATCCTGGTTCAAAAACTTATTACTTCCATTGTCTACTGTAGGATTTCATAAACTAAGTTCCTTAAATTACTAGTAGTCTTTCAAGCATTATGAAATGTTCCTTAAAAAAGGAAATACTGCATACTATAACCCCCATGTATTAGTTTGTTAGGGCTGTCATAACAAATGACCACAGTCTGGGTGGCTTAAACAACAGATTTATTTTCTCACAGTTCTGGAGGCCAGAAGTCCAAGATCAAGGTGTTGTCAGGGTTGGTTCCTTACGAGGGCGATGAGAAAAGGATCTGTTTCATAACTCTCTCCTTGGTTTTTAGATAGCCATCTTCTCTCTAGATCTCCACACCAACTTCCCTCTTGGACGTGTCTGTGTCTAAATTTCCTTTTCTTACAAGGACACAAGTCATATTGGATCAGGGGTTACCCTAAGGACTTCACTGTAACTTAATTACTTCTCTTAAGACCCTATGTCCAAATATGATTACATTTTGAGGTATGAGGGGCTAAGACTTCAGCATGAATGTTGGTGGGAACAAAATTCATCCCATAATACCTTAAGTATCTCTTGTTTCATAACAATGTTACCACAAACATAACAGCTTAAAACAACACATATTTATAATATCACGGTTTCTGTGAATCAGGAATCTATGCATAGCTCAGCTGGATCTTCTGCAAGACTTCAATTAAGTTATCACTCGAGGTTGTAATCTCATTTCAGAGTTCTGCTGGAGAGGATCTGCTTCCAAGTTGACATAGTAGTTGGCAGAATTCAGTTCCCTTTGGCCTGTTGGACTGAGGGCCTCAGTTTCTGCTGACTATCGGTCAGAGGCAACATTCAGTACATTGCTGTGCAAATCTCTGGAACATGGCCAATTTACTTTATAAAACCTGGCAAAAAGAGTTCCCTCACTAGACTGTTGTTATAATTTTATATAGAGTAACCATGGAAGTTACATCCTATCACGTTTGCCATGTTTTAAGGATTAGAGGTAAGTCACATGTCCAGCCTACAATCAAGAGAAAGGGATTACACAAGGATAGGTATACCAAGAGTTGGGGATCATGGAGGTTGCCTTAGATTCTTTATGGAGTTACAATGGTTTAAACACACTAAGAGCTCTGAGAACACCATATGGGAATATCTTCTTAGGCTATTAGGATAAATTATATTCCTTATCTCACCATATAGGACATTCCACAATTTACTTCCAACCTACTTTTCTAGGATGATGTCATTATATAGTCATTATATATCCCTTATATACCATATAACTCAGTGCTTTGGATAGCTCACTCTTTTCTAGGTATGCCCTAGGTTTCCACATCAGACTTCACTAATTTACCTTTCTAAATTCTTCATATTTTTCAACGATTCGTTTAAATTTCACTAGCTCCATGAACATTTTCTTGAACATTTCCAGGGGGATTTATATATTCATTCATTCAGTCCCTCATTCAACAAGTAATTATTTGAGAATATGGTAAAATGCTAGGCATGAAATTTATAGCAATGAAGAAATCAGACATGGTCCCTGTTGTCTTGGAATTTACATTCTAAAGAAGAAGGCAAGCATAAAAATGTAAAGAATCAAACAATTATGTAACTGCAGATAAAGATATGTACCATGCAGGAAAATAACAGGGTGTTCTTTAAGAGAAAAAGAATATTAGCCTAATTTAGTCTGGGATGATTAGAATAGACTCAAAGGAAATGACTCTGAGCCCTCAAAGATGAAGGAAAAGTGATACAAGGGTTCCAGGCAGAGAATAGCCTGTGCAAAGTCCCTGAGTTTATGTAGACTTTGGCATTCAAAAAAATGAAGTAAGGCTGATTTAGCTGAAAGGTAATGAGTGTGCAGTAAATGTGAAGAGGTCAGCAGGGCTCAGATGATCCCAGGCCTTGAAGGCCACTTGACGGTTTTGTTTTCATACTAAGCACAATGGGCAACCAGCAAAGGACGTTAAGCAGGTTAAAATACCGCTCATGCTGTTATTTGTGAATGGATTGAATATAGATAAAGAAGCAGATAGATCAGTTAACATTAAGCTTCTAGTGTATATCCAGAAATCAGTTGATGGTAGTAGTATGATCTTGACCAGGAATTAGTGGGTACAAACCCTATAGTGACCTGCCTCATATGGCCCATAAAATAAGAATGGTTTTCACATTTTTGAAAGTTGTAAAAAATAAGCAAAGAAATTTGACAAACTCAGTTACTGACTTGAACAACTGAGTCAATGGGAATGCCATTACCTAAAATGTAAGAGACTGCAAGTGGAATGATTTGTGGAGAGGGAAATCAAAATTCCGTTTTGAATACTGTGGCACAATCTGTTCTATCTCTGTCGGCTCAATACCTTTTCACAACCATTGCTATGTTCGGGACAGTTTTCTTTTTAATAAATCCTGCCTTCCCAAGGAAGAAGCCCCAAATACCCTTCTCAGCCTTTTTTGCAACTTGATGTTATGTCTATGCATAACATAAACCTGTGCAAGGATTTACTCTGCTAATGTGGTGGTGACAGTGGGCTCCACCTACCAGGAATAGGGGGCAGTGATTGCAAGATCATCTTCCTGGGTTAAGCCATCCGTGCTGGGGGTCAGCTGTGGAAAACTTAAGCTTGTGGCACCCATGCAAACAGTAGTTTCTAGAATTTGGTAACAGCAGCAGCTGCAGTGATTATCCTAAGAAGCCAATTCTGATTTGTGGTTTTGATTATTTTTTCTACAGATTTAGCTTTGAACCTGGCTTTCTAACCCTCACAACAATTCTGTGAGCTTCTCAATATCTTTTTTACAATCTCTTTTTTGATTTTTCAGCCAGTCCATTTCTGTTGCTTGCAACTAAGAACAATGACTGATAAAGACATTTAATTTAATACACTTGTGGGACATTCAAGTAAAGACATTAAATAGAGAGCCATATAAGTCTGAAGCTCAAAGGAGAAGTCTTGGCTGGAAAGGGAAATTTGGGAATTGTTGGTTTATAGATGTTATTTAAAACTACAGGAATAGATAAGATTGTTTAGGAATATAGTGTCAAGTGAGGACTTCAGATTGAAAATAGAACAATTCAATATATAGTAGTAGGGTTGAGAAGAAAGCTTAATTTTTAATCCTTTTGAGGTTCCATAGCATTTTATGCCTATGATACTTAATATATTCTGCCTCATATTATAGCAGTTTAACTGCATAAAATAATTTACCTGATCATATATATAATATATATCTACATATATACAATATATACATATATACACAATATATACACATATATAATATATATAGATATATGTAATGTTGTTTGTTTACCTGTGTGAAAATAATTTACCAGGCTTTTTTTTTTTTTTAATAAATGGCTATTTGGTCGTCATCTTCTTCATGTCTCCTTCAGTAGCAGGCGTGACTTTCCATGTGAAATATGGACTTAGCATATTTTTTTAATTGAAATTAATTTTTCAATCTTATTTGATTTTTCCTCCTTGGATCCGTTTTAAATATATGTCTAGCAGTAAACTATTTTTGCAAGAATTGCTTTCTATGTTCTGTGGGCTGTCTTTTGGTCTGTTGACAAGGCACTTTATAAAAATAATTATTTTTTTGTTCCCTTAGGCATTTCCTAGACGAGAGGATGAGCAATTATTGAATGATTTTTTTCAGAATTCTCTTTGGAAGGATCAATTGTGAAATCTTTGACTTTTTACATTTAAAAATATTCTATCATATACATATAACGACCTCTCACTTCTAGAAAGATACCAGAGATTGGACAATTTTCCAAAGTATGAAATATCTTCAAATACTCATGGTTAGATAGTTCAATCACCCTTGCCTCTGTTCTATCTCTATTTTAAATGGACACCTTGACTACTGTTAATATTATTCACTTTTTTTTTTTTTTTTTTTTTTTTGAGACGGAGTCTAGCTCTGTCGCCCAGGCCGGACTGCGGACTGCAGTGGCGCAATCTCGGCTCACTGCAAGCTCCGCTTCCCGGGTTCACGCCATTCTCCTGCCTCAGCCTCCCGAGTAGCTGGGACTACAGGCGCCTGCCACCGCGCCCGGCTAATTTTTTGTATTTTTAGTAGAGACGGGGTTTCACCTTGTTAGCCAGGATGGTCTCGATCTCCTGACCTCATGATCCACCCGCCTCGGCCTCCCAAAGTGCTGGGATTACAGGCGTGAGCCACCGCGCCCGGCCAATATTATTCACATTTATTTAAAATTTTCTTTGAAAAGGTTATGCCACATTTTTTTGCTGAGAGGTTAGTATATCATATATATAATATTGGAGAAATTAAATTATTTAGTTTACATTGAACTTGCCATACTTTATGCATATGTCAAAAAGTTGTCTTAAGTATTAACTCATTTAAAATCAATTATGTAACTGCAATGAACCAGGCACTTTTCTGTTTTGAGAATACAAGGGGAAATAAAAGAAGGCTCACAAAGAATTCACAGTCAGTTGTAAATGACACTGGAAGACACTTGATTTTTGTGGCTTATTTCTTATTACCTATAATAGTCTTATTTATGAAATGGATCTTATAAACCTCAATTGTCTACCTTTTGTTTGATATGAATTTATATGTGGAGAAAAACTATTTTTTGAAACTTTATGAAATATCTCATTAAGTCTTATGACATTGTTCAACTAGAAGAGTAAATATCAGCTGAGTTTCTGAAGGACACAGCAAAATGGGCAATTAATTCACTACATACACCCCAAATTATTGTCATTCCTTGGGCCTGAATAGTTCTCTATAGATCTGGCCTTTTATAACTTAACTCTAAACAAAATAGGGACTCCTTCAGGGCCTTTCCAAGTCATTGTCTGGGAAATCATTTTATCCCCAATTCTTGCATATTGTCAAAGGACTTCCATATTCATTGTTTCATGTGATACTAGCAAAACTTGTAAAAGACTGAATAGGTATTATGATCACAATTAATAGTTCCAAGGTCACATGGATAATGACTTACTTTACTAGGAATAGAAATGTAATCTTCAGGTTTTCATTCCTGATCTTTTCCCTTCTACACTCCATAAGCTAAATAAACGAAAAAGAAGTACCAAGAGATTAGTAGCTACTAAGGATGATCTTAGTTGTGATATGCAAATCAGACATTGTGAGTTGAGAAATTTCTTTGAAATATTAGAATTTCTGGACATAAAATTTTAGTCTTTTGATAATATACATTTATTATAATTATGTGTCTAGGGGAGATAAAAGAGGATAGCATGCAGAAATGTTAAGAAGCACTGGAGACTGATAGAAAGATAGATAGATAAAACATCTTTGTAAAAGGGTACTCTGCTATTTCAGGGAAATGACAATGCAAAAAATATTCTTCTTGTATATCTAATTATAGAATTATGTAAGGTAAAACATCTGTATAACTAGTGACTTGTTCGTTTAAAATCTTTGGATAGTTCTTGTTATGGTTTTGAGGCAGTGTTTTTTCTTCACCAAAACTCAGGTTGAAATTTAATCCCCAATGTGACATTATTGGGAGGTAGGGCCTAGTGGGAGGTATTTAGGTCATGGGGACAGATCTCTCATGAACGGCTTGATGCTGTTTTCACAATAGTGAGTTCTAGCTCTGGTGAGACTGGATCAATTCTTGAGGGAATAGATTAGTTTTCACAAGGGTGGGTTGTCATAAAGCCAGGATGTCACTGGGTTTTCCTTTCTTCACATATCCACTTTCCCATTGACTTTCTTTGCCATGTTGGAACACAGCACAGAAACCCTCACCAGGAGCCAGGAGTATGCCCTCGAACTTCTCAGTCTGCAGAACTGTGAGGTAAATAAACCTCTTTTCTTTATAAATTACTCAGTTTCAGGCATTCTGTTACAACCAACAAAAAAGGACTAAAGACAGTTCCTATTGCCTTTTCACATTTCTCTAACACATTTAAAGATATTACAAAGTGTCTTTTGATCAATGCTTGTGGCTGACTACAGGGAGGATATACATAGTGGGAAAGAGACTGATGTGATCTTCAAGCATGACACACGTATCCTCTGAGAATCACGGGGCTGCCAGCTTAGTGTGGAACCGCCTCAACAGAGCTGTCCTGACTTGTATCACCTAGCCCATTTTGTCATTTCGTCACGTGTACTGCCATTCCTTTTCAAGGTACTTGTTTTAGCCACATCTGACTGTTGGCTCTTTCCAGAATTTACAGCTCAAATGAACGTCAGTCACTTCTATTGCATCAAGACTCAAACTTTACCACCTGTGTGTGGTCATTCTTAACTTCTCTCTTTCAGAATGCTGAAAAATTTGCATCTCCTTCTCCTATATCCTTAAAATCTTGCACAATGCCTCAAAACACAGTAGATGGATCTTTAAATAGTCAATGAATAAATGCAATGTATTTGACTAAAGTCAGACTTCTAGTGGATATCTGCTAGAAAGAAAACATTTAGGAAATTCACTGATTGTGTCTCTGCTTATACCTTTCATAGGTGAGTAAGAAATTCTGGCTTGATTATAGACCGTGAAAATTGTTTGCAAAATTTTGCATTTCATATCAGATAGCCAATTTATCAAATAGCCTTATGATAGGGGACAAAGGGAACTGCTTGTTAAATCTTCTTTCTAGGGGAATAAATATTTCTTAACCTCTATATGCTATTTAGAAGATAACGATTCATTGCTTAGAAATTTTCTTTGCTACTTTTTCAAACCCCCAACATTCTATCCCAAAGAATAGGCTATACCACATTCTTACTGTCTATTCAATAGCTGTTCAAGTGAACCACTTACCATGTCTAAGTGAAAATCTTGTCTTCTAGGTTGAAAACACAATTAACTTCTGGCTCTATGAGGAGAGCAGAAAAATAAATAAATAAACCTGTTTCCTATGTAATTATGCTACCAAAAGAGTCAAACTACTCTCTACCCTTTACACATAGGTCAACTGGAATAATTATTAGTAATAATGCTTGGTATTATGTATTTTATGCCTTTCTCTCAGGAGATCAAAATGCTTTACACACATTATCTCATTAATTCCTACTCCAATGTTGTGAAATAGAAAGAAGTAGGCTTTTTATGTTTGTATTAGAGTGTTATTCCCTGTCTCAGATGTAGCAACTGGAGCCCAAGGAGGTTAAGCAACTCATCCAAGGTCATACTCTGTGTCAACTGCTGATTTAGATCTTTTTATTCTTAACTCTTGTGTTTTCTCCTCTAAACCTCACTGGCTTCAGAAACAGTCCCTTCAGGCTTCGTTGCATAGTATACTGACCCATATCAGGGTTGAATTTTATTAAGTAGCACAAGGTCAAGCCCTTTACAAAAGAGGTCCTGAGTCAACAGGGAGTGCATTGCATCTTTGTTTTGTACAAGGCCTTCTCCATATGAATGAACTGTCAGAATAATTTTATAATACATTGTTCTTTCAAGTTTAGAAATGGCATTCTTCTATTTACTGGTGAATGGTGAACATGTAAATTATTTTAAGCTATAACAATGAAAACAACAAGATCCTACTGTCAGAATTAATATTTTTTCTTAACTGCATTACTGTACTACCTTAACACTCTGCGACTTTGATGCTAAGAATGTAAATGAAAGGGAACAAAATCTAAGCTGTTTGAATCTTCTAAATCAATAGCAAACATTGTTTGAATATTACATTGAACAGCTGTAATACTAGTGTAACTTTTCAGCCTTGGGGCTGCAGCCATTAAGCCTAAACAATGACAGTTCTAAGCCAAAACAGTATTTTGAAAGGCATTTCACTGTCAGTTTGTTTCAAAATGTATTTCTTACTCTGTTGAAATTTAATATACATTGATGAAAGAATTAAACTCTCATTTGTAATCGAGAAGCCAAGGACAGGCATACTGTAGGGATATTTTTCTTTTTCTTCTGGACCAAAAAATTGATGTTTAGCTGGGGGCAAGTTTAGAAAGAAAAGCAAAAATATGATTCTAGAACACTTTAGGGATAACAAGGCAACATTGTCTGGCTATGGCTTTAGCCGAAGGTTGGGCAAAATATAATAGGGACTATCTTCTCAATATGGAGTCAGTTTCTCAGCACTGTAACTCTACAGGAAAGCTTCCTGAAATCTGTCATTCTGCTCCAAGCAATCTTTGACTCTTTGGGAAATTAATTCTTTTCACTGAAATATGTTGTTCAAGCCCTGCTATATATTTTTGTCTACATCTAGAATTCCTGGAGAGTAACAGAGAATAAGGCACTGTCCCAATGGTGAGAGCCACTCTTCAAAGATAAATATCTCCTCTGTTTTATGTTTTGTTTAAATTGGAAAAGAGCAGTCCAACAAAGCCTGCATAGTGTCAGTGTTTAAGATCGAGTTGTTATGCTCTTGATAAAAAGAGGAGAAAGAAAAAACCATGCACAGTAGAAACCATGAACCTGATTATGTGACTGCCTCCTATTTTACCAACTGACTTAAAATATTTTAGAAGCATGTATTTTTATAATTTGGAAGCTCAGTACAAACTGTAAGTAGACTATAATGAACTCCTAATATATGAAGCCTTTGATGGAGATATCATCTGACTCTTAAATCTTACATCATAAGTATGTTAAGTTTAACACATGGTATGCTTTAAAAATATCTAGGGATTTTAGAAAAAGAATAGAGAAATACAAAATTATTATGATAAAAATTTCATCAGTAGACTATGTTCCCATATTGATATTTTGCTGATAATTCATTGATATTTTTCTGATTCCTCTTGTATTCCTATAATTAAATTTCATAAGTGTCTTTACATTGTAATCAGTCATTAGTTTTTTTCTTTGCTTTTTTATTCCATCTTTCTATTATCTAATGAAGCTAACTTCATATAGTTTTATTTTGATAAATGGAAATGACTTTCAGATTAAGTATAGCCAGTTCTTAATCAGCAGTTTGCTGTAAATTTTAGTAAGGTTAATGGTAACATGAGTTTTGTGGCCATGGGGGAACCTGCAAAACAACTCTGGGCCTCAGTTTTCTCAGTGTGCAGTGGGGATAATAACTGTGCTTATCTCAGTAAGCTGATTTGAAGATTAATGACTGAATGTGAGGAAGGTGCTCTGTCCTTTTATTTGTAGAATTATTAGCATTATTTTTCAGGATTTCTCTTTTGTAATGAACTTCTATCTATTCATTTTATGTTTTTAAAAAATAAATAAATGTTAGTAGTGGAAAGAGCACTGGGCATAGAGCCAGAAGAACTATGTTCCTTTTACTAGTCCTGAATATTTAATTAAGGTTGCTTGAGAATTTTCACTTCCTCACTTCAGGTTTTTTTACTTTCCTTAGTTTTTAAAAAATGAAGGAGCTAAACCAGAGTAATAATTTCAAGGCATTTGGAAATCAACCTGTAAATTAAAAATCATATAAAGGACAACATGATCAGTGGTCAAATCTTTATTTTATCAAGGAAACACATTATAAAAACCACAATACACGATCACTAGGATTTTACAAAAAGATAAATTTGTATACCACAAAAAAGGAAGACAGACATAATCTCAAAATAAAGAGAAGCAGTTTTCTTAGATAAATTTAACTTTATGAAAAACTTGTGACAGTATAATAAAATAGATATACATTAGTATCAGTTTCAGCTGAGGACTCAAGACAATTGATGCCACATTCTAAGTTGAGTTATGAGACCACTATGAAGGATTTGCAAAAGAAATTATGGAAACCAATTTTATGAATCCAAATATTCTCTACCATTTTAAAAGACTAAAAATATTAAAAGTGGAGACAATAAAGGAATTTCTGGAAAAAGCTATGCTTTTAAGTCCCAGTTGATTTCCTCAAATAGGAGGTTTTGAGGGTGTAGGTGTCTGTTTCTCACTCCCAAAAACATTGGTGAAAGAATGTTCTACAGAACCACTTTGAGTTTGAAATATGTACCCTGGAGCTTGGGATCCATAATGTACTGCTGATTGTGAATGTCTGGGACATCAAAAGAAAAGCAGAACAATAGACAAGTGCTCTCTCTGGGCAACATGTGACCTCCATGAGGCAAATAAAGTGTAGACTTCCCATGGATCACATACAGGCTCTATGAGAATACACAATCACAGATGTGAAAAAGCCAACACAGGCCATCTTAAGTCCTATTCAGGGGACTGCCTGTGATTCCAACATCATAGAGTAAGATAAGGGGCTGATGAAAGTGCCAAAATCAGGAGCAGGAAGGGATACATTTTCCCTCATTAAGGGAACGGCAAGTAAGAATTTGTTAAGGATAAAAATGTCTAAGGAAATATGTGACTATTCCACATTAAAGAGGTCAATCTAAACATCTGACTGACCTCTGGAACAGACTCCAGTTATGGATCATGGTAGATTTAACTACAAAGAACTTCTTTATTGTTTTCTTCTGGTTCCCCTCCCCATAAATCTAAGTTAGAAATTCTCGGTGAGCAAAATGGAGGAAGAAGGGGTAAAAAAACCAAGGAATAGAAGAAGAAAATGACAGTTACATTCTACACCTTCAATGCAGGTGCTCAGTGTGAGTCAGGTTCACGATGGTCAGGAGAAGGAGGACCTCTCTTCAAATAAAATGTGAAGTTTTTATTCTTACATCTGTAGATTATTATGGTCAAAAAATTGTTTTTACTAACTAAGTGTAAGCAAGTGGGCAGGAGAACAGGGCCCGTAGAATCATGTTAAAAGGAATGAAGGGATAAAAATAAAATGGCTTTAACAACGTATCTCACAAGCCGTGCATTTCAACATAACTCTTGCACTCACTGCAATGCCCTTATTGAATTAGATATGTTTCTTCTTCCTAATTTTTAAAATACTTTGCTGCAGACTCTCACATTGGAACATTAGGTAACTAGGGAACCAGTTGACTAGATAAGATCTGTGTTCTCTCTACCAGATACAAATAGATGAGAAAATGTGGAATACTCATTTGTTAATTTTAATTCATCTTTGAAGAGTTAGCTATCACTATTTAGCCTTTTATTAGATAGTGAAATTGTAACAACAATAATAAAAACATCTTATGTTGAGAACCATAAGTAAAATAAGTTATTTGGCATTTATATCAACATATAAGAAAATGCATATAATCTAACTATAGCATTAGAAGGCATTATTATAAAGTCACTTTAGTCCCTAATTTACAAGGCAAGGTCTCCTGAAACTGTAGGTGTCATCACAGACATAATTTCAATTTTGCATGGCAGGAGAGAAGATAGTTTGGGGTGACAAAGTTGTACTTATACCAATATAACAAGACCAATAAGTTTGTATACCTGCTGTACAGTAACAGACCAATACATGGAGACAGCATAGTTTACGGCAGAGAAAGAGTTTAATGATTGCAGGACGGCTGACCGAGGACATGGGAGGAACCCTCAAATTCATCTTCAAATGGAGTTCTTGGATGCAATTTTTAAGGGTATTACAAGGGGCTGGAAAATTGGGGTTATTGCTTGGTTATGATAAGGGGGATAAAATCATCAGGATATAGAAACTGAATTCCTTGGTAAGTCAGTTCCTTTTGGGATCCTTCAGACCGGCTGGTGTCAGTGGTTTCACCTGTATGCAAGACCTGAAAGAATATCTCAAATGAAAAAACAGTTTCAAAATGTTTAAGATGTTATCTAGAGAGAAGTTGAAGGGAACTATAATTTTGTAATAGGGTCTACATGATTCTGGGGCAATAGGCAGTAAACAAACAACTATGAGGAAGCAAGTCAGAGAGCAGGCTGACCTGAACGTGCTGCAATCTTGGTTTATTTTTGTTTCTCTCCTTTCCTCCTTCCATGATTAATTATAAAGTTTATAAAGACAGTTTCATTGATGGGTTCTAGAGTTAGATTAGCCTACAAATTGACAAAGAAAACCAGCATTAGTTGAACAGCTATCATTACTATGCCCCAGGAAGTATGCTAAGTATTTTACATATAAAATTTCAGGCAATCCTTACAAAAAACTCTGGGAATGGTAATTATTGGCCTGATTAATAAAACAAATGGGAAAATTGATGACATATACTTAAGTTAACATTTCGAAGTCATAGAGTTACTAAATGGCAGGATTAAAATTTTAAATCAAGTTTAACCTATTCCACAGTCCACTCTCTTTCCATTATACCCTGTGGAAGGGTCCTCATATTTCTCTCTTTATAAAAGTTTAAGCTGGATATGTTGGAAAACATCTTTTATTATAAAACTATTTCATTTAATTGAATCACCGGTTTCATATTTTTATCTAGTCATCCCACCTCTAGTCTTAGACCTTCTAGATGCCCCAAGTCCTTTATGCTTATTAGTAGGCATGTAAGCAATAGTTATTGCACACCTACGTTTCATCTATTAGATTATTTATTTCTTAAGGCAATGGCTACCTCCATCAGTTTTTGTTCGTATAGTTTAGCATATTGACTGGAATCTAGTAAATACTCCATAAATATTTGTTTTTATAAATAAATGATAGTGAACAGTGCCTTCGTTTATTCCTTTATTTAACACATATGTATTAAATGCCTACTAAGTTCCCAACACTGGTAATGCTATCAGTGTGAGCAAGCTAGAGAACTTCCCTGCCAAATACATTTTGTAGTCTAGTGGGGAAGACCTAGAGTTAAGCAAAAACAGTAAAGAATGGTAACTGATCCCAGTAAGAAAATTGTGAATACTGATAAGCACATAGCTGGATTCTCTAGTGTGTCTGGGTGCTTGTGAGTGAGGAGAGCAGGGTGTGGTCAAGGTTGTTTTCTTTTGATACTTCACGTTAGAGGTTTAAATGTGGTACAGAATGAGGGAATATTATTCTGCTATTTCTTCAAGGGAGGGGCAAAAAAGATATAAAATTAAAATGGAGCCAGTATTGCCCAAGGTCCATCTAGAACCAGAAAGAAAAGCAGATGGTTGCAGAAAGAGTTATAGTATAGGTGGTTGAGCCATCAAGGAAACTCACAAGAAAAAATTTTACCTAGTTGTCAGAGAACATACTATGCTCCAGACGGCTAACTTGCCTTTTTCTATACCATGCCTTTGTCAGGAGGCATTCCCTACGTTCAAGTCTTAAGCATGTGTCCTGTATAAAATCAGTCTTTAGCGTCTCCCAAAAGAGCTATCACTTCCTTCTTTTATGAACTTGCTGTATCTTGTCTCTTCACTTGAGCACCTAGTACATTGAGCTAAAATTATTGGTTTGCATTCCTCTTTTACTGTAAGAATTTTGCTTTTCAAAGGCCACAATTATTTTTTTTTCTATTTCTGTATTCTCAATACCTAGCATGGTGCTTGTTTGCAGCAATTTGTAAACAAATATTTGTTAAATTTTTCATCGTAAAACATGCTGATGAAAATTAAAATTTTATATTGTTTATGCAAAAGTCCCAGCTACATAGAATCAGACATGAAGATATTTGAGTTATGGAATTCTCCAAATTTTTGTCTGGCTGTTTGGAAGCATGTATATAAAAGTTGATTTTTGTCTGTTTTTGAATAATCATAGCATGTTAAAACATTAATAACATAGGTTATTGAGTTAGACTGCCACAATCTGATTCTAAGCTTTATTCCTTTATAGACTTTATGAATTTATCTGCCATGATTTCTTCATCTATAAAATAGGTATAAAATGTGTACCTAATTGGGTGGTGGGAAGTTAATGACAATGCAAGGTGAAAATGGAAAGCAATAGTGCTTTGCTTAGTCCCTGAAACAGTATGTTCTCAGTGAGTGTTAAAAATCATAATTTGTATTTCATAATTTAGTGTTTCTAAAACTTAGCTTAGTAGCTGTTGTAGGTTGGATTCATTGGAAGAGGAGGCTAAAATGGAGCCTGTGGGGCAAGATAGCTATAAAATTCCCATCTGTGAAGGGAAGAAGGAAGAAGCAGTTTGGCGCAGACGAAGAAGGTGAACTACAGTGCCAGCCAACAAAGTCTCTACCACACTGGAAGTAAATATTGCAAGGCAGGGCATTCACCCTCAGGTAGAACTGGCTGGGCCTTTATACTCCACCTCACTCAACCACCACATGAGGGTTGCTCTGGAAAGCAGGGCAGAACTTCCAGCAAGGTAACATTTTGCAGCAGAACCTGACGTTGCTGACAGCTAGATGCTCTCTGCTGTCCTCGAAGGACGATCCACACACCAAGTGGTCTGCTATGCCCACTTTGCATGCTGTACTGTGAGTGCAAGCCACACTGCATTGAAGCAATGAATTTCAGAACTCTTTCCATTTGTTAGAAGAGAATTTAAACCATTGCCTTTTGTTTTGTTTTAGTATTTCTAGTTCTGTCTACAGAGGTATATGTCTCTGTAAAAATATTTTTCCTTCCTCTTTCTTTACAAAAATGACTAACAAGAATCCAAAACAAAAATATTTTTTACACACCTGTCTCTACCTGAGATAACATAGATGGTAAGGATTTTCAGTGATCCAGAAAACCCAACCAAACAAAAAAGAAAGCTTTTTTTTTTTTTTTTGGCTAATTTTGCTTTATTTTTTCCTCTGTTCCCTTTTCATTCCTTTCGTTCCTTTCCCTTCTGTCTTTAAAAATTTTTTTCTTTTATTCCTTCTTTCCTTCCTTCTCACCCCCAATGCCATCATCTATTGTAATTCTGTTTTGACTAGTTCTGCACATTTTTTTGTTTATTTTCTTACAGAAAAGAAAATACCAGAAGGCCCCATTTTGTACTGAGTTATGTGGCTGTCAGTAAAATTGTATTCGAGTTTCAGTCAATTCACCTTGGAGCTTCTAAGTAACTGAATTTGTGGCAAGGTTCTTTTTAACAGCAGCAACAAATTTTGTGTGTGTGTGTGTGTTGGGGGTGGGGGGCGGTGGTGGGGGGAGAAGACCCGAAAATAAGCAAAAGAAAAAGTACTTACCTAGAAATGAACAGAGATTTTGGAGACTAAACCTTTCTCTATGCTGCATTTGTGTTTTGTAAAGTTCAGTAGAAATTATTCAAGGTTGTTTCCTACCCAGATCTAACATGAATTTTTTTCAGTGTAGTCAAGCTTTTAGTAAATTTTTCTATAAAAACTGTCCAAGGAACATATTTTTAAAAGCTCTATGTAGATGTATGGTTTTGATTGGATTGCATAGATTAAATCTAAGAACTATTTTTCTAGGATAGAAGTACCATGAAAGTGATTGCATTACCCCCAGAGGCTGTTTTTTCTTAATACTTGCAAGCTGAGAGTAAATCGTAAGCACATCTGCACCCTGATTTCAATGCTCTTCTCCGAATACACAGTATTTAGTGTATTTCTTCTGCAAGTCAGACATATGGGGTTTAACTTATAAATATTTTTCTATAAAACTTAAATTATGGAGCTAAAAAACAAAATAAAATATATAAAACCACTTTCTCCCAAAAGAGCTGCAAAAATTACTCCTTGAAACATTGGACTACAAGAAACATTTGCATTTACTAAGCTGCATTATTTATAGATACAGAACTGCAACCTCTCATCCCCGTCTAGTAGTTTATTTTAAATCTATAAGATTTACAAAACAAAAGTAAGAGAAACATGTGTCGAGCAGTAAATAAACCCTGCTAGTGAGCTTCTGTATTCTTTTAGCATTACAGTATTTTCATCATTTTTGACATAAAGATGTGTTTTGTAGGGAAGGAAAAGCACATTTTGAAACAGCTAGTTAAGTAGGGGATGAAAAACTGGTAACAAAAAAGAAGGGAAATGGTTTTGATTTCCTTTATGCTTAAGGTCATATACAGGTCATGTTTAACAGATTCCATTTTCACATATTTTAATAAAATCTGTATAGGAAATTTAGGCAAGAGCTGTGGAAAGAATTTGATCTAAAGGAGTAAAACTATCACCTTAACATTAACCTTCTAGTAATGAATAAGCAAGCAGAATAAAAAAAAAGAATATCTTCTCGAAATCAGAAGGCAGAAATATTTGTGCCCTAGCTACTGATGCGAAAGACATATTTGATAGGCCTTGTAACAAGATGTCCTGGGTTTGGGGTTACACCATGGGTACATTAAACACTAATACATGTATGTTACTTAAGCACTCTTACCGTAATTGAGGAGAAAGAGTTAAATGTCAGGTTGTCCTGTCCTTGGAATTTTTGAAAATAGTGTGGCAGGAATTAAAGCTGTACCAATCACTTCTTACTTTGCATACTTTTCCAGAGAGACGGCATCTATTCCTTTATAACTTTGCTGTCATTCTTGGAAGAAGAGGCTCATCTGGGTCTTACTTGTAACTCTGTCTCCTGTTCTTGTGCTTTTTAAAGACATATTACATTTCTTTCTATAATAGCTTATCATGCCAGAAAGAGTATAATTGCAACTTCAAGCACAATTTCAGGTTTCAAAGATGAAATCATTCACATTTCACTTAGACGTAGCATTAAGAATCAGCTTGCTTTCCCTTGGGGGGTATTCTGCTTATTTCTGTAATTTACGTGGCTGTTTTCTTTTGCATTGTGTGAAATGTAAAATGATTCAAAAGGGGTTCTGAGTGAACGGCACAATATCTGCTGCCCAACTGCTTGAGTCAGTATGTAATAATTGGCCTGAATATATAGATAGGCCATTATGGGGCTTGTTAAAATTTGTGTCAGGTTCCTGCGATAATTATTGAAGGCCTAATTCAGACCAGCTTTCCTCTACAAAATTAAATAAAAGAGGTACTGGACACACCATGCATTGAAGGGATTAGTCAATTCTCTTTGCACAGCAGTGACCTTTGTATCCCCTCTATTAAAGAGTGGGAAAGATTTAACTGCACTGCACGTGCCCTTGTATTTTCCAGCCATTATTTAAAACATGTCAAAATGAGTTCAGTAATTCTTCAGTCTTTTTTTAACCTCACCTGTTCCTCAATCAAGTATTTCAACCCTCATTTTTTCTTTCTCTCCTTCCTTCCTTCCTTCCTTCCTTCCTTCCTTCCCTCTTCTCTCCTCTCCTTTCGTTTCTTTTCCTTTTTTTCTCTCTTTTTCTTTTTTTCTTCCCTCCCTCTCTTCCTTTCTTCTTTCTCCCTTTATTAAATCAGAGCTACTGGAAGTTTTTATCCTGCGTGATTCTGTAGTAATCTTGAAATTGCACACCACTGAAGTTCTGTAAAATAACTGTACTGCTTGTCAACTAGGAAATGAATATATACACTGATACTTTCCGTGGAGGTCACATTGTGTGTAGTGTCTTGTGATTTAATTGCATACTGAATGTATGTGTGAATCTGTTAGATAAAAGATGGATGGAGACTTGATGAGGTAATCTTTTACCCTCCACATCGTATTTCGCTTAAGTGATAGTCAACATGCATTCCTAATTGGCAGTCAAATCAGAACTCTGTTGACTGTAGCTAAATGCATATTGCCTAATTGTGTAATTCGGACAACTTCATGCAAAATTCAAGGTATAAATGCATTTCCTAAGGATGGGCACAGTGAGTATAAATCAATGACTTTTTTTTTAATCTTGAAAAGTTCGTTTATTCATTGGCCTGTGACTTCCGGGGTCAGTTAATTACTAGATTTCAGAGTTTATTAGGTTAATGGACACATAAGAACTATAACAGACATGGAACCAATTATTTTAATGTTTTCTAAACATAGCTCATTTTTGTTTTTCAAGGTTGCAAATAACTTTTTAAAATCCTTGCTTGCATAAATCCAAGTTATTTTCTTGTCTTGCCTTCAAGTTAATTTCTTAACTTATTTGTATTAAGGGACATTTGGTAAACATTTTTCTAATATATTTATTTTTGAAATTTTAATTTAGAAGAGTATTTAATGAATTTCAAAATTCTTAAATCTAGTTTGTATAGATTATTGAAACTCAGTGTTCAAAGAATCATCAGATATTGTTTGACTTACTTAAAGGAAGAAACTTTTTATTCTTATTAGGCACTTAACTAATCTCAACCTCTTAGTTCATAAGAACCTACTCATTTTGGGGGAAGTCCATTATATTTATTGTCATCTCTAAAAGTTTTAAAGTTCTTTTTCATATTTAGTCAATGTCTGCCTCTCTGCATCTTCTCTCCAATGGTATAATTCTGTCATTGAGAATCCCAGAAACTAAGTCAAATATCTTGCAAATGACAACCACTCAAATACTTGCAGTTAGTTATCATGTTCTTTCTGTTGGATCCTTCAAACTAGACAACCCCAGTTTCTTTCGCTAAGCTGTAGAACACATACTTTTACAGAGCCTTCACAATTCCAGCTGCCCTTCCTTGCAAATTTTCCAGTTCAGTTAAGAGGCTTCCAAAATAGAACAGCCTGCTCCATGTGTAATATGAATAAGACAAAGTACATACAGTCTGTAAACTTCATCATATGTCTATATAATTGAATTAACTTAAGCTATTTCATATTCGTTATTTTATGGACTTAATGTAAAACTGGCTATTTGTAAGATAAAAGTAAATAAAACACTTAGATATTTCTCCTCCAAATTGCTGACAATCCTTGTAAAAAGTCAGGACTCATTTATGCATAGACATGTTAAACTCTAATTTCAACACATTGAGATATTTTGAATCTTGATTTGGTTATACAGCTCAGCCCTTTCTTCAACTTCATATTATTTACAAATTTGATAAAAATTTCTTTTGAATCTTTAACCATGTATTGTATATTTAATTTTTAGTTTATGTGACTAAACCTGCTAGGTGAAATACTATAAAAAATAAAGATTAGGCTGAGGTGGGCGGATCACTTGAGGTCAGGAGTTCAAGACCAACCTGGCCAACATGGTAAAACCCTGTCTCTACTAAAAATACAAAAATTAGCCAGGCATAGTGGTGCATGCCTGTAATCCCAGCTACTCAGGAGACTGAGGCATGAGAATCGCTTGAACCTGGGAGGCAGAGGTTGCAGTGAGGTTAGATCATGCCACTGCATTCTAGCTGGGGCAACAGAGTGAGTGAGACTCCATGTCAGTAAATAAATAGATAAATAAATAAAGACTGATAAACTGTATCTTACCTCCCCATCTCATCCTCCAAATTATTCACTAATAGAAGCTTTAAATCATGTACATAGGAACTCTTATAAATCACAGATGGAAATGCAATATGTGGGAAATATAAAGTGTGGTGAAAATTCACAAGAGGAAAGTTAAGGGACAAATTTCCAAATGCTTTTGAAATAAATGACCTCATTAATACTCACAAAAAATATTTGAAGAAGATATTATTTCCATTTCACAAATATGAGAAAATAAGGCCGGGAGGGTTAAATAGCTTGCCAGTAATTGCATAGTTAGTTATGAAGTGGTGAATTTAGGAGTTAAGCAGTGCTGTCCAACTAGAAAGCTAATGCATAATCTACAGCACTGCTTTATCAGTGAAAGTTTTAAAAGCCAGCAAGATTTTGATAAATAAGAATGAGAAAAAGAACACTTAAGACAAAGAAGATTGTAAAACAAAAGGAAGCATAATGTGTATTCTAGAGATGGTGACATGTTTGAATACAAGGGAAAGTGGTGGGTCATGAGATCAGGAGATTAGAAATAGGTTTGTTTTTATCTAGAATAAGGTCAGCGATCTACACATAGGGAAGCTTCTGAGTCGTTTCCTGGAAGTTAGGACCCAGAAGAACTATGTTAGAAAATTGCTGATATTAAACGATTAAAATGTTAAACAGACTCAGAAAGGGATACCCAGTCTGGTGGCAGTCCACTAAAGATCTCCATCAGGTTGATACCAGAGAAGTTATTTTTTCACCTCCCTCTGTGTATACTTTACTGTTCATAATTTGTAGGAAGAAAGATTTACTGATTGTTTTATGCATGTCATCTTTTATGCTTTTCTCTGGGATAAATAAGTTAGATCACTAGATCACATTCTAGTGATGGAGACAGAGATGGAGGAAGACTACTAATTTAAATACAATATGGTATGCATTATAAAGTATTTATGCCCAGGATGCTAGGGAAGGGCTAAATTCAGTTACATGTAAACTGTGTTTTGAAAGATTAATAAAGTACTCTGGGAGAAAAAGGAATTGAATAATCTAGTAATGGTGGACAAAAGAAGCAAAAGCACACTGTGGTGAATGAGCATGGTGGAACAAGGAAACTATTTGGAATGTGGTGATACTTGTATATGAATTAGGAAGGGAAGGTTAGAAGAAAGTCTGAAGAGGGCAAGAGTCTGAAGAGCTAAGCAAAGGTCAGACTAGAAGACCATGGATGCCATGCTTAGGAACTTAGATTTTTGTCTTGTTACAACATTTTGTCTACAACAGTGTTAAATGCTGGATATGGAAGTGAGAAACTAGAGATTGTCAGGCCAGTGAAGAATGTACTGTGGCTAGACATATCTGCTTATAAGATACAAAGTCTAGTTTAAGTAATTGGGGTTTATTACATGGTTATACATGTAAGAACAGGAACTGTAATTGATACTATGATAGTTCTCAGTGGCAAAATTTTCCAGGGGTTCACTGAAATGCTTCACTTAATAACTCAAATTTTCTTCAGTGTTTTGTTCAATATATATCTCAGTATGTCTATTCTTGCCTCTAGAGGTTTTATCACCTTCCACTCTCTTTATCCACTGCCTCACGATTTCTCCATTTTTTTTTAACATTGGTCCACTCAAAGCTTTAGCTTAGTAATAGTCCATCATGACATCTTAGGTTTTTTCTATATTGATAATCTTTTAGGTTTTGCTTCTATAGCTGATATGGTTTGGCTGTGTCCCCACCAATATCTCATCTTGAACTATAGCTCCCATAATCCCCACGTGTCTTGGGAGGGATCTGGCAAGAGGTAATTGAATCATGGGGGTGGGTTTTCCCGTGCTGTTCTCATGATAGCGAATAAGTCTCATGAGATATGATGGTTTTATAAAGGGAAGTTCTCCCGGACACACACTGTGTCTTGCCTGCCACCATATAAGATGTCCCTTTGCTTTTCTTTCATCTTCTCCCATGATTGTGAGGCCTCCCCAGCCATGTGGAACTGTGAGTCAATCAAACCTCTTTCCTTTATAAATTATCCAGTCTCAAGTATGTCTTTATTAGCAGCATGAGAATGGACTAATATACCACGTGTCATGGGAGGGGCTGGTGGGAGGTAATTGAATCGTGGGGGCGGGTTTTTCCTGTGCTGTTCTTGTGATAGTGAATAAGTCTCATGAGATCTCATGGTTTCATAAAGCTCAGTTCCCCTGCACATGCTCTCTTGCTTGCCACCATGTAAGACAAGCCTTTGCTCCTCCTTCACCTTCCGCCATGATTGTGAGACCTCCCCAGCCATCTGGAACTGTGAGTCAATTAAACCTCTTTTTCTTTATAATTACCCAATCTCTGGTATTTCTTCACAGCAGTATGAATATGGACTAATACAATAGCTTACTGACTGATTCTCTTCATATTCTTCAATTGCTTTACAATGATAATCTGCATGAGTCAGTTTGAATGTAGCTTTCCACATAAAACCCCCTTATGTGTATGTGTGGCATTTTTTGCACTGAGGTTGTATACTCTCACTAAGTCAAATCAATTATAGTCAGAGGAAACAAGATCATGTATATCACTGCACAGAGCTCCCCCTTTATAAGAACAGTTTGCCTTAGAAAAAGTGATAGATATAATAAGTATACTTAACTCCTTTCTTATAAAATGTATCATGATAAGGTATACAGTGTAAGAAAGTAAGGTACTTTTAGGGAAGTGGCAATGGAGATGTGGTCAATAACTACTTAAAAGATCAATCTGTAGGTCTTTAGTTGGATTATGAGAGAAAAAAGACACAAAGATCCCAATGATTCTGAAGGGGTTGATTTGTTTGATGGTAGGCAAAAAAAATGAGATGGGAAAGGATGGGAAGAGAGAGCTTTTGTGACTGGGTAGGGGGAAAATTAGGGATGTAGTTTTGAACACATTAAACTGGAGTTGCCTGTAGGTCATCTAGAGAGATGAATGATGTCAAAATCTTCCAGCAAGCCAATCCTAAAGAGAGCATTGGGTGCCTACATAGATCAAATAGGTTCTGAAACTAGAAAAGTGAATGACATTGGCATTGGAGAAGAAGGAAAGTTATGCAAATTTAAAAGCGATAACATCAGAAAAGCAGACAGATAAGAAATACAACACAGGACCCGCAAAGGAGCTTTCAGGAATATTAAAAATATCAAAAACAACAAAAAAGGATGGTGTCCAAAGAAAACTAAAACAGAGTCTTAAGAACTTTTCTCGACAGTGCCAAAGCAGCAAAAAGTCAAGTAAGAGAGCTTGAAAGTGTCTATTTTACTTAGCAATTAGATGTCCTTGATAGTGTTAGCAGAGTTTTAGAGATGTGCTGGAGTCAGAGCAAGATTGTTGCTGGCTAATGAGTAGGTAGAAGGTGAAGGTGTAAGAACTTAAATGCGGGCTACTCTTTTGAGATTCTTGATGAAAAAGGAAAAGGACAATAATGAGATAGAAATATGCTATCAAACCGTGTTATTTTTTATTTTTCATTTTTTCTTTTGGGTGAGAGAAATTTGGAAATGTGTATATGCTGAAAGGAAAGATCCAGATATTGAGTACAACTCAAGTGATCAAACTAGGAGACAAAAGGGAAAAAGTGAGAACTAGAAAGGTGAAAGGTTTTGGAGGGAAGAAAGGGCTATGAAGCAGAGAAGAAAGGAGAACCAATATGAGGATGTATAATTAGGTTGACTATGCTGTGGGTGAATAATGCCTCAATTTTGTGAAAGTGTGAGATACTGTCTGAAATGCCTCTCAGGACCACCTGTGAGCCTTTTCTCATTGGTTCCTATTGCCCAGTGGTTAATGTTTTGCCTCATACAGGTTAATCCTCTGAAATTTTGGGTTGTGTCTGTTTGGGTCACAAATCAATCTTTATAGCATCCCACAAGGTGAAGGCCACAGAAAAATTCTAGTGTGAGAGATAGGAGTGTGTTACAGACCCAAAGGAATGTACACATACTCATACAGAGTTGGTCATTGCAGACATAGCTGAAAGGAAAAACATATGAAGTCAAGAGCATCTGAAGTCATGCATTGTAAATATAGGATAAAGAAAGACAGTGGAATTAGATGTTAAAGTCATTGATGACCATGTTCATACAGTCTAAATCTATCTTATCACTAAGAATTATATAAAAAATAACAGAGGATTTCTTGTCAAAAACTAATTAAGTATTCTCCAGTATTCATTGGACTACACACTAGTAACTCTATTAAAAAGAAAATATTGTTAACCTAGTGTGACGTATTCTTCCAAACATCCCTGATTCTTATTAATTACTTCCTTATATTCTTAGTGTACACAAATACTGTACATTTGCCTGATAATTATATCATAATATTTTTTCACCAAATCATAATAAGTATAGTTGCCCATAATTCCTAGAATCCTGTTTCCCCCTTGTTTTTAAAATATTGGACATCTGCCTATAAATATAAATACACATATATATATATATATAAAACTCCCATTCCTTATGATTATTCATAGATTATTTGCAGTAGTTTGCAATAACCTTGCTAATTCTAAGCCTCCTGGGAGTTTTCCTGGATCTGAAAAATAAACTTACTTAAGATCCTTAGGTATTTTCTGTCTATCTTCCTACATATCCTGGTGTCCTATGGCCTCTTAGACATTCTTGTGGACTACATATTATAAAATAAATACTAGCATCTGAATTAGAGCAGAGCATGTCTTCTTTTTAATTTGAATTCTAAATTGATTTTTATTTTCTTAGTTTTTATGAAAATATATATTAATTTTCTTGGATTCAAACACATGCTTTCAAACTAAACTTGTACGCATGAATGCCATTTTAATACTTCTATATTGGTTGTTTATGTTAGTAAAAATATATAAGCAAAAAATATAACTAAAGAATAATGTTAAAATATCCTGAAATTTGCTGAAGTTATTTATCAGCTGAAGGAGCTTTCGGGCCAAGACTATGGAGTTTTCTAAATACAGAATCATGTCATCTGCAAACAGGGATAGTTGACTTCCTCTCTTCCTATTTGGATGCTGCCCTTTATTTCTTTATCTTGCCTGATTGCTCTGGCCAGGACTTCTAATACTATGTTGAATAGGAGTGCTGAGAGAAGGCATCCTTGTCTTGTGCCAGTTTTCAAGGAAAATGCTTCCAGCTTTTCCCCATTCAGTATGATATTGGCTGTGAGTTTGTCATAGATGGCTGTTATTATTTTGTTGTATGTTCCTTTGATACCTAGTTTATTGAGAGTTTTTAACACGAAGGAATGTTGAATTCTACTGAAAGCATTTTCTGTATCTATTGAGATAATCATGTGTTTTATGTCTTTTTCTCTGTTCATGTGATAAATCACATTTATGGATTTGTGTATGTTGAACTAACCTTGAATCCTGGGGATGAAGCCTATTTGATTGTGGTGGATAAGCTTTTTGATGTGCTGCTGGATTTGGCTTGCAAGTATTTTGTTGAGAATTTTTGCATCAATATTTATCAAGAATACTGGCCTGAAGAGGATTTTTTTTTGTTTTTCTGATGTCTCTACCAGGTTTTGGTATCAGGATGATGCTTGCCTCATAGGATGAGTTGGGGAGGAGTCCCTCCTCCTCAATTTTTTGAAATGTTTCAGTAGGGATGGTACCAGCTCTTTGTACATCTGGTAGAATTTGGCTGTGAATCCATCTGGTCCTGGCCATTTTTTGGTTGCTAGGCTATTCATCACTTATTCTATTCTGGAGCTCGTTATTGGTCTGTTCAGGAAATTAATTTTTCCCTGATTCAGTCTTGGGAGGATGTATGTGTCCAGGAATTTGTCCATCTCTTCTAGGCTTTCTAGTTTGTGTGCATAGAGGTTAATGTAATAATGTAATTTTATAATAAATTATCTCATTCTGATGTCTTCATCAGACTCTTCAAGACCTAAAATTTAAAATGGCTATCCTTAGCCGGGCATGGTGGCACACTCCTGTAGTCCCAGCAATTCCAGAGGCTCAGACAGGAGAATTGCTCAAACCTGGGAGGTGGGGGTTGCGGTGAGCCGAGACTGCGCCACTGCACCCCAGCCTGGGCAACAGAGCGAAACTCCATCTCAAAAAATAAAAACAAACAAATAAACAAACAAATACATAAATAAATAATAAAATGTCTATCTTCCAACAGCTAATTTGATAAGTTACACTAGCCAGATTGTCTGTTAGTATGTTAGATCTGCTCTCTTTTCTGAGATAGCTAATGAGTACAGATTTACTTTATGTTTAAAGAGGGAAAGTTCACCCAAGCTCATTATAGAAGAAGCCAAGCAATGTAATTTAAAGAAGAAAGGGTGAGGTGGGCTAGAATAAAATACTTTGTTGTGTATTGTAATCCACCTGGCATTGGCTGACCATACCCACAATGAATGTTGAAGTGTGTCCATTTGTCTATTCTTTGAGAAGAGACTATGATCACATGAGGACCACTGGATTTCTGAGATGCAGGTTTTAAAAAGTACATCTTGGTTCACATGACTGCAAATTACAATAAGTTTGTAAATGATGCCTTAAGTTTAAATTCGTATTCCAGAGCAGACACAGCAGTCAGCATGTTTTACAATATAAGCATTTAGGTGCTAGCCAGTTTAGATGTATTACTCATCCCATTGTCTGCTGAAAAGACTGAGATAATTGATGAAGCTATTTTATTAGCAGTGCTGCATATTGAGTGCTCTTCCGAAGCCTCTTTTTGTTTTTATTTCATTTATTTATTTTTTGAGATGGAGTCTCACCCTGTCGCCCAGGCTGGAGTGCAGTGTCATGGTCTTGGCTCACTGCAACCTCTGCTTCCAAGGATCAAGCGATTCTCCTGCCTCCGCCTCCCAAGTAGCTGGGACTACAGGTGCATGCCACCACACCTGGATAATTTTTGTATTTCTAGTAGAGATAGGCTTTCAGTATGTCAAAGCCTTTATCACACTTTAAAAATCATTCTTTAATTTAACAGCGATATTAAGAGAGCTCTTTCATTCAGTCCAATTACCTGGAAGCAAACTTATTTTTTTTTTTAGGGGGTTAATCTTTAGGGATGAAACAGATTACCAGCTTTTGAACCAATTTAAGTAGAATCTCCAAAAACAAAGCCAGGACAAATAATTATTGGCAGTTCACAGAAGGCATTCTGTGCCCACTGCTCTGCTGGATTCCGTTAAAGTCAGCTTGCTTGTCTTAATGGGAAACACCTGTGGTCCGCAATGTAAGAAAAATCAAACTAACTGCTTTGAGACACTCAAACTAAATTATGGAAATAAAAATCTCCTCGTCTCAGCATCACCAATGTCCCTTTCTCCCTTGAAACA
The DNA here is from genome assembly GCF_000001405.40 of Homo sapiens. Taxonomy (NCBI): domain Eukaryota; kingdom Metazoa; phylum Chordata; class Mammalia; order Primates; family Hominidae; genus Homo; species Homo sapiens. The sequence goes on along the minus strand of NC_000001.11, from coordinate 80,899,452 downwards.
GATATTAAAGAGAGGCTGTTTTGAAAGTATTTATTTCCCTGAAGCATTCCGGTACCCTCAACATTGTCAATGAACACATCAGCCAGAAGACGACAAGTCCCCCAGACTCCATGGCTATTATTTCAGTGGCACATTAAATAATTTTAAAAGAGGAAGCTTGTAAAAAATAAATGCAAGTTGTTTTCATCTCAAACTTGAGTAATTATTGGTATTTCAGAGAGGCATAGAAATTATTTTCTCTTCCACTTATTACAGGTAAGATGTTTTAGATAATATGACTAAGAATAAAGGATGTGTTTGCCTTTTTATTTTTGAAACAGCTAGAGAAGAGGTAGAGTTGGGCATGTGATCTGATGAAAGGGTGATGATATCTGTAAGATACCTTATAATAAGTGTGATCATAATGATAAATTTCTGCATTAATGGCTGCTCAGAGGAAACTCCAAGGATTAAAAGGAGGTCTTTGAAAAACTATATATAGAACCACAACAAAAGAAGAGGTTGACTTGTTGGGGCAGAGGTGATGCTATTTTTAGCCTAAAGGTAGATTTTCTATTTTGCTTTCACATTCTCCTGGAAGAACAGCCGTCAAACTGGACATTGTAGAATATAATTTATTCAGAACAGAAACATTTCCCTGAGGCTCTAAAATTTGCAGGATACTAGAAAGGAATTATGGGAACCAGAATTTGATTATTTTTCTTGATAGGCATGAGAAAAAGGAAAGAGGAGGGACCCTCTTACCTGAAGCAAGGTTTATGAACTCAAATGTCCATGGAGGAAGGTGGAGATGGTGGCTGGCATATAATACAAATGAAGCCATCTAGGTATCTGAAAAATCTTTTCCTCAGGTTTTTTTCTCATGAGTCATAGGATCATACTGTTTTATCTTTCTTTCTTTTGATAGGGATTTTGATAGGGATATTGGTACTTTACAATATGTAAAGCAAGAAATAATAAATATGAACATGTAGTCTAAGTGTAAAAAAATAAGGCTATTTTGGCATCATGGCAAGCTGGAGAACATATATGTTGTCTAATTGAAGCAATCCAGATAATGACCACCACTTAGGTATGTAGCCCAGTGTTGCCCTGTCTTCCAGCTTTACAAAAGAAATTGGTTGGGAGGCTGAGGTGGGCGGATCACTTGAGGTCAGGAGTTCGAGACCAGCCTGGCCAACATGGTGAAAACCTGTCTCTACTAAAAATATAAAAATTAGCCAAGTGTGGTGGCAGGCGCCTGTGGCCCCAGCTACTCGGGAGGCTGAAGAAGGAGAATGACATAAACCCGGGAAGGGGAGGTTGCAGTGAGCCGAGATCATGCCACTGTGCTCCAGCCTGGGCGACAGAGCGAAACTGTCTCAAAAAAAAAAAAGAAAAGAAAAAAACTGAAAATCCAGATTTAATGAGGAGTTTTATGATTTTTAAGTGTGTCAATTTACTTATTCATTCCTTATTAAGTTCATATTGTGAAAAAGATTAATCTTCAAACATCGCTATATTTGTTTCCTTATTTTTTTTATAGCACAAAATTAGCATCTTTATGGGCTAGAAAATTTCTGTTGGTGACTGCTTTCTCACAGCAAGCAATGGGTTATTGAGATTGGGTTATGGAACTAAATGGGGTAGAGGGGGAAATTAAAAAATAAAGAAGGTCTATATGAGATACCCTCCAAAAACCTGGCAACTATCCACTTAAGAAACTTCTAGAAGACCTGGATTGTGAAGACTTGCTCATTAGGTAGTGAAAAGAAACAGTAGTTAGCATAAGAACAGAGTCTAATTTCCCCCCTTTTCTTGAATATGTTCAACTTTTATGAAATCAGTTAAATCTTGTTACTAAAGAACTCTTTAAATATTATTGGAGATTTCGTGTGCTTTTATGTTGGAGAATGGCAAATGATGCCAGATGCAGCATAGGTAAAACAGGTATACCCTCTGTCCTCGATCATTTAAGGGTAGTAGCAGAAACCCTCTGTAAACTTCTAAGCTCCCAGGAGTACGTGCATTCAGATTCAACTGAAGATTCTATACTTCTCTTATACTTCCTACACTCCAGAACATACTTGGAGAGAAATAAACAAAATACCAGGAGGGAGGATTGTTCTCAAGAAGAAGAATGTGTTGGGTTGTTCTGTTTATAACATAAGATGACTGTGTGTATCCCCCTTTTCCCTGTGAATGAGTGAGGCCCATTCTGTAGCATGAATTGACATGGTTTAATAAGTTGCTCCCAATGACACTGCAGGAAACTGACTTATACGTCTGTCCTAGAAAATCTGTGTTAGTATTTCTGATATATTTCCTGAAATAATCATGTTGGGTCAAAGATTACACACACTTAATTGTAATGCGTAATAAAAAAAACAGCATCAAAAGAGACAGTGACATTCCCTCTCTGGTGGCCAACAGTAGATATTATCCACATGTTAAATATTTGCCAAACTAATGCCTTAAAATGGCATTTTACTCTTTTGGTATCCAGGGAAGTTGATCATCATTTTCATGTAAAGTTAATTATTACATTTTGTAAGGAAATTATATAATGCTCATTAGGAACTAATAAATCTTCATTTAACTTTCGTGGTGAGATCACTTTCAAAAAATCAAGAAAATGTGAACAATGTTTCCAAGTACTGGAAAAAAAAGTTTACAGCATTTATGTTGAATTTAATAATAGTGACCTGTGACTTGAATGATAACATATTTTAGTGGATAGGCAGCTGCTAGAAAAAACAAAATACCCCATATTCTAGTGATTACAAGAGCCTAGCAAAATGGCAATACTGGTAATTAGGTATTTATTTTACATAGTATTAAAAAATAAGGCCTTCAATGTTTATTTTAAAATATTGAAAGACATTTAAAACATTTTAATGTAAAAAGTGAGCACACTAAAATATAAAGTAAAACAATGGATATTATATAATGTGTTCTCATTTAAAGCAATTTTAGTAGATACAATTTATAGAAATTTAAATATTATTAAAAACACACTGATCACCTCATAAAAAGACCAAATTAATTAACCATACAAACTGAAAAGTAAATATTACTTGACTTTATTTTAAAAGCGATCTTTCAATACACAAAGTACATCAGTGGTGTTATCATTGATTCCCAAGTACACTTTTGGGCAAATTTTTTCATTCTGCTGATAAACTCATTTCTGAGTCTATACTAGCCTGAGGAAGGTAAGGAGATATTTATGAGCTAACTTCATATAGTTTCTTCTGATGTCTTCATCTTTAAATAATCCCATCTCTTATTTGATAACACTGAGAAATCTTTTTGGAAAAACTTACTGCTTTTTGGCAGGAATGGATAGTGAACCACAGGTTTGGTTTGAAAGACACTATTTCTAGTTTGTTCCAACCTTCTTTAGTGTCATGATGAATATGTGAAAATTCAGATGCAGAGTTCCCTGAATCATATTCCGCTTGTTCAAAAAGTCTTTGAAACAGAGTAAGAATTATACTTGGCACATGAGCTTTGTTTATTGTAATTTGCTTCCTCTTCTTGAGGATTTTGAGGTGTACTGAATACAAAATTTTAATACAGTGTATAAAGCTCTGAGGATGTGTAAAGAGATAAATGATTCTATTTTCGGGTTTTACAAATAAAAAAATGAAAGTTTTGCATCTACTGATATCTACAAGTATCATTTTCTGTACTTTAGAATATCTGCACTTCTTTATTAGTAGATGGGTGTGACACTGGATAGTGGGCTTAGTTGTGGCAGATGATGCTTTGTTCTGTCCTGGGGAACATTAAGAGAAAATCAGTCTCTCATAATATAAGAACTTTATAAGCTGCTGTAATTGAAAGCTGCTTGCTAAAATTGTGATAAACTGAAGTTGGGACAGGAAACAACTACATTTAATGTTTCTGAACTGAGATGAAATGTTTACCTCTATAGGTTGGAATTTAAGTTCCAAACCAAGATGAAATATGGTAAGTATAAATGTAAGTAATTGGGTATTTGAGTTTAAAAATATTAGTTTCAGAGTGCAGCATAATGACGTTAGCAATTAACACTAAAATATTGAGTGAGCTACAAAGGAATAAAACGAATCCAACAACTATTTAGTTATTGGAATATTATAGCCAATTGTAGAGTCACAAAATTCTATTGTTTTCTTCAGTGATCAGATTGCATCACTTTAACTGTTTTATGTTGTCATTGCTGAAAGCAACATACACCAGACTGGCCACTTCCTGGACAGCCAGTCTGTGAAAGGTGTTAAAAATCCATTCTTTGGAAATAGTGAGAAATATGGTTCTAGTTAACTTTGGTTTGCTCCAGTAACTGCTAACATAACTGTCAAAATAGGAAAATGATCCAGCTCCAGAGCATTTAAGAAATCTCTTATTTGGAATCTGGACATGTGAAAGGAAAAAGTCATTTATAATCTTCCATTGCTTTCTAAGACTGGTGTGCTGTACTAACTATAGGGTCTTTTGTTTGCTGAACACTCACACACAAAATCGTCATCTTTATCCTAATGGCATCTGGCACTCTTAAAAAGAGTAGTGGGTGGGGGTATAGGGTGTTGGAGAGTGAAGCAAGACAGAATTAAATTGCTTTGACTAAAAAAGGGAGAGGAGTTTAGGAGGTAGAGAACAGGAATGAAAAATCAAGCAAAAAAAAAAAAAAAAAAAAAGAGCCAATGGCTAAAAAGCTCAATAATAGGGTGGCCAGGGTAGGGGCACGGGAGGTTGATGGAGAACTGGTATAGCAAGGCTAAGAGAAGACTTGTCTAATTGGGGATTTTGGAAAAAAATGCTCTTGTGTATTCAACTTATGCTGTCTTTCATTCTAACAAGTACATATTTGGAAATTTCAACACTGTTTTTGGCAAGTGAAGGTTATTTTGGGGAGAACCCAAAGAAGAGGATAAGGGGACAATTGATATATATTATTTCCAAATATCAAAAATATAGTTTATATTAATTGGCAATATATTTCTCCCTGTCTCACTAAATAAATGTTGATCAATACTGAAAAAAATCAGGTGACAAATTATAGATGTGCCTGGAGCAACCTGTCCTGATGGTCACATTGTAACAAGTAGAATATTGATAAACTAGAAAACTTTTAAAGGAGGGCTGCCCCAATAGTATAGGGTCTTGAAATTAGGGTAGATGAGGATGTTTTGTAGTGAAACATGACAGTATAAAAATAAGAATTGAAGGTGTACATTCAGGGTAAGGAGAGAGAGTCCACACTGGCTTTGTGTAGCCCTGTATTGCAACAGGCAGAACCAGGAACAATAGAGGTTAGTGATAGGAGAGTTAGACTGGTTTTAATATAAGAAGGAACTTTCTAGTAATAGTGTAGTTACTTTGGGAAGTCACCAATACCATTCAAGCAAATATTGGGTATTCATTTCTTAATTGTTATATTAGATCTATATATCTCATCTGCATAGCCTCTACAGTTAGTAGAGGTGGAATTCTACAATTACACCTTTGGTTGGTTGTTCTTTCATCAAGTAGTGGGTTTGGCCAGTTCCTTCAAACTGTGGTTCAATTCAGAGCAAATAAATAATTCATGTATCATTGGGTTCTCTAAAGTAGAAAAATAGAGTCTCACATTTCAACCAGTTATATTAGCATTATTTAAATTATCATAATTTCCAAAATTGAACTCACCTCTTACATGTTTTGAAAATATAATTCACAAACAAATGTGATTTAAGTTACCATTAACTCTCATAAATAAGGGGAAACAACAAAAAATCTCATTTGAAATATAATTTCAGAGTTTTGAAAATCAAGTTTATTCTTAGAAATGTATGTGAGGAAGAAAAGCATGGGAGAACAGATAAGAGATAATGAAATAAAAAGGAGGAGAGAGAGGAGGAGGAAAGAAAAAGAAAAAGAGGAAGAGAAAGGGAGAGAACAGGGCAGGATCAAGTGTGAATATGTGTGTGTTCTATTTCCCATTCCAGTGCCTTTCAACAGGAGGACTGGAAGAGCAATGAGAAAAAAAGATTTATTTTTTAAACATGTACAGTTATGGAGAAAAGGTCACGACATGCCAAAATGTTGAAAAAAAGCAGCCCCTGAGCTCTGACTAGAAGGATTATGAAACTCCAAAAATACACCAGACTGTGAGAACTACCACCTACATTTGCAATGTTTTACAAGTTAAAAATGTCACAGTGCATAAAAATAGGTTTTTTCACCCCTATGGACTGGTGGTTGGTGGTTTAACTTGAGAACCAGACTGCTGCGGTAGTTTGAATAGCCTGAATATGCATTCACAGCATGGAAATAAAATGAAAAATGGCTTTCATCAGACTTTTCTTGTGTCCAGGAAACATATTTAGTCTTCTGTTTCCCTCAACGTCTTTTTAGAGAGGGAAAAAAAAAAGAATATCTGTGTTTTCAAAAATGCTTGTAATCAATCCTTTCAAATCCAAAGTGATTGTGTCAGTTTTTGTCATGATTACATAAAGTTCTTTTCATGATTAAAAAAAAAAACTAAGCTGGCTAGGAAAAGTAAAATATGAAACAATGCCACACAATTTCTTAAGAATAGACTGATTTCTAAAGATATGCCGTGAAACCTGAACAGGCTTATTTTAAAGGCTTAGTTTTTCTGTGTTCAGCACAGTAACTCACTGTTGAAAAGCTTCCAGCTTTGATCACGTACACACAAACAAAAGGGGCTCTCTTCCAATCTCCTTGCATTCTCTGTTCAGACAGCTCTAGTTTTCTCTTGTGGATCTTCTGCTTCACAGTCCTAGGGCATTAGTAAACACCAAAGGTGTCCCAAACATATGGCTAACCACAAGGTTTCCGTGTGGGGTTGGCTTTCAGTGTATCTGAGGATAACACATTTCAAACAGCAACTCAGTCGGTGATTCCCTGAGCCTAGCAGGTCTTCATTTGGCTCCAAATGATCTGGGAGTGGATTTTTCTGTTTGAGGATTACCCATTTCTGTAATGGCCCAGCTTCTGTTCCTTTGACCCTTTGGTCACCTCTGCATCCTGGTGATCAAGCTGCAATGATAGCTCATTCAGTTGTTCAGCTGCAGCCCCTGGTAAGCAAGGTGGGCCCACAGGAGCAGGTGAAAATGACCCATTAGTAGAAACAGAAGCTTTAAAAAGAAAAAAAGCCTCATATGTTTAATTCACCACTGAAGGCTTTTATTTCCCCCTTGAACTTTTTTTTTTTTTTTTTAACTTGTGGTTTTCCTTTTAACCCTGATGTTGGTTCATATAATCAAAAAATTATTGATAATGGAGAGTTGAAGGGCTCGTTTTTTATTTTGCATTCTATCAGAGGGAAAAGCTAAGAAACTCTTTGAAGTCCTTAAAACATCTGGGGTAGCATAAATGTTTCCACATAGTATAACTGAGGAACAAGTTATCTTTCTTTATCCCCCACCGCCTTTTTTTTTTTTCTCACTTCATCTTTGAAGATACAGTTTTCTCTGCCAGGAACATTCTTTTACTCCCTCTTTTGCTAAATTCCTTGAGGAAACTAATCAAAGCAGATGTCCTGGAGTTCATTGTGTTTCTTTTGTATGCTATTGTAGATTTGGACTTTACATAAATCCTATTACACTTACAATTAATTATTAAGTATGTAATAATTATGCAGGGGTTATCTGTTTAGTGTCCATCTCCCCCACACTCCAAGTGGGTTGAGATGGGCATTGATTTTTTTTCATGTACATTTGTGGTCAGCAGAATTCCTGGCCCTTGTTGGAGACACTCAATATTTGTTGAATTTAAAAAATGATTAAATATATGAATTAATGAAGGAAAATCTCAGTAACCTTTTTCTTGGCTTTCTAGATTATTTTTTAAAAGTATCTTTCTTGGTGAATTCAATAAACTTTCTATACATTGGGCAAGTACTTTGGGCAATCTAAAGGCAGGATCAAGAGACATCAGATCTTATTTCTCTGAGTTCCTGCTTTTCCTCACATGCCATACTCACTGTGGCCAGCTCAGCGTTTTTGTTTTGTTTTGTTTTTTTGTTTTTCCTGAGATAGTCTTGCTCTGTTGCCCAGGCTGAAGTGCAGTGGCATGATCACTGTTCACTGCAGTCTTGACCTCCCGGGCTCAAGCAATCCTCTTGCCTCAGCCTCCTGAGTAGCTGGGACTACAGATGCATGCCACCACACCTGACTAATTTTTGTATTTTTGCAGAGACGGCGTTTCACCCTGTTGCTCAGGCTGGTCTCGAACTCCTGGGCTCAAGCGATCCACCTGCCTCGGCTTCCCAAAATACTGGGATTACCAGTGTAAGCCACTGTGCTGGGCCCAAACTCAGTCTTTAACTCTTATTTTGGTACCTCTGAGAGAGCAGAAATAAGGCAAAACACAAGCAGATGGCAGTGACAAAGAGGAGAGGAGCCTCAGGGCTAGAAGAGAGTGGAAAGTGAGCTGAGGTGGGGTTTACTGTTGAACAACCAGGCTTGACTTTAAATTAGAAGTTGCAATTGGTTGAAGCAGACCTTTCAATCTCCCTGTTTTCAAAAAACATCTCTCTGTGAGATTTTTTTTTCCTTCTAAAAGGATCTCTGTCTTAACTTCCAGATTCAGTGATTACCTCCTAAAAAAGCAGCGTGTCCTCTGGGGGTATCGTTCAGTCCTTCAAAATGTCTGTGCTATACCAAATGTCTCTGCTGTGTCTGAATACTGAGGGGCCTGCTCTTCCTAGAGGGCAAACTGAAAGGAAATTAGGCTGTAGAATCTGAGTATCTGGATTTGAGTCCTTACTTATTTGGTGAATTACTTCACTGCTCATGCCTGCCTTTTCTCATGTGAATGTCCACATCATCTACTTCGTATTTTGTTGTAAGAATAAGATAAGGTATTGAAACATATTATAAATCTTACACAAATCTGTTTTTCCTCCTTCTTCCCAATACAGGATAAATATGCCCTAAAATATTACCGGATAGCTCTATTTTATGCCATCTACCATCTTCTACAAGCAAAGCCTGAAAACCATGCTACTTTTTTTTTTTTAATAATAAAACATCAGCAAAAGCTACTGTTTACTAAATGCCTGCTGTAGTGAGGTGATCTAAATAGCAGTAATCAAATTTGAATAATTATTTTCTTTTATAGATTTAGAAACTAAGACTCAAAGTTTGTGTGGCTGCATTTTCAATCCAGTTCTGAGTAGAAACACCATTTTTAAAAATCTCTATCCACAATGAAATCTTTCTTTTAAGAGGAATTCATTGATTTGTTGAGAATTTTAGATACTTGGATAGATTTGTGGAGGAAATATTAAAAGAGATGGGAGTCTTTAGGCTTCCAAAAAGTTAACTTTAAACTCATGTTTTAAAACTGCACATGTGAACAAAATTTACATATAATTTCATGGATTTTATGAATTGCCTTAAGCCAGTTCACAGATCTTTGGCTTAATAATCCCTGCATTAAGGTATAATGAGCCCCATGACATAAAATTCCTTTATAGTAAACAGCTAGTTTGGGACTCTGAGGTCAGAAGAAAGCTAGCTCAATGTGGCACACGTACAGCAAACCCAGATTTTTCATAGGCAGCACATATGACATTTTGAGACCTTATAGTTGTTTGTTATTAGGTCTGTCCTGTGCATTGTAGGATGTTTCCAACAAGCATCCTTGTCTCCTTCACCTACTAGGTGCCAGTAATTTGTGTACCCTACTCTCCAGTTGTGAGACTACAAATGTCTCCAGAATTACCTACCATTCCCTGGAGGTAAAGATCTCCTCCAGTTGAAAGCCACTGAGCTAAACTCAACTGGGTGCTAAGGCAGTATGTTTAGGCATGAGCCCCTACCAGTTGATGTTTGATGTTGCTGAATTTATGAATGTTTGTGTTTATTGAGCCATTAAAGCTTCACTTTCAGAGTGATGTGGGGGTCCTTGGCAGCTGGCAAGCTGATTAGTTTTGCTTTTCTCCCCAAGGGAGAAAAGGTAAGGGGTGGTGGTGAGTGCAACTGTGCTCCAAAATACTTCCATCTCACATTTCACCACTTAAAGATTCATTTTAGTTAACTAACTACTTTTTCGGAAAGTAACCTACCCTCCCCAAGGGAAGATTAAATCATATTTGCACCTAATTGTGATTTTCCTAATTAGGTCTTGCTAAAAAAAAAAAAAATGTTTAATCTTTGAAAGCACTAGGCATCAGTTCAAGCCATGAAGAAGAAAGTTAGGAGTGTTGTATTCTAGAACCTAGGGTCACTGGGTTTCTGAGGGGACTGGGATCTGGAAAGCCACTGACATCACCTGCTTTGTAATCACGGGCAGTGTCCTGCCTACAGAAATGACCGAAAGGAAGATAATAGTGATGATCTGCAGCATCTCTCCTTTCCCTGACCCCGCACCCCGCCCCAAAATTTTTATTTATTTTAAGTAGAAAAGGAGTTGGGCAGGGAGAAACAGGAGTGTGCGTGTAAATAACCAAACAACAGGAGTGTGTAGTTATTTGAATTAATCTCATTTAGTACTCATCTCAATCCCAACAGTGAAATTTACATTTGATATTTAAAAATAAGGCTCAGAGATACTAAAGAACTTATCTAACTTCAAACATTTATTAATTGTTAGAGTTGATGTCTGACTCCATAGCTCCTGCTTTTCTCTTGCCTCCATCCTCTCCATTCCCTCTCTTCATCTTCTCTCTTTCTCTTCTCTTTCTCCCCACTTTGTTCTTTCCTTGACTATCTGGATAAATGTATATGTAAAATATAAAATATAATAATTAAATAGGTTCCCATGAGCCACTATTCAATTTCACAATTAAGGCATCGCAAAGGTCATTGTGTTTACTTCTATGATTCTTTTTCTATATTCCTATCTTTCCCTACAGATAAGCATTATCTTAAATTTAGTGCTTATTGTTGCCTTGGCTTTTAAAACTTTACACACACACACACACACACACACACACACACACACACACACACACACACACACAGTTACCCCTCCGTATGAGCAAGTATTGGTTGCCGAACTCCCTGTGGATACTGAAATCTATGGGTGCTCAAGTCCCTGATATAAAATGTGTTTGCATATTACTATGCTTATCCTCTCATATACTTTAAATCATCTCCAGATTACTTATAATACCTAATACAATGCAAATACTATGTTAATAGTTGTTACGCTGTATTGTTTAGGGAATAATGACAAGAAAAATGTCTGTGCATGCTCAGTACAGACACATTATTTTTTTCTGAATATTTTCGATCCATAGTTGAATCCATGGATGTGGAGCACACAGATTTGGAGCGCCAACTGTATTGTATATATGAATACCTGAATGACATACAATCAGAAACAGCTAGAAACCTCTGGCAGAAGCCATTCAAATACATGGGTAGGATAAGTTGAATTACCAACTTTAAGTGAAATTCTCTCAGCCTAAAACAAAACTCCCATCTTCAAGCAAGTACCAGAGAAAGACATACAATCTATTATTTTTAAAGGGCTGACAAATAAGACAATCCAACATTGTCTTCCTAGGAGTCATCTATGTTTTGGCCTGTAGCTAAAAGTCATTGATTTTTAAAGCTCTAAAACATACTATCTTATGACTGTGTCGTATTTATTTAATAATTTTTTCCATCATTGGATAGATGAGTCCCTTTCACAGTTTTTCTATTATAAATTGTGCTACTATGAACATTTGACTACATGTTTCTTGGTTCAAGACATCTATCCATAGGTGTATCTTCTAGTATTATAGCACAGACTCCTGGAAGTGGTATTGTTGAGGCATAGGAAATGCGCAACTCTTTGAGATGCTGCCAAACTGCTTTCCATGAGGATTTTTCCAACTTATACTCCTCCCAGGAATATCTGAGAGTCTGTATTGATGTGCATCATTTCCTACACTTGGTATTTCAGACACTTTGCCAATCTAGTGGGTGTAAAGTGGCATCTCATTATGATTTTAGTTTGGATTTTTGTAATTCCTAGTGAGGTTGAGCATCTTCCTATACATTTATTTGCCAGTTGAGTTCCCTTCTGTGTGAAATGACTGCCCATCCTTTTGCCCATTTCTAGCTTTATTCTTTTTCTTATTGATTTGCAGAATTTTTAATAAAAATTTTAAACTATAATCTAGTTTATGTTTTACAAATATCTGATCCCAGTTTGTGCCTTGTCTTTGTTTTTTAAATAGTGGGCATGACTTCTGCATTTCATACTACATGTTGACTTCTCAGGAAAAGCAACACCGTTGCTCATATTGGTCTCGTCCGGTTTTTTATCTTTATCCTTAAAAATTATAGAACACTGCTTCGAGTATTCCTCCTTTTCAGGCTTTTGTGATTTCACTGGTGCCCAGCTATAATCTATAGTAAGTATAGAAAAGTTTTCACTTTGTCAAGGAATTGGAAATAAAGATGTGCTGGACATATGTTCATTTCAGAGGAAGCAAGGGGGTAGGTGTGGGCTAGAGTCTTCAGCTTATATAGCGAGACGGCAGCACCTGGACAATTGCATCTTGGAGGCAAGATTAGACGTATGAGGCAGAAATTGGCTTCTTCCTCAGAATGAAACTTACAATAGGGAAACTATTTGTCCCTGGTTCTATAATTTCTTCTTTTAGAGAGTAAGTCAACTGTATTTATCTTCCCCAAATTTATGTTTAGTTTCTCCACAGTGCTGGAATTCTAATAATTCAAAATTGATTAGAGTTTAGAAACAAAATCCCCAGGTAACTATTTTTTTTTTGTGGCTTTTACTTACTTCGAAGTGCCAAGTCTAAGGAAAGAGTCTATTTAAGTTAATTTACACCTTGGGGATACAGGCTTCATTTGGGGCTTGCAGAATTCCAATTAAATAGAATTAGGGACCCAACTCACCTCATCCATTTGTGAGAGTGTCTTCTGGAAAGGAGAAAAGAAGAAACATTTTATAATCCCATCCAGACAGAAAACTTGGACTATGGCTACTGCTTATTGAAGGACTGGAGGCACCTGCATCATTTCTTGGAATTAGAAAAAACTATGTGTTTGGTTAAACTTTTTCTATTTTTCTTCCAGATAAAGCCAGGAATACTTTAATTGATGGGTAAAATAAATGTGATAATGGACATTGACATACCTTGTTTAACATTCATCTGATAACCATATAGCAGAATAATGATTTCAGATATTGCTAAAGATGTATCAAATAATCTTCATTTTTTATTTCATTTAATTATGATATAAATGTGCATGCTTGACCTTTAGTTGAGCCAGGTGGTATAAGTGATTGTTAACAGTGCAGCAGAGTAAATTGTATACATTTCTGGGAAGAAAATGCGAATCATTTCACAGAAAGAACTTGGTTAAAAACTGGGCTCTAGTAATGTCCAGTTTTATGACTTTATACAACTTACTCTCTTGAGAGCCTATTCCATAGCGTTTAAAATGGGTCAACTATTTAATTCCCAGTGATGCTGTAAGGATAAGGAAAGATATGTGTATGAAGTCTGGCATGAAGTAGATGCTCAAAATCATAACTATAATACATTAATGATTTCCTTACTTTTTGCTAAGAATATTTGGTTCATCTTAAGGTTTGTTTTTTTCATTAAATAAACTTGGTAACCATCTAATCCCCCTTTCCTGATTATGAGGATAAGGCAATTTTCAAGTGAACTTTTAGACTCTCTTAAAGTTAGGATGGGATTATAGCTTTTTAAATGTATAAAGTAACTATTTGTTTCTTTTAATAATCTCTGTGGGAAACATTACTAAGAGTGTGTGCTGAGAAACGAGAAAGTATTTAATAGATCCTTTAGGTTTACAGAAATGACTGATGACAGAAAAACACAAAATTCATCAGATAAGCATAAGTGAGCAGTACTGATAAATTTTCAGTACTATCACAGAGTAGCATGAAAAATACTTGTGTAAGTAAAGCCAATGGGGAGACAGACTATTAAAATCATCTTGGAAAGGAATATATTAGTGTCTGTTAAAATTTACATATGGGCAAATGTTTAACTGACAAATCTTAGAGAATTAGCTAGCATATAATATGACCAGTAACTTAACCAACATTTATTGAGGGCTGTGAAATACTATGGAAAGGGCAGTAGCTTTAGATTCAGATGCGACTGGGTTTGAATATTGGCTCAATTTACTTTCTATTTGTTTAAGTTCAAACATATTTTTTCCCCTTTGAGTCACATTTTCCTTGTATATAGCATAGAACTAAAATGCTTATTGGGAATTAAAAATGTATTGCATATGAAATTCATAACAATACTTGAAAAGATGTAGGCTTTCAAAATATGGAAGCCATCAAAATAATAATGATCATAATTGGTTAAATATGGAAGCATAATATTAGGGCAGATATGAATAAATACAATAATTTTCCTAAAGTAATTTAAGTATTGGTCTAGTAAAGAAATAAAGTATAATTAAACATTGGCTAGAAATAAACTACCTTTAGAACATCTATGTATAGAATGTTGTAAAATCATAGAGGGCAGAGTTCCAAACTGATGAATTCAGTTTAAAAAATGGTAATTTGATGGACAGAATACAGTAAGGATATTACTAGCAGGGGAATTACATTTTTTATGGCAGTAAATGCAGGAAACAGCAAACTATTTAATATGGCTTAGCAAATTATCCCTCAAAATTTAGTATATGTAAAGATTACCTGGAAAAATTCTTAAAAATATAGTTTTCTAGACTTCTCCTTAGGAAATTATGATTTGTTGCTGATGTAAAATACCACAAAACCTACATTTTTTTTTTTTGAGATGGGGTCTCTCTCTCATAGGCTGGAGTATAGTGGTTCAAGTAGAGCTCACTGCAGCCTTAAACTCCTGGGCTCAAGTGATCCTCCTGCCTCAGCCTCAAGAGTAGTTGGGACCACAGGCACAGGCCACCATGCCTGGCTAAAAATCTACATGAAAAAAAAAAAGCAATGAAGTGATTTTGATGTAGGTGGTTTTCTGACCCTTTTAAATGCAAGGGCCTAATAAAATATAAAGTATAGATTGGAAATATTCAAGTCAACAAGTCAAATTAGAACATTATTAGGAGTGTCCTGGTCAGAGAAAATCAGACTTCCCAGCAGAAAATGTTGTGTGAGATATCAAGGACATAGATAATAAAACTTGATGACTGTTTTCTTGTAAGGCACACAAGTACATTGAAGGCAACTAAAAGTTGAATTCCCCATGGTTGGCTAATCCTTTCCTCCTATTTGTTTTTGATGTACGACTCTTCACTTATATTTCTTCTCTACCACTCATTCTCTCCTCCTTTTAAGGAAGGCTTACGTATTGATGCTTCTTCACAGAGTGATGCTTTCACTACCATTTTATTTTTGGTGGGCCATTCCCTGTTGAAATACAAACATACCTGCACATATACATTAAATATTCATAATTGATTCATTCTTAGGTTTAATAAATTTATATAATCCTTTTCTGTAGGCTATCTAGATGAAAAAGCTCCACGTGGTGTTGTAAGGACCACTGGAAAAACAGTAAAAGGAGATCTAGAGTTATTCTTGGTCGAGGTTGTCAAGGAAAGGGTGGAAATTATGCTAGCCCTCTGTATAAGATTCCAGTGTAGTTACCACCAGAAATTACAAGGGCCACTAAACATATTAAAAATATACCGACCTTCCTAACTAAGGAAAAACAAATAAGATGCTATTATACCATTTTATAAAAAACAAAAAAAATTATCAGATAAGCATAAGTGAGCAGTATTGATAAATTTTCAGTACTATCACAGAGTAGAGTGAAAAATGCTTACGTAAGTAAAGCCAGTGGGGATATAGACTATTAAAACCATTTTGGAAAGGAATCTGTTAGCATCTGTTAAAATTTACATACAGACATATCTGTAAAACAGCATCCCAGTTTTTAGGGATTGTTGATTAAAGATATAAAATCACCAATATGGACAAGTGTACATATAAAGACATTTAATGGATTATTTTTATTGGCTCACAAACTGAAAGAATCTTGAGTGTCTATTGATAGACAGAGGGTTAAAAATTATGGTATGTATCTAAGAAGAAATATTAGTCAGCTATAAAAAAATGAGTTGGATCTATATGTATTGACCCAAAGGAATGTCCATGATATATCATGAAGTGCAAAGAGTAAGCTGCAGAGTTGTTGATATAGAACGTTGTGATCTTTGTGATAAACAAGGTTTAGAAAGACACCTAACAAACTCTCATACTTTTCATGACCTCAGAATGGTAAGATTGAGATTATGTCTGTGTACGGTTTGTATTAGATTGGTGCAAAAGTAATTGCAGTTATTGCCGTTAAAAGTAATGACAAAACCACAGTTATGTCTGTACCAACCTAATATTTTTATGCAACTATATATTGCTAATGTAATATTTTAAAATGTAACCAAGTATAGCAGAGAGGATGAGATTTGGTAAGAAAGGTGGCACCTACTGACAACGGGTTCAATACATCGTGTTACAGGTGACACACATACTCAAAATTAAGGCTCATCCTTGTATATCAAAAGCTGGCAATTTTTATTTTTTATTTTTGGCATGGATAATGTTTGAAGCCAAGAATTAGTGATAAGTTATTGATCAATTTCTTGTAATATTTATTTTCCTTTAAAATTAAGGCTTACCTTACAAAAAATGAATTATTGCCAAACGTTTTGAAATTTTGAACAGAAATTCCAGGAAGCCTGAAGCATCTGGGTAATGTATGAGTCACAAGGAAGGAATCTATCACTATCTGGACAAAGCTTTTCTTAAAAACATAAGCAGGGCAATAGGTCATGGGCGGTCGATTACTTTATTTGTAATGACATAAGTAAATATTAACAGAACTGCACTCTTCAGAATAATTGATGACTAGTTAAAAGGAACTTATACATTTCTTATGCAGAGTTTTAAGGAGTTGATTTTATCCTCTTTTATTCTTCTTTTACCACCCCTTTTAGAGATTTTCTGGGAAATAAAGAAAGTGAGTAGTTTCCTAATGAGAAGTTTCTTTTTACACCCAGGGAAGGGAGGAATACATGTTCTCAGCAATTCTCATTTTGATCATTTAATTTTATAATTGACTTAACACTTGGATCAAAAACCTTTCTCACAAAATCCATGTAATATGGATATATTAACATTAATTCTTCTTGACCATCATGTTACACCTTGTCACTCATTAATATGTTTCATTTACACATATTTATCAATCATCATATTTAGGGAAAGGGAATAGTAATAAAGAACCAAACAGACCAAGTTTCTGCCTCATGGAAATTGCTTTGTTTCAAAGTGATTATCAGACTGTTCTCTCCCTATATATCACGTGCCATTTCCATTCAGACCCAAGGAAGTGATCAGAATTTTTGCCCCCTTTTAATTGGCTATATTGTTTCAATTTAGCTGATATTTTAGACTTTATACTATATTGAGCACAGTTTGTAACTTGGAATTTTCTTGTATTTAGCAATACCTCATTTAATGATTTTAACTGCCTATTTTTTAAAAAAATTATATTTGACAGTGGTTTAAGTATTACATTGATATATTCACTCAGTCAAAAAATGATTGCTTCCTAAGTCAGGCACTATGCTAGGCCTTAGGATGATTATTCTAAGCAACAGTTATGGCCTACTGGGGGAGAACAGGTGATTAAATGCTGTGATACGCACAGGGCTGGCTTTCTGGGTGTGAAGTATATATAGTTACACAGGGCCCTGCACTCAGAAGCACCTGTGCTGGTTTTAACGTTCTGTTGTTGCTGTTTGGACAATCTCAATAGTTTTATCTTTGAACTTGTGCTCTGTTGTGCATTGGAACAATTGAGGATGTGTGTGATTGTAGGAGATATACACAATATGCATATCTGCTGTCATTTTTTTGCCTCCTCATTGTTATATACCACTTGTTATGCCCCGTGCATGCAGAATGTGTTTTTCTCTTATGCGTGAGAGTTCAGCAAGACTCAAAGATAGTACAAGATTACTGTGCTATGTCTATGACTGAGTAAGTGCACTAAGAATCTTGCAAGGTATATTTTCTGTTGAAACCCGAACTTGCTTCAAACACAGAAACAAGGCAATGATGTCTTAAACACAGTGGTTAAGGAGCCCTGTGATATCCTTTTTCTAATATTATTTCCCTGTGTTACCCAACCATTTGAATATGAGTACATAGAAGTGATGAGAAAGATAGGGCAATCCATAGGTTATTTTCCTGTCAGTTCTTCCTTACTCATCAGAACGATGAAGGTAGACAATGTAAGCAGAATTTGCGTGCATCAAAAAGTTTAATAAAAACAGTTGAGATAGTTTTGTGTTAGGTTTATATCATTCTAGTAAGAAAATATTACATATACACTAGCTATAAAATATGAAATGTGCAATTTCAGTGATTCTGCATATGTTAAATCCTATCATGTTTTCACTTAAAATTGACATTATAAAACATAAAAAGGAATAGTAAAATTCATGCTAATAATTAAGTATTTATAGATTTTTACAAGTTAGAATGACACTAAATACCAAATAAAGGCCGGGCGTGGTGGCTCACGCCTGTAATCCCAGCACTTGGGGAGGCTGAGGCGGGCGGATCACGAGGTCAGGAGATCGAGACCATCCTGGCTAACACAGTGAAACCCTGTCTCTACTAAAAATACAAAAAATTATCCGGGCGTAGTGGCGGGAGGCTGAGGCAGGAGAATGGCGTGAACCCGGGAGGCGGAGGTTGCACTGAGCCGAGATCGCACCACTGCACTCCGGCCTGGGCGACAGAGCGAGACTCCGTCTCAAAAACAAAACAAAACAAAAAACCATGAGAAATCTAGAGAGACCATAGAAGAAAGGAAAAAGCCTTACATTTTAATGACATTAGTGGCAGTATTTTTCCTATTTTCTTGAATGAGGAGTTCCACATTTTTTTTTATTGGGCCTCACAAATTATGTAACTGGACTAGATCAAGGAAAAACAGTTTTCACATTTTCCCGATGACACTCAACCAGAAGCAACAGAGCTGATACTGAAGTCTAGATGTGGATAATTCCAATGCTTTTTACCACTACAGTATACTGTATAAAAGCTTAGCTGTGCTATTATGATGATGGTAGGGATGTGGCAGAAAGAAGAGGGAGAGAAAAAAGTAGATTATAGATTATGAAGGAAGATACCGATTTGTCCCCTCTTCAAAACCCTGGTATAATGCTAACACTAGAAAAATGGCATTAGGGAATGTGATTATTGGCCTTCACTCTGACCGCTTTACCTGTGATTGCTGCAATTTGCCTTGTGGCAAGAGGAAGATCTTTGGATACGAAGACATTTATTATTTTTCGAACCATGTTTTACAGGCCATCAACTTGTCATTCTGTTTATAAATAAATTAGATTCTGAAAGAGGATTAGGGTTTATACTCTGGATTAATCATCTGTTGATAATCCCCTTGTATAATGTATATTATTATTTCATAAAAAGTATACACTGAAAATAAATACATAAATAAATATTTAAAAAGGGAACTTCAGGGTACTTTGAAGACTTTAGTCCCTTCTTCAGACATTAAAGGGGTCCAATGTACAGATGGCCCTCATATGTACAGGTTTCACGTTTGCTGATATTTGAAATAAAGAGGAAAAAGATAAAAATAATAAAACAATAAAATTAATGTGAAATATACAATATAACAACTTTTTACCCAGCATTTACATTGTATTAGGTATTTTAAGTAATCTAGAGATGATTTAAAGCATGCAGAAGGATACATATAGGTGCTATGCAAACACTGCACCATTTTACAGAAGGGCCTTGTGCATCTGAGGATTTTGTTATCTATGGGGGTTGAGGGATGGAGGTTGGGGACTGGTGAGGTTGTGGAGAAGTGTGTTTTGGAAACAATTTCCCAAGGATACTGAGGGTCAACTGGCGGTGATATTCACTCACCACTCCTCTTTTGTCTATAGCATTAACAGAAAGGATGCATGGGTAGCACATCCATGGTGTGACATAATCAAGGTATGCAAGGTAACACATACATAAAATAGTATGTTAAATGCAGATTATGAAATCTGAAATTTTTAGGCAAAGCCAGAGAAGAAAAAGAATATTACTTCAAATGTGGCTTAAAGGAAAATTAGCTAGAAGCATATAGTGTACAGAAGTGGAATTAAATCAGAATAGAGTTTATATCTTGTGTGTGTATTTAAAAAAAAAAATTTTTTTTTTTTTTTTTTACTATCCCTGAATGATAGTACATAAAAGAACAATAGTTACGATACAAGCCTAGATAGTCTTTAAGCATAAGGGATAACATGAATGTACAATTTCCAGATTATTAAAAGTTGGGCAACTTTTCACAAGTTTTAATTGCATTTAACCATCTGAATAAGTTAATTACATGATGAAAAGTATGAAACACTGAAGACATAGGTGGGGTATTTTATATTACTTTGTTTCAGAAAGAACAAACAATAAAAAATATATGTATTTATATACTTCTAGAGTGGCTGAAATCTGATATATCTATCAAATACATTTAAAAGCCAGAGTTTCATTTAAAAGTAACCACAGTTTTTTTGAACAATAGTGCCAATACAGGTCTAGATACTCCTCCAATATAAGGAATAACATGGGTGAGTATAAACAGTATCGAGGCCTGTATTGGGAACTCTTGTTCTTTTATGTACTATCATTCAGGGACAGTTAAAAAAAAAAAACCCAAAAAACATTGTGGTTATTTTTAAATGAAACTTTGGTTTTTAAATGCATTTGATATATCAGATTTGTAGATTAGAGGGGAGCTAAAGATTAACAATATCTCCCATATTATTTTCTAAATATTACAGAGAAGTATGAACTTGTTGATGAAATAAATGGTTGAATTAGTAACTGCTTTAACTCTGCTTCCAAGAGCTTGATAACAAATATATGTCAAATGCAAGGACAGTGTACTGTGCCAAGGCTGCTGTTGCAGACACTAGTGTCATGCCACCAAGAAGATAAACATATGAGAGTAAAGACTGAAAGTGATCTCAACAAGCTGAAAGAATGGATTGAAATGAATGAGAAAATCCTACAGTGATAATTGTAAAGTCTTGTGCTTTGGTTCAAAATATTTTGTGTGTCAATGTAGGATAGAAAAAAATGTATTCCACATTGTTGTTGTACTTAGTTGCTTTCACTGAGTGTGAGTTTAATATTTGTCAACAGTGAGTTATCAAAGCCAAAAAAGACAATCTGGTCATAGCTTGCATTAATAGAAGTAGAAAACCTCAAACAAAGGAGGAATTATCCCAGGAAATCAGAAAACAGTAGGGCTGACTACACTAGTCAGATTACATCATAAAAATTATATTAAAAGGCAGATTAAATAAACATTTGAAGAAAATGGGAATATTTTATCTATAGAAAGAAAAGTATTGGGGACACATGATAACTGCCTTTGCTTTTTAAAGGGATCATATGTAACAGATGGGTAAAATTTATTCTTGGCAACTCAAGTAGATGTATGACTTTTGAAAGGAAGTTATGGAGAGGCCGTGTGTAATCCAACAAGTTAATTGTAGCTCTTCCAGTAATGTCACCACTGCTGTCTATACCATAAGGGAAAGAAATGATTGTATCAAAAGGATACCTGCACTTGTATGTTTATTTCAGCACTAGTCACAATAGCAAAGATATGGAATCAACCTGTGTCCATCAACAAATGTATAAAGAAAATGTGACATATGTAACATATCATATGATATATATGTCATATCATATGATATGTTATATATATGATATATATAATCAATATGATAGATATGATATATATATATATCCCATAGAATATTACTCATCCATAAAAATAATGCAATCATGTCTTTGCAGCAACATGGATGGAACTGGAAGCCATTTTTCTAGGTCAAATAACTCAGAAACAGGAAGTCAAGTAACCCATGTTCTCACTTATAAGTGGGAGTTAAACAAAGGATACACATGAACATATAGAGTGAAATAATAGACACTGAAGACTACAAAAGGTGGGAGGGTTATGGTGGGCTGAGGATTGCAAAATTACCCATTGGGTACAGTGTTTACTATTCGAGTGTTGGGTACACTAGAAGCCCAGACTCGGCCATTACAGAAAACATGTGAGTAAGAAATCTGTGCTTGTACCTCCTAAATCTATAGAAATAAAAAAATAAAGCAGACTGGACGCTTTTCCAAGCTATGAATTCACTTGCATTGAAAGTACATAAGATGCTGGAAATTCAATTTACCATTGTAAAAGATTGCTTTGCTGAGTGACAGGTTGGACTAGATAAGCTCTGTTTCCTTCCAAGATACAACATAAATCAAATTGAAATGGGAAATCAGACACCATGTGAATGATGATTACTGCTAATAAAGCAGTATCTTTATCATAATACAAGTTTTCTTAACTTACTATACCATAGGAATATTCCTTTTTGTCTGCAGTGGCACCAGCCCACTGTTATTCATTTTCTACCATGTATTTTAACTTTGGAATAATTATTTGGAAAAACATTTTACTAAATTGAATTCACAATGAAAATTCTTCTGTTTGTAAAATAATGAAAACATAGGTATAGAAGTCATGATATTTAAACTGTTTTCTTCCCAGGTATCTGTATATGTTATCTCTCTTTATTTGTAGTTCTGACATTATTTTACAAAATAAATAATAAAACTTCAGCTTAATATTCAAAAAGTCTGAAGTATAACTAGTCATGGTTAACTGTGAAAATAATTATAAAATAAATACTTTTTCCCACTTTTTTTCTTGATGGTTTGCCAGTGTTCTATAATATTGGACTCTGGGATAAATGCTAAAGCTGACTGGATTTGATCAAAGCTCTTTCTTGTCATTTCCATCTCTTAAAAGACTCACCAAACAGACATGGTCAAAGATGAGGCAGCTGGGTTTATCTATTCCAGCCTCTTGTACAGAAAATTGTATGCTTTAAAAGCCAAGAAGATACAGTATCAAAGAAGAATATGATTCATCTTATTGTAAATGTAATTTTGATTTGTCCTATCCAATATGAGAAACTATAAATCACAGACATATTCAGTGAAATCAAACCAAATTATAAGGTAAACTTTAATTTTAAGCAGAGATGTTTAATTCATTCTCTTCCTAGAGCTCATACACCAGATCTAGGCAGATAGATATTTGAGTGTCAGCATTAATCCAGCAACAAAAAAGCAAAGCACGGCAAACAAACAAAAAACAACAAGTCAAAGTTCATGAAGTGGAGTTTACCCTGTCCTATACTTGCTGCTTCATAGTTGTAAACCACAGTAATGTGTGTGCCTACGTGTGATTATCAAGTTTTATTTTTCTCAGATGATGAGTTACAAGAAATATCTATGAAAGGTAGTTAACTCTTTCCAACAGAGGCAGGCTATCAGGGCAGCAAGTAGAAAGCTTTTGGCCTGAGGCCTACTGTTACTGGTAAACAACAATTTCTCGCACTGCCACTAAAATTTAAATTAAGTAGAAGGCAGGTTTATAAACTCACATTATGACCCAAACTTTATGTTCCTTTTATATCTCCTGGGTTCTGATCACATTGAAACTTTCTCTGTCTGAAGCAATTTAATACAAACATTCCTTTGGCAGACTACAAAATGTGATTTTTCATCAACCTTTTATAGGTTTGTTGAGTGCATATTGTACGCCCAGTTGGAAAAGGGGTTGGGGTGGGGGAAGAAGAACTGATAACAATGTAAACATTGCAACTTAGGAGTTGTACTCCCATGAAATAGATTTGTACATGAAAAATAATCAAAGATCTTCCTAGCCCATTTGTGTGTGTGTGTGTGTGTGTTTGTGTGTAGATGACAGATGAACAAAATTTTGGCCGAACATCTTAGTCTATGAACAAGTAGCACTAACAAGCTCAACAATTAGAAATTTTCTAGCCCTCAAAGTCATCTTCGATTCTCTCTCCTTTCCAGCCCCCACAAACTGTTTCTTTCTGAAAGTGGAAAATCTCTCTTTTGCCTGTGAGTCTAATTCTAAGCCATAACCTCTAAACGTGTAAGTAGAATGAAGAACAAGAGAATATTAAGGTTTCTACCTTGTAATTTTATTTTAATAGGTAAGCTAAAAATAATGCCAGGTGTTTTAAGAGCATTGTACTCTTAAAAAATACTGGGAAAAATCCAGTATGGAAAAAAAATATGGTGGGCACAGGTGCAAGATTTGAGCAGGGAAAACTGGACTAAAAAGAAATGTATGGGTTCTATATTTGCTGTGTAAAAATCCACAAATATACATAATGATGAAACCCTTGGAAATCTAAGGCACTTAATGTAATGGCTATTTGGTTTTGGAGTAGTCATTTGATAATACTACCATCAGTTACAACTTTTAAAATGACAAGTTTCAAATAATTCTAGCTCTGCAGAGAGAATGAAATTGCCAGCCAATTCAATTTTCTCTCAGCAATTCTTTCCTTACTTTCTCAAAGATCAGAATGTAAGGGGACAGATTGTTTTACATACGTGATGAAGATAGTGAATTGCTCGGAAACTAAAATTAGGAGGCAATGGCAACAATTATGGTGATGGGGCACCCATCTGAATCTCAGTGCTTGGAATATTTTTTAAGTGGGGAATCAGTTACTATAGAAAAAAATGTTAAAAAAATAAGCCATTTATTCCATCACAAAACAAAACAAAAAAACCAAAAACGGTAATTAGGACTGGTGATAGATGTATCAACTAAGTTCATTGTGGTAATCATTTCACAGTATCTATGTATACCAAATCATCATATAATATACATTAAACTTACACAAGTTTACTTCTCAATAATACCTCAATAAATCTGGGGAAAATAGACATTTAATATTGAAGGAAATGAAATCAACTAAGTTGGTGACATTAGACATATCCGTACAATGAGGGATTGTGTGTATGCCTATGTGTGTATATATACACACATATAAACAATGGAATATTATTCAGCCTTTAAAAAGAAAGAGAGCCTGTTAATTTTTGAAAACATAGGTAAAGCTGGAGAACATTATGTTAGGTCAAATAAGCCAGACATACAAAGACAGATACTGCATGATATCACTTATATGTGGAATCTAAAAAGTTAAACTCAGAAACAGAGAGTGGAATGATGGTTGCCAGGGGAGGGGGAAGTAGGGAGATGTTGGTCAAAGAGTACAAACCTTTAGTTATAAGATAAATGTGTTCTGAAGGCTTAATGTACAGCATGATGACTATAGTAAATAGTAATATATACTTAAAATGTCCTAAAAGAGTAGATCTTTAGTATTCTTACCACACACAAATGGTAAATATGTGAAATGGATATATTAATTAGCTTGATTGTGGCAATCATTTTACAATGTATATGTGTATCAAAACATATTGTACACCTCGAATATATACAATTTTTATTCATCAATTATACCTTAATAAACCTCAAAAAAGGCGACATTTAATATTGAAGCAAAGAAAACCAATTAAGTTGATGAAAAACTTAGTAACAGGTGAACAATGTGTCCATTACCCAGGGCAAGAGAAGGTAGACTGATGAAGTGCAGATAAACTGAGCTCTGTTCTGAATTTGGCCTGCTAAATATATTCATAATCTCTGCATTCCATTTGTGTTCCATTGTGGCCGCATTATCACTAATGGCCTTTCTACACTTTATTGGTATTGCATGTGTTCATAACCCCACTCCGTGATACTGGACCAAATCCCAAAGATATTAAGAAAGTAGATTGATGGGGAGCCCCTTGAAAGATGGCTCTTAGTGGACTGCCCCTGCTGTGGAATCATTCAGGACTGGGTAGTGGTCCCTAAATGTTGCTAATATGTCATCATTGCTTGGGTATTTGTAAATTTCAGCTGTACATAATTTTTTAAAAATGTATTTTTCATTTCCCTTAAGTAAAATAATATCTCATACCTTTTTGTTTTCTCAAGCTTCTGAAAGAAGAAAATATGTGGGAAAAAGCAATAGGGGTAACTAAAATGAAAATCTCCGTGTCTGAGTTTAAAGAGCATTTTCCCATGAGCATTTAAGATATTCTGTAGTACTGTGACTTTAAAAATCCAAGTTATTGCACTCTAACTTTGTAAGTCTATGATTTACTTAAGCCCCTTTCCTTAGTTCACCAAATATTTTTCTTTTGGTATCTTATTCCATACATTTTCAATGAAAATTTACAGGCTGGTAGCTACGTACTGAAAATAAATCCTGATTTTTCAACTATATCACACATGTACACTGAGTTCCCGTTTAACAAGAAATGCTTGAGTTTTCACTTTTTTTTTAACTGAGAAATTATCCAAATGCTACTAAGTCCAAGGTAATTAGCCTTTGCTTTTCCCAGAAAAAAAAAACTGTGATGAAAAATTATAATTTCTCTGATAACGGTTCTCCTAAAGCTACTTTTCTACAGTGCTCCCAGCTGATGATGTGTTTCATGATGGAAAAACATGAATTGTTGCAATTCCATAAAATAATTAAGTTGAGAAGTATCCACAGTACTCAAAATTGATTTACAAGAAAATGTCTATTTTTTTCATCTTCATGTTATACCAGAAGGAAATATCTTAGCACTGGAACTCAATTTGGAAACAAAATGAAAAAGCAAAATAAAATTGAAAAATAACAGCGAATAGATTTTTTTTTCTTTTCTCCCGGTATACATGTTTGTAAAAAGTACTACTGGAGGAACTGTGTACAGGTAATTTCAAAATATTTTCCAGAAGGAGAGAGATTCTTTGGCCTTCCAGGTTGATACAACTACTTTTAGTTTTATGGGTTAAAAAATAGTAGGCATTCAAATTAACAAAAGATACAGGCTTAATGTATAGACACTGCTTCTTGAAATTTAATCAGTTTTGGAACTATCTAATGCCTTGTATGAGATTGTTATTGCAGTGAAATGGCAGATATTAATAAAATCGTATTCACTGTAGGAGGCAGAAGATAAATTATCTTAAAAAAAAAAAAAGGTCCCTCATAAGGAGGACAACTACAGGTCTGTCACAGAATTTTAAAAACATGGGACATACAGCATAGTGTTTGACATTCACCCTTATCTCAACCATACCGATGGCCAATTGGCCAGTACTCAAGCCAACATTTTAAAGCATCCAATAGGATTATAATTCACATAGTGTAAGGTAATGGCTTAATTTTATTGGTGGGGCTATTCCTGTTAACATGGTCCATTTTCTTTGATAGGATAACTAAAACCTAAAAGGAAGAAGAAAATCAAACTAAGAAGAGGATTTAGAGAGGGATTCTCAGATAAAAGTGACTTTTCTAAGAGATGAGTACGGTATTATATAATTGCTTCCTAGATATGTTTCCTTTTTCATATTTATGGTATTTGTTAATTGAGTACTTTTAAAAATGTTTTTCATAATAATTAGAATAATGTTTTATTCTGGCAACAAAAGAAATATAAATTAATTATAGAAAATTTAGAATGGACAAAAGCTTAGAGATGAACATCAATGACAGTTAATATTTTGTAATTTATAATAAAAATAAATTTAGATTTAGGTCGCTTTATTTGAGGCACTGTGTTAAACACCTTAAAAGCTGTGCTATGTTTCTTAGAAATGTTTTTAGGCTGATACTGTTTTTAATACCAAGATATAATACTTAATATTTTGAAATGAATATAGATCGTTTTCCTCAGTGCCTGTCAGTTTGTACACATATATAAGCACACTCAAATTTCTTTCAACATGATTGTTAAAAATTGTTTAAAAAGTATAACACAATGTACTCTTTATGTTGTTTAGTAACTTTCCAAAACTTAAATTTTTTGTAAACATTTTCACGTTATTACATATTTTAATGGCATTAATTTTTAGTGTTTGGGTGGCCTTCTTTTGACTGCTATAATTTCTTTAACCCCTACTATTTGATACTTAATATTTCCCTGTGATAAATAAAATAATTATATAATTGTATTTGAATTCTTAAATACTTATATACATTTCAAAATTAAACTCTCCACTTTCTATGCTAAGAAACACTTTAAATTACATGGGTGTATTACTTGTTCTTTGAAATATTGAAAAGCACATTTGCCTGATATTTTTGACTCTAGCTCTTTCTATCAGAAGTTTCTTTTGATTAACTTACAGATTGTTTTCCTATCTTTTGGACTATTTGACCATACTTTTGAGTCCATTTAAAAAATACATGTATTTTATTTATTTTTTAAAGTTTATTACCCCCGATTATCCAGTAAAACATACATTTTTAAACCTTTTTATTTGTCCCCTTTGTTATTTACAATTTTTTGAGCTTTAGCAATGAATTTATTAGGTTTGGCAAAGTGATATTTATTATATTGAAGTTTTGGGGAAAAAACCTCCAGTTCTTTAATTCCTTTAGCAATTTTATTGTATTTCTGATTTTTAGTTACTGTGGAAAAATGTGAAGAGTAGTTATTGATTGATGCAGTAACCAGTGGAGTCTGTTTACTGTTTATAGTAACAGAGGACAAATGTTAATAGTTGGTGTGACCAATGATGTTTGTCACAAGAGATGATTCTCATCAGAATCATCACCAAAGTCTCTCTTGAGAGAAAGAGAGGGCTGTGCCTGGAGCACTTGACTCATTTGCCCTATTTTTCAGGAGAATAGAATCAACTTTCATGATATAATTAATATACTTGAGAAGAAGAAACATCAGGTTGTTGTTCTATTACTATAGCTTTTACCGAGAATTTTAATAACTTCTAAATAGAAAATCTGATGGGGCCTTAGCTAATTCTAAATTTAGCTTAGCTAATTAATTAATTAACTTAATCATCAAGTATTTTTGAGTGTCTTCTATGTACTAAGTATTGAGGTATTTGTTAGAAATATTAAAGAATATGTAATCTTTGCTTTCAAGAAGCTTATAGTCCAATGGAGGTGTCAGGCATAGATGTTTACAATGCAATGTGATAAAAGATACAATTAGAATATATACAAAATGCTATGGAAGCACAAAATATGTTCCACTTTTTAGATAAGTCATAGAGGAGTTTTCAGAAGTAGTGATACTTATATTAGATGGGAGTCTTTCACAAGGTGTATGTTTGAAAGTGATGCTTAAGAAATGGGCAAACCTACAGAGACCCCAAAATCTGGTCACGTATACAGGCTGTACTGGGGGATGCAGTAAAATTTATGCTTGGAACTGCATGCAGTAGGCCAGATTCTAACATTTGGAATTCATCACCTGGGTAAAGTCAGGACAGAAGAGGCCTAGTCATTAACAGTAGCTTTAGATCCTTGTCTAGAATGATGAGTCTATGGTCCGGAGCTTTGTCTGTCTTGTTCATTATCACATCCCCAGTAGATAAAGAGTTTCTGGCATATATTATGCCTGTAATACATAAACGTTGATGGAATGAATGACATTCAACTTCAATGAAGGACAATCATCTAAAGACAAAATTTCACATTTTGTGAGAGAGCACTTTGCAGCATCTGATGATATGTTTCAATGTTTCAATAGGTACACTGAGAGGATATGACCTCCCCTGATTTTAGAATAATTCCCGTAAATTTAATTATATTCACAATCCACATTATATAATAATTATTCTTTTCTCAAGTGAATCAATCAAAGGCTTTGGAGAATTCATTATTAGTATGACCTTATAAAAAGCTTTTAAAATATTGACAAATATGTCAAGATTTACATGAATTAATAAGTGACATGTAATGTTCCCACTGAACAGATAAATAGAAAAGTATTAATGAAAATCTCAGGAGTCAATGTTAATGACAACAAAAAATACAATTTTATATATGGGGTTGCTAATTTTCCTTGTGGGTTCTGGAATCCCAAATAACTACAAAACCAAAGTGCCCATCTTTATCTTGCATATCCATTCCCCTGCTTGTATGAGAAAGTTTTTTTAAAGAAAGATAATTAAATACATTTATAGCAGAGACTTTTTTAGGTAATGAAACTTTAGCAAATATATATAGTTCAGTTCCCTTCACTGATGATGCAATAATAGAGTAAGGTACCTCAGAATGAGGTTTATGTTGGGACTAAAAAGTTTTAAAAAGCTTGAACTTGGGTGCAGCACACCAACATGGCACATGTATACGTATGTAACTAACCTGCATGTTGTGCACATGTACCCTAAAATGTAAAGTATAATAATAAAAATGTGAACTTTCAAATGAATCACAAAAACAGGGAGGAGGCTATAGTTTTGGAATATATGTATATTTTTATAACCAAATTCTTTGAAAAATAATGCAGAACATAGGCTAAATATAATCATATTTATTTAACTATTGAATTATGAAGGTATTCTTATTCCTTGATCCATGTTGTACAAGTGAAAATATATCAAGTGCCTCAGCATATTTTTATGTTTTGTATGAGACAAGGAGTTAAAAGGAGAAACAGAGGTGACATGAAAGAAATGGAATGGCCTGAGACAAAGACCAGTTTGTTTAGTTTAATTAGGTGGTGCGGAGAGTTATTTTATTTTAAGTTTAACAAGGAGTTGTGGAGGTTATCCATATCCTTAATCTTCACTTCCTTAACAAAACCACACACATTTATAGCTTATAAATTATATTTTCTCTCAGATATATTATAAAATGCCTTTTTAACCCTAAAGAAAAAAAGTAGGGTAATATATGTTTTAAATAAAATAAAAATTTGTCATTAGGCTTTCAGGTTAGTAATTCAGGAGACTGAAAAAAATACATAGCTGTGGTTTATATGAGCAAACCAATCTGCTTCCTGAATGGATATGCAACTGTTCAAACTGTAGCTCACTGTATTAAATAATGTTTGGAAAAGATCCTGTGGTTATTTGCAAACCATGTTTAGATTTAAACTTAATATTTTGAGCCCAAGAGAAGGGGATCACCATAAACTCATCTCATCTGTCAAATAGATAATACACAAGAGGATTCTGGTAGTATAGCAGTAAGGATTTGGGAACTGGCTGCCAAAGGTGATAAGACCTAAAGCAGATTTGGGGAAATTAAATATTGTTTAATTTAACATTTAAAGTCATTAGTAAAGTCAAGTCATCACAGATAGGCTATAAAAGTAGAGAGGGAAGATTCTAAATACTTTATATGGTTTGTTGTAGGTCATTTGTGAGAGAAGCTTGTACTACATTTTTGTGTGCGGTACTACAAATTTGCAAATAGCAATGCCAGTACATATGGGATTTGTGCCTGCTGTTTTGACTTTAAAACCTCCCAATTAAGATAACTGATTAAATAAAAGTATAATATCTCAAGCACATCTGTACCAGTGACTTTAGTCATTCCCAGATGAGAATATATATGGTAACTAGAAGTAATTTTAAACCTGAAGTAAGAAATTTTAACCAAAATGTAATGAATGCTGATTAAATATATAATCAGATGCAAGTGTAAAATGTAGTAATACTTTTCCATACAAATATATCCGGCATTTACACAAACCCACAGGTAAAGGCACTGAAATGTTTTCATTCTGAACTGTTTAAATCTTACAGCTAGGAATTGCCACAAGGAATAGGCTAATCTGGTGTCCTGGCTGTCTTAAAGGACAGACAGTTGCCAATATTCTTATTATATTTCTCCTGGGATAAAGACTCAAGTATCAACCTATTCACTGCTTTACCATTCTTATGCCTACAAAGAACTTATTGTCAAATTATACTTATCCTAAATTTGTTATCCACTTTAAAAAGTGAATATATACACTTTCAATGAGTGTCTCTACAGAATTGTTTCAAAGACATGGAGAATAAATATACTGAAAGAACAAAAATGAAATTAAAAACACAGAAACAAAAACCCTTCACTCTGAAATTTCAGGGCCAAAATAGATCTCTTGATTTATATACACTGGATTTAAGTACATTGATAAAAATTTTATGTATAACAATATTTAATAGAAAAAAGTAGCCTAATTGATAATAATAGCTAATATTTACAAAAACAATATTCCAGGCACTGCTTTAAGCTCCTTGGATAAACTAACTCATTTCACCCTAAGAAAATCTGAGGAGGAAGATGATAATATTATACTTTGTAATGATGAAGCCATTGTGGCACAGAGCTTTAAGTTTCTCAAGTCACTACATACAGTAAGCAGTGGAGCCAAGTTTCTAATCCAGCCCCTCTGAATTCAGATCTGTTTTGCCCACCCTAATGTACCACTTACAGCACACCAATCTCAAGGGATTTTGGAGGATTCAATGACCTTATCCCTTTTAAGTTCAGAGGAAAAAGACTTGTATAATAAATGCTTGATAAATATTTCTTTTTAAGATAGTGATAATGATGTGATGATTGGAGTTTGTAACCTCCTGTGGATTCAATTTTTGGGTAGTGTAACTTACAAGTGAAACCTAGAGATTTCAAAAGTAAATATTTGGCAGCATTTGGTGATAATTTTTGATTTAGTGTTTTCTTCCATCACTGTGTAAAAGAGTCTCCCATTTGTCAATGAGTCAGCGTTTATGGAGCATCTATATTATATATAAAGTATAGTTACAAAGAGTGTTTAATGCTTTGTCTTAGAGAAGCTTCTATTTGACATGGTAAGTCAAAATATTCTACTCTCATAGAAGATTAAACATTTTAAGATCAACAGAAAACAATTGCAAACTAATTTAGTGCCAGCTGTACGTATGTAATAATAATTCACATTTGTATTGCTTACCAGGGGCCACATATATGGAATTCACATCTTCATGATGTTTGAGTCTCTAAAATACTCTCATATTCATAATTTTACTTGATCTCCAACCATCTTTATTTTTAACTGCTTCTAGACACCTCTACCTGTAAATTCCATGTTCTACTTATCCTCAGCCTTTCCAAAATCAAGCAGATTACTTCCCTGCTGAAACTCAGCACTTGTTCTATCTTCTTAGCTGAAAAATGATGGTTTGATGGTACTTTTCTATCACTTCGTAAAGTTTATTTCATTTTCTGGAAGACAGATGTCATATTTGAGATATCTCCATATCCCCATACCTAGTAAACTTCGTGGTTCACAGTATATGCTCAGTAAATATTTATGAAATAGATACATCCCAATTCTGTAGAAGAAGAAACTGAGGCTTAGAGAAATTGACCAGTGTGTTTTAACAAAGTGATGTGAAAGTGTGAATGGGGAAAGTAAGGAGAAGAGCAGAATGTCAGGTTTATTATGCAAATGTATCGGAAACATACACGAGGCAACATCTAACATATTTGCAATTGCTGCCATACTTTCTTCTTTATGTTTAGCCAAAATGCCCACCAGATAGCTATGCCAACCTGCCAGAGTCCTTATGGCAATCACCTACCACAATGATGTTTTCAAGGTATTAGAGAAATAAAAGTACAGGTAACTTTTTTTTTCTACTACGTTGAGATTTCTGTTCTAAATGAGAACAGAAATAATCAAGTAACCTGTTTTCAAATATTTACACACAGCTCTACTCAAAAACACTGTTGGATTGTAGATTACAAGAACCACAAAAGAAACACCTTAGTAAATTTCGAGTAAAGCAACATAATTTACTTTGGCATTGACCCTGCACAACTTTATAGAGACATGTCAAATGACTGTTTTGCTAAAAGCAGAGCAAGAAAGTTTTTCTTGAAACCCTTTGCTTAGCTTTACTCCCAAATGGGAATGTGAATTAAAGTGTTAAGAGTTTCTATAACTGGGTTTAATCCCTCACTAGAGCCTTTTAGACTGGACCTTTAACAAGGGATCTATTAATTCCTCTGAAAGGGATAGAGTTCATCCATCCCTGGGATGTATACAAAACAGAAGCCAGGGTATAAAACTTTCCTTAGTACTCTATTCACACTTTGATGGAAGAAGATAATATTTATAGGTAACAAAGTCTTTCTTAACCAAAAGTGAATCTGATGTCTTTAGTGTTCAAAGTTTCTGGGTGTTTTGGAAGCTACCATTGACTCCTCAGAATGCCCACAAAATCTCTTTAAATAACTTTCAGCTTCAGGCCCATAATCTGCAACTTGGCCTTTTTGAGCTGTTACACCAGGTGATGTACACTGACCTTTGAGATCCAAAGAAATAAAAAGTAGCTTGAACTTTATCCCATGCATGTGGGAACCTTGTACCATTCCGAAAATCTCTGGGGGTTCTGGTGCAGGCAGTTGACTCATATTTCTCTTGTCTCATCTGGTGTGACTCCCTTTATATGCTGAAATATTGAAGATACAGCTAAGCCAGTCATTGAATGCATTCTATGCCATTTTCTCATTCTTTAGCCAAAACAATGAATTCAGTTCTTCTGAAAATATTATTCACACAAGAAATTTCTGTATCTTGCACACAAAGGCTTAAAGTGATAAAATTTACAGCATGGCATCATATAACATTGAAATAAATACTGAAAATTAGATATTATCTTTCACAAAGCACCTTTAGTCTTGCTGCCAATGACATTATGGACACTATGTCTCTCTTTCTCACAGTCCCTCTGTGATGGTTAATTTCATGTGTCAACTTCGCTAGGCTACGGTGCCTAGCTGTTTGGTGAAAGCCTAGCCCAGATGGTACTGTGAAGGTATTTAGTAAATGTGATTAATAGTTACAGTGGGTTGACCTTAAGTAAAGGAGGTTATCCTGGATCATGTGAGTGGGACTTGTTCAACCAGTTGAACGTCATAAGGATAGAAACTGAGATTTCCAGGAGAAGAAGAAATTCTGCCTCAAGACCATGACATAAAAACCATGCCTAAGTTTCCAGTCTACTAGTTGACCCTACATTTTGGATGTACCAGCCCTCACAATCACACTCCTTAAAATAAATCTCTCTGTCTTTAGGCTACATATGTGCATATATATGATATATTTGTATACCAGTCCATTCTCACACGGCTATAAAGACATACCCGAGACTGGGTAATTTATAAAGAAAAGAGGCTGAATTGGCTCACAGTTCTGCACTGCTGGGGAGGCCTCAGGAAACTTACAATCATGGCACAAGGGGAAGAGGCATGTCTTACATGGCGGCAGTGAGAGAGAGCAAGAGCAGGAAAAACTGCCTTATAAAATGATTAGATCTCGAGAACTCAGTCACTATCTTGAACAGCATGGGGAAAAAAATATCCCCATGACCCAATCACCTCCCACCTGGTTCTCCCTTGACATGGGGGGATTATTGGGATTATAATCAGAGGTGAGATTTGGGTGTGGACACAGAGCCAAATCATGTCTGTCTGTCTGTCTGTCTGTCTCTCTCTCTCTCTCTCTCTCTCTCTATATATATATATATATATATATATAGTGTATATACACACACACATCCTATTTGTGTGTTCTCTGTGGAACCCCAACAAATACAACTTGCTGTGAATAACTTCTCCCCATAACTCAGTTTTTCTTATTTTTCACTGTAGTGTAAAATAGCTTTCTAATTTCTAATTCGCTCTTTGCTTACTCTTGCATGTCCAAAAACTCATTATAGTTTTCAGCTTGCCAATGGAACATTAACTCCAGGGCCCAAACGGTTTAGTGACATAGAATAACTGGTAGAGACTTTGATATTTCACTTTTCTCTTTGTGCTTCAACAGTCTCTGTGACCTCTTTGTAGGGAGCTCTGTTGAGCTTGTTCATCTGTGACTTGAATTACGCCATCTCCCTCAAAAGGTAAATGTATCAACAGCTAATTTTGAATTTAATAATACTTACCTTTATTATCTAAAGAGCTTCTTATATTAAAATTTTTATAAACCATCTTAGCCTAATATCTTATCTGCCTCTAATCCTGAGTCCTAATATTTCACCTTTTCAAAAGCAAGATTTGTCGTAACTTAGGAAAGTCATATAGCAAAAGGAGTATATATTTGGGATCAGTTTGACAGCCATTAAATTGTAATTTTGTTATTTGCTATCTTGGCAAAGTTACTTAACCTCTCTATGTGTATTTCTGCCTATGCTAAATGAGAATAATAATGCTGGATTTACAGATTTTTTAGGAGCATTGAGTAAAATAACATATATAAAATATTTTGCCTACTTTCTAATATTAAGTAATCTAAATAGATTTTACTTTTTTGTTTTCTTAAGAATAGATTGTGGTATTCTAGAGTTGTAGAAGAAAGAAATTTTCATTCTTCAACACAATTTTGAGTCACTTTTTGGAAAATCTTGTACATATGCAAAGTAAACAGAATAGTAAAATGAAACCCTGTATTCATCACATAGCTTCAACAATCACCAAAAATCTTTCATCTTGTTTTTTTTTTCTACTTCCCTCTATTCATTTCCCACAGACTGATGATGATGATGATGATGATGAAAGTGATGGTGATTTAGGTAAAATTTACATTCATTGAGATGCACAAATGTTAACTGTATAATTTTAAACTCATATGATCCACATCCCTTTTATGATATAGAGCATTTTCCAGAGTTTCTTCCAGTCTCTTCCTAGTCAATCTCCACTGCTTACCTCCTACATATGCAGCCTGGTAACCACTCTTCTCTATTCTCATTCTTTTAAAATTTTTACTTAGATTACTTTTGCGTGTTCTAGAATTTCATAAATGAATATTCATGTACCTGTCATTTTGTGGACATACTGTTTTTTCTTCACCAAATAAGAGTAGAATGTTGGGTCAAAGGATAAGTAAAAGTCCAACACTAAAATACTACTGAAACATTTTTCAAAATGGTTGTAACATTTTACATTCCCAGCAGCAATATATGAGAATTATGATTGCTCCATATCCTTGCCAGTGTTTGAGGTTTTCAAACATTTTAATTTTAGACATTGTGGTGAGTGTTTTGTGGTATGTTATTTGGTTTTAATTTAAATTTTCCTAATAACGACTGGTCTTGAGAGCTATATTGTGCATATTGACCATTCATAAATCTTTCTTCAAATAGTGTCAGTTCAAATCTTTTGCATATTTTTCCAATTTGTTTATTGTAAATTACACATAACATAAAATTGACCATGTCAACCATTTTTAAGTGTATAGTTCAGTGGCATTAAAAACATTCATAATGTTGTATAGTCATCTCCACCATTCATTTACATAACTCTTGTAATCTTGACAAGCTAAAAGCCTGTGCCCATTAAATGATAACCCCTACTCTCCCCTACTTCCAGTCCTTGGCAACCACCATTCTATTTTCTGTCTCAATGATTTTGATTACTTTAAATACCTCATGAAAGTGAAATCATACAGTAATTGTCCTTTTGTAACTGACTTATTTCGTTTAGCATAATGTGCCCAAGTTTCACTCAGGTTGTAGCATGTCAGAATTTAGTTATTTTATCTTTTTGTTGTAGTAATATATAATATTCTTCTTAATCCCTTGTAATCTTTTTGATTGAAATTCTATTTTTTCTGTTACTAGTATAACCATGCCTGCTTTCTTTTGGTTATAATTTGCATGGGTTATATTTTTCTATCCTTTCACTTTAATCTATTCGTGTCTATGAATCTAAAGTGAATCTCTTGTAGACAGCATATTGTATCATGTTTGTTATATTTTTTAATACATACTGCCTATCTCTTTTTTTTTTTTTTTTTTCCTTAAGATGGTAAGATGGAGTCTTGCTCTGTTACCCAAGCTGGAGTGCAGTGGCGTGATCTCAGCTCACTGTAACCTCCGCCTCCCAGGTTCAGGAAATTGTCCTCTCTCAGCCCCCCAAGTAGCTGGGATTACAGGTGCCTGCCACCATGCCCAGCTAATTTTTGTATTCTTAGTAGAAATGGCATTTTGCCATGTCGGCCAGGCTGGTCTTGAGCTCCTGACCTTAAGTGATCCACCCGCCTCGTCCTCCCAAAGTGCTGGGATTACAGGCATGAGCCACTGCGCCCGGCCAAATCTCTGTCTTTTGAATGGAGAATTTAATCCATGTACATTTAAAGTAGTTACTGACAAAAGGGGAGTTCTTTGATTTCTCCATTTGTCTTCTATATAACATACATTTTTGTCCTCAATTTTTTGTATTATTATCTTTTTTTTTGTTTAGTTAATTTTTTGTAGTGAAATGTTTAAATTCTTATTTCCTTTCATGTATATTCTTCTGTAGCTATTTACTTTGTGGTTACCATGGGGATTACACTTGAAATACTCAAGTTCTAACAGTGTAATTTGAATTTTTACTAGACAAACTTCAATAACATAGAAAAACTCTGCTCCTTTAATAGTTCTGTCCCTACGTATTTCAGTTGCTGATGTCCAAAAATCGCATGTTTATATATTGTATACCAAAAAACATACACCAATAATTGTTTTAAATGCATTACTCTTTTAAATTATGTAGAACACAATGTAGAGTTATAAACCAAAGTTAAATACTAACGTTTAGACTATTTTTAAAAATGTGTGTTTCTTAAATAATATATACAAAATAGAGTTACAAACCATTGTATCAAGCTTTTATAATTGCCCCCATGCTGACATGTATTGACATCTTTATTTCTTCCTATAGCTTCAAATTACTCTATAGTGTCCTTTTATTTTATCTTTCAGAACTGCCTTGAACATTCCTTTCAGAAAAGGGCTAGTGACAATTAACTTCCTCAGCTTCTGTTGATCTGGGAATGTCATAATTTCTCCCTCACTTTTGAAGGACCGTTTTGCTGGATATTAAATTTTTGGTTAACTTTTTTTTTTCTTTTTTTGCATTGTGAGTATATTGGCCCACCGCTTTCTGATCTCCAGAATTTCTGGTGAGAAATCTGTCATCTTATTAAAAGTCCCTTGTATGTGAGGAGATGCTTCTCTCTGGATGCTTTCAAAAGTTTCTCTTTGTTTTTGGTTTTTCAAAGTTTAATTACAATGTGTCTTGATAGGAGTTTCTTTGAGTTCATCTTACTTAGAGTTTGCTGAGCTTCTTGAATGTTTATATTCATATCTTTCAACAAATTTGGGAATTTTTCAGACATTATTTCTTCAAATATTCTCCTTGCTTTATTTGCTGTCTTTTCTTCTGGGATTCCCATAATATATTGTATATTGGAACCTCTGATAAGTCCCTTATGCTCTGTTCACTTTTCTTAATTCTTTTCCTTCCTGTTCCTGAGACTTGATAATTTCCATTGTCATATTTTCAAGTTTGCTCATTCTTCTGCCTGCTCAAATCTACTTTTGAATCTCCCTAGTAAATTTTTAATCTTAGTTATTGTATTGTTCAGGTCCAGAATTTTTTGGTTCCTTTTTAAGTTTTCTATCACTTTATTGATATTTCAACTTTGTTCATGTCTGTTTTCTTAATTTTCTCCATATCTTCCTTTACTTTTTGATCACTGTTAAGATGGTTGTTTTAAAGTCTTTGTCTAATATATCTGCCATCAGTCTTTTTCAGAAACAGTTTCTGTTGATATTATTTTTTTGAATGGGCCATAGTTTACTGTTACTTTGTATGTCATGCAATTTTTGGTTGAAAATTAGACATTTAAATCTAATAATTTGGTAACTCTGTATGTCAGATTATTTCCTTAATTCAAGGTTGCTCTTTTTTGTTTATCATTTTTGCTTTTTTGATTTTTGTAGACAACTTCTGTGCCCAAGATGAGCCTGAGGTATACTGTTAAGGTCTTCTCAGGTGTTTAATGAGCCTGCACTTTTACTTGAGCATGTGAGGTCACTGTCTAGTTTTCCCCATATATACAGTTTCTTTTGGACATCCTAGTCTGTAATATCTGGCTTCCAAAGAGGGAAAAAGAGAAAAATGAGAGGACTGAGATAGAGAATGTTGCCATAGCCCTTTAAATTCCCCTGGAAGTCACTTCAGCTGAAAGGGGGAAGGGCTTGCAACAATGAGGAAGGTGCAACAAAAATGGTGTCCCAACTTTTTGTCTGGACCTCTGTGATCAGAAGCACCAATCAGT
Organism: Homo sapiens; assembly: GCF_000001405.40. Lineage (NCBI taxonomy): Eukaryota > Metazoa > Chordata > Mammalia > Primates > Hominidae > Homo > Homo sapiens. The sequence goes on along the minus strand of NC_000001.11, from coordinate 80,859,651 downwards.
GATCAGAGCACAGTTCTCTGAAACCTGGAAGACAGTGATTTTTTTTTTTTTTTCTTCCACCCTGCCTCCCACAAGCTGTGTCTAAGCTGCTCTTGGAACATGTGCACAGCTGCCTGCCATGGGCTGAGAGAAGTGGAATGGGTAGCTGCTACTATGATAAAAGTTGAAATTGGCCAAAATATACCACAATTTCATATCCCAGCCTTCCTTTGTAAGTTGCAAGCCTTTAATAGACCTCAGAGTTTCAAAAGAAGTCACATCAAACAGATTCTTCCAGCGCAATTGTTGCCTATGTAAACAGGTAGATTCCTGGTGCTTCCTGCTCTGCCATCTTTCCACAATCCTTCTCTCCTTTGACTTAAAAAAAAAAAAAAAAAGTATTGTTGGTCATTTTCTTAATGGATTATAATATTTATATAGTCTCAACCTAAGTCCTGTCAGATATATATATCGTCAATAAATTCTTTGTCACTTATTTCCATAATGAGTTTTCGGATTCACAAAATAATTTAATTTTGATGCAATCTAATTTATCAACTTCTTTTTTTTATTATTATACTTTAAGTTCTAGGGTACGTGTTCACAACGTGCAGGTTTGTTACATATGTATACATGTGCCATGTTGCTGTGCTGTACCCATTAACTCGTCATGTCATTTACATTAGGTATATCTCCTAATACTATCCCTCCCCCCTCCCCCCAACCCACGACAGGCCCCGGTGTGTGATGTTCCCCTCAACTTCTTTTTCTTTATGATCATTGGTTTTTGTATTTTATGAAATATTTGTCTACCCTCAGGTTGCGAATAAATTAGCCAATGTTTTTTTATAAAAGCTTTTTGGTTTTATATTTTATATTTAGGTTATAATACATCTCAATAGTTTATGTGTGTTATCAGAGATAGGTGTAGATGTTCATTTTTTATTCATATGAATATCCAGTTGTAGTAGCTTCATTTATTGAAAAAAAATTCTTCCCCTAATGAATTGTTTCACATTTTAAAAATCAATAAACTATTCATAAGTCAGAAAAGTTTTGATTGTCTATTATTCCATTGATGTTTTCATGTTTGCATACTGTCCGACCTACACCACACTGCCTCAATTACTGTAACTTTTAGAAAGTCATTTAGTCAGTGTATTAGCTTTTTATTGCTTTTAATAGCAAATTAATCCCAAATTTAGCAATTTAAAGCAACAGCAATAATTATGTTACAGTTCTATAGGTTAGAACTATAGGCACTGCATGGCTGGGTTCTCTGCTCACATTCACACAGATTGAAATCAAGGTGTCAGATATCTGAAATTTTATCTTTAGTTCAGGGTCCTCTTCCAAGTTCATTCAGGTTGTTAGCAGAATTCAGTTTCTTGTAATTGTAAGACTAAGGTCCCCATTGTCTTGCTGGTTATCAGTTGGGTACCAACCACTCTTACCATATAGAGGCCACCCACATTCCTTGCCATATGGTCCTTCCATTTTCAAAACCAGTAATGAAAATTTCCCCCGTGTTGAATTTCTCTCATGCTTCAAATCTCTGGTTTTCTGTATATTTTATTGTAGACTCTGATTTAGAGAAATCATGTGTTTAGGTCAAGACCACCCACATGATCTCCCTTTTTTAACATAAACTGTACCATATTCTGTACATTAATCACTTCCATCATATTCACAGCCTCAGGGTATATACATTGTGGAATGAGTTCTTGGGGCCCATTTTAGAATTCTGTCTACCACAGTTAGGTAGTAAAAGTTCTGCAGCTTTCTCTCCTTTTTTGAGATTATTTTGGCTATTCTATGAACCTTTACATTTTCAGAAATATTTTAAAAACAACTTGTCATTTTCTATTTAAAAAAAATGATGGGCTGATGTTGTTGCATTTTTTAAATCTATTGATCAATTTGGAAAGAATTTAATTTTTAAGGATATTGAGTCTTCCAGTACATAAACTTTGCATATCAATCTCTTAACAATATTTTTAACTTTTCAGTGTAGGAGTGTTAAATGACTTCTGTAAAATTTATTCCTAAATATTTCATTTTTGATGCTACTATAAAATTCATTTTTGGTTGCTTGCTGCTAGTGTGTAAAAATAGCTGATTTCTGTATATTGAAGAAATACACAGAATTTCTTCAAAAAATGATATATTTGGAGAGCTTGCAACCATATTTATTATTTATAGAAGCAATATTTAGTTCCTCAAGATTTGTATGTAAACAATCATGTTGCCTGTGAACAGATGCAAATGAATATTTTTCCTTCAAATTTGATTATTTTATGCTTTATTGCACTGGCTACAACATACAGTCATCTGGAATTAAAAGAAAAAAATAAAGTTTTCTGCCTTATTACATATTTTGGGAGAAAATATTCAGTCATCACTATTAGTACAATGTTAGATGTAGGTTGTTTATAGTTATTCTTATATCAGATTGAGGGAACTTCATTTTGTATCTAATTTGATGAAAAATGTTTTAAAAATCATGAATGCAGTTTGAATTGTATGTTTTCTGCAGTTATTGAGATTATTACTGTGTTGTATTTTATCTTTTATTCTGTTAATGTGGTATATTGCATTCTTTGATGTTTTGAACATTAAATTAGTCTTTCATTCTGGAGATACATTACACATGGTCCTAATGCAGTATAATTTTTATATGTTATTGGATTCAATTCACTAATACTTTGTTAAAAATTTTTATGCCTATGTCCATGAGAGATATTGGTCTGTAATTTTCTTTTTGCGATACCCGGTAGGTTGTGGTATCAGTAATATCCTAGCCTCATATTATGAAATTATAATTATTTCCTTTTACTCTATTTTCTAAAAGAGTTTCTTTCTGAACTGTTTGATAGAATCAACAAGTTAGCCCTCCCGGTCCTGGTATTTTTTGGGAGAAGGAGCAGGTATTCTTTTTAAATAACGAATTTAATTTCTTTTGCAGATATAATGCTATTATTTTTAATTTAATCTTGTACCACATTTTTACATTGTATTTTCAAGTAATTTGTCCATTCCGTTTCAGAGGCCATATTTATTGACCTATCGTGGTTCTAAATTTTTTTTTATGATCCTTATACTATAGGATTTGTAATATTTCTGTTTTTATTGCTGATGTTAGTGATTCGTTTTTTCTGTTACTTGATCATGCTTTCTAGTAGTTTGTCAATCTTATTAATTGTTTAAATGCACTCCTGGGGGAAGGTGTTAAAAACTTCAAATATGAATGTTATTTCACTAATATTCCATATATCTGGAAGCTCTGTTATGTATGCATATATATAATTATCTCTTCATGGTATAGTAAGAATTATTAAGAACGGTCCTTTTTTCTGGTAACATTCCTTTTATTGAAAACTATTTTATTATTGAAATAACATTCAATTTTTTATGCTTATTCTTTGCATGGTTTATCTTTTTTCTCCTCTTACTTTTAACCTATTTGTATCTTTACATTTTAAGTGCTTTTTTATACGACAAATAGGTCTTTCATTTTTTATCCAGTTTAACAACCTTTTTTTTATCAAGACTGAAACAGTTTTAAAAATTAGAGTGTTTCATAATAGACATTTCCTATTTAATGTAATTACCAATATGACTGTATTAAGGTATGAGATTTGCTTTTTATTCCCCCCTTAAGTCATGAGTTTTTGTTTCTCTGCTCCTCCTTTCTTATGTGTATTTTAGGTTAATCTATTTCTTTGTATTGAATTTGTATTTTTAATTGCCTTTTAGCTCTCTATATATTTGTATTATTTTTAATATTTCTCTGGGGATTAAATATGCCTTTTTAAAATCACAATTGACTTAAAAGTTACTATTATACTTCTTCCTATAAAATTGAGGAAACTTGCAACTTTATATAGTTCTATTCTCCCAGTTCTTTTTATCATTATTACCATTGTCATGCCCCATCAGTCTGAAAATATTTTTTTCTTCTGCTGAAGTTTGTGGCCTTATGGTTTCTTTTGACAAGTAATTGTCATTTGTATCACTGTTGCCCTATATTTAATGTGGTTGTTTTACTTTTGCTGCTTTCAAGCTCATGAGTTTATCTTTGTACTTCAGCAGTCGGACTATGATTTATTGAGATGGGATTTTCTTTCTTTTTTTTTTTTTTGATATGGAGTCTTCCCTCTGTCGCCCAGGCTGGAGTGCAGTGGCGTGATCTCGGTTCACTGCAAGCTCCGCTTCTGGGGTTCAGGCCATTCTCTTGCCTCAGCCTTCTGCGTAGTTGGAACTACAGGCACCCGCCACCACACCCAGCTAACTTTTTGTGTTTTTAGTAGAGATGGGATTTCACTGTGTTAGCCAGGATGGTCTTGATCTCCTGACCTCATGATCCCAAACCTTGGCCTCCCAAAGTGCTGGGATTACAGGCATGAGCCACTGCCCCCGGCCAGGATTTTCTTTTTATTTAACTTGCTTGGGGTTTTTTGAGCTTTTGGGTATGTTGATGCTTTTCAAAATGTGGGAATTTTTAAAATCCTCTTTTTTCTGTTATAGTTTTCTCTTTTCTTTCTAAGGACTCTATTTACACTGATATTAGATAGCTAGATATTGTCCCACAAGTCCCAAATTCTGTTCATTTTTCTTTAACCGTTTTGAATCTTTATTCTTCAGATTAGATAATTGCTCCTGATTTGTTTTCAAATTCAGTGACTCTCTTCTTATATTTCTAATCTGTTACGCCCATAGAGTAATTTTAAACATTTCAGATATTGTACTTTTTAATTCTAGGATTTCTAATTTTTCTTTATTTTTTGGTTTCCATTTTTCTGCTGCAATTTCCTATCATTCATTATGTACAATTTCTCTCTGAATTTGTGGACGTCTTTATTGCAAATGCTTTAAAATCTTTGCTAATTACAATATGTAGGTCTTCAAAGAGAGGTTTTTTAGACTGTTTTTCAGAGGGTATGTGGATAATATTTTTCTTTTTTAAAATTTGCATGTCTTATGAGTTTTAACTGTATTCTGGACATCACGAATAAATCATTGTAGAGCCTCTTGATTCTGTTATGTTTCTCTGAAGAAGAATGACTTGTAGTTAGCTTGACTGGACTCAGCCTCTGTAATCTTTGTCCTCTGCGGTGTGTAGCAATCTACATTTATGTTCATGTATTGCAGTTTTCAACTGTTTTCAATTTTTCATGCTGTTGCGGTCTTTGACTTGAATATATATTGTTGTTATCTGGCAAATATTTCTGTTGATTTTATATGCAGGTATTGAGGCTCTTCAGCAGCTACTTTCCTTCCTGGATTTCCCCACACTTTCCGAATGGTCTGCCACTGAAGCCTCTCTCCTCTTACTATTTAATTTTCCAAGGATACGGTATTCTGCCCTGGAGTCAACTGAAGATTGAGGTTGACCTTAGATAACGACTGCAAACTTTCACATCTTACCAGTTTCTGATTATCTTTCAATAGTAGAATTGTCTCTAGATTCTAAATGTTTTTGGTAAGTCTCCAGTGCCACATAATATTTTTAAATACTTTGTTCAGATTTTTTAAATAATTTGGAGGACTGGTCTGACTAACTTGTTTAAACACAACTTGAAGCTGGAAACTAAATTGAGTGATTTTGTAAGTAATTTTGCAAAATAACCTCAGAGAGCAATTATTTGATTGCCATTTTACATGTAAAAAACCCTAAGACATAAAAATATTGTAGTAAGTTATTTTAACAGTACTATACTGGGTAATTCAAAGAGTGCAAGCTTGCGCTGAAAAACTTGAATTCAGAACACAGGGCTGGAAAAAGAGGGTGACCAGCTAGGAGCACTGCTGTCTCATAGTTGAAGTGCACACTGCCTGCAGTCCCTTAATGCCTCCATTCTGTCAAATAAGTGGCCAAGCCTGCAAAATGTGCTGTAGTTTCATTTGAACATAGCTATATCTTGTTTTGGTTAAAACATTCACAAAATCTGTTATGAAAGAAATTGTGATGTCTGTGAACTCCCAGCATCTGGGATAAGTACTTGCAGGATGAGAAAGGAAGCTGATCTCAAGAAACTGGACTGCAGCTAGAAAGATGTCAGTAAAACACTCATTGAACCAACACTTATGAATATTACATGTATGGCAACGAGAATATGTTAGGGGCTGGGAATAAAGAAACAGATACACCCTCCAATTATTTACAGTTTAGTGAGGAAAGGCAGACACATAAATAGATTACTACATGGTGTGATAAATGCTATCTGGAAATGCTAGCTGGGTGCTATATGTGCACAGAGGATAGATACCTAACCTAGACTGTAAGGTTAATAAAATATTTGAGGCAATATCTAAGCTACGTCTTGAAGTATACCCTAGGTGATAACATAGTGAAGGAGTATTTCAGAGTGTGGAAGGATCCTATAGGAAGGTTTAGAAGTGTGAAGCCAAATAGCATATTTGAAGAACTAAAGGAATTTCTGCATAGTAAATGATAGAGAAGGAAGGGGTAGTGATAAGATAAGACAGTAAAGACTTTAGAAGGCCTTTCATGGCATGCTAAGGAGTGTGAACTTTTCTTAAAGACTCTGGAGATTTATCAAAGTGACTTGATCAGGTTTGACTTTTATAAAGATCACTCTGCTTGCTGAGTACAGCATAGATTGGAAGGTGAAAACGTTGCAGAGAAGGAGTTTGATTTATAGGTGTTTTTAGTAACTCGAGCAAGAAATGATGGGGCCTGGGTCTAAGGAAGTGGTGATGGGACTGGATACGAGATACATTTTAGAGGCGTAGCATACAAATCTTAAAAATGTAGAAGGTTAGGGAAAGGGAAGAGACACAAAAGATTTAAATAAAGCTTTGAGATAATTTAAATTAACTATATTATTCAACCTAAGCTTTAAATTTGAATTGCCTTTCACATAAAAAATTGGATCTCTTCAATTTTCTTTACCCATAGCTGCCACACTCTAACAATACCTAAGAATTTACTTGTGTTCTTAATGTTAAAACTGGGTGATCTGGGAATCATATACATATATACATAATACATGTATGTGTGCGTGTGTGTATAGGGTGGTAGATTTGGGTGGGAGTTTCAACCTAGAATCCGGTTGCAATTTTATGAGCAATTATATCTGCAAACAATTTCAAGAGGTACAAAGCAAATACACAAATTGGATAATTGAACACCAAATAGCATTCCCAAGGAAAAATTAGCGAATACCATTTTATTGATCCTTTGTACAGAAGACTCAATGGAATGAGTAAATAAATGGAAGTAAGAAGAAATGAATCTAGTCCCAGCTTTGCCAGAGCCAATCTGTATAATATTATGCAGGTGACAATAATTCATAGAACACAGTTCCTCCATTCTTAATGAGATTAGACTTGATGATTTTTTAAAGACTAACTCATGATTTAAAACTTCAGTAAGGGTTTCCTGAATAAATGAATTTACTGGTCCTACCATCATCCTTAATACTGGAAGAGAGGCAACTATTTCTGGTATTGAAATGTAGGAAAATCAATATTATATGTCATTAAATCAAAATATTTTATGTAATTATATGTGAAAAAATGTAGAAAAAACCCTAAGTTTTCATAGCTGAACTTGAGCTATAGAACAACCTTTTATACCCATTAATCTGTCTATTCTTTAGCATTCATTTAGAATTCTTTTACAAAGTAATTTGAAACACTCAATTTTAAGTATAAAAATCTTGCATTTTTGGCTTCAAACAATAACAGTCATAGGCACTTGAGGCTTATAAATTAGAAACATATGTCAAATGACAAAATGTAGATCAAAAATGCACTCATTAAATGGTATAAGTAATACTACATATGACCCCTTGCACAATTTTATAAGGAGAAAAGCAATAATATAATAAAATATAGAGTACTGTATTTAGGTAATTTTATTAGTTTTCAAATTCTGAAACCTTAGTCCTATGTCCATGTTCATAGCCATAGGATTAAATAAAACGCAAACATATGTACTGTATCTATGACACAGAGATTATTGACCATAATTCACATTAAAACAAGACAACAATAATTAGACATTCACTAGGAAAAACTTAAAAAAGCCAAACATACAACTGATTGAATGGCAGTGGTCTTTTAATTTAAAAACTATGATTTTGAACCCTAGATAATTTTTTTACTACTTTAGACAACCTTAGAGAAATCATTTCATCTTTCTGGACCTTATTCCAATCTGTAAAATGAGGATTACAATATCTATCACCAAAGTTTGTTGTAAAGATTTAATTAAATCATTTACATAAATATGTTGGATTATATAAAAGACTATTCATTGCAATTAACAGAAAACATACTTTTTGGTTTAAAAACTGAAATAAATTTTAACTGTAAATAACTGGAAAGTATAAGAGGATGAAATGATTCAGGTGCATTCAAACATTCAACCTATATATAATCAATAATCTATCTTTAATGTCATTCTTCTAACTTTTTTCTGTCTTGGCTTCATTTACTGTCCAGTTTACCTATATGAAGTAGCAGAGAGAGAAAAAGAGCCACAAACATCCCTGAGCTTAAAGTTTTTTTTTTTTTTTTATCACTATTTTAAAGAAAACAAATATGTTCCCTAGTAATTTCAGTCAATTCTTGGGGCTAACTTGTCTGAGCTAGGGCCAGGTAAAAGGTTACTGTCTCATGTGATTGAACAGATAAAGCTATGTGCTACAAACGAGTGAAGGTGGTTTTTTAGTAATGATAATAGATTTTGCAGACTTTCTATAGAGCTTATATTAATAAAGGATCTCAGCTGCTATGCTTTGAAACCCATTGCTGAATTTGTACCAAGGCTACGCCTCTCACCTCTCACAGGCTGCTTCCAGTAAGCGACTGAGTGTGGTGGAGATACCAAGACAAACCCATTTCTAGGAGGAAAATAACTCCTGTGTTGGCCCACAATAGCTTAAGAAGGTCTATACAGCTTTGTTGAATTGGTCACTATATAGCAAAATATGACACTTCTACCCAACATTTGCTCCCTCCTTTCTTCACTCTGTGTTCAGACTTACATAGCAACCTAATGACTTGCTCAGTCGTTCCTGGCTCCCTTCCTATTTCCTTTCACACATAGATTTTCCCTGATAAAATCCTTGCACATTTAACTCTGTTTTGGCGTCTACTTCTTGGAGTACCTAAACTAATATAGGTAGTTATAGAATGGAAAAAAGTGAGGTTCCATTTTATGCTAAGGTTTTATATGGTCTGGGAAGGCAAAAACAATGGATGTCCTCTACAAGAATATTTTAATCTATGAAACAGTCAATGATAGAGTATTTAATTTTGAGAGTTTTCCTCTAGTCATGTGAGCATAACCTAGGCTAAACTTACAACCAGCAGTGTGTGGAAGTTAGGATTTAAAATATTACATTTCACATAAGTACATAATTACTGAATTACTGTATAGTGTAATAATTTTAACTAATATTTAAGAATATTTTTGTTCCATCCTTGAATAACTCTAAATGAATCCAATGTTTTTGTAAAAATACTCAACTATCACTGAGCACAGTGGTTCTCAAACCAGAGTACAAAAGAACTACCTGAGAGTTTTCCAACGTATAAATCTTTATCTAGATCTACTGAGTCAAATTTTTCTGAAACAGCCTTTCCATAAGTACTTTCAAAATAATCCCCCATGCAACTCCAATACATAATTCTGTCTAAAATTTCCTAGTCAAATGAGATCTTTATATTCTACGTGAAGAAACTAAGAGCTCAAGGATTTTAAAATGACTAGTCCAAAACAATGTATCTATAAAGTGATTAAATTAGAAGTACAAACATTTTACCTCCTGACTCCCCATCCATTGTTCTTTCCTATTTCAAATCATGAACATGGCCCTTGATTCATGTGTCATCTTAGGTTCCTCTTACCTCCTATACACTCTACCCTCCTACATCCCTGATCTGCAATCTATTTTGCATCTTCTACAAATCTGTCTCCCCTTAGAGCCTTCGAAACTGCTTTTTTGTTTTTTGTTTGTTTGTTTTTTGTTTATGGAACACAATTGATCACTGTCTTTTTACAAAATAAATACATGAACTTCATGTCACTGAACCTCCTAAACTCCAGCTAATTTTATATTTGCCAAAAAGGTTTGTCCTAACTACACGAATTTTTTTTATGAGTAAAAGCATTTTACCTCTAAAGACCATTGTCTTATCTCCCAGCTCTCCCTACCTTGCCTTGCTCCCTTCTCAGAAAATTAAAACTCTATCAGATGCTTGTCAATGACAGAGGATGCATTACAAGGCTCCTAAAATAAAAAGCCACACCTATCTAAGAGTTGGGTATATATGTACACATAAAATTTGCTGTACTGTGTGCATTATCCTTTTTTTCTCTTTGTCTTCTGATTATTTTCCTTCTTCTCAAAGACTGAGGTGGAATGACTGACCTATATCAATGCTACTCAAAAGTATGGTGTCTGGATAGCATTAGTACTCCCTGGGGAATTGTTAGAAACACAGAACTTTGAGTCCCATCCCTGACTTACTAAATCTAAATCTCTAAGGTTAGGAGCCAGGAATCTGTGTTTAATCAAATATCAGATGATTCTTATGTGCACTGAAGTTTGAGAAGCATTGGTCTGGAGCGTGGTAAATAAAAACATTTGTTAAAGGTGATAAAATTTCATTCTTGTTATAAATTGGCGAAGACTTTAGCTGGACTATATCTGTGTCTTAGGACTTTGTGGAAGGCAGAACTTAAGGGCAATGGACTCGGATATTTGGTGAAAGAAATCTCTAAGCAGCAAAATATTGAAGGTGCTGTATGGCTTCTCTTAACTGCTTATAGTAAAATGCAAGAACAATTTAAAGTTGGAATTTATCACTAAAAGGGAAGCAGCACACAAAAATTTGGGAAATTTTCAGTCTAGCCATGTAAAGAATTTAAAAAGCATGTTTAGGAGTGAGAACCAAGGGTGTGGGTGTGCTCAAGAGACCCTTTGATAAGATTAGTAGAGATAGAAGGACCAAGGTGTTATTCATCAAGACAATGGGAGAATGACCCACAGACATTTCACGGATCTTAGAAGCTGCCACACCAATTACAGGCCCAGAGTGCCAGGGCCTGGAAGGCAGAATGGTTTCCAGGGAGGTTCCAAGGACACCCATGGGACCTGGGGGCTCATTGCCTGGGGCTGTCTCAAGTCTCTTCTCCCCAAATTCTGGTACAGCACTCCCCAGCCACACCAGCTGAGGCTCAAGTGGGCTCAGGTATGGCTTGGGCCACAGCTCTGAAGGACACAAGCAGTGAGCCTTGCTGGTTTGTCCATATGGTGCTAATTCTGCAGGCTTGCAGAGTGAATGAGCTATGGGGGCATGGCTACCTTTACCTAGATTTCAGAGGGTATCTCAGACAGCCTTAGGGCAGGCAGTGACTTGCTGCAGGAGCAGAGCTGCTGCAGAGAGCCACAAGGACAATGTCTAACAGGGAAGGGGGCAGAGAAGCCCCCAAGATTCCAGAATTGTAGGGCCACCAGCATGTGACACCAGGCTTGGAGAGCTGCAAGCACTCAACACTAACCTATGAGAGCTGCTATGTGTGTTGCACCCAGCAGAGCCATGGGGACAAGGCTGCCTAGGCCACTGGGGACCCAACCTATGCTCCGCTGTGTCTGGAAGGTGGGACATGGAGTCAGTGATTATTCTCAAGCCCAAGATTTAATGTTATTTCTCCTGTTTCATTTTTAGACTTACTTAGGACCTGTTACTTCTTCTTTCCTATTGCTGTCTTTCTAAATGGTCCTGTCTCTCCTGTGCTGGTCCCATTTTTGTATTTTGGAAGTGCATGACATTGATTTCACTGGTTCATAATTGGAGAGCAACTTACCTCAGAATGAACTGTACCTTGGGTGTCACCCATATCTAATTTAGATGTCCGGGTAGAACATCTTGAGTGCATGCTGGAGCAAGTTAAGACTTTGGGGGCTATTGGGACAGAACAAGTATATCTCTGCACATGAGAAAGACAGGAATTTTATGAGGCAGAATGCTATAGTTTTAAATGTGTCCTCTCTCAAACTCAGGTGTTGGAACTTCATGGCCAAAGCAATGGTATTAAAAGGTGGGGCTTTTAAGAGGTGATTAGGTCATGAGGGCTTCTCTCCTCAAAAATGGGGTCCCCTTATCAAAGAGCTTGACAGAGGGAATTTATACCTTTTGCCCTTCTGCCTTCTGCCATGTGAGTACACAGCATTCCCCCTGTCTGAAGGAGGATGCAATATTTAAGATACTGTCTTAGAAAAAAGACTAGACCTTCACCAAAGGATCTGCCAGTGCCTTTGTCTTGGACTACCCAGCCTCAGAACTGTGACCAAAAAAATTTCTGTTTCTAATAAATTACCTGGTCTGTGGCATTTTGTTATAGCAGCACAAATGGACCAAGACATGGAACATGTAAAAAGGTTTTAAGAAAATGGAGCCATTAGTTGAGTGTTTTTGGACATGTTGTTTAACATTCCTGAGCTCTGTTTAACCATTTCTAACAAGGTATTTACAAAACGTGTCTCAGCCTGTTGTTTTAAGATTTAAGATTAAGCTTTCAGCTTATGTATTTCAAGCTCATTCCTCCCTGAATATACTGAAACAACTGAAAATACCCATACATTTTTAAACACTGTTGAAAAACAGAGAAGGCCATAATCAATTGACAAGATATTTTCAAACATTTCTGTAAGAAATAAGGAGGTGGGATCGGACTGAAGAAATGATCTATGGTATTTTATTCACCTTATGCAAACAATGGGGTTTACCTGTAGAGTAATGTATTAAGATTTCACCACCAACCAATGAAAAATTTTAAAGTAACACCAAGAGAAAGAGTAACTTGGAATAAAAGGAGGCAGGCCTTCTGGAAAACTCACATGCTGTCGTTTTCTACTTCTCTCCTAATTTTATGAAGCAGATTTCCAAAAACAGAAAACTTCTCACATGTTTTCTCAGCAAGATTTTAGAAGGCATTTTATTTATAAAAATAAATTGAACATTTATTTTTCAATACCAAAATAGGCTTTTCAGATTAAAAAATATTTTAAATAAAAATGTATTTTTAAATTAAAAATAAAGAACTTAGTGAAAACAATCAACTAGAACTGAATACTTAGGACAAGTGAATCAATGAATTAGCTGAGCTCAATAATTCTCCCAGAACTGAAGGAAAATTATAATAAAAAATGGAGATGACAACAAACAAAAATCAAAGACATGGAAGACCAATTCATATATCCCAAGAATATATAATGAGTTCGCTAATGATGATACAATAGTGCATATAGAAGAGAAACATTATCAATATAATAACACATAATAAAATAATAACAAAGACAACTTTCTTTAGGTGTGCATCCTTTAGGAGAACCATTAACAATCAGCAAAAAGAGACCTACACTTAAGCATATCCTGGTAAAATAAAGAACTGAGAATAATAACAGACATAAAATCGAAGTTGTCTAAAGAAAATTTAGAAGATGTAGAGTAGGTGAGAAATGGAGTTAAAACATTTGAAAAGGTATTTAAAATCTCTTCCCTTTAATAATGTTATGTGTGTATCTGTGTGAAGAGAGGTGCTGATGCTGAGTGGTTTTGTAAAGTTTCTAGTGGCTCTTGTTCCTGTCAAAGATTTCGGTCACAAGGTGCCTAAAATCTTGGTCCAACCCAAAGTTGACCAATCTGCAAATTTGCTCAGCAACCTTACATTATCTTAGTTTGATTTTTAGCTGAGTTATTAGAAGCATAATGGAGAGTGAAAGACTCCATAAGACCGTCATTTTTCTACTCACCTATGGCTAACTCCCTCATTTAACAATTATCTCTTAAGGGCACTATGTTGATTGGAAAGTTTTTCTATACTTTAAGAGGTGAGGAACACTAAGGATTTTCTATAAACATGTCCAAGTATGAACAATCATCTCACTTTTCTGCCTTTCAAGAGGGAAGGGGAGACCTACCTGGTCTATGCCCTGTTAATTTCCTTACTCTGTCTTGTGCGTGACCTCAGATACTCTTCTTGTTATTGGTGAGATTACCTCATTCCTTTTCTTTTAATTTGGGTGGTGCAAACTTTTCAGTTTGTGACCTTTGAAACTTCTTTTTTTCTTTGGCAGTAAGCCTCAATAGTCTTAACAACAGTTGATATCTCATTGTTGTTTTGATTTGCATTTCTCTAATGAGCAGTGATGCTGAGCTTTTTTTCATGTTTGTTGGCTTGCATGTATGTCTCCTTTTGATAAGTGTCTCTTCATGTCCTTTATCTACTTTTTAATGGGGTTGATTGTGTTTTTCTTGTAAATTTGCGTAAGTTCCTTGTATTAGATCTTTTTCAGATGGATAGATTGCTAACATTCTCTCCCATTCTACAGGTTGTCTGTTTGCTCTGACACACAATGAAATACTATCTCATGCCAGTCAGAATAGCGATTATTAAAAAATTAAGAGAAAACAGATGCTGGCAAGGTTGAGGAGAAATGCTTTTACACTGTTGGTGAAAATGTAAATTAGTTCAGCCATTTTGGGAGACAGCGTGGCGATTCCTCAAAGATTTAGAACCAGAAATACCATTTGACCCAGGAATCCCATTACTGGATATATACACAAAGGAATATAAATCATTCTATTATAAAGATACATGTATGCATATGTTCATTGCAGCACTATTCATAGTAGTGAAGACATGGAATTAACCCAAATGCCCATCAATGATAGACTGGATAAAGAAAATGTGGTACACATACACCATGGAATATTACGCAGCCATAAAAGGGAATGAGATCATGTCCTTTTGCAGGGACATGGATGAAGCTGGGAGCCATTATTCTCAGCAAACTCAGTAAACATCCTCAGCAAACACAGGAACAGAAAACAAAACACTGCATGTTCTCACTTATAAGTTGGAGCTGAACAATGAGAACACATGGACACAGGGAGGGGAACAATACACAGTGGGACCTGCTGGGGGAGGGTGGGGAGGTGGAGAGCATCAGGAAAGATAGCTAATGCATGCTGAGCTTAATACCTAGATAATGGGTTGAAAGGTGCAGCAAACCACCATGGCACAAGTTTACCTATGTAACAAACCTGCACATCCTGCACATGTACCCCAGAACTTAAAATAAACAGTTGAGGAAAAAGTTTTTCAGGAAATATATATAAAAATTAAATTTTTTCAAAATGTTATTTCCATTACTTATTCTAAAGAAGATAAAACAATTTTTTAACATCACCATCAGCTTAAAAAGCATCATGAAGTGTCGTTTACTAATAGATTGAAAGAGAAAAAAGCACATTATTTTAATATGAGAAAGAGTATGCAGTAATATTCAGTATATAATATATATTCTGAATCAATAACCATTTTCCACTGGTAAAACCTTAGAAACACTACCACAAGATTAGAATTAGAAAAATATACCCATTATAAAAGCAACCCTCTAAAGTTGTTATAAAAGTGCTCACCAATGCAATTTGATAAGAAAATAAATGAAAAATATTAGAACAGAGGTGGCAATACATTTATTATTTTTATTTTTAGCAGATAGTATATAATTATTCAAAGAAAGCAGATATGAATAAACTTCAAAAATGTTAAGTTAGTAAGATTAGTCAATAAGTTATCTAGTTAAAAAAGCAAATATGCAAAATCAATAGCTATCCCTTATTGAGACAATTATTACTAGCTAGAACTTACAATAGAAAAATAGATCACTTTCTATAGAAACAGCAATTATCTTACACCTAGAATTAACTCTAGTCAGAAATGTAAAAACTCTATGATGAAATCTTTAAAACTTTACTGGAGCCATAAAGGAAGTCTTGAACTAATGAGATACCAATGTGTACTATGTTTTAAGAAATTACTCCATATTTTAACTCTAAGAGATAGAAATGAAGAAAAGAAGATAAGCAGCTCACATTTGCTAATGCAAATCAGGAAGAGAAGACTTCTTAAAAGAAATGAGCCTTGAATTGAGAATTGAAAAATATGAGTTTCCCAAGTATAGAAGGCAGAAGGAATATCAGAAAGAAAAGATAGCTTATATAAGGCAAAGTTATCTCAAAGAGCACTATGTGTTCAAAGAATAACAATTAGCCATGGGTGGAACATAGAGTAGCTGGAAGAGAAATGTGGGAACTAAGAATCTGGTATTTATCTTTGTTGGGGAGAAAAGAATATGCAAGCCATGCCATGAAAATACAACATCATTCAATTTTCCACATATTTTGGTTAATTTTTAGGTATTAGCTCACTCTTAAAGAATTAGCATATAACATGTTCTAGAATGTTGAAGTATATTTTAATAATTAAAATTATACATATTTCTACCATTCTCCAATGGGGATTAGGCTGCTTCTAAATGAAGAAAGAAAATGGTATTCTGTGTTTAGGATGGAATTACCAGAAAACTCAATGAAAATCTCCTCTCCTAAAGGGGTAGGTTAGAACTTCCAGCATTTTGCATTTCCTTAGATTGGATATTATGGGAAGTGGAACAGTAGATCTACCCTGTTCTCTGAGGCACATAGAGTCAAAGAAAAGAAACAACTCATGGCATAGCATAAAGTGCTGGATATACATGAATTCCATGTATATGCAAACCAAAAACATAGAAAGTTAATGAGAAAAAAGGCAGAGAATAATGATGTGATGTATGCTGTGTAGCAACTGGGATGAAAGCCAACAAAGGGTTCTAGTGAAATTATAGAAATTTTGGCTTTAAAAAGAAACATATTAAATCTTTATACAAATCTGTATGCATATTTGATTATACATCTTCATCTGTTTACCTTTTCTATGTGACATTTGCTTTTTCTGACTTAATAAGGGTAAATACAAATATTTAATAAAAACTAAAAATATTTTAATATTTTTGGCAACAAATTTAAGGACACATAGGAAAGATTTATATGAATCCTTCTCATTAATATGTTGTCAGACATATTAATACTACTGAAGTTTGCTTTGACCTATTTTCAGGCATTTCAAGTTTAGTTTATTATACTAAGTTTCTGTTCTCTACAAAGCAATTTCTACAGAATTCATGTTATAAAAATATTAAGTCTCAATAACTCAAGAATTATTTATATTCTAAAGGAATTTGCTATTTACCTAACACTGTCTCTTATTATGTTACTAACTATAAAGGAGGTAGAACTTTTAAAATGAATTTTCCTTCATACACAAAGCAAACATTTTTAAATTAACTTTATGAGAGGCTTAATGCTTAATACTATTTTAACAAGTTAACAGTGTCTTATTTCTCAGATGTAATTCTGGAAAGCTTTGACTTTAGCAATGAATTCAACATTTTGTTATTGAGACATAATGCCAAATATTATCATGTAAAATATTTTATAAATCCCCACTGGAGAATGGTAGAAATATGTATAATTTTAATTATTACATACATCAACATTCTAGAACATGTTTATATGCTAATTCTTTAATAGTTAGCTAATACCTAAAAATTAACCAAAATATGTGGAAAACTGAACAATATTGTATTTTCATGGCATTTATGATTTGCATACTCTTTTCTCCCCAACAAGTATAAATACAAGATTCTTCCCACATTTCTCTTCCAGTTACTCTGTTTCATCCATGGCCAATTAATTGTTATTCCTCGAACACATAGTGCTTTTTGAGATAACTTTGCTTTATATAAGCTGGTTCTTCTCTCTGATATTCCTTCTACCTCCTATACTTGGGAAACTCATATTTTTCAATTCTCAATTCGAGCCTTATTTCTTTTAAGAAGTCTTCCCTTCCTGATTTGCCTTAGCAAATGTGAGCGTCCTCATCCTCTATTCTTCATTTTTATCTCTTAGAGTTAAAATATGGAGTAATTCCTTAAAACATAGTACACATTGGTATTCTCATTAGTTCAAGACTTCATGTCTCCAGTAAAGTTTTAAAGATTTCATCATGTAGTTTTTACATTTCTGACTAGAGTTAATTCTAGGTGTAAGATAATTGCTGTTTCTATAGAAAGTGATCTATTTTTCTATTGTAAGTTCTAGCTAGTAATAATTTTCTCTATAGGGGTGTATTAGTTAGTTTTCACACTGCTGATAAAGACTTACCCAAGACTGGGTGATTTGCAAAGGAAGGAGGTTTAATTAGACTTACAGTTCCACATAGCTCGGGAGGTTCACAATCGTGACAGAAGGCAAGGAGGAGCAAGTCACATCTTACATGGATGGCAGCAGGCAAAGAGAGAGCTTGTGCAGGGAAACTCCCATTTTAAAGCCATCAGATCTAGTGTGACTTATTCACTATCATGAGAACAGCATGGGAAAGACCTGTCCCCATAATTCAATCACCTCCCACCAAGCTCCTCTCACAACACCTGGGAATTCAGGATGAGATTTGGGTGCGGACACAGCCAAACCATATCAAGGGGATAGCTATTGATTTTGCATATTTGCTTTTTTAACTAGATAATTTATTGACTAATCTTACTAACAGAACACTTTTGAAATTTATTCCTATGTGCTTTCTTAGAAGAATAGTTATATATTATCTGCTAAACTAAATAATAAGTATATTGCCACCTCTGCTCTAATATTTTTCATTTCTTTATTTTCTTATGAAATTGCATTGGTGAGCACTTTTATAACAACTTTGGAGGGTTGTTTTTATGATGGGTATATTTTTCTAATTCTAATTCTAATTTTGATCAAAGTATTGTATCATATTCATTTTTCTAAACCCAAGATCTACATGCCTGATATACATTATGACGTTAATACTTGTTACCATATAAATAAAATATAATACTTGTTACCATATAAATAAAACATAAATATTTGAATACAGGGCATGCAATCAAATAAAGTATAACAATTATTGAAATGTTAAAATCTTTGAACCTGAATATGAGCTTTTACTCATCCTATACATTCTGCTCTATACCATCATTTTTCTTCCCCCTCATTCTCTTTATTTCTGCTCATAGTTGCTATGAGGATCAATTTTGTATTCACACAAAGCCATAAGGCTTTATAGAAGCACATATACCTTTGCTGACTAATTCTAGTGCTTGATGATTTGGATAATAAAAAATTATTCATTAGAGCTCTACTAAATTATACATTCAGAGAACAAGCACAATTAAGTTAATCATCTGAAACCTTGGATTTGAGCCCTAGTTCTAAAAATTACTAGCTATGGGATTTTTTTTTTAAAGCAAATCCTTTTTGATCTCTCTGAACATTGGTTTCTGAATCTCTGAAATGGGAATAATCATGCCTGTCCTATATCAGTGATATACAAATGAGAATGAGGATGTACATGCAAATCAATGAAGCACTTGTCAATTTTCTCTAACCTTTTAAAACTTGTGACATTCCATAGCAACTGAATCATACCAATTTCCAAGTCCTTGGCATATTATTCCACATCTCTTGTTTATTCGATTTATTTGAATTCCTACTAACACTATTACAATCTTTCTTTATTCTAGGCATTCCTCTTATCTTATCTGCATTATTCAATAGCATATCCAAACTACTCCATTTACAGAATTTCCTCCCCTCGTAATAATCCTGTCATACATGTCCTTGGAATCCTTTGTGGGCATCATAGGGTAACTTACCTAACCTCTCTTCCTACTTGCATTTCCCTTGCTTGCTTCTACCATAGGGACTATAAAAGTTATCTACAACAGAATTCTACTGGGTGGGTGTTAAGAAACATTTGCTTTCTTCACAAATGTGAAGAGACATGGCATAAAAAAGAAGAGTACTGCTGTTTTTCCTCTTCCTGTTTGTCCCACTGTCGAACAGAGCAAGGTACCTGGATCCTTCACAGACTTCTTAAGGCCATAGGGAAACCAAGAGGTGGCAGTGGCATGATACCTTGTATGATAAATTGCAGAACCAATGCCAGCAGCCATCCTTCTGGTAGATTTTTTATCAGTTAAAATCATATACTCGTATTTATTTTAGCCACTGAATTTGGGCATTTGATTGTTCCTTCCATTTTTAATTGATATATGTTCTCTATTGCCTTCAGAATAAAATTCAAACATTTTTGTCTGATATGCAAAATCTTTTTTGCATGTTTCCTGTATGCCTTTCCCAGCTTCCTAACTTAAACCATCCATGCTACCTTGCATTTCTCCAGGTGCCTTTAAATATGTTCTTTCCTTTGTAAGGATTGCCTTTTTCTGTTTTCCTCCACTGTCATTCATTCATCTTCAAGATCTTGGTCAGATATCTTGTTCTTTGGGAATTAATTGCATGTAGAAGCATTATGTGGAGTATTCTCATGAGAAAGACATGAAAGGAAATAAGGAAAATTTAGTAGAAAGATAAATTGACCCTCAAGAGAGTTACAACTAAGCCCTCAGCTAATCCCATGACGATTTATAAATCTGGGATTTTTTTTTTATTTCAGAGTTTTCTCTAATGGAGGCCAGCAGGCCAGACTTTGGATCCCTACATAGACTTTTGGTGAAACAGTTCCATACCTCCAAGGCAATTCCATGTGATGGAGGCAGCTGTATGCATGCCTTTAGCTATTACGCTGAAGTTGGGAGCAGCTGGGAGTTGGGTGTGTTGAACTCGAGGGTATCTTGGTGGAGCACAAGAATACCCACTACCCTTTTCTCTGTGTGGTGGCAGTGTGCTGGTAAATGTAAACGTTTATTTATTGATTTTCCTCACTCAATTGTGATCTTCCTGAGGGAAGAAGTCATGCCTCAATCTTTTCTGTATTCTCTGTTCCCCAAACAGAGCTAGGTGTATAGAAGGCACACCTGTTGAATGAAAGTATAATCCTAAAAAGTACAAATAATTGCTATTTTGTGGGAAAAAAAGTAATATGATAAAGATGAATGAAGATAAATAGTAATGATGAATAAAGATTGAATATTTCTTGATATATTCATAATTTGAAAAAGATCTAATTTTCATTAAAAAATAAATGGTACTATACTTTTCATGAATCCCTCGCTATATAGCTAAAAGAAATGTATTAATATTTTATTACATAGTAACAATTTATAGTTTTAGTAAAGCTATTGCATCACGTTTCTATGATGAAAACCATCTTAAAATTAAACTGCAGTATTAATGCATTATACTTCCTTTCTATGTTTGGAAAATAAATACAATTCTAAAAAGAAATAGGATATTAATAAGAAAATTATCAACGCATTTATAAAGTAGGCTTAACGTTACTAATTGCCATATCCACTGTTTTGTAGTGGATAACAAATTATCTAACAATGGATTAAACTTTTTATTGAGCAAGAAGTTACATGAAGGCACACCAGAGCTGTGGAGAAATTCAGCAATATAATTTTCTTGGTTGCTTTCTATCCTGCACTTTGCTGATCTTAGCAATTATCTTAATGCTTCATGGTGCTGCAACTCTCAGCATCGTGTTTATATTCAAGGATGGAAGAAAGGAGGTGGGAGTGATAATAGATTTCCTCTATTGTTATCAGGGAGGTGTGCCTTTCCCGTAGCTTCCCAGCATACTTAAGCCATAACCGCTACCAGATTTCTGTTACATCTCACTGGTTGGCCCTAGCTGCAAGGAAGACTGACAAGATGAGTAGTAGTATTCCTAGCCTGTATACAGAAAAATAAGTAACAATAGAAGAGAAGGGAGTGGGGGATGGGCGATGGCCTTGTCAACTGATGCATCTACAAGACTTAAGGAATTGATGTTTGCATGAACTCAAATGAGTATTTCTGGGGGTAGTAGAGAGAGGAGGTGAATTAGAAGAGACTAAAAGCGTTTTGAAGGGTGGAAAAATTTAATTTCATGTTTATTTCTGCATTCACATTATCATTGTGCCTTGCATTTGAGAGACAGTAAAAATTTGGTGAGTTATCACCAATCATATTGTCCTTTTAAATGTTTGTCATATATGTTACAGACATATATGTTACTGATAATTTTTTATTACCATATTTTACATGACAGCCGAGATGCAAGTATAAAGTCACATCAACTCTATAGTTTTTGAGATTTCATTTAATGCCCCAAAAAGATCAGCAGCACATATATAAGAAAGTCGATATTTAGAACTTGAATTAAGAGAAGAATGAAATAAATGTTGAAGACTAGTAATCTGCTTTATGAATGTCATAGTATTTGTTAAAATTCCACCTAAGTTTTTCAGTAGTGGAGTGACAGTTCACCAAATGAATTAGAGCACCATATAATTATTCTTAAGTAATGCAAACTAAGATTCCATATGACTAGTGATAGTGGCATATAATGATAGTGTCATCTCTCTATTTAGGGTACAGCATGCCATCAGAGAAGATGAGATGAATCCTAAATGGGTGGGTAATGCTCCATATTACAAACTTAACAGATTATGACATCAGGCTGATACCCAATCCATCTGCTAGCTGTGCAGGACAGAGGACATATTGTTACGGTGATTAGGCCAGGTGGTACTTCATTTGATATCACAGCTGTGCTAAACTTCCACTCAGAAACCTAAAACCATGTGAAACATTCCTTGTTTGGGGTCACACTGAATAGAAAAAGCAGCGGCTGGGATATATTCTTAACAAATTCCATGCAGAGATTCTTTAGTTGAAATTAAAAATAAAAACTTTTCCAATATGTCATGAGAAATGAAGATTTAAAGTCTGGGTTCTGCTATTTGCTTCCGGATTATTGCATGGTATACTATTTGAATTTCTGATCAATTTATTCAGTCATGGAAAGTCAAAGGCAGTTATGGAATATATATTATCTATTCAACAAAATATTGAGATGATTCATATAAAAATGTATTTCCATCCCTGGGACACAGTATGCGTTAATAAATGTTAGCTATTACTTTATTATTCTTGAGTGTTGTGCATTTATTTCTGAGTCCCCTGACAATACCCTGTCCCTTCTCTAGTTAGCCTTTCTATAGGTAGCTGTGAGTTATACTTATGTGTGCATGCATCTTTCTGTACATATGAAACCTCTCAAGGCAGATTTTGCTTTCAGGTTCACAGACAGATTGAGGCAGCTTTTGCTTTTTTTTTATAAGATGGATCACAGATTAATTGCAACCATAATTTAGCCTTCAGCCAAAAGTTGCCTTTTTGTAAATTTCTTACAGGGTACCTCCTGCTGACATATGAAGCTCCAGTGGTCTTGTGCTTAAAGAGGAGATTTGGGGCTGGATTTCGGCATTCTGTCCCCAGTACCCAAATCCCCGGAAGGCAGCCTTATAGAAAGTCCAACCTGCGTTACCTTACTTGATGCTACTTTTTATTTGAATTAGCTGCCTCCCTGAAGCAAATGTGGAAAAATTAAAGCCAGAAGCCAATGATATATTTCTCATAGCAAAATTGTCTCATTCTCAGTGAGGGATATGGGGATTAGAAGTGCCAAATCAATAGAAAATTGGGTAGTTTGACTTATTCATTTATATAGATATATTAACTCTAAAAGCGTGCAACAGCCTCTTCCATTTTAGGTTCCTATCCTGAAAGACATGTTGCCTGCAAATTCAAGCATAACATATTTAGTAAAGAACATCTTTATTAAATTATAAATTATTTTCAAGATGAGAAAAAAATGCCTTACAAAGCACTATGGTTTACCCTGTAATTTATAAGACTTTCTTTGTACTACTTAGAAGTAATGAAGATCCAAAATATGTAGTAAATCATAATTTTGCTGAGACATTTCAGAAGTGGTGGCAGGAGCCAACATCAGTCAAGCATTCTCATGTCCGCATAGTTTCTTTGTAGATTACTCTTCCACATATGGAACAGTTCTCATAAGATGATTTAAAAAATAACAAAACAAAGAAAAGAGCTTTCGGGGTGTGTGCGTGGGGAGACAGGGAGAGAGCATGGGCGAGTGATTGGGGTTGCCCCAAAGTGAAAACAAATTGAAAATGCTGATGATGTAAGTAAGCTAAAAGAGAAGAAATGAGGTCATCAAAAGTAATGTTTCTTCATTAAAAGATTATATAAAACTTGGAAATAAGGTATAAGCATGACTGTCTATCTTCCTATATCATATTAGAGCATTTTCCTACAGGCCTTTCTAAGGATTATTTATTCCTGAGGGGACATGCACCTGTGCCTCGGTTTGATGTTCTATTGATTAAGAGCTAGATTTTGTGAAATGTTATGCTAACTTGTGGATTTTGTTCAGTAGAAATTCAAATCATTTCTGTCTTGTATAGGAATTGATATTAATTTTTACTGTTGTATTGCCCTGTAGGACATTAAACAGTTTTTTCTTTAACTTAGCAAACTTACTTTAGTATGACTTTCCTCATTAACTATGTACATTTCTGTTTCCCAAATACTCTTAGAATTGGCTTTACCATTTTGCTGTTTCCTTAATAATGAGTCAAGTATGTCTTTGGCATGTGTTAATTCTCTATTTGTATGAGAGTCACATTTTAAACTTTTTGAAAATTGTGCTTTGACATAAAGTTATTTATGAAAAGAACATCTTTCTCTGATACATGATCCTCTATATTATTGTGAGACATAATATAAAATGTAATACATTACAGTGTCAATTCTTAATTTTAAAATAGTGAATTACCAGCAGTTTATTAAATAGCACTTAAATTCATTGAGATGTCAAAATATGTGAATTATGCAAATTCTTACCATTGAAGTCCCCATCACTCCTAAATTTTGACAGTCGTCTTGAAATAAAGTTTATTTCTGTTCTCCATAGGACTAGATGGCACTACTTTGGCTTTGCAATATACGTGATAGTGAATTTCGTAGGTAGAATTTGTTTAGACTGAACAGATCTCCACCAGTGGAAGCAAATTTTTAGCCCTCATGGTCCAGGCCAGGAGCATTAAGAGGGTGTTTCTCACTGGCATGCAGCTGAAGTCATTTTGTTATAAAATGTATACAGTAACATTTTCTAATTAGATTTGAATATTAAATCTGATTGGAATATATAGCATGTATTTTTCTCTGTCTAAAAGTTTTGAAATGTCATCTGTACTTTTGTATTTCTGATGGTTTTTAAATTCTTGTTCCTGTATATTCTTCCTTAGAAAAAAATTCAAAAGCATTTAGTGTTAGCTGGAAACAATAATCAGCTTCAATAATGTCTTTAACATGTACTTAAGAATCATTAGAAACGTAAGGGTGTCACCATTTATTGTTACTAGCTCTTTGTTATTTAGAGCGTATTCCATGTAATAGTGGTACATATATTTATAAGTTAAAGAATTATCTAAGTTCGTGATGATGGCAACTCTGTATTATATGTGAGAAATATGAGGGAAACCCTCAGAGAAGTTGGAGGTCCCAGTGGCCATTGTCTGAGAGGCTTCCTGGAGGAAGTGAGACATGACATTGGCTTTGAAAGAGGATAAGGATTTGTATGGACACAATATAGAAAAAGAACATATTAGAGGTGAAAAGGGGGAGCAAAGACAGAAGGAATATATCTGATTTTGCTTGAAGAAGAGGAGAAGAAAAACAGTTAAAAATAAGTCTTTAAGTAGGACAGAAATGGCAAACATAGTTCACCCTTATAACCGCCTGAAATGTTGTGGTAAGAAGGGTTCTGAGATGAAATCGAGCTCAGAAGAAAAGAGAATTGTGATTTCCTGGAGATACCTGCTGTTGGCGTAGGAGCTGGGCTCTAGGGTGAGGAAAGTGGTGATGGGGAGAGGTATGGTAGTACAGTTGCATGTTTTGGATAGTCCTGTGTGGAATAAAATGTCGTGCTTCATCTGCAGAGAGTGTTAACCACAGCAGCTCTGGGATAACCTCCAACTTGGTTTCCTCAATTAGTTCTATAAGGATAATAGCATAATATTAGCAAAACTATTGAGTTAAAGTCCATTTAGTCTTCTCTGTGTATCATAAATTTTCTCTTTTGAAAAATGTGACAATTTTAACCTTTCTTAAGTTCTAAAATAGACTTTTAATGTGACAGAAAACACAGACACACAAAGTTACACAGAAACATGATAAGGGCTTTTGTTTGTAAAAACAAGCATCCACTTCAAGGAATTGTGTTTTAAGAGACTAAAAAGGAAGTCATATAAAGAGCATTGGTTTTTATAATTCAACAAAAAGTAATTATACACAGTGATCAATGTTTTAAAGGCCAAATTCTGAGACCCTGACTTTGAGATAGGCATAATTATGTTACAGAAAAAAAACCTCCCTGAAATAATATTGCATATTTTCCTATTAATTGAATGATCTGGTAAATATCCTGCAATGACCATTTCTTAAAAAGACTCTAAATGAACATATTTATCCAATTGGTGTCTCAGTCTCATAGGTCATCATTAGTGTTGGCTAATATTGTTTATCAGATTTTAAATGAAACCACTATATTCTTCTTATAACAAAACTGAAGTCTTCTAAAGAACATAGGAAACTCTTGCCTTCTGCTTTTGCCACAATAGAAGTTATAGGCTTTGCTTTAATCGATAGAAGGGGATAAACTTATCAACATAAAAAATTGGAATCTAAAGCGTTCATTAAACATTTTTAACAATAGTTAAATTTATACTGTGCTTAGCAAACTTTATGTTTATTATATAAATAAATGAAACAATATTTGTTAAATAAATGAAACTTCCTCTGCTCTTCTAATGACACTGTAGGAAGAATATATACACCCTAATACACACACACACACACACACACACACAGACACAAAATACCTGTATACCTCTATATAGTATATCATTAAGAAATGCATCATGCTATACATATTTGTCTACAACTTGCTTTTTACAGTTAGCAATATATCAAAGACATGTTTCAAGGTTAGTATTTATAGATCTATGTCATTAATTTTAATGACCACATGCTATTTATTTATTGATGTACTTTTGTTTATTTAACCATTCCCCAAGTGATAGGCATTTGCCTTGTATCACATTCTTTGTCAAGGCAATCTGTGTTACAATGAACATTTTTCTGTGTGTCTCTTAGCGTAAAATGTGATTTTTTTCTGCAATGGTGACTAGAAGAGGAATTTCTGGATCTAGCAATTGCAACAAATTATTGTCAGAAGAAAGGCCATAAACCCAAACTACATGGCAGTATTCATTTTCCCACACCATTGCCAACACTAGATATCATAAAATTTTTAAAATGTTGTAAGTCTGATAAAAAGTTGTTTGAATTTGTTTTTCTCTTAATCAAGAGGTGGTTATATATGTAGAAAATACATTCTCTCACTTATTTTTTAACTTTTTAACAATATGTCTTGGTGATATAGCAGTATTAAAATATTCAATAGCTACATCTAAAAAACTTTTTCTTTATATATTTATATCTTTTCCTTTTAAATCCCTTTAGATAGTCTCTATTAAATTTAGGAATGTATTCAATTTGTATTAAGAATTTACTTTTAATTCAAATATATCAGTGGAAAATTTTCTATATATTTTGTATAAATTTTACAAATGGATAATGTCACAAAAGAAGTTGACTCTTTTAAAATGTTTTTTGAAATGCCAACTTCATCTTTTTATAAATTCAGTGGAACTTTTTCCTCTATTCTATCTAAAAATCTGAATCTGAATCTTTTCAACAGAACTACAGTGATTTTTTGGCATGATTTCCTAACAGATGCAAAGAGAACTTCACATTATTTTTCTTTAAAATTTTGGGGGTATTATTAGCATTTTATATATCAGACAATTTTATTATCAGCTTATGAAACATGGAAAGTATTATTTTAGACTTTCATTTGTAATTCCACTGAATTAGATTACTTTTATATTATATGTCTAGAATTGTGTCTTCTATGAAGATGTTTCTCTTTTTATTCAGACTTTATATATTTTTCATTTAGTTTTGCACAATTTTATTAAATTCTAAATATTCATATTTTCATTTCTATTTTAAAGGATATCATTTTTGTGACTTTTTGGATTGTAGCTATAACGGGCATGCTTATCTTGCTCATTATTTATGAAAATGCTTTCAATATTTTATTTTTAATTGTTATTATTGCATATTCTACCAAATGTCCTTTAAAAGTAAGTTTTCTTCTATTGTCTTGTGTGTGTGTGTGTGTGTGTGTATGCACATGCTTCTATGCATATGAAAAGGGCATGTGTGGTAGTTTTCAATTTAAAATAATTTTTTAATTTTTAAAAATTTTTGACATTTAAATGATCATACACGTTACAAACTTAAACTTCAAATCATAGCTTTTAATGCTGAGCCGTCCTTGTATGTTCTGAGATAAATCATACTTGATCATAATCTGTCGTTTTTTAAGTATACTACTAATGTACTTCAGTTAACTTTCCAATATTTTTAATTTTTATATCTATGATTAAATGTGAGGTGGTCTCTACTTTTTGATTATGTGTTTGTGTATAATAGTTTTTGAATCCGTTGTCCATGTTGATTTTATGCTATCTTTGAAGCATGAATTGGAAACCTGTTTTTTTAAAAATATTCTTAATGAGTGTTGAATACATTTCAGCACATTTTAGCAAATTTGAGTTTTCCTATTACATTTGTAGTTAATGTAGATTTTTCAAATATACATATATTAAGCAGAAAATAATATAGCTTTGATTTTATGATCAAGTCCACTTTTGTTCCCTGTTTCATTAAGTTCTAGCTTATGTCCTCATTAATTCCTTCTATTTTATTTGGGTTAATTTAGCTATTCTAGTTATAGCTTCTTGAGTTAAAAGCCTATTTTGATTTTTTTTAGCCTACCTTGTTTTCTAAACAATGCATTTATGATTACACAGTTGCCTCTGAGAGATGCTCTCACTGCAATAATTGGTTTTGATATGAGTCTTCTCACTATGGGTCATTTCTGAATACAGTATAATTTCCATTTACAGTTTTTCTTTGGTCTAAGAGTTACTTAGGTAGTTACTTGTTGGTTTCCAAATGTATTCAATTGTCTACTTACTTGCTTTCCCTTTTGGTCAACATTTATTGTATTCATATTCAAAGAATGTAGTTTCTGTGATTTCTAGGTTTTAGAACTTACTGATAATCTTTTTCCTGCAATATGGTTAAATTTATTTTTATAATTTTTGTTTGGAAAAAATATATGTACTCTCTTAGCTATATAAAACAAACTGAGTTAATTACGTCTTAAAAATTCATAGTATTCTTACATCTTTAAACCTATCTTTTTATTCTGACCAAATGTTAGTCTTCTACCATGATATTGGATTTGTCAATTCTTTCTAAAATTTATATTTTTATTGCAATTCTTCACTTCCTCCTTATAAAAGGTTTACACATTTATACTCGTTTTCATGTGGTCTTGTACTTACTCCAAGTAAGTGCAATATATATATCCCTGGTCATGTGACTTGCTTTTTGCAATGGACTACTAGAGAATGGGCACAAGCAGGGGAAGTAAATATACTTGTATGGTTGGCTTGAGATCTTGTGCCTCTGCTCTCTGCCTGAGAATATCATGTTCCAGACAACTATCAGACCTAATATCAAAAAACAAAAGATAATTGTTGAAAGCCCCTGATATTTTGGGGTTTTATTTTATTTGGTATTATTGCAGCAGAAACATGACTAAAACAGAAATTAGTTTCTGGGTTGGGCTATTAATTTATCTGTTTGTGTTGCTATAAAGAAATATCTGGCCAGGCGTGATGGCTCATACTTATAATCCCAGTACTTTGGGAGGCTGAGGTGGGTGGATCACTTCAGGTCAGGAATTCAAGACCAGACTGGCCAACATGGTGAAACTCCATCTCTACTGAAAACACAAAAATTAGCTTGGTGTGGTGGCACACTCCTGTAATTCCAGCTACTTGGGAGGCTGAAGCACAAGAATCACTTGAACATGGGAGGTAGAGGTTGCAGTGAGCTGTGATGGCACCACTGCACTCCAGCCTGAGTGACAGAGAAAGACTGTGTCTCAAGGAAAAAATATATATATATATCTGAGATTGGGTAATTTATGAAGAAAAAGGTTTATTTGGTTCACAGTTGTGCAGGCTGTACAAGAAGCATGGTGCCAGCATCTGATAAGAGCCTCAAGTTGCTTCTGCTCATGGAAGAGGTCTAGGGGAGTCCATCATGTGGCAAAAACAAGAAGTGAGAGGGGAAGGAGGTGCCAGGCTCTTTTCAACAACTAGTTCTGGTGGAACTAAGAGTGAGTACTCACTCACTTCCACAAGAATAACACCGAGCCATACATGAGGGAACCAGCCCCATGATCTAAACACCTCCCCCCAAGCCCCACCTTCAACACTGAGGATCAGATTTTAACATGACACTTGGTAGAGCCAAACCATCATGCTTATATAATAAAAACTGAACATACATGGCAACGTCTTTGGGTAAGAGAACAATGAAACTTTTATAGGTATATGAAGAAATGGTGAGCTTTGGTATTTTGTCAACAATCTGGTAAAATTATTACAATGATAACATGGAAGGCAGAAAATGAGCCTAATGAACTTAGTGTTGAACAAAAAGATTTTAAGGCAGAATATCGGTAGCATGAGTTGGTTGTTATGAGCAGCATTTGAAAAGGTGTCTCAAAAATAACTGGTATGGTTTTGGTATACAAGTTGGTTGAAATTAAATTGTGTTTTCAAATACTAAAATACAGTTTTTTACAGAGCTCTACTACCATTCTGGATTAAAAAGAAATTGTGACTGTGAAGACTGAAAAAGACAAGTAGCCCCCAACTTTGGCCAGGCAGAAAGCAGACTAGAAAAACTGTACTGTTACCAGAGAAAATATATTTTCTCTTGTCCCTTTCAGATGTGAATAAGTAGGGATAATGATAATGACGGTTGCAAAGAGAACATCAGAATGGGGACTTACACCTAGGAAGCAAAACTAGGCCTATCCCAGGGTGGGAGGACCTGCTACTGTTTGCCCAAGAAGAGATCTGAATTGTTATAAACCAGTTCCTTTTATATTCCTCTCATTCTCCTAACTTTTTAATTAAAAAATATTGTTAGGCAATCCCTGTTACATCATTGAACAATGAGTATATAAAGAGCAGATTACTTGTCTATATTAGTTAGTACTTCTCTGAATCAACAGGAGTCACATTTAGACCTGGCCTTTTTTTTTTTTTTTTTTTTTTTTTTGATCATGAGGTTTTGAATTTTGAGCCAGCTGGATAATTGTATAGACTTTTGGGGTATCTCAGGGAGACAGGTATGTATTATGTGAGCATTAAGTGAGCAATTGTGACAAAGAAGGTAAACTATGGTAGAGTGGTGTATTAGGATTCTCTAGATGGACAGGACTAATAGGATAGATGTATATACGAAAGGGAGTTTATTAAGGAGTATTGACTCACATATGATAACAAGGTGAAGCCCCACAATAGGCTGTCTACAAGTTGAGGGGCAAGGAAGCCGTTCCTCTTCCCAAAACTTCAAAAGTAGGGAAGCTGACAGTGCAGCCTTCAGTCTGTGGCAGAAGGCCTGAGAGTCCCTGTCAAACCACTGGTGTAAGTCCAAGAGTCTAAAAGCTGAAGAACTTGGAGTCTGATGTTCGACGGCAGGAAGCATCCAGCACAAGAGAAAAATGGAGGCCCAGATTGAGGGTGGGTCTGTGTCTTCCAGTCTGCTGACTCAAATGTTAATCTCCTTTGGCGCACCCTCACAGATATGCCCAGGAATAATAATTTGCATTTTTCAATACAGTGAAGTTGACACTCAATAACAACCATTGCAAGCGGATTTTTGTTTCCAATTCTTCGTGTCATCCTTAGTCAAGATATATACATCAACACTCTTGGCCATGTGACTTTGACTTGATATTAACCATGTGCTATTTTGGCCAGTGGATTATGAGGAAATGTGATAGGAGTAGAGACTTTAAATGTGTTTGCATGCTTTATTTTTGGCAGTAGAACCAGCAGCACTAGGGTAACTGCTAGTTCCAGAATGAGAGAAACACATGCAATTAACTTGAAGCAGAGCTGTCCCAGCCAACCCGAAGACCTGGAAGATAAAGTGTTTATAGCTGGAAGTCATTAGAATTTGCTGTGTTAGTAAACAAAAACTTTAGCACATTTTGATTTTCTGTGTGACTGGGTGTTTTAGCAATATCTTTTAGGTAGTGTGATTGGGTGTTTTAGCAATATCTTTTTTGTCCTCTTTAATGTTCTTTGCTTTGAAATTCATTTTATCTCTCTTTAATATTGTTACATTGGCTTTCTTTGTCTTCATATCTGACTTTGTATATATTCCCATCCCTTTGTAATCAGTCTTCCTTTTTTTTTTTAATCTGTTCAAAAATTAATTGGCATATGAATAGATTTTTTTTCTCTTCTGAAACTGTTTTGTGATTCCCTGACTTTATAGGAGAGTTTAACCCTTTTTTTGTTACTCAACTTTCATTTTGTCTTACATATGGAATTTTATTTAACGTTTTATATTAATGTGTTTTTCTTCTGGTGATTGAGTAATTTTTGTTTCTTTGTTTTTTTTTTTGTTTTATATTATAATCCTGCATCTTTCTTCTTGAGGTACCTAGAAATCTTGAACAAACATATCTATTATGCAACAACTAATATGTCAGAAATTATATCTTCCTGCCAAAAAGACAAGTAATTGAATTGAATTATGACAGATTAGTTTATTTGCCCTGTTTACTGACATGTATATACTTATATATAACATATGTATATATGTGTATATATATATATATATATATATAATGTTTTTACACTTATTTTTCATTTTCACCATTGTTACATATATAATTATATATACGGAGAGACAGAGAGGTCTTTTTTCTCTAGGCTCTACCAATTTGTTTTTGTTTTATATTCTAGATCATTTACTTGTTATTTACCATGTCCATTTTGTAATTTAATCTAATTTATATATACATGCATTACCAACATTAGCAGACTCTTGGAGGGATGAAGTGCAATGTATACATCAGTTCATGTTCATCTTTTATTATCTGGTAATGAAAGCTGGGCATCATTCTGTTTTTACCTTTTCCACATTGTACACCCATTGCATTTGATACTTATTATAGATATTTTTATTTCTGCTTTTCAATCCCACATGCATTGTATTTTCATTAACTATTCTTTGCAAGAAATGTATGAGGTATTTGAAAATACAATTTCTGTGCAAAATTTGCTGGTTCAAATCTATGCTAATTTTTTTAAGGCTGACTAACATTCCATTGTGTAGGTGACTGTAGTTAATAATAATGTATATAGTACTTTAAAATAGCTAAAAGACAGGATTTTAAATGTTCTCACCACAAAGAAATAATAAATATTTGAGGTGATAAACATGCAAATTAGCCACAATGTATACATGTATTGAAACATCATGTTGTACCCCATAAATATATGCAATTATTATTTGTCAATTTAAAAATACAAAAAATTATGTCAATTTGTTTGTTGTTGTAATTTCAAGGGATAGGCTCTAAAGTCAACTTGCTTCGATTTAATTTTACTTGTTCTAATGTAGTATGGTTATTTTACCTTTTTGCCACATTTTCATTATCTAAAATGGGAATAATTATTACTACTTCCCAGGGCTGCTCTGAAAATCAAATACACACAGGAACTCTTGACATATAACTAAATTTTATTAAATATTAAGTATTTGTTTATATTTGTATTTTTAACTTTGTGTTGAAGAAAGTGAGAAAATAAAAAGGAAACTACACCTTGAATATGATAAAAACAGGAAATTTAAAAAATTAAACTTGTATTTAAATGTGTATTCCTTAGAAAAACAGCTTTTGGATCATAGATTCATAGTTTTACAGTCCTTTTCTCTCTATAGAAATAGAAGATTCCATTTGACAGTGAAATATAGTAAAGTCCATTTAGCTATCTTGAAAACATGTATTAAATTCTTCTTATGTCTAAACCATATTTCTGTGCACGAAAATATACTGAAGACATAGTAACTAAAGATAATTATCAAATGATGAATATTAATAAATAAAAGAACAGGTCAATTTTAACTAACATGGTTCCTGTAAGGGCTATAATCAGAATAGGAAACAGAACTGGAAGTGAATATTCTTTTCTAATGGTATTTTATGAACATCAGGTCCTCTCTATGAAGATGATTCTAAGATAAACACCACAGAAGACCACTGTTTTACCCACTTGTGGAGACTGTTGACCCCAAAAAAAAAACATAAAAGATTTCTTTAAAATCCAAGAAATCTTGAAGATTTAGAATAGACCTTATTACATTATGGACAACTGCTTTCTTTGGGGCTACAGACGATGTGTCTTTTATAATTTCAAAGGCCACAATCTACCTCTATCACTTTCTTTGTCATAGTTTTCTTGCCACATAAGCACTTACTTGTGTAGTGACATTTATTTAAAAATGAATTCTCGAAGACTTGTAGAATAATCACAATGAGAAAAGTGCTGAATGATTTTACGAGGCAATAATCCACTTCTCTTATTGCAAAACTCTAACCAGCCTTCAGCCTCATAGTTTTTATCCACACGGGAACCAGATTATTGCCTCATAAAACAGCTCGGTGCTCCTATTATAGCTTAAATATAATTGTGTTTAAAGACCTTGTTGATTCCATTTAGCAAAATTAGTTGTTATCTTATTTCATCATAGCAGTGGCTTCTAATAACCTTGATGATATTTTGATGTGTGCCCAATTATATTTTCAAGAACCGAAAACAGTAAAATTTTGAAGTAAATTTTTTACTGGAAAATAAATTTCCAAGCTTTTTAAGTGTTACAATTCAACATCTTTTTTTTTCCTGAGACAATTTGTTACAACTTAGTAAAAAGCTAATTATTTTCTTTTTCTAGCTAATAAAGTTAAAATTAAAAAGTTAATTTTTCTCTCCTGTAGATTCATTCTTAAAGAAACTTCAGCAATAATAAGTTGAGTTTCAGTAATATGCATGTAATATCATACATTCTTATGTTAGGCAATTTGGGATCTGATTCAAAATTTAGCATTTTTAAGATTTGTAACCATGGTCAAGTTGCTTAATATGGTAAACCTGTTTCCTCATTCATTAAAAAAAGGCAATATTACAATAAAAATAGTTATCTTATGGGAAGTTTAATGACAATGAGAGGGCCTAAGGGTTCACTTAGTATTTTTCTCCCTGTGTATATTAGTTCTCCCCTATTTTGTATGTAAAATGTTTCTATTACAGAGCTCATACAAGGACATATAGAAATATTGTACTTAAAGGACAACAAGAACACAAAGAAATCATCTCTATAGAATGCATTTTAACCTTTTTTTTTTCTTACAAGAATAAGGATAATTTGAGACTGATTCAAAAATCACAGCGGAGTATGGAGATGGTAATTGGATGTTCTCCAATATTCCTTAGCCAACTTGTTGAAATCTACCTGGTCAGGCCTAGAAAATTTAGTTTTATGTCAAATATTACCATTAATTTCAGAGCATTATTTTATTTGTGATGATTACTTTATTGCAAGATAACAGCAACTCCAGATTTTACAAATGGTTGCTTGTGTCACTTGCCTCCTGTGAAGTGTGAGGTATTTTCTGGGCACTAGTTCAGTGATTGCCTATCCCTTTTTTTTTTTTTTTTTTTTTGAGACGGAGTCTCACTTGGTCGCCCAGGCTGGAGTGCAGTGGCGCGATCTCTGCTCACTGCAAGCTCTGCCTCCCGGGTTCACGCCATTCTCCTGCCTCAGCCTCCCAAGTAGCTGGGACTACAGGCGTCTGCCACCACGCCGGACTAATTTTTTTTTGTCTTTTTAGTAGAAACGGGGTTTCACCGTGTTAGGATGTCTCGATCTCCTGACCTCATGATCTGCCCGCTTCGGCCTCCCAAAGTGCTGGGATTACAGGCGTGAGCCACCGCGCCCGGCCGCCTATCCCTTTCTTTACTTAACAATCACAACTATAGGTCACATGATCTGGATTTCTTTTGTGCTCAAGATTGCATTTTCCTTAAGTCAAATTTACAAAGTAGAAAATTGTAAGCTCTATTTTTCCACAAGAGCCTATATATTATTTAGGAACCAATCTTTAATTTCTAGTAATGTGACAATTGTAAGTTTCTGCTAACTTCTCCTAATATTATTCTCCTAGTACTCAGTGTGAAGTAACCATTTAAATTCCCTAAGTAGAAGAGATACTAACTATCGATTTAACTTACATATTAAAGGCATGATGGAGCATCTGGAGTGTAATAAATTTAGTGTAATTTATAAATATTTTCTTGAATTCCTAGTTCATGGTAGGTTGTAGGTTGGGAACACCAAGTATAAAAAAGTCTTGCTATTTTTGTCATTTTCACAAATTTGGATTTTCGGTTATATTCAGTAACTTTATCACTAAATGTCTATTCAACTGATTTTTTTCTTTCCAAACTGTATAGCGGTGATCATCCTTCCAGGAGATACTTTTAAAGGAGAGCTATTATCAGCTACCTCCTACTCTGAGGAAAGTTGGGAGAGGAGAAAGGTTAGGGGATGTGACTAACAACAGTAAAGGAAAGAGAGAGAGTGGGAAAAAAAAAAGAAATAGATTCTTACCCCCATGTAATCATAATCAATTTTTTAGTATCTTAAAAAAAATCATTTTGATTATAAACAAAGAATGAGAGTGAAATCTGAAATCTTATATCACACATATCTCTTATGACCTAACACTGCTAAGACTCTGAGCTCTTACGTGTTAACGTTTCCCTGGTCCCTTGAAAAATGACATAAGTGAAATTCACAGAACTCATTACCATCTACCTCATGAGGGTATTGTGAAAATGCCCAATAACATTTATAGAGTGCTTTGAGCTCCTCAAAAGAAAGACATTACCTAAGAACAAAGTAAATAATTTTAAAAGCAACATTTAAGTAATTTAACTGTGAATGAATCAAACACATATGTATTACCTTTATGTAAATACAAGAATGGAATTAAGCAATGAAGTTCTTGGCCAGCAAGTTCTTGCTTTAGGTTTTATGAACTGGAAATACTTTAAACATGGTTTGATATATTCCACAAACCTAATATGGCAACATTTGCCAATTTTTGATACTACAAATAAATATTCTTTTATGAGTATTCAAAATAACTATTCAAGAATTATTCATATTTCTAAGAATGATCCCACATTTCTCAAGAGAAACTCATGTTAAAGAGATATTTATTTCAAATCAAAAGAAATTATTGCTTTGTTTTTATAAAGTACTGATTGAAAAGATAAATCTCATTTTCCACTGATTCAACTGATATTTGATTACAGATAATGTTAGACTTTATTGACTCTATTAGAAATGCAACAAATATTTATGATTGAATAATATTTTGGACTATAAAATGCTGAAATATGAAATTATAGGTTGGCTCAAATATCAGTGGAGTCAATGTCTAGCCTTGAAACCTCAACCATGACATTTAATGGGACTCAGAAGACCGAGAACATAGAGAAAACAGTGATTACATCGTCTTGGCAAAATTCATGATTAATAAACCTTATTCAGAGACTCAATTTATGTTACCAAATCATCATGCCTTTTAAGTGGAAATGGTTTTATCTTGCCAAATTGGCAAAGCTAGAGCAAGACTAAAAACAAAAGATTAATTATCTTGTATTAGTTTCTCCTTTTAATACTGCTCAGAATTGTTTGAGTATTTTTGAGAAATACAGCTTTGGGAAAATAAAGATCCCTGTTCTGAATTCACAGAAGTCAGTTTGATTCCCAATAATGTACATCATTTGGCAACTGCAAAATTGCAGGGTATTTATTCTTATGGTCATTCAATGATCAAGTTTTCTATCTTGTCTTTGAGAGCATTCACATGGGTAAATCCATAAGTAATCATAATCATACCTTAAGATAAAGGTGGAAAGTAAGAAAAATTTTTAAAACACAATTAGATATTAACCATGTGCTAATAAGCCCTAAACTTTGTAGACATCTAGAGAAAGTATTACTACCACTTCACAAAAGGGGAAATTAAGTCTCTAAGAGTTTTAGTGGCTTGCTTAAGATTACTTAGCAAGCAAGAGACAGACCTAGAATCCAAAGCAAGATCTCTGTGGATCCAAATCGAATGCTGTTCCCCTTATATTCTACTTTCTAGCAAGATAAGCCATTTTGGTGGCTTTTCGTAGTAATTACTACAGCTGCAAAGATTTTCCTGGAAGTTATTACTTTGGTAGTAGCTGGAAAGACTGTGAATGTTAGGTGTTCTGCATAGGCTTTCAAGCAGAAGAACTCACTTCCACATGTTTGCTGATTAACCTATTAAAAACTAGGAGTGATTTAATTTCAGTTTGACAGGGATAAATAAATGCATCCCCTATTATAGGTAGAGTTTTTGCTGATTTAGAGGGACACTCAATCTTTGTATAATGTTTGCTTATTTCTTTGGGATATGTTAGAAAAAGTAAAAGTGAATTAGAATAAAACATCTAGTAAATTCACAAAATACTTACATCAATGGTATTAACAGAACATCAATAAGAACAAACTAGTTCTAAGGCCTAAGGTTAATCAGCCAGATATCTGCCAGAGAGTGG
The DNA here is from genome assembly GCF_000001405.40 of Homo sapiens. Classification (NCBI taxonomy): domain Eukaryota; kingdom Metazoa; phylum Chordata; class Mammalia; order Primates; family Hominidae; genus Homo; species Homo sapiens. Next base: position 80,821,225 of record NC_000001.11, on the reverse strand, counting down.
CAGATCCTGCATGTCAGCCATGGTGGCTTTAATTCCCAAGCCATTTGCTTGATTTCTACACTAACTTAATTTTAAATGAAAGTTTCTAACCTAGGATTTAATTAAAAGTGATAAAAGCTGTCTTCCCACCAAACCAAATAGAAATTTAGAAATAAAGGCCAACAAAATACATGGTATGTCTTCAGATAGGTATCTCTTAGAACTTGTGAAGTTGTGTATTGCAGAGTATAATTCAAGAACTCATGTTGATTTTTTTTTTTGTATTATGAGAGTTCTGATGGTATCATTCCTAATTTATGGATGAGGAAACTGAGGCCCAGAAAGTTCTCATTACCTACCTGCTATAATTTGAGACTCCAATTAAAACCTTTCCCATTTTATTTTATTTGATAACATTTATTATTTATGGCTGGAATTTTTTATCCTATGCTATCCATTTCTTATTGGGAAAGAAGTTTAGATGTCATCTTCTGTTCCCTTTTGTCTTCATAAGCAATCGAATCAATTTTCTAGTGCTAAGTTATTAAGACAAATGAAGGAAAGTTAGAAGTTTGTATTAAAACTTTAATAGTTTTAGAAATTATAGCTCTAATTCATGAAAGTATAAAAATTATGTTTCATAATTTGTCATTATTTCCAATGAACTCTTTTGCTGTGATATTTTGTTTCCTAGCTATAGGCTGTAATTCAACAAGAAATATTAAATAGATAAGCATATCATTTCTTATCTATACACAACTATAGACTATTGTGTGTTAGAGGGGAGTAGACAGGGAAAATTTTATTTAAAAATTATCCTAGATAGTCTTCAGATAAAAATGGGATTTCAGGAGCTACTTAATATATCAAATAATGATATCATAAAAGATGTACAAGAAAGACATTCCTTATAAATGTGAAAATCTAAAGACAATTGCAAAATCTGTATATTAAATTTCTTAGACAAGATAGCAAAGGTTAAAAGATTGAGAGAGAAAAAATTTAGATGTCAGAGAAATCTTTGTATAGGACTTTGAAACAGTAATTAATAATGTAATGAATAAATCTTGATAGGAATGCTCTAGTTAAACCAACAGCCAAGAAGGAGGATAGTTTATTGTTATTCAGATGCAAGGTGAATTGGAGTACTGAGAAACTCTAATTTGGTTAGGAAAACATTTTACTATTTCAGAAATTGAAGATTAGCAGGAATCACTCATTTATTCATTTATTTAACAATACTTGAGTGTGCCTCTGTTCCAGGCATTGTTCTAGGTGCTGGGAATACAGTGGTGAACAAAATAGACTGGCTAACAGAAAATTGTGACCCTTATGGGGGAAGTACTCTACTAAACCTGAAGTATATAAATGTGTGGAAGTGCTATCAAAAAATGTTGGTTAGATTATTTCTTAATTCTTCCTGGGCCTATGTGATAAAATGTGTCCTTAATTCTAAAATCAATTATTTAGAATTGATTATTTTAGAAGTTTTATTTTAGAAGAATTATTTTAGAAGTCTTATTCTTCTAAAATCAATTATTCTCATCTTAATGTTGCTGCATCTTCAACGTGAAAATTAATATTGCATTCTAGAAAAAACTAACAACCTAAAATAAAATAAAAATCAGAATACCAAGTTTAGGGATAATTCTCCATGAAAAGGAGAAGCATCAACTGCTGAAAAAGCCATGATTCTTAAAGTGATTTTTTGTTTGTTAGATTTCTCAAGCAGCTACAGATCTATTCTAGGCCTGTATGCTATTCAGTATAATCAGACCACATCCTTAATACCTGACTTGAACTCTGCAGATCAGAACATATGACCATTCTAGAAGAAAAATAAAACCACTGAAGAGTAAACTTGCAATTATTCATAAACTATATATTCTTATAATTTTTTCATATTGGAAGACAATGTTTCTTTGGAAAAAAATGTAAGAGGTATTCGCTGCAGTTTCTTTCTTTTCTATTTTAAGGCACTGGGTCTTTGTGAAATGTGAGGTTTTGTGAACTTGCTTTGGATGTGGCTTTCTGAAAAGGCCAAGAAGAAATTCTAAACTCCTTTTGTGATATATTCTTGTTCCCATCAGTGACCTCTTCATTGAGGAGAGAGGGAGGAAGGAAGAAAGAAAATGAGGTTTTCTCTGATGACAAGTCAATTTAAGAGAACCCTCTGATCAATGAGTGTGCTTGGCTATGGCAAGAGGTTTCTGATTTATTTTAAGGGGAAAAAAAGGCCAACACATCCTTGATGGCTTGTAGTCTTTGAAAGTGGGGATACATGCTCTCAATAAGGCATCAGAAAGTTAAGCTTGATTTTGCATAAGGACTTCATTTGTGAAGTATAAAAATATCCTCAGTTAACTTTATGGTAAAAAGAAAGGAAGTAAAACTTAAAAGTTACATTTAACAAAATTCATTACAAAAGACATATTACTGAACATTATCTTACTAGACAAAATTTGGTGTCAATTAATGGCTACTTTTTTTATAAATGCATGCCGTTGTTTATCTCTTTATTAAACTAATGGCACTGATGTTGAAACTATGTTCAATTGTAAGATTTGTAAATCTGTAGCTTCTGGATTTAGAAGCCATAATATGAAGGATATTTGAATATGAATTGCTTATAAGATACAAAACACTAAGAAAAATAAATGGAATATTCTATTTCACCCAAGAAACCAAATTTCTGGTTAGATTCAATATAGTGAGGGGTGTGCAAACATATCAGCTAAGAGATTGTAATGTCCCTAGCAATGACAACTGCTTGTAGGACTGAAATTATTTACTCTGAGAAATCTGACTACATTAATGATTTCCAGCATCCCTTGCATAGCATGCAATGAGCTCATACTTTCCTTTTTTCATTATGCTTTACAAACAGCTTAATGAGTAACGGCAATAATTTGCTTTAACATAGTACTTCTTATCAAAGCATCTTAAAAGTGTTTTTGCAAAGAAATTGCACAGGGTCCAGTAATGCATATGCTGTGTTGTTATTCACATTGCAAAGTGAAGACATAAAGAGCTTAAGTGGCTTTTCCTAGATCTATAGAAAAATCAGTCAAAGATTCATGAATTAGTTGTAGGAATCCTGGCTCCTACTTCATCGATCCAAAGTTGGACCTCATATTTATTAGATAGACATATTTGTCTTTAAGGGCTAACCAGAGGCATGCATTTCTTGCAGCTCTAACTATCTCATCTTAGTAACGAATAACAAAAAAAGAATCGTTAGGGGAGGACAAAATTCAAATGCTAGATTTGTAACAAGTTTGATTATGTTTTTCAAAATATACTTGGCAAAAAACATCTTTTGTGTCTATGTGTCTATTTGTAATCTCAGCTTGTTTATTTATAATCTGCTTTGTTCATAGAGGAATTTGCCTATCAGTGAACAAAAACACACCCATTCTTTGTCCTATTTAAAAATTTAAATTTGAATTGTAAAATATTTTAAAAATTGATGAATAAACAAATTCTTTACTGCTAAAAAGGAAATAAAACAGGAAATTTTTTTTACCCTTATTCAATTTAAGAATAGAATTGAGGGTTCACTTGTGAACAGTTCCCTTAGAAGAAAACAGTGACTAAGGGTCTCATATAAATATATGTGGATCCCACAGTAGGATATTACACACACACACACACATATGCACAACACACAAACACAAACACAAAACATTTTCATTGTGTGCCTTACATGAAAATGGTTTATTGGAATATTCTAATAGACTCATATACCTTAGCACATATCAATCATATGAGATTAATACATCATCCTGTATTTTATAAAATCTAGAAAACTTCCTTTTAAAAAATGCCAGACACTGCACTTTTCAGAAGCAATCTGGAGTCAGGTCTAAATATCTCATGCTGTGCTAAACATTTGTTCAGAACATATTCTTGTTGGTGTAAATGTTTAGTACGCAAAGGGCTAGGTGGCCCTTTTTAAATTTTGGTATTTTTGTTTGAGGGAGCATCTAAAATAAATATTCTGGACTGTCTGAGGTGAGTTTACCTCTTTAAAATTTTTTTCCTCATTCTATTTTCAGAATATTTGTGTTTCTAAAATGGGCCTGATAACTATCTTTTTCTTAAGGAAACTACACTCAACAGTAGTTCAATCATTTGGTGAGCCCATTACACTTATTTCTAAACAATAAGTAATTTAGCAGAGATATCTAGATTCTGTATAAGTTTTTTGAGGACATTAATTTAGACTATTTTATACTTTCCCTCTGCAACATTTCCTAATTTAATATAAGGATTTCTTGTTTGCCTATCATGTGAACTATAGCAGGGGGAACAAAAGATAAATAATGCATAGTTTCTGTCCCCAGAGAATCTAAAGCTTGGACACAAACAGCACCTACGATGGAAAGTTGCAGTTCTACTAGGCGGAAAGTTGAAATCCAAGAATGGAACACTAGTCACATCCAAGGGACAGAGCTAAGGATAAAGTCATAAAGCAAATGTCATCCAGAAGGATCTGTGGCTATGCCATGCAGATTGAAAAATATAAACAAATATATAAAGAAGTCACTTAAATGAGTAAAAATATGCAAGCAAAATTTTCTAATTGAGACTTGTTGAAAATTATTTCATTCATTCAAAAATATTTATCACTGTCTCTAATATGTCAGATACTATTCTAGAATATTATTGTGAATGGCAGGTGTGTCCCACCCTTCAGGAGCATGTAGTTTCAAAGAGGTGGGAAGATGCATATTCTAAGAGTTTCCCTTTAGTTACGGTAATAATCATTGAAATGAAGGAAATGTACAGGATTTTGCGAGCGTGTATGATAAGGACATTTAAGTTAGTGTGGAGAATTATGGAAGACTTCACTCAAAATGCCACATTTAGGATGAGATGGGCCAAAGAGAAAGGGGGCAATGAGGCTAGTGAAGCAAATAAGGAGACTGACCATGCAATGCTTAGTTGTTATGCAAAGGACAATGAGAAACAAGATAAAACTTTGTTTGTTTGTCTGTTTGTTTTCTGTTGAGACAGAGTCTCCCTCTGTCGCCCAGGTTGGAGTGCAGTGGCGCAATCTCGGCTCACTGCAACCGCTGTCTCCCAGGTTCAAGAGATTCTACTGCCTCAGTCTCTCAAGTAGCTGGAATTACAGGCGCATGCCACCACGCCTGGCTAATTTTTTGTATTTTTAGTAGAGATGGGGTTTCACCACGTTAGCCAGGATGGTCTCGATCTCCTGACCTCATGATCCACCCGCCTCGGCTTCTCATAGTGCTGGGATTACAGGTGTGAGCCACCACGCCTGGTCGAGAAAAGTTTTAAGCAGGAGAATAAGATGATCTAGTTCCAAGTTTTTAAAACATTTTTCTAGCTCCTGTTCAAGAATGAACATTTAAGGGACCATTTCAGTAGTCAAGGAGAAAGACAATGGTGGCTTGTATTAGGGTTCTTCTGATATGATTTCTTGGATGCTATTTTTCACTTGTATTTTCAGTATAGGTTTCTAAAATGTAGTGGAACACACTTGTTTAATACTAGATGCAATCTCCTGAGGAGATCTAAGTAGGAAGCCCATATATTAGTCAAATGTGTCGTCAGTGTGTATTGATTGTGAGTCTGCAGAGTGTCCTGCCTGTGTGTATGCTTTTATAATGGTCCAGGTGGTGCCTAAAGATTTCATGAATTGACTCCCAAGGAGCCAGATAATGATCTTGTTTCCTAAGGAGGAAGATGATATTAACATATCACCATGAGCTGTGAACATTTGCAGTAAGACCAATCTTTCAAAGCATTCCAAATTAAATAATGCATCCTTTTGCATTTCTAATGCTGGTAATAAAGCTTTCACTTTAGAATGTGTATGTGTTGATCTACTTAAAGAAACAACTTACATCTTTTATTTCATATCACAAAACATATGTAAAATATGTGGAATATTCCTCCAATTTTGTTTTAATATAATAATGCAATCTCTTCTAGAAGATTATTTAACAATGTCACAGAACCTCTTTCAAATAAAAATGTTTTTCCATTTTTTATAAGAAATTCTTCCATTTACAGCAAATTTGAGATTGTTGCAAATATCTCACTCTTAGTTTACCAAACAATATTAAATTTATTACAGAATAGTTTAACTATAGCAGCAATATGAATTAGCACTTCTCCTCCCCTTCATTCATTTTGGAATAAGATAATGAGGCAAGAGTACTTCAGGAGAGATATCACTTTTCACTGAATAACTCATCTGTGAATGGCCCCAAATTGCAAAAATTACAGCATCATTTAAGCATTATTTATGGTTAGTATGAGGTTAAAACTTGTGGCAATATTTTACAGTGCATGGAAAAAACTAATCACAGCAGCATATTTATGGAAGTGTATTAAGATGATTCCTCTTTTAAAAAGGATAACTGAACCTATTGACTAATATTATTAATTTAGGCCAATTAATATTATTTTTAAACTTAGGTGAACACTATGTATTAAATCAGATAATTTCTAGAGCTATCTAATCTATCTCTCATCTGCTGATGGGCTCTTCCTATGTAGCCCTGGCACCTCTATTCTGTTTTAAAACATAAACATCTATAATTATTAAATAACACAGATAAATCTTACAGTGTAATACATCTTTCCAGTTCCAAATGTCACCCTTTCTATGGGATATTTTTGTGTAAACAATCTGCTGTAGTTGGTAGCAAATAATTATCTATAAAATGGCATCAACTCTAAAGGATGAAAACATAGAAATATAAAAGATACAGAATAAGATACATTAAACATTATTCATAGAAATTAAAAACAAATTCACAGACTCTTATAAGATTTAATTAAATTGTAACATACACAGAAAAACTCCTGAAATGTCTTTTTTATTTTTTCATTTATATCCCTAGAGTCCTATTCATTACAGTATGGGTAGCTGCCCTTGGTCAATCTCTTTTTGTCTTCCACTGATTAAAACAAAAGCTAAACAAAATAAAATCTGGTAAAAAACAACTATGATGATATATCATCCACTGAAGAAATTAAACAAACTCTAAACAAAAAATAAATAAATGTTCTGTTGCTGCCTATGATTTGGAATAATAACATCTTGGGGCTCATTTGTTTGCAAGAAAAAGAAACTAATTGAATTAACTTAAACATGTATTCCTATCTTATTGATGGACTTAGAATTCAATAGTAAGAGTTTGGACATTATTCTGAAGTCTGAAATACTCAACGAGTATAGGCAGTAGAATGATGGTATGAGATTGATGTTTCAGTTGTTTTAAAATTTAATAAATGGCTATAATTTGTTTTGTAATCACACAAATCATGAATAACCACTACAAATAAATTTGAAAATACAACTCGGAAGAAAACAGAAAAAAACAACAGAGTGAAAAGAAACAAAATGACAATATTAAAAGAAATAAGAAATCCTGTGGTTAGCCATTTTCTGCCTATTGCTCTGAGACCTTTGGATAGGCTCAATGGAACATACACAATGCATTGCTGTATAGCATGCATTTCCCTAAAGGACCTCTGACAGACCCCTGAGTACAGACATTATTCCTGCTCCTCACTCACCACCAACTGCTCAGACCATCACTTCAGTGAGGGACAAAGGAAGAAGACCGTGTAACGCTCTCTTCTACTCTTGGTCTTCATGATGGTGTTTGGACCTCTTTTCTGTTAGTTTGGAAATGACACTAAGCAAGATAAACTTGATTAGTCTGACTCATCATTTCTGCCAGTTTTTCGTCTGGTCTGATCTGGTCTGATGGTCAGCTGAGCTCAAGCACTTAAAATCAAACTCCCAGCTTAGGTGAATTTGAAGGCTGGTGCTCTGGATTCTGGTTATATTAGTCAAAGTTCTACAGAGAAACAGTAAATATGATAAGAAATTGGTTTATGTGGTTATGGCGGCTGACAAGTTCCAGGATGTGCAGAGTGAGTTGGCAAGTTGGAGACCCAAAGGAGTCACTGGTACAGTCCCAGTTCAAATTTGAAGGCCTAAAGAACTAGAACTGATGGCATAGTTTTCCAGTCTGAAGGCTAATGTTTCAGTTGAAGTCTGAAGGCAGAACAAAGCTGAAGTCTTAGCTCAAAGGCAGTCAGGCAAGATCTCTCTTTTACTTGGGAGAGGGTCAGCCTTTTTGTTCTATTTAGGCCTTCTACTAACTACACGAGGCCCACTCACATTACACAGGGAAATATGCTTTACTCAGTCTAGTGATATAAATGGAACCTCATCCCAAAATACCCTCACAGAAACATCCAGAATAATACCTGAATAAATATGTGGGCACACTTGGGGTCCAGTCAAGCTGACACATAAAAGTAACCATTGTGCTGGATGTTTTGCACAAGTATAGACTCTAATCCTGATATTTCTCCTTATCTCTCACATAGCATATTTTATATTCTCTTTTGATCATTTCCATTGTTAAATAAACATATTTTAATGTTTACCATCTTCTAAAACCCTGCCTCGACCCCACATCTCCCTCATGCTGCTGTTTCATTTCTCTTCTGTAAAATTTAGAAAGAATTGTCCTTATCAACTTTCTTTAGGACACTACTCCATTTTTGTCTTTAGCTCTCATCGGTCTTTTTCTTTGCCGTTTCACTATAGTAACCACTACTAGTTTCCAATCTTTTTTATTGTTAATCCTTTCATAACTTCTCAGGAGCATTTGACATAATTGACCTCTGTTTTTTTGGAATCACTCCCTTCTCTTAGCTTTCTTGGTAAGAACACCCTCCTGGTTTTCACCTTCTGTGCCACTGGTTGCTATCTCGTAGTTATTTTGTTACCTCTTTTTGAATCTGTCAGATTCAATTTTGGAAGTGGGGCACAGTTCAGTTCCCAGTTCTCTTACTTCTCTGTGTATACTCTTTCTTGAGGTCTTGGGTGATATTATTCAGACAATTGGTTTTAAATATCATTTGAACATTGATTTTTAGCTACTTTTTAAAGCTGTTACCTTAGGAAGTCTGCGTAATTTCTCTGTGCTCCCGTATATTTAGCAGTAATAGTAGTGACTAATAGAGTTTTTCTAAGGACTATATGAGTTAATATGTGCAAATAGTTCAAACTATGTCTGGTACAAGGTAAGCCCAAAGTGACAATAAATGTTTTATATGCACGTCTGTGTATTCATTCACTTACAGTAACAAGCCCCAGTGTGTGTGTGTGTGTGTGTGTGTGTGTGTGTGTGTGTGTGTGTTTGTTTGTGTGTGTGTTTCATTCTACAGTGAATCCTTTCTCCATTTCTTCTCCATGGATACATTTATACAATGACATTGATACTGACAAGAATTACATTGGCATGGGAAATGACACTAAATCTGGAATTAAATATGATGAGTTCCAGGCAAGTATTTCTATCTGTGTGACCTTGGACAAGTTACTTAAGCTTTCTCAGCCTCAGTTGTCTTTTCTGTGTAAAGGGGTTAAAATAATAGCAACAGCTATCTTACGGAATAATGAAGATTCAGTTATTTAATATGTGTAAAACACTTAGCACAGTGCCTATAATAAGCACTTTGTGTGAGACATTATTTTATCATTATATGTGGTGAACTATACGTGCTTATATCTTTCACTAATGAAGGTGTTTGTGGCTAACTTATTTTCCCATTGGATTATAAAATTGTTGAATAGCAAGCCATATCAACTATTTTTATTGCCAGAAGCCTCTACCACAATCATGTATATCATTGATATGATTAATTTTAGCAATTTTTTTTTTTGAGACGGAGTCTTGCTCTGTTGCCCAGGCTGGAGTGCAGTGGCGCAATCTCGGCTCACTGCAAGCTCTGCCTCCCAGGTTCATGCCATTCTCCTGCCTCAGCCTCCCAAGTAGCTGGGACTACAGGCGCCTGCCACCACGCTTGGCTAATTTTTTGTATTTTTAGTAGAGACGGGGTTTCACCTTGTTAGCCAGGATGGTCTGGATCTCCTGATCTTGTGATCTGCCTGCCTCGGCCTCCCAAAGTGCTGGGATTACAGGCTTGAGCCACCGCGCCCGGCCTAATTTTAGCAATTTTTCTGAGTGGATTATCTACCAATAAAATCTCACATAAACAACTTTTATTGTGGCAAATAAATTATGAATAACCCCTTATTCCAGCAATATTATCTTATACATAGAAGCTTAAAATTAAAACACACCTAGTGCTTGTATTTGAGTATAGAGATTAAGTTTATAAATTAAGATTATATTTTTATTTAGAATATATTTATGGTATCAAGTAGAATTATGTAACTATCTATCTATCTGTTATAAAATTAGGCCAAAAAGTTGATGAGTGTGATTTTCAGGAAGTAAAAATACAAGATTATGAAGTCAATATTTACTAATTACTTTCAAACCCTTTTTCTGACTACTTTAATGAATAGAAACCCTAAGTAGCAATTACTGTGGAAATGCAAACCAGATTCTTTCTCGTGTCATTTCTAATTTTTCTTTGCTGCTATATAGATTAATTCTAGCTCATTTTTAAGCCATGTCTTAAATTCAACTGTAATATCCAAAGAGATATTAGAAATTTTACAATTAGAAGAGGGTTTCTCTGTCCACTTTTGAAGCCAAAGAATGTTTAGTTTTAAATAAGTGGCATTAATTACTCTCAGTCAAAAAAATTTGTTTTATTTATGTAAATAACAAAAGAGTTAAGACCCGTTACAATCTTTTTAAATTAAGAATGATTATCCTCTGCAACATGAGTGCAATCACAGTCTGTGTTACATATACAATGTGTCTCAACTCATAACAATGTTGGTAACTGTTTGTGATTAATAATAGGAAATAGATGAGTAACATAAATTTACCTCTTTTCTTTCAAGTGTATGTAGGAATAAATGTAGATTCTAAAATTCACAGTATGTATAGATATGTTTAATAAAAGAACTCAAGGTAGACTTAAGATAGAAAATAATTGAGATAAAATAGATGAACAAATAATTATTCATCACTTAATATGCACAAGACACTTAATTCAGTTCCTTCTAATTCCAGCATTGCTTTTAAGATGGCAAAAAAATATTTTCAGAATGCTAAATATATTTCAGTCATATATTTCTAGGTATAGGAGTTGTAAATGATAATATTGATGCCCTAAGAGTGCTTGCACCCTAGGAGTGGAGTAGGCAGACAATAAGACCCTGTATTTAGAAAGCTGAATCAAATAAGTGATGTTAGCTACTGATAAACAATATGAAGAAGGTGACATGATTTTAAATAGTTGAGAAGAGGCTGTGTGTATGACATAGTAGAGTTCTTTAAATTTGGCATTCAGGAGGGTCCCTTTACCTTGCAGCTCTTTGAAGATCTGTGTGAAGAACAGTCCAAGAAAAGACATAGGTGCAAATGCTATGAAACTGGAATGTGCAGATTTGTTTAAGAAACCAAAACGGTAATGTGGCTGGGGCAAGTAAGCAAGAGAGCAAAAAGAGTGGGAGAAGATGACATTGTGCAAAGACAAGACTATGTGGGGCCTTGAGGGCCTTGGCAAGAAGTTGGATTTTAGTTTCTTGCTGTGAAAACCTATTGGTGGTGATCTGATTGCATTTAACATCTCAGAAACAAAATTCTGGCTGCTGGATGGATGATAGGAGAGCAAGAGTGGAGAGCAAGGAGGTGGAAAGTTAGCTAGTAGTTGATGTAAATTTGGCTAGAGATGATAGTGAATTTGTAATCACTAAAAGGTGGTAGGATTTAGGATATATGTTTTGAGGGACCTTCCTGATGAATGAGATGAGAGTGAGCAAAAGAGAGGAGTCAAGTATACATATTAGTTTTGTTTGTCTTCCCCTGAGGAACTGGGCTGCTGTTGCTGCTGTTTGCTAAGATGGGAAAGGCTTAGAAACAGGAAAATAAAATATCTGGGCAGGATGAAACAAATTGTTTTGCTTGAGCTACATTCAGTTTGAGATTCCTATATATGCCACAATAAACATATTAAGAAGGACATTAAATACGTGAGTTGGGAAGTGAAGTAAGGTGGCAAGTTTGGACAGATAAATTTAGTAGTTGTCTGTGCATAAAGCACACATAAAATCTTACGTGTATATAAAATCATTTATAGAGAAAATGGATCTACACAAAAGAAGAACATTAAAAATGAAAATCTCAGCATCCAAAATTTGGCAATCTGGAGGAAGCGAAAGAACCAGTAAAGAAAACTGTGAAGAACAGGTGACAGAAATAAGAGGCAAACCAAGAATGTGATGGATTAAATATAGAAAAGGAAACATTTCTAGAGGAAATGGTTGGTAAGCCATGTCAATAGTATGAGAGGTAGAGTTAGATTGACTTTAGTATGACACAGATCTCTGATGGCCTCAGAGCCTTGAGGAGGAATAGCTTTATTGGAAATGGTTAAGAAAGCATTAAATAGGTTGTAGAAATCATGAGTTCAAGACAAACCTGAGAAGTTTGACTCTGAAGGAGAGCAGAGAAATAGCAAACAAGGGGACATCAATTCATTAATCTATTTCATTCAAAGAGTAAAACATGAAAGTGTTTTGGCTGTATCAGCTGTCATAGTATTTATCTTCATGATTAGTTCAGGCAATCTATATAGATAGATAAATATCATTTTCTGCATGAATTATTCATTCATAGATTTGTTGGAACTGAAAGCTTGGTGAACAATGATGACCTTCCCAGATGAGTATATCCTTTCCTTGGTCCAAGGCATTTGCATAGCTGTGTTTTCTTGCTAGAATCTCTGGTTAAGCAAGGTTCTTGTATACCAAGAACTATACTTTGTTTTGGAGATTATAAAATAAAGAGACACAGCCTGGTCATTAAAGAGCTTACAGCATAAGTATTCCTCATTAAATTCTGAGTTTGTCTTATTTATGGTTTTCTGAAATGTACTGCCCTATCAATTGCGTTCCCATCATTAGTAGAAAAAAAAAGTCATTGTTCTAGATAGACAAAAATGAACTCACTGTCACAATTACTTTGGAATTAAAATAAAAAGTCCATCAAAAATAACTTTCACATTCAACTTTTCTGGAGAAAAGCATAAAGAACAAAAGCATCTGCAATGTGTGTAAATTGGCTAGTAGCCTTGTCTGGCACTTTCCAAATTGTTTTAGCAACGTTTGGCAGGAATTTATCACAAATTATGGATGATTATAATTTTGCAGTATGTGCAAGCAGATGGAGAAGATGAATTGACAGAAAGAATGTTTCTTCCTAGGAAACTGATTGGTAATAACAATTATCTTTAAAGAGGGCAAAAAAGTATGAATTGCCCATTGACTTTTTAATATATGTATATAAAAATTTGAGAATTTATCCTATTAAAAAGTCTTTTTACAAAATTGGAAACTGATAAAAAGAAAAAAAGTCTACCAAAAGTTACTTGAGAATGATGCAGAGTGCACACTGAAAAAATATTCTGACTTATGTTAAAGCATAATTATTCCATTAAAATGTCTGTTTGCTAAGGAAAATAATTAAATTGGCAGCTAATTGAAGAAAGAGCACATAGTTGATAGGAGCTTATTTTTCTTAGTGGTGAAATTTCAGCGTTTCTAACAAATGAGATCACTTTTCAATCTTTTTTAAATTCATGAGTAGTTATATGGAAAATCATGGGAACTTTATAAAATGGCTGTTTCGAGGAATTAAATTGAAAATAAGCAAGTTTTCATTAAAAATATTTCATAACGGTTCTTTGAGGTTTATAACAACATAGTTCAATAGAGGGTCAGACTCCACAGTCAGAATATCTGGGAATCTTGGATCAAATCTTGGGCCACTTTATCCTTGCAAATGACTTAACCTCTAATACGTCTCTCTTCTTTACCTTCAAAATACTACTCCAAGGAGCCAACCGCTTCTTACCACCTCTACCTCTACAACTCTGGTTCATGTTGCCATCATTTCTTATGTGAATTATTGAAATGACCTGGTTTCCCTGCTTCAAACCTTGCTCCCTTCAGACAGTTCTCAAAATGGCAGTCAAAGAGATCTCATTTAATAAAAGTCAGTTCATGATACTCTTCTATTCCTACCATCCAGCCCTCTTCCTGGTCTTCGGGGCTCCATTTGTGTTTGTCCTCACGCCATTCCTCTGACCTCATCATTTGTACTTCCCCACTTGCTCTTGTTCCCTCCACACACAAGTCTCTTTGTTGTTCGTTGAACACATCAGGCATGCTCTAGTCTCTAGTTCTTTGTACCTGCTGTTCCCCCTGCCTGGTGCATGCTTCTCTCAGATATCTTTATAATTTGCTCCCTCACTTTTTTCAGGTTTCATTCAGGAAAGCTTTCCTAAACATAATCTTTAAAATTGAAACCCTTGTCTCCACATCTCTAACACCCTTCCCTAATGCATTATTATTTTTTTTCTACAGGACAAATTGTCATCTATGTATTTTAATTATTTGTATTGTTTATCTTTGATCAGGCCTCACTAGAATGTAAGATCCATGACAAGAGAGATTTTCATCTGTATTGTTTAGTGTACCTGGCACAAAATAGGAATAACAAAGATACTTAAATGAATAAAAGTGTAGCTTTATTAATTTTCTATTTTTATCATGACTGGGAATTAAGGTTCTGGTTGTTGCCTCAGACTCTCACTGCCAGGCAAGCCACTTAATATTGCCCTAGAGACAAAATGAGACTAAAACGCCAACTTTAGTACTCTGTTATAGAGATTAAACAATATAAAAAACATGTAACTTATAGGCTGCTTTGAGGGTTAAATAGAACATTTACATAAAAGTCCCTAGCACACTGCTTGGCAGATAAAAGATGAGGAATAAATGTTGACGAAATTTGCCTCTGAATGAAGAGATAAAGTTAAACAATGAATGTATCTTTATTGGGGTCCTAATTTTATGTTTACAAAAATAAAATTATATGGAATATTTTTAGGAAATTTTGTGAGATGTAGAATTTTACTCAGTTATGTATTTGTTTCTAAACGTATTAATATACATTTTGACGGCTTTTATTTTTCACTCACAATATAGACCTTACAGAATGCATGCATATCTTGTCAAAGACCACCAGGAACATAACTGTAGTCAAATAGAGTTGGGTTTTTTGAGTATTGTAATGAGGAACACATACTTCTCCGGGGAACTGTGAACTGTCTCAGTCAGAGGGTGTTATAAAGGAGTTACAGGATTTGAAATGTGTTAGGTAATTTCAGGGGAGTATTCAAGGAAGAAGTACTTTAGATTGGGTGCTGTTTGGAAGTGGGGACAGTCTATGACTGAGTATCTTAAGTTTTATCTGGAGGATGGGAGGAAAAGTGGACCTCAATTGGAAAAAGAGCTGCCATCACTCATGTTAGTGTAGGGTGGGAGATATTTGGTAATTTTTGTGTGTGTGATTTGCACAATGATCTTGTTCTTTTTTGTGCTCGTCCATAAATACAGAGTGGCCTAGGTTTTGACTCACTTCATCACAGCCACAGAATGACCTTTTCTGATGTTGGTGACCTATGAAGTTGTCTATGTTCAAAAGGTGATCACCAAGACCTTGCTCTAAGTACAGAGTCAGCTTCTAGCAACACTAAGGCCTAACTTCTAGGGCCAGGCAAGCTTCCGACAGTCATGGGCTGCCTTTTCCTTTTTCAGGCATTGTATACATTTGCACATTTATTCAAACTTGGTTTTGAGAATTTTCATTCTTTTTTTTTTAACTAAATGGTAAGCTACCAAATTTAGATAGTTCATTCTTAAGATATATAATTCTTGAGAAAAAAGTCAGCATAATTTTATATAAAATTAATTCTAAATAATTTGTAATATCAGTTTTGCTACAAACTGATATTGTTATGTTGTTTTTAATGGCTAAAAATGCAATTTTGCACCAACTTATGTGTGGCATCAATGCCAACAAATGCTACAAACCTTTCTTTCTTTTATGAGACGGAATCTCTCCGTGTCACCCAGGCTGGAGTGCAGTGGCGCAATCTCGGCTCATCGCAACCTCTGACTCCTGGGTTCAAGCAATTCTCTTGCCTCAGCCTCCCAAGTAGCTGGGACTACAGGCACCCACCACCATGCCTGGCTAATTTTTGTATTTTTATTAGAGATGGGGTTTCACTATGTTGGCCAGGCTGGTCTTGAACTCCTGACCTCATGATCTGCCTGCCTCCACCTCCCAAAGTGCTGGAATTACAGGCGTGAGCCACTGCTCCTGGACAATAATCAACCTTTCTTAGCTGAGAAGTTATAAATAAAACAACGTATAGCCTAAGTAAATAATATTTTGGAACAAGTGAAGTTTGCCAGACATATCTGTAATGTATGTGTCATTTTTAAAGAACTCACACTCATGATTAAAAACAGCATTTGTAATACAAATAAACAGAAATAAAAATTGAAGTGCAAAAGTCTTCTTGTAATTTAATTATGAAGAAACATCCAATTTCCTCAGGTGGCCTTTAAATATTATTGTAACTCACATAAATGGATACCACGCATTTTTTGGGTTATCTTTAGAAGATTTCCATTTACAAGTTTACTATTTACAAACATCTCACCTATTAAAAGAAGAACTTATGCCAATTAATTTAAATGTTACCTTTGATGGTGTACATAGACCGGTGCAAAATTGCATTTTTAGACTTTAAAAACAACAGCAAAAACCGCAATAAATTTTGCACCAGCCTAATAGTAGCTATTTCAGTGACATAAAATATTTAGGCACTGTGCTTTTAAATCTTATTGAATTAGATGAGTCATCATCATAAGTGGCTCTCATATATGAAATTATATATATATATATTTTTTTTTTTAAAGTTGTATCTGGAGGATGAGAGGAAAGGTGGTCCTCAATTATAATGGGAAAAATAGCTGAAATCACTCATGTTATTGGAGGGTGGAAGATATTTGGTAATTTTTGTGTGTGTGACATATATACACACACATACATATATATATACACATACATATAGGTGTATAAATATATATAGTAATATATACATATATATATATATATATATATATATGAGAGAGAGAGAGGTTAAAAGTAACCCGTACAGGCTTTTAGCTCTAAATGTTCATGTAGTTGAATCTCTTCTTTTGCTGTAAGTAAAATGAGACATGTAGACAGACATTAAATTATACTCCAAGACATACAAAGCTGAAATAAGGAACTGGGGTTTTCTACTTCAGAATCAAGCCTTTCCCACTGTGACACATGTCTTATCTCTTTGGCTTAAGTTGGAAATCCCCAGTGGATTTTTCTTACTTATATAGAAATTCATATAAATTCAACATTTATTATTTAGGGAATCCACAAAGAACGTTGAATAAAATCGTCAAGTTACTTTTATTTTACTATATTTTGCTAGTCCACAAAAAGCTTCCTTAATCATAAAGCATTCCAACAAAGGTTAGACATAGGTGATTTCCCATTGTATAGTATGAAGTGAAAGCTTCAAAAATGATGGACATGACACTTCTGCTGATAGTCTCCAAGTAGTCTATCTTTTAAATAAAATTATTATTTAATATTTGCTGAAACTGTCACCTAAATTAAGAATTTTGGAACTTCACCAGTCTTTGATTGAGTGTCTTAAGTTAAACGCTTAAAAAAAATTCCTGAGTGTTTTAAGTTAAACACTCTACCTGAGCAGGTCACTATATTGCATACTCCTTGTGGAAGACATACATACTTGGTAGTTAAAGAACCAAATGGAACTCCCAAACTGTATGGGATATAATTCCATAGCATTTTTCATTGTCTTATTAGGTGGGGCTTGGGGAAATAATTGAAAATGGATTCAGAGTAGAAAACATTCTCTTTAAAGTTCAATTTTATGCTATAAATTACTTAATGAGAATTCTCCCAAGTCAGTAAGAAAATAAAAATAAACAAAATTCTGATCGATTTCAATATAATTTTAAAAAGTTTATCATCTTTTTTCCTTTAATAAGTGATATTTTACAAGAGCTTTTAGACTCATAAATTTAGTTAGAAATTTTACATGTTTTCCCCAAACACCTTTTTAAAAATCCCACATACAGCCCCTGTGCATGTGTGATACACTTTGCTAAATGAAACACTCAATTACAGGACTGTGTTTGCTATGTGCCAATTTAGTCAATGTTTTTGCATTGGCGAGGCCATCCTTATTTAATACCTCATAAAAAGAAAAGCCAGCCTTTTACAAAAGAACTAATTTATTGTACACCAAGGATTTGTGCTTAAAAATGTCTCCTACTGTATGTAACGTAGGTATAATACTTGTAGAGTATTGTAGAGCGCCTTAATGCTACAGATTCTGTACACCTTAGAAATAAAGATGCAAATCACAAAACAATAAATTCCAAGTTTGTAACAAATACCCTGAAGAAAACTTTAACAAATCATAACTGTCAGTGATATCAATGATGAAAGTTTTTGTCATGCAAAGAATACAAATCACTGTGCTGTTATGAGAATCTCTCTCTCTTTCTCTACTTTTTGGTTGCAGGCAGATCATCAACCTTAATGATAAAAGCCTTCCACAGAAATAATTCTTAAGCCTCAGGAACAAACACCTCTTTGGCACCCTGAGAGAATATTCCACAAACATCATCAGTCTCCTTCGGATCATAATTTGCAACCTTTCCTTTTGGCCGACTTGAGCCATTTGTGAACATGCCCCAGCAGCATCACACTGGGATTTTCCTCCACTTTGCCCTCTAAACACATAGCAACATAGCCGTGTATGCTGCTATCCTGCTGCCCATTTGGAAGCAGGTGTTTGACAAATCAAGTATAAGTTACAGCTATTAAACTATAAATGCATTTTTCAAAACAGCTGCTTATTAATGATTAGACTCTCTAGAAAAGTGTAGAAGGGGTGGATCTTTCTATGTAGGTCCTGGAGCCAATTTGTTTTGTTTCATATATTAATTGTCAATGGCTTACTGAAGAACCACCTAATGATGACTTCTGGGCATAAAATTTGGGTTTTTCAAAAGCAAAAAAAATCAAAGTTGATGAAATAATGTGGATGGGTGTATATTTCTCCCAACAAAACAATCTTGTGTCTCAAGAATTGTTAACAGTTGTCTGATAAATGCCATCTTTTTGAATGCTTTCCTTGAAATTCAAGAAAGGAGTCTATGTATCACAGCTGAATTCATTTAGTATGTGCCTAAACACACTCTTACTCTGTGTACTCACTAGAACAGATGCACATACATTATTAATTGTTGACTAACTTGTAATCATCATCAAGGGCAGAAAAACTATACCTCCATCAGGAAAGCATACAAACATTATGATTACTTAAAAACATAAGCATTTCTTTATAATGTCTATATTGAGTGTGACATATCTAGCAATATGCATGAAGGAAGCATTGCAAAGCAAAATGTTTACTATAACAAAGTGATGCAATCCAGAGGAATTTCTGAAGTTTGATATTTAATGGAGGAGTCAAAATTGTTACTCTCCCTCTGCAACCCCAACAAATAATGTGCATATACACAGAATAAGAGAGAGTGAATATAATAATGACATATAAGTTTGGTATTAACTGTAAATCTTAGATTTTATTTTTATAATTGGATTATATTATAGGAAGTGATGGTTCACAAATCCAGTCACTCAGAAGGTCTGGTGAAGAGCAATCAGATCATAGGAGAACATCTATATTAGGAAAATCAAGTTCATGCTCATTACACAGGAAAAAGAGCTCATATTTTCATTTTCTTCTTGCTTGTGTTTTTATTTGCTCTGTAATATCGGCTGGATGTTTTTAGTTCTCAGTATCAAGTTCCTGAGTCAGAACTAACAAGAAGTTTGCAAAATGCACTCTATCCTTTACTGCTGGTGGGATTATGAAATGGAAAATTCTAAAAGGCAATATTGAAATAATTTTACATGCCCTTAAAAATATCAATATGCTTTGAAAGAATGATTTCACTTTTCTGAATTTATCTCAAGGACAAAATCTGAAATTCATCTAAATATTCCTATAGGGAGATTTATTTTGAAATAACTAAACAGTGAAAACAAATAATGATAAGTACAGTTAAGTAAATGATGGTATATACATATGCTGTGATACCACGAAACCATTAAATTACATGTATGTAATATATTCCATCACATATCATACAATGGGAAATGGTAAATAAAAAAGCTACCCCAAACTTTTCATAGAATATAATAGAAAAAATATATGCTTAGAAAAAATATTGGAGGAAAAATATGGAAATAATGATTTCTCTCAAAGTGGAATTATGAATGTTCCTAAGTTATTTTTTTTTTACTCTTTGTTATGCTTTATTTATATAACTACTCTATAGACTCCTTTAGAATTGGTGGTTATAGAAAAAAATATACTGAGTTCACCAAACTGTTTCATTTTCTGGGGCACAGAATGAAACTACATTTCTCAGCCCCCATGCATCAGGTGGGGGAGATGTTTCTGGTCCTCATCAGTGACAAGTAGGCAGAAGTGATATGTCACTTCCATTCCAAGCCTGTCAAGTATGGGTGTTTCTTTTTCATGCACAAACTCTTTAGTCTTCTAGACTGGAAGTGAAAGGCTGTATGATGGTAGATCAGCTTAGATCCCTTAGCTACCATTTAGATGAGAGCTAAACAAGTAGGCCATGTTAACCTCATCAACACTTAGAATTATTCAGATGTTCAGGTTTATTTGTTATATCATCATAGCCTAGCAACTATCAGCTATTTTACTCTTATCAGAGTAATCACTTGCTGGCTTTCTTTACTTAATAAAAGTCACAGACATGTTACCAATGCAAAATACGAGCATATAAGATATTGCTGCTTTTATGTGCCCTGATTGTTTTATGTAGATCCCTTTAAAGCTGTTAAAAACCATGGTTTTGTGAGTCTTAGTCTAGTCATTTATCCACTAGCACTGGGAGTAGTGGGCTTCCAGATTTTATACTAATAGCAAAAATACATACAAAAATGTGACAAAAATGTAGATGTTACTTCTTTAAGATGCCTCCTCAATTCAGGAAATTTTTTTCACATGTGCTTGCATTGTGACCATTTTTAAGAGTGTAATCTTTTCTTCTGCATGTGACAAATGCCTACTCATTCTTTAAAACTAAACTCCAATGGCACGCCTCAATAAAGGCCTTGTTTAGTTTAGTCTGTGATTTATATCATTGTACATAAGCTCTAAATACAGAAAAAAAATGATTTAAAAAGCTTTTTGCTTCCAAGTCTTAGCAAAGAGCCTAGTATTGTTACAGTAGGTAGCTAGTCAGACATGAGTAGGGCAGGAGAGGCCCCTCTCCCAACCCCAACCAGGAATATCAGGCAACCACCAAGTGATGGTCAGGCAGTTGTTACACTGTCTCTCTAAAATAATAATTGGTTGCAGCCAGTGCCAGGGAAAGGCAGCCTCCCGATAGACAGAAAAAAACCTGAAACTGGTGATCAGCAGCTTCCTGATAAGATCTCAGGAGGTAGGTAAGTGGGCTCAAGCATGTGTGCTAAACAGGCAAAATGGTGGAATTTATTTGGTACATGACCTTCCAGGGCCAATCAACTGGTAAGGGAAGAATGTCTCAAGTGAGCATGCCTACAGCTCCAGTAAATACACTGTGCATGCTCACCTCCCAAGTGCTAGCAAGCCACTGTGCATGTGGACAGCGCCCCCCAAGGGAAGAATCAGGGTAGAAGGGATGAAAGACCCTGCAAGTATACCATCATATAAAACCCTAAGTCAAAAGTCAGACAGCACAGTTGATCTCTCAAGTTGCTTGCTTGGCCCTCTTCCAAGTGTACGTTACTTCCTTTCATTCCTACTCAAAGATTTTTAATAAACTTTTGCTCCTGCTCTAAAACTTGCCTTGGTCTTTCCTTCTGCCTTATGCCCCTCAGTTGAGTTCTTTCTTCTGATGGGGGAAGAATTGAGGTTGCTGTAGAACTGTATGAAATCACTGCCAGTAATGGCATAAAATATGTAATCATTAAATTTGACAGTTTTCAAAATACATTTTATTTGTAATTTTCTATGTTCATCAATTCTAGTGTAACAAGTGACATAAAGATTTCCTATAATCTGTACCTCCTACCTAACTTAGGTATAATAAATATTCTTTACCTTGGGATATTTTTGATTCTGCAAATTTAATATAATTCTTTTTTCTTTTGGTAACTGAACTTTTTTTAAAAAAAGCCAACCTTTTTACATTTGCTAGTGGCTTAAAGTTAACTTTAATATAGCGTTTTACCATTAGATAATAAATTATTTAATTTATTAGGTGAATATGTTAATATAAAAACCTTAGTTTATTTTTATGATTTATGCACTACAATGCAGTCATTAAAATGAAAGTATCAAATCCAGTTCTACTACCTATAAATATTTTTATAATACATTTTGGAGTCAAAAATAATAAATGGCAATATTCTGTGTATGTTATGACTTCTGCTTCCACTTAGAATGTGTACAAACTCAGGAATACATTTCTCTGATGCTAACTACACAAAGGCTGGATAGTCTATACAATCTTACCTTTTATTGAAAACATCAGAATTTTGAAGTAACAGGATAACCAGGCAAACTTAATTTTGAGCCCCTCTGAGGAGACAGGATATACTGACCCTTTTACTTTGGGCAGAATATGGGAGGAAGAGGCAACCACAATAAAAGTGGGTAATAAGAAAGTGGCTAAATCTTAACTAATTATTAAAAACCAAGTGAAGACTCCTGGAAAAGTTCAGAATCCCCAAGAGCCCCAGACACACAAAACAAGTCTCCCTTCATTCAGTCCCTTTTCTGTGGCCCTCCATCCAGTAATCTTGACAGAGAGGGAAAGAACCAGAGAATTAAGAAAGTTTCCCTCTTGCAGTGAGCCGAGATCGCGCCACTGCGCTCCAGCCTGGGCAACACAGGGAGACTCCATCTCAAAAAAAAAAAAAAGAAAAGAAAAAAGTTCCCCTCAGGGCAGACAGGTACAGAACCCTGCTCACTTTCTCAGACTCTTCTTCACATGAGGCAAAACTGTATCCCTCTGAGGTGGGAGTGAAACTTTTCTGTTTGTCTAACAACTATTGCACCAAGTAGCATCAACCATATTCAACTACTGTGAATCAGCAGGAAACCCTCCTGCCACTGGTCTCAGGCAAAGGTGCTCTGCTGTTGACGGACAGGTAGAAGTCAAATACATCTGTCCCTAGGAAAGGGACAGGAAACCCACTTGGGCACAAAATCTAGTACTGATATAAGTGGATGTCTGCTACGACTGAGGGAAGGATAGGAAATTTTCTACCACCCAAGACCATCCACAGATACAAGACAAAGTTTGGCTGCTAAGGTTGGGTTTTGACGGTTAATTGTATGTGTCAACTTGACTGGGCTAAAGGATGCCCAGATAGCTGATCAGACATCATTTTTGGATGTGTCTGTGAGAGTGTTTCTGGAAGAGATTAGTACTATAATTTGAATGTGCCCCCTTCAAAATCCAGATATTGTCAATGGGACAGTATTAAGGAGTGGGGTCTTTAAGAGGAAATTAGGCCATGTGGTGTTTTCCCTTATAGATGAGATTAGGTTCCTTTATAAAAGGCTTGATGCATGAAGCTTGTTCCTTTTACCTTTCTGCCTTCTGCCATGTGAGAATATAGCCTGTGTTCTCTCCAAAGGATGCAGCATCAAGGTGCTGTCTTGGAAGCAGAGGGCAGCCCTCACCAGACAACCGAACCAACTGACACCTTGATCTTGGACTTCCCAGCTTCCAGAACTATGAAAAATACATTCCTGTTCTTCATAAATTATGAAGTCACATGTATTCTGTTGTGATATCACAAAAAGAAGGACTAAGACAATTCACATTTAGGTCATTAGACTGAGTTAAGACCATCCTTAGAAATGTGAGAAGGGATCATCCAATCTGTTGCAGGAATGAATAAAACAAAAAAGAGAGAAGGTGAATTTGCTTTCTCTGTTTGAATTGGGGCGTGCATATTTCCCTCTGCTATTAGAGATTGGTGCTCCTGGATCTCAACCATTTGAACTCAATCCGGACTTATACTGCATCCTTGGTTCTCGAGCTTTTGGAATTGTATTGACTTATGTTGTCAACTTTTCTGGTTCTCCGTCTTGCAAATGGTAGATCATGAAAAATTTTAAGCCTCCATAATTGCATGAGCCAATTCCTAAAATCAATCTCTCTCTCTCTCTCCTATTGGTTCTGATTCTCTGGAGAACCCTAACAGAAGAGAGAAGAAGGAATACAAAGAAAGTCCCACCCTTGCAGTTTAGGTGTACAGAACCTGCCTAATACTGAGGTTCAACCAAGAGAACCAAGAAGCTCCCCTATAAGCCCTACCATAAGCCTGACACAGAGCAACAGACGGTAGTAGTCTACTGATGTAGAACTATGAAAGGATGGAGGGAGACCTATCTCTGTAGTGCAGATGTTCAGGGTCTTATAAAACAGAGTGGAGCATAAACACCGAGAAAACCCGTCAGCACACCAAGTCCTATGCTAAACACAAGGAGCAGCAGGTGACCGCTATGAGAATGCTTTATTCTCCCCTCATCCATGATTTCACTTTCAATGATTTTAGTTACCTATGGTCAACCATGGTCTGAAAATATTGAGATATTTTGAGAGAGAAAGACAGATAGATCCCACATTTACATAACTTTTATTATAGTTTATTGTTATCATTGTTCTACTGTATTATTGTTAATATCTTAGTGTTCCTAATTTATATATTTAACATTATCATAAGTATGTATGTAAAGGAAATAAACCATAGCATACACAGAGTTTGACATTATCCGTGATTTCAGGCATCCAGTGGGGTCTTGGAATGTGTCTCCCCCAGATGAGGGGGAGCGACTCCACATAGATTAATTTACACTCCCCTCATTTTCCACCACCCACATACTAACAGTCTAATGAAGAAATATGCTCATTTCCAGGCATAAATATTATTTATTTCACTCTCTACAGTTCTTCTAAATAATATCGAGCATTGAAAACTATGAGATACACACACAAAAAAAGGAGAAAATGACTCCATTGTCAAGAAAATAAACAGTGTAAAATCAAGACTTTGAGACAATCCAAATATTGCATTAGGAACTTTAAAATAACTATAATTGGTGTATAAATGATATGTCATAGGGCATAACAATGCCAATATAAATCAAGTTTTAAAAATAGAAAAATCGATAAATATGTACTTTAATGAATACATGGATTAATAAGTTAAAAATGTCTCTTAAAATTATCTTAAAATTGTCATCTGAATTCTTCTTAGGCAGATGAGTTTATTATTTTTGGAAAATATTTCAGTAAGGCAACTGAGTAGGGGTAAGATTTTAATGTCTTGTGTAAACCAGAGAAAAGGTAAAAAAAAAAAAAAAAAAAAAGGTAAATTATTCTTCATTTAAGACATGCAAGTATTTAGGCATTATTTAGGTCTTGAAGGCAAGAGGAATAAAGAAATATGTAGAACCATGGTAGTGTCTATAGAACACTAAAGAATGCGAATGTTGAGTATACAACACCATATAAGGTAAATTTGTAGTGTAACAATATGACATACTCCCTCTATCTCCTTATAAATTTCTAGTAAAGATACTTTCATAGAGAAGGTTTCTTTGATGTTTGGAATGACATAAGGGGAGATAGAAAATAGTAGATAGAGGCAGATTTGAGAAAGAAATAAGTGGTGGTGCCTGCACCATCACTCCTGGCCAGCTGTTTTTACCTTAAACTTTTAAAAGCTTTTCCAAAACAACTCTTATTAACATTTGTGTTTTGTTCCTCTGTATAGGCTGTAAAATTATTATTATTCTTATGTTATAGAAGCAATTTTTAATTTTTTTAACATTTGTGCATAACAAGTTTTTGCAGGTTGTTAGTTGCTCTTTATAGATATTACTTTTAATAATTTACAAATTGTTGATTAGCAAGTACACTATAATATACAAATATTCTACTACTGTTTGGCTACTAACATTTTTTCTCTATTAGAAATAATGTACACTGCATTATTAGTTAAGATAATGTTGCGAGTAACAAAAATCAAATTGACTCAGTTTAAGTAAAATTAAAAAGAAAGAATATTTTAGGTGGATGTTGGGATGCCACTTCCAATTCAAGTAAAAGTGTAAGTTTTTAGTTAAGTCTAAGACTGGACAGTCCCGAGTGAAGCTATCCATAGAAAATGGTGTTTTCTTTCCTCCTACACTCAGCTCTTGAAATAAATTCTACTCCCAACTCTCAGCTTCTATGCCCTTCTATTCAAATTTTAAGAAGATATGATTTGCCTGATTTGTGTCATATGGATAAACCTGGCAGCTGGAGAGAGCGCCCCTTGTGAATTTCAACAAACACCTCTAAAAGAAGGACTGTGCAGACATTTTAATTGTCTCTGAGATGGACATTTTTTGGGCATAGAACTATTTCTGGAATTAGGGTTATTTCTTTTAAATAAATATCCAGATATAGACGTTCTCAGTAAAAAGATATAAATCTCTGAAAGATTCATTTAAATGTTGGTATCTTTTATATGTATATATATTTTATTATACTTTAAGTTCTAGGGTACATGTGCACAATGTACGGAGTCCCTCTCTGTCACTCATGCTGGAGTGCGATGGTGTGATCTCGGCTTATTGCAACCTCTGCCTCCCGGGTTCAAGCAATTCTTTTGCCTCAGCCTCCCAAGAAGCTGAGATTACAGGCACACACCACCATGCCTGGCTAATTTTTTAGTATTTTTAGTAGAGACAGGGTTTTGCCATGTTGGCCAGGCAGGTCTCGAACTCCTGACCTCAGGTGATCCCCTTCTCTCAACCTCCCAAACTGCTGGGATTACAGGTGTGAGTCACTGCACCCAGCCTAAATATTGGTATCTTTGTTTCCATTCATATTGCTATCTATAAGCAACTTCCTTTGCCGCTCTCATAAGCCAGTGCCTTCAACTTACTACCTACAGGTTGATAATGTTCCAGCCAATATTCAGAGCTCCAACCCTTTTCTTGAGCTTTAGACTCATATTCAAGCTGCATACTTCTAATTACCTACATAAAGTGCCATTGGCACTTCCAAACCACCAGATCTAAAATTAAACCATAATGCTTCAGCAAAACCTACTTCTCTTCTCCATTACTTGAATTAAAATAATACATCGTTATAATTGTCAATGTTACCAAAACTGTAAGATAAATAATTTTTAATTATTTGCAATGTTAATATAGCTTTTTTTTCTACTTTGGGAATTAAAGAGAGTCTATACTTTTGTCCCTTAGCCAGTCTGCATCTGATATTACTATGCCTCTAGTGAAGAGATTAGCCAACTGTCTCAGATCTCAACAATTTCCTGGACAAGTCAATGTATCTCCTAACATACGCCTCACAATTTTTCTTAAGCTTGCATATCAATTTGAAGTTGGTAGCAGGCAACAAAAATGGACTCTACCTAAATTAGACCAAAAGGAATAGGTTAAAATTATACCAAGAATTCAGAAAAATAATAGGAAGTAAGCGTCCACATTCGAAGGCAACTAGGAACTTAGGTAGCTCTAGAAGGCTAATAAGCAGAAAAAGTAGCTGCTGAGTGACTATGTTAGTAAGATTCAGGCATTCAAGAAGATACAAAGGGTGCGCACAATAATTTCCCAGCCTAGCAGAGATCTTACGAGGTACATCAAAGGGGGCACATATGCTCCCCTTTTACCTATCTTGTGCAAATTTAGGAAAATAATTTTCTGTCAGTGGTCACCTAGTAAACATATATATAATAAGTACAAAGTGAAACGAATAAATTACTTTTAAATGAGTAATTCAAGGGCCCTGTAAGACTTACAGACTTTATATTGCTCTCACCATGGAATGACTATATGCAATGACTGATCAATCAATAGATAGGTATAAAGATATGCAGTTTTGTGGTAGT
Organism: Homo sapiens; assembly: GCF_000001405.40. NCBI lineage: Eukaryota > Metazoa > Chordata > Mammalia > Primates > Hominidae > Homo > Homo sapiens. The sequence goes on along the minus strand of NC_000001.11, from coordinate 80,793,377 downwards.
TCAGAGTGATAAGTGGTCAGTCATTAATGCCACTTTGAAGTGGGAGAAGAAGTCAAGGGAGGCTTCGCTTTTGAAGTTGTTGCTTGTGCTTTGAAGAAGGAATTGAACTTTCCTACAAGGTGGGATTAGAAAAAGGTATTTAAGGGAGTTAACAACAGCTTGTACAAAAGCATGTGGAAACATAATTTCGAAGCAAACTGAAGACCGTGAACGTGGTAGACTGAGTGTCTATTTAATATATTACCTCAAGGAGTAGTCCTAGCTCAGGACAGAAAACCAGTGGCAGCCTGTGAAAGCAGTGAATGCTAAGAAATAAGACTTGACTGTGTAAGCAATGGGTTGTTGTGGAAGCTTTCAAGGAATAAAGTAAGATGATGAAATTCGCAATTCAGAAAGGCACTCTGGCATCAATGAAGCAAACAGGTACTAGGAATAAATAATGGGAGAGAGCCAAGATTAGGGTTACTGTCAGTCAGGATTGCTCAGAAAAACAACTGAAAATAATTTCAAATATTGTAATGTAAAAGATGCTGGAATGCAAACATAACATAAAATGTATAAGCTAAGAATGTCAATCAACTTTTTAAATATTCATGAGTCAGCCTGTAAATGTTTTCAGGTAGACTTTTAAAAAATAAGTCATGTTCCTTATTAAAACATTTTAAAAATTTCAAGCAACCATCTATATAAAGTATAGTATCCTTGACTTATGTTATACCTCATTAATACTAGTTTCTAGTGTATTCATAGCATAACACTTAATTTCTCTTTATAAATTACACCAATTTTTCCTATGTATTGGAGTAATAATTCTAGATATTATAGCATTAATATTATAACAAGCCCAGGGCTAGTCACTTTTCCCGTTTAACAGATGGCCTAGGGCCTAATTTTGATACACACAATATTTTAAGATAATAAAGAAGTACAAACATTTAATCTTTCTTCATCAGATATAAGCTCCCACAATTAATGTGTTACACTGTAACTCTACAGCATTAATTATATCTCAAAAACTATCATAGTTCTGATGCTGCCTATTTTATCAAAGTGCCAACTGCAGGCATTTGATGTGATGCAAACCTAAGATCTAAATTCCGAGTTTGTCTAATATCTATGAGGTGCAATATTGTTCTTACAATTGATGCTAAAGACGTTGGTAGCTCTAAAATTGCAGAATAAAGACTTATTTACTCAAAGTGAACTATTATTAAAGAAATTGTCTTGTGTTATGTATCTAGAGCAATAGTTTAATAATTTTGGGAAATCAAAATCCACTTGATTTTCTTCCCTGTTTCTACCATTGGTAGCCATGTACTTTATTTGGAAACTAAGTAGACTTTTAAGTTTACTGTTATATCACATCCACCTCTTCATCAATATTGAAGTGGATTGTCTATCTTTCTACCTCTCTCACACTTGCTAAGACTAAGTCTTTCCTCACTTCTTGAAAGAGTGGATATGGTAGCCAGAAGCACAGATACACAGTAAGATTGTGCCTATACAGTGCCTAGAAATATACTGTGAGACCATAACCCCCCCTGCCTTGAATCCAGTTGGAAAAAAACAGAAATATTTTATTGAGATAAGCACATCCAATCAAACATCAAATATGTGTTTACTCACTATTCCAGGTCTAGAACCTATAGTTTGTCTAGAAATATTTAGATTGGAGAATACAAAGTCTTAATCCATATTCCAATGGAGGTTAAAAAATGAAAGAGCACATAAAAATATAAAAAAGTACCTAAAATGTATAGCAAATCTTACAGTGAATAGGTCTGTTACAAAGACATTAAGAATTTGAAGATGACAGAGATTATAAACAATCTGGAAGAAATTATTCAAAGAATGACAATTGAATGCCCAGAAAAATAATATTAAAAACTTCACATCAAACTTAGTATTCATACATTTTACTATGTTAATAGACACTGATTGAGAGTATTGAGCAATTTCATAGAACTTGCCCTGTGAAGAAGAAAAGAAAATAAATAGAGTATTGGGTAATTTGGAAGGCCTGACATATGTATGAATATAATTTCAGCCCAGTATTTGACTTTTAAAAATAATATACTGATGGAAAACTTGGGTAGGAAAGGGAGCATAATTAGACCTAGTAACTAGCTAAATATCTATAAAATATTGATAGTATATTAATGTTAATATAGAAAGATTCTAGTGATTTACCATGAATATAATGACTTATCTGGGTCATTTTTTTTTTACTTTTAATTTCAGGGGTATATGTGCAGATTGGTTCTATAGATAAATTGTGTGTTGCAGGGATTTGGTGTACATATTTCATCACTCAGGTTATAAGCATAGTATACAATAGGTAGTTTTTCCAACCTTACCCTCCTCTCAACCTCCACCCTCAAGTAGTCCCTAGTGTGCACTGTTTCCTTCTCTGTGTCCATGTTTAGCTCCCATTTATAAGTGAGAACATGTGGTATTTGGTTTTCTGTTACTGTGTTATTTCACTTAGTATAATGGGCTCTAGCTTCCTCTGTGTTGCAGAGGATGTTATTTCATGGTTTTTATGGCTGCATAGTATTCCATAGTGTATATGGACCACATTTTATTTATCGAGTCCACCACTGATGGACATTTAAGTTGATTCCAAGTCTTGCTATGGTGAATAGTGCTGCAATGAACATATGTATCCATGTGTCTTTATAGTAGAATGATTTATATTCCTTTGGGTATAGATGTAATAATGTGATTTCTGGGTTGAATGGTAGTTATGTTTTAAGTTCTTTGAGAAATTGGCAAACTGCTTTCCACAGTGGCTAGACTAATTTACTTTCCCATCAACAGTGTATAAGCATTCCCTTTTCTCAGAAGCCTCACTGGCATCTGTTATTTTTTGACTTTTTTAACAATAGACATTCTGACCTATGTGAGATGGGTTGTCTGTTTACTCTGTTGATAGTTTCTTTTGTTGTGCAGAAGCACTTTAGTTCATTTAGAGTCCCATTTGTCAATTTGTTTCTGTTGCAATTGCTTTTGGCATCTTTGGCATAAAATCTTTGCCAGGGCCCATGTCTAAAATGGTATTTCCTAGGTTCTCTTCAAGGGGTTTTGTAGTTTCAGGTTGTACATTCAAGTCTTTAATCCTTCTTGACTTGATTTTTGTATATGGTGTAAAGAAGGGGTCCAGTTTCAATCTTCTGCATATAACTAGCCAATTATCCCAGCACTATTTATTGGATAGGGATTCCTTTCTCCATTGCTTGTTTTTATCAACTATGCTGAAGATCAGATGGTTGTAGGTGGGCAGCTTTATTTCTGGGCTCTGTATTCTATTCCATTGGTCTATGTGACTGCTTTTGTACTAGGACCATGCTGTTTTGGTTATTATAGCCTGTATTATGGTTCAGTGACAGGTAATGTAATACCTCCAGCTTAGTTCTTTTGCTTAGGATTGCTTTGGCTATTCAGGATGTTTTTTGTTTCCATATGAAGTTTAGAATAGTTTTTTCTGTTTTGTGAAGAATGTCATTGGTAATTTGATAGGTATAACATTGAGTCTGTAAGTTTTCAGGGGGCAATATGGCCATTTTAACAATATTGATTTTTTTCTGTCCATGAGCATGGAATGTTCTTCCATTTTTTTTTGCATCATCTTTGATTTCTTGCTGCAGTTTTTTGTAATTCTTGCTGTAGCGATCATTCAATTCCCCAGGTAGTTGTATTCCTAGGTATTTTATCTTTCTTTATTATTATACTTTAAGATCTGGGATACATGTGCAGAAGGTGTGGGTTTGTTACATAGGTATACACGTGCCATGGTGGTTTGCTGCACCTGTCAACCCGTCATCTACATTAGGTATTTCTCCTAATGCTATCTCTCCCTTAGCCCCCCCATCCCCCAACAGGTCCCAGTGTGTGATGTTCCCCTCCCTGTGTCCATGTGTTCTCGTTGTTCAACTCCCACTTATAAGTGAGAACATGTGGTTTTTGGTTTTCTGTTCCTGTGTTAGTTTGCTGAGAATGATGGTTTCCAGCTTCATCCATTTCCCTGCAGAAATCATGAAGTCATCCTTTTTTATGGCTGCATAGTATTCCGCAGTGTATATGTGCCACATTTTCTTTATCCAGTCTATCACCAATGGACATTTGGGTTGGTTCCAAGTCTTTGCTATTGTGAGCAGTGCTGCAATGAACATACATGTGCATGTGTTTTTATAGTAGCATGATTTATAATCCTTTGGGTATATACCAAGTAATGGAATTGCTGGGTCAAATGGTATTTCTGGTTCTAGATCCTTGAGGAATCACCACACTGTCTTCCACAATGGTTGAAATAATGTATACTCCCACCAACAGTGTGAAAGCATTCCTATTTCCACCACATCCTCTCCAGCATCTGTTGTTTCCTGACTTTTTAATGATGACCATTCTAATTGGCATGAGATGATATCTCATTGTGGTTTTGATTTGCATTTCTATAATGACCAGTGATGATGAGCTTTTTTTCATATGTTTGTTGGCTGCATAAATGTCTTCTTTTGAGAAGTGTCCGTTCATATCCTTTCCCCACTTTTTGATGGGGTTGCTTTTTTCTTGTAAATTTGTTTAAGTTCTTTGTAGATTCTGGATATTAGCCCTTTGTCAGATAGATAGATTGTGAAATTTTTCTCCCATCTGTAGGTTGCCTGTTCACTCTGATTATAGTGTCTTTTGCTGTGCCAAGATCTTTAGTTTAATTAGATCACATTTGTTTAGTTTGGCTTTTGTTGCCATTGCTTTTGGTGTTTTAGTCATAAAGTCTTTGCCCATGCCTATTTCCTGAATGGTATTGCCTAGGTTTTCTTCTAGGGTTTTTGTGGTTTTAGGTCTTACATTTAAGTCTTTAATCCACGTTGAGTTAATTTTTGTATAAGGTGTAAGGAAGGGGTCTAGTTTCAGTTTTCTGCATATGGCTAGCCAGTATTCACAAAATCATTTATTAAATAGGGAATCCTTCCCCATTGGTTGTTTTTGTCAGGTTTGTCAAAGACCAGATGGTTGTAGATGTATGGCATTGTTTCTGAGGCCTCTGTTCTGTTCCATTGGTGTATATATCTGTGTTGGTACCAGTACCATGCTGTTTTGGTTACTTTAGCCTTATAGTATAGTTTGAAATCAGGTAGTGTGATGTCTCCAGTTTTGTTCTTTTTGCTTAGGATTGTCTTGGCTATGCAGGCTCTTTTTTGGTTTCATATGACATTTAAAGTAGTGTTTTCTAATTCTGTGAAGAAAGTCAGTGGTAGCTTGATGGGGGTAGCATTGACTCTATAAATTACTTTGGGCAGTATGGCCATTTTCACAATATTCATTCTTCCTATCCAGGAGCATGGAATGTTTTTCCATTTATTTGTGTCCTCTCTTATTTCCTTGAGCAGTGGTTTGTAGTTCTCCTTGAAGAGGTCCTTCACATCCCTTGTAAGTTGTATTCCTAGGTATTTTATTCTGTTTGTAGCAATTGTGAATGGGGGTTCACTCATGATTTGGATCTCTGTTTATCTATTATTGGTGTATAGGAATGCTAGTGATTTCTGCACATTGATTTTGTAACCTGAGACTTTGCTGAAGTTGCTTATTAGCTTAAGGAGATTTTGGGCTGAGATGATGGGGTTTTTTAAATATACAGTCATGTTATCTGCAAACAGAGACAATTTGACTTCCTCTCTTCCTATTTGAATACCTTTATTTCTTTCGCTTGCCTGACTGGCCTGGCCAGAACTTCCAACACTATGTCGAATAGGAGTGGTGAGAGAGGGTATCCTTGTCTTCTGCCGGTTTTCAAAGGGAAATCTTCCAGCTTTTGTCCATTCAGTATGATATTGGGTGTGGGTTTGTCATAAATAGCTCTTATTATTTTTAGATATGTTCTATCAATACATATTTTATTAAGAGTTTTTAGCATGAAGCAGTGTTTAATTTTCTTGAAGGCCTTTTCTGCATCTTTTGAGACACTCATATGGTTTTTGTCATTAGTTCTGTTTATGTTATGGATTGCATTTATTGATTTGTGTAAGTTAAACCAGGCTTGCATCGCAGGGATGAAGACAAATTGATGATGGAGAATAAGCTCTTTGATGTGCTGCAGGATTCGGTTTGCCAGTATTTTATTGAGGATTTTTGCATCAATGTTCATCAGGAATACTGGCCTTAAATTTTCTTTTTTTGTTGTGGCTCTGCCAGGTTTGGGTATCAGTATGACTCTGGCCTCCTAAAATGAATTAGGGAGGAGTCCTTCTTTTTCTTTTCTTTGGAATAGTTTCAGAGGAATGGTAACAGCTCCCCTTTGTACCTCTGGTAGAATTCAGCTGTGAATCTCTCTGGTCCAGGGCTTTTGTTGGTTGGTAGGCTATTAATTACTGCCTCAAATTCAGAACTTGTTATTGGTCTATTCCGATATTCAACTTTTTCCTGATTTATTCTTAGGAGGGTATATATGTCCAGGAATTTATCCATTTCTCCTAGGTTTTCTAGTTTATTTGCGTAGAGGTGTTTATAGTATTCTCTGATGGTAGTTTGTATTTCTGTGCTATCAGTGGTGATATCCCCTTTATCATTTTGTATTGTGTCCATTTGATTCTTCTCTTTTGCTTCATTATTAGTTTGGCTAGTGGTCTATTTTATTAATCTTTTAAAAAAAATCTGGATTCAGTGATTTTTCGAAGGGTTTTTCATGTCTCTATCTCCTTCAGTTCTGTTCTGATCTTAGTTATTTCTTGTCCTCTGCTAGGTTTTGAATTTTTGCTCTTGCTTCTCTAGTTCTTTTAATTGTGATGTTAGAGTGTCGATTTCAGATCTTTCCCACTTTCTCCTGTGGGCATTTAGTGCTATAAATTTCCCTCTAAACACTGCTTTAGCTGTGTCGCAGAGATTCTGATACGTTGTGTCTTTGTTCTCATTGGTTTCAAAGAACTTATTTATTTCTACCTTATTTTTGTTATTTACCCAGTAGTTATTCAGGAGCAGGTTGTTCAGTTTGCATGTAGTTGTGCAGTTTTGAGTGAGTTTCTTAATCCTGAGTTCTAATTTGATTGCACTGTGGTCTGAGAGTCTGTTTGTTATGATTTCCATTCTTTTGCATTTGCTGAGGAGTGTTTTACTTCCAATTATGTGGTCAATTTTAGAATAAGTGTGATGTGGTGCTGAGAAGAATGTATATTCTGTTGATTTGGGGTGGAGAGTTCTGTAGATGTCTATTATGTCTGCTTGGTCCAGAGCTGAGTTCAAGTCCTGAATATCCTTGTTAATTTTCTGTCTCATTGATCTGTCTAATATTGACAGTGGAGTGTTAAAGTCTCCCACTATTATTGTGTGGGAGTATAAGTCTCTTTGTAGGTCTCTAAGAACTTGTTTCATGAATCTGGGTGCTCCTGTATTGGGTGCATATATATTTAGGATAGTTAGCTCTTCTTGTTGTGTTGATCCCTTTACCATTATGTGATGCCCTTCTTTGTCTTTTTCGATCTTTGTTGGTTTAAAGTCTGTTTTATCAGAGACTAGGCTTGCAACCCCTCCTTTCTTTTTCTTTTTCTTTTTTTTCTTTCAATTTGCTTGACAAATATTCCTCCATCCCTTTATTTTGAGTCTATGTGTGTCTTTGCATGTGAGATGGGTCTCCTGAATATAGCACATTGATGGGTCTTGATTCTTTATCCAGTTTGCCAGTCTGTGTCTTTTAATTGGAGCATTTAGCTCATTTACATTTGAGGTTAATATTGTTATGTGTGAATTTGATCCCATCTTTATGATGCTAGCTGGTTATTTTACCCGTTAGTTGATGCAGTTTCTTTATAGTGTCAATGGTCTTTACAGTGGTATGTTTTTGCAGTGGCTGGAACCAGTTTTTCCTTTCCATATTTAGTGCTTCCTTCAGGAACTTTCGTAAGGCAGGCCTAGTGGTGGCAAAACCTCTCAGCATTTGCTTGTCTTTAAAGGATTTTATTTCTCCTTCACTTATGAAGCTTAGTTTGACTGGATATGAAATTCTGGATTGAAAATTCTTCTCATTAAGAATGTTGACTATTGATCCCCACTCTCTTCTGGCTTCTAGGGTTTCTGCAGAGAGATCTGCTGTTGGTCTGATGGGCTTCCTTTTGTGGGTAACCTGACCTTTCTTTCTGGCTGCCCTTGACATTTTTTCCTTCACTTCAACCTTGGTGAATCTGACAATTATGTGTCTTGGGATTGCTCTTCTCGAGGATTATCTTTGTGGTGGTCTCTGTATTTCCTGAATTTGAATGTTGGCCTCTCTTGCTAGGTTGGAGAAGTTCTCCTGGATAATATCCTGAAGAGTGTTTTCTAACTTGGTTCCATTCTCCCCATCACTTTCTGATACACCAATCAAATGCAGATTTGGTCTTTTCACATAGTCTCATATTTCCTAGAGGCTTTGTTTGTTCCTTTTCAATCTTTTTCTCTAATATTGTCTTCACATTTTATTTCATTAGGGTGATCTTCAAACTCTGATATCCTTACTTCTGCTTGATTGGTTTGGCTATTGATACTTGTGTGTGCTTCATGAAGTTCTCATGCTTGTTTTTCAGCTCCATTGGATCATTTATGTTCTTCTCTACACCGATTATTCTAGTTAGCAATTATTCTAGTTAGAACATGCTGTTTTAGGTCAGAGGGTTTATTACCCACCTTCTGAAGCCTACTTCTGTCAATTCATCAAACTCATTCTTCTTCCAGTTTTGTTCCCTTGCTGGTGAGGAATTGTGATCCTTTGGAGGAGAAAAGGTATTCTGGTGTTTGGAATTTTCAGCCTTTTTGTGCTGTTTTTTCCTCACCTTCATGGATTTACCTACCTTTGGTCTTTGATGTTGGTGACCTTCAGATGGGGTTTTTGTGTGGATGCTCTTTTTGTTGATGTGGATGCTATTCCTTTCTGTTTGTTAGTTTTCCTTCTAACAGGCCTCTTTGCTGCAGGTCTGCTGGAGATGGTTGGAGGTCCCCTCCAGACCCTGTTTGCCTGGGTTTCACCAGTGGAGGCTGCAGAACAGCAAAGATTGCTCCCTGTTCCTTCTTCTGGAAGCTTCATCCGAGAGGGGCACCTGCCAGATGCCAGCCAGAGCTCTCCTGTATGAGGTATGTGTTGACCACTGCTGTGAGGTGTCTCCCAGTCAGGAGGCATGGGGATCAGTGACCCACTTGAGGAGGCAGCCTATCCCTTAGCAGAGCTCGAGTGCTGTGCTGGAAGATCTGCTGCTCTCTTCAGAGCCAGCAGGCAGGAGTGTTTAAGTCAGCTGAAACTGCACGCACAGCTGCTCCTTCCCCCACGTTCTCTGTCCCAGGGAGATGGGAGTTTTATCTATAAGCCCCTGACTGACTGAAGCTGCTGCGTTTCTTTCAAAGATGTCCTGCTCAGAGAGGAGATATCTAGAGAGGCAGTCTGGCTACAGTGGCTTTGCCAAGCTGTGGTAGGCTCCACGCAGTTTGAACTTCTTGGTGGCTTTATTTACATTGTGAAGGGAAAACCACCTACTCAAGCCTCAGTAATGGTGGATGCCCCTCCTCCCCCAAGCTCAAGTGTCCCAGGTTGACTTCAGACTACCGTGCTGGCAGCGAGAATTTCAAGCCAGTGGATCTTAGCTTGCTGGGCTCCTTGGGTGTGGGATCTGCTGAGCTAGACCACTTGTCTCCTTGGTGTCAGCCCCCTTTCCAGGGGAGTGAATGTTTCTGTCTTGCTGGTGTTCCAGTGCCACTGCGGTATTAAAAAAAACTCCTTCAGCTATCTCTATGTCTGCCCAAATGGTCACCCACTTTTGTGCTTGAAACCCAGGGCCCTGGCGGTGTACGCACCCTCAGTTTGGGCACGGTTGGTGTATAGAAATGCTACTGATTTGTGCACATTGATTTTGTAGCACAAACCTTGCTGAAGTTGTTTATCAGATCAAGGAGCTTTGGGGCAGATACTGTACGGTTTTCTAGGTAAAAAATTACATTGTCTGCAAATGCAGACAGTGTGACTTCTTCTCGTTCTCTTTGAGTGCCTTTTATTTATTTCTCTTGAGTGATTGCTCTGGCTAAGACTTCTAGTACTATGTTGAATAGGAGTGGTGAGAGTGGGCTTCTTTGTCTTGTTCTGGTTCTCAAGGGGAATGCTTCCAGCTTCTACCCATTCAATTTGATGTTGGCTGGGGGTTTGTCATAGATAGGTTTTATTATTTTGAGATATGTTTCTTCAATGCTTAGTTTGTAACGGTTTTTAATATGAGGTGATACTGAATTTTATCAAAAGCCTTTTATATATCTATTGAGATAATAATGTGGTTTTTGTTTTTGCTTATGAGATTAATCACACTTATTGATTTGCATATGTTGAACCAACCTTGCATCCCAGAGATAAAGCCTACTTGATTGTGATGCATTAGCTTTTTGATGTGCTACTGGATTTTGTTTGCTAGTATATTGTCAAGGATTTTTGCATCCATGTTAATCAACAATATTGGCCTAAAGTTTTCATTGTTGTTGTGTCTTTTACAGGTTTTGGTATCAGGATGATGCTGGCCTCATAGAATGAATTAGGGAAGAGTCCCTCCTCTTCAATTTTTTGGAATAGTTTCAGTAGAAATGGTATCAGTTCTTCTTTATAGATCTGGTAGAATTCATCTCAAATTTTCTGGTTGGTAGTGTTTTTATTACTGATTAAAACTGAGAACTTGTTATTGGTCTGCTAAGAGTTTGAATTTATTCCTAGTTCAGTTCTAACAGGGTGTATTTTTCCAAAAATGTATCCATTTCTTCTGTGTTTTCTAGTTTGTATGCATAGAGGTGTTCATAATAGTCTCTGATGATTTGTGTGTGTGTGTGTATTTCTGTGAGGTCAGTGTTAATGTCCCCTTTGTCATTTCTGATTGTGTTTGGATCTTCTGTCTTCTTTTGTTAGTCTAGCTAGTAGTACATGTATCTTATTTATTTTTTCAAATAACCAACTTCTAGTTTCGTTGATCTTTTCTATGGGTTTTGTGGTCTCGATTTCTTTAAATTCAGGCCAGATTTTGGTTATTTCTTGTCTTTTACTAGCTTTGGGGTTAGTTTGCTCTTGTTTTCTAGTTCCTCTAGGTGATGTTAGGTTGTTAATTTGAAATCTTTCTAACTTTTTGATGTGGGCATTTAGCACTATCAACTTTCTTCTTAACACTGCCTCGGCTGTATCCCAGAGTCTGGTATGTTGTATCTTTGTTTTCATTAGTTTCAATGAATTTCTTGATTAGTGACTCAATTTCATTGTTTACCCCAAAGTCATTCAGGAGTAGGTTGTTCAATTTCCATGCACTTGTATGGTTATAAACGATCTTGATATTTATTTCTATTTTTATTGTGCTGTTATCCAGGAGAGAGTGTGGTCAATATGGTTTTGATTTTGAATTGTTTTATGGTTGATTGTGTGTTCAATTTTAGAAAATGCACCACGTAGCAATGAGAATAATGTATATTCTGCTGTTTTGGGCCATAGAGTTCTGTGGATATTTGTTAGGTCCATTTGGTCAAGTATTGAGTTCAGTTCCTGAACATCTTTGTTAGTTTTCAGCTTTAATCATTTGTCTAACACTGTCACTGGGGTGTTGAAGTCTCCCACTATAATTGTATGGTTATCTAAGTCTCTTTGTTGGTCTCTAAAATCTTGTTTTATAAATCTGGTTGCTCCTATTCTCCTGGGTGCATATATATTTAGGATAGTTAAATCTTGTTGAATTGAACCCTTTACTATTATGTAATGCCTTTCTTTGTCTTTTTTGATCATTGCTGGTTTAATGTCTGTTTTACCTAAAATTAGAATAGCAACCCCTGTTTTTTTTGTTTTCTGTCTGCCTGGTAGAGTTTTCTACATTTCTTTATTTTGAGACTCTGGGTGTCATTGCACGTGAGATGGGTCACTTGAAGACAGCATAGAGTTGGCTCCTATTTCTCAAACCAGCTTTCCACTTTGTTTCTTTTAATTGGGGCGTTTAGCCTGTTTACATTCACAGTTAATATTGATCCTGTCATTGTGTTGTTAACTGGTTATTATGCAGACTTGATTGTATGGTTACTTTATAGTGTCAATAGTTTATGCGCCTAATTATTATTTTTTTTTTTTTGGTGGCCAGTAACAATCTTTCATTTCCATATTCAACACTCCATTAAGAACCTCTCGTAAAGCAGGTCTGGTGGTAATGAGTTTCCTTAGTACTTGTTTGTCTGAAAAGGATCTTATTTCTCCTTCACTTATTAAGCTTAGTTTGGGTGGATATAAAATGCTTTGTTGGTATTTTATTTATGAATACTGAAATAGGCCTGCAAACTCTTCTGTATTGTACCGTTTCTGCTGAAACGTCTGCTGTTGCCTGGTGGGGTTTCCTTTGTAGGTGACCTGCCCCTTCTCTCTAGCTGTCTTTAACATTTTTCTTTCATGATAACCTTGGAGAATCTGATGACTATGCGTCTTGGGGATGGTCATCTTGTACAGTATCTTGCAGGGGTTCGCTTCATTTCCTGGGTTTGAATGTTGGCCTCTGGAAAAAGGTTGGGGAAATTTTCATAAATGATATCCTCAGATATGTTTTACAAGTTGCTCATTTTCTCTCCCTGTCTTCCAAGGATACCAGTGAGTCTTAGATTTGGGCTCTTTATATAATCCCATATTTCTCAGAGGTTTTGTTTATTCTTTTATTTTATTTTTTGTCTGACTGATTTAGTTTGGCAAACCAGTCTTTAAGCTCTGAGATTCTTTCCTCAGCTTGGTCAATTTTGCTCTTAATACTTGTCATTGCACTATGAAATTCTTACACTGAGTTTTTCAACTATATCAGATGAGCTTGGATTTTTCTTGAAGTGGCTATTTCATCTTTCAGCTCCTATATCATTTTATTTTAGTACTTAGATTCCTTGAATTGGGTTTCAACTTTCTTCAGACTCTCAATGACCTTCATTCCTTTTCATATTTTGAATTCTATGTTTGTCATTCCAGCCATTTCAGCCTGGTTAAGAACCATTGTTGGGGAACCAGTTCAGTTATTTGGAAAAAAGAAGACATTCTGGTTTTCTGAGTTGCCAGAGATTTTGCTGATTCTTTCTCATCTATGTGGGCTGATGTTCCTTTAACTGTGGTGTGTTTTGAGTATAGTCAGTTGATTTCATTTCTGGATGTTTTCAGAAGGCTGAGGCTTTGTGCAGGGTCTCTATTTGTAGCTGAATTATTACCCTTGGTTTCACTCGGGAGGTATATTAGCAAAGTAGTTTTGGTATTGATATTTGGGCTGTGATTCAGTAGATGCTTCTTAGGTGTAATGGCCAGTAAGTAGACTCTTGTTCAGCCATGTGGTTCTTCAGTATTTCCTCACAATTGCAGTCATGCTTCCTCTCAGTTGTCTGATGGTGTGGGCTCCTCTCCCACTGGAGTTCTTACTACAGATCTCAGCTTGGCACTCCTGGTCTACACACAACACCCCTGGGGGGAACTCAGGCTTTTTGTTTCCTCTCCACTTTGGGGGCTGCAGGGGCCATGACCTTGGCAGTGGCAATGGCAGAGGGCCTTTCACTTGTTTATTGGGGCTCCACCCCATAGAAACACAGAGCCACTACCAATCAGAATGATCAGCCTGGGCTGGGGTGACTGCATTGTGGGCTCAAGCTGAGATGGCCTGCTTGGTGATAAGTAGGGTAGTCGGGGGCTCACAGGGAAAAAAGGCTGGCCTCTTCTACTTAGGGTGACTTCAGTGTGATGGTGTTCTGAGTAAAGCACTCAGGGTCTTTGTTCCTTACCCAGTCCGGGGGCAGCAAGGGCAGTCTCAGTGCAGTGGCAATGACAAGGGGCTTTCAGTTGCCTTTGGGAGCTCCACCCCAGAGAAATGCAGAGCTGCTACCAGGGAGAAAGTTCCACCAGGGGGTGTGGTGGTTGCTCTGCAGGCCTGAGCCAGGGGCCCTCCTTGGTGAAGAGCAGGGAGTCAAAGGCTCACAGGGAGGAGAGACTGGACTCCTTTCCATATGCAACTGTGGTGTGCTGGAGGCCTGAGTGGAACCCTCAGGCTCTTTTCTTCCTACTCCAGTTCAAGGATAGCAAGGGAAGAACTGCTGAAGTGGCGGTGGTAGAGGGTTTGTTGGTTGCCTCTGGAAACTCCACCCCAGGGAAGCACGGAGCTACTACCAGTGGGAATACTCAGATGGGGGTGGGGCAGCTGTTCTGTGGTCCTGAGCCAGGAGCCCTACCTGGTGAAGAGTAAGGGGATGGAGTCTCACAGGGAAGAGAGACTGGCCTCCTCTCTGTATTGTTGCTGTGGTGTGTTGGAGGTGCCGGTGACACAACCAGGCCATTTGTTCCTTTTCCAGCATATGGGCAGTAAGAGTGGTTCCATGCAACTGCAATGGGAGAGTGGCTGTAGGTTTTCTCTGGCATTTCCTTTGCAGAGAAATGCAGAGCCTCTACCAACTGAAGTGTTTAGGTAGTGGCACGATGGTTGTGCTGGGGGCCCAGGACAAGAGGCCCTGCCCAGTGAAGTTAACAGGGGCAGGGATATACATGGAATACTGTCTGGCTGCCTTTCTGTAAGGTAGCTATGCTTGCTGAGGGCCCACTTTAGTTCTTAATCACTTTTCTCCCTCCCAAGACTCAGGGCAGTAGGGGGCAAAGCTGCAGAGTAGCAAAAATGGCAGTCCTACCTGCCACCACTGGGAGCTCAGTCCCAGGGAAGTGCAGAGCTGCTGCCGGCCAGATAGCCCAGGTAGCAGTGGGTGGCTGGGCTGTCGGGCTGGGAGGCCTTGTTTAGAGAGAAGTGGCGGGGACGTGAACCTGCGTGGAAAACAGTCTGGCTGCTTTCTCGTAAGGCAGCTGCTCTGTGCTGGGGACCCATGTTAGTCATTAATCGTTTTGCTCCCTCCCGAGCCTGAGAGCAATAGGGGTGGGAGCTGCAAAGCAGCAAAACTGGCAAGCCTGTCTCCTCCCTCTGGGAGCTCCATCCCAAGGAAATACAGGGCTGCTATGGTGGAGAGCTCAGGAAGGCCTGGGATGACCAGGCTAGGGTCCCAGGCCAGTGGGCCTTGTCTGGTGAGGTGCAGTGTAGGTGAGGCCTGCCTGTAGTCCATCTGCTCCTCAGCCCCGTGGATTCAGCCTCTATCCTGGGGGTGTGTGAAAGACCCTGGCCTCATCTATTGCCGGAGCTGCAGCCGTTGGTGCCAGGATGCCCAGGGGTCCAAGGACCCCCAGATTCAGTGTGTGCCTGACAGTAGCTCTGCCCAGACTTTTTGTAGCTCTCTTCGTCAGTCTGGAAGCAACCAGAGTACTACAGGGGATCTCCTGAGGCCAGGGTTGCAAAGGTTCTTGGCAGAGTGCCAGAGTATGGGTTCCTGGGGGCTTTCAGTCACTCATCATTTCCCTGCAGTGGGAAGACTCCTGACCCACACCAGTCCTGGGTAGGTGGTTGTCCTGTCTCATTCTACTCTGTTTTCCATGGGTCACATTGCTACCTTGGTGAATCCCAATGTGTCAAGTTGGAAGATCCAGTTGAAGAGTTGATGTTTACTCACAACTCTTTCTCCTCTCCACGACAGCGGCACATACTAGCGGCTTCTAGTCAGACATCTTGGTCCCCTCTTTCTCTTTTGTTCATTAATGAAGTTGGTGAGTATTTAGAGGGCATCCTCACCAAGTTTGTAACTGACACACATATTAAAATGATGTCAAATCCAAGATCCGAAAATAAATCACAGCAGGTTGTATATATAGTTTTTACAAATCACAACTTTTTATTATTAGGTTTAAGTAACACAAAATTATATATTGAATTAGATGTCATATGAATGCCAAATTATCACAAAAGACTCTAAATACTTGCTCTCAATGTCTTTATTTATCTTATTGTGGTCAAGTTACACATGGTCCATGGACCAACTTTGTTTTAGGAGATAGCATTCCTATTTATAGTTTGTATCATAATATAGCACACTTTTGGTCTTAGTTGGCTATTAGTTCTTGATTACTTTATATAGTACCAAGTCCTTTTGCTTTTTTCAGTCCGTGTTTTTTAAGGGGAAATTTAACAGTAGTGAATCAAATACTCTGCAAATGGACCCTAAAGCCAATCATACAAGTAAAGGATAAAAAAAAAATCACAGTAACTTCTGTAAAAAATAGGTAAGGGTTTAGTTTATTAAAAGGTCAATATAAATCAGTGTGAATCAGTAGGAATAAATAATCAAATAGAAGTGGGAAGTAGATGAATATTTCATTTTGTTTTTTTTTTCGGTAATATTCACTGTAGTATCATGTTTGGTTCTGTATACTTTAAAAAGAAAGAAAGGTGCAGAGCAGAAGAGAAACTTGGCCATTGCAGAACTGAACAGGGTTTAAAAATTTTGTAGCATAAAACTCATGGATGGGCCTAGGGGAAAATAGAAACCAGATCAGAATGACATGATTAGTATTTTCTTTTTTAAAAAGTATTTTAGAACAATGACTCTTGGAGCCATGGGCAACAGTCTTGCAAGCAGTCTGCAGTCTGAGACAGATGATGGAGCAAGTTACAGTGGAGAAGGAGAAGTAGAGACAAATCTGAGAGTAATAAAAAAGCAAAATCTGCAGGACTTGACTAATTATATACCAAGTGAGAGTTATACTTAATTTTCCCCTTTCCCCAGGAAGAAAAATAGGAAAAAGTTGTTAATAGGCAACTCCAAGAAGAGTAAACACACATAGCTATTAATTAAATTCACTCATTATGTTTAAGCTTAATTTTAATAATAATAAGTGCAAATTAAAACAAGATACCAATTTTTCCAGCTGTGAGAGTTCAGCAAGTACTGGAATCTGGTCAAATCTCAACTTGCAGATGACAATATAAAGGTAAGAAACAGGAAATACCTGGGCTGATCAGTAAACATGACCTCTTTAATTACCTGTAAAAGATAGATAACACCGCCACTATACCTACTGCCAAACATTTGTTAAGTTCACGCTGAGTTTGAGATTAACTGCAGTGCAGAGTCTAGACAAGCTGCATCAGCTAGAGACAAATTGGACTAAAAATATAAATGCCATTGAAGAGAAGAGATCTCTGGCTCATCTGGAGCATCTGGGAGGAATTTCCAACTTATTATTTTCTAATGGTCTTCAGACAGTTTGAGACCTGGTTACATGATGTATTACTCCCAGGGACAGACAACTTTTAGTGGTAGAGTATTCCTGGCCTCAGTCTCGGAAAACCTTTATAAATGCTGACTCCTTGACCCCATTTCCTAAAAATGATAATAATCCATGCTAGACAGCTGTGGGGATATGAGCATTCATGTACACTGATGAAGGAAGTAAACATTCAAACCAACTTTCTGCAAAGCAGTGGTTTAATATATGGAAGATACTTAACAATAATGTTCATTCCCTTAGTCACAGTAATTCCTCTTCTGGAAATCTATCTTATGGTAATAAGCAGGAATGCAGTGATAAATGTTCAAAGATGCTCATTGGAGTTTTATTTATAATTATAACTAAATATATAAAATATTATAAATAACCTACCATAGAGGAATGGTTAAAATCTCAATACAATTCTATGCAGCTAAAGTATAATATTATAAAAAGCAGGTTGGAAAACAATATATATACATAAATGTGTGTGTGTAAATTTTTCAAGACCAATATAATACATTAAAATATTAACAACGTTTATCTCTGTTATAACTTTTTGTTTTGTATTCACTACACTGAGAATGCATTGCTTATATAATCAAGAAAAAAAATGTTTTAAAATTCCTTTACATTAAGCTTTATTATCTTAGTCTGTAATTCTCTATTTAACAAAATATTGTTAATCCATTTCAATTCTAAAACTTGTTTTTAAATAGAGAAGACAAAAGCCAAAAGATGTGGTAAGTTTAGCCTTGAATTTGTTGTTGGTTAATACTTCAGAATCTGTCCAAAATAAGTCCTCTCTTGTAGCAGCTGCAATGGTGTCTTGTAAGAAAGAAAAAAAAAAAATGATCCTGACTTGTATCATTTGCTGATTTTTCATGTTGTAAATGGTCTCACTGTGGCGGAAATGAAACCCCCAACATTTTAACACTCGTCTTTCCAAATTATCTGATGTTTAACAATTGGCCCTCCCAGGCAGTGCAAGCCAGCTCCAGCGGTTTGCTCAGTCACATTTGATGTTCTGTCAGGTTTGTTGAGCTAAATGAGGATTATTTTGGTTGCTTTCTTTCTATATCAAAAGCTTTTTTCCTGGTAGACTTAACTTTCCTCATACTATTGTACAATTTTGTGTCATTTATGTCATTTTAAAAATTTGTCTTTGGTTACGTGTCCTCTCCTTCAATATCTATTTACCTACAATTTAAAGTACATCCTATCTATTTCAGTATTAATTAGTTATATTTAAAATGACTTATTTTTAATTTTGTCTTATTTCAAACTCTTGAGTGCTCACTTTCTCCAGGTTATTTATTTGTCATCAAACACTTCTTTCCTTTTTGTCAGTTACACACCAGAGAAAAATCTACTTGACCTGTCAATTATTCACCTCCCTTTTAAAAGTTCTTTACTGCATATTACTTATCCCTCCTAATCATTGGTGTCTATTAACTTCTTCATGATTATTTAAAAGACGGTAGTTCATTAATTATGCTCAACATTCTTCAGTGTTCATGGATTGAAGTACAGTAAGTCTGCTCACTTATAAATGATTTTCGAAATTTCTCATACCTGCTCAGCAAGGAAAAGGGCTGGGACTTTTTTTTGTTTTTGTTTTTGTTTTTGTTTTTTTGCATTCTTCATTGTCTCTTGACTGTTTACATTTCTTTTCTCCATTTTTTTTCTGTTGAAGTCTGATAAAGGGAAAAAATCAATATCTCAAGTGTGTTACAGCATCATTAATCTTATTTCTCTACTTCTTATTATAGAATTTATTTTCTCTTTGCTTTTTGCTTTTTGTTCTATATATTCGTGAAAATCATTCAATTTTAATTAACTTCAACTTTAATTATCTCATTTATCTTATCGATTTTTGGTTATGTTTTAACTGTGGAGATTAAGTTAAAAAGTATTGGTTTTGATTTTCTCTTTATTTTAAAATATAATATTTTTGCTATTAGTTTTAAAGGCAATATCTCTAGCTATTTTGAAGTTGTTTTAAAAATGATTATTTTAAAAAAGAATAATCAAAAGGAAATCAGCCCACAATATCTGTGCCAAAAGTTATATGCAAAATGTTTGTTTATTTTTTATCTGCGTAAAGAAGCAGAGGATAAAAAGGGGATGCGAAGAGTTGGGCTTGCTTAAAATTTCAGGTTACTTCTCATCTTTAGAACAAGTTTATTTAATGCTTCTTTTCTCTGAAAGGATATATAAACACTCTGAACTTATTTTTAGAAAGATTGTCAATCCCTTATTACAATCACATTTTAACTCCTCAGGTTTATATAAATAAGCTCTATATCTAATGAATAATAGTGATATTTCCCTTGGGGAAGTCTTCCAAAGTCTTCTACATCATTGAGAGATAATTATCCATGGGTATCTCCTGTTTCTGCATATCTGGCGAGTAGAGGCATTTATGGTCCTTTATTCTGAACTATCTTTTCAAGAATGTTTGTACAAATTAAATCCTTAGATGACAGAGACAGTATCTTCCTATGGTGCAAAAGGAGGTTAGGAATTCTTACTGCTCATTATAAAACATCTGGGTTCCCTATGCTTAGTATTCTTCTCCTGTAATAAGATCTACTGTATGTGCAGGTAAACATCTGTCCATCTTTACACCTCCCTGTGAGAACTGGGGCTCCAGGAACCAACACAAAAATGCTGTTAACCTTGTTACTGCTATTGATGTAATAAATTGCATGTTTTATCTCTGCCCTAGGAATCTTGTTTTTTTGACCAGTATCCATGAAACTATGGCAGGTCAACTTTGTAACATGCAATTTGGGTTAAAATCTGAGACCTTTTGCCATGTTTGACACAAATAATAGACCCCCATTGGCTATGAAATAAAATGATTTCTTGGAACAAAATTTCCAAACTTCCTAATACCTTCTTATCACTCCACTCCTGCTCTGTGATTAACCCAGATTTTATTTCATCCATAAAGAGTGAGATACTAAAAACTAACTGCAGTCAGTTGCTGCTATACAAGAGCAGGTGATCAGGTAAGTGTTGGATTGAGAACTACAAAACTAAATGATTTAAGAGGAAACTAAAGTCTCAGCTGTGTGCTAGTAAATAAAAATAGTACATGGAAACCCATGGTAATTTATAAATCAGAGATAGGGCAACTTCTTTGACTTAAGATGCAGAAATGTTTACCAGGTTAAGAAACATTGCTATAATCAACGCTGCAATTGGGAAGGACGGCTGGTGATCAGGACTGAGACAGTATGGAACCTTTGTGTGAATTAGAACTCTACCTACCTAGGCAGATGCAGCTTACCACTTTGAATTGCTGAAGGTGCCTTTGTGCAGGCACACAGTGCTGCTCCAGGGCTCAGAGTGTGATAACTGTGTAAGCAAATCTTGGTGATTTCAGCCTTCACTCAGTTTCTCAGCTGAGAAACTGAGCATCATAGGGAAGATCACAGAAACCACACAGTCTCAAGCAGGAGCCATGTAATTTTCACTTTCTGTGTCCCTGTGACTTATTAATAGCTATAGCTATAATTTATTTAGCATACGCTATGTGCCAAGCACTATTTAATTTTATCGTCAAAACAACTGTATAAAAGAAGTATTGCTATTAACTTTATTTTACAAATGAAGAAAATGAGATTTTCAGTGACCGCTTAAACTGTAAGTAGCAAAGGCACCGCCCAAACTCAGGTCTGTCTGACTCCAAAGTTCTTGTGAATAACCATCACACTCTACTGCCTTTAGTATCTTCACCATCCAACCTGAAATAAAAAGCTTTTTTTGATTGCAGCTTTTTTATGAACTTTTTTTCTCCCCTTTCTCTTGCTCTCGAGTCTCTCTTTAATTAATACTCGTAAAGTAGTCTTTATTGCTTTTTATTATCAATATGATGATGGTAGAATCCAACCGGCAGAGTTTAATTGTACTGCTAATCCCTTTGTTTTGTGCTGTTTGCTTTGTTATGCCTTTTTTTTCTGCTAGAATAAAAAATGTTTGGCTGTGACTAAAATTTAACATGTTTAAAATTTTTTGTACTTCCATTTGATATAACCACGTAGTATTTTGAAAATGACAAAATTCTTTACATAAATACTAACATTCTTAATTTTATGCTATTCTTTGTCATTCTTTTTCTGTGCTTAGCATTTCTGACTTTTAATAATAAAACCAAATTGTCTCAATTAATTCTTTTGATTTTCTATTCTCATGTCTGGAAAAAACATATCTTTTTGAATTCTCTGCTTCCCAGAATTCAGTAAAATCTCATTAAGTTTTGGTCTCTTGAATAAAGAATTAATAATAACTTGAAATTAAATAGGCTCAAATGATCTATATTTTAAAGTTAGGGCATGTGTCATGGGTGCAACTTGATTCTCCTAAATCCACTGAGTTTTTTCTTATCCTCTCTATTTACATTCACTTGCTTCTGTGAAAAAGAATGAGTACGTCTTTTGAGGGAGTTTGTCCAATGTAGCTCTTTCTGCAACTAAAGGAAATTCAGCTACTACTGAGGAACAAACCAAGCACAGACAGACATAAGGAATGAAACGCTACTACAGGGGTCCCAACGGACATGTCCTTTTATGTTTATCAATAATCAGTCTTGCCTTCTTTCCTTTGTAGAAAGAATCAGCTTTTCTTTTGACATTATATTTTTACAACTTCAAAAGAAAAACTCTCTGTGTGTCTTTCTCCATCTCTCTCGCTCCGTCTCTGTGTATATGTGTGTGTGTGTGTGTGTGTGTGTGTGTGTGTGTATGTATGTATAAAATGATTATTAGGATATTATGATTAATAAAGTTACTTTCACTTAAAAATATATTTGAAAAGACTTTAGAGTAATGAGCTGCTAACGTTTTTATCTCTAGTGGCTGGATTCACATTCCAAATAATACATTTTTTATTCCTCTAATTAGTTTTTGGATCATCGTTAATAATGGACTATGGGAAAATTCAGAAATGAAATGCTAAGGGAAAGTTTTTAATCAAACACCAAAAGTCAAACATTATTTTTTGATCTCATAGCATTAGATTTAATAGTAAAATAAGCCATAGTTTTTATTATTTACGTTTACATTTTTGTTATTGAATGTCTACGTTTCACTCACAGTGATTACTTTTCTGTACTCTTTTATCAATATCTGAGTATTGTCTCATTAGATGCAATTGGGATGAAATTTATAAAAAGGGGCATTACTGGAATACTTAAAAATATGATGTTCTAATAATAGTAGTATAATTAAGCCATCACATTCCAGATATTTACTGCTGCATCAAATTCTGTTAGCTTGATATATTAATAAAATTACTCTGCTTTGTGAGAAGGATATATATAAAATAAGCCTCAAAAGATTTTGACGTGAAAAGAATTTGATTCACATTTATTAACTTTATGAGGCATAATAACCTCTAATGGTACAAGAAACCAAAAATATGCAGTATTGCCATGGAGTTAAAGAATCTTCTAGTTGTGACAGCAACCAACTTAACGAGCCGATTCTAGCAATAATTGAGTTTCTGTGCTTTTCTTTTAATTTCACTACCTGATGATACCTGAGAGCAGTAGACTTTATTTCAGAATCCCATTAGGTACCATTATGAGATCCTATTTCCTGGGGTTTTTAAATCTAATTGTCAGTCAATGTGTTACAGTAAGCCTAGCTTTCATTTGATTCTCATGGCTCTACACAGTGGGAAAAAAACAAAAGAAGTATGTTCCATCATCCTGTCAAGGAGGTTTCTTAACAAATTACCTTTCCCCTCAAAAGAAAACACAGAGAGACTTTTTTGTTGCTTTAACAATTCTCATAGTTCGTATCTTCCTTTCTAAGCTATTAAAGGGAACAAAAACTGAAAACCCATAGACTAGCACAGACATTCTGACAACTGATGTCCTTAAGATTTATGAAGAAATTTAAGTATTCAATAACTGTATGAGTCTAAGCTGTGCTTCTTAAAAATATTTTAGATCTATTCATAAACCTAAGCTTCATCTAAAAAAAAATCCAACATATTTTATTTGACCTGGAAGAACATTTGATTTAAAGTTTGAAAATAATTATTTCCTTTTCATTTAGATATTTTGTGATGAAAGATGTCTTCTATATCTTTTTTGGGGGATAGTTTATCACTATTTTCTAGTTCTAGCACATTGCTGAATTTTGAAACTCACACATTTCGAGTGCAGTCCAATTAATGTTGGATTTCCACAAGTCTCACCATTGCTACAAATCCAGAGTAAGCGACTCAAAGCTAGGGAAAGATTAAGTTATATATTAAATTAGCTGGATATTTTTGTAAACCCTGAGTAGATATATTTATGCTACAATTATTTCACATAAAAATAATTCTTACAGAGATAAAAATTTGTCTGTGGGCTGGTATAATTCATAGATTTCTTACTGCATTTTCATTGCATGTGGAAGCATTCCTTCAATGGTTTTAAACAAAAGCCCTTCAAAGATTGCAGAAAGAACAAACTACTGCTTAAACATTATGACAGCAATTGCTTATTTATCACATTCCTCATAGGACTAAGAAATAAGGAATGAAGGCATGCCTGTCTTCCTTCAAAATCTTAAAGATCTTGGTCATTTGCTTTTAGCTTGATGGGGAGAATTGTTTTATAAGAGGCCTCAAATTGATCTGTCAAAACATACTGAAGAGGCCCGGGGTCCTGGTGGAGGAGTCAGCACAGCATGTGTGTTTGTTTGTCATGTATGCAGCTGTCCTGTTGTGATTTTTCCAGGTTTCGTTGAATGCATTAAGTTATATAAGTATGAGCTCAGCACTCAGTTCCCTCAGACAGTCTGTCATAGACTATCCTGATCTATAGTTATAGTTCCCTTCAGCAGCAGTAGGAACAGCAGCACACAAAAGCAAGATATGATGTGCACTCTGGGCAGGAGCTAGCCTTAACATAGGACTTTCAGTTCCACCCTTGCTGCATTTCGCATTTATCAACACAGACTTCTTAAGCCATTAAAGAGTTCAGACCAGTGAATTTTTTCCCAATGAATATACAAATAGAAGCAAAAAAAACCCCAAACTTATAGCACCAACAGAGCAACAGCCCTTTGGAAATGCGAAATCCGGAGTGAAAGCAGTAACAGAGAAACTCCTAAAATAAACCTTCAGGCTTCCAATAATTCTTAGATGTTAGGAATAAGGGTTAGTCATTGAGAAAAATGCTAATTTTTGAACAATCACTTGTGTCAATCACTGTGTTTTCTATTTTTTCCATTAACTATTTGCAATAGTCTAATGAAGTGGACATACCTTCTCCATGATACAAATAAAAAGGCTGTCATTGCCAGAGATTTTCAAGGTTATCTAGTCGGCAAATAGCTCACATGGTTTTAAACTCAGATCTTCATGATTTCAAAGTCTGTGCTCACTATACCCAATGGTGTATTAAAACTCATAGTCCTAAATCCATGAAAAATATAAGTACTATAAACCATAGGGAAAGAAAAATAAAAATTTACATTTTATTACTATGCTTTTCTTCAGGTTTTAATACATCTCTGCTTACAGCACTTTTCATTGACTTCTTTGACTCCAAAGGCATTGATAAATGCTTAACCACAAGCATTTTATTTTGTATACTGTGCTGAACTCACTGTACTTGGGCTGATGTCTTTGAAATATAAATAAAGTATAAATAGACTTGAAATATGCTGTGAGTCCCTGCTATACAAACAAAGATTCAGAATATCAGCATATCACATTATAAGAAAAACCAGACATGAATATCAGATCAGACTCTGTCCTTTAAAAGGCAGAAGGCAAATGGATGTTTAGCCACCACTTTTCTTACATTATTAGGCCGAATATTAGAATTCATGACAAAATGATACGTTGATATTAACACTTGTTGGTTTACATCTACAAATTTAATTCTGTTGGGATGGTAGATAGTATATACATAACTTTTTCTAAGGGTCATTTTTGTCATTTGGCAGTGATTTATTAATGGATTGACCAAATAATTTACTGTCCAAGCTGGGACATTTTAAGAATTAACAAGGCTGTTAATAGTATTCTGGAACAAAAGCCATAAATGAGAATGTCCCAGGAAAACCGTGGTATACGGTCATTCTGTTTATGAAATGCCTATTTTGTGTTTAGGTTTATTGTAGGGATTGTAGAAGGACATAAATTAAAGGATGACCTCAAAATTTGACCGTGTTGTTAGAGAAGCAAAATGTGTACCAATGGTATATCTAAAAGATGATCTAAAAGAGGATATGACTAACTGCTAAACATACAGTACTTTCTAAAAGTACTGTTTTAATATCAATAGAGGAAAGTTCCCTGTGGAAAGAATTCATGCAGGAAAACAAAAGTGAATTTTGCTGAGTATAGCAATCTGGATTAATACACAGAGACAAGCTAAAATTTAAGTAGCATTGATTGAATACTCTTAACCTCTTTTTTTATTTCCACAGCCTGATTAATAATTCCACTAGACCACAAAAGGGTTATGAATAGATATGAAAGGTGACAGTAATAGAAGAAAAGTGGATTATTGTCCATGGTTGAAAATACGTTGGACTTAAGTGAGAAAACAGATTAATATCTTCTAACACTATATCATAACTCTAAATAAGTTTTTCAAAATGTTTCTTTTTGTATTCAGTGAATTCACCCCCAAAAAGGCATATAAAAACCTGGTGCCACGACTTGTTACATAAGAAAATCACCCCAAAACTCAGTCTTTGAAACCAGAATGTGTTTTCATTGCCACAAAGTCTGTGGAGTGACAGTGGTTCAGCCGATGTCGATAGGGCTTGCCTGGACAGTTCTGCTTCAGGTTGTGTATTGGTTACACTTGGATCCAGGCTGTGGTTCAATTCAGGTCTCATCTATGTTTGCTCGTTCTGTGACCCAGAGGCACAGTAGCTACCTTGGGCATGTTATTTTCAAGGCAAGGCACTGGAATAGAGTGAACAAAACCACACACATGTATTTAAAGCTTCTACTTGTGTCATGTCCACTAAAAATTCATTGGTTTAAACCAGTTACATAGTCTGGCCTAACAACATGGGATGGGGAAATATACACCATCTACAGAGGAGTGTAAATACTTATTAAGCAAAAATTTAAATGATCACAGGAATTATCTATAGAATGGGATAAAATTATCCCTCACTCTATGTAGATTATCTTTAAATAGAGTTTCCATCTTGCCATTTCTGATTCTGTTGTTGATTCTCCAGAACTATTTATTTTAGATACCTAATCGTTATGTAAAGGCCAGAAGAGTATCAGTCAGAGGCTCCATATGTAAACAGGTTTTACATTTGAAGAAAGAATACAAACTAATATTTACTATCTCCATCATATTGGAGAGTATGGGAAAACACATTTCTGTTTAAATAAAAAATTATTTATTCAAAAAAATTTTCTTTGAGCATCTACTCAATGCCAGATACTGTTACTAGTACCAGAATCATAAGAACATAAACATAAAAGTTGCCCTGGAGCAGACCACAGTCTATATCAGGAGGCAATATATGAGCGAGCACAACCTCGTGATGTAAGTTTAACTTCGCTATAGTGATACTGATAATGTTATGTATAACTGCAAACCTACAGAGGGAGTACCATGGACATGACACTTTCTGGAACTAAAGTGAACCAGTTAAGTAATAGTGGTACAGTTTGTAATAAAGCAGGCTCCAGGACAACAGCTACAGATCCTCATTCTTCTTTTCAGTCACAGTACTAGAACCTTAAAAGAACTAATTAATTGTTTAATAATACCATTCAATCTGGAGAGTGATTTATTAAATATGTTCTTATTCTGTTTTAATGATTTGCCTGGTGTCCAGTGGTTATTTAGGATAGAAATGATAGGTTTTATATTGACATTTTTACATAAAGGGGTTGAACGATTCAGGACACTGGTTGTCAAAGTTCAGTGTAATTAAAAAAAAATCAACCAGGGTAGCTTGTTAAATGAAATGTTAAAGGCAAGTTCAAGGCTTACATTCCCAATATTCTAGTATGGTATTATGGAGTGAGGCCCAGTACATTGCATTGTTAATAATCAATCCCTCCCTTCTCATTCCCCAGGTCATTCTGAGGGAGAAAGAACTTGTTTCAAATGTGGATACGTTATTCCAAGGTATTAGTGTTAATATTGGCAATGAAATTTGCAAAATTCTGCCTTATTGTTATTCAATATGATGATTTAGAATCACATGTTCAGTGTTGTAAATGAAGGTTCAGTTTCACAGGGGCCAGGAGGACCCATTAAAGGGTAAATGAAAAGTGAAAAATGACTGATTGACCTTGCCTAGAGCAGAGAGTTTCCTTAATTGAATGGCATATGGGCAACTTCTGCTCACATTTAAATATATTTAAGAGTAATTAAAAGAAATCCAATTAAAATACATAGACACAAATTAAGAAAATTTGACAAAATACATTTTTTAAGAGAATAAAAATAGTACAAATTGTAAAAAAAGACAAATTTATTAAGAATGAGAAACAGGAAAAGAGCTAAAAGTATAAGTAAACACCACAAGATAAAACTTATACTGGTGAAAGTTTTAGGGAAAAAATTAGGTAAATGATTTTTGCAAAGCTAAGTATAAGGAAAAAAAGATAAATGGAAAAATAAGTTACTGAGAAAAGACAAAGCAGGCTAAGAAGTTTTAAGATATGGCAGAACAGTTAAGGCAATAAAATGTTATTAAAAAAACACAGAATGACTAAGAGATTAAAAAAAAACATAATGGCAAAAGTAACCAAGATAATAAAATGGAAATAAAAAAATATTGAATGCAAAGAAGAAAAAAGCTAAAGGATAAAAACGTAAAAGCTAAAGAATGCAATAATAGTAAATCTAAGACCCACTGTCTGCATGAAGCAGCAATAAGGTGTTATATACCAGCTGCAGAAGCTTGCACATTTACAGTCAGTGTTTGGGCCATTGTTTCAGAACCTAGAAACCTGTCTTCAGGGCCAGGGATCAGACAGCAAAACTCTATTTTTTGTCTTTGCCCTCACACTCCTGGCATTCAGCTTCCTACATTATCTGTAGAGAAAGATCAAAAACCAAACACTTTTTGGGCCACATTTTTTAACCTCCTGCAGCAACTCCATACATTCCCTTCCGCTATTAAGCAGTGTGGTCCTTTGAGAAAGTTGTTTTGCTTTGTGTGCAAAACACCCCAGTTTGTTGATGAGAAAGAGGGAATAGTACTTTCCTCTGCCAACTGGATAGCTTACTTATACCCCACCTACTGTATAAAGCTTATATGTGTCTGAAAAATAAAAGGGTCTTATTGGTTTTCAGAAAAGAGTTAAAAAGCTTTAGGTAACAATCTTAAATATGGATAATAATTTTTTATTATTAATATTAAAAGAGCACTGACGTATCTCAGATAATCTCTAACAATATGGGTATAGAGGTTGTCTTGTACTTTGCCACTCAGAGTTATTTAGCTTACTTGACTATTCCTGGCACTTAATAAATATTAGTTTTTTCTTTCTTCCTTCATTTATTCATTGACTTGACAGATATTCACTGAGCACCAACCATGTGTCAGGAAATATACTAGGTACTGATATATATAAGGGTAAACAGGATAAACCAGGGGATTATTTTAATGAAGCTAATATCTTGAAAGATGACTTAGATAACAAAAAACAATAAACACCCACAATATCAGATAGGGATATGTCTTATGGAGAGATTTAATTGTGTTGTTATGCTAGTGAGCAGCTGCTCTGCTGTAAGGTACAGAGTAGATGCCTGTGAGAATACGATTTCGAGGCTGAGCTGTGAATCTCAAAACTATGCCATCCTCTTATAACTAAAGGAGAAAAATCCTAAAAGGGGAATGAGCTCACCGTGCTCTAGGAACTGAAGGACAGCCAATGCAGCAGGAGCAGAATAGAAAAGGAGAGGTGGTATCAAGTGACATTGGCAATGTATGCAGAGGCCAAATCAGAAAGGTCTTCCTGAACCTGATGAAAAGGTTGTATTTTATTCTAAATGCAACAGGAAGTTGTTGGGGGATTTTAAACGGGATTGCCATGACCCGATTCACATGATTATGGCAATGTTGCTCTTGCTGTTGCATGGGAATGGGTCAGATAGGGCAAGAATGGAATCAGGAGATTAGTTCACTTTGAGACCTGTGGCAGCAGTTTACTCAAAGAGATCATGTGGGGTGGAAAAATTTGTGATGGGGAGAAGTGGTATGATCTGCATACATCTCAGATGGCAAAGTCCACAGAGCTTTCTGCTGGCTGGTATAGAAAAAGACGAACTTAAAGTATTATTTTTTTAAGCAACCAAATGGATGGTTGCTCTTCTTGTTGAGAGTGGGGAGTATTGGGAAAGAGAGAAGACTTGGTGGGAATCAAAGTGAGGTAAATAGGAAACCTCCCTTGGGCAGGTTATGTCTAACATGCCTGAGTATTTACATCCACCTAGTGATACGGGGTTCTGGGCAGAGAGAAACTATAGCTTAAATCATAACTGTGGGAACATGTTAATTTGTTGATTGATGAGAAACTTCAGTTACTTTCTCGTCTCCTCTGATGTCACTGTTTTCTAAATAACTTCTAGTAGAATGCATTCTTTGTAGTGATCTTTCTGAAGAGTTAGGCCAGATCTATATGTCTTCATTGTAATAATTTAACTCATTTTTTGTCAATTAAGTTTTCTCATCTGTCTAACTCCCAAGGACATATCCAACTACTCTACATGACTTGTGCTCCAGAAACCTGGTTCTTTTAATATTTTATGAATACTCTGCACCTTTCCTAGTCTACCACATCTTTTTTCCCTTCATTTTTCTGTAAAGATTTACAGTTTTCTGAAAGCTTCAGTTCTTAGTAATGGGTCCCCTCCCTGAAATTTAAATACAACAGTAAATTTCATATCACAGTTTTTCTCTTTCTAAAAAGAGGATAAAATTATTATTGGCCTCTTACGATTATTATGAAATATGATATATTAATGCAACTTCAATATATGTAGATTATTATCTTCAATATCACCGCTACTGCCAAAAACAGTCCCTGCTATCCATTTTATCAATATAAGAAAAATAAAACATAAACAATATTATAAAGAGCTTTACCTTCAGTGATGTAATCATGTTTGTGTTTACCTTGGTTTGAGATCCTTTTTGTTGAGCTCATCTTAGCAAGGGGAAATTTAATGAAAGAATATTATGGACTCTTACATAATTGGCAGCCACCTGGGAGACAAATCTTGGGGGATGAGCAGGAATCAAAGGGGCTCTGATGGGAAGAAGACTCAGACAGCAGGGAGCTCAACAAATATCCTGAAGTTAATTGGGCCTTTCCCACGACTGCTGCTGCTGCTGCTGCTGAGCTATAATAAATACTTTGAAGGGTACTTGCTTGTCCTATTTTGGCTAGGTCAACTTCAAAAATTCTGGGAGGGAATCTTTGCCTGAGCTCCTCTGGAGTATAGAACAGAGATATCAGGCTCTCCTGGTCACCTTCAACAATACAAATAAAGAACATGTCACTTCCAGTAGAAAAGAAAGTTATTAAAGAAGAAGAACAAATGCTGGACTAATAAAAACTTACCAAATACTACCGTAACCTTTTGTAAATAGTGTCTTCTTCTCAATTAAATTATCAGTCCTTTACAAATATACATTATATATATATGTTTAAAAATATGTAAAATACATATATATGTGTGTATGTGTGTGTATAATATATAATATAGGATATATAAAATATAAATACAATGCTTGAATAGTGTTTGGTAGACATAGATAATGATTATCAATATTGCCAATATAAATATGACACAGGAAGTTTATATCTATATAAAGAAAGGAAAACATTCACAATTTATTTTTGATTATATAGTAGCTTATTACCCAATTTTTAAAAATAACCCATTGCTATTGTAAACCCAATATCTTTCAATACATATTTGTTTAAATATATAGAATTAACTTTTTAATAAATGCAGTTGAATTTTTAAAGAACCAAATAACTGAAATATAATTTGAAACATTTGTTCAAAGTGCAATAGTTCATTTCACTCTAATAACTCCACCTTCTAGTTATTGCATTTTTATTTTAGTGCACTGTCAGTACTATAAAGTACTGTTCTCACAATTTCCCCGGCTAAGTAATGTACAGCAAGAGGCATACATTCTTATTAATCAACAAAAGTTTCTGTCAGTCTCAGCACTCAAATGCTAAATTGTATTCTCTTTAACAAGCCACAAAGCCCTTTTTGATATTAAAATATCTTTAATCTCATCACGGCCTGTTACACAGTCCATTCCTTTAAGCTATTAATCTCATTATGTAACCTCCCTGACCAAGTCACTCACTTTAAAAGGACTTCCCTTTTGCCATCAATCGTAAAGGCCCAAGGAAAAGAAGATAGCTCTTTCCAGACCTCAAAAGGGAAGAAAGTGATCTATTCTTTATTACACTTTATTATGTCCTTAAAAATCTTATCATGTATTAGCAGTAATATTCATGACACTGGAGTACACTTACAATAGTCAGCTCTCATGGTTATCAAAAAGCTTCACTTTAGCATTTAATCAACTCTAAAAGCCATTCATTGCTTTGGATATTCCCAGTGCAATGAACATTATCCATAAGCTTCTTTTGTGTGTGTGTGTGTGTGTGTGTATGCATAGAGAAGCAAGATGGCATAGGGGATGAAACGTAGCTCTAGTAGGGACTTATCTGGTTTTTAAAAGGGCATTTTAATTTCCATAATAGCTGCTCCAAAGAATCAGTTGAGTGGCTGTTTAATCTACCGAGTTTAGAAAAACTTAAAAGCCGTCTAGCTTTCTGTATTTAGGGATCCTTCCAGGAAATGAGTGAGTATCTTGGTATAACCTCCAACAAAGCAGCACC
This sequence comes from Homo sapiens, assembly GCF_000001405.40. Classification (NCBI taxonomy): domain Eukaryota; kingdom Metazoa; phylum Chordata; class Mammalia; order Primates; family Hominidae; genus Homo; species Homo sapiens. The sequence continues at coordinate 80,761,384 of NC_000001.11, read as the reverse complement.
CCAAAGGCTGAATTTTGTAGCTGTAGTAGAATCTTCTTCCCCTTATGATGGGTATTGAGACACAGAACGTTCGGTCAAATCCAAACGATCTTTTCTTTCAGTGGTGATAATATCTGTTGTTCTTCCAAAATGGAGTAGCTTCTTAGAAGCATGTTCATTGAATCTAGGTTAGGAGATTTGAATTTCTGAAAGAGAATGAGACCTTTGAATCTCTAGTTTCACTTACTCCATGAAACATTGTCTCTGAGGGCTTTGGGGAGCAGATAAGCTACTACTATTGTCTCATTATTATTGCCATATTTTATTAGCCTAAGTAGGAACTCAGTCCATAAAATTAACCCATTTATCAGCCTGGAGCTAACAACACTGAAGGAAAAAGGAGTCTTGGCTCTCTAAGCAACTCAACCCCAAATCCGCAGTTGCTTTTTCTTTCTGTATTTATTATATGTGACCTCTATGATGTGTTTAATACTTGATTAAACTGTATTCTTACCCCTTTTATTGTCTGTGTTGCCCTTCTATATTTGTGACCACTCATTACCTACTTTGCTAATTCTATTTGTTCTTCTGAAATCTGTCTTGTGAATGTTTACCAAGCTCACAGTCTGAAAAATGAGGAAAACCTTTATTTTCTTGCTCTATGGACTTCAATTATTGCTTTTATGTCTGAGCTCTAATCTGAGATCATATTACCATTTTGAACGTTATGCTTGAAATTCCTACAAGAATATCCTGTTAGCACTTTATATACGATATTTAAAATGCACATCCACACACAATTTTTTAGTGTATGTATGTTTGCCTCTGCTTACATTATAAAATCTTTGTGAGAATAGACAATATCTCTACTCCAGTTATCCCATTATAATTCCTCATTAGTTTTACATTACAGGCCATATAAAGATGCTATATGCTCATGATGAAGAAAATTACTCATTGTAAAATAAAGTTTTGTAGCAAGCTTTGTGTTTTTACTTATTTTGTAATGATCTATGTCAATATCTTCTAAGAACTAATGCTGAAAATGTTAAGAAAAGCAGGAGCTGCATAGTAGTTAAAACAGTAAAAATATATTTTATTCAGGAGTTATTGCAGTAGAGGAAGAGATATCTCAATATAGAATTGGGCTCAATTCCAAATTCAACAAGGAAAAGTGGGGATAAATAACAAAGGAGCAAGTTTGTGGTAGTGGTAGAAGTGGTGGATGGAAAATGATTAAGAGGGAACATGGGAGATGAGGGTGGAATATTTGCTGAAGGCAGGTCAGGGTGATCAGATATTGAGGGTAAGGGATGTGGAATTTCATTAGATATTGAGAGGATCACATATCAGAAGTGGGGAATTCTCTCTAAACTGACTTGGCAGAATTCTTACTGAAATTGGGCAATGAAGGCCAGATAAGGATGCACAGTAAAGCCCAAGATTGAAACGTAGTTGAGAAGAGGGCTTGGAGGAGTCTGACTAAGGTCTGATCAAGGAGAGAGTATTTGTCAGCAAATATACATGGCGCTACCAAATAGCTAAAATTCATATCAATGTGCTTGATGGCATGTTAGGTCATTTGTATACATTATCTTATTTTAGTGTCACAACATTATCTTATTCAGGGCTCAGTCAGTCTGGTAATTTTCTTTATTATCTATATTAGAGCTGAAGAAATTGAGGCTCAGAATGATTAAGCCACTTGCACAAGGTCTGGCCACTAATAAGCAGCAGAGCGAAGGGTCAAACCCAGGTCTGGCTGACTCCAGAATTTTACTTCCTAGCAACTTGTCAAGGAGACAGCAAAGCTTCAGGGAGAAGAGCCCTAGTAGTGTGGCATGATAAATTCATTGCTATCAGACCTGAAGGGAATGTATCAACTGGGATAATAATATTCATGAAACCCAGACAGTATAGAGAATGGATGACAGATGAAGAGAGGGCTTCCCCAGTATGTTGGCTTTGGATGTGGCCCAAGTGCTTTGCCTTCACTAGAGGATGGGCACTTTTAAAATGGCTAAGGCTAAATTTTCTCCAGCACTATGGGATGGGGACTCAGTCTAAATTAATGTCATTTAGATAAGAAATGAAACATGCGTTATTTTTACCCATAGGTTTAGAAGGATAGAATTCTTATATTTTCCCCTTTATGTGTTATAGCAATGCATTATAAAAAAAGTGTCTATATACAGTCTTTACAGAAAAATTTTGCAAAATTAACTTGTACATGTTAAAATTTGCAAATTCAAAGCTTCAATTAAAATGAAAGATTACATATTTTCTTCTCTTTGCCTTACCGTTTTGTTCTTCCGGTGTAGAGACGAAAAATCAGGAGTTGTGTTCTACAAAGAGGTAGACATGCAAGCATTAACCTCATTTAAATTTCTGAATGATTTGGTGGTTGAATTTCCCAACAGTAAAGTTGCACCTAAAATTGATCAATTTCAGTGTCATCAACAGATGTCCCTAAAACCGTTAGCGACTAATGAATTGTTTAAAGGACTTTAATAGCTCATTTGTCTAGTCAAAACCCCATCAACTCAACCTTTGAAAACGTATTCTTTTTTGTCATTAGAAAATTGAGTCCATTGTCCTTTAATTTTTAAATGACATGTATTTCAAATCAATTAAGGCAGAAAGACCAATTATCTGGTGAATTTGTGACAAGCAAAGTGTTTTGAATAGCTGATGTAAAAAGATAGCTACAATACATAGCCAACCATGTACTGATGAATCAGGTAGAGAAACCAAAAAGGAGATACAAATATGTTAGTTCCTAAAGGATCGTTAAGTAAGATGTGTGCGGCGTCTTCCAACCGCTCCCAGTGTTTTTTTTTTTTTTTAATAATGAAAGCTTTTATTTAAAGGCATCATCTTTTCTATACCTCTTTGAGGAATTTGAAAATATTCATGGCTTAAAAGTTCTCAGTTGTATTTTATTATTACTTTTTTTCTTTTTCATCCTAATCTTCCAATATCTTGGATTATAATGTGCAATTTATTCTCTAATTGAAACATAACACTTTAATTTATAAAATTTCATTCTTAGAAAAAGAAACCAGAGATGTTTTCCTTTCTTGTTTCTGTATTATCTATAGTAATACAGCTGATCCAAATTATGGTCAGATAAATACATAACTATGCAAAATTTCAGTATGTTTATTGTAATTTTTGTAAAGGCTACAGTCATGGGATTTTAATACACTTTTAATTGTCATAGTGTCACTGAAAAAGTGGATATATTTAGCAAGTTAAAAATAAGCCCTTTGCTTTCATTCTTGTGAAACAGTTACATGAATGCAAACATGTAGTGAGGGAACATTATTTGTACTTGTAAGATACTCCAATTACATGATATATTATTGAAGTTTTTACTCTATAACAGCATTTCCTTATTTTTATTTATACTGACTTCATCTAATATATTTTATTGAAAAAAACCCAAGCTTTATACTTAGAAAATATCTCACTTAGCAAAGAAATAGATGAAAAATATCCTAGATTTGATTTATACCCCCAAAGTGTTTTACTCTTAATTTGATTAAGCTATTTTTTGTGGGAGAGTAATTGAAATGGTGATATGTCAGGAAATGGCTTGTTGAGTGGAAGGCTTTATCCCCCATGTAAAAAAATTAAAATATAGTTTAAACATAGGAAAATAACCTTTTTTAATGTCCACTTGTGCAAGTTTTGACAAATGCATATGCTTGTGTCACTATCACCAAGATAAAGATATAGAATATTTCCATTGCACCACAAAATTTTCCCTGAGTCACTTTGTAGTCAACCTCCTATCTAATCCTTAGCCCCTGGGCAACACTAATCTATAATCTGTCCCTACGGTTTAGCCTCTTCCAGATAGTATTATAAAGGAAATTATTTAGTATGTAGCATTTGGAGTCTTACTTCTTGCAAATTGCATAATGCACTTCAGAATCACCTATATTGTTGGGTTTATCAGTAGTTTGTTCCTTTTTACAGCTCAGTAGAATTCCATTTTCTAGATGTACTGTGGTTTGTTCATCTATTCCTCAACTGAGAGACATTTAGCTTGTTCTAGGTTGGAATAATTCTGAATAAATCTGCTCTAAATATTCACACAAAGGTTTTTGTGGGAACATAGGTTTTTCTTTACTTGAGTGAATACCTACGAGTATGACTGTTGAGTCACATAGTAAGGGTAAGTTTAATTTTATAAGAAAATGTCAAACTGTTTCCACAGTGGCTGTACAATTTGTCATTTCATACAAATAATATGTGAGAATTCAAATTGTTCTACCTCTTGTGAGCTCTTGGTGATCTCAAATAGGTGTGTTGTGGTATCTAGTTGCAATGTTAATTTGCACTTCCCTAATGGCTAATGGTGTTGAGCATCTTTTCATGTCCTGATTTGCCATTCTTTTGTGGGTGAGTTCAAATTTTTATTTACTTATTTATTTTTTAGTTGTTAGCTTTCTTATTAAATTTTAGAAGACGCTTATATATTCTAGATATGTGATTTGTTTTATATGTGCTTTGAACTTATTTTCTCCTAGTCTGTCACTTTTAATTCTTTCAATATTGTCTTTCAAAGAGCAAATGTTCTTAATTTTTACAAAGTCCAACTTATTCATATTTTTTGTTTTGATTCATTATTTTGGTGGTGTATCCAAGAAGATCTCACCTTAACTGGGCTCATAAATGTATTCTTCTTTGTCTTCTTCTAGATGTTTTACAGTTTTATGTATTGTGTTTAGGTCAGTGATAGACTTTGAGTTAAGTTTTGTATATGACGTGAGGTAGGAACAATGAGTACTTTGTTGTATATGAACGCATACTTTTTTATCATTTTTCACTGAAGACTACCCTTTCTCCATTGAATTGCTGTTGTAACTTTGTCAAAAAATTGACCATACATGTGTGGCTTCATTTTTAGGCTCTCAATTCTGTTCCATTGATCTATGGGTTTATCCTTTCTCCAATAAAATACTGTCCTGATTTCTGTAACCTTATAACAGGTCCAAATTTTTAGTAGTATGAGTCCTCCAACTTTGTTCTTATGTTTTGTTTTTCTAGGTCCTCTGTGTTTTCGTATATAATTCAGAACAGCTTATCAATTTCTATGCAAAAAACCTGTTCAAATTTGGATTGGAATTGTGCCAAATCTATAGAACAGTTTAATAACTCACATATTAAATATATCAAGTCTTCTAATCCATAAATATAGTAAATCCCTCCATTAGGTCTTTCTTATTTATTTAATCAGTATTTTGCTTAATCAGCAGATAGATCAGACATATATTTTATTAGTCTTATGCATCAGTATTTCCTGTATTTTGTTCCTATTGTAAATGGTACTTTTAAATTTGAATTTTCAATTGATCATTTATTTTACACAGCACTATTCACAATAACAAATATGGAATCAACCCGTGTCTATGAGAGAATGACTAGATGAAGAAAATGTGCTATATATAAAATATATTCCTATACTATTCAGCCATAAAAAAGAATGAAATTGTGTCTTTTGCAGCAACATGAATGGGACTGGAAGTTATTACCTAAAGTGGAACAACTCAGAAACAGAAAATCAAATATCACATATTCTTACTTGTAAGTGGTAGCTAAATAATGTGTATGCATGGACATAGAGTGTGGAATAATAGACATTGGAGACTCAGGAGGTTGGGGGGATAGGGGGTGAGGGATTAGGAGTTACTCAACGGTACAATGTACGTTATTTAGATGATGGTTGCACTAAAAGCCCAGACTTCGCCACTACACAATATAACCATGTAAAAAAAAACTTCACTTGTACCCATTACATTTATGCAAATAAAAAATAAGAAATATATTTATTTTGTGTATTGACCTTATATGCTGTAGCCTTGCTAAACCCACTACTAGCTCTAATGTACATTTCATTCATTTATTTTTGTAGACTCCCTAGAAATTTCTACATAGGCAGTCTTCCATTCTAATTTATATGCATTCTAGTTATTTTTACTGGTTTCTTGAACTCATACAGCCTCTGATGTGATGTTGAATAAGAATGGTACAGCAAATATTCTTGCTTTGTTTTTGATCTTGGGTCACTGAGCATTAAGTATGATGTCAGCTTGTACATTGTTTTATAGATCACCTTTATTGATTTGGAGATGTTTGCTTCTCCTCCTAGTTCACTTAGACTTTTTATTATGTATGTGTGCTGAAATTTATCTAGTGCTTTTTCCTAATTGCCTACGTTGAAATGATTACATGATTTTTTTCATCTTTTGTTTGTTCATATGGTGAATTATCCTGATTACTAAGTTAAATGAATCTTGCATTCCTGGGGTAAACCTTATGCAGTCATAATGTTTTATTCTTTTTAAAGATTGTTGTATTCAATTTGCTAATATTTTCTTTGTGATTTTTTTTCCTCATGTACATGAGAGATATGTGACTTCTGTTTGTCTTTAACATTTTTGTCTTTAACATCTTTGTCTTTAATGCCTTTGGTTTAGGTATTGGAGTAATGCTGGCCCCATAAAATGAGTTGAGAAGTATTAACTCCTCTTTATATTCTGGGAGAATTTGTATACAGTTGGAATTTTATCCTTAAATATTTGCTACAATTCACTTGGATCAGAAAATTTTATTTTTGTAGTGTTTCCAATTGTAAATACAATGTTTTTAATAGATACAAAAATAGTTAGATTGTCTATTTCTTCTAAACTGAGATTTAGCAGTTTGCATTTTTCAAGAAATTTGTCTGTTTTATATAAACTGTCAATTTTGTGGGTGTAAAGTTGCTGTAGAATTCCATCATCCATTTTGCTTTTCGTAGGGTCTGTGTGATGAAGTGATGTCCCCTTTTTCTTTTCTGAAATTTGGAATTTGTGTCTCCTCCCCTGTCCCCTTTCTCCCACCCACATACCTCCTTTTAATTTTGTTCAGTCTAGCTAGAATTTCATCAATCTTATTGATCTTCACGAAGAACCAACTTTTCACTTGGTTAATTTTATTTTTTTGTTCTTAATTTCTCTAATTTCTGATTATTGTAATTTTTTACCTTCTGTTTGCTTTGGATTGAATTGCTCTTTTTTTCTTGTTTCTAAACCTCAGCTATTTTATTTGTTATCTGCCTTCTTTTTGAATACAGTCCTGTGCCACATAATGATGTTTGTGGTCAACAGCAGATTGGATATAATACATCAGTGGTCCCAAAGATTATAATAAAACTAAAAAATTCCCATTGATTAGTGATGTCATATCTGTTGTAACATCACAGCACAATGTATTCCTCATGTGTTTGTGGTGATGCTGGTGTAAGCAGACCTACTGGGCTGCTAGTCCTGTAACAGTATAGCATATACATAGTACATAATACTTGATAAACTACTATGTTACCAGTTTATGTATTTACTATACTATACTATACTATACTATACTATACTATACTATACTATACTATACTATACTATACTTTTAATCATTATTTTGGAGTGTACTGCTTCTGCACATAAAAAATTTAATCATAAAACAGTCACAAGCAGGCATTTCAGGAAGTATTTTAGAAGGCATTGTTGTCATAGAAGATGACAACTCCATGTATGTTATTGCCCCTGAGGACTTTCTAGTGAGATAAGAAGTGGAGGTAGAAAGTGAAATTGATGACCCTGAACCCGTGTAGGCCTAGGCTAATGTATATGTTTATGTCTTAGTTTAGGACAAAGAAGTTTAAAAAGTAAAAAAAAAATAAAATTTCAAAAACAGAAAAAGCTTAGGAAATGAAGATATAAAAAAGCAATGTGTTTGTACAATGTGTATTCTAAGTGTTATTGCAAAAGAATCAAAAATTTCAAAATTAAAAGTTTATAAAATAAAAAAGTTGCAATAAGCTAAAGCTAATTACTGAAGAAATTAGACATTTATAAATAAATTTAGTATAGCCTAAGCATACAGTGTTTTAAAAGTCCATAGTAGTGTGCAGTAATGTCCTAGGCCTCCACATTCACTCACTACTTAGTCACTTGACTCACCCAGAGCAATTTCCAATCCTGATAGCTCCATTCACGAAAAATGCCCTATATAAGTGTACCATTTTTTATCTTTTATTCCATATTTTGACTGTATCATTTTACGTGCTTAGATGTGTTTAGATACACAAATAATACCATCGTATTATAATTATCTACAGTATTCAGTACAGTACATGGAGTACAGGTTTGTAACCTAAGAATAGGCTATACCAGGTAGCCACCAAGCTTAAGTAAATTCTATGATGTTTGCACAATGACAAAATCACCTAATGATGTTGATATAGTTTGGCTGTGTCGCCACCCAAACCTTATCTTCAACTGTAGCTCCCATAATCCCCATGTGTCGTGGGAGGGTCCCAGTGGGAGGTAATCGAATAATGGGCGTGGGTTTTTCCTGTGCTGTTCTCATGATTGTGAATAAGTCTCAGAAAATCTGATGGTTTTATAAAGGGCAGTTCCCCTGCACATGCTCTCTTGCCTGCCACCATGTAAGTCATGCTTTTGCTCCTCCTTCTCCTTCCACCATGATTGTGAGGCCTCCCCAGACATGTGGAACTGTGAGTCCAGTAAACCTCTTTCCTTTATAAATTACTGAGTCTCAAATATGTCTTCATTAGCAGTGTGAGTACAGGCTAATACAGGTGCATTTCTCAGAATATATCCCCCTCATTAATCAACACTTGGTTGTGTCAACATAAATGTTTTTTGTTAACATTGCTTTCGTAGCAACCCTGGATTTTATTTTATTTCATTTTGTTTTTTATAGAGAAAGGGCCTCGCTCTATTGTCCAGGCTGAATTGCAGTGACATAACCACAGCTCACTCTATCCTCAAACTCTTGTGCTCAAGGGATCCTCCTGCCTCAGCCTCCCAAGTAGATAGGACTACAGGTGCATGCCACCATGACTAATTTTTTTTTATTTAATTTTTTTGTAGAGACAGGTCTTACTATGTTGCCCAGGCTGGTCTTAAACTCCTGGCCTCAAGCTTCCTTCCACCTCAGCTTCCCAAGCACTGGAATTACAGGCATGAGCTACTGCTCCCAGACCCAAATTTTTATATATAGTATATTAATTATCATTTGATTAAATATTTTATGATTTAACTTTCTAATTTTTTCATTGTGGTAAAATCTATATATAAAACTTACCATCTTCAGCATTTGAAAATTTGCAGTTCAGTGGTAATAAATACATTTATATTCTGTTTTTCCTTTCATCTCCCCCTTCCTCCTCCCCTTCCTAGACTCCGGTAATCACCAACCTACTGTCTATTTTCATGAAATCCACTTTTTTCAGCTTTCACATAGGAGTGAGAATATACGATATTTGTCTTTCTGTGTCTGGCTTCCCCTTTCCCCACATCTTCGCCAGCATCTGTTATTGCCTATCTTTTTGATACAAACTATTTTAACTAGTGTGATATGGTATCTCATTGTGATTTTAATGTGCACTTATCTGATGATTAGTGATGTCGAGCATTTCTTCATAAACTTGTTTCTAAGCCATTTGCATGTTTCTTTTGAGAAAGTGTTTTACCACAGTATCTTCCCAATTTCTCTATTCTATTTTTTGTGCAATTTTATTATGCATGTAGCTCCTAGGTATGCCATAAATGCATGGTACATTGCTGTAATTTTCATTCTAAGCAGTCATTTACTGGAGCAATTACAAGAAGAAAATATTATATATTTATCTTTATTATTCTATTTTTAATATTCTTCATTTCTTTGTGTAGATACAGGGTTTTGCCTGATATTACATTTTTTATGTCTGAAGAACTTCCATTAAAATTTCTTGTATTTAGATTTGCAGGTAAAGAACTCTGCTTCTCCATGTATGGAATAAAATGTTTTATTCTGTTTCATTTTTGAAAGTTATGTTCACAGGTCTAGAATTTTGAGTTGACAATTTTTAATTTATTTTTATGATATCAAGATGTTACTCTTCTGCATTTTCACTTTCATAGTTTCCGACAAAAATTCAGATGTGAATCTTACCTTTGTTCCCTTGTATGTAATGTGTTGTGTTTGTGGCTGCCTTCGAGATTTTGTCTTACATTTGTAGCTATTTGATAAGATATATACTGCTTTTGTTTTTCTGTTTGTTTTTGTTTGTCCTACATGGTGTCCTCCAAGCTTATTGAAACTGTGCTTTTATTTTTTATTAATTTCACAAACTTATTGTACATTCTCATTTTTGAATATTTCTTTTGCCCCATTCTTTCACTCTTCTCCTTCAATTGATCCATTTGCATTAGACTCATATTGCCCCACAGTCCTTGACTGCTCTGTATTGTCCTAGATATTTTGTTTGTTTGGTTTTTATTTTTGTTTTCCAATCTAACTTTTCTTTTGCTATTTGTGAAATTTCTATTGATGTATCTCCAATTCAGTGCTTCTTTTCTTGTTTGTGTCACCTACTGAGAAGACCATCAGAGACATCCTTCACTTCTGTTACTGTATTTCATCTGTAGCATTACCATTATATCCTTTCTTGTAGTTGACCATCTGATAATGTATGCTGCTTACCATTTCCTCTGAAAGCTTCAATTTATTAACTATATCTATTTTAAATTCCACGCCTGGTAGCTCCCGAAGCTTTCTCATCTCTAAATCTGGTTCTGTTGATTGCTTTGTCTCATTTGGAACATGCCTTGTTTTTCTTGCTGCTTTATGTCTTTTAAAATTTGAATAAAAGTCAGACATCTTATTAGACTAGCAGAAACTGAGACAAATAACATTTATTCCTAGAAATGCACATGTCTTTTTTCTAAGTCTTTAGTGTCTGAGACTGAGTAAAGTTAATTAGAAATTGAACTAGGTTTTCTAGGCTTGGTTTGTTGTTGGTATGACTGCCTTTAGTGCACTACAGGTGACAACTGCCTCCTGAATTTCCTTGTGTTTAGGTAGACAACTTATCTTCCAGGAAATTTTACATTGCTTATTCTACCTTTAGCTTTGGGTCTTCCCATTGCACCTATACTTCAGTGGCAGTCTCTTCTCCTTTGATATTTTTTCCAGATTAAATGGCTATTACTCATTGCATGACGCTTGTTAGGCTGGTAGTAGTGAATGGTGGAGAAAATCTCAGCTGTTCTGGTTCAGCCTGTGTTAGGCAGGTGTTACATACCTGGTTCTCAGGAATGGGGACTTTTCAGTGATCCTGTCCCTCATCAAGCTGTAGGAAACTCTTACGACGTGGGCTCAAAATGTATTTCTGCCCTTATCTCAGGAGTAGAGGGTGTTTTTCAGGTTCTCTTCCTTTAGCCTTAATGGGTTTTTATCTATGGTCCAAGGATGATCGTTTTTGTTGCCGTTCCTCTGGAAGCTTTAGTCTTTTTTTCCATGAGGAATCTGAAAGGAGGAACCAGATGGTGATTTATGTCTTTTCCACATTGGCTATTATTCTCTTCTCCCAGACTTGCATTACAAATAATGCTTTCTCCAGACACTTGTCCTGCAACCAGTCTTTCTTATGACACAATAAAGTCCCTGGAAAAGAGCCTCCAAGAAGGTGTCAATTCCTCTTGTGTCTGAAGCATCCCAAGTTTCTATACTCATATGTGAACTATCACACACAGTTTTGTAATTACAAGTAATATAATATGAGTTAGAAATTTGGGTGAATCTGTGTTAAAAAAAAAACATGTTAAGACAATTAGGATTGTGTTATTTCATTTGGTGTGTATATATTTATGTGTGTATATGTAAAGAAGTATATGTGTTTAAAATGTAATATGAAGTATAGAAAATATTGATACATTTATAAAGTAAGAACATAGTGGTATGTCTTTATTATTAAAGAGAGGCAACTCAATGATTCCCTGTCATCTAACCTAACAAAGCTCCTAGTTTACATATCAGAACAATAATTTCCTTATAAATACAAAAAGTGAGATTTCAGTACAGTAAGCATTGAACACTTGTAGTCCATGAACAAGAGCTGCTGAGAATTTTAAATAAAAATCACTATGAAAATCCTAATCTGAGTATTCATAATGCAGCATATATAGGGGATCCTGCATTTACAATGGGATTGCATGTTGGAAAACCCATCATAAGTTGAAAATACGGTAAATCAAAAATGCATTTAATACATGTAAACTGCTGTACATCATAGTTTAACTTAGCCTGCCTTAAACATTACCATAATGGTTACATTAGCCTATAGTTAGTCAAAATTATTTAACACAAAGCCGATTTTATAATAAAATGTTGAATATCTCATGTGCTACATATAACTAACACGGCAAAAGATCAAAATTCAAAGTATTTAGATGATTTTGTACCATCATAAAGCTAAAAAAATCATTAAACTGTCATAAGTTGGGGACTATCTGTACTGATATGTTTATATTGCCTCTCTCTTTTGAATACAACAGTTTTTCCTTTCTTTCAAAGAAGGTTCACTTGGTTGTTATGAGAAATTTAGCATAAAATTTCCATTAAAGAAATATGCATAGTGTTTTCCAAGATGGGGCTTTGCTTTAAATATTTAAGAAGATTTTTAAAGGCTATAGAATTAGAAAAATTAATGCATTTTATCGTTAAAATAAAAGATTATGTTCTTACTATGCTGAAAATACTGGTGACTGGATTGATTTGGGGTACACATGTTGGGCCTGCTTTTCTTGCTATGGGTGGTTCAAATTAGGAAATTTTAAACCTGAACCTTCTGGTTTTTATTCCAGAAATGGAAATATCAGAAATTAAATAGCTGTACTCCTTCCCTCATGTTATATAATACAAGATGTGTATAATGGGGCACAGCTTGGATTGGAATTTTGTTTGTCAATAAAAACAAAGCCTTCTTATTCAAAGAGAAACAACAAAATAGCATAAAAGAGAGATATGGTATACAATAAAAATTATGAATGTTGGTGAGAAAAATAAAACCTCTCCCACCATACTCTTTTTAAAACCTTTTCATTGAAGTTTAATAAACATGTAGAAAGCATCACATGTCATGAGTGTACATGTTGAAAAATTTTCACAGATAAACACCCTGGTCTGATCAGCTCTGAGATAAATAAAAAAACAAAACAAATTCCTCAGATCATCCAACACCACAGAAGCCCCAATTCTTTTCCTTTCAGTCACCACTTCTATGAGAGTAATGCCTTACTCTGACTTCTAACAGCATAGACACACAATTAGGATTGTGTTATTTTATTTGGTGTGTATATGTTTGCATGCTTTTGTATTTTATATGTATGACTTTTACCTGCGTGCCTTCCTTTCTTTCTGACTTCTTCTGCTCCACATTATGTTTGTTAGATTTACCCATGTTTTTCTATGTAGTTGAAAATCATCCATTTTCATTTTTGTAGGATGGCATTTCATTGTGTGGATATAATACACTTTATCTGATGTTAGGCATTTGGGTGATTGCTATTTATAAGGAATTATCATTAAGTGCTGCAATGAACATTCCAATACATATCTTTGGAAGGCAAATGCATATTGTGTAGGTATACACCTGGAATTGGTATTGCTCTTATCAGGTATATGTAGTTTTAACTTTGGTTGATTCTGTCATGCAGACTTAAGAAGTGGTTTCACCAATTTGTGCCCCCACCAGTAGTTTATAAGTCTCAAGAACTCCACCTCCTTTCTAACACTATACCTTTTCCATCATTTTTACTTTAACTATTCTTTTGGGTATTTTATGGTATCACATTGTTATTTGATTTAAATTTTCTTAATAGATAATGAAGGTAAACATATTTCCGTGTATTTATTGGTAATTTGTATATCTTTTTTTTCTGAAATGTTTGTCCAAATTTCCCCATATCTATTGGATACTATGTTTTTCTTATTGACGTATTGAAGAATTTGCGGTATTCAGAAATTTGTCCTTAGTCAGTTATATTTAGTGAATATCTTCTTTCAATCTATGAAATTCTTTGTTGTTAAAGATGACTTCAAAAAGAAAGATGGCTTCAGATAAGCAGTTCTTAATTTAACATCATTTAATTTATTTTTTCTTTTATGATTGAGACGTTTTGTGTCCAATTTGAGAATTTTTTTCCAATTCACCTTATAAAATTTTCTTCTATTCATCTCTCTAAAAGCTTTATTGATTTACCTTTCACATTTTGATCTGCTATCAATCTTTAATTGATTTTTCATAATGTACGAGGTAGGAATCCATATACGTTTTGTTTTGCCTTATAATGGACTCAGCACCATTTATTGAAAAGATTATTCATTCTTCAGAGAACCACAGTGTCACCTTTGTCATAAATCAGGTGAACATTTATAAGTGGGTCTATTTCTTAACTTTTTATTCTATTCTCATGGTAAACTAGTCTATTGTTGTGTCAGTATCCCACTGATCAAATTACTACAACTTTATTTTAGATATTGATATGTGAAGTGAGTTTAACTTTGTTTGCTTTCTTCAGGATTGCTTTGAGTATTTTTATCACCTTTTGTTTTCATATGGATGTTAGGATCTGTCCATTTACAAACACACACACATGCACACACACTCCTTTGCTGGTATTTTAATTGAAAATGCACTTAATCTATAAATCAATTTAGGAGGAATTGACATCTTTATAATTTTGAATTTCCAAACCATGGACATTTATTTTAAATCTTTTTTTTAAATCTCTCTCCTACTCTTTTCTACTTTTTAAACTAGAGTTATTGCATACCTTCTGTTATACATATTTAAACATTTGATATATTTTGCTGTCACTGTAATTAATGTATTTTTAACTCCAATTTTATCTGTTCTGCTAATATACATAAATATAATTTAATTACGTTTGGCTCTATGTACAGTCTCCTTGCTAAAATCTTTATTGATTCTAAAATTTAACTTTATATTCTTCTTCATGTATTCAGATAATGCAAGTTTTATTTCTTTTTTCTAAACCTTATGCTGTCCCTGTCTTTTTCGCCCTTGCTTTATTGTCCTGGCTAGTTATAGAACAAATAAAATGTTGAATAGGAGTGATGATAATATACATCCTTGTTTCATTTCAAATGCCAGGGAGGAAAGCTTACAATAATTGAGTGTGATGATTGAATTTATATTTTCTGTAATTTCAATTTCTTTTGCTTAGTATTTTTACTCCACTAGGATATATTTAAATATTCAGTAGATCCATTAGACAAAGTTGGAGAGAGTGAAGCAATAGCAATTCTGGAGAAAATGGACAAAGGAATTATAATGGTTTCTTTCACTGGTCCTTATTCTGCCTGTCTAGAGAATAAAAATATTTAAAGAAAACAGGAAAGAAGAAAAACAATTTAAATATGAGAGTTCTGGAAAGCTGACATCCTCTCGTAACTGTGGTGTTAGGATGCGTAAAAGAAAATAACAAAGAAAACCTGGTTATATGACTTCCCCATATCTAAAATGCTTTTGAAATGGCTTCTATAATTGTTACTAAAAATTACAGTGGAGCAGTTTAATGCACAGTAAAGAGACGGTGTATTTTAAATAGTTGGTGTCTGTTACAAAGTGAGATCATTCTCTAAATCCCCTATTTATTTATAATATCACTTCTATTCATCTCCCTAAAAGCTTTATTAAGGCATGTATTAATGTCTTGAGACTTTAAAAAATATTTTCAGGGCTTAGAATAATTAGACAGCAACTTAGATACTGTATATTTATTAGAAAAACACAACATTTTTTGGTTATTGTTGTATAACCCATGGGTTATATTATGATATAATACAAAGGTGTATGTACATTCATTAATACAAAAATATGTATTCAAATATGTACAAAATACTGTGATGGTCTATGGGAATATAAAGATAAAGAAAACGTACCAGCTTTCTATTCACATGGAGCTTATTTGATAGCACAGACATCATAATGTAATTTAATTTCAAGATTTTGTCAAAACACTGTCGCAAATAATTCAAGCAATTGTGTACTAGTAAATATTTAACATCTGCATCTATGGAGACAAAATTCCTAATTTGTAGCATTTTCCAATTCCCATAGTGTAAATTCTCTCCCAATAGCCAATTTTGTGCAACCAGTGCTTTAACAACTTGCTGATAAGATATCCAAAAATTTAAAAATTGGCTCTCTCAAATCAATTTGAGTTGACTTTAGCACATCACTAGATTTATCAAGTAACATAAAGTCACAAGTGAGAACCAAGCATTAATTGAGAGTAATGCCTAAGTTTCATACACAGGATTTTGACCATGACAGTGTTGCAAATTGTGTTTTAGAAATGTCATCTAGCGGAATGGGAGGTGGTATGGCAAATTTCACATAAAATGCTACATTAGATTTTAAGTAATTAATACCTCCTTGCCCAAACACAATCTTTCTTTAGAGACTAGATAATATTGAGGATATTTGGGATAGAGTTTTAGCCTAAATTTCACATGTATGTCATGTTAATTTATGTCTTTTATTAATAAAACTCCTTTGGGTGGCACCTGACCTAGATGAAAAAGAAGCAAAGGACACTGAAAAGGAATAGCCATAGAAAGTTAGAAAACCAACTTGGTATCCAAGTTAAAATATTTAAGGAGTGTGTGACCGACTATGTTAACTGTTGCTGATGGGACAAGTTGACTGAAATTAACCATTACATTCAACAAGGTGGGTCATTAGTGCCCTTTACAAGAACAAGTTCAGAGTGAAGGCCTGACTTAGGAGGGTTTAAAAGATAAGAAGAGTTGAATTTCTAAAAGTAAGATTACAATCACATGGAGATTTCCTATAAAAAGGAGAAAAGAAATGTGACAGTAGCTAGAAAGAGAAGGGTGATAAAGAACTTTTATGATGGGAAAAATAACAGTATGTCAATGGGTTGGTGACAATAATACAATAGCAAAGAAACATTGATGATGTGGAAGAAATGAGGGAGAAGAGCTAGAGAGATATGCTTGAGTAGATGAAAGGCATCCAGTTCAGGAGTTGTGGATTATAGAGAAACATGGAAATTAATCTATGGGCAACAGGAATGGAGGCCTGTGATGTGGGTACAGATACTGCTAAACATGTCAATATGGTCTTGGGACTCTGTGAAAATTGTTTTCCAAAAGCTTTGGTTTTCTCAGTGAAATCAAGGGTCATCAGCTGTGTAAGGAAAAAGGGGAGAATGTAGAGTATGAAGAGGAAGAAAACATCAAATACTACTCAACAATAATACTGGAAAAGGTTGTGGACTACGTTCTTATAATATACTGGGTCACAGCCAATGGGAGGCACCAGCAGGAGATCGGTGGCAGAAGAGAGAGGGCTGAAGTTTTAGTCCACCAACTGACTTCTGCCAGGCTGCAGGTTGGCAGGGATTATGTTTCTAGTGGGTAGTCTTTTCCTAAAACCACGACACTCTCCAAAATATAGTAATTGTTCCTTTCTCTCGCCACTTTAAGCCTAAACATGATAACAAGTTACCACTGCCTGGTAGCCCTGGGGTGCTTCATAGTCCCTGTTGGTTTACTTGCTAAAAATAGTGTCCACATTAATCTTTCCTTAATTACCCCATTAGGGTGTGCTATCTGTTTTTTGACTAAAAGACTGATTGATACCAGGAGTAGCCCTCCCAGGAAGAACCATAAAATTAAGATTCCAGGATTCGGTTGTTTACATGTTTTAGAAGCACATGTATAACTTTATAGCCTCATCCAGGGTGGGGATGGTAATGGACAAATGTTGCCATCTTAGTTTCAAAAAATGACCACCAGCAAAGACACATGAGAAAGTGCTGACAGAAGACATGCTTTTGTGACCAAGTGTCTATATAGTAACAATAGTGCTTACAAAGTTTGAAACAGGGATAGCTCCTCTGAGGGTCCTAGAGAGTAATGAGGAAACAAAATGCTGATTGTCGTGGATGCCAATTGCAATGTTCAGATGGAAATTTGTTTATTTATTTATTTATTTATATTTATATTTATTTATTTGTTTATTTATTTGAGATGGAGTCTCGCATCTCCCAGGCTGGAGTTCAGTGGCGCGATCTGGGCTTACTGCAAGCTCCATCTCCCGGGTTCACGCCATTCTCCTGCCTCAGCCTCCCGAGTAGCTGGGACTACAGGCGCCCGCCACCACACCCAGCTAATGTTTTGTATTTTTAGTAGAGAAGGGGTTTCACCGTGTTAGCCAGGATGGACTCGATCTCCTGACCTCGTGATCTGCCCGCCTCAGCGTCCCAAAGTGCTGGGATTACAGGCGTGAGCCACTGAGCCCGACCGGAAATTTGTTTTTAAAAGGCAATTATAACAGAGTTTCTTACGTCCTATAGACGTAGAGTCAAGCACAGGGCCTGATTGTAATCACGGTAGAATTACAGAACAAAACTAATGCAATGTACAATTCTACTAGATCTTTATTCTAAGAAAAGGTCCTGGTTGGGAAAGAATGGAAGAATGGGGCGTGGCATGAGCACATTAGAGAAGAAACATAAAGCTGAGGAATTTGAATTCCCATATACACCTAAAACTTTGTTAATGGATGCAGCTTCTTTATATATAAACTGGAACAGTTGCCTCTCAATGGAATTTCAGTTGTTCTCAGGACTCACTCCACCAGCCTATGTGTCCTGTAGGTCTGTAAGAAGACTTCGATGCCAGCAGAGGCAGAGTTCAAATGGAGAAGTACAAATATTAACCTAAAATGAAATAGCCTATCTGCTGAAATAAATGTAGTATCTTGCCGATCAGTATCAGTAAGAGTCCAGAGAGCATGAATGAGAGGGATTCTAAGATTGTTAGGTCCAGGAGCATGGAATATAAGACCAACATGGGTTTAATTTATTGAAATGAATCCACTTACTCAGCATCCAGGATTTGTGTTGGTTTGAACACACTGAAAGTAAACAGTAATAGTTTGCTTGGTTGGAGAATTGAAGGCAGACCTATAGTCAATGAAATTGAGATGCTGGAATTTACAGAGCATATTGAATAGGAGAGTTGCCTGAAGGCTTAGAAAATGTTGGAATGAATGTCTTATGTGCAATCTGCTTAACCAGTTCCTAACTTAAACTCTAGGGAAGCCTGAGGGATACATGTTTCTCTAAGCCTTCTTAGAAAGTGTGGTGACTGTCTTTTTGCAAGCTAGAGATAAATTCTGCCATGGAATTGAGCTCCCCAATTTCCATGAGAGCAGTGGAACCTTAGATCCTAGAGTAATAAAGGTACTTACCTGTGAGGACAAAGATAAGCACAATTATCATAATACACTTTAGAGAGACGTCACAATCAGAGTACTCTCCCAAGCAGAAATACAGTTAATTGACTACAGGATCTCTAGAAATTAAATAGGTGAGGGGACTATTAAGAGGCTGTTTAAAATATGTAAGTGGGAAAATTCTAGGTCCGGTTAGCAGAAAGCACAGTTCAAGTTGATGTAGGGTATTTATGGTCTCTTACTCAAGTTCTAGATAAAATTCATTTCACAGAATTCAAGCTATTTGTTTATGGAGAAAGCCAGCTCTCTTCAAGAAACATTCCTCAATGCAGCCACAAGTGAATTTTTTTAAAATAATTTCTCTCAGAGAGACTAGCAGCATTTATGAGAGTAAGTGTATAGCAGAGAAAGAGTAAAACTCAGCCCTTGGATTTTTTATACGCTGGCTTTAGACTGATACTAATGCTCAGAGACTTGAGATAAACTGGAGATTGCGGCTTATCAAGATCAGAAGACAAATGGAATCTTGCCCCAAGCCAAACTCATGGTGATTATTTTCTCAGTCACAGATTAAACAGTGAAAATAGTTATATTTAATAAATAACAAAATATATTATTTCCATGACTAGTAGAATGTGGACTACTATGGTAGAAATAACCTAGTAGAATCGACTGGAACATCCTACCTCCCCCTTACATACTGAAGGCAATATTATAATCCTAAGGAAATGTTAGAGATTAGCTTCATCATCAAAGATTTGAAAAAAACAGGAATAATGATTCTTAGTACATTCCCATTTAACCCTCCCATTTGGCCAGCACAAAAGCCAGATAGATGCATCTTGAAGCGTGATTGAATATTTGTATATTTAAAGAGCAAAGCCAAAAATAGCTAAATATAATTATTGTATCTGATTGAAGCAAGTCAGTATGGCAACTGGCCCTACCATGCAGCTTTTTCTTTCTTTTTCATTTTAATTTTTACAGGTACATAGTAGGTATATGTATTTATGGGGTACATTAGATACTTCGATACAGACATAAAATGTGTAATAATCACATCAGGAAAAATGGGATATTTATCACTTAAGCATTCATCATTTCTTTGTTTTACAAACTTTCCAATCATAGTCCTTCAGCTATTTTTAGATGTACAATAAATTATTGTTGACTGTAGTTGCTCTGTTGTGCTATCAAATACTAGATCTTATTCATTCCATCTAATATATTTTTGTATCCATTAACCATTTCCACTCCCCCATCAGACCCCCCATTACCTTTCCCAGGCTCAATCCACTCTCTCTCCATGAGTTCATGGAGATGAAAAATCATTCCACTCTCTATCTCCATGAATTCAATTGTTTTAATTTTTAGATCTCACCAACAGGTGAGAACATGCAAAGTTTGTCTTTCTGTGCCTGGCTTATTTCCTTTAACATAATTTCTTCCAGTTACATCCATGATATTGCAGATGACAGCATCTCATTCTTTTTTATGGCCAAATAGTACTTCATTGTGTATATGTACCACGTTTTCTTTATCCAATCATCTGTTTATGAACACTTAGGTTGCTTCCAAATCTTGCCTATTGTGAACAGTGCTGCATCAAACATGGGAGTACAGATACCTCTTCAAAATACTGACTTCATTTCCTTTAGATACAGGAACATTCATGAAATTTCTGGATCATATGGTTGTTCTGTCTTTAGTTTTTTGAGGAACCTCCATACTGTTCTTCATAGTGGAAATGGCAATTCACATTCCCCCTAACAATGTAAGTGGATTCCTTTTTTTATCCACATCCATGTTAGCATTCATTATTGCCTGTCTTTTGGATAAAAGCCATTTTTACTGGGGTGAGATAATATCTCATTGTAGTTTTTATTTGCATTTCTCTGATGATGAGTGATGTTAAATACATTTTCACAAACCTATTTGCCATTTGTATGTCTTCTTTTGAGAAATGTCTATCCAGATGTTTTGCCCATTTTTAAATTGGGTTACTAGCTTTTTCCTATTGAGTGGTTTGAGCTCCTTAAATATATACTGGTTATAAATCCCTTGTCAGATGAATAATTTGCAAATATTTTTCTCCCATTCTGTGAGTTTTCTTTTCACTTTGTTATTATTTCCTTTGCTGTGCAGAAGTTTTTATTTCGATGTGATTCCTATTTGTCCATTTTTTTTTTTGTTTTGGTTGCCTATGCTTTTGGGGTATTACTCAAGAAATATTTGCGAAAACCAATGTTATAGTCTCTTTCTTCTGCATATGAATATCTAGTTTTCTCAGTACAATTTATTGAAGAGAGTGTTTTTTCCTCCAATATATATTCTTGACACCTTTGTTGAAAATGAGATCATTGTATGATATGGTTTGGCTGTGTTCCCACCCAAATCTCATCTTGAATTGTAGCTCCCATAATTCCCATGTGTCATGAGAGGGACCCAGTGGGAGGTAATTGAATTGTGGGGGCGAGTTTTTCCCATGTTGTTCTCATGATAGTGAATAAGTCTCACAAGTTCTGATGGTTTTATAAAGGGGAGTTCCCCTGCATACACTCTCTTGCCTGATGCTATGTAAGACTTTCCTTGTTCTTCCTTCACCTTCGGCCATGATTGTGAGGCCTCCCAGCCATGTGGAACTATAAGTCCATTAAACCTCTTTCCCTTATAAATTAGTCAGTCTCAGATATGTCTTTATTAGCAGTATGAGAACAGACTAATATACTGTAGATGTATGAAATTATTTCAAGATACTTCAATCTATTCCATTGTTCCATATGTATGATTTTATGCCAGTACCTTGCTGTTTTGATTACTATAGCTCTATAGGTATAGTATAGTACCTAAAGTTAGGTAATGTTATTCCTTCAGTTTTGTTCTTTTTGTTCAGGATGGCTTTGAGTATTCTGGGGTTTTTGTGATTCCATATAAATTTTAGGATTCTCTTTTTCCATTTCAGTGAAGAATGTCATTGGTGTTTTGAAGGGGATTACATTGGACCTGAAGATTGCTTTGGGTAGTATGGCCATTTTAACAATATTAATTTGCCCAATCCATGAACATGGAATACCTTTTTTGGTGTCCACTTCAATTTTTTATATTAGTGTTTTATAGTTTCTATTTCAGAGATTTTTCACTTCTTTGATTAAGTTTATTCCTAGGTATTTTATTTTATTTGTAGCTATTGTAAATGACATTAGTCTCTTGATTTCTTTTTCAGGTTGTTTGCTGTTGGCAAATAAATGGAAATGCTACTGATTTTTGTTGTTGATTTTGTACCCTGCACCTTTTCTGAATTTATCAGTTCTAACAGTTTTCTTGTGGAGTCTTTAGGTTTTTCCAAATATAAGATAATATTATCTGCAAACAAGGGTAATTTGACTTGTGTTTAATTTGCATGTCTTTTATTTCTTTTTTTTTGTCTGATTGTTCTAGCTAGAACTTCCAGTACTATGTTAAATAGCAGTGACAAATGCAAGCATTCTTACTTTCAAAAAAAGTGCAGATGCTCACTTTCAGAGTGAGCATTATTTTCCAAGTAAGATTTTGTTTCTGATCTTAGATGAAAGGCTGTCACTTTTTCCCTATTCACAGTTTAAAAGCTATGAGTGTTTTATTGTGTTACATATTTCTTCTATACCAATTTTTTAGGGTTTTTACCATGAATGCATATTGGATTTTATCAAATTTTTTTTAGCATCAATTGACATGATCATATGGTTTTTGCCTCTAATTCTGTTGATATGATGTATCACATTGACTGATTTGCATAGGTCAAACCATCCTTGCATCCCTGCAGTGAATCCCGCTTGGTGGAAATGTTTTTAATGAGTTGTTGAGTTCGGTTTGCTATTATTTTCTTGAGGATTTGTGTATCAATATTTATCAGAGATAGTTTTCTTTTTTGTTGTATCTTTGTCCAGTTTGGGGATCAGGGTAATATTGGCCTCATAAAATGGGTTTGGAAGTGTTCCTCTCTCCTCTATTTTTAGAAATTATTTGAGTAGGATTGGTATTAATTCTTCTTTAAATATTAGGTAGAATACAGTAGTGAAGGCACAGATTCCCAGACTTTTGTTTGCTGGGAGACTTTATTATGTTTTGATCTAGTTACTTGTTATTAGTCTGTTCATTTTTAAATTTCTTCATGGTTCAATATTGGTAGGTTGTATGTATCTAGGAATTCATTTCTTCTAGATTTTCCAATTTATTGGCATATAGTTGCTAATAGTAGCCTCTAATGATCCTTTAAATTTCTGCAGTAACAGTTGTAATGCCTCCTTTTTCATCTTTTATTTTATTTATTTGAGTTCTCTTTCTTACTTAGTTAACCTGGCTAAAGAGTTGTTGGTTTTGTTTATCTTTTCAGAAACCACCTTTTCATTTTATTGATCTTTGTATTTTTAAAATTTCAATTTCATTTATTTCTGCTCTACCCTTTATTATTTATTTAACAAATTTTGGATTTGGTTTGCTCTTGCTTTTCTAGTTCCTTAGCATGTATTACTGGGTTGTTTATTTGAAGGTTTTTTCTGTTTTTTTTTTTTTATGTAAGTGCTTACTGCTATAAACTTTACTCTTAGTACTGTTTTCACTGTATTCCATGGGTTTTGGTATGTTGTGTTTTTATTATTGTTTGTTTCAAGAAAATTTTCAATTTTCCTAGTTTCTTCATTTACCTACTGGTCATTCATGAGCACATTGATTAATTTTCATATAGTTTCCAAATTTTCTCTTGTTATTGATCTCGAGTTTTATTCCATTATGCTCAGAGAAGATACTTGATATAATTTCATGTAAATGGAAGCCAAAAAAGAACAGGAGTAGCTATACTTATGTCAGACAAAGTCGATTTTAAGACAAAAAATATAAAAAGATATAAAGAATGTCATTTCTGAAAAAAAATCTCGTTTAATGGACACTACTGAATGGATGTCCCATAAGCATCTCAATCTCAAGATGCTTAAAACTGGCCAGGTGTCAAGGCTCACACCTGTATTTCTAGCACTTTGGGAGGCCAAGGCAGGTAAATCAGTTGAGCCCAGGAGTTAAAGATCAGCCTGGGCAACATAGCAAAACTCCATCTATACTAAAAATGCAAAAGTTAGCAGGGTGTGGTGGCACACACCTGTAGTTTCAGCTACTCAGGAGGCAGAGGTGGGAGGATTGCTTAAGGCTGAGAGGTCAGGGCTGCAGTGAGCTGAGATCATACCACTGCACTCCAGCCTGGGTGACAGAGTGACACCCTATCTTAATAATAATAATAATAGTGTCAAGTCAGCAAGAGGATACAACAATTTTAAATACATATATATCCAACACTGGAGCATCCAGATGTGTAAAACAAATATTAGAGCTATTGAGATATATAGACCCTAATACAATAACTGGAGATGTCAACACCCCACTTTCAGTATTAGACAGATCACCCAGACAGAAAATCAACAAAGAAACACCCAGACAGAAAATCAACACAGAAACTTTAGACTTAATGTGAACTATAGAACAAATGAACCTATTAAATATTTACAAAGCATTTCATGCAATGGCTGAAAAATACCATTCTTCTTCTCAGCACATGGATCATTCTCAAGGGCAGACCATATGTTAGACCACAAAACAAGACTTAAAAAATTCAAGAAAATTAAAATTATATCTATTTATGTTATTATATGTTGTTTATGTCTTAGAAAGTTTTATAGTTATTAGTTCTGATAGATTCATATTTTAATCTTTCTACGCAAGTTATGAGTAGTTTACACACCACAATTACTGTGTTATACTATTCTGTATTTTGTCTGTGTATTTACTATTACCAGTGAGTTTTGTACATTCAAATGATTTTTTTTATTGCTTCTTAAGTTCTTTTTCTTTCAGATTTAAGAATTCCCTTTAGCATTTCTTGTAGGACAGTTATGGTGGTGACAATATTCCTCAGCTTTTGTTTGCCTGGGAAAGTATTTATCTTTCGTGTTTGAAGGATATTTGTGCTGGATGTAATACTCTAGGGTAAAAGTATTTTTCTTTTTTTTTAATTTTATTATTATTATACTTTAAGTTTTAGGGTACATGTGCACAATGTGCAGGTTAGTTACATATGTATACATGTGCCATGTTGCTGTGCTGCACCCATTAACTTGTCATTTAGCATTAGGTATATCTCCTAATGCTATCCCTTCCCCCTCCCCCCACCCCACAACAGTCCCCAGAGTGTGATGTTCCCCTTCCTGTGGCCATGTGTTCTCATTGTTCA
Source organism: Homo sapiens (assembly GCF_000001405.40). Classification (NCBI taxonomy): domain Eukaryota; kingdom Metazoa; phylum Chordata; class Mammalia; order Primates; family Hominidae; genus Homo; species Homo sapiens. The sequence goes on along the minus strand of NC_000001.11, from coordinate 80,736,020 downwards.
ATTTCCACCTATGAGTGAGAATATGTGGTGTTTGGTTTTTTGTTCTTGCGATAGTTTACTGAGAATGATGATTTCCAATTTCATCCATGTCCCTAGAAAGGACATGAACTCATCGTTTTTTATGGTTGCATAGTATCCCATGGTGTATATGTGCCACATTTTCTTAATCCAGTCTATCATTGTTGGACATTTGGGTTGGTTCCAAGTCTTTGCTATTGTGAATAATGCCACAATAAACATACGTGTGCATGTGTCTTTATAGCAGCATGATTTATAGTCCTTTGGGTATATATCCAGTAATGGGATGGCTGGGTCAAATGGTATTTCTAGTTCTAGATCCCTGAGGAATCGCCACACTGACATCCACAATGGTTGAACTAGTTTACAGTCCCACCAACAGTGTAAAAGTGTTCCTATTTCTCCACATCCTCTCCAGCACCTGTTGTTTCCGGACTTTTTAATGATTGCCATTCTAACTGGTGTGAGATGGTATCTCATTGTGGTTTTGATTTGCATTTCTCTGATGGCCAGTGATGGTGAGCATTTTTTCATGTGTTTATTGGCTGCATAAATGTCTTCTTTTGAGAAGTGTCTGTTCATGTCCTTCACCCAGTTTTTGATGGGGTTGTTTGTTTTTTTCTTGTAGATTTGTTTGAGTTCATTGTAGATTCTGGATATTAGCCCTTTGTCAGATGAGTAGGTTGCAAAAATGTTCTCCCATTTTGTGGGTTGCCTGTTCACTCTGATGGTAGTTTCTTTTGCTGTGCAGAAGCTCTTTAGTTTAATTAGATCCCATTTGTCAATTTTGGCTTTTGTTGCCATTGCTTTTGGTGTTTTAGACATGAAGTCCTTGCCCATGCCTATGTCCTGAATGGTAATGCCTAGGTTTTCTTCTAGGGTTTTTATGGTTTTAGGTCTAACGTTGAAGTCTTTAATCCATCTTGAATTAATTTTTGTAGAAGGTGTAAGGAAGGGATCCAGTTTCAGCTTTCTACATATGGCTAGCCAGTTTTCCCAGCACCATTTATTAAAGAGGGAATCCTTTCTCCATTGCTTGTTTTCCTCAGGTTTGTCAAAGATCAGATAGTTGTAGATATGCGGCGTTATTTCTGAGGGCTCTGGTCTGTTCCATTGGTCTATATCTCTGTTTTGGTACCAGTACCATGCTGTTTTGGTTACTGTAGCCTTGTAGTATAGTTTGAAGTCAGGTAGTGTGATGCCTCCAGCTTTGTTCTTTTGGCTTAGGATTGACTTGGCGATGTGGGCTCTTTTTTGGTTCCATATGAACTTTAAAGTAGTTTTTTCCAATTCTGTGAAGAAAGTCATTGGTAGCTTGATGGGGATGGCATTGACTCTATAAATTACCTTGGACAGTATGGCCATTTTCACAATATTGATTCTTCCTACCCATGAGCATGGAATGTTCTTCCATTTGTTTGTATCCTCTTTTATTTCCTTGAGCAGTGGTTTGTAGTTCTCCTTGAAGAGGTCCTTCACGTCCCTTGTAAGTTGGATTCCTAAGTATCTTATTCTCTTTGAAGCAATTGTGAATGGGAGTTCACTCATGATTTGGCTCTCTGTTTGTCTGTTATTGGTGTATAAGAATGCTTGTGATTTTTGTACATTGATTTTGTATCCTGAGACTTTGCTGAAGTTGCTTATCAGCGTAAGGAGATTTTGGGCTGAGACAATGGGGTTTTCTAGATATACAATCATGTCATCTGCAAACAGGGACAATTTGACTTCCTCTTTTCCTAATTGAATACCCTTTATTTCCTTCTCCTGCCTAATTGCCCTGGCCAGAACTTCCAACACTATGTTGAATAGGAGTGGTGAGAGAGGGCATCCCTGTGTTGTGCCAGTTTTCAAAGGGAATGCTTCCAGTTTTTGCCCATTCAGTATGAAATTGGCTGTGGGTTTGTCATAGATAGCTCTTATTATTTTGAGTTACGTCCCATCGATACCTAATTATTGAGAGTTTTTAGCATGAAGGGTTGTTGAATTTTGTCAGAGCCTTTTCTGCATCTATTGAGATAATCATGTGGTTTTTGTCTTTGGTTCTGTTTATAGGCTGGATTACATTTATTGATTTGCATATATTGAACCAGCCTTGCATCCCAGGGATGAGGCCCACTTGATCATGGTGGATAAACTTTTTGATGTGCTGCTGGATTCCGTTTGCCAGTATTTTCTTGAGGATTTTTGCATCAATATTCATAAAGGATATTGGTCTAAAATTCTCTTTTTTGGTTGTGTCTCTGCCAGGCTTTGGTATGAGGATGATGCTGGCCTCATAAAATGAGTTAGGGAGGATTCCCTCTTTTTCTATTGATTGGAATAGTTTCAGAAGGAATGGCACCAGTTCCTCCTTGTACCTCTGGTAGAATTCGGCTGTGAATCCATCTGGTCCTGGACTCTTTTTGGTTGGTAAGCTATTGATTATTGCCACAATTTCAGAGCCTGTTATTGGTCTATTCAGAGATTCAACTTCTTCCTGGTTCAGTGTTGGGAGGGTGTATGTGTCGAGGAATTTATCCATTTGTTGTAGATTTTCTAGTTTATTTGTGTAGAGGTGTTTGTAGTATTCTCTGATGGTAGTTTGTATTTCTGTGGGATCGGTGGTGATATCCCCTTTATCATTTTTTTTATTGCGTCTATTTGATTCTTCTCTCTTTTTTTCTTTATTAGTCTTGCTAGCAGTCTATCAATTTTGTTGATCCTTTCAAAAAACCAGCTCCTGGATTCATTAATTTTTTGAAGGGTTTTTTGTGTCTCTATTTCCTTCAGTTCTGCTCTGATTTTAGTTATTTCTTGCCTTCTGCTAGCTTTTGAATGTGTTTGCTCTTGCTTTTCTAGTTCTTTTAATTGTGATGTTAGAGTGTCAATTTTGGATCTTTCTTGCTTTCTGTTGTGGGCATTTAGTGCTATAAATTTCCCTCTACACACTGCTTTGAATGTGTCCCAGAGATTCTGGTATGGTGTGTCTTTGTTCTCGTTGGTTTCAAAGAACATCTTTATTTCTGCCTTCATTTCGTTACGTACCCAGTAGTCATTCAGGAGCAGGTTGTTCAGTTTCCATGTAGTTGAGCAGTTTTGAGTGTTTCTTAATCCTGAGTTCTAGTTTGATTGCACTGTGGTCTGAGAGACAGTTTGTTATAATTTCTGTTCTTTTACATTTGCTGAGGAGAGCTTTTTTTCTTTGAGCACTTGATATCATCCCATTCTCTCCTGACCTGCAAGGTTTCCACTGAGAAGTCTGCTGCCAGATGTATTGGAGCTTCAGTGTATGTTTGCGTTTTTTTGTTGGTTTGTTTGTTTTGTTTTGTTTTTTCTGTTGCTGTTCTTAAGATCCTTTCTTTATCCTTGACCCTTAGGAGTTTGATTATTGAATGCTTTGAGGATGTGTTCTATGGGTTTAATCTGCTTGATGTTCTAGGACCTTCTTACACTTGGATACTGGTATCTTGCTCTAAGTGTGGGAATTTCTCTGTTATCCCTTTGAATAAACTTTCTACCTCTTTCTCATTCTCTACTTCCTCTTTAAGGCCAATAACTCTTAGAATTGAGGGTATTTTCTAGATCTGTAAGTATGCTTCATTGTTTTTTGTTCTTTTTGCTTTTGTCTCTTCTGACTGTGTATTTTCAAGTAGCCTTCTTCAGGCTCACTAATTCTTTTTTCTTGTTGATCAATTCTGCTGTTAAAAGACTCTGATGCATTCTTAGTTTGTCAGTTGAATTTTTTACCTCCAAAATTTCTCCCTGATTCTTTTAAGTTATTTGAATGTCTTTGTTATATTTCTCTGACAGGATTCTGAATTCCCTCTCTGTGTTATCTTGGATTTTATTGAACTTGCTTCAAACAGCTATTTTGAAATTTCTATGTGAAAGTTCAGTTATATCTGTCACTCTGTAATTGGTCACTCTTGCCTTATTTAGTTCATTTGGTTGAGGTAATGTTTTCCTGGGTGGTCTTGATGCTCTTGGATGTTAGTCAGTGTCTGGGTATCAAAGAGTTAGGTATTCTAATCTTCACAGTCTGGGCTTGTTTGTACCTGTCCAACGAAATTGAGTATTGTGACCTAAGTATTTGGTCACAGCAGCCGTATGTGCATTAGGAGGCACTTCAATCTCAGTAACACTATGACTCTAGCAGACTCATAGAGGCATTGCCTTGGTGGTTTTGGGTAAGATCAGGGAAAATTCCTTGGATTAAGAGGCAGGGACTCTTGTTCTCACACTTTACTTTTCCCCAAGCAAACAGCATGTCTCTGTGCTGAGCTGCCTGGAGTTAGAGAAGGGGTGATGCAAGCACTCCTGCGGCCACCACCACTGGAACTGTGCTGGGTCACACCTGAATCCAGCACAGTACTTGGTCTTGCCCAAAGTCTATGGTGACTATTTTCTGGCTACTGCTGATGCTTTTTCAAGACCCAAGTGTTCTTTAGTCAGCAGATGATGAATTCTGCAAGAATTGAGTCTTTCTCTTTAGGGCAATGGGTTCCCTTCTAGCCCATGGTGAGTCTATAAATGTTAACCAGGAGCTAAGCACTCCTTTGTATGCCCTAGCTCATGTTTCACTGGGTCATGTGCATGCCAAGTCCACTGGCTCTGAGCCCAGCACAGCACCTGGGTTTGCCAAGAAATTGCAGGCCTTGTGGACTACCCTGCCTTTCAAGTTCCTTTAGGACCTCAGAGCACTTTAGCCCTTGGTAACAAGGCTTTGCAGATCTCAGGTCCCAATTTTGGTATGGACGATTCTCCTCTGGCAGAGTCTCGTTTAAATGCTCCTACCAAATGGATGTCAGTGGAATTCTGGCCTGTTTTGCTTTTCACTATGACAGAGCACCACTGAGTTCCAATGCAAAGTCCCACAATCACTTTGCTCTTCCTACCTTATCCACTGAGATCCTCTCTCAATACACATGGCTGCAGCTAGTGGATGGAGGAGGGGTGGCATAGGCAATTTAAGACTGCCTTCTCTACCTTCTTCGATGCCTCTTTCTTTGATATAAGATTAAAACCAGCTACTGTGATTGCTCAACCTAATTTTTGGTTCTATGAAAGTATTTTTGTGTGGATAGTTGTTCAATTTGGTGTTCCTTTGTGTGCGTGGGGGGAAATTCCTGGAGAGTTCTATTCAGCTATCTTGCTCTGCAGCTTTTGATAGAGCATTTTTCTCTTTAATTTCTATTAGTAAACATAATTAGAAGCTATTTTATTTTTTATAGCAAGGGCAAAAGTACATTTTTACTATCTTACATGAGGATTTTTTTTCTGATTTCCTGCCTAATGTCATAATAGACAAGCAAAATCTTGATATTTTTGTGATTATATGAAATATCACATTTGGCTTTATTATTTTGATGATATTATGCTAGCAGGATATGCCAGGCAGGACACAGAAAAAAGTTCTAATCGACTTAAACACATGATTGGTAGATGCTGGGAAATTAACTCCAAACACCACCTGCCAAATCAGTGCGATTTCTGGGAACACAGTGCTTTTGGCCATGTTAAAAGAGCCCCTGAAAAATAAGAGATAAGTTGTGGAGCCATTTACAGCCCACAAAACAAGTGACACATACTTGAAGAAACTCTGAATGTTGGAGATAATACACATCACATCTAAGTATGCAGCTTCAAATATTTTGCTATGTAACCTAAAAGACAGTTTTAAATTGGACACAAAGAAATAAAAGGTCTGTACTACTCTAAACCTGCCATACAAGTTAGCCCTCCACTTGGACCTCATACTCAGCAAACCAAATAAAATAGAACATATCTGTAGCAGATTAAAATACTGAATGGATCTTCTGACAGATTCCCACGGGGGATTCTCTTATGGCAACAACAATTCTCCATTTCAAAAGTAGACTTTAGATTTATTCTACCTGATTGAGTCTGAACACTTGAACATGGGGCATCACGTTACTATGTGACTTGAACTTCCCATTAAAAAGGAGGCTATTTAATGTAAAGAATCAAAAAAGTGAATGTGCATGACAGCATTTCATGCTGTGTCAAGCATGTCTGTAAAGTATAGTTTTATAACCAGATGGCTCAGACTTCCCTGGAATGTGTTCTGTATTCCTACATCTTTATTTAGGAGTAAAGGAAAAGAAGGGGAGGGAAGGGAAGCGAAGGAAGAAGCCAGTGGTGAACGAATAATTTTTTCTATGTTGAAAACCTAATCGCCAATCTGATGGCATTAGGAGGTGGGACCTTCGAGAGGTGCTATGTTTTGAATATTTCTCCTCCAAAATTCAGGTGTTGCCAATGTGATGGTAAGAGGTAGGGCTTTTAAGAGGCGATTAGGCCATACTAATTAATGAGGGCTTCTCCCTCATTAATGGGATTAAGGAAAAGACTTCATTCAATGTTTGACTAGCTTGCTGCTCACCCCTCTATCATCCATCATGTGAAGATGCAACAAGAAGGCCCTCATCAGGCACCAGATGCTGGCATATTGATCATCAACTTTCTGGCCTCCAGAACTGTGAGAAATAAATTTCTATTCCTTGTAAATTACCCAGTTTCAGGTATTCTGTTAGAGCAGCACAAAATGAACTAAGACAGGAGGTGATTAGATAATGAGGGCAGAGCCCTCATGAATGGCATTAGTGCCCTTGTAAAAGAGGCCTCAGGCAGCTGTCTTGACCCTTCCACTATGTGAGAACACAGCTAGAAGGTGCCATTTAGGAGGAACAGGCCCTCACTTGACAACAAATCTGTTAGTGCAGATTGGACCTCTTAGCCTCTGGACTGTATAAAATAATTTTCTGTTGTTTAAAAGCTATACAGTCCATAGTATTTTATTATAGCATATCAAACAGACTAAGACAGATTGCCTAAAAAGAACAGGACTAGAAGAATTGTAACAAGGAGGTTGAAATTATGAAAATGTGAATGAACCTTTCTGAATCAACAGAATGTGAAGATATTCCCATGAAAATAGTCTCATGAAATGTCTATTGCAGGGGAACTTTTCAGTAATTCGTTTGATGTCACAGCCCTTCCTCTGGATGCCAGCCAGTTTTTTTTTTTTTTTTTTTTTTTTTTTTTTTTTTTTTGAGACGGAGTCTCGCTCTGTCGCCCAGGCTGGAGTGCAGTGGCGCGATCTCGGCTCACTGCAAGCTCCGCCTCCCGGGTTCACACCATTCTCCTGCCTCAGCCTCCCTAGTAGCTGGGACTACAGGCGCCCGCCACTACGCCCGGCTAATTTTTTGTATTTTTAGTAGAGACGGGGTTTCACCGTTTTAGCCGGGATGGTCTCGATCTCCTGACCTCGTGATCCGCCCGCCTCGGCCTCCCAAAGTGCTGGGACTACAGGCGTGAGCCACCGCGCCCGGCCACCAGCCAGTTTTCTCCTTTCATTCCCTAGCCCCTTGCTTGCTCAATAGGCACATTTACAAATTGGTAAAGATGGTGGCTATGCATTTAGTTCAACCATATAGACTTCTTAAAATGGCTGGTTGGAATACCACCACCGCTTATTGCCCAATCTGCCAACAGCACAGACCAATATTGAGCCTCTGAAATAGAACTGGTTTCCTGGCTGACCACGCAGCCATCAGATGGAAGTGTTAATCTTTCCATAATGAAGGAGAGAGCAATTTGTCCTCATAAAAAATATATACTTTCACGTTAAATATGCTTTACCTTCAGTAGCATGTAGCTAGATAGAACATTGGAATGGCCTGCTGAAGGCTCAGTTAAGGTACCACTTGAGAGATAATGCCCTGAAATACTATGGAGCTTTCCTACATATGCATGAAATCAAGGACCAAGATATGGTGTCTCCTTCCTCATAATTCATGAATTTAGGAATTAATGAGCAGAGGTAAAGCAGTCTCTATCTCACTATTATATACAATAACTATATTAAGGGGCACTATGACTTGTGTCCCCCCAAAATTCATATTTTGAAGCCCTAACCCCTAATGTGACTGTATTTGGAGATAGGGTTTTAGGAGGTAATTAATGTTAAGTGAGTGCATAGGGTGGGGTTCTAATTTGATATGATTGGTGGTTTTGTAGGAAGACAAAGAGAAAGATATCGCTCTCTGTTTACACCACACACACACACACACACACACACACACACACACACTGAGGAAAGGCCATGTGAGCACAAAGCAAGAGGTCAGCTTTGTGCAAGCCAGAAAGAGAGTCCTCACCAGAACCCAACAATGCTGGTATCCTGATCTTAGACATCCAGCTTTCATAACTGTGAGAAAATAAATTTCTGTTGTTGAAGCCACCCAGTCTTGGTATTTATTTTTATGACAGCCCAAGCAAACTAAGACAAGGAGTTTTTGCTTCCATCTCATAATCTTATACTATATGCACTTAGAGGTTTTAGTGTTCGTGGTAGAACACAGTACTTGTTTGATTAAATTGGAAGCTGAGACTTCTCCATAATCATTTTTGATGCTGCAAGCTGCTGAACAGGGAGAGAAAGAGTTCATTATATTGTTAGCCTGGTTGAGCTCAATTACATAGTGAAAATGAGTTGCTTCTATAGAATGTAAGCAAGAAAAACACAGAATTGAAGGGGGTTACTGGGTTTACTGAAGTTTTAGTACTTCATTGTGTAACAATTAGGTCAATGGAAAAAAAATAAAAATAAAGGCAAGATCACAAAGCACTTAGATTTTGTGAGAATTAAAAATTGCATAATCCCACCAGTAAATAAATCCATCCATTTGGGATACTGGTAGAGAGTAAAAGGGACATAGAATTGGAGGACAAAGACAGGTATGATTCCTACTGAGGCTTGCCTATGGTCAGCTACAGAGACAAGAAGTAAAAAAAATAAATATATGTTATCAATTTTCTCCTCATTTTTTCTTGATATCTTTAAAAAAAAAAGGAACAAAAACATTAGCTAACATTTTAGGTTTGAAGTACGAGTGTGACTGAATTGATACCATGATATGCCAACCTGATAGGAAAGCTGAGGGTATTTTGTTCATTCCTTCTTTGGGGAACATGGGGAAGAAAGACAAGAATAGGAGCTGAAGGACAAAGAGGTAGACTGTCATTTGTCTTCCATTTTCACCATTTCCATTCAATAGTTAACAGAACCCTATTGCTATTAACATTGGTTTTGCATCCCTCCTCACTGCCTGTTGACCCTAGGAGCCTTGCCTGTGTGGACAGGGCTCCCATAACCTTTGGTACTAATTGGAAATAACCAATGGAAAGCCTTGACAGCGTAGCAGTCAGAGGCAGGAAAGTGGGGTCAGGAGTTTCATTTGGCATTCCACCACCTCCTATTTCCACTTTTGAAAGTGTCTAGCATTCTACAGACATGCTATGTATTCTCTGTGCCTATTTATATAATATCTGAAATTTTCTTTCTTCTTTTGCCTTGGAAAATCATCCATCAGAGTAAGTTCACATGTAGCCTTTTCAAAGAAACCTTCCCTGACTGTTCAAGTCATTCTTGCTACTCTTCTTTTGTACTTTCATTTTATTTTTGTATATATCAAGGTCATTGTTCTAAATATAATATATCGTAACCACCAGCCTATGAAGTTCTCTCTTCCCCAAGACTGATGATCTTGTTTTATTTATATTTGTATTATAAGCTATACACACAATACCTGGCATTTAGTAGGTTCTCAAGAATACTTGTTAAAGTGTCAATAAGAGAACAGAAGGAAAAGGGCACAGCATGACATTGGGAGATATTGGAAGGTGATTTACCAAGGTAGGCCTCAGGATATTGGGATGGTGCTAGTAAGTGCAAGGACAGCTGTACAATAAAAGATTTTGAAAACTTCTTGAGTTATATGTTTTGTTTATAAATAGTTTTAAGTTCTAATGCAAAGCTTTTGATGCAATGGATAATTTTTTAATATTCATCAGTTGAAGGTAAACAGAAAAAAAAATGAGACAATGGCTATAAGCAATGGTATCCTAGAAATGCCCATACAGTTCCAACACAGATTTCGCTGCTGTGACTATTCCTAGCTACTTCTAAGCCTGGAGCAAAACTGTTTTCCAAGGCATACTCCCAGTTGTAAATGCCCTAGCTAAATGCTGAAGGCAGTTTAAAATTGAACAATTAAGGGCTCAAGAGAAATTCTCATAAATACTTTAAAGACATTGACTGAGCTGTCCTTAATTCTATTAAACCCCTGATCTGATCTGTTCCCATTCTAAGCTATGACTGTAACTCTAGTAATTCACTACATACATTTTGGACAGCAGATATAATGAGCTATTTTGATTCAAAATTATGTTATGAGTCAAATTTGCATATATAAATTTATCCTAAAAAATTAAGAGAAGGACATTGTTTCTAGGGGAGTTCTTTTTTTCTTCTTAAAAATGCTCTATGATGATCTAATTTAAGAAGTACTCATAAAGTAGTAGAATATTGAAAAAAACTGAAAATAGAACATATTTCTAAAATAAATGTATATCTTAAAACTTAGCATGTATAATACATTTAAAAAGGATTTATTGGCTGGGCATGGTGGCTCACGCCTGTAATCCCAGCACTTTGGGAGGCCGAGGCGGGCGGATCATGAGGTCAAGAGATCAAGACTATCTTGGCTAACACGGTGAAACCCCGTCGCTACTAAAAATACAAAAAAATTAGCCAGGCGTGGTGGCGGGTGCCTGTAGTCCCCGCTACTCGGGAGGCTGAGGCAGTAGAATGGCGTGAACTCGGGGGGCGGAGCTTGCAGTGAGCTGAGATGGCGCCACTGCACTCCAGCCTGGGCAACAGAGCAAGACTCCGTCTCAAAAAAAAAAAAAAAAAAAAAGTATTTCTTGAGTGTCTGAATCCTGGATTAAGTTTACTGAAATTGAAAATTAATGTAACTGTTACTATTATCCATATTAACTAAAACCAGAAGCTTCTCTCTTACTCTGCCTTCTCCAGGTATCCAGAGCAGCATATGGTAATGTGCTGTATGTATACAAGTAAATATGGTGTAGGTGTCACTGCCTATAATCAGCTATGAAACTGTAAGTCATATGTATATGCCTCAAGTAATTTTAAGTACTTCCTTTCTGGATATTGTAGTCCTGGTGTCTCTTTCAGCTAATGTGGTAAATTGGATTTGTTCTAAGGTTACCGTGTTCTGAAGATTTTTTCCTATACTCTGCTTGGAAGTAAGCATACTGTTGCAAGAAATATAGTGAGACATGTTGATTGAAAGCTTATCAATTTTTCACCTACTCCAATAGATAATGAGTTGTTCATTGTCTTCCGTTTTGGCAACCTCTGCAACCACATAAGGAAATTACACCTGCAGGTACTTCATAATGCATACATAACATTTCTTTTAAACAAATAAAAACAACAGTGAAACTTCAGCAAATAAGCATATTTTTACACTGGAAGAGTTGATGAGCTACTGTCAAAACCAAACTTAGGAGTACTCCAGCCTCACAGCTATTGGTGATGTACAATGAAGAAAAAAGATGTGTAATACATGGATAATTGAAATGCCAGTTTATCTGCTGCTTTTTGGGTTTGGATGTTGGTTGCTATTTATTCCTCCAGATTTTTCTTTTCTTTCTTTTTTTTTTTTTTATTCCAGAGAATTTCTGTTGCTACTTTACATTACACAATTGAAAACTAGGGTAGCTGTTTGTTTTTTCTTTAATTTGAAATACAATGAAAACACGAAAACTGATTTTATGTTAGACCAGTTTGAGATATGTGATTTATATATGGGTCACTACAAAAAGATATGCATTTTATTTCTCTTTGTAATTTCTGCACATTTTCACTGAATTCTTGAATATCATGACATCAGGAAAATATGTTTTATTTCTGTGTAAAGAAATTTGTTATTACTCCTTTGTAACTTTTTCTCCATCAAAATGAGAATTTCAAAATTGTCATACCAGCAGGTCTGATGAGATGGAACAAATGAACTGACAAGTGAAATCGAAGTTTAAATGCATCTTACATTTGTCTCATTAACCTTTTCCTCTCTGTAGTCTAATTTATTCTTACAGAGAGGGTAGTTTTAAAATAACCTTGTAGTTCAATTTCAATGTCAAAAGCATTCGTAAATTGCCTTGTAAATAGTTACCTAAAGTTTTAAATTTACTCCTTGTTAGGGAGTAAGAAGACTACAGGAGAAATAAAGCAAAACAATGTATTTGCTAACTCTATATGGGATATTCAATTTTTGAATAGATAAATGTCACTTCACAAAACTTTCATAAATGAGGAACAGTGTGGACCTTCCCTTAAATTTTCTGACCAAACTGTTATAACCATTGAGTCAAAATTTATTTTATGTACTATTTTAAAATCGTTGTCAATTAAATCATAACATTTCTTATAACATATATAATTATAACATTTAATTTTTATGCCATATATATAACATATAACAAAATAATATATTTTGAAATCAAGATCATCAAGTCTTATGTTGACATTTTAATCGTGTCAAAACTATGCATACCGATAAAGGAAAATGTCAGCAAAATGACACCTAGAGACACCTGACATCTATCCCCCAACAAGAAAGGACCAAGGTAATGAATAAACAGGAAAGATTTATCTGCAGTATCAAAGGGGGATTGTTAGAATGTATTTGGGGAGTGGAGAGGCACCTCTGGTGACTGGAAGTTCAGGAGGACATGCAGCCTCTGCAGTACCATCTTCCCCACATGGATTGAATTTGCCTGGCATCATGAGTTACTTCCTGTTGGGAGAAAAAAGTGTGCCCTCCTTGGGGTGGGGGCAGGAGCCACTGCACCTTCCCAGCACTGGGGCACCATCTTCATTATGCCAAGCCCACATTGGTAGTCGAATGCCACAACCTCAGCACTGCAGAGCTTGGGCCCAGGATCAGCTGTGACTTTGAGTTGTGCATAGTAGGGAAACCAACTACTATTCCCCTTACTTCCAGCCAGAGGAACAGTCTGGTAGTCCTGCCCATTGTGAAACTGCCCTTAGCAACCAAACCACTTCATACTCTCCTCTATGTGGTGGAGGCCCTCAAGTATCTGAGCAGCTGACATGGTCCTCAGCTGGTGGAGTGGCAACGTACTTTTACCCAGGGCCTAAGAAACAGCCCCATGGTACCCATCCCACTACAGATAAGCCCCTGGCCTGCCCAGTGGCCCTGTACCTGCTTTAGGGCTTGAGAAACAGCTGTGCAGGCCCCCTTGGCTGACCACCCCAGGCCAACCAAGCATCTGTGCACCCACAACCTTGGAGTGAGAAACAGCTCCACAAGCTGCCCCTGGAAGGCAAGCCCACAGCCAGTCAAGCAGCTGTGTGTCTGCTGGGCCCAAGAAACAGCCCTAGAGCTGCCCCTGGCTTGTCAGCCTCCAGGCCAACTGAGTAGTACTGCACCCACCTCCTGCTCCTGAGAAACATCCATATGGGCCACCCCAGCAGACACACTCCCAGGCCGGGTAAGCAGCTATGTGCCCATGTCCTGGGTCTGAGAAACATCCCCGTGGGCTGTCCCTGGCAGGTATGCCCCAGACCATTCAAGCAACCATGTGTATGTGATCTTAGCCAGAGGAACAGACCTATAGCCCTAATAGCAGCCCCAAGTCGGTCGACCTGGGGCAGGTACATGCCTCTGACCTGAAAAACCGCCTGATGAACCTACCCACAGCAAAGCCACACCATGGCCACTATAGCCTATGTCTTTGAGATACTTGCAAACATCACTAGCATAGATGACAGCTGAAGAAATGACATAGAGACGATACTACTTCATCCACTTATAACCAAAGCCAATGCACCCCAGCAAACTGGCACTCCAAGAGCCATTCTTAGAAATGTATTTCCCTACGAAACCTACTTCATAAAACTAGAAGAGATGACTGTTACACCAGATGTTTAGAAATCAGTGTAAGGACACATCAAACCTGAAAAAGCAAGGAAATGTGACAACTCCAAAGGAACACAATTATTATCCAGCAACAGACATCAATAATGAGAAAATATACAAAATGCCAGAAAAAGAATTTAAAATAATAATCTTAATGAAATTCAGTTAGGTAGAAGAGAATACAGATAGATAATTGAATGAAATCAGTAATATAATTCATGATTTGAATGAAAAATTCAACAAAGAAATAGGATTTCTGTTTGGTTCTTTTTTTGTAATATCTAACAGCTGAAGAATTCAATGAATGAAATAAAAAAAAAAATAGTTTCATAACATAGACCAAGCAGAAAAAAGAATTCCTGAACTTCAGGAAAGATCATTTGAAATAACACAAGCTGACAAACAATTTAAAAAGTAAAAAAGAATAAGAGAATAATAAAAATTAATAAAGAAAACCTAAAGAATTTGTGGGATATTATTAAATAAATAAATGTTCACATTATGAGCATTCCAGAAGAAGAGAAGGGAGAAAATTGTAGAAAAATATTTAATTAAATTGCTGTGAACTTCCCAGGTTATGAGAGAGATGGGCAAAACACATCTCAAAAATAATGGAATTAAACAAAAAATTAGTAACAAAAGAAACGTTTGAAACTATACGAATGCATGGAAGTTAAACAACATGCTCCTGAATGACCAACTGGTAAAAGAAATTGAAGTTCAAAAAATTCCTTGAAACAAGTAGAAACACAAAATACCAAAACCTATGGGTTATTGCATAAGCAGTATTAAGAGGGAATTTTATAGCAATATGTGCCTACATCAAAAATCTAGAAAGATTTCAAATGAGCAACATAACAATGCATCTTAACGAACTAGAAGAGCAAGGAAAAGCCAATCCCAAAATTAATAGAATGAAATCATAAAGATCAGAGCAGAAAGAAATGTAATTGAGACAAAAACATATATTAAAGATTAACAAAACAAGAAGATGAATAAAAAATAGACAAAATCAACAAACTGTCACTAAGAATAAGAGAGAAGGTTCCAATAAATAAAATGGGAAACAGAAAAGGAGTCATCATAATGGATACCCCAGGATTACAAAGGATCATTCGAGACTGCTATGAACAGCTATAAGGAAACAAATTTGACAACTTAGAGGAAATGAGTAAATTCCTGAAAACATATCACTTACCAAGAATGAACAAAAAGAAATAGAAAACGTCAACAGAATAATAACAAGTAATGAGATTGAATCAGCAATATAAGTTTCTCAACAATTAAATGTCCAGAAGCAGATGGCTTCACCACTGAATTCTACTGAACCTTAAAAGAAAAATTAATGCCATTTTTTCTTAAACTATTCCAAAACATTGAAGGTGAAGGTATTTTTATAACTTATTTTATGAGGCCAGTATTATCCTGATAGCAAATCCAGACAAAGAAAACACACACAAGGAAACTGTAGGCCAATATCCCTGATTAACATAGATGCAAAAATCCTTAATAAGATACTAACATACTGAATCCAACAGCACATCAAAAGTTAGTACACTGTGATCAAGTGGGATATATGTCAGAAACACAAGTATGACTTAACCCACACAAATCAATAAACATAATACATCACATCACAGAATGAAGAACAAAAACCATATGATCTTCTCAATAGATAGAGAAGAAAGCATTTGATAAAATTTAATATCCCTTTATGATACAAACTGTCAATAAATTAGGTATAGAGGGAAAGTACCTTGACACAATAAAGGTTATATGTGACAAAGTCACAGCTAATATACTGAACTGGGAAAAGCTTTTAGTTCTGAGAACTGAAAGAAGACAAGGATGCCCACTCTCACCACTCTTATTCAACACAGTACTGGAAGTCCTAGCTAGAGAAATTAAGCAAAACAAGAAAATGAAGGGAATTTAAATGGGAAAGCAAAAAGCTCAAATTGTTCCTATTTGCTGATGACATGATCTTACATATAGAAAAACCTAAGGTCTCCACCAATAAACCATCAAAACTGATAGACAAAATGCAGTAAAGCTGCAGGATACAACATTAACATAAAAAATCAATAGTGTTCCTCTACCCAAACCACAAACTACCTGAAAAAGAAATTAAGAAGTCAATCTCACTTACAATAGCTACAAAAAAATACCTAGAAATAAATTTAACCAAGGAGGTGAAAAACCGCTACAAAATAAACCAAAAAAATCTTATGAAAGTAATTGAAGATACAAATAAATGAAAAAAATCCCATGCTCATTAATCAAAAGAATTAATATTGTTAAAATAACCACACTAGCCAAGCAATCTATAGATTCAATGCAATCCTTATCAAAATAACAATGATATTCTTTATAGAAAAATAAAAAAAAAATTCTAAAATTTGTATGTTACCACAAAAGGCCCTGAATAGTCAAAACAATCTTAAATGAAAAAACAAACCTGGGGTCATAACACTATCAGACTTTGACATATACTACAAAACTCTAGTAACAGAAACATCATAGTGCTGGCATAAAAATGGTCATGCACACCGATGGAACAGAATAGAGAATGCAGAAATAAATTCATACATCTACAGCCAACTGATTTTTGACAAAGGCACCAAGAACATATATTGGGGGAAAGGAGAGACTCTTCAATAAATGATCTGGGAAAAAACTGGACATCTCACCCTACACAAAAATTAACTCAAAATGAATTAAAGGTAAGACCCAAGACTATTAAGCTACCAGAAGGAAATACAGGGAAAACATTTTCAGACATTGGTATGGGAAAAGATTATATGAATAAGACCTCAAAAGCATAGGCAACAAAAGCAAAAATAAACAAATGGGATTACATCAAACCTAAAAGCTTCTGCACAGCAAGTGAAATAATCAAAAGAGTGAAAAGAAAGCCAACAGAATGGAAGAAAATATATGCAAACAATTCATCCAACACGTGATTAATATGCAGAATATACAAGAAATTTGACCATCTCAACAGAAAATAAAGAAGGAAGGAAGGAGGAAGGAGGAAGAATGGAAGGGAGGGAGGGAGGGAGGGAGAGAAGGAAAGGAAAGGAAATGAAAGGGAAAGGGAAAGGAGAAACTATTTATTTTAAAAATGGGCAGGCCAGGGGTGGTGACTAACACGTGTAATCCCAACACTTTGGGAGGCTGAGGCTGGCAAATCACTTGAGGTCAGGGGTTCTAGACCAGCCTGGCCAACATGGTGAAACCCCATTTCTACTAAAAATACAAAAATTAGCCGGGTATGGTGGCACACCCCTGTAATCCCAGCTACTAAGGAGGCTGAGACACAAGAATCGCTTGAACCTGGGAGGAGGAGATTGCAGTGAGCTGAGATCATGCCATTGCACTCCGGCCTTGGCAACAGAGTGAGACTCTGTCTCGGGGTAAAAAAAAAAAACAAAAAAAAACAAAAAAAAAAAAACGACAAATATCAAAAGAATATATACAAGTGTCCAAGAAATGAGTGAAAAAAATGCCCATTACTAATTATCAGGGAAATGCAAATCAAAACCACAATGAGGTATTATGTTACCCCAGTTAGAATGCCTGTTAACAATATAAAACATAACAAATGCTGGTGAAGATGCAGAGAAAAGAGAACTCTTTCACCCTGTTGGTGGGAATATAAACTAGCACAGTTACTATGGAGAGGAGTATGGGGGTTTCTCAAAAAAACTACATATAGAACTACCATATGATCCAGCACTCCCATTACAGGGCATTTATCCAAAGGAAAGGAAATCAGTATATCAAAGAGACATTTGCACTCTCATGTGCATTGAAGCACTATTCACAATAGCCAAGATATGGAATCAACCTAGGTGTCCAACAACAGATGAATAAAGAAAGAAACTGTGTCATAAATACAAAATTGAATACTATTCAGCCATACAAAAGATTAAATCATATCATTCATGGCAACATGGATGGAACTGGAGGGCATTATGTTGAATGAAATAAGCCAGAAAGAGAAAGCTAAACAATGCATGTTCTCACTCATATGTGGAAGCTAAAAAAAGTTGATCTCATGGAAGTCAAAAGTAGAATGGAGGATATGAGAGGCCAGGGAGGATAGGGGAAAAGGGGAGACGGGGAGAGATTTGTTAAGGGATACAAAATTACAGCTAGATAGGAAAAATAAATTATATTCTTCTATAGCAATATAGAATGACTATAGTTGATAATATAGTTTCAAATAGGTAGAAGGAGGATATTGAATGTTTCCAACACAAAGAAATAATACGTATTTGAATGATAGATATGGTAACAACCCTGATCTGATCACTATACATTGTATGTATCACAACATCACTATATACCCCATAAATATGTACAATTATTATGATCAATTATAAAACCTTAAAAAGCCAAGGCACTTCACACTTTAAAATTCAGTGAATTGGCCGGATTCCGTGGCTCACGCCTGTAATCCTAGCACTTTGGGAGGCCAAGGTGGGCAGATCATGAGGTCAGGAGATTAAGACCATCCTGGCTAACACAGTGAAACCCCGTCTCTACTAAAAATACAAATAATTAGCCGAGCGTGATGGCACGCACCTGTAGTCCCAGCTACTCGGGAGGCTGAGGCAGGAGAATCACTTGAACCTGGGAGGCAGAGGTTGCAGTGACCCAAGATGGTGCCACTGCACTGCAGTCTGGCCGACAGAGTGAGACTGCATCTCTAAGAAAGAAAAAGAACATACAATAAAAAATAAAATTCGGTGAATTATAGTTATTTCCAAGTGGAAGCTGTATATCAAACATAGGCACAAGACAAAAATTAAAATATTTCTAAAATTTCTTCACATTCAAAATCTGACACTCCTGATTTACTTTTTAACTTGGAGGTTCAAAATTTTTGTTTGTCTACATAATGTCATTCTTTGTGTTTCTCTTAAGTACAGCTCTAGTGTTATTGCCAGAATTTTCTTCCAAGTTACTAATCCCCGTTCTGTAAGCTTTGAGGCACATGCACAAAAAAATGACAGCTACAACATCATGGCATTCACCTGCTTTACAGTCCTTGTAATATACCTCCTAATTTCAAACATACTGAAATATGAAATAAAAGTGACTTAGAATCAACTATGTTATAGTAATAGCACAAGAGTATCTTATCTGTCCTGAAAAATAAAATAACCACTGTAGCAAGGTCAACGACATTATTCCAACCATCCTGCAATTACATTATATCCTGGAAAATTAAGAGAGTTAAAAGTGATTCAAAGTAGAAGATGAAAAAGTATATGACTGAAGGTAACTAGCATCTGATGACAGAAGTTTGGGAAAATAAAGTGAAATATTCAGCTTTCTTTTAAAAAATGTTGGTTGGACTTTTAAAAACACCATAGGCTATTCTATGATTCTATGCCACTGAATTTGTAATTCTATAGATGTCATTCCAAAATGTTCTACTACCGTTTATCAAAATGTTAAATTGATCATGCTGCAGCTAATTCATTACAATTGCTTAATTACATCATAACTTATAAATAGCAATGTTTAAAATAACAATAAATTGTATGAACTTCTCTTTGAGAAATCTTTATAATAGTCTGAAGCAATGTTATGAACTTTTTAACTTTTATTTTTTAACCCTAAAACTGAGTACAACATTATTGCCAATAATCCAAAAAGTTTTAGTTGGATTTCGTTTGTCTTACATCAGGAATATCTATACTGTCATAAATATAAGACCTGGCATGATCATTTATCTTAATAAGGTGGTTTGTGAAGATCTGAAAAAAATATTTCCACCAAATTACCCGAGAGCATCATATTTAATGTTTAATACTTCCAGCACAATTATGAGCAAATATTCACTTTGTTCAATTTTTAAACATCATATTTAATTGTATTCGAATACATCCATTGTACTATGACATTATGTCTTCATTTGTATTATTTCAAAAATGTTTATTTACAAATACATTGTGTATCACCATGAATTAAATTAAGACAGTCACTGCATCATTTTTTCATTTTGATAGAGAAATGCAAATATAAAATATTCTCTGTGATATGTTTAGATAACACAAAATGTGGTCAAGCTTCAGACTTTATTCAGGAAACAGCTCTTAAACTCAGAAAACCAACAAAACAACAAGAAATTGGAGGAGGAAAAGAAAAAGAACAATGTGAACACAAAAAGAAGGAGGAGTTGTTAGACTGATTGAGATTTGAGAAATACCAAAAACACCCAAAGCTTAAAAATTGGTTACAAAATGTCAAATGTCTGCCTGATATGTTACAACTAAAAATCTTTGCTAAGAATTTTCCTGATAAGTTTCAGACTTGAACTTAAATATGGACTGAAGTTAGCTACTCCATCCAAATGCTTAGCTTTCTTAAGGAAAGAAGATTGAAGACTCTCAGATAAATGGAAAATAATGAAAGCATTTTAAAATTCCTTTAACTGTATTTCCTTTTTAGAGTAGATTTAATAATGAAATGACAATATTTCTATACATGAAGTCTCATATTTAGTAGTCTGTTTTATTTGTGAATTAAAAATTGTGTTCTAGGAAGAAAAAGACACAATCTGCAATATTACAAAAAAATTAAATGACAGATAATTAATATCACAGTAACAGAATTTTAAGCTTTTAAATGATGCTGAATTATATTTCGACAATATACTAAACACAGAGTTTACATTTAAAATTTCCAAAGGGGCAAAATGTCATTCTGCCAGCTGTTTAAAGTTATTCAGAAAAAGAGATAGCATTTACACTTTCAGCAATTCATCCAAATTAAAAACATTTTATGGAAAGTCAAAACACTGGACTTTATGCTGTGGCTTGAGCTATTTTTCAGTGCCTTTAGTAAAAATACAAAAGAGGTTTGGTTACCCTTTTCAGTACAATGAAGAAAGATTGGAATCCTCATTTTATACACTCAATATTTTTGCTCATAGCATCTCATTTAATCCTTACCAAGTGGTCATACGTACACGAACCCTTACATATATACATACATATATGCATGAAGAATTTATTTTAGAGATAGAATTAAGGTTGATAATGAGTTGATCTTAAAATAGGAAGATTATTCTGGATTATCCAGTCAGGTCCAACATAATCACATCGGACCTTAAAAGTGAAACAGGAAAGCAGAAGAGTGGATCAGAGAGATGGGAGAAAAGAAAGAGCAATTGGACATATGAGAGGTACTTACCTGCTGGCTCCACTGAAGGAACTGGACCATGAGCCAAGGATTGCAGGTGGCCTTTAGAAGCCAGTAAAAGCCCTCTGACAGCCAGAAAGAAAACAGGATCCCAGTTCTATTAGAAAAAAAAAAATACTGAATTCTGCTAACCACCTGCATGAACAAGGAGAGGAATCCTCCCACAGAACCTCCAGAAAGGAATTCAGTCCTGTCTACACTTTGAATTAATATTAACAAAAGAATTAACACATTAGTATTTCATATGCAATTAAATATGTAGGTACATATAGATTATATATAATTATATTTAATGCCTCCTCATAGAAATGTATTTTGGAAATTAAGAATTGAATTAAGTATTAAGGAAGATTTCACATGTTATCATGGACATGAATACAAGCTATTTTGTTTAGCCTCTGGTTGCCTTGTCCATGAAATGAAATGAATTGCATTTTGAACTGGTAGAGAAGTGATAGTGGCACATTTTTCTCTGTAAGTGTCAATTTCTTCTAAATACAGACATATAGTTTGTGACAAATTCAGGTTTCTTCCCTTTTTAAATGGACCCTTCTGTCACATTACTATGTAAGTTTACATTGTTTTCAACTTGGCTGCTTGCTATACTGCACCCATCACTGAGTGAACATAAAATGGACAATGTAAGAGACAAGTTCCTAAGCTGCAAGAAACATTATATCTTCATTTCTGTTGTATATTCCTGTATTCTCTAGGATCGCTATGCTCATTGCTGTGCTTAAATATTTTCATATACCATTACCCTCTTTATTATCATCTTTACATCTACCACAGATCTAAGTTTTAATCAAATGTTGAGGTTGCAGTACTATAGTTTGGGCTGAATTGCTTTATTCTTCTATAACAAGTCTTAATTTGGTGGGTTAAAATATTTCAAATCTTTCTCTCTGGGCAGAATAATAAATATTTCATTTCATTACTTCTCCAGTAATCTACCTTTACAACAAAGCACTAAAGCTCAGTTTTGACAAGATATCAACACAACATTATCATTTCCATTTTCATACATTTTCTGTTCAACATCATTCGTGAATTCTTATCTCCTCATTCATTGATATAAACTTGGGACTTGCAATATAATTCTATGTCTGAAATGTCAAACAACAACAAAAAAAGAGAATCCCCAAAAGAAATGTGATCACAGCCACTTCTTTGGGTCCTGTTCTCTAGACTCCAGCTCATCCCTGTAAGCCTAAGCTAGACGTAACTCTCCTCTTTCTTACTGCTGTTATAGGGCAGCTCAAGGGCACTGCCCATCGAAACAACACCCTGTGAAAGCTTGCATGGGGTACGAGTCAGCTCCCCATCTGGGAGTAACAGTAATCCACAGTCTAACTGCTCCATCTAATTTACCTTTCACCTTAGTCCTCACTTTTGTATTCCACTACTTCAAAGTGTTCATTTCAAATGCTAAGACAGCTACACAAATAAGAGCTGAGGACACTGGAGATGGATAAAATGCCACGGTTAGTATTAAGAACAAATAATCCTCTTTTGGGGGGCACCTTTATTTTCTATGTTGCTTAGTTAACAGTAAATTTCATTGCAACATGGAAACTTTAAATTTTGTAAATGTTTTAAAAATTTTTAGATGTTTCTATCTTGAAACAAATAAAATTCTATATACTATAACCAATAATTTGAAGCTTCATATAAGGAATATTTTTTCTAGATCACAAACTCTTCTTTAATCAGAAAGTAGCAAAAGCTAAGTAAACAATATGATGTCTGAAGTAACTAAACAAAAAACGCCAACACATATCACAAGACCAGTTTTTAGATTGTATAACTATTATATATCCATTCAGATCTCAGGCTGCTTTGGATAAATGGGTATTTTACTGATGTTGCTTCAGTCAGACCATATTTGGTAGATGCCCTTTAACAGGTGCCATATTTTAAGTTGCTGTAATTGTTTATTACTCCATATCCTAAAAGAGTTTTGTGAATCATGCAGTGACTATAAGGCCATATATATTAAATTATTCACTTACTTAACAAATACATACTGATTACACAGTAGGACTATGTAGATATTAAGGCCATGTGACAAGTAAACCATAGATACTGCCATCAAGGAGCTTTGGGCATTGTTGTCAAACCGGAAATTGCTAGCCCTGCAATGGTGAGATTTATAAAAGGCAAATAGCTGAATTCAATATTTGAAATGTTTTACAGCAAAATAAGGTGGTGGTTGGGTATACTGGTAAGTCAAAAATAGCTATTGAAGATGAAGTAAAATTACTACATAAAAGAAACCTGGAAAAATTACCAATATTTTAAAAATATTAAGTTAAATCCATATTTAAGGATTTTAAATGCATAATATTTAGTGTTCCATTTTTTTGATTTTCTGAAAACTAAAATAGAAATAACTATTCTAAGAAAAGCGTAGCTGCAGTGAAATGAGTATAACTCTAGATATTGGTTGAACATCTTATTTATAGAACAAATAGAAGAAATGAAATTTGTTAAATCAAAGCAAAAATATATAAACAAATAGGATTTTATGATTTTTAAATTTAATAACTTTATTACCACATAGTTGAAAGTCAATAAAATGTATATATATATATAGGGTACAATTTGATGTTATGACATAGGTATATACCCATGAAATCATTTCTATAATCAAGGTAAGATCCCAGTTTTCTTGTGTCTATCTAATCCTTTTATCTAACTCCTTTCCTCTCCATCCCATCCCCAAGCAACCACTGATATTATTTCTGCCAATATGTGTTTGTCTGCATTTTCTAAAATGTAATGAAATTGGAATCATTCAGTATGTACTCATTTTTGATAGCTTCTTTCACTCAGCATAATTATTTTGAGACTCATCCATGTCCTCATACACATCATCTGTTCGTTTCTTTCTGTTGCAAAGAAGTGCTTTATTGCATAGAAACGCGATTTGTATGGGAATAACATGGGAATAACTCATTCTGATGAAAATTTGGGTTGTTTCCATTTTTTGGCTATTACAAATAGAGTTATGAACATTCACTGGTGTGTTGATGTACATTTTCATTTCCCTGGGATAATTACTCAGATGTGGAATGGCTGGATATCTGATCGTGTAGGTTTGCAGCAAGAAACTGCAAAACCATTTTCCGAAGCAATTGTACTATTTTCCAGTTGCACCAGCTTTAAGAGAATCATGGTTCCTCTACATCCTTACCAACACTTGGCATGGCCAGTCTTTAATTTTAGCTATTCTAATGACTGTGTAGTAATTTCTAATTGTGCTTCTAATTTGCATTTCCCTAATGATTAACAAGGTTGAGCATCATCTCATGGGCTTTTCATCTGTATATCTTTGGTGAAGGGTCTATTCAAACATTTTAATCATTTATATTGCGTTGTTTGTTTTCTTGTTGAACATAGAGAGTTTTGAGTATATTCTAGAAATGAGTTCTTTATCAGATACATAATTTGCAAATGTTTTCTTTCAGTCCATGGCTTGTCTTTTCATTCTCTTTACTAGTGACTTTTGAAATAGTGATTTTTTTTTATGAACACTAATTTATCTTTTTTTCTGGAATGTACTTTTGATAACATATCTAAGAAATATGTGCATAATTCAAAGTAAATTTTTTTCTCTTTTTTTTCTGAAAGTGTTAGGGTTTTAGGTTTTACATTTAGATCTATGATCCATTTTGAATTGAGTTTTGTATATGATATTACAAAGCAGTGATCAAAGTTCAATTTTCTTCTTTTTACATATAGATGTCCAATATTTGCAGAAATATGTTTTGAAATGATTATCCTTTCTCTACTGAATTTCTTTTGCACTTGTGTCCAAAAAGGATTTCCATATACATGTGGGTCTATTTCTGGACACTGTTTTACACCATTGTTCTATTTATCTGTCTAAAGCCAGTACTACACTTATTTTAGCTTTATAATGAGCCTTAAAATCAGAGTGTATTAGTTCCCCTATTTTGTTCATTCCTCTTTCAAAGTTGTTTGGATTTTTCTCGTTCATTTGAATTCCCATATAAACTTTAGCATGAGATGATGTCAAGTTTGACATAAACAACAACAACAACAACAAAAAGAACAACCTGCTGGGTTTTTCACTGGTATCACACATAATTAAATTAGGGGAAATTAACATCTTAACAATAAAGAGTCTTTTTAACCCATAAAAACAGTATATAACTTCATTTGTTTAGGCCTTCCTTAATTTCTCTATACTGTTCTGAAAGTTTCATTGTTCAGATCTTGCACATATTTTGTCCGATTTATGTTTAAGTATTTTATATTAGGGCAAATGACATTTAAACATTTTTTGATTATTTATTCCTAAGATATAAAAATAGAATTAATTTTTATATTGATTTTGTACCCTGAAGCCTTGCTAAACTCATTTATTAATTCTGTTAGCTTTTCTGTAGTCTTTTAAATTTTCTCTATGGATGATCATGTTATCCTTGAATAAAGAAATTTTAATTTCTTTTCTATACTGGATGTATTTTATTTCTTTATTTCTTGCCATAATGCACAGGGTGAAAAAAAAAGAACTCATTTCTAGAATGTATAAAGAACCCTCAATACTCAACAATATGAAAACAAACACAGTCCCTTTCTATTAAATATGATGTAACTGCAGGTTTTTCATAGATGCCTTTTTTCAGGTTTAGGAAGTTCCCTTATATTCCTAGTTTTTTAAGTTTGTATAATGCATATAATTAGATTTTGTCAGATGCTTTCTCTGCTTCTATTGAGATGATCATCTGATGTAAAATTTTAGTTTGTTGGTATGGTGATTTCTGAATGCTGAATGAATCTTTCATTCCTGGGATAAATCCCACTTTGTTATGATGAATTATCCCTTTAATATATTGCGTTTGCTTTGCTAATATGTTGTTTATAATTCTTGGATTCTCTGTTCATGCAATGCATCGTTACAATGTGTTTGTCAGGTTTTGCTATTAGGATAATGCTGGCCTAATAGAAAAAACTGGAAAGTATTATATACATTCAGTTTTCTGGAAGAGTTTTTAGATAACTGATAAAATTTGTTTATTCTGTATTTTGTAGCATTTTCCAATTAAACCACTGGGGCCTAGAGTTTTCTTTATGGAAAGATTATAACTGCATATTCAGTTTCTTTCATAGGTGGAGGGTTATTTAGACTACCTATTTTTCTAAGAGTAAGTTTGTAAACTGTGTCTTTCAAGAAATCTAGCCATTTTATCTAAGTTATCAAATCTATTAGCATAAAATTTTTAAATAATATTTAGTTAGTGACCTTTTAATATCTGTAGAATCTGTAGTAGCATCACTTATCTCAATCCACACATTAGCAATTTGTGGATTCTCTCTATTTTTCTTGGTCAGCCTGGCTGAAGATTTGTTGACTTTTTGCTTTTCTCAAAGAATGAGTTTGTTTTCATTGATATTCTTTATTGTTTTCTGTTGTATTTCTTTCATTTTTCTTCTTTCTTCCCCTTACTTTGATTTTGATTTGCTGTTCTTTCTTTAGTTTTAAAGGTAGAATCAGTTCATTGATTCTTCTATTCTAATAGAAGTCTAGGGACTTCTATTCTCTCCTAATATATAAATTAAAGGCGATAAATCCACCCCTCTCACCAGGTACTGCTTTATTAGCACCATTCAAATTTTGATACCTGGTATTTTCATTTTAATTCTATTCAAAATATTTTAACTTTCTCTTTGATTTCTGTTTTGAAATATGGGTTACATCCTTTGTATAGATACACTTTCTATCTGGAATCATTTTTCTTCTCCTGAAGGACTTGCTTTACATTTCTTGTTTTAGTCTTCTGGCCATGAATTCTTTCAGCTTTTGTATGTCAAAAAGTCCATATTTTGCCTTTATTTTGAAGAGAATTTTTTTGGTATACAATTCTACATTGATATAGTTTTCTTTTCATATTTGAAGGATGTTTCTTTACTATTTTCTTATTTACATCATGTCCACAAGAAGATAAATCTTAAGTCATCCTCTGTAGATAGTATGTCCTCTTTGCCTCTTTACTTTTAAGGTTTTCTTGTTATCACTGTTTTTGACAAATTAGATTATAGATATATCTTAGTGTAGTTTCCTTTAGGGTGTGTGTGTGTGTGTGTGTGTGTGTGTGTGTGTGTGTGTATTTCTGTGTGTGTTCTTGAAGTTCATTGGGCTTCTTGGATATATGGGTTTTCTAATTTTTGAAATCAAAATATTTTAGGCCATTATTTCTTTAACCTCCTTCCTTCAGAATTTACGATTATGCAAAATTAGGCTATATGAAATTGTTCTACAGCTCATTGACCCTCTTTTCATTGTTTTAAGCTATTTTTTTTCCTCCGTGTGTTTCATTTGGATAGATTCTATTGTTACACCAGGCTTATTACTCTTTCTCTAGTCAATGTTTAATCTGAAATGACCTTAATCTACTTAGTGTTGCCATAACAGAATAACGCAGACTGAGAAATTATAAAGAAAATAAATTTATTTCTCATGGTTCTGGAGGATGGGAAGTCCAACATCAAGATGCCAGCATCTGATGATGGCTTTGTTGATGCATCATCCCATGGCAGATGGTGAAAGAACAAGAGAGTGTGCATAAAACAGAGGTAGGGGGCCAAACTCATCCTTATTATCAGAAGCCCACTCTTGCAATAATGACATTAATCTATTCATTAAAAAGTGATCTAGACACCTCTTAAAAGTCCCACGTCTCCACATTGTTGCATTGGAAATTAAGTTTCTAACACATGAATTTAAGGGATACATTCAAACCATAGCAGTCATTAATCTCATCTGGTTTATTTTTTCTCTCATTCATTTTAATAATTTTCTGTAGAAGTTTGATTTAGATCTTTTAAAATATCATTTATTCTCTACCTAAATTTTTTAACATGTGGAATATAGTATAATGACTTAATTTCATTGTCTACTAATTTGAGCAACTGTGTCTGTTCTGAGTCATTTGATTGATTGATTTTCTCCTCATCATAGAAGGTCATGTTTTCTTGCTTTGCATACCTGGCAACATTTCACTGGATTGCAGTCATTGTACAATTGTACAATTTTGAGTGCTGAATATTTCTGAATTCCTATAAATATTCTTGAGTATTGTTTTAGGATACAGTTAAATTATTTGGAAACTGTTCAATACTCTAGGGTTTCACTTTCAAAATTTGTTAGATTACTTCAGAGCTATGTCCCACCTAATACGTAGAGCTAATTATGTCCACTACTGAGTATTCTATGTGCACACTCCTGACTATCCTGTATGATGCCCTGTGAATTATGAGGTTTTCTAGTTTGCCTGACAGAAACAGGGGCTATTTTCAACACCCCCCGTGAGCATTGGATATTCCATGTAATCCTTTTGGATTGTTTTTCTCCAACATTGGATAATTTCCTCACACACATGAGCTAATCAGTATTCTGCTGAATACACAAGGGAAATCTTCTGTAATTCTCTGGCCTTCTTGCTCTCTGCAGCAGTCTCTCCCTCAGTAGTTTGTTCTGTGATCTCTAGCTACCTTGTCCTTTCCAGATTCTCAGCTGCATCGATAGAATCCAGACAGTCTACCAGGTTCTGCCTGAGTTTTTCCTCCCTGTGCATGATGTGGACATTCTCTTGAAGCAATACAGTGGGAAATCTTAGGCTCACCTGACTTTTTTCCCATTTCTCTGGGATCACTGTCTTGTATTGCCTGTCAAACCATTGTTTGATATATTTTCCTTGATTTTTGTTTGTTTCAGGCAGGAGACTGTATTACTCTATCCTGGATAGAAGTATAAGTCTGCATTAATTTTATAAACCCCACTGTGGATGATTTAATTCTGTCTCATCATAGAATATACCTATGTGATGAATTATGTTTTCAATTTTCAATTCAAGGGAGAGAATTTTCATAGCTTTCAGCTTTGTGTACAAGTCATTATCATTGAAGATGGATTTCTTAACGATTCATGACTTGGTTTTTTGTTTTTGTCCCTAGGAGCTAGCAAAATGCCTAGAATATGGTAGATTGATTGATGGCCTAGATGAATAGAAAGCCAAATGAAACATGTTAAGATGAAAATAAAAAGTAGAGTGTAGTGTTGAATGTACATCTGTTATGAACTGAATGTTTGTCTTCTATCCAAATTTACATGTCAAAACCCTAGCCCACAGTGTGACTGTATTTAGGAACCTGGCCTCCAAGAAGTAATTAGGTTAATTGAGGTCATAAAGGTGAAGCCTTGATCTGATAGGATTAGTGTCCTGGTGAGAAGAGACACCAAGAGCATACTCTTTCTCTCTCTCAATGTGTGCACATAAAAGAAATCATGTGAACACAGAGGGATAAGGTGGCTGCCTACAAGACAGAAAGAGAGTCCTCACCAGAAATCAACCATGTCGATACCCTGATCTTGGAGTTTCAGCCTCCAGAGCATTGAGAAAATAAATTTCTATTGTTTAGGTGACCCAGTCTATAATATTTTATTATGGCAGCTGGAGCAGACAAATATTCTATCTAAACTGTATAGATAAATTTAAAAAATACAACTGGAAATCACCTAAGTTATTGAGAATCTTTACAAGTTTTTAAAGACTACAACTAATGAAAACACAATTCTCCGGAACAATTTTTTATGGTCTTCCCTCTAATAGTCACCTTTTCTTATTTAAGTTAAATCACCTTGGAGAAAAATGTATTTTAGTTTTTTTTTCAAAAGGAGTCTTTCATAGAATGACAAAAGCTGTCCAGAGTAGTAGCATTTTACATAGTGCTCATTTCCAGTTGATATTCCCAAATTTCTGGAACCCTATATCAGAAATTATAGGAAAGAGCGTAATCATGGATGATATCCAACAGATGGAAGTTTTTGTGGTTTTGACTTAAGGTAAAGATAGTTTGCTATATGCTTCTCAATTCTATGCAGATTGAGATGTTTGAAACTTTTATTTTAACATTAAAGACATATATCCTAAGAAAATTCATGTAAATTATTGATAATGTTTGAACTTGCCTATTGCTTTTGTTTATTTCAAGAAAATCTAGGATTTTTTTTTCTTTTTATAGACCATATGAAGTATTTGGACCTTCTGCTGGAGCTGCGTTAGAGTCCTTGGGACTAAAACTTTATAAAGTCCTCTGGCACTTCATACTACTGTTATGTTTAAAAATCATTATTTGAAGAAAGATGGCCATTCATTATAGCCAATACCTTTGTGTAAACTTCTTTTGAGTTAACAAAGCGCTGAGAGTTCACAAAGCCGTGTCAAATCAACCTTCACATCAACTCTCAAATATACATGGCAAGTAACAGCTTCATTTTCCAGATAAGAGAACAGAAACTGACAGACAATAAATGACTGTCTCTGGCAACCCCATTAAAAAGTGGTGAGGTCAGGTTATAACTGAGACCATGCTCAGGTCTTAGGAGTAGACCATCAACTTCTTAATTAATGTTTATCTTCTGGTTAAAGTGGCCAATTGATGGTTTGTATAGCTACAAATCTAGACTTAAGGTTTAATGTTTAATGTGAAAGGAGCCTATTATTCTTCATCTGACATTAAGAACATCATTCAAAGTAAACTCAATAATATTTAGCATATTAATTTAAGACCAGAAAGGCAGATTTTTTTTCAGAATATTGGAACTGTGGTCTCACGCAGATAGATGTGTACCAGAAATAAGACTTCAGCCCCTTATGACTGATGTGGTGAAGTTTCAAAAAACTTTAAAATAGCTGAAAATAATAAAAATTGTAGTATTTTAGAACAACTCTATTTCAGA
Organism: Homo sapiens; assembly: GCF_000001405.40. Classification (NCBI taxonomy): domain Eukaryota; kingdom Metazoa; phylum Chordata; class Mammalia; order Primates; family Hominidae; genus Homo; species Homo sapiens. The sequence continues at coordinate 80,705,201 of NC_000001.11, read as the reverse complement.
AAATTTTCTGAAAGAAATCCCATTAGCAATGAACAAATATAACAAATGGTTAGTGATACAAATAGGAGAAGATGGAAGGAATAATGAGATATCCTAGAGGAATCTTCTTTTAGTTATTAGTTTAAGATGGTTGTAGACTTCAAACTCAGTTCTTGGCAGAGAGAAAAAAAGATAAATCCTCTTTAGTTCCTATAATGCCACTGTGACACTGGATATTTTTTCTCTTAAAAAAAAAGCAATATATCAAAGCTACATAATGTGTGGTTTGAAGTAAATGGAAGAATTGTCTAAGGCAGAAAAAAAATTGGTTTAAAAGTTATGAATGCTTCTCCCCCTCACCCCAATCATTATATCTTCAAACGGTGATGGGTACTGAGTTACATAATATTTTTAATTTTATTTAAGGTAAGGTTATTATTTTGAAGCGCTAGTTACAAATAAGGGCCATGTTTCAGAGGGCATGAAGCAAACACAGTGTGGTATTTTATCAATGTCAACTCAAATGAAAGTTTCTCCTTTTTTCCTTGACTAGTACCTGGTTGGGACACTGTCTAGCACATGGTTAACACTGAGGAAATGGTAGCAATTATTATTATTATCTACTTTTCCTAAATGAGATTTTTGTCAGTTTAGCACTTCACACAACTGTTAATCTGCAGTTTCTCAATTTTGTGAAACCTTCAATTTCATGTTCCCTGAAAAACACTCCTTTCAGAACTAGACAAGACACATGGCCACTAGAAAAATGTCATTCTTCTTGTAGCCAAGTGGAAAGATTTGTGCCACTGTTTACCCATAAAGCTTAGGGACAAATGACGAAAGACTTCCCAATGTATTATAGAAAGGATTACTAGTCACATCTTCAATCTCTAACATTATTTCTCTAAAAAGCATAGAGATTTCATTATTCAAATTTATTTACTGTTTACCACAGTCCTTCATATCACAGTGTTATAACATATTTGAGACTATTTTCTGAAAAACACCCCATCACGTTGTTTAAAACAATTCCTCTGAAAATTAAGTCTCTCTAAATCACATAGCATGCATGCAGGAAATGAGGTATTCAGGTTCTCAGTACATGTGTCTGATGGACTGTTAGTTCACCGTGTTGGCATGGTGGAGTATAAAAGCAGTGTTCTATGTTCAAATTCAGATTGGTGTGTTAAACAAAACAAAACAAGTTTCTTTTTTTTTTTTCATTTAAAAATCTTTTATTTAAATATCCACAATTTTAAAGTTTTCAAATGGAATATTTAAAATAACCAATAAGATATTCAGTGATTTTGGTTTTTTTAATTTATTTTTATTTTTTTATTATTATTATACTTTAAGTTTTAGGGTACATGTGCATAATGTGCCAGTTAGTTACATATGTATACATGTGCCATGCTGGTGTGCTGCACCCATTAACACGTCATTTAGCATTAGGTATATCTCCTAATGCTATCCCTCCCCCTCCCCCCCACCCCACAACAGTCCCCAGAGTGTGATGTTCCCCTTCCTGTGTCCATCTGTTCTCAATGTTCAATTCCCATCTATGAGTGAGAACATGTGGTGTTTGGTTTTTTTGTCCTTGCGATAGTTTACTGAGAATGATGATTTCCAATTTCATCCATGTCCCTAGAAAGGACATGAACTCATCATTTTTTATGGCTGCATAGTATTCCATGCTGTATATGTGCCACATTTTCTTAATCCAGTCTATCATTGTTGGACATTTGGGTTGGTTCCAAGTCTTTGCTATTGTGAATACTGCCGCAATAAACATACGTGTGCATGTGTCTTTATAGAAGCATGATTTATAGTCCTTTGGGTATATACCCAGTCATGGGATGGTTGGGTCAAATGGTATTTCCAGTTCTAGATCCCTGAGGAATCACCACACTGACTTCCCCAATGGTTGAACTAGTTTACAGTCCCATCAACAGTGTAAAAGTGTTCCTATTTCTCCACATCCTCTCCAGCACCTGTTGTTTCCTGACTTTTTAATGATTGCCATTCTAACTGGTGTGAGATGGTATCTCATTGTGGTTTTGATTTGCATTTCTCTGATGACCAGTGATGATGAGCATTTTTTCATGTGTCTTTTGGCTGCATAAATGTCTTCTTTTGAGAAGTGTCTGTTCATATCCTTCACCCACTTTTTGATGGGGTCATTTGTTTTTTTCTTGTAGATTTGTTTGAGTTCATTGTAGATTCTGGATATTAGCCCTTTGTCATATGAGTAGGTTGCAAAAATGTTCTCCCATTTTGTAGGTTGCCTGTTCAGTCTGATGGTAGTTTCTTTTGCTGTGCAGAAGCTCTTTAGTTTAATTAGATCCCATTTGTCAATTTTGGCTTTTGTTGCCATTGCTTTTGGTGTTTTAGACATGAAGTCCTTGCCCATGCCTATGTCCTGAATGGTAATGCCTAGGTTTTCTTCTAGGGTTTTTATGGTTTTAGGTCTAACGTTGAAGTCTTTAATCCATCTTGAATTAATTTTTGTAGAAGGTGTAAGGAAGGGATCCAGTTTCAGCTTTCTACATATGGCTAGCCAGTTCTCCCAGCACCATTTATTAAAGCACCATTGCTTGTTTTCCTCAGGTTTGTCAAAGATCAGATAGTTGTAGATATGCGGCGTTATTTCTGAGGGCTCTGTTCTGTTCCATTGGTCTATATCTCTGTTTTGGTACCAGTACCATGCTGTTTTGGTTTCTGTAGCCTTGTAGTATAGTTTGAAGTCAGGTAGCATGATGCCTCCAGCTTTGTTCTTTTGGCTTAGGATTGACTTGGCGATGTGGGCTCTTTTTTGGTTCCATATGAACTTTAAAGTAGTTTTTTCCAATTCTGTGAAGAAAGTCATTGGTAGCTTGATGGGGATGGCATTGGATCTATAAATTACCTTGGGCAGTATGGCCATTTTCATGATATTCGTTCTTCCTACCCATGAGCATGGAATGTTCTTCCATTTGTTTGTATCCTCTTTTATTTCCTTGAGCAGTGGTTTGTAGTTCTCCTTGAAGAGGTCCTTCACGTCCCTTGTAAGTTGGATTCCTAAGTATTTTATTCTCTTTGAAGCATTTGTGAATGGGAGTTCACTCATGATTTGGCTCTCTGTTTGTCTGTTATTGGTGTATAAGAATGCTTGTGATTTTTGTACATTGATTTTGTATCCTGAGACTTTGCTGAAGTTGCTTATCAGCGTAAGGAGATTTTGGGCTGCGACAGTGGGGTTTTCTAGATATGCAATCATGTCATCTGCAAACAGGGACAATTTGACTTCTTCTTTTCCTAATTGAATACCCTTTACTTCCTTCTCCTGCCTAATTGCCCTGGCCAGAACTTCCAACACTATGTTGAATAGGAGTGGTGAGAGAGGGCATACCTGTCTTGTGCCAGCTTTCAAAGGGAATGCTTCCAGTTTTTGCCCATTCAGTATGATATTGGGTGTGGGTTTGTCATAGATAGCTCTTATTATTTTGAGATACGTCCCATCAATACCTAATTTATTGAGAGTTTTTAGCATGAGACAAGTTTCTATACTCCAGAATGTCTTAGAGCCTGGGCTGTTCAAATACACGTTATAAATCTCCTAGAGGGAGCTGCAGAACAGGCAGCATTTGCCAAACGTATTTGCCTGTGGGATCTATTTTTCAGTCAAATTAGTAGAATCTCCCTAAGAAAAAAACAATTAAGGATTTGCTGTTGTAGCAGTTGTAGTAGTTGTAGCAGTTGTAGTAGTTGTAGCTGTTGTAGTAGCTGTTGTAGCTGTTTTAGTAGTTGTAGTGAGCTTCTGTGACTAAATTAAAGCTCAGCCATAGGAATATTTTAATCAATCCATACTAATAGGGATACAACTCAGAGGAAAATGCATTTCATTAATGTTTATTAGATCCTATCATTAGATCTAAAAGGATCTAATAAGTAGCTTTATTAAATTTTAATTTTTCATAGAAAGGCCATAAAATTGAAGGTAAATATTTTACATTCTCTATTTTATTTACAAAATATAAATCATATTTTTATTATAATTAAATAAATGAGTTTTGATATATTTAAAGTATATTTTAGTTTGGAAAGAGAGTCTGAATTATGGGTGAGATCCACAAGAAAGTAATGAAAATGATAAATGATGGTATAATCAACATTCACTATATTTCTTACTCTCTTGTAAAAGTTGTCAAAATGAACAATAAGAATTCAATAAGTATACTATTCTCCTGAAAAAAAAAATGACAAATTGAATAAAATATCATAAAGTAAAAGAGGTCTTGTGGCCTAAAAGTGAACATGTATAAATGTGAGCTGGAGTCTTTTGTATTCAGGGTAAAATACAACTGTCATGATGAATTTTCCATGGGAAATATTAGAATTAAGGAACTGGTTTTAGTTAGATATTTCAAAGTTAAAAAGATACGGGGATGTTGGTACTAAATAATTCATAGGTTAAAAGTTTGAAAATAAAACCTAACAACAAAAGATTAAGATATCATAGTTAATTAACTTTGGGAACAAAAGAATCAAGGTAGAGTATCTGCAGAATGAGTTTAACAGTCATGTTAAGGAACTAGAAATATAACCATTACCAACACTGTTAAAACAGTAAGAATACAGCTTGGGAAAATTTTTTTTTTGATAGAAAAGAATACCATGAACTTTTACTTAATCAAAAGCTTAAGACATGGAAAGCAATTATTTATTACATTGAAATTATATACAGTTCTCTTTTTAAATATGAATAAATTATATATGAAATTATATATATTATATATCACATTAAAATGATATACTATTCTGTTTTTAAAATATGAATAAATTTTATATATGAAATTATATAATACATATATTATATAACATTGAAATACCATTCTTTTTTAAATATGAATAAATTATATATGAAATTATATATATTATATATCACATTAAAATGATATACTATTCTGTTTTTAAAATATGAATAAATTTTATATATATGAAATTATATAATACATATATAACATTGAAATACCATTCTATTTTTTAAATATGAAGAAGCTATATGAAATTATATATGATATATGATATATAATTATATATTACATTATGTATATATAACATTGAAATTATATATCATTCTTTTTTTATATTATAAAATTGTATATTATATATTATATATAATTACATATTACATATTTGTATATAAAACATTGAAATTTTATACTGTTCTGTTTTTTTAAATATGAAGAAATTATATGAAATTATGTAAAATATATATAATTATATATTATATTTTTATAATATATAACATTGAAATGATATAGCATTCTCTTTTTTAAATATGAAGAAATTATATATATGAAATTGTATATATTATACATATAATTTATTCCACATATATATATATATGGAAATTAGGATTTCCTTACACAAAGTGCTATTTTAAAAAGTTATTTAGGACCCTTCACAAGTGAGAATGCTTGATAATCTAACGTATGGGCAAGTCAATCAACCAAAGCTTTAATGATCTATTTGATAGTGGAAAATTAGATGAACTAGAGAAGCAAAGTCGTAATAAATAAAAACAGTAGCAGTTATCAACTTTAATGTATATTTTGCAGTGTGGGGTGATGCGTGGGTTAAGCATCAGATAAATTTGATTGCTAATCCTACTTTATACACTTATTGGTGGTCAGTTAAGAAGGTGATATAGCCTACTGTCTCTTCATATATATGCAAAATGTGGATAGTAATACACACGTTTTTGGTAGGGTTATCAAATATATTGTGAATAAAATATCTGGCCAATAAAGATAGCACTGCTCATTGATAACTTATGTATTTTAACATTAATTTTACAGGTATGTTAATGGCGACTTAGATGAAATATGATAAAAATGGCAAGAGAAAATGCCTGATATCGAAATCTATCTCCCCAATTTATAACTAAGTACCCTATCTATCCCACCATAGCAGCTTCTCTCCGCTTTCTGTGGTTCATCACAATTTCACATTTTCATTGTTGAGGACTTATATTTTTATCTATTATGTTTATTAATATAAGTTTTTAAAGCTCATGCATATTTATATCCCTCAGTGTATTTCAAAACTACTTAATATATCATAGATGTTTCCAAATGCTTATTGAATGAAAAATTAATGAATTAGGAATAGCTGCAATAATTAAATTCCCTTACAATCGATCCAAGAACTCACCTAATTCTGGATTCTTCTTTGGTGAATACTACAGTGGTGTGAGGATGCAGCATTTAAAACTCATTAAGAGTACCCTAACTTTACCTTCTGGCAAAACACTACTTAGGTGTATCATCATGATGTTAATTTGAACTTTACATTTAATGTTTCTCAATAATTTTATTGCCATGATACTGCTCTAGTTTTTTGACACTACTTGAATGTCTAAAGCCTTTGTGATTACTTAAAAATATTCACAGAAATAATTGAATTTCACCTTTTTAGCATGATTTCATACAGTTAGTTAATAAAATGCTGAAAACTATACTAAACGACATTTTGAAACAAAAAGTAATGGAATTTCTGTATGGACACCTACTGCATATTTGGAAACCTAATTGAGATATTAAAAGTTGATCACTAACTGCAATAGAAAGACTAGAAAGTCATCTCTGGTTAGTAAGTAGATTGGTTTTCTAAAGGAGTTTGATGTTATAATTTGCTCTTATACTAGAAATAATAAATTACAAGTTTCAAACGACACCATTTAAGAAATAAACGTTAGAATTTTGGATAACTATTTTAAAGATGAGACAGAAAACAAAATTTGCTTCTGATTTGTCAAAAGTTGCAAAATCCAAAGAAATGAATCAGGCTAAATCGTGTCTCTAACCTGCAATCTAAGGCTTGATGAGAAGCATCTGAGTGATGATTACTAGGAAGAGATGACACCAAATGAAATGGAAACGTATGAAAATACTCAGGCTCACACCGCAAGGTGCATATGTAAATTCTACTGGAATCCTTGAAAGCTTATGATTAAGTGCTCAACCAGCACAGTAGCAAATGTTTTCCCCTCCTATAGTCCATGTTGATATCCTCATGCTAATTATTATTATGGGCAAATGTCACACATGGATTTAAGTGGAAATTTCTGAAAGCTATAAAATACAGATTCTGTATTTGATTGAAAATAGTTGAAGAAAACCATGAGGAAATAAATTGCTGTATATGGAGATTATTAAGACAAAGTCAATGGTCCTTTGGGGGACCTTATTAATTTTATTTTATCCAGGCTCATAACACCTGGCATCTTTGTGAAACTGCAGCCCTAACAATATATTAATAGAACCAATCAGCACATATGGGTGAAATATCAAATTTGAGAAGCCAGGCAGTGTCAAAAGAAATTATTATAACCAAACTCTCACTAAGGGAGCCAACCAATATACACATAATCAGTTTTTCCTTTAGCTACCTTTGTTATCCTTATGTATCTCTATTTACTTTTTAATTCCTTAAGTTAAAAAAGTGCTTTAGTAATTGTTCTGTTTTTAGCTATTTTTATTTTGAGGGCAGAAATATTAGCTCACAGAAGCTCGGAGAAGGTTTCTTTTCTTTAAACCCAGGACTATCAGAATAAATGAGATATATTTAATCCATATGTAAGTATTATTGTATAACCAACAAAACATTCTATACTAGGAATTGTGTGACTTTGAAGGGAGCATAATACAAAGCTTGCAACTATAAAGTGCTTGCAATTCTGTTGAGTATATGAGATCAAATGAGTCCTTCATCTAATAGTTCTAGCCAACCATTTTATCTATTCATTCTGCGTATCCACTCTATAGGTAAGATCTCTTGGCATGACCTCCAAAATCCATTTCAAATCTTTTAATATCTTTGCCAATACTTCACTCTGAGTTTCCATCACTTTCTCCAGGACTAATGTAATAGCTTTCTAAAGGATCTCTATATCAACTGTCCCCCTTCTTGCGTCCCTCTCTGCAGAATGTATTCTCTAAAAACAGCAAGAGTAAAATTTTTAAGACAAATTCCTTGACTGCAGAAAATCCATCACTGACTTTCCATCAAACTTGGAATAAATCCAAATTTGTGACCACAACCTTTGCAACTTTAAATAAATTGTCCTCTCTCTACTATTCAATTTCACTTTATACCATTTTTACTTTCTTCCACTGTGTATAAAACACATAGGCCTTCTTTCTGGTTCTGAATACCATGTGCTGTGAGTATTTGAGTATATTTCCATCAGCTCTAAGCACTGTCTAGAATGCTCTTCACTTGATGTGTGCTTGGATGTCTCCTTATAAAGTATATCTCAGCTTAAACATTTTCTCAGGTAAGCTGCATTATTAATATATTGCTGTGCAACAAATTATTCCATAACTCAGTGACTTAAAACAACAAACATTTATTACATCACAAGTTCTGTGGGTCAGGAATAACTTAGAATGACTTAGCCGAATACCTCTGGCTCAAGGTCTCCTACAAGATTACAATCAAAGTATCAGCCAATGCCACAGTGATCTCAAAGCTCCACTGGGGGAGGATTCACTTCCCAGCTCACTTATATGTCTGTTGACAACCTTTAGGCACTGATAAATATTGTTTTTTGACACTTGGGCCTCTTCATAGGGCTGCTTACAACATGGCAATTGGTTATCTTCAGAGTGAACCAGCAAAAGAGGGAGAAAGGCTGCCTGAGATAGAAATCACGGTCTTTTTATAAACACATTTCAGAAGCGACAACTCAGGACTTCTTTTGTATTTTATTCATTAGAAACTAGTCAATAAGTTTAAGGAATACACAATAAGAAGGAATTACATAAGGATGGGAACACCAGAAGGTGGGGATCAACCATCTTAAAGACTGCCAATATCAGTCTATCCAAAGATCTCCAGTGATTCATGTCCCCTCCCTGTGCAAAACACACACCATCTCAAAGTTTTTCAGAAGTCTAATCCTACCATAATGGGAGTTGAAAATCTAGAATTTCATCATTTAAGTCAGGTCTAGATGTGGATGAGGCCCCTTGAGCATAGTTCGTTAAGTATAGCTAAGTAAGTATGCTTCTCCTTGATCCATAGAAATATGAACCTATGGAGGCAATATCTGCTTCCCCCATCCACACACATTTAAAATGCAGTGATGAGACAGGCATAGGATAATCACTACAGATAATCTTTAAAACTGAGACATAGATAAGTCATTGATATAGTACTTCTAAAATCCAGCTAGGTATAAATGTTGAAAGTTTCTTGATTAATTAATTTCAAGGCCTGAAAAATAATTCTTCAGGTTCTTGGCTCTATCCTGTGAGTATTCCTCCTTTTTCATGAAAGGTAGAATGTTTTCAGATGAGTAGCTTACTCAGTCCTCTTCTGGCCAGTAGACTTGTGAAAGTCTAACTGCCTCTTTTCCTTGTGTACTGTCTGTCTCTGTCACTCCATGCTAGTAGTTTTTCTGCTGCTGTAATTCTTTGAAAAACTTTGTGAGCCACTTGTGTATTTCATTGGAGTTTACTCAAAAATCACTCCTGCAGATCCCTTCTAGGTGAGCCCTCTTGTACCTTGGGCTCCTCCTAAGATGACTGAAGGACAATGCCCTTAAACTTAGTTCAATCATTGTGGAAGACAGTGTGGCAATTCTTCAAGGATCTAGAACCAGAAATTCCATTTGACTCAGCAATCCCATTACTGGGTATATACCCAAAGGATTATAAATCATTCTACTAGAAAGACACATGCAGATGTATGTTTATTGCTATTTGCAATCGCAAAGACTTGGAACCAATTTAAATGCCCATCAATGATAGACTGGATAAAGAAAATGTGGCTTATATACACAATGGAATACTACACAGCCATAAAAAAAGAATGAGTTCATGTCCTTTGCAGGGACATGGATGAAGCTGGAAACCATCAAACTAACAGAGCAAACTAACACAGGAACAGAAAACCAAACACCATGTGGTCTCACTCATAACTGAACAATGAGAACACATGGACACAGGGACACAGGGAGGGGGACATCACACACCGGGGCCTGTCAGGGGATCGGGGAAAAGGGGAGGGAGAGCATTAGGACAAATACGTAATGCATGTGGGGATTGAAACATAGATGATGGGTTAATAGGTGCAGCAAACCACCATGGCACAAGTATACCTTTGTAACAAACCTGCACGTTCAGCACACATAACCTAGAAGTTAAAGTAAAATTTAAAAAAATTCCTGGTGACCCTGTTGTTTAATTGAAAGAATCTGTGAGGCACATATTTAGTCTCTCTAATGGCCTTTTGTGTGACTGAGTAGTACACTGAGCAAAACCTTTGATCTTTCTGAGGTCTTAACAAAAGTTTCAGAGTCACATTATCAGCTTCATTGTTACATCACCATTTTCTGTCAGAACCATGGATTTCATGTTAGCTCAGAAGCCATTTCTTTATTTTTAACATCATTTGCTGTGTAGAGAGGCTAAGAATCCTCATAGCCATCAAGTCCTGGCTTTTTTTTATTTTATTTTTTTTGAGACGGAGTCTTGCTCTGTTGCCCAGGCTGGAGTGCAGTGGCATGATCTCAGCTCACTGCAACCTCACTTCCTGGGTTCAAGCAATTCTCCTGCCTCAGCCTCCCAAGTAGCTGGGATTACAAGCGCCCACCACCATGCCAGGCTAATTTTTTTGTATTTTTAGTAGAGACGGGGTTTCATCTTGTTAGCCAGGATGGTCTTGATCTGGCCTTGTGATCCGCCCGCCTTGGCCTCCCAAAGTGCTGGGATTACAGGCGTGAGCCACTGTGCCCAGCCAAGTCCCAGCTCTTTTTTGTTTACTAGTCCTCCCCTCTAGCTCTCTCATCTTGCATATTACTGTAAGTAGCAAGAAGAAACCAGGTGGCATCTTCAACATGTATTTTCAAAATGTCCTTAACCACATCACTCATCACAGTTCTTTAGGCATACTTTCTACATTATGTATAACTTCTTACAGCAATGTTGCTAAATATTCTGCCAACACATACCAAGTATCTGCTTCCCTTAACTTTTCAATAAGATTTTCCTCACTTTTATGCAAGCCCTCACCTGCAGCATTCTTAATGCCTAAAATTCTATGAATAGTGTGTTCAAGACATTTGAAGCTTTTATTAAAACACTTCTCAATACTCTCCCCTCAGTCCAAAGGTACTCTTACATTTTTGATATTTGTTATGTTAGCATTCCAACATCAGGTACCCAAATATGAATTAGTTATCTATTGTTATATAACAAACACTGAAAAACATAGTAGCTTAAAATAACAAACACTATCTGTAGTTTCTGTGAATCAGGAATCCAGGCACAGCTAACTGGATGCCTCTGGGTCACTGTCTCTCAAAACTACAACCAAGCTGTTGGTCAGGACTGCAGTCATCTCAGTATCTGGCTAGAGAAGAATCCTCTTACAAGCTCACTCATGTGGCTATTGTCAGGTTTCAGGTCCTCACTGGTGGTTGGCCAGAGACCTTACCATGTATGCCTCTCCATAACTGGCTCTCCTAAAAGTGAGCATAGAAAAAGAGCAAGAGAGATAGCCTAAGACAGAGCCACAGTCTTTTTGTAACCTAATCTCAGAAGTGGTATCCCATCATTTTTGCCGTACTCTGTTTATTAAAAGTCCATAAGTCCAGCTCACATTCAAGGAGGGGCATTGTATAAGGGCATGAATACTATGAGGTGGGGATCATTGGGAGACATCTTAGAGATACTCACTCAGGGTCAGCTATAACCGCTCACTCACTGCTTATATCATACTATGTTAATTCTACATGTAGTAATTTTTATGTGATAGTTTTGATGTTCCATTAATGTCTGCACTCATTGTCACAAATTAGAAGCATAAGACACGGCTTCCAAAACAAACAAGAGCAAATTAATGTAAAACTTATAAAGTATGTCAAGGGAAATGACATGATCAGATCTGCATTTTGGACTCAGAAAAGAAGCGCTAAGATATGTGCCAACTTAGCCTGGCACCAAAGGGCTCTCATCAAAGATAAGGGTGGTTTGGCATAAAAGATAGAAATTAGGCCACACTTTATAAATGTGGATATCTAGATTTTAGAAGACACGGTGGTAGGCGAAAATTTTCGTGAAGGAAATAATATGACAGAGGTTTGGAAAGGAGAAAGTCTCTTCCTGGGTTTGTAAAGAGTTTGACAGAAGGAAGAATATTGGGAGACAAGATCTTAAATACAAAATTGATACATTAGGTTTTAATTTAATAAGCAATTGGTATGAATATTTGGCAAACAGCTGATCAGCCTATCTATTCTCTTCAAAGCCACCCTACCAAATTGTCTCTAAATATGACTTGAAACATTATGATCTTGATTGGAATCCTTTTTAATATTCTGAAGGGCAAAGGTCCAAGGCAAATTCAGATAACAAAGCACTCTGTAGGGTTTATTCTTTGTGTTTACATTTAATAAGTGTATCATAGAGAGTTTTGGGGGGATTAGAAAAGACTCTTCAAACAAAATAAGGAGAGAAGGAAATAGGTTATTTTGAGTGGTTTTAGAGCCGGTAATCCAGCACCTTGAGAATACTGGAAAATATGGTCAGATAATCAATCACCTTGGAAACCACAGAAAAGGCATAAACTTTTTGCTCTCCATCCCACCTAAGTGGAACCCAAGCTGTCTACAACTTGTTCCCAACAGCGCAACAATTCCCTTAATTTGTTCATATTAAAATCTCAGCACACATTTGTTAAATGGAATTAAGTTGTGCCTCTAGTTCTGTAATGGATTCTTCAGTGTGACTGAAAGAGTTCTGCTGGGTACTATGATGTGACATGTAATATGACATGGCGGACTGACTTTAATATTTCCTGAGTTGCAAAGTCATTTCTCTGTGCTCAATGTATAAAGAAAAACAGGCCATTTAAAAAATTATCCCACAGTCTGCTGTTTAGTCAAAAACACTAGCATCAATGATAGTTTCTTACCTTTTCTTCTAGCCCACAACATTTTGACATTATTACAATTCTGCATGAACAATTAAGAATATTATAAAATTCATGATGTTATAATGATATCTTAAATTGATTCAGACTCCAATTGATAATATGTTTAACCTATAGAGTAAAACAAAGATTGCTTTGGCAATACTTGTCTCCCCATGTTTATCACCACATATCATTTATAACATGGTAAAATTAAAAATTCACTCAATCATATAAGTTGAGTGAACAATATGTCCAATGAATGAAGCATGTATCTACTTTTAGTAGTGACTTTTTTGCACAGAAAATAAAATCAATATTTCATTCAAGTGTTAAATGTGTTTGTATTTTAAATACTTATTAAAATTTGTTTGTATACATTTATAACAAGTATTCCATTGAGGAAGAATATTCTACTCCATCTCAGGTTTAGTATTTGTAGAAACTTAAAAAAAGTTCGTATATGCTGCATTTAAAAATATGTTATTTAAGTAGACTGAAATAAGCTAACAAATAATTTAAGAACAAGATTCCATAGAAAGTATAATCGACTACAATTAAAACAAACACAAAAATGCCCTAAGATATATGTGTGAAGAATTTGAGGAACAAACAAAAGGTTCATAAAACAGATGCTTTTTAGACATGTGTCTTGTAGAAATGAGAGATTTTTTAGTGAAACTGTAAAAGAGATTTTGTTCTCTCTCTCTCTCTCTCTATATATATATATATTCTAAATATTATTAAAAATGTGTAAAGAATTTTTTAATGTGACAATCATCTATACATTACTTTAGAATAGTTTTAGGCATAACAGAAGGCCAATATTGTCTTCACTAAAGTTCAGTATTATAGATCTGGTTGTAACTATATCCACATTAGTAGATGCTATGAAACTGCAGTTATCAAAATAATCTTTAGTATTGTATCTTTGCTTAAAAGTAAAATTAAAAAAAAAAAACACAGTACATTTGGTCAAGGACATGTCATATTGACTCATGTCACTGTATTCTGAATTGTGTTACCATCATACTGTTCACAATATTCTTCTTATATATAGGTGTGCAAACTCAGACTTATAATGAATCTAAAGAAATAGTATCAACCAAAACCACTTTGTACTGCTTTTCTGTGTAATTTATCTTTTCAGTTTCAAATAAAACTCTCTAACATTGTCAATATCGCTCAGAAGATTTGGGCAAAGACCCTGATGGGTACAATTACCTCATAGCTAAAGGAATCATCAGTGATCTTTGCTAACACTTCACTACTCTGGCCTTCTTCCCTCCTAACCACCTGTAAATCCCAATCTATTTGTAGCACCACTCTGCCTTTTGAGTCTTTTGCTGGGGATCTATCTATTTCTGTAATGAATTTATAAAGGATGTGTTGACATGATCTTAAGAAAAACTCTGTTGTTGCAAGGGAGAAACTAGGAAGAAAAAAAGAGTTTCTTTGTTCAAAACAGATCAAACCAGATGGTTTTACAAATGACAGTAGCTAAAGAGTATATCATTGATTTCGACATGAATAATAAAGGGCTTTAGGGACTGCTCCTCTCATACATGAGGTTTTGGTTTCCAATATTTAGCAATCTGGACACTTGCCATGGTAATGATTACTTCATGTGGGTCACAAACCCCACTTCAAAGTAAAGAAACAGTATAATGAAAAAGATTTTGAAGAGCAGATGATGAAACTAAGCAAATAAAATATAAATGTGTATCTTATTTTATAACTTCGAAGATCATGATTATTCTTTACAATTTCAATGAACTGAACACTTCTGTTTTAAGCGTATCTTATCAAATTTATATTGAGTAGTACTATTTTGCAATAGCTTCCACCATAATCACTTGTTGGACTGTCACTCGAGTAAAGTAGAAGGTTTTGAAATTACCCATGAAACACATTTTGGTAGTTTATATAAAGGTGCATTTAGTGTTCATTATTGAATGTTAAGCTGAAAGCTTTAAAGCATTAATTTAATTTTTTCTTCTGGAAATCATTTTTCATTTAGAATCTGTCCTTACTGGAAATACTCCAGAAAATCCAATGCTATTATTTTCTTTAAAAATCTCAGGCCAGGCATGGTGGCTTATGCCTGTAATCCTAACATTTTGGGAGGCTGAGATGGAAGGATCACTTGAGCTCAGGAGTTCAAGACCAGCCTGGGCAACATAGTGAGACCTCATCTCTAAAAAACTTTTTTTTTAAAAGAATGCCTTTTTAATACTTATATTGTCAACAATAATAAAGTCTTCCTAATCTCTAACCAAAGTTGTTTTAATGTAACCATGCATTCCAAACTCAATGATGGCCATACAGGTTACTTAAATGAGCAGAGCAGACTAGACATGCTGGGGAGTATAGAGATCCCAAAACCATGTCTTACCCAAAATAAACTGAATTGATTTTTAAGAAAAAAAACAAAAAAACAAACAAAACAAAACAAAACAAAAAAAAAACAGAAAAAAAGAAACCCTAGGTGGCCAAACAGAATCAATCTAGGGGTTTAGTTGTGACCGGGGTGGGGGGTCACCATATTTTTACCCCTTATGTCTATGAGAACTGTTTATGCGAGATTTAAAAGCTGACGAAGCTCTGAATAGCTATTTCTTATTATTCATGCACTTGAAGAAATGTTATATGTTCTATTATAATGCTTTAATTAAAATATGAGATGTTTGCTTAATACAATATTTCTCAGCTCTCTTTTTTCTCAATTCTCACCTGGAATTTATCATATTTATGGCCATAGATTGGAAATTTGTGAGGATAACCTCTATTCTATCCATTTTTAAATTATAGGTAAGAAAAAACAAGACCTACAGAGGTTAAATGCTTTACTCACATCTCCTAGCCAGTTACACAAGATTCAGAGCCTTTAACTCAGACATAGTTCATGAATATATGTGAAGAATAAGGAGAAAACAGGCACAGAGCATACGTTCATGTGTCACATTAATTACTGTAAATCCCTCGCAGTCAACATCATGCCTTACTCTATGTTTTAACTCTACATGCTATACTGAGCCTGACTAATATTTATCAGATAAACTCCAAATAAATTTTGATTGCATTTGAATTTTGTTCGAGTAAGTGACATTTTCAAAGAAATCAGAAGAGCTATTGGCAAAAATGAATTCTTTGGGATTGAAATTATACTGCCTGAGTTATACAGTGATCTCTATAATCTAGCTCAGAGTAAAGTTAGTTTAACTTTTCTTCTTCCTTTTTTATAACAGACTTTGTTTAAATATGCAGGAGATAAAAGTTGTTCTGAAAACATCTGTAAATGCTTATAGTTTCATCAAACAAGCAGGATGGTCTAAGAGTTGATTCTATCTTTGGCGTTTAGAATAGCAGAAAGATGTTAAAGAGGAAATTAACACATTTATCCTAGGTAACAAGGGTCGTTCACTTCAACAGATGTTCCAGAGACCTTTATAATGATCTAGGGAAACTTGTAAGTATAGGGATATATAAGGCAATATTTATAGAAGTAGAGCTTAAACAGCAAAATTAAAGCATGATTTAATTGAAATAGCACAAAACAGTATTTAAACAAGTGTTCAAGTTCTGGCTCCATCTTGTGCCTCAGTTTCCTTATCTGAAAAATGGCAGTAATGACAGAACCTATCTATGTTGGCCAAAATTCTAAGAATAATCCCTGATGACTCTCACCCTTGTATAATATCTTCTCTGCATGTGAGTGGAACTTGTGAATATGACAAAATATCACTCTTATGATTATGTTGAGTTATATGGCAAAAGAAAGATTATTTGGTTGGGCTTAATCTATTCACATGAGATAATAAATGCAGTTTTATCCAGCTGATGACAGAAAAGGAAATCAGAGATTCTAAGCATGGAGGGATTTGATGCACCTCTGCTGGTTTTGAAGATGGATGAAGCCACATTTAAAGGAATGTGAGAGGTGGGAGTAGCCCCAAGCTGACAGCCAGCAAGAAAAGGGAATCAACCACAAGAAACTGAATTTGTTCAGACTTGAATGATCTCAGAAGTGAATTCTTCCCCAGAACCCCAGGTAAGAGCCTAGCCTGGCTGATACTTGATTTTGGCCTTGTGAGGCCCTAAGTAAAGTTTCTAGATGAGCCAGCCAAGACTTCTGATCCTTCAACGTGTCAGATAGTAAATGAGTATTATTAAACACCAAATATGTTGTGCAGCAGTAGAAAATTAACATACTATCTCACAGAGTTGATATCTGGATTAAATAGTATAATATCTGCAGAATTCTTAATATATGTAACTTCTTGTCAAGTTGTAAACACTCAATAAAGGATAGCTGTTTTGCTGTTGTTGTTAGGTATGTTCTTCTGAGCAAACCTCAGAAACCCATAGACCCTGGAAACCCTCAGACTTATATCTTTAACAAGATAATTGTTCTAGTACACAAAATTCTTGAATGATAAATGATAATGCATATTCAGGTGCTTGTACAGATTAATATGCTAATGTTGTCCTAAAAATGTCATTTCCTTAATTTCATAAGAAAGAAAGATTACAATAGAATAAACAGTAAAGATTTAGCTTAAAAACCAAGACCTGAACCTGAAAAATGAGTTGGATTTATATGAGTGGGGAAGACAAAGAAAAGGACTTGGGAGGGGGGTGATATGGTTTGGCTCTGTGTCCCCACTCAGATATCATGTTGAATTGCAATCCCACGTGTCAGGGGAGGGAGCTGCAGTGAGGTGATTGGATGATGGGGGCAGATTTTCTTCATGCTGTTCTCATCATAGTGAGTGAGTTATGAGAGCTGATAGTTTAAAAATGTGGCACTTTCCCCTTTGCTCTCTCTCCCCTGCTGCCATGTAAGAGATGAATTTCTTCCTTTTTCCTTCTACCATGATTGTAAGTTTCCTGCGGCCTCCCCAGCCATGTGAAATTGTGAGTCAGTTAAACTTATTTTTTTAAATAAATTACCCAGTTTCAAGTAGTTCTTTATAGCAGTGTGAAAAAAGACTAAAACAGAAAATTGGTACTCATAGTGGGGCACTGCTATAAAGATACCTGAAAATGTGAGAGTAACTTTGGAACTGGGTAACAGGCAGAGTTGGAACAATTTGGAGGGCTCAGGAGGAGACAGGGAGATGTGGGAAAGTTTGGAACTTCCTAGAGACTTGTTGAGTGGTTTTGACCAAAATGCTAACAGTGATATAAACAATGAAGTCCAGGCAGGGGTGGTCTCAGATGGAAATGAGGAAGTTATTGGAAACTGGAGTAAAGGCCACTTTTGCTATGTTTTAGCAAAGGGACTAGCAGCATTTTGCCCCTCCCCTATAGATCTCTGGGACTTTGAACTTGACAGAGATGATTTAGAGTATCTGGCAGAAGAAATTTCTAAGCAGCAAAGCATTCAAGAAGTGACAGGGGTTTTTGTGAAAGTGTAGGCTCATGTGTGAAGAAAGAGATGGTCCAAAATTGGAACTTATGTTTAAAAGGGAAGCAGGCATAAAAGTTTGGAAAATTTGCAGCCTGACCCTGTGATAGGAAAAACAAACAAACAAACAAACAAACATTTTCTGGGGAGAAAGTCAGGCCAGCTGCAGAAATTTGCACAAGTAACAAGGAGCTGAATGTTAATCACCAGGACAATGGGGAAAATGTCTCCAGGCCATGTCACAGATCTTCACAGCAGTCCCTCCCATCACAGGTCTGGAGGCCTAAGAGGGAAAAATGGTTTCATGGGCTGGGCCCAGGGCCCTGCTGGTCTGTGCAGCCTCAGGATTTGGTGTCCTGCATCCTAGCCACTCCAGTTCCAGCTATGGCTAAAAGGGGCCAAGATACAGCTTGAGCTGTTGCTTCAGAGGATGCAAACCCCAAGCCTGGCAGCTTCCACATGGTCCTGGGTCTACAGGTGCACAGAAGGCTAGAATTGAGGTTTGGGAACCTTCACCTAGATCTTAGAGGATGTATGGAAATGCCTGGATGTCCAGGCAGAAGTCTGCTGCAGGGGTGGAACCCTCATGGAGAACCTCTGCAAGGGTAGTGCAAAGGGGAAATGTGGATTTGGAGCTACCACACAGAGTCCCCACTGGGGCACTGCCTAGTGGAGCTGTGAGAAGAGGGATGCTATCCTCCAGACCCCAGAATGGTAGATCCCCTGACAGCTTACACTGTGCACCTGGAAAAGCTGGAGGCACACAATGCCATCCAGTGAAAGTAGCTACAGGGGCTGTATCCTGCACAGCCACAGGGACAGAGCTGCCCAAGCCTGTGGGAGCCCACCCCTTGCATCAGTATTCTCTGGATGTGAGACATCCAGATTTAATAGCTGCCCTGCCGGGTTTAAGATTTTAAATTTAAGATTTAATGGCTGCCCTGCCAGGTTTTGGACTTGCATGGGGTCTGTAGCCTCTTTGTTTTGGCCAATTTCTCCCTTTTGGAATGGAAGCATTTACCCAATGCCTGTACCTCCATTGTATCTTGGAAGTAATTAACTTGTTTTTTATTTTACAGGCTCATAGGTAGAAGGGACTTGTCTCAGATGAGACTTTGGACTTAGACTTTTCAGTTAATACTGCATTGAGTTAAGACTTTGGGGGACTGTTGAGAAGGCATGTTTGGTTTTGCAATGTGAAAAGGATAAAAGATTTGGGAGGGACCTGGAAGGATTGATATGTTTGGCTCTGTGTCTCCCAAATGTCATGTGTCATGTCAAATTATAATCCCCACGTGTCAGGGGTTGAGGCTTGGAGGGAAGTGATTAGATCATGGGGACAGACTTCCCCCATGCTGTTCTTGTGATAGTGAGTGAGTTCTCATGAGATCTGATGGTTTAAAAGTGTAGCACCCCCCTCTGTGCTCTCTCTCTCTCTCCTGCTGCCACGTAAGATATGCCTTACTTCCCCTTTGCCTTCTGTCATTGTAAGTTTCCTGAGGCCTCCCCAGATATGTGGAACTGTGAATCAATTAAACCTCTTTTCTTTCTAAATTACCCAGTCTCAGGTGGTTCTTTATAGCAGTGTGAAAATGAACTAATACAGTGGGGGACCAGATGAATCAAGGCCTATATGGGCCTTGATATGGGCATTATTTTATTTCCTATTGCCAGCAAAAGAATGGCTGCACTCAATCAAATGTTATTTTTACTGTTATTATTACTTACCAGAGGACTTCTAGGAGATTGTAATATTCTAAGTATGGTTAATGTGCAATTGGGAGTGGAGGTGTTTTGGGAAACTTATTTGATTATGAGCCCCTCTATTTCTCTCTCTTCTTCTAATATCATCTCATTAGTTTCTTTCGTTCGTTTAGCTTTTTTTTCTTTTAAATCCATGAGGCTCTAGGCACCATGCTAGGGCTGAAGGTACATAGGCATGCAAAATCCATATAATTCTAATCCAAATAAAGATATATTTTTGGCTCTGAGGAGAGAAAGTGGACTGGGAGATCTCACTAGTTCTTTTGAGCTCTTCAAGTCCAAATTAGTTTTCTTATTTTAAGACTGTGTGTTAAGCTTGCTCTCTGTCTACAGCTTTTAGCAGAATTAGACTGTTTAATGAACTTGATATGTCTTCTAATAGCGGTGTCACTTACTGCCAGCAATGGGAGATATGGACTATTATTTCTGGCTTCAGAAAAGTTTCCTCAATATCCATGTACAATACTTCAACATTCTGAATATAAATAAAGAGTTTTCTAGTCAACATTGTAGATTTTCTAGTAACACAACTACAAGTGGATATCTTTTAGTCATTGTTTAAAACACAAATCTCTGCTATAAGTTTCAGCAGCTAGAAGTAATACCAATCAAAAAGAAATGTGGCTATTTCTCTCCCATCTAATTTAAAGTTTATCAGTTCTGAGTTTTATCAATAATAGAGTTCATTGGGGGAAAATTACTTTTCTTGAAAGGTGAGCATACATTGTGAATTAAGAATTGTTTATAAGCATTCCTAGAAGAAATTAGCTGTTTATTTTGACTTTTTGATCAGTCATTTTACAATTCTCATTTAGCAATATTTGTGCTATAAAATAGAGTAAAACTTGAAGTCTTAGTTTCAGAAAATTACTGAAAACATGAATAAATTCTTTTACAAAAGAACAAAAAAATGCCACTAGCTTTGTTTCTATTTCTACATGACTGTTCATTATCTCCTATACCCGTAAAGGTATATGAAAGGTAGGATGTCTAAATTGTGTATATATCTTTTCATTTCAATGATATTTCACCATAATATTGTGATAGTTTGAATTTCAGTTGGAAACAGCTTTTCTTTGAAAATTTTGGAAGGACTTTGTTAAACATGTTAATAGTAGGATGTTTCTAAGATTAAACAAGTTGAAAGAATAAACACCTCAACTCTAGTAAATTCCTTATGGGAAACCTTTTATTTAAGACCAAATTAATAATTCTGATTTTAAAAGTATGTATTAAAGCATCTTTCCATGACTTTATAAACAAATTTATGATAAACACAAGCTCTCTAGTGTCTTTTCTTGTAAGAATATTAATCCTATCATATCAGGGTACTACTCTTTTGACCTCATTTAAAATTTAATTTCCTCCTTTATAGGTCCTACCTCCATATACAGTTTTCAAGTAATAAATTTTGCAAATAAAACCAAAGATTTTTATTATCTTCTGTGAGTCACATCAACAGTCATCAAGCACTGGTTATAAGAAAGACACTTGTTGATATTCAATGGAAAGTAGATGAATAAGATTCTAACTACCTAACTAGAAAAGCAAATCTTCTAAACATTAAAATACTAATTAAATAAAACCAAAAGTGGTAGGTGCTTACTTATAACAAAGAAAGGGTAAAGTGAGGGTAGATATTTAAAAAACACACAGTCACATTTTTTAGATGAATCTTAAAGAAATCAGGGTATCTATCATATAAAGTATGGCTTTATAATTTCTTAAAAAGATAACATACTACTTGATATATTTGACAAATCAAATAAATATACACTTGTAAGTTCTTATGAAGTTTAAATTTTCATTAAAATTGTGGTAGACCACGTTATATTCCATAACTTAAATGTATTTCCAGACCCAATTGATTTTTGCCTGTGATGTGTCTTTGGGTTTTGTTCACTACTGTTCATTCCCTCTGCTAACTATCTACACGTTATCTGGGCTATTGCAAGAGTCTTCTATTGAGTTTTCCCATCCCTTGAATGCCAAGTCAAGAAAAACTATATGCAATTAGTGCTTAAATTGTGACCTTTGGATTAGAAAAGCCTGAGTTTATATTCTGGATCTATCATTAGTTAGTCCTGTGGTATCAGGCAAATTACATAATATCTGCAAATGGAGGGTTAAGTATATTGCATATGTCATATAATTATGAATATTAAATGTCATGATGCAAGTTGAGTGCTTCATGCATGGCATGTAATAATCAATGATTTATTCACTATCATTACTATATCATATGAAAATGAGAATATAATAAGCACATATGAGTAGAAGAGTAACATAGTCAGTGCTGTGCCTTGGAATATCTGATCCCAATATCCTAAATAGATTGGTATAAAGAGGCCTAATTACAATCTCAGTAGTTAAGCTCTATGCAAAAGGTAATTGTCTTACTTAGGGCTGCCATAACAAAGCACCACAGGCTGGGTGGCCTAAGTGGCAGACATTCATTTTCTCATAATTCTGGAGGCTGGGAGTCTGAGATCAAAATGCCAACATGGTTGGTTTCTGGTGTGGTCATTCTCCCTGGCTTGCAGGCAGCCACAATCTCCCTGTGTGTTCACATGATCTCTTTTTTTTTTGTGCACACAAGAGTGGAGGAGGAAAGAAGGCAAGTGAGCTCTCTCATGTTTCTTCTTATAAGAACATTAATCCTATCATATCAGACCCTAATCTTATGACCTCATTTAACCTTAATTACCTTCTATAGGCCTCATCTCCAGATATAATCACACTGGGGGTTAGAGTTTCAACATACGAATTTTGGGGGAACACAATTCAGTACATAGCATTAATGAAGGCCTAAAATAGGATATCGACCATGAGAATGACATGAAAGGATCAACGGAATTTGTGAGTCAATTCTATTAAAGACGGACAGAATTTGACATCTGTTTGGCAGAGACAAAGACAGATGTAGAATCTAGCTCACATAGGTGACAAGAGGAAAGTAACACACTAACAAATATTAAAAAGCGAAAGAAGCAAATGAAAAATGAAAAGATGTAAGAAGGTGATGATTACAGTTGTAGTTTTGCAGAAGTCAATTGAAAATTCAGTCAATAATTCTTGTATGCACTGATCCCTAATCATAAGCATTCTACTGGGGCCTTACAAATGAACTAAATGAATAAGCATTCATCCTGTACTCAAGGACATCCTAGTCTGGTGAAATGTTAGAATATAACTCAGTGACAAGGCCAGTGCTAGAGTTTAGGGGCTCTTACACATTAAGGTGTTCTTGGAAATTATATGTTTGGCAATGAACAAAGTATCAGGAGGAAATATGGGAGAATAATTAGTTTAACTATTTTACATGTCACTGATCCACAGTAATTTTTACTGCATAAAAAGTGTATGTGTGTATACCTAAAACTTTTTTTAAATTAACTATTTTTGTCTAATAAAAAGATTCCAAACAACTGTATTTAGAGGTCAATGTAGAGATTTCACCCTTAGCAAAATAAAACAAAAATCCACGGTCCTGATTAACATTTATTCATAAAGGGTGTTGATGAGTGTTACACACTTCAGGAATGTTGTATATTGTGTGACTATTAAATATCTGGTTAAACAATAATAAAGTAAATAGTCTGCCACCTCTTCTTACACATGGCTTATACGTTCTTTGTCTTTTATCGATTAAGATGAAATTCACCAAACTATTGCCACATACATGAAAAAAAACTCCCCAGCGTGATCTCAGAAAATCTTGATTAGTACTTTGTGCAAAGTGGCATTCAAAGAAGTTCATGGGCACTTTTGGTTTTACTTAGCTTTCCAATAAAAATTCTTTGTGACCCTGGGTTTAAAAGGGAGGTAAACTGGAATTTTACAGCAAAGGGCAGAGAGAGCTCAGGGAGAGCAGGTCATAACTTTGTTTAAAATGAACTTGTCAATGGGAAGAGGAGGGGGCCAGTTTATACAGCTGTAATGGACACTGTGAGAAAGTCTCTAGCAACTTAATAAACATACTGTCTTCATACACAGTTTAATGAAAATTGGAACATAGTTTAAAAACATTCCTTTCCTCATTCTCTTCTTCCTAAAATGAATCAATTTATGGAAGAAAATAGTAACACATCTCTTCTATTCGCATATCTGTGAGAATTTTCTCTTTTGGTCATGAAGGAAAAACATAGACAATCTTTCCTGCCATCCGCTTCATACACACAATAAAAAGAGACGATATTAGACGTATGCTGTTTTGCTCAATGCTTTATAACTTAGGAGTTTTGACAGTTTAATGATTTTATTAATGACTTCATTCTGTACTAACTTAAAAATTTATGATTTTCATTTAAATTGGTTCTATGAGTACCAAGGAATATTGTTAACAGGAAATTTAACCAAAACCTTTGGGAAAATTAAAATTTTTTCCAATTACAAAGGGCCTCGGTGCTGTTTTTTTGTGTGTGCATATTTCAAATAAAAGGATTTAGTGATAATTTAAAATACATACATTCCACACTAAAAGATAAAAGATTATATTACTTTGAATACTGTAGATCTGTGCTGCCCAGTACAGTAAACCACTAGTCATATGTGGCTATTTAAGTTGAAATGCCGTTTTTTAAAATTAAAAATTTAGACCCTCTATTGCACTAGCTACATTTCATGCCCACACTAGCCATACAAATCTAGTGGCTACTATACAGGACAACAGAATTTATACAATATTTATATCATCACAAAGAGTTATATTAAATAGTGCTATGATTGTGTAAACTTTATTTTAGACAAAGCCCTACTTGTTGACTGCCTAATAGGGAGAGCTGGGATTAACCAATTAACTAAAATATTTATGAAAAACTTTAAGACAGAGTAGGTGCTAGATTTCTAGGAGAAAATGAGAAAGGTAAGTTTTCTGCTCTTTCTGTGTTCACAATTCTCAAACTTAAGTTTTTCTAAACATCTGAGTCTTTTCGGAATGTTTCTTCCTTAGAATTCATTATGACACATTAATTTTAATCTTGTTAAACTGTGGGTTTGTGGATAGGATTCTACATAGCCACATTAGTCTGTTAAGGGTATTCCTCTAAACATAAAAAACCACAAGTATCCAGATAATTATCAAGCTATAATTCTCTTAATAGATCTTGTTCTCTGTTTCCAAACTCTTATATACATTTTATTTATAAGCCATATATAAAACCAAGAAGGAAGATAAAATGATTCACACCTTGTGACAAACAGGGCACTCTGTACTCCCTATCTTGTTTGTTTTGACACTGAGTATTGGATGACTGTAGAATTCCAAATAATTGAGGACAGAAGAATTGCTGTGAAGAAGACTCCAACCGAGTAGACAGAAGAAATGTTAACATGTTGCAACATAACTATCCACAGTCCCAAATTTGACAGCAATAGACAAATTCACCTGGCATGTAACAAGACAACATCAGGTGGCTCTTTTTGAGGTAAGCCTCCATGCAGTCAGAGAGATGAAGAGACTAAGCCACAGAATGTGACGAGTCTTAAGTATGAGTGTCTAGCTAAGCTTCTATTTGTTGGCACAAGGATTATCTGAAACACCCGAGGATTTTAGTTCCCCTTTATATATGCATCATGATACTGTCAATGACATTTAGAGACAACTTATGAACACTTGAAAGAAAGTGCACTTAATTAGTGATTTGATAGAATCATTTTTCTTGTCATTTAATTACGGTTATTTTATAGATTGTGGAAATAATGTAGAACATTATGAAGGGTCACAATTAAGTTTTAATTCTGCTCAGTTGCTTCTTTTTAGTCGATCCAAAGTCCATGTATAAATAAAATGTGCATAATTATCTGAATCTTTGTGATGACTCCAGAAACGCTCTATCCACTGAGACTTATTAACCATTCATGAATGCTCTGTGCTGTTTACACCTCCATGCACTTACCTACAGTACATTTCCAGAATGTCATTCACCCACTCAATATTTTTTATTCCTCCTTCATGATAAACTCAGGAATCAACTCCTCTTTCATTCGTATATCCCAAAAATGTTTATTGGGCGCTCATTGTGTCCCAAGAAAATTTCTAGTCTTGAGGAAACAGCAATGAAAATAAGAAAGAAAAAAATCCTTGCCCTTATGAAGCTTAATGTCTCTGCAAGAGGCAATAAAAATATAAATATATACTATTAAAGCCAAGACTGTGTTATATGAAGAAAACTAATACAGGATATAGAATGTGAGTAGGTTATCTTAGATAGGCAGTCAGGGATGCATCTCTGTGGAGAGGAGAGGACACTTAGGGAAATTTCTCAATGGAATGAGGGAGTGAGCTCTATGGCAGCCATGAACAGAGCATGCCTGAAAAATGGAAGAGCAAAACTTAAGCCTTCACTTCAAGTTCGCGCATACACACGAGAGCTGTAAAAGTTAGAAGTGGTGAAGAGGACAGAAGTGAGAGAGAGGAGTTTAGAGAGTGAGCCAGAAGCCAGATGAAGAGGGCACTGTAGGGCCATAGTGTTGAGTTTAACTTTGTGTAAACAGAAAGCATCGCAAATGTTGAAAAGGCAAGTCACAAGATCTGTTTTTAGATTACTTGACTGCCAAGTTGGGGCTAGATTAAAGGGTCGGGAAAAGAAGCCTGAGACCAGTTGGAAGGTTATTGAAGTGGATGGGTGAAAGATGATGAAAGCTTAACCAAAGTGAGAGCAGTCGATGTTATAAAAACTGGTCAAGTTCAAGATCAATTTTAAAGGTATAGGCTACAGTATTTGCTGATATATTGAACATGAACATGTGAGGGAAAAAAAGCAGCAAAGAAAATCTCTTAAATTTTTGGCCTGAGAAACCAGGTGAATGAAGCCGATTAAGAAAGGAGCAGGTTGCGTGTGTGTGGTAGTGTGGGGGTGGGGTTCATATATTGAAAGTTGTTTTAGTTATGAAAAGCTTGAGACACCTACTAAGCATACAGGAGGAAATGTCAAGTTGCTGGTTGAACACACACATTTGGAGGTTGAGAGTCATCAATGTATTGATGACCCTGAGAAGCCAAGGAATAAATTGAGGGCCTATAAAGAGAATATTGAGAAGAGGGGAAGTTCAAGGACTAAATCATTGAGCCCTAAATCATCTAGAGATTGGCAAGAAAAGGAGCTGGCATAGAAGCAATCACTTCCTCCACCGACCTACCCCAAAAATAGGTCTATTATAGTAGCCAGCCACATCACACTGTGTTTATTTTACTTTTATTACTCACATCCACCTAATAGGTTTCTTAATTATTTATTTTTCTATCAAAAATGTCCCTCCCTGGGTTTAACACATAGTAACACTCAAACATATTTGTGGAATTAATATATACTTGAATAAATTTTTTTGTAACTTGGCCAAGAAAATTTTGAAATAAGGAAAAAATATAAATGGTACAAGGCAACACTTAAATTTACTAGTATTCTTGGAAAACAATGATAGTGTATTCTTCTGCAAATAAGATATTTTGTTTCTTTTCTCTAAATTACCTCTATTTACTATAGACAGCTCAACTATCTTTGGATTTGCTTTTATCTCATTGATTCTGTATTTATAATTCCTTCATATCCTGTTACTAATTATTTTTTTAGAGACCATGCTTCTTTTCCATCATCAACTTTATTTCTATCACTGAGTGTGATAAAAATTCATCCATTGCAAATAAAGACCAGTTTCCATTAAGGACTTGCAGTCACAGTCCATTGAATCAGTGAATCATGCTTTATGTTATACACCACGTATATGACTAAACACTGAAGATATAGAGTCTACAGTCTCTGGTAGCACACCTATGCCTGCAGGCAGGTATATGCAGATGATTGGCTTCAGGTGTTTGCCTGCAGGAGCTTATTGAAAGTCAATGCAGATGAGGCCATTTTCTCTAGCAGAAGACATTAACCTGCAGGAACCTTGTAGGCACAGGTGTATTTTGGGACCATAACAGTGTATTTCTTAAACGTATGTTTAACATTATACATTAATCATGAATACCAGGTCAACAAAGTGAAGAGTACTCAATAAAATAGGTGAAAGAGGAGATAAGACAGTAAGTGGCACGGTACAATTGGAAATAATGCTTGTCTATACCTCCCTGCATCGTGTATTTCATGTCTGCCACCATTCTAGCTCTCATTCTGCCATGATTTTGAGAAAAATAATTTTTAAAAAATCTTAAGGCATGTTGATAAAAGGACAGTGAAAGAGAATCAAATGAAACTCATTTGGAATTACACTGTGTTTTAAATACAGAAAATTCATTAAGTTTAAGCCAAGCCACATAAGGTTCAACAGTTTTTTTCTGTTTCTAAATGAGATGAAGTATTCAATGCTAAAGCTTAGTGATTCTGTAAGGTCACATTGAGCTACATAACTGGATAGTAATTGAAAGGATATTCTAGATGTTCTGCTTTTGAAAATTGTTAAAACTTTTAGACACATTTTATCAGTGAAAGCATAAAAGAAACTCACCACCTTCTCTAACTAACCACCTCCTGGTGATCTTTTCCTAACCAAGAATCTCTTTAGTGTTTTCACAGTTTGCACTTCTTCATTACACGTATGCTGAAATCTTGCCTTAGGAAGCAGTGATTTTACTTATATAAGTTCTTTCCCCGTCATCACTTACATTCTAACTTTCCTCAAACTAAGATATGTATTCTCCACTTATTACACATCTTCCCATCCCTGCCTCCACAAGATGCATTCTTAAGTGAATTGAATTGTATAGCAAATTCTTAAAAATAGACTGTTTCTTTGAATGTATAATGGAGTTGAATTACTGG
This sequence comes from Homo sapiens, assembly GCF_000001405.40. Lineage (NCBI taxonomy): Eukaryota > Metazoa > Chordata > Mammalia > Primates > Hominidae > Homo > Homo sapiens. Next base: position 80,676,326 of record NC_000001.11, on the reverse strand, counting down.
GATGCAGACAGTATTGGTGGGGGTGGAAGGGAAGTTCAATGCTTTATGCGTATCATGCAACATTCAAATTAAAACACATATTTGACATTTGCAGGGGATTTAGTTCTATATATAATTTCTATATATAAGTTCTACTATAATTTCATATGCAGGTGGTGCTTAATAAATAATTTTTTATGACAAGCCAAGAATGTGCTGTATATAGGATTTGAACATATGCTTTATGATATTAATGATAAAGCATATGTTTAAAAACATTTTTATCCAAGCCTGGGACATATTGCCTCCGTCCTTTACTGAACATCTCCTCCAAAAAGGCCTTCTCATCTTGAAATAAAAATGTTTTAAAATCTAGGAACATTCCCCTGCTCTAGTTCTTCTTCCTGCTTGCCAATAATGTAACCTTCAAACACGTAAGTCTGAGATTGCCTGCCTTGCTTAAAAACTTTATAATCTACAGCATGGCACCCGGGACCCTTCACACATTTACAGTCTGATCCTAATATGCTTTTTCTGTCTTGTTTTTCACTATGCTCCCACCCACCCTATTAAACAGCTATATTGTTCATCGTTCTCTGAACACATCATGAAGTTTCACACTTCCATGCTCTTTTTTAGTATGACGTAATCATCCTGGAATGTGTTTTCCAACCAAATCTGCATGGTAAACCCGACTCAAACTCCTATTCCCTTCTAAAAGTTTTCTCCTCTGAGAATCCTTCCTATATTTCCTGACCTTTCTCTGCCCTGTCCTACTTCACCTCTCAGCTAACTTTTCCAACATGGTGACTCTCTTATTTGAATGTTCACACTCCCTGTGGCTTATCTTTATTGAGTGTGGGGAATAGCTCAGGCAACAAGAATAACCATGGTTAAGTAACATTCTTTAGGAGATTCTTCAGATCTATTTGACTCATTCTAAATACTTCATTTTACTGATGTTTTTGGTAAATAGCTTTTAAATTTCAGAAACCATATGTTTTTGTAGAAAGAATTTAAATATTAAAGTTGTACATGATAAAGATATGTAGAAAATATGTAAAGTAAAAATTATTCAATTCCCCTAGTTTCCTAGTTCAGAAGTAAACATTTTAAACAGCTTGATGTACATTCTGTCAGAGCTCTTTTTGCTACACATAGTCTCAGATATAGAAAGCCAGTTGGAATTTTTTAGAAAAATCGTATTTTTTTAATATACAGCTTTATTTTCTCTACTTGTAATACTTTTTGTACATCAGAACAGCCAGATCTGCCCTATATCTTTATAGCTTATCTTATACCTTATATCTTATACTTCTAATGTCTGCATAGGTGAGCTATTGATTACTTATTTATTGTTTGTTATTGACATTTAGACTGTTTTCAATAGCCAAAAAATGCTTCAGTGTACTTACTTGGATATATGTCTTTCCCTATTTGGGACACCAAAACCTGGGGTCCGTCTTGTTGAGCTCCCTATCCATAAGAATAATAAGAGTCATGCATCAGAAAAAAAATAAGTGTAAAAGGGGATTGATTAATCATATAATATGAAACAAAAGTTGCATATATGACTTATTCACTTAAGCATGATTGCATGTAGCTAACCAAAAATATTAAGTAGCAGAGTTCTCATTCTATTTTCCAATTCCCCCTCACTTAATCTTTGAAACTCTTTGCCTGTGTGACTGAAGCAACTGTCTTTGATCTAATTTGGAGCATTTCTTTTCCTTAACAATCAACAATCAATAGTCTCCCTCAGTCTTCCTGTTTTGTTTTGTTTTAAATTCCATGAGATACTTATTCCACATCCATCTAAACTGGGATAATCTTTATAAAAAATTTAGGTTATTACTAATTAAAGATTTTTCCCAGTTCCTGCATCTCTACTGCCAGGGGCTAAATGCATAGTTTCCAGTCACTGCCTGTAACAGGAGTTACCTTCCTATGCTGCATTGCAAAATGCTAGTTTCTTTTCCTCAGATTACAAAGGTTGTAACCATTTGCAGGACTCTGAGGCATTTTGCTTTGGTTTTTAGCTGTATTTATGTCTCTAAACAGTTGTTTCTTTGGGTGGACAGCTACTTTAGTTTCTTTTTTGCTGATATTTGCCACTCTTTGGGCAGAGAAAATCCTGCTATTTTTCAGAGAAAAGAAAAACTCCCAGAGTGCGGATTCTCCATGAGGCAGATCCTTGTGGAGAAACACTATGCTACACCCCTCTGGCTACAGCAGTCTCTGTTTTTACTATTTAACCATTTCTTACCACCCTATGTAGGCTTTAATGTGACATATATCAGAATGTATTGTATCTATGTGAACTCGTCTTTCTCCCCAGCAGAAATGTGAGCTACTTGTAGAAACGGTGAATTCATCATTGTTCCCCTCTCCTGGGCAGAATATCTGACTCAAATTATTCAATCATTCTTTGATGAAAGAAAAAATGTATATACAAATGAATAGAGTTAATTTTTATTGAGGATGGAATTTTAAACACGGTGCATTTTTGTGTTAGAGGTATCGATAAGATTGATTCAGTTGGAATTGTATGTGTTATTTGGCAAGAAAACAGTAACCACAGCTCAGAATTTTTAATATACAATACAGTGTTTAAAGTTTACTCATAATCACTGAACAACCTTTTTTGGGGGTGTGTCTTTTTTAAGAATAAAAAAGAGAAGAAAGAAAAGTAAGAAAAATAAGGAAGAGAAGAAAGGAGAAAAACTTCTTGCAATGATATACTACTGAAAATCCAAGGGCAGATTTTTTAACCTCTTGCACAGAAGCAAGATTTTATTTTCTGAAAGAAGAAAAAAGACGTGCATGAAAAAAAGTTACAGGCAGATTAATATTTGGAGAAAATAATGCTTATTTGGAAAAAAGACTTTTTATTCTTATGCTTCAAGTTGAGGAATAATTTCCCTCCTCATAATTAGAGCTTATTCTTTACTTATGTTCTTCATCTTTAACTCAGAAGACAAATTAGAAGGCAACTAGAAGGGGCAATCTACAATTTTGTCAAAACCAACTGTTCAGCCATGTTCTCTGTGAATATGTTGACCATCTGATGATAGAATGAACACATAATGGAGGCAGCAAACCATGAAGCCTGTTCAAATCCTTTATTTTCATTTGTGCTAGTTTCCTCAGCCATCCTTCTGCAAATAATTATATTTCTCTGTAGGAACAATTTTGACTGTCATTGCTCCTAGATTCTTTCTTTAAATGTACTCTTTGAAAAATGTGACTGGAAATGATTTCTGAAGCCATGTATACAATGCCTTAACTTCAGAGCTTGAAAGTGCTGATGGATCTCTTTAACGAGCGTAGAAACTAGCAAATGAAGTTTCCTCTGAATTCAGTCTCCTGAATAAGTTTGAGAATAATCCATATTTAACTTTCCAGAATTTATTTCTGGTCACCAGTAGTAGTTTGTACTACATACGAATTCTATACATATCTACTGACCTTTGGAAAACACTCTCTGATTACCTTGTATATTTTAACATTTTCCATTAAATGTATAAGTAGCTATTTGTATGGTTTCATACAATCACAAATTAATTTACTTTCATAATACTTTTTTATAGTATGCTTTCTTGATCTAAGTTTTGGGGTAAGTAAACTGTAGAAATGGAAACAATAACCTCCAAATCAATTAGGTAGAAAATATTATAGGTAAGTTTCTTTTATGATTTCTTTGTCCAGATGGCTACTAATGTTTTATTTTTTATTTTGAATCATTTCCCCAACATAATAATTTTGAGTAAAAGACAGTCAGAGGCCGGGCGCGGTGGCTGACGCCTGTAATCCCAGCACTTTGGGAGGCAGAGGCGGGCGGATCACGAGGTCAGGAGATCGGGACTATCCTGGCTAGCACGGTGAATTCCCGTCTCTGCTAAAAATACAAAAAATTAGCCGGGCGTGGTGGCGGTCGCCTGTAGTCCCAGCTACTCGGGAGGCTGAGGCCGGAGAATGGCGTGAACCCGGGAGGAGGAGCTTGCAGTGAGCCGAGATCGCACCACTGCACTCCAGCCTGGGCCACAGAGCGAGACTCCGTCTAAAAAAAAAAAAAAGCAGTCAGAATCCTCTATGTCTGCTTAAAGACATATGGCCCACTTAAATTTGTAATACTCTATAACTGGCATTTTATAGTGATATATTTATAGTATTTCCCTTCCCTTGTCTCTTTCCATACTGGAAAATGAACACATGTAGGAATACAGTAGATTCACTACACAGTAATAGGTTGAAAAATATGTAAATAACACATCGGGATAATACCAAACTTTTTAGCCTTTACCATAAGCATTTTATCAGTATGCAGGAATCTTCAAAATAGAAAGCAATTATATATCTTTAGCGAAGCATTTTTTTACTGACTAAAATAATTCACCTAGCAATCCTAGAACCCGATGGAATTATATCAAACTGGCACAAGACATCTGATCATCAATTTTAGTTGACATATTAATCCATCTATTCCTTGGCTATGCTTTGGTAAGTCAACTGCATTGTATTAATCAGAAGGCTAGTGGGTGGAATTGGATAACAACTGTGCAAAAGGGGAAGAGTGTGGGAAAATTGCATTAATTCATGTCTGTCTTAGGACTGAAGTAGAAATGTATAAATAAATCTATGAGTTGGCTATTAATTCATATGGATTAATATATAATATCAGAAAGCAACAATCTCTGAAGATACTAGCTAAATGAATTAATATATTTTCAAAAAATCTAGAAATGTAGCAGGAACTTATGAGCAGACATTTCATGTCTATGCACAGTCTTATGCATTACATAAAAACAATAAGAATTTTCTGCACCTTCATTCATTAGGGTGGCCAGTCTGAAACTGTTCAGTCATTCTAAGCTAAACCCAAACTCTACTGGTTGTTTATTACTGAATGTCATTTGGAAATCTATTTCCTAGCATATTATTATGTTCTGGTTTATGGTATATTTCCAGAGGGTTAACACTTTTCATGTCATTATTAATTCAAAACATATTTATTAATTCTAGTTAAGAATTTAGTAGTGCTTTCACTAGCTTTGCCTAACTCCCAAAAGAGATGTATTGTGTGGATTTATCAAATTAGTCCATCTTTATGACTTATTCATTCTGAAGTGATAGAATGTTCAAATTATGTTTAAGAAAATTGTAACAGTAAGAAATTTTGTATACTTTTCTCTTTTTCTAGTCTTCTGATATTGTTTTCTAATCTTGTTCCCTCCAAGAAGCTTTAAAATATAGGCCAGGTTAAAATGATACGTTAAAATTCACAAGCTTTTTTATCCCTGATAATAACTTGTGGTCAGAAATGAATTTGGGACGGATATGAAAAGATGTAAGAAGAACTTGACACACTAGTATGGTCTAAACTTACATTATAATTGCTCTTCATAAAGGTACTTTAAAATTACTTTTAAGGTTTGGGATCTGAGTTTTACCCAAGAGTATTTTTTACTCAGATGTCAGAAAACAATTTAACTTATGATAATTGTACCTAATTAGAAGACATTTAGCCATTTTAATTTTACAAATGGATTTTCCAGAATGATATGTTTAGAATCTTTCTACATGTCTGTAAAAAAGAAAGAAAATAGAAGTAGTCAGAGCTCAATTATAAGCTATATTTGTCACCATGTAATCATAAACCTTCTCGTTTATGTTTCAATCACAAATGTCATTTCCACTCTTGAGAGTTTTTTATGAAGTTGTTAATAACATTGCATCTAGAATTTAGGCCTGGAAAGCAGAGGAACATATTGAGTAAATAGAATGGAATATCTCTGTAAACCATGTCCACTAAAAAGCACATATATTGCTCAAATTCTAAGAAATGCTGTCTTGAGTTAAATTTTATGGTACAACAATATTATTGATAAATTCTAGAATAAAGTTTAAAAAACAGCAGCCTTATACTTGTAGCATTGGCAAGTTCTGTGTTTGCAGTTATAGAGTTTGTGGATTTTTATGTGACAGGGAAATCTCAGCAACAAAGTAATGGTGGATGGAAACAGCCTAGCTCACTAAGAGGCTTCAAGACTCTGAAGAGGGGGTGGTTAGAGCCAATTCCAAATGGGCAGTAGAGTATCTCTTAAAAATAAAGCTCTAAAATTGATGTGAACTTAGAAGTGGATGCCATAGGCTATTATCGTCTTGCAAATAAACACTTATCTTTGAGGACACTATTATTTTACAGTGAGCAAATAATCCACAATTTAGATAGATAAAAAGAGAGATGCATAATATTCTCTGATGCTTGAAGGGAAGTTTAAAACAATCTTATTGGTAATTTTTTTGTGTCTATGTGCAGGACTACAACATTCCTTTGCTTTAGATAAAGCATTGACATCAGTCCAAATCACTAAGGAAAGTCTAATTTTCAACAGGAATTTTTGATAGTTTTAGATCACAGGATTAGCCCATATTCAACAGTATACCTAAAGTGTCTGCAGGGATTGCTTTGGATGCTTACATAGTAGCTGTGTCTTCACTTTTCAAGGTAGTGTTTCACACTACATTAATTAAAAAAAAATGTCTTTCCAAAATAAAATTGAATTCAGCTTTTTTGTTCTTTTCAGCATGTAACTTTAAATAGTTTATCAGAAATGACTGGCAGCTTGATTTCAAATTTTGTATATTTCATTTCAGAGGGAAATAAAATTCCTTCTTGTTGAACCACACATTTTGCATGAACTTATGCATTTAATTTGTTAGATCCTTTTCCTTCTGCTGGGACACATACTCAGTAAGAGTTTGATTTTCTTTTCTTGATTGTTGTTAATGTTGCTCTGATTTTTTTTTCTCTCAGTTACTGATACCTCATAATAGGACAACCGACACCATTATCAGGATATGTAAGATGTGTTACAGCCACAGGCAATGCTTTTAGAATGATAAAATCAGTAAAAAGAATGCCAGAGTGTGAGAGGAGTGACCACCCCCCAAAAAAAAAAACACACACACACACACGAAAGTTAAATAAAGTAAATGATATTGAACACTTACTGCACATAATATACAAAATTTAAGTTGCTGGTATTCAAATATCCAAACTTTATTCCTTAGAAAGGAAATGAAAGTAAATATAATGCAGTTAGGAAGGCAAGTTACATGATTATAAAAGTGAATCCATTTAAACATTTTCAGGCTACTCAGTGGTTGTCATGCTTGTGAAATACCAGTCCAGCCAACAAAATGACCAATCACCAAGGCTTTGCTTCCTATGCTTCTTGTCTCAGAGTACTTTATGATTTCATTTGGATTTTCTTTTCATATTTTACCCTTGCTCCTCTCAGAATATAAGTTGTCTAAGTTCTATTCAATCACAATTACATAAAGACAAAATCAGTGCTAAGTAAGGATTTTTAATAATTACCTGTGAGCTTAATCGCAACCATGTAATTCATAGTATATAAAACCTGAGTTTAAATTAAATCATATGGTTTCATGAAGGATATTCTATGAGGTTTTTGTCTTTCAGCTACTTCAGCATAACAATTAAATTAGATAGCACAAAAAATTAAAAGAAGCATTTTCCATAAAGCCATTGATCAAATTAATGGTTTTTAAAATCAAATTGTATTACAGCTAATTTTCTTTGTTCTTATATATTCAATGACTGTATAATTAAATCCAGCCTTCTCTATTATGCCATTAATTATTCATAAATAAATATTGTCACAGTAATGTTTTTGCAACATCCAGCTGAAATGTCTAAGAAAAGATGTATTCTGAGACTAAACTGACAGATTGTAAAGCTATTGCTGAATCAGCTAAACATGCCATACTGATTAAAGTAAGCATTTAGGTTTCACATGCAAAAAAACTTCGTTTTCTTTTCACAAGTTACTGTCAATTTTTTAAAATGGCATGTTTAACTGCTGCCTCTGCTCTTTAAAAAAATGTTTATAGGAGAATGATTGGGTATTGCTAATTAAAATTATTCAGGAAAAAACTTTACCTATGAAAAATACTATGCCATTATATTAATTTGTACCTAACATTTTAAAATCTTACATTATCATATATGTTTGAAGATTTGCTGCTGATAGATGATCATTGTAATGAATGCCTGTGGGACTGTGTAGACTTTAGGAAAGTAAATTTACTATGGTCATAAAAATGGGCTTTGCTTTCTGACTGTTTTGGCCTCTTTCACTTTGATAACCACTAGATAGGGCTAACCTGGAATTTATTTATCATATTAGGTTCCAATGTACCTCCAAAGCACATGCTATTTCCTACTGATTTCCGCTGACTTCCTTTCCAACTTTTCTTTTTCCAGTATCTTTCTGTCTCAGTTCCAATTCCTAGGCATGCCCCAAACATGCGCCTTTGCCTGGCTGTTTCCATCTCTGTTATTTCCATCTTATCTCTATTCCTCCAGAATATCCAAAGTTATATTCTGCATAATATGTCATCCAGAAGATCAGATATACATGCAGGGAACCTACCCTGCTCTTGTTTCTGGCCCTTCAAACCATCAAATTTAGTAATAAACATGAAAATTTCCAAGTTTTCTATTAGGACTCTTATTGCTATGCTTAACATTTCAATATTGCATATAAAGTTTCTGACATTTTAGTTCCATTTATTTCAAAAAGTCTAAATTAATTTTGCTTTACTTTAAACAGATTGGACTAGTCTATCACATCTATAGCCAATGTAGGATTATAGCAGTGTTTAAAATTAGAGACACCATGAGTGTTTGAGGTATGTCAAATCTATAGTACACAGCAATGGGTGTCCAGCTGAGGTTTTTTTAAGTATCAGATTCATACTTTACTGTAATTTTAAAGTTTAGATGGGCTTTCTAAAATACTAAAAATTATTCACGAGAGTGATTAAAAGCTTGAGTAGAAAAGCTATAAGGAAACAGAAAAAGGATAATTTGTAATATATTAGTACCTATTTACACACTTCTTTTCAGTTTTTCTTTTATGTATTTTTTGTATCATAAGGTAATGCTGAATATACAAGCTAGTATCTTGCCTTTAAAAATTTTATTTTTATTCATGTAGTTTTATATCACGGGCACTTCTTTACATTCTACATAGATATTTTATGTAATATTTAGAATTTAGACTCTGGAGGCTACCAACTTAAACTTCATTACTGGCTTTGCTCCTTTTAGGGGCATAACCTTGCACAAACTCAAGTTCTATGAACCTCTGTTCTTACATATATATTCAATGGTAGTAATTATAAGGCTATGATGGCTAATTTTATGTGTCCACTTGAAGGGCATTTTGGATGACATTAACATTCATATCAGTGAACTTTGAGAAATCAAACTGCCCTCCAAGATGTGAATAGGCCTCATCTAATCAGCTGGAGAACTGAAAAGAAACAACAACAACAAAAAAAACAAACAGGCCACCCCAAGCAAGAGGGAATCCCCCCATAGAATATCTTTGGACTGGGTCTGCAATGTTGGCTCTCCTGTGTCTTCAGCCTACTGGCTCTCACTGCAGATTTTAGAGTTGTCAGCCTTCATAATTGTGAAAGTTAATTGTTTATAGTCAATCTCCATGTGTGTGTGCGTGCGTGTGTGTGTATGTGTGTGTATATGTGTATCTTAATGATTCGGTTTCTCTGGAGAACCCTGAATAATACAAGTGCCTACTTCTCTGAATTGTAAAAATTAAATGAAATAATAAATGTAAAGTACTCAGTTCTTACATAATTAATGCTATATAAGGATAAGCTAGTCTTCCTTATAATGCTTTTCATAATATTTAAAAGGCTATATGTTTTTATATTATAAATCATGCTGCAATGAACATCTGAAGGCATCTTTTTTTATTTTTCTAAATTTCTTGTTGTTTCCATAAGAAAAGATTCATAGATGTGGAATTATTGAGTCAACAGAAGCAGCTATTTAAATTCTTCTGCAACAGTTTGACAAATTAATTTCTAGAGAAGTCACCACATTATTTTCAAGCCATATATGAAGGGGCCACACTCATGTCACATGCTGTCATTTTGAAGTGATGCTCTTTCCTGTTTCTGTATTGACATAAATTGTGCTTCTCAGATTTAGAGAGGGTTTTCAGGAAATGACTATGTGTTACTGTATCATATACAGCATACATTGTGCTGGTCCTGCATCTGGAAATCCTCTGGTAAACTTGTGTTGCTTTCCATATTACAAATAAAAAGCTCTTATTACTATGCATGGTTACTCACATGAATAAATAAAGCATATTTCCACATCAGAAATACTTGGAGGTATGCTGGCCAATAGTTCTGTCCCATATACCCATTTTACAATTACATAGGTAACCTGAACAGTTCATCATACTTGCCAGACTTCTGCTTCTCATTGAAGATGCATCTTCCTCATAAAATATTAGTTGAGTTTACTAAACACTTTGCTCAGGATTTTCTTATTGCTTGCTCTCTCTCTCTCTCTGTGCGTGTGTGTGTGTGTGTTAACATGTTTTGTGGTAGATCAGTTCCCTGTGATCTAACCTCCAGCTTCTTCTGAAAAGTAAGCTACTCAAATACTCAAAGGCAGACATGAGATCACATTTATTTTACATTAAAACATGATGAAAATTGAAAATATACAGGTGTTTACAAGTAAGTATGGACTAAAATTGTCAATACTTTCTACATTCTCAGCAGGCACTGAAACATGCTGATGGGTGAATTGATTGTTTCAAGGATTATCTTATGAATTGGCAGGCATTTGAAACCAAAGAAAGATTAAGGCCTCTAAAGTAATGTCCTGACCGCAGGAAAGAATGGCTAAAGAGATCTTTTTCTTAATTTACTACTGATTTTATCTTCCGTGATTTTAGAGACCATTACTTCTCTGAGCATTAAAACAAAGCAATAGAAAAAGCCAAAAAAAAATAGCAAGAAGTATAGACAAGCAGATTTGAGAATTCTAAACATTAACTTGATGCTCATTTCTTTAGCTTTAGCTTGTAAAGTATCTTTCTAGACATAAGTTGCAGGTAATGGAGCTCCATATTCCCCAAAGTTTTTGTTGCTTTCTGGAAACCTTTATGAAGAAACCCATGTTTTGATGTGGCCTTATAGTCATAAGCTAGATGATTTTGGCTTTAGAAATTTTTAATGTTCAGCAGAATTTTTTTAACAGATTACAAAACAAAAATTCCAAAGGATAATTCATTCTTTGAAATGACAACTAAGTTAACTTAGAAAAAAATGGAGAAAGTTGCTATAGGGGATGCTTCTGCATAACTGTTGCTATACAATGAGTGGAGCCAGGACGAGGCAATAAAATGCCGCAGGATGCAGGTAATGGAAGAATGGGAGTTGGCTGTGTGTATCTTGAAACTTATTCATGTCAAAGAATATTATATTTATTGGTCCACCTCCCTTTATGCCAAGAACAGTACCAGGTTTTCTGACTTCTTAGTAAATTTTAATTAAATCACAGTAAGAGGAAACAAATTTAACTGAGTGAAAGAATCTTTGTAGTTTCTTCTACTGTATTGTTTATAAGGTACATCATTATCTCAGTTAAGAAACATGTCTCTGTGAACCATAATGTAGTAACTAACAATATTTTAGTGTTTTCTAGGTGTCACGCACAATATTCAGCATTTTATGTAGATTATTTTTTAATCATCTCTCTGTCAACAATCCTATGAAGTAAGCTGTTATGATATAGATGAGAAAATTGTGGTTAACTTGCACATAGCAGAAGTGGGTTGCAAAAATATGCAATAAAAGCTAGCAAAAGTTATTTTAAATTATCCTATGAAAATATGTGTTTAGGATACAAGTCCACTTTCAGCGTTAAGAAACCTTCCTTCTTTCTCTGTATTTCTTCACAGAACCCTGTTTTTAGGTAAAATTTTCTCCATCTTCACTTGCAGGTGGTCACTTGATCTGTCCAAATTAGAAAAGAATGGTACCTATGTGGTCTCTAGACTTTCTAGATTGATAGTACTGTTGATGTTTCAATAACTATTTCATGTACCCTGAGGCCAGAATAGATATTTGTTTCATTTATTAAGTAATTAAGTTCAAAAAATTTAATAAGCATTTGAAAAAATGCACAGAAATTAAAAGAAAAAATGTTATTTTATTTTAGATAAATACAATTCCATACAGATGGGATGCCTATGTCTACTGAGTACTGCACACTCAAACAGCATAATTTGATCAAATACCACCATCTTAATTTCCTGTGACACATTGTTTTTTGCATGAGACTTGTTTTTTTATCACAGGAATTGCCAAAATCCTAGCTTTGCAAATATATGACACCACTACAAATAATGTAACAATCTAATGATGAAATTTTGAACTACCTCTAACTAGCAATTTGGATGGTATTTGACAGAGATTGAGTAGAAGAATATTTCAAAATTTAAAAATTTCTTACAGTGGTTCTGTGAGTTTCTTGTAGCACCCAAGGCACCTAACAGAGAGTTTGGAAACCATGGGGCTATACATTTTGTGCTGGCCTACAAAGCATATTATTTATATGGGAACCTTTTTCCGTATTGGCAGAGAATATTCAGCAATTGATGTTTTTATATATAGATATTTCCAATTATGGCTGAGAGAAAAAAAGTCATTAAATCTTTATCACAAATTTCTAACTCTCAGTTGTTTTCTTTGAAATTAAGAGAAAAAAGCAGGCAATAAATACCTGTATAGGTTATTATAAGTTCTCAGTTAAGTAGTAGATCCACTCTTATTTCTTCCATCTGACATTAATAGCCATAAAAGCAAGGGCAATCACTTTGCCTGTCTAGCATTAAGTTTCCTCATGAATGAAATGAGGGGATTGAGCTATGTTGCCTCTGAGAAAAGTTCCAGCTCTAAAAGTCTATGTTTTCAGGACACTAAGTAGATAGATTTCTTTGACTTTGTTCCTCTAACACAAAGTACTTTGCTAATATTCTGTACATACTGGTATTTACTACATATTGCCATTTAATTAAAAGTACACCCACGACACTGATTCGTATTATCATATTTTACTTTTTGATAACACTTGTTAACTGTTTTCCTTTCTTTGCAATTTCTTTTGATTGGAATTATATCACAGGTAGCAGTTGTAGGTGTGTGTGTGTGCGTGTTTATCTATTGAACTGCTACATACACACAAAAAACTATCAAAATCTTCAATGATGGAAAAGTCAACAGTTTGGAACTATGATTTTTCTTTTCACAGTAAGTTATGTAGATCAAATTTCTTTTTGAATAAAAATTTCAATGCTTATTGTTAACTCATATGTGAGTATACCATCAGACAATTTTGTCTTCAAAATTTTGGTGGTTGTTTGTATTTTCTTTGGAATGTTTATGAAGGAGCAACTGAGAAACAGAATCTCAGTCTATTTTATCAAGAAACAAAGAGGAAGAGACAAAAGAGCAGATATATCTTAGGAAAGAGAAAAAAAGATGGGTATCTCTGAAGAGGATGGGTTGTAACAAGATTTACTTTCTAGCATAACCAAATTGGAAGAAGTGATTTAAATGTATACGGCAATGTGAGTTTTTACTACCACTTCAAAAATCCTATCAATTTTGTAAGCTTGCTGAAATCCATTGACTCATTCAGAATGAGGAACATGTTTAGGAGAAAAAATTGCCCATAAAAATTTTTAAATAAAACTTTTTGATATTTCATACTTTGAGTTTTCCAAACCTCATCAAGTATTAAGTAAAAAGAGGTTTATAATAACAGGAATAACTAAATTTTTTCTGACTTCCTCCCAAATCTCAACCAATATAGAGTAGGAGTCCCCAGGAGCATCTCAATGAGCTAAAAAAAATACTTTGTTCATACTTATCAACTTCTCTTCATTAATTTTTACCATTTTATTAGCTACATAGATGTCATTCCTAACTGTTGCAAAAATTGCTGGTGCAGTATGAGGCCCACTGTGACAAACAGCAATGGTGGGGATTGGCATTATTTAATACCACCTCGAATTCCTAAATATGGCTCTGAAATCTGCATCTATAATCTTGGCTTCTATTTTAACTTCTAGACTTTAACAATCTGCAGGGCATCTCCAGCTAGATCTTATAAACCATACAAATTTCTAGTGCAACAAATCAGAAGAGAACTCTATAAATTTCCAGTCACACCCACATGGCCCTGCCCCTCATGGCCCTGCCCCTGTTGAAGCCACCAGCATCTTCATGCCTTCAGGGATTCAAAAGCCATTTTCAAGTCCAAATATTTAATCAACTTTCACATTTAATAGGAAGCCAAGCCCTGTTCATTTTTGTTCCATGGTATTTATAAAGTCTATCTGCTAGTCTTCATTCCCACATTATTGCCTTAGGTTATATCCTTTCCTATTGTGATAACGTCCTAATTAGCCTCCTCATACTCCTCTCGTTTTCACATTTAATTTAATCTATATGGTAGCTCCATAATTTCCTTTCTTCAACTGAGCTTTGTAATTTTTGTTGCCTACAAAATAAACCAAAAAAAAAACCCACCCCCACAAAACAAAATGTAAACTCCCATTGCATTTAGGTCTCAATGCAACCTGATCTCCAGCCTATTTTTCTAGATTTATTCCCCTAGATCTCCCATTCACACTCACACTTTGGGTTTTCCAGTAATGGAAAAACTCACTCTTCATCTGTATTCATCTGACAGTCACTTAGCCCAACCACAGAATTCCAATACCTCAGCCTGAAATGCTGAGGAACCATTCCTGTACCACCTAAATTCTTTATTAAAATTCTGCTCAGTTTACTCTAATTAGGGCCCAAAGAGTATGGAACCTTATCCAACAACAAATAGAATTACTTGCAATGTTCCTATAGCATGTAATTTTTAATTCTATTATATTGCAGTCTGATTTGCATCATAGTGACTATCTCTCTTCCTATGAGTGTGAGTTCCTTCAACAAAGGCATCACATCATCTTCATCTTTGTACTAATATTTCAATTTCGTGGGGGCAGATTCAGAATGAATAATTGTTATGATGAAGTTAATTAAATTATAGATTGACCAAATAGAATTATTGTAAGATTGAGTGAGTGGATCAAGCTCAGAGAGGACAAATATTCCCCCCAGACCTTTTGATCACAGTGCCTCTGATATTAGCAGGAAAGCTGTTCCCACGACTATAAGAAGCCACTGAATCAGGAAGGGGCAGAACACAGAGCCCCACTGTCTTTGCCCCAATGGGGAATTCTTCCCACATCATGGCAGAGAGTCATCTAGTTAGGATCCTTGATGCTTCTGCTACAAACTTTATCATCAGAAATGATTGCATTAGGTTCTTCTTCTCTTGCCATAACTCAGTTTCAAATCTAAAACTTACAAAATGTGTTTGGCAGACACTAAATTACAACAGAACTCCCGAGATGAGAAGATTGGGAAATACAGTTTGGATTATCTAGCCTTTTCAGTACAGGATAGCACACCAAAAAGTGATTGGAATGGAGGTTGTGTGGGAGCCAAGGCACAGTACCTACAAAACTTCTGCTGGAAATATTTGTCATCCGTACATACCCTTCATCCCAAATTTAAGCTTCCAAACAGGAGCATTTGGAAACACAATATGATGCCAGCTAACATGATGCAATATCTCTCTATAAATTAAAATGAGTTCTAGCAAGCACTGATTTCATCTCTGTGTGATCATTTCTCCTCTAATTCTGTCACAACCCTGAACCAAGGATAAAATTATAAAGTTAACCACCACCCACACTGAATATAAAATTATAGGAGAAAGGAAGAGATGAAGGAAAAAAGTAAAGTTAGCTAATAAAAATATACACATAACAGAACAAGGAACAATATGTTAGCCACTGAAGACCTCATTTGTACAGCTGGTAGTGATATCATAGTTGGTATTTATAATTTTGGTCCTGCTCCTTCAAGTCCGTTTTCTACTTGCTTCTCATCCAGTGCCTAACAGGAGTTTGGATGGGTAATTCAAACATTCACATCTGAATGGTCTGAGTTC
This sequence comes from Homo sapiens, assembly GCF_000001405.40. Taxonomy (NCBI): domain Eukaryota; kingdom Metazoa; phylum Chordata; class Mammalia; order Primates; family Hominidae; genus Homo; species Homo sapiens. The sequence goes on along the minus strand of NC_000001.11, from coordinate 80,660,404 downwards.
TTAGAAGACTTCCTTATATTGAAATGCTACAGTTTTGCCATTATTATTATTATTTGCAATGGATATGACAGTTCTATCAGGCACACAAAAGAATGCACTGGTTTCCAAATATTTCCTGTGTCCCTAATGCACAATGGTCACCTTATTTCCCCTGATTAATGAGGATCAATCACACTCACCCACCTTGTAACATTCTGTGTAAATACTGAATAAATATCATGAGAAACCTGGAATGGCCAGGTGGCAAGCTCAAGTCTGACTCCAATTGAGCTATCGTTGTGTTCCCTGATGGAAGAATTTCTTCCTTGAGTACTAAGATCTCCAAGCCAGGAGAGGTCAAGATCACAGGAATTGAAAGCAGCATTTTGTAAATGGGTCATAAAGTGAAACAGTGAGAGGTGACCCTCCTACCCCCATTCTTACCTCCCAGACTCATGTATTTCAGCTGTGACAAAAACAAACAAACAAAAAACACCATTATGCTTGTTGGTTAAGAAGATAATCCATATGTACACATCAACAAATCATATGAAATTATTTTCTAGTTGGTAACATTACTGAGCAGTACATATAGTCTTCCACTCTCTTAAAAGGCTCTCTGACTCTGGATGATGGAGTACATGATATGACTCTTTAGTGCTGTGGCAATTATCCCCTTGCTCTGCTTTTTTTGCTGTAAAGCAAAATTCTTGGTCAGAAGGAATCATATGCGGATATTTTAGAGTGAAGAATGAATGCAGTAAACTTAGGAATGTTGTTTGTAGAATCACTGTGGGCAAAGAAGACAAATCTGCATTCAGAATAAGTGTGTATTTCACTATGGGCAAATTGTTACTTATTCTATTATCAAAAAAAGAAAAATACACGTAAGCGACATTTTACCGGGAGGTAGGTGTTTTCTCCAAGTTATGGTGTTATATTAGAGGTTCAACATTCGTTTCTCTGCTAGTAAACAGGGTACTTAGGCCATGAAATGTAACATTTATTCCAGATGTCCATGTGGCTAGCTAAAAATCAGGAATTCTATTACTAAGAAAGGGAGAAACAGATGTCAGGAAGAAATTCATAGGCTCTGCCAAAACACCGAATCCACTGATGCAGATGTGAGTCTTGTCTCAGTTTAAATTCAGGTTATTTTTAAATTGTTATTTACTATAGTTTAAAAATAACCTGCATTTAAACTGAGGCTAGACATAACATTGATAAAGCATTACAAATTAAATTTTAAATAACTTTATTGAGAAATGGTACTAGGTCATTTCAAACGTTATCTCATATTTTTATAATAATTCAAAGAACCTATTTTAATATAAGCATTTAAAATATTTGCTTTAATATAGGCCTTTAAAAGACTAAGATATTTTAAGGATGTTGCCTGAGATCAGAGGGTCAGAACGAGAAGATAAGCCCAACACTTTTCAAACTCTACAGCCGTTTCTTAGGCTGAGATACTGCTTGACTTGTTATGTGATTGGATAGAGTAGGTAAAATTTTGTAAAAGTTTGCAATGTACTCAGTACTGTGGTGCCAGGCACTGTGTTAGCATATCATGTATTTTCTCATTTAGTCATATTGACCAAATGAAACAGATATTGAAATTAAATAATTTAAAAATTTAACTTTACCCAAGATCATATAGCTAATATGCGGGACTCATCCCAAGGCCATAGGATATCAGAGTATGTATTGCTAAATACACACAACTCTGCTTTCAGAGGTGAGATTAGATGGCACCAGTAACAGCTGAAATACTGGAATAACTTAAGAGTTAGGAGAATGTAAATCTGAACTATTATCATAAAGAAATACCTATTTCTCATGAATAATTGGATGAATAGTATAAAAATAGTCTAAACAAAAATTCAATGTAATTTATATGCTGCAGAAGTATTGAAGCATGAATTTCAATAAATTCTTTTAAAACAGAATTATAGTGAAAGTGAGCACTAGACATCATGTGTATCGTCACCCTAAAGAGGAAAGTCATTCACTTTTATATAAATATATCTTTATAAATTATTCCTTTTAATAGCCAATTTGTGACCTAGATTTGTACTTGGCAAATAATTGAGAATTGGCATTTAAATCAGACATTTGTGTTTAGAATTACAATTTTAAAAAATAATTCAACATCATTTCTGTGGAATAAAAGTCTAAATAAATATTCTAACTTATTTTGGGGGTTTTTAAAAGGTTAAGGAAATCTTATTGTACTCTAAATGTAGAATAGACTCATGTACAACACAGATCAGAGCAAACATTTTATCAAAAAAAAAGTCAGTGAAGCAGCCCTCTAAGAATATTAAAATGCTTAGTTTCCATGGAATGTGTTTGACAGTAAGATTTTTAAAAGATCTAAGAGGCTGACCTTTCTCCTCCACAAACTAAGTAGACTTTTTAAAATGAGCACATCTGGTTTATGTTCCTAAACCTCTGGCCTTTAAAAGCTTTGTTCCCAATTCACACAAAATACCATTCAGGATTGCTTGACACAGTGACCCTTCCCTGTAGGTGGTTAGGTGAATAAAGTGATTAAGTAGATTCAGGAATTTAGCATATACGTAGCAAGTTAACATTTGCATCCTGAAGTGATTAGTAAACAGTACTGTTCATTGGGGTATTTTAAGCAATTTTACTTTTTGAAGTTCTAATTATAAAATATTACTGTTTTTCAAAAACCAGATTTATCTTTCTTGTAAACAATTATACTGGTGCTATTATCTGGTAATGTAGAATAAAGCACATGCTGTTATAAACTAAAGGTATTTTGTTTTATTTCAAAGCTCCAACGCTGTTACTAGAAAAAAAAAATACTGAAAGGGTGGTCAGGTTGGATCCATAAATCTAGATGGCCGTTGAACATTTAACCAATTCTTTGGTACTCAATTGAGTTAAACATTAAATGGTGCATTGGCAAGGAAGATTTTATTTCTATGAGGCCCACTAATAAAATACTCTGAGTTATTTGTGTAGAATGTAATTCCTTATGACTTTGCCTTCCATTTGCCTCGAGGATATACCAGTTTAAAACTGTTCAGCACACTACACCATGCATAACAGGTAATCTGCCTAATTAAATCCTATAAGGATGTTCTCAGTAAAATGCTGAAGAGCTCCCATAACCTCTGCTTCACCCTCCCCATGCACCAGAGCTTCTGAGATTGAGAAACCCCAGCCATTAACTGAACTGTTTACACTTGAAGCTCAAAGTCTACTTTGCTAGAATGGCTCATTTCACATTTTACAAATCTGTTTTCTCATTTATAAGCAGAAAGTAATTTGTCAATTTTTTAATATTATAATTCTCAACTTGTTCTGAGAGAAAAGGATCTAACATACAACTGCAATTCATATTGCAAAAATCATACTGTGACTGGAACTGCTATATTCAGAGATCTAATAAGATTTACATCTATATTTTGAGTGCATTCATTTGGTATGTTTCAATGAATTATTAATTATGACCAACAATAAAATATTATTTTGCTCAGATGCACAGCAATAGGAAAGATGCCCAAGAGAAATTTATCTGACAGCTCAAAACAAAATGGCCAAAATTCACTCATAGGTTACTCATCCAACGCAGCATGACTCATATTTGCCCATCAAAAGCACTCCGTGTGTGTTTTTCTCAGCTTGTCAATGTTTTGTCAAGAGAATAAAAGACAAACTTTAGCCTTCAGATTAAAAAAAACGTAAATTTAATGATTAAAAATAAAATATGATAGATGAATAATTTTTTGGAAAGCTCTTCAATTATACTAGAAATTGATAACAATGATTTTTATTCAATTAGCATCAATATGGCCAGAACCATCACCCCATATAACCAAACTACATATTATATATTTTATTGACCTATTTCTGTTGACACAAAAATACTACCTCTTTTCATATTCCCTTCTAATCATCCTTTCTATTCTACTCAGTAAAATCCTAAGAGAGAAACCTCATGCAAATTACTGACTCATGCTTTTTCTTTTATTGTACACATTGGACTGAGTGCCAAATCAGTCCTACATATTTACTCAATCTACATCTTTCAAGTTTGCTCCTTCTTTTTTAATCCTTAGGCTGTTTCAGGCTGGGCTTTTGGCAGTATCTTTTTTCTCAACTGTACAAACAGCACACGAATAAACCCTCCAGTCTGTTGCCTGGCAGGTGTTCTAGGGATATTTCAGAGATGGCCACTAGGGCACTGGCTAGTTCCTGGTAAGCTTCTTCAAACCACTTCAGCTGAGTTGCCAGCATCTAGCTGCTAGTCACTAGTTTCTCAATCCCAGAAAGAAGTTAATCATAAATCCCAAGAGATAATGAACTCTGTGAAGGGCAGATGCTAGCTAAACATATATATACCTGATTTTAGATCCAAATAATTGGAGACAGATTAGCGTGTTTGCTAGGAACACTAACATTCTAGTACAAAAGAGCTGGGTTTAATTTCCTGCTATGCAAGGATCTCAGAGAAGTTGCTTAATTTTGTGTCTCAGTTTCTTCATCTGAAATAATGATACCATTAGGTTTTATATAGAAGACTGAGAAAATGTTTGTACAATGTTCTCAATGCTAACAAAAATCAACTCTCAAAAGTTATAATTAGATCAACTCTCAAAAGTCAGAAATCAACCTTTCATATCAATATAGTTATGTCATTACTTAGACTATATCTGCTATTATTCTGTATTTAAATTTTCACAAATCACTCGTGATCTTCAACCTGTACTTCAAAACAGGTATACTGGATTTTCCACTTCTCTCCAACTGCTACATTTAATTTTGCTTGTCTCTCTCTTTTCAATCACCTTTTATAAGAGCCTTTGAACAGAAGTCACAGACTGCTAATTATGAGATTCTTTTAATCTTTAGATTTTTTCAAGAGAAGGTAAAAACCCAGAGTTTTGTGTGACAACTCATATAAAAATTGACAAATAATGCAAAAAAAAAAAAAAAAAGATTAAGTTTGGTATTATTGGCCCACATTAGCTCATGGCAAAACTCAATTTATTCCCTTTATTAGCAGGTTACCCATCATAACTCAAATTGCATACCACATCTCTGTTATCTATGTACCTCTTAGAGGCATTTAACTTTGTGTTGTTTGCTTCAGAACCTTGTCCTAAGGCTAAATTATGTGTCTAAAATGCCTGTATATTAGGTTTCTTTTCCTGTTTTTCTGCTTACTTTGAAAATATATATTGGCATAGCTTATCATAGTCCCGTTTAGCCATGAAACATTCACAAATATCCTGTCTTAATTCCCTATTAAGGATTTTTGTTTTAACCTCAATATGTAATATATGCATATTCATGGATTCTAAAATTCAACATAAATCAACAGACTTGCTCTGATAGTGAATGATCTATGCAATAAGAACTGCAATTCATATTGCAAAAATCACACTGTGACTGGGTCTGGGTCTGCTATATTCAGAGATCTAATTAAACCTACAAGCGTATTTTGTATGCGTTCATTTGGTATATTTCAATGAATTATTAATTTTGACCAACAGTGAAACATTATTTTGTTCAGAAGTACAATAGGAAAAACACAATATGAAAGGTAATACAATTTATAGAAATATAAAACAACACAAGCCCTAATAATAATGAGGAGACGGGCAAGTTTAAAATAAAATTTGAATACAAGGCTAAATATACTGAGATAAAATAGTAATGGGAACAAGAACACTGGAAGCACAGAGGAAAAAACTCATGAGAAAAACCTGGGAAGGCACCTGGAGACAGTGACATTTGAGCCAGGCCTTGAAAAGTGGTGTTAATTTGGAGAAGACAATACAGAAGGGGAATGGGAACAGCTGGTGATGTGGTTTGGCTGTGCCCTCACCCAAATCTCATCTTGAATTGTAGCTCCCATAATCCCCACGTTTGGTGGGAGGGGCCCAATAGGAGGTAATTGAATCATGGAGGCGTGTTTTTCCCTTGCTGTTATCCTGATAGTAAATAAATCTCATGAGGTTTGATGGTTTTATAAAGGGCAGTTCCCCTGCACACGCTCTCTTGCCTGCTGCCATGTAACACATGCCTTTGTTTGCCTTCGCCTTCCACCATGATTGTGAGGCCTCCCCAGCCATGTGGAACTGTGAGTCCATTAAACCTCTTTTTCTTTATAAATTACCCAGCCTCAGATATATCTTTATTAGCAGCATGAGAACAGACTAATACAGCTGGATACATGTGGAGAAAGGCACACGTGCAAGATATACTTGAAAGTTAGGAGAATCAGATGTTGACGAGGAGGTAGGTGGAGGATAGTAGAAGATAACTGTGTTAAGAAGATGGCCAGTAGAGGTTGGGCACGGTGGCTCACTCCTGTAATCCCAGCACTTTGGGAGGCAGAGGTGGGTGGATCACGAGGTCAGGAGATCCTAGCTAACATGGTGAAACCCCGTCTCTACTAAAAAGTACAAAAACTTAGCGGGGCGTGGTGGCGGGCGCCTGTAGTCCCAGCGACTAGGGAGGCTGAGGCAGGAGAATGGCATGAACCTGGGAGGGGGAGCTTGCAGTGAGCCGAGATCGCGCCACTGCACTCCAGCCTGGGAGACACCGCGAGACTCCATCTCAAAAAAAAAAGAAGATGGCCACTAGAAATACCATGTGGTCCGGGCGCGGTGGCTCACGCCTGTAATCCCAGCACTTTGGGAGGCCGAGGCGGGCGGATCACGAGGTCAGGAGATCGAGACCATCCCGGCTAAAATGGTGAAACCCCGTCTCTACTAAAAATACAAAAAATTAGCCGGGCGTAGTGGCGGGCGCCTGTAGTCCAAGCTACTTGGGAGGCTGAGGCAGGAGAATGGCGTGAACCCGGGAGGCGGAGCTTGCAGTGAGCCAAGATCACACCACTGCACTCCAGCCTGGGCGACAGAGCGAGACTCCGTCTCAAAAAAAAAAAAGAAATACCATGTGCTTGACTGCTTGGCCAAAGTTAAAGAACTTCATTTTGAAGGCAATTAGGAAATCACCGCAGGTTTCTGAACAAAATAGCCAAGAGACTAGAGTTTTATTACAGAGTGGTACAGTAAAATTCCACAGGCATAAGGTAACAATGAACAGGATGAAGGTACTTGAACCCTTTCCAGTACAAATGTCAACTGATTTAGAAACAAATATATATCAGCCAGCATTGAAAAGATGACAAGATAGGCATTCTTCACCAGCTGTGAGAAATATAAAAAAGCAAAAATGTTGGAGTGTCAGGACCTAGCATAATAATTGAATGTTGTTTTCCCGTTATGTCACATAATTTGAAAAATTTGTAATGAGAATCCATTCTCCTCAATGTTTGTTAATGAATATAAGTGTGCCAAGGTACAGTACCAGATTAAACATTAGCCTTTCTGTGCACTACAAAAATGGCCACGGCCGTTCAACAACCTTTCCAAATCTGATCATTTGTCTTCTATTTTTAATTGTGAATATCTGACTTTTAATTCATACTGTTTACAAAACTTTTTAAATGTTGCGATAATAATATGCATCTCTCTTTATAATGTTAAAACCATTTCTTTTTTCAAGTTCACAGAAAATATTATTATTCATATAGTTTATCTCTTTGACATTAACATTTGCAGGATCAACATAACTAATAAATGTTCCATCAAAAATAAACAGACTTTCTTACTTTCAAGAATACTATAAGAGGTGTTTTCCAACTTGCTGTGTACAATTAATACTAGCCAAAGGGTTTGAAGCTTTTCTTATTACAAGTAAAAAAGACTAAAGAGAAAACTAGGGAAGTGAGATATTCTAAAAATGGGTCATATGTGTAGCTCCGAATGTCTACCTTTGACATAGATGAGTTTTTTAAAAAATTATATCAGAACGTAAAATAACTTTTATTCTTGTTTTTTAATTACTTGAAAACTAATTACATGTTCTTGATATCTTCGTTTAATATCATGCTCATAATCCATATGCTAGTTCTGCTTTACATTTGAGCTCATTTTATAATAAATCCTCATGACTGGGATCTTAAAGACACACATCTTATATCAAAATTTAATGAAAGAATGTATTATGATTTTTCTACAGTTCAAAATTTTAAGATATTTGGTCCTGTTTATCCTTACTTTCCACCATTGACCAGCCATGGTTAACATAAACCTCATCCACAAGAAAATCTGTGGCATAGTTAAAGCTGTTAGAATTATGGGGAGAGTAGGCTCATCTAAATTAACTATAAATCAGAATATATCAGTCATCAATATCACCTATTCATTGTTCAGCTGCTCTGCATCTTTAAAAGGTGTGTTTTCTTTTGCCTTATGCTATGTAAGTACTCCATAAACATATATTTTCCTAGGCATAATTAAATGAAATATTTTCTATGTGGACAGATAGTCATCACTCTTTATCAAGACATGTGGACACCTCATGGTCATCTAAGTTGCTTTGGTTTCTAGTACTTGCCTCTTGCCTTGCTTCTTCATCTTGGCACATACGACATTTTTGTTCAGTTGTCTGTTTTTAGCTATAGGCACTACCTTTGGTTTATACGTCTGTAGCAAGAGACACAGTCATTCTGTAACATACATAACCTAATATTACAGTGTTTAATATTACAAACATTTGGACCCTGATCTCCACTAGAATATTCAGGAGAGAGAAAAAGTCATAACCTATCTTGCTTATTGCTGTGTCTTCAGCATTTTAGCTGGCTTTCATTGACACCACCCCAGTAGAAGCAGTGGGTATATTCCCTCATTTCTTCCCTGTATGTGTGAAAGTCTAGGTTCCTCAGTCAGCCTCCAGTAATACTTCAAACCTTTATATAACACCACACTGGAGAGGGTACTGGGGTACCTCATTATAGCCTGAAGAGTATCAAAATCTCAGCTCACCACTCAGCCTTTGCTGTCATGGGTGATGAGGGAGCCATATTTTTTTCTGTGGTATTTGACTGAAGTAGAGTGGTCTAAAAGTTATGTCATTCTGGGTTGCCCAGTTCCTAGTTATTTGGTTAGATAGAGAAAGAACATACTTTTGATGGTGATGGTGAGTTTTTTGTTTGTTTATTAAGTGTGCACTTTTTTGTTTGTTTTTTCTTTTTGCTCTGCACGCGTTGGTGTTTCTGGGTTGCCAACTTCTGCTTTAAGCCTAGGATATAGGAAGGAAGAGGAAAACACCAAAATCACCACTCTGCTGTTGCCTTGGTCCCAAAGTCCACAGCCAATCTGCCTTCTTATCTTCACTCTGTAGATCTTTCTTATGTTTGTTTTGTATATATATAATGTCTTGATTTTAAGTTATACTTAGATGGAGGAATAGGAAAAAAGTGTGTCTACTCCATCTTCTATATACTTGGGAGCTAAACAACACACTTCTAAACAATCCATGGGTTAAAGAGGAAATCTCAAGGATAATTTAAAAATATACATTAAGACATGAATAAACCTACCTGAGTAAACTGACAGAGCAATGAATGAGAATTGTTGTCTCAAAGGCATCTGAGGCTGCCAAGAGCTGACTAATGGCTAAACTACATGTGGGACTTCAACTAAGAGGTGTTGTTGCGAATAAGACTATTGAAAGCAGCCTCTGTCAGTCATCGCCAACATGTGCCCACTGATAGAAGTTGGAGCCAACAGAAAATACCATGGAGAATCACAAATTGAAACATAATGGAAGAGAATATAATAATGTGTTTATTAAAGAAAGTTCTAATTGTCTACCATAACCACAATAAGGTAGCTATTATGGATTTTTTTTGGATCGGGTATGCTTTTCACTGAAGAAAAAGAATATACTTTTGGCAGTGCTACAGTCTCAGTGTTAAAGATAACCCTTGGTAGTGTCTAAGGCCCAGTATTTATTCAGTGCACAAATTATACATATTAAAAGTTTAATATACAATTTCTACATACTTTGCACATTGATCAATAATATATAAAATAGACATTATATACCTCCAAAAGTAATTGGATATTAAAATTTAATTTTTTGTTTTATGCATTTTACACTTTTTTTTGTTTTAAAGTTGGTTCATAAATGCTAAGATCACTTTGCAATGATTATTATATAATAAGATTTCTTTCTCAACTGATATGCCTTTAAGCTTTCTTTTCTATAGATTCACATACAGCAAAGGAATCCACTATGCTCCAGGTCCTAGAAATGTCCTGAACTGCTTCTGAGGAAAATGGTCTTGCCTAAAGTCATGAGGATTTGAATAACTTCTCTAGTCGGCTCTTTACATACTTTCTCTACCAAATCACCCTGTCTGCACTCATAGCTGTCTGCACTCATAATCAAGAATAGAGGCTGATTAACAAAAATAGGAAATTTGATGGTTCATGACTTCAAAAACAGCAGGAGATAAGGTTTAATTGCTTGAGAATGTAATATTCTGGCTGATATACTAACAGAAAATTGTCAATATATTAAGCTGCTATTGGATTTCCAGAACCATTGCTGTGTCCTGATGACACTATTTACTATTAAACTTCTTCTATCTGAACAGGCCTAAACTCCAGGGCCTATAGCCAGGGAAGTGCTATGACTATTTGGATCACTGTAATTCCTGGAAATAAGAAAGAAAAGGCGATGCCTATTTTCCCAGTCTATAGTTTCTTTTATGCAACTAAGCAGATATGTAAGGCAAAATGGAATTATAATGACATGAATTATAAACATATTGACTTGTCCAAATCCAGCCATCGAAGCAAGCCATTTGTAGATATCTCCAGAGTTGTCAAATGTATATATTTGAATTTAGATATTTATGTAAAACTCAAACCCATGCCTTTATTTCTACTTTTAACTACATCTAGCTTTTTTTTTAGTGCCTCTCTGTGTGCCTTCTCAGTACCATCTTTGTGTGGCCCACATTGCTCATTATTTCCATATCAAAATTAGGCCTATACATATTATATACGTGGCATCACAATGTAGGAGGTGAAGGAGTGTCCTGGGTCACCTTGTTTGACATGGCTTATATGGTACTTCCTTAATGCTAATTCTAAAGCTAATTGACTTTATTTTCAAATATATGCAAATCATAACATTCTTTTTGTAAAGAAGCAAATTTTTACTTTCAATTATATGTTATGAGAACAACTGAAATTAAAATGAACTATTTTTTTCTCTTGTTATCTTTGTGCTATTGGTTCTGTTTCAGTTTTACACCTGTTTTTCTTCAAAAAGTCATCTACTTATTTCTCTTATTCTATTTGGGTGTTGTATTAGCCCGTATTCATGCTGCTGATAAAGAAATACCTAAGACTGGGAAGAAAAAGAGGTTTAATTGGACTTACAGTTCCAGATGGCTGGGGAGCCCTTGGAATCATGGTGGAAGGTGAAAGGCACTTCTTACATGGTGGCAGCAAGGGAAAAGTGAGAAAGAAGCAAAAGCAGAAACCTCTGATAAACCCATCAGATCTTGTGAGATTTACTCACTATCACGAGAATAGCTTGAGAAAGACAGGCCCCCATGATTCAATTACCCATCCCTAGGTTTCTCTCACAACACATGGGAATTCTGGGAGATACAATTCAAGTTGAGATTTGGGTGGGGACACAGCCAAACCATATTAGATGTTAACATACTAATATATGTTATTATTAATTTTCTGCTCTATCAGTGGGATTAAAGAATTCATACAATATAAGTAAAAGCAATGTCTATGTTATAGAAGGCAAATATGAGACCACTTACTTAGCTCTTCTTTCCAACAAGATATCCCATCACAAGCTCCTGCAATATGGAAATTCTGGTGATCTTTAAAATGGAGTATTAAAACTCCATTACTTAAGTTACCTAAGGAAAGCTTTTGTTTCTTGCACCCCAAAGCTCTTAACCAATGCAATTTTTAATTCCAGAAAGATACACTGTCCTTTCCTGCTAGAATTTTACTATTCTTTTATGAAACCTGTAGACTTGCTGGGAAAGATTCTAGTAGTAAAATTCTTCCTTATATCATTAATAATACCTACATTTTATACATATAAGGTTAATGTTTGCCTTTAAAATTTCTAGTACTTAGCTGATACTAGAAATAATTCATGTTGTTTTTAACATTTTCAAAATAATCATCAAAACATTTCATAAAACCTGTGTCTTCTCAAAATATTGATTCTATAAATATACCTGGATAATACTTTGGGGTATTAACTTATGTTTAATTCTTCTGCTTGTAATATTTTTTTCCCTTCACTCCACTAAGATAGTTGGTTAGCTCTGTGCTTTAGTGCCTCAAAAGAGGTATGTGGTGAATCTGAATGGAGTAGTAATCTATAAAATGTCCTGTAATTTGTCTTCTAATAATTTTAGTATATTACACAGATAGACATCTTTGGTGAAAAAGGAAGGAGAAAGGGTTCCCTCAGGCTCAAAAGACATTCTCTTAGCTGTCAAGAGGAGAGAGTTATATATGCTCTGGAGTGATAGAAGCTGAGGTCCTATTTTCTGACAATGTTCTGGTGAAGGCAGTAAGATCCCAGAAAGATACACTCCAAAAGACATCTCAGGCTGTAGTAACAGAAGCATCAATGATTCCGTCTCATATATTGTCATCATATCCTAAAGGACACTGTATGAAGTCAGCAAGTCTCCCAGACCTGATGAACAGGCACAAATAGGTGAATGGTAGATTTTCATGGCCAAGTTGGTAAACTGCTAACTGATGAACAGAGACTGCGACACATGATCCAATTGTTTTGATGCTGTGTAAGATCCAAGAACCTTGAACATGTTGTCAAGTGGAGGACTGGATAGAAGTTCAAACAATAATTAAGGTTAATTATATTCTTAGGGACACAGACTACACAGCAGAAGACAACTTACTTTAAAAAATCAAGAAAATGCATTTTCCACATATCTTAGTTTGTGAACTGAGATTTTTGTCTGCAAACTTTCATACGTTAGTCACGTTCATACCATAAAACATGACTCTATTTGATATTATACTATTTTAAATTTTCAATTGTTTAATAATATTTTAGGAGGATAGTAGGAGGTGTTTAAAATAGTATTCACATTTTATCTTTTATCCAGGTTCACAGGGAGATCACCACTTTAAAGATGACAAATTTATATCTTATTAAATATAAGAGTATTGTTTTGTTACACAGTATGAGTTGCTGTAATACCTAGGATTTAGACCTAAATCCATTAATTAATTCTATAAAAATGAGATCTTAAGAAATTTACACTTAAAGTGCCTAAGAATTTCAAGGAGAATCTTAGATTCTTTTCTTGATTTCAAAGTGTCAACAGTTGATGGTCTCCTGTATTCCTTTCCTCTCATGAGACCAAATGCTTCAGAGGAGTGACCTTCTAATGTGGTAAATTGAGATCTAACTACTAATTACTAATTGTTATTGCAATTCTTGACCTGATCTCTAGAGCTGGAAAGCAAATCCCTGTCTCTGGAGTGTAACTAGATCTAATAGGCAGCCTCTGAGTTGACGCAGAGAGAGCATATTAGCAATTGAGTGACTTTCAAAGTGTTACCTTAATGAACACCATTGGATGTAATGTTTTGAAGCTCAAACTAAGCGAAGGTACTTTCCTTTTCTCTGACAGTAGTTAAGTATAAAATTTATCTATTCCTTTATTTAGAGTGAAGAAGCACATTAGTGAAAAAAGTATAAGAAAGTTCTCCATTGGTACATTTTTAATAGCTTCAAGCTGTTAACAGTTACATTGGCCCAAGGTATGGGGTGGCACATGTTATGGTTAACTGATTAGTACAGAGCCTCTTGACATACAGACATTTTTCTGTTACTGGTATCAGCCATGAAAATGTATTTCCAAGCAATTAAGCCTTAACTCCTGCTGGTTTGGAAGCCATGGACCTTCAAATTCCCATTCAAATTATTCAACACCTAACATGGGTAGAAAAAAAATACAACTTCATTAGTAAAAGCCACAAAGAAATCTATTGATAAGTTTTTAAAATTTCTTTAACATGAGAAAAATGCAAAAACGTTCAGATTGTAAATTAGCCACACAACTTTAAAATGACCTCACTTTCTTTTTTCACAACTCTAAGGATTTACTTTATGAGGTCTTAGGTTTAACAACATACTTCAAAAATAATGTGGATAGCAAAATAAATATGTGAAAGGTTACATGTAGGGGAGCAGGGAGAAAGGGCAAAGAAAGCAGGATCATAACTATGTGGTTTTCACTTGTTTCCAATTCTTATCTGAAGTAGATATCGACTTGGCAATTCTAAAATTAGAACAACTGGATACTGGACAAGTAGAAATAGTAATTGCCAAGTGATCTCCATTATGTTTCTGAACAATTTCTTCTTCCCTCTCTCACTCTCACAAACGTTTCATAAGCCCTGAGGAGACATTTTTATAGAAGGTCTATTTTCTTATCTCTAAATGGAATAGAGCAGGAGAGTAATATAAGACAGGAATGAAGAGTCATTCTCATCAGAAATAGTTTTGCATAATATTGGGGGATGTTTTGTATGTTTTATTCTAGAGGGTTGGATTATCATTTTCAGTACCTTATGAATCAACTTGTTCCAGTATCTCATAAGCAGAGTTGCCTCTACAAAGGTAGCATTATACTTTCAAAACATTTATGATAATGAGAGCTAGACTTCACACATGTTAGTTAGTGGAAACTGGAGTATGTAACTTTACCAAACTATTTAAAGTGGAAGGCTCTGTTATGGCTCTGTTACTGATTTCCCTTGTATTTTGTTCACACTATACTTCTTAAGAGTAGTTTACTATTTTTGTTCCAAATGTAAACTCAAAAAGTTTCCATTGTTAAAAGAAGTTAAATCTATCATTATAATGCAAAGCTCTACATAGATAGGTGACCTCCCCTCCCCTCCTCTTTTTTTTTTTTTTTTCCTCTGCAGCATATTACTAGGCAATCTAGGGTCATTCTGTTAAATATTCTCTCATCTGGTTTTAACTTCGGATTTTTAATTGTTAGTTTTTTGTTCTAACAAGAATTAGATGTTATGTTTTGAGCTTTTCAGATGGAAGTTATTACATATATGCTATCAAATTAACTTGAGAACTTTGTGGGATTTAATGGGTCAGTCTTTCTAGGGTAAGAAAGGAGAATGAGCCACGTAGAAGATCTGTGATGAAATGAACTACAACAATGGAATTATATCTGGAAAAGTAAATTTCTATTTCAAGTGTGTATTTTCAGCTCACTATCAGGAATTAGTACATCAGCATGAAGACAAACCTCATAGTGAGTTAATTGATTGTTATTAGGGTTCATCAGAGCAGATTTAGAAAGTGGCCAAGGTTTGTCATCTGTTGCCACTTTTCTTGTTGTTGCTTTTATTCCTGCTCTTTTAAATGTTTTATAAAAATATTTATTGAAACCTACCAGTGGTACTTTGTAGAATTTAATATACAAAAGAAAGGAGTATTCTTCTCCAGGACCTTAAAGTCTCCTCAGGGAGATTAAGAAGGTTTACTGAATTTTAAGTAACAGCCCACCAAATGGAAACTGTAAGTGCCAAATGAGTGGTAAGAACAGTGAAGACTTAAAAGAACTAACTTACAGATCAGTTGTTGGAGTGACGGTTCACTGGGAAATGGGATTTGAGCTGTGTTTTGGATGGTGGATATAATTGCCCCCTGAGAATGATTAAGTGTAAGGATGTAGGGGGAGGTGGTAAGGAGCACATAAATTATTTGAGATACATTTTTTATTCTAGTAATAAATGAGTAGTTCACTGAAGCCTGATTATGGCAGGAACTGAACATCAGTTTATAGCATTTGACTTTTCTTATAAACAAAGGAGAGCATTTAATTATTTTGAGCCTGGTCAAATATTTTGCCTCACAAGATTAATCTTCCGGAGGACACATGTGAAGGCAAGACTATGATAGTAGGAAAGTCTATGAAAGTATTCTACATAAAAGGTAATAAGGCTCTGAACTAGAACAATGGCAGGGAGAATGGAAAAGATGAGATATTTGGAAGATGACTTATCTGAGAAGAGTCTACGATACTTAGTAATTGATTTTATAGAAGAGTTAGAGAAACTAGCCAACATGATTTTACATTTATGATTTTTTGCAACTGAGGGAAAACTAATACCTTTAGAGGTATAGAGGCAGGAATGGTGGCTCACACTTGTAATCCCAGCACTTTGGGAGGCTGAGGCAGGTGAATCGCTTGAGCTCATGAGCTCAAGACCAGCCGGGGCTACATGGTGGAACCCCATCTCTACAAAAAAAATACAAAAATTAGCCTAACACACGTGGTGTATGCCTGTAGTTCCAGCTACTGTGGAGACTGAGGTGGGAAAATGACGTGAGCTGAGGAGGTGGAGGTTGCAGTGAGCTGAGATGGTGCCGCTGCACTTCAGCCTGGGCAATAGAGTCAGACCTTGTCAAAAAAAAAAAAAAAAAAAAAAAAAAGAGAGAGAAAGAGAGAAAGAAAAGAAATAAAAGAAAAAACATTCATTATTAAATGTGCATTGGCTCCAGAATACCAACCCAGCACACTGTAGAAAGATATGAAACCATCAGTCGTTGGGGATGCTGTTAAAAACAGCATTTTTTTAAGCAAAATATCAAGGTAATGCTCCTATAGGTAGTAGGTGTACATCAAACCTATTGACAAACATTTCCATTTCATTATGGGAAGAACATTAGCCCTGTTCACTTCTGTCACCAGATGATAGCAAACAATGCTCCATTTCCCTCTCAAATTATGACAAATTCATTTGTACTCTCTGTCTCTCCATAGGTATTTCAAATTAGTTTGGAACTATTATTTTTAGTTGCCTGGAAGTATACTTGCAGGAAAAGAAAGTTTTATGTTGATGAGACTTTTTTTTTAACCTGTTTTACTATGTGTCTTTTAGAAAGCAATATGCCACCATCATTACTACAACAATAAAAACAGTAGAGTACAAATAGGAACACTTTTATTCTATGAAGGTCATCATGAAGTTGCATTTGAAATCTCAGAGAGAAGTAATGTATGAGAAACATTTTAAAACTTCTTTCTATAGGTCATATCTATTTTGGAAAGTGATCACAATATTACAAAGTGTCATGTATAAATATCTTTGAAAAAATTGAATACAATAAGAAATGTTGCACAAGTTATTTTGTATACCTTACTCAGTTTTTACACATCCCTTGGAAGCACCTTATAGCCTCTATCATTCTTGAACCTCTTTGGAAAATTTTAAGCAAAAAATTGGGGTAAGTAGTGGAGGAGGTATAACCAAGATATACCTGACTCAAGTACCTAAAACTATCTCAGGTTACAGTTTGTGAAAATAAGTAATAGTCTAGTTTTTAAAGTAGCTTTAGTCATAAAACAAAATTATGTGATTGGTAAAGCAGCAATTTCTCTTTCAATTTAAAAATCCAAGACAAACATATATGTTATTTCAGTTGACATCTTTTCAAGGTTCTACTGTAACCTAGGTTTTATATTTGTCTAGGGAGAGAATAGTTTACTATGTACTAAGTAGTTCTCCAGAAAAATAAAATAAAAAAAAACTCTCTGTTACACTATATGACATGAAATGAATATATGCCCAATCACTCACTCATGGTTCTGGGAAGAAATAGAAAAAAAAAAATGAAGAAAACAGGACAAGAATTTCCAATATTCATTCCTATAATCATTCTATCTAAACATTCCATTAACAAGAGCCAACTTTGGTACTCAGAATTTGAGACAAAAAATACTTTGTTATAAATTGATTATTTCTTGCTCTTTACATTTACATTTACATATGATACTGAGAAATTTCTGAGCTTCATGGAATTTCTCTGAAGAATTTTAGATATTACAGTAAAATTTCAAGTTGCTAAAATGTTTGATAATAAAGCAAGCTTGAATTAAAAAGGTAACAGCCTAAACCATTTGAAAATTTCCATTTGGTTCATAATGCTTTATTTTCAAGGGTCATATACAGTCTTTTTCCATGAATATTTAAATTTCCTTTATTTTCTAAAATGGCCTGAATAACCAAATTTCCCTAATAGGCTTTAGTGAGAAATAGCTAATAAAATCAGACAGTACGCTGCTATGCAACTGCTTAAGAGAAACATTTTTCTTATTAAAACATCTATATTGAATTCTCTTTAATGTTCAAGAATTCTTGCCTCATTCTGTCAAACTTCTCCACGCTATTCTCATTATTTCTCAGAGCAACCCTATGAGATTTTAAAGTGGCAACCATTACAATTTTATTTCAGTAATGGGAGAAACTGAGGCAAAGAGAGTATAAGAGCATCACACAGCATGCCGGTGGCAGGCCTGGGAACAAAACAAATATCTTTAATTTTCCTGCCAAAAGCATACTCTAAAAAACTGAAGAAATTTCTTTGTCTTCAAAAAAACGGGAGTAGAGGGGAGGCAAAAAAAATCCTACAGTAGTAGAATATCACTATTGCTCGATGTTATTAGGCCTAATTAATGTTTCTGAAAAATATCTATGAGGTTTATTCTTTGCTAATAGTACATTTATTATTTCACAACTTTGTTGCAAGTTCAAGTGCTTACATGTAGAACAACTACAGAGCGATGATTAGAGAAAAGCACATATAGAATGAATACATTATCTTAAGCTACTTAATCTTTATGCCTCAATCTATACATTATCACTTTATATAATAATTGCATTATTTTCCTCAATCCCTCTCAAATACACACACACACACACACACACACACACACACACACACACACCCCAATGACTTTGCTTAAAACATATGGTAGTTGTCAACAATGAAGAATTTTAAAATAAAAATTAAATCATTAATTTTGCTTATTGCTTATGGACAAGCAGGAAGATGTCTTTGCAAACTGATTAACATATAGTAATGAATAAGCTTAATATAATTTCTATTTAAGTGAAAAATAAAATGAAGCATACAGTTGTGGGTTAATGCTATATGCGACAATATTTCCAAAGATTGATCTTTAGTAAAGATATGTTAATAAAGCATTATTGGCTGCTCATTTAATAGAAGTTGCCTTGCCTTGCTGGGCATTAATAACATATGGATGATAAAAGAGTACCTTTCTTCAGAGAGTAATTGCCCATATTTCTCATATTTTCCAGAGCCGAAAGCCAAAAATCCTCATAATTGATAAGCATATGGACTGCAGTAGCATATTGCAGAAACTCTCCGGCAATAAACATACCCAATTATTTTCAATTTCATTCTACTTCTTTATTTATGCAAAACTCAACATTGTTTCTTCAAAACATCCTGGTTTCATTTCCTCCTCCCTGAAAAGCAGTTACACTTTAATCAGCATCACTGAAACATTTGTACTCCCTCACTCTTGTTATTTCGTTATGAGACTCTATTTTTGGCATATCAAATAATTATATTACTTATGAGCTTACTATTTTAATTTTTATCAAACATTTTATTATTATCAATGAAAACTGAAATATGATAGAATACATTATTTTTAGTTGAATTTTTAATATTCTCCATCCAAATGGTAGCTGCATTTTGTGAGTAATTATATCATCAGATATGAATTCTTGTTGAGACTTCACATTCACTTTTACTTATTTTTGTTTACTTGTTTAACAATTAGAACTAATTTGCACTTACATAATTCAGGTTATGAGAAAATTCCACATATAAATTAGAATTTAATTTGTATTTACATGAAGTTTTCTTTCTTACTTGATAGCAAAAACTTGTTTCCATAACCTTGTCTGTGATATTGTAGAGATTGTTCAAGCATCAGACAGGGGGTTATCCTCAATTACCTTCAGAGTCACTTTCAACTCTGATATTCTCTGATATCATGATGCTATATATAGAATAATAATAGAGACACCTTTTATATATCCTCCTAGATAGTTTTATGAAACTAATATTACTCAAACTAGAACTCCTTGGAATACCCGGAATTTTATCAAGTATTATTCCCAAAAAGTTATGTTGAGATTTAACAACAACAACAAAAAAGCCATAATGTATCACATGCACAATCATTGTTAAACAGAGAGAATACCATAGGCACTGAACAATTCTGGGAAACCTCAGGCTGTGGACGTTTACACTGGTTTCTTTGATCAGTCACCCTTAATACATTAAACATCATTGCCCCAAACAAAATATCTAGCTTTCACTGATATCCAGGGTTTATTTCCTTGTTTGCTGCAGGCAAACAAGCTTTCACCAAAGGAACTAACTTAGCTTCTTTGACTAGTGATTTCCATCTTTTTGCTTAAGTTTTTATTTCCATTGTTTTGAAATGGTGTGTAAATAGCTGATCCAAATCTTTATTCCCCTGAACCCTTTTCATGCCACAGTGATTTTTTTTATTGTGGTTAAGAAAACACACAGCATGAGAACTACCCTCTTAGCAAATTTTTAAGTGTATAATAGAGTATTGTCAACTATAAGCATCATATTGTACTGTAGATCTCTAGAACTGTTTTTATTTTGCATGACTGAAACTTTACGCCCATTAAACTGCATCTCTTCAGTTTCACTTCCTCACTATTGGTTTCCCTTTTATGTCCTCTTCTTTACTTTTTTCTTCTACTGTCATTTCCCATTAGGTCTTTCAGTACTTTTTGTATCTTCAGTCTTTCAATGCTTATACACCACTGCTGATTTGTTTAACATAATTAAGAAAACACAGTGTTATCATGTATTGTAAGATCCTTAGATATTAATGTACAGGTGGTCACAGCATCTTCTCATGTAGTAGGTATTTCCTTTACCTTCCAAATCCAATCCCTGCTATTGCCACCGTTATTCTATGAAGGATTTGTCAAGCCCTGTTTCTCCTGAATATTATTATGAAGTTCAAGGTTAATGTGTGGGAACAAAAACCAGAAGAGATGAAAGTCTATTAATTGCAACTGAAAAGGACAATTAGGAAACATAGATCTAGAAACAGTAGAGAAATGGGTCAGGAGTACCAAAAGGTAAAGTGGATTTAGTAAACAGTAGAGTTTTTGAGATTTTTAGATAGAGTCTTAAGACGGGAGTTAAAAATATTTTGTAATCAACTCATATTTGAATTTTTTCAAGAGAGAAGAAAATAAAAATTCAAATTGCTTTCATTTAGTTTTGGTTGATAGACTATTGTCTGATGGATTTGAATAGATATCTAAATTTGGGGAACAATTATTTGGGATTTAACAAATAAGATAATTACTGTGTATCATATATGTTTAAATGAAGCAAAAACTTACTTTCACAGTGACCACCAAACTGCTAGTAAGCAGAGTGCAAGTTGATTTTAAAAAACAGCCGTAATCTCATGCCTGTAATCCCAGCACTTTGGGAGGCCAAGGCAAGCAGATCACGAGGTCAGGAGTTCAAGATCAGCCTGATTAACATGGTGAAACCCCATTTCTACTAAAAATACAAAAATTAGCTGGGCGTGGTGGCAGGCGCCTGTAATCACAGCCACTCAGGAGGCTGAGGCAGAATAGCTTGAACCCAGGAGACAGAGGCTGCAGTGAATCGAGATGCCACCACTGCACTCCAGCCTGGCAACAGAGCAAGACTCCATTTCAAAAAACAAAACAAAACAAAAACAAAACAGCCATAATGTTTCTTGGAATATGACAGCATTATCAGAGGAAATTTCAGAAATTTCTTTGAATTTTACTTTTGGAGAACAAAGACATAATAAAAAAATGGATGCTCCAAAAAGGACAAAACTTATGAAACTCACCATGTTAAGAAAACCAAATATAACCTCTCATAAAATTATAAAATCAACATTAGTTTTTAACTCATCCTCAGTAGACCCTCACCTTCATAGAAGGTAGATCCTACTGGATGTGTTGCACGGCTTTTCCTTAGTTCAGCTAAAGCAGGCAGGGTTCCTGTCCATCCCACGGCCACGAAAATTTAGGCTCACAGACGTTGCAGAGCGTGAGTAAAGCAGGATTTTTTTGGGTGAAAAAGAAAAAAAGGGCTAAGCAGGGAATCTCTGCAAGGCTAGAGTATCAAGCTTGAGTGCTTCCCACCCTCAGCTTGAATCCAAGTTCCACACAGGAAGAGGAGGGGCCAGGATCCTCCCTGCTGCACAGGTGGAATCTTCCTGAGGCTCCACCTCAGTGAGCAGGCTGGACGGAGTTTCTCCAGGGACCCCCGCCCATCTGGCTGTCTCATTCGCCCCTCTAAAGAAGTACATCTAACTGCCGTTAGCATGAGGATAAGGACGAAGACCAATATTAATTTCTTCCTGCTGCCAGGGGGTGTTGTTTTGGGGAAACAGCAGTCAGAGCTCTTTCAGAGGCCGATCTAAGGGTTCCCAGCAGAAGGGGCCATCCTCAGAGGCTCCCGTTGCATGACTGTTTGGAGTTTGATGACTTGAGGGTAAGAACAGAGAGGGGGTTATTAGGAAACATGTGTCAAAATGAAACAAGGGCAGGGGCAAGGACAGCTCAAAAATTCTGAAGCCTTTTACCAGTTTGCACTGGGAGAGGGAGGCCAAAAGCCCAACTGGTTAACAAAACTTTACCTTTTTGCTGGCATGTCAGGCTTCTGGGTTCCTTTCCCCTGAACCCTATCCTAAGCCAACCAGTTTAAGGTTTGGGAAATTAACTCTTTCCAGTATGGAAGATGTATCTGAGGGGAGTGTCCCATAGTACTGAGTCAGTTACCTATTAGTGAAGAGAGAACAGAGGAGGAGAAAGGAATAAAAAGAAGGCATTTTTTCAAAGGAGTTCAATGGGTTGAGGATGCATTCAAAAGGGGTACAGACTCAAGATGAGAAAGAGGGGAGCAGGCATCCCTGGTTCCCTTCTCTTCCTAGCAGATACCCAGGTGTAAGGGAGTGGGAGAGAGAGCATCCTTTTTCCCTCTTCTGTCCTTCCATCCCCCAGTTCCGGCGACCTTGGTAGGTGTCGCCATAGGTGTCAAAGCGACTTGCATCCATGAAGCAGGGGGGCCTAGAGAATAGGAATTATCTGTTCTCACCTATGTCTCTTTCCCATCTACTATCAGTAGCCTTAGAGTTCCCTAGACCTCATTTATGCCATCAGTATTAATGTGGTCTTTATCCATGAAACAAGAGGCTTGGGGTTGGCTTAATCGGCAGTGCTGTGCTGTGCCTTTTAACCTCTGTCATCACCTGTGCTGTGCCTTTTAACCTCTGTTGTCATTTGCCTCTGGATCCCTCAGATCCAGTTTTCCTCCCTAGGGCTTTGACCTGAAGCATGGAATTGAGTTTGGGACAAATATGTGTCTTGAGGGTTTACATGGACTCATTATAAGCTGAATGCTAAAGTGAAACTGTGGAATTGAGTCCTCCAACAAGGAAGAGGAAAGAATGTCTTGTGACCCATCCAGATAACTGGTAGCTAGAGTTATGCTTGCTAGAATTTCGGTGCATGGTGCCTGGCTTTGGTTAGTTCCCTTGGTTTTACATTCCCAAAAAGGAAACCTCCGGGTGATGGGCACTGTATTTATTCCCTATTTATTCTATCACTTGGCAGGATTTGCAGGATAATTGCTCAGAACTAGAGTATCTATCCGGATTTCTACATTACCCATCCCTTTTGTTCTTTCTGAGCTACAGCCAGGGATTGCCGGTTGGTTCACAGAATCAAGCAGGATTAGTCTAAAATGTAGATGAAAACTTAAAAAGAACTAGTGAGTTTAGAATTTAATGACAAAGATATACATTTTGAACATAATTTCTCACTCTCCAGTCCTCATGTTTGTTAAAAAATAAATCATTGTAGGACTGAGTTGTTTGCAAAATAGACTTTCGTTTTATACTTGGCCTGATTATTTGCATTAAGTGCAGCAAGAATAATTATTTCTACATAGGCCTTTTGGATTGGCTTTGATGGAATTCTGTTCCACAAGGAGTCTCAGATAAGACCTTTTAAAGCTGAGCCCAGCCATGGGTTAGTATCCTCAAACACCTGTGAGTTGGGTGATCCTCTCCTCTTAAGGTCCCAAGATAAACGTGGAGGTCCTAGACCTGTTAGAAAGTGACATTCTTAACTGAATACAGGTCAGGAACCCTCTACAGAGACCATGTAGGCAAGGGTATGAGGCCAGTTTGCCCACTGGGCTTTTATTGACTTTGCAAGGAGAGATTGACTCCTTAAAGGGAAGCACACCCTTCCAGTCAAAGCCTTGGTAAAATTACCAGATTCTCCAACTGTGTCTTGTAGCAAAAGAAAAATGAATTCTTCTTGCACTGATGCAAACAACTATATTGCCATAAGAATACTCACAGACAGTTTCCAAATTTTAGAGGAACCAGGTAGAGAAAAACAAACATGCTCCAAATTTTGATCCCAAGAATAAACCTTACTTAATTATTAAAGGCCATAAATAATTTAAATAGTTTAAGTAAATAGTTTAAATTTCCTTGAGTCTGAAAAACAAAAAAAAGGATCAGCAATATTCCAGGCAAAGGTTAAAAAGGTTGCTTCAGTTTTCTGAGTTCAGTCCATTGGTTAACTCTTGTTTTGCTTGATATTCATGGACATTTTGGCTCTTCATGAGTCCTGTACATTTTCCTTTAACATCACAATCTCCAATGTTACCAGAAGCCTGTATTTGAGAGCACCTGTTTCAGTCCTACAGCTTATTATAAACCATTTTTTTGAAAAGCATTAAAATAAGACAACAATTTTCTGTGAATAGCAAAATATCCAGGGTAGTTACAGTTAGAAACACAATTGAGAAAGAAGTTTGGTTATCTCTGTGGTTTACAATAACTTAAACATAACAACCTTAATTATGATTGATAGCACATACTCAGACATTAGAATTTGAGGAATCCCATAAATTTTGGAACATATATTAGCATTATTCACCAAGATATAACCTAAAGAAGATTGAGCATCATGTTGGCAATCCCATGTACCTAAATATGTGAAATAATTCTGTTTATCTCTCCTTTCTGGACATTTCAGGGGCCCTCTGAAGTATTTGAAAAGCCAGGTGCCAGGGAAGACAATTTTGAAACTGAAGTTTGATGTGGGGAAGGCTGTCAAATACGTTTCATAAACACTTGATATTATGAAATAGAATTCCGGATTACCATAAGTTATTTATTTTGCCAAAATGATGACTTGGAAATTTTTAAGAAGCAAAAAGCTTTTATAACCCTTTACAAATTTTGTGAATGAGCAGATTAGCACCTTAAGGAAACTTTGTTATGTTTTTATTTCAATGTTCAATTTACAGAAAAACCATATAATACTCCTTTTGGAATTTAGTTAGTATGTTCACCTAGATGACCTCTTCTGCAAGAAGAATTTCCACAATTCTTCCACTGCTTCTTTGAACTTTCAGCTTTTTCCTAATTTAACTCAAAACAATCCTTTAACCCCAGACAAAAGTTTACATTTCCATGCCTTCTTACAAACTTTTACTAAAAAACGCACTTTACTGTTCTTACACACCTTTCGAGTAAATCTATTTCTAGTAGTTTCAGTTAACTCCTAGCAATTTTTAACTTTAAGGAAAACTTGGTAAGTTGTTTTAGTTGTGTGATAAGTGCAGCCAAGGTTTGCCTTCTTAATTAAGGGTGTGGTTAGTTCCAAATGGCCCCAGGCTCTACCAGTTGTGAAGCTGGCAAATCAAATAGTTCTCAAAACCCCAAAAGCAGTTTGCACCCTCAAAACACTTACCAAACCTTGTATCTGACCTGCATTTTACTAATAATCTTTAAGGCTGTTTTTATTTCTTAAAGATTAAAGTCACATGAACTGAAAGCTTCCACAGCTTTTAACTTCCCTTTAAAAAATAATAGATCCAAGTGTTTGTCTTTCTTTAGGCCAAATTAATTAGAGCTATTTTGACAGACATTACACACAGTATACACACAGACAGGCAGAGGAAAACACAGTCGCTGGGTGGGAAGCTTTAAGAGACAGGGCTAGGAAAAAGTGCAGATATGGAGCCTGAGAGGGCTCATCCCCTAAGGCAGGGTTGCCCAACAAAGCCTTGCCAAGGGTTACCACCCACGCCCTCAGGATATAAAACAAGATGGAGGCTTGATTTCACAACCAAAACTTTGCAGAGAATACAAACAGTGATACTTGTTGGGGAGGGCTGGCCTGGTAAAACATCTTATGAAGGAAAAAACTTTAAAAGTTAGCTCCCGACAAGGTGGAGAAGGGGAAAGAAAAAAGAACAGTTTAAAAATGCCTAGGGAAGAACCTCTAATTCTTAGGCAAGTGGTTCCTCCACCAGGAGAAAATCTTAATTATTGTCCAATGGAGCTGAACCCCTTGGTGGGAGAAAGGGAAGGTTGCAGCAGTGCCTGGCTGGGAACCAGCCACGTGGCAGTGCAGGATTCTTGAGCCATACATCCCAGCCCCGGCAGAGAGGGAGGAGCGGCTGGGAACTGCTGCTCACAGGTCAGTCCTGAAAAAGGAAGGAAAAGGCCATGAAAAGGCCGGGGAGCAACAGGAGTTGGGAAAATGGTTTCCCCCCACCCTCAGAAGTCCGAGGATGAAAAGGCTTAGAAGCGACAGTGAGAGGTTTTGAATCTCCATTTCACTCACCGCTTCTTGAGCTCCCACTTTGTGCACCAAAAATGTTGCAGGAATTTTCCTTAGTTCAGTTAAAGGTGGAGTTCTTGTCTGTCCCATAGCCATGAAAATTTAGGCTTGCAGACGATTAGAGAGGGTGAGTAAAGCAGGGTTTTATTGGATGAAAAAGAAGAAAAGGGGGAAACAGGGAGTCTCCGCAAATCAAAATGACTGTGTCTTTTCCCACAGTTCTTGAATTAACTTCACTGATATATGTGGCAGGCCTAGTAAACTACCTATCCTTTGATTATTAATAGCTTCTCCCTTGCTAACAAGATTCCATTATTGTTCTATGTAGCATTATGTCCATGTCTGGTTAAAATGGTCTAAACAAAAATGACAATCACATTACCAACTTGTCAGCTTTGCTGTCTGTTTTACCAAGTATCTCTAAAGAGGGGTAATGGCATATTTTTCTGTGAAGCTCGCACCTTGAATCCCAGGTCCCACGTGGGAAGAGGAGGGGCCAGGCTCCTCCCTGCTGCAAAAGTCATGAACTTCCCAGGGCTCCACCTCAGTGGGCAGACTGGTTGGAGTTTCTCCAGGGACCCCCTCCCACCTGGCTGTCTCAGATGTACACAGTTCAAAGTTGGATGCTTTTTCTCACATTTCTTCAGAGAGCAGATACATTGAGGACTTACCTGTTGTTGTAGGATGACTGACTAATTTCAACTAGAAGGCGGTAGTAATGCAGTCACGAGATTAAGAAAGAAAGACGTTTTGGGAAGAGAAAATGAAAGGTCACTAGTAGGCCTGTGACATTCACCAATATTTTATTCTTCTCTTTCTCTCTCTTTCTCATGCACACACACACACACACACATACACACACACACACACACATTTGGCAGAATTCTTTACATTGTTTATTTAATCTATATTGAAATGGGAGAGGTTCCCTTGTCCCCCTTGCAGGGCATGTGATGGGGGTGTGGCTCGCTTCTTCAGTGCCCCATTGCTTAAACCTCTAGGGGAAGATAACAGACGAGCCGGCTGTGGGGCTCCAACCCCACGGCAGTGTCTAGGGATGAATATTTATAGCTGAAACCCAGTGGGCATGTGTTGCAGGGTGCTCTTTTAGTTTAGCCATCCATAGGTGGCTTGTGTTGGCTCAATTAGACCCTGCCTTATAGCAAGGACAGAGGGCTTTATGTATCATGAGGTTCTTGCCTTGATATACCAGAAGAATCAGATCACATGTGGGTTTGGAGAATGAGTGCAAGGTTTTATTGAGTGGAAGTAGCTCTCAGGAGATGGGGAGCCAGAGGGGAGATGGTTTCCCCTGGAGTCAGGCCGCTAGGCAGCCCTGGCTCTCCTCCAACTGCCTGGCCAAACTCCGCCTCATTCCGCTAGTCTATGGCCTGCCTGCCGGGATGCCAGCATCTGCCATGTGGTCTTCCACAGGCGTGCACCTTTTGACGTCCTCTCGATGTCCAGCCACTTGTGTGTCTGCCTACTAGGGTCTCGGGGTTTTTATAGACACAGGATGGGAGCGTGGCAGGCCAGGGTGGCTTTGAGAAATGCAACATTTGGGCGTGAAGGCAGGAGTGCCTCTCCTCACCTAGGTTCATGGGCACAGGCTGGGGGTGGAGCATCACACCATTGCCTTCCCAGCACTTCCCTTCTCCCCTTCTGTATCGATATTACTCAACTCCACATCTGGTCTGTATCTTTCCCCACAGTTCTTGAATTAACATCATTGATATATGTGGCAGGACTTGTAAACTACCTATCCTTTGAGTATTAATAGCTTCTTCCTTGCTAACAAGATTCCGTTATTCTACATAGCATATGTCCATGCCTAAGTGGGCTAAACCAAAATGACAATTGCATTACCAATTTGTCAACTTTGCTGTCTATTTTACCAAGTATCTCTAAAGAGGGGTAATGGCATATTTTTCCATGAAGCTTTTACTTTACTAATAAAAGGGGATGGTTGCTGCTGGCACTGTGCTTCCTAATATAATTCTATATTAAATCTAGATATGACAATGTGCTGTCTGACAATAGAGCACTTATTTCACAACCACAAGGTGACAAGCATGAGAAAACCAATGAATTAATGACAGTCTAGCAGAAAAATAGAAAGGGCCTGGTTCCTTGATTGTATCTGTGATCAGTCAAAGTAATGCTAAGACCTACCTACTTCTACAATTTTTACTATGTGAGAAACATAAACTCCAATTTATTTCATCTACCTTTTTGGGAGTTTGTGTAACATGCAGTTGAAAACACTATTAACTTATACATTATAGCTTGCATAATAACCGTCAAAGTCTCAGATCAAAGATTAGATGAACATGAAACTATAATCTGGAATATGTTGTAGTGGCTTTTTAAAAATTATTTACATGGTGAAACAGATATGTTTATTCTGAAATAACAGATAAGTATATTAATACTTAAGGAGTTAGTTAATTTTGCAACACTAGTATATAGCCAAAAAAAAAAAAGACAAATCTAATTCTTTCTGTGCCATTTTAACTCTACTGTTTTTTCTATATCCAATTAGAGATACTGACCGAATACTTTATTGATTGTTTTGTTTGCAAAGAAATGGTGTTGGGTATAAAATTCTACAAACGCTTAAAGCTAAACAAGGAGAAATATTAAACTGTGACTTCCTTGAAAGCAGTCACTGGATTATGCTTAGTTACTTGAAACAACACAAATTTATTATTTTACATTCCTGGAGGTCAAAAGTCCAAAAGAAGATTTACTGAGTGGAAACCAAAGTGTCAGTAGAGATATTTTCTTCTGTAGGCTGTGATGGGAGAATCCATTTATTTGCCTTTTGCAGTTTCTTGAGGCCGTTTGTATTCCTTGGTTCATGATCACTGTCCTGATCACTCCAATCTCTTGCTTTCATCATCGTGTCTCCTACTACTAACTCTGATTCTCCTGCTTTCCTTTCATAAAAACACTGGTGATTACATTGAGCCCAAGCAAATAATCCAGGATAATCTTCCCATCTCAAAATCCTGTATTTGATAACATCTGAAAAGGCTCTTCCACCAAGTAAGGTAACATTGTCATAGGTTCTAGGCATTACGATTTGAACGTCTTTGGAGGATCTTTATTCAGCCTAGCACAAATAGATAAGGGTACAAATGAATATAGAAGTAAATTAATACTCTGAGATAAAATGACCCTATTCATAGTACATTGACATAATAGCCTCTTCTGTTTATTAACATGGCTTTAATTCAACTCTTGCTCTTCACTATGCTATATGATCTCACTAATGTAGTGAGAGGCTGAGATACTGAAATGAAGGTCCTGCTGACTTGAAGCTCATGCATGAACTGTAATGGATTTCTTCTACACAGAATATAGTCTGAGATTATCCAGTATGACGCCATCCAGTCTGAGTTCTCTGCCCTTCAATTGAAATATTTAGATCATTTACGTTATTGTAATAATTAATTTTAGATGAGTTAAATCTTTCTATTTACTCTTTCTTTTTTTATATATTCCTGCTTTTTGAGCTCTATTATTGTGATATTTTATGTATACACATATATGTTATTATATAGATACACAGATATATATGTTTTCACCCACAGTTCCTGGCTTACAACTCCTATAGCCCTTGCTACTTCCTACGTGACTAAAACAATGAGTGTATCTTTTGTTAAAGTATTTGTCCTTGTGTCATTGGTACCTGAAGCAGATCTGGAACAGCTTCAGAATGATAAAGATGAAAGACAGTATTTTGTTATAATGTCAGGATGGTTTAGACCTCGGAAGCAAATCTCCTGCCCTCCTTTCACCTGCTCCTTTTTCTCCCCAAGGCAGACCATAGAAACTAAAAATGTTCTCTGATTTTCTCCTGCCTTTCTGTCTTGGAGCTGGCCATAAAGAAATTCTCTGACCTACCTTGTCTGATTGTAGGTCATAAGATTTCAGATACAATTTCAGAAGGAGTTCTTCCCCATACCCAGGAGGAAGGAATACTGCACAGAGAGACTGAGAAGAGTCTGAACAGACAGGCCTTGTTAAGTTCCTTCACTCAATCTATCAGTATTAGATCATACTCATTTGATCCAATCACATTTCTACATGGTTGTCCATGATTCAATTATGCTTATCCAATGAAGTCTCCATAACATGTTCAACAGGACTGGTTGAGAGAGTTTACAAAAAGCTAAACATGTGGAGGTTTTTCAAGAGTGGCAACCCTGGAGAGCACATGGAAGTTTTGTGCCCCTTCCCCCATACCTAGTCCTACATATCTCCTCATCTGTATCTTTTGATATATCATAATGTTTTGTTATCCTTATGCCTCAAAATGGAGTCACTCATGTCAAGTAGCATTGAGCCCACAGTGAAGTTCTTTTTCTCCTCAAAGCAATAAACATATATGTAATAGATTGAGGTGATAAGATACACCTGCTATTGCCCATATGACCCGAGACCTGAAACAAACCAACAGAAAGTGAAAGGTGGTTGAGAAATTGAAAATGCACATATCTGTGGAAGATCACAAAAGCAGCAAGGACCCCGTCTTATTTGAGACACCTTCAGGGGCTCGGCTGGTGAGAACTCTAAGGCCTTCTCCTGACTTGGCAGCTGCTGCAGGAGGCTCTTCCTGAAAGAAGTAGTAACCCCCAACCTCAAGATTATGTCTCCAAGTGTGGACCCATCTTGTCAAAGATGTTTGAATAGACTTTAAAAAATTATATTGTCTCCTTCTGAAATAGCAGACTTAATTTCTGTCCAGTATAATAAAGATAATATTTTCTTCCAGGGCAAAATTGGGGCAGGATTTCTTGCAACCCATTATGAAAGATTGAGACTTCTTTACCTTTGGATTGCTGGATTTTAATACAGACACACTGGATATGCAGCTTCCATCTAGTCCCATCAGTATCACCTCTGAGGGACTGTAGAGCAGAGGAAATAGGCGTGAACATGAAAGTCATGCAACTTGCTTTATCATTGTGGACAAATCCTTTGTCTCTTACTGAGGAGTCTCATATTTTCTGCCAGCTTACAGGAAACTGTGGCAAACTAACCTGTTAATTTGAAAATAGGACAAAATGGCAGACACTCCCAGTGTGGTTTTCTTATGTTGCCATGTATATGCCCAATTCATTATTTCCAATGGTTGCATAATAGCTCATGGTGTACCTCCCCTACAGTTTACTCCTGAAGTCTCTCAGTAATGAACACCCAGGTCTTTTTCAATTCCTTGACAAATAACACTGTATGAACCACTTCATATATGTCTCTGTATGAATTTGTGAGAGAATAATTGCTTGTTTGATGGGGGGTGTAACATATCCAAGAGTAGGAGTGCTATAAATATACATACACTTAATGTGTGTACTGGTGCCAGATTGCTTTCCAGAAGGGCTGCATCAGTCCATACACCCACCTGCAATTCATGTACATATCACCTTCAACCTTTGGTATTTTGTTTTCAATTTTTTGCCAATATAACAACTGTAAAGCTATATATCATTTTAGCTCAATTTGCATTTCTTATTATTAATGAGAATTATGCCAATAAATTTGAGCATCTCTTCATCTGTTTCTTAGGTTTTCAAGTTAACTCTGTAAATTGCCTACACACATCTTTTTCTCATGTTCTTATAAATTTTTATCTCTTCTGCTTTTACTTTTAGAAATTTAAAATATCTTTTTGGTATTAATATCTTGTATATTTTAAAATTTTCAAATATCTTAGAATCACTAAATTGTCTGCTGTTCATATCCTTAATTTTAGATGTATGACATTAATTAAGATATAATTCAATAATTTTGCTTTCTGGGCCTAGCAACCAAAACAAAACAAAACAACCCTGAACAGATGGATTCACAGCCAAATTCTACAACATTAGTACAACATTAGTACTACTACAACAGTAGTACCAATCCTACTGAAATTCTTCCAAAAAATTGAGGAGGAGTTACTCCTCCTTACTCATTCTACAAATCTAGCATCATTCTGATATGAAAATTTGTCAAAGGCACATGAGAAAAGAAAACTTCAGGCCAATATCCTTCATGAACATAGATGCAAAAATTGTCAACAAAATGCTAGCAAACTGAAGCCAGCAAACACCAAAAAGTTAATTCACCACAATCAAGTAGGCTTTATTCCTAAGATACAACATTGGTTCAACATACACAAATCAATAAATGTGACTCACCACATAAATAGAATTAAAAATAAAAACCGTCCAGTCATCTCAATAGATGCAAAAAAGACTTTCAATAAAATTCAACTTCCCTGCATGTTAAAAGCTCTCAATAAATTAGGCATCAAAGGAACATACCTTGAAATAATGAGACATCAATGACAAACTCATAGCCAACATCATACTGATGTGGGAAAGCTGGAAGCATTCCTCTTGAGAACTGGAACAGACAAGGATGCCCACTTTCACCACTCCTATTCAACATGGTACTGAAAGTCTTAGCCAGAGCAATCTGGCAATAGAAAGAAATAAAAGGCACCCAAAGAAGAAAAGAGAAAATCAAATTATCTCTCTTCACAAATGATAGGATAGTATATATAAAAAACCCTAACGACTACACCAAAAGACACCTAGAACTGATAAATGACTTCAGTAAAATTTCAGGATTCAAAAATTAACATACAAAAAGTAATAGCATTTCTATACACCACTAATGTTTAAACTGAGAGCCAAATCAAGAACACAATCCAATTTAAAATAGTCACAAAAAGAATAAAATGTCTACAACTACAGCTAACCAAGGAGGTGAAAGATCTCTACAACAAACACTACAAAACACTGCTGAGAAATCAGAGACAACATAAATAAATGGCAAAACATTCCATGCTCATGGATAGGAAGAATCAATATTGTTAAAATGGCCATACTTACCAGAGCAACTTACAGATTCAATGCTATTTCTATCAAACTACCAATGTTATTTTTCACAGATTTAGAAAAAACTACTCTAAAATTTATAGAGAACCAAAAAAGAGTCCAAATAAAGAAATCTTAAGCAAAAAGAACAAAGCTGGAGGCATCACACTACCCAATTTTAAACTATACTGTAAGACTGCAATAACCGAAACAGTATAGTACTGGTACAAATATAGACACAGAGACAAATTAAACAGGATAGAAGATCCAGAGAAAAAAGCTTCACACTTAAAACCATCTGATTAAAGTCAACAATAACAAGCAATGGAGAAAGGACTCCTTATTCAATAAATGGTGCTAAGATAAGTGCAGAAGATTGAAACCTGGCTCCTACCTTTCACTGTATACAAAAATTAACTCAAGATAGATAAAGACTTAAATGAAGACCTACAACTATAAAAATCCTAGAAGAAAATGTAGAAAATACCATTCTGGACATCAGCCTTGACAAAAAAAAAAAAAATAAAGGTATGACTAAGTCCCCAAAAGCAATTGCAACTGAAACAAAAATTGACAAGTGGGATCTGATTAAACTAAAGCACTTCTGCACAGCAAAAGGAACTATCAACAGAGTAACAGACAAACTATGGAATGAGTGAAGATATTTTCAAACTATGCATCTAATAAAATTTAATATTCAGAATCTGTAAGAAAATTAAACAAGTCAAGAAAAATGCAAATAAACCTATTAAAAATGTGCAAAGGACGTGAACAGTCACTTCTCAAAGAATACAAACTTATGGTCAACAAAAATATAAAATAATGCTCAACATCAGTAGTAATTACAGAAATGCAAATCAAAACCACAATGAAATACTATCTCACACCAGTCAGAATGATTATTATTAAAAAGTCAGAAAATATGCTGGCAACGTTGAGGAGAAAAAGGAATGCTTATACAGTGTTAGTAAGTATGTAAATTAGTTCAGCCACTGTGGAAAGCAGTTGGAAAATTTCTCAAGGAACTGAAAAAAGAACTATCATTTGACCCAGGAATTTCATTCCTAAGTATAAGCCCAAAAGAAAATAAATCATTCCACCAAAAAGATACATGCACTCATATGTTGATTGCAGCACTGTTCACAATAGCAAAAATAAGGAATCAACCTAGATGCCCATCAATGGTGGACTGGTTTAAAAAAATGTGGTAAATATATACTGTGAAATACTAAGTAGCCATAAAAAAAGAACAAAATCATGTCTGTTGCAGTAACATGGATGCAGCTGGAGGCCATTATCGTAAGCAAATTACAAGAACAGAAAATTAAATACAGCATCTTTTCACTTATAAGTGGGAGCTAAACAGTGAGTACACAAGGATACAAAGAGAATATACAATGGGGCCTACTAGATGGCAGAGGATGGTAGGAGGGAGAGGGTTGAAAAACTTGGGTATATGCTCACTACCTGGGTGACAGAATCATTTGTACATGAAACCCCAGTGACACACAATTTACCATTGTATCAAACCTGCACATGAACCTAAAATAAAAGTTGAAAGCAAAATAATAATAATAATAGTGTTGCCTTCTGGTTTTGCTTTTGATGTTTAAAACATTCCATACTTATCTTTTAGTCCTAAAGATTTTTAAATATAATTCTATATGCATCCCTTAGACTATAGCTGCTTCTGCAGATTGTACGGTTTTCTCCATAATGTGCATTCAAATTTCTGTAACTGAAAATTAGACTGGGCATGGTGGCTCATGTCTGTAATCCCAGTATTTGGGAGGCCAATGTGGGAGGATGGCTTGAAACCAGGAGTTCAAGAACACACTGGGCAACATAACAAGACCCCATCTTTATTTCGTTTTAAATTTAAAAACAAAAAAGAAAATTAAATTGTTCAGGTTTACTCATGTGTAGGTAGAGTTTTGGTGGCAGGTCATTCTTCAGTGCACATTTGTTCTTAATATCTTAATATTATGATCTCAATATTTTAATAAATAATGTATGCAAATACCTAGCTTCAACTTATTCCTACATTTATTTGTTTAGAAACCATCCTTAGTTTATTTGACTTGATAAATATATTAGACACAAATTTGTCTCTTTCTTATAAAGTAAGGCAAAATCATTTTTGACTGAATATTTCTATGGACGTATCATAATTGATGACTCAGTGAAAGTATTACAAAAGATCCTAAAACTTTTTGCAAATCTTCTCATGAAGCCTTGGCTTCAGACTGTAGGTAAAATTCCTAAGGTCTCCCTTCAACCATGAGTAAGTAGAATATGCCAAGTCTGGGACGATGCAGATAATATCAGTATTGGTTTACACATCTTTGTTACAGGATAACTACATGCAATGGTTCGGTTTGCGTTTGTCTCTTGGTGTTCTAAAATTTTTGTCTAAATGTAATCAAAAGTATCAAATTATAAACTGTTACAATAGGGAGGCATCCATTTCTTTAAGACCCTAACCTGATCACATTTTCATACGCTGCTAGAAAACACATTAAAGATCTTTCTTCTCTGAATATGTCTCATTTAATAACTCTGCCCAGAATGTACTTGGCCTATATTATCCTTTGGATCTAACTTAAATGTCACTTTTCACCTAGGCAGAATTTTTTCGGGGGGCTGGAGGGCAGGGAGAGTACTGCAATATCACTTATTAGATTGTACAACCCTGTATCTTGAAATGATTATTAGTCCCTAATAACAAGAACCATTCATTAAAAGGAAAAATAAAACACATTCAGTTGGCTTGAAACAGACAAGGAGCAGTATTCTACAACAACTGCTTGGGTTGGATCTCTGTTCTCCTTTGGTTTGGTCAACTCCTATAGAAGCAGCCATTCCCTCTTGCAAGAAGAACTAGGGAACCAGAGAGAAATGTGATTCCCTTAAGCCATTTCCATTTTCTTGAATTGTAGTACTATCACTGATAGTAAAGACTGGCTATTTAATAGAAATGAACTAACCTGCACAATGTGCACATGTACCCTAAAACTTAAAGTATAATAAAAAAAAAAAAATTAAAGACACTCAAAAAAAAAAAAAAAAGAAAGCAAAATTGTGGATAATGGAGGACTACTGTAAACTGAAAACAAAAAGGTGAAATGAGTTACAAGAGAAAAGAATACAGGTCTTTTAAATGTTCTTCTTTTTGCTTCCTTATATATTCTATATTTTTCATACTGAACATGTAACACATCTTCAGTTAAAAAATAAATGTTTAATTAAGCAGCAAAAAAAAAAAAAAAGAACAATAATCACTAACACATTCCAAATTTCCTCTGTTAGAAAAAGTTAACTGTAAATTCTTGAGTTTTAGCATTTGAGATGTAGTCAGACTAGGCAATCATGAATTAGTATTTTAATACAAAACTGCAAACCTAGTTTTTTAACCTTTATTTATGTTTATGTTATTTAATAAATGTATAGGTATTCTTTTTATCATTTTTTCTTTTCATCGAGGTATAATTTAAATATCATAAAATGTACTCATTTTAATATACGATTAAGTATTTTTAGTATATTTACAGGATTGTTGTACAATCATCACAATATATTTATTGTACATTTAAATCAACCTCCCCCACAAATAAAGCAAAAAAAAAAAAAAAAAAAAAAAAGAAATGAACTAACAATGGACAGAAGGAACTTAACTAGCAACAAATGTTGGGGCCAGCTTACTTTGGGGAACTTCTCAGGCAAGTATATTTGTATTCAGCTTTGTTCACTCTAAAGCTACATTGTTTGGCATCAGAATGGATGTGTATATAAATCATATCTATTGATCTATTGATATTGCTCAGGGGAGTTTTTAGGATTTTTACTTCTTAGGTGTAATCTTACAGCAGTTCTCTCAAAAGCAGTGAGGTCTGAAGGTTGGACTGTGCTGCAAAGGATACTGCTGGGTGGTTGCTTATTTGTAATATTACAGAATATTATAGCACTTACTGGAATTTTAGAGATAGGCAAGTTTAAATATTAAGGTCCAGCATTGTTTTCTGTAAATCAGTATGTTTTACAAAGAGCTAAGCCCCTCCTCCTACCCACTTCTGATGAAACCTCCATATTCCACATTGAAAGCGATGTTCCTACTCATCTATTGGTGTGTTTTGTTAGGCAGTTGAATTCAAACCTGAAGAGAAACAGAATATGCTGGTTGTGGCTAAAGGGAATAATGGAGGGGTTAGGGTAGGTATAATAATTTACATATCTTGACCAGAGTTTAGGGTATGTTTAAAAGAGTGGTAGAAGATAAATTTAGAATATTATCTCATGGAAGTATCCTAGACAAGTAAAAATGAAGTAGGACCTGAAGAATAACTGTAAGATTTTGAGCAGTCAAGTGTTTTAAAAAGAGTTGGATTTGAGAAACTTAATTTGGCAGTTTACTGTTGCATGAGTTTATCTAGAATAAAACAGGAAGCAAGAAGACCCTTTGGCAGTCAGTCAGACTTGTCCAGCTGGAAGGGCAGAGTAGTGATGGTAGTGAAAATGGAAATTAAGGGATGACAGATGCTCTGGAATGTGGAAATTCTTAGATGAAGGCAAAAGGAGAGAATAATTTCTAATGACTTCTGGTTTTTAAGACTGAGTTGCTGAGAATACAGTGGCTCTATAAAAAAAGAATCAGAAAGTCAAAACTATTTTCATAAGTAAATGATTACGTCTGGTTTTAGTATCCACAGCCTTTATTGTGGTGGTAAAATATCAAATGTAAGTGTTTCAATAGCCTCTAAAGATAAGGACAATCAGAAAATAGAATGTTTGGGCTAGCTTACAAACACAATAAACATTAGTTAAGAACTAATTATTAATATAGGAACAAGGGGAAATTTGTTAAGGAAAAGAGTAGAAGGAAAGAAAAGAAACTCTTTGGGAAATGCCTTTGTTTAGGGAGCAAAACATCTCTTTGTTCCATAATATATTTTGTTTATGTCCCCACCCAAATTGCATCTTCAATTCCCACATATTGTGGGAGTGACCTGGTGGGAGGTAATTGAATCACGGGGGGTAAGTCTTTCCCATGCTGTTACTGTGATAGTGAATAAGTCTCATGAGACCTGATGGTTTTAAAAAGAGGAGTTGGCCTGCACAAGCTCTCTCTTTGCCTACTGATAGCCATGTAAGATGTGACTTGCTTCTCCTTGCCTTCTGCCATGATTGTGAGGCTTCCCCAGCCAAAAAGAACTGTAAATCCAATTAAACCTCTTTCTTTGTAAATTGTCGAGTCTCTGGTATGTCTTTATCAGCAGCAAGAAAACAGACTAATATATCCCATTCTTTGATAGAGATAGTCTTATAAAATCCTTTGTCACTGAACATGAGAGGAAAGTTATATTTCCAATGACAAGACGTTCTACTGGTCAAGTCCAGTGAGTTTTCAGTGGAGGACACTATCAATCTTTAGCCAAGGAAACTAAATTTAATATTAGTATCGCTTTAGAGTGAGGGATATTCTGCATTTTTTAAT
Organism: Homo sapiens; assembly: GCF_000001405.40. Taxonomy (NCBI): domain Eukaryota; kingdom Metazoa; phylum Chordata; class Mammalia; order Primates; family Hominidae; genus Homo; species Homo sapiens. The sequence continues at coordinate 80,621,588 of NC_000001.11, read as the reverse complement.
GAGAAAGAGAAATCAAACGATTGGCTTATTTTGAAACAAATTTGAACCATCATAAAAATTGGTATAATCAAAGCTATAAATTAATTAATCTATTTTTATTTTTGGAAACTTGATAAGCTCTACTAGATGAGATGGTAGTTGTGCAGTAGTGGGCTACCTACCAGTAATAGCAGAATATGTTATTCAGCAATCTTAGATCTTTTTATCTAGAACTAGGCATATGAAATTCAGTTTCAACAAGAACAAGGCCATTTGGCACTAAGAGTGAATAGTCAAGGCCAATTGCAGAGGTTGCTTCTGATAATTTAATCAATGCACATTCCCTAATTAAACACTTGTTATATTCCAAAGACTCTTATAGGCAATTAGCAGTAATTCTCAAACTTTTGTTGGTGGAAAAACACCTGCTTCGCTTCTTGAAAATTCAGGATTATGGTATAAACACTATTTTGCTGATCCAAAATTGTGATTGATAGGTCAGAGTGGTACCCACAATTGTTTATTTTTAATACCCAGCTGATTTCAATAGAGGTTATCTACAGAAAGCACTGACTGAAGATGAGGACAAATAAGGCTCAGATTCTGCCTTGGGTAACTAGAATGGAGAGCACACATACATAGTCTAGGTGCTGTAGAATGCGATTCTATAGAAATATGTATGTAGAAGTATGTGAATAGTATGAGTAGAAATATATACAATCTATATCAGGAGGAACAAAAGGAGGGCATTACCAATTATGCTCAGTGCTATCTCAGAAGTGATTCCCTTGCTTGTTTTTATACGCATATCCATACTGATGGTCAACATGAAAAATATTCTAAACAATGTAACCAGCATGACCAAAAACATGGAAATATACATTAGTATAATATAGTCATTAAACATGTATTGTGGGTTTTTAATTTGAATTGGGGTAAAAGTTAAAAAATGTCATAAGAAGTTTAGATTCGTCCTGTTTACATTAGAAACAATTGAAGAATTGGAACATTACAATGTACTAATATCATCCGGGCTGTATTTCCTTAAGTTCACTGGCAAAAGAATGGAAGAAGATTCACTGGAAGGTAAAGAGGTGGCTTAGTTAAGTGCTGAGTAATCTAGACAAGAGCAGTTTAAACATATCTGAATGCCATGACTCAATTTTTACCGAGACCCAACATAAGATTGTGAGAATGTCTGTGTCTGCAAGAAGATAAAATAACAAATAATTTACCTAAGGACCTTCTATTTAAAAAATGCTTTTCATACTTATTTAAAAATTTGTTTTCAAACCCCTTATTTCCCAATAAAGTTTTATACAGAATCATAAAAGTTACAACAGATAACACTGGAGCCACTCTGCTCCAAGTGGGTGTGGTAAGAGATAGAGGAAATCCTCTCTCCTCATGGACTTCTTTTCATTTTGTATCCTGGCATGGCTCTTTAGAAAACTCCAGGGTTTTGAAAGAGTGTGAAAATCACTAAATTAGAACATTCTGTAGGTATTTTAAGATTTTATTTAGATTATTATGTGGATCATAAATTAAGGTGATCACAGCAGCATTGTTTTAAGAATGGAAACTTAAAGGTGTATGCAAGAGAAATCTGTTTCTACAGATTTTCCTTATGTATGTGTATACAGATGTAACACATAAGGTTGATAGCAGAAGTAGGGTATTAACAGTTTTTATGAAATTTAGACATTACCCCTTTTAGACCAATTTATTTTACATTTAAAATTGTACTGAATTGTGCATGAAATATTCTATGTATTTCCATGTCTTTATTTTATTTGATAAATATGAATGCCATTAGCTCCAATCTCAGAAACAAATCACTGCTCTTTTAAGCCTCCGTCTTTTTTGTCTTCTATGTAACACTTTACAATAATAGGCTAATCATTCTCAACTCCTTTGGTATTTATTGCAAAGACATTAATTCTGATGTGCTCATTTAGTATTAATGTGAATGTCATAAGTACTTCAGTAGGAATAGGATCTCTACTGGAATTCAGCATTAATTAGCCAGGTCATTACTTCAAAGTGTTACTCTTTCCTTTTAAAACAGCTCCACTTCAGCATACTCCTTCCTGCAAAGTACATCCAGGCTCTTTCTATTAGAAGGGGTACTTACAAGTATTTGAATCTATTGAGATAAAGTTGTGAAAGTGAACAGGATACAATAGACAAGGTGTGGTAATTACTAGACAACTGATTAATAGAAAGCTGATGTTTTAATTGAGCTTCTGTGGTTCCTACAATAACTTGAATTGAATAAGGGACTTGATTGTATTTTAAATCTCTCTGGAGCATAAAGAAGCAATAGCATTAAATAAAAGGTTCAAATAAGCCTTCAAATTTTTGTGGAAAATTAAAAAAAAAAACACCATACACACATCTAAGACCATAGCAATTGGTGCATTAATCAGAGACTTTCTTGGACTAGAAACACTGGTATATTTATAACTAAAGGTATTTTTAATGTTAAATATGTTTTTGAATAAAATGGTGCTCATCTGAAGAAATATCAATGGCTTATGTTGTGATTTTAATCCATTATTCCTATGCCTTTCAGTATGTGAGCATAGTTATTTTTATGTGCATCCATAGTGCCAAGGTCAACTTATTATTCATTAAATAATAAGAAAGTTTAAGTGTCTTAACTATAGTACTGGGATATCTACCATATCACATATCTTTATAAAAAGATTGACTTGATAAGATGGAAATTATTTTAGATTAATTTAAATGGAAGAGTGAATTCATTCTTTCCCCCACTGACTTCTCAGTAATTCATTCTGTAAGCATTTTGGCATTGCAGAAAATCTCTTTTTATTCTAAATTTCGTTCAAAGCTAAGACAACTATTTCACTTCCCCTTAAAAATTACACTTTATTATTTTAATTTTATGTTAGAGTCAGGGGGGTATATATGCAGATTTGTTACATGGATATATTGCATAATGGTGAGGTTTGGACTTTGGTAGCCATAACCCAAATAGTGAACAGTGTATCCAATATGTAATTTTTTAACCCTCACTCTCGCCCACCCTCCTCACTTTCAGAGTCCTCAGTGTCTATTATTTTTATCTTTATGTCCATGTGTACCCATTGTTTAGCACTACTTATAAGTGGGAACATGCAATGTTAGATTTTCTCTTTCTGAGTGATTTCACATAGGATGATGGCCTCCATTTGTATGTATGTTCCTGGAAAGGACATAATTTAATTTTTAATGGCTATGTAGTATTCCACAGTGTATATATACCACATTTTCTTTATCCAGTCAACTGTTGATGGACACTTAAGTTGATTCCATGACTTTGCTACTGTGAATAGTGCTGCGATAAACATATGACTGCAGGTGTTTTCTTTATACAATGATTTATTTTCATTTGGGTAGATATGCAGTAGTGAGATTGTTGGATTCAATGTTAGTTCTATCTTTTACTTATTTGGGAAATCTCAATGCTATTTTTCATACAGTTTATATTAACATACATTCCCATCAACAGTGTATAAACATTTTCTTTTCTTTGCATCCTTGCCAAGATCTGTTATTTTGTGACTTTTTAATGATAACCATTCTGATGGGTGTAAAATGGTATTGCATTTATCTGATGATTAGTGATATTGGGCATTTTTTCATGTTTTTGTCCACTTGTGTAACTTCTTTTGAGAATTATGTTATATGTCCTTTTCCCACTTTTTAACAGGATGTATGTTTTTTTCTTGTTAGTTATTTGAGTTCATTGTAGATTCTAAATATTAGTCCTTTGTCAGAGACATAAATTGAAAATCTTTTCTCCCATTTTGTAGGTTATTTACTTTATTGATTATTTGTTTTCTTCTTCAAAAACTTTTTAGGTTAATTAAGTCCCTTTGTCTATATTTGGTTTTGTTGCATTTGCTTTTTGTGTCTTAGCTATAAACTCTTTGCCTAGGCCAATAACCAGAAGAGGTTTTCCTAGGTTTTCTTCTAATATTTTTATGATTTCAGGTATTACATTTGGGACTCTAATCCATCTTGGGCTAATTTTTGTATATAATGAAAAATAGAAATCCAGTTTTAGTCTTCTACGTATGGCTAGCCAATTTTCCAAACATCATTTATTGTATAAAGTGTCCTTTCCCCATTGTTTAATTTTACTGACTTTATGAAAGATCAGTTGATTTTAGGTATATGGCTTTATTTATTGGTTCTTCATTCTGTTCCATTGATCTATGTATATATATTTGTACCAGTACCTTGCTATAATTTGTAGTGTAATTTGAAGTCAGGTAAGATGATGTCTCCAGTTTTACTCTTTTTGCTTAGGTTTTCTTTCACTATTCAGGCTCTTTTTTATTATTATTATTCCTTAAGACCTTTAGATCTATATAAACTAATTTTGTGAAGAATGATGCTGGCACACTGATAGAAATTCTGTTGAATTTGTAGATTGCTTTGGTTAGTGTGGTCATTATAATGATATTGATTCTTCCAGTCCATGAACATGGGTTGTTTTTCCATTTGTTTGTGTCATCCGTGATTTCTTTCATCAATGTTTTGTAGTTCTCCTTGTAGAGATCCTTCACCTCCTTAGTTAAATGTATTCCTAGAGATTTTATTTTTGTGTGGCTATTGTAAATGGGATTGAGTTCTTCATTTGGTTCTCAACTTGAACACTATCATTGTATAGAAATGCTTCTGCTTTTCATATGTTAGTTTTGTATCTTGCAACTTTACTGAAGCCATTTATCAAGTCTAGGAGCCTTTCAGAGGAGTCTTTAGAATTTTCTAGGTCTAAGATTATGTCATCAGCCAACAGAGATAATTTGATTCCCTCTTTTCTGAATTGGATGTCTTTTATTTCTATCTTGCCTATTGCTCTGGCTGGAACTTACAGTACTATGTTAAATAGGAGTGGTCAGAGTTGACATCCTTGTCTTGTTCTTAGAGGGAATGCTTTCAACTTTTCCCTATTCAGTATGATGCTGGCTATGGGTTTGTCATATATGGCTTTTACTATTTTGAGGCCAGTTCCTTCAATGCTTCATTTGTTGATGGTTTTACCATGAAGAGATGTGGAATTTTATCAAATGCTTTTTCTGCATTTATCATTTATGGTTTTTATTTTTAATTCTGTTGATGTGGTGAATCACATTTACTAATTTCCAAATGTAGAAACATCTTTGCATCCCTGAAATAAAATGCACTTGATCATGATTAATTATATTTGTGATGTTCTGTTGTATTTTGTTTGCAAGATTTTGTTAAGAACTTTTGCATCTATGTTCATCAGGAATATTGGCCTATAGTTTTATTTTCTGTTGTTGTTGTTGTGTCCTTGCCTGATTTTGGTATCAAGTAATACTAGTTTCATATAATGAGTTAGGGAGGAATCCTTCCTATATGGATTGTAAGGAAGAGCAGTGAGATCCAAAAGAAAGTTGAAAGCCAACACAAAGAAACCATAAAATCAATTCAGGAGATGAAAGATGAGATAGATATATTTAATGAAAACAAAGATATCTTCTATAAATAAAAAATTAACTGAAGGAATTTTAAAACACAGCTGAAAGCTTCAACAATAGACTAGGGTAAGGAAAAGAAAGAATTTGGGAACTTAAAGATTGGTCTTTTGAATTAACATGGTCATGCAACAACAACAACGACAAAAATCCTAAAAAATAAATGAAGCTTTCAGGAAATATGGGATTATATAAAAAATTTATATAAAGCCAGCAAAACTTTATATAAAGCCAGCAAAACTTTAACATATAGGCATTCCTAAGGGAAAAGAAGGAAAAGTAAGAAGTTTGGAAAATATATTTGAGGGAATAACTGAGAACAATTTCCCCAATATTACTGTTGATATAGACATACAGATATAAAAAATTTGGAGAACACCTGGAAGATGCTACACAAGATGAAGATCACCAAGGCATATAGTCATGAGACTATCCAAGGTCAATATGAAAGAGCAAGTCTTAAAGGCAGCTAGAGAGAAACATCAACTCAACTACAAAGAAAACTCCATCAGACTATCAGTAGAAACTTTACAAACCAAAGAAGAATCAGAGCCGATTTTTACCCTTCTTAAAGGAAAAACATGGCAGTCAGGAATTTTATATCCTACCAAACACAGATTCATAAATGAAGGAGAAATAAAGTATTTTCCAGACTAGCAAACACCAAAGGAATTTGTCACCACTAGACTCGTCCTACAGAAAACGTTCAAAAGAATTCTAAGCATGGAAATGAAGGGGGACAACACACTCTATCATAAATGCATGCATAAGTAGATAGCTCACAAATCCTATAAAGCAATTCAATTATTGAGACTCCAGGGCAACTATCTAACAAAACTATGACAGGAACAAAGCCTCAAATAGCAAAACTGACTTTGACTGCAAAGGCCTAAATATTCCACTTAAAAGATATAGACTGTCAAATTGGATTAAAAAACAAGACAACCATCTGCTGCCTACAAGAGACCCACCTATGTTTAATGATACCTACAGACTCAGAGTAAGGGGTTGCAAAAACATCATGTGAATGGAAAGCAAAAATGAGCATAAGTAGCCATTGCTTTATCAGATAAAAGAAATTTTAAACCAACAGCAGGAAAAAAAAAAGAGAGACAAAGAATGGCATTATATAATGATAAAAGGTTCAATACAACAAGAAGTTTTAACTATTCTAAATGTATGTGCACCCAACACTGGAACACCCAGATTCATAAAACAAATACTACTAGACCTACAAAACGAAATTGATGGCAATGCAATAAGAGTGGGAGACTTCAAAACTCCAACAGTAACACTAGACAGGTCATTAAAGTAGGACTTAAAAAAGAAACTCTAGACTTAAACTGGACTTTAGACCAAATGGACCTAATAGATATTTATAGAACATTCCACCCAGAAACTACAGAATATACATTTTTTCTCATCTCTACACGGAACATTTTCCAAAATTGATCATATGCTTGGCCAGAAAGCAAATCTCAATAGATTTTTTTAAAAAATTGAAATCATATTGAATGTCTTCTCAGACCACAGTGGAATAAAATTAGAAATCAGTACCAAGAGAAACTCTTAGAACAACACAAGCTCATGGAAACTAAACAAATTGCTATTTAATGACTTTTTATGGTAAAAAAGTAACCATTTTTAATTTTTGGTAAGAAAATTAAGGCAGAAATCTACATGTCTTTGAAATAAATAAAAATAGAGATACAGCATACCTAAACCTCTGGTATACAACAAAAGTAGTGTTAAGAGGAAAATTAATAGCATTAAGTGCCTACATAAAAAAAGGCAGAAAGGTCTCATAATATAACAACCAAATGTCACATCTCAAGAAACCAGAAAATCAAGAACAAACCGTACCCAAAAGCCAAGAGAAGAAAACCTATAACAAAGATCAGAGCAAAGCTAAATAAAATTGAGACCAACAAATGAAACAAAGGATCAATAAAACAAAAGTTGGTTATTTGACAAGATTAACAAATAGACTTCTAGCTAGTTTAACCAAGATAAAAAAGAGAGAATATTCAATAAGCACAGTTAGAAATGTTAAAAAGTGACATTACAACTGATACCACAGAAATGCAAATGATCATCGGATATTACTATGAACATGTCTATGTACACAGTACAAACTAGAAAACCTAGAGAAAATAAATACATTCCTGGAAAAATAAAACCTCCCAATATTGGATAAGGAAGAAATAGAAATCCTGAACAGACCAATAATGAGTAATAAAATTGAATTAGTAATTTAAAATCTTTCAACAAAAAAAATGCTCAGGGCTAGTTTCATTCACAGTCAAATTTTACCAGAAGTGCAAAGGAAAGCTGGTACCTATCTTACTAAAACTATTCTAAGAATGACAGCCAGATTCCTAATTTAACCATAGGGAATACAATTTTAGCTTTAAAATAATTCTGGGTATTCTCTGTGAAATCTGGATCAGGCTTACTTTCAAGTCTTCTATGAGTTATCAGTGAATATGATTAAAGGAACTCATTAGTTCTAACAAGTGGTAGTTCCTTTTGTGTTACAAAAATATCAAAACAAATGCCTAAATCAACTGAAGACAGTTTTTAAACTTTCTAACAAATTTCCTAATGGGTAGATTAAATATTATCTGATATTTTTAGCACAAAGGAAACATTTTTATTGAAACATTTTAAATTTAGAAATGTAGCTTGGATGGTATGGTGAAAACAATGCTAGACTGAGTGACAGAATTGCTAGATTCTAAATCTGGATCTACCACCAATTGCTTAAGTTTGAGGTTCAGCATTAACTATAATTAAACTTCATCTCTCCTATTGTTAATACAGAGTAAGTCGAGAGTCTAGGAGTTACTCTGAAGTAAATATTATGACACATATTATCAGTGGCAATTTTATTTTGGCAATCTAATATTTACATATAAACCATTTTATAATATTTGTTTCTGCGTATTTGGAAGTTGAATACTTCCTTTGCTTCTCAAAAATATGGAAAGAATTATCCATAAAATCATTATAATTCAAAGCCTTTGGGGAGGTAATTGTCAACTTTCTGATTTATTTCAGTTATTGATCTCTTCAGGTTTTAAATTGAATCTTTCTCATCTTTCTTGTTTCTGAATGCTAAATGCCTCAGGTCTGCCTCTAAGAACCTCTTCTCTTTTCTTTTTGCATTCCTTTCTTAGGTAACACCATGTACTTCCAGAGAACTGACTACATTTCCATGTTGGTGGTCACCAGACATATTTCTCAAATGTCAAACATTTTTAAAAATTGCTTTATATCCAGCTATTTTCTTTACTTCTCCAGTGGAAGGCTTAACAGTGATCTCAAATTAATATGACTCAAACCAAACTTGTAATTCCCCTTACCCCAACAAAACTAGTTCTACTCTAGTATTTTCTATTCCATAAAGTGATAACTCCATTCATACAGCTATACTCTTACTCTCATGCCCCATTTTCTTTCTTTCTTTCCTTCCTTCCTTTTCTTTTTCTTTCTTTGTTTTTTCCTTTCTTTTCTTTCTTTCTTTCTCTCTCTCTTTCTTTCTTTTTCTTTCTTCTTCTCTCTCTGTCTCTCTTTCTTTCTTTCTTTTTCTTTTCTTTTCCTTTTTTTTTTTTTTTTTGAGATGGGCACTCTGTTGCCCAGGCTTGCAGTAAGTGGCAAGATCTTGGCATACTGCAACCTTCTCCTGGGTTCAAGCAATTCTCCTGCCTCAGCCTCCCAAGTAGCTGGAATTACAGGTGTGTGCCACCATGCCCAGCTAATTTTTGTATTTTTAGTAGAGAAGGGGTTTCGCCATGTTGGCCAGGCTGATCTCAAACACCTAACCTGAAGTGATCTGCCTGCCTCGGCCTCCCAAAGTGCTGGGATTACAGGCGTGAGCCACTCCGCTAGGCTCATGGCACATTTTCAATTCATTATCTGATACCTAATGGGTAGTAAATGATAAGAGACCAATACTGAAGCCGGCAATAGCTAAAACGTTCAGATCAATTTTAAAAATCATATATTTAAAATCTTTAGATATCTGTTGAGACAGTGAGAAAAGGATAGCTAAATTTCTCAATAACAATGACCTATTTCAATGATCATGCAGAAGACTGCTATGGTGTGTGTGGCAAGATAGTGGGAGTTAGTAGAGGGGAATATTGAAAAATCAGATGAGTTTTACCGGTCTGATATGGTTTGGATCTGTGTCCCTACCCGAACCTCAATTTAAATTATAATCCCCAGTATTGAAAATGGGGCCTGGTGGGAGGTGATTGGATCATATGGCCAAGTTCTTATGAATGGGTTAACACCATCCTCTTGGTACTATTCTCTTGATAGTAAGTGAATGAGTTATCATGAGATCTGGTTGTTTAAAAGTGTATAGCACCTCCCCACCTTCCTCCTGCTCCAGACTTGTGAAGTGCTGCTCCTCATTTGCCTTCTTCCATGATTGTAAGTTTCCTGAGCACTCATCAAAAGCTGAGCTAATGCTGCCATGCTTTCTGCACAGCCTGTGGAACTGTGAGCCAATTAAACCTCTTTTCTTTATAAAGTACCCAGTTTTAGGTATTTATTTATAGCAGTGTGAGAACAGACTAATACACAGTCCTACAAGGCTGGTAGAACAAGTTTGGAAAGCTGAGAGGGCTTTGGGCACCTGGCTAATTTTCCCTTTAGCACATTTGCGGAAATCTGAGATTGAAGAGGCTAAAGAGTCAGGTTGAAATGTTCAAAAGTGAGAAAAATATGTCCCAAAGTTTCATGCTATTAAGAAACAAATACTCACCCTGAAGCAATAGCCTTCTAAATAAAACAGGCAAATAATTAAAGCCCTGGTGAAAGTGATGAATTTCAACTAAGATCTGTAACCACTTTTTACTAAGACACTTACAACATCTGGTGCAACTCGGGGTAAATATCCAGGCTTGACTCTAATCAAAGGCCTTTTTGGAGACAGATAAACGAATAATGACTTTGGCATTCACACAAGGCTGGAGTGACCTTGAAATGGCTTAAATCATATGACTTATCTCCTTATCAATACATCTCCAAAGTTTGAAGATACATGAGGAAGAATTATAAAGAGTTGAGCTAGCCATAATGCCTCTGAAAAAATAAAACTTAATATTCTATAGTTATTTGGGACTAAGAAGCCAAAGACTCAGCTCTTCCTTCCACCTTATACAAAAATTAACTCAAGATGGATTAAAGACTTAAATGTAAGACCTAAAACCATAAAAACACTAGAAGAAAACCTAGGCAATACCATTCAGGACATAGGCATGGGCAAAAACTTCGTGACTAAAACATAAAAAGCAATTGCAACAAAAGCCAAAATTGACAAATGGGACCTAATTAAAGAGCTTCTGCACAGCAAAATAAACTATCATCAGAGTGAACAGGAAACCTACAGAATGGGAGAAAATTTTTGCAATCTATCCATCTGACAAAGGGCTAATATCCAGAAACTACAAGGAACTTAAACAAATTTACAGGAAAAAAAAATCAAAAAGTGGGCAAAGGATATGAATAGACACTTCTCAAAAGAAGACATTTATGCAGCCAAGAAACATATGAAAAAAGCTCATCATCACTGGTCATTAGAGAAATGCAAATCAAAACCACAGTGAGTTACCATCATCTCATGCCCATTAGAATGGCAATCATTAAAAAGTCAGGAAACAACAGATGCTGGAGAGGATATGGAGAAATAGGAATGCTTTTACACTGTTGGTGGAAGTGTAAGTTAGTTTGATTCAACCATTGTGGAAGACAGTGTGGCAATTCCTCAAGGACCTAGAACCAGAAATACCATTTGACCTAGCAATCCCATTACTGGGTATATACCCAAAGGTTTGTAAATCATTCTACTATAAAGACACATGCACACGTATGTTTATTGCAGCAGTATTTACAATAGTAAAGACCTGGAACCAACCCAGATGCTCATCAATGATAGACTGGATAAAGAAAATGTGGCACATATACATCATGGAATACTAGGCAGCCATAAAAAAGAATGAGTTTATATCCTTTCAAGGGACATGGATGAAGCTGGAAACTATCATTCTCAGCAAACTAACGCAGGAACAGAAAACCAAACACTGCATGTTCTCATTCATAAATGGGAGTTGAACAATGAGAACACCTGGACACAGGGAGGGGAAGATCACACGCCGGTGGGGTGGAGGGCAAGGGGAGGGATAGCGTTAGGAATAAATACCTAATGCATGCGGGGCTTAAAACCTAGATGACGAGTTGATGGGTGCAGCAAACCACCATGGCACATGCATACATATGTAACAAACCAGCACATTCCGCTCATGTATCCCAGAACTTAAAGTATAATAATAATAATAATAAAATAAGAAACCAGAGACTCAAAAGGCCCACAATTAAAAGACCTAAAGGATCAATCTCTAGGAAAAAAATGTAAAGTAGAGGTTGACTAAGTTTTATACAATCTGCAGCCCAAGTCCAGCAAACTTCAATCACTGATTGGATTGTGGAAATAAGTCTTCTACCCTAAATACCCTAATAAAGAAGAAAGCAACTTGCTGTAGTGGACAAAGTATCATCTCAACGATCTATACCCTTGTAATATACAATGTCTAAGATTAAATCAGGAATTAGTAGACAGCCAAGTTTATTTTATAACTATTATAAGAGAAATGAATAAAATAGAAACCAAATATGCAATGCAGAAAATCAACAGATCTAAAAGATTTTTTTTAAAGATTAATAAAATTGGTTAGCTCAAAGCAAGACTAAATAATAAAAAAGGGAGAAAACATAAATTCGCAATGCCAGAAGTTGAAAGAAGCATATCACTATAGATTCTATAGACATCAAAAATATAATATGAAAAACTTTATATATTTAGGTATTCAGAAGATACTATAAACTAATTTACAACTATAAATTTGATAAATGATATACAATGGATAAATTTTTCAGAAATACATTTTATCAAAATTAAAAATCATTACACATCTGAATAGTTTAATGTGTATTAAAAATTTGAAGTTTTTATTGAAAAAGTTTTTCACAAAGACCCTAGGACCAGGGAAATTTATTAATAAATTCTTTAAAAATACTTAAGAAATAAATGACCAGCTTTACCTATACTTTTCTGTGTAACAGAAAAACAACAAAAACTTTTCAGTGTATTATGAGACAGACCCAAAGCCATCATAAGAGCATTTTAAGAATTAAAAAATTGGCCGGGTGCGGTGGCTCATGCCTGTAATCCCAGCACTTTGGGAGGCCAAGGCGGGTGGATCACGAGGTCAGGAGACTGAGACCATCCTGGCTAACATGGTGAAACCCCGTCTCTACTAAAAATACAAAAAATTAGCCAGGCGTGGTGACGGGTGCCTGTAGTCCCAGTTACTCTGGAGGCTGAGGCAGGAGAATGGCGTGAACCCGGGAGGCGGAGCTTGCAGTAAGCCGAGATCACGCCACTACACTCCAGCCTGGGCGACCAAGCGAGACTTCGTCAAAAAACAAAACAAAACAACAACAAAAAATGGAATAAAAAAGTTACACACCAGTCACGCTAGTGAACAATTGTAAACAAAATACTAGCAAAATGGATCTGGTAACACATAAAAAATGAAGATACATAAAACCAGGTGGAGATTGTTCCAAGAATTCAAGAGTAGTTTAATATTCATATTTAATTAGTGTAACTAATCACATTGGTGGAATAAAAGAGAAATAGTTGATTATTTTGATAGATATAAAGCACTTGATAAAGTTAAAAATCATTTATGAAAGTAATTCTTAGCAAACTAGTAGCAGAATGTAAGTCGTTAATCAGTAACAAATATCTACATATATCTACAGCAAATAACTTTCTTAATATGTGTTTCCCTTAGAAACTGGATACTTGCTATCACCACTCCTACTCAATATTATACTCATAGTCTTAGTGAAATTATGCAAGAAAATAAAATAAAAACAAAGATTTTTAAGGAAAATATTGTCATTTTCCACAGATAATCTGGTTGTGTGTATATATCTTAGTCAGTTTGTGCTGCTATAATAAACACCAAAGTCTGTATAATTTATAAGGAACACAAATTTGTTGGTAGACAGTTCTGGGGATGAGGAAGTCCAATATCAAGATGCCAACATTTGGCAAGGGCCTTCTTGTTGCATTATCCAATGGTAAAATGCAAAGAGTAAAATCCAAACAGTAAAAGGATAAAAAGAGGGTAAGAGGAAGCCAAACTCAACTTTTCGTAAGAAACCTACTTCCATTATAATAATCCCACTTCCACAATTACAGTATTAATCAATTTATGAGGGCATTGGCCCCATAACCCAAACACTTCTTAAAGGTCTTATCTCTTAATACTTTCACAATGGCAATTACATTTTAACATAAGTTTGGGAGTAGGCATTCAACAAATCATAGCATTCTGACTCTGGCCCCCTAAAAGTCTTAGTCTTCTCACATAACAAATAAATTAATTTCATTCCTATAGCCTCAGAAATCTTAACTTGTTCCAGCACCAACTCAAAAGTCCAAAGCCCAAAGTCTCATCTAAATCCTATAGGGATGAGTCTCAAGGCAGAACTCATCTGAAATAAATTATTCTTCAGTTCTAAGTCTATGAAATCAAAACAAGTTATCTACTTCACAAATACAACATTGGGACAGGCATAGAATGAACATTCCCATTTAAAAAGGGAACAACTGGAAATAAAGAATTAACAGGTCCCAAGTAAATACAAAAGCTAACAGAACAAGCAACATTAAATCTTAAGACTTCAGAATACTCTTTGGCTCCATGTGCCACCTTCTGGATACCCTGGGGTGAAGGAGGGTGGGCCCATTAGGCCTCAGACAGTTCTACCCCATGGCTTTACTGGGCTTAGCCCATGCAGCAGCTCTCATAGGTAGGAGTCTCCTGCCTGCAGCTCTTCTAGGCTGGGGCTACACCCTGGTATATCTACAGTTATGGGGTTGTGGGGACAGCCCTACTCTTATGGCTCCAGTAGGTTTGCTCTAGTGAGCACTCTCTGTGGTGGCTCAATCCCTATGAAAGATTTCTGCCTGGATCCCCAGGCTGTTCAATACATTGTTTGAAATTCAGGTGAAGGCTGCCATGGCCCCACAGCCCAAGCATTCTGTCCATCTGCAGAATTAGAACCATGTGGATGCTGCCAAGACTTATTGCTTTTGCCTTCCAGTGCAGCAGCATGAGCAGCATCTGGGCCAGCTTGAGCCATGGCTGGGGTGGCTGGAGGTGCTGCACTGAAATGCAGGGAGTAGAGACTCCAAGCCGTACTGGGCAGTGAGCCCTTTCTACCCTCAAGGTTCTAACATTCTGTGCCTGTGATGGGAGGGACAGCCTTGAAGATCTCTGAAATGCCTTCAGGGCTATTCTCTCGTTATTTTGATGAATAGCACCTGGTTTCTTCTAGCCATGCTAATCTCCTTAACAAATAGTCACTAGGCCACACCACTGATATTTTCTCTCAAAATGCGTTTTTATTTCTTTACATGGCCAGACTGGGAATATTCTGTATGTTTACATTCTGTGTCCCTTTTAGTTATAAATTCTGTATTTAAGTCATTTTGGTATTCTCTTATTGCACTGTATGCAGACAAAAGAGCTATGTGGTTTCCTCAATATTTTGCTTAAGAATTTTCCCACCAGATATGCTTGTTCATTGCCCTTAAGTTCTGCCTTCCTTAAAGCCCTAGGTCGTGGACACAGTTCAGTCAAGTTTTTGCCACTTCATAACAAGGTTGGCCTTTACTTCAGTGTCCAATAAAATATTCCTCATTTTCATCTAAGACCTCATCCCAATGGCCTTTAACATCTATATTTCTGTCAGCATTCCGATCATAATCACTTAAGTTATCTGTAGGAAGTTCCATCTTTCTTTTCAGTTCCTCTCTTCTTCTGAGCCTTCACCAAAATCACCCATAACACTTCTTTGTTCATGGCATCAGGCTTTTTCTAGACTGCTCCTCCAAACTCTTCCAGCCTCTGCCCACTACTCAGTTCCAAAGATGCTTCCAAATTTTCAGGTACTTTTTATAGCAACACTCATTCCTCTGATACCATTTTACTGTCTTAGCCCATTTTGTGCTGTTACAGCAAAATATCATAGACTATATTAAATAAATATGAATTTATTAATTTATAATGAATAGAAATTTATTGAATGACAGTTCTGAAAGACAGAAATTACAATATCAAGGTGCCAGCATCTAGAAAGGACCTTCTTGATGCATCATCTTATGATGAAAGAGTGGAAGGGCAAAGAGAGGGCAATAGAGAAGAAGAGCAAGAGGGGGCTCAAACTCATCCTTTCATAAGGAACCTACTCCTTCAGTGACAAATAACATTAATCTATTCATGAAGGAAGTACCCATATGACCTGAATATCATATAAAAGTCCTAGTTCTTAATACTCTTACCATGACATTTCAACATGAGTTTGGGAAGAGACATTCAAACCATAGTAATGTAGAAAATGTAAAAATATCTACAGAAAAACTACTAGATTTGTTAAGTAAGTTTATTAAGCACACTGGTCACTATGAAAGCAAAATTGTTTATTTCTGTAACTGCAATACCTAGGAAATAAAAATGTTAAAATATATTACTTATAATTGAATTAAAACCCACCACACACCAAGAAATAAATCTAACAAAATATGTGCAAGGCCTCTACCTGGAAAACTGAAAATTATTGAAAGAAAATAAAGAAGTAAATATAGTAAAGATGTCATGTCAAATTTTACCTTGTTAATCTGTAGATTCAATGCAATCTTAGAGGACAGAGCCACAAGCCACAAAAGATTTTTCCCCTGGCCTTGAAACCTGATGCCTGACTAGATTTTAAAATTGTTTGGAACCAGTGAATTACTTTTTCTTCAATTTTCTCCCCTTTTGAATGAATGTTTACAACTGTGATTTTATGCTGATCTCATTATTGTATTTTGGGGAAAAGATAATTTGTTTCTTGAGGTTAATAAGTCCACAAGTAAAGAAAAATTTCCCCAGGATGGATTCATTCGAATACTCACAACACCTAATTTATATGATGAAACGTGGGTTGTAAAAATAAGTAATTCATAACCCAAGCTGTTGGAACTCTAAATTATTTTGAGCCTTAAAGGAATGTGATTATGGTGCTTGGGTTACGTGACAGCCACCTGTAACCTAGGCAGCAGTAATGTAGGTAGCTGTAAACTTTGTTTCTCTGTTATAGATTAGCCTTCTTCCTTACTTACTTTGTTTTATAAAATATAAATAACTAAAGGGCACCAGGGAAGACCCCTTCACACTTCATTGTTGATCTTTATTATAGATTAAATTCCGTCTTACCTTGTTCACACAATGACATCATGGCTATTATATTGCCTTACAATGGAATGTTAAATACAGTCTTTTAAATCAGAAAGGAAATGAAAATTAGCTGTAAAGAAAAGAAAACAAGCTGTATGAAAGAGAAAATAAGCTGTATCTAAATAACTTATTGTAACACATAAACTAGCCTTGTATAGAAAATGTTGCAATCTTATCATTATTAATTATTTTTTCTGCCTATATAAGCAAGAACTTAACTTTTAACATCAGGACACTGAACCATTTTTTCTGGAGTCTGTGTCTCCTGGATTGTCCATTCCCAACCTTTTGCTTGAATAAACTCTTTAAAACTGGATTCTGATCCTTTTGATTATTTCAAATTGATAAGTTCTTTTTAGCTGATTTATATAAAATCATGGACTTCTAGTTGATGTTGTAATATTTTGAGACATTGGGTATGTTGGCGTGGGATTAAAGTATTAATATTAATATTCTGATGAACAGATTATTTGAAGGTTAGAGAGTAGACTGAGGTAAACCAAATAATGCCCTCTCCCCAAAGCTCTTTATCTCTTAATCCTTGAAGCCTTTTAATATGTTATCTTGCATGCAGTAGAGACTATGAAGATATTAAGGATTTTGAGATGAGCAAATTATGTCCGTGTAGATCCAATGTAATCACAACGGATCTAACAGGGAAGCAAGAGAGTCAGAGAAAGAGAGAGAGATCTAAGGATGCTTGAGTTGAAGATGGAGAAAGGGGCCACAAACCATATAATGCAGGTACCCTCTAGAAGCTGAAAAAGATAAGAAAACAGGTCCTGCCCAAGAGCTTCCACATGGAACACAGTTCTGCTGATGTGTTGATTTTAATTCAGTGAACCCTATTACAGACTTCTGACTCTCATAACTATATAATAATAACTTTATGTTTGTTAATTTTTTATTATGGTGAAAAACATATATTTGTCAGGGCTCTCTAGAGAGACAGAATCAATAGATAGATAGATAGATAGATAGATAGATAGACAGACAGACAGACAGACAGAGAGAAAGATAGTAGATTTATTAGAGTAATTGGCTTACACAATTATGGAGTCTGAGAAGGCCCATGACAGAGTGTCTGCAAACTGGAGAACTCAGTCCAAGTCTAAAAGTGTCAGAACCAGGCAGCTAATGGTGTAGTTCTCAGTCTGCGGCCAAAAGCCAAAGAACTCAGGGAAGGAAATGAGGATGCTCCTCCAAGTCCCGAAGTTCAAAAGCCAGAGAATCTGGAGTTCTGATGTCCAAGGGCAGGAGAAGGACATCCTAACTATAAGAGAAAGAAAGAGAATTTGCCATGACTTTGTCTTGTTGTTTCATCCAGGCCCCCGGTCAATTGAGTGCTGTCCATCTACATTGATGGTGAATCTTCTCTACTGCCGACTCACATGCTATTCTCCTCCAGAAATACTCTCACAGACATACCGGAAAGTAATGCTTTACCAGCTATCTAGATGTTTCTTAATCCAATCAAGTTGACACCTAAAATTAACTATCACAATGCATAACATGAAATCTCCTCTCTTAACAAGCTTTTAAGTGTAGAATACACTATTAACTGTAAGCACAATGTTGCACAGCAGGTATTTATGACTTTCTTTTACTTTGCATAACTGAAACTTTGTATCTATAAAACACCAACACTCCATTGCCTTCTCTCCCTAGGCCTTGGAAACTGCAATTTATTTTCTGCTTCTATGAGTTTGAGTACTTTAGACACCTCAAATATAAGTGAAATCATACAGAATTTGTCCTTCTGTGACTTGCCTATTTCACATAGCATAATGTTGCCAAGGTTCATCCATGTTGTCACATATGACAGTATTTATTTATCTTCTAAGGCTGAAAATATTACATTTTATGTGTGTATCAAATTTTATTCATTCATCTCTCAATGGACATTTATGTTGTTTCCATATCTTAGCAATTGTGAATAATAGTGCAATGAACATGAGACTGTAAATACCTCTTTGAGACACTGACTTCATTTTTTTTTTACGATAAATACCTAGATGTGGGAATGCTGGAACAATATGGTGGTTCTACTTTTAAGTGTTGGAGGAACCTCCATACTGTTTTCCATAATGGCTGCACCATTTTAATTTCTACCAAGAGGACACAGGTTTCACTTTTCTTCACAGTCTTGCCAACATTGTATATTTCCTTTTTTTGTTTTTGGTAATGACCACCATAACAGGTGTGAGATGATATCTCATTGCGGTTTTAATTTTCATTTCCTTGTTTATTAGTGATTGGTATGGTTTGAATGTTCATCCCTTCCAAATCTCATGCTGAAATGTGATTTTCGATGTTGGATATGGGGCCTAGTGGAAGGTGCTTGGATCATGGGGGCAGATATTTTATGAATGGTTTAGCCCCATCCCCTTGGTGATAAGTGAGTTCTTGCTCAGTTAGTTCATGCACAATCAGATTGTTTAAAAGAGTTTCGGACCTCCCACTTATCTATATTGTGGTACCTCTCTTGCCATATGACATTCCAGCTCTCACTTCAGCTTCCCCATGAGTAAACACTCCTGGAGTCCTCATCAGAAGATGCCAGAGCCATGCTTCCTGTACACCCTGCAAAACCATGACCCAATTAAACCTCTTTTCTTAATGAACTACCCAGCCTCAAGTATATCTTTATAGCAATGCAAGAATGGACTAACACTGTGATGTTGATCATTTTTACATAACTATTGGCCGTTTGTTTGTTTGTTTGTTTGTTTGTTTTTGAGAATGGAGTTTCACTCTGGTTGCCCAGGCTGGAGTGCAATGGTGTGATCTCAGTTCACTGCAACCTCCACCTCCCAGGTTCAAGTGAATCTCCTGCCTCAGCCTCCCAAGTAGCTGGGATTACAGGTGTCCACCACCACATCCAGCTAATTTTTGTATTTTTAGTAGAGACAGGGTTTCACCATGTTGACCAGGCTGCTCTTGAACTCCTGACCTCAGGTAATCCACCTGCCTCGGCCTCCCAAAGTGCTGGGATTACAAACTTTCTGTGAGCCACTGCACCCAGCCTGGCCATTTGTATGTTGTCTTTGAAGAAAACTCTTTTGAAGTTCTATGTTCATTTGTTAATTTGATTATTTGTTTTTGCTATTGAGTTGTAAGAGTTTCTTATATATTTTGGATATTAATCCTTTATCAGATATGTGGTCTGCAAATATTTTTCCCATTCTGTAGGTTGCCTTTTAACTCTCATGATTGTTTTCCTTGCTGTACATAAAGAAGATTTTTAGTTAAATATAGTTGCACTTGTTTATATTTAATTGTGTTGCCTTTACTTTTGGTGTCACATTCAGGAAATCATTGCCAAGAACAATTAAATGAAACTTTTCCCATATATTTTCTTTTAGTTCTACAGTTTCAGGTATTAGGTTTGAGTATTTAATTCATTTTGAGTTAATTTTTAATATAGTGTAAGATAATAATTCTATTTAATTTCTTTGCATTTGTACATCCAGTTTTTCAACACAATTTTTTGAAGAGACAATCCTTTTCCTACTGTGTATTTTTGGCAAACCTGTTGAAGATCAATTGACCATTTATGCATGGGTTTATTTTTGGACTTTCTTCTGCTCCATTGGTCTATATGCTTGCCTTTATGCCAGTACCATACTGTTTTGATTACTGTAGCTTTCTGACATATTTGGAAATCAGGAAGTGTGAATAATTCAGCTTTTTTTTTCTTTCTCAAGATCGTTTTGTCTATTCAGAGTCCTTTGTGTTCTATGTAAAGTTTAGAACTTTTTAATATTTCTATAAAACAGTGATATGAACATGGGATACCTTTGCATTTATCTGTGTCTTGTTTTTTTATGCAATGTTTTGTTGTTTTCAACTCTTTCATCTCCCTATTTTTATTCCTAACTGTTTTATATTATTGTGAATGGGATAGTTTTCTCTATTGTCTTTTCAGATAGTTGCAAGTGTATACAAACAAAACTTTTTTGTGAGTTGATTGTGGATATGACAATTTTACTGAATTTACTTATTAGTTCTAACAAGTTAATTTTAATGAAATCATTAGGTGTTCTATGCATAATATTATATCATGGGTAAACATATTATTTTATTTGTTCCTTTCTGATTTGTATGTCTTTTATTTTCTTTTATTTACTATTGCTCTGGTCAGGACTTTCAGTACTATGTTGAATAGAAGTTGCTACAGTAGACATTTTTGCTTTGTTTCTGGTCTTAGAAGAAAAGCTTTTGGTTTTTCACTTTTGACACTAGCTATGAATTTTTCATAGACTTTATTAGGTTGAAGTAGTTTCCTTCTATTTCTACTTTGTTGAGTGTTTTTATCATAATGGGCATTGAATCTTGTCAAACAACTTTTCTGCATCTATTGGAATGACCATGTGATATTTATCCTTCATTCTCTTAATATGATGTATCACATTTATTTATTTATTTATTGGAAGTTGATTTTTATTTAGTTTTGGTCTGAAGTTTTTTTTTTTTTAATTTCAGTAGGTTTTGGGGGAACAGGTGGTGTTTGGTTACATGAGTAATTTCTTCACTGGTGATTGCTGAGATTTTGGTGCACCCATCACCTGAGCAGTGTAGTCTTTTATCCTTCACCCCACTCCCACCCTTTCCCTCAAGTCCCCAAAGTCTATTGTATTATTCTTATGTCTTTGCATCCTCATAGCTTATCTCCCACTTATGAATGAGAAAATATGGTGTTTGGTTTTCCATTCCCAAGTTACTTCACTTAGAATAATGGTCTCCAACTGTTCAGATGTGAATACCACTATTTCATTCCTTTTTATGACTGAATAGTATTCCATGGTGTGTGTGTGTGTGTGTGTGTGTGTGTGTGTGTGTGTGTATCACATATTCCTTATCCACTCATTGATTGATAGGTATTTGGGCTGGTTCCATATTTTTGCAACTGCAAATTGTGCTGCTATAAACATGCATGTGCAAGTATTAGGGTGGTGCAAAAGTAATTGTGGTTTTTGCCATTAAAAGTAGTGGTCAAAACCATAATTACTTTTGCACCAACCTAACATCTTTTTTGTATAATGACTTCTTTTCCTCTGGGTAGATACCCAGTAGTAGAATTGCTACTACTAATCAAATGGTAGATCTACTTTTAGTTCTTTAAGAAATCTCCACGCTGTTTTCCACAGTGGTTGAACTAGTTTACATTCCCACCAGCAGTGTAAAAGTATCCTCTTTTCACCACATCCACAACAACATCTATTATTTCTGATTTTTTTGATTATGGCCATTCTTGGAGCAGTAAGGTGGTGTCACATTGTGGTTTTGATTTGCATTTCCCTGATTATTAGTGATGTTGAGCGTTTTTCCATGTGTTTGTTGGCTGTTTGTATATCTTCTTTGAGAATTGTCTATTCATGTCCTTAGCCCACTTTTTTATGGGATTGTTTGTATTTTTTCTTGCTGATTTGTTTGAGTTTGTTGTAGATTCTGGATATTTGTCCTTTGTTGGATGTATAGATTGTGAAGATTTTCTCCCATTCTGTGGGTTGTCTGTTTACTCTGCTGTGTTTCTTTTGCTGTGCAGAAGCTTTTTAGTTTAGTTAAGTCCCATCTATTTATCTTTGTTTTTGTTGCATTTGCTTTTAGGTTCTTGGTCATGAAGTCTTTACCTAAGCCAATGACTACAAAAGTGTTTTCCGATATTATCTTATAGAATTTTTATGGTTTTAGGTCTTAGACTTAAGTCTTTTATCAATCTTGAGTTGATTTTTATATAAGGTGAGAGATGAACATCCAGTTTTATTTTTCAACATGTGGCTTGCCAATTATCCCAGTACCATTTGTTGAATAGGGTGTCCTTTCCCCACTTTATGCTTTTGTTTGCTTTGTTGAAGTTCAGTTGGCAGTAAATATTTGGCTTTATTTAAGTGTTCTGTTCCATTGGTCTATGTGCCTATTTTTATATCAGTACTATGCTATTTGGGTGATTATGGCCTTATAGTATAGTTTGAAGTCAGGTAATGTGATGCTTCCAGATTTGCTCTTTTTGCTTAGTGTTGCTTTGGCTATGTGGGTTCTCTTTTGGTTCCATATGAATTGTAGGATAATTTTTTCTAATTCTGTGAAAAATGGTGGTATTTTGATGATAATTGCATTGAATTTGTAGATTGCTTTTGGAAGTATGTTCATTTTCACAATATTGATTCTACCCATCCATGAGCATGGGATGTGTTTCCATTTGTTTGTGTCTTGTATGATTTCCTTCAGCAGTGTTTTGCAGTTTTCCTTGTAGAGTTCTTTCACCTCCTCGGTTAGATATATTCCTAAGTATTTTATTTTTTTGGAGGTATTGTTAAAGGGTCTGAGTTCTTGATTTGATTGTCAGCTTGGTCATTGTTGGTGCAAGGCAGTGCTACTCATTTGTGTACATGAATTTTGTATCCTGAAACTTTGCTGAATTTATTCATCAGTTCTAGAAGCTTTTTTGATGAGTCTTTAGAGTTTTCTAGATATATAGTCATATCATCAGCAAACAGTGACAGTTTGACTTCCTCTTTACCAATACGAGTGCAATTTATTCTTTCTCTTGTCTGATTGCTCTGGCTAAGACTTCTAGTAGTAAATTGAATAGAAGTGGTGAACGTGGGCATCCTTGTCTTGGTCCAGTTCTCATGGAGAATGCTTTCATCTTTTTCCAGTTCAGTATAATGTTGGATGTAGGTTTTTCATGGATGGCTTTTATAAATATATGCCCCTTCTATGCTGATTTTGCAGAGAGTTTTAATCATAAAGGGATACTGAATTTTATCAAACGCTTTTTCTGTGGCTGTTGAGATGAACATGTAATTTTTGTTTTTAATTCTGTTTATGTGGCATATCACATTTATTGACTTGTGTATATTAAACCATCCCTGTATCCCTGGTATGAAACCCACTTGATCGTGGTGGATTATCTTTTTGATACACTGTTGGATTTAGTTAGCTAGTATTTTGTTGAGGATTTTTGCATTTATGTTCATCAGGGATCTTGGTCTGCAGTATTCTTTTGTTGTTGTTGTTGTTATGTGCTTTCCCGGTTTTGGTATTAGGGTGATACTGGCTTCATAGAATAATTTAGGGCGTATTCCCTCTTCCTCTGTCTTTTGGAATAGTGTCAATAGGATAGGTACCAATTCTTTGAATGTCTGAAAGAATTCAGCTGTGAATCCATCTGGTCCTGGGCTTTTTTTGTTGTTGACAATGTTTTAGTCACCATTTCAATCTCACTGCTTGTTATTGCACTATTCAGAGTTTCTTTTCTTTTCTTTCTTTTTTTTTTTTTTTTTTCAGAGTCTCACTGTGAAGCCCAGGCTGGAGTTCAATAGTGTGATCTCTGCTCACTGCAACCTCTGCTCCCTGGGTTCAAGTGACCCTCCTGCCTCAGCCTCCTGAGTGGCTGGGACTGCAGGCATGCACCACCATGCACAGCTAATTTTTGTATTTTTAGTAGAGATGGGGTTTCACCATGTTGCACAGGCTGGTGTCAAACTCCTGAACTCTAGTGATCCTCCCACCTCTGCCTCTCAAAATGCTGGGATTACAGGTGTCAGCCATGGCACCGGTCCTTGTTCAGAGGTTCTATTTCTTTCTGGTTTAATTTAGGAATGTTGTATATATCTAGGAATTTATTTATCTCCTCTAGGTTTTCTAGTTTTTGCATGTAAAGGTGTTCATACTGGCCTTGAATAACTTGAATAATCTTTTGTATTTCTGTGGTATCAGTTGTGATATCTCCCATTTCATTTATAATTGAGCTTATTTGGATATCTTCCCTCTTCTTAGTTAATCTCACTAATGGTGTATCAATTTTACTTATCTTTTCAAAGTCCCAGCTTTTTGTTTCATTTCTATTTTGTATTGTTTTGTTTGTTTCAATTTCATTTAGTTCTGCTCTAATCTTTGTTATTTCTTTTTTTCTACTGGGTTTGCGTTTGGTTTCTTCTTGTTTCTCTAGTTCCTTGAGGTGTGACATTAGTTTGCCTATTTGTTCTCTTTCAGGCTTTTTGATATAGGCATTTAACTCTGTCAACTTTCCTATTAGCACCACCCTTGCTGTATCCCAGAGGTTTTGATAGTTTGTGTCAGTATTATCTTTCAGTTCAAAGCATTTTTTAATTTCAATCTTGATCTAATGGTTGGCCCAACAATTATTCAGGAGCAGGTTATTTTATTTTCATGTATTTGCATGGTTTTGAGGTTCCCTTATGGAGATGATTTCCAATTTTATTCCAATGTGGTCTGAGAGAGTACCTGATATAATTTTTATTTTCTTTAATTTATTAAGACTTGTTCTGTGGTCTTTCATACAGTCTACCTTGGAGAATGTTCCATGTGCTAATGAATAGAATGTATATTCTTAGTTGTGTAGAATGTTCTGTAAATTTGTATTAAGTCCTTTTGTTCTAGGGTATAGTTCATTGTTTCTCTGTTGACTTTCTGTCTTGATGACCTGTCTAGTGCTGTCAGTGGAGAATTGAAATCCCCCATTATTATTGTGTTGCTGTCTATCTCATTTCTTAGGTCTAGTAGTAATTGTTTTATAAATTTGGGAGCTCCAGTGTTAGGTGCATACATATTCAGGATTGTGATATTTTCCTGTTGAACAAGTCCTTTTATCATTTTATAATGTCCCTCTTTATCTTTTTTAACTGTTGCTGCTTTAAAGTTTGTTTTGTCTAATATAGGAAGAGCTATTCCTGCTTGGTTTTGATGTTCATTTGCATGGAATATCTTTTTCCACCCCTTTACCTTAAGTTTACGTGACTCCTTAAGTGTCAGGTGAGTCTCTTGAAGACAACAGATACTTGGTTGGTGAATTCTTATCAATTTTGCGATTCTGTATTTTTTAAGTGGAGAATTTAGGCTACTTACATTCAATGTTAGTATTGAGATGTGAGGTACTATTCTGTTCATTGTGCTATTTGTTGCCTGAATACCTTGTTTTTTTTTTTCCATTGTGTATTTGTTTTATAGGTCCTGTGAGATTTGTGCTTTAAGAAGCTTTTATTTTGGTGTATTTTGAGGATTTGTTTCTAGATTTAGAGGTCCTTTTAGCAGTTCTTTTAGTGCTGGCTTAGTGATGGCAAATTCTGTCAGCATTTGTTTGTCTGAAAAAGACTGTATTTTTCCTTCATTTATGAAGCTTAGTTTTGCTGAATACAAAATTCTTGGCTGATAATTGTTTTGTTTTAATGAGGCTAAAGATAGAACCCCTATCCCTTCTAGCTTGTAGGGTTTCTGCCAAGAAATCTACTAAACCTAATCTGATAAATTTTTTTTATAGGTCACATAGTGCTTTTGTCTCATAGCTTTTAGGATTCTTTCCTTTGTCTTGACTTTAGATAACCTGATGACTGTGTGCATAGGCAATGATAGTTTTGTGATGAATTTCCCAGGAGTTCTTTGAACTTCTTGTATTTGGATGTCCAGATCTCTAGCAAGGCCAGGGAAGTTTTCCTCAATAATTCCCTCAAATATGTTTTCCAAAGTGTTGGATTTATCTTCTTCCTTGGGAACACCAGTGATTCTTAGAGTTTGGTCATTTAACATAATTCCAGACTTCTTGGAGGCTTTGTTCATTTTTTTGTTGTTCTTTTTTCTTTGTCTTTGTTGGATTGGGTTAATTCAAAAGCTCTGTTTTCAGGCTCTGAATTATTTTCTTCTACTCATTTAATTCCATTGCTGAAACTTTCTAGTGTATTTTGTGTTTCTCTAAGTGTATCTTTTATTTCCACAAGTTGTGATTGTTTTTTATTTATGCTATCTATTTCTCTGAAGAATTTTCCATCCGTACTCTGTAACATTTAAAAAATTTCTTTAAGTTCATATTCACCTTTCTCTGGTGCTTCCTTAAGTAGCTTAATAATTGACCTTCTGAATTCTTTTTCTGGGAATTCAGAGATTTCTTCCTGGTTCGATGCATTGCTGGTGAGCTAGTATGTTTTGGGGTATTAAAGAATGAAAGAATGTTGTTTTGTTATATTACCAGAATTGCTTTTCTGGTTCCTTCTCATTCGGGTAGACTATGTCAGAGGGAAGATCTGGGAAGACCTCGGGTTTCTCAAGTGGCAGGCAGGGCCATAGAGCTTCCAAGAGATTGTTTCTTTTGTCTTCAGCTACCAGGGCTGCTAGAGAAGGACCATCAGGTCAGGGCAGGCTTAAGTGTGTCTGAGCTCAGACTCTTCTTGGGTGGGGCTTGCCGTGGCTCCTGTGGGGGATAGGGGTGTGGTTCTCAGGTCAATTGAGTTATCTTCCCAGGGGGATTATGGCTGCCTCTGCTGCATCATGCCTGTCACTAGGGAAATGGGAAAAAGCCAGGCCTCACCCAGCTCCCATGCAGCTGTAAAGACTGGTCTCACTCTCATCATACCCACCTCCCCCTGTGCCCACCCCCCACCGACACTCCCCAGCAGCACAGAATTTATTTCAAGGCAGCCAGTGAGCAGGGCTGAGACCTTGCTTTAGGCTACCAGCCTCCCCACTGGGAAAGCAATCAGGAATTTCTGGTTGCACATCTCCCACAGCTTCTGTGCTCATGTCTACAAAACTGGTTTGCCCTCTTTTCTGAGTTCTGTCCAGGAAACGTCACGTTCCATTGAAATTGTTACAAAGTTCAACTGGAAGTTTCCTTCTCCCTGTGGTCTTTCTCCAATTCCACTTGCAGCCTTCCCCAAAGGACCTGTCTTGAGACAAAGTCAGAAATAGCTTCCCTGGGGACTAGGAATGTCTGCACTGCTTCCCAACTGCTTTCTCTACGCCTGTATTTCACTTGGCTCTCTAAATTTATCTCAGCTGCAGGTAAGATCAAATCCTTCTTCCATGATCTGGACTTTCAGGTTCCCTAGTGACAATGTGTGTTCAGGGGTAGATAATCCCCCTTTCATACTTTCCACACTTTGAGCACTCACAGCTTTTCAGCTGTCTCCTGGAGGCTGCAGCAGCAATCCACTTCCTTCAAAGTATCTGTGGATTCTCTCAGCTTTCCTGGTATGTTCCTATGGTAGTTCTTGGAGCAAAAGTTCATGATGTGAGTCTCCACAGGCTGCTCTGTTTATCCAAATAGGAGCTGCAAGTTAGTCTTGCCTCCTATCTGTCGTTTTCTCCAATTCTCACATTGATTTATTTTTGTATGTTGAACCACCTTTTCATCCCAAGGAAAATTCTCTGACAAAAGTGAAATATTGGATGCAAACTCTACTCCTCGTACTCTTGGGTAGACTCCTCCCGTGTTGTTCCTTCTCTCGGTTGCACAAAGCTCTGCCAACCACAGTAAGCCGCTTTTGCTTCCTTTTGTTCTCAGTGGTACCCAGGCATCTGAACTATTCCAGTTTGGTTAGTGCTTCAAGTGAGGTGAGACAAAAACTAGTTTCTAAGGCAGCACTCTAATAGGCAGGAGGTTGGACACATGACCCTCCCAACCCCCACCCTGAGGAGTAGTTACTGGTAGGGCTTTCTCTCTCAGCACTGAGGTGTTTCACCTTGGGGAATGGGCTGTGGTGGTAATGTGAAATTGCTCTTCTACCCATTTTAGTTCTGTTGTTTTCGATTTGTTCTCGCCTACAGTACTGCAAATTCTTAACTAGGTTATGGAATTCTCATCAAGGTATTTTGGTTCATATGTTGTTGTTAAATCAGTATTTCTATGAGGGAAAAGGGCTGCAATTTTTTGCTCTGTCATCTTGCTGATGTCCCTCTCAAACTTGTGTTATTTTAAGCTACTACATTTGTGGCACTTTGTTACAGCAGCAACAGGAAATTTATACAGGAAATATTTAAAATACTATATAAGAATGAGAGACAGGACTAGCTGGATTTCCTAGGCTGACTAAGAATCCCTAAGCCTAGCTGGGAAGGTGACCGCATCCACCTTTAAACACAGGGCTTGCAACTTAGCTCACACCTGACCAATCAGAGAGCTCACTAAAATGCTAATGAGGAAAAAACAGGAGGTAAAGAAATAGCCAATCATCTATTGCCTGAGAGCACAGCAGGAGGGACAAGGATCGAGATATAAACCCAGGCATTCGAGCCGGCAACAACAACCCCCTTTGGGTCCCCTCCGCTTGTATGGGAGCTCTGTTTTCACCCTATTTCACTCTATTAAATCTTGCAACTGCACTCGTCTGGTCCATGTTTGTTACGGCTCAAGCTGAGCTTTTGCTCGCTGTCCACCACTGCTGTTTTGCCGCCGTCGCAGACCCATTGCTGACTTCCATCCCTCCGGATCCAGCAAGGTGTCTGCTGTGCTCCTGATCCAGCGAGGCACCCATTGCCGCTCCCGATCAGGCTAAAGGCTTGCCATTGTTCCTGCATGGCTAAGTGCCTGGGTTCGTCCTAATCAAGCTGAACACTAGTCACTGGGTTCCACGGTTCTCTTCCATGACCCACAACTTCTAATAGAGCTATAACACTCACCGCATGGCCCAAGATTCCATTCCTTGGAATCCACAAGGCCAAGAACCCCAGGTCAGAGAACACGAGGCTTGCCACCATCTTGGAAGTGGCCTGCCGCCATTTTGGAAGTGGCCCACCACCATGTTAGGAGCTCTGGGAGCAAGGACCCCCGGTAACAAGAAGACATATCAAACATATTTATGATTAATAATGCAGTATGGAGTCAGTTTTTAAAATAGAAAAATAGATCACTAGAACAAATGGAGAATCCAAAAACAGATTATATGTAGTCACCTAATTTGAGAGAAAAAGACTATTCCACTGAAGTAGGGAAAATAATGATCTTCTCAAGGAATTGTACATGATAAATTAGATATCCATATGGAATCTTTTTACCCCTACCTCATACCATACACAAAAATCAATTCCAGATATATTTCAGATGCAAATATGCAAAGTAAAACAAAGTTGTAGAAGGAAACACTGAAAAACATCTTTGTGATAGGAAAAGCAAATATTTTTTAATCATGACATGAGATTGATAAATATGACTAAAAATTGGTAAATGAGACTGCTTTAAAATTGGAAACCTCTGTTTATTAAAGCACATCCTTGCAAGAATGAAAAGGCAATTCACTGAATATGAGAAAACATTATCAATGCACATGTACAACAAAAGACAAATAATGTACTAAAACTACTATGAATCAATAAGCTAAAATCATCCAACACAATCTTTTAAGTGTAAAATATTTGAATATACACTTCACAAAAGAGGTTATGCCAATAAATATCTGAAAAGCGACCTCACATTAATCATCTTTAGGGCAATGCAAAATAAAATCAGAATGTGATATTATGCTTCCATGACAACAATTTAGAAAGATGAAAAATATAACATGTAGGTGAGAATTTGGAAACTCATTCAGAGTCAGTAGGGTATAAAATATTACAGCCACTCATACAACTATTTGGCAGTATCTATTAAGACTGAGCCTATATAGCTACTCTATGATTCAACAATTCTACCCCATAGTATATGTCCCACAAAATTACATGCATATGTTCTCCAAAAGGCATATATTGGAATCTTCATGCCGTCACCCTTTCCAGCAAATGCTTCCTTTCCTTAAACTTGAGGGTGGAATGTTCTAGATAAGAATTTCTTACTGTGAGAGTCAGAATTAAAGTAATTGAAGAAGACCAGTAGCCAACCATGATGAATATAACATGAGAAAGACATAAATCTCTGTTGTCTTAAGTCATTGATATTTGGAGCTTGTTACTACAGCTGACAAATATTAGTAGTAGTATTAGTAATATTACTATTTATTATGATTATTATTATTATATGTTAGGAGTAATTGAAACCGTGAATAGTCTAAAAGCAAAATCAGTGTGTCCCACTCACAACAAAGTAGTAAGTGGTGTTTTCACTGAGCGAAAAACTGATTTGTTTAGTAGGACAATTGGCAATCAGAAAACATCTATCAAAGGAAACAATTGATGCTTGATATATATAACCTTAGTTAAATTTAGGCCTTTGGTGATAATTTGTTCTTAAATTTGAAGTGAAAATCAAATCCAAATATAATCTTAAATATTGTGATAGTGCATATCTGGAAAACTCCTTGACTCCTGTAATATGATTTTCTCTTATAGAATTTTAGTTATATTTTCAGGTGTTACTAAAATAAGTTTTATTTATAGAATTCTCAATGAATAGAATTAATGTGGATTAATACTGGTTATAGTGTCTTTTTATATAAGATGTATTTAGTAGTTGGGGTGTAGCATAATTGAAATGTTTGTTTAAATGTATATTATAAATATTGTTGATATTGTTTCTTTGCTGGATTATTTAACTAAGGTTTCCAAATACTGTAGAACTTTCTAGTTAAATTCCAGCATTTCTAGATACTACAAATGAGCTCTTAATGAAAGTGTGATTTACTAATCTCCTAGAATTAGAAATGATGAAAATCACGGAATAAGAATTTTTAAAAAGCAGAAAATTACGTATCTAAGCATATTGTCATACAACTGGAAATCATTAAAAGTATGAACAAAACTCAACCAATTAAAATTTTGAAAAATGATTTCAAATATTTATCTAACAAAAATATCACAAAGTTGCAAATGTAGAATAGTTGGACAACAATAATTGCAAGAAACTCATTTGTCTTAAAAATTTTCTAATATGTATTTTCTAAGGAGGCAAAGTCATAAATTATTAGTATAAACTTGCCACATTATGCCTTCCAGTTTCTATGCAATTTCACCTGCATTTGTCTTTTCATTCTGTGGACTTCTGCCTAGGTTTTTCACATTTGGAACTGTTTAAGAAGCCAAAATGTTAATGGGATTAGCTTGTTAAATAGTACAATGTTATTTTTGTGTAGGATTGTGCTGGACTGCCATTCATGACCTGTTTCTCGGAATTTCTGTGAACTGAAAAAGCATTAAGGAATTTCATTTTGTTTGAGGAATTGGGTGATGCTGGTTTAATAAAATACATTCTATATAACTTTCCTATCAAAGAACACATCTCTATATACATTTAATAGATCTCTATATAATTAAAATGAATGATACATTCTTAAATTATATTAAGTAAGCCTACAATTCCTTTCCCTTTTAATTAGCAGAGTCAATACATTTCACAGTCAACATTAATGAGGGAACAGCAAAATAGAAAGGATAGATAGGGAAACACCATGAAGAATTATGGTTTATGTTATTTTTTTAACTAAATGAGAATTACACTATCCTGTTCCCTGAAAATGCCTCTTCCCAACTCCTCTCAGATTTGGGCTAATGAGAGGAACGTTTCCTTAACTGAAAACTGCTGTTGGTACACATTTGGTACTTCTCTTTTCTCAAACAAAAATCATGGAGACTGTGAGAGTGAACGCCATCATTATCATCACCAGTAATAGGGAGAGTATATCATCATGACAACGTTAGCAACATGTGGGGTTTCTTTAAATCAATTTTTTCCATAAATAGAAATAAAGATATTGTGTTAATATAATTTGCACATTCAGTAATAGATATCATTTTAATTGATTTATGAATTAAATTTTTACAATTAATATCGCCTATCTAAAAAGGAAAATATGAATAATTAAACCTAATTAAGAGCACGTTCAAGAGTTAGTGTATCTGGCTTCTTAAAAAGTTTAAGAGAGTACTGGAACAGCTACAGTAGACAAATTCATATAGGACAAATGATGATACTCTGGGAGATTAATAACCATCGCCTACTTCTTTAACTAAGGCCATGCAAAAATGACACCTGAAGAGCATTTTCTGATCTCCGCAGAGAAGCATATGCTAAATGTTTGGGCAGTACATATCTGCCCATCTGCTTCTGCAAAATGGCATCTTTAGGGGCCTTGGCTTGCTCCAGAAAGCCCACTGTTAAGCTGCTGAATGTTCAGCTGAGAATGTTTGTAGGGCTGTTGACCTAAAATCCATTTATCAAAACAACTCCCTGAAGTATTATTGTTTTTTCAATTATTTAGTTGTAATTTTTTTAAATTACAGGATGTAAAAGACCAAAAGTAACAAACACCCGGATATCTACCATTCAGAATTAACAAATGCTAACACATATGATGTTTTTGCCTCCGAATGAACAGTAATTTTTTTTTTTTGAGATGGGTTTTTCCCGTGTAACTCAGGCTGGAGTGCAATGGCATGACCTCAGCTCACTGCAACCTCTACCTCCCGGGTTCAAGAGATTCTCCTGCCTCAGTCTGCCGAGTAGCTGATATTACAGGCACCCGCCACCAAGCCTGACTAATTTTTTGTATTTTTAGTGGAGATAGGGTTTCACCATGTTGTCCAGGCTTGTCTTGAACTCCTGACCTTAGGTGATCCGCCCACCTCAGCCTCCCAAAGTGCTGGGATTATAGGTATAAGCCATTGCACCTGGCCCTGAATAGTAAATTTTTTAAAAGACTCAGATAAAAGTAAAGACCTTTAAAAAAAATACCATCCCTTTTTTTATTTCCCATCCAAACATTTACCACAAATATAATTCTATTATAAATTCAATGTGTATACTTCTGGCCAATGTTTTTATTTCACTGCATATCTATTATCCAGGAATAATATAACATTATTAACAACATTAATGGGTATATTAACTTTTTCACAGATGCTATTATACTAGATTATCTAAGGCAGATCTATGAATAAGTCTCGCATCTAATGGAATGAACCTTTGTGACATACATGGGAGAGCTACAGGGTTCTTGAAAATTTTATATCAGCAGGAACACGGCCAACTTGGAATGAAAGAAACAAAGAAATATCAAATAAATCAAGGGAATTAAATTCCCAAAATTCTTACAGCAAGGAACGGGTTGATAAAACTACTCAGCTGCAAAGACCTGCTACCTTTTTATGAAAAAAGGGTGATTCTGAAGGCAGATCCTTAAAACCAGAGGGCAGACATATAAGCTGCAGAGGATTATTCTTAATGGAATTTGTGTGGCTCAGGCAATTTCTAAATTGTTTGATATGTTTCTGCAGTTTCACAGGCCCACACGTGGAAAGAAATTGTGCCTAATGATAGATTATACTGCAACTCACCCATACTTAACTTAGATGATGAGATTTCAGGATTTTAGGTGACAAAATTTCATTGAGATTGTTGGAGTTTTCATCGATGCTATAATGGGTTGACATGTGGGGAAACTTGGAATGGGGTAATTATATTTGGGATGGACATGAATCTTTGGGGGCCAGAGGTTGAACTTGGGTAGACAGAATAATGGCCCCCAAAGATGTCCATGTCCTATTTATTGGAACCTATGGATATGTTACTATGTAGCACCAAAGGGATTTTGCAGTGGTGATGAAGGTTATAGACTTTAAAATGGGGATATTATGCAGGCTCATTTTGGTGGTCACAATCTAATCATATGAGTCCTTACATTTAGAGGATGTTACTGGCTGCAGTCTGAGAGATGCAGTGATAGAAGGCAAAAGAATAAGATTGATGTAGTAATGTGAGAAGGATTCGGCAGTGTTTTGCTGGTTCTGCAATGTGGACACTATGTGCGAAGACCAGATAGAGACCACTAAACACCCACGAGAGCCCCCAGGCTGTAGGCAGCAAGGAATTAGACAACTCAGACCTATGACTACATGGAGCTGAAGTTTTTCAGTGCCTAAGTGAGCAAGAAGGAGATTCTCCTCTAGAACCTAAAGAAAGGAAGACACCTTAACACCATGTTAATCTTAGCCTGATGGGATCTATGTCAAATCCTGACCCAAAGAACTATAACACAATACATTTATCTCATTTACCACCTAAGTTTACCTTAAGTTTTATGACAGCATAGAAAACCAATACACTATGGCTAACTCAACCTTATATTTTCAGATACAATATAGGTTTATATTCACAGATTAAATTTGTTCATTTTAATTGCTATTTCTGTCCTGACAAATATTTATGTTGTTTCCATTTCTTTCTATAAGAAACAATGGCCAGGTGTGGTGCCTCACGCCTGTAATCCCAGTACTTCGGGAGGCCGGGGCGGGCAGATCACTTGAGGTCAGGAGTTTGAGACCAGGCTAGCCAACATGACAAAACTCCATCTCTACTAAAAATACAAAAAATTAGTAGGGAGTGGTGGTGCTGAGGCAGGGGAATTGCTTGAACCTGGGAGGCGGAGGTTGCAGTGAGCAGAGATCATGTCACTGCACTCCAGCCCAGGTGACAGAATGAGACTCCAACTCAAAAAAATAAAAATACAAACAAAAATATATATAACAAACAATGTAGGAATAAATATCTTTATGTCTGTTAGTATTCAAACCAAAGGTTTCTGTAATACATATAGAGAATTACTGTATTGAGTCATTAACTATGCACATTTTAAACATTATTAGATATTTCCAATGCATATTAGAATGGTTACATTAATTTTAGTTTATGATGATAAACGAGATATTTGATCCTCCTGATTATTTTGCTGCTGTTCTTGGACTCACCTAGTTTTAATTTTCTCCGTTCTGCTCTATTGAACTTTAAAAGATTTGAATTTTATTTCTAATCTTTTAGTGGTTACTCTTAAATTTTAATATATATGCTTAACAAAATATCTTTTAACTTCTTTTTGAATAATATTAGGATATTAGTCACTTTAAATCTCCCTCCTCCCCCATCTAATTTTTCCTGTAATCTAAATTTAGTTTCACTTTGTTTTTAAGCACCCCATTCATCATTATTACAAAATTTTCAGTTACTTTTTATTTAAACATACCTGTATTTTAATAATTTCCTTGTTTACTACTACTTGTTGCATAAAACTACTTTCTTTTGAATTCAACTATTTCTCAAATAAATTCTTCAGTAATTTTCTAAGGGATGGTCTGTGATCATTCATTTAAAATGGACATTTCCTTCACCTCAGTATGTTAAAGTTATCTACCATATTCTGATTTTTGTTTTCCAAATGAGATCTATGCTATAATTCTAATTATTGTTTTTCTATAAGAAATCTTTTTTATCTTTTGGTAGATTTTCAAAGTTTTTGAGGTCTTGCAATTTCACCTTTATATTTTAAGAAGTAGAATATTTTTGACATTTTCAATTATGGTCAGGATTTGGTAGAATTTTTCAGTCTGATAATTCATAGATTTCTTTTTTAAATTTAAAAAAAATTTGGAAAATTTTTGTGAGTACGTACTAGGTGTATATATTTATGGGGTACATGAGATGTTTTGATAAGGCATGCAAAGTGAGATAAGCCCATCATGGAAAATAGGATATCCATCCCCTCAAGCAGTCATCCTTTGAGTTAAAAATAATCCAATTACATTATTTATGTTATTTTAAAGTAAACAGTTATTATTGACTATAGTCACCCTATTGTGCTATTAGATAGTAGGTAGTATTCGTTCTATTTTTTTTTTTTTTTTTTTTGGTATCCATTAACCATCCCCACCTTCCTCCCATCCCTCCCCAACGACTCCCCTTTCCAGCTTCTGGAAATCATTCTTCTACCCTCTATGTCCATGAGTGAGAACTCATGCATTTTTTTTTAACTCTTGAAAAGGAAATAGTCCTCTATTATCATCCCTTTAAACTCTACTTCTTTACCATTTTCTTCACTTTTTCCTTCTGAAATGCCTATTGACATGGAAGCCCTTCTCATTATATATACCACGTTCATTTTATCTTTCATATTTTGCATCTCTTTATTTCTCTTCATTGCATTCCAGATGATTTTCTCAGGTCTACATTTAAGTTACTCAACATTCTTCTCAGCTGCTTTATATCATATTAAATAAACCCTTCAACTGTGTTCTTTTTTGCTTTTTAAATATAATTCCATTATTCTAAATTTAATTGTGTTTTCCATTTCTAGAGTTTCTTTTTTTATTCTGTATTAAGTTGCCCTATATTTTCTATGTGCAGCTAATCTTATACTTTTCATTTCTTTCTTTTACTTCTAGGTGATTTTAAGCATACTTTTCTGAAAGTCTTTTTTTAAGTCTACTTCATTTTCTACTGTGGTTTATGAAATGTCATATAAGTTCATTTGCAGTAGCATTGTTTTCCGTCAGTACCCTTTGTTGTGAAATTGTCCGTATGAGGTATATTTAGTCAGTGCCCTGCCCAGGGTCCTATGTCTTTCATTGTTTCCAAACTACATTTTAATTTGACTTTGGGTTTCTGCATCGTCCTTCCGGAGTAATGTATATCCTACACATGAGTAAAAAAGGTCTTAATTTTTTGTATTTTTTTTCTCACCAATGCAGGTAGATGAAAACTGTCCTCACTGCTGCCCAAGGCTTATGTCTAGAGTCTATAGTCTGAACCAATTCCAGAAGCAAATGTTAAATCTTCAGACTAACCATTAAAGTTGATGTGCGATTTAGGCATCACTGGGATCCCTCAGAGTCATCCTTTGTTTATTCTTCTAATTTTGCATTTCCTTTTATTTCTAGTGTGTCTGGAATCTATTCCTTCTGGTGGATTCGTAGTCTTGCTGACTTCAGGAGTGAAGCCGCATACCCTCGCAGTGAGTGTCACAGCTCTTAAAGGTGGCGTGTCCAGAGTTATTTGTTCCTCCCAGTGGGTTCATGGTCTCACTGACTTCAGGAGTGAAGCCGCACACCCTCACAGTGAGTGTTACAGCTCTTAAAGGTAGTGCGTCTGGAGTTGTTTGTTCCTCCCAGTGGGTTCATGGTCTCACTGACTTCAGGAATGAAGCTGCAGACCCTCGCGCTGAGTGTTACAGCTCATAAAGGTAGCACAAACCCAAAGAGTGAGCAGCAGCAAGATTTATTGTGAAGAACAAAAGAATAAAGCTTCCACAGCATGGAAAGGGACCTGAGCGAGTTGTCACTGTTGCCTGGGGTGGTCAGCTTTTATTCCCTTATTTGGCCCCACCCACGTCCTGCTGATTGGTCCATTTTACAGAGTGCTGATTGGTCCATTTTACAAAGTGCTGATTGGTCCATTTTACAGACTGCTGATTGGTACATTTACAATCCTTTAGCTAGACAGAGAGCACCGATGGGTGTGTTTTTTGAGAGTGCTGATTGGTATGTTTACAATCCTTTAGCTAGACACAGAGCGCTGATTGGTGTGTTTTTACAGAGTGCTGATTGGTGCGTTTACAGTCCTTTAGCGAGACAGAGAGCGCTGATAACAGAGTGCTGATTGGTTTGTTTACAATCCTTTAACTAGACACAGTGTGCTGATTGGTGCATTTACAATCCTTTAGCTAGACACAGAGTGCTGATTGGTGCATTTACAATCCTCTATCTAGACAGAAAAGATCTCCAAGTCCCCAGTCAACCCAGGAAGTACAGCCGGCTTCACCTCTTACTAGCACTTAATATTTTCTTTGATTTAAGTTGAGGTATGCATTTAATCCATTATTCTTATGTATTGGGTCTGGAATTGAATCATTTTGAGTCAGATTGTGAGCTGGTTTTTCATATCATCATTTTCATGCTTTTCTCAGGCAAACGATGGAATAATGGAGACAATCTATTTTTTAAAAGAGCATGCTATTTGTTCACCCACTTTGAATTGTTTATTTAGGAGGAAAGCTGACTGTGGCATGTCGTCACCCTGAGTTGCTAGTGCTTTTATAGACATCTGTGCCACATGGCAGCAAACCAGAAATGTTGGTACCACTGCTGGCGTTCTTAAAGGTGATGAAGTGTTTTGGTCTGGAACACATTCAGCTCTTCCCACATAGAACATCTCATGTGAATAATCGTGAGGAGGAAATGAGGACTAGTTTTAGAAACAAATATGAAATGACTATAAGATTTATGGAAGGAAAGGAGAGTGGAAGAAATAATAATTTTGAAAAGCAATTTAATTCATGTGTACTAGGCTATTCTAGGGTTAAAATGAACACAAAACAGTGTTTCTCTGATTTGGCCTGTTGTGACTATTGCGTGACTTCCAACCATTTCTCCGTAGATAGTTGGCAGATTTCTTAAAGGGTATTAACATGCACCATTGAGCTGTTTTCCTTGATGGCCACATGATTTCTAGCATTTTTTTTTTTTTTGTGGGGGTGACATGGTGTTTTGATATCTCTGTGTTGTGCTGGTGCTGAAACCACCAGTGTCATCAAGGCCCACTGAAGGCATAAGAATAAGCCAGGCGCGATGGCTCACGCCTGTAATCCCAGCACTTTGGGAGGTCGAGGTGGGCGGATCACGAGGTCAGAAGATCAAGACCATCCTGGCTAACATGGTGAAACCTGACCTCTACTAAAAATACAAAAAAATTAGCCGGGCGTGGTGGCAGGAGCCTGTAGTCCCAGCTACTCAGGAGGCTGAGGCAGGAGAATAGCATGAACCCGGGAGGCAGAGCTTGCAGTGAGCCGAGATTGCACCTCTGCACTCCAGCCTGGACAACAGAGCAAGATTCTGTCAAAAAAAAAAAAAAAAAAAAGAAAAAAAAGAAAAGAATAAGCCAACACAGAATATCCTCTTTTTCTTCTGTAGTATTCCAGATGTAGGCAACTCCAACTTTTAGCTAAACCTGTTAAACATATTTTGTGCTCTAACACAGTTTATTGTATCCTCAAATAAGAAACATACATTTCAATAGCTTACAGCAGCAGCAGGAATAATTTAAGTAACATTTTGTTAAGAACTTAATATGTGTCAGGCATAGAAGTGCATTACTTACATTATTGCATCCAAACATATCTTTAATGTAGGTACTATTACTTATCTGTTTTTCTGTTATGAGGAAAGTTAAATAAGAAAATCTCAAAAAACTTTCCCAAGGTCTCTTAGCCAGTAACACAGCGTAGATCAAAAATAAATTTTACCTGAAAGTAGAGCTCAAGCTCTTAAACAATATACTATAGTATACATTTAGATAACTAGTTTATTAATAACTTAATTGTGCCTGCCACTGTGCTAATCCTTTATATATTGTATTTTATTTTTCCTGGAGGGTAAACAAAAACATAGCTATTATTATAATCCTAATTTAGATACTGAACTCAGCCTCAGAAACAGTAACTGACTCATGATCACATACCTAAAGTAACAGAGGTTGATTCAAATCAAAATCTGTCGGGATTTTTCAGTCATAACCACTGTTCTGCTACATATTCTCCAGAATAATAGTGCTTTGAATTCTCAACGACTTGCTCAATTTTAAGTAAATTTTGTGCATTATCATTTGTATTTTATTTCAGACTCCTAAAAGACTGAAGCTGAGAGATAAGCATTGGTGCTGTATTTAGAATTGATCTTCCTTACTTCTTCTTACCCTTAGTCCTTGAACTGGAATTTTTGTCCTTTGTAAGTTTTGCAAAGAATAAATTATTTGCCTCAGAAATTAATGTAAATGAATTTCCATTGCACTGAACATTAAGATTGAGGCATGACCACAGTTTAGGATCAGTTTTGGAAAAGATAATATGAAGTCCTGCTCTTTAGCATAATACTTAAACAAAACAAAATAGAAGTTGAGAATGTGCATTGAGATATCTCTTAATATCATAGCAAAAATATCAGTTATTTCACATACATTTTTTTTCCTTTAGAAGTAACACAACTTTTAAAAGTTAATGTCCATCCTATTTGCCACTTTGTGGAACAGCTAAAACTATAATGTCATCTACGTGTCTTTATTTCAGTAGGCTTGAACTGTTTCTAAAGAAATTTGGAGAATCTAACTTATTTTTTATTATTTGACACAGGCATAGCAAAATAGTAAACAATAAACTAATAATTTGAAGAAATGTTGATGGTTTAAAATGAATATTATTATTGATGCTGTTTGCCTTTATCAATACATATGTTGTCTAAAATATGCAAAAGAAGTTCACTAAATCAAAAGTATTCTCAATAATATTAAGTCAAAAGTATTTCTCAAATGTAATTAAAACTAAGTAACAGTTCAATATTTTTTTTTCTTCACTACTTTACAATATAGCAATGAAAAATCCCTGGAGAAAGTTATAAATGTTTCCAACAAACTGAAGAGAAACATTAGTCAGTTTCAAGCCTCATTTACTCAATGATGGGTGGTAACAGTGTCATAAATCACTGACTACCTTTTAAGTCATATGATCTTTTGTGCCATGGGCCTTTCAATAATTTTTTTTTTGTTTAACCAACATAGAAATATGTAAAAAATAAGTATTTTTAAGAGCATAGGAACATGGAATATGAACAACACATTTGAGTAACGAAGAGTTTTAATTAACAATCCAAGGCAGTTGGTGGCCCACAGTTTATAAATGTCATATATTAACAATATTTGATAAAATTATCTTTATAAAGAAAAATCTATACCAGAGAAATGCATATTTAGTAATCATTATAAAATACATGCTGCAATATTTTAAGAGAGAATTTCAGCATTTCCAAAATGAAATACACCTTCATTTTGACTAAACAATGCACCATTATTGCTTAGCTAATTAACGACATATGTTTTACATTGTATCTTAAGGATCTGTTGTAATATTTAGGATGGAAACAAGACATTTTAATGGAGATGCAAGATTATGAACAACGGCTTATACTTGAAACCTAAACCATGTAATGAGAACATATTTTGAATTGTGTATCCCTATTTAAATGCCAGATTGGAAATTGTAAATTATATGCAATTTATTTAAAGCTTATATTCATTCCTCATTTCAAAATGTCACTTCTTTTGGGAAACAAAAAAAAAGTTTTCCATTTTTATTATTGGAAAACAATGTTTTAAAACCAAAGGAATTGCTTCAAGAAAATAGTATGTCTGGAAGAATCATAACTCTAAGCATACTACATGTTAAATCTACTAGAAATACAAAATGATTGCATAGAAGTACTATTTAATGCACATTAAACATTTGAATAGTGCTATTGATACTTTTTAAAACTTCAAAACAACTTTGTAAAAATTTTATAGCATTTTATGCCTCAGTATTGAGTAAAAATTAAAACAATATTTGCATTCCAGAATGGAGCTATATAAAATAGATGGACACATTCACATATTTTAGTAAAAAATTAATCACATTATGACCTTATCTATATCTATGAATATCTATTAGATATATGGATGTATAAACTTTTAATACCTATGTATTCTTCCTGTATTTCCCTCTGTCTCTTTCATATGTAATCTTTGGCTATTTTTTTCTCTCTCTTTCAGCAGTGAGACTCTCGTTGTCTTATTGCTTTTTTTGCCCAGTATATATTCTACAAGTGTAGGGTCTCTAAGAGAAGAAATAAATAACATTTTGTTTCTTTGAAGATGTTACAGAAGTAATAATATCTTTTATAGAAAAAGAAGGTTTTAGACTTTCTGAATGTCTTTGGCAAAGCCTATTGCAATAGGTTTTATACTTCAGTAGTGTTGAATTTAGGGAATAAATGATGGCTTTTGTATGAAATGTTCACTTATCCTTTTTTATTGTCTTCTGAGGAGGAAGTGAAAAAAAGAAATGCTCTAAAAACTCAACCTCTCTGGTTTTTGTTGAATGTAGATACACCTTCTTTTCATTCAAAATGTTACAAGGAAAACTTTAGACAAATTAAATTTGGTGAAGATTATTTCAGCAAAGGAACGATTCATGAATTGGGCAGCACCCTTGATTAGTGATGGTTCAGAGAGCTCTACCCAGCAATGAGGACAGAGCATATTTACAGATAGAAAAAGAAAGTGACAGACAGAAACAGTCTTTTTGGTTAGAGCTGGTTTTTGCTATATTTGGACATGTCTGAGCAGTTTGCAGCCTGTGATTGGCTGCAAGTTTGGCTCCTATGATTGGCTGAGACTCAACTACTTGTTACAAGTAGTTACTTAAGGTAGGATGCTGTTTGTTTACATATTAAGTTAAAGTTTCCTGTTTATGGAGGCAGCTTTAGGCAAAATGTAACTTAATATATCTAAATAGTCAGGCCTTTGTATACATGGATTCAATCAACAATGGTTCAAAAATATTAGGAATAATAATAAAATTAACAAGTGAACAATAAATAGAATGCAAAAGAAATATAGTATAACAGCTATTTACATGGTATTTACATTGTACTTTATCTTATAAATAATCTAGAGATGATCTAAAGTATGTGAATATGAATAGGTTATATGCAAATAATATACCATTTTATATAGGGGACTTGAGCATCCTTGAATTTTGGAACCCAAGCAGAGTCCTGGAATCAGTTCCCCACAGGTACTAAGGAACAACTGTATAACCAACTTACTCAACACACAGTCTAAAAATATGGGTTGCTTAAAAACTGTTTCAGTCTTTTTTTTTTTGAAATTATCATAAAGTTTCAAAAGTTCCTTATAACAATATTTTATAAAAAATTCACTTTCTATTATACCAAGCCACCTACAATTTGCCCAGTGACATAGAAAAATATAACTTGGCAGAAAAATAATTACTATTTTACAAAACAAATATCTTTATGTGACATTTTGCTCTTTTTATTAGACTTGTAAACATAATATTGCTAGTCAGAACAAATGTTTAGCGATAGTCAATCAAGGACCAAATTCAATTAAAGTTTTAATTTGAAAAATAAGGAGTAGGTGCCTTACAGTATGCATTCATTCTAGTAGTTAATGTTTCAAAACTGAAAGGAAAAGGTAAAACAACAAAAGCAAAATTTAACAGAAAGTACTTTTGCTATATATTTACTTATGCAGTTGATAAAGTTAGAAAATAGAGTTGAGAATGTCATTTTTAACTATATATCATTATAATACCATTAACATCATCATCATTCAAAGCGAAAGCAATTCCCTTTAGAGAATTTATATATGTATATATTATGTATATGTATATACTCAAATAACAAAAATTATATAACAATAAATTTATCATGTATGTGTAGATACATATAAAATAGATCTATCTATCTATATATATATAATATGAGAGATGTTCAAGTGCCCTTGGAAGTAGGTAATTTGAGGTTCAATCTTCTGCTCTGCATCTTGAAGTATTTGCATGAGTTGGAACAATCTACTTAATTTCTCACTTTGAGTAAAGTCTTTAAAACACTGCCTAGTACTTAATGAGAAATAAATAAGTGCTTTCTATCATTATTACTTTGACTATTATTATTAATAATATATTTTGTTGCCCAAATAACTCTATAAGGCAAGTACCATAATTATTCTCCCTTTTATAGATAACTAAACTACTAAAAGTTGCCTTAGGTGGTGTATCTAGAAACAAATAAGGCAGGAATATAAACACAGGCAGTCTGACTCCATACCCTAAGCTACCTATATGTGGTTACCCAAATGGAAAAATAACAATGCTAATTTATCTTTCTTAGTGAACTGTAAGCTTACTCAAGACAGAATTCATGTTTGAAAAATGGGATATTATCAATAAATATCTTTTGGATGAGCAACTTCTTACAAAGCATTTGTGAACTCAAATGCATTGCAAACATACAATTTTATGTGTGTTTATATAATTCTATCTGATTAATATGAATAAGCAAATTTGATTAAAACAAAATAAAAATCAAAATTAAATTTTAAAATAAATCTGATTAAAATATTTTTTCATAAAAATGTTAAGGTTTTCAGTCATACATAATCTTTCTTTTTCTAGAATAATTTAGATATAAACAAATCAAAATTAATCACCTACCATCATTTGTAAAGTAACAAACAGTACAGCAAAAATCCAATCATATGATAAATAATAAGTATTTTAGCCTGGGTTTTAAAGGAAACCCAATAAAAGAATAAGAATCAGGAACATTCACTGTCAGAAATTATTGCAATCTACTATAGAGGAAATATTAAAACAAAACAAAAAACAAAGCAAAACAAAATGTAAGGGCTAAACTACTGGTTGACATTCTGCTAGAGAAAGAAGTCTAACTGAGATTAAGTTAGTGATAGAGAAAGATAAAAT
This sequence comes from Homo sapiens, assembly GCF_000001405.40. Taxonomy (NCBI): domain Eukaryota; kingdom Metazoa; phylum Chordata; class Mammalia; order Primates; family Hominidae; genus Homo; species Homo sapiens. The sequence continues at coordinate 80,576,930 of NC_000001.11, read as the reverse complement.
ACTAAATTGCTCATAGCAAATCTTTGGAAAGGAATTGTTTACAATGAATTGGAAATATGGCATTAAGACACAATAGGCTGTATTTATTGGTCCATTATTATATGCCTAAGGTATATTCTGAGGCAGAAGGTCGTAGGCTCTTACCTGTAATACTTTTAAATGAAATCATTTCACAGAATCAAAGAAATAATATTAGCCACATATATTCTGAGCTAAAATATACCTTACAAATAAAATAAATCAATCAATTAATTTTATTGAAAGGCTCTCCATTTGATTGAAATAAAATTTCGCTAGGTATACAAATTAATCTCTGAGGAGCAAATTTAGTTTGATTAAGAAAGATGCTTCACTGAGAATTAGTAAAGAATATCTTGGCCTTATGCATATGCATTAAATGGCAATTTTCCAGAAAGTTCTTACTCGTCTAATTACACTCAATTAAAAATAGTTTATTTTTAAAGCCACATGGGATGCTTAAGTAAAGAACAAGAAAAAATAATGAAGAGAATACACACAACTTGATAGAGAAGGGAAAAATGGTAGTTATAAAACATGAGTATCAGCATGTGATGATTAATATTGAGTGTCAACTTGATTGGATTGAAGGATGCAAAATATTTTTCCTGGGTGTGTCTGTGACAGTGACTTATTTTGTAGACACCACTCAGCCTCTTTCCCCAGCCACCCCTGTATTTGCCCAATGGGCCTATGAACGAAGTGGCCATGGTGGCAGGGGCTGGAGGTAACACATGGGCTCAGTGGCATGGACTTCCACTAACCAAGGCTGGCCTGACTACGGCTACTGCTGAATGCCCAATTTGCCAGCAGCAGAAACCAACACTGATCTCTTGATATGGCACCATTCCTTGGGATGATCAGGCAGCTACTTGGTGGCAGGTTGATTATATTGGACCTCTTCCAACATGGAAAAGGCAGCGGTTTATCCTCACTGGAATAGACACTCTGAATATGGGTTTGCCTATCCTGCATGCAATGCTTCTGCCAAGACTACCATCTGTGGACTCACAGAATGTCTTATCAACTGTCATGGTATTCCACATAGCATTGCCTCTGACCAAGGCACTCACTTTATGGCTAAAGAAGAGCAGGAGTGTGCTCATGCTCATGGAATTCACTGATCTTACCATGTTCCCCAGCATCCTGAAGCACCTGGATTGACAGAATGGTGGAATGGCCTTTTGAAGTTACAATTACAATGCCAACTAGGTGACAATACTTTGCAGGGCTGGGGCAAAGTTTTCCAGAAGTCGTATATGCTCAGAATTAACGTCCGATATATGTAACTGTTTCTTCCATAACCAGGATTATTCATGGTTCCAGGAATCAAGGGGTGAAAGTGGAAGTGGAAGTGGCACCACTCACCATCACCCCTAGTGACCCACTAGCAAAATTTTTGCTTCCTGTTCCTGTGAGATCATGTTTTGCTAGCCTAGAGGTCTTAGTTCCAGAGGGAGGAACACCACCACCAGGAAACACAACAATGATTCCATTTAACTGGAAGTTAAGATTGCCCCCTGGCCACTTTGGGCTCCTTCTACCTGTAAGCCAACAGGGTAAGAAGGAAGTTACAGTGTTGGCTGGGGTGATTGACCTTGACTGTCAGATGAAATCGTATACTACTTTACAATGGAGGTAAGGAAGAGTCTGTGTGGAATATAAGAGATCCCTTAGGGCATCTCTTAGTATTACCATGCCCTGTGATTAATGTCAATGGGAAACTACAACAACCCAATCCAGGAAAGACTGCAAATGGCCCAGACTCCTCAGGAATGAAGGTTTTAGTCACCCCAGCAGGTAAAAAACTACAACCTGCTGAGGTGCTTGCTGAAGGGAAGGGGAATGCAGAATGAGTAGTAGAAGAAAGTAGTCATCAATACCAGCTACAGCCATGTGACCAGTTGCAGAAATGAGGATTGTAATTGTCATGAGTATTTCCTCCGTATTTTGTTAAGAACATGTTGGTGCATTCATACATTTGTACTAGGAAAATATCTTCATTTTTTTATTTTTCCTTTATCATGTGACATAAAATTTATTGAATTCGTATCAACATTTAAGTGTCGTTAACTTTATGTAATAGCATTTGAGTTGAGGATTGATGCATTTCCAGTTGTAAGAATGATAGCTGTATTACATTAGGCATAGTTATGACCTTATTATTGTCTTTATTTAAAGATTATGTATGATCTCAGATGTGTATGGGTTCAAGTTGACAAGAGATGGACTTGTGATGGTTAATACTGTCAACTTGATTAGATTGAAGGATACAAAGTATTTTTCCTGGGTGTGTCTCTGAAGGTGTCACCAAAGAAGATTAACATTTAAGTCAGTGAACTGGGAGAGGCAGACTCACCCTCAAACTGGGTGGGCACCATCTGATCAGCTGCCAGTGTGGCTAGGATAAAAGCAGGCAGAGGAACATGGAAGGACTAGATTGTCTAAGTCTTCTGGCCTCCATTATAAATATTATAATGAAATACTTTATAAAATTTGATGCTTGTACCATTGAATAATGGTAGGATCTAATCTAAATTCATTCCAAAAGTATTGATGATTATAATCAATGTATTTGTTGGATTGCCCAGTGAATGAAATCAAGAACTGTTTTAAACCTGATGATATTCTGCCCTAAACACTCTGATTAAATTCTGTAGCTCTCTGCCTAATATTCTAGCTACTTCTTCCACAGTCCCAGGTGCCACCTAGGCACTCAGAAACTACTTTCTTGTCAGAAAGCATTGGTAGGTCTTGCCTGACATGGCTCTATCTAATTACTACAGATAAAGTTCAGAAAGAATGCAGATACAAGTAACTAATTTAGTCAAACCCCAATACAACATTGATCAACAGAATAACAAGAAGATATACACAGGAGAGAGAAAGAGGGAAGGAGAAAGAGTATTGAGAGGAGGAGAAAGAAAAAAAAAGCCATAGCAGAGGAGCTGGCAGCTGGGAAGTGGAGGGAGAGACTATATATAGCTGCATGAATCCACTGCATTGCTTACAGCCCACCTCCCGTTTTTGCTGTTAGAGTTAGTTTACATATAGACCCCATCAGCGTACTGAGTGCTCTATCTATATTTACGGGTTTGTTTGGCAGAGTTCTGACTCCAGTGCTTTTTCCCGGAAGAAATTATCAGTGGAGAATTCATTCAAGTTTCTTCTAGTTAATCATCATTATCTTCAACTACATTAAGCAAAGAATTAGAGTTTTAAATGAGGTCTAACCCATCCTCTTCCTCAGAAGAATATTACAATATACCAAGGTGAAATTGTTGCACATATTATTCTGTGTTGCATATCCCTCTAGGCTAAGAGTTTCTGCATGATCTTATTCTCAAAATTCTGCATCTAATGGTCCTTTGGGAAAGTTTTCCCCCTTATAAAACCTTAAAGCCTATAAAGGCTTCTGGTTTTTTTTTTTTTAAAAAAAAAAACATATTTCCTTTTTTATTATTTTTCAATTACAAAGAATCACTAGACAATCTCTGCACCCTTAGCATGCTTACCACTGTAATGATTATAATAGCAACACCGATGATGGCAATATCTGTATTAGTTTCCTATTGCTGCTATAACAAATTACTACAAACTCAGTGGCTTAAAAAACAACACACATTATGGCTCTGGAGATCAGGTTCTAAAATCAAGATGTCAGCAGGGTAACATTCCTTCTAGAGGCTCTGGAGAAGCATTTGTTTCCTTGCCTTTTCTAGCTCATAGGTGTCATCTACATTCATTAGCTTGTAGTCTCTTCCTCAATCTTCAAAGTCAGTAGCTTAGCATTTTTACATTTCTCTATACCACTGAGAGAATTTCTATTCTCTATTCTGCCTCCCTCTTTCACATGTTCGGGCACTTGTGATTGCACTGGGCCCACATGGATAATCCAGAATAATCTCCTCATTGCAAGGACAACTGATCAGTAAACTTAATTCCATTTTGCAACATTAAATCCCTCTCACTCTATTACATATTATATTCACAGGGTCTGTAGATGAGGATAGAAATATTTCTGGGAAAGTATTTTTCTACCCACCACAATATCTAACCTGTATTGAGCAATTACTACATGACAGGCACCATGTTAAGAATTTTGCTACTGTCTTATTTTATTCATTGTTCTTCTGAATAATAAATCCTTTAACATTTTCAAAAATAAGGAGTTTTTATATCTTCAGTTGCTTATTTGCTGCCTTTGACTCTTTTCTCAACTGTCCATGCCTTACCCTATGACATAATTGTATTTGACAGCGTTTTCTAACTGGTGTATGAATAGTGAACAAACTACGCAATGGTATGAGTGCTAAAATTATTATTTGAATGCATAAGAATAAAAGCAAATGTTTATTGACCATTTGCTATCATTATTTGTACTACTTCATAGGACTAATCTTAATTCACACTACTACCTTCTACTGCTATAGATGAATGCATGTATACTTCCAAAATTCATGTGTTGCAATCCTAATCTCCAATGCAATGTGATGGTGTTAGCAGGTGGGGCCTTCACACTTGATTAGGTCATGAGGGTGGGGCCCTGATGAATGGGATTGTGCCTTTATCAAAGGGACCTCAGAGAGCTCCCTCATTCTTTCAACATGTGAGGACACAGCAAGAAAGTGGCCATCTATGAACCAAGGAGCAGGCCCTCACCAGACACCAAATCTGCTGGCACATTGATCTTAGTCTTCTTAGCCTCCAGGTCTCTGAGAAATTCCCATTGTTTATAAACCATCCAGTCTGTGGTATTCTGTTATACCACCCTGAACTAAAACAAGTGCTTAATAATAAGTACTATTATTATCTTTTATAGATACAGTAACTGAAGAAAACTGATTAAATAACCTACCTAAAATCATGAAGTTAGTAAGTCATAAAAGGTAAAATTCAAATTCAGGCAATCTTGAACTAGAGATAATTCTTGGTATGAACAAATGCTGCTGTCTCCATTAGCAGGAACAGCAGTATACTTAATGATTTATTTTATGATTTTTATTTATGATATTCCTGGCCACAACAAACTTTCATGCTATGAAGATAATAATTTATGTAATTGCCCCAAAGTATATGTTAAATTGTTTAATTGATTTCCAAATTTGGGATCATTCTTGTCGCTTGAACCATAATTCCCACATTATATGAAACCTATATCCCACTTGCACATATCAGTGAAGAAAGTATGCTTCTCTAAGCCAGAGGCTCAGTGCCCTGGACACTGAGAGAATAGCCATGTTGCTATCCTCCACATAATTTATATACACCCACTTACCATATGCCCCAATATAAGCCAGAAAATCAGAACCTCTTTGATTTCAATAAATCTAAGTTATGCCTATGATTTTCGCCACCACCCAGTGGATGTTCAGTACCTGATAGATAGCATGATAACTCTTATATACTCTTTGACACACTCATAATCCAGTTTGGAGATGAAGACAAATATACAAACAATGCCAAAGAGATTATTAAGTAAATTAACTTTACAGAGTTATTCACTCTCTCTTACTATAAAAAATGCTAAGATACTTTCTCTTCTTTTATATGATAAAAGCAATAAGGCAGATATAAAATGACAGAGTTCAGGGAACAAAGAGACTATTCACTACTTTGAGTATCTGTGAGTTTCATAAAATAAAAGGCATTTGAACTAAACCTTAGATAAGTTTTGTTATTTTGATTTGTGGAGGAAAAGCTATGAAAATTCTACAAAAGTAAGAAAAAGGGAGATATTGAGAAGTGGTCAATAACCCTTTGTGGCTGTGAACCCATGTGAAGGGTCAGAATAGAAAAGAAGGGCAGAATTGGTGTTGATGATGGATCACAGAAGCCACAAGCACCAGTTAAGATGACTTTGACTTCCCTCTTCAGGCAATGAGGAGCCCTGAGAGCTTTTGAGCAGGTGAGCGACACAATCAGAGATGTGTTTTAGTGCAATTCATTCATCAGAGGTGTGCAGAATGGATTGAATGAAGTGTGTTTGAAAGATGACAAAAACATCTGAAAGATTTATTGAAGACCAACACATATTACATAACACGAATTGAACACTCATTCTCTAGATCTTCACATGACTGGCTTTCTAATTGGATTCCAATTTTTTCTCAATTTCCACCTCCTCAGAAAGGTTCTTCCTGATTACTTATCTCCTTCTTGAAATACAAGACCTCAGTTACTCTTTTACTTTCCTTTATTCTTCTTCATAGCACTTACTGTTGCCTATTTATATATTTAACTTGCTTTCTTTGTCTTCCCATTATGAATGGAGAAACTATAAAGACAGTGACATTGTCTTTTTTGTTCAGCACAGTAACCCTAACCTAAAATAGTTTTGACACATAGGACACCATATATTGTTATTAAAATGAATGAATGACTTGAAGACTACGAATCCACATCAAGGTGACAGTGTCATTAACAGAAAATAGGGCACCAAGAATAGCTATTATTACCTGGAAATGAAAAATGGTTCAAAATCTCTACCTGCCCTATAAGCATAAGAAATTATAGATCTAAACAAATATATTCAAATGTATTTGAAGATAATCTCAAAATTTAGTGGCACCTAATTCCCAAACTGATTTGATCCTAACATATTTCCACTTTGATTCTCCAGCCATGAATTTTTAAATTTCTTTTTTCCAAATTCAACTTGCCACACTCATTCTGGTTTGGCATTTATCTTAACTCTTATTTTTCATTTAGATTTAAGAGGGTATGCTCTTTAATTTAATAGTCCCTTGCTCCGAATTCTGTTCTTCCCCAGAAACCTAAACCTCTTACTAACCTCTTGATACCCCTGCACAGGTAGGGATAATTTGGATCAAAATTCAGTGAACTGTCAATCTTCAGATTCAAGGATATGCTCGGTGGTGTTGGTGTCATTTTTCCCGCTATTGAAAATTTCAATATTCACGCTCTACCCAACAAGTATTTAATTAATACTGTGAGTAGAATCTAACCACTTAGACTTGAAATGAAAATGTGCCTTTCAAATGTAAATTAGACAAAAACTACTACCACCCACTTAGATTTAAGGGACTCAGTCCATTTAAACTTAAGAAATAAGTCCATATCAGAAAAAGGAACGTGAAGCTATATTGTATGAAGCTCAATGTGTTGAAGTGCTCCTGTTTATACACAATGGCAGTATTAATTAACTAATACATTCAAAATATGTGATCTGGATTGCTTTTCAGTTTATTTATTGTCCTTGTGAAAAAATTGGGATCATTCTTTATTTCCTAATGTAGCTTTAAAGCATGCCCTTAGCTATATATAATGATCTAAACTGCACACTTATTCTCATAGTTTTATTTCATCCATGGCCTTATATTATATTGCAGCTCTTTGTACCTTAAAAAATAAATGCAAGCTATTAGATTCATAAAATTCATGTATTTTGACATAATAAAATAATTTTTAGTCAACTAACATGACATATGTTCGAATAAGAAATAGTAGAACCAAAAGAATTATCTAGGTAAGAAATGTTGATTAACATGATGAAAACATAATGCAACTTCTTTTCTATTGTTATACAATATATTTACTATAATTTTGAGGTTCTAGTGCTAAAAACTGCCTGTGATATCTGATAAATGTATTAAACAGGAAGAAATTTGATCTAAAGAAGTCATTCTCATATTTTTCATATCCTGCAAACCTCAAAATAAAAGCTGAGAAAGAATTTAAGCAATAAGCTCAGATTTTGAAGTATTCATTTTTTTGCTATTTAAAAGTATCTATGTATAAAAAAGGCAAGAAGCCTTTTAGCCATAATGGTCTTTCTTTCTCATGAACAATTAAATATCAAGGGTACATTTCATTGTTGGGCATTGTCTTCTTTTGAGGTCTTCCAAACACCTCAAGAGTAAAAATGCTGATGTGTTTCTAACTTAAATATTTTGATAAAATACAGACTTGGAACCTATCTACATAGCCAGAAACTTTTCTTAAAAATTTTTTTCTGAGCAAAATATTTATTTAATTGAATCATTTTATATTCTGGATATAGCTCAATATAGCCTGCCTTCCAGTTAATGTATTTGTACAGAGATCATTTCTCTTACTAAGACCTGGCTGCTTTTTGTTTTTGTTTTTGTTTTTTTTTTTTACAAGAATCAGTTAGTTCAAGTTACTAGTTGATTACTATTATATGTGGGATCCTAGAAAAGAATGAGAAAAACATAATTATTTCATTTTCTGTATTAAGAAAGCAAATTACTACATTATACTGAAATTGTTTGTTTCACATCTCTCTTTCCCCTACTATTATTTTTTCAGCTTTATCTCCAGTGCATAGTACAGAGCATGACATACAATAATTGCATATTAAATGCTATTTGAACAAGCCTAGCAACCACAAGTGATAGAAAAATTATTTGAATGTAATGAAAAAGTTTAATATAAAGGAGAAAAATTTAAGTGTTTCATGGTGTTAAGTATTTAAATTTAGTTATTAAAATCCTTAATATTATCATCATCATTAACCCTATGGAACTGATAATTTTGGATTTATGTTATCCAAATGAGAAAACTTAGGTTTAAAGAGGTTATGTAATTTTTTCAAGTCTGTAAAGCTCATAAGTAGGTGCTAATGAACCTCAGATATAAACTGAGGACTATCTCCAATTGCAATTCTTAACTACTACTATATTGCATCTATTGCTATATAGAAGATTAACTAAAGAAGGGTTGACCTTGGTTCAATGTGCTGAATGAGAAAACATGGAGCATCTTTGTATGTGCTGGCATAAAATCAACATTTTCTATCAGATTGCTAGGCAAGTTTCTTTATTTCGTTGTTTTTGGTCTATTTTCCATACAGTGTTAACTCCTCAAAGGTAAGAAATGTGTCTGTCTTTTTCACTATTGTATCTTGTACTAGAAGTGGACTACATTTTATTACGGTGATAGAATTTTACCTAGTGAAAGCTAAATACATCTTTATTCAATAAATGAATGTGTGATAATATAAGAAATAATACTGTCAGTAATAATCTAAATTCATTGCTGATTTGCAATGAAACTATTATTACAATATTGCTTCTCAGTTATTGGCCTAAGATCAAGTGTAATATTGCCATATGAGTAGAACAGAAGACAAATGCCAAAAAAAGTTTTTTATACTCTTAACATCTTTAATATTTAAAAGACCAAACAAATGCTAGTATCTTAGTATAGGGTAGTTTTCTGCAGTGTAATGGAGACAAGGAATCAAGAAATCCAACAACCTAGGTTCAAAACAGAGCTCGTGCGCAATGACAAACGTGAAAAACAAATACAACTCAAACATGTATTTGTTATGTGACTTTTTATAAATTACTCAATCCCAGTTGTATATGGCAATAATAACAGTATCAGACTCTTAGCTTTGCTGTGAGACTAATATAGCTCAGTGTCTAGCATATAATAAGCACTTTTAAAAATTAATTATTGTTTGAGTATAAGCTCTACCTTTCAATTACATCCAATTACTTCATAAATTCTGAGTCGAAAACAAAAGATAATTTACATATTCGGTAACAGGCTTTTAACTTTCTTTATAACTTGAAGTTTTTATTTTGTTTTATTATTTCTAAAAGAGTGATTTGCAAGTTTTGGGTTTATTTTTCTTATTGGGCAGTGCTAAATGACTAAATGTAAACTGCTCATTTATAGCTTCCAATTTTAGTAGTAGTAATATGTATGAATAATTGCAACAAACTGCTAATCCAATAATAGAAAGTGACGTTGTTATAGTCAGTTTTTAAGTGTGCTTATTATACCTTATTTTGCTAAGCCTTTCCTTCAAACTCCAGCTTCCCTGGGCAGAGTACAGCTATGTAAACTTATCTAGCAAACCAAGGGAAACTTTGAAAAGGGAAAACAAACAAAGCTTTACTTCTTTAAACCACTTATTCAATGTGTTAACACACTTATCAAAGCTATCTGACCAAGAGTAATTCTAACTAAAGTACCCGGAGGTGTTAACATTTGTTTCAAGGGGTCTAGAAATGAGTTAACCACATTAGTGAGTTAAGTGCATTTATTCACTGAATATTGTTATCTGTTAATGTAAAAGAAGGAACATCATCAACTTAACCTTCTGTGTCAATATTGATTTCCTAATTGAATCATATTAAAATTTCAATTTCAAAATAGTTTTTATTTTTTCACAGAAAGTTTCTTTTTACAATCTTATTTCTTGAATTATATACTTATTAATATGTTCAAATTAGTAACTAGAAAGAAAAAGTTAGATTGCATTAATTCATTGACACTGTCACTGCTGATCACTGACATATTCACGTGGAACTTGCCAATAGTCAAATGACTGTTTTAAAGAATTCAGTAATTGTTGAAGTCTAAATTGTTGTAGACCATTGGAAAGATTTGTTTTATCAAAATTAGGTAATTTTGTTTTTGTCCCTATCAGTTCTCTTGTAGGTGCAGAGGTCTTACTCTTCCTTATCACATTCTTGTCAATAGGGAAAAAAGAGAAAGCTTCAGAAACCTTTGCTCTTATGTATTTCTGCCAATCAATGTAATCCAGGAGATAAATGCAACAATAAGAAAAGACCCTATTCCTTTGTTCACCACTAATTCATCACACTTTTCACAGCTGGATCTTAACTGAAGCAACACAGATTTGACCTTTAAATCTTAGCTAGGCTGCATTTGATCCTATCTCCCACAGCTATAACTTCATTGAATTCAGTACTTCCATTGCCCTTTTTCTATAATTTGACTTTGATTTATCTTTTAACTATCAGCAGTCAACATTAACACTCTAAGCCGTAGGTGTGAAAATCAAGTGCGAAACATTATCAGGCCTGTAATCATATATATCTATTCAATACCATTCTATTAACTGTGAGGCAAAATTACAATTTGATTTTATTGATGTAACAACGGAAAAAATTTGCACAATTAGTTATCTCTTGTTGTAACTACTTTATCTGCCTTGGGATTTTGAGGCTGAGGTACATTTACAGGAAGAAAATAGAAAGTCATTAATAAGTAAAAATATGGCAATGGTTCAGGTACAATATTTGGTTGTTTCTATGATTTCACATAAAACATTTTTATCAATATATTTCTTTATTTTTCCCCCTTCAACAGACACGTGGTGCATTCTAAAACTGCACTGAAAGTTAATTCAAGGAGGTTTACTGAACAATACAAACTTAAATCCTTAAGGACCATTCCTCCTTAATAATTGTTTCTGTTAAACTGGTATAAACCTACCTGACCCTCCAGTAATTTTTTACTTCTAGCCAACTGAAAGTTAATGAACCACAAATTACACTGGGGAAGAGAACTGACTTTTTACAAGGAGCTGGAATGTGTTGAATGTGGTGAGAGAACATTAACAAATCTGTCAATTATCCTAGAAGGTGTTTTGAATTTTATGTGTTCTGTTTGCTTGCACAATATAGCAAATATAATGCCCTTCATTTTGTTTAGTATTATTTTTAATAATAACAATATCCAAACATACTTTTTCTCAATCTATAATGTAACCTTCATGGCAGGTTTCTCAGAAGTTTCAACTCAAACATTGTACCTAAGTGAAAACTTTTCAGGGTGCAGTGTAACTGTTATAGTTGTTGTCTTGCTTCATAGCTCATAGTCCAGTAATCTTTGGAGAGTAGATAAGGTTACTTTTTCATAAATTTCTTATCTGTTCATGCTAGTAACTGATCTTAATTTGAATCAGGGTCCTAACCATATTATTTTAAAAATCTCAAGTGGAGAGCAATATATTATAAAATTTCCTCAAATTTTCAAAGACTTTTTAATAATAAATCTATTCTAATATCTAGAATAGACTATCCATTCATTGATAACTTGGGACATCATTAATATTCAGTCTTTCATAGTTTTATTAACAATTTCTCCAAGTGCAAAGCGAAGAAAGTTTATCTACTAACACTATCCACTACGTTTTAAGCCAAAGGTTTCCAAATCCTCTTAAAACTGAAAACCTAAATTTAAAACAAATTTGAAATTGTTAAATTCAAATAAATAAAATTGTTTCAAAAAGAAAGAGCAAGAAAGAAACGACACTTTTCTATAGTGGGAGAGGACCTTTATTTCCATTTATTTAACTTTCTAGGGCTCAGTAATTTTTTAAAAAAATTATTGTCTAAAATATCATGAGCTAACATAAAAATTAATTATGCCATCTTTGGGGAAATAATAATTGAAGTATCAGGATTCTTCTTCTTTTGCCATAGGTATATAAAATTAAAGGGAAGTTAGGATTATTAATCTTTAGTCTAGAATTTTGTTAATTGCTTTCCACCAGGGTTTTTAGGTCTAGGAGTAAGATTACAATATAAAAGAAGATTAATACTTAAGGTTAGAGGTTACCTATGTTGATTATGAAGGAATTATATTACATTTGATATTTCTCAATGCTCCCAATACCCAATTTATACTTCAGCATCGTAACAGCCAAAGAATGACACTGTAATACTTTATGAATTCGGTTGTGGAAATTAAGCACAAAACAATTTATTGGCCAAATGGGGGCCTATAATGGTTATTAAATTACAAAGATGTATATGCTATATCTAGTCATACAAATAGATTGGAAAATAAGAAAATGTTTTCTCTGAATTATTTCACTGCTAAATAGAACAACAACAACAAAAATAGGTACCAAATACTTCTGTCCCATAAATAATTTTTTAGACGCTATGATTCTTACACTATTATTTTGAGAACTCCATTTACTTATAATACATAATTAAAAACACATTCCATAAAAAATTCTTATCTTTATTGATGATTTTAAATATAATTGCTTGAGAGAGCCATACTACTGCAGAGCTTAACATTTGGTAATTACTTTTTTAAAAAATTTGTATTGACAAAATTCTTTGGATTCGTGGGGCATCCTGTTTGACTATGATTTTAGCTACATAATTGATGTCATATGACATTCCAGTTAATAAAAATAAATTATTTTCAGAAATAAGTTAAATTTCCTTGATTATTCTTTTTTTTTTTTACAAGTAGGTCATAAATAAACAAAATTATTCTCAAAAAAAGAATGTTTATGTGATGATAGATCTCTCATTTAAACTACGAGAACAAAATTCTGGCTTTAAATTCATTAATCCAACTTTAATATTGTATTTACATTCTAGAGATAATGAACAGTGTATTTCCTTGCATGTTAGAAAATATTTATGGATAAACTAATAAAGAGATTGAAGTTATCGATATTTACCAAATGTGAAAACCTCTCATTTATCTTTGACTCCTCCCCAATGTATCAGTTATCTATTGATAAAATAATACTGTAAACAAATGCACACACACAGCACACCACACACACACACATATGCACACACACACACACAAAATTCTCACTGGCATAAAACATCTATTTATTATTTGTAGGGAGCGAGTGGGTCATCAGAATCGTTCTATTGCCTTGGGTCAGGCTTGACTGATCTGTTATGGGCTCACACATGTGGCTACAAGAAGGCGACAGTTTGGCTAGGGGCTGACTGGCTTATTATGGCCTTAACTGGGACCATTCACCCTTGCTTCTTACCATTTTTTATCCTAGAGTAAGCTGGCTTGAGCTTGTTTTCATGTTGGTTGCAGTGATTCAGGAAAGAAAATGGTAATTTGAAAGCACTTCTCAAATTTTTACTCGTGTCAAGTTTGTTATTGTCATAGTGGGCAAAATAAGTCATATGGCTAATGCTAGAGTTAATTTGGAAAAGGGGACACCACTTCTTCATGGAAATAGCTACAAAGTCAAATGGCAGTGAGCTTAGGCATTTGTATAGGTAGAATGTTGATAGAACTTTGGCCAACAATGCATTACCCCCTACATCTAGTTGTTACTAGTTTTCCTCTGAATGTGAAACCATGTGTTTCTGCCGTTGTTTCTAACATTACCACTCTTATGCAAAATCTTCTAACTCCTACTTTAATTATGGTATTGATCTTGTAACTAGATTTTATGTCTTTTAAGTCTTACTCCTCCTCAATATTTCCTATACACATTTAATGGGTTTTCTTCTATGTTATTTAATGACAATAACTTGAGAATAGGATTGCATTCTTCTTTATATCTTCAATAGTGTTGTACCTATTGGACATAAAATATACATACTTACTTTTGATTAGTGAAATATGTTAACAAATAAAAGAAAAAACACACAATAAGCAAATCTAAAAATTCAACCTTAAGCATACTCATATATAATCATTTCACTGGAATCCCTATGAATTCAGGTCACTTTCCCAAAAATTCTTAAAGTATGACAGCTTTACTCAAGTATTAATTATATGCTTTGTTTACTGTTAGATATAGGATACCAATTTTGTGATATTCTAAAACCTTCCAAATTCAGTTATACTCATTTGGTTTTTCATTATGATTGTCTTTTATATCTATGAAATACAATGGGATATTTAAAGTAGAAGTGGTTGTGTGTTTCATGTTACATTTGCGTTTGAAAATGTATTGTTTTGAGATAAGTCTTACATCAGCAAAGGAGTAATATTAGAACAAATGCTCAATTCTTCGTTGGATTGATTGTCATCATGATTGTTGTTCCATATCCTCTCAGTATATATATCAGAACTGAGGGGTAAATTAGTCCTTTGGGAAGTTTTATCAACTCTTTAAAATATATGCTTCATAATTATTGGTTTAAGAAACTGATTGATAATAATGTGGCTTGGACATTTTTATAATGTTTTCCAAAGGCTTAACTACATCAGCTAATAATATATTCACTGTATTTTATGGCTCATTGCAGGTTCTAAATGCATAGTTTATATCAGATAGCTGATAGAAGATAATAATTTTTTCAAAATACCTGTAACATGATAAATCAAACCTCAGTAGAATGAGCATATAATTTATCAAAACCGGCCACTGTTTGGAGTGAAAAGAATGCTATTAATACCTATCAAAAGAAATAAAGAATTTTTTGAGGCAAAATGAGACTTATGATTACCAAAGATATTAGAAATTTTTGATAATAAGATTACCAGATCAAACTGGGTGTGCAAATGTGTGTATTTCTCAGGGCAGATATTTGGAGAGCGATACTAAGATCATGTGGATAAATTTTCTTATCTTAATGAAGTTTATTGATAATGATAAGAATATGAGTGTAGAATGGAAAAATGGTATATTCAGTGTTGTAGAATAAGTAGCTAGTTGGCCATACAGCTGCCTTTCAGTTTTCTTCCTTTCTTCCAAAATTATTTGTTATGTAGATATAAAGGAAAGTTAAAAAATCTCAGGACCTCCAAACTCCTTATGCAAAGGAGAAGGTCAGGCTTGGAAGCTGAGTCATGTAATGCCTTCCTCCAAATGAATAACTGTCACTAGGATTATGTGTCAGCCAGATTCTGTCAAGGTAAAAGGCCTTGGGCATCTACAAAGGACTGCCCTCACAGATCATTCCTAAATAAATTCTTTGCTGGCCTCTCATAGACAAGGGCCTGACAATTGTAACTTTAGGTCTACACTGTAAATCTAGCTCCTAAAACTAGAGTCTGTTTTATTCCACACTGATGATGTCCATTACAAGCTTATCTTCCCAGGAGCAGAACAAAGACAAGATGGACCAATCATTCCTCCACCTACCTGGAGACATCTCCATAACTGAATTTTTCTTTACTCCTTTTTTCTCTTCAAACATTCATGTTAGGTTATGTAAAATGTAGATTTACTGGGGGGCACTAACTAAAGTCTCAATTTAAGAAATGTATTGATTCACCTTACTGCCTACCTGCTCTCTTCCTATATGCCTTCCCCCACCTTTAAGGAAATAAATAAATACTAAATCTCCTGAAAAACCTCTTCAGAAAAATAGCCTCGAATGTGTCTGTGGCTTGTGTTTTTTCCAGACACTTCCTAAAGTTGGCTTAATAAACCTTGATTAGCTGAGACTTTTTGTCTCAGTCAGTAATTTCGGTTGTCACAGGCTCTGGGGGATATAACAATAATAAATATGTATTTAGTCCTTGTCTTAATGCAATTCACATTTTAGTGGGTGAGGCATGTGTTTAATTAAAAATTACACTATTAAAATTTACTTATTTTTAAGACTACAGACTACAGCATGACAAAAGGTCTGATAGAAATCTAACATTTTGGACTGCAGATGGATTTGATCAGAAAAAATGTTTTCTGAGGAGGTAAAGTTTACACTGTGATCTATTCAATAATTTGAATTCTGATAGCCGAATGAAGAGGAAAAAATTGACTTTCAGTCAAAGGACCAAGGCAAGGCTATTGAGGTAAAAACAAGACAAAACAACAACAACAACAACAAAATAAATGAACAAAAAATATTCTCAGAATAGCTAGGAACAATAACCGGGAAGTTATCGAGAATGAGGGAAGAGGCTGGATTATGGAGAAAATTATAGCCAATTTAAGAATTTTAATTTAATACAAAGATCATAGTAAGTTAGGGTGAGTAAGAGTCTTATTCCATTTTTGTTGCCATAAAAGAATACCTGAGATCAAGTAATTTATAAAGAGAAGATGTTTATTTAACTTACAGTTCTGCAAGCTGAGAGGTTTAAAGGCACCGCCCTGTCTTCTGGTGAGGACTTTCATGTTACATCAAAACATGATGGAAAAGGTCAAAGCAGAAATAAACACGTATGAAGAGGGGAAAACCTAAGGGATGTTCTGGGTTTATAACGACCTACTTTCTCAAGAGAAAAAATCCATCCTCATGAGAATTTATTCAGTGTCTTGAGAGTGAGAACTCACTTACTACTATGAACACAGCACCAAGCTATTTATGAGGGATTATTCCTCATAATCCAAACACTTCTCCTTAGTCCCCACCTTGCAACACCATCATGTTGAAAATCAAATTTCAACATGAGTTTTGGTGGGACAAACAAACCATATTCAAACAATAACAGTAAATCAGATAAATCCCCCAATTCAGCAACTTAATGTAATTAAATATTATTTTTTGGTATCAGAATACTATATGTGATTGACAGATGTTGTGGCATTGTTAGGGGAGGGAGTGGGGCAGAGGTAGGAACTCTGAGCTGTATACATTCACTCAAGGATTCAAGCTTCTTCAATTTCAGAGCTCTGCCACATTGTACTTATATCTCCAAATGTTGCAGTAGGCCTTCTTATTCAGCCACTAGATGAGGAACAATAGATATTTTATAGGCCAGTGTACATTTCTGTCTCATTATATTGGCCAGAACTTAATTACTGAGACTTACCTTACTGGAGAGAAAGCCGAGAATTGTAATTTGTCTGTATTGCTAGTGTGCAAGGGAAAAACAAAATAAGTTTGATAGGCACACAGCATTTTTGTGAGGACTAAAATCATTTACTCCCTCATTTATTCTGAACACTGCAAATAATAATACCTACTGTCTACAGTAATATGGCTTTGCCTTTCCACTGTCTTTTCTAACAGTACTTTGCTTTTTCATGAGTTTCCTGCCTAGGCAAAGGATTTGGTTTTTCATTATAGGAACTTTCTGAAAGATCCATCAGCTCTTCAATGGAAAGCATTAAGAGAGTTGTGTTATAGGATTATATCACCTCAAAACTCACTCTGCTGTTCCCACTCACCCTTACCATTTGGTAGGAAATTCTTACCAATTCTTAATCTATCCCTGCATTGAAAGACTCATCTTAAATTCTTTCTTAATAAATTCTGACCTTACCGCCCCTCCTCTAGAACATGGCTATAGCTTAAAAGAGGTGGTCTTCTCATTTTTACTGTAATAACAAATAAATTAAGGCTTGTGTTATTAACAGTTTATGTCAGTGGTACTTGGAGAAGTCAGCATTCAAACATTTTTTACATTAAAGCTTTTATTTATTTAAGATATGTAGATTTGTTTTTGCTAAAAAGCCCTTGTGATATACTTTAGAATTTCCCTACGATTTGCATGTGATTGTGTAGCCAGTAGTAGCTAGAAATAAATAAATGACCAAATCTCAGGAGATTAGGACTAAATCAAAAGGGTGTATCTTATATTCAGTTGAGATGATTTATAGTGTTAAACAAGAGAAGTTATAGAATCAAAATATATCTAAGTTGAGGGAGAGAGAGAAAACATTTACAGATTATGGTAATTCTGACAAATGCTCCTGTTTCATAAAAATTCAGTGTGGATAAGTAAAACCATTTGAAAACTCAAGTGAATTTTATAACTGAGATAGAACCAACAAAATAGACCTATAAAAACCCAGAGTAATAGCGTAAATAGAGATAATTCATTCCCTAAGCTATTTTTCTAAAACATTACCACTTGAAGGATGAATTATGTAGGGAATCTAATGAAAAAAAAAAAAGCCATTGTTATACACCTGCATAGATTTCTGTGGTAGCAGTGTAATAGTGATAGCTAAAATAACAGAAACAGCACTATTAATGAATCTTGGTCAAATTCTCGACATTGAACAAAGGTAGATGTTGAGGCAAAGATTGCTTTGCAGTTATTTCTGCAAAAAACTGATTGTTCTAGTGGAACTATTGAAAGCAAGCTTATTGAACATGCTTATATTCAATTACATAATTTCTATAAGTTATGTACTTTGGATCATAGGAAACACGTAAGACAAAAGTGAGAGATGGAAAAATATATTTTATTCAAACAAAAAATTGTGACCAAAGAGAGCATCAGTGACTATAACAATACAAGATAAAATAGACTTTCAGTCAAAAACTGTTACAGAAGACAACGAAAAACAATATATAATGATAAAAATCAATTCACCAAGAAAATATAACAATTATATATGCACCAAATAACAGAGCTCCTAAATATATAATGCAAACATTGATAGAATTGAAAGTAGAAACAGACAGATATAAAATATTAGGAGACTTCAATATTCCATTTTCAATAAGGAATAGAACACTAGACATCATATCAATAGGTAAATAAAAAGTTTGAACAATGCTATAGATCCAATAGACATAGCAAATATATACAGCACACTTCACCAAACAAAAGCAGAATATATATTCTCAAGTGCCCATGAAACACTCTTGAGACTAGGCCATAGGGTAGGCCATAAAACAAGTCTTAGTGAATTTCGTTAAGAGTGGAATTATACAAAGTATCTTTTCTGATCATAATGGAATGAAATTAGAAATCAGTAGCAGAAAGAAAACTGAAAAGATCAAGTATGTGCAAACTAAACAACACAATATTAAACCAATAAGTCAGACAAGAAGTTACAGGAAATTAGAAAATACCTTAGACAAATGAAAGTGAAAATACAGCATATCAAAACTTATTAAATGCAGGGAAAGCAGTGCTGAGAGGGAAAATTATAGCTGCAACTGTTTACAGTATAAAAAAGCAAAATCTCAAATAAACAACCTAACTTTGTATCTGGAGGAACTAGAAGAAGAACAAACTAAACCTGAAGCTAACAGAAGGAATAAAATAATAAACATTATAACAAAGATAAATGAAGCGCAAAATAGAAAAGAGCTGGTTCTTTGAAAATATCAACAAAACTGATAAACCTTTTAGACTACAATTTATACTCTGTCATTTAGAAAATAGAATCTGGAAGTGCCTCATTTTCCAAAAGCACTTATTTGAATTTGGCTCTGTGAGTCCATCAGTAAAATTATTTATAATATTTTACTCACAATTATTAGCATATACAAATGTATATATTTTTCTAATACAAGTCGAGTACTTTTCTTTCTTTCTCAAATCACCAATTAAAGTTCAAAAGCATTAAAATATTTGAGTGAAATAAAAGTTTGGTTTTCACCTGAAACAGACCCCAAAATAAAAACTTGGTGACCTGTATTTTATTGAGAATGTGATTGATGCCAAGAAATAGAAGGGAGGCATTGAGGAAGATGGGACAGAGAAAGAAGTAAAACCAGGAAAGAGTGTTTTAATGAACTGTTTACTGCTGAGGGTTACGGGAGCTCAATCCTGCTGGGGACCTTCTAAGGAAATATGTAGAATGTACTTCGAATTTCCTCGTTAGTGTATGTAAAGGCTGAGGTTTTTATTCACAATTCCATGTCCCATAGGTTGATTACCCTGAGCGATATTAACTTCCCCACAGTTTGTTGCCTACTGCTGCTTTGAGGAAACTGAACTAAGATATGCTAAGTTGTATTCTTAATTGCTTGGTCTAGGATATTGGCAATGATGCATTGAAATTGTTCCTTATAAAACTGCTGCAAATGAATGAGGGCGCCAGATATGGTACTGTGCCACAAAAGTGTCTAAGTTCCTGCTTTGCATCACTCTGATATGCTCCATGCTGTACATAATTCCACTCTATCACTATCTCTTCAAAGTGGTGGATGATCACAATGTCAGAAAATTTAAAGAAAGACTTAATTATCTTTAACAAGAGAGTTTAGTTTCATACTTCTAATTATAACCTATTTTAATGTGAAAATGTTAACCTATATCAGTAAAATATATAAAAATGCCCTCAAAAATATTTCTAAGATAAAGTAAAAGTTTTACCATTTCATTACAGTGTTATTTAAAGTGATATATTTCTCTAAAAATGAAGGCCAGAAAGTGGCAATATATATTTGGTAACATTTTAATTGAAACTTCTAAGATGATTTAGAAAATTGGCAGATTAAAAGGAGATAATTTAATCATTAAATGTGTTTGTTGTGTGAATAGAATGACTTTTGATAACTTTATCAAAACATTTATTTCACTTTTTCATTCCTCATATACCAAAAAAAAAAACCATGGATAATATAAACCTAATATAAAATTCCAAATGTCTTGCTTTTGGTGAACAGTGATTTCATGGCACAGACGTACAGATTTTAAGAGATTATTTTTAGTATGCATAAAATTGTGCATATTATTCGATATCAGTTTGAGAATTCATTAATTTGTCATTTATACCTCTCCTACATCACAAACTAATTTGAAGCTACTACTGAACGAGAGAGATTAAAACATTTTTAAATGATTTTTTCTTGATGCTTCAATTTCAAGAATTAGACACCAGTTGAAAAAATGCCATCTCAGTATCACGTAAAGTTGTTTTGTTAAATGTCTTTCTTTCCTTTCCACTGTATGCTGTAATTTTTTAAATTCATGAATAAAATTTGGAATAAAAGACATAATGGTTCAACATTAACTTTCAATTATGTAATAAACTAAAGGAGTTGGGAGAAAAACTTCCCTTTCTTTACTCAAAAAATATGTATCTTTGCAAGAGAAAAATAGGTACAGCAAGTATTTTTAAAATAGAATCTCAAATGAATAACAAATAAGAAAATAATATCAATCAAAAGAGAAAGTAAAAATCAAACCACTTGGAAAATAAAAAGTACTTTTTAGTTATTCTTGAGCCAAAGACAAATAGAAACTTATTGCTATACTCACTTAACAAGTGTATCTATCAAAACATTGACTGATATCAAAGATACATTAGAAAAAACATAGCATAAAGTGTTTAGAAAAAACTAAAACAAGAAAAATGAGTAATAAGCACATTTTGCTTAAAAAAGTCCTAAAAAAGATAAAATATAAAATAATAAATTATAAAAATTCTACTTAGTAAAAATGCAAAATTTATTTATTTGAAGAAACAAATACAAAATGCAAGCTGATGTCAAAAGATAAAATAAATACAGAATATGACAAATGCTAAAGATGATAGTACAAAAATTGTTAAATATATGACGGTTAAAATATATGATTTTATGGTAATAAATTTTAAAATTTTTAAATAATTATCTTATTGGTCAATGTTAATTTTAAGACATATAATAATTGAAAAACTTGTCCAAAAATTGACAAATTTTTAAAATGCTAACTCCCAAATAGATGGTTTCAGGAAATTTTGTGAGCAAGTTCTTCAAGGGACAGATCACAAATCAGTAGACATCATTGCTCTTAGTTTTGAAATACTAGACTGCTAATATAAATTACTAAAAGAAATGAATGATGCCCAATATTACTAATTTATTTGGCATTCTTCATTACCTATAAAACTAAAATGAAATATAAAGTATAAAATATATTTTGTAGGACTTTACTAGGAAAACAAAAAAAATTAAAATGTTTATCATCAACACAAATATTCAGCACAGCATCTAGTTACAAAAAAAAGATTGAAGACACGTATTATCAGGGAGAGACTAAATGTATGCATTATCCTGTAAACAAATTTCTTAATATGTATCAAAAGGCTTAAATTGCACATGCACATATCTTTTGAATTAGCAAACTGTCTCCTAGGAATTTATAATAATGAAATATTGACACAAATATGCTAGAACTGATGCACACATATGCTTATTACAGCTTAGTTTATAAAAGCAAAATATGAAAAATACATTAAATGTGTAATTATAATACATTAATGATATGCAGTGTTATATAATTTATATTAGTAATTTCAAGTCAGGTTTTAATAACTGAGGTTTGATAGCTATTGAAAATGAAAATATGTATTTTTAGAAACCAACTGGTACGTGTTACATTAAATGATTTATAATATACTAAGTGTACTGTTTGGAAGCATATATCCCAAAATCTTACATGTCATTATTTATTGTGGGATTGTTTACTATTTTCTTCTACTTCATTACTGTATTCAAATAAGAAAAAGGGAACAAAGAAAGAAAGAAATAGCTTTTTCTTAAGGGGGAGAGGAAAACTAAAACTTACTTGAGGATAACTCATCTAACTAATGCAGCCAGGGGCGCATTGGAGTATTAGGATAATTACACAAAGCAGAGAGCCACAGTTCTGAACATAAGTACCATTCACTGAATAAAAGCCACATCAGCCAGCATTACGCAGAGCACAATAAAAGCAAACTGCTTATTTGAAAATACTGTTCCATTAACAAGCGATCTTTAAAAATTTCTAGACAGAAATATTAGATGTTCTCTGCAATTAGTACTAAACAACTATATATGGAGACATTTTTATTA
This sequence comes from Homo sapiens, assembly GCF_000001405.40. Lineage (NCBI taxonomy): Eukaryota > Metazoa > Chordata > Mammalia > Primates > Hominidae > Homo > Homo sapiens. Next base: position 80,553,975 of record NC_000001.11, on the reverse strand, counting down.
TGATACAATCATGAGACATCAACAAGATCAGTAAGAAATCCTAAGAACAGGATGGAGACATTTTTCATAGTTATACTTGGGTAAGATATCCACCCATTAGTTGGTGAGAAGGATTTGGAAACTAATTTTACAACAACACTCCAGCTTTTTAAAAAAAATGTGTATTTATTCCTTACTTAACTATTTAGTTGTAAAGGGTTTTCCTTCTGTATTAGGATTCCCGCTTTCTTAATATTTTTGTTATTATTATCAAGTACTAAAAAAGGATCTTTGACCCCAGCCAAAATTATTACATCAAGGCCTAGATCCAGACTGCTACAACCAATTGGCTTTTTGTTATTCATTCAATACTAGCCTTTAATAAATATTTTTTGAGCACCTATTAATGCCATTTATATGTCTCCATAACATTATCACATCCTAAAAATGAACCCAAATCTTTTCCCACAAACCCAGTTGTGAAGTCAAGACACATTTCCAGGAACTTTGTATCATTTCCCAAACACCATGCGTAATCCATCACTAAGTCTTGTCCCTTTTGCCCCCTAAATTGTTCCTGGATTCATTTACCTTTCCACTATTCCAGTGTCGTCGTAATTGTAGCAGTTCAAGTCCGCATCATTTATCTTCAGGATTACTACAGTGTTTTCCTACTTGGCTTTCTTCTTTTCACTGTTGCTTTTCTCTCCTGCATTTCTTACACCTTCCTTCTGTTCATACGGATATGATCATAGTACTTCATCTCTTCTACTTAAAATTCTAGAATGGCTTTCTTTCCCTTTGCTCAACAGATAAATATGAAAATCTTCACAAGGTTCTTCAAGGCCTTTCTGATTCTATAGATTCATCTCTCTTTATTCAGTGTGTCATTCTGTGTGCTCAGAATTTATTTTCTTAAGTTTCTTGAAACAGTTATGCCCCTTTTAGTCATCCCTAGCATCGGCTCCTACAGTCCCTTGTACCTTTGCTTCATAATACCAGTATTTTTATTGATACATTTTAATATAATTCTCTCACATATGTCTGTCTTTTACATTACACTATACACTGAGGGTTAAAAAATGTGTATCTTTATCCATCGCATATCTCATTCCTGGCACTTATTAAGCATTGAATATTTTTCTTATTGTAATGAAGCCACAAAAATATTAGCACTTCTTATAGAAGTGTTTTTATTTTTTTATTTTATTTTGAAATAATTCTGCAGCCATCATCACTATCTAATTTCTGGAATTAGATACCCCTCAGAGAAACACTCACTGGCAGTCACTCCTCATTGCATCCTCCCTCTAGCTCCTTGAAAATAATAATCTACTTTCTGTGTGTATAAACTCACCTATTCTGTGCATTTCATATAGTATCAATAATATAGTACATGGCTTTTCTGTTTGGCTTCTTTGACATAGAATACATAATGCTTCAATGTTCATCCATGTTGTAGCATGTATCTGTACTTTATTCTTTTTATGGCTAAATAATATTTTATGGTATAGATATACCACATTTTGTTTATTCTTTCATCAATTAAACAATTTGTGTTGTTTCTAGATTTTGGCAACTGTGAATAATGTTGTTACAAACAATTGCGTACAATTCTTGGGTGCACATATGTTTTTATTTCTGTTGGATACATATCTAGCAGTGGAGTTTTGAGGTGACACAACTTTTTTACTTTTTTGAGGAATTGACAAACTATTTTCCAAAGCAGCTGCACCATTTTATGTTCCCAGAAACAATGTAGGAGTGTTCCACTTTTCTACATCCTTGACAACATCCTCATCTCTTTAATTGTAGCAACATTATTAGCTGGTATGAAGTGTTATTGCATTGTGATTTTAATTGGCATTTCTCTAAAGATGATTTATAGTGAACATCGTTCCGGGGTCTTTGGCTCTTTGTATCTTATTTGGAAAAATGTCTGTTTAAATTTCTCACCCATTTTAAATTTGATTACTTGTCTTTTTTGTTGTTGAATTGTAACAGTTCTTCATATACAATCTCAATACTACAACCTTATCAGAATAATATTTACAAATATTTTATTCCATTCTGTGAGATGTCTTTCCATATCTTTTTCTTGATAGTATTCTCTACAACAGCTTTAATTTTGACCACGTTCAATTTATTCCTTATTTTTCTTTTTGTTGTATGTGCTTTTGGTGTCATATCTGAGAAACCGTTGCTTAATCTAAAGTCACTGAGATTTATGACTGTGTTTTCTAATAAAAGTTTTACAGTTTTGCCTCTTTCATTTAGGTAGTTGGTATATTTTGAGTAAATCTTTATATATAGTGTGAGGTAAGGTTCCTATTTCATTCTTTTGTATGTGAATATTCGGTTGTCTCCAACTCATTTATTGGAAAGACTATTTTTTTTCTTATTGAATTATGGCACCCTTATTGAAAATTCTTTCACCATAAATGTAAAGATTTATTTCTGAATGTTCAGTTCTACTTCATTGTTATATATGCCTCTTCTTATGCCAGTACCACAATGTCTTCATTAAATTTTGAAATGTGAATTCAAGAGTTATTACAAATTTAATTTCGAAAGTGTGAATCCTGCAACTTTGTTTTGTTTTATTTATTTATTTTTTTTTCTCCAAGACAGTTTTGACTATTCTGGATCTCTTGCCTTTTCATATGAATGTTGGAATCAGGTTGTCAATGTCTGCAAAATGGCAGTTGGGATATTTATAGAGATTGCATTAAATCTGTAGATAAATTTGGGGAATATTGGCATCATCATAATAACAAGTCTTCCAATTCATGAACTCAAAAATGTCTTTTCATTACCTTAGGGTTTTTATAAAATTTATTTCAATAATGTTTGTCATTTTCACCCTATAATATTTGCACTTATGTTGTTCAATTTATTTCTAAGTATTTTATTTTTTATTGCAATTGTAGATGAAACTGTTTTCTTATTTTGGTTTTTGGATTATTCACTGCTAATTATTGAAAATATAATTTATTTTTCTGTATTTGTCTTCTACCCTGCATTATTGCTGAATTTGTTCATTAGCTATAATAAATAGGTTTTTTGTTTGTTTGTTTTGTTTTGTTTTTTTGTTCATTGGGCAGAGTCTCGCTCTGTCACCCAAGCTGTAGTGCAGTGGTGTGATCTCAGCTCACTGCAACCTCTGCCTCCTGGGTTCAAGCGATTCTCCTGCCTCAGCCTCCTAAGTAGCTGAGATTACAGGCGTGCAGATAATATTTTGGTATTTTTAGTAATTATGGGGTTTCACCATGTTGGCCAGGCTGGTCTCGAACTCCTGATGTGGTGATCTCCCTGCCTCAGCCTCCCAAAGTGCTGGGATTACAGGCTTGAGCCACTGCGCCTGGCCAATAAATAGTATTTTTGTGGATTTCTTAGCATTTTCAAATTTGCAAGATCATGTCCTCTAAAAATAGAGATAGCTGTACTTTTTCCTTTTCAATCTGATACTTTAAATTTATTTCTGTTGCCCAATTGCCCTGGTTAGAAACCCCAGTACAACACCGAAGTGTCAAGAGTGTATATCCTTGGCTTGTTCCTTGCTTTAGAGTGAAAGCTTGTGTTTCACCATTAAGTAGGATGTTAGTTGCGAGTTTTTCATAGACGACCTTACTTGGTTGAGGAAGTTTTCATCTATTTTTAGTTTGTTAAATATTTTTATATATAGCCAAAATCCCTCTACTCTAGTCTATGGAATTAATTTTATAAATTACAACTTTATACATATGTCCATCAATCCAGAATTATAACTATTCTTCTACAAGTTGTATTTTAAATCAGATGTAAAAGTTACAGATAAAAGCACATTAATGCTATCTTTATATTTATCCCACGTGGTTAACTTTGTGTTCTTTTGTTTCTTCATGTGAATTAGAGTTACCATCTAGTAGTCTTTCATTTCAGCCTGAAGGATTCTCTTTAATATTTTTTTCTAGGGAAGGCCTACTACTGATAAATTCTCTCAGTTTTTGTTTATTTAGAATGTCTTAATTGCTTCTTGTTTTTCACTGAATAACATTGCTGGATATAGAATTCTTGGCTGATATCTTCATTTGATGCTTCAGATGTGTTATCCCGCTGCCTTCTGGATTTTTTTTTTTTTTTCTAATTAGAAATCACCTGCAATTTTACTAATGGTTTCTTATACATGATGAGCATCTTCTCTCTTACTGCTTTTAAAATTCAACCTTTGTGTTTTGCTTTTGACAGATTGATTATGACATGTCTAGATATGGATCTCTTTAAGTTTATTCTAGTTTATTGAGCTTTTTGGATTTCTAGATTAAAATGTTTCATCAAGTGTAGGAGTTTTGGGGTCATTATTTCTTCAATTATATTTCCTGCTTTTTGCTCTCTCTCCTCAACTTCTGAAACTCCTATTGTGTGTGTGTTGGTATACTTAATGTTATATGTCATAGGTCTCTGAGGCTGTACCCATTTTTCTTAATTATTTTTCTTTCTTTTCCCATGACTGGATAATAGTTACTGACCTATCTTAAAGTCTACGATTCTTTCCTCAGCCAGCTCAAATGCTCTGTTGAGCCTCTCTAGTAATATTTTATTCCAATTATTATACTTCTCAACACCAGAATCTGTACTTGATTCTTGTTAAAAAATCATTTTATTATAATAGTATTTTCTATATGCTAGCTGATGAGGTACTGTTTTATAATTTCCTTTAGTTCTTTTAACATGAGACTCCTTTTTATTTTTATTTATTTTTTTCCTGTACAGGCCATACTTCTTTATTTCTATGTCTTGTATTTTAAAAAACTGGACATCTTAATTAATATTGTGTGGCATCTCTGGAAGTCAAGTTTTCTCTTTGACCCAGAGCTTGCTGATGTTGCTATTTGTTTCATGACTTTCCTGAGCTAAATCTTTATGGTTTGTATTGTTTGTAATATGTTGCCATTGAAGCTTCTGTTTAATTAGCTTAGTGGTTGGCTAATAATTAGACAGAGATTTTCTTAAATGACTGAAAGCCAACAAGTGTCCTAGCCTTTGGCAAGGGGATCCAGTGATTTAGGATATGCCTTCAACACTCAGGTAGGCTGTTTAAACTCTTCCTTAACCTGTACTATTTGCTTTCATAAAGCGCCAAGGTCAGCCAGAGGTGAAATCTTCAAAACTTTTCAGGTGTTTCTTTGGTGTGTGAACAGCCGTATGAATTAATGTGTCTTTCAGCATTCCCAGGAATTTGTCAGAACTTTTTAAATCCTCTTATGGCAATCTCATTCTCTTCTTTTCCTTTTAAGTTTTTGTTCAGCTTCTTGTTAGCCTCAACTGCTATCACTGCCCCAGGCATGTGTGATGTTAAACAACTGCTACTGATTTTTTTTTTTTTTTTTTTGACACTTGTCCCTTGGGAAAGGACTGATTATATTAGCACATCTATAAGACAGGCCAAATAAAAGCAAATACTGAGATTTGGGTTTTCCAGGGAATTTAGGAGAGCTACAAATCTGTTAAGTCATCTCCAGTGGCTGCTAGGCTGCTCATTGTCACCGTAATTGTGAGCTGTTGACTTTCAAGAGTACCATGAAGTTGGAAAGAGGAGGATAAAAATAAGGTAAGTTAAAATACCACAAAATTCACTATTTTAAACAAGATTAAACTGCTTTTCTTCATTAAATGATCCTTGGATTGTTGCACATGTTAGATTATTTTCTAGAGTTCTAGTAAAATGTTTTTTGCCAGTGCTTTCATTGTTTTTATGAAACAGAAAAATTTGGGAGATCTTAGAGATCTTTTTCCTACAATTTCCATTCTTATTACTCATAACAGTGGTTTTTAACCTTTGTTGTGTAGACAAAAAGAGTCAAACTCTGTAAAATATTTGAAGAGATTTATTCTGAGCCAAATATGGGTGACTGTGGCCCATGACACAGCCCTCAGGAGGTCCTGAGAACATGTGCTCAAGGTGGTTGTGATGCACCTTGCTTTTATACATTTTAAATAGGCATGAGACATCAAATACATTTGAGAAATACATTGGTTTGGTCCATGTTAGAAATGTTTGTTCTTTGATGTCACAAAGAAATAGCACTTGAACATAAATTTATTTTTTTCAGCAAGGCTATTTTTTTTTTTTTTTTTACTTTCTGCAGAAAAGGTACACTTGCTAGCAGTTTTGTCATGAGAGTACACTGAACAAAGGAGACAGGGTCATTTATAACCTGATGTGTCCACCTTACTGCCATGTCTGGTTTTTATTGGCTGGAACGGGACTTTACATTTTCTGTTTGTTCTGATTGTCTAGCAACTTAGAACTTTTTAAACGAGGCAAAGGCAGAGGAGAACAAAGGAAGGAGGAAGTAATTTGTGGAATGCTGAGAAAGGTAGAAACATCTTCAGATAAGGAAGAGGAACAGGCTATGACCTAATGCCTGCTTGGACTAGTATAAGAATGCTAGGGCAAATATTTAGGCTAAATTGTGGGAGCTAAGAACGTAAAGTACATTGATTTCTGCTCGGTTAATTTTTTGTATTTTTTAGTACAGACTGGGTTTCACCGTGTTAGTCAGGATGGTCTCGATCTCCTGACCTCATGATCCACCCGCCTCGGCCTCCCAGTGTGCTGGGATTACAGGCATGAGCCACCGTGCTTGTGCTGACCTTCTGTCTCATCCTGTGATATAGGATGCCTTAACTATCTGGGAGTGCATCCCAGTAGGTTTCAGCCTCATTTTACCCAGCTCCTACTCAAGATGAAGTTGTTTTTGTTCACATGCCTCTGACACCTTTACTATATACCAGTCATTCTTTAAGTACTTTACATATATTACTTCATTTAATTTCTCATTCATTCTATAATTTTCAAGTTTATGTAACTGAAGCACAAAGAAGTTCAGCAAGTTAATGGAAGAGGTTTGAAACAGGTATCTCAATAAACAATGAAGTCATAAAACTCTAGAAAATTTACACAGAATATACAAATTTACATAACATGTAAATTTTACATAAAAGTGTTAGAGATTCCCTGAAGCCTCTTAAGGGGCCAAATGTCAAGTACCGAATTACAGAAGACTATTTCCCAAAGACTTCTGTCATTTTTGCTTCATATTAAACATTAATAGAGCTGATGCATGATTTAAAGGATAAGATTTCATGTTATTGCATGCCAGGAATAAGTTTTCAGTGAGAACCTAGCATGTGTCAGACACTAACCTACGTTGTAGGCATTATCAGCTGTGAATAAAACAGACATGCTGATGAATAATGTATTGCATGTTATAGAACTTTCAAGGCCACTCCACACATTAATGATAGAGTGAGAATTTGAACTAAGATATATTTGATTCATCGTGTCTTGTTCTACTCTGCTGCACTTAAGATCATAACCATTCCTTGAATTAATAATTACATTAAAAATGCCCATTACATTACAAATAAAGTGGCCCATATCAACACCTATCTCTAGGTGTGGACATAAAGTTGTATCTACTTGATAGGAGTAACTTAGATGCTTTTAATAGGTAAAATGTTGAGTTGAGTAAAATTTTAAGGACATTCTTAATTCCTTCTAAAAGAGATACATTCTGTACCAGTAATAAGGTTTAACTCATCTAATTATAACTGTAGGCAAGAGTCCAGCAAAACCTGGCCTGATTCCATCAGCCCCTCACCACTTCCCACACAATCCTTCACCCTTTTCAACTGCTTTAAACATAATTCAAAAATGTAGCTCCTAACCTATACCACTGGTTTTTACACTGATTTATAGTGGTTAATAATGCTTTCATATTCTAATAGTTCATAATTAAACGTGGGCAAAGAAAGTGAGAAAGAGTTGAATACTACTTTTTCAAACTTTAAATTGTTTTTAATTTAAAAACTGCTTTTGCATTTATTTTGTCATTTTATTTGTTTTGTTGAAATAGGTTTACTTTTAAAGTATCAATTAATTAGAAAATACCCTTAACTTTTACATTAAATCTCTTGACTCTGTAATTCTTGGATTTGTCGTATAATATTGAGCTATTCATAGCATATGGAAGTTAATTATGTTACATTGTACAATCCTTAAAAAAATCTCAATTTAGAATGTATGACATTAACTTACAGGAAACACAGATCCTACTGTAGTTTACAAACTCTACAATAGCCAATCACCTTCTTAGTTTTCATAGTACATTGAGATCACATTTTATATATTACAGCCAGGAGCAATGTAATGTGTTTTTGATATTTATTTTTCAAATATTAGAACATATTTCTTTGTCTTCCGGGAAAGCCATTTATTTTGATTTTCTTTTATTTTCACAGAAGTACTTACTTTGGGTTTGATATTTTTAAAAATAATGTTTGCTCAAGGAATTCCAATTAGCTCTTTCAGGGGATGAATTAGGCAAATATGAGTTTCTTGCATATTGTGCTATTTCATTTAAAATCCATTAGAACTATATTAATAAATATATTTACAATTATTTTTCATGGAAATAGGTATTTTCAATTGCTTTGTAGTGTAGTAATTATTGGTCATAAATGACACAAGATGTACTTTGTGAGCAGTCCTTTATTTTGATGAATAATAAAACCTACAATTATAGTAGTTAACAAGTATTTTTCAATTACTGTTTTAATGACTTAGGATGGGTATTACCAAGATAACAACTGCCTGAACTAGAAGAGGTAATATTTGGTTTCATCATAAACAATGTAGTATTGAGCTCAGAAGCACCTTTGTTTTATATTGTCTTCTCAACACAAGACAAATTATGACATTACAAAATAAATTCAGTTGCTCACTGTTCATCCTCATGGGCGCATAGCAGAGAGATTTTATTAAGAAAAGTCACCATTTTCCTAGACTTTTACTGATTTAATAACCAAGTGAAACTGCTACATCAGGCCTGGCGTGGTGGCTCACGCCTTAACCCCAGCACTTTGGGAGGACAAGGCGGGCAGATCACCTGAGGTCAGGAGTTCAAGACCAGCCTGGCCAACATGGAGAAACCCCATCTCTACTAAAAATACAAAAATTAGTCAGGCATGGTGTGGCAGGCACCTGTAATCACATCTAATCGGGAGGCCGAGACATGAAAATTGCTTGTACCTGGGAGGTGGAGGTTGCAGTGAGCGGAGATTGTGCCACTGCACTCCAGCCTGGGTGACAGAGTGAGACTCCATCTTAAAAAAAAAAAAAAAAAAAAAAAAAAAAAGAAGCTGCTACAGTGCAAGAATTATACAACACATAAAATGCTTTGCCACTATAATTTTGATGTCTCAATGAATTAGTCTGCCATCCATATCTCATGTAGTAGCATTATATTTCAATAATATTTTAGCTACATATTGGTAGAGTGTATTTTACTGTAAGTAAATGCGGCCATAAAAATTTATTATGTTAGGTGATTGAGACATCCAAGGGTTTTTTCCATGGCTAGTCCTCTAATAGGGATTAATTGACTGACACTTTTGACTTTCTATAGGGTTAATGATGACCAACGACTAACACATTAATAAATCATAATAAGTTTTTTACAGATATGATGCAGTAATATGAATACTGTCTGTGACTTAATCTTTTATAATTTGAGAACTGACAAATTCAACACTTGGCAATGTAACCCTCCATGGTTCAAGTGTTGTTGGGTTGGCAAATTTTTGCCATCAGTGCTCTTTCCATTTGCACATAATTAATTAGTAATAAGTGTGGAGATTGTATTATGACCTAGTTATATATCTCTGTGGAAATCTGTGTATTGAGATAAAATGATAATACTAGATAGAATGCATGAAATCAATCTCAAACGCCATTTAAATTTTGCTTTTCCATTTATAAATGTACTTAGTGAGATGTATCTCATTAGAATTTTTTTAAACTGTTGTTACTGAATATGCTTTAAATATTATGCAACATATTGATATTTTGAACATGTATCTCAATATCTTTATATGTGAAATATCACCTCTAGTGAGATTATTATTCATCTAAACAGTTATCAAAAACTACTTGGATCTTTAGGAAAACTTTTTTTTGCTTACTCTTCTCTACTTTAATGCATATCAAGTTTATTAGAAGTCTGTAAACCACATACCTTAAATAAAATTATAGACTTATGATATATGATCCTTCCACCTAGACAAACTGACTAAATTTATGAACACAAATGGTATCCTTCCTCATTATTTGTGGAACACCCCTGGTAAATTTGTCTGATGACTTGTGTACATATAAGAAGAAAAAGCATTTGTCATTGGAAAGGTTAACGTTATTAAAATTTTTTCAAGTAGCATTTTGTAAAAAGGTTGTTAGAGATGGGACTGTGTATATGTGTATATTTTATAATTTATGTATGTAAATTAATGAAGTGCTGCGATTGCATTTAAATATGATTTCACTGAAGCTCATCCTGTGGAGAGGTAGCCTACACCAAAGTCTTAACTAAGAGTGACTAAACTAATGAAAATAAACACAATTACTTTCACTTTTTTTTTTTAAAATCAGCCAATGCTTCTACTTTCAGTCACAGAAAGGCCTCATGTGATCTATAAACTATGTTTATTTTATTAAATACCTATTCCTGTGTCAGGAGCACACATTCAGTTTCTTTTCTTTACACTCATCTAAAAATGTTTCAAAAATTCCATCCTGTGATTGCTGCATAATTCCAACACTTGCTGTACCTGATATTCTACAGGATATCCCAATTTCTTGAGTCACCTTATGAAAAGTGTGCTAAGGGAAATATATTCATTTTTGTTATTGTTTTGAAAAGAGGATCTTACTAAATTTCAACAGAAACAGCTTCTAAGAAAAAAATAAGAAATTATGCTGCAATGAAACTTATCACTTAACAATAATTACTAATTAAAAGATCATCAGCACTTTTTTTTTAATGGTTCACTCAATTTTAGCACTCATTCATTTGTTCATTTGCTTCAAAAATAGTTAGGTGTCTACAGGTGCACGTTGTTGTGTTTGTTGCTGGGGATGTAGAGGAAAGAAGTCCCTGCTCTCTTAGAACTCAGTCTTTCAGGACATTGGATATTAAACAAATCATAACTCTGCAAAATATTTAGTTACAATTATGATTTATGTTACAAATGGGAAATACAGAGTGCTGTAAAACATACAAAAGGGAAACTTACTAGATCTCTAAGAGGGGCTCAGAAAGACTCCCCTGAAGAAGTAACATTTAAACTAAGATTTGATGAATAATAGTTATTCAGGCAAAAAGAACAAGGGGATGGGTGCTCCAGGGAGATGGAACATAAATAGAAGGCTTGGACTTTCTCCCTCCACATAGCAAAAATAAGCATAGCATCTTAAAAGTTCAACAATAACTACTACTATATGAATTGCTTTAACTTTAACACAAGAGGATTTTATAATAGCTGTACATGCAACATGAAGGAAGCCATAATGGCATATAATTTATTTGTCTTTGAAATAACTGGATTCAAAGAATACCTTCAAAGAAACATATTTCCCATGCAAACACATATTCAATTGTGGGACAATAAATATGTATTACACAGTGCTCAAAATTTAGAACTTCTTTGCGAGTTCCAAGATGTGACTCATATATACATCTACTATGAAAAGAAGATTACACTCTGCTCCATGGAATGTCATTTAAGATAGAGTAGAATGAATGAACACTTGTAAGCAAGTTAGAAAGTACAGGTCCTAGTTGCAGTTTTACTGTGACCAGCCTAAGTTTTCATTTCTTTTTGCAGTGTAGGTAACATTATCTCCTTACAGGGACACTATGAGAATAAAATGTGTAATGTTTGTTTTGAATTTTGAAAATTGGTATAAACTATACAAATGGAATATTTTATCATTTTTTTCCCCTGAAAATTCTACACATATTTGGGTTTTTCTTATCTTTGATCAGATGTCTTCCCTTTATTGGAATGTTTGCAACATGTACTCCTTTTTTTCCCCTAAAGGTCCAATTAAAATCCCATTACTTTTTTGAGGCTTTTTTTCCACCATAGAAGTTATTTTCTCTACCATCTCTAAACTCTCTTAGCACTTACAAATTATCTGTGACTGGCATTTATTGACTTGTATGCTTATTTTAATGTGTGTTTCAAAAGCATAGTATTTTGATGTTGAAAGGGAAATTAAAGTTTGGTCCGATAGATTTCAGAGGTCGGGCTTTCCTTTGAATCATTTCAACCCACTTGTCAAATAAATTTTGCTTGAACAGCTCCTCTGACAGATAGCTTGGTATCCTTTGATTAAGTATATTTTACTTCTTGACATCTCTAAGAGAAAGTTATTTGTTTTTAATTGAGACTAAATATGTCAAATTGCTTTCATACCTGGCAACTATTTCCTGATCCTTTCTACCATCGTCTTCCTTTTTCTGGGCAAAGCAAGCTTTCAGAGTTTCAGGTATTTTAGTTATACTTATTTTTCTTGCCTAAAAATATTCCAGGAGAATATCTATCTATCTATCTACCTATCTATCTATCTATCTATCTATCTATCTGTCTATCCATCCATCCATCCATCTATCTGTCTGTGTGTGTATGTGTGTGTCTTATATTTAGAACTAAATGTATTATTTAACTACAATAAAATGATTATCTTTTGTTTTAAATATTATAATTCTGGCATTTCAGCCTCAAACTTCATTACATTGTTGATGATCATATCAAGTTTATCTTACTTTATATTAAATCCACATGTCTTAGTCTCAGGTGATTCTGCTAAATCATATATACCCACCATAGATTACTGCAATATCTTTTTTAGATATAATTTCCAGGATGCTAAATTATGTTCTGTTACTTCTGATGGTGAGTAGTAGAGAGTAAGCCAGTAAACCATAAAATAAAAATGTTATGTTTTCTTTTCTTAAATATACTTCAAGCTGCTTACAATGAGAAGCCATTTGCTTTTTTACCTGAATTCCATTACATAATGAACTTCAAAGCAAATAGGTGCCCATTAAACACCTAAGATATGATGATGATGATGATAATGAAATGATGATTTGTTTATATGTATTTATTGTTCATATATATGTATGTATAACTACATTTGCATATCCATTGTGAAAATACATAGAATCACTGTCCAAAGGATGACCTGCTCAAGATTTTATTAACATATATGTGAAGATGCATTTGACATACTCATAATATTGAGAAATAATAAGACATGCCCTTTCTGTAAATGGCAAGGAACACATACTTATTTGAGTCACTAGCAGGGATGAAAGATTTTATCATATTGTGAAATACTTGATGTTTTGTGTTTCCAGCACAGTAGTATATCTTAATCTTAACATAGTATAGTTAACTGAATATATTTGACACATTTTCCTCTTTCTAATGTTGTGCTTAGTTTTTCATGATGTGTAGCCATGAGACCTACCTTATTTATCATGTATTTCCATCAGTGCTTTATTTTCGACCTTTCCTTCTTCAAAAGCAGAAAAAAATCAAAGAGGTTACAAAAGGTAGTACTCCTTTATGCTATATAAACTTGAACCAATCTAGTGGATTTCTGCTCTACTAGTACATCACTTTCTCCTTTTATCTTGGTAGAGGGTTAGTTTAAATGTCATGATTAAACAAAAATGTTTTTGTATGCTGGCATATTCCCAAAGTTCTGTATCATGTTCAGATCACAAAGATTAAGGCATATTTTAACAGATAATGCAATCTTCTGCACTTTAAGAAAAAAAATTTAAAAAACACACCAACTGTTTCAGTCCGCAGTGTCACAGAGAACAAAATCTGTTCTACTTTAAAGACAAAGGGACTTATCACAGGCAATTAGTCACAAAGGCACACTTTAGAACTTGACCATCAAGGAGACTGCTGCCTCAGCCAACCATGATTAGGCAAGATGTGGAATCAGAAGGCTAACTATAGAATTGGGACATTTCAACTATATTTGCTAGTCCAGAACTGCACACCAATATTACACTCTCCAGCAGCAAAAATGGACACTTTCTGTCCTGCCTCTCATTCCATGAAGCTCTAAATCGAAGTCTTACTTCCAAAACCATAATTATAAGGGAAACTATACATTGCATTAAAAAAAAAATCTTGGCCAGGCACGGTGGCTCACGCCTGTAATCCAGCGCTTTGGGAGGCTGAGGGGGGGTGGATCACTTGAGGTCAGGAGTTCAAGACCAGCTTGGCCAATATGGAGAAACCCCATCTCTACTTGAAAACACAAAAATTAGTGGCCAGGCGCAGTGGCTCACGCCTATAATCCCAGCACTTTGGGAGGCCGAGGTGGGTGGATCACTTGAGGCCAGGGGTTCGAGACCAGCCTGGCGAACGTGGTGAAACCCTGTCTCTATCAAAAAATAAAAAAATTAGCTGCACATGATGGTGTGTGCCTGTAATACTAGCTACTCGGGAGGCTGAGGCAGGAGAAACGCTTGAACCCAGGAGGCGGAGGTTGTGGTGAGCTGAGATTGCACCACCGCACTCCAATGTGGGCAACAGAGCGAGACTTCATCTAAAAAAAAATAACAAAAATTTAAAAATTAGCCAGGCTGAGACAGGAGAATAGCTTGAACCCTGGAGGAAGAGGTTGCAGTGAGCTGCAATGAGCCGAGATTGCGCCACTGCACTCCAACCTGGGCAATAGAGCGAGACTCTGTCTCAAAAAAAATATAAAAATAAAAAAATCTTTCCAGTCTTTTCAGCAGAAGAAAACATACTAGAAGGGGATTAGTGTGCATATTAAGCAGGATGGTCTGTATTATACATCACATCAAGCATTTATTTTCAAATGTTCATGTTGACTGATATTGAAAATAATCCTGTGTATTAAGAAATATCTATCGTAATTCAATCCTAGATTATTAAAAATTAGATGTTCACAGCTTCTAAAACTAACTTATTTCCAAGTTACCCTTCCTGTTTTTCTCTCTTATCGTGGGAGAGGAAGTGAGCCCCCTGAGGGGAGCAACATTCTAGACAGAAATAAAAACAAGGGAAAATAATTTTGTCTGTATTTATTTTTATTAAAGAAAAAAGAGGAAGAAGAAAAAGAAAAGAAAAGGAATAAAAAAAATAGCACAGGTAAGCCAATGGCACTGGAGAAGAGTAAGTAGGAAATTAGAAGAAGGTGAAGTCAAAGAAGTTATGGAAGAATAGATTAAAAATAATCTTGTCATCAAAAGGAATTTGTCTCTTTTACTCAGATAGGAAGCCCTTAGGGTTTTGAGCAAAGAAGGGATGAACTCACTTGACTTCTATGTTGAGAACAGACTGCAGGGAATACATCATGGGTATAATAAGGCAACTAGTTATCATACTAGTAATATGGGAAAACAATGATAGTGAAATGGATCAGGTTGCTATCAATGGAGGCAGGTTTTAGAAGCAGTGATGAGTGTTTAACGTACATTTTTAGAGCATTTTACATATTTAGAATTAAAAGTAGTAGACACTGTAAATTGTTTTGAAAATTAGAAATAGATTTAACATGTAGGGCATTTGGTTAACACAATTTAGCATTCTTTACTGATCAGAAGATGCATTGTCAGTTCATGTGTAAGAAACAAAATGTCACTCAAAATTACAAATATATTGTTGGGTCAGGTATAGAGGAAATATAATTTCCAACTTTTGAAATATCTTGGCTGAATTAAGCAATCTATACTGTTATAAAGAACAAGATAAATCTTCAATGTCTCAAGTAAAATACCTTACTATTGGGAAGACCATCTGTATCAATATCAGGAATGTGTATATGGATTTCCAAAATTTTTGGTGATAGTAGAGAAAACTTTCCAAGGATTCTTCACTTCCAGATGACACTGTGCAACTGAGTGACCCCAGCCAATACAGCCTATTTTACTGATGGCTGACAACTAAGATTTTACATTTAAGTATCTTATTTTGCAAGTCACTTTCATAAAATGTTGAGAGTGATTTACAAAGCCTTTATGATTTGGAGGAGAAAAAATCAGTCAGAAAACAAAAACACATCTCCCTAAATAACAATGTTATTTAAATCTTCTACCATACAGAAACTACAGGTTTCTAAGGGGTATGAAATGCATCTTGATCTACTAGTTACTGAAAGCATAAAACTAATTAAAAAATAGAAAAAATAAATATCCTTGCCACATGAACCACATTTGATTTAAATTTGGCACTGTTAAAAATGGGATCAAGCACACAGAATTTCCAGTGTGTTAGATGCTAAGAAAGCCAGTTGTTGATAATCAGAAGTAATATGAGGTAGAAATTCTGTTAGTGAAGAAGACAGGTATAGCCTAGGATAATCCTGCTAATTAAAGCGTAACAGATTGCATGTCTTCTAGAAAAGAGGGATTCAAATATCAAATAACTTTGTAAGTAGCTGCTCAATAACTGGAGGTAACTGCAAGTCAGTGGTAGAAAGGAAGAACTGTAGAAGGAACCAATTAACCAGAGGCAGTTCAAGTTTGCAAGGACAAATCTGAAGGTTTCTCAAATAATCATGGGTTAATCTTAGCAGGAAGAAATTAAGAAACTAATATGTATAATATGAGCTTTAATCAATTTATTGTGAGAAAAGATAATTAAGAGAAAAGAGTTTTCTAACAAATGAGTAGGGGCATGCATAATAACTTGAAAATGATTAGGATAGTTCATTTGTATACAGTTCACTTCTCTAAAAGAAAATTAGGAAGAGAAATATAGAATATTAAGGCATAATAAAGATCTTATTGAATTAGTAACTGCATGATAGGTAGTAAAAGGAATGCAAGGGAGGTTTAGTTATTTAGATATATTAAGCAGCTGCTTTACAAATAAAATGTCAGAGGCTTAAAAGTGTTAACACAGTGTCAGTATCACCTCTACCCCTTACTGGGTGTTTGACTAAAGACTATGTCCTCAAACTTGCTGTGATCAGTTTTCTCCTCTATAAAGTAAAGTTTAAAATAGCATTTACCTCTTGGACTTGTGATACTTAATCTGTACAAAATGGTTAGAAAAGTCTGAGGCACTTAGGGAAGATTTGATAAATGTTAACTATCATCATCATTATTATTGTTATTTTAAATTATTTCTTTATAATTAAGCAGAATCTATTACGTTGATGATTGATTCTGCTTTCTACGTTATATAGAATCTGAATTAATATAACAAATATTTGTTGTTTGCCTGCATTATTTGAGACTCTGTGTTAAGTGCTGGGGTAAAAACTGACCAAGATAGACACAGTCATTCTCTTTAGGCAGTCTGACTGGGGACATGTGCAATTAAGTGAGTTGAAGTGGAAAAAACAAATGCCTCAAGAGAGTCAAATGTGGATAAAAGTGCTTTAGAATCGGGCCTTTTCAAACAGTAACTTCAGAGATCTGGCCTGGTATTTGTAAAGCTAAGGAAGCTTTCATTAAGAGGTAGAAGCCTTAGTTACTGCTCTTTTCTTAATCTAATTAAGTCTAAGGAAATATACTTTGAAAAAGTGGCTGCGAGATAACACATTATGCTGGGAATTACGATAGGAAAAAGAAAGGGTCCTGTGTAAGAATCTAATGGAGCAAGTAAGTGTTCTGGGAAGAGGGAGCGGGGTATGAATAATCACAGAAACGTAGTAAGAAAATTATATTCTCTTAATTAAATATTTTATAGGCCTATAATAGGAGTATTATATTAAAATACACTCTTTAAAACTTGTGATCTACTAAAAAAATAGAAAGATTGATTAATAATATTGAAAGCCTTAAGAACATAAACACTGAGATATGATAACTATTATTGAGGCTGCCTTTGACAAAAAGAGGGAAAAACATTTTTAAAACATAAAAATAATTGAGGGAAAGAAAATTCTACTTTGATATAAGAAATATCACAATAATGTTTTATCTCGTGTTTTTTTTCATAAACTCCAATCTTAACAGGATTACTATATGACATTACTGTAAAATATCTTTTCTCTTCCTTCCCCACTTTCACCACTCCATACAAGAAAGTGCCACATGTGGTCATAATCTGAATAAATGATAGAGAAAAGCAGAATCTACTCATAAAACTCAAAAAATAGAAGTCTTAGAAATAAGCATAATGTAAATTGAAACTAGATGTCCCATTTTAAAGACAACACCTTACCTTGACAAACGCTGTCAGGAAACACCACATTTATTTCAGAGCAGAACATTTTTTCTCTATTTCTTCCCTTCCATCCTACCTCATGAGGAGAATATTATACCAGTAAATCTCAAAATCATCTGGAATATAATTTCAATACGTGAAAAAAATCTGTAATTTGTCAATAGTCTATTTAAAACTAACACTCAGAAAAAATGGCAGCACACTAAACATTATGTGTCTAGTTAGGAGCACTTAAGACATCATTGTTGAAGTCCTTTCTGTTAACATTTAACCTCCTGGGGTTTAGATAATAACTTATTCATTAAACTGCTAACTCCCTTTCCAGCAGGATTTGCCTATGAATTTTTAACTGGGGCCGAACCTCCAGATGTCTTCCTCCTCCAACTAAATTCTTACCATTTCTTTTCCATGCTGCTCACTTCTTGCTTCCCATAATCAGTTAGCATCTAAGAGAGCCCAGTTTGTGTGGCTCCCCAACTAAATATATCATTCTGAAATTATTCTCTCCACATAAGTTCAGTACACATTAGGGCTATAAAAATATTTCAAGTTCTGTATAGGATGTATTCTAGGCTCATATTTACTTATTTTTTTCTCCATGCTAATTACTCTGTTTTTCACATTATTGAAGTAGAGTAAAATGGTCTCTTAACACCCATCTGTAACTCTATTTTCTTTTATGTTCAGATTCCCTAAATAGCCTCACAAGATGATCATTCCTTTCCATAACCTCTAAGAGAAGATCTAAGAAGGAGCTATGAAATCAAAGACCAAAGATCTGACTCTTCTGTGAGTCACTCTGCCCTCTACAGTGACTGTTCATTACTTAATTTTACAGCCTAGTGTTGGGGTCTGCCTTCAAATGTTCTGTGTCGTGTCCAACACACTTTGTCATTTTCTTTCTAATCCTTGTGATTATTATTGTTGTTATTGTTAGCTTCCTATGTAAAACTAGTTCTCAGCTTGATGATATAAAAACTATTTTAGCCATAAATGTATCTCTTGTATTTATATAAAAGGAAAAGGAGTATTTTAAACACTTCTGACAACTAATAAAGCCAGGTGTGTGTGTGTGCATGTGTGTGTGTGTGTGTGTGTGTGTAGAGAGAGAGAGAGTGAGAGTGAGAGTTTAATCTAGGTGTTAACCCTGGGGTCTTGGAAAAGTTCCCATTTGAGTAATTGAATTTTTATTAACTCACTTCCTCTTGCAGGTATTTTTCATTTAATGCAGCACAGTGTTCTGTATTATTTCTGGATGCTAAGTTGTTGCTACATTTCTCCCTGTGGTGACTACATTTCATCAATGAATAAAGCCGTAACTGATACATGAAATCATTTTATTTTGATATATGTGCTTTGGAATCCTCCCCTATTTTAAAACAGATACTGGAAAAGAAAAGACAGATGATAGCAATATAGATAGAGGAAACAGATATCTGGGGGATTCCTATTATTGAAAAAATAGTCTTATTTGGTTTTGGTATTATCCCCTAAATTCTGTAGACTTTTGTTTCAGAAAATAAAGAAAATGAATGGATTCACTCATTTATAGGTGATCCATTTAGGGAGTCCTTGGGAAACAATAGTGTAGACTTAAAAAAAAATGTAATAGGAGATAGATCTGGCTATTTTTTTTTCTTGTCCTCTGAATAATAGCTGGTGACAACACAGATGTTAAACACAAAATATTACAGGGATTAATTCATAGCGCTCTAGTTTTCATCCAAGGTCATGTGCAGTGCAAACAATAAGTTCCAGCCAGGCAGTCTGTAGTGGCAATTAAGGACCACCTAGGGTGGGGGTGAAGCTGAAGGTGGCTCTGACCCTAGGAGGTCTACAGTCACTTCAGTGTACCTCCTTGGAATGCCTTCTTGTTCCTATAAATTAAACAAAAGTGAATTTTCTCCCCTTTAGGGAACAAACAATCCATGCCTCAGATCCTGCAGCCTAAGCATTTCCTCCTTTAGAATTGCAACTGAATCTCCTCTAAACAGCAATTAGCATTTTAATAGTATTAATAACATTCACGATTTTAACAATCTGAAGCTTTCTGCTTTTTATTGATGTCTTTTGTTGCAATTTTGTCTAATAGTGTGCCCAGGGTAGCAAAATATAACCAATTAAAACATTTGCCAAACAGCAAGGAATCTGGAAAGTTTCAATGCTGCTCGACTAAAAATGAAAATGGTTGTATGAAAATAACATTTCCAGCCAACAAGACCAGGGGACATACTGGCAGTCCTTTATGTTACGATTCTGCTTCAGAACTAGGGTAAATCGTTCAGTGTTACCTTACTAATGTCAGATTAGAAAAACCAAAGCTGGCAGTCTCACATAGAGTCCCTGGAAGCCTCAACTCCATATAGTTTACAGAAAGCATAAGTATACAGAAAACTGGGTAGTTTTAGTTTAGTATAAGATTGCACTATTTGTATGGAATCTTAATTAGATTCCTTGGTTATATATTCTCAAAACACCTTGTGTTTTTCTTTCAATTAACACAGCATATCTACTTATACAGTAAAATATTAACATTAAATACTTACTATGTGCTAGTCAATGAGTCAGCAATTTATCATGAATCATTTAATCTTCACAATAACTCGAATACTGAGGTCTATTATTAACCTTTCATTATAGACACTGAAGCTTAAAGATGTGATTTGTCCAAGGTTAAAGAGCTAGTCAATGATAGAGCAAAAATACAAACCCTGGTCCCCCTGCCGTCAGCCTATAACCTAGTGTGTACTTTGGAGGTATAGGGAGGAGGGGGGTTGGTTTTATTTTGTTTTGTTACAATGTCTGCCTCAGTGACAAGGCTCTAAAATTGAAGAGAGAAAGAATTGTTCCTGTTTGCTTCACTGCTTTCTCTCTCTAAATTAGCATGGTGCTGGGTGCATAGTAAGAGACAGCTGGATCTTTCCTAAATGAATGAAAAGTATGCATAGATTTGCCTTGTCTAACTAGATTATCATTGGGCTTTGTTTTCTTGCTTGGTGTCATTTATATCTTCTATGTTCCTGATTCCTAAAGGAAGTATACAGAAGTTTGAGCATTTATTGGTGCTTTATCTTCTTGGTAATGTTCATTTGCTTCTAAAGGTGCGTGTTTATATATATGAATAATGTTATATCCTCTGTTCGTTCCAAAAAAGTATTTAGGGTATACGGTTCTAAGAATTTATTCTGCCATTTGTGAAAGTTCTTGCTTTCCACAATTAATCATCAATTTCTCTATTTCCTAAATTTCTTTTTACTTTTTACTTTTTTTGGACAAATTATTCCAATTCTATTACTCATCTGGCTATCCCATTATGTCAAAAGACTCTATATAATTTCCTATATTTGAAATAAACTATCACTATTTTAATAGGCTTTATATAGTAATATCCTGAGCTGAATTGGGTCAGATTTGGGTAAGAGCAACACTAAAGTGCTCCAAAACCACTTCTTGTAGCTCCTATTCCTTCCAAATAAATACTTGTGCTTGTGTATACACTAGCCTGAGAGAAAAAGGTCACCATAAGAAATGGTTTTGGAGCATTTAAGTATTGCTCTTACCCAAATCTGTTGCTCTTACCAAATTCAGCTCTTACCAAATAAATTCTTAGGATCATATACCCTTTGATAGTCATGCTTCTCAAATTTAAGGATCAGAATCACCTTGGGGGCTTTTTAAAATACAAGTTGCAGGGCCCATATAGGAAAGATTCTGATTAAGTCTGGGGTGAGACTTGATTATTTGTATTTCTAACAAGGTCTCTCATGAGGCTGCAAGATTATACTTTAAGTAACACTGAACTATATAGAACTACATTGGAAATATATAAACTATATTAGAGCAGTGGAAGGTTCAGAAATCAGACATTGAGAAGAGTCATAGTAATGCTTCTGATTCTCTGCTATCTGATGCCTCAGCCTCAGTAGACCAGTCATCTAGTCCTAGAGGATGCCATCAAGCAGTGTGATGCTCTTCAATGTACCTCTTACAGGAAATATAGAAAAGTAAAAAAAAAAAGAACAGCTAGCAATTCTGCATCCAACTCTTGTATTCCTTCCACAGTTCTGGATTTGAACACGATATCTAATTCATGACCTTGTTTTTAAACATATTAAGCATGAAACAAATATATTTTTATTAAACATATTAAGCATGAAACAAATATATTTTTATTATTTTTTAGCAGATGGCTATTTAATATTTTTATTCAGTTTCCTACTCATAGTGGTTGCTGTTGCCAAACCTTTGACTCAGCCAACCATGCTCCTTTCTTTGATTTATTAGGCTTTAAAAAAAAACTTTGTCTTTGTAATTTATATGATTAGGAACTCCAGGAAGAAATGACAGTCCAACCCATGGCTAAGTATATGCTCTGTACTTGAGTAGTGAAAAGTTAGTCCTCGTTAGACTATAACTCCCAGCCCAAAGGTCCACATTAAAACAAAAGCAACTAAGAGTGATATCACTCATGCTGATCCAATCTGTGTAGAGGAAAAGAAGTGGGCCTGACTTCCATAATTTCCTTGGTATAACCACAACACAGCATTTACTTCTTGGCATTGACTCTACTGAGTTATTGAATCTTTCACTTGACAGGAAGCTCTTTGATGGGAGGAAAAAAAACCTCATCAAACAAAACCACAGTTTCTTTATCATTGTGTCCCTAGTGCATAGCACAGAATTTAACTCATTGTGGGTGCTAAATTTCTATTTACTAAATTAAAACCAATTCCGTCCTTGAATGACAATTTCTATTCTAATAATATTTTAACATGGGATTTGAGTACCTTCAAATTCCAAGGGAAATTGTGGTAGAGAAGAAATAATGAATTTCCACTTTAAAAAGTTCAAAATTTTCCATGTTTTGTGTGAAAACTTTAAAGGCATTAAAAATTTTATATTTATAATAATTATCATGAATACAAAACTCCAAAATAATTTTGTTGCTATTCAGCTTTTAAAACAAGCTTCCCTTATTCTCTTTTGATCCATTAAGATCTGAATGAACTCAACACCTAACTTTTGTTGTTACTGTATGAAGTACTAGGCATTCTGAAGTTGTACATACTTTACATCTAGCTTTTGCTAGCTAGGGAGCTCATTAACAGTTACTTCTTCTTGGCGAATAAACTGCCCCATGAGAGTAAAAGAACTGCTTAATTCATAAGTTCACATTCTTTTAAGAGGTCACTTAACCTTCTAAGTCAATTATAGGACATTAACAATACTCTGCCTCCAACAATTATTTTTCTAGGTTATGTAGATATAGCTGTTTGAGGCCTGACCAGATATATTCAGGCTCTATCACTCAGGTCTGTCTGCAAAGGCAGGGTTAAATCACTTTCTACTGAGATTCAAGATATCAAGGGAAACACTTCACAGTTATTTTGACTGCTGTAATATCAATATTCAACATGATATATGGAAATAATGAAAAAAACTAATAAAATTATTCTTTTTTATTAAGCTAAGGCAGCGATTGTGGTAAGTGCAAGAATACTCCAGGCATCTGAAGTATTCTTTTAAAAGAACAGAAAACATTAATAGCAGATAGGTAAGTTTCCTCTTTCTTTACAGTATATCTCAGTCCTTTCAAGAGTGAAATGGAAAGAAAGGTGCTGATCTTGGCATAGTGTTGTTGCATATTAATAGGAGCAGTCATAAAATGACTAATAATAAATGTGTTAAGTATCACAGAAGTAGAGACATAGGCATGGTCCAAACACATTAACACCTGCATTCTAAATTAATCCTTTTTCTTTCCAGAGGATTATAAATATGAGCCATTTCAAGTGTAGACTTCCGAACCATATAAAGTAAGCTTCGGCAATGTCAGTCTCTCTTAGAAAATAGACGAGTGGGAACCTTGATTACATTTATCCAGCAATGTAAGGAGATGAAAGTAACCAATACCTTAAGCCACCTAGGGTTGCATATTTTGACTAGTATAACTCTAAAACTTGAAGAAATGCTTGGAATTAATATTTTAAAAAGTTCTTATGCATCAAGAAATGTGATTCATCTACTAAAGTTTAATCTGTAATTGAAACATTATTCTTCAAGTAAAAACCGAATAGATTTAGGGCATGGTTACTATTTTTTAATGTTATTGTTAGAACTTTGAATAATGTTTCAGTAAAGCCACTTAAACATTACAAAAGCACACCACACCTGATACTGCGTTGTCAGCCCCATGTTCTATAATTAGTTGGTGTTTTACCTGATACCTTATTAGCTTTCAGAATTGCTATTTAATTCTTTGCTTTGAATTTACAACATTCACAGAGCACTGCTGAGGGATTTGGAGAGTACTTAAGAAATATGTATTATAAATTGACACCCCTGTATCAAATTTTGCCATTTTTACTTGAAACTACAACTCTAAATTGCTTATTTAAATAGTTTTAGCTTATGTTCCAAACAAACGATGCCTTCAAGGGAATGGAGAATTAGAATCTTGCTACTTTAAAAATGTACCCTAGAGGTAGAGACTCCACATATGGTTGTAGTAACCAAGTCAAAGAGCCTGGCCCAAGTGGCAAATCTATTACTTTGCAAAGAAAGTATCACACTGGCGATGGCTATGAAAATCTGCACATTGTGCTATCTTTATGGAGTGCACGAATGTAAAGTCAGTCAGGAGATAAGGCAATAACTTGGGGTTATTTCTCTCCGGAAAATATATACCTTTCTGTTGTTGCTTTCTATGATTTTTTTATAGTAAAACTTTATTTTGGGCCGGGCACAGTGGCTTATGCCTGTAATCCCAGCACTTTGGGAGGTCAAGGTGGGCGGATCACCTGAAGTCGAGAGTTCGAGACCAGCCTGACCAAAATGGAGAAACCCCATCTCTACTAAAAACACAAAATTAGCCAGGCATGGTGGCACATGCCTGTAATCCCAGCTACTAGGGAGGCTGAGGCAGGAGAATTGCTTGAACCCGGGAGGTGGAGGTTGCGGTGAGCAGAGATCACGCCATTGCACTTCAGCCTGGGCAACAAGAGTGTAACTCTGTCTCAAAAAAGGAAACAACTTTATTTTGGACTTTTGATTTTGACAGATAATTGAGAGATCTATGTTTCCTTTACGTGTTTTCTCACCTACAATTCCCAGTTTCTTGCATAAAGAGCAACCTGTATCACTATGATATTCTTCTAATATTCTCTTGGTAAAGCATCTGCATCATGTGGTGAAAAGTCTGATATCTGTTGCAATTGGTTGGTGTCAGTGCTGTAAGTTTTTAAACATTTTGAAAATCATCCTTGTAATATGACCATGGTAATAGCTAGGCAGAACAGGGAGGCCACAGTACTGCTCTTACTTAGTAGTGCTAGGTTATAAAATAATGAAATAAAATTGTATAAAGTTAAAATACCCTTAAGGCTCTATGCATTGCATAGCTCTAGAATTGACAGGAAACAGCATGATGGTTACCACTCTAGTAAGCCCTGCACTTTCTCATACATTCGTCTACATCATATATACACAGTTAGTAACATGTCTCCAGTGCAAACCAACTGGCAAGAAACCTAAAGAATAAGAACATGGAGAACAAAAATGTCTTCTAGTGTATCTTCTTGGTCAAGATCATTGCACTGTTGATAATGCAGCTATCTTGTTGATAAATCCTTTACATAATTACATCTCTAACTTCCCTTTTTTGTCATCAATAATGAGTCTAGCAGGATTCATATGAGTCCGTTGCCTCATTTCAATTTACTGAATACTTGAATGTGTTAGAGTCATACATTTGAAATGAGCTTTATCAAAGACCGAGATTTAGATAATAAAGCAGTTAGATTATATTTGTCCAAAAGTTCTTCTATTATAGCCTCTTTAAATTTCAACAAATGTAGATGCTATAAAATATTTAGCTTTCTGTAAAATATTTGTATCAGCTTATGCTCATTATGAACGTTTTCATTTCAGTGGGTAAATGAAACCTTTGTAAGGCACAACAGTGTTCAAATATCAATATATTAAGCAATGTATTATGTAAATTCATAAGTAAAACATTTTCCTTTCATTATTATAAATATATTTATTTAATGTAATGGTATTAATATTGTGTTTATCTTTTTAAAGAAAATGGTAATAAACTGTTGTCAGAGGCATATCAAACAAGTTTCTGCTGGGCCCAGGTAAATACAACTTAGGCGTTATCAATTGAGAATGAAGACATTATTTTCCTTCACTGATTCTTTAAAAGAATTCTAACCATCATTGTGCTACTCAGTGTTTTAGTTTCTTTGTTGAGCTAGTGGGAATTAAAAAAAATACCATACACATAGTGATAAAAAGTAAATTATTTATTGTTTAAAAAAGTTTTGAATTTTTATGAACCTTTTAGGTATTAGGACTTATTACTTAAATGATACTCACTAAATAAATGAAAATGATAAATGTTGAGTTACAAGGGACTCAATTCTAAACTATTTTTCCAACATGAAAGAATGTTTCTCTATTATTTCCATCAAAGCATTGTTTAAATAATGATCTTTTTTATTTATCCTTGTTTCATTTAAGCTTTGAAATAAAGGAATCTATTAAAAAATCCTTCAATCCTTCAGTTGGAGTTAAATTATTTCTCAAGTGAGAAAAAATGATGATAGTGTTCACATATAGACATAATCATTATCAGGCAATCTTGGTACTTATTTTGCCAATATAACTGCTAAAAGCCAAAGTTCCTTAAATCTAAATGAGTCTTTCCAACCCATGCTCTCTGGTGATTAAAGCACAGAATTTTTAGAAGCAGGCAGATCACAGAAAGAAATATCAAAAGCTAAGGTTGATGTCAAATCAATGCCCAGGTTTAGCTGATTCTTGTTATATTTGGTTTCAGCATTGATCTAATCTAGAAAATGCTGGGCTCACTGTGAACTCCAAACAATGTACTTTTTAAAGTGTAATGGTATATTTCATAATAAAACATAACACTTGAAACTGCAAAATAAAATACCATCAAAATATGTATAAACAAAAAGGTATCTTCCTATTTAAAAAGAAGGTAAAAATTATTGTTTTTTTTTTCTGTTATCTGTCTATAGTGCATATCACTAAGGAGTCTAGCAATCAGCTCCTTAAAAAAAATCATCTTTCTAGTCCTCCTCAGGACCCAAATCTGTATTTCATTATTTCTATCACATTTTAGATACCCAATATATTTTGCACCTTTTAGCAGCAAAGCTTTATAAATGAGGAGACATGTTGATTTGTCATAGATTTCATTGTCAACTATGTTTTTATGAGGGATAATATTTTAGCTAGTCTCTCTCTCTCCTCTATAAACAGATATTTATACTGACTGGATTTTGGTCTTTGGTATTAATAACAACAAGGTTATCAGAGTTAGCTCCTAACTCATTAACAGATAAAAAAGTCTACTATCTGATGGTCAGAGTACTAAGATCACAGATGGATTATCTATGTTGTTATTTATTTCTAAAGAAAAATAAAATAATCTGGTAGGCCTTCTGCTTCCTAATTGAGGTGAAGCTTTTTTGGAAACCTATTTGCTTTTGTTTTGGACATCTGAATTACTTGAATGTAATGTATTGTATAACTACCAAAAGCAAGATGATCAATAAATATGTACAGGGGTTGTGAAATCAGAGTTTGTAGCTTTGGTAACAATACTTGTGAAAACAACAATATGAAGTGTAACCTATTCAGTAAAGAACTTTTCTCTCCTTCCCCTCCAATTCAATAGCCTAAGGATTGATTTTGAATGTAAAGATAATGTTTTCGCTAAGTCCATTAGTTACTAACTTTTACATGCTATAGCAAATTTAATAAACCCTATATTAATACAGTTTATATTTTCTTAAAATCATTATTTATACGAGTGAATTTTACATCCTGGACAGTTAGAACTAAACTTTATCATAATTAGTCTTGCTTTCATAAACTAGTGTGAGTATTCTTTTTGGGTAAGTGCATGAAGATTGATGATATACAAATAAATAGATTTATAAGTCTGGTGATCAATATATCTATACATATCTCTATTCCAGTTGTATTTAATAAAATCAGTTCTATCTACAAAGGTCAGAATATACTGCATTCTACCACTGTGGCAGAAAAGTTTCTCAATTTTAAAGATAATTCCATCTCTACTAAACAGTTGCATTCACTGCAAAACAAACAGTACTCTGATTCAGGGGTAATAATGAGTATTAAATGAAGCTCAGTCTTATTTTGGTGCAGTTCACATGACTCAAGCCTCTTGTAGTTACACTTTCCAGGTGAAAACTTCTCAGGTGTAGTAAATCCATCAAAGTTCACAGAACCTATTAATTACTTAAATGCTATTGCAACATCTTCAAAAAGGTAATGGAAAAATCATTCTGTATTAAAGCATAGCGTGAATACAGCCCTCAGTGTAGTAAGTCTGCAGTTTAGAAGCCTGGGAGCCCTGGGAACCCTGGGAAGATTAACGATATCTCTGGATGCCAGATCATATTCCTGGTAGTTGTCTTGCTCCTTTGTAGTATGGTTTTGACAAATGAAATTTCATATTCCCGTCAAACAAGAGGTCCTTTCAAGGATTACAATGATTAGTGCAATTTGTAGAAAAGGAAAATCATATTCACAAAGGGAATGGTAATGAACCAACAACAGAGAATGTGATAGTTGGAGAGTAGATTATGAAACTTAAATAATTGTTGATTCAGGTAAATGGTAAAAGAGTAATTGAGAAAGGAAAATAGAGCAGCCTTGTACAAAGTGTTTGTACATAAACTTTTAGAGGAACAATGAATGTGTGATTTAGTGAAAAGGCAGATTTGGTGACAAACTCAACTTCGATCATGAAATTAAAGCTCTGAACTCAACAAACTATAAAATTTCAAAATGTTTTATACTATTGGTGAGGTATTCAGGAATATGTAAAGAAGTGACAATGATAGTCTTCATTAATTATTAATATAAAAACAAACTAAAATGTGGAAAAATAAATTAGTTGAAAATTAATAAAAATATTACTTAATTTTTTGCCACTGAATGGGTAATAACTATTAATTTGTTGGTGGACCTCTCTCTCTCTCTCTCTCTCTATCTCCCAACTACTTTTCATGCAGGCAAAATAAATAAAACACTCTCAATTATAAAGGTAATTGACTAGATGAATTGTTGATTATTTTCTATCATCATTTCATATACTCATTTTCCAAAGGCATATATGAAAACGGAGAGGACTATCTATTTTTGCTTTATCACTGGTCAACATTTACTTTCTTCATTTCAGACTGACAACAAGATACAAAAAAATGAAGGTCATGTTTTTCCAAAGCACAACACTGATCTACTCCTTAGACCAACATTGTTGCTGCCCATTTATGACTTATTATTGCCCTGAGCTATGTACTGCTGTCTTCCAGTGCTATATTTCTTGAAAATTTCACATAGAAATCTATGACACAATCTGTCAGCTTGGTGTGGAAAAATTCAGGTTCTCTCATTAATATTAAACTTCTTGGGGAAAATATATTACTGAAACAAGCATTTCTTTTCAGGATGAAGGAATTTATATTTTACTATTGACATGACAATTGAAATCATATTCAACAAAATGAATGATGAAGAAATTATACCCATGTATTCTGAAAGAAGGGACAAAGATGGATCAGAAGAAGGAAAAGTGTGTTATCACAAAATATGCAAGCACTCAGACATCCTTACCAAAGTAATGAAATAATGAAAAGGAAAGTTATTGTGACCATCTATTATTATTTCTAATAAGCATCAAAGGGATTGTGATAAAGAAAAAATATTGTCAGTCATTGCAACAGAATATAGCTGAATTGCTACATCTTTTTATGGTAGTGCAGCCAAGTATAATTTGGATGTAAATCATGTGTCTTATCCCCCACTTTATAATGGACTTTCATTATACTGTACACAAAATTTGGAACAGGAAGTGACAAAAAGTCAGATACTTGTCTCTGGCTTCCCCTCTAAGGACTCCTTATATAGAACTCCTGGTGACTTCAGAGGACGCAAAAAACTGTGCACTGTGCAAGATCTGCTCTTGGGAGCTAAAGAGAAATGACACTACCATTTCTGCCTTTTTTTTTTTTCATGTGGCATAAAAACTAGAGGCAATTTTAATTTTTTTCTGTATCTCAACTGAAATAAATTCTTTTGATGTGAAACATTGGTGTAGGTTTTTTTATTCCCCCATTTTAATGTGCCAGTTTTTTCTTCCTTTTTCCTTTTGGATATATTCTGTCCATTTGAATTAAGAGATTTTTCTTTTGGAGAGAAATTTGGGAGCCAAAGAAAGTGAAACCTTAGTCTTGTTAGAAAACTGACTAAAGGAATTGGACCCTATATGTTAATGTACAATTGTTGCCAAAATAATGAAATTGTATGCATGTCAAGGTAAACTTATCTTCCAAATTCATTTAATAATAACACATGTTTAAATAATGTTTTAAAGTTAGCAGGCATATTAACACACATTGCTTCTTATGATCCTATAACAGTGTGTCATTTTATTGTCACTTCAAATATAAGCAAATTGAATGTCAGACATACATTAACTTTCTTGATGTCATGCATCTAGCAGAAAGCAAAGCTGTATGTCTTAAACACAACATTTCTAACTTAATTTTGGGGTTCTTTCTACTATATCACATAACCTCAATTGATTATTTATTTATTTATTTATTTATTTATTTATTTATTTATTTATTTTCCAAGATGGAGTCTCCCTCTGTTGCCCAGGCTGGAGTGCAGTAGTGCCACCTTGGCTTACTGCAACCTCTGCCTCCCAGGTTCAAGCCATTCTCCTGCCTCAGCCTCTTGAGTAGCTGTGATTACAGGTGCATGCCACCAGGCCCAGCTAATTTTTGTATTTTTAGTAGAGACGGTGTTTCACTATGTTGGCCAGGCTGGTCTCAAACTCCTGACCTTGTGATCCACCCACCTCGGCCTCCCAAAGTGCTGGGATTATGGGCGTGAGCCACCATGCCTGGCCAATTTTTTAATATATATTATGTTTTATTTGTTATTTTCGTAGGTACATAATAGGTTTATATATTTATGGGGGATATGAGATGCTTTGATACGGGCAGGCAATGTTAATAATCAATCATGGAAAATGGGCTATCCATTTCCTCAGGCATTTATCTTTTGTGTTACAAATAATGCAATTATACTCTTTTAGTTATTTTTAAAAAGTACAGTTAAATTATTATCAACTATAATCACCCAGTTGTGCTACTAAATACTAGACCTTATTCATTCTTCTAAAGATTTTTTTTTTTTTTACCCATTAACCATCCCCACCATCCCCTATACCCTCCCACTACCCTTCTCAGCCTCTGGTAACCATCCTCCTACTCTCTATCTTCATGGATTAAATTGTTTTGATTTATAGATCCCACAAATAAGTGAGAACATACAATGTTTGTCTTTCTGTGCCTGGCTTATTTCACTTAACATAATGACCTTCAGTTCCATCCATGTTGTTGCAAATGACAAAATCTTATTCTTTTTTTATGGCTGAATAGCATTCTATTGTGTATATGTGCCACATTTTCTTTATCTATATCTATTAATCTATTGATGGACACTTAGGTTGCTTCCAAATCTTGGCTATTGTGAACAGAGCTGCAACAGACATGGGAGTGCAGCTATCTCTTCATTACACTGATTTCCATTCTTCTGGGTATATACCCAGCAGTGAGATTGCTTCATCATATGGTAACTCTATTTTCAGTTTTTTTAGGCACTTCCAAACTGTTCTCCATAGGGGCTGTACTAACTTACATTCCCACAAAGAGTGTACAAGGGTTCCCTTTTCTCCACATCCTAACCAGCATTTGTAATTGCCTGTGTTTTGGATACAAGCAATTTTAACTGCAGTGAGATGATATCTCATTGCAGTTTTGATTTACATTTCTCTGGTAATCAATGATGTTGAACATCTTTTCATGTGTCTGCCACTTGTATGTCTTCTTTCAAGAAATATCAGTTCAAATCTTTTGCTCATTTTGTAATCAGATTATTGGATTTTTTCCTATAAGGTTGTTTGAGCTCCTTATATATTCTGGTTATTAATCCATTGTCAGATGGTTAGTTTGCAGATAGTTTCTTCCACCCTGTGAGTTGTCTCTTTACTTGGCTGATTGTTTCCTTTTCTATGCAGAAGCTTTTTAACTTGATGTAATCTCATTTGTCCATTTTTGCTTTGGTTGCCTGTGCTTGTGGGGTATTACTCAAGAAATTTTTGCCCAGACTAATGTCTTGGAGAGTTTCACTGATGTTTTCTTGGAGCAGTTTCATAGTTTGAAGTCTTAGGTTTTATTATTTAATCAATTTGATTTTATTTTTATATGTGGTAAGAGAGGGGTCTAATTTCAATCTTGGTATATGGATATCCGGTTTTCCCAGCATCTTCAACTGATTTTTTAATCATATAGTTTTTAAAATTACCAAGTGAGGCAGGAATTAAAATTTTGGTGATTGCCAATTTTTTTAGGGCCTAGTATTACATAAAGGGATAAGTATTTTTTTCATAATGAATAAATAATTTGTTTTGGAGAGTTGAAGGGAACCTGAATTCAAGACGTAGAGAATTAGCTGGGGTGTTTTTTAAAAATGTACAATCCTGATTTTAACACTGAAAGACTCTGATTTAGTACATCTCAGTGAGACTTTATATTCTGAGTTTTTTTGTTTTTTTTTTAAACCCACATTTGGAAAAACTCTGGTGTAGAACACTGTTTGCTAATTCAATGTCACAGGTCAATACACTATATCAATACACTGTATTTTCATCCACAGGACACACATTTTTTCTTTACATTTTCCTTTCCATTCCTTCCCCTCCTCTCCCCTCCTTAAACCCTCCCTTCCCCTCCCCTACTCTAACCCTCCCCTCCCCTCCCATCCCCAACCCTCCCTTTCTCTCCCCTCCCCTTACCCTTCCTTCCCCTCGCCTCCCCTCCCCTGTCCTCCCCTCCCTTGTCTTTTCCCTCCTTTTTTCCTTTCTCTTTGTTTTTTGTACATTTATTTATCAACTTCATGTTCCCCAATTCTATTGTTTCTCTTCATTCGTTTTCAATTTACCTGTTAAGGAAACATTTTAGACTGTTTACATGTACATTAAAATGTGTGTAATACAGCCAAGATTCCTGTAGAAGTTAGCTATCTGATGGATTCATTATTTCTTGATTGAAAATGAATACATATGTCTTGGAACTAGATGAGGAGGTGGCAAGGTTCTAGGGTCAGATAACCTGGGTTCAAATATTCTCTGCCTTTGCTACTCTGAAAAAATTTTAATCTCTCTATTTCTAAATTGCCACATCTATAAAATGAGAATCATAGCATTTTATGTCATGAAGATTTTATGAAGATTAAATAAGATAATTCTTGCAATTTACTCAGTGCCTAGCACTGTCCCCAGAACATGGAGACTGCTCAATGAAAGCAGCTATTATTGTAGTTGTCATGTTTTTACTAAAGTTGTTACTGTTATTAATTAGCTAACTTTATAATTAGGAAAAAAATAATAATGTTACCACTGACCATCTGTTTTTGATTTTTGGAATGTCTCTTAGGAACATTTAAATGAATTAATTTTCACAGCAGAGTTTCTTGATACAACTATTGGTCTTTAGGGAATGATGGCCAAAGGCAAAGATTTGCCTTTTGTACAGTTGCTACAAAACAGTCCTTCTAGTTTGTTATCATGATCAGTCATATATTGAGCCATTTTTGTTCACCATATATTTTTATATTATTTGGGGTTTTTTTTTTGAATTGTGGTTGTTGGTTTTGTTTTTTAGTAAATTGTATAAACTCCCTGGGTTATATACACTTGTACAATTTCAGAATTTGAAGTGTGGTTGGTACTTAGTGATGGGGAGGAAAATCTGCCTGAAATACAATATATGAAATTCTCAGATATATTTTCTCAAAGTGCAGTTGGTACATGGTAACTTCAGTCAATGAGTGTGCAAGTATACAATGATTGCATAAAAATGTCATTCATTAACATATAGATGTTAGCATTTATAGATGACAGGCAGGTGGATGATAATTTTAGGAATTCTATGCCTTTCTGATAAATTTTCTTAATTTATATTAAGTCATCTTATATTAAACATGTGCTACCTATATTGATCTGAATGCATACAATAAGAACTGTAACCTCCTCTGCACGTTTATTTACTTAGTCAATGTTGCTTAGGCATGCACCTACTTATTTAAAGTTTTAAAAGTTCTAAGAAGTATAAAATTGACTAAACCAAGTTTAAAAACTATGAGGACCCTTAAAGGAAACATTAATGAAGCATTAAAATAAAGAAGTAAATGGAAGAAGAGAGAGAACACTGAAAAATAAATTACAAATAAAATATAATGACATGCCATAGGACAAATAAAAGGAAAATAAACATATTGAATTTAAAAAATAAACTTATTTCAGCCTCAGAGTATTTTTATTTGCCATTGCATTCACCTCAATTGGTTTTTTTGGCTAGATAAATTTATAATTTATTCTTTTTCATTACATTATCTTATCTCAGATACTCTCCATTAAATGAGACCTCCCTAGGCCATGGCACTAGTAGTAACACAAATCTCAGTCACTATCTACTTCATTATTTTTCTCCTATATTCTGAAAATATCTTCCCTCTATTTTCCCCATTAAATGTAAGGAATATGAAAACAGATCCATTTACCCCAAGCACCATGGAAGTGCACACTGTGTATGGATATATGCACACACATGCAAACACACACTGACACTTACTGCTTGATCATTGTGATGCAGGATATTGAGCAGAAGTATAAAACATCAAATAAATACATTATTGATTGTCACAATATAATGATGCAACTGTTCACTTGATTCATTCTCTGAAACACCTCCTCTATTATGAGAACTACTATTTACAGGGCACATAGTTGAAAACATACACACAGAGAATGTTGTTTGATTCTATGTTTGATTATTGGGCCATTAAATGTTTTTAAGAGAAATAATATTGCTTACTGTAATTTAAATTTATAAACTCATAATATCTAATCATATTTAATACTGACATATAATAATTTGACACTAGTCTTGCAGTTTTCATAAACTTTCTCATTTAATCCTCAATCCATCCTGTAACAGGTTAAAGGGAAGAGGTGTGCCAGCTAAGGGATAGAAAGGGCAATAAGATAACCAGTTTCTAAACCCAATACTATTCTGAACTTCAATAATTTAGATTAAGATATGACATAAATGAATATATTTGGTAAATGGCATTTAAAAGCAAATTTATTAAATTTATGCCATTAAAAACAATGTATTACAATATATTAAAATGGTTACTTTTAGTAGAAATATAACTTTTAAATGGCAAGTGGGACTAATGCCTTGGATGCTATAAGAAGAAAATCAGTTATCACTCATAGATTAATTATGTCAACATATGTCCTAAATTATAAGCTTAAAAACTATACAAGCCATTTTATAAAAATTTTGTATATATACACAATATGCAAAATAATATCACATATGTATTTTATTAATATGACACTGATATTAATTTTTCTCATGTTTTATTATCTTTTAAATTAATTATGTAGGATATTATTTTGGAGGCTTACTCTCAAATATTTTCCACATATTCCTTATCATTTATTGATTTTTCCAGATTATAAAGTATTGACATAAAAATATATCATATCCTTTGCACTTAGGGCTGGCTGAAAAAGGAGGCCTTTAAAAACTTACATATTTCTAAGAAAACTGGCTATATGTGTGATTAATATTACTATTTTGAATTTATGTTTTTATACACATAATATTTCAGCAATTATAATAGGACATGGTGTTATTTTAAATACATAATATCCTTGAAAATAATAGGAGCTTGGAAAAAATTACTTGTTTCATGAAGATCAAGCGCTAACTAAATTAATTTTCTACTGAGCGAAAGACTCATCAGATTGAATAAATGAAAGAAAAAGAATAGACACAATCCATCTGATTTTGATTTTTTATTTTATAAATAATTATTTTCTTTAAATAGAGAAATACAGGTTTGATAGTGTAAAAATTAAGGAGTGATTACGTTAAGTGGTGTGCTATGTCCACTATAGCGACTATCCTTTTATGGTTAAAGGGGCATAATTTACACATTAATTCCTTTTACAAATATATATTGAATATCTATGTATGGAAATGGACTTCCTTATTAAAAAGAGATTCCCTCCAAGATACGAGTGGAAAATTATTTCAGAAAGACAATCTCGAGCTTAGAAGGGGATGAAGATTAATTTAACCCTCAGCCATCCATTGTCCTTGATGTTCTCTTACATTGATCTCTACCACTACAGAGATTGAACCCTTCTCTTTAACAACTAGCCAAGAATGGAAAAAACAATATCAGCGTTTCCCTCTCTTTCAGCATGGTCACAGAAACAGGATGGGAACAAATGTTAAGCATAAAAAATGTGCCCACCCTCAATGAGTGTATGTTCTAGTCCTGAAGTTATTATACACACACAGATAATTGATATATAAAAGAGGAATTGGTAGTGCCGTAACAGAGAAACATACAGAACTTCACTGAACTGCAAAAGAGACTGAGTTAGTACTGTTTTAGGGCTGTAGAATGCTCAGAAAGTGGACCAAGGGAATAGGCTTTGGAATAAGGTATTTTTGCATTGTGCATAAATTATGGATATAGTCTTACAGGAATAGCTACAGGATCCTGATTATTTCAGGCAGTGGAAATATGTTGAACAAATACTCATATATGAGAAGATATGTGGCACTTTTGGAGAACTATGGTAAGTTCAATTTGAGTAGTGGGTAGAATGTTTGAAGAAATATAGTAGGAGGAAGGGCTGCAAAAATAATCTGTAAATCCTAAGTATCACTCTAAAGTAAAATGAGTATTATTTTGTAAAGACAGGGAGTGAGCTTGGTATACTTTCACATTACGAAGAATTGTGGAAATTAAATCTTTTTTCCTTTCAGAGGAAGAAAGATATGTCAGGTTTTCAATACAAAAAGAAAAAACGTATATGTATTTATTGAATGCTTCATTCTGGACCCAAAATTAAATACATAACATCTTATTTAATGCTCACAACATTTTATGAGGCAAGAGATGAGATGTTCGTTTGATATATGAAAACAGTGACTATACTATCAGGCAACCTACAGATTGGGAGAAAATTTTTGCAATCTACCCATCTGACAAGGGCCTAATATCCAGAATTTACAAGAAACTTAAACAAATTTACCAGAAAAAGACAACCCCATCAAAATGGACAAAAGATATGAACACCCCATCAAAATGGACAAAAGATATGAACACCCCATCAAAATGGACAAATGATATGAACAGACACTTCTTAAAAGAAGACATTTACGTGGCCAAGAAGCATATGAAAAAAGCTCAACATCACTGATCCTCATAGAAATGCAAATCAAAATGGCAATAAGATACCATCTCACGCCAGTTAAGAATGGCGATTATTAAAAAGTCAGGAAGCAAATAGATGCTGGCAAGGCTGTGGAGAAATAGGAACCCCTTTACACTGTTGGTGGGAATGTAAATTAGTGTAATCATTGTGGAAGACAGTATGGTGATTCCCCAAGAATCTAGAACCAGAAATATCATTTGACCCAGCCAGCAATCCTATTACTGGGTATATACCCAAAGGAATATAAATCATTCTACTATAAAGAGACATGCACATGTATGTTTATCGTAGCACTTTTACAATAGCAAAGACAAGGAACCAACCCAAATGCCCATCAATGACAGACTGGATAAAGAAAATGTGGTACATATACACCATGGAATACAATGCAGCCATAAAAAGGAATGAGATCATGTCCTTTGCAGGGATATGAATGAAGGTGGAAGCCATCATAGTCAGCAAACTAACACAGGAAAAAAAACAAAACACTGCATGTTCTCACTCATAAGTGCGAGTTGAACATTGACAACACATGGACACAGAGAGGGGAACAACACGCACCAGGGCTTGTGTGGGGGATGAGGGGTGAGGGGAGGGAACTTAGAGGATGGGTCAATAGGTGCAGCAAACCACCATGGCACACATATACCTATGTAACAAACCTGGATGTTCTGCACATGTATCCCATTTTTTTAGAAGAAATAAAGAAAAAAGAAAAAGAAAACAGTGACTCTAAAAAAGTTATTCTAGAACATTCCTAGGTAGCACAGTATCAGTGTTGGTATCTAAAGTTAGTTTCTAACCCTAGCTACTTGTTAGAACCATCTAAAGGGCTTCTTAATCAGTATTTAAAAATTCTGATGCCTAGACCCAGTCTAAGAAATTGTAATTTCATTGACCAGTCTTCTAGACCATAGTTTCTCACAAAGATAAGGCTAAAACTCATTGACTTTTTTTTTTAATTGAAGGAGTGGTGATGAATAAAAATTGAGTTATTCAATAAAGTTGGATAAAGAATAAAATAGAGCTTGGAATTAAGAAGAAAAAATATAACTGGGACAAAATAATTAATTAAAAGATTAATATTCAAGTTTTCTTCCAAATGTATATTATGCATAAAGGTAAAATAAATTTCCAGTTATAAGTATTTATATTGGAATATATGTACACATATGCACATGCACACACACACACAGAGAACTGCTTATTATTCACAGGTTCCATATTTGTAAATTTTTCAACTTGCCAAAATTTATTTTTACTCACAAAATTAATACTCATGATGCTTTTGCAATTTTTTATGGACATTCACATAGTAGGAGAAAAAATTTGAGTCATCTGACACATATGTTCTGAGCT
This sequence comes from Homo sapiens, assembly GCF_000001405.40. Lineage (NCBI taxonomy): Eukaryota > Metazoa > Chordata > Mammalia > Primates > Hominidae > Homo > Homo sapiens. The sequence continues at coordinate 80,515,136 of NC_000001.11, read as the reverse complement.
TAGATCTAATCCCAGTTTAGATCAAACAAGGTGATATTCTGCCTTCTTTTTTCAGCTCTCATATTGCAAATAAATGTTCATTTTACTATCTATGTAGTGTTATGTTTTCCCTCATTTTTGTGAGATTTTTTTAAAGACTATTTAAAATGGCCCAAAATGTCAAGAACTTCATGTCTAAAACACCAAAAGCAATGGCAACAAAAGCCAAAATTGACAAATGGGATCTGATTAAACTAAAGAGCTTCTGCACAGCAAAAGAAACTACCATCAGAGTGAACAGGCAACCTACAGAATGGGAGAACGTTTTTGCAATCTACTCATCTGACAAAGGGCTAATATCCAGAATCTACAAAGAACTCAACCAAATTTACAAGAAAAAAAAAAAAAACATCAAAAAGTGGGCGAAGGATATGAACAGACACTTCTCAAAAGAAGACATTTATGCAGCCAACAGACACATGAAAAAATGCTCATCATCACTGGCCATCAGAGAAATGCAAATCAAAACCACAATGAGATATCATCTCACACTAGTTAGAATGGCGATCATTAAAAAATCAGGAAACAACAGGTGCTGGAGAGGATGTGGAGAAATAGGAACACTTTTACACTGTTGGTGGGACTGTAAACTAGTTCAACCATTGTGGAAGATAGTGTGGCGATTCCTCAAGGATCTAGAACTAGAAATACCATTTGACCCAGCCATCCCATTATTGGGTATATACCCAAAGGATTACAAATCATGCTGCTATAAAGACACATGCACACCTATGTTCATTGCGGCACTATACACAATAGCAAAGACTTGGAACCAACCCAAATGTCCATCAGTGATAGACTGGATTAAGAAAATGTGGCACATATACACCATGGAATACTATGCAGCCATAAAAAAGGATGAGTTCATGTCCTTTGTAGGGACATGGATGAAGCTGGAAACCATCATTCTCAGCAAACTATTGCAAGGACAAAAAACCAAACACCGCATGTTCTCACTCATAGGTGGGAATTGAACAATGAGAACACTTGGACACAGGAAGGGGAACATCACACACCAGGGCCTGTCGTGGGGTTGGGGGATGGGGGAGGGACAGCATTAGGAAATATACCTAATGTAAATGACAAGTTAATGGGTGCAGCACACCAACATGGCACATGTATACATATGTAACAATCTTGCACATTGTGCACATGTACCCTAGAACTTTAATAAAAAGAAAAAAATGGCCCAAAATGTATTGCTAAAGGGTTGTCTAGAGTCTCCTAGCACAAGAAGGCTATGATGATGTGTCTTATGAAGAAAACATATGTGTTAGATAAGCTACATTCAGGCATGAGTTATAGTACTGTTGGCCATGAGATCAGTATTAATGAGTCAACAGTTATATTAACTAAGTTGTCTTTAAACAGAAATACATAAAAAATAAGGTTATATATGATTGGTTGATAAAAAATGTTGTGATAAGAGCTCCACAGAACCTAACCCTGTATTTCATCTGTGAGCAATGATTCAGCATTCTTTAGTGTTCACAGTGACTTTATAGAATATAATGATCATGAATAACAAGAAATGAAATGACTGTATATATAATGATATGATTTGGCTGTGTCCCCACCCAAATCTCATCTTGAATTGTAGTTCCCGTAATCCCCATGTGTAGTGGGAAGGACTCCATGGGAAGTAATTGAAACATAGGGGTGGTTCCCTAATGCTAGTCTCATGACAGTAAGTTCTCACGAGATCTGATGGTTTTATAAGGGGTTTTTCCCTTTGCTCAGCTCTCATTCTTCTCCTTGCTGCTGCCATGTGAAGAAGGATGTGTTTGCTTCCCCTTCTTCTGTGATTGTAAGTTTCCTGAGGCCTACCCCAGCCATGCTGAACTGTGAGTCAATTAAACCTCTTTCCTTTATAAATTACCCAGTTTCCAGTATATCTTTATTAGCAGCATGATAATGGACTAACATATATAGTTTAAATGTGATAATAAAGGTACAATGCTTAGCATAGTGATAATACATGCTCAATAGATAAATAGTATATATTTCATTTGTTGTTGTTATTCTTATCATTACTAAAATTTTCTAGATATGTTAATTGATCAACAGATGGATTGGACAGTAACAAGCTAGGATAATTTGCTTTGAAATATAAAGCTGAGATCTAGCTTGGAAAGATATATATACAAGCAATAATAGGGGGAATAATAATCACTTTCTAGAAAAGAAAAGAATGCAGGCTACTATTTTTAAAAATTTCTTATTGTAAGTGGCAAGTGACTATGTAAAGACTACAAGTCTGTATTTTCACTGAGTCCATAAAAATACAGGCAAAAAGGTTTAAACCAAAGCATTTTAATTCACTCTCTGAAAAAGAAATGTTAAGCTTTTACCAAATTTTATTTGAATATTCATCTTAGTATGTCTTTTAAATACTTATCTTTGAATGTATTTTTAAAATAATGGATTGTCTTGGTTGAAAATGTTTTAAATAAGTGTACTACCAAGGATAGGACAATGGAATATTTCCCAAGGATTCCCACACAAGCATTTGACTTTAGAGACTCTGAAGTTTGTGTGTTGTGTATTTGTCATATGCAGTCATTAAATAAATGATGAAGAAACTGAGTCATTTTAGGATAATCAAATTATATTATATCTTCTGTACCTGAGAACCAGATTCTCAATGTGGAAGAAAATAAACACATGTAATATAGAAGAAAGAAAGTAAAATCCTGTAGTTGAGAATTTTAATTGGATGCCAAGTGTAAAGTCAGGAGGTATTTTATCTTCATATATCTAATCTAAAGGGCCTAAAAACAATAACCAACTCAGTAACAATGACTGTAGAGTAGTTACTCTATATACTCAGGGTATTGGTTCCAGGACCCCCATGTGTACCAACTCCATGAATATTCAAGTCCTGCAGCTGGATCTGCAGAACCTGCCTATAGAAAAGTATGCCTTTCCTATGCGGGTTTCACATCCCATGAATACTGAACTTTCTATATGTGGATGTAGATGCAGAACCCTGGATACAGAGGACCAACTTTATTTATTGAAAAAAATCTGCATGTAAGTAGACACATGCAATTCAAACCCATGTTGTTCTAAGGTCAATTGTACTTATAACCTTGATTGTGTTTTTGAAATGCCATTTTTCCATTGAATGAAGGAAATTAGGGCTTCTTAGAAAATGGTTGAATCCAGTCTGGGTCAGGAAACATACAAAATTAGCATAGAACAAATTTTGTCAATGTGATGAGCAGGACTATCAAAAACTAATAGTCATGAACAAAGATCCCCATTTTTCCCAAATGAGGCAGTCTGAGCTTCAATAAAGTAAAGCATGTTAGTAAATTAAAACCATCAACCAATTTAAATCCATGAGTTCAGTTTTGGATATTATATTTGTTACTTCTTATTAAGTAACAAATTACCCCCCCCCCATTTAGTAATTATTTATCTCACAGTTTCAAGGCTCTATTGGGACATATTGGGACAGAGTCTGCTCTGAATTTTACTCATGTGGCTATTGACAAGCCTTGGGTAGCCACTAGTTGTTGGTTGAAGACATCAGTTCTTTGCCACATGGGTTTCTCCATAGGGCAATTCATAGCATGGTAGCTGACTTCTATCATGGCTAGTGAGGGAGAGAGCAAGACAATGTGACGATGACAGAAGACACAGGCTTTTGGTAACCTAATCTCAAATATGGCCTCCATACTTGGCCATATTCTTTTTACTAAAAGCGAATCATTTGGGCCAGCCCACAGATTAAACGAGGGCAGAATTATTGGGGGCCGTCTTGGAAGTTGCCTTCCATGAACTGAAAATCAATTCATTATCTAAAACCTGGGTAAATATATCAAACCTTAGGGGAGAGAATCAAGTCATTTTTATATAAACTGTATTACTAAGTAAACTAGTAGATGAGATAAAGCGTCTTTTTATATAATCATTTCAGTTTAATATATAAAACAAATTATAGAATCAAAATATCAATATTTGAAATTCATATCAAATTAACGAACATAGGTATGGAGCATAAACTTATCTTAATATTTTTTAAAAAGTGATTAGGCAATAAACAGGGAATCTAGCTTCTTCAACAGATTAAGAAAGGGATGGAAGGGAAGCCTGCAGATTAAAAAGATTTAACCAACTAACCAATTTTAAAAACTAGACAAGATTAGGACGTAGTATCTAAGGATGTGTACTGAGTGATTAAAACATAATGAAATGATAATATTATGACTACAAAGGCAAGGTGGTGGTTAAATTTGAGGGAGGGAAGGGGCTCTGATTGGGTGGGGTGCATGAAGGCACTTCTTGGAAGGTTTTTCCAAGGTGGTTCACCTAATGATAATTCATTAAGCCATTCATTTGTTTTAAGCAGATTTTCTTATCTGGATTATTACACAAGAAGAAAAAAGTTTAAAAACACCTAATATCTTCATTATTTTAATGCAGTTCCTGTATTTCAATACAAGAAATGGCAGCTTAGTACCACTTGCCAAATTAGAAAGACATAATTTGGTCAGAATAAAAATCCTGTTTTTCTTAAGAGAGATTAGCTGAACTTTTTGCAATATTGCTACTATACCAGTACCCTCAGTGGGTATTCTGTTTTTTTTTTTTTTCTGGTACACATAGCTAGTGAGGAGAGAGCAAGTCAGTGTGAGCAAGACAACATGTAGAAAATTTAAGATATTGTACATGTAATATCTTAAATTTTCTGAATCATTCTTATGGCCAATCACATTTGTCCAAAATATCTTCAATGATAATTCCTATCCCATGTGCGATAATTCCTATCCCATGTGCACTTTGGCAGTGAGATCTTGCTAGTTTCTCATCAACAGGTGGAGTCTAATTCTGTGCCTTAGAAACTGGGTGACTTAGTGACATACTTGATCAATGGAATGAGCACAAGTGACATTCTCTAAATTCCAAACCCAAGCCCTATGAGAATGGCAGCTTTTGACTGGATCCCTTGGAATACTCCCTGTTGTAACATTCCTTGCGACTCAATAGTCATGGTATGAGAGGCTCAAGCCACACTAAGATGCCACCCACTGACACTGGGCAAAGTTCTGGCTGAGTTTCCACTCAACAGCCAGCATCAACTGCTAGTCATGTGAGGAACCATCTTTATATTCCAGGCTAACTGAACCTGCAGATGACTGCTGTCTTATCCAATATGACGTAAAATAGTAGAATCACCATCCAGAGTTAGTCAACATAAAAGCAGTAACAGATAATAAATGGCTGTTATAAACCACTAAATTTTAGTGTGGTTTGTTATGCAGCAAAAGATACCAAACATGGACATCATCTAGGGCAGGTTACTCTTCAAGATCCCTACATAGTAGCATTCAACTCAAATTAATCCAACTATTGCCTTGTCTTTTTTGGGCAGTTGTTATGAATATTATCATTTTAAAAAATGTAATTTATAATACTTGTGTTACACATATTTTGACTAAAATCAGTGTTATAATCTTGTTGTGACATGATAAATCTATATGTTCCTTTCTGTGAAAGATCTAATTCACAATACTAAAAAGACTACTCTTTATTTTTCTTTCTCAATTTTGAGAAAATCTTTAACCACTGCATAAATATTTATAAACTCTCAAATAATTTCTGGCTTTGAATAGATAGGTAGATGACAGATAGATAGATAAATGATGATAGGTAGAGAGATAGAGAGATAGATAGATAGATAATAGCAGTATTGGCATTGGATTATTTATTTCCTGAAAGATCTCCTTTTTGTTTTGTTTTGTTTTGTTTTTTTAGCTTCTAAATTTCACTTATATTGTCTTAGTGCTATGTAGCTACTTAATTCATGGGTTATGCTTGTATTATTTTACCCCAATGAAGTATAGGATTTGTACCCAAATTTAACTAGTTACCAATTCAAATTATACTTAAGGGTTTTCATTGTTTTGATTAAATAGCAAATCAAACTGAGACACTTTCAAATGTCCCAAAATGTAAAGAATTGGTGAATTTGCAACTAAAAGTTTGCATAAAATAACTTTTCTGTGTTTACATCTACTTCTATCTTAAACTTTATTATTTTAAATATTTATCAAGCTAAATATCAGTATCTAAATTGATTTTGTTTATAATCAGTATAAACACATTGTAGCCGTGTGAGGTATCTGGGGAAGTCTTCAAATCTTAACCTTCATATTTTAACAAAACATATTTCCTTATGTTTTATTGTTGTTGCAATCTTTACTACAGAGATGGACTAAGGTTATGCCCTTTCCTTTTCTTCTAATTTTTTACTCAAGAAAGAGGAAGGATAATTAATGCTGGTTATAGTCTGAGAAATGCTATCAGCTTTTAGTAGACTTACTAAATTATGTTTGGTTTTTTAAAACATACTGTGTGTTTTAACTGGCTATTGAAACTCTCATGGGTTCATGGGGTCATTTAAACATAAGAGGATGTAAATACTCTGTGAGAATCAAAGTGAAGAAAATGAAGATCAAAGTGATTTAGTTTACAGCTTTCATGAAATGTGAGGCCAGATTTTGACTTTTTTTCCCTAATGATACTAACCATATACTCTGCAGACTAATGTATCGGTGGTTGTACCCTGCTGAATATACTATTTAACATATTGAAATATAGGCCTACTCCATTTTTTCTAAAATGATATTAAAACATGAAACTTAAAACTGGAACAAAATGGAACTATTGGAATAAACTGGAAACTTCAAATAGAGTCCACAAGTCTTGGTCAGGGTGGGTAGAGAAATAACAGGGTAGATGCTCAATCCTTACATTGAGCACAGACATATTTTTTCCACAAAAGTAATAGAATATAATTAGTCAATTAATTATGCAACTGTAAGTGGACAGGATATTCAAAAGGTTATAAATTTGGTGTAAGATATATATATATATATATATATATATATATATATTTTTTTTTTTTTTTTTTTTTTTTTTTTTTTTTTTTGAGACGGAGTATTGCTCTGTCACCCAGGTAAGAGTGCACTGCTGCAATCCCGGCTCACTGCAACCTCTGCCTCCCAGGTTCAAGCAACTCTCCTGCCTCAGCCTCCTGAGTAGTTGGGATCACAGGCGTGTGCCACCAGGCCTGGCTAATTTTTGTACTTTTAGTAGAGACAGGGTTTCACCATGTTGGCCAGGCTGGTCTCAAACTTCTGACCTCAGGTGATCTGCCGGCCTCGTCCTCCTAAAGTGCTGAGATTACAGGCGTGTACCACGGCACCTGGCCTGAGACTTAAAGTATATTTCTAAAATGGATTCAAACACTTTCAAAGTCAAGATATTTCTTTCTGAAAAAAGATTTTTGTCTACAAACCGGAACTCTTCACATGCACCCCAGTGAACACTGTGCAAGATGAGGACATGTGATTGGTTGAAACGTCCATTTACTGCTCTGCCATCACATCTTTCTCCTCTCCCCCCAGCTCCACGCCTTACCTTGTGTTCAGAGGATTTCAGGGTGTTAAGATTTTAAATCTTATTTTAAATGCCTACTTGTGAACTCTGCTTGCATGCCCACTGTGTTGCTTCCTTTTCTTTTCTTTTCTTTTGAGACGGAGTCTCACTCTGTCACCCAGGCTGGAGTGCAGTGGCGCGATCTCGGCTCACTGCAAGCTCCGCCTCCCGGGTTCACGCCATTCTCCTGTCTCAGCCTCCCGAGTAGCTGGGACTACAGGCGCCCACCACCACGCCCGGCTAATTTTTTGTATTTTTAGTAGAGACGGGGTTTCACCGTGTTAGCCAGGATGGTCTCCATCTCCTGACCTCGTGATCCACCTGCCTCGGCTTCCCAAAGTGCTGGGATTACAGGCATGAGCCACCACGCCCAGCGTGTTGTTTTCTTATAGTCTTCTCTCAGCTGAGAAAAGAAATAGAGAACACTTTGTAGTGAAAAACATCATTTCAATAATGCATTTTACTTCATCAATTCGATGGAATCACCTTGGTGATTCTCCAAGAACTCTAATCCTCCAATACCTGTTCTCCCTCCTTCCATTAGAATTGTACTTTAAAAAAATCCTTGGCAGTTGGCCCCTAGATATGGTCAAGTGACTGATGACTTAAACGAGGTGTTTTAAATGAGGATGCTCTGGGGACACTTCCAGAAAGCTCTGTTGAGATTAAGCTAGCCTATGCCCTTTAGTCTCTTGAGAAAAAAAATTTCTCTCTCTTTTCATACGCAGCCTGTATGGATACCAACTTGGAGCATGAGCAGGAAGGACGCACCCAAAAGATGATGAATGAATGACTTTGAAGGAATCCTAAATTCCTGAGGACTTGATAGAATAGAGCCACCATACTGGTCCTAGACTACCAAGTTCCAGAACCTTATAAAGGAGAGAAATACATTTCTGTTTCATTCAGAACAATGCCTTTTAAATTTTTTTTGAATGGAGACATTTATTTCACTTAGCCAAATATAATTCCAGTAAATTTAGTCATAATCAGATTTTTCTACCAGTCTGTGTATTTGTGACAGTATTTAGCCCTTGGTTTGGGATTTACATTCTGGACCATATGTATCAAGAAATTACTGAGCACTTATCAAATGCAAAGTTATTTGGTGCACAGGATGGCGAGTTGATCTTTATGAAAATAAAGAAGACTCTGTAGGGAGCTATCCACAGCCTGCATGCTGAGACTGAAGCTATCCACAGCTTGCATGCCTAAAGAAAGTGACTTTGGACTTTATAATGAAAACATTTAAATCTAAATCTGTGCCTCCTCATTCTGCCCCACCCCCATGCTTGCTCTTAACTAGAAATGCATGAAAACCATATTGTCTTGCTAATAAGCATGCCATTTACTGAATATTTTTGCTCTCCATTTCTACTTACGCTAACCTTGTCTAAGGAGGACTGCAAACATTAAAATTAACATTCAGAGCTTTTCACCTGGCACAAACTTTATTTGCCTTAGACATGTGGATAAAGTTGCTTTTGGTAAAAATATAGAGTGTTTGTTATTGTTTAGGCTTATACACATCTGTTCAAGTAATAGCCGTTAGAAGCTAATGACCTTTAATCAATTCTCTTTCTACGCTAAAGACCATGCAATATTTTCTAGAAAACAACAGTAGAAGTGTAGCCTAAATATCCAATATCTGGTTGGGCATGGTGGCTGAGGTCTGTAATACTAGCACTTTGGGAGGCCAAGGCAGACAGATTGCCTGAGCTCAGGAGTTCAAGACCAGCCTCAGCAACATGGCGAAACCTCATCTCTACTAAAAATGCAAAAAAATTAACCAGGCATGGTGGCTCACGCCTGTAGTGCTAGCTACTTGGGAGGCCGAGGCAGGAGAATTGCTTCAATCTTGGAGGTGGAGGTTGCAGTTAACTAAGGTGGCGCCACTGCACTTTAGCCTGGGCAACAGAGCAAGACTCCATCTCAAAAAAGAAGGGAACAAGGGCATTACCACTATTATAAGATGATCAAATTGTAGCTTGAAATAATTCTAAAAACTAATGGCAATCTTGTTTATGAATTTAATAATAATGGGTGTTCTTGATACAACTATATCAATAACCCCATTGTTAATTAACAATATTAATAACTGATAATTCAGTTTCATACCTAATTTTCAAGCTTTCTTTAAGCAGGAAATCCTAAAATCTCCTCTGGTAGAGGTGTCAAAATATTCTAAAGACAGAAGAGATAGGGAGAAGACATAAATGATTCACAGTAGAGATTTTTGATGTTTGAAAATTAAGGAGCCAAGTGAATATAGCAGCCAAGTAGATTTCTTGGTTTACTCAAGAAAGAACAGGCTTGCTTTTAAGAAATCAAAACAGTTTTCTCAATTGTAGTCCACTCCAACATCATATATTAAGTGGTGGTACTGTGGGATCAAGAATAAGGCTCTTCTCCATAGAATTTACCTCTCCTTCAGCATCTGTGAGTCTACAACCTGCACAACTGCACGTGGCTGCCCTGATCCACTATCCACCCATTCGCCTAAACTAGAAATATGAGATTCATCCTTGATTTCCTTTCATATTTCCCTTATCCACTTCTCTCCCTTCTGACTGCCACTTCCTAGTTCCCAAGCTGCTTCTGGGAGTGTTTTTCTCCTAGCAAAGAGCTCAATAAACATGTGTAAGAATAAATGATTTGACTAGATATGAGCTATGATTAACCTGTTTCCTCAAGGAGTGCTCTGCCAAGAATGAGCAGATGGACACAAAAGCTCCTTGTTCTTTAGGCTGTTCAGGTATCACCTCCTCCAGGAAGCCTTTGGATCCTTTCCCACCAATCAGACTGGGGTATGTGACCTTCCTCTGATTTTCCAAAGCACCCCCTCCCCCCAAAAATGAAAAGATCAAATATCAAATGTGAACTAACTTCAGCATGTTACCATTTCTTTATGGGGTCGATGTAGGTCTCATTTCCTCAGAAAATAGGTTCCCTAGGAAGACTTTTTCACCTTCAAGATGGCTGCCAGGTAGGACATTTTATAGAGAGCTGGTGTCAGCTTCTCTATAAAGCTTAATTTTTGAACCAGGGCAAACCAGCCCCCTCTAGGCTCACAAACACCCCACAGTTTCCTCTTAGGCATATCTGGCTGAGAGGCAGCTGCTGCTGACAATGTGTGCTGGGGTCTGGTCCCACAGCTCCTGGGATGAAACAGGCAGGTGAGATCGATGTGAAAGAGCAACCATCAGGTGGAAGCACAGGGCGAGGTTGTCTTTTTTATATTTTATATGAAACTTTTCTGTGAACTAAGAAAAAAACATAAATTGAGTAGGATTTTACAGCAGGGAGTATTGATGATGTTCAAGTTGATTTTCCCTTTCATCTTTTATTTTAAATTTGACAGTGTCTGCTTATGTATGTGTAAGATGACTCTCCCTGAACAAACTTGAGTAGATGCCCTGAAAGGTTAAAGGAAATATGGATGAAATAATTTCCCAGCTTTTTGGATGACATAATTTCCCAGCTTTTATTACTATGTTTAAGTAGTTTTCTACAGGGAAATGAATCTATCATTAAAATGCATCTTCCTCTATCCTGTTTCCCTTTCTGAGTAAAACGTGTAATTTATAGAAAGTTTTTAATGACTGTATTTTAAGCGATCTATTTTTCAAAAAGATTATGGCTCAGGTAAAGGGAAGGGTCTTACTCCCCTTCTCAAATATATCCTGTATTCTCATGGGGTGTTTTTGCAACATCGGAGATAAAATTTCATTCATTTTCATGACAGATTGAAGAACTATCTCTCCTCAACAATGTGTTCTATCACATGTGAGAAAGTCTTTACAGATTGGAAACTATTTTTCAATTTATTCCCAACTTGATAACCATGTTTCTTTGAAGAAAAATTATTTTGAGGAAAAATTAATAGAATATCTGAAGGAAAATTAAGGAAGGATGATTATGCATTAAGAATGATCTAGGTAAACTATACAACTTTGATTTTTCTCAAAATGAAAAAAAAAAAAGCACAACAATTACCTTTTTCTTTCCTAAGTTTTCTTTCCTAAGTTACCCGCTTTTCCTTCAAATGCCTTACCTTTCTGAACAGATGTGCATGTGGACACATGCATGCATGTGCAGACACACACACATACACACACACACACACACACAGTTTCCTTCAGACACAGGTTCCTTCAGACAAGTGTTCAATTCCCTTACCTGCTTTGACAAGAAATGCTTAGTGCAGTCACACGCCAGAGACTATGGTTATACAAAAGTCACAGACCAATAAAGATCACTTACATTTCTTATGAGCATTTTCATCTTCCTTTCGAGGCAGTGACGCTAGAAAAGGAAAAAGGTAAATGTTAGGGATCCTGACTATCAAATTCTTAGAGAAACTCTCATTCCCTCCAAATAATTTGATAGCCATTAAACTTTTGTTATCTTGCCTTAGGAAAAATGACCTTTTCCAATCTGCTCCTCATGATAAGGTGTTTTCTCTTTCAAAATGAAGTTAAAGCTTTGACCCTTTTCCTGGATAACATATAGTAAATTAAGAAAAACTAGTAATTTTTTTAAAACATTGTCTTAAAGGACAATGTTTTAAATGTTTAGGGTCAGAGCACGATAAATGTGTACTTAGTTTGTGTGAATATTTGTGGTTTCTTCTTTAAATTGCACGTGAAAGAGAAATAGCTGGTTTTCATTGTTTGGTGGGCAATGAAATTTTTGGGGTAACGTGCGTACTATAATAAAAGCAACTGAAAGATTTGGCTACACGACTCTGCACTCTTTTTTTTTTCTTTTATAACTCTTATTCCTGTTTATTTAATGCAAACCCTAAAACTTCTCTTTTTTTATTTTTTTTTTAAATTATACTTTAAGTTCTAGGGTATATGTGCACAACGTACAGGTTTGTTACATGTGTATACATGTGCCATGTTGGTGTGCTGCACCCATTAACTCATCATTTACATTAGGTATGTCTCCTAATGCTATCCCTCCCCCATCCCCCCACCCACGACAGGCCCTGGTGTGTGATGTTCCCCTTCCTGTGTCCAAGTGTTCGCATTGTTCAATACCCACCTATGAGTGAGAACATGCGGTGTTTGGTTTTTTGTCCTTGCAATAGTTTGCTGAGAATGATGGTTTCCAGCTTCATCCATGTCCCTACAAAGGACATGAACTCACCCTTCTTTATGGCTGCATAGTATTCCATGATATATATGTGCCACATTTTCTTAATCCAGTCTATCATTGATGGACATTTGGGTTGGTTCCAAGTCTTTGCTATTGTGAATAGTGCCGCAATAAATATACGTGTGCATGTGTCTTTACAGCAGCATGATTTATAATACTTTGGGTATATACCCAATAATGGGATGGCTGGGTCAAATGGTATTTCTAGTTCTAGATCCTTGAGGAATCGCCACACTGTCTTCCACAATGGTTGAACTAGTTTACAGTCCCACCAACAGTGTAAAAGTGTTCCTATTTGTCCACATCCTCTCCAGCACCTGTTGTTTCCTGACTTTTTAATGATCACCATTCTAACTGGTGTGCAATGGTATCTCATTGTGGTTTTGATTTGCATTTCTCTGATGGCCAGTGATGATGAGCATTTTTCATGTGTCTTTTGGCTGCATAAATGTCTTCGTTAGAGAAGTATCTGTTCATATCCTTTGCCCACTTTTTGATGGGGTTGTTTGTTTTTTTCTTGTAAATTTGTTTGAGTTCTTTGTAGATTCTGGATATTAGCCCTTTGTCAGATGAGTAGGTTGCAAAAATGTTCTCCCATTCTGTAGGTTGCCTGTTCACTCTGATGGTAGTTTCTTTTGCTGTGCAGAAGCTCTTTAGTTTAATTAGATCCCATTTGTCAATTTTGGCTTTTGTTGCCATTGCTTTTGTTGCCATTGCTTTTGGTGTTTTGGACATGAAGTCCTTGCCCATGCCTGTGTCCCGAATGGTATTGCCTAGGTTTTCTTCTAGGGTTTTTATGTTTTTTTATGGTTTTATTGAAGTCTTTAATCCATCTTGAATTGATTTTTGTATAAGGTGTAAGGAAAGGATCCAGTTTCAGCTTTCTACATATGGCTAGCTGGTTTTCCCAGCACCATTTGTTAAATAGGGAATCCTTTCCCCATTGCTTGTTTTTCTCAGGTTTGTCTATGATCAAATGGTTGTAGATGTGTGGTATTAGTTCTGAGGGCTCTGTTCTGTTCCATTGGTCTATATCTCTGTTTTGGTACCAGTACCATGCTGTTTTGGTTACTGTAGCATTGTAATATAGTTTGAAGTCAGGTACTGTGATGCCTCCAGCTTTCTTTTGGCTTAGGATTGACTTGGCAATGTGGGCTTTTTTTTTGGTTTCATATGAACTTTAAGTAGTTTTTTCCAATTCTGTGAAGAAAGTCATTGGTAGCTTGATGAGGATGGCATTGAATCTATAAATTACCTTGGGCAGTATGGCCATTTTCACGATATTGATTCTTCCTACCCAAGAGCATGGAATGTTCTTCCATTTGTTTGTGTCCTCTTTTATTTCGTTGAGCAGTGGTTTGTAGTTCTCCTTGAAGAGGTCCTTCACATCCCTGTAAGTTGGATTCCTAGGTATTTTATTCTCTTTGAAGCAATTGTGAATGGGAGTTCACTCATGATTTGGCTCTCTGTTTGTCTGTTATTGGTGTATAAGAATGCTTGTGATTTTTGTACATTGATTTTGTATCCTGAGACTTTGCTGAAGTTGCTTATCAGCTTAAGGAGATTTTGGGCTGAGATGATGGGGTTTTCTAAGTATACAATCATGTCATCTGCAAACAGGGACAATTTGACTTCCTCTCTTCCTAATTGAATACGCTTTATTTCTTTCTCCTGCCTGATTGCCCTGGCCAGAACTTCCAACACTATGTTAAATAGGAGTGGTGAGAGAGGGCATCCCTGTCTTGTGCCAGTTTTCAAAGGGAATGCTTCCAGTTTTTGCCCATTCAGTATGATATTGGCTGCGGGTTTGTCATAAATAGCTCTTATTATTTTGAGGTACGTCCCATCGATACCTAATTTATTGAGAGTTTTTAGCATGAAGGGCTGTTGAATTTTGTCAGAGGTCTTTTCTGCATCTATTGAGATCATCATGTGGTTTTGTCTTTGGTTCTGTTTATATGCTGGATTACGTTTATTGATTTGTGTATGTTGAACCAGCCTTGCATCCCAGGGATGAAGCCCACTTGATCATGGTGGATAAGCTTTTTACAGCTCCAGTCTACAGCTCCTAGTGTGAGTGACGCAGAAGACTGGTGATTTCTGCATTTCCAACTGAGGTACTGGGTTCATCTTCACTCTTACAGTCTTTTCATTGACTGAAGGAAAAGAGCTTTGCCCAAATTAGTTGGAGGGTAAAAGTCACTATCTAATTACAATGACAAAGGGAAACATTACTAGAGATGATATTCTTTTCAGGGACAATTAGCACATATTGAGTGAGATAAAAATGTTAATCACCATTAATAAATTAAACACAATGTTTTAAAAGGTGAGAAGGTTTGATTTTTCACTTGTGAGATAAATATGCATGTGTATAATAGTAAATATGTAAGAAACCCATTATGAGCTAGGACTCTGACCTGTGGACCTGCAAGTGAAATTTATCATACCAAATTTAATGGATAAAAAATTGAAAGAGGATAAGATCCCCGTCTATGGTCTCTTAATTTTGAGCTTACAAGCGGTAGGATAAAAATTAGTATTTTGTTCTCATGATGGCCTACATTTATTCATTCAGTCTTAATTGAAGAGTTACTATGAATTTAGGTTGTCTGTTTGTTTAAAAATCCAATATATAGACTTTCAATAAAATAAAAGAACAAAATAATGATCAGCGAAGCTATGTTGTTTGCACACACGGAGAGACTTTTTGAAACTTCAATCATTACTTGTGATATTTGCTTAATTTTATGAGGATTATACTTCGGCAGTTCATTCTGCTTCAATAATAGTCTTTTTTTTAAAAAAAAGAGAATATTTATCATTGTACAAGTTACTTATTTGTATTAATTATCTTAGCTTGTCAATGTGAACTTACCTAATCAAATGTACTACATTGCATCAGAAAGAGGGAAAAATCTGCTGATAAAAGCTTCGTTTTCTTAAAGATACCTATTTCATATTATATCATAGGAGTTTTATCATAAAATGTTTACATTTAATTCTCTGGAAAAGTTCCTCAAGAATAGATTTAGTCATGATTTAATGTGCCATAAAATACTATTTTTCCTTAGAGAAGAGTGTTTTTAAACAGTGTAACAGTTTACTTCCCAAACCTAAAACCATTGACCCTTTAGTTAAAGGATAATAGGTAGTTTCATGATTAGCATGTTCATGGAAGTAATGAAATTCATACTCACTTAGCCAAGAAATATGGCTCAGAAAATAAATTAGCAAGCTGTTTCAAACTTCTTGTCACTTGATTCATCTTCAGACTTCTCCTATAGCTGTGCCTGAAAAATCATGAGAAAAGAAGGCAATTTATCAGAGCCTTATTCCAAGGTGTTTTTTGCAGTGCTGGGATCTTGATTTAAAATTGATTTTTATAATTATAATTGTAATTGCCCTTACTTTGCAATTCTTGCATTGACTCCTTCCTTTTGAATCAAGATAGATAAAAATAGACAAATTCTCTTTAAGAGTACAAAGGGTCATGCTAATTTCAAACCACAAGCTGTCAAAACCCTAGTACTCTCCTGGCCCAGTCATTTCATACTTGATAAGTAAACCCACTTGAGGAATGTTTATATGCCCTGATGCTTTTGGACACATTCACTGACAGAACACATTCTTTGAAGAAATATATCAAAAGTGTTTATCTCCCTGAGTGTTACCCTAAATGCTGTCAGTGCTAATGATATCAGGACATGGATTAAATAAATCCTTTTGAGAGTGACTGTGGGTATTTCCACATTCAAATCACAAATACAGAAATTTTGGCTGCAAAAGTGGGCAACAGATATTTCAACATGCACAGCGTTTTGCTTGTATAAAAAGCTTTAATAGAGAACTGCCCCAGAGAAGCAGTGCTGTCATTCTTGGATTTCACATACAACTACTGCCTTCCACAAGCAGGAAAAAGGTACATTAATGCACAAATTGCATATGTGAGTATCATTATATCACAGTGTAGCAAAAATATAATAATAACACGGTTATTTATGTATTTATTTATTTAGAGAGGGAGTCTCACTCTGTCTCCCAGGCTGGAGTGCAGTGGCAAGATCTCGGCTCACTGCAACCTCCGCCTCCTGGATTCAAGCGATTCTCCTGCCTCAGCCTGCTGAGTAGCTGGGATTACAGACACGTGCCGCCACACCTGGCTAATTTTTGTATTTTTAGTAGAGATGGGGTTTCACCATGTTGGTCAGGCTGGTCTCGAACTCCTAACCTTGTGATCCACCTGCCTCAGCCTCCCAAAGTGCTGGGATTACAGGCGTGAGCCACTGTGCCTGGCCCAACACGGTTATTTTTAAAGTGATGACTAGGTAATGCTGGTTCTTTTAGTGACAATAATGAGTGTAAATTGTGTGTCCTTCCTGCCTTCCATTTTCTCACACCATCAATGAATATAGGCTATTATTTACCCTGCCCTATTTAAGTAATCAAGCCATTAATTTCTGTACAAATGATACTGTGAATTCAGAGACTAAATCTATTATCTTTATTATCAGCATAACAATGTCCTCTACCTTCTTTCAATAAAAATTGATTTTTCAAGGAATTGATATTTTTCAGCATGTTTTTCTTTATATCTGCAATCATTTATTTTATAGCAATCCCAAATAAGTATTTTACAACAAAAGATCACATATAAAACACAATTTACATACTCTTTGTATAAAATGCTTTTATTTCTAAATGACAGTGATTTTTATGTTAAGAAACGTATTTAGTTTTCACTTAGTTTACTTAATTCATTATGAAAATGATTATTGTATATTTATTGGTGGCAAAATAACATCAACATTTATTATATTTATGTGTATATTAAATGTTAGAAGTAATTAACAAACAGTGGATTAGTTCTAAACAAATAAACTTGCTTTTATTTCTTTCTTTTTTTTTATTTTTGAGATGGTGTCTCATTCTGTTGCCCAAGCTAGAATGCAGTGGCATGATTTCAGCTCACTGCAACCTCTGCCTACTGGGTTCAAGAGATTCTCCTGCCTCAGCCTCCAGCGTAGCTGGGATTACAGGTGCATACCACCATGCCCAGCTAATTTTTGTATTTTTAGTAGAGACAGGGTTTCACCATGCTGGCCAGGCTGAAACTCCTGACCTCAAGTGATCCGCCTGCCTTGGCCTCCCAAAGTGCTGGGATTACAGGTGTGAGCCAGAGCACCTGGCCGACTGACTTGCTTTTATTTCTAATGACTTTTAATATAAAGGTATTCTTTAACCTTTATTTCACATTATTTTCAATTAAATATGACACATAAAACAAATTCTTACAGCTGTTATTTATACTCTGGAATTAGTGGCTTAATGTTTTAGAAGCCCTTTTAAAAATTCATAGAAAATATGTATTTCACCTAACCATTTTCCAGGCCATCACACATTCATTCATGCATTACCAAAATGAAGAGTTTGTTTTTCTGACTACGATGTCAGGTATTCTACTGTTTTATTTATTATTAGCATTGCAGATAACAATATTTTTAAAATTATTTTTTGTATTGCCTATCTGCATTTTATGACCACATCTATTTCTTAAAGATCAAGAGAAATATAACATTCTATTATTTGGAGAGCTAGTGTCACAATTGAGTGATATTTGTGAAACTTGAAATTATTCAGATGCTGACATAAATTTGTTAGCAGTTTGTGAAACTTTAATAAGAAAAGAGTTGAATAAAGAAATTATTCAAATAGTGGAAATAATGCATTCTTCTCTTTAAACTTCTCTTTTATAACTGATTTTCTTAAACTTAATATTAACAAAGCTCTTCCCTTTAAACAATTTCACAATTGCCACTAAGTGAAATAACCAGATAATTTTTGGAATCGGTGGACTTCATTATGCCTCATGTTATGAATTATATTTAAGAATGAAATAATCCTGCAGAAAAGTTGAAGAGTGGTTGTCTATATAGCTAAAGTCAAGTAAAAATGCCAATAAAAGTTTGAAAAATATACTTTAGATGTATAAGTAAAGCAGGTACGTGACATTCTAATTGTAACTGTGTTTTTTTTTTGTTTGTTTTTTTGTTTTTTTTTGAGTTTAAGTGATTTATTTAAGCCACCTCCTGCCACAAGCAAAGGGATGGAAGATCAGTATACCAGTCATCATCTGATACAAGTAAGGAAAGTGAGCTTAAGGTCTCGTATACTTTTTCTGGTCCGTGCGCAAAGCAACGGTCCAAACCAGTGCTGTGGTCCCCAGTGCCCGGCTAGTGGTCTGGATTCTCTTTATTCATCTTCGCAGCCAGTTGTAAGCGGATTCACGTTTAGAGTTACGGAATAGAGTAGGGTTACCATCTCCCCAGGGAAACGGCTTGGTCCTGATGCTAAGATGGGGGTAGGGGATGAACTCGTGTCCCTAGTGCTCTCCGTGGTGCGACTTCAGGAACACATTCAGCATGCTGTATGCTACTCCGGGGAGCACGACGAAGTAGGTGAGGGCCTTCCACATGCGAGCTGAGCCCCCTTCGCCATGGGCGCCACTCGACATAGGCCACCCCAGCTGTGGGCGGGACCGACCCAGCAGCCAAGAAACCCAGGACACTGCAGCTGCCTCCATTTTCGACCTGGACTCTGCAACTGTTAAAGTATTATTTTAAATCTCTACCCAATAGTTTCTATCAGTATGTATTTATAAAATGGATAAGAAAAAAACCCACTAGAAAGAGCTGCATAACAACCCATTGAACCAGAGTTGCTCCATTGCCATAGCTGATGCTTTGAAACTGATGTGGCACAAACTGTAGTGAACTACAGTGAAAAAAGGAAGTTCAAAAACAAAAGCAGTATTATTTATTTATTTTTAGTATTCATGCTTTTCAGAACTAAGTTCTGAAGAAGAAAAAAAGCTTTAACAAAAAGCAGATTTTTGGGCCGGGTGCGGTAGCTCATGCCTGTAATCCCAGCACTTTGGGAGGCCGAGGCGGGCGGATCACGAAGTCAGGAGATCGAGACCATCCTGGCTAACATGGTGAAACCCCGTCTCTACTAAAAATACAAAAAATTAGCCAGGCGTGGTGGTGGGCGCCTGTAGTCCCAGCTACTTGGGAGGCTGAGGCAGGAGAATGGCGTGAACCCAGGAGATGGAGCTTGCAGTGAGCCGAGATCGCGCCACTGCACTCCAGCCTGGGTGACAGAGCGAGACTCTGTCTCAAAAAAAAAAAAGGAAAGAAAAAAAGCAATTTTTTTTTTTATTACCAGCTTTAGCCCATACCATGTTAGTTTTAAAGAGATGGTAGAGTTGATAAAAATTTATAAGGATGATGTGGAGCTACTTACTACAGGCTGTGTTTCTTTTTTTTTTTTTAATCCTATAGATGATCCGAATACCACTTGAGTTGAAATATTTTATTTTAAATATAAAGAAGGAATACTCTCTATTATTAAATTGAAAATAAATAAAACCAATTCTGGAAGAAAAAAATAATAACAAGTAAATGTTTACATTTCTCTTATTAGGAATTAATGTGTGTGTGTTCATTTATCTTTTTTTTTTTTTTTTTTTTTTTTGAGACAGAGTCTCGCTCTGTTGCCCAGGCTGGAGTGCACTGGCACGATCTCGGCTCACTGCAAGCTCCACCTTCCGGGTTCACACCATTCTCCTGCTTGAGCCTCCCGAGTAGCCTGGACTACAGGTGCCTGCCACCACGCCTGGCTAATTTTTTGTACTTTTTTAGTAGAGACTCACTTATCTTAACAGATACCTGTAATATTCATTCTCCTCTATAGTCCACTGTACTTAGTTCTCATGTACAATTGTTTATTTCTATTTATAGTATATATGAATGTGTAACTATTATGTGTTATTTGTTATATACAAATGGCTGCTATATGAAGATATAAAATAAAAGTATATCATTATATGTATATATATCTTTATATAACTCTGATTTGGTTCTAACTGAAATTACTAGGCATTACCATAAACTTTTAAATATTCTATTTGTCTTATACTCAGTATATTTGATACCATTTATAGAAAGAAACCTCAAAGACTATTAGAATACTACTTTATCTTAAATATTTTATTTCTTGGAATGTAGCACGATAATTGTAAAATTTTTAAAGTAACTCTTTTACTAAATTTTTTTTTTTTTTTTTTGGGATGGAGTCTCACTCTGTCGCCCAGGCTGGAGTGCAGTGGCTCGATCTCGTCCCACTGCAAGCTCCGCCTCCCGGGTTCACGCCATTCTCCTGCCTCAGCCTCCCAAGTAGCTGGGATTACAGGCGCCTGCCACCACACCTGGCTAATTTTTTTTTTTTTTTTTTTTTTTTTTGGATTTTTAGTAGAGACGGTTTCACCGTGTTAGCCAAGATGGTCTCAAACTCCTGATCTCGTGATCCACCCGCCTCGGCCTCTCAACGTGTTGGGATTACAGGTGTGAGCCACCATGCCCAGCCCTCTTTTACTAAATTTTTACAAAGAATTTGGTTTTCAGATATTATGTCCACAGTTTAATATATAAGTGTATATTATCATTTTATGAATGATTCCTCTGTTTTAAAAAGTGTGATATCATTTTTTGTTGACTGAAATGAGAAAAATATTACATTTAATCAACATCCAATTAAGTTTTAAAGCAAAGAATAACTTTGTATTTGCATTTTTATCTTATTCATATACATGAAATTATGTTTAGTGAATACTTAATTTTGTACTCTTCTATATTTTCATTGATTTGTTATAGTGGAGTAGCCACTGACACTGATGTTTATTTACACTTGATTTGTTAGAAATAGCTTATTATATATTTTTCATAAAATCAGATAAGAATTACAGATTAGTTGGCTAAAGGAGCAAGTCCAAATAATTCCTAATATACCTTCTAAAATGGCTGTCAGTAGCAAGTCAAAGATCTTCTGTAAGAGGAAATCATACAAAACACTGTAAACTGGCTATTGTTTTTGATATTTGCTCAATGGATCCAACACCCCTCCAAGTGGTCCCTTCCCTTTTCCACTCAGCCTTCGTGGAGATAGTCTCCAGCAAGCTGAAGTAGCAATGTTGTGCATGGGCTCAAGAGCTCTTGTCTGTGCTGAAGACCTTTATATATATGTATACACATACAGGTTGAGTATCCTTTGTCTAAAATGCTTGGAGCCAGAACTATTTTAGATTTCGATAATTTTCAGATTTCAGAATATTAGCATATTCATAATGAGAGGTCTCAGGGTTGAGACTCAAGTCTAAACATGAACTTCATTTATGGTTCATGCACACCTTATATATATTGGCTGAAGGAAATTCTATTCAATTTCTAAAATAATTTCTTGCATTAAATAAAGTATGTGTGCACTGAACCATCAGAAAGCAAAGGCATCACTGTCTCAGCCACCCATGTGGACAATCTGTGGTTGTTTGGCATCACCATCATTCTTGACTCTGAATTTAAATCCTGCCGATAAGTAATTATTTTCTTAAACTTATTCACATGTAAATACTTAGCAGCAAAAAATATAACATACCATCCTGGACAAAATGGTGAAATCTCGTCTTCTTTACTAAAAATACAAAAATTAGCTGGGCGAGGTGGTGCGCGTCTGTAGTCCCAGCTACTCGGAAGACTGAGGCAGGAGAATCGCTTGAACCCCGGAGGCAGGGGTTGCAGCCAGCTGAGATCGCACTGCACCATCTATCTCTCTCTCTCTCTCTCTCTCTCTCTCTCTCTCTCTCTCTCTATATATATATATATATATATATATATATATATAAAAATAACATACATGTGTTAATTATATACCATTTATATATATTTATATATACCATTTATATATATATTAATTATACATATGTGTTAAGAGACCACTTCCTGGTCTCTTAACTGCTTCTGATATTTTTCCTCTCCAAAATAAAAAAGAAAGAATATAGTGTAGAGTAACCTTTTTATCAAAACACAGTATTAATATATTTATATATATATAAATAGTATATATAACATACCATTAATACAGGAAAACATAATGTGTTCAGGGTAACTTCTGATATTTTTCCTCTCCAAAAAAAAAGAAAGAACATAATGTACAGTAACCTTTTTATCAAAACACAGTATTAATATATTAATATATATATTAATGGTATATATAACATACCATTTATACAGGAACACATAATGTGCTCAGGATAACTAAAGCAGCACAGTAGCATCACCAGAATACCTGTATCAGCTCTTAAACAACAGCAACAAGAAACAACAGCAGGCTTTTATTTTCCACTGATGATACTGTGTTTTGATAAAA
The DNA here is from genome assembly GCF_000001405.40 of Homo sapiens. Taxonomy (NCBI): domain Eukaryota; kingdom Metazoa; phylum Chordata; class Mammalia; order Primates; family Hominidae; genus Homo; species Homo sapiens. The sequence goes on along the minus strand of NC_000001.11, from coordinate 80,492,225 downwards.
AGGTTACTCTATGCTATATTCTTTCTTTTTTTTTTTTTTTTGTTTTTTTTTTTGTTGTTGTTGTTGTTTGTTTTTGGAGAGGAAAAATATCAGAAGCAGTTAAGAGACCAGGAAGTGGTTCCTTTTTAGGGATGAGAAGATGTTCTGCTGGATGGCTTTTTAAAATGTTTCCTCCAGAGTCATCTGCCTCATTAACAGTGACTTTTGGTCTTAGAAGTCTTTCTTTGATTTTATAAACTGACATGATTTCCTGTTCTGTTAGGAATGCACGCTGTTGTAGTCCTTCCATAAGCCCACCACACATTTTCACCGTGTGGTCTATAAGCATTTTCCCTGCAGTGTCAACAATATCATTTTCATTGTCCACTTGTGGCATCATGTCGGCACTCAAAAAGTGTTGGATTTTGAGGCATTTCAGATTTCAGATGTTTGGATTAGGGATACAACCTGTAATAAAAGAAACTGTGTCTTTAGAAACTACCTTGAGACACAAAGGTTAAAGACATTTGAGATACTGTCATTAAAAGTGTCCTGTTTTACTTAGAAAGTTAGGCGAAATGCCTCATTGTAAAGGAAAACCTGTCGTCATTTTAGTATGAAACATGGATCTCCCAACATCTTTAAGGTTAAATATGACACAAAAACCTATGTACTTAGAGTTTAAAACTTGTAAGCAGGAGGCCTCTGATTTTTCTCATTCACATGTACCTCCTAAAATCACTACAAGGGCCAAAGTTAAAGATTGACCTCTGAAGTCCTACACTCAGTTTTATTTACAAACAGGACAAAACAAACAAAAACATTCTCTTTGTTTTCATTGCATCTTTAATACTTCCCATTTACCTCTGAATAAAGCTTTGGGTTTTCTCATTTTTGTTATTTTAGGTTAGCCGAGGATGAATCAATGAGCCTTAAGGCCTTGATTCATAAATATGAGAGTTTAATGCATAGATATTCAAACTTACAAATTTCTGAATACATGATATGCTTATAGTGTCTAGAACACATTTATGCACAACATTAGAATATTATGTTACAATACTTTTCCCTTTTCTTTTTAAAAGAGTGAGCACTGGTCATAATCTATGAACATTTTTAAGAACAGAAGAGCCGGTTAAGCATAACCAGTTTCCTTCCATGTCTAATGTGTGATTGTAGCTTCAAGACGGGGAATACATATACAAGTCTACTAAGATACTTGAAACAAAAATACATTGTGCTACCAATTCAGATTACTTTTGGCAATTCAGGTATTTTCCATGTAGCTTCTGCCTGTCAGTAGAATAACTTGTACTGAGTAGTCCTTACTAGAAGGTAGATTTTAAACTGCTCAAATATAAATAGTCTAGATCAAATAAGACTGAATTTCTCCCCATTAATTGTGAATTGGTATTGTTAAAAAATAGAATTTAAGACTTTTTTGTTCTTGATTTAAAGTTCTGTACTTTGCTGTCTCTGCAATATATAATCATTGTTTTCCATGTCAATATTATTAGTATATGATGAATTATTCTGAAAGCAATCATGCATCAATGAATTACTTTTTGGAAAATGTGTTGTACATATATATCAAGGAAACTTAAGCTCATAGACATGTTTAAAATTTCCATGTCACAATATCTTGCATTTTTCAAAGCTTTGACTTAAATTCTGACTTAACAATTACTACAGGTTACAGGTAACATAAGACTCTGAGATGGCTATATATGCAAAAGCAGTCCTGGCATAATGGCATATTTCTGCATTTACTTTAATAAAACTCATGGAAATCATATGAGAATATTTAAATAAATGCAGTCAGTGCATCTGAGTTCCATATCATCCATTCTAATGAATATGCATCGATTCAAAGTTTTGAACAATCACATCATTCCCTTCCCCTCATTTTTCATGTGAAAAGCAAGGACATTCTATTTGAAAATAACATTAACACAATGTCATGATTGAGTATTTAAATGAACAAAAGTCAGGAAAATCATTTTCTCATTTGTCTAGAGCTGTAGCTTGGCAACATAGTACCTATCTTGAAAAATAAAACTGCTAAAAAAGCATGAGATATTCCTAAATAAAACAACCATTTATTTTATTTTCCTGCTAAGCATTTTTAAAGAGAAAAAAAAGGTAATCTCAAGTCATTGACAAGCTAATATTAACAATGCAGCAAACCAAATGAAAAATCCTTAAGTTCTTCTAGTCAATTCAATAAAGCTTTGCCCGAGGCATGTACAAATATGGATGGTTGCAAACTAAAATAAGTAAGCCACATGGCTATGGGGAAAATAATTGTAATCTGATGACCCACCTGGTCTCTCAAAGTGAATTATTTGTATTCAATATTTAGCAAAATCTGCTTGGTATTTTCCCATGAACACTCAATATTTCTAAACCAAACCCATACCCACCAAAATTAACACAATGATTGAAGTGGAAAAATTATTCAAGTATTTCTATTTAGCTAATTATCCTCCTGACTTACTTAAATCTTCTGTGACATTATTTGAAGTAACACCAACAAAATTGCACTTCTCCATAACTAGACATTTGTCTTTATAACCTGGATTTCTTTCTTGGTGGTGGTGGTGGTGGTGGTTTTTTTTTGGAGACAGGATTTCATTCTGTCACCCAGGCTAGAGTGCAGTGGTGCAATCAGGGCTCACTGTCACCTTGACCTCCCTGGGTTCCTGCAATCTTCCTACTTCAGCCTCCCAAATAACTGGGACTACAGGCATATGCCATCATGCCCGGCAAATTTTTGTATTTTTTGTAGAGGAGAGTTCTCCCTGTGTTGCTCAGGATGTTCTCAAACTCCTGGCCTCAAGTAATACTGAGCGGCTGCACCTGGCCCTGGATTTCTTCAGAAAAGAAAAAAGAAAAAATGTTTTATTATTTTAGTGAGCATTTAATTTCAAATCATATGTGATTACTTTTTTTTCTGGAAGAATTTAATGCCCCAGAAACTAGTAAATGATAAATATTAAAATCAGAATTTTTAACCACTTTGATCCTAGTAAGGTTACATTCATGATGTCCTGTGAAAAGTGACAGTATAAGCACACCTTGGTGAATCAGAAAGAGTATCTTGACCTTAACCCAAGCCAATTTTGCTGTACTCTGATAGATAAATTTTTCTGTATACAGATGGCCAAGACAGCAGTGCATGATATGAGTACAGAAGTTGGAAACATTTTATCACAATATTTTGAGAAATAAAGAAAAGAGTTTTTAGGGATTTGAAATAAGAAAAGATAGGTAAAATGAATGCAGTAGGATATGGTCAATACACGTTCTTTATAGGTCCTGTGATAAAAAAAAGTCTCTATGTTAAATATCATTGCATTTATCTTAGAGACTAACAATATGTTGTAAATTTTAAGTTCTGAAAAAATTTGCAGTAATGACATATATTTAAATTTTATTTATTGTTCTTTACATTCTTTGACCTTGGAAATGTTTAAGAAATTATTAATACTGTAACAGGATATTTGTGTTGTTCACAATACATTTTAGGAAAAGGAATCATAAGGAGAACAAATACATTATTGGCAAACTATATATGTACAGATGTCTGAATTACAGAATGATTATACCAAGCATTGTGGGAAAAGAGCTTAGAGAATGTAGTAGAATAGGGATCTTGAATATCATTGCCAAGAAATTATCACATTATCCATAGGCTATGAGGCTGTGAGGAATTGTTAAAGGATTTTTAGTAGACATCTAATACGATCAGATATATATTTTAGAAATATCCCTGACAACAATATTTAGAATCTAATTGGGGGAACAAGAGTTAGGGCTGATAAAACTGAAGTCAAAGAGACCAATTAAAAACTGATTCCAAAAAAGAAAAGTAAAGACCTAACATATTGCTGTGAGATGGGGTTGAAATGAAAGAAATGGAATTGAGGGATATTACATGAGAAGATTAATAGGATTAGGTGGCCAAATTAAATGTGCAAGACGAATGAGATTTAGGAATCTTGGATGAATCTCAAGTCATCATGGAAATAGAGGGAATAGTGACCTAGAAAAACAGGTGAGAACAGCAGTGAAGTTTTTAGATTTTTTGTGTGTGTGTGTGCGTGTGTGTGTGTGCGTGTGCGTGTGTGATGACTTCTTAACCTCAATCTTAGCTAAAGTTTTTTGGCAAAAGACATATTGGAAAGCTTGATGGCTCCATTGAGGTCTCTAGTGGATGGTTAACTAGATATTATAATAGAAAAGCATACCCCATCCCTGTTGTGGCTTAGTAGGAGAATTGAAACTCTCTATCTAGTTTCATCATGGAAACAAATCAAAATTTCTTTCCAGCCATGTACCCAACTTTCTGCCTCCAATTGGTGGAGTTCAATTGATAGATGAATTGCCCATATGGGAAGGATTGCAGCTAAATGAAAACTCTAGGTTGGGATGCACTCTAGATAGGATTGCATTACACATTGGGAGGTCAATGGGTAGCAAGTCAGCCTTTAGAGATTGGTGGTTCTCACTAGATGAAAAAGAATAGAAAACCTGGGTACCGACTCAGGCTCTGTAACACTCCCTGGCAGTGATTGTGCTTCCTTCTGGCATCTCAATCTAATCCTATCCCACCTAATGGCACCCAAACCCCCCAATCTTTCCCCTTGATTGTGATCTAGTTTCCAGAGATGCTTAGGTAACACATGGCCTCAGGGAACAAGGGTAGTGAAGAGACTTAAGTCTGTTCTAAGGTCATCTTCAGACCCTTTTAGCCTTGGTATGAGACCAAATTTGTCCTTCCTTAATTAGAACATTGGCCTCTCAGTACTGCTTATGTTGCTGACAAGTGTGGCCCCACCTCAACCTATTTTCTTCAGTCCACATATACTATATATTTCCCAACTAAATGTCTATTCTTACTCATTCTCATTTACATTCTCTCCTTCACAAGGAAAGAGAAAACTTTTATGTTCTCCTATGCTTCTCTTAGAAACTTCAAGGGACAGTGTTAGATCCTCTTTGTGTCTAAACCAGGGCACAGCAAACTACAGGTTCTGTGCCAAATTTGACAAATGTCATGTTGTATGTTCTGTGACCTAAGAATGATTTTTACACTTTTAAATTGTTGAAAATTATCAGGAGAAGAATAATATTTCCTGACATGAAAATGATGCAAAAATTCAAATTTCAGTATCTGTAAAGAAAGTTTTATTTATTCAGTTATTCATTGCCCATGGTTGTTTGCTTACTACAAGGTCATGGTTGAGAAAATTAGCTGTGACAGAAATTATATGACCTATAAAACCTGCAGAATTTACTCTCTGGCCCTTGATAAAAAGTTTGCCAACCTCTCATCTAGACCATTCTTGCCTTCATTAATACCTGCTATTCCAACAATGTTCCAGACACAAAGCCCCTCTGTGAGGCCTAAACCCCAGAAAGTGGGGCAACAGTAGCTTTTATTTTGAGATTTTCCTCAACTTAAGGAAGTTTCCATCACCACTGAGACTCATTCTAAAAGAAAAATGAGAGCAGCAACTACAGCAACAGCCATGTTTTAGCTCTTCCTCTCTCTTCAAATCACTTCCACCAGGGTAGAAAGAGTTTTCTATCTCCTGTCTGTGTACTTCTGTTCAAACTACTCCTGCCTCTCAGCCCTTTGGTGAAAACAAAGAACTTTTTCTGCCACCAGGAAACCTGGCTTTTAAGATGGAAACCCTGAATTTCAGGACCATGATCTCTGCTATGGATTTACAAATTCAGTTTAAAGCCTCAAAAGCTGCCTCTGTATAAACATCAACTTGAGGATAAATGTTTGTAGAAAACAATTGGTTATGTGTGAATTGTGGGTTATGAATAATGGCTACACAGAAGCCCAGGCGGAAATCCCTAAATTTCCTCTTGCTACCATTTATTAAATACTTATTAATTTGTTTTTCAGACATTATGATAAATGGTTTACCTTTTGTTTATTTAGTTCTAGCAACATCCCTGTAATTTAGACTTATTATATCATTTCACAAATGAGGGGACTAAGACACAGAAATATTAAATAAATTGTCAAAACTTGCTTGGTTAATTCGTAATAGAGACACGTTAATAAGTGAGAGAGGTAAGCCTTCATTGGAAGGCCGAGATGGGAGGATATCTTGAGCCCAGGATTGGTGACCAGCTTGGGCAACATAGTGAGAACCCTGTCTCTACAATTTTTTTCTTTTTTTTAAAGTAGTTGGGTGTTGTGGTGTGTGCCTGTAGTCCCAGTTACTGGAGAATGGCTTGAATCCAGGAACTTGAGGCTGTAGTGAGCTGTGACTGCACCACTGCACTCCAGCCTGGACAACAAAAAGGGACCCTGTCTCAACCTTCCCTCTCTAAAAAAAACAATTGAACCTTTGTCCATACAACTCCAATTCACTGTGCTATGTGTGTGTGTGTGTGTATATGAAAGGCAGAAATAGTCAGGAAAGCTAACTTTAAAATCAGAAAAAAACAAATAGTTATATTAATCCTGGAGAAGAGTTTTGCCCAGTTTGTTATGCTAAGATGCATTAAGTATACAAAACAAAAGTATGTATCCAGCACTTCACAGCACTTTACAGCGTAGTTTTCAATACCTCCATAGTTATAATAGTGAAATGTTTGAGGATAGTTTGATAAAAGCCATAATTATTCTGAAGTTGTTACCAATATGTGTAATACTGAATTGAAAGACTGAATGCTCCAATTTAGTATATTCTGTAAAGCAAACTTCTCATGACAATGTGCTGGTGGTCATAGTGTGGGCAGAATGGCCAAAGGGAAGTGTGGTGAAATATTTATCAAGGGAGAATTTCTGATAACTTCTCTTTACTGAAAATACATTTCCATTTCAATGTTAATATATGTGAGAATTTCCTTTCATGTTGATGGCCTTTGAAAGGTATTTTCTTTTCATACTTGAAGCTGATTTTTAATAATATTTTACTATTCAAGAGCTTTCAGTGATGGAGCATTTTAGAAATGTTTTGATGTTGAATGATATCAACAGCTTTCTAGGCTGAATCCAGTATAAAATAAACTATTTCCACAGCATGATTTACTTGAAATTATACTTCACAGTATACATGGTTTCAGAAAAGATATGATTAAACCATTTTTAAACTTTTAACTAAAAAAAAAATCTGTCTGTCTTTAATATCCTTATCTATAAATCTGGATGAAAATATGAACTGCTAATAATGGTTGATACAAATTACCATTTTATACATAGTGGGCCCAGCAATAAATAAATAAATAAATAAATAAATATACACACACACACACACACGTAAGAATAGGAAAAACAAAAGTAAATATACTGATTAAAAGAAGAAACAAAGAAAAAGCAATATTTCTTTCACCATCTCTACCAAATAGTGTTTGGCATTGCTAAGAATGATTTTCTGGATTGTAATAGAGGAACAACGAAGCGTTCATACTTTTGTTTCATGTTTAAATGTTTATTTTTATGAGATATTTTGAAACATGTTTTACAGATACTTCAGAAGAATCAATAATAATTTGATACGTATCAAAATTAAATAAAATGTTAATTAAACATTTAATTGCAGATAGATGAGGTGACTATTTTGGCCAAAATATATTAGAACAATAGCCATTTATAGAAATAAGATATATTTTAATATTTTAGCTGAATAAGATGATTTTTTATATTCTGAATTTTTTTTCAACTTTCATTTTAGATTCAGGTGGTACATGCTGACATTTGAGATATGAATTACTCCATTACCCAGGTACTGAGCATGTTACCCAACAGGTTTTCACCCCTTGTCTCCCTCCTTTCCTCATACTTCTAGTAGTCCCTAGGTTTTATCGTTGCCATCTTTGGGTCCCTGAGTATCTGATACTTAGCTCATAGTTATGCGTGACCCTGCAATATTTGATTTTCTGTTTCTGCATTAATTTGCTTAGGATAATGGCCTCCGGCTGCATCCATGTTGTTGCAAAGGTCATGATTTCATTCTTTTTATGGCTGCATAGTATACCCTGGTGTATATGAACCCCATTTTCTTTATTTAATCCGCCATTGATGGAACACCTAGATTGATTCTATGTCTTTGCTATTGTGAATAGTGCTGTGATGAACATGAGACTGCATCATGTGTCTTTTTGGTAGAATAATTTGTTTTCTTTTGAGTATATATCGAAAATGGGATTTCTGGGTCGAATGGTACCTCTGTTTAAAGTTCTTTGAGAAATCTCCTAGCTGCTTTCCACAGTGGCTTATTTACTTTCCCACCACCAGTGTATAAACACTCCCTTTTCTTCACAACCTTGCCAGCATCTGTTATTTTTTTGAATTTTCAAAAATAGCCATTCCAACTGGTATGAAATGGTATCTCATGGTTTTAACTTGCATTTTTCTGATGATTAGTGATGTGGTCTTGATATTTGTCACCAACCAAATCTCGGATGGAGTAGTAAATCCCAGTGCTGGAAGTGGGGCCTGATGGAAGGTGTTTGGTTCATCGGGGCAAAACCCTCATGAATGGCTTGGGCCACCTCATTGGTGGTGAGCTCTCTCTCTGAGTTCACATGAGACCTGCCCACTTAAAAGTGTATGGCACCTCCCCTTCCACTCTCTTTCTCTCTCTCCCTCTTTCTCTTTTGCTTCTGCTTCCACCATGTTATCTGCCTGCTTCCCCCTTGCTTTCCACCAAGTTTGGAAGCTTTCTGAGGAATCTCCAGAAGCAGATGTTGGCATTACGCTGCCTATACAACCTGCAGAACCATAAGCCAATTAAACTTATTTTCTTATAAATTGACCAGTCTCAGGTATTTCTTTATAACATTGTGAGAACAGCATAATACTATTAGTGATGTGGAGGATTTTTCATATATTTGTGGGCTGCTTGTATGTCTTCTTTTGAGAAGTGTCTGCTCATGTCCTTTGCCCATTTTTAATATAATTATTTGACATTTTTTGCTTCTTTTGCTGTTTAAGTTCCTTATAGATTCTGGATATTAGACCTTTGTTGGATGTGTAGTTTGCAAATATTTTATCTCATTTTGTAGGTTGTCTGTTTATTCTGCCAATAGTTTCTTTTGCTGTGCAGATGCTTTTTAGTTTAATTGAGTCCCACTTTTCAATTTTTGTTTTTGTCACAATTACTTTTGAGGACTTAGTCATAAATTCTTTCCCAAGGCTGATATCCAGAATGGTGTTACCTAGGTTTTCTTCTAGAATTCTTATAGTTTGAGGTGTTATATTTAAGTCTTTAATCCATCGTGAGTTAATTTTTTATATGGTGACATGTAGGGGCCCAGTTTCATTCTTCTGAATGTAGCTAGTCAGTTATCCCAGCACCATTTATTGAATAGGGAGTCCTTTCTTCATTGCTTATTCTTGTTGACCTTGTCAAAGATCAGATGGCTGTAGGTGTATAGCTTTATTTCAGGATTCTCTATTCTGTTCCATTGGTCTATTTGTCTTTTTGTGTATCAGTACCATATTATTTTCATTATTGTAGCCTTATAGTATAGTTTGAAGTCAGGTGATACATGCTTCCGGTTTTGTTCTTTTGGCTTAGGATTGCTTTGGCTATTCAGGTAAGCTTGTATATTGTAAACAGACAATAACTGAGGAATTCAAAATGGAATACTTATTGTGGTTTAATTTACTATTTTACATTAACATAAAAGATTTTGGGTGATGCATTCAATAAAATACCATTGTATTCATTCTGTAGGGCTGCTATAAAAAGAGTAGCACAAACTTGGCCGCTTAAAAGAACAAACATTTATTCACTCATAATTCTAGAGGCTAGAAGTTCAAAATCAAGATATTTCCAGGCCCATGCTCTCTCTGAAGGCTGTAGGAAAGATCCTTCCTCTCCCTTTCTAGCTTCTGGTGGTTGCCAGCAATTCTTGATGTTCCTTGGCTTATAGGCACATTACTCCATCTCTGCCCCATCACTGCATGACTTTCCCCCTGTGTGTGTCTGTCTGTGTAACTGTGTCCAAATTTTCATTTTCTTATAAGAACACTAATCACTGGATTAGGGCCCACACTAATCTACTATAGCATCATCTTAACTTGATCACATTTGCAAATACCTTATTTTCAGATAAAGTCATATTGACAGACAGCAAGGCTTAGGACTTCAACATATCATTTTGGGGTACACAATTCAATCCACAACAAATAAAATACTTCAATATGTTTTTCAATCTAATAATTATTAAAGAGATGGTGAGTATAGACAATTAGATTGAATATGGTATCTAAATAGCAAATCTGGTTCAAATGCATTTACAACACTTTGGAAGTTGACTGGAGGTTCAATTGTCTTACATTTTTTAATTGAAATTCTTATTGAGATAATTTTAGGTTAATATTTAAAAAATTTTAAAACTATAATTATTTTACATTATTTTAAAATAATAGGAAGAGATCTCATGTGACCCTTATGCAGTCTCCCCCAGTGGTAACATCATGCAAACTATAGTAAAATATCACAACCAGGATATTGACATTGATATAATTCACCAATTTTACTCAGATTTCTCATTTTCACTTGTACTCCTGTATTTGTGTATGTGTGTGTCTATTTAGTTGTGTAAAAATTTATCGCATGCATTTGTCTATTTTCATCTTCAGGGTCAAGACACAGAACAGTTCTGTCACTAGTACCTCCTGTGTTGTCCTTCTATAATCACACTCTCTCTTTCTTACCCACAGCCCCCACCACTACTTCTGTCAATCTCTAATCAGTTTTCAACTTCTAAGATGTTGTCATTTAAAAAATATTATATAAATTAAACACATAATGTGTCACTTTTTGATGTTTTCTTTTTTATTTAACATAATTCCCTGCAGATTCATCCAAGCTGTAGCCTGTATCACGAATTTGTTATGCTTTATTGCTGGTATTAATCCATGGTTTGTATGTATCAGTCTGTTTCACTGTTCCAGCTGTCCTACTTCTAATAGTAGAATTTTATTTTAATTGTGGTTTAAGTATAAATAACTTTTTTGATTTCATTTCAAATATTTCTGTTGTTCTTTTCCGAAGTTCTTAGGTCATTTTGTATTAGTTTAATCTAAGAGTTTTGTATTGATAAGTGAGGTTGTTTTGATGTGTGGTGAGTTTGAGTGAGAAGAATTAAAATCATAAGTTCCTAAAACAAAGACGAGAGAAGAGGAGAACTTTGGATATTGTTTAGTTTTCTTCTCCTTCTCTCTTTCAGTTTTTCCAATGAATTATTAAGTTAAAAATTACAATGTTATATTCCCTTTTCCTTCTAAAAAGTGAGATATGAGGTATGAGCTACATAAAAGATGTTTATATTATTATGAGAAAAATTATTAATTAACAATATACGGTAAGTTAATAGTATGTGAATAAATCAATGAATCATATCAAGCTTTAAAAGAATAGTAGTTATCTTCATTAGATTTTTTTAATATGCTAAAGAAGAGCATGTGTAATTGAAATTCAGAAAATAACGAAGACGTTTTGTCAAAAATAATTCTACAATATAATACTTGCTATTTCTGACTTTTCTGTATTTCACTTTACCCTTGGTGCTAAACTTCAGCTTCTTTTTAAGGGAAGATAAAAGGGGATGTTATAATTTATTGACGATTCTGTGTCAGAGACTTTATCCATATTTCTGTCCCATTTGGTTTTCACAAAATCACTCTTTTGTGCTTATTTTTATGAATATTTAAAATGTAATTCCAGAACAAAAATGGAATACAAATTTGATTAACAGGACAGATTTCTGAAGCCATACATATCGAATTCAGAGTCAGATCTCTATTCACTGAATATCAGGACATAAGCAAGTTACATAAATGCTCTTGAATTCCATATTCCTCACCTGTATAATGGGGTTGGCAATATCTATCAAGTTTTCAATAAATAATTTAATCAATCTACACAAAACACTCAAGGTTGCCTTGAGTAGGGCACAGTACTGGAATTTAAAATAATTATTTAAAAACATTAATATTTTAAACTGACTAAGATTAATTAATACTTAAAAGATAGCTAGGCAATTACAGAGAAGAGCTTTAAATGTAAGTCTAGGTGTATATCAGTTAGGTTTGCGTAGATTTTGCTGCAGTAACATATCTTTCTAAATCTCAGTAGCTAAAAATCCAAAGGATTGTTTTCTGCTCTTTCTACCTGTCCATCTTGGTTCAGCAGGTGGTTTCTGCTAATTTAAGTACCTTAGAGACATACTTAAATAGTGTCTGAAACATTTTGAATTTTTCTAGTTACAATACCAGAGAAAATCAATTTTTATGAATTACCTGTTGCCTCTTAAGACTATCTGCATAAAACACATCTCACATTTGTTCATATCTCATTGATCAAAGCAAATTATACGGCATATTTGAAATCAAAAGAGAAGTGCCATCTTCTCATGTGCTCAGAATGTGAAAGAGGACTGATGTTTTTGATAGCAGTCCTAGGGTCTCTTCCATTATACTTTAATAACTCCCAATTCTTTATATCCCTCTTTTTTTCAGTCTACTCACAAGAGTGATGTAGAAAATTGCTAATTTTCATATAGAACACTTTGTGGACACCAAAACATGATGGGACAGATGATTTTTTGAAACCAGGAAGGAAATGGCATTTTTCTTCCTTGCCTTCACATATATATTCATATTTTCATTCATTAAAACCAATATTCTTTGAGCTCCTAATATGTGTTGGGCATTTACTAGATCATCCATCATTCTCATGTTGTAAGTCATACAGATATTAGTCATCATACTACTCCAGTAGAAACTGAGCAACAAAAACTGTAGTTCAATTTCCAGTGAAACGTCTGACAGAAAAACAAACAAACAGAAAAAACAACCCCAAATTAGTTATGCTCAGACATCACCAAATGATGTGAAGTGAAAAAAAGAAAAAAAAATTATTCACTGTTGTTTAATCTGCTCAGCATTTAAAAATCATATATCCTTGTCAGGCTACCTGACAATAAAACACAGAGGTTGTAGGTGGAATCTTACTGAAAATTCTGCAACTGAGAGCTAATTAGTGTGTTGGCAAAGCTGTCAGCTAAAACTGTTTTTATCAGTGGAGAATAAATGAAGGTAGATTTTAGAGATTTGGTGTTACCCATACACATATAAATATCTTTTATCTTATACCTTTGAGAAACTAATAAAAGTTGTTGCTTTAATTTGCCACTTGTACTTGATAAGTGGAGATAAAAAGTGCTCATATAAAGGAATTCATTCTTTTATTTAAATATATAATATAGACCTAGAGCAACGAGCATAACTATGTACATAAAATATGGCATATATTCAGACCACACAGTCTGTGCTTGATTGTTGTACCTCAAAAGACTTAAATAAGACATTAAATTTTCTACTTAGGAAAGATGTTGAATGACGAAGAGAAGACAGAGCACATGGAGCTGGGAGTATGAATAGCAGAGAATTCCTCTTGCTGAATGATTATTTTAGTTCTATCACACAGTCCCTAACAAATGCAAAAAGACCCTGAGGATGCAACTAAAGCTTGTCTCCATTGACCTTATAATCACAAGTACCTATCTAGTGATTACTGTTAGCCTTTCACATTAGGTATATTTTTAAACATTCCAAAGAATCTATGAAATGTTAATATTACAGGTATAAGGAAGAAGAGTCTTATTTAGAGAGGTTAAGTAAATTACTCAAGGTCTAAAGTGAGTAGTAATTTGAATTCATGCTCATACACATGTTTTGATCATGCAGGTCTTTGTTTAGTTTCTGGAATGTTCTAAGCTTTTTGCTCCCTTTGGGCTCAGAATACTTAAACATGCGGTACCCTCTTCCTCTCACTCTGAGGAAAAACTATCTTATCAATTTCCAGCTAAATCGTAGCCTTAATTATGTTTATGAACTCCTTGATGGCAGTTAGGAAACCATAGTGTGGTAAACAGAATAATGGGTCCATCTAAGACATCAACATTTTACTTTCCAAAAACTGAATATGGTGCTTTTTATGGCAGAAAAGGATTTTGTAGATGTGATTAAGTTCAGAATCTTGAGCTGGAAGTTTATCCTTGGCAATCTTGATAGGGACTATGTAAGACACAAGAGTTGCAATAGGGAATTGGGAAGGTCAAGAAAGAGGAGATGTGACAGTGCAAGCAGGAGTTGGAATGATAAGCTCTGAAGATGGATAAAGGGGCCTGAGCCCAGCAATGCAGATGGCCTCAAGAAGCTGAAAATGGATTCTCTTCTAGATCCTCCAAAAAGAACTCAGCTCTGTCAACATCTTGAGGTTAGCACATAAGATACATTTCAGATTCCGAACCCTAGAGTGTCAAGATAATACATTTGTGCTGTTTTGGGTCACTAGGCTTGTGATAATGTGTTACAACAGGAAACAAATACATATATATACAGCTCATCAAAATCACAACCAGTCCCTCAAATCTTAATATCCTCCCTCCTCAAAAAGGTCCTCATAAATAAAAATGGAGTATGGCAATGAGGTCAAGGGTCAGAAGCATGATCTTGTGTAGTTAGAGAAAATTTCTTGTAAATGTAACATAAATCTTTACTTGAACCTGTCTTACCTCTTTTCTCTTGCCTTTTCCTTTACCTACCTCAAATATTTATATGCCATGGGAGAGAGAAGGCTCCATGATAAAACTAAAAATTGTAACTACAAGTCCCAGATCTTCCTTAAGAAACCTCTGAAAAACTAGACCCTAAATCACTAAAGATGTGATTTTTTAAAGTATCATCTAGAGATTGGGTCAGCAGAGAGAGAAGAGAATATCTTGAAAGAGAAGAGATGAGAAAGATTCCCTAGGAGGCTCTGGAGACATGTATCAGAACAACATGACCACACAGATTATATTTGTATGTCAAGACAGAGCATAAGTATCTTAATTTGTAAAAGTTTTCAGCACCATTTTACATATACTTTTATCTTAGTTTTTATAAATAAACTTTGCAGTGCTATGGTAGATATTATTTGAACCAAGGCATATAATTATCCAGTGACATGTTTAAATTCACATTTCCACTAGGTGGTAGAAATTAGATTTAATTCAGGATTTCCTGATTCCAAAATCCTTATATTTAACCACTAATAGGAAAAAAGCCTAGACATTTGACTGTAATATTTAAATAGAAATATCTCTCCAACGTTTGAAGGCAAAAATGCCCGGTGCTGTCTTGCATTGCCACACACACAAAAAGCATGGAATGGAAAACCTAATAATCAAAGGAGGATTTTATTCCAGGGCTTGTAAAACTCTGTTGGGAAGAATTAAGAATTTGTTTCTGTGTTTTACTTTTTTGTTTTTGGTTTTCCAATCTGTTGAAAGATTGATGTTTTGTAAAGCACTGCAGAAATAAATTATCTTCCATTTTTTCACTGTATCATTGTGAACTGGTAAAAACAAAAAACAAAAAACAAAAAACAAATGAACAAACAGTTTGAGAACTCTAGTCTGCGGAACACATTTTATACAGCTCTGTTTTAGACAAGAGCATGATCAACATAATGCATTTTTCATAGTGTATCTGTGTAACACAGATTAACAAGTGTCCTGCGTGGCTGAATCAATGTCTGATGTACATTCAAAGGAACAGCACTTTGATGCTAGAACTCTTGCTTGATATATCATAGATACCTACAAGTTACTGTGAGGAGATCACTCAAAACTTCACATAGAAAGTTTCCTAGATTTTCTGTTCAGACTTCTGCCCTACTCTTTAATTATTCCAACTTATAGCAAGAGCTGAAATTTCTTCCTCTATCTGTCCATGTCACACTCCCTTTGTATACGTAATTGTTACATTACCCTGAACTCTCTCCCTGAAATGAGCGCACTTGCTGACCATATTGGGCCAATCTTGTATAGCTTAAGAATTTAGTGAGTCTCTGGCTTCTACTCCAGGCTTATGTCTCTCATATCTGAAAAATAAAGTAGTCTTTTTTGAGGGTGAGGGGTGAGTCTGTAATAACAATGTCTACCTCATAAGGTTACTACAAACATTAATGAGTTAGTATACACACAGTAGTTGGCATAGGAAAAATACTATGTAATGTTAGGTAGTAGTATTTTTTATCGTAAAGGGAAGCCAACATGATTTCCTGGGAAATGTAGTTCCTTTTATTTAAAGAGAGTTTCTTTAAAAAAAAAAAGTTTTGCTTTTAAAAAAATTATCTGAAAATCTCTGCCTTTGGGATGTTTAAAACACCTTTATATAATTTTGAATCTGGTTGAGTTTAAATATATCATCTTGCTCCTTGTTTTCTAATGGTTTGACTAGTATTTATTACCTTTTTTCCTTCTATTCTGCCTACTTTTGGGTTTATTGAGTATTTTTCTGATTCCATTTTATTTTCTCCGCTAGCTCATAAGCTATAAACCTTCATTGTGATATTTTAATGGCTGGTTTAGGGTTTATAGTATACATTTTTAATTTATCACCATCCACTTTCAAATGATATTATCAAATTAATGTACCCAATGTGAACCTTACAATGGGATAGAGTTGTCACTCAGTATCCGTGGGAGATCAATGGAGCTCCAGGACCTTCTGTGAATACCAAAATCCGTCCCTTATATAAAATGGCATTGTATTTGTATATAACCTATGCACATCCTCCCATATATTTAAAATCATCTTTAGATTACTTATAATATCTAATACAATGTAAATTCTATGTAAATAGTTGTTATACTATATTATTTTTATTTTTGTATTGTTATTTTTCATTACCTTTTTTCTGAATATTTTCATCTGTGGTTAGTTAAATCCATGGGTATGGAACCCACAGATATGGACCACCAGATGTAGTTCCATTTCTCCCCTCTCTGTCTCCATGTCATCATTGTTTTGCATTTTACTTTTGCATATATTTAAGAAACCTAAAAAAAATTATAATTATTTTGTTTGAAATAATCAATAATTATTTTAAAAGATTATAAATACTTACATATAAAAATCTTTTAAGATCTTTTAAATAAGAAAAAATCTTTAATATTTGCCTTCATAGTTATCTAGTGCTTTGTCAATCCAGACTTCTTTGTGGCATCATTTTTCATCTGCTTAATAAACTCCGTTCGACATTGCTTATAGTGCAGTCCTGCTTGTGAAAAATTATTTCAGCCTTCATATGTCCAAAAAAATCTTTATTTTCCTGTGTTTTTTAAAGATATTATTGAATTGTAGATTGAGAATAACTTTCAGTACTTTAAAGAAGCTGAAAACTGTCCTCTGGCTTGCATTGTCTAAAAAGTCATCTGCTGTCATCCTTATATCTATTTCTATGTACAGAATGAGTCTTTTTTCTGACTACTTTTGTAATTTTTTCTCTGTCACTGTCAATTTGATTCACGTTTGTTTTACTTGAGTCTGCTGAGCTTCTTGGGATCTGTGGTTTATACTTTTAATTAAATTTTAAAAAATTCAGGCAGTACTTTTTTTTTTACAGTGCTTGTATGTCTTACAGTGTTTGTATGTCTTTTTTTAAATAGCATTTATATGTCTTCAAGTTCACTATCATTGTTTTCTGCTGTTATATAGAGTATTGCTATCATTTTTTAATTTCTGCTGTTATATAGAGTATTTGTCACAGGAAAAATTCTATGTAACTGTTAGGTAATAATATTTGTATTTTTATCTCAGAAATTGTAGTTTTCACCCCTAAAAGTTCAATTCAGGTGGGTCTTTTCTATAATCTCCCATGTCCATTTAATTTTTTGAACACATCAAATGCAGATATAATCACTGCTGATGTTCTTTTCTACTGAATCTCACACTGATGTCAGCTCTGGGTTTCCATTTATTGATTTAGCTCTTCAGTATGGATTGTATTTTCCTGATTCCTTGTATGTCTAGTAATTTTTTATTTGTTGTCAGACTGTGAATTTCACGAATTTCACCCTGTCAAGCACTGAAAGTTTTTGAGTTCCTACAAATATTCTTGAGTTTTGTTGCATGATGCAGTTAAATTACTTGGGAAATGTTGATCCTTCAGAAGCTGGTTTTTAAGCTTAGTTAGGACAGAGCAACATTTAATGTAGGTATCATTTGTCTCACTATTGGCAGAACCACTCTGAGTATTCTACATGATGGTCTTTAAATGAAGAGGTTTGCTATTCTGGCTGGCAAAAACCGACACCTCTAGTCCTGTATGAATTCAGAAAATTGTTCCCTCTAATTATTTTAATTGGTTATTTCCCTGGATTTGGGATATTTTTCCAAACACTTATGTGGTGATGAGTATACAAAGCTGAAGACACAAAGGAGGCCCTCTGTAGTCTTTAGAGTTCTTTCTCGGAATAGTTCTGTCCTCTCTGGTACTTTACTCTGCAAACACTAGCTGCTTATCTTTTCTGAACAACAATTCTCCTCATTCCAAAGAGACTTCTGGGCTTCCTGAGTCCCCTCTCCTAAGCCACAGGCTAGAAATTCTCTTCAATCAATAAGTGGGGCCATTCGTGAGGCTCACCCCATTTACTTTCACCTCTCATGGATCACTTTCCTTTGTTGCCTGATAACAAATACCTTCAGAATTTTTTTCTTAATATATTTTGTCCACTTTTTTATTTGATTCATTTAGGAAGGTAAATCTGACCTGTACTACTACATCTTGGCTGGAAGCAAAAGTTCTAAGTACAAATCTTATCTTAGTGCATTTCTCCTGGAAAGTTTGTATATATAAGACACTTCACTACAGTAAACAAAAAATTCAGGGAAAACATTACAATTTCTATCCTATAATCACAGACATTGCAAAAATACATAGCCTATTTAAATAATCAGGCTTTGACAATTAAAGAGCAAGTTTAGTTTCTTTAGAAATCCATTATTAACTTCAAGCTATTATATATAGTTCAGTGGTGGCATCTTAGTGGGAACAGTGTTAAGTAAAGGCTAGATAATAGCTTCAGTGAAACAAAAAGCAGTTCTTGCTTACTCTTAAAAAATCTTTTACATGTTTTAATGCTTGCACAAGAATGCAAATTCTGATACAAGAATTTTTTTTAAAATATGGGCAACTTTTAAATTAGTCAGTTGATTATCAAATCTGTGAAGACAATCAACAGAAAATTGTTATGCAGTCCAACATAATAATCTCTGGCCACATGTGGCTACTGGACAATTGTAATGAGGCTAGTATAACTACGGAAGTATGTTTTTAAATTTACTCGATTTCAATTAATTTAAATTTTGTAACTAAAATGTTAAGTGTGGTTTGAACCACCATTTAAAATTGTGAATCTAATTTTTCTTGTGTAAATTTTATAAAATCTAAATACAAATTAAGTATTGCTGATGAAAATTGTGTCCAGATTTCCAAACTGTGAAAGTTACCATAAGTATAAAATATATACCATATTTTAAAGACCATGTAGGGACAAAAGGACTTAAAATGTCACCCAATTTTTTTTTTTTTTTTTTTTTTTTTTAGATGGAGTCTTGCTCTGTCACCAGGCTGGAGTGCAGTGGCGCAATCTTGGCTCACTGAAACCTCTGCCTCCTGGGTTCAGGCGATTCCTGTTCCTCAGCCTCCCGAGTAGCTGGGACTACAGGTGTGCACCAACACGCCCAGCTGATTTTTTGTGTTTTAGTAGAGACGGGGTTTCACCATGTGGGCCAGGATGGTCTCCATCTCCTGACCTCATGATCTGCCTGCCTCGGCCTCCCAAAGTGCTGCGATTACAATGTATCACATTCTTAAATGACAAAGTTTTTGTTGTATTAGGTTAACTAAAATGTATTATAAAGTTATTTTTACCTGTTTCCTTTTACTTTGTTTTAATATAACTATTGGAACAGTTAAAAGCACATAGGTGGCTGGTTATACTTCTGTTGCAGTAGTGCTGATATAAATACTTGTATTTTGATATGTATACCCAATATTTAATTTAAGAATTGTTTTGTAAAGTCAGCATAATTCTGTGGTTGACATCTAAGCTAAGAGAATGGAGACTACCATACATTTTCCAAAACAAGAGAAGTCTCACATACTATGAATGTTACTGGAATTGCAAATCTGAAGCCTGTCACTGAATTTTGCTACTTAGGCGTGTATTTTTAAATGATGAATTAATCAATCATCATAAATCAAAGAAATCTTAAAATATGAGACAACCAATCTGTCTTTTGGAAATCAGAGAGAAACAGAGAAGGGGCAGCCAAAGTGTCATCGAAGCTCTGGACATTGCTAACTAGTAACTTAATGTTCAAAAATTTATTCAGACTTTGACTCCTTAGAGAATTTGACTAGGTAATAGTCAAACTTCCTTCCAGACTAGTTTTATAAGTCTGCAAACAAATTAATCAGTAAATATATATGGAGTAGTAGTATATGAATATTTTTTAAAATGTATGGTTAAGGAAGTAAGATTTAAGCAAAACAATTTGTGAACTAATGCATTAAATGCATTGGCAAGTCCTTGAGACATACTGAGATAACCCTGAATTTGGCTTTTGAAAAATCTTAAGGTGAAGGCTAACCTGCGTTAACAAAGTAAATGAAATAGAAGTTTATCTCTCTTTCAAGTACTATTCGCCCTAGCCACACTTTCAGAGAAGTGCTACTAAGCAATGTCTATTAGTGGTCTAGGCTAATTCTATTTTTTTATATCTCTTAGATTGTTGATTTTGTCTATGTGATTCATTTTAGATTGTTGCAGTATCCATATGCTGATTTCATGGGAATAAGGAAAAACAAATCAGGGCAAGTCATAGAAAGTTGCACATATTACTTCTGCCCCTATATCATGAGTGAGAATTTAGTGACATAGACTAACCAGTTAGAAAGGTCGGAAAATACATTCCCAACTGTGTGGTCATATGGCCAACTAAAGTTCGTTTATCGTGCATTATGGGACATAATGAGGCCTACTAGAAGTAAGGAAGCTAGGTTCTGATGAATTATCTCAGAACCTGAACCTATGCTCTAGTAAATATGTACAGTTGCACAGTGACAGCAGTATTATATAAGAATGCTGAGTACATATGGAGAGTTAATTATTGTCAGATATACGAGTATAACACGGCAGCATTTCAATAGAAAGTATGGATTTGTTAGTTGTGCAATCTCTGCTTGAAATGCTTAAGGAAGGTAAACTTAAAGGGAACCCTAAGACTGAAAAACCCTGATCCTCTTCAATCTGTTTGTATTCTCATTTGTCACATAAACTATATATGTGGAGATCTTTGAGAGAAAGGAAGAATAAATTATTGAGGAAAAATTTGCAAATTTTATTTCTGCCTCCATCATTTCAGAGTTGTTTGATGTTGAGCAAGTTACTTAGTTCTCTGAATTTCATTTTTCTTATATGGAAATGTTAAAGAATAACACTGATTTTCAATAGTATTTGTGGAGATAAAATGAGAAAATATATGTGAATAAGCTTAGGATATGGTGAGCATCCAGTGTTTTTCTGTAGATTAATTAATCAAGATGATGAAGACTTCCACTTGAGTTTTAGTTTGTGTTATACATAACAGATTAATGTTGTGTATAACTTAATATACTTATTTTGCCTAAAGAACTTCAATAAGAAGTGCTTGGAGGAAATCAAAACCTTTGTCTTTGCAGGCCCGTGATAAAGATTTTGGATTTTATCTTTGCAGCATTAGAAGCCACTGAAACACTTTAAGGATGGCAATCACAGGATTAAATTTTCATATTTAACAAAGATTACTCTAGCTGTTACATGTAGAATGGGTTGGTAATTTTAAGAATAGATTCAAATATTTCACTTATCTATTCAATAGTTCAGAAAATAAACAATTTTAGTCTGAAATAGGGGTAGTGGCAGATGAAATGGAGAAGAATAGATTGAGAGTTATTAAAGAGAGGAAACATTGATAGTGTTGATGATAGAATGGATATTGGACATGAGATTAAAGTGAAGGATAAAGTGTTAGCTATTTCAATTAATGGTACCACCTAGGTTTTTCTATTATACAATTGCATGGATTCTGGTGTCATTTAGTGAAACAGCTAACCCTGAAGAAGGACAAGATTTGAGAAGGTAAAAGTTATTGGAAACCATTGGCATGCTCAGTTTAAGGTATCTTTAACATAAGCATCAAGACAAAAGTTAAATGAAGATTTGAAAGCCAGAAAAAGAATGTAGAGTAGAGACATAAATTTGGGTTTTATTTGTGTATACCGTTCAGGTTCTATATTGCTTAATGGTTTAAAACAACACAATTGTAGTATTTCTCATGATTCCGTGGGTTGACCAGTCTCAGCTGGGTGATTCTTCTGCTTCCCATCTTCTGTCCTATTTCATTCATTTGGAGACTCAACTAGATTGAAGTGTCCAAGATGGCTCAATTCACACAGTTGACAGTTTATGCTGGCTGCTGGCTGTGAGCTCAGGTGGGGATTTTAATTAAAAATACATATACATATATGGGCTCTGCATGTGGCTTCAGTTTCTCAGAAAATGGTGATGGAATTCTGAGAGGAAGCATTCTAAGACCAAATATTCCAAGAGAAGAAGGAAGCAGACACTCTCAATCTTTTGAAAGTGCAGTACTGGAACTAGCATAGCATCATTTCTGCTTTTTTTTTTTTTTTTTTTTTTTTTTTTTTTTTTTGAGACAGGGTCTTCCTCTGTCACCCAGGCTGGAGTGCAGTGGTGCAGTCATGACTCACTCTAGCCTCCATCTCCTGGGCTCAAGTGATCATCCCATCTCAGCCTACTGAGTAGCATCTTGAGTGGCTGGGACTACAAGCACACGCCACCATGCCCAGTTAATTTTTCTCTTATTACATTATAGCAGAGACAGGGTCTTGCTTTGTTGCCCAGGCTGCTCTCAAACTTCTGTGCCCAAGAAATCCTCCCACCTTGGTCTTCCAAAGTGCTAGGACACAGGTGTGAGCCAGCATGCCTGGCCTCTGCTTATTTTTTTGGTTAAATAGTGACAGGACCAGCTCAGATTCAAGGAGAGAGAAACTAAACTCCACCATCTTTAATACACTATATAATTTCATTTAAAAATAGTCATGAATGTGATAGCTTACAGTATGCAAAAAAGAAGCAAGAATCACTAGGACAAACTAGGAAACTGCTATTTAAGAAAGAAGATAAAAAGAAAAATGAAAAGAATAAGGAACAAATAATTAGAAAACTGAATTAATTTATTATATGGACATATCATATAAAATTTTATATAAGCAAAAACGATAGAAAGATATGTCATAAAAATAACTGACAAAATAAATCTGATGTAATTACATTAATATCAGTCAAAGCAGACTTCAATGCAACATTACTAGATATGAAGAGAGACATTTTATTGTAATTATTCATTTACCATCTAAAATTTTCAACAAATTGATTTACTCATTACCTTCTACTGTATAAAAAATCAATTATGAGTATTTTTTGATGTAATATGAAAGGAAAAACAATATAGCTTATAAAAGAAAACATGGGAGGAAAAAGTCCATGACCTTGAAGATCCTTAAACAGAACATAAAAAAAAACCATTCATCATGAAGAAAAATTGGAATACATTGAACTACAGTAAAAGCAAAAACTTTTGTTTAATAATTGACCCCATAATGTGGAAACATAAGCTGATGGGTGAGGATATTTCAGTACATGAAAACTTTTATAAACCAATGAAAAAGAGAAACTAAAGAGAAAGTCTATGTAATTAGCTATATTTAGCCATATAAAAATGTGACATCATCACTAGTCAACAAGGAAGTGAAAATTAAAACCAGATGATATTGCTTTATACTACCTGAGTGTCTAATGTTATAAAAACTGACACTATTAATCTGAGTGTATAAGGAACAATTAAAATTCTCCTAAACTGCAGGTGATCATGCAAATGAGTACAATCACTTTGACATACTGATTAGTAGTATCTACTATCGGTGAGCATATAGTCCAACAATCTTATTGCTTAGTATTTATCCAGTAGAAGTACACGTACATCAAAAGACTTGCTTGAAATTGTTAATGGAAATATTCCTAATAGCACCTAATTGGAAATTATCCAAATGACCATCAACAATAAGATGAAGAAATTATGGGAAATACATAAAATAGAATACTCAATAACAGTAAATATTAACAACTACAGCTTTATGGAGTAACATGGCTTAATCTCAAAAACATAATATTGAGTGAGAGAAGCCACACTCAAAACAACACTCTCTTAGTCCATTTCTGTTGCTATAACAATATCATGGACTGGATAATTTATTTAAAGAAGAAAGAAGAGGCTGGGAAGTTCAGGACATGGTGCTGGCATCTGCTCAGCTTCTAGTGGGGGCTTTCTCACTGCATCATAACACGGCAGAAGCAGAAGGACATGACTTGGCTGGGGGGCAAGACCTTGCGTGTCAACTCAGGTTTATCATATAAAGCCACCAGTCTGTCATGGAGGGCCACATCCTGATGACTTTATTTAATCCTAATTATTTCCCCAAAGCCCCCACCTCAAATTAACATATTATTTTATATTGTTTCCAACATATGAAATTTGGGAGACACATTCAAACCATGGCAAACGTGTACCGTACAACACCATAGAATACCATAAAATATCATACAGTTCATAAGTATTCCATATCATTATAATTAATGACATTGGTTACCTTTTGTGAAGAGGACAGTAGCAGTGATTAGGAAGGGTCAAAAAGAGATCTTGTGAGATACAAGAGTGTGCTGTATTTCTTTCCTTTTTCTTTTTTTTTTTTGTATTTTGCAACAGAGTCTTGCTCTTTCGCCCAGGCTGGAGTGCAGTGGTGCCATCTCAGCTCACTACAACCTCCGCCTCCTGGGTTCAAACAATTCTCCTGCCTCAGTCTCCTGAGTAACTAGGGTTACAGGCACCTGCCATAATGCCAGGCTAATTTTTGTTTTTTCAGTAGAGATGGGGTTTCACCATGTTGGCCAGCCTGGTCTTGAACTCCTGGCCTCAAGTGATCTGCCCACCTCGGCCTCCCAAAGTGCTGGGAATATGGAAGCAAGCCACCATATTTCTTGATCTTGCTGATAGTTTTCTAAGGTTGCTCATTTTATAAAAATTCATGGGGTTTTACCCTTAGGATGTTTGCACTTCAATAAAAAACAAAAGACAGAATGAAAGAAAAAGAAAGGAATATTTTAAACTCAGAGTCTCTGCCCTGATTTTACTCTCTCCAAGTAGGAAATATTGTTTAACTTCTATTCTTTATTATAACCCCAAAATTTATTCTTTCAACTGGGGGCACGGAGTGAAAATCCATAAATGAGAGATCCATTCTGAAATCAAGGTCACCGGATATGAAAGAAATATAAATGAACTAAGTGATTGTTATCTTGGGCCCAAAATCAATGTGTACATAGGAAAATGTACTTATTTTTAATTTCCAGAGAATCTGAAGAATGTGGCATCACAGGCAATTTAGGGTATACAGGATATTACTTACCACAGTCACATTTCCACTACTATAATTTTTATTGGGGAACATAAGTTTATATAATTTATTTTGGATAAAAGAATATAATTGTGATGAAAGAAAAAATAATTTTAGTATTTACTTAAATGTGTGGACATTTACTATTGACCATACAGAATATTTAGTGAGGATTTAAAATTAGATATTTGCAGGAATTTTAAGTACAGTAAATTTAATAAAATCAAAGTGCCCTGTTTTACTAGCAAGTGCTAAGTTTTCCTCATCTCTGCAACACACTCAGCAATGTTAATATTCTTTCCCTATGGCTACAAATAATCTTCAGAAAAAACTTGATAAAATGTCGCATCATTTTCAATCTAATGCTGACACTTATGTAGTTAAGTATGGCTATGTGCCTTTTATTGACTCATTTCATGGGAAAATAATAATTCTCTGAAACTTCCTGGAGATAGTACAAATTCTCTTCTTTTACCAGAAGAGAGAAAAATCTATGCAAGTCTTATTTTAATAAAAGGGGAAAATAAAAGGACCCTTGACAATTTTCACCTCTGAAAAAGATGTCTATTTATTGTTTGACATTTTCTTGACAGTAGGTTATTGAGATATAATGTGGAAACTTGGCAGAAGATGCATAGATTTTTTTTTAGATTGTTTTGTATTGAACTTCTCATTTTGTGTCAAACAGCTGGAGCCTGGAGGAAAGATATGTAGTCTTAAAGAAGACAGGCTCTGATGGGATCTTGACTTCTAGGCTGTATCAAATGGCAAAATGACGAATTATTATGGACAATAGAGGAGAATAATGGTTATTAAAATAAGGAAGATTTTTTTTGTCTGGTTTAAAAAAGAGTTTTGTTAACTAAAGGAAGCTCTTAGTTACTTCTAAATTATAATAGCTTTAGTCAAGAGATTGTTTTTACCATAACTTCAAATTCCCACTATGGCTGTAGAAAATTTTTAAAATTTATTATGAATTTGTTTAGTTAAGAAAAGCATTTTGCCATGTATAACAAGAAATCTTACGGAAAATCAAATCATGAACCTGTCATATTTATGTTATACTTTTGAGATGTGTCTATAGGGTCAAGCATAAATGAATATTCTAAATTTCTATTTAAGAACTTCCCATTTTTTCACAATTTTCTCTTGTTTATAAAATGACCAGGATGTCCTTAAGCTCCCGTTAGGGACTAGTAGTGGTTAGCTATTGTGATCAACTGTAGCCTATGTGCAGAACCTCTGTAGCTGGAAATCAGAAACATTTGTTCTCACCTAAGTTCCCTTCCTAACTTTTGCTTTTGCTTTTCATTGCCCAACTTCATTTACTGTCATGACTCTACCCTAATGCAATATAATTTTGCAGTCATCATTTTAAACAATACTTACACAATGTAAAACTTACACAAACTGAGTTTAACTTATAGATAAGAAAACTAAAGATTACATTATACATATTTGGATTATAAATGACACAGTTGGATAAAACAATTTAAAGCAAGATTTGTCTGATCCAGAGCCTATGTTTATTTACTACTTGACTATGTTTATGTTCTTTTTTTTTTTTTTTTTTTTTGAGACAGGGTCTTGTTTGTCACCCAGGCTGGGGTGCAGTGGCGCAACCTCAGCTCACTGCAACCTCCACCACCCAGGTTCAAGTGATTCTCCTGCCTCAGCCTTCCGAGTAGTTGGGACTACAGGCACGTGCCACCAAACCTGGCTAACTTTCTGTATTTTTAGTAAAGACAGGATTTCACCGTGTTAGCCAGGATAGTCTCGATCTCCTGACCTCATGATCTACCTGCCTCGGCCTCCCAAACTGCTGGGATTACAGGCGTGAGCCGACGTGCCTGGCCTGTTATTTTCTTTAGAATTTTTTTAAATACCTCTCTCCTTACTGCTAATAGGACACCTCAATTATGTTCCCTTTGTGACTAGTGACATCTATTTGTGACATGGTTAATCTTAGAAGTACCATCCAACTGGAGGAATGAGTTAAACTAAGTGCATTTAGTGGTCACAGATTACAGATTCATTATTAATTTCATGCATTAAATATAATCAGGCCAACCATCAATGACAGTGTTTACAAGACAGCAACCACCACAGGCTTGGAAGTAAAAGTCTTTCTAATTTCCAAATGTTGCAAGAACTCAAAGAAGTCCAGAAACAGTAAGACATGGCACAGATAGCTGGGGCCTGGAGGATGATGAAGACATGGCAATTATAAGATGGAAAGGGATGATAATTGTGCCTCTAAGAAAAATTTTTGAGAACTGAATATAGTCAAAGAGAATGTGGACTTAAATGAGCAGAAGCACATCCCCCTGTAATATTTAAAAAAATTAATATGAATGGAGTTAATAATTCTAATTCTAATGGAGTGGCAGGCCCAAGAAAATTGCCTGCAATTTTAAATATTCAGTACTAGCAAAATAACAGAATTCACATAGCATCAAAGTTGTCCTGCAAGAGGTTGGTACCTAATGATGTCTAAAGAAAACGTGGAACTTCCTTAGTTATTGCAAGGACAATGTTATAATAAAATAAAAAAGAAAAGGTACAGGCCCTCCACCTCCATTTGGTTTAAGTAGTCTTCATTTTCCACAAAATAGATCTTCTAGATATGTCTTAGAGACCTCAAAGCACTGAAAAGGAAGCTGACAGTCAAAGGTAATTTATCTTAAAATACTTTGATACTATTTTTTTTTTTTGTCCATTTGAAATACATTTTTGCTATACCAAATTATCCCATGGAGCATAACCTCTGCTCACGTAAACTTCTGGGATCAAGAACTTCTAGAATCAAGAAAATATGTTTAAATGTATTCCCATTATACTTGTGGAACACACCTAATACAAATGTGAAAAGATATATCTCATACTCACCTTGCTGCTGATTGCATTGTCTGGAGTCTCTCCTTTCCTTTTAACTCTACCTGCCTCCCTGCCTACCTCATTCCCTACAATAGCCCTCCAGCTTGGGCTGGCTTGTTGATTAGATGTGAAGGTTTCAGGTCACAGCCAGTGGGGGCTACTGCTGGGTGTGTAAGGGTAATACATCTGCACCCCTGGTTTCTTTTCTTAAATCATAATTGATGACTCTCTTCTAAGTCATCTTTTCCCTACTTTCTTCCACTTACTACCCTTGGCTGAAGCATAGATTGTTACCCTTCTGCCTCCTCCGAAATTGGCCTTAGGTGAGAAAAATCAGGGCTTTTCTATCTTCTCTCCTCTCAGCTTTATCTTTTATTTAGGGGTGCCTGAGGATGGACTTATCTTCAAGTCCATTTTTATATTGTTAGTACCCACCATTTTCCATGAATATCTAATAGCAATAGCTATTAGATAAGGTAGGAAAGAGTCTCTGACCTTCCTTTGTTTCAGAATATTTATTTACTTTTTATTAGCCTGGGAAATGAATATTGAGTTCTCAGCCCTGCCACATTCTACTGTCATCATCAGCTGATACAATTTTTTTAAGCTCAAGTTTTGATATGGTAAAAAAGAACAGATACCAGTGTTACTCAGACTTGCCAGCTCTCAAAGCATTTGGTGGTTAAACTTGAAGAAAAGACAGCACATATATGCATACGTGAATAAATTTTATTTTCCTGTAATTCCTTTTAAATATTAAAAAATTTAAACAAACAGGGCTCTCATTTGGTCATCTTTGCAATATATTTGAGCCTGTTTTAGAATATGACAACAGGAAAACATAGAGCCTTGAATTTGGTGTATTCATAGACGTTGGTATTATTCCTTCTCACAGTCCTCAGAGGGATTAAAAAATAACTTGTTGTACATGGCAGATCCTGGAAATTGGTAAGCTTGACTTCCTGGCAAACTGTAGTGTCTGTTCAGGACTACTAAATACTAAAAATGTGAGACTCATCCTTAAAAGTATTTATTGTGTTCTAATATATACATACATATACACACACACACACACACACACACACACACATATATATATACACACACATAAATAGATAAGAACGTACTCATTCCAGGCACATGGAAAAAAAGTTAATCAAGATCTAAATCTCTAAGTGTTTATTTACTAAAAAATATTTTCCATCTTTAAGCCTTGCTAAAAGGCTTAAATGCATCATGCTAAATTTTTTAATGCAACATGCTAAATCTGACATTATATTCAACATTCATTTAACAATGAATTCATTTAATGATGAATGAATGAATTTAACAGCGAGCACATTTAACATTTTAATGAGTCCTCACTATTTGCATGGATTTCAAAAAATCCATGATCCCACCCTTGCAGTTTATTGATCAGGCTGAATTTCAACAAGCAATTATCATATCATATAATAATATGGCAAAGAAAGTAGAAAGTGAAATGGGAACATGTAGTATAAGCAATTAACCGAATTCTTGTGGATGAGATAAGCCCTTAACCATAGACAAAACCGATAGGTAAATTATTTACAATGGTAGAGGGTGATATATGCTTCAGATGACTAGAGAAGGGTTGCCATTTTAAATATTCTGTTCATCAAGGAAATGCTATTTACACAAAGACCTGAAGGAGGAACAAGGGTTATTCAAGAAGTGGTTTGACTGAAGAGGGTGGCAGGAAGATAGAAGAGCAGGGCATATGTCTTAGGGCCAGAGTGTACAAAGGATTTTTGAGGAACAGAAAGTAGGCCAGTGCAGCTGGAATGGACAAGGATGAGAATAGAAGAGGAAGTCAGAGAAGTCATGAAGAACCAGGTCTTAGGCCGTTATAAGAATTTGGCTTTAACTCTGAATAAAATGGAAGTTTCTTTATGGTATTGAGCAGAAGAATGATATGCTGTCAGGCAGCTCTGTGAAAATGAAGAGAGTGAGGAAGAATCAAAATAGCAAGGCCAGCTAGAGAGCTTTTACAGTAATTTAGGGATAAGGGATGATGATGACAGACCTGTAGTGGCAGCAGTAGAGGTAGTGAGAAGTGAGTGGATTCTGGATACATTTTAAAAGATATATTTTAAAGAACACCTTGTTATTTTACATACTGATGACCCCGATAATCAAGTTGTTGTTTTTCATCTTTAATATTTCATCATATTTATAATTGATGAAAACAAAAGAACTGATGCCCCTGCAACGTATTACAATAAGGGCAAGTACAAGAATGGAAGAATATGGCTATTGGTTACAGAAATGAGTTGTTTGTAAGCTATCTTTTGGGGACTTTCAAAAATAATAAGTATGGGAGACATTTTGATGAATGTAGAGGTGCTCTAGTAGTAGATAACCCAGGGAAAGTTTACTGTCAAATTCCTATTCTGTAGTATGGGGTTCTAAATATATGTTGGCTTAATGAATGAATAAATGAGTGAAACAATCTCTTCATCAGTCAATAAGAACAGCCACTATGTCAATATGTTAATGGTCAAGACACTTTCAACATGTAAACTGAAACTAACAACATAAATACTTCAAGATTTTATACATGTTTATATATAGATGTTAACATTTATTTTACAAAGTTTTATTGTATTCAATTTAAGACTTTTATTTAACTTTATTTAAATTGTAATTTATTAAAATTAAAAAAAATTCTATATGTCTTAATTTACTGGCCCCAACTAAAATATTGGATTGTGTCTATCTTTATATAATAATGTGGCAGTCATAAGATTTAAGTTCCAAAAATGCCAAGAACATACTTTTGCTAGGTTTTATATGAATGTTTAATAAATATATGACTCATAACAACCACATGCACCTAGTAGCAATAGGATATTTAAATAAAATATGTAAACTCTGTAAGCTTTATGCTAGGTTTACAATTTCTATATAATAATTTATCAGATTCTTAAAATTAGAAATCTCATACTTCATGTTTTATGCATGTTTGAAAATTATTTTTTCAAATAGGTAAATTTTGAATTTCTAAAACTACATAAACTAGTTAAATTATTTGATAAGCAACAAGCTTCTTTTTTATTCCTCTTCATATTTGTAATTCTAATTACACCCAAATAAAATGATCTATTAAATTTACACTAAATGGTACTCAACTGTGTAACATGAACCTAGGGCATGCCAATGCATATCGAAACTGCTCAGAAATGTAGTGGTGCTGCACTGTCAATCTTAACACAAAGGTATCTTCAGAATTGCTAATATGATAGGCGAGTGAAACTTTTCCATGAGATGATAGGAAAAGAAAGATTCTGATGTTATTTTAAAAAATGTTTTCTGTCATCTTTCAACTGCATCACTGCATAATGATACAACCAAAAGAAGCTATCTGTTTATTTTACCTGGAAAGATAAAGATGACTTTTCTCAGGATACAAAATCAATGTGCAAAAATCACAAGCATTCCTATACACCAATAACAGACAGAGAGCCAAATCATGAGTGAACTCCCATTCACAATTGCTACTAAGAGAATAAAATACCTAGGAATACAACTTGCAAGGGATGTGAAGGACCTCTTCAAGGAGAACTACAAACCACTGCTTAAGGAAATACAGAGAGGACACAAACAAATGGGAAACCATTCCATCCTCATGGACAAGAAGAACTGATATCATGAAAATGGCCCTACTGCCCAAAGTAATTTATAGATTCAATGCTATTCCCATCAAGCTACCGTTGACTTTCTTCACATAATTGGAAAAAAATTACTTTAAACTTCATATGGAGTGAAAAAAGAGCCCGCAGAGCCGAGACAATTCTAAGCAAGAAGAACAAAGCTGGAGGCATCACGCAACCTGACTTCAAGCTATACTACAAGGCTACAGTAACCAAAACAGCATGGTACTGATATCAAAACAGATATATAGACCAATGGAACAGAACAGAGGCCTCAGAAATAACACCACACATCTACAACCATCTGATCTTTGACAAACCTGACACAAACAAGCAATGGGGAAAGAAGGATTCCCTATTTAATAAATGGTGTTGGGAAGACTGGCTAGCCATATTCAGAAAACTGAAAGTGGATCCCTTCCTTACGCCTTATACAAAAATTAACTCAAGATGGATTAAAGACTTAAATTTAAGACCTAAAACCATAAAAACCCTGGAAGAAAACCTAGGCAATACCATTCAGGACATAGGCATGGGCAAGGACTTCATGTCCAAAACACCAAAAGCAATGACAACAAAAGCCAAAATAGACAAATGGGGTCAAATTAAACATAAGACCTTCTGCACAGCAAAAGAAACTATCATCAGAGTGAACAGGCAACCTAAAGAATGGGAGAAATTTTTTGTAATCTATCCATCTGACAGAGGGCTAATAACCAGAATCTACAAAGAACTTAAACAAATTTACAAGAAAGGAACAACCCCATCAAAAAGTAGGTGAAGGATATGAATAGACACTTCTCAAAAGAAGACATTTATGCAGCCAGCAGACACATGAAAAAATGCTCATCATCACTGGTCATTATAGAAATGCAAATCAAAACCACAATGAGATGCCATCTCACACCAGTTAGAATGGCGATTATTAAAAAGTCAGGAAACAACAGATGCTGGAGAGGATGTGGAGAAATAGGAATGCTTTTACACTGTTGATGGGAGTGTAAATTAGTTCAATGATTGTGGAAGACAGTGTGGCGATTCCTCAAGGATCTAGAACCAGAAATACCATTTGACCCAGCAATCTCATTACTGGGTATATACCCAAAGGATTATAAATCATTGTACTATAAAGACACATGCACTATGTTTATTGCAGCACTATTCACAATAGCAAAGACTTGGAACCAACCTAAATGTTCATCAATAATAGACCGGATAAAGAAATTGTGGCACATATACACCATGGAATACTATGCAGCCATAAAAAAGGATGCATTCATGTCCTTTGCAGCGTCATGGACGAAGCTGAAAACCATCATTCTCAGCAAATTGTGATAACGAGAACAGAAAAGCAAACACTGCAAGTTCTCACTTGTAAGTGGGAGTTGAACAATGAGAACACATGGACACAGGGAGGGAAACATCACACACTGGGGCCTGTTGGGGGATCGGGGGCTAGGGGAGGGATAGCATTAGGAGAAATACCTAATGTGGGTGACAGGTTGATGGGTGCAGCAAATCACCATGGCACGTGTATACCTATATAACAAACCTGCACGTTCTGTACATGTACCCCAGAACTTAAAGTATTAAAAAAAAAAAGGTGACTTTGTCAGTGATTAGACGTGCTCACGCTAGATAATTCGGAATTTATATTTTGAATTTATATTCCAAGGAAATTTACTAAGGCATCAATATAGTTCAGAAGATTTTCACAGTTCAAATGTTTATAATGGTCTGTATTAAGTGTTAAATGTGGGAAAAGTGAAGTGGAAAGAAATAAAAAAATAGACCTTAGTAGCTGGCAAATTTATGAAAATAATTAATATAACATATTCTTTAGGTCATGTCATAAATAATTACAGCAAGGATCATCACAGCACATTACTGTTAATTTATATTTGTATAAACATTTAGTTATTAAAGATCAAAGTGCTATATTTGCCAAAGAGGATTTGAGTCATTTTAAAAACAAGTATAAAAACTTACAGCAAAAAAATCTAGTTCATAAAAATAATAAATTACAGCACCTTCAAATAATTCAACAAAGATTTAACTGAGCATCCACAATCTATATTCAATATTTCAGTAATTTCTATGGAAATTCTTGATACTTTAAAACAAAATAAATACATTGTTTTAAGTCTGGAGCACAACTGAGGTATGAGAAAGAGACTGGTTTGGTGGGAGTGTTTCAAAATCTTCCTGAAGTTCTGGAAAACAGAAACAAAACGAGTTGTGGGAATACACCCGACAAGCTATAAATAAGTAATTGTATTTTTCACATTTTGATCTACAAAAGTTTTGTTGTCCCTTTTCTCAGCCAGGGCATACTTTACAGCTTATTGTATTTTCTTTCTACTGACTTTGAGTAGTTTGTTCTGGTGGATTTATCTTTAGAAAAATACAGAAGCTTTACTACTAGTTTTTCTAGACCAATTAATCAACAATAGTCAAGCCAGAGACAAGCTATTGGTCATCTAAATAAGGAGATAAATTTTAAACTTTGAAATAACGTTACAAGCCTGAAAGAATTCTCCCTCAGAACATCTATCATTTCACAATTTCATTCACATAGGAGTACACCAAGACATCTGATGACACTAACAATGGGTCTTTCACAAGATTGTTTGTAGGGCCTTACTTTCTTGTCAGAACCAATCAATGGCCTTCAGAACAAAAACTCAGCAGTAGTAAAAACAAGAGAAAGGAAAAAAGGCAGTCTGTGGTCCAGGATGCATTTCAATAAGCCTAACCTCTAAGTGACAGATGAGGAATTTAAACTGCTCAGTATAATTCTACAAATGAGGTGTGTGAGAGTGCTTTTCATTAAAATAAGTAAGTCTCACTTCACACAGGCTTATGGGTCTTCCTGATGGCGTTCTCTGACTCTCATTACAGGACTTGCAAAGTGTAAAACTTCTCCAACAGAGTTTTTCACACTCACTCCCTATATGTTTATATATATATATATATATATATATATATATATATATATATATATATATATATATGATATATGAATTTTACCAGGAAAACATCTTGAAAGAGTATTTGAACTGAAAAGTATATTCATAACATGAATTAAACAAGAGTTCTATTTGATCTTTCCTTGAG
Source organism: Homo sapiens (assembly GCF_000001405.40). Lineage (NCBI taxonomy): Eukaryota > Metazoa > Chordata > Mammalia > Primates > Hominidae > Homo > Homo sapiens. The sequence continues at coordinate 80,457,181 of NC_000001.11, read as the reverse complement.
AGAAGTGCATTTACGTTTTCAAATGTGATCATTTATTAAAGTGCCATAGTTTATGTTAGACATTGCAGAAAAGATCATGCTTGCTTGCTAGGGTACAGGCTTTAGCTATGAGTGAATAGATTAACAAATGGGTCTTAGGGTACATTTTTGTTGTTCAATGAATCTCTTAATTCCTTGAAAACGTAATCATAGCAAACATGTTTTTGATGAATATCTTCAGGGCTTATAGTGAAAATCAGTATTTACAAAGTCTAAATTAATATTATCCTGATGCTTGAATTATTTTGAATGAATATTCATGTTTAAATTCCTCATTGTTAACTTTTATTCTTGTTATGTGCAACACATTTGTATTATTCTTTGTAAGTACACTTGTGCACACACTATTTTCACAACAGGAAAATATGTCTTATGTCTGAGTATTTAAATGCCAATGAATATATGAAGCCTTTCAAAGAGAAAACTGGAAACTAAATACTTCACATTACTCTTAGAAAATTTTTTTTATTGTGTAAATCAATGAAGTGTTGTTTCACGTTTGCATAATGAAATAATTACCTACTCTTGTGTAGCTATTTTTAGTTATGTGAAGGAACTCTACATGCCTTTTTAAAAATTCAATTTATATAATAAAAAACTAAATGACACTGAGATTCCATGACTTACCTTGGTGACTTTTACAAGCTGAAAGTTTTGTCCTGTGATTTATGTTTAATAATTTAACACATTAATAATATTTTAGATGTGGGTTGTTGAACATAAGCATGGAGATTATTTAAATGAATATTTAATTTTTATTCACCTTGCCAGAAGACAGAACATGGGTTTAATTGCTTGATATGAAAAATAAAAAGATCAGTAAAAATAGTAATGTAAAAAAAGTTATAAAATAAAAGAAATATATATATATCTTACTTTTGGGCCATGGAATAAATAATAATTGGCTGAGTGTTTGATATTATAGAACAAAAATTATAGTACAATTTTATTTTTCTACTAGAAGAGATTGTCTATATGTGGTACATACTCTCAAAATGTACATTTTAAGTTCCTGTTTTTTATTCTGAATATATAAAATAACATTGTGAATATTTTATATAGCAAACCTAGCACTGTAGATACAATGGATATCTGATGAGTAATATTTCTTTTGTATTTTTCTTCCACGTTGATTGCCACAAAGACACTCTAGAGAAAGCTACCATTAAGGCAGCATGGGATACTGACCCACGGATAGACAGTCAGGATGTTGCTGTGAGCAACATTCTTTGAAAATTGCAGACATGAATATTTTAATACTAATATGGAAAGAAGGGTGAAATTTATGGTGGCACTAGATTCTAAAATACACAATTCACATTTATATACACTGGATATTTTCCTATCTTCTGTGGAGTAAATTAGCGATTTATAGAGCATAGTGTCTCACACATACACATGTCCACACACATACACACTGGGAGGACATGTGTACCAGAAGCTTTGCTATAACTACATTCTAGGGACTCATACAGGGTGAGTTAATGAATTACTTTTGCAAACTAAAATTCTTTGATTACAGTTCACATGCTGAATTCTGCTCTATAGCAAATACTGTTTAAGGACCCTCCAGTGTATTTAGAGTACTTAATATAGCTGAATGATTGGTGAGAGTTGACACGGGAACATCTACTCTTAAAAACTTGCAAATCAATCTGTAGCACTTCCCTCAATGTCCATTTCACCCACCTTCTCCTTTAACTATTTTCTCTTCATGCTTTTTTTTTTTTAATCATTCTCCTCTTTTTAGCTTTAAAAACTAAAATTGTGCCAGGCGCGGTGGCTCACGCCTGTAATCCTAGCACTTTGGGAGGCCGAGGCAGGCGGATCACGAGGTCAGTAGATCGAGACCATCCTGGCTAACACGGTGAAACCCCGTCGCTACTGAAAATACAAAAAAATTAGCCGGGCGTGGTGGCGGGCGCCTGTAGTCCCAGCTACTTGGGAGGCTGAGGCAGGAGAATGGCGTGAACCTGGGAAGCGGAGCTTGCAGTGAGCCGAGATCGCGCCACTGCACTCCAGCCTGGGTGACAGAGCGAGACTCCGTCTCAAAAAAAAAAAAAAAAAAAAAAAAAAACTAAAATTGTGATTGATGGCACAATCAAGATTGAAGAATATTATTGCCATTTCTGTTACTTCCCTTCCCAAACTGCCCCATACTTTACCACACCAGTCTTGCTGTGTCCCCTTTCCCAACATCCATTCTTTTGTACATAAGACTTGATTTAAATTGTCCCAATTTTGAAGTCACATTATAAATAAAGTCTATCCTTTTACAGTAGTCTGCAATTTAAAGGAAGAGAAGAACCCTCAATATAAAACCTGTTTTGTGTGTGTGGAAATGGGGATAAATTCTTCCAAATTATTGGGCTGGAATAATCCCTGTAACCTCATCTGCAGTTTTCACTGATTGGGTAAGATGATTTCTGTCCTATTTAGCTCAGTTACAGGCAAATTTAGTTTCAGGAACTAAAATTTGTGAACATTGGAATATTTCAGGTACTAATATCTACATTTTATTATCTTATGATGAACAGTATGCTTACTTAAGGTGAATAGAATTGACTATGCCCTAAAAAAGGAGTAAATGGTTATCTTTAGGTAGTTTAATTCATTTTAGGCATCCAGTTTTTTCCCCTAAAATTCATGATTACTGTCCTATTTAAAAGTAAAATTCAAGATTTCTTTTTTTAAAAAAATGTCCACACACATCCATGGGAGAAAACATAAAGACAAACTCCACACAAAATATTTATAACTGGATGGACTGTTAAAGAATTTTCCCCAGTCCAATCCAAATCTCAAATTCCCCCGAAGCTTTCATAGCAATATGTAGTGTAATGTTTGAGTTAGCTTTCTGAGGCACTTACTGCTTGAAAACTTTTCCAGTTAGGATTTATACACTGATGTACCAAACTATTTCCCATTTTTAGAAACTTTATGAAAAATAAGAAGTAGAAGTGTGTTGATGTTATTGCTCTTTTTTAAGTTAAAGAGAAAATTCAGGTGCCATGGTAAGAGGCACTGCTGAGGTTTACAGTCAGTTTGCTGTGTGATATTTTTATTTTAAACAAATATGCAAACTATTGGTAAGTGAGCCAGAGCTTCTGAGTTTGATCCTAGAGCTGTCATTAATTTCCTCTGCTGTAATAAATATGTCATCTGAGCCCTGTCTGCCTTCATCTTATCAGTAATACCAGAATAAGACTGTTGTGCTTACCGACCTCAGAGGGATAACATAACAAGTATCGTAATTGAAGAAATATACATTTAAAATGTCTGGAAAATTACCTAGCTTTTTAAAAAAATATACTAGATAAATGTATTGTGTATATTCATTTTTTAAAAAGTTCTCTTGTGATTATCACAAAAGACAAGCCATGTATTTGTGAGCTAAAAATGAACTAAAACATTTTATTTTAGAATTTTTTGGTTTCCAATACAAAGTCTTAGGAAAGCAATTGGACTCCTACTCTGTTGAACAATCCTGATATTTGTGAGATTTTCATTGCATTAAAAAAATTGCTGCTGTCATTCTCAAATGACACCCTAAAATTGGAAGATTTTGTGCATGTATTGAAGAATGGAAGCTCTACTGGTTAAGAATCTATTTAAAGACAAAGCAAATAAATAATTTTAACAAAGTTAATATCAACAATAAGAAAGACAGCAGAAGACAGCACTTCAAGCCATTAATTGCATAAGGCGCCTCAAAATTCATTAGGCTATTCCACTCCCTCGTTACACGGTATTGGTCCTTTAGAAATCATCTTATCCAATATCATCTACAATAACTTCTCTTAGGGATTATAATAATTCAAGCCTTTTCTCCTGTGACATTCACTCCTTTGTAGCGTAGAGACAAAGTGAATTAATTCTTCCCACACAAAGAAAACATCACATTTTAGGGAACACAAGTTTAGTGTTTATATATAGTCATACAAAACACTCTTTGACTTGAAGTTTTTTTGTGTTTAAATAATTTCTTGCCTGGAACTAAACTCTATATTTTGTAAAACACTATTTTAATAAAATTTTTCTCAATTTAACTTGTGTAACTATGGATAAACCTGATGTCTTTGCAATTTTATATTGGTTTATTAACTACAGTGAACTGGACTTGAAAGCTCCTTTATATCTAAAGCAAAATAAACATAGCATGTTGATTAAGTTGGATAGGTTTTAAAGATTACTTGAATTTTCTCTAGCATAAATTATTATTTTGGGGATATTAAACATATATGTGAAATATACATATTTTATTAATATTTATGTTTCTTTATAACATAAAGTATTAATGACAAAGAAGTTACTGAAGGTAGGAACCTTGGCTTATTGACTCTTTTTAGCCTTAGCACCAGCTATTTTATGGTATTATTAAGCATCTGTAATACTTTTGTTGAATGAATGAATTATTCATTTTGGATTATGTGTATCAGTTAATATTGGAAGGTTTAAACTACATGCGAATGCAATATGGGTTCCATAAAATAGATAATTCAAAGGCCTAAAATATATTTAAAAATTCATATTCAGGAATAATTTTAACCTCTACAGAAATTAAACTTCTTCCAGAATAGAATGTAGTTGCTTTTTAGAGAATGGAAAAAAATACAACACATGGAGGGTCAGAAATTTTCAAATCTTAATCTCTAATTTGTTACGTGCTAACTCTGTCACCCAAGGCAAGACACTGAACCTCTCATTTTACTCAATTGTGGGATAATAATACTTACCTACATTACATGGCTATTGTGTTCATTAAGTGGACAATGATTGCAAAGCTCTCTGAAGATTGTAGAATACATCATAAATCCTAAGCCAAATTCTCCCATTCAATACCTTCTACTAGGTTATAGACACAGAGAATTCTAACTAACTATATTAGAAAAGTTTGTGAGGAGTAACTGATCATGAGACTTTGTGAGAATTTTTGGTGGACAGAATGTTGTTATGCAATTAAAAATTATTGCTTGGCATAGAGATCAGAGCTAATGTTTCTCAGTTGCAGAAACAAGCCATAGAACTTCTAACAATCAACAAATGGCTAACGAATCCGATTTGAGATTCGTTAGCTTACTCCTTTCTGTCCACCTGCTGAGGAAGCATCGTTCAAGTCTCTCTTCCTACTACTGTCATGTCTAGTCAGAGTCTTCGAAAGAGCCTGAAGAGCTGCAGAAACTTTTCATTGGATGGCTGGGCTTTGAAACAACTGATGAGAGCCTGAGGGACCATTTGAGCCATGGGGAATACTGAAGGACTATGTGGTAAGGAGAGATCCAAAGACCAAGTGCTCCAGGGGCTTTGGGTTTGTCACTTATGCCACTGTGGAGGAGGTGGATGCAGCCATGAATACAAGGCCACACAAGGTGGATGGAAGAGTTGTGGAACCAAAGAGAGCTGTCTCAAGAGAAGATTCTCAAAGACCAGGTGCCCGCTTAACTGTGAAAAAGATATTTGTTGGTGGCATTAAAGAAGACACTGAAGAACATCACCTAAGAAATTATTCTGAACAATATAGAAAAATTGAAGTGATTGAAATTACGACTGACAGAGGCAGTGTCAAGAAAAGGGGCTTTGCCTTTGTAACCTTTGATGACCATGACTCTGTGGATAAGATTGTCATTCAGAAATACCATTCTGTGAATGGCCACAACTATGAAGTTAGGAAAGCCCTGCCAAACAAGAGATGGCTAGTGTTTCATCCAGACAAAGAGGTCGAAATGGTTCTGGAAACTTTGGTGGTAGTCGTGGAGGTGTTTATGGTGGGAATGACAACTTTGGTTGTGGAGGAAACTTCAGTAGCTTTGGTGGCAGTGGGGATGGCTATAATGGATTTGGTGATGATGGAGGCAGTTTTGGAGGTGGTGGAAGCTACAATGATTTTGGCAATTATCACAATCAGTTTTCAAATTTTGGACCGATGAAGGGAAGAAACTTTGGAGCCAGTATCTCTGGCCCCTGTGTGGGTGGAGGCCAATACTTCGCCAAACCACGAAACCACGGTGGCTATGGCAGTTCCAGTAGCAGCAATAACTATGGAAGTGGCAGAAGATTTTAATTACTGCCAGGAAACACAGCTTAGTAGGAGAGGAGAGCCAGAGAAGCGACAGGGAAGCAATAGGTTACCACAGATTTGTGAACTCAGCCAAGCACAGTGGTGGCAGGGCCTAGCTGCTACAAAGAAGACATGTTTGAGACAATAGTCATGTGTATGGGCAAAAAACATAAGGACTGTTTTTGTGACTAATTGTATAACAGGTTATGTTAGTTTCTGTTCTGTGGAAAGTGTAAAGCGTTCCAACAAAGGGTTTTAATGTAGATATTTTTTGCACCCATGCTGTTGATGGCTAAATGTAATTATGATGCTAAATAAATATGTCTTTTTAAAAAATTTTTGATTTGAATATTGTGTTTAGTAGTTAAAAACTGATATATGTAGAATGAATTTAAAATACACTTAACAATTATATTCTTCAGATGACTGATAAATTAGAATTAGATTCTGTTGTGAGTTGCCAAACACCCCAAATCAGAGTATCTTAAATAAAGCATATTATTTATTCTCAGTGCCATGTGCCCCCCACCAAGAATTCTATTACTCTCAGAGGTATAGATATAGTGGTACAAGTTAGCAGTCCTATAGTGTCTTTATCAACATACACCTAGAGACAGTTAAAATACGTAGCCGTATCTTAAGATGTAAAGAGCTACAGGATGTCTACAAAAAGAAAGAAATTACAGATGAATTTTTTCAATACAGTGCTAAATATTTGTCACATGATAAATTAAGCAAAAAATCAATAATAAATTAAATAGTAAAAACTGGTTCATTTATTCTTACTGAATTGCTTTCCCAAAAAGAGCTAGATGGAGAGATCTTAGAGAGATGGATATAGAAGTCTAAGTCAGAAAATTGTTGAATGAGTAATTATAATTGAAATCCACTGGAGTGATTCTAATTGGATGGCTTAGTTGGCTAGCATATGATTTTCTCAAAGATAGGTAGATGTGCAATTCTTGTATCAGAGGACTGGCTTTGATATGTTCCATGGTTCTACATAGGATTCTAGGCTTTAGCAAACTGTCTTAGAAATAATTTGTTTATTGTGCTAATGAGATTAACTGATTAGAGATACTTGATGGAATAATGAAAAACTTATTAGTTCCACTGGGAAAACAGCTCAAAGCCTTATTGAAGTTAAATAAATCCATGACAAGAGGAAAATGTCTTATATTTATTGAGCGGCTACTGTGTGCCACACATGCCTGGTACCTCTTCATATGTTGCCCATTTATTTATGACAGTAGTCTTACGAGGTAGGTGTTATAACATCTACTTCATAGGAGTACTGTCATAAATAATTTATAATTTGTTCAATTAAACATTTGAAAGTATAAAAATTTTAAACTATCTGATTAAAATCTGACAGCATACCAAATCACATACCCAGAATTCATAGGTATGTGATATTTTGGACATCTACTGAGTATTGGACTCCTACTGAGTATTCCTTCTATTACCATGACATCCCAAAAGAGGTCCAGTGACGTAATTTCTATACTTGAAGACACCTCATAGATGTCAATGAATAGCACACATATTTTACAAATAAAATAAAAAATGTTAAAAGTCCATTATTATAATTATCCTCATAACATTTAACTAGTACAGTAGTTTAATAACAGTTCATTTCTTTTAACAAGTACATAATTATTCCAGTATTTGCTTTAGGCTTGTTTTAGAGTTGTTCTTTAAAGGTAAAATGAAAGGAGGTATTAAACATTTGTTAAATATCCACACTCAGTCACACATCAATCTGTGATATACAAATGTTTATCTTTAAAATTTAGAAATATTTGCTTGAAAAATATTTATACTCAGGTTTGGAGAAAGTGCCTCAAAGTAAACCCAATTGTGTTGTTAATGGGTGAGTAAATTGATACTACCTTTTAGAAGGGAAAATTAGCAATATTGAAAGAGTGTTAATAATTTCTCTCTTTTGAATCATGCCCTTTGCATTCGGTTCAAGGAATCTGCTATATGACAAATAATTGGAGAGTAGAATAGATTTATATACAAGGTTAGTCACTGAAGCATTATTTAAATTAGTAAATATTGTCAGAGTTACACATCCAAAAAATGATAAACAACTATCTAGACTATAATATAGCTATGTTGTGGAATATTGTTATATTGTTAACATTATATTTTAATATTATTTAATAACATGGTGAAATGCCACGCAGTGAATTGGAGAGCATGCCAAGGTCTTATCAATAATTTGGGGCATTATTTTTAATGCCAACAATTCATTAGGGTATTACACAAGAAGTATTATTCCCAGGTTATATCACCATACTTTCCCCAAAGGAAGAGGAATTAAGAAACAACTTTTTCTTCCTTTCAGTATAGCTGTATGTATCAAATTATAAGGATCTAAAATAATAGCCAAACCTAAAAATGGTTTGGCTATTACAACATTTTATTCTGTATATATTTAGTACTTTAAGAAAGACTGTGTCAAGAGTTTGACATTTTTTAAAATGTGGTTTCTAGTCTTTTGCAGTTGATATATTTTTAGATGAACTTGCTCAAATAATTTCATATTTCCTTGTGCCTCAGTTTCCACGGTACAAGACAAAGACATCAATGATAAACTACCTCCCAGGGATATTTCTGAGCATTAGCTAATGTTTGTAAAGCCTCCATAGAGAGTAGGGGATGAATAATGAAATAGAATCTCGATGTAGTGTTATCATTCTTGTCTTTCTCATTAGTCTCTGAGAGGCTTCATGCCAACTTTAAGCATTTCGGCTGCCAGAATGAAGGGTTTGTATTTTAATTTTGCCTGGAAAAGTGAGCGTTGCTTGAACATCTGGGGTTCACCCCGGCATAATTCCAATAATGCTTCTACAGAATCAGATATGTGAAGTATGATGGCCAGTACCACAAAGGAATTCATATCTAATTTTAGGCCTGCTGTTTCAATTTATAATTTAGCTTACATTTTAAACCTATTAGGAAAAGCAGAAGCTAAGTAACACGTTTGAGATTTATTTGAAGTTTTTATGCGAGAAATTTTTTTGCTTAAAATTGAATTACAATAAAACCATGTCTACAGGGAGTGGGCAAAAGGAATGGAGTTAGGATTTTGGCCAGCTTCTTTTACCATATTTTTCATGGCTAAAACACGCACACATGTATACATTTTTTTTAATCCACATTATTTCATTCACTCATTCAAAAATGTATTTTGGAGATTTTTATTATATGCCAAATGATGATGGGGATATAGCAAAGTACAAGCCAATGAAAATGCTAACCCATTGAGGGCACATTCTAGTAATGCCTATGAGATCCAAGGTTACTTGATCATATTTTTATGTAATCATTGTGTCAACCTGTCACTCAGTGCAAGTTTGATGAAAGATAAAGAAAGAATGAGTGACTCAAACATACCAAAGCTGTACAGACACAGCCAAGATGTTCATTTACAATAACCTCATTTCTGATGACTTAGTGGAACTGCGCTATAATGTGACAATCAAAATTAAATAAATGTTTGATTAATTTTAGAAATTAGTTTTATTTTTCCTTTTTATTAATTATAATACCTCTAATAATGAAATACATACAAAAAATATAAATATAAATTTATAATAGCTGATATTTTCTCAGGATATAGGAAATTAATTTTCATGAGTATGAACTAAGGAAGCTGAGAGGGAATAAAATAGAATGAAATCATATTAAATTGACTCAGGGAGCATAGGTAATGGTCTGAATGTCTGTGCCTCAAAGTGTTCTTCAGTGCAACCCACCTAGAAACTTTCCATAACAATGGAAATGCATGTATGTGTGTGTGTGTGTGTGCATGCACACACACGCACGTGTATCCTGTCCAAGATGGTAGCCACAAGCCATGTGTGGCTATTAAGCACTTGAAATATAGGTGGTACAAATGAACAATTGTATTTTTAATTTTACTTTGTTTTAATTACTTTAAATTTAATTAGCCATGGCTGCCATATTGGACAATCCAGCTACAGAAGGAAACATGATTAACAACTAAAAGAGCTGCTTTGCAAAAATTTCTATGTAACAGTCAAAACATGTGTATCATTGATTACGGTAGCAACAACTTTGGAAATGATGAATCATAGCCTGGTGGCTGGGAGCTGAGAAAGTGAACAGGTCTGTGATTAAAAGATCCTACCAGGGAATGAGACAGACCAGGGTTTAAATTCTAATTCCAAAACTTCTAGTTGTATGACCTTGGGCAAATTAACGTGCCCTAACTACATTGCGAAACAGGGATAATAATATTTATCATACCCATATCAAAGGTTGTCATGAGAATTAAATAAAGCAGGTGGAATAGCTGGCACTCTGTCACTGTAGCGTATGTGATTGCTATTATTACTATTATACTGTTATTATCCCATCTGAGGAGTCCTCAAATGATATGTGTATAAAGTGAAAAACATGATAATACGACTTGTTATTTGTTCTGATGTTCATTTAGTCTGGAATGTCCACTGCCCATTGCCCCTCTCCCTGGTAAAGTCTTATTATTTCATCAAGTCTTGATTAAGCAACTTACAATGAAGATTTACTGGAAAACAGTAGAGAAATAAGTAACCCCTCCAAGCAGGGAGATTGTAGGGTGCACACATGCTACTTTGTGGTACTTTATTCATGATTGTTGCCATGCTGTTTAGGACATACTATTCAGGATTTTTACATTGTAGATGGTTAGTTTCTGTTGGGGAAGGGCCCTGCATCATTTTTACTACTATTTTATAAATAAGAAAACTCAGGTTCAGAGAGCTCTTCATTCCGGAAGTGTTAAAACTTACTTTGGCTGTAATCACTAGCTTCTTGTGGATAGACTATAACCCAGAAATTTGGCGTTCCAGTTCTTGATGATGGAATGCTCCAGTGGTTCTAGGGTTGATGATGCCATAGACACTCTATGACGTCCAAGAGGAGCAGGTTAGGTAATATCAGATCTGCATGTTTAGCAGGTGCCATTGGGGCCTGTAGATGACATTGGCCACTGTACCCCACACAGTTTATACGCTAGGAGATTAGATGGCCAGAGTGAGTCAACTAGAGGAGATGATCATGAAACAAATTTAGGTGCTTGTGATCAGCATTTACAAATGAAATATATTAAAACAAATATGAGAGTTCATTACAAACCATAAAGATAGGCATTTTCCACAAAACTTTTCTCAACTATATAAACATAATGTGTATACATACGTGAGTCCGTACTAAGTCACGATGTGTAAAATACTTTCTATTTGGTTACATTAAAAAATGTTCGAAGGCCCACCTATAAGGGTATATTTTTAGGGACTGTGTGGTCAAAGGGAGAAATGCAGCTTCAGATAATAATGCTAAGAATCACATAGGTTGGTAGACAGCAGTGAAGGGCAGTAGAATATTGTATACTGCCTGGAGCTTCAAAGAGGCTAAAAGGATAACTTAGGAAACAAAACAAAATACAAAAGAAATAAATCATGTTTTAAAAGAGCCAGGAAAATAGAAAGGAGAAAATAAATAAAATATAATAATAAAGAGTAAGTAAGTTTCCAGTAAGGTCTTCACATTTTTACAGAATAGCTGAACTAAGAATTTTGCTGAGAAAATCTGTGAGTTTCTACAGAAGTAAATTTATTATTTTGCCTCCTAGTACCACTTCTTGTTTCTAAAACCATCACTTCCCACCTCCCAGTCATCACCTTTTTCTCCCACCTCACTTCTTCAAGGAACTGCTGCACGTATTTCACAAGGATCTCATTCCTACGAGAACTGCTATTATCCTATGTGACCTTCCCACAAGCCCTTGATTGATCCAGAGTTGGGTGTATGACTAAGCCAAGTGGAATTTTTTAATTGAAATCAAGAAAGAGTTTCTCTCCCGTGGTAGATTTCCTCAGATGTAAAAACAATATTTACAGACGTATTTGAGCAGCTGTTCTGTAGAGACAGAATGAATCTGACACTCAGAGAGAAGAAAAGATAGGTTAGATATAGAGCCCTGGTGGATTTAGAATCCTGTGCTCTGTTTGTTTTTGAGGTTCAGCCATGTCTTTATCCTTTCCAAGGTTTAGGTTTCCGACCTTTGTTGGATTCCAAAATCCAATAAATCTCTTGTTAAACCTAAAGTGTGAGATGAGGTACTGTTACTTGACTAATACAGTTATTGGAAGTACAACCACCAAGGACAGTTACATAAGGGAAGATGCAAGACATTGAAAAAGGGGAGCAAAGATCAGCACAGACTAAGATTACACAAAAAACCAGAATAACCTACAGAAACAACATGACTAGACTAATATCAATACTTGGTTGAGATAGATGGATGGTCAAAATGAGAGGTATATAAGAAGAGACACCTTTAAGTACTTGTGTTTACATATGTATAAAAATAACTATGTATATATGATACATATGGCTAAGTATTTAATAAACCTGTTGTTCATAATGCTCGTGGCTGAGAATGCTGTGTGTTTATCAAACTCTGTTCCCTTTTCTTTCAACTTCAGAACTTTTAACTACATTTCCTAGCCCTTCTTGCAGGTTGGAGTTGCCATGCCATCGAATTCTGACCTATGAAACGTACACATTGTGATGTGTGTGACCTACAAACCTTCCTCAAGTGATTTTCACTCTCTTTTCTAAAACGTTAACTGAGTATAAACAAATGTGATGATACAGGGAAGGGGAGACCACAATCTAAAAAGATCCCAGTGACTAAATTACCACATAGATGACTACCCAACCAGGATCACCAGCTTGGTTTAGGATATGAGCTAAAAATACTCCTATTATTACTCTACTGTCTCAGGAGAGAAGGGGTTATCTGTCCCAGAAGCCAGTGTTAGCTTAATGAATAAAGTGTTATTCAGTTGTTTTCAAATAATTAAATTATACATTATGGCTAATTAAACAATTGAACATTAGGATACCGTTAATGTAGCAATAGCTGAATTAGTACATCCTACTCACTAGCCAGAGTCTGACAACTGACAATGTATATGAATTTAAAACCATGTTTGCATCCCTTTTTCAGTTTGCTCAACCTCAGTGCACTAAAAACAGCAGCACTTATTCTCAAATGGCCACAGAAAAGCTTAAATTTGATATTTTTCCATATCTGTAAGAAACTTCTGAGTCTACTCCACATTTGTAACATGATTTCATTGATTCTCATACATCATGTTATTGGCAAATTAAGGTACCTAAGGGACAAATAGATTTTGATAGTCTCAACCATGTATGACTATGGGAGAGCTGCTGAGAATTTCAAGGTTATATTTAAACAGACACAAGCTTGTTCTAAGAGCTTTGTGCTTCTTATTGAAATTGCAGAGGTGATCTTTAAAGAATATAGGAATCTTAATGAATTTATAAATGAATCTATAAAATGTGTTATTTGATTTCTCTTTGTTGAAAAAAGCTATCTACTACTCTCAAATTTGTTTTACTCATTGTTATAGCTGAGCTTTAAGGCACTCTGCTAAAGAAAATGAGTAATTTAGGATGTATATTTGGACTCCCATATCTTTTATTGTAGAAATAAAATGTTGTAGAGGTTGAATAGAGATGGGAAAGCCATAATTTTCTTTCATCCTTAGACCACCAATCCTTGCATGAGAATTGATGTGAACCAAAACAATAAAGCTATTTGCTTTACTTTGTGTGTTTTATATAAAAGAAGGCTTTTCTATAAATTCAGGTAATTTTTTTCAATTTTCTTTAAGTTTAGTGACCAATCTTTGCTTCTTTATTGTTAATTGTCAACCCTAACCCCTAAATTAAACCAAATGCCCAAAGTGGACTTCATTTATGCTATCTCTGGGATTGTATCTTTCTTATCTATTAGGTTCCCTATATTATATTAAACTGGATCCCTGTAGTCTGCACATTTTCCTGTTTCTTCACACGGGGTAATACCAAATCATCTTCCCATTATACAAATAAAATATTTAACAGTCTTAACAATCTTAATTTTACGATTATTAATTCTTTCACTTGGGAAGTTGGTATTTTATAGGGGTTAAAAAATGTAAGTCCAAAGTCATATTGTCTGGGTTCAAACTAACCATGTCCTTTCTGTTAGGCTTCAGTTCCTGTAAAATAGTAATAATTCATATTTCATGATGATATTGTGAGGATAATACAAGCAAGTACATAGCATGTACTTGTGCTATGGTGTAGACATGGTTTGTTTGTTCTCACCAATCTCATGTTGAGATTTGAATGTGGGGCCTAATGGGGGGTGTTTGGTCGTGAGGGTAGAATAGGTTAATGAATAGCTTAATGCTTTCCCTCGGGAGTGTGTCGGTTCTCATGTTATATGCAAGATCTGATTGTTAAAAAGAGCATGGCACCTTCCCACCCCTACTTTTCTTCTCTCTTGCCACATGATCTCTGCAAAAATCAACTCCCTTTCACCTTCCACCGTGAGTGGATGTAGCCTGAGGCTCTCACAGATGCAGATGCCCAATCTTGAACTTTCCAACCCTCAGAATTGTAAGCCAAATAAACCTTTTTTTCCTGATAAATTACTCAAACTCTAGTATTTCTTTATAGCAACATTAAACAGATTAAGACAGTTTGGAATAGCACCTTTAGACAGCAGTGTTTGCTATTTGTTTTTTTGGTGTGTGTGCGTGGTTGTTACTCTTAATGTCACTAGGTATAATATCTTATATTGGGAAATGTGGGTACCAAAATGGATTAGACTGTAATCCCAGCTACTCGGGAGGCTGACACAAGAATTGCTTGAACCTAGGAGGAGGAGGTTTCAGTGAGCCAAGATCATGCCACTGTACTCCAGTACTCCAGCCTGGGCAACAGTGTGAGACTCTGTCTCAGAACGAAAACAATATATACACACATACATATATAGACAAACACATATACATATATATACACACATACACACACACAATGCTTTAAGAGTATAGAAATTATTATGAGTAATAATATAATTTCAAGACTAAGCAAATTTATTTTGGGATGTAAGAAATTTCACAGGGAGTTAGTTACATTTGGTTTGGGCTTAAAAGCATAAATTGTAGTAGACAGAGAAAGGTAGGGAACCTTCGAAAGCATAGAAAACAGAATGGGCAAAGCACAGAGTAGGGAAACATCATGTATGTTCAGGAAATAAAAAGGAATCCATTAGTTCAGGAGTAGTTCAGTAGTTCACTGAGGTTGGAGCAGTGATTCTCAATGGGCAACAATTTTGCTCCCCCTCCAGGAAACATTTGGCAATGTCTGGACACTTCTTTATTTCCGTGTCAAGGAGACGCTCCTGGCATGTAATGTGTAGAAGCCAGGCATGCCGCAAAATATCCCCGCGTGCTGGAGAGCCCCTCACAATAAACGATTATCTGATCCAAGATTTACTTGTGCTGAAGTTGGGAAATCCTGAGCTACAAAATAGGGCAGGCAGGGAGAGTGGTGGGCTATACAAATAGGAATTTAGGTTGGAATCCACTTTTAAAACGGTTCACTATGCAATTATAAAGAAGCTACATTATGAAAGCTACATGGAACTCTGATTTATTAACTCTCTGAACATCCAGGACATTTATCTTTTGATAATTAACAATCTGCCACAAACTTTATTTAGAGTGTTTTCATTCTTGCCAGGAAAACTCCATTTTCTTCAGAAATCTTTTTTTTTTTTTTTTTTTTTTTTTAGTTATTGAAGTCAACCTTATGGTCACTTAAGATAAAAATTCTATTTTCATACGTGCCAATCCATGTCACCCTCAGGGTTTAGAATATATTTCAAAATCACCTTCCACGTCAAACACTTTCTCTTCCTCGCAACCCTTTTCGTCTCTATTTGAGTAGGCTTTTTCCCTTACCTATCTCCCTCCAGCAGATGCTCCCTGTATTCTGTGGTATTTCACTTCCTTGATTCCTGTTAGTCTTGGAAAAACAAAAGTAGAGTCTTTTTCATACATGTTTGTTTGTCTTTTTAGGCAATCGAAGGCACAAAGAGAAAGATAGAGAGGGAGGTAAAGATGTGGAAGGATCACAGCAAACAATCACTTTGAAGGCTTTAGCTTTTTAGTAAAAATGTTTCTCTAACAACATACTGCTGTATGACTAAAGGAATTCAGGAGCATTTAGATAATAGGAACAACAAAACAACATCGTTTGCTGCTTTTCCAGAAGAAAATCAAAGTATTGCTGAGGGTCTTCTACTTCCTGCTGATTTTGTTTTTCTAAAAATGTGTATTGATTTCTTCCACCTCAGAGATTCATAAATGTTATTAAAAATGAATGGCAGGTCTGATTTAAATTAAATGTCAGGTGGTTGATAGGTTTCATAATACTTTTTTAAAATTTTAATGACATTCTTACTTGATTTTGTATTAGAGGCATGCAAAACGTAGAATACCAAAATCCACAATAGTATGTGCTAAATGAATGCATGAATAATGAAGCTCTTGCTTTTTAAAAATAAAAAGGAACTGTATATCTTTATTTGTTATGGTTTATTCCAAAGGCACACAAAGCTAAATAACTCCAAGTTTTTCTCATTAGACAAGACAGAAACCCCACCTTTGACTTCTGGTTCCTATTTTTTTGTCTTTTAAGCAGGATAATTATGTGAATAATACCAAATTCCTTGCTGATTTGGAAAGCACTGCCTGATATCAGGCTGTAAAAGTAGGGCAAAGGGTTGCAATTTATTATAGTCTATTATAATCTCTTTGGGGTGAATGTCAACCTTTCAAAATGCCACATTGTATAGGACTCTATGAAAAAGTCTTTTTATTGCCCAAAATCGCTTGTCATGTTTTAAAGGTCTAGAAGAGTAAAATATGCTTTATATGTATTTAAAGGCAGTTTTCTTTCTACTCTTTGCCTTTGCCCAAGTGAGTGTTCACTGGCCATAACCACTCACACATTATACATTTCCAAATGCTTTATCCTCAAACACTTGATTACTCTAAATACAACCCCTGCTCTGAATCTCCCCCACCTGAAAAGCATTCAATTGGCCAGAAAGGAGAAGCAAGGATGTTCTGAAACCACTACTCCAGGAACTTGACTAGTTTATCACAGGTAGACAATTTGTGTTATTTTCTCTCTTTGTGGAGTTCACCCCATGCTGCTCCTTACAATCCAAAGTAGCACTTTCATTTTTTCTGATAGTGCTCCCAGTGGATGCTGGAACACTCTGCCACCTCCACTTTACTGATGTGTGCATTTCGCCCCCCTGTGAATTACCTCTGTTGAATTTTCTTTTTGCTTTTTTTCCGCTGCTCCTGCTGACAAAACCTGCAGACAGCAACGTACAACCTTAACAGACGGAGTGCCCTGCTCTCAGCAGGGCAACCCAGGCGTTCACAGCTCACACACACCGTTGATCAAGTGCTTCACCAAGAAAGCTGTCTGTGTGCCACAGGCAGAGGGTGAAAAACTCTTACTCATTCTCGGAGGACCTAGACATTCACTCTTGTCAATTTTTTTCAAAGTAGGGAAGAGCATAAGGTTCATGCTATTGTATATAAAAACCTTTTCAGATTTCTTGCTTCCCTGGTCTGAAATAACTTCTATTCTAGGGTCAGGCAGTAAGAAATGAAAGGGCTTAATATAGTGTATATGTGAGTTTGTACTTAGTTGGATTTCTACTCAATCATTTATTCATTTAACAAGTATATTTCAATCCCTACCGCCCCCCCAGGCACTGTTCTAGACCTAACCACTCTTTATAATTTATCTTACTTTCTTTATTTTTAAACATGTTGACTATCTTACCCTGTTACTATAAACATCTCCAGAAAAATAAATGCAATTGATTACATGTGATATTTGGCATGGCGCCTCCTATCAGGTGCCATTGAACTCTGACATTTTCAGCAAATTTAAGATCAAGAGTGCAAATATAAAATTGTGGTGCTGAGTAGATTCATTGTAAATATCTGTCATTCACTGTGTTTTATTTTAGTGTCTTTTCTATTGAAAAGTCAATATAAGTGGTGCAGAAATTATCTAATGGACATTATAAAAACAGAAGTAATTTGTTTTCTTTTGTCCAAATATTGTTTTTTATTGATTTATTTAAAGATAAGTGCATTTGAAAGCAAAAAGAAGAACATGAATGTTGAAAAATATGATTGCAATTTATTATCCTCTACCTGATTTCAAAAGCATAGTTCAAATGTTAAAATTGTTTTTTGTTACAAATTTTTTTAAGGCTTATGTTTATTTTAATGGTTCTACTTACATAGCACCAAAACCAAAAATTAATTCACTGGGGGGAAGGAAAACAGGTTAAAACAAACAAACAAGCAAACAAACAAAACCCATTGCTATTACTTTTCTTTAAAAATAAAGCTATATAAGTATTTTAATTTTAAATAGAAATTTGAAAAATGTATAAATAGTACAGCAAAAGAACCAAGTTGCAACACAACTGCCGAATCTGATATGGCAGAAATAACCCAGACTATAGCTTCAAATCACACATAGATGTTAGAGTACTGATATGGTTTGGCTCTGTGTCCCCACCCAAATCTCATCTCAAATTGTAATCCCCATAATCCCCATGTGTTGAGGGAGGGACCTGGTGGGAGGTGACTAGATTATGGGGTCAGTTTCCCCCATGCTGTCCTTGTGATAGTGACTGAGTTCTCACAAGATCTGATGGTTTTATAATTGTTTGACAGCACTTCTTCCACATGCTGTTTCCTGCCACCTTGTGAAGAAGGTACTGGCTTTTCCTTCACCTTCTGCCATGATTGTAAGTTTCCTGAGACTGCCCTAGCCATGCAGAACCATCAATTAAACCTCTTTCCTTTATAAATTACCCAGTATCAGGTATTTCTTTTCAGCAGTGTGAAAACGGCATAAGTACAAATGCCAATCCTAGAAATAATGGAATGATTAAAGTATAGCAATTATTATTAATCTTACTATAATTAAAACTAGAAATTATTGATACCAATAATTCAGAATGTCAGTTTTCTTATTTTTCATGTACATTTAATATGTCTCCTACCAGGTTGACATGAGGTTTCAATGTGATATCATCCATGAAATGACCAAATCAGAGGTCTAGCCATACTGTAGAAGCTAGAAAATACAGTACTGCTTTCCATGATCTTATTTAAGGGATGATAATGTCATCTGTATTTACTCTTTTTAATGTTTATTTTAAATTTTTTAACTGTTCTTCTTTCACAATAGACTGTGAGTTTTATAACCCTGTCAATGTCTTTAGTTTCTACCATTTTATGAGAACTGTCTCCCAGTAACCATGAGAATATCAGGTATGGTTGTTTTGCAGCTAGTAACAAAATGGCAGAGACCATTTTGTTGGATGACTCCAATTGCTTGGAGTTAATACAGATCAAACCTTCTTATTGTCTCTGATTGAATCTGTAAAGATGCAGTTCTTGGTTTGCTGCATGGGTGAAAAATATGTTCTTTCACAAGAAAAGCCATGACTCTTCCTAACAAATGAAAAAGAACTAGCTAGTTTTGAGGTTTTCTTTGAGAGATGGGATCTTGCTATGTTTCCCAGGCTGGAGTGCAGTGGCTATTCACAGGAGATCATAACACACTTGAACTTCTGGCCTCAAGTGATCTTCTTGCCTCATTGTCTCAAGTAGCAGAGACTACAGGCATAAATCTAATTTTATCATCAGTGCCAATTATTAGAACTAAATTGAATGAGTTATAATTCACATTCATTAAGATGACATAAGTAAATGAAGCAATTAGATATGTGTTCAGTCATCCCTGAATGAATGATCTCAAAATATTTAAAAGTGGAAACATTTGGAGAATGATTAAAGATACAAATGATTCAATTTAATTACACAAAGAGTTAATTCATAAAATAGTACAGAAGATAGGTATAAAGCATCTTAAATTTGAGTTTCAGTTCTTGCTAAATAATCTTGAACAGGCCAATTCTTAGCTTTGTTTCTTTTTTTCATTAAATTAAAAGTTCTTCTTTCCCTGGTATACAAGACTGTTCTGAGAGACATAATGTGCTACTGCACTTTATTAACTCTTATGCAATATTCAAGTGAATTGTTTCATTGTGTATATGCATGCCATGTTGCAAAGCCTCACAGATGGTTCAATTATGAGTAAAATGCAATCTTTATCCAAAGAGGGTTTATAATCTAAGAAGTTGCTAGACTTTTAAAAAGTTTTAGCTAGGGTATACTGAGCTGCTATTTACATAAATAAATAAATAAATATAAATATATATATTTTCATTCGGTATGTTTATCATATAGACTGTCTATGGAGTTTGATTTTTTTTAATTTGAGCATTTTTTTTTTATTTAATATATTAACTGATGAATGTTGATTTATTTCTTCAATCTTATTCTGCAATTTCTATCTGTGCCTTTGATCCTTTTTCTCTCCTTCTTTATTTCTTTTGGAATAACTATTTTTGATTATTCTATTTTTCCCTTTCAGTTAGGAAGTATAATTTTTACTATTCCAATAGTAACTACCTTTGCATTATAAAAATAAAATGTCAGGTGGTACCCTCTTCCTCTGCAATAATGACACCTTGGGACACTTTCTCCATTTACTTCATTCTGAATTATATTCTATTTTTCATATATTTTAATTCTCTCTATATATTTTACTCCATAAAGTACTATAGATACTATCATAAGTAGACATACTTAATTCAGTTTATCCAAATATTTAACAAATTCATGGCTCTTCATTCTCTCTTTTTTTTTCTCTATGGGAAACTAAATATATATAGGTTAGACTTTCACTGTGTTCCCTATGCTTATGCTATTTTCTGGAGTTAATTCTTTTTATTTTTCTGTACTTTTATGTGGGTGTTTTTTACTGACTAGTCTTCAAGTTCACTAATACTCTTTTTAACTCTGTCCAATCTCTTATAAAACCTACCTACTTTGTTCCTAACATTAGGTTGAGGCCATGTGTGGTGGCTCACCCCTATAATCTCAGCACTTTGGGAAGCTGAGGCAGGAGGATTGCTTGAAGCCAGGAGTTCACGATCAGTGTGGGCAACAAAGAAAGACCTTGTCTGTTTAAAAAAAAAAAAAAAAAAAGCAAAAGCAAAGAAAATAGCTGGGCACAATTGCATGCATTTGTAGTCTCAGCTACTTGGGAGGCTGAGGTGGGAGGATAGCTTGGGCCCAGAAGTTCAAAGCTGCATTGAGTTATGGTCGTGCCACTGAATTCCAGCCTGGGCAACAGAGCAAGATCCTGTCTCTAATAATAATAATAAACAAACAAATGAAATATTAAGTTGGTATTGATATGTGTCACTGTGTCTTTTCAAAATTCCATTCCATCATTTCCTCGCTTCCACTGTTGCTGTTAGAAATCAGAAACCCAGCACTTCATTCCAGTGAAATAATTGACTAGATGTATTAATCAGGGTTCTCCAGAAAAACAGAACCTTAGGGGCCAGACAAATCTGAAATCTGTAGTCTGTTGGGCTGAAAATTCAGATAAGAGTTGATGTTGCAGTCTTGAATTCATACTATGCAGGGGAGGATGGAAGATGGGAATTTACACAGTGCTTCTAAGTTGCAGTCTTGAGGCACAAATACTTTGCCCTCAGGAAACCTCAGTCTTTTATCTTAAGGCATTTAACTCATTGAATGAGACCCACCACTTTATGAAAGGTAATCTGCTTTACTTAATGTCAGCTGGATAATAATTGTTAATCTTCACATATATTTTCACAGCAACATTATACCAGTGTTTGACAAAACAACTGGGTGCCATAGCCTGGCCAAGTTTTTACAGAAATTATCCATCACACTAGATAAACAAAACTGTAAGAATTTGAATTTATTTAAGACACTAATAAGTCAATAAGGTAGATGATAATCTCCAGGCTAACTGCCAAAAGCTTCATTAAAAAATGTGTAATTATTAAACTAGTGAGGGGAAATGGATAATAAAGGGAACACTTAATTAACCTCAAAGATGCAGAAAACATTAACATAGAAAAGTTAGGTCAATAATAAACTCACAGTGAATTTCATCTGGGGCGGAGCAACATAGTGGAATAGAAGCTTACACTGTTCATTCTCCCCACTGGAACACCGAATTTTAACAATCATCTGCACACGGTAAAGGACCATCAAAAGAACCAAAATTTAGGTGAACAACCACAGTACCTGGTTTAACTTCATATCACTAAGAGAGACATTGATGAGGGCAGGAGAGATAGTCTTGAATCACAGATGCCACCCATCCCCTGACCCCCAGCAGTGGCTCTGTGCACCTTGAGGAGGGAGATCTCAGTGACTGGGGGATTGACATTGACCTCAATGCTGTCCTGTCACAGAGAATAAATGGTGCTGGGCTCAGCACGTGCCTGTGCATGTAGTTAGAATTTGGACCAGCCCTTACCAGAGGGGAATCACCCATCCCAGGGGTTGGAACTTAAGTTTTTTGGCATGCTTTGCCACCAAGGACTAAAAGTCTCTGGGGTTCTAGGTAAATTTGAAAGGCAGTTTAAGACACAAGGATTGCAATTCCTAGGTAAATCCTAGTGTTAGGCTGGTCTTACAGCCAGTAGACTAGGGTAGCATGTGACCTAGGGAGACACCAGCTGGTGTGGCTAAGGGAGTGCTTGTGCCATCCCTCCCCAAACCCCAGGCGGTACGGAGAGGAGAGTGAAGAGTAAAGAGTACTTAATCTTGCATCTTAGATACCAGCTCAGCAACAGTAGGATAGGGCACTGGACAGAGTAGTAAGGCTTTAGCTTCCAGATGACATTTCTGCACACATCTTGGGCCAAAAGGGAACCCACTACATTGAAGGGAAGAATCCAGTTCTCGCAAAACTCATCACATGTTAACTAAAGAGCCTTTGGGCCCTGAATAACCCCAGTAATACCCAGGGAGTACACCATGGGCTTTGGATTCTGAGATGTGCTGGCTTCAGGGGTGACCCAACACATAACCAGCTATAATGGCTACAGGGAAAGACTCCTTCTGTTTGAGAAAAGCAAAGAGAAAAGTAAAGGGGACTTTGTCTTGCCTCTTAGGTACAAGCTTGGCCATGGTAGGTAGAGCAACAAGCAGGCTCTTGGGGTCCCCAAGTCTAGGCCTAGGCTCCAGAGTGGCATTTCTGGACCTCCTTTGCGCCAGAGTGCACTGAAGTAAGTCTCAGGCCTGGCATCATTTACCACAAGCTGACAGAGGAGCCCTTGGACTTAAAGTGAATAGTGGTAGTGGACTGGCAGAACCTCCCATAGAATGGTGGTGATGGTAGACACAAGGGCAGGCTCTTATGCCTATGGAAAGAGGAGGGAAGAGTGAGAAGTACTTTGTATTGTGGTTTGAGTGCCAGTTTAGCTGCAATATAATGGAACATCAGGTAGACTGCTAAGGTTTTTGACTTCAATCCCTGGCTCCCAGACAGCACCTCTGGACATATCTGTGGCCTGGGGGAACTCACTGCCCCGAAGGGAAGGACCTTGAGCAAGATTCAGTGCTATGCTGGCTTCAGGCCTGATCCAGCACAATCCCAATAATGATGGCCATAGAGGTGCTTTCATCACCACACCCCCATTTCCAGGTGGCTCAGCACAGAGAGAGAGAGACTCCGTTTGTTTGGGAGAAAGTATGGGAAAACAACAAGAGTCTCTGCTTGGTAATCCAGAGAATTCTTCCAGATCTTTATCAAGACCATCAAAGTGGTACTTCCATGAGTCGACAAACACCACAGTGTTATTGTGCTTGGGATCCAAGTCCTTTTGAATAGCTGAGAAGCCTTCCAAAGAAGGACAGGCACAAAGAAGTCCAGGGTGTGACTATAACAAATATCTAACTCTTCAGTGCCCAGATGCTGACGAATATCTGCAAGCATCGACAGCATCCTGGAAAACATGACATCACGAAATGAACTAAATACGGCACCAGGGACCAATCCCGGAAAAACAGAGACATACAGAGAATTCAAAATAGCAGTTTTGAGGAAACTCAAAGAAATTCAAGATAATATAGAGAAGGAATATAGAATTCTGTTAGAAAAATTTAACAAAGATATTGAAATAATTAAGAATCAAGCAGAAAGTTTTTTTGAGTTGAAGAATGCAGTTGACATTCTGAAGAATGCACGAGTCTCTTAATAGCAGAAGTGATCAAACAGAAGAAGGAATTAGTGAGCTTGAAGAGAAGCTATTTGAAAATAAGCAATCAGAGGAGACAAGAAAAAGGGAAAAAAATGAAACATGGCTATGAAATCTAGAAATAGCCTCAGCATGGCAAATCTAAGCATCAATGGCCTTAAAGAGGAGGTAGAGAAAGAGATAGGGGTAGAAAATTTATTCAAAGGGATAATATCGAGAAATTCCCAAACCTAGAGAAGGATATCAACATTTAAGCACAAGAAGGCTATTGAACACCAAGAAAATTTTTAACTCAAGACTACCGTAAGGCATTTACTAATGAAACTCCCAAAAATCAAAGATAATGAGAGAATCTAAAAGCAGCAAGTGAAAACAAACAAATAACATACAACGGAGCTCCAATGCATTTGGCAGCAGACTTCTCAATGGAAATCTTGCAAGACAGGAGAGAGTGGTATGACATATTTAAATTGCTGAAGGAAAAAGCCTTTTTCCCTAGAATAGTATAGCCAGTGAAAATACCCTTCAAGCATAAAGAAGAAATAAAGACCTTCTGAGACAAACAAAAGCTAAGGGATTTCATCAACACCAAACCTGTCCTAAAAGAAATGCTAAAGGGAGTTTTTCTAACTGGAAGAAAATGATGTTAATGTGCAAGAAGAAATCATCTGAAGGCAAAAAACTCCCTGGAAATAGTAAGCACACAGAAAAACACAGAATAGTATATAACACTGTAATAGTGGTGTGTAAACTATTCTTGATAACTACAACAACTTTTCAAGGCATAGTACAATAAGACATAAAGAAAAACAACTTAAAGTTAAAAAAGGAAGGATGAAGTTAAAGTGTATAATTTTTATTGGTTTTATTAGTTTTCTTTCTGCACATTTGTTCTTGTTTCTTGCACTTGCTGCTTTTAGATTCTTTCTTTATCCTTGATTTATGGGAGTTTCATTAGTAAATGCCTTTAGTAATGCCTTTTGCAATTAGTATTAAATCATCATCAGTGTAAAATGTGGGTTATAAGATTGTATTTGCAAACCTCATGGTAACCTGAAATTGAAAAACATACAACGGATATACAAAAAAATAAAAAGCAAGAAATGAGAGCATACCAACAGAGAAAATCAGCCTCACTAAAAGAAAAACAGAAAAGAAGGAAAGAAGGAAGAGAAGACTGCAAAACAACCAGAGCACAAATAATAAAATGGCAGGAGTAAGATCCTACTTATCAGTAATAACTTTGGATATAAATAGACTAATCTCTCCAATCAAAAGACATGGAGTGACTGAATGGATGAAGAAAACAAGACACAATGATCTGTTGCCTACAAGAAACACACTTCACCTATAAAGATACATGTAGACTGAAAATAAAGGAATGGAAAAAGATATTCCATGCCAATGTAAACGACAAAATAGCAGAAATACTTATACTTAGATCAGACAAAATAGATTTCAAAACAAAAACTTTAAGAAGATATTGAGAATGTCATTATATAATGATAAAGGGGTCAATTCAGCAAGAGGATATAACAATTATAAATATATATGCACCCAACATTGAAGTTCTTAGATATATAAAGCAAATGTTATCAGAGCTCAAGAGAGAGATAGACCCAATACAATAACAGCTAAAGACTTCACTATCCCACTTTCAGCATTGGACAGATCTCCCACACAGAAAATCAACAAAGAAACATTGGACTCAGTCTGCACTGTGGAACAAATTTATCTAATAGATATTTACACAACATTTCATTCAAAGGCTGGAAAATACACATTCTTTTCCTCAGTATTTGGACTGTTCCCAAAAATAGAGCATATGTTAGGTCACAAAACAAGTCTTAGAACATCCAAAAAAATTGAAATACTATCAAGCATCTTCTCTGACCACAATGGAATAAAACTAGAAATCAATAACAGGAGGAATTTTTGTAAGTATATAAACACATGGAAATTAAACAGTATGCTCCTGAATTACCAGTGGGTCAATGAAGAAGTTAAGAAGGAAATTCAAAATTTTCTTTGTAATTTGTTTTGAAACAAATGACAGTGGGAATATAATATACCAAAATGTACAGATACAGCAAAAGCAATACTAAAGGGAAATTCATAACGATAAGTGCCTACATCAAAGTGAAGGAAAACTTCAAATCAATAACTTAATGACACAGCTTAAAGAACTAGAAATGCAAAAAAACTGAACCTCAAATTAAAGAAGAAAAAAATAAAAATCAGAGCAGAAATGAATTTGACATGATTTAAAAAAAACTCAAGAAATCAATGAAACAAAAAGTTTGTTGTTTGAAAAGATAAACAAAATTGACGAACCTTTAGCCAGACTAAGAAAAAAGGAAAGAAGACCCAAATAAATAATATCAGAGATGAAAATGAAGACATTACAGTTGATACCACAGAAATTCCAAGGATCATTAGTGGCTACTATGAACATTTATATGCCAATAAATTGTAAAATCTAGAAAAAATGGATAAATCCATAGGCACACACAACCTACTGAGTTTGAACCAGGAAGAAATCCAAAATCTGAACAGACCACTGACAAGTAACAAGATCAAAGTTATAGTAGAAGTCCTCAGTAATGAAAAGCCCCAGGCTTGATGACTTCATTGCTTAATTCTAACAAATATTTTAAGAACTAACACCAATCCTACTCAAACTGTTCTGAAAAATAGAGAAGGAGGAAATACTTCCAAACTCATTCTCTGAGGCCAATATTATGCTGATATTAAAACCAAAGAAACATCAAAAAAAGAGAACTACAGGCCAAAGAATATTGATGAATCTCTCATGAATATTGATGCAAAAATCCTCAACAAAATACTAGCAAACTGAATTCAATAATACCTAAAATGATCATTCATCATGGGCAAGTGGGATTTATCCATAGGTTGCAAGGATAATTCAACATACTCAAATCAATGTATGGGATATCATATCAATAGAATGAAAGACAAAAACCATATAATCATTTCAATTGATGATGAAAATGCATTTGATGAAATTTAACATCTTTTCATGGTAAAAACATTCAAAAAACTGGGAATAGAAGGAACATACCTCAACATAATAAATGTTGTATACAACAGACGCACAGCTAGTATCATACTGAATGAGGAATGACTGAAAGCCTTTCCTGCAACATCTGGAACATGACAAGGATGTCCATTTTCACCACTGTCATTCAATATATTACTGGAAATCCTAGCTAGAGCAATCAGATGAGAGAAAGAAATAAAAGCCACCCAAATTGGAAAGGAAGAAGTCAAATTATTCTTATTTGCAGATGATATAATCTTATATTTGGAAAAACCTAAAGATGCCACCAAAAAACCATTACAGCTGAAAAACAAATTCAGTACAGTTGCAGGATTAAAAAATCAGCATACAAAAATTAATAGCATTTGTATATGCCAACAGTAAACAATCTGAAAAAAAAGTAAAGCATGTACTCTCATTTACAATAGCCATAAATAATATAAAATACCTAGGAATTAACTTAACCAAAGACGTGAAACATCTTTAAAACGAAAACTATGAAACACTGATAAATAAATTGAAGAGGACATCACAAAATGGAAAGATAGTCATATTCATGGATTGGAAGAATCAATACTGTTGTAATTTCCATACTACCTGAAGCAATCTACAAATTCAATGCAATCACTATCAAAATACCAATGGCATTCTTCACAGAAATAGAAAAAAAAAATTCTAAAATTTGTATAGAATCACAAAACATCCAGAATAGCCTGAGCAAAAAGCTATCCTGAGCAAAAGAACAAAACTATAAGAACCACATTATCTAACTTCAAATTATACTACAGCTAAAGCATCCAGAAAGCATCGTATTGAAATAAAAACAGACACATAGACCAAGGGAACAGAATAGAGAACCCAGAAACAAATCCACACACCTGCAGTAAACTCATTTTTGACAAAGGTTCCCAGAACATACGCTGGGGAAAAGACAGTCTCATCAATAAGGGGCTCTATTTGAGAAAGAATGGGACCCTGAGGCATAGAATGGGGGCACAAGCATAGACAGCCCTAAAAATATTTAATCACCGTATTACTCTGAGGTCTCTGAATTGGTAGAAGTGGCCCACTCTTTGATAAACTTTACCGCTTACTCCATGAAAGAAGACGCAACCACCCCACTCTCCACCCAAAACAAGGCAACAGGTATCCCTCACTCAGAATTTATCCCCACCTCCTCTACTCAGTGTTAAACCAATAACTAAAATAAAGTCACAATACATAACCAAGGCAGGAACTTGCTATGTCTCATTAGGAAGGAAAATGAGCTGCAGGACCTCATCAATAGAGTGAGGAAAACAAGCATAGAACTGAATTCCATAGATGTATAATTAGGGGGACAGAACATAAGCAAATATGAGCAATATTTGAGAAGTCACGTTTACAAGAAAATCAAACAATTTAAAAAATTGGTGCCCATGAGGGGTACACCACTATATTATGTAAATAATTACATTTTTAGCAACATACCAGCACTATATGATTACATAATGAAGTTCAGTAAGGAATATTTCTTAAAAATTCAGAATAATATATACTGAATATATAAAATCTCTGATGAATTGACATGATTCTGAGATAAATATGATGACATAAAGAGTAAATCAATTACATATGACTTGAGAAAAACTCCATGAATGTTATTTCTCACAACAAAATTTTCAGAAAAACCGAAACAAAAAAGACTCGAAGAAGAGAGAAACCAAGATTATATTACAGTCAAGTGTTATAGTCCACAATGTCTATATTGTCCAATAAGGGCTGATGTGTATATTTTAACAACTAGATGGGAGATTATCTTATGGTTGGTAAGAACACTAGCTAAGACAGCTGCCTGAATGGAAAGCCGCCAACATCTCTACAAGCTGGTATGTGGAACACATATGAACAAGTAAACACTTATCTCAGATAACTGCTCTAAGACCAATTCAACACATGGGCAAATGGAAAATTAAGAATCAAACATCTGCTGCCTTAAGAATGTCTTTAATAATTTCATTCTAGAAATATTTTAAGCCATTATAATGAGTTACCTATCACAACTTTAATAAAATTCAAATTTAACACCTTTATGACCAAATTACATTGTGAACCTCACAATAGGAAGTAGATTGATAAACTGTACTCCTAAATAACTATAATTATAACCTGATATCTAGGATTATTAGATATAAATAATTAAATATTGAATATAATTCGTTAATGAAACTAGTACAAATTTTTTAAAGAAATTATTACATAGCAGAGCAACTGCTATTAAGGTGATTTCTAATATATGAGTCAAATCAACCATTGGCATCCATAAAAAGACATATTATTTCAGAAAGACATACATTCAAAATAATCAATAATGTGTAATCATAGAGACATATTTTTAACGATAGATAAAAATAACTGCATTTTTCTAAATTGTTGCATTTTTAAAAATATTCTTTTTTTATCCTAACTTTCATGACAGTATATAAACATCAATATCAAGGGAAGCAAGAAACAAAACACTCCATTTAAAAGGAAACTTAAGATATCTTAAACCTTTTGTTTAGAGATGAGGTAACTAGCATACTCAGTTTGTTCTCTCTATATATTTTTTCTTTCTTTTTGTTTTTTTGTCCTAAATTGAGGCTACATGTATAGTTTCTCTACCCTTCAAATTATTGCAATCTGAAATACTGAAAGAGCTCACATGTTAATGATCATGGGAACAGAGTTAGCGTTTGAAATTTTGCATACTTGATAGTTACTGTTCTATTTATACATTGATTGACTACTGGTAGAGAAATCAGTGATATTGCTGTGAAGTCGTAACTGAGAGATGGTGGAAGAAAGAGAATAATCATCCAAGAGTCCATTTGATTTTTGTCTAAGAGAAAATCCTATGTAGCAGGCATTTTTTACTAAAACAAAACTCCAGTTGACTTTGCCATGAATAATGCTGAGAAGGTTCAAAGGAGTGAATCTGATGGAAAAGAGGGAAAAATGCACGTGAAATACATGTTTGGAATTGTAATATTATTGGAAATGAATTCTTATATTCTGGTCTCTGTGTGACTCTGACAAATGAATACAATGGAAAGAAAACAGACCTTGATGTGAGAGGAACCGTGTGATCTATGTACTTCTCCCATCATTTACTATGCAAGTGACTTAGTCTCCCATATCTGAACTGTGCCTCAGTATATCCAATTATAAAATATCCTCTGTGATATACAATCTGATTAGTTTCTAGATAGTGGTCACAAATTTATAAAAATAAGCTGAAATCTTATTATTTCCTGTATGCATAATATGATTTTTGTGATTCCGTACTTGAAAATAAAATTTATATTATAAAAAATATGAAAACTGGTGTTTTAATCACCTTCTTTTCACCCTTTTGGTGAGAAGGGATTCCTGCCCTAGGGCTATGAAGATAGCTAAACACATGACTTCTGACACTGAACAGATGAGATTGGCAGGAGTTTATTAGTCTTGTATACTCACAGCTCAGGGAAGAAGGACACAGAAAGCCACGGAAGGCCACACAGAGGTTGTCCTTGGGAATAAAGTGAACAAACAGAGACTGTGAGAGGCAGGCTTTGTAGGATCAAGAGAGTCTGTGACATCCTGGTTCCTAAAGGAAGATGTGATTGGCTTGTTTGAATAATTCAGCGGGCTGGCAGGGACCTGACACATGCTGCTCACAGATGAGCAGAAACTGCACCTGCTCTTCTCTTTTTAATAAAGTGGCTTATTTGGCTATGAGACTTCAACTGTAAGAGGAGAGAAGGGTTGAGAACTTGCAGTTAGAACATCAAGACACTCCCAATTTTGCCCTATGTCAAGGCAGCACATAATATTAAGATTTAATTTTAGGCTTTTCACCACAGCTGGTCACAAAAAAGAAATATATAAATCAAACACAATATAGCAATATAGTCTTCTAAATGTATTTTGAAATCTGTGAAATAAGCCCTTAATATGACATCTACATTGTAAGTGGTCTTTTTAAGAAAAAAAAATCTATTTAAGATGAAATAAATGGTGCTTCTTTTCATAGAAATCTTTTGTAGCAGTAATCGGTATGTTTAATTTTCTAAGTGCTTTTGAAATGCATTCAGAACAGGGGCCAGCTGTCTTGAAAACTTTTATTATTGATGCAATTTGCAAGAATTCCTTCAAAAAGACTTTTAATGTTAAATCTTGACAGTTTTTGTGGAATTTCTTCTCCTTCAATTATTCTTTATTCACTATTTCATAGACATTAAATACCTTTTTGGAAAAGCATCCTTCCTCATTAATGGATTTAGCTTTCTTGTTTATCAAAAAAATTAAAACTTTCTCTATGGGGGGTCATTAATAATTCTTTAAATTCTACTATGCTCTTTAGTTATACTCCCAAATCAATTACACCATACTTTTCTCTCATTTAATTTTTTTTCATAGATATTCCATTATTTGTTCAAAACATTCCTCGGCAAAATCATATTTATGCATTGTTTCCAATCATGAGTAGAGGAAATCTAGTTTTCTGCTTATGGGTCAGCCATCATATTTTCTTATTGGTGTTGATTATCGCATTGGCTGAAAACTGTAACCAGCTTGTCACAACACTGTATTCATTATTGGTTAGAAACTTTACATGCTCACGTTGTCCATGTGCATGGAGTGTTTTTTTTTTTTTTTTATGTAGAAGCTGACAATAAGAAAGTCTTTAAAACTTGGGTTCACAAGTAAAATTCCCTCTAATTATCATTCACTTCTTAAACATGTGTTATTATACAGTGTTCATAAGTGTTTTGTCTACTAAAAAGAATTATTCAAACAGTATTCTTCATAAAATACTTCCTTGATTTTTAGTACTCTCTTCAATATCTATTTTTCTTTCTTGTAAATTCCACTTTATTATTTTTCTGTATTAACTCCACATGGAACGTTAAAGCAAGCTCAGCCTTCCACTTTATTCATTTCTAAATCATCTTTGAATGTAATGAATTTGTCATTGGAATTTAATGAGTAAATCTCTGTTCTTTTTTGTAACAATAGGAATATTTGATACTTGGAAAAGAATAGCTTTTGTGTTTGCAAATTTGTCAATATTTTTCTGTTAAAATGATAGCAAAATATATTTGCACAAAAGAAAACTGTCAAATGCACTAAAATTATTGAAAACATGTACAGAACATAATCTTGTCTTTTCATGCCTATATGAACACTATGCAAATGTGTGTGTGATTACACTCAAGCATCAGAACACTCGAAGTTTTAGTCATCACTATTTTTACAATTGTCTAAAATATTAAAACAGATGTTTAAATTAATCTTGGTACTTGTAATTAAAGTCATGCAACACATAACAAGGTTTTGGCCACTGAAGAACTGCATATACAATGGCCATCCCATGAGACTATAATAAGGCTGAAAAATTTTTATTGCCTAGTGATGTAATAGCCATCATAATGTCTTAGTGTAACAAATTACTCGCAAGTTTGTGATGATGCCATAGTAAAGAAACCTACTGTGCTGCCATTTGTATGAAAGTATGGCACATACAATGATGTACACTATATAATACTTGATAATGATAATAAACAACTGTGTTACTGGTTTATGTATTTTCTATACTATACTTTTTATTATTGTTTCAGAGAGTACTCCTTCTACTTATTACAAAGAAGTTAACTAGTTAACTGTAAAACAGCCTCAGGCTAGTCCTTCAGAAGATACTCCAGAAGAAGGCACTGTTATCAAAGGAGATGACAGCTCTATGCATATTATTGCTTCTAAAGACTTTCCAGTGAGATAACACGTGGAGGTGGAACAGTGATATTGATTATCCTAACCCTGTTAGGCCTAGGCTAATATGTACCAGTAATGTGTGATGCACGACTGTGTTTGTGTCTTAGGTGGTAACAAAAAAGTTTAGAAAGTACAATAAATAATTTTAAAAATACAAAAAAGTTTATTGAATAAGGATATAAAGAAAGAAAATATTAGGTTGGTGCAAAAGTAATTGTGATTTTTCCAGGGTGGGTCGTTTGTTTTGTTTTGTTTGCACCAACCTAATATTTTTGTATAGCTGCTTAATGTGTTTGTGTTATAATCTAAGTGTTATTACAAAAGTCAAAAATTTAAAACATTTAAAAGTTTATTAAAAAATACAGTAAACTGACTAATATATTCTTGAAGAAATAACATGTTAAAATAAATTTAGTGTAACCTAAGTGTATAGTTTTTATAAAGTCTACAATAGTGTACATCATATTGTCGTAAGCCTTCACATTCCCTCACTACTCACGCACTGACTCACGCAGAGCAACTTCCATTTATGGTAAGTGTCCTATACAGGTGTACTATTTTTGATTTTTTATACCATATTTTTATTGTATATTTTCCATATGTAGATTATGTTTAGATACACAAATACAATTGTGTTACAACTGGCTACAGTATTCAGTACAGTAACATTCTTTGCAGCTTAGTAGCCTAGAATAATAGGCTATACCGTATAGCCTAGGTGTGTAGTAGGCTATAGCATCTAGGTTTGTGTATGACCTCTTTTATATTCACATAATGACAAAATCACCTAACAATGCATTTCTCAGAATGCATCTCCATTGTTATGCATTGCATGACTGTGTTCATACATAGTCAGAGAGACACCATTTGATGAGGGAAAATAAAAACCTGTCTAATACTCCTTTTATATTCCCTTTTGGTCTCTTTTTCTAATACTCTTGTCAGTGTGCATTCCCTATACCATATGGGAGGGAAGCTATGCCTGTGGCAACCCTACTCTGATTTATTTACTATAGTCTGAAAATAAATCTTGAGAACTAGGGGGCTGGGCGCAGTGGCTCATGTAATCCTAGCACTTTGGGAGGCCAAGGTGGGTAGATTGCCTGAACCCAGGAGTTCAAGACCAGCCTGGGCAACATAGTGAAACCCCAACTCTACTAAAATACAAAAAATCAGCTGGGCGTGGTAGCAAGCACCTGTAGTCCCAGCTACTTGGGAGGCTGAGGCAGGAGAATTGCTTGAACCCAGGAGGCAGAGGTTGCAGTGAGCTGAGATTGCTGCCACTGGACTCCAGCCTGGGTGACAGAGGGAGACTCCGTCTCAAAAAAACAAAAAAGGTAACTAGGATGACAAGTTTTTCTTAGAAAAGTTTTAGTTATTTTTACCCTTTGCATATTTCTCCCTCTTTCAAAATCAACTGCAGCAATATTTTTGTAATTCCATTGAATTTATAGATTAATTTAGAGATAATGGAGACGTTTAAGTCACTGAGCCTTTTCAAAAACAATTTGTCTTGCCATTTAATTTAATTTTCTTTAGTAAATTTTCATTTGATGATTACATTTTCTTCATAAAGATATTACTCAGGTTTTTAAAAAATCTTAATATATGCTAGCTCATATTTTTGTTGGTTTTGTAATTGTTACCTGCTATGGACTTAACAGTTGTGTCTTCCTAAAATTTGTATGTTGAAGCCTAATTCCCAATAGGATAGTATTTGAAGATTGGGACTTTGGAAGGTAATTAAGTTATAAGGATAGAAACCTTATGAAAGGGGTTCTTGCTTTTATAAAAAAGTCATGAGATGATCTATCCCTCTTGGTCATGCGAGACTACAGCAACAAGTTGGCTGTCTACAAGCCAGGAAGTCAACCATTACCAGAGACCAGGTCTGCCAGAGCATCGATCTTGACCCTCCCAGCCTCCATAACTGTGACAAATAAATGTTTGTTGTTTAAGCCACTCAGCCTGGGGTATTTCGTTATAGCAGCTTGAGCTATAAGACATATGCTTTAAAACATTTACATGAAAATATTATTTGCTAATATTATTTACCAATATTATTAATATCATTAACATAATTATACATCTTAATATTTGCTAATGAAAAATAAGTCAATTTATGTACATATTGTCCTTTTGTTAAGCGATCTTTATATATCCTTGTTAATACTTAGAATTTGTCTTCTGAACAAATTGGGTTCAACTGTAGCAAATTATATTTGAATAATCTCACATTTATGTATTATTGTACTCTGCGGGCCTAAACCAGTATAGCATTATATAGTGATTTTATATTCATATGTATATATTTATATTTAAATAAAATTAATGCATAATGCTATTCTGATATATATATATACACACACACATACATACATACAAACACACACATATATAACATACATATATATACACATATATATACACATACACACACTATAGCTTGTACAGTGACCTTCTTTAGTTTTTCTGATTTTCAAGAGAGGCTTCTAATATTATAAAATAAAGTATAATGTGGGTGTAAATTTTGGTAAGTACCCATTATCAGCTTAAGAAATTTGCCTCTTATTATTGGAATAGCATGATATTTATTATACATGTTATTGAGTTTCACTGGATAATTTTTTTGAACCCATTAAAATCACAATTTCAATTTTTTTACTTTAATATTTTCATAAATTACATGTATTGGTTTCCTAGAGAGAAAACATTTTAACCTTCCTAAGATACACATATTTGTTCATGAATAGTTTTTAAAAATATATTAATGTATTAATTTGGCTGATGCTGTTTAAAAGTTTTGAATCTCTAGTTTATGATTGATATCAACCTATCATTGGCCTTTAATATTAATATTTTTGTCAGATTCTATTATCAAGTTTATATATCATCTCATAAAAGAATTAGCAGGCATTTCAATTTGTCTATTTTTGCAAAGGTTGTAAATAGTTAGTGCTCAATAGAAATCTCTTACAAAATTTTCTGAGACCCGTAGATTTTACAGCATATAGGGTTTATATCTGTTACTACTCATTCTATTGATTCAATTTGTTAATGTTTACAGGTCTATTCAACATTTTTATTTTCATTTTTTTACATTGAGTCAGTTTTCAGTAATTGCATTGGGGGAGTGAGGCGGAATAGATTGTTATTTACCTCTTATTTTACAACTTATTTACCTGAAATTGTTGGTAGTATTATTTTATCATTTAGAACTCCTCAGCTCTACCTGTATTAATTAAGATCTCTTTTTAGTTATTAAAATTGGTTATTTAGTCTTTCTTTATTTTTTCTTGACCAATCCTAAGAAAGTTTTGCTATTTCATTAGTCTTCACTAAGCTCTAAATATATAATTTGTTGATCCTCTCTCTTCTGTGTTCTTTAGCATTATTTTATTTTAACTCTATGTTTTTCCTGTATGTACTATTTAGGAATATTCTATCTATTATAACATCCCAAGTTGGAGGCTAGACTTAATTTATGACAAGTTTTTCTTACAAAAATTTTACTTAATTATAAGAAACTAAGTTTTAGTTATTGTAAGTTAATGCTCAACTTTTCTCCTTTACTATTAGTGTAAACACTTAACGCTTATAATTTCTCCCTATCTATATCTTCTTGTAAAATTTGTTCAATATATGTGACTATTTTTATCTCTAAAAATACCATTCTCCTTTAAAGAAGGCAACATCAGTTTTTTATTGCTTAATCTTTGACTGATATATCTTTTTCCATTTTTTCATCTTTTTACTTGCAAACTATTTGCATCCTAATATGTTAGGTTGCTTGCTAACAGCATATAACTAGACTTTTTTTTTTTTACAAAATCCATTGTAATAATTTGTCACTGAAATAATAAATTTATTTTATCTATATTTTTAGGGATTACTAATATATTTGGATTTTGTTTTCTTATTTTGTGTTTCCCCTTTATCATCTCTTTCCAGTGATTTCTTTTTTCTTTTTAATTTTCTTGTCTTCTTTTAGATTGGTAAAGTTTTATTTCTAATTCTGCATTTTTCTTGATACTTGTTTATTTCTGATTTTTTTGTTGTTACCTATTGCATTTAATATTCTATTTTTTCTAATTATATCTCCCTAAAGATAATTTCTGGGCTTCTTTTTTAAACATACAGGATTTGAGGATAATACTTCTCAAAGTATTAGTGGTAAAATACATTTTTTCAAACATTCCAATTACTCGTGAACTGATAAGTCTATAAAATAAAATAGGTATATAAATAAAAAATACAGATTAAATATGAGCCAATCTTTTTGATTACTAAATTAAACAGACATAAAATTACTCTTGTCAAAACGCTTTTAAAGTTTCTAACTCTTACTATTAATTTCTGTGTATTTCTTGTAATAGATCAGTAACAGACAGCTTGTGGGCTGGTAGTAATTATGGAATGAAGTTTGAACTGCCCAGTCCTAGAAGACTTAATATTAATCAGTCCATTTTCCCTCCTATATAATTGTTGTCCTGTGTACTAGTCCACCTTCTTGGTTTTTAGCCCCAAATTATTGTTTCAACTATTTCATACAGATAATATCTGTTTTTATTTATTCATATGTTTCTCTATTTCATAGGAAAGTTTCTCATTTATTCATGTTTCTCAATTTTTTTTTTGCATCTCAGATTGTCATGTAATCCTTCTGAAATAATGCCTTATGATTTTCTTTTGTGAGAGTAAGTTGGTGACAAATTCTTCCAGTTTTTGCTTGTTTCAAATACCTTTATTTTTTCCAAAATCTTTGGTGACAGTTTAGCTGAGTATCTAACTCTAAATTGACAGGATGTTTTCCTCCTTTCTTGGAACTTGGAGGATATTATTCTGCTGGTTGTTTATACTCTTTATAGTGTTGCAAACTCTGTAAGTCATCTTTCTTTTCTCTTTGGCTACTATTAGCTTTTTCTCTCTGTCCTAGGTTTTCTTCAATATTATTATAATGTTTCCAAGTGTGGATTTCCTTCTGTTCATTTTACTTGCATTTCCTGAACTGAAGTATTCTTGCTTTTCGTCAATTCTGTAAAATCGACATCCATTATATTTGGCAATATCACCTCTCTCAAATTCTTCTCGTATTATCTTCTATGAATCAGATTAGATGACATTTAAACATTTCCATTCTATCCTCCATGTCTCTTGTTTTTCCATCTTTTAAATCTGTATGTTACATTCTGAGCAATGTTTTTCAGATATTCCTTAGTTTACCAATTTTTTTTCACAATTCTGCTTATTTTTCTATTCACTCATCTAGTTAGTGTTGCATTTTAAGGAGTGCATACATTTTTATTTATACATGCTCTAATTTTTTTCAAATATATGGTATATTTTATATTTTTTATATTGCAGTATTTTTTCATTTTTTATTTCCATAAATATCTTAAAGTTTTTAAAAATTCTATACCTATTAATTCAACTATCTAAAGAACTTGAGAGTTTAATTATTCTGCTATGGTTCAGCTGAATAGCAACTATAATGCCATTTTTATTAAATAGTTGTATAATTTTAGACTGAGTTTAGGTGTAGTAGTCTTTCAGTGAGAATCATGTGGGGCATATTTGGGCTATATTTTGAAAGATAATATTTTAAAACATAGGTGCCCTTTAAAGTGCTTTAAATTATGATTATTTAATATTAACTAACCTATATTCTTTTGTACAATGTACATGGTATAAATTTGAACATCAGAATTCTGATGCAAGAGCAAGCCTGTATTTATGAATTTTGCAAACTTCTTTTCACTATAGGTCAAGACAGGTAAGCAGAGTTGTAATGTTTATTTATTATTTATTTATTTATTTATTTATTTATTTATTTATTTTACGTGGTTCCTAGGACATATTGCTCTTTCCTAGTCTGGAAAATGAACTTATAGAGAAGTCTGAATTCCACCACTACCACCATCCTCCACACAAACACCTTATATTCTGATTGCATAGGCTAAAGTTCATGCTGATATGTTTCTTTACAATTTGATTTCTGGCCATGACATAGATATGGGTTTTAGCTTACTGTTCTGGTTTTCACCATTCTTTTTTATATGGGTCCTTAATTATTTTCCTTATTTGAGGTGGGGTTGGGCTTAATTATTCCTTTAAAATAATATTTATTATTATTATTATTTTAGAGACAAGGTCTCTGTCACCCAGGCTGGAGTGAAATGGTATGATCTTAACTCACTGCAGCCTAGAATTCTTGGGCCCGTGGGATCCTCCCATTTCAGCATCCAAAATAGCTAAGACTATAGTCACACACCACCATACCCAGCTAATTTTGAAAAAATGTTTTCTCACTCTGTTGCTCAGGCTGGTCTTGAATTCCTGGCTGGCCTCAAGCAACCCTCCCACCTTCTGGGGTCACAAGCATGAACCAACATGCCTGTCCTAGGATTTTTTGATCACACAAATTGGGTTATTTTTGTCATATCCAACTAAAATAGAGTTGAGAGGATAAGGGAGGAAGGCAGAGAATTACATAATGTGTCCTGAGGGCTTTTTGTTGGACAATTTTCTGGGAGTCCAATGTATTTTCTCTTTACTTTCAGTGCTCTAATCACACTGCATCTTTCAGGAACTGCAAAACCCTTAGTCACTTTACACCTCATGCTGTTTTGGTTAACATTAACCATAGCACCACTGCAAAAATAAACCCAAATTTTGGTGGGTTCAAAAAAATAGATTTTTTAAATTTAATATCTGACAAGCTGATCTGGGTGTTGCTTGCAGCCTAGTTGACGTTCCTTCATGTGGTATTTGAGGTATCCAGGTTTCTTCTATCCTGGGGCTAAATCAGAGGAGAGAAGGCACCCCAATGCAGAGATGACGTTTCACTGTCATTTGAAATTTTTGGATAAGAACTAGTGACATAGCCAGCTGTGGATTCAAGAGCAGGGTAAGAAACAATCCCTGACCCATCAAAGCTACCTCCAGTGAAAACTGCATGCTACAACGAAGGAAACATTCATTGTTATTGTACAGATGTCTTCACATATGATTGTCCCTTCACCTGGACAATTTACCTCACTTGAACTTTCCTAACTCATACTGTTTTACACTTTTGTATCCAATCACAACTTCCTTAGGAAAGCATTCCCAGATTGAGTCAGGGCCTAGTTTCATAAAGATGACCTAAAAAATTGTGCACTCTTTCTTAGCACTTATAAAATTGTAATTATCTTAATATCTGTGCAATTATTCCCTCAATCAGTAATTCCCCCACTAAAATATAGGCTCTGTGAAGGAGCAGACAATGCCTCTTTTTTTTTCTTTTTTTTTAAAGTACAATATGTGTCTTTCGCTTGTGTCTGACAAATTGCGAACACTCAATAGATATTTGTTGAATGAATTTTTAAAAAGAGGCTCTGTATAAAATAATTAACATATTTATAATGGAAATTAAAACATTCAGTATCACCAGGCACAGTGGCTCATGACTGTAATCCCAGCACTTTGGGAGACCAAGGCGGATGGATCACCTGAGGTCAAGAGTTTGAGACCAGCCTGGCCAAACCCCTTGGCTACTAACATTAGCCGGGCCTAGGTAACAGAGTGAGACTCTGTCTCAAAAACAAAAACAAAAACAAAAACAAAAAACCCAAAAAACAAAAATTAGCCAGGCCTGTAATCCCAGCTACTGGGGTGGCTGAGGCACCAGAATCGCTTGAACCCAGAAGGCGGAGGTTGCAGTGAGCTGAGATCACGAAACTGCACTTTAGCCTGGGTGACAGAGACACTGTCTCAAAAAAAAAAAAAAAAAAAAAAAGAAAGAAAAGAAAAGAAATTAGTATTTTCAAACTTTTAAAATGTTTACCTTTCATAAAAAAATTATTTAATCCACTGAGTATTTATGAAGATCCAATCAATAGGGCAGCTTCTGTGACAGCCAAGTACAAAATCTCTGTCATTCAGTATTTCATATTTACTTGGGGTTGAGATATTCCCAAGCTGCAGTGCTAAAACTCTCCTATAAAAATATGGATTAATCAAATATAGATTGTGTTTATGCCAAGATATACCAGGCATGGTGTTGCCACAAATATTATTTCAGCATTTCTATTGGAGACCCCCTGAATATAAGCTCCATGAGGGCAGAGACTCTATCCCCTGAAGACTGTCTATTCAACAAATTGCTCAATAAATACTTTTCTGAATATACAACAGACAGTCAGAATATATTTTTATGTTATAATTTTAGAAGAGAGTATATTTGTCCAGGGTTAATATGCAGCAATATCTGTTCCCTCTACTTCTTCCACAGGATCATCCTTGAGATCAATTAGATCAATGCTGCTAAAGCTACACACTGGAAATTGATACACTGAAAAATCTATTCAGCATTGATGGGCCAGAGGTCACTGAAACTCTAGACACTGCTAATGGGATTATCAATTACAAATATGATAGTAGATATTGTAACATTGGTTAAGGTCGCACATCTTCAACAGCTAGCTCTAAATAGAAAGTTAACTTTGACAGGGTTTGGTAACAGGACTGACATGGTATTGGTTTTCAAAAAGTAGGTGTTTTTTTTGGTTTTCATTTTCCCTGCTATACTTTGGTCCCACCATCTGAGAGCAGTAAACACTTTACAGGAATTAGTTGTCTAAAGAAAAACCTTCTTATTTCTAGGTGAGTTTTCTTAAAGACATTTCAGAAAATGACTGCCATCAATTTCATTACGATAAATCAATATAAATTACTAATTTAATAGAAGCTAAATTCAGACTACACTCAGTCTTTGGACATATATATGGTTTCTTAAACCTCCTTACTCTGAGAACCACATTTCTTGCCTTATAAAAGATTAAAAATTCTTCAATTTAGAGATCCCACAATATTATACAATTAAATACACTCTTGCTCCCGCAGTCATTATCTAAAATGTTTCAATTGAGAATTTTTGTATGCTCATCTATTTTCATGAATTTCAAGTATTAAGATCCAGTTTTTTTCCTTTAAAGTGAAATAACATTTTGAAAGCAAATAAAGTGAATGTGAAGGTATGTTGTTTCATTAAAGATAGTAACGTGCCAGATATATTCTATTACTTTCTTGAAATATGTCTAAAATCCCTGATATTCAATATTTTGTAGGTGAGTTTTTACTTTAGTCTCTCTGTCTCTCTCCCTCCTTCCCTCCCTCTCTCCCTCTCTCCCTCCCTTCTTTCCTCCCTCTCAAGCTCTCTTCTTTCCTTTGCTCCTTCCTTCTCATTTGTTCTCCTGGCTTCTCTAAGGTGCTCATTGCTTTTATGCTGCTAGAATTGTAGACACAAGTAAAAAGAAGGCAACCAACTACACTGAACTTTTGTATTAGGATTTTAATGGTATTTTTAAGTTGAAATACATGCACACATTCTGTCTAGA
This sequence comes from Homo sapiens, assembly GCF_000001405.40. Lineage (NCBI taxonomy): Eukaryota > Metazoa > Chordata > Mammalia > Primates > Hominidae > Homo > Homo sapiens. The sequence goes on along the minus strand of NC_000001.11, from coordinate 80,414,780 downwards.
CTCCTCAACATATACACACCGCTGTTGACGAGCATGGCCTCCATCTTAAGCTGGTCATTGGTAAACGACTAGTCATTGCTGTTTCACTTTTTCACCTCCATTGGTTTTTCTTAGAAATTATGTTACACCTTTTATTCCACTGCAAATTTCTTTTTCTTTTCTTCTTTTTTATTTAACCATTCAGATTGGCCTTGAATTATATCAGGAGAGCAGCTGTTTAGTAATCCAGGTCAATAGGATATCCAGCCTTAATATAAAGTCATAGAAAGCCTTTTCTATATGCCATCACACAGGGCAGAGTAGATGTTGTTTTATTGACCATCCTTTCCTAAAAGGGCCTTGTAGCATTTGCAATTTTTGCCCTATGGGGATGGTAGAGGAGACCTCTGTTGCTCCTTTAATCAGCGGCAGAATCAGCAATTAACCTATAACTGTAGCTGGTGTCCTAGAAATGAGGCAATGCAATCTTTTCTCACTATTTCTTATGGGAAATTGCTTTTGATATATCTGCTTCAAGATTGCTCATTTTTCAAGAAATATCCCTTTAGCCTACATTAACCAGTACACATATTATTTCTTCCATAGATGGTCACATTTTGACCTACCTGACCTAAACTGCTCTGTGTTGTATTTATCTTTTATGCTTCTAAGGGGGCCCTGTGCCTATTTCTATCAAAATACTTATCACAATGTGTTACAATCATCATTTTACTCCCATGACGGTAAGTCTCTTGAGATTAGGTAACATTTATCTTGATAAACTCAGTTCCTAGCAAAGTGACTGGTTCTTCACAAATAATGGCATTCCAAGTCAACCTTAGGAGCTAAGAAAGTCTTTCTGTACAATGAAGAGTGTCTAGAACATATTCATCTATCAATACATATTTGTTAAATAAGTTTTTAAAAATATCCAACACAACCTTCTCTTATGATAGGCACCATTCTAACTTTACAAATATTGACTCGTGGCTCTCAAAACCATCATAATAGGCAGGACTATGATTTTCTCAATTTTATATATGAATAAATACAGGAGAGAGTGAGTGTGTTTCTAAAGGACACACTGCCAGGAAGTGGGGTACCAGGTGTCAAATTGATTCAGTCTGGCTCTCAAGTCCATGCTCCTAACATTACACTATACTAAAAAGTCAGCCATAACAGAAAAAAATAACTAGCTAATGAAACATTTTTACATCTAGGAAAAGAAACATTTGTATTTATATAAATAACTCACACTAAATATAAATATATGTATGTTCTTAGAGGTCATACGAGAGATGAAAGCAATTTTTTTATTTGTATTTCTACATATTTTTAATATAATAAAACTTTTTATTTTTCTATAAAAGTTTTTGAAGAAAATGAAGTTTCTTCATGTTTTATATATGAAATTAAAAGACCTAGTGTATAATTAGAAGTGATGAAGAGACATTCAATTCTTAATGTTGAACTATTATAAGTTTTGGGTAGTATCTAAATTAATATTACCATGATAATAAAGTACTACAGGAGAATAAAGATATGCATCATCAAAATGTTCTCATTAATGAATAGTGATTTAAACTCTCATACTAATGAAATGGGGTTTAGAGTAAAGACACATCAGGAAATATTCAATTAAGACACTCGATAATAAAATAAAAGATTTATGTAACAGTAGACAGTGATACACTTTACAATGCATTTTAAGACTTTTATTTTTATAAGGTGCTGAAGTACTTGATTCAATTGAATTATAAAACACCAAGTTTATCTTTAAATAAAATCAATAATGCATTTCAAAATATTTTAATAGAGAAAAGAACAAAACTTATAGACATACCTAAAAATCGGGATTAAGATACAGTGTACTAATCTGATGTGCATGCTCCTGTTAAATATATTCTGGTTAAAAATGATCGGTTACATAAACGCACTCTCTGCGTAGAATTCAAAGAAAATAATCAATTTTTATATTTAATTTTAGAAATTATTGCAAGAGTATCCATCTTGAAGTTGACAAAGTACTTTGTTCTTACCCTGAAATTTGAATTTTTGCAGGCAATTATCTGAGTTTCCTAAGTTTTAAAGATAAAACTACTTGAAATTGGAGCTAATTGCTACTTCATGATGTTTGGTTTATTTTAAAATTTTACTGAAATTAGGTACTTAGGTTATATTACATTACTTTATTTTATTATGTTATAGATAAATATAAATACAGATAGATGCAAACTAAGGTGACCCATCTAGTCAGGTATGAGACTTTGTTCTTCACTTTCCCCTATACTGACTAGCTACAAGTGATTGCAAGTGATCCCTCTCCTCCTCCTCCTTTTCCTCCACCACCTCCTCCTCCTCCTCCTTTTACTCCACCTCCTCCTCCTCCTTTTCCTCCACTTCCTTCTCATTTTCCTCCTCCTCCTCCTTCTTCTTCTTTTTCTTTTTCTTCGTCTTCTTCTTTGAGCTTGTACTTTGGATTGATGAGATTTTTGATTAAATTATTTGGATAAAATGTTTTCTGTTTTAATTTGTTTTGCTTTGTTTTATTAGCTTCCAGGTCTACAGTTCAGAAGTCCAGGCTTGGGTACATTCTCTGCTTAGGTTCTCACAAGGTGAAATCAAGGTGTAGGCCAGGCTAAGCTTTTCTGAGAGACTCTGGAGAAGAATCCATTGACCTGCTCATTCTAACTGTTGTCAGAATCCAGTTCCTTCCGATTGTAGGGCTGAGGTCCTGGTTTCCTTGTTGGCTGTCATGTATCTTTCAGAGTAGTCTGCTCTCAGGTTCTTGTTAACATCATGCAAGGAGGTAATCTCTCAATCTCAACAATGGATCTCACCTTGTAGCAAATCTTCCTCACCATTTGAATATATGACAGCTACTAATATTTAATGAAAACTCCCTACTTATAAAACACTCATCTGATGCCTGATTGGGCTAAGCCCACCCAGATAATCTCCATATTTTAGGGTCAACTGACTTAGGACTCTAAAGACATATGCAAAATCCCATCACAGCCGTACTTAGGTTAACGTTTGGTTGAATAACCATGGGACATAAATTTGGTGGGGGCGGCCTCTTTAGAATTCTGCCTACTACATTCCATCACCTGGCCCCCAGATGATTCATACTTATTCAAAATACAAAATGTATTTACCCTATTCTAATGTCTTCAAAAGTCTCATCCCATTACAGCATCAGTACAGATTCCAAATTTTAATCTAAATCTTATCAGCTCAAAACTCCAGAATCTCATCTAAATTTGATTAGCATGCTTCTTGGAGAAAAATTCCTCTCTGTCTCTGGACCAGCAAAATCAAAAAGACAAGTTAACAGACCTCAACAGTTTTAATATAAAGTGGTAGGACATGCATAGGATGAATTATAAACTTCTTTTCTCTATTTTTGGTTTTGATTAGATGAGTGAGGAAAACAATCTTTTACTTTATGATTCGTGGTTTGATTGAGAAGATGTGCAAGGCACATTCTTAATATTACTAAAGTGACATAATGCTATTTTTGAGATTTCATCAAACAAATGTACAGCTACATCCTCAGCCCTTTCTCTATCGCAAACATATCTGAATTTTAGCATCTTTCATTAACTGGATAGGCTCATAATTACCCAAATACAAATTTCATAGACTCATTTTGCTCAACAGTTCATCTCTCAAAGTTTGCTCACTTCTCACATCTTACTATTAGTAGTATGAATAAACAAGACAACACTATAAACATTTTGCTTGGAAATAATCTCAGCTAAATATTCAACTATACTGATTAAGAGTTGTTCTTTTCCGGACTCAATTTTGCTAAAAAATGACCATTACATAAAATGTAGGAAATTACCTCCCTCATTTTCTAATAACATGTGTCTTACTTTCTGAGCTCTCACTGGGCTTTTAAAGTCCAAATTTCTACTAGAAGTCTCTTTTGGAAACTTAAACTTTCATTAAGATGATATAGAATTTCTCCAGAATGTTCCTCATATCTTTCTGACTCCTCGCCAGTAGAACCTTTAATATCCATATTTCTATGAAAAATCTGTTCAAGGAAACCTAGGTGGTTGTTTCACTTTTTTTTAACTTTGGTTTGTTTGCTGGTGTATGCATCTGATTTTAAGATATAAAGATTGAGTACTGATTGACCACTCACACCACTATTTTTAGATTTCACCTTGGATCACAAATCTAAAGACTTTAAAGTGGAGACCAAATTACGTCTTCTTTCCTAAGAATTACAGACTCTGTACCTTTTAAGAGAGATTTTTTTTTAACACCTTAAGATACTATCAGCCCTTCAGTTTCTCATATTTTTTTTCCATGATCGTTGAAGTACATGAATTTCTAGGGCATGATACATTTTCCAAACGTATTGCAGACTCATCATATATTAGCCAGTGAAGCAAAATATTCTTCTATTTAACAGCTATGGTGTTACAATGCTACTATTTCTTAATATAAGGGTAAGCCACAATCCCCTTTACAACATGTGAAATATTCTCTTTTCTATTACTTCTGCGTTCTTATTTTCTTTTTCTTTTCTTTTTATTATTATTATACTTTAAGTTTTAGGGTACATGTGCACAATGTGCAGGTTAGTTACATATGTATACATGTGACATGCTGGTGCGCTGCACCCACTAACTCGTCATCTAGCATTAGGTATATCTGCTAAAGCTATCCCTTCTCCCTCCCCCCACCGCACAACAGTCCCCAGAGTGTGATGTTCCCCTTCCTGTGTCCATGTGTTCTCATTGTTCAATTCCCACCTATGAGTGAGAATATGCGGTGCTTGGTTTTTTGTTCTTGCAATAGTTTACTGAGAATGATGATTTCCAATTTCATCCATGTCCCTACAAAGGACATGAACTCATCATTTTTTATGGCTGCATGGTATTCCATGGTGTATATGTGCCACATTTTCTTAATCTAGTCTATCATTGTTGGACATTTGGGTTGGTTCCAAGTCTTTGCTATTGTGAATAGTGCCACAATAAACATAGGTGTGCATGTGTCTTTATAGCAGCATGATTTATAGTCCTTTGGGTATATACCCAGTAATGGGATGGCTGGGTCAAATGGTATTTCTAGTTCTAGATCCCTGAGGAATTGCCACACTGACTTCCACAATGGTTGAACTAGTTTACAGTCCCACCAACAGTGTAAAAGTGTTCCTATTTCTCCACATCCTCTCCAGCACCTGTTGTTTCCTGACTGACTTTTAAATGATTGCCATTCTAACTGGTGTGAGATGGTATCTCATTGTGGTTTTGATTTGCATTTCTCTGATGGCCAGTGATGGTGAGCATTTTTTCATGTGTTTTTTTGGCTGCATAAATGTCTTCTTTTGAGAAGTGTCTGTTCATGTCCTTCGCCCACTTTTTGATGGGGTTGTTTGTTTTTTTCTTGTTAATTTTTTTGAGTTCATTGTAGATTCTGGATATTAGCCCTTTGTCAGATGAGTAGTTTGTGAAAATTTTCTCCCATTTTGTGTGTTGCCTGTTCACTCTGATGGTAGTTTCTTTTGCTGTGCAGAAGCTCTTTAGTTTAATTAGATCCCATTTGTCAATTTTGTCTTTTGTTGCCATTGCTTTTGGTGTTTTAGACATGAAGTCCTTGCCCATGCCTATGTCCTGAATGGTAATGCCTAGGTTTTCTTCTAGGGTTTTTATGGTTTTAGGTCTAACGTTTAAGTCTTTAATCCATTTTGAATTAATTTTTGTAGAAGGTGTAAGGAAGGGATCCCGTTTCAGCTTTCTACATATGGCTAGCCAGTTTTCCCAGCACCATTTATTAAATAGGGAATCCTTTCCCCATTGCTTGTTTTTCTCAGGTTTGTCAAAGATCAGATAGTTGTAGATATGCGGCGTTATTTCTGAGGGCTCTGTTCTGTTCCATTGATCTATATCTCTGTTTTGGTACCAGTACCATGCTGTTTTGTTTACTGTAGCCTTGTAGTGTACTTTGAAGTCAGGTAGTGTGATGCCTCCAGCTTTGTTCTTTTGGCTTAGGATTGGCTTGGTGATGTGGGCTCTTTTTTGGTTCCATATGAACTTTAAAGTAGTTTTTTCCAGTTCTGTGAAGAAAGTCATTGGTAGCTTGATGGGGATGGCATTGAATCTATAAATTACCTTGGGCAGTATGGCCATTTTCACGATATTGATTCTTCCTAACCATGAGCATGGAATGTTCTTCCATTTGTTTGTATCCTCTTTTATTTCCTTGAGCAGTGGTTTGTAGTTCTCCTTGAAGAGGTCCTTCACATCCCTTGTAAGTTGGATTCCTAGGTATTTGATTCTCTTTGAAGCAATTGTGAATGGGAGTTCACTCATGATTTGGCTCTCTTTTTGTCTGTTATTGGTGTATAAGAATGCTTATGATTTTTGTACATTGATTTTGTATCCTGAGACTTTGCTGAAGTTGCTTATCAGCTTAAGGAGATTTTGGGCTGAGACAATGGGGTTTTCTAGATATACAATCATGTCATCTGCAAACAGGGACAATTTGACTTCCTCTTTTCCTAATTGAATACCCTTTATTTCCTTTTCTTGCCTAATTGCCCTGGCCAGAACTTCCAACACTATGTTGAATAGGAGTGGTGAGAGAGGGCATCCCTGTGTTGTGCCAGTTTTCAAAGGGAATGCTTCCAGTTTTTGCCCATTCAGTATGATATTGGCTGTGGGCTTGTCATAGATAGGTCTTATTATTTTGAGACATGTCCCATCAATACCTAATTTATTGAGAGTTTTTAGCATGAAGGGTTGTTGAATTTTGTCAAAGGCCTTTTCTGCATCTATTGAGATAATCATGTGGTTTTTGTCTTTGGTTCTGTTTGTATGCTGGGTTACATTTATTGATTTGTGTATGTTGAACCAGCTTTGCATCCCAGGGATGAAGCCCACTTGATCATGGTGGATAAGCTTTTTGATGTGCTGCTGGATTCCGTTTGCCAGTATTTTCTTGAGGATTTTTGCATCAATGTTCATCAAGGATATTGGTCTAAAATTCTCTTTTTTGGTTGTGTCTCTGCCCGGGTTTGGTATCAGGATGATGCTGGCCTCATAAAATGAGTTAGGGAGGATTCCCTCTTTTTCTATTGATTGGAATAATTTCAGAAGAAATGATACCACTTCCTCCTTGTACCTCTGGTAGAATTTGGCTGTGAATCCATCTGGTCCTGGACTCTTTTTGGTTGGTAAGCTATTGATTATTGCCACAATTTCAGAGCCTGTTATTGGTCTATTCAGAGATTCAACTTCTTCCTGGTTTAGTCTTGGGAGGGTGTATGTGTCGATGTGTCGAGGAATTTATCCATTTCTTCTAGATTTTCTAGTTTATTTGCGTAGAGGTGTTTGTATTATTCTCTGATGGTAGTTTGTATTTCTGTGGGATCAGTGGTGATATCCCCTTTATCATTTTTTATTGAGTCTATTTGATTCTTCTCTCTTTTCTTCTTTATTAGTCTTGCTAGCGGTCTATCAATTTTGTTGATCCTTTCAAAAAACCAGCTCCTGGATTAATTTTTTGAAGGGTTTTTTGTGTCTCTATTTCCTTCAGTTCTGCTCTGATTTTAGTTATTTCTTGCCTTCTGCTAGCTTTTGAATGTGTTTGCTCTTGCTTTTCTAGTTCTTTTAATTGTGATGTTAGGGTGTCAATTTTGGATCTTTCCTGCTTTGTCTTGTGGGCATTTAGTGCTATAAATTTCCCTCTACACACTGCTTTGAATGTGTCCCAGAGATTCTGGTATGTTGTGTCTTTGTTCTCGTTGGTTTCAAAGAACATCTTTATTTCTGCCTTCATTTCATTATGTACACAGTAGTAATTCAGGAGCAGGTTGTTCAGTTTCCATGTAGTTGAGCGGTTTTGAGTGAGTTTCTTAATCCTGAGTTCTAGTTTGATTGCACTGTGGTCTGAGAGACAGTTTGTTATAATTTCTGATCTTTTACATTTGCTGATGAGAGCTTTACTTCCAACTAAGCGGTCAATTTTGGAATAGGTGTGGTTGTTCTTATTTTCTTTTAACAAGATATACTTGTATTTGTTACTACCTTAAAACTCCATTTATTTCTACTGTGATGATATTCTTGGAACTTCTCCATGTTGAATTTCTCCTGGTCTTCAAGAATACCATTATTATTGGACACCAGAATGTTTTGAGCTCTTTTCTTTGCAGAAATTATGTGGGCTAAGTAAAAAAATCAAGAGTTCACCAACTGTGATTCTGCCTTGTAGGCATATTAGTGTTTCAGTGAACATTCTCTGTAAAGACTATAAAGAAAATTGTTATGGCATGGACCTATGGTAGTATGCCCTAAAGGGATATAATAACTCTTCACAGATAAAAACATGAGTAATCCAGAAAGTTGTATTCTATTTTTGTATTATTTTTATTATTCATTCTATTTTAACATTTTCAAAATTCTTCAATCTGTGTTTTTTATTTTTTCATTAGAAAGTTGGATTCTAAATACTTGTAGCTGACTGGGATTCCTTAAAAACAAAAGAGTCTAATCAGGATGTCCTCTCAATAGTATTAAGTGTGATGCCTTTCCACACAATCTGAGTCTGCTATTAATTAGATTAGTTTTAATATAATATCTAGTAGTTTTCATTCTAATGTACTCTTTATTGCAGAGGATAAACTGGCAAAGTGAAAAGCATGTGTCAGTTTGACTATTCTTTGACCTTTTCTATATCTTTGTGAACATCAAATAAAAATTTAACTAGTACCACACCTATTAGATTAATATAAGCAGTGAAGCAATAATGGGTGAAATCTGCATAACCTAAAATTTCAAAGTATGGGGTTAAGCATCCCATTGCCCCTTATCAATTGCATAACTTTCAGCAAATATATATCTCTACAAACCCTGCTTTGTCTGTCTTTAAAATGAAAATAATGTTAATATCTACCTCACTGGATTTTTCTCAAATTAAAATAATAATAATGAGACAATTTTGAATGCTAAATAAAATAATGCATCTAAGTCACTAAGCAGAGCAACCAGCATTTGGTCAGGGATCAATAATTATTGTTATTCTGATATGTAACATATACATTTAAATTTATCAATTTGAAATGGTTGACATCATTAAATATTTTTAACAATGAGTTGAGTAGCACAAATATTTTATTTAAGTGTAGGAAACTGGAATTTAAAAAAAGTTCAACTGTACATCACATAGTAAATAGAACTGCAGATTGAAACCATTATGCTTCTAAGAACAATGCCAGGGACAAATGAATTAAATAAAATACTTATTTATATAAAAATGTATTATAAAAATATCAATATCACAAATAATCTTATAACCTGAAAATCTCAATTTATATTGTTTAAATGTTCAACTCATTAAGAATTATGTATAACAATTGTAATTTATTTTAGATAGTGGTTTCAAATTTATCCAACTTTTATACTGTTGCCTTGACATATTCCTGACAATCAAGGCTGGTAGGTTTCAGCTCCTCACAGACATGGTTTTGAATCCTGGCTCTACTAGTTACAAGCTAGGAGTGTGCTGGAGATACTTGGAGGACAAAGCAGGTAGTAGAGCTGCCAATCCATGTGACCTCAGAACAAGTGATTGATAGTTACAATGACTGTTATCCAAGTATTTCAATGTTTAAGAGAAGAATTCATTAATTTCTATCTCAGTTTCTAAGATCAAAGTAAATTTTATGTTTAATAAATGTATATTCAATAGCTTAAATATTTTATAATTTATTAAGTATACTTATTTCACAGTTACATTCTTCTTCAGCCAGTGCATAATTCCACTCAACCTTCAGTTAAAATCAGTGCTCTTGTTTGGGGTCACAGAGAATCTGTGTTGATAGATACTTGGGACCTGAAACTTGTAGTTCATGTGCAGACAAGAAGGAGTATATTTAGAGTTCAGACCTGCTCTGAGATACTTCATCCATTCAATGATCAATCAGCTTTTGTGGCCTGTTCTCGGGACCAATAACATTTCTGCCTTTACTTATTTGTAGAAACGTGTTTTGCAATGAAAAAGAACAAAAACACACATGGACACAAAAAAACTATTTACAAGTGATTTTTTTATTTGACCAATTGCTATATTGATTATTGTAAATTTGTCTAAAATAATAATTCTGTGAGTTTTGTAGAGCTTAAATGGTGGATCTATTTGTATAGTCTATGGTCCCAAGTCAAACTACCTCAAATTCAGCTAACTCTGAGCTCAATGGGGATAGGGAAGTTGCATGTATACAGAAAACTATAGTGGAACATTGAACGGAAAGAAATAGAAACCAAAGATTTGATTATTTTCTAAACCATATCTAGTTGAGATTATTTAATCCTGTATATTTAGTCTTGCCTCAGAGAATTTTTTTCAGACCTACCATATGAATAGTTTATTTTCCTTTGCTCCTCAGTAATCATTTTCTTGCTTTTCCTACTTATGCTGAGCCCAAGATTTGTATATGAACCTGACTGCAGAGGGAGTTGAATATCAGTATGTGAGGGTTGAATTGGGCCCATAATGGGTATTGAAATAAAGAGAATAATGAATTGAAAACCTGTGTGCTTAAATGTGTGTTTCCCATTTCTGACTGAAAATGCTGCTCAAATGAAAGCCAATTTTCTTTTTTATGAACTGAACTCATAATTAGGAACTTGAATTATAATAGTCATAGAAATGGTAGTTATAATATAGACATATTACATTTGATTAGATTTTGCACAAGGGAAATTTTCCTTTGTATTAACTGGGCATTTAATTCCAATTCCATAGAAGGTAACTCTGAAATTGCAGGCTGTGGACGGTGCTCTGCTCAAGTACTCGGGCTCAGTCACAGCAGCCCACAGAGCATCAGGGCCAGTCACTGCAGGTTTTTTGACTCTAAAATTGTCATTTCAATTTTTCTAAGTTTCATTTTAAATTCTTTTTTAATGGTGTGGTTGCATTGTCCATGGCATAAATCTGGGAGCAGGATTTGCATTTAGAATGCTATAAAATACACTGTTCCTTCGGGTATATTAAGGAGGGCACCATATACCAGTTCGCATAAATCAAGATAAGAATACTAAAAGCAAAGCAATTTGATTAGGTACTAAATTCAAAACATTACAAGATTGTGGTCTAACAGCCACCAGGAACTTAAGTCATCCGGCATCTATAGCATTGTCTAGTGTGGAAAATTAAAATGACAGTTTTAAGAGATAAAGGCAATCTTGTTCCTATTGAGCTTTAGGGTTCCTGCCAGTTTATCTCGGTTATGAGGTGTAATGTAATATTATATACACATCTACTATAAACATTCAGACTTTTATAGGCATGTCAAAAGGGTACACTTGATGTGAAATAAAATGAATTACAACCCTGTAAAAAGTTCCATGATTTACTCTAACGTGGGTACACTCTTTCTCCACCCTTTCTACCATCTTAAATCCCCAGGAGAAATTGAAGGGAAACAATTGTAAAATTTATTTTAAGAATTATCAGAGCAGCAATGTATAGTTTTCTAATGTCAGGGATCAAAATCTGCTTTTGCATCTTTTATGAAATAATATCATCAAAGTTTACACATTAGAAATGAATCAATTCTCTGAAGATTTTCAAGCTTATATTTATGTATCTATGTAATTTTCAGAAGTGTTACAAAAGTCTTATACATATAGTATTGAATTTGCCACAAAAAACGTTTTTTTATTTCATATGGTATCACAAATTTATAATTTTCTTGCATTTCTAAAACAGATATAAAATAAAACACACATCTAGAATGTATATTAGAAGGCTTCTTTTTTTCAATGTATCTCTTTAAAGCTAAATTTTTTTTTTCTCATCCTTTATACTGTCAATGACACTGATGTGGGCCTGATAATTTTTTTTTAATGTGTAGGAGATGTTTGGCAAGTAATAGCATTCCTTTCCTATCAAGTTTTACAGCCTTTATATAGCCAGCATAACCCATTTAAACTCATTCTATACGTACTTGCTTTTAGTGATATTTCTTCTTTGCATGCCCTCTTATAATTAGGAGGAAGGCCCCGAAGGGCCCAATTAGCCAACATGTGAATGTAATTATAACTCTTGATTTTTTTCTCTTTTTTTCCCCTTGTACGTATGTCTGTGTAATATATAGCATAACCTACTTGGGAGAAAATTCCAGCCAGGAATAAATTACATATTGAGCTTTAAACTAGTTTATGGCAAACATTCATTATGGTTGCCTAAGAGACACTGTTTCCCGTCACTTATAGTAAGAGCAATAGATATACTGGAGCCACCTTATGTAGCAAGCTTCCCCTTCCATATGGAAGTTAAACTTAACAACTAAACTTCCAGTCAATTGTGTGCCTATCATCTGATCATCACACAAGTCCAGGGTTGCCACAGGAGGGATTTTTAGGTGTGCTGAAGTTCAGATGTTGAAGATGTGTGAACATCCAGCACTGTGGGGTTTTCTGTTGTTTTATTTTTTTGTTTTTGAGAGAGGGTCTCACTGTCACCCAGGCTAGAGTGAAGTGGTGTGATTTCTGCTCACTACAACCTACGCATTTCAGGCTCAGATGATCCTCCCAACTCAGCCTCCCAAGTAGCTGGAAGTACAGGCACACACTACCAGGCCCCACTAATTTTTTGTATTTTTTGTAGAGACAGGGTTTAACCAAGGTGCCCAGGCTGATCAGCCAGCATTGTTTTACAGAAGACAGTTTATAGCTGCAGGAAGTTAAGCCTGAATGCACAAAGTGAGACTTCAGTGTTTAACAGTATTAAATCTAAGGGCCAACTGTCCTAACTGTGGTCATCTTATTTTAAGTTTTGCAAGGGCTGCCACAGGCACTCACAGATGCCAATCAGAGAAGGTCTTCTCTTTCACATGTAAGAGTTTTTTTTTTTTTTTTTTTTTTTTCCTTCTGGTTCATGTTGCTCTCAACACATGATGAATCTCCAGGGACCAGATTTCTTATTTTAAGATAAGGTATTTTCAACGTATTTGGAGATGAGAAGGAACTTTTAGTCACAGTTCATAGTAAACATGCAAATGGATAATTAAATGAATGTTTGTGTATGTACCTTTGTTTTTACAACATATATGGATAACTTATGTTGATATCAGCATTTTGTACCAGGGCCACCACTGAGTACAACTATGCAGATTCCTCACTAAGTTAATCCAGAACGTCCACTTCACAGAGAGTCTGATATTAATGATGCCCTTTAGAGGTCTGAAGTCTGATTTGGGTTTCCATTCTATGAGCTTGATTTCTAAATTTATTGTCTTTAGACACAATTAGAATAAATTATCCCAATCTGCCAATCTCTAAGCTTATTTGTTCATATTTTGTTATCTTTTCTGACTTAGATAATTATAATAACTAATAAGAACTAACATTATTTAACTGCATTATCATGTTTAATCCTCAAAACAACTCCCTGAATCAGATTTTATGACTACTTTCATTTTACAAGGAGAAAACAAACGTTTTCAAGGATATTGACATCTAATTGTGTAGCAGAGACTTTTAACCCAGGTCTTTCTGACTTCAGGGATAGGGACCTTTATCATCACTTTACTGGAAAACTGCTATTACATACTAGGCAAATGCAGTGCATTAAACTCAGTGTTTTTTTCTTCTATATTATTCCCCTGGCCTTTAACCATCTGCTTATCTCATTTGTTGTCCCTTTGGAACTTCTTTCTACTATCATTACCACTCAAATTTCCTATCTATCTGCCTTACTCTACCAACACTTAGTTGGACATATATTAATAGTTGCAGCTTTTATGGATAGAAAAACACACACAAAAAACTTAGAGACAATTTAGGCCCATCCTGCCAAGTGAAAGATTTTTATCTTAACTATATCAGTGTTTATTTTTTCCCTAAGACAAAACCTGTACATGTCAAGAATTGTGGGTTGGCATTAACGAATTAAACCTATAATATATTCATGCATAACTGAAAAGGTTTAGTTTATTTTTCTTTAGCTCAAGAGTGGTTGGCTCAATTATTCTTTGTCTCCTTGCGCCTCAGTCTGAGTGATGTAGTTTCTAGAACTTTGTAAAGATTCAACATGAAGCTCCTATGAATACTCAGTGTTACCCTATGGATAGGGGCTCCTCTTGAGGCCCGGAGTGGGATGGCTTTCAGAAGAGGTGTGTGAAGTGAGAGGAGGAAGCGGGAAATTCACAGAGGTCTCAATCAGAGAGTTAAGGAGTATAACAACTGGAATAATCAAAGAAAACACAAGAACTATAGAAAGAAAAAATTAATGATGTTTTATGACTGACCACTAAAAATAATTGTAAGAAAGCAAGCAAGTGAGGAGCCAAGATGGCTGAATAGGAACAGCTCCGGTCTACAGCTCCCAGTGTGAGCAACGCAGAAGACGGGTGATTTCTGCATTTCCATCTGAGGTACCGGGTGCATCTCACTAGGGAGTGCCAGACAGTGGGCGCAGGTCAGTGGGTGCAGCGCACCGTGCACGAGCCGAAGCAGGGCGAGGCATTGCCTCAGTCGGGAAGCGCAAGGGGTCAGGGAGTTCCCTTTCCTAGTCAAAGAAAGGGGTGACGGACAGCACCTGGAAAATGGGGTCACTCCCACCCAAATACTGTGCTTTTCCAACGGGCTTAAAAAATGGCGCACCAGGAGATTATATCCTGCACCTGGTTCAGAGGGTCCTACCCCCATGGAGTCTCGCTGATTGCTAGCACAGCAGTCTGAGATCAAACTGCAAGGTGGCAGCGAGGCTGGGGAGGGGCGCCTGCCATTGCCCAGGCTTGCTTAGGTAAACAAAGCAGCTGGGAAAGCTCTAACTGGGTGGAGCCCACCACAGCTCAAGGAGGCCTGCCTGCCTCTGTAGGCTCCACCTCTGGGGGCAGGGCACAGACAAACAAAAAGACAGCAGTAACCTCTGCAGACTTAAATGTCCCTGTCTGACAGCTCTGAAGAGAGCAGTGGTTCTCCCAGCACGCAGCTGGAGATGTGAGAATGGGCAGACTGCCTCCTCAAGTGGGTCCCTGACCCCTGACCCCTGAGCAGCCTAACTGGCAAGCACCACCCAGTAGGGGCAGACTGACACCTCACACAGCCGGGTACTCCTCTGAGACAAAACTTCCAGAGGAACGATCAGACAGCAGCATTCGCGGTTCATGAAAAACCACTGTTCTGCAGACACCGCTGCTGATACCCAGGCAAACAGGGTCTGGAGTGGACCTCTAGCAAACTCCAACAGACCTGCAGCTGAGGCTTCTGTCTGTTAGAAGGAAAACTAACAAACAGAAAGGACGTCCACACCAAAAACCCATCTGTACATCACCAACATCAAAGACCAAAAGTAGATAAAACCACAAAGATGGGGAAAAAACGAGCAGAAAAACTGGAAACTCTAAAAAGCAGAGCACCTCTCCTCCTCCAAAGGATCGCAGTTCCTCACCAGCAATGGAACAAAGCTGGACAGAGAATGACTTTGACGAGTTGAGAGAAGAAGGCTTCAGACGATCAAACTACGAGCTACAGGAGGAAATTCAAACCAAAGGCAAAGAAGTTAAAAACTTTGAAAAAAAATTTAGACGAATGTATAACTAGAATAAACAATACAGAGAAGTGCTTAAAGGAGCTGATGGAACTGAAAGCCAAGGCTCAAGAACTACGTGAAGAATGCAGAAGCCTCAGGAGCCCATGCGATCAACTGGAAGAAAGGGTATCAGCGATGGAAGATGAAATGAATGAAATGAAGCGAGAAGGGAAGTTTAGAGAAAAAAGAATAAAAAGGAATGAACAAATCCTCCAAGAAATATGGGACTATGTGAAAAGACCAAATCTACATCTGATTGGTGTACCTGAAAGTCACAGGGAGAATGGAACCAAGTTGGAAAACACTCTGCAGGATATTATCCAGGAGAACGTCCCCAATCTAGCAAGGCAGGCCGACATTCAGATTCAGGAAATATAGAGAATGCCGCAGAGATACTCCTCGAGAAGAGCAACTCCAAGACACATAATTGTCAGATTCACCAAAGTTGAAATGAAGGAAAAAATGTTAAGGGCAGCCAGAGAGAAAGGTCGGGTGATTCACAAAGGGAAGCCCATCAGACTAACAGCGGATCTCTCGGCAGAAACTCTACAAGCCAGAAGAGAGTGGGGGCCAACATTCAACATTCTTAAAGAAAAGAATTTTCCACCCAGAATTTCATATCCAGCCAAACTAAGCTTCATAAGTGAAGGAGAAATAAAATACTTTACAGACAAGCAAATGCTGAGAGATTTTGTCACCACCAGGCCTGCCCTAAAAGAGCTCCTGAAGGAAGCGCTAAACATGGAAAGGAACAACCGGTACCAGCCGCTGCAAAATCATGCCAAAATATAAAGAGCATCAAGACTAGGAAGAAACTGCAACAACTAACGAGCAAAATAACCAGCTAACTTCATAATGACAGGTTCAAATTCACACATAACAATATTAACCTTAAATGTAAATGGACTAAATGCTCCAATTAAAAGACACAGACTGGCAAATTAGATAAAGAGTCAAGACCCATCAGTGTGCTGTATTCAGGAAACCCATCTCACATGCAGAGACACACATAGGCTCAAAATAAAAGGATGGAGGAAGATCTACCAAGCAAATGGACAACAAAAAAAGGCAGGGGTTGCAATCCTAGTCTCTGATAAAACAGACTTTAAACCAACAAAGATCAAAAGAGACAAAGAAGGCCATTACATAATGGTAAAGGGATCAATTCAACAAGAAGAGCTAACTATCCTAAATATATATGCACCCAATACAGGAGCACCCAGATTCATAAAGCAAGTCCTGAGTGACCCACAAAGAGACTTAGACGCCCACACATTAATAATGGGAGAATTTAACACCCCACTGTCAACAGTAGACAGATCAAAGAGACAGAAAGTCAACAAGGATACCCAGGAATTGAACTCAGCTCTGTATCAAGCAGACCTAATAGACATCTACAGAACTCTCTACCCCAAATCAACAGAATATATATTTTTTTCAGCACCACACCACACCTGTTGCAAAACTGACCACACACTTGGAAGTAAAGCTCTCCTCAGCAAATGTAAAAGATCAGAAATTATAACAAACTATCTCTCAGACCACAGTGCAATCAAACTAGAACTCAGGATTAAGAAACTCAAAACCACTCAACTACATGGAAACTGAACAACCTGCTCCTGAATGACTACTGGGTACATAACGAAATGAAGGCAGAAATAAAGATGTTCTTTGAAACCAACGAGAACAAAGACACAACATACCAGAATCTCTGGGACACATACAAAGCAGTGTGTAGAGGGAAATTTATAGCACTAAATGCCCACAAGAGAAAGCAGGAAAGATCCAAAATTGACACCCTAACATCACAATTAAAAGAACTAGAAAAGCAAGAGCAAACACATTCAAAAGCTAGCAGAAGGCAAGAAATAACTAAAATCAGAGCAGAACTGAAGGAAATAGAGACACAAAAAAACCCCTCAAAAAATTAATGAATCCAGGAGCTGGTTTTTTGAAAGGATCAACAAAATTGATAGACTGCTAGCAAGACTAATAAAGAAAAAAAGAGAGAAGAATCAAATAGACTCAATAAAAAATGATAAAGGGGATATCATCACTGATCCCACAGAAATGCAAACTACCATCAGAGAATACTACAAACACCTCTATGCAAATAAACTAGAAAATCTAGAAGAAATGGATAAATTCCTCGACACACACCTTCCCAAGACTAAACCAGGAAGAAGTTGAATCTCTGAATAGACCAATAACAGGCTCTGAAATTGCGGTAATAATCAATAGCTTACCAACCAAAAAGAGTCCAGGACCAGATGGATTCACAGCCGAATTCTACCAGAGGTACAAGGAGGAACTGGTACCATTCCTTCTGAAATTATTCCAATCAATAGAAAAAGAGGGAATCCTCCCTAACTCATTTTATGAGGCCAGCATCATCCTGATACCAAAGCTGGGCAGAGACACAACCAAAAAAGAGAATTTTAGACCAATATCCTTGATGAACATTGATGCAAAAATCCTCAAGAAAATACTGGCAAACGGAATCCAGCAGCACAACAAAAAGCTTATCCACCATGATCAAGTGGGCTTCATCCCTGGGATGCAAGGCTGGTTTAATATACACAAATCAATAAATGTAATCCAGCATATAAACAGAACCAAAGAAAAAAAACACATGATTATCTCAATAGATGCAGAAAAGGCCTTTGACAAAATTCAACAACCCTTCAAGCTAAAAACTCTCAATAAATTAGGTATTGATGGGACATATCTCAAAATAATAAGAGCTGTCTATGACAAGCCCACAGCCAATATCATACTGAATGGGCAAAAACTGGAAGCATTCCTTTTGAAAACTGGCACAACACAGGGATGCCCTCTCTCACCACTCCTATTCAACATAGTGTTGCAAGTTCTGACCAGGGCAATTAGGCAGGAGAAGGAAATAAAGGGTATTCAATTAGGAAAAGAGGAAGTCAAATTGTCCCTGTTTGCAGATGACATGATTGTATATCTAGAAAACCCCATTGTCTCAGCCCAAAATCTCCTTAAGCTGATAAGCAACTTCAGCAAAGTCTCAGGATACAAAATCAATGTACAAAAATCATAAGCATTCTTATACACCAATAACAGACAAACAGCCAAATGATGAGTGAACTCCCATTCACAATTGCTTCAAAGAGAATCAAATACCTAGGAATCCAACTTACAAGGGATGTGAAGGACCTCTTCAAGGAGAACTACAAACCACTGCTCAAGGAAATAAAAGAGGATACAAACAAATGGAAGAACATTCCATGCTCATGGTTAGGAAGAATCAATATTGTGAAAATGGCCATACTGCCCAAGGTAATTTATAGATTCAATGCCATCCCCATCAAGCTACCAATGACTTTCTTCACAGAACTGGAAAAAACTACTTTAAAGTTCATATGGAACCAAAAAAGAGCCTGCATCGCCAAGTCAATCCTAAGCCAAAAGAACAAAGCTGGAGGCATCATGCTACCTGACTTCAAACTATACTACAAGGCTACAGAAACCAAAACAGCATGGTACTGGTACCAAAACAGAGATATAGATCAATAGAACGGAACAGAGCCCTCAGAAATAACGCCACCTATCTACAACTATCTGATCTTTGACAAACCTGAGAAAAACAAGCAATGGGGAAAGGATTCCCTATTTAATAAATGGTGCTGGGAAAACTGGCTAGCCATATGTAGAAAGCTGAAACTGGATCCCTTCCTTACACCTTCTACAAAAATCAATTCAAGATGGATTAAAGACTTAAACGTTAAACCTAAAACCATAAAAACCCTAGAAGAAAACCTAGGCATTACCATTCAGGACATAGGCATGGGCAAGGACTTCATGTCTAAAACACCAAAAGCAATGGCAACAAAAGCCAAAATTGACAAATGGGATCTAATTAAACTAAAGAGCTTCTGCACAGCAAAAGAAACTACCATCAGAGTGAACAGGCAACTCACAAAATGGGAGAAAATTTTCACAAACTATTCATCTGACAAAGGGCTAATATCAAGAATCTACAATGAACTCAAACAAATTTACGAGAAAAAAATAAACAACCCCATCAAAAAGTGGGCGAAGGACATGAACAGACACTTCTCAAAAGAAGACATTTATGAAGCCAAAAAACACATGAAAAAATGCTCACCATCACTGGCCATCAGAGAAATGCAAATCAAAACCACAATGAGATACCATCTCACACCAGTTAGAATGGTGATCATTAAAAAGTCAGGAAAGAACAGGTGCTGGAGAGGATGTGGAGAAATAGGAACACTTTTACACTGTTGGTGGGACTGTAAACTAGTTCAACCATTGTGGAAGTCAGTGTGGGAATTCCTCAGGGATCTAGAACTAGAAATACCATTTGACCCAGCCATCCCATTACTGAGTATATACCCAAAGGACTATAAATCATGCTGCTATAAAGACACATGCACACGTATGTTTATTGTGGCACTATTCACAATAGCAAAGACTTGGAACCAACCCAAATGTCCAACAATGATAGACTGGATTAAGAAAATGTGGCACATATACACCATGGAATACTATGCAGCCATAAAAAATGATGAGTTCATGTCCTTTGTAGGGACATGGATGAAATTGGAAATCATCATTCTCAGTAAACTATTGCAAGAACAAAAAACCAAACACCACATATTCTCACTCATAGGTGGGAATTGAACAATGAGAACACATGGACACAGGAAGGGGAACATTACACTCTGGGGACTGTGGTGGGGTGGGTGGAGGGGGGAGGGATAGCATTGGGAGATATACCTAATGCTAGATGACGAGTTAGTGGGTGCAGCACATCAGCATGTCACATGTATACATATGTAACTAACCTGCACATTGTGCACATGTACCCTAAAACTTAAAGTATAATAATAAAAAAAAAAAGAAAGCAAGCATGCTGACCAACTTAAAAGGAAAAATTGACCTGTTTGCGTGACAATACCTTTAGGTATAATTTCACTTACTTGATATTATTGAATATATTCAATTTAACCAAAATTTACTAAGCAATAGAGAAATACCTAGAAATCTGACATGCTTTGCTGCAGATAAGCTGAAGATGCCAAAGGATAAAAAAGACATATATATATATATGTTTATATATATGTGTATATATACAATTTTTATACATACAACTTCCTAATGGGGTAGTAAATATTAAGTGAAGCCATAAAAAAGAGAAAGTAATGAGACCAAAATAAAACCCATGGCACCATTTTATTTTCTGTCAGGTAAAACCAAATGTGAATGTGATTGTGTGACCTGCTAGATACAATTTTTTATGACATATAATACCTTGTTGTTCCAATATTAATTAATTTTCTCTTTTGTGCTTTAAAAATACTTACATATTATGTCAATTCTAGAGCCAGGTAAATATTAGCACCCATCTTGAACCCTTGTTCAGTATGTTATAGTCAGCTCAGGCTACAGTAAGAGAATACCACAGACTGGGTGGCTTAAACAATAGGGATTTATTTTCTTACAGTTCTGTAGGCTGGAAGTCCAAGATCAAGGTAACATCGGGGTCGATGTCTGCTGAGGCCCCTCTTCCTGGCTTGCAGCTGGCTACCTTTTTGCTACATGGCCTTTCTTCTGTGTGTACAGGAAGAGAGAGAGAGAGACAGAGATTCGGTGTCTCTTCCTCTTCCTAAAGGGAGAGCTGTCCTATCAGATTAGGACCCCATCCTTATGATCTTAATCACCTCCTAATGATCCTGTCTCCAAATATAGTCACATTGGGGGTTGGGGATTCAATATATGGATATGAGAAGGGACACAATTCAGTCCATAACATCCAGGTCTAAAAGGATTATTGGAATAAAACAAATTGGAATGAATAATATTCAACTGTCATGGTCATTTGCTACATTATTATTCCTTCAAAATACTACATATTATTTATCTTTATCAATGTAAAGAACATGAAAATTAAGAGATTATTTCAAATGCCTGATTATTTATACTCTAAAACATTAGAAATGACATATAAAATATGAATTTTTTAAATGTAGGTTCATGGGAATCTGTACAATAATAAGTAGATTTAGCAGACCACTGATTTTAGTACCAATGAAGACAAAAAGCAAATTGGAATAGATGCATAGATAAAAGCACATGCTGATGAAATGAAACACAACTTCAGGTAGGAGGAGAAGGATGGTGCTTTTAGGGGGACTACCCCCAGAGAATTGGTACCAGTCTGCCCTCTTTACATCATAGCTTGTGTGCAACAGTAGGCAGGGCAGTAAAAGTATTTTACTAAGAGGATGCATTTGCATATGTAAGCATTTAAGCTAGAAATGAAAAGGTGTACACCCAGTAGCTAACGACATTTTAAAAGAGTAGGAGATTTCTACAACTTCAAGATTATTGCACTCAACCCAGGAGCACTTATGCCTTTCCTTTAAATCACTGTAAACGTTATCCTATAAGCAGGGCTGGCATCCCTAGGTATACTTAAATAGGTTTCTCAACACAGAAAGTGGGTGTGCAAGCATGAGTCACTAAAACAAATGTTACAAAATGTACCCTAGGAAAATGAAAAACAATGAATCAGAGAAAGAAAATAAAGATAATTATCAGTACACAAAGAGTCCAGTAAAACTTACAGTTAAATCCAAACACTTGTTGGCAAATAATATTAAACAATTGAAACAATATGAAAAAGAAATACTAGATATTATCGACATGGAAGTGTTGTGACAAGAGAAAGAGGAAATTGGAAGCTGTTTCCAAGATGTATGTAGCTAGTGATATAATAAACTCAAATAGTAATAAAACATGTTTAAATAAATGTGTTAAATATTTAAGGATGATCATCAGAAGAAATTATGTGCATATAATATACACACACATACACACATGCACACACACATATCTCAAACTCCTAGAATAAAAAAATTAAATAATTAAAAATAGAATAAATAAACCCTAATTAATTATATCATTAATATCAAAAAATATAGAGTGAAAAAACTATTTGAAATGACAGAGAGTCCTGGATCATATGTGGCAGTTAACGAGATATTATCAATAGCAAACACAACCAAAGTTCAAATCCAATCATATGCTACCTACAAGAGATACACCTAAACATACACAAAATATTGTAATGAAAGATAAGAAAAAGTACTTATCAGAGACAAACAATAACAAAGCACACAAAGAATTATTCATATCAGGTAAAATAGAAATCAAGGTGAAATTTTGCATACTCTCACGTATTTAGTCATTACTTTTGATTTCTCTCTTTATTTCAATGTTTTCATCTGGGGTGATTTTATTTCTACCTAAAAAATGACATGTATGTATGTATGTATGTATGTATGTATGTATTTATTTATTTATTTATTTATTTATTTATTTATTTATTTTTAGTGCTGGTAAGTTGGTGGCCCATTTTCTCAGCTTTTACTTATATCAAAGTCCTTACTTTGCCTTTATCTTGAAGAGTATTTTTGTTGGGTACAGAAATTTTAGTTGGCAGTTATTTTCTTTCAATATATACAGGACTCATTGCATTATTTTCTGGCTTCTGTTATTGTTGATAAGTAACCTTTTAATCATATTGTTGCTCCTTTGAAAGTAATGTGTAATTTTTTTCTTCCTTTCATTAATTTTCTCCTTTTTTAAAGTTTAAGAAGTTTTGTCATTATATGTCTAGATGTTATTTTATTTGCATTTATACTGTTGAGGTTTATAGAGCTTCTATGATTTGTACTGTAATGTCATCATCGGGTTTTGACACTCATGGACATTATTTGATGCAATAATGCCTGTTATTTGACACTCTTGGGCATTATTACTTAAAATATTGTTTCAGTCCCATTCAAAAATGGATTTCAATTGTTCATATGGTAGACTTTTTGAGAATGCCTTAAAGTGTCACTTAGGCTCTTACTACTTTAAAATTTTCTCTTTTAAAATTTATTTTTCTCCTCTCGACTTCAATTTGGATATTCTCTATTGAACTGTCTTCCAGTTAACTGTTCTTTTGCTGTGCCTAATCTGGTGTTAAATCCTTTTTTTTCAATTCTTAATGTAGTATTTTATATTTTTTAGCTCTAGAAATTCCAATTTATTTTTTTCTAGATGTTGTTCTATCATTAAATTTATATTATTTTCCTATTTTCATACACACATACACATGCACACAGAAACATATACATGCACACCATATTTCTCTAGTCTTATTTCTTGGCTCTTGGCTCTTTTGGTATTTTAAAAATTATTTTAAAGTGACACATAATTGTACGTATTTATGGGGTAGAATATATTTCAATACATGTATACAATGTGTAGTGCTCAAATCAAGGTAATTAGATTATCCATGTTCTCAAACATTTATCATTCTGTTGGGAACATAAAAAATCCTTCCTTCTAGCTATTTGAAAATATACAATAAATTATTGTTAACTATAATCATCCTATATTGCCATATACTAGCACCTACTCTTCCTATCCTACTTGTATATGCATTAACCAACTTCTCTCTATCTCCCCTTGCCCCTACCTTTCCCATCCTCTAGTAACCATGAGTCTGTTCTCTGAGAGCAATATTTTTAGCTTCTCCCTATGATTGAGAACATGCGGTATTTATCTTTCCATGCCTTGCTTATTTCACTTAATATAATGTTCTCTAGGCTCATGCATGTTGCCACGAATAATAGGATTTAATTCTTGTGGTGGAATAGCATTTTATTATGTATATGTGTATATATATATACATTTCATTTTCTTTATTCATTGTTGATGAAGACTTAGGTTGATTCTGTCTCTTGGCTATTGTAAATAGTGCTGAAATAAACATGGGAGTATGTTTATCTCTTTCACATACTGATTTGCTTTCCTTTGGATATATACCCAGTTGTGGGATTGTTGGATCATATGGCAGTTCTATTTTTAGTTTTTTGAGGAACCTCCATATTATTTTCTATAATTGCTGTACTAGTTTACATTCTCGACAGTGTATGAGTTCCTCTTTCTCCACATGCTCACCAGCACTTGTTAATTTTTGGTCTTTTTGATAACAGCCTTTCTAACAAGGGTGAGATGATGTCTCAATGTGGTCATGATTTGCATTTCCCTGATAATTAATTATTTTGAGCATTTCTTCATATGCTTGGCCTTTTGTATATCTTCTTTTGAGAAATGTCTGTTAGATCATTTGCCCACTTGCTAATCAGATTATTTGTTTTTTTCGCACTTGATTTGTTGGAGTTCCTTATATATTCTAGAATTTTTTCCCTTATCAGATAAATAATTTACATACATTTTCTCCCATTCTGCAAATTGTCTCTTCACTATTTTGATGAATTTCTTTGCTGTGCAGAAGCTGTTTAGCTTGATAGAATCTCATTTGTCTATATTTGCTTTTGTTGTCTGTGCTTTTGAGATTTTATCCATAAATCTTTTGTCAGACCAATATCCTGAAACATTTCCCTTATGTTTTCTTCCAATACTTTCACGGTTTCAGGTCTCACATTCAAGTCTTTAATTCATCTTGAGTTTATTTTTGTATGAGAGATAGGGGTGTAAGGGAGAGGGGGTGATTTTGGTGAGAGATAGGGGTCTAGTTTCATCTGCATACAGATATTGAGTTTTTCCAACACTATTTATTGAAGAGACTATTGTTTTCTCAATGTATGTTCTTGGCTTCTTTGATGAAAATTAGTTGACTGTAAATATGTGGATTTGTTTCTGGGTTCTCTATTCTGCTCCATTGGTCTATGTGTCTGTTTTTATGCCAGTACCATGCTGTTTTGTTTACTATAGCTTTGTAGTGTATTTGGAAGACAACTAGTGTGATGTCTCCAGCTTTGCTCTTTTTGCTCAGGATTATTTTGGCTACTCTGGGTCTTTTTTGGTTCCATATAAATTTTAGTTCCATAGAAATTTTAGTATAAGTTTCTCTATTTCTGTGGAAAATGTTGGTATTTCAGTAGGGATAGCACTGAATCTGTACAACTGTTTTAGTAGTATAATCATTTTGACAATATTAATTCCTCCAGTCCATAAATATGGGAGGTCTTTTCACTTTTCACTTTGCCACTTTTTAAAAAAGTGTTTTATAGCTTTTATTGTAGAGACCTGTCACCTCTTTGGTTAAATTTCTTCCTAGGTATTTAATTTTTGGCAGCTATTGTAAATGGGATTGGTTTCTTCATTTCTTTTTCAGCTGGTGTTGCCTGAGAATCTACGAAATTTTGTATGTTGATTTTGCATTTTGCAACTTTTCTTCTTGTAATTTTTAAATTAAATTTTGGATATTATATATAAAAACTACAGAGAATCCAGATAATATCATTTTTCTCTAGAGAGTTTTTACCTTTTCTACTACTAGGCAGGTTAAGGGCTAATCACCTGAAACCAATCAGAGACTGAGCTGAGGTAAAGCTGGGTTGTGGTTGGGTTTTGATAAGGTCCCATTTAACTCTGGCTTGCATGCACTCTCAGGTCATAGTTATTCAGGGCATTCAGCTGAGAACCTTATGTATTCACTGGAGCTCCTCACTTGGATGCTTTTAAACTCTAATTTAAATCTTCTTAGAAGGGAAACAGTTTTTCTGATTAGCTTCTTGTCCTGTTGTCTCTCTGGTGATGGATTTTGAAAAATGTCTTTTTTAAAAAGCCACCTGTGTGTCAAGCTCAGTGTTCTGTCTCACCATTCTCACTGGCATTTTGACCTTTAAATTTCCATTTTGTATTATTAGCCCTGAAAGATCACCATCTATTGTTGGTTTTTCCCCTGTCCCAGAGTGGTTGTTTACCCATGCAAACCCATATTGTCAGATTTTTAACCTGCACTTTGAATTGGCAATGTCCCAGAGGAAAATGCAGCTACAGAAGCTCAGTACAACTTGTTCAGTCTCTTCTCCTCTGGATCTTGGCCCCTCTAATCCTTATTTTTTCCCAGCAGCAATGCTTTCTGCATTTTTATTGGATTACTTATTTTCCTCAGTTGGAAACTTTGTATAATACAAACTCCTCTATCTTTTCTGGAAGTTGATCTTCTTGAACCAGTTTTTTTTTTAAGTCTATATAAAGAAATACTTGTTAATGTCTACTGGGTTGTATGATATTTTATTTGTTCCTCACAATAAAGATTCAGAGTATGTCTAGTCTTTCCCATTTTTAATGTATGAAATTACTCATTTACAGTTTCTAAGAAGTAGATAACAACATCTTGCTTTAAAAAGAAAATCTTTGTGCTTTTACTACCATATTACATTTTCTGATGCTGATGAAAGTGTGGAAAAGCTAGAACACCTTCAGAGGCTTTAAGTCAGAGAAATTTGTGACCCTCTAAAAAATGTGGACTTGCCCCTTGGGATAATTCTGTGGTGCCACTCTTTGTACTGTCTGTACAGGTAAATATGCTGGAGTTGTAATGGTCAACCAGCCTTGGAAAAAAATTTTGTAGAAAATAAATTTTCATAATGGTATTACACCTAACATGGATTGAGAATTATTTATGTGCCAAATTCTTTTTTTTTAATTTTTAAAACTTTTTTGAGACAGGGTCTTGATCTGTCACCAAGACTGGGGTGCAGTGGTACAATCTTGGCTCATTGCAACCTCTGCCTCCTGGGTTCAAGCGATTCTTCTGCCTCAGCCTCCTAAGGAGCTGGGATTACAGGCATGCGCCACCACGCCCAGTTAATTTTTGTCTTTTTTTATGGAGATGAGGTTTCACCATGTTGGTCAGGCTGGTCTCGAACTCCTGACCTCAAGTGATCCACCCACCTTAGCCTCCCAAAGTGCTGGGATTACAGGTGTAAGACACTGCGCCCAGCCTTATGTGCCAAATTCTTAAATGTGTATTAACATGTTTAAAGCTTTCAGCTACCCTGTGGCCCTACGCTCCCTTTTTATTCCCATTTTACTTATGTTGAAACCAAAACTCAAAGAAAATGGTAACTTAGCCAAGGCCTCATAAGATAGTAAGTAAGTAAGGAATGGTTTAGCTCCAAAGCCCAACATTATGCATTAAATATACTGCCTCACTGGAAGATTACTTGAACCCAGGAGTTTGAGTCCAGCCTGGGCAACAGAGCAAGTCCTATCTCTAAAAACAAACAAACAAACAAACAAACAAAAAAACAGATGAAAAGTGCTGGGCGCAGTGGCTCATGCCTGTAATCCCAGCACTTTGGGAGGCCAGGGTGGGTGGATCACCTGAGGTTGAAAGTTTGAGACCACCCTCACCAACATGGAGAAACCCGTCTCTACTAAAAATATAAAAATTAGCCGGGTATGGTGGCAGGCGCCTGTGGTCCCAGCTACTTGGGAGGCTGAGACAGGAGAATTGCTTGAACCCAGGAGGCAGAGGTGTGGCCCGCTGTGATCGTGCTATTGCACTCCAGCCTGGGCAACAAGAGCGAAAATTCATCTCAAAACAAAACAAAACACACAAACAAAAAACAGATAAAAAAGTAAAAATTGGCTGGGTGCTGTGGCTCACGCCTGTAATCCCAGTTCTTTGGGAGGCTGAGGCGGGCGGATCACTTGAGGTCAGGAATTAGAGACCAGCTGTCCAACACGGCAAAAACCCATCTCTACTAGAAATATAAAAATTAGCTAGGCATGGTAGCGGGCACTTGAAATCCCAGCTACTTGGGAGGCTGAGGCAGGAGATTCGATTGAACCAGGGAGGCAGAGGTTGCAGTGAGTAGAGATCGCACCACTGCACTCCAGCCTGAGCGACAGAGAGACTCCGTCTCGAAAAGTAAAAATAAAAATAAAAATAAAAATTATATTCTGCCTCAAAAGTGAGAAGCCATTTTCCTTCTCTTGCTTGAGAAGCTAAAATACCCCAATTTAGAGAGGAGAACTAGAAGACAAATTTTTATTGGAATCTTGCAGTGACTAAATCCCAAAAAATTTTATATCTGGAAATGCATATTAGGAAATTATTAATTAACATTTTATTCTCTTCTTTGTTTCACATTATTAATTTCAAAGTATTTATTTCAAAAATACAATGTACTCTGTACATTTGAGTGTAAAAATATTGTTGGACACTATATGTAAAGATTTTTATATCAATTTGTAAGAAACTAATATATATTATAGAATACAACTCTAAAGTGATAGAAAAATGGTCTATTTATTGCCGATATATTTCAGTTTTCTATGATTGTTACTATTATGAGCAGCTTACAATGAATTCATTATCTTGTGAGAGAAAATAATTCTATTCCAAAGAACTCCTCTGAGGTACAACAAATTAGAATTATAGAAAAAGACCTAGTATATTAGAGACAGTTATAACTGCCCCTTTTCATTTTCATTAAAAATGAAGCTCTGCAGCAGATGGGCTTCAAAGATATTTTAAAGATTTAAGTGCTAATGCATGAGAGAATTCCAATGCAAACAGTTCCTTTAAAGTACTTTAGTGCATGCTGGGCTGTGGGAGGGACCTGGAGAGGCCTCTTAATCTTGCTTAGATCTTTTCATTAATAGAGTGTTATAAAATTACCTTCAGCATGATGAGAAAGACAGTCTTACTGGGAGAAGCTTGGCTTCTTCCTGAATTATCTCCCCCTCAACTAAAGTTTAGTAAACCATTCTAAATAAAGAAACAACTCCAGCTGCAATGGATGAGTTTCAGTTTGGGATTATTTTATTAAATATTGAATATTTTATTTTTTGAAAGCATATGGCATACAAATGTTGAGAATTTCCAAAAAAAGCTAACTTTTCAGTAGCATAGAATTTCATGTTTTAAGTACATAAGCGATCAGTTAAGTAATTAAAATGGAAACGTGTTGTTTGAATTTCAGATGAGATTGGACGGGTTCAGGGTGGTATGGCCATAGATGTGTTGTTGGAATCTCAGAGTGCAGTTGAATCACCACAAAGTTTCAGTCTACATAAATGTCTATAGGAAAGTCAATACAAGCTCACCTCACCATAGTCATATTAAGAATCACAGTGGTTCCAATTATGAGGTCATTAAAGTTAGTAATTGCATTAAAGTATTACATGTGACACAAGCTTATGGGCATTCTACATGCTACACAAAGAAAAGGCCTAGAGGAGGAAGCATTTAGGTCACAAATTAGCTGATTCAGCAAAACTAAAGAAACTGCCAAAGAAAAAAGGAAAAATTCTACCCTAGAATTGTCCATTAGTTCTGTAATAAAATTCCACTTTACTTTCACCAGCAGAATTCAGCCTTACCTTTTTTAGTTATGTAAAATATTGCAAAATAATTTTATGTTAATTTTTTCCTAAGATGACAATTTATATATAAGAATTAGATTTTTAGATAATGCTATCTTCTATTTTTCTATAATTTTTTTTACTCTTACCTACCATTACACAGTTTTTAGGTATAGAAAAATCGAATGATAAGAAATGGCAATAAACAATATAGTGTTCATTTTACAGGGAAATAAACATTCTTCTGGTTTTCTCTTTCATTTCTAGTTCATCAAACTTTATAATAGAGAAAAGATATCCTCTTAGTTATTACCCAGGTCTCAGTTACCAATGTGGAGGCCAGAAAAAGTATGTTTGTTATCTTATTAGGAAAATCCCTCACTCTATTCATGCATACAAGGATGACCAGAATGGTGAAACGAATTCCATCCTGGGCTCAGCTACTAACAAGATAACTTTGTATGAGTAACACAATTTCAATGAATCATCTCTTCATATCTGCAATATGAGGATAATAATATGTATACTGCAATATATTTGATGAGACAAAGTTAATGACATTTTGAGGTAATTTTTACATAATAAAGTCCTGTACAACTGTTAGTAACTATTACACCATTGCTACTATAAAGGCTTTGCTCATATTGGGTCATGGGAAGCTATTTTCTTTTCCTCTCTAGTTTACAGCTAGACAACTTTACTCCCTTTCACTTTATTTTATAGGGTAGGGAGTCCAGCTGTGAAAGCCTACACTAAATTAGATGACTAGAAAAACAAAGATCTGAATGAAGTTCTCATTCCATTGTTGCCATCCACCCAAGTTATCCCCACCATCACCCTATATGTATCACAAGAGTTTTACTTGGTGAAGTATACCATAAATCAAATTGAGGATTTACAAGAAGACTTTTTATTTCAAAGATTTAAACATAGATTGAATGCTTGAATAAATATTGGACCATTTTAATAAAATACTAGCTTAACTCAAGTACCATTAAATAGTAGAAAACCAATAAATAAACCAGCATTCCAATCCAGACATATTATTAAGGGAGGAAGCAATCAGATGTGTAAAGAAGGCCTACATTATAAGAGGAGAACTCTTACAAGCCAAATGTTATAATTTTTATTTGGCCTTTGTATAGCACAATATGTTCTAAGGTACTTTGTAATCCTTAATTAGAAAAGCTTCATTTAACCCAAGTATTTTTGTTTCTTCTAATGTATAATGATGTATACAATTTTAAATGCTCTTGCATTGATCTCTAATGGCCTCAAATGAATAATTTCCATTTGATTTTTATGATTTCTTTGAATATCAATAGTGTCCCTAAAGTAAAACGGCAATACACTTTGGTATTATTTTTTTCATGTGCTGATTTTTTTTTGCCTGATGTAAATTGGAATCTTGGAATTCTTTCAACATTTTGATCATCTTCTAGATAGGTTGCCATTCCTAATACTTTATGAGGGAAGCTTGATATCAACTAACTTCAGATATTTCCTTCAATATAGTTTTACCTTGTTTTGGGATCTTGTTAGATGTTGGGGACTGACAAGTGAGTAAATAAAACAGCGCACAGAGCCCCCAAAGCATCAACAAATCTTTACTGAGGGTATCTTCTGAGCACTTACGAAGTAGGAAGTTTTCTGGCTTCTGCTCTGGAGGTGGTTATCACCTGAAAGCACAAATGATTTCGTTGGAGATCTAGACAGTGTGAATTAAAGAGCAATGTAAAGAAAACTGGTGTTGGAATCTGTAAACCTAGTTTAGAATCTTCACTACACCTGTTACTGGCTATCTGATATTGGTAAATTATGTAATCTCTCTAAACATAAATTTCCACAGAATAAAAGCTAGCATTATTAATGAATGACTCTGAGTACAATTAACACTTTTTGTCTTAATCATACATACGTTTGTCACATACCCTGTGACAGAGGAAATCATCTATTCACTCTGTTTCCCTATCAGTAAAATGCTATGAGTTCCCCTGAAAGAGCTATAAGCCTGCACGAAGGAAAGTACTACAGAAATCCAATTATTGCATGGAAAATGGTAAGGGAGAGTGATGTTAATGTTCAATTATTATTTAACAGTAAGCAAGAGCTTTCAGAGAAACAGAGGATGGCTTTATTGTCTTTTCCAGTTATGGAAATTAGAAGAATCAAGAGAAACTTCTGCTAAATAAACAAAAGTATACAGACAAAACAAAATACTACATACTGGGTGGCTTAAACCACAGAAATTTATTTTCTCACAGTTCTTAAATCTGGGCAGTCTAAGGTCAAGGTGCCAGTGGGTTTGGTTTCTTCCGAAGCCTCTTTCTTTGGCTCGGAGATGGCTTCTCATTGCATTCTCATATAATTGCCCTTTGGTCTATCTGTTTGTTATCTGCATTCTACTCTCCTCTTCCTACAAAGACACCAGTAGTATTGAGTCAGGGCTCACTCATAAGACATCAGTCTTCCTTAAATAATTCTTTAAAGGCCCTGTGTCCAAATACAGTCACGTTCTGAGATATTGGAGTTTAGGACTTCAACATATGAAATTGAGAGGACACACCTGAGGCTATAAGAAATTGATTTTCACAAAATCCTAAGGCCAGTGTTACAGTGGCCAAACTTCTAAGAAACCAAAGACCCAATGGGAGTGACTCTGTGTGTATGTGGGTTGGGGGAAGGTTGCAAGAGAAGGCAGATGGTTTAATCAGAGATCAGAGTAGGCTGGATGTGGTGGCTCACACCTGTAATCCCAGCACTTTGGGAGTCCGAGGAGGGTGGATCACCTGAGGTCAGGAGTTCAAGACCAGCCTGGCCAACATGGCAGATCCCCGTCTCTACTAAAAATACAAAAATTAGCCTGGTGTGGTGATGCGCGCCTAATAATCCCAGCTACTCAAGAGGCTGAGGCAGGAGAATCGCTTGAACCTGAGAGGCAGAGGTTGCAGTGAGCCGAGATTGTGCCACTGCACTCCAGCCTGGGCAACTGAGCAAGACTCCATCTCAAAAAAAAAAAAAAAGAGGTGAGAGAGTAAGCACATTTTGTAGGACTTTTACTTTCTTAGATTAATTCAGCCATTTATTAATGAGTTCACATTTATATTTGCCCATCATGAGATGTTATTCTGTTTATCCTTTTTACTCCAAGATAACAGACAGAAATACAATAAATACAATACCTGACATGTCTCTCCCAGGAAGAAAAAAGCATACAGAAGATGGAAAGTGGTCCAAAAAAATCCATTTAAGACCAATTCAAATTTTTGCAATATGAAAACATGGATTTTTAGTAAATGTTGAAACTGAGAACAGTAAAACATCTTAGTTGTTTGACACACATGATTGTGAGAAGAACTTAAGAAAATACTGCAGTTTAGGCTGGACAATATAGTAAGGTGTCATCTCTACAATAAATTTAACAAGCTGGATGTGGCAGCATATGCCTGTAGTCTCAGCTACTTGAGAGACTGAGACAGTAGACTCACTTGAGCCCAGGAATTCGAGGTTACAGTGAGCTCTGATTATGCCACTGCACTCCAGCCTGGACAACAGAGCAAGATCCTGGCTCTAAAAAATGTAAATTAAAAAAAAAATGCAATTGGTTATACCTTGTGGGAGTATGAGATCATAGATTTAAAAATAAAAACCGAAAGTCTCCAAAACTTATTTCCTTTAAATTGACCAGCTTTGATTTGGTCAAATACAATTTTTTTTCTGTATTCACAGGTGATTGCATCATTTTTAGTCATGGATTTATGATTTTTATACAAAAGAATGACAATGTTACTGCTGTAGTGCTACATGTGGTGGTGTTATGCTCTTCCATAAAGGATGAGAAAGTAAGGTCAGCAAATTATTCTGCTAGAGGAATTGATTTTTAGTATGTTTAACACTATGTGTATAATTATTATGTGTCTAATGTGTCTGTGATTATGGATATATTTCAAGTCTTTGAAATCTAATTCAAAATAAACACTAAAAGCATTGAGAAAGAACTTTCATTATAAAAAAGTATGAGAAGGAATGCATATAAAGGGAATATGAGTCTTATGTATTCTTACACCAAAATAAAATTTTAGAATATTATTAGATATTTGTTCATGGCATTATATCATGAGAGATACAAAAGCCGTTTAGTTGGCTAGCTAAATAAAATAACTTTGCTGAATATTATATGTGAGTTATTTGTATTTAAAAATTTTTCCCATATATCATTTTAATCAAAGATCAGAATAAACTCAGTTCAGTGTAGCTATTTGTAAAATGTAAGACAAGAACACTTAGACTATAGATAATGATTCGTAATTATAAGTCTTATAAACTATTCTTCTGCATATTTAAAGATGAATCTTTGGAAATGTTTTAGAAGATATTGTAAGAAATTTGCTTTTCATAAATTTAAGGTTAACACTTTATTATAAATCTCTCTCAAAATGCATCATGATTTCTCTGAGTGGGACTTTATGAATGTGGCCCTGTGTTATGGGTGGAATTGCATCCCCACCCAATTCATATGTTGAACTCTTAACCTTCAGTACCTCAGGATATGACCTTCTTTGGAAATAGAATCATTGCAGATGTAATTAGTTAAGATGAGGTCATAGCGGAGTCGAGTAGGTCCCTAATCCAATATGACTGGTGTCATTTTCAAGGGAATACATTTGGACACTGGTATGTATACAAAGAAGATGTCATGTGAACATGAGGACAGCCATGTACAAGCTCAGGAAAAAGGCCTGAAACAGATCCTTCCCTCACAGGCCTCAGAAGGAGCCAACCTTGTCAACACTTTGATTTTAGACTTCTAGCCTCTAGAACAGTGAGACAATAAGTTGGTGTGTAAAGGCACTGTTTGTGGTGCTTTTTAAAATTTTTACAGCAAGCTAGAAATTGAATACATCAGGTCTCCAGTCTTGTGATTTTTTTACTGCCTTAAAGAACATAAAACCGTGAAGATATTCACCAATGATATAGTCTTTGCCAAGTTTCTGTACCACTGTGAGGAGGTCTTGCCAGTATGTCACAACACATGAGTATTTATTTTCTAATGAATATTCAGTTTTGAAGAATAGTTCCTAATTAATATGCCGGCTCTAATGACAAAATAAATTAAACAAATAATATTGAAGATGTAAAAAGTTCAGCCAGGAAAGACTCAATTATAAGTTATTAAAAAATACACTTAAAGAGATGTATGCTAGTAGAAATGCTTCGGTTTCTTCTTTATAGTTTATTTTTGTGAAGAGTCTTGAAAAGTCAAACTTCAGAGTCAAGCAGAGTTGCTTAGAAAAGTGTCTTGATGTTTATTAGTGCTGTGGTGTTAGGTAATCACTTAATGTCCTAAGTCTAGGGTTAAAAAATGGGAATAAAAGTGCTTAACTTGAAGAATGATTCTGTGAAATAAATCAGATGATTAAAGAAAGCATCAGCCTTTTTTAATTGAAACACTTTTTAAAAATTGAAGCATAACTTTATATAAAATACAAATCTTAATTTCACAGCTTGAAAAATATTTACATATGAATATACATTTAGTGCCAGATAAAAGTATGTAACTTTTTCA
Organism: Homo sapiens; assembly: GCF_000001405.40. Classification (NCBI taxonomy): domain Eukaryota; kingdom Metazoa; phylum Chordata; class Mammalia; order Primates; family Hominidae; genus Homo; species Homo sapiens. The sequence continues at coordinate 80,379,496 of NC_000001.11, read as the reverse complement.
TTAATTCATTTTTAAGATCTCTTTTGGTCTCTTCCCTCTCAATAGCCTCTATTTTGCTTTTATATTAATAGATTGTTTGATCATACTTCAGTTTAATACAAATGAATTCAACAGGAAATACATACAATATATAGTCTATTCCTGGGCTCCTTTGCTCAACATAATGTCTATGAGATTCATTTATATCATTGTACATAAGTAATTTTTAGTACTGTATTGTATTCCATTATAGAAATATGTCAGATCTGGTTATTCACTTGCATGTTGATTATAGCGCTAAATGTAAAAAGAAAAACAATAAACCTCTAAGACAGGAAAGAAAAATATCTTCATGGTTATATAGTATCCATATATTCCTTTAAATGAAGAGAAGAAAGAAAATATTAATCATTTTAAAAATTACTTGTATTTAATTAAAATTAAGATATTCAGTTTACCAGCAATGCATTGTTTAAAAAATGAATAAGCAAGCCATAGTGTGAAATATTTCCACAATACTTATAACTAAAAAATAACTCACAATATATAAAAAACTCTTATAATTAATAAGAAGACAACAAATGACCTAAGTTTAAAAAATGTCAGACTACTTGAGCAGGCACTTCTCAAAAGAGGGTATTCAAACAGCCAGCAGTTACGTGAAAAGGGTTTGACATTATTTCTCAAGAAGGAAATGTGATATAAAAGCATAATGATATGCCATTACGTACTTACTAAAATGGACAAATTTTAAAAGACTGTCAATATCAACTATTGTAGAGGAAGTAGAGAAACTGTAATTCACATATATTACACATGGAATATTAAATTGGTTTAGAAAAACATTTGGTATTACATACTAACGTTAAATATATGCCTATTGTATGACCCAACAATCACATTTTTAGGTCTTTTTCCAAAGACTTTCAGAATATACATTCACCAAAATATATGCATAGAAAAACTTATAGAACTGTTATTCGCAACCCTAGTCTGGAAACTAGGAATCAAATATTCATTCAGAGAGAAATGATAAAAATAGCACACAATAATTATAATTAATTATAGCACACAATAATTGTTAGCAATAGCCACTACTATTATGACTGTGTTTTTCTCCAAATATATAGTGTCTACTAGATGCCATGTTTTTGTTTCAAATGTTTACCTTTCCATGTTTATTCATCGAGCAAGATGAATTGTAGGAGACAATGAGTTGTTTAGGAAGATTATTCTGTTGGATCGGAAAAAGGACTTTGATAAATATCTACACATCAGAAAGAATAGCTAACCTCTTTGCCCATACCTTTACTTCCTAAATCTACTTTAGTCTGTTCCTTTCACAACTCATTAACTCTACTCCTACTAGAGATTTATAACATGCTTTTGTGTACTTATAAAATCCTTTGCAATTGGAATTGCTCTAAATGTTGATCCTGTTACGTAGTAGATAGGTAGAAGGGAAATGAGAGCAGGAGAGAGGAAAGATAGGTAGAAGGGAAATGAGAGCAGGAGAAAGAGCAGTAATGACAAATACTATTAGTCATTAATAGTATTTGCTTAATCCCAGCACTTTGGGAGGCTGAGGTGGGCGGATCACGAGGTCAGGAGATCGAGACCATCCTGGCTAACACGATGAAAGCCCATCTCTACTAAAAATATAAAAAATTAGCCGGGCATAGTGGCAGGCTCCTGTAGTCCCAGCTACTCGGGAGGCTGAGGCAGGAGAGTGGCGTGAACCCGGGAGGCGGAGCTTGCAGTGAGCCGAGATCGCGCCACTGCACTCCAGCCTGGGCGACAGAGCGAGACTCCGTCTCAAAAAAAAGAAAAGAAAGAATAGTGTTTGTTTGTTCAGCTATCTCACCATATAGTTAGTTACTTATTTTAAAGGAGGGAAGCACTAAACTAATATATACCAGAAATCTGATGAGGTATTCTATTTTTAAAATTTTACATAATTCCTCTAGCCAATATTATATGGGATAGCCTGTGATCTCCATCTCCATTAATTTTTCAAATTCCTACTTCTTATTTCAGGTTTTTCCTCCCATGAACTCTAGATTTTAACAACATCTCAGTTTCAGTTATTATTATCTTTTCTATTGTTCATTATTGACACAGAGAAAGAATTCAGATCCTTATTCTTATTCTTCTTCTCCCACCCCCACCCAAAAATACCTGCTAGATATGTGATATAACAGACTTTTACTGTGGGTTTTGAAGCATGGAAGGGTTTTAGATGAAACCAGTGCAATTAACTTAGAAGTGAATTTTAGACACTCATATCCTGAATGCCCTTCAGCCACCAACCAACGGAAATTGTTTACTGGGCAATACTATCTTCCAGCTTCAGCCTCTTGTCATTTGTTAGGTCTTTCTCTCTGTGCCTCTTCTCTCTTCCTTCTCAGTTTTCTCCTGTATCCAATCCTGGACTCTTGCTCTCTCCATACTTAGTAGTCTTATTATCACATTGTTAAATCTTTCCACTTTCAGTGCACACCCTGTTAGATACTTATCAAATGAGACATTGTAGTCAATCTTTTGCTAATGTCTTGACATCAAAAGTTTTTTTCTTCATTTACATCTGACAAAGAAAGACATTCTAAAAATTTCTGAGTTCTACAATGTATGAAGGTTGTTCTTTCATTGCCATGATAAACTGCCAGAGCACTGACATATGATTATCTGGACAGTGAGGAAATAAATGCAGAAAGAAATTTCAAGTCTCCAGTTTAATCTATAAAGTCAATCACTGCTTCTAGCATTTTTTTTTAATCTGCAGAGATAAAATAATATGGGCCAACTTAATACGTTTTGTTCTCCTATGTTGTGACAGGAAGACCACCTAACTCTGTAACCTGTAGGGTTTCAGAGAGTTTCTAAATTGAAGAAGGAAGCTACAAAACCTGGATAATCAGCCACTGATTCCGTGACGTTGTTAGAAAAAAACATATGCAATTCATAGGAGTGAAGTTGAAACTAGCCTAACGGATAGCTCTGAAAAACCTGTGATAAAGGAATTTACTTGGCTGCTGCAGATACCATTTGATGCCTTGTGACATCTTTTCTTACAATTTAACCTTCTGTAGTCATATATTTCCCTTCTGTGCATTTTGAAGTTAGCATTAAAAAATCATGGCATAGTAAATGGTTTTAATGCAATATTGAGGAAGGTTAAGGTTATGGTTATTTAAAAAACGCTAGAACTTAAAAAAATATGAGAAGGGAGTGGGAAATCAAGATTGCTGGAGGCCATGACTTTTGTGCTATTTACTTTGTTCTAACAGGGTCAGCTCTTGGCAAAATCTAGAAGGAGGTGTGCAAGTTCCTTCCCTTTTCTGATCAAATGGCCTTTAGCATTTTACGTGTAATTCACCCAATTCCATGTAGTAAATATACCGCTACTGTGATTGTATTGTAAGTGAAGAAACTAAGGGAGAGGTTAAGCAAATTGCCTGAGGTCAGAAAGGTAGTTAATGGCAGTGTTGGGTTGAAAGACTGTTCAGCCAACTTATAGTACTGGAATTCAGAACACTACCTCTCTGGTAGCTGGTAACTGCAAAAGAAGTACTCATTCAAGAGTGTGTGTGTGTGTGTCTGTGTGTGTGTGTGTGTGTGTGTGTGTGCCTGTGTGTGTGTGAGATCTAGGATGAATGTTTAGGTGATCCAGAGGAAAAATATCTGTACTAGTGACATAATACATGATGGCATTTGGGAATGTTGGCAAATGTGGATGATATAAGAGAGGGTGTGGATTGCTTTTTTTATCCCACACTGTACACCACTCCCTTATACTTGAAATAGACTGCTTTAATTCCTAAAACTTTACTGACCAACAAGTGAAAATGTTTCATTTTCAAAAAGGAAAAGCACATATTGACATTTATTGTACCAAAAATAATTTGTTAAATAAGAAAACCCAGTAACAACCATGGTGAAAAATATTCATTCAATAAATATTTATTTACAGCCTATTATCTGCTAGGCACTGTTACAGAGATACAATGGTGAAGACTGACATTTTCCCATTTTCCCAGATTTCTCAATTTAGCAACTTTTGGAGAAATACAAACAAATAAGACATATTTAGGAATGAGAAATAAAAAGAGAGGTGTGGGGAAGTTCGAAAAAAATTTAAAGAATGCCTTTTCAAATCTAGTGAGGTTTATAAAAGGCTCTTGCAAAATGGATGAATGGAGGAAATTAAGTTTTGTAACTTAAAAAGAACAAGACTTATAGTAGAATATGATGCAATAAAGACATTCTATTCCACTTCTTTCTTTAAAGCCAAATACAAAATCAAGAAGAAAATTAACAAGAGAAGAAAAAATCAGCACCACCAATGAAAACAGGAACTAGTCACAACCCTAAATCTCTACCTATAAAAAGTGGCTGTCAAATACTGTAAAACACCGAACCAAGGACAGGTTCAGGGAGCAGACATGGACCTCTACAAATCTTAAGTACTTTATTCTCCTAGAATTAGAGACATACGAAGGGGGAACTAAGTCCCTTGTCTGGAACAGCTGTGTCCTTGACAGGTCATGGATAAGTCACAAAGTTATAAATCGGCACAGAAATATTTTCTAGTTGCAAGGAAAGTTGCGGGTGGAGGGAGTTTACTGAGAGGCATGCAGACCTCTGCTCTCCTGAAGGAGGATAATACTACTTTCAGGGAACTCTGCAAATTTGTTGAGAATGTGCTCTAAAACAAGAAGAAAAAAATTTTAGACATAAAAAGTTACTAAGAAAATCGTGGAAAAGTCAGAAAGAGAAAATTAAAATAATAAAAATTTAAATTAAATTTAAATTAATTTTTTTTTTTTTGAAACAGGGTATCTGTCGCCAAGGCTGGAGTGCAGTGGCATGATCTGGGCTCACCGCAGCTTCCGCCTCACAGGTTCAAGTGATCTTCCCACCTCAGCCTCCCAGGTAGCTGGGACTATAAGCGAAGACCACCACACTTGGCTATTTTTTTTTTCAGTAGAGATGGGGTTTCACTATGTTGCCCAGGCTTGTCTCCAACTCATGAGTTCAAGCAATCTGCCCATCTTGGCCTCCAAAAGTGCTGAGATTTACAGGTATGAGCCACTGCACCCAGCCCCAAGTAAATAAAACTTAACTAATACATTCTAAGAAATGAATGTTTATCTAAGAAAATATGGATTTCCAGAATTGTTCACTAAAGCAGTAAAACATGAAAACTAAACCAAGTGGCATAAAAAATTTGAGAAAATATCACAGAGATGCCAGCCCCAAAGTAACAGGTTAAAAATATTTATGAAGAAGGTTAACAAATATCCACAGACAGAAATTTCATATGCTATTCCTTGTTTTCCAGAACAGAGAAAAGAAAAGCTAACCCACATTTTTATAAAGAAAGAGTGACATTAATACAAAAGCCTGAGAAAGGTAGTTTAAAAAATAAAGAAAAGAAACTACCTGTGGACAATTTCAATAATGAATACACACTCCTAAGAAGGTACAAAAGAATGATCAGATGTTCCTTTCAATAGATGTTGAAAAGAAATTCTTAACATTTTTAAATATATTATTCATCAAGACCTCTACATGAAATTCAACTAGATAGGAATTACTTAACATTATGTAGGAGCACATAAAATAATACCAATAGAAATAATTATAATGCTGATAAGTAACATTTCTTAAGTACTTACTATTGTGACTGAGACTCCTTCAGCCACTCTTTTCTTGTACATTAGTCCACAAGGTAAGTACTATTATTATCTATTTTACAGATAACAAAATCCTGGAAAAGAGATGCCAAGTAACTTTTCCAAGATCAATGATCTAGTAACTGGCAGAGCTGGGTGCAAACCAAAGTGGTCTGACTTTGGAACTAATATATGAAATATAAATCATCTTTTAAGTGGAGTGGCCCAAGAACACTTTATATATGACCTATAGAAAGAACACTCAACTCTTTCCTGAAAAACAGTACCAAGTTGAAGGCTGAAGAGGGAGTGAATAAATGGAAAAGTATTTTTTTCTTAGGTAAGAAGACTATATTGCACATGTACACAAATTATGTTATGTACCATTTGTTACACAAACATTTTCAATAGCAATGACTGAGAATACCCTGAGATTCCATCTGTAAATGGACAGTATAAATAAATGTGGTATATTCATATGAGAGAGTATGTCATTTTTTTAAGGTTGATTAATATGTGCTAATGTAAAAAGACAGGCAAGCTCTACTAGTGAAAAAAAGAAAGTACAGAACACAATACTCCAATTAATCTAAAAAAAGGAGATTTCCAGTTTACACAATTATAAATACATATGAAAATTCCTGTAAGGGTGTAAAAGGACCATACTGTTCAGCTCTGAGGAGTCCACCTGGGGGTTGAGTGGCATGGAGAATGGAGAAAGATATTTAATTTTTAAGCATATTTCTATAATTTTAAAAACTATATTATTGTATTGTTTTTAAAATTAGTATATAGCCATCCATCTGTATCTATGGAGAATTGGTTCTAGGGTCTCCTGAGGATACCAAAATCCATAGATTGCCAAGTCTCTGTTATAAAATGGCACAGTATTTTCCCATAACCTATGTTATGGGAAACATACAAGTATCCTCTTGTATACTTAAATCATCTCCAGGTTATTTATAATACCTAATACAAAGTAGATGCTATGTAAATAGTTGTTACACTGTAGTGTCTAGGGAATAATGACAAAAAAATGTCTGTGCCTCTTCAAGTCACAGGCAATTTGTTTTTGACTATTTTTGATCATTGGTTGGTTAAATCTATGCATGTGGGACTCACAGATATGGAGGGCCTGTATGTAAAATATGTATTTAAGTGAACCAGCCAGATGAAAGGCCAGGGGTAAGACTCTGGTGGAGGTGCAAAAAAAGAAGCAACAACAACAACAAAAAATGATTGGGAATGGCCCTGAACTGAAGGATACTCAAGTAAACTGTAGGAAATAAAGAGGTTGAGAAAGATGCCAAAAGTAGTTTTCCAAATTGACTGGCATTTGATCCCACTGTGGCTAAAATAGTTCTGCAGCTTCAGAACAATCTCATCCTTATACTGTTCTAAAAGAGAGGTGACAGTGTTTTCATAATGTACCACTGGTATTACGATTTTTAAAAATTACACTTTCATAACCCTTAAAGATAATTTTAACATAGAAAACACTCCTGAGGGATTCAAAAGTCAATGAAATCTATTGACTATTTTCCTATAACTGGGAAACAACTACCTGTTTTTCAGAGCTTTGATTTTAAACAGACTACTCAGTCTAATATAGAGTTCATTCAGAGCAAAACTTTATAAATTTAGACTTGGAGGAATATATACAATGTATTATTCTATTTGAGGAAATTCTAATTTCAAAGTGATATCAAGCACATACAATAACTGGTTGTAGTTCAATAAAATGTTGCCTGCTAGAGATTCTAGTAAATACGTATGTTTATTCTCTGTCTCCATTTATTAGAGCCGCCTTTAAATAAGTTCTCTCATGATAAATTTCCAAAAATCAGTCACCCAATTTCTGAAGGGTCTTCTGAATTATCAAATATTTAGTATTGTTCTATTGTTATAAATTTTATTCTGTATGAATACTCAGAGTATTGTTAACTTATGCTTGCCATATATGTTACTTTTATGATAAATCACTTTACTAAATAATCAAATAATTAGTCCTTCACATATTACAGTTAGCTTTGTCGTTATATATATTTATTATATGGAAAGGGAGACTCCTAATTTAAAAAAATGAATTACCACCTTTCAAAATTGAGTTTATGTTAACTTGGCTTGTTTGATAAAATGTAGTTTAACTCTCAAATACAGAGAAGATAATTCTAAAATTTAGTGTTTTACATTTCTTTCTAAATTAGTCTAGTACAATGGTCATAATAAAATCTAAGACCTCTAGTTTATTTGAAACATTGGCAATCACTGTGTAGTTGTGTAAATGTAGATGTAGACACTGGAGAAAGGTGGGAATGTGTTTTGACAGCATAATGTAGTCTGGAATATATTTTTCTGAATAAATTCCAAAAATTGCCTAGGGGTATTTTTGTCATTTGCCTCTTTCTTCTAGAAAATGAAGCTGAATAAGCAAAATAAAAACAGCAATCACAATTCCTAAGATTGAGTATTCTGAGAGATTGAGGTTTTGTAAATTAGGGTTTTACAGTACTTGAATCTGATTTGTTTAAAAAGAAATACATAGACATGTCATTTGGGTTTTTGTTCGCACAGTTCACCTTTTCTGCAAACCTCTTTTTATGCTGTCTACAGAAAAGAGGTAATGTCATTCCCATCTCTAAGTTCTAAATAAGTGAATTTTGAGAAATAGTATTCTAATATTTCTCTGCTAAAATAAATTTAAAATTTCAAGCCTTTAAGTTGCCTAGATTATCTTTAGTACTATTCTATTCCTATTATATAAATCTAAGAACAATTTAGCTTTTATAGAAAGTTTTGAAAATATGGAATATATACGTACATATATAGTTGTATTGCTTAAAGATGGAAATACATTCCGAGAAATGCACTGTTAAACAATTTCATTCTTGTCTGAACATCATAGAGTGTACTTACACAAATCTAGATGGTATTGCCTACTACACACCTAGGCTACTGTTATAGCCTACTGCTCCCAGGCTACAAACCTGTACCGCATGTTACTGTACTGAATACTGTAGGCAACTGTAACATAATGTATTTGTGTACCTAAACATAGAAAACATATAGTAAAAATACAGCATAAAAGGTAAAAGAAAAATGGTACACTTTCATAGGGCACTTACCATAAATGGAGCTTGCACGACTGGAATTTGCTCTGGGTAAGTTAGTAAGTGAGTGGTGAATCAATCTGAAAGCCTAGGACATTATTATCCATGACTGAGGACTTTATAAACACTGTACACTTAGGCTACACTAAATTAATTAAATTTGTTTTCTTTATTAATAAGTGAACTTAAGCTGTGACTTTTTACTTTAGAAACTTTTAAAGCTGTTACACTTTTTGACTCTTGTAATAACATGTAGCTTCAAAAACACATTGTACAGCTGTACAAAATTATTCTTTTTTATATATTCTATAAGCTTCTATTTTTATTTTTGACTTTTTAAACATTTGGTTAAAAAGTAAGGCACAAACACACACATTAGTGTAGGCCTACACAGGCTCAGGATCATCAATATCACTGTTTTCCACCTCTACATCTTGTTCCACTGGAAGGCCTTTAGGGGCAATAACATATATGAAGCTGGCATCCTCAAGGCCTTATTCTGGTGTACCTCTTGAAGAACTTGCCTGAGGCAGTTAACTTTCTTTTTATGAAGACAGAGAGAGTACACTCTAAAATAACAATAAAAAGTGTAGTGTAACAAATACATAAACTACATTTATGATCAAGTATTACATATCAAGTATTATGTACTCTACATAATTGTACGTGTTATACTTTCATTCAACTGGCAACACAGTAGGTTTGTTTACACCAGCAAAACCACAAAAATGTGGGTAATTTATTTTGTTACAATATTAAGATAGCTATGATGTCACTAAGCAATAGGAATGTTTCCGTTTCATTACAACCTTATGGGAGTACCATTTTGTATGCTCTTCCTTGTTGGCTGGAACATCATTATGTGACACATGACTGGTGGAGGGTCTTGCCTCCAAGCTGGTGGCTGCTGACTGATCAGCGTGGTAGTTGCTGAAGGTTAGGGTGGTTGTGGCAATTTCTTCAGACAACAATTAAGTTTGCTGCATCAATTGACTATTTCTTTTAGGAAAGATTTCTCTGTAGCATGAGATGCTGTTTGATAGCATGTTATCCACAGTAGAACTTCTTTCAAAATTGGAGTAAATCCTCTCAAACTCTGCCACTGCTTTAACCTCAACTAAGTTTAGAAATATTCTAAATCTTTGTTGTCACCTCAACAATGTTCACAGCTTCTTCATCAGGTGGAGATTTCATCTCAAGAAACCGCTTTCTTTGTTCATCCATAGAAGTAACTCCTTATCCCTTCAAGTTTTATCATGCAATTGCAGCAATTCACTCACACCATTAAGCTGCACTTCCAATTCCAGCTTTATTGGTATTTTCACCATATTCCGCACTTATTTCCCCCACTGAAGTCTTGAACCACTTTAAGTCATCCATGATGGTTCCAATCAACTTCTAACAATCCTCTGCTAATGTTGATATTTTGACCTCTTTCCATGAGTAATGAATGTTATTAATAACATTTAGAATGGTGAATCCTTTCCGGAACGATTTCAATTTACTGTTCCCAAATGCATGAGAGGAATAACTATATATGGCAGCTATAGCCTTACAAAATGTTTTTCTTAAATAATAAGACTTGAAAGTTGAAACTATTTCTTGATCCATGTGCTGCAGAATGGATATTGTGTTAGTAGACATGAAAACAACATTAATTTTTTTGTAAATCTCCATCAGAGCTTTTGGGTGACCAGATGCATTGTAAATAAGCACTGATATTTTGAAATACATCTTTTGTTTTCCTGAGCAGTAGATCTCAATAGTGGATCTAAAGTATCCAATAAACCACGCTTTAAACAGTTGTGTTGTCACCTAGGCTTTGGTGTTCCATTTGTAGAGTACAGGCAGAATAGATTTAACGTCATTCTTAAGGGCCTTAGGATTTCCAAAGTGATAAATGAGCATTGGCTTCAAGTTAAAGCCAATGGCTGCATTAGCCCCTAACAAGAGTCAGCCTGTTCTTGAATTTTTGAAGCCAGACAATGACTTCTCCTCTCTAAAGGAGTCCTAGATGGCATCTTCTTCCAACAGAAGGTTATTTTTTTCTACACTGAAAATGTGTTGTTCAGTAGAACTATAACTTTCATCAATTAGCTAGATCTTCTGGATAACTGCAGCACTTTTCCTTCACCTTGTGTTTTTATATTATGGATATGACTTCTTTCCTTAAACTTCATGAACCAAATTCTGCCGTCTTCAAACTTTTCTTCTGCGGTTTCCTCATTTCTCTCAGCCTTTACAGAATTGAAAAGAATTAGGCACTTGCTTTGGATTAAGCTTTGGTTTAACTGAATGTTGTGGCAGGATTGATCTGTTCAGACCACCAAAACTTTCTCCATATCGGCAATAAGACTGTTTACTTTCTTATCATTTATGTGTTAACTGCAGTAGCATATTTAATTTCCTTCGAGAACTTTTTCTTTGCATTTTCCACTTGGCTACTTGGCTAACTGGCACAAAAGGCCTGGATTTTGGCCTGTCTTAGCTTTTGACATGCCTTCCTCACTAAGCCTAATCATTTCTAACTTTTGATTTTAAATGAGAGATGTGTGACCCTTTGTTTTATTTGAACACTTAGAGGATATTGTAAGGCTATTAATTGGCCCAATTTTAATATTGTTGTATCTCAGGAAATAGGGAGGTCCCAGGAGATGAAGAGAGATGGGGGAATGGTTGTTCAGTCAAGCAGTCAGAACACACACAATGTTTTTCAATTGTATTTATCATCTTATGTGGGCATGGCTTGTGGTGCCCTAAAACAATTACTATAGTAGCATCAAAGATCACTGATCACAGATCACTATAACAAATGAAAAAATAATGAAAAGTTTGCAATATTGTGTGACTTATCAAACTGTGACACAGAAACATGAAGTAAACACATGATGTTGGAAAAACGGCATTGATAGACTTGCTAGTCAGGATTGCCACAGATCTTCAATTTGTAAAAAACATCCAATTGTTGTGAAGTACAGTAAAGCAAAACACAATAAAATGAGGAATTCCTGCATATGTAACCCTTTAAAATATTAAAAAATGTTTATTCATTTACTCATTCATTCAACCAACAAATTTTACTTTGTGCTTTACAGTAGCCAGGCAGTTGCCAAGTACTGGTTAGACAGAAATGAGAAAATAGGCATATGTTTCTGCCCCCTTGGAACTAATAATTCAGCAAGGAAAGTAAAAATTACAAAACTAAAATCCAACAAATACCTCACTACACATTGTAAGTTGTATATACTGCTTTTTAAACTGCTTATATTCCACTTAGCATAACATGGAAGTATTGTTTTCGAAAGTCAGACCATTCCAGTCCTCTGCTCCGAAATCTCCAGAGACTCCCCATCTGGCTCAGAATGAAGTCCCGAGCCCTTCCCCTTGGCCTATATGCACTCAATGCTGGTGGCTGCTCTCTTTGATTGACACCTCTTTCCTCACCCACTGCAGTAGCCTGGACTTCTTACTGCCTCTTACTCACTTTAAACTGGCCAGTGTCTATCTCAGGCTTTATGTTTCCTAATCTCTCACCCTAAGGTTCTCTGTCTCCAAATGCCTTAGGGCCTAACTGCTGTTTTCAACTCTAGAAAGCTTTCACTGTCTACCCATCTTGATAACCATATGCCCAGTTCATTTTTTAAATTTACTTGATTTTTCTTCATAGCTTTTAATCTGTCCTGGGACATTGTATCTTCATGTTTATTGTCAGGCTTTTCCTTCTAGAATGCTAGCTTCCTGAAACTAGGGGTATTGCTTTCTTCACTGCCCTACCTTCTAGTACTTAATAAGCATTTGATGAATATTTATGAGATGAATGAATTAATAAATATATGAAAAAGTAGATGAATGAACAATTTTCTAGTCACTGCATGTTTTTATTTGCAGCATTAGAATATTTAATGATATAAACACATCATATTTAACAAATTTCCTATTTTTATCTATTGAGCTAAATTATTTTTTTTTCCTTTTAGAAACCATGCTGCCATGAACTCCACTGTGGTTAGATTACTTAGTATTATTTCCTTAGGATAAGTTCAAGGAAGTGGGATAAACTGTGTTATTGTTCAGTCAATATTAGATAATGAGAGCGTATCTATTATTGCTAAGAAGTGTATATATCTGAAACAAACTGAAGTTCATTCAGGGGTTAGCTGCTAGACTGTTCACCAGCAAACTTCAACTGAAATTATTTTGGGACCATATTCATGCCTCTAGTCTTGGCTTCTGTTGAATTCAATTTTATTAAATTTTCTTCAGTCACAATTTTTAACCACAGTTTGTCTAGTAAGGAAACCCAAATATGAGTTTTAATGTGTTTAATATATAGGCCTTAGAAATTTTTTAAATCTCACTTCTAAAAATCCAATAACTTTAAGTATCAGAATAGGAAACATAAATAAGAACACATATAGTGATCCATCCACAACTATTTGACTGGGAAGTAGATTAAAATCCTAAATTATTGCCGAAGTTTTCTAAGTTAAAAAAGACTCAAATATAAGCCCCGAAACCAATCAAAGTTTCTCATGTCAGCTGTACTTTTTCCTACGGAGCTAATCTATGCAAGTAGTATTTATCATTTAAACAGTCGTGGTTCAAAGACCATTGATGATGTTATATTGTCAAAAGAAAGAACTTGTAACTGACAGTTTATTCAGCATGAGAAGGAAAGAATGAAGGAGACTATTTGCATTTAGCTTACATTTTAAAGTAAAGAAAAAGTAAAGAGAACTATTTCCAAATTTGACATCATCTCTCTCCCCTCCATTTTTTCTGAAGCACTGTTTTAGTTTTTAAAGAAATTCTAAATTGACATTTAAATGGTGGCAGGGCAATTCTCCGTCTCTGCCTTGTGAAACGGTCTCTGGAAATGTACAATTATGCTGTCATCTTTAGCACTCCACATTGGACAGAGTTTAATTATTAATGTGTTTCCCTCAGAGAATGACTCGATCATGTCACAACTCTAGACAAATACAGCTAATGCAAAATCATAAAATATTCACTTGAATACTGCTGAACTGACAGGAAATTAATTCTATGAACACTTTTGATATTACCAGAAAATTAGTTTCAAACACATAAGACTGAAATAAATGTGTTCATAATTTGCTCAAGGGTAACGCTCATCTTGCAATCAGTTGGTGTCTTTTTATAAATGTTACAAGTATTCAACATGGCTTTATGATAAAGAGGACAGCTAATGTAATGTATTATTTGTAGACAGTATTTTACTTGTAAACAGCAGGGAGTGAAGAATTGCTGTCTCAGAAATATTTAAACTCCAGTAATATTCTGCTATTAATCATTTTGTAGAACTGAAGAAGTACCATCGAAAAAATTTTTTTTTCTTTCAAGACTGAGAAGCTTAAGGAATGGTAATGGGATTTCAAACTTTTCATTTCAGATTGCTGTCCCAATTCTTATGAAATATTTTAAAATGATTGAAAATGATTAGTATCTTAAGGCTACTTGGTGTCCATCATTGGACAAATTAGTGATTTTATGATTTTTGAAAGTTAAAAGTATCCTTCAAAGAAGTTTACTTCCTCTTTTGTCTTTTCCCAGACATTTGCATGAATTTTAACATAATATTATGCTGTAATTATTTGCATTCTTTTTTTTTTTTTGAAACAGAGTCTCTCTCTGTCGCCCAGGCTGGAGCGCAGTGGTGCGATCTCGGCTCACTGCAAGCTCTGCCTCCTCCTGGGTTCACGCCATTCTCTTGACTCAGCCTCGCGAGTAGCTGGGACTACAGGCATGCACCACCACACCCAGCTAATTTTTGTATTTTTAGTAGAGACAAGGTTTCACCATGTTGGCCAGGATGGTCTTGATCTCTTGACCTCGTGATCCGCCTGCCTCAGCCTCCCAAAGTGCTGGGATTACAGGCGGACCTCGTGATCCGCCTGCCTCAGCCTCCCAAAGTGCTGGGATTACAGGCGTGAGCCACTGTTCCCGGCCTCATATTTTTACACTTACTCAACTAAAAGCTCCTTGAAGGTTAACACTTTTGTCATTGATCACTATCCCTAGAACCTAGTCAAGTGTGTAATGCAGAGGCTACATGCATGAGTTGTTTGGTGTATAAATTAATGAATAAAAAAATAGATAAATGAGATGACTTCTCATTGAAAACATTATTAGGGAAGTAAAATAAGTCAACATGTAGTCAATTCACTTTAGAATTTAAAATATCTTATAAAAGATGATTTTAACATGTATTTCCAGAAGTGGCTTCCCTCACTATTACTGATTCCTGCTTTTATAGAAACTACTCCTGACACACAAAGGTAAGCTTTTAACAGACAAAATTTGCTATCTTGCTATAGCTAATCAATCAAAACTAAGCTAATCAGATGTTTTTGAAACATCTGAATGTGATATTGTGGCATTGCTGGAGGTGAATCATATTTGATGGTATTCTAGAGAAAAAAAACACACCACCATGTGAGTCAGGTCACATTTCCTTACCTTCATGAGTCCTAGCTTCTGTTTCCTTCTAATAAATATCCCTTTTAAAAGGCTTAAGTTGGCCTGGCAAGGTGGCTTACGCCTGTAATCCCAGCACTTTGGGAGACTGAGATGGGAGGATCGCCTGAGGTCATGAATTCAAGATCAACCTGGCTAACATGGTGAAACCCCATCTCTACTAAATATACAAAATTAGCTGAGCATTGTGGCACATGCCTGTAATCCCAGCTACTCAGGAGGCTGAGGCAGGAGAATCACTTGAACCTGGGAGGCGAAGGTTGCAATGAGCTGGGATCACGCCACTGCACTCCAGCCTGGGTGACAGAGTAAGACTGTCTCCAAAAATAAATAAATAAATAAATAAATAAATAAATAAATAAATAAAATAAAATGCTTAAGTTAGCGATAGTCTGCTTCTATCACTAGAAACTAAAAGAAATTTGATTTACATAATTATGTATAATAAAGCATGTTTTGACAGTGTCCCTCTGAACTAATTTTGTGTTTTTAAATAAACAAAATTATCTAATAATTATAACTAGAGTTTTCAGATCTTTTATGCTTCCTTTAATCTATTTATTGTATGTATTTATTTAAGGTAAAAAATTACAATTGTTGGAAATTAAAGTTATGCCATCTGCAAAGATGCTGTAATAAAATATTAAAAGAAACATGATTACTGAATCAGTGAATTTTAGTTTAATAGTTTTAACTTATTTTACAAATTACAGGAAATGAGGATGTTCATTATTCCATAAAACTACTTCTCGTTATGACAGATTGAATGGGGGCCTGAGTTAAATATAACTGCATAAATGTGAAAAGGCAAAAGGGACCTAATTGAAGATATTATTAGAAAATAAAATATAGCAAATTAATTAAACAATGCAAATCTCAGTAACAATGGCTATGCATTTTTAACACTTAATGTTTTAATATTACCCTTACAAAGGTTAGTCAAAACACATACTAAACTTTTATGCCAGTTTTTTTTCCAGGGTGGTTATTTATCCAGCAAATAGAAACTATCATCAATGTTTACTCATTCATCTGGCAAACAAGCATTCAAAACCTACTTTATGCAAGGCATCATGCTAGGTGCTAAGAAGAATACAATGATGAAGAATAAAACTTTCTTGCCTTTGAGAATTGCAAATTAAAATTACAATAAGATATCATCATATACCGGTCAGAACGGCTATTATTATAAAGTCAAAAACAACAGGTGTTGGTCTGGATGCTGAGAAAAGGGAATGCTTATACACTGTTGGTGGGAATGTAAATCAGTTCAACTTCTGTGGAAAACAGTATGGAGATTTCTCAAAGAACTAAAAATAGAACTACTATTAGGTCCAGTAATTTCACTACTGGGAATCTACCCAAAGGAAAATGAATCAATATACAAAAAGATATCTGCATTTGCATGTTTATTGAAGCACTACTCACAATAGCAAAGTCACAGAACCAACGTAAGTATCTATCACTGGTTGACTGGATAAATAAAATATGGTAAATATATAACATGAAATACTACACAGCCATAAAAAAGAATGAAAACATCTTTTTTTTTTTTTTTTGCAGCAATTTGGATGGAGCTAAAGGCTATTATTCTAAGTTAACTGAGGAACAGAAAATCAAATACCTTCTAAGTGGAAGGTAAACAACAGGTATACATGGGCATACAAATGAAAAGAATAGACTAGGGACTCCAAATGGGGGGAAGGTGGGAAGAGGGTAAGGGTTAAAAAACTAACTGTTGTGTACTATGCACAGTACCTGAGTGACAGGATAATTATTAACCCAAACCTCAGCATCACACAATAAGCCCAGGTAACAGACATGCATATGTATTGCCTGAATCTAAAATAAAAGTTGAAATAATAATAATAATAACAAAGAAAAAATGTCCTGCCTTCAAATACCTAGCTGGGAGATAAGAAAAGAAACAAAAAGTTAACATATAGACTGAATGTTAAGAGAGATATAAATTCAAAGTAATAAGGGACTTAGATTAAAGAAGACGGAAACCAAGTTAAATTAGGATAATTATGAGAGGATTAATTAATAAGATGGCTTTAACAAGAGGAACTGGATAGGAAAGGATATTTTGAAAGGTGGAGATCATTCTAGTTACCTATAACTATATGAGCAACAACCTTGTTGCTGAAGTATGGAGTACTCTGAAACCAGCATCAAGGGATTGTAACTGGAGTCTGGCTGTGAAGGAGGTTATCCCCTTCCACCAATAATAAAATCTTCTTATGTTTTCAATGAAATGTATTATCTACATGATGTTACAGCAAAACTAATAGAGTTGTTTTCATTCACTCAGTATATTTTCTCTCTTCCCATTATCTCTTAAAATCATCACAAATAGGATTTAGTCTCTATCTTGTAGCCAGGTTACAATGACATCACATTGTTAAATCCAATAAGCAATTATTTGTTCACAATTAACTATCAGTAGCATTTGAACACTTGATCACCTCTCCTCCTAAAAATCTTTTGGTTCAATTGGCTTCCAGGTAACCCCATATCTTATTTTTTTCTCCAAAAATAACTATCTCTATTATCTATCTATCTCTATCATCTATCTATCTATCTATCTATCTATCTATCTATCTATCTATCTATATCATTTATCTATCTATAATCTATCTACCTATCTATGTATGTATCTGTCTCTATCATCTATCTATCTACCTATCTATCATCTATTTATCATCTATCTATTTATCATCTCTTTATCATCTATCTATCTCTATCTATCTATCTATCTATCATCTATCTATCATCATTTATCAATGATTTCTCTATCAGTAGAGAAAACAAATTAATTTCTGTTTACATAGAGTGTTTAGCCTTGACAGGGACAAATATTTCTTCCCTTAAAACATTCTGTATCTTCATTAAAACAATTATCACTTTTAGTGCTCTCACAGAATTTATAAATGTATTGGAAATGAAAGGAGCACCACCAAAAAGCTGGTTTTCTTTAAGGGATATTTTTGAATTGGGTAGTAGGGAAGGCTAGGGGCTAGTCCAGAAGCCAAAGCCATGCTGCAGGGCTGGATAAGTGATAGGCTGCATTAAACACACAGTCTCTCTTCATGACACTGACAGTTTTTGGACTTTCATAAACTGGGCATTAAAGAAGCTAAAAGTTAAAGGAAGAAATTTTTGCTAGGTTTTTACTAAAAATGGAACTCAGTCCTAGCCCAGATCAGTTTTTGATTTGACCACAATAGTTATCTTCTCATGCTGTTTTACTATAAGAGGAAAGAGGAGAATCTTTATGGGTAGAAGATATTCTCTGAATATATACAGGTTGTTTTTTTTTTTAAATAACATCTGGCTCGAAATAAAAAAAAAATACTATATATGTGTCTGAATCCATTTGGGTTTCTATAACAAAATGCCAGAGACTGGGTAGCTTATAAACAACAGAAATTTATCACTCACAATACTGGAGGCTGGGAAGTCAAAGATCAAGTGGCTGGAAGATTCAATATCTGATGAGGGCACATTTTCTGGTTCATAGATGATGTTTTCTTGCTGTGTCTTCACTTGGGGGGAAGGGAGGAGCTAGCTTTCTGGGGTCTCTTTTACAGGGGTATGAATTCCATTCATGAAGGCTCTGCATAATCACCATCCAATGGCCTCCTAATATAATCACCTTTTGGATTAGGAGTTCAACACATACATTTGGGAGAGAAATACACAAACATTCATTCCATAGCAATATCCCAACATGGAAAAAATCTGATTAATAATCAAGAGAAAGGATAAACAACTGAAGCATAACCTAACATGGTCCAGAGATTAGAGTTAACAGCAATAACTAAAATAGCATCATTAATATATTAAAGAAAGGCAAAATGAAGAAAATGAATTAAGTGTATAGAGAATAAAATCTATCAAAATGAATTAGATGGAAATTATGGAATTGAAGTGTTTAATATCTAAATTTAAGAGCTCATTGGATTGATTTAACAATAGATGTAGAAAAAAATGAACTCAAACACAGATCAATAGAAAACATTCAATGTGAACTACAAAATGAAAAAAAAAGAAAACAAGGAGGATGTAAAGTATAAAACATTTGGAGCACAGGGAAATTTAGATTTTGCTAAGTAACCTACTACAACCAAACTTAGCGTTTTAAAACAAAGCCATTCATTATTTCTTTACAATTATGTGGGTTGACTGAATGGTTCTTTGAGTCTGGGCAAGCTTGAGTGATCTCTCCGGGGCTAGATTTTATGCATCCGAATCTAGGACAGTTTCCCAAGTCTGGTATTTGGAAGGCTGTCTGACAGTGGGTAGCCAACTATTTGTTGGAGCATCTTGTGTCTCTTCTTCCTGGCCTTTTCTTCTCCAGGAGATTAACTCAGATTTATTTACATGATGATCTCAGGGTTCTAAACATGTGAGAGAGGAAAAGCTCTAATGCTCAAGTGCTTTTCAAGCATTTTCTTGGACCAAAATTGTTCAATGTCTGAAGTCATTTAAAAAGCCAAGTCCAGATTTAAAGAGAAGAGAAACAGACTTCACTCCTAATAGGAGGAGCAACAAAATCTTCTTGCAAAAAGTGTAAATGACCTGCATGAATATATAGATGACAAAATAAGATGACATTTTTTCAGTCTACCACAACCTGGAATTAAAATCTTGGAAGGGAAGGAAGAAGAAATTAGATCAAATGTAATATTTAAAAAGTTAAAAGCCGAAAATTTTCTAAAAATATGAAAATATGTCACATTCCAGATTTTAAAAGACCAGAAAACCACAAGCAGAATAATTTTTAATAGTTAATCAGTTAAACAAACCAAAAGAATTATCTAAGTACATGTTCGTTACACTGTTGAAAAACAGAGACAGTCTTAAAAGTAGCCAGAGAAGTAAGAAACATCACCCTCAAAGAAACAATAGTAAGATGATGACTAACTTCTGAAGCAATATTGTGAAAACCAGAAAATAATGCAGAATATTTTTAAAGCATTTAAAAATAAGTGTCTGTCAAAAGTAGAATAAGTAAGTATTGCTAAAGATGTGAAACAATTAGGACACCTGCGTATTGGTGGGTGTGTGTATTGGTAAAATCACTTTGAAAAGCTATTTACCAATACATACATAAACCAAATATGTAACTTTCCTGGGACCCAGCAATTTTACTTTTAATCATATATCCCTCCAAAAACGAGGACATATGACCAACAAAATATGTGTACAAGTATGTCCATAACAGCTTTCTTCATCATAGTTACAAATCTGAAACAACTTAAGTCTGCATCAAAAATAAGATGGCTAAATATATTATTTTTTATATAATGAAATACTGGGGATGTTTTTGGTTTTTCATATTTATATTAATTAATTTTATCCTATATGCACACAAAAAAGTGTGACCCATACACAAATTATCATTAATCATTTAAATAATGAATTTTCTCTGCTTTTACACAGGAAAAAGAGGAAGCCGCCTCCCTTTCTTCTTTTCGAAAGAGGGAGAATAAACTTTGAACCTTGGAGAAGTGGAAAGGATACTGAGTTCTTATTCTAACTTTTTAAAATATAGTATTTTCTTTTTTTCTTTTGAGATAGGGTCTTGCTCTGTTGCCCAGGCTAGAGTACAGTGGGGTGATTAAGGCTGACTGCAACCTCTGCCTCCTGGGCTCAAGCGATCCTCCCACCTCAGCCTCCCAAGTAGCTGGGACTACAGGAACATGCCACCACACTTGGCTAATATTTTTGTAGAGACAGGGTTTACCTTTGTTGCCCAGGCTGGTCTCAAACTCCTGAACTCAAGCAATCCACCTGCCTCGGCCTCCCAAAGTGCTAAGTTTACAGATGTGAGTCACCATGCTCAGCCTTGGAATGTAATTTAAACCTCTCCAAGGGCCAGATGGCTTCAGATTTTAAACCTTGAGACTTTGCCAAAGTTTTATGCTTTTCTCTTGATATGTAAACATATACTTTAGGAGCTAGGTAAATCTTTCTGGAGTTCTCTATCTATAAAATTGTAAATTACTGTCCCAAGTCTTGGTCTCAGCCCAGAATCCTGTTTCCAGGTAAAATTTCTTCAGAAACCTCCCACTCTAGAAATACAAACATTTTTTCTGTACACTTCACAACTACACAGCAATATGAAAGAATAAACCACTTCTAAACTCAGTAAAATGAATGAATCTCACAGACATATAATGAGAAAAGAAATGAGAGAGCAAAGAATATGTACTTTATGATTCTACTTATATGAAATTCAAGAAGAATAAAGCTAATATACAGTGACAAAAGTCAGAAAACTGTACTCTCTGGAGAGGGAGGTGAATGAGAAAGTGCTTATAAAAAATTCTGGTGCAGAAAATTTTTAAGATCAATATGTGTGGTCGTTGCTTGGTATGTTTATAAGTAAAATTCAATGAATTTTACACTCAGAATTTTTGTACTTTATTGTAAGTTATATTTCAATAAAAATATTTCTGAACAGTCTGTTTTAGTTAAAGTAAGAGGTCATGTCTTCTTGTAGAATGAATCAATATAGTTTTATTTATTTTTGTCCAACAGTGCTTGTTAATCTTAGTAAATTTTTTTTAAATGAGAAGTTTGATGTACCAGAGGATGAGGCTGTGAAAGATGTGATAAAGAGTTCTTATTTATGATGATTGCTTTTAAGTTCATCATGTAATTTAGCGTAGGTAAATAAAACAAAGGTAGAAGATGGAAGAAGAATCTATAAGACAACTTTTCATAATATTAAGATACATTTTTGAAGATTAGCTCAACCTTCTCAAATACTGAGACACAGGAAACATTTTTACATTTTGAAAAATGAGACCAATGATACCACAAGGCTTAAATATTGATATTACTTACTGATGGATGTAGAGCTAGGATGTAATCTGAGGTACAGTAACAATGCCCTTGCCTAGAAATGCTAACAGTACCAAGATCTGTAGGACAAAAATTTTGAAACAGCCTAAATTATTAAATAAATTATGACACAAACAGAATATGTAGTACTAGGTAGAAAAAAAATATCGGAAGACATAGAAAGATTGTCACCAAATGATAAGTCTAAAAATTAGTTGCAGGGTTTCTTAGGCTAAATGTCTTAAAATGAACTCTGAGGAAGAGCTTTGCATTCAGAAGGCTTTAGGGATTGCACAAAAAAATATATATTTAATAAATTGAGGGTGCAGGGCCAGGCAAAGGGGAAAGTTGAACTATAATACAGTCCAAAAGAAGATTTAGTTGATTCCATAGGGTGTTCTTGAGCTAGGATGCTCTTAGAGCTTCCAAATTAAGACAGGAAATTCAGTCTTTTGTACCCCTACATAGACTAGCTATTGAATAAAGGCTGTCCCAGGGAAGGGAGTTGAAACTCGGGCAAAGAAGCTCCCTTCAGTATGGTAGAGGACCATTAGGAGGGGTGTTGCTTGGACTTTGGTGGTAGGTTTGCATAGACCTGCTCACTCTGGGACAATACTGCTCACTCTGGAACAAGGGGGACCTCACAATAGCTGGGCTGAATGAATGCCTCAAAATCTTAGAGGGGAGATCTGCATAACACCACTGACTCCATTACAATCTACTCATTGGGCCACATAGATCTACTTGCATTTTAAAGTTTTAGCCTATATAGACACGGATTCTCCAAGATCCTGATTTGTCTGCTTTCCTGGGGAAACATACAAAGACTAGTGGGACAAACTAGAATCATGCCACTGCTGCTGACCTTGGGGCCAAAACTGATGTCGACCATCTGCCTCCTTACTGTCCATGCAGCTTTCTCTGTACTTCATATGGCACATCTGCTAGTCAGTGTGGCTCAGTTCAGGAAGGTACCCAGACTCTGTTCTCTGAGGGTTGAATTCTCTGGTCACCATGCCTTCTCCAACTGTGTGTGCTATCTGTTCCAATTTACTACCAAAATCAGGCAAGGGAATTGGCTGAGTTCGTTTATGCTGCTATAACAAAACACCCGAGACTGAGTAACTTATAAATAATGGAAATTTACTTCTCCCACTCTGGAGGCTAGAAAGTCCAAGATTAAGGCACTGTCAGTTTTGGTGTCTGGTGAGGACTGCTCTCTCTTCCCAAGATGGCACCTTTTTGGCTGCATTCTGTGGAGGGCACAAATGTTGTATCCTCACAAGGCAGAAGAAATGGAAGGGCAAAAGGGTGCTGTGTCCTCCAACCCTTTTATGAAGTTGCTAATCCCCCAGATAACTCAGTTGTCTCCATCCAAAGTCTCAGGTACCACACCTTTCCAATCAGGGCTCTATTCTTCAGACAGGAAGACTGGACAAGGTTGAGAATTCAACTCATTTGAGCTTTTTCATTAAGGCTTGGGCCTAATCCTTACTCTTTTCTGTCCTCCAGATTTATATGCTCTCTTTATATGCTGCTAAGGGAGTCTCCGGCTTTCACACACTGATTAAATGGATTATTGATCCTCAGCCTTGCATTGCTTTTTTTTTTTTAGTGTTTTAATGGCACCCACCGACAGTCATCCAATTTCGTAGTCCTTATTACTACTCCTTCCTCTGTACTTTTCAAATGACTGAGTTAATGTACCAGCCAATGCATTCTCTTACACCAGTATTTTATTCCAGTTTATAACCAGTGAATGTTTTAACAATTGCTCTACTACAACATGACATGGGCTAAGTACTTCATCTATCACCCACCTACCACCAATAATAAGGTCTTCATTGATGGCCAAGTAATTAGTAATCCAACTTCAAAATCCCATTTTCAAATCTGTTTCCTACAGTTATTCCTGGCTTGTAAAACATTTAAATGGCAAACATAAATACATAGTATTACTAATTTAATAGAATTTACTTTAATACCATGAAAACCTCTGTGTATACAAACATAGGCAAACATAGCTTTTGTCCTCAAATCACTTGTAAGTTATAAGGTTTGATAGACAAATGAACAATTGTAAGTCAGAATGATAATCACTTTAGAATAAGCTTGAGAATATTAATATTGTTATTATTAGAAGCTACTGTTCCTAAAAGCTACTGTTTAGAGAAACTGGGTTTCTGAGTGAAAATCTGTATTATTTGACTCCTTGAAAAAAAAGCCAGTTTAAATAATAACGTTAAACCTGAATAGGCAACATACTATATACTGTAATACTGGTCTTTCGTGCTTCCTTATTTATGGTAAAATAGATAAGAAAAAATTAAAGCTAACCAATACTTGGAAAGCTCTCCACTTCAGGGTATCCAGTGATCAGAAAAATACTAATGTATTGCTACTCCATTTGAAGGAATGTCAACCAACTGCTAATTTTTATTCTTCCTTAAACTAGGCACTAGCTGGTAGAAGAAAAAGTAGGATGAAACAAGCCAAGCAGGGATTTTCTTAAATTTACATCTAGGAAACCATACTGCTAACTTACATAATTCCAGGTATAGAAGCAATTCTTTTGTATAGGATTTAACAGCAGTAAATCTATTAGCTTTTGATCTCTGAAGAGTCAGTTAAACATCTTAAGGAAGGTAACCAGCTTTGTGTCTGCTCCTCAATTGGAAGGAGTATGGTTGATCTAAGGAAAAAAGTTTGTTATTCTCTGAGATCATTTATAAAATGCTTTCACACAGCATATGTCTTCTAAAGGAGTTGTTAAACATGCAAATACTATAAAAGAGAATATAGTCCCACTTTCCAACACCCCAAGGGTGGCCCAGTTAGTGCAGTGGACACATACTGTGTAGATATTTCAGTCCTTGTTCTTCAGACTGCTTAGTTAATTTTGCTTGTCATTTTTTAGTTCCAGGAAGCTCTTGGAATTGGTAAATTGCATGTTTATTACTTTAAAAAAAATAGATAAAATGAAGATATAATTGGAAGGGTTTTTTTGTTTGTTTTCTTTTTTGGCTTTGATTTTGAGTAACAAATCTAATTTTCAACATGTAAACTTATTATTATATATTGTGCATGACTTCATGAGTTTAAGTTTTGAAATTATAATTTTGCACAGCACAGGCTTTCAGTTACAAAGAATGCTTTACTATATTTTTTAGGCATTCCTTTGTTTTGATGTTATCACAAAATCTCATTTCTCTGCTGTTTCCCGTTGCAGTATGGTAAACTACTTCATTTTGGTGATTACTTTTTCTTTCTTGTAACTGATTACAAGCCAAATTATAAAATGCTGGAAGCATCCAGGCTTAAACCAGTTTTCAACTTTAAAGCATGAAAAGCCTGTAGTAAGGATTTAATGAATTTCCAATTCTTTTCTTTATATTCTATACTAGAAGTTGAGGCCTGTAGCAGTTCTTGTTTGTCAGGTGAATTTAATACCAGACTTGAGATTATGACATAAGATTTCTAACTGAGATTCATTTATGAACCCCAAGTATTGCTGTGGAGAGTCTTATTGTCAGACCTAAAATGTAAAAACAAAACAAAAACAGAACAGAGCAACAACAAAAAACAAGTAGTATATTGCTCTTGTAAATGTGAAAGAGACTATAATTACTTCACTAATAAAAAAGAGATGCAACATATAAATATATGAGTATATTGATGTTTATATGTTTTTTTCTTTAGATATAATCAAAATGACAATCATGCATCAACAGGCTATAGCATCATTACAAAGAATTTTTTTTTTAACTTGGGCTATTGTGGACATCATAACATAGTAGTTAAGAAGAATCTTAGGAGTCAGAACATCTGGGTTCATATCTCAGTTTTTCCATTTGTAATCTCTGTGATCTTGAGCTAATTATCTTCTCTAAATCTTAGTTTCATATTTGTAAAATAAGAGATATGAGAAATTATTAATAGCAATAATTATGCTGATCTCACGGAGTTGCTGTTAAATTTAAATGAGCTCATGTACTAAAGCATTTACCAAATGATTTGCACTTAATTTTAGTTAAAAAAAAGTCTTGGAAGATCTGCAGGCTGCAAAAATGGCTGTTTTTCTTCTCTGTACCCTACCTTTCCCATGTAACTTTACATTTCCACTCTGACTGTGGCCATATGACTTGTTTTGGCCAATTGATGCTGGCTAGTGTGATGTAATAGCAGGCTTGAGAAGCCTTGTGCAATTGGGTTCTCTCTCTCTTGTGTTTCTGACTTCATCAAATGAACATACCTGGACTAGTCTGATGAAGGAAAAGAAAGACAAAGAGCAGAGCTAAATTGCTCCAGTTGATGTCATTGTAGATAGCTAATAGCAGCTTTCAGACATTTGAATAAACTGGGTCAAGATCAGCAGAGCTACCTATTCAACACCCACCAATAAGTACTCTCTGTTTTAGTCCACTATTGAGTGTTGTGAGTTTTCTTTTTCTGTTTGTTTGTTTGTTTATTTTGTTTTGTTTCTGGACATACCTCTTCTGGGATACAGATTTATCATATTTGTCATTCTGTTTGGGCCTAAGCTAAATATCTCCTTAATAAAAGAGTAAGTTTTAGCTATGAAGGTAATACTCTTGTTGATTACTTAGATTGTGTTCACATATTTCTTCAATGGAATCCAGTCTGAATTTAACTATTTAGAGTGCATGATAAACTGCTTATACTTATTTTTGCAGCTAGCACACTCATAAGGATGTAAGCATATAAAATTGCATTATATTATATAGCACAATAATAGGTTAGTGTGCCTTCAACTATAATTGCATTTTCTCAAAAATAGAAATAGATCTGTATAAAGAAGGAGTTTACAAATCATTTTTATTTGTTTGGAGTTTACAAATCATTTTTATTTCTATTGTTTCATTATTTCTGAATTTTTGTACCAGCACAAATGCCAATTGAATATAATCCAAAATGTAAATAATACTCTAGAAAATTTGTTAACAAATATGTAAACACCAAAATGAACACTTTTTTTTTTTTTTAATTTTGGCAATGAAGTCTTGCTCTGTCACCCAGGCTGGAGTGCAGTGGCGCCATCTCTGCTCACTGCAACCCCCGCCTCCTGGGTTCAAGCAACTCTCCTGCCTTAGTCTCCAGAGTAGCTGGGATTACAGGTGTGCACCATCAGTAGAGACAGGGTTTCACCATGTTGGCCAGGCTGGTCTCGAATTCCTGACCTCAAGTGATCCACCCGCCTTGGCCTCCCACAGTGCTGGGATTACAGGTGTGAGCCACTGTGCCCATCCAAGATGAACATTGATTACAAAATGTTTTCATTTGATATATCCCCAAAGGATGATTTAAAATATTCATAGTTCATTTTTTAAATATAAATAACTCATTATGAAAAAGGAAGAAAAACATAAATGAATACTAAGATCAGCTTTTGGATGGCTGAATAAGAAGTTATTGTAGAATATACAACAAGAGTAGGTGGGTATATGGATCTGGGGCTAAGAAGAGATAATTGACTTAACTGTGCAGCTATAATGTTTAATATAGATCTTAAGGTGAAGGAGATTGTGGAATATAATAGAAAATAATAAAATGTAGAACTCTAATTAAAACACAACCATTCTTAAGAAGCATGATGAGAAAGAAAAGCCAAGCAATGAAACTGAAGCTTAATAATCCAAGAAGTAGAAGAATCATAGAGACAAAGTTGGAAGAGATTGTCAAAACAATTGTTATAACCATAACTTGGCACACTGTACGGCAAGTTAAGCTAAAATTAGGAATAAGAAGTGACCACTGTGTTTAGCAATTAGGGTAGTGACTTCAGTAAGATCAGGTTTGATGTGAAAAATATGGATTTGTCTGAAAGTAGGATGAAGCAATATACAGGGCAAAAGCAAACGAAGACTATAGTGATCATGCATATAAATAAATGTAGTAACCAGACAAGAGCTAGAGCACAATGGTATTAGGGAAGGATTTTGTTTGTTGGTTTAGCATGAAAGATGGTTAATCAGCTTTCTACGATTTAGAGAACAATTAGTGAGGGGTATCATTGCAGACAGAGAGAAAAATAGAATTAATTGATAGCAAGATTTTTCCTCAAGAGATGTGATGTGATGAAACTAGATAATACTCAGGAAAAAGATTTTAATAGGAACCCAAGACAGGACGACAAATCACTCTACTTCCTTTATAAAAAGTAAAGAGATAAAATTGTAAAGATGAATAAAGATTGAGAGATATGTAAGCAGTGGGATAAGAATTCATGGAAATTAATGTCTAATAGGCAGAACTTATCTAGGGAGCATGACATAAAGTCATCAGGAGAGAGAGAGAGACAAGGAGAGAGGGAAGAGAGAGACAAACAGGATGAAAGAAGAGAGAAGGATGAGGTAGAGATAGGGAAAAAGGAGAGAGAAGGGGTGGTGGGGAAGGAGAGACAGACTGGAAATACAATGTGAGAAAAGTGGTAAACGTTTAGGAACTGGTCTTACAGGAAGAAGAGTTGCTGAATACCTGTGATGTCTCATTTAGGTTTCAAGAATAAATATTTAGGGCAAAATATACTAGGTCATATAAACATGCCATGTTCCTTAATTAAATAATTATCTTCCCCATTATTAGTTTATTATTTCAACCATGAAGATGAGAATCTGAAAGTTTTTGTTTGATTGTTTTCTAGATATTTTATTATAGGATAATACAAAAGTAGTTTTAACCATCATGAATGAGTCACAAAACATAATCAGATACAGAGAAAATAATCAGCTGTTATATAGTCATAATTAAGGACCATATTTATCATAATAAGAAAGACATTTCTGGACAGATTTTTTGAAAGTGATACATATCTATATACATAAATGTACTTTTGAAGGCAATTTGAATCTATGAAAAATATTTTCCCAACTAGAATGATAAAAATTATACTTACAGTATGTAATTTGTTAGGCATTGTAAATCGTGGGAATTTGAGTTAAAAATGAAATGCATAGCATACACTAAAAGACATATATTATAGTTCTTATTTAAGGATAACAAGGAAGTATGAAAGTCTTGTTAAGTGCCAAATAAATATTACTTTCCTTCAAGTAATGAGGGGCCAACACAGAATACAAAAACGTCTGCTTAAACAAAATGGAAAACATCTTTGTATTTGGCAACATAAACTAAACTACCCTAATCATAGCACAAAATATTTTCATTTTAACTCATACTAACACAACAGTGAGAGCATTCTGAATGGTTAAGTTTATAAAAATCTATGCATTTTTGAACTTTCTGCGTAAATGATGCCACAGTTTGCCTCCCATCTAATGTGCTCTTTAGTTGAGTTTCCATTTTTTTATCTAGAATTATAAAACTTCAACTCATCATAAAAAAGCATAAACATCCATCTAAATGATGTTCTTAATTATTTTTGTTTATATAGAGAGATTCTGGGTGGTATGTTGGCTGATCTTATTGCTTTGTAAATGGTAGAATTATTAATTTGCAGCATCCTATTCAAATGGCTTAATTGGTTTCCAAGGAAAGGCTTTCTTTAAAGAATTATAGGGAGAAAACGAACTGATGAACAAGGAAGGTCCAAGCTTTAAAGTCAATTATTTTATCAAATGCATTATGAAATCATTCAAACAAAATGCAGTTTTGCTCCAGAGAGAGACATGGAAGAAAAAATGTCCCTATCATAATCTTTGTTCATATGCGCGTGTTGGGGATTCATGAGATAAAGCATTACTCTATGCAAAGAAGAGAAGAAAAACAAATCTTGGTTAAAAAGAAAGAAGTGTTTCCCAAAGTAATAAATACAAAGAAAAGAACAGGGGGAGAAACTGAGTAGGGGTTGGCGGAACACGTGCCGCAGTCAGGTTAGCAGAGACAATTCTGTAACTCACTTCACTGCTCACCGCTGGAGCGTGGTCTGTAAAAAGGACCCTGAAAAGTTTTGTCATGCAGAGTTGTGACGTGGTTACTGAGAATGAGCCTGAGGCTGGGACTTGCAAGTACTCAGTGTACTTGTGAGGGAATAAGTATCTCAAGGAACTCACTTCAATAGGCCCGGAGACCAAAGTAGGCAGGGCTTCAGAAGTTACTTTCTTGTGTTCATTTGATGCTTCAGTCATGCAGCCACTTATTAGGCAGCCGCTGAGTTCAGAACACAGCGATAGAGAATAGCTGTTAATGTGACCATGCGGGGTTTGGCCCCACTGCCACTCATCCCTGTGACCATAACCTCAATCAGAGATACAGCTGCGATCCCTATCTCATGTGTGATCATAGGATGACTCCTGGCAAATTGGATGGAAAGGGAAAAAAAAGAAAGGTTTTTCTTTTGCATTCAATTTTCTGTGGTTATAGAGACCCAATCATTGTATCTTTTATGATTTGTTGAAAGGACTCAAGGTACAAGGGCTATTGTGGCAGATGTCATACAGTATTCATAAGGCATCATATAGGGAAATAGAGAGAGAGGCCCAACAGTCCAACCAGCTTGCTTGATCTCTCTACCCCCCATCACTTTCGATATGTCGAGTGTCTCTGTCCTGGTGTCTCTTCCTCGTGAGAAAACACAAAAGGCAATGAATAACCCATTATCCACATAATAAATTTTAGACTCAGTTTTTGTCTGTGAAAATGAATAGCTATCTTTGGAGCCAATTTTAGAAGTCATAAGTTCCAGGCCCTGTTGTCACTTACTATCTGAACTTGGACAAGTCATTTAACCTCTCTGAGCTCAAGGTGCCACATCTGTGAAATTGAAATAATAATAGCTAACTCACAGGGTGCTGGGGGTCAAATGCAATACTGTAAGTGAGCAGGTTTGGGAAGCTGTAAAGCATAGTACAGTTTAAAGTATTACTGGCCATAGTTTCTCTTATCTGGCACACCAGGTAAGTAAAATTGGAATTATTTCCATATGCTCCTTTTAATGAGTCAAAATAAAGTTTATCCATGGAAAAGATCGTCCTTAAGTGCCCAGGACTGTAGATGGATAACTGTCTTCATGACTTAAGTGGTTCTATCTCAATCTTTAAATAAAATACTCATAGAGAGAGAGATAATTGACTACAATGTCTAACGAGCTTTATTCATTTCGAAGAAGAGAATCTTGTTAGCTGTAAAGCAAGGTGTTAAAGCACTAGATAGCAATATCGCTTTTTTTCTAACCTAAGTTTAATATTGATATTCAAGGTCAGTTAGGCAGACTCATCTGAGACCTTTGACAATACTTGTTTGCAACATGGGCAAAAACATTTAACAAGAAAATATTCACATACATTTCACTCCCACCACCAAGATTCTTCAAACTTTAAAGACAAATCTGTCTTTGCCTGCAGAGATTCTTCTTACTCTCAATAAAGTATTCTGGCTGGGCGCGATGGCTCACACCTGTAATCTCAGCACTTTGGGAGGCCGAGGCAGGCAGATCACGAGGTCAAGAGATTGAAACCATCCTGGGCAACATGGTGAAACCTTGTCTCTACTAAAAATACAAAAATTAGCTGGGTGTGGGGGCGCACGCCTGTAGTCCCAGCTACTCGGGGGGCTGAGGCAGGAGAATCGCTCGAACCTGGGAGGCGGAGGTTGCAGTGAGCCGAGATGGTGCCTCTGCACTCCAGCCTGGGCAACAGAGTGAGACTCCGTCTCAAAAAAAAAAAAAAAAAAAAAAAAAAAGAATTCTGCTATTTCCAGATCCATTCCTGGAAGTTTGATATAGATAACTGAATCATGAGGAGAGAGAGTGAAAGGGGGAAACAGAGAGAGGGATGAGGAAGTGACAGGAAGAGAAGATACAAAGAGAGGAGAGGTGAGAAGAGGAGAACTGCAAAGGCAGGAATGGGTAACCTTTATCTCAAGATTAGCTTGTTGGAAAAAGAAATAATAGACATAAAAGGGAAAAGGGCTAGAAGACAAATAAAAAAGTACTCAGCTTCTACAAAAATTTGAATTGGTTGCTGAGGATGAGGAGAAACGAAAAGTTAGGGATAAGTAACAGTCACCAATTTATACTATATTGAAAGAGTAAGAAATAGGAATAGAGGATCTATGGTACATATGGCTGTACCTTGCGGAGCAGAGGTTCGATTTAAATTTCATTTATTCATTTATGTTTCCTGGGCTATACAGCACAAAGATGGGTTATTATATAATCCCAAATATATTCAGTTGATATTTTAATCTTTTCAATAAGGCCATTTAAACTATTACAACAGAAAATCTATCAGAGGATGTTCCTCAACTATTTAAATTAGTTGAAATCAGTCAAATTTATACTGCAAAGAAAATATGTCCCATATAGGCATGTTTCACAGGAATTTACATTCTTATATGCTTTGCTTCCTCACTATGATAATCTCATGCTAAAACAACAACAACAACAAAAAAGAACACAAGAAACCAAAATGCTTCACCAAAATTAACAGTGAGTAAAAGTATGTCCTATTTTATCTAAAATATATTTACCTAAAATGGACTATTTTATCTAAAATGTCTGTTTTTTAGTATTTTATTTTATATTGTTAATTAATCTCTCTCTGTAAAGATCAGTGTCTTGTTACATTGCATTAAAAAATTAGCTTGTTAGTCTGGGAAAGTGACAACACTTTGAGATTTTTTTTTTCAAACATAATAATATCCAACATTTATTTAGCACTTACTATATGTCAAGTACCATCCATCCAATACTTTGAAATCATCTTGTTGATCACTAATGGTCTCTTATTTAATTGAAACTATGGTTTAGCCACAGGGTATTGGTATAGACAAAAACACTTTTAGGCTGAACAGTAAAGTACTATGTTATAAAGAATGGTCCTCAGATATAATTGCTTCTCTTTATTTTCCAAGTAATTTGAAAGATATTCCATTAGCCATACTGTAAGTGAAGACAATAGAATTATTTTTTAGCTCTGAAAAACAGGTGTGTCTGAAATGCCAATATTTTGTTGATGCTGCCACTAATTGAAACCCCAGTATTTAATTAAATCTGAGAAAAAAATCTGTTGTTTATTCAGTGCTAGGGACTAGAGGTAAAAATGACCAATAATAGCAATACTGTTGGCAAAGTGTGTTTCTGATTATGATGGCTCAGGTTTCTTGGGAGAGTAAGTGGATGGAACATAGAGAGGTAAAGAACAGATAGCATTTTCTAGTCAATATTAGGTGCTTTACACGTTGGTGGAAAATATATGAGTATTATTTTAGTGTAAATATGCCATGCCTGGAGAAATTAAAAATCAGCTGAGAACTATATTTTCATACTAGAACTCTATGTAGGTTATCTCTCTATAAGATAAAAGAGTATCATACAGGCAATTTGGCCTAAGAAACTAAAAATATTGATCCTCTCAAAACTTTGATACTAGGGAAGTTTAGAAGGCAAATTTAACCTTAACTCAAATAAACTTTCTTTTGGAAGAGTGACTTGGAGTTTTACTGACTTATAACTTACTCACTTGCTTCTAAACAGTTTCCATCTTAACAGGTTATTAATACTGCCAACACTGTTTTACTTGAAAGAAAACTGCTGTGAACATGTTGTAAAGTGAATACTATGCAGTTAACTGTCACAGAAAGCTACTGTAGGTGAAAGAAGTTATTTGGAATATTATTCTTCTATTTTCTGGGACATACAGGACTTTATTGTTCTGCTAGTATTAAGCATTTCTTTCCATTCTTCCTCTCAAGAAGGCTTTTTCAGTTTATGTAGTCAGAAGGAAATGACCTGAGAATCGCAATAAATGTGGAATAGAACTAGTAAAAGTGGAAAGCATGGTACAAATTAGGAACAAAACACTATAAGTTCCATTCATGTGTGTTATCTAAAACAAAGAATTTTATAAGCTGCAAAAATCAGGATCTGAGTATAAAAATATAACTTAGTAATATGAGGAGGCTTTGAACTGGATTTCCTTTATCGCTGGTTTGAATACTTACCCTTTGAGCTAACTTTTGAGATCTCTAATGGTATGTGAATGACTATACAACTCTTCATGACAGAAATGTTCTTTTTCCAAGAGGATTGATACTCAAACTTTTTCTTTATATTATAATGTCCATATGTTATCAATAGAATTTCTTAAAGGCTATTGTATGAAAAGATAACTTTAAAATTCTCTGGTTGGCATTATACTTGCAGTGAGCTTTAATTAGGAAATTATATCAAGAATGTGTGGGTGAGAAGGCATTTTCTCCCTCTGGTTTTGAACTTACGTTCTTTGCATCCTTAGGGAAATCAAGCTTATCTCTTTGTTCCTCTATTTCTAAGATGTTGAATCTCACTTTCTTCTTCTTTTTTTAATACATACATGTGAAGTTTATTTATTTATTTTACTTTAAGTTCTGGGATACATGTGCAGAACACGCAGGTTTGTTACATAGGTATACGTGTACCATGGTGGTTTGCTGCAGCTATTGACCCATCCTCTAAGTTTCCTCCCCTCAACCCCCAACCTCGTAACAGGCCCTGATATATGCTGTTCCCCTGTCTGTGTCCATGTATTCTTATTGTTCAACTCCCACTTATGAGTGAAAGCATATGGTGTTTGGTTTACTAGTCCTGTGTTAATTTGCTGAGAATGATGGTTTCCAGCTTCATCCATGTCCCTGCAAAGGACATGATCTCATTCCTTTTTATGGCTGCATGGTATTCCATAGTGTATATGTACCATATTTTCTTTATCCAGACTG
The DNA here is from genome assembly GCF_000001405.40 of Homo sapiens. Classification (NCBI taxonomy): domain Eukaryota; kingdom Metazoa; phylum Chordata; class Mammalia; order Primates; family Hominidae; genus Homo; species Homo sapiens. Next base: position 80,344,707 of record NC_000001.11, on the reverse strand, counting down.
TCACTGATGGGCATTTGGGTTGGTTCCATGACTTTGCTATTGTAAATAGTGCTGTAATAAACACACGTGTGCATGTGTCTTTATAGTAGAATGATTTACATCCCTTTGGGTATATAACCAGTAATGGGATTGCTGGATCAAATGGTATTTCTGGTTCTAGATCCTTGGGGAATCACCACACTGTCTTCCACAATGGTTGAACTAATTTACACTCCCACCAACAGTGTAAAAGCGTTCCTATTTCTCCACAGCCTCATCAGCATCTGTTTTTTCCTGACTTGAACTGGTACCAAAACAGACATATAGACCAATGGAACAGAAAAGAGACCTTAAAAATAACACCACACATCTACATCTGATCTTCAACAAATCTGACAAAAACAAGCAATGGGGAAAGGATCTCCTATTCAATCAATGGTGCTGGGAAAACTGGCTAGCCATATGCAGAAAACAGAAACTGGACCCCTTCCTTATACCACAGACAAAAATTAACTCAAGATGGATTAAAGACTTAAATGTAAAACCCAAAACCATAAAAACCTTAGAAGAAAACCTAGGCAATACTATTCAAGATACAAGCATAGGCAAAGTCTTCATGATGAAAACGCCAAAAGCAATTGCAAGAAAAGCCAAAATTGACAAATGGAATCTAATTAAACTAAAGAGCTTCTACACAGTAAAATAAACTATCATCAGAGTAAACAGATAAGCTACAGAATGGAAGAAAATTTTCGCAATCTACCCATCTGATAAAGGCCTAATATCCAGAATCTACAAAGAACGTAAACAAATTTACAAGAAAAAAAAAATGACCCCATCCAAAAGTGGGCAAAGGATATGAGCTGACACTTCTCAAAAGAAAACATTTACGCAGCCAACCAACATACGAAAAAAGCTCACCATCACTGATCATTAGAGAAATGTAAATGAAAACCACAATGAGATACCATCTCATGACAGTCAGAATGGCGATTATCTATTTTTCTCTTTTCTCTGCCTTTAAACCTTCTCACCTCCATAAAGCTCTTCTGTTGTTCCCTTCTTATTTCTTGCCTTTTTTTCTGATGCCACCTGACACAATATTTTTGCCATCCATCACTTAATCTCTCTTGTAGTCTGCAATTTGAAAGTCCATACATGAAGCTCATTAGTATTGCTTTTCCCCATCCAAAAGCCCTCTCTCAATCACTGAAATTTGGAATATTGAAATTTTGACCAAACTGTTGGTTATGCTCTCTTTCCTTAAAAGTTTTTTTATTTAATTGTATCTATCACATTAAATTTATCAGGTTTTCCAAATTTCCTCATTCTATCTCTGTTCAAAGCAAATAATTCTCTGTATTTTTTTCACAATGTATTCTTGAGAAGTATTCACTGTTATCTCTAGACTTGGCCTTTCTTCTATGTAATTATTTGCCAGGTTTTAGTTACTCACTGGGCATTTATGCTTTAATGTTTTTCTGTCACTTCAAACTGAAAGCTTTAGAGAAAAACGAACAGGATTTCTTGTCAACCTAGTTCCTGTTTCTTATTTTGCTATTTCTCTTTTCATCTCAGCATTATCTCTGATGTCTTGCTTATGCCCACATACCAATACTGCCATGTCTTGTCTATGCTATTTTTTTAAACTTCCATTTCTCTCTTCTCAATGTTCCCATTACCTCAATTCTAATTCAGACATTTATAAGTCCTGCTTCAACCACATAAGATAAGGTATGTAAAGAAACTCTGTCAAATAACAACTTTAAAGTGAAATACAAATTACTCTTGCTACTCTTACTGTCACTACTATTTTACTACTACTATCACCACCATAAATTTCTAACTTGTTTCCTTGCTTTAAGTCTTTCTGTTCAGATACATCCTACATTTAACCACCTATTAATTTCTTAAAGATTTTCAGAATACAGACAAATCCCAATTTTAAATTTTAATGTCTCTCCAGTTTTAGTAGATTAAAATTTCAAAAATTTATATTTAAGACCCCATAGTAAGACACCAATCTGCTTTCCTTACACATGCTCTTCCTGAAAAGATTCCTGTCTATGCATCTTACCTCAAATATACCATCCATGTTAAAATTTGTTATACAATTCTGTTTATGCCATTCTCTGTGACTTCACTGTTCCACGCATGTTTCCAAAATCTCTTACTACCCACATAAAGTCCCTTCTCTTTGGTACTTACTATCTAAAGCAAGCAGTTGATACTTACTGCATACAACATTGTATTATTGTTTCCCATGAGTATGTTTAAAATACCACCTTGATTTGAAGCCCCTTGAAGCAAATAAAGATTTTAAAAATTATTTTATTTCCTTGGACAGTTGGCTTTCTAAACATATACTTTCACATTTAATTAATGAATTATTTTTAAGTACAAGTTCTCTACTTTGGGGTATAATAGAAAAAAAACTGTCATGGCTTGTACACATTCATTTAAAAACTGTAAAGCACTTATTCTTGTGAAATTTATTCTATTAACAAATAGTGCAAGAATGTTACCACCAAAATTATTTTAGTTTATATGGTAGAAATATTATTCTGCAAATGAATTTCCTTTCTATAATTAGAAAAGTTTCATGAGAAGGAGGTGAAATGCAATCCATGGCTTGCCAAAAGAATGAAATAATCAGAATTTTTGAAACTTGTCATGATTTTTTTACTTACCTGGACTGAAAGATAGAAAGGGACTAAAATAATTTGAGCCAACTGACCATGACACCTGAGTTAATTACTATTGGGGATTTGTATAATCTCGTAATACTAGTCAGCACTCTTGCAAAGGCATGACATTGACTAGGCAGGGGGAAGTGGGTAGAAGAGGGCAAATCCATTTCCATTATTAGAGAAATAGCCTAAAACACTGACTCCAATGAGGGAGGCTCACTAATATCATTTGAGGATATGAGGGACAAAATAATAATTTTTGTTATTGAGATTATTTATAACAAAATCATGCAATTCTTGAAAGCACTACCTTTCTTCAGAAACACAATCTGTAACACATTGTGGGAAAGATCCTAATTCATTTCTAGTACTTTCCTCAAAATAAAATTTAACAGTGGCTACATTTTTGCCTTAAATGAGAAGTTAATGCTAATTAATCATATGTGTGCTGTACTATTACCAATGCTCAATTTATATTAACTTTTTAAGTCCCCGCAATAATCCTATAAAGTAGAATTATTATTAACTCTAATAAAAATTAATGGATGGAATTTTGTATCATTTTCCTAACTGATAGCACCTTTAAATAAAATATTTCAGATGCTCTTCATATTTGTTTTTATAATTTGTATCCTGAAAAATCACTGCAGAAGAGAACACAACCAAACAGAACCAAAACAAAACAAAACCTTGTCCCTGAAAGGAGGAATGCAAAAGATTCTTGTAAATAATTCAGCCTTGAATGAATCAAGTCTTTCCGGTATTTGGCAGGGTATAGAAAACATTCATCTTTGGAAATAAGAAGACGGCAGACAGTCTCAAGGGCAGATTGAATATGGAATCTTTTGCAACTCAGCACTACAAAGTTCCCCTGTAGAGAACATATGTGCCATGGAAGAAACAAGCTGTTTACATTTTTCACATTTTAGAAGTTTTCTACTTTCCTATTTTCCCAATTTAAAAAGCTATAGATGTATAAAAACATACAAAAAAATGTACGTAGAGGTGAAAAGGTGGAAGTGGGGAAATTAAAATGTCTAGAAAGGATTGCATTTTTAAAATTTGAAATAATAGATACTTACAATAATCTTCTGGCTTGTACATTTTTATTTAAAATTATACAAATCTGAAAAAAACTGTATTGCATGGGATGATCGATTCTTATTTCATAGTGATTATTGATATCAACACATTATATGTACTGGCAAATTTTTAGACATATAAAGGACATATGCTGCCATTTCATATATATGATTAGTTTGTTTTCATAAAATTTTAGTTTGAAAATAATGAAATAATAGCCTTTGAGTTTCCTAATAATCTGTGTACCCTAAGATTGCAAAGTATTGTAATAAATATAATTTTTGAGTTTACAAAAGCGCATACTAGAAGAATATCAAGTATACTTATATTCCAGGGCTGAACCATCAAATATGTTAGCCACTAACTACATGTGGCTATATAGATTAATATTTTAATAAAATTAAAAATAAACATTCTGTTACTTAATTGTACTACCCACATTTAAGTGCTCAATAGTCATATGTGGCTAATGGCTACTGCATTGGATAGCACAGATATTTGACATTTTCATCATCACAGAAAGTTCTATTAGACAGTGATATTCCAGAATTATGTTCTTACAATTGTAAAACTTACAGTTTATTGTAATGCAAAGCCATTTACATTAGTGAATACTCAATATTTACTTATCATATGTAAATAAAATCAGTGTAAATATTTGTTTAAAATACAATAAATCAATTTATCAGAACATTCAATATAAGCTAATTATTTAATCTTAATTTTAAAAGATATTGTTCACATCAATACAAAGTCTTACTTTTCTGTATCTTGATATCTTAAATTTATACATCTAATTCCTTCTGTTCATTCAGTACCACAAAACACATAAGCATTATTTAATATTATATTCTGCATTTAAAATATAATTACTCAGTTTTATACTACAGACCCAGAAGAAATATTTTTGTAACATATTGCTTTCAAGTAATTGAAAGTATCTTGCCTAAACTTCTGAACTAATCTTAGGTAGTCAAGAATTGGATTTCCAAAATCTTCAGTTTTTAAAGTTCATTGGTTTCTGAATTATTGAAGCACACTAAGTTTAAATTGAACTTAAAATTGAAAAAGTGCACTTATCCCCCGCTTCTGGCTTAAAAATAACCAAAGGGATTTTGCTCAAACTTATGAGTCACTGAAATCCAGGAATTTTTACAAATGTTGAAGATTAGCTTAACTCTAATATTAACAACCTTGAATGAATTCATGTAAATTAGAGCTAACCCTAAAATGAAACAATTTTTAGAGATAGGCGTAGTCACTCTAATGAACAAGAAATTAGTCGCTCTATAGTCCTCCACATTTTAATCCATAGTTGAACAGTTCAAGTGGGCTGAATTCTGTATTAATCCAAGCACTGCCACAAATCAATCTCCATCTCGTTATTGAAATATATATATATATATATATATATACATGTAGAGGTACATGTATAGATAGTATTAAAATACTGAATGGAATTAGTCCCGTTTTAAAAGATAGTAGATAATAAATGCCTTCACGTGTTGAAGAAGATAGCACCTAAATATCAGACTTCCATTTTCCTCCAGAATGCCCCAAAAGACACCAGAGAACAATCCTGTGTCTCTCAACCTTAGTGCTCCCTACACGCCCATATAGGATAATACTGGAAAATAGAGAGGAATAATTAAGATAGTGGAGTTGGATAGGCCTATGAGAGAAAGCTTTGAGATTTCTCCTCCTCACTCAGTGGAGTGAGCTGGCATGCCTGACCCCTCAAGCTAAATGAATGGGTATTGAGAAAATCGTTTGTAAACACTGATGGTGTTTTCTAAAGGAAGGAATTTGTATCTTACCTGCTTCACAATAGAAGTTTGCTGAGCTATAGGGACTGGTGAGCTTATGGCAGTGCACCCAAATGGAGCTCTGTGAGATTTCTTGGAAGAAATTGTCATGTGCTACCTGAAATTTGGAGAGCATATGAATAGGCTGTTGCTTGCCTGTCAACTGTATAATTCTGAATAGGTGCGAGGCTGGCAGCTACAGCTCACGATATTAGGTTATGAGGAATGAGGGCAGAAGAAGAGCTAGCTAAACTTTCATTGTTTCTCAGGACAAGGATGTGTTGGTTTCCCTTGTATCAACTGGGTAGAAGAAGACAGCTGGTTCTAAGCCATCTTGAATGGTATTGTGCCAAAGAAGGTGGACTATTGGGATGAGCGATTCAGGCAGGAAGTTTTATTTATCATTTTATTTTATTTTATTTTATTTTATTTTTGAGACAGAGTCTCACTCTGTCGCCCAGGCTGGAGTGCAGTGGCACGATCTCAGCTCACTGCAACCTCCGCCTCCCAGGTTCAAGTGATTCTCCTGTCTCAGCCCCTTGAGTAGCTGGGATTACAGGACGCACCACCACGCCCAGCTAATTTTTGTATTTTTAGTAGAGATGGGTTTCACCATGTTGGCCAGGCTGGTCTTGAACTCCTGACCTCAGGTGATCCACCCGCCTTGGCCTCCCAAAGTGCTGTGATTATAGGCCTCAGCCACCGCACCTGGCCAGGAAGCTTTTCTTGAGTAGGTACTCAAGGAAAAAGCAGGAGCTGATGGGACTGGATTGTAAAAGTTCATGGCTTAATCAGGAAAGCATGAACTACAAAATTTCTTGGAGTTTCTAAAAGAGTTCCACAACTGTACCCTGTGAAAGATATAAAATGTGAAAACTTTTCCACAGAGCACCAATCATAAACATCTTTTGCCTCCCCTGCCCCCCCGTTTTCTTTTTATACTTTAAGTTCTGAGATACATGTGCAGAACATGCAGGTTTGTTCACATAGGTATACACATGCCATAGTGGTTGGCTGCACCCATCGACCCATCATCTACATTAGGTATTTCTCCTAATGCTATCCTTCCTCTAGTCCGCCACCCGTTGACATGCCCTGGTGTGTGATGTTCCCCTCCCTGTGTTCATGTGTTCTCATTGTTCAACTCCCACTTATGAGTGAGAACATGTGGTGTTTGGTTTTCTGTTCCTGTGTTTGTTTGCTGAGAATGATGGTTTCGAGCTTCATCCATGTCCTTGCAAGGGACATGAACTTATCACTTTTTATGGCTGCATAGTATTCCATGGTGTATATGTGCCACATTTTCTTTATCCATTCCATCACTGAAGGGCATTTGGGTTGGTTCCAAGTCTTTGCTATTGTGAACAGTGCTGCAATTAACATACATGTGCATGTGTCTTCATAGTAGAATGATTTATAATCCTTTGGGTATACATCCAGTAATGGGATTTCTGGATCAAATGGTATTTCTGGTTCAAGGGTATAATCCTTTGGGTATATATCCAGTAATGGGATTTCTGGATCAAATGGTATTTCTGGTTCTAGATCCTTGAGGAATCACCACACTGTCTTCCACAATGTTTGAACTAATTTCCACTTTTACCAACAGTGTAAAAGTATTCCTATTTCTCCACATCCTCTCCAGCGTGTTGTTTCCTGACTTTTTAGTGATCACCATTCTAACTGGCGTGAGATGGTATCTCATTGTGGCTTTGATTTGTATTCTCTAATGACCAGTGATGATGAGCTTTTTTTCATATGTTTGTTGGCCTTATAAATGTCTTCTTTTGAGAAGTGTCTGTTCATATATTTTGCCCACTTTTTGATGGGCTTGTTTGTTTTATTCTTGTAAATTTGTTTATGTTCTTTGTAGATTCTGGCTATTAGCCTTTTGTCAGATGGGTAGATTGCAGACATTTTCTCCCATTTTGTAGGTTGCCTGGCACTCTGATGATAGTTTCTTTTGCTGTGCAGAAGCTCTTTAGTTTAATTAGATCCAATATGTCAATTTTGGCTTTTGTTGCCATTGCTTTTGGTGTTTTAGTCATGAAGGCTTTGCCCATGCCTATGTACTGAATGGTATTGACTAGGTTTTCTTCTAGGGTTTTTATGATTTTAGGTCTTATGTTTAAGACTTTAATCCATCTTGAGTTAATTTTTGTGTAAGGTGTAAAGAAGGGGTCCAGTTTCTGTTTTCGGTATATGGCTAGCCAGTTTTCCCAACACCATTTATTAAATAGGGAATCCTTTCCCCATTTCTCGTTTTTTTTTTCAGGTTTGTCAAAGATCAGATGGTTGTAGATGTGTGGAGTTATTTCTGAGGCCTCCGCTCTGTTCCATTGGTCTATATATCTGTTTTGTTACCATTACCATGCTGTTTTGGTTACTGTAGGCTTGTAGTATAGTTTGAAGTCAGGTAGCCTGATGCTTCCAGCTTTATTCTTTTTGCTTAGGATTGCCTTGGCTATACGGGCTCTTTTTTGGTTTGATGTGAAATTTAAAGTAGTTTTTTCTAATTCTGTGAAGAAAGTCATTGGTAACTTGACAGGGATAGCATTGAATCAATTACTTTGGGCAGTGTAGCCATTTTCACAATATTGATTTTTCCTAGCCATGAGCATGGAGTGGTTTTCCATTTGTTTTTGTCCTGTCTTATTTCCTTGAGCAGTGATTTGTAGTTCTCCTTGAAGAGGTCCTTCATATCCTTTGTAAGTTGTATTCCTAGGTATTTAATTCTCTTCATAGCAATTGTGAATGGGAGTTCACTCATGATTTGGATCTCTGTTTGTCTATTACTGGTTTATAGAAATGCTTGTGATTTTTGCACATCGATTTTGTATCCTGAGACTTTGCTGAAGTTGCTCATCAGCTTACAGAGATTTTGGGCTGAGACGATGGTGTTTTCTAAATATAAAATCATGTCATCTGCAAACATAAACAATTTGGCTTCCTCCATTCTGATCTGAATACCCTTTATTTCTTTCTCCTGCCTGATTGCCCTGGCCAGAACTTCCAATACTATGTTGAATAGGTGTGGTGAGAGAGGGCATCCTTGTCTACTGGTTTTCAAAGAGAATGCTTCCAGTTTTTGCCCATTCAGTATGATATTGGCTGTGGGTTTGTCATAAATAGCTCTTATTATTTTGAGACATATTCCATCAATACCTATTTTATTGAGAGTTTTTAGCATGAAGCGGTGTTGAATTTTATCAAAGGCCTTTTCTGCATCTATTGAGATAATCATGTGTTTTTTTCATTGGTTCTGTTTATGTGATGAATTACGTTTATTGATTTGCTTATGTTGAACCAGCCTGGGATCCCAGGGATGAAGCCAACTTGATTGTGGTGTATAAGCTTTTTGATGTGCTGCTGGATTCGATTTGCCAGTATTTTATTGAGGATTTATGCATTGATATTCATCAGGGATATTGGCCTGAAATTTTGTGTGTGTGTGTGTGTGTGTGTGTGTGTGTCTGCCAGGTTTTGGTATCAGGATGATGCTAGCCTCATAAAATGAATTAGGGAGGAGTGCCTCTTTTCCTATTGTTTGGAATGGTTTGAGAAGGAATGGTACCAGCTCCTCTTTGTACCTCTGGTAGAATTTGGCTGTGAACCCGTCTGGTCCTGGGCTTTTTTTGGTTGGTAGGCTATTAATTACTGCCTCAATTTCAGAACTTGTTATTGGTCTATTCAGGGAATCGACTTCTTCCTGGTTTAGTCTTGGGAGGGTGTATGTGTTCAGGAATTTATTCATTTCTTCTAGATTTTCCAGTTTATTTGCATAGAGGTGTTTATAGTATTCTCTGATGGTAGTTTGTATTTCTGTGGGATCGGTGGTGATATCCCCTGTATCATTTTTTATTGTTTCTATTTGATTCTTCTCTCTTTTCTTCTTCATTAGTCTGGCTAGGGGTCTATCAATTTTGTTAATCTTTTCAAAAAAAACAGCTCCTGGATTCATTGATTTTTTGAAGGGTTTTTCATGTCTCTGTCTCCTTCAGTTCTGCTCTGATTTTAGTTATTTCCTGTCTTCTGCTAGCTTTTGAATTTGTTTGCTCTTGCTTCTCGAGTTCTTTTAATTGTGATGTTAGATGTCAATTTTAGATCTTTCCCGCTTTCTCCTGTGGGCATTTAGTTATATAAATTTCCCTCTAAACAGTGGTTTAGCTGTGTCCCAGAGATTCTGGTACATTGTGTCTTTGTTCTCATTGGTTTCAAAGAACTTATTTATTTCTGCCTTAATTTAGTTATTTACCCAGTAGTCATTCAGGAGCAGGTTGTTCAGTTTCCATGTAATTGAGTGGTTTTGAGTGAGTTTCTTAATCCTGAGTTCTAGTTTGATTGCACTGTGGTCTGAGAGACAGTTTGTTATAATTTCTGTTCTTTTACATTTGCTGAAGAGTGCTTTACTTCCAATTATGTGGTCAATTTTAGAATAAGTGTGATGTGGTGCTGAGAAGAGTATATATTCTGTTGATTTGGGGTGGAGAGTTCTGTAAATGTCTATTATGTTCGCTTAGTGCAGAGCTGAGTTCAATTTCTGGATATCCTTGTTAACTTTCTGTCTCATTGAACTGTCTAATGTTGACAGTGGGGTGTTAAAGTCTCCCATTATTATTGTGTGGGAGTCTAAGTCTCTTTCTAAGTCTCTAAGGACTTGCTTTATGAATCTGGGTGCTCCTGTATTGGGTGCATATATATTTAGGATAGTTATCTCTTCTTGTTGAATTGATCACTTTACCATTATGTAATAGCCTTCTTTGTCTCTTTTGAGCTTTATTGGCTTAAAGTCTGTTTTATCAGAGACTAGGATTGCAACCCCTGCTTTTTTTTTTTTTTTTTTTTTTTTTTTGCTTTCTTTATGCTTGGTAAATATTCCTCCATCCCTTTATTTTGAGCCTATGTGTGTCTTTGCAGGTGAGATGGGTCTCCTGAATACAGCACACTGATGAGTCTTGACTCTTTATCCAATTTTCAAGTCTGTGTCTTTTAATTGGTGCATTTAGCCAGTTTACATTTAAGGTTAATATTGTTATGTGTGAATTTGATCCTGTCATTATGATGTTAGCTGGTTATTTTTCCCGTTAATTGATGCAGTTTATTTATAGCATTGATGGTCTTTACAATTTGGTATGTTTTTGCAGTGGCTGGTACCGGTTTTTCCTTTCCATATTTACTGCTGCCTTCAGGAGCTCTTGTAGGGCAGGCCTGGTGGTGACAAAATCTGTCAGCATTTACTTGTCTGTAAAGGATTTTGTTTCTCCTTCGCTTACAAAGCTTAGTTTGACTGGATATCAAATTCTGGGTTGAAAATTTAAGAATTTTGTATTGATTCTATCCAAAAAGAATTAGAAATAACAGAAAATGGACCATGGCTTCTTATTTACAAAAGATTCCCAAGCCGTGAATCACACACTAGTTAGGGGGAGGAGGTGGGCTGGGAATTTTCAATTATGCGATAGGAAAATTTTAATATGAACATGGCAAGCTGTATTAATTCCTGAAGGTTACTAGAAAGCTGTGGGATTTTTCTGAGATGTCATAGGTCAGAGAAGAGTGCAAATCAAGCACGTTGGAAAGCAGGAGTTGCATTAGAATAAAGATGTTTGCTACTTGAGCTCCCAACAAATTTAGGCCTTTCAATACATTGTTACATATATATAAGTCAAATTCTTTTCTAGATGGTCATCTCAAAAATGAGTGTCATTGGTTAAAATGGTGAGTGAATGAGAGAAGATGTATGCTACTGGTAATTGATCACTGATACAAAAAAGGAAGATACACTGAAAACCTATAGGATAAAAGCATGAGTAGTTATCTCAGGTTTTTCAAGTACACTCGAACAATTTTTGTTCAACCTTTCCAATTTTTCTTTGATAGAAAAGAAAGAAGTTGAAGTCGAAGAGTTATATTTTCTCACAGTTTTCTGTATATACTAATATTACACCATTTCACTTAGAAATAGACTCTTTCCCCTTGTTTGTTTTTGGTTTTGTCTTTACTGCCAACATAAGTTAAAGTTTCTTTCTTATTTGTTTCCTTAAGTATTTTTTTCCCTCAGATGTTAGCTTATTGTAGGATATATTTTCCTTTCACTTTGTCTTACAAATTTTGTTACTTTTTGGCTTGCCCTTCAGTATAAACCTTTTCTTCTGTAATTTGTACATGATCTAAAATCTAAGCTTATAAAAAATGTGTATGTACCTGAATGTTTCTAAACTTCTACACCTATTTTTCAGTTCCTTGTAATCATGAATAATAATTTCAACATATCAGTTTAATAGTTGTTTTGATGCAATTTCCTCTTTGGCAATATGTTGTTACATAATTCAGCTATTATTTAAGTTTTTTCATAACAAGTTTTACTAAACTATAGAATGTAGTCAATACCTAGAGATCCTTTTTATTTTATATTTACAAATTAATATAATTGAGTAAATCTCTTCCAAATTTTTAGTCAATTTCCCTTCACTAAGTTCTTTAATACAAGTTAAAATGCAAATCCCTGCATTTTCTTTTTGCAGGATGTGACTTGCATAAAGAAAGTAAAACAAAAATTTGAAGTTCTTCATTTTTATGTTTTTTTTTTGTCAGATTTCCAACCTCGAATCATAAAGCCGTATTCTCTGTATGATTTGGTGGTCTTCCTTATTTTTAAAGATTTTTAGATACGTTTCACAGGTCTTTTTGTTACCCAAATGTTTATGCCCATTCTTTCATCTTTTGGTTTGTACGTATTACTATGAGAATATATTACATCTTTATGAAAAAAATAATTATACTAATTTGTGCTTTCCCTCAGAACATTGCTATATTAGAATTCTCTTTCTTAAATATGAGGTAGTGAATAGATTTTTAAAATAATTTTATTATTGTTGCTGATGTAATTCTTCATTGGATTATATTGACAGAATGTCACTTATACAATGTAATTTTTGGAATAGGTTATGCTTTTATTTGGGGCCAAGTCCATGCTTAGTTTTAATGAGGGAGTGAAGAATGGATTTATACATTTATATTCTCTGCTTTTAGGGCACACATAGCCACCAAACAAAATATACTTGTTCACATTGTGTAATTATTGCTGTGATGGTTATTTTATGTGTCAACTTGACTTGGTTGAAGGATGCTCAGATAGGTGGTAAAACATTATTTCTGGGTGTATCTGTGAGAGTTTCTGGAAGAGGCTAGCATTTGAATCCATAGACTTAGTAAAGAAAATTGTTCCCACCAATGTGAGGGGGCCTCATCCATTCTGTTAAGAACAAATCCATTGAATACAACAAAAAGGCAGAGAAAGGGCTGATTTGCTTCTCTTCAAGGCTGGTACACCTATGTTCTCCTGCCCTTAGAATCAGAGTTCCTGGTTTATATAGAACTCCGACTAATCACAATCTCTTTTTAATAGAACTGCATTATAAACTCTCATTACAATCATTTTTTTAAACACATTCTACTTGTATTTCTGGGACTCTTTAGTTGTAGACAATATGAACTTTACAACTTCACACCTTACTACTTGTTTCTCAAAACAAGTGAATTCTCTCATACAACCATAATGTAATTCAATTATATAATATACAACACATATTTAAATGTATCTGATTATCCTACTAATGTCCTTCATCGTAGTTTATTCTAGTCAACATCTGATAGAAATAGCTCCCTGCATTCAGTTTTCGTATGCAATTTACTTTTGCATTCAAAATATTTGTAGGATTCTAATATATTAATTCAAGTAGTCTAGTTCATTTATTTCTAATAGTTCATCTATGAAATATACATATATAAAATTTATGTGTGTGTATATATAGAGATAATGTATATGTAGAGAATGTATATACAGAGAATATATAGAGAGAATACATATAAACAGATTATATATACAGAGAATATATATGTGTGTATACATACATAGAATGCATATGCGTGTGTATACATACCTAGAACGTGCGTATGCGTGTGTGTACATACCTAGAACGTGCGTATGCGTGTGTGTGCATACCTAGAACGTGCGTATGCGTGTGTGTGCATACCTAGAACGTGCGTATGCGTGTGTGTGCATACCTAGAACGTGCGTATGCGTGTGTGTGCATACCTAGAACGTGCGTATGCGTGTGTGTGCATACCTAGAACGTGCGTATGCGTGTGTGTGCATACATAGAACGTGCGTATGCGTGTGTGTATATAGACATAGAACGTGCATGTGTGTGTGTATATAGACATAGAACGTGCATGTGTGTGTGTATAGACATAGAACGTGTATGTGTGTGTGTATATATAGAGAGAATGTGTATGTGTGTGTGTATATATACATAGAATGTGTATGTGTGTGTGTATATATACATAGAATGTATATGTGTGTGTATGTATACATAGAATGTATATATGTGTGTGTATGTATACATAGAATGTATATGTGTGTGTGTATGTATACATAGAATGTATATGTGTGTGTGTATGTATACATAGAATGTATATGTGTGTGTGTATGTATACATAGAATGTATATGTGTGTGTGTATGTATACATAGAATGTATGTGTGTGTGTATGTATACATAGAATGTATGTGTGTGTGTATACATACATAGAATGTATATGTGTGTGTATACATACATAGAATGTATATGTGTGTGTATACATACATAGAATGTATATGTGTGTGTATACATACATAGAATGTATATATGTGTGTGTATACATACATAGAATGTATATATGTGTGTGTATATATACAGAGAATGTATAGAGAAATCATTTCATATATTTCATATACATATATAATTTATCTATACATTCTCTTTGTGTTGACATTTAGGCAGTTTCCCACTTTTTTTCATCATTATAAATCATACTGCTATAATCATAATTACAAATGTCTTTTTTTTTTTTTTTTTTTTTTTTTTTTTTGAGACGGAGTCTCCCGGTGTCTCCCAGGCTGGAGTGCAGTGGCGCGACCTCGGCTCACTGCAGGCTCCGCCTCCCATTTTCACGACATTCTCCTGCCTCAGCCTCCCGAGTAGCTGGGACTACAGGCACCCGCCATCCGGCTAATTTTTATTTTTTTTTCTGTATTTTTAGTAGAGACGGGGTTTCACCGTGTTAGCCAGGAGGGTCTCGATTTCCTGACCTCATTATCTGCCCGCCTAGGCCTCCCAAAGTGCTGAGATTACAGGCATGAGCCACCGCGCCTGGCCACAAATGTCTTTTTTATTGATGTGGGCATATTTTATTTTGTGCATAAGCTACAAAAGTAATTGTTGTTTATGGTGGTAGACACATGAACATTTGCAATAGACACTATTGAATTATTCTTCGAATCAGTTCTACCAATTTAGATATCCACCAACAATGAAATAAGTGCCATTGTAACTCATACCTGACAGTGGTTGGTAATTTTAGACTTAAACTTTGGACAATCTGAGTGACGTAGTCTACTATGTCACATTGTGGTTTGATTTTATGTTTTCATTATTGTCTATGAGGTTGAGCTTGAATTGAATAGCTTGTTAGCCATTTCTGTTGCATATTAGGTGCCTTTCAGCTTCATGTTTTTTGCAGATTTTTGTTCTGAGTTGTCATTTACCTATTGATTTGCAGAACATTTACTTACTTAAGATAGTAAATCTCCTTCATTCATATGTGTTTCAAAAACTTTATCCAGTGAGTGGTTTTATGTATGTAAATATATATATGTATGTGTGTGTGTGTGTGTGTGTGTGTGTATATATATATACACATATATATACACATATATTTACATATATACACATATATATACATATATACACATATATACACATATATATGTGTATATATACACATATATACACATATATATGTGTATATATACACATATATACACATATATATGTGTATATATACACATATATACATATATATACACACACATACATATATATATACACACACATATATATATATATACACACACATATATATATACATATATATATATATATATATATATATATATATATATATATATATAGATGTCCAGTTGTTCCCATGCTATTTGGTAAAAAGAGTATCTTTGTTCTTAGGTCAGTTGAATATATTCATGTGGGTCTTTTTCTGGGCTATCTATTCTGTTCCATTTATTTTTGTTGTTGTTGTTGTTTATTCTTTCACCAATACCACACTACCTTGATTACTGTAGCTCTGTGGTAAGTTTTGACGTATGGTAGTATCTGTGCTCCAATGTATTTTTTCTTCAATATTGAGTTGTATATTCCTAGGCAAACGAATAATTATATCCCATATTCATTTCTACATTCATATCTTTCAATCAAGCTAAAAGAAAGGAAATGTGTTTAACTTTTTAGAAAAAAAACTAAAATTGTCTTGGAGTCAAGTTGATGGGAAATACATTTTGAATAACTTTGAATGCCTGCAGTTCAAAAAAAAAAATGACTATGATGGATCCACCATGAAACATAGAGAATAATGCAATTTTCTTTCTGCTCAACCAGATAATTAATTCAGTTGCCTCTAGAGTAAATCAACATATTCAGGCAAGGATAAATAATAGAAGGATTCAAAAATAAATTTTAAGAATAAGAACAAATATCATCAAGTTTCATTAATGGTTTCTGTTCATAACCAATTCTTTCTCTGTGAATATACCACCAATTTTCCCCATTCTCTAAGATTGTTACACTGGCATACAAATATGTGAGATATTGTTTTTAATTTTGCCTTCCTAAAACCTGAATTTAAGAGGAAAAAATACTGAAACATTACTTTTAAATCTGGAAAATGTTTTCTTCTTGCTTTTATTAATAGTATGCATGATATATATGAATCAAGCAGCTTTTGTATAGCATAAAATTAAATAACAAAGGTACCAACAGAATTTGGTCATTGTTTTTTGAAAGACACTATTTTAAGTTTGTAATACACTCTAAAGGTAGAAACTATTCTATTTAAAATAATTTTTTTGAGATTCAAAGCATATTATATGTTGATTTCCCATTATTTTACTATATATCTTGAGAGAAGGAAATATTCATAGTTCATCTGTGATTATAACGGTAAGATACCAAAAAACAAATCCTGAATTTTGAATTTTGTCATGTATACAAGAAGGGTAAGCAGGTCACGTACTTGTTTCAAAACAGCAATTTCATAGTTGGCATATAAGCAGCAAATCGTAGCACTTGTTTACTTATTTAATTTCAAATCTAAAATAGATATAGTTGATCATTTGAACATGTGATTTAGAGAACCAAATTGTTTCTAGGACACACATTGAGAAAAGCATTGCACTTATATTAAAAAGACCACTGGAAAGAACAACAGTTTTCAAGAAAAGGATGCATACTCTCTAAACATTATTTGGGTATTAGAAATTATTGCTCATTCAATGAACAGATATTTATTAAGTGCCTACCAGATTCTAGACAATGCTCTATGAACTTGGGATATATCAGAAAATAATAATAAAAAAAGAACTGTTCTAAAGCTCAAATTATAGCCAAGTGAGACAAATAATAAAGCATAAACATAACAAATGGGTAAATTTTACAGTAAGTGAGAAGGTGGTACATGGCATGAGGCTCAGAGGAGGAGAACAGACAGGGGAAAAGTTTCAAGTTCAAATAAATTATCAATAGGACCTCAGATTAATTGCACTTCATAGAAAGACATCATTTAAATAAAGAAAGTGAAGGCATTCGCTAAATTCAGGCAGAGGTCCTAAGCAACAAGCAAACCTGGAGTAATTAGGGATAGCAAGGAGACCATGTAGCTAAAATGGAAGGAGCACAGGGGAGATATAGTCAGAAAAGGAACAGCGGCAAATTGAGGTAGAACTTTGTAGACAATTATAAGGATTCTGGACTCTGATAATACGGAGAGCCAGTGGAACACCTTGATCTCTGGAGTGAATGACAGGACAAGTTTTAAAAACACTATTCTGGTAGTTGTGTTGGAAGTACACGATAGGCAGACAAGGGTGGCGGTTGGGCAACCCATTAATGGAGGCAGTGGAGTCCTGAAGTCAGCTCACTAGGCACTTGACTACATGTTGGTAGCTTGAAGTGGACCATGGAAGGAATATTTACACCCAGGAAATCAGCAAATACTCCAACTCAGGTCTTCTAATTAATTAATTTAATCATGATACTCTATCATTTAATGTACATGAAAATGTTTTGGGGTTTTTGTTTGTTCTTTCATTTGAATTCTTTAGTGTAGGGTTACCTTTGGCCTACTACATTAGCCATTAATGTTTGTTTCTATTGTTCTTTGGGATTGTCTATATTTATGAGTGAATCAATGAGTGAATCAGTTTTAAATAGTGCTTTCAGGTTGGATGAAGCAGTCTAGGTTGTTCATACAAAAATTCATTAACTCCCACACTTTCTTTTAAATGGAGCTTCAATTTTACTAAGCTAGTCATAGGCATCTTGCTTCTTTTTTTTTTAAATATTGATTTAGGATTGGGCACAAGACAAAAGTATGACGAATTAGTCCAAGATCAAATTAAATCTGTTATATATGGTGAAATCTAATTAGATCCATTATCTACAGTATTCTCACAAACCGAGAGGCACATAACCAATTCTTTCTCTGTGAATGAGAGATGGCCTTATATTTTATTGGCGGTTGCCATGTTTGGACATGATAATTGGAAATGTGATAGTTATTCTGCAATGTTGCAAAGAGCTGTCCTGAGGATCATGCTTCCAAGCTAAAAATATCAGATTGAAAAAATTGGAAGAATCTGGAACCCTGATAATGCCTCTGAGCAACTAAACTAACCAATCAAGAAAACTTCCTCCCTTTTTCCTGCTCATTATGTGAAATGATTTAAAAAATTCCTTAGGACTCAAGTAAGTTTGAGTCAATGTCCTATTATTTGCTGTTGATGGCATCTTAACTACAAAGAAGACAAAAAATTCAAAAGGTGTTTCTCTTATTTTTAAATATGTCATTCAAATATCAACACTGTCACTATCATTGGCAATCCTTTCATTTACAGTTGGGTTTAATCCAAGATGTAGAACAATTTGATATTAATTATTTGTAGATGATTGCAAACATTTGAAACTAGTAGATTAACACTATAATCTTTTTTTTTTTTTGAGACAGGGTTTCACCCACAAATACAGCTCACCTCAGCCTTGACTTTCCCAGACTCAAGCGATCCTCCCTGCTCAGCCCCTGCAAGTAGCTGGGACTACAGGCACATGCAACTACACCCCGCTAATTTTTGTATTTTTTATACAGACAGGGTTTTGCCATAATCCAAGCTGGAACACTATAATCCATTTTAATGCAACAATTAACCTGGTAATATAGTGCCTACTTTTGCCTATCAGTAACCATCAAAATCTGGATTCAATTGATATTTATGTAGGATATATTGAATCATATTATAATATTATTTTGGTTTATCCTGTGAGTTTGTTGTTTTCATTCCAATTTACAGATTATAAAACTGAGGCTCAAAGGGATAACGTAATGTGTAATTCAGTATTGACATTTGTGCCAACTCCATTAGTAGAATATGAGAGCTTAATGTGTTGTACTACTGATTCTTAATTTGATATTCAGTTATATTCCTGTGTACATTTTTTGTGTGTATTCATCTACAATATAGTAAGTATATGTTTTCATACACTCACACACACACACATATACTACAGTCTTCTAAAGTTTGATATCATTGAGCATATCAATAAATATTTGTGAATTGTTTAAATATATAAAGTAAGAGCCTTGTTGGTGTATTCATGTTGATTTGTCAATATGCTATAAAAATATCAGATTTGGTTTTCAGTTTTTCATGTTTGATATACTTTTAAAATGTATAGGACAGAACATTTTAGAGCATTAAAATCACTATCAAGATAATAAAACCATGGTAACTTGTTTTAACATAATTTAAAAATGTGGAGCATGAAACAAAATGTACTGTATGATTGTATAATGAAAATTGTATTTATGAACAGGCAGTACTGAAAGCTAATTAACTACAAAATTATTTGTCTTAGAGACTTAGAGTGTTTTCCTATATTTTCTTCAGTATTCCTTTTACCTTTTAACGTTCACTTATTGTAAAACTATAAATATGGCCTTAATTTTTTATTGTAGACAATTTCCAAGTAGCATTGGTCTTACACTTCTACAAAAATGGCACTAAAATTCAGTAATCTGTCTTCCCTTTTACAAAAAAAAAAAATTAAAAAACCTGAAGTGCTAGTTTGGTGGTATCTGTATACTCAATGTTGAATGTAGCTTTTGGACTTTAACGGGAAAATTTGAACACCGTAACAGTCAAATTGAGTAATTCAGACGTCTAGGTCCCAAATCCTGCTGTAGTTCCCTATGCCCTTTAGATGGTCTGTATAATCACTTTAATTCTCCACTCAGTGTCTGTATTTACACATCATCATATTGATCAAATACTCTGGAAAAATAGATTTTCTGAAAGTATGATTGTTTATATTTCATAAATCCTTTGAGATTACATTTATCCAGAGTCAAAACCTATCTCTGAAACCACACAGTGCCAAACTGTACAAATTAGACACAAAGCAAAGAAAATAGGAGAATAGATAGATTAATTTTCATGTTATCTTTTCCCCTCAGCCCCTGGATTTATTTGCCTAATTGTTCCCAAGGTAATGGAGTTTGAAAATTCACTTTTACTAATCACTGTTTGTCAGAGATCAAGAAGTTGTGACCTTCTAAACTCTCCCAAGACCCTTTCCTTATTACTGAAACAAACCATTTCGCCATTTCTCCATAGAGGAGGCCAAATGGAATAGATTCCCAAATGGAAATGTGAAAGAAGCAAACAAAATAACAAAAAACTTAGTCTAACTTTGAACATCCTCAGAAATGCTTACCTGTATTGATAGAGCACAGATATATCTGCATCTTTTCTACGATCAACGGTTTTTAAGTTTTTAAAGTATTTTTACTTATGTTTTAATATGCTAATTATGTAGATAATGGAAACTATTTTACCACAAATATCAAACAACAATGAGTATTTATGATACTCATTCCAACTTTACAGGTTACAAAAGTGATCCTCAAAGAGGGAACCTAATTCAAATTTACTATTGACATTTGTGCCAAGTCTATTAATATGTTATAATATGTAATGTGTTACATAATATGCTACATATATTATAATATGTAAATGTGTTTAATGTGTAACAATGGTTCTTAATTTGATATGTAATTATACTGCTGTGTAAATATTTTTGGATATCTAGCTACAATACAGATATGCAAGCACATGTCTATATGCACACAAACACACACACACACGCTTACAGGCTTCCAAAGTTGGATACCATTATGTACATCAGTAAACATTTATAATTACTTAAATATATAAAGTAAGAGGCTTGATGGTATAGTTTCCCTGTCTTTGTTAAAAACTGTGAATGAATGTTGCATAGCAGTATAGAGTAGATTTGTCCTCAATAAACCATACACTCTTCCAGGGGTGCTTAATATAGGTTATCCGTGTATGTAAACAATGAAAGAGCTAATTTCAAAAGTATGAAAACACATAAAACTCAAGATGGCATGTTACCTTCTAAAATGTGGAAAGAATAGGAGATTCATTACGGGGATTTGTAAGTGAATAATGTGATAATTTATATAATATGATATGATATACATAAAATATACTATACTATAATATATATAATGGAATGTATTATATTTAGGATGCCTCTTTTAGAATGAATATTGGTGAAGGAAATGTCATAATCCTTACCAATTTTTGTTTTTATTTTCAAAGGGTAAATGTGGTAAATACATGAAGGACATAGTGGTTTTTCAATAGGTTGATTTGTCAGGAATATTTTGGCAGTGGAGATTTATAAGAGATGTGAGAACAAGATTTAAATGGCTTCTGATCACATATAATGAAACATAAGCATAATTTAAATTCATAAATACACTGTTGATAAGCAATATGGAAACAAAAGACTAATACTAGAAGCCTAAGATTATTCTTAATCTTATTCTTTGCTAGTTTTTATTTCTTTACTGAATGGTTTACTTGTGACCACAGTATTGTACATTCTAGTACCTTATTCACAATATATATGCATTTCCATTAGTTTCCTGTGTTGATTCCATGAAGTTTCTGTTTTTGTTCAGGGGATTTCACTTCCATATCAAATATATAAATCATAACTGAGTAGTTGACAATATGCAGGTTTATGTGCCCCACACAATCAGTTAATTATATTAAACAAAATACTTGGAAAAACATTGAAGGATGGTTTAGGTTATTTTAAGTATGGATACGTTTTTTCATTTATGCCTCTGATCATATGTATAAATACACATATAAATACATATATATGTGTTTATTAATATATTAACTCTTAGAAAGATTATAAAATTATTTATAGGTTGGACAGTGTTTTAAAAAAAACCCTTACAATAACACTATCAATCGTATATTTTTCTAAACATATTAGTGAGAGAAATGTAAAATAAAATATGTAAGATTTTGGAAACCTGAAGCTGAAAAATTGGTCTTACTTCTACCTATGCTATAAAAAGAGTAGGAAACCTTAACATAAACAAATGCATTACATATTGTAGGCAGGAAAAGATCAGCTTTTAATATCTGATATTTAAATTATTTGCTATACTTTAATTTTATTCCTTTAAGTTTTTTAAGTTTCAAAATTTTATCAAGTCAGAGAAAATTAAAAATGAAAAAAATCACCCATAATCCTACCATTATAGTAAAAATTTTGGTTACTTTTTCTGCCCAGTCTTTTTCACATTTTTAATATATTAATAATCACAATATATGTACCTTTTTTTCCTCTTACACTTTTCACTTGTCATTACACCATAGGGTTGCCTATGCTGCATTGTGGCATAATTATAAGATCAAGTGAGTGAATAGATTTAATAATTATTTACACAGTAATTTTATAAATTATTGATTATTTCAAATCACCATGAATATACCTGATCACATCTGATCTCATTTAATCAAAGCAGATTCTGGCCCCAGAATTTATGAAATTAGAGTATCTGGAAACCCCAAGTTCTGCAATCTTGTCTTAAAATGCAGCATAGCTCAAGGATTAATAGTCTAACTCTAGAATCATAAGACATCGGACTTCTTTTAACCCACTTTGTGACTCTGGAATTTGCAGCTCTTATTATTATTATTATTTTTTAAGACAGGGTCTCGCTGTGTCGCCCAGGCTGGAGTATAATGGAACAATCTCAGCTCACTGTAACCTCCACCTCCTCAGTTCAAGCTATTCTCCCACCTCAGCCTCTTCAGTAGCTGGGATTACGGGCACCGACATTATGCCTGGCTAATTTTTGTATTTTTGTAGAAAGGGGGTTTCACCATGTTGGCCAGGCTGGTCTTGAACTCCTGACCTCAAGTGATCCACCTGCCTCGGCCTCCCAAAGTGCTCGGTTTAGAGGCGTAAGCCACTGCACCTGGCCTGAATCTCTTTAAAGCTTGGTGTTGTAATATGTAATGTTGAAAAATGACACCCCTATGAGTATTAAATATTACTGTGTATTATGGAATTTGGTTTTCATGTGCAACCTCTAGTCACAGATAGTTGGATTTGTATATTGGTTGCTCCACTACTAGTTTATTATATTGAATGAATAATTTTACCTCCCTGAACCTCAGTTTTCTCATCTATAAGATCAGAATAATAAAATAACGAACACAGTGGGATTTTGTTTTCATTAAATGATATCCATGTAAAACAATTAGAGAGTCTTACACATGATAAAAGCACAGTAGATTTTAGCAGTGGTTGTATTAGTAATCATAGTAATAGTAGTACTAGTAGTAAAATTCAGTCAATGTTGGTGTTTTATTTTTTCTTTTTTTGCATTTGTCAATAATGCATAATTTTTATAGTATATAGATTATCTAGTTTTTTAAAATTAGTGTGCTTTGTTGTATAAAGTCTAACAAGTTGCATTGCTGGATCAAAAATACGAATAATTTTAGATTCTAAAAAGTATTCCCAAAGTACTGTGTAACTACACTAGCAGGGGCAGGATAATGCAATGTCAGTTTCACTGGCCCTTACTCACTAAATTATAATTACAAGAACAAAATGGCAGCTCATTGCTTTTTAAATATTAACTGTTCGATTAATAATGACTTTAAAAATTTTGTTACCATTTTTTGAGAATTGATTGTCTTCAACTTTCCTCATTTTTATCACTGCATACTGTATAACAAATATTTTATCAGAATATTTTAAATTTTTTCTTTTTCTTTTTTTTTTTTTTTTTTGAGACGGAGTCTTGCTCTTTCGCCCAGGCTGGAGTGCAGTGGCACGATCTCGGCTCACTGCAAGCTCCACCTCCCGGGTTCACGCCATTCTCCTGCCTCAGCATCCGGGGTAGCTGGGACTACAGGCGCCCGCCACCACGCCTGGCTAATTTTTTGTATTTTTAGTAGAGACGGGGTTTCACCGTGTTAGCCAGGATGGTCTCGATCTCCTGACCTCGTGATCCGCCCGCCTCTGCCTCCCAAAGTGCTGGGATTACAGGCGTGAGCCACCGCGCCCGGCCTTTAAATTTTATCTTTCCCCCATAGCTGCTGACAGAAGTGATTCTAGTTTGAGTCCAGATCAAGCAATAAAAATGAATTAAGTTTAAATATACAATGGCTAAATTTATAGTGGAATCATTTTTAATTCCATGTTTTAGTATACCATTTGCAACCTATTTATATGAAAATATCCATCGATTATGGAAATAATTGCCAAAAACTTTTCTAACAAATTGTTATAAATAATTTTATTTTTGTTTATAAGCCTTATAAGGCTTCATTATTCAATGCATGTTTTCAGAGACTTGACCTCAAGTCAGTCAATATATTCATGAAATGAGAGTTGAAAAGATATCACAACAGCAACTATACATTTGGAGTAGAAAACAGGTATCACTGAGTATGCTGAATTCTGAATAATGATTTAAGTAAATGCTGTCCTTCAAACTCGGGTGTGCATGGCCTCACTCCCTAAGGAAATCAGTATTTACCAATCTTATGCAAGTGCAATCCTTAGGCTACCGCCTGACACCTCCAGGCAGTATTTTTGTCTTCCCTCACTCTGCTCTGCTACCACCTTGTTCATAGTTCTTTCACAGCACTTGCCTGTAATTTTTGGCTTACATGTCTGAATCTTCTGTTGGACACCTAGCCCCTGGAGGTCAGGTCCTGTCTCTTTATTTGTGTAGCTTCTGTACCTGGCATGATACCTCATTGGAAAATGAATCAATTTTGAATGAACGACTGACCACTGAGATGGTAGACAGACAGAAGATCTAATAAAAGAGCAGCTTAGGTTGGAAGCCTAATCATGTACCTAAGTCTAAAGTAAAACTCTGTAAGACATCAGTGACAGAACCACAGCTGTTGATAGTGTTGGTCTAATTCTTTTTTTATTTTAAATTCTCTTCCTTAAATATATGCATTTATACTTTTCCTTTTTTATTATATATCCTACATGCAAAATCAAATGTAATTGAAAACAAACGACAAACAAAAGCTCTTCTATGGTCAAACTAAAATAACTATGCTTAATAACTAATGTCATTTTTTTTTCATGTAATGAGCTGCTTTGACTTGCCCTGAGGCTAAGCTTTTTTGAATATATAAATGCTCTAAGGTTTAAAGTGTATGACCAGAGGATCTCCTGTATTATCAGAAAGCCTGATAAGGAAATGCGGTGTGTCTTTTTATTATACTTAGTCACTGTAAATGTAGGTGAAAATATATTTATTTATAGGCTTTTTACATTGTTAATGACCTGTTGCAAAGCTAAGAAAAAATAAATAAACTTACAGATGATGGCTCTAATGAAAAATATAACAGAAAATTAAATTCCATTTTCAAAATTACCATTTTTCCTCTGGCCTAAATAAGACATTTTCAAAAGCAGATGCATTTGGGGGCATATAGGTTAAAGCAACACTAGAGGTATAAAGAAACCATAATGTGCTTTTATTACTTGAGTTTTTACAAAGAGTTTTGGGATAACTCAATTGTATTATCACCATTATTGAGTAAAACATGTAGCACTTTACCACGGCAACAGGAACACCTGCTAGCAAAGCTGTTGAACTGTAAGTTTCCCTATTGTTCAATTCAACTAACAAGCTGCTTTAAACTGCCTCCTAATACCTGTGTAACATCAGTAATTGTATTCTTCCTGTCCACTCTTGGGGCATATTGTAGAGAGCTATTCATCAATTATCGAGATTCTTTTTTATTCTCCAGAGGAACCAAAAAATTGTAAGCTAGAGGATTTTAACGGCAAAATTTCTAACTGTATTTACTGTCTTACACATGATAAGTACACATGATGTACTTAAGTGTAAGTACCTCTTTACACATATATTTCACATTCCTTTGAGAAATATGTCAGAAATTATAAATCTCAGTGAAAACCCGTCTTGAATGTGGCCAATATACTGTTTCCATCATGTAAAATAATAAATCTCTAGCTTTAAAAGCTGATGTCTTTAAAATTTCTTGCTAATTATATTAATATTATAATTTTAAGTATTATTGTTCATCCAAAGAATATTATTGCTGATCATCAGTTATACAGAAATAAAAGTCATTGATAATTTTCATTATGTTTAAAATCTTTGACATATAGCTTTCCATGTTGACTAGATATGCACTATAAAGTTGAAATGCGTATTTGCATACTGAGTAATTCTAAAATGTAAACTACATTCCTTAATATTAATGTGGTTTAAATGACACCAGTTATCTATGTCTATGATTCATATTGCCGAGATGTTCCTCTTTCCCAGAATGATGTACTGTCACTGTCCTATTCGTTTTGAATGTTGTATTCATAAGGGTTTTGTGACTAGACATCACCGTAAATCAATGTTATTGGACTATATTTTCAAACAAAACATTTACAGACAGTCATCTCACATTCCACACTCAGAGTGCAACACTTGCATGAAGGTCAGATAAAGTCGCTATCAACTTATGGATTAGTTTATTGAAAGAGTAAATGAAACCAACAATTTTTGCAATACCTTAATAATGGGTTTAATGTATTCATGCTTCACTCCAGAATTCCTAATAGTCTTAAGAGCTCTGCTAGAATTGTAAAAAACAAAACAAAACAAAAAATTAGGGGCATATACTTGAGGTTGTCTTTTCTTAAGAAGCACAGGAACTATTCAAAACACTTGGTTTATATCAAGACTTTAGAAAGTGTTTGAAAATATTAGCAATGTCACAGTTTACTTCAAAATAGGCGTGATTCATTTATGATCATTTACTGCTTACTGGATTGGTATTCATGGTTGAAGTACAGAATTAACATTTGTTTGAATAAAATACCTGATCAACTACTACTTTTTGATTTTTTTTAAATGTCTGGAAGTTTCTCTCATTGAAGTAAACATCCATCTTAATTTTCTTTTTACAGCAATTTGGTGTAGTGGAGATCACAAGCAGTTTGTGGCTACAAATATTCATATGTAATGTTCTATAAGGTTTTATTTTTCTATTTTCATTTTCTCTATTCATATGGCTTAAAAGGAAAACCATGTGTATACTAGTAATATATAAAAAAAGATATGCCCAGATATTAACCTGTAGCCACATTACAAAATCCCTATGTAAGTGTGAATAAACGGGAAAGAAAATGTATTTCGCATAAGAGATATGCATCATTTTGGAGTCATGAATATTGAATTTAGATTTCCTCGCATAATTCGGGCTTCCTATACATTACCTTAGATGATTCTATAAAAAAGAACAGCATATTTTTGTTAAATGTGTTTCAATGAAAAAAAGTTTTTTCTCTAAACATGAGCAATATTTTACATAAAAGAGAACTTTCTGAATTCCTGTTATTTCCTCACGTTGACAGCAAATTTACAAGTTCTCAGATAAAGAAATTTGAAGTTAGTATATAACAAACCAGCCAAGAATCACAATCAAAAATCACCTTACTATCATTCAGAAAGGGTCTCCTTAATAATAAAATGTGTGACCTGCACAAATTAATAAATGTACAGTCATTCAGCAGGTAAAATAAATTAATTTTGTATGGAAAATTGTAATGTGCTACAGGTAGGCTAATTTATCTTAAATTCAAGCCCATAATTTAGACTTTGATGACATCCATTCATTTTATATTCCAGTACAGAACTTAGTACAGGGAATGCTACACTCATTCATCATCCAGTACCATGATCTTTCTTCCCAATTATGCTTTTGGGGGGCTCAGTCAAGAGAAGCAATGGCAACAGGCATCAGAGCTTTAATTAAAGAGCAAAAATTATGAATGCTCTGGTGGAAGTAAGTCTGTGTACCTTGCATTTTAAGATAAATTTGGCGAAGACATTATATTAATTAACATTTGCTGGCCATACATTGTTTCTAGTCTTTAGTTAGTTTAAATATTCTCAACAGTTTAATCACTTCCTTTTGGAAGCTTCCTGAAGGGGTATGGTGGGGAGTATGGGGGTGGAATAAACTAAATAGCAAAAACCAAAATGATCTTGTTCCCTCTGTTAATAGTAAACGTTTTGAAGAGATAAGATGTAATCTGTCTATCTGTAGATTTATTTTAACCATGTTACATGCTTTAAATTTTACTCTTTGCAATTATCATAAGGATGCCATTCTTACAGTGTACTTCACATCAGTTCATTGCTATGCAGTACAACCACCTCTGGAAGGTAATGTTCACTTCACAGATGAAGAAAGCAAAGAATAAAGAGACTTGCTCTCTTGCCTAGGGTTACATTATAAGTTAGTGGCAAAATGTGTATTAAAATTCAGGTCTCCAGAGTCCCAGTGTTTTAATTAGCTTAATAATCCATGCTAACTTTCATGATTGCTAGGGCTTAGGTTTTGGTATTCTTTAACATTACTCTCAACACCTATGAAAAATAGCTGCCCTTCATAAGGTTAATGCAAACTATGAGTTACACCAATTATGCAAATCCTAATCTTTGTAACTTATCTACCTCCAGGGTGCTTAGTGCAGTGTGAGCATGTACTTTATTTCTTATTCAGGGCTTTCACCAACTTCTATGAGCACTTTCCTTTTATACTATTAACAACAAAAACAAAACCATTAATTGAATTTACCACATTTAAACTTATAATGAAGGTATAATTATCCTAACTGTATCAATAAAAAAATTAATGTTCAGTGACTTGTCCATGGCTGCATACGTAATAAGAATTCGAATGATAATTTCATTCCGAGACTTGTTTCAAGTATTGTAATACATAATCCTTGTGTGTAAGGTTGATTGTTAAAAGAAACAGTTTGATACTACTAGGAAAATTGAATCAATAAATGGATTTGAAAATCTATATATTTCATCAAAATTCTTTATATGTAAAATTTTTTTCCTAGGCTTATCTTCATTTAGTCATGATTTATATTCTATACTTGATTCATTCCTTCATTCATTTGTTCAAAAAGTCATCTGAAAAATATTGAGCTAATTGCTGGGGGCATAAAGCCAAGTAAATGATTTTAAGTGATGCTATTATGGTCTTTAAAATGGCTGAGATAGATAGTACATTAAAGTGAACTGACTTTAGACGGAGTGGTCAGAAAAGACCTCTCCCAGGATATATTACACTTAAGCTGTATATTAAAGAATGAGCAGGAACTACCATATTGAGAATGGGAAAAGAACATTACAGTAGGAAGAAAAACAGATAAAACCTTCATCATCATTGAGCTTATACTTGGAAGAGGAGACAAGCAGCAAAGAAAGTAAATAAGTAAAAGGTATAGTATGTGACATAAAGAGAAGTGACAAGGCAAGCCAGAAACAAGGAGGCATAGAGGAGTTCATTCCTTTGGATGGGATGTTGCAGAAAGTCTCACTAAGAAGAGGCCATGAATATAACCTGACAGAAATGAGGTGGAAAGCCAAGAGGAACTCTGGGAAAAGATGTCCCAGGCAGAGTAAACACCAGATAGAAAGGCCCTGAGATAGAAGTATGTTTGGGGTGATAAAGAAGCTGTTAAGGAGTTCTAAGTAAGGTCATGTCAGTATCTGATTAGTATTGAGAAAGATAGCTTTTGTTGGATTTGGAGAATGGGAGGAAGAACTCAAGAATGGAATAGGAGAACAATTAAGATGAATTCGTACTCTCCGAAGAGCGAGATAATTATGACCTGAACAAGGATGGTAGTATTAGATAGAATGATGTGTGTTTAGTTGAGCTATATTTTGGAGGGAGAATCAACAGAACATACTTTATACTGAGATAAAAGGAGAGAAATTATCAATAACTACTAAATTTTCACTGGTAGGTGGGATGCTTTTGATTGAATTAGAAAAGACATGATGTCAAGTGTCAGGGTATAATATTCTAGATATCCTTATTAAGTTTGAGATGGTTGTAAAATTTTCAGAGGAGATTTCAAGCAAGCAGTCGTCCAACATATACATTTGTGTTTCATTGACATCTAAGTGATATTTATTATAATTAAATCAATAGGCTCTCTATTTCTCATGCCTCTACTCAGCACAAGCTTAGAACTCTGATACATTGCTATTTATAAATTAAATTTAAATGTGAAATCTTAATGAGTGTTAAACCAATTTACTTAGAAGCAAAGAATTATTTTAGTCTTACATAAACAGATTCACAAAAGGATGATTTTGTTAGCAGTTAACATTTTTAATTCAAAACATCAGTATAATAATTAACAGATTTTGAACAGAAATATTACAGATACATCAAAAAATAAAAACTAAGAATAATCTTTATTATTTAATTCCTATCTGACTTTTACTTGGTAACCACCTTTGTATGCTTTTCAAGGCATTATAATCTTGAACTCACTGACAAGTGTAATCTGAAGTTCAAGTAAAGTGACAATATAAGAGATTGCTTGAATGACATGAAGATATATTAAAGGTCACACATAAGAACTGCTTCATGGCAGTCTGAGGATGTGTTTTGTTTGTCAGGTACACTGTCTTTAAAATGATGCATTGAATGTCATTAGGCAAGATATGTTCTTTCTAGTTAGCCTCAGTTGCCACCACTTCCTATTGTCTTCACCATTATGCTGTTTTTCTGGTCCTTGACATCATTTTACCTTATTAACCTGCTACAGTTATTTTAATATCTATCTAAATGTATATATGTTAAGGTTATCTGGCAAAACATTGTGCATGTTGAGTTTTGAAAAGAAGACTTTATAGAATTCCTTTTGCTGAATTGTGTTTTGGACTTTCCATCAGTTTATGTTGAAATATGTTCAAGAAACATACCTATAGACCTTATAGTGGTGTCCAAGATAAGAATGTTGTTGAGAATGTTATTCATTATAGTACACAGCATTCCTTTTATGAAATGATAATCAAATCTCTATTTATAGTATTATTACATTATTGCTCTAATTAATTGGCTTATTTTTATCTCAGAATAGTGTTATTTTAGGAACTGATTTTACTACGCAGTTTTCACTGTTTGATTAAAAATTTAGGTCAGAGATGACAAACAATAAGACTGTGCTAGGATGAATTCTGAAGTGACCCACCTTGACATTTACCCTTGTACAATCTCCTGTTGAGTGTGGGTGAAATTTGTGGTTATATTTGTCAGATGTAATCAAGGCTCTAAATCAGTTGATCTCAAGATAGAGAGATTATCTGGGTGAATGTAACCTAAAAATATAAGCCTTTGAAATCTGAATCTAGAGGTCAAAGGCAGAGGAAGTCAAAGATTCAAGGGGTTAGAGGGATTCAAGTTGAGGTATAGTCTCTCCTCTGGCTTTGAAGATGGATGGGGCCATGTGGCAATAAATATGGGTGGACAGTGGGAGCTTGGAGTAGCCCCAGCAAGAAAATCAGTCCTTGGTTCTATAGTTGCAAGAAATAGAATTTGACCGAAAAGTAGATGTGTTAGAAAAGCATTCTTCCCTTACAGACTCCAGAAATTAACCAATTCTGGCCGACACCTTGATTTTGAGGTTTGAGCCATTTTGTAAGAAATCTAGCCACACAACGCCTGAGCTTCAGACCAAAAGAAGGTAAGCTAGTACATGGGTGTTGTTTTAAGCTACTACTTTTGTGATAATTTGTTACATAGCAATAGAAAATGAACACAGGCTACTATGTAAAGAAGGTGTGAAGAGTCTGAAATTATACCCTACAGGCAACCTAAGATTTAACTTTACAGTTTCATGCCTGTTGGTAGGAGATATAAGACTCCTGGATGAGAAATAAAAGGCTTGAGTACTTCTAGCAATAGCAGAAGCCAGACTTTCAGGATTTGTGCTGGTTCCCTAGACCCCAGTTCTCACAGAACAATGCAGAGAGGGCCAGGTGATGGTTGAACACATTGGGTTCCATTATAGGAAAAGAATTTCCTGCACAGAAAAAAAAATCTTTTACAATGGGCACTAAGCCTGCCTGACTTTCATCCGAGAATGAGACATTATCTTTATGAAACTGTATAGTATAAATATGCCACCTTTTCCCCATGAGAGACACTATTTCTATCTTCCAATGCTGCTTACTGTGCAAAGGCTATCAGTGATGAGTAGAAACGTGAGAATTGTCTCCCAATATCTTATACTTGCAGTTTTTTTTTCTTGAACAGAAGCTGGTATCACATAAAGCATACCATAAAGTGTACATATAAAGTGTATATTCTTGAAGATGCAGTGAAGAATGTTTATTGACACTTCCATATGCAGACATCCCTAAAGAATAAGACTTCAAATTTTATATATTAAAAAATAAACTACTTTCCTGGCTTAAAATGAAACATGCAATCTACCCATAACATGTGTGTATAAATATATAGTACGTTTTAACTAGCCTTACTATTATCTCAAATTCATACTGCTAACTTTGCTTTTCTCTTTCTTCCTTCACTATTTCTTATGCATATTATGTTTTTTTATTTTCTGAATCCTTCAAAAATTTGGAGAATTTTGTTCAATCAATGTCAATTAAAGCAGAACAACTTGATAAGAAATAGAAAAATAGAAAAAGTATATTTGTAGCTTTCCCCTGCCTATATATATTGTAAGGCCTATGACAGGCAATAGGTTTGGATCATTATACTAGATTAACAGTATCATTCCTAGTAGCTTAAAGGGTTTTGTTGCAGGTATAGAGTGCTAAGAAAGGAAATAATTTTGAGACAGTTAGATATTGTTACTACTGCCCTGGTTAGTTTAAAATCTCTGAATAACCCTTAAATGTGACCAAGCTTCAGACCCATGCAACTTATTATTTAAGGAAAAGAGATGCTCTTTTCATGCTGATTAGACAGATTCAGTTTCCAAGTCCACCCCTAGACCAACTGCTGTGGGAAAAATCAGGCCTATTCACTTAGTCCTAAATTACTGACTATCTGGGAGCCAGTCTTGATAGCAAATAAGATGAAGTGAACTGATAAACTTGGATTAAGCAGGGACCCACTCTGGATCTGGGGAGGGGTCCATCCCACTCAAAACTCACTGGCTGCTGAGTGGAGTGAGGGGGCAGAGTAGAACCGATGTTGGAACCTAATCTACATGACTGCTACTTGAATCAAGGAAAACATTCTTAGCCCTATACCATAGAATAAGAAACTAAGGCACACATCTCATAGTAAATGTCAAGGCCTGATTTTTGGGCTGAATTTTTTGACCTCAAGTCCACTGTTCCTATCCCCATGTTCTGCTCTCTTGTGACATGATAAGTAAATTAATCTAACCTTTTAATGAAAGCAGAGTTAGAAGGATGGAAAAGGAGTGATAATGAGTTGAATAGGCTCTTGGCAGAATAATTATATCATCAAAGAGAAAAACACCTAGAAAGAGGAGTTCTGGGTTGGGTTTTTTTTTAAGACAATATTTGACTGGTATGTGAATTTACCTGGTTCAGGACCTTCAATTACTCAAGAGACGGTAACTCAATGGTAGACTGCAAAATCTGTGCTATGAGAGCACTTTTGCAGATTCACTATCCCACTGTGACTTTTTCCCGAACAGCTCAGACTAAAACAAAGAAAACAAATTCCCTTGAAAACCTAACTAAAAGGTCACAGAAAGGAGAGGCAGAACTCATTAATTTTTTTTCAGGGCCTGAGGGTTCATTCTTTAAAATCTGTGCCACATATGCACGTGCAGTTTGCATGAAGATTTTCTTTTGTATCAAAGCACATCCTCTCCAGATTGCAATAACCTGATGCCTGGTTGCCTTTTGGCCTCGTGCCCTGGGGTTAGCTGAGGCATCCTTGTAAATTCAGGAACATATTTCTTGTATTTGTAAATTATCCAAGGTAGACTTGCCTCATGTCAGAGCCTACTCCTTAAATAATCTTAAAGCAGTTATTTCCTTTGTGAAGTGCATACAAATGAGTTGAAACAGTAATATCCACATTAATTGTTGAATTTTGTTATTTTCAATGGCCACTTCATTTAAAACAGAGACAAAGTACTACTATTTTTCCAGAAAAGATGCAGAAAATATTAATATGACAGGTAATAACCTCTGATTTTTATCTGTAAATTCAGGAGTTGATGTAAGACAAAAAAGTTTGAAGGTGTACATAATCTGGCTGAAATCAGTCTTCTTTCTCTCCTATCAAGAAACAAGATGAAGTACAGTAGAGGAAGAGAAGAATTAAAAGCAGGTTAAGGAACATTCACTACTACTTATGTTCTAGTCCTTATTGGAAATCTGCTTAAGTTTGAAAAGGAAAGTAGAGGGAACTTCTGGAAATCTTTTTAGAACATAGAAAGGACCAAGTTGGAGATCAAGAGGCAGTTGTTTCCAAATTTTTTCTTTGTAGAAACAATCTTTACAGTTAAAATAAAAGCCAATATATTTTTGATGCATAGTTACATGCTTATAAAAACCTTTATAAAGTAGGCATTTATTATTACAGTAATATTTTTGTGTATTATAAAATGCATATAACAACATGAAATTAAAATGGATGAGATAAATAACATTTTTAGGAAATGTTATTCTGTTCTATTTATTAGTGGTGCTAAAAACTTAAATATTTTATTAAAATTGTTGGGTGCTTGCAGGGTGATGAAATACACATCACCATCACGAAAATCTTCACTTAAAACTTCATACTAGAATGACTTGCAGGTCCAGTTCTAAATGGTTCTGTTTATTGAGACATTCTGATTATTGGCTTAATAACTGTTATTATTGGAAAAATCAAGTGGTAAAAATTAAATAAGTCCAAATAGAAGAAATGTATGGTGCCTGCAGATGAAAAATCTTTGAACTCATATTTCAGTCCCACCCACCAATAATGCAAATATTTTGTTGAAATGGGCTAGCAGGTTTTGAGCTTCCCTGATGTTCATCAGTTTTTCTTCCACATTAAAAAGTACTGAATTTTCATTTTTATATTTTGTGTAAGATATGGCCAAAGCTAGTCACAGCAATTTGCTTAGAAGATTTATAATCAGATTAGAGAAATGGAATCCTAAGTTTTCAAAGCATGCTGCTATAAAAATTTTTATAGTTGGCACTATTTGTTTTCAGCAACAAATTTGCCTAAAAATTGACATTATTTAAAAATCTCATTATTGAAAATATTCACCTAATTTTCCCTAACGTTAACATCTTACAAAATCACAGGATATTTGTCAAAATTGAGACATTAACATTGGTACTATGCTATTAACTAAGATACGTTTTATATACACGTCATGCATTTTTTTCTCTGTTCCAGGATCCAGTCCACAACACTACATTGAATTTAGTTGTCCTGCCACCTGTATTAGTTTATTCTCACACTTCTATTAATAAAGTCATACCTGAGACTGGGTAATTTATAAAGGAAAGAAGTTTAATTGACTTATAGTTCATCATGGCTGGGGAGGCCTTAGGAAACTTACAGTCATGACAGAAGGGGGAAACAAACATGTCCTTCTTTACATGGTGGCAGGAAGGAGAAAAGTGAGAGCTGAGTGAAGGGGGAAGCCCCTTATAAAACCATGAGATCTCTTGAGAACTTATTCATTATCACTAGAATAGCATGGGAAACTGCCACCATGATTAAATTACCTCCCACCAGGCCCCTTTCATCACCTATGGGGATTATGGGAATTGCAATTCAAGATGAGATTTGGGTGGGAACACAGTCAAACCTTATCACCCCCTTAGTCTCCTTTGATCTATGATAGTTTCTCAGTTTTTCTTTCATTAAAAAATATTGATATTTATGATAGTTTGATCTATGATAGTTTTTCAGTTTTTCTTTTATTAAATAATATTGACAGTTTTGAAGAGTGATAATTAGGTATTGTGTACAGTGTTCCTGATTTCAATTTGTCTGATGTTTTCACATGTGTTTTGAGAATGCCATAGAGATTAGTTACCCTCCTCATCACATTATGGTACATAATATCAACATGACTGATCACTGCTGGTTAGCCTTGATTGGTCACTTGGTTAGGATGGTGTTTAAAATATTTTTTCACACAAAGTTATTTTTTTCCTTTTCTTTATTTTTGAAAGATAGTCATTAAATGCAATTCACCCTTAAAGAGAGAAACATACTCCACTTTGAATATTAAAACGCCTCAAATGTTACTTCAAGCTTTTGTGAGGTTTTCTCAGAGTTCCTTTTGTTCTCAAGAAAGATACTGTTATAGGTACTTGATAGTGAAAGTGTGTCAGCAAGTTATCATGGAGGCTTTGTAAAGGTTAGGAGGAAATCTTTCCTAGGATACACCTTGTGCATTCCTTCCTGGAGATGGGGTAAGGACATAGTTACAATACCAGTGGATGGGCCATGGCATAGTCAGCCAAGTGAAAGCCAAAGTTAGACCCACAGATTCTTCAGATATCTCTCTATTACATTGCAAATGACCTGATAACTTAGAAATTGAAAAAAAAAATAGAAAGATCAGGAGAGAAGTGAGACAAAGGAAGATGAAGATAATACTTCTATATTCAATCAAATTTCTGAAACGGCATCTGCTCAGAATTTCTTCAGGGAGAAAGAGTCATTGAAGATAGAATTTTAACACTTAATGAGACTAGGTAGAAAGACTATAAAGACTGAGAAATCACTCGATTAGGTTATGAGAACTCAGAATTAAGTAGATTGAATTTTTTATCATGCAATAATAGCAGCTCATGTTAGAAATTAAGTTGAATTACATAAAGATTTTAAAAAACAAGATTTTTTTTTTTTAACATCGGAGTTGTTACTATCAGGTTTGTGCTCCTCACACAAATGTGGCAGCTTATCATAGGATACAAACATGATGTCTGTTAGAGTAAGGCTGGCTGGATAATAAGCAATATTATCCAAGTACAATAGTACAAGATATTAAAACCATGCTTCTGATTAGGCTAACCAAAATGTATTTTCCATTCATTTGTGATCTGGGAAGACATAAATGACATTTTGTAAGACCCCATGGAGATAAAAGTCAATAAAAGGGGACGAGTGTAATTTAGTGTTGATGAGTCTAAGTGTTGAAGTCAGAGAGACCAAGGTTTCAATTCTGGTTTTACTCTTTAGTAACCCCATGACATTGCTGAATTTACTTAGACCCTTTGAACCTCAGTTTACTCATTTCTTAAATAGAAACAATAATGCCTGCTTTACGGGATTAGTATGAGAACTAAATGAGACCACATATGTGGAACATCAAGCACAATGTGCCACACTTAATAAGTAATCAATAAATCATAGCTACCTACCACTCTTACTATTGTTGTTCTGAGTATCTATTTTGATTCCTAAAATGATAAGAAATGAAAACCAAATTTCTGAAGTCTAGCCATGAGGAGAGATGGCAAAGGAGAAACAGAATCAAAATAAGAATAAAAGTTCATAGAGTATTGAGAAAGAAGAGGTCACTTGAGGCATAGAATTTTCATCAGGAAAATCATTTCCAAGGAGAAGACCTAAGTTGTGAGAAGAAAACTGAGTGTAGTTTGACTGAATTGATACTCTGTACAGATATCCAGGCCTGCTCTTCTAAGGAGTAATTCACACTCAAATATAGGACAGCCCTTTATTTAATAGCTAAGGCAATTAGAATTTATTTTACCTTACATATTTTAACTTATTAAGCCCTAATTAACATTATTTTACAAATGTAGTGAGGTATTGCATGCCAAACATACATTCATATATGTGCCTTTAAGATTTTTTTAACATTTTATTTCTCATGACTGACCAAGCATAAAAGATCAGTTGAAGTAAATTTTTAAAAGAATGCTTAGCTATTACTTTTCCAATCTTTATTATTATTGTTTCTAGATAAAGAGTTTTCATTGCTATAGGAATGCTGGAAGGTAGTTAATTTCTCTTCATACTGAGGATTACAGGCTTTTAAATTTGTAGGTCTATTTCAGGCCTTATTTAGCTATTAAGAAATTTACACTATTTTCTTCACTTTTCTAATGGCCAGAGATGCTGCAATATAAACTGAAAAGGGAAGGATAAGAGAAAAAAAATCCTTAAATTTTCATTACATTTATACTTTCCTCTCATCGAAGGACCTCAGAAATTCCCCTGCTGTATCAGTATTGCCAGATAGTTAATTTCTCTGCCCAAGCAGGATAAACAGATGTGCTGACATAACAATACCCAATGTTTCAAGATTCTCAAGGATATTAATAAAAAGCTATTTCTTATGGGAACCTTGGATTTTTTTCCTGAGGAAAGATTACAGATCAGGATTTGTTATCTCCAAATATTAAGGTAGTTAGTGCTGGATGAATTTTTAAAAATGCAACATTAACACTCGTCCAGATAAATACTGAAATTTGGAGGATGCTTACTTGAACTTTATTGAAACCATGGAAATTCTGTTGTTTGCAAATTTGAGCTGCAAATCTGTGGGGGAAAGATTTGTCTTGCAAGATTTTGGAAGCATCATGTTGCTGGTTGAAATGAAAATACTACATGCATGGCCATTCCCTACTTTTTCATCATTCTCTGGGTCAACTTAAAAAGAGAGGAAAAAACCCAGAAGTGCAGAGACATTAAAAAGGCAAATGTGAGCGTTCAAAACCTTCATAAGTGAGGTATTTTTTGTTTTTTGTTTTAGTTTTATCTAATGTTTCATTGGTCTTTATTTTAGGGAAATGATAGTGAACCAAATACCTTGCTCATCTGTCTAGCCCCTCTCTCTGCTCTACTTTCCATTCTTTAGTCTATTATAAGCATAGAGCCCCCTTGGAAGTCCACAGGAATTCCATGCTTGCATCAGCTCAGGGGGGATCCAGAGCAAGGTGAGAAACAGGCCTGGAGACTGCAATGGCAGATTGAGCAGATTGTGCAGTATCATTTCACATGCTATCGTTATCCCCTTATGTCACATTTTTCTGTTGCCGACAAGAAATCAGCTAAGGGCAGAGTGAGAGAAAGCTGTTGTAGCAAATGGTCTTCTTGCTGGTTTTAACAAAACAGTCACACTAGTGAAGAGCTGCCTCCTCTTGCATTCTGCTTCCACTGTCTTGAGTCCATTTCTGAACCCCAGCCAACTCCCAGCTGGTAGTATACTACAATGCTGTCATGTCATCAACCCAGTCAAGATGTTCCAGAGTTTTGTTTTTTGTTTTTAATTTGCCAACTTGGCTGTTTCCTCACAAATTGCATGGAATAATAATTTTTTAAAGAAAGCTTAGCTTCTATTACCCATGGGTGAACAGGTTTTTGGAGATTGCTAGGTAAACAGAATTCAGGTCAAAAGAAAGTGACAATGAATAGGCACTCATATTTCGGTATTCAATGAGTCATATTTGCATACCAAAAGTCCAATATAAGGTAGGTCAGAAAGAGCATCTATTGTCACAAGTAAACTTAAATACGTTGTATTTCTTCCCTATATAGTAACACCTTACTTTTTGACAGTTTTCTTTTTGTGTATATGTGTATGTACATGTAAAGTAATTGATAATAAAGTGCCCACAAGAAGAAAATCATTTTCTGCCCAACAATACAAGATAGTTTATTTGAGAGAAGTTTGGATTTGTTAAAAGAAAAAACAAGCATTTGTGGATATTTTTAATAATTTGAACATATGGTCTGAGCAGAAGCAGAAAAGGCACTTTTTAAACTCGATGTCAGATCATATCACATTATGTTGATTTGTACTGTATAATGTGATATGTTGCAGATTTTTAATAAATGGGCTTTCTTCATCATCTCAGCCAGGAAAGATTTTGGGGGTGCTTGTTCAGTGATGCTCTTTGGGATTATTAAGTAGTACTCAACTCAACTAACACCCTTTCCAGATCCTGACAGGTTTCTTGTATTTTACCTACTTCTTTTATCAGGTAAGGCAGCAAACAGATATAAGAAAAATAAAGTTTTAGCAGAAAAAAATATTTTTTATTTTTATTTTTTTGCATCAACTAGGGGAAATAAACTTTCTTTATCTGGGTCAGGAGTAGAAATCTGGCAATAGGAAAAAAGCAGTTTTTTTCTGATGGGGGAGTTGTTATGAAAGGTGTGAGAAGCTGTGGAATCAAAGCGGAAGGGAAAATAGAAGCATTGCTGTGTTGCAGTCCTGACCTGAATGCCATGTGTACTGAGTGTGCAGTGAGCCAGTGTGCTGATGTATCATATTCTTTCTGAGAATTATCTCTGAGAGAGAAGCTGCTCAGATTTTTAAAATACCTTTCACCTTTAATATTCAAACTGTTTTTCTAAGAAAAAAATAAACTTTCAAAGTTTATTATTTTTTCAAGGAGAAACAGTAACATAAGTAGATTAAGTCATCAATCTGAGATTTTGCTGGAATCTTCTTGGAAAGTTAATGTAAAACTACAACTTTCAGATCATTATTCAAATTTTTCCTTTCTCTCTTGTATTTATAGATTATCATTCAAATCATCAGATATCTTTAATTAAATGAATATCTTTGAAGCACTATATAGTCACATACATACACCTAGAGAAATGAATTAAAACAAATTGAACAGTGATGCACCATTTACCTAGATGATTACCATGAGACAGTGTAAAAATATGAAAAGAGACTGAAGAAAAGCACAAATCACTTGAGAGAATATTAAGTCAGTAATGC
Organism: Homo sapiens; assembly: GCF_000001405.40. Classification (NCBI taxonomy): domain Eukaryota; kingdom Metazoa; phylum Chordata; class Mammalia; order Primates; family Hominidae; genus Homo; species Homo sapiens. The sequence goes on along the minus strand of NC_000001.11, from coordinate 80,304,092 downwards.
ACATGAATTATTTGGCTAGTGGATTTTATCTGCAAACAAGCAAATTAGAAGGCGTGATGGTGGGGCCAGGTTTGTCTGCTACACAGTACTTCCAATATCTGGCACAAAAATATACCAAAAATATTTGTTGAATAAGTGAATTTGTTCATTCTGGAAAGCATTTATTCAATGTCATCTGAATAAAAGTAAAGTAACAGAAGATTTTATTATCCTCTTTTAAGAATGCAAGGTGAGAAAGAAAATCTATTACTATTTTTAGTTAGTATATATAGCGCATTTATTCTAGCAGGGCCTCAGCTAATTGCTTAATGTGGGTTATTTAGTGCTATTTTCGTTAATGTCTCTATTTTAGAATTAAGAAAAAATAAAGAGAAGTTTTAGAGTTGGCAAGTAATTTATCTAAAGTCAATAATTAGTAAATGGTGAAACCGAGGCAGCAAGACTTCTGAGTCAATTCACTATATTGCCTAAAAGCTTTCGAGAAGACAGCAAAATTTTTATAGTAGTAAAGTATCAATTGTTTCAGATCCCTTGGATGAATGAAAGTGGAAATCTTTGATGGTACAGATTTCAGGGCTTGAGAGAAATGTGAAAGGATCAACCAGTAAAATAGCTAACTACATTAAATATGATTCAGTTTGAGATGGTGTAAGCAAAGACATTGAAGCATGGGAGGGTCTGAACATCCAAGTTCTGATCTACATTTTGTCAGTAACAAAGAACAAGATATCATGGTATGGCACTATGATGCCAAGGGAATCAATAAAAAAATGACCAAAGTAATTCATCAAAGAAATTGACTTAATGTAAGAACAAAGAACATGTCTCTGGCAAGGAGTAATGAACATCAGTAGCCCGATATTTTGCTAACATTTAACTCATTTCTATTTACTTTTCAGGCTAGTTTTTCGCTGCAGGTCCAACTTATCCTGAGAAACGAAACAGAAAATTCATATATCACATAGGATTCAGTTTGGTGATGAGAAACAGACCAAGGAAGAATGATATTTGTTTTTCACATTAAAGTCCAGAAGAGATAGTCTAGAGCTGGTATGGTGATTTTGCTCCACAATGTCCTTTGAATACTGGAGCCCCCCTATCTTATTCTGTTATGTTCCTCATCCACTACAAAGGTCAGTTCATAATACCCAAAGCCCAGTCCTTAATACCCAAAGCCCAGTCCTTCCCAGCTACCTTGTTTACATTCCAACCAATGGAAAAGAGGAAAAGATGATGAAAAGGAGACAAGTGTACATTCTAGCTGTATTTTAAGGAAGGTAAGCAGGAGAAACACAGACGACTTTTTTTTTTTTACATGTCATTGGCTAGTACTCAGTTACATGGCCTGGAATGTTGGGCAATTATAAAATTTTTTTATGGTAGTCAGCTAAAAATAGGCAATTTCATAGATATCTTTATAGAAGAAGAGAAGAGTGGTTGTCGAAAGATTGTTAGTAGTCTCTGCCAGAGTTAGTATTTATCTGGAAAATTACATTTCTTCTTTTTTTACTGTCTCTCTCTCTTTTGTTTTTTCCAAAGTTAACCTAAAGCTCACTTCTTCCAGAGCTACCTCCCATGCATAGGAAACATGGGGAATCTGCTGCTGTTTCCAATATTTGCTGAGGGTCATGAGAAATATTTGCCTATATGGGCAAGTTTTGCCTCAGAAGCACAAAAAACATGCCACAAGTGACCTTTACTGTAGAGGTTCATGAAGCCATGTGAAATGACTTCTCTATTTTTCTCATACATGATCGTTTTTGTGCTATTCATTTGTGAGTTCAATCATACACTAAATGACAACAAACCCAGGCTGAGTTGTTATTCTTGAAACATTATTATATGTGATCTAGGCTATTTCTTACTTTTCATCCAACATATTCAAATACTGTTGACCAGACTCATTCTTCACAGGACTCTATTTGCGTCATACTTATAGTGTAAAATATTTTCCAATTAATTTATATCCACCCTTCGCCACTCTGGTTTCAGTTCTTCTCTATCTTAACAAGAACCCTCTCCTCCTCTTAGAAAGCTAAGAAATTTCACCTTTATTATCCTTAAGATGGGGCTATTACTACAGAAGTTTCAGGAAAATGAGTAACCAGAATATTTAGCTGTGAGGTTCAAAAGCATAAAAGGCAGTGATAATTATTAGCAGGAAAAAAATCTCTGAATATAAAGCATCTGTTTTTTGGAACATAGAATACTTACCCATGTCCCAGCCTAAGCAGTAGGTACAGACAAATGGTGATTGTTTACATATTATAAAGGTTATTTAATCCGGGGAAGGGTAGAGAAAGGTTAAAGAGAGGAGCAATAACGTTAGTCACTATTATGGGTCTCTGAAAACACACTCAATACTCCTCCCGGAGTCAAATATACAGTATGCTACCATAAAGATATTTGGGGATCCAAAAGCAAAGGGATCTTTTGCATCATTACCTTGTTGTAATATATGAAACAAAGACCTTTGAGATTTTTTTCCCACTACTTTGGTTGTCAAAGAGTAAAACAGAAAGAGTGGTCACGGCAAGTCTGTATAGATAAGCCCTGAGACAGATCCTGGAATATTCCAATAGTTTAGGTGAGCATGCAAAATTCCTCCTTCTTTACTGAGAACATTATAGAATTAGCTCAATGAAAGAACAATCTAGGAGGCTTTGTAGTTGCACAAGAGGTATCTCTGCTGCTATATGATTTGATTTGACTGTGCTACTATAGAACACAAGGAAATACATCAACAGAGCCCAGTGGAGACAAATGTGGGAACACAGGAGACTCTTGCTGCTCACTTCATCACCTAGTAGCTTTGGAAACTTGGTGAAGGCACAGAGTAGGAAATCCATGGCTGAGCCTGGAGAAAAAGAATGGCTTAGAAAAATAAGGCATTTCTTAGCCCTGAGGTCCCTATATCTCTTCTTCCTAAATGACTTGCTTGTATGTAAGCACTGATTCCCAGTAGTCAGATACAAACCCCAAACCTGGGGTGAAGAGAGAAGGATTAGTTTATACTACCAACCTAGAAAGTTATTTAACACAAAGTTATATTTAAAACATTCAAAAATTATATAATTATATATGTGAGGAGACTTCAAAAGGTTTATGAAAATGCATATTATGAAAAACTATGTATGAATTTAAATTTTTTTGGTGACAAAATAAACTCATACTGACTCGTTATAACATTCCTAAAAAGGACCTAGTTTGAGGCACTAAGGAGGATAAGACATCAGTTTAAAAATATCCCCTTTCAGAGCAACATGAATTCTGCTAAAATTGAAGCAAGAAAAACATAAAGTTCATGGGTAGAAGAACGGTGAAATATTTGATGCTTTACAAAAAGTTTATGCAGACAATGCACAAGGTAATCAGCAGTTCACAAAGGAATAACTCATCTTAAGAAGGGATGAATTCAAGCCTATGGTGGGAGGTTTCAATCCACATCAGTCTGTAAGGAAAAAGTTTATCTTGTTTGCGACCTAACTGAAAAGGACCAACAATCATCAGCAGGAACAATAGTCAACACCATAGACATCTCAAATGGTTCAGCTTGCACAATTCTGATGAAAAAATTAAAGTTGAGCAAACTTTTCCACTTGATGGGTTCTAAAACTGTTGCACCCAGATCAGCTGCAGACATGAGCATAGCTTTCAATGGAAATTCAAAACAAAGTGGGATCAAGATCCTGAAGCATTTCTTCGAAGAATAGTATCAGGAGATGAAATATAACTTTACCAGTACAATCTTGACGACAAAGCACAATCAAAGCAATGGCTAAGTGGTGGAAGTGGTCCTGTACAAAGTAAAAGTAGACCAGTCAAGAGCAAAGGTGATAGCAACAGTTTTGGGGGATGCTCAAGGTATTTTGCTTGTTGGCTTGCTGGAGGACCAAAGAACAATAACATCTGCTAATTATGAGAGTGTTTTGAGAAAGTTAGCAAAAGCGTTAGCAGAAAGATGCCTGGAAAATCTTCATCAAAGTTTCCTTCATCAAAGAATCCTCTTCATGATGACTCTCTTCATCAAAGAGTCCTTCTCCACTACAATAATGCTCCTGCTCATTTGTTTTATTAACTAAGGGCAATTTTGTAACAGTTTCTATGGAAAATCACTAGGGATCCACCTTATAGTTCTGATTTGGCTCCTTCTGACTTTTTTTTTTCTAATTCTTAAAAATCTTTAAGGGGGCACCAATTTTTCCTCAGTTAATAATGTAAAAAGAATTGCACTGGCATAGTTAAATCCCTAGGGCCCCCAGTTTTTTAGTGATGCACTAAATGGCTATCATTCCTTACAAAGATGTCTTGACTTTGATGTATCTTATGTTGGGAAATAAATGTTACATTTTTATCTCTTAATTCCAATGTTCCAAGAACGTTTTGAAGTCTCCACCTATGTATGTATGTATTTATTACAATCAGGTTTGTGAAATAAGCAACTATTACCTATTTATTTTCCTCTCAGTTTATTACCTCTCTCCTAAATCAGGTTGTCATCACCATATCCTCCTGGGAGCACAGCAGTACAGCTCATGGAGTTTTCCGAGTGCCTGACTTACACATGCCTCTTCACAGGTTACCAAGAAAAAAATAAAGGGCATATATCTTTTGACTCTTCTGCTGTGAGTTTCAGACTGCATTTAGTGATGTCATTGGCATTACCCAAATCTTTTGCAGTAGAATCTCTTTTTGGCTCAACACATTTGTTTTGACTACAGTGGTTGCACTTATCATGCTGAATTATAATGAATGTTAACTTGTTTGCTTTTCTTCTGTAGAAGCTCTTTGGGATGAAGAAGTATGCTTTACTGAATTAATTCCATACCTGATATATAGAATATGATCAATTTTTAGTAAAATTAATAAATGAATGAATGAATACCTGCTGCATTCTTTTTGACTTTGACTTTTGATAAAATTTTAGAGTAATTATTATAGTTCCAAAAGAAAAGACTAAGAAAAGAGAAGCCTTGGCTGAAGTTCAGAAGAAAAGGTATAGAGCTTATAGTAGGCTTACAGGAAAAACTGTCTAAATCTATATTTGTACTTACTAGCAACAGTAGAGAGAAAAATGAAACAGAAAATGTTTCTGAATACTTCTGAATTTTGAACTATACATGTTGTTTAAAAATTTAGGTTCTCACATTATATTTCAAATGTTCCATTTAAAATAAAAGTTTGAACATTTGTCTTACTCCATACTCTTTAAGTAGAAGCATTAAAAATGACAGTGCAAGAATTTTTTTAGCCAAATTCATAGCCTAAAAGCAGATGAGAAAAACGAAACAAAACAGCAGACATTTAGCTAACTCATACAACACTTCTTCAAAGAGTAACATATTTTGTTACAATTTTAAAAATTAAGAAAGGTCTGTGTAGCAGTTGCTAAAAAGGTGTTAAAAATCAGATTGTTAAAAATGGTCCAAATGGTCTCCAATGTCTCACCCCTTTGATTTGTCCTGGCTTTGTGACTTTATTTATTTGTTTTATCACCAATACAATTCTGGGAGAAATGCTCTGGGACTTATGAGACCAAAATTCCAGAGGTTTTCTTTCAGTTTCTGATTTCATACAGGGGAACCATAGCCACTATGTAAAGGAGACCAGGCTATCCTGTTATGGACAGAAATATCCTGGGGGATAAAAAACCAAGTGGAGAAGAAGGTCCAGTGAAGGCCCAGACACATGAGAGAGCCCAGGCAACACCAGAGAAAAGAGCAACCCACCTGTGCAAGCCAGCTTACATCCATTTTGTGCCAGCACAACACAGGTAATGCACAGTGAGTTAAGCCATCTTGAATGCCTGCCTTAGTCATATCAGCCCTAATAAAACCATGGTGGAGTAGAGATAAGTTGAGTCCTGTAAGTCTTCTTGTCCCAAAGAATTGTGGGCAAGAATGTCTGTTATAAGCTATTGATTTGTGCAGTAGTTTGCTATGACACAATAAATAACCAATATGATACCCCAAAGTTTATCATAGTTTTATATACCTTCCAGAAATAGGTGTAGGTTCATAACGTACCAATTACTGTATTGCCTATAGCGGTTAACTAAAGGTGTTCTGTAACTTATTTTGTTGTTGTTTTAAATCTAAATAATTGTGAGATTTTGTTTGAAAGCTGGTATTTCATATAATATGTACAAGTAGTAGTGTATCTCTTAATGTTGAGTCAAAAATATATCTAATCTTATAAAACTGCCATACACATAGAACAAAATAATTTAACTTTATTTAAATAAAACATATCAACTATATTTTAAAAATTTTGTATATATTAATAATATATCAAATAAAAATATATAAGTATCATTAGAAAAATAATAACATAGTGGACCTTCATGCATAGTGGACCCTCATTTATATTAATATTAAGGAATATTGTTGCTGTTTAAGTTAGATTTTCTTGTGTACAGATTTTGTTACCTGATTTAAAATGACATGGCCAATTTTCAGTATTGACCCAAAAATATTTAAAAAGTTGGAAATGTTATATTTAACCACAAAACAAATGCCCCAGCCAAGTTAATTTAGCTCATTAGTGTTACTTGTCTCATCAAAAGGAATAAATTAGAAAAATAGTTTGAATGGAGGTAAAGAGCAATGTTTAGGTATATATTACCTTTTCTAGAGTCATATGAAGGACTGTGTAATGGGTTTTGTCTTTGAAGATTTAAAGAGAAACTACCAGAAAAATAGCTCAGGATGAGTAGAGGGAAGAAAATCAAATGAGACTCAGATGTTTTTTATTGTGTTTATTTGATGTTTTCTTATATTTGACCATTGATCATTTCATGTTTCAGTTCACTATTTTGACTTGCTCTTCATGAGTAAAGAGTGAAGTGTTAAATGGTGTTACTCAAGGATTATCACTTAGATTTAATCGACCTTGCTAAACATCACACCATAAATCAGAGGATCTTTCATTTCTCCATTCTACCAAAAAAATGTGTCAGAGATAATCTCTGATTTTTACTAAGGCAGTTTAATTTAAAATCACAAGAAGATATAGAGGTTCTTATGAAAATGTTTTATAAAAGCTTATTTTAAAATGGTTCATTTTCTATAAAAATGTTTATAGATCTTTAACAGATAGTCTCTAGGGAAACAAATTTTTTCTTGAGTCTATTACTTTTTATACTTTCAGGTAATTTGGTGTCATTTTCATTCAATGTAAATTTTTGAGGGAGAAGTAATCATAGCTGAAGTCTCTGAAAAACCATCCAGTTGTTAAAAACCATCCAGTTGTTAAAATCCAGTTGTTCATATAAGAAGACTAAAATTTGCCACTTTGTGAGTAACGCAATGATGAATGACATTCAAGTTAGCATACGTAGTTATAATGTTCACATAATGATTTTTCTTCTCCATGTCTAACCTTTATTTTGCCTATTATTAGAGAATAACAAAGTCCAAACAATCCCCAGCCCTAACAAAGACAGAGGACATGGTTTTGTGGCAGGAAAAAATAAAGCAAAAGCAATAAATTTTGTCCAATCCAATTTTTCTTGTGTTCATATTCATGTCATGCAAATAATGAGGCCAGAGTTCTTACTTTCTGAATGCAATATTAAATTGGATTGCATATATCTTAAAATTAAGTCCAGCTTAAACAAAAATAATAAGTAATTGGAACAATAAAAAAGTCATCTTATAAAAACATATGAAGTAGAAATTTACAAACTAAGATCCCATACACATATAAAGAATGGACAGATGTCTGCAAGAGAGTTTTTTTCTGAAGGGTCTTTATAGTCTTGATGATACTCAGAAGAGTTTTCTTCATCTACTCCACAGTATTCCATCGAGTTCAGAATATTTTTTGACTATTTTCTTTTTATCTGTGAAATGGTTTAAAACAAGTGACAAAAGCACATCAGTTTGCATTTAATATGGAACAAAAGACTATCTATTTTTATGCATTGGATGGCTTTGGCAGCATAATTCCAAGGCTATTAGGATTTGTTTCAGTAATTTATTGCTATGTAAGAAATGATACTTCTCGCCATGCCCAACTTAGTGGTTGAAAACAGCAATTTATTATCTTTAGTGATTCTGTGGGTTACTGGACTCAACTGAGCAGTTCTTCCACCCTACATGAGGTTTCATGGGGTTGCCATCATCTAGAGCCTCAGGCTGAATTTCTGAAATTGCACACTCACATGGCTTGGCAGTTGATGCTGATTCCTGACTGGGAGCTGCTCTGGGGGTGTTCATGGAAGTGCTTCATTTTCTTTCACATTTCTTTTGTATGTGGCTTGGACTTCTTACAGCATGGGGGCTGTGTGTCAAGAGACGATAATCCAAGAGTAAGCATTGAGAGGAAAGTTGCAGAAGCTACCAGTCCACTTAGGATCTCGTTATCACTTAATTCCCAGGATGTCACTTCAACCACATTCTGTTGGTTAAAGCAGCACATATGGCCAGCCCAAATTTAGAAAGAGGATAAATCATTTCATTCTTTGAAGTGAGGAGTAACATCTCTGTTCAGAGATGGGAGGAACTGGGGAAAAACCTTTGGAGAATAACTACCAAAGACTCATGTACTGAAGTCTAACCTCTCCCCTACCAACTTTTCACCTCTTCATTTATTTTATCTTTAAAACAGAGAAAAGTTTAATGGAGGTGAACTTGCTGAGCACCTACCACGTGCCAGACACAATTGGATGTTGTAATAATGGAGCCTCACCAGACTATGTCTGTAAAACTGACATATTTTGAACATCTAAATTATTATAGTTAGAATTCTCACTATCCTGTATGTCAAAAATGAGGAGTTCTTAAAAATGCACTACATATTTCCAGGGTTTCCCTGGAAAGCTTCACTGATGCTCCAGAACAAATCTACACTTGCTCCCATATTCTTATTTTGCCTCCAGACTCCTCCATTTACCTCAGGTCAGCTGCTAGATGGAGTTTTCTTCCCTGGCCATGGACATTGACAATTCCAGTCCTCCGCCTAGTTTTTCATAGCACTGCTCATACCAGAAAGCAACATGTGTCAAGAATTTATAAAGGTTGATACTAAAGTAAGTACAACAGAAAAGTGACTTCAAACCACTATTAGCGGGGATTATTCTTCTGTCCCACACACCAAACAAAACTCTCAAGTCATCACCTGACTATGCATAGGCCTTCACATACTGGGCTCCGGCTCATCTCACACAAATGAGAAGTTACATGATCTCCATGCCTGGAAGAGTGGGTGCAACTTTGCTTTACTCCCATAGACAAGAGGGAGACTCTTCCTGAACCCGTGACTTCCTAGAATCCAAGTTCCAGCTCATTTCCTGCTGTTTAACTTACTTTCAGGATGACTGGCAGTGAGAATTCCCATTATTTTAGAATACAACTTCCATGAATATGATGTGGTCTGGGTCAAACGATCAGCAATAACTGACAGTGCATTCCTAAATCTGTTCTATTACATTAAATAACACCTTCTGGGAGGTAGCTCATTCCAATTCCTTTGATTGCCTTTCAACTGGTAGGACTTAAAGAGACAATCAGATCTGAGGATCTATTCTGGGTAAATATGGTCTAGTTAGCTAATGAGAACAAAGCAACTGCTTAAATCAAAACTCTCTGTCTCGTTGTTACTGTCTCTCTGTCTCTCTGTGTTTCTCACATATCTCCCTCCACATACAGATATTCTAAATACACATTCAGGGAAAATTAAACTCAACTCAACGCAACTGAAATAAAATAAATTTGACTTGTATCAGTTTTTTTAAGGTATTCATACTGAAGTACTACAAATGAGGTGGCTTACAACAACAGAAATCTATTCTCATAATTCCAGAGGCCAGAAGTCAGAAATGAAGAATTAGATCTTTCTGAAGTCTCTGACAGAGACTCTGTTCCATGCCTGTCTTCGAGCATCTGGTGGTTACTGGCAATTCTTAGTGTTCTTTGATTTGTAGACCCATTTGCAACCTTCACTGGCACATTCTTTTTCTTCCCTGTATCCAGATCTCCTCATTTCTGTAAAGATACCAGTCACTGGAATAGGGCCCACACTAACTGGGTATGACCTCATCTTAACTTGACTATATCTGCAAAGACCTTATTTCCAAATGAGGTCACTTTTACAGATGAGGACTTCAGCATATCTTTTTAGGGGACACAGTTCCACCCATGACTCACTATTTACATCTAAAAAAAGCTGTTGCCTTGTAGATGAACAGAGGTCATCCTATTAAACGGCTCACTTCATGTTTATTACAAAAGCATCATAATTTGGATTCCTTCGTTGATTCAGGACTTTCCAAGAAAAATTTTAAGTGCTTATCTTATTTGCCTAAAATCTGTATGACTTAAAAGGTTGAATTGTCCAAGTTGTTTCTCCCAGAATAAAATAAAATCTGCCCCAAGACAAATGCCAATAAGGCACAAAATAATTGTAATCTTCAATTTGGCACGTTTCTAATTTCAAAAATCTTAAACTCCAGTCTCTACTGGGCATCTGTTTATGAGGATAAAATGAAGTAACAGAAGGGAAATCCTCAGTGTTCCTAGGAAGAAACAGTGACATACGAATCCATGGCAGTTTTATTATTCTCTTTTCTACACCACTGAATTTATTTTTTTTCAGTAGGAAGTCCTTTCTACTTTTCTCTTTTTTCTACATTTTTTCATAAATCAGAGCTCATCTTTTGTATACCCCTTTCACATATATTGTCTTACTACTTCTAAGAGCAAACTTTAGAAGAACCTAGATATTGGAGCCATTGCTGTACTCTAGAGAAACTACCACCTTCTCCACTCAGAGAGAACGAATCCTCCTGTGAAGACTCTCCTTGAGGTGAGATGACCTGAATTACTGTCCAGAGCTTTGCACTGCTAGTGGCTGGACAGGACCCAGAAAGACCACCAGGAGCTCCAAGAGCCTAAGCTGGAGAAATCCTTCATCATCCGTGCAAAAGTATGGTAATTCAAACTATTGTCTCTTCCCCGTGATTATTTTAAAAGATTTAAAAATCTGACTGCTGATACTTGCAGACTGTAATTCTAGACATGGACATTGCTTGACCTGGGACAGGAATGACGAGTACTTGCTGAGAGTTATAAGAGTGAACTGAATATTCCATCCTAGAGTGGAAGATTGTGAAATATTAGATCTCAAATTTACTTACTTTTTACTGTGAAATAATTCTAACCTAAAATAACTTTAGAAAACCATGAAGAAAATTCCACTATTAATTTCCCATTCAACGGCATTCACTGCTTTTCCATTTTTATGATATCTCTTGAAGTTCACATTTGTAACTTATAAAATATACTCAAAATTTTCACACTTTTGTTTTTTGGTTTGTGTTTTTGTGTCTTATTTAGGAAAATATTTTCTTAGTTTACAGCCATAAAGATAGTCTATATTTTTTTAAAATGTAACATTTACTTTTTACCTATAAAAATGAATTCATGTCTATGTCATGGAGAGGGAAGAAGGTATGCTTTTTTTTTAAAAAATTGTAACCTATTTTCTAAGGTCCATATATCAAATGGTCTCAATTTTCCCATTTGACTTTTGTGAAAGGCAAAATTTACTGAAATTTTAGGAGATGATTTTTTCTAAGTCATTGCAATTAGAAGAAAATTAAGGAGCATATCAAAGGAAAAGAAGCAGGCTTGGGGTTTTAAACAGGCAGGTAAACCAGAGTCATCTGGGAGTCTTAGGCAGCCATGAGCAATGCTGCAGAAGGATCTCTTTTGAGGCTATGCAAGGATATGTTTTGTATTCAGGTATTTGCTTAACACAAAAGTGTGTGGAGATTTCGGAGAACAAAATGGTGGGGTGAGGGATGTTTTAACTATTGTACTGGTAATACAAAGCTTGGGTAAAATTCAACATTGACACTTTGATCAAATTCCTGATGTACAGCAAGTTTCTAGAGGAGTAAGCCATTTCTAAATTATCCATTGTTCTATTCATGTGTTAATAGCACACTTTCATAATTAAAATAGCTTTTCAATAATTTTTAGTACCTCATGAGGTACAAAAGCCTTGTTCTTCTTCTTCAAAATTATCTTGGCTTTTTTTCTTTGTCAAGATCCAAGAAAGAGCAGTTATGATTTTTTTTAGTATTACTTGAATTTATAAATTAATTTTGGGAAAGATGGCAATCATGTCACATTAATACCTTCCATACATAAATTTGATTTTTAAAAGAATTTATTCAAGTTTGTTTTCAAATATTTTGACTACATCCCCAACACAACTTGTTTTTTCTGATTTTTAATGAAATTCCATAATCAGCTAAATTTCCTCTGAAGATCTGCATATTGAATATTTCTATATGTAATAAAATTGGGATCCTACTATATGCGTAATTTAATATTCTACTCTATTCTCCTAATATTGCAAGTTTAAACAGACCAATATTATGCTGTTAGGTAGATTTGTAATAATTATTTATTTCCATTATTTTGGGAATGTTGGTTGTGTTTAATCCTTGGTTATTATAATAACATGTTTTCAGAATATCTGTATAATAAATCTTGCTAACTCTGCTTAATGCCTTAGGACAGAGGTTGGCAAACTATGACCTACTGCCTGTTTTTGTGAATAACATTCTATCAGAACACAGCCATATTCATTTGTTTGTATTTTGTCTATGGCAGCTTTGATGCTTTAAGAGCAGAACTGAACAGTTGGACACAGACTGTATGGCCTGCAAAACCTAAAATATTACTATGTGGCCTCTTATAGAAAAAGATTCTGACTCCTACCTTAGGGTAAAGTCCTAGATGTGAAATTTCTTGGTGTAGGTGTATGCATAATTTTATAATGTGTAATATACTATAAATTGTATTTCTGAAATTCTGAAGTGTGTGGCACTATTGTATGAGTACCTGCCACAATTACCAGGATTAAATTTAACCTTTAAACTTTCAGAGAATACCTTTTATTCTGATCTCCTACTGGATTTTTCAAAAATTCTGATACAAACTACATGCTCTTATGTTGAAAAATAAACTGATATTTCCTTTTTCCAAGAGATATTTTGATATTTTAAAATCACAATACTGACTTGTAGTTGGCCCTCCATAAGTATGTGTTTCTAGGGCATTCCAGTGAACTCACTGCAACGTCAGGTGATGCTTGAAGTATTTGACAGCAACCAAGGGGACAATTATTCATGAGAAAACTGAGGCTGTTTGGGTCTCACCCTTCCACTGTGTGCACATGAAAATCCCCTGGAATGTTCCAGTAAACACTGGAAAGTTTGTCTCTTTTCTGACTCCAAGAAGACTTTTATCCTCCACCATTAGTTTTGCCATGCTAAATTACCAGAACAAAAATGCTACATCTGTGTGTTTTTGCCCAAGAGTTTGTATTTTATTTTCTGTAGACAAGAGTAAGAAATACTTATGTATCTTTCTGTGTCTGCCTTATCAAATGCTCCATCCGCAAGATTTATATCTGTATACTTATACACAGAATAATTTTATTGACGAGTGAAAGACCCAAACAATGGGAAGCTATATTTTCCTTTCAACTGATATAATAACTCTATTATACAGTAATTATCTTATACAACAAAATTGTTGAGAAAATGATGTCTGTATAATATCTTGCAACACATAACAACTGGTATGTTCTTTAGAGCAGAAACTGCATCAGAAAGACAAGAAGGTTTCCACTCTCTGTCCTCCCACTTCATCTTACAGTGATGTTTAAATTTATAATTTACTTGTTCTTTCTTACTGTCAGATATTATTTAAAGAATGAGAAATGAATTCTTAAAGAATTAAATGTCTTTATTACCATCTTAAAGTGTCCTGATTATTGATTAGTTTGTGTTAGGTGTGAGCATGAAGGGCTATCACTGGAATGTTTCAGAGAAGATAAAGTCCCATTGGTATTTGACCTCTTGATTTTTGTCATGATAACAAATAAATTCATTCTACAACTTATTTAAACTTTGACCACGATATTTATTCATAAATGGGATACTCAGATTGTGGGTTTTTAAAGAGGAGATGACATTATTAAAGAAAAATGGTGTGTTTCTCTGAGTCTGGGAGGTGATGAAACAATTGGGGTTTGGGTATATTGAGAATTTTAACACCTGAACTGATACCAAGGTTTCCATATGACACCAAGTAACTTCCAGGTGATATTATCCCTTTCCACCACCTGCTCCCATCCTGGACTAGAAGACAAGGGAACTCTTACTCATTGTGTTTGTGTTGTCTTTGCTAAAGACACCGTGCTAAGTGATGTTCATTTGTGAAAGGTGGAAAATGGCTCAAGGCCAGCCATGGTCCTGAGTTGAGAAGAAGCATTCTGCCTCAGTGATTAACAAGGGGTTTGGGTTTTGATTTCACTGAATAGCAAACCCTGATGATCACTCCCATTGGGGTGTTTCAAAATGTAAGTGAGAATCCCTAGGTCAGAATTGCACCCTCACCTGCTATTACTTTAAAGTTCTAGGGTACATGTGCAAAACGTGCAGGTTTGTTACATATGTATGCATGTGCCATGTTGGTGTGCTGCACCCATTAACTCTTCATTTACATTAGGTATATCTCCTAATGCTATCCCTCCCCCCTCCCCCCTCCCCCCACCCCACAACAGGCCCCAGTGTGTGATGTTCCCCTTCCTGTGTTCATGTGTTTTCATCGTTCAATTCCCACCTATGAGTGAGAACACGCGGTGTTTGGTTTTTTTGTCCTTGTGGTAGTTTGCTGAGGATGATGGTTTCCAGCTTCATCCATGTCCCTGCAAAGGACATGAACTCGTCATTTTTTGTGGCTGCATAGTATTCCATGGTGTATATGTGCCACATTTTCTTAATCCAGTCTATCATTGTTGGACATTTGGGTTGGTTCCAAGTCTTTGCTATTGTGAATAGTGCCACAATAAACATATGTGTGCATGTGTCTTTATAGCAGCATGATTTATAATCCTTCTGGTATATATCCAGTAACGGGATGGCTGGGTCAAATGGTATTTCTAGTTCCAGATCCCTGAGGAATCGCCACACTGACTTCCACAATGGTTGAACTAGTTTACAGTCCCACCAACAGTGTAAAAGTGTTCTTATTTCTCCACATCCTCTCCAGCACCTGTTGTTTCCTGACTTTTTGGTGATCACCATTCTAACAGGTGTGAGATGGTATCTCATTGTAGTTTGATTTGCATTGTGGTTTGATTGGCCATCTGATGGCCAGTGATGATGAGCATTTTTTCATGTGTCTGTTGGCTGCATAAATGTCTTATTTTGAGAAGTGTCTGCTCATATCCTTCGCATACTTGTTGATGGGGTTGTTTGTTTTTTTCTTGTCAATTTGTTTGAGTTCTTTGTAGATTCTGGATATTAGCCGTTTGTCAGATGAGTAGATTGCAAAAATTTTCTTCCATTCTGTAGGTTGCCTGTTCCCTCTGATGGTAGTTTCTTTTGCTGTGCAGAAGCTCTTTAGTTTAATTAGATCCCATTTGTCAATTTTGGCTTTTGTTGCCATTGCTTTTGGTGTTTTAGATGTGAAGTCCTTGCCCATGCCTATGTCCTGAATGGTATTGCCTAGGTTTTCTTATAGGGTGTTTATGGTTTTAGGTCTAACATTTAAGTCTTTAATCCATCTTGAATTAATTTTTGTATAAGGTGTAAGGAAGGGATCCAGTTTCAGCTTTCTACATATGGCTAGCCAGTTTTCCCAGCACCATTTGTTAAATAGGGAATCCTTTCCTCATTTCTTGTTTTTGTCAGTTTGTCAAAGATCAGATGGTTGTAGATGTGTGGTATTATTTCTGAGGACTCTGTTCTGTTCCATTGGTGTGTATCTCTGTTTTGGTATCAGTACCATGCTGTTTTGGTTACTGTAGCCTTGTAGTATAGTTTGAAGTCAGGTAGCATGATGCCTCCAGCTTTGTTCTTTTGGCTTAGGATTGTCTTGGCAATGCAGGCTCTTTTTTGGTTCCATATGAACTTTAAAGTAGTATTTCCAATTCTGTGAAGAAAGGCATTGGTAGCTTGAGGGGATGGCATTAAATCTATAAATTACCTTGGGCAGTATGGCCATTTTCAAGATATTGATTCTTCCTATCCATGAGCATGGAATGTTCTTCCATTTGTTTGTGTCCTCTTTTATTTCATTGAGCAGTAGTTTGTAGTTCTCCTTGAAGAGGTCCTTCACATCCCTGTAAGTTGGATTCCTAGGCATTTTATTCTCTTTGAAGCAATTGTGAATGGGATTTGACACTCATGATTTGACTCTCTGTTTGTCTGTTGTTGGTGTATAAGAATGCTTGTGATTTTTGCACATGGATTTTGTATCCTGAGAATTTGCTGAAGTTGCTTATCAGCTTAAGGAGATTTTGGGCTGAGACAATGGGGTTTTCTAGATATACAATCATGTCATCTGCAAACAGGGACAATTTGACTTCCTCTTTTCCTAATTGAATATCCTTTATTTCTTTCTCCTGCCTGATTGCCCTGGCCAGAACTTCCAACACTATGTTGAATAGGAGTGGTGAGAGAGGGCATCCCTGTCTTGTGCCAGTTTTCAAAGGCAATGCTTCCAGTTTTTGCCCATTCAGTATGATATTGGCTGTGGGTTTGTCATAAATAGCTCTTATTATTTTGAGATACGTCCTATCAATACCTAATTTATTGAGTGTTTAGAAAAAGAGGGAATCCTCCCTAACTCATTTTATGAGGCCAGCATCATCCTGATACCAAATCCTGGCAGAGACACAACAAAGAAGAGAGAATTTTAGACTGATATCCCTGATGAACATTGATGCAAAAATCCTCAATAAAATACTGGCAAACCAAATCAAGCAGCACATCAAAAAGCTTATCCACCATGATCAAGTGGGCTTCATCCCTGGGATGCAAGGCTGGTTCAACATACGCAAATGAATAAACGTAATCCACCATATAAACAGAACCAAAGACAAAAACCACATGATTATCTCAATAGATGCAGAAAAGGCCTTTGACAAAATATTCAAGTTCTTTTAGTCCTATGAAAAGAGGATTTCTGGAGTTTAGTCTCATTGATTTCCATTTTTTACAAATGTCCAAGATATTTTTATGCACACAGAGAATTATTAGTAAAAAAGCGTTTTTCCACATTTTCCTTTACTGTAGAATTTGGGCTTTTGAATTTATTATGAAAAAGTGTGAGATCCTTGTATATATTCAATTTTTCATAATATGTAAAATAAGAATTTGTAATGTACTTAATGTACAGAATAAATTTAATATAGAGTGCCATTGAGTGGAAAATGTTGTGGCTATCAATTCAAATGACAGAGTTTTGAATTTTCATTCAGGTTTTCTAAGACTAATTCCTCAGCTATAAAACATTGAAATTTAAATCAAGCACCATGTCTAAACATCTTTTTATTCCAAGGTTTCAATATAGTGTCTTTTATCATTTATCACCCTGCACAGAGGTAGTCAAACTTCCACTCCACATGTATGAACTGACAGATATACACAGGCACAATTGCCTCACCTGGAAGAAATAAAAGGACTACAGTGCCCTTCTTCTCATAAGAATATTAATCCTGGATAATGATGGAATAAGGTATAATCACAGGATGAATCTCACTAATTTGATCTTTGTAAATTTCTAAGAAATTTGACTTAGTAAATATCTTCTTTGCCCTGGGATTCCTATGAGACCAGTTGTTTCTTATCCTTCATTCCTGAGGCAAATCTGTCATAAAGAGTTTTTTTCTGGTCTGGAGTGAGGAGCTTTCCATTTTACTTACTACTAATCAGTAATACATAGAATAACTGATATGTGAAAACATTGTGATAGAAGAGACTCTGAAGAGTCAACTATTTCACCTGTTGTGATGGAAAATGTTCAAAAACTGGCTTTCTGGGATAAAAAGCCCTGATTTTTAGCTTTGGCTGATTTCTGTGACCTAAATACACCTGGCTTGACTGATTTATAATTAACCTTGAACCTGGAGTTGGGAATTAATGAGCACCAGTCACTCTCACCAGCAGGCACAAGGCTCCGAAGCAGAAAAATATATTAATAGCTCAACACAGATGACCTGCAGGAAGGAATATTACCTACATCTTGACTTTTCAGGTTACTATGGTGTTTCCAATATTCCTTTTATTGTTACCAAAACATCAGCGGTTTGGTCTAGGCCTTGCTGTTCACTGCATAGAAAGCCAATCACTGAGAAGACAAGTATTACCAAGGAAGAGGGCTTTAATCTGGTGCTACAACCAAGGAGATGGGAGTTCAGACTCAAATCCATCTCCTGGACTGACTAAAACTAGGGGTTTATACAGCAGGGAAGAAATATAATAATGTGTAAGAAAGCAAGAACTAGGGAGGGGCAAGGAGGCATCTGGCGCCAATTTGGTGAGTTTCAGTTCTTTGATACCTTTTTTGAGAGGCCTGAAGGTCCTTTCCTGAGAAAGGAACTCAGATGAAATAAATACAAGTTTCAAGCTTTAACAGCAGAAGGGTCAATTTCTATGTTTTTTTGAAAGAACAGTCTATGGGAGTATTGAGCCAGTTTCATTACTTAGGAGAAAGTTCCTCTACTTTTTTTTTTTTTTTTTTTTTCAGACAGGGTTTCACTCTGTCACCCCAGCTGGAGTGCAGTGGCATGAACCTGGCTCACTGCAGCCTCAACCTCCTGGGTTCAAGTGACCCTCCTGCCTCAGCCTCCCAAGTAGCTGGGACTAGAGGCATGCCCAGCTAAAAGAGTTCCTCTAGTAATTAGTATGCATTGTCAGAAATACAATTTCCCTAGTGAGTGATTTCACTAAATTTTTTTCAGATCTTTGTAGCTATACTCATTAGTGACAGTCAGTGAGCCACTAGTTAAGGGCAAAAAAAAAAGTTCTGATTTAAATCTTTCAATTAGGTGGAAGTTCCTTTCTTCTACCTTCTCTTTCCTTCTTTGTCCTCTGCCATTCTCTCCTTTGTTCCCTCTCCTCATTATTTCTTGCCCTCATTCACTTTTCCCCTGCCTACCTGTCTCCCTCATGTTCTTCTCCATCATTTCTTTCCTTTCATTCATTCACATACATATATTAAACTCCAGAAATAGTCTTTTGCATAGAATTGGATTATAATAAATTTGGAAATAAATGTGTATATAAATCAATGATGATTACGTTAGAAAAAAGGTATTTGTCTCTGGCTGGCTGACACAATATTTGCTGCAAGTTCAACCAAACCATGGCTTTCATATAGGGTGTCTTGCCAAAGTATGCAGGCTAATTTCATGTCTTCATGTGTTCCTTCAATTTCGCCTACAGAGCAGGCCAAATTGATGGTATTTTAGAAAAATGTGTTTATTCTACCTTTCTAAACCCTTAGAAAATTCATTGTGCCATGTATTTTTAAAACATTTTATTATTTAAACTATTTCCCTTCACAATTCTTTAGGTAAGAATTTTAAAAGTCATCATGTATGACATTTTTGTTGAAACTTTGCTAACCTCATTATTCTTTTTATTTATATGTCTTAAGTGCTTTTGCTCCTGTCTCTTAATAAGAAAGTTTAAAAAAGAAAGTTAGGATTCTTAGGAAACCTGAGGAAATTGATATGAAAGGTCATACTAGTTTTACCAGATAGATATATTAGAGTTTTATTTTGGGCATAGGCCAACTGCTAGTTATTCTGAGACTTTAAGGCAAAAAGCAAATAGTTACTGTGATATTGTTTTTCTTTTGTTTTTTTTTTTTAACTTAAAAAATTGTTTTTACTGAGAAAGTCTCAGAATGTCAACAAAATAGCTGCAACTTTTTTCCTGCAATTATGGAGTGATACTTAGTTAACAGAACAGTTATTTCATATAAGAAGCATCAGGGACAACTGAAGTTGAAAAGCTACAATCCCCATAACCCATATATAACTAATTTGTGCTGTGTGCCATCAAGAACCTACTTTAAATTTCCATGCCAATTTACTAGGCAAGGCCAGTGGCTATTGAAAACACCATCAGAATGAGGCTATCTAAAAACACATTTGGTAGTGTGGTAACTATATAAAAAAAGACATTGTGTAGTTTAAAAACAAATCTTATACAGCCTTACATTTCAATATTTTTGTTTAAAATGAGTGAATTCTGTACAGGGGGTTTAAATGCTTTATAGACCAGAAAAAAAGGCTTTAGAACCAACTTATTCATCATCATGATCTTCTTCTTCTTCTTCCTCCTCCTGCTACTCATCCTCTTCATCTTCTTAATTTTCCTTCTTTTTCTTGCTTTTTCAGCCTTGACAATTCCCTTTTTTGCTACATCAGCCTTTCCTTTAGTTCTGTATGCAGCAATATCTTTTTTGTATTTTTCCTTCAGATTTGCAGCCTCTTTTTTCATAAGGCTGCTTGTCATCTGCAGCAATTATTCCACATGTTCCCGTTTCTTTGAAACATCATCAATGGATAGGCCAGAATGTTCTCCTTTGATTTTTGAACACTACTCAGAATAGAACCAAAAAAGTCAGAAGGAGGCCTCTGGGGTGGATTGGGATCCTTGAACTTCATTTTGTTTCCCCTTTAGGAGGGATATAGGTTTTCATTTCTCTATCATAACAAGGCTTGCCGGCTTTTGCTGTGTCTTCAGATTTTCCCCTCTCTTCAACACACATGGTCTTCCACCTCTCTAAGCACTTCTTAGAAAACTGTGAGAAGGTGACAGAAGTATCTGGATACCGTTTCTTGTGCTCCTCCTGACAATTTTGCACAAAAAATACATATGATGACATTTTGCCTCTCGGCTTCACAGGATCTCCATGGCCCATGTTTAGTTATTTTTCCTCAGTGAGGCAGAGTGTTGCCCAGTGCCTCTGCTGCTCTCACTTGCCCTGGCACTATCTCTATGGAGCTCAATGTACTTCAATCTGTGATGGTGTTTTGATGGGTAAATGTGGCAAGGCTAAACTACAGTAAATGTGGCAAGGCTAAACTACAGTCCCCTTTGTAGGATGTTTCTGGGATGATTGATTCTAGAATGGTATGATATGCTACTAGAGATCCTGTCTTGTGAGAGTTGGAGGATGGAAGGGTGGCCATTTTGAAGCGTGTGCTCACCTTCTTATGGCTATTCAAACACTAAGCTAGATGCTACAGTGAAGAGATTTTGCAGAAGTAATTCAAGTCTTTAATCAGTTGACTTTAAGTTAATCAAAAGGGAGATTATCCTAGGTGATTCTGATTAAGTTAGAAACATTTTAAAAGGGAACTCAGGCCTTCCCTGAGATTAGTGTTTCCAATGAGAATTTGAGTCAGCAGCTCCTCTCCCTTTCATTCTGTATCTTCCTTCCTAACTGCCCGTAGACTACAATGTTCGCATCATGCCCATGAGATTTCAGCCTAATTATGACTTTCCCTTCCTGACTGACTGCCCTACAGATGTTGGATCTGCTTAGCCAGCCCCTACAACTGCATAAGCCAATTTCTCGAAATACATTTTTC
Organism: Homo sapiens; assembly: GCF_000001405.40. Taxonomy (NCBI): domain Eukaryota; kingdom Metazoa; phylum Chordata; class Mammalia; order Primates; family Hominidae; genus Homo; species Homo sapiens. Next base: position 80,282,678 of record NC_000001.11, on the reverse strand, counting down.
CATATTTTCCTACTTTGTTTCTCTGGTTGAATGCCAACTAAAACATGACCTAAAAACCGTGTCCCTAAACTGGAGATTCTTTCAGAGATTGCTATTAAAATCATTGCATTTTACCTATCATCTATTTGTGAATTGTTAAAGTTTAAATAATGAAAAATTAATTTATGTAATAAATATGAATTGTTTATTTTGTACAAAATATGTCAGAATGCAGGTAAAGCATGATCAGTTTTAACATGTTTTCAGGTAAGATTATACTTAGTTCAGAAGAAGTAAAATGAAACTGGAAAATTATATTTTTATATTAAAAATTTAGTAAATGTGTTGAGTAAACAGTATAGTCAGAGAAAAATTCCCATAACATTAATGCTTTGAGGTTCTTTGGATCAGAATTGTTGAAAGATCTAATATATAACACAGTAAGTGTAATGTAATACTTTCTCATCATTTTTGCTATACGTAATCACTTGCTACTCAGCTAAGGTATGTTTTTCATAAAAAGAGAATTTAGGCTAATGACATAGTTATCCTGATTATCCCCTAAAGAATTCGCAAGATATAATAAAAAGATAGGTCTGAATTAGAAAATTGGAAGAAAAATTTGTTTCTGGCTTTATATAGAGAGGACCCATTGTTCAAGGAGTAAGGAACAGATACATGAGATCAAATCATTATTTTTTAAATAATACCTTGTCTCTGTATCAGGAAAATGAGCTAAGCTCAATTGAATAGTACAGTCTATTTGATATTTTTACAATCTTCGTGTAAGATCTGTGTGTACAAATGCCCACTGATAGACCAGGAACTCCTGGGGTTTCTAAAAACCAGCACTGAAGTCAATTAGAATAACAACTATTCTATTGTTGTTAGCAGAGAACAATTGTCGTTGTTAGCAGAGAAAATTTTTTTAAATATTAATCGAGCACCTACTATGGCCAGACATTATTTTAAGTACTATGGGGTTAGGAGTAGTTAAATAATAAACACGAAAAACATTGTTTCTCAGTTTAAGCAAAGTATAATCTAAAAGTCTTTAGTTCTCATCACAAGTCCAGAAAATTTTATATTTCTATATAATTATTTGCTTCTTTTATTTCTATGCAATCTATAAAGTAATAAAGTGATGCAAATAGCACAAATAAACTTATATTTTAGCAAATAAATAAAATAAACATTAATTTAGATAATAGAAGAGATTATGAATTGTATAAGTAGATATATAATTCTCATTACTATATGGCATAACATGATAATAGCAATGTCTCTAGTGTTTGCTAGTGTCCTCATGTTAGTTAATACTTGGCTATAGAGATGTAATTCTTCCTTTTTGTAGAAACTCTGTCACTTAGGCCGAAGTGCAGTGGTACCATCATAGTTCACTGCAGCCTTGAGCTCCTGGGACCAGGCAATCTTCCTGCCACAGCCTCCCGCGTAGTATGGCTGGCTAATTTATTTTTATTTTTATTTTTATTTTTGTAGAGACAAGGTCTCACTATGTTGCCCAGGTTGGTCCTGGCCTCAAGGGCTCCTGCTGCCTCAGCGTCCCAAAATGCTGGGATTGCAGGTATAAGCTACAATGCCCAGCCTAGAAATGTAATTCTTGATCTATCAGGAAATTTAATTTATTATTTGTACTTTATTTTTTTCATTTTATAATTGCTTAACTAAATTGTATCTTCTCACATTACTTTATGGAATCGCTAATTTCAAAGACTCCTGACCCACAGTTGTCTAAAACTTGAGGATAGCACTTATAAATGTCCTCTGGTTGTCACCTTTTATAGAAGCTCTCTAGTAAGAGCAGACACTTATTATGGAACTCAGAATTTCACCTTTGAAGGCATTTTGCTGGATACAGAAATCTCATTTTCTAGCATTTTCTCTCAAGTGAATAATTTGTGATATTGCAGATACTTGACATAATGGTTCTTATGCCCAGAATTCTCTTGCCTGGGGTTTGTTCAACTGGCTCTCATTCAGTATGCATTTAATGTGTATCTATTTCTAATGATTCTGCTTTTACTATTTGACTAGACCAGGGGTTGGCACTGTGGCCCATGGATGATATCCAGCTCACCTCCTGGTTTTATAAATAAAGTTTTATTGGAAAACAGCCATTCTCATTCATTTATATATTTTCTCTGGCTGCTTTTGCACTACAGCTTGCAAAGTTGAGTAGTTGTGACAGAAACCACATGGCTTGTGAGTTAGGCAGAATCCGAAAATGACCTCCCATGATTTCCTACCCTAATTCCCAGGACTGTGAATATTGAGGCTGTCTGGCCTGCATTGCAGCCCAACTTCTCCCTCTGCCCAATCTTGATTCTTTCTCTCTGGTCCACAGGCTTTGATTCAAAGTACACTCCCCTAGTCTGCTTCTCGGAAGACACAACCTGCATCACAGAGGTTGATCATCAAAGTCACTTATTTTCAAGGGTCTAGGCTGGACTCCCTTCCAAACTCTGTTATCCCTGCCACTTGTAAGAAACTGACAAATCCTTAACCATTCATGGCAATATGGTAATTTTCCTCTGGATTTTTTTTCCATGAATGATCTTCTTCCTTGGTTTGATTTTTTTTTAACTTATGAAGGATTCAGTCTTATGGTTATAATTAAGACTTAAAATGCCTAAATCTTGTACAATTGAGATGAGATTCAGGAGTTCCTTAAGAAAATGTCCCTGCAGGGAAGAAGCCCTGAAGCTTGAACTCCATCTTAAATCCTTCTTTGCTCATCAGTACTAGAAAGCTAGGGTTTAAAAGGAACCAAATTAGCTCTTGCATGTTTCACCTTTTAATAATTTGTCTAGAGTGGTATTCTTGAAAGAGTTCTGATTTGGAGTCAGAAAGCATTGGTTTGGGTCTACAGTCAGACAGACCTTGTTTGAACTCAGATCCTCCCATACTAGCTGCATGATCTTGAATAGGTTACGTAACTTCCTTGAATTTGAAACGTTCAGCTGTGGAGATATTAACATCTACCTCATTATCTTCCTCTGTGTATTATATGGAGAAAAATAATGTACAAAAGCACATAGATACTGCCTAGCACACTATAAGTCCTCAATAAAAATACAGTAATGTGCTGCATAGTGACATGTCGGTCAACCACACACGATATTTATGAGGTGTTCCCATAAGATTACAATGGAGCTGAAAAATTCCTGTCACCTAGTGATGTTGTAATTTCCAACAGAAATGGTGGTTGAATCGATTCTACCTTACTATTCTCACTCAAAATTTGAACTATTTGCACAAACTCTTTCTTCACCTGACATTTAATTGATTTCAACTAAAAATTGATATGATGATTTTAGACATGGCTATTAATTCCACCATACTGAAAACAATTTGGTAAACTTACTCTCTGGTGACCACAAATCAAAATAGTTACTCTATTACAATTAATTCCAAAATGAAGCTGCTATGAAAATTTATTTTATTATTATGATTGCATGGCATAAGTTGACATAACAATTACATACAGTTATAGAGACAACAAAACTCCTCAGCATAGCCATAGGCCTGCTCCTTGCAGCTGTTCTTAAATAAACAGGGAGGGACAAAGGGCAGCATGGATGACTTTCAGTGATTTCTTTTCAATTCACATCTATTTATACTGGAATTTTATATTAGAGTCTCACTATAATTGATAAAAGATTTACCCACTTTGATGAACACAGCATTGTTTCATCAAAGATTTAAAAAATAATATTGTTTGAGTGATCAACTCTCCAATGACATTTTGAACCTACAGAATTTTTCTTTATTTTTCTTGTGCAGAATCATATCAACTGCCTTCACTAAGCTAATCCAGCATATACATATTATCACACAACATTGTTAATGCTATCACTTTTTAGGTACCCCAAAATGTGAGAGTTTATACAGATACTTATAAGATTTCCATGAAATGTTTAAAGGTTAAATTTAGGAATTATGTAAGTAGCCTAAATCATACTTGTATGAATTTTACATATTGAATTTGGAATAAACATTTTATTATGATGTAGAAGAAATGTGTACAATAAATATTTTATGACAAGTCATAAAGTCTGTTATTATTTGTACTTCTGTAATACAATAGACCTGTTTCACAAGAATTTTTATGAAGATATATCTCTCTTTTTGTTTAAATGCAGAGGTTCTTTTTAACGCATCAATTTTACACAACAATCATGCATATCTGATATGTATCCATAATGGCCCTTCATAAAATCAGCATTTAAACTCTTACCTAATGCAGAGAAATTTGATTTACTGGAATATCTACCTTGATAGCAGCAGGAAAATGTTTACATAGGTTTTGCAGCATTAAAATTGTATTAAATTTTTTTGTACTTAACTGTAGGGCGAATGCAGAAAATAAAGACAAATGATTGACTAACATATGAAGGTTCTATATTTATAAACATATGACATACTGAAAAAACGGGGATGTCATTAATCTACTCTATTCATGTGTAAGTATTAACTTTCTATGCTTCTTATGATACATAAAAGAAATTATTATAACAGTAGAGAAGGTTTGTTGCATCAATACTAATGCTTAACAAATAGTGAGCTCTATGGGCCAGAGAAGTTTGTCATTGGCACACCATAGATCAATATTAAGTATGGAAACAATAAAGAAACATTGCAGTGCTTTTTCTTTGTAATCATTTTCCATTTTGTCCTTTGTGCTTTATTGAACTAAACTGGACTAAAAGCTCCAAATGAAAAGAAATTTTGGAAATAAATGATTGATAAATTAGCCCAGAATATTTGCATAGATAAGCAGTTTAATATTAAGGTGACATTTTTAATTTTTTTGGACACTGTTGACTTCGTTCCTTCTTAAAATTTTGTATTTTGTTTTTGTGCGTGTTTGTTTCTTTCATTGGTTTCTGCCACATTATCCTTTTTTAGTTCTTCTGTCAATTTTTAAACCACACACCACTCCTTATTTTTATTTCTCACAAAAACCTCTTGATCCACTCATTCTTTACAGAGTCCCTTGTTCTATTGTCTTTTCACTCTTCTACTTTTGCATACTTACCTTGAGGAATTTTATCCATTTGCATGGTTTCGACTATCAACTCTTTGCAGGTGACTCTGAACTCTATAATTCCAGACAACATTTGTTTCAAAATCCAGACTAATGATACCCAGTGCTTCTAAAAATTTCTATTTTGACATGCCAAAATAATCTGAAAATCTGTTCTGATCTTTTGCTGTCCGTTTCCTTAAACAATATCTCTGTAAGAGGAGCAAAAGCTAAATCTTCAATTGTAGCCCTATAGTTCTTCAGCTACTGCAGAAGAAGCAAAGAGAGGTGGGAAAGGAAAAGAAGATGCACAGAATTTTGGGGATAGGAGAAGCAATCACATGTCCAGCAAGAAGAGTGTCCAGATGTGTCCAGGCAAAATCGTGAAGCTTACCAGGTTCCTGCAAGAATTTTCCCAAAACAATCCTAGGTAAAGCTAATTCACTGGGCTTGGCATTCCCTTGTTGGACTGGCAGAAGCAAATAAACAATGCCCAAAACATGGGATAGTAAAGCATCATGTAGATTACAAATGCCCATTATAAGGCCTTAGAAATTTTTCTCATTTTATTTTTCTTTGTACTACCATAACGTTATATTGGTAGAAACTGAGAAAAAGAAATACCCTTATGTTGGTAGCAGCAAGTGAGGCAACAGAAATAAATAGGTAGAATTGAAACAGGAGAGTTCCCTGACCCCCATCACAGGATATGCAACAGGGGTGTGGCTCATCTGCTGGAGAGAGGGAGCCCACAGATGGGCAGGTGCAGGAGCTGGGGAGAGTGCTTTTGGGCTCAGGCACCATGGTAGTTCCTAGGGGTGGGTACCTGCGACTTTCGAAGCCCCAGTGGGCATCTTACAGTGCTCTTTTAGCTCTGCCTTCCATAGACGGCTTAAGTGTTAGCCAGTTTAGTGCCCTCTTGGTGCCCAGGTTCTTGTCTGGTGCCCAGGAATAATCAGGTCACTCATGGACTTGAAGGATGGTGAATGTGGGGGTTTCATTGAGTGTTGGAGGTGGCTTTCAGTGAGATGGATGGAGAGGTGGAAAGGAGATGGAGTGGGAAGATGATGTTCCCCTGGAGTTTGGCCCTCCCGCAGCCAATCTCCTCTCCGACTGTCCCCAGCCAAACTCCTCTCGAAGTTCAGGTGCTCCTTCTTTTCTCTCTTTTTCTGCTGCTCTGCCACTCTGCTGCTCTTCTTTTTGTCTCATCTGCTTACCTGCTTGTGGAGCCTGGAGTTTGGGGTCTATATGTGTACAGGATAAGGGGGTGTGACGGGCCAAAAGCCAACAATTGGGTGCAAAAATAGGTATTCCTGTCCCCATTTAGAGCTGTGGGTTTCCGGGCTTGAGGGTGTGGCCTTTGCTGGGGTACTGCGCTTTTTTACCCCAGTATATCCTTGCCTTCTGTCTGTATCCAGATGCCTCCAGTACATGACAAAGAATTTCTTAAGTTCATCACTAACAGTGATATCAAAAATACACACTTATCTCACACTGAAAACTTTACTATTATGTTGAAAACCAGAACAGATTAAGGAAAGTAAAGAACTATGGCAACCCAAACTATACTGTTGAAGACCTAAGTCAAAACAGCTTGTTTTTGTAAATTACCTATACCACCTCCATAGTTGTTCTGAAGACTATTAGAGAGTGGCAATGCTATGTACCTATTCAGGTGAGAAAAACTGAAATCATCCTAGGTTCCTTTAAACTCTCTTTCTCCATGTTCTTTTCATTACCAAGACCTATTTATCTTACCTCTAAAATATTTGTGGATCTACTCTTGCTCTAATTCCCTTTACTACTCTAGTGGCTCAGAGCCTCATCACTACTACCCTGGATTTTTACAACAGATTGAGTGAGTTTCTGGACTTTGAGGTTATCCACTTCCACTTCATCCATCCACATTTCTGTTAGTAATCTTTCTAAAATATAAATTGAATTATTTCAATACCATCTAATGGTTTCTAATGTTTCAGCATAAACTTCAGTTGTTTAGTATAAGACTCTTTATGCCATGCCCTGTGACTAGTCTTCCAATTCAATTTCTATTAATTGCTGCCCTTTCAAAACATAACATGATGTAGGCCTCTTTTTTCTGGACTAACTACCCTGGTCCACACCCTGTATATTATTATCTATTTGTATTTCAATAATTTGGTCACCTACCATCTCCAGAAAGAGGTTTTTATTTAACTTTCCTCTCTTTCCTTGTCCTTTTAGGCAGAACTAAAGATTTTCTTTTCTGTGCTTTACTTGTTCCAAAATAATTAACAAGTAAAACCTCAAAAAGTAAGGGCAGAAAACACTGTAACAAAATGTAAAAAGCAAACTACAAACTGGGGAAAAATAATTGCAGCATAAATGACACCCAGTAATAACCTTGATATATAAAGACCAATTTAAAAAGCAGAATAAAAAAAATGAGTAGACATTTTATAAAACAAGAAATATAAACAGCCATGCACATAAGAAAACATGTAAACATATTAATAATATAAAATACTGCATGTTGAAATATCCAAATATGACTTTTTAGTCAATCAAAATGTCCATCTAAAAAGGTTCTATAAATAAATATTGGGAACAGGGGTACACTTACATGCTGTTTTTTTCATAGGTAGATTTGTACATTATTACCAAAGGAAGTATGGCAGTATGTAACAAAAGATTAAAATATGTTCAGATCCTGAAATCTGGTATTTGCATTCCTGGAAATTTGTTCTACCAAAATAGTAAGAATGAATATTTTGATTCTGCAATTTCTTGTACAATTAAAATTGAGAACACTTTAATAGTCATAGAATAAGAAAATTATTAAAAAATTAAGAAATAAACATATTATATGTTATTATGTGTCACTAAAATCACTTCTATGAGTTTTGACACAAAGACATTGCAAATACTTGTTAGATAATGATGGTTACTTAAAACAAGACTCTATCTGAGGCACTATGCCAATTTAATCAATGCATATATACTATGAAGGTTTACTTCATTAACATCTGGATACACATTTAACTTTGTTAATATTAATATTTCCAAATGTTGGATTTCAGGAATCTTGAGTTATTAGATTCTTTTTCACAAAATAATTCAGAAAATTATAAAGAGCAATTATGTGTCCAAGTATTGGCCCCAGACCTTCTATAGAAAAACCCAGGCTGGCACGGTGGCTCATGCCTGTAATCCCCGCACTTTGGGAGGCTGATGTGGGCGGATGACCTAAGGTCAAGAGTTCGAGAGCAGGCTGGCCAACATGGTGAAACCCCATCTCTACTAAAAATACAAATATTAGCCTGGCATGGTAGTGGGCACCTATAATCCCAGCTACTTGGGAGGCTGTGGCAGGAGAATTGCTTGAACCTGGGGGGCCAAGATTGCAGTGAGCTGAGATCACACCACTGACCTCCAGCCTGGGCAACAGAGCGAGACTCCATCTCAAAAAAAGAAAAAAAAAAAAAAACCAAAGAAAGAAAGAAAAAAGAAAAACCCTGATCTTTGACACTTTATTCAAGTTGCAAACAATGTCTTCTTCAGTATCATCACTTAACCTCACTAGTGTACTCAAATATCTGATGTTCCAGTGTTAGTCAAAGAGTCAGTCACATTAGAGCTGCATTGAACCTGGTTATTTAAGCCCCTAAAAAGTGTTTACACATATAGCTGTTTCAATTCATACACAGCTCCATTTTTCTAGGGCACACATATACCTATGACCAGGTTGCCTAAAATAGCATGAATGCTAATATTGTTGCTGTGCTATACTGGGAGCTATTTTTCTTTTCCAAATTTATTGTCTTATTTTGCTCTGTCTGCCATAATAAAATCCCACAGACTAGGTGGCTTAAACAGCAAAAATGTATTTCTCACAGTTCTAGAGGTGGGGAAGTCCAAGATCAAGGGTACATCTATGATTCCTGGTAAGACAGCTCCCTTTCACTGTGTCCTCACATGGCTAAGAGAAATCTGGTGTTTTGTTTTGTTTTCTTTTCTTTTCTTACACAAGCACCAGCCTTATCAGATGAATGTTCCACTCTTATAGTCTTATTAATGGCTTAATTATTTTCTAAAGGTCCTGTTTCCAAATACAGTCACATGGGGGGTTAAGGCTTCAACATATGAATTTTAGGGGCATGCATTTTAGTTCATAACACTCATCGTAATTTATTCATGCATTTATAAAAATTAATTGAGTACACAGAATCAGAGGACACCAGAAACACATCAAAACTGGAATCCGAAAAGCTTCCAGCCTAAAAAGAATATACCCTTTTAAATGACAGAAAAGTCTATCAACCAATAATCGATAAGAGTATAATAAAGGCTACAACAGAATTATGCACAATGTGCTTTGAAAGACGAGTAATTTTTTTTTTACTGAAAAGTGACATTTCATGTAGAATTTGAAGACAAATAATAGAGTAAGAGATGAATATTGGGAAAATGGTCATGGGAAACAAGAAAAACATAGATTGGCTTAGTGTAGTAAAACAATTGACATATTTAGAGATTTCTGTGTAGTTTATTATGTTGAAAGCAAAACACTGTTCACAATGGAGAGTAGCACGACAGAAGCAAAAAGGATTTGTGATGCCTAATATTATGAAGTGCAGTGTATGGCTTGTTGAAATATTAGACATTTCCACATAGGCATAAAAATAATCACTAAAAGTTTCTTTTTTTCAATAGAGCTAGTCACATTTGTATTTTAGACAGATCACTATAGAATCAATGGGGACAGTAACCTGGTCAGAAAGAACTGGAAAATGGGAGCTCCATTAGCAATTTATTGTAATCCTTTGGTTAGGAAACTAAGAGATCTTAAGCGAAGGTCATGGCAGTAGTCAGGCAGAGAGAAGGTGCTAGCTTTGGTACCTAGATCTAGTAATAGATTTGGCACAGTTACTAACTGGCTACTAGATCCTAGATTGGGCAAATGACCTATTGGTGATGTCATCTTTTTATGAGAAAGAAAAGGAACCATAGGCTTGTGTGAGAAAGAAAAAAAGAAGAGTTTCATGTATTTCATTTTTGGGGGGAGTCATCAAAGCAATTACTTTTACTAAAGAGTTGGTGATGCTGGTCTGCAGTCCTTGAGAAGTTGAAGCTGGAGATTTAGAAACGGCAGTCTTTAAGTGTAAGTCATAGTTTAAGTGCTATGTTTTTAACTTTAAGTTATTTAATTAAGCCAAGATATTAAAATCCATGGGAAAAGATTATTGTAGGACATGAGCTTAGAAAACTGTGGATTGGATAAAGGTAAAGTGTGTGGAAGAATGAAGAATTCTGAGTTCTGAGAAAAAATGAAATTTTTAATTGCTGTATACTTTCTAGTACTTAGCCTGCTATCTTTAAAGCTAAATAAGGGCATCATCTTCCAGATCTTCAACAATGATGACTTTCAAAATCCTTGTTAGAAAGGTCGTTGTTCTAACAACGTTTACTTTTGTGAAAACCTTCCAAAATTTTGTGCATATTTTTTATTTTGTCCCTATATTTTTGCAATCTATTCTTCCTATGCTCCTTCTTTTATTTACTCAATGAATATTTAATGAATATCTATGCAGATACTTTTCTTGGGTCTGGATATATAAAATTTAAATATATATCCTCCAAAATTTTACATTCTAGCTGGAAGGAGGCAGTCAAATGCATGAACAAAATGTAAAGAATTATGAAATTCTTCCTCAGCCTTTATTCCAAAATAATAATATTCACTGTGACTTCATCTTTTTCTGGCCCAGGCCAGATGACAAAGGACAGCCATAAAGAGTCAAAAAACCTCTCAATCTAAAAAGAAAATAATTATTTCTCTACTTATCACATAAGAAGTTCTGTTCTAATGACTGAGGCTAAGCACACACTTTTTCAAATGGCTGATTTCTCCACAGAACACAAATTGAGTTTCCTTTCCTTATATGAAAGAAGTGATAGTTTCAGTGAAAAAAATACATGTTGTGTTTTTTAAAAAATTTAGTTAGTGCCATATTGCCCTGCATATATTTCACTTTGTTAATTTTGAATGCAGATTAAAATGCCTTCTTTTTAACCTTAAAGAGATTTTTTTACTGATGATTTCCAACTGAAAAATCAATTCCAAACTAATAATCTTCTAAATATATCCATTAGAAAGTTCAATTGCATTCATGATTAAATCAATTTATGTTCTTCTCCAAAAGATTTTTATTATTATTTTTTTAACATAGAGTCTTCTATCTTAAGCTTATTAAGCTCTTTGCATACCAATTTTATTTTATTGAAATGTTTGATTTTTCAAGGCAACAGATAGTAATTCCCAGATTTTCAGGTCAAGCAAATTATACACTATGTTTAATGCCTTTGGGTGAAGTGAGATACACTCTCTTTAAGTGATCATCTTGGTAAAAAGTTTCAAGATTGCTTTTATTCAATTTTAGCAGCAACAATTTGTGGTTTGTTGCATGACCTATACGTTAAATTAATTTAGTAATATAGCCAGGTTAAATAATACAACAGACAAGACTACTAAAGTACCAAAATTACCATGAAGCAATCTTACTAACAGATTTCATGAGAAAGTTAGCCAAGTTTATTATTTCACAAACTTATATTTGTTAATTCACCATATCACTGAAGATTAGCATTATTAAGAATTCATAGCCTCCTCCCACACCTAGTGTCTGGCCTCATCTCTGGTAGTTACACCACACTGCATGCCTTCAATACTCATATTCCTTTCCTCTACTTGGAGAAGACAAAATCGTATCAATGATATTAATGAAAACTCACTTCCTTACTTACATACATATATCCTGTAATTCGGGCAGAATTTTTCTTCTCTGGCACTTGTTGCACCACAGAAAAATAAATAGTTGAGAGAACCCAGAGAGACAACTCGAGGTGTGGTGCAGGCATCAAGTGTTTCCAGAATGCACTTCTCATTTGGCAAAAAGCAAAATGCTCCTTCTTCTGGTCAGAAATAGGGTGTACAAGAGTGAGGAGGAAAGCACTTTCACTGTGAAGTTGGCTATGGTGGGGATTGAAATACAAATTTTGTGTGTCCTTATAAGCACATTAATGTTTTCTGCTTAAAGTTAAGTATGTTGACTTGTAAATTCTCAAGGATGGCATCTGCCTTCAGGGGATTCAGGGAAAAGAGATTCATTCCCATTCCAGTGAGAGCCTCAGGAGTGCTACACTCCCCACCTTTAAGGGTAATGGGAAAGGAGGCAAGAGGGCTGAAAGAAGGTGCACTTGGGATCAGAGATGTTGAGGAATCTGAACTGGAAATGACCCTTCTTAGTCTTTTCATTCAAAACTTCATTTTTACAAAGAAGGCCGTATGATTATATTCCCACCCAGAACACATGCAGAAGTTGACATTTTTTTTTTTCAAATTCAATGTTGCTGTATTTCTCTACATTTTCATGCGTATCAAAATCTTTCAAAATTATGCCTCTGCCATTCAGCTTATTCAGTTATTTATCCTAGCCTTTGTACCAAGTTGGTCAGTCAGTGCATCACCAGTGTCTTCATCTAAATGTTGATTGTGGTAATTGAATACAGCCCAGTTGTACGACTCTAGAAAACTTCACTTGAATTGGTATACATTTTATTATCTGTCATGATCTTCGTGTGTGGTCAATCAATAACAAATGACACAATGTAAAGTTGTGTCACAAATCCACACAACTGTATTTTTGTTTATTCCATACTGTTCCATCTGACCCACATGAATGTCATTCATTAATTCATTAACTGAACATGTAACAGAAGTTGTCACTGTGTAGGTAAAATCCAGGTGTCAAAGCTACAAATCTGTTCAGAAACCCAGAAGAAAATGTTTATATGGGATCATTTCATGAGCAGTTTTAAAAAATAAGTTTATCTTGTTTGTACCTTATCTTTAGTATGTCACTTATTAACATATGACGTTCTTAAAATATCTAGTGAAAAACATTGGCTACATTACATTTTTAACTTAAAATATATTATACTTTGATATTCTAAGATTCTGATGTGCATGACTTTTTAATCTCATTTTCATTCTTGGTGTATTTCCTTCTTATAAGCTATTATTCATTAAACATAATATGCCATTAGATATAAAATAAATGAGGTTGAAATCAATTTATACCTATCTTTTTGGGGGGTAGTTCTTTTATTTCGGTTGTATGGGAATTTTATAGCATAATTTTTCCTAAGGCCACCCTGTGATGTTATTTGTCATATTGCTATAAAAAGGCTAAAACTGACATACCAATTTATGGTTACCAAAATAAGTGCTATTCATAACAAATGCACTTTTTCTTTATTCTTTATGAGGCTGGAAGAAAAAAGGACTGTGTAAAAGTCAGTACTGTTCCGTATTTACCTATTTCATGGAAAGATCTATACTTATATATATATGTGTGTATTTAGTGCCAAATATACCAGTGAAAAATATGATTAGTTAGTAGAGGAATTACTTATCAATAGAGATAAGCAATGGAAATAATGGCTCCCAGTAACAAATTCTAAGGTTGTCACTTACATCTGGACATGCACTTTTTAGATATTTTTTTTGTAGAGACAGGTTCGCACTATGTTGCCAGGCTGGTCTCAAATTCCGAGACCAATCCTCCCACCTCTGCCTCCTAAAGTACTAAGGTTACAGGTGTAAGCCACTGTGCCTGGCCTGGACATGCACTTTTAATTCTTCGGACATGGAGTCAGAAAAATAACAATTAAAAAAAAAGAGAAAAATAATCAAGGAGGTAAAGAATAAGATATGCGTAAGAAGAAAGAACAACAGAAATTAAGACTAGCATTTGGACTTAAAATCTACTAGAAACAATGAAAATCTAAGCATATGACTGTGTCATCAGCTATAATAGAGGATCTTTATCACTGACTTTTGGGATTCCACAGGAAAGAATGATCAATCATGTCTGAGTGGATCAGAAAAGCATTCACAGAAAAGAATATTCATGCAATAGGCTTTAAATATGGGCAGAAGTTCAACAGGCAATTAAGAAGCAGTATGGGCTTTCTAAATAGAAGAAAATATAGTCAATAATGCAAAGGCAGGCATGAGATAGAGCAGTAAGTTTTGGAAACTGTAAACATAAGAATGGACCATACCATGACCTTCAGAAGAGCAGTGATGCTAATACAGTGAGTGATGCATGACCCAGAGTGTGAAAGCCATGGAAACCATGTCAAGACCATACATTTCATTCTAGATTCAGAGAAAGGGTCCTGAAGGTTTTTAATATGGAGAAGGCAACGTCATACAGCAGTCCCCACTTATCATTGGCTTTGCTTTCCACAGTTTCAGTTGCTTTCTATAATATTAAAAAATGGTCCAAAATATTAAATGGACAATTCCAGAAATAAACAATTTCTAAGTTTTTAATTGCAGGCCATTCTGAATAGTGTTCTTAACTCTTCCACTATCTCACTCTGTTGCCAGACATGAATAATTCCTTTGTCCAGCATCTCCGCACTGTCTACATTCCCACTCTTTAATCAGTCTGTAGTCTTTTTAGTTATCAAGCCCACTGCTTCAGTATCACAGCGCTTGTGTTTACGTCACTCTTACTTTATTTAATAATGGACCTCAAAGGGCAAGAGTAGTGATGCTGGGTCTAGAGATCCACCAAAGAGAAGCCATAACTTACTTCCTGTAAATGAAAAGGTGAAAGTTCTTGAAGTAAGAAGAGGAGAAAAAACGAAGAAAAAAAAAAAAACATAGGCTGAGTTTGCTAAGATCTCTAGTAAGAATCAGTCTTCTATCTATGAAATTGTGGAAAGTGTAAAATAAATTTGTGCTACTTTTGCTGTTGCACTTCAAACTGCAAAACTTGTGGCCAAAGTCCATGAAAAGTGCTTACTTAGGTTGGAAAATGCATTCAATTTGTGGGTAGAAGACAGGAATAGAAATGTGTTTCAATAGACAGCAAGTGGTTTTGGTACTATTCACCCCTTCAGGCATCCACTGGGGTCTTGGAACATGTCTCTCACACATAATGGAGGACTACTGCATTTACATATTTACACTTACAATGTCACATTTACATTACTTTATATTATTTTTCCCACTCCATCTCCTCCATATAATGGTCTAGAGGATGAAAAAAATAATAAAGATACTTAATACTTTCCAACACTATACCAAGACAACTTACTCTTACCCAATGTGATGAGTCTTAATGACCAAGATATGTGTGGATTAAATTTGAGCTTAAGAAAATCTTAATTTAAAAAGTTAAATAAGGCTGGGTATGGTGGCTCATGCCCGTAATCCAAGCACTTTGGGAGGCCAAGGCTTGCAGGTCACTTGAGGTCAGGAGTTCAAGAACAGCCTGACCAACATGGTGAAACCTTGTCTCTACTAAAAATACAAAAAATTAGCCAGTTGTGGTGTCTCACACTTGTAATCACAACTACTCGGAAGGCTAAGACAGGAGAATCGCTTGAATACAGGAGGCAGAGGTTGCAATGAGCCAAGGCACCATTACACTCTGGCCTGGGCAATAGAGCAAGACTCCATCTCGAAAAAAAAAAAAAAAAAGTTAAATAGGACTATTATTTACTTGTGTTTCCCAACTAGGTTACAGAAGTTTTATAACCTAATGAATTACTAGGCTACTATGCTCTCATTCTGATGATAGCTCCTTAATGCTAAAAGCTGAGTTGGTTTTTCTACTGCCAGGATCTTTTAAAAATTTTTTTAAAAAACATTTCCTATCATTATATCCTAAGGCACCTTCCCACCAGTGCAGCTGCCATAGTGTTTTTCCTCAGCATCTTGCCTTGTTTTGCTGCTCCGTCGCAGTAGTTTCATACCTGAGGCCAATTTGTACTTCTCTCCTGTAGTTAAACCAGCTGTTTTATAATAACATTGTTGGTTTCTCTAAATGAATAGTAGAGAGAGCAGTCTTTTACAATATCTTAACATTTGTAAGACATGAGCACTAAGGGATCTGAGAAAATCTATAATATGAGAGAACATAAGAAGTTTCTCTATTTTTGAAATGTTTTGTTAACATGGAAATGCATTAATAAGAAATAATGGCAGTCCCTCACCTATTACTGATTCTGAAGCATTTTGGTATTTAAAGTTAGGTTAAAACAGGAATGTTGGTCCATCAAAGTTGTATATCTCTTTAAATCCCAGAAACTGTTGGCAGGCAAAGAGAGAAAAGGAAGTGGCAAAAGTTGAACTTTAGCTGCTTAAATAAAAAGGTATCTGTTTTGATAATCAGCATAATAGGAGTAAAGACACATTCAAATGGCGTTTATCTTTTTAAACTATATTTCATTTATATTTCATTAATAAAACCCATGTTTTTAAATTACATGTAACACTTCTTAACCACATATAAAATCCTTAACACTTCTATACTATCATGCTTTTTAGAAGGGTTATCATCTTGGACACAAAATGACAAATATTACATTGGTTTTTCATGTGTCTCTCAAAAAACTAAGAATGATAATATTTTTGTTCTAGGTCTCAAAAATATTTTGTATCATATATTTTCTCCAATATAAAAGTTGATATGGTATTTTAATTATAATATTTAATAAAGTTAGAATATTTAATTAGAAAGCCTTTACAGATAAGTCACTGGAGTTATTTTATCCCCATCTCTGTTGACTATAATCAAAATAAAATATACTCCACTTGAGTTCACGAAATGGTACAGTAAGCCCTTTGCTATTATGAGTGATGAATTAAGATTCTGCTCATCTACTATCATGTTTCAGATGTTAAATATGATAAGCAGTCTCAAGTATTTATAACATTAGTGTTTTAGAAAGATACCATTATTAAATTTTAGAGAGGAAATTCAAAACTGAGAGTGAATTTAATGTTTATTTCATATTTATTATTTTTGTGTTTAATATTTTTTCAACTTTCATTTTAGATTCAGGAGGCACATGTACAGGTTTGCTACTTGGATATATTGCATTATGCTGAAATTAAGATCGCATCAACCAGATACTGAACATAGTACCCAACAGATAGCTTTTCAACCCTTCCTATCTCCGTCCCTCCTGTCCACTCTAGTAGTTCCCAGTTACTACTGTTGCCATCTTTATATTTATGAGTACCTAATGTTTAGTACCCACTTATAAGTTATAACATATGATATTTAGTATTTAGTCTTCTGTTCCTGTGTTAATTCTTAGGATAATGGCCTCCAGCTCCATCCTGTTGAAGCAAAGAACATGATTTTATTCTTTGTTATGCCTTTGTATATTCCATGGTGTACATCTACCACATTTCCTTTATCCAGTCCACCAGTGAGGGGCACCTAGGTTGACTCTATATCTTTACTATTGTGAACAGTGCTGCAATTAACATGAAAAGTGTATGTGTGTTTTTGGTAGAATAATTCATTTTCTTTAGGTTATATACCCAGTAATGGGATTGCTGGGTTGAATAGTAGTTCTGCTTTAAGTTCCTTGAGAAATCTCCAATCTCTTTTCCACAGTGGCTGAACTAATTTGCATTCCCACTAACAGTGTGTAAGTGTTTCCTTTTTTGGCAGCCTTGCCAGCATCTGTTATTTTGTGACTTTTTAATAATAGCCATTCTGACTGGTATGAAATAGTATCTCATTAAAGTTTGGATTTGCATTTCTCTGACAATTAGTGATGTGGAACGTTTTAAAATATATATTTGTTGGCTGTTTGTGTTACTTTGAGAAGCATATGTTCATGTCTTTTGCCCATTTTTTAATGCTTATTGGGTTAAGTTCCTTACAGATTCTGGATATGAGACCTTTGTCAGAGGTGTTGTTTGCGAATATTTTCTCCTATTCTGTAGGCTGTTCATTGTATTAACAGTTATTTTGCTGTGCAGAAACTCTTTAGTTTAATTAGGTCCCATTTGTCAATTTTTTTATTGTGGCAATTGCTTTTAAGAACTTAGTAATAATTTCTTTCCCAAGACTGACGTACAGGATGGTGTTTCTTAGGTTTTCTTCTACAATTCTTACCGTTTGAAGTCTTACATTTAAATCTTTAATCTATCTTTTGTTAATTTTTGTATATGGTAACATATAGGGGTCTATTTTCATTCTTCTGCATATGGCTAGCCAACTATCCCAGCACCATTTATTGAATAGGGAGTCCTTTTCCCATTGCTTATTTTCGTCAACTTTGTTGAAGGTCAGATGGCTGTAGGTGTGTGGCTTTATTCCTAGGCTCTGCATTTAGTTTCATTGGTCTATGTGTTCAGTTTTTAAATTTTTTTTTATTTTTTACCAGTATCATGCTATTTTGGTTTCTGTAACTTTATAGTATAGTTTGAAGTCAGGTAATGTGATGCCTCTGGCTTTGTTCTTTTTGCTCAGGATTTCCATGGCTCTTCAGGCTATTTTTTTGGTTCCATATACACTTTAAAATAGCTTTTTTCTAATTTTGTGAAAAATAACATTGGTAGTTTGAAGGAAATAGCATTGAATCTATGGATTGCTTTGGGCAGTATGGCCATTTTTTTTCAACATTGATTCTTTCTATCCATGAACATAAAATATTTTTCTATGTACTTGTGTAATCTCTGATTTATTTTAGTAGATTTTCTAGCTTGTGGGCATGGAGGTATTCATAATAGTCTCTCAGGATCTTTTCTATTTCTATGGGATTGATTGTAATGCCAACTTGGTTGTTTCTGATTTTGCTTGCTTGGATCTTCTCTCTATTGTTTCTTGTTTTTTTTCTTAATCTAGCTAGTGGTCTATGAATCTTGTTTATTTTTTCAGAGAACCACATTTTGGTTTTGCTGATTAATTGCATGAATTTTCGTGTCTCAGTTTTATTCTGTTTTGCTCTGATTTTAGTTATTTTTTTTTCCCTCTGCTAGCTTTGATATTAGTTTGTTCTTGTTTCTGTAGCACTCTAGGTGTGATGTTAGATCATTAGAGATCTTTCTAACTTTTTGAAGTATGTGTTTAGCACTATAAACTTTCCTCTTAACACAGCTTTTGTTGCATCCCATGAATTTTGATAAGTTGTGTTTCTGTTTTCATTATTTCAAAGAATTTTTTGAAAATTTCTGATTTAATTTCATCGTTTACCTAAAAGTCATTCGGGAACAAGTTGTTTAATTTCCATGTACTAGTGAGGTTTTGAGAGATCTTTCTGGTGTTTATTTCTATTTGTATTCCACTGTGGTTTAAGACTATGGTTGGTATAATTTTGATTTTTTAAAATTTATTGAGATTTGCTCTATGGCCAAGCATCTGGTCAATCTTGGGATATATTCTGTGCGCAGATGAGAAGAATGTATATTCTGTGGTTTATGAGTGAAGTATTCTGTGGATGTCTATTAGATCTAATTGGTCAAGTGTCGAGTTTAAACCCAGAATTTCTTTGTTAATTTTCTACCTCAATGATCTGTCCTGAATGTTGTCACTGGGGAGTTGAAGTACCCCACTATTATTTTGTGGTTGTTTACATCTTTTTGTAGGTCTAGAAGTGCAACTTTTTATGAATCTGGGTGCTTCAATGACGGTGCATATATATTCAAGATAGTTAAGTCTTCTTGTACTGTATCCCGTATCATTAAGTCATGCTTTTCTTTGTCCTTTTTTACTTTTGTTGGTTGAAGATCTGTTTGATCTGATACAAGAACCATCTCTGCCTTTTTGTTTGTTTGTTTTCCATTTGCATAGTAGATCTTTCCCCAACCCTTTACTTTGAATCAATGGGTATTATTACATGTGAGAAGCGTTTCTTAAAGCAGATGGATAGATTGTTTTTTTAATCCAACTTGCCACTCTGTGTCTTTTAAGTGAGGTATTTAGACTATTTACATTCAAGGTTAATATTGAAATTTGAGATTTTTATCTTATGAAATTGTTAGCTGGTTGCTTTGTAGTTTCTATTGTGTCATTGCTTTATAAGGTCTGTGGGCTATGTACTTAAGTGTGTGTGTGTGTGTGTGTGTGTGTGTGTGTGTGTGTGTGTGTTTGTGGTAGCAGGTATTGTTATTCTGCTTCTATGTATAGAACTCTCTTGAGGATCTCTATAAGGCTGGTCCAGTGGTAACAAATTATCTTACTGCTTGCTTGTCTGGAAAAGATTTTATTTCTCCTTTGCTTATGAAGTTTAGTTTGGTGTGATATGAAATTCTTGGTAAGAATTTATTTTCTTTAAGAATGTTGAAAATAGGCCTCCAGTCTCTCCTGGTTTCTAATGTTTCTGCTGAGAAATCCATTGTTAGCATGATGTGTGCTGACCTTTTCCTTTAGCTGCCTTTAAGATTTTTTCTTTAGTGCTGACCTTGGGCAGTCTTGTAACTATATACCTTGGTGATGTTGATTTTCAATTTGTATAGTTTCTCACAGGTGTTCTTTGGATTTATTGTATCTGGATGTCTACTTCTCTACCAAGATTAGAAATATTTTCTTGAATTTTCCCTCAAATATGTTTTCCAGGTTGTTTACTTTTTTTCCTTCTCTCTTAGGAATGCCAATAATTCATAAGTTTATTTGCTTTACATAATTCCATATTTCTTGAAGAATTTGTTTTTTAAAATTCTTTTTCAAATTTTTATCTGACTGGGTTTGTTCAGAAGACTGGTTTTCACTCTCTGAAATTTTTTCTGCTTGTTCCAGTCTATTGATAAAGCTTTCAATTGTATTTTGAAATTCCTTAAGTGGTTTACTTAAATCTAGAAGTTTCGATTCATTTCTTTGTAAGATATTTATTTTCCTTCATTTCCTGGATTGCTTTAGAAGTTTCTTTGTGTTAAATTTTAATCTTGTCTTGGATCTTGCAGCTTCTTTGCAATCCATGTTTTGAATTCTTTATCTGTCATTTCTGAGCTCTATTTTGGTTTGGGACCATTGCTGGAGAGCTAGTATAATCCTATGGTGGTGTCTCTACATTCAGATTTTTCATAGTGCCAATATTCTTGCACCAATTTCTTCTTATCTGTAGATGCTGGTACTTCTAACTTTTATTATTATTTGTGTTTGGGTAGAATTTTTTCTTTTTCTTTCTTTCCCTATGTTTTTGTTTTTCTTCTTTCTCTTTTTCCTGTGCCTAGAGGGTGTGACTGTAGAAAATGCTGGGTAAAGTCTTTGGATCTTTTTGCTTCTTTTTGCACTTCTCTTGGCAGATTTTATATTGGGCTGTGCAGTCCAACCTACAAGCCAGTAAATGGTACAATAGAGCTGGCTGTCTTTGACATGGCTTGATGCTTTTTTACTGGAAAAAATTTTATGGTGCCTCAGGTAATGGGCTGATTCATGAAATGCACAGTGGTCTGATCTCCCTGCTCAGCCCTGGAGGGGGTGGGGGCAACAATGGGTGGAGCCAGACCAGGCAAGTCTGCCCTAAAATTCCCCAACGGTAGGCACAAGCACCAGCACAAAGGGAGAATCCAGTTTGTGGCCACGAAATACCCAGAAATATGCCTAGGCATAGAGGTGGGAAACCTGCTTGGCTCCATGTCCTCTTCATGGGGCAGCCTAACTTCTAATCCAGGAGAGTGAACAATTTGGATGCCTGTAGATTTGTCTGGCCATGGAACCGAGAGGGTCCCACCTCCACTAAGATCTCTGCACAGGAGGGGTAGGGTAATTCAAGCTGTTGAACCAGGCAGTCAGGTACATTGAATATCTGGAGATCTGCCTTGGCATGTAGCAGAGAAGGTTCCCCTGCACCAGAATCTCTGACCCAGATGAGCTGGTGCTCCAGATGCCTTGCAATCTGCCTGGGCATGGAGCAGAGAGAGCCTCACTATACCACAATCTATGCTCATAAGTGTTGGCTGACTCAGGCTGAACCAGATGAGCAGGTGCTCTGAATGACTGGGGATCCAGCTTGGTATGAAGCAGAGGGCCTCTCTGAACCTGCACCAGATTCTCTGCACAGGAAGGGTGGCTGCTGATCCAGGTTAGTGGGTGCTCCAGATGCCTGGATATCTGCTTGGGCATGGAGCAGAGAGGGCCTCACTACACCATGTTGTATGCCCAGGAAAGGTTGGGCATAGATCATGGTATAGCATACACCTGGCTCCAGCTGCTGAACCAGGAAAATGGGTGCTCTGAATGCTTGGATATCTGCCTGGGTGTGGAGTGGAAAGGGCTCCACTGTACCATGATCTATGTCCCTGAAGGGTGGGGCAGCTCAAGCTGCTGCTGATCCAGGCAAGTGTGTGTTCTCAATGCCTGGATTTCTGCCTGAGGATAGAGTGGAGTGGCCCCTGATGTGCCATGATTTCTGGGGAGTAGGCTCTGACACCCAGAAATGGCATATGCAAACTGGTTCTAGTTCACCAAGCTGGCTCTGGCTGCAAGTCTTGCTGCCCAGGAGAAATGCAGCTGTAGCAACTCTCCTCCCACTCTAGGCCTACAACAGAGGAGAGCACAATTCCAGTGCCTACTGTTCAGATGCTTTCACAGTACTGGCTGTTGAGGCCCTTATCCTGCTCCAGAGCAGGTGCTTCAGCCTCTGGTCCAATACTAAAATAACTACATGGCAACACTAAAATGCCTACATGGCCAATTCTGTCATTAAAGAAAGGATGGCTGGCTTTGTATGAGTCTGGATTAAAAATTGTGTCCTGCTGTCAGTCCCAGGTTTGGGAAAATGTTGCAGCATTTCCCACTGTCTTTTCCTCACAGTGTCTCCAGGCCTCTCCCCAGGTTAGCTCCAGTACTTGGCCTGGGTTGCTCAGATACCCAGAGTCACAGAGGAATGCTCTCTGCCTCTGTCACATACTGGGGTTTTACTCATTTTTATCAGCTGGACACTGTCATGGGGGCTGTTTGCAGGCATTCTCCTCGCAATTTTGATGGATTTCCATTTTTCTTCTTGAATTAAAGCTCACAAGTTGATCTTTATGCACAATATTCCAAATGGCTGAGGTACACTAAGAGCTTCTAATCCACCTTATTGGGGAAAAAATAATATTTAAAATGTACTATCTTCTCTTAGTACATTGTGTCATGAAGAACTCATACAGCTGATATTTTCCTTGTAGTAAGTTTTACGGAAAAACTGGATCAAATTTCTTCAAGTCATTTGTGAGAGACCAATCAAATCTGTCACGTGAGTAGGTAGGAGGGTCAGTAGGCACCATAAACTGCCTTTCTCTAGAGCTAATAGAATTTTCATCTGGAAGAAGAAACCCTCCCCACCCCACCCCCCAAACAAATCCTCATTTAGATTCTACAGTAACTTGTGTAGATTGACATATGCACATATTAACACATCCCCTTCCATATCCTTCACAAGTTTTATCTTTTTATAAAAATAAATGTACACTAGTTTAGTTACTTCACCATTACAATGTTTCTTAAACTTCTGAATACTTCAGAATTATCTAAAGGGTTTGTTAAAAGAGTTTATTGGGCCCCAACCTTAGAGTTTCTGATTCACTAAACCTGGGATAAAGCCTGATAATTTGCATTTCAAACAAGTCCAAGACAGTTAGTGACCACTGTTATATTTTAAATTTTATTGCCTATATATAAGGCCCACACTTTAAGAACAACTTTTTTAAATATTAAAAAGTAAGAAAATTGTATTAATTTGACCACAAAATTATGGCTTTCTCTTTACACTGAGGGATATTTTCCCCCTTGTTTCTGTGTGTGTGTGTGTGTGTGTGTGTGTGTGTGTGTCATAATTTTTTTACTTAATGGCAGACATCATGAGTATAAGCAAAAGAGACAGAGGCAAATATGACTAAGTCTGGAAATGGGCTTGTTTCTTCTGTCAAGCTGTCAGCATTCGGGTTTGAGTTTATCTAGTTGGGAGATAATCTAGTTTGGGCTTGTGGTTGCTATGGTTACCTTGAGAGCACCACAACCTTCAGTCACACATCTGTAATGACTCCTTGTGCTGGGGCCTTCAGTCTCATGTCTGTAATGACTCCTTGTGCTGGGGCCTGCAATTCCAGGGATGTTTTTCTCAATCTTCATGGTCCACTCTCAACTTTCAGCTTTTCTATATGCCCTTGCCAGCCACAGAGGCCATCTCTGTCCATGATCTTTCAATTTTCCCTGCAGTAGACTGCTGTTGTTTATCACTGGATGTTTATGTGGATGTTTGACAGATGACTGATAGATGAGTGGAGGGGATTGAGAGGGTAGAGCTTTCTGTTTTCCTGGTCCAGGGACAAATTTAGTCAGATCTTGTGTACCTGGGCCTGAGAGGTGGGAATTTATCTGTGCTCTCAGACTTCCTCCTCATTCCAGCCAATCTCCGTCTTGGCTTTGTGGCATATTCATGCAAGAGATGATTTGCTGCCACCTCCCTTATCAGTGATACAATACTGCAACAGTGTCAGTATGGGATTTTCAGCCCAAGATTGTCTCCTGTTTCTCTTGCAGGTGTGTATGCTTATGTGTGAGATATAGATAGATAGATAGATAGATAGATAGATAGATAGATAGATAGATAAAGTTGGGCATAGTTACCTAACCCTCCATTCTTGTGAATGGCATTCCCTTCATTGCTAATCTTTTATTATAGGACAGAATACTGTCCTGGATTTAAAGCCCAGTATTCTATTCTTCGCTGCTGTGGGCTATCATTACTTATTAAGAGCCATAAGTACGCTTTTCTTTTCTTACTGTGTGAAGCTTTTTCCCATGTATGTATTCTATCTGAACAAGAAAACAATGTTGGCCTACCGTCATCTACCTCTGATCTCTTCTCCTCCCCCTGACCACAGTGATATCATCTGGAATTCCAGGTTTGAATTGTTTGAATGCACTTCGTCTTGTTTGTTGCTTTTTAAAGAAAATAGCAAACCTCATTATGCTCTTTCTTCACTGTTATTTCCCATATCAGTGCTTTTTCTTTCTGACTGATTTATTTATTGCTTTTTATTACTAGAATGCAAATTTTCTTTGTTTCTTTCCTTTTTTTTTTCAAAGAGTCCCCACGAATGTAATTCTCTTCTAGATTACGTCCATTGAATTCCTGCTCATCAAGTAGGATTTAACTCAAGCATTGTTTCTTCTAGACAGTGTGGTTTGACTCTTCAATCTAAACTAAACAAGTTTTTTAATAACTTGGGTGTGCTTCTATTATGCTTTCTGAGGACTTTAACTGGGCTTACTTGGCTTTTTGGCAAAACTACAACCTCATTGAAGTTAGAGACTACGTGTTGCACATCGTTGTATACTTAATAGTACCTACAACATAGTAGACTACTACATTTAATGCATGCTTTTCGAAAACAAGAAGAAAAAATAATAAATTGATGAATTTGCAAAATGATGAAAACCAACTTGCAAAGCACCTTTATTTGATACAGAGCCCAAATAAAAAAAGTTGCTAATGAGGCTATAAAATTGTGAAAAAACAATTGAGTTAAATTGCAAGAATAATTTCATCCTATCATGTTGCTTTAGAGGTTGTGTCACAGAATAAAGAAAAACATGGGCTACTACCACCAAAACTTAGATGCATACCAATTACTAGAATGAAAACATAATCCTTTTCAAATCCCAGAGAGATTACAATTTAAATAACTTCTGAAAGTTGTGTTCCATTAAAATCCATTGCCTATGTAGAATAGGAATATGATAGAAAATGTAAGAACTTCTAATGAAATATATTGGAAATAAATAAATATCTATATTGTATTTTTCAGTAAAAAGAATATTGAACTCTTGTTCTATGTACATAATAACATATTTTGTTTTACTTAAAGAATAGTGTTTAATTTTTTCACTTGCTATAATTTCATGATTTTACTACTAATTATTCATTATGGTACAGCATTTTCTTTTGACACATATAATGACATTCTCTCACACAAATTTTAACTGCTTAGGAAGAAAAATGTAGATGGAATCTCTTGTTTTCTTTTTTGCTCAAGTTCATTCCCCTTTTCTCCTGACAAATATACTCAAAATTTGTCTGGTGACCTACTCCTCCTTCACTGAGTAGTCTCATACATAGGCATAATGGACACTAACACTTCAAAGTACAAATTAAAAAACAAAAACAAAAAGCAAGAATTTTTTTGGCCAAAAACTTATAAGGAAAATCAATAGAGGGAAATATATGCTTCTTCATATTCTCATTAGCCTAAAGGGAATCGTGCCTAGATTGGAATTGGTTGCATTACAGACAACATTGAAGGCATTATAGTAGAAAAAGATCTTAATTCTGAAATATCTTACATATTTTAGGTACAGAGTGTCATGGAATATCTATGCAGCTGTGTAACAACAGAGATGCCCTGTGTGGAAATAACAACCTTGTTAGAAACAGGAAGCCCTCCAGAACTCAGCCTCTGGTATTGGCCGATTCTTCCAACTAATTCAATCAGAATTGCTCAGTCTTCTCCAAGCCTACTTCTTATTAAGTTACTGCAAGCAAATGAAGGAAACAAGTCTCAAGGCTATTGCATTTGTCTCTCTTAAGATACAATATTCGTGGGTTTGGCAAACAAATTGTACTGTTCTAATCTTATGCATAAACCAAGCAAGACTGTGTAAACTTATAAAAACTATTTATTAACTACTTAATATATGCCAGTCATAAATTGTATCTAAAAGCTAAGAGTACAACAATAAACAAGACAGACAAAATCCCTGTCATTATGAAGCTTTCATTCTTCTGAAGCAAAGGCACAGAGATATTAATTAATGCATGACTAAAGGAATAATTAGTAAACCATTAAAATTTGCTTTGTGCATAATTACAATTAGATAATGTAATAAATGTTAGTGGGTAACTACATGGTTAGGTGATATGCCAAAGACTGCTAATAATCACCAATATTTATCTTCCCCTCTTTATCCTGGGGAAACCACTAAGCCATATTTTCCAGCATGTCTTGACATTAGTGTGACTGTATGACTGAAATCTGGCCACTAGAATGTGGGGAATAGTGATAAAAGTCACCTCAGATATGGTCCATAAAGGATTCTTTGCAATTCTCCATAGATTCTCTCTTTTCTGAAGGTGATAGAGGCCAGATACACAGACTTCAAGGGAAATCTTCAGGCCCTATGAGATAGTGAAGTCACTGCATTGAAGAAGCCCCTGAATAACTACATGAAGCAGAGCAACTCTTCCCACTATACACAAACACACACACAGCGTGAAATTGAATTGTTATGTAGGTAGAACATAAGCTTCTGTGTGTGTATGTGTGCGTGTGTGTGTGTGTGTGTGTGTCCACTAAGACTTTGGACTTTTGGCTGATAGCTATATAAAGATATGAATTTAAGTGAATGATCAAAAGATGCAGCCATCTATGTGAAATTCATGGAGATGAGTCTACCATGAGACTATGTAGTTCAACTAGATAGTAGAGAAGACTGGTAGGGCTGGTGAGAAGAAAGCTAGTTTAAAATAAGGTCAAAAATGTAGCAGGGTTATATCACAGGCCAAAGCAGAATAAAAATATGATTTTGAATAAGTTGAGAGATCATTGGAGAATTTTAAGTAAGCACATGACACTACAAAAATATTTCTAAAATATCTTTTTTTTTCTATGTGAAGAGAAAGGAATTGTTAACATGTGAAATGAAAAGCTACTTATTAGCTTAGTCCATGTGAGAGAAGTGGTTTAGTCTGGGTGGCCTTAGTAGAGACTGAAAAAAGTGGACAGATTTTGTATACGTTTTAGAGATAGAATCAATAGGATTTGCTGGTGAATTAAATGGATGTCATGATGGAGAAAGAAGCATCAAGGACTCTGAGATGTTTGGCTTTGCCAACTGGATATATACAGATGTGGTTTACTGAGGTGGAAAAAACTGAAGAAAGACCAGGGTGGAAATGGGGTGGTTTAAATGTTCCATTTTCCACATGGTGAATTTAGATGGTTGTTGGTGATGCATGTAAAGATGTTGAGTAGACTACTGCATAGAAGCATGTAGAGTGCTGAGGGAAATCAGGGCTACAGAGAGAAACATGGGATTTGCTGACATAAGTAGTAACTGATGAGAGAGAAGTGAATGAGGTCATATGTGGAGAGTGCTCAGACAGTGAAGAGGTGACTTAGACAAAGGCCACGAGGCACTTTAACTCTTAGAAGTCAAGCAAATGAGCTTGGGAAGTAGTAGCCTGTCATTTAGGATGAAAATAAAGGACATTTATCCTGACAGGTAAGAGAAGATGTGTTTCTAGAAAGAGGGTATGGTCAACAAGGTTAAACACTGCTCAGAGGCCAGAGAAGGCAAAATTAGAGAAGTGACCATCAAATCTGACAACAATAGAGACTTGGTATTCTTGACAAAAGTAGATTCTGCAGTGTAGGATCCTGAAATAATGCAGTAAATTAAGGAGAGGATGCTATGTGAGGAAGCAGAAACAGCAATCACTAACCACTGTATTTAAGAAGGATAGAGAATGTGGGGTACTGGTGACAGAATGATGGACAAGTAATCATTTTTTCATAAGATGGATATTCTAAGTATGATAGAGGTGATATTCCCTTCATCTTGCATACTGAAGGGAAGGAGTACAAAAGTAGAAATTAGAAAAATACCCTGGAAAGTACAAAATTGTCAGAGTTCAGTCATGGAGAAGGTGAGAGAAGATGATGCTAGAGTCTCAATGGGGAGTTTGACTTTTGATGGCAATAGGACACTTGCCCCAGTGTAATAGGAGAGAAGAAAGAGTTTACAAATGGTTTGATCAAATAGGAATAACTTGGAGAGATATTTCCATTGTTTCTACTTCCTAGTTTCAGGCAGCTGCTCTGATTCGTTCCTTTATAATAAAGCCTGGTTCCTCAGCATTTACTTTGATTTTGTGAATTATTTCACATTCCATCAATAAGTTTCCTTTTACTGCATCTGACTAGAGTAATTTTATTTGTCTTAGTAGGGAAAATCCTATTTAATAAGATAGGTAGCATAATGTAAAGATATATCTTCATGAAAATTTGGGAAACATTAAGTAGATAGAGTCCTCTATCCTAAAATACCTTCCCAAGCTTCCTGGTATAGTGCCCAAGAATACAGTAACAGAGAGTTTCACAATGGTTTTAAAGATTGTATGGTATTTTATTTTATTTTATTTATTGAGACAGAGTCTCACTCTGTTGCCCAGGCTGGAGTGCAGTGGCACGATCTTGACTCACTGCAACCTCTGCTTCCTGGGTTCAAGCAATTCTCATGCCTCAGCCTCCCAAGTAGCTGGGATTACAGGCACCCGTCACCACACCCAGCTATTTTTTTTTTTTTTGTATTTTTAGTAGAGACAGGGTTTCACTGTGTTGGCCAGGCTGGTCTCAAACTCCTGACCTCAAGTAATCTGCCCACCTTGGCCTGCCAAAGTGCTGGAATTACAGGCATGAGCCACCACAGCCAGCCTATATAGTTTTTGTTTTTTAATGTGGTTGCAGAGGGCTCATTTTTGATGCATGGAGTCAGTGTCAGGTAGACAGATAATGAAGCAGTGAAGTGGTTATTTCTTCTGTCTCTCCATTTAAATAAGTAAAAATTAGTTACTGGATTTTATGTGGTCTCTACTAACAAAGATAAATGCAATTTCCCATAAAAAATTTCTATAAAAAAAGCAATCATCATTGATGTTTCAAAGCAGAAAAATTTCGGGGAGGTGGGTTTATCTAGGGCACTAGTTTTCCTGCTACTTTAGCTATGAAACTGATTCTACAAATGAAAACATTCAAAAATATATTGTGTAAAATTAAAAATAGAGCAGTTTTGTTGAATTAAGAATGGATATGTCTATAAGATGTATGCTCACCCATAGCCCTCATAAACCTAGGGCTCTACTATAGAATAGAGTTTGGGAATCCATGGATCTATGTGGCAAAATTATTTATCTACTGATTTAACAAGTGTGAACATAGTAATATACAAGTGAATATTTTATATGTGTAATCTATGAGTAGGTTCCTTGATTATTTCTAATGTAAATCACAATTGTAAATGCTTAATGGTTGTACTTTTAATTTTACAACTATAGCTATATTTTGAATGATTCAAATACATGTTTAAAACCTCAAATTAAGTAATACCCATTAATTCAAAAAATTATATGGATCATTACATGCTAATCGTGTGCTTTTTAAAATTTTATCATTTATATGTTCTCTTCCTGATGATACAGAGTAACAGTGTGCAAAGTAATGTGAGGGTAATACAGTGGTATCCCTTAACTCCATGATGGATAAGGTTGGTTGAAGGCAGCATTAGCTGGCTGTCTTTTCTCTGTGAACGTTCAGTGTGTGCGCTCTAAACTGTGCGCTCATTCAGAGAGTTAGTTTCTCAGAAAGATAAGGGCATTATTCAGTCACAAATAGGGGTATTCCAACATATCCAATTATTTTTTCCTGCAATTTATGCTAAATGTGTTTGCATTCTAAGAGAAACCTTTATGTGGACAAGATCATTGTATTAGTCCATCTCATGCTGCTAATAATGACACACCAGAGACTGGGTAATTGCACCCCCTGAAGGAATTAAAAGAGATTTAACTGACTCAGAGTTCAGCATGGCTGAGGAGGCCTCAGGAAACTTACAATCATGGTGTAAGGGGAAACAAATATGTCCTTCTTCACGTGATGGCAGCAAGGAGGAGTGCTGAGCACAAGGGGGAAAAATGCCCGTTATAAAAACCATCAGATCCGGTGATGAGAACAGCATGAAGATAACCGCCCGCTTGATTAAATTACCTTGCACTAGGTCCCTCCCACGATAATGTGGGGATTATGGGAGCTACAATTCAAGATGAGATTTGGGTGGGGAAACAGCCAAATCATATCAACCATTATTACATAGTTGTTTTCAAAAGAGACCATGGAAGCTGGAGGGGTTAAACACTACATTCTTAAAAAAAATAATTAGCTATGGCATTTATTTAAAAAAGAGCTAAATCAACATGCCCAGTCTTATACACAGAACCATTCATCAGAGAACAGATGGTCCCCTAAAAGTGAAACTAAACAGTTCTTGAAACATGACAATTCATTTATCTTAATGTGAACATCCTCTAGCAGATATCAAAAAACAACCGAGGCAGATTTATTATTTTTGGAGAGTATTATACATGCACTTGAAATCCAAGAAAGACTGTTCACATTTAATAATCTGATTCATATTGTTAAATGGCACATGAAAATGTATAGTAAAACAATGCTTAAATATTGTGATTATATTCAAAACTACCTTAGTAGAAAATGTAACATTTATCATCAATATTTCTTTAAGCTTTCTATTCTGTTGTGTGGCAAAATTATCTGAACTTCTCTTCTGAATATGTCTATCTGCCTAGATACTTAAAATCTGGATATCTTTTGTTGGGCTGCATACTTTTACATTAAATTGAATAATAAATGTGTACATATTCTATCTTTTTAATTCATGCATTCTTTTTTATTTACTCAGCATGCAGTTATTGGGCAACTACTTTAAATGGTGCCAGAAAATGGAAATAAAGAGATAAATCAATGATTTCTAGTTCTGCCCTTAAGGAACTTACAGTGTAAGAAGAAGAGACAGGCAGGTGAACATATACAGTCATATACTACATAATGATGATTCAGTCAACAATGGACCATATATACAATGGTGATCCCAGGATATCATAATGCTGTATTTTTCCTGTACCTTTTCTATGTTTAGATACACACATGCTTACCATTACTTTATTAATACAATTGCCTACAGTATTCAGTTCAGTAACATGTTGTACTGGTTTGTATCCTAGCAGCAACAGGCTATACCATAAAGTCTGGATGAGTAATAGTCTATACCCTCTAGGTCTGCGTAAGTACACTCTATGTTGTTTGCACAATGACAAAATCTTTTAATGAGCCATTTCTCAGAATCTATTCCTGTCATCAAGTGATACATGGTTGTAATTATAATAAAGTAAAGTAAGTGTTTAAAAAGTGTAGTGGAGGAATGTTAAAAATATTAACTTACGTTTTTTGTTTCTTGCTTATTTTCTATTCTTCCTTGATACCTCAGTCTCCCAAGTGCAGGGATTAGAGTGTGACCCATTGCACCTGAGACTAGTTTTTTTTTTTTTTTTTTTTTTGAGACAAAGTCTTGCTCTATCATCCAGGCTGGAGTACAGTGGAGCAATCAAGGCTCACTGCAGCCTTGACATCCCGGGCTCAAGAGATTCTCCCATCTCAGCCTCCTGAGTAGCTGGGACCACACCAGAGGCATGCACAGCACCATGCATGCCTGGCTAGGTTATTTATTTATTAGGTTATTTATTTATTATTTATTATTTATTTATTTATTTATGACTTCTGGGCTCAAGCAATTCACTTGCCTTTGCCTCCCAAAGTGTTGGGATCATAGGTGGAAGCCACCATGCCCAGCCCCTAGACATTTTTTGATGCAAAAAAAAAAAAAAAATCTAGATTGCTGGATAGAGAAGCCTGACTGAGGAATAGAGAATGCAGGAGAAAAATCTCTGCACAAGGCCATTCTTTTAAGAAACACATTATAATAGGATGTAGGAAATGGTCAGTGTGGTGGGAAAAATTGTAGGAAGAGGCAAACCTTCTTGGAAGACCAGGAGGTTTTACAAAAGCTTCGTAAAAGGATTTGGCTGAAGGCAGATTTGGCTGAAGGCAGCCAGATTCTCTTATCTGGTGCCTGAAAGCTTAGGTTAGATAAGAAGGAGATGTAAAGAAACTGATCTAAATAAGCTAGTTTACTTAGGACTTGGAACTTGGCCTTTAATCATCCACGCACAGGACTGCTCTCTCCAGGGGACAAACTGCAAGGGTGTTGATTCAAGGCCTTTGTCATTAAATCTGTTCTAAATAAATCCCCACAGAGCCAGCTTGTCAGGGCCATGGCTACTGACTCTTTACAACACCCTTCTTGGGGTCTGTGAGCAGCCCTGTCCCCTAGCCTGCTCTTCACTGGATACCTGTGTCTGAGTGCATTTTTTCATCTGGCATTCAGCCAAGGTCTGCAGGTCAGACCCATCAATAGGAAACTTAGGAACTTTTAGCTAAATTGTAGGTTTACTGAGTTTTGGCAGAAATATTGGTTATGCTATGTATCTCTATCAGATGATCCTTGTGTACAGCTAGTCTTTTTTGCTGTTGTTTTTTGTTTACATTTTTGTTTTTGAGTCAGAGTCTCACTCTATTGTCCAGGCTGAGTGCTGTGGTGCGATCTCAGCTCACAGCAACCTCTGCCTCCCAGGTTCAAGCTATTCTCCTGCCTCAGCCTTCTGAGTAGCTAAGATTACAGGTGCTCACCACCACACCAGGCTAATTTTTTTATTTTTGGTAGAGACAGGGTTTCACCATGTTGGCCAGGCTGGTCTCAAACTCTTGACCTCAAGTGATCCACCCACCTTGGCCTCCCAAAGGGCTACGATTACTAGTCTTTTTACTTTTTAAATGGAAAAATCCCCTAATGTTTGGCATTTGTTCAATATACTTTTAAAGAATACATGAATCAAGGACAAAAATCATAAGGGAGATTAGAAAATAAACCAATTGAAAGTAAAACACACTAGTCTATTGACAATGAAAACAAAAACACCAGTCTGAGAGAAAGTGTTAGAGATACAGATATCTGGCAAGGTACTTGTATGTGTCATATTTTTTTTAAAATGCTAGTAGTCATTTTTTCTTTAGAGGCAGGATCTTGCTTAGTCACTGAGGCTGGAGTGCAGTTCTGCAATCACAGCAGACTTGAACTGGCCTCACATAATGCCTCAGCATTTATAAGTAATCATACCTACTTCCATTTATTCTTCACCATCTGTCAGTTATCTTTCTAAAAATAAATCTGGCTACATCACCATTCTTCTAACAAAACTTCAACTCTTTTTGTTGCAATAGCATTAAAACTAACAACTCTTTTTGTCTTGCACATTATATCTCCTCTTCCTGAAATGATCCTTTTCCTTCTTGACCTTGCAAGGTCCAATTAATCATTGAGGAGTCGGGAAAGACTTTCTCCAGGAGATCTTTTCTTATAACCCTGAGAGAATGACTATAGTTGTTCTATCATTAGGTTCCAATTGCATGATTTTAGCAGAAATTGTTCATGTTCCCCCAAATCCATTGTTCCCTTCTTCCATTTGACAATAAAACTCTCCAACATTAGCCTGGTAACGTGATGAAACCCCATCTCTACAAAAACAAAACAAAAAATCAGCCAGGTAGCCAGGCGTGGTGGTGTGTGCCTATAGTCCCAGCTACTAGAGAGGCTGAGGCATGAGGAGAATTGCTTGAGCCTAGGAGGCAGAGGTTGCCATGAACTGAGATCATGCCACTGCTCTCCCGACTGGGTGACAGAGGAAGACTCTGTGACAAAACAACAACAACAAAAACCCATCTGCCAAACATTTGTCACATAGCTACCAAGATAGAGGGTTGGTCAACCTTCCTCTGAGGTGAGGTGAGGTAAGGCAGCTTCTGTCCAATGCAATATGAATAGAAGTTTTGTGAGCAATTTCTTGATCATAACCTTAAAGGGCAGATACTTCCCTTCCACTTTCTCTTTTCCTTTTCTGTAGTTTAAAATATGGAAAAAACAACATAGAGAATGTAGAGCAACAAGAAGGATGGAATCTAGGTTGCAGGTTCACTTTATGGAGTGGAATTTCCCTACGCTCAATGGATTGTCTATCAGCTAGAATTTTCGTGTAAAAGAAAGATAAACCTTCTATTTTTTGTAGTGTTATTATACAAATAATATAATTACCTATATAATAGTATAAAAGAATAGTGTTATTGTGTTATTTGGTTCCTACAAAGCAGCTGGGCCAATGTCCTAACTAATAATACATTTATACTCCCTTTACAGGCCCAATTAGAGTTGACCCTTCAACAACACAGGTTTGAACTGCACATACCCATTTATACTTAAATTTTCTTCCACCTCTGCCATCCCTAAGACAGGAAGACCAACCCCTCTGCTTCTTCTTCCTCCACAGCCTACTCAATGTGGAGATGATGAGGTTGAAGATCTTTATGATGATCTATTTACACTTAATAATTAGTAAATACATTTTCTCTTCCTTGTAATTGTCTTAATAACTTTTTTCTTTTCCTTAGTTTACTTTATTATAAGAATATAGTGTATAGTACATATAATATACAAAATACATATTAATCTGCCAGGTGCTGTGACTCAGTCTGGTAATCCCAGCATTTTGGGAGGGCTAGACTGGAGAATCACTTGAGCGGAAGAGTTAAAGATTTCAGGGAGCTGTGATCGCACCACTGCACTCCAGCCTGGGCAACAGAGTGAGACCCTGTCTCAAAAACATATAATAAAATAAAATAATAACAAACAAACAAAACTCCAAATATAAGTTGAGTGTTTATGTTATCAGTAAAGCTACTGGTCAACAGTAGGACATTGTCAGTTATGTTTTAAGGAAGTCAAAAATTATATGTGAATTTTCAATTACTCAGGAGTTGGTGCCCCTAATCCCTGCATTGTTCAAGGGTCAACTGTACATCATTGTAGTTATTAGTCTATAGACTGCCTTTGGTTGTTTAAGAAAAGAAAAAAAAAGAGAAGAGATGGATTTGAAGAATAAAGAGATATTTCATAGAAATCACAAAAATCTAACAGCAGGAAATGGAAAGCCTGACCAGAAAGCAAAATGATTATTGTTTGAGGTATAATCACTTTTTCTATGTGTCTTACTCTGCTACCTCTGAAGTCGACTTCATTCTTCTACATGGTAATTAAATGCCTTTTCCTTTTTCACACACAATGGGAGAAGTGTCTCCCCCATACCTCTCCAGAATATATCACTTAAATGTAAGCAAAATACTAATGGAATTAGATCCTGTAAGTTCTAATTCCACA
Organism: Homo sapiens; assembly: GCF_000001405.40. Classification (NCBI taxonomy): domain Eukaryota; kingdom Metazoa; phylum Chordata; class Mammalia; order Primates; family Hominidae; genus Homo; species Homo sapiens. The sequence goes on along the minus strand of NC_000001.11, from coordinate 80,246,909 downwards.
TTTATTAAAAGAGAATCTCAGTGGCTGAACTTCGGTAAAATCTTCAATCCTAATCTAATCATAAAGCCAGAGAGCAGACATTATTTTTTCTCAGGGAAAAAAAAAGTGATTGTGTGTGTACATTCATACTGAGAGATGTCTGCTGTGGAAATCATTTGATATTAAAGGCCTTGTCAAGGTTTTACTCATTTTGTTATCCTTCAAGCCTAGTGCAGCACCTGATAAAATAAATGTTTGCTGAATGGAGAGTAAATGAATGGGTATGATTCTGATAGAGCAGGCTAATGTACAGCAGCCAGAAGTAGATTTCGTCATTTTGGGTACAGTCATAAAATCTCCTTGCCTATAGACAAGAAGCTAAACTCAAACAGTGCAAAACTCAAAGAAGGTATTTTCCAGAATCAGATTTATCACCAGCAATTCTCAAGAGGTGATCTATAAAACACAGACAGAATTACCCTGGAAGTAATGTCATCATCCCATGCAAATCACAGCTCTGTGCGTGTACTTATATTATTTTATTTCAGAAAAATAATCTAAAAATTATTAACTATCTGCAGTTCTCTTTTTATCAGTGAAAAGATCTTGATTGTATTTCAACAAAAAATACAAAATGAAATATTTAACTGAGTGCATGAATGTGACATTAATACATTATGAGCTCTATTTTGATTCCTCAGTTTTGCTTCTTCACATTCTTTGGAAGATGGGATAAAGATCTGAATTATCTGAGGTAGAAAACATAATCACCTTGGCTAGAAAGAAGAGTTAGAGGATTCAGTCCAAGATAAAGACATCCAATCTCCCTCCTCACATGTCAGAAAAATCATGTCATGGATGTGTATAACATATCTAGCATAGCAGATAATGATAGACTTGGGAGATGGGAAGACATAGGCTTTGTCAGAACAATCCTGAACAGTGCAAGATAACAAAGCGACATATCTATTCCAGTGTGTTTACACCTTCATTTCCAATGGGGATAATGATCAGAAAGTTAATCCTTCAGACATTTTGAGATTATTCCATTCTCGCAGAAAAATCATGGTAGTATCCTGTATTTCAATTCTGGCACATAGTTTGAACAGTAAACTTACTGAGAACAAATAAGGTGACATTATTCATTAACACCCCTGACTATTTTTTATACCTTTTATTTTAAATAATATCAAAATTAGATTATAGTTATAATAACTGTACAAAGAACTTCTATTTACCCTTCAATGATAATCCCTAAATGTTAAGATTCTACCATATTTGCACTATACTCCCTCTCCTCTATTTTTTGAGCTATTTCTCAGTCAACAAACTGACACCCTATCACTCCAAAATATGCTAGTGTTTGTCAAAAAAAAAAAAACCCAAAAACCACACACATAGCACACTCTCCCACATAGCAACAATTCAACCGTGAACTCTAAAAAACTATCCTTAATGTATCGTTACCATAAAATCTTCAGATTTTATTTAGATTTCACCACTCATTCCAGTTATATACTTTACAACAAAAAGATCCAGTTCACAATCACACATTTCATTTACTTGACATATTTTTTATCACCTTTCAATATAGAAGAGTTCCTTGGTCTTTCCTCAACTTTCAGGCCTTTGGCACTTGTGAAGATTGCACCACAGTTTGGGTTTGTCTGATGTTCTCCCAAGATTAGATTTAGGTATGCACATTTTGCAGAAATAACCCCAGGAAGAATGCTATGTTCTTCCATGTGTATTATATCAGGGCACACTTGGTATCTATTTTTCTTATTTCTTGTAATCGTAGCTTAGATCTCTTGGTTAATGATGCTGGTGTCTGACAAGCTTTCTTTTTGGTCACTTTGTAATGAATAAGTATGTTTTGTAGCATTCATTAAGACCATGTAATTGCCCTGCTACTTCTCAAATTTCACCCTGTGGTTTTAGCATCCATTGATAATTCTTGTCTGAGATTATTTTTACCCTTATTCTTTTTGAACAAATCAAAATCAGTTCTTTGACATTTATTTCCAAAAACCATTTATCAATAATATATTATTTGCCAACCACTAGGCAAAATTCTAAGGATATTTTACCAGTCAGGAAACAGCCACTGTTAAGTATTATGGGAATATGAGATTTATTATAGGAACTAGACTTTAAGCAAATGTAAAACATTCTACACAAGTGAAGGTCTGGAAGGAGATAGTAGGAAGATCAGCGAAAAAGTTACTGACTTCTTTTCCTGGAGAGATTCAGGGCAAAGGAACAAGTTGTAGCTTCTAAGTAAATCCAAGAAGCCAAGCTACTGAAGTGGAACACAAAGGGGAGTAACCCATAGAGGCTGTTCCAGAAAACCTGATGCATTTGTGCAGCTGTTGCCTTTGTGGTTCCTAGGCATAGCTAGATAGATATAACACAATTCAGCACAGATATCTGGTGAGGAGGATCTCAGTTCCTGCTCACTGTGAGCTTTAAATTTACTGGCAAAGACAGACATTGAAGAATTAATGACAAACAAATTAAAATTGGAACTCTGAGAAGTGCTACAGAGAGTCACATGGTACTATGCATTAAAGAGATTAATAATATGGCCTCCTGAGACAGTGGTATTTGAATGGAAATCTGATGAAAATGACCTCAATAATATTTCCCTCCTCACATTTCTTTTGTAAGAAATGTGAGCTTGTTGCTCTTTCATCAAGTCACAGAGCCTAATTCTTCTCCCCTTGAGTTTCTGCAGACCTTAATGACTCATTTACAGTAAAATGAGGCATAATTGATGCTGCATGGCTTCCAAGGCTAGGCCAATATAAGTCTTGAAACTTCTGTCTTGATCTCTTGAAAGGTTTGCTTTCTAGATGTTTCCTTTTGGATCATAACCCATCACATGGAGTTGTTCTGGTTGACAGTGCAAATTCACCCCAGGCTTCTTGCTATCCCTGTTCATGTGAGTGAAGAATCCATTTTGGATTTGGATCATCCAGTGCTAGTTATTTTAGCTTCTAACCGTTCAAATCACCCCTGGCATTGAATCACCTCTTCTTCCTCACCGATTGAGTCTTCCAAACTGTGGAGCCAGACATCTTCAGGTAAAGAAACACTATTCCCATGTGGCCCCAGCTGAATTTCTGACTCATAGGATTTGGGAGCATCACAAAATCATAAAATTGCTCTTGTATAGTACTAAGTTTTGAGGTGTTTTGTTATGCTGCCATAGTAACTGGAATAATCAGTTGTGAGACAATTTCACTAGCCCAATTTAAAACATACTTTATCTTCTAACTGATTGACATTAGTGGAGATGAAAAGAAATGGAGATTCCTGAGAGACAGTTACAGGTTAAAAATATAAAAATCTAACTTAGTGATGGTTTAATGGATGATGGGTGGTAAAGCAGAAGAAAATATCGAGGTTCCAAATTTGTCCAACTCAATGGATGGTAGTGCCTTTCAATGAGGTAGCACCCATCACATTTGATTCTTCTTCCCAATCTGGGCACATGGAAAACTGTCATCCAATTTCTTAATAGTTAGGTGCCACTATGCCCAGTTCTGGCCAATGAATTGTAAGTAATGAATAATTATGAGTAAGGTAATGAAAAGTCTCTGCATGTCTTTCTGATTTGTTTCTTCTCCTTTGGTACTGAGAATGGAAGCAGACTGAATTACTGAGCATAGTATGAATGACAGCTGTCCTGGAGAGTCACTCACTGTAAGGGGACTTTGTGTAAACAAGACATTAGTTTTTATGCATTAAGTAACTGAATTTATAGGAGTGTTTGTCACCATAGATTAGTCTTGTTTGTCCTGACTGACCATATGGAAAATGCAAAAGGAGGAGTTTGTTAACATAGAAAGTTGGATAAAACCATGTTTTTTGTTTCCATTTTTTAATTAAGTGCACATTGCCTCAGTTGTGAGGTCATTCATGAATTTTCTAACAACTTTTTTCACATATTTATTTTAAAACATTCATTTAAATATGCCATTATAGAGCCAAAATATATCCAAGGCACTGTTCTAGGTGATGTGGGGTATGAGGTAGATAGAGATATACAGATGTTAGCCTGAAAAAGCATAAAACTTTTAGAAATTATTATACATAAATATAATTATGATAGAAAATAATAAGTTCTATAAAAACTGTTCAAATATAATGGTATGTTTGTACAAGGAAGCCTAGAGCCTCAAAAGGTGAGAGTGTCTACAATATAATATAAAAAATAAGACATCAAGCCTGTAACAATAGGGAAATATTTGGATATGAGGAGGCCCTTTCATGCAGGGTTATGGCATGAACATGGTACGGGCTGCATATAGTATATGCGGGTAACAAGAAGTAATGCAGTTGGGTTGGGGCTCAAATATATAAGGTGAAGTAGAGAATAAGAGAGAAAATTTGTTTGAGTATCAGATTACAAAGGATTTAAAGATCAAAAACATAGATTGAGATTTTATTTTGTTATACAAGGAGGAACACTGTAGGTGTATTTGAGTAAAGGAATTATTATATAAGAAGGAGACTGCAAAAACTATATTCTATATTGCCTATTCTAGCAATATTCAAAGGAAGAGGAATTGAGGACCTGAAGAACATAGAAGCAGTGTGAATGAAAAATAGACAACATAGGCAAAAACTGTAGGTGACATTTAATTAGATGATAATAGTAATCATTATTATCAACATTTATAACCCCCTTGCTATGTGTTATCAAGTAGTGTTATAGGTGTCTTCTCTCTCTCTCTCTATCTGTTGGTCTATCATCTAGCTTTTTGCCTACCTGTCTATATTAAACAGGGTTCCCCATAGAGACAGAATCACTAGGAGATAGACTGTTGGATAGATAGAAGGGAATTTATTAGAGCAATTGGTTCATGTAGTTGTGGAGGTAGAAAATTACCACAATAGGCCATCTACAAGCTGGAGAACCAGCAAAGCTGGTAATATGGCTCAGTATATTTATATTTATATTTATAAATATATATTTCTATATATTTATCTTTATATATATATATATATATATATTTTTTCTTCAACAAAAGCTACATTCAAAGCATGACTCAGTCTAAATCCTAAAGTCTCACAACCAGAGAAGCTTATAATGTCACTCTCAGTCTGAAGCCAAAGTCCTGAGAGCCCAGGGGGCCACTGGTGTAAGTCCCACAATCCAAAGGTCAGAAAATCTGTAGTTCTGATTTCCAAGGGCAGGAGAAGAATATCGCAGCTTCAGAAGACAGACAGACAGAGAGAGACTTCACTACTCCTCTACCTTTTTGTTCTATCTGGGCCTCAGGCCATTGTATGGTTCAAACTCACACTGGGTGAAGGCAGATCTTCTATACTCAGCCAACTGTCAGTCATACCCAGAAATAATATTTTACCCACTATCTAATTATCCTTTAACCCAGTCAAGCTGTGGCCTAACATTAACCATCACACTGTCTATGTAAACTTACTTAATCCTTTCAATTACCTTAGAAGGTGAGTTTTATGTAGTGCAAGAAATATAAAAGGATCAATAGTTAACTTAAAGTTTGAACTTGAGTGAATGGGAGAACTGTAAATTATAAACAGAAAGAGAGGGCAAAAAGAAAGCAATCTGTAAGAAATGTATGCTTCATTTAGTTGTTGACATATTTTGTTTAAAGATCAATCTGAAATATAGATATCAGTAATATATATACATACAAATTCCTAATTGAAATGACAATCCCAAATTTTCATTTTCAGTAGATACAAGGTTGCTTACACATTATTCAAATAGATTTACAAATCAGAAAACTTTTGCTACACCACAATTCATCCCAAAACACTGGATTAAAGCAACAAGCCTTTGTCATTTCTCATTATTCTGTGAGTTGGTTGCTTGGACAGTGATTTTTTCTTTTTTTTTTCCCAGACAGGGTCTCATTATATTGTCCAGGCTGGTCTCAAACTCCTGTGATCAAATGATCCTCTAACCTCAGCCTCCTGTGTAGCTGGGATTACAGGCAGAGACCACTGCATCCACCTGGTTGAGTGCTGTAAAATAGCACTTGTATTAGTCCGTTCTCACACTGCTATAAATAACTACCCAAGACTGGGTGATTTATGAAGGAAAGAGGTTTAATTGACTCACAGTTCTACACAGCTGGGGAGGCCACAGGAAACTTACAATTATGGCAGAAGGTGAAGGGGAAGCAAGGCATCTTCTTCACAAGGTGGCAGAAGGGAGAATGAAAGCAGGAGGAACTACCACATACTTATAAAACCATCAGGTCTCATGAGAACTCACTCACTATCACGAGAGCATCATGGGGAAACCACTCCCATGATTCAATTACTTCTACCTGGTCTCTCTCGACACATGGGGATTATGGGGATTATAATTCAAGATGAGATTTTGGGTGGGGACACAGTCAAATCATATCAGCCCTATTCACATGTCTGCATAAGATATGTATGTTAGACCATTCTTGCATTGCTATAAAGAAATATCTGAGACTGCGGTAATTTATAAAGCAAAGAGATTTAATTGGCTCACAGTTCTGCAGGCTGTGCAGGAAGCATAACAGAGGCATCTGCTTCTGGGGAGGCCTCTTGAAGCTTCTAATCACGGCGGCAGGCACAGCGAGAGCTTGCAGGTCAGATGGCAAAAGCAGTAGCAAAAGCGTGTGTGGGAGGTTCCACACAGTTTTAAACAGCCAGATCTCTCAAGAATCCATTCACTATTTCAAGGACAGCACCAAGAGAATGGTGCTAAACCACTGATGAGAAATCGGCTCCCAAGACTCCATCGTCTGCCACTAGGCCCCACCTCCAATACTGGGGATTATAATTCAACATGAGATTTGGGCAGGGACAAATATCCAAACTATATTAATATGATTGGAATGTTTGGGACCTCTTGGATGGCTAGGACAGCTGGAATAGCTGGTTTCTCTGTCCATATGGTCCTACTCTTCAGAAGGCTGACCTGGGCTTGTTCACATGGTGGCAGAAGGGTTCCCAACAAAAAAAGTTGTTGAACCCTAAAACAAAAGCACTTCTGAAGACTCTGCAACTGGCTACATACACTGTTGCCCCAATGGTCAAAGCAAACCACAGAGTTAAGCTCAGAATCAAATGGGGAGAAATAGCCTCCACATCTTAATGGGAGAGTCACCAAAGTCACATGGCAATGGAGCATACATATCATGAAGCATGAAAAGGTGGTGGTGACTACTGCACTATACCACAACTGATGCTAACACTTCCAACATTAAGAGTACACATTTATAATCATATGTTATATTTTAATATGTAAATATAGCAAACTGGGATAATAATATGTATGGATCTTAGGGGCAGTAATATGTATGGATCTTGAAGAGCAATCATTTTCCCTCAATCTACTGTTTTCTTATGTCATCTGATTAGGCTGTCATTTTTACCTGCAGAAGAAAAGTAAAAGAGACCAGAATGTTCCCAACAAGTCCACTCCCCACTCCTAACACACATCTGTTCTACGTTATGGTAATATGGTTAATAAGTCTAAAGGATTAGAGTAAGAGAGGTACCTTGTTTTTTTCTCTTTTCACATTATACAATAGATTCTTCTGAGAGCAATGACATAGTTGTTTATCTTAATTTCCATCTCATGAAAGCTAAGTTAATGTACATTATCACTGAAAAATCACTAGATTACTGTCTGTGCCCATTGTACTGCAGAATAGTAATTTAATCATTTTATGCAGTAAATTCGTATTTGTTCATTGACCTAGAGGGCTAGATATTGTTTTGGAACTGTTTTTATTTTAAAATGTTGCCAAATTGTTTACTTAAAAACATTTGTCTTGAAAGATGGCTCTAGTTTGGGATTTCCATTGTTTTTATCTTCAGAATGAGATATAAAATCTTTCTATCTTGATATAAGAAACAGCCTGGTATAATAGGGAAGGTCATAGAGTCAATTGAGTTAAACTCTAATCCCAGTTTTATTACTTACTACCTCTATGACCTAAGACAAATCAATTAAAATCTATAGGTCTTAGTTTGTATTTTTTAAAAGTAAGGTAAAATCAAATATTAAAAAGAGGTAAAATAAAATAAGTAATTGGGCTGGGCACAATGGCTCATGCCTGTAATCTCAGGCGGGCAGATCACCTGAGGTCAGGAGTTCAAGACCAGCCTGGCCAACGTGGTGTAACTCCATCTCTACAAAGATACAAAAATCAGCCTGGCATGATGATGGGTGCCTGTAATCACAGCTACTTGGGAGGCTGAGGTGGGAGAATTGCTTGAATCCGGGAGGCAGTGGTGGTAGTGAGCTGAGATCACGCCACTGCACTCCAGCCTGAGGAACAGAGTGAGGATCTGTCTCAAAAATACACACACACACACACACACACACACACACACACACACACACACACATATAATAACTCCCCTTTCTGTACCGTAAAAGTACAAAAGATATAACGTTTTAAAACTTTAAAGCAGCATGTTAATGTAAAGCATTATCTTGGTTAGGGCTATCTGATGTTGTACATAATAGTAACAAAAATGTTGACTTATTTCTGCTGTTACCTATTATTATTAAAATAGTAGAAAATGATAAACAATTTTGAATTAGACTAAAATGTAATTTAATATACTTTATAGGCCAAACATTTTCGCGCTGGATCAACAAATCCTCCAGTGTTTTATTTTTATTTTTTTAAAGACAGGGTCTCACACTGCCACCCAGGCTAGAGTGCAGTGGCACAATCATAGGTCACTGCAGCCTTGCACACCCCTGTCTCAAGCAATCTTCTTGCCTCAGTTTCCTGAGTAGCTAAAATTATAGATGTGTACCACCATACTGAGCTACAATGTTTTAATAGAGTAAATATTTTTGAATGGCACAAATATCATAGAATTTTTAAATGTAAACCCCTAAGTATGGGAATGAAGAATAGGAATCACAGGAAGTCAAAACACTGTGAAGGTAACTCTAAAGTCAAGATGAAGTAGCCATTTATACATTAAGAACTTTTAATATATTTCATTCCGATAAATTTAATGTGAATGCCAAATTTCAATGAGCAGAAAAAAATCTAATCATATTGTAATGTATTTTGTAGTATTTTTGCAAAATAATGTAATTAAAATATTTAGGCTTCAAAATCATGCTTTCTTTCATCAACATTCCTGAACAATCCAATTTTCAAACTTGTTAATAATGTTCTTCAACTATTGTTCAACAAAGTTGCGAACTGTATTTCTAAGCCTGTAATTAAAAGCTCCCATGTAACATCTGTTTAAGAAATGGAATGCAGGCTTTATACAGCCCTATGATGGAGGAAACAGACACAAAGAACAAGAAATTATCCTATATTATGTGTGAAGTTCTATTGGGACATATTTAAAGAAACAATTAATTTCCTTGGGATTGAAAAGTTAATCATATTTAACCAGTGAGAAGAAAAAAGGGTATTCTAAGCAAAGGGAATGGAATGAATAAAGACATATGGGGCCAAAATTATGTAGAAATGTGAAAATTTGTGTCTTAGTCAAAACATTCCATAAACTTGGCATTTTTTTCCTCCAGTCAACATCCATAGCCCCTTGCTCACAGTTCATTTTGAAAACTTCACCATTTCTAAAACTATGATCTGGTCATTTCAATCTTCTGCATATATGTCTTTGATGCCTTCTGAAAGTCAAAAGAAAAAAGCTGAACTCCTTCATTTGCCTTAGCCTCTGAATTCTTCACAAATCATCCTTCGTTTACCTTTTTGACCTTCCCTGTAGTCAGATTTAGAATAAGATGTGAAAAATTTAGATAAAGCATGACCTAGACTGCAAAATTTTGTTCCAACCCCTTGCCTTTTCAGAGTCCTTAACTTTTTATAGAGCACAATTTCATTGATATATATTGAGACTACCAGCAACACCTTAGCCTGACTTTGGTCCTAAGTATTTAACTTTATCCACAGATTCCAGTTTTCATTCCTAACCACTAACTTTATTCTTAGATCTTTTATCCCTTGAGCAAAAAGGTCCATACTGTAGACACATTATATTACTTTTCTATGCTGCATGACAAATTGTGGCTAAATCAGTGGCTTAAAGCAACACACATTTCTTATCTCCTGGTTTTGTAAGACATGAGTTTGGGCACAGCTTAGCTATGTCCTCTGTAAGGCTACAAAGGAAGTGTTGGTCAAAAGCAGGTACTCATCTGGAGACTCTACTGGGGAAGGGTCTATTTCCAAGTTTCTCAAATTATTTGCAGAATTTACTTTCTTGCAGTTGTAGGATTCATAGTTTTCTTTCTCACAGCTAGTGAAGGAGAGAGACCCCCCAAAGCCAGAAAGCTAGCAAGAGAGAGTCTCTTACAATGTTACATAATTAGAAGAATAATATCCCATAATCTTTTCCATATTTATTAGTTAGAAGCAGGTCATAAGAACCACACACACTCACGGGAAGGGATAAATGGATATGACCACTTATCAGGAGGCAAGCAACATGGGAGAAACTACATATCCGTCTACATAACCGTCACACATATACAACTGGCTTTCTATCATATAAAAATGGTTCACATACTTCCTACCTGGCACCCCCCATTCACACTAGGTGTCTCAAAGTCTTAGTGCAATATTTACATTTAATTATTTAAGATATATAAAATATAACAAATGTATAACTACTACTAATTAATAAAATTAATTGTAAAATTATTCAATTTTATGAAAATTCAGAAGATCTTATTTAATTATAATTTTGGTTTTCAATTTTTACTATATCGTGTGTGTGTGTGTGTTTTTAGAAAGTAAGGATATAAAAGGGAAAATGAGAGAAAGAGAGAGAGACAGAGAGAGGGAAAGACAGAAAAATTAAGGATGATTAGTGACTAGAAAAAAAACTCAAATATTGTCTATTCCAGACTTTTTCATTTTACAGGCAAAGAAAGGGAATCTTTCATGGGTGAAGGGAGATTGTTCTCAATGAGTTAACAAGAAACTGAAATGAGAATCTAGAATTCCTAACTCCCTTTTTTGGTATTTATTTCCACTCTCTCCACAATATTTTTCTCAGTGTATTGTAAATCAGTACAGAAGAGCAAAGAATAGCATCTCAATGCCTAGCTCAAAACCTGGAATGTAACAAGTTCTCAATAAATATTTTCTGAATAAATGCATGGAAAGAAAGGCAGAAGGAAGACAGAGAGAAAAGAAAGAAGAGATTGATTCAACAAAATAGCTCCTCCTATTTATCTACTTAGCAAACATTTATTTTACTAAACTTACTAAAATGTAAGAATATATGATTCCATTATAATCCTCTAAAAATATGTATAGTCTGTGTAATTGAAATAAATATACATACATGTATATAGTATATATGTGTGTATATATATGTATATAATTAAAGGTAAACATCAATTTATAAAGCATTCAAGTTTAGGAATCCAGTGAAGCTGAGATATCAATAAAATGATAAAATATAAACAATTCTGCCAACCAAAAAAGATAGCTAAAAATAATTAATTATTTTTAAGAGAACATCTTACCCAATGGAAAAAAATGACAAACCACACAAGAAAATCAAGATGGCACTCAACACAGATTTGTGGTTCATTCTTCCAATATTGTCCAAAAAAATTTAAGTGGTCATAGGTAGGTTATTCTCAAGTGACTACAGAAGCAAAAGTAATTCTACTCAGAAAGAAATATATCTTAAGCAATGCTAACAAGAATTTTAAGATTCCATAAACTGAAAAATAATTAATTTCAGAATAATAAAAATGTGCAAAATATGATGATAGATTATATGAAGTACAATAATGTCTACAAATGTTGTGACCATGATGTTAGGTTGTATTATATATTGAAAATTAGGAAGCAGAGTTTTAAGTTAATCAGCTTACCCAATACCACACAGTGCTTGAATGTTAGAGGAAGAATTTAAACCTCAATCTAACCACAAACCATTTGCCTTCAGAACATGCAAATTGGACTCAATGCATGTTTTGTAATTTAAGGGTTATATACTATGATCTTACTATACCACAGAAAAAACACTGATCAAAATCAGATACAAAAGAAAAAGATCTTGCTGAAGTTAAATAGTGATTGTATTAGTCCTATTTTACACTGCTACAGAGAAATACCCAAGACTGAGTAATTTATAAAAGAAAGAGGTTTAATTGACTCACAGTTCTGCACGGCCGGGGAGGCCTCAGGAAACTTATAATCATGGTGGAAGGGGAAGAGGCACACCTTACATGGTGGCAGGTGAAAGAGAGAGGAGTGAAGGGGGAAGAGCCCCTTATAAAACCATCAGATCTTGTGAGAACTCACTATCATGAGAACAGCATGGGGAAATGGGCTCCATTATCCAATCGCCTCCCACCAGGTCTCTTCCTAGACATGTGGGGATTATGGGGATTGCAATTCAAGATGAGATTTGGGTGAGGACACAGCCAAACCATATCAGAGATTCAACTAAAAGGTGTTTGCTTTATCAATAGGACCATGACATTTTTCATGCTAGACATTTTACATGTTAGAGTGATTGCAGATTATCTTATAAAGGCTACGTCTTTGTTCCTAATATACTCAGTCCAGATAAGTATGTCATTGTCCTCCAGGACTTTCAAAGACCATGGCAGTCTTTTGTGCCCACGGTTAATAAAATCATAAACTATCTTTCAGTCTTGATAGAATAAAGTACAAATATTTTGAAAAATGAACTTTACATAACTCCAGAAATAATGTTTTCTCAATATCTTTTTGAAATAATTATTTCCCTGGAACAAATTAGTAGAATAAAAGTATAAGAGTATGTCACCTACTCAAATCTGTTGAATCCTATGCCCAAGATATGATTATTAAATAATGCCTACATCCTTTTGATCTTTGTCTGGGATGATCACAGCAAGTCCATGTGGCTGATCTTCTATCCTGTTTGCATCTTCTTGATTATTGCTTTATCTCTGTTGTCAGGCTGCTATCACTGCTGTCACAAAAAAAGTAATGTTACGCTTATTCTCCTGAATCCACTGAGGGGATTCAGAAAGCATCCCAGTTCTTCCTCCTATGACCACAGTTCATAAAGTTGTAGCCTCATGATACAATTTGTATCTATTACTATATAGTCAAAATCTGAAGGAACTATCAGGAAGAAGCTTCTGTGGTGAAATCATAATTATTATTCTAAGCCTAGGGGTTAAAGGTAGTCCTCTATTATATTCCAACTATAATAATGGTGTCTGATAGCTTAAGAGTAACCACCAGCATTCTCCAATGAATTCAGTGCTTCTGGGTAAGAAATGATGTTGCCTTGGTATTCCTTAACCTATTTCTTACTGATAAGCCTCAAAACATTACAATTTATTCTCCATTTCCTTGTTTCAGGAAGGTAGGCACATTATTTCACAATCTGGGTCCTTCAGTCTTCAGACTATGCTATGAATGTCATCTCATAAGAGGTTATGTATGGTTATCTCTATCCCATTGTAGGTTGTCTATATTTTGTTTAATAGAAAAATAGGCCAAAGGGGTTCATGCCTGTAATCCCAGCACTTTGGCAGGTCAACATGGGTGGATCACCTGCGATCAGAAGTTCGAGACCAGCCTGACCAACGTGGCGAAACACTGTCTCTCCTAAAAATACAAAAATTAGCCCGGTGTGATGGCACATGTCTGTATTCCAAGTTACTTGGGAGGCTAAGGCAGGAGAATCACTTGAACCCAGGAGGCAGAGGTTGCAGTGAGGCGAGATCATGCCATTGCACTTCAGCCTGGGTGACAAGAGTGAAACTCCATCTCAAGAAAAAAAAAGAAAATAGAAAAGCCAGAGACAGTAGTAGGACTTGACCAAAATGGAATTCAAAACATTATATACCTTCCTTCCTGGGCCAATTGACTCTCAGTCCTGTGATCAAGTGCTTGGTTTCATGGTTCTCAAGGTGACTCTCCTTTGACTTGGAATCATCTTTTTAAGCTCACACCAAGTGTTGGTTGATTTGTTTTCATGCTGTTGGATTCCCTACCAAATGAGAAACCCCTGAAGACTTTTTCAAAGAAGAGAGTCATTAAAGTTGAGACACTGGTTGAGACAACATTGTATATTAATAGGGAAAATAAAGTGGAATTTAGAATATCTGTTATTATTATTAGCTAATGGTGTGATCTTGGGAAAGTTAACCAATATATTGGCATAATTTTTCTCATCAACAAAAGATGGCATAAATCCAGAAGGTGTCCAGTGTCCTTTCTAATGCTCATAATTTTTAAGTTCTGTTCATATTCACAATCTTAGCTCTAGAGGGAGTGGTTCCTAGTTAGTTCTGAGAATTACAAGAAGCAAGCACACAGTAACTTTTGCTGAATGAATTTTTAAATAAATATGTATCATAGACATCAGAGAAAATATGACCATTCTTCACTTTTTCCCCAGTGGAAACATGATGGCAAAAGTGATTTCCTTTGACAGCTACAGTTGTGATATTCTTCCTGATATGTTTTGGTTCCGTGTCCCCACCCAAAACTCATGTTGAATTGTAATTCCCCGAGTTGGAGCAGGGGACTGTTGGGAGGTGATTAATCATAGGGGCAGACTTCCTCCTTGCTGTTCTCATGATAGAGTTATCATGAGCTCTGGTTGTTTGAAAGTGTGTAGCACATTTCTCTCTCTCTCTCTCTCTCTCTCTCTCTCTCTCTCCTGCTCCACCATGTGAGGATGGCACTTGCTTCCCCTTCACCTTCCACCATAATTGCAAGTTTCCTGAGGCCTCCCTAGGAGCAAAAGCCTATATAGCCCACAGAACCATGAACTGATTAAACCTCTTTTTTTTTTTATAAATTATCTAGTTTCAGTTTTCTTTATAGCAGTGTAATAACCAACTACTATAGAAAATTGGTACCAGAGAAGTGGGGCATTGCTATAAAGATAATTTGGAAACAGCTTTGGAACTGAGTAATAGGTGGAAGTTGGAACAGTTTGGAGAGCTCAGAAGAAGACAGGAAGATGAGGGAAGGTTTGGAACTTCCTAGAGACTTGTTGAATGGTTTTGACCAAAATGCTGATAGTGATATGGACAGAGATGGCTGATGGAGTCTCAGATGGAGATGAGAAACTTCTTAGGAACTAGACTAAAGATCACTTTTGCTATACTTTATTAAAGAGACTGGTGGCATTGTGCTCTTGTCCTAGGGATCTGTGGACCTTTGAACTTGAGAGAGATAATTTGGATATCTGGTGGAAGAAATCTCTAAGCAGCAAAACATTCAAGAGGTGCTCTGTGTGTTTCTAACTGTGTACACTCATATGCATGAGTGAAGAGATTATCTGAAACTAGAACTTAGATTTAAAAGGGAAGCAGAGCATAAAAGTTTCGAAAATTTGCATCCCGACAATGTGGTAGAAAAGAAAAACCCATTTTCTAGGAAGGAATTCAAGCCTCTTGTAGAAATTCGTGTAAATAAAGAGGAGCCAAATGTTAATAGCCTAGACAATGGGGAAAATGCCTCTAGGCATGTCAGAGACCTTTGCAGCAGCCCCTCCCGTCACAGGCCTGGAGGCCTAGAAGGGAAAAATAGTTCTGTGGGCCAGGTCCAGAGCCTCGCTGCTCTGTGAAGCCTTAGGATACTGTTCCCTGTGTCTCAGCCACTCCAGCTCCAGCCATAGCTGAATATATATCTCAGGCCATTGCTCTAGAGGGTGCAAGCTGAAAACCCTGGTGGCTTCCCTGTGGTGTTTAGCCTGCTGGTGCACAGAGGGCAAGAATTGAGGCTAGGAAGCCTCTGCTTGGATTTCAGAGGATGTATGGAAACACCTGGATGTCCAGGTGGAAGTCTGCTGCAGAGGCAGAGACCTCATGAAGAAACTTAGAGCTGTGCAAAAGGAAATTGTGGGGTTGAAGTGCTCACACAGAATCCCCACTGCAGTACTGCCTAGCGGAGCTGCGAGAAGAAGGCCACCATCCTTTAGACCCCAGAATAGTAGATACACCAACAGCTTGCACCATGAGCCTGCAAAAGCCACAGACACTCAATGCCAGCCTATGAAAGCAGCCATGGGGGCTGTACCCTGCAGAGCCACAGGGCAGAGCTGCCTAAGGCCTTGAGAGCCCAGCCCTTGCATCAGCATGGCCTGGATGTGAGACATGGAGTCAAATGAGATCATTTAGGAGCTTTAAGATTTAATGACTGCCCTGCTGAGCTTCAGACTTGCATGGGACCTGTAGTCCCTTTGTTTTGGCCAATTTCTCCCTTTTGGAATGGGAACACTTACCCAATGCCAGTACTCCCATTGTATCTTGGAAGTAACTAGCTTGTTTTTGATTTTACAGACTCATAGGCAAAAGAGACTTGCCCTGCCTCAGATGAGACTTTGGACTTGGACTTTTGAGTTAATGCTGGAAGGAGTTAAGACTTTGAGAGACTGTTGCAAAGGCATGCTTGTGTTTTGAAATGTGAGAAGGACTTGAGATTTGGGAAGGGCCAGAGGTGAAATGATATGGTTTGGCTCTGTGTTCCCACCCAAATCTCATGTTGAATTGTAATTCCCAGTGTTGGAGGAGGGGCCTATTGGGAGGCGATTGAATCATGGGGGCAGACTTTCCCCTTGCTGGTCTCACGATAGAGTTCTCATGAGATCTGGTTGCTTGAAAGTGTGTAGCACCTCCCCCTTCTCTCTCCTCCTGCTCCAGTATGTGAGGATGGCACTTGCTTCCCCTTCACCTTCCACCATGATTGTAAGTTTCCTGAGGCCTCCCAGAAGCAGAAGCCTGTACAGCCCACAGAACTGTGAGCTGAACAAACCTCTTTTCTTTATAAAGTACCCAATTTTAGGTATTTCTTTATAGTAGTGCAAGAACAGACTAATGGACTTCCCTATTGACAGTCATATTTACTATATAACTATATATTTTTGTCTGGAAAAATTGAAATAATATCTTTAAGACACAATGAACATCATAATAGTTATCACGCTCAGGTATTGTCAGAATGATTTCTACATACTACATGGTACATAATAGTTTGCTTTTTTAGATAAATACATGTTGGTGTATTTGGTGAGTGTTTATATATTCCATATCTTAAGCCCAGAAACTGGATTTTAATAATGAGTTACTATGTGAAAATTCATGTATGCCATGTTATTCAATTTGGAGCTAATGCATATTTGAGTACATTCAAAACATTCTATTTTAAGTGTCAGTGAATTTAGCAATTAGAATGTTTCAAATTTCCAGGTTCCTGCTGGAGTTTTGAATAGCTGTGCTCCGGAATCAGCAGTATCTATATAATTGCTACTGTTTAATCTAAAAATGATAATGTAGTACAAATAGTCCTATTTTTAAAGCGAATATCAATGCCTTCAGTATATTTAGGTCAAAGTTGAGAAAATAGTATGGATTGTATGATTTATTTTATAGACTAGCTACAGCTTTAAATTAATTTCTAAATAATTTACTTCTAGATTTCATATTTAATCAAGAGTACCAAGATATTTTCTTCATGTGAACAAGAGTCAGTTAGCAGGATGTTCATTAATATTTGTTTATTTTTTAAAAAAAACAAAGGTTTGTTAAAATAGTTCAAACAATATTTTTACTGAATGCTATTAGGAATTTTAAACAACTATTCCTTGTATGCAAGTTTAGTGAAACCTAATAAATATCAGATCTATGGATCTGCCTATTAAACAAATATTCTTGCTTTATATCAGTCTTACATATCCTGTGCTTATGTGGAAACCTGTTTAAATAAGCAGGTAATAAAAGAATAACTGTTAAATAAGTAATTCCCTTTAGTACTAAGTAATGGAATAAAATAATTATGTCCACCTTGAATCTGCACTTATACCTTGTTTCAATTCTTGAAAGGAGAGGTTAATTTTTAAGTGCATATATTCTAAATAAATATGTGGGATATTTGTGGAGTTAAATTATCTTTGAATTATTGCTTTCCAAAGTTGGTTATCTATAGTATAACTAAGGAAATACTTACTCAAATGTCATAAATTTTTGAATACTTAGGAAGATTTTGTCCAAATACAGAAATTCAAAATGAGGAAGACATAGAAATGTGTAAGTATTTACAGTGATTATAAAATCTTATCTCAGCTACTAAAGATAGCTTAACTAGCTGGATTCCATTGATCTACTATGAAGCTTCATCAACTAAAGCTTTTTTTTAATTGATTCTCCATTTTGTCTTCTCATTTTCTTAACAGTGCACAGCAGGAATCACTGTCTACAGACAGAAAAGAGGATCTAGCTATAGGCATATGAATAAAACAAAGAGGCCCCAACTAAAGAAAAAAAACTGCTATTCCTATTTGATATAAAAATTATTGATATTGTCAATCAGTTACAGACAGAATTCCACTTAAATCTATAATAAGTATAATGTTGCAGTTGTATTGTTGACCATTTTAAAAGTTAAAGAAATCTACAAGATAATGTGATGTAATGTTAACATCGTTTTGACGGTCTATGGTATATTGGTACAAGTTCAATTTCAAAAATGTAAAATTAGTCAAGAATCTCTTGGAATCAGAAAAATCAGGGCATCTGTCTAGAGCTTAGCTCCATGTGGTTAAGAGAGTGAAGGCTCAACATGGGTGTCGATCTGGTCTCCTTTGTTTTCTTTAGGTTAAAGGGAGAATGTTAGTAATGAAGAAGACAGAAGAAAGGGAACATAAGGTACTGGACTGAGCTGCAAGTTGAAAATGGTCTGCAGGAATGCCCAGTGTTGGTTAAGGTAAAGAGATACACAACTGGCATATTCCTGGAAACATGTCGTTTTCACTTAACATGGAAAACTGGCAGATTCTCAATCAGAATGTTGATTCTCCTTTTTGCTTCACCCTCCCACCACTAGATTAAATGTGGACAATTTCTGGTGCATTTGTAACAATTCAACAGCATTTCACCTTCACTTATATCCAAGCCTTTTAGCTCATTAGAAAAGCTGACCCTCTGCTTACAAGGCTAACTTATTTCACTTTGCTAGTCTTTCCTTCATACAGTGGGAGAGCTTTGCTATTTCTTTTCTAATAGGGTCAGTAGCACTTTGGAACTTATTTTCACTTAAAATACAAAGGGCTATGCACTGAGTAAGTAAAGAAACATATGCTAATCCCATACAGGAAGAACATACACAAGGTCCTAAGTTGATGCCCTTCCATGCTTTTCGTTTCAGTTTGAATCTGCAATCCTGAGCCTGATTAACCTCAGGACATGCATGGTTATTGCAACTAACCTTATATCAGGTCTCTGAAAGTTTCATCAAAAAGGACCAAATTACCTATTCAAGGTGTTCCTATCATTCTCTTTGAATTTCTTAATCCCCAAATGGATTTCGTATATAAATCTCCTATTTAATTTCGGTAAAGGTAATGCAGATCTCATGAGTGTTAAAGTAGATAGATTTGGGAATCATCAATACCCCATACAGCATGTTTAAATCTATATTTTTAGTTATTGAAATTGTGAACAATTGCTAGAATCATCATTATAAATATACGATTAGTATAAAGGATAGTCTCAAAATCAAATCTATAGCCTTTGAAAACAATATTTGTAATATCCTTGATTATTTTCGCAAAATAACACTTCAAAAATAGTTTATATTTGTGGGATGTTTTCCCATTAGAAGACACTGTTTATGCAAATATAATGCAAAACCAGTTCATCCATGAGCTAAGTATGCTTTTCCATTGGTTGGTAAAAAAAATATTAAAAGCTAAACTAACTGTATTTTATTGACTTCATCTATAATCTAGCTCAAAAGAAAAAAAATATCAGAGAAGCTTAGCAAGCTTGGTTTCATAGTATCAGGTAGAAAAAAAAAGTGGGTGTTGATCTGGTCTCCTTGACCAGATGAACAGTTCTTATTTATTAGTTTCCTCAAGTTTTATGCAGAAAATTATATACAAAAGTAATCAACAAACTAAATTTTTGTTAGAGTTTAATTTTTAAATATAATTTATATTTGTATAAGAATTTCTAGCTTATAAATAGTTCTTATGTATGCCATTTTAGTTAATACTTACAAGGTTGTGATTTACCATAGAAAATATTATCATTTCTATTTTATGTATAACAAGGGAAATGAGGCTTAGGAAAATTGTGATTTAAACAGGGCAGTTATACACCCGCAAAGTGGAAAATCCCATATCTTTTTACTCCTACTCAGGGGTTATTCTCACTAAACCAGAATGCTTTTCTATTTATAATATAACCACGAGTAACAATTAAATGCTTTGATTTTAATAGTTATAAAATTTGCTATCCAGAAGAAACAAAGAAACACATTTTGAAGTGCTCTAAAATAAATAAACAGATTTCTAAAATGCTATTGAAGAAAAAGGTATACATAGTATGTCCTGCATTCATAGCTTTGGGATATCAGGATTGTTAGCATTAACATGGTAAAAACATGTAACCTAGGAAAGAGGGAAAGGCCAGGAAGCAGACTAGACTATCCAGAAGAAGGTGGATCAATCAAAATAGAAATTGATAGCAAGAAAATCCTTGGAGAGAAGAGAGCTACATAAAGCAGAGAAAACTGGAGCTAAGCAAATAAAAAAGAAAAGAAAGAGGATATAAAAATAACAGACAAAATATATGTGAAGGACATTCTGAACTGAAAATGAAAGAACTCAAATATTAAAAAAATGATTAAATGCATGTTGGTATTAACACTGTCACTCTAAAATGTCCAATAATAAAAAAGGAGGAAGGATTATTTATTTGATATTCTCTTACAATGAGAAAAGCTGAAAATTCAGGTCTAAGAAATTTACCACAGACCAAGAATAGATATTTCTCTTTCTGGAATCTTGAGAAAAATGGAAGCCAAAAGGAAAGATGCACCATGAAGGGCAACATTGAAAGAGAGACAGGAACCTGCAAAAATAGTATCAATAAGGCTAAGCCACAGAGTAAGCCGAGTCTTTTGGAAAGCACTAAAGACAATTTAAATATAATTTCTAAGAAAGACTGAGCAAGGGATAGGTCTGATTCCTGGGCCAGATGGTGCAGTATCAGCAGATGACATTGAAAGGACTAAACTCCTATTTTGCTTCTGTTTTCTCAATCAAGAAAAAAAAATGATCTTCAAATTCCAAAGGGTAGGACAAACAAGGAAATCAAATCCCTAGATAAGTGAGGAGATAGTAAGAGAGCACTTAGCTACTTAAATGAGCTCACAATACCAGCTCCAGATTAATTACATCCCCAAGGACTGAAATAACTTGTAGTTGGACTCTGACTCGTCTCATGAATTCTCTGGCTCTTCTCTACCTCCACTGCTATTCTCCAGCCCAGACACTCATCATCTTTCTACTAGATTATTTTAACGACCTTATATCCAGTCTGCTTGGATACAGCCTTTCTTAACTGAGATCAAATCACCACACAGTCTCCAAAATGAACTTTCCAAAAACACACACATAATCTTGTGCCTCTCTTACCTAAACATACCCCTGTATTTCTCCACTTTCTACAAATAAACTTCTTAGAATGCTATATTAGGCAGGACTTCCCCATCGTAACTCCAGCTTGCCAGTCTGAGGTTATCTCTCACTCTTTGATCATTCATTCCACAGCCAAGCTAGACTACCAGTAGTCTAGGTCAGTAGTACTGGTCATGCTCACAGCTGCTTCCTAGTCTTGGAACATGCTCTCCCTTCTGCCTAAAATATCCTTTCTGGCTTCCCTGATCCCTTTGGATTCATCAAGGCCCAGGTTAATGATAAGTCCCTTTTTTAGTTTGCTCTAGGTCTCAAAGTAGAATAAATTCTATATCTTTCTGTCTTCCTTAGGAGACAGCTTTCTTCTCAAAATGATTGAATAAGATTTCTCGATATTCAAATCTTACAGGTCTAATGTTAATTATTTGTTGAGTTAAATGTAATTGTTATTATGCAACCTAATATTTCCATAATTGCTTAGAAAATCATGAGAGAGAAGAAATCATTAATATCCTTGATTCTTAAAATTATACTTAGTATTTTAAGTAGCAAATTGTTATTATAAAAATTTAAGGCCGGGCGCGGTGGCTCACGCCTGTAATCCCAGCACTTTGGGAGGCCGAGGCGGGCGGATCACGAGGTCAGGAGATCGAGACCATCCCGGCTAAAACGGTGAAACCCCGTCTCTACTAAAAATACAAAAAATTAGCCGGGCGTAGCGGCGGGCGCCTGTAGTCCCAGCTACTTGGGAGGCTGAGGCAGGAGAATGGCGTGAACCCGGGAGGCAGAGCTTGCAGTGAGCCGAGATCCCGCCACTGCACTCCAGCCTGGGCGACAGAGCGAGACTCCGTCTCAAAAAAAAAAAAAAAAAAAAAAAAAAATTAAATATTACATAAGTTCAAGTGGTATAAATTAATATCCTTGTTCTTCTCTCTCTTCATCATGTGACCATCCCTGTAACTAGGGGTAACCCTCTGTCTGTGTATGTGTGTGTGTGTGTCTAAGTCGACACATAAACATATGCAAATCTACTTCACTGTTTAAAAAGTTACATAACATTCCTTAGAAATGAACACAGCATATTTTATTATTACCAGGGAAGAGAGAGAGAAAAGGGAAGAGATTATTACTTACATACTGTTGTCTTTTTCCACTGGGGCAACTTATCAATGAGTTTATACTTAGGAGTGAGAATGCCATAGGAGAACTAAGTCTGTTTTTTTTAGTCAACCTAAGTTCTCTTGAAGCTATTATAGTGTAAGCATCTTTCTGTACTGAGAGTAATTCTATTATTTAAGAGATTTTCAGATATGCTTTTCACTAACTTTAGAACCTAAGTTCCATGAAACATGCAGCTCCAGTGTAGGAAAACTCCTAAAATGAGTACTGTATAAATATATGTATTTATGCATTTTTGTTTTTTATTTTTGTAAGACGAATTTCTAGAAATGAGATTGCTAAGTCAAAAGACATATGCATTTTAAAATTCTATACTTGTAAAGAACTAGAACTGATTTGATCAAGTTATTCATATATTTTGATTAATGAATGGATATCCACCTAGAAAACCATCTCTCTAAATTTTGCTTCAGCCTTATATTAGCTCTCATATTCTTAGATCTTGTATTAAAATTATAAAAAAATTATGAAATAAATGTATTATAAAAACAGTGGAGATGACACTAACGCTCTGATAGAATAGCAAGATAAAAACAACTTGATAAGTTTGAATAATAAAACCAAAAAAATTAAAACAGGAATCAATGAAAGTATGCAGAGATTCACAAATGATTCAGTGGAAAAATACTCAGGAGTTTCAACTGACTAAATTTCTGCTCAATCAACATGTAATACATTTTTAGATTATGTTGATATAGTATCCAGAATGCGGATGGTAAAGATTTCATTACTTCTCAGAAAGCAGACTTCATCTGGCTGGGCATGGTGGCTCACTCCTGTAATCCCAGCATTTTGGGAGGCTGACACAGGTGGATCACTTGAGTACAGGAATTCGAGACCAGCCTGGACAATATGGTGAAACCTTGTTTCCACCAAAAACACAAAAAATTAGCTGGGTGTAGTGACACGCACCTGTGGTCCCAGCTACTTGGGAGGCTGAGGTAGGAGTATCCCTTGAGCCTGGAGGCAGAGGTTGCAGTGAGCCATGATTGCACCAGTGCACTCCAGCCTGGGTGACAGAGTGAGACCCTGTCTAAAAAAAAAAAAAGAAAAAAGAAAAGAAGACTTCACCTGAAATATTGCCTCTCCCTCCCCACAACGTATTTTAGGATGGACATTTTCAAACTGAAACCTGCTCAAAAGAATGATGATCAATAATAAGAAAGGTCTCAAAATCATATCAAAATAGAAATAGTTAAAATAACTGTATAAGTGTCTCCTTACATGGGAAGAGAAAATGTACACAAATAATGCAGAGGTTTTTGCATGTTTGAAAATCTGTCTTTAAGGAGAAAATTATTGTAGCTTGTGAAGCTTCAGAGTCATTGATAAAAATGACAGAGCAACCAATTTTAACTCACTATACGGAAAAAAATTTAGCATGTAGAAATTTCCTAAAATGGAAAAAAGAAAATGAAGGTATTCATGTAAAGCAGTGAGTTGTTTTATTCTCTAGCAAGGCTAAATGTCTCCACCAATTTTTTAGTTGGGGCTTCTATGATCAGTATTAGTTTGGGCTTGATGTCTTTTAATAGCCCCTTCATCCAAGATTTTGATAAAACTGAACACAACCATCACAATAGCTGATGTTATAGAGAACTTATAATGTGTCTGTCATGCGTTCTTTAAATCTACCATATGAAATACTTTATTTAATCCTAACAATAATCCTGTGTGGTAGGTAAGATTATTATTATCCCTAAGGCTTAGAAATATCACTGATTTTTGTCCCTAGTTTTGCAACCAGTAAGTGGCTGCCACAGGACTGAACTCAGGTTGCCTGGCTCTGTGTCACTGCTTTTCTGCCTCATGATGTACCACTCCTCACAGGTGGAACACACATTTTGTCTCGTGGTGAGTCGCTTTTTAACAGGTTCAAATGAGTGAATGCTAGTGATTGCATATTGTCTTTTTTTTGTTTGTTTTTTTTAATTCTGAGACAGAGTCTTACTCTTGTCACCCAGCCTGGAGAACAGTGGCAAAATCTTGTCTCACTGCAATCTCTACCTCCTGGATTCAAGCGATTCTCCTGCCTCAGCCTCTTGAGTAGCTGGGATTATAGGCACATGCCACCACCCCTGGCTAATTTTTTTCTATTTTTAGTAGTGATGGGGTTTCACCATTTTGGCCAGGCTGGTCTCGAACTCCCGACCTCAAGTTATTTGCCTGCCTCAGCCTCCCAGATTGCCGTGATTACAGGCATGAGACACTGTGCCTGGCTGCATGTTGTCCTTTAATAAGCCCCAGTGCCATTTTTGTTCTACTGTGTTTATTGAATGTCTGCATTGTATCAGGTGTTCTAAGAATAAAGGCTGTGAGTTCTGTTTTGTTAGAGACCCTAACAGTCTCTTCAACCCTGATATTTTGGCTCTGAAAAGTTAACTTCCCAGGTTAATGATATTCTATTTGTCTCTAACTTGCACACAGTAGTAATTCAGCAAATATTCAGGGATGAGCTAGCTTCATGCTCATTTATACTTTGGAGTACAGGCTATGACAGTAGCAGTGGTTTGGAATTGTTCTCTGCCAATCATAATCCATGTGGCTTTGAGCGAGATCTTAACTTATCTAGGTATAATTTTATTTACCTGTATAATTATCTAGGTATAATTTTATTTACCTGTATAACAGAATAATAATAGTCACAACATTTAGGACCCAAAATGTAGATTAAATGATATAGAGCTATAGTGAGGATTACGTGAGGAAACACATAGAAGGTTCTTAGCACAGTAACTGACACATGGTAAATGCTAGATGAATGTTAGCTATTATTGTGATGACGGAGATGATGACATCTGTCAGTATAATGCCTTACATTTGAGATTCACAGAAAACAGAATGCACGTGAGCACCCACGCACATTGCAAATCTTGATAATAATAAACATTATTGTGCATGTGTTTCTACAAAGCAGTTAACATAAGTTCCATATTGCAGTAATTTCTAAAATGGCCTATAACCAAAAAGTGTAGTTCTCAGTACCAAGCAAAGTTCCATAAATCATTAAAAATTCTCATCCCCACTGAGTCTCTCTGTGGCACCTCCAGCAGCTCAGCAGTCATTCACGGGCCCAGCAGCTTGAAGGTCGGAGATGCAGCGTCTCCAGGTGCCAGGGTCACTTTCGCATTTAACCCCTAGTCCAGTCAGTTTAAGACTACGCAGATTTGTTCTCTCCTTTGAGACAGGACCCAGCAGGGTCTTTTCAGGTAGTTATCCCCAGGGAACAGAAACTTACTCCAGGACAAGCTAACCAACCACATCAAATAAGGGCAGATGAGAGACAGTCCCCTATGTCCCACATGTGAATGCTCTGGGAGTAACGAGAAGGCCTTGAGTACGCTATGACAAATAAGAGGAAAATAACACAAAAGAGAGCAATGAGAATGGTTTTGCAGACAGATGGGCCACTGTGGTTGGTTGTCAGAATCTTGAGCAGTTTCTTAAACCTTAAGGCCGGAGCAGCAAAGAGTTTCAGGGAAAAGAAAATGGCTTTGGGAAGGTCATCTTCTTAGACAGATATTTACGATTTATATGATGCTTATGTTCCCCATTTACACACAACGAAGTGATAAAGCTGAAAGCCTAATCTTCATTCCTTTATATAAACACCTCGGGCATTTACGAAAAAGAGAAATAGATTAACATTTAAAATCTATTGTACTCCTTTCTAGCTGCCATTTTCAATTTGTTTATTGTAGTCTTGAATATATTTGTAATAAACTTTTTATTTGGACTTATGTAGGAAGTAGAGCAATTTTAAAATTTTGGCTTTTGCTTTATTTTAACTCTTCTTTTTGATCTATGAATTAATTTAAAGTGAACCTGCAAAGATGCAGCCTAACAAGATATGTGCCATTCCTTTTTTTCCATCTAAAAGGATTTTTCTAAATTATGCTTTCGTGAGAAATGTTAGGAAGCACTTGGATATATGGATATGTTTGTTTTCCTCATATACACACACACATATATATTTATATATATACCTATATTTATATATAAATATATATATTATTTTAATACACATTATTATATAAATATATCACATATATTTATATGAGCCCAGTAGAAATCAGTAATGAGAAGACATAGTCCATGATATTCACACTCTCTCACTGGTAAGGATACTTGATATAGGTTATCTATATCAAGTATCAATGTAGGATGGATGTATCTATTTTATACATCCTCCTCTTCTACAAAGAGGGAATGTATGAGATATCCTAGGTATGACCACTTCTCATAAACTCAATGATTAAATCATTGACTCACATACGCTGACATTATGGAGCAGAAATACATCTATTTACAAAGATTAAAATGTCCAGAAAACATCAGATAGAAGTGGGAAGTTTGCAAAATGGAAAGTTACAGAATAGAGTTCAGCTCTTCTGGGTTGCAATAGAATTTAATTCTTGGGGGAACAAAAGGATCTTTGAATCTTTGATAACTTTAAAACATTCCAAAATAGAAGGCGGAACTTTTCAATCAACTTCTACGTATACATTTTAAAAGCTCTGATATCTTAGTAATTGCACATTTTTCTACTGGCTGTCTTTCATTTTAACATCAATGAAATAGAAGTATAGAAATGGTAGTTACCACACTGTGTTAGTTTCAATGCTGTGCTGATGGGTAATTGTAGAAAACACAGAGAAATGTACTCCACCTCTAGAATAAGATAATACTCCTATATCCTGCTTTCATTTCCACATATATTTACTGCTCTCCCATCAGTTATGTGCCAGTTCCTTTGCTAGCTACTGTGTGATGACTGAAGCATTCTTTGCTTTCAAGGATGGAGCTTGTATTCTATGAAGAGAGAAAACAAGTACACAAATGACAATGCACAAGGCATAATCAAGTAGGTGCCAAAGAGAAGTACATTATGAGAGTAGGATCAAACCTATAAAATCAGCCTGTCTAACCTACCTCGTTTTACAGACAAGGAAATGAGGCCAAGGGTAAAAGTGTCTAGTTTAAGGTCACACTACCAGTATGGAAAGTCAAGTCTTTTAACATCAAATCAGTTTCTTTCAATTTAAACTACATTACCATTTTTGAGGAAATTAAATAACTTTAGTTTTTGTTAGGCTTTGCCATGTTTTACTTTAAGGTAAGAGTATAAAAATAATGTATACCAAAACTCATTCTAGACACTGTAAAATATGTGGGATGAATTAAAACTTTGGCTTAGCAAAGTAAACATAATTTTACAACTTTCAAACCCCATTATTCTTATGTTCGATGCATGTTACAAAGTGGTTGTGAAATTCAAAATGGTTAGTGGAGAAAAGCAGCAAACCCCCATAGATAGGTCATACCAAGAGCAATACTTTTGTTGTTCACAGCTGTGTGAAATTTAACTTGGATTCCTGAAAGAAAGCTTGCCAATTTCTTTAAATCTTTGTGGACCTTCACATGAATGTAGTTTTACACTCAGTGAATGTTGATTGGAATACATATAAAATAACAAAATGCAACTACGAATTCTGGAATACTTTTAAATTATAAAGCACAGAAGAATCTATGGACATCTGAAAAAAAGGTAGTATGTGTGTTTACTCTGCCATATACATATTCCTTCAAAAATGCAGAGCTTACTTGAAGGTGATATTAACCCCATTCATTCATTTATTCATTCATCATTGATTCATTCCTTCAGGGAAAACTGATCTCATTGTAGTTACAAGACAAAGTATTAATAACGCATGTGTTTAAAGTTATTTTTATTTAAAATATGTGTTTAAAGTTATTTTTCTACCATACAAATAGTTTCATTTCTCTCTCCATATTTTTTCAACTGGACTGCCTTGTGACTAGTGGAATAGAGTGGCTGTGGAATTTTCTGTGGAACAGAGCAAAGATAGAAAACATACTTGTTTAGCAGGATAACATCACTTTTCTTGTATATTTCACAGAAGGTGCTAAAAATCACCTATATCAAGTATCCTTACCAGTGAGAGACAGTGAATACCATGGACTACAAGGTCTGCTCACTACTGACCTCTACTGGGATCAAAAGATCCTGAAAATCATTTTTAAATAAGCAGGTATACAGTTCTAAGGGAAAGGACAGAAGCTGAACCGTCTGCATAATACTAATGGGTACTCATCTTTAATTCAGATTGGCTGGACGTGGAGATCCCTTTAAAGGCAAGAGATTTAAACTCTACCATGTGTAAGGTTTACTTGGCAGGGATCATTTTTAGGTTGGCATGGAATACATTTACCCCAGTTACAAAATCCTAGTAACATCTGTTGATATGAAGTGTTCATTTGTTTCTGATTTCCCAGTCCTTCTAATAGATCTACATGCATTTGAACTAACTAAATTTTGAAGAAATGAGCAGCCTCATAGGCATTTCACAGTTATTTGTTCAGTGATCTTTTTTTCTTTGCCTGGAACTTTGGTTCCCTGGTGGCAACAACAAACCGATAGAAATGGGGACAAGGCCAATCTGTGCCCATAAAAACTCACATTTTTTTCTTTTAAAACATTACAATCAGGTTTTTTTCTGTGATAACTGAGGTATATATTTCCCATAATTCAAGCAAACAGTATTGCAATTGTCTGTTTGCTTTGACTTTTAATCAGATCATTTCTGGTTGGTTGTCTGAACATGGCCGGTCATGTTCCCTTTCTAAAATAAGTATAGTTGAAAAATAGTTCACTGATTCCAAATCACGCCTTTCACATTCGCAATTGGACTTGGATATCCAGGAAGATCTTTTGGACTGTAGCAGATTATGGCTGCCCTCTAGTGACAAGACACTCCTGCTGTTTCAGCTTAGGTAAAATAGGGCATATTTAAAACAGAGTCTATTTTCTACTCAATCAGTGGGGTGAAAGAAATCTTTATAGAGAGAATACAATAGATACATTGTTAATTATGTTGAAAAATAATTTTATTCTAGGAAATGTAGACATATGTGAAATGCATAAATGCAGATACATATTCCTCAATCATAGCACTTTGGCTAACATGCATTTCTATAGAAGTCAACCATTTTCAAACTCAACTGTTACCATTTAAATAATTCTATATTATTTCAATAATCATTGAACAAAGGTTAGGCTTTATAATGCAGAAAAGCTAATTATCTTACAGCACTGTTAACTACTGAATCTTCATTCTATCTCCCTAAACTTTCTCCATCATATTTTTTCCAGCAAAGAGAACATAGTGTATTCATTTGACATGCAATTTGTATTTCCAACTAGCTTCAGACCAATTGCTTTTTTTTTTCTCTAATTGCTAAAATGTCTGAAGTTGTATTTCGATTACCACACATGCTTGGGTGCATCAGGCCTCATTTAAAATTCAACCAGCAATACTGTAACTGCCCCAATCAATAATAGTGAAGCATAGTAATCCAGGCCACAACTGTAAGTTGGCTTTCTTATTTCCTATCACCTACACGGTACAGGATAGCAATGCTTGATCTGATTAATTTCAAATTAAAGAAAAACAAAACATAGAAGAGAAAGAAAAGAAACAATGCTCTTTGGCCTGCTGCTGATAGAGTTGAATCAAAGTAAATCTCGTTGCCGACCAGACTACAGAAAAATCACCTCTTTGAAGGTTGACAGAGGAGCAAATCATTTTTCATTCACCACCTCATTTTTTCCCCATCCCCAAACCATAAGACATTTTCTACAACGGATAGGTGTTGCTTTTTCTATAAAAAGTAAGTTTCCACTGCAAGTGTGAAAACCTAAAAATCATCTAACCATAGAGGGAAAAATTCTTTCTGGCCTGTATGAAATGATAAATTCTCCCTTGTTTAAAATACAGTGAAGCATTTGACCCCGTATCACATACTGATGTGTGTGTAAACACACACACACCCACACCCACACACACATTCAGGATAGAAATGTACTAGGAAAAATTGTTGAATCTCAATTGCTGAAGTATCTATTGAAAAATATAGACAATAAAAGGTTGACTAGATAATCTACTCTGACTTTCCACATGGTGAGTCAGCCAAGTGGTCTATTGGATGATTTAAAATTAATAGAGTAAATCCAATCAAGGGACTAATTCTGATTTGGGTATATGTTTTAAAACTTTGTAAGAGGACAATTTGTTTTCTATTTGTCCTCATTTCCTTTGTAGGAAAATATACTTTTTCTTCTGGCAATAAAACCAACAATGAAAGCCTTTTGGGAAACCAAAACCAAATTCCCTGGGCTTTGTGGCTATGTTGAAATGGCTAAAATCAACTGGCAGCAATACGAATACCCGGTTTTCTGTTCATTCCTATAATACCTGGAAGAAAATACTCATTTCATTACAGTTTAGTAAATATTTGTGGAGTTCTGATTCTGCATCAGATATATTTTTTTCTAGAGCTGAAAATCCAGAGAAGATTAAGTTTTTGCTTTCAGTGACATAAAAACAAATACTTACATATTGATGTATTCTATCATAAGTATATATGCAATATAAAAACACAGTATCAAATAGAGAATAATTCTGAGACAAGTTATATTAGAAGTGATGACTTGATGGTGACCAAGCCAACATTTTGAAGGATAAATAAGAAATCTGCAGACAGATAAGATTAGAAAAAGTCACTCCACTTGGACAAAATGGCCATTTAAAAAAATTAATTGTATCAATCCTGAAAGATGCTCTAATATTCAAAATCTGTTGTAGTTTAATAAATACTTATATCAATGTCAGTTCTTAAAAACTAACCGATTTTTTAAACTCTTACTTTGTGCCACACACTGTCCTAGATACTGGTGAAGAAAACTAAAGAAAATATGATGCATGCCCTAAAAGTGTTTACTATTTATAAAACATGCAACTCCACCAAAACTGTAGTTAAGGAGTACATAAAGACAGAGAGAAAAGAGGAAAAGGCAACAATAAAGGAATGATGTCAACACTTTTTTGGAAGAGATAAGGCAAATGCGGAAGTGATAATAGTGCAGAGTATAGAAAGTTACAACATAAATGCCTAAGGGAAGAGATGACCAGGAAAAGTATGGCAATTTACCCTTGTGAAATTCTGCGAGCCTCAAGGTTTGAAAGTACAGGTCATAGGGAAGGTGAGGGTGAAGTTCCCACTAACATCAGGGAATATGTTAGGAGTTTGTAAAGAGAAGAAATGGACCACACTAAGGTCCTGCCCCCAAGTCACACAACTGATATCCTATGCAAAGTAGAGGGCAAGGTTGAGGACTGGGTTAAAAAAATAAATAAAATGGAAGTGAAATCTACCTGCTGAACTATGAGATGTGAAACCACTTCCCTTCCATGCTTTCAGAGTATTCGAAAGCGTTACTTCTCCTCTCAGGTAGAAGATTCAAAGATGTTTCTCTAGAATACCTATATAGTCCCAGAGAAAAGATTTCATATACAGATACTTTAGAGAGCTAAATAATTTTTTTAAAAAAGTCGATTCAACTGCTCATTCCACAGTGAAACTCACAAGTCAATAAGCCTCATATCCATACTCACAGAGCAATCAGTCAGCCTTTCAGTGTTTTTTTTTTTTGTCTGAAACATGAATAAAGAGTCAAGCACAACTCGACACTTTTTCAGAAAGCCTTTGATAAGAAAAAAAATTAATAGGAATAATCTCTCCTCAAAGGAAACTCACAAGAAAGATACCAGGCCAGGAAGAGAAGCCAATAACCATACCTTTAATATATCACAAAGATGAGAGAAAATATATTGCCTATAAAGCAAGAAAAGGAGGGCATGAAATAGAAACATTTAGAAAATATAAAGGAGCTCTTGAAAATCAAAATTTTTATTAACAAAATAACAATTCAATATAAAGTTTATCAAGGTAGGAAATCTCCTAAATGGTAGAGCATAAACACAAAGAAATAGAAACTATAACGGGAAAAACATGGACATTAAAGTCATTCTAAGAAGGTCAACCCCCTCTTAATAGTAAGTATGGAAAGAAAAGCAGGGGTTATTTGAGTACATATATTATCAAATAAATAATACAAAAATATTTCTCAGAGCTAAGTATAACAGTTTTAAAACTACAAACAGTATTAATGGTCTAGCATAATACATTGAAAATGAACACACACACACACACACACACACATCCCAAATATATATACAGAAAATAACTCAAATATATACACAGAAAAAGAAGTCACATAAAAGGCAAGGAAATCAAAATGGTTGCTATGAAAATAGTGAGGTGATTTCATCAAAATCTGAAGGAATGAGATTTTTGACCCAGAATTCTCAATGCAACCAGATGAGCAATAACATTGCAGAATAAATGTATTTGCAGATATGATTAAGCTCAAAGTCTTGATTTCTCATGATACCCTTCTGAGGAAACTGATTTAGGATATTCTTACCTTAAGGGAGACAAAAATCAAAACAGAAATTCACTGAAATTATTGGATGGAGAAAACAGAGAAATAAATGGAAAAATACCTATGAAGTCCCAGGAAACAGATATGAAATAGCCTACAAAGTCTGTGAAAAATGGAGGACGAGAAGAGAAAGTTCTTTAGGAGAAAACTTAATTGAAGTTCTAATTTATTAAAGTAAATTTAATAAAATTATTCATGATATTGAAGAATTACCTAATACTTGTTGAAAAATTATTCCTTAGCTCTTGAAAACAGCAATAGGTACATAGAAATTTAATAAAATGAGTAATATATTACTGGGCAAAGATGGACTATTGAATATTGAACACCATGTCTATTTTTGCTTCCTTTCTATAGCCTACTCTAAGATATAAGTAAGTCTATATATACAAAAACAAGGAACATGGGAAACAACAATAAAAAAGTTAGAATAGGGAAAACAATGGTGAGGTAATAAATAGCATATTAAATCTAAGAAAACTGAGTCCTACTCTGGAAGGCAAAATCTGAGACTCACACTACAGAGTTTCCCAAGGGCTCTAGATTCGGGAAAAAAACGAGTACCTCTGAATGTAGGATAAAAAGAAATATGACAATTAGAGTTGTTTGAAAGATCGATTAAGAAGCAATAAGAATCTAAGATCCTTTGCCCTTTTGCAGATTTGTGGGACTGTCTCATTACAACACCAAAAAAGAATAAGTTTGTTCTGTGGAGATGTAAAGTAATTAGGGATTTATGGCTATTGGCCCCATTCAAAAGTGGGTAGATTTAAAGGGATTAGATAAACTCGCTGGGCTTCCAGCATGCGGAGAGCCAAGAGATTACCCTCCACACAGAGACTGGAGGATCTTTTTCTAAGGAATCTGATCTATCCAAGAGGAAAGTCTTTTGGAGGTTTTCCTACAGTGAAGTTAATAGTTGACAAGATCCATGCACAGAATCAGTTTCCAATCAGCTTTTTCTTAATAGAATAGTGACTAAAGAGTACAAATGGAAGTTTGTAATATTCCCTTTCTTGAGTTGGCAGCTGGTTACAGAAGTGTGTTTCATTTGTGAAATTTTATCAGGCTGAATACTTATATAGTATTCCTCAATAAAAATTAAAAATAAGTTAAAATCTGAAAAAAGCAAGCAATAATAAAAACATCAAAATATACTGATAATTACTAGCAATAGCACAGCACTCTGGGTCATATTTTCTTTCAAATTATTTCTTTCTGTCAGAAATTATCTTGGGTAAAGAATAGGTACGATGTCAGTGGAGAGAAAAACCGAGGCCCAGAAAGTTAGAGAAAATTTCTCTTAAACTTGCACAACAGCGCAATAGTATTTATACAACCAAAACTAGTGTTATGGCTGTGCCCACATATTCTTCTGGAAGCTTCAATTGCAGTTCTGTACTAAGTTCCAATTTTTTTTTCTACGGATAAAGATTCCTAAAACACATTTTCCAAAATTCCTTTAACCAGTGTCAACTGTATGCGTTTGAACTTGACCCTATTGAAATCTTAATTTTTTCTGTCTATATTCGAATTATCTTCTGATTCTAAAACCTTAGATTTCGGATTCACATAGGAATACTTGAGAGAACAACTAGCCCTTTGCCTGGTGCCAATTGCTAAACTTAGACGAAAAGTTTTTACAGTTTAGAAATTGTAAGCATAGTGTTTGTCACATGGACTAAGATGTATTAAATCATCTTAAAAGGAATGAGGAAGTGTATAACTTTACATGCTTTCCTTGCAAAGAAAAGTAGCTGAACTTAAGCATTTCCATATGAAGTTGCAGACAAATATCTCTGTGTACTGACAACATGTGGATTAATTCATATGCACTGTAAAAGAAAGCTATCTACAGGAAATAATGCATGTTTATTCTAACAGTTGATTTCTTTACTGTAGTAAATTAGGCGAAGTTTTTACTCCAACAGGATTCTTAGATTTGTACTTTAGACATGAGATGCCCTTATTACTGTCCCGTGCCCCATTCTTTTTTGGATACGAATCCAGCCTCGGTGATTTTTCAGTGAGCCCTCCTTCTGTAAGCCTGGCGAAACTTCAGGACTTTCTTGCTCAAGGGGCTTTCCTGCTGTGTGCCATTAAATATGGAAATGTTCATATTTTGTGGATTCTGCTAAAATTAGATGCCTCTGAGCTCAAAACATCTAAGAGAATATGCAGGTCTTGCTGAAAGAGCCAACGATAGTACTGTGTACGAGCTGCTGATTAGAGGCAGCTGAGGGAGGGAAAATACCATCTCTCTTTCTCCATTCTTGCCTCTCTGCTGTTCATTCTCCAAACAGAAAGATTTTATTGTGTGAATCAAACTTTGTCACTCCTCTGATAAAAACCTGTCTTGGGCTTCCCAAATTTTCATCATATAAAATCTAAATGCGCCAGGTGCTATGGCTCACGCCTGTAATCCCAGCACGTTGGGAGGCCGAGGTGGGTGGATCACCTGAGGTCAGGAGTTTGAGACGAGCCTGACCAACATGGAGAAACCCCGTCTCTACAAAAAATACAAAATTAGCCAGGCGTGGTGGCACATGCCTGTAATCCCAGCTACTCGGGAGGCTGAGGCAAGAGAATCACTTGAACCCGTGAGGCGGAGGCTGTGGTGAGCCGAGATCATGCCATTGCACTCCAGACTGAGCAACAAGAGCGAAAGACTGTCTCAAAAAAAAAAAAAAGAAAAGAAAAAAAATTAATCTAAATGCCTGCATGATAGTACACTAGCAGTATATACAAGGTAGTCCACTCTATCCTGTGTAGCCTGGCTCCAAGCTCTCAATTTTCTTCTCACAAGCCACACTGTTTAGTAATTATATGAAGCACCTGGGCAGGTATCCAATCTCTATGCCTTGGTACTGTTATGTTGGTTGCTTATAAATAAGTTGTGGACCACCAGGAGTCAGGATAATATCACCAATATAACATACATTTCACTGCAAATTGCAGAAATATGGGTAAAACTTCTTTATCCTGTGTCTAAAATTTGAGAAACCAAGGAAAAGGAGGTTTCTAAGTCATATTTCAAAATTTCCCAAATTCGTTAACTTAAACCATTCTATCTAACCGTGAAGCTTCTGATACATTAAAAGTATGCCTGGCTTCTCAGGCAAGGAGATCAGCAGTCTCAGAGCAGTTTTCCTACGTTCCTGAGTCTAGAACTTCAGTACCAACCATTATGTAAATTCCCACTGGAGAGAATTTGAAATGTAACTTCCAGAAAGATCTGAAATGGACTAAAGCAATACATAAATCAAAGAAATTTTAATCAAAGGCCACTCTGTATCTAAGGCTGCAACCCCACTTTCTGTTCTATTTTCCAACTCAAATTATGTCCAGTCCCATTGTCCCATATAACTCATTAAAGGTTTCACAATGACATCAACTGACTACATTTACAATAACAAAATAATGAAAAACAGAGATGACTCCAACTTATTATATAATCCTCATCTTACTATCAAATGCCCAGGGATAAATTAATATTCCAAAAACATAAACTCAAACTTTGTGAATTCAAAAGAGCTAAAAATTAAAATAAAATTCTCAATTCTCTTGACCTTGTAAGTTAAAAGTCCAAGAAAGGGAAATCTAAATTCCAAAAAAAAAAAAAAAAAAAAAATCCAAAATTTTAGTCCTAGGGTTTTCATATAGGAACTTGAGTAGAGTCAGGCTAGGCTATATTGTATATATTCCTTTAGTACTGCTGAAGTTGCTTAGCTAAGCTCTCTGATGTTGCTAATCCAGAGTTTTACATTGAAAATTAAAAGGGTGCATAGTATCATCACAGCAGTAGCCCACAACCAACAAGTTTTACAAGCCCATCCATTATCCCTAGAAATTTTGGCACAAGCAAAATTCTGGTTATATAATGTAGAACTTAGTTACTAAAAATCATAATAGAAAGAATAGCAGAGTGCAAAAATAAGTTTTGTTAAACAAACAAACAAACAAACAAAACAGCCCTTCCAGGTGTTATCCTCATCAGGTTTAATGATGAGGTTAATCCATGTCAAGGTTCCAGAAACTATCATATGTATATCTAAACATACTTGTTAAAAATACCACCCCCATCAAAAGGTATATTTCAGTACTCTAAGTCAATAACAAAAACATGCTCTTTCCTCTCCGAGTGGCATATGTGAGACATGGCTGCCTTTTGCCCAACATTTAAATATTTAAAATGTCTTTCTTTCCCATCCATTACCCATATTTACTTCAATTATAGAATAACCCTCAGTAAATTTTGAACTACAGTTACTGTTAATTTTTCTCAGGTATGTGTTCTTACTAGTCAAAAAATAACCGTCCCTACATTGCCATATCCTCCCTGAATTTGATAAACCCATTGGAAAATCATTTTTTCTGCTGACAAACATTTGATCTGATCCTGAAGGTATTTTATTATAGTTCTACTTAGCTTCCTTGTAAGGCCTTAAATATTTTCTTTTTTAATGTAAATTTTTATAGGCATTGTCTTAGTCTGTTTTGGCTGTGATAACAAAATACCATAAACTAGAGGGCTTATAAACAG
Source organism: Homo sapiens (assembly GCF_000001405.40). NCBI lineage: Eukaryota > Metazoa > Chordata > Mammalia > Primates > Hominidae > Homo > Homo sapiens. The sequence continues at coordinate 80,209,404 of NC_000001.11, read as the reverse complement.
CACGAATTTGTTTCTCACAGTTTTAGAGTTGGAGAAGTCCAAGGTCAAGGAGCCAGCAGATTTCTGGTTCATGGATGATGATTTCTAGCTGTGTTGTCACATGGTGGAAGGAGCTAGCTAACAGTCTGTGGTCATTTAGAAGAGCACTCATCTCACTTATGGGTGCTCTGACATCATGATTTAATCACCTTCCAAAGGGCCCACCTCCTAGTACCATCACCTTTGGGGTTAGGATTTTAACATCTGAATTTAGAGGGACATGATCATTCAGACCATAGCAGGCATGCTGTGTACAATAAACATAAAACACTGAAAAGTCACCAAGTATGTCTCGACTATTTCATGCTGACCTTCCCTGGACCTCCCCTTTGATCTGTTTAGACACTCAAAAGATGTTTCCTGTGTTGCTATTGGAAAATTCCAGGGAATTCTACATCAGAAGTTTTGAAAGTCTTCTTCTAAATGTAACCCAGGTTCTGGCTTCCTCTGGTGGAGTCATTCAAATCTGCTATCTTAGATTTGCTTTATTCTGTCAGATGTCACTGGGCTTCAGTCACTTTCTGATCTGGTAAGAACTTAAATATTGCTCCCTTTTCTAATATCCTTTTTAAAAAGTTTTAGTTTGGTGCTTTATCTTTGTAATACATCAGATCTGAAGAAAAAGGGAGAAAAAGAATGGATCCCCCATATCTTCAGTTTCGTCTCCAAAGTTTGCTTACTAGATATGACACTCCTCCTCTCTGGAGAAGTAGTTGAGAGGACAGCTACAGGTCAGATTACTCTAATGGATACCATTGGTTATAGGACAAAAGGAAAAGGGAAATTACTTTTTAGCAAATAAAATAAAAGTAAAGTGACAACTGTAAACTCCTCAAAAAGTAAATAACAGCAGCAACAACAAAACTGTATGAGAAATTTAAGATTTAAATATGAAGCAATCTTTAAAAATTAGAACTAGAACTTGAAAAATTCAAAAAATAATAAAATAATAGCAATAAATGTATTGAGAAATTAGCTGAAAAAACATTATAGGTACAGTAGAAAAAGCAAAAGTTTCTTCTAATAATAAGAAAAAGGAAAAGTCATTTGAGATATTAAGACAAATAAACAGAAATCAATGCATGAGGCCAGACTTCTGGGTAGCTGAGAACAATGGCAGCAACAAGCCAAGTAGCTCCAAGAATGTTCTCCCAATCCATAAAGAAGAAATAAAAAGGGAGACACAAATTCTGTAAAAAATTATGCCCTTTTCATGTTTGAAGACAGAGAATGTCAAAACCGCAAAATAAGTGTGAGTAAAAATAATAAAGTTACTAAATTCCAATCCCTTATATGTCTCTTATATGCCTGCCTCACACTTAGCCAGCCTCAGTGCACTGTAATGACCAAAGGCAGACTGAAAAAAAAAGTGCAGGAAAGACAGATAACAATGTCTGAAAAAGGAGTCTAAGTAGGATTTGAACAACTACTAAATCTGAAAACATTAGAAAAGTGTTTGAGCAGTTCAGAGCACACACTATGAGAAATAACTTTTAAATAGAAAGTAAAGGGTCTTGGGTGAAGGGCTAGATACAAATACAGATGCTCTTAAAAATGCAGATAGCTTCTGGGGAAACAAAACAGGAAGATGTGTCATTTGGCAATTGGTTAGTGATGGCAAGAAGTAGAAAAGGGGAGCAAATTTAATGTCCTACTGCACTAAAGAGATTCATAAAATCGGAGGACTCACCTCTTTCTCCACATGAAAACAAATAAAATCTTTTCAATTATTTGGATTTTGCTATACTGAAAGAAGAGGTTTTTCTTACACTGGGAATATTATTAAATTGTCCTAATGCCATAAAAATGAACAGAAACAAAATAAAATACTTATTAAGCTTTTGAAAAAAAATTTACACAAATCAATGGAGGAAAATACACCTTTTCCTCTAAGAAAAACAAAAAAACAGAAGTGTATGCATCAACATTCCAAATGTAATTATACATATTCCAATAAGCATTTAGGATATGTGAAAACCTCTTTTGACTCACAAACTTTAAAAATAGAAATATGTATAAAAAGAGGCAGAAGTGATAAAGAGAGTGGACTGAATTCTGGTAAGAAATAGCAGAACCAGCACAAAAGGCCATAAATTAAAAATAAATTTCAAGGCTACACATTGTGGCTCACACCTGTAATCCCAACACTTTGGGAGCCTGAGGTGGGAGGATCGCTTGGGCCCAGGAGTTCAAGACCAGCCTGAGCAACATAGCAAGACCCTACCTCTACAGAAGTATTTTAAAATTAGCCAGGTGTGGTGGTGCATGCCTGTGGTCCCAGCTACTTGGGAGGCTGAATTAGGAGAATCTCTTGAGCCCAGGAGGTCGAGGCTGCAGTGAGCTGTGATTGCACCACTGCACTCCATCTGGGTGATAGAGTGAGACTCTGAAAAAAAAAAAAAAAAAAAAGATTTCAAAAACAAAACAAAATAGAATGTAATGAAACATTTAAAAATGGCAGGAAAACAATCCAGAAATAAAAATAATTGAAAAGGATGATTAAGAAAAAGAAAAAGAAATGTTAAAAGGACCTAAGAGCAAGCAGTAGAAATGGAAGACAGGAGAGAAGGAATTCTATTACTATGATTGGGGTTCCTGAAAAAGGTAGAAAGTCAATAAAATGTAGCTAATATAATCTTAGTATACAAATACAACAAAATAAACATAAGATATAACAAAGTAAACATAATTATAAGATATAATAAGATAAGGCTGGGCGCGGTGGCTCACGCCTGTAATCCCAGCACTTTGGGAGGCAGATCAGGAGGTCGGGAGCTCGAGACCAGCCTGATCAACATGGAGAAACCTCATCTCTACTAAAAATAGAAAATTAGCCAGGCCTGGTGGCGTGTATGCCTGTAATCCCAGCTACTCGGGAGGCTGAGGCAGGAGAATCGCTTGAACCAGGAGGCGGAGGTTGTGGTGAGCCGAGATCAAGCCATTGCACTCCAGCCTGGGCAACAAGAATGAAACTCCGTCTCAAAAAAAAAAAAAAAACAAAAAACCACACACACACACACACACACACACAAAGATATAACAAGATAATTATATGATATATAAGATTTGGTATTAAATATATCTGTCATATGAATAAAAACAAATGAGCTTAGCTTACCTAGTTAAGAAAAAAAATTTCCATTTAGGCCCACAAAACAAGACTCAATAATATGCTGCACATAAAAAAATACACCTAAAACAAAGTAAGTCAGAAAGGTATGGGAAAAAAGTGTGCCAGGAAAATGCAAATAGAAAGAGAAAAGAAATTGTGATCCTGATATCAGACACTGCAGAAGTCAACCTGAAAACCACTAAATATGACAACAAATAGCACTTTAGTTTTCAACCCTATACCAGAGGTATTAGTCAAAGAAATTAAATAAGAGAAATCAATTATCAGAATAACAATGGATAAGATATACTATCTGCATATATGATAGTGTATCTGATAGTACAGATAATCAATAATAAAATTAGCTAGAACAATAAATGACTTTAGAAAAGTAATGAGCATAAAATTAACATACAAAATCAATAACCTTCACATATAGAAACAATAAGCAGCTAGATGACATTATACTAGCAAAAACTTCATTTACAAATAGCAAAAGATTAAATATTAACAATAAATTTAATCTAAAATCACAATATCTATTCAAAATTTTTAAAATAAACACTCTTGAAACTAAAAAAAAACTAGACTTGATGAAAATATATCCAGCATTTTTGAAAAGGATAACCCAACATTAAAAAGATATCAGTTTTCACTAAGTTAATATATAAATTACCAGTGATCACAAAAAATATCACCCAATATTTTATGGAGTTAAAGAATTTGATACTAAAGTACATATGAAAAATCAAGCATATTAGAATACCATAGTAAACATTGACAAATAAAAACTATAAAAGGATAATAGCTCTATCAGATATTAAAACATATCCCTGTAATTAAAAGTGTGCTACAGGGCATGAATACACAAATAGATTATTTAAATAAAATAGAAAGTCCAGAAATAGATCTCAAAACACTAAAAAATTTAATGTATGACAAAAGTGGTATCCCCAATCTCTGAGGTAAAGATGGATTTTTTAATAAATGATGCTAGGACAACTGAATATTTGTTTTGAAAAGATAAAATTAGACTTATTTCCACTGCCATACACAAAATAAACTGCAAGTGGATTTTTTAAAAGTACAACCATATAAGTACTGGAAGAAAACATGCATGGATTCCCCTTTAACCTTGAAGTAGGGAAAGACTTTCTAAAAATGATTGAAAATACAAAGGTAAAAGAGAAACAACATAGATGCCATACATGAAAGATTGATACATTTGACTACCAAAACCAAATAATTGTAAAATCACCATTTAAAAAAGTTGAAAAATTGGGAGAAACTATTTGCAACATATATTGCAGATACAAAGCTCTCATATATAAAGAACTTTTAAAAATTAAGTGACAAAAATACAAAAACCCAATAGAAAAATTAGAAAAAAAGACATGCACAAACATGAAAAACATTAAAATGCACCTCAAACATGAACAAGTTTTCAAAACTACTTATAACTAGAGAAAAACAAATTAAAGCAATACTGAGATACCATTTTTTTTCCAATTACACTTGTAAAATTCACAAAGTGCAATAAGACCTTGTGTTGGGGATGCCGTGGAGAAATAGTCCTCACACATTGCTGTTGGGAATACAAACTGGTATAAATATTAGGAAATGTTAGCAGTACTTTACATAATTACATTTGCACTTACCTTTGACCCAGCAATCTCATTTCTAAATATTTGCTCTTAGGAGAAACATGCAATAATACAAAGGTATGTATGCACAGGTTATTTATTGCAGCACTATTTTAATTGAAAAATACTGCAAACAGCCTAAATGTCCATACATTCATAAGTGGCTAATAAGTTTTGATGCATCCAAAATAGGAGTACTATACAACTGTACAAAATGAGTAAAACATCTGTTACTGATTTGTTAGATATGCAGAATATAAGTTAAATTAGAGGTTTTTAATCTTTTCATTATTGTACCCTAAAAAGCCTTTTAGATATTTTTCCTAATTGTCCCTTTATTAAATTTTATTGTCATAGATATGCTGTCTATTGTTTATATACTGTGTTATATACAAAGAGTAAGATTTTTTTTAAAGATTTTTTATCTTCCAAGAACCAATTTTTGCCCCCTTGCAGGCAATATCAAAGCTGCTGGGAATGCAGGCATTAAATGAAAAAGCAAAACAAAATCAATAGTATGCTAGTATTATTATAAGACAGAAGAGAACATAAGAAATATACATATCCCTGCTCCCTTGTGCAACAGAAGTACAGGAAGAGTCAACTAAAAACTGAAGAAATTAATTACTGATAAGGGTTGGATGAAAAAGGAGTAGAAAGGAGAGGTCTGCTGGCACCTTGATCTTGAACTTCCCAGCCATCAGAACTGTGAGCAACAAATTTCTATCATTTAGAATTCACCCAGTCTGAGGTATTTTTGTTATAGCGCCCAAATGAACTAAGACAGAAACTGGTACTGAGAAGTGGAGTACCACTGTAACAAATACCTAAAAGTGTAGAAACAGCTTTGAAATTGGGTAATGAGCAGAGGCTGAAATAGTTTGGAGGTTTGTTAGAAAAAGCGTATATTACCATGAACAGATCATAAAGGGAAATTCTAGGGAGGGCTAGGAAGAGAGCTGTAGAGAAAACCTCAGCCTTCTTAGACAGTATCTACATCGTCATGAACAGAATGTTGGTTGAAATAAAGATGGTAAAGGCAATTCTGATGAGGTCCGGATAGAAATAAGGAACATGTTTTTGGAAACTGGAAGAAAACCAACCCTTGTTATAAAGTCACAAAGAACTTGGCTGAATTGTGTTTGTGTCCTAGCGTTTTGTGGAAGGAGGAGTTTATGAGTGATTAAATAGGATATTTGATGGAAAAAAAATCTAAGCAAAGTGTTGAGGATACAACATGTCCTCTTTTGACTGCTTATAGTAAAATGTGAGAGAAACTAATTAAAGATGGAATTTATAGTTACAAGGGAAGTAGGACTTAAAGCTTTGGAAAACTCTCAGCTTGTTAAAAATGAGAAAACATGTTTGGGAGAGAACACCAAGAGTGTGGCCAAGTAAACTTTTGATAAGGAGATTAATATGGATGAAAGGAAACCAGGTGCTAAGGAAGCCTGGAGATAATAAAAGAATGACCTGAAAACACTTCAGAAATCACCAGGGTTGCCCTGTCTATCACAGGCCCAGAATGCCAGGGTTTTGGAGACAGAAGTATTTCAAGTTTGCGCTCCCTCCATTCCAGTGCAGCTGTCCTTGACTGCCTCAACCGTGGCTCAAGTATTCCAGGTTCTACTCAGGCAGCCCCTCTGAAAACATCAGATGGTAAACCACAGTTGTATCTGAATGGTACCATCTTCATGTGTGCACAAGATGTGTGAACTGTGGGGGCATGGTACTTTCATCTAGATTTCAAAGGATGACCCAGGGAGCTTCAGAGCGTAGACAGAGAACTACTACAGGGGCAGGGTCATTGCAGAGAGCTCCTCCTAGGACAATGTCTAATGGAACCATGGGGACGGGGTCTCCCCCACAACCCTAGACTGGTAGAACCACTAATGTGTAACTCAAGCCTTGGAGAGCAACAGGCATGTAACTCCAACCCATGGGAGCTGCAGCTTGGGCCATACCCAGCGAAGCCATGGGGGCAGGGCTGCGTAGAGACATGGGGGCCCAACCCTGATAGATTTGTGTCTGAAAGATAGAACATGGGCTCAAAGGAGATGATTCTCCAGCTTTAAGATTTAATATTGTTTGCCCTGTTGTGTTTTGGACTTACCTGGGACTAGTTAGCCCTTTTTTCCTTACTATTTCTCACTTTTGGAATGAACATATTTATCTTATGGCCGTCCCACCATTCATTGTATTTTAAGAGCATATATCTTGTCTGATTTACAGGTTCACAGCTGGGGAACAATTTGCCTTAGGATGAATCATACCTTGAATCTCATCCTCGTCTGATTTAGATGATATTTAGATAAGACTCTGGACTTCAGACTTCTGAGTTGATGCTGAAATGAGTCAAAAGTTTTGAGGCTAATGGGACGGAATGAATGTATTTTTCATTTGAGAAGGACATGAATGTTTGTGGGTTAGGGGCAGAACGCTACAGTCTGAATGTTTGTGCACTGTCCCTCACCACCAAATTCATATGCTGAAACTTAATCCCGATTGTGATAATATTAAAAGGTGGGGTCTTTGGGATGTGATTAGGTCATGATAGCTCTGCCCTCAAGAATGGAATTAGATTCCTTATAAAAGAGGCCTGGGGAAGATTATTCACCCCTTCTGCCATATGAAGATGCAGCCACAAGCCACTATCTTTGAAGAAAAGAACAAACTTTTACCAGACACTGAATCTGCTGGTGATTTAATCTTGGACTTCACAGACTCCAAAACTGTCAGCAATAAATTTCTGTTGTTTATAAATTAACTAGTCTAAGGGACTTTGTTTGAGCAGCTGGAATAGACTCAGACAAACAGCAATTAGAACTGATTATATGGGCAAGGAAGGATATGTCTTTTGAAGTGTGCCTTTTTGTATAGTTTTGACTCTTAGAACGATCGTAGTGGTTCTCATACCACAATAAGTAAATAAATAAAATCCACCAGAATGTGGGGGAAACCAAAGTAGAAGATAAATGGTAGCAAATAAGCTTAACTATATCTAACTGTATTACAGAGAAAACAAAACAAAAATCTATAACCACACTCAAGGGAATGGGGAATAAAAGATATAACCTAAGCAGCTTTGGAAAACAGCATTTTGATAGGTTACCTATGGTAGCTACAACTTTAAGGCTAAAAGACAAAAAAAATTGATAGGTTACCTATAGTAGCAGCTACTGTAAGGCTAAAAAACAAACCCTGTCTTGTGGTTAATAAGTCTATTTCTTATAGGGACATATGTTAGCAATGTTGCACATAAATTATTTGTATACTGGGACTGAACAAATAATTAAATACAGATAATGACAGGCTGATTTTTTCAGAGGAATTAGTTGCAAATAAGCAAAGGCAAATCCTAGAATGAACAAATTGATTGAAATTGGAGGTATTGGTATTAGTTTATGGTTTTTGAAGATAGATAGATAGATAGATAGATAGATAGATAGATAGATGAGAAAAATAAATACACATGCATATGCCTAAGTTGTTAGTATAAATACATGCATTTCCTACTCTATTGAGATGCTGAGAGGGCCTGGAGACATGACGACCTAGCAGCAATGAGCACCTAGTGCCCAAATCTTAGTTACTAGATGTCATCCTCTAATAAAATGAATCTCAGTTCCTTGTAAAGAAAAATGATCCCAGTTATAGGGCAGGGGAAATATAAGATGTACCTGGAACATCTTGTTATGCAAAATATAAAGTGCTTAAGTGAAGTCAAGTAAAAAAGACATTCATCTCACTGAAAAACAGATAGTAATGGGCAAAGATGGAAAAACTTGAGCAAACAATTAAGTAATGATAACATTACATGATAAGTCATAGCATAAAATAAACATTCCTGAGTCCACACAAATACAAAAAAATAGATTAATGTATAATTAAGTAGGGGGAAAAGAGACAGCTTCCTCATACAGACAGTTTCAATAAATAAATGTAGAAGGAATGAGAGAACTATAAAACTATCATTAGGCAAACACCATATTATTAACTATTACAGCAAGATTCACTGATGTATGCCATAATTGATGGTTAAAGATTAAAGAAGATACTAAATATTTGCATAGCCTTAAAGGATTTCCTACAAAATATTTACCAATTACAATGAAAAAACAGTAACTCTACAGTGCTGAAACTTACCAAACACCATCTTAAACAAGTGATTTAGGTTAAAATCACTGATATAAAAGCATATTGACCTTACGTACCCCTGACTGAGAGTCAGTGAGGACACACATGAGTTCTGTGTTATTCTTGTCAAACATTCATAACCACAACCTACTCGCAAGAAAACACCAGGCACTCAAATTGCTAGACATTCTGTAAAATGACTGACCAGTACTCTTCGAAAGTTTTGAAGTCATGGAAGACAAAGAAATATTAAGGAGCTGCCTGAGATGAGAAGTCCATGACAAATAAATGAAATGTGGGACCCTAGTTTAGAACCCGGGAAAGAAAAAGAACATTCAGGGGAAAACTGGTGAAATTCAAATAAGGTCTATAATTTAGTGAATAGTATTGTGACAATGTTAATTTGCATTATGATTATGTAAATTGTTAACATTAGGAGAGCTAAATGAACAATACATGTGAGCTCTCAATGTTGGTTTTTCAACACTTCTCAGTCTGAAATTATTTTAAAATTTAAAAAAGTTAAAAAGAGTGCAAGAAAAGCATGATCCACATATGAAGCGAATTAAATTGGCATGGTTTTGAGCAATTAGTGAAGTGTAGAGAATCTATTTGAACATTCCCATTTGAGTAGCATAGGGATTAAGGCATTAGAAATTTAGAGAGCCTGATATATTCATATCAAAATACTTGCCCCTGCAGTGAATCATAATTACATAGTTGTAATAATGTAAATGATATTGATGCATTTTTAGCATTTGGAATCAATCTATAAGACAAAGCACTGAAAGTATGATTGTACTTATAAAAGATAATATAAATATTCCCATTCTTGACAATATGTAAGTAAAAATACAACTATCAGAAATTAGGAGATATAAATAGAGAGGAGAAGTGAAGGGAAGTGTGGAGTACTGATAACATCACTCAAAAGTGGGAAGCTATGAAAATCTCTCTATGGTTGTGAGCCAATTAAAATAAGTAAAGCTGGCAATAGAATGATATTTCTATTTTGGGAATAGGGGATGTGGGGTCAGGCAAATGAATTAAGTCTTCATTTAGTATTGTCAAGAGTTAAGAGAAAATATCTAATGTTTATAAATCAAAAAGCACATTTAAAGATTATTACCATCAGTCACATTATGAATAGTGATGATTATAAGTAAATTTCTCTTGGGAACAAGACTAGAAGTGGGCAGTCATGAGCCTTGTGTATTTTGTATATATGTGCTTTTTTTAACATTTTAAATTATATGACACATTATACTATGTTTTAAATATTATAAAATAATATAATAATCAAAACTTCTAATGTAGTTAATGTTCTTCAACTGCACAATCATCATTATCCAGTTTTGCATCACATACAATTTTACTTATCCTTCAGGGCTATGCTCAAAGATTAGCTTTTTCTATCCCAAAATTTACTGAGTGATATTTGTGTGCTCATAATTATTTTTCTTATTATTCTAGATAGGTTTACTATTTTGCTCCTCTGTACTCCAATAATACTTTATTTATAATTCCAGTAAGCAACTAATCACAACTGTTATAATTATCTTATAACTCTTTCACTTGCCAGAATAAGAGTACCTCAAGAGCACGTGTCTTACCCATGTTTGTACTTCTGGCACTTAGAGTGACTGAATATATTTTTAATATGTAAATATTTATAGAAACTAACAACAGCATTTAGGCTCCTGAAGGCATAAAAGAACACCCTCATTTATAACAGAAGGGAGTCAAATATTGAAAAAAAATGGTCTTGGTTCCATAATTTCTGTGTTTGTATCATTCCTTCATTCCTTCTTCCATGTCAGGACTGAAAATAATTTGGAATAGACTAGCCAAGACTCAATACCTATTTTTCTTCTTAGCCTGGTTATATTCCATGATGAATACTTGTTTAACGGTGGTAGAAGGAAAAAAAATGCACTAGATCATCCATTATAGGCACTGTTACTAGTTAAATTATGTCCCCACAAAAGATGCTGAAGTTCTAATCTCCATACCTGTGAGTGCGACTTCCTTTGGAAATAGGGTCTTTGCAGGTGATCAAGTTAAGATAAAGCCATTAAGGTGGGTCCTAATATAATATGACTAATATCTTTACATAAAGAAAAATTTTGGACAGAGACCTGTGCACAGGGAAAATGCCATGTTAAATTTAGAGGTATGCTGCCAGAAGCCAAGAAATTTCCAGAAGCTGGGAGAGAGATCTGGAACAGATTTTTTCCTAGCATCTTCAAAGGAAGCCTGGCCCTGCCAACACCTTTATCTCAGATTTCTAGCTTCCAGATTTGTGAGACAGTAAGTTTCTGCTGTTTAAGCCATTCAGTTTGTGGTACTTTGTTACAGCAGCCCTAGTAAACTAAGGCAGGCATAAAATGGGCGTTATTGAAAAATTTTTCAGGGAGAGGATGAGAAAGATGAGGCATATTGTCTCTCCTGTTATCCTATCTTCCCTTGAAGAGGATTACAATCATGAGAGTACAGTTGGATGCATGGGGTGCTTCAGGAGAGAGATCTCATGCCTGCTACTCTAACTTGTTATAGGGTGTGGGAGTCTGGTAAAACAGGTTAGTGTGTGCAATCTGAGCTTGAGTGCCAGCTCTCTGGAGAAATTATTTGGGAAGCCCAACTTTAAGCACCTAACAATTTCTCTAACAATTTAGAGAAAAACTAGAATTGGGCTGAATGACCTCCTCCTGGAGGGAAAAGCACTTATTTCTTCTTGTCAATTTTCTGGCAACTCATGGAATAACATTCCAAATCACTAGACGACAGTACTTGGTTTGCCCTTCCATTGCATTTTTTTTTTTTTTTGGCAAGCTAACATTGATTGAATGTACACTATGTATTAGGCATTATGACTCTTCTAAATGTATGTGTGTTCTTTTTATTTTTTTTTTTACAGTGGTTCTTATGATGGATTCATTTATCTTAAACTGACAGGCAACCACAAGTGTGTACCTCAATCTACTGTACATATCAAGCAATTCAGTGTTTTCTTGTAATGTCATGCCTTTTCCCTGCTTCTTGGGAGCACTTCCAGCATCACTAGTGGTGCTTCATATGGGTCCCCTGGTGTTATTCAAAGTTTATAGTATTGCACTAAATGCAATGAAAAATATGCAAGAACTATGCAAAATATACAAGAACCATGTGAGAGGCCACTTTTTGCTGTAATATACAACTTGCTGGAGAGACAAACTACTCTCATGGAGATGATTAGCAAAAGGCCCTTTAAATCAGATCCTTGCAAAATTTGAACTTATCACGATAGCAAGAGAAGGTGGCCATTAAATTATTATAGTAGCACAGTAGGTGCTTTCTGTTTGCTTACATTTCTCCCCACTGTGAATGGCACCACGTATGGCTTTAAGTGTTTATGTCCTCGAATTTTAATACATTTTAACTTTGTATAATAGATGTGTGTATATTTTACTGTAGCAAATAATAAAATACACTAGCATCTTCCTATCTTTTATGTGTTCATGACATATCTAACTTTTTCTTAAATTTTTTGACTTTTCTAGGCTGTGATATAATAAATCATCATTGTTTAAGACACCCAGTTTGTAGTACTTCATTACAGCAGCCCTAGGAAATTAATGCAAATATGCATACATGAATGACCAGTGGGCATTCAAGGAACTTACTATCTATGATGGGGAAATAGACTTATAAACAGATCTTATAGAACAACGGTGGACAATAACGTTTTCTCAGTCAGAGATGCATCCAGTTAAGGTCTGGGAGATGAAAATTCCATCCACCTTCCCTTTTCCCACACCTCTTTCAAGATTTCATTGCACTTTTCTTTGAAATATTTTGAGGATTCAATTCAATTGCCACCTTTGAGAAATATTACCTGGTAATATCTTCTCTCTCATTCTGAGTAAAATGCCTCTTTTACATATTCCTAGAGAACCACATGCTTCCTGTACAGTAACAATTGTAATAATACATTTTTATTCTCTTCAAAATACACATACTGAAGTTATTTGTTCTCATATTAGAGAGTAACTCTATGGAAAGTAGGGCCAATATCTTATAATGGCATCCATGTTCCAAGCTCTTAAAAGGATGGTTTAATGTATTTTGGTTGAATGAATAAATGCATGAATATCATCTAAGTATTTATAGAAATATTACCTTTATGGGGCACAAATCCTTCTGTTTTCAAGCAGCTTTATAGCTTCCAAAAATGTCTACAACTGTCATAGAAATCCACTTTGAACTTAACAGAAAATGAGGAAATATACGAGTTAATTTCCCTGCTACCACTCTGTATACTTTCCTGGGTAGATAGTGTAGGACTCAGAATAGCATTCTACTTGTTTGAATGATAGATTAATTGATCGATTATTGTGACAAATGGCAAATGCTGGTTGCCAAATTATAACTTCAAACAACTTCTGTCATTCAAAATTCAATTGAAATATGTTCCTAGGACAATCTAATCCTAGGGAAATACAAGAAAAAAATTATCTGAAGTGCCACTGTGTTCTGTGCATATTTCTATTTATGAATAATAAAAAGAAGCTTCCAAGTCTAGCAAGATCTCACAAGGAAGTTTCCATTACCACTAAGATAGCAATGGCAATGCTGTGGTCAGTGAATACATCTGTTTCCCTTGCAGAGAACAAAGGAAGAAAGGAGTCAATGTTATTATCACTGCTCTGCATGGAGGTGGGTATCTGGAAATCAGAGTCCGTACACAACTTCATTCTCAACTGCTGCTTCTGCTGTTTGAGCATAAAGAACATAGATGCTTGGTGTCTGTATAGTAATAATTTTACATTTATCCCACTTATCGCCAGGGGATCTAGTCTGTACTCAAACAGTAAAACATACTGTGCAGAGCTGGGAAACTATGTAGAGTTGGGAAAACTATGCAGAGCTAAGTATTTTTTATTTTTTGGTCTATGACAACCCAAATTATTTTGAATACAAAAAAATGGACTATCAGGCAGACAACCTGGGTTTCTGTTCAGGCTTTGCCTCTTGGTATGTAATTGCATAGAAGAAATCTATACATAACTACTATAGATATTTTTTAATTGTCTTCCTAGCATTTCATTAAAATTGTCTTCCTAGCATTTCATTCATTTCATCTAGCCCCTCCATTCTTTCTCATATTAAGTGAACATAATTTCTACCTAAGTTATTGAAAAGATCTAACTTTCTAACCAATCTCTCTCTTCATATATATATATATATATATATATACAGCATATCATATACGTATTTATCATAATATTATCTTTATGGTGCCATATATATATATATATAGAGAGAGAGAGAGAGAGATAGAGAGAATACAGCATGTGTGTTTGTGTATATGTATATATATGGATATGTCTGTGTGTGTTTCTCTTCATAGTACTACCTTAATATCTTGTGAGAAGTGTTAGATATTTGAAGAGTAACTATGTCTTTAAAAAAAGTTTTCTATAATCTGTTTAAACCATGTATATTTCAACAAAGAAAGTAAATAGTATTTTTTTAAAAAAGAAACGTTAAGGAAAATATTCTGTTAACATCAAACTGAAATGAGATTCTTAGAAGAATTATAAGAGACCTAATTTGAGGTTAATTAGTCCAGAGGAGGTAGAGCAATTCATAGGAAACTGAATGATGATTTTGAAACAGCCATTTTCTTTTCTCAAAGAAAGTCTTCTCTGGCCCCACCCCCTACTCCTAGCCTTTGTGAGGTGTCCTTTAAACAGGTTTATACTTGGTGATAGGTAATACCTGAACTTGATATGTGCTACATAGCAACTTATAGCACTCATCAAACTGTATTCAATCCATCTTAGTATATCATTAACTCTCTGATGCTGGGAAATAATACTATATTCACCATGTGGCCCCGGGCTCTGGTACATGCTTATCACTTATAGGTGTCGAATAAATCAATACTGAAAGAGCGAAATGTAAGACCAGCTTGAGTGTCCAGAGCTGATATCCATGCTTTTCATATGAGAAGAAAAAACCTCAAATGCTTTTTTACATGCTTTCCAAGATCTGCATCTACAAATTTTAATAGTCAGCATTATCTGGGTAAGATATTTGTTGGTTGTGAGCCATTTTATATATTTTAAGATATTCTCATTAGCACATGCTTAAAAAATAGCAACGTGCAAGAAGTTTTATAGTTGGATAAATGCCCCTGAAAATCTGGGTATAGTCTGTATTCAAGAAAGATGATATGCTATTTGAAGAAATCTCTCTTCAGAATTTTCTGTAAGTAACCTGGCAGTAATTATTTTACCCGATACATGTTGTTTAGAGTGTTTATGTGACATGACCTCCTACAATTGAAGAAGCCACCCTACCAAGACATGTATCATCACAACAGTCATGTTTGCCTTCTTGCCTAGGTTTTTAAATCTCACCACAAAGACAACCCAGGAATCCCACCATGGCTCACATCTTGTGTTCTGTGCATTGCTCCTCTGACATTCTGAGAAAGATCAATCGATCAATTTTTTCCACCAGGAACTGAGTGGCATGACATCATCATGAAACTTAGCCTTGTTCTAGAAAACCAATTGAGCTTGACCAAAATGAACAGCAATTTATTTTCAACCAGGGAGGCTTAGTCTCTACAGAGTTTTAAATATTAGATACTACTGCTGATGTTGGGTCCAGGAGTACCCATACAAAGCCAAGAAGAGAAGGGTAAAAGAAGATCAATGTGCTCATTTTCAATAAATCACTAGATTAATCCAAGTGGGATTTTGCAGGTGTGAGTGAAAAATAAAAGGGAATCATTACTTGTATTTAAAAGTGCAAAAGCAAAATCAATATTTAAAATCAAGGTTCAGGAGGACTAACTGATGAAAGGGTAGATGTATAGAGAATTGAATAAATTTTAGAATTAGAAAAGCTTTTGCCATGTCCGCCACTTATTATGCCAGTGAACTCCACATTTGTGAACTCAGTCTGAGTGCAGTGTGCAATGCATTTCACTTCATTAGTAATTCATGTAAATGTAGCTTGCATTGCAGACTGTTTATGAAGAGATCAGTCTCACTAAGATTTTTTAAGCACTCTTTTTTTCAACCTATAATATCAATATGATACTAATGAAACCTTCTGTTACTATGGTTTTTGGTTATATATGTGCAGTTGAAACCACTTTCAGCACATGCAGTTATGTTACTTGGGCTTAATAGCTTCCTCAGTCCAAATAATATTATGTATGAATATTAAATTTTCCAAGAAAATTTTTGAAATAGGCACAATATAATTATAGTGCTTTATAATTTCTATATGTTTTGTTAAAAGTTTCTATAAACCAGTATCTCTGAGTAGATACAAAATAATATATTCCTAGATAATTATAAATAAATTAGCTTGCTAAACTTACTTATGTCCCTGTCATATTAATTTAAATACACATTTATTTAAAATAAGGTATTTAATGTCAACCGTGTATATCGCAGGTACTTGATAATTTGAATATAGGCAAAAATAGTAAAATAGAATAAAATGGCAATTGCATCATAAGTGCTATGTACTTATGATAGAAATAATTAGTGATAGAAATAATTAGTGTGATATTAAATGGTTAAGAAAGTTTGTGAGACTTAAACATTAATTTGAGAAACTTTTTTCAGTGTGGTAGAGGAAAAATTGGTAGCACATTTTACAGTGTGGCCATGGTATGAACAAAGATACATAAGTTGGAACAAACAACATATGTTTCTCTGTGAGTGTTTTACAGAATTCCAGGAGCAGTGTTTCTCAAAGGCATAGCTGAAATTAAAATCACCAGGGAAGGCTGTTAAAAGATACATCTTTGGATTTCAATACAGACCTTTTTGGGATATATCTAAAGAATCACTGGTGATTATCATGCTTGCCATAGTTTGAGGGCCACCATATGTGGGTAAGCTTTAGTAGACTTGAAATTCATAAAAACCACTATTAGTACACACCAGTCAATACTGGCATTCTCTTTCCAAACACAAATAAAAATTACATAGAAAGAATCACCCTCTTTCTCTTGTGGAAAGACATTATATCCAAGTGGTTGAAGGCAAAAGTTTTGGAATTCATCTGACCTAATCCGAATTCTAAGGGATGTCTCTTTTTTAAAAAATTCATCCTACTAGTTTGCATATTTTTAAGGCAGGGGTCATGTCTGTTTAAATTATGGTATTCTCAGCACCTAGCACAATAAATTACTGTGGGTGTAAACAGAAGATTATGATATTTATTATTAGTTAAATCAGATAATATGAATCTCAGTAAATATATGTAGAAAGCACTCAAAATAATGGTAAATGATTCAATTATAATAAAAAGTCATCCATTCATTCTGTAAGTACTTATTTAGACTTTCTGTCTCCAATCTAATTTCTGAGGAGAGAAGGATAAATAAGACAAGATCCTTGTTCTCAAATATCTTACGGTTTTATAGAAAGAAAGGCAAATAAATTGAGAATTGAATTAAAATGTAATAGAGAAAAGAACATGAGATAACATAGAAGAAACTTCTTGGCCAGATGGAGTACTGAGATGAAGTGCAGAGCATGGTCAGAGAAGACTTTTCTGAAAACAGGACATGATATCCATATTTTTTTCCTAGGACTGCTGCAGCAAATTGCCATAAACTAGGTGACTTAAAACAATAGAAATTATGATCTCAGCTCAGAAAGCCAGAAGTCCATAATCAAGGTGTATACAGGGCCATGCTACCTCTGAACAATCTAGGGATTGCCTCTTCTGAGCTTTGATTGCCTCCCAGCAATCCTTGGCATTTCTTGGCTTGTAGCTGCATCACTCCAATATCTGCCTCTATCTCCATTGGGCCTTCTTCCTTATATGTATCTCTACATGTCCTTTCTTGTTTATATAATGACACCTATCATTGGATTTAGCTCACATCCCTAATCCAGTATGACCTCATTTTAACTAATTCCAAATATGGTTACATTCTGAGGTTCCCAATGGACATAGATTTTTAGCAGGTACTATTCCATTCACTACAGCATCTAGATAAGAGTTTTGAACTATAAGTGTAGGTTGATCTGACCAAGAAGGTGGACAATAACTTACCTGTGATGCACTCTACATTGCTGTTAGTAGCCTGGCTACTTAGAGACTCTGTTACTTTAGAGTCACTACTATCTTACACAGAAATTCTAGACTCAGAACCACTTTTCCATCTTGGGTTCACTATCTTTTGCAGCTCCTGGATGCTATAGTCATGCCAGTCCACTTTGTAATTCAGATGTCAGGTCTAGTGTGAATATTGATAAGCCCTCAACCTTCATGCATCACTGAATTGGGAGAATCATTTTGCCTTCTAGAATCATGGATTCTTCTATAGAGAAGCCAAGATTCTGGTTGTAATTTCTTTCCAGGATAGAAGTCACCTTGGTTTGGCTTTACAGACAGAGGCCTTTCATAACATCATCTATTCTGCTTGTGTCTATGCCTCCCCCAAACCAGAAATAACAAGATTAATGTCAGCCTGCTTTTTTTCACCTCTTTCAGTAGCATTTATCATAAAGGGAGCAGGAGGAGGACTTGATGAAGGTGAATAAAGAAGTATGGTGCCTATTTAAAAATGAGAGAAGGAGTCTTGTGAGCTTCAGTTACATTTCCTGCCTTCATTCACACTGAGTCCTTGGAATAGAAACAGCTAATATATTTTTCTCTTCTATTTCTAGAAAATGATCCAGAAAACATATTCATTTATTTTCCAGGTTCCACAGTAAGTTTTGTATATACAGATTGTAGGGTCTAGTGAAAGAAACCCCCATGACAATGAGGATTTCCTCCAAAGTTTTGCCTGGGATTACTGAGTTATTCTGCCACTTTAACCTAAATCGTTGAGTGTGCCCTACTACCCCCTCTATCTTTCTGTAAAAAAAAATACTGCCTTTCTCATTGCCTTTATTTTGCAAGTTAATGGCACCCTTGTGAGTAAAACAGCCACCTATTCTGCTGGAGGAAGGTGGCATGAGCAGAGTCAGACTTCGTGTACAGGGTATAGCACCTGTAAGCAGAGAACAAACACCATTGCAGTAGACTTTTTTGTTCATCACTTTATCAAATTGTTTACAAATTTAATCCAATCCATATTATCTTTAGATGTGCCTTTTTTCCCCTGACTTTTCAGTAACCATGGGCTAAGCAAGCAGAGGAAAGTTAAAAAAAAAAAAGAAAAGAAAAGAAAGAAAGAAAAGTGAATTGTATTTACTTGTGGAAGAGCTAGCATACAGGCAGTAAATAACTGCTAGTTTATCTGAATATAAAGCAAGATTAAATCAACCAACTTGGTAAAACCGAATTTTAAGTGGAACATTCTTCAAGTGATATACTAAAATTGCTTCCAAGGAGAGCAGCTATATTTATTTAGTTTAAAATGAATATCATCATATTATCATATTTGAATGCATTTTGGATCAGGTACTTGTTGAACATTTAAAGAAACCACTTTAATATAAGAATGTTGAAATTTGATGAGACTATCATTTTTGTTAAATATTATTTACACTTTTTGAAAAATAATTAAATATTAAATGCAGCTATGTAAGCATAGAGCAACTGTTGCTGAACCAGTAACTAGAAGCAAGAGGAATGGCCTGGTTTTCTCAGAAAAAAATGTAGGCATAAAAATAGTTGTCAAGGCTGGGCGCGGTGGCTCATGCCTGTAATCCCAGCACTTTGGGAGACCGAGGCGGGTGAATCACGAGGTCAGGAGATCGAGATCATCCTGGCTAATACGGTGAAACCCCATCTCTACTAAAAAATACAAAAAATCAGCCAGGCGTGGTGGCGGGCGCCTGTAGTCCCAGCTACTCGGGAGGCTGAGGGAGGAGAATGGCGTGAACCCGGGAGGCGGAGCTTGCAGTGAGCCGAGATCACGCCACTGCACTCCAGCCTAGGTGACAGAGCGAGGCTTGGTCTCAAGAAAAAAAAAAAAAAATAGTTGTCAAGAGGCATAAACTAAACATAAAATACTACTTTTTTTTTGGAAAATCGAGAGTTTTAAATATTTTGCAATATTTCTTATTATTGCATTAAAAATATTCTCTATTACAAGATTTGAGAAAGTCAGAATGTTTGCTTTCTGCAAATGTGAATACTATATTTCATTTTCATTATGATCATATCTATGTAACCATTTCACCTCTCCATTAATTCTCTTTTTAATAACATTACACACACCACACACACAGTTTTCAAGAAAAGCAAAATGGTTCAAAGTAAAGACGACAAACCTTCATAAATGACAAGCTAAAGAGCCTATTTGAGGTACTGCAGCTGGAGTCTTAGCTTCATCTTTGGAGAGGCCTTATAGTACTTAAGACTTTATGTGCCCTGGTAGTGAGAGAATAACAAATTAATATATTATAATTACTAATAGATTAATTAATAAATCTAATATTTATTAAATGGGTGACTTTAGTCAGGTTAGTCTTTCTTTTTTTTCTTTTTTTTTTTTTTTTCTTGAGACGGAGTCTCACTCTGTCGCCCAGGCTGGAGTGCAGTGGCGCGGTCTCGGCTCACTGCAAGCTCCGCCTCCCGGGTTCATGCCATTCTCTGGCCTCAGCCTTCCGAGTAGCTGGAACTACAGGCACCCGCCACCACGCCCGGATAATTTTTTGTATTTTTAGTAGAGACGGGGTTTCACCGTGTTAGCCAGGATGGTCTCGATCTCCTGACCTCGTGATCCTCCCGCCTCGGCCTCCTAAAGTGCTAGGATTACAGGCGTGAGCCACCGCCCCCGGCTGCCAGGTTAGTCTTTCTTTACTTTAGGTTCCTCATCTGCAAATAGGGATTCTAGTGTGTATCTCACAGCGTTGTTGTGGTAATGAAAACAGTAAATACCTGTATATCTCCTGTGCTTAGAAGGATGCCTGATCATACATACTCAGGGCATGCGAGTTATTATTATTACCTATACATGGAGATATTAAAGTCTCTCAGAATTGTTGAGGTAATTAAATGAGATAATATGCTTACAAGACCCATCATATTTACTGGTGCAAATTTCAATTTGTCATTAATTGACTGGGCAAAAAGTTACCTTTTATCTCTTCTGCTCTTTGACCATAAAATGTACAAGTATTCTAACCTATCAGAGTCTTGCCTTTAAAGTTCCTGTAGTTGCTTTGAGGGTTCGCATGAAATCAATTTAGAGAAACTAAATTTTTATAAATATAATTTTTTCTCATTGTCTACACCAGTAGTTTGTATAGTTACATTTTTTTTGAATTGACACTATAATATTGTGGTATGGATAGAACAGATATTGTCACCATTTTTATGAGAGTAAACCAAAGCATTGAAACATCAGAAAGTTTTTCAATGTTATTCAAGCACTTTGTAGCATAGTTGGAAGTTAATGCAAATTTTCCAAATTGAAGGTCAAGAGATTACACTTTTAGAAAGAAAAGCCCTGTCACTACATTATATGTAAAGCAACACAGCCAAATGAAATTTCTTTCCAGCAGCACACTTTCAGTTATAGATCCAAAGAATAAGTGCTAACAGGACCCATCTTTACCAAACCCAATGGAAAAATGATTTCCAGGATTGCCAAAGTGTTGCTGAAAGCTTTCACTGCCACCTGATTGGTTTACTGGATCCTTGATGATTATAGTCATGCTTTGCTTAATGACTGGGATATGTTCTGAGAAATGTGTCTTAGGTGATTTTGGTGTTGTGTGAACATCACAGAGTGTACTTAAACAAACCTAGATCATATAGCCTACCAAATACCTAGGCTAGATGTTATACCTTATTGCTCCTAAGCTACAAATCTACAGAGCATGTTACTATACTGAATACTGTAGGTGGTTGTAACACAATAGTAAGTATTTGTGTATCTAAACATATCTAAACATAAAAATGGTACAGTAAAAATTAAGTATAAAAGATAAAACTATGTAGGGTACTTATCATGAATGGAGATTGCAGGACTGAGAGTTGCCCTGGGTGAGTGAGTGAGTGAGTGGTGAATGAATATAAAGGCATAGGACATTACCGTACACTATTAAAGATTTTATAAACACTGGATACTTAGGCTGCACTAAATTCATTTAAATATTTTTTCTTCCATAATAAATTAAACTTAGCTTACTGTAACTTTTCCTTTGTAAAATTTTAAATTATTTTAACTTTTCTACTATTTTTATAACAGCTTATAGCTATATAAAAATGTTTATCTGCTTTTTAAACTTTTGTGTTGAAAACTAAAACAAAAATACACCTATTAACCTAGGAGTACACAGGGTTAGGATCATCAATTTAATTGCCTTCCACTTCCACATCTTGTCCCACTGAGCAGTCTTCAGGGGCAATAACATGTATGGAGCTGTCATCTCCTATGATAACAATGCCTGCTAGAATACTCCTAAAGGATCTGCCAGAGTCTTTTCTTCAGGAGGTGTTTTTTCAGAAATATGTTTAGGGTGGTCAGTTTGCATTGTTTTTTCCTTTTTTAAATCATAGATTTGCATGAATAATGCTTTGCTTTATAACATTACAACAGCTAGGGCATCTGTAGGCCATAAGCATTTTTTTAGTTCTACCATCATCTTATAGGACCACCATGGTATATATGCAGTCCTTCATTAACCAAAACGTTGCTATGCAGCTCATGACTGTATTTAACTCCTGGTGTAGATAATATTTGAATAAGATTTTAGTGAAATCTTTGCTCAACAGCCATGTTCCCTAACCATTATACCTTTATCTTTGTTTTCTTTCCAGATTTAAAGTGCTCACACTTCCTCACCACCCTTGGCTATCCACACATGCTGTTTATAGGTAGGCACAGTCGCTTTTAGGGAAGAGACAGGTATAAATAAATACCTACATGAATAAGCCTGTTCACTATGCAATTGCTTCTGTTTTATCCTATCATATCGGTTAAGGAGTATTGCTTTATATACGCTGTCAGAAGATACTAGTAGAGCATAATTCAGACTTTTTCTGTGTTGGAATCAACGACTCTTCTAAACATAGTTATTTTTTAGTGAACTGAAGCAAAGTGACTACTTGAGGAAGCCAGCTATGTTAATTATTACAGAGAACCAATTAAGTTTCACTCTGTAACTAGAAATAATTTGTAAAAATCAGTTCTTGCATGCATGAGCTTATCTTTTTAATTTTAATGTAAGTTCTTGATTAAATTATGTAAGTAAATTTGATAACTTAGTAAAATGGCAAAAAAAATTTTTTTAAGCAAAAATGAGGTTTTTTTTTTTTGGTAGAAGCTACTATCTCTGAAAGTTTTAAGTTCTAAAGGGGAAACTCCAGGCTTGCATATAATGTTTATTCATCAACTCATTTATACTATTGTTAGGTAATATTCTGAGGGTCCTTACAAAAAGTGGAGAGGAAAATTTTCTAGGGACGTTAGACCTCTGTTTTTCCTTTAGTTGTCCATGATGTATTTCTTAGGCACTTGGCTTCAGATTATAGATGTATTAGGCAGCCTCAGGTTTCAGCTAGTACCCATTTCTTTCTGTCCTAAAACCTTACCTGTCAAATTTAAGCCCAGGTTTGAGGGAGACCAAATTAGTGATCTTTGCCTGAAGTAGCATGGTTTTAAGACAATGATAGAATGTTAGATTTACCAGAGTTTTATATTTAACTTCATATGATGTATTATAGACATGCCTACAATCTTCAGTGAAGAAATACAGCTCTATACTGTAGTAATCCATAAATGATTAATTTGGTTATTTTCTCAAGTCTCTAACATATGGATCTTCTGGATAAAGACACCCTGGACATGCATTATCAAATCAATAAAGAGTGCAGCTTTTGATGTCCCCCATTCTTCTGCATATCGAGGGCAGATTGTGATAATATGTGACAGCACTTTGGTATACCAGTCATTTCCATGGGTCCATTATAACATAATAGGGGACCTGGCATTCCGTTCTCCTCAATGGTTGTATTAGTCCATTCTCACCCTGCTAATAAAATATACCCAAGACGGGGTAATTTATAAAGGAAAGAGGTTTAATGGACTCACAGTTCCACATGGCTGGGAGGCCTTACAATCACAATAGAAGGCAAAGGAGAAGCAAAGGCACATCTTACGTGGCGGCAGAAAAGACAGCTTGTGCAGGGGAACTTCCATTTATAAAACGATCATATATTGTGAGATTTATTCACTACACAAGAACAGTATGGGAGAAACTGCCCCCATGATTCAATTGTCTCCACCTGCCCGCTCCCTTGACACATGGGGATTATTACAATTCAAGGTGAGATTTGGGTGAGGACACAGCCAAACCATATCAATGGTTCTCTGTATTGTGCTGCAATTTTTGTTACTACAAATGTATAGGATAGTTTACTAACTAAAAGATCTAGTTCCAAATGGTGCATCTCTTACGTGAAATTGTTTGGGTATTTAGAAAACTACTCATATTAATTGTTTTAAACTTTAGTTCTATGCACAGGGGAACTACCCTTTATCTACTCATCAGTTGATAAGCATTTTAGTTGTTTCCTCCTTTTGGTTACTGGGGATAATGCTTCTGTGAACATTCATAAACAAGTTTTTGTGTGCATATATGTTTTCATTGCTCTTAGGTATATATACCCACATACATATTTTATGCTAAACATTTTGAGAAACTGCCTATTTTAGAAACCTTCTGTACTATTTTTCATTATCCCCAGCAATGTATGAGGGTGCTGATTTCTCTACTTGCCAAGGCATACTACTGTTTATCTAGTGAGTGGGAATTGGTATCTCATTGTGGTTTTGCTTTGTATTTCCCTAATGATTAATGATGTTGAGAATCTTTTCATGTATTATTGGCCATTTGTATACATTGTTTGGAAAAATATCTATTCAAATACTTCTTCCATTTTTAAATTTGGTGTTTTTATATTTTTGAGTTGGGAGGATTCTTTGTACATTCTGGATAAAAGTCTCTTATCAGATAATATGATTTGTAAACATTTTCTTTCCTGCAGGGGGTTGTCTTTTCCCTTTCTTGATGATATCATTTACAGAATAAAGTTTTCAATATTGAAAGAAATTTTTTTCTTTTGTTGTTTTTTGTTGAATTTTTTTTTCTTTTGTTGCTTGCACTTTTGGTGCTGTATCTAAGAAATTATCACCTAATTCAAATTTATAAAGATTTACTCCTATGTTTTAGAGTTTTTGCTCTTATATTTAGCTCTCTGATTAATTTTAAGATAATTTTGATGTATGGTATGAAGAAATGGCTAAGTCTCGCTCTCTCTTGCTTTCTTTTTTCTTTTGGGTATCCAGTTGTCCCAGCATTGTTTGTTGAAAATTATTATGCCCCATTTTATTTTCTTGGTACCATTGTTCAAAATCAATTAACTATAAATGTAAAGATTTATTTCCTGACTTTAACATTCTACTCCATTGTTAGCTGTCTATACTTGTGCCAGTACCACAGTATTACAGTGTCTTGATTACTGTAGATTTTTCTCACGTTTCTAAATTGAGAAGTGACAATTCTCTGTCTTTGTTCTTTTTCAAGATTGTTTGGCTCTTCTGTGTCCCTTGAATTCTCATACAAATTTTTGGATCAGCTTGGCAATTCCTGAAAAACAAAAAGCCAACTGGGATGTTGAAAGAGATTTAGTTGAATTTATATGTCAACTTGGATAATATTTTATTTAAGCAATATTAAGCCTTTTAATTTATGAAGATGGGAAGCCTCTCCATTTATTTATATCATCTTTAATTTTTAATTTTTTTTATTTCCATAGGTTTTTGGGGAATAGGTGGCATTTGGTTACATGAGTAAGTTCCTTAGTGGTGATCTGTGAGATTTTGGTGCACTCATCACCTGAACAGTATACACTGAACCCAATTTGTAGTCTTTTAACCTTCATCCCCTTCCTGCCTTTTTCCCCTGTGTCCCCGAAGTCCATTGTGTCATTCTTATGTCTTTAAGGACTCAAGTAAACTTAAGATAGAGGGGTGAAAAAGTCATTCTATGTGAATGGACACCAGAAGCAAGCAGGAGCAGCTGTTCTTTTATTAGACAAAACAAACTTCAAAGCAACAGCAGTTAGAAAAGACAAAAAGGGACATTATATAATGATAAAAGGCCTTGTCCAACAGGAAAATATCACAATCCTAAATATATATGCACCTAACACTGGAGTTCCCAAATTTATACAGTAATTACTACTAGACCTAAGAAATGACATAGACAGCAACACAACAATAGTGGGGGACTCCAATACTCCACTGACAGCACTAGACAGGTCACCAAGACAAAAAGTTAACAAAGAAACAATGAATTTAAACTATACCCTGGAACAAACAGACTTAACAGATATTTACAGAACATTCTACCCAACAAGCACAGAAAATACATCTATTCATCAGCGCATGGAACTTTCTCCAAGATAGACCATATGATAGGCCACAAAACAAGTCTCAATGAATTTAAGGAAATCGACACTATAGCAAGTACTCTCTCAGACCACAGTGAAATAAAACTGGAAGTCAACTCCAAAAGGAACCTTCAAAACTATGCAAATAGATGGAAATTAAATAAACTGCTCCTGAATGATGATTGGGTCAACAATGACATCAATATGGAAATTAAAAAATTCTTTGAACTAAATGACAATATTGACACAACCTTTCAAAACCTCTAGGATACACTAAAGGAGATGCTAAGAGGAAATTTCATAGCATTAAATGCCTACATCAAAAAGTCTGAAAGAGCGCAAATAGACAATCTAAGGTCACACCTCAAGGAACTAGAGAAACAAGAACAAACCAAACCCAAACTCAACAGAAGAAAAGAAATATGCAAGATCAGGGAAGAAGGAAATGAAATTGAAAATAAAAATTACAAAAGATAAGTGAAATAAAAAGTTAGTCCTTTATTCCTAAATATTTTATTCTTTTATATGATTCTAAATAAAATTTTCTTAATATTATTTTCAGATTGTTCACTGTTAATGTATGGATATTTGTATCTACAACTCTGCCAAATTTTATCTTCTTTCTTTCTTTTTTTTTTTTTTTTTTGGAGACGGAGTCTCGCTGTGTCGCCAGGCTGGAGCACAGTGGCCCCATCTCAGCTCATTGCAACCCTCTGCCTCCCAGGTACAAGAGATTCTCCTGCCTCAGCCTCCTGAGTAGGTGGGACTACAGGCGCATGCCACCATGCCCAGCTAATTTTTGAATTTTTAGTAGAGACTGGGTTTCACCATGTTGGCCAGGGTGGTCTCGATCTCTTGACCTCATGATCCATCCACCTCCGCCTCCCAAAGTCCTGGGATTACAGGTGTGAGCCACAGGGCCTGGCCCAAATTTTATCATTTCTAATGGTTTTCTAGTGGATTCTTTATATACAAGACCATAATATCATTGGCAAATAAAGTTTTACTTCTTTATTTCAAATATGGATGCCTTTTATTTCTTTTTTTGCCTATTTGTCAAGATTAGAATCTCCAATAAAGTGTTAAACAGAAGAGGCAGAAGCAAACATACTTGCCTTGTTGCTGATCTTAGAGGGAAAGTAAGCAACTGAAGGAAACAAAAATATTTCACCCCGAATTACAATTTCATGACATAATTCAAGTTGGCTATCTAGAAGGACTGAAAATACAAGAATAGCTAAAATGTGTCTTTTGTGGGAGGATTTTTAACTGCAGAGAATATCTGCCATTGATGCAGCTAGACTTTTTCTAAGAGCTGATCTAGGAAAAATTAACTCACAAGCTGACACCTTTGAAGGTCTGAAAGAAATATTCACCATTTATTCTCTCTGTTGGCTGCTACTGTGAGGTTTTATCTGCATAACAAGGCCACCTTTGCTAGCAAAGCCTTCTCTTCTCCCTCTACAATAACCTGTTTTGTCATTATCCAAGCACCCATTCTTTCTGCAACCTCAAAATGGTATACAAGCTTAGTACTCCATTGTTGAGGTAATCATTCTCTGGTACTTCCACATGCATGTTGATAAATTTGTATACCATTTCTCTACTAATCTGCCTTTTATCAGCTGATTTTTAAAATTGAAAATCAGAAGGTGAAGGGGAAATTTTAACTTGATCTGTATACTATTTTTCATCATTAACATGATGTTAGTTGTGATTTTTTAATAGATGTTTATCAGGTTGAGACAGTTCCCTTGTATTTTTGTTTGTTTAATGTTTTCATCACGATAGCTTACTAAATTTTGTGAAATTTTTTATCTATTGAGATAATTGTGTGATATTTATTCTTTATTCTGTTAATATGGTATATTATACTGATTGATTTTCAATGTTAAAACAACTGATGGCCCTGTGATAATCTCACTTGCTCATACAGTACAATCCTTTCTCCAATTTCTACATTCAGCTTGCTAGTTTTATTATTTTTTTTGAGGATTTTTGTGTCAGTTTTCATAAGAAATATTGCTCTGTAATTTTCTTTCCTTGTTATGTCTTTGTTTGGTTTTGATGTCATGGTAATACTGGCCTCATAGAATTACTTATATTCTCTCCTCTTTTATTTTTTGAAAATTTTGTGAAAAACTGGTATTAATTCTTATTTAAAAGGTTGGTAGGATTCAATGGTGAAGGCATCTAGGTCTAGGCTTTACTTTGTGAGTTTCGTGGAATATTTCTTAGACTTTCTTACAATAACCTTGACAGTTTTGAGGAATTCTGGTCAGGCATTTTGTATAATGCCTCTCAATTTGGGATTTTTCTGATGTTTCTCTCATGCTGAAACTGGGGTTAGGCATGTTTTGACGGGAAAGTTTAAGTATCATTTTAACCACATTATTTAACCACATTGTTTCAAGGGCCTATACTGTCAACATGAAATCA
Source organism: Homo sapiens (assembly GCF_000001405.40). Taxonomy (NCBI): domain Eukaryota; kingdom Metazoa; phylum Chordata; class Mammalia; order Primates; family Hominidae; genus Homo; species Homo sapiens. Next base: position 80,180,652 of record NC_000001.11, on the reverse strand, counting down.
CTATTGATATTAACCTTGATTAACAGATTGAAGTAATGTTTGTCAGGTTTCTCTACTGTAAGATTGCTCTTTTATTTCTATATTCCATACTCTTTGGAAAAAAAGGCTCTATGTGTAATCCAGACTTAACTCCACCACCTTGATAATGTAGTATGTATACAAATTATTTGGAATTCTTCAGTATGAAACATTTATCTTTTTCTCTATTTATTCAATTGTTTGTTTTGTTTGTTTATTTCAAGATAGACTTATGGATATTTATTTAATACTTGGATTGTAATCCAATACAGAGTTATTTATTTTCTTGCTCAAATTGTTCTACCTTTTGGCCACTGGAAGCTCTTTCATTTGGCACTTGTGTTTTGACATACTATCAACATTGTGGGTTGTATTAATATTATTATCATTGTTATTAATTGTTATCATAATTAACATTTTAACACTTTCTTACATTCTGGTATTATGAGATGCTCCAGGCTCATTTTAAATATTTTCTGTCCCAGCCCTAGAATTAGTCATTTCTACAATAAACCCTGGTTTCTCTTATTGGAGAATAATATTAGAAACCAAAATTTGGGCCCTAGATGTGTTTATTGCTTCCAACATGTCATTGCTTCCAAGCCTTCTTAACTGATGGAGCAAGGAAATAAGTGAGTGCATACTAATGCATATATATACATGTATCTATAAATATTTCTATGTGTAATCATCTGTATCTATATTAAACTAAACATGAGTTTATACGTATGACTCTGACTCTAATATCACCTTCTTACCCACCCATTGCTTTTCTATAAACTCCCACTCAATGTCGAGTTTTTTGTATTTTTTAAGTATTAATTCAATCTCTTTGCTTGTTAAGATTATTTGTTCTTTTTTATTTATTTTTATTTTTACTTTTTTTACTATATTTTAAGTTCTAGGGTACATGTGCACAACATGCAGATTTGTTACATATGTATACATGTGCCATGTTGGTGTGCTGCACCCATTAACTCGTATATATATATGTCTTTTTTCTGCTTGAATCAGTTTTAGTAGTCTGTGTCTTTCTCAGAATTTATCCATTTTTGTCTATTTTATCTTTGTAAGAGATAGGAAAAAATAAACTGTTTCCTCATGCCCATCACTCAACACAGAACATTTCTATGAATAAAACATGTGTAAGTTTTCCCCAACATCAAGTAATTCTCCAGCAAATCCCAACTGGGTGTCCTATAATTCAATTTAATTCTGACACTAGCTACCTGGAATTACAGGCAGACCTCATGGGATAAGGGCTCAGTCCTACAATACTGCCCCCTATTTTAAGTGCAAATCAAAAGTAGCAGGCTGTCACTTATATTTCTGACCAACCAACGTAAATCAGGTTCCCACAACCCCCTCCTCAGGTTCAATTAATTTGCTAGGATGGCTTACAAAACTCAGAGAAACATTTACTTATGTATACTAGTTCATTATATTAATGAAGGATATGATAAATGATATAGAAGAACAGCCAGATGAAGAGACACATAGGGTGAGGTTTAGAAGGGTTCTGACTACCAGAGCTTCTGTCCCTGTGGATTTCAGGTGTGCCACCCTCCTGGCACATACATGTGTTCATCAGTCCAAAAAGCTCTCTAAACTCTGTACTTCAGAGATTTTTATGTAGGCTTCATCACATAGGCATGATCAATTATTAACTCAATCTCCAGCCTCTCTTTCCTTTCAAGAGAATGTGATTTGGGGCTGAAAGTTCCAAGCTTATAATCATGGTTTGGTCTTTCTGGTGACCAGCCCTCATCCAGGAGCCCAGCAAGAGTGGCCTCATTAGAACAAAAGACTCTTCTGTCACCTAGGAAATTACAAAGGTCTCAGGAATTCTGTATTAGGAACTGAAGTAGAAGACAGAGTATTAAAACAAAAATTTCTCCTTGCGCATATCTATACACAAGGATTTTAGGAGCTCTGTGTCAGGAATAAGGGGCAGAGTCATGTATATATGTATATGTGTGTGTGTGTGTGTGTGTGTGCATATATACATATATGTGTGTGTGTGTATATATACTCTCTATACATACATATTCCACAAACTAGTTTATTAGCACAAAATTTTTTCATAGTATTTCCTTATAGTCCTTTTAAAAATGATTGTAGTCAGTAGTTAGTTCCCCATTTTATTCCTAATTTTAATAATTTTAGTTCTCCCTCTCATCAATCTTAGTTTTTGTGGTATTTTTGCACGTTCAATTTTTAAAGAACCAGCTTTAGTTTGTTGACTTTCTCTTTTTCTTTTCTCCATTGCATTTAATTTCTTACAATAATCTCTTATTTTCTTCCTTCTGATTGCTTTGTGGTTATTTTCTCTTCAAGTTTCTTAGAAAGAAAGGTTAGATTGTTTATTTGAGATCATTTTTCTCTAGTAATATAAGCATTTATAGTTGTAAGTTTTCTCATAAGTGCTGCTTTAGCTGAATACCATACATTTTGATATGTTAAGCTTTAGTTTTCACTTATCTCAAATATTTTCTAATTTTTCCTGTAATCATTTTTCACCCATTGGTGATTTAGGACTATGTTGTTTAATTTTTACATATTTATACATTTCTCAAATTTTATTTTGTTATCAATTTCTAACTTAATTTCATTGAGTCAGAGAATATATTTTACATGATTTCAATCCTGTTAAATTTATTGAGCTTGATTTATTTGTTAGCATGTGATCTACTCTGAGTAAATATTTTATGTGTACCAGAGAGTAACGTGTATTCTGTTGTTGTTGGGACATAAACCCTTTTATCCTTTTAAAATGTCCATCTTTGTCTCTAGTGAATTTTTTTGGTTTGTAATCAGTTTTTGTTAATTTTATTTTATTTATTTATTTATTTTTGAGACAGAGTTTCGCTCTTGTCACCTATAGTCCCAGCTACTCAGGAGGCTGAGGCTGGAGAAACACTGAACCCAGTAAGTAGAGGATGCAGTGAGCTGAGATTGTGCCACTACACTCCAACCTGGGTGACAGAGTAAAACCTGGTCTAAATAGTAAAAAATAAATATAAAAATAAGACAACATGTGTTTGTTTTGTGTCTCCTATTGACAGGATATAGTTTGATTTTGACTTTTTTGTCATCTGACAATTTCTACCTGTGGATTGGACTTTTTAATCTATTCACATTTAATGTTATTACTAATATACTTGTATTCAAGTGTTTTTACCATTATCTACATAATTAGAGTAATTGGGGCTATTTTTTAGTGTGGATTTGAAATATTGTGTGGACTTACTGGATTTGAGCCTGAGAAACTTCATTTAATATTTCTTTTAAGGCAGTATGCTAGCAATGAATTTTATGTTTTTGTTTATCTGAGAATGTCTTATTTTGCCTTCATTTTGGAAAGACAGGTTTGCTACTATAATATTCTTGGTTGACAGTTATTATTCTCTCACTCTGGCTCTCTCTTTAAATATATTATCCCACTCTTTGCTGGTATCTCATGTCTCTGAGAAAAGATCAACTATTAATTTTATTGAGAATTTTCTTATATATGATGAGTTATTTTCTTTTGCAGATATCAAGATTTTCTCTTTGTCATTGGCTTTCAACCTTTTGGCTATGATGTATCTGGGTTTGGGACTCCCTACTTTTATCTTATTTTGAGTTTGTTGAGTTCTTGGATGTATAGATTAATATTTTTCAGCAGATTTGGAAAGTTTTTAGACTATTTTGTTAAATACTTTTTCTGCTTTTCTCTCCATTTTTTGTTCTTCTTATTACATATACATGGGTGCACTTAATGATGTGTCACACTTCTCTGAGTCTCTGTTTATTTGACTTCATTTCTTAAATTCATTTTTAACTGTATTAGATCATTTTCATACTGCTATCATTTATAAAGGTAAAGAGGGGTAATATAAAGGAAAGAGGCTGAATCAACTCACTGTTCCACATTGCTGGGGAGGCCTCAGGAAACTTATAATCATGGTGGAAGGCAAAGGAGAAGCAATGACACATCTTACAGGGTTCAGGCAAGAGAGGTGCAAGCAGGGGTAATACCAGATGCTTATAAAGCCATCAGATCTCATAAAAACTCACTCACTATCATGAGAACAGCATAGTGGAAACCACCCCCCATGATCCAATCACCTCCCTCTAAATATCTCCCTAGACACATGGGGATTATGAGGATTACAATTCAAGATGAGATTTGGGTGGGGACACAAAGCCTAAACATATCATTAATCAACCAAACAAGCAACAAGTGATGTCTTCATTTTTTTCTCTCTGCTCTTTAGATTGCATAATCACTATTGATCTGTCTTCACGTTCACTGATATTTTTCCTCTGGCAGCTCAAATCTACTGGTGAGGCTCTCTAGTGCATTTATTATTTTAGTTATTGTACTCTTCACCTCCATAATATCCATTTGACTCTTTTTTAAAAAATAATTTCTATATCTTGATTGTTACTATCCACTTAATAGAGACATTGTTATTACACCTTCCTTTAAACCTTTAGACTTCTTTAGTTCTTTGAACATATTTATAGTATCTGCTTTTTAAGTTTCTGTTTACTAAATCCACTATTTGAACTACTTCACAGGCAGTTTTTTTTGCCTGCTTTTTCTTCTTTGCACAGGTCACACATTCTTGTTTCTTTGCATTTCTCATGAATTTGTGTTGAAACCCAACATTTAGATAAATGCAGTGTAGCAACCTGAATACTGACGCTCTCTTTCTTCTTCCTGCCTTGTACAGCCTCTATGTCATTCCATAGATTACAAAGCCTTGGGCATATATATATATATATATACACTCTTCCTGAACACCTGCTTTGGCCTGACTCTATTGGTATCACAGCCAACTGTCAGCTTCTACCAGTTTCTAACTGATTGCTATATTGCTATATTGTTTTCACATAAATGCCCTGGAGCCTAAATTGTTCCACATTCTGATCCCTCAAAATAGTGCCCCTTTGCAAGGACAGAGTGTTGCCAGTCTTTGAGGCTGCTCTTATACTCAAGAGCTATTTTGAGTACCTCTTTCCCTGTTAAACTTCTAGCTATTCTAATATTTCATTACCATAAATCTCAAGTTGTTAAATGAGATTACTCCTCTTAATTTCTCACCAATATCTCCATTGTTTCCAACAACACCCTTAGGAATAAACTTAATCACACTCTGTACCAAATAAGTTCAGTGCCCTTAAGCTGAACAATCAAGAGCGTTGTTCTTAAGGCCTGGCCTCCCCCTAGTCAGTACTTTTGTGCCACTGCACTGCAGCTGGGATTGGGACACCATCTGCTTCTCAAATTTTCATCCCTGTTCTATAAACAAAGCACAGAGCAGAAGAAAAAGCCTCTGATCTTCTCAGCTTACCCCTCCTGACATGAAACTTCTGTCCTAGAATTGTTCTGGGCCAGAAACTCAGTATTATTTTTTAGGTTAAGAGGGGGTACATGTGCAGGTTTGTTACATGAGTAAATTGTGTGGCTCTTGGTTTTGATGTACAAATGATCCTGTCACCAAGTAGTGAGCATTGTCTGATGTTAGTTTTTCAACCCTTACTCCCCTTCCAATCTTCCCTCCCTCTAGCAGTTCTCACTGTATTATTCCCATCTTTGTGTCTGTGTATACTCAATATTTAGCTCCCACTTATAAGCAAATTAACACAGGAACAGAAAACCTAGTATTCTTGGCCTACTGCACCTGGGTAGAACTTTTGTCACCTTGAGATATGGAGAAGGTTGAGCTTAAATGCCACAGACTTTCATTGTTCTTACTGAGATTTAGTGGATTTTCATCAATAGATGTTTTTCCATTTGTTATATGCCTTTAGTATAATTTCCAGAGACTTTAGTTTTTCGTTTATTTGTTTGCTTAATTACTTTTCAGTGGTAAATGGCTATTTCACTAGAGAGAAAGTCTGCAGCACAACTCACACCACCGTCTGGAAGTCCCTCTCTCTCTTGCTTGGTCTTAAGAGCATTTTTAAACTTAGACACTCTATTAGTCCATTCTCACATTGCTATAAAGAAATAATTGAGACTGGAGTAATTTATAAAGAGGTTTAATTGGCTCATGGTTCCACAGGATGTAGAGGAAGCAAGATGCTAGCCACCTGCTTGGTTTCTGGGACAACCACTGGAAATTTACAATCATGGCAGAAGGTGAAGAAGAAGCAGACTTATCTTAAGTGGCTGGAGAAGGAGGAAGAGAGAGAAGGGGGGAGGTGCAACACACTTTAAAACAACCAGATCTTATGAAAACTCACTCACTATCATGAGAACAGCACCAAGGAGATGGTGTTAACCATTCATGAAAAGTCCGCTCCCCATTATCCAATCACCTCCCATCAGGCCCCATCTTCAACTTTGGGGAATGCAATTGAACATGAGATTTGGGTGGGGAACAGATCCCAACATATCAGATATGGAACAGAATGTGACTGTGTTATTAATATATTTATTTGTTTTTAATGAATTATAATCTTTAAGAGTTAGAACTTGATGCATCCAATGAAAATCACCTAACCCTTTCCCTTGTCAAAACAAAAGTAGTAACTTCAGGAAAAACTCTTAGTTTAATATATCAATGGAAAAAATATAGAATTTTTTAATATTTTAAAATATGCATTTAGTCCATCAAGAACAGATTATCTGTATTCAAAATTTCCACAAAATATTGTTTTTTGTTTTATATAGTATACATTTGAAAGCTCTAGAGACATGAAGATTGAAAGTAATTGTAACATTCTAAATTTCTAAAGTAGATAAAAATATTGATAAAATGTAAATGCTCTTCTCACCAATATTACTATGGCAGATACTATTGGTGTTTTGCCAATTTGCTTCTTCCCACTGTACAATTTCACTGGATAATTCCTGTACCCAGCAGTATGTTCTTTCCTCATAAATCTGCTTCTTTTTACTTAAGGACTTTCTCAAGCTGCAGGTATATCTCTGACCCATGCTCTGGGTAAGACTGGAGGTTTTGTTTGTTTGCTTGTTTATTTGTTTGTTTTTGAGACAGAGTCTCACTTTGTCTCCCAGGCAGGAGTGCAGTGGCTCGATCTTGGCTCACTGCAACCCCTGCCTCCAGGGTTCAAGCGATTATTCTGCCTCAGCCTCCTGAGTAGCTGGGATTACAGGCATACTTTATGCCCAGCTAATTTTTGTATTTTTAGTAGAGATAGAGTTTTACCATGTTGGCCGGGCTGATCTCAAGCTCCTGTCCTCAAGTGGTCTGCCTTCCTTGGCCTCCCAATGTGCGGGGATTACAGGTGTGAGCCACCATGCCTGGCTGGACTGGAGTTTTTTAGGGAGCTAATATTCCCACACATACAACCAGAAGCAAATATCTACCAATGAGCAACAGACGTTGCTGGATAAATAGTGCCTCGGTGTCTCCGTGAATGAGCCCATCTCATATCTGAGCTAGATTCTTGCTTGTGGGATCTGCTTCTGGTGTCCACAGCAATAACCCATTCATCAATACATCTTCCATTGACTTTCTTCCCTTTCTGTCTCGCTTTCTTATTCCGTCACCATGCTTCCAAATGAAGTACTTGCACTAAAATCTTTCTCTCTGGTAATGTTTTTGAAGGGACCAAACTATGTTATTCACCATTTAGAAACTACGGTAAGTAATCTTCTGAGGCTTATTAAAAAGACGGCAAAAGTGTATTCCATCAGAATCTCAGTATCTCTCATTATTTTAATTTAGCTGACAACATTTGGTTTTATTTAATTATTAAACTCTGAATTCAAGTCCTTATTTGTTGACGTAAAAATCGTCTATAAGAGTCTATGTTGTATCTGTTAACGATATTTATAACCTAGTAAGAAATTTCTATATTTAACTTAAAATTTATATTACTTTTCTTTCTGAAAGACATACTTATTTGTTGGAAAGAGTAATTATAGCCTTGGCCATTCAGATTAAGAGAGAGCTGAGGGGTCTCTCACTGCCAGAAAAAGAATAAATAAAACAAAACTATACAGCAATCCATGAAAATCTTGGTGTCTCTTACATTTCTACTATTTTACTTGGAAAAGAAAAAGCATAGTAACTAAAAGTGCACCCATCACAGCATCTAAATATGAGACCCTGCACATAGTAAGTGATCACTAAATCTTTGCTGCATGAAGCTTTAAACAATGGCAAAGAAGCCAGGTAAGTTGAAAGATGAGAGGAGACAAAGCAATGTCTAAGAGGAAATCACCTCTAGAATAAGTAATAATTGAGTGTTGTTTATTAAAAACTTACCCCATAAAGTAAGTGTAACATAAGCTAAGTTCCAGAGTAGAAATAAAAATTATCAGATAATATGTGAGAAATCAAGAGATAATTTGAATTTTTCAGCTGAAAGGTGTTTTTTTCAATATTGGAAGAAACCTCCTATACATGCTGAATATAACATATTTGTTAATGTCTACTGGTTCTTTTCTCCAAAACACTGACAAGAGGGGGCAACAGAGTTGTCTGACCAAGGGAATTGAGCAGACAACTGAGACCTTGATCTGGTTTTAAATGACTCTGAGGGATCTATCTGTTCAATAAATTCACAAGATCTCATGAGATTATCAAAAGATGTCCACAAATAAATTAATTCGATGACTTAATTTTTGGAACATGTTAATATCTGCTAATGACCTTCAGTAATGACATTGTAGGGTGAGATGGTGGTAGAATGTGAATATGAAGATTCACGGTAACTGCAGAGTTGTGACTCTGGGGCATGGGAAAATTGCTTTGCTCATACATCAAGGCGTGAGAAACCAAGAGCCCAAAGAAATAAGAAATGAAAAGCTAGTCCATTTGGGGTTATGAATTTTTTCCTTCATGTTCTTGGCACGTTTGTGGAGAGAGTACTTTCTTTCTATAACGCAGATGTAAGGCAGACTGTTTTTCTCATAAGCAGATCACAACCTACAAATGCTTCTTAATCCACCTTTCACTTTGAATGGTAACCCCCAGCCCCTAAACACTTACATAAAAATAAAGTTAAGAAATATATTTTTTTAAAGTCCCCTTTAGGCCTTAGGAATATGCAGTACCCAGAGCTCAGTTTTCTGCAGTAGCACATAATTAAATGGCACTTCCAAGTTTTGAATGACAATATCATATTAAATTCAGAAAGGAAAACTGTCAGCAAAATGTAGATTATTCACTTTGTGAATTCAAGATTCTTGATTTGAATGAACTGCTTTATAAAATGTGGGAAAGAGGGAGGCAGATGAAACAATTGCAAAATCCTGATGAATTATACTGTTTGGAGAACTAAATTTTTAATGTTAACTAGGAAAAACTGGTGAAGCTAATATAGTCTAAGGAACACTATCAAAGACTCTCTTCTGGGCAGAATGCCAGACAGTTTGAGCCAGCTTTCCACAGCTCTACCTTCAGGTTTTATTTAAATTGAAATAAAGCCTGTCATCTTAGCTTTAGCTGGCACAATGAAATGCACAGCTTCTTGCTCAATTCCAACATTAGTCCTACAATTGCATCTAGTGATATACATTTGCAAATATATATGCTGCAGCATTTTTACACAGCTTGCCAAAAGTTATTGTTAAAACTCATTATTCAGCTAAAAGTGAAATAAATGAATAGATGCATAAATAACTAACTAAATAAATAACATCAGTAGCTTCACAGTTGATTTGCCAGAAGCAGCTCTGCTGGGAATGGAAACATCTGGAAATGAAATGGATGTATCATAGAAATCAGGTTGACCTAATTAGGGTCATCTGGACTTATTCCTTTACATGACACCATTTTTTTTTCCTGGTAGAATCAGAAATCTCTTCTTCAACTCACTTCTTAACGTCTTAGGAGCTAGGTGTCCAGAGACCCTTAAATCAATCAAGTCGATTGGCATTTTGGAAACATTTCTCAAACTCAACCACTTCTGTATTTTGCTTGATGATGGACCTTAAATCAAATAGTCATTGCAGTCTTCTAAATATGTTTTTTCTGTATCCACATAAATCTTCCACTTACAAATATTTTCAGCTACTCACATCAAGTACATTTATTTCTATCATATCCTTCTTATTGGATATATTGTTATATTCAATATAATAGAAATAATCTCATTGTTATATAAAACTATCCATTTCCTTGACAATTTAACTGTGATCTCAATGTGTTTTACTAATGCATTTGGAAAATAATTTAGTTTTATTTATAATTTGTAAAATATAGTGTTTTTAACCATATCATTTTATTCAATAAGGTAGCTAGTATTTATTATCTACTATGTACAAAACATTATACTAGCTAATATAGGGAAAGCTCATATAAACATCAAGCATAGCTGGTATTCTAAGGCCCTTGAAATCTAATAGGGAATAAAAGACTATCATACTTGGAAAGCAAACTAAGATCAAATTAAGAATGAAGAGGAAATGGAATTAGTCATATTTTTAGAATAGTATCTTGGCATTGATTTGAACCAAAACCTGAAGAACAGAAAGATTCACAAATGGGTATAGAATGGCAGAAACTGTATTTTGTGGAGTGATATTTTTATATCCAAAGATAGCTGGATAATGAGATGTGGAATAATACTAGAGTAAGTCATTTGGGGTAAAAGCAAGATTTCAAATTGAAGATCAGTAACAGAAAAATTGGTAAGAAAAAACAAGTTGCTAGATCATGGCCAGTTTACAACATGACCCACTTAAGTTTATATGAAAAGTTTTGAGATACGATTCTAAACATCTGAATAGAACAGTGGATTGAGTATAGTAATACAGTATATTCATCTTTCTAGTATACCTTCTCTTATAGCACATGTTGAAAAATTAAAACTACATGTCCCAGAATCCCTCACACTTAGCTTTCAAGATACAAATTAATTCCCTTCATACAGATGCACTTGCACTTGCTTTAGAAGATGGAAATCAGAGAGATGTTTTTCCCTGTCTTAGTCAGTTTGAACTGCTATAACAAAGTACTGTAGACTAGGTAGCTTATAAACAACAGAAATTTATTTCTCACAGTTCTGTATGCTGGAAGTCCAAGATCAGGTTGCCAGCATGATAGGGTTCTAGTTGGGGCCCTCTACCAGGTTCACAGACAGCCATCTTCTATCTGTGTCCTTACATGGCAGAAAGGAGAGAGGGCCCTCTGACTTCTCTTTCATAAAGGCACCAATTCCATTCATGGGAGCTTTACCTTCATAATCTCATTACTTCCTCACAGTGCCACTTCCTAATACTATCACATTGGGAATTAGGATTTCAACATATGAATTTTTCAGTCCGCAGCACCTCTTCTCCTCCCTTTGGCTGTTGCTGCAATGTATAGTCATGGATGCACCGATTATGGATGCTGTATCTCTGCAGCAGCACTCCAAGGTCCAGGTACTAATTTGTGGGTCTAGGAATCAGTGGCCACAATGGTTTGGATAGCTCTCTATTTCCTTAATTGTAGCTCTAGTAGAGTCTCTTGACTTACTTCTTTTTGATTCTAGCAGAAATAGCATTCCTGATGAACAGTTTCAGTGGCATGGTTCTAAGACTTACAGGATCTGGAGGCCCAGGGTAGAACCTACTTTTGAAACCATCAAAAATTTTTATGAGCGTATAATTTGATGTACAAATTAACTTTTATACCAATAAATAAAGTGATTTGAGTTTTCTGTACATACTGTATTTGAGCAACACTATAAAAGACTTTCATTGATATTCGATACTTATTTTCAGTGGGAACATTGGAAAGCTATGCTTGAAATCTGTCAACTCAAGACTAGGATAACTTCTGATAACATTCGTATATCTGTTTTGTATAATTTGTCTTTATTGGAGAGTTTGGCTAAATAAATTACTGATTATCCTTTCAGCTTTAATTACGTGGATTAAATAGCATGCAGTTTTAGTGTGTAATGTTCTATTTCAATAGTCAATACTATTCCACACAGTAAAACCTTGACCTTCTAGAATTCTTAAAGAAAAAGAATTCTAGCTAAAGCATCCCTATATAAATAAGAGCATTATTCACAATTATTTTATATATATATACATATAACTATAATATATATAACTCATAACTATTATCTAATTACAGAATAGAAGAGTGAAACCTTAACATTGTTGAAAACAGGAAAAATAAGAAAAAACACAAATAATCTCATAATTCCACTAAATAAATACATCTGCCACTAATTTTTAAGCACGTATATTTTTATTTGCCACAATGAGCATTTATTGTTCATATTGCTTATAACTTACCTTTTTAAGTGAAATGAACAATGACTCATGCTATAACTTAAATATATAACACTAATAATCATGCTTTCTTTGTTGTCAGTTATGTCATTTTAAACTTATTTATAATAAATATTACTGTAATATGTCTGGGATGTTTAAATTTAAACTCTTGCATGAAAGTGTTTTTGTAACTATAACCAATATGCAACTATCTATAGATAAATAATTGGACGTGATTGAGTATTCCTTGATAACTCAGAAGTAGTCTGTAAATAATGGTTATGTGACATACTTTTAGATAGAGATGGAGACTTGGTACATGGAATAGAAATCAGTGCCTATTGACTTCAAAGATGACCCTGTGTGTGTGTGTTTTTTTTAATGGTTTCTTGAAAGAAAATCTTTAACATTTCACACTCCAAAGAAGGTTATTCTTCACCACTGACCTTAGGGTTTGTTGGTTTCTTATCATCAGTTAAAGCATCTTTAGACTCTGAGTACTACCACTGTTAGGGGACCACTTCTTCTGTCTTTTTCACACTGCATATTAGCAGGAGTAAGGAAATATCACTGCTCTTTTTCAAAAAATGTTTATTAATGTTTCATGTTGATATTCAAACTTGGAAACATACTTCAAAGTAAAATAACAGTTTTGTTTTGTTCTGTTAAAGCTGAATTAAAATATTTTGCTTGGTCTTGAGAACAAATGCTTTCACAAACCTTCCCAAACTCACCCTGTAAATGACTTATTGAAACAGACTACAAGAAAAGATTTAGCTGCATGTAAATTACAGCTTGTTTCACAAACCAATCATGGGCAAATTCAGAGTTAGAGAGTTTCAGTACAAACAACAGGCCTATTGTGCTTTTATTGTCCTTACTTTATTTTTAAATTTTTTATCTTGAAATAATTCCAGACGTACAGAAAAAGATACAAGAAGAGTATAAAAACTCCTTTATAAAGACATATAACTCCTTTATGAAGACACTGGATTCTTCAGTTGCTAACATTTTACCACATTTACCTTATCATTCTATTTCCATATGTATTTATGTTCATTATTTTTTCTTGATCATTTGTGAGAACAATGATTATTTTTCCTAAATACTATAGCATGTAGTTTCTTAAAACAAGGAATTACTATACATAACCACAATAGAAACATGAAAATAGGAAAATTGAATTGATAGCATACTACCATCTAATACATAGGTTCCATTCAAATGTGTTCAATCATCTCATTTATATTCTTTAAAATTCCAAAAGCAACAGATCATGAAATATAATTATCAACATTTATTTAGAAGTTTCGATTGTGTCAGATTTGACAGCAAATATGCCCTTAAGTTGGTTCTTGTGTCCTTTTGACATGTGGCATTATGCCCCTCATTCTTTGGTCATGTTCTTTCTTCTGGTACAAAAAGATGTTGCAGGTTTAGCTTATAATTTACTTGACCCAGCTCTGGAATCAGCCATTTCTCCAAGAAGCTCTGGTTTCTTTTATTGGAGGACTGAATTTGAAAACCAAGATACAGATGCCCACATGATCAACACATATTTACTGAACATCTACCATATATAGGATGTTCAGCTAGGTGTTTCGGGGAGTCCATAGATCTAACTGTATTCATATGCTTTTTAAAATTAGTATAATTTAACCTTATCTTATTAGAGGACTTCTTTATCATCTGTCCTGTCATCATTGGTTATCTTCTGGCCTTTCTCCTTGTGTCTGTTTTCACACTCCTTGTAACCTCCTAGTTCTATGATGTCAACCTGACTTGAACAACATTATGATCATGGTGTAGCACTTCCCAGAATATCTGGAAGTGTCATGATACAGGACAGGTTAATGCTATCTACCTGTATACACTCTTGAATTAGTTCATGGAGGCAAGTTTGATTAACAATATTTATGCATGTGTGTATATACCCACACCACATGCACTAAGAAAAAACTAAATGATGGCAAAACAGAAGCCCTCCTATGCCAACTTTGTCTGTGAAACTCTTGTCTGCTTCTAATAGATGTGTTCATTATTAAATTCTTAATAAATTTTGGATAGTATTATATATAGTGTTTTTTCTTGCCCCATCACTCCTAGGAATGATAAATCCCTAAACTATGATGTGAGAGCTATACTATTTTCTCTCTCCCAGATTCTATTCTTACTTCCTCATCTTTCTGACTACTCCCACCAGTTTAAATACTACTGTCCACCTTGCATACCTCAGAGCAGCATATTCCTTTTATTTGAGCAAAAGGTAAGCATAGGTAGTTTGACAATTTGGAACCCAATGAATGGAATCTATAAAGCAACACACCTGCTGTGAAACCGCAAACACGTGCACTTTACTACAATTTATCTCCTGTTTGAACGTTTTCTATGTGTCTCTGTCATCCTACTTCTCACAATTTATAGCAACTATTTATTTACATATTTATTCACGGATTTATTTACAGTAATAGTAATAAAGCCAGTTGGGTAGGGATCAGGGAATTGCTTTGTATGTGTTCAAAATGGAAGTTTTTCTTGCTTTACTTTTATGTTAATTTTTGCCCATGGTACATATGGACTTTATTTTTTATAACTCCAAGCCCAGATCATGACACACTGCCTAGCAGAGCACCTAGTAAGGTCTCAATAAATACAAAATATTTAGTGACTTAATGAACAGGTCTGAATTAATGTATTAAAGTATTAATAACTGCCTTAGTAAAACAATTATTGTTTTACAAATATAAAACAGTGTTATTAATTGCCTTGGTAAAACATTGCTACCATTCTCAAGCATGTTAACAATGTGAACATGCTTAAACATGTTAAGTACACAGCTTAACATGCTGAAATAAGTCAGAGCAAGAGCATGCTCCCTAAGGCTCTCTGCTATTAAAAGGTAAAGAACCAGGTTTGAACCTGATTTCTGTTCAAATGCAAAACTTCTTTTAAAAAGTATTTACTGCTTTAATTAGTGCATTTTTAGAAAAAAAGAAAATCTCTAGCCCTGTAGACTGGTAGTAGGTAGTTAGGTTTTTTGTTTCACCAGGTTTGTATTTTTGATGGCTTACTTATTCTCCTCTGTATTATAAGTGATTTAGGATTAATCTTAAAGGGCCACCATTCCGTTGGCAAGACATGGGGAACAGGAAACAAAATTAGATCTAATTTTTTTTTCTAAAACTAGACATAGAAGACACTGTCTGGTTATTTCAAGCCCCAGAGCAATACATTTATAAATTCATTAAAGATATTAAGACATATTTTTTCTCTAGGCACAATTACCTGGTTAATGGAATTTTGCATTTTAACAAGGAGCTATAATTGCAATAAATTGTTGCAACAAATTTAGGACATTTTTACTTTCTTTGTATAGTATTGGTTCTATCTTAATGCTGATACTGATCCATAATATTTAAAATCATTATACATATCCTCAAGATACGTGTGAAAGAATAGAATAAGTCATCTCCCTATTCCTTTTCTAACCTATGCAATTGAATATATGTAAATTTTCATTTTTTCACACAAACCTAACCTACCTTATTTTAAATTCATTGTAGGAACTTGACTTGCAAGGGAAAAAAAATTATAGAATATTTTAAAGTCCTATTGCTGTGGAGATTTATGCAAATTCCTTATGGTAATGTAGATATAACTTTGCCTTCATCAATAATGATGCATATTTTCATGTGAAATATGTGAAATATAGGCTGCACCCCATCACCAATATATGAGACCTCTCCACTGTACTTATTTTATAAAAAGCATTGGCGACATTTCATTGAAAAATACCCTGATGCTAATTTAATGTTTCAAATGACTTAAGGACTTTTAAACACCGGATTCAGATGTGGAAATGAAATCCTTTTATTTTCTCCGTGAAGGCGAGGGAGGGAGGGAGGGGAGATGGCTTGGAAGGGTTGGAAATCAAAGCAGGTTTTAATAAACATAAGCTATTAAGAATCTTATTCAAATTAAGGAGTCAACAATGGCAGGTATAACAAGGTTTCACAAGTTCTATATTTAAAATGCACAGTAATACTAGTATGTTTTGACTATTCCTTTTCCACTCTAAATTAAAGTTATGACTTTGAACACTAGGGGATGTTAGTGAATGAAATAATCAACTGCAAAATGGGAAATCACTTGTTCTGAAAATCTTTCCTCAAGTGATTTTTGGAATAGAATGTATGCAATAGAATTTTTCCTTTTCTCCAACTGGGAAAAGAAAAGAAAATATAAGTTTTAAAAATTATCATATTAAAACACATATGGCATAAGGCCTCTTTTTACTTACCAAAAATATTTTTGACAGAAAAAGAAAAGGACTGGAATCTGGGAGGGCAAGTCGACATGTAATTTTTAAGTTCTATTACATTGATTGATTTCATAAAAGAAACAAGCTATTTAAAAATTATATTCCATTCACTTGTCTCCTTGTAGTCTTCAACAGATGGCATCCAGCAAAAGAGGCATGCCATCAATCATTCTGTGTCTTGCCCAGCACTTTTTCTGTCCCACTTTTCTTGTGCCTTTCAGCGCCATTTGCCACTGTGGCAGCTCTACATATCTGTTTGCTGAAACAGTCAGATGCAATAGCTTGGCTTCAAAAGTTACTTGGCCTCAGTTTCAGTCTCTCTCTTGAGAATAGTTAGGCACAGCGCATCGTGTCTACATGTTCATGTCAATAAAATATCATTTGTAAGGGAGGTGAGCAAGGACGGCATTGGTACTGAACGATCGCTTTAGGGTGTGCAAGAGTCTGTTAGTCTTTATTGTTTTAAAAAAGTTGGATTTTGTGGTGCAACTTAATTTGGTGGCTTGGAACCACAAACTCTTGCATTCAGAAGCATCGCCAAGGTTTTGACAATTCCTACCAATTAAGTTCAAATGTGTCACAAAGTGACCCATCTGACAGTATCTTGTCAGTCAGTTAACAACAAGTTATATCCTGTTGCATGAATTAGAGACACAATCAACTCCCAAAGGGGTTCTTCTAAAGGGCAAGAGCAGTAGCATATTACAAGAGTATAAGATTTGCATTTAAAGGAGAGAGGAATTAACTTTCACTAAGTTAATAAATGCCTACACTCTTTTGAGCACTAATAGGTGTTAGTTTGCACTTAGAAATCCATTCTAAGTGAACAGATGCTACGTAGAAATGTTTGTGCCACAGTTGAAAAGCATAATGACCATAGAATTCTAATCTTTTCATTGGAGTAGAGGGATCAACCCTATTTAAATATGAATAAAGACACATATAAGGACACATTAGAGACAGGACCATTTGCAGGAGTAACAAAATTCTTTACATAATCTTTTCCTTTTACAGAGGATGAATTTCATTCTATTATAACTTGTTTGTTTAGACAGAGTTTTCCTTCTTTCCTTTCATTCTGTAGGGTAGAAAACGGACTGATAACTCTTCTTCTCAACCATTGCAAGGTTCATGGCTGAGACCCATATGATAAAGCACAGATTAACAAGAGAAAAGCATACACATTTATTTAATAAATTTGATGTGACATGTGAGCTTTCAGAAATGAAGACTAAACAAGACAATGAAATCTGTATATTTTTACCAGAAGTCATGCAGAGTATGACTGGAGGACAAAAGCATGTAATCTAATGGTAGTAAACTGGGGGATATATAGCAAGGCCTTTGTGTTCAGAATCCTCTTGGTGTTCCTGTGTGACATTCCTACCCTCTAGGTATGAGTCAGGACATCTGTCACATGAGGGTCTTCGGGGGAGAAGAGAGCAACAAAGTCAGAGAGTGACCATCCTACATTTTATGATTTGCTTCAGGGAAGAAAGGTGAAAGGAAGGTGAAAGTGGCCATCCTCCTTCTGCTGTTTCCTCAGTTTTCAAGGTGCCACATTTTGGGAAGCATTTCCTCTAACCTCATCAATTCTATCAGGGATTGTTAATACTATCCACTTAATTCTTACCACATACTACCTTACAATGTCACTTTTATTTGATGAAGATCCATCTACATAACTCATGAGCCCAGTGCAAAATAAAAATGCAGATTTCCTTGTTTCAAGATAATTAGGATTTTCCAGAAAGTGACAGCAGAGCACTAAACTGAACACAGGGCCCTGTGCATGTACATCGTATATTTCTCACTCCAGTTTAAAATCGTTGAAGACTGATGCTTTTCTCTTCCTTCAGTTATTTTGAATATCATGCATAAATATGCTGCAAAATCAAAATGTATAAAAGGAAATAAGGGAAAATTGAGCCACCTTCTTGCCCAAAACCTTCATTCATGTTGCCCAGAGTATATCACAGCTGATAGAGCATTATGTGAGATGTGCTGTATGAGCCTTTACACTTACTTAGTAGACATTCAATAAATATTTGTTGATTGCTATATTAGAGTGGATATAGCACAATGGAAATAAATAATAGGGTGAGAGATTGCTTGATAGTTAAGCTGAGGAGGAGACCTAAATACGCACTTTCATTTAATAAGTGAGCACAGAATATCAATAATTATCTCTTAACATTAATTGTGTTCATTTATAAATCTCAGTGAAAATTAACTTTAAGAGATACTAATTATATTATACCCATACAGAATTCACTGTTGGCTTCATAATGGGACTCACTTGACAAAAATCAGCTACATTGAGAGCATCTTTAAATCCTTATAAGAGTGAACCTGATGAATTTACATTGAACTGTTTGACTTAGATTAGGTTAAAATAAAACACTGTAGACCAAAAATAAAATCCTAAGCCCTTGAACCAAATTAACGGACCCCCTTTTGGACAAGAGGACCTTAGAGAAACCCGAAAAATGAAATTCCCATCCACGACAAGAAAGGAGGACAGACACACCTCATAATACCCCCTCCCTTTTGGAGTTTAGGTACAACTGACCAACATTAACATTAACATGGAGATCATAAGATCAATGTAGAAAGAAAATGCCAAATTCCAACCTGACTCTGGTATAGTATATCACATGACAGACAACCCTGAAGGAAATAAAAATATTTTACCCCAAAATATATTTCTTTGACATATTTTGAAATGGCTGATATTTGAGAGGGAAATTTGCATCTGAAGAAAGTATCCATTAATGCAGCCAGGTATTTCCAGAATCTGGGAGAGATTAACTGTCTGACACCTTTAAGGTGTGAAAAGAGGCCTGGTGCTATGGCTCACACCTGTGATCACAGCACTTTGGGAATTGAAGCAAGAGGATTTGCTTGAGGCCAGGAGTTGGCTACCAGCTTGAACAACACAGCAAAACACCATCTCTACCAAAAATAAAATTTGCCAGGTATGGTTGGTGTGTGCCCATAGTCCTAGCTACTTGAGAAGCTGAGGCAGAAGGATTTCTTCAGCCCGAGTTCAAGGCTTCAGTGAGTTATGATTGTGCCACTGCAATTTAGCCCGACCAAGTGAGACCCTGTCTCACAAAATAATAATAATAAATGAGCTCTGAAAAGAGACATTTACCATCTGTTCTCTCTGAAGACTGCTACATATCAGGCCTCATCTACGTAACAAGAACAATGATCTACACAACTCCCCTTATATTAACTCAAACATTTATTTCTACTAACCTCAAATCTTTATACAAAGCTTAACTCTTTCAACCAGTTGCCAATCAGAAAATCTTTGAACCACCTATGACTTGTAAACCCTCCTCCACTTCTGAAATCGATGTTGTAGAAATTATCACCATGAGAAACTTATGACAGTGAAAGAGATCTGATCTAACTAACTCCATCTTGCTTCTAATCCCCAAGCTGTCCTTCTTCATTCCTGGGTGTAGGCCAGACAAATTTTGTGAGGAGCTTAGTTGGTAGTTTAACTTTGAAACAAAAATGATAATAGCCTTTCCCAAAACAAACCCTCTTCTTGCCTGCGGACCAGTCTGCCTTTGTAGAACTTACAAATTAGCCATAAGATTAGAAATTATGGTATAGGAGTCACACAGCCAGAGGCTGAAAGATTTCAAACCTCCCCATATTGCTCCTGGGGATAACATCACTGTTGTAAAACCTAAGATTAGTGCTCAAGATATTTTGCAGACCTCGTGTTCCCATATACCAGCTAGTGCAACCTAGACCAGTAATCTGGCTCAACCAGTTCTACCATCCCACCCAGGAACAGAAGACAGCAAGAAAAAACCACTTGACCCCCTATGATTTTATCTCTGACCCCATCAATCAGCACTCCCCACTTCCTGACCAACTATTCACCAAATTATCCTTAAAAATCCCAGTCTCTGAATTTCCAGGGAGACTGATTTGAGGAATAAGAAAACTTGGGTCTCCTGTACAGGCAGCTCTGAGTGAATTAAACTCTTTCTCTATTGCAATTTCCCTGTCTTAATAAATTGAATCTGTCTGGGCAGCAGGCAAGAACCCATTTGGCCGTTATACGTCAAGATATCTGCCTCTTTAGGTTGAACCAATGTATAGTTTTCTTGCATTGACTTACGATCTTACTTACAATTCCTGTATCCCTAAAATGTATAAAACCAACCTGTAACTAACCTGACTGCCTCAGGCACACATTCTCAGGCCCTCTTGAACTAGACCATGGTCACTCATATTGGTTCAGAATAAACCTCTCTAAATATCTCACAAGAGTTTGGTTTTTTCTTCAGCAACACACTTGAAAAGTCCTACTATGAAACAGAAAATTTAATCACATCATCATGCAATCCCTATGCTTAGAATTTGTCATCACAACTTTATAGGAAACAAAATGAAAGCCTAAAAAATGGAAGGAATCAGCTTAAAGTCATTTAAAGAAGCAAATGGTTTCCAAGTTTGAACTAGTGTAGT
The DNA here is from genome assembly GCF_000001405.40 of Homo sapiens. Classification (NCBI taxonomy): domain Eukaryota; kingdom Metazoa; phylum Chordata; class Mammalia; order Primates; family Hominidae; genus Homo; species Homo sapiens. The sequence goes on along the minus strand of NC_000001.11, from coordinate 80,159,635 downwards.
TCTTATATGACCCCTTGAGTTTCCACATTGTAGAAAACTGTTAATAATAGTTTGTCCATACTTACATTCATTACAATTAGGGAGCTATTACAAGATCCCAAGGCAAATCGATAATTCTACTGCTAAGATGTTTTTTATTTGGAAAAAATTCATCAGAAATCATCAACATTAGTAAGTTCGTGAAAGGAGAAAATCAACACAACTTATGTGTAAACTTCAAAAACAAAAACAGGAGGAAATAAAAATAAATCACCCAAAGCCCTGTGTTTGAGCATTATTTATTTATTTATATGCTGGATTTGTATCATGCCTTCTTTCTGAAGAGCTAATTTAAAATCTTACATGTGTTACTCTATGAAAGAGAAATTTATAAAATCAGCCTGGGTTTGAAGGTAGATAATCTCACACAATGTTTTCAAGGCATTGGTGGATATGAAGAGTTTGGCTGCCACCTTCAATGGTTAATTAACATTTACTGAACAGTTAACATATTTACAAGTGCTTTTCTCTCATTTTTCCCCCTTCCCGTTAAAAAATGAAGCTTTTAGTGGTGATGACATGTTGTCCGGATGGGTATGGCTAAAAGAAAAAGTAATCTGCAGTCTTTTCCAACCAGAGCACATGCAATGACTACCCATTATTTCAAGCCCTAGGGGCATACAATGATCTTTTGCATCATTTCTGAAGTGTGAAATGAGAGATGTATCTCTGGCAGTGTTTAGATTTCTAACCACATGAAGAATCAAAAGTGTTTTTGTTATAATGTAAAATGAGAAGATGGTGTGATTTCAAAATACTCATGTCTGGAAAAAGGACTGAAAAAATAGCATTTTTTCCCTAAGGTTCTTATTCCCAAATGGGCCATTTATTTATCTACTTACTTATTTACTTTCTATTTTTTAAATGCCTACCATATGTAAAACAGGATAAACACAAATATTTTTAAGGCATGTTCCTAGGCATTTAAAGAAAGTAAGGCAAAGATGAATGGATATGATTACAGGGAATGCACTTCACAGCAAGACAATATTTGAAGCAGCAGAAATGGCCCCGTATAATGGGCTGGGTGTGGAATTAGGCAGTCTCATTGCCTACACTGGAATCCCGGTGTGAGTTTTTCTGGTGAAAAGATAATCTTATAAAAAACCAGCAAAACACATTTTGACAAGCCATCCTTGAGATGTGTGATGCTGGCATGTAGCAATTTAAACATAAAAGGAAACAGGCAAGAAGAAGTGAATATACCACACTGGATGTGATCACTTCTAAAAGTGCAAAAGGTTCACCAGCTGATGTGGGGGCCATAGCCATCGGCCCTCTAAAGATTCACTGAAAAATCCCTGTCACGAGGCAGACTGATTAAAAGGAGAGAAAACATACAAATTTCTTTAACATGTACACATGGGAGCCTTCAGAATGAAGACCCAATTTCCCAAAGAGTTACAGAAACTTTTATACCATTTTCAAGTTATAGAAAGAATGAGGGTTTGGATTCTTGTGAAACAGGTTATGGGAGGGAGAAAGAAAGAGGCTTAGATAGCAAAGGTGGCCTTGTTATGTAGATGAAGCCTTTTTTGGGAGAATAGATGGTAAATGGTGTGTTTTTTGTTTTGTTTTGGTTTTTGTTTTTTGTTTTCTTGTTTTTTGTTTTTTTACATTTAAAGATGTCAGACTCTCAGTCTCTACTGGATCCTGGAAAGGCATAGGAAGTGGAGGCATGACTACATTAACGGAGATTCTCTACAGATGCAAATTTTCCCCACAAAAGGCAGCTTTGCAAAGGCACTTGGGTTTGCTGGCTCAGTGACAGTCTCTTCAAAATACGTCAAACAAATTTATTTTGGGGTAAAATATTTGTATTTCCTTCACTGACATGCTTCTGGATAAATTGCTCTTGTTTATAATTAAATATATTTTCTCTTTGAGAATCACTCCAAGATGGACTGTAAGACATTTGATACTCCACCTATCCAGTATTGTTTATTTTTATGTGATACAGCACTTAAAAACCTAAAACTTATTTTTCTTTGACACTGACATTTTTAGTAACTAATTTACTTGGGGAAAATCTTTGCTCATCTATTCTCTATTTCTGTCATTCTCAGTGAACTAATTTGTTATAGGAAACATTGTTCCAGTACTGAGGTAAATAAGCTATGATGGAGCTCATTATGTTTATAAACTTTTATTGCTGCAAACAGTAGCACATAAGGTTGCTGATGAAAAAAGTAAGATGCTTCTCTTTGTAAAAATGTTTGTGGAAGTCCTTTATACACCCAATTAGGAAAGACAATGTATAGTACACATGTGACAAAACAGTCTTCCTAAAAGAATAACTAATTTTTGTCTCTTCCTGCCTCAAAAATCTTCTGTTGTACTAAACTTTACAAAACAAAACTTGATCTCATAACATTAGCAATCAGCATTTCTCTTTTTTTCTTTCTTTCTTTTTTTTTATTAGTCTGAGTCTCTCTCTGTGGCCCAGGCTGGAGTGCAGTGGTGCGATCTCAGCTCATTGCAAGCTTCACCTCCTGGGTTCACGCCATTCTCCTGCCTCTCAGCCTCCCGAGTAGCTGGGACTACAGGCTCCTGCCACCACGCCCAGCTAATTTTTTGTATTTTTAGTAGAGATGGGGTTTCACCATGTTAGCCAGGATGGTCTCCATCTCCTGACCTCGTAATCTGCCTGCCTCAGCCTCCCAAAGTGCTGGGATTACAGGCGTGAGCCACGGCACCAGGCGAGCAATCAGCATTTCTTACAATTTAATCCAAATTTAATTAATGCTATGTTTTTAATTTTTTTTTTTTTGCATTTTACACTCCAAGTAAAGTGAGGTTTTTTGTGGATACCTACTTATGTGTGGAATACACTTCTTATTTTCAGATATTTAAATTCAACCTGAGTTTTTACACCCAGAACAGATTTCAGCTCATTCAATTTCTGTTTATTTCTACCTTAAATAATTTTGCCTTCTTTGAACATGCATTGTACATTATCTGAACTTCTTTATGGCATTTGTCACTTTCAACCCTGTATAATAGTTCTCTATCTAACATGAAAAACACATTCCTTATATACCTTTTTTTCTGTTCTCTTCAAGATAATAAGTTCACTGAGGCTCATGTCTAAATGTGTCACTTTATCTGACATAGCAGCAAGCCATTTGTTTTGCACTTAGAAGGTACATGGTAGATATTTTTTAAGTAAATGAATGAATGAATGAAGATTAAGGTTATAAATGATGAAATAGGCAGGCAGCATTACAATGATTTTCCCAAAGTCACAGAGAAAATCTGAAGAAGTAAAAGTAGAAACCTCAGTTCAGTAAATGCAATGAATTAAAAACATTATTGGGAGTAAATATTCATTCACTAAATATTCCAGATGAATTTTTGGCCTAGTGTCAACCAATCATCATTTTAGGGGATAATACACTCTCAACCCCAGCCTCACCTTAATTTTCTCACAAGATATCTTCATTTCCCTAAGGATTGCATAGTATATGGGATTATCTGAACACAGAGATGTATAACTTGAACATTTTAGAAATTCACAGCTCATATTTGAAGGTTTAAAAAATTCTTGATGAACAATTTTGAAGTTTGAGTTTTTTTTTCATTTTGGTGTAAGTTAGCCTCTTCTGGAAATATCACAATTTCTTGAGAAATACTAAGCTATTAGTATTTCATTTTATCTAACCAAATAATCCTGGACATGTGGTGAAAATGCTTACTTTTTAAGCTGTCTTGCCTTGTTTTGTTACAGGCCACAGGCTCGTAGGCTCCTCCTGTAATGGAAATTAACACAGGGCCAAGCAGATTTAAGCAGATTTCCCAGGCAAGGTTTTTATTTCAGTCATTGTGCTTGAGTGCAAGAGAGACAGTGGAGGTGCAAGGATTCTCTGGCTGGCTCTTTGAAAAGAGTCAATAATAGGGTTTTTTTTAGGTAAAGAGCAGGAATTGACATCAAGGGTAAGCTATAAAGGCTGGGCTGGGTAAAACATGTGATTGGGTAGTAGATGCAGTTCAGCATATCTGGTTGCAATTGTTATCTTGAGTAACGAGCCACCTAGTGGACTGGCCACTGGTAACAAGGCTGTAAATCAGTTATTCAGCATTTCATCCCGAGTTGGGACACTGTAAACTTGGTTCACTATTTGGATCTCCTAAGGCCAGTTTCTGTAAGTCTTTAAGTAAAAGGTATAGTTAAACCCTATGAGAGCACAGAAAAATTATTTGTATGACTAAAGCTTTGGGGTAAACAGGTATAACATTAGTAAGGTAGTGGTGTGGATTTTGTGATCAGTGGGACAAGTAAAGAAAAAAATATGTGAAGGAGGAATCACATCCCATTGCTACCTTATCTCAATTTCAGTTACATATTTCACAAAGAAATTGTTTCCTCTTTTTTAATCAGAGGCAGAGATGATGGCTGTTACTCATAATCATAGCATCATAGTGTGTGTTTTATTATCCAACTTATTGGACAATGCCCAAAATTACCCTCTTTGCTCTTGTTTATATCCAGTCTAGTGTTTTTACTATCTTAACTTAGAAGTAACAAGCAATCCACCATAAGGAAAAATTGTCCTGCTTTTAAGCAAACATTGAATAGCACCAGAGAACAGGCAAGAGGTTATTTCATGTTATTTAATTTACTGCTAGTGCCTAGTGTCTAGTTTCCAGATTTTTTCTCACAGACTCTTATATTTCTCTATCTACCATATTTTTTTGGTTTGTTTCATACCTTTAAAATCTAGATGAGATATTGAAATATATGTAAGTCTGTATTCACAGTTTAAAAATTAGGAAACTCAAGCTCAGAGGTGACTTATTAAACTCACACATTTACAAAATCCTCTGGTTCCATTTTGAGTTGGTCAATTTATTGGAAGGAAAGTAGATGGGAGGATCTATTATATAGGTAGGGGCAAAGATGTCAAGATTGACAGAATGAGGTACATTACTGAATTGAGAAAAAAGAGAACAATTTGGATCATAAGTAAAAAGAAAAACAAAAGCCAGAAAAAATATGACCCACGCAGGAGGACTAACTTGCAGCTCCCACTCAGGTGGACAGAGCAGCTGGTGGAGACCCACGTCATTAACTTTTGCTCCAAGAACTACCACGAGAACATACCAGGAAAGCCAAGAGAATCCACAGACCCTTTGAAGGAGGTGGATTGCTGCTCCAAGCTCCGTGAGGCAGCCGAGGAGCTGTGAGTTGGCTTGCTTACTCACTTGGGAGGCTTGTAGCCTGGGGTAAACTCAGCCCTGCTCACTGGCTGCCTGGAAATAAACTCAGTACAGTTGGGGGGGTGGGGCATGATGGGAGTGAGACCAGCCTTTCAGGCTGTAGGCTGCATGGGAGCTGGGTGAGGCCTGTCACTTCCCTGGCAACCTGTGTGACGCAGAAGAGGCAGACATAATCCCCTGGATCATAACTCTGTTGGCCTGGGAACCACCACATCCCCATCCTCCACAGCAGCCACAGCAAGCCCCACTGAAGAAGAGTCTGAGCTCAGACACGCCTAGCCCTGTCCCCACCTGATGGTCTTTCTCTACCTGCCCTGGTAGCCAAAGACAAAGGACATAATTCTTGGGAGCTCTATGACCCTGCCCACCACCTGATCCTCCCTATACTACTGCAGCTGGTGCGCTCCTGAAAGCGCCATCTCCTGGCTGGAAGCCAACCAACACAAAACCAGCACACTTAACAAAAATACAACCAAGGGGTCTTACAGAGTCCACTTCTCTTCCCTGCTACCTCTACTGGAGCAGGTTCTGGTATCCACACTGAGAGACCTGAAGACAGGTTACATCACAGGACTCTTGGCAGACAGTCCCCAGAACCACCCCGGAGCCTGGTAGCTCTGCTGGATGGCTAGATCCAAAAGAGAAATAACAATCACTGCAGTTTGGCTCTCAGGAAGCCCAGTCCCTAGGGGAAATGGGAGGACACCACATCAAGGGAGAACCCCGTTGGACGAAGGAATCTAAACAGCAGCCCTTGAGTTCCAGTTCTTCCCTTTGACATAGTCTACCCAAATAAGAAGAAACTAGAAAAAAAATTCTGGTAATATGACAAAACAAGGTTCTTTAATACACCCGAAAGATCACACCAGCTCAACACAATGGATACAAACCAAAATAAAATCTCTGAATTGTCAGAAAAATAATGTAGAAAGTCAACTTTTAAGCCAATCAACAAGGCACTAGAGAAAGGTGAAGTCCAACTTAAATAAATCAAAAAAGTGATACAGGATATGAATGGGAAAATCTCCAGGGAAATAGATAGCATAAATAAAAAACAAACACAACTTCTGAAAATGAGGGCCAAACTTAGAGAAATGCAAAATGTGCTGGAAAGTCTCAGCAACAGAATCAAACAAGTAGGAGAAAAAACTTCAGAGCTCAAAGACAAGGCTTTCAAATTAACCCAATCTGACAAAGATGAAGAAAAAAGAATTTAAAAAATGAACAAAGACTCCAAGAAGTTTGGGACTATGTTAAATGACCAAACTTTAGAATAATTGGTGTTCCTGAGAAAGAAGAGAAATCTAAAAGTTTGGAAAACATATTTGAGGGAATAATCCAGACAAACTTCCCCAGCCTTCCCAGAGATCTAGACATCCAAATACAAGAAGCTCAAAGGACACCTTGGAAATTCATCACAAAAAGATTATTGCCTAGGCACATAGTCATTAGATTATCTAAAGTGAAGATGAAGGAAAGAATCTTAAGAGCTCTGAGACAAAAGCACCAGGTAACCTATAAAGGTAAACCTATACGATTAACACAGATTTCTCAGTAGAAAATTCTACAAGCCAGAAGGGATTGGGGTCCTATCTTTAGCGCCCTTAAACAAAACAATTATCAGGCAAGAATTTTGTATACAGTGAAAACTAAGCTTCATAAATGAAAGAAAGATACAGTTTTTCCAGACAAACAAATGCTGAGAGAATTTGCCACTACCAAGCCAGCACTACAAGTACTGCTAAAAGAAGCTCTAAATCTTGGAATAAATCTTGAAATACACCAAAATAGAATATTTTTAAAGCCTAAATCTCACAGGACCTATAAAACATTAACACAATGAAAAAAAAAAAGACATTCAGGCAACAAGTAGCACTGTGAATAGAATAGTACCTCACACCTTAATACACACATTGAATATAAATAACCTAAACACTCCACTTAAAAGATACAGAATTGCAGAATGGATAAGAATTCAACAACCATGTGTCTGCTGTCTTCAAGAAATTTACCTGACACATAAAGACTCACATAAATTTAAGGTAAAGGGGTGGAAAAAGATATTTCATGCAACTAGACACCAAAGTGAGCAGGATTAGCTATTCTTATGTCAGACCGAAAAAATTTTAAAGCAACAGCAGTTAAAAAAGACAAGCAGGGACTTTATATAATGATATAAGGACTAGTACAACAGGAAAATATCACAATACTAAATGTATACATGCACCTAACAATGGAGTTCTCAAATTTATAAAACAATTACTATTAGACCTAATAAGTGAGATAGACAGCAACACAATAATAATGGGGGACTTCAATACTCCCCTTACAGCACTAGACATGTTATCAAGGCAGAAAGTTAAGAAAAAAAAAAACAATAAACTTAAACTATATCCTAGAACAAATGGACTTAACAGATATTCACGGAACATTCTACCCAACAACTGCAGAATATACATTCTACTCATCAGTACATAGAACATTCTATAAGATAGACCATATGATATGCCACAAAATGAGTCTCAACAAATTCAAAAAATTGAAATTATAGCAGGTGCTCTCTCAGCCCACAGTGGGATAAAACTGGAAATTAACTTCAAAAGGAATCCTCAAAGCCATGAAAATACATGGAAATTAAATAGCCCACTCCCGAATGATTGTTGAGCCAACAATTAAGATGGAAATTAAAAGCGTATTTGAACTGAATGAGAATAGTGACAAAACCTATCACAACCTCTGGGATACAGCAAAAGCAGTGCTAAAAGGACATTTCATAGTATTAAATGCTTACATTAAGAAGTCTGAAAGAGCACAAATTGACAATCTAAGGTCATACCTCAAGGAGCTAGAGAAACAGAGCAAATCAAACCCAAACCCAGGAGGGAGAAGAAAAGAAATAACCAAGATCAGAACAGGACTAAATGAAATTGAAACAAAAACAAAAACAAAAAAATAGAAAAGATAAATAAAACAAAATCTGCTTCTTTAAAAAGATAAATAAAATTGATAAGCCACTGGTGAGATTAACCAAAAAAGGAGGAGAGAAGATCCAAATAAGCTCAATTAGAAGAAAAGAAATGGGAGATATTACTATTGATGCCACAGTTTCTATTTCTTCCTGGTTTAATCTAGGATGCTTGTATATTTCCAGGAGTTAATCCATCTCCTATGAGTTTTCTATTTTATGCACATAAAGGTGTTCATAGTAGCCTTGAATGATCTTTTGTATTTCTGTGGTATCAGTAGTAATATCTCCTGTTTTGTTTCTAATTAAAAATTTACCAACAAAAAATTAAAATAAATTCAGGACCAAACAGATTCAGAGCTGTAACAGACATTCAAAAAAGAATTGGTACCAACCCTACTGGCACTATTCCAAAAGATAAACAGAGAATCTTCCCTAAATCATTCTATGAAGCCAGTATCACCCTAATACCCAAACCAGAAAATAATAAAATAAAAAAGGAAAACTACAGACCAATATCCCTGATGAGCATTGATGCAAAAATCCTCAACAAAACACTAGCTAACGGAATCCAACAGCATATCAAAAAAAAAAAAAAAAATCCACCACAATCAAGTGAGTTTCATACCAGTGATGCAGGGATGACTTAACATCCACAATAAATGTTAATAAATGTGATGCTACACATAAACAGAATTAAAAACAAAGATCACATGATTATCTCAATAAATGCAGGAAAAGCACTTGACAAAATCTAGCATCCTTTTATGATTAAAACACTTGACAAAATTGGCATAGAAGGAACACACCTTAAGTTCATAAAAGCCATCTATGACAAACCCATAGCAAACATTGCACTGAAAGGGGAAAAGTTGAAACACTCCCCCTGAGAACTGAAAAAAGACAAGGAGGCCCACTTTCACCACTTCTATTCAACGTAATACTGGAAGCCCTACCCAGAGCAATCAGACAAGAGATAGAAATAAAGGGCTTCCAAATCGGTAAAGAGGAAGTCAAACGGTCACTGTTTGCTGGTGACATGATCATATACCTAGAAAACCCTAAAGACTCATCCAATAAGCTCCAAGGACTGGGAATGAGTTTAGCAAAGTCTTTGAATAATAAATGTATGTACACAAAATAATGTACACCCGCTATACGCTAACAGCGACCAAGACGAGAATCAAATTAAGAACTCAACCTTTTTTACAATAGCTGCAAAAGTATAAAATATTTAGGAATATGCCTAACCAAGGAAGTGAAAGATCTCCACAAGGAAGTGAAAGATCTCCACAAGGAAAACTACAAAATACTGCTGAAAGAAATCATAGACAACACAAATTAATGGAAACACACTCCATGCTCATGGAGGGGTAGAATCAATATTGTGAAAATGACCATACTTCCAAAAGCAATCTACAAATTCAATGCAATTTCCATCAAAATATCACCATCATTCTTCAAGAACTAGAAAAAAACAGTTCTAAAATTCATACGGAACCTAAAAGGAGCCCACATAGCCAAAGCAAGACAGCAAAAAGAACAAATCTGGAGGCATTACGTTACCCTATTTCAAACTATATTTTAAGGCCGTAGTCACCAAAACAGCATGGAACTGGAATAAAAGCAGGCATATAGACCAATGGAACAGAATAGAGAACCCAGAAATAAAGCCAAATACTTACAGTCATCTGATCTTTAACAAGGCTAACAAAAACATAAAGTGGGGAAAGGACATGATATTCAACAAATGGTGCTGCAATAACTATCAAGCCACATGCAGATGAATGAAACTGGATCCTTATCTCTCACCTTATACAAAAATCAACTCAAAATGGAGCAAAGACTTAATTATAAGACTTGAAACCATAAAAATTCTGGAAGATAACATTGGAACAACCCTTCTAGACATTGGCTTAGGCAAAGACTCTATGACTAAGAACCCAAAAGCAAATGTAACAAAAACAAAGATGAATAGATGGGACTTAACTAAATTAAAAAGCTTCAGCACAGTAAAAAAACAAAACAAAACAAAACAAAACAAAAAACAGCAGCAGAGTAAACAGACAACCCACAGAGTGGGAGAAAATATTCACAATCTATACATCTGACAAAAGACTAATATCCAGAGTCTACAAGGAACTCACACAAATCAGCAAGAAAAAAACAAACAAACCCATCAAAAAATAGGCTAAGGATATGAATAGACAATTCTCAAAAGAAGATATACAAATGGCTAACAAACATATAAAAAATGCTCCACATCACCAGTTATAAGAGAAATGCAAATCAAAACCACAATACAATATCAGCTTATTCCTGCAAGAATGACCATAATAAAAAAATACAAAAATAATGGATATTGGCTTGAATGTGGTGAAAGGGAACAATCTTACACTGTTGGTTGGAATGTAAACTAGTACAACCACTACGGAAAACAGTGTGGAGATTCCTGACAGAACTAAAGGTAGATGTACCATTTGATACAGCAATGCCATTACTAGGTATCTACCCAGAGGAAAAGAAGTCATTATACGAAAAAGATACTTGCACACACATGTTTACAGCAACACAATTTGTAATTGCAAAAATATGGAACCAGCTCAAATGCCCATCAATCAACGAGTGGATAAAGAAAATATGGTATATATATACACACCATGGACTACTACTCTGCTGTAATAAGGAATGAAATAATGACATTTGCCACAACCTGGATGAAATTGGAGACCATTATTCTAAGTCAAGTAACTCAGGAATGGAAAGCCAAACATCATATATTCTCACTCATAAGTGTGTGTTAAGCTATGAGGATGCAAAGGCATTAGAATGATACAACAGACGTTGGAGACCAAGGTGAAAGAATGGAAGGAGGTCAAGTTATAAAAGACTACACACTGCGTACAGTGTACATTGCTTGGGTGATGGGAGCACCAGAATCTCAGAGATCACCACTAGAGAACTTATTCCTGTAACCAAACACCACCTGTTCCCCCAAAACATATTATTTATAAAAATAAATAAATAATAAAAAGAAGAAGGAAAAAATATGGAATATTTTTTATTCTTAGGGTCACAAAGGTGAGTTGAATCAAGGACATTGTGAGAGTTTGATAAAATAAATGAATTTGAATTAAAATCTGAATCACTATCCCTTGTTCTTCACAAAAATCGGTTCCAGAAAAATGAAATAATAATTGTAATAGGGCCATAAAATTTATCTAGTTTGAATTTAGCCCAAAGAGTGGAATAGTTTGAAGAAGATTTTACCACAAATTAAATATGCATTCATAAGAGAATAAGAATTTGAGTAGTGTATTTTAAAATGTATTTTGAGTCTGTCCTCTAGAGCTTTTAGGTTACTGGGTTCATGATTTATACAGCTTTTACAGATACAATAGCTTACCTTTTCCACCCACTGAGGTCATTGCTCAGAAGGAACATTTGCCCAGGAATTGTCAAACACTCATCTCTTGGTGGCATGTGCTTTTTGGCTTGATATCAAATGATTGTGGTAGTCTATCCCTTGGAATTTCCTAGGAATATTTGGGAGTAAAGATGAAAGCCAACATTTCTGATTTCCTGTTATCTTTGTTTAAAACTCAACCACTCATGTATCCCATACACCCCTATGGAAGCAGGGGTGATCTGACTGCAATTTTAAACATAGCATTAATAGCCAGTATGGTTGAAGCTGATTGGACTGGTCAAGGTAATATTTGTTTCCTTGCATATAACTTCTAGTGTTTATTAGTGCCAAAAATTCAAGGGTGTGAGATGCTGGCTTTCATATTAGAACCCCCAAAAAGGAATAGAACCTATTTCAAATACATTTTTATTTCAGCATGCTGGTCATCTTTCTAGATTCATAAAACTTTCAAGAGTTGCCTTTATTCCACAGTCCCATAATCCCAATTTCTTGCATCTTTGTCCAACATTATATTTTATAGAAAATAATGATATATATTTCACCACAATAACACATGAAAAAAATGTGTTGTAAATTCAATGCCACTCCCAACTATGGATCTAGTTTTATATAGAGTTGCCTATTAACCTTTTTGTTTACATTTTTTTACCAGTTAAATTTTTAAAAATTTATTAATTCTAAAATGGAGCACTGAATTAACATGTTCTATGTTATCTAATACTTCCTCTTTCTTTTATTTTTTATTTTTCAAAACGGAGTTTCACTCTTGTTGCTCAGGCTGGAGTGCAATGGCACAATCTCGACTCACTGCAACCTCTGCCTCCTGGGTTCAAGAGATGCTCCTGCCTCAGCCTCCTGAGTAGCTGGGATTACAGGCATGTGCCACCACACCCGGCTACTTTTTGTATTTTTAGTAGAGACGGGGTTTCTCCATGTTGGCCAGACTGATCTGGAACTCATGACCTCAGGAGATCTACCTGCCTCAGCCTCCCAAAGTGCTGGGATTACAGGTGTGAGCCACTGCGCCTGGCCTACTACTTCCTCTTTCAAAGAGAAAATGAAAAGTGACATTAAATGTGGTTATAAAAGGCAAAAGACATATCTCAAGTTCATTTGAAATCATTTAAAGATTTTAAACTATATTCAGCAACATTTTAAGTGTAAGTGAATTTTATTTTATTCTAGTGTAAGTGAATTTTATTTTATTCTGACATTTCACAAACGTATATATTTGGATTTGAATTGGTAAGACCTAATAAATAAAAATGTGCCACGCAGAAAAAGCATTCAATTTCCTAAGCTTTAAAATAAGCAAATTTTTATTCACAAAATATACCAATATTATTTTGAGTTGAATTAGTTTAGTCAAAATAATAGAGAAAAGTGATTTCTGATGAAACACTATGTATAACTAGCTTCCAATTAAAATTCAGGCAGATATAGTTCACTAATTGGGTTAAGCTTAATAATATATGTGATAGCTAATATTGAGTGTCAAATTGATTGGATTGAAGGCTGCAAAATATTGATCCTGAGTATGTCTGTGAGGGTGTTACCAAAGGAGATTAACATTTGAGTGAAGGGGCTGGGAAAGGCAGACCCACCTTTAATCTGGGTGGGCACCATCTAATCAGCTGCCAGCATGGTCAGGATACAAAACAGGCAGAAAAACATGAATTAGCTAGACTGGCTTAGCCTCCCAGCCTACATCTTTCTCCTGTGCTTGTTGCTTCCTGCCCTCAAACATTGGACCCCAAGTTCTTCAGCTTTGAGACTCAGACTGGCTTCCTTGCTTCTCAGCTTGCAGATGGCCTATTGTGAGACCTTGTGATCATATGAGTTAATACTTCCTAATAAACTCCCATACACACACACACACACACACACACACACACACACACACAGACACTCTATTAGTTCTGTCCTTCTAGGGAACCTTGACTAATAGAGATTTTGGCACCAGGAGTGGTTCTAGAGGAGCAAAATATTAAGGATGGAGTTCTTTAGTTGGTTTTGGGGTTTCTGGAGTTGGCTGCTTAATATGATTAGTCCCCAAAATGCTAATGACTCTACTTTTTTTTTCCAATTTCTGTATGGATTATAATTTTTTTGTATTATACTTTAAGTTCTAGGGTACATGTGCACAACGTGCAGGTTTGATACATAGGTATATATGTGCCATGTTGGTTTGCTGCACCCATCAACTCATCATTTACGTTAGGTATTTCTCCTAATGCTATCCCTCCACCAGCCTCCTAGCCCCCAAAAGGCCCCAGTGTGTGATGTTCCCTGCCCTGTGACCTCACACCTGCCCTGTGTCCAAGTGTTCTCATTGTTCAACTCCCCCCTATGAGTGAGAACATGCGGTGTTTGGAATATAATGTTTTGTTAATGTCTATTAGGTCTATCTGGTCTAAAATTCAGTTTAAGTCCACTGTATTTTAGAAAATCTGTCTAACGCTGACAGTGAGTTATTTAAATCTCCCACTGTTACTGTATTGCAGTCAATCTGAATCTTTAGATCTAGTAACATTTGTTTTATGAATCTCAGTATTCCAGTGTTAGGTACATTTATATTTAAAATGGTTATTTCCTCTTTCTGAATTGATTCCTTTATCAATGTATCGTGACCTTCTTTGCCTTTCTTTTAATATCATTTTTGACTTAAAGTTTGTTTTATCTCAGATAAGTATAGCTACTCCTGCTCATTTTTGGTTTCTGTTTTCATAAAATATCATTTTTCATTCCTTTCCTTAAATCTGTATGTGTCTTTACAGGTTAAAGTGTGTTACTTGTAGGCAACATATAGTTGGATCATGTTTTTTTATTCATTCTATCAGTTTATATTTTCCAATTCATTTGCATTCAAGGTTGTTATTGATATGTTAGAGTTTTTCTGTCCTATTGTTGTCTCCTGGTTGTTTTGTACATTCCTTTTTACTTTATTTTATTCTTATTGCTTATCATTTTGGTATGGTGGTTTTCTGTAGTTGTACCATTTGGGTCCTTTATCTTTCTCATTTGTGTGTTTGGTTTACCAGTGAGTTTTATAATTTCTTGGATTTTCATGACGATAAATGTCATCCTTTCATTTCCAGGTTTAGGATGACCTGCAGCATTTCTTTTATAACCAGTTTAGTGGTGATCAATTTCCATTTGCTTGTCTGGGAAAGACTATTTCTCCTTAATTTATAAAGCATAATTTTCATTGATATAATATAATTGGGTGGCAATTTTTTTCAGCACTTTGGATATGTCATCCCATTCTCTCCTGGCTTGTAAAGTGTCTGCTGAGAAATGCACTGTTATTCTGATGAGAGTTCCTTTACAGGTGTTATAGGTGACTAGATGTCTTTCTCTTGCTGGTTTTAGAATCTTCTCTTGTGACTTAAGACAATTTGACTATAATGTGCCATTTGACTATAATTTTCATTGTATCTGTTTGGGAATTTTGAGCCTCCTATGTGTGGATGTCTAAGTCTCTTGCTAGTCTTGGAAACTTTTCATTTATTATTTTATTAAATAGATTTCCTAACCCTTTCATTCTCTCCCCAAAAAGCCCAGGATACCTATAATTCATATATTCAGTCACTTTATGTTTTTCAAAATGTCATAAAGGTTTTATTCATTCTTTTTTCTTTATTTTTGTCTGATTGGATTATTTCAAAAGACTTGTTTTCAAGTTCTGAGAGTTCTTCTTCTGCTTGATCTAGTCTATTATTGAAGCTTTTGAATGTATTTTTTATTTAATTCAATGAATTCTTTAGTTCCAGAATTTCTCTTTGGTCATTTAAAAAATGTCTGTCTCTTTGGTGAATTTCTCATTCATATCCTGAATGTTTTTTCTGTATGGTTTTTTAGAATTCTCTTGTATCTCACTGACCTTCTTTAAAATCAGTATTTTGAATTCTTTATCCAGAATTTTGTAATTTTTTAAATTGGGATTTGTTGTAGAATTACTGTGTCTCTTTGGAGATGTTGTATTTCCTTGCTTTTTCTTGTTTCCTGTGCCCTTATATTGATATTTATACATTTGGTGTAATAGTTGTTGATTCTTCCAATTTTTTGATTTTGCTTTTATAGGGAAGGACTTTTTCCTGATAATTATATATGTTGTTGGGGTAGGGCATTTTGGTTTTGATATTGTGTGCATGCAGTAGTGTTGTCTTTGTATGATTTCTTTCACAACCAGCATCAATGGTATCTGTGATCTCCTCAGTGGCTCAAGGTGCAGTTATTGAAGGTGTGGTAAAGTTTTCCTGGGGACTAGGATGCCAGGTGGACCAGTGAGGGTCCCAGCAGTGGCAGCAGTGGGCTGAGCATGCCTGCACCTAAGCCCTAGAGCAGTGTATGCTGGCTCCAGTGTTAGGAGGACCAGGAGGACTTATTCTTGCACTTCAGGCAACTTGCTCAGGTGCCAGCAGTGGGCCAGGCATATGGTGAGGTGCTTGGGCCCTGGGGAAGTGGGTGTGATGTGGGCAATGGCAGTAGCAGTGATAAGGAAACCCACTGGAATCCAAGTGGTCCATGCTGGTATTGACAGTGGCTATGAAGGATTAGATGAACCAGGTCCCTTGCATGCAGGTGGCTCATGCAGGTTGGCGACAGCTGTAGTGGTATCAGCAGATTGGGTTGTCCTGACCTCAGACCCCGGGAGGAGTTTTCAGGTGCCAAAAGTGGTGGACTGTGCTGGGTAATACCTTGGGTGTTGTGCTTGAGTACTGGGGGGATGGGAACAGTCCAGCCAACTTGTCTTTAGGTCCCCTGGTAGTGCGTTCAGGCACAGACCATAATAGGCAGGATGGGCTGTGATGTGGTTTGCCTCTGTGTCCCCGCCCAAATATCATGTCAAATTGTAGTCCCCAGTGTTGGAGGAGGGGCCTGGTGGAAGGTAATTGAATCATGGGGGCAGACTTCCTCCTTGCTGTTCTCATGATAGTGAGTTCTCACAAGATCTGGTTGTTTAAAAGTGTGTAGCACTTTCCCCTTCAATCTCTTCCTCCTTCTCTGCTCTGTGAAGATATACCTCTTTCCTCTTTACTTTCCACCATGATTGTAAGTTTCCTGAGGCCTCCCCAACCATGCTTCCTGTACAGCCTGTGGAACTGTGAGTCAGTTAAGCCTCTTTTCTTTATAAACTACTCAGTCTCAGGTAGTTCCTTACTGCAATGCAAGAATGGACTAATACAAGGTGATTTCCAGGTCACCGGCAGAATGCTCCAATGGGGGCAGCAGTGGCCCTTCTGTGGGCCTGCCATCAGGGAGGATGGTGCCACTCTCAGTGGGAGCTGCATAGGCAAGCAGCTGTGGGTCACACGGTTTGCTCATGCCTTAGTCCCACAGAAGCTTGCAGCAATTGTGGTGATATTTGTCCTTGGGGCATGTAAAAGCGCCCAGTCTACACTCTCCCTCCTTGTTCCAGGAGCAGCAGTAATGGCATCAGGTGCTGGCTACTGGCCTGTCACCACGGAGGGTGAAGCCACTATCAGTAGGCACAATGTAGACAGGCAGCTGTAGGGTACAAAATTTGATTCTGCTTTGGTCCCATGGCAGCCAACAGCAGTGGTGTTCATATTTGTCCTTGGGGCTCATGAAAGTTCTTGGCCTCCCCGCTCTTTCTTTTGCCCAGCATCAACAGTGGTGGCATCACCCCCCAATTTGGAGAGCTTATCCCTCCCCAGTCTTTTAAAGGCTGAGCTCTCAGAACGGTACCATGCTGTAGCTGCTCACAGCTCAAAAGCTTGTGCTACTCAACATGAGTTCCCTCTCTGGAGCAGTGCCTCTGTGCAATTTTGAAACGGCTCCCTTTGTTAGTTTGCAGGCCCTTGAAAGTCGAGGGGCTCTCTTGCAACTATGATTGTGAAAGTCTGTGGAAAGAATATGGAGCCCTGGGGTTCTCTCACCTACCCTTTCCCCATGTCTCGGACCTTCTCAGCCCCCAGCTGATCCTGACCAAACAGGCTGCTGTGCTTTCCTCTTCTTCTTTGCTTTTGGTGCTTCCTATCACTTCTGTTGAATCCCAGTGTTGTCTCTCAGATGATGTATTCTAACTGTGATTTTTCTTTCTTTTTTCTTCTTTTTTCTTCTTTTTTTTTTTTGAGACAGAGATTTGCTCTTGTTGCCCAGGCTGGAGTGTAATGGTGCCATCTCTGCAACCTCCACCTCCCAGGTTCAAGTGATTCTCCTGCCTCAGCCTCCTTAATAGCTGGGATTACAGGCATGCACCACCACACACAGCTAATTTTGTATTTTTAGTAGAGACGGGGTTTCTCCATGTTGGTCAGGCTGGTCTTGAACTCCCGACCTCAGATGATCCACCTGCCTCTCCCTCCCAAAGTGCTGGGTTTACAGGCATGACCCACTGCGCTCAGCCTTTTAAGTGTGATTATTTACTTGCTATTTTGGTTCCTCTCCATGAAAGAGGTATGTACTA
This sequence comes from Homo sapiens, assembly GCF_000001405.40. NCBI lineage: Eukaryota > Metazoa > Chordata > Mammalia > Primates > Hominidae > Homo > Homo sapiens. The sequence goes on along the minus strand of NC_000001.11, from coordinate 80,141,551 downwards.
GCTGCATCTAGTCAGCCATCTTGCCCCTTCTTGGAATGTGCTTTTAGATGACCCAAAATTTTATTTGTCCCAAAGTGTGTTTCATCAAGCTATATAAATATTTGCTGTACTTCAAAATGGTGTAACATTCATAAAAGGATTGTACAGTTATCTATAGTAAGATTAGACAAATTTTAATAAAAACATGAATTCTCTTTGTGACAAATTTGAGTGTGGTAAAAGTATCCATGCTGATCAGATGCTCTCATTGGAAGATGTTTATGACTTTGGACTAAAAACAAGAAAAAAATGTTTTTATCCATCTGACATTTGAAAAGACTGAGTCTTAGAGAAATTAGATGGTTTGCTCAAGGTTATGAGGAAGGTAGATTTTTAAAATAGTATTTGAAGTCAGATTTGTGGTAATCCAGAGATGGTTTTCTTTCCATTGTACTATGTTGCTTTGTTGGAAAAACTGTATATTGCACTCAGTGAAGCTAAATAACAGTGGGAAATATCTCATTGCTGATTACTGTTTTGTTTTTCAGTGTTGCTCTTTTCTTATATAGCTAATTTTTAATATATATTTATGTGTAAACCATCTTTCTTAGAGGATAACCTGCATGTGAATACATTTTGCATTTTAAAGCATTTTGAAAAGGCTCTAAAATAGACCATAAGATGAATAATAATTTTTAGCGTGTACAATATTGAATACATCTTATCTACTGAACAACATGAAGCTTTCTTTAAAATAGAACACAAGGGTTAGATGTATTTCATAGGAACCATTTTTTTTTTCTGAAACTTAACTATTATTGGTCAAACCACCCTATCTTTAATCTTGACTCATTCTTTCCCTTTATTCGATATATAGCATGATAGATCATGCCTACAAAGCAGTATTTCATTTATTGCAAGAGGCCACTGTAGAACAGCTCTTATGGATCCTGACCTAAAGAACCATGTTATTTCTATAGTAAAAATTATGGAAAATGAAGTAGGTAAATAAGATATACCTAGTTATATACCAAGAGATAGTATGTAATAAAATATTAAATGGTTTAACGTTTAGTGAAGATAATCAAGAAAGTGATAGAAAATTGTGCAGCTAGAATATTTGGGGAAGTCTTTGTTGATAAAAAAATACAGCTTGTTCTATACTGTTTTTTAATTATCCTGTTTTGTGCCATTTCCTTTGCATGCTGTGATTTTTGGGCTTCTTTGGCCTAGCCTACCATTTCTTCTCTTGGAGCTAACTAATGAAACTAGCTTTGGTCTTGAAAACTACAAACCCTTCTAACTGCAGTGAAAGAAATCTCAGCAAGATACAAAGAAGAACTATCCCCTCCTCATTTACAGCTGTAGAAAAACAGATGTAACTCTGCATTATGCAACTGTTTTTGAAGAGTTATTTTAACAATTCTAAGAATCCTGAACTATGGGTATGTTTGCTATATCTTGTGAAACTAAGTCTTAACCTCCTTAACATCTGTGATTCTAACTGATTGTAAGCTAATAATTTGTTGCCCTTGGTAATATCTAATATGATATCTCTGTTTTGACATCTCTGTTTTCTAAAACAATGAAGGCTTATACGTTTTCTCATTAACCAGGAGAGAATTACTGACAATTCCTTTCTTTCCCACATGCTTGGAGAGGAGGAGGAAACCCAGTCTATGACTCTGCTATATTTCTTATTTAAATAAAGGTTGAGATGTTTTGCCTCATTTAAATTAACAGTTTCTTAGAGATGTTACTGGAATTAAATTTTTTAAAAGAGAAGAAATTTTAAATAAATACAATAGAAGAATTGGGGAAAATAGTGTTGATTAATGCAAAGAACACACTTAAAATTTACAAGGAGGAGATGTTCTAACACAAATTCTACTATTGGCCCACTATTTATTCATTCATTAATTCAGCACACTATTATTGAGTTTCTATTTGGTATCAGAAGCCCATTCAAATATTTAGAATGAAGAAACAAAGTTGGAGTTAGAGCCATTTGGGTCTGGAAACAGAATCTGTCTCAAAATAATTACTTGGCCTTGAACAAGATAATTGACCTCTATAACCCAGTTATCTTTATTTCATGTTTAAAATGGGACAATGATACACTGTGATTAGATTAATATGCAAGGTGGACAATAGCTACTTTAGCAAAACAAATAAGAGATACCACAATTTACAGAAAAACTGAGAGATGGATGGAGCAATAGATCTATATATGAATAGTTGTTATTCAACATTTTAGAAATCAGCAAAATATTATGGGGTTCATGGTAGCATATTCATGGTAAACAAAAGGTTTGTGCTAGATACTAAGATTACATCTTTGTTCTCTGGTGGACATTTGGGAGAGTAGAGGCAAGAGTGTCAATGCCTCTACAGATGCTATTTTGATTGGGAAATGTTACTTTTTTGACCTTAATATCCTTATTTGTCAAATGAGTGAGTTTAATCACTAGGGTCTCTTTGAAAACCTAAATCATGTAGTTTTATATTCTCCATGTTTGTTTATGTTATTTGTTAGAAGCAGATCTTTTACCATATATAAGTCAGAAAATCACCTCTTCTATTTATTATTTTGTAGTCCTCTCATGACTAAGTTTATGTACCAAAGGATGAGAGAATCATAGGGCTTATCCCTAGTTACATTCTGACTTTGAAGACGTGGTCAGCATCAAGATTCTTTTATCATCAGTTCCCTCATGCAGCTATTCACTATTCAGCTGTTACATTGCTGGTCCTTCCTGGTTATATTGCAATTGTTTCATGTTTCTAAAATTCTTAGAGAGATTATAAAGTGTTTACATTATTTTCTTTGTGTTATTTTAATAATTGTTTTAATATTTACTTTCTCTCAACTATAAAAGATTGAGAGGTCTTATAAAATATTTAAAGTACTAATAGAGTGATCAGTGAACACTTAATATGTTTCAATCAAACAAAAAGTGGGTGTGAACATCTGCTTGAAAATTATTAATTATTTGAGGGAGGAACCAAGATGGCCGAATAGGAACAGCTCCGGTCTACAGCTCCCAGCGTGAGCAACGCAGAAGACGGGTGATTTCCGCATTTCCATCTGAGGTACCAGGTTCATCTCGCTAGGGAGTGCCAGACAGTGGGCGCAGGTCAGTGGGTGTGTGCACCCTGCACGAGCCGAAGCAGGGCGAGGCACTGCCTCACTCCGGAAGTGCAAGGGGTCAGGGAGTTCCCTTTCCTAGTCAAAGAAAGGGGTGACAGACGGCACCTGGAAAATCGGGTCGCTCCCACCCAAATACTGCGCTTTTCTGACAGGCTTAAAAAACGCGCAACACGAGATTATATCCCGCACCTGGCTCGGAGGGTCCTATGCCCACGGAGTCTCGCTGATTGCCAGCCCAGCAGTCTGAGATCAAACTGCAAGGCGGCAGCAAGGCTGGGGGAGGGGCGCCCACCATTGCCCAGGCGTGCTTAGGCAAACAAAGCAGCCGGGAAAGCTCTAACTGGGTGGAGCCCACCACAGCTCAAGGAGGCCTGCCTGCCTCTGTAGGCTCCACCTCTGGGGGCAGGGCACAGACAAACAAAAAGACAGCAGTAACCTCTGCAGACTTAAATGTCCCTGTCTGACAGCTTTGAAGAGAGCAGTGGTTCTCCCAGCACGCAGCTGGAGATCTGAGAACGGGCAGACTGCCTCCTCAAGTGGGTCCCTGACCCCTGACCCCCGAGCAGCCTAACTGGGAGGCACACCCCAGCAGGGGCACACTGACACCTCACACGGCAGGGTACTCCAACAGACCTGCAGCTGAGGGTCCTGTCTGTTAGAAGGAAAACTAACAACCAGAAAGGACATCCACACCAAAAACCCATCTGTACATCACGATCATCAAAGACCAAAAGTAGATAAAACCACAAAGATGGGGAAAAAACAGAACAGAAAAACTGGAAACTCTAAAAAGCAGAGCGCCTCTCCTCCTCCAAAGGAACACAGTTCCTCACCAGCAACGGAACAAAGCTGGATGGAGAATGACTTTGATGAGCTGAGAGAAAAAGGCTTCAGACAATCAAATTACTCTGAGCTATGGGAAGACATTCAAACCAAAGGCAAAGAAGTTGAAAACTTTGAAAAAAATTTAGAAGAATGTATAACTAGAATAAACAATACAGAGAAGTGCTTAAAGGAGCTGATGGAGCTGAAAACCAAGGCTCGAGAACTACGTGAAGAATGCAGAAGCCTCAGGAGCTGATGCGATCAACTGGAAGAAAGGGTATCAGTGATGGAAGATGAAATGAATGAAATGAAGCGAGAAGGGAAGTTTAGAGAAAAAAGAATAACAAGAAATGAGCAAAGCCTCCAAGAAATATGGGACTATGTGAAAAGACCAAATCTACGTCTGATTGGTGTACCTGAAAGTGATGGGGAGAATGGAACCAAGTTGGAAAACACTCTGCAGGATATTATCCAGGAGAACTTCCCCAATCTAGCAAGGCAGGCCAACGTTCAGATTCAGGAAATACAGAGAATGCCGCAAAGATACGCCTCGAGAAGAGCAACTCCAAGACACATAATTGTCAGATTCACCAAAGTTGAAATGAAGGAAAAAATGTTAAGGGCAGCCAGAGAGAAAGGTCGGGTTACCCTCAAAGGGAAGCCCATCAGACTAACAGCGGATCTCTTGGCAGAAACCCTACAAGCCAGAAGAGAGTGGGGGCCAATATTCAACATTCTTAAAGAAAAGAATTTTCAACCCAGAATTTCATATCCAGCCAAATTAAGCTTCATAAGTGAAGGAGAAATAAAATACTTTACAGACAAGCAAATGCTGAGAGATTTTGTCACCACCAGGCCTGCCCTAAAAGAGCTCCTGAAGGAAGCACTAAACATGGAAAGGAACAACCGGTACCAGCCACTGCAAAATCATGCCAAAATGTAAAGACCATCGAGACTAGGAAGTAACTGCATCAACTAACGAGCAAAATAACCAGCTAACATCATCATGACAGGATCAAATTCATACATAACAATATTAACTTTAAATGTAAATTGGCTAAATGCTCCAATTAAAAGACACAGACTGGCAAATTGCATAAAGAGTCAAGACCCATCAGTGTGCTGTATTCAGGAAACCCATCTCACATGCAGAGACACACATAGGCTCAAAATAAAAGGATGGAGGAAGACCTACCAAGCAAATGGAAAACAAAAAAAGGCAGGGGTTGCAATCCTAGTCTCTGATAAAACAGACTTTAAACCAACAAAGATCAAAAGAGACAAAGAAGGCCATTACATAATGGTAAAGGGATCAATTCAACAAGAAGAGCTAACTATCCTAAACATATATGCACCCAATACAGGAGCACCCAGATTCATAAAGCAAGTCCTGAGTGACCTACAAAGAGACTTAGACTCCCACACATTAATAATGGGAGCATTTAACACCCCACTATCAACATTAGACAGATCAATGAGACAGAAAGTCAACAAGGATACCCAGGAATTGAACTCAGCTCTGCACCAAGCGGACCTAATAGACATCTACAGAACTCTCCACCCCAAATCAACAGAATATACATTTTTTTCAGCACCACACCACACCTATTCCAAAATTGACCACATACTTGGAAGTAAAGCTCTCCTCAGCAAATGTAAAAGAACAGAAATTATAACAAACTATCTTTCAGACCACAGTGCAATCAAACTAGAACTCAGGATTCAGAATCTCACTCAAAACCGCTCAACTACATGGAAACTGAACAACCTGCTCCTGAATGACTACTGGCTACATAACGAAATGAAGGCAGAAATAAAGATGTTCTTTGAAACCAACGAGAACAAAGACACAACATACCAGAATCTCTGGGATGCATTCAAAGCAGTGTGTAGAGGGAAATTTATAGCACTAAATGCCCACAAGAGAAAGCAGGAAAGATCCAAAATTCACACCCTAACATCACAATTAAAAGAACTAGAAAAGCAAGAGCAAACACATTCAAAAGCTAGCAGAAGGCAAGAAATAAGTAAAATCAGAGCAGAACTGAAGGAAATAGAGACACAAAAAAACCCTTCAAAAAATTAATGAATCCAAGAGCTGGTTTTTTGAAAGGATCAACAAAATTGATAGACCACTAGCAAGACTAATAAAGAAAAAAAGAGAGAAGAATCAAATAGGCGCAATAAAAAATGATAAAGGGGATAACACCACCGATCCCACAGAAATACAAACTACCATCAGAGAATACTACAAGCACCTCTACGCAAATAAACTAGAAAATCTAGAAGAAACGGATAAATTCCTCGACACATACACTCTCCCAAGACTAAACCAGGAAGAAGTTGAATCTCTGAATAGACCAATAACAGGATCTGAAATTGTGGCAATAATCAATAGCTTACCAACCAAAAAGAGTCCAGGACCAGATGGATTCACAGCTGAATTCTACCAGAGGTACAAGGAGGAACTGTTACCATTCCTTCTGAAACTATTCCAATCAATAGAAAAAGAGGGAATCCTCCCTAACTCATTTTATGAGGCCAGCATCATCCTGATACCAAACGCGGGCAGAGACACAACCAAAAAAGAGAATTTTAGACCAATATCCTTGATGAACATTGATACAAAAATCCTCAATAAAATACTGGCAAACCGAATCCAGCAGCACATCAAAAAGCTTATCCACCATGATCAAGTGGGCTTCATCCCTGGGATGCAAGGCTGTTTCAACATATGCAAATCAATAAATGTAATCCAGCATATAAACAGAGCCAAAGACAAAAACCACATGATTATCTCAATAGATGCAGAAAAGGCCTTTGACAAAATTCAACAACGCTTCATGCTAAAAACTCTCAATAAATTAGGTATCGATGGGACGTATTTCAAAATAATAAGAGCTATCTATGACAAACCCACAGCCAATATCATACTGAATGGGCAACAACTGGAAGCATTCCCTTTGGAAACTGGCACAAGACAGGGATGCCCTCTCTCACCACTCCTATTCAACATAGTGTTGGAAGTTCTGGCCAGGGCAATTAGGCAGGAGAAGGAAATAAAGGGTATTCAATTAGGAAAAGAGGAAGTCAAATTGTCCCTGTTTGCAGATGACATGATTGTATATCTAGAAAACCCCATTGTCTCAGCCCAAAATCTCCTTAAGCTGATAAGCAACTTCAGCAAAGTCTCAGGATACAAAATCAATGTACAAAAATCACAAGCATTCTTATACACCAACAACAGACAAACAGAGAGCCAAATCATGAGTGAACTCCCATTCACAATTGCTTCAAAGAAAATAAAATACCTAGGAATCCAACTTACAAGGGATGTGAAGGATCTCTTCAAGGAGAACTACATTCCACTGCTCAAGGAAATAAAAGAGGATACAAACAAATGGAAGAACATTCCATGCTCATGGGTAGGAAGAATCAATATCGTGAAAATGGCCATGCTGCCCAAGGTAATTTAGAGATTCAATGCCATCCCCATCAAGCTGCAAATGACTTTCTTCACAGAATTGGAAAAAACTACTTTAAAGTTCATATGGAACCAAAAAAGAGCCCGCATCGCCAAGTCAATCCTAAGCCAAAAGAACAAAGCTGGAGGCATCATGCTACCTGACTTCAAACTATACTACAAGCCTACAGAAACCAAAACAGCATGGTACTGGTACCAAAACAGAGATATAGATCAATGGAACAGAACAGAGCCCTCAGAAATAACGCCACATATCTACAACTATCTGATCTTTACAAACCTGAGAAAAACAAGCAATGGGGAAAGGATTCCCTATTTAATAAATGGTGCTGGGAAAACTGGCTAGCCATATGTAGAAAGCTGAAACGGGATCCCTTCCTTACACCTTCTACAAAAATCAATCCAAGATGGATTAAAGACTTAAACGTTCGACCTAAAACCATAAAAAACCTAGATGAAAACCTAGGCATTACCATTCAGGACATAGGCATGGGCAAGGACTTCATGTCTAAAACACCAAAAGCAATGGCAACCAAAGCCAAAATTGACAAATGGGATCTAATTAAACTAAAGAGCTTCTGCACAGCAAAAGAAACTACCATCAGAATGAACAGGCAACCTACAAAATGGGAAAAATTTTTGCAACCTACTCATCTGACAAAGGACTAATATCCAGAATCTACAATGAACTCCAACAAATTTACAAGAAAAAAACAAACAACCCCATCAAAAAGTGGGTGAAGGACATGAACAGACACTTCTCAAAAGAAGAGATTTATGAAGCCAAAAAACACATGAAAAAATGTTCATCATCACTGGCCATCAGAGAAATGCAAATCAAAACCACAATGAGATACCATCTCACACCAGTTAGAATGGCAATCATTAATAAGTCAGGAAACAACAGGTGCTGGAGAGGATGTGGAGAAATAGGAACACTTTTACACTGTTGGTGGGACTGTAAACTAGTTCAACCATTGTGGAAGTCAGTGTGGCGATTCCTCAGGGATCTAGAACTGGAAATACCATTTGAGCCAGCCATCACATTACTGGGTATATACCCAAAGGACTATAAATCGTGCTGCTATAAAGACACATGCACACGTATGTTTATTGCGGCATTATTCACAATAGCAAAGACTTGGAACCAAGCCAAATGTCCAACAATGATAGACTGGATTAAGAAAATGTGGCACATATACACCATGGAATACTATGCAGCCATAAAAAATGATGAGTTCATGTCCTTTGTAGGGACATGGATGAAATTGGAAATCATCATTCTCAGTAAACTATCGCAAGAACAAAAAACCAAACACCGCATATTCTCACTCATAGGTGGGAACTGAACAATGAGACCACATGGACACAGGAAGGGGAACATCACACTCTGGGGACTGTTGTGGGGTCGGGGGAGGGGGGAGGGATAGCATTGGGAGATATACCTAATGCTAGATGACGAGTTAGTGGGTGCAGCGCACCAGCATGGCACATGTATACATATGTAACTAACCTGCACAATGTGCACATGTACCCTAAAACTTAAAGTATAATAATAAAAAAATAAAAATAAAAAAGAAAAAAAGAAAAAAAAGAGAAAAAGAAAATTATTAATTAAATTTCCTTTCTCATAAAATATAATAGGTGAAGAATTTCACTTGATTTTGAACCCAATAACTACAGGAAGAAAAAGAGATTTAGTTGAGAATTGCCTCAGCAGAGAACTTTAGCTCTTATAATAGTAAGCAGAAATAAATTCTAGGCACAAAGAACAGAAAGTTGCCGTGACTCTTAAGTCTCTACATTGTCCGATGAACAGGAGAAAATGTTCTTTCTAAATACCATTCTTCATTTCAAACAAGCTGTAGCATTTCATCTTCACCATATCACTAAGGCAAAAGCTTGTATAGGTTATGGTGATCAATCAAAGTCCCTGTTAAAAAGTTCTTTCTATTTTAACTACTCTAGAAATTCTCATTTAGGGGATTCAGTTCACAGAGCCAGATCAATCCATACTAATGCAGCTATCATGACCTTTATCTTTATTTTCCTCTTTCAAAAATGTGATATAAACATAAATCAAAGAGAAACCAATTCCCATAAAGTGAACTGTCTTTCTGGTTTGGTTTTTTGTCATTGTTGATTTTGTTCTGTGTATGTGTGTGTGTGTGTGTGTGTGTGTGTGTGTATGTGTGTTTGGCAGCATAAATTGAGTATCTTTTATCCAAAATGCTTAGGAACACAAGTGTTTTGGATTTCAAATTTCCTTGGATTTTGAAATATTTGCTTTATACTGGTGGAATATCCCAGATCCAAAAATCAGAAATGCTCCTATGAACATTTTCTTTGAATGATATGTTGGTTCTCAAAAAGTTTCAGATTTTGGAGATTTGGGATTTTGGGTTTTCAGATTTGGGATGCTCAGCCCATAATTTGAAAATTCTTAAGTTATTTTCTGTCTTTCATTTTGTAGTAGATGCAATGATATTTTGTCCAGATTTTGCTTACAGGACTGAAACACTTATATCAAGGCATCAAGCCTGGTGGAGTGGGGATGTACTGGTGGTCGAAGCACTCTCAGCTGCGTCCCTCTCCAGGAACTGGGCCAAAGTATCCTGTCCAAGACTTATTTTTCCCTGAAAGACTAGTAAATAAAGGTAAAACATCCAAAGGCTAGTAAATAAAGGTAAAAATTTTGACTGCTTTGCCTCAAATATGGCATACACTGAAGGGCCATGACAGCCTCAGAGCCAAGGACTTTGTTGCTTCTAATTTCAATTCATCTCCTTCTATCCAATTCTACTTCATCCATTACCCAACAGTTGTTTATCCTGAGAAGTTCAATATCTTAATAAACCTAGGAAACTGACATAAGACAGTGTGAAAATGTTCTTTCAATGGTAGTATAGAAAATTATGACATTCTTTTCAAATGATACACCATCATTTCTTTTTCTCAGGCACAAAGATTACCTGAAGTGTAGCTTATTGCCTTACACAGGGACTAAGGTTCAGGAAATGTAAGGGCAGTGAGTAAAATGATGTAAGATATAATATGAGACTATTAGGAAAGCTTTGCTGGACTCATTAACTGTCTGGTAAAGATTGAAATATGCTTTCCTCTATCTCTTACATCTATAGCAAACAACCTCATAAATGGTATCTGTAGTCCATCATAATGTAAATGAAATATCTTGTTTTCTACTCCCTGCCTATTCCAGGTTTATAAAACTTTTTGTTTATGGCTCCATCATTTTTCACCTTTATTGAATAGTAACCTGTATTGCCTCCTCCCCTCCAGCTATGCTCACCAGTATCACCAGTTCATCACCTAAATTACAAATACAAATATGTCACTCCCTCACCTTCAATAGCTCCCTATCACTGACAAGAAAAAGTCATCGTTTTTTCATACTGTATGGCATACAGAGTCAATGTAGTCTACATTTATTGCTTTAACCCTGCAAAAACTAGAAGTGACAATAGTTATTTTAATACAAGGGATGTTTTTACAACAGAGATTGGTTCTAATTCCTATTTTTCAAAACTTTTTAATAAAGTTCTTTATTCTCCCCCCAAAAATTGATTCAATTATTCATTCCAAATAAAGCAGAAGTAATCATTAAAAAGTAGTACGGAGAAGATAATTAGTTCCAATAAATAGTGAATGCATTTTCCACCATTTTATCTTTATAAGCAGTTCATATTCCATAAAGTCAAAGCTGGTAACATATTGGAATCAGAATCACTAAACTGTATTGTTTTATAGAAGTAGCCTTGGAAATTTACTTTTATTTAGATGTCAGAGTGATTAACAATATCAGTTGAGAATGAATGTTCATAGAATTAATTTGACTACCAACCTGCTTATTAAGTTATACTGGATTATTAATCAAAAAGTATTTTTAAATTACAACATATATATATTTAGCTGCAACATAAAAACACATATATACATACATATATACTTTTACTACAAATATCCATATAATGCTTTCTTGCATGACAAAATGTGTCAACAGAAAATTATATCTTCTGAATTTAATTCATGACAATTCAGAGTATTTATTGAATATATGGAATTCTGCTAGCTAGGCATTTGTATTATAAACTTGTCATAAGAAACATTGTTCTGTGTAGCATATAAAATTAAGATAAAATTTACAAATCTAAAAACACTACACAATCTTTTAAAGAGTTACAATAAAATTCTAAAATTTATAATATAAAAACCTATAGAAAAGTATTTGCACAAAGGAAGAGCTCAGTGTTTATTAAAATGTGCAGTTATAACTTCAAACATTTTCTGAAATAAAGAATAGTGTGTATTTTGTATTAAAAATTTATTCATGGAATTTATTTATGACATTGCAACATGCTTTCATTCATGAGGACCATTTTTTGAGAAACAATAGTTTAATGTTTGCTTTGTCTACATAAGCAATATCATGCTTTTATTTTTAAACAATTTTTATCGAGGTACAATTGAAATATAAAGAACTACATATATTTAATGTGTACAATTTGATGAGTTTGGACATATGCATGCAACTGTGATACCATCTCCACAATTAAGGTAACTGACATATCCAATACATTCCAAATGTCATTGTGTCCTTTTGTTTTCTGTTTCTTTGTTTGTTTTGCTTCTTTGCATGTAATATGAACACATAACATAAGATGTACCCTCTTATGGAATTTTAAAGTGCACAATACCATATTGTTAACTATAGGCACATGGTGTACAGCAGATCTTGAGAACTTATTCATCTCACATAACTAAAACTTGATACCCATTTAACAACTCCCAATTTCCCCAACCCCTATCACCTGGAAACCACTAATGAATTATTTGACTCTATGAATTTAACTGTTATAGATAATTCATATAAGTGGAATCATGCAGTATTTGTCTTTCTGTGACTGGCTTATTTCATTTTGCATAATGTCCTACATGGTTACATGTTTATTTATGTTGTTGCAAATGATAGTATTTCCTTCTTTTAAAGGCTAATACTCCATTGTACATATAGACCATGTTTTCTTTATCTATTCATCCATCCATAGAAACTTGTGTTGTTTTCATGTCTTAGCTATTGTGAATATCACTGCAATCAACGTGGGATGCAGATATCTCTTCATGATAGAGATTTTAATTATTTGGAATTGCTAGATTGATATGGTTTGGCTGTGTCCCCACTCAAATCTCATCTTGAATTCTCTTGTGTTTTGGGAGGCACCCAGTGGGAGGTAATTGAATCAAGGGGGCAGGATTTTCCCATGCCATTCTCATGATAATGAATAAGTCTCACAAGGTCTGATGGGATTATAAGGGGGAGTTTCCCTGCACAAACTCTTTCTTTGCCTGTTGCCATCCAAGTAAAATGTGACTTGCTCCCCCTTGCCTTCCGCCATGATTGTGAGGCCTCCCTAGCCATGTGAAACTGTAAGTCCAGTTAAACATCTTTCTTTTGTAAATTGCCCAGTCTCATGTATGTCTATCAGCAGCATGAAACCAGACTAATACAGTAAATTGGTACCAGTAGAGTGGGGTGCTATTGAAAAGATAACTAAAAATGTGAAAGTGTCTTTGGAACTGGGTAACAGGCAGAGGTTGGAACAGTTTGGAGGGCTCAGAAGAAGACAGGAAAATGTGGGAAAGTATGGAACTCCCTAAAGACTTTTTTACTGGCTTTGAACAAAATGCTGATAATGGTATGTACAATAAAGTCCAGGCTGAGTTGGTCTCAGATGGAGATGAGGAACTTGTTGGGAACTGGAGCAAAAGTGACTCTTGTTATGTTTTAGCAAAGGGACTGGCAGCATTTTGCCCCTACTCTAGAGGTTTGTGGAACTTTGGACTTGACAGAAATGATTTAGGATATCTGGTGGAAGAAATTTCTAAGCAGCAAAACATTCAAGAGGTGACTTGGGTGCTGTTAAGGGCATTCAGTTTCAAAAGGGAAACAGAGCATAAAAGTTTGGAAAATTTGCAGCCTGACAATGCGATAGAAAAGAAAATCCCATTTTCTGAGAAGAAGTTCAAGCCAGCTGCATAAATTTGCATAAATAACGAGGAGCTGAATGTTAATCCCCAAGACAATGGGGAAAATGTCTCCAGAGCATGTCAGAGACATTTGCAGCTGCCACTTCCATTACAGGCCCAGAGGCCTAGGAGGAAAAAGTGGTTTCACGGACTGGGCCCAGAGTCCCTGTGCTGTGTGCAGTCTACGGACTTGGTGCCCTGCGTCCCAGCTGCTCTGGCCATGGCTGAATGGGGCTAAGGTAGAGTTTGGGCCATGGCTTCAGAGGGTGCAAGCCTCAAACCTTGGCAGCTTTCACATGGTGTTGAGCCGGCGAGTGGACAGAAGTCAAATGGGGTTTGGGAACCTCTGCCTAGATTTCAAAAGATGTACGGAAATGCCTGGATGCCTAGGCAGAAGTTTGCTATAGGGGCGGAGTCCTCATGGAGAACCTCTGCTAGGTAAGTGCAGAATGGAAATATGGTGTTGGAGCCCACACACACTGTCTTTACTGGGACACCACCTAGTGGAGCTATGAGAAGAGCGACACCATCCTCCAGACCCCAGAATGGTAGATCTGCTGACAGCTTGCTCCATGTACCTGGAAAAGCCGCAGACACTCAATGTCAGTCTGTGAAAGCAGCCAAGAGGGAGACTGTACCCAACAAAGCCACAGGGGCGGAGCTGCCTGAGACCTTGGGACTCCACCTCTCGCATCAGTGTGACCCGGATGTGAGACATGGAGAAAACGGAGATCATTTTGGAGCTTTAAGATTTGACTGCCCCGCTGGATCTCGGACTTGCATGGGGCCTGTAGTCCCTTTGTTTTGGCCAAGTTATTCCATTTGGAATGGCTGTATTTACCCAATGCCTGTAACCCCATTGTATCTAGGAAGTTACTAACTTGCTTTTGATTTTACAGGCTCATAGACAGAAGGGACTTGCCTTATCTCAGATGAAACTTTGGAGTTGGACTTTTGAGTTAATGCTAAAATGAGTTAAGACTTTGGGAGACTGTTGGGAAGGCATGACTGGTTTTAAAATGTGAGGACATGAGATTTGGAGGGGCCTGGGGTGGAATGGTATGGTTTGGCTGTTTCCCCACCTAATTCTCATCTTGAATTCCCACATGTTGTGGAAGGGACCCGGTGGGAGGTAACTGAATCATAGGGGCAGGTCTTTCCCATGCCGTTCTAATGATAGTGAATAAATCTCACAAGATCTGATGGGATTATAAGGGAAAGTTTCCCTGCACAGGCTTTCATTTTGCCTGTCGCCATCCAAGTAAGATGTGGCTGCTCTTCCTTGCCTTCTGCCATGATTGTGAGGCCTTCCTAGCCATGTGAAACTCTAAGTCCGGTTAAATTTCTTTCTTTTGTAAATTGCCCAGTCTCAGGTATGGACTGATACACTAGATCATACGATAATTCTATTCTTAATATTTTGAGGAATCTCTATGCTATTTTCCTTAGTGACTGCACCATTCTCCACATTCTCTCTGTGATGGTTAATTTTAGGTGTCAACTTGACTGGATAAAGAAATAGCTAGAGATAAAGCATTACATGCAGGTGTGTCTGTGAGTGTTTTCATAGGACATTGGCATGTGAGTCAGTAAACTGAGTGGGGAAGACCCACCCTCAATGTGAACAGGCACCATCCAAATTGATTGGGTCCTGGGTAGAACAGAAAAGGAGAAAAGGATTTTGTCTCTCTCTCTTTCCTTCAGCACTCTCCTCCTTCTCCTCTTGGACATTAAAACTCCAGTCTCTCTGGCCTTGGGATTCCAGGACTCACATGAGCATCCCCCTAGATTGAGAATTATACCTTGTCTTGTCTGATTCTGAGGCTTTTGGATTTGGACTGAGGCATGCTATCAGTGCCACAGAGTCTCCAACTCACAGACAGCCTGTCACGGAACTTCTCAGCCTCCCTAATCATGTGAGCCAATTCCCCTAATAAATCTCCTATCAGATACCTATATTTAATATATCCTATTGCTTCTGTCTTTCTGGAGAACCTTAATACACTGAACAATATTTGCTATCTTTTGACTTTCTGATAACAGTCATTTTAGCAGGTAAAAGGTGATACCTCATTATAGTTTTGATTTGCATTTCCCTGTTAATTAATGATGTTAAAAAATCTTTTAATACAATTAAAGAAATTTCTGTACAAGTTATTTGCTCATTTTTAATTTTTTTCTAATGAATTGTAGTAGTTCCTTGCATATTTTGAAAATTAACCCCTTATCAGATTTATGATTTGCAAATATTTTCTTCCATTTATAGGTTGCCTTTTTATTTCATTGATTGTTTTATTTCACATACAGAAACTTTTTAGTTTGATATCTTTTCACCTGTATATTTTTGTTTTTGTTATCTGTGCTTTTGGTGTCATAGGCAAGAAATCATTGTTGTATTATGCCAACTGTAGTAAAATTAGTAGATTTACTTCCAAATCTGAATGCACTCTGGAAACCCCATATTTCCGTACTCAACATGTCAAAAGCAATTCTGCATTTCATCAGAGGTGGTTCAAATATTAAATAACAACAACAAAAATAAAGCTCTATGTTCTGCATGGTTGCAGAAAAACTTAAAAAGTATAATGAGTATAAATATTCTCTTAATTAGCTAAATTATATATTACATATATTTTATTGAAAATTTAGCTGTAAATTATATATATTGCCTTCAGTCATTTGTTTTCTGAAAAAAAAACCTAGATAAATAAGTCAAGATCAAATAATTGAATAAAAATTGACTGAATATAATAGCATAAAATTTATTATTGCTTTGTTTTTTAACTGGGCTGCACAATAGTTTCTAACTAGTTTTTATTTGTTGTGAAAGGCCCTATAGTATTTTATTTTAATTTTTAAAAATCTAAAAATTAACCCAAGGAAAAAATTACTCATTGTGAAACAAACAGGAATTTTTTAAGATTCATTTTTGGGCAAATAAAAGTGTCATTCAAGTATGCCCAAGAATCATGAGTAAATAGCAGTTTACAAGGATGATATACTTAACTAACAACATTGACTCTTTTTGAATCTAATGGGTGAAATCACTATCTTCGAAAACTCCTTCATGGTTTGGACTAATTGAACACCTCAAACTGTAATTGGAATATACATTTGAATTTGATTTCTAAGGTCGGTTTTTGTTCACTTAATAAATGTTAATATTCACTGATTACCTAAGTGTCAGGTGCTCTTCTAAGATTGTGGGATATATTGAAGAACAAATAAGACAAAGAAACCCTGCCTTCATGGAGCATGCATTCTGGTGCTCAACTTTTTTTTTCCTTTGGTTTTATATTTTGTACATCCAGAAAAGAGGTGGAAGTATCGGACCTTTCTTTACAATGAAATAAATAGTCAAGATTTTCTTTCACCATTTTTTGGAAGAATCATTACAGCCTCCATCTTTTAAGATACAGAGTAGTAAATAGAATTTCCTCCCCCATAATTTTATTTTAACTAAAAATAGGACTTCAGCTTCCTAATGCCAATAGAAGTTATTCCTAAGTCACTAGTATTATGGGGTCTCCTAATCATCTCATATTAATTGTAGAATTCCAACAATTGTAAAGTTGCACATTATCATTTAAGCAAAGAAAACGTATTTTCTAAAACAAGCTTAAAGTTGACATCAAACTGGAAGAAAAGCTCACATCTTATCGGAATTATGCTATCAAGATGGCATAAGTTTTTCTTAAGTTAATGCCTAATTTTTTTGCCATTGTGCAAGTTTCATTTGGTGACTTTGCCACTTAGCCTTTGGGAACAGAGATGCCAACTTCTTGCAATAATCCTGCACTAATAGATTCATGAAGTGAGGGATTTCTTTACTGTTACCACTGTACTTAGAGTCCATGGTTATTAAACAATCTAGAATTTCCCAGAACGTGCTATGTGACCTAGCCCAAATTACTTGTTCTCTTTGCCACAGTATTTTCATTAATGATACAGGTATTAATACTCCCTCACAATGTTGTTGAAAAGCCTGGTCAGTGACACTCAGCATAATCCACGGCAGGTGGCTCTGAAGAGTGGTGGCAGCCAACGGCCAGCTGAAGAACACAGAATTTCTGTGTTCCACCATTTCTGAGTCTGACCTGATCCCCTAGTTGCCACACAGAAGCAGAAACTCTAAAGTCTTGATTGTCAGGCATGCTAAATGCAGACAAAATGATAATCATTCAACCATTTATATTACTTTATTACAATATTATTTCAATTCATTCAACATTTGTTTTGTCTGTTATATAGTGGTCATTATGCTAGGCATTTATAACAAAATCTGTGCCAGCATATCAATGTTTTATATTTAACAAACAACCATAAACATATTTCAATTTATTATAGCCTATTACTTTTATAGTTATAACTTACCATTTTTAAAAAGGCTCATGTCTAAAAAGATTTATTGCCAACTATATGCAATTTATTGTGATAAAATAATAATTATTATTACTAGGTTTCTACTAGATTTTTATTCTGAAATTTGCAGGAATTTCTTATTTATCCTTCCTCTTTTGCATTTGGTGCCTAAAGAAACTTGAATTGTTGCAAAGAGAAGATGTTAAACACCTAAGAATCTTGTAAAAGGATTTAAAATTTGGTCTTATAAAGTACTAACAAATGAAAGATAGTTTTAGTTTATATGTCCCTGATGAATCAAATGAGAACTAGAGTGTAAAAAGCATCAATAAGACAGGTATTCTTTCCAGTAAAAGAGACAGAATCACTCCCTAAAAGGAGGCAACTCCCTCAGTGGATGGTGAATTCTATGTTACAGAAGAATTGATTCAAAGCATTTGTTGAAATGTTATAGAACAACACTATTAAATAAAACTTTCTACTATAATGTAAACATCGATGCTTCTAATACTGAGTCACTAGTAACATAGTTATTGAGCTTTTGAAATGTAGGTAATGTGGTTAAGGAGCTACATTTGTATTTTAATTAATATAAATTTAATTTTAACTACGTAACTAGTGTCAATTATGTTGGAAAGCAGAGTTATTGAATCTATTCAAACATAAGTATCAAATGACATTTAAGGTTCTATGTCACACAGACAGTCAATGCTTCTGTGATTCTCAGGCAATAAAAACTTCTAACCACAAGGCTCCCTGCCCCACTTTGCACATGCCTTCATTATTATCTCTTTCCCTAGTGAAGCGGGGTCCTGGATACTGAATGTGTTACATTTTCTATGTGTTTGAAAAGGAAAAATAAGATTTTCATAATACTATTCAAATTAACTGCTTTTTTAAAATCACATACTAATTTGCTTCCTATGGGGTTAACCTTAAATGATTTACAAATTAAGAGGTTTCTGAATGTTTAAAGCAAATTCATCTGGCAGAGATGTCAAGTGACCAGTATTGCAAAAGCTCAACGTCCCTGGTTCTTACTTTCAAAATTTATTGTTTGTGAGACAAATGAATGATAATGTAATCACATAGCAAAAATTTTCCCAGGGCCAAAGAATTTTAAGTGGTAGACAGGTTTGTTTTGTTGTTGTTGTTTTGTTTTTGTTGTTGTTTTTTTCACTTAAAGCTTGACTCATGGAAAGCTGCCAGAGGGGGGGAAAAAATAAACCTTGTGCTGTGTTCTGGATGTACTATATAAAATCCAGACTTCTTAACGTGACATAAATTTTCAGCCAAAGTAAAATATTTGTTTTCCTTGTACAGATTCCATTTTTCCTGCTACATGACTTTTTTCATGTGGCTTTCTCTGCTTGAAATGCCTTTCCTCACAATTTTTTACATTGAAAGCATATGTAATTCTTAAAATCCATATCAGTGCCACTTTATGTCTGGTTTTCTTTACTCCTTCTACCTGGAGTGTGTGTGTTTTTTCCTCCTAGACCTTTTGTATTTGTAGCGTGAGATAATGTACATGTTTATCCCCTAGATCACAAGCTGGCCATTATTGATGTCTCAGAAGTCTTCGTAACCTCCACAGTACTTAAAACAATGACATAATATTACATGGAAAATAGGATGAAGTAGCAAACAAATGAATGGAAGAATGTATCAAAGAAGGAGAAAGAAAAAAGAGTGAGAGAAATAAAAAGAAAGAAAGGAACGAAGAGGAGAGACAGAAAGAAAGATGGGGAAGAAAAATCCTTAAGGATTTTTCTCACCAGTAATGGTGACTGAAAAGTGAGTTAAACATTAATTGAAAATACTAACCATTTTTGAGAACTCTACATTGCAAGTTATATAAAACATTTAAGCAGATGTAAATGCATCTGAGGAGGAGAATGTATTGGGTTAAATAGTTTGAATGGTCTTTGGAAGATGGGGTTTCAGCGCAGTTGGACATAAGGCTTGAAATGACACCCTCAGACTGGATCCTTTCTTTCTTTTGGCTCTGCCTCCTCTGCCTTCTAAGGGTTCCATTTTGTCTGCCAGCAGCTGCAGGGGCTATATAGTTATAGCTTTACTTGTGGTTGACAAGTGATGGACATTTTTCCACTCTTCTTTTCTTTTCTTTCTTTCTTTCTTTCTTTCTTTCTTTCTTCTCTTTCTTTCTTTCTTTCCTTTCTTTCTTTCCTTCTTTCTTTCTCTCTTTCTCCCTTTCTTTCTTTCTTTCTTTCTCTCTTTCTGTCTTTCTTTCTTTTCTTTCTTTCTTTCTTTTTTATGGAGTTTAACTCTTATCTCCCAGGCTGGAGCATTCTCCTCCCCTGGAAGTTTCCTGTAGAGTAACCTCACAAAACTATGGATTGAAAGTGGAGAAAGAGTGATATCTTTCCTACCTCCCACTCCCAACCAATAGGGTCTGCTGCCTGAAGAGGAAATGTGTTACTGGAGAAACAAATAACAAATGCCTATTTTAACAAATGAAACAATATGAAATAATTAATGAGTCATATACTTGAGGCAGGAAAATAGTGTCTGGAGGCAGGGAACATAAGGCCAATTCACACTTCAGATATGACAGGAAATATCCTCTTCATAAGGCGTACACCTAGTAAACCTTTGTATCTTTACTTAAACCTCTCATTTACATAGGGCGTACACCAAGTAACTAATGGAAACTGGTAGAGTGTATTTAAACCCCTACAAATCCTGTAACGGGGCACTTGAGCTCCTATGCCCAGGTCCGCTTCCACACTGTGGAGTGTACTTTTTCAATAAATTCATTCATTCATTCCTTGCTTTGTTTGTATGTTTTGTCCAATTATTTGTTGAAGACACCAAGAACCTGGACAGCCCCTACTGGTAACATACATTGGTGAGCCAGCCAGGAGAAATTCCGGGAGAAAGTAGGCCCAAATTTTAGGATTTTTCTCCTTTCCCCTTACCTTTCTGCACCATACAGGGGAATCAATCTCTCTCTCTCTCTCTCTCTCTCTCTCTCTCTCTCTCTCTTCCTTTCCTATTTGGGCTCCATACAGGGGAATCTCTCTCTCTCTCTCTCTTTCTCTTTTCCTCTCCTACTTGGGACCCTTCGTGGGCAGTGCCTAAACATGGAAGCAACTGCAAGTTTCTGGCTGTGGCCAGTGAAACTAAGGGGTTTTCATGTGGAGGCACCTAACCGCCACCGACCGGTTCACTTAAGGGACCTGGGTCTTTTTCATCATTTCTTTTTTCCTTTTCCGTCTTTCAGCAGCTGTTTCCTAGTAGCTCCTTGGAAATTGAGGGCAATTGGCTGGGATCACTTCCTGGTATTGCCTGAAGGCATAGGAACGAATGGGAATAATTGCCCTACCCAGAAAGGGAAATGACTCCTTTTTTGTATCCTTTCCAGGTGTGTTCCCTGATCCCTACATGTGGCACAGCTCAGAGCAAACTCACACATGTTTCAGACGACCTACACCTTCTTTTCATATGCTAAATTCTTCCCTTCCCCTGTTCAACTGACTAAGGGCAAAAGAAACCCCACCCAGCCTCTGATTCCTATTATTAAAGTTCATGGAACAAGAAGCATGGGAAAGCATGGCCTTATCAAATTATAAGAATGCTAAAAGTTGGGGATTACACCCAGGGACCAAAGGAAAGCTCACAGGCTCTGGAGGGAAAGCGTGCAAAGTGGCACTGGTGTCCACCTAAGGTCAGAGACATCTGACACTCTAAGATTGGACCCCATGGGAGGACACTCTGGGGGATCCTGAGGACCTCAACCTCCCCAAAGGGAACGCTCTTGGCAGAGGTTCTGAAGTCTGGTAATAAGTCCTTAGAATTTTCTCTTGCAGTTGCAATGCTGTTTGGCTCCAAAATTTTTTGGAATCTGGAGTTCATTGTCAAATAAAGTGAAGTGGCATTGCATAAATCCAGGTTTTTGTGCCTTAACATGTGACATCCTCCTTTGCTGCTGTTTGGCCCCAGTGCTCTTTGGAGTCTGAGGAGGTTTGGCCTTTAAAAATCAAACTGTCCTGGAGGTGGCTTTACCCGAAATTTTGATTCACAGCCTTCATTGGATTATTAGGGCAAACAATGTAAAACCGACAAGCTTGTATTGCTATCTCATGGCTAAGCTTCCAAGCTATTGGATTTTTCATTTATGTGTGTGTATACATGTCTAGATGTGTTTATTTGTAAGTACATTTATTGTTATATGTTGTGTCTATTATGTCTACCAAATTGGCTTATAAAGAAAAGAGTGCTCATAAATTAAGTAGATAAGTCTACGCAATTTTGCAATTTTCAAGTTTACATGACTTAAGTATAACTTTATTAAACAAGCTAGCTTTAAAATTATTGGTAAAATAAAAATAGAAATGCCTTCAGAATTGTCAGCATACATTTTATCTGAATTTTATGTTTGTCTTTGCTAGATATTTTAAAATGTCATTGTTAATTCAAGCTGGGAACGCTTAGGGCAAACCTGCCTCCCATTCTATTCAAAGTCATCCCTCTGCTCATTGAGCTAAATGCATATCTGATTCCTTCCTTTGGAAAGGCTAATTGGAACCTCAGAAAAATATAATCATTTGTCTCCCACCTACCTGTGAACCTGGAAGCCCCAATCCCCCTACCCTACTTTGAGTTTTCTCGCCTTTCCAGACCAAACCAATATACATTTTACATATGTTGATTGCTGTCTCATGTCTCCCTTGTTAAAAGTGAAAGAATTGGTAAGATGAATGGGATAAACGTTTTAGGTAAACTTTTGTGTAAATTACAATCTTATTTTTCCTCATTTAATATCTGGGTCATTTCTGATTAAGAAAGGGTTATGATATGGGAAAATATATTTTTTAAATTGTGGAATTGTTTTATCTATAAATGCCCATATCTGATAGTTCAGGAATTCTTGCTTTTTAGGGTTTCACTAAAGTTTTATGTTACTAAGGTTAATAATTCTAGTTAGCATGTAATTCTGTATACAAAATGTGCCAGCAAAGGCTATGTTATTAGTGAGAAAAGAATTATTTTTCTTTTTCTAATTCAGAAGTCATCTATGGAAGAAGTTTAAATAATATATTTTTAAAACCTGATAGAGAATTGGAGACATTTGGCTAATTAACATTCTTAGTCTTTTTTTAGTTTGTTTTGAGATGGCATTTCACTCTCTCACCCAGGCTGGAGTGCAGTGGCATGATCTCAGCTCACTGAAACCTCCACCTCCTGGGCTCAAGCAGTTCTCCTGCCTCAACCTCCCAAGTAGCTGGGATTACAGGCACACGCTGCCACACCTGTTTAATTTTTGTATTTTTAGTAGAGGCGGGTTTCATCACGTTGGCCAGGCTGGTCTCAAACTCCTGACCTCAGGTGATCCACCTGCCTCAGCCTCCCAAAGTGGTAGGATTACAGGCATGAGCCATCACACCCGGCCAAAAGCTCTTAGTCTTAATTAAAGCAAAATAAGAAGTATTGTTAAAAAATGCGGCCAGGCGCAGTGGCTCACACCTGTAGTCCCAGCACTTTGGGAGGCCGAGGAGGGCAGATCACGAGGTCAGATCGAGACCATCCTGGCTAACACGGTGAAACCCTGTCTCTACCAAAAAATAAAAAAAATTAGCCGGGTGTGGTGGTGGGCACCTGTAGTTCCAGCTACTCGGGAGGCTGAGGCAGGAGAATGGCGTGAACCAGGGAGACAGAGCTTTCAGTGAGCTGAGATCGTGCCACTGCACTCTAGCCTAGGAGACAGAGCGAGACTCCATCTCAAAAAAAAAAAAAATGCATCGGCAGTTTGACAATTTTTTTAAAATATAGTTAAGCATGAAGCTGGATTTAGTGAGGAGCCAAATTTCACAAGCATGCTTGCATTGCTTTACACTATGTTTACTGTTTTGTGTGGACAGTGCTAGAGTATTTATTGGTCATGTGCCTTAAGTGAATTTCTTGATTGCACAGAATGTATAATAATATTGGTGAACTTAAGGATATTACATTTTGTATCAGAAATAAAATATTCATCATGTGGGTTTTTTGGGGCCCTATGTAACACTGTAGCCTCCAGGGTAGATTAACCAGGAAAAATTTAGGGTTGGTTTTATGTTTATTTGTTTTTGCTTCTAGTTTTAATTTGGTTGCTGTTTACTTTCCATTTATCTTGAATTTCTAGGCTACCTTTATCGGCCCACAGGAATTGATGGAGCGCACCAGTCTTTTACCCTTAAACTAACTTTTTGGATTTTAAGTTTCCTGATACTTTAAGAGTGTTGAGTATACTTTGGTAAATAGAATTTGAGTCATATTTATCTATCTGCCTAATTTATTCAAAATTTGTAAACTCTTTGTGAATATTCTTAATTCATGGCAATGTGTTTGTCTGCATACAGTCAAGCAGGGCCACTAGAGCCGCTCAGGGAGAGATAACCCTAAATCTGACATGCCTGCAAAAGTGTGAGAATTTCTTACCAGACTCTGGCCTCTTTCTTTCTGTGCAGACTGGTTAAATGAAAGGTAAAAGTCACAGTTTATCTCTTCTGTAAAGTTTTAGTTAAAACAAAAGAACTTTAATTAATTGGTTTAATAATGATAAGAGCTTCTATTGTTACAACATCAGCCCTCTTGCATGGGAAAGCTTTTATACAACCAGAAGACATGCATTGAAAATAATGATTGGATGAAATCCCTTTACAAAATGTTTAATGACCCACCAGGTGACCAAATGTGCCTGAAGCTTTAATTGTTTTCCCAGGAATATGGGGTCAAGCATTGGTTATAAGCTATTTTAGTAATTTGTAAGCTACCACACCAGTGTATTCAATTTGGATTATTTTATTATTTTATTTATTGGTTCACTCCTCTTAGCCCACATCATGGGTTAAAGAGAACATTGCCAGTAGGCCTTCACTCTTCCAGAAGAGCATCATTTGTTAGGTCCTTTTTCCTTGGTTTAAAGTGAAAAAGCAATGATTAGAAATGTACACCTCATGATAGGCTCAAATTTTACTGTAAAGGCTACAGTTACACAAAGACTTTAAATTGTCTTGTGAAAGTTATAATAGAATTTGCTGAACAGAAAATTATCTGTGCAGCTGCTAATACTTGTGGCCTATGGAAAAATACATCAAATGAAGATTATAGAAATTCAGTGGTAGAGAATTTGCAAAGGGACTGCTTAGTTAAGTAGTAAACTGTTTATCTAGCTCATTCTTTGATCTATTTGATTTTAGGAAGTTCAGTTTATGGGGACCTTGGGTAAGGAGTATACTCCAAATTCTTGGTATTATCTTCCCATTAGTCGTAATAATAGTCTTCCTGGCATGCTGTATTCTCTCAAAGGTTTTGAATGTTTGCATGCAGCCATCTCTAGAGTGTCATACGGTCTCTCTTCAATTGAAATAACAAGAGCTGAAAGAAATGAGCAACCATGAGGACACCATAACCTATGAATGATGTGCTAAGACTGAAACCCAAAATGATGGTAACTGAGAGTGTTATTAAGGCCCTAAGTTTTGGTTACCCTCTCACCTAAGTGAGAACCTGACCAAAAAGGGGGATTTTTTAAAACAAAGTTATGGAAGGCCATTGTTTTGGACTGAGCTCATGCACTAGGCTCCAACAGACCAAACCAAACTATAATGGAGTTGCTTGTGCTAAGACTTTAAGGTAACACATAGATCCTAGAACACAACACAAACCAGGTTTTGTTTTTCTCATACAAATCTCTATAACAAACATTCTTGACAGCACAGGTATCCACTCCTTGAAGTTCCCATTAAATCTTTTAACGAAATTCATTTCCTCTTGCCTAGAGACCATCAAGCTTCAGATGATCATGTGACAAGGGTTCCAGCCAGTTCCAGGTGAAAGACACCACCCCTGACCATCAAGGAAACCCTGTCCCCACTAGACAGAGCAGGGTGAGTACTGTGATACTCAGTCGCTGGGAGCTACATCTCAAGCCAGCATGAAGCAGTTATAGAAGAAAGACTGTGGGTCCCTCTGCCTCTTATAAAGATTTATGGGGATCACGTCTCTCAGAGAGAAAATGAGGCAGGAAAATAGGGTCTGGGGGAAGGGAACATAAAGCCGATTCACACTTCAGCTATGACGGGAAATAGCCTCTCCATAGGGCATACACCAAATATAAGTAACTTTACTTCATCCTCTCTTTTACATAGGGCATATACCAAGTAACCAATGGAAACCCATAGAAGGTATTTAAACCCCTACAAATTCTGTAACGGGGCCCTTGAGCCCCTATGCTCAGGCTTGCTCCCACATTGTGGAGTGTACTTTAATTTTCAATCCCTTCATTTCTTCCTTGCTTCGTTTGTGCGTTTTGTCCAATTCTTTGTTCAAGATGCCAAGAACCTGGACACCCTCTACTGGTAACACTCTGATTAAGCTCCAATTCAAGCCTGCCATAAATCACCTGACATGCTCGTGAAGCCTCCTCAGTCTTCATATTAATCTTTTGGGGTCTATTCTTTCTTCTAAGAAAAATCTATCATAAGAGGGAGTCAAATGTATAAAATCACTCACACATGGACAGAGAGAATTTTCAATCAGCATTTTCTCCCAGGCAGAGTCTCTACATGTGTCTTCCATAGATAACATCTGGTGATAGTGATACCTGTCTTTAGCTTCTGGTTAATAGTCCTATTGGTTTCTCTCAGAAAACATCTCTCTGCAGGCCTAAATTATATTGATAGTGACTCCTGTCATAAAGAATAGATGCCCACTCTTACCAGGGTATAGTTCAAGGATAGGTATCTCTGAAATGACATTTATTTCATGTTATTATTCATAGAATCTTGATTATTTGATTTTGGCCTTCCACTTGGTCTTAAATTTATATTTCTGTGTATTGTATAGAACCAGCCCTTCTTTAAACTTACTTCTAAGAATTACTCTCAGGCATTAAAAAAAAAAAAAATCTCCTCCCTCTTTTATTACTTGTAGGCAACCCAGACTCATGATTAAGAGTACGGGCCTTGAAGTCAGAAAGAACTGATTTCTTGTCCCAGATCAAACCCTTTATTAAATACTATAAGGTTCATGATCTATAAAATTGAAATAATGTCAAAGAGTTTTTGTAAAGACCAAATAAAGTACATCCATGCTCCTCTGAACATGTCCTTACATAATATCCTCATGACACCACTACTACCTTGCCTTGATTTGCTGGAAGCTTGCTCCAAAATAGTGCTTTATAAAGAAAATCAAGTTATTTAATGAAATCATGTGTCACCCAAATGAATAATCTGGAAACATTAAAATCATCTTAATCACCAAATCTTGAACCACAATATTCATAAACATTTTTTCTAATTGTTATTTCCCGTATTTTAACTTAGTGTAAATAATCATTTTTTCTTTTTCCTAGATTCCAAATGAATTCAATAAGTATTTTCTAATATATACTCTTGCCTTCCATTTGTTTTGTTAGGTGCTGGGAAACAACTCTATAGAAGTGTCTTTTTACTCAGAAATTAGTTGTTTTCTATAATAGTTTAGACAGGTGATTAAAAATACAACATTGACTACAATATGAAAATTTCTGTGTTGTTAGGAAACAAAAGAGATAACCTAAGGGAGCAAAGAAAGATAAAGATCTAAGGCAGAGAATTTATGTAAGCACCAGATCATTAAGGCCCTTCTATGATATAGCATGGATTTTGTACTTTGTTCTAAGTAAAATCAAAAAATATTAATGGATTTTCTTCAGTGAAGATTTGTATTTTAGCAACATCTCTATGGTCATATGGGAGAATGAATTCCAGGGAAAGGCAGTCAAGAATGAAGACATAAGGCTCAATGATATGATTGTTCATGTAACACAGGTTAGAAATACTCATCTTCTCAATACAGTTACAGAGAATTTGGACTTCAGGGCACAGATAAGACAGCACTTGGTGATGGATTAAATAAGAGAGTAGAGACAAAATGTCTACCAGGTTTGAGATAGTACATGGAAAATCATGCCATTCACTCTGATGGAAATAGTGAAAAAGATGGCCATTTTTCTGTCTTAAATCCATCATTCTCAAAGCTAGGTCTGTACCTTTCTAACATGACCTTTCTAAAATACTTTTGATCACAACAGTCCCTGCACAAGAAATTTGTTAATGGATAACCAGTACTCACAGAATAAAGTCCAGACACTGCATTCAAGTATCTGCATAATTCGTTTATAACTCACCTCTTATTTCTCTCTCATTCTCTTACCCTAATCAGAGTCACTGAGCCTCTTTTTGTGTGTATGTGTGTGTGTGTGTGTGTGCGTGTGTGTGTGTGAGAGAGAGAGAGGTAGAGAGACAGAAAAAGAGAGAGAGAGAGAAAGAAGAGAGGTATTCCGCCTATAGTTAAATATTCCTAGAACCTTGCCTAACTGGCAAACTTGTATCTATCCTTTTTGATTCAGTTAAAATGTTACTCCTTCTATCCAAGTTTCCCAGATGTCTCCTTCATGCCAAATTAATTATATATCATCCTTTGGCTGTCATAGCAGCCATAGTCTTATTTTAAAAAAATATAATGTTGCATCATCAGAATGTGTTTCATGTCTTTATGCCATTAGACTGTGAGTTCCCACATGGCTGAGATTATCTTACTCTTGTACTATACATCCATCAATGCTAAATACTTTTCTTTATATAAAGGAGGTACACAATAATGCTTAATAAATACAATAAACATGGGACAAGTGTGTTAGTACAAGCATGGGCATAGAGTTGTGTGGATCCTTTTTGTGGACCATTTTTTTCTGATTCTGTACACCGTGTTCTATTTCTAGTTTGTCTAGGAATCTGAGATGACAATGATCAGAAATGGTAGGAATTCATTTGATAGAAAGATATTTTTTTAATGTCCCAAATTTAGACAGTGTTAAATTTTGACAGGGCTTAGTGTATGTTAACATTGTCCAGTGCTGTCATCTTATAGCCTTGCCATTCACTGAATAACATCTTATTATTTTCAATGTATTTGTTTTAATGACTGTTTGCAAAGTGTTCTAGATTTTGCCAATATGCAGACTTACACATCAGAAATCTTCTATTAAATTTTCCAACTTATTTGACACATTATGGTTGATTTGAAATTTCTACTCTTTGACAAAATTTGCCCTCATCACCTAAGTATTTGAAATACACTTGTTTGTTATGCATTATTCATATCTATGTATAAAGTATATTTAATATAGTAGTCTTATTGAGTATTGATAGAATTGAAGCTTTATGTTGTGACTTTTACACAGATTACATGTTTACTGTATAGTACCCAGGTGATACATAATCATCTATAAATCTGATGACCAACTTTTGAAATTTGAAAATAGTCACCATATTTCAGTGTATATACCTAGTTATTTTGTTTTTGGAGAATAATAATGTATATGTAATACTTCTTATACAATTAAAACTGCTAAATATATATTCAGTAATTAATATTCCATAATATAGAGCAATATATTTATATATTTTTTTTATTTTTTAGAGCAATATATTTATTTATTTATTTATTTTTTAGAGAAGAGTTCTAACTCTGTCATCCAGACTGGAATGCTGTGAAATGATTATAGCTCACTGCTGCCTCAAACTCATGTGTTCAATCAATCCTCCTACATCTGTCCCCTGGGTGGGCACTATTGGCTCAAGCCACCATACTTACCTAGGTTTTTTGTTTGTTTGTTTCAGAGACTGAGCGTCTTGCTATGCTGCCCAGGCTGATCTCAAACTCCTGGTCTCAAGCAGTCAACCCACCTCAGCCTCCCAAGTAGCCAAGATTACAGGTGCAGTGGCTAAAGCAGTATTTTTTAAAATCTAAAGCCACTTCAAGAAATAGGGAAAATACACAAAATTAGATTAATATAGAAGAAGAGCTATTCACACAGTAACTCTACAAATACATCAAAATGTATAGAAGATTAGATACTTTAGAAGAGGGCACATAGGCCAACAGAACAGAAAAGAGAACTCTTAAAGTCTCATACCTTCAGCCATCTGATCTTCAACAAAGTTGATTCAAATAAGCAGTGGGGAAAGGATTCCCTATTCAATTAATGATGCTGGGATAGCTGGCTAACTGTTGCAAGAAGTCAGGGACCCTGAACGGAGGGAGTGGCTGGAGCCGTGGCAGAGGAACATAAATTGTGAAGATTTCATGGACATTTATCACTTCCCAAATAATACTCTTATAATTTCTTATGCCTGTCTTACTTTAATCTCTTAATCCTATTATCTTCATAAGCTGAGGATGTATGTCACCTCAGGACCCTGTGACAATTGTGTTACCTGTACAAATTGATTGTAAAACATGCATGTTTGAACAATATGAAATCAGTGCACCTTGAAAAAGAACAGAATAACAGCGATTTTAGGGAACAAGGGAAGACAACCATAAGGTCTGACTGCCTGCAGGGTTGGGCAAAAAGAGCCATATTTTTCTTCTTGCAGAGAGCCTATACAGACGTGCAAGTAAGGAAGATATCGCTAAATTCTTTTCCTAGCAAGGAATATTGATTTTAATACTCTGGGAAAAGAATTGCATTTCTGGGGGGAGGTCTATAAACAGCCACTCTGGGAGTGTCTGTCTTATGCGGTTGAGATAAGGACTGAAATACGCCCTGGTCTCCTGCAGTATCCTCAGGCTTACTAGGGTGGGGAAAAACCCCACCCTGGTAAATTTGAGGTCAGATCGGTTCTCTGCTCTCGAACCCTGTTTTCTGTTGTTTAAGATGTTTATCAAGACAATACGTGCATGGCTGAACATAGACCCTTATCAGTAGTTCTGTTTTGCCTTTTGTCCTGTTTCCTCAGAAGCATGTGATCTTTGTTCTCCTTTTTGCCCTTTGAAGCATGTGATATTATGACCTAATCCCTGTTCTTGAACCCCCTCCCCTTTTGAAATCCTTAATAAAACTTGCTGGTTTTGCCTACGTTGAAATATTGGGGGCAGGTTCCCCCAATAGCTAACCATATGCAAAAGAATAAAACTGGATTTTTATATTTCACCATATACAAAAAATTAATTCAAGATGCATTAAAAATTCATATGTAAGACCTCAAACTACAAGAATCCTATAAGAAAACCTAGGAAACAACATTCCGGACATCAATCTTGGGAAAGAATTTATGACTAAATCCTCAAACGCAGTTGCAACAGAAACAAACATTGACAAGTGAGACATAATTAAACTAAAGAGCTCCACACAGCAAATGCAACTATCAGCAGAATAAAGAGACAGCTTACAGAACTGGAGGAAAAAATTCATAAATTATGCATCTGACAAAGGTCTAATATCTAAAATCTGTAAGAATCTTAAACAATTCAACAAGCAAAAAGCAAATAACCCCATTAAAAAGTGGGGAAAAAACATGAATAAACACTTCTCAAAAGAAGACATGTAAGTGGCAAAAAAAAAAGAAAAAATGCTCCAAATCAATAATCATTACAGAAATATAAATCAAAGCCACAATAGGATACCATCCCACACCAGGAAGAATGGCTATTATTAAAAAGTCTAAAAACAACAAATGCTGGTGAAGCTATGGAGAAAATGGAACACTTATACACCATTGGTAGGAATGTAAATTAATTCAACCACTGTGGAAAGCAGTTTGGGGATTTCTGAAAGAACTTAATATACAACTACTCTTCAACCCAGCAATCTCATTACGGGTATATATCCAAAAGAAAATCAATTGTTCTAACAAAAAGACACATGCACTTATATGTTCATTGCAGCAATAATCACAATAGCAAAGACATGCAATCAACTTTGGTGCCCTTAAACAGCAGACTGGATAAAGGAATTGTGGTAATATACACTGTGGAATACCATGCAGCCATAAAAAAGAAAATAATGTTCTTTGAAACAACATGGATACAGCTGGAGGCCATTATCCTAAGCAAATTTACTCAGGAATAGAAAACCAAATACTGCATATTCTCACTTACAACTAGGAGCTAGATATTGAGTATTCATGAACATAAAGATGCCAGTAATAGACACTGGGGACTACTGGAATGGGGAGGGAGGAAAGGAGCAAGAGTTGAAAAACTAACTATGGGATACTATGCTTATTACCTAGGTGATGAGATCAATTATACCTCAAACCTCAGCATAATGCAATATACCCATGTAACAAGCCTGCACATGCACTCCCTGAATCTGTAATAAAAGTTGAAAGTAAAAAAATAAAATAAAATAAACCAAAATGAACAAAAATTGAGTACAGTAACACTTAATTTAAAAAAATATTTAAGTTCCAGGATACATGAGCAGGATGTGCAGGTTTGTTACATAGGTAAATGTGTGCCAGGATGGTTTGCTGCACCTTTCAACCCATCACCTAGGTATTAAGCCCCCATGCATTAGCTATTTATCTGGATGCTCTCCCCACACCCGACCCCCACAGGCCCCATTGTGTGTTGTTCCCCTCCCTATGTCTATGTGTTCTCATTGTTCAGCTCCCAATTATAAATGAGAATATGCAGTGTTTGGTTTTCTGTTCCAGTGTCAGTTTGCTGAGGATAATGGCTTTGAGCTCCATCCATGTCTCCACAAAGGACATGATCTCGTTCCTTTTTATGGCTGCATAGTATTCCATGGTGTATATGTATCACATTTTTTTTATACAGTCTATCATTGATGGGCATTTGAGTTGATTCCATATCTTTCCTAATGTGAATAGTGCTGGAATTTTTAAAATTTGTGAATGTCTTTTACTAATGAATGCATATGCTTAGTGTGTTAGTCCATTTTGCAATGCTATAAAGGAATATTCAAGACTGGGTAATTTATGAAAAAAAATTTATTTGGCTCATGGTTCTCCAGGCCCTACTGGCATGGTGTGGCATCTTCCCAGCTTCTAGTGAAGGCCTCAGGAAGCTTACAGTCAGTGAAGGCAAAGGGGAAGCAAGAGTAATTCATGTTAAGAGTGGTACCAGGTTCTTTTAAATAATCAGCTCTTGATAAACTCATAGAGTGAGAACTCAGTCATAACCACGGGAAGAGCATCAAGCCATTCATGAGGGATCCACCCTCATGGCTCAAACACCTCCCACTAGGTCCACCTCCAACATTGGAGGTCACATTTCAACATGAAATTTGGAGGGGGCAAAACATCTAAACTATATCACCTAAGATGTCAATTTTTACAAATCATATTTTATTAATACTGAATTTGATTAAAATTTATGATAAAATATTGGGATTTAATATATATATAAACATATATATATGTGTGTGTGTGTGTGTATATATATATATGTAGGAAAACTAACAATTTTTGTAATCAATTCAATCACTTTCTTTGATTCTGCCCTTCTCTTAAACTATGTAAGTGTTGAAAATACTTTGAAAGAATTGGTGCTTCTGCCTTGCCAAACTTACATGTTATGCTCTTCCAATATTTTAGGGGCATGTCACTTTCATACACTACCTTAACCAAAATTATCAACTATTTTGCTTAATAGCTATGTATTTGAATATATCCAATTTTATACCAATATCTTTGAATATTTCTTCTTCTTGCCTTTCAGTACATACTTCTAGGCTGAAGTTGTTTTTTTCCTGAAATACATATTTGAGTGGTTCTTTTAATGAAATTCTGGGAGAGAAGTTTTTTGATTATTTCAGTTGTTTATAAAAAAGAGATTTGGAATTAAATGACACTGGCCCTCATCCCCTCCTGGGATAATGGATGTTCTACTAAAATAATGATCGTTTGTTAAGTCAATTGCATTCTTCCTACTTATACTTACTTTTTCACTCTATATTGCCAACTGATTGAATTTATTCACCTTTAAAATGTATGACTTTCTTCTTCTCATCCTTCTCTATTAAAGAACCAGAATAATACAACAGTAATGATATCTCATTCAGAGATAATATGTAGTGATCTAGCTTGTTAGGCTGCATGAGGAAAGTAGCAGAGATGGAATATTTTCATAAAGTATATCTGTACTAATATTAGTTTCTGAATAACTCATAAAACAAAAGAATACTGCCCATAATGAGACGACTGTACTTTTTCAGAGTCAATTTCCTAATATTTCTTGAAGTCTTCTCCTACTTAGGAAAACAATGATAGCAGCATTAATCAGTATGCAATTACGGATGCTATATGCTAAGAAGGTTTTGAGCTAACTTCTAAGGTTCACTAGTGTCAGCTACAGTATTCTTCTTCATTCTAAGAGAACTAAAGGGTCTTTCTCTCCGCCATAAGCTATCTAATTATGTAAAGAATAGAGATTAACTGATTATGATGAATAAATTAATCTCAGGAGAAGCAAAAACTCAGACATTTCTAATTAGCATAATTTTCCTGGGACAACTAGAAAAATTCTCTATTCTTATTAACAATAATCAACAGAACAATAATTTCGGGCAGCACACTACAAAATTATTAGAATCATCTTTAGGACACAGATTAAGAAGTTATAAATTCATATCAAAATTGTTTAAAAACTAACAACAAACAATGGCTGAAAGAGCAACCTCTGTTTCGACTTACAAGATTACTCACTTTTGTTTGTTATGCTTTTATCATCATCATCACACTGATATATTGAATATTTGGCTTGCATTATGCTATGCATTCTGTATGATGAAATAACTTTAATCTCTACAACAACTTAATAGGGTCAGTGTTAGTATCGCATCGAATTTAATGATCATGCACAATGGCAACCTTACTTTGCTTGGCTCTCATTAAACTATAATTTCTCTAGAATAGCTATTTTTAAATTTTTAAATCAATTCTTATTATATATTAATGATTTAAAATTTTTTACTTAAATATTTAAAATAACTGTTAATTTATTAAACTGATATGGAGCTAGGCAATGTGAAAATATATAGAATAAACATGAGATAGTTCTGGTAATTCTCAATATTTCATGTTTCTAGAAAGAACACCCTTCAGCATAGATTTGACATAACAGTTTTTGTTTTTATCTGATCAACAAATCAGAATGAAAATAAGGACTAGAGAAATGTTAGAATATATTGTTTTATGATACTTAAAGAAGAAATATGTAGGCATAACATGTCAAATCATAGAAAACAAGATCCCAAATTCTTAAGCCAAATGTGATTAATAAAATCATTACGAAAATAACAAGAATAGTTACATAAAAAGAAACAAACAAAAAACTACTTTGACAGATTATCTCCCTTAACAATATAAAATTATTGCATCCAAATAACTACATTTAAAAGTATGATAACATGGGGAGAGAAAATACTCTGAATTTTATTTTCCTTTGTACATCAGACATTAAAATGTGACCTTCATCATAAATGGACTATATCTGCTCAATGGAATGATGTGTATGATATTCATATTGACTTTTAAATCTTGAAAGTACTCTAGAATTCAAATATTGTGTTCTATAGTCTTTCATAAAAATAAACTTACCAAACAAGAAGATATCAACAAATAATATGTATTAACCTATTTAACGTTTGCCATGACTACCTATGATCATAAATATATATATATACATACAAATAAAGAGTGTATGTATAATAATATAAAAGCAGCAGTCACAGGATATCTTGCATGTTTGCAAGCTTTTGATAATGAATTATTAAATACTTGGCAAAGTGCTGTGTTAGCAGATAAACAAAAGCAAATGTGTTTGTCACATACATGGGAGATCAATGTGAAAGAATCATAATGCATATCTGCCAGTGTAACAAGGTAAGAGAAAAGAAGCACATGTCTGAAATACACATGCAAGAAGCTATCAAATGTCCATTATAGCTCCTCATACTTGCATCTCCATACCCCCTCACTCTCTAAACCCCAACCATGCTGGCATCCCTGGTCTTCCAATGATACTGCAGCCATACTCATGCCTTAGGATCTCCTTACCTGCCCTTTCCTCTGCCTGTATCCTGGATTCCCATAGACAGCCTGACTGTCTTTCTTTTGTTAGATTTTTTGTAAAATGTCACCTTTTCAGCGAGTTCTTTCATGGCCAACTTGTGGAAAATGGCAACCACTTCCCAGCCTTCCACATAAACCAGTAATTATATCACTAATCACCATCTAAAATTGTCATCACTGCATCCACAGTGCCTAAAATGATGCTATCCTATAATAGGCGATATATAAGTGATACATATTTGTGTATATATATATACCTCACAGCCTGATTTTATAAATAGTTTTATTAAAACAAAGTCACATCCATTTGTTGATAATGTTTATGGCTCCTTCACTCAATGGCTGAGTTCCATAGCCCTAAATATTACCTATTATGTACTGGATATATAGTGATAGCTGCACATAAGTGATATACAGTGATATCTTGCTTTATTGCACTTTGCTTTATTGTTCTTTACAGATATTGCGCTTTTTAAAAATTAAGATTTTTGGCAAGCCTACTTCAAGCAAGTCTATCTATGCCATTTTTTTCCCAACAGCATTTGCTGGTTTAGTGTCTCTGTGTCACATTTTGATAATCCTTGTAATATTTTAAACTTCATATTATTAATATATCTGTTATGATGATATGTGATCAGTGATCTTGATGTTAACAATGTAATTATTTTGGAGTGCCATAAACTGCACCCATGTAAGACATCAAGGTTAAGCAATGTTGTATGTATTCCGACTGCTCCACTGACCAGCCATTTCCCCACCTCTCTCCCTCTCTTCAGGTGTCTCTATTCCCTGAAATATATTGAAATTAGGCCAAGTAATAACCCTACATTGGTTTCTGCATGTTCAAGTGAAGGAAGAGTTTCAAGTCTCTCATATTAAATCAAAAGCTAGAAATGATTACACTCAGTTAAGAAGACATGTCAAAAAGCAGAGAGGCTAAATTCTAGGGCTCTTGTGCAAAAATATTTGGCCAAAGTGTGAATACAAAGGGAAAGTTCTAGAAGAAAATGGACACAGCTTAGATAAGAAAGCAAAACAGCCTTATTGGTGATATGGAAAAGTGTTTAGTGGTCTGAATAGAAGAGCAAATCAGCCACAACATTTTCATAAGCCAAAGTCTAATCCAAAGCAAGTGCCTAACTGTCTTCAATTACGTGAAAGTTGAGAGAAGCGAAAACCCCGCAGAAGAGAAGTCTGAAGTTAGCAGAGGTTGGTTCATGAGGTTGAAGAAAGGAAGCCATCTCTATAACATAAAAGTGTGAGGTGAAGCAGCAAGTGCTGGTATAGAAGCTGCAGCAAGTTATCCAGACGATCTAGCTCAGATAATTGATGAAGGTGGCTACACTAAACAACATATTTTCAATGTAGATCAAACAGCCTTATATAGGAAGAAGATGCCATTTAGGAGTTTCATAGCTGGAGAGAAGTCAATGCCTGGCTTCAAAGCTTTAAAGGACGGACTGACTCTTTTGTTAGGGGCTAATGCAGCTAGTGACTTTAACTTAAAGTCAGTGCTTATTTGTGATTCTGAAAATCTTAGGGCACTTCAGACTTATGTTAAATCTACTCTTCGTGTGCTCTATAAGTGGAACAACAAAACCTGGATGACAGCACATCTGTTTATAGTATGGTTTACTGAATACTTTAAGTCCGCTGATGAAACCTACTGCTCAGAAAAAAAGGCTTCTTTCAAAATTTTGCTGTTTATTGAAAATTCAATAATCTGATCAATTGATTGAAAATTCAATAAACAGCAATATTTGGTTACCCAAGCTCTGATAGAGATGTACAAGAAGATTATTGTTGTTTTCATGCCTGCTAACACATCATCCATTCTGCAGCCATAGATCAAGGGGTAATTTCAATTTTCAATTCTTATTATTAAAGAAATACATTTCACAAGGCTATAACTATTATAGATAGCGATTCCTCTGTTGAATCTGGGCAAAGTAAACCTTTGAAAAAGATTAATCATTCTAGATACCATTAAGAACATCTGTGATTTATGGGAGGAAGTCAAAATATCAACATTAACAGGAGATTGGAAGAAGTTGATTTCAATCTTCATGGATGACTTGGTGGGGGTTCAAGACTCCAGTGGAGGATATGGTAGAAATAGCAAGAAAACTAGAATTAGAAATAAAGCCTGAAATTATAACTGAATTACTGCAATCTCACAATAAATATTAAACAAGTGAATAGTTGCTTCTTATGGATGAGCGAACAACTTGGTTACTTGAAATGAAATCTACTCTTGGTGGAGAGCCTGTGAACATTGTTGAAATGACAACAAAGGATTTAGAATTTTGCATTAAATTAGTTGATAAACCAGTGGCACGGTTTGAGATAATTGACTCCAATTTTGAAAGAAGTTCTGCCTTGGGTAAAATGCTATCACACAGTATTGCATACTACAGAGAAATCATTTATAAGAGAATCAGTCAATGTGGCAAACTTCATTTTTGTCTTATTTTCAAAAATTGCCACAGCCATCCCAGACTTCAGCAATCATCACCCTGATCACTCAGCAGTCATCAATATTGAGGCCAGACCCTCCACCAGCAAAAAGATTACAACTCATTGAAGTCTCAGATTATGTTAGCATTTTTTAGCAATACATTATTTTTTAAATTAAAGTATCTACATTAAAAAAACATAATAGCACTGCAGTCAATAGACTTTAGTATAGTGTAGACATACATTTTACAAGCACTAGAAAAAAAACCTTTGATTTTGTCCTATACATTTTTGGGGGCCCATTTTACTTTATGAAAAATATTACTTTCTTTATATGCTCTGCATACAGAATTGTTTCTTTTACATCTAGTAGTTTTAATTATGTATATTAGCTGTGGATGACAAAAACTTAGAGTAGTCATGATTAAAGGTACAATTGAGGAGAAAATATGTTTATATTTCTGTGGCAAACAATGACCTAACATAATAGCCATAATTATGACTCATAACATATACCAAGACATGTCAGAATTTAAAATTATTATACAATTTTGGATTGTATTAATGTATTAATAATGCATTTATATAAATATAACTTAAAGAACACTAAACATCATTTTAAAATCATGCTTTCTGTGTACTTTTAACATACCAAATAGCCCTAATACATCTCCCTTGGCTATCCAGGAGTTTCTGTTATGTCCAAATTAGTTTGAGTAAAAAAGACTTGATTTTGGAATTTCAAATTTAACTTTGTGAAACTTGTCAAATATCAAAGTTTTAAAGAATTTGATCAAAAGGGGATCACAGGTCATTATGAATTAAAACCAAAATGACAAAAGATTTTAAAGGCACAAAGCACAAGAAACTATCTTCATGAAACATGGAATGGAATCTCTGTTTCCTAGGTCAGTTACCTAAAAAGTTAATAAAAACCTTTTACAATTTTCTATTAAAGAGAAGATCAATGCTGTGAGAAAACCTTGTTCTTCCAACACAGGAGCCCAGACTCTAGCCTTCTGTCAGTGTGCTTTTGATATTAATGTTCAATTTTTAGAAAAAAATATGAATAATTTTCTTTTAATTTCAGCAGCCAACTTGATCACACATAAAATTTTTTTCATTAGATTAATCTTTCACAAATCTTCTACAACTTACTTTAACCTTTGGTTTTTCCCTTTACTTTTTTCAGGGGGCATTCTACCTTGGGGGAAAAATTACTTTCTTTATATGCTTTGAATATAGAATTGTTTCTTTTATATGGAGTAGTTTTAATTATGTATATAAATTCTTAGTAACCCTAATTTTCTTATGAAAAACCTAGGAAGTAAGTCATTTTGAACTGTTTCATACCAGTATTTGTTGGTGAAAACTACTTTATAATTTTAGTCTCAATTTTTTAAAAATTGACAGGTCTAAATAGATTTAGCTTTTCTGTACCATATAAAATTAAGGTGTCAAAGTATATAATCATAAATATATGTGTAATAAGTAATGTTTCAGCATTTTAACATACTCAGAAATGACTCAGACATTTTATAATTATCTATTACTTAATTTAACATAACATGCTCTTAAGATTTTAAATTATTTAAAAGAATTTTGAAACTATGATACAGGCATCCCCCGCAACATCTTCCTCAGTTTCCCTGTATCCTAAGTATCCATGTGGTACCCAAGGATGGCTATAAAGGAAAGAGCCTGAGTGCTAAATTTACATGCGAGTATAGAACATAGGACAGAGG
Source organism: Homo sapiens (assembly GCF_000001405.40). Taxonomy (NCBI): domain Eukaryota; kingdom Metazoa; phylum Chordata; class Mammalia; order Primates; family Hominidae; genus Homo; species Homo sapiens. The sequence goes on along the minus strand of NC_000001.11, from coordinate 80,101,624 downwards.
ACAGATCTGGAAGATATAACCTCTCCTAACATAGCCAGGAGACAAAGGTGGGACTAGGAGGACAAGGACATATTGGGCTTGATTATGATTGGTGCTGGTGGTCTAGATGCTAGGACATGTTCCCAGGCATTACCGTGTCTACCTCTCTAGATCCTAGGGTGCAGAAGCTTAAAAACAAAGACAAGCTTACACTAATATGTGTGCAAACCTTCAGCAGTGCTCAGCAGCCAACTCTTATAGCTTTAATTCACAGAAAAATCAAACAAGCAACAGTTTTACGAACTTAAAACATCTAGCAGAAATAGCCTAAACCTGTCTGGCCAGTAGTCCCAGGCAAAATGTATGAATCATTTCATAATACTGCCAATTCCAAAGACATTCTAATTTGATTTTGCTAACAATTTTAGCCTAGTTTTATTTTAAAAGTATTACTAAAGTTGCATTAACTAAATGGCATTTCAATTTCTACTTTTCTGATAAAATATTTGATTCAACTGCTTACTTCTCTAAGCCAATTATTTAGAACTCTTTCATATATTTTGGAAGTCAAATATCACATACACATAAAACATATAAACATACAGATATATAGACAGAAGTAGATATTATAGGTTTATAAGATTTTATTCACCAGTTTTTAAGTAATTTATCTCCCTGCTTTAGACTATCAATCTCTAAATTACCTGTTCTGTATCTCTAAACACTTGTTAGGTAAGCAACCCTAATTTGCATTTCCAAAAGGATAATGCCTAGGTGAAAATTTACATCACAAGGGCAAAAAACTTTCATTTTGCTGACATAAAAGAAGGGCTTAAGGAAATGGCCCAGTGCAGACAAGATTGCCAGAAATATCTAAAACAAAGGTAAAGTTTTTAATGTAAATTTTAAGCCAAAGTCTTCTTCATTATGAAGGTTTCTAATGGCCTAGGTGAAGAGAGGGAGATGTTTTTACAAATGGAGATTTATTTTATAGATGTAATTTTATTTTTTACAAAGAGTTTCAAAATAGCCAGCTGAATGACAAAAAGTAGTTTGGAGACCAATTAAATTAGCTAGGTGATCTTTTCATTTAGCTTATTTCTCGATTGGGTTACTGACTTCAGAGTGGAGCCCCTTAATAGAGTAGAATAAAGCATTTTTCATGTATGAACATAGCATAAATAGCTCTGAATAAAAAAGTAAGAATATTTTATCTGAGGTCATATTTTTAATTAACCCTTTATCTAGCCTTATTATTTTTTCTTTTTAAGCCAAAGGTGCTTTTCAAGTGACTTACCAAAACCAATGAGCCTTAACAAAGGTCATGAATTAACTAAGGATGAACTAGATATCAAGCAGTCTTTGCAAGATTCAGAACAACCCCAAAGACAGCTCAAAGGGAAAACAATCTTGCTAGTCACAAATGGAATACAACCCATACCTGCCTGATCATATTCTTTAAGGTGTCATCCTCTCATCTGAGTTCCTGTCCATATAGGTCCGAAATCCTTGCATACTCCACAGACAGAAAGGACAGAAAATTAAAAGCTCTCCATTGAAAGGAAAAGGATGAATAAAAAATGGGTATACCTAAAGGTTAAGAGTCATACAAATAATTTAAAACAAATGATATCAGTTATCTGACTAGGAATTAAACCTGTGCTGTAACCAGGAAAGTTCAGGACCTTAGCCACTGGAGCATAGGGTGAAGTGGTTTTCGGTAAATTATCCAGGGGATCCAAAGAGGCAGTTTGTGTATACAAAGGATTTGAACTTTGTTTCAGGTCAGATTTTTGCTCTTCATTATCAACAAGAGAATTTCTAAGGCTAGCCATGGCACAATTACATGTGTTTTAGTGTAAACTTAATCTTTACATGACTACAAATAAAGCAATTTATTAAGAATGATATATTTCTAAAATATTTTTAAAATTTAGGAGTCTAATTTAAATAATCTATCTTTTGGTCATTGACAGTTAGAATTTCCAACGGTGTACTTATTTTAATAGCGATTCAATTCAAAACCAAAATGTATACCAGTGTGGCCATATCCAAGGCTAGTCACACAAATTATTTTTTCCCATTAATCATGATTTTGTAAAGGAGACAAACAGTGATTTTTATTTTTTTTACCATCTGCTTGACTGGATCACAAAAAGAGAGCCTGGGAGCCTAATCTGTAAGAAGTTCTTACCCATCTATTGGCTTATCAGGTCCTTGGTTCCCATTACTATGACTTCCAAAAGAGCAGAGTGGCTTTGGTGATACTGCACACAGTTTCAAAAGTACAGGGTCAAGAGAAACCTCCCCCTTCACTCTTGGACAGTTTACTAAAAAATCAACTCACAAGGGATATTAAAGGAGAAATGACACACACATTTATAAACATGCATACATGGGAGAATCACAGAGTGATTGCCCCCTTTAGGGAGAAATGAAAAGTCTTAAGAAATGAAAAGTCTTAAAACTTTGCTAAGGAGTGAGAACAACTGGCTGAATAAAACTCAGGACTCAGCAAACTGGAAGGTCCAGCACTCAGGGGAGACTCAGGAAAGACTCAGAAGGGACTCAGTCATCTGCAATCATGGAGTAGCCAGAGGGGCTCAAAAGACCCATACTGGTACCAACCTGTGAGTTCTTGCAATGTTCCTGCTGAAGAAGGTTGTGGTTAGAAGGGAAAATTGAAATGTAAATGGGGGAGCAGGGAAGTACAGGGCTCTCTGTTTTAGGGTCTGACTGCTTTTTGAGTTTGGAGACATTGCTTAAGTCTTAGGATTAGTTTCCTGTGACAATGTTATCTTCTGTGACAATTCCAAATTTTGTTTGGATGTTTAAAAATGTTGGTTAGAATCACAGAGTCAGAGGCGAAGCAAAATGGACAAACAGAACCCTGTAGCAATCATACCCCAACAGGAACATCAAATTCAACAACTGTTCATTCAAGAAAGCACCTTTATAAAAACCAAGAAATCAGGTGAATAGTCACAGTACCTGGTTTTAACATAATATCAAGCAATGAGGCCTTGAAGAGGGTAGGAAAGTCAGTGTTGCTTGCCTATATCACTTCTACTCCACCTCCTGTCAACGTCATGCAGAATGAGGATCTGTGGGCTTAGGGGAGACAGAGTAAAGTATATGTGGAACTTTGCATCAGAATTCAGTGCTGTCATTGTGGAATACAACACAGGGCAGCATTCTTCTGGCACTGACAGAGGGACCATTTAGACCAGCTCTGTACCAGAAGGGAATTATCTGTCCCAGTGAGAGGAATATGAGTCCCTGCATGTTCCACCCCCAGCTGGCTAAAGTGGCCTGGGGCCCAGAATCAATTTGAGAGGCAGCCAGCCCACAAGGACTGCAGTCCTTGGGTAAGCCTTGGAACCTCACTGGTCTTGGAGATAGTGGATTTGGGGTGCATGTGACCTAGTATGCTACCAGCCATGATGGGCAAGAAAGTGCTTACATCACCCCTCTCCTGATTCCAGGGAGTGCAGCTCAGAGGGGGACTCCTTTTGTGTGGGAAAAGGAGAGAGAAGAACACAGAGGACTTTGTCTTGCAACTTGAGTTCCAGTTCAGCCACAGTAAAATCAAGCAGCAAGCAGATTTCTGAAGGTCCATTTTCAGGATTTGGTTCCTGGATGACATTTCTAGGCCCACCCTGGGCCAGAAAAGAATCTGATGCCCTGAAGGAACAAACCCACTCCCTGCAGGATTCATCCACTACTGACTAAAAAGCCCATGGGACTTGAATAAGCATCAGTGGTAGCCAGGCCATAGTTAAAATGGGCCTTGGGTGAGGCCCAGTACTGTGCTGGCTTCAGGTATGATCCAGTGCAGTGCCAGTTTTGATGGCCACAGGAGTGGTCACAGCATCTTTACCCCAACACTAGGCAATCCAGCACAGAGACAGACTCCTTCTGACTGGGGAAAGAGAGGCGAGAGAGAAAGAGACTTTGCCCAGTAACTCAGGAAATTCTCCCTCATCCTACACAAGCCCACTCAGGTGGTATCTCTAGAAGTTGGCAAGAGCTGCAGCATTGTTGGGCACAGTTCATCACTAGTGCTGATACACCTACAGTGACCACAGACTTAGATCACAACACTTTGCATATATGAAAAGCTTTCTCAAGGACAGCTCAGACAGTGAAGATTTGAATAAATACCTAACTTTTCAATGCCCAGACAGCAATGAACCTTCATTCAGAAGCATCAAGAATATCTAGAAAAACATGACCTCACAAACAAATTACATAAGGCACCAGTGATCAATCTAAGAGTGATGGAGATATGTGACCTTTCAAACTGAGAATTTAAAACAGCTGTCTTGAGGAAACTCAGCACACTTCAAGGTAACACAAATAAGGAATTCAGAATTTTATCTGACAACTTTAACAAAGACATTGAAATCATAAAAAAAATTATGCAGAAATTATGGAGATGAAAAATTCAATTGAAAACTGAAGTGTATTAGAGACTCTTACCAGCAGAATTGATCAAGCAGAAGACATAATTAATTTGAAGATAGGCTACATGAAAATACACAAAGGAGAAAAAAGAATAAAGCATGCCTGTAAGATCTAAAAAATAGTCTCAAAAAAGCACACTTTTGAGTTATTCACCTTAAAGAGGATGTAGTGAGAGAGAGATTTAGGTAGATAGTTTATTCAAATAAATGATAACAAACAACTTTCCAAACCTAGAGAAAAATGAATATCCTGGTACAAGAAGTTCATAGAACACCAAGTAGACTCAATATGAATAACAACTTCATGGCATATATTAGCAAAACTCTCAAAGGTTAAGGATTTTAAAAAAATCATAAAAGTAGCAAGATAAATAAGCAAAAAACATATAATGCAACTCTGATATGAATGCAGCAGACTTCTCACAGAAAACTTACAGTCCAGGAGAATATGAGATGGCATATAAAATGTGCTGAAGGGAAAAACTTCCAACCTTGAATATTATGTCCATCAAAATTGTTATTCAAACATGAAGGAGTAATAAATACATTTCCAGACAAACAAAAGCTAAGAGATTTTGTCAATATCAGATTTGTCTTATAAGAAATGCTAAAGGGAGATCTTTAATCTGAAAGCAAAGGACATCAATAAATAATAAGAAATCATATGAAGGTATGAAAATCACTAGTAATACTAAGTACAAAGACAAATACAGAATACTCTAAAACTGTAATTGTGGTATGTAAGCCATTCACATGTTTAGCAGGAAGACTGGATGGCAAACCTATCAAAAATAATAACTACAATGCCTTTTTAAGAAATAGACAATATAAGAAGACAGACAACAAAAAGTCAAGAAGTGGAGAAGATTGAGTTAAGTTGTGAGAGTCTCTTAGTTTTGTCTTTGCTTGCTTGTTTTTTCTTTTCTTTATAATCAAAGTTAAGTTGTCATCAGTCTAAAATAATTGGTTATAAGATGATATTTACAAGCCTTATAGTAACCACAAAATAAAAAGCTATAACATGTACACAAAAAATAAAAAAGCAAGACATTAAAATATACTAATATGGTTTGTCTCTGGGTCCCCACCCAAATTTCATCTTGAATTGTAATCCCCATGTATTGAGGGAGAGACCTGATGGGAGGTGATGGGATCATGGGGCAGTTTTCCCCATGCCATTCTCATGACAGTGAGTTAGTTCTCATGAGATCTGATGGTTTTAAAAGTGGCTGTTTCCCCTGCACTCTCTCTCTCTCCTGCTGCCATGTAAGGCATGCCTTGCTTCCTCTTTTCCTTGTACCATAATTGTAAGTTTCCTGAAGCCTCCCCAGCCATGCAGAACTGTGAATCTAATAAACTTCCTTTGTTCATAAATCACCTAGTCTCAGGTAGTATCATTACAGCAGTGTGACAACAGACTAATAAATACACTATCAGGCAAAATCACTCTTACAGAAAGGAACACAGGAAGGAAAGAAGAAAAAAGAAAAAGAGGACCAACAAAACAACTGGAAGACAAATAACAAAATAGCAGTTTTAAATGCTTTTCTATCAATAATAACGTTGCATATACATGGGCTAAAATAAATCAAAAGACATAGAGTGGCTGAATGGATATAAAAGCAAGACCCAACTATGTGCTGCCTATAAAAAACTCACTTCACCCATCAAGACACATAGACTAAAATAAAAAAAAAAAGGTATAAAAAAAGATATTCCATGCCAATGTAAAGCAAAAAAGAGCTCTAGAAGTGCTTATAATTATATCAAATAAAATAGAGTTCAAGACAAAAACTGATAAAAAAGAGGCAAAAAGGTCATTATATAATGACAAAGAGGTCAATTCTGCCAGAGAGTATAACAATTGTAAACTATGTATACATCCATCACTGGAGCACCCAGATGTATAAACCAAATATTATTTGAGCTAAAGAAAAAGATAGACCCCAATGTAACAATACCTTGGGAGTTCACCCCACTTTCAGCATTGAAAAGGTAGTCCAGACAGAAAATCAACAAATAAACATTACACTTAATCTGCTCTATACATCAAATGGATCTAACAGATATTTATAGAATATTTTTCCAAATGGTGAAAAATAAATTCTCCTCAGTGCATACACATTCTCAAGAATAGGCCACATGTTAGGCCACAAAAACATTCAAAAAGAATAAAACCATATCAAGTATTATTTTAACCACAATGGAATAGAACTAGAAATCAACAATAGGAGGAATTTTGGAGCTGTATAAACACATGATATTAAACAATATGCTCCTCAATGATCATTTGGTTAATAAAGAAATTAAGAAAAAAATTCAAAAAATGTCTTGAAACAAATGAAAATGGAAATAAAACATGCCAAAATCTATGGAATACATCAAAAGCAATACTAAGAGAGAAGTTTATGGCAACAAATGCCTACACCAAAAAAAGTAGAAACACATCAAATTAATAATCTAATAATGCATCTTTAAGAACTAGAAAAGCAAGAACAAACCAAACCCAAAATTAGTAGGAGAAATAATACAGATCAGAGCAGAAATAAATAAAATCAACACTAAAAAAAAAAGATCAAGGAAATTAAAAGTTGGTTTTTTGAAAAGATAAAAATATCAAACCTGTAGCCAGACTAACAAATAAAAAGAGAAGACCCAAATAAATAAAATTAGAGATGAAAAATGAGACATTGTAACTGATACCACAGAAATTCAAATGATCACCAGAGAATATTATGAGCAATTATATGCTGATAAATGAGAACCTACAAGAAATGGACAAATTCCTAAACATATACAACTTTCCAAGATTTAGTCACAAAGAAATTCAAAACCTGAACAGGCAAATAACAAGCAATTAGGCAGAAGCAGTAATAAAAAGTCTCCCATCAAAGAATATCCTAGGATCTGAGGCTTCACTGTTTAATTCTATCAAACATTTAGAGAATAACTAATACCAATTCTGCTAAAACTGTTCTAAAAAATCAAAGAGGGAATACTTTCAAACTCATTCTATGAGGCCAGTATTACCCTGATACTAAATCCAGACAAAAATATGTGAAAAGAAAACTACAAGCCAATATCACTCATGAAAATAGACACCAATATCCTTAATTAAATATTAGCAAATCAAATTTAACAACACTTTAGAAAGTTTATCTATAATGATCAAGGGAGATTCATCCCAGGAAGGCAAGAATGGTTCAACATATACCAATAAATTAATATGAGACATATCACATCAACAGAATGAAGGACAAATCTATTAATATATGATGATTTTAGTTAATGCCAAAAAGTTCATTTGATACAGTTCAACATCCTTTCCTGATAAAAATTCTCATAAAACTGGATATAGAAGGAACATAACTCAACACAATAAAAACCCACAGATAGTATATTGAATAGGGAAAAGCTGAGAGCCTTTTCTCTAAGATCTGGAACAAAACCAGGATGCCCACTTTTATCCAACATAGTAGTGGAAATTCTAGCCAGAGGAATTAGACAAGAGAAAGAAATGAAGGGCAACAAAATTGGGAAGAAAGAAGTGAAATTATCTTTCTTTGCAAATGTTATAAACTTGTATTTGGAAAAACCTAAAGACCCCACCAAAATACTATTAGAACTGACAAATTCAATAAAGTTGCAAGATACAAAATTAACTTACAAAAATCTGTAGCATTTATATATGCCAACAGCAAACAATCTAGAAAAAAAAAGAAAGGAATCTCATATATAATAGCTATAAATAATGTGAAACACATAGAAATAAACTCAATTGAAGAAGTAAAAGAACTTTATAATAAAAATCATAAAACACTGAGTTAAAAAATTGGAGGGAACATAAAAAATGGATCTTGTAGGAAGAGCTGAAGCAGGAGATCTTGGCTTGGCATAGCCTGTTGCAACCCATGGAGGAATATGTCGCTGAGCCACCATGATGCCTGGACACTTACAGGCAGGCTTTGGCTGCATGGTCACCAACCAGTTTGACCAGTTGTTTGATGATGAAGTGGACCTCTTTGAGGTGCTGAAGGCAGGGGAGAACAAAAAAATAAATGGCAGCGGGGGTGACACTGGGGGCCCTGGGGCCAAGAGCACAGCTCAGGCCCTCCAACATGGCAGGCAAACAGTTGTGTATAGAGTCCCAGAAAGACCACAAGAAACCACTGCACCCCAGCATTGGCATGGTTGACAAGAAAGAGGAGACACAGGTGCTCATCGTGCTTAAGAAAGAAGGAATAAGGTGAGTTGGTAGAAGACCTGATCAACAACTTCAGGTTGAAGGAAAAATAATAGAAGACCAGAGAGACGATCACCTCTAGAACAAAGATTTGAAAAGCCACTTGAAGAAAAGGGTGGAGGCAAATTTTCAGTTGATAGACTGATTATTGACTGACCTATTCGAGGCCGTGGTGGTCTTAGAAGAAGTTGAGGGGGCTGCAGACATGGAATGGGCTGAGGAGATGGATTCGATTCCCATGGCAAATGTGAATTTTATAGGCATAGTGGAAGTGATAGATCTGTCCTGAAGCACAAGGACAAACATGGAGGTAATAGACCTCACTACTGGGGAACTGTTAAAGATGAATTAACAGATTTGGAATGATCAAATGTGACTGAGGCAACATCTGTAGGTGAAGAACATCCAGTGGCAGACACTGAAAATAAGGAGAGTGAAGTTGAAGAGGTAAAGAAAGAGGGTCCTAAAGAGATGATTTTGGATGAGTTGAAGGCTATTGAAAATATGGAGTGGGCAAAGTGGAATTTAATATCTGAAAACCAAATGAAGCTGCTGAAGGGCAGTGGAAGATGAAATATGTTTTTCATAAATCAGAGTGAAGAGGCTCATGCTGCAGACTCTGTTATGGACCATCTTTTCCAGAAGCCAGCAAATGATGTAATGTCTCAGTTGAAGATTAATTTTGGAGAACTTGGCTGCCCAGAACATGATGGCGAGGGAGGACAAGGTAGACGTGGGTGTGGCAGACGTCTGAACTGTGGCAGCAGGACTGACAAGTAAAGTGCTTCTGCTCCTCATGCGGATGACCCAGAGGCATTCCCAGCTCTGGCTTAGCTGGATACCATGAGACAACCCTGGTTCGTCTGTGAACCTTTCTGTTCAAAGTTTTTGCATGCTTAAGGATTCCAAATGACTAAGAAATTTTTTTAAAAAGACTGTCATTCATGCCATTCACACCTAAAGACTGAATTTTATCAGTTGTAAAAATGAACTCCTCTTGCTACACAGAAGAAACAAATGTGGTAGTCAATTTTGTATTTAGAAATATATTGGTAGCAGGGATGTTTTCATAATTTTCAGAGATGATGCGTTCTTCATGAATACTTTTTTATTGCTGCATGCAAATATGCATTTCTAAATTTGAAATATAGATGTGAACAGTGTGTACCAGTTTAAAGCTTTCAGTTCATTTGTGTTTTTTAATTAAGTATTTAGATGATCCCCCAATTACAAACTGGTTTTAAATCTTGGACATACCAGTTTTAATACCTGCTTTGCATTTTCACATGTGGTCAACTGGGACGTGTTAAACTTTCACTTGTCAAATTTTATCTTGTGTGAAAAACTATGTGTATTTTAATTTAGTTTTAATATTTTCATTTTGGGAAAAAATCTTTTTTTACTTCTCATGATGGCTGTTGAATATATATGCTAAATCTTTGTATACAGAAATATCAGTACTTGAACAAATTTAAAGCACATTGGTTTATTAACCCTTGCTGCTTGCATGGTTCATTAGGTTCAAATTATAACTGATTTACCATTTCAACTATGTTTACTTTTTAAATATGTGACTTTCCCATTTAAAAAGCCAAGTTACTCACCTTATTGGTGAAAGTTGTTTAAGCTACTTATTAATAAACACATCCTGTCAAGTCAAGTAGTTTTGTAGGTAAGGTTTTTTTGCCCCCTCACACTGGGTAGGTGAAATAAGTTGATTTGGCTAATGTGTAATAAATTGTTATGCAAAAGCAGTGTCTTGCCATTTGGTATGATTTCTGTGTGTGAAGGGACGTGAAATCAAAAGAGTACATGCATAACTGACAACTCTGTAACCCTTCCTTGTTCTAAACAGACCCAACGGGCACTAGCTAGTATGGTGAAATGGGATAGTATTTTAATTTTTGGAATTTGGAAAGCTGACAGCTTTACTTTATAAGGCTGGAACAGCAGCACCATCCATGAAATATAAACCAAAAATCTTTGCTGTTTCTGAATTTCCTAGATTGCTATTATTTAGTTCGAAGTTGATGAGTATTTATTCCACAGAAAGTGATAATTATCTTTTCTCTCTTCCTCCATTAGAAAATTAGGTTAATAATGGATTCCTTCAATGGGAGCATCACCACTTATTAAAACATACATAGAAAGAATGATGAATAAAACAGGCTTTCTAGGATTTTCTTTTATTATTTTGCCATATTTATTGATAAACAGGGAAGGAATTTTAAAAAAGTTTTAAGAATCTTTTGTCACTTTATTTTCAGTCATGTTCCCCCTGTGTATGGCAATGTCCAGTTTAAAAAATATTGGAGATCTTCAATGTTAAACATGTCTATTTAGCCAATTGGTTCTCACATATACTTCTAAAAGAGAAATTGTATGTACAAGAGTTATTCATTTGGATTGAATTTATTAATCTGTTACCTACTATTCTGACATTTTAGGAAGGAGGTAATTGTTTTTTTAATGATGGATAAACTTGTGCTGGTGTTTTGGATCTTATGATGCTGAGCATGTTCTGCACTGGTGCTAATGTCTAATACTATTTTATATTTACAAGCATACCTGCTACCCGGAGGCAAGCATTAACTCAGTCCATATGGCCTATTAAGCCCTCTTGAGATTGCAACATATGCACTCCTAAATCAGTGTGTTTAGACTTTTCAAGTGTCTAACTCATTTCTGAACATGTATCATGCTAATAAACCTCTTGATTTCCAGCAACATACTATAGAAAACACCTGCTATTAAAAACACTTCACAAGTTTAAAAAAAGAACACAAAAGGAAAGATATTTAATATTCATAGATTGGAAGAATAATAATTATTAAAATGTCCATACTACCCAAAGTAATCTGTAGATTCAATGCAATCTCTCTCAGAATACCAATGACATCCTTCAGAGAAATAGAAAACATAATTCTAAAATTTATATGAAACCACAAAAGAGCCAGAATACCGAAAGACATGCTGAGCATAAACAACAAAACTGGAGAATCACATTACTTCAAATAATACTATGAAGCTATAGTAACCAAAACAGTATGGTGCTGGCATAAAAACACACAGACTAAAAGAACAGAATAAAGCACCCAGAAATAAATCCATGCATTTACAGTCAACTCATCTTTGACAAAGAGACCAAGAACAAACATTGAGGAAAGGACAGTCTCTTCAATAAATGTTACTAGGAAAACTGGATATCCATATGCAGAAGGATAAAATTAGAACCCAATCCCTCACCATTTACATAATCAAATAGAAATGTCTTTAAAACTTAATCTAATATCTGAAGCTATGAAGCTACTAGAAGAAAACACTGATAAAACACACTAGGACATTGTTCTAGGCAAAGATTTTTGGAATAAATCCTCAAAACTCTGGCAGCCAATGCAAAAATGGACATATGAGATCACATAAAGCTAAAAATCTTCTGTCCGGTAAAGGAAACAATAAACAAAATGAAAAGCTAACTCACAGAATTGGAGAAAATATTTGCAAACTACCCACTAACAAAGGATTAATGACCTGAATATATAAGGACTTCAAACGACTCTACAGTAAAAAAAAAAAACAAATAATATAATTAAAAATAGGCAAAAATTTGAATAGACATTTCCTAAAAGAAGTGGCCAACAGTTATACAAAATAATGTTCAACATCCCTAATCATCAGAGAGATGCAAATCAAAACTACAGAGTTGTTATCTGATCCCAGTTAAAATGGCTTTTGTACAAAAGAGAGCAATAATGAATGTTGGTGAGAATGTGGAGAAAGGGGAACCTTTGTACACTGCTGGTGGCAATGTAAATTAGTACAATCACTATGGGACAGTATGGGAGATCCTTAGAAAAACCTGAAAACATAACTACCATATGATCCAGGAATTCCACTGCTGCATATATATCCGAAAGAAAGAAAATCGGTATATCAAAAGGATATATGCACTCCCATGTTCATTGCAGCATTATTCAAAATAGCCAGCTATGGCTATCAGAGAAATGCAAATCAAAACCACAATGAGATACCATCTCACACCAGTTAGAATGGCGATCATTAAAAAGTCAGGAAGCAACAGGTGCTGGAGAGGATGTGGAGAAATAGGAACACTTTTACACTGTTGGTGGGACTGTAAACTAGTTCAACCATTGTGGAAGTCAGTGTGGCGATTCCTCAGGGATCTAGAACTAGAAATACCATTTGACCCAGCCATCCCATTACTGGGTATATACCCAAAGGATTATAAATCATGCTGCTATAAAGACACATGCACACGTATGTTTATTGAGGCACTATTCACAATAGCAAAGACTTGGAACCAACCCAAATGTCCAACAACAATAGACTGGATTAAGAAAATGTGGCACATATACACCATGGAATACTATGCAGCCATTAAAAATGATGAGTTCACGTCCTTTGTAGGGACATGGATGAAATTGGAAATCATCATTCTCAGTAAACTATCACAAGGACAAAAAACCAAACACCGCATGTTCTCACTCATAGATGGGAATTGAACAATGAGAACACATGGACACAGGAAGGGGAACATCACACTCTGGGGACTGTTGTGGGGTGGGGGGATGGGGGAGGGATAGCATTAAGAGATATACCTAATGCTAAATGACGAGTTAATGGGTGCAGCACACCAGCACGGCACATGTATACATATGTAACTAACCTGCACATTGTGCACATGTACCCTAAAACTTAAAGTGTAATAATAATAAAAAAAAATAAAAATAAAAAAAAGAAAAAATAGCCAGCTATGCAATCAACCTAAGTGTCCATCAAAGATGAATGGATAAAGAAAATGTGCACTTATACACAATGGAATATTATTCAGCTATAAAAAAAAAACAAATGAAATCCTGTCATTTGCAACAATATGGATAGAACTGGAGGACATTATGTTAAGTGAAATAAGCCAGGCACAGAAAGACAATTATCGCCTGTTCTCACTCATACATGGGAGCTAAAGAAAACTAAAAATTGAACTGATAGAGCTAGTGAGTAGAATGATGTTTAGCAGACACTAAGAAGGGTAGTGGGGAGGGGAGAATAAAGTAGGGATGGTTATGGGTATAAAAATACAGTTAGATAGAATAAGATCTAGTATTCAGTAGCATGATAGGATGGCTATAGCTAATTACTTGTTATATTTTAAAACAACTAAATAGAATTGGAATGTTTGTAACCCAAAGGAATGATAAATGTTTAAGGTAATGGATAACCCAATTACCCTGATTTGATTATTACACATTGTATGCCTGTATCAAAATATCATCACATGTACCTCATATATATTTATAATAATTATGAGCCCATGATAATAAAAAATAAAATATATTTTTTTAAAAGTCCTAATTAAAAGAAAGCCTCTATCTTTGAAAAATCCAGACTCCTCTTTGTTTTAATTGCATGTATTGATAGTTCAATTTAGATGCATCTCTTGGATCATTTTTATCTAGCCTTAATCTTTACATTTTAAATTTGAAATACCCCTGGAGTACCAGATGTTGTTGGTTGGTTGGAGATCAAGCTGCTGGAATATCTGATGGTGGCTGGTCAGAGACCTTTCCCTTAGGACCTAGGTTACCCATATTATTCACTTTATGAAGGCATTTCTTCAAGTGCAACTAAAGTGTGAGTGTTCCTGCAAAACTGAAGTGTGGGCATATCCCATGAAGCATGAGAGTAACCCGCAAAGTGCAAGCATACATCATAAAGTGCGAGCATACTCCACAAATGCGTACTCCCTGGAGCCAGATGGGCAGGCTTCCTGGAGGAAATAGTGTCTGAGACACTGTCCTAAAAATGAGCAATCTTGGATCTAAGAGGGCTTACCCATGTTAACTTAAAAATCACAAGAATTATAAGCTTAGAAAAGGAGACTTTATTTCTTGTAAATAAAGTGTGGCTTGCAGTGTGGCTAGCCTGATAGTCTAGGAAGTGCAGCTTCCAGTAGAGACCTGGAAATAGTCACTTTGAAAAGGGAGGGGTTTGGGAAGGGATTTAGGCTAAATGGGCTGGCCAAGTATACATACTCAACTGATTATAGGATGAGATATGTCCTGACACATGAGTATTGAACAAACATACATATGATATATGACCTATGTTCATTTGGGAGCAGGGGCTTAACATTTAAATGTATTACAATTAGGCCCTATACATAAAAATATATGTAAATATGTCATTTCAGGACACAAATGCACTCAAGTTCTCAGCGTCTACAAACTAGCCAGAACCAGCCCATAGTGAGTGGTCTTTTTATCAGGAGAGAGTTACTGAAATCGGTCTCTTGTCCAACCAAAGCTGTAGTTACGGCTAATAGAATAGGGAAGTGGAGCATCTGTTAGTCAGTGTCTAATGGTTGGTGAGCTACAACTGTTTCGCTATTGTTTATCCCAAGACCAGTCCTTGTTTAGCTGCTAGGAAAAAAGAAAAACCTTGTGGCAGTGAGAGCATAGTTTATTCTTTAAGTGTCGGGGTGTGTGACTTAACCCTTGCCTGGCATGACCTTAGTTCTTCTTTATAGTTTGGTATTTCATTGCCTTAAAGAGTCCATTCTGTCAGTCTTAAGAGCTCTATTTTAACATTAATGCCAGTCAGTTTTTATGTCTAAACTGCAAAAGGGAGGGAGGATAATGAGGCATGCCTGAGCTCTTATTCTGTCATGGCTGGAAACTCAGCTTTTACAATTTATCTGAGGTCTCCACGGTCAAGAGAGGGGCTATTCACTTGGTGTGGGGGCTTGGGTTTTTACTTTTATTTTATGCCCAAGTCCTTCCCAGCACAGCCAGGAATATAATAGTTCAAACGGCTCTTGTGGGCACTAATGCCTTGGGCCAGATAGTGTTGGGAAAAGCACAGGGGTCACTTCAGATTCCATCCTCATCACCAAGACCTTGAGATTTGCAGAGGAAAAAAGGGAGAGCCTTATTTTCTATAAAAAACAGTCTCTAGATTAGGGAGGCACAGACTTCAATACAAGTAAAATTGTGCTCTGAAGAACAAAGGGAGGAGCTGGCTTAAACAGGGAAAGTTCTCATCCAGTTTCTCAAGCAGATCTGTTTATGCAAATGAAAATTTCAAACTTGTTCAGTTGTGATTGGTCAAAATAGTTGAGCCCTAATTGGGTAGTCTCTATGCCCCAAATCAGAAGTTTCTGTCAGATGTTTCTTTCAAACAGCCAGTGGTGGGAGAGAGGGGTATGGTTCGGGACACAGTTAATCTTGGCATTGACAATAGAAACTGCTTTGGCTTGATTGTAGACAGGGAGGTCCTGTGACACCTCTACATCTTCCTGATAATGAAAAGTATGTAAACGCTCCCTCATCCAGCTGTAGCCACCTGGTTCTGTTTTCATTTTTAGCACCTCAGTTAGCCATGGGTAGTTCATTTTGTCTGTCAGCCCAGGGCACACTTTAACAAGTTAAAGAGTTTTGTGAGTTTTAATCCTGGTTCTTGTGCCTGTTGACTATGCAACATATAGGTAAGTGAGAAGATCATTCAGGTCAGAAAGAAGTCCATGAGGAAATTCACATGGCTAAGGACAAAATGTGTATTATCCAAGAAATTCTGAATTTCCCAGAGTGTTACACCCTTGATTGAATGCAAGGAGGTTCTTAGATGAAACTGAAAGTCATTGAATAATAGAGACTATAAAAATTACACATTTAGTACTTTATGCTAATACATTCTTCAGAGTACTCTGATCTTAAGCACTTTGCATTCATTTAGGTTTCTTCCTTTCTAGCATCCCCTTTGGATTGTTTGGACTAATGGCAGTATCTCTGAAGCTTCATTAAGAGGGACCCAATGTCAACCTCCACAGAGTTCCAGGATTAGCAAACTTTCTTTGTAAATGTCAAACAGTATTTTTTTAGGCCATAATATCCCCTTGGATCTACTCACCTCAACCATTGACTAAAAGCAGACATTGTCAACATGGGTGTGGCTGTGTTTCAATAAAATTTATAGACAAAAAAAACCAAAAACAAAACAAAACGAAAAAACAGGCATTAAGCTACATCCAGACCAGGGGCTACAATTTATTTTCCCCTGGTTTAGATAACCAACCAGTAATAAGAGTAACAATGTTTTATGAGTGGTATGTGCTTGCAGCTGATCCAAGTTTATATTTCAGCATATAAAAAACCTCTGAGGTAGGAACAACTATTATACCTTCTCTCATTTTACAGGTGAGGAAACTGAGTCATAGATAAATTAATTAGCTTTGGCTAAGGTCCCTTAGAAAGAGGCAGAATTGGCTTCCAGACAGGGTAGCCTGACTCCAGGGCCCATGTTCAAACCAGGGTTCTAAGAACTTCACTATTTACGTGTCATTAAGTACTTTTAAGAGTGAAGTGATTTAAAACTGAAAATGTAGCACTAATTACTTGACTTCGATTACTTCAAATAGAAACTTTCAAATACGGTTGATTTGTACATTGGCAGTCCCAGAAATTTAATTTTTTAAAGTTTCTATCCCCACCCTCCCCATTCCTCTAAAAATATTAAACATGTTAACTCTGATTGCGTTCTCCAGCAGCTATTACAACACATCAATAAATAAAATCTAATCTTCCTGTGGGATATTTTATTTCACTTTTTTTTAATCAAAAGAAGTTTTCAAGGAAATGAGTAATACAACTATTAACCTTCTTTTTTCTGCTCAAGAGCCAACAAATTCATTATTTAATGAGAGCAAATAGAGCATTTCAGTGAGTACAGAATTCTCCTAGGAATATTCCTTGCTTAAAAGACACCAGAAGTTTTCAGATTGAGGTAGTGAAGATCATGTCACATTCACAGATAATTTTGTGCCAGAAGAGTCAGGTTACTCAGCAAATACAGGTCTGTTTGGTGTCACTGAGTAGTTTCCTTTGTCAATAATGACTTGCAGAAAGCAAAATGGAACAGCGGCATTTTACTTGTGGTGGGAACTCATGGAAGTGAGCTTTGTGATGGATGCAAACCCTATAAACCTTAAGACTTTTATCTTTTAAATGATGTCCATACTTCACTTCTTGCCTTTCCTGATTCATGGCTGAATTAATTAAAATCTGCAGTCTAGCTGGTTTTCTTTTTTTTTTTTTTTTTTTTTGAGACAGAGTCTTGCACTGTCGCCCAGGCTGTAGTGCAGTGGCCTGATCTCGGCTCACTGCAAGCTCCGCCTCCTAGGTTCACGCCATTCTCCTGCCTCAGCCTCCCGAGTAGCTGGGACTACAGGTGCCCGCCACCACGCCCGGCTAATTTTTTGTAGTTTTAGTAGAGACGGGGTTTTACTGTGTTAGCCAGGATGGTCTCGATCTCCTGACCTCGTGATCCGCCCACCTCGGCCTCCCAAAGTGCTGGGATTACAGGCCTGAGCCACCGCGCCCGGCCAGTCTAGCTGGTTTTCTAACATAAACATTCCACTAAGAAAATATAATAAATTAATGCAACAAAGAACATGTAAAACTTTTGTAAAATTAAAGTTACGTAGTTAAGTTCTAGAGATCTATTATGCAACAATTTGTATATAGTCAACAATATTTTTAATCTACTTTTATGGTAGATTTTATGTTATGTGTTTTTTGCAACAATAAATAAAATACCTAATTACAAAGAGATGCTAGCTATACTTATGGCCTAACAATTTTTTTTAATTTTATTTCTGAGGGAATGACAATGATCCACTTACTTATCACTTTTGTTGTTGCATAAGAATCATCATCTGAAGCAGAAGGGTCACAGTAACAGAGAGATAAATTAAGTATGCAACACAAAATCTTTGTCAAGGTTAAAAGGGAGAGATAGCAAGAACTTCTTTCCAAAATTATAACCCATTCCCTTATACTTTTTTTTTTTTTTTTTTTGAGATGGAGTCTTGCACTGTCACCCGGCTGGAGTGCAAGAGCGTGATCTCAGCTCATTGCAACCTCCGCCTCCCAAGTTCACACGATTGTCCTGCCTTAGCCTCCTGAGTAGCTGGGATTACAGGTGCACACCACCACACCTGGCTAATTTTTTGTATTTTTAGTAGAGACGGGGTTTCGCTATGTTAGCCAGACTGTTCTTGAACTCCTGACCTCATGATCCACCCACCTCAGCCTCCCAAAGTGCTGGGATTACAGGCATGAGCCACCACGCCTGGCCTTAAATTCTTGTTTTGGGGCAGTGCCCGTTATTAGATATGTCACATACATTCATGTTTTCTGAAATTTTCTCACATCATTAAAGTATATTGTCCAAAATTATGCGGAATTATGAATGAATGTGCATCATAATCAATAATAAAATCTTTAAATATTTTAGAGTTTAAGCTTAGTTTGAATGTCTTAATGTGTGAATGTTGCCTTGTAAATATAAAAACGTCTTACACTAAAAAAGACCAAAGTATACCATTTATGATCATACATTACTAAAATAATATATTCAGGAAAGATAATTATGTTTCATGTGTATTTAAGTAGAATTGGAAGACCTTAATAAAATCGTTTTTTCCTCAAACCTAAAACAGACACTTGGTGGACTTAGGTGTTTTGGCTGCATGATTGTCAAATGAACTCATCTTGATCAGTGTTGTAATGGTATCAAATGCATGTATGATGATAATTGCTTAAAATGTATCTTTTTTGTGTAATAGCACTAATTATCAGCCACCCTTACAATGAGTAGATAATTGCTATTAATTTATTTGGCATTCACTCTAGTTACATTAATCACAGTGAGCTCATTTGACTTTAATGTGAATAAAATATGTTATGCTATTGGAATTCCATTATAATTTATCAGTAAATAATGCCCACTGATTGTGAAGCATCACTGTAAACTTCTCTCATAGAAAGTAAAGGCTTTTGTAGCTACCTCCCAAATTTGAATAGCTGTCCTTCAGTTCATGATGAGAGGTGTTTACCGAAATAGAATAAAACTTGAAGAGAAAGCTTCTATCAAGCTAAAAGATTAAGTTCCCAAGAAAAAGATGATTAAAATTTTGTATATTAGTTTTGTGATGACCATGATAAAATAATTTTACCAACAGTTTGAAAGTATGTTCACCAATAAGATGATTAAAAGTGAGAAGTCTAGACACAGGCTTCTAGGTTAAGTTACTAGCTAAATGACATTGGCGATTGACTACATCTGTTAACAGATTTCTTAGCTCTGAAATGAGGATAAGTGCAGTCCCTAAATTAGAGGAGTTTGTAAGAATTATACATAAAAACATTAAGCATGATGTCGCGACATGCTAATTACTAATATTACTGATAGTAATAAAGAATAAACTTGAAGTAGATGAAATCTGTGAAACCTCTGTTGTTTAAAATATCTGTGCTGATTTTACAGTAATTTTTTTTTTTTTTGAGACGGAGTCTCTCCCTGTTGCCAGGCTGGACTGCGGTGGTGCAATCTCAGCTCACTGCAACCTTAGCCTCCTGGATTCAAGTGATTCTCCTGCTTCAGCCTCCCGAGTAGCTGGGACAACAGGTGCATACCACCACACCCAGATAATTTTTTGTATTTTTAGTAGAGATGGGGTTTAACCATGTTGGCCAGGATAGTCTCGATCTCTTGACCTCATGATCCACCCACCTCAGCCTCTCAAAGTGCTGGGATTACAGGCATGAGCCACCATGCCCAGCCAATAATTTTATAGGACTATTAAACAAGCAAGTTTTAGTTTATCTCAATTTTTATTTGTTTACCACCAAGAATGAGATTTCTCCACAGTTGGTTACATTTGGCCCTGCAGTTAGTTAAACTGGATTATTAAGACAGCCACAGGCTGCATTTCTCCCCTTTGTGTATCGCAATGTTTTCTGTGTATGTCAATCTGCTGCTCATACTTAGCTATTCTAAGTAGGATTGTTTTTGCCTCTTTATATCAATCTTACCGTGTTTCAGTTTCTTCAAGTTAATCAAATAAATATTTCTTCCTTTAAGTGAGTCCTTTGTTTAAAGCACCTTGTTATGTCAAGCTAAGTCATGTCATTTATAACAGAAGAAGAGCATTGTTTGTCCAAGGAAAGCAAAATATTCTCTTGCAAACTGACAGATATTCCTGTTTGCTGACTGGCTGAATTTAAGTTGGCTTGTTTGGCATATACCTCCCTGACAGAGCGTTCTTTCTGTGCTAGATGCTTCTGCTGACAACTCTTTCTTGCATATGCATACCATTAAATAATTGCTTCTGGACTTTATGTTTCCTTTAGCTGTTAAAGGAATATTTATATTAGCTTGTAAAGTTTCTTTTTTCCTAAAACCCAATCTGAGATGCTATGTAGAGAGAGTAACCTCTGGATGAGTCTTTCGTGCGTTTTCCTATATGTTAGAAGAAATTACTGGTGCATCAAATGACATCATGTTTTTTCTTCATCCATGATTTACTGGTATATTTGGAAATTTGGGGAAGAGTTCACTTAAAGCCAGGTGAATATTTTTCCCCTCAAATGATGTAGAATGAGATGTATTCATTTTTGTGTACTGAGAGCATAATCCATCCCAACGCTGTAGCCTCCCATAAAGTATCTCAAAATTGTTGTGGAAACAAACCAAATATTATGTCAGAATGAAGGGTACAACATAAAATAGGGGTTAATGAAAATACATTTTAGAAATAGGAAATATGATTAGGGGTGACATATTATTATCTGCCACAAGGGATTCTTCAGGCCGCCAGGAAAAACACACACACAGCTCTTCTGGTTTTGTCATCATATCACACTTCCAATTATTAAGGAATTCAGAAATAATTGTCACCTTAGGGCTCTAAAGAGTAGCATGAATTAAGGTTGGGTAGCTATAAACACTGCTATTGGAGGACAACCTGAAGTTTGCATACCTTGTTGCCTGAGAGAAAGCCCAGGGTCAAACAAACTCATATAAGTTCTTCTGATTTCTAAAGTGCAAAAAAAAAATAGTTCTTATTATAACACAAATATTTCTAAGAACAGTAGTTTCATTTTAATCTGTAGTACACAAACCATATTAATGCTCAATTATTAAAATTTGGTCACCTACTTAGCTCTATAAGCACATAAATCTTTTTACATAATGTGCCACACACGTATCATGCCAGATATATCTGCTTAGGATAGAGAGCTCTTGAGGTCTTATGACAATGGCACAACTGCTAAGTAGAAACAAGGAGATAAGTTACAAATGTAGAGACATGGAAACTAACACACTTGATTGATTAGTTGATGGGGATAAATAAAAGATGGTTTTAAAGAGTTGTGGGGCAAGTATTTGTGGGATGAAGCTCAGAGACTTGTGGCTTCAAAGCTTTAAGATGCTTTTTATCTGTATGAAATTACTGAAGTGGCAATTGAGTTTATGCAATTTAACAGTTATTTCAAGGTTGTGGGAGTTTCACAAAGGCAAGAATGTCTGTCTGTTGTTTTGTGATGTATCCCAGGAGCCTAGAACAATACCTGGAATATACTAAGTGCTCAATAAATATATGTTGATTGAATGGAATTTGTCTCTGAGAGAGTATGTGGTAGGTATCTTTACTAAGGCTATAAGCTTAAACATTAATTTCCTGATAAAAAACATTATCTGGTTCTTCTAACTATGAGATGTCAAAAGAAAATTTTCATTTGTTTTCTGTTTCTATGTAGAACGGATACAATTCCTCTGTATTGTGTATTAGTTAAACACATGGGCTCTGTAGCCAGATTGCTGAGGTTCCAATCTCAGCTCTACCTTTTGCTATCTGTGTTACCATGGTGAAGATACAAAATGTTTCTGTACTACTGCTTCTGTAACAGGAAAAAGAATTTAGTAAGAGTAGCTAACTCATAGAGTTATGAGGATACATTTAAATTGCCTAGAAGATAATTTAACACACAGAGAACACTTGGTAAAGTATGGTGAATCTTATTGCCGGTATTACTGTGTAACATCTACAATAAATTTTCCTTATGCTGGACATCTCCATTTTGGTAGAATTATTCCACTGACTAAAGCTGAGTTGTTTTCTTGGCAGTCAAGAACAATCTCAATGCTATGACTTCATTGTACCTATATTAACATGGCTTATTTACACTTACACAGTATTATTGTAACTTGTTTTCATACCTAAATTTTCCACTCTACACCACAGCTTTTCTGGATAAACAACTTGCCTTATTTATTTTTCTTTTCTTGAAGACAGGACAATGTCTGATATATAGAATAGATACTTATAAAACATGTTTTGACTGATGAATAAATGAATGAATCAACATGCAAGTATTTGGCTTCTCTGTGTATTATTCTAAATACATGGATAGCACTTTTTCTTCTCTGGTCCATATACCAGGAGATTAGTTGGTACAAAACTAATTATTACACAAAAGGAAGATTTAAAGTAACAAAAAATTCACATTAATTTCTCAAGGTCAAAAATTTAAAGGATGTAGGTCTATTTGCATATTAAAACATTACCTCTTAAATTTTTTTAAGTTATTTTATTATACTTTAAGTTCTGGGATACATGTGCAGAATGTGCAGGTTTGTTACATAGGTATACACTTGCCATGGTGGTTTGCTGCACCCATTAACCTGTCATCTACATTAGGTATTTCTCTTAATGCTATCCCTCCCCTAGGCCCCCACTCCGCAACAGGCCCCGGTGTGTGATATTCCACTCAACATGTCCATGTGTTCTCATTGTTCAACTCCCACTTATGAGTGACAACATGCAGTGTTCAGTTTTCTGTTCCTGTGTTAGTTTGCTGAGAATGATGGTTTCCAGCTTCATCTCTGTCCATGCAAAGGACATGAACTCATCCTTTTTTATGGCTGCATGGTATTCCATGGTGTGTATGTGCCACATTTTCTTTATCCAGTCCATCACTGATGGGCATTTGGGTTGGTTCTAAGTCTTCGTTATTGTAAACAGTGCCACAATAAACATATGTGTGCATGTGTCTTTATAGCAAAATGATTTATAAACCTTTGAGTATATACCCAGTAATGGGATTGCTGGGTCAAATGGTATTTCTGGTTCTAGATCCTTGAGGAATCACTACACTGTCTTCCACAATGGTTGAACTAATTTACACTCCCACCAACAGTGTAAAAGCATTCCTATTTCTCCAAATCCTCTCCAGCATCTGTTGTTTCCTGACTTTTTAATGATTGCCATTCTAACTGGAGTGAGATGGTATCTCATTGTGGTTTTGATATGCATTTCTCTAATGACCAGTGATGATGAGCTTTTTTTCATATGTTTGTTGGCCACACAAATGTCTTCTTTTGAGAAGTGTGTGTTCATATCCTTCGCCCACTTTTTGATGGGGTTGTTTGTATTTTTCTTGCAAATTTGTATAAGTTCTTTGTAGATTCTGGATATTAGCCCTTTGTCAGATGGATAGATTGCAAACATTTTCTCCCATTCTGTAGGTTGTCTGTTCATTGTGACAATAGTTTATTTTGCTGTTCAGAAGCTCTTTTAGATCCAATCTGTCAATTTTGGCTTTTGTTGCCATTGCTTTTGGTGTTTTAGTCATGAAGTCTTTGCCCATGCCTATGCCCTGAATGATATTGCCTAGGTTTTCTTCTAGGGTTTTTATGATTTTATGGGATTTTGTTCAAAAGATTGTATGGAAAAAAAATAAACTTTCAAATTTCAAACATAAAAATGACTTGATTAATTCAAATCTGTAAAACTGAGTAGTTACTGAAAAGAGTATTTAGTAAAGATGTAAAGAGGGTTTTTGTTTTGGTTTTGGTTTTTTATTTGACATTAGAAATTACTACTAAAAATTAGATATGTGAATACAAATATAAGTTTTTCAAAATAAATAACCCCTGCTGTTCATGATATAATCTCTTAATCTTTAGTATCTAATATAATGTGCATGAACTTTGGGTCACTGGGTTTTAATTACAAAATTTAGAGAACTCCTTTCTGTATTAAAAGAATAAAATATTTAGCATTCTTAGAGATGTTAATAGTAGACTTTGAATATGAATTCTCCCCATTTTCTTCATTCTGGAACTTACTTTTGTATACTGAAAGTATTAAGTTTATGTAGCAATATGTTTTGGTCATACACAAAGATAGTGTTTCATGTACGAAAATCATATATGTAATTTCTTTGGGGAGCAATAATTTAAAAATGTTGATGCACTTCAAGTCATAGAAAATGTCAAATGCTTTCAAAACTGTAAGAGGCAGATTCATGTTCAACAAAAACTTTCAGGATTTTAATCTTTAAGTAGCAAATCTGAGATTTGATCCATTTTTTTCCTACTCTCTGTCATTACCTTCTCAGTACCTATGACATTTTGACATCTTATCAATGATTACAAGCATTTATATATTATTTCTCAGTCATTCTTTTTTATACTCAGTAAAAGACATAATGGCAAAATTCAATACATTCAAAAAATAATACCTTGTTTCAATTATATTCAGATTCTGGCTATTATTTTTGGCAATGTCATTTTATTCAAATAAAATATGAAATCTTCAGGTACATTTTTAAATTCTAATTTTAGCAATACAGAAAACGCTTACACATTTTGTATTTCGAATGATTAAAACCAATGATACCTTTTGCATAGGACAAATTAAATTAGTAATATAATCTAATAAAATTATGTAGGGCAAATTAATTTAAGGGCTGTTGTTCTTCTGGGTTAGTAAACAACTTTTCTTTGTCCATAGTTGTATTTTAATGCAAAATGTGTAAGAATTTTATGTACTGAATAATATTTTTAAAAAAATTATTCTAACTTAAGAGTTTTAGCTCTGCAATAAGTTAGTACTTTGACCCATCTACTGTCATTTTACTATTATAAATGTTTTGAAACAGGCATAATTTTTAAAACAGGTATAATTGAAACAGGTATAATTTATTGTATTCCTCATAAAAAATAATCTGTGTTCTTATATGTTATATTGGACACAAATAAGTAACATGTTGTATTTCAAAGCAATGATTGTACCACGTCATTTAGTTTGCTTTTTTTTTTATTTGTTTTTATTTGGGACATTGGCTAGCTAGATTGTTTTTCCTTAATGCTATTGATTACAAATAGATGAATATATATTATTCGACTACCATATTCTAAGACATTTTCTTTAAGACATAATTAACATTTCTTACTTTAAAAAATGTCCTTGTCAAAATCACTTATAAATATTTCACATTAAAAAGCACAATTTTCAAAAATTGCATGAAGTTATATTCATTTATTTAATGTTCTTAAGCTCTGATGATTGTCTTAGCTGAAAATAGTGTAGTCTTGAAGATGTTCATTTTAGAGCTCATCAATGCCGGGATTTATAGAAAATGTAAAATAATTTATAGCACAAAGAGAAAGAACACAGTCTCCTGCAGAGATTAAGTGTCTTTAACACCACGACTAGCTTGTCTTGTCTGCGTGTGGAACAATAGATACTTCCAATCTAGCATGACATTCCGATGACAGTCTTTATTTTTCATTGTCAGTTAAAATACAGAGAATAATTTTCCTTGAAATTTCCCCAAAGTACCAGATATACTGTAATTCCTAGTTGTGCACTTCTTTGCAAGGCAGAACTAAAGTTAGCTAGAATACTCCACTACTTAGTTACACAACAGGCACCAGAGAATTTCACAAATGTAGACTCACCCATTGTGTTCTTTAAGCCAAATCTGCTAAGTTATTTGTAAAGTTTGGACAGTGAAGCCTTCTCATCTCTAAATGAAGAACCATTCTGACTAATGTTTCATTTTATATTATTCTGGTCTAGTGTTTAAGAAACTTAATTTAAAATATTGTAGCCTCAATAGGCTTATTGGATATATTTTGAGTGACAGCTGGCAAAATTTTCAGACTCTGAACACATATGCACATTTTAATCATTGTTATTTTGCCAATATATTAAGAACATCTAATTTCAAACATTATAATGGCTGTCATCAAATATTTTTGAATTATTTTAGAAGATTTTCCTTTAAATAAAATTGATTTAGTAAAGTCAATACTAAAATACTATAGTTTGCATTTATTAATTTTTATTACAAGTATATATAATGATGCTTGGTTAATCTAAATAAATATATTTTGTAATGGCTCAATTACACAATACAAGCTAAAACATAAAGATAATATAAATTCAATGAAAGATTAATTTTAAATGAGAAAGACTTATGCTCATAAATGTTATAAACTATAAGTAATATTTCTGCTTTATTATAAGTAAAAAATGCATCTTTTAAAAATGTGTTTTTGTCAGGAGTAAATAGAAAGTAGTCCAAGATAATGCAAGGAGTGTGATTTGTTTGATTCTTCACTTTTGTTACTAAATTTTAATCAACTTAAAATGATATACAGGGAGCATATCAGATTTACAGAATTTAACAAGAAACACTTAAGGTTGTATTATATATTTATTGTAAGACTAAAACACTTAAGGTTGTATTATATATTTATTGTAAAACTAAGAAAAAGGTACTAAACTATTTAATTTAAAATATTTTCATCTACATGCTTTGTCCATAAAAATACTAGATAAAATTCAAATCACATAGATTTATTTTGAACTTCTTTGTATTTATCAATTTACTAATAACACTTAAAAATCAGATCATGGATGTCATTGAATACCACAGTAACCCTTTATGTAATTTATCTAACTGCTTTCCACATATATAACATCCATTTTACCTACCATCTGCCCTCCACCACTTTTATGTTGTTCTACCAGGTATAATTTACTATACTTCCTTTTGATCTAACACAATGCATCCTTAAAGGTATGCTCCCACTTCTCTTATTCATTTATTCATTCATTCAACAAAATTCCTTTGAGTACCTTGTAAGTGATAAGTGCTTGTCTTGAGCTTTGATGGTAAACAAGACATAGGTCATGTCTTCTGAGAGTGACTCCTCAAAGACTCAGAAGTTCTCCTGAGACACCTAAGATGGAAGAAAGTTCTCTATCCTGTAGAAATGCTATAGCTCTTGTAGTCTGTGAAATCTTTTTGGAGGCCAAGTATTGTTCTGTCACCCAGGCTGGAGTGCAGTGGCTCGATCTCAGCTCACTGCAGCCTCGACCTCCCGGGCTCACGTGACCCTCCCACCTTAGACTTCTGAGTAGCTGGGCCCATAGGTGTGCGCCACCATACCTGGCTAACTTTAGTATTTTTCTTAGGGATAGGATTTGGCCATTTTGCCCACGCTGGTCTTAACTTCTGGGCTCAAGCAATCCCCCAGCCTCAGCCTCCCAAAGTGCTGGGGTTACAGGCGTGAGCCACTGTGCCTGGCCTCATCTATGAAATTTTGTCACTGAGTTTATTCAGCCTCTTGTTATAACAAATATCTTTTTGTGTGTATATCTTGTCCTTAAAACTAGATTACAAACACTATTTCCATGATACCATGGTCAAGGGGGTATTACACTAAGTTGGAAATCAATAATTACTTGTGGAATTTCTCTCTGCCCTGAATTTTCTTTCATTATTGAACTTCCTACTGCATCACCCTCTGTCTCCTTATCTTGTTTTACTTCACAGTACAGATCAACTACTTGGTGTATGACATGTTTGCTAAGTATTTTTCTCTCCCCCAAATACAGTATAATGTAAATTCCATGGCAGCAAATACTGTACAACTGTGCTTTATTTCCTTTGTCTCAGAATGTCTGGTACATTTTAGATGCTCAATTAGTATTTATTGAGTGAATGAAAGAATTTGTTTTGTGTCCACTCGGAGGCCTTATTTTATTTATATTTTTTGCCAAGAATAAAAATGAGCGAAAATTAGTGTTATTCTAATTACATAGAGTATACTATTTCTTTTAGATAAAAGTTAATAAAATAAAATATAAAAAATGATTTCAAAATTTGAAACTAGATTTTCAAGTACAACTAAATCTGGTATATGTTGATTGGAGCTTGAAAATATGGACTGCCTAGCTCTAACTTGAACACTGACAACTTTCTATCCTGAGGATAGTATGTATATTTTTAAATGCCAAGAGCAAATTAAACACTAGCTCTTGGGATGCAGAGAGTTTGAACTATATTCGCACGCCACTTTTTTCAGTGTTCTTAGAAAAAATAATCTGGTTTATATCCATATTTCATGATAATTTTTATGTAAATTATTTTATGGCATCATTGTTACTGTAATTGCCCTTCTTCCTTCTCTCAAACAGGCATGGGTTTATGGCATACATTGTATTTTCACAGATCACTTACATGATGCATTTTAACATGTAATGCAGACTGAGCAGATGGCACATTTTACAGCTTCATTTAAGCTGTGAAATAATGGTTCTAGAATTCAAGTACACATTTTTTGATCCTAAATTTATGTTTAAAATTCTAATATATCACTCACTATATTTGATCCATCCTAAGAGATAATGATATAATGAATCAATAGGCTGTCTTGATTTTGATCATTTTAATAATGCAAATATAGTCCATTAAATGTATTTAAAAGAGTTTAAGTCAATCCAACAAAGCGAAAATTTATCAGTCAATTTTGGCCATTTGGTTAGTTGGTAAATATTAACCAAATCATTACAGGTATCTTAGAACAAAAACTTTAATTGTTCATTTAATTTGTCTCCTGACTCTTTTTTTCCTTCTTTTAAAGTACCACATTTCTTCCTGAATCTAAAGCTATTAATCCTTTTTTTTTTTTATTCTGCCCTCTTGGTGTTCATTTTGTTGCTTACTTCCGTAAGGATGCATTGTATTTTCTTCTCAGTTTTGGGGTGTTTAGTAGTGGCTACTTATGGCTTTGTATCTTTGTTTCTTTTCTTTCATTTCAGTGACAATATTCATTACTAAAGTGATACCTGTTTTTTGTTTGGTAGGTTATTTGTTACTTCTAGAAAACACTGTCTGCTGGTTAAGAGATTTATATTTTCCTGACTGAGAATTTTTCCCTCCTATAGGTAATAATAACCTCTCTATGGTGGTCGTTGGTTTACCATTCTGTTGCCCTATATCACACATGGCTTCTGTATAGAAGTTTTCTTAACATGCTGCTGTAATCAAAAGGCTTTGTGTGATTGCTTTCCTAAAGAATATTTTTAAACAATTTCTGCCTTTAGAAAAAAAAAGTTGTATAATCATGTTTGTGTTAAATCTTATTTATTTACAAGATGATATAATTTCTTCAAGATGTCTCTGTATTTGTGGTCCATGTTAGTTCATTGTATCATGTTTTAAGAATGCTCTATGTTTCTTTTTAGTTTTACTTAACTGCATCCTCATATAAGTAAATAGATTTGATAGTTTCCAGTCCATATTTGAGACTATGAGAAATAATCACCACTAAAAGTTTCCAAGCTTATGAGGCAGGAATCTCTTAAGGTGCAGCACAAAGAGAAGCAGAAGTTTATTCACTTGAGTTGCATACCATAATGCATTTGGCATGCATTACGGGTTACATGCTTTCCCAGCTAACACTTGGTTCTACAATCATGAACATATATGTTGTGGGGAAATATATTTCCCATAACATGACAAGCTCCCAGACAAAAATGTGTGTATGTACTACTATTTGGGTCCCTTAGGGCTCTTTTTAGTTACTTTTCATTGAGTAACCACATCCTCTTGTTTAGAGCATTGTGTTAAACAAACTTTTCAAAAGTCCAAATCTCATTATGATACCCCCATAACTTAAAAACTAACAAAAGAATTTCCATCATCTTCAAAATAAATTCTCAAATTTTTTCCGAGATAAACAAAATCTTTTATAATCTGGACTTTGACAATATTTCCAGATTCATCTTTCTCTACATTCATATATCACTGTTTACTTTGGCTATATTTAATTCTTGAATTTTCCTTAAATGAACAGTTACCTAATTTCCTTGACTAACATTATAATATTCTTTGATCCTTGAGTGTGCTCAGCCTCATTTCCGTATTCTGTTCAGTGCTAACCTTTTTTTAATTTTAGGGATAAAATCAAGAGACAATATTTGATGACATCTGTTTCTCTATGAGTTCAATTTTAATTAGATGTCCATAGTGTGTGTGTTCCCATTATGTAACTTTATATTTATTATCTGGCAATGTGATATTATTTAATATGTTTTTCTGCAAATTTGAGTTCGTATTTTTTGTTAGCAGGAAACATGTCTTAAGTATCTTTTTTATCTCCTACCCTTGGGAATTAAATATGCTTAACAAATGTTTCCTTAAAATATTTATATAATATTTAAAATATATTTAGTGTATCTTTGGAATGTATTTCAGAAATAAGATACTTGCGTGTTGCCTGGGTGTGGTGGCTCACGCCTGTAGTCCCAGCACTTTGGGAGGCCAAGGCAGGTGGATCACCTGAGGTCAGGAGTTCAAGACCAGCCTGGCCAACATGGCGAAAACCCGTCTCTACTAAAAAATACAAAAAATTAGCTGGACATGGTGGCAGTGCCTGTAATCCCAGCTACTCAAGAGGCTGAGGAAGGAGGATCGCTTGAATCTGGGAGGCAGAGGTTGCAGTGAGCCAAGATCGCGCCACTGCACTCCAGCCTGGGCAACAGAGAGAGACTCCATCTCAAAAAAAAAAGATACTTGTGTGTAAGGATACAGATATTGTGTTGTTAAATTATTTCACTGAAGAATGCATTAATTTACCATGATATACATAAACTATAATTTTTAATGACTTTGTCAATTCAACAGGTAAAATGTGACGTATTAAAGTTGTTTAGGTTTGTATTCTCTAATATCAAATACTTATATTATTAATTACTTATATATTTATATTTTTAAATTGCTTCTTTTCATGTGAATTTTATGCCAGGTCTTGATAATTACAGATTTTAAAACTTAGTTAGTGTTTTCTTATTTTATTATATCCTCCTAATTTTATTATCATGTACTCCATATAAGTTAAAATTCTTATATATTTCATGTCAAAAATTTGTTTTGAATTTTTTATTTCTACAAAGTTGAGAAAATTAAAAAGTAATTCCAAAGACCTAATATTCTTCATACTTTGTGCTATTTTTATTACACTTTATTTTATTTGACATTTCCTAAAAGTTTTTAATTATGAAGAACAGATTTTTTTTGCAACATTCACATTTAGCTTCCCCCAATAATATGTTGTAAATTATCCTTGATTGACTTTCTATTTTAAGAAACTTACTTTGTCACCCATTAATCTATTATTGCACAGATTTAACATAATCTCTAATCAGAAAAACAATAATTGACCCAGGCCTTATTTAAATTTAAATATGGTAATATACTAATTTATCCAAATTACTATATTTCAAAGTATCTCTTTAATAATTTTTGATTGGACTTACAAGAAATGTAAGAGTTAACTTTGAAATTCCAGGTTTTAAATGGCAGAAAAATACCTCACTTTCTTGCTGCTTAAAGATTACTTAAAAACAAACAGAAAAATGGGAAGAACATACATGATCTTCATCCATAATGAAACTAGAAAGGAGATTCCTAAATGCCGAATCCCCAAAACTAAAATTGACAAAACAGTGAATAACAAAAAGAATACAGGGCACCACTCTCCAAGGTGAGGAGCAGGAATGGGTTGGGAAAAATCTAAGGGAAATTTATTTGCAACTATGAAAATAGGATGATTCCACTACTGATGGTTTTATTGATGGCTGTCTCATCATGTCAATGAGTATAAAAGAGCTAAACTCAACTCTGAGAATAAAAGGTTATAGTTTTTATCACAAAACAAATCTAAATTTTTGCCACCTAAGCCAAATAACAAACCGTGGAACTCACAACATTAAAATAAAAGAGAAAGACTTTCAGATTTTCCAGCAAAAGGAAATCAAAAACTTCAAACTTATTGTCAGAGAAGATTACATTTCTGGTGAAAAACATTCAATGACGTGAAGAAAAGCACTTTCATTGATAAACGTTGAGTTGCACTATGACATTAAAAACTCTGAACTCCAAATAACGTTAATCTTAGTAAAGTAAAAAGTACACAATTATACAAGGAATGATGCAAAGAAACAGTAGTAGGAGATATGATTAAAAGAGACTCCATTTATAACAACAAAAATAATGTAATATCTAGGTATCACCTTAACAATAAATATGTAAAAGCTATGTGAAAAAAGCTATGGAATGTTATCAGGCACAAAAAAGAAAAATAGAAACAACAGCAACAAGAACCCAAAATGTAAATAAACAAAAAGGTTTACCACATTTTTGGATTAAAAGACCCAACATTATAAAAATATGAGTTCTCCCAAATTAATCTTCTATTGTAGCTTGGTTTTAATAAAAATACATACAGTTCTTTTTTAAAAAGTAAAGCACAGAACTGTTCTAAAATTCATTTGGAAGGAAAAATGGCAAGGAAGTATAGTCAAGAAAAGTCTAAATTAAAAGAGAATAATGTAGGCTACAGTGAGTTGTGTTCTTGCCACTGCACTCCAGCCTGGGCAAAAGAAGGAGACCCTGCCTCAAAAAAGTAAATAAATAAAAACAAAAAAAGGAGACTAATTTGATAAACTAAATCCTCTGCTCCTATATTCAAAAATATTATATGACATCATCAATGGAGCACTGTGGTTTGAAGCCTGAATATATATATATAAATGAAAAGCCAATTAAGAGTCCAAAATAAATATTAAAAATTAGTACATGATAAAGATGGCCTCTGAATCAGTATTGGCAAATGATACTGATACAATTGAATCGACTCTATGAGAAATGAAAAACAACTTGAGGTGGGGGGAGGGGGGAGGGATAGCATTAGGAGATATACCTAATGCTAAATGAGGAGTTAATGGGTGCAGCACACCAACATGGCACATGTATACATATGTAACAAACCTGCACGTTGCACACATGTACCCTAAAACTTAAAATATAATAATAATAATAAAATTTAAAAAAAAAGAATTTCAGATAGCAAAAACCAAAAAAAAAAAAGAAAAATAACTTGAATGATGCAATTTACACAACAAGAATTATGAAAAAAACAGACTTCAAATTTAAAAGGAACTATACAAGTGTAAAGAGAACACACAGAAAATTGTTTTTAATAATGTAGAAATGGGTAATGACATAAATATTGCTATGTAAACTGCATTAAAATAAGCACCAGTGGAAAAGAAATCAAAATATAAATGACAAACTGAGAAAAAAATAATTAATTAGTAATTGAAATCACAGAGTAAGAATTAATGCTTGGCCGGGCGTGGTGGCTCATGCCTGCAATCCCAGCACTTTGGGAGGCCGAGGCGGGCAGATCATGAGGTCAGGAGTTTGAGACCAGCCTGATCAACATGGTGAAACCTCGTCTCTACTAATAATATAAAAATTAGCTGGGCATGGTGGCAGGTGCCTGTAATCCCAGCTACTCAGGAATCTGAGGCAGTAAAATTGCTTGAACCAGGGAAGCGG
The DNA here is from genome assembly GCF_000001405.40 of Homo sapiens. Lineage (NCBI taxonomy): Eukaryota > Metazoa > Chordata > Mammalia > Primates > Hominidae > Homo > Homo sapiens. The sequence goes on along the minus strand of NC_000001.11, from coordinate 80,067,590 downwards.
AGGTTGCAGTGAGCCGAGATCGCACCACTGTACTCCAGCCTAGAAGACAAAGAGAGGGTCCATCTCAGAAAAAAAAAAAAAAAAAAAAACAACAACAAAAAAAACGAATGCTTTAACTATATATAAAGAAGGCACTAAAATCAATAACAAAACATCAAAACTCCCATTGGATAAATGGACATACGGAATGAATAGGGAGAGAACATAAGAGGAACTAAAAACAGCCCTTAGGTGACACATAGCAGCTTCAACCATGATAAGAGAATAAAGCCTAAAACTTCATTTTGGAAACCATTTTTTTAAATCACTCTGATTGGCAAATATAAAAAAAAGTTTGATAACAAAATGGATGTTGAGGGACTTTAGAAACAAAAACTCACATACACTTCTGGTCAAGGTGCGACATGAGATATCCTCTACTGAGTATTCGAACACAGACCAATTAGAATTTATGTGTACTTGGTCCTGTGGACTCCATTGGCAGGAATACACTTTATGAATTTATTCACTCATGTAGGACATTAGCATTGCTTGCAATGGCATTTTGTATAAAATTTATCTGATAATATGCCAGATAACAGCAGTGGAATACAATATTGTTTCTACAATTCTGAATTAGCCTGTATGGACAGATCACAACAATTTTCCTTAGTGAAAATAAAATGCTATCTACAAAATAGAGTGTGTATTATTCTCTTATTTAGCAAAAATAAAATAAAATAAAATAATAAAGAAATGAAATAAAAAAGATGTTTTATTCATTAATCCAATATTTATGGAATGTGTCCTGTCTCAGACTCTGCTCTATGAACTTGGGATAAATAAGCAAATAAGACACTTTCTACTCTCATGGAGGCTTCATTTTGGTTTACACGTTTCCTTGTATATGCTTAGAATGTCAGAAGTATAGACAAAATAAATTAATAGTGATTTATTGACAGGACAAATGCTGTTTTTTTTTTTCTGTTGTTTGTTGTTTTTAATGAGGAAAGCACTAAAGTAAGGGCCGAGAAATCAGTAAAATTCTCTTCTGTGAAAAACTAAATCACTATTAAATTTTAACATAAGTAGAAGGCATGTATTGGCAAATAAAAAGTGGTTTAGTTCTGGGAACTTGGCAGCATAAGCAGGAAAGATGGCCATAGACTAGAACCCAATTCGTCTGGCTTAAGTGGAAGGGATATTAGAGGGATTAACGAGAAATAAGACAATAAAAATTGTTTGCAGAGGTAAGATCTTTTTGAGACTCTAACAAAGAGCAATTTCAGTTTGGAGAGGGAAATGATACAATGAAATTGATTTATGATGATGAAGCTTTCAAAGAACTACAGACCACAGGCCAGAAGGAATGTAAAACATGCTATTCCAACCAGCAGACAATTTATAGAACAAAAAAGGTGAATTACTTGCCCAAATTCACACAATTGCTTGGTAAACAGGGCTAGTAAACAGGCTTCCTACACAGCCTTTGTGAATAATTGAGTAACAGACTAACTGCAGTGGGAGAAAATATGAGAGATGGGGCAGCCAGAAAGGAAACATGAGGTTTTGAATGAAAAAGCAGTTGTCATAAAACTAGAAGCCTACTATTTATACTTTTCTGTAGTAATTTTAATTAAGATAATAGAGGCCAAGAGATAAATTGCACAAGGAGCAGTCTCTACAGAACGTGGGCTTGTCTCAAGGAAGGGGAATTGCAAGGTTAGGAGGCAGATGTATTTCAGAATGTAAATAGAGCCTGTAGTATTTTGAAATTCATTTTACACATTACCTATTCAAAAATTAATTAAGTTGAAGAAAAATAAAATAAATGGGAGAAGTATAGATATCTTTCAACTAGAATTTTGTAGATACCTTTCAACTGGCATTTTGAACTGTGTAACAGAAAGAATATTGGATTAAAATGCTATCATTTGCAAGCTAAATTACCCTGGGCAAATTATTTAACTTCTTTGAATTCCAACTTCTTTGCTTATAAAATTAGAATCACAATCCTTCTAAAATTCCTTTCCTGGACTGTATCTATGTATGTACATTTATATGTAAAAATGATAAATATTTATAACACATAAATGTACATATGTGTGACAGAATTAACTGATTTTTTTTGTAATTTTTCTCAAGCCTGATATAGTCTATGCATAATCTTTTGTGTATATAAAGCATAGTAAACATGTCAAACACAGAAGTTTCTTTCATTAATAATCTCATAACCTTAAAACAACAAAATAATTACTATGAAATTGTTAAATACACAATGCAGAATAAGAACTACTTATAATTAACTATGGTTTCCTTAATTAGGCTTGCAGAAATAAATAATGTAGACCCTGGGTACATTTCAAAAGTCTTTATTTTATGTACTTCCATTGTTGGATTTTTAAGTCTAAACTCCAGTCATATTGAACAACTTTCAGGTTCCTAATGCTTTGTTCTTCTATAAGATTTTTGACATGTTTGAACATCCTGACTCTCTCTCTGCTTAGGTTCTGTCTTATTGTGTGTTCCATCCCCTCTCTTATTCCTCTCCTTCACTGACTTACTTTTTCCTTCAGCTAGTCACTTCCCCCAGAAATCATCCCTATCATCTGAGCCCAATGCCTTTCTAATATATCGCATATCACTTATACCTACTCCCACTAATAATAATTAAAATAATGTCATATACTGAATTATTATATGCCAAGACTCTTCTGAATATTTTATATGAGTTTCCCATTTACTGCTTTAAATTAACCTTCAAACATCTGAACTATTAATCTTTCCATTTTACAGGTATGGAAAACAAAGCTTGGAAAGGGGTAAGTAACGCCCAAGGTCATGGAGCTGAAAAGTAATAGAGCTGGTATTCAAACACAGGTTGCCTGACTCACTCTAACTCACTCCAGTGATTCACACTCACTTGTGCTACCCTGCTTATATGCATCTCTCAATGATCTTTAAAGACTCCTGAGGTCAGAGATAGTACCCTTTTATTTTATCTCTAATATTTAGCAAAGTGCCTGACATCAAGGGTCATTCTCATTTATGGCCATTGAAGTCATTACCTGTGACGGTATTTGGAATGTATGAGGAGCCAGGAAGTTATAGACTTTATCCAGTAGGAGATCAGGCAACAAGAAGAAAATAGGTAATCATTCGTGGAAGGGTGGCTGCATAAGTGCCTGTCATCTGACACTTCTGATTGTGTCATCATCATTTGCTTTGTGATCACTAATGAAGCAGAGCCTCTGACACGAAATAGGAGCGCCTGTCTTTGATGGGCTAAGGACCATGGCAAGGGTGCCCACAACAGGGCCAAGCAGTCTCCCACACCCATGCTCATCCAGACAGCTTCTGAGCTTTGCGTACCTTGAGATATGGCATTAATTATTTCTTAAATGACTACAAAGATTCAGCATTTTTAAGTTTGTCCAGATAAACAGATAGAGAGATAGATAATAGATAGATATAGAGATTTATAGATATGTAAATAGAGCTAGCAGTGATGGCTAGTTTCTAATTTTGATTTCGAATTTCTTCTTTCCTCTAGTTAGGCCTGTATTGCTGTTCTTGGTCATGCTATTCAAGTCCCATGATACTTTTCTATATGGCCAAATCATTTTTATTGCTTGCCTTTCTACATTTTTTGCATTAAGGTCCTTATTAATATTTTCACACAATTTCTTTTTTAAAAATACTTCTTTAAATAGCACGGTAATTTTAATTCTTTATGATTCAATATACTTTACAAAGTACATAGCATGTAACGATTTCCTTGGCTGACATCTTGCGAAGTTTTTGTCCCTTTCTGCAGACACACTTTCTGCTTCGTCTTCTCTGTGTTTCTTGATGTTTTGGCCATGTACCTACTGTATGAAACGACTGTTGCTTATGCTAAGGCAATAGGTGGATATGAATTTTAAACCATCTTCACTTAGTGAGATGAGTAATTTCCAGGATGAGTAAGTTTGAAAGTATATCTCCCAAAAGGTAATAACATAGATAAAATGATTCCTACACTTGCATGCAAATACATTACACATTAATTTTACCTATAACAGCTCAGATGTGCATGAGTTCTTAACCATTATTATCTTCCTCTTATGAAGGTTACTTATAGATTCTAATTTCCAAATAAAAAATGCTGAAAGATGTGTATGTGTGTGTGTGTGTGTGTGTGTGTGTGTGTGTGCACGTGCGCGTATGCATTCTTTAGGCTGTGCCTTATAAATTCTAAAATATTTTAATTAAAAATAAATCAAATTGAAGCTAAAAATATTTATGATTAACTGAGTTAAATATTTAAATTACTGGTCAAGTTTTAAATGTTGTTTAGCCTTTTATTGAAGTTGTTGGCAACACTGCAAAAGAAGAACTAACTGGTTGATATCTTTTTCATTTCATATTAATATTCAAGTACAGCTAGACCTCTCTTAATATTCAGGATGAAAATTTACATGGACACGAAGCAGAATACATAGAATATGATGGATTTAATATTTTATTTTCATTATGTGTCATATTTTGTCCATGCCAATTAATGCCTCTTTTGAACTGAGAATCTAGCTTTATATTCAAGGGTACATTTAAAAATTTTTTTCCTGTCAAGTATAAATAAACATAGGTAAATTTTAAGCCAGGGTTTATGAGTAATGTTCTCGCCATATGCATAACAGGCACTTAGCTGATAATGAAGTTTCCTGTGCCATATATTAAATCTTTATGTATTATATAAAATTCTATAATGAAGTATCTAAAAATATAGTTGTCATAAGCCTAGGACCTGGATAAATGTTTTCTTTGTTATAATTGTTCCAATTTCATATCACCGTTATTAATGATTTCATAAGCACCTAATTCTTTCTCCCACCTGAACTGAGAAATGGGTAATTTTTCAAGCCCATAAAAATTTTGTGTTGAATTAAAACTACACTCATTATCTTAAACCAGAACTTATCCTTTGGGTATAATCACCCCGCCTATGACACAGATTTTCTTTGCTATTTAATAGTAGTTTTTACTTTTACTATTATAAGCTGCATAAGGTCATAACCAATTAATCATCCTCTTAATTTATTCTTATTATCCTATTTATTGTTTCTTCCTTATTATTTATCAGCTATACTATCTCTTTTTTTGGAAAAGAAAAATCTACCTAACTCTGTCTCTTCTTAATAGTTAAGGATGTCTTGGAAAGATTTTGAATTTTTAAGGCACTAAATTTTCCCCCAAATCATGGTATTTGTACATAAAACACTGTAAATGAATAATTTATTGACAAAGTTAAGTAAAAAGATAAACAAGGAAATTCTTAATCAAAAGTCCAATATTTTATTTTAATAGTTGGTGCAGCTGGCAATTGTAGGCCAGCTTACTTCAGACAAGGTGTCCCACTGATAACAACCAGAAAAGCTGGGAAAAAGTTTAATTTATCTACTTAAAATTATCAGAAAGCTACCAAGAATTCGAGGACTTGTGGAATCACCATTCTGAAAAAAAAAAATGAAGACCAGAATTCTGCAATTAATTTTTGAAACTCTTTTTTTTTTTTTTTATTGTGGCACTTGCCAATTCGAAGGCAGTATCTAAGAAACTAAGAATCTGAGTAGAAGCAAAAGGTGACAATCAGAGAAGATGGGCAGTCTTAAAGTCTCTCAAGCCTGAGGGGACAAAAAATGGGAGTTTTGGGATAAAAATGGGAGTTCAAGGAATGCAGGATGGAAGGAATACTGTGATCATCCAGACTTTCTCTTCAGAACCCAAGGGCCATATTCTAGGAATAAGAGAGAATTACCAATAGACTAGTGCTTGCAAAGACTGGAGTTCAGCTTAGAATCAATAGGTTCTTGCGTATGGCTACCAATTTACCTGCCTGTGGGAAGAAAAAGTAAATTCTCTCTATGCAAGAAGAGCCATCCTTATAGTTGTTTTTCTTTTTAAACAAAACATATGACAGTCAATCAAAAATTTTAGGCATACAAACAGCAAAGAATTGACTGAAAAACCCATAAAAACCAAAAATGAAACAGAAAATAGAAGTATAACAATAAGCTTTATGATATATATAGTTATCTAATGTTTTGTTAAAATGCTATATTTTATGTGTGTGTGTGTATATATACATATATATAGAGAGAGACAGTTATCAGTTCAAGATAAATGAAGTGGGCAAGAATAAGTAAGGATATAAAATGTTTAAACAATAAAATCAATAAGGTAGATTTGTTAATATACATAAAACTTTACACCCATTATTAGAGGATGCATATTTTTCTCAAGTTTAAACGAATCTTTTTGAACAGTTTATCACACGTTGTATTACAAAAAAAACTCAAATTTCTTAAAATAAACATAAGACAAATAACATTCTCTTATTCTAATGCAATAAATATTGAAACATAATAATCCTAGAAACCAAAAAATGTCATTCCGCATAAAAGCTTAAAAAATCTCTTTCCATTAAGTAATTTATCAGTGAAAGAAGAAATATAGGCCGGACGCGGTGGCTCACGCCTGTAATCCCAGTACTTTGGGAGGCCAAGGCGGGCGGTACATGAGGTCAGGAGATTGAGACCATCCTGGCTAACACACTGAAACCCCGTTTCTACTAAAAATACAAAAAATTAGCCAGACATGGTGGTGAGCACCTGTAGTCCCAGCTACTCGGGAGGCTGAGGCAGGAGAATGGGGTGAACCTGGGAGGTGGAGTTTGCAGTGAGCCGAGATTGTACCACTGCACTCCAGCCTGGGCGAAAGGGTGAGATTCCGTCTCAAAAAAAAAAAAAAAAAAGAAGAAATACAAATGAAAATTACAGAATCTCTAAAAATATAATATTGATTAAAGGTAGCACATGATAGAATATAAGCAATACATATAAATCAGTAATCACAGAGAAATGAACAGCCTGAAATACTCATATCAATATTTTTTATAAATAAGAAATAAAATAAATTCTAAATATTAGAAAATATTTAAGTAATTCAGTAATAGCCTTATATTCAAAAATCATTAACGCATACTATATCATTAGATAAAAAGATAAAAACACACCCATGATTACTTCTATAGATGCTGAAAATGCCTTGAGACAATCCAAAACCCATTTTATATTTAAAAAAAAATACAGAATATGATAGGAATTGAGAAATACTTTTGTAACAGAAATATATATACATATATTTGTGTGTACATATATGTGTAACATATTAGATGTACATATATAGTGTACCATATATATACACTCCATACATGTGTGTATTTACAGCTGACCCTTGAAGAACATGACTTTGAACTGCACAATTTCAGGTACACATAAATTTTCTTCTACCTCTGCCACCCCTGAGACAGTAAGACCAACCTCTCCTTTTTCTCTTCCTCCTCCTCAGACTACTCAACACTAAGACAATGAGGCTGAAGAGCTTTACGATGATTCACTTCCTCTTACTAAAATGTAAATGTACTTATCTTCTGTTACGGTTTGGCCACCCTAATCTCATCTTGAATTGTAGTTCCCCAAATCCCCACGTATCACGTGAGGGACCTGGTGGGAGGTAATTGAATCATGCAGGCAGTTACCTCCATGATGTTCTCATGATAGTGAGTGAGTTCTCATGAGATATGATGGTTTTATAAAGGGCTTTCCCCAACCCACCTGCTTCACTCTGCACTTCTCCTTGCTGCCACCATGTGAAGAAGGGTGTGTTTCCTTCCCCTTCTGCCATGATTGTAAGTTTACTGAGGCTGCCCCACCTATGCGGAACTGTGAATCAATCAAATCTCTTTGCTTCATAAATTACCCAGTCTAGGGCAGTTCTTTATAGTAGCGTGAGAATGAACTAATACAACTTCCTTATGGTTTACTTAGTAACATTTTCTTATCTCTAGCTTGTATATACAGTATATAATACAGTACATGGTATATGTAACATACAAAATGTATGCTAATTGATTATGTTATCATAAGTCATCTGGTCAACAGTAGGCTATTAGTTAAGTTTTGGGGAGTCATAAGGTATATGCAAGTTTTCAACTGTGCGAGGTGGGAGAAATGTGTCCCTAACCCCTACTTTGTTCAAGGATCAACTATATATGGGAATATAAATATAACCAAATAAAGGAGAAAACCTATATGATCATGTGAACAGATGCAAAAAATTTGTCACCCATTTATAATAATAAAATCAGATTAGAAATAGAGATTTCTTTAATGTTATGATTTAAAAGTGACTATAAATGCCTAAAGCAATTATGTATTTAATGGCCAAATATTTTAAACTTTCTTCTGGGTTTGGGAATAGAATGAGAATGGTCACTTTCACCACTTATTTTCAACTTGGATTGGATCTCTTTTCAGGCCAATAAAGTAAAAAAAAATCCTAGGCTTACAGTTAGAAATAAAAAAGCAAAATTTGTATTACTTATAGATAACATTGTACATATAGAAACTTCAATATTTCTATAGGGAAATTTATAGAATTAAGAAGTGACTTTGATAAGGTTGCTAGACAGAGGTCCATACAGAAAAATGTGTTGTATTAGTAGATATTTGCGACAGCCAATTAGAATATAAACTGTCATTTATCATTCAAAGTGAAAGATACACAGGAATATTATTAATAAACTATGTCCAAGGTGTCTATGAACAAAAGTGTAAAATCCCATGTTCCGACCCTAAAGAAAGTTTAAGTAAACTCAAAGATTATACTGTGTTCATAGATGTATAGATTATCTGCAATTCAAATTTTAAAATATCAGGGTGGGAAGCAGAGTACTATATGTGTGTATATGTGTGTGTGTGTGTGGGGGGGTACCACTTGACAAACAGATTATAAAATTAAAATAAAAATACAAAACGCCAAGAATACTTAGAAAATCCTTCAAGAAAGAAAACCTTAAAAGACTTGCTTCTTTTAGCTCTAAGTAATAAAACAATGCTGCCTTGGAGCAGAATGATATAGACATATATAAACTAACATTACATCATATAGAACCCTAAAACAAATATGTGTGTACACAGAAACTTGATATATGACAAAGGGTGTCCTAGGTAGTTGGGAGACAAAGAAATGCTTTTATAATTGGCCCTTGAAAAATTAGCTATCAGGTAAAAAAAAAAAAAAAAAAAAAGCGAAATTGATCTTTAACATCTTATGTATAGCAAAATCAATCTTGAGTGGGTTAAAAGTCTAGATGTAAAAGAAAAATTAATTCATAAATATTATGTAAGGAAACACTTCTGAAATGTGACAAGAAAATCTCTAATCATTGAAGGAAATATTGTATGTCTACTTTATTAAAATTTAGAACTTGTGAATATGAAGAGAAATGGTTTAGAACATGTAGATTATAAAAGAAATTCCTGCAAAACAAGACAGCCCAAGAGATCAATGGGTCAAAAGGCCTATACAAGTATATGATAAAAGGAAAAATCCAGATGACCAATAAATAGTCCATATATCTTATTATTTATTAATCAAGGAAGTATAAATTTAAATCACAATGACACACTCATAAACCTATCAAATGGCAAAAACTAAAAACATTATAGGTGGCAATTGGGAAAACAGAAAATCTCATTCACTACCATTAGGAGAGTAAATTAATATATTCAGTGAAAAATAGGTTAACCCTATCTAGAAAGTTGAAAATAAATTTACCTATGACGGAAATTCCTACTTTAAAGAGGAACTCATCTGCAAGTACATCAGTGTCCACATATAAAAAGGCTCCCAAATAATTTATGTAATAGTCAATCCAAATACTGCAAAAATAATTTGTACTTCTTGGTAGAGTTGTATGATGGAGCATTGTACAGGCGTGAAAATGAACTCCATACAATATCTTGGGTGAATTTCACAAATATAATGTTGAACCAAAGAAACAATACACACACATACACACAAAGTTCAAAAAATCCCTAAGCTCTAATGTTTAAGGGTTTATACACAGATGTTTAAACCAAAAAGAAAAGTAAGAGAATAATTAGGAAAAATGTCAGAGAAGATACCTTCCAGGGAGAAGGATGGTTTTGTGATCAGTGAGGGACACAGAGAGACACCCTTATGTGACTGTCAATGTTCATTTTATTTATCCAGATAGTGGTTATGCAATTATTTGCCTTATAATTACTTGTAAAATATGTGTTTATGTACTTTTTATGTCTATATTATGTTTCACAGTAAAATAAAAATATATTTAATATGATGCTATTTTGGGGATATATCTATAGAGCTATCTATTACAAAGTAAACAATAGTTATTTCTGAGTGGTAAGATTGGGAAATTTTAAAATTTCTTCTTCACACTTTTATTATTGCCAGGTATCATTTAAAAAAAAAAGTTACGTTCTAGAAAAGAAAAGGTAATATAATTTTGGTATAAGAGAATTTCTTACTACTAGTACATAAATTTTTAGTTGGGTGTGGGTAGCCCTCCTGTAGGAATGTTGGCAAACCTGACAAAGAAAACATTTCTATCCATACTGTAATCCTGGTTTTGCTATCTTCGTGATATTTGCAGAATCTGTATGTTAAGTGTATAAGAATTTGTTATTTAAGGTGACTCCCACTGAAGTATTTGGACCATGTCATTTAATATTCCAGTGGTTTTGAAACTTTGTCTTTTCTATTTTACAGGAGACAGAGAAAAAGAAGTATGCTCCAGAAATTTTTTAATTTTAATTGCTTCATTATTAACAATATAATGATATATTATAAAATTACTTTTGTTAGGAAATTTTACTCAGTAATACAATTAATTACCAAATAATTATATATTAATCAATAGATGAGATTAAAATATGTTTCCATTTTTATATTTTGCTGGTAGATTATAATTTAAGATTATCCATTTTGAAATTTATTCTACTGGAAAAAATGTAAAATTTTGTTTTTTTACCTGTAAAGAAAAATCATTGAAAAAATAATTTTCACTCACTCAATTTATCTTTCTATTTCAAATTTTGCAAAGATACGAACTCAAGTCAAAAATCTTGGAAAATGAATTATAGATTTCACTGGGGCAAAATACATAAATTAGCAATATGTTTAAATATGTTTAGATTATACCTGTAAAACACACTTGATATATAACAACTATTTACTCACTTGCCAACAAGTCATATTAAATATTTAATGGTCAATATTAGAAAAGATAGGTTGGAATGTCTTTGTTCCAACTCTCTGACTCCCAAGAGTCAATGAAGCTTTTATTATTGTCTTCATGTTTAGACTTGTGTCTGAATATCACCCAACCTTTTGCCTACTGAAGCCACAGGTTGCTTGTTTATTGAAAGTTTCTAAGTTACCATTTGAAAAATCACAAGCACATACACACACACAATTTTAATTTACCTAGATACTTAAAAACATGAATCTAATCTGGCTCACATGTGTTTTGCAAAACCTAGTCAAACTTTTCTACTTTTAAGAATTTAATTACTGTAGGTCAGTGCTAACACCAATTTTGGCATCAGAAAATTAAATAAATTTACACTTATTATTTTTATTCAATATAAGAACAGCATTTCTATTACTTATGGTCCTTTTTGATTTGGGATAGCAAACATTTGTTTTGACTGACAACATAAAATTGTAGAATTACATCAGTTGTATTTTTATAAAAATTGGAAATATTTAAAAATAATTGGATGATATTATATAACTTTATAAATATGACATATAGAATAAGTTCCAGGGCTCACGTAACTTTATCTGTCTTTATTGGACTCTCTAGATATTCCTCTAAATAAATTTTGATTTTATGCTTTTTTGATTGGTGATTTTTACAAAATCTAGTTTGATTTGTGAAAGGAATATCCTTTTTAGGTAATCTATCTTATTTTCTCTGCTAACTACTCAGTAAGGCTAAGCTAATAATAAAGTTGTGAAAACAATATAAACTATCATTTTTGTAAAGTGAGAAAATGGTTTATTCCTGTAAAACACCATCATAGGATATTTTGTAATTAATAAAGATATAATATTTTTAATGTTCCAAGGATGCAGACACATTTGAACATTACATGAAATGTTGTTTGACCAAATTATTAAATCACTCACTATACACTATTTTAAATTTATCTTTGTCACTAAATAAATGCATTTCAAAAGCTTTTTACACCTTATCAAATTACTAAACAAATACTACAAATATATACTCTTTTCATTGTAGCCAATAGCCTTATTTCAGGAAAACTTCTTGCTCTCTAGAGTAAAAAATTTTAAGTAAACTCAAGAGATTATTTGAAAACATCTTCCAAATTAGAAACAGCTGATGGCACTTAATATCTTACCCACAAGTAATCAATTTTTATTTACTTTTCAAGTACATACCAATCACATAATGGCTGTGTTTATTAAATATGGATTTTATTTTATAAAATGTACTAAAATAATTATATTTTATCTTAGCTCATCAATGGCTTTGACATTCAGTCCATAATTCTTTAAAATTAACTGTCTAAAGTGGTATTTGTTTACCTCACATACTAAGGCTCTTCAAAGCACATAATATTCAATAAGGAATTTAAAACATCACTGCCAGACTTAGTCAATGATTACACAAATTTTTAATAACGATTATGATAATTTCTATTCTGTGTTCATGTACAACACTCAGAGGTTAATTTGCTTTAGAATGCTGAAATATGATAGTCATGCTTATTTAATGTGTAACAAATAACTTATGGCTTTATGGTAAAAAATCAGCAATTAAATTGTGATATTGTTGGTATTTTAATTTACCCAAAGATAACTTACATGATTTTGTCTTTTAGAAAATATTATGAACCAAGTGGAGATTACCAGGTTACACAAAAATTTAAAAAGAAAATTAAAATATTTTGAAGATATTATTTTCAAACTTGTGGTTGAGCCAAACAAATATGACCAAAAATAAAATATTAATATATTCATACAACTATCTTAGAAATTAGGTAGTTTTCATTTTAATGCTGGTTTAGTTTTTTAAATTTCTGTCAAAAATGTTTATTAAAACCAATAGAAATAATCAAGACTAATTGTCAGGCTGTAACTTAGGTGCAAGGGGAGTCAATGGGCGAGTGGCAGGTAGCTGGAAAAACACTTGAGGAATCGTAGACAATTTCGACATGGTTTTACTCTCTCTGGGTGTGAATGAGCCTGGGTGTGAGCCATATGTGCAATGTTAGCAGGGTAACTATACCTTTTACAGATAATATTGGCTCCGAGCCAAGAATGAGCTCATGTGTGTGATCACCTAATGCTCCTCAAGTGGCGTGGTTGTACATAATGAGTGGAGTTGTTTGTCTGCACTCCAAACTCGCTGAGTCATGCTGGACCAGATGTCTGCCTCTGGCCATTCTTGACCACAGCACATCCATTTTCCTTACACTCCACCCCCTAGGCCGAGGGGGAACATAGGCTTTGGACGCACAGGTCTGACAAACAAGCCTGGCACATAGGCTTTGGGCAGACAATGACCAATACACAATTTATAAATAGGCTTTGGGCACACAAGCCACAGCAACAATACAGAGAGCAACAACTCCAGGTTATGGCGGGTAACCACCCCATGGTGATGTTACCCCAATGTTGCTGAGAGGTGACAGCGTGCTGGCAGCCCTCACAGCCCTCGCTCGCTCTGGGCACCTCCTTGGCCTTGGCAGCCACTGTGGCCATGCTTGAGGAGCCCTTCAGCCCACCGCTGCACTGTGAGAGCCCTTTTCTGGGTTGGCCAAGGCTGGAGCCGGCTCCCTCAGCTTGCGGGGAGGTGTGGAGAGAGAGACGCAGGTGGGAACTGGGGCTGCGCATGGCACCTGCGGGCCAGCACGAGTTCCAGGTGGGGTGGGCTCAGTGGGCCTGTACTCGGGAGTGGCCTGCCAGCCCCACTGGCCCCAGGCAGTGAGGGGCTTAGCACCCGGGCCACCTGCTGTGCTCGATTTCTCTCCAGGCCTTAGCTGCCTCCCCAACCCGGACCTGCAGCCCACCACGCCTGAGCCCCCTCACACCCCCCATCAGCCCCCATCCTCCCCATCCCCCATGGTGGGCTCCTGCGCAGCCTGAGCCTCCCCAAAGAGCGCCGCCACCTGCTCCATGGCACCTGGTCCCATCAACCGCCCCAAGGGCTGAGGAGTGTGGGCACACGGCACTGGACTGGCAGGCAGCTCCACCTGCGGAGCCAGTGTGAGATCCACTGGGTGAAGCCAGCTGGGCTCCAGTCTAGTGGGGACTTGGAGAACTTTTATGTCTAGCTGAGGGATTGTAAATACACCAATCGGCACTCTGTATCTAGCTCAAGGTTTGTAAACACACCAATCAGCACCCTGTGTCTAGCTCAGGGTTTGTGAATGCACCAATCAGCACTCTGTGTCTAGCTCAGGGTTTGTAAATACACCAATCGACACTCTATATCCAGCTAATCTAGTGGGGACTTGGAGAACTTTTGTGTCTAGCTCAGGGATTGTAAACGCACCAATCAGCACACTGTCAAAACAGACCAATCAGCTCTCTGTAAAACAGACCAATTGGCTCTCTGTAAAATGGACCAATCAGCAGGATGTGGGTGGGGCCAGATAAGAGAATAAAAGCAGGCTGCCAGAGCCAGCAGTGACAAGCCACTCAGGTCCCCTTCCACACTGTGGAAGCTTTGTTCTTTCTCTCTTTGCAATAAATCTTGCTATTGCTTACTCTTTGGGTCCTCGCTGCCTTTATGAGCTGTAACACTCACCACGAAGGTCTGCAGCTTCACTCCTGAAGACAGCGAGACCACAAACCCACCGGGAGGAATGAACAACTCCAGACGCGCCACCTTAAGAGCTGTAACACTCACTGCAAAGGTCTGCAGCTTCACTCTTGAGCCACTGAGACCACGAACCCACCAGAAAGAAGAAACTCGGAACACATCCGAACATCAGAAGGAACAAACTCTGGACACGCCGCCTTTAAGAACTGTAACACTCACTGCGAGGGTCCACGGCTTCACTCTTGAAGTCAGTGAGACCAAGAACCCACCAATTCCGGACACATTGCTTTATACATTAAGCCAGGTTTTTGTTCCCTTACCTTTAGGGGCATTGGGGCAGGCAACAACAGGTTACCATTTGTCTGCATACGTGGTCGGAGAAGGTCATCCTTCTTCCTATAGGTCTTGCCACATGGCTTGGCCTCACATGGGCTGGTGACTAGCCACTTCTGTAACTTCCAGGTAGTTAGCCACAAGGTTAAGTCTCAATAAACTGCCCAAATACCGGTGCAGATTACCATAGGTGTCACCTCCTTGGTGATCACCATCCACATTGCTCTGGGTTCAGCCCATCGACTGCTTTGTTCACACTCGGTTTCAAACCATATGGTGTCAGTACTAGGCTGGACCGTGACAGCAGTCCAGGCAGCAGCAGCACCTCGTATAGACCCATCTGTGTACCATGCCTCATTGGAAATGGGGGCATGCCTTTCCTTAAATGGAGAAGGCTTAGGGTCTAGGGGTGCCTCAGGCCCATGGCCTAATCTTGCATTAGGACTACAGGTCCCAAGACCTCTTGCAATCTGCTGCTAAGGGCCTTGTATTCAGCGTACTCCGTTGTTAAGTGGATGTCTGTGCTGTCCCAGTCCGGGGGGTCATTACCCATGAATGCACTCATCCTGCTATTGGATAAGTTGTCCGCACGACCACTACAGCTGGTCCTGTCACACTCTCACAAGCCTGCAGGACAGCATATACAGCTGCTAGCTGTTTCTCTATCAAGGAATAGCGGAGCTCAGCTCCCTTCCATAGTTGGGATCAAAAGCCCACTGGCGTTCTCAAGTGCTCTGTGCGTTGCCACAGGCCCCAGCCGAAGCCATCTGTGGTCACATGCACATCCAGCTCAAACGGGCACCCCTGGTCAACTACCCATAGGGCTTGTGCCTGCTGAAAAGCCCGTTTGGCTGCCAGGAAGGTGGTCTCAGCCATACTATTTTAATTCTAGCAAGAAGAGCATTGCCGCTTCTAAATCTGCCAGAGAATCAGAGGTAAACAATATCATCAACAAGACCAGGACATAGGGTGGAGCTAAGCATACAGCCCTGCGACAACACTGTGAAAGTCCACTGTTGCCTTCCCATGAAGCCAAACTGTTCCTGGATCTCTAGAGTAATGCTAATTGAGAATGCATTGGTCAAGTCCACCACATCGCGGTACTGTCGTAATTCTGTTGTCAAGTGGTCCTTCAAGTCCGTGACAGACGGCATAGCTGCCAAGCCGTGTAAAACGTCCACCCTCAGAATGTATTCAGGTGTGAGAGAGACATATACAGTGCATAAGCGGGGAGCCAAGCAGCTGATGCAGAGGTGCAAAGATACAGGTTTCACTTTCACTGACCGGTCTTCATAACCTATGTAAGCAGGTTTGCCGGAAAACTTACCTGGGTTCCCATAAAGAAGGCTGCTTACCGATTTTCTCTCAGTCAACCCAGGCCAAAATCAAATCTATCCACATCTGTGAACATGTCACTCATTGGGGCCCCCTTTTCTCCCTTGGAGGACCCCCTGCAGGCGGGTCATATTCACCTTCTTTATGGCATGAACCCCTCAGTCCCACTCAGTCCCGCCAACAGCCTTCAGGCCTGCACTCACAGCGGCCTCTAATTACTTTTCCAAGCTTGGTAGCCGGCCCTCCAGGCGCCCAACCGGCACCTGGAGGTCCCCATTCACGGCAACTTCTGTTTTTCTGAGCTGTGTAGCCGGGTCTCCAGGCACCCCACCTGTGCCTGAGGGTCCTTACTTCTGCATCCCTCAGGGACTGCATATGTACTTCTCACAGCGCAGTCAAAAATGCCCATCCAACTCCGCCGGCAAAGGCTTGTTCCTTCTCAGTGCTCTCTGCTTCCAGCTGCTTCAGCGCCTTCTCCATGCTCGTGGGGCACCCGTCTACTGCCGCCCAAGTTTCCACCAGAGCCCATCCAAGCAGCACAGCTGCCACCGGATACCACAACCCATGTTAGAGCCACATGGCCAACCCGGAATCAGCGGGGACCGAAGACTCACTCACTCCGAGATCCTATTCGTGATGCCAGTTGTCAGGTGCTAACTGAGGTCAGAGATGGGTGAGTGGTGGGTAGCTGGAAAAACACTCAAAAAATCTAGACAGTTTCGACATGGCTTTACTTTCTCTCTGGGCGCAAGCGAGCCTAGGCGCGAGCCGTATATACAGCGTTAGCAGGGTAATTATACCTTTTATAGACAACAGTGGCTCTGAGCCAAGCACGAGCTCACCTGGGTGATCACCTAATGCGCCTCACGTGGCGTAGTTACATAATAAGCGGAGTTGTGCTAAGCGGAGTTGTGCACCTGTGCGCTAAACTCGCTGAGTCATGCTGGACTGGATGTCTGCCTAGGCGTATTCTTGACCACAGCACATCCATTTTTCTAACAATAATGTAGTTGTTTTTCAGACAACTTAAGCTAAATTTATGCTAAGTGATAGAATAATTAGCATTAAGGCCTAGAAAAAATCTCATAAATCATTTAATTTTACATTCATTCTATTAACTTAGAACAGTAGTTCCACTTCTGGTAAAACACACTCCAAAAAATGGTATTTTTTATATTGCCTTTATATATATCATAATACACACATTTTACATTATTATTTTGAATGTTCTATGAAGTCCTAAGTTAAGAATGTGTTTAAGTTTGCTTCTTTGAGCTTTTCACATATGCATTTACTCATGGAACAGTTTTTAGTTTCATATTCATGTAATATTGCCTTTTAAATATTAATGTTATTTTCCCTTTTGTTTTTCTGTACCCAAGACATTTTCTCTTCTCCAACCAAGGCATGTATCTGACTAGGGGATGGGGATGGTGGTGGTAATGGTAGTATGTGGTAATATTATATAATAGAACTTCTTATAGAGAAATCAAAGAGCATTATCAAGAAAACTTTCAGCTTCTGAAACTTGAAAATATTATTTTTGCAGTAAGAAAATAACCCTGAAAGTCAGGCTATTGTACCAAGAAAGGGAGCATAATTTTTAAAAAATCCACTTTGAGTATGTCAAGGGTCAATCCTGGAGTAATCTGTGCACAGCTTCTTCTGTAATACATAAAAGATAATACCTATGCTCATCTTTTATTAAATGATGTCTATGGTAGCAAGAGGATACAATGTAGGAGGAAAAGGGAAGAGTAGAGACAAGTAACCAGGACTTTGTTATAATTTCTCCTTTCTGGGCTTTCACCCTGGCAGAGATTGTTAAATAATTTTAGATAATTGCTTAGATATGTTATTTGCACCCCTATTTGGACTACAGGAAAGATTCTACTGTGAAAAAATAACATTTCCCATCCTATATATGCAAATGTAGTTAAAAGATTACAGTGGCATGATCAGAAAAGGAAATAATTTACTTGGATTTCCTGAGAGTCCCACATGCTGTGCTTGATAAATTATGAGCTAACAGACTTGCCATAAGGCCTGCCAGGGTAGGGTCAAATAATTTTGAAGCAGAGTCCAGGGTAGGGCAGCAGAGTTGGGAGGCAGGGCAGACACTCTCAATCAATGATGTGGTCCACAAATGACCAATTAATTCCCAGCTTCTTCACCAGTGGCTCTACTTTGCCATGGAAAGGGATTATAATAAATCTCTTTGGGTTTGTCCCATAGAGCTATCTTCTTGTGTCACCCCACAAGTATGTTTTGAAACTCAGGCAGGATTTTACACAGATGTTATAGACTTTCATAGTGACACATACAACTCATCCTAGAGTCAGGACTTGACAAATAGTACCAAAACTAGTCACTACAAGTATAGAACAAGTGTCTAGAGAAAATGCTTTCTTGGATTGAGTATGATTGGATTTCATTCAAGTAGTAAGATCTTGCTACAATAACTCTTCTCCTAAAATAGTTAATAAAATTAACTATTTTATGTTCCTGGTCAAGTACAGGAACTTATGGCAAGGTTAACACTTTGAAGTCATTCTATTTCCTAAAATATTTAAATTACATGTGTCATTGAACCCAGGAATAATTTATCATAGCATGATATTTACATTTCTCATAAAATGCATAAGGCCATAGAGTAGAAAAACAAGAGACAAAGATTCCTGTTTTGGTGGCTCTTTTGTTTGGTTTAAAGACATCATTCACTTATTCAAAATATTTATTGAGCAATGACTAGATTCTAGGACCTATAATATAAACATGCCACACTTGCTTCTTTTAAAAAATGTATAGATGTATGTGGGAGATAGATAATCCAATAATCACAAAGCATCAACCCACATCAGTTTTAAAATACACTTTCTTCAATTCAAATCTTAGTATTCTACTTAGTTTTAAAGGCAGCAGGAGCAGTTGAAGATGTTTATAAGGGTGTAATTATAATCATGGAACATGACCACTCAACTCTTTCTAGATAAATTTAAAACTCCATAGCATACTGTAATTGTCATTTATGATCAGTTCCCTCATCTTCTATTCACATTTCCCCTGCTGTGTGTTCTTTGCCAAAAAAGACATTACTTTTTCTGCTGCAGTATTTTTATGCAAACTGTCTGGCCTGCCCTGCTACTTTCTCCTTTTCTGCAAAAATCAGTGAAGCTCAACTCCTACTCATTCATCCATACTAACCTCAGATGTCATCGCCTTAGAAAGGTTTTTCCTGACTCCATTTTTTCTGCTGGTCTGCTATGCTTGGTGAGTCACTCTTACATCTAGTCCCAGGGAACTTGGGACATAATACTATCAACACTCATCATATAGTCCTATAATTATTGAATCACATGTCTAACTCGTCAAAATGTAAGACAAAAACCTTTCTTCTTCTTTTTTTGGTCATAACACAATATTAACAACACAGGCACTCAAAAAAGTATTTATGACTGGACTTTAGAAAAGGTAGGGAATTGCAGTGGAAAAGTGCATACATTTTGCATTTCTGTTTACAGTATTAAATGTCAGTACTATGGATTTAAGTTATATATCAAATTCATAGATCTGAAATACTGCTCTCGCAATTAGATGTGAAAGTGAACTTAGAACATTTGTCCAACACTGATTTTCCTGAATCCATTCCATAAAATTGAGCTATAAGTCCAGGAATTCATCATTCCCCTTACAAATCTGCATGAGCTTTCAAATAAGGCAATTATTGGTTTGATCATAGATGTAGCTGATATGTACAAAAATGGCTGGACCAATTGACAAACACAAGGAAATATAAATAGTTACCACCTTGAGCCTTTGAGTATCATCCTATAACTCTTCTGCCATTTTCTCCCCTGGGAGTTCCTACCTGGCCATAAGTCAATGACCAGAAGGTTAACATCATGCTTAGCAAGAAGGAAAACCCCACAATTTTGTTCCAGAGCTCCATACAGCAAAAGAGCTGAGTAATTAATATCTATGCCCTCCACAATGCTGAAGATTTTTACTATCGCTCCGAGTTGTATAAGTCATTCTGGCAACATGGTACTCGATGTGAGAAACAACTACACACGTGTTAGGACGTTATTGTCATAGCACACAAAAGAAGTGATAACAGCAAAACTGACATCTCCAGTGAGGTGGAAGAGGGAGACGCAGCACTGTGACTCAGTTCCAGGGGAGAGAAGCAGGAACTATTTCCCAAACTTCAGAGCAAAGCACTAGGTTCAGACTGAGGCAAAAGCTTCTTTAATAGGAATAGGATATATAACATCTTGCTAGATTAGTAACTTGTTTGAATTTTAAAATGTCAGGATAAAGTTCCTTAATCCTCCCGAGTTTGGAAGTGGCCCCTGGGTCTGAAATGAGTATGACACAATACATAAAGAATGGCATACTACCTGCTTCGGGTACAGTGAGATAAGGATATAAGACACCAAGGAAATTCTGACAGAATTCTCATGAGAAGAAATTAAACACCAATTTGTAGATATAAATAAAATCCTCGCTGTTCTAAAATTCAGGATGGAGAAAAATTACTATCCTAGCTTGATGGGCTGGAACTGTTCTTCCAAATAACTGGGTACAGAAGAGTTTTTTTAACCCGTATTCTCTTGACCAGAAGAGACAATTCATGTGCAATATCTGAACTATGTAATGAATTATCTAACATTGAATAGATTCATGATTTAGGATTTCTCCTGTTATTGTTTTCTCTTCATTAATATGGATCGTTATATAATTGATATCACTTGACTCAAAATTTGAGAATTTTCTAGACTCTTTCTTCTTCTATATCATTAGTTAATTGTTCTTATAAATTCTAACTTATATGGCTCTGAAAGGCTGTGGCTACCTTTCCTTTCCCAAGCCACTATCTGCATTTAGGCATTTTGATATCCTCTCTGATGTGCTGTAAATTTTTAGGTGATGGTATTTGTGACAGGTCTCATACGTTGTATTTTGATTACAGACCCATTTTAGTAATTAAGTTCTAATGTGAATATCACAACTTCAAGCTCTTAGCATTTGGAAAGTTCTCCTGCCATGGTGGATACCTCAAGTGGTGATGTGGTGGCTAGGCGGGTACAGGATCAAAATGTTCGCTAGTCCCAATCCATGCCCTTCTCAATTCACTAAACTAGCTATAATTTCTAGTCTCTCCATGTTGGATCTAGGAAATACGAGGAAAGTGATAAAAAAGATTTTACTTAACTGGTATAATCGTAATCTGACTCAGGTGTCGTCTGATAATAGATGTGCAATTTCAGGCCCATCATCTTATAGGGTATTTCTCTAAGTTCCTCATAGAAACTTCCACTGGGAAATATCGACAGAAATCATTTGGTGTGGATAGTGTCACTTCTTTGGCTGTACCCATTGCTGATTCCTCACCATCTGCAAAGCCTCTGGGTGGTATTTTTGCCCTTCCAGGTGGTCCTATGTGGGATTACTCTTTGAAAGATATCAGGCCATTTGGTTCTAACATAGTCAGCCCTCTCAACAAAGCCGTCTATACCTATGCCATCCCAAATCCATCTAGCCTGGGCTTTTACCCTTAGAATTTTCTCAGTGAAGTTAGGCATTACCTTTGTGACCCTCAAACTTCAGACTCATGCCAAGTTATCTAAGTGTTTTCTGTGGGAGGCCCCCAAAACTTAACTTGCGTTGTGGAAGACATGTCCCTCCCATTCTTTATGAGATAACATGTAGCCTGTTGGCAACACTCTCTGAATGACACCAGTTGTTTCAATTTCAATTATTTTAAAACTTCAAGGTAGGTGAAGTGTTGATGTTGGCTGAACTATGTTTATAGTGTCTCAGCATATTCTGTACAACTAATCCGTCTCCTTGCCTTGTTTGTTGTGTCCTTCTTGACGTTTCTTCAAAGTTCATGAGAGAAATACTCTCATTTTAATATCTGATTACAAACATATGTATTTTTCACCAAATACACGAAAAACTTCTTAAAGTCTGAAACTAAGGCAATATGGAATGGTAGTTTGAAGTACAGACATTGGGGCCAGCTGCGCTATAGTTCAAATCCCAGTTCTGTTATTTACCAGCAGGAGGACATTTACTGTATTATTTACATTCTCTGGGACACAGTTATTCATCTGTAAAATGGGGATAATAAAGCCTTATAGAAATAGATATCGTATATTTAGCCCTTATTCTCATAACATTTATTTAGCACTGTGTAAAAGAAAATAAGTATACAAATCATACATCTTTTATCTCATTTGTATGAGATGGGATGCATTTTCCCCCATTTACTGATGAGGCTTACAGATGTTAATTAGCATGCCTAAGGTTGCATAGCTAAAAACTTACATGAATAACTAGGGCTGGGACTCTATGAATTTCTCATTCCAAAATGCATGTCCACTGTGATACAATGAAAGTCAATCTTATTGGCTTGTTCAGAGGATTACATGAGACAATATGTTTAAAGCACTTATCACTTTGTCTGATGTAAACTGCTAGTAACCTACAAGTAAAATGTAGCCACCACTATATAATTTAATCTTACTCTTGTTTCAGTGTTCCACAGTTACTAGCATATTGGCTATCCATAGCTTGTGATAAGCGTTAATTGAATGAATGAATACATAAATGAATAAATGATAACCTAGTGTTAATGTATGACCAAAAGTCTTACTTATCTAGTTTTCTTCTTCTGTTTTTACAGTCTATTCCTACTATTAACATTAAAG
Source organism: Homo sapiens (assembly GCF_000001405.40). Lineage (NCBI taxonomy): Eukaryota > Metazoa > Chordata > Mammalia > Primates > Hominidae > Homo > Homo sapiens. Next base: position 80,044,502 of record NC_000001.11, on the reverse strand, counting down.
CTCCTTTTTGTATATCCAGTTAATGATGTAAACATTTTACTTTAACTTCAGTTTTTAATATGATTTGGAAATGTTCTCCTTCAGTAAGGAAAATATTCCAACTTCTAAATAAAAATCGAAAAAATAAAAGTAGCTAACATATTTATTTTGTTTTAGAATTTGCAATTCTCTTTTACTTGTTATTTAATTTATAGAAACTTTTTAATTATACTATTCATATCGTAGGTGTAGATTCCATGTCCTCAGTAAGCACAGTGCTGTCTGTGTAGTAGATGTTCATTTAAAACTTATTAAATGAAATAAATGTGTCTTATGATTTTCTAGATGAAGAAATTGCTGATCGTAAACATTAAATTGATGACCCAATTTCACAAATCTGGTAAATGTTGTTTTTAGACTGCAATGACTGATTTTTCTCACAATCAAATCCTAAAGTCCATTCTGTTGGAGGAAATGACTGACCCTAATCTCCAGTACATTTGCAAACTCATTAAAAATTATATACATTTATATATACAGTGAGTTACTTCCTAGGTTTTTGAAGTGGAAAAATACAGATTCATTTACCCACTAAATTTACAAATGTCTGGAATAAAGTAAAGATGTGATACAGCCTTTGTAAGCAACTTACTTACTTTTTATTTAGTTAGTTTTTAGAACAGAGTGTAATAAGAAACTAAAGTGGGTGATTAACTTTGATTCATTTACTTACAATGTCCGTTAGTATCACATGGTTAATACTGCTTAGAGGACTTACCTTAATAGAATGTTTATGTATGGTTTTGTTTATAGTTTTTTCAAAGAAAATCAAAACAGCTTCATACTGATCCTGCTCCATTAATTTGTGTGCAGTTATAAAATGTTTCTTGCTGAGTTTTTGACTTGACAGAGAAGAAAGGGTAAGATTTGGGGCTACAAAAAATAGGAATACGTTCAATGAGGAATCTCAACTAATACATAATAAATCTTGAGTAATAAATCTACTTAATTGTTTGCTTCGTTTAATAATATATGTTAGGGCTGAACATGGTGGCTCATACCTGTAGTCTCAGCACTTTAGTAAACCAAGGCAGGAGGCTCTCTTGAGGCCAGGAGTTCATGAACAGCCTGGGGAAAAAAGTGAGACCCCTGTCTCTACAAAAAAAAAATTTTTAAATGAGCCAGATGTGGTAGTGTGTGCCTGTAATCCCAGCTACTTGGGAAGCTGAAGAAGGAGGATCTCTCGAGCCCAGGAGTTCGAGATTGCAGTGAGCTATTATCACACCACTGCACCAAAGCATGGGTGACAGAGCAAGACTATGTCTCTAAAAAAAAATCAATCAATCAAAAAATATATATGTTAGGTGAATAGTATGTGGCAAGCACTTTCCTAATTTCCAGTTTTGTACAAGAGTAAACCTTCCTAGTTTAATATAAAGTGAACTAAGCAGGCAAAATTATTGGCATGTGTGGAGTTCACTTTCTGCTAAAAAAATTCATTAAAAAACACAAAATAGCTAAAAAGAAACAAAGTATGGGAAAGGGGGATATTGCTCATGGATGCAATTTTAACAGGGTAGCTAGGAAAAGCCTTTCAGCAAAGAGAACATTTTAATAAAGACCTGTAGGAAGTGATAGAGAAAGCTGTGCAAACATTTGAGAGAAAAGATCTTTCAAAAAGTTGAAATAATAAATGCAAATAGTCTACATTGAAGCAGGACTAGTGTCCATTGAGTAGAGTAAGAAAACAGAATGACAGAAGGAGAGAATCGTCAGAAAAAAAAAAAAAGCATAATGAAAGTTTGGGGGAGAAAAATAGTGTGGAACCTTGTAGGTCATTACATTTTCGGCTTTTACTTGAAGTGAGATTGGAAGACAATGGAGAGTGTTTAGGGATTTTATGGGTTCATGGATTTGCACTGACACCTATGATAAGAGTCAAATGGAAAGAGAAGAGCAGGATCAGAGAGAAAGCCAGAAGACAATGGCCAGATTGAGCAGAGAGATGATAGTGGCTTGGATCAGAATAACTGACAGATTTAAATTAATTTGTCTAATTAGCAATGGAGCTGTTGAGAAGTACTCAAATTCTGGCTATGCGAAGGTAGAGCTAAAAGGGATTTGCTAAATGGTAGAAGCAGAATATGAAAGAGTTGAAGATGATTCCAAGGTCCCTGAATAAAACAAATTGAAGTGCAGACTTGCTATTATATTAGATAAAATAGACTGAAGGAGGAGCAAGTTTAGGCAAAGGACTAAAGTGTGAAATATTTGAGGATATTCATCAGACTGTGAAATGCAAAAGTCAAATTGGGTTTTAGACATGGGAATCTGGAGTCCTGAAGAAGGTCCCAGATGCAAAGGAAATACATCAATATATTTGTGAGACTGAAGCATATCGATGGTATTTATATCCATTAATTTTGTACACTATATTTCATACCATCTCATACAATTAAAATCTTTGCTCTTGCACCCAAGCATGCTGGTATTTCATTATATATCATTCCACTTCTCATTATATACCAGCTGAAACATATCTTTTACATCTTTTTTGACAAAAAAGACACAATCTGGATTGTTCATAACAACACCGCTTATAATATCCCAGACCTTAAGCAACTTCCATGTCCATCACAGGTTGAAAGGGTAAATACATTCTGGTATATTAATACAATACAATATCATAGAGCAATGAGAACCAATGAGCTACAACTACCCTCAGTAATATAGATGAATCACATACATAAAGTTGAGCAAAAGAAAGCAGACACAGAAAGTATATATTATACTTTTTCATTTATATAGATTGGAAAGAAAAGTTTGAGAAATCAAAATGGTTATTATAACATTGTTGGGTAGTGAGTTGAAAGGGACACAAGGAGGACTTCTGAGAAGCTGGTCCTGTACTTTGAACTCAATGCTGGTTATATTGTTGTTCTCACTTTGGGAAAAATCATCAAACTGTTTGCTTTTGATTTGCGTACCATTCTGTATATATGTTGTATTTTAATAAAATGTTTACTTAAAACTATCTTTATTGACCGAATTTCTTCCTCCACCTATTGATATTGGAGAAGAAACACTAGAGAGGAATAAACTGATATAGTAGTTGAGAGAAAAATATTACTAGAACAATTGCCTTGAATAGATGAGAAAAGATGGGAAATAATACACATGAAGAGCGTTTTGCAATTGGTAGGAACACAGGCAGGCCATTCATAGTGTCTGGAAAAAGTATCAGAGTGCACGGACACAGATGCATGCAGAAGAGTGAATACTTGCTGTGGTGAGTTTTCACATTTCTGTAGTGATTGTTTTCATCTTCCAGGTGAAATCAGAATTATAACTAAATGAGAAGAGAGGAAGGATGGGAGGAAAAGTGTTGGAGGTTTAAGGAGAGAGTAGATAAGAAAGTAACATTTAGGGGAGTAAGAAAATAATTTACCAGGAGAATATTGCGAGAATGTTGGCTTATTTGATTTCAGTGTTCAAGAAATTAAAGCGAACCAGACAGCATGTATGTGTGTGTGCACGCGCGCGCGTGTGTGTGCGCGCGCGCGCGTGTGTGTGTGTGTATGTGTGTATCAGTGTGGGAGGCTGTGTTCATCTGTGTTTTTCAACCATATTCAACTACACTGGTATGTAAGCTAGAAAGGTGGGTTTAACTAGGATTATTGTTTAGCCCAGTGGATAAGATCAAGTGAGAGCAGGGCAAGAGAAATTAGCACATATACAGGTGAATAAATGTAATGATTGAACATAGAATTTAATCTATATAAAGTGAGATGTGAGGGCATGAACAAAGTCATCAACAGTGAAAAGGTACTAAAAACATGGTTTTGAGTTCTGATGGCATTGGATGCTCTTAAGATTTGACATATGACAGGCAGTGAGATAAAAGAATAGGAATTTATGGTTAGAAAATTAAAATCTAAAATATAAACCATTGGCACTTAACATTGTAATGATAAGTTCTAGTGTTATACCATGGGAGTAAGGAAGCAAGAAAAATGAGATTATAAGAGCAGAGGAAGTTAAAAAGAAAACTTAGAAACTAGAATTTTGAGGGAAAAAATTATCCATGTAAATATTTAAATAATCAAGAGTTATAAAAAAAGTAGAGTCTGAGAAAGGGTAACAGTAACTAAGAAGTATTAAATATAATTTTTTTTAAAAATCCAAGTAAACATAAAAAGTAAGTCTGTATGTACACATATAATTTTGTATTTTGTAATGGTGGAATGAGAAGCAACACTATCTAGTCTCTATTTCTTCCCTAATGTGGTCATTTGGCATTACAAAGTGAAATTTTTCATAGTTATGGTATATTAGGCTTAAGATCTTTTTTTTATTATGTTTATAAGGGAAATTTAATTTCAGCTCAGTGTAACATTCAAGCTTATACAAGTTTACGTGAATGTGCATTGAGCAAGGATTACTCATAAATATTAAAATATATTTTTAAATTAAAATATTACTTAATTAACTTTTCCTCTGGAAGAGGAAGATTACCAAGACAAGACATAAATTACATAATTATTTGGGACATATGGCTTGTCACTCTAATTTGACCACCACAATGGCAAATAACTTTAAAATGCCCTTAAAGTATTTAGATTTCTTTCCTGAGCACACATTTGGTTTCAGAGGCTTAGTTTCATGAATTTTTGTAAAATAATTAAATTGGTAAATTTAGTTATTTTATCTGATTATAGCATCCTTCTAAATATACTTGCTCAAACAGTTTTCCAGAATTTTTACATGTTTTACCAAGATATGCATATTTACATAGAATATAGAATCATCCAGGGGAAAAGTTGAAATGTAGTAGTTATTTATTCCCAAGGTCTTTCATAGGAAACAATACAAGACTTCTGTGCAAGTTTAATAAATTTAAAATTACTTTAACATTTATGAAGTTTATTAAATCTCCTTTGTACTTAAGCTATTGATACAGTATAGAAATTATTACAAAGATCTCTAGCAATCTAAAGAGACATATACAGAATGCTGCAGGTTGATGAAGGGCAAACTGGACATTACAATTCTTGGTTCTCACTTCAGCCCATGCAGTCCTGCTCTTATCTGTTATATATGTTGGCATTCTGCTTAAAGTTATGTTCAAAACCATATTTCCCCAAATGAAGATAATAAAGGTAAAAATACTTAATATACAAAAATGGGCATTGTATCTCATGATGTTTATTCATATACCCATCTTATGTAATATGTAATTAACTTGTATTTATTATTTTATTTTTTGTGTCTCCTCACTATATTGCAAACTCCAAAGGTTAAAGATTTGAGTCTACTTTTCAAAAGATTATTGTAGCATTGAGAACTGTTAGTGCTCCATGGTGAACATTAAGCGCTCCATAAATATTTTTTAAATAAATAGATTTAGAGATGGAAAGATATGTGACTACTAATCTCTCAATTATTCCCTTTATTCTTTTAGGAAACAAATGAGGGAAATAACTGTTATCTCAGTTGTGAAGAACAGATGAGATAAAGTGTACAGAAATATTCCATAAAAGATTAAGCTCTCTCTAAATACAAGGTATTATTCTTAAATAAATTAATATTCCCTAATTAGTTCAGCATTCAAAGACATAAAGTATAATACATGAATAAAGTTGTCAATGTTATTTTTCAGTAATTTTAATCATAATAATACATACACTTTTTTTACATTTGGGTAATCCACAGAGAGATGTCATAATAGCCCCAAGAGTCCTGAATTATTTTTCTCATTCGAGCTACAAAGCAACAAATGAATTTGTGTAAACTGAACCAAGTAGAATGTGGGTGGTTTGAAATTTTAATTTCACTTTCTCCAACTATAAATTTTGTGTGCCTTTCATTTTGGAAAAAGAAGCCATATCCCAGTAAAAAGTAGATAGAAATCACTTGAAAGAGAAATAAAAATATAAACAAATTTACTATGCAATTATGCTATATTGACTATTCACTTAAATAGGTAAAGCTATTTCCCTAAACTGTAGCTTAGTCATTTCTAACTCATTCTTTTATAGTCTTCCTAAAGTTTCAATTGTTAAAAAAGTCCTGATCTACTGGATAAATATAGCAGAGCTATAGTAAAATTATCCTCCCTTTCCTGTAACAAACCAATAAGAGAAATAAACTAAATTTTAAAATCTGCCATAATAAAACTAAGGGATGGAGAAAAGCTACATAGTTAAAATGCATATTTCCAAAACCAAAATTAAGCAAAACTCACCTTGAAGTAAGTGGCCAGTTTCAGGAAATGCTAGCAAAAATACTTTGGAGGGCAGGAACAGTGTCTATAGTTACATAACTTAAATGTTGAGAAAACAGTAAAGGGGCAAGATTTGTGAGAAAAATGTCTCCTGAACTTGACTTGGTTTAGAGATAGAAACAAGGAAACATAGAGTGCCATTATGGGAAGGAAGCAGTCTGTCTCTGTGGCAGCACAGGATGGACTTTGAATTTTAAAGTCTTGAAAGCTACCAGTATATCCCATCCACTACAGGAAAATATTGCAAATGGCATAGCCTTCAAACAAAGATCAAAATAATCAAGAAAACAGAGTAAATTTTGTCAATAGATTAAAAAGAAAAACTTCATAGAAAAATGTTACCATAAAATAGGCAAAGATTGTAAATAAACATTTTGTTATTAGTATTATGTAAGAAGTCCAGTCAACCAGACTATTAATGATATAGTGTTGCTTATGATAAGATTTACCTCACTGTTCATGAAAAGTCATACACAGTTGTATTTTATTCTAGAGTGTTTCATCTGAACGCCTGATAATTTCTACTTGTATTAGCATGTAGAAATATACACACTGAGATTTCTGCACAGAACTGAAATGTGAAGTTTACGTTTTATAGGTAAAGCACCCAACTCAGTGAACTTTACCCAATCATTTCCAAAGCTGTGAGAAAACCAGCTGTTCTGCTTAGATGGCAATCCTTTACATGATTATTGGGTGTTCTCTAGCAAATTTTTCACAGTGGGGGACTTTCTACAGATAAGAAATTCATCAGTGATAGAGGAATAGATTGCAAAACAGTCTAGTTAAATGCTATTATAGGGAAATTGCACATTTTATCTATTTAAACATTATTGCTTTGTTTTGGAGTGTAGGTTCAAATAAGCTTTAGTATATAACATTTTCCAAGAAGTCATTCTTTAAGAAACTAGCTAGGTTAAAAATAAACTTTCGTAAGCAGAAAAACTGTTTAGCTAACTCTCTGTCTGTAATCCTTAGCAGGAGCAGAGCAGAGGAATCAAATTCTATCAATGTGTGATAAATAGCCCAGGCTGTAGTACTTTCTTGTACAGAGTAGTCATGTGAGAGAAGCACACTCAGTAGACAACACTTTTATTCTTTAAATTATAGTCATGAAATTGGGGGGAATGAAATAGGGGGCCCAGTCACTAGATTTGAAAAAATATATATTTTTCATTTTAGTTTCACTTTGATTTAGTGAATAATTTCCAGTGGATAAATTCCAAAAAAATTCTCTTACCCAATCTTTATGGGTGCAAATAGCTGAATCCTAGGGAGGAGGTAAGTTCAGTTTAGCAGCTTAGCTAATTGAACAACACTGACATCCACGCTGCTCAGCTTCTTTCTTACCCCTAAGGCCACAAGCCTCACACTGGCAGGAGCTACTGGGGCAGCATAGAGTATGTATCAAATTGTTCTGAGCATAAAAAGATTTTAGGAAAATGGAAGTGTTATAACTACGTATAGATAAATAACAAATGACATGTAAAAAATGGTCAATGGTACTTCAAAGTATACATGGCATTTTTTAAACATACTTGCATTAAAATAGCATGTGATTTTAAGTAAAGCTATAACTGGCACATATATGTGTATATATATTTAGACTAAGATTTTGCCAAATAAGTCAAGAGCTTTTGATATTTTTTCTTTTTTTTCTTTTTTTTACTTTGGTAAATTTGGTTGGCTTAAATTTAAACATATTTTCTAGATTTTGCACCCTTTCTATTCAAAATAAAGATATTTTATGCAAATAGTAGCCAAAAGAGAGTAGTGGCTACAAAAATATCAGGCAAAATAGACTTTAAATCTTTACAAGTGACTTTAAATCTTTACAAGCTAAAAAAGCTTTACAAGTGACAAAGAACATTATATATTAATACAAGTTTCAACATGGGAAGAAGATATAAGAATTATAAACATCTACACACCTACTAACAAACCATTAAATATATGAAGCAAAATTGGCAGGATTGAAGTAAGAAATGGCTCTACAATAATACTTAAAGGCTTAAACACCATATTCTCAACAATGAATATTATCACCACACAGAAGATAAGTAAGGAAATAGAGGACTTAAACAACACAGTAAAATAACTTGATCTAACAGATATATACAAAACACTCTACTACACAGCATTAGCATACACATTTTTCACAAGTGCACATAGAACATTTTCCAGGATAGACCACAAATTGAGTATCAATAGATTTTAAAAGATAAATAGAATACAGTTTATCTTCTCTGCCCACAACAGAATGAAATTAAAAATCAATAACAAAACAAAATTAATAAATTTAAAAAATTGTGAAAATTAACACATTTACACACAATGAACAATGTGAAAAAGAAATTATTAAAATAATTTCATTTACAATAAGCACCCCCCAAAATAAAATACTTAGGAATTAACCAAGGAAGCCAAAGACTTGTTCAAGGAAAACTACAAAATATTACTGCAAGAAATTAAAGAAGACATAAATAAATGGGAAAACATCCTACATTCATGTATTGGAAGACTTAATACTGCTAAAATGTCAGTACTACCCAAAGTGATCTAAAAATTCAGTGCAATCCCTATAGAACTTCCAAGGATGCTTTTTGCAGAAATAGAGAAACTTATTTAAAAATTCATATGGGATTTTAAGTTACCTTGAATGGCTAAACAATATTGAAAAACAACAAAGCCAGAACACTTACATTTTCTGATTTCAAAACTTACTTCCATGCTGTGGTAATCAAAACAGTGTGCTACTGGCATAAAGACATACATACAGACCAATGGAATAAAATAGTCCAGAAATAAGCCCTTTAAAATATGGTCAAATGATTTTTGAACAAGGATGACAAGAGCATTCAATGGAGCAAAGACAGTCTTTTCAGTAAGTGGTGCTGTGAAAACTGTATACTCACATGTAAAAGAATGAAATTGGGTTCCCACCTTATATCATGTACAAAAATTAACTCAAGTGGATCAAAGAACTGAATGTAAGACCTGAAACTGTAAAACTCTTAAAAGAAAATGCAAGACAAAAAGTTCACAACATTGCATTTAACCTGATTTCTTGACTATGACACCAAAGACACAAAGAAAAAAAAGATGAATTGAACTTCATGAAGATTAAAAAATGTGTTGCATCAAAAGACAGTATCAACAGAGTAAAGATGTGATGTACAGAATAAGAGAAGATACTTGCAAACTGTATATCTGATAATGGATTAATATGCAAAATATATAGAGAACTCCTAAAACTCAACAACAAAAAAAAAAAAACAAAGAGGCAAACAATTTGAATAGATATTTATCCAAAGAAGGTATATAATAATAAGCATATGAAAAGATGACCAGCATCACTAATAATTAGGATGTGGAGAAATTAGAACCCTTGAGCACTGTTGGTGGGAACGTAAAACAGTACAGCCACTGTGGAGAACAATATGGTGGTTCTTCCAAAAATTTAAAATTTCTCTTCTAGTTATATACCTTAAAGAATTGAAAGCCAAATCTGAAAGAGATATTTGTACACCCATGTCCATACCATCAATAGTCACAGTAGCTAAAATGTAGAAGCAACCCAAATGTCCATCAAGAGATGAATGGATAAACAAATATACACATGCAATGGAATATTATTCAGCCCTAAAAAGGAAGAAAACTCTGATATATGGTGTACCATGAATGAACCTTGAAGACATTATGCTAAGTGAAATAAGCCAGTCACAAAAAGACAAATACTCTATCATTTCCCTAATATGAGGTACTTAGATTAGTCAAAATCAGAGAGATAGAAAGAAAGTAGAATGGTGGTTGCCAGAGGCTTTGGATGGGAGTAAAGAGGAGTTATTGTTTAATGGGTATAGAGTTTAGGTTTTGCAAGATGAAAAAATTATGGAGATTAATAATGGTTATGGCTAAATTATGAATGTATTTATTACCACTGAACTGTATACTTAAAAATGATCAAGATGGTAAATTTTGTGTTATGTGTACACAATTTAAAAAATGGAAAAAAAAGAAATCTGAGCTTGAGACAAAGATGTGGAATATTTTTTATCAACTTCATCCTCCTTAATTCTGTTACTTTTGAATTTTCTTTTAAGATCGAGTATTCTCCCTTAAAATGCTTTAAAATGCTTTAAATCAGTGAACTGTAATTATTTTCCCAATCCCTTTCTTATGATTCTCTCTTCAAACTATTATAATCAAGCTTCCACTCCCATCACTTTATTCAAACTGCTTCTGTTAAAGTTGCCAGGAAATTCCAGTTTAATTAATGCACTGGTAATTTCTCAGTCTTAATATGACTTGACTCATCTTGCAGGATTTGACAAAATAGATAACCTCCTTCTGAAAACATGTACTTCATTTGGCAGTGGGGCCCACACTATTACTATCTCACCAATCTCTCTTTCTTGGCCACTTTTCCAGCTTCTCCCTCATCACCTAATGTCTGAAGTTACATTATCTGAGGATTTAATTCCCTATCATTTTATTGGAGTAGTTAACCTGTTTACAAATTTACAAAATATTTATATGGCTGAACCCTTTCTTTTTTGCCTTTGTTTAGGTCAATTAAATACTTTTTTAATATTCCTTTTCATTTTCTATGGACTTTAGTCATACTTTCATATATGTGTATATATGTATAAATGTGTATATATATAAAAATAAATATATACATGTATATTTTTGTTTATATGTATATATTTTGTATATAAATATATTAATTTTGTTTCTTTAGATATCTCAATATGCATTCTTAATTTATTCTGTCCTACTTATATTTAGTATTGTAACTTCACATAAAATGTAAGAAGCTAGTGACAGTATAGTTCCATTAAACTGCTCATTCTTTTATATGTTTATGTACATGTGTGTGTATATATGTATATATACACGTACACATATATATGCACATATATACACACACAGACACACACACACACACACACACACACTATACTGTCCATTACTGAACCATATATGTATATGTGGGTTTTGGTCACAGGTGGCATCCTTTTCTAATATGCCAAAAAATGCTACATAAGATAATGGCAGCCTCAAGAAGGTCAAAGTTTGAGGAAAAAAAGTCCCAGTTTGGAAGCTATTGCAGTAATTTCATGCCACAAAGGAGAAAATATTATGAATATATTTTGAAGGTAAAAACTAACAGAATTTGCTGATGGATTTGATGCAGGATATGAAAGAAAGGGAAGGATCAAGAATGACTCCAAGATTTTGTTCTGAGCAACTAGAAGAAAAATATTGTTATTAACTGTAAAGAGTGTGGTGATATTTGTTAGTTATGATTAGGAATTCAGATTATTTGAGACACTCATTATATTTCAAGATGTATGGGAGGGACAGACTGGCTTTTGGTGAAAGCAGAGTAATTAATATAGGACTTGCTCTTCTGATACAAACTCTACACAAATGGACACAACATGTAGAATCTGTTTTCAGGCATTGGAAAACAGACATTACAGATCTGTGATCCATGAGAAAAGGATAGCTACTGTGAGCCCTATGTTCACCTAAACTCTCTGCCTGAGGATATTTTCTGAATTATAGACGAATGACATGACAGTCTTCGTGAGCTGGAAAGGCAGAGTTGGGGGCTGCTAAGCTGGATAAAGTTTGTAAAACAGGTTACTGGAGAACAGGGAGGAGCATAGAAGGCAGCCACAGAAGGATGCAGAGGGTCTCCCTGGGGTTCTTGGTCTGAAGAATGGGCCGTACAGGTATTGGCCAAGTCTCCACTGAGGTCTACTAGACAGCAGCTGCTAGGGGCTAATATGCCAACAGAAATGCAAGAGATCATGACATATTGAAAGATTATGTAACTGTTTCCTTGCTAATGAGAATTAGGCCTGACTAGGTGCCTCAGCATTCACGTGAAATTCCAAAAAGCCACATCATTGAAGTGAGTACCCTAACCTTGATTAAAGATGTATCTCAGAAATAAAAAGAAAGAAAAGAAATAGACATACTTAAGCAAAGAATGAAACCAAACAGGACTCAGTCAAAAAGATTTTTGAATAAAACCAAACAGGACTCAGTCAAAAAGATTTTTAACAGAACCAAAACCAAAACTCTGAAATAAGAAAACACAATGTAGATATTCTACAAAGTATAACCCACAGCTTAAGATACTTGACATGTGAAGAATCGAGAAAATATGATCCATTATAAATTTTAAAATGACACTGAAAATGGAATTTGAGATGACCTAAGATGTTGGCATCAACAAATAAGGGCTTCATAAGAGCCATTATAAAGCTGGTCAATGATTTAAAGGAAATGATGGATATAATGAGTGAATATGGAAGGAACCTCAGGAAGAAATGGAAGCTACATTTAAAAAATTAAATATTTTTAAAATATTAATTTTATTATATTAGGTCCTTGGGCACATCTTTTTAATATTATGTATGATGAAATATGACATATCTAAAAAATCACTAGTTTTTCATCTTACTTAGAGAAAAAGCCCGAAGTTCTTGCAGCAATACAGGATCCCACTCCTTGTTTCTTTACTTCCTATTATTCTTCCCTTTGCTCACTCTTTTGTATCACGGTCATCTTTATTATACTTGCAATAAAGTTTATTCCTACCTCAGAGCCTCTGCATAGGATGATCACTTTAAAAGAATGATTTCCCCAGGTATAAACATTGATCTCACTTAAATAACATTTTCTGAATGATGTTATCTCTGATTTCTTCATGTAAGATGACATTTTCTCCTCATCTTATCCCAAACCATAGTCACCACCTGGGAATCACTATTCCTCTTTCACAATTAGTCTATTCAAGCAAAGGAACAAGAGAATTTAATAGATAGACTACTATTTGTAAAAGATTTTTGTCACTTTTGCTATGCAGCATTTATTTCCCCTTCTGGTTCAAGCACTGTACTTTTGCTTTGAGAAACCAACGTTTTTCAATTGGACATTGTCTGCTCAGGACATTGTCAACCTAGTTTTATACACTATTTAATACTAAGTGTCTTTGAATTACTTTACTGTCAAATCTACTTGAAAGCCATTATCCTTTTATTTCTGATTATTCTCAAGTTTATAACTAATTTTAATAACCAAAATATGTAAATTTCAATTATGAAATGGCTCTTGTCTGTCCCATGTGTGAGCTAAAGTAGCTTCCTCCTCTAATATCTTGTTTTGATAAGGGTAGTCAAGTATTTAAAATATGTATTGATGTTAACAATATGAAGACATGCAGGAGAATTAAATTAAGAATTTATTGCATTCAAATATTAACTAACTTCCTACTATGAAACACTTTGGACATTATAAATATTAATGTAATATATCTTCTACATTTCTGTTTTTTTACATATATTTTAATTCTTCAAGGTTATATTCAGTTCCAGAGGCAATGTCTGGCACAAAGTAAGTTTAGCCTGCTAAAAATATATTGAGATACCCATAGCAAAATTTGGGTTTGATTGTTAGGAATAAGGATGATGAGAAGTGAAGAATATAAGAGTATATTTGACCATGGCATGACCTTAATAAAATGGCTCTAGAAAAATTGATTACTATTTGATGGAGAATCAAATAAAATACAAAAGTTTGTCTTGCTTGAATAGTGCTTTAAATATATACACACACACACACACACACACACACACATATATATAAAAACCTTTGCTTGAACAGTGCTTTAAATATATATGTGTATATATATAATACACACATATATATATATATGCACAGCATAATACAAGAACATTGAAAAAATAGATTCACACAACACCAGCTCTTGTTAACACTATATGATAGAAATCAAACATCCAGGTACTTCATATTTTAAAGATAGGGTAATAGAAAGAAATAGCAATAAGAAATTAACAGATACCTAGGATGAGTATACTATGAGACTGTAGAAGAAGCTCTGGTGAATCAAGAGAGGGAACTTATGGAGAATCAGGAGATGAGGGAATGTTCATTTTATAAAAACATGTAAAAACATGCCAAGAGTTTCTTAAACATTGGACATATAATTTTTCCCTTTGGCAAACCTACCAACAGCATAAATAAGTTATGGTAAGAAAATGTAATGTAATATCTCTTTATATCTTCTACCTGTTAGGTGTACTGAGCTTATCTACACTGACAAATCCCTGGAGGGTAGATAACACAACTTATCCCCTTCGTATCCTCTTGGTGTCAATTACCTGGCTGAAGATTTTAAGCTTTGTAAGAGTCTGATGCCTCAACTGATCTTTGAGCTTTAATATTGGCAAGATGAGTTTAGATGAAACTAAATAGAGATAGAAAAAAGCTACGAATCTGAATTTATAGAATAAAACAACAGTTCTCAAAATATGGTCCTCAGACCTCTGGGGATTCCTAAGACTCAGGGCATCTGTAAGATCAAAAGGACATTTTTGGCTTATTGCACTGTGTTGACATTTGCATGATGGTGCAAAAGCAATCGTGGATTAAACTTTTGGTACCTTAGGACAAATTAAGTCAGGAGCAACAAATTTTACTAAGAGTAGATGTATTATTTACTGCTATGCCTTTACAATAAAGTTTTCAATTGACAATATCTTGATAAAACAGTAAAAAAAATTACTTTTATTACATTTTGGTCCTTGGGCACATCTTTTTAATATTATGTATGATGAAATATGATGTGTCTAAAAAATCACTTTGTGGCATTCCAAAAAAATGATAATTTTCACTTTGAAAAGCATTTGTGTTATTTTGTGATTGGTGAGTTGAAGTAGCCACTTTTTTTAATGTACCACCATTTTTTTTCTTCCAACAATGACTAACACACAAACTATGGATAATCAAAATTTTGCACTTATCAAAAAATAAGTATCCTGTCAGTTTGAAGAAAACAGTTGATACCATTTGATGCCAATAATAAGAGTCAAGTTTTCAAGCAAAAATTTGAATTTTGGAAGACCTATATCCACCACTTGATATTGGTGATCTTGTGAGCTTGACAGCTTCCTGATATTCAAATATTTTTTTCTGGTGAGATTAGTGGTGAAATTAATAAATGTGATTTTTTGATTTTGTATAATGAAATGTGTCCACTTTTGGAAAATCTATATAGCTCAGTGAACCAATAATTTTCCAAATGACCAGTCATGATGTTGCAAAACCATGCATAAGTAAAACGTCAATTCAAAGTGTGATATAGACAAATACATTTCAGTGTAATTGAATGAAGTGTTGTTACTCACTTCCTTTTTGCCCTCACCAACATGGTCCTCCAAGACCAGAAAGGTCTGCTTAAAGCAAGTTAGGCTCTTTAACTTCTTCAAAAATCTTGTAGGCTTCTGCTCACTGCCTAGTTCTAAAGCTACTCCTACATTTGTAAATATTTCTTTTCTGCAACATCTCCCTTTCAGGCCTAACAATCTGTATTATCTATTGCTGAGTAACACATTACCACAAATGTATCAGTTTAACGTAACACCCAGTTCTTTGAGTCTGAAAACCAGGCATGGATTAGGTGGATGCTTTGTTTCAGGTGGTTTCACAAGGCTGCAATCAAGGAGTCTGCAAGAGCTAGGGTCTCATCCAAAGGCTCTGCTGGAAAAGGACCCATTTTTAAGCTTTTATGGTTGTCCGCAGGATTACAATTATTGCAAACTGTTGGACCAAGGTCCTTAATTCTTCGTCAGCGGTTTCATAGGCCACCCTCAGCTCCTTACAATGTGGGCTTCTCCAACATGACTACTTGCTTCATCAAATTGTGCACTCTGACAGGGCAGTAGAGCGAGTCTCTAGCAAGATGGATGTTATAATCTTAGGTGACCTAATAACCAAAGTGACATCTCATCACTTTTGCCATATACTGTTCGGTTAAAAGGAAGTCATAGGTCCTTCCCATGCTGAAGGGTGGAAGTAACACAAGAGAGTGAACCCCAAGATGTGGAGATCATTCGGGGCCATCATAGAGAGACTGCCACAGTTATTAATGGTGATTTTGTTGATCATAGAAATTATTTGTGTACTTCTTTTAAGTCACTGTAAATTATTTAAATTTTCTTAATATTCTTTAAGTCAATATGCATTGTTTTCATATTAAAATAAGTATATTTAAGATTAACCTTTATTGAATCTGAATAATATTTAGAAGTCTTCCATCAAAGCTTAGCCAAAAATCAAAGACATTGTATATTACATTTTGTCTTTAATGCTGAGATACTGAAATAGGAACAGTTCCCTTGTTCCCCTCGCAGGGCATATGATGGGGGTGTGGCTCACTTCTTCAGTGTCCCTCTGCTCAAACCTCTCGGGGAGCATACAGATGGGCAGGCTGTGGGACTCCGACCCCACAGCAGTTTCCACGGGTGAGTGTTTACAGCGGAAGCCCCAGTGGGCGTGTGTTACAGTGTGCTTTTAGTTTAGCCTTAGTCAGCTCATTTAGACCCCTGCCTTATCGCAAGGACAGAGGGCTTTCTGCATCCTGGGGTACCTGCCCTGGTATAGTGGAAGAATCAGATCACACGGGGGCTTGGCGGCCTGGGCTCTCCTCCCACTGCCCCCCTCCTCTGACTGCCCCAGCCAAACTCCGCATCATTCTGCTTCTGCTGGTGGGTGGCTTGCTGGTGTGCGGGTGCCTGCTGATGTGCTCCTGTCGAAGTCTGTCCCTGCCTGGTAGGGTCTCAAGGTTTTTAAAGGCACAGGATGGGGGGCATGGCAGACCAGGCTGGTCTTGGGAAATACAACATTTGGGCAGGAAATGCTTGTCCTTACCTAGGTCCATGGGGGTGGAGTCCTAGTCAGGGACCACGCCCTCCTCTACCTACCACTTCCCTTCCCCCGTTTTGTATCATTTAAAGGGACCACACTCTTCCCTTTCCAGCACTTCTGTATAAGTACTATGGGTCAACTTTTTTTTCCTTTTTTTCTTGAGACAGAGTCTCGCTCTGTCGCCCAGGCTGGAGTGTGGTGGCGCGATCTCCGATCACTGCAAGCTCCGCCTCCCGGGTATATGGGTCAAATGTTTAAGTCTAATTATGATATCTATGTTAATTCTAATAGTTAGCTTATTTGAATTTTTTCCTCTTTTCAAAGTTCCTGTTTACTTAATTATATTCTACTAGCAATATATAATAAAGGTTGTAACTATCTTTGAGTAAGTAAAATGTATTATTTTAATGAATTTGGATTAAAAACATATCTATATGTATGTGTACGTATGTATGTATATAGGTACGTATGTGTATACACAAGTATCTGTACCAGTCTAGATACTAAAACATAATAAAATCACTACATGCAGTAATTAGATTTTCATTAAAATTCCACATAATTTGTAAACGTCCTTTTCTCTCATAGATTCATAGAACACAGTAAATACTATAATACTTATTCTTACTAAACAATAATTTTCCTCTACATTGTTTCTACAATGTTTAGTTATAGAAACTTGAGTTGGATTTCTGAAAGGCTGCTGTGAAAGCTATCTGAGATTTTTAAACTCAACAAAAACTCAATAAGCCTAGGTCTTAAAACCAAAGGTAAAGTTTCATCAGCTAGAAAATTTCTTTCGACTCTAACTTTGAATATAGGTGTTACAAAGGATGATTTTTCCCTGTGTTTCTCTGTGACCTGATATATACATTTTGAAAGCAAATATTGTCATATCTCTAGCTTGATGAGGAATTTGTTGATAACACATTATATTAGGTTGGTGCAAAATCATTGTATTTGCCATTGAAATTAATGGCAAAAACCACAATTACTTTTGCACCAACCTAATAGTAATAGCAGAAAGACTAATACCTCCTTTTTGAATCTCCGTTATGAATTTTTCAAGAAGATTGGAGGCATACGAAGTATACAGTGGTCATGGATCTTATTCTAAGTACAATCATGCACTGCATAAAAATGTTTTAGTCAATGGTAGACCACAAAAATGAGGGTGGTCCTGTAAGATTGTGACAGAGCTGAAAAATTTTTATCACACGAATACTTATTACTGTATTACTATTTTCTTACTCTATTCAGTACAGTGGCATGCTGTACAGATTTGTAGTTTAGGAGCAATAGACTATATCATATAGCCTAGGTATGTAGTAGGCTATACTACCTAGATTTGTGTAAGTATGCTGTACAATGTTCATACAATGAAGAAATCATCAAATGACGCATTTCTCAGAGTGTATTCTTGTTATTAAGTGATGCATGACTGTACTAGAAAAGGAGACACCTGGAAATCATATTGGTTCCACTGATTTTATCAGTGAGGGTTCTCCTGAGAACTGGTTCACACAATTTTGGGGCTGGCATGTCTGAAGTAGTAAGGAAGGCTGGTTGGCTAGAAACTCAGACCAAGAGTTGATATAACATTGAGTTCAAAATTTGTAGGGTAGGCTGGCAGGTTGAAAGCTCAATCAAGAACTGATGTTACAGTTTTGAGGCAGAATTTCTTCTCTGGGAAACCAAAGTTTTTGCTGTTAATATCTTCAATTGATTAGATGAGGCTTACTCACGTTATCAAGAGTAATGTCCTTTACTTAAAGTCAACTGATTGTACATGTCAATCACATCTACAAAACACCTTCACAGCAACATATAGACTAGTGTTTCACCAAACAAGTGGAAATTATAGGTTGACCAAGTAGACACATATAATTAAAGCATCACACTTGATGAATAATTTTGAAATTGGTCTTTTATATTGCAGCAGCAACCATAGGTGTTTTAGTGAAGACATAACTGGTTCATGATCCCTGCCAGCTATATGGGGTTTCTGCCTTTTATTAGAGCTCCAACATCACAGTTCTTAACAATTCTTTTCTCAAAGTTGACCAGAATGCTAGAGTGGTAGGGTCCGTTTACACTTCTCATCACATGAATTGCCACAACTAGTTTTCTCATAAGGCACTGGGTCTATCATATTGACTTGGATTTACCAGCTTTCAGTCTCTATTTTTAAGGGGATTTTACTTTGGAGTCTCTTTGCTTTTCATCCCACTTGCATTTGGTCACGGAAATTCATTATATATCAAAGCAAATTTGCTTAGTTTCATATTTCTTCCTCCAAATAGGTGTGTTCATTTCCCCTCCAGTCCTTTCCATAGACTGTGTGTTTATTTCCTTTTTGATAGGCTGTTTTTTCTGTCTGGAAGAATTTTTTTTTTTTCCAGTGCCTTGTCTTAACTTAGTTAACTTCTCACTTGTTTTTCAAATGCTACTTTGCCCTGGAAGCCTTCCCTGACCATCCATTTGAAGGCAGACTCCCACTCTCCACGTCACCATTTTATACTCTCATACTATCATGTACTTCTTACTTAATCACACTGTTAAGGAGTTTTTTTGTTTTGTTTTGTTTTGTATGTTTTTCCTTTTAGGTAATAGTTTATTTGGTGTCTGTCTTCTGTGCCCAGTGCCACCATTAGTATCAGATAAGAGGGACTGTGCAGTGGCCCATGCTTTAGAGGGCTCCTCTTTGGTCTTCTTGTGTGTTTTCTTCTTCTCACAGGTTGAGGATTCTGTGGAGTCAAGGGCAATACCTATAGTTGGCCATTTTTTTTTTTTTTTTTTGGTCTTCTGTCCACATTTCGGGTACCTGCTCCCAGGGCCACAAGTTTTCTTCTCCTGAGTTTGGACCATGAAGACCAAAGGATGGCCAAAGGGAGGGGTGACTGGAGCTCAGAAATGTGGGTTGGGATGTCCACACATATGCAGTCAAGAGACATTGGAGTGTGATACAGAGAAGAGTTATAGGGAGGAGATGGGGTGTGGGAAACTGTGTATGACAAATTGCTGAGGGCTAGAGCCAGGAGCTGACAGAACTTGTCCCACTGTGTTCTGGGGTGAAACTCCAAAGAGTAACAATTCTAATATGGCTTACCTCTTGTTATGAAGAAATATTTGGCAAGGTAAAAGGATAAAACATATTTTATTTAACAATGCTTTATAAGTTTCAAATATTTGGCATATGGTACTTTGCCTTATCTAGGGTAGGCTGAGTGCTTAATGAGAGAAAGGAACCTCTCTACAATGCTTGCTGCTCTATTCCTGGAACACAGTACATGCCATGTAGTAAAGATTCATCCATCTTTAAAGTATATATCAACAAATAAGTGAAAACAAATTAGATTAGAAGTTGGAAATACCACATTTCTGTTCTTTTAGGCTGCCTCTAAATCATTATGTGCCCTTATATCAATTATGTGACATCTTGGTTTTCAACTGCAAAGGTAATAATTTGAATTTGATTAATGATAAGAAGTATTCCTGATGTAAAATTCACCTACAAAAGTTTCTTAAATTAATATGCACTGAAGTATATTTAACAAAGTAAAAATAAAAAAGGTGGAGCAGAGAGATAATAATTAGAGAAAAAGTGATCAAATTCAACACCAGAAAGTCAGTTTTTTACATTAACAGGTATATTTCTGCTATATTGTGTAGTTTTTACTTCTTATTTCTATGGAAAACCTCAGGAAGGAAGGCAAATTCTGTTTATTTCTCCCCCATAATACAGATTAAGAAAAAGAGCAAGAAAAGATTAATTGACTGTCAACACCCCTACTAGAAAAGCAAAGGCTGGTTTTGCCATCAAAACTTGGTTCTTCTGGGGAGCGATATTCTGCTTAGTTTGTGAACTGGGATGGAAGGGAACCCTACATGAGCAGGCTCTACAGGCTGCCTTCTTCTCCTGTTATGCATGAATCACTGTGGAGGACTGTCTTCCAATAAACCAAAGGAATCTGATGAACCACACCTTCAAAATAAAAGCATATGCTCACTACATTTTCTTTATACTCAATTACATGTCAACCTCTCCATTTCAATCCTTTTTTTTTGCCTGTTTCAAGAGATACAGACCTTTAATATAACAGATATTGATAATCATTGGCTTATGTCTTCCTGCAGTACAATTTGTCTTTTAGTCTAGGAGTTTCTGTGTGTACAGTTTCAGAGTTTAAAGAATTACTATGTTATTTTACAGAGAAACAATTCATACTACTTTCATCAAGGTGCACAGGTTTAATGTTTTTTATATCTGAACTATTCATCTTTTGAATTTTTCCTTTTTCTGTTGTTAACGTCGTCAAAAGTAACAATATCTTGAGTTCTAACAACAGTTAGTGTTACTTATTGCATGTATTGAAATGTATAGAAACTCCTTATAAATATTATTCAATTATTAATTTGTTAAATTTTCTCACAAAACTATATATGTATACTTTAAAATATTGTTATACTGATGAATTTGTAATGCTTAGTAGAACTTTCAATTCAGATATGCACTTGATTTTTAGCAAAGTGAAAGAATGGCAGACATGAAGGTAAAATTTTCAAGTAAAGTACAAACTAGTTATTGGTAAATGAATAAATATTTATATCAAATTCTATGTTGAATTTTTACTAGATACTTTGTTAGCTAAAATGAAAATATGGACAAGACCTAGCCCCAAGTTTGTGGAAATTCAGTGGAAAGTACCTGGTAGTCATATGAATTGCCATTTTCCTGTAGCTCAAATATAGATTAGAATGATTTTTATAAATTTATAGCTAAATATCCTTTAATATTTATAACTCAATTTTTTAATTTAAATACAATCACAAACCATTTATTTACTTATTTTCACCAGATAATACATAATGTATCTCAGTTTATCACCAGATTTATATATATATGTATAATCAAAATACAAAAATAAAAATTTTGAATTCAAAGGAAAGAATATTTGAAAGTGAATATAAGTGACCAAGAAGTTTTCTTGCCTCCAGACTGTCAAAATCTAGAATCATAGCCTTATTTTCAATTAGTTAATTGGGTGATTAGTTTATCTCCATGAGCCATTTTTTTAAAATGATGTTTACAGGCGTTTTCTCATTTTCTTTTTGAATTCATTTTTAATGTCAAAAGCTAACTTGTGCAAACCAACAGTAGTATCTGTTCTTCTACTTTATGTAATTTTATGATATTCTGGTAGTTGTTAAAGAAAACATATGATCCCTTTACTTTTTTCTCTTTTTCAGCTTACCAGTTCTCCATAGGTTTCTTCTATAGCATCTTTTACCTTATAATGAAATGAATGTGGTACTTATTAGGGTTGGAGTTGATGTTTGAGATGAAAAGTGAAAGCAAAAAGTTCACAATAATCCCTTCTCCTGTTGAGACTCTAAACTTATTTTGCTGACATTGACTTCTTTGCCAAATCAAATAAAACAATGATAAATAGGTTGACCTATTGCTACAGACATAAATACTGAAATATTGCTTTTTATGATAAAGGTAATTTCATATGAATGAGAAAGGCATGTTTCATCAGTGTAAACTTAAACTAATTTAGTTACCAACACATAATAATTTTACTTATGTCAAGTAACCCTTGAAAAACATTAAAAATTAAATATGGGTTATATTATTAGATTTATCTTTTTTTAAATCATGAAAATGTTAACTTCTTTGAAACCTAACCCTGTACTTAAGATCCTAAAGCAGCATTGCTCCCCTAATGCACAGCTTTGCTTACTGATCTAGAGAACAATCTGTTTTGGGGGGACTTACACATTTTCTTTTCAAAACTTACACAGCTTTTTCCTTTATGTTAATCATTTTGAGCTGATTGAATGACTGATTAGATATTGCATTCAGGATTATTTCCGTTAATATTGGGCATTAGTTGCTTAGTCAAACATCTAACTACCACCTTTAGAAATCAGTGGAGTCTTTAAGACCAGTGGCAAAGAGAAATGTGTGTATAAACTATAACCTAGTTGATAAAGTTCTTTTCTATATGGATTAACAATTTTGAAACCAATACACAAATATAGTTTAATTAAACAAATGAATAAATGGATGGTGGTTGATGGCAACCAAATTTATTACTCTTGGAGTTGGAGTTATATATAAGCAAGGAAGGACATCTAGAATGTTCCATACGTTAATGGATTAGAGTTAGAGAAATTAGTAGGAGCTCATGTTTAGCTTGATTAATATAGATACAGATGAAAGCATATCTAAATCACTGTGTAGGTATATACACACACAAATTAGTATACCCACATATATTTCCTTCCTCTGTCAGTTGAAAGGCTATAGAATTAAGGATATTCCAGTACCAAAGAATACACCTAGTGCTCAGATCTTTCTTTCAATACCATTCTTATTAAAAGGAATCAGAATTCCTGGAGAAATGGCTGATTCTAGGACTGGGGCAGGAAATTTATAAAATGAGACTGGAATGCTTTCTAATGCTTAAAGGAAGAAAGCAAGGAAGTGATCGACAAAAAATATGTATGCTCAACAAAACAGTATGTCAAGATACACAAGAGCCAACTGAACGAACTCCCAATGGATAAAGCTGAAACAATTTGAACAACAAAATAAAGTAGCACTGAGTTATAATCCAAAGTATAAAATAAATAACCATGAGGCTATGCTAATATAAATACAGTATAAATCATTTTATTCATGATTAAATAAAAAATAGATAATAAACAAATTTCCTGTGCAGAAAAACTCCAAATAATTTATGTGGATACTCTGTCTTCAAGGAGGTAGAGAATAACTCCTTATTCCCTTAGTACGTACTCTAAATAGTGACTGTCTTCCAACAAATACACTACGAAGAGGGGAATAATTAAAACTTTACAAAACCTGACCTGTACAACTTCAACTCAGTGATCAAATTTGAAATCAACAGTGATAAATTACATTATAAATAAGTACCCCTGATATGAATTGATGAGAATGGCATGTTATCTTTAAGAGCTTCTTCCAAAAAAACCCATAAACCTAGTCTAATCATGAGAAAAACATCAGACAAATTCCAATAGAGGGCCATCCTATGAAATACCTAACAGTACTCTTCAAAACTATCAAGGTAACTAACAACAAGGAGGGTCTGAGAAACACTGACAGTTAAGAGGAGCCTAAGGAGATATGATAACTAAATGTAATGTGATATCCTGGAACAGAAAAATTAAATTAGGTAAAAACTAAGTGTTGTACTCTGTTTTGTGCTGCTACAACAGAATATTCACATCTAGATAATTTATAAAGAACAGAAATTTATGTCTTACAGTACTGGAGGATGGGAAATTTAAGATCAAGGTGCCAACAGGCTCAGTTGTCTGGTGAGGGCTGCTCTCTGCTTCCAAGATGGCACCTTATTGCTACATCCTCCAGAGGGAAGGAACACTGGGTCATCATATGGCGCAAGGCAGGAGGAAAAGAGAATCTGGGGCTGTGTGAAGCTTCTTTACCAATGGCTCTAATCCCATTCATGAGTGAGAAACCCTTATGGCCTAATAGCTCCATAAAGGTACCACCTGTTAATACTATCAAATTGGCAACACCTGAATTTTGGAGGGAACTCATTCAAACCATAGCACTAAGGAAATCTAATAAAGTATGTACTTTATAATCATTTAGTAATGTTGGTTTATTGTTTATGACAAATGTACCATGTTTATGGCAAATGTACTAAAGGAAGATGCTAATAAAATGAGAAAACTGGTGTGGGTATATAGGAATTGTTTGTGTTACATTTACAGATTTTCTGTAAATCTAAAAGTATTCTAAAATTAAAAGATTATTTAGAAAAAAACCTGCATAAAAATAAAAAGGTTAAAAAAAACCCTTCTTTTTATAGAACTATTTCTAGAGCCAAATCAGTTTTGAACTACAGAGTTTCTATTTAAGTTACTTTCCAAGCTGGATTTGTGTAGTATTCAGAATTATTTTCTTTCTGGATCCCTTAACAAACTGTGAATTCTTAAAAGAAAACTAACAATCACCTTCACAATAAGTGAAACACAAAGTATAAATTTATTATTATATTTTCATCATATAATTCAGATGCCAGTGTTAGCAATCTAATATTTCATTAATGTTTTAATCATTTATGAAAGCATATTCTAGCTTAATAATATAATACTTAGACATATTTAAAATATGCCTTTTTATTTATAACTAATAGAATTTTTTATTGTGAAATATATAAAAGGATATATGCCACATAAATATAATTTAAATAAAAATAATAATATGCTTTTATCTTCACCATCGAGATTTTAAAAACAGAAAATTATTAACTCCTTAGCATTTCTTTGTGTCCCTGATTACATTTCTACTATCCTGACTTTTGTGCTCATCATTCCCCTTGAATTTCTTTTAATTTTTATCTAGCATGCATGAATACCTTAAATCATATATTGTTTAGTTTTGTAAAACAAAGTACCAAGCATGCATCTCCCTATAAGGAAGTTCAATATTGTCAATAAAGGTTGAAGGTTCCCAGGAAACATAAATCAAATGGAGTCTCTGGTACACTTTTTAGTTTCAGTTTCCCTGAAAGTTTATAGGAGTCTCTTCTGGATAATTCAGCGAGAAAAGACTTGAATTCTCACAGAGACAGGACTCTTCATAGGTAGGACTTATGACAAGGCTGTAGTGTGGGACATGGTCTCATACTAGAATATCACAATAGGAATATGGTCAATGGAAGTCAGCTGTTCTCCATTTTCTGCTCTAAACTCCTCATGGCCCATCCCCATCTCTCAGGAGTAAGTCAAAAAATTTCTGAAACTGCCCTCAGTTTATCCACCACAGAAGGGCATGAAGGAGCTGAGAATGGGGGGAGACAGTGGGGACGTCACCCAGCACCGTGAGGGTAGGAAAAGAATCTGGAAACCTAACCATTTTCCGAGCAGTTGCTTTATAAAATGATGAGGTCATCATAGCCATAATCCTTTGATTTTGGTGGTGGGAAAGTACATAAACCAGATAGTGGTGTTAAAACTACTTGAACAAATAATATCAATTTATTTATATAATTATCTCCCACATTTTCTAGATAAGTTTTAACTGTATAACCAAATCCTACTTATAGAAATGGCTATTTAGGATAGTAAAGGAGAGTAAACATTCAATAGTTGGATCTTTAGAAATCAGTGTTTCAGTAGCTTCTGTTTTCCAATGAACAACTCTCAATAATTCATTACAAATGTAAACTGGGAAGTCGAAGAGATCACATGTATCTCAATCCATAATTTTGGAAAATAGAGAAGCATTTTTATTTTTCTAAATAACTGTGTCAGCAGCACTTAATATTTAAACTGACTCATTAATGAATGAGTTGACTAGGAATTAAAATTTGCCAAGTTTATGGCATTAACATTATAGTTATGCTACTTGAAATCCACTAGAACATTTAGAGAAAATTATTATAATTATTAGATAACCTGTCCTTTAGAGAAATTTATTATCTGACTACTGTCACATGGTCATAGAACCATCTTATGCTGCTGTTGTAGTTTGTTTTGTCCTGTTAGAATACCACAGACTGGGTAATGTATAGTAAACAGACATTTATTGGCTCACAATTCTAGAAGCTGGGAAGTCCACTATCAAGAGACCAGAATCTTGTGAGGGACTTCTTTCCATGTCATCCTGTAGCAGAAGGGCAAAGAGAGGGCAAGAGAAAAGGCCGCTAAACTAGTGCTTTTATAAGGAAACTGCTCCCACAATAATAAAACCACTCTTGCAATATTGGTCTTAATCTATTAATGATGGCAGAGTCCTTATGGCCTAATAATCTCTTAACGGTTCTACCTCTTAACATCGTTGCATTGAGGAGTAAGTTTCCAACACATGCTTTTTGGGGAGATGCATTTAAACCATAACACCTGTGTTTCCGCATTTTTTAATTTTTTTTTTTTTTTTTTTTTGTGAAAATAAGAAAGGCTGGCAAGTAAGCACATAATTTGAATACTCTGTGATAAGTACTATGGTAGTGATGTACATTTAATACTTTCCATATACAAAAGGAGAGCCAGATCAGGGGAGTGCATTGATGTTAGGGAGGAGACAATGCCTGCAATGAGTCCTGAAGCATGAGTAAAAGGAAGATAAAGAAGGAAAGAAGAGGCATGCCAAATAGTAGAAATTCAGCAAAAGAAAAGAAACACACACATGTGACAAGTCTACCTGGATCAAAACTGAGAGAATATAGCATGGGGGGTGGAAAGAGATGAGACTAGAGAGGTGTGCTGGGATCACATTAAAGAGGGCCTTACATGCCATACCTGGAGGGCAGTCTTGTCGCAAATACACATCAAGTTAACACAAAGTTTTAAGTAGAAAGGCACAATGGTTAAAATTGCAAATAAGATGCATTGCTCTAAAGTAAACAATGGCTTTGTGCATATACAGCTTGAATTGCTTGTATGTCTTAACAAATGCACACATGTGGTTTTCCATGGTCAAATAATCCTTACTGTGAAATACATTTCTCCTCAGAAGATCCCTACGAGCCCAATTCAATGAACTTAGAACTATAACCCATAATATTTTTATATTTTGAAAATAGAAATTGTATGAAATCTTGCTATTAAATTAATTAGAAAGCTGATTGGTGAAATTCAGAAATGACCACGCAGTTAGTATCTAAAGAGGGGTGCTGAAGGAAGAGAAAGAGGGGGAATTAATAATTTTAGCAAGTAGAGGCCGGGCGCAGTGGCTCATGCCTGTAATCCCAGCACTTTGGGAGGCCGAGGTGGGCAGATCACGAGGTCAGGCGTTCGAGACCAGCCTGGCTAATGTGGTGAAACTCCGTCTTTACTAAAAATACAAAAATTAGCTAGGTGTGGTAGTGTGCTCCTGTAGTCCCAGCTCCTCAGGAGGCTGAGGCAGAAGAATCGCTTGAACCTGGGAGGCAGAGGTTGCAGTGAGCAGAGACCACACCACTGCACTCTAGCCTGGGTGACAGAGTGAGACTCTGTCTCAAAATAAATAAATAAATAATTTTAGCAAGTAGAAGTCTCAAATGCAGTTTAATTCTAGAACATTAGTAATAGCAAAATAATGTATTTCTTCCTTGTTTTTAATATTTTAATCAAGAAATCACCATTATCTATTGTTTCATAACAAATTGCCCTCAAATTAGTGACATAAAAAGCAGAGATGGGCCGGCTGCGGTGGCTCACGCCTGTAATCCCAGCACTTTGGGAGGCCGAGGTGGGCGGATCACGAGGTCAGGAGATCGAGACCATCCTGGCTAACACGGTGAAACCCCGTATCTACTAAAAATACAAAAAAAATTAGCCGGGCGTGGTGGCGGGCGCCTGTAGTCCCAGCTACTCGGGAGGCTGAGGCAGGAGAATGGCGTGAACCCGGGAGGCGGAGCTTGCAGTGAGTCAAGATGGCGCCACTGCACTCCAGCCTGGGAGACAGAGTGAGACTCCGTCTCAAAAAAAAAAAAAAAGCAGAGATGTACTATTCCTCACAATGCTGTGGGCTGGCTGGGTTCTGCTAGGCTCCTCTGTCCCAGACTGTGTTGGTCAGGATCACATACACAACTTCCTTCACCTGGGAACTCAGCTGGGGCTGGAAAATGCAGGGTGGCTTCACTCCCAGGTGCGCTTCCCCTCAGCTGCAGTGAACCGTGTGGCCAGAGGCTTCCATTTGGAACTTCTCTCACCATGTGTATGGAACTGGGACTAAGTCATTCAGAAGGCTAGCCTGAGCTTCTTCACATGGAGATGCCAAGAAAATGAAAGCTTCTTTGGCCTGGAAATTACATAGAGTCACTTCTATCTCATTCTATTGGTTCAAGAAAATTACAGGGCAAACCCAAATTCAGATAGTTTTTTGAAAAATAGAGTTTTGTTTATTGTTTTTTCTAAATAACTATTGGGCAACGCATTTCATGTCTTATTGGAAAGAGTCGCCTGCATGTATAAAAGGGATTTCAAGCAGTCATGTATGCAAATAATCTATCATATTGCTCTTTTAAAATTATAAGAAGGTAGAAATATATTTTTAGATAGATATTAATGCAATCAACATGTGCAACTAAAGAATATCAGGGTTTTTTTTTTAAAAAAAAAACATGTCTCTATCATTTTGCTAAAAATCTGTAAATGTCATCTATTCGACTTTTTCTGAGAAAGTTTGATTTAGACAGGATCTACAACAGAAAGTCCGTGAAGTCCTTTTGTGTGAAGTTTAATCAATATAGACCGTGTAAAACTTGAGTTCATTAAATAAATAATACATGACAAACAACAAATACATAAATTCACACCTATCCTTTTTTAAAATCAGGAATGTACCCATTAGAGACAAAGAAAGACACATTAAAATAGGTTAATGCCAATTATAAATTTACAGCTTATTACACACTGTTCAAACTAATACAGATACAACATCATCTAAGGTTGGAAACTGTGGCTAAAGGAATTAATCTGCTCTGCATGGAGCTGGGTTTATTTAATCAATGTTGCTTCCACTAGAAAAGTGGATTCGTTTTTCTTCAAGACAGAGTTAAAAGTTTTGCAGCTAATTTATTTTAATAAGCATTCTTACTGATGGCTCCAAAAAAGGTTGGGGAAGAGGGTGTGCTAAACTGTAATGAAGCACCAGGAAAGAAAGCATGACTTAATTATTTTTCTAGGGTGGATAATGAATAAATTAGCCACACTGCAGGCTTGCCATTTGTATAAAATTTATTACTTTTTCTTTAAGAAACATATCATGACAAAGTCAATTTTTCTCCTGACTGCAAGCTGATTGATGGGGCAGTGTCTGGCTGTGCAAGACTTCCCCTTCATCATTGTTTTGGTGATGTTGATACCATAAAGTGAGTTTGAAGTTTTTGAGTTCATGCTCTCCCACATAATTACAAATGACAATTATGTTAACTCTTTTTTACAAGCTGTCTAATCATGTAAACTACAAAATGAATAACTTATATGTGACCAAATGTATTAGCTCCATATGATTTTGGAGACTAATTCTTCTTCTTATATTTCTTAGGAGATTACAAATTATGCTAGAAATACGATATCTCCATTGGAGCTAGGGGTAAGTGGGCCTTGTAAGGGGTTACTTTCTTATGGAAAATGTGACAAATCAAGTTTCTAGTCAGGAGAAATTGATTCATAGTTTTTTTAGCTTTTTTAACATGCTCACATCTTATACGTTTAAAAGAAATATTTATTGCTTCTGGAATCTTTTAAAAAATCTGCATTTTTTCAATACAAAGTTACATATGCAATAAGATTGATATACCTATACATTAAATATATTTTCTTTGATAGATTTAACCTTGCTGTCTGCATACCCCGCAAAAGAATCAGCTTCCATGTTAGGAGGGTAAAAAGTACAGAATAATATTGAAATAGCAAATGGATAATGAAAATAATCTGTAATCCAAATTCAATCTTGCTACATGTGATACGAAACAATATTTTTTTTTAGCACTAAAATGGTCTTGGTTGTTAAGTATCAGTAATGGCTAGGAAAGAAGATACACAGATACCCTGTTCTTTTTGTTTGTTTATTTATTTATTTTTTTTTTTTTTTTGAGACGGAGTCTCACTCTTTCGCCCAAGCTGGACTGCAGTGGCGCTATCCCGGCTCACTGCAAGCTCCGCCTCTTGGGTTCATGCCATTCTCCTGCCTCAGCCTCCCGAGTAGCTGGGATTACAGGCGCCCACCACCACGCCCGGCTAATTTTTTGTATTTTTAGTAGAGACGGGGTTTCACCGTGTTAGCCAGGATGGTCTCGATCTCCTGACCTCGTGATCCGCCCGCCTCGGCCTCCCAAAGTGCTGGGATTACAGGCGTGAGCCACCGCGCCCGGCCTGTTTATTTATTTTTAAACAATTATTAAGTATTCATAGTTACTGTACTACTTTTAGTCAGTTGAAGAGGACATTAAAAGCTTATCTTTTTAGAAAAGAATCTTCCTCAACTCACATTTTCCTTCGAAGGCAAATTAATTGTGATTGTACATTAGGAACAAATTCAATCTTCTGTTAAAACTCTTTTATATAATATAGTTCTTATAAAATGCAAAAAGCAGAAATCTTGTAATTTTCAAAGTTATATAAACCTTTTGAGCAGATTTTATGTTATAAAACATAATATCTTTTGTTACAAAACAAAAATCTGTAGAATTTAAATTCCAAGGTCAACACATTACAAAGATATGCATATTTTATGCGTACATTCCATAATTAGTTATGTTATAACTATTTATAGATAGTTATAACATCTATCTTCCATCTTAGCCATAATAGATAAACCATTGGGAGGCTTTTTTAAATGTAAAAAGCAATTTCATATATGCACACCATTGTATATATATACAAACCAACTACATACGGTCATAGAAAAGTTTATCTTAAAAATGTATTCTCGGTGTCCTTCATTTATTCCAGTTTCCATTTTACTTTATATTAACAGCAAAACCTAATATATTTGCTTTAATTGGATACTATTAACCAAGCTACATTTACCTGATAATTTGAACTTACTTGTAATAATTTTTAAGTTCCATAGACATTTACTATCCCCTTGGACAACAGTATCCTCTAATGACGTAGAAAGTTTATATTAAAAAGAGACAATGATTATAGAGACATGGTGGCCCCTTTTAGGTCCCTGCGTATTATTGAGAGCTAGACTAAGATTAATAACATCAGCAGTACCACAAACCAACTCAACGATGTTAAATTCAATCCCTATAAATGTCTCCACATGAGCATTTGCACCACATTATAAGAATTAAGAAATCTCTCCCCTAGGGTTAAGGGAATCATTGTAGTTCTCCAGTACTGTCCTGTGTTCCCACAGCCCAGATTATCCTTGTATTTGAAGTGCTATGAAGTTTCAGGTAGGTTCAGTGGTATTTTACTGGGTTACAGTTCCTGTGGTGGGTATTTTTGATTCTGAGTACTCTCTTTTAGACATGTTTCCTTCTTTAAAGCAAACAACTCCACTGTCAGAGTCACATCTGGTTTCCTTGCTCTCAGATATTTTGTTTTTATTTTTCTAGAAAGCTACTTTTCTGCCCTTAGAAGGCAGAAGATTAGAAGAAACAAACAAACCAATACCAAAATCTAAGGCGAAAATAAATTTCAAAATGTTTACAGGCAAAATTGTAAAGTTAAATGTGAAAAACTCATCAACAATTTCACGTAGACAAATTATCTATTTGATATAAACTAAATCTGTTTACCAGACAAAGACTGAAATTTTGAGGCACAGTTGATGATGATATAAAGGCTAAAAGAATAGGAATTCAAATCAGCTACACAATGTGTGCAACACAGTGCAAAATAAAAGCGCATGTCCTCCTTATTATAAAATATTAAGAAGTTCCATACAGGAAGATCAGAGTTGTAAACCAAGCTTGGGGCCCTTCTAAGAGTAATGCCTTGTGTAACTGCAGAAGGTACATATACCCAAGAAGCTGGCCCTGATAAAAACCTACATGTTTAACCTCATATTTTTCTATTTTTGTTAGTTAGACAAAACTGTATGTAAAAAAAGCATTAATGCAATGGTTAAGATAATATGAAGACTTCATCTCTAGTAGCTAATGACTTAAAAAAGTAGTAAGTTTGATTTTCTTCTCCAAAAGCTATTATGGAAATCCATTTTATTCTATTTAACAATTTAACATCGGGCCTTTTCCCACAAGCTTTCTCTATGGGCTAAATCTATTTTTTCCTTTTCTTTCATAAAACAGATACCTTTTCTTATCCACTTCCTTCATGTAGAGAGACTCCTTTGGCTTCAGTGATGAGTATAAAAAGCCTTAAATAACTTTGGCTACCTCTGGGAAAATGAGACTCCTCTTAGTGTTTAAATTAGAAAGCAATGCTTTTTATAGCTCAAAATCACCCATAAAACATTTCTTTTTTTAGCTACAAACTTTGAAATTAAAAAGTGTAAATACACTTTTTGTTACTATTCTAGAAAAAAATTGTCTTTAAATTTAAGCTAAATAACTACTTTTAAAATTGTTTATGTCTTGAAATTCCAACCTACGTCTTTGAAGGAAAAACATCCAAGGATGATAATAAATAAAATTTGTAATTAAATAATTAATGCAATTTTAATTTTAGACTCCTATAAACTATAACAATTGCCCTGGGGTTGCTTTTATAAATACATTTATTTTAAAAAATCAAATTAGAGAACTTAAAGTGTTATGCCCTTCTGCTCAAATTTAAAGTTTTACTAAAATTACATCCTGTTTGTTATAAAATTTATTTGGGAAGGGGTCATATCATAATCATGAAAGTGTTATTTTCTGAGATTTGACTTATTAAAGACCTCAACTAAATTTTTAGGATTAAAAAAGGAAAATTTATTTTTATTTGTGTTTTTTTTAAAACTTGTGGTTGTTACTTTTAAAGGCAATATCTGTATAAGATATTCCCAACTTAAAAGCAAGTATTTTCTGATACTGAAAGAAAATAATTTTGGGGTTTATTCATCATTTTTCTTAGAAAGACAAGTCTATAAAATGCCATTTGGGAATAATTTTTATTATATTACAATATAAAATTTATAGAAATATTGTAAAAATAATAAAAAGAACTATACATTTTACATTGTTTTACATACCACAATACCATGATCACAACCAGGAGATTTAACATTGATAAAATACATTTATCTAATCCACAGTTTTATTCAGCTTGTACAGTTACAATAATATTCTTTTATAGATATTTCTGTTTCCACAATTCAATCCAGGATAAGACATTGCATTTAATTTTCATGTCCATTTTATTTCTTTTATTCTGAAATGATTCATTAGCATTTCTTTACCTTCCTTGACGGTGACGTTTTAAAATAGGGTAACCCCTTTATCTGTAGAATCCCCTTATGCAGGGTTTGTGTGATGTTTCCTCATAAATAAATTCAGGTTACATATTTTTAACAGGGTTACTTCAGAAGTGGGAATGTACTTTTCTCAGAGCATTATTTCAAGGGTGACATGATGTTGATTTTTATCTGTTTTGGAAGTGACAATTTTGATCACTTAGTGATCAGTGAACTCAATTGATACAACTTTTGTTAAGGTAGCAATGGCTAGATTTCTCCACTATGGAATTAATATTTTTCTCTTTGTAATTGATATGTAATTTGTGGGGAAGTACTTGGAGGCTATATAAATAATCTGTTTCTAATCAAACATTCACTTACTAGTTTTAGTTTCCATTGATAATTTTCAAATCCTATCATTCATTCAATATTTATTATTTGGCATTATGTTGTAAGGAGGAGGTTTCTTCCCCCTTTTATGTATGTATGCATATCTAATAACAAAAAAGTGGACATTGATAAGATAATGCAATAATAATTGGTTTCCCCATCAAGCATTTATTTAATTTTACCAGTCTAGCAAACAATATTAACAGTAAAAGCTATTTTAAAACATAAAACTTCTAGCACATCATAATTAGAAGCCTATAGCCATAGATAACACTAAAGGAAGCGAAGGAAGAGGAGGCTGAAGCAAAGGAGGAGGAATAAGATGGAGGGAGAGGGAGAGAAAGGACAAGAATAGAAGCAAAAGAAGAAATAAAGAGATAAGGAAGAATATAAGGAAAGGAGAAAATGAGGTAAGAAAACAAGATGAAAGATGATCAAAGAAGCCTGCCATATATATATATATATATATATATATATATATATATATATATATATTTTTTTTTTTTTTTTTTTTTTTTTTTTTTGAGAGGGAGTCTCACTCTGTCACCCAGGCTGGAGTGCAGTGGCGCAATCTCTGCTCACTGCAAGCTCCGCCTCCTAGGTTCACGCCATTCTCCTGCCTCAGCCTCCCGAGTAGCTGGGACTACAGGCACCCGACACCACACTCGGCTAATTTTTTGTATTTTTAGTACAGACAGCATTTCACCGTGTTAGCCAGGATGGTCTCGATCTCCTGACCTCGTGACCCACCCGTCTCGGCCTCCCAAAGTGCTGGGATTACAGGCGTGAGCCATCGCGCCCAGCCGAAGCCCACTATATTTAATGTAGTTAACATTCAAGTTATTGTTAGACTATATCACTACAATGTCTTGTCCAATTATTGGCAATTTTTAATATTTTTCTTGGAACAGCTATAAAATGACAAGTATTCCTTCTACTTTGGTACACTCACCTTTGAAAAACCTGCCTCCATCGCACTCCACAATATGAACTAAGTCTCTGGAGACAATAAAGGGTGAATCATAGTTGAAGAGGTAGTTGGCTGTATTAATTCCATTTTTTTTGTCAGGTTAAAAGCCATTCCTATGTCAAATTTTTGCACTGATTGACAATTACTATTCAGAATAACAAAATTAAGAACATACCATGTAAAGAATCAAATTAAGAGTGAGCATTTTTGTCTGTGGTTGAAGAATGTATAAAAATGTGAATGAAATAAATTATGAGTCATTGTAATATCTGAACTCAATTGATACAACTTTTGTAAAGTGGGATAGATCAAGGAATATTTTCACACAATCCAAACCACTTAAAAAGCATGAATATAGGCTGCTTAACTACTTTTTTTTTATTATCACCATTTATGGTATTTAAAATCTACAACAGAAATTTGCATAACATTAACAAAATAAAAGTAAGCCATGTACATGATTTTGTATTAAATTTAGAGTATAGTATAAAACAGAGTATATTACAAAATAAAATAGAGTATAGTATAAAAATAAAAATTTCTCCTTTCCAACTTCCACCCTTGAATATCGTCCAATCCACCTTCTCAAAGATAGTTATATTTAAAAGTTCCTTGAATAAAATTCAAGAAAAAGATTTATTCACATACGATTAAATACTATATATTTAACTGTCTAGACAGTTTTGCATTATCATTGTTCCTTATACTGTTCATTTTTGCTCTCGTTAGAAAAGTAATATTTATTCATTGGACAGAAAGTAGAAAATAAAATCAAGTAGAAAATATAAATAACCTATAACTCTAGTATACATACTAAGCCCAGTTTAATGTGCCATAGTAATTTTAGCATGTATATTTATTTTAAGTTCCACTTCTTCCATTAATATTTTGTCTTGTTCCCTAACATTCTTATTATAATATTCTTTCATCATCTATCTACCTACATATTTTTTTTACTTTCAATATAGGCAAAATTGTATTTTTTGCAGTTAGTATCATTAATTTTTCCCTTCAGTATGGAATAGTGTCTTAAGGTGTGTCATCATTTTGTGACTTTATATTTCTATGAAAATATTTTAATTGTCTTTATTACATTTTAATTTTCATTGATATTAGTAATGACATTACACAAAAAGGCATATTTGTACAAAAATTATGTATATATTTCTTATATTTCCTTATAATTATTTTAAAATGATCAAAATATTTATTTTATTTTATTTTCAGTTTCTTTCAGAAAAGGGAATTGACAATGCATGGTAGGGTATGATTTGGAACATATGAAGTTGCCAGTATTCAAAAGATTTTTTGACTAACAGAAAAATGGCAGTTGGATATGTTTCAATCTAAAGTCATCATATGATTTTTCTAACTTTACCAAATATAACATATAAAATGCTTCATTTATTTCTTTGGTGTGTAGGGAGGCTGACTATGTTCCTATTTATCTGTAGTAAATTTCTTTTATGTCTTTATGCATTGACTATTATAAAATTATTTCATTATTTCTTATTAATTAGCAAGCAGTATATACTACTATCACTTTTATTTGACTGTCAAATATTCTGCAACTATTTCACCAAGTTTTCTTATATTTGTAATTTTTATTGGTTTCTTATACATGCAATATCTTTTCTTCTTTGCTAGTCAAATCTGCCAATCACTTTATATTTTTCTTCTCCTTTGTATTTAGAAAGCTCTTTTTCATTGATACTAGTAATGATATAACTACACTCAGATTTTCTGAGATCTGATTAACATTAATTAATATATCCTCTTTATTTTATGCTTTTAATTTTATATTACTTTTCTGTCTAAAATAATTGAATCTATTTTTCTTAATTTTTAGCTTAGTATATGGCCAGTATTTTGAATCTTTCTTTCATCGAAAATGAAAATTCTTACATATATATGGTTTCTTTAGCTTTTTATTCTATTCCTTTATTTATATATTATTTTCAAGGAGCACATAGTTTAATTATTATCACTAATAGTATATTCTAATAGGTCAAATAAAAATTTCTTGCATTTTTATTCTTATTAATTGCCATTTCCCAATTTTCTGATTTTTGAATTATAAGTGAATTAAATTTATAAATTCATATAATGGTAATTAAAAATGTTCATCTTCCCATTGAGGAAGTTTATATATTTTTCATTTATCCCTCCCTTCATATAATTTTATTATGATTTATTCACCATTTATATATAAAATGTATTTGCAAAATAGTTTACAAGTAGTATCCTCTTCTTCAGTAAATATTTATTTGGAGCTTACTGTGGACTAGGCTCTCATGTAGAGGGGCTGGTGGTTTATTATTGGTAATAGAACAGTTGAGCTCTCCACTCTAATGGAGTTGATGTTCATTGAGAAGATTGTGTTGCTGATAGTCAAATGAGGAGAAACTCACCATATACAATTATATAAATGAATTAACCTTAGAGGAGGACAAGGCTGAAAGAAAAATGAGGAGGGGAAGGGGAGACAGAGGGGGCGGGGAAAGGGGGAGAGAGAGAAAGAAGAAAAAGAGCCTACACAGCACCTCTGAAGGGATGCACATCTTTGAGGATCCTAAAATCCCAGCAATAACAGTCAGCTATAGATAATTTTATTAGAGAAAAAAATGTATGTGGATAGCTAACGACATTAATGGGTATTGTGAAGAACCAGTATTGGAGACTGTCAAAACGAAAAAAGACCAGAAAGCAGGGAACTGCTCAGGTCACACCACAAGATTGTCTGTGGCTTAGGAGACCACTGCTGGTAGCTT
The DNA here is from genome assembly GCF_000001405.40 of Homo sapiens. Lineage (NCBI taxonomy): Eukaryota > Metazoa > Chordata > Mammalia > Primates > Hominidae > Homo > Homo sapiens. The sequence goes on along the minus strand of NC_000001.11, from coordinate 80,006,517 downwards.
TACTACTGAATGCTTGATTCCATTCCTACTCCACCACTGGCATTGACAGAGATGGTCTCTGTCTATTCCTGCAGCTTTGTGTAACTTCTTCATACTCAAAAGCCTAAAGCCACAGCCTCTGATTGCTGAAACCTAAGTGTGGTTCTCATACACTGGTTCTCATGGAACAAAGAGAAGGAATGTGTGTTGCTTCTCCCTCCCCTCCATTGTATGCTGTGGAGCCCAGTCACCAGTCAAGATCCATATGAGGTATGGCCAGATTGGAAGTTCAAATATTGGGCAGCCAAAAAGAAATAATAAATTTCCACCATTTGTTGACATCTGAGCTAAAACTTGGATGTAGAAAAAGACCATCAAGCAGAGATTAATGGAAGAAACAACAAAGGCAAAGACTTTGAGGGAGAAATGAGACTGTGCATTTAACAAATGAAAAAGGAGGTCATAGTTTCTTGAGCAAAGTATAAAGTATACTTTATTTTTAGTTGTTCTTAATCATATTATAGGGAATACCTTTATATATAACAGAGCACTTTGCATAAGAATGTTATGAATGCTTAAATTAGCTTCAGGAATTACATGAAAAGTTTTAAAAATTATATAAATTGCAATAATAATTTTTTTCACCTTTGTCCAATAACTGTGGTGATATCCATTAAAAGATGTTCTGATGTTAGAGTCTTTATTTTAATACACTTCCAGGTTGGATTCTTCATTATTCTATTCATAGATTAAAATTCTATCATCTAAACAGTGATTGAACTCTAATTATGTCAATGCTCTGTTACTTTTTAAAAACAATCTAAATCATTCTAGAATTATTATTTTGAAAATATTTCCTTTTTATTATTTTAGATTAAATCATATAGCATAGTGGCTATGTGTGTATATATGTGTATACATTTTACATATATAATTGTACATATGTGTATGTATGAATATATATATATAATTTGAAAACATTATCTCATAAAACTGTCTGTAAGCAGTTCTCATAGTTTTACTTTACTTCATTGACTACTGACTGGGAAAGATTGACATATTTGAGCTCTGGTGTGGCCTTCCTACATCCCCCTGAGGCAGAGCTTAAGGGAGTTGCAGGTGCCTGTGGGAGTCAATGAATAAGTTGGGTTATCTCCAATCTTTCTTTACCTTTACTAGTACTATTGTTGCTGTTGTATCGGGATCTGTGTTTTCAAAAATAGCCATCTGTCTTGTTTGACCTGGATCTATTGACTTACTTAACTGAGGTCCTTGGGAGAATTCCTGCCAGGTAGATGAACATGTTGGCAACAGAGTCCAAAGTAATTAGACTTTTGATTCATTGCTTCTTCGTTGCCTGCTGCACTAATTCAACAATAATTTATGAAACTTCTCTCTACTGCGTGAGTATAACTCATGGAATCTGACTATTTCAGGTTGATTACTGAGCCTAATGCATACTGGTTAGGTGACCTTGGGAAAACATTTTAACTTCACTTAGGAATAAATTGAGAATAATAATTTCATCAAATTCATAGAGTTTCATTTTGTTTTTTTTTTATTAAACTAGCATGTGAGCCTGGACAACACAGTAGGATTCTGTCTTTACAAAAAAATTTAAAAAAATTATCTGGGCATGGTGGTGTATGCCTATAGTTTCAGCTACTCTGGAGGCTGGGAGAGGTGGGAGAATCTCTTGAGCCCAGGAGGCCGAGGCTGCAGTGAGCCATGATCATGCCACTACACTTCAGCCTGGATAACAGAGCAAGACCTTGTCTCAAAAATAAAATTGAAAATTAATCAATTAATTAAAAATTAACACATATACACCAAGGAATACTATGCAGCCATAAAAAAGGATGAGTTAATGTCCTTTGTAAGGACATGGATGAAGCTGGAAACCATCATTCTGAGCAAACTATTGCAAGGAAAGAAAACCAAACACCTCATGTTCTCACTCATAGGTGGGAATTGAACAATGAGAACTCACTTGGACACGGGGTGGGGAACATCACACACTGGGGCCTGTTGTGGGGTGGGGGGAGGGGGGAGGGATAGCACTGGGAGATATACCTAATGTAAATGATGAATTAACGGGTGCAGCACACCAACATGGCACATGTATACATATGTAACAAACCTGCACGTTGTGCACATGTACCCTAGAACTTAAAGTATAATAAAAAAAAAATAAAATAAATAAAAATTAACATAGAGTAAGTTGCACTTCTTTTGGTGTATAGTTCTAATATTTTAACATATGTATAACCATCATGAAAATCAGAATATAGATCAGTCCCATAACCCCCAAACACTCTCTGTTATCCCTTTGAATTTATGCCTTCCCCTACAATGATCTCATGATGACCACTGCTCTGTTTCCTAACTCTATATTATTGTATTTTTGAAGATGTTATATAAATGAAATAATACCAAACATATATGTTTGTGATTGTCTTTTTTTTTTTTTCTTTTCCGAAACGGAGTCTTGCTCTGTTGCCCAGGCTGGAGTGCAGTGGCAGGTCTCCGCTTACTGCAAGCTCTACCTCCCGGGTTCATGCCATTCTCCTGCCTTAGCCCCCCGAGTAGCTGGGACTACAGGCGTCCGCCACCATGCCTGGCTAATTTTTTGTATTTTTTAGTAGAGACGGGGTTTCACCATGTTAGCCAGGATGGTCTCCAACTCCTGACCTCGTGATCCACCCACCTCAGCCTCCCAAAGTGCTGGGATTACAGGCGTGAGCCACCATGCCCAGCCTGTGATTGTCTTTATTTCACTCGGCATATTACTTTTGAGTTTCATAGAAGTTGTGTGCCTCTATCATTCATCTTCTAAAAATAGGTGAGTACTATTCCATTGTATTGATGTACCACAAATATTTCTTTTTTATCCATTAGCTCATTGGAGGACACTTCAGTTGTTTTCTATTCATTAGCTGATTGAAGGATGTTTCAGTTCTTTCAAGTGATTATAAATAGAATGTTCTTACATGGGTTTTCTGTGAGCATAAGTTCTCATTTCTCCAGAGTAAATATCTAAAAGTAAGTTTGATGAGTCATATATTATGTGCATGTTTATTAGAACTGTCAAGCTGTTTTCCTGAAAGGCTACTATTTTGCATTTCTAACAGCAATGTAAGAGATAGTTGCTCTGCATTCTCATTGGCATTTGGTATTGTCAGTACCTCTTTTATATAAGCCACTCTCATAGATACAGTTATATCTCATCATTCTTTCCATTTTCACTGACATAATGTCTAATGGCATTGAACATCTTTTCATAACATTTATCATTATCCATATGTTTTCTTTGGTAAAGTATCAGTTCAAGTCTATTGCTTATTTTTAATTGAATTGCTTGTTTTTTTTAGTGGTGGATTTTTTTTAAATAATAAATTTTATTTTTTTTAGAGCTGTTTAAGTTTCACAGCAAAATTGAGAGAAAAGTACAGAGAGTTCCCACATACTCACTGTTCCCTCCCACATACAACCTCCTTCACTATCAACATTCCTGAAAACTGTGGTGTATTTTTTATAACCCATGAATCTATATTGACACATTATTGTCACCCAAAGTCCATAGTTTTCCTTAGGGACCATTCTTAGTCTTGTATATTTTACCAATTTTGACAAATGTATAATGATATGTAGCTACCATTGCAGTATCTTACAGAAAAGCTTCACTGAATTAAGTTAAAATGGGTAATCATAAAGGTCTTCATTCTCGTCGTCTTCACATTTAGTAAACTGAGAAAGAGGTGGCAAGAGAAAGATTGTTCTCAAAGGTGGCAAATGCAGAAGAAAATCCTAATATAAGTGGATCCATGTAGTTGAAACCCATGTTGCTCAAGGGTCAACTGTATTGATAGGTTCAATTTTCTAGTACTCTATTAAAATTTGCATTTTAATGGTCTATAGATTTTTTTCTTATACTATATCTGGTTTTGATAACTAGGCAATGCTGGCCTCATATAATAAGTTGAGAAGTGTTGCTTCCTCTTCCATTTTTCTGAAAAAGAATAAGTAGAATTGGTATTACTTTTTAAAAAACATGTTTGATAGAATTCACTAATGAACATTGGGCCAGAAGATTTCCTCTTTTTTGAAAGACTCTTTATTATTATTATATTTTAAGTTCTAGGGTACATGTGCACAACATGCAGGTTTGTTACATAGGTATACATGTGCCATGTTGGTGTGCTGCACCCATTAACAAGTTATTTACATTGGGTATTTCTCCTAATGTTATCCCTCCCTCAGCCCCCCACCCCATGACAGGCCCTGGTGTATGATGTTCCCCACCCTGTGTCCAAGTGTTCTCATTGCTCAATTCCCACCTATGAGTAAGAACACGTGGTGTTTAGTTTTCTTTCCTTCTGATAGTTTGCTCAGAATGATGGTGTCCGGCTTCATCCATGTCCCAGCAAAGGACATAAAACTCATTCATTTTTATGGCTGCATAATATTCCATGGTGTATATGTGCCACATTTTCTTTATCCAGTCTATCATTGATGGGCATTTGGGTTGGTTCCAAATCTTTGTTATTGTGAACAGTGCTGCAATAAACATACATGTGCATGTGTCTTTACAGTAGAATAATTTATAATCCTTTGGGTATATATCCAATAATGGGGTTGCTGGGTCAAATGGTATTTCTGGTTCTAGATCCTTGAGGAATTGCCACAGTGTCTTCCACAATGGTTGAACTAATTTCCACTTTAACCAACAGTATAAAAGTATTCCTATTTCTCTACATCCTCTCCAGCATGTTGTTTCCTGACTTTTTAGTGATCACCATTCTAACTGGTGTGAGATAGTATCTCATTGTGGCTTTGATTTGCATTTCTCTAATGACCAGTGATGATGAGCTTTTTTTCATGTTTGTTGGCCACATAAATGACTTCTTTTGAGAAGTGTCTGTTCATATCCTTCGCCCACTTTTTGATGGGGTTGTTTGTTTTTTTCTTGAAGATTTGTTTAAGTTCTTTGTGGATTCTGGATATTAGCCCTTTGTCAGATGGGTAGATTGCAAAAATTTTCTCCCATTCTGTAGTTTGTCTATTCATTCTGATGGTAGTTTCTTTTGCTGTGCAGAAGCTCTTTAGTTTAGTTAGATCTCATTTGTCAATTTTGGCTTTTGTTGCCATTGCTTTTGGTGTTTTAGTCATAAAGTCTTTGCCTATGCCTATGTCCTGAATGGTATTACCTAGGTTTTCTTCTAGGGTTTGTATGGTTTCAAGTCTAATATTTAAGTCTTTAATTCATCTTGAATTAATTTTTGTATAAGGTGTAAGGAAGGGGTCCAATTTCAGCTTTCTACTTATGGCCAGCCAGTTTTCCCAGCACCATTTATTAAATAGGGAATCCTTTCCCCATTTCTTGTTTTTGTCAGGTTTGTCAAAGATCAGATGGTTGTAGATGTGTGGTATTATTTCTGAGGCCTCTGTTCTGTTCCATTGGTCTATATACATGTTTTGGTACGAGTACCATGCTGTTTTGGTTACTGTAGCCTTGTAGTATAGTGTGAAGTCAGGTAGCGTGATGCCTCTAGCTTTGTTCTTTTGGCTTAGGATTGCCTTGGCAATGCGGGCTCTTTTTTGGTTCCATATAAACTTTAAAGTAGTTTTTTCCAATTCTGTGAAGAAAGGCATTGGTAGCTTGATGGGGATGGCATTGAATCTATAAATTACCTTGGGCACTATAGCCATTTTCATGATATTGATTCTTCCTATCCATGAGCATGGAATGTTCTTCCATTTGTTTGTGTCCTCTTTTATTTCATTGAGCAGTGGTTTGTAGTTCTCCTTGAAGAGGTCCTTCACATCCCTTGTAAGTTGGATTCCTAGGTATTTTATTCTCTTTGAAGCAATTGTGAATGGGAGTTGACTCATGATTTGGCTCTCTGTTTGTCTGTTATTGGTGTATAGAAATGCTTGTGATTTTTGTGCATTGATTTTGTATCCTGAGACTTTGCTAAAGTTGCTTATCAGCTTAAGGAGATTTTGGGCTGAGACGATGGGGTTTTCTAAATATACGATTATGTCATCTGCAAACAGGGACAATTTGACTTCCTCTTTTCCTAAATGAACACCCTTTATGTCTTTCTCTTGCCTGATTGCCCTGGCCAGAACTTCCAATACTATGTTGAACAGGAGTGGTGAGAGAGGGCATCCCTGTCTTGTGCCAGTTTTCAAAGGGAATGCTTCCAGTTTTTGCCCATTCAGTATGATATTGGCTGTGGGTTTGTCATAAATAGCTCTTATTATTTTGAGATATGTTCCATGAATACCTAGTTTATTGAGAGTTTTTAGCATGAAGGGCTGTTTAATTTTGTTGAAGGACTTTTCTGCATCTATTAAGATAACCATGTGGTTTTTGTCATTGGTTCTGTTTATGTGATGAATTATGTTTATTGATTTGCATATGTTGAACCAGCCTTGCATCCCAGAGATGAAGCCGACTTGATCGTGGTGGATAAACTTTTTGATGTGCTGCCGGATTCAGTTTGCCAGTATTTTATTGAGGATTTTTGCATCAATATTCCTCAGGGACAATGGTCTAAAATTCTCTTTTTTTTGTAGTGTCTTTGCCAGGCTTTGGTATCAGGATGATGCTGGCCTCATAAAATGAATTAGAGAGGTTTCCTTTTTTTCTATGGATTGGAATAGTCTCAGAAGGAATGGTAACAGTTCCTCCTTGTACCTCTGGTAGAATTCGGCTGTGAATCTGTCTGGTCCTGGACTTTCTTTGGTTCATAGGCTATTAATTATTGCCTCAATTTCAGAGCCTGTTATTCGTCTATTCAGAGATTCCACTTCTTCCTGCTTTAGTCTTGGGAGGGTGTATGTGTCCAGGAATTTATCCATTTCTTCTACGTTTTCTAGTTTATTTGCGTAGAGGTGTTTTTAGTATTCTTTGATGCTAGTTTGTATTTCTGTGGGATTGGTAGTGATACCCCCTTTATCATTTTTTATTGCATCTATTTTATTCTTCTCTCTTTTCTTCTTTATTAGTCTGGTCAGCAGTCTATCAATTTTGTTGATCTTTTCAAAAAACCAGGCTTCTGGATTATTTGATTTTTTGAAGGGTTTTTTTGTGTCTCTATCTCCTTCAGTTCTGCTCTGATCTCAGTTATTTCTTGTCTTCTGCTAGCTTTTTAATTTGTTTGCTCTTGCTTCTCTAGTTCTTTTAATTGTGATGTTAGGGTGTCAATTGTAGATCTTTCCCGCTTTCTCTTGTGGGCATTTAGATGAAAGACTCTTAAGTAGGAATTCAAGTCTTTTAATAGGGAGAAAACTAGGATTCTCCTGACATTCTCTCCAAATGAATGGTCATATCTGGGATTGCAGCTGTATTAAGTCCAAGCCAGGGGATACTAGAGGAGGAAAAAATGTGGTAAAGTCAATACAAATTCAGTTGTGATGCAAATTTTAGTCTTCTTTATCTGGCCTCTTACTTACTTTTTAGAGTCCTCAAAGAGCTGCTCCTTAAATTTTATCCAGATTTCATAACTGTATTTAGTGGAACAGACAACATGGAGCACTCTTATTCTTTCAATTGGAACTGAAATCAAACTTTTAAGGCATTAAGGAATAATGGGCTCATACATGAAAATTGCTTAGAATAGTACCTGAAAAATAGTTAAGACTTGATCAATGGCAGTTATTATAGGCAACTATTACTATTACTATTTTCCAGCACTTAGGTAGGGACCGGGATAGAGCTCTAAGCCTTTATGGTGCTTATATGTTAAAAAGAGAGATAGATATACACAAATAACTAGTTATAACTTTTAGAAGCATACAAAACAAAAAGAGACAGTGATTGGACAGTCAGGATATTGTTGTGGAGTGCTTTCATTTCATGAACATGCATACATTTCTATGGATTGTGAATTCCTGGGTGTTACAACATATATTTTGATTATTCAGGGACCTATATACTAAATGTATTATTAGTACATTTTGAAATTACAAAGCAAGTTACAGAGCAATTGTATTTTATAATACTAGATATTGTTTTATTTAAAAATTACATTAATCATTTTATTTCAGTGTCGACTCTCTGCCAGGTACTTTTTCATTCGGGTTATCTTACCACTTTAATAGTATCATCTGATTCTTATATTTTACCATTCTTTTGGTCAAATGGCAAGACAAGTTTCTGGATTGTAGCCAGTTCACCAGTATTAAACAATGCCTGTTGCCTCTCGGGGTCCTGAGCTGGACATGTGTGGAGGAAGAATAACAGGGGAACCCCAAAGAAGCTGCTCTGTGGTGACCTGAAAAGGAAGGATGCTCTGCAAGTTGAGCAGAATAACCATGTTAGAACACTTATAAGAAAAATTTCAGGTTGGAGCTTGACAACTGGACAAGTCAGGTTGGATCTTGACTACTGCACAAAGACAACAGCAGGCAGCTTGCCTCTTAGATGTCAGTGAGCCTTCTTATAGTCTACCTACATGTGCCTTTTGAAAGTCGAAACAGCACTATACTAACAACTGAAAGAAAAACCAGTTGTTCACACATTGCAAAAACTAGTACAGATTTTCAGTAGTGCAAAGCAATGGATAGAGGCTTTATGTGGAGTAAATCTACTGTAATGCTCATTTAATTGGATGGATTAAAAAAATGCCCTTAAGTCTGTTGAAGTTAAAATTCCTCAAGGAAGCCATGCTTCTTTCCAACCAAAAGCCTTAGGCATGCTTTTTCACTTTTTACCTAATTAAATTTTACATAAAATTCATTTTCAACTCCAAACCTACTTCCTCAGGAAAGACTTACCTGAATGACCATCAGAGTCAAGTATTTTGCTTTCATAAATTTCTATACTTTTTAGTAGCACCTAAGTCATGTTTATTTTGCCCAGCAGTGTAGCCCCAGTGCTTCACACTGTATCTGGTACTTAGTAGGTGCTTATTAAATATTCAATAAGTATGGCAATTAATTACAAATAATTGTTGAGCACTTTGAAAGCATTAAACACTCTGTCACAAGGATGAATGAATATGATTTGTGCTCTGGAGATGTTTGCAGTCTAATAAGGAAAGGCATGCATGTAAGAAAATACATAAACACACTTGAGTTCTGTTTTTGCTGTCACTTAAAAGCATGAACTGGCAGTGACGAGACTGCCAAGAAAAAAAGTGAACAGTCATCCGGGTAGGGTGAATAAAAGAGGTTGAAAAGAAGGGCATCACAGAAAAACTGCAGTTGAACCATGGACAAAGATTTCCCATATGTATTGTAACTAGGAATGCTTTTCTGTGTATTGATACACACATACACACATATGCACACAATACATAAATGTGAAAGTACTTATATGTTATATTATATTATATGCTATATGTGTACATATACATAGTAAATGGATATCTATATTTTTAGTATAAACATGTAACATGTAATTCTAAGATTAATTAGCTGAGTCATTATAAACTATTCTCTGCCACATGCACACAATAATTTCTCAGATCAATTATGACATCTTCTGTATGTGCTTTCAATATTATGGTAAAAGAAATGCCCCATGTATCATTTTGGTTTGACTCCTAATTTACTATGGTGTAACTGTAGCTTTTACTTCCCATAGGCAAAGATCTGTTAACAGTGAATTCTGCAACTGAGAAAGTTTTGTAAAATTAATCTTTCCAAGATCCAGTGAATAATATTTTGGCACTCTTTTTGATGTTTGTAAATCTCCTTGGTAAGACAATATGGATCTAAACTTTTAATCCTCTCTCAGAGACAACAGAGTATCACAGTGTATTATTTGTAGTGATTATTTAGAGAAATAACCTTGGTATTAACAGGATGTATTTTGTCTGAGGCTTAAATTGTCGATCAGTCTCTCATGACCTTTTTCACTATTCTAGCATCATAGTATCTTGACTATAATCTCAATGTTCTTTTACTCAAATTCCATTCTCTTGCATAATGATGAAACATATTCAGCCACCTTGTAACTGAAGCATTCTACTTAGCACCTACTGAGAAGAATTTTTATTCCTGCATCTAGGTATTACAGAAACAGAGTGACAATCACTGTGATTGAAAAGCAGCATATCTTCAACCAACTTAGCCATTATTCACCTTGTCCATGGAACTATCATTATTTTGGCTAACTAAGGGCACCCATGAGTCCTAAGTTTCACATTTTATTGTATATTAATAACAGAAGAAGGTAATTGTTGAGATAAAAAAAGAAAATGTCCAGTTTTTAGGAGCAGGAGCAGATGGTCCCAGAGGCTTTTCTCTTTTACCTCATTAGGCCTGAATAAATTGCAACGTCTTCAAGTAAAGCTGTAGGGAAGGCATTTTTGCGATTGGCCTGATGGTGATCCACAGGTGCAGGGAAGTGCAAACGCATTGAGACAAGCTCTAGCATCACACATGTGCTGACAGAATGTGAGCTTGCAGGATGGTGAAGCAGAAAATGAAAAGTTTGTCCACCAGGTGGATTTGCTAAGTCCATGGCTTAACTTCTGTTTTTCCTTTGCTTCTTTTTGCTCCAATTGATGATCCACATAAAGTCCTGCATGACTAAAAATATCTCCCATCTTATATTTGTGTCTAAAAGGTGTATTTTAAAATAAGCCTATATCTCTTAGGGAATATATCATAAAACTGTTATGTTAAAATTATCTCTCTTGTATTGGAAAGTAATGTTAGCAGATGACTTAGATGTTTCTTCATCATTTTTTAATCACTGATAGTGCCCCAATGGTTTCCTTATCAATCCCTATAAACAATGCAATGAGACTACAATATAGGATATGGAATACTTCGACATGTAGTCCTTTTAAGCACTTGATATTTGAATAAATTATCCCTACATAGACATTAACTTTATGAAATAAACCATCAATTGTTAAGTATTAGAGAAAGAGCCAAGAGAGGAGACTATTTCTCAGTTTTCTCTGAAACGTCTAGACGTTCACATAGCTGAATGCATGACACAATTTGTTTATTCAGAATAGTTACCTTAGTTTACAAACTCTGGCTTTCTTTCTGAGATTACCTTTTTAAACCCATTTGTTGGCTCTTAAACCACCTTTCACTGGGCAAGATGTAAGCCAATTAAATACAAAATAAAATAATAGCCTTGTATAAAGAGAATGTTTTTCCATGCTTATCTACAGAAATCCTTTACATTTATTTGGCACTATGTAGTTTACAATGTCTTTGTCAGGATGGTATGCCTTTTGGCAGGATTTTGTAAAGAACCCCCAACTCTGAGCAAAAGCATATTCACTGAAGTACTGATTTGAAGTCTCCTTGATTTTGATGTCTATTTAATGTTATATTTAAAATATTTTTAATTTGGATTTTATAAAGAAAGCATAAGTAATTAGGGCACATATATAATAAAGCCTTAATATTAATAATAAATTTCAAAATATGTAATAATTGATAAAAATGTACTTTACCTACCATTATAGATAACATAGATAAAAATACCCTAAATTTTTGTATTAGGTTTCAAATCTTCCTCTAAAGAGAATTCATAAGACATTTATTCATATATCTCCATCTTGTCTATTTCTTGGTATTCCTTTACTGCCTATCCTTCTTACCCTAATCTGTGCCCCATCCTTTGCTCATTCTACTACCCTCCTTATTAGCAGAACATTTATGTGGTAACAGAGAAGGTCTAGTTTATTTGAAAACAGATGTTTCAGGTTCACACTTAACCCCATGTCTTTTTTTTTACTTATGATTTTTCCACAGAATCATATCTTTGGACATATCCTATATAAAACAAATACATACTGATACCGACAGGAGACAAGGAAACACTGTGTAGAAGAGGGCAGTTCCCTGGCAAAGGCCTCACCCTCAAGTCCGGATACCTGCAGTCCTAAATGAGAACAGGCATTCCTGTTTTCACACCCAAATGCTGTCTTTTGGCCTGCCACACCCCCTATCTTGCACCCATATAAACTCTGAATCCCAAGCTTCAGAAACAGACCAGCAAGCCAGCAGAACAGCAGAAAACACAGAACAACACAGCAGAGAAAGGGAGATGAGGAAGAACATCTGAATGCAGAGAGGAGTTCAGCTAGGGGCAGTTGGAGAGGAGTCTGGCCGCTGGGCAGCCCGACTCTGAGGGAGGATCGCCTTCCCACTCCATTCCCCCTTTGCAGCTCCTCATCCATCCCTCTGAAAGCCACCTCCACCACTCAATAAAACCTCGCATTCATCCTTCGAGTCCATGTGTGCCCCAATTTTTCCAGGATGCTGGACAAGAGCTTGGGATACAGAAAGCTGTCACACTGGCCTTCTGCCCTTTGGAAAAGGCAGAGGGTCCATTGAGCTGGTTAACACTCAAGCCATCTGCAGGCAGCAAAGCTGAAAGAGTTTTGTAACACTGGGGTTGAAGGCAACCACACCTAGACACTACCAAAGGGCCAGAGCCCAAAGAACTCATCCCACCCTCTGTACCCATCTGTCTGCATGCTCCCCGTCCCGCAAAAGGTTTGAGCAGCAGGGCGACCAAACTGGCAAACTACACCCCTGTTACATGTCCTGCGAGGGGAATATCAAGGAACTCCCCCATTTCAATATGACATTTATATATGCTTAACAATACAGTTTTTGGTCGATATTTTGAAAAGCAGACAATTATTCTGAAAATAGCAGTAGATTATAATAATAAAAGCCACTTCTTTCTTATCATAAAAGACACTTAACATATGGAGAACAGAAATAATAAGATTCATATCTATCTTACATTCACAATCAGACATTATCTGGTAAATTCTTTCAAAGCTGTACAATTGCTTCTGTTTACAGAAATTGCCAATATCCAATAATATTCTGGACGTCAACCTGCTGTTTCACATAAGTGTGTTTTAATCATAGATTACTCTACCGTTATGAAGACTTTGCTTTTTTCCTTCTTGTTTGAAATCATACAATTGATTTAGTAACAATCTGCTTTTCTCTCTGACACAGAAGTAAAAGACAGATTTTGCTGCATGTAACTCACCTGCTGACAATTCCTCATGACAGAGATCTGTGTCACCTTTCTTATGTTAGTACAGGAGATTTTCTGAATAAATATTGCAAATTATGGCATTTGTGATGAATTATCCAAATATAAGATGACATGGGGAAAGTTATAAAAGGTTTTCTTGGCTGGGTGCGGTGGCTCATGCCTGTAATCCCAGCACTTTGGGAGGCTGAAGTAGGCGGATCACCTGGGGTCAGGAGTTAGAGACCAGCCTGGCCAACATGGTGAAACCCTGTCTCTACCAAAAATACAAAAAAAAAAGAAAAAAAGTGGCTGGGTATTGCGGCGGGTGCCTGTAATCCCAGCTACTCGGTAAGCTGAGGCAGGAGAATCTCTTGAACCCGGGAAGCAGAGGTTACAGTGAGCCGAGATCATGCCATTGTACTCCAGCCTGGGCGACAAGATCGAGACTCCATCTCAAAAAAACACAAAAGACAAACAATAAAATAAAAAATAAAAGGTTTTTTTGGTTGTTTTTCCATGATTAATCCAGCCATGTGTATATATATGTACACACACACAAACATATATAAATACATATACATATACACATACACACATACATATATATACAAATACACATACATATCCATTTATATATATATAATCTTACATATATAACCCTACGTCCGTATTTTGTTTTTAAATTTTTATTTTAGATTATATTTAGTAAAATTCTAAAGAAACCAGCTCGAGTTTGGTCACCTGACTTTAAATATTACACACCATTTTCAATATTTCTGTTAATTTAAGAATATCCATCAAAATCCCTGGATGCACCTTTTAAGCTCTCTTGTCTAATGACATTCCTCATACCATTTTTCTGGAAGATTACTGATAGTTTTATATATATATATATAAAATCACCTCTGCTTTCTACCAAGACTCTGACTCTCAAGTTTTCGTACACTGAAGAATCACATGAGGCTTGTTTAAATCAGATTCCCAGGCTGTGTCCTTAGAAATTCAGCTTCACTACATCTCGGTTGGAGCTCAGGAATCCAATAATGATGCATTGAGATTAGACTGTAGTCTCCTTAAGGGAAGGAATAGGTCTTATCAATCTGTGTATTTCTAGTACTTGGCATACACAGTGCCTGGCATACAACAGACACAGTAATTGCTTTTTGAATTAAATTAAGAGGATTAATCAATGAAAGAAAAATAGCTCCAGGTTTTTTTTAATCTTCCCTATTAGTAAACTTTATTATGTCAGTTAAAATGTGTCAAACTTTTAAGACAAGAAATTGGTAAAAATGTGGACTTAGAGAACATTCTCTTCCCAACTTTCCATGAATGTGCTTATTAATTAACCTAACATATATTGTACATTCTTCCAAAGCCTAGGCACTGTTCTAGATGCTGTGATATCAAATTGTGTAAGGTTATCTCTTCACCCTCAGGGAATTTACAGATTAGTGAAGAGGTACATTAATAACTCTAAAATAACTAAGGGGTTTATAATAGACATTAACAAAGCATTTTAGAAGCATTGAGAAATAAAGGCTGAGGGAGGTTAGAGTCTCCTTCAAAATTAAAACCTCAAGAATCAACATACTTCCATATTGTCAATGATAGTACAAATCATTCTCCACGCAATTCTTGAAAGGATATGATGGCATTCAAAATTGTCAGTGTACCAACACAGTTTGTCATTTAAAATGAAAACAATAAGAATGGACACTCTATGCCACTGTCTCTTCTTCACTTACTTCTTGTCTACTCATTATCAGAGAGCAAATGTACTCATACAAATAATACCTTTGATTTTCTGTTCACCTAACTTTTACTGTCACAATTCATGCTTTCAGCTTTTACACAAGTATGTGCCAGCTCAAATATGCTTTACATCAGTCTCCACTTGATTAACTTAGCAGCATCTTCTCCCTGACCTCCACACTGAAAATTCCCCTTTGCAAGTACTCTCTATTTTTGTTAAAATGTGAATTCTCTTTTACACATAATGGTTGTTTCTCCTTCATGGATCCCTTTGCTCTTAAGTGCTATAGTTTTATTTATATCATCTCAACCATATTCATGTTTCCAAAGGCCCTTTTAGCTGACATTCACAACCTAATTTCTACTTTGATAAGTCCTCATTGTGCCTGGTTTTGTGAAAGCAGTTGCCTGCCTCCCAAAGTGGAAGTAGAAAGAGCAAATCTTCCCTGTTCTCATCCTCCAATGGCTAAGGAATAGGCTTATAAAGGAAATGTAAGGTACCTGGCAACATGGCAGCCTTTGGCCAGATTACCTACCAAGTAGGAACTACTGAGGCATTGCCTTTTGTTCTTGCTTATTTCAGTTTTGTGAGATTAGCTCCCAAAGTGACTTTTAGTTTAAAACAGCTAAAACAGCTAGATTGATTCCATTATTTGAAAGCAAGAACTCTAAGTTGATTTCTTGTTAATGAGACTAAGAATCTAACCTTAATTTTTTGGACCCCTATGTTGGGTATGTCTTGGTAAGGTACATAATCTTATGGCAATTTAGCAATACTTTTATTGTGAAACAAATGTTAACTTTGTTTTATTGTACTATGCTAAAGTTTTTTTTATTTCATATTATTGTCAACCATGCTATAAATAGATACAAAATATAGGTAGACATATATAGATAAGGTAGGGCTAAAAATAAATAAAAACTCAGCATTCGCCTGTACCAGAAAATACACATTTAAATAATATTTTTGTCAAATTTAATGTTATTTTATTTTGATTACCATATAGCAGCTTGGACTATTTGCTTCAGTCAGTATTTATATTTCCCATTTCTTAAGTTGTGTTTTAGTGTGTGTATATATCAATCCATCCATTTAAATGATAATGTTATGTCTGGGGTATTTTCAGAGAGCAATTTTCCCATAAAAACATTGCATTTGACAAGTCTGGTTTAGGGTCCAGTTAAATAATTATCCATAATCTGTAGAAATTCTGTAACTTATTAAATACAAAAGAGTCCCTCAGGGGTACAATTTATTTCCTTAAAGTAGGCCATTGCCACAGTTTTCTTATCACCGGGCCTCATCATATTGTTGTACCTTAAGAACCACATAGGTTTTTATGAAATATAACTCATTAGAGTTCAGTCAGCTGTAAGACTACATCAAAATCTCAAATAGTCAGTCCGTATACATTTGCCATTTATAAATCTTTTTATCTGCTTTTCTGAGATGATCACACTAAAGATAGGAGAAAAAAAAGATATATTCTGTCTCTTAATCATATTTTCCATAAACTTACCACTTTTCCATTTTTCACTTCTTTTTGTATTTTTTTCGCTAATACTTTGCCTTCTGTCTGTATACATCAGCCATTTTTATTTAATGGAGTTTTGGGGCTGCTTTTAGGAAATAGAGTACACAATGGGCTCTAAAAATATTTCACAGATCGAAAAGAGGAAATTATATTTGTTATTCTCTTACCTATAAATCTAACACAATATCAATTTTGATAGCGTAGCATTTATAATTTTCCTGGCAGAGAACCTGGTACGTAGTAGGTACTCATAAAAGATTAATGCCTTTCTACCAGTTCATATTAGAAATAAACAACAACACTAAAACACTAAATTATGTTTGTGATTTGAAACTATTCACTAGTAATAGGATAAAAATTCAAATATCTGGGTTACAAATCAAATAATCACATAGCTATTATAACAGGAAATTCTCTTGTTTGTTGTAGAAAGTTTATTTACTTCTCTGGATTCTTATTCTTTGCTACTTCAATATTCTATGATATTTGGAGAATAGAGATATAACATTTTCTTTATAAGTAGAGTAAAATCAAGTCTCTAATATTTGTCTGTTTATATCTGATAATATAAAGAAAAAGATTAAACATGCATTTTCTTCTACTGTTTTACAAGGTTTTCTGTTAAAACTGACAAAATGATCTCGGCCTATAATAATTAAATACTATATTTATTTGATCAAAATAATTATATGCAAGAAAAACATTTAAGCTTGAAAATATTTCAAGCACCATTTTCAAAAAGTACTATATTAAAGACAATTCAATTGTCTTTCTATTTCTTTGTAAGGATATAAAAATCTGAGATAATCAAGCTTTTGAAAAACCACAAATTATGCAATGATCTGCAGAATTATAGACCATTCACTCAGAAAAACATGTTCATTTGCTTACAAATACTTGCTGATGACATATTAGTAGGCTTTCATTTAGCATATCAGTTTCAAACAAACTCTAGCATTTTTAAAGGCCAAAATGGGGAATAATCTCTTACTCATTTTATTTTTTCTCAGTTCACATATTTAAACATCACTTTTTAAACAAAGCATTGTGCAAGTTCCTACAAATACAAAGACTAACAAGACAGCATCCATGTCCTCAAAACCTTCAAAATGTACTGGGGACAAGGAAATAAAATTAGTTCAGTCAAATGGAGCTGCATACGTAACATGTGATTGTGAAGAGAAAGAAGGAAATCTCTGACAGGCGGGATGGAGGAAGTTTTTATTTCCAAATAGGAGTATCTGACAGAGGCTTTAATAAAATAGTAGAGAGGGAAACAAAGTACACTTGAGAATGATGGCAAATCATGAGCGAAATCATAGAGCTGGGCACACACCTGGAAGAAATGTGCGGAGAAGAGTGTGAAGAGGAATGCTGTGAATGAGAAGAGACTGTAATTCAAAGGGAGAGCATGCAAGACTTTGGACGGCATTTCAGGGAGTCATTTAATTTTCTGTCAGCAGTGGGGAGCCTTTGCTGATTTTTGAAGAGGGGATGCTATATACAATATGTGGTTTAGTAAGGTAATTCTACTATGAATGAAAAAGGAGAGCCAGATAATTTTAGAGAATTGGTACTGGGGATAAAAAGGAGTCAAATGTGGAGAAACTATTCGGTCACTAGGGAAAATGACTTTCACATACTGAGTGGTCCTTCTGGAATAAACAATGTCTACCCCGCAGGAAATACATGAGCCATCTTCTATCCTGATGAATGCGCTGATAAACTCTACACAATGCCATTCCCAAAACAGTACTAAATTTAAATGATGTGATTCTGTATCTGCCTTTGTAAGAGGCCAAGCTCCCTAAAAGCTGCACACATTTAGAATGTTCATAAAATTCTATGATTTGAAACATAAATATGAAAAGATGAAAAAAAGTATATTCTTAAGGGAAAATTAGGTAACTATGGGAAATACAGGAAGGTGGAATTAAGAGTAATCATTAATAGCAAAAGGATAGCAAATTTTCTCCTTGCCCTAGAGTGTTTTGTGCCACCTTTTATACATGTAGCTCTCTAAACCACTTTCCAGACAGCAGAGCACATTAAATGCATTCATGATTTGTAATTTAAAACTACAGTTGTGCGAAATTGCAGTTTAAGCTTGTATGGATCCATACTCATTGAGTTTGAATTAAGATTTACAAATATGTATTAGGTTGATAGGCCAGTCATTGAATGAAAAATACAATTTGTGATACTGAAATGCAGTAAAAATATGGAAATTTAAAATATGTATGAAATATTTATCAACAATGTGCTGATTAGATCTTAGGCAATTCATATAGCACATTTCAATAATCAGGGTATATACTCTGAATGCCATGGTTCTAAATTTCTTAATTTAAAAATAAATTGGAGGAACTCATTCTAGAAATAATTATGTCAGGAAAACATCATGTCCTACAAAACCCATTTACAGTCAAGAGACTAATAAATCAACTTTTTAAGTTCTTGGTTTTAAGTGGATATAGCTGAAAATCTAACGTTAAAGCAACACATTTTTGCCATAGTTCTATATCTCTTCAAGCAAAGGATAATTCTGGAATTACTCTAACATCCATATAAAGAATGGAGTTGAAGAGCAAGGTAAAAAGTTTGAAAAAATATTATACCATGCACCAATTGGTATATACCAATTACACCAATGTGTCCAGTAATAGCAGAATCAGATCATCCTATCATGAGATGACTAATTCAAAGCTGGTCCAAACCTACACCCAGTGCAGAAATTAACTCAGCAGGTTTCTCAATCTTGGTTGCAAATTACCATAAACAAACATAGATACCATCTGCAGATTATCTTATTTAGTAGGTGTACTTTTAAAACATCCCCAGATCATTTTAATTTACAGTCATGGTGAGAACCACTGCTCCTCCACAAAATATTAACCAAGATGAAGCATATGATTTCCCAATTTTGGGAAAATTCTGATTCTGGTAGACACCTTTATATGAAGATATTATCTGAGTTCTTACAACTTTCATTTATTGAAATCACATCAGTAGTTTGAACTCCTTAGAAAGCACTGTTTTTAGTTACATTATTTTCTAATAAAATCTAGGTTATATAACAAAAGGACTATTTAAATTAACTTTAATCACCATTACTAATAGCTAATATTTATTATGGATTTGCTATGAAACCAACACTAACTTAGCACTAATTTAGGTGTTTCATATAAAATAATTTTAAATCTTTTTATCAGTTTTAGAAAGTATATATTATTCTCTTCACCTTGAAAATAAAAATACTGAAATAGAGCAGATTTTTTAAGTGCCTTAAATTATGAAGCTAGAGGGTGCTGAAAGTGGGAGTTCGACCTAAGCATTCACATTTTCCACCACTACACTCTGCCTGTCAGAATGTTCAACACAGATCTGTTGAGTTAACTAAATTGCACCTACAAATCATTTTAATATTTATTGAAAGCTGTTATCCCTTCCCAACATTTTCAACATGCCGAGAACTTTCACTTAGTTTTTATATAACCCTGTTATCTGCTAGGGTTTACTTGTCACTAGGAAATCTAGACAAACTTGACTGAAGCACTGATCCTGACTTGCCAATACCATTGCTTGTGAAATTTAAAATCAAATCCTATGACCTTTAAGAATTCTTAGTGGCTTACACCTTCATGGTTCTCATTGTTTCCAACACCTGAATTGTCATTAAAAGTCTTCATTTTACTCTGGATATAAAATA
Organism: Homo sapiens; assembly: GCF_000001405.40. Taxonomy (NCBI): domain Eukaryota; kingdom Metazoa; phylum Chordata; class Mammalia; order Primates; family Hominidae; genus Homo; species Homo sapiens. Next base: position 79,986,557 of record NC_000001.11, on the reverse strand, counting down.
CATTTCTTTCATTGGATATAAGCATATAGCAAAGCAAGGTCTACTCATACCAAGCATTTTATGCATTCTGTCTGGTTTATTAAAGATTTTTGTGTCAAAGACAGGTTACCCCAACTAGAGCAAAGCCTTCTGACATCATGGACCTCACTTTTTTTTGCCACTTTCATCTCTTTATCTCAGCACTTCTCTCAGAACCCAACTCCCCAATCCATCAAACAGCTTAGCAGAAAACAATCAAACAAAAAATGGCCTGTCATAAACAGCATCTACTTTCTAAGAATGCAAGTGGTGTTATAAGTGCTATCTTTTTTTTCCTGTTAATTAGTTGTCATATTATTTTTACATCCTTCACTGTCCTAATCATAATTTTCCAAATATCTTTTAATTATTTGTCTAGTTTGTTCTCTAATTGGTCTGTTAGTTCTTCATTGGTGTCTGCTTTCCAATAAATCATAAATGAAGGATTCACTGAATCTTTATTTTTGGTGGTTGTTTTAGTGATAGTTATAACAGAGAAAAGCCCATTAGTCCTACTGTTGGCCGCAGAAAGGAAATATGTTTTTTCTATATACCTCATTATAGCTTATAGCTGCAATCTATTCCAAATGCTTGGAAGTATCATTTTGGCACAATTTTTTTGTAGCAAAATAGACGCCCAGGTAATATAATGGATAACCTGTCCTGAAAATATGGTCTTGGATTTGACATACTGGAAAAAACAATAACTTCAAAGTTTTGTTGATTGTTGTTGGTTTTGCTTTTTAATATATTGTTGAGATGGTAGTCTTTTGTTTTCTTGCCTGGATTTTCACCTTCTTCACTTCTTCTCAGTCTCTCCTTCGGCTCTCCTTACTCTTCCAGCCTCTATCCCTGCCACCCTAACAATACTCTGTTAAATCCCCTAGCACTGGAGTGATTCAATGCTTAGCCCTAGGCAGGTCTTCTTTTTATCTACGCTTTTCTCCCAAGGAAATCTTACTCAACCTTGTGACATTAAATCCACTTGCACTTTTTAATACTATAAATGAGTCCAAAATGTATATGTATATTTTTTATTTTTTTAATTTTATTATTATTATACTTTAAGTTCTAGGGTACATGTGCACAATGTGCAGGTTTGTTACATATGTATACATGTGCCATGTTGGTGTGCTGCACCCTTTAACTCGTCATGTAGCATTAGGTATATCTCCTAATGCTATCCCTCCCCCTTCCCCCTTATTTACAAGCTTTCCTCTGAGCTCCAGACTATTGTGTCCAGATACCTCTTTCAGGATCCCAGTCAGGTTCCTAAAGGAAAGGAATAGAACATTAAATTTAGGTAATTTGAAGCAAGTTTAATCAGGAGACAATTTCAAAGACCTGAGTAAGGTATAAGGACACAACAAGAAAGGTCACAGGATACTGTGCCGGGCTTGAAAATAACAGGGGAGGGAGGGGTTACCGGAGCCTGGAGATAGAGAGGCTGCGTCGAGAGGGCTGCTCTAAGGGAACCATGACCTTAGTTCAAGAAACGTCAAGGGAGGCACCCAAGCTATGGAAACACGGTGGAGAAGGAGTCCAAATAATACATATTTAGATGTCACTCTCCCTCTTCCAACCCTTTGTTCGGGCTCTCTGTTAAGGGAACTCTATTAGAAGGTGAAAAGAGAGCCGTAGATCTAGCTCTCAAAATCAGCCTCCTTGGGGCACAAAACAAGATGCAGAGAAGAAAGTATGAGTGTGAACAGGTTCATAATGTGGAATGAATGTATTCCAGGAAACAGTATATGGAAAAACCACAAGAAGAAAGACCCCAGACCTAAGTAGTTAACATATTGGGCACAAAGAAGTTAGAGGGGCAATTTATGAGGTTGAAAAGATAAATAGGGGTCAGACTACAAAATTATTTTACATTACATTAAGAACTTTGAATTTAAAAATTTACAGCAAGCTAGATGCAGTGGCTCAGGCCTGCAATCCCAGCTTGTCCGGAGACTGAGGCGGGAGGATCACTTGAGGCGAGGAGTTTGAGGCCAGCCTAGGCAACAAAGAGAGACCCCATTGCTACAATAATTAAAAAATAAATAAAGTAAAAATTTAAAGTGAAGCTGTGTCATTGTAATGTTTATGTTACAGAACCAACATTCTGGCTCCTGATTGGATACTGGATTAGACAAGGACCAGGGCTGAGGCTGAAGGAGCAGTTTAAAAGTTAGCACTGAGATCATCAAGTTACAGATCAAAGAAGTAATAGAATAGAAGGAAAAGGCAGATTGATGAGATATTTAAAAAGTAGAATTAATAAAATGTGGCTACTATTTGGATGCTGGAGGTAAAAGAAAAAGAGAAGTCAAGGATGATATAGAGATTTCTAGCATTTTCATCTTAGAGGATGGCAGTACCATTTCCAGTGACAGCAAAGAAAATAGAAAGAATTGGAGAAAAAAAAAAAAAAATGATGAGTGAGGCCTGGTGGAGTGACTCAGGCCTTTAATCCCAGCACCTTGGGAGGTCCAGACGGCAGAACACTTGAGCCCAGGAGTTCCAGACCAGCCTGACCAACATGGCAAAAATCCATCTCTACAAAAATTACAAAAATTAGCCAGGCGTGGTTGGTACACCTGAAGCCCCAGCTACTTGGGAGGCTGACGTGAGAGGATGGCTTGAGCCTGGGAGGTTGAGGCTGTGATGAGCCGAGATTGCACCACTGCACTCCATTCTGGGTGACAGAGTGAGACACTTTCTCAAAAAAATTTTAAAAAAAGAAAGAAAATGACGAGTGAGGTTTAGTACATATTTTAAGATATTAAGTTAAAGTTGGATGCCTGTGAAGCAGTTCAGTAGAAATGTCCATAGAGAGAACAGTAATATAAATGTACTTTTGAAAATTATAGCCATATCATGAGGAAGTAGTTGACATGACAGAGAATTTAACTTAGCTATGACTGACCTAACACATAGCTTTTTTCAACATAACCAGTTAATAACAAGTTTAATAATTTTTTAAAGGCAATTCTCTATTTATTTACTTATTTTTGAGGTAGGGTCTTACTCTGTCACCTAGACAGTAGTGCAGTGGCGTGATCTCACTGCAGCCTCGACTTCCCAGGCTCAAGAGATCTTTCCACCTCAGCCTCCTGAGTACCTTGGACTACAGGCCTGTGCCATCATGCCTGGATAATTTTTGTATTTATTGTAAAGAATGAGTTTCACCATGTTGCCCAGGCTGGTCTTAAACTCCTGAGCCCAAGGGATCTGCTTGCCTCAGCCTCCCAAAGTGCTAGGGTTACAGGTGTGAGCCACTGTGCCTGGCCACAAAAGGCATTAAATGCCAACAACAAAACATAACTAGTTTCTGAAGTCTATCCTTTCAATTCTAATTATCTTCCTTGGTACTCCCTTATTGTTGTTTGTGGACTTAATGCTTTATAAAGTAAATGCCTGTTAAACAGATTGTAAAGAAAATATTTCTGCAATATTATTGAGAAGAAAAATTTAAGATCTCCAACTGGACTTTGAGTTTTAGAACTAGAAGAAGTATCAAAGGTCATTTAGCAGACTCAGAGGTTTCTTGTTTTAGATGAGAAAGCAAAGGACCAGATAGTTATGCCAATGGTTGAATCATTCAGAAATAAACTATAGAGTAAGTAATTCATTAAGATAAATAATGATTAATGCACATATGGGTTAATCAAGCATCTCCACTTATAATAATGTAAAACAATATCTATGATATAAGGCTAATAGGGATCGGGGAGGAGGAGAAACTAGACAACAGAAAAAATACACAGTAAATTAGATTTTAATTAACATCATACTGATGTGATATGAGCCTCGAAAGATCAATCTTCAATGCTTCCAAGAAACTCCATAAAATAAAAGCATATTTATATTTAAAGGTTGAAATATAGGAAACTGCTAAAAACATGGATGCTGAAATTGCTAACATTTCATTAAAGGTGAAAAAAGCTCACTGCCTTAATGGAAACTGAACTAAGCCCATAGAGAAGCAGATGTTTCCCTTTAGCAAACTTTCAAAGCAGCAGGAACTTGCATTCAGGCAGGAAACTGGCAGAGGCGCTGGAGCCATTTCTAAGTGGCTATGAGAGTTGAGAGAACGTCCTTGAAGACCTGTGCTCTGGTTAAAATGGAAGTAGAGGTTTTGGCAGACTGTGCTATCGGCTGCCTGCCAGTGATTTTGAAAAGTATGACAGCTAATGTGGCTGCCCAGATAGTTCTTTGGCTGCACCTCTGGTTGGAAGACATGATTTTGAAAGAACTCCACACAGGAATTCCATTTGGCAAGGACTTGCTTTTTGGCATGGACATGGAAAATCTTCTTGAATAAGCACTGAAGAATAAATTATTCCTGCCTCAGGATAAAACTTCTGGGGGATAGGGAAAGAATTGGGCAGCAGATTACACAGAGGCAGAAAGTTTTTGAACTGGCAAGTGACACTAGAAATTTGCAATCAGTAAAAATAAACCTACTGCAAGGAAAAACACTGGAAAGTTCTTCAAAGGATCCGGAAGAAAAAGGGGGCTGGTCTGGCTACTCAGTCATTGCTCTGAATGATGAAACCAAATAATAAAGATCATATGTGAATCAAAATGGGAAAGTGTACATTTAATTCAAGAAAGTGCTTATTTAAAAAAATTTAAATGTTTTGAAATATGTAAAACAGATTTTACAATGTAGAGACCTGGTACTACACTGATCATGAGTTCACAAAATGCTGACCTAAACTTTCAGGTATGGGTTCTTCTGTTACTTGCTGTGTGAAGTCTTTTGGGGGACTGAATACATTTGGGTTAGTAATGTAGTTGGTCATGTAACCGACATGTAACACGCAGAGTGGCATTTTCAGTGCCAGTATCCTTGTGGTACTTGACAGTGTCCACATGTCTCTTTGGCATGTAAAATGTCATCAAGTTCTCGACTATCTCAGTTCTTATGCAGCTTCTGATATATGAAAACAGCATAGTGTTTTGTACTGATTGATGATAAAAGGTCATAATTGACTACTTTTTTTTCTCTTTAAAATATGCAGTCATGACCGCTTGAGTCTTGTGAAAGATTGTTTTCCCTAAGGTGTCAGGTAAAATACAGGATGCTCAGTTTAATTTAAATTTCAGATTAACAGTAACTAATTCTTTTTCAGTATAAGTATTCAAATTTAACTGTGGGTGCTATATTTTACTTGATAAATTAGGCAGCAAATTTTAGGGACAGTTTTATGGGTAAGAGAGATCTGTTCTTCAGTTTCAAAATGCTATTTTATATATATAAATTCACTTGGCTAGAATCCAACACCAGTAAACCTAACAACAAATTTTGTTTTCCATAAAATATTGAGAGTGAAGTTCAGCGCAATCTTTTACCTGGTCTGTGAGTTTATTTTTTGAAGAAATGTGTTTGATAGCCCTGCTTCTAGCACAGGTGCTGAAGAGGTGGCCAAAAGACACACTTAGTGGTAATGAGGGGCAAATAAAAGAAGGAAAAGCAGAAAGAGAAGAGATAGATGTACATTTTGGTGATTAAATCTATGAGTTTGAATACTAGTTTTGCCAATTACCTACCCATGTACCTTTGTCTAATTGTAAAAAATTATAATAAATGTATAATAAACTATAAAAATAAAATAGGACATGACAATGACGGAGGACAGTGTTTAACATATAAAAGGTATAAAAAATATATAGATTTGTGTCTTTTCAATAATTTAACAGCAATTGGTGCTGGAGGCTTGCGACTTAAATCCAGATCCTCTTGCTCAAAGAGTGAGGTTCAAAATACTAATGCTTTAAACCTATGTCAGAAAAAAGAGCCATTTAATAGTAATGCAATGAAAAAAATCAAGGTACAGAATATAATTATAATTTAAAAATTATTTAGACTGCTGCTGTTCTGCCTTTTTTAGAAAATGCTTAATCAAAAGGCAATTTTACCCAGTTACTTGAGGATATTTGACTTCCATGGATAATTGCCTAATATAAATTCAGAGGACACGTATTTACAGTCAGCAGTTTTGAAAAACACTATGACAGCGTATTAAAATCTTACTTGTGATATCCATCCTCTTCAAGTCTAGCGTAGTGAGTGTAGAAGATGAGTTGGCTCAGAAGATTAACCTTATGAAGTTATTAATTAGAATATTTGACCACAGCTATATCACAAAGTATTTCCTGATGTGATTATTATGAATTTCTAAAAAAAATGTATTTTAAGCTTCTAAAATTGAGTCTAAAAATATTTCTTAAGTGAATGCTTCCATTTTGCACATTGCTACTAATAGATTATGAACACATTAGCGCCAGGGTCTGTAGGTATTTTATCAGTAGATTATCAGGGCCTTTACACAACGTACAATGGGCACACATTACGAAATAATAAATCAAGGGAAATATAAACTCATAATAAAATAATTAAGGAAGTAATAAAGAAAAATCAGTTTACAGCACAGAGTAGAGTAATGTATACATAGCTTATAAAAATTATGTCCACTAGCTTGGGTAAGATTACAGAGGTGTCTTTTTCTTCTATTTGTCTTAAAAACTGTTAGGCACAATGTTTCCTAAAAATTCCAAAGGAGTTGATGATCTTTTTGTAATATCACTTCTCTGACAAAAATTTATAATACAAATAGTGGACTAAATATACTGAATAATTAAATGGAAGAAAAATTGTACTTTAATTTGTATCATCAATTTATATTTCGATGTCAGGTTTAATAAGTATCAACTTTTATCAAATAATGAGTCAGTTTGTAAAAGCTAAAATACATATTTTTAGGAGTAAAGAGTTTTCAACATTCCTTGTGTAGTTGAAATATTTGTCCTGAAATTTTAAGGATGTAGGTAAAGAAATATATTATTTTCCAATCTGTATGAAAATCATAGTAATATGTACTCCTCAGTATAAAAGGAATTTATATACAAAGCACTTAGAATAGGTCTGCTCCATCCATTCATGGAAAGCACAGTGTTATTGTTACACTGGCTTTCATTATCATGTTAAACAAGTCTAGCCTCTTGACTGAATATGTATGATAAAGGATTAGTGTTGTAATAAAAGAAAATATTCAGAAAGGTAGATGATAGCCATAAATGAAAATTGCTAGTGAGTTACATAATAATTACTTTATTAGTGAGCTTTTTGTTTGTTTCAAACCAAATATTTCTTTGGACAGCTAAGGAAAGGAAACTGAAACAACATAAAACAGAACTTTGTCTTTAAGCCATATCCAAAGAAAACACCGTTAGAATTTGCCGAGCAGCAGTATCTTTCCTTATCTGGAGGGTCTCACACCTACCTGGTTTATACTGGCCTAAACCTTCCTATCTTTAGCAACATTTAGCGTGAGCTAGCAGTAAGGTTAGAGAGGCACTGTCCATTCCTTCAAATCCTATCTCTGAGAACTCGTGGGACTAAAAATTCCCCACCCCATCTTGGTCAATCTCTCTGTTCCTTATTGTTATACTGTTCAATACAGCAACCACTAGCCAAATGTAGTTATTTAAATTCAAATAAATAATACATAAATGCAATTTAAATCATACGTCCTCATTTGTAGTAGCTACTTTTCAAGTGCTCAAATGCTAAATGTTCTCTTGGACAGCACGGAAAATCTTTAAAGGGCCTTAAGTTACATTTCTTTATATTCTCCTTCTAATAAGTAAGAAAGGCTTCATGAATGTGGGGCAATTCTCCTCCATTCTGTCTCTACCTGTAGAGTGAACCCTAGGTTAAACTGACAATACAAAATCCAACTTCTTCACATTGCCTCTCTGAGATTAAAGCTCAGACAGCGAATAATCTTGGAGGTAAAAATGAATGTGTGTGTTATGAGGGAGTTGGTAGCAGGGTGTATTGACAGTTTATTCAGTTAGTATAATATACTTATTTAGATTATTTTCTGATGAATTCATTAAAAACTAGAATGCATATAATAATGGAATGGGAGTTGATATTGATGGTGGTGAAGAAGAGAGGTGGGCTTATCATGAAAAGAGAAGGAAGATAAAGACACAAGGAAATGTAATAGAGAGAGGAAAGAGAAACAACAATTACTTTGCAAATTTGACAAAAGCAGACTGTTTGGTTAATAATACGAAACAGGAGAAAAGCAGATTTTCAACAAAAGTCCTTTATGGGGATGAAATCTACTGAGCTAAATACACCTCAAATCTCCTCAGCATAAAAGCTCAAAGAGCAACATTTCAATACTGACTCTGCCAGTGTATACAATGCTTTCCTTCATGCAGAAACCAAGCACAATTGTCATAATTTGGCTCTTGTCAATATGTTTCACCCCTTGTATCATTGTGTCTGGAACAGCAAGGTGAGATCCAGGCAGACAGGGCTGGAAACAGGGAGCTGGTTCTGTGAAAATGCATACTGAAATACAGACACATAAAGGATATTATTTCAAGGCCAAACTGTGCCAAAAAGGCGGTATATGCAGGATTTTTTCCCTACTTGAAATTTGAACACTGAGTGATAGGAGAAATTGAGTGATTGGAAGGCAGTACTTACCAGGGTGCGGTCATTGCATTTATCAGCGCCATATGACAATCAGTACTTTAGGAAATACAAAATGATTCAGTTTGTAAGTGGGGAAATGACACAATGTTTTAGAAAGTTGGATTCGGTTTTGACAGTGATGAATAAAGCAAAGTGTCATGGCATGGGGGATATCCACAACATGAAATAAATATGTAATGTATCTGAAGTAGTAATATTAAGTGCTATGTTGACAAGTTAAATTGGAATGGAGACTAAAGAATGATGGTGGCTGGTATTTTAGATAGGATAGAGAGGGAAGATACTTTTCAGGTGCCCATAGAGAAAGAACTTAAAGGGAGTAAAAAATGCTGTGGGACTCCTAGGGAAACCAGTGTTCCAGAAAGAGAAAAAAAAAAATCAAATTCAAAGGGCTTGAAGCAGCCAAGTGATAAAGTGATTTGGAAAGCTTGTGGAATAGCAAGGTGCCTGATATGGATGGTTCAAATAAGGCAAGAAAAAGAGTGCAACAAATTAACATTAGGGTCCCCATCATGGACCTAATGATGTAGGTCTATAATTAGAAATTGATAATTTCTCAGCATCATCACTGCCCCCACACTGGTTCAAGACGCCACCCTCACTTAACTGAAATAATTTCAACAACCATCCAACTGCTCCTTACTTGCTACCTTAAAGTCAGTTTCCCCTAAATCTGTAATTACTCACTAACCTGAATGACGAGCCTTTACAAAATACCTCTACTCAAGACACAATAGTGCTTAAGACCTAAATTCAGAATAAAAACCAAAGTTCTTATCCTAGGTATTCTCATCATACTCTGCATGACTGGTTGTCATGCCACGTTTGTCTTCTGTTGAGCCCATCTGCATTCCTTCTGCTCCAAACCCACTGGCTTCCTTGCTGCCCCTCAAAAATGTCAAGCATGACCCCACCCCAAAGTCTTGGCACTTAGCGTTAAAACAATCTTTCCTCAGGTATTCCAAATATTAGGTTCTCCTTTTCATTTAGGTCTCTCCTCTCATTTTGTCTCCTTAGAGAGCATTTCTCCTATCAAATTCCCACCCCTTCCTATCAGTTTCTAGCCACTTACCAGATTTTCTTTTTCTCCACAGAATTGATTTATACATGACACACTATTAACAAGTGTTTGATTTGGTTATTGTTTATTTTCTTTCTCCTTGTACTAGAATAGAATTTTCCTAAGAGCAGGGGTTGTAGTTTATTCTCTATCTGTAAAACCTAGAACTGTGCCTGATACGTCCATATTGGCTAGTAACATTTTTTAAAAATATATAACTAAGAAAATTAAGGTAGCAGCAACACAGCTTACTGATGATTAGAGATCTAATGTGAGAAAAACAGAAGCATCAAGGAAAACTCCAGGGTTTTTATCCTTAGAAATGGTTGAGTTGTGGCGGCTCCATAAACTGAGATAAGGATCAGGAGCAAGATGGTTGGAGGAAAAAATCAGGTGTTCTATTTGGAAATGTTAACTTTCCTTGTGTGCGTTTAGTTTAGCTGCTAAGAGCAACTAAAGCAGGAGAGTGAGTCATAAGTACTTTACCTTGAAGGTAATTTGAAACAGATTTAGTAGTATAACGTCTAAATGTGTCATTGCTTGTACTAAACACATTCAATCAAAGAATATTAACAGAAAATACTTTAGAAATTAGGAGTTCCTTGGAGTGTCCTAAGGAGACATGGAGTAGCAAGCCTTTGAGAAGCAGTCTCCCACTCTTACAATCCATTTTATTTATTTATTTACTTTTGAGACAGAGTGTCACTCTGCCGCTCAGGCTGGAGTGCAGTGATGTGAACTCAGCTCACTGCAACCTCCACCTCCCGGGTTCAAACGATTCTCATGCCTCAGCCTCCCGAGTAGCTGGGACTATAGGCATGCACCACCATGCCAGCTATTTATTTTATTATTATTTATTTTTATTTTTAGTAGAGACGGGGTTTTACCATGTTGCCTAGGCTGCTCAGTAACTCCTTAGCTCAGGCAATCCGCCCTCAGCCTCCCAAAGTGCTAGGTACAATCCACTTTAACCTGAGTAGTTTGCCTTCAGTGAGACAATGGAAATGTTTTCAGGATAGTAAATAGAGAAGCTTTCCGTGGTTACAAATTTGCAAAGCCAGGGACTTCAACTTCCCTATTTAACAGAAAGAAACTGGAGCCAGAGAGATGATATAATGTGCCCTTGATCACAAAGTTGGCTGGTGGTGGGGCCATCTCCAAGTCAGGTGTGGTAACCCCAGGATCTTTTCTCTACATTATACTCTAATACAACCTGTGATCTGTAAACCAACCTGGGCACAATGGTGGTCTGGGGCTGATTCATACCAGTTCATGAGAGCTGATTGTTAAATTTTCAGGGATTTTGCTAGTCATAGTTAAACACATACATAATTAAAAACTAAACTGTATAAACCTACAATTAAATATTAGAAACAAAGGTAAGAAATACTCAAAACTCATCACCTTTTATTTTCACCACATTTTACCATTTTCTATATTTGTGATGCCATTTATATCTAATGTATCTGTATAATATAAATACTATAGAATACTACGGCACCACTCCTGAAACTCCACATTCAAAGGCCTCATATAGGCAAGCTTGATATCTGACATGGTAGCAGTATTGACACTGAAAATTGTCAAATGATATAAATCAGGTCTCCTCTCCCATCCCTCCTACTGTGCGTGGCTAGAGAGCAAGTGGTTAAACTTATACAAGTGCACAATTTCCTGAAATTAAATATTTCATTCTTTATTTTTTCTGGGACCTTGGGTAAACAATTTAACTCCTTTCTTATCTTGGCCTGAAAATTAGATACAATAATTCCACTCTCATTTGGAAATTGTGATGACTAAATGACTATATATATGAACATTCAGAAAAGACGGCCCTACATACAGGAGTACCACTAGGCCATATGGCACATTTTTGCAAATCAGAAGGAAAAAAAAAGCTGGCTGGGTGCAGTGGCTCACGCCTGTAATCTCAGCACTTTGGGAGGCTGAGGCGGGTGGATCAGTTGAGGCCAGGAATTCAAGACCAGCCTGGGCAACATGGGGAAACCACCTCTCTACTAAGAATACAAAAATTAGCTGGGCGTGGTGGTGCACTTCTGTAATTCCAGCTACTCCAGAGACTGGGGCACAAGAATCGCTTGAACCGGGAGGTGGAGGTTGTAGGGAGCCCAGATGGCGCCACTGCACTGCAGCCTGGGTGACAGAGAGAGACCGTCTCAAAAAACAAAAAAAAAGCTGAGGTCCTCAAGACATTTCTCTTATCATATTATTGTAACATACTGGTTCTTATTAAAATAAAATACAACTTCTATCTACCAGGAAATTATCAAAACAGTACTCACATAGCCATCTCTGGGAAAAATAATGTAAACTCTGTACATTCAAGCAACTTGCAAGGCAGTATTTTTTTCTTAACTTCAGTGTAAGTAGCCTCTGCCTAAATGTTCAGTCACTTCTTCTATAACTCTGTTCAGTCTATTTCTTTTTTATTTGTTTTCTGTTTATTTGGTTTTTAGTTGGGGTAGTGTCAAAGATATAACAAATATCACAAGGAGTGTGTGTTCTTTTTTTTCCATACAGCACCATGAAATAAAAGTCTCAGGAAAATCCTCTCCCTGGGGCCTAATGCTCCCCAGTAACACCCAGTAATGAGTCTTCTCCTGGAAACAGATGGAATTCATTGACTGTGCCTTTGGTTCTCACACCAAATGTGCTAAATTTCTGAGACCCTTCCAAACATTTGGCTACACAATTTTCATGTGAATAGTAGAAGAATATGTCACCTCTACAGGTCTCTTGTTGAAAATCAATTTTGCTTACAAATCATACTTGCTTGCTCTGGTATGATGTCTGTAAGATAATTCAGGGAATAACTTATCTATCAGTATTCCAAATGAGATAAAAGATTGAATCTGGGTGTCATGAATAGCCTTTAAAGTTATGTTGGAATAATTTCCTATCTCTGAATCCGTAATCATGTTTTTTATAGCATCTTAGCTTCACGAAGTGGGCAAATGCCCTGCTGGCTACCCCTGCTACCAAGAAGGGTTCCATCTCCCCAAGGAAAATTAGATAGATATCTACACTCTCATATTCATTTCAGTATTATTCACAATAGCCAAGATTTAGGGAAAAAAAGTCTGTTGATGGATGAATGAACAAAGAAAATGTGATATGTACACACACACACACACAATGGAATTGTATTCAGCCTTTAAAAAAAGGAAATCCTGACATTTGAGACAACACGGATAAACCCAGAGGACGTTACACTAAGTAAAATAAGCCAGACACAGAAGGAAAAATGCTCCATGATCTCATTTATAAGTGGAATCTAAGAGTTAAGCTCTTAGAAACTGAGGGTAGAATGGCGGTTAGCAGGGACTGGAGGAAGATGTTGGTTAAGGGGTTCAAAGCTTTGGTTACACAAGATAAGTTCTAAAGGCCTAATGTATAACAGTGTGAATTATAGTTAACAATATTGTACTGTATAAATTGAAATTTCCCAAACTTTAGAAATTTTTTGTTCTCACCACAAAAAGAAAGTCATCAAATTGCGCATCTTAAATATACACAATTTTTAATTTGAAAACAAAATTAATAAATAAAAACAATTATGGTTTTGAACCAAGGAGGTCTACCTTTCAGTTTCCTCATAATCAATATAGAGCAATGAGACAGAAAAAACGTTTGGAAATAGAAAAAATTTTCCTGCAATAGTTTGTATCTGCAAGTGGAAAGAACATAAAGAATTCTAATTCTCAGGAAAATCTAATATGGAGTTACTGTAATTGAAATGAAGAAAGGGTTGGAGATCTAAGTGCTAATTTTCTCATCTCTCATAGCAGGGTAAAAATAAATATAGTATGATAGCAAAATAATTACTTTAAGAGATATGGTGACTACAACCTTAATATTTTTCACAATTTTTCTTTTTATCAGGTGGACTGTGCACTAACCACTTTTGTCTCTAACTCGTTTTATCTAACATTTCATCTCCTCAGGTTATCAATTCATTTCACTATATTTACACACCAAATGCAAATTTAATATATTTTACTTAAATTTAACTATATTTTAAGATCTTGTTTTTGTTTGTTAGTCCACCTATCTGTATATATAGAAAGATAAATATGTAAAATGATGTTTAGCAAATGTTAATAACTGTTGCTTTTATGTAGTAGGCTTTATGATTATTTTTTCCTTAATTATTTTCTTTTTAAATTTCAACAAAACAAAAAATTAAAAGAATAGAAATAGTATACAAATATGAAAAAGTATATGAATATATATGAATATATGAATATAGATGAACATATTAATATATTTTATATATATATATATCTTTTACCAGAGGTTTGAAAATAGTATCAGTTATGTCAGGCACTGAAATTAGCAAAAGGACAAATAGAGAGAGTTAATCCTGTGATTCAATTAAGTTTCTTGTTGTTTGAATTTTATTGTGTTGTTCTCAAAAGCTACGGGGAATTGCCAACACAAAATTCAGAATGATGGCTAATTCTGAGTAGAGCTTAGGTAGCTGCAAAAATGTGGTAATGTTCTGACCTGAGTAGTGGCTTTATTGTATTATATTTCATAACATATATTTGTAATTAAATATAATCTTTTATACATATAGAATATTATATTACAATAATAAAGAAAATCAAAAGAATCAAATTATAATAGTAAGTTTTACAGAAAATAGAGTTAGAAAACTTTCATAGCCTGTGGCTAACTTGAACCCTCATACATATAATAAACAGGTATCACCTATTGTTCTGAGTCCTGCAAAGAATTTAACCCTTTGCTTTGTGTGAATGCATTTCAAATGACAAGGATATTGTAATAATTGTGAATAAATAATTGTACAATTCATATCTTTTCCAGAAAACAAAATTAAGGCATTTTACAACATGTAGGTTAAGTAAGAATGGCTTATTTGAAATCTGTATTTTCAACTTAGGTTATACATGTTCTTTCTTTCTTTGAAGGGTGTCCTTGGGCATTGAGTACTCATAAACTGTTGCACATATGGGGGAAATTTTTAGAGAGAAAATAGCTAGCACCTGGATTGCCATAACATTCAAAATGTCTTTTGTGTGTCTCCAGCTTGCAATATTTCGGCTCATGGGGAATATAGGCTTACAAGTTAAAGTCGCTTTTCCTTATCCAGACCGTCCTATCTTCCTTATTACCTTCCTCATCCCCATCTTAAACCTCTTTAATCACACTAAAATTGATCTTACTCTAAGTTCTATACTAAGCTTCAGTGACCTACTTTTTCTATTTTCTATTTTAATTTATTTACTAAGCCTCATACTATACACGTGGGGACTCTCTTAACATTCTTTTTATATGATATGTTGAAGGATACTACAATGTTAGATATAAAAATTAATGAACCAACTTTGAACTCCATTTAAAATTCCATAATCTGAATGATAAATTAGAAAATTCAGAATGTACTAAATTTTCAAATTTTAAAATACTTTCAGGAGACTAAAATACTCTGGGTTCTCTTTATAAATTTTATAAACAAATAATTAATACAATGAGTTTTTTTTTTAAATCCAGGATTTATTCCCAGAAAAATAACCTAAATTGGGCCAGAACAGGTGAACACCTAATCTAAGATTCAAAGAACATAAACATATTTCTGTTCCTAAGCTTCTCAGTATTGATCACTTCTATTGTACATTTTCTTCATTAGGTTTCTAAACCATTAGATTTTTTTCCTTTTTTTTCTCTCTTTTAAAAAAGAAAAAGAATAATTTTGTGTCTAAGCAGGTTTTCCTCTTAATTCTAATTCATATTTGCTCAACTATTTTGCCTTGAGACTTCCCAACTTCTCACTATTATCACTTCCTAAAAATGTGTTCCAACATCTTAAATTTAATGAGAACATTAAAGACTTATGTTTCCATAATCGTTAAAAATAGTTTCGTGATGATACGCTTGATAAACATCATTTCTTCAATAGCTTGTATAAATCAACAACAAAAAAATCTCCTTCTGGTGCTGCAGGGTGCCTTTCTTAATATGGGTCCTGAGAAGCCAGAGAAAATAGCAAAGGGAAGAAGCAGGAGAGGAAGAACGCATTCTCCTGTCCCTTCCCAAATCTTTGTGTTAACCATGACTCCCATGTCCTTCAGCAGCACTAAGAGGGAACACGGCTAGCAGTATTCCGACTGTGATAGACCATGATAATTCAAATGTGTGATTTTAAAAAAGAAAAAAAGCAGAAGGAAAAGTTCACAGCACATTCTCCAGAATGATGTGTTTAAATCTGCAAAATCCTAGGAACATGCATGATTTTTATCCCATTACCTTGTCTCACAAACACCACAACCCACTAGTTAAAATTAACTAGTGGTCAGGAAGAAATACTTATTCTCAAGTGACAACACTAAACATTCCCTCTATTGTACTTATAGAAACCTTGAAGAGATTTCTTTCATTTGGTTGCCTTTTGCCTGACTTTTCTAGCTCTCAATCAGAAGATGATGCTTTACATCCTGGGAGAAACTATAAGGTACATAATGTCACAGTTTAGGTGAAACATATTCAAAACACATGCTATGAAATTTATGGCAATTATTTTAATCATTTAACATTTAAATTATTCAGCAATTACAAATTTAATGCAGATCCATTTCAGCATAAATCATCAAAAATATTTTAAATTTATTTTAAAGAAACATCTGAAGACTCTTTTTCCAAGGGAAAAAAGTCTATCTGCCATTTGTTGGAACTGAAAAAAAGAAGAAAATACAAAGCTTAATAGCATTTTTTTTCCTTCTCTACATAAAAGAGAATTTTTTGCCCCACAGCTATTCTTGTCCATTAGAGATATTTGCCAGATGACATAAGATCTTCTACACTGGCAGCTTCAGTGGCTATTTGGAAAGCTTCACTGCCACCTGCAGCTGCACCTGCTGTGAGATTTTACTTGTAGATTCCTTGGTGAGTACAAAATCTATTGCCTAGATTAGTAAATGAACCTAATCCTAGTAGCAATTTTCTAACATAGTTAAGGAGTTTCCCTGGGTAGGATTGGACTGTGCGGATATGTTTTCCCTTGTAAATTTATATAAACTAATGGATGCATAAACAATAAACGAATTGTGTATAGGGATGTAATTTTCTTCATTAACTAACATTATTATACTAAAATTGCTTAGGTCAGAATTCACCATGGAGCTAGTCTTCAAGTAAGCTGTGAGTTTATAAAAAGAAAAGGAAAATAATTATCTCTGAAATTGTCTGCTTTTTAAATTTAGTAATGTTTTCCCTTGTAAATTTATATAAACTAATGGATGCATAAACAATAAACGAATTGTGTATAGGGATGTAATTTTCTTCATTAACTAACATTATTATACTAAAATTGCTTAGGTCAGAATTCACCATGGAGCTAGTCTTCAAGTAAGCTGTGAGTTTATAAAAAGAAAAGGAAAATAATTATCTCTGAAATTGTCTGCTTTTTAAATTTAGTAATTTTATCTGCTACTTGCAGACACTTTTTAAATATTTGTGTTTTACATTTTCTAATGTTTTGTTTTTCTTAAAATAAATAACCTTGGCTTCTCAAAATGGAAATAAAGAATTCAAGTTTGTATCATGTTCTTAAAGGCACTGGTCCATGTAAGTCCCAAGCTGTAGCTCTGATCCCCAGTTCATACTACTCCAACCACTCTGGTCTCCTGAGGATCTTAAATATCCTAAAAGTGCCCTTCCCTCAGGGCCTTTAATCAAGCTCTTCTCTAGGTCTGAAACACTCATTCTCCAGGTATCTGCATAGCTGGGCTCTTTCACTTTGTCTATTTTAATGTCATCTAAGCAGTTGGCCCTACTCTAAACACCCTATCAAATACAGCAGTGCCTCCCACACACAGTCATTTTCTGTTCTATTCCCCTAGTTGATTATTCTTTTTATTCTCACAGTCACAAGCTATGTTATAGATTAATTTGCATATCTGTTTATTATGTCTCCTCCCAAACAATATAATTTCCATAAGAACAGAAACTCTGGGTATTTGTTTATATGGTAAGTCACATTGTACGTGGTCATATTCTACAAACATATTTTCAATAAATTCATGAATGAATGATACATAAGACTGTGGTATAGCCTTCAAGATGATTTTTGGTAGTTTGTTTTTAAGAATAATAAGACTGGGAGTGGTGGCTCACGCCTCTAATCCCAGCACTTTGAGAGGCAGAGGAGGGCGGATCACCTGAGTTCAGGAGTTTGAGACCAGCCTGGTCAACATGGTGAAGCCCCATCCTTACTAAAAAATCAAAAATTAGCCAGGCATGGTGGTGGGCACCTGTAATCCCAGCTACTTGGGAGCTGAGGTGGGAGAATCGCTTGAACCTGTAAAGTAGAGGTTGCAGTGAGCCGACATCATGCCACTGCACTCGAGCCTGGGCGACAGAGTGAGACTCCACACCCCCCCAAAACAAAAGCAAGAAAAAGAAGAATAAAATATGATGCTTTCAACAGATTGAATGACTCAAGTTCAGTTTTTCCTCTTGTGAAATTTACATTTTCAGGAATTATTTGGAGTAGTAAACAAATTTTACTTGAGGATATTCTAATATTTGGAAGTATGGTAGAATAAGAAGGCATTTTGGTAAAGATTTAGAGTCACTTTTTAATCCATGTTCTTATTCACATACTCAGCTTACAGCAGGAATTTGTTTAGGAACTCGTTTTGCCAAAGTATCAAATAAACCCCAAAAGTTTTAAGTGACATGAGAAGAATCTCAAAGTCATGTAAATACAACTAAATGTGTTTTCCCCTCTTCCTTTCAAATGAGGATTGGACTCCATGAATTTAAAAATATTTTTAAATTAAGGTTTCAATGGTTCTGTCATTGTCAAATAACTTAAAAAGTCTGCTTCATGATGTCAGAAAACTATGCTGATTGAAAAAATAAATTGACTTTGCGTTAACAAAAATCTCATCATTTGTTACTCAAAAATAAACAAATATGAAGAGATTATCTGAAGAATTAAATGACAAATTTCTCTATAGAGATCCCATAGAGTTTAAAAATACTTATGTTATTTTTGTTGTGATTTTCTGGGCATTGTTTTAAAACAAAATTTTTATTTATTTTGTAATTTCAGATGAAGACTTGGCAGAGTTCTTCATTCACAACATTCTTTGCCCAAAAAGTTGATTGACAAAAACAATTTGGAGACCCTACATCATTTTCAGCAGTCATGCTAAGGTTTTGAGACAAATAAATTGTCGTGTGAAAAACACTTATAGTACGTTCCTAGTATTTTTTTTATTATATTTCTCCACAAAACACCTATTAAGGCAATAATGCAGCCAAATTTAATACTTTAGATCATACTACAGAAAAAATAAATTCTTATTAATATTGAGAGATATAGGGTGAAAAGAGACATGCATGGAATAACTGAAACGCACTAAAACGTGTTTGTGCTACTCGATTCACATGCATGCTCGTGCATAATGTTCTAGTACGTTTGCATGTGGTTGATCAATTGTACTCATTTCCAAATTTAGTAAGTGCTGGATCTGTTGCTGTTTTAATATTTATTTTTCACACCATTATTGTGTTTTGGATCACCTACAACAAATACAATCTACTTGCTTTTAATGGTGTTACATATTGGATACATTTTTATAGTTTAAAGTAGTTTTAAAAATAGTTTTATTCATAGTTTAGCTATAGTATGCTAAATTTTTCAGATCATACGCAGCATCAGTATAAACTCCACATCTATGTGTCATAATTTAAATTCCTCCTAAGATTTTACTCTTTTCTGAAAAGTAAATAATTTATTCAAATCAATAAACAAGTAAATGGTCAAGATCAGAAAATTATTTGCTCAGTCAGTGGATTGGCCAAAGAATGTAACTAAATAAATGAGTAAATTCCGTTTTGGAAGTAGAATCAAGTTACATTTTATTCGAAATTACCTTATTGTTGTCACCAAATGGAAAACATATTTTCAGGATTCCCAAGAATAAAATAATGTAATTAAATTTTCCCAAATTAGTACTATAAATAGTATAGACTAAGTATAAAAGCTCAGCATTTGCTTATTTATTCATTCAAAAGCAAGATTGTGTTTACTCAGTGCAAGTCCCAAAGATATTATCTCTTAAGACGTTGCTCTCTAGGATCAAAAAAATATTTTATAAATTATTAAAGTATTTCATCGAATGCAAAAGAACAATGAATGTTTTAGATGTAAGGAATAGCAAACCAAGACTACTGTGATAACAGCAATCTTTTTTCTCACATAAAAAAAATTCAGACTATGGGTCAATGTTAATGTAGGTTTAGTGACTCAATAATGTTTGGATTGGAAAGAACACCTAGCATTTTTTGGACTTTCCTTTATTGTAGCAAGAGTACTGACACTCTGAGCAACTCATCCTCTTCCAAGGAGGACAAATAAAGAAAGAATGAAAATACATAGAAAAACAAAACTTCCCTTGCCACCCCACGAATTCATTCCTTTACTTTACTCATGAGTGTCACAAAGAACCCTTAGCTATAGGCAAGCTGGAAAAGTGGATATTTAGCTTTTCCAGACTCTTTAGTGATGAGAACAAAGGAAAAACTGACTGATCTTGGGATAAAACATGTATATGAGAATGGGAGGCATACAACTGGCTTCTGAGGAGAGTAATTTGTAATCTTAGTTCTGAAGGGAAAGTAGAAATTAGCTAGTTGTATGAGGAAAAGAGAAAATTACAGACAAAAGCATTCTCCTTGCAGAGCCGGAAAATGCATCAGTCACAAAAATCTGATTTATCCCAATAGTTTAGTGTGGCTACAAAAAAGTTGATGTAATGGATAGCAGAACATGAGACTTCAGACAGCTACTGGCCAGCAGAGGAAAAGTCTTAAGAGCTAAACTGAGGACTTAGAACTCTATACTAAAATTTGCAAGAATTTCTTAAAGATTTTAATAAGAGATGGAACTTCAATGAAATAACTAGGAATAAAACTTACAAGGGATGTGAAGGAACTCTTCAATAAGAACTACAAACCACTACTCAAAGAAATGAGAGAAGACACAAACAAATGGAAAAATATTCCATGCTTATGGATAGGAAGAATCAATATCATGAAAATAGCCATACTGCCCAAAGTAATTTATAGATTCAATGCTATTCCCATCAAGCTACCACTGACTTTCTTCACAGAATTATAAAAAACTACTCTAAATTTCATATGAAACAACAAAAAAAGAGCCCGTATGGCCAAGACAATCCTAAGCAAAAAAGAATAAAGCTGAAAGCATCATGCTACCTGACTTCAAACTATACTACAAGGCTACAGTAACCAAAACAGCATGGATCTGATACCAAAACAGTTATATAGACCACAGGAACACAACGGAGGCCTCAGAAACAACATCACACATATACAACCATCTGATCTTTGACAAACCTGACAAAAACAAGAAATGGGGAAAGGATTCCCTACTTAACAATTGGTGTTGGGAAAACTGGCTAGCCATATGCAGAAAACTGAAACTGGACCCCTTCCTTACATCTTATACAAAAATTAACTCAGGATGGATTAAAGACTTAAACATAAGACCTAAAACCATAAAAAAACCTAGAAGAAAACCTAAGCAATACCATTCAGGAGACAGGCATGGGCAAAGATGTCATGACTAAAACACCAAAAGCAATGATAACAAAAGTCAAAACTGACAAATGAGATCTAATTAAACTAAAGAGCTTCTGCACAGCAAAAGAAACTATCATCGGAGTTATCAGGCAACCTACAGAATGGGAGAAAATTTTTGCAATCTGTGCATCTCACAAGGGCTAATATCCAGAATCTATAAGGAACTTAAACAAATTTACAATAAAAACAAACAAACAAACCCATCCAAAAGTGGGCGAAGGATATGAACAGACACTTCTCAAAAGAAGAAATTTATGTGGCCAACAAACATGAAAAAAAGCTCATCATCACTGGTCATTAGAGAAATGCAAACCAAAAACAAAATGAGATACTATCTCATGCCAGTTAGAATGGCAATCATTAAAAAGTCAGGAAACAACAGATGCTGGAGAGGATATGGAGAAATAGAAACACTTTTTGATGGGAGTGTAAATTAGAATGGCAATCATTAAAAAGTCAGGAAACAACAGATGCTGGAGATGATATGGAGAAATAGAAACACTTTTTGATGGGAGTGTAAATTAGTTCAACCATTGTGGAAGACAGTGTGGCGATTCCTCAAGGATCTAGAACCAGAAATACCAATTGACCCAGCAACCCCATTACTGGATATATACCCAAAGGATTAAAATTCATTCTACTATAAAGACACATGCACATGTATGTTTATTGCAGCACTATCCACAATAACAAAGATTTGGAACCAACTCAAGTGCCCATCAATGACAGACTGGAAAAAGAAAATGTGGCACATATACATGATGGAATATTATGTAGCCATAAAAAAGAATGAGTTTATGTCCTTTGCTGGGACACAGATGAAGCTGGAAACCATTATTCTCAGCAAACTAACACAGGAACAGAAAACCAAACACCACATGTTCTCACTCATAAGTGGGAGGTGAACAATGAGAACACATGGACACAGGGAGGGCAACATCACACACCGGGGCCTGTTGGGGGATGAGGGGTTAGGGGAGGGATAGCATTAGGAGAAATACCTAACGTAGATGACGAGTTGACAGTTGCAGCAAACCACCATGGCACATGTATACCTATGTAATAAACCTGCATGTTCTGCCCATGTATCCCAGAACTTAAAGCATAATAAAAAATAATAATAATTTTAATGAGATGGAACTTGACCAAATTTGTATTTCATTATTATTATTTTTATTATTTTATAGAAACAGGGTCTTGCTCTGTCATCCAGGAGAGAGTGCAGTGGTGAGCTTGTAGCTCACTGTAACCTCAAACTTCTGGGTCCAAGTGATCCTCCCACATCAGCCTCCCAAGTAGCTGGGACTGCAGATGCATGCCACTACACCTGGCTAATTTTTGGAGTTTGCATTTCAGAATTATCTTCATAGTGATGTTTTGGAAAATAGATTGTGTATTGTGAGGCAAATCAGAAAAAGAAAAAACAATTAGAAGCCAACTGCAAAAACCCAAGCAAGAAATAATTTGTGTGAGAAAAATGGAAGTAAGAATAAAGAGAAGTCAAAAAAAGTCAAACTCCATATTTTTTGAAAGAATGGAAAAATTAAATCCTCAGTACGTTAAATTCCAAGACACAATTTTCACTACAATTACTTAGCCTTTCATGGACCTACTAAATTACTTCTACCAAACTTTCTTTTCACCTCATTTCATTGTTCATCTCTGCCCCTCTACATTTTGTTTCATATTCAAAGGCACTTATCCAAAAGCTTCATGAGCTTTCTATTTGCTTTATATTCTGTGACATATAACTTGCCAATATCCTCATATACCATTTTCCCTTTTCTTTCCAATGTATCTAACTGGTAAAACCCTTGGATGAAGCCAACAAACTCCTTTCTACATACTCAAATTTAAGTTTCTGTATACCAATTTAGAACATCATAGAATTGGACAGTTGTACAAAAATACCTCCATGAACCTCAATTGTTCCCTTAATATTGCTTTACACCGTAAGATAATTCTTATGAGTTCTTTATTACTATACTTTCTCATCTTCATGGTAGTTGCTTTAACCTTTTCTATGTTCTTGAAAACATCCCACCACTCAACTTTCCAACCCTTCTTATTGGATGACTTCATTTCTTACTTCACACAGAAAATGGAAGTCATCAGAGAGAAAGTCATATTTTCTTACTACATTAACGCATCTGCTGGTATTTGAATCTGTGGTCTCTTTCTTAACTAATATGATAAAAGAGACAACATTTCTCTTAAGACTTAACTCTTTCCTTGTGTTGAATTACAATGTTTTCTGACATTCACAAATACTTTGAATATCTTTCCCTCTGAAAGACTGATGAACCATTTTACACTTCTGGTTACATTCCAGCATTACTTTATAAAATGAGTCCCTCCATTTAAAAAGCACTTTCATGACATTACACTTCTTCTTCTGCATATCCTGTCTTTCTTTATCCTGTCACACTTGCCAGATTTCTCTATTCATTCTCTCCTCCTCTTCTCTCTCTTTTTCTCTCATTCTCCTTCTGCCTCTTGCTCTCCATCTCTTTCTCCCTCTCTCATATCCTTTCTCCTTCTCTTTTCCTTTCTCTTTCTCTCCCCTACCTCCATCTTTTTATTACTTTTTCTCTATTCTTTCACATTACCTTTAATCAATACAGGAGAATTATATATTTTAAAAAAAGAAAATACATAAATGCAAAACTGAGGAAATAAGAATATAATCTCCCCACCCCCCAGACATTACTATAATAATAGCCTCACATTACATCTTTCATATATACATATAAACATGTATTTATCAAAATGAAATCTTACTCCATAAATCTTATCATAACTTTCTTTTTAGTAAATAATCACCACCTATTTAGTTCAGTAAATTTTCTATCATCTGGTGTCTAGATCATATTTGAATTATCTTTGTTATTTGAAAATGTTATTTACAGCTGATTTTTCAAAAAATAGTATTTTTAGGCTAAAGTAGGAGGATTGCTTGAGCCCAAGAAGTCAAGGATTCAGTGAGCCACGATCACACAACTGCATTTCAGCCTAGGCAACAGCATGAGACTCTGTCTCAAAAAACAAAGAAAAATCAGTATTTTTTAAAGACCATGTGTTTTGTCTTGTCATTATGTTATGTTAAGTTCTATTTTATTTAGCCCAAACTTCTTTTTTTTATATTGACTCATTGACCAGACTTTTTATTATTGACTCATTGACCAAACACTGTTTTGCAGTGTTTCACCTTATGGCATTGCTTCCTCATAGTGTCATTTGGCTTTTTCTTTTAAAATAGATGATGATGATGATGATAGATATAGATAGATAGATAGGTAGATAGATGACAGATAGATAGATAGATAGATAGATAGATAGATAGATAGATAGATAATGGACAGACAACTGGGAATGTGTATCTAAAAGGACTGACGAATGAATATTAAACATTTTTGGCTAGAATACCAAATAGATGGTGTGAACTTCAAGGTACATTGCATCAGACATGATAAAGTATTTGGTTGATCTCATGAGGGATACTAAGACTGATCACTATTTTAGAGTGATGGCAATCTCACCTTTTTATTTCACAGTTACAATTTTTCACTGCAAATAGAAAATAATCTTCATATTTTTTCATACTATACAAACATCAAATCTTTTTACCCATCCACCTAATGAACTTATAGGCATTTGCTTGAATTGGTAATTTTATTTGGATTTGTAAAATAAGGTTTAAAAATTATTTAGTTTCTTCTACATTTATTAACTGGCACTCTTTTATAACCCAGTGCTTTTTCTCATCAGTTGAAACTACTATGTTACTGAGAAATTTAGTTTCCCTTGGAAAAGGCATATCAATGCTTAAATACACATGCTCAAAATAAGAAATTGATTTAGTATGACAGCAAGTGTTGAAAAGGGAGTGTGAAGCAGGTTCATTGTGCACTGTTTTCCAACTTGTCTTGAGTCTGGTGAGACAGAACATTCCCACACACAACAAGTTACATAAAGTGAGTTTGTTGCATATAGACAGTAAAGGAAAGCAGAAGCCTAGAATTTATTATGAGCTGGTCCCCATAAAACTCAGAAAAGCTACCAATAGTGATGGGATCTCAACTCCATGTGCCCCACTTGCACTACAACTGAGAGATCTGAGATAGACAGCTTTCCCTTAGATATTATTATACCCTGGGGGTACCTTTAAATGCTGGGCTGAAGTGTTGAAGGATATCCTTTTCTCGGAGTGAACAGGAACAAACCACAGGCAGTTCCAGCCACCTTCCTCTTATCACAAGTTGTATTCTCAGCACATTACACACTTACTCCTGAGAACTATAAGCAAGAAAGGGAGAGAGAACTGGGTCTGTTCAAGATGACTCAGAGCACTGTATGGCAGGTAGACTATCCTTTTTCTTGTTTCTTTGCATTTTATTTTCATTTTGAACTCATAAATTTTTGTGGATTTGATCTATATTAATTGATATGGCTTGGCAGTGCCTAACCCAAATCTCATCGTGAACTGTAAACTCCATAATCCCCACATGCTGTGGGAGGGACCCAGTGAGAGGTAATTAAATCATGAAAGCATGTTTTCCCATGGTGTTCTAGTGATAGTGAATAAGTCTCATGAGATCTGATGGTTTAATAAAGCGGAGTTCCCCTGCACACACTCTCTTGCCTGCCACCATGTAAGACAAGTCTGCTTCTCCTTTGCCTTCCACCACGATTGCGAGGCTTCCCCAGCCATGTGGAATGAACTGTGAGTCCATTAAACCTCTTTTTCTTTACAAATTGCCCAATCTCAGGTATGTCTTTATTAGCAGAGTAAGAACAGACTAATACAGTAAATTGGTACCAATAGAGTGGGGTGCTGCTGTAAAGATATCTGAAAATGTGGAAGCAACTTTGGAATTGGATTACAGGCAGTTTGGAACAGTTTGGAAGGGTCAAGAGAAAACAGTAAAATGAGGGAAAGTTTGGACCTTCCTAGAGAATTGGAGGGTTCAGAAGACAGGAAGATGTGGAGAAATTTGAAACTTCCTAGAGACTTGTTGAATGGCTTTGACAAAAATGCTGATAGTGATATGGACAATAATGTAAAGGCTGAAGTGGTCTCAAATGGAGATGAGGAACTTGTTGGGAACTAGAGTAAAGGTCACTCTTGCTATGCAAAGAGACTGGTAGCATTTTGACCCTACACTAGAGATCTGTGGAACTTTGACCTTGAGAGAAATGATTTGGGAAGAAATTTCCAAGCAGCAAAGTGTTCAAGAAGTGAGAGAGCATAAAAGTTTGGAAAATTTGCAGCCTGACAATGTGACAGATAAGAAAACCTCATTTTTTGGGAATTCAAGCCAGCTACAGAAATGTGCATAAGTAACAAGGAACAAAATTTTAGTCACGACAAAAATAAGGAAAAGGCCTCTAGGGCATGTCACAGACCTTTGTGGCTGCCCCTCATGTAACAGGCCAGGAGGCCTAGGAGGGAAAAATGGTTTCATGGTCCAGGGCCAGAGCCCTGGTGCTTTGTGTAGTCTTGGGACTTGCTGCCCTGTGTCCCAGCCATGGCTATGAAGGACCAAGGTACAGCTCAGGCTGTGGCCTCAGAGGTGCAAGCTCCAAGTCTTGGCAGCTTCCACATGGTGTTGAGCCTAAGGGTACATAGAAGTCAAGAATTGAGGCTTGGAAACCTCTGTCTATATTTCAAAGGATGTATGGAAATACCTGGATGTCCACACAGAAGTTTGTTGCGGGGGCAGAGTCTTCAAGGAGAACCCCTGCAAGGGCAATTTAGAAGGGAAATGTGGGGTCAGAGCCCACTGTGGCACTGCCTAGTGGAGCTGTGAGAAGAAGGCCATTGTCCTCCAGACCCCAGAATGGTAGATCAACCTACAGCTTGCACTATGTGCCTGGAAAAACCACAGACACTCAATGTCAGCCGTGAAAGCAGCCAGAAGAGGAACTGTACCCTGCAAAGTCACAGAAGCAGAGCTTCCCAAAGCTGTGGGAGCCCACCTCTTCCATCAGCATGACCTGGATGTGAGACATGGAGTCAAAGGAGATCATTTTGGAACTTTAAGGTTTAGTGATTGCCCTTCAGATTTTGGACTTGCATGGGGTTTGTCACCCCTTCTTTTTGGCCAATTTCTTCCATTTGGAATGGGTGTATTTACTCAAAGCCTGTACCCTCATTGTATTTAGAAGGTAACTAATGTTGATTTTGCAGGCTCATAGGTGGAAGGGGCATGCCTTGTCTCAGATGAGACTTTGGACTTGGACTTTTGAGTTAATACTGGGATGTGTTAAGACTTTGGAGGACCTTTGGGAAGGTATGATTGGTTTGGAAATGTGAGGAGTTGAGGCTTAGGAGTGGCCAGGGATGGAATGATATGGTTTATATGTGTGTGTCCTTATTCAAATCTCATCTTGAATTATAGCTCCCATAATCCCATGTCATAGGAGGGACCTGACGGGAGGTAATTGAATCATGAGGGCAGAGTTACCAGTGCTATTCTTGTGATAGTGAGTAAGTCTTATGAAATCTGATGGTTTTATAAAGGTGAGTTCCCCAGCACACATTCTCTTGCCTGCCACCATGTAAGATGGGCCTTTGCTCCTCCTTTGCCCTCCACCATGATTGTTAGGCCTTCCCAGCCATGTTGAACCATGTGAGTCCATTAAACCTCTTTTTCTGTATAAATTACCTAGTCTTGAGTATATCTTTATCAGCAGTGTGAGAACAGATGAATACATTTCATATTCTACATTTATTATTATTTTTAATTCTCAATTCTCACACCTTGAACGTGGGAAATCATTCCTCGTTATTCAAATATATTTTTTACATAACTGCTTTAATCTAAAACAGCTTTCTGGTTTGCTAATATAAAAATATGTCCTAGGCTTGCCATATACCTTCCTGGCCTCCAAAATAGAGTTAGAGCAGAATTAGAGAAGACACTTTGTTTGCCAGGGATATTCTTTGCTATTAGCAGAGGCAGGGGAGGCATGATAAAAGTTCCAGGCAATTTTACTAAAGCAATGAGAATATTTATGTTTAATAAAATCCTAAGTTATATTTTCCATATTTCAAAGTCAATTGTAACAGTGCAGGGGTTTTATTTAATGTATTTGGTTTTATAATTCTTTTTATTTGTTTTACTTTACAAAATACTCAGTTTGAAATATACTTATTTATTTATATAGTTACTTAATTTACTTAGAATCCATTCCACTAACAAATTCATTCAATATATTTTACTCTAACATCTGTTGAAATGTATTTTTATTTGTTATTTTATTATTGATTTGATATATGGTCAGACTTATGTTTCTTTTTTATATATGAAATTTTTTAAAATTAATGTATATACATAATTAGAAGTTATAACTCGTTAATAAAGTATATGTAGAAAATTTTATTCTCATTACTGACCCTTCTTTTCCATCTTTTATTTTTATTATTCATTGATTATCTTTGTGGATACGTGTATGTATGTGTGTGTGTGTGTTGTCAATTTAAACAAAACACCTTATGTATTTTTTCTCAACTTACTCAAAAGTTAGTGTATGGGACACATTATTCCGTACTTTGCTTTTTTAACTTTGCAACATATCCTGGAGTTCTTTTCATATTCGTACATTATTTTTAAAAGTTGTGTAGTAGCCCATCAAATGGATATGCCACCATAAATCAACCAGTCTCTACTGCTGGATATGTCGGTTGTTTCCAATGTTTTGCTAGTATAAAAAAAGTCACAATAAATAAGTTTGTATATGTGTGTGTGCATGTGTGTATATGTATATATCTTGTATACATAACATTATGTGTATATATATATATACACATAAACAAATGGTTAAGTGTATATTATGTACATAATATATGTTCATATATACACTAATATTTTTAATATATATGCAATATATACAAAAATCCCCTCATATAAACACATATACAATAATAATAAATATATATGTCATATATACACACAAGGTTATTTATGTAAATGATATTGCATATGCATATATATACAAAATCACTTTATATTTTTGGTTTATGTGTCTATTCTAATTATATTTCTCAAATTGGGATTGTTGTGTCAAAGGGCATGTGTGTTTGTAATTTTGATAGATATTCAAATACTCTTCCTTATAGTTTTACAGCACCTTCCTTCTTAAATTAACAATGACAATAGGTAGAAGCGTATTTTCACAGCTTTGCTGACAATTGTTTTGATTTTGGCCTACTTGGTATGTGAGAAATATATCTCAATTTAGTTTTAAATTGCATTTCTTTTACAAGAGGAATATTGAGTATCTTTTCGTGTGTTGAAAGACTCTTTCTCTGAATGATTTGAGTTTTGCCTTGCTATTATCAATTACTAGAAGGGTTTGTATTAAGCATATTAACCTTTTGTGATACAGGTAGCAAATACTTTTTCTCAGTTGGATATTTTCACTTTTATTTTTACTTTTTTATGGTATTGAATTGTCAAGCAATAGTTTTTGATTTTTAACGCACTAAAATCAGAATGTCATTATTTTTTACCACAAACTCTCTGAATTAAAAATTCACTGTGGTGAATTTACATACGTGCCATAGCATAAACATTAAAGTAACTAATGAGAACTGGTTAGAGAATGTAGAATGCCCTGCAGTCATGTCTCAACTGTTGTCCCTGGAGTATCACACCTCCTTCCAGAAAGGTTTATATGTTCTAAGGCTCACTAACCTTTACTTACCACCACAGCAACAGTGCCTGTCAATACTATGTCTTTCCTTTCCATGAAATATCAACTTCTTCAAGTGGTAAACAACTATGATTTTAAAATTATCCTTTTTGTTCATTCTGCTATTTGTTATTTGTAATTTTACATGTTTGTAACAAAATATTTAATGGAGGATATTTACATTACCATTCATGGTCATCACAATGTAGAAACAAAGAATAATTTGTATTGAACATCAGAGAATATCACTGCATAATAAATACAAACATACAAACTAATGAGTTGATTAGGTGTTAAATTATTAGGTAATTGATGTTTTAAAAGCTTTATGTTATGCAAAAGTTCTTGGTTATTGCTGTTTTACAGTGCTTATTGACATTTGGGAAAAACTGGTTTGAAGTTGTGTATGGACCGATTGTATCATTATTTTTCCCATTTAATATAATGTAACACAGGCTCCCTCTGCCTGAAAATTTGCTCTCCAACATGTTTTCAAGCATGGATTAGATTCAGACAACAAGCTTACTTGTACTTGTATGGCTTTATTTTGAGGGTTTTTTTTTTTTAACATTTAAATCTTTGATATATTTGGGATTTACTCTGGTGCTTGATGTAATCTTCATTTCCATTTTTTCCCTATACAATCCTTAAGCAATTTTATTCATTCTTATAACTTTGTTTTCTATATGCTGGTGACTCTCAGATATGAACTTCCAGCCCAGTTCTCTCCCTTGAGCATCATATCCAAATATCTATTTGACTGCTTTCCTGTCCTAAAGGAATATTAGCCTCAAATGTCTATAACTTAGCCAAATTTATTCTTCATGCATGTTCAACATCCAATATCTTCTATCTTAACTAGTGATACCATCTTCCATGCAGTTGCTCAAGTATTTTTATTTTTCACATCTACATCTAACCATTAATATGCTTCCTCATTTTTATTTCTAAAATAATTGTCAAAACTATTTGATTCTTTCCACCCTCACTGCTACCACCAATGACCAAGAAGTCATATCCTGGAATCTTTCTCTTCTTTCACTAATCCTTGCATCATGGTCGTCTATTCTTCACACTGCTTCACACAGAGAGAGAGTTTTAAGTAGAGATTCAAATCATGCTATTCTTGGTTGCGACCTTTTTATGGTTTCCCACTGACTATATAACAGGACCCCAAATTTTTTTACATGGTTTATGGTTTACAATGTCCTCTATGATCTGTTAACTAATCACTTCTAACCCTTGTTGTTTAAACTCCAGACATAAAGATTTTCTTCAAGTTCTGGAATGCATTCTGCTTTTTCCACTTCTGAACTTTCATGGAGAGTTTTCTCACTTTCAGGAGTAGTCACTTACCTCCTGTTCATTTCCCCTGGCTAATATTTATTCATTTTCAAGTCTTATCTTAAATGACATTTCTCAAGGAAGAATTCAACAATACATTCCTTCAGCAAATCCATATTACGAATTATGTGTCAGGAACATTTTTACAAAATCTTATGGAAGCCACATTATAGTGTAGGGAGAAGGGAGAGAATAAACAAATACAATCAAATAAATCCATAGAATAAGAGATACAGATAGACAGTACTGATAAAAACCCATTACCTGCTGGCAAGGTGGTTCTATTGGCCAAAATATTGAGAGAATTTACCTGCTGCCTTGAGCTTCCCAGTACTCTTTTGTGATTTGACTAACACAGTCCATCACCTCCGGGCTTGCAGATGATCTAATAAATGAATGGTTAATGCCAGGCACAGCTGGAGTTCTGCTCTACCTCCTGCATTTATTTTGGTTAGTCAATTCTAGAGCATTTCAACCATCCAAAAGTCCCAACTCCTAAGCACTACCAATTGATCCCCCAGGTATTTTGAATATCTCATCCTTGTGCCACACACATCCCTGTGACTCTGGGAAACCACACTTAAAGGCCATTGAGAGGGCCAGCCTACTGGCCAGCCTACCAAGGCTTCTGTTGACTAATCACTACCTCCATTTCCTAACACTCTAGTAGCTAGCCCAAAATCCAACAGGAGAGATGGTATTCCCTTGAGACAGCACTGGCAGATTAGCAAGCAAATGGTCAGTGCCTCTCACCATAGAAGGTTGTGTCCACCAGCCTGCAAATACTCTCTTATAGTCACCACCTAATAGCTGCTCGTGCAAATTGCTTGATGAAAATGGCATATACAGAGGGAGGCATTAATGATACAAAAGAAACAAAAAAAATGCTGGAGAGGTTCTGGGAGTGGATTTCAGGAATGGGATTTCATACACAAGTACAGGATCTAACCTTAGATATAAGTGTGAGTGTGTCATCCAAAGTAGCAAGAGAAGGGTTGTTGCGGGAAGTCAGGGACCCCAAATGGAGGGACCAGCTGAAGCCATGGCAGAAGAACATAAATTGTGAAGATTTCATGGACATTTATTCGTTCCCCAAATTAATACTTTTATAATTTCTTACGCCTATCTTTACTGCAATCTCTGAATGTAAATTGTGAAGATTTCATGGACACTTATCACTTCCCCAATCAATACCCTTGTGATTTCCTATGCCTGTCTTTACTAATCTCTTAATTCCATCATCTTTGTAAGCTGAGGAGGATGTATGTCGCCTCAGGACCCTGTGATGATTGCGTTAACTGCACAGATTTTCTGTAGAGCACGTGTGTTTGAACAATATGAAATCTGGGCACCTTGAAAAAAGAACAGGATAACAGCAATGTTCAGGGAACAAGAGAGATAACCTTAAACTCTGACTGCTGGTGAGCTGGGTGGAACAGAGCCATATTTCTCTTCTTTCAAAAGCAAATGGGAGAAATATCGCTGAATTCTTTTTCTCAGCAAGGAACATCCCTGAGAAAGCGAATGAGTCCCTGAGGGTAGGGCTCTGAAATGGCCACTTTGGGGGCAGCTGTCTTTTACGGTCACAGCAGTGGGATGAAATAAGCCCTGGTCTCCTGTAGTGCTCCCAGGCTTATTAGGGTGAGGAAATTCCTGCCTAATAAATTTTGGTCAGACCGGTTGTCTGCTCTCAAACCCTGTTTCCTGATAAGATGTTATCAATGAAAATGCGAGCCCGAAACTTCATTAGCAATTTTAATTTCACCCTGGTCCTGTGGTCCTGTGATCTCGCCCTGCCTCCATTTACCTTGTGATATCTTATTACCTTGTGAAGCATGTGATCTCTGTGACCCACACCCTATTCGTACACTCCCTCTCCTTTTGAAATCACTAATAACAACTCGCTGGTTTTACGGCTCAGGGGGCATCACGGAACCTGCTGACATGTGATGTCTCCCCCGGACACCCAGCTTTAAAATTTCTCTCTTTTGTACTCTGTCCCTTTATTTCTCAGACCGGCCAACACTTTTGGGAAAATAGAAAAGAACCTACGTGAAATATCGGGGGTGAATTTTGCCCGATAAAGGGTGGTAGGTTTGTGCAAGATGATGGTAGAGAATAGATGTGAATATAGAAGTCCTGATTTTTTTTTCTGTCTTCCTGTAAAATAAAAAGCATGTCATCAAGTGAGAGTGAATATGGAGAAGAGATAGTAGAGACTCCCTCATTCACACTAAATATCCTTACTACATATTTCCTCACAATCCTTTACTTCTTGTTCCCTAATCATCATCATATATGTCATTTCTTATAAAACACATGTTTAGATGGTTTCCTCCTATCTTGTTTCCTGCTTTTGTGGCACAGTGTGGCCTCATAGTTAATATTACTTGAATTGAACTAAAATAAATTATAAGGTAAGAAATTGAAAGAAAAATAATGGCACAAAATAGAGTTGGATGGTATAAAATAATTTCCAGTTTAGATGACTCTGTGGCTCCTAAATTTAAAAAAAAGGATGCAGTAAGAGAAGAATGTTTATGAGGAATGATAACTTTTTTTATGTATATGTTGATTTTCATGAGGTTGGAATTCATCCAAATGGAGAACTCACACAGGAAGTAGGAGATACAAAGGGAGAGCTTAGGGGTGAGATTCAGACCACATACATAGGTTCTTATTGGCCTGCAAGAGTATAGGTGGTAGATGAAACTATTACGTGCTTGTGTGTTTTGTCATCTAAGAATGCGTTGCAATTAAAAGCCAAGGAGATAAAAATAAAGCCTAAGATAGCACTCACATTTAGGTGGCAATTTTAATGGAGATCTATTTATCAGGAAATTTAAGAATTCATTTGTGTGTTTTGAAAGATTATATCAAATCTACTGGTCTAGAAGCCAAGGCTTTCAAGGGTCTAGGGCTATTTTCACATTTCTTTCTTAGTCGTGATGATAAACCACAATTTCACTAAAATCGCCATCCTGATATTCACTGTGCTGTTTTTTTCTTGTTTCGATGATTCTTCTTTTTGTGATAATCCACCAATAAATTTCTTATCCAAGAACACAGGACAGCAAATCTCTACTGCTGGGGACTGTAGCAAAAGCAAGACCTCCAGTGGCAACTGTAAGCAGAAACTATCTTTGGGATCTGTCTTATAATGCATGCAAATGTTGTCAGTGTTATTTTTTGTCCAAAAGCAGCTCAAAAGCCAACTTCTCCATAAATTTTCTCCACTCACCTAGACCTTAGTAATCTGCCCCACTTTAATAAACTGCGTTTTGCTCTTATACTTCCTTTTCTTGTTTGTTGCTAAATACCTGTTTGCTTATGTATGTTTTTATTTTTTTCTTTTTTTCCTGACCAGATAGATTTTAAGCTTCTGGAAAGTAATTTTTGAGTATTTTGTTTTCTAAACCCAAAGTGTTGATCTCACTGAGTTGGATACCTACTTGTCATTTGCCTACTTAGCTATGTTAATATTGCTAGAGGGCAAGTATATTAAGTTGAGGTCCAAACATAGAAAATTCCTTTGGAAAGCTAGCTCAGATAACATAAGGTACTGGAAAACAAAGTAAGTAAAAACAACAACAACAAAGTTAAATGGCAAGCAGGCATTGGCAGCTAAATCGTTTTGCTACCATTTCTTAGATAACTTCACATTTCTTTCTCTTATGTACTGTTGCTCCTGATCCTTATTTCTTTCAGCCACATTGTTTAACAACACATTTTATTTCCCATTGGAAGAACTCCCATAACCTTACGTTTTATAATATAAATATAGTACAGTTTGGTACATAGGCCTGTCACTTCGGGTACCGTTGCTTCTTTACCATTATAAGCATCAGAACCAGGGTAAAAATTATTGTTACTAACATGCTAAGATATTGAATCCTATTGAAGACCTCTTTCAATGAAAACAATCAAATGCACGTGTGTGAGAAAGAAAAGCTTACACCACAAGTTCCACAGGATCTTTGAATTAGTTGGTGGCAATTAAACAAGGCAATAAATAGCTGTCAATAAAGCTAAGCTGTATGAATGAGGTAAGAACTCCAGTTTTCTCGATTAATCAAATGCTTACAAACATCATGAATTGCGGAAAAGCCAGATGCTAGTGGAGAAAACAGTTTCTTGCTGTGCTTCTTTATTTAAAAATGTTACACTGAAATTAAAGTCATAGGAATAGCATGGCCCATTTATCTTACAGCAACAAAAAAAATTTGGGTGTAGACTATGGTGAATCCTCATCCTTTATACACATATGAACTCAAAGCTCCTAGAAATTATAAGAAGAATCCAGATTGTTAGGATTCATCTGTTGTGACTTTTGGCTTTCAAATCTATCCCTAGAGAGACCCTTTACTCAATTGTTTTCGCAATGGTCTTCTAGCTTACTCTGGCTCCTGTGTTCCTCCTTGCATCTAAAATCCATTGGTTATCATTGTCCCAGAGCTGACTCAATTGGCTCATTGTCTCTCTGTGGACTCAGTAATTGTGTTTACTTCACTGTGTATTGTATTAACTTATGGATACGGGAAGTGACAGAGTAGTTGGGCATGACTACAAAGGGAGAAAACAGTATTCATAAATATGAGAGGGAACAATGCAATGCAAATTGATGATCAGAAAAATAATGTTGTGAATAATGCGCCCACAAAGTGAAAAACAAATATGCAGTACTCTGCAATTGCTACACTCCCTATGCCTGATTTTGCATGCTGTTTGGCTACCTTTGAAAATTTTGAGGGACAAAACTAAGAACAAAAGATTTAGAACACTCCAACAAGCAAATCCTTGCCTGGCTTGTCAAATTGTACATACTTACTTTACAATTTATCACAGCTGGTATTCCTGACCTGACTCCAGGCTAAGAGATTCAAGAGCAGCATGCTCCTATACCTTAGCATACTCACCTATAGAGATATTTTGATAGCTTCTTTGGAAAAATGTATAGTGCTCAAAGACAAAATAACTAGAAGGTTTTAACCTTGTAAGTGCTTAAACGTAATTTATTTTCTTTACTTTCTTTTTATTTTGATCATTTGTTTTGTACCACATGGGGTTTTATGCTTTGCTCAGTTAGATTATAAACTCCTGTAGGGTATAGATTTAATTTACAGTGTCTGGCAGAGTATCAGCTGCCAAGTGTTACTATATGTAATTATGGAATGTTAAAGATTTAAGAAGTATGACTCATTCATATATGGAAAAATTAAACCATCATGTATTAGCCGCTATGATGCTATATCCTAGAGAGGTAAGTGTGTTGAAAAAATCTACAGCCCATGGGAAATTTTTATTTGCTCATTTCTCTATAGATTTTAGTATGTGCAAGGAACTGGACATTATATGGAAGAATACGACAGCCATTATGTTTATACTTGTGAAGCTTGTATTCTAGTTGTGATGAAGACTGTAAAAAATTATAGATTTTACATTTTAATTACAAATTTGTACCACAAATGAATATACAGAACAGTATGAACATGTGTAAGGGAAAAAAGACCAAGTCTGGAGAGTTATATCCTAAGTTTTTGTTTTTTGTTTTTTGTTTTTTTTTTTGAGAAAGCGACATTTGAGTTGAGCTTTAAAGATTGAAAAGATGAATAGTTTACAGGAAAAAGAAAATTCCCAACAGAGGTGATAGCAAATGCAAAGATCCTAAAGAAAGAGGATGAAAAAACATAAGGATCTAGAGGAAAAATATCTCATGAGGCTGAGAGATTTAAGAGATACGTGGTGGTAAATAATAATGTCATCACCACTGACAAATGCTGATACAGTTTTTAAAAACCTATTATTTAAATCAAATAAACAATAATTTTGTGTTAATCATGCTGCCAACATAATTATGAGCCAGTGCTTTCATATATTCTTACATATTAACTATTAGCATTCTGCCATTGTTATGAAAATATTTAGATTTAAATCACAACAGAATAGACATTACACAAAATGAGTAAGAACTCCAGATCTGCTCTATAAATTCTCCCATGTTGGACTAGGCCAGGCTTATGCAAACCCGTGTGTGTTCCACTTACCCAATGCCTCTTTTTACTTTGTGTCTTGCTCAGGCCCACTGCAGTATTTACTACACTGGCTCCTGCCTGGCTTCCTTTAACTTCTATGTCACTGTCTACTTAAAACCCTCGTCATTCCCCTCCAATTATTGATTCTCTGGCCCCTCTTTCTCCTCCATTTAGTTAACTATAGGTATCTCTGGATTTCCGCCTTGGCTTTCTTAACTTTCCTCTTGACAGTACCTTCTTTAACAATGTTATAAAAACTTGTAACATGGTAGCAGTTGATGGCATTTATAATAAAAGTAAACTTTTATTCAAATTATTAACAGTAATTATGGTATTTTTTCTGCTTTTTGTTTTTAATTTTTCATAAAATTTATCATTGCAATTAATCCTTAAGGATTAAAACAACCCAATTTTCTCTCTGCTGCCTCTTTCTTCCTTAAAATGCAGTCTAGTATGCAGATGACTACACAGGGAAGTATTGTTAATACTTCTATTCTATAGATGAAAATTATAACGCTTAGGAAAGTTGAGCAACTTGCCCAAGATTACACACTAAGTAGCAGCAGATCCAGTGTTGAAACTAGAGAGGCTGACTTGAGATCATAAGCCTCGATCACAATACTGCCTCATTAAAGTCTGTCACAGTAACTAGAATCAACCCCACAACAGATGGTATGTGATAATTGTATAAATGTAAGAATTATTAAGGCATTTTGAATCCTTACTTTATCAGTTATTAGCTTTATGACTCTGGATGAATTTCTGAACTTCTACGAGGTTTATTTTTTATTAATAAAATTAAGATTTGAGATGTCACAACTACAGTTTTATTATGAAGATAATATGAACGCAAGCATTTAGTATTCTGCCTACCACACAGTCAGCAGCATTTCAAACTATTATTCTTTGGGAGTCTCCAAAGTAAATACAACTCTTTTGAATTTGCTGTTGAATATCTGTTCCTGTATTGAATTAATAAATACGTTTGCTAAAATTGTTCTTTAAATATGTAGATTATTTTTAATAGCTATTTCTTGTTATGAAGACACATAATATTTACTCTTTTATAATATCCTACCATAGATATAGTGCCCACATGTGACCACTATACCTACTGTCCTACTGTATCAGTACTTTGGGTCTATTTTAGACTATTTTCCTCCAATTGATTGAGCCATAGGTATAGATGTTTGGGTTTAATCATTGGGATACATTTTAAAATGAATCCACTTTTATTATTTTACTGTATTTAATTGTATTAACTTTGTTCTGTTAAATACATCTTTCTACTTATGTCTTATCCTTACTTCATCTAAATCAAAATAACTTTAAATTTTAAAAAATTGTTTTATTTTGAATCAGTTAATAAAAGTGCTTTTTTTCTTTTTTCTATGCTAGATTGCCCATATATATATATATATATATATTTTTTTTTTTTTTTAATTCTTTGACTAGGGAATCTAATCAGATAATTAAAGATAATCAAAATATATATATTTTTGATTCTCTAATCAGAGAATCAAAAAAATTGATGTGTGATATTCAGTATATCAAAAATTTGATATCAAATTTGATATAAATTTGATGTCAAATTTTTGATATACTGCATATCACACATCAATTTTTTTTGATATGTGTATATATATATATACATACATATATATATATATATTTTTTTTTTGAGATGGAGTTCTGCTCTTCTTGCCCAAGCTGGAAAGCAATGGCGAGATCTTGGCTCACAGCAACCTCCACCTCCCAGGTTCAAGAGATTCTCCTGCCTCAGCCTCCCAAGTACCTGGGATTACAGGTGCATGTCACCACACCTGGCTAATTTTTTGTATTTTTATTAGAAACAGGGTTTCACCATGTTAGCCAGGCTGGTCTTGAACTCCTGACCTCAAGTGATCCACCTGCTTTGGCCTCCCAAAGTGCTGGGATTACAGGCGTGAACCACCACGCCCAGCCTATATTGTTTTATAACACTTAACTACCCTAACATTCAAAACAATACTTCAGTCTGCATATATTTATCATGATTTATTTGAGAAAATTAATATTTTAGCAGGTCCAGTGAGGTCATAAATGAACATGGCTGGATCCTTTGCCTTAAGGATCTTACAAACATTCTTGAAAGAACAGAATGATATCTTTCCAAACCCATTTCTCTTATCACACATCAAGCATAAGTTAGCTTCATAAATGTATACAGATTGTCTGTCGCTTATCTGAAATGGTTAAGACTGGAAGTGTTTCTGATTTTGGAATTTTTTGAATTTTGGAATAGTTGCATATAAATGATAAAATATTTCAGGGATAAAGACCCAATTTAAACACAAAATTTATTCATTTTTTTTATAAGTCTTACATAACATGAAGGTAATTTTATATAATATTTTATTTATTTTATTTTATTTTATTTATTTTGAGATGGAATCTTGCTCTGTTGCCCAGGCTGAAGTGCAATGCCGTGATCTTGGCTCACTGCAACCTCCCTCTCCCGGTTCAAGTGATTCTCCTGCCTCAGCCTCCCATGTGACTGGGGTTACAGGCACTTGCCACCATGCCTGGCTAATTTTTTTATTTTTAATAGAGACAGGGTTTCCCATGTTGGCCAGGGTAGTCTCGAATGCCCAACCTCAAGTGATCCACCCACCTCGGCCTCCCAAAGTGCTGGGATTACAGGCATGAACCACCACGCCCAGGCCTTATATAATACTTTAAATAATTTTGTGCTTGAAACAAAGTTTGTGTACACTGAACCATCAGAAAGCAAAGGTATCATTTTCTCAGCCACCCATGTGAATGATATGTGGATGTTTGACATCACTGTCATTCCTAACTCTAAATTTATATGCTACTGATAAGCAATCATTTTCTTATACTTATTCAGACATAAGTACTTAACAGTTAAAAAAGATATGTCATTAATAGAGTAAAAAAATAATGTGTTGAGAGTAACTAAGCAGCACAGTAGCATCACCAGAATACCTGTATCAGCTGTTAAACAACCACAACAACAAACAACACAGGCTTTCAGTATCTACCTACAGTGCTGTGATTTGATTAAAAGGCTACTGTACACTGTGTTTTATTTTGTTAGATGAGAAGAAACATCAGAAGTAGTTGAGGGACCAGGAAATTGGTCCTCTTTATGAGGAGGCATTCTGCTGGGTGGCTTTTTCTTAATGTTTCCTCCAGAGTAATCTGCCTTGTTAATAATGACTTCTGTCTCTCTTTGATTCTATAAACTAACATGATTTCTTTTTCTATTATGAAGGACATGCTGATCTAGTCCTTCAATGAGCCCATCACACATTTTCACTATGTCATGCACAGGCACTTTCTCTGTAGTTTAACATCATCATCTTCATTACTATAATCAAAATTACCTTGACAGATTTCACCATCAGTCAATAAATAAACAACTGGAGACTCATTATCAATATTGAAAACTCCAAGTCCACTTCTTCCAGTTTACTGATGGATTCTGAGGGTGTATTATTTGCATGTGTAAGAAGATCAAGCATCATTTTTTTTTCTCACTTGATCTACAGAATCCTTCAAATTACTACTTTTTGTATTATCATCTGTGACTGAACATAGTCACAGGCCAGAGGTTGTGCCAGGCATGCATAACTGTGCCTTTAGTCATTGTGTTCCAAGCATTGGCAATAGCACATGTGGCATCCTTCATGCTAAATGTCTTTTAAAAGTCTTCTACACCCACACCTCTGTTCATTGCTGCCAGCATGCTACTCAAGATGGCATTTACACTTTATTGATTTAAGGATACCATGGTCAGATGTTTGAGTTAATGAAATCACATTTGAGGAAAAGTAGATGACATACACATATTTTTTATAAGAATTTCAACTGGATGATGAGCAGAATCAATATCAAGGAATAAAAGGAATAAAATAAAAAAACTTGCAGTAATCATCCAGTCCATCTTCCCTGCAGTGTCCATGAGCTGCTAGTGCAAAATGTTTAAGAAACCAGAGAAAATGTCCCTGGTGATCTATGCCTTTTGTTAGTATGATAATTGACTGGTAAGAAATTCACTCCTTAAAAAGAGTGAGGATGCAAATTTTTGCCCATCACAACTAGTTTACACTTATGTGTGCCTGCTGCACTAGCACAGCCCAGCACAGTTATTCTATCCTTGGCATCCTTAATTATCAGGGGCTGTCTCTTCAGCTACAGTCATCAGCATTATAGACTTGCTCTGGTGTCACATTTTCATCAGTGATGACCTTAGAAAACTTGTCAGTTTCTTCACTGCTTTATGATCAGCAAATGGTTTATCACTACAAATCATTAAAAATTTAATGCCATCTATATTCTTAAATTTCTGCAACCAATAGTAATATTGAATATTTGCAGTTCCCTTTAATTTTAAGTTCATTGTGATAGATCTTTGCTTGTTTTGTGAGCTTGTGTTCACTGCTATACTGACAGGTCTACTCTTTCAATACACAATCTTCATTTTTAAGTTTATGTAGCTTTAATTTTTTTATTAGCTTCTGTTCATCACTTTCAGCGTAGAACTCCAACAGTTTATCCTGTTTTATCAGAGCATATATAGTGATCATTCCAACACCATAATCTCCTATAAGACATTTCACATGCCATTGTCTGGTTTCTCCAATAGCTTGACTTCTTGTGCTATAAACATAAGTGCTTTTTCTTTTTCTTATTACTGTTACCCACAGGGATATCTGCAGGTCTTTGTCACATTTTCAACAATATTTTTTACATCACAGAACAGTGGAGAATAAAAAAAATAAAAAATCAACAACAGGGGGGAGGAGCCAAGATGGGGGGGAGGAGCCAAGATGGCCGAATAGGAACAGCTCCGGTCTACAGCTCCCAGTGTGAGCGACGCAGAAGAAGGGTGATTTCTGCATTTCCATCTGAGGTACCGGGTTCATCTCGCTAGGGAGTGCCAGACAGTGGGCGCAGGTCAGTGGGTGCGCACACTGTGCGCGAGACGAAGCAGGGCGAGGCATTGCCTCACTTGGGAAGCTCAAGGGGTCAGGGAGTTCCCTTTCCGAGTCAAAGAAAGGGGTGATGGACGCACCTGGAAAATCGGATCACTCCCACCCGAATACTGCGCTTTTCCGACCAGCTTAAAAAACGGCGCACCACGAGATTATATCCCGCACCTGGCTCGGAGGGTCCTATGCCCACGGAGTCTCGCTGATTGCTAGCACAGCAGTCTGAGATCAAACTGCAAGGTGGCAGCAAGGCTGGGGGAGGGGCGCCCACCATTGCCCAGGCTTGCTTAGGTAAATAAAGCAGCCAGGAAGCTCGAACTGGGTGGAGCCCACCACAGCTCAAGGAGGCCTGCCTGCCTCTGTAGGCTCCACCTCTGAGGCAGGGCACAGACAAACAAAAAGACAGCAGTAACCTCTGCAGACTTAAATGTCCCTGTCTGACAGCTTTGAAGAGAGCAGTGGTTCTCCCAGCACGCAGCTGGAGATCTGAGAATGGGCAGACTGCCTCCTCAAGTGGGTCCCTGACCCCTCACCCCCGAGCAGCCTAACTGGGAGGCACCCCCCAGCAGGGGCACACTGACACCTCACACGGCAGGGTATTCCAACAGACCTGCAGCTGAGGGTCCTGTCTGTTAGAAGGAAAACTAACAAACAGAAAGGACATCCACACCAAAAACCCATCTGTACATCACCATCATCAAAGACCAAAAGTAGATAAAACCACAAAGATGGGGAAAAAACAGAACAGAAAAACTGGAAACTCTAAAAAGCAGAGCGCCTCTCCTCCTCCAAAGGAACACAGTTCCTCACCAGCAACGGAACAAAGCTGGATGGAGAATGACTTTGACGAGCTGAGAGAAGAAGGCTTCAGACGATCAAATTACTCTGAGCTATGGGAGGACATTCAGACCAAAGGCAAAGAAGTTGAAAACTTTGAAAAAAATTTAGAAGAATGTATAACTAGAGTAACCAATACAGAGAAGTGCTTAAAGGAGCTGATGGAGCTGAAAACCAAGGCTCGAGAACTACGTGAAGAATGCAGAAGCCTCAGGAGCTGATGCGATCAACTGGAAGAAAGGGTATCAGCAATGGAAGATGAAATGAATGAAATGAAGTGAGAAGGGAAGTTTAGAGAAAAAA
Source organism: Homo sapiens (assembly GCF_000001405.40). Taxonomy (NCBI): domain Eukaryota; kingdom Metazoa; phylum Chordata; class Mammalia; order Primates; family Hominidae; genus Homo; species Homo sapiens. The sequence goes on along the minus strand of NC_000001.11, from coordinate 79,943,102 downwards.
GAATAAAAAGAAATGAGCAAAGCCTCCAAGAAATATGGGACTATGTGAAAAGACCAAATCTACGTCTGATTGGTGTACCTGAAAGTGATGGGGAGAATGGAACCAAGTTGGAAAACACTCTGCAGGATATTATCCAGGAGAACTTCCCCAATCTAGCAAGGCAGGCCAATGTTCAGATTCAGGAAATACAGAGAATGCCACAAAGATACTCCTCGAGAAGAGCAACTCCAAGACACATAATTGTCAGATTCACCAAAGTTGAAATGAAGGAAAAAATGTTAAGGGCAGCCAGAGAGAAAGGTTGGGTTACCCTCAAAGGGAAGCCCTTCTGACTAACAGTGGATCTCTCGGCAGAAACCCTACAAGCCAGAAGAGAGTGGGGGCCAATATTCAACATTCTTAAAGAAAAGAATTTTCAACCCAGAATTTCATATCCAGCCAAACTAAGCTTCATAAGTGAAGGAGAAATAAAATACTTTACAGACAAGCAAATGCTGAGAGATTTGGTCACCACCAGGCCTGCCCTAAAAGAGCTCCTGAAGGAAGTGCTAAACATGGAAAGGAACAACCGATACTAGCCGCTGCAAAATCATGCCAAAATGTAAAGACCATCGAGACTAGGAAGAAACTGCATCAACCAAAGAGCAAAATAACCAGCTAACATCATAATGACAGGATCAGATTCACACATAACAATATTAACTTTAAATGTAAATGGACTAAATGCTCCAATTAAAAGACACAGACTGGCAAATTGGATAAAGAGTCAAGACCCATCAGTGTGCTGTATTCAGGAAACCCATCTCGACGTGCAGAGACACACATACGCTCAAAATGAAAGGATGGAGGAAGATCTACCAAGCCAATGGAAAACAAAAAAAGGCAGGGGTTGCAATCCTAGTCTCTGATAAAACAGACTTTAAACCAACAAAGATCAAAAGAGACAAACAAGGCGATTACATAATGGTAAAGGGATCAATTCAACAAGAAGAGCTAACTATCCTAAATATATATGCACCCAATACCGGAGCACCCAGATTCATAAAGCAAGTCCTGAGTGACCTACAAAGAGACTTAGACTCCCACACATTAATAATGGGAGACTTTAACACCCCACTGTCAACATTAGACAGATCAACGAGACAGAAAGTCAACAAGGATACCCAGGAATTGAACTCAGCTCTGCACCAAGCAGACATAATAGACATCTACAGAACTCTCCACCCCAAATCAACAGAATATACATTTTTTTCAGTACCACACCACACCTATTCCAAAATTGACCACATACTTGGAAGTAAAGCTCTCCTCAGCAAATGTAAAAGAATAGAAATTATAACGAACTATCTCTCATACCACAGTGCAATCAAACTAGAACTCAGGATTCAGAATCTCACTCAGAACCGCTCAACTACATGGAAACTGAACAACCTGCTCCTGAATGACTACTGGGTACATAACGAAATGAAGGCAGAAATAAAGATGTTCTTTGAAACCAATGAGAACAAAGACACAACATACCAGAATCTCTGGGACACATTCAAAGCAGTGTTTAGAGGGAAATTTATAGCACTAAATGCCCACAAGAGAAAGCAGGAAAGATCCAAAATTGACACCCTAACATCACAATTAAAAGAACTAGAAAAGCAAGAGCAAACACATTCAAAAGCTAGCAGAAGGCAAGAAATAACTAAAATCAGAGCAGAACTGAAGGAAATAGAGACACAATAAACCCTTCAAAAAATTAATGAATCCAGGAGCTGGTGTTTTGAAAAGATCAACAAAATTGATAGACCGCTAGCAAGATTAATAAAGAAAAAAAGAGAGAAGAATCAAATAGACGCAATAAAAAATGATAAAGGGGATATCACCACCGATCCCACAGAAATACAAACTACCATCAGAGAATACTACAAACACCTCTACGCAAATAAACTAGAAAATCTAGCAGAAATGGATAAATTCCTCGACACATACACTCTCCCAAGACTAAACCAGGAAGAAGTTGAATCTCTGAATAGACCAATAACAGGATCTGAAATTGTGGCAATAATCAATAGCTTACCAACCAAAAAGAGTCCAGGACCAGATGGATTCACAGCCGAATTCTACCAGAGGTACAAGGAGGAACTGGTACCATTCCTTCTGAAACTATTCCAATCAATAGAAAAAGAGGGAATCCTCCCTAACTCATTTTATGAGGCCAGCATCATTCTGATACCAAAGCCGGGCAGAGACACAACCAAAAAAGAGAATTTTAGACCAATATCCTTGATGAACATTGATGCAAAAATCCTCAATAAAATACTGGCAAAATGAATCCAGCAGCACATCAAAAAGCTTATCAACCAAGATCAAGTGGGCTTCATCCCTGGGATGCAAGGCTGGTTCAATATACGCAAATCAATAAATGTAATCCAGCATATAAACAGAGCCAAAGACAAAAACCACATGATTATCTCAGTAGATGCAGAGAAGGCCTTTGACAAAATTCAACAACCCTTCATGCTAAAAACTCTCAATAAATTAGGTATTGATGGGATGTATTTCAAAATAATAAGAGCTATCTATGACAAACCCACAGCCAATATCATACTGAATGGGCAAAAACTGGAAGCATTCCCTTTGAAAACTGGCACAAGACAAGGATGCCCTCTCTCACCACTCCTTTTCAACATAGTGTTGGAAGTTCTGGCCAGGGCAATTAGGCAGGAGAAGGAAATAAAGGGTATTCAGTTAGGAAAAGAGGAAATCAAATTGTCCCTATTTGCAGACGACATGATTGTATATCTAGAAAACCCCATTGTCTCAGCCCAAAATCTCCTTAAGCTGATAAGCAACTTCAGCAAAGTCTCAGGATACAAAATCAATGCACAAAAATCACAAGCATTTCTATACACCAATAACAGACAAACAGAGAGCCAAATCATGAGTGAACTCCCATTCACAATTGCTTCAAAGAGAATAAAATACCTAGGAATCCAACTTACAAGGGATGTGAAGGACCTCTTCAAGGAGAACTACAATCCACTGCTCAATGAAATAAAAGAGGATACAAACAAATGGAAGAACATTCCATGCTCATGGGTAGGAAGAATCAATATCGTGAAAATGGCCATACTGCCCAAGGTAATTTACAGATTCAATGCCATCCCCATCAAGCTACCAATGCCTTTCTTCACAGAATTGGAAAAAAACTACTTTAAAGTTCATATGGAACCAAAAAAGAGCCTGCATCGCCAAGTCAATCCTAAGCCAAAAGAACAAAGCTGGAGGCATCACACTACCTGACTTCAAACTATACTACAAGGCTACAGTAACCAAAACAGCATGGTACTGGTACCAAAACAGAGATATAGATCAATGGAACAGAACAGAGCCCTTAGAAATAATGCCACCTATCTACAACTATCTGATCTTTGACAAACCTGAGAAAAACAAGCAATGGGGAAAGGATTCCCTATTTAATAAATGGTGCTGGGAAAACTGGCTAGCCATATGTAGAAAGCTGAAACTGGATCCCTTCCTTACACCTTATACAAAAATCAATTCAAGATGGATTAAAGACTTAAATGTTAGACCTAAAACCATAAAAACCCTAGAAGAAAACCTAGGCATTACCATTCAGGACATAGGCTTGGGCAAGGACTTCATGTCTAAAACACCAAAAGCAATGGCAACAAAAGCCAAAATTGACAAATGGGATCTAATTAAACTAAAGAGCTTCTGTGCAGAAAAAGAAACTACCATCAGAGTGAACAGGCAACCTACAAAATGGGAGAAAATTTTTGCAACTTACTCATCTGACAAAGGGCTAATATCCAGAATCTACAATGAACTCAAACAGATTTACAAGAAAAAAACAAACAACCCCATCAAAAAGTGGGTGAAGGACATGAACAGACACTTCTCAAAAGAAGACATTTAGGCAGCCAAAAACCACATGAAAAAATGCTCATCATCACTGGCCATCAGAGAAATGCAAATCAAAACCACAATGAGATACCACCTCACACCAGTTAGAATGGCAATCATTAAAAAGTCAGGAAACAACAGGTGCTGGAGAGGATGTGGAGAAATAGGAACACTTTTACACTGTTGGTGGGACTGTAAACTAGTTCAACCATAGTGGAAGTCAGTATGGCAATTCCTCAGGGATCTAGAACTAGAAATACCATTTGACCCAGCCATCCCATTACTGGGTATATACCCAAAGGACTATAAATCATGCTGCTATAAAGACACATGCACACGTATGTTTATTGTGGCATTATTCACAATAGCAAAGACTTGGAACCAACACAAATGCCCAACAATGATAGACTGGATTAAGAAAATGTGGCACATATACACCATGGAATAGTATGCAGCCATAAAAAATGATGAGTTCATGTCCTTTGTAGGGACATGGATGAAATTGGAAAGCATCATTCTCAGTAAACTATCGCAAGAACAAAAAACCAAACACCGCATATTCTCACTCACAGGTGGGAATTGAACAATGAGATCACATGGACACAGGAAGGGGCATATCACACTCTGGGGACTGTGGTGGGGTAGGGGGAGGGGGGAGGGATAGCATTGGGAGATATACCTAATGCTAGATGATGAGTTAGTGGGTGCAGCGCACCAGCATGGCACATGTATACATATGTAACTAACCTGCACAATGTGCACATGTACCCTAAAACTTAAAGTATAATAAAAAAATAAAAATAAATAAATAAATAAATAAAAAATCAACAACTGCAGTGAGTGACAGATGTAGGTCTTGGCCTCATGTGGAGGATCATGGAGAACCTGCCACTGGCACAAGTAGCCTGCTTATGTGCCATTTTATGACCCTTTGTAGGTGTGCTTGCATGGGGGAATCTAGGCATGCGCAGAAAAGGGGCTAGGAGAGCCTGTTTTCCCATGGATATACTGAATAAAATGTATGTTGTGCACCTGCATTTTGAATGCAACCTGTCATGTGAGATCAGCTGTGGAATTTTCTACTTGTGGCGTCATGTCAGTGCTCAAAACATTTCAGATTTTGGAACATTTCAGATTTTTAGATTAGGGATCTTGACTCGTATTTGAATAAGCAACTATTTTTCTTCAACAATAATAATCATATTCTTTTAATTTTTATAAAGCTTTATGTTTTCAAAGTGTTTTTCTATGTATCATGATATTAAACTATCACAAAACTTGAAGAGTTTCTCTTTAAGACATCAGGAAATTTAACTTCCCTGGGCCTTGGAATCTTAACTACATATTAAGTTAGTGTTAGCATCCAAAGCAGGAAAGCTCTCAAGGCATTTTCTTGCACTCATTTCTTTACTCCTGCACAACAGGAAGGATTGTAAACTGATAATAATCAAGGATAGAAATTTAAAGAGACACAAAAAATTAATGCCATCTCTTATTTCTCTCTCTTCTGAAGTGCAAGGGTCATTGCCTATTCCTACAAGGAATGATCTTCTGTCACTCTCCCTTCTTCCCCACACCCCCCATACACATAGCATGACTATTAAGTTTATTCATAACTAAGTCTTTAGAAGGAACAACGCAGTTTTTCTCTCTCTGCCTCATTCTTACTGAAGTTACCAGTGTAGTTCAACATCACAGGTGAGAGAAGATTCAAGAAAAAATAATTTCAGGTTTCAGAGTTTTTGATATTTTAAGAGGAATATATGGCACATACTGAGGAGTTGGGGCCTCTACCCCTTACAAAATCGTAAGGGCAAATAATGTGGGAGTTTGACCAGTGACTCTTAGTTTAACACATTATCAGATCATATATAGTGATTATTTGCCAAAACTTATGAACATTTAGAGTATGTCGTTTTATGACAGTGAATGAGTTTGCCACAAACTTTGGAAAATGTTTGTGCATACTAAGAACTTTTCAGTTTCGGAAATATTGAGGGATTGTAGGGATCCTATAGTATATTCACCTTGGGTTAATGAGGAAAGAGGTTGAAGTAGAAAAAAGGCCTTCTTTGATCTGAAACCTAAATTGATGGTCTAATCCAGTCCCCTAGAAACACCAATTCACATTCAACAGTACATTGTTATTTTCATTTCTTTTGCTTTAAACCTTTCACATGGAGATGGACTACAAGAGTTTGAGAGAAATTTCTGCTTTTCTAGTTTCATGGAACAAAATGCTATGAAGTAGGTTTTCTCAAAAATTGCTTTTTTTTTTTTTTTTTTTTTTACCATTTAGTTAGACAGCTAGGAAGAAAACCTGTTTCCTGACTTCCAGTATAAACTTTGTTCTTCTCTAATTTAGCTACTGTTGTAGATTGCACACTTTTTCTTATTACCTACATTTAGTGAACTCTTTCCATCCCATGTTTAGGTAAATAGATTTTTGGTACTAACTTTTAATTAACCTCACCTCTTCAATGATTTTCTTTCAAACTTTATTCGGCAAAACTCGACCCTTTTGACTACCTCATCCTTAATTTACTTTACATTTGGCTTCCTTGCTATTGTATATCCTCATAAGTGCTTTACCTATGGCATTTTTTAATTATCAGAAGCATTTAAACCTCATCGTGAACTATCTAAATTGTGCATATTTTGTAGTAAATCTAGTTTTGTTTCTATATAAATACTGACATATTTTAAAACTAGTCTTTTCTTGACAGAAAGAAAAAATTGGGGATGAGAAGCTTGTTCATCTTTTTATACTTAGCTTTAAGAATGCCACAGATGCTTAAAATAATGTATGGATATATACTTTTTCAACTCAGTGTTCTTAGATTGATCAGCTTCTATATAACAATTATTTAATAATTTCCAACTTTAATTTTTAACCTAGATCCCAGGAGTTTAATTACTAAAAATTAAAAAAAGAAGAGTTTATCCACAATTTTTGGAGGATTTTTGATAGTAAAAGACATGGGACAACTTTTATAATTTTAGTATTTTATCCTAAGCAAGAAGTGACCTCAGCAGAGTGAACTCTAAAGAAAAAGGGCACATGGGAAAGGGTAGACAGTTGTTTTAATTCTCCTGTTAATTTCTCAATGATTACTTTTTTGTTGAAGAACAGGAAGAATTTTAACTGCTTATAGCCACCTACCTACCATGGCTTAGGCACTTTGCACACATTAGAAATACATATAATAACTGATACTCATTGAGTAGCTTACTTTGTGTCAGAATGAAAGCTATTAAAATCTTGGTCTTTCAGTTTATCAGTTGCAGAGCCAGGACTATAAACAGACACTGTGGCCTCAGAACCAGAAAGTCTAATCACTCTACGGTGTTTTCTCTCCTGCAAAAAATATAAAGTTCATGACATTACAAACCACGATTTGTTACTGCTGTATCTTACATAATTATAGAAGTTCTTGTCACAGGTCAGGAGTTCGAGACCAGCCTGACCAACGTGGTGAAATCCTGTCTCCACTAAAAATACAAAAATTATCTGGGCGTGGTGGCATGCGCCTGTAATCCCAGCTACTCAGGAGGCTGAGGCAGGAGAATCACTTGAACCCGGGAGGTGGAGGTTGCAGTGAGCCAAGATCGCTCCTTTGCACTCCAGCCCAGATCACAGAGCAAGACTCCATCTCAAAAACAAAAACGAACAAAAAAAAAGTTCTTGTGACATATTAAATGCTCAATAAATATTATGTATTTTTATCTACTATGTATAAGTGAGGTTTTATGTGTGACATTCTTTTGGGCATCTTATGAATGGCAATTATCACCCAAAGGACTCTGGTTCTTCCCTGCATGAAGTTTAAAATCTAATAAGTGAAACAACATTAAAAAATCACAAAAAAAAATCTGATTTCAAAATGTAATTAACGATGGTAAGGAATATTAGAAGAAGTTATACAGTAGTATAACATAAATATCTGCTTGTGCCTTGGGATTTAGCTAAAGTTTCTTTGAAAGAGTCGTGTCTGTGCTAAAAACTAAAGCATGAGTAGATGTTAAATACGTTAAAAGGGATTTTCAGAGCCTTCAGGGCACAGGAGACGTGGAAATGAATTCCCAGTATTAGGAATAAAAAGAAAGGTCAGTGTTATTGCAAGGAGAATGTGAGAAAATTGTGGAGGAGATAGAGCTTAAGAGGTAAGCGAAGCCTTGGACATAGAAGATTCCATGGATTATTTGAATGTTCTCATATTTATTCTAAAAGCAGTGTACCACCATTGAAAACATTTAAGTTGGCCAGGCACAGTGGTGCACGCCTGTAATCCTAGCACTTTGGGAGGCCGAGGCAGGTGAACTGCTTGAGCCAAAAAGTTCCAGACCAGCATGGGCAACATGCAGAAACCCCGTCTCTAGAAAATATACAAAAATTAGCGGGGCATGGTGGCACATGCCTGCAGTCTCAGCTACTCAGGACAATGAGGTAGGAGGATTGCTTGAGCCTGTGAAGTTGAGACTGCAGTAAGCTGTGATGATGCCACCGCTCTCCACCTTGGGTGACAGAGCAAGACCCGAGAAAGAAAGAAAGAAAGAAAGAAAGAAAGAAAGAAAGAAAGAAAGAAAGAAAGAAAGAAAGAAAGAAAGAGAGAGAGAGAGAGAGAGAGAGAAAGAAAGGAGGAAGGAAGGAAGGAAGGAAGGAAGGAAGGAAGGAAGGAAGGAAGGAAGGACGGAAGGAAGGAAGGGGAAAGAAGAAAGAAAGAAAGAAAAAGAAAGAAAGAAAGAAAGAAAGAAAGAAAGAAAGAAAGAAGAGAGAGAGAGAAAGAAAGAAAGGAGGAAGGAAGGAAGGAAGGACGGAAGGAAGGAAGGGGAAAGAAGAAAGAAAGAAAGAAAGAAAGAAAGAAAGAAAGAAAAGAAAAGAAAGAAAGAAAAGAAAAGAAAGAAAGAAAGAAGGAAGGAAGGATGGAAGGAAGGGGAAAGATGAAAGAAAGAAAGAAAGAAAAGAAAAGAAAAGCGAGAGGGAAAGAAAGAAAACATTTGTATTAGTCAGGATTTGCTAGAGAAACAGAACTAATAGGATAGGTATACATATAAAGGGGAATTTATTAAGGAATATTAACTCATATGATCACAAGGTCCCACACCAGGCCGTCTGCAAGCAGAGGAGCAAGGAAGTCAGTCTGAGTCCCAAAGCTGAAGAACTTAAGAGTCTGATGTTCCAGGGCAAGAAGCATCCAGCACTGGAGAAAGATGAAGTCTGGGAGTCTAAGCCAGTCTAGCCTTTTCATGTTTTTCCGCCTGCTTTATATCCTGGCCATGCTGGCAGCTGATTAGATTGTGTCCACACAGATTAAGGGTGCCTCTGCCTTCCCCAGCCCACCGACTCAAATGTTAATCCCTTTTGGCAACACCCACACAGACACACCCAGGATCAATACTTTGCATCCTTCAATTCAACCAAGTTGACACTCAATATTAACCATCACAAGTTCACCCCTTGTCAAATTGAACCCATACACATCTCCTAAGATCATATATAATCTTCAAATAAAGACAATAATAAGGTTACAATTATGCCTAACATAATACAACTATCCTTCGTACAACTTGAAACGCACCAACTCCCAACCCAAAAGCTATATAAAGTTAACAATACTTAAATGCTGATATGAAGTAAATAAATCTTATGTCACATGATAAAGGAAAAAGGAAATAAAATGAAGATATTTTCTTAGAACTAGTGTACACATGCACAAACATGTTTTTAACAAAAGAAGGGGGAAATACTCATGACAGTTACAGTCCTCGTTTCTGCAACTGGTTACGTGGTCGTAGTTGGTATTGATGACTACCTTCTTTACTACCCATTCTGTATTCCCTTTGCCTTCAGTAAGCACCTCAGCAGATCATGTTTTTTTTGTTTTTTTTTGTTTTTTTTCTGGTGGAGTGACTCAAACCTTCATTCCTGAAGGGTCTGGGCCATTTGTATTCCTGCCTAAATTGGACTGTTATAGTTTACCATTGATTTTAATCACAGGGCATGGTAGTACTAAGAGACGCCCTAATGGATCTTGTGTATTCCATGCATAGTGCATACTCTTCCTTACCTCCATTGTGGAGTAGTAGACTGATTTCATCTTTATAGTCTAGGTCAATCACTCCAGTCAACACTGTAACTCCCTTCTTAGCCTGTTGACTTAAACGTAGGAGGACCCCAAAGTGTACAGGTGGCAATCTTAACATCCAGTTTAATGGAATCATTGTTGTGTCTCCTGGTGGCAGCATTCCTCCCTCTGGAACTAAGACCTCTAGGCCAGCAGAATGTAATGTCATGAGAACAGGAAGCAAAAATTTTGCTAGTGGATCACTAAGGGTGATGGTGAGTGGTGCCACTTCCACTTCTACCCCTTGATTCCTAGACCTGGGGATCCTGGCTATGGGAGAAATAGTACCATATATTGGACTCTGATTCAGAATATACACAGCTTTCTGGAGAACTTCACCCCAGCCCTGCAAAGTATTGTCACCTAGTTGGCATTGTAATTGTGACGTCAAAAGGCCATTCCACTGTTCTATCAATCCAGCTGCTTCAGGATGGTCAGGAACATGGTAAGACTAGTGAAGTCCATGAGCATGAGACCACTGCCGCACTTCTTTAGCCATAAAGTGAGTGCCTTGGTCAGAGACAATGCTGTGTGGAATACCATGATGGTGGATAAGGCATTCCATGAGTCCATGGATGGTGGTCTTGGCAGAAGCATTGTGTGCAAGATAGGCAAATGCATATCTGGAGTAAGTGTCTATTCCTTGAAGACAAATCTCTGCCCTTCCCATGACAGAAGAGGTCCAATATAATCAACCTGCCACCAGGTAGCTGGTTGATCACCTCGAGAAATGATATCATATTGAGGGCTCAGTGTTAGTCTCTGCTGCTGGAAAATTGGGCATTCAGCAGAGGCCATAGCCAGGTCAGCCTTGGTAAGTGGAAGTCCATTTGCTGAGCCCATGCATAACCTTCATCCCTGCCACCATGGCCACTTTGTTCATGGGACCATTGGGCAATGACAGGGGTGGATGGGGAAAGAGACTCAGTTGTGTCCACAGAATGGGTCATCCACTTTATTATTAAATTCCTCTTCTGCTGAGGTCACCCATTGGCGAGCACTCACATGGGGTACAAATATTTTCAGTTTTTGACCACTCAGAGATGTCTATCCACATATCTGTTCTTCAAATGTCTTCGTCACCAATTTTCCAATCATGGTTCTTCCAAATCCCTGACCATCCAGCCAAACCATTGTCTATAGCCCATGAATGAGTATATAATCGCACATCTAGCCATTTCTCTTCCAAGCAAAGGGCACAACCAAGTGTACTGCTCGATGTTCTGCCCACTGGGAAGATTTCCCTTCACTGCTGTCCTTCAGGAATGTCCTAGAAAGGGGCTGTAGTGCTGCAGCTGTCCACTTTCGGGTGGTGCCTGCATATCGTGCAGAACCATCTGTGAACCAGGACCTAGTCTTCTGTTCCTCTGTCAACTGATCACAGGGAACTCTTCATGAGGCCATCAGTGCAGGCTGGGGAAGTGAATGAAGGGTGGCAGAAATGGAGACCATGGGCATTTGAGCCACTTCCTCGTGTAACTTACTTGGGCCTTCAGGACATGCTCGAGCCCAATCACATATATACCACTTCTATTTGATGATGAAATGCTGCTGTACATGACCCACTTTATAGCTAAATGGGTCAGAAAACAGCCAGTTCATGATAGGCAATTAGGTTGCATGGTGACTTGATGACCCATAGCCAAATATTCAGCTTCCACCAAAGCCCAGTAACAGGCCAAGAGCTGTCTCAAAAGAAGAGTAGTTATCTGCAGAAGATGGAAGAGCCTTGCTCCAAAATACTAGAGGCCTCTGCTGTGATTCACCAATGGGGGCCTGCCAAAGGGTCCAAACAACATCCGTATCTGCCACTAACACCTCAAGCACCATTGGATCTGCTGGGTCATATGGCCCAAGTGGCAGAGCAGCTTTTACAGCAGTCTGGACCTGTTGCAGAGCCTTCTCCTGCTCTGGACCCCACTCAAAACTGGCAGCCTTTTGGGTCACTCGATAAATGGACCGGAGTAACACACCAAAATAAAGAATATGTTGCCTCCAAAATCCAAATAGACATTGTACCTTTTTCTTGGTTGTAGGAGGGGCCACATGAAGCAAGTTATCCTTCACCTTGGAAGGAATATCTCAACAGGCCCCACACCACTGGATCCCTAGAAATTTTACTGAGGTAGAAGGTTTCTGAATTTTAGTCAAATTTATTTCCCATCCTCTGGCATGCAAATGACTCACCAATAAGACCAGTGTGTTTGCTACTTCTTGCTCACTGGATCCAATCAGCATAATGTCATCAACGTAATGGGCCAATGTGATATCTTGTGGAAGTGAAAAGCGATCAAGGTCTCTCCAAATAAGATTATGACACCAAGCTACAGAGTTGATATAACCCTGAGGTAGGACAGTAAAGGTGTACTGCTGGCCTTGCCAGCTGAAGGCAAATTGCTTCTGGTGGGCCTTATGGACAGAAATGGAAAAAAAGGCATTTGCCAAATTAATGGCTACATACCAGGTACCAAGAGACATGTTAATTTGCTCAAGCAATGAAACCACATCTGGTACAGCACTGCAATTGGAGTCACCACTTGGTTAAGTTTATGATAATACACCATCATTCTCCAAGATCTACCTGTCTTCTGCACAGGCTAAATAAGAGAGTTGAATGGGGATGTAGTGAGAATCACCATCCCTGTGTCTTTCAAGTCCTTGATGGTGGCACTAATGTCTGCAATCCCTCCAGGGATGCGACATTGTTTTTGATTTACTATTTTTCTAGGTAGAGGCAGCTAGAATGGCATCATACTTTAACTAGAGTACCAAAATGACGTTTTGGGTCCCCTGGAATCAACATCAGTTCAGAACCAGTGGACTACTGGACATGTCTGATTGTTTCCATTTTTCCAATGCACAGTTACCCTGGTAAAAGGCCAGAAGTCTCCTTGGAGAAGGATGGGAGAAAGATTAATAGCATAAATTGTCTGTAGTGTAGTGGGGTCCTTTCTCAAGGGGACTGAGCCACCCCTTTATTCGAGGGGTTCCAGGTCTGTAAACTGGCTTAAGTCTGGAAATTGATTGACGGATCATGATTGTCTGTTTTTATAATTCAAATTAGTCTTTTGTCCATTCGACCTGGAAGTTTTTTGCTTATATAAATTAAGTAGAAAGGCAGTAGGCTTCCTATCAATTTCACTTCTAAAAACACTGTGATTAGCCAATGCCAGAGCTCTATATGAATCAAATTATTCTGATTGCTTTGCCTCTGCTGTCCATTATGGTAGCTACGTCCACCTTGCCTTTGATGGTTGAGTGCCACCACTTGGCCCCTACCACCTCAGGATCCAATTACTTCCATTATGTTTAAGTTTTGTAGTTGAGTGTCAGCAGTTCCCACTGTTGTATCTGACATACAGAGAAAAGCAATTACGGGGCTCTTCAAAGACGCAGGTACTGCCCTTGCAAATCTATTTTGCAAAACATTGGTCAAGGTTATATCTTCTGGCCCCTCCCAGTTGGGATGAGTAGGTCTAAAGTGACTAATCCACTCTACCCTCCCAATCTCCCTAAGCCTTCAGATCCCTTCTTTTACATTAAACCAGGGGAGATGAGGCATTTCCAGCTCACTCACAGTGAGTCATCTTTTAATCTATATTTCAGCTAATCAAGCAAATAAACTAGAAGAACCTTAACTCCCTGAGCTGCAACATTAAATGCAGAATCTGTATTAGCAGGTCCAAATCAATAAATTCACCCTGATCCAACTCTATGTTCCTTCCACCATTATCCCACATGCTTAATATCCATTCCCATGTCTGCTTTCCAGATTTCTGCTTATATAAATTAGAAAATTCAAGCAGTTCTTTTTGAGTGTAGGGTACCTCTTCATGGGTCACACTCAACCTCACCTCTAGGGGCCTGCTGAGACTTTAGTTATAGGTCTAGAAGCAAACAGGTGTGTTGTGGGTGGTTCCTAAGGAGAAACAACATTATCAGCCTGACAACTGCCTCAGGGGAGACCATCACTGTTGCCTCGGGCAGTGCAGGGTTTATCTCTTCAGAAAAAGGTGGAAAAACTGATTGCAGCATGGGTTGGGAAGGGAATGTTGCCACTACTAGGGAGGGGGAAGCTGTTTTTCTGGCAAAAAAGGTTCATCAACGTTTACAAGCTCAGTGTTTGCAGCTTCATCAGGGTCCTCACACATATCCCCATTCCAAGTAGCAGGGTCCCATTCTTTTCCAATCAATGCCCTCACTTTCACGTAGACACCTGGCGAGGCTGTGCATGCACCTTTTGTTGCAGGTCAGCCACTCACATGATAAGAACTTGTGTCTATTTTTCCACAATTTCAGCTCTTTCTCTACAGGAGATAAGACTCTCACTCAGGGCAATATTACCAGATTTGAGGCTCAATATCTACTTCTGAAGCTGGGAGTTGCAATCCCTGAGTTCACCATTTTCTTTCATCACTTTGTCCAGTGAACTTAGGACCAACCAACCAACTTTGTTATGTCCCTTTGTTCTCCACATATGTCAAAGGTATTATGTATAGTTACTAAGTTCCTTGCCTGTCACAAGTGGTGAATCAAGAGTATTAAATGTATTTATTCTGCATAACTCTCTAAATAGCTGACACCAAGGACTATCAGTGTTCTCCATGGTATTAGAAGTAGAGTCTTTAGCATTTTGGGGTCTAATCATATTAAGCAGCCAACTCCTGGTACCAAAATCTGTATTAGTCAGGGTTCTGTAGTGGGACAGAACTAATAAAATATATATATACATATATATACATATATATATAAATTTTTTAAACAGTATTAACTCACACAATCACAACGTGCCACAATAGGCCATCTGCAAGCTGAGAGGCAAGGAATTCAGTCTGTGTCCCAAAGCTGAAGAACTTGGAATCTGATGTTCCATGGCAGGAAGCATCTATCATGGGGGAAAGATGTAGGCTGGGAAGATAAGCCCGTCTAGCCTTTTCCCATTTTTCTGCCTGCTTTATATACTGACCATGGTGGCAGCTGATTAGATGGCACCCACCCAGATTAAGGGTAGGTCTGCCTTTCCCAGCTCGCTGACTCAAATGTTAATCTCCTTTGGCAACACCCTCACAGACACACCCAGGATAAATACTGTGCATCCTTCAATCCAATGAAGTTGACACTCAGTATTAACCGTCACAACATTTAAGCAGGGAGGTGACTATCAAGAACTACTTATAATGTAAAAAGTATTATAAAGGCTGGCAGAAAATGAAAACTAAAGGAAACTGCCATTAGCTCAGGATGTGCATGTCCATGGGGAGGGGCACGATCTTCATCTTTCAAGGTCATTTTTTCTACAAACATCTTTGCTGAGATAGTCTAGAGAAGGGTGATCAGTCCAGAAAAAGATATGCAGAAATGTGACAGAGCCATAAAGAGCTGTCTCCTAACAATGTCATGATAAGATCACATTTTTAATAAAACTAAATGTGAAGACTTTATAAAACAATTGCTTTTTTATACAGCTTCTTGTAAATTATCCATGTCTTTAATCAGCTAATTATAAGATACAATTAAGCCAATGTTTCAATTCCAGTTTCTAAACAGATAAACTTATAAAGAGTTTTAGACTACTTAATCAGCATCACAGTTGTGTATATTACTAAGTATTTTAAGGAATTAGCTGTCATTCTTAAATTTAGAGAAAAATATTACTGTATCACTTATTGGGACTACATATTATAAGCAGTGTGCCCTAAATAAAGGACTTGTTCTAATTTTAAATCCTTCTTTCCCTTAAAAATATCCATAACATTTTATGGATTGTAAATTTTGTAATGATAGAAAATAAGGCTAAAATTTGTATTGGTTAGTTATTTTAAAAGTCTTAAGAACTATTAATTCTTTCATATTTGTATGTCAATACACTTAGAGGAAATGATTTTTTAAATAAAGCCAGATCCAGCAAGTTGTATCTTTTAAAAAATATATTTGCTTTTAAACCATTTGTATATGTAGCAGTTATTTTTTAGATACAATCAGTAATCCAATAACCAGTTTTGGCCTTTAGACACTTTGAAGTCAGAACTCCTTGAGGATTTGTTTTTCATTTACAAGTGTAATTTGTTTGAAAATATATAAAAAAAAATTCCCTTTCTTGAAATAATTTGTGTTAGAAAAGAAAATAAATACTAATAAGAACACAGATGGGGGCAACAGTACTGAGGAAATCAACCCTGATTATATTCATTGACAAGAATATATTATGTGTTATTTTAGACTGTATATTCATGCAATTTAAAGGGGAAAATGAGTTTAGAGGGATAGAAGCAATGCAATAAAGCAGAAGCTTTTTTTTAAAATCTGTAATATTCTTATACACACACACATATATACAGTCTATCTATCTATCTATCTATCTATCTATCTATCTATCTATCTATCTATGCTTTTATTCTTGAGAACTTTGAGGTGGCTAAATCAAAACTCATTTCGAAAATAGCTTTTGAATTCAGTAAAATAAACATTAAATAACATAAAAACACTTTAATTTTTATTTTAATTTCATTAAAATTAGTCTTTGAAAATAAAAGTAACAAAAGCAATTGTAAGTCAATCAGTTATAATCATTTTGAATTGAAAAGAAAATGTGAAGCCTGAGAAAACTAGTTGTGGAAATAGAAAAATAGAAAAATAGAAGCAATGGAAATGTTATGATCACTATAGAACAGGGATTTTTAATGGGGAGATATTGACCCAAGGGTGAATAGTTGGTCTAGGGATGAGGCAGTGTATTAGTCTGTTCTCATACTGCTGATAAAGACATACCTGAGGCTGGATAATTTAAAAAGGAAAGAGATTTAATGGACTCCCAGTTCCACATGGCTGAGGAGGCCTCACAATCACAGCGAATACGAAGGAACAGCAAAGGAACATCTTCCATAGTGTATGTAAGAGAGAACTTGTGCAGGGGAACTCCCCTTATAAAAGCATCAGATTGGCCAGGCATGATGGCTCACTCCTGTAATCCCACCATTTTGGGAAGCTGAGGCGGGTGGCTCACCTGAGGTCAGGAGTTCGAGACCAGCCTGGCCAACATGGTGAAATGCCATCTCTACTAAAAATACCAAAAATTATCTGGGCGTAGTGGCAGGTGCCTGTAATCCCAGCTACTCAGGAGACTGAGTCAGGAGAATCACTTGAACCTGGGAGGTGGAGGTTGCAGTGAGCTGAGATCATGCCATTGCACTCCAGCCTGGACAACAAGAGTGAAACTCTGTCTCAAAAAAAGAAAAAAAAAAGCATCAGATCTCATGAGACTTCTTCACTATCATGAGAACAGTATAGGAAAGACCTGCCACCATTATTCACTTACCTGCCACTGAGTCCCTCTCATGACAAGTGAGAATTGTAGGAACTGCAATTCAAGATGAGATTTGGGTGGGGAGACAGCCAAACCATATCAAGGAGAAAAAAAAAAAAAAAAAAAAGAAGAGAAATGAAATGAAATAAAAATAAATAGATATTATAATGGTTTTAGCCCTCCAGAGCTCAAACCTACAGATAAACTGTGATTCTTCAGTGTTTAATATTTCTTTTTAGTGTATCTAATGTCTTCTTATGGACAGTTATGAAAACAGGTTGAGAACAACTGCTGCAGAGTATGTCAAAGATTTTTAAATCAAAAAAAGTAATATTTAAAATGAAAATATTTGTATATAAAAATTGTATTGATATTTATATATATGGATTTACTTATAAATAGTTGTCATGATGCATCTCAGATGTTTTAAGTAAGCTAATTTCAAATGTAATCTCTAACAAAAAAATTTTTAGAAAACTGTGCTGTAAAATACTTTATAGAGGCGATAGATAGATAGAAGACAGATAACAAATAGATCATTATTTAAAGGCAATGCTTCTCTTTTTACCTTGTTTCAGTGTGTTACAATATTTACCAACAGTACCCTAAAGTCTTTTTTTTTTTTTTTTTTTTTTTGAGACGGAGTCTCGCTCTTTCACCGAGGCTGGAGTGCGGTGGCGCTATCTTGGCTCACTGCAAGCTCCACCTCCCGTGTTCACACCATTCTCCTACCTCAGCCTCCCGAGTAGCTGGGACTACAGGCGCCTGCCACCGCGCCTGGCTAATTTTTTGTATTTTTAGTAGAGACGGGGTTTCACTGTGTTAGCCAGGATGGTCTCGATCTCCTGACCTCATGATCCACCCGCCTCGGCCTCCCAAAGTGCTGGGATTACAGGCGTGAGCCACCGTGCCCAGCCAGTCCCCTAAAGTCTTAACTCATTCCAATATTAACCCAAAAGTCCAGGTCCAAAATCTCATCTGAGACAAGGCATGTCTCTTCCGCCTATCAGCCTGTAATATCAAAAGCAAGTTAGTTACTTCCTAGATACAATGGGGGGTACAGGCACTAAATAAATATACCCATTCCAAATGGGAGAAATTGGCCAAAACAAAGGGGTTACAGGCCCCATGCAAGTCTGAAATCCAGCAGGGCAGTTAAATCTTAAAGCTCTGAAATGATCTCCTTTGACTCCATGTCTCACATCCAGGTCATACTAATGCAAGAGGTCAGCTCCCATAGCCTTGGGCAGCTCTGCCTCTGTGGCTTTGCAGGGTACAGCCTCACTCTGGCTGCTATCATGGGCTGGCACTGTCTGTGGCTTTTCCAGGTACACAGTGCAAGCTGTCAATGGATCTACAATTCTGGGGTCTCGAGGATGGTGGCCCTCTTCTCCCAGCTCCACTAGGCAGTTCTCCAGTGGGGACTCTGTCTGGGGGCTCTAACCCCACATGTCCCTTCCACTCTGCCCTAGTAGAGGTTCTCCATGAGGGCTCCACCCCTGCAGAAAACTTCTGACTGGACATCCTGGTGTTTCTATACATCTTCTGAAATCTAGGTGGAGGTTCCCAAACCTCAATTCTTGACTTGTGTGCTGACACAGGCTCAACACCACATGGAGGCCACCAAGGCTTGGGACTTCCACCCTCTGAAGCCACGGACTGAGATGTATGTTAGCCCCTTTTAGTCATGGCTGGGACTTAGGGCACCAATTCCCAAGACTGCACAAAGCAGCAAGGTCCTAAGCCTGGCCCAGGAAACTATTTTTTCCTCCTAGGCCTCTAGGCCTATGATGGGGGGGGTTGCCACAAAGGTCTCTGACATGCCTTGGAGACATTTTAACCATTGTCTTGGTGATTAAAATTTGGCTCCTCATTACTTATGTGCATTTCTGCAGTTGGCTTGAATTTCTCCCCAGAAAATGGGTTTTTCTTTTCTATCACATCATTGGGCCGCAAACTTTTCAAATTTTTATCCTCTGCTTCCTCTTGAACACTTTACCACTTAGAAATTTCTCCAGATACCCTAAATTATCTCTCTCAAGTTCAAAGTTCCACAAATCTCTAGGGCAGAGGCAAAATACCGCCAGTCTCTTTGCATTGCAAGAATGATCTTTACTGCAGTTTCCAACAAGTTCCCTGTCTTCCTCTGAGACCACCAAAGCTTGGACTTAATTGTTCATGTCACTATCAGCAATTTGGTCAAAGCTATTCAGCAAGGCTCTAGGAAGTTCCAATTTTTCCCACATTTTCCTGTCTTCTTCTGAGCTTCCAAACTTTTGCAACCTCTGCCTGTTACCCAGTTCCAAAGTTGCTTACACATTTTCTGGTGTCCTTATAGCAGCACCCCACTCTCTGTGGTACCAATTTACTGTATTGATTCATTCTCACACTGCTATAAATTACCGCCCGAGACTGGGTACTTCCTAATAGAGTTTTAATTGACTCATGGTTCTGCATGGCTGGAGAGCTCTCAGGAAACTTACAATCATGGCAGAAGGAGAAGCAAACATATCCTTCTTCACATGATGGCAAGGAGGAGAAGTGCAAAGCAAAGAGGAAAAAACCCCTTATAAAACCATCAGATCCTGTGACAACTGTCTCACTATCATAAGAACAGCAGCATGGGGGTAACCGCCCTCATGATTCAATTACCTCCCATCAGGTCCCTCTCATGACACATGGGGATTATGGGAACTACAATTCAAGATAAGATTTGGATGGGGAAATAGCCAAACCATATCAGAGCCTTTATGTTATCCTTTCTATAAATGCAAAATTCTAATATATTCTTTTTTGGTATATAACTCTGGACTCATAAATTTTTTTCAGATTTTTAAAAACAGTGGAGCAACATTGACCTTCAGTCATTAGTTAAGTGAATCTCAGCAGCATCTTCGATGTTGTTACAAATATGCCTACCCAGAAGACACACACACACACACACCCACGTTCTACTCACTGTCTCTGATCAGTACTTCCAGAATGTTCCTTTGCAATTTGTTTTGTCCTGAGTTGAATAATTTTAGAATATAGTTTGAGGCAAAAGTTAATGTTTTTGCTTGTAATATTATTTTATCTCTTTACAGAATATTCTATATTCTAGTGAATGACCCATCATCAGTCCACTGCCGGTCTATTCCCTAAAGGTTTTCTTACAAAGTTCACATTATAGTGCAAATAAATCAGTCTTTTGATTTTGCAGCCCTAATCCCAGGAGAGGGCAGTGAGGCAAAAGATTAGAAAATGAAATTATGAAATAAATACTAATGGCATCAGGAAAATGTAGTGTCATATTTGTCTCTGTATTTTTTTTTTAGTCTCGCTAATGATGTTCCTCAATCAAACTATTTCTTTGAGTTATTATACAGAAAAATGTACATCTCTTTTTTAGGCATTCTGTAACTTCAAAAGTAATTCATCTATGTCCTGAAGGTCAAGTATGATGTAAAAACTAACAGTCTAAATCGATGTGCTAATGCCAAGGTGTAAATGACAATTAAAATGCATGACCTATAAAAGGAATAAGCCCCCCATGACCAAGGCATCTGAAAGGTAAATATGAAATGAAAATAAATAAATCACTCTGACCACAAATAGTTATGCTTTAGAAAGCACTGTGCACCTTATAGTCCAGTTTCTTGTTGGTAACTACAATAAATATTTCTATAACCTAAATGCTTGAGGGCAAATAAGGTTTAGTCCTTAAGCAACCCTATTCTTCAGTCTTCATGTATAATGTACATTGAAACAGATCATTCTCTCTATAAACCTCACCATCTAAGGTTGCCTTTCCATCAGCACATAGCTGAGAGATGGCCATTTGGAGCCAGAAAAGAAAGGAAAAATTAATGAATTGGTAAATGCTTTTTAAGAAAAGTGGAGAAAATTTCTGTGCAAATGATGCATGCTTTTTAATAAATTTTTCTCTTAACTGTAATTCAGAAACAAAGTTCTGATTATGGCTCTACTTTAAGCTAATGTTCTGTGCATAACTAGAAAAATATTCTGTCTGGAACTTGGGACTGTACATGTGGCCATCCCTTTGAATAAATAGCTATCATAATATCATATAGTCTAGATCAGGTCATATTGCACTTTACAAAGAGAATCAAGCAGCTAAAATTGTTCCTTTGGGATTACTTTAGGGGTATAAACTCTTCAAAGATATCTGCTTGCTTTGGAAATCCTTTTTTCTCCCTACATGCATTCACATGTCTTAGAATATGCTCTTCACCAAGCTGGCTGCATCCAGGAACTTGCTGTGCTTCTAATAATTACTCACCTTGCTGCTGTTCAGCTTCAGAAGAGAAAACTGCTGTGTAGAAATAGCTCTACTAGTCTGGCATAGAGAATAAAATCCATTTTGCTGACAGCAATCTCCCCCTTACTGTAAATTTTCAGTTAACTTCTATGAAGCTTAGTATGAAAAAAGCAGGAAGATTTTGTATACATAATACATTTTCCTCAAAAATTGTTAATAAGAAGACCAATAAACTTTTCCAGTTTGGTGCATGAGCTTCCTAGAGTGTCACTGGCCTGAACTGGCCTAAAAAGACTCAAGTTGGCACTAACGCTAGATAGGACAGCTGTTCCCATTTCTTCCCCTGAAGTGGTCCCATGCCTTTCCTGGCAAAGAAAGGGAACTTGGCTGGCAAAGAAAGACCTACACTTACACAATGCCAAAATAACCAGGTAATTATGTCAAAAGCAAAAATAATTCACAACAGGAAATTGGCACCATAAAATGAAATAATATGCTTTAAATGAAATTAATAGTTTGTAACACAAATCTTCAAGTTAATCAATCATGACAAATATATAACATAGAAGAAATCTTCACATATTTCAAACTTTATCATGCTATTGTGCTGTCATTTATGAAGATGCTTGAAAATATGTTTGATTTTTTTATCCCATTGCATTTGTCAAGCTTGATATGAAAATGAAATTAATGAATATTTTACTTATTCAATAACTATTGATTTAGTGCTTCCTATATGCCAGAGCTTTGATAAGGTCAAAGAACTTATAAATGCAAAAGATTGATTCTTGATTTAAAAGATTCTTATAATTAACTATCCTAGGATGTTTTATGGACATATCATACCCTATGTATATACATTTCTATAAGAATAATTCAAATTGCCTATTAACTGACCTCATTTATTTACTTTGGCAGACAAGAAATCCAAATGAAGGTCAAACTCATTTGCAGTGTATAGACTGACACTTGTCATATTTTTTAAATTCAATATTTGTATGTCAAATAATTCATCTGAACAAGATAAACACGGTAATGAAGTAAATCCCATAGAAAATATATCCTGGGTAATGATGGCTTCTTATGGTTTTATCGACAAGAGTGGAAATTAAATATCAGTATAGTTTTAAATTAAAATGCACATAATTCAGTTTTAATAGAGTAGAAATAAGTATATAGATAATGTACATTTTTTTACAGTGATACACTAACTCAGGATGTTAATCAAAACTTAGAGTGATATTCTCAACAAATATGTTTAGAGAAGCTACTACATGTATAGTATTATATTAATTTTGGAATCACAGTTTTGACTCAACAAAAATTGACTACAAAAATTACATAATTATCACTTTAGAATAGAAGTAGCAAATAAAATGTTAATGTTATTTAACAAAATATTACAAATTATGTGTGTACTAGTGTCAAAGCCTTATGTCAACAGAGGTAAAGGAAAGTCTGATTCTAAAATATTACTCTAAAAGAAAAATTTGTGTTAACAAAAATTTGAGATGCACTAAATCTTAGCCCATAAAAAATATCCCCATGTTCCTGTAGATCAGAATATCCGGCTGGTCAATGTCATCCAGAAACTGCAATAGTTACTAGTGCACAAAGGAATTAAGATACTTACACACAGAGCTTTTTATACAGGTAAGATATTTTCATTACACTTATTCTTATTTTTTGTTTACTTGATCATTTCCTTTCTAATGTCATTCTTCTGATACCAACTATATCAATAAAAGTTTTGTTACAAGAAGATAGTTATGTGTTCTAGTATCAGTCCCATTTTTAGGTCACAAATACACATTTTCAAGATATCTTAAGTTTACAAATATAGTTTTCAGTGTTTTTTTTTTTTTTTTTTTTTTTTTTTTGAGACGGAATCTCACTCTGCTGTCAGGCTGGAGTGCAGTGGCGCAGTCTCGGCTCACTGCAACCTCCGTCTCCTGGGTTCAAGTGATTCCCCTGCCTCAGCCTCCCAAGTAGCTGGGACTACAGACGTGCACCACCACGCCTGGCTAATTTTTTTTTTTTGTATTTTAGTAGAGACGGGGTTTCACCATGTTGGCAAGGATGGTCTCAATCTCCTGACCTCGTGATCCACCCACCTTGGCCTCCCAAAGTGCTGGGATTACAGGCATGAGCCACCACATCTGGCCAGCTTTGAATACTTTAGAAACATTCCAATCTATTTATTTGTACAACAAATAAATTTGTATAATGGTTATTATATTCCTGATACTGTCCTAGATTGTAGTGATACAGCATAGAATAGAAAGTTTCTAATCTCATGTAACATATATTATTTTACTTAAGAAGATGCATTTTTAGTAAACATTATCATGGTTGTCTTACTTTTTCTACTGGAAAATTTATCATTTTTATTTTTATCTGTGAATACAGTTGCATTAATTTCTTGCACTATTTCTTGCAATTGCAACTGTTTTGATCTTTCATCAGTATGAAAGATTAATACTGTCTATTCTAATCAACTATTGATTTGTTCTGAGCTGCATTCCTACCCATACATTGAACTCTGTTTATGGAGGGTGCTATGTTAGGCTCCCTTATTCTCTGGTTTCTGGCAAAGTTTGACAATAAGAGGCTTTGGCAGAAGATTATAGGTTAAAAAAAAGAAAGAAGGAAGGATATTTTTCCTTCCCTCTCTGTTTCTGGGTCATTTCTGCAAAAATTGCTTCCCACACATCTCCTGCTTCCACTGGCCCCCTCTGCACTCTGCTGAAACCAAATTCTTCAAACAGCCTAGGAATGGTTATAACTTTCTGTTGTTGCTAATTTCTAGATTCCCTTAACATCCCGTTTGGCTTTTTAATTTTCCATTGCCATGAAACAAATGTTTTAAATTAAAGTCCATCAGTGTGAAAAATCTCAAGTGGTATTGGTTTTCCTGGTTGGAATTTGTCATATACACCTTTGAACTTGAAAGAATTTAGAGCTACTCGATTGCTGATTCTCTTAGAAATAAATTATCCTCACTCCTCATAACAGTATACAACACAGACCATGGAATACATTTACAAAGTAACTTTTGCAGAGACAGCAAAGTACTTTCTATGTACCCAGATCTGCTTGCAAGTTTTTAAAAAAATATATACATCTGCAAGTGTTTGGTGATTAGTCTGACTAGAACTAATAGGGAGAAGGAGTGGATTCTACTCACCTTTCACCTACTCTAGACTTCATTTTTGTGACTATTTACTTGACACCATCTATTTTTTTTCTCTCTCGGATTGTTGATATCAATACACAAACACTCACCCACCCCCACACACACCCACCTGCTTTACTATCTCTCACTTTATAAAAGCTATCTTTACTCCATGTTAACTTTCCGTTTCTAGCATCCACTTTACATTACAATAATTCCTCCAAAGGTTTTCTTTATTCTTCAATCTCTGCTTTCTCAATGCTCATTATTACTTCAGTTCATTCCAGTTGGGTTAAAAGACTAAATTTCTCTGGCTTTAATGAGACTATGCATTTCTTGGTATTATAGTCATCATATATTTCATCCTTTATTGCTTATCTTTTTCCTTTACCCAATGTTTACTACTTTTTTTTTTTTTTTTTTTGAGACGGAGTCTCTCCCTCGCCCAGGCTGGAGTACAGTGGTGTGATCTCGGCTCACTGCAACCTCCGCTTCTCGGGTTCAAGCGATTCTTCTACCTCTGCCTCCTGAGTAGCTGGGAATACAGGTGCCTGCAACCATGCCAAGCTAATTTTTGTATTTTTAGTAGAGACAGCGTTTCGCCATGTTGGCCAGGATGGTCTTGATCTCTTGACCTCGTGATCCGCCTGCCTCAGCCTCCCAAAGTGCTGAGATTACAGGCGTGAGCCACCGCGCCTTGCCCAATGTTTACATTTTGAAGTAACCTAGATTTCAGACCTTGGATCATTTTCTTTAATGTCAGCATTCTTCCAACAAGTGACCTCACCTAATCCCATGCTTTTCTTTATTATCTATTTAATGATGGTTCCCCATATGCATCCCTTCCCTGAATTCTAGACTTATATATCCTACTTAACATTTGCATCTGGAGAGTAAATTGGATTAAAACTTAATGTGCTTAAAATACATTGACTCCCTTCCTTCTATCCCTCATTCTATCTCAGTAAATGGCATGACCATCCACCAGTTGTTTGGCTGCACACCTCACACTTTATATTGATTAAACACTCACAAACACAACACACTTTCCATTACAAGCCCATGTGCTTTACCTACAAATTATAACCAGATCCACTGACTTCCAAACCATCATCATTTCTCTCATCATTTCTCACTGTCATAGTCTCCCTAACCATTTTTTCCATATTGCTTTCTTATTGTACAATTAATTCTCCACACGTTTTTCTTGTCATATTTTACATATGAGGGAGCACCTGATTTCTTTCAACATGGTGGCAAACTAATACGGGCTGCTACCTCTCACCCTCAAAATCCACCCTGAAGAAATAATATAGAAGCAAGTGGAAAGAATAGATCTGGGGGCAGCACTGCAAGCTGGAGCAAAGAAGAAGCTAACCAAACAACTGGAAAACAAGCTCAAGAAAGGGATGTCTAGAGAGTATTTTTAATACCCTGTGGATATATGGATGATATGTGTACCTAGGAAAGATCTTGGAAGAACTTAAGCTCTTACCTCTGGCTGATTCTGAGGTTCTGTGCAAGTAATTGAATAGGCAGAATTGGAAATTGCCTGCCTGAGCTTTGAAGGCATGCCCCAACACCCAGCATGAACAGAGCTTCAAAGACATGTGGAAAACTACCAAGAGTACCAATATATGCATAACAGGAGTCTCGGAAGGGAAAGAGAGAGAGAAAGGGTTAAAGGGATGTTGAGAAATCATAGCCTAAAATTTCTCAAATTTGATGAAAAATTTTAATCTACATGTCTGAGGACCTCAATGAAGTCTATGCAATACCAATTCAAAGAGATCCACACCTAAATACTTCATAGTCAAGCTATTTAAAGACAAAGGGACAATCCAGAAAGTGTCAGTAGAGAAGTGACTCACCACATACAAGAAATCCTCAATAAAATTTACAGCTGGTTTCTCATGGAGAAAAACCATGGAAGCCAGAAGGCAATAGAAAAATGTATTCAGAGTGCTGAATGGAAAAAGCTATTAATCAAGAAATCTGGTATGTTTGTATTAGTTAGTTTGACTCTGCAAATATTATGCTATTGTTTGTAGAATCAAATAAAATCATGCTCATTAACTTTTGTGTAAATCAATCTCCAGGCACTAGAGATATAGCAGAATATTAAAAGAAACAGTTTCTGTTCTTACAGAGCTTACATTCTAGCTAGAAAACAGACATTAAACAACTAATAGCCCAATTATTTAATTAAAATTTAAAAATATATATAATTTATATATACGTGTGTATATATATATAATTTATATATACGTGTGTGTGTATATATGAAAATAGACCATTATTAGGTATAACAGGAGGCACTGAGCTGCTTTGGTGTTTCCAATATGTCTTCTTAAGAAAATGACATTTGTGATGTTTGAATGGAACTGTTAAAGGCGAGTACAAAATGTTAGCTCTCTCTCCACATTCAACATTGATTTACTTATCTGTAGGTTTCAAGTGGCCAAGTTATGTGTCTATGTTATTTACTGATATGGCTACAGTGCTTGTATCCAATGTTTATGCCTCAAGTTTGTTACTTGCCCAATCAATATTTGTTAAATAAATGAATGAACCTTTAATTCAGCTGACTATAATGCATGGAAGAGTTTTTATATATCAGTACATACAAACAGAACTGTCTATGGGGGAACAATAAGGAATGCTTCTGAGGCTTACATTGTATAGCTGATAAGGCATGTTTAGAGTCATGATGAATGTACCAACATTTTTGAAACGGCCAGTGAAGAAAATAACCTTAATACTTGCTTTTTGTTAATACAGATTAAAGGCCATAAATTATTATTTCATTAAAGATGTTAATTTTGCATGTCTTTGTATTATGGACAAGGAGTGTTATTTCTAGTTTTTTATCAATATATATTATGTCTGATAGGTAGGAAAATATATTTCTGGCATTTTAAGGAGATTTTTAAACAAAATGTTTTCTGTTACTGTTTCTTAAAAAAGTTTTGATTGTATTGTTTATATAGCTTTATATTTAGTCAAATTTATCACTGGTAATTACAACTAGAAATGGCCAAGCTCTTGTGTTTATAGCAACATGTCCATTATTACTAATACGATGTAACTGACTTTTAATGAGTCTGGCAAATTTCATAAACAAGTATGCCAGGCATATCCTTTCATTCCTGCCTAAGACTCATTAATATGATTATTTTCTCAAACATCTTGACTGACAAGTTAAATATTACTGCCACACTCATGTGGGCTGTAAGAACACACCAGTAAAGGGAGAAGCTCTTTCTTTGGCTCTAATTTACCAGGATGTATTATCTTACTATTGTTTTCAAGGTACTACATGCTTTTCAGATTAAAGTGAATGTGCAACTGAAAATACAGGCTCTCTCTTTAAATTCTGTGTGCAGAGATGGTTATTTCCTTGGGATATTCAAGATCTCTTCAGACACAGACAGATTTTATGCAATCATATGGTCTAAGGATCTAAAGCTATATTCTTATAAATAAACAATCTCTGGCCTGCTATAATACAGATGGCAGATAGCAACATAGTTCCAGTGAAAGGGAAATGAAAATTTAGCTTGGGTCTATGATTGAAAATGTCCCATTTAAAGACCACTGTGTTATACAATGTATACCAAAGGACCACTTTGGAGGAATAAATTCTTTTGTAACCAATAAAACAATGCATCTGTAACATATTGCTTTATTTACAACCCATAAGAAAATATGTAATATTTAATTAGCTTCTTTATTAAATATAAAATTGCCAACTTATTAATAAAAACAAAATGAGTAGTAAACATTGCATAGATATATGAACAAATAGAGTAGAATGGGTATTAGAAATTTGTACATTTCTAGCATTTTACAGTGAAAAAATTGAGGAGAGTAGAATTAAATGACTTATCCATAACATCTAAAAAAAATCATTGCAAGAATTGTGGCATAACATCATTTCCCTACACCCTTCCTTGTCAATTCTCTTTCCATTTTAGGAATAAATCAATAGTTACAGATTTTTATAAAATATAAAATATTTTTAATTCAAAGCATGAATATACACAACGTATTGTAAGCAAAGACTTATTTAGTTTTATACTGTCAGTGCCAGGGTCTGTTCTTGAAGGGTTTTAGACAACCATAAATATAAATTGTTCATAAATGTTCAATCTACATGAAACCTAGTTTGTGTTTCCTATGCATACACAGTTCAAGATAAGTCACCTCATACTTCCTCATCCCTACAACCCATCCACTCCATATGCATCTCCAGCATGAACATTCTGGAAATATAATTGTTGTTTGTTTAAATAAAATAGGCTGATCAAATAAAGAAAATAGGCTGATCAGGAAAGAGGCAGTTGAATTTGAACAGACCTTAAAAATAATTCCATTCAACATTCCCCATTTACTGATGAAGAAATCTGCCCCTTGAATTTTACTGTTTCTTCATATATTTGTCATAGATGATGCTCTCTTTGGTTAAAAATTAGAATTTGTTTGATTAAGTCTATTTAATAAAATTAATTAGATCAGTTTTATCACCAAAAAAGAAATCTCCTAAGTTTGTATTTCTCCATTTTTGAGTGTGGACAGAATGATTTGCACATGAGACATACGATGGGTGAATATGTGGTGTTAATCACATTCAATTACTATAATAGTAGCTGATATTTACTGTCAGATACAAGTCTAAGCATGTTTTTGGAGATAGCATTATTTAGTCTCAAGAACTCTGTGAAATCACTTCACAATCAGGTTGAAAATCTGTCAAAGGTTGTTCTTACTTAGTGATAATAATAGCTAACTTGATGCATTTATCAGTATGACCTCTTCATATATTAACTATACATATGCTAACTAAAGTAATCATCAGAGTAACACTATGAGGTAAACTATTCCTACGTAAAATTGAGAAATTGAAGACACATAAAGTTTAAGTGGTTTGTCCAAGGTCTTCTAGTAAGAACACAGCATAGGCAAATTTGAAACCACACTTCAAGTTTTAATATGTTAGGGTTGCTCAGGAACACTATATTACGCTAAAATCCCATGGTCGGCCATCATCTGCAGCCCAGCTACAATAGTGTAGAGCATACAACCTGCCATCATCAGGGATGGTAAGCCTCTGTCTCTATTACATTGTAATTGAATCATCTTGGATTAAGCACTATCCCCATGTATAACATGAAAACAATTTTGATGACCGAATAAGATTTTCTTTTATGTAAACAAGCCCAGCAGAGTGTCAAGCACATAGTAGTTGATTTGATAATGATTATTCATGTTTGTGTATTATACACACTTGTACAAAACGAAATTAAACTGTTTGGGTGGACCTACTCAACTGTTTAAAAAAGATGTTGAAGTAAGAGAAGTCGTTTACAAAAGGAATGTAAACAATTAGGAGGCATGCTGCATGATAAAAAACTGAACACTGAAGCCATATCTTATTCTTTTTATACTCCAACACGAAACCTATCTAGCATATCTGGTCTTTAATAAAAGGTGGTTAAACTAAATTGAAATCTCACAATCATGCATTTAGGTTTTGTATGTGTAGTACCCATATTAAAGCAAGCAAACAAAAACCTCAGTACATGTATTTGGTACAAATCAGGACAGGATGTTATTCAAGCAGACTTAAACATACCTAAATAGATTTAGTTTCTCTCTCTCTCTCTTTTTTTCTTTTGAGACAGAGTCTCGCTCTGTCTCCCAGGCTGGAGTGCAGTGGCGCCATCTTGGCTCATTGCAGGCTCCGCCTCCCGGGTTCAAGTGATTCTCCTGCCTCAGCCTCTCGAGTCGCTGGGGCTACAGGCGCCCGCCACCACACCCGGCTAATTTTTTTGTATTTTTAGTAGAGACGGGGTTTCACCGTGTTAGTCAGGATGGTCTCGATCTCCTGACCTCGTGATCCGCCCGCCTCGGCCTCTCAAAGTGCTGGGATTACAGACGAGAGCCACCACACCCTGCCTACTTTCTCTCTTTTTAGGGAAGTCAGAAAACATTCCTCAGTTTTCACAGAAATCTGGACTCTGGATGTAGGCAAAAACTTCAATCTTAGGGCCACTGGGGCAACCGGAAGTCAGACTGGTCTTGGACTCCCTGCTATTCTTCACTGCACAACGCTAGTGTTGTCACTGCATTGTCAGAATCAATTAACTCCTAAGTAGTACTTAACAGCTTTTTAAGCAATTGCTTTCTCCAATTGCCAGGCAGAAGTCAGACTTTCATAGTCCGTCAGGGAGAAGACAGAAGGAAGGAACTCCCTTTTTCAGTGGCCTACTTTTTCTCCATCTATATATTATTTCACTTCATAGAACTAGAAAAGAATAAATGAGCAAATGAATTTTAAATTACGAGTTACATTTTCCTTTTTTCCTTACACTTAACCTTTACAAAGTTACACAGGAACCAGTTAATTAACCCAATTTGTGATTGAAATCGTCGTGCTGAGCTTCCATGTAAGTACGTTTTAATCCATGTTTTTCTTTTTGAAAGACCAAGTTGTTCTTGTCCTACAACTTAGAAATTAAACTATACATAAATACATCCAATTTTACATTTTAAATACCTTCCATTTTTCTTTAATGTTTGGCTCATTCGCCTAGTTTTTCTTGTTTAGATTTTCCCCAAAACAAACAAACAAACAAAAATTTTCTTATAGTCAAATATGAGAAACATCTTGTTTTTTGGTAGTTTCTCCTAATGGCTTTTCTAATAAATTTTTATTCTTATGATTACCAAAAAGTTTAGCTTGTTTTAGTCCACCATCTTACACATGAGAATACTTATGCTCATGGAGTTTAAATGATTAGCTTATGCTCATCAACTTGGCTAGTTAGATATGTAGGTTGGATAATGGCAGATCTCTTAATGGCAGCCTAACTGCCATCTTTTTACTTGGGTAAAATTTTATCAAAATGTATCAAATTATTACAAAATCATTACAATTTTCTTAAATTATAAAATATATTCATTTAAAATGTGAAGGTGCCAATGGTCTTCTTATACAATTTGCACCATATGGCATTTTGAGGTTTTACATTTTAATTCTCTTAAAAATAGCAAATTGTAATGATCGAGTTACATAAGAGTAAAATGTGATCTCTACAATAAACTCTAAATCATTATATGTAATTATACTGAGCACCTCTAAAAAATATTTTCCATGCTGACTTGATGAAAATCATGTTGAACTACGTATGTGTAGTATATAAATAAAAAATAAGTTGTTTAATAATAGAATATTAAGATTATACAAGCTGTGTGTGTGTGTGTGTGTGTGTGTGTATGTGTATCCTCCATAATTAAATAAAGGGAAATTGACAAAACATTTTTTAGTGCTTCTATCAGATGTATCCAATATTCACTTGGACCTTGATCAGAGTAACTTTTCAGCAAATTATTTGCAGTTTCTCAATTTGTCTTATTTAACCTCTCTGGTAAAATAAATACTTTGTAGGAAAATCTTTGGAGAACAAAAATGAAGATGCAAAAGAAGAGCAAGAAATTGTCAAATATAAATTTTTATTGAAAGTTATCAAGCTACTTTCTCCTTATTTGAGGATGGTGTAGGTCTAATTGAATTAACATCTAAGGATATTTGCTGAGACAAATAGCAAGAAAAACTAAATTCCCTTCAGTGGGGTGTGTATTATTTCAAACAGGATAATCATGTGGATGACTTATCATCAACATTGTGGTCAGAGAAGTGCGAGAAAAAAAATCTTAACTTTTAGATCTAATTTCACTACTTGAAAAGAACGTATCTTCCACTTGAACTGAATGCTATAGAGGAATTAGGCATCTGTTCATGTAGGGAACCTGAGGGATGTTTAAATAAACTGGAAATGGCTATGTGTTTGGAGAGGATATGGTATATAACACCTGTGATTAGTGCATACGGTTAGCCACAGGTGTACAAATAAAATCATCCAAAATGAAAAAAAAATTCCAAAATGACTCATATAGTGACTTCAGAGACCATATTCTGTATTTGAAATTTTATACTCTACTTAAATTGAACAGCTAAGGAAAGGTGTACAACTATGATTTTATTCCATGATTTTTTTTAGGTGATACTGTATGTTTATTATGGAAACACAAAATTGGTTTTCTTAGCACACTTTACTGTACATAGTAGATATGAAATAAATAAGATGGGAATAAAAGATTCAGCACATAAGTAGCTAAAGTACCTCAAAACCATGTGTATTAACCTAACAACCCATCTTCAACATTTAAAAAGCAGAGGTTGATGGAAGTTATGGGAGATATAGACAAGTGTACAGACATAGTTGGACATTTTAATATGCTTTTCCAAATATCTGGTAGAATAAGCAGAAAAAAATTAATGAGGATATTGATAATTTGACAAACATTAATCAAATTTACCTGATTGATCTGTATAGAAGTATAACATCAATAACTGCAGTATGCATATTCATTTCAAGTACTCATTAATATTTACCAACAGAAACCACAGCTTAGACAAAAGCAAGTAAAATTAATCTGTGTTTATAAATGTCATAATGGTTATGTTGGAAGGAACTGGGGAAGAAGGTACACAGGAAGTGTTCTGGAGTGCTTTAAATATTCTACATTTTCAACTAAGTAGTATTTATACAATAACACACAAATGTAAAAGTTCATGAATTTGTGCAAATAAGATTTGTGTGATTGCCTGTATGTTACTTATGCCACAATAAATAAATAAATAAATAAACTAATATATATTCAACAAGAATCTAGGACTCTATTCACATTAATAGTTTCATGTACTGGAACAAGTTTCTTCATCTGTCCCCGATTTCATTTACTTAAGAAATTAAAAAATAATAAATTCAGAAAATATTTATTTAATGGTATAATCAAACTTGATTAAATTAACTTGTTCAAGTTGCTACCTTTTGATCAACACTTAACTGAATGTGATTGTCTGTTACACTGATTGCTCCAAATTAGCTATACTTCTAGGTATTCTCTTTGAGTTGTGCTGGCCTTGTGATTCACTTTAATCAACAGAATGTGGTGGAAGGAGCACTGACCTATGCACAAGTTTCTGGCCTGTACCTTAAGAAGACTTACTAGCTTCCAATTCTGCACACTTCAAAACCATGAAAAATCAAGGCCAGTTCTTCTACTAAGGAGACCACCTAGAACAAGCAGTTAAAGAGGCCACATAAAGAAAGACCCAGAAGAACATGGAGCGAGGGAAAACCAGATGCCCCAGGATTCTAGCAAAGCTGAGTCTCTAGCCATCTTACTCCCTGAATATGTCCATCCAATAGACCACCAGCCAGACAGCAAAACAACTATTCAGCCAAATCTAGCTCACATTGTAGAACTATGAGCAAATAAAATAAGTGGTCTTTTAAACCACTAAGTTTTGGGCTGGTTTGCTACACAGGAATAGATAACTGAGATACTGTATCAGTAACTTAGCTTGGGGTTTGATACTAAGTATGGTAATTAGGCAGAATGAAATGGAATGGGCATTGGGGTTGCCACAAGAGTGACTTTTATGTTCACCTCAAGTAAGAGTGATGAAGCATATAATGGATTTCGAGTCTTTTAAAATCTAGCCTGAATTTCTATCAAAATAATTCTTTTTATCTTAATTGGAGTTGAGTTAGTATTATGTTTATAAAATAGCCACAGGGAGGCCTACCGACCTAGCCTTTGTATAGAAAATCAAAGTGTGAATCTTAATTTCACAGGCATAAAAAGTGTCCTGTTTGTATATTTAAATTCAGATGTTAGCATATTTAAAGACTGTTTATATTGTCTTATTATGATAATTTAAAAAGAAAGTAAAACAATGTGTATTCCACAAAGGGGCATGCTTCTTTTAATTGCTTGGATAATTCAGGGAGAAAAAGAAATCTCAAATTACATAAATGGAGAAGTATATAGGGTTGTCAGTTAAAATACACAATGCCCAGTTAAATTTCAAATGCAGATAATGAATTTTATTTAGTATAAGTATGTCCCATGCAATATGTGAAGCTTACTTATACTAAAAAATCATCATTTCTTATTTTATATAACATTCAAATTTAACTAGCATCTGGTATTTTTATTTGCTAATTCTGACAACCCTAAAACAATAGTAAAATCAACAAACATTTGTTGAGTGAAGCAGAAGGAATAATGGGGTTAAGAGTGGGGCAAAATAAGTGGTGGAAGAGGAATTGGAAATGTAGTTAGGGAAAGGATGAAGTAAAGAAGTTTAAGAGAGTAGTAACTAGTGTACAATTACTGTTTTGGAAGTAGGAAAATAAATATTTTAGGGAAGGATAACAAGACTGAGGAAATGTAATGTATGTGACCAGGAATGTCTAAAAATATTGCTTTGTTATTTTCTATAAATGACACAAACTTCCTCTTGTATTGCCCAGGTAATGGGGAACAGAGACTGGACAATGAAGGGGTGATAGATGTGCCACTCCAAATATTGCCAGATTAGTATATTGATGATTTAGAGTTGAAAACACTGGAATAAATTGTAGTTTCAGAAAGGGCAAACCGATTCGTTTCTTCCTGCATTCAGCAAATGATAAAGATTCTCCTGGGAGGGATACCCTCTCCATACCAGAGTGAAAAATAGCCCTTATCACCAAAGACTTGGAGTTGATGGCTGCAATGGACCTGAATGAACATATTTAATTAGGCAACCTTTATCTTCCACCTGCTTTACCCTCTCCCCCACCCCACCCAATATATCTCCTGGAGAATCCCCTATAAAATTTTAGCATCCTAACCAGTTTTTCTTTGTCTTATTATTTCTTCTCAAATTTATTGCTCTTTGTCTGAAAAAATATAAGAGCATCTTACTTTGGCCACTTCTTCAGACTTTACTCTCTTGTGAAGATCCCCATGTACATATAAAACTAACACAATTTGTATAATTTTATCTTGTTAATCTACCTGGTGTCTCCTTGGTTTCTAGATCCAGTTTAAGAGTTCAGTAAGAGCTAAAGGGGGGTTGGTATGAATGGTATCTCCCCTAAGAAATGAAAGGTGGGTTGGTGTAAATGGTATCTCCCTAGCCCCCATTCAACCTGGATGATTCAGTCTATTCTGATAAAATGCTTTTTTTTTTTTTTTTTTTTTTTTTTTTGATACGGAGTCTTCTTCTAGTGCCCAGAATGGAGTGCAGTGGTATGATCTGGGCTCATTGCAATTTCTGCCTCCCAGGTTCAACCAATTCTCTTGCCTCAGCCTCCTGAGTAGCTGGGATTACAGGCATGTGCCACCACGCCTGGCTAACTTTTGTGTTTTTAGTAGAGACATGGTTTCACCATGTTGGCCAGACTGGTCTCGAACTCCTGACCTCAAGTGATCCACCCACCTCGACCACTGATATGGTTTGGTTCTGTGTTCCCACCCCCAAATCTCATCTTGAATTGTACTCCCATAATGCCCACATGTTGTGGGAGGAACCTGGTGGGAGAAAATTGAATCATAAGGCAGTTTCTCCCACATTGTTCTCATGGTAGTAAGTCTCATGAGATCTGATGGTTTTATTAGGGGTTTCTGCTTTTGCATCTTTCTCATTCTCTCTTTGCCTGCTGCCATCCATGTAAGATGTGACTTACTCCTCCTTGCCTTTCACCATGATTATGAGGCTTCCCTAGCCATGTGGAACTGTAAGTCCAGTTAAACATCTTTCTTTTGTAAATTGCCCAGTCTCAGGTATATCTTTATCAGCAGTGTGAAAACAGACTAATATAGTAAATTGGTACCAATAGAGTGGGGCGCTGCTGAAAATATACCCAAAAGTGTGGAGCGACTTTGGAACCGGGTAACAGGCAGAGGTTGGAACAGATTGGAGGGCTCAGAAGAAGACAGGAAAATGTGGGAAAGATTGGAACTTCCTAGAGACTTGTTGAATGGCTTTGACCAAAATGCTGATAACAATATGGACAATAAAATTAAAGTCCAGGCTGAGGTGGCCTCAGCTGGAGATGAGGAACTTGTTGGGAACTGGAGCAAAGGTGACTCTTGTTATGCTTTAGCAAAGAGACTAGCAGTATTTTCCTCTGCCCTAGAGATTTGTGGAACTTTGAACTTGAGAGAGATGATTTAGGGTATCTGGTAGAAGAAATTTCTAAGCAAAGCATTCAAGAGGTGACTTGGGTGTTGTTAAAGGCATTCTGTTTTATAAGGGAAGCAGAGCATAAAAGTTAGGAAAATTTGCAGCCTGACAATGCAATAGAAAAGAAAAACCTATTTTCTGAGCAGAAATTCAAGCTGGCTGCAGAAATTTGCATAAGTAATGAGGAGCTGAATGTTAATCCCCAAGACAATGGGGAATATATCTGTAGGGCATGTCAAAGGTCTTCACAGCAGCCCCTCCTATCACCAGTCTGGAGGCTGGGCCCTGGTCCCCCTGCTGTGGGCAGCCTAGGGACTTGGTGCCCTGCATCGCAGCCTGCTGCAGTTGTGGCTGAAAAGGGCCAACACAGAACTTGGGCCATGGCTTCAGATGGTGCAAGCCCCAAGCCTTGGTGTTGAGCCTGTGGGCACACAGAAGTCAAGAATTGAAGTTTGAGAACCTCCTCCTATATTTCAGAAGATCCCTGGAAAGTCCAGGCAGAAGTTTGCTGCAGTGGCAGTGCTCTCATGGAAAACCTCTGCTAGGGCAGTGCAGAAGGAAAATGTGGGGTGGAAGCCCCCACACAGAGTCCCTATTGGGGCACCACCTAGTGGAGCTGTGAGAAGATGGCTACCATCCTGCAGACCCCAGAATGATAGATCCACCAACAGTTTGCACCATGTGCCTGGAAAAGCTGCAAACACTAAACACCAGCCCATGAAAGCAGACAGAAGGGAGGCTGTACCCTGCAAAGCCACAGGGGCAGAGCTGCCCAAGACCATGGGAACCCACCTCTTGCATCAGTGTGACCCGGATGTGAGACATGGAGACAACAGAGATCATTTTGGAGCTTTAAGATTTGACTGCCCTGCTGGATTTTGGACTGGCATGGGCCTTGTAGCCCCTTCGTTTTGGCCAATTTCTCTCTTTTGGAATGGTTGTATTTACCCAATGTCTGTACCTGCATTGTAGCTAAGAAATAACTAGCTTGCTTTTGATTTTACAGGATCATAGGTGGAAGGGACTTGGCTTGTCTCAGATGAGACTTTGGACTGTGGACTTTTGAGCTAATGCTGAAATGAGTTAAGATTTTGGGGGACTGTTGGGAAGGCATGATTGGTTTTGAAATGTGAGGACATGAGATTTGGTAGGGTCCAGGGGCAGAATGATATGGTTTGGCTGTGTGTCCCCACCCAAATCTCACCTTGAATTGTATTCCCATAATTCTCACATGTTGTGAGAGGGACGTGGTGAGAGATAATTGAATCATGGAAACAGTTTTCCCCATACTGTTCTCATGGTAGTGAGTAAATCTCATGAGATCTGATGATTTTATCAAGGGTTTCTGCTTTTGCATCTTTGTCATTCTGTCTTTGCCTGCTGCCATCCATGTAAGACATGACTTGCTCCTCCTTGCCTTCCACCATAATTGTGAGGCTTCTCTAGCTACGTGGAACTGTAAGTCCAATTAAACCTTTTCCTTTCACAAATTGCCCTGTCTCAGGTAGGTTTTTATTAGCAGCACGAAGACGGACTAATATAGCCTACCAAAGTGCTAGGATTAAAGGTGTGAGCCACCATGCCTGTCCTAAAAATTCTTAATCTCTCAGATTCTAACTCTTGCCACACATCCTCCTTAAGATGGTTCCCAGTGGGATATAAGGAGTTTCTAGGACCTGACAGCAGTCAGGGAGGGAAACATCTATCCACTGGCCTTGGATTGCAACACCTGCTTCCACATGCTGGCCTTATTCTTACAAAGCCTGGTCCTATAAGGAACCCTACCTGGAGAAGTCCACGGCACCCACTGCAGCTGATGGGTGATCTTGCTACCATTTGTTCTTGTCTCCTGTGTGCCTAGTCACATTATGAGCTTCTCTTAGATAACTATACCCAGGAAGAAAGAGGCTGGATCCAGTATTTTTATGATCCTGCATTTCAAAGAAAAAGTTTTGGCAAGAAACTTCTGAAAAATAATATATATTAGGCTCACCTTAATAAAATAGTCTAGACTTTGAATGGAATTATTTTGTATTCTTTATTTAAGAAACATAATGGTGCTATGAAGTAGGCAAAGATCAAATATTTATGAAAATGCAGGTAATTTTTTAATATCTACTGGCAGATGGCCTCTACAGGCTCTGTATTTACTATCTGTGTGTTGTTCCCACCAATCTTCTTCATTCATATAAACTTAGTGTTCACCTAGGGATATATCAATAGTTCATGAGTTTGATTTTAAATAAGAATCTCAACAGTGAGACTTATTTTTCTGCTTTTTAAAATGTAATCAGTACCCAAATCAATATCACTATTCTTTTTAAAGACTAAGAAGTTTTATCTTCAGAGAAAGCTGATACTTTATTAGTGCAGAAGAAAAAGCTGTTCCTTTTCAAACATTAAAAAACACAAACATCTTAAATATGCATTAGAAACCATTAACACTCAAGGGAGAGCTGACTGCTGTAAATTTTCTGTGGTATAGCCTCTAACCTCTTCTGATAGCTAAAGTTAATGTTTTAATGACAAGAATTTAAAAGAAAAAAATAGTTGAGTATTTAATTTGAGTTTAATAATGCTTTGTGAGTCTGCACAAAATATTGCAGGATTTTAACATTGAAAGCTGAACGAGTATTTTTCAGACTTTAAGTTATTAAAACATGTTTTCTTATTTGGTAGTGAACTTGTATTTCAGCCAAACAGCTGTAACTGTGGGCTGCCAAAACTACTCTTCTTACACTTTCAGGTTACTTGATTAAATTACTATATACATAAAAATCCTTTCCAGAGAGTGAACGAAAAGTGGACGGTGTTATGTTAGTGGTATTGTTCCTAGAAGAGAAGTTACATAGAAAAAAAACCTCTGCTGAAATTTTAATATGCTTTGTTATTTTTGCATCATTTGGCTCAAGGATCAAAATGAAATCAATTATAACAAAACAGTAGATCATTTAAGAATGGTGTTAATACTTTTTAATTGAGTTCAGAGAACTTATATGAATTAGATCTTTTGATCCTCACACCAGCCCCATACTGGAAGAAGGGCAAGGATTTTTCATTTTTCATCTATGTGTGATTAGAATTAATGGTACCTTAAGATGTAAAAAGGTCCCAGCTTTACCCTGTTCTCTGCCAAGCACTCTATAAGCCACTTTTCTCTTTCTACTTGTTATAGGTTTAAAGTATCTAGAGTTATATCCTTTATTTTGTAATAGGTCCACCTATATAGTGTGAGTGGATTGAGATTAGGACTGAAAATAATTGCTCACTCCTCTTAGTCTCCACAAATATATGTTTGGTGAATCTGAGTTTCATCTGTAAGGCCAGGATTGAAATGATTGCATTAGAGATTGAAATGAAATTTAGAAACCTTCTTCTGTTTCATCTTCAACTGAGGTCAGGAGGGACCTAGCTACATAATCTTTGTGGACTTCTTTTCAAATATAACAACAATCTCCCTATGTATTGCACATAAAATATTAGCAGGGGCAGAACTAGCAGACAGAAATCATATCTGCCAACCGTGGCGAAACAACAGTTTTGTCTTTCAAATAAGGACTAAACTCTGTAGGAGGAAAACTTATTTTGTGATAAACAGAGTCCTAAAGTATTACGCAATTGGCAAAATTTACTGTGCATTTATGGTATTATGGGTTTATTGTATTTGGGTTTGTTCAAATAATTTCACGTATCTAGTGGAAATTGTATCTTATGTGATGATTTAATCTAACCACAGCTGCAGCAATATAAATTACACATAAGACTATGCTGATTGATTATAATCAGTTGTAATCATGTCTTATAATTACATTGCATTATAGCGGCAGAGGCTGTTTAAGCCTACTCGGCACAGAGCTATATAAAGAAGAATATTTGTTACTTCTGACAGTCTCAGTCAACATTCAAAATGGCCTGCAAACAATAAGTTTATTAAATTTATTGTCCAGGCATCAAATAAGCGTCTTGATTTGCTCACAGAAGTTGAAACAGAATTGCAAGCCAGTCTAAAGCTTATTAACTACTATTTATACTAAAAATTTCTTCTTAAAAACATTAATAATTTAGTATATGGATCACGTTGATGTATCAATATTTGAAGTACATTGAATGTCAATGAATGTAAAATAATCAAGTGAGAAGTTTGGAAGTATAGGAAGGTATAGATAAAATAAAATTGGAAGAAACATTGATGATTTATTAAAGCAGGGTAATGGGTACATAGAGGTTTGTTATATTATTCTGTTTAATGTGTATGTGTTTGAAATTATTCATATAAAAAGTTATATATACTTTCCTATAATAAAGAAAACTGAACAAACACTATATAGTGCCTATTTATGTCTATATACAAAAATACAAAGGTACTCTTTAAAATTCATGTATCTAAGTTGCTTTGTTATGTCTTAGAGGAACACTTTGCCTTTACATTGAAAACTCCTAATAGACTGTTTTGAAACACTCAAGATTATTTCACCAAAGCCAAAGCTCCAGTAGTCTTCTTTTAACCTAACCTCCTCCTTTCCTCTTATAATGATGCCCACTTTTCACCTGCACT
This sequence comes from Homo sapiens, assembly GCF_000001405.40. Classification (NCBI taxonomy): domain Eukaryota; kingdom Metazoa; phylum Chordata; class Mammalia; order Primates; family Hominidae; genus Homo; species Homo sapiens. The sequence continues at coordinate 79,901,680 of NC_000001.11, read as the reverse complement.
CAGTAAGCCACAGTAAACAATCATGTAGAAAATACTGTGCTTTTCTATCATCAATGTTTTATTAGTAAAAATGTTTACACTTCACACAATTAAATACAGCCACCACAAGAAGCATATTAATATTCTGAATAAGTTGTATAAGGCTCATTCTGAATAAGTTGCAAGGCTTGCTCTGATTACAATTATATGTGTATTGGAGTATATGAAAAGTGAAAAGTTTGTGTCCATTTTTAGATTACTTAATACATATCTTTAGATATGGGCAACTTACTTAATTTTCTGAGACTTCATCTTTTCATTTTTGCCTGGCTATATATAGTGAATGTAAACCCATTTGGCAAAAGTTTTACCTACAAAACAAATATAGATTAGATATTTGTTACCTCTGATTTTCCTTTCACACTTCCTATCTGGTTCTTTATGCACTCAAATGAGGATTGGATTATGGTTTGCTAATTGATATTAGAAACAAAAAAAAAAAGCAGTGCTGATTTGGAGTACTCTCATTAGGCTTAACATTTTTCTACTTGTTTGGATTTGTCTCGCTGCTTAGGTAGCAAGATGCCAAACAGGTATTTTTCTCGATTTGTCATTTTATCTCAGGTCTCAAAACAAGAAAATGGATTTCAAATATCCAATATAATTATTGATTGTATGTGTTAATTTAACTTAGATACAGAATCTCCAGAGAGCAGGTAAACCATTATTTCTGTGTGTATCTGTTTCTGAAAGAGATTAGCATCCCATTGGTCAGACTGAATAAAGATGGAACTCACCAGTGTGGGTGGGCATCATCCAATCCCTTGAGGGTCTGAATAGAACACAAGGGCAGAGGAAGAGTGAATTTGCTATCTCTTCTTGAGCTAGCACATTTATCTTCTCCTGCTGTTAGACATCAGAGCTACTGGTTCTTGGGTCTTTGGACTCTGGGACTTATACCAGAGGTCCCTCCTGGGTCTCACGCCTTTAGATTCAAACTGAGTTACACCACCATCTTTTCTTGTTCTCCAGCATGCAGATGGCAGATTGTGGAATGCCTTGGAATCTATAATCATGTGAATCAATATTCATAATAAATTATACACATACATGCTATTGTTTTCCTTTCTCTGTGTTAGGGCTAAGAGAACCCTAACACACTCACCCTTTTAAAAATAACAGTTAGGCTTTCTGTGCCATACTGTTTAAGAATATAACACAGAAATAATCTGTCACCATAACTTCTCATCCCTCTGCACCTTATATAAAGGATAAGGCAAGGTTTATCAGAAGAGATAAGAGTAGGAGTAAAAATTTCCTTGAACAGAATCATCAGAGTTATGTGATGCTCCTATATTTTTCCCTGGAAATGAGGAGAGGATCCCTGAATCTAGAATTAAAGTTTGTTTTGTTTTTCTTAAATCGGAGAGGAACTCTTTTCCCCTTGAGTCACAGGAGAAAAACTTCAAGAGTTTGTGGATCACAAAGTGTGGTGGCTGACACATGACTGGAAAAATGTAAAGGAGAGAGGTTGTAATACTTGCTGTGATGACCGATGGATGGCAGTGAAGCCAGCTGCACGTCTATGGAAAGGGACCATATTTCCTCTAGGCTGCTATAGAAACCACAGAAGATATGCACATGTGAGTAATCTTGGAAAAGACCCAACCAAGGAGGCTGTACTCAGCAGAACTAGTTTGTGTGGGACACACAGTCAGAAAGAAAATGGAGGCGAAAGTGATAGAGATAGCAAGAGACTGTGTTGGTTATCTGGGCTGGCACTGCAAAGCCTTCTAAAGGGGATAAATGGGGCTGATCTTTGTAACACTCATGAAAGTTTCCCTAGAGGAAAAAACAAACATGTAGGGATCAGCCACCCCAAGGTTCCCATTACCAGAACATAACAGCATCTGCTACAAATGATTGCCCTTGTTACACACCTAGGAAATTCTCAAGCAGGAGTGGAGATAGAGAAGGAAGAGAGAAGAAAACAATTCCCTTCTTCACTATTGTTTTTACAATATGGACATGGCCTGCACTCTAAGGAAAATGGCCTGGGTAAGGGTTGAGTTGAGGGGAAAAGGAGAATCCAAACCTGTAGTGTGTCCTGTAATTCATGACAATTCTGTAGGAGAGGGCTATGCTTACTGTAAAATATGAATCAACAGCCAGAACGAGGTCAGTCATCCCATTGACTTCCAAAAATGTAGAGAAAAACATCGATTTTCCTCCACTTTTTCCCTATAAGACATTTTTGTTTTCTCCCAGAGAGAATGTCTTATGATCCTTGGAGACTTATGAAGAAATAAATAATCATGTCAAGAAAAGAGAGATTTGGAAGAACGATCCATGGTAACAGAAGGAAGACCCAAGTCAAACGTTTACTATAATGATAGTAGATTTGTTTTCTCATTTCTTATCATAATTGTTTCAACAACCAGGATGAAGACCCAAAAGTTTGAAGTAAATTAAAGTTTTAAAAATAGAAAAAAAAAAACTCTAGAGTATAAATTAACCACAACAACCAATGAGCTCTTCTCATATTCATATTCTCTAGATAATTGTTTCTAAGACAGAAAATAAAGATAATAGTGTTCTTGAGGTTATAAAACTATGACAGGTAGATGCTGATTTGCTAAAATTGGTAAAAGACCTCCCTCTCTAATACATTTTTTGAAATAATTAAATCAAGAAGAGCAAAGAAAAATGAGAAGACATTGTAGTACTGCATTGAAAATACAATATAAAATCTTAGGTTATATTCAAGATGTTTCAGCATTTTAACTGAATGGATCAATCGCTAACCTGCCACATGTGAGTCATTAAGTGATTTTCAAACCCATTTTGTAACAGGTTTCTTGACTAACTCAAACATTAAAAATAAAAATTACCATCAAGTCACTGAAATAAAAGTGGATGAGAGATTAAAAATTTGACATTTCAATCTGACAACTAGATTGGACTATCTAAGATTGAATATGAGATTGTTAGGTAATAAATAAATGTGCAAGATTTTGTCACCTGCTCTAGGCATCGTTACTGGCAGGGAAGGTCAAGCTTAGAGAGACATAGACCCCATTGATACTGGTTCATTCATAAACCTGATGTGCACACTTACATTTATTTACATCTCAGCAAGGATCTTTACAGAAAGAAAAGCCCTTTAAAAGTAGTCAAGAAATATGTTAATGATTAGAGAATCATTTACTCAAAAATTTATATTAAATAATTATTAACTGCAAATAATAATATGTAATGGAGGACAGTTATGAAGAGTGTGACCTCTGCCTTCAACAGACTTGCAGTTAACAACCTAAGTAAACAAAAAAATCTAACCCAAAGCAGAAATTTCCTAAGGCTTTAAAATTATTAAGTTTAATTGCACAATCATCCCGTCTAGAAGGAAATGTATGACTGAGTTCTTTTCAGAAACCTAGACTTAAAGCTTTTCAGAAAGGAAAATGGTAAAAGACTTGCAGCTTGGAGCCGTTACTCAATTGGTGATGATGTTACAGCCTAGACTTTTGTCCTTGATCTATTTCCTGGAAAGATTTTTGATTTTGCTTTTTGTTGTTTAGATTTTTTAATTAAAGATGATGATGATGATGATGATGATGACTTGGTTTAATATAGCGAAGATAAAAAAATTTCAACTCACTTCCCAATTCTAATTGATTATTAGTAGCTTCCTGAAAAGCTGCCTTGCACTGTGTCCAAGCTTATCAGAAAGACCATGCTGGATTCATCAGAAGTGCCTAGGGGAGGGGAGAAGCAGTATACACCACATTGCCCCCTCCTTGGCCTAATTGCTTGATACAATAGAACTTCCCTAAGTGTTTTAGAATAAAGGCATCATCCAGAGGTAGAAACAGGTAATTACAACCATAAAATTTCCAAATTAATGCTTAGGCAGTTTAGGTTGGTGGAGTCCACATTTTTGTTGGTGGGTGGGAGGAGCAGGGAAGAATTGTATTTTTGTAACTAATATAAATTGTTAGTCCCTGAGATTTAAAAAATCATCATTATATAACATCCTAGAAAATATTTTAAAACTTGTTACAGATCTACTATGACCTGACTAAAACTGTTTGATTGCTGCCAAGCAAGTATCTTCATGAAAGATCTGAAGCCAGGGAACAAGCAGTACATTATGCGTGGTCAACACAGAATGAAACTGCAGTTTGCTGATTTTTGCATCAGTTTTTATGAACTGAAATTGATATGCCACACTAAAACTTCTTTAAATGTTTTGAAATGTAAAATTATAGTCAAATACTAAAGAGTAATTTTAATAAATCATATAACCTGGCTTTCCTCATATTTTCTAGAAGTTAGAAAGTCACTTGAAAATGAAATTAGACAAAATAACTTTTTGTCTTTTCATTCCCATTAAAGTTCACCTGGAAATTAAAATTACATAAGAAAAGCATAATGGAAATCAGGTTCACGTGATAAATTTGTTTCTCTGACTACATGTTTAACAGTATTATATAAAACACTTAACCAATGCATGTTGCAGCCAGACTACTTGAATTACATTCCCAGCTCTAACACCTACTTGAGGGACCCCAGGCACATTATTTATCTTCTCTAAATTCAAATTCCTTAGTTGTAAAATGTAGGTATTAATACTACATAGAGTTGTATGGGGAGTAATTGGTTACAATATCTGTTTAGATAAACACTTTTTCTATAAGTGTTTATTATAAGTGTTCAGACTCAGTGCCTGGCATGTAAGAAGGGCTTATTAAAGTTAGCTATTGTTATTGGGAAAAAAAAACTATATTAGGAGAAAAATACACATGGGCACACACACACACATGCATGCACACACTGGTTAATGAGGTAAAAAATCATCTAATATTTAGCATGTATAAATAAATGTATATTCACTTCTCAAAACTATAAACTACTGTTCATTTTGTATAAAAGTCTTGATTAAAGCAAAAGAAAATTGAAATTGATATGTTGCTGCTTAAATGTGTAAGGTACTATTATACTCTGTAGGTGCCAAAACTGTCTCATCCCCAAAGCATCTACGTGATAGATGCTGGCAAGTAGAAACCATGGTGATATGGGCATGAATGAACGTATATGGTTGTGGCTTAGTCAGTCCATGTAGACTACAAATGGAAGGTAATGCAGTTATATTTTAAAGTCATTTCTGCATGATTGATTTTTGTCTGATAATTTAATTATGGGCACTATTTATTGGAAGAGTTTGCTTCTTATTCTAGACATTTGTCCTTACTTGGCATTCTATTATGCTGCCATGACACATTGCACTACTTACCAGTAACTGATTATGACACTTTCAGGCTGATTCTCATCCTGGCAATGATGCAGAAAGGTTTTCAGTACTGTGTGCTCAGACAGCACTATACTTGGAAAGGAAGCTTTTGCTGCTGCTGCGAAATTGGACCAAGAGTACCAAGTTCTCCATGAACCAAAACTACCTCAGCTTTCTTACTCTTTTAGCACTGGTCATAAAGGCAGTGCAGGATAGTCATAGGAACATGGGCTGGGATCAGGGGGCTTTAGGTTAGAATCGCAGGCCTGGAGCATCTGCTCCTCTTCCCCATCCTAATAGACTGATGTACTGAATCTATGGAAGACTCCCTTACCTTATCTGATTGACTGGTCAAGAAAGGCTCAATACAGAGACATGTTAAGAACCAAGAAAGGACTTCGTGTTTTCTTCCTTTTACAACAGCTCTAGAAAACAGTTCTTGCTGAGATAGATAATCCAACATGTACATGTGGGCTCAGAATGCTTTACTTAAACTGAAGAGGAAAACTGAAATAATACTTATAATTCAAGCAGAGACAACCCTTAGTCTCAACTATTTAAATCTTTCAGGCAAAAGAGTTTCTTAGGCCTGAATTATGAGTGGTTGCCTCGTGCTCCACTTCACCTCACATGGGTAAACACAGGCCAAGTGTGCAGCAGTGATTTTAATGGGCTCAGCCAGGCTAAAAGCCTAATGAAATGGTTGCATGATGAAAAACCAATAGAATTTTAACTCTGGGCCAATGCATTGAGGGAACTAAAAAAATCATCTGGGAAAGATCGGGAGAACAATTAAATGGACAGATAAATGCTACTAATTGCTAATGATCAGCTAAAATATAGGCAGATGCCTGGGATGTTACTGTACAGGTGTGGGATCCCATTTGACATTTGTCTTACGTTTAATGTCTGACATTTGTGTAACTTTCAATTAAAACAGAGTAATGATAATTAGATAAGAAAGAATCTGTTGAGTAAGCTCTCAAATTTTACTACATTCCTTACATGCGATAAATTTGACTACTTTGACATTTAAATTTTTTCTTCTGGCTCTATAAAACATGTACCAATAGAAACTAACAAACTTTATAATATTCCTGCAAATGTTTTGGAATGATAGCTTAGGCAAAATATGAATATACATGTTGATACCGTTGTGTTCTAAATCAATATGCAGGGCAAATGTTCAGGAATTATGCACTAATGTGGCTATTCTGGATTTTGTACACCAGCATCCATTCTGATTGGTCAGTACTATTGTCTCATTGCTTGGTATTTACATAGTAGCAGTTGGTAAAATTTCAGATATCACCCTAATTCATAAGTATCATAAACATTTTTCTTTTGCTGGTATTTATACCCTATATTAAGTGAGAATGGTTTAAAATATGATTATCAAAAACTCTTCTTCTATTAAAAATAATTTATATGGAAAACACAATAAACTTTCATTCAAATAAAATTTTCTGCATATTATTGATTAATTACTGTTTGGCCTTTTTTCTATGGATAATGTTTAATCATGTAAACATTTTAAGCCAAAAAGCTTTTCACTTAACAGAGTCACATAATGTAGTTTAATAGTCAAGTTATTTTAATTTGATTGTTTAATTTTACAACTTAGGTTGTGTAAATGCACACATCTGCAATGCAAATATAAATACTCCAGTTTCGGAGGTGGTTCCAAGATGGCTGAATAGGAACAGCTGGTCTGCAGCTCCCAGCGTGATCAAAGCAGAAGATGGGTGATTTCTGCATTTCCAACTGAGGTACCTGGTTCATCTCATTGGGACTGGTCAGAAAGTGGGTGCAGCCCACAGAGGGCGAGCCGAAGCATGGTGGGGCATCACATCACCCAGGAAGTGCAAGGGGTTGGGGGATTTCCCTTACCTAGCCAAGGGAAGCCGTGACAGACTGTACTGGGAAAATCAGGACACTGCCACCTAAACACTGCACTTTTCCAATGGTCTTAGCAAATGGCACACCAGGAGATTCTATCCAGCACCTGGCTCAGCAGGTCCCACGGCCATGGAGCCTTTCTCACTGCTAGTGCAGCACTCCGAGATCAAACTGCGAGGTGGCAGCCTGGCTGGGGGAGGGGCCTGTGCCACTGCTGACGCTTGAGCAGGTAAACAAAGCAGCCAGGAAGCTTGAACTGGGTGGAGCCCAGCACAGCTCAACTAGGCCCTCCTGCCTCTATAGACTCCACTTCTGGAGGCAGGTCATAGCTGAACAAAAGGAAGCAGAAACTTCTGCAGACTTAAACGTCCCTGTCTGACAGCTCTGAAGGGAGCAGTGGTTCTCCCAGCCCAGTGTTTGAGCTCTGAGAATGGACAGACTGCCTCCACAAGTGGGTCCCTGAATCCTGTGTAGCCTAACTTGGAGACACCTCCCAGTAGGGGACGACTGACACCTCATAAAGCCGGGTGCCCCTCTGAGACAAAGCTTCCCAAGGAAGAATCAGGCAGCAATATTTGCTGTTCTGCAATATTTGTTGTTCTGCAGCCTCTGTTGGTGATACCCAGGCAAACAGGATCAGGAGTGGACCTCCAGCAAGCCCCAACAGACCTGCAGCTGAGGGACCTGACTGTTAGAAGGAAAACTAACAAACAGAAAGGAATAGCACCAACATCAACAAAAAGGACATCCACACCAAAACCCCATCTGTAGGTCACCATCATCAAAGACAAAGGTAGATAAAACCACAAAGATGGGGAGAAACCAGAGCAGAAAAGCTGAAAATTCTAAAAACCAGAGCACCCCTTCTCCTCCAAAGGATCGCATCTCCTCGCCAGCAAAGGAACAAAGAAGGATGGAGAATGACTTTGACGAGTTCACAGAAGTAGGCTTCAGAAAGTCGGTAATGACAAACTTCTCTGAGCTAAAGGAGGACGTTTGACCCATCTCAAGGAAGCTAAAAACCTTGAAAAAAGATTAGACAAATGGCTAACTAGAATAAACAGTGTAGAGAAGACCTTAAATGACCTGATGGAGCTGAAAACCATGGCACGAGAAATATGTGATGCATGCATAAGCTTCAGTAGCCGATTCGATCAAGTGGAAATAAGGGTATCAGTGATTGAAGATCCAATTAATGAAATGAAGCGAGAAGAGAAGTTTAGAGAAAAAAGAGTAAAAAGAAATGAACAAAGCCTCCAAGAAATATGTGACTATGTGAAAAGACCAAATCTACGTCTGATTGGTGTACCTGAAAGTGATGGGGAGAATGGAACCAAGTTGGAAAACACTCTTCAGGATATTATCCAGGAGAACGTCCCCAACCTAACAAGGCAGGCCAACATTCAAATTCAGGAAATACAGAGAAGAGAACACCACAAAGATACTCCTTGAGAAGAGCAACCCCAAGAAACATAATTGTCAGATTCATCAATGTTGAAACGAAGGAAAAAATGTTAAGGGCAGCCAGAGAGAAAGGTTGGGTTACCCACAAAGGGAAGCCCATCAGACTAACAGCTGATCTCAGCAGAAACTCTACAAGCCAGAAGAGAGTGGGGGCCAATATTCAACATTCTTAAAGAAAAGAATTTTCAACCCAGAATTTCATATCCAGCCAAACTAAGCTTCATAAGTGAAGGAGAAATAAAATCCTTTACTGACAAGCAAATGCTGAGAGATTTGGTCACCATCAGGCCTGCCTTACAAGAGCTCCTGAAGGAGGCACTAAACATGGAAAGGAACAACCCGTACCAGCCACTACGAAAACATGCCAAATTGTAAATTTTAAAGACCATCGATGCTAGGAAGAAACTACATCAACTAATGGGCAAATTAACCAGTTAACATCATAATGACAGGATCAAATTCACACAAAACAACATTAACCTTAAATGTAAATGGGCTAAATGCCCCAATTAAAAGACACAGACTGACAAATTGGATAAAGACTCAAGACCCATCAGGGTGCTGTATGCAGGAGACCCATCTCACGTACAGAGACACGCATTTAGCCTCAAAATAAAGGGATGGAGGAAGATCTACCAGCAAATGGAAAGCAAAGAAAAGCAGGGGTTGCAATCCTAGTCTCTGATAAAACAGACTTTAAACCAACAAAGATCAAAAGAGACAAAGAAGGGCATCACATAATGATAAAGGGATCAATTCAACAAGAAGAGCTAACTATCTTAAATATGTATGCATCCAATACAGGAGCACCCAGATTCATAAAGCAAGTCCTGAGAGACCTGAAACGAGGCTTAGACTCCCACACAATAATAATGGGAGACTTTAACACCCCACTGTCAACATTAGACAGATCAACGAGACAGAAGGTTAACAAGGATATCCAGGACTTGAACTCAGCTCTGCACCAAGCGGACCTAATAGACATCTACAGAACTCTCCACCCCAAATCAACAGAATATACATTCTTCTCAGCACCACATCACACTTATTCCAAAACTGACCACATAGTTGGAGGTAAAACACTCCTCAGCAAACGTAACAGAACAGAAATCACAACAAACTGTCTCTCAGACCACAGTGCAATCAAATTAGAACTCAGGATTAAGAAACTCACTCAAAACCACACAACTACATGGAAACTGAATAACCTTCTCCTGAATGATGACTGGGTAAATAACAAAATGAAGGCAGAAATAAAAATGTTATTTGAAACCAAAGAGAACAAAGACACAACATACCAGAATCTCTGGGACACATTTAAAGGAGTGTGTAGAGGGAGATGTATAGCACTAAATGCCCACAAGAGAAAGTGGGAAAGATCTAAAATCAACACCCTAACATCACAATTAAAAGAACTAGAGAAGCAAGAGCAAACACATTCAAAAACTAGCAGAAGCCAAGAAATAACTAAGATCAGAGCAGAACTGAAGGAGATAGAGACAAGAAAAACCCTTCAAAAAGTCAATGAATCCTGGAGCTGGTTTTTTGAAATGATCAACAAAATTGATAGACCACTAGCAAGACTAATAAAGAAGAAAAGAGAGAAGAATCAAATAGATGCAATAAAAAGTGATAAAGGGGATATCACCACCGATCCCACAGACATACAAACTACCATCAGAGAATACTATAAACAACTCTATGCAAATAAACTAGAAAATCTAGAAGAAATTGATAAATTCCTTGACACATACACCCTCCCAAGACCAAACCAGAAAGAAGTTGAATCTCTGAATAGACCAATAACAGGCTCTGAAATTGAGGCAATAACAAATAGCCTACCAACCAAAAAAGTCCAGGACCAGATGGATTCACAGCCGAATTCTAAGAGAGATACAAAGATGAGCTGGTACCATTCCTTCTGAGACTATTCCAATTCATAGAAAAAGAGGGAATCCTCCATAACTCATTTTATGAGGCCAGCATCATCCTGATACCAAAGCCTTGCAGAGACACAACAAAATAAGAGAATTTTAGATCAGTATCCCTGATGAACATCGATGCAAAAATCCTCAGTAAAATACTGGCAAACCAAATCCAGCAGCACATCAAAAAGCTTATCCACCAAGATCAAGTTGACTTCATCCCTGGGATGCAAGGCTGGTTCAACATATGCAAATCAATAAACGTAATCAATCACATAAACAGAGCCAAAGACAAAAACCACATGATTTTCTCAATAGATGCAAAAAAGGCCTTCAACAAAATTCAACAGATCTTCATGCTAAAAACTCTCAATAAACTAGGTATTCATGGAACATATCTCAAAATAATAAGAGCTATTTATGACAAACCCACAGCCAATATCATACTGAATGGGCAAAAACTGGAAACATTCCCTTTGAAAACTGGCACAAGACAGGGATGACCTCTCTCACCACTGCTAGTCAACATAGTGTTGGAATTTCTGGCCAGGGCAATCAGGCAAGAGAAAGAAATAAAGGGTATTCAATTAGGAAAAGAGGAAGTCAAATTGTCCCTGTTGGCAGATGACATGATTGTATATTTAGAAAATCCCATCATCTCAGCCCAAAATTTCCTTAAGCTGATAAGCAACTTCAGCAAATTCTCAGGATATAAAATCAATGTACAAAAATCACAAGCATTCTTGTACACCAATAACAGACAAACAGAGTGCCAAATCATGAGTGAACACCCATTCGCAATTGCTTTAAAGAGAATAAAATATCTAGGAATCCAATTTACAAGGGATGTGAAGAACTTTTTCAAGGAGAACTACAAACCACTGCCCAATGAAATAAAAGAGGACACAAACAAATGAAAGAACATTCCATGCTCATGGATAGGAAGAATCAATATCATGAAAATGGCCATAGTGCCTAAGGTAATTTATAGATTCAATGCCATCCCCATTAAGCTACCAGTGACTTTCTTCACAGAATTGGAAAAAACTACTTTAAAGTTCATATGGAACCAAAAAAGAGCCCGCATTGCCAAGACAATCCCAAGCCAAAAGAACAAAGCTGGAGGCATCACGCTACCTGACTTCAAACTATACTACAAGGCTACAGTAACCAAAGCAGCATGGTACTGGTAACGAAACAGATATATAGACAAATGGAACAGAACACAGGCCTCAGAAATAACACCTCACATCTACAACCATCTGATCTTTGACAAACCTGGGAAAAACAAGAAATGGAGAAAGGATTCCCTATTTAATAAATGGTGCTGGGAAAACTGGCTAGCCGTATGTAGAAAGCTGAAACTGGATCCCTTCCTTATACCTTATAGAAAAATTAATTCAAGATGGATTAAAGACTTAAATGTTAGACCTAAAACCATAAAAGCCCTAGAAGAAAATCTAGGCAATGCCATTCAGGACATAGGCATGGGCAAGGACTTCATGTCTAAAAGACCAAAAGCAATGGCAACAAAAGCCAAAATTGACAAATGGGATCTAATCAAACTAAAGAGCTTCTGTGCAGCAAAATAAACTATCATCAGAGTGAACAGGCAACCTACAGAATGGGAGAAAATTTTTGCAATCTACTCATCTGACAAAGGGCTAATATCCAGAATCTACAAAAAACTCAAACAAACTTACAAGAAAAAAACAAACAACCCCATCAAAAAGTGGGCGAAGGATATGAACAGACATTTCTCAAAAGAAGACATATATGCAGCCAACAGACACATGAAAAAATGCTCATCATCGCTGGCCATCAGAGAAATGTGAATCAAAACCACAACGAGATACCATCTCACACCAGTTAGAATGGTGATCATTAAAAAGTCAGGAAACAACAGGTGCTGGAGAGGATGTGGAGAAATAGGAACACTTTTACACTGTTGGTGGGACTGTAAACTAGTTCAACCATTGTGGAAGACAGTGTGGGGATTCCTCAAGGATCTAGAACTAGAAATACCATTTGACCCAGCCATCCCATTACTGGATATATACCCAAAGGATTATAAATCATGCTGCTATAAAGACACATGCACACGTATACTTATTGTGGCACTATTCACAATAGCAAAGACTTGGAACCAACCCGAATGTCCATCAATGATAGACTGGATTAAGAAAATGTGGCACATATACACCATGGAATACTATGCAGCCATAAAAAAGGATGAGTTCATGTCCTTCATAGGGACATGGATGAAGCTGGAAACCATCATTTTGAGCAAACTATTGCAAGGACAGAAAACCAAACACCACATGTTCTCACTCATAGGTGGGAATTGAACAATGAGAACACTTGGACACAGGGTGGGGAACATCACACACTGGGGCTTGTCATGACGAGTTAATGGGTGCAGCAAACCAACACGGCACATGTATACATATGTAACAAACCTGCACATTGTGCACATGTACCCTAGAACTTAAGGTATAATAAAATAAATAAATAAATAAAATACTCCCGTTTCTCTGGTCACTTTTAAAAACTGTAACTAGTATCTTTTCTTGCTAATAAATTTTCTTGTATCTGATTTTTATTATGTATGTTCACTAAGTTACATTCACTAAATCTAACTGATTTTGATTAGGCAAAACTGGAAGAAGGTTCAGATTTGATCTATTAACTATGAAACAAATTTTAAGGGAAAGAATTTTTTTTGGAAAAGTGTATTTGAAAAAAAAGTTTTTTTCTCATATACCAGTGGAAATAGCTTTCATTTATCATTTTCTGATCATTTATTCTTAATCTGGGTCTATGCATAGCTATTAGCAAAAATGTTTAAAGATAATCAGATAATTTTACACATTAATATCAGATAAGTGGTTGAGAAATAAAACAATACAATTCAGTGATGTTCTGAATTAAGAACCTTTGTTACTTGAGCAGGTAGGGAGCTACTCTCAGTACATAGACATAGACCTAAGAAGAGGAAGTAGACAAGGCCCATGTGGATAGTGAAGACATAGAAGGACAATTCACTCATAGTGTCCACTGTCAACTCTCAAGCTTGGTATGGCTATATTTATTTAAGGATGAGTAAATACACACATGGAATGGTGGGGAAGTGGTAGAGGAGTACACAAGTACAAACACTAAGATTTAAATGACCACCTCTTGGGTGCTTATTCTCTGGACAATGTGTAATACATTCAGTATTCCTTAAGTGATCCTATGAGCTAGATATTATTAGTCCCATTTTACAGATAAGAAAATTGCGGTTCAATGAGATTAAACTGCTTTCTCAAAGTCAGTCAGCTTATAAGTATCAAAGACAACATTTGCTTGAAGTCTGTCAGGCTCAAAAGTGTATGTTCTTAATCATTGCTCTAATGCATTTAAAACTTTGAAACAATGTCTAAAGTCATTTTTTAACAAAAAAGGTAATACTAGTCAGAAAATCATCCTGATATATACATTATGTATATATAATATATATAATGCATTTTTCTTTGAACAAGGGTTCAAGAAAAGGAAAGAGATTCATATGGATAAAGGTATTAAAGGATGTAAAGAAATCCAAAATGTAATAAGATAATCAAAATCTCCATTGGAGGTAGAAAGAAGCAGGATAAATACCATGACACATGAAATCACTGATACATTGATTAAATTTCATATTCTATCCAAAAATGCCCCCATATCTGACATCCAGCCTGATTTAGCCATTTTTGCCAAGTCTAACTTCATTTCCTCCCTCCTCCCTCCCTTAAATTATGTTTGACTAATTCAGGGCTTCTCAACATTGGCACTACTGACACTTTGGCCCAGTTATTTGAGTGTGGGCCAATATCCCTGGCCTCTAGTCACTAGATGTCAGTAGCTCTGCCCTTACCCTTATCACCAGTTGTGTGCCCTGGGTGGCAAAATCACCACTCTTGAGAGCCACTGGATTAATTCAACTATGAGAAATGAAGCATTTTTTATTTTAATTTACTTGTATTGAACAGCCAAACTTTGTGAAATCAAACTTTGTTATCCCATAATGAACATTCACTGAAGGGCACATAAAGGAAAAAAAAGAAAAATTTAATTTTTTAACCCAATTAAGAATTTCTTCACACATTCCATGGTTTGGATGGTGTTTCTATTCAAACATTTTTCTGTGCATCTCTGAAAATTAAACTACTTAAAGGATAGAGAAACAGATAAATTTGAGTAAGCCAATAGAGTATAACCAGTAAGCTAATATATAAATTTTATGATAACCAATTGGAATGACTAAAATGGCATTCTATTATATACTTCTTATGCAAAAACATTTATTTCTTTGGGATCTAATAAGTGTAAAAGACTACATACCAAGTCACTTCCAAAAGTATTGACAGAATGACTAATTATATGACAAAGGTTCAACTTTCTATGGAGATATGAGTATTTTCCAAATTATTTGTGGCTTGAAAAATAGATATGCTTGGAACAATGGAACAATGTGACATGGCTAATGATATTCTCTATACCTAAATGGCTTTAAATTGTTCTCAATTATCAGTCCCACTTTTGCTTCTAAAGTGAATTGCTTCAAGGTATAGGGCATCACTGGTATTAAACTGATAAACCCCTCGCTTCTGCCCTTCTGCTTTCTGCTATGTTAAACATCTTTATTAAGACTGTCTCAGTAGGTTCATTCTATTCTGATTTCGTTGGGAGCAGCAGTGAGTTTAATGAAAGCTTTACAAATGGCTTTGAGGACCTGAGTTTTTGTAGCCTCATCTATGATTTCTCCTTTATTCTACTTGGCTCTTGTTTCCTGGGAGGGTGTATTTTCATTTGAAACCCCTAATTAAAGGAGGTAAACCTAGAGGTTAAAAAACACTTATGGGGAAACACTGAGTCTTCTTAAAGCAAACAGAGAGGAAAAATATTAACTGAAATTAATTTTGGTATTTTTTCTGAATATATAAAGCAATGGTTTAAAATGAATATGTACAATTTAATATGATGTATGCATAAAAATAGTCTACTAACTATGCCTCCTAGGTCTATTACTTAGTAAATGAGGCAAAAAAGCCCTTTTAGAGTTATACTGCAAGCTAACAATGAACCATACATCTATTGGAATTAGCCTTATTTTAAATATAATTGAAAGCAAAACATAGCTATTATTTCTGTTTGTAAAATATTACTATATTCTAGTAAAATATCCACAGATTTACATAATTTACACACTTTTTTTTACATTCACACACCATAATCAGAAAGGAGTTATTTTCTCCTGTTTCAATACAGATCATTCTCAGTAGATCACTCAACTCTCGGTGTTTTTAAACGGATTGCCTCTGTTTATTTTAAATTAATGTATTTTGCAGGAAAGAATCCAAAACATCACATATTTCTATAAAATCACAATGAAAAAAGCACAGCACAGAATGTTTGTGTGTTTGTGGGTGAGTATTGGGGTGAGGTAGAAGGGAAGAGAGAGAAACAGGGAGACAGAAACAGAGAAAGAGGGGAACGTTGTTTACTTCACCACCAGGTAAAATGAAAAGATGCCACATGGAAGCAAGTACCTTTCTAGTTGTCATTCAATGCTTACATTCAGAATCTATGGTGATATGGTTTGGCTGTGTCCCCACCCAAATCTCATCTTGAATTGTAACTCCCACAATTCTCATATATCATGGGAGGAACCAGGTAGGAGGTGATTGAATTATGGGGGTGGGTCTTTCCTGCACTGTTCTCAGTATAGTGAATGAGTCTCATGAGATCTGATAGGCTTAAAAATGGGAATTTCCCTACACAAGCTCTGTCTTTGCATGCTGCCATCCATACAAGATGTGACTTGTTCCTCCATGCCTTCTGCCATGAATGTGAGGCTCTCCAGCCATGTGAAACTTTGAGTTCTCTATTAAACCTCTTTTTCTGCCTAGTCTTGGGTATGTCTTTATCAGCAATATGAAAATGAACTAATACAGTAAATTGGTACCAGTAGAGTGGGGTGCTACTGAAAAGATACCCAAAAATGCGGAAGTGACTTTGCAACTGGGTAACACGCAGAGGCTGGAACAGTTTGGAGGGCTCAGAAGAAGACAGAAAAATGTGGGAAAGTTTGGAACTTCCTAGAGACTTGTTGAATGGCTTTGACCAAAATGCTGATAATGATGTGAACAATGAAATCCAGGCAGAGGTGGTGTCAGATGGAGATGAGGAACTTTTTGGGAACTGGAGCAAAAGTTACTCTTGCTATGTTTTAGCAAAGATATGGGTGGCATTTTGCCCCTGCCCTAGAGATTTGTGGAACTTTGAACTTGAGAGTGATGATTTAGGGTATGTGGCGTAAAAAATTTCTAAGCAGCAAAGCATTCAGAATGTGACTTGGGTGCTGTTAAAAACACTCAGTTTTATAAGGGAGGCACAGCGTAGAAGTTTGGAAAACCTGCAGACTGACAATGTAATAGAAAAGAAAATCCCATTTTCTGAGGAAAAATTCAAGCAGGCTGCGGATTTGCATAAGTAATGAGGAGCTGAATGCTAATCTGCAAGACAATGGGGGAAATGTCTCCAGGGCATGTCAGAGGTCTTCATGGCAGCCCCTCCCATCACAGGCCTAGAGGCCAAGGAGGAAAAAGTGGTTTTGTGGGCCAGGCCCAGGGTTCCTGGGCTGTGTGCAGCTTAGGGACTTCGTGCCCTGCATCCCAGCTATTCAGGTCACAGCTGAAAGGGGCCAAAGTAGTGGTCAGGCCATGGCTTCAGAGTGTTAAAGCCTCAAGCCTTGGCAGCTTTCACGGGGTGTTGAGCCTGCCAGTGCACAGAAGTCAAGAATTGAGGTTTGGGAACTTCTCCCTAGATTACAGAGGATGTATGGAAATGCCTAGATGTCCAGGAAGAAGTTTGTTGCAAGGCCAGGGTTCTCATGGAGAACCTGTGCTAGGGCAGTGCAGAAGGGAAATGTGGGGTTGGAGCCCCCACATAGAGTCCCTACTGGGGTGCCACCTAGTGGAGCTGTGAGAAGAGAGCCACCATCCTCCAGATTCCAGAACAGTAGATTCAATAACAGCTTGCGCCGTGTGCCTGGAAAAGCCACAGACACTCAATGCCAGCCCATGAAAGCAGCCAGGATGGGTCTATCCCCTGCAAAGCCACAGGGACAGAGCTGCCCAAGACCATAAGAACCCACATCTTGCATCAGCATGACCTGGATGTGAGACACACATTCAAAGGAGATCATTTTGGAGCTTTGAGATTTGACTGCCCTGTTGGATTTCGGACTTGCATGGGCCCTGCAGCCCCTTTATTTTGATCAATTTCTCCCCTTTGGAATGGCTTTTTTTTTTTTTCCCAATGCCTCTACCCTCATTGTACCTAGGAAGTAACTAACTTGCTTTCTTGGATAAGACTTAGGCTCTGAACTTTTGAGTTAATGCTGAAATGTGTTAAGACTGTGGGGAACTGTTGGGAAGGCATGATTTGTTTTAAAATGTGAGGACATGATATTTGGGAGGGGCCAGGGGTGGAATGGTATGGTTTGGCTCTTTCCCCACCCAAATCTCTTCTTATATTGTAACTCCCACAATTCCCATGTGCTGTGGGAGGAAACCAGTGGGAAGTGATTGAATTATGGGAGTGGGTCTTTCCTGCACTGTTCTCAGTATAGTGAATGAGTCTTACAAGATCTGATGGGTTTAAAAATGAGAGTTTCCCTGCACAAGCTCTCTCTTTGCCTGCTGCCATCCACGTAAGATATGACTTGTTCCTCCATGCTTTTGGCCATGACTGTGAGGCCTCCTCAGCCATGTGGAACTGTGAGTTCTCTATTAAACCTCTTTTTCTTCCCAGTCTCAGGTATGTCTTTATCAGCAACATGAAAGCAGACTAATACATATGATAATCAGATCCATGGAGACTAACATTGTATCCCTGAGATTGTGATAAGCACTATGCTCATCACATGAGTAGTATCATGAGAAAAACAACTACCATTCAATGAGAAAAGAAATTGTTTCAAACCTGAATTACACTCTGAGATTCTCCATTGCAGTCCAAAGGACTTGCACATTTAATTAGACCTTTCTAGACATGGATAGTTGAATTATCCAGGAAATAGCTCAATTTTATCTAACAGAAAGGAATCTTAGAGACATTTTGAGTTATCTTCCCCTAACCACCCATAGAAATCTGTGTGTGATAATAATAGCTATCATATATTCAGAGCTTATTACATGCCCTCAATGCTATAGGTATTCTTTGTAACAGCCCTAGAAATTAGAAATATCTTCATTTTATGTACACAAAATAACTGGAGTTTAGAAAGAATAATAACCTATCCAATCAATCATCTGGTAAGTAACAGATGTAGAACAGGTACCTCTGACTCCAAAATTTTTGCTATTAAGAAAAATGTTATTAGAAAATACTGAGGAAAAATGTCAGAAACTGCTTAGTACATTTCTGAAAGAAATCTTTAAGTATTCTTGTTGTTAACTTTTATTTTAGGTGTAGGTTTGTTACATAGGTAAACTACATGTCACAGGGATTTGGTGTGCAGATTATCCTCTCACCCAGGTATTAAGCATAGTACCTAATAGGTAGTTTTTTTAATCTCTCTCCCTCCTCCCACTCTCCAGGACCATGTAGGCCTCTGTGTCTGTTGTCCCTCTCTTTGTGTCTGTCTTATTTCCCTCTTTATGTCCACATGTTTTCATTGTTTAGCTTCCACTTACAAGTGAGAACTTGCAGTATTTGGTTTTCTGTTCCTGTGTAAATTCACTTAGGATAATAGCCTCCACCTCTATCCATGTTGCCGCAAAGGATGTGATCTAGTTATTTTTTAAGGTTTCATAGTATTCCATGATGTGTATGTACCACATTTTCTTTATCCAGGCTACCATTGATGGGCATTTAGGTTGATTCCATGTCTTAGATATTGTGAATAATGCTGCAATGAACATATGTGCAAATTTATCTTTACAGTAGAACAATTTATATTCTTTTGGGTATATATCCAGTGAAGGGAATGCTGGAAGGACTGGTAATTCTGTTTTTATGTCTTTGAGGAATCACCACACTGCTTTTCCAGAGTGGCTGGACTAATTTACACCCCCACAAGCAGAATATAAGTGTTCCTTTTTCCCTGCAGCCTTGCCAGTATGTTATTTTTTTGGGTTTTTGTTTTTTTTTTTTTTTTTGAGACGGAGTCTCGCTCTGTCACCCAGGCTGGAGTGCAGTGGCACTATCTTGGCTCACTGCAAGCTCCACCTCCCAGGTTCATGCTATAATCCTGCCTCAGCCTCCTGGGTAGCTGGGACTACAGGTGCCCACCACCATGCCCAGCTATTTTTTTTTGTATTTTTAGTAGAGACGGGGTTTCACTGTGGTAGCCAGGATGGTCTCGATCTCCTGACCTTGTGATCTGCCTGCCTCAGCCTCGCAAAGTGCTGGGATTACAGGCATGAGCCACCGCGCCCGGCCACCAGCATGTTATTTTTTGACTTTTTAATAATAACCTTTCCAACTGGTGTGAGATGGTACCTCACTGTACTTTTGATTGACATTTCCCTAATGATTAGCAATTTTGAACAATTTTTTCATATGTTGTTGGCCAAATATATGTCTTCTTTTGAAAAGTGTCTGTTTATGTCCTTTGCCCACTTTGTAATAGGGGGGTTGTTTGGTTTTTGCTTGTGGTTTGTTTGAGTTTCTTATAGATTCTGGATATTAGACCTTTTTTGGATGCATAGTTTGCAAATACTTTCTCCCATTCTGTAGGTTGCCTATTTACTCTTTTCATAGTTTCTTTTGCTATGAAGAAGTTCTTTAGTTTAATTAGGTCCCATTTGTCAATTTTTGTTTTTGTTGCAATTGCTTTTGGCACCTTCATAATGAAATCTTTGCCAGCTCATATGTCCAGGATGGTATATCCTAGGTTATCTTCCAGGATTTTAACCATTTTAGGTTTTACATTTAAGACTTTATTCCATCTTGAGTTGATTTTTTTATATGGTGTAAGGAAGGGGTCCAGTTTCAATCTTCTGCATATGGCTAGCTAGTTAACCCAGCATAATTTATTGACTATAAAGTCCTTTCCCCATTGCTTGATTTTGCCAGCTTTGTCAAAGATCAGATGGTTGTAGGTGTGCAGCACTACTTCTGGGCTCTCTATTCTGTTCCACTGGTCTACATTTCTGTTTTTGTAGCAGTACTATGCTATTTGGGTTATTGTAACTCTGTAGTATAGTTTGAAGTTGGGTAACGTGATGTCTCCAGCTTTGTACTCTTTGCTTAGTATTTCCTTGTCTATTCAGACTCCTTTTTGGTTCCATATGAATTTTAAAATAGTTTTTTTTTTTTCTAATTCTGGAAAGAATGTGGGAATAGCATTGAATCTGTAAATTGCTTTAGCCAGTATGGCCATTTTAACAATATTGACTCTTCCTATCCATGAATATGGAATGTTTTTCCATTTGTGTCCTCTCTGATTTTTTTTAGCAGAGTTTTGTGATTCTAATTGTTGCAATTTTCCATCTCTCTAGTTAGTTGTATTCCTGAGTATTTTATTCTTTTTTGGCTATTGTGAATGAGATTGTGTTCCTGATTTGGCTTTCAACTTGGCTGTCATTGGTGTATAGGAATGCTACTAATTTCTGTACATTGATTTTGTATTCTGAAACTATGCTGAAGCTGTTTATCAGATCAAGGAGCTTTTGGGCAGAGGCTATTCTCTTCTAGGCATAGAATCATATCATCTGCAAACAGGGATAGTTTGACTTCCTCTCTTCCTATTTGGATGTCTTTTATTTCCTTCTCTTGCCTGACTGCTCTGGTTAGGACTTCCAGTATGATGCTAAATGGGTGTATTGAGAGGCCATCCCTTGTTTTGTTCTGATTTTCAAGGGAAGTGCTTCCAGCTTTTTTCCATTCAGTATGAGGTTGGCTGTGGGTTTGTCATAGATAGCTCTTATTATTTTGAAGTATGTACCTTCAGTGCCTACTTTATTGAGGGCTTTTTTAACACAAAGGAATGATAAATTTTATCTTTAGTCTTTTCTATGTCTATTGAAATAATCATTTGGATTTTTTATTTCTAGTTCTGTTTATGTGAAGAATAACATTGATTGACTGGCATATATTAAGCCAACTTAGCATCCCAGGTATAAAGCCTATTTGGTCATGGTGGTTTAGCATTTAAATGTTCTGCTGGATTTGGTTTTCTAGTATTTTGTTAAGGATTTTTGCATCTAGGTTCATCAAGAATATTGGTCTGAAGTTTTCTTTCTTTGTTGTGTCTCTGCCAGGTTTTGGTTTCAGAATGATATTGGCTACATAAAATGAGTTAAGGAGGCCCTTCTCCTCAATTTCTTGAAATAGTTTCAGTAGGAACACTACCAGCTCTTCTTTATATATATGATAGAATTTGGCTATGACTCTATCTGGTCCTGGGTGTTTTTTGGTTGGTAGACATTTTATTACTGATTCAATTTTGGTATTCATTATTCATCTTTTCAGGGATTCAACTTCTTGGTTCAATCTTGGGAGGTTGTATATGTCCAGGAAACTATCCATTTATTCTGAGTTTTCTGGTATGTGTGCATAGAGATATTCATAGTAGTCTGTGAGGGATTTTTTTATTTTTGTGAGGTCAGTAGTAATATCCCCTTTATCATTTCTGATTGTGTTTATTTGGATCTTCTCTCTTTTTGCCTTTATTAATCAAGCTAGTGGTCTATATATCTTATTAATTTTTCAAAAACTCACTCTTGGACTTGTTGAGGAGTTTGTTATGTATTGTTTTTCATATCTCAATTTCCTTCACTTCAGTTCCAATTTTGGTTATGTCTTGTCTTCTGCTAGCTTTGGGATTGGTTTGTTCTTGTTTCTCTCATTCCTCTAGTAGTGATGTTAAGTTGTTAATTTGAGATATATCTAAATTTTTGACATGGTATTTAGTACCATAACCCTCTTAATACTGCCTTAGCTCTGTCCAAGAGATTCTGGTATGTTTTATTTTTGTTCTCATAACTTTTGAAGAATTTCTTGATTTCTATCTTAATTTTATTTTTTACCCAAAGTCTTACAGGATCAGGTAGTTTAACTTCCATGTAATTGTATGATTTTGAGCAGTTTTTTTAGCATTGATTTCTATTTTTATTGGGCTGTAGTCCATGAGTGCCTTTGGTACAATTTCAGTTATTTTTAGTTTGCTGAGAATTGTTTTATGTCCAATTGTTTGGTCAGTTTTAGAATATGTGCCATGTGGTGATGAGAAGAATGTATATTCTGTTGTTTTGGGGTGGAGATTTCTGTAGACGTCTATTAGATCCATTTGGTCAAATGTTGAGTTCAGGTTCTAAATATCTTTGTTAATTTTCTGCCTTGATGATCTGTCTAATGCTATCAGTGGGGTGTTGAAGTCTCTCACTATTATTGTGTGGAAGTCTAAGTCTCTTCATAGGTCTGTAAGAACTTGCTTTATGAACCTGGGTGCTCCAGTATTGGGTACATATATATTTAGAATAGTTAGGTCTTCTTGTTGAATTGAATCTTTTACTATTATGCAATGCCCTTCTTTGTCTCTTCTGATCTTTGTTTCTTTAAAGTCTGTTTTGTCTGAAATTAGTATAGCAATCCCTGCTTTTTTTTTGTTTTACATATTCTTGATAGATTTTTCTTCATTGCTTTATTTTGAGCCTATGAATGTCATTGCATGTGAAATGAGTCTCTTTAAGGCAGCACATCGTTGGGTCTTCCCTCTTTATCCAACTTGCCACCCTGTGCCTTTTAACTGGGGGCATTCAGACTGTTTAAATTCAAGGTTGATATTGATACATGTGGATTTGTTTTGGTGATTATGTTTTTAGCTGGTTATTATGCAGACTTGTTTTTGTGGTTGCTTTATAGTGTCAATTGTCAGTGTACTTAACTGTGTTTTTGTAGTGGCTGGTAACGGTCTCCCCTTTTGATATTTATCACTCCTTTCAGGACCTCCTGTAAGGCAGGTCTGGCGGTAATTAATTCCCTCAGCATTTGCTTTTCTGAAAAGGGTCTTATTTCTCCTTTGCTTATAAAGCTTAGTTTGGCTGGGTTTGAAATTGTTTGGAGTTTCTTTTCTTTAAGAATGCTGAATATAGGCCCCCAATTTCTTCTGGCTTGTAGGGTTTCTGCTGATTGGTCCATTGTTAGCTGATAGGGTTCCCTTTGTAGGTAATGTTCCCCTTCTCTCTAGGGGCCTTTAACATTTTTTTTTCTTTCATTTTGACCCAAGATCTGATGGCTATGTGTCTTAGGGATGATCTTCTTGTATAGTGTCTCACAGGAGTTCTCTGCATTTCCTGAATTTGAATGTTGGCTTCTCTAGTGATAGTGGGGAAGGTTTCATGGATGATACCCTGAAATATATTTTCCAAGGTTCTCGCTTTCTCCCCATTTCTTTCAGGAAACTCAATAAGTCACAGATTTGGTTTCTTTATGTAATTCCACATTTCTCAGAAGTTTTGTTTATTCTTTTTCATTCCTCTTAACTTTTTTCTGACTGAGTTAGTTCAGAGAGCCAATCTTCAATCTCTGAGATTCATCCCTCAGCTTGGTCTGTTCTGCTGTTAATACTAATGATTGCATTATGAAATTCTTGTAGTGTGTTTTTTAGTTCTATCAGATCAGTTTGTGTCTTTCTTATAATGGTCATTTTATCTATCAGCTGTATTTTTTTATTGTAACATTTACATCCTTAAATTGGATTTTGACTTGCTCCAGAATCTCGATGATCTTCATTTATATTCATATTCAGAATTCTACTTCTGTCATTTCAGATATTTCCGCCTGGTTAAGAACCCCTGCTGGGGAACTAGTGTGGTTTTTTAGAGGAAAGAAGTCACTCTGGCTTTTTAAGTGGCCAGAGTATTTGCACTGGTTCTTTCTTATCTGTGTGTGCTGGTGTTTCTTTAACTGTGATGAAAATTAAGTACAGTCAACAGACTTCTTATATGGATGTTTTTAGAGGGCTGACAATTTGTGCCAGGTCTCTATTTATAGCTAAATTATTGTCTTGGTTTCACAGGGGGGTGTATTAGCAAAGTATTTTTGATATTGAAGTTCTGGGCTGTGATTCCGTAGGTGACACTTATGTGTAATGGCCAGTAGGTAGGCTCTTGCTCAGCCACAGGGCTCCTTTGCATTCCCTCATGATTGCACCTGTGCTCCCTCTCAGTCCTCTGAAAGTGTGGACTCCTCTCCCACTTATGTGCTGGCTACAAATGTTGACTTGTCATTCCCAGGCTGCACACCGCAGCTCTGGGGTGAGCTCAGTCTTTATGTTCTCTTCCCAGAGGCAGCAGGGGAAGGGATCTTGGCAGTGGTTGTGGCAGAGGAAACTTTCACTTGTCTCTTGGGACTCCACTCCAGGGAAATGCAGAGCTACTATCAATCAGTATGACTGACCTATGGTAGGGCAGTTGCACTGTGGCCTAAGCCAGGGGGGCTCTGCGTGATGATGTACAGGGTGGATGCATCATGGGAGAGACAGACTGGTCTCTTCTTCTTAGGGCAACTTCAGCTTGCTGGAGGTGTAGTTAAAGCACTCAGGGTCTTTGCTCCTTCCCCAATCTAAGGGCAGCAAGGGCAGTACCACTGCAGTGGCAGAGGAGTTTTTGGTTGTCTCTGGGAGCTCATCCTTGGAGAAAAGTGGAACCACTGCCACTGGGAATGTTCAGCCAGGGTTAGGGTGACTGCACAGCTGGCCCAAGCTGGGGCCTCTACTTGGGGAAGAGCAGGGGCTCAAGTGCTCCCAGGGAGAAAAGACTGGGCTCCTCTCTGTATGGTGACTGTGTTGTGCTGGAAGTGCGAGTAAAGCCCTCAGACTCTTTGGTTCTTCCACAGACCAAGGTCAGCAGGGCCAGAACCACTGCCATGGCAGTGCCAGAGAGAGCCCTAGGGAGCTCTAGGAGCCACTCCCCAGGGAAACACAAAGCCACTACCAGTGGTTGTACATAGCTGGGGTTAGGGCGGCTGTTCTGTGGTCCTGAGCTGGAGGCCCTGCCTGGTGAAGAGTGGGGGCATGGGGGTTCTCAGTGAAGAGAGACTGGGCTCCTCTCTATTTGGTGGCTGCAGTGTGCTGGAGGTGCCACTGTAACAACCAGGCCCTTTGTTCCTTCCCCAACCTGAGAGTGGTTAGGGTGGTACCACTGCAGCTGCAGTAGTGGAGAGGCTATGGGTTGTCTCTGGGATTTCCTCCTCAGAGAAGTGCAAAGCTACCTCCCACTGAAGTGTCCAGGCAGAGGCAGGATAGTTATGCTGGAGTCCCAGGTCTGGAGGCCCAACCCAGTGAGGAGAAGCGGGGTTAGAACAATCTGGACACTTTGTGGGGCAGCTGCACTGTGCTGGGGATCCGCGCTAGTCCCTAATCATGGCACACCATCTAGAGCCTGAGGGCAACAGGAGTGAGGGCTGTGAGGCAGCAGAAATGGGGGCTGCCTCTTCCTCTGGGAGCACCATCCCAGGAAAATGCAGAGCTGCTACTTGCCCCAGAGCACAGGCATGCCTGGTGTGGCCATGCTAGGGTCCCAGGCCAGTGGGCCTTATCCTGCGAGGTGCAGTAGAGGTGAGGCCTGCAGTCTGTCACTGCTCAGCCCTGTAGACTTGGCCCCCTTCCTGGGGGTGTATGAGGAAGCCTGACCTTCCCCATTGCCGGAGCTGCAGCTGCTAATGTCGGGATGCCCAAGGATCCAAGGCTCCTGGGACTGCACATATGCCTGGGCCGTGGTTCTGCCCAGATTCATGTAGCTTTCCAGGTCAGTCTGGAGGCCTTACTGAGGAGACTCATGGGGATCTCCTGAGCCCAGCGTTGCAAAAGTTGATGGCAGAAGTGTGAGTCCCCAGGGACAACCACTCACTTACCATTTACCCACAGTGGGGGGCAGGGGCTCCCCTGTCTCCTGCTACTCCCAGGAGGGCAGTTGTCCTGTCTCGCTGCTCCTCTCTGTTCTCCAAGAATGGAGTTGGTTTTTTGATGAATCCCAGTGCAATGTGTCCATCTGGATGTTCCAGTTGAAGAGTTAGTATTTACCTACTACTCTTTTTTCTCTCCTTGAAGGCACACACTAGCTGCTTCTAGTCAGACATTTGGCCCTACCCGCCAAGAATTCCATTTGTTTGTAAATAACTTTGAGAGATGGCATGAGAAAATAACAATAATAATAATAATAATAATACCTACAAGTTACTGTGTGCCAGACTTTTCTAAGTGCTTTACATATGTAAACTTATTTAGTCTTTCTTAAAACCATTTGAAGTAGGTTCTATTATGATCGCCATTTTAAAGATGAGAAAAGTGAAAAATAAAAAAATAAAAAGGGTTAACCAACACCTAAACAGTAGGTATTTGGAATCTTTAAAACAGAAGCAAAAATTCTCACTGATATAATCACACTTCTATGGTTGAGTATGATGTGACTAACAAAGGTCATGAAACAAAAGATAACTAACTACTTATACATTGCCAGTGGAATAAACTGTATTTATTAAGTATGTTCCTATGTAAGACAAAGAAGCATTTAGAGCCAGTTGTGAAATCTCCTTTCTCTGCTGGAAACGAGAGGAAATTAAGGCAATGAGAAATAGAAGAGGTTATCCACTCCAGTGGCAGCTAGAGGGGTCCTAGCAGTGTGCATAGGCTTTCTTTGGTGGATGGAAAGTGAGAGAGAGAGAGGATAGAAAGAGTAAAATGAAAATGATGTGGGCTGTATTTCTGTGGTTTTAGTTCCATTCATTTTGTTAAAATCGTGTCCTGTGATTCCGACCTATAAGTCTGTCTCTCCCTCAGGCAGAAGAGGTACAGATCTGAGCAGCCCAGGGGTGAATGTTGCCAGGACCACACTACCATGAAAGGAATAATGCCATGACTATGAGAATCTTGACCTTAGTGTCAAAGGAGAAAGAATGGCCAGGGCTGAGTAATTGAAGCCCTTTCTATCTTTTATTTTTCTCAGGTACCTGAGGAACAAGTCTCTTTTCATTTCCAACCTGCCTTGTGTTAAAAAGCACTGAATTACTTAAACAATGTGAATGGATTAGGCAGACATGGAATACAAATCACAGAAGTTATCCTAGAAATCATTCTATAATAGAATATAATTACAGGAACTAAAACTGGAGAAAATGGCAGATATTGTTCAGTCCAACTGCTTGAGAGAGGAGGTAAATACTGGTGAGGCCCAGGGGCTATTCATCAAAGCAGAGCATCAACGCAGATTTTTTTTGTTTTGTTTTTAATAAGAATCCAGGCAGAGGCAGGAGTCATCACCAGTTAGCAAAATAACTAGGCAAATTCTAATTTATAAGCTAGATCTTGGCACATGAAAAGAGCGTAAGGACAAATAAACAAACAAAAATTAGGCCAGAAGCAAGAGACAGACAAGAACCAAAGAACCAGAAGGACATGAATTTCAGAATATATAGAACAAGGTAGAATGTTCCAAATGCAAAAAAAAAAAAAAAAAAAAAAAAAAAAAAAAAAAAAAACTCTGTCAGAAACGTGAATTATTTTCAGCATCTTTGGTCCTGGTCTCTCTTCCAGGGTGGATTTGCCCAAAAGCTTCAGGGCCCCTTCTGGCCACAATTAACCCTGGGGCCACCCACAGGCAGAAGGTATTACAAAACAGGTCAGAGATCAAACATCCTTACTAGAGAATCAGAGCTCACCTATCTCATGCTTTTAAAAATGCCTTTTTTCCCTTCTGACTTCCCCAACTTTAAGTCATGCTTCTTCATACTGCAACTCATTTCACGATTCAATCTGCCTAGGGCAATGGTGCCTGCTCTCCTTTGAGTCCTGCACCTACCTCCAGAACTCCATGTTCACTCATTTCCTCCCTCCTGCCCTTCTTTGCTATGTAATAAGACACAATTTCCATGAGGACTGGGACTACATCAAGGTACCCAATATATATTCATCATGGCTGAATGTATTCATCCATATCTAGGAAATACTTTTTGAACATTCAAGATCTCTGTGCTTTATAGTTCCTCATCCATGTAAATGGGGATATAATTGAGTCTACCTAGTGTTGTGAGGATTAATTGAGATAAATTAAGCAAAGCACACAGCACGGGGTTACCACTATGGAGGGTTCGCCATCATAATTATTGTATTAGTCTATTCTTGCATTGCTATAAAGAACTACCTGAGACTGGGTAATTTACAAAGAAAAGAGATTTAACTGACTCACAGTTCCACAGACTGTACAGGAAGCATGGCTGGGGAGGCCTCAGGAAGCTTACAATCATGGCAGAAGGTGAAGGGGAAGCAGGCATGTATTACATGACCAGAGAAGGAGAATGAGAGAGTGAAGGGGGAGGTGCTACGCATTTTAAAACAACCAGATCTCATGAAAACTTACTCACTATCATGAGAACGGCAAGGGGGAAGTCCGCCCCCATGATCCAGTCACCTCCCACCAGGCCCCTCCTCCAACACGGGATTACAATTTGACGTGAGATTTGGGTAGGGACACAGATCAAAACCCTATCAATTATCACTACAGTTAGCCAATTATGTGGGAACTGAAACTCCAAACTAGCTCTGACATCTCACTACAGGGCCATTTCTCATGCTCCTGGGTCTGTTATGCAGTCTAGAACATAGGACACCTGCAGGAACTAAGAGGAAAATATTGAATAAGGAGGGCAGATATCCTGTTCCTACACAAGAAAGCACCTTTATAAGTGAAACCAGATTTTATGTGTTTGCTTGACTTTTTCTTTTTGGCCACAACTCAGAGGTTTAAACATAGTATCTGTGAATACATGAAACAATCCCAGCATGGCCTGCCTGGATGAACTGGTAATGAAGAACACCTGGCTCAGGTGGAGGGCAAATATATGTGCAGAGGAAAACAGCTGATTCCAGCAGGCAGCCCCTGATGTTGGTAACATGAAGTTGGGCATCGTTGAACTGTTCCTAAAGCTATTCCTGTAATATGCCCCATTTTTCTTCCCACTTCATGTTGCCCTGTACTCCTACTGTTATTTTCCTCTGAATTTTGGTTTCAGCTGTGTGGAAGGCTGGTGCAGGAGGAAGAGAAATCTCCCTTGGTAAAATTTATTACTGTAGGGCTGACAACTGAGATGCAAGACATCATGATTTTTTTCCAGTCTGGCTCAGAGATCCCTGCAGGATTTTGGCATAAGAACCCACTCATGAAACTGCTAGCAATTCTTTTGCTTGTCTTGATAATAGTTAACCCACCTCTGCTTTGTTTCCCTGTTGGATCCCAGTCCCTGAACTTGCTCACTCCTGTGATGCTGAATTGGAGTAACTCTCCTGCTCTATTACAAGCTACTAATACAAGAAATTAAAATGTTATCTTGTGGTAGTACCTACAATAGCATACAAAATAATTGAAGCCAAATAATTTAATTAATGGACAAACCCGTAAAAGGTGTTAATCACACAAAAAGACCTGTAAAAAGAAAGTAAATGTAACCAATATAAATGATTTAGACATTTATAGATAAAGAAAAATTCATATTGTGGTTACTATGGCGTTTCTAATTGCAAAGAAATATAATTGCATAGAAATTTGATCTTTTCTTAGTGCAGATATTGCTACTTATCTGTCACAAAGAAAAACTCTGAAATCTATTAAAGTAAGGAAACAGAAGAGGAAGGAGATACATTTCTTACCATTTAAGTACATAAAATTCAGAGTGAAGCAAAAAGAATGACCTTCAACTAGCCTCTTTGGCTGACTGAGAGTTCTTAAGTGTGAAAATAACTTCTGCATCCTCTTCTAAATGCTGTAATATTGAGAATGAGGTGTCTCTGAGTGGAGAAAGAGTTTAAAGTTTCAGGTCTCTGATAGAGAAAGCTTTCTCCCAACTTGAGAGCTTAACCCTGAGGAGTAGGCTGCCATAACCCTGTGCCTCATAAACGCATTGCGAGCTGGTTTGGACAGACTCAGATGCCTCCCTATCCAAGGATTTAGTTTAAAATGGAGCCCAAATTATATCTTTAGCAATTGTAGAAAATGGAAGGGAGAAAGGCTATTTGACCTGATCCTTTGAGTGATATAGCAACAAATCCCTTCTTTGAAACCGCATTAACTCGTAGCAAGTACTCAGAATCCATTTAATAAATTGCTCATTTCTAGTGACCTGAAAGAGTTAAGATACCTCTAAATACCAAGCAGTTCTTGACCTTCTGGATAGCAGGAGGTAAGATGAGTTATTAAGAGAAATATGAAGTATAGTAGTTCATATATGAGGTGTGGTTATGCATTAAATTTCAGCAATGAATACCGCTTTGTGAAATGTACTGATTAAAACAATCAACATGACCATAAATGGTGTTAACCACACAGAAGGACCTGGAAACTTAAACCAAATGTGAGAATAATTATTGAAAATAAATTGATATATAGGAATGCTTGTGATTTTTGCACATTGATTTTGTATCCTGAGACCTTGTTGAAGTTGGTTATCAGCTTAAGGAGTTTTGGGGCTGAGATGATGGGGTATTCTAAATCATGTCATCTGCAAACAGAGACAATTTGACTTCCTCTCTTCCTATTTGAATATGCTTTATTTCTTTCTCTTGCCTGATTGCCCTGGCCAGAACTTCCAACACTATTCTGAATAGGAGTAGTGAGAGAGGGCATCCTTGTCTTGTGCTCGTTTTCAAAGGGAATGCTTCCAGTTTTGCCCATTCAGTATAATATTGGCTGTAGGTTTGTCATAAATAGCTCTTATTATTTTGAGATACATTCCATCAATACCTAGTTTATTGAGTGTTTTTAGTATGAAGGGGTATTGAATTTTATCGAAGGCCTTTTCTGCATCTATTGATATAATCATGTGTTTTTTGTCATTGGTTCTGTTTATGTGAAGGATTATGTTTATTGATTTGTGTATGGTGAACCAGCCTTGCATCCCACGGATGAAGCCAATTTGATCATGGTGGATAAGCTTTTTAATGTGTTGCTGGATTCAGTTTGCCAGTATTTTATTGAGGATTTTCACATCGATGTTCATCAGTTATATTGGCCTGAAATTTTCTTTTTTTGTTGTGTCTCTGCCAGGTTTTGGTATCAGGATGATGCTGGCCGCATAAAATGAGTTAGGGAGGAGTCCCACTTTTTGTATTGTTTGGAATAGTTTCAGAAGGAATGTTACCAGCTCCTGTTTGTACCTCTGGTACAAAGAATTCGGCTGTGAATCTGTCTGGTCCTGGGAATTTTTGGTTGTAGGCTATTAATTACTGCCTCAATTTCAGAACTTGTTATTGATCTATTCAGGCATTCTACTCTTTCCTGGCTTAGTCTTGGGAGGGTGTATGTATCCAGGAATTTATCCATTTCTTCTAGATTTTCTAGGTTATTTGCGTAGAGGTGTTTATGGTATTCTCTGATGGTAGTTTGTATTTCTGTGGGATCAGTGGTGATATCCCCTTTTTCATTTTTTATTGTGTCTATTTGATTCTTCTCCCTTTTCTTCTTTATTAGTCTGGCTTGTGGTCTATCTATTTTGTTAATCTTTTGAAAAAACTGGCTCCTGGATTCATTGATGTTTTGAAAGGTTTTTTATGTCTCTATCTCCTTCAGTTCTGCTCTAATCTTAGTTATTTCTTGTCTTCTGCTAACTTTTGAATTTGTTTGCTCTTGCTTCTCTAGTTATTTTAACTGTGATGTTAGGGTGTCCATTTTAGATCTTTCCCACTTTCTCATGTGGGCATTTAGTGCTATAAATTTCCCTCTAAACACTGTTTTAGCTTTGTTCCAGAGATTCTGCTACATTGTGTCCTTGTTCTCATTGGTTTCAAAGAACTTACTTATCTCTGCCATAATTTTGTTATTTACCCAGTAGTCATTCAGGAGCAGGTTGTTTAGTTTCCATGTAGTTGTGCAGTTTTGAGTGAATTTCTTAATCCTGAGTTCTAATTTGATTGCACTGTGGTCTGAGAGACTGTTTGTTATAATTTCTGTTCTTTTGCAATTGCCTAGGAGTGTTTTACTTGCAATTATTTGGTCAAGTTTAGTATAACTGCTATGTGGTGCTGAGAAAAATGTACATTCCGTTGGTTTGGGGTGGAGAGTTCTGTAGATGTCTATTAGGTCCACTTGGTCTGAGCTGAGTTCAAGTCCTGAATATCCTTGTTAATTTTCTGTCTCATTGATCTGTCTAATATGGACAGTGGGGTGTTAAAGTCTCCCACTATTATTGTGTGGGAATCTAAGCATGAGTGAACTCCCATTCACAATTGCTAAAGAGAGAATAAAATACCTAGGAATACAACTTACAAGGGATGTGAAGGACCTTTTCAATGAGAACTACAAACCACTGCTCAAGGAAATAAGAGAGGACACAAACAAATGGAAAAGCATTTCATGCTCATGGATAGGAAGAATCAATATCATGAAAATGGCCATACTGCCCAAAGTAATTTATAGATTCAATGCTATCCCCATCAAGCTACCATTGACTTTCTTCACAGCATTAGAAAAAAACTACTCTAAATTTCATATGGAACCAAAAAAGAGTCCATATAGCCAAGACAATCCTAAGCAAAAAGAACAAATCTGGGGGCATCATGCTACCTGACTTCATAGTATACTACAAGGCTACAGTAACCACAACAGCATTGTACTGGTAACAAAACAGATATATAGACCAACGGAAAAGAATAGAGGCCTCAGAAATAATTCTGCACATCCACAATCATCTGATCTTTGACAAACCTGACAAAAACAGGCAATGGGGAAAGGATTCCCTATTTAATAAATGGTGTTGGGAAAACTGGCTAGCCATATGCAGAAAACTGAAACTGGACCCCTTCCTTACACCTTATACAAAAATTAACTCAAAATGGATTAAAGGCATATATGTAAGACCTGAAACCATAAAAACCCTAGCAGAAAACCTGGACAACACCACTCAGGACATAGGCATGGGCAAAGACTTCATGACTAAAACTCTAAAAGCAATGGCAACAAAAGCCAAAATTGACAAGTTGGATCTAATTAAACAAAAGAGCTTCTGCACAGCAAAAGAAACTATCATCAGAGTTAACAGGCAACCTACAGAATGGGAGAAAATTTTTGCAATCTATCCATCTGACAAAGGACTAATATCCAGAACCTACAAGGAACTTAAACAAATTTGCAAGAAAAAAACAAACAACCCCATCAAAAAGTGGACGAAGCATATGAACAGACACTTCTCAAAAGAAGACATTTACGTGTCCAACAAACATATGCAAAAAAGCTCATCATCGCTGGTCATTAGAGAAATGCAAATCAAAATCGCAATGAGATACCATCTCACTCCAGTTAGAATGGCGATTATTAAAAAGTCAGGAAAAAAAAGATGCTGGAGAGGATGTGGAGAAATGGGAATGCTTTTACACTGTAGATGGGAGTGTAAATTAGTTCAACCATTGTAGAAGACAGTGTGGCAATTCCTCAAGGATCTAGAACCAGAAATACCATTTGACCCAGCAATTTCATTACTGGATACATACCAAAAGGATTATAAATTATTTTACTATAAAGACACATGCACACATATGTTTATTGCAGCACTATTCACAATAGCAAAGACTTGGAATCAACCAAAATGCCCATCTATGATAGACTGGATAAAGAAAATGTGGCACATATACACCATGGAATACTATGCAACCATAAAAAAGAGTGAGTTTATGTCCTTTGCAAGGACATGGATGAAGCTGGAAACCATCATTCTCAGCATACTAACACAGGAACAGAAAACCAAACACCAAATGTTCTCACTCATAAGTGGTAGTTGAACAATGGGAACACATGGACACAGGGAGGGGAACATCACACACCATGGCCTGTTGTGGGGTGGAGGGCAATGGGAGGGATAGTATTAGGAGAAATACCTAATGTAGATGACGGGTTGATGGGTGCGGCAAACCACCATGGCACATGTATACCTATGTAACAAACCTGCACATTCTGCACATGTATTCCAGAACTTAAAGTATTAAAACAACAACAAAAGAAAGAAAATAAATTGAGATATTGAAACAAGCTATAACAAGATCTACAAACACATTTCTAGTTAGATACACTCAGAATTTATGCACACTCATTCCTTTGATCTCTGTTGGGGATGGCTGTTCAACTCCTTTGACATTTCATAGATCAGAGGAGATCTGGAGACTTATGTTTTAGGAAGGACAGAGAAGAGAGGTCATCAATGGTCTACCTCTGTAGACACAACCAGGCGTTGCTTCTCCCGCTTTGGGGATCTTCCTTCCCCTTAGGTACCTGAAGTGATAAGACTGTGGTGACATCCAATTATACTTTGATTGTATCTAGTCCTGTCTCCAAACCCATTTTCTTAATATAAAATGAAATCATAAGCTAAGCCTTTGTCAGAAGAGATTTATATAGTAGTGATAAACTATTTTACAATACGTATCCTCATTACATTCATTTTTCATGCCAATTAGCCTAAGTAAATTTTATATAATATGTAAACCTAACTGAAAAGAGTAACATTTACTGTGTTTGGTTAAGTTCAGCTTTTATGTTATTATCAGTATCTGAAGACAGGAAAACTTACACATAGTAAAATACACTTCATAAGCAATATGCACCATTTAATATTGTTACTCACTATAAAATATTTATGAGTTAATAAATATTTGTGAGATATTTTGTTTTAAAAATTTCAGTGTTAAATATGTTTATATATACATATTGATACATAACTATCTTCAACTATATATTTACAGTTGGATATAAATATATATTATATATATATAAAACTGTATTATTAATGTAGTTAAGCAGAAAATGTATTCATCACTTTCAGCAGATAAGACTTAATGGAATGATAATAACACCCAATGCCTAGTTTCTGGCATATATTATTTGTTTGATACTTATAACTCATTCATAGGACATTTACTGGTAAGAATTAATCTTTCTTTTTTTCATTACCTCATTGTACGCAATATGGTTTTCTTATTTTAATCAATGTTACGCAAGTCTTTATTATTTTAAAAATTTGAATGATCCTTGAGTGCAAATTGCCATGTTGTCAACAGTTGCATCTTTGAAAAATATCTTTCAGACTTCAGAAAGGCAGTCATGCACAGGATAACTTTCTAATAATAACACTTGAATTGAGTAAAGGACTCTTCAAATTTCTAATGCCTAGACTTCCAGAATCTTTAGCAATCACATGCCAGGAAGATATCTACTGGCCCACTATTAAGTATCTGATTAGTTATAGTTGAAGAATCCCAAGAGGCATGGGGACAAAATAGTGCTTAAGCATAATCCAAAATACAGTTTCATTTCTGGCTAAAATTTGAAAGCAAAAGTGCAACTAATTTTTCTTTGAAGTGGTATTTCTCAAAAATGTCATTTCTGATATATTTCTTAAATTTACATATTTCCCTGAACATAGATATCTATATTAACTTTGATTTGAAGAACTCAGGGAATTATTGTTATTGTTACTATTATTACTTTTATTTTGCTGAATATGAACAAGTTAATGTAAAGCATGTCAACCCAAGTAGTTCTTAAATTCATTTTATAACTGGATAATATGGCCAGGCGCAGTGGCCGACACCTGTAATCCCAGTGCTTTGGGAGGCCAATGCGGGCAGATCACCTGAGGTCAGGAGTTCGAGACCAGCCTGGCCAACATGGTAAAACTCTGCCTCTAGTAAAAAAAATTACAAAAATTAGCTGGGTGTGGTGCCATGCCCCTGGAATCCCAGCTACTCAGGAGGCTAAGGCAGGAGAATCGCTTAAACCAGGGAGGTGGAGATTGCAGTGAGCCTAGATCGTGCCACGGCACTACAGCCTGGGTGATGGAGTGAGACTCCATCTCAAAATAAATAAAAAATAAAAAAACTGGATAATGTAAGGGAGCTACACTGTAGGGACCTACATTAGGTCTAATATGCCTTCATAAGATGATCTAAAGGTGTTATTACTATGTTTGTATGTTAACTTACAGATCCATTAATTCCCTTTACGGTGCCTTTAACATCTTTTTGGGCCATTTTATTTTCTTACCTGAGCCTCAGAATATTTGATTTGTTCAGCAGTGGCCCTGCAAACTGTCACCATGTTGTATGGGAATATCAGTGAAGTATTCCACCATGGTGCTGTTCTGAGCTATCCAGTAAATATTGTGGATTATTTAAGCAGTTTTTATATATTACACATATTTGTACATTTTATGTGGTTATACATATTTATAAGTTTTTAAAAGAATCATTTTGTTTACTTGTACAGTTCAAGTTTATTGGGAAATATACATTTATGAATGTTTTAAACCATGTTATCGATTATATGAATACTCATTTAGTTACTTAGCCCCAAACCCTTAGAAATTTCTTTGCCACTGATGACTGTACATTTTATTTATGGTAAACATTTTGCGAAGTTCAACTTTGTAAATTATTTTCTCTTTTTGAATAACAATAATAAGAGTTGCTAGCTAATAATTTATATTTTGGTGTTAGAAGTCATTTGGGAATTTTCTTAAAAAAGTACATAAGATAGTGATAAAATTGACGGGGTGCAGTGGCTCGCACCTGTAATCCCAGCATTTTGGGAGGCCAAGGTGGGTGGATCATGAGGTCAGGAGTTCAAGACCAGCCTGGCCAACATAGTGAAACCCCATCTCTACTAAAAATGCAAAAAAAATTATCCAGGCTTGGTGGCAGGCGCCTATGGTCCCAGCTACTTGGGAGTCTGAGGCAGGAGAATCGCTTGAACCCAGCAGGTGGAGGTTGCAGCGAGCTGAGATTGTGCCACTGCACTCCAGCCTGGGCGACAGAGTGAGACTCTGTCTCAAAACAAACAAACAAACAAAAGACAGTGATAAAATCATTTCTAATTAGAAATAATTCAAAGCTACTTGAAAGAAGAAACCTCTAAAATGTCCTGTCTACTCTTTAAACCATAAGCAACATGCTGAGCTTCAATCATTCAAATGAATATTTATTGTTTGCCTACTTTGCTGCAGGTAACTGATTAAAAAATAGAGATACAAATATGAAAAAGATTTTCACAATTTTCTAATTTTTTGTATTTAAATACCATTAAAATTGTCTACTCATTTGATTCATATTATTACAGCATATAATACATGTTAGATTATAACACTTATAAACACTATATTATTTGAAGATACCTTATTATTACCTGACAAGGTCTAGAGGAGTGTGTCATTCTGTTGCCATTCTAATTATTCTTCCCCTCTTCTTCATAGCCAACATTTTAAAAGAGTTCTCATTACTCATTATTTTCATTGCCTCACCCCTCATTAACAAGTAAACATAGTCTTATTTGCATTACACTTAGCAGTTCATCAAAACAACTTTAATGTTTCCAGGAACTTATTGGTTACTAATCCAAATGGACACTTAGCATCTCATCTCTTCCTTGGCCTATTCGCTGCCATTGGCACAACTCCTTCCTTCTTGAAGCAACACTGTGCCTTGAACTCTGTAATACCACCGTACCCTAGTTTTCCTTCTGTCTCATTGGATGCTAAAACTGTCTTCTTTGCGTTATTTTATTCTATCGGCAGCTAAAATATCTAGGTTCCTTAAGGCTTTGTCCTAGACAATTTAGTTTTCCACCTATCAAGCTAGCTCCTGAATTTGCATGACTTGAAGGCAAATCAAACAGTATATCAAGAAACAACTGAATATTTCCCCCACCGTTGTCAACTTCCCCAATCTGGTCATCTTCTTGTATTTTCTTCCTTAGAAAATGGCACCATTATTTATCCACTTGCTTCACCACAAATCTACAGACCTTTCTTCTTACCTCACTTTCCCTCACTCTCATTTCTAATTTGTCTCAAAATCTTCACTATCTCTCAGGTTGACCACTTTTATTCCATCTTCAGCATTACCATCTTAATAAATACTACCACCATCTCTCATCTGGTCTATCGTAATATACTACCACCTGATCTCCCTTATATTCACTCTTCCCCATCCTCTCTCATCTTAGACAAAGTAATCATTCCAAAAACCATTTTGAATATATGTCAATTCCTTATACTCACATTTCCCCCCACTCTCCATAGGGAATTAAAACTTGTTCATGTTCTTGGCCGGTTGTGGTGGCTCACGCCTGTAATACCAGAACTTTGGGAGGCCGAGGCGGGTGGATCACGAGGTCAGGAGATCCAGACCATGCTGGCTAACACGGTGAAACTCCATCTCTAGTAAAAATACAAAAAATTAGCCAGGCATGGTGGTGGGCGCCTGTAGTCCCAGCTACTCAGGAGGCTGAGGCAGGAGAATGGCATGAACCCGGGAGGCGGAGCTTGCAGTGAGCCGAGATCGTGCCACTGCACTCCGGCCTGGGTGACAGAGCGAGACTCCATCTCAAAAAATAAATAAATAAATAAATAAAATTTAAAAAAAATTTGTTCATGTTCTTTAGATGAAGGCCAAAATCTTTTCCTCACACACAAAGCCCTGCATGGCTTGACCCCTATTTCCATCTTCAATGTCATCTCAAAATATGTTCCTCTTCGCTGTTTCCAGTCTCACTGAGCATCAGTCAATCCCTTGAACAGTCCATGTTTCTTCTCAGAGCAGGGCCTGTGTACAGGCTACCCCTCTGGCTTGAGAGCCTTTAATTATTTTCTTTCCCTCATTAAATCTTACCTATCCTTAGATGACTTGTCCTTAAGGCACACTCTAGAATAGGGATTTTTTTGTTGTTGTTAATTGTTCTCAAAGAGCTGTATTCCTTTTCATAAGGCCCTCACTTCAATTTGCCAAGTTGTGTTTTGGGTCCTGGCTCTGTCCTTGGTTTGATGTCTGATTATAAACAAGTTACTTAACCTTTGGGTTTTTTGCACCTAAGAGCCACTCTAAAGATATGTTGAATGAATGTAATAAAGGAATGACTAATGTGATTAACAGCATGGATAGAGTGAAAATGGAAAAACTAAATGAACATTACTATACATAATCTGAGAATATACATATACTACCTATATGTATGTATACACACTCACACATATGTATATCCACAAATGTGTGTTACCTACTTATACAAATACATACAAATATATTCATATACAGTATGTGTCCACATATACATACTATATAGTATATATGTATGTACATGCACATATACATGCATACACACACACACAAATAAACTATATCAAAGGACAACCTTAGATACATTTTTACAAAATGCAAAAATAAATCAATGTGACCTACTATAAATTTCATTGCTAAACATGTTTCTGAAAGTTGTTAAGGATGCATTTTGCAAAAGAAATTGAAAATAAAACGAATTATTTGCTGATGATATGCTCTTTTCTTAAAAATGACCATGAATTTCACCTTGAAACAATCATATAGAAAAGTCCTCGATAACAAGATACAAAGTTTTTCATACATTAATCTTTTCGAATGTTAATTAAATTAGAAATATTACAAAGGTTTCAAAATTAGAATGTGACTTAAAATATATGTGTAATTTTGATGCAGTAGAATATCTTTCTTTTGTTTTCTAGATTTTTAAATGTTTATCGTAAAGCATAATTGTTAAATTAATAATGTACTTTAAAATGTGTAATGTCCTAAATTTAGAATATTTGATTGTTTAGTAAGATAACTGATTTAAAAAGATCATATTCGATAGCTTTCATCTGTATCAAAAGCAATGTTAATAAATAGAGCAAAAAAACTGAAAATCAAATTTTCAGTAATTTAATAATATAAAATAAATTTGAATAAAATTAATTTTAAAGTGTTTATGACAAGCATAATTAAAAGCACATATCTCTACACAGGAGCAGAAAACATTTCAGTAAATAGAGAGATGTCTTACGAATAGCCAAAAACAATTCAAATTTACTTAAACAAAAGGAAGAAAATTATTTTAAATTTCAGTTGTGTCTCATTAAAACAGTTTACAATATGGCTTCAAGAAGAAAAGGAATAGAAACTTTCAATTTTATAAATCATTGCATATTCTTAGGACAATTATAGCTTGTACTTTAGTTTCTCAGTTTTTTCTCTGAGATTCTTAAAGAGTTCGTGCTTATTATCTGGAGTGTCAAAAATATGTAGCTAATTAAGAAATAATGGGGAGATTACTCACTGAACATGATTCTTAAAGGTTGATTGTGTTATGTGTGAATGCAAATTCCTGGACCTCATTCCAGCATCTTATGCATCCTAAAATTTATCTTAAGGTATTTTAATTATCTTTGGATTTAGTGAGCCAGCTCTGGTAAGCTGACCAAAAGGGGCAGAATGCGAGCCTAAATGGGTAGATTTGTGTTTTCTCATTTTTAAGTTAATTTGATATGTCATATGAGCCTAAAAAGATTTCTAGCAGGATCCAGACGTACTTTTATTACATAAACTTATATTCATTTAAAATGTACTAAATCAAAGTCATTTGATTTATATTTATTTTTCAGAGATGTTCTGAAATTTGCCTTGAACTCCTGGACTCAGGCAATCCTCCTGCCTCAATCTCCTCAGTAGCTGGGACTATAGGAACACACCACCACGCCTTGCTGTCCTTTGATATTCATGAGACTATTTCATAAATTGGACATCTTCAAGAAAAAGGTTTTTACATAATCTAAAATCGCACTACTCCTTTCAAGTTAGCTGAATGAGAATATCTTGAATACTGGAAACAAGGCATTTCATAGAAAGATGAGGATATATTATTTCAAAAATTTCCAGATACTGTTGGTTTTGGCTGGTTTGTTGTTTAAAGTGACTACAGTATAGTTAACGCCTAGGAAAAATGTGTAATCATTTATTTGGGATTTTCAGGGAAATAGTAATTGGACCTCCTCCCTTTTGCCTGCTACTACTTCCAGTTCTTTTAAAAATGTTTTTATTCCAAAATAAAATGCAGACACAGAAATGCACAAAATAAATATATGTCTTAATGAGTTATTGTACCACCCAAATAAAGAAACAGAACTTGCCAGTCAACCCAGAAGCTCTTTGCAAGTATGTGGCTTCAATAATAGCCTGGCCTGATTCTCAACTCCTTAAGTAACTATCATCCTAACCTTTATAAATGACTTTCTTGCATTCTTTTATAGCTGTATTACCCAGATTTTCTTGGGACATCATAATGTAGTCTTCCTCATTAAAATAAATTATATATTTTAGTCTGTGTCAATCTATAAATTTTCTCTTTCTTGTCCTTACAATAGTAAGTTAACCGTTTATCTATTTACTTCTTGAAGAACCTAGGCCTTTGCCTTTCCTGGTTTTGCTGATTAGATACCACTGATATTTCCACTTATTTCTCTGCCTTTATCATTTCCTGCAAATGGTGGCTGAATCCAGAGACATGTTATGACTCAGATTCTAGCTATTTGGCAAGCTATATAGATAGCATTGTGTTCTTGCAAAAGGAACATGTAATGATTGT
The DNA here is from genome assembly GCF_000001405.40 of Homo sapiens. Lineage (NCBI taxonomy): Eukaryota > Metazoa > Chordata > Mammalia > Primates > Hominidae > Homo > Homo sapiens. The sequence goes on along the minus strand of NC_000001.11, from coordinate 79,859,690 downwards.
TTCTCTTTTTAAGATGTTTACAGCTGTTAATGATTAACGCCTAGATCCATTGTTTTTTGGGGGTTGCAAAATGTACTATTTTAATTCTACAGCTTGCTTTTATTACCCGGAATCTTTTATAAGCAGACATTTCCCTCATTTATTATCTGGCTTCTCAGGGATACCGTTGACTTTTTGATACATTTGCCAGTTTTCAGGATAATGAACTTGTTTCCTATCATCTTGTTAAAGGTAGTTAGACAGGCATGAGCAGGGCGGTAGAAGGCTCTCCCCCTCCCACTAGGAACGTCCGGTGATGGTTCTGCAATGATCATATTGCCTCCCTAAAGGTGACAATGATATGGACAGGAGACAGGGAAATACCGAGTAGAAGAGGGCAGTTCCCTGGTGAAGGTCCCACCCTCAAGCCTGGATATCTGCCACCTTAAGTGAGGACAGGCATTCCTGTTTTCATGCCCAAAAGTTGCCTTTTAAAAGGCCTGCCATGCCCCCTATCCTGTACCTATACAAACCCTGAACCCTATATAAACCTTGAACCCCAGACTCCAGAAGCAGATGAGGAAATGAGCAGATGAGTGAACGAACAGCAGAACCACATGGCAGAGAAGGAGCGAAGAGAAGGAGCATCTGAAAGTCTGGAGGAGCTTGGCTGTGGATGGTGGAAGAATCGGCTGTTGGACAGCCAAATCCTGGGGGAAGATCATCTTCCCACTCCATCCCCTGACCAGATCCCCATCCATCCCACTGACAGCCATCTCCACCACCCAGTAAAACCCCACATTCACCATCCTTCAAGTCTGTGTGTGACCTGATTCTTCTAGACTGTTGAACAAGGGCTCGGGATACAGAAAGCTGTTCACATTGGCTCTCTGCTTTTGCACAAAGACAGAGGGTCCATTGAGCCGGTTAATACGTAAGCCATCTGTGGACAGCAAGGCTAAAGAAGCACACTGTAACGCATGCCCATCTGGGCTCCAGGAGTTACAGGCTCCCACCCCGGATGCTGCCGTAGGGCTAGAGCACAGTGCCCTGGGCCCTTGCACCTGTCCATCCATGTGCTCCTGCTCCTATAAGGGGTTTGAACAGTAGCAGCGATCAATTTGCACGTCCTGTGAGGAGGCTAGGGAACTCTCCTGTTCAGTAAACTGGCAGCCAGAACCAGGGAGAGAATATTTCTTGACGGTCCATACCTATTACACTAAAGTGTTAATCGAATGTAGACACCAGGGAGAAGCAACTTTCCAGGCATGTGCATTAAGAGACAAAATGGCAGAGTATGACCTTCTGGGGCATTCCACTGGAAACGGAAATAAAGCCTCGGATAGGCACGTGCACAACTTCCTAAACACACTCTGCATACTCATGTCCCAAGGGTAAGGAGGGCACGGCTCATGTGGGCAGCCCACCCTCAGGAAAGAATCATGGGAAAGGGGTGCAAGGTGCAGGAGGCGGGCCAGCCTATAAAGTCCTAGGATTAAGGTTAAACACTGCACTTGACCTTCACATGCCTGCTTGGGTCTCTTCTAAGCATACTTTCTTTCCTGTCCTAAAGCCTTTTAAAATAAACTTCCACTCCTGCTGTGAAACTTGCCTCATTCTCTTTTTATGCCTTATGCCCCTCAATTGAATTCTTTCTTCTGAGGAGGCAAGAATTGAGGTTGCTGCAGACCCACACAGAACCACCACCAGTGACTCTGATAACTTCCACTGGTAACATTCCCAATTTCACCAATTATTATGAACTCATCAGCTAAAATGTATTTGATGGAGCTCAATTAATTGCAGTTGTTATCATCACTGAAGTTCAAATTGTCCTACCACTGGCCAATGAAGCCTCTTCGAGTTTTATCCTGAGTCCATTTGACATGACATTAGTAGCATTTGAAAGCTTCCTGACATCCAGCATCACGGAGTTTTCCTGGCTCATTGTGTACCTTTTCTGTCTCTGACCTACGAAAAATGATTTCTTCAGGAAGCTATGGCTTTTTTTTTTTTTTTGAGACGGAGTCTCACTCTGTCACCCAGGCTGGAGTGCAGTGGCACGATCTCCGCTCACTGCAAGCTCTGCCTCCCAGGTTCACGCCATTCTCCTGCCTCAGCTTCCTGAGTAGCTGGGACTCCAGGCACCCGCCACCACGCCCGGCTAATTTTTTGTATTTTTAATAGAGATGGAGTTTCACCGTGTTAGCCAGCATGGTCTCGATCTCTTGACCTCGTGATCTGCCTGCCTCAGCCTCCCAAAATGCTGGGATTACAGGCGTGAGCCACCGCGCCTGGCCAGCTATGGCTTTTTAAAAAAAAAATTTTCAGGGGACATTTAGTTCAGATATAATTTTTAGAATTTCTTTTATTCCTCTGATTTTGTTTTCTTTTTTAAGGACATATTTTGTCATATGTTGGATGTTCACTGACTATCTTTAGTATTTTTCACTTACTTTCAAAACTTAAAAAAAACCTTTTATTTCTTTTTCCTTTATTTGTTTTTCTTTTTTGTTTTTACTTGGTTTATCTCTTAAGGTATAACCTGTGGTGGTTATTCTATGTGATGTTCCTTCTAATTTAGTCTTGATTTCCAAAGTAATTTATTTTCCTTTATTTCTAATTCTTTTCTGAATTATGCCACTTTATTCTGATTTTTATAATTATGATTAATATAATTATCCTCACATATTCATTATTTATACACTTGTTGTGATTTGAATTGTGTCCACCCTAAAGATGTGTTACAATCCTAACCTCTGTTACTTGTGGATGCTACCTTAATTGAGAATAGAATCTTTGTAGATATAACCAGATTAAAATAAAGCCACACTGGATTAGGACGGTCCCTTATCTTATGACCAATGTCCTTATAAGGAGAGGTACATTTTGACCCAGACACACACAGAAAACAGACTCACCATGTGAAGACAGAGGACAGATACAAAGACACAAAGGGAAAAGGCAATGTAAAGGCTGAGGCAGAGAAAAGCACTTGCAAGCCAAGGATAGCCAGCAACCACCAGCACCTAGAGAAGGCACAGAAGGATTCCCCCCTAGGGACTTCAGAGGGATCATGGCCCTTATGATACCTTGGTTTTTTACTTTAAGTCTTCAAAACTGTGAATATAAATTTGTATTGTTTTAAGTCACCTGTTTCTGGTACTTAGTTATAGCAGCCCTAAGAAATAAATATCTTTCTTAATTTCTTCTAGATGGTTAAGGAATACTAGGTTATGGTTTTGATTTGATTTTGTAGGTATGCTTTTTTTGGGCGTATTTTCACTGTTCATAGTGATATTATTTTGTTGCGTATCACTTTTAGTTATTTTTCCCTCAACTTTTGGAGTGAGTTGGTATCCAGGATTTCTTTTCCTTTTTATTACTTATTTATTTTTTCACACTGTCTTCTGTTGTTTTCTAATAAAGTTTAAATATATGCCAGACTTTTTATTTTTTCCTGAGTTTTGAGTTCTCTTCTCCCACTTTTGTCTGGACCTCCTTTTTTTCTTCATCTTTATTATTCCTACATTCCTCAATTTTGATTTCTCTCCCAGAAGTTTTTTCTTAGCATGGGGCCTTGAAATGCAGGGTATCTCTCACCCATCATTTTTGAGAGTTCGTGGAGGGAGACTGCTCCAGCTCCTTCAGGTTTTTTACTGTGTGCCTTTTGCACCAACCTGCCATTTATCATGGGCAAAACTTCCTCTAGATTTTGACAGGTCTTTTCATTTGGCCCTGTTGTGATCTTCAAATACATATTGGTTATTTGAGGGCTCTTCAGTTCTGAGGACATTCAGTTGGCCCCTGGTGCTTTCTTCTTCTTCCTAAGTAGATATTAATGATATGTTGTTGGTCATGCAGTTGTTGTGGATTTACCTACACTCTTTGGGTTTCAATGGGATACTTTATTACCTAGTTTTGTTGTAAATTTTGTCCATGAATGTTGCCTTTAATATCTAGTTGCTTCCATGCAAGGATTCAGAGAGATTGAGAAGCCTTGTTGCTGCCACTGTTTTCCTAGTATCTGTACTTACTGCTTTTATCATATTCATTAACTAAAATTTATTGAACACTTACTATATGTCAGTCACTGGGCTGAGTATTTTACTTCCATTTTGTCAGTTAGTACTCATAGCAACCTTAAAAATCTGATGTCACTAGTTACATTTTAATCTGAATTATACAAATGTACCAGAAATAAATAAGGTAACTTGTCAAATGTCAAACAGCTACAAGTACCTAAGACTGAATTCTAACTTAGAATGTTTGCTTTCAGAGCTCACACTCTTAGCAAATATGGTATATTTTTTACACAAAAGACACAAGGATAAGCCTCTTAATCCAAAATAATGAAAAAGTCAAAAAGTCAAGACAACTGGTGACAATAACATATTAATGAAAATGCATAGCACTGTAAACAATCTTCTATGGAAACAGATTTTATCGATATAAAAAGTGTTAAAATATTGAGCACAGAAAGAGTGCAAATGAGGAAGAGATGGTGACTGCCAAGTAAGCTCACTTTTTACTTTCGTCCAGATACAGGCCTGGTCCCTTTCCCTCCAAGAACTTGTAACTTAGATAGAGAACCAAAACATTAACAAATAAAACTATCAAGTATACTGCAAAGATGAATTCCAACAACCACCCTTTCAAAAATAGTTGTGGTACACTGATTTGTGAGAGTCACGGTGTCCTGTTCTACACAAGAAGGGATAATTTATTTGGCACATTTCCTTCCCTCAGAGAAGTTTCCATTTAGTGAGAAAGAGAAGATATGATTATGAATAATTTAAAATAGTAAATAATGAGAATCCTTTATTGCTACAAATAATAAAAGCTTCTAGAAGTTTAGAGGAAGGACAGGGCACATGTGACTTGGGTGAGAATGGGCATGTAAATTGGAACTCGGAGGTTAAGTGAGAACTTAAAAGAAAATGAGAACCAGAAGGAGAGGCATAAAAAGAATCACATATTAATGGGTAGATGATAGCAGTGAGTAGATGTCTTCAGGACAAAAATAAATAAATAAAAGAGCCTGCAGACTTGCTAGGTATTTTAAATAGCTTATCACTCTTTCACAGGTCAGGAAACAGAAAATTTTAAAGGTTGAGGGAACAAGGTAAAGTCTGTGGCTTTCATTTAGGAGTGGAGGAATCTGAGGGGGAAAGGAAAAATGAAGAAGTTTGTAAGAGACCTTGAACAATGACTTCCAAGAGGCTGGGATGGTGGATGCTCACAGAGTGAGTAGAAGGCCGAGAAAATACACCAGAGGGCTAGATAGATTGCATTATTTACATAAACATAGAAATAGTGAAAATAGATGAATTAGGGTTCCCGGACCCTTACAGTGAGTGACCCATATCAGACCTTAAGCTTTTTCCATAGCATAAGGTTTTCTGAGTGTTCTTCAGCAAACTGTTCATTACTGATCATCTGCCACTGAACCTATTTGAAGCCAAGCTGCCCTTGGGGTTACTGTTGGAGATATATTAATCAGGACTCAGATAAGATGGCTTGACAGTTTGGAATCTCAGAAGCTGCCTTGGTAATGGAGACATAAAGCTTCATTTTAATGCTAATGAACATAAATCCTTCTGTGACAAACCTCAGAATATTTATAAAAGAAAGGATTTGGGTTACTGAAGGGATGAACTGTATCAGATCCAGGGAGGTAAACCTAGACCCCATTTTCTTATCATTTTGCGCAGGAAACAATTCCACAAGGTAAAAAAAAAAAAAAACAACAACCATAATGTTGCTTTGTAAGTGAAACAGAAAAAGGAAAAGAATGACTATTGTGTTATTTCAACTAGAAGCTTAAGATATTTTGACTACAAACGCTAGCCACAGAAGATAAGTCCTCACTTTCATTAGTCCTAAACATTGCTGAGTGCCTGGCAAGTGGAAATGCATTATTTTTTTGAAATGGTATCTTAAAGTTTATTTCCTTATCAAATGCAGTCATGGCATTTTAAGTATATGCATTTACCTAGATTTTGGCACATTCATCAAGTTGTGTATTTGCTGGAATGCATAAATGGGTACATATTTTATATGGTATTTAAATACAATTAAAGCAAATATAGAAAATGCTCCAAACCTTAAAATGTTTTATATTCAGTAACTTATCAAAAAAGTAAAGTGCCAATCATATTTACTAGCTGTATAGTATAATTCCAATCAAAAGAAACTGTTATTTCACAATTTGATTTTAGGAGAGTGTTAGATCAATGTTATTGACTTAAGAGATTCATTCATTATTTATTCTAAACTTTGTTTATTACCCAAGTTTCATATAGAGACTAATTATTTAGATGAGAAACTGCAACTGTCTAAATTAATATTAGGAAAATTGAGCATTTACCCTGAGGCAGCAAAATTAGACTTTGTCAGGAAGCCGAACTGACGTTACATGCCACAAAATGGCTAAAATTGGCCATTAAAGAGAAATCTTCTACAACCATTATTTCCCACTAGAGCATAATTAAATACAAATAATAAAGGCTGCATTGTCTCCTATGTTCCACATTTCCATGTGCAGAAAATGGATTCATGAATGGCAGCTGTCAGAGGGGCTTGGCTTATTGACACCAACCAGTTGAGGCTTTCTAATTGTGTAGTCCCTGAAGAAATAGCACTTTCCACTGTGGGATCACCTTTCACTAAAGCAGAAGATTTTATGGCCACAGTAAGTGGCAACTAAATAAGGACTCAGCTTTGAAACGGAGGTAGATAAACAAAGGCTCTGGACAAACGAGGTCACGTTAAAAACAAGCTTTATTTTCATTCATGAAAGCAACCCTCAGTACTGCTGAAGCCAAATCAGCAGAGGATTGCTACGCATCCCTTTGAAAATTAGCTTGGAGGGCTGGTGGGTCACATAAGGATAATCACTCAAACATTTTTGACAGCAACTCTCTTTAGCAAAGTCTTTTCCTATTCATATACTGACATTTATGAATTCATTTAATGTCTCCAAAAAATCTTCCAGGTAATTTTTTAACTTCCCATTCAAAGTATGGGAAGAGATATGAGCTCCAGAGCTGGAAGTAGCAATGTGGTAAGGCTTCAATATAGTGGGCTAATAAATTTAGTAAATTTTAACCCATTCTTCTGCTCCATGTGAAAATAGATATTTTGAGTATATTCTATATGTCAGGTATTATATTAAGTATTGGTATAGAACATATAATATGTATGTAATACATATTATGTCCTTTCTGGTCTTCAGAAAAATCAGAATATGACTATATTTCATGGACCCCGAATATAGTATATGCTTACACAGTCATGTAATTGAGAAAAAAAAAAATAGAGGGTAAAGAATTGGCCATGAGTGTTGGCTTACGCCAGTAATCTCAGCATTTTGAGAAGCCAAGGCCAGAGGACCATTTGGGGCTAGGATTCAAGACTAGCCTGGGCAATATAATGAGAAACCATCTGTACAAAAATTTTAAAAAAAAATTAGTCAGGCATGGTGGTACACACCTGTAGTCTTAGCGCCTCTAGAGGCTGAGTCAGGAAGACTGTTTGAGCCCAGAAGTTCAGCATTGCAGCACGTAGTGATCATGCCACTGCACTCCAGCCTGGGTAACAGAGTGAGACCCTGTCTCAAAAAAAAAATAAATAATAAAAAATAAATTATAAGTTACAGAATCTCAGGAGCAAACACTATCAAATATCCAAGTAATTATTGATAAAAGGACAGTAACATACAGAGTTCAACTATTGATTATGATTATAACAAATAAGACCAAAGTTTAAAAACCAGGTGAAGTGCTGTTAAGGCATTTTTGTTTTCTCCTATTTCTTCCTCTCCTTTCTTTTGTCCTCTATCTCCTTCTTTTGCTAAGATTGCTTTCACTAAATGTTGCATCAAACTTGGTTTCAATCACATGTCCTACGTCCTATATTGTTTTTTAATTTGTGTCTTTGGGTTTGGAGAAATAAGAATTGTTTTATTTATTTATTTATTTATTTTTTAACAAATGGTCTTGCTCTGTCACCCAGGCTGTAGCGGTGGCGGAATCATAGCTCACTGCAACCTTGAACTGTTTGGCTCAATTGATCCTCCTGCCTCAGCCTCCTGAGTAGATAGGACTACAGACCAGGTGTGTGCCACAATGAGGGCTAATTTTTGTATTTTTTCTAGAGATGGGGTCTCTCTATGTTGTCCAGGCTGGTCTCGAACTCCTGGGCTCAAGTGATGCTCTCACCTTGGCCTCCCAAAGTGCTGTGATTACAGGCATGAGCCACCACATCCAGACACAGAATTTTTAATAAATGCAATATAAAAAGTCAAAATATTTTAGAAAGAGAGGTATACACATATATGCATAAATATATGCGAAAATATATTCTTAGTTTATGTCATTAAAATATTTCAAATAAGTAAATTTGAAAACAAAACTATCATTGAATCTCTTCTTATCCATTAGGATGTGCCTAATTTCATGTCACATATATGGATATATATGGCTAGCTGCATAAATAAATTGGACACAGATGAGCTATATATTTTCTACAAACATTTAACTATTTTCTCCCTCTCAGGAGGTTTGTAGTCCTTGCCAAATGATTGCATCAAAGAGCTGCCCCAGCATAATGTACACTCCAGCTGTTTCTCACCCTTCAGTTTTCTTCCCCAGTCATTCCCTGGTTGCTCCTATTGCCCCAGTTGACCCCTAATCCTCTTTTCTGTATACATAAAAATTATTACTATGGGAAAAACCAAGGACATATTTTATAAAACTATCTGAAATATTTCTTAAGTCAGGATTCTTAAAACCATGTAAAACATATCCTTTATGTAATCCATTCTCACTCAATGACATTCAAACCTATTAGTCTTTGATCTACTCCTTTATTTGAGAAGGTTTTCTTGAATAAGTTTCTTACAATTGGAAAGAGGCACACTCTATTTTTGACAAATTCCTTCTTCCTTTTTCTAATGTGTGTGCCATTTCTCTAGGGACAAACTATAAATTAAACAAGGGCATAAAAATTTTAGAGTCCTATTTCATAGAAAATTCTGGTTCCACAGGTGCCAGGTGTAGAGGATCACCAATTCCAATACATTAATGCTCACTGAGACCAATCCAGACTTAGACAAAAACATCTCCTGCTGGTCTTTCCTACATGGTCTAGTAGCAGCTGAGAGGCTGTAGAAAACACAGAAATATGATTTCAGCCTGAGATGCCTGTGATAGAAGAACATCTGACATAATACAACAGGATTTTGCAAGCTCTTGTTAACTGTTTTAATAATCTGTCACAAACGTAACGAGTACCCTGAAGGAATTAACATTCCTTGCAATAGGTATTGTAAAAGCAGAAGGGTAACCCTCACTTCATTTAAAATATATTTTAAAGATATACTATGTACAAGGAATGGTAGTGGGTACTGAGTCTGCATTTAAAAAAAAAAGGTAAAAACGTCAACCCTTATTTTCCCTTTCACTGACAGACATACAAAAGCAAAAGCTTAAAAAATCAAGACATATATGAAAATGTTCACATTAACTATGAAGCAATGAGTCCCGTAAATTGCAGCAGTTAGGAAGGCGTAAGCAGGGTATTGGTTTTCTATTTCAAATGATTCTTAAATAATAAATTGGATTCTTAATAGTATGATTGGTTGACCTGTACCATAATAATTTTTACCATCGGACATACTTTTAATAAATATTTAAACAAATTGATCAGTGGGTGACAGAAAATAATAATCAAAAGCTTCATGGCAATTACAAGATCACTAACAATATTTAATATGTTAAATATTTGAAGTGGGTTTCCAAGGACTTACAACAGATTTTCAGCTGTCTATATTAGAGTTTAATAAATAGGGCAAGTTTGGGGAAAAGCACGTTAAAAAGTTATTTGTAATATTTTTAGGTGAGTGGAATGTAGAGTTCAACTAAATGGGCTCTGTTCTTCCAACAGAAAATGAACATTCTTTATGGATTGAATTTTAACAAATAACATATCTAATTACTCTTTTCCTTCTTTTGAATTTTAATGAAGAAATCTGGTATATGATTTTAAGTCAAAAGGAATTCAAAAGGCAACTTGATCAATGTGATTGGCCAATATATTTGACATTTATTATCCACAAATATTCTGCAGAAGCAATTAAAATGGCATCAGCCATAAAAACAAAGGTATAATTTTGAAATAAATCCAGAAGCATGCATTTTTCTGAGAAGCAGTAATGACTTCAGTGCAGGACATTTCCTGGGGATCACTGACTGATACAGATTTATTGGGCTCAGCTTTTGCAAAACCGTCAGATTTTCTCAAGCAACCATTATAGTCCTGAAATTGCCCTTCATGTTCATTATTTTTACTTAATTAAGTTTCTATATTGAGGAAATATCACAAATAGTAAAAATGTAGTAATATATAATATAGACTTAATTTTCCTGATGATTTTTTTTAATTTGACAAATGGTATACAAGAAAGTTTCTTTCTTCATAATACAAAAGTCTAGGAAATAAAACTAGTATTATTCTGAAATGAACATGATGGCATTTAAGGAGAAAAAAGATTATGCTTATTGTTATTAAAAATCACTAGAAATTTCAGCTTGGCATTTTAATGAGATAACATCTTATTTAAGGCATTTATACTCTATAGTTACCAGAAAAAAATGCTGGAGCCCTACACCATATAATTCAAAATAGAAAGAGTGGCAAATTATGTAATATGTGTAAAAACGGTCAACAAAGTTCTGAGGTTTGCCAAAGTGACTACTTGATACTTTAAATATGTATATTTATTTATATACATAAAAATTATTTCAAAAATTTATACTTTGTTGCCTATTTTTGCCATATGCCTTCAGCAAATGCTGTCAGCTTACTCAGTAGGCCTTCAGTAAAGGAAGATAATATACAATGAGCAACATGAAGAGACACATACATGGAATATTCTTCTCATTTAGGAGCAATTTCTCCATTGTCAATATAGTGAATGTGATTTTATTACTATTAACCAGTTTTCAAGTATAAAGAGAGGCAGCAAAATGTAGTGGTTAAGGCTGCAGTCTCTGCAGCTGGATAAAATGTGTTTAAGGCTTTCTCAATTTACTCTCAATGTGCCTCATTCAGTTTCCTCATCTGAACAACAGGAATAGTAATATACCTACTTTATACAGCTGGAATGTGGTAAAACAAGTAATGCTTTCAAAGGGCTTAGAACCAGGCCTAACACAAAGAAAGCATTCAAAGGCTTGGTGTGGTGGCTCATGTCTGTAATATTAGCACTTTGGGAGACAGAGGCTAGAGGATCCATTGAGTCCAGGATTTCAAGACCAGCCTGGGCAAGAGAGCAATACCCCCATCCCCACAAAAAGAAAAAAAAAAAAGCATTCAAAGAATTCTACCTGTAATTATTACAATACCCAAAGACATTATATTCTGTAAAATCAGAAAGTTTGTCTGCATTACCACTGCTACTAACACTTTGGTGAATCCAAGTGAAGCACTGGATAACTACAGTTAACACTCAAACGTAGGAGAAACTTGTGCTATATTCAGAGAGGGGGCCCTAATTAGCCTTTGATATCATTTTAGAAATGATGGGTACAGCAAACAGGGGTTGTTACAGTCAGCGGATCATAGGTAAAAATACATTTTTGAGCCATAATGTAGGTCAGAGAACTGTCACTGCGGCTGCCGTCTCGTCTTCTACAGCTGCTGCTGCTTTGTCCTCCTGGGTGATTAATATCAAGAATGTTACCTTGGAGCCCAAGGCCAGACAAAGGCAAGCATCTCCCAAGGGTTTTGTAGCTGAGTCTCTAGCCCCAAGTGTTGCAGCTGCATGTATTATAGTTAATTCCTGGGCCTTCTAACCTGCAGGGACGGCTGCAGCTGGGGCTTGCTCCTGTTCCAGGGTAGCAGCAGACTCCTGTCCTTTAGGCCTAGTGATTACTGGTCCTTTTGGCTCTTTGGTTGAAAGAATCTGGAAAAAAGTATAATGACTAGTTGTTCAAGTCTTTTGCTGACAGATGTGTTATTTCATCTTAAAACGATTGTGCTTATATTCGCCGTTTTATCATTCCAAATGTGTTGTAAGAGGCAAAAGAGAAAGCCTTTGTTAATGCTCTTTGTTGAAATCTATTTCCACCAAATTAACTTTTTAAAATTTGTAGTCTTTGATTACACTCAGAATGCTCATTTTTATTCAATGTTTTGCATAAAATAAAGGCCAGTTGTTTCGAAGTGACAAATATTATTACCATTAATTTCTTTAAACACCTTCAGAATAATAATTGGCTTGTTTATTTAGGAATAAGTGGTATATGTTTCATGTATTTCTTCCCTGGTATTTATTGTCATTTTTGTTTGCTTGTTTTGGACAGGGTCTCACTCCAACACACAGACTGGAGTGCAGTGGTGTGATTATGGAGCCTCAAGCAATCCTCCTTCCTCTACCTCTCTAGTAGCTGGGACTACAAGTGCGTTGCCACCATGCCCAACTAATTTTTTAGTTTTTCTTTTGTAGAGACGAGGTCTCGCTGCGTTGACTAGGCTTGTTGCAAACTCCTGTGCTCAAGTGATCCTCCTGCCTCAGCACCCCAAAGTATGTTGTTTGTTAAAAATAAAATACATTACTCACATTCTTATTTAATTTCTTATTCTTCCTTTATCCACACTCTGTTGTTTCTTTCCACATATTGCTGCTGCTCTTCCAGTCTGGATTATAATACTGATAACCTATAATAACTGTATACATTTGGATATATCTTACAGTTCATAAAGTGCTCCCACATACATTTTTATTTCAGTTTTATAACCAGTAGGAGGTGAGCAGAATAAGGAATATTATCAAATTTTAAGGCTAAAGAAACGAGGCATATGCAAGATTAAATGATTTGTCAAAGATTAATAAGATTGAAATAAGGTCTTGTCCGGGATTCAAAACACCTGTGATTCCACTATGGGTCCCAAGGCAGGGTGGCCTAATTGAGTAAACATCGGCTTTCAAGGCAGAAATACCTGGGTCTAAAACCTGTTTCTGTCACTTATTACTTGTATTACTTAGGGTGATGAACCATCTTGGATTACCTTAAAGCTAAAAGTAGAAGTTCCAGATAATTAAACAGAGATGGAGTTTAACAAACTAGGATAAACAAAGCAAAACAACAGAAGGCTATAAGTAATTGGTAAGAAAAACTAACTCTTATTAGCTTGACTATATTCTCTCTCCTTTTACCTTTCCACCTCGGCCTACTGTTCAAATAAAAGTATAATTTTTTGTTAACCATAATAAATTACAGGGTCTTGAAGAGAAAATAATCAAGTCTTAGCAATCCCATATGGTTCAAACTAATACTTATAAAGTCTTTCTTGAACCTCTCATGTCCTCTCAAGCCTTCATGATGTTTTCATTTTGTTTTGGCTTTGATATATATTTATTAAAAATATTTTTGAATAGGTTATATATACACATCTTTTAAAAATTTAAAATGTGCAAAATACTATTCAGAAAAAAATAAGTCTCTTACTCATCCCTGTTCTCTAGCCACCCAGTTTTATCCCCTTGAAGCAAACACTGATAGAAGACACTCATGACTCATGATTCTTTCCAAAGATACTTTATTCATTTTTAAACAAGCATACATAATGTATCATTCCTATTTTTTTTTACTAAATGGTTGTCTATGTATTCATTTTTATCTCTTGTTCAAACAACACACACACACACAAAATCCCGATTAGCATTCCCCATAGACTACATGCAGTGGATAAAGGGAATTACCTCAAAAGAAAATTGGGAGTATCCTTAAAGGGACATGTGATTTAGGCAAAACCAACAGATGTCAACTCACTAATTAAAAGCTCCAAGCTGAGATAGTAGCCTCATATCAGTGCTCCCAGGCCCTCTTTAAAAGTAAGCGTACATAAAATGCTGCATATATAACATATTCTTAACTAGACTGTGAGCTCTCAGAGGGCAGGGAGTGGCATTTAAGCATATTTAGTTCTTGACAAATAAAAAGCATATATATGCTTTGAGGGCATAAATGAATATTTTGTTACTTACTGAAATTTCAAGAATTTCAGCAAGACCCACTTAACATTGTCATCCAATTTGTATCTATTATAAATGGTTTTTTTCTCGTGTGTAATGTATCTGCTTGGAAACTATTTCTCTAAATCTTGGTAAACAATTTAAGTTTCATATACTTGAGTTACAAGGCTATAGTGTTTGTTTCTTTTAAATACATGCCACTGGTAGTGAAGGTTTTCTTTTGAGTGAAATCCTGATCTTTGTTAGCATAGCAGAAAGGTAGAGTGGAACATGAAGGCTGGATGACTATTTAGCCAAGTCACTAAACAATAGACACTGTTATCCATTTGAAAGACAGTATGAAGTATAGTACAAACTATAATTTTTAATGTAAAAAAGTTATATGTAAAAGGAACACACAGAGAATACTTTCTATCTGTAGTAAACATAATACTATGGCTGTTGCAGAGACTGATATTAAATAACACTTGTAGGAGGTCATTGATTTGGACTGAGCTCCTCGCCCAGGCCCTAACAGACCAAACCAAAATGGAGTCACTTGTGTTAAAGTTCTACATTACCAAACTTTGTTTATCTGATCTTTCAAGAAATCAGAAGAGAAATAATAGCCAAACCCCCGAATAGACCAATTTGAGTCAACATGTTAAGAAGTCTCCTCTGCTTTAACCTTTACAAGGAAAGTAACCTGAAGTAACCTGATACTAACCAATCTGCTTTGTGTTCCCTGTTTCTGCTTTCTTCAGCTCTTTTCTGCCTATAAAGCCAAACTCCTCTGTCCAGCTCATTGGAAAACCCATTCCATTTTATACAAAGAGGTGTTGCCTGATTTTAGAATTGCTAATAAAAGTCAATGAAATCTTTAAAGTAAATTTGTTGTAATTTTGTCTTTTGACACTGGCAAGCAATTCTCATCGTGTTATCAGTCAGTAGCATAGACTTGAGTGTCACTGAAGTGCTACAGAGCACACAGAAGAACTGAAAAGTAAAGGAGGAGAGGATAAACCTGTTTATCTCACATGTTCTGTTTCTTTTTAATGGAACAGGAAAAAGTTTTTATTCCCGGGCTGTCTTGCTAAAATCATAATATTTAACTTCAATTAAACAGGAGTACACACAGCATAAAGAAAAAAGGTACTTGAATATTACCGCTGACTGATGGACAGACAAGTCCTCAAACATACCAAGCACATGCTCCTCCATTCCAGCAAGGCCTTGCACACCAGGCCTCAATATTGGGGTCTGCTATGGTCTCATTACTTGTGTCCTCCAAAACGCCTATGTTGAATCCTAACCACCAAAGTGATGGTATTAGAAGCCCTTTGGAGAGAAGATTTGGTCATGAAGGCAGAGACCTCATGAATGGGGATTAGTGTCCTTATAAAGAAGCCCTAGGGAGAACCATCACTCAATACCATGTAAGGACTCAGGGAGAAGGTCATCTATTAACCAGCAAATGGGCCTTTCCAAGACACTGAATGTGCTGGCACCCTGACCTTGGACTTACCAACTCCCAGAACCATGAGAAATATATTTCCGTTGTTTAGAAGCCACCCAGTTTAGGGTATATTTGTTATAGCAGCCTGAAAAGACTAAGACAGGGTCTGGTTGAAAGAAAGGAGTACTGAAAGAGGAAAAAAAGACCTTGATCAGAGGCTAGCAATAAAAAGAAATACAGAAGACAACAAACCAAGCTTCACTAAGTTCCTCTACATGTTGCAATTTTAGGTTTAATTCAAAATGTTATTCGGCTCAATATTTATATCTATAAACTTCAAAATTTTTACTAGAATTAAATGAGGCTTTGTAAACTGAGAATTATTATTTTATTACTGTGTTCTCCACATCTAATACATGCAATGCATATATTATGTGCTCAAATGCCTAGGTTTGGATAACATAAAATTTAGGTTCTGATTATTTTAGAATTTAAGTCTTTTGGCTCAAACTTTCTTACTTATAATTTATGTATTTAAAAAGATATCAAATTTTAAGGTGATACCAATTTAATGAGTTAAGAGGTTTATTTTTCTTGCTTAAAGTAGACACCATCAGATACAGAAATAAAGCTGCTAGCCCCATAGGATCTGGGATCATGTCTGCCTCATTCCAAACTCAACCTCAGTGTTTGGTGTGGCCCCTTTCATGCAGGCAGGGCAAGATAAATATTCACTGAATGATATTTGAATAAATAATAGCAAGTTATAGTTATAAAAAAGATACTGTCAATCTATTATTAGTCAAATCCTTGAAAAAGCAGACTGAACCTCTGAAGCCTTTTGAAATCACTCTGAGTCAGTGTCTCCAGCTATTTCAGACCTAACCTCTGTGAACCAAATAGTTATAGAAACTGAAATGACCTATTTCATGAAGGAAGAGAAAAATTCTAATAAGAATTGTATGTGAATCTGTGGGTGTACACACACACGCATATATATAATATACACACACACTCACATTCACACACATATATTTGCAGAGTTTCTTTTTCATTCTAATTTAATTTGTCTTGCACAGTACTAGGCTCCTAAACAACATGGATTACTATTTGTTGAATTAGAATGATAACTGCATAAACCCAGCCGAAATTCTTGCTGCAAGCTGCAATTTGCCTACTCTATAATGTCAACGAAGCATCTGGTTCTTACTTTGTCACTTTCTCCCTAGGGCTTCAAACTGAAAGCTACAGAGGAGAAAGTGGGGTCATTATATATACGGCTAAAACAAGACGTATACTGTGTAGGCTCTGAAACATATTTCTGCAATTTCATAAATGGCCTGTAATTCAATAATAGCCATCAAAACTGTATGAGTTTCATTTCAGTTTGGCTATAAATGAGTTTGTTTCCTACTAAATCATTCATATCCACATTTCCCACTATTTTAGTGGTAGTTATTAGCATAATGATGATGGTCTTTCTCTACAACAATTTTGTTAGATGACTTCAGACCATTCTTGTAGCTAATTAATATTTCTAATAGGAGACAAATTATTTTTTCAAACAAGATTCTTTTTTAAAAGGTGCATTACATATTTTTCTTTTATTTACTTCTAAGATTAGTAAATCTGTTATTTATGGGCTCATTATTGCAGAATCGTAAGCACACAGTTCCTACATAATACATACTGCTCTTCTCAGATACAAATACTTTGACATATCCAATGATTATATTTTAAGAGACAATATTGAAAAAAGTCATAAATGCTAGCAATATAGCACGCTTAATTAACTGAAAGAAATTATAAAAAAGTAAAACTTAGTATTGAAATTAGTGCTACATTTAAAGTTTGTGTCCATCCCTTGACTTCAAGTTTCTTTATTTACCTAAATAATATTTACTTTCAGGGCTGTGCATATTTGTGATTTCCAGTACACAGAAAGTTATTTACAATGGAAAATCATTTTATTTTTCGAAGGCAAGATAAACATGTGTTTCTTTGATATTATTATATAATAATACATAACAATCTAGGAAGCCCTATTGTATTTTTAAATAAGGACATCAAATAGATATCATAAATTGACCAAAAGGTTTTTATGTCTTTGCTTTCCTGTCAATACATCCAAGTGACCAACAACAACAGCAAAGAAGACTAAAAGAAAATATCTTTTAAATGAAACATGCAAGCCCCTGAAAAATAAGCAAACTTATTCCAACATGTAATTTATCAAGCTGTGAGATTTCTACTATTCTGAACAAAACAAGACAAAAAATAAGGAAAAATAAATAAATGAATAATGTGACTGGAATCTTGGGAAAATTCCTTTCAACAAAATGTAAATCTGGGTTTTTTTGTCATCGTTGTTATTAACCATAAAGCTGACCTATACATATTAGATTTTGGAGGGGGCTAAATAATTTAACAGCCGTAATAAGAAATAGTTGCATTATTTTTACTAAGTGTAGGAAAAAAGTCAGGTTTTGGCCTTGTATTTATTTTGGTAAATCTTCTAAAATAATAATAATATGTTTCATAAAACTCTTAACGTAAATCCTTCACACTTCTGAGTGCTAAGACTGGGTTGGCATTGGATTTGAAACGGAAGAAAATTTAACCAATGATTTTTAGAGGATTATTTTTTCTACAGCCTATATGAATGTTTACCACACCAAGTATTCTCTTGATGGTGTTTATCTTGACGGTGTTTACCTCTTTCTGCCTCATAGTCTGTCTTTTGGCTAGATAATCACAGTTTTTTTTAAAATCTTCATTTAAATGAGTTTGTCATGCAAAGCAACAAACCACACAAAGTTGGATCATGTCGCTGCAGTGTGAGACAGGAGTGGAATTTCAACCTTAGTTTTTCTTTTGTATAATTCCAACTCTTGGTTTAATATCAACATGTTGCTCTATCTTCATGAATTTCCTTATTTCTCCAAATAATAGCCAAAATCAAATCTATTATTCATGCTAAAGTGCCAATTGTGTATTATCAGCCTTCCTTGGGGAACTGGCTCCTCAATTCTCAACAATCCAATCTTTTCTCTCCTTCAAGAAAAGCACAAAGGAAGTAGTATTTCAAAAAAATATGCATTGTGTATTTGGAGGTTTTTTAACTAAAGGTATTCGTCTTCTATTTAAATTGCATTCTAATTATTGAAGCTCATGTGATTTTCAAAGGTCCCCTCAAAGTTATTTGGAATGTTTTGGCGAGGCTGCTAATTTTGAGAATGTAATGGTCTATGATATTTCCTTTGAATCCATTATGATCTATTTTATGAGTGTTTTGGAATGACTATTTTTTACTTTTCATACTCCAGAATCAGTCCATCTAACACTTATGTTAGACAATTCTGAACACTCTACAGCCCCTTTTAATTTGATAAAATAACACTCATAGTAGTACAGATTTCATATTCAGATTTGATTTGTATTGCTGGAGAAGAGGTGTTAGAAAGGAAGCGCTTCATGACTCTCTCTTGTTATGGCCTATTTGTATGCAGTCCTAGATATAAAGCACAATCTAGTTAGTGGAGCTTTTTGGAGAAGTTTAGTGAAGACCCGTCTGTGCTGTGCCCCAAGCAAATGTTAGCAACTCCTCTCTCTCAAAAGTTTTAAAGGTCACTCTTCATCAAAAGTATTTAATGGTAAAAATAGAGGCAATGGACCACCAAAAACAATATCCCAGTCTATAACTGTCTATGAGTGTGCATGCTGTGTGAATGTGTTGATATTTATTACATATTTTTTGTTTAAATATCTATTTAGTGGATGGGTACATCCTTATGTAGATACATAAGTGTTTCCTACCTAAAAAAACTGAATCCATCCAACAAACACATATTCCTGAGTCTTATTTTTCAGATAATTTCAGTTATTGCAAGTTATTCTAAATAAATATCAGGCATTGTGATATGGTGTCTGGCACTACGTAATTCCTTATTTAATAGAAGAAGAGAGCATTTATAGTGAAATATTCATAAATTGTCAGCACATCTGTTATTACTGTCCCCAGGGTAACATTCATTTAAGCCTCCTATTTTCCAGATATTTTTCTATTTTCAAATGTACACTGTACTTTGATCTGGCACATAACCAATCAAGCTGCCTTTTATAACCTGGCTACACCTGTTTCTGCAGGTGTAGTAACTGAGAGAGGGCACTTTCAGGATGGAGGGAAAGAGCTACCTGGGATTCATTTTGAGCCAGTCATTTCCTCACAGCAACTCAGCAGGCAGCTTTAGGGAATTTTTTATGAAGCACATCAGTAGGATTTTTCTCTTTCGTATCAGTGTGGCCTTAGAATGAGATGGCTCATGTAATATGTTTTCAAATGAGATTTCTACAACTAAGAAAATAGCTGTTTAAAAAATCTGAATTCCCTTTTCTTCTTTGTAATATTTTGACTTTATACTTTTTATTAACCGTATTGTATGTGAATGTACATTTTTGTGTGTAAATGATTTTTATACTACCATGTTATTTTATTGTATATAACACTTTCTTTAATTTTTGCTGAGGGTGTGTGCTCTACAGTAATAATCATAGTATAGTAAGGCTGGTTTAATTGATCTCCATTTAATCCATTAACCCAATATCAGGCACACTTTTTTCCTCCTGTAAAATATACTTACAAATGCTCACAGCAACACTTCATATCTGTAGCCATTGCACTGCCCCTGCTACATGTACTTTTGCTTCTACCAGTGGAGTTGCCTCTTTTCCATGAGTTAGAAACATTGTGCCACCATCTTTTACACCATAAGAACTTTCTATAGAAATTAGGTAAACATATTAATTATTGCATGAACCAAAAGAAAAAAGAGAGTGAAAAAATGGTTGGTATTTTTCCCATGAAAAACTCAAGTGCTTTGGCATAAGCTGGTAAGTCTTATAACTCTTCAAAGTGCTACTGAATTTAGATGTAAACAATGAAACGGTAAATTATTTGGGGTTGGGGAGGGATTAGTTGGAAACATACAGATCTAGAGCTTTACTGTTGAATACAATAGCCAATAGGCAATAACCACATGTGGCTCTTGTCAAATTCAAAAGAATTAGAATAAAATAAAAATTCAGTTCCTAAATTGCTCAGTGATTTCTAGGCACATAGAGCTCGTGGCTACCAAATTGAACGGCACAGATATAAAACCTTTCCATCATCACAACGCTTTACTGGACAGACAAAGAGACATTCTGCACACAGATAACTGCAATTGTCTAACTCCTCACTCCAAATTAAATACACAAAAATTAAAAATGGTAGATAAATAATATATTTGTGTTTTAGGGAAGAAAGTGATTCAGAACTATTAAAAGATTGGCAAAATATGCATGTTTTTTGTTTAAAAATGTTAAATATATTTTTATGATTCCCATTTTATTCCATGTTTCAATTAATTTACTATTTCTTGTTCCTACTACTATTGGATAAAAGTTTTGCTTCGCTGTATCAGATAATGATTAAGCATAATCTTCTCCAGAGGTAATTATGATTTTTTCCATAACTCAATCACCAGTGTCTTGAGAAACTTTGCACAAGTTATTTGAGCTCTCTAAACTTTGGTTTCTTTATCTATAAAATGGAAAACTTAATAGAACATAGATTATAAGATTTTTATACGGACTAAATGAGTTAATCGTGGTAAAGTGCCTCTGTCTGTGCCTGGAACGTAGGAAGAAGTTAATAATTGTTAAGTAGTAATAATACTTGTTATAATAGCAATCAAAAAGTTGTAAGACAATTTGCAAAATGCTATCATGTGTATTATTTCATTTAATTCTCAATTAATTATTTTTCATATTTTAGACAGAAAATAGATCTCAGAAAGATATAGTGAATACTAAGTTTACATGGTAGGAAATTCATTTCTTTGTCTTCAAAACTTACATAATTATATTCTTCCTATGCAACCCTTTCCTTCACGAACTACTCAAAAAAGTATTGTGCTACTAAGTTATTTTCATTGGATGTATTTCTGGCTTATTATTCACTTACATATCTTATCAGTATTAAACACAATAACAGAATGTCATGATTTGTCATGATCTGAGATACTGAAGCCTAGTAGAACAATTTCACTTGACATGTCTAGTCAAAAGAGCATCTCGATGGTGTTTTGAAAAGCAGAAATTAACGAAGTTCTTTTCCCCTAGCTAAGCATTCCTCAATGAGTGCATATAAACCTATTTCAGATCAGCAGAAAACAAAGAAATCTGAATTCATGATTTTTATCCTCACTTTAAATCCTATGTTAAATCTAGTATGGGATTTTCCATACCAAATCACAGACTAGTGAGAGAAGAGATTAGATGCTACAAAACTACCATAATACAAAGAATATGTCAAATACAATAATAGGTATGCATTATACTCTAGGGAGTTTAAAGAACACTGAGCTTGCATCATATTAGGAATATGACATGACTTCATGGAAGCAGTGGTGTTTAACATGGATGTAGAGAATAAACAAGTATAAACTGGAAGAGATAAGGAAAAAGATATCCCCTATCCTTCAGATAAGCAAAATTTTCTTTCGATGTCATAGCATTATTTCTGACATTTTCTGTACTTCATTGTATTCCAAGGACTAGAATCTAAGAAACTGCATTTCTCAGACACATTTGATGCCGGAGTTCTGGTTTAGGTTCTGTCTCTGGGAGACATTCACATGAAATTAAAAGACAAAAGGTTGGGTTCTTTTTCTATCTCTCCAATGCCAATGTCGACAATAGAAAAGCCCAGTTTGAATTCTTAAAGACACAACAGCAGATGAACATGAACTCCTGTAGCTGCTAATCGCAGACTCTGGACATGGTAGCCTCAGAGATGTGCAGACTTAGGTGGTAGAACTCATAACTTACTACAGTTCCTGATCTGAGTAACGCAACCCCATCTTTTTGCTATTTCCAAAAATTTTGTATCCTGATTATCTTTCTACTTGAAATATCTAAGCAGGTATCTACTTTGTTGATTGAATTCATAATGATAGTTAGGGTAAAGCAAAAGAAAAACTATGCATACAGAAAAATTGGAATGTGTTTAAGAAGCAAAAATAACTATGCTAGTTTCCATGCCAATTGGACTAGAAATGAACCTTAGTACTATCTTAAATAGAGAGATTGCTACGTCTAACTCTTGAGTTTGCCATTGAGTAGGTTTTTGTGTGACATCTCTGGCCATTTCTCTTAGACCTTTTTTAAAGTATGTGCTTTATATAATTAAGTTGCTATTATTTAGACTTGAAAAAGTGAGAATTCATCAAATCTACAGTTAACATAAAGAAAATTCAAATAAATATGATCAGAAAAAAAACAGAGGAGGAGATAATTAAAATAATGCCTGTGATTTAGCTCAGTGAATTTAGATGCTAAGCCACAAACACAATATGTCTGCCAAAGTATCATAAAGAAATTGAGTCCCAGAGATATAATATAAATAAATATTGATTATAAACAAAAAATCTCACAATATAAAATGAAATACTCATATAATATCTACCACCATCTATAGATTGAGTATGTAAAAAAGCCAAAGCAAGTGAAAGCATTTCATAAATCTTGTCTTGGTAGGAGACAATTGTGGGTACTCACTAACATTTGATGTTTGAAAATTAAAAGTTAATTGTGTTAGGTATTTAGATTTAGAAATACATAATGAGAGATTAGAAGAAGAAGCTATACCATTCAAACAACTAAAATGGAAAATCAGTATAATGAACACTCAACCATTCTAACAAAAGATAGGAAAGAGAAGCAAGATAATAAAAATCAAGCATGTCAAGTAGAAAACACAAAGAATGTATTTGCTGGGGTAAAGATACCTATTAGTACTCACTAAAATTTTTAATGTTTTAAAACCAAAATTGCTCAGATTAAATAAAAACAGAATAAAACAAAAAATTTCAAAACCTGATTCAAGGCAAAACTCCCTAAATGTTATAAAGAGACATAATGTATATATTTAGGGATAGCAATACACCAAAATAAGGCAATGGTCCCCAACTTTTGTGCACATTAAAAAAAACTCTTAAAAAGTACTTTAAAATTTAAAAAGTGACACCTGATAAAATGGCAAATCCAAAACCAGAGCAAGATATTTCAACACACCTGTGTCAGAAGCCAACAGATCAAATAGACTGAAAAAGGAACAAGCAGATCAAATATTGCAATAACACAATTGAGATGTCTACACTAGTAGGTTGATATGCAATATATTTCGAAACAAATAGAGATTTCACTTTTTTTTTTTTTTTTGGTATTTTTAGTAGAGATGGGGTTTCACCGTGTTAGCCAGGATGGTCTCGATCTCCTGACCTTGTGATCCACCTACTTCGTCCTCCCAAGGTGCTGGGATTACAGGCATGAGCCACCGCACCCGGCTGAGATTTCACACTTTTAAAAGTATCCATAGAACATTGACAGACTAACCACTTGTTGATTTATTCAGGTAACAACAAGACATTTGCTTGACAAATATGTACCCAGTATTTTCTGTGTGTCACACACTTTTCTTTCTGGAAATCTTAAATTATAGTGGGGCATGACCAATACCATGGTAAATAGAGTGAAGAAATGTGATCTGATTTACATTTTTAAAAGATCAATTTGCTGCAGTGCAGAATATCATAAGACACAATTTTAACTTATAAAAACTTCACTATTTCCCAAATAGTTTATATAAAATAGAAAGGTAGAAAATTTAAATTTAAATTGTACCTATCAGCTCAATGAGCTTGTGTCTCAAGCAAAATATATAATATACTACGGTCTGAATATTTGTGTCTTCCTCAAATTTATGGTAAAATCTAAATCCAAGGTGATAGTATTAGGAAGTGTGACCTTTGGGACAGGATTAAATCTTAAGGGAGAGCCCTCATGAATGGCATTCCCCTTATAAAACAGGGTCAAGGGATCTGGTTCCCACTTCCACCATGTGAGAACACAGTATGAAGCCACCACCTATAAACCAGAAAATTTGCCCTCAGGCAGACTCTAAATCTGCTCATGCCTTCTCTTGGACTTCCCAGTCTCCAAAACTGTGAGAAATAAATTTATATTATTTATAAACTACCTAGTCTATGGTATTTAGTTATAGTGATATAAACAGACTAAGATACAATTCTTCTAAGTTTATTGTAAGAAAAAAACTATAAAAAAGTGTGCTTTTCTGTATTTCCTTTTAAGAATTAAACAACATCACAATATTTAAAATAAATATATTAAGGAAAATTTAAAGAAACTGATTTAAAAAATGTCTGTAGTGTTGTGTATGCAAACCAGATACATTTTTAGAGGTTTTCTTTTTTCTATACACTATTTTCCTCTTCCTTGATGATTTCAGAATCTCATGCCTGAAAAATACTATTCCATTGAATTATCTCACTGAAGGGCTGAAAAAATATTATATTCATATTTTAAGTATTTATTGGTGTGGCTAACTGCTTATGGGAATGTAAGATGGAGCTCTTTTGCAGGGTCATTTGAAAATACATTTTCTTATTTAAAATTGCAAATGATCTAGCAATTACAATTTGTGATCTTCACCCTAAAGATATATTTATAAATAAGGACAGGGAAATATTTATAAGAACGTTCATTCAGGCATTGTTTATTATAATGAAACATTGGAAGTAGCCTAAATTCATCTTAATAGATGAAAGTTTAAACAAATTATGACATTTATTACCACAGAACATTATGCAGCAGTCAAGAATGAGGAATAAAATGGAAAGATTATCAAAACATATAGGGCAGTCTATTTCATACAGTTTATTACAATTTAAGTTAACATAGGCATATATGGATACACGCAAAAGCATAGAAAATGCTGCAGTTGAAAAACATCAAACTAATCGCTATGGTTAAAATTGGGAAATGATCTGGCTTAGTAGCAGAAGGTAGGTTTCGAGAAGAGGTGAGGAAACATTTATCCTTTAGATTTAGGCTTGTTTTGAATATTTTTAAAGGAGAATTCATTCTTGTATGAATGAAGCATTCAAAAATGTGAAATTTGGGGCAGCTTGGGTGGAAATAATGCATGAAATGATCAAAGTGTAATTTCAAAGGGCTAAAACATGACTCATACAAATAGGGAAAGGATATATGTCAGATATTTTATTGAACACATTAATGAATGAAAGGAGAAAAATGATAAAACTGGTTTCAAAAGACTTTGAGAACTGAAGTTCATGTAAGTATGAATTTTAGAATAGGGTCATACAAACAAAACTGATTAGTATGCTTTAAGACATTATTGAAAGAAAAACTTTAGCTGAATTAAGTTTAACAGAGTTTCACTGAGCAGAGAACTATTCACGAATCACGCAGCCTCCCAAGCCAGAGTAGGCTCAGAGACTCCAGCGCAGCCACATAGTGGGAGAAGATTTATGGGCAGAAAAAGGAAAGTGATCTACAGAAAATGAAAGTGAGGTATAGAAACAGCCAGATTGGTTACAGCTTGGCGTTTGCCTTATTTGAACATAATTTGAACAGTTGGCCACTTTGATTGGCCCAAACTCTGTGATCAGCACAAGAGTAGCTACAGCCTGCTTACATGTCCATTTAGGTTATAGTTCATGATCTACAGAGAAACCTTTAGGTCAAACTTAAAATATGTAAGAAGGCAGCTTCAGACTAAACAATTTAACAGCTTCAAAGCCATAACTTTTGGAATTATATTTTCTACTAGATAGAAATCTAAAAATTAACATGCAACTTCACAATATCTGGCTTCTAATCTATTAGATAAGCAGCAAAACCAAGCACAGGTACATTCTCCTAGAGAATTAATCATTCCATGTGCTTATAAAACAATGCATCAGTATGAAATTTAAAGTATATGCCATTCCTTTTTGCTTATTTCTAAGAATTGTATAATTTTTTATGAAACAAATAATAACAGTAAAAAAGTAGACACCCCACTATTAAGAACAATGGTTGAAACAGACATTATTTAATAATGTTTTAGGGGAATGTGATTCACTTCTGGAAAAACTATAACAGAACTCCAGATGGTGGAGATAGAATAACACGAAAAATATTATTAATTGCAGAAAGAGGCAAAATTCCTTGAAATTTATACATAAATCCTGATACTAGAAAATATTCATTCATATACTAACAGGAGTATATATAGAAAGAATAAAAGTTGCTAAATGAGACCAGGACAGTGATTATCATTAGCTACATGGGGCTGAGTATTCCTAGGGAATGAAGATTGTTGTAATTCTTGAACTTGTTCTGCATATTATTTTTAGTTTCTATGTTTTCATATTGAAACTATATAGAAAATTCCTATAGGCCCATACCATGCTTTGTGTGTGTGTGGGGGGGGGGGTGCACGTGCGCTTGTGTGCATGTGTGTGTATTTTTAACTCATGTTTTCTACCATAATCAGAATGTTACTAATACCTCCAGTTATAGTCATAGATAAGACTGGATAAACTCTAATTTACCCATTACAACCAAGATTCAGGTGACCATCATGAGTATGGAGTAAGATTCTATTCTGTGTGCCATATGTTATATAAATATAAAACATTTGTTAATAAAGAGTTTTCCCATAACACACATAAACCACTATTTTCAAATATTGCTTTAGACCCATGTCAGGATTTACCTAGTCAGGTGCTTCCTTGAACATTTTTATTAAACTAATTTTGTCTTAATTACTTTAGGACATTTTGTTTAACAGACTATACAACAAATAAAGATGGATCAACTTTGTGAAAAGAAATAAAAGAGCCCCAGAGGTCTGTGATAATAAGAAAATCTAAGTGTCTTTACACTTTATGATTTTAGTTGAACTTTCTGATGTCTTTATCCTGTCTGATGAAATCTGGCAAGGACAATGAT
Source organism: Homo sapiens (assembly GCF_000001405.40). Taxonomy (NCBI): domain Eukaryota; kingdom Metazoa; phylum Chordata; class Mammalia; order Primates; family Hominidae; genus Homo; species Homo sapiens. The sequence continues at coordinate 79,832,373 of NC_000001.11, read as the reverse complement.
CAAAGCCAGTTAATAAAAACAAAGCATAAAATTCTAGTCTAAAATTGAGAAAACAAATATTGAAAGATGCCTTCTACAAAAGTTATTTGAAGGGCTTAGAATTGTTACGGGGTTACTTAAAAGTATTACAGGTGATTTTTTTTTCCCCGTTATTGAAAGACCAATGTGAAAGTTTCTCTTGAATAAAGAAGCTTAACTGTTTTCAAAGAATCTAGGGCACGCATATTTATATTATGTTACATAAAAAAAGAACATTGATTTCCATATATTTGCATATACTGCTTAAGTATGTAAAACTAATTAATACTACTGAAAACGATGTATTCAAGATTCACATCTAAGGTCATACAAAGAACTGAGGTCAACCAAGCTTTGCAAATTAGAAAAATCTGACTCCAGCAGGGTATCTCTCCAGAAACAGGGACCATTTTCTAATTTAGCTATGCCCAAAGACGAAAGCTTCCAAGTTGATGACTGTAAAAACAAATGTCTATTTCACTAGTGTTAAAGTAAGAACCCCCTGTATAGTTTTAGTGTGCTTTGGGCCGCTATTCTCATTGACTCCCCTTGTCTTGGAATGGTATATGATATCATTCTGTCTGGTAGCTGAGGAAGCTATCAAGAGAATTGCCTTAGACTGATCAAGTTTGTGATAGGAAGCATTCAATGCTCTAAAAATGGCATACAACCTCAAAGAACCTTTTAAAATTGTCAGCTCTGCCTTTAAGCCTTAGTGGCTTAAGCTGTTTAAAAGAATCCTAAAATAAGAAAGTTTTCTGTTTTAAATAAGATAACCTATGAAGTTTTAAAAGGTGCAACATTTGGGGTATTATAGTTTCCTTCCCTGAGTTATGAAGGAACTTTAATAAAAAGTGTCAGTAATCTCAAATCCATTTAAACTTGCTTCCTGGGATGTACTGATTTACAGACCCATGATCTGCCTGTGATGGATCATAGCTGATCAGGTCATTTGCTGATAAACATATTTCAGAGGATTTTCCTTTCCATTTTCTGTCGAAATTCTTATACTGTAATAGAGAGTAGAGTCTAGTGAGACTCCCAACTTTTCTTTTTTCAAGAAAAGTCTATTTCTTGAAAATATAGCTCATCCTTTAGAGCAAACTGCTACTTAAAGACCTGGACCCTGTCAACTAACGTGCTAAATTTTGAGATAAAATATACATTTAATCAAGCAGCCAACTTTTTGAGCTCATGGATTTTGAGCTTGGTTGCATGTTTAAGGCCATCAACATACTTGGCAGAAACTTTATCTTTGTTAGAGGATAAGTTTTTCTTTTTTCAATTTTTTTGGACCTTGGGACTTAACCATAGGTTTTCCGATTTTCTTATGATTTTTATTAATGGCCTTTTTCTCATTTCAATGTTTGGCAATACTGCCAAAATAATTGTGTCTATCATGGTAATACCTCATTCAAAAACTTCAGACTCACTGTCAGTGCATCCAAAGTCCCCAGTCTGGCGTAGAGGTTCTTTATCCTCTGGCTTTGGCTGTGTGTCTTTGTGACTTGACTTGAGTGCTTGCACTCTCTAAAACATCTTCACTGAATTCCCCCTTACCTAATTTTTACCCACTTTTTAAGGATACACCTTGCTTCCCACTTTTTCTATGAAAGATTTCCATGACTCCTTTTTTTTCATCTTCAACTTAACTCCATGTCTCAGATCCAGTTCACTTTCTACCTCTTTAATAAAAGACATTTGTGACTATCCCTTATCTTCCTCTTAACCTACATTAATTATAACCAATAATAATAACATTTCCCATTTGATAAGAAACTGAGCTCAAAGGGAGATTAAGAAGATTACCCAAACTCATAAAGCTGGGATTCCTATCTATTTTTTAATACTATAAAACTTCCATTCAAAATTATAATAAATCTTCTGACTTCCTAAATGTTACTCATTTCACCTTCACTAATATGCTATTTTATCATCTAATAAAATGCTGTATATTGTTTTGTAACTTTTGCACATTTATTAAATGCTTAACATATTTTATGTTTATTTTTGTTTCCTGAAACTTAGGCAGAGAGTAACAATGAGATTTTAATGGATTTCTTACCTTAACTGCATTAAAATCATGTTGAATTAGTGAGAAATGCAAGATGAAAAAGAAATGGGAGAATGTTTGGGCTGTCTTATTAATATACCAAAAATTTATTAAATTTTGTTGACTTTTAGATAATGCTGATTTTAAAATTAAGCAAAAAATTAATAGTATTTTCAGAGGAAAAACTCTCAGTGCATTTATAAGAACACTTTGATATTAATATATATTAACATGTATATCCTTATATTTAAAATTTTAAGAGTATTTGCTACTTAAAAAGTGTTCAAGAAAGAAAGACGGTAATTAAGGGTAAAATTTTCCAAATTTACTCCATTTCTTTTGATATTTGTAGAGGGTGTTTTGCAAAATAATAAACAAAAATATTTTCTTTAAAATTCTACATATTGTTCATGAATAATATATCCAAATAAAAGTTGTCTGGTTATTCTTGACTCTGGGCATTTAATACATCCTTAACTGTCTTTAAGAGATGCAATAAACACTGGAAAAGAACCAAATGAAAAAACACATCTAACTCATTTGCTTTTCATTTCTTATGGATAATATTGACTTGTTCTTCCTTTGATGCTTATACAAATGTTACCTTCTAGACTGTAGAGGCAAAATTCTAGTATGCCACTAAGCAGCAAAAGAAAATGTTATCTTTTCCTTTCCGTGCATGTTATCTTTATACTTTTGGCACGTTTTCTCTTTTTATGCTTTTTTTAATTCCTTTTTTTATTCCTTTATCTCCTTTTTTCATTTATTGTTACACATGAATTTTACTTTAAAGTAAAATTAAATAATTTTATTTTGTCTTAACCATGATTTTAGAAAACCAGATAAATGGTTTTATATTTCTCTTCTAAAAATAAAAAATATTTGCAAACTGTGTATCAGAAAAAGGAATAGTATCTAGAGTATATCAAGAACTCTTAACACTCAGTAAAAAGCAAACAATTTAATTATAAAATGAGCAAAAGACACGAACAGACATTTCACTGAAGGGGATATACAGATGGAAAATAAGCACATGAAAACATGTGCAACATCTTATAATCATCAAGGAAGTGCAAATTAAAACTACAATGAAGTATCTTTACATGTCTATCAGAACAGCAAAAAAGAAAAAAAAAGTGACAATATCAAATGCTGGTTAGCATGTGGAGAAAGCGGATCATTCATACATCACTGTGATGATTTAAAGTGTACAGCCACTTTTGAAAAACACGTGGCAGTTTCCTAAAAAGATAAACATTCAATTATCATGTGCCCCAGCAGTTGCACTGTTGTGCATTTATCCCAGAGAAATGAAAACTTGTGTTCACACAAAAACCTGTACACAAAGGCTCATAGAAGCTTTATTCGTAATAGCTAAAAATTTCAAACAGTGTAGATATCGCTAAACAAATGAATAGTTACTGTATTACATAAACACCATGGACTACTATTCAGCAATAAAAAGGAATGAATATTGATACATGCAACAGAGAATTACGCTTGGTAAAAACAGCTAATTCCCAAAGTTAGTTATACTCTATGAAACCCTTTATATAACATTTTCAAATACAAAAGTTTGGAAACATTAGTGATTTCCAGGGCTTATGGAAGTGGACTGCCTGGGAGGGGGGCAGTCGTGTTAAGGAAAGGGCAAGAGAAAAGATCCTGTGGCGATGGAACTGTTCAGTATCTTGATCCTGGTGGTTGATACACAGATCTACGCATGTGATACAATTGATAGAATTAAATACACACATTCACATCTCCCATACCTACATGAGTATATGTAAAAGTGGAAAATCTGAATAAGATTTGTGGGTTATATCAATGTCAATATTTTGGTTGTGGTATTGCTCTACAGTTTTGAAAAATATTATCATTGGGAGAAATATTTAATTGGGAGTAAAGGGTTCATGAGGTCTCTATGTATTACTTTTGTAATTGCATGTGAATATACAATTATCTGAATAAAAATTCAAATATAAAAGATTAGGATAATAGTCTATTACTTTATATAACACTGAGTAAATGAAAGTATAACGATTAAGTGAAAACGTCAAAGGATTATAATTCTGTGAGTCATTCTTCTTACATAAATATTGATATTAATAATAAAAGGACAGGTTCATATATACATTTATGAGTATAGAGTCAGCATCAAAGTGACAGACAAATGTGTAAATATTGATATGCAAAATCTATGTAGAGCGGAAGGGTATAAAGGGAAAGTGTCTGGGATAAAGAGGCAAAGTATGTCAAGTGAAATATCCGGAAACGTTTGGGACAGTGACTCTGAATCTTGGTATAAATATGCAGATGTCAGGACACAACTCCCAGACATTTCTGATGCAGTGGATCTGGGATGGGACTCTGGAATCATCGTAGGTGATCTTGACCTTCACAGAGCTCCATTCCATAGGAGAAAATTGTCCTCCACTTTTTTACTAGTAATCAATGATGTGTAAAGCTATTATAATGTCCTTAATTTTTGTCTGTTTGACTGTTCAATTCAATGAGAACTTTTTAGAAATAAGGCTAGGTATAAGTCTAGCCACAAAGAATTTCCCTCCATGTATGTTTCCCGGGACTTGTTAAAACAGACCCCAGCTGCTATTCTTCAGACTATAGAGTAAGTTTCTCATTAATTCTGTCCCTTTAGCAGCTGACAGGCAATTTGACTGCTTGGAAAACACACTGGGTTTTTATGACCCACACGTAAGTAATCATAACCAGCCATATGTAAAACCACAAAGCATAAATTGATGGAACTAATGCAATTTTAACCAACAACATTAGAGGTTATATTTTAAAACTACAAAGTCCCTTTTAACAGTTCAAAATTGTCCTGTAGAGGTGCACTAGGTTTTACTTTCCTATTGGAAATATAGACAGTTTTATGAAAATTGTTTATTATTTTCTGTTTAACTTTTATCTTCTTTTTGAAAATGCTGTATTTTTAGCTCGCTTCACCTTGTATATTGGGATTCTGTGTTAATAACACAATACTTAATTTACATATAAACATTTTAGGAGCTATTTCAGAGAGTAATATTAGTACATAATTAGTACAGAAATTCACTTCCTGTTTTCTGTCTAGTGATTATGATTTTTCACCAATTATTGTTAGGATAAATAGGTCAAATATTTTACAGATGCTCATCTTGGTCTAAAATAAGTGTTTTTGAGTACAAGGAGTTATTCATTATAGGGCATTGTGCCATGAAAATGGCAATACATATTAGAGAGAAAGTTTGTTTTCAAAGAATGAAGCATTGTTAAATATGTTAAATATTTAGTAGCTGAATGTCAATTCATTTGTGCAATACCTTTTGAATATTAAATATTTGCAAGTTATATTAAAGTCCATTATTTAACAGCTAAACTAAGTAAAAGGTTAAATTTAGTTATATCTCAAAGAGGAAATGAGGAAATTTAATGACATGTCTAAAATCATCAGACATATAACGCTAGGAAATTGCTGTTTTTTTCCAGAATAATTGTTACTGAGGAGCTACATGTTCAACAGCAGAAAATGAAAGCAAAATATAAAATATAAATTTTATAGAATTTATGTTCCTAGTTTAATTCTATGATTTGAATAGTATTTAGAATGAACTTCTTCATATACATAGCAGAAAATAGTCCTATAAAAGCAAATACATTGATGAGAATGGCTAAACCATTCCTTAAAACCTCTATTCCTATTCCCATCTCTAGAGACTTATGACTTTTACAATTGATCAACTTCATGCATCCTCTGCTCAAATGACACCCACCCAGAGATTATTTGCCTGCCTATCTCATCAAAGTTTTGTATTTATTCACGATCTTCTTATCATATTTATTTCCATATATTTCATTTGACAATATATTATATAATTTTTCATTCATCCCCCACAGCAAAGGAAGACAGAGATTTTGTGTTTGGCTTATTTATATATCCCTAGCCTCTAAAACAATGTCTAGTACATGGTAAATGTTCAATAAATGCTGACTGAATGAATAGATTGATCAGTAGTTACTTATTGCTTCTAAGACTTATTTCAATATGTTTATAACAGTCAAAAAAGTTTCATAATTAAGCCCTACCTAAAACATGAAAATCACAATATAGTTGGAAAGATGACAAGCTGCATTAAACAAGACAATTCAATTTTTAAAAGGTGTTCTATCCACAGCCACTATGGAAAACAATATGGAGTTTCCTCAAAATACTAAAAATAGAATTACTATATGATCTGACAATTCCATTTCTGGATGTATATCTGAAATAATTAAAAGCAGGGTCTCAAAGAATATTTGTACACTCATGTTCAAAGCAGCATTATTCATAAGAGCCAAAATGTATAAACAATCCAATTGTCAATTCCACAGATGGATGGATATGGTATATAGATATAATGAAACATTGTTTAGCCTTTGAAAGGCAGAAGATTTCAACACATTCTATAACATGGGTGAACCTTGGGGACATTATGCTAAGTGAAATTAGCCAGTCACAAAAAGAGAAATGCTGTATGGTTCTATTTACGTGAGATATCTAAAGTTGTCCAACTCGAAGAAACCAAAAGTAAAACAGTGGTTTTCATGAGTTGAGGTAAGGGAAAATAGGGTTATTTAAAGCCTAGAACTTCAGTTTTGTAAGATGATAAAGTTCTGAAGATTGGTTGTACAACAATGTGAATAGACTTAACACGACTGAACTCTACACTTAAAAATAGCTAAGTTGGTAAATTTTTATTTTATGCATATCTTACCATAATTTTAAAAAAAGTGTTCTTTTCAAAAATAAATGTACACTGTTATTAAAAGAGTTGGAATTCCTTTAGGCATTGACTCTTAAAGAAAAAAGTGAGACTAACTTATTATACAAGCATAATACGTTCAATTCATTATAGTATCTATATTAAACTCCAAGATTACCAAGAGTTTTCATACCAACTCTAGTGGATTATGCTTCCTATGCAAAGGGAAGAATGGAGGTGAGTGATTCAAAAATAAACATATTTTGTATCTCCTTAAAATAAATATATTTTATAAAATATTAAAGACTATTAAGTTCAGTTTTTTAAAAATGTCACAGATAGGTAAAACAAAGTCCAGAATAGTAAAATAACTTGGGACATTTCTTAAAAATTAAGTCCCCAGATTTATGAATCATTTCTATTATATATTACTTTTTCTTACCATAAAGTAAAAGGAAAATTAGAAGTTCACATCTACAATTTAATTAGTATTAGGTGTTTGGGCTTTATATTTCACTTATTAATATTTCTATAATCACTATAAAATGTTTGCTTTTCAAACTGACTACTAGCCAATATATTAGCTTAGTGGGATTGAAGACAAACTCTACAGTATTTCCAGGTATCTTATTGTCCTATAATCTCCTATCATGGAGACTTGAAGTTGAAAGGGATTTTCAAGTCATTGCCTATATAAAATAATAATTAAAAATTCTATAAAATAATGCTTGTCATTGTTAGAGTTATAAGTAATAGAAAACACTTAAATCATATCCACACACAGTCACATATTGATTTCCTCTTAGGTAATAACAAATTTGAATACTATCATCTCACACAAAAAGCGTATCTTACAGATTTTTGCTATTCCACTTTTTTTAAGTGGAAGTTTTGTGTTTATTATTTAAAATCTCCGGATAGAAAAAAGCTAATTGGGAGTTCCCTGTAGTAAAAATAAGTGTAAATATAAATATTATTATTATTATTATTGTGAATATATAATAACATTGCTTACTAAAGGCAACCAAGTCATAGGGTCAATTTCTGATTCCCAAAATCTGTCCTGTGAGAATATAGAAGTCTCTGACCTAAGATCCATCCTTATGATCTCCTAATTCAAAGGTCTTTGTCTTTGAATTAGGAGATAGAGGAGTCAGCTTCAATTCAGAAACTCTCCAAGGCTTTCTCTGCCTTTATCTCTTTCCTTGAGAAAATCCATATGGGAACACTCTGAAGCAGGATGAACCCAGTGAGAATGTGTGTGTGTGTGTTCTCTGAGGAGAAGAACTTGGGTTTGACTAGGTTTCTGTTATCACTATCACATGTTGCAAAGACTATCTAATGCAAAATTTTTATAACCCTTTGAAAACTATTAGGTCAAGTGTTAAGTAAAATCTGTACTCACCAAGTTTCAAAGAAACCAGGCATATTTGATAAGTAGAAATTTTTCTACTCTTTTTAAATATTCAATAAAATTATTTTTAATCAAACTTTATGTTTTCTGATGCCTACAAAAGTTATATTAAATGAGTCAAGTACATTATGACAACAGGAGACAAAAATTCAGCCTGGGGAGCCAAGAATTTTTAAATCTATGCCGGTTCTCATTGATCCAGTTTGGGAAGTATTAAGTCTTTGCTTCTCATGTTTTCTGTTTAATCCATCATGAATAAAGCAACAACAACGACAGTAAAACACTTAGAGGAGACAGAAGATGAGGAAGGAAAAATAGCTAAAGGCAGATGTCAAGATAGAATGGTTCACCCAACAACCTCATCATATGCTCCAGATAAGCACCTGGAATGATGATAGCAAAACTCCAAAATAATAGAGAATGTTACGCCATAGTTCTAGAGCACAGCAATAGAAAGCTACAAAACAAAGACAATAAGCTTCATTATTGAGACGTCTAATGGAATTACTTTTGAATTATTTAAATCTTATGATTGATGTATTTTCAGTATAGACTATAACATATATAGTATACATATAGATACTGTATATGTATAGATTAAACATTTTGAATGTAACAGGAGTACTTTATACAGTTACTCATTATATAGACACATAAACATGCACATACATTCATGAAACAATATTTCATGAATTTTTATGCTACACATAGGCAATAAACGCTGATATTTTCTCTTACTAATTTTTTAAAATGTTGATGGAAACCTACTAAATGATTTCACAGTCCATTAATATATTGCCACAGTAGTTTAAAGAGAGTAATGCATGTACATTTACATGAAACAAATATGTTTCCCCCTACTAAATCACTTTTAAATCACTTTCAATTTATTATAAGATTATGAGGAATAAGTTTGTTGATATTGAAATGTTATTCAAAATAATTTATCATGTTATTATTTTCATCTTCCAAATTCTACCTAAGTTTTTTCTCCCCTATGTACTCTTGCATATATCCACAATTGAAAGTACATGCTACTTCAATCAAACTCATAAATAGTACGATAGTACAGTGGACTTCTCTTTCACTCAGCACTCAAAGATGTAGCTTTTAATAAATTAACAGGTATACCTGTCTCCTTCATTAGATTTTAAGCCCTTTTGGGACTTTATGCACGTTGTGTGACTCAATTTTGTATTCCTTATGATAATAACATGATGATTTCATGTAAGCAGTTAACAGATGTTTAGTGAGTTCAATTTTGGAGGCAAGAAAAGAGCAAATAGTAAATGATCGTCCAGGTATTTCAGAAAGTTGTGATATTGATACAGAAGGGCTGGGCTCCCGGTTAAACCCCGCCGCCCTTAAGCCTGGAACTACGGCCCTAAGTGAAAACAGCTGACCCCGTCTTTCTGCCCAAATGTTGCCTTTTTGGCTTGCCCCGCCCCTGTCCTGTGCCCATATAAGACTTCAGCTGGGAAAGCAACACAAGCGGCTGAACCTCCAGGATACAAGTGGCTGAGCGTCGGAAACCACGGAGAGACGTGGCTAACTTCAGATGGTGTGGCTTCAGAGAGGGGCTAGGACAGAGACGGCAGGCCTTCAGGGAAAGATCACTTTCTCATCCACTTTCCAGCCTCTCTTTTCGCTAAGAGCAACCCACCGCCCTATAAAGTCTGCATTCATCATCTTTCAAACAGTTCTTATGACCTGATTCTTTCTGGATGCCGGAAAATAACCTGCTGCCACCCCGACCCTCCACTGAGCTGGTTAGCACTTGGCCATCCCCAGATGGCAGAGCTGAAAGAGCATTGGTTGTAACATGCTTGGACACTGCTGTAGGGCCTGCACAGAGCCTGCTCCCACCGGAGAAAAGCGACTGGCCAGTTCCAGCGTTTGTTCTCTCCAGTTCCCACACCGGCTGGCTCACACGCTCCCTCTCGTGAGGAGTGGCTAGCGGTGGGCTGAGTGAAAGGAGCCACTCCTGCTCCTGCCCGTGAAGAGGGTCAAGGGACCTATCCCATCTCAATATGAAAGAGAGAAATTTAAGAAATCAGAATTAGGATTTTAATTCTATGTCATTTCCGTCTTTCTTCATTTCAAGTACCCATAAAAATGTTTTATCTGTGAATAGTTTTCTTAAATGGTTGTATGTGTGAAGATAATTTTAAGTTCTTCATTGTAATAACTTAAACTTTCTAACGTATTGCATCATTAGCTCTACTTCTACACGATTCGCATGTAGGCTCACAAAATTCCAATCAATGTGGCCACACTTTATCTGCTTTTTCTATCTGCTTCTAGTGGATATCTGGCCGGTTAGAGAGTTACTGGTTAGGTTGAGCCAAAGAATGGAATCAATGGATCTCTAGCTGTTAAAATGTCCACATATGATCAGCTTTTTATTTCCCAAACAATTGTATCTATCTATCTTTATTTATTTATTTATTTAGAGACAAGGCCTCACTTTGTTGCCCAGGGTGGAGTACGGTGCCACAATTATCTTCTAATTATAAAACATTTTGATACAAACTTCTAGATAGCAGAATGGTTTATGTAGTCAAATATATTTTGAACTTTTTTTTTTTTTTGAGACAAGTCTTGCTCTGTCGCCCAGGCTGGAGTGCAGTGGTGTGATCTCAGCTCACTGCAACCTCCACCTCCCAGGTTCAAGCAATTCTTCTGCCTCAGCTTCCCAAGTAGCTGGGATTACAGGCGCCTCCCATCACACCCAGCTAATTTTTGTATTTTTAGTAGAGACGGGGTTTCATCATGTTGGCTAGGCTGGTCTCAAACTCCTGACCTTGTGATCTACCCGCCTCGGCCTCCCAAAGTGCTGGGATTACGTGAGCCACTGAGCCTGGCCTGAACTTGTTTTATTCATTTGTTTTACTGACCTGTATGTTCATGTGAAATTCCTGACTATTTTGGTTGAGAATTTGATTGATATGGCTGATTTATTTTGGGAGACAAGCCTACTTAGACTCTTTAAGTTCTAACAGACATAGTGTACCAGGGTGAATTTACTTGGCAGCCAACCCTAAATGGTTGAAGGTAGGTTATAATAAAATTATGCAAGGCATTAAAAAATAAAAGACATGGTAGAAGTTAGTATCAAAAAATAGATGAGCCTTTAACTCTGACCCATGAAGACAGAAACATCTATTTTGGGAAAAGTCAGACTTGAATGCAAAGTGTTCAGTCAGCAATATGGCATCATTCAAGGATTAATCAGGACAAAAGAAATCCCACTCTCTATTTCAAATAGAAAGGGGTTTAAGAAAAAAAATAAGATTCTTACCATGCACTGGGAGGAACTGAAGAACTGTAAATATTGATGGACTTTGAGTAGAGGTTCAGCTATAGTCCTGGGAGATTCAAAGTTGCTGTTGTCACCTACAGAAAATTACTGCTTACATCATAGTAGCTAAGTCATTCATGATCTTCAGAGGGAATAAAATTTGAGTCATAAATGAAAAAAAAAAACCCTCAAATATCTGCCACTTCTTCCAGAGGAAGACAAATTATTCTATATATCCCCTCCATCTTCTAAATATCACATAAGTGCATTTCATGTTTAGCTGAACCTAAAACATATCAAGAGTCCTGTGGAAAATCAGGATTTGTGAGTGATCAAGCAGACAAAAGCCAATGGTAGACCACACATGGACACATGCACCGGAGGCCTATTGGGGAAAACTCACAAAGTTGGAGCAGTAGCAGTAGCAGGCATGCCGAGCCCCTCTTTTCTTGGAATTCTAGGGATAGCACAGAGAAATCAAGCCCAGACAAACACTAGATTTTAAGGACGAGGCTAAGTAACTTGAATTTGAGGCGGTTTATTAGACGCTTCTGATTAGAAAGGCAGTGGCAAGATTAATGACAGGGATACAACAGCCATATGATGTGTCAGAATCCTGGCTGTAGCCTCTTCCTTCTAGCTCTGCATACATGGAAAGGAAATAGCAACCCCTTCCCTGACATGATCAAGAGGCTGTGCCCATGCCTTGTGATTGCAGTTCCAAAACTTGTTGAACTAATGGCCTTACTCATTATCTTCATGTGACTGGGTGACTACCAATGCCCTTCCTGATGTAACTAGAGGTACTGGAATCCAAGTATTATAGTTGACCAAGATTAAATGCTTTAATTATTGGAAAGCAGCTAGTTTCCATGAAACTAACTCTTTTTATATCTTAAAAAATAACCTTTACTGTTCTCTTTCACTTCCAATTCCACATTCTTTTTATCCTAAGCAGAGTCTCATGACTTGGTGTAGTAACAAATTGAAACTTTTATTACTTATGGTAGCATTATTACATAAGTAGTATTAAGTAAGTGTATTATTTCCAAATCTTCACTCTTTCCTGTTATAGATTATTCAGTAACATCCTTTGCCATGTAATTTTGTACCACCAAAAAAGTCAGGGTACTTTTTGCGCTATACAGGTATTGAGCTTAGCCATGTAACTTTTTTGACCTGCAGAATGTTAACCAATGTGATATGAGGAGGAGCCTTAACTGTGATTTGCTCTCCTGTGGTCTGATGTGAAAAGCACATGTTCCAGGCAGGGGCAAAGTGTCATGCTGCCTCTTTAGCCTGGCTTTAAAAACTTCTGGAGCAGACCTGAACCCCTTCAGAAACCTGGAATCTAGCCTTGCTCAGCTGAATTTTTCCAAATTCAGCCTAATCTTAGCTGAGTTATACAGCAGCAAGCCTGTGATTGTGACAATATATTTTTGTTTGCCACTGAAATTTCAAGTGTTTGTTTTAGTGGTGGTTGTGGTTTTTACTGTCATATAGCAAAAGCTAATACAGTTTCTCTCACTTCCACTGGCTACTGTAGTCTTTATTTTTTACCTGCACTCTTCCCCTGGTTACAGTAATATTAACAAGCATCCCTCGAGCATCCCTGGAGTACCTGTCTTAGTTCTTCCTGTTGCCATCGTATAGTAAAAACGTTATTTGTCCTTGATAATCAGTATTAATTACTCCAACAAATAGAGTAGTATTTATTCATCTTTGCCTGTTGGCTCAGTGGCATTAGGAACCCAAAAGGTGACAGTCTCAATTTGTACTTCACTGGGAGCATTGCTGTATCTTTTGAAGGAAGCACCAATTTTGTGTTGATTAAAATGTCTGTGCCAGAGAGAATTAGGGATCAACAAATATTAGTGACCTCCCTACATTTCTTGAAGTTGACGTAGAGTCATGTGATTTGGTTCTGGCCAGTGGAAATGTGAATGGAGATATGCCGCAGCAGGTCTGTAGCACTGTAGAGATGATATGTTTTCTTCATCCCTCTTTTTCCTGGTCAGCCAGATCTTGGAAGTCATGTTTTAAGATGGAAGTGCTACAAGATGATTGTAACCACACTCCCTACACACACAATAGAGGAGAGACTCCACCAAACTTTACATTAGCAAAAAATAAACCTTTGTGGAGTTAAGCCACTAAGGTTTTGGAGATTATTTGTTCTTTGCATAAAATTAATTAGCATGATGACTAAAACTCTAACCCAGAAAAGTCCAAACTAAAGCAAACTCCAAGTGAAGCAGAACATTACTGAGTTACGTGTTAGAGTTATACTGATTTCCATTATTTTGACTCCCAGACAAATATAGTCTAGTTATAAGAGAAAGAGCACCATATGTTGGTTACTCCACCAGACATATTCAGAATAGCACCTGACTCTCCAATGTTTTTCTTCCAACTGGGACTGTAACTGAGTCTTCAATAGCTTATTTCAATATTTTCTAAGGTCACCTGCACCTGGGTAATGTGGTAATTGTTAAGACCCACCCATACATCACACGAGGTGAGATGACTACTTATTTATTTTGCTCAAATTAGTTCCTTGAGCAAAAATCAAATTTTGTGTGTGTGTAAAACTATAATGATGAAGTAAGTGCAGACATGTGTTCTAACAGGAGCTTTGCAGGAAGACAAAGCAAATCCATTTCTAGAATAAGTGTTTCCCAGTAAGAAAAAGAAATTCTCTCTATAATGGGAGGGGTCTGATTAACTTACCTACCATGTAGCTGACTAGTTCTAATGCTTAGTAAAAAAGTAGCAGATAATCCAGTACAAATAATGATTAGCCCAATGTTATTACTCTTTGGCTCTTAGTAGGATGAATAATTAGCAAAATAATCATAAAAGTTAATTCCAACTTAATTATTCAGTATTTATACTGGGTAATCAGGCCTGTTGAGTCTATGTCCTTGGTGTATTGTCTTATCAACTGAATATGGCAGATATGGGCTAGCTATTCATCAAATCTGTGTCACTGCCTTACTAGGCATATAGTTACATTATAGTGGCAACTTGTATTTTCTAAAGATGGTTGCAACATTTTCTCCTGTATCTCTCATGCTCTCATTCAATGTGATATTGCCATTCTCCTATCTAACAGTCAATGTCTATTTGTCTACTCCTTTGAAACAGAGTGAGCTCTATGACCAATACATTATGGTAGAGGTGGCACTGTGTCAGTCCCAGCATAATTCTAAATTTAACAGGCAGCCTCTTCCTGTTCCTTGGAATGCTTGCTCTTAGGATGCTTCCACTAGGAACTCAGTTGTCATCTTGTAAGAATCCCACATCACTTAAAAAGGCTACTCCAGAAGGCCCATAGCCCCGGCTGAGCTACCAGTTAGCAAACAGCATCAGTCTTGTTATGTGAGCGAGCCTAGTTGATTTGAAAGCCTTCAGTTAGCCTTCCTATGATTACTGACCCAGCCAATCTCTAACTGCAACCACAAGAGACCAAAAGCATCCAGCTGAGTCCAGTCAACTTCAGAACCATAAGAGAGAACAATTAATTCTTCTTTGAAAGATTAAGATGTGGGGGTTTTAGTTATGCAGTAATAAATAATCAAAACGACTATAGAGCCGACCTCCTTTCTAATGCAATTATGACTCAGGCCATATGACTATTCTGGCCCACAGGATGTGCACTGAACATGTTAAACACTATTCCCAATCTTAGTGCATTAAAAAACTTCCATGTAATATAATACTTCTTCTCTTTCCATTTTTGGAGATTGATGCCCAGGGTGACTCTAGAAGTCACATGGTGAAGAAGTCAGAGAGTAAGTCAGCCTAGGTCCTTGAATGACTATACATAAGTAAGCCTCCACTATCTACACATCTGAGGTTTGCACTAATGTAAACAAAGCAACATATTTTTGGGGAGTTAAACAGCTAATATTTGAGGGGATGTGTTATAGCAGATAGACTTATGTTAACTTAATGTGCTATTTCTTGCATGTCCCTTAAACTCTCCACTTTTGAACTTCTTTGCCTGTAAAGTAGGGATAAAAGGCCCTGATACTCTTGCTTCACTGAGTTCCTATTCAGAACAGACCCCACACTGGTTCTTAAGATATTTTCTAAACTGGATGGTAGAATAAAACCACAAACATTGATAATTTTGTTCCTAGTTTTAGAAACAAAATATTTTAAAAAGGACACAAGGAATGGATTTTCAGATCAAATCTATTTACTCCATCAGTCATTATTATGTGACTTGGAGAAGTTATTTGGGCTTTTTTATGAGGATATAATAAGAATATTTGGCCATAATTATAATAGCAGTTATTCAATATACATTTATTTACTTAAAATAATTATGTCAGTTTCTTTGAGAGCTTATAGAAAGTAAGAAATAATCACTTTTATCTTTGAGCCCCAAAGGTGTCTAGCAGTTTTGCATGCCATAGCACTAACTAAATTTTTTCTGATTTAAATAAATAAATAATGTCGATTCCTAAGAAGAAATGTTATTAGCACCCATGATCTTGATAGTAGAGATCCTAGTTAACTCTCACTTTGAGAACTCACAACTGATCTGAGAAATTCCCACTTGACTTCAAATTCTCCTTTTTTTTGGCTTAATTTATTCTTTTTTATTGGTAGTAATTAGAGAACAAATAAGAGAGTTTGTTTCCTGTTTAACACTTCTGTAAACTGATAAAGAAAAAGATCCAATATTTCCCCTTATTTTAGCAAAAATATACATTCTTTTTCATCACCCTAACATATAACTAAGTAATTATGTATACATAGAAAACTCAGGTAGTTTTGAGAGAATGGTTTTTATGAAAGTTAGTTACATGGCCAGAAAGATCAACACTGCTTTGTCAGAAAAAAAATCCATAAATAAGGAGAGAGTTCTAATTTAGGAAACGCAGTCTAGATATAAACTGAAAAGAAAGGTTACGTAGAATAATAACAGTTAGCTCAGAGGATGTATGCAATTAAAGGAGAAGGTTTTAAGGTAAACAAGGTATAATTTGGGGGATTTCAAAGATGATAAATGATGAGTTATTAGCATTCATTATAATGACCATAAGTTCATACTGATACTATCTTAACAAACAATTTGACAAAATTTTCAAACTTAAAAACATTTGACAACAGTTTAAGTGATACTTTAAAGACTATAGACAATTAAAAGTATTATAGACTCTGTATACAAACGAACTCTGCAAGGTTTTTGTTTCCATTTGAAGTAATGGTACGTTGCCAATGGTTGGTGACTCCACCTGAATAAAACATTTTAGCAGTTTGTGTCATTTCACATGTAATTAGGGAAAGGAACACTTGCTCTTGAGGTATAGAACTGTGTAGAAACCATTTTATATGGTGTGGTCTCCTAAAATATTTTTAATTGGAAAGTTACTTTAGAAATTTAATATGTCTTCATCTCTGTTTCATAATTAACTTCAAAATGGGAGTCCATATGGCAGATGAGCAACATTTAATAAAAATAGCCAACTAGCTTGCCAGAAACAGTGATGTTATAGTGGAGAAATTCGAACATTACATAATTCATTATTTTTATGGGAGACATAAGGTTAGTCATAAGAACCGCTTTGAGTTTAGAGTCTAACCAAGATATACCACCGTTTCAGTAATAAATAATGCAGATAACATCCATCTTCCATGCACCATAGAGAAGAGACAGTGGCTATCAAAAACATCTCATTAGAAAAAAAATTAAATTTCAGCAACATCCAGCATCTTGATGGAGAATCCTGGCTGACAGATATTTTTTGTTCTTGATTAACTTGTAAAATCAAGCTTACACATCTTCTATTTCCTAAAGTCTTTAGCAAACACATAAAATATTTTACCCTGAGTCTTGTACAGTGCAAGTGATACAGACCATCAACCTCATAAGACTTTACAAAGTATAAATAAATAAAAAGTCCATGGCTTGGGGGACACAAGGAGACCCACTCATTACAGTTTAGGACTAGAGCACAGGACTAGAGTTTGCAAGGTGTCAGCACTTCAACAACTCCTGCTTCTGCTGACTCCAAGAATGAAATCAGAAAGATTTATTTCAGATTCCAACTTAGAATTCAACAAGCAAACCATGCTTTTTAGGGCCAGCTTTCTGAGAAACTTGAAAACGTGAAGTATTCTCCTTTTTTAATAAATTTGAGAGAGTATGTTCCCTCAGACTGTACAAAGAAAGGGTTTTTCCACCAGCTATGGTCTCAGGAAGTCAAAATTTATTATTTTTTTCCCCTCTGGATTTTTTTTTTTGAAAAAAATCTTAGCATTTAATATTAATTATATAAGTATAAGGAATAAATTTTTAAATGGTCCTATTAATCTCTGTTGACATTGTTTAGGCATGGTTTAAAAATTCAGACATTATAGACATATAAAATCAATAGAAAACTGTCTTCCTCATCCTATCTCTTTCCAAAAAAAAAAGTTAATTCTCTTTCCAAAAAAGATGCAAATTTCTGTGTGAATCTTTAGGAGAAATATTTTTTATACATAAAAGGAATCATACTATTACTACATGCACTATTCCACATCTTGCTTTTTTTCATTTAAGTGCATATTATTTCCATTTTTAATTAATTAATAATTAATATGACCACAAGGTTCTTTTCAATGTTTACCTAATGTTCTTTTGGGTAGATATGTCAACACTTAACTAACAAGTATCCTACTGATTCAATGACCACTCTTATACATGTCTCACCAGCTTCTAACTAGGATGTTAACTCCTCAGTTAGTGACACTTATTATGTTCAAGGACCTTGCCTTCCTTTCTTACCTCGTTCTCATCAGCCTCAAGAATAGTCATTGTTCATAGGTATAATTCAACAAACATTATATGTTGGTGGTAAATATATTGATATAATTTATGTGCATTCTAGTAGAGTAACTTTCTAGCAATGAGATCTAGTTCTGTTGATATATGTATCTTTAATTTTGAGACATATTGCCAAATTTTCTTCCAAATATTTGGCAGCAATTGTATTTGAAACTGTATATTTCCCCAATCCTTCACAAACTATGAATATTACCAAACATTTGCATGTTTCACTATCTGATAAATTTTTTAAATCTTCTATTTATTTGCATTTCTTAAATTATAACTGCGATGGAAATTTTTCTAATGTTTGCTGAATATTTTTAATTTTTTTAATTCAATTTTTCTGTTTCTGTGGCAGGCAACTTTTTTATTGCTTTTTATGAACACATAGTAAATTAAAGAAATTAGCTCTTTCTCAATCTTTTTATTAGTGAGCAGTTTTTGGTTTTGTTCTATGCTTCTCATTCTAATATTTTGTACAAGTAATCACCCACATAGAAGTATGTTGTATAAATTCTTTTTTTCTCCCACAGATTTTAAGATTTCTTTTTATGAAACGTGTAGTTATTGAGTGCCTGCTATGTGCTGGACACCCTTCTGGGCATTCACACTGATTACAGGACAGGAATCTACAAGCCACTGAAGTTCTAAAGTTGATTAAGAATAAGCAACTCTTTGCAATAATATATGGAAGATACTTAGTAGCTACTGAATTCATCACAAGAAAGTCAGCAAATAGAGAGAGGTGGTTCTGCCTTTTTCCTAGCCTTTCTAATCAAGCTGTCTTGCAGATGCAGCAAAATCCTTAAGATGGCATACATGGCTGATGTAGCACTTGTTTGCTTCTCCAAGCTCATTTCATTTCATCTTCACCTTCCCATTAGCCTTTGAATTCCAACTACAATTTTCTTTTAGTTTTTGAAACATTGTATACTACCCACTGCCTTAAAGCCCAGGCATACACCAGTCCTTCACCTACAGCAGGCTATAGCAGGCTGTCTCTCAGAGGCCTCCTCTTACCTCTATGTTTTTTGATGACTTAATTCACCAGATTTATTTTCCATTAACAAATTCTTCATCAGAAAGACATCTCTGACTTTCCAAACTTAGATATATCCCTTATTAGTCACTGCTATATTACCATGAACATTTTAAACTAGATTATTGAGATATAACATATATTCAATAAAATGTATCCATTTTAAATGCACAGTTCTGTGAGTTTTGACAGATTTATACATCTGTATAAATAATATCACTGAATCAGCAGGTAGAGCATTCCCATCACCCAGAAAGATTTCTTGTGCCTGTTTTCAGTGAATGCCACTGCTTCTGCCCCTGCCTCCAGTCTGTTTTTTTGGCACTGCAGATTATAATTTTCTCTTCTAGAATTTCATACAAACATGTCTTATTTTGGGTCTGGCTTCTTTCACATTTTTTGCAATTCACCCATGTATTAGCAATCTGTTCTTTACTAATGCTGAAAACTATCCCATTTTACTGATATGCCACAACTTGTTTGTTCATTTACCCACTGAGGTATATATTTTGTATATTATTAATAAAGTGTTGCTAGGAATTTCATGCATATAGCTTTCCATAGACATAGGTTTTCATTTATCTTGGATAAAGTAGGATTGATGGGTCATATATTATGTGTATTTTTAGTTTTATAAGAGACTGCCAAACAGTTTTCCAAAGTTGTTGTACTATTTTATATTCTTACCAGCAATATACAAGAGCTCCAGTTGATGCTGTATACTTTCTATCATAGGAATTAGCACAAACTATAATTATAAATCTCGTGATTGCATATAAATTTCATAAAAGAAGAGGACTGGTCTATTTTTAAATTTAGTCTAGTGCAATAATTGGCACATAGTAGACACACAATAAGTATTTATTAATATGGAATGAATTAAACTTATATATTGGATTGCAATTGATGTGAGAATATGTTTCTAAATGTAAAAGATAGTAATAACCTAACCTCTTGGGTATGATGTTTTACACAACAGGTACTGAAAAAAGCCAGGTCTTGCCTAGACATCATTTCCAAGCTGAGCTTGTGGCTTTAAGTGCCAATCTAAGGATATTTGGTTGCTTATTCAGTGTGCAGAATATTGTTTGAAGAAGACCCCCTTCATTTTCTTTCAGGCATATGCTTTCAAACACAAAGATCACCAAAATCAACAAAGGTGTTAATTTCAAATTTGTAAAGTTTTTATGAACACTTAAGAATAATGACTTCAATTCATAAATCTGGCAGCTAAAGTTCTTTGTAATACTTAAGACTATGTCATTTTTAGGGATAATTTCACCAGAAATAACAGTAAATTCACTATTTTAACTACATCTGTTTTACACCAGAATATGAAATGTCTGTGCAGCAGTTAAACAGTAGTTTGGGAACCATCATTCCACTGAAGGCCTCTTCAGTTCAACTGTCTTTTTTTCTACAAATTAGTTTTTCTCAGGGGAAAAAAGGAGCAAATGTTTATTGAATAGAATTGTGTTTTACATGATGTTTTTTATACCCATGGCAACACCGAACAATTCAAGAAGTGACTGACTGAATAAAAATGGCCATGATTATCTGCTTAGTCACAGGACAGAAACAGCATTAGACATTATAAAAAATGTGTTCGAAGAGAGGAAGCACTCTAAGAATGCTTAAATCATTAATAATGCTATCAGGAGCTACTTTATTAAGTGCACGGCATGACATTGGTATTAGTCACCCAAGTACCATGAGATGTTTAATATCTGCCTACAGAATCATAGTAAGCTATCATCAATTTACTAACACATATTAAGGCCACTTCTTGAAACAGTGCTGAATTTTTTTCTCCCTCTTTACTTTGAAATCTCTAATAGACACGAATTAATGGCTTAAGGTGATCTACAAACAAGGAAAATACAACTCCAAATGAATGCCAACATTCTTTATGGTGTGTTTTGTTTGTGTCTGTTTGTGTGACATTTGCAACTTTTCTAATTAGAAAAGGAGAACAGTTATCTTAATTTTATAGTATTGGCACAAAAGATGTTCAGTAAGGTAAATAATATTAGTATACATGTTAAGGAGATGAAACTGATAAATAATATCATTTTATATAGTATATAATTTATGCAAATATTTAGGATTCAATAGTCAACTGGTAACCTGTGGATTCTATAAATAATGCAAAAAATGCATATAAATTTCATAAAAGAAGAGGACTGGTCTATTTTTAAATTTAGTGCAATAATAGGCACATATAGATACACAATAAGTATTTATTAATATGGAATGAATTAAACTTATATATTGAATTGCAATTGATGTGAGAATATGTTTCTAAATGTAAAAGATAGTAATATCTTTTACCCATTGATTAGGTATTTTCACTTCGAAAATGTGGTTAAATAATATTTTGCTTGTTTTGTTTTTAGATAATATTATTGAGGTTAGATCTGGCCCAGTTCACATATGAAAGGTCAACTTGATGACCATTCTCCTTTAAACATCTTAAAATTGTATTTGAGAGCTTTAACCATGTAACTTCTACTTAAATACCAATTCCTTTTCTAGGTAATACCAATTCCTTTTCTTTCTGACCAAGTTTTAGGAGGATGTGTTAGAGTTCCACAGAGAAACAGAACGAAGAGGATATATGTATACACGTATGTATGTGTATATTATAAGGAATTGGTTCATGTGGTTATGAAGGCTGGAGTCCCAGGTTCTGAAGTTGGCAAGCTGGAGACCCAGGAGAGCCAATGGAGTAGCTGGATGGTGTTTCTTATTTGACATCCAAGAGCAGCCAATGTTTTCGTTCCAGTCAGAAGGCAGGAAGAGGCAAGAACAATGTCTTAGCTTAAGCAGTGAGACAGAAGGAGTTCCCCTCCCTTGAGGGAAGGTCATCTTTTTGTTTGATTCAGGACTTCAGCTGATTTAATGAAGGCTACCCACATTACGGAATGCAATCTACTTTACTCAGTTTACCAATTCAAATGTTAATCTCATCAAAAGCATCTTCACAGACACTTTCAGAATAATGTTCGACCAAATGTCTGGGCACTCCATGGCCCAGTCAAATCAATACATAAAATTAATCATCACAGAGGGGCATTCTAGTCAATCGTAAAATATGATTCTATCTTAATTTTACATCTAATGTAATGGTTTATCAGCAAAAACTTGGCAACGTTTGGGTCAGAGTACAAAAGGACACATTTTTGATCAAGGAGAACTGTTAAAGTTGTATCAAGTGAGAGTTTTGAGAGAAAGGATTTGTATAACTCAAAATGGTTGGCAAATGAAGATGCTAAATACATGCTCTTGGCTGAATGATGATGAGATTGATACATAAAAATAAAGTAGAACTCAGCTAACTGTTTATACTTTTTAAATCTTAGACATTTTCTCTTGGTTTATAATTTTTTGACATTGTAGAATATTTCTCCAATTTCTTCATTTACTTAACTGAACTACGCAATTGCACTGTATTTTCATTTGCAGCTTGGTGAATATGTCTTTTGTATCACTTTTAAGCCATGGTATAATAAATACTTAAGTATGTAAATTTTTATTTGTTATATTGCATTTCCCATATACATAAACTGTATGCTCAAATAAGCACATGTACAAGAAATATTTCTTGGTTATAAATACCAGCATCTAGTTTTTAGAAAGAATAGGAAAATAACCTTTTAATGGCTTACGTCCTGCTGTAAAATAGAAGTTAATCCATTTCAGATTTGGCAACTCAGCATATTTTTTTCCCAAATAGCTTTATACTTGAGCATTTAAACTCTTTCAATTCAATAATAAGAATGTATTGAAATGCTATTATATTGTAAAATATATGCCCACAATACACTGCAAAATACTTATCTTGAAGTATATTATGGACATTGAGATACATCACGATATGATGCCTCTCAAGGATATTACAATCTAACTGCAGAAAATAAAAAGAGACTATCTACATGAAAAACATGTAGATTCCTCTGAGGTTTCCTTATCTCTCGCTTCAGTCTTCTCTGAGCTTTCTCATTCATCACTGACAGTTAAAATTTTTTTAAACAAAGCCCCAATCATATCACCTCCCTACTCAAAGGTTGTCAAGGTTTATGTTGACTATAAATCTAATTAAAAATTAATATCAAGGATGTCCTAGCCAGAGCAATCAGACAAGAGAGAGAAATAAAAGACATCCAAATAGGAAAAGAAGTGAAACTAACTCTCCTCACTGACAATATTATTCTATACCTAGAGAACCTTAAAGACTCCACCAAAATGTTCCTGGAACTGATAACCGAGTTTAGTAAAGTTTCAGGGTATAAAATCAATGTACAAAAATCAGTAGCATTTCTATACACTAAGAATGTCTTAGCTGACAGCCAAATCAGGAACACATTCCCACTTAAAATAGCCACACACACAAAATAAAATACCTAAGAAAACATCTAACAAGGGGTGAAAGATGTTTATAAGAACTGCGAAACACTACTGAAAGAAATCATATATGACACACACAAAAAAATGGAAAAACATTCCATGTGCATGGATTGGAAGAATCAATATTATTTAAATGGCCATACTGCCCAAAGCAATGTACAGAATCAATGCTATTCCTATGAGACTACCAATCTCATTTTTCACAGAATTAGAAAAAAACTATACTAAAATTAATATGGAACCTAAAAGGAGTCCAAATAGCCAAAGCAATCCTAAGAAAAAACAAACAAACAAAAACACACAACTGGAAGCATCACATTACCTGAATTCAAACTACTATAATTCTACAGTAACCAAAACAGTGTGATACTGGTAGAAAAAGAGAAAACAGATACATACACCAGTGGAACAGAATAGACACCCCAGAAATAAAGCCACAGACCCACAGCCATCTGACTTTCAACAAAGTTGACAAAAATAAGCAATGGCAAAAGGACTCCCTATTTAATCCATGAGCTGAGACAGCTGGCTAGCCATATGCAGAAGAGTGAAACCACTTTTATCCCACACAAAATTTACTCAAGATGGATTAAAGATTTAAATATAAGACTTCAAGCTATAAGAATCCTAGCAGAAAATCTAGGAAACACTATTCTGGACGTCAGCCTTTGGAAAGAATTTATGACTAGGTCCTCAAAAGCAATTGCAACAAAAACAAAAATTGACAAGCGGGATCTAATTAAACTAAACTTTTGCACAGCATAATAAACTATCAACAGAGTAAGCAGACAACTTACAGAATGAAAGAAAATATTCACAAATTATACATCCAACAAAGGTCTTATACTCAATAATCTACAAGAAACGTAAACAAATCTACAAGCAAAAAACAACCCCATTAAAAAGTGGGCAAAAGACATGAACAGACACTACTCAAAAGAAGACATACAAGCAGCCAACAAACATACAAAAAATGCTCCAAATCACTAATTATCAGAGAAATGCAAATCACAACCACAATGATATACTATCCCACACCAGTCAGAATGACTATTATTATTAAGTCAAAAAACAACAGATGCTAGTGAGGCTGCAGAGAAAAGAGAACACATACATAGTTGGTGGGAATGTAAATCAGTTCAGCCACTGTGCAAAGCAGTCTGGAGATTTCTCAAAGAACTTAAAATAGAAGTACCATTTGACCCAACAATCCCATTACTGGGTATATATATACAGAAGAAAACAAATTTATCTACCAAAAAGGTAGATGAAACTCATACATTCATCACAGACTATTCACAATAGCAAAGACAAGGAATCAACCTAGCTGATTAATGGTGGATTGGATAAAGAAAATGCACTACATATACACCATGGAGTGGGAAATTATCAAATATTTGCCTGGCAGTGTGTCAAATTTACTACATCATTGTGTTGAATTTAATTGTCTTCTGGAGAAAATAAATAGCATAGGAAGAAATAAAGATGTGAGAATGCCTGACTAAAAAGACTGGTTTAGTATAGAATCAATGTCATAATGTTCTCTTTTAAGAAGATTCAGCTGATGAGCAAAATGGTTTATTTTCAATCTCACGTAAAAGAAGTTTGGAGATAATGATAGAGGCAGGAGGCAGACAGATTCCTAGGCAGAAAGAGGTGGGTCCCCAGTGAAACCCCATCTTCAAGCCAAAAACAGCCTAAAGCCTGAAAACCAGGCTGCCAGTTCTGGGTGAAGTCCATGACCTGGAGCGAGAACTTCCTCAATGCCTTTTAGCCAATCAAATGGTGCTTTTTCCAGGCCCGCCATGGACCAATCAGCATGCACTCCCCCATTCTGAGCCCATAAAAACCCTGGACTCAGCCACACTTTAGGACTACCTGCCTTCAGGTAGGGGCTACCCACTTTAGGTCCCCTCTCCACTAAGAGCTGTTCTGTTGCTCAATAAAACTCTTCTGCGCATTGTTCACTCTCCACTTGTCCATGTAACCTCATTCTTCTTGAATGCAGGACAAAAATCCAGGACTCACCAAACAGCAGGTATGAAAGGAGCTGTAACACTGTAGCCATCCTACCTTCCCCCAGCACTGGGCCATGGTCCCACATGACAGGAAGTGGTGGCAGCAGGGCCAGGCCAGCCCAAGAGCTGAGGGCTGGAGTGGGGTGGCAGGACCAAATGAGCTGAGACATGCCACCATTTGCCAAAGCATGTGGATGGCAGGAACTAACGAACTGTAATATGAACAAGCTGCAAGACTTCTGGGGCCCTGATCTGGGGACTCCCTGAGCCAGAACTGTGACATGCTTTAACACTCACTTGAAGCTCCACAGTTGCTTGTGTCCCCTAGGTTTTTGGGCCCCTCCATATTCCCCTCTTCCAGACACCAGAGCCCAGGGTGGAAGCCACCTGTGGTATGTCTTGTCCAGCCACAGCCTTGCATGGAGCCGGCACCTGTGCCAGCTCCTGGATTTGCCCATCCTGCCACAGAAGCCAGCACACCTGGCTCAACCTCAGCAGGTATAAGACCCGGGCCAGTAGTGAGAGCTGAGTGCAGCCTGCTGGGCCAAGTGGGCAGAGCAAGTCAAGCGGTGAGCCTGGAGCCAAGTGAAGCCCAGGCAGGTGCGCTGCTGGCCACAGAAATTTCTGTCTGGCAAAGCAGTAACCAAAAGAATCTTACGTCAATAATGAATGCTTCTGGGGTAGGGTGGTTACATGAAGTTGTGAAAGATTGAGGCCCCTTCTACTAAGCTGCCTCACAATCTATTGCTTCCAAATCATGATGTAGTGTGGATGCCAGAACTCCAGCTATCATGTGCACATCACAGTCAATATCAAGGAAGAAAGGAGAAAGCAGGCTGTGACCTCTCCTTTAAAGGAAATATTTTAAAAATATGTCAGGACATTTCTGATTAAATCCCATTGGCCAGAATGAGTGCTCTGTTCACTCCTAACTAAAAGGAGATCAGGGCATGTCTTTATTCTAGATTGCCATGGGTTTAGCTAAAAAGATTCTTTTACTGTGAAAGAAAGGCAGAGGGATATCTGAGGTTGAGTCATAAAAAGCCATTGGGTTTTATAAGAGACATCTTCTGAGATATTTGAGACAGCCTCAAGATTAAGAGGAGGGGAGAGACCTCTATATTTTTGAAGAAAGAGTGGTTTAGAGCTCTGAGGTACTGTTGGGAATTTAGCATGGAAGAACAGCTGAGAAATACCTCCTGTAGGTAAGTTTGAAAGGATATATGTACAGTCTAAAGCACACTGACAAAAGGACAATTATAGTTTGGAAGATTCTATCAGGTAGTCAGTATCTTCTCAATTTGACAATACCACCAATTTTGCACTATAAGTGAGAGGAAAAGGAAAGTAAAATAACCCAGGTGGTAAATGGATAATGTTTGAAATACAGGTACAGAGATTGGGTTAAGTAGCTCTCTAAATAAAATCAAATGATGGGACATGCTTCTGAATATCCCAGGCTCTGCTAGGTTAAGAACTGCTTCATCCAGTCTTTGAAGGAAATTAATATATCCATTAATGAAGTGCTTTCTTGAAGATTTTACCTTATTTCAGTTGCCTAGATATGGCACTACTATAAAGAAATAAGCTCTCTTAATAGTTAAAGGAAAAATGTACATTTTACAAAACTGCAATTGATTTCATACCAGCACTGTTATTGTTTAATTATGGATTTCTCAAAAAGATTCCTTTCTCTCCTTTAAAATCTTGCTGTCAGAGACAAATTCTTAGCTGGTTTTAGAATGTAATGTTGGCTTCCCAAGCAGAAAGCTGAAAGTGCTGAAAATTCACCACTAGCTTTTTCAGTGAAACTATAAATAACAGCTATATTGTGCCTTGGGAAAAAAAAGCATGGACTCAAAACTTTATTAAAAGTTATTTTTTTCCCTTGAACTGCTGTGTAAGTCACCTATAGGCTAAACCTCATAACTTATGTTTTATCCTTAGCAGACAGGGAAGAAGGTAATTGGTTTGCCTGACTGCATATCTATGCCAAAAATATCAACATATCTGTTTGGAGGCACGGAGAGAAAACTTCTAAAGAATAGGTAACAACATCTCTATTGGATTAATTTTTAAATGATGAGGTTAAAGGTCTAGTTTATAAATAACATTTTTTTCCAATCTTTATCCTTTCTGATCATCCCCTAATTATTTATAAAGTAGGAATCTGATTTATTGTAATGTATACTATTCTCCTATGGTTATTAGTAGATGTATTAATCCTTTACATAATTTGTCCCAAACAGGGTGAGTGTATTGTTTAAAGAGAAAGACATATTTCACTTTCTAATTGGTAAAAAGTCTCCTGAGAAATAGTTCAGTCTCCTGCGAAATGTTCAGTTTTGAAATGTACCTGAGTGAATAAATTGCCTCCTTCACTTAAACATGAACTTATCACCAGAAAGCCTTATTTCTTGATTCAAAGTTCATCATTAAACAATTGTTTTTTAAATAACTCTGGAATAGAGGACTTGTGTGAAAGGGATGGAAGAGAAAGGCAAAGGGCAATACAATTACAGTTATAAAACCCCAAGCAACGCAGTTTGTTTTTATGGATTATCTTTTCACTTACCTACTCTCACATCCATTGAACCTATTGAAAACAAAGTCCTATGATTCCCTTAGTATGTTCTTCTTTTGAATTTAATAAAATTAAATTCATCGCATATCCCTGCCCCAAATCCCAGCAAATCAAATCAAAAAGAATCCATTCACTAAAGAGGATGGGAGCAAATATCTGGCTTTCTTAAGGATCATATTAAAAGATGTAGTCAGCACGCTCATTTATAATGAATTTGGAGGAACTGACCTAGAGGAAGAAGGCAGCTGTATGTGGAAGAGACTGAAATCTTAGCTCTTCTGAAATAGCAGGAGGAGGTGAAAGGAGATAACCCAGAGACATTGTTTGGAGTGTGCTCCGTGGCCTTTGAAGTGCCATTACCTTCTATAGAACTAGCCATTTCTATTTCTAATTTCTTTGTTGCTGTAGAGACTTATGTTAGGAAGTGATAGATAGACCCGTGGTCAGTTTTTAGATAGGCAGTGAAGTTTTGGTATGGCAATTACTAGGAAAAAGAGAAAGAATCCAGAGAACAATCTTTTTTCACATTATTTTAGAACGCTGAAAGAAACTGGGTTTGAGTACATTCCTGAATTAAAAATAAAGTAACAATTTCAGAATACATTATTCTTTTATGGCAAATATCACACTGAATTGAAATTATTTGCTTACATTTCCATCTTTCTCATTTAGACACTAAGTTCTTGAGAGAAAATAATGTGTCTTATTCTTTTTTTAAATCCCAGCCTGATATATAATTGCTTGACAAAAAACGTTTGTGTAGTAAATTGACCTGGCTGTTTCTTCGTGTTGTCTTTCTTTGTTTTGTTTTTTTCCATATGTGCTCTTTTTCCTAATATAATTCACCATTCTTAACAGATTTTTACTTCTGATGAATTTAACTATAGATACCACTTTATGAAACTATTTAATACTCACAGAATGTATATAGCAGGGTGAAAGAATGAGGATGGATATAAAATCTGCTTCTTATAAGAAAACATTATACAAATGAGTCCAGGGCAACGTAGTGACGAAACTTGGGAGCAGCCTATAAATCCTTGGAGAACTGCATTATGGGCAATTATGGGCTGCATTATGCAGCAGAGTCTGCATCCATGGGCAGAAGACATAAAAGCACAGAGTTTAGATCAGTTTAACACTTGGCTATACAAATATGGAACAGTTTCCCTTTAAGGTGTGAGAGTACTGCCCCAAGAGGCATAAAATGGAGACTGGATTGTCCTCTTAAAAAGCTGTTTTCAAACGCATTTCTTCCTGAAATGAGTTTGTTAATTTCCCTACTCATTCCTCTTTGTATAATAGTTGCCTCACCTGCCAGGCACAGTGGCTCATGCCTGTAATCCCAGCACTTTGGGAGGCCGAGGCGGGCGGATCACTTGAGGTCAGGAGTTCAAGACCAGCCTGGCCAACATGGTGAAACCCCATCTCTACTAAAAATACAAAAATTAGCCAGGCATGGTGGCGGGTGCCTGTAATCCCAGCTACTCAGGAGGCTGAGGCAGGAGAATCGCTTGAACTCGGGAGGCGGAGGTTGCAGTGAGCCTAGATAGCACCATTGCACTCCAGCCTGGGTGACAAGAATGAGACTCCGTCTCAAAACAAAACGACAACAAAAAAAAGTTGTGTCACCATTGCCCAGTTGCTAGCCACCACATAATAATGTCTATGAACATATCCCTGGCACAGACATATAACAAGGCATCCATTTCATAGTTACTTTTAACAACTACCATGCTGGGTCCTGGAGAATATAGAGATTAATAAAGATACTTTTTCCCCATGGATTTTCAAGGTTTGCAGAGTGAAGAAAGGGAAACAGTATATATTTATGATCCAATAGGTACAATATCAATAATCTAGTCCTCAATTTTTTTTTTCTGAATTACATATCTACCAAAATATTGATTTATGAATAAATGTGGAAAAAGATAGAACATGTACATATTAATTTGTGCAGATTTCTTGGGATTTCTGATCTATTCCCAGGAAAGAAAACTCTTCTTAGGATCTTATTGCAAGGAAGGGATTTGATTAATCAAAGTGCGCATGCTTATTAAAGGAAGCAGGGTCCTCTGCCATCTAGATCCACTGGGCTTTCTAGAATCTGACTTTGACATGTAGCAATAGAAGATAACTAAACTGAGAGCCAGGGAAGGATGTGGCAAAATTAAGATAATAAAATCAACACAAATGTGTCTGATGAGTGATACCTTGTTTGTTTAGAAATGTCAGTATGTATGTTATTTCCAATTATCTTAACGCTTCTTGTTATGCCATTCAATATATTCTACAGAATATTTTAATCTACTCTTCAATGTACAAAACTCTCTTATAACTTCAAGACTTTGCACCTGAAATTCTCTCTTTAGAAGCTCTGACCTTACTATAACTTCCCTCTTCTTTGCGATAAAACTCATTGATCCAGTTGTCCCTGTCCCCTATAAATTAAGCCTAAACCCTGCCTATTACACAGTTTCATAACTGCAGATATTATTTCTTATTGTGATTTGCATATATATGCATATGTTTTCCTACAATCATAACTGATTATATTAATTTATCGTAAAATTATTGATTAATGTTTTTTGGTCCATTACATTATAGACTGTTTTAGTTTAGAGTCACTAAACTTTTTGTTTCCTTTTTGGGTCCCAATGCTCAGAAGAATATTTGGCACATAGATTTTGAGAGGTGGAAAGGAAGTTCTAAAGCTTACAAAGGACTGGTTTTATTTACACAGAATAAAACTTCTAAGCTGGCCACTTTCCATCCAATAGGTACATTATTCATTTATTTATTGTTACCTAAAAGTAGAGTTATTTTCCTAATATTTTCTAATAAAATAATTCTACTTCTTTTCAAAACACTCTTAAAAATAAGAGTTTTATAAATGGGTAAATGAGCAGATTGTTTCTGATATTTTTCTTCACTTGATTATGCTTATTAGATTTACAAATTTGAACAAATATCTTAGTGTTATTTGCTTAGGATAAATTTATGTTTACATATTGTGTTTTTTTAGGGGCACTGTAAAATATGATAAATCTGATCTAATTAGCTATCAACATACAATATATGCAAAGAAAAGGAGCTTCCGACAGTCACACTAATTTCTACTTTGAATGAAACACTGTTCAATTCAATATTTAACATATTAATAACAATAAGAGACAGAAAGATGTGAGTCTATTTCTAGTTTTATCTTGAAAACTCTTTTATATTAACAAGTAATTTATATACTATTTGATAGCTAAATATTAACAAATTCACTACAGGTAAACCAATTCATTCTCATAAGCACTGTAAGCATTATTCATTTCAGTTACAGACACAGTATTTTCTTATCTGTTAAAAAAAAAGGTGTTTCAACTAATGAGCTCTAGTTTTTCTCCTGTTTTTACCATTTCATCATACTACAAATTTCAGTAAGCTAGTTTTATGTTTCAACTACATGCTAAGAAGGCCATATCAGAGAAAAAATAACACTCTAGATCATGGTATTCTTTGGCTATTTAAGGTTCTCAGTTGAGGAGAACAAAGGCAAATAATGAAGAATTCAACTCTTACATACATTTAATGTAATAATAATTAGAGAAAAAATCCTCAAGTCTCAAAGAAATGATAAAACATTAACATTTTATTATAAAACTTGAACTCTTTCAAATATTGGTTCTCTGCACTTCTCCCGAATAGTTTTTATAAAGTTTGTTAACGTATGATTGTCAGATCCACCCATCCCTTCTCAGTATCGCAAGTGTCTGCTCTCTTGCCTGAGTATTACCTGAGCATTATGAGACCCCGCTACCTCACTGACTACAAGGAATTTCTAGAAAGAGGCTCTAAATTAGAATGAAGTATATAAGAAAGCCTATCATGTCTTTGTATTAAGTGTCTGGATTGTGGCGATCACCAAGCTTTCAGTTTGTGAACACTCCTTTCCATTCCTCTTTAGCTGCAGATGTTTATAAACAAAAGCTAGTTTTAAAAATCTCGACAGTGTTCTTTTTTGCCATCATACACTCGAAATGTTTTATATTTTACCATTTTATATACAAAGATAAGTTCATTGGGCTGGGTAACAAACTTCACTCAATAAAGGCAATAACTCATTGATCTCAAAGTGTATAGGTGATATCAAGTCATGTTGCAAATTATTCTCTTATGATTTCATAACTTCATGCTTCAAACTATTTCTGGTTTGGCAGAATAAATGGGCATTGTAATATTTCTCATATGTAATGTGAAATCATGAATAGTCTCCTTCAAAAGTCTAGACAAATATACTATCTATGTTTTTTCCAGGCCCCACAGACTGTATTCTTCCTAAATTGATAGGCATTCTCTAAAGTTTTATTTATTTTAAGAAGATAATTCAAGCATTTAGAAGGGGAAAAATTTTGATCACTTTGATGTTTTAGTTGTAAAACATTAGGAAAAATATATGATATGATAGAATATCCCCAATTCTGATAGTTTGAAAATTTACTAAGACCATCTAACAATACAGGCTGGCTTTAATTTCAAAAAATCTGCTTTGTTTTTCTTTTGAAACACTGCAAAGAAATTCAAAAGCATTTGTATTGCTATTTATCATCTGACTCACTGAATCAAAAAAATTAACACCTGCCAATCAGATGTGAATAGTTTTTATAATAGACTTATCACTTGGAAATCATGCTTCTTGACCTAAAAAGGTTACTAATGGCAAGGAAAAAAATATTGAAAATTTTATTTAATTTTGTTCTCTTTCAATGACCCAGTACACTCTAATAATATTTCTTCTAAATTATTCGTTGCCCCAGGATTCATTTTACTCCATTATTCACATAAAGGCAACTTTATGATAATATTTTCATTATGGTGAGGTATCATTAATAATGACACATATTTATAGAGTAATGATATGTCCCTCAAACTTAAAGCTTACATCGTATTCTCACAATATTTATACAATATTTACATTAAAACCACCTTATTTAAGTTGCAATGATAATATATAACAATCTAATAGGAAACTTTGAAGTACATATATTTGTGTGGGCTTACTCATAGCATGACGAGGTCTGTAAAAAGTAAAGAATATTTGTTTATAATTGTGCTATACTTTTTTACCAGGTTATTGATTAAAGTGAAGTCAAAGAGTGACAGTAATGTCTTACATAATACACTTCCCAGAATAAGAAAGAAGATGAGCAAATTAGTCTTCTTAACCTCCAGTAATATTCAGGAAAGATTGATTTCATGTAAAATTTTCAGAGGCAAAATTTTTCATAGAAGTCCAATTACAATATTGTCATTTTCTTGTACTGCATATTGTATTTACAAAATGCATATTATGAATATTTCAAATAAAACATGAGCAGTAATATAATTTATATGCAGCATTGTATTTTGCTTGCAAAACTGTCAGACATTTTCACTATAGCTATGAAAGATATCTGATGAATATCTTTGTATTATTTAAAGTTTATGGTAAAAATGAATGATGTTTATTTGATTATATTTTAGTAAGATGAATGAATATTAAACCAAAATTTTTATGCATAAGAGAATCATATCTAGAAAAACTTTAGTTTTTATACTAAACTGGCTGTAAAAGTGCAAAATGTTTAGTTCAGATCAAAACACGGGTTTTTGAAGTACAACATTTATTTTGCCTTTATTCATTTATTTTAACCTGAATAGTTCTGAAAGCTGTCAGAGTTCTGATTTAACATTCATTCCTTAACTGAACTCTACTTGTTTTATAGTGGTTATGAAGAGAATGAAAATGAAAACCAGTATGAAAAAACAATGATATTAATCTTAAAAGTTTCATAAAACCTGTAAGAACTTCAGAAGGGTCAAATGCAGAAGAACTTTTTTTTTTTAAGAAAAACGTTGTATTTCTTTATAGTAATGTAATTTACATGATGATTAAAAAAAATTTTGAGACGACAGAGGCAAAACAAAAAAGGTAAATGAAACCAATTTAATTCAGCAAGCACTCTTTGGAGTACTAGCATGACACAGTTATTAAGAAATTATTTTAGGTAGATAGAGAAGGTAAAATGAGTCCTTGGTAAGGCTTTTTCTGATAGAGAAGGTAAAATGAGTCCTTGGTAAGGCTTTTTCTTTTAATAAAAACAGCTCCCAGAACTTTTCTTTACTAACAGAAAGTGGCTTTAAAAACCAGACCAGCAAGCATTGTTATGCAAATGCAGGTGATTAGAAAATCAGGTACACCCAATATGGCGGCAACCTTCTTCTCCCTGTCACCATGTGTGCCGGGTGTCATGGCAGCCTCCAGATGACATCATCATGGTGACCTGTATTTACATATTAAAAGGCTAGGGAGGGAGGGAGGGCTAGTTTTTTCCTGGGCTACCTGAATGACCCACCTGGTCAAACCAATCCCCTGGGCCCTATGCAAACCAGAGACCACCTCCTCCAGCCTCCCAATATAAGGGACTGCTTCCTGCGTGACACAAAGGACCCTGGTGTTTCTCTAGTCATCGGAGTCATATTCACTAGGGGATCACAGGGCCTTTTCAAACATAAGACTTAGTGGCGAGGTGATGCTTATATTTATGAGACAAATAATATAAATGAAAATAAAATCCAATTAAGAATGTAATCAGAGCAAGATGGCTGAATTGGACTTTCAGTGTCTCCTCAGAGAAACATCAATTTGAACAAGTATGTGTGAAAATATCTTCACAAGGGCTAAATGGTGAGAGATAGCAGCACTTGAGTAGAGCACAGACATAAGAAAAGACTCATTGAAGAGGATAGGAAAAAGAGTTTCATATTACCAGTGTCACTCCTCCCCCAAGCCTGGGTGGCATCATTCAAAGAGAGGGATGCTTTATGTTGTAGGGGAAGGAGAGTGAAGTTAGTGAGAACCTGACTTTGTGGTGGATCCTAGCACCGGGCCTGCCCTCATGAAACCCTGCACCTGGCTAGCCTCCACAACCCCATGTTCTAGGCCAGCACCCACGGCCTCATCTCTAGGCCAGCCCCTATATTTCCAGGCTTCAGCCCCACCTCTTCAGCCCCATGCTCCAGGAGATCCAGGATTTAGGTTTTGTCCAAAAAAATCCCAGTGATGGGCCATTTCCTAAAGACCTAGCCTCCAGGCCCACCTCAACACCAGGCCAGCCCCCACAGAACTCAGTCCAGTTAACCACCCACAAACTCAGGTTCTAGACCACTCTCCATGAATACAAGCTCCAGACCCATTAAGTACCAGGCTGGCCCCTGTGAGCCCAGTATCCAAGCTAGCCCCCTTCCCTACATACTCCAGCAGACCCAGGGTCCAGTTTGGCCCTTGCAAACCAAGCCTCCAGGCCCACCTCAGTGGCAGGCCCGCCCCTGTGGCCCAGGCTCCAGGGCAGCCCCTGCAATCCTAACCCCCAGGCCAGCACCTGTAAACTGTTTTTTATAAAGATAAACAAAGTTGGCAAACCTTCTGCTGGACTAACTAAGAAACAGAGAACAAAGACTCAAATAAATAAAATTATAAATGAAAAAGAAAACATTATAACTGATACTGTCAGAGGCCTGTGAACAAGAGCAACTCCATCTTGGATAGGAGCTGGGTAAAAATGAGGCTAAGACCTACTGGGCTGCATTCCCAAATGGTTAAGGCATTCTAAGTCACAGGATGAGGCAGGAGATCAGCACAAAATACAGGTCATAAAGACTTTGCTAATAAAACAAGTTGCAGTAAAGAAGCTGGCTAAAACCCACCAAACCCAAGATGGCAATGAGAGTGACCTGTGATCGTCCTCACTACTACACTCCGATCAGTGCCACGACAGTTTACAAATGCCACAGCAACATCAGGAAGTTACCCTATATGGTCTAAAAAGGGGAGGCATAAATAATCCACCCATTGTTTAGCATATCATCATAAAGAAATAATCATAAAAACGGGCAAACAGCAGCCCTCAGGGCTGCTCTGTCTATGAAGTAGCCATTATTTTATTCCTTTACTTTTCTAATAAACTTGCTTTCACTTTACTATATGGACTCACCCTGAATTCTTTCTTGCACGAGATCCAAGAACCCTCTCTTGGGGTCTGGATCGGGACCCCTTTCCTGTAACAATAACACAGAAATACAAGGGATCAAAAGAGACAATCATAAACAATTATATTCCAACAAATTGGATAACCCAGTTTATCCAGAAGAGATGAATAAATTCCTAGAAACATAAAACCTATTAAAACCAATTTATAAAGAAATGGGAAATCTGAATAGACATTAGATAACATGTAAGGAGATTGAATCAGTACTCAAAAACTTCCCAACAAAGAAACACCTAGGACCTGATGGCTTCATAGGTTAATTCTACCAAACATTTGAAGAAGAATTAACTCCAATTATTCTCAAGCTCTTTCAAAAAATTGAAGAAGAGACAATACTTCCAAATTCATTTTTCAAGGCCATCATTACCCTGACACCCAAACCAGACAAGGACACTACTAAAAAGGAAAATTACAGGATTATATCCCTGATGAACAAAAATGTAAAAATCCTCAATAAAGTACTACCAAATTGAATTCAAAAGCACATTAAAAGGATCATACACCATGATCAATGGGATTTATCACTGGGTTACAAAGATGGTTCAGTACATGCAAATCAATTAAGTGTGATACATTAACACAATGAAGAATAAATTAAATAGGTACAGAAAAAGCATTTGAAAAAATTTAACATCCTGTTATAATAAAGACTCTCAACAAATTAGATATAGAAGGAATGTACATAAACATAATAAAAGCTATACATGAGAAGTTCATCATCATACTTAATGATGAAAAGTATCATTTTAAAGAAATGATACTTTTTAAAGTATCATTTTAAAGTGGCATTTAAAGTGGCATTTTAAAGAAAAAAAAGAAAAAAGAAAGAAAAAAGAAAATAAACAGAAAAAATACTGAAATGTATGTGGAACCATACAAGAACCCAAATAGCCATAGCAATCTTGAACAAAAAGAATAAAGTAGGGGGCATTGTACTATATTATTTTAAAATACACTACAGAGCTATAGTACTCAAAACAACATGGTACTGGCATAAAAACAGATATATCAACCAATAAAACAGGATAGAAAGTCCAAAAACAAACCCACTCATTTACGGTCTATTGAATTTCAAGGAAGATGCCAAGAATACATGATGGGGAAAGGAGAGTCTCCTCAATGAATGGTGTTGGGAAAACTAGATGTCAACATGCTGAAGAATAAAATTCGACTTTTATCTGACACTATATACAAAAACTACTTTAAAAATTATCAAAGACTTAAGAGTAAGACCTGAACATATAAAACTATGAGAAAAAAATTTTTTTTAAACTTCTTGACATTGCTGTGGAAAAAATGATTTTTCAGATATAACCCCAAAAACACAGGTAAAAATTGACAAAAAAGATTGCATCAAAATTAAAAGCATCTGCACAGCAAAGGAAACAATCAACTGAGTGAAGAGACAATCTACGTAATTTAAGAAAATATCTGCAAACCATGCATCTGACTAGGGCTACTATCAAAAATATGCAAGGAACTCAAACAACTCAACAGTGAGAAAAATAAATAACAATGCAAAAAGGGCAAAGGACCTGAATAGACAATTCTCTACAACAACAAAAAAGACACAAAAATGGCCAACAGAAAGGTTCAACATCACTAATCATCAGAGAATGCAAATTAAAACCACATTGAGATATCACCTCAAACCTGTTAGAGTGGCTGTTCTTAAAAAATAAGTGTTGATGAGGATGTGGAGAAAAGGGAACACTTTGTACAATGTTGGTGGATATGTAAATCAATATAACCATCAGGGAAAACAGTATGGACGTTACTCAGAAAATTTAAAATATAATTGTATGTTTCAGCAATTCTACTTCTGGATATATATTCAACAGAATTGAAAACAGGATCTTGAAGAGATATTTGCATATTCACATTCATTGTGAATAATGATTCCATTATTCACAATAGCCAAGATATGAAATTGGCCTAAGTGTTCACTGTTGGATTAATGGATAATCTAGTGTGTGTGTGTGTATATATATATGTATATATACACATGCTATCTTTTTATTTCCTTCTTTCTATATTCTATCCAGCATATAGAAAGAAGGAAATTCTGCCATTTGAGACATCATATAGAAATACTGCCATTTCTATCCAGCATGTAGAAAGAAGAAAATTCTGCCATTTGAGACAACATGCATAAATCTGGAGGACATTATGCTAAGTGAAATAAGTCAGGCACAGAATAACGATTACTGCCTGATGTCACTTATACGTGGAACCTGAAAGAGCTGAACTCATAGAAGCAAAAAATGAAATGGTGGTTACCAGGAGCTGGGTGAGGGGCAATGGAGAGATGTTGGTCAAAGAGTACAAAGTTTGTTAGACAGGATGTATATGTTCTAGAGATCTATTATACAGCATGATGATTATAGTTAATATTAATTCATTATATACTTGAAAGTTGCTAAGAGAATACATCTTAAAGATTCTCAGGCCCTCAAACAATAAGTATGTGTGACAATATATACGTTAATTAGCTTGATTTGATAATTTTACAATATATACATATTGAAACATCAAATTGTACACTAGAAATGCATTCAATCTTATTTGTCAATTATACTTTAATAAAGCTGGAAGGGGTACAAAGAATATAATCAAATCCCAAAAGGAAATCAGAGCAGGGATTGATAGTCAAATCTGTCAATCAGCAAATACTCATTGAAATGCTACTACATGCTATTTACAGTACATATAATTGATAAGTGTGTCTAATATCAACATTCATACATATCAGAGCATCATTTTATCCATTCATCAGGGAGCTCATTCATTGAACAAATATTTCTTGTCACATTGGATTATTTAATGTAGACACCATCATGAACGAAAACAGACACATTCTCCACATGACTTGAATATACAATCTAGTATAGTGACAGATATTTATCACCAAATCACACTAGGGTAAATTTATGTTGTGAGAGAGATGAGAGGAAGAAGTACATTGTTCTATTAAAGTATACATTAGAAAAACGAATGCATTTGAGAAGGTTAGGAATGTTTCTTTAAAGCTATTATTGTTTTTGAATTGAAAAACAGAGTAAGAGTTAATGAGATGAACAGATGTTAGGGGCCAAGAGAAGCAATGGAAAAAGAGGGACATGCAAAACCTCTGGCAGGAAGGATCCTGGAACTTTATCAAGCAAAAGGGGCTTGCTGCTGAATACGCTAGAAGCCAATACTATACCAGGTTTTTGAGGACAGAAAAGCTTTATATTGAAAGTCCACTCCCGAGGAGACAGGAGTCAAGCTCCAAGCTGTCTCCCTGTGCTGGCTTCAAGACTATATTTTCATTAGAAAAGATTCAGGGGTTGGATTCTGAGATTATCAGGTTTTATTGGTGGAAGGAAAGGAGAGGTCTGGAAAGTCCTTGGGCATGCACAGTTACCTTTTTTATGCTAACTCATTTGCATGTGCAGATTCTGGAGGGAGTTGGTATGAGACATGCAATGAAAATTCAGGCTATGATGTCAGCAAGCTACTTCCGCACAAACTCCAGTTGACCAAACTGATTTCAGCCAGTTCTTTTATCTCATAAGTGGAGGGAGTTTCAGTGTTTTAGCAAGTTGTTTCCTTTCTTATCCACCATTCTGCAAACTCAAGAATTTCTGTTAGTCACTGGTTGCTTTAACTCTTTGGGACATGGTTTCAGAACTTCTCCCAAATTGGGTAATTAGAAGCTATTTAACCAAATGCCAGAAAGAGAGGAAAAAAAGAACCATAATTTTGTTAGCTTAAGTTCTCAGACCTTTGAGCAGTGTTAGTGTTTAAATATTCCTTTTTGGCACGATCAACATTATGGTGCTTTTACCATCCAATAGCAACAAAGGAGGATAAGATTAAGGCTCAAACCAAGATCAACAGAAGATCACATCTAATGCTAGCCAAACACAGCTGGCATTATGATCTTGGTTCTCACCATCCAGTCATGTCTAGAATTGCTAATTAAAAATAACATTCCTAAACTATAAAAGGATTCATGATATAATTAAACCATTTAATAATATCTTCTTAGTATATTCTTACCTACTAAACACGCTTTTAAATAATCATCTTTAAGTGAATTTCATAAAGCTATATAATGGAAAAGATGAGTCATGACTTCATAATTCGTAATATTATTGGGAGAGTAGCAAATTTTCAGTGTCTCACTTAAAGTACGTTGAAAATATCACAAGAATTTCTGCAGGCTGTTGCTCCTTCCTAAGGCTGCAAGTCCAAATGAAAACTCTGTGTCAGACACATTTAGGGGTTTTATAAAGCTGTACACTATGCAGACTCTGGGCATAGAATTCCCAGCATAGGCTCGGCTTCTTCCTTCTCTTTTCAGTTGTGTCATAAATCACTCATTGTCATCAGTTGAGTATTCCTATGCACAGAGTGGTTCCAGGAGGGGCAGTAGTAAGATGCTTCAAGTCAGGTTCCCCTCAGTGGCGTCCATCAAACCCAGCAAATTTCATAGGTACTTTTCAAACCACATGGTGGAAATGCATGCTTCTGCTAATGACACTCTCTATCAGCTCTGCCAATTCTTTCCTAAGCTTGTGTCCAAAGTCCAGAAGAAGCAGATCTTTTGCTAGAGAGAAGTGTCCCTCTCTCCCCTTTATCACAGCAGATAGAGAAGCACAATGATCTTCCTTTAGGCACTCTGCACTCTCCTCAAAAGTCACCATCTTTTCTTTCCCAATCTTCCCTTTATGTAATCAAGTGAATGATTCTGCTGAAATGACTGTATCATCGACTTTTGGCAGGCCCCAGAGATGGTAGGATCTCTGATCTTGGAATGTGAAGTAATAACTTTTAAAGTCATGTTGTTATACTGTTTTAACTTTAAACAAATTATTTTAGGTTTTACACTGGAACTCAAATACCAATAGGCAATTGCACAGAGTGTCTTGTTATTTTAGTGAATCCCCTGAATATTATCTATAATGCTTTTCTATAAATGACAAAAAGTCACCCCTCCTGTTAGTTGGTTCAGTAAAATTAACATAATTCTGAGCTTTGGAAACAGAAAAGTAGATAGATTTCACATTCCAGTTTTCTTATTGCCTAGATGCCCTCCTCTAAAGAAACAACAACAAATATGAACAGAACGACTGTTTACAGGGTCCCTGAGATTTCCTTGATAAAAATTTGTATATTGTTCTTATTTTCAGCATTGAAGTTTATTTGCTGTCTTGTTCATCTCTTTTAAGCATCAAGAGATTTTATTATTGCTTTTAAATTCAATCTGAAAGTATTTATTTTTCAGTAGGGTAATTTATCAATCCAAATTATGAACATAAATGAATAACGTTTGTTGAGCTCTTACTATGTTGCAGGTACTGTTTTAAGCACTTTCAATGTTTTTGGTAATTCAATTTTCACCAGAAACTTTTGATGGTACTTTTGTGTTTCTTTTTTACTACTGTAGTTTGCAAGGCAGGAGTGTTATAGCTCTTTTAGTCCCCCTGTCCATAGATCAGAGAGCAGGAGAGTTACAGCTCTTTCACTCCCACAGTTCAGTGAGTTCCAGGCTCTTGTCTAGTGACCAAGAGGAAGAAGGTACACGGATGCTGGAAAAGAGTTAAGGCAGAGTAGAATTTATTGAGTGACAGTAAAGCTCTCAACAACTAGGGGAGACCTGAAAGTGGGTAGCCATCTGTGAGGCTGAGTCTGAGTTTTTTTATAGGCTTAGAATTGGGGAGTACGTTCTGATTGGTGTATGGATGGGCTTGGAAAAGGCACCATTCGATTAGTTAAAAGGCATCATTCAGAAAAATCAAATAAAGAGATAGTGGGTAAGACAGGGATGGAAATTCTCACTCTGGTCCTTGGATTCTATCCAGAAATGGTAGCTCTGTTTTCAGGCATTAGACTGTCCTTGGCTTGAAGGTTGAGTTTCACTAAAGACGTATCTCTGTCTGTCTAGGAATTTGTGTCCTATCACTATTAGTACCATTACATTTTTCATATTAAAGATGCAAATCAAGGCTTAGATGTATTAAGTAACATTCCCAAGGTCACAACTAGAAAGGGATACAGCCAGGATCCAAAACTACACATTGTGCTTCAGAGCTGTGCCCTCCTCCATTATGTCATTCTGACTATGAAACTCATAATTAATGTGGACAGTCATAGATTATACACAAATAACATCTAATACAATTATACAAATATATATATCAATTATAGAGTCATAAGATATAATTATAACTGATGTTTTTCTTTTTATCATCTCTTTTATGTTTTGTGATTTTAGATCTCCTTTTATTTTCCTATGTTTTAGGCATTTTATTACATAGTTTTTGTAAGAACCTTTAGTTTCAGGCAGACTCTTGGCTGGACCAGTTAGTAGCTGATTCATTCTGAAATGTTTCTGCTGAAAGTAAGAGACAACAAAATTTAAACTGATTTACACAATAAAAAGGATTTGTCGACTGGTGTAACCAGGGAGTACAGAGATAGGGCAGACTTCAGGCATGTTCCATCGTGCACTTGGCTTCCATTTTCCAGGATTCTCTCAGCTCTGTCTCCCTGCATGTTTTGGTTCTACCTTCATAGTGGCTTTTCTTAAGGCTACCAAAGCTCTCCAGGGGGATTAGATCTTCATATTTACCTTTTCATAGAGAGTGGATGGAGTGTGTCTCTTCCAATCACAATGAAATGAAACTCAAATTTTTCAATAATTGGGCCATCACTTTCTGTAACCAAGGTGAAA
The DNA here is from genome assembly GCF_000001405.40 of Homo sapiens. Lineage (NCBI taxonomy): Eukaryota > Metazoa > Chordata > Mammalia > Primates > Hominidae > Homo > Homo sapiens. Next base: position 79,789,172 of record NC_000001.11, on the reverse strand, counting down.
GAATTAACTGATTGGCTTGGGCAAGGAGGGTTATTTGAATCAACTACAGCTGTAAAATGGGTCTGGTTATACTAATTAGCTTTAAATGAATCAGAGCCCAGCCTGGTTTAATGGTGGAATAAATTTCAGCCAAATCTCATGGCTTCTACTTCATGAGGCAGGGTAGAAAAGTCATCAGGGAGACACTATAATGCCATCCACGGTTGCTTTGTGACTTTCAGTCTTAATTTCTTCATCTTTATAGTAAAAATGATCATAGACCTTATCGTATTTGGTTGTTGTGAGAAGCAGATAATACATAAAAAAGTCTTAGGATGATCTAGTACATAGTATCACTCATGGAAATGTTACGGTGACAATGATTATCAACAGTGTATTCAGTTTGTTTTTAAAAACTTTTACCAGCTCTTGTATCATATTTTTCTTGTAATAGCAGTCTTTTTTTTCCCCCCTCAGAAATCTTAGTTCTGAACTTTATTCATTTATTTAGTTATTTATTTATTTATTTATTGGAGACAAAGGCTGGAATGCAGTGGCAGGATCATGGCTCACTGCAGCCTCTAACTCTTGTGTTCAAGGTATCCTCTTGCTTCAGCTCCTGAATAAGCTCGGGGTATAGGCGCACTCTGCCAGGCCCACCTAATTTTTAAAACTTTTTTGTAGAGATGGGAGTCCCACTGTTTTACCCAAGCTGTTCTCAAACTCCTGGCCTCAAGCAATCCTTTCGCATCAACCTCCTCAAATTCTAGGATTACAGGCGTGAGCTACCATGCCCAGTCTCAATCTTTTATTTCAATTTTCCCAAATCTTTCTCATCCTAATTATGCACTTATCTAAATAAATGTGAAATGCTATCATTGGTTTCCATTTTTATAAGATAAGAAAATTGAATCACTTTTTTTCTTCAATCTACTGTACTTTTCCAAAGTTGCCCAATTTGTATTTCTTTTTTTTTTTTTCGTAATCTGAAGTTAAAATCCAGATGATGGCCATCAATTATCGTTACTTATATGATATAACTGCTCTTTGAAGAACACTTTTTTAAAAATTTGTATTCAGGTATGCAACATTATTTAAACTTAAAAAAAGCATTTTAGCCTTTCTTATTAAGCCTCAGTTTCTTTTTTTGCATTCTATTTTACCTGAAACTCTTTCCAAACAATATCTCTTTTAATGGTAGTTCCAAATACACTCTCCCCCACCTCCCTGCCCAATCCCTGTATCTGTTTGTAGTAAAAACAACCTTACAATGGAGAAACGTGACAAACACTACTTCAGTCAGGTAAAGAAGGTCAATAGTAGCAGTGATAAGTCATGCTGATAGTTTGTATCCTTGATACACATCACGTGATAGGAATGACACTTTACCCTTGGGGTCTTCTTGCCCAAAACCCATAACCCCATTTTAAAAACAAATTCGAATTGAGGAACATTCTATTTAAAAATGTAAAAAAAAAAAAAAAAAAAAAACCCTTACTAGTATTCCTCAAAACCATCTTAGTCACTAAAACCGAAACCAAAAATTCTGAGAAAGTGTCACAGCCAAGAGGAGCCTAAGGAAACATAATGACTAAATGTCATGAATTTTGGCCGGGCGCGGTGGCTCACACCTGTAATCTCAGCACTTTGGGAAGCCGAGGTGGGTGGATCACGAGGTCAGGAGATCAAGACCATCCTGGCTAACATGGTGAAACCCAGTCTGTACTAAAAATACAACAGTTAGCTGGGCGTGATGGCATGCGCCTGTAGTTCCAGCTACTCAGGAGGCTGAGGCAGGAGAATGGCGTGAACCTGGGAGGCGGAGATTGCAGTGAGCCAAGATCGTGCCACTGCACTCTAGCCTGGGCAACAGAGCAAGACTCCGTCTCAAAAAAAAAAAAAAAAAAATGTCATGAATTCTGGATGGGATCCTGGAACAGAAAAAGAACACTGGGTAAAAACTAAAGTGTGAACTTTAGTTAATAATAATAAATTGATAATCTGTTTATTAATTGTAACAAATGTATCATACTAATATAAAATGTTGATAATAGGTGTTTGTGCGTATGTGAAATCTTTGTACTAGCTTCACAATTTTTCTGTGAATCTAAAACCAGTCTAAAATAAAAAGGTTATTTTAATAAGATTCCATGAAAATACCATTTTCTGTAGTTTTCTCCTATAAAGATCACTATAATAATGTGTCTGAATCATTACTGCAAATATTTGAGCTTTAAAGTCAGGCCAGAAGTCCTCGGGTTGCAATTGGTATACATTTTCAAGTGATATTTTTCATTTAAAAAGTTAACTTAAAACAACATTTACATTTGGTTTCCCCAGCAAATCAGAGCATGAAAATTCTTCAGTCAGAGTGTTGGCTTCAGAAATTGACAGAGTGAACCTTAGGATTTATGTGGGAGCTGCATGGCATATATTCTTCTTTCCTGCTGGATTTGAATCTAAGACACTGTGGATTGAGCTGCTATACCTAGCTTGCAAGAGGACAGGCACAAACAGAGGTGAAAGGAAGGAGCCCTACCAGAAGAAAATGTTACTAACGATGTTGTTTATGCCCCTGAGGTCAGATGATGTTTGAGGTCAACCCATGAGCTTGTCATTTCTATGAACCATTAAATTCCTTTTTTTCTGCAAAAATTAGCTTGAGCCTCTGCCTACAAAAGTCTTAGCTGATAGAGATGTATAGTTCAGCAAGAGAAAGAAGTTAAATTCATTGCTCCATACTCTTGTCATAAAAATTTGATCAGTCATTTCCGTATTTAATAAGGTGTACACATATTTCTCACTTCTCTCTCTTCATTTCTCTTTTTCTTCTTTTTAAATTTCTATTATTTCTAATGTAGAAAAGTTGATTTTTCCTTTGCTGTACTTGTGTCTCATCTTCAACCCCAAAATTATTACTTAGGTATTTCTCTAAACAAAAGCAGAGTGACCTGAAATAACTTGTGGCGCCAGCTGTTAAGATGTTGCATTTTTCACCTTGTTTCCCACTATGCATAGTTGTTGATTTAGTTGTTCATATCTCCCAATAAACTCTAAAGTCCTTGAGATCAGAGACCTTGTCATATTTGAGTTTTGACAGAACATACCACATTACCTGACACATCTGACAAATAAGACTTGTTTAATTGAAAAGATATTTAAACAGACTTAGTTTTGCTGTGATGTTCCTGTCATGATCTCTCTAAAAGAAAATAAAGAATCTATTTTACTCTGTATGAAATATTCAGGCTAAAAATTTCTACAACTTCAACAACGCTAAAATCTATGAATCTAACAGTTTTTTTCAGCCAGCTTATTTCCCTTTAGCTGCAGTTTGGTGACTACAGTTTTATCCAAGCCAAAACAGTTCATTTCTCTCTATTCACCATTGTACTTACAATGCAAAAACACTGAAGATTCCAAGAATATTCTTAGAACAGCGTATGTAGTACTATTCGCTTGTTAGCTCTAATCCTTCCAGCGCCAACATAGAAAATGGAAATGCTATCAATGTCCTGCCTCATAGTTTCCATAAGATAAAAATAAAAATGGTCATTCAGGAAAAGCATAATCCTTACTGATATTGAAAGAGAAGTTAATTTAATTCAGTGCCTCTTTCTGGGAGGTGGGTAGAGAAACAAGGGGTAAATTAATAAATATTTCTGTTAGTATTCCTAGACCGTTTAAAAAAATACAACAAAATAACCTGGTGGCATTAAACTAAACAAATGGGAAAAAAAATACCAAAGTATTTTATTTGATTTCACAAGCCCTGAATCTGACAAACTAGATTCCCACCTACGCACCCCTGGGCAAACTGATTGACATCTACATACCTTGGTTCCCTTACCTATAAAATTGAAAAATAATCGTATTTTCCTTTTAGTTTTACTGAGAAAAGTAAATAAAAAGCATGTGAGATAACACAATAAAGTACTTAGAGTAGTGTCTGGTTAACAGTCACTGTTCAATATGTGTTTAGGTAGTATCTAATGCGACTTAGAACAAGCATGTAGATTTCTGATGATTTAACTTAATACCAAAGTAGATTTTTAAATGCCTAGAATGGTATTTACAGTGTCTAAAAATAATTTCTTTATTTTGCTGGTTGCTAAATTCTCAGTGTCTTATTGTACTGATGTGCTTGCAGATGTTCCAGAGAAGCTGTGGTATATGCACAGATTTCCTACATGTAGCTTCTGTTCAAAAGTTCATTTTATTCAGAGTGTTTAAGAGAACAGAAGTTCTTAGAATACATTTAGAACTTTCTCACCTAGATAAATGGATAGATACCTTACCCTTCATGAAATCCTTCAGAGATCTTGTTTCCCTAAATGTTTAAACATTGAAATGAAGATAATTCAAGATCACTTGAATTTAAGTAACATAGTCTATCTGGTGTTTTACCATAAAATGATGCACTTGATTAGTCAGTAAAATTTTAGGTAGGATAACCATTTTTATGAAAAGAATAAGACCTCTCAACTCAGATAAAAGGGGAACCAAGGAGTATCTATAAATTGGGCCAGAATTTGCCACATAATATAATTTAGATTTTACTCCAACAACCAAAGCAAAAAAAAAAAAAAAAAAGCATGGCAAAAGTCCATGACAAGGACAAGAAAATCAGGGAGGCAGTGAGACAGAGACATGAGGCAGCATTGGATGTGCAGGGTGAAGAATGGGTAGGAAAATGACCTTGTCATTGTTATGAATTCCAGGCCTGACCCTGAATATAAAACAGGCCACATTTGTGTTAATATTGTTCTCCTTTCTTATTCTATACAAACTTTGCTCCACATTTGGGTGCCTTCATAGCCAGTTCTATGATGGATTGATTTCTTGCTGGTGGCATCCCATTTAGGCTTCAATCACAGGATCACCTGTTTTTAGCTCAATTCCTCCTGATTGGCTAACCATAAATAAAGAAATTCAAAATGAAAATAGATAATGGTTTAAAGCTGTGATTCTCAAACTCCTGTGCTTTGCTATTCAAAGTGGAGCCCATGACCCAGGGATATTGGCCTCATTTGGGAGCCTTTTAGAAATGCTGAATCTCTGGCTTCAACCCAGATATATTCCATCATAATCTACATTTAACAAGATATCCAGGGGATTTGCATGTACATTAAAGTCTAAGCAGCAGAGCTTATTAAAATTCAGTTTTTGAGCTTCACACCCAGAGATTCTAATTCAATAAATCCCCAGTAGTGTCCAGGAATTTGCAACCAAACAAACACCCTATTGATTAGAATGCTAGTTGGCCTTAGACAACACTTTCAGAAACACGAGCTTATTGGGAGAGTCATCCTAGGTGTATTAAAATAAATAAGAGCTTCTAGAAACAGCGTTTTAAGCTAAACTACCATGGTGTGTATGATATTAGCTGAATGGGGGTTATATTTTTAGCTGACTGCTCTTTTGATGTGCCCTGTACTTCCTGCACTGTTGATGCAGAAAGCCAACTCAGGGGTGGTGGGCATTGTGGACCCAGCTTCAGTCTCTGCAAGTGCGCAATCTACTTTGATGGAATCTCTCACATACATTTTGTTTAGTAAAAAGAAGTCTCATGACAAAATGGGAGAAAGGCTTGAAATAACATTCAGCACCCTAAAAATCTCATTTTTAGGTACACCTCTATATCTAGTCTGGTATTTTTCCTTTTATCCTATCTTTTCTCTTTCAGCTAATCGATGAGAGACTCAGAAAAGCTCTTAGTGGTTCTGAGTTATAAGCAATGGATTCAATACTTCCTTTATCATAAAAAAAATCTTGTAGTCATGAGAGTAACATAGAGAGAAGGAAGAAAAATTTCCTCCCAAGTGCTGTAAAAATGTGATACTATTAATCCCTAGTTCCAACCCCACCCCAAAGCAAATTAAAACAGCAATTCTCATTAACTACTGACAGAAACATAAATTGATACAACCTTTCTGGAAAGCAATTTGGCATTATGTTTCAAAAACCTTAAAATGTTCATACTCTTTAACCCAGCAATTCCCTCTAACATAATTTTTCCTAAGGTGATGTGAGCAAAGATTTATGTACAAAGACTATCATGACTGTTATTTGTGGGAACAAAAAATGGGATATTACCTTATATTTAATAATAAAGGAATGATTAAATTTTATGGTAGACATATGATTAGGACATGAACAATTATGTAAATTGATTTAAGGTAGTCAATGACAGACATGGTAATTAGCAAGCAAAAAGCTAAACAATCTCTGCTCTAAATGAGAGTATAAAATCCTTGAATGTATATAGACAGGATAAAGCAGAATGCTGTAGTGGAAAGAACACAGGGTGTTTTTCAAGAACTACATTCTAGTCCATGCTCCAGGTTGTACAAACTGCAACACTAAATCTAGCTATTTATCAACTATGAGACTAAATTTTCTACCTGAATAATGGGAATAGAATTAATCTTAATTATTTCGTGTATCTTTATGTGTTTGTGAACATCAGAACATTTATCTATGAAAGTTCATTTTAACTAGTGTATGTAAATGTGTTAATTATGTAATAAAGATGATAAAGGTTTAAAGCCCAGAGAGAAAAGTCTAGGTTGGTGATACAAAAGTTCTTGCAAGTGATTTTGGAAACCAGGAAGAAGCATGAAGATGCCATTTTATTACAATATTCCTAGACTTATTAGGGAAATGCATTATAAGGCTAGTCATGTCAGGCAAAATATAGCAGTAGCAGGTGGATCTGGGTAGATAAGACAGAAGGAAGAGTAGGAAGTGATGACGAAGGAGCAACACAATCCACCTGGGAATAAAGACAAGGCTTCAAGGAATTTCTCAAGATTTCTTAACCCTCACAGTGTTTTATTGCTAAAAATAGTTAAGTAAACTGGTACTAGTAGCTGCCCTAAAGTCATATCTAACAGACTTATTTGTGAGGTTGTTTGTTGTGTTGACCAATTAAAAAAAAAAAAAAGTCTTTTTCTACATGCTCGATAGCACAGAATATCAACTGAAGCCCTCCTATTGGAAACCTGCAACTGCATATTCTTATACTAAGACTGAATTATTTTCTAAAGCACAGAAAATTTAGTTTTTGTGTGTATGAGAAAGGAAAATAGTAGCAACCCAAATGTTAAATAAAGGATGATCATTTATTAGTTTTCAAGAAAGGAGAAAAAAATGGAAAGGTGGTCATTAATATTTTTCTTGGATACATTGAGCACATTAGAAAAATATCATGTATATAAAAGTACATTTTAGTTAAGTTATAATTTTAAAGCTAAATAGAATTATAAACTTTCTTCCATGAAAAGGAGAGAAAATGAATACATTGCATACATGTTAAATTTTATTCTCAGGAGTAAAGAGAAAGGAACATATTTTTAGTTAAGTTATAATTTTAAAGCTAAAAACTTGTTTTTAGTTAAGTTATAACTTTAAAGCTAAATAGAATTATAAGCTTTCTTTCATTGAAAGGAGAGGAAACGAACACACTGCGTACATGTTAAATTTGTATTCTCAGGAGTAAAGAGGAAGGAGGGAAAGAAGGAAGGAAGGAAGGGAGGGAGGGAGGGAATAAGTTAAAAAATAAAATTCAATTGTACAACATTAAAGCTAAAAGAGGAGAATCAAAGGAAATGGAAAACAAATCTCATTCACTTTAAAAGTAGAGATGGAAGGAAAGAAGAAAATGAGAAACAGGTCAGGTATTTATCCTCCCACTCTCGCCCTGCTTTAGCTGTTCTGGTCATTGATTGCTTCATTCTCAGCCCATGGCTTCTGTCAGCTGCCCATTGCTCAGAGCCCCGGCTCCCAATCAACTCTGAGAACCCTATTTCCTAGGAATCTTCAGGCCAATGGCTGTGAATGGCTTCCTATTGTTAGTCCTTTAGTGTCTCAACATCTCTGATTTGTTCCCTTATCACTGCCCACGCCTCTATTATTGTACCTTCATTAGGAATCCTTTCCAGTGGCGGGGCAAGGTGGCTCATGCCTGTAATCCCAGCACTTTGGGAGGCAGAGGCAGGCGAATCACGAGGTCAGGAGATCGAGACCATCCTGGCTACCACGGTAAAACCCCGTCTTTACTAAAAAAAATACAAAAAAATTAGCCAGGCGTGGTGGTGGGCGCCCGTATTCCCAGCTACTCGGGAGGCTGAGGAAGGAGAATGGCGTGAACCCGGGAGGCTGAGCTTGCAGTGAGCCGAGACAGCGCCACTTCCCTCCAGCCTGGGCGACAGAGCGAGACTCCGTCTCAAAAAAAAAAAAAAAAAAAAAAAAAAAAAAAAAAAAGAAAAAAATCCTTTCCAAATCCTAGCAGAGTGTATTAACTCCTTGTAGAACTTAACTGATATAACCATTAGATGTACCTTTCCAGAAAGTATCATGCAAATCACAGTTTTTGCAAGTGGCACACCTTAAGCTGTTCCACGAGCAATTTAAAATCTTTAAGGTTTTAAACTGTCACTCAAAAATAAGCCAAAGCCTGGGTGCAGTGGCTCACACCTGTAATCCTAGCACTTTGGGAGGCTGAAGTGAGTGGATCACCCGAGGTCAGGAGTTCGGGACCAGCCTGCCAACATGGTGAAACCCTGTCTCTACTAAAAATACAAAAATTAGCCGAGTGTGGTGGCATGTGCCTGTAGTCCCAGCTACTCGGGAGGCTGAGGCAGGAGAATCATTTGAACCCAGAAGGCAGAGGTTTCAGTGAGCCACGATTGTGCCACTGCACTCCAGCCTGGGAGACAGAGCAAGACTCTGTCAAAAAAAAAAAAAAAAAAAAAGCCAAAAAAACAAAACAAACAAAAACAAAAAACTAGGAATAAAAGGATAAATAAATAAAATATAAATTTTTTAAAATGCTCTAAAGTGATATAAATCTATAAGTTGCAATTGTGTCGACATGGATGAATTTCAAAAAGAAAAAACTTAACAAAAGAACCAAATCACAGAAAAATAAATATGGTCCCCACTTATTTAAAGTTCAAAATATATACCACTAAACAATAAAATCTTAGCATACAACAGAAAGATAATCAAGGGAATTGTTAATATAATATTGAGACTAATGGTTACCCATGGCATCAGGGATCAAGGGCCACTGAGGGGTGTTTAAAGCACTGATTATATCTACTTCTTAGCTGCTGGGTATGTTTTAATTGGATTTGTTTTATTTTTATTAAATACACGCTATAGATACTATTTTGGCTTGTAACATAGAAATGCGTTTTTCACAACTACAAAAACTTAAGACAGCATCTTTTCCTTTTTTTTTTTAATTTATTTTGAGACAGGTTCTCTCTCTGTTAGCCAGGTTGGAGTCCAGTGGTGCAATCATAACTCACTGCAGTCTTGACTTCCCAGGCACAAGTGATACTCCCACCTCAGCTTCCCAAGTCGCTGGGACCACAGGCACATGTCACCACACCCGGCTAATTTTTTTTCTATTTTTTAGAGGTGGGGTCTTACTATGTTGTCTAGGCTGGTCTTAAACTGCTGGGCTGCAAGATCCTTCCACCTTGGTCTCCCAAAATTCTGGGATTAGAGGCATGAACCACCACACCAGGCCAGGATATTTTTTACAGTTAAGAAAAACATATAAGCTTTTGTCAATTGTCTTCTTTAAGTAATTTTTATTCCATTAAATTTTCCTAGATTTTTCAACGATTTTATCTATACTTTGATAACTGTGCTCTTTATTATACTAACTTTTCTCTATTGTTTATCTATTTGAGTATCACATTCTTTTTTAAAATTGCAAATTACTTTCTGAAATAAGTATGCAAGAAACAAAAATATAATGCAAAGATTAAAAGTATTTGTAATGTAAAATTATCACCTAACTAACTAGACTTTTGGATATTTAAATTTAGCTTGCTTCTATATGACTGGCAAATTTATTGAGAATATGCCTTGTTAATAATCATTACGTATATCTGCTGTAACTTGTTCAAGCCAACACGGGAAAAAGATAATAACAGCAACAGTGAAAAACACTGAAAAGAAACTAAAGGTTAATGTGCTAAATTGTAATATTAACTTGGTTTGATGTACTTATGCATGAATTATGTGTCTTTATACATACATTATGTACTCGCATAATTTTTAATTAATTCAACAAATATTAAGTAATACTATTTTTTATGCACCTTACCGAACAAGAGTATGCTAAGGCCAATCATGGTAGAAGGGAATATGTCCCCAGATATGGTATATATTTGTATAGAACAAAGTAATACCCAGCTCTTTTACCCTTGGTCTGTGTTTTTCTGGAATAGTTGATTCCAACTGCAGTACTAGGTACAAATTTGTGATTAAGGCATGGCTTAGATTATTTATTCCTTGGTCATAGAAAATGTTGAGAATTGAACACACGCCCCAACCAGAGAAAAGAGATTACAATGAATCTTTTGTTCAGACTCAGACTGTTTTGTTCAGAAAGCTCAAGAGCTTTCTACCATTGGGTTTAACCCTGGAAGTGCAGGCCTAGACCTGCTTACAGTCTCTGCTGTCATGTGGCACTTGGATATAAAACCAACATGGTGGATAAGTGAATCAAAATATGGAGGGAAATGGGTTGCAGTGACTTCATTTGAGCCTCGGCATTAAGCCTTCCTTGTGATTTAAGTACACCAACAAGAATGTTTTTGTTTTTAGCCAGTTTGAGTTTGTTTTTCCTTCACTACCAACCAAAGAAGTCCTAACTGATAGTATAATATAGAAATAGTAATTTTTATTAAATGTATTGTTTATATTCCACATAAGTTTAAAAGGACCCACATCTTGAAAAGTATGGTGTCATTTGAAGAAACAATTTATGCAGCATAGAAAATACAAATCCATAAGCAAACACTTTCTAGAAATAAACATTCAGAAACATCCTGTATAATGCCACATGGCAAATCATAAAATGACTGACCACATGAATTTTGTGTATGCCATGTAATCTATAAAATGTAACAAAAAGAGTTAAATATAATAAGAGAAGGTCTGGGATAAATTTAATGGCTGTGATCAATGACTTTGAAGCCTGCCCAACCCAATGGGAAGGGTTTAACTCTGTGCTGCACTTGAATAGACTCCTTCGAATTTCAGTTTCCTTATTTGTAGTCAAGTGATGATAAAGTTGTTCTCAGCATTTGAGTTTGTACATATAAAGTACACATGGCAATGCTAATCATGTGTGGCAGCAACTACTATAATGTACTTGGTAAATCTTCACTTCCTCTTTTCTTGCTCTCAGTACTGCAAGCACATGATATTCTTACATTGGTAAGAAACCCCAGAATTCATTCACTCTTTTAATTCTTCAACTTCTCCCAACACACCACTCATATACTATTCCAAACTGGTTAAGCTTTCAAAACATACTTGTGGAAATATGTTTAAATGTGAAATTCCCTAAAAATATATTGATAGCTCACATAAAACTGGTAGAATCAGAAGGGTATGCTTTCTTAAGGATAAATATGGATTAAGCTGTTTGAAATGAAGAGTACCTATTTCTCCAGAGGAAGCAACTTCACAGCGGGGTGCTCAAGATGCTGATAGCAGGCTGAGGGCTGTTAAACTATGTTAGTGATAAGGAGAATGTAGTAGATAGTGAGGTGTTACATTTCTGCTGATCACCAAGAATTATTTAGGTTAGTGAAAAAACATGCAGATTATGAGGAAATCCAGAAGGATCTAATTAAACTGGATGATTGGACAATGTGATGACAGATTAAATTTAGTGCTGATAAGTGCAGGGTAATGCATATTAGGAAACATAATTTAAACTTTCCATCCATGCCAATAGGTTCCGAATTAGCTTGAACCTCTTAGGGAAAGCATTTAGAAGTCGTTATGGAGAGTTCGATGAGAACGCTGCTCAATGCGCACAAGCATTTAAAGTGGCCAATAGAATGCTTTTAGGTAATAATTTGAGCATGTGGAATGATATGAAAACTATTAAAATGAAATTACATCAATCAATGGTGTTCTCATACTGGGCTGTATTTATTTTAGGCACTTTATTAGAAAATACTAAGAAATAATTGGCAATGTGTTCAATTGTTAAATTAAAAGTAAGCAAATAGTTTGTGTATGTGTTTAGGAATACAATAGCAGCAAGACACGGATTTAATAGGCACAAAAATTAATGGGTGGTTCAGCAAAAATCTTCTTTGGACATCCCTTTTCAATAAGTACTAAAATATGAGGATAAGATGATATTGGGGGAACTCATATCTACATTTTAACTGAAATACCTTTAATATGACTCAAAATCAATCTGTAATTCACTAGTGAAGTAAATCATTGAGGCAAATAGCTCAGCACGATTCACAGGGATTAGGTATTTATATGACTATGAATAACATTTGCAGCTATACTATCTATCTACACCAGATTCAGATACCACAGCATATATCAATCCTTTTGCTCCAGGGTTTAAAGAAATCATCTAGGAGGGCCAGGGAAATTTTGTTTTCCTCAGTTTGATAATAAAATTCATAAATGACTAAAAACAAAGTGTAACAACTTGGTCATTACATTCTTTATTTTAAAGAATACTCTTCAGATATTGGTTCTATGTGAATCTGTATTTTAAAACATTACTCTATGCAGTGATACATTTTATAAAGGAATAAAATTGCTAAAGCGTGCACTGCCGAACTAGTTACAGGGACTTCAGTAGAAATTTTAATTAAAAAAGAACAAAAGAAACATAAATGTTAAAAGTGCAATAGCATTATTTTCACATTTCATTCATTCAATAAATGTGTACTGAGCATTTACTATGTTTCAGAAAGTACAGAGGGCACTAAGGCCATGACATAAATAAGACCCCAGCCCCTGCTTTTTAAATCAGGTATATCATAAAGCAAAATATAAGCAGACTTTTAAAATAGGTACATCTTTATGTTATCAGTACAGTGATGAAATATTTACACAGTGGGAATATAGTGAATAGACTAGTAGAGCTTATTGTGGAAGGGGGTATTAGAAAACTTTAGAGAAAAAAAGAATGCTTCAGGTGAGAGTTGAAAGATGGAAGAATTTTCTACCAAAAGAAGGAAAATAGTATTTAAGTCTGAGAAAGCAGTCCGAGAAAAAAACACAGAAATCAGGTGTGGCAGATTTTTTACAAACTATACATATCAGTAGACTAGTTCATGTAATGTTAGACTAATACAATGGTTATTTTCTAATAAAATTTATTTGGAAATACTGAGTTCATGTGAAACCACTAAAAAGTCAAAGTTGTGAATTAAAACAATGTTAGTGTCCAATTTTGGAAGTTTATCTTTTATCATCCCACTTCCTAAATGTCTGTGTGGATACCCTTTTGCTGAAAAGAGTTGGTTGAGTAAGTATATTTCTTAGGACCTTAGTGTAGCATTGGCCTGGCAGGTAATTTGAAGATTATTACAAAAGTTTTCTAAACTTTCTTTAAAAATAACATTCATTTGGAGAACTCTGTCCCTCACAGATTCAAGCATTAGCATCTCCAGAGGGGACGATCAGTATTTGTGACCTAGGTCACAAGTGTCTCCTGATTGGATAACTTCTTCAATACTCACCATAGTTTTTGACTATACATTCACTACTAAAAGACCAGTAGAGGTTGACATCATACTTAATACATGTACCACTTACTTTGGTAATCCATTCCTGAAAATCAAATGTTCTTTGAAAATATGTTAACATGAAGCCAGTTTCCCTTTTACTTTTTGATGTTTCCTGTTACTCTAATGTTTATGTCGATTATAATCCCTCAATTAAGTTCTAAAATATGAAAGTAATAAGCCATAACAAATTATATATGTAAATAAATCATCATATTAGAAAGTAAAATACTTAAAAGGACTAAGGTTGTTAACAAAGGATTTGTTTTTATGCTGATACATTTCCTTCTATTATACCAGCTTTCTTTGTTCATTTTGCTTCATTCACCACTATTTTCTTCAATCATTTTCCAAATATTTGGAAGTCTTTACAAGACCAGGCAAAATCAAGAGCTAAACATTAAAGACACTATAGAAATGTGTTACAGAAAAGTGCACAGTGGCAAAGAATAGCTCAGTGAGCATGGCACCTTTGAGACTTAGCAATTTTCATAGCATGTCCAAGTAATTATGACATTCTACAAATTGCATTTGTAATGTAACTTGAGACTTCTTTGCACATTTTTTTGTTTGTTTAAAATGTTGTAAGAGCTTAGGGTATAAATTTTTCTGTATATCCATGGGCCAAAAAAACTATCTTGAAAGATATATCTATATATATATTTTATTAAGTTTGGGTATTAAAACTCAGTAGCATGCAGGAGAATCCCTTAAGCATGGGCTACACATACTGATTGCCTTGTGATATGGTTCGGCTCTGTGTCCCCACCCAAATGTAATTTTGAATTGTAACTCCCAGTGTTGGAGGTGGGTCTGGTGGGAGGTCATTGGATCATACAGGTGGTTTCTACTGGTTTAGCACCATCCTCCTAGTGCTGTCTTGGAATAGAGTTCTCACAAGATCTGGTTGTTTGAAAGTATGTATCACCTCCCCCCTCCTCTCTTTCCTGCTCATCATTTGAAAATGTGCCCGCTTCTCCTTCACCTTCCACCATGATTATGTTTCCTGAGGCCTCCCCAGAAGCAGAAGCCTGTACACAGGAACCATGAGCTAATTAAACTTTTCTTTATAAATTACTCAGTCTCAGGTATGTCTTTATAGCAGTGTGAGAATGGATTAATACACTTTCCCAAGAGTACATTATGGAAAGAGGAAAAAAATAGTAATTTTATAGTGGGGAAACTTTGAAAATACTATTTCAGTTAAGTGACCATGTTAAACATCAACAAATCAACATGATGAGACATATTCATAGTATGAACTTATGATGTAATGTGATGAGAATGACACTTTACTTGTGTAAGCTTCTTCCCCATAACCCTTCACTCAGTCTAATAATGAAGAAAACATTAGACGAACCCCAGTTTAGGAACATCTACAAAACACTTGGCTAGTATTCCTCAAAACTTTCCAGGTCATAAGAAACAAGGAAAGTTGGAAAAACTTAGTCTAGAGTAGTCTAAGGCAATGTGACAACTAAATGTAATGTGATATCCTGAATGGGATTCTGGAACAGAAAAAGGACTTTTGGCAAAAACTGAAGAAAGCTAAATAAAGTGTGGACTTTAGTTAATAATAATGTATTACTACTGGTTTGTTAGTTATGACAACTGCATAGTAATATAAGACGTTAATAATAAAAAGTACTGGGTGTGAGATATATGAGAACTCTCTGTGTTATCTTTGCAACTTTTCTGTAACCATAAAATTATTCTAAAATAAAAAGTTTGTTAAAAAAAGAAGAAGATAGTTTAAAGAGATGCTTGTATTTCAGTTGGAAACCCTGTGCCTTTCAAGCATCTTCATCCTATAGCCACTGGGGCTGTGGTGGAGGGATAAGTCTTGTCAGGGTAAGGCCTGTTACAAGAAATCAACACTAAATTACCTTGTTTGTTTCCAGTGTTTTTGGGGTTAGCTAGAAAATGCAATCTAGAAGTCAGAAAGAGCACTAACTTCCAAATTGTGAAATAACAGTAAAAAGATTGTGACTTTTCAGCTCCTTGAATTAGCCTTTTATCTATAAATGCTGACTCTGCTAATTTAGAACAAATCTTTTGTATAAAACTACGAAGGAAAAAAACGAGTGCATAGATTTTAAAGGCTGAGAACTGAGTTCATTTGACCCCATTCATATATTAAGATTTTGGCACTGCACAGCTTGCTTAACCTTCCTAAACATGGGTTTCTTCATCTGTAAAACAGGATGATTGTGGTTATGAGGCTTCACCATAGGGTTTATTAAATTCTTAGTGTATTGCCTTATCCATAGAGAAGCAAATTAGAGAGCATTAACTTCACTAATATTTCTTGTCTGTCTTTTCATATTATTCTATGGAAAATAGAATTTAACCCATACTTCCAAATTTCTACTTCTTATTTGATAAACTCTAAGGGATAAAATCATAAAAAGGGGTTTTTTCCTTCCCCTTTATTTTACGTATTAATTTTTAGAACTGTAGGAGTTATTTAGGCTCCACATAAGTAGAGCTAAATCTAGATATGCATATACATAAGAAAGCTGGGTCTTTATACACATCACAGAGACTGATAACATCCCTTATAACTTTATTTGTAATGGTTAAACACCACTGCATTTTCTTTGCCATAACTTAAAATACAATTGTCAGTTTTGAGGAGATTGCTATTCTAATGGAATTATGTAATCACAGGTTTTCATAATTGGTAGAGGCCATAAAATCAAACAATTCAACTGACTAATAATAATAATAAAGTAGTAAAAACATCTACTGAGTGTTAGAGCTAACTATATGGTAGTCACTATGATTATTTAACATACAGTTTCTCATTGAATTTTATTTAACCCTCACAACGTCCACCAAAGTCACTATCCTCATTTTATAGTTGAGAAATTTCAGGCTTAGAGATGTTAAGTATTTAGCTCAAGGACACAAGGCTACTAAATGTCTTAATTGGGACTTAAATATAGTGCTTACCTTCTTTCTCTCTTTCTCTTACTTATGGTCTTAACCATAATGTTCCACTGCCCTTCCCTGGATAGCTAATTCTCCTCTACAATCCATATGCCAAGCTGTCATCCTACTGATCTTTACCCATCCTACAGGGCTATAAAATTCACTATCTCTAGAGTCAGTTCATTCTACTTTTGGACAGTTTTGTTTTTCTGTTACGTTGAAATTTATTTGGATTCTAGCTCTACCCTTGAAAGAGATTATTCCCTATCCTATTTGTATTAAATAAACACTACAATGTTTGGTCAAGAGCCACAATTTTGAAAAATGTTGTTAAAATTTGCAAACAATAAAAGATTATATCCCTGTTTTAAAGTTATCTCAGCAAAGCTGCTAAAACTACGAGCAAATGCCTGAGGTGTCGAAATTGGAAAATATATTTCATTATTCCACTGTTAATTGGAACCGAGGGACAAGGTTGAGTTAGTTGTAAATATGGAGTAAATGTTAGTTGCTGTAGTACTGAGATAAATTTGATCCAGATTACAGGAAAAAAGTCACTGGAAAAAGAATATTATCAAGGTAGTTAACTTTTATATGTTCAGAAGGAACTAATTATAAGGAGACAGAAAAATAAACTCTAGCTTTAATGGTGAAGGAAAATATCACAGAAGTTTAATTAAGGAGGGGAACTAAGAAAAGAGAAACAGTTTTATCAAGAATGCTAGGGTAGGCCAGGCATGGTGGCTCATGCCTATAATCGCAGCCCTCTGGGAGGCCGAGGCAGGCAGATTACATGAGGTCAGAAGTTCGAGACTAGCCTGGTCAACATGATGAAACCCTATCTCTACTAAAAATACAAAAATTAGCCTGGCATGGTGGCTTGTGCCTGTAATCTCAGCTACTCAGGAGGCTGAGGCATGAGAATCACTTGAACCTGCAAGGTGGAGGTTGCAGTGAGCCAAGATCGCGCCACTGCACTCCAGCCTGGATGACAGACACTCCGTCTCAAAAAAAAAAAAAAAAAAAAAAAAAAAAGAATGCTAGGGTAAATATCTAATAAGAGTCGGAACTATATTGCTGAACTTTTGTTAGGGATATTACCACTAAAGCATAATGGATAATATAAAACTTACAGCTATGAAAGAAAGAAGTCTTAAAAATCAGTGAGAAAACAAAAATTCGCTTGTAAGTTCTGATTCCAGTATATTTGATAATCCAGAGTAGTGCAGAAGTTGTACTAAAACTGTTCTGAAGATTTGCTTCTTAAAATAGTCCTGTATTAATACTGTTATTTGTTGTGAGCGTATATGGAAGCTGCTATCTGCTGCAGTCAGCCTCTTCTTTCATCCCATACAAAATAAGAATCAGAACTCTGCCACATATATGTTTCTTTTTGTCTGCTTACTCTGACTGATAAATATATATATATATAGTCTTCTTATAAAATATATAAATATATATTTTTATTATAGGTATATTATTTGTGCTTCCAAAGTATACGTAGAATTTAAGCACTTTCAACTTCTTCATTGCTCCCAACCTCAGTCGGAGCCACCTCATTTCCCACCTAGATTATAATTTATACATATTATAATACATTTATAAATAAAGTATATAATTATAAATATATTTATTTTAATATATAGATGCAATATATTTTATATAATATTTATATTTTTATCAGTCAGGGTAAGCAGACAAAAAGAAACTTTTCTAAATACTTCAAAAAGAAGAAATTTAATCCAGTGAATTTGTTACATCATTGATGAAATAGCTGAGAACCCAAAACAGAAAGTAGATGTTATCACCCTTAATCTAGAAAGCAAAGGTTTGAGACAGTGTTAGCAGATAGGCCCAGATGGGGTCGTGGGGGCCTACATGGTTGAAACAAAAGCTATAGAGGAGATAGATCCACTGCTGGACACAATCCCCCCGAAGAGGTAGTAGGAGAGGGATATCCTAGAATATCTTCCCTCCATCTTCTCAATCCTTGTCATTGTTTCCCATTGAGCAAAGCCTACAGAAATTATTTGAAATTGGAGCCTGTGAAAGGGTAGCCTGTAGGGGCCAGCTCTGATACTAGGAAGAGAAAAAGAAGTGCAAAAATAGATATAAAAGCAAATAAGCCCAATGGCTAACATATGACCAAAAGAAAATTCACTCTCCATGGCATTAATAAGCAAAGGCAATTTTACTAATTGTTGTATGTGAGAGACAAAGATTTTATATTATACACCTCCTAGTTTCAAACTTTGTTTGTTGTCTGCCTTTGACACGTTTCTTTAACCAGGAATTTTCTTGTATTTTCTTATCCCTTGTAGAGCCAGTCTCAAATAACCACAGCCATGAAAAAGTATCCACCAATTATACTAGGATCTATTCTCATTAGAATGCAGTCATGATAATCAAATTATAGTTTATCTCCTTAAAAAATTAAATATTGTCTTAATAATGTTACTTTTATTGTATAATATTCTAAAGAATATTTAATTTGGACTTATTCTTTTTTGTTCATATTTCTAAAAGGAAAAGTCCATCAGAATTCATAAGAACAGTGTATCCTTTCAGTCTTTACTTCTTTACTTCCCACTCTATCTTCTTCACATTCCAAAAGGACTTTCATTCTTACCACTCCATTGATGTTTGTGAATTTATATTGAAAATCCAAAATTATTACTTTCCCCATACATTAAGAACTTCTTCACAGTATCTGAACCACATGATCCCTATGTTTCTCCTTTTATCTTAGTATTTTTTCCTTGATCTTAATGAAAATAAATTCTACTATTTCTCTATTTATTTGTCTTAATCTCCTCTGTTAGCTCCTTCTCTGCCTGAACTTTAAATATTGAATAACTTCAGGAATAGGTCCTTGGCCCTTTTTCTTTAAATAGCTTTCTCTCTCTCTCCTTCTTTCTCTGTATGATAGGTAGGTACAAAGTTAGGTAGGTAGGTAGATAGATCAATAGATAATAGATAGACAGATAGATAGATAGATAGATAGATAGATATTGATAGACAGACTTTTATCCAACTTCATGGATTAAAACACTTAATGTGAAAATTTCTATCTCCAGTCCAGACTCTTCCTCATAATCCAGACTCATAGCCAACAATACACCCAACACCTCCACTTGGTGGTCCCGAATATAATTTGTTCTAAAATTAACTTGTTCTAAAGAGAACATTTTATTCTTCTATCTCCAAACCTGCTTCTCTTGCAGTCTTTTCCATCTCCTATTGATTTGCTTTATCAAAATAGCTCAAGCTCAACCATGGTTCTTTCTCACCTTCTACAATTAATCTATTCTCATCTCATTGCAGCTGCACTTCCAAAGTATATGTAGAATTTAAGCACTTTCAATTTCTTCATTGCTCCTAACCTCAGTCAAAGCCACTTTCATTTCCCATCTACATTAGAGCAATAGCTTATTAACTAATATCGCACTTCCATTCACGTCTTTTTACAGACCATCCTCTACACCGTAGCCAGAGTATTCCTCTGTAAGTGTAATTAAAATTACATCATTTTTCTGCTTGTGACTTCTTATTGCACTTAGCATAAAATCCAAACTTTTTACTATGATCTGTAAATCTACATCAAGGAAAATAGGTGTTATAAATGGTTTAATCAGATTTTTCTGGACATATTTATTAGAATCAGCAAATCACTAAATAATATTGATCTATTCTAAATAGAATAATTGACCTAAAGACCTCTATTGTCTTCTCAAATTCAGTGACATTTTAAAAAGATAACTTTTTCAAAACCCAAAGCACTTTAAGACAAGATTTACAGCTCTGTGTCTTTAATTCCTCGAAACAGATTCTAGCAGTGAAACTTCAGTCAGTTCTCCACTAAGAGATGTGCCTTCATGAAAAGCCAAATATATTAAGTTTTTTTGGCTTCCTAGCTATCATTTTCAGCATGTGAATCAATGATGCAATTCCAAGTACTTGAGATCCAACCCCTAGCCCCCACATTAAAAGCCAAAGAAATACCAAATGGAGATAAATTTACATGAAAGATTACCTATAGCTGTGGCCTGCTGCCACTTGGTAGGACAATCAACATGCATGGGAGATTAAGCTATATAATCTCAGTTGAATTGAATCAGCTGTCTTAATGGGCCAGAAAATCAACCAGTCTGAGTGAAAAATTCCCTTGAAATAGTTGACTGGTATTAGTTAAATAAGCAAGTGAAATTTGTGGAATCCTTAAAATGCCCCAAACTAGGAGGGGACAAAAACACCAAAACTGATCTCTTTTTCAATTTCCAGCTGAGTGCTTGACACAGTCTAGATGTAGCCCCAGGACTCTAAGTTCAAAAAACCAATTTTACCTCCTTTCATCTCTAAAAATATTTTTTAAATTCTCAGTGATAGCTATCACCATGTAAGCCAATGACACATGAACCATCATCCTCAACTCATTAATGTCCTTGTTTCATGAATAATTTACTCAATAATCTTACCTATTTGTAATCACCTTCTTCCATTGTAATAATTCATATGAGAACATTTTGCTTATTGTATTGAGTTTTTGCATGCATTATCTAAAGCCCCTTTGAATAAAGTATTGTTATGTATTTCAATAAGAAAACTGAAGCTCAGATGTGATAAATGATTTGTCCAAGATCATACATGTGTGGAATGGCACGGCCCTCAACTTCAAGTGTGCGTAACTTCTTAGCCTTCTGAAAACCTATTGGGTCATAATTTTTATCTAAAATTTCCATCCATGATAACCAGAAACTAAAATAGTTTCTTATCTTCTTACCTAGGATGACTAAATAAAGCCATGCCATAATATCCATCTATTAAGCAAGTTTCACTGTAAGAATTCATTAATTTATAAAGTAACTTGTAGAATTGACTATGATTTGATAGTCCAACTAATTCCAAATCAAGCCTATATGTACTATGGGCTTAATGTCCAAAAAGAAAGCAAAGCCCCTGTGTAGGTAGATGATTTTCTCCTAAATTATGCAATTGTATATGGAAAAAATTCATGCCTTTGTATATGGAGAAAATTCTTACAGCTGCCACATTCTTTCATTCTGAAGAAGCCTCAAAATGCTTTGCAATGAATCAAGTTGTTATTTGAATAGAATAAGTAAATAGTTCATTTTAGTAGAAAGTATATTGTCACTACATCAGCAATTCTCATTTAAAAAATGTGCATTACTTATTCAGTTATTTGAAAGATGGTATCAGAGAGAAGCTATTTTGTCAATTTATTTTTTTTTCATCTACAAGCCTTCATTTTTAAACCTACCACACTGTGTGTTTTTAAGACATCAATTACCATTTTAAAATGTACTGCTCTATCTTGAGTTTCTCAGCAAGTTTCTATGCCAAAGAAAACACTAATCCTTTCAATTTATTGGGAATCAATGTTTAATCCTCTTTTTTGTTCTCACACTTATTACAAATCATAAAGAATTCTGAGTGTCAGTTTAAGAAGTGAAAGGCTGATATAATGTTCCTATTACTTATTGATCATTTTAAATTAAAAATTTTAGTGCTGTCTATTTGAAAAGCAAACCAAAAATTTATGTTTTGCATAGAAATGCTTTCAATACATAATAAAAAATGTGTTTTGAGAGGTTTTTTATACTATTTTTAATATCCATACAAATAGAGTTTCCTTTATTAAATTTGTGATAGTTCAAGCTTTCAGATATAGGGAAAAAGAACTTTGGTTACCTCTACCACATATGAAGAACATGGGGAATGTGCTGATAAATATTTTAAAGCCAACCTTAAAATAGCAAGAATATTCTAAAATTATCTAATGTATAGCTCTTTTAAAACTTTAAATACTTTAAAACCTCATAGTCTTTTAAAAACATTAAGTAACAATAACTTCTTTATATTTATATCAAATCTCTCAAAAGTTCATCTATCTTCGATATTCCTACAAATTGCTCAACTATTAGAAATGTCTTCCTTAGACCAACAGATTTTTAGTATATTCAAATCATACCAGATTCTATATAGACATTCATTTTAATTTTATTTTTAACATTTCTTTATACATGTGTATAAAGAATACACATTTATGCATTCATATATATATATTTTTTATGAAGATGCACAAATGAGATCATATTACTCCTTCATTTATTCATTAAACAAATACTTATTAAGTACTAACTGTGGTGCCAGGCCTCGTTTAACTATAGAGGACAAAACATGCCAAAAATGCCTGCCTTTACATTCTAGTGTGGAAGATAGACAGTAAAGAAAACCAAAGGGAAACACAGGTATATTGATGGCAATAAAAATGCTATAGAGAAAAATAATGCAGGAGATTGGGATAAGGGGCAGATGTTAGGGTGATGCTTATGGTTTAATTTTAAATAGGTTAGTTAATGGGGAAGACCTCACTCTGGATGTGAAATTTGAGAAAAGATCTTAAAGAGACAAGAAAATTGGCCATGGGGATACCTAAAGGCGGGGGAAAAAAGCAAGTGAGGCAGAGTAGCAGAGTATACAGCAAGTGAACTAAAGAGGATAGACAAAGAGAAATAAAAGGACAATAGTCAGTCAATGCTAGGAGTTCGACTTTTGCACTTATTCAGATGGGAAGCCTATGGGGGGAATTAAGCAGAGCCACATACCTAACAAGTTATCTATTATGTTATGAATAGACTTGAAGTGCAGAAGAAAGACAAACTATTATGAAAACTCTTGTAATACAGACTATTCATGACATTGGTTTATGCTAGCCTGGTGGTAGTAGAGATGTGAGAAGTGGTCAGATTATAAATGTATATTTGAGGTGGGGTCCACGGGATTTACCGATAAATTAGACCTGGTATCTAAGGAAAACAAAAAGAGAAATCAAGGGTAACAAGATAGGGTTGTTTATTGATTGAGATAAAGTTCTTTTTTATTATTATTATTTCTTTCCAAAATCTACACTAGACTCAGGGGAAAAAGAAAGCTGGTCTTTATCTCCTGGATATAAAATTTTTTAAAGCCTTGGGACTAATAAGATAACCAAGAGCATAAGTATTGGTAGAAAAAAGAAGAGGTCGAAAAGATTTAGCTCGGAACTCTCCATCATTCAACACTCAGGTAGATGAGGAAGGAGGAGTAACAAAATCAAAAAACAATCCATTAGGAAATTTAAAAATAAAATCAGATTTGAGTGTCCTGGAACTCAAATGAAGAGGTGCTTGAAGGAAAATTAATAAGTTAAAAGGCATCAATTAATTAATCAAGAAAGAGGAGGATGGGAAGTTGACCATTGGATTTAGCAACATAAAGGACATTACTGAATTTAACAAGGGCATATTTAGTTATGTGCTAGAAGATATAAATAGGTCCTTGTGAAATTTTGCTTTAAAAGGGAACACAAAATTGGGTGTAGCTAGATATAGAAGTAGTCTCAAAAGAATGGGGAAAGGGGAAAAACGATAATGGGAGAAAATCAGTAGTGTGCTTTCTTGCATATTTGAGAGAAGATGGAATTTTGTTGACGAAGAAATTGTCCATTGCTTAGAAAATGTACAAGACAAAAAGCAGAGAATAAGAGCAGACGTCATATATGATTGGCAGTTTCTGGTGTGTTTGGGTCTTTATATTTTATTGAAATTTAATGTAATTTACTTTGATGTTGCTTTTATCACTGGCTTCTCTCTATCTATTTTCTTCTTTATCCACACCAACACAAGAACAACTCTTTTTCTCCCAATTTGTATATTGGAGTTTATAGATAGATAGAGAAATAGAAAGATAGACAGATGTATAGCTGTATATAAATTTAACAAAAAATACATTTATGTACATATTTATGTAGCTTGTTTTTCTCCTTCAAAAACATGTAGCAAGTCTGGGCACAGTGGCTCACACCTGTAATCCCAGCATTTTGGGAGGCTGAGGTGGTGGATCACGAGGTCAAGAGAGATTAAGACTATCCTGGCCAACATGGAGAAGCCCCATTTCTACTAAAAATATAAAAACCTTCTGGGCGTGGTGGCATGCACCTGTAATCCCAGCTACTGTGGAGGCTGAGGCAGGAGAATTGCTTGAACCCAGGAGGTGGAGATTGTAGTGAGCCGAGATCGCGCCACTGCACTCCAGCCTCGTGACAGAGCAAGACTTCATCTCAAAAAAAGCGAAACTACCACAGTTCAATTCGTTCTTTTAATGGAATTAGAACAGTCCATAGAGTTGTACCAAAATTTATTCATCATTTCACCAATAATAAGCATACTCCTTGAGTATTTTGCCAGCTAAAATAATACTTCAATAAAAATGATTTTACATTTGCATTTAATAATGTGTGCTGATGCTTTTATAACTGGAGATTGGATGTCTTCCAATCTGTGAAATGAAAAAAGCATTAATTTTTATTTTAATGTTGATAATTGTTTATATACTACTGTCCACCTCAACTTATAAGGTTCACATTATACCAGCAGTCGATTTTAAAAATTATTTTTAGTTATTCTGATCATCATAAAATGATACATCATTTACAGTTGGCCCTCCATATCTATGGGTTCTCTACCCATGAATTCAACCGATCTCAAGTTAAATATATTCAGAAAAAAAACAAATGGTTGCATGTGTTCTGAACATGTGCAGATTTTTGTCATTATTTCCTAAACAATACAATATAACAACTACTTACATTGTATTAAATATTATAAATAATATAGAGACTATTTAAAGCATATGGGAAATTGTGGGTAGATATATGCAAGGAATACCCCATTTTACATCAGAGACTTGAATATCCATGTATTTTGGTATCTGTGGGATGTCCTGGAACCAAACTCTCATGGATATTAAAGTACAGAGGGATTACTGTACTTTAATGTATTTTTTGTATTTCCTTAAATACCATTAAATTTGAGCATCTTATTTAAGTTTTATGTCCATTTGGGTTTGCTCTTCAAGAATTAAAGTTCACTGAATGAATTATGTTTACTTTTTAATTGTATAAATTTTCCATTTTTAGAGAATATGTAAGAAAACGTTCTATATTAAAGACATTAACCCTCTGTCTGCCATTTGTGTTAAACTTTTTTTCTAGAACAGTCATTTATTTCTTAATATTTAAAGTTTTCCATATCAGTAAAATATTTTCATATATTCTCATAGGTCTCTGCTATGGTTAAAAGGCCCCCTCAAAGGTCATGCTGAGATTTAATTACCATTGAAACAAGGTTGAGAGGCAGGAACTTTAAGAGATGATTAGGTCATGAGGGCTCCATTCTTATGAAGAGATTAATGCCATTAACTTAGGAGTGGGTTAGTAATCACATAAGTGGGCTCCTGATACAAAAAAGGAATTTGGCCCAATTTCTACTCTGTGTCTCACATGCTTGCTTCTGCTTTCTACCATGAGACGGCCCTCACCAAATGCCAGTGCTATGCTCTTGGACTTCCCAGCCTCCAGAACCATGAGCCAAATAAACTCCCATTCTTTATAAATGATTCAGTCTGGGGTATCTTGTTATAGCAGCAGAAACAGACTAAGACAGCCTCCCAGCCTTCTTTCCTCTCTCTTATATCTTTGGGACAATGTCCTTCTATGTTTAGTCTCTTTCATGTTCTACTCAAGAGTCTTGAATTTTCTTCTAGGTCTTTGTCTAGCACAAGGGGAAGAAGGAGGAATTTCCACAATTTTCTGTGTCAAGGCTCACCAAAACCCAAAGTATTTCTTAAACACAGATGATCATTGTCTGCAGGAGCCATCTGACTAAAAGAAAGACTAAAATTGAGAAAGAAGGTTATGTAGCTGTGCTGAGGTCACCACATTCAAACAATCTTCTTATATGGCATATTTCTGAATAGTACATGTTTCTATTAGCTATTCATAAAGACTATTTTCAGAAATCTCATCTCTCATAGTATTATTCTGCTTAAAATTTTATGTCTTGAGGAAAAAAACCTGACCTAAATTTATTTAAATAATAAATGTATTACTTTTCAGATAGTATTTTGGATATACAAGCAATAGAAAATATACTGTAATATGATTCTTCTGGGATTTCCTATGGCAGAGTTCCTCAAAGTTAAATGCTTGAATCTGAAAAGATAATGAACAGATGTCTGAGCAGCTTCAATATCTCTGTAAGAGTTTTCAGGCTTTCTGTCTTGACTTTGTTTTCTTTTTCTTATTTATTCATTCAATAAAAAATTATTGAGTATTGAGTACTATTTTTATGCAAAAAAAAATTCTAGACTCTGGGTACATAGAGTTGAATGAGACAACCAAGTCCCCCGCCTTTTTGGAAGAGATGGATATTACACAAAAAATACAGAAATATAAATATATAATAAAATACATACTATAATTTAAAACTGTGATTAAGTGTGAAGATAAAATTAAAAATGTCATTTGACATAAGAATTAATATTTCAGAGAAGAAAACATTTAAATTGGGATCTAAAGGATAATCTAAAAGAAAAATGCAAGAATATTGTAGATCATAATCCCCTTTTACCTGAAAGTTAAAGAGAAATGTCATTGTCCTTGGTCTCACACATGTTTACAATTATCACACACACACATTCAAATAGATGCATATATACAAATGAACAGACACACACATATATGTCTATATATGCTGTTAAAATATATGTTTACATGCATATTTGTTTTTGGTTACTGTTAAGATTGAATTAGATACTATAGGTAAACAATAGGTATAGCACATAGAGCAAAGTGAGAACCTTGAGGATGTTTCAAATATAAAGTAGAGCAATAATAATTTGTTATAGTTCCATCAGAAATAAAAGGTAAAAATATCAGAAGAGTCAGATGAAAATAAACAAGTGCATAATGACCCAGGAAGAATTTAGAAAACACTTATTGTGGTCTCAAAATCAACAACACAGAAAATAAGCCATTTTTTCATTAGATAACCAGATTGACCAATGTGCACTTGATTGGATTATAGGATTTTTTCAGGTAATCTCTTTTAACTCTGGGTCCTTCACTTGGCTAACTTCTACTTATCTGTCTTATCTCATCTTCTTCATCAAAACTTCCATACCCAATTTAATAAACCACACTTCACCATCTAATTCAAAATGTCTTCTTTACAGTAAAATAGATTCAAACTTACATCCATCTGAATGCTCCATTCCATTTCACCTACTAATGTGCAAATATCAGTTACATAATAATGAAAAAACCGATTAGTGAAAACACTATCCTATGGATATTTTAGTGAATTTTTGAAGCATAACATATATACAGAAAAACATTACACATATATGCATAAATCTTAAACATACAACTTGATAAATCTGCTATTTGAACATGTTTGTAGACCATCACCCAGGAAGGAAACAGAACATCAACAAAATCTTGGAAGGTTCCCTAACTTCTATTGTGACTTCTATTTATCATAGATTACTTTTGCTGTTACTGAAGTCCCTGGGAATAGAATCACATAGGAACTACTGTTCGGTGTTTACCTTCATCTATGCAAGCACTAGTTCTGTGAGATTCATGCATGTTGTTGCATGTAGAAATAGCTAGTTCATTTTCATTATTTTATAGTATTCTATTAAATAAATACACAAAAATTATTTACCCATTTCTCTTGTTAATGATTATTTGGATTGTTTATAGTTTTGTTGGGGCTGCTCAGAATGATTCTGCTATGTACACCCATGTACATGCCTTCTGACACAAATAAGCAATTCTGTTGAACATTTCTGGTCCATAGGATTGCATATATTTGACTTTAGTGAACACTGCTAACTTTTTTTCCAAGTGGTATGTATGCTATTTTTTTAGAAAATTAAATTCTGTGAATTGTGTGCATATTATAGAAGATCAGAATGATGGTAATTTCCTCTGGATAAGATTCAACTTCTCCTGCCCCAAAATTGTAATAAAAGCAGATCAAGTTGACTTGGTCAAGAGGACAGATGGTGTAATTTTCAAGTTTCTAGGGATTTGACTATTTCTGATTTGGCATTACACCTAGAAAACATAATCTTTTAAGGGTCACAACTGAAAGCCTTGTGCTTTTACCGAACCTCCTTCTTCTTACTAGTTCCTGAATTACAGTTTCCCTTTATTTAAATTTAGGAAGCTCTGTTTAGTGTTTTTGTTTGCTTGTTTTTGCCCTGTTAACAGTCACTTTCTGTTTGTTTTCTTGGTCTCAGAAGCCAGTCCAGTTTAGGAATTCACAACGAGGCTGTTAAAAGCTTCAAATCCTCATTTTCTGCCTGGCCTCTATATCTGAAATTGGAAATCAGGGATTTATCTTATTGGAAAAATTATAGAAATGGTTGTCCTTACTTCTGTGTACTTCATTAATCTTCCTAGGATAGTGTCCCCTCAAGTTCTGAATGTCTTTGTTGTTTTCCAATACTCAATTTTAAAAAACGTTATATAGTTTCAAAATTGTTCTAAGTGAAATGGTTGATGTGATACAGCTATTTCCTCATGGCCAGTAACAGAAGTCATAAATGATAGTATTTTAATTATTATGGGCTAATGAGATTAGAGGTATCATAATATGTAAAAAAAAAAAAATGTACACAAAGTACAGGCCAAGAATCTTCACAGATTTCAGGTAGCTACATGAATTACATCCAAATGATATTTCTTCAATCTTATTAACTATAAGTCTTGTTAAGTATAGTTTTTTAGAGATTGCAGTCAGAGTGCTAATGTTAGGTAAAAAGACAACTTTTTTGTTTTATGGCCGTGAATAATCAGAAATAAAATGTATTTTATGTGTGTGTGTCTGTGAGTGTGTTTGTGTGTGTGTATATATATATATATATATATATATATATATATATATATTTCAATACTATATATGAATATATTCAATAGAATATTAGTCTTAAAAGAGAAGACAATCTCATCATTTCCAACAACATGAATGGACCTTGAGGAAATTATGCTAGGTGAAATAAGCCGGGCACAAACCAAAAATAAGCCAAAAAATAAAAATAACAAAAAAAAGCCAAAAAAAAATGCTGCATTATCTCACTTCAATGTAGAATCTAAAAAAGTTAAATTCAGAAGCAGAGAGTAGAATGTTGTTTGCCAGGTGGTGGGGGAGTGGGGGAAATGAAGAGATGTTGGTCAGAAGGTACAAAGTTTTAGTAATGCAGAATGAATAAGTTCTGGAGATCTAATGAGAAACATGATGACTATAGTTAATAATACTGTGTTTTATACTTGAAACATGCTAAGATAATATTCCTTAAGTGTTCTCACCACATACAAAAAAATGCTAACTATGTCAGGTGATGGATATGTTAATTAGCTTATGTTAATTATTTCACTATGTATACATATATCAAAACAGCATATTGTATGGTATAAATATATATAAGTTTTGTCAATTATAAATCAATAAAGCAGGAAAAAATGAATATTTTAATCATTTTATATTAAATACCTAAAAATCAAATATATTATTCTAAATTTTACTGCAAAACCTAAATGTCTCTCAGCACTCCAGTGATACCATGTTTAAAACTAAAATTAACAGTACTAACTATATAACACTTCCTTAAATGTGATTCCATTTAATTCTCACGACCCTGTTAGTTGGATAATGTAGTATCATCTTTCTAGTTTATGGAAGACTAATGAAGATTTACATAGACTAGCTGAAATATCCAATATAATACAGTTTATTAATTCAAAGATGAAATTGTATTCCTTTCTGTCTATGGACTCCCAAATTTCTTTTTTTCCTATTAAAATCCACAGGATATTGTAGATATTCCAAAATTAAAACATCTCTAAATAAATGACTCAATCCCTTTAACCCCCTGGTGTACCCAAAATCAATAGTTGTAAGACTGATTGTCTTCTCTAAATTCAGTTTTCCATCACAGTTGATGGAACGATGATCTTGAGAACCACATTGCTAATAGTGTCCCTTTTATCCTCAATCCAAATTATACTTTTGTTCTCCAACTGGCTCCTTCTCTTTGGCTCTCTAGCAGAATGAAGACAACACAGAATGACTAATGATCAGATTAACTAGTGTTCACTAGGGTAAACTTCTTCACTAGTTTCATTTGGTGAATAAATGGAACTTTTTTAGAGTACAAGGTGGCACTATTAATAAGCATTCTAGGAAAACTGGATCTATCTTAGGTATATCTGAAGGTATGATCACCCTATTGATTATGGATAGTAGTTTGAAATATGGGCCTAAAATAGATTCATATTTGTCATTACTAACTCTTGATGGTTTGAAGAGTGGAGGATATGAGTAGAATCATAATGTTTAAAGAGTTCAAGCTCTATAGTAAGACTATTCAAGGTTTTAACCTAGTTCCACCACATCCTAGCTGTGATACTTTGAGCAAACTATTAAACTTCCTGCATTGGTTTGCTCTTCATACCTGACAAACTTTCTCAAAACTCAGTGGCTTAAAACTACAATCATTTATTTTTACTCATGCATCTACAGGACAGTTGATGTTTAATTAGAGTTTATCTGATTTAGAATGGGTTTAGCTGTGAGTCCCTGTTTCACCCTGCAATAGCTGGATGGATCTGCTATTTCTGCTGGTCTGTATATGAGGTGGGGCAGCTCTGCTACGATTTTCTCTTTTTATTTTCAGACTCGCAAGCAAGCTAGAGTGTGGACTTAATTTTGCAACGGCAATGCTGCAAGAAGAAAGTAGAAACACCCCAGTCCTTTTAAGGCCTACACGGAAAATTTGGACACCCTCTACTTTCCAACATAAGTCATTTACAGTCAAAGAATGGAGAAATATACTCAACTCCTATTTTGAAAGAACTGGCCAAAAGGCAAAGTTTACGAACACAGGAAGGACTAAAGATTGAAAATAATGATGCAATCTACTATTTGGTCTGACACTCAGTTTCTTCATCTATATGATGAAGTTTTTTGAGAGATTTGTTGGAATGCTTGAAATAATATTCATACAGCATCCAGTGCATAGTAGGTGTTTGATACCTAGAAACTTTTCTAGTTTTATTGTTACCATTATTAAGAGATTAAGATATAATTACGACTGGGCACAGTGGCTCACGCCTATAATCCCAGCACTTTGGGAAGCCAAGGTGGGCGAATCATGAGGTCAGGAGATCAAAACCATCCTGGCCAACATGGTGAAACCCTATCTGTACTAAAAATACAAAAATTAGCTGGGTGTGGTGGTGGGTGCCTGTAATCCCAGCTACTCAGGAGGCTGAGGCAGGAGAATTGCTTGAACCCAGGAGGCGGAGCCTGCAGTGAGCCAAGATCATGCCACTGCACTCCAGCCTGGGTGACAGAGTAAGACTATGTCTCAAGAACAGTAAAATAAAATTAAATAAATAAATAAATAAATAAATAAATAAATAAATAAATAGGGTGGTCAGTGAGCTCTTCACTGAGAATGTAGACTTTGGACAAAGACTTAAAGAAGACGAGAAAGTACAACTATGTGGATATCTGAGGCAGCAGTGTTATACATAGGAAGAACCCCATGTGCAATGGCAGTGAGGCTAGAGCTTACCTGGTCACAGGAGCATCAAGAAGATCACCACATGCATATAAAGATAAAGGCAACACAGGAGGAAAGAAAGGCAAAGACGCAAGGGAAGTGTGGTGGTGGTGGTGGTGGTGATACAAATTGTAGGGTTCTTAGAGGCCATTATAATGTTGTATTTGTAGTGGGATAGGAAGTCATCAGAGGGCCTTATGAAGAATAGAATGACATGACTATATTTCCAAAGGATCACGTTGGCTTCTGTGTTAATAGAAGACTATAAAGAAACAAGAGTGGCAACAAGGATACCAGCTAGTGTCAAGTATAACAAAGCAGGTAAGAAAATCACGGTTTCAGCCAGGGTTGTGACACTGTGAGAGTGGGGAGGAAGAAGAGAAGTGGTCAGATTTTGAAAGTATTTTTAAAGTAGCTACAATAGGATTTTTTTTTTAAATAATAATATAGATGTAGAGTGTGGAAGAGAGAAGCCAAGTGTGAAATGGAGGCTTTGTGGGCCTGTGCTGCTGGAAAGATAAAATTGATTTTTTCCTGAGATGGGACTAAAGATGGAGGCACTGGGTTTAAAGGAATGATCAATATTTTAACTTTGAAATGCCATTGAGACATGCAAATGGATGTTTCAAGTATGTAACTGAGTATCCTGAAATCTGGGGAAGAAGTCTGAATGAAAAATTAGTATGTGGGAATCTCCAGTTAGAGTTATTTCCAATTTTTTTTTAAAACTGCAAAATACTGTTAGATCACAAAAGAATGAGTGCAAAGAGAGAAAAGATCCGGAAACTGAATCACAGCTACTTCAACATTTAGAGTTAAAGAGAAAGGAACTAGCCAAAACCAGAAACAAACAAACTAAAAAACTAAGGGCATAAAAAGAAGTGGGAGAAATATAGGGAATCCACACACTAGAAGCCAAGAAAATAAGGCATTTCAAGAAGGAGGGAGTAATTTCTTGTGTCAAATACTGCTGATAGATTAAAACAAATAACTGAGAATTGCCAATTGAATATTTAAACACATGATCACTGGAGAAGTTTACAAAAGCATTTTCATTTGCCGTTGCATAGATAAAAGTCTAATTAGAGATGATCGAAGAGCAAACAGAAAGGACAGCTCTTAGAGACAGAGTATAGACCCTATATTTTATTAGTTCTAACAAATGCACTATTTTATCTTTTAAATCTCTGAAATTAGGATGTAGATTAAAATTACAACATTTGGCCTGGCACGGTGGCTCACGCCTGTAATCCCAGCACTTTGGGAGGCAGAGGCAGGTGGATCACGAGGTCAGGAGATTGAGACCATCCTGGCTAACACGGTGAAACCCTGTCTCTACTAAAAATACAAAAAATTAGCCGGGCATGGTGGCAGGTGCCTATAGTCCCAGCTACTCGGGAGGCTGAGGTGGGAGAATGGTGTGAACCCAGGAGGTGGAGCTTGCAGTGAGGCGAGATCAAGCCACTGCACTCCAGCCTGGGTGACAGAGTGAGACTCTGTCTCAAAAAAAAAAAAAAAAAAAAAAAAATTACAACATTTATTCTTATGAGTACCTAGGCAGCTGTTCCAATGGAGTTGTCATTGCCTGCTTTTTCATGAAGTTTTTCATAGTTACTTATATTTTCATCACTGTTACATAAAAATAAAATTAAAAAGCTCTTTCAATATACATAAAATAAAAATTCTATGTGATATGAAAGTTTTGGTCATAGTTTAGTAGTTTTTCTGTCTTAATGGTACATACATTAATTGCATGTTATAATCAATGTGGCTAAAATACAATAAATATGATTACCATGCATTTTAGCTATAAAGGGATAACAGAAATGTAGACATAGCTGGAAGGAATTAGGGGGTCAATAAGGGGCTCGATTATAGGATTTCGTTTTTAAGATGGGTTAAATTAGGATATGCTTGTATGCTAATGAAAATAATCTCATAGAAAGGAAAAATTAGAAGAAGCATGATATAATTAAAGGATGTCTGGTATTTCTGAAAGTGAGAATATGTTTTACAAAAGTGCTCATATGTCCACCAATAGTGTTTTGCTGAAATCATTTAAGATCTTCCGTTTATGTTCACAAGATAGAAGTTGTTCTAAAATCCTTCTGTGGATTAAGAACTAAAGATTTGAGATCAATGGAAACTTTACTGTCATGTACTTAAGAACTATGAGCCATTGATTTATAAACACTTAATTATAATCCTACTTCAACATGACTCCTCACTTCTACACCCATTCAGTATCTTAATATAGTTGTTATAATTAAATAATTTAAAACATAAAGGGACTTAAAACAGTAATGCTTCCATTTATTTTCTTACTGACATAAGAATTATCTTTAATTAGTATGTTAGTTTTACAAACTGTATTTGTTTTAACTGGAAATCTATATCTTATTAAACCTAATGCACAAGTAATAAGGCATTCCCAAGTTACAAATGGAGTTACATGAATAAAAAATAAAATAATAAAAATAACTATTTCTAGGGAGCTTATTGTGTATTTAAAACTGTGATGAATGATACATATGACCTAGTATAATATTGCAAACTTAGAAAATAAGTAATTATAAAATAACTTGTTTTTCAGATAACATGCTTGAAATGAATGTAGAGTATATACCTTTTCTTTTCTCTTTTCTCTTCTTTTTCTCTCTTCTTTTCTTTTCTTTGTTTTTTGAGACAGGGTCTCACTCCCATTACCCAGGCTGGAGTGCCATGGTGTGACCATGGTTCACTGCAGCCTTGACTTCCCAGGATCAGGTGATCCCACCTCAGCTTCCTGAGTAGCCGGGACTACAGGTGCACCACTAGGCCTGGCTAATTTTTTGTAATCTTAGTAGAGATGGGGTTTCGCCATGTTGACCACTATGGTATGTAAGTGGTTGCTAGACATTAAATAACTCAAAAGTCCATGTAATTCTTTATTTAACTAATTTATGTCTTTGTGTTGATCTGATAGAGTTACTTTCCCAATCTTTATTGTTGGATAGTCAAGTATTTCTGAAAAATTTAATAGAAAGTAAAAGGTTAGTGTTCTACATTCTATAACTAATAAATATATGTAAGAAAAATCCAGTTAATTGTGAAAAAATGTAATTGTGAAGATTAGGCAAGGCATAATGCGTAATTTAAATTCATGAATATATATAATTTAAAATCTTGGTATAAATTCATATTAATCTTTACTTAATAACCATCATTTTAAAGTACTTTGATTATTTGATGATAACTTGATTTTATTTGTTTCCATTTTGTTTTTTTCTTTTTATTCTTAAAATAACTCTAACCTACTTAAAATGTTTTTTGGGGCATAAAAATGTAAATGATAAAAATCACATTTCAACTAATTCTTGGTAGCAGTTAATCTGTGTCCCTTTTTTCTATCCTAAATATGTATAGACAGGATAGGCATTTTATGAGTGCATATTGCTGTGCTCTCTGTATATATCATTAAATGTTCTGTAAAACATAAATTCAAGAAAATTTTCTGTTATTGACCTATGGTTGCTTTGAATCTTTCTGCTTATCAAGCTACATATTTGTTCATGTTTATATGTTTCACCTAGGGGCTTAATCATCTATTATGCCATTTATTCTGTGGGAAAGTGTGTTCTCAATTGTGGATATGGGGTGAACAACACATCATTCTCCAATCCACTAGGCATGCATGAATGATGTCATGAAACTAGTGAAAGAAAAGAGGGTATAGGATAATATCTAAGAACATGGGTTCTAGAGTAAGGCTACACGGGCACCAGTGATAACTAGTTATGTGACCCTTGGCAAGTCAGTTGACCTCAATCGGCTTCATTTTTCATACCTTTTAAGTGAAAGTTATAATAGCATCTTTATTATAGGCTCTTGAGAGTTAAATGATAGAGTAATATAAATATTTAATACATTACTTGGCATATAGTTTATGTTGAGAGAACAAATAGGGAAATGCTATGGCCACCTGGGGCATATTACTTCGTTCCAAACATGTCTAGATGACCAAAATTCTTAGTTTATTACTTTTAAGTATAAATTTTTAAGTGCGTATATATATATGTATATATGTGTGTATATATGTATATATAAGTGTATATTTAAGTGTATATGTGTATGTATGTATACACAAAGAGTTTTAATATTTATATTTCTGAAGAAAATTAAGAATTCTATTACTCTATTGCTATGTGCACATTAAGCATGATACATCTAAATATCACTAAATTGGCTAATTAAATTATAGTAAAAAGGCATATTTTAAACAGAATTATTGAGATATATTATGAAGGGTGTAGTAGTATATTTTCTGCATTTTTAGTTTGAGATGAGATGTATAATTTTCCTTTAATGACTCTACTTAGTGGGAAAATAAGATTGGTTATAGATTCCCAAATAATTGAAGGTCTTAAATAGGCTGCCTATGAAATGATCTTATTTGAATTTGAGCTGTCACTCTGTATTACTTTGCTAAACTGTGCAGTTTTATATGATAAATTTATATCTGCAGGTTTGTAATATACTAATGAAATCAGATGTTAATGTCCTACAATATGAACGCATGTGTCTACTAGAATAAACATTCTGAAAAAGAGACACTATTTGTGTAAATCATCTTGAACCTCAGTGTTCTTCAGTACAACTCATGCAGCAATAGGGTTAGATACTAAGTAGTTTTACTCATTTCCATCAACTTGATATTGCTTCTGATTTGTGTTTGCTTAATTTGTTTTTGCCTTTGATGTTAGGCAAACTTAAAAATCTACAGATTGTATTAGCAACATCTTTGATCTTACGATTTCAGCAGGTACCTATATGGGCCTGTGGATATACTAAGTTGAAGTCCCAACTTTTAAAAAACTGGGCATATTCATAAATACAAAAAAACACCAGAAACTGTGCATATGAGAGCCAAATATAGCAAATAAGAAGTAGTGGGAGATTTTGTTTGGTTGGTCATTGACTTTAAAAAAAACTTCTTTATCTTTGTGAAGAATTAAAAGGATGACTTTTAAAGAAAGCATACATTTCTTGACCCAAATATTATCATAATGAGATAGGATAATCACTGACTTTGAAATCAAAACTCTAGTTGTTTACTGGCATATGTGTTGTTTGGTAAATTTGTGCTTAAATTTCTTTTCAGAAATACAGATTTCTTAAAAATGTTTAAGTGTTTGTTTGTTTGTTTGTTTTTAGAGACAGTCTCACTCTGTCACCCAGGCTGGAGTGTAGTGGTATGATCATAGCTCACTGTAACCTTGAACTCCTGGCCTCAAGAGATCTTCTGACGTCGGCCTCCTGAATAGCTAGGGTTGTAATTTTTTTTTTTTTTTTTAATTTTTATTTTTTGGTCTAGATGCATTCTCCCTCTGTTTCCTGTCAGGTCAAACTCCTGGCCTTAAGCAATCTTCCCACCTCAGTCTCCTCAAGTGCTGGGATTACAGGTGTAAGCCACTGTGCCTGGCTGGGTATTTTATTTTAAAGTCCTTTGAAATCAAACTTGAGAGATTATGAAAAATTATCATAATCTTAAAATAGATTTCTAATGTTACTATGCAATGAAGCATTCCTGAAAATTGTTTATGTACTTTTGAACAATCAGCTAACTTGTTTCTATGATTCGAGAGCAACATAGCCATTATTCCTTTGGAGTAAGGTAAATTAAATGAGACATTTTGGCTATTACTTTCTGAATTAAAATAAATTTGGGGTTAAAATATGCTAAACTATAGCCTACACACAGATAAGCAGTATGCATTCTACGATACATTTCATTACTTAAACCGAGTCAATATTATTAGTGTAATGACTTTAATAAAAGTACAGAACTTGGAATATAAAGTACTTCACTGTCTTTTTTTTTTTTTTTTTTTTTTTTGAGACCGAGTCTCGCTCTGTCGCCCAGGCTGGAGTGCAGTGGCGCGATCTCGGCTCACTGCAAGCTCCACCTCCCGGGTTCACGACATTCTCCTGCCTCATCCCCTTGAGTAGCTGGGACTACAGGCGCCCACCACCAAGCCCGGCTAATTTTTTATATTTTTAGTAGATACAGGGTTTCACCGTGTTAGTCAGGATGGTCTCGATCTCCTGACCTCGTGATCCACCAGCCTCTGCCTCCCAAAGTGCTGGGATTACAGGCGTGAGCCACCGGCCCGGCCCTACTTCACTGTCTTAATGTGTGTTGCTTTACTGACTCTTCCTTATCTGGTAATGCAAGCAGAAACTCCAATCACATATTCAAATCATTAAAATATACAATGCAATAAAAAACACAATGTTTACTCTTCCACTTAATACACCCATGGCACTTCAGATGGTTTGAAGACATACACAGGTGAATGTGTTGAGATAGTTAGATTCAGGTAAATGGAGTTCCCCAGAGAGAAGCAGAGACATAACTGGTGCGAACTTCGACCTTTCTGAAAAATTCACCACTTCTAAAAACTAAAATATATTTCTATACAATAAGCTCAAGCATTTTTACTTTTATTGTTTCAATTTTTAAAAAACTGAAATCTCTTGGCTAGGACTTCTTTAGTGAAAATTTACTCAATATTTTTAATATTGAGTAAATCAAATTTCTAGTCTCCCGAGCATTATATGTCTTGTGTTCTGAAATTGTGCCACATAAACAAATTGTTTTTCTAATTCTTTTGTATTTTTAAGGTATATGAAAAGTTCAATCTAATCTGTCTGACATCATCAAATTTTTATTCCCTAACCTTGATTTTATTTGCAAACAAAACTCAATTTCCAAAAATATAAATTGTTACCTATATAACTGGATTATGGACTACAAATCAATACATTTGATATTATCATAGTTAACATTTCAGAAAATTGTGTGACAAATAGTACTATACACTAGTCTTGTTTTATTCCTTTTAATAACCCAGTTTTAGTATCAATATTATGTTATTTCAGCATAATCTTTCAAAGTAGAATAAAATGACATAATAAGTGAAAACTTAACAAATTATGCTAAAGAATTTATCTACCTGGCTAAGTTATTTTTCTTCTTGGGCATTAGTTTTTATAATGCTACTATTCGCATCCCCTCCAGAAAAACTTGTTAGAATTCCTATTTTGTTTTCATACAATAAGTCCCAGAATCCTTAAAGGAGGATTAAGAAGAATCAGTCACTAAACCTAATTATAAAACTGAGATTTCTTATTAAGCACTTCCACATACATTATCGCTTTAAAACAACTCCTATTATGTAGAAATTAATATTGCCACTTAATGGATTATGAAAGAAAGTCTCACAGACTTGCTGAAGTCATATACCTTGCAAGTAGCTGATCTAAGGCTCAAACACATTCTTCTTACTAAAGGAACAAAGTGTCTTCCACCAGAGCAATCAATTAAAATTCAGTATTTATTGGGCATCAGCGTTTGACAATTAGTCATAAATGCTTAAGGGCATTGACTCAACCTAATTCTCTCTCTCTCTCTCTCTTCCTCTGTCTCTTTCTGAAGCCCATGTACAAACAGAGAGAGAATTTTACAGATGAGAAAATGGAGCCATAGGGAGATTAAAGTTCGTGCTATAGGTAACAAGCTAGTAAGGTCCAAAAAC
This sequence comes from Homo sapiens, assembly GCF_000001405.40. Classification (NCBI taxonomy): domain Eukaryota; kingdom Metazoa; phylum Chordata; class Mammalia; order Primates; family Hominidae; genus Homo; species Homo sapiens. Next base: position 79,749,628 of record NC_000001.11, on the reverse strand, counting down.
TAAAATTGAAGAATGGAGGGTTGCATTTTAAATCCAGGCTATCTAAAAAAAAAATAAATAAATAAATAAATAAAGTGACAGGATGGCTATCCCAGCTACAGCACATTATTCCTTCCTAGTATGCTAGGTGTACAAGTGTTCCAGAAGTTCTTGTCTTGAGGTTTAGCCAATTACCTCTATATTTGTTATACTTAGTCTCCCTTTTATTAGATTGATACAAAAGTAATGGCAGTTTTTGCCATTAAAAGTAATGGTCATATTATATTGACTCTCATTTATTATGTTGCTTTTCTCTCATATTTTAATCGCTTTATATTTCATTAAGTTCTGATATTCTCATTACTAAGTTCTTTACTAGTTTGTTATTATTATGTTTGGTTTTAATCAGGTGATTATTTTCTAACTAAAATGGACACATAGGCTTGCATTTAGGCTATCTTGTGCTTCTTTACATTAAAAGTGTTTTTGTAATGACAACCTTAAATAAACTCCACATATTTTGACAAGTACTTTTATTTATATTTAACACTGATAATTTTTAAATTTCCTTGAGACTTTCCGGTGTAACCATGGGTTATTTTTTAGAGTGCTTTTTTTAGTTTCCTGAAACAAAATATTTTTTAAGGCTACTATTATTTCATCATAAACACACACACACACGCACAAATGTCTAAGAACTCAGTCCATTTGTAAATTCTTTGAAATTTATTGAAGCTTTCTTTTGTGGCCTAACGCACAATAAGTTTCTATCATTATTCCACATGTTCTTAAAAGTAATATGTATTCTGAGTGACATCAGCAGAACAGTTGAATAAAAATCCCCAGACAGGCTGGGTGTTGTGACTCATGACTGTAATCCCAGTACTCTGGGAGGCCAAGGCGGGAAGATCACTTGAAGTCAAGAGTTTGAGACCAGCCTACCCAACATGGTGAAACCCCGTCTCTGTTAAAAATACAAAAATTAGCCAGGTGTGGTGGCAGGCGCCTGTAATCCCTGCTACTTGGGAGGCTGAGGCAGGAGAATTGCTCAAACCCAGGAGGTGGAGGTCACACCATTGCACTCCAGTCTGGGCAACAGAGGGAGACTCCATCAGAGAAAAAAAAAAAAAAATCCCCAGACAATTTTCCCCTACAAAGACACTGACTTAACAGGAATATATAATCCAAAAAGCCTTTATGAGAACTCTGGAACCAATTAAGAGGTTGCAGCACCCTAGGCAAATGAAAAGCCACAAACAGCTGCATTAAAATTGTTACAAAAAAGAAAAAAAGCGTTTGTCTTTCACCCATGATAGCCCTTTGTGGTATCAAGTCAGCACTATGTGCTCATTTTGTGTCCCTATATTACATTTTGGTAATCCTTACAATATTTTAAACTTTTTAGTTATTATTATCATCTGTTGTGGTGGTCTTTGGTCATTGATCTTTGATGTTACTATCATAATTGTTTTAGGGGTATCACAAGCTGCATGTACATAAGCAGCAAACTTAATCAATAAATGTTGCGTGTGTGTTCTGACTACTCCACCAACCAGCCATCCTCCCATCTCTCTCTCTCCTCAGCTCTCCTCTGAGACACAACAATATTGAAAATAGGCCATTTGCTAACCCTACAATGGCCTCTAAATGTTTAAGTGAAAAGAAGAGTTACGTGTTTCTCACTAAAGAGCTAGAAATGTCTAATTAGTGAGGAAAGCATGTTGGAAACTAAGATAAGCTGAGAGTTAGGTCTCTTGCACCAAACGGTCAATTGTGAATGCAAAGAAAAAGTTCTTGAAGGAAATTAAAAGTGCTACTCCAGTGAACAGAAAAATGATAAGAAAGCAAACTAGTTTTATTGCTGACGTAGAGAAAGTTTTAGTGGACAGAAGATCAAACCAGCCACAACATTTCCCATCAGTCAAAGCCTACTTCAAAGCAAGACTCTAACTCTCTTCAATTATTGAAGACTGAGAGAGGTTTAGAAGAAAAGTTCAAAGCTAGCAAAGGTTGGTTCATGAGGTTTAAGAAAAGCAGCTATAACAGAAAAGGGCAAGATGAAACAGTAAATGCTGATGTAGAAGGTGCATTGAGTAATCCAGAAGATCTAGCTATGATAATTGATGAAGGTGGCTATATGAAACAACAGATTTCCAAAGTATACAAAATAGCCTTCCATAGGAAAAATACTTCTAAGACTTTCATAATCTAAGACTTTCATAGCTAGAAAGGAGAAATCAATGTCTGGCTTCGAAGGACAGGCTGACTTTGTTAGGGGCTAGTGTGGCTGATGACTTTAAGTGGAAGCCAATACTAATTTACTGTTACAACCCAGGGTCTTTAAGAATTATGTTAAATCTACTCTGCCTGGGCTCAATAAATGGAGAAACAAAGTCTATATGACAGCACATCTGTTTATGGCATGATTTAGTGAATATCTTAAACCTACTGTTGAGACCTACTGCTCAGATAAAGACTCTTTTCAAAATATCACTGCTCATTGACAATGTACACGGTCACTTAAGAGCTCTGATGGAGATGTACAAGGAGCTTAACGTTTTTTTCATGCCTGATAACACAACATCCATTCTGAAGCCATGGTTCAACCAGTAATTTTCACTTTCAATTCTTATTAATAGATACATTTTGTAAGGCTCTAGTGGCCATAGATCGAGTGATTCATTTGATAAATTTGGGCAAAATAAATTGAAAATTTTCTGGAAAAAATTTACTATTCTAGCTGCCATTAAGAACATTTGTGATTCATGGGAGAGGTCAAAATATTAACATTAACAAGAGTTTGAAAGATGTTCATTCCAACTCTTATGAGTGACTTTGAGGAGTTTAAGACTTCAGTGGAGGAAGTCACTGCAAATGTTGTAGAAATAGCAAGATAACTAGAATTAGAAGTGGATCCTAAAGAAGTCATGAAATTCTGGCAATCTTCTGATAAAACTGCAACAAATAAGGACCTACTTTTTATGGATAAACAAAGAAAGTGGTTTCTTAAGATGAAATCTACTCCTGGTGAGGATGTTATGAACATTGTTGAAATGATGACAAAAGATTTAGAATACTACAGAAACTTAGTTAATAAAGCAGCGGCAGAGTTTGAGAACATAGACTCCAATTTTGAAAAAAATTCTGCTGTGGGTAAAATGCTATCAAACAACATCACATGCTACATAGAAATCTTTCATAAAAAGGAGAGTCAATCAGTGCAGCAAATTTCATTGTTTTATTGTAAGAAATTGCCACAGCCATTCCAACCTTTAGTAACCACCACATTGATCAGTCAGCAACCATCAACATCAAGGCAACGCCTTCCACCTGCCAAAAGATGATGATTTGCTGAAAGTTCTGATGATTGTTAGCAATTTTTAGCAATAAAGTATTTTTAATTAAGGTATGTACATTTTCTAGACATAATGCAATTGCGCACTTGCTAGACTACTGTATCGTATAAACATAACCTTTATGTGTACTGGGAAGTCAACACATTTGTGTGACTCACTTTATTTCAATATTTGCTTTATTGTGGTAGTCTGGAACTGAGCCTACAATCTCTCTGAGGTATGCCTGTATAGTTCACACTACTGTACTGCACACTTAAAAATGGTTAAGATGATAAATGTTATGTGATGTGTTATTTGTTTCACAAACAACAAACAAATAAATAACTTTAAAATGCATATTTTAAAATAAATATGTTAAATTCAGTAACTACAGGTTTTGAAATATTTATTTCTTTCAATATTTCTGAGAGTAGTTTTGTATAGCTAAGGCTAAATTATTAAGCATATGAAAATTGCTGTTAATTATATCTTGTTAATCTCTGTTTTTTTAAAGAATACATTCTTTCTGTTTTTATCATTTTAATTTTGACTATTATTAACATAATAATGATTTATTTTGATTACTTGTCTTGAATTTTTTAACTTCTGCTTTCAAACTCTCTATAGTATTTTATTTTAAAGGTAGACAATATATTATATATTATGTTTTTACAAATAAAATTTCTGTACTTTGAATTATAGTTTAATTCATTTTTAATTGTAACTGGTGTTATAGTTACACTTTTTATATCATCTAATGTTTTTAAACATTAGATGTTTAATGTTTGTTTTTTCATTTTTTTAAATTTTCTGTTTTATCTTTTGTTACTTAGATTACATTTTCTTATTCTATTTATGTGCTTAATAAATATATACATATATAATTATATAAAACATACGTATACTATATGTTGTGTATGTTTTTGGTATATTATAATTATAGTTTTATAATATTTTCCCATACGTTTTAATGGTAAAACAATTATAGTTTTTAAATAATAAATTATATTTTTATTATTTTAACAAATATCCCTATTTGCATGTAAAGTTATATTGGAATAATTGGAAATCTAGTTAAACAACTCTTCTCTTAATACTTCCACTTTTTTTTCTTTTTCTGATAACTTCCAGAACACTAATTTTTTCTTTAGTAATGTGGTAGATTAATTTATTTTTCCTAATTCTTCATTTCTTCCCTATAGTAGATGTTTAATATATACATCCGTGCTTTTTCTCAATAGGCTTTGAGGTCCTACTCCTACAACAGGCAAAGTGTACAGTGCAGCCATAGTGACTTTCAGCTTAGCATAGAGATTTTCTTTAGTAGTAGCAATGTGAGTGGATATGAAATAAACAAAGGGTTGAAATGTGCTTGCTTGTTTTGACTTGTTCTGTTATGATTCTACCAGCTACCACAAGACTAGTTTACAATGTACAGACATGTAAATAAGAAAATATTAGTTGCTTTAGTCTTTGAAATTTAAAAATTTTTAAATTATTTCAGAATGCCTAACAGTACAGGCTGTTTATGTACTGCTATTAAGCCTATCAATCTAGTTACTTTATAATTACCTTCTCTAATATAGAATGTTCACCCAAAGAAATTTATAAAGTGTAAGATAGTGACCTGAACCCACCACTCCACTTAGAAAGATTTCATTGCCAAAGCCATTGAAGATCCCTGTGTTCCCCTTTCTTATAATCCCGTTTCTCTCCTATCCTAAATTTTATGTTTCTATTACTTAACTTTAAAATTTTATTATTCATGTATCTTTATATATACATGGATATTATATGTGTGTAATATACATATGCATACATACAATCCATACTATATGTGTGTCACACATATATATCTCTAACTAACTTTAGAGATACTTAATTATTTTGAGTACATTTCTTATATTTTATTCACAGTTATGATTAATTGGTTGATCGATTTGACAGCAGTTATAGTAGTTGCTGAGTGAATCTCTAAGGGCCATCAATTTTCTCTCTTTTTTAGTATCCCAGTATTGAAATTTGGAAGGAAAACTAACTCATCAGCCTCATCACACATGGAATAAGTAGTCAAAAATACACTTTTGTATCTTGTATAAAGAATTCTTTAAAGTGTTGTTCTTTTGATATCAAAATTTAGGATTTTAATGATCTAACTGATTATAATTACAGACATTTTTTTCCATTATACTCATGAATGATGAATGACCGAAAAGGCACTCTGTAGAATTCTGATTATTCTAATCTAGTATAAAATTAGAGAACTCTGAGGCAGTAATTTTGAGTAACAAAGCAAAGATTGTTTTGTGATTCCAGACTCCTCCTTTATTTAATTAAAGATTTTTTTTAAAAAACATAATTGGGATTAAACTGTTCTGGTTAATAGAATATTAGAATGTGACCACTTCATCGAATATGCTTTGAAAGAGGTAATATTTTATACAAAATTATAATGACAAGTTTGCATAAGGATGCACATTTCCAAATGGTTTATGTGAACTTATAAAATTTATTTTTTTGTGGTAATGTAGTTGTGATTTCAGCATTTTGTAGGTGGAGGATGTGAATGTGAAATCAAAATGAAAGTTCTTTTGTGAGATGTAGTGTGTTTCTTTCTCTTTTTGTATCTAAAGAAAAATCACATTTCACTGTTAGTTTTGTCAAAATTCCTTATGTTATCTTTTTATTATGACATATAACCTATTGATATGTTTCCCTACCAATTATGACCTTTATTGTATTTGTATGAAGAAGGAAGTACTAAACCGAATAATCGCAGTAGAGTGTTTTAGTTAGTTTCACAATGCAATTTTATTCTAATTATTGGTGTCATTTTAGCCTAGCATCAGCCAACAAAGAAGGTAGTGATGAATACTGTTTGAAACACAAAACTTCCAAGTATCCTTTGAAATAAAGTAAAGATTTATCATTTGCTCACTATTTTATTAGGATGTTCTTTGGGTTTTAATACCAGGTAGTATTATAAGATACAGAAATATTTCCTCAAAAATATTTATTACCTTATTAAGGTAAACTGTCTTCCCTGCCGGTGGACAATATTTTATAGATAAAAATACAGAATTCTATAAACTTCACGGTTGGAGTCCAGCCACTTTTTAGCTGACAGCACTATAACGATTACTTTCATTCTAATTTTAAGGACAATAGTAGCAGCACTTCAATTAACCAATTAATCAAAATAATATTCAAGTTTCTGCACATCTAGTTCATAAAGGCTCTCCCTACAGCACATTATTTCAAATGAATGCCACCTCCTGCTATGGTGGGTGTTCTGCTGGCCTAGAAAAGCAAAGGAGTTAGCTCTTTCCATTGCAATGAAAAAAGTTAACAACACTGACACTTAAGTGACCATAATTAGTCCACTGAGATTAATTCGAGAACTTTGTACCTCTCCTAGTACCATTGTCAGACTTATAGCACCCTCTAAATTGCAGCAGCTCATTGGTTCATTTCCCAAATGGTGTTCTCATTAGAATGCCTAGAAGCTCAATTTTTTTCAAAATGATCTTGGGTACTGCAGGAAGCAGCCTCAATCAAAGAAAGTCTAGAGGGAGACCTTATGTCTCCAAATTGTGGTGTATCTTCTCAGTGTTCATATGAGAAAGACAAATCAAATGACCATATATTAAAAAAATAAATTATGGTGATTGATAATGTGAAGTAACATATAAATATGTTTTCTGTTCACATATCATGCAACAAACATGTTCAATTTTATTTTAATGCCTTTGTACAGTAGTAGAAAAATATATAAAACTTTTTTTAAGATTATTTCTTAATAGTTTATTTTTAAAATGCAAATAGTAGTTTTTAAAAACTGTTTTAAATACATTTCCTCTAAAAACTGGGGAAATCAAAGCCAATTATCTGTAAATGTGCCCTAAAATTATTAAACACATTTTGGTGAGTATAGAGGAAAGGAAGAAGCAGAGTAATGAAAGACACAAAGATAATTTTAGCACAGTAGGAAACATGAAAGAAGTGAAATGTCCACTAACATATGCAAATTTCTCAATGTTTCACTTTATTTTTGAGCCAACATACAAAACAATATCTATGAGAAATCAGAAGACTTGCCTGTACACTGAGGAAGTAGACAAATGCTGATTTTCAAAAGCAAAACTCTATTATTCATTAAGGATGTCTTCAGTCACTACAGCACCTAAAACAGTTTTGGATAGGTTTGAGAATACATTAACCGACTCCTATCTTTAGAATTTGTTGCTTCACACCACTGAGAAACTTAAATATGCAGCTGATTTAAGATATATGGGGACACAAATAATGACATCAGAGGCCTATTTCTCCATCTCTCAGCCCTGCTTATCTCTAGATAGTGATCTGGTTATAGTCAGTACTGCCCCCTGAAAAAGACAAGCACCATTATTTTCACCTCAATGACCAGAATAGGGAAGTGCATGCTTTCACCTAAGTTACCTCAAGAGAAAAAGATAATCGTTTCATCAAAAAAGTTTTGGTATTGAGCAAGGTTTGGTGGTCTACCCATTCTTAAGCCAATCACTCCGGCCAGAGTCACAGGACCATTTTCAGAATAATCCCACTGAGAAGACATTCTATGGATTCTATCACAAAATAATGTGATTCTGCTACCAGGAAAATAATGAGAGGGGTACTGAAGCAATGAAAACAGAAATAAAATATTCATCCCAGAGAAGGGGATACTAAAGACATATGAAGTTGTTACTGATCTGATGCAAAATTTTTATACAGATTAGCTCACAGATGTTTTGTGGACATTAAGAATGTCAGAGATAATTAGGAAAAACCATTGATGTTCATTGAAATGAAAATGAAATATATCAGACTATCCTTATTTACTTTTTGAAAGGATTTTGAGACTGGTAAATCAAGAGGGCTTTATAGATATAATGCACTTGAAATCTTTCATAATAAGTTAGTGGAAAACATGATGAAATTTAAACTAAGAAACATTTCATTAATGGTAACTACTTAAACAAACTTACCAGAAAATGTTGACTAATATATCAATAGTAACCTGAAGGGAATGGTTTAAGGTTTTGTTCCAGATCCTAATTCAATTTTTTTCAATGTCTTTTGATGAAGATATTGAAAATAGGTTATGACTTGTGTGGGTTATAGAAAACTTGTGGGGATAATGATATGTTGGATGTCATATCTGAGATCCAAAAATATCCCAACACAATAGATTAATAATGTAAATGTGACAAGATAAAAGTTAATTTAAACCTTAACATATAGAAAAAATTACAACAAAACTTTTACATAGACTGTTAGTTATGCCTAAAGGTGAACATTGTGTATTAACAGAAGGCTCATTAGACTGAAAAACATTAGCTTGACAGAACCTCAACACACGTTAGCAATGTCATACTTCTGCAAAAATGAATTAAAATTATGATAGCAGGTATTAATAAATGTTATATTCTGATAATGATAAGTGGTATTTGGGTTTGAGTGCTGTCATAGTCTTGGAGAAGCACTGATAAATTTGAGTGTGTCCAAAGGAGAGTGTTACAAGAAAAGAGCTGAAGATGTTCATATTGAAGGGGAGAATACTTAGAGGAAAAATGAAAAGTACTTACAAGTACTTGAAAAACTTTCGCATAATTTGGAATTCAGGCTTATTCTTTCTGCTTCCAAAGCGTGTATTAATATTTGAAGTTTAGAAGTCTGGGAAATTTTTCTTCCAGACACTTTTATTTTTGTTTTAGTTTTGCAATGATATTTTTAAAAATGCTTTCATTAATTACTCAATTTCCTACAATGACAGAACTTCAGTCTGAGATTAGGAAGCCATTTATTTGTGTCATTGCAAGGGAAATACATGCAACAAATATTTGACTGGACTAGGTAACTTTAAATCCAAGTTCAAAATATTACTGCTTTGAATTTCTATAAAATTATATTCATAACTGAATGAAGCAGGTGATTGGACATATCTGGCTGAAAGAGTAGTTTCTAAGGAAGGTCACAGAGAAATAGCTTATCCAGCTGGCAGTAAAAATTTATCATCATTTTACAAAATGTAGACCTAAAGACTAAAACACAAAGGATCCTCTAACGTTTATGAGATAAAGAAGAAATGTCTCTCCCTAGAATTGTTTTAGGGTGGAGAACTATGTAGACAGTTTTATAAAAGCAGCTATTAAAGACAATGAAAGTAGAGATTAGCAGTCTGAATTAAGGTTAGTACTAATTAGGGATTACTCCTTTATTATAGAATATTCAATATATTTATTAGTTTATAACACACAGGAGAGTTAAAATGTATTACCAAAAAAAAGGAAAAAGAAATACCTACTTTCATACCATTCATCTTAAGATGTATTCTTTAAAACCCTGTGTGCTCTGCTCCAATATCTTTCATTTCCCATCAGAGGTGAACACTCCTCAATTATATGTATATTTTCCATTTGCTTTTTTGTATCGTTTTATCAAAAAACTGCATATCACTATATATTCGTGTTTTGCATGCTTTGACAATTACACAAATTGGTTTTTGTATGTATTCTTCTGCAACCTCTTTTTTTATATCATAAATTCATCCAAGTTGTTGTATGGGCTGTAGACCATTCATTGTCACTAGTACTAGATTCCACTGGATTTTATGTATCTATTCCTCTCCTCATGGAAATTTTTTTTTTGTTTCTAGTTTTTCATATGTCTGTAGTTGCACAAATACAAGTGTATCTTCATAGTAATGGTACTCAAAGTTTCTCCTCCTGGCCAGAGGTATCACTTGGGAACTTGTTAGATAGGCAAATTCTTCAGCCTCACTCCAGAACTGCTGAATCAAAAACTCTGGGGGCAATGGGGTACAGTTTTTAACAACCTGTCCAGGTGAATCTGATGCACTTTCAAGTGTAAAAAACCACTGGTATCTAGTATATTTCTAGGAATGAAATTGTTAGGTCATACTTTATAAATCTTCATGATAATACATGGTTTTCTAAAATGGTTATACAAATTTTCAACTCACCCAAAATTTAATATAAGCTTCCATTGTTCTAGTTCTTCTACAGTTGACATTGTCTGACTCTTCATATTTTCTAAGAATTTTTAAAACATATATGGATAACTGATTCTATTGAATGCTCTTTTGTTGCATCTACTACTGTAATAATATTTTTCACTTTTAGTATGTTAATGTAATGAATAAACTGTGTTGATTGTTTAATCTTAAATTATTTTAGCACTTCTGGTGTAAACCTACTTTTGTCATTATATATGTCTACTTTTATATGTTGGTGGCTTCTATGTCCTAATATTTTTTATTTTTGCATCCACATTCATAAATGATATTGGCTTATAATTTTTTCATTTTCACAAACATTTTGTTTGACTTTTAAAATGAACTGGGTCTAGTGGTTTTTTGATTTGTCTGTTTGGTTTTTGGTGCTTGGGAAGATATTTATAATTAACAATTTGATTCCTTCAATGGTTTTGAACTATTCAAGATTTTAATTTATTTTTAATATTAAATCTTTTATATTTTATTGAGACTTTATCTACTTTACATCTTTAAATTTATTGGCAAATATTGCCCATGATTTTCTCTTATTATTGAAAAAATATAATTTGCATCTATATAGTTATGTCCCTTTTTCATTCCAAATAATCTTTGGTTTCTTTCTGTTTACTTTGCTAACCTCACATGTTACTTTTCTTTCAGTCATTTTAAAGCACTAGGACATTTTGCTCAGTGGCCCCCAAATCAAAGGAATTAATTTCAGATTCAAATATAGCAGACATTTGTTTTGTGCTGTAAGAAAAATAAAAAGAAAATGTGTTCACTGTTTTGGACGATAAAGTTATATATACTATAATAATTCAAGATAGATGAGAACAGGATTTTTATTAGTCTTCCCCATGTACCTCTAATTTTTAGGTTAGTGTCTATAATCATGCTTACCTAGTGCTCAGTAAATTTCCTTTTAAAGAAGGAACTGACTTACTGAAGAGTATGCACTCTTTGAATTCAGCACCCCCACCCTCCCACACACCTTGAAAAGAAAGTGATACAATTTCATCAGTTCTTCTTACTAAAAATAAATTGATTCTGTAAAATAACTATACAATAATTCAGCACTGTATTACCAGAAAGATTTCTTGTGGGTTTTAATGGAAGTAATGTGAAATAAGGTAATTGTGAAATGTGAAATAAGTGCAAATTAGGTAATTGCACTTTAGTAAGCACATTGTTTATTTACTCAAACTTCTACTGCCTCTATTTCTAAAGGGACATCACTGTTACTGGCAAATGTGGATATCCTAACCACGTTCACTGAAACTAGTGCATCTATCCCTGTGTCTATATCAAAATTATCAGAGGAGCTTTAAATACCCCTGATCAATTGAATAGGAATCCCCCTAAATTGGGCCTGGGCCCAGAAGATTCAAATATGTAGCAGTGTTTGAAAACCACTGGCATTAGTTAGACATTTGTAACACCTTATGCTTTAAATTCATTTGTACTGTTGATTTACGTGGGCCTTTATTAGAGGAAGAGCGTATTGAGGTCAAAAACCACTACAGCTAATAGCAGAGTACTCTTCCTGAACTAATTCAACCATTATAAGACACTTCAAAAGCAATTTCCTAATCTGTCTTTTCACACTGTTGAAAAGGCTTAAATAGTATGTTATGCTTTGTCAAACATTTTCCCATGTTTTATATTTGATGCTTAATATAGTTATCTTACCATAAGCTCTTTCCTGATGATAGTGAATACTAATCTATTTTTAATAAAACTAGTCAGTCTCAGTTGGTAGTCAACAACAACAATAACAACAAAGACTGCAAATATCTTGTGCAGGGTGGCAGAACATGCCACCTAAAATATGCCACTTTGGCATAAGTATTATTTGAGCTAAGGCACTTGAAAAACAGGAAGTGCAAGAAGGACACTCTGACTTCCCCTTTTTCATCCTGAAGGAGGGAAATAAAGCCACTCTATGGAAGTTGCCCTTCTTATAACAGAAGGAAAATAACATTCTTACGATCAGGAATGGGGAGTACAGACTGAGAGAAATCTGTAAACCTTGTAAACTAACTCTGACCTTCCTTGTTACTTTTCCACCATTAACTGCCCTATCTCAACTCCCTTTGTCTTGTCACATTTTCATAATTTACCATTTTTTGTTCAATTCAGTATATAAACTCAACTCTTAACTGCTCCTTTGGGTCTCGATTATCTTGTGAGGACTCCCATGTCAATGTAAAATTTATAAAGTGCATATGCATTTATCCCATGAATCTATCTTACGTCAGTTTAATGCTTATGCCCAACTGGAGACCCTAATAAGGTAATGGAGTAATTTTTTCTTCCTTATACTTGAAACCAGCATTAAAACTCTTAGTAACAAAAGGACCTCAGATTGGAGTGAGCGATGTGGCAGAAGAAATGAGAGGGCATATTTTTAAAATGCAACTGGCTTTAATCGATAAATAAGTACTTTTGTGGAAGAAAATGAGAAATGTTCATTTGGTTGCTTCTGTCATAATTTAACTTGCATATATGTAGCTATTTTTTTTCTTAGCCAATCTTGCTTGTATCAATTGAATCATATAATTTCACTTTTTTTGGCAAGTAGAAGGATAAAGTAATCATTGTCCAAAATACCTTCATAAACTAACTTGAGTTTGGTAATCTTTTTTTGTGACAATTTTCTTCTTGTTTGAGAGAAAACATTTATTGTAGACTATCATAGACAATTGTCTACCTTTCTTGTTTACTTTTTGGGAACCACTCCTGATGTCATTTCAAGGATTTGAATAAGAAGACTCTTCTCATCACCCAGCACTGTAGGTGAGCCCCATATTCAGGCCTGTCCATCCAGTAATCTCATCTAATTTTATACTGTGGAGGGACACAGTGAGGAGCCCATGATGTGTGAGGCAGGCAAAGGAGATTCATTTCTAATGGGTTAGGCTATAAAGGCAACAGAAGGTGGCCATCTTCACCACTTTTTAAGAAAATTTGGTTTATAATGACACCATTACAGAAGAAAATAGATCTGAGAATTGAAATGCAAGGCCGGGCATGGTGGCTCATGCTTGTAATCCCAGCACTTTGGGAGGCTGAGGCGGGTGGACCACGAGGTCAGAAGATGGAGACCATCCTGGCCAACATGGTGAAATGCCATCTCTATTAAAATACAAAAAATTAGCTGGGCATGGTGGAGCGCACCTGTAGTCCCAGCTACTCAGGAAGCTGAGGCAGGAGAATCACTTGAACCCAGGAGGCTGTGGCTGCACTGAGCCGAGATCGAGCCACTGCACTCCAGCCTAGTGACTGAAAATATCCTCAAATTTGCAATTACAGAGACTGGGGTGGTGGATGATATACCTCAGGTTATAAGGAGTCAATATTTTTCACATGATAAATTTTTAGTTGTTGGATACTGTGACTCAGGCCAAGTGTTTATTTTGGCTGGAACTTTAAGAGAATTAATATAAAAATACAAGGACATGTAAATCAGTTGATTACTCATGACTTTAAGTAAATTCCTACAAATGAGATAGAATCTGATCTGAACAGAACATTGGAAAACACACACACACACACACGCACACACACGCACACACACACATGCCTTAACATAGAGAAAAAAACTTTGCCCCAGTGATATGGTTTGGCTGTGTCCCCACCCAAATCTCATCTTAAATTGTAGCTCCCATAATTCCCATGTGTCAAGAGAGGGACTCAGTGGGAGGTAATTAAATCATGGAGGCAGATGTTTCCCATGCTGTTCTCATGATAGTGAATAAGTCTCACAAGACCTGATAGTTTTATAAAGGGGAGTTCCCCTACACAAGCTGTCTTGCCTGCCACCATGTAAGATGTGACTTTGCTTCCCTTTCACCTTCAGCCATGATTATGAGGCCTCCCCAGCCATGTGAAACTGTGAGTCAATTAAACCTTTTTTCTTTATAAATTATCCAGTCTTGGGTATGTCTTTATTAGCAGCATGAGAACAGACTAATATACCCAGTTTTCATCATTTTAAGATATCTAACAGTATGATAGTCATGTACATTTTATTGCTTAAAAGTCCCATTCCAAGCCTTGCACTAAAGGAAGGAAGCTGGAAACAAAACAAAATAAGTTCCAAGGAAGAGAGAGAGTTTGGCTGTGGATACCTCCCTAGTATCTTCAGATTTACACAAACTGTCTAAAAATGGTAAAAATTAAGTCCACCATAAAAAAATAAGCAGTTAATTGAGTTTCACTCTGAGGTAGGGGTAGATTAACTGTATTGTTTTAGATGTGAAAACCCAGACAGAAGCCACTTAGAGACCAGCACCTATGCTGGAATACAGATTAAAAGCTTTTAGATACTTGCCTTTGGTAACTATCCTAAGGAGTAGACTGAGAGAAAATTGATGGGAAAAATTGAACGGAAATTTAAATGGAATTAGATTTATTGCCTGATAAACCCAAGTTAGGGAAACAAAAATCTTAAAATTGTTTAACTATTAACATCATCTGCAGGTACCATGATCCAAACCTGTACCAATGAGAGGGGAATGTCAAATCATAGCAATTACTAGAAATATATTTTTTGAAATCTCCTTCTCAGATGTTACATTATAGGAAAATATAAACGTGAAAGCTTCCAGATTGATGAATCAGAAATAGCCAGATTGGTTTACCAGGGAGCTGTCTTTACTGCAGTACAGGGGGTCCTTTGTACACCTACATAGAGGACATGATTCTTGGTGTGGACAGATGAATACCATATGTTCTTTCCCCATCTGCACTGTCCAAATGAAGTTATAATCGAAGAGATTCTACTTACTGGCCATGATACATTGAGTATGATGAGGGTGAGTTCCAGACCACAAGAAGTCACTTCTGACACTGAGCCAAAGAATGGCTTATTAACCACCTGGCTTGGACTAGTAACTAGCTATAGTAATTGTGTGAGGTATTAAGTAATCTTATACTAGGGAAAATTTAAGTATGTCTACATTGGTTTGTGGTATCGCTATACCAAGTTAGGTACAGGTGTTTTAAAATTTTTCTGTATTGAATAAAAAATGTGAATGCTGGGAAGCAAGAAATTGGGGAATATCTGCAATTAGTTCTGTCTGACCTGAATCTCTACATGCCAAGCTCCCAATCAGTATATGTTGTTCCAGTGAAGTATGAAATCTAGTTTGGGCACATGACCAAAACCTAATTGGATAACTCCTAGCACTAGTCACAATATTAAGAAAGCAAACCACGACTTCGTCTAAGCCAATGAAGGTTAGACCTGATGTTTGTTGAAGATATTAGCAAGAAGTGCCTTCTTGGCTCTCAAACTTCTACCTATACAAACAATTTAGTTTAAATCATGTTTAAACAGAGAATTAAGTCAAAGAGAAAAGCGGAATCTAATGAAGAAATCAAAGCCATAACAAAACTATTTGGGTCCCCAACTTTGTGCCTTAAGATAGCTTCATCCTTGGACTTTTTAGTTATTTGAGCCAATAAACTCCTTTTGTACTTTTTAATCTTGTTTAATTTGATTATTTGCATTTATCATCAAGTTAAGTGAGAACATAAAGTAGTAGTCACATACTCAAAAGCTGTTGGGACCAGGACCATCACACAAATAAAAGGAGTGAGAAACTGAGAAGGTTATAAAACCATAGGGATGAGCTGGGCCTGTGTGAATAAAAGAACATGTGACTGACCACAGTGGACATCAATACTCTGCTATACTGATTGTTGGGAATGCAGACAATAATTTCATTTTTCTGATCTTTAGATAATATGAATTTTAATATGAAGTCTTCTAAATTTGAATTTCTGGCAAAGCATACTATTTATTATTTAATAAAATACATCATCTAGGCCAAATCTTAGTAAGGCATGATTTTGTATATAATTACTTAAAATATGCAAATAATAATTTATCTATTCACATCAGAAAAAATGGAAGGCATATATAAAAATTAGTTTTCACCTAAAATTGCTCATTCCCAGTCATCCACCCTGATGTTTCTGAGTCTGTAATAGTAGAAAAAAAATGTTTTGTAAATATTTCTATATCATATATTTTCTGTCTTTTAAATCAGAGAATGTAAGCATCATATGTCTCTATAGGTAGGCAAGTGATGTGGAGAACTGGAAGGAAATAATGCTTACTATGGTGAAAAGCATTCTATGTCATTAGAAACAAAAATAAAACCAAAAAAATGCAAGAAACAAAACAAATTTGTGTATGGAGTTTGGCTGCTTGACTACCAGTTTTAGATATTTGTCATATATTTTCAAGGAAAATAAATATGTAAGAATATTTCTCATATCAATTTGAAATGCATCCTAGCTGTTCAGAATGTATGATAGTATTCCTCTGTTTTAACACTAAAAGGTAAGATTTTCCATGTGTGTAATTACACCAATAAGAGCTGGACAGGCTTTCTGAGTACCATACTCAGTGAAAGAAGAAGTTACTACATCAATATCAAAATTGTGTCGTATGAAAAATACAATTAGTTCCCTGGACATTTTGGTTTTCTTTTTTAAAGTTAATTATACCCTGTATATGTATTGTACCACAATGAAGATGAGAAAAATAAAAATCACTTTTGAATAGCTGAAGTGAATTCTAATAGGATCAAAGATATATATTCAGAAATTATAAAGTAAAAATTACATTAATAGGAGGAATGTGAATCCAATATAACAAGTATCAAGACCTCTCTGAAGTTCTAATCCTAGAAGTATAAACTGTACATATATATATATTTTTTTTCTTTTTTAGGAAGATTCCGACTGCCAAAAGCAAAATGTTATGGACTGAATTGCCCCCTGCCCAAAATCATATGTTTAAGTCCTAACCTCCATTGTGTCAATTTGGAGATAAAACCTTTAAAGAGATTATTAAGGTTAAATGAGGTCATAAGGGTAGGGCCTTAATCCAATAGGTCTGGTATCCTTAGAAGAAGAAGAAAAGCCAGGGGGCTGGGGAGGGATGTGCACAGAGAAACAGCCATGTGAGGACACAGTGAAAATACGGTGAACTGAAAGTCAAGGCGAGAGGCTTTAGGAAAAATAAACACACTGAGGCTCCCTGATCTTGGACTTCTAACCTCCAGAACTCTGAGAAATAAATTTCTGCTGTTTAAGCCACTCAGTCTGTGGTATTTTAATGTGGCAGTCATAGCAGACCAGTATAAGAAGGAACCCCCCCCTCAACTGTTTTTCCTGTGGATAAAAGAGTCTCCTCCCCATCTCACCAATGGATCTGCAAGCCTTAAACCAGGGCTCATTTGTTCCCTTTGTAGAATCACGAGGTGAAAGAAAAAGTAATAAAATTGTCACTTCCACCCAGGCAGGAACTGGGAGTTGGTCATTTTTGTAGAGAAGAATGGGAAATCCCAGGAAAAGAAGAAAAAGTAGGAGCTGCAAAAATTGAGGAGCAAACAGAGAGTTCAAGATGAGAGTTGGTGTGTTTGAGACTCATTGAAAGCACAGGGAGCACCCCTAAAATTCTAGGGCATGAGATGCTACTCCAGTCTGAATAAGGGAATGATTTACCTGGATCAGAAACCAATATCACAACCACCACCACAGTCATGTACACTATCGCTTGAAATGATTATCTATTCTCAGTAAAGAAGTGATTGAAATTTCATTTGATTTCGTAATCTATTTGGTCTTAAATAGACAAAAAAGCTGGTGAAGCACCATCCAGATAGAATAAGGGGTAGTTTCCTGCTACATGTTCATCTTATCAAAACCAAGTGGATAAAGCTAATCCTCATAATCATATGGTGACTGGGCAAGACAAGACACATGCTTTATACTCATGTTTATTATATTTAATAATAGTAATAATTCATTATTTAATATTTATTCAAGTGTTTTTTCGAAAAGGTAAGCAAAGAAATGATTATTTTTAAATTGCATGAGGAGATTGGTTAGAAAAAACTAAACTCCAGGTGGATAAATTAGCTATAAGAGAAAAAGAGTAAAAAATAGAAACAGAGGTAACCTTATCACAGTCCTTGGATAAGAACAAGGAAAAATCAATATTTTAAATATTATTCAAACTACACAGAAATAGCAGTATACTTTCCTATATTATGAAAATGCTCTGGACATGCTAAAAAATAAATAAACCAAATAAAATAGTAAGAATGGAAAATGGGAAAGTATTTTCCCCAAGTAGCACCTACCAAATTTTGATGTGCTTTTTTTTAATGCTTATGAAAATAACAATAAAACTGACATAAATAAATGAACAATTACTATGTGTGGAAAATCGCAAAAGAGAAAATAAACATAACTTTCTGGAAATAAATTTGCAAGTATAAAAAACAGGCTTAAATAACTTATCATGAAATCTTTCTATGATAGGGCCTTGTCTCAATCTAATTTGATAACTCTTTGTGTACATTGTTAGTCCTTAATCTGGATTTCTCATACAAGACAAGGAAATAAACATTTTCTCTTGACTATGGCACTGTTACATATATATTTTTCTCTTATATTCAATGAAAAGGAAATTAGCCTTTACACAATCAATAGGATTTCATGCCAAATATTATAAAAGTTTAATATCTCAACTCAAAGAACAGTTAATGTTTTAAACTGTCGCCCTCCCCTCTACTCCCTGCTCAACTTCCCACCCATGTCAAACACTGATCTTGTGAATCTTATTTAGCATCCTGGACAAATCCTGTAAGCTTTTTTTGATTTTAATTATTTTTTCCAGATAGACATTATGTTCCCTTTCAGATGAATATTATCAGTACTCTTGAAGTAACCTAAGAATATGCAGTTTCCTTTCCTTCTGTTTGAGCATCAGATCTAACCTACCCTGCCTCAGTGTCACCAGACAGCTCTTCCTTCTCTGACAACAAAGCAAATCTCAGAAGGGATTTTGGTTTAACACAAGGAATAAAGATAGCCAGACATTTTGATGTGTTAAGCTATGGTCTTGTCACCTTCTCTTTTCCTTTTGCAATGCACTTTTTCTGAATGGTAGTTATGTTTTTACATTCTGAGTCTGTAGTGTTTGTTTATTCTCCAAATATTAGCCAGGGCAAATCCCAATTAACGTAGAAGAACACACAAAGAAAACTTGTCATCTTGGGAAAAGAAATTCACAGCGTAATATAGAGTAACATTCCTTAATTTCCATCATTTCCATTAATAATAAGCTGTTGTTAGTTACACTCATTCCATTGATGACGCTGTTTATATTTTGAAAACTTAAATAATTCCCAGATACCAGAAATAATTGGTCCTGGACTAATTGCTGTCAAAGGAAATATACCCAAACTTTTTTCCTTATTTCTTAGTAAAAGCTTTTTTCCACATTTTATGAAATATTGAGTCTTTTGTATGCACCAGATGTTCTGACTGCAAGCTCATCTAAGAGAAAATTGTAAAGGCAGAAAATATTATTTTATATGATTAATTTATTCATTATTAAGTCAAATATTTATTTAATTTCCCATTATTTGCTAAATGTTGTTAAATATTTATTTAATGTCCCATTATTTGCTAAATGTTGTTAAACTCCTCAAGTTGTTTAAAGTATATTGCTGGGAAGGGAGTTTGACATACACATAAATAAGTACAATGAGATGTTATATGTGCTAAACTCAAAGAACAGGATATTTAGTTCTGAAGGAGCATAAAAAAGGGAATAGGCAAATCTACCTTATGGAAAATATAAAAATGGACTTCAAAGGGAAAATGACTTTAAAGCTAAAACTTTAAAAGATGGAAGTATTAAGCAAATAGACCAGGAAAGAGAGGACGTTTTAGGGAGATGGTGATGTTTGTAAAATGATACAGAGGGATGGAAGACCATGTCATGCTTGAAAACAGCAAGTCTATGAATATGGCTAGGGAGACTCAAG
This sequence comes from Homo sapiens, assembly GCF_000001405.40. Lineage (NCBI taxonomy): Eukaryota > Metazoa > Chordata > Mammalia > Primates > Hominidae > Homo > Homo sapiens. Next base: position 79,729,421 of record NC_000001.11, on the reverse strand, counting down.
TGGTAAATAGGCTCCAGATCAAGATGAACAGAAAATGCATAGTTCTCTTGGTTTGCTGATTCTTGGCCGGAAGGAGGGAGATGACCATGGCTGTTTTCATCAGCCATCACAGCTCTGGGGGGTTCAAGGGCACAGAAGGGGAATGTAGGTGGGCTCCTCCAGGAGTTCTGAGGCAGAGGGAGTGTGTGAAGCTCTTTTTTTTTTTTTAAGTAGCTTAGTTGATATTTTGATATCCTCATTAGATGCAGTATGGCAAATCCAATGACTGTGTCAGGACCTGATGAACCAAGCCATCTGTTGAACATTATTGTAGTATTGCTCTTCCCCATCCTTCTGGGTAGGTTTCCCACTCATCTTCTCTGCAATCCAGAATCCCCACCTTTCAGGTGATCGTCTCTTAGTAATATCTTTCACATTCACTGTCCCTACAGGGCCTCAGCCCCCACAGTATGGTTTGCATTTTTAGATAATACTTTTTTCTCTTTCCCTGGGGTTATTTTAGGCTTCACTTAATATACAATCATCTATATTTATAAACGGCATTCACCCAGACCTTATGAACTACAGTTAAAATCATTACAGAGTGATTGTGGATAGAAGAATAGAAGCTCCAATTTATTAAGGAATTTCTCCTAAATCTGCATCGATCGCATCTGGTGAAGAGCTTTAATTTGGGCCTTTTCTGATACCAGTAGGAGTATCAGGCACACCTCTAATACAGGCATTCTCTGTTTTATTTTAGTGTCTCACATGACATCATCTTTTCCTCTGTCAACCCAGTACTTCCCACGTGCCCCATCCTGGATCTACATGCCTTGAAAATGCCCTATGATCAGGCCTTCTAGTTCATGAAACAGCCCACCTCTGTAAGAATGTATTACCTCCCAACAGATGTGAGATGACAAGGCATTTAATCCAGCATTATGTTTAATCCTGTAATTCCTAAAGCTAGAAAGAGGAATTTATATTTTATTGTTGTTGTTGTTATTCGGGGAATACTTGCATTTTAACCTTACACAGAAAGGTGTTTCCAACTTGAGCAGTAAAAGCAAGGAGACTGGGAGAGCAGAGGGATGGAGACAGAGCAAGAATTAAAATGATGAAATAACGAATACTAAAAGATTGATCCAGTATCCCCAAATGAGTTATCTTTGGAAACAGTCTTTAACTTAATTAATCGAATGATGGAAATTCTAAGCATTACCAAAAATCAGCAGAAATTGTAATTCTTGGCTTTAGTTCATTTCTAGTCACATCACACTTGCAAGTGACCTGTCCACTCAATTGACTCACTCATTTATTAATTTTGTCAGTCAGCATTACTCATGGAGACCTACTAACAATCTAACAGTATGTGTGGAACAGAGTAAGTAATCAATATGAGCATCCTTCATTCACTTATAAAAACATGTATTTCACTTCAAGCATAAAACAAGCATTATTTTAGATAGCACTCTTTTCTTCTCTGGGCTAATTTTAGGGTTGAGTTAAAATACAATCATGTATATTTATAAACAGCATTCACCTAGACCTTCCTAGACCTTATGAACTATAGTTGAAATCATTGCCAAGTGGTTGTGGATAAGAAAATGGAAGCTCCAATTTATTGAGGAATTTCTCCCCAATCTTCATCTATCAAATGTGGTGGGAGCTTGAATTTGAGCCTTTACTCTAACCAATAGGAAGATGCAGTGATGAAAAAGATAAAGCCATATTCAATGTAGTGTTATATTCTTGTGAGCAGAAAAATAAGCAGGAAATATCACTAAGGTACAATTATTTTACATAATGAGAGTAAGCCTAGGATGGGCTTTAGGTGCATGTAGGAGGAAAGTTTCATGTTCAGGCCTCAGAGGTCAGAGAAAGCACACCACACTTGCGGAATTTCAAGGACCTGGGTTTGAATCCTGGCTTTGCCATAAAATGGGACAAATTACTCAACCTCTCTCTTTGTCAATTTATTCATCTATAAAATAGGAATTTTATAGATAAAATTATAAATAGGAATAATAATGGAATATATTAAAATAGGAATAATAATATACATGTATCTTATATGACTTAAGAATTAAATGAGTTAATATGTCTACTATTTAGAAAGATTGTTGGCAGATAGCACTGCATAAGTGTTAGCTCTTTTAACATTTTATTATTAACGTATTATTATGTATATACCTCAGAGTGAGAGGAGGGAGGTTTGCATAAGCACGATCCAGATTGTGAAGCATTTATGTGCCTTGCTAAAGAATTTGGAATTTATTCTAAGCAAAGAGAGTTTTTAGCAGGGAAGTAACATGATCCTCTTTGTAATGCATTACTTCTTGCCTAGTTCTGTAAAAGAGCTCCTGCTGTAGTATTTCTAGTATTTGGGCTGTTTAATTTGTGTGTGTGTGTGTGTGTGTGTGTGTGTGTGTTTACATTTGTATAAAAGCAATGAAAGAAGCATAATGATTCTTGGGACAAAATGTACATTTAACAGTACTAAAAATATGACCCTGATTCTTAATTCAGATTATTGTAATGTGAGAAACAATACTTGATTCCACCCTAAGACGTAACTTTGAAAAACAATACATGTCTGTACCGTATTCTGCGTCACTGAGGGAAGAATTTGTAGAGGGACCCAATTCTGAGGTCCTGGCAAGCATGACCATGACACATGGTTCTTTTGTACCCTGCAATATATTTCAGACTCTTCCTTTTACTTATAATTTGTATGTAGCAAATTTTAAGGACAAATGTGGGATAGAAGCCTGAAAATCTGTTTCTCACCTCTCACATATCCATCCTGTTGGGAACTTTGCACGTTCTTCTCATTTTGCAAGCCCACAAACAGCTAACTGAACATAACCTAAGCACCAAATACAGCATCTGAGATGGGCTGCTAGTGCCAAAGTCACACTGTTTCTTCCTTATATGCTCATTTTGTTCTGATCGTTCTTGCCAACTTATGACTTTCCTGTCTTTGGTCCAGCACCACCATCCTCCTTCCACATATTTTTCCTATCTCAGCCCTCCTGCTGTATTCTTTTCTTGCCTTTTGGAGTGTATTATTTCTTTTGTGTTCATTTATATAAAGTCAGATAAAGGAATGTGAATGCATGTTGTAAGAGCTAGGCTCTAAATGCCTTTAATTTTTCTTTATTCCATTTTGTTATCAGCATCAGTGCATTATGTTACCGTTACACGAAGATACAATTTTCCATCTTTGAAAAAAAGGCTTATTTTATTTTATTTCCAAGATAACTGGTGGCTTTTTAAAAATGAAAAAGATGGATTAAATGGAGGCAATCATACAGCTGGGTTTACAAGCATGAGTTACTGACAAAGACTGCAAATCACCACGGAACTTCTTTCTTTCTATCGGATATTTTCCTTGACTGAATTCCAAATACATATTAAGTAATGGATTAACTGTTTCCAGGGTAAATACTGATAATAATTATGTCACATATAGCAGTTGTTTATGGGTGATAGGAATGCTAAATGCCACTAGACTGAGCGCTAGTTGATTTTCAATTCACTTTTCAAGGCAAACCTTCTGACACTTCTATATGCTTTTGATATTTATGCATTTTTATCCATTTTCAGTTTGATGAACTGATTATATGGTATTAATTAGAATTGTACTGATGAAATCACCATGTTTACATTTCAAAAAACATGTTCAGAAAACATTTATTGGTTACTCACTTTGTGCTAGGCATAGTTGTAAATTTTCAAACCTTTTGTAGTTTGGTGATTGATTTTTGTGGATAAAAGGACAAATGCTATGAGAGATGTAGGAATAGCAGCTTTCAGTAAACAAACTTCTTGTTTCTCATTATGCATAATTTATTTGACTTGTATGTAGTTTTAATTTTATATTCATATTATGAACAAAGGGAGTTTATATTTTTACTTAACTTTTTAATCTAAACAAAAAAGCACTCAAAACCACAGTCAAAAGCAATTAAGGCAGATGCTGCAATTTTCAGAGCAAAATATGTTGCTACTTTCAACTTTTCCAGTGATTATAACTTACAGTATTTTATACCATTATGTATACTTTGGCCATTCAGAATTTTATTTTTGCAGATTCAGTAATAATACTTTATCTCAGTCAGATGTACTTTGTCTGAAACAGCACATATTTGCTTCCATCTTTAGAGGATATTTTCAATAGGCATAGAAATGAAGCTTTCACTGCTCTAAATACAGCATTTCATTTTCTTCTGTCTTCCATGTCTGTCATCAGTCACTTTTAAGTCTCACTGTTGTTTTTGAAGAAGCTGTTTTTAAGATTTTTCTCTTCAGCAGTTTGACTATAATGTGCCTAATAAAATTTACTTTGTATTTTATTATAAATTATGCATTTATAGATTTTCTGAACTTCCATCTATGCATAAATGGCTTATATCAGTTAGAAATATTAGTTATTATCTCTCTAGATTTTTCTTCTTTCTTATTCTTTCTTCCTTTTTATTTCTGGAACTCCAACTAGATATATATTGTACCTTCCTCACTGTATTGCATATATCCCTTATGCTGCATGCTGTATTCTTGGTTACTTATGCTCTCTGTGCTTTACTTTGGTTATTTATTGTCCTGACTTCCAGTTTGTTAGTATACTTTTCTGCAATATCTAATCTCCTCTTAAAGACATCTAATGAATTCTTAATTTCAGATTTTTTTTTAATTGTAGATTTTTCGATCTGATTCTTTCTACCTATCCTAATTCTCTTTTGAATTTCTCCATTTCACCCATTGGTTTCCATTCTCTCCTGGTCATCAGAATTTCTCATGCTGTTCTTTTATGGACATACCCACTTACTTGCCTCCCACTCTTACCTCCTTCTCAAACTCTGGTAACTATGAATCTGTTCTTCATTCCTATAATTTTGTCATTTCAAAAATTTTAGGTGAATGGAATCATATGGTATGTGATTTTGGGGGATTGATTTTATTCACCCAACATAAATTTCTAGAGACTCATCCAGTTATTATTACATGTATCAATAGTTTGTTCCTTTTTATTATAGAGTTATCCATGGTATAAATGGATAACACAGATGTTTAACCATTTACCCATTTAAGGACATCTGAGTTTACAGTTTTGGGCTATTATAAATAATGTTGCTATCAACATTAATGTATAGATTTTTGTGTGTGTGAACCTAAGTTTTAACTTTGTGGGGAGTATATTTGCTAGGTTGAATGATAGTTGCTTTTTAGTTTTTAAAGAACATGCCTAAATGTTTTCCAAAGTAGCTGTAACATTTAACACAACCAGCATCAATGTATGAGTGAACATCTTTTATACATCTTCACCAGCAATTGATGTTATTGTCACACATTTTTATTTTAGCTATTATGACAGATATATAGTGATTTATCACTGTGGTTTTAATTTAGCCTTTGCTTAATGGCTAGGGGTGAGGAGAATCTTTTCATGTGCTTATTTGTCATCTGATATCCTCTTCAATAAAATGCTTCTACATGTCTTTTGCCCATTTTCTAATAGAAAGTTTTATGATGACCTTTGAAAGTTCTTTGTATATATTCTAATAGTAGTCTTTTGTAAGATATGTTGCTTGCAAATATTTTCTCACTGTCTGTAGCTTTCATTATCTTAACAATGCTTTTCATAAAAAGTTTTTAATTTTGATTTTATCTAGCTTATCAATCTTTCTTTTTATTGATTTTACTTTCAGAATCAAGTCTAAGAACACTTCACCTAATTCTAGATCTCAAAGATTTCTCTTACGTGTTTCACTAAATATTTTATAATTTTATGTATTACATTTAATTTCATGGTCCATTTTTACATCAATTTTTGTATAACTTGAGATAATTAGGTTGAAGCTCATTTATTTATTGCTTGCCTGCCTGTGAATATTCCATTATTTCAGCATTATTGCTGAAAATGTTATCTTTTCACTAGTAAACTACTATTGCACCTTTCTCAAGAATCCGTTGGGTCTACTTCTGTGGGTCTACTTCTTGGTTTTCTATTCTGTTCCATTGATCATTGAGTTTATCCCTCGTCCAAAACTATACACTCTTGATTATTGTAGCTATATAATGTCTTGGTTTCAGGTAGATTGGTTCCTCCCACTTTATTCTTTGTTTTCAAAATTATTTTAACTATTATTATTATTATTACTGATACAATGTCTTGCTCTTTCACTCAGGCTGGATTGCAATGGCTCACTGCAGCTTGGAACTCCTGTGCTCTTTAAGTGATCTTCCTGACTCAGCCTCCCAAGTCACTGAGACTACAGGCACGTCCCACTGTACCTGGCTAACTTTTTAATTTTTTTGTAGAGGTAGGGTCTCACTATGTTGCCCAGGCTGATCTCAAACTCCTGATCTCAAGTGATCCTCCCTCTTCAGCCACCCAAAGCGCAAGGATTACAGGCAAGAGTCACAGAGCCCACGCTTTTCTAGCTGTTTGAATTCCTTTCTTTCCACATGCATTTTTGGATAAATCTATCTATCTATCCGTCCAACCATCTATCTATAGACAGATAGAAATATCTCTCCACATATCTCTCTATATATACACAAAATATATAACTATATTTTATGTAAAATATACACAAAATATATAACTATATTTTATGTAAAATATACACATATTTATATGTAAGTATACATATTTTATGTATAAAAGATAAATCTCATATATATGCATATTTATATATATAAAATCTTGCTAGGATTTTAATATCAATTTCATTAAACCTTTATATCAATTTTGGAACAACTTATATATTTTATATATTGAGTTTTCCAATTCATGTGCACAGTATGTCTCTCCATGTATTTAGATCTTTGATTTCTTTTATCAGAATTTTGTAGTTTCAGTTTACAAGTCCTGTACATATTTTGATATGTTAACATCTAAGTATTTTTTTTAATGATTGTGAAGGATCCTGGATTTTAATTTTGGTGTCTGTACATTCATTGTTGTGACCTTGATGAATTTACTTATTAGTACTAAGAATGTTTTTGTAGATTCCTTGGGATTTCCTATGCAGACCATCATTTCCTTTGCAAATATGATAGGAACATTTTTATTTCTTCCTTTCCAATTTGTGTGCCTTTATTGTTTTTCTTGCCTTATTGCACCTGCTACAACTTATAACATGGTGTTCTGTTTAGTAAGAATTATAAAAAAGTAAACCCTTGTGTTGCTTCTAATTATACAGATAAAGCATTCATTCTTACCCAATTAAACATAGTGTTAGTTTTACGTTGTTTGTAGATGTTGTTATCACACTGAAGAAGTTTCCCTCTATTCCTATTGTTCTAGAAGTTTGTTATAAAACATTCTATGCATCAATTAATAGAGCATGTGATTTTTCTTCCTCAGATCATTAGTATAATAGATTATATTGATAAGTTTGTGATCTTGAGCCACCTTTAAATCCCTGAAATAAACCAGCTTAGTCATAATGTATAATTATTTTTATATATTGATAAATTCTGTTGGAGAATAATTTGTTAAGAATTTTTGTGTCATATTCATGATAATATTTGTGTTTTTCTTATACTCTCCCTGTCTGGTTTTGATATTAGGGTAAGGCTAGCTTCATAAAATGAATCGGGAAGCAAGTCTTTTATTTTTCTGAAAGAGATTCACAGAATTATTGTTCATTGTTCTTTAACATTTTAGTATATTCTCCAGTGAAACTATTTTGAACTGGAGATTTCTGTTTGTGGAAGTTTAAATTAGTAATTCAACTTACTTAGTAATTAAAAGGATATTCAAATTACCTTTCTATAATATATTTGGTGAGTTGTGACAATTGTGTTCTTCAAGAAATTGGTCTATTTAATCAAGTGGACAAATTTTTGTGTTTAGAGTTGTTATAATATTTTCTTACTATCCTTTTGGTATCTATTGAATCTGTAGTGATATCCCTTGTTTCATTTGTTATATTGGTAATTTGTGTCTTTTTTTATTGTAAGTCATTATAGAGATTTGTCAGTTTTATTAATATATCTAAACAATCAGCTCTTTGTTTTATTGTATTTTCTCTACTGTTTTCTGTTTTCAGTTTCATTGATATCTGCTGTTATGTTTATTATTTCCTTCCTTCTGCTTGATGTGGTTTATTTTTCTCTTTTTTTAAGTTCTTGAAGTGAAAAATAAAATTATTGATTTGAAACATATTCTCTTTCCTAATGTATGCATCCGTAGTATACATTTCCTTCTTGACATTGCTTTATTGTGTTCCACAAATACAGATGTGTTTTATTTTAATTTTTAGTTTGATGCTTATATTTTTTAAAATTTTCATTGAGAATTCCTATTTGACAAATGGGTTGTTTATAAGTATGTTTTTTAATTCCTAAATGTTTAGGGGTTTTCCTGTTATCTTTCTAGTTTTGATTTCTAGTTTAATTCCATTTTCACAAGGGAACAATTTGTATAATTTTAATTGTTGAAGTTTGTTTTATGACTCACCCAGGGTATGGCTGTCTTAGTACACATTTCATGGACACATGAAAAGAATGCATATTCCACTGTGATTGGATATAAAGTTCTATAAATATCAGTCAGATCCTGTTGTTGATATTTGATGATACTATTGAGTTCCTCTATATTCTTGCTAATTTCAGGTTCAGTGATTTTATCAGTTTTTGAGAAAAGGGTATTGGTGTCCCTGACTTTATGCATTTGTCTATTTGTCTTTTCAATTATATCAGTTTTGGTTTTACATATTTTGCAGTTCTGTTGTTTGGTTCACAAACATTTGGAATTACTGTGTATTCTTGGCATAATGACCCTTTTATTATTATACAATATCATTCTGTCCTATTTTTTTTTTTTTTTTTTTTTTTGCTGTGATGCTTACTTTGTCTAATATTACTCTATCTGCTTCTGAATTTTAAAATTGTCTGATGATGATATGACTAGGCTTTGGGTCCCCACCCAGACCTCACCTTGAATTGTAATCCTGATAATTCCCATAATCCTCACGTGTCAAGGAAAGACCAGGCGGAGGTAATTCAGTCATGGGTTAAGTTTCCCCCTTGCTGTTCTCATGATAGTGAGTTCTCACAAGATCTGATGTTTTATAAGGTGCTCTTCCCCTTTCACTCAGCACTTGTCCTTCCTGTTGCCTTGAGAAGAAAGTGCCTTGCTTCCCCTTCACCTTCCTCCATGATTGTAAGTGTGCTGAGGTCTCTCCAGCCATGCTGAACTGTAAGTCAATTAAATCTCTTCCCTTTATAAATTACCTAGTCTTGGGCAGTTCTTTACAGTAGTGTGAAAATGGACTAATAAAGTAAGTTGGTACTGCAGAGAGTAGGGTGCTGCTCTAAAGATACCAGAAAATGTGGAAGCGACTTTGGAACTGGGTAATGGACAGAGATTGGAACAGTTTGGAGGGCTCAGAAGAAGACAGGAAGGTGTGGAAGGGTTTGGAACTTCCTAGAGACTTATTAAATAGTTTTGACCAAAATGCTGATAGTAATATGGATAATGAATTGCAGGCTGAGGTGGTCTCAGATGGAGATGAGGAACTTGTTGGGAATTGGAATAAATGTGACTCCTGCTATGCTTTACCAAAGAGGCTGGTGTCATTTTGCCCCTGCCCTGGAGATCTGTGGAATGTTGAACTTGAGAGAGATAATTTAGGGTATCTGGTGGAAGAAATTTCTAAGAGGCAAAACATTCAAGAGGTGACTTGGGTACTCTTAAAAGCATTCAGTTTTATGCATTCACAAAGATATTATTTGGAATTGAAACCTTTGTTGAAAAGGGAAGCAGAGCATAAAAGTTTAGAAAATTTGCGGCCTGATAATGCAATAGAAAAGAAAACCCCATTTTCTGAGGAGAAATTCAAGCTGGCTGCAGAAATTTGCATAAATAACAAGGAGTCAGATGTTAATCACCAAGACAATGGGGAAAACGTCTCCAGGGCATGTCATAAGTCTTCATAGCATCCCTTCCCACCACAGGCCCGGAGGGCAAGGTGAAAAAAAGTGGTTTTGTGGGCTGGGCACAGGGACTTGATGCTTGGTGCAATCTCAGGACTTGGTGCTCTGTGTCCCAGTCATGGCCAAAAGGGCCAATGTACAGCTCAGGTCATTGCTTCAGAGGGTGCAAGCCCCAAGGCGTGGCAGCTTACACATGGTGTTGGGCCTGCGGGTGCACAGAAGTCAAGAATTGAAGTTTGGGAACCTCCAGCTAGATTTCAGAGGATTTATGCAAACTCCTGGATGTCCAGAGAGAAGTTTTCTGCAGGGGTGGAGCCCTCATTGAGAACCTCTGCTAAGGCAGTGCAGAAGGAAAATGTGGGGTTGGAGCCCCCACACAGAGTCCCCACTGGGGCATCACCTAGTGGAGCTGTGAGAAGAGAGTCTCCATTTGCCAGACCCCAGAAGACCCACCCACAGCTTGCACTGTGTGACTGGAAAAGCCAGGTACTCAACACAAGCCTGTGAAAACAGCCAGGAGGGAGGTTGTACCCTTCAAAGCCACAGGGGAAGAGCTGCCCAAGGTTGTGGGAGCCCACCTGTTGTATCAGTATGACCTGGATGTAAGACACAAACTCAAAGGAGATCATTTGGAGCTTTAAGATTTGACAGCCCTGCTGGGTTTTGGACTTGAATGGGGACTGCAGCCCCTTTGTTTTGGCCAATTTCTCGCATTTAGAACAAGTGTATTTACCCAAAGCTTGCTCACACATTGTATTTAGAAAGGAACTAAGTTGCTTTTGATTTTATAGGCTCATGGGTGGAAGTGACTTACCTTGTTTCAGATGAGATTTTAGACTTGAACTTATGGACTAATGCTGCAATGAACTAAGACTTTGGGGGACTCTTGGGAAGGCATGATTGGCTTTGAAATGTGAAAGGGACATGAGATTTGGGAGGGACCAGGGGCAGAATGTTATTAGGCTTTATGTCCCCACCCACATCTCATCTTGAATTGTAATCCCAGTAATCCCCATAATCCCCATGTGTCAAGGGAGGGACCAGGTGAAGGTAACTGAATCACGGGGTTTGTTTCCCCGATGCTGTTCTCATGATAGTGAGTGAGTTCTCAAGAGATCTGATAGTTTTACAAGGAGCTCTTCCCATTTTGCTTCGCACTTCTTCCTGTTGCTTTGTGGAAAAGGTGCCTTGCTTCCCCTTCACCTTCCTCCATGATTGTACGTTTCCTGAGGCCTCTCCAGCCAAGCTGAACTGTGAGTCAATTAAACCTCTTTCCTTTATAAATTACCCAGTCTTGGGCAGTTCTTTAAAGCAGTATGAAAACAGACTAACACAGATGATATATTTTTTTTTTACACTGATATGTCCATGGCTGAAAAAATATATTTCATGTACACATGGTGGAAACTAGGCTACATAAAAATCCTGAGTGATAACTATTGGATTGGCCATTCAATATTTCCTCTGGTAATACCGAGGCTTTCAAATGTTAGACTGCAGAAGAATAGATTTACATTAATAATATCTAGCTCGGAAGTGAAATAAATGTTAGTTAATGGGAATTAGCACGGGAAAATTCTTTCTCTTAAAATGATCAGAGCTATAATTCCTTAATCTTTGTTTTTACTTCAATAAACAAGGCATATATAGTCTTTATTGATATATGAATTCACAAGATTACTCAATTTGCATATCCATTCATATAAGAATAAGATATTAAGAAAATGTTTCTATTATTTTACTACTTGAAGAAAGACCAGAAAGTCACTTATTAATCTGGTTTATCACACTATGCTGTTATTCCAAAACAGGTAAGCAAACAAAAAGCCAAGTAAAAAATGTCAAAATGTCACCTTATTGTCTATATTAATACTTTTTTAAAAAATCATAACCAATAATTAAATATTATCTGATGTTTTTATGTCAACACAGTACTCCAATAATTATTTTTAATGTTTTTAAATTTGCTTATTTTGTGATAAATTTTATTGATTATCAAGTTATTTAAAAATGATCAAGATTCCGCTAGATTTTGCAATGTAAAAAAAAATTTTATAAGGATCTAAAAATCCTTCTCATTAGTGATAGGTAGTGAAAGCCCCACAGTTCTGCAGAAATATCCATGCCTGACACAATACAGTTACTATTTCATAAGAATGTAGTTATGTATATTAACCTCCTAAATTTTACATATTTACTTTCTAGCCATTACTATAATAATATATTATTGTCCAGTCTACTGTTTGAGTCACAATTTTTTTTCTGAGAAATTTTGGTCTATTTGGTGAAGAAGTGATGTGTAATAATTCCCACCCAAATTATTTTTTTATTTCTTTAATCTCTTAGATTTGATACCACTTTTCCTATTTTAAGCAATGTCTGCTATACTAATACATGATAAATGCTTGAAATGTACTTTTGAATCGATGAATAGATATGTAAAAAATTTAAATGAATCAATATTTTTCTTAAAGAAAAAATTCAGGACACTAACTCACGTGAATTTTTTTTCTGTCATAATGAAAAGAAAATATAAAATGAAGTAACTGCCTTCATTTTATAAAACTTAAGGTTAGCCTTTACTGATAATGCATTATTCGCTGGTGATCAGGATTATGTAATTATTATGTTTATTTGATTATTTACTATTTATATTTAGTGCTTTCTGTTTTGTTGTTTTTTAAAAGAATTTGAATCAGTTTCAACACAGTACAAAGCAACTCTGTTAAACATTCCTTCCAGGGCCTGCCAAGAACAAAAGCACTTTAAGGGAACAGAAGAATTGCTGTTACCAGGCACCTGTGATGAGTCAATCACTGCAGATAAACACCAAATTTATGTGTGTTCATCTTGGCAGCCAAGGCAAAAAGGAAAAATGTGTTTCTCCCAAGGTTGCCTGCATACACAAACATTTTCTTGGCTCAAAACTGAATGGAGACTTTAACATGTGGTTTCTTATGTTAAAAACATTGAAGAACATAATGGATGGATGATGCCTTCACACAATCTTATGAAAAACATGGACATTGTTCAACTATAAAAGGTTCAATTTTAACATTAAAAGAAATTCAGTGGAATCCTTTCTATGGGTTGCTGAGATAATGAAATCCAAATATATCATTCCTAAATACCCAATTTAAAACAGACAGAGCTTTAGACAATCTGGAGGAAGAGGTAATCAACCTATCCAAAAGACAGCCTCTCTCTCAAAAAAAATGTCTCAAATTAGCTTTTGGAAAGAACTGCTCTGCTGTTAGTTTAGAAGTTCTGAATTCCTAGTATTTGTTTTGCTAATTCAAGGTGGACCCTTTTAGTTAGTTGACTTGTGCCTCTCTCCAACCCCCACGAAGGGAAAGATACTTCCTTGTCCACACACACACACACAAAAAGTTCATGCAAAACTTGTGGATTCCAATATAATGCATTTGACAAAATGTCTCTTAAAAATCAGTTCCAAATGGTAGCTGGATAAAATGACATTACCTGATTGTGTTTAATTTTGTAGTTGTCGATGTCATTTTATTCTTTGTACCCCTACTTCAATGAATTCATAAAATAAATTTTAATTCTTTGAAGAAACAAGATTTTTTCGTAATCTTTGCCTTTTCTACAGCAATGAGTAGATACACTTTATCATAATACACAGTTGATAAATGCTATTTTATCTGACTCAATTGTTCATTCTGTTGCTGGATAACTTTTTCTAAAGAAGCATAATTTTAGTGTTTATATAGTTGATTCTAAATTGATTTTTTAAAACAATATTTACTCACAAGTCATGTTACACTAACTTTACTTTCTCCTTTTCAGAGATGAAAGGGATATAATATGAATTTAAGGAAAGCATTTGAAAATATTTTAATAGTATTCTCATGTAACATAAAGTTAAATAAATTTGAAATAGGTTGAGTTATCCTAGAAATGCTGCTAAGGAAATGGTAGTAAATAAGATAAATATGCTCTATAACTTAATGGAGATAAAAATCTAGTGTGGGAACTGATGCTAAATAATCTACCAAGTTTGATGTACATTAAAAACTGAGACATTTAAGGAACATGGTGCAGTAGAAACATGTAATAATGTGATTTAAGCTGTATTAGGGATTCCAAAAGAGACTCTGGGGAGTTGATACTTAATGTGAGATTTGAAGAATGAGTAGGTATTAGCCAAATAATGGGAACATGAATGAGAAAGAATATTCCAGGAAGAAAACAATATGTGAAAAACCTATATCTGAGGGAGAACATGGTGTGTTTCAGTTAAGAAATCCAGAATGGCTGAGGCTTAGCAAATCAGGGATAGAGTGAATGTGAGAAGTTCGCAGAGCAGGAGCTCAGAGAACCTTGAAAATGAATTTAAGATTTCAGAATGGGTTGGTAGCTGAAACACAGACTTTTAGCAACTTAGAACCATAGCCCCCACCATCATATTTCAGGGGCTGGATATCTGGGCATTATATTTCCCAGAATTTCTATGGTAAGGATCTGGATTAGATCCATCACTGAGCAGCAATTGTGTAAGTTTTGAAAGGTAGAAAGGAAACAGAAGCCATTATTATTTTTACTTCTAGCAGACATGTGGATTTTGTCAGAGGTGAGATTTCACAGTGGCCTTTCAGACTTTTCTTCCACACACCCATTTTGAGGTGGGGATAACTATAATCATTGCTGGCAGTTTCCTGTCCTTCTTGCAACTTCTGGAATCCTTAAAATCTTGTAGACTTTTGATTGATGTACAGTCTTCCCTGATTTTAATTTCATAGAGAGTTGTATAATTACATAATTTTCCAAATTAAATTCCTTTCTGTTTTTCTAACTGAATCCTGGCTGACATAGTATTTGATATTTAAAATGGTGTGGGGGTGCTGGTGAATGCATGGTATAAAAATAAAATAAAATTTAATATATGTAACATTAGTTTACAGTTGTGGGTAGGACAATGAGAAATTAAGCATAGCAGCCTGGAGGGATGGAGAAATCTGCTATTTCATGGAAAAATATTTGGTATAGGAGTCACCAATAACTAACTGATGACAGAATCAAACATTTATTAAGTTGTAGCTCTATAGCAAGTAGTTAGGAGTCAGAATTACAATGTATATAGAATATCATCTGCTGCACTCACTAATGTGAGAAAAACATAAGAAAACATAAGGAAAACACAAACATAAGAAAACATAAGGAAAACAAAGAAAACAAGGCTTATTTCAGGTATAAATGTAAGCTAATAGAGAAAGTCCAGGAATGGGGTGCCCCAAGGTATTGAAAAAGCAAATTTCAAAATCTTGGTAGGAAAAGACCAGAGATGTTTTCAGTGACAAGTTTCTAGTAAGATTTTTTTATTTAAAAAAATGACCAAATTTAAGGTTTTATCTTCACAGCAAAACTAATTGTCTCAGGCATCCTCAAGACAGCCTGCATTAATTTGAGAAATGTCAAGTAAGAATGGAAGCAGATAAGTGAATTGGGCTTGGGAATTTGGTCTAAGAAAAAATTGGAACATAGTTATTGGTATATGAAGTAGAATTAAATAAATTAACGCCAGCTGGGTTGTGTGATTTCTTTTTAATTTTATTATTTTTTAATAGAATTTTTAGGCTAACAGCAAAATTTAAAGGAAAGTACAGCAATATCCCATATACACCCTACCCCCATGCATACGTATTCTCACCCATTATCAACATCATTCAACATAGTGATAAATGGTGTTACAATTAATGAACCTATATTTATTCACACCTTATTATCACCCGAAGTCCATAGTTTATATTAGGGTTCAGTATTGTGTTTCATATTCTATGGGTTTTGACAAATATATAATAACAGGTATACACCATTATATGGGATTATACAGAATATTTTCACTCCCTGGAAAATCCTCTTGTGCACCACCTATTCACCCCTCTCTGCCCCCAACACCTGACAACCACTGATCTTTTTACCATCTCCATAGTTTTGCCTTTTTGAGCATGTCATATAGTTGTAATCATATAGTATGTAGCCTCTTAAGATGCTGTCTTTTAGTAACATGCATTTAAGTTTCTTTCATGTTTAGCTAAGTTTTTAAGAGAAATCTATTGCCAAAGAAATCATGAGCCTGTATTAAATATCTTTGTTCAAGTCTTAAACTTTCATTTGAAACTCTAAATTTTTACCATTTGAAAGTAATGTGCAAACTTTCTTCAGCCTCAATGAAGATGTTTTCCCAACACCCACTGGTGGTATAACTATGAAGAAAAATGGATGAGAGAACCTTCTAAAGAATAGAGCTGGCTGAGCATGGTGGCATATGCCTGTAACCCCAGCACTTTGAGAGGCCGAGGTGGGCAGATCACTTGAGGTCAGGAGTCCAAGACCAGCCTGGCCAACATGGTGAAACTCTCTCTCTACTAAAAACACAAAAATTAGCTGGATATGGTGGTGTGTGCCTGTTATCTCAGCTATTTGGGAAGCTGAGGCAAGAGGATCATTTGAACCCAGGAGGCGAGGTTACAGTGAGTTGAGATCGTGCTACTGCACTCCAGCCTAGGCCACAGAGCAAGGCTCTGTCTCAATTTAAAAAATAAAAATAAATAAAAAATAAATAAAATAAATCCAGTACCCAGAAGACAAGGGAAAAGTTTATTCCCAGACAACATGGGGATCATTTTCTAATCAAAATATTTACCCACACTTAGGGTAAAAGATCTTAATAAGTTCTAGCCATCAGGATATCTCCTATGCTTCCCATTTTACATGGAAGTAATTACTGGAGTTACTGTGTCCCAGCTTCAGTATATAATAATGAATATGTATATTGGGAATGTGGATAACTTGTCTTTTTTATGCATAGGTTCCCGTAACTGGAAGAGCCATAACTGAATCTGATAGAGAGGATAGTTCATCTTCTGGGTAACTGGTCATCTGAACTTTGAGTTAGATACTGTGACTGGAAACACTTTGTATTGCTTGGGAGTCATTAAGGGCTTTAAGTGGCTGTGAATGAGTAAAATGAGTTAAGTGAATCTTTAATGAAGAGTAAAATGGACTGTAGTGAAGGCACCTGTAAGTGTCACACAATCTTTATCTTCTTCCTTCAGCCCACATAATTAGATTGTATTTTCTGGGCTTTTTTTTTTTCTTTTTTATCTAGGTGTGGTAATGCCACTGAATTCTAATCAATGAAATGTGAAGAGATAGATGTGCATTGCTTCTAGGTCAGTCCCATCCATTAAAATCTCCAATACGTGATCCCCCATTCTCACTTATTATTCCCTCTCCATCAATAATACATCTTTCTATGTGGTTCTATATAATGGTGGAGCAACAGGATGCCAGGAACCTGGTCTCTGAATCATTGCTGTAAAGATAGCCATGTGGCCGGGCGAGGTGGCTCACACCTGTAATCCCAGCATTTTGGGAGGCCGAGGCGGGTGGATCATCTGAGGTCAGGAGTTCAAGACTAGCCTTGCCATAATGGTGAAACTGTCTCTACCAAAAAATTAACCAGGTGTGGTGGTACAGGGCTTTAATCCCGGATACTCAAGTGGCAGATGCAGGAGAATTGCTTGAACCCAGGAGGCAGAGGTTGCAGTGAGCTGAGATTGTGCCACCACACTCCCGCCTGGGTGACAGAGTGAGACTCTGTCTCAAAACAAACAAACAAACAAACAAACAAACAAAAACAAACCAGATAGCCATGCAGGAGTTCCATGTAACCAGAATCACTGGAAATAAACTGTTACATAAGCAATTAAAGGAACACTCTGGTTGCAACATGGAAAATGCATTAAAAACAGGTAGTAATAGTAACAAGCTCAAAGCCTTGGTGTAATAGAAGTCATGGTAAAAGGGATTTTTGAGATGATATTAAGCACTATCAAAAGACGCTGAGAGGTTTCATTGTTTCCTAGTGCTGCCATAACAAGTTATCACAGACTAGGTTGTATAAAATCAGAAATGTATTATCTCAGAGTTCTGAAGGCTAGAAATCCAAAATCAGTGTGTAGGCAGATCTTCCACAGCCCTGCTGGCCTCTGAGCTACTCTCAAAATCATGCTTTGCTTTTCTTGAAAAATGATATGTATTCATTGTCAAGTAGCCCTTTCAGCCCATTTCCTACCCAGGAATTCCAGAAGTCTGACTGCCTTCTTACATTTTGTCAAATCTCTGTCCCTTTCAGTCCAAGAGGGCAGAGGTTCTACTGAGATGGTTGAGTGAACTCATGAGTCACAAGTCTAATCTCTCCAGCAAAAGTTAGTCCCATGACACCCTTAGTGTTCTTTCCAGAGCGTGCTTCATCATTTCTTGCAATATGGGTATACTGAGAATTTTTCAAATGTTCAAGTTCTAGTTCTTATTTGCCTCATAGCTTCCTTTTTCTTTCTTTCTTTTAATATTTTACTATAAGCAGAAAGGAGAAACCACGCTGCAACATCCACACTGTACTTGGAAATCCCCTAAGTTAAATATGCAAGTACGTCACCTACAAGTTCCACTTTTTCACCCAGCAGAAGAAAACAATTAAGTCAAGTTTTGTGCCACTTTATAATAAGGCACCTTTCTAAAGGAGTTTCCAAAATCATGTTTCTCATTTTTATCTAAGACTTCACAAGAAGTAACTTTAGCATTTATATTTGTATCAATAATCTCTTCAAGGCAATCTAGGCTTTTTCTGCTTACCTCAAGATTCTTCCAGCTTCTACTTACCGCCTGATCCTAAAGTCTCTTCCACCTTTTTAGGTATTTATTACAGTGGCACCCCACCATTTTCCAGTACAAAAAATCTATAGTAGTTTGCTATGGCTGTCATAGCAAATTACCACAAATGATGTGTCTTAAAACAACAGAAACTTATTCTCTTACAGGTTTGGAAGCCACGAGTCCAAAATAAGGTGTTGGCAGGGTCATGATCATGTTAAAGGCTCTAGGGGAAAATCTTTTCCATGCCTTTTTCTTAGCTTCTGGTGAACACTATAATCCTTGATGTTCCTTAAGTCTTAGATGCATCACTACAATCTCTGCCTTCAGCATCAAATGATGTTCTCTTTATGTGTATATCTGGGTCACGTCTCCACTTCTTATAAGAACACCAATGATATCAGATTAGGTCCCACTCTAATCAAGTATGACTTTATCTTAACTTGATTACATTTTCAAAGACTATTTTCAAATAAGATCACATTCACAGGCTAGGATTTCAACCTTTCTTCTAGGGGATACAGTTCAACCAATAACAGAGGCCAAACAAGAAAATGTTAATTAGTACCACTGGTTTTAAAAACATGAAAATTATTGGTGACCTCGACAAAAGCAATTTGTAAATGCTATGTGATATAAGAATCAACAGTATTACATGACTACCAAAATAAATAATGCACCGTAGTTTTACTATCCAAGGAAAAGACTGACATAATAATGTGCTATTATTTCTGGTCCAAGTGCACAGACACCACTGAATTTCATTCTGGCATCACAATATTAGAGTGTCTAGGAGGGTGACTAGGGTAGTTATGTCTGGAAACAGTGATATATGGTAAACTTATGTGTTTAGACTGGAAAAGACACAATTTAAGAGCCTTTGATAGCTATTTTTGATAGCTGTCTCTGAAACCTGATAAACTAGCATTTAGTTGAGAGATTAGGCTTATCTTGAATAACTTCAGAATATTGAGTTAATTGAACGTAAGCAAAGCATAGTTCATCCTAATATGAGAAAGAATTTAATCATTATAGGTGTCTACAATTCCCATGTGCTTATTTAAATGATAACAACCATTTTGTGAGTGGAGAACTTCTAACTGGGGCTAAATGATTGAAAACTGGAGCTGCTACAAAGGAAATCATGTGGGAAGTAAAAAAGTAAATTATGTTATCTTCAGTTTCTTGCAAATCATGTACAGATGCTCCTTGACTCCTGACGGAGTTACTTCCCAATAAATCCATTGTAAGTTGAAAATATTTGAAGTAAAAAATGCATTCAGTACTCCCAACCTTCTGAACATCTTTGCCTAGCCTAGCCTGCCATAAATGTGCTCAAAACACTCACATTAGTCTACAGTTGATGAAAATCATTCAATGCAAAGTCTATTTTACAATGAAGTATTGAATACTTCAGGTAATTTATTGATGTGCATGTTGCTTTTGCACAATCATAAAGTAAAAATATCCTAAGTCAAGTCATGACGAATTGGGGAGCATCTGTATTCTCATTCTTTTCAAAAATTCAGATGGCTCTTCAGCCTATTTTTAGCTATAAAAATTAAATAATAGATATAGAAATATAGGCATTTCCCCCCATCAGCTGTAAATTCACAACTAACTTAGTAATGCAAAAAGTATTCATTTGTTTATTAAAATAAAAATATCAGAAAAGATGCAGATATAATATTGTTGAAAATTTAGTAATAATTTAAAGCAGATGCTTGGCAAACTAGAAACAGAAAGTATCATTTTTAACCTGTGAGCTAGGCCAGATCCTAATGTTCATCTAGAAATAGTGCTGGACAGAATGAGAACTTGATCTCTTCTATGGTTACTTTCATTTTGTTTTATTCCCACTTTAACCAACAAACAATGTAAAGAGTCCACAGGAAATTAAAAATACACAACACAGGTGGATGCAACCTAAATGTCCACAGCTTCCTTATTTGTCACAGAAGCTCACTACCTCTTTTTATTGAAGAGGCTCAGAAAATAGGCTCTTTGTTTGTGACTGAGAATCATCAGCTTTCTTCACTAGGACTATTAATAGTTTGTGGTTTTGGATGGCCTACAACATGATAAAGAAAATCTATCAAAATTTACTAGGTACTTTACGCTAAAATTAAGAAGTTTCCCATTAAACTCAAGAGTATGACAAGAATGCTCGTTACCACTGCTGACATTCAACATCATACTTAAGTTTAAATTAGTGCAATAAGAAAAGTAAATAGGAGATACAAAGAATGGAAAAAGGAAAAATTCTATTATTTGCAGAGATATATTTACTTGTTTACACAGAAAACCCAAGAACAATCACAATCTATTTGAAAAAAGAAGATACTTTAGCAAGATTACCTAACACAAGGCTAATAAAGAAAAATCAGTAGCATTTCTAGATACCAGGTATAGCATGTTAGCACAGTCCATTCACAATAGCAACTAAATCTAAGGTTTTGATGTAAACAAAGATGTTAAAGATTTTGAAAGAGTATGTTGTTTGGTTATTTATTGCTGAATAGCAAACTACCCTGAAACTTAGTGGCTTAAAACTACAATCACTTATCAAACTTTTGAAGAATTTTAAGGAGGCAAGAACAAAATGAGAAAATGGCAGAATTGTAGCCAATGTGATCAAAGAAGTATCAGTGGCTCAGGTCATGTAGAGTCTTTTAACATACTAAAAACAAACAAACAAACAAAATCCCAAACTACCCATTTATAGTGAAATGGATAAATAAGACATGGAATATTCATAGCCTATAACCTCAGAAGTAATTAAATATTGACCTAGATATATAGCCAAATATTCAAATCAAAAAAATTTTTAAAAATAATTGAATAATGCATTCTGTATGCTAGTATCTGAGTGAAATTCTAAATCAAAAACACTAAAGATTACATGCATGCCAAATTCACGTAAGCATTTTGGTTGCCTCTGACAAGAATGAGACAGAAAGGAGACTGCAAAGAGTATTTTGCATATCTGTATTATGTTTACAATTTAAAAATAAATTTTTGAGGCAAATATAAAATTGTTTACATTTATTAATGCTAGGTATATTCTCTATTCATGTGTATGTATTTGTATATCAATGGGTATGAATGAATAAAAAATATAAATATATATGTTTTGCAATTTGCATTTAAATGCAAATACAGGTGCAATTTAAATAGTTCTAATGCAGAAGTACCATGTAAAATAATTACATTAGTTCATTTAATAATTTTCTAGTGATCCATGAAATGTCTAAACTTTTAATAGGAAATTACTTATGGAACAATACAATGTGTCTCACCAAAGAAACATATTGAGATGTAATGGGCCTAATTCTATGTGGTTTATCTACCAATGGTGAAATAAATAAATAATAAATAACTTCCTCTTCTCTTTCTTTTTTAATGGTGACTTTACTCCAGGACAAAAATGTTTTATGCATCTATTGTGATACAAAATACTGTTTTTTTTTCTTTTTTTTTTTTTTTTTTAATATGGAGGTTTACTATATTTTCTCAGTAGTTGGGTCTATGGTATGGAAGTAGCCATGGTTAATATGAACCACTTAAAATATTGTTAGTGCTTAACATTAATTCTTATTTCAAAAAAGAAACAATTTTAGGCAAATGAATATGCTATTTTAAGTATCTGAGCATGGTTTCTTAATAGCCTATCATCCAAAGCGCATTCACTTTATACTATTTTCTGGGGAGGCTAACAGATTTCTTCTGAGCTCTCTAGTTCTTCACTGTTAGGCTGAGGATCATGCTGGAAATATAGTTAACTGCAGTTAGGTATACAAATCAGTGAAATGTTTTGTTCTATAAAAAAATAAATATTTCATTGCCTTTTATTTCATTTTTTTCCAATAAGTTAATACTTCACATTCCATGTAGAAGTGTGTCCCAGTTTTCAAATGCTTATCTCTCTTTATTTATGCACTCATTCCTTTGTTACCCATGTATTCAATAAATATTTATTGAAACTTTATTCTGTTCTCAGCAATACTTTGGGCACTAAGTTATAGTGACAATTTTAAATTGACATGTATCCTTTCCTCTTGGAACACAGTTTCCTGCCAGAAACCAAGTTTATTCGAATAAATACAAAAGTGAATGTAAAACCAACAGTATTAAAAATGAAAGGTATGCGGTGATGTGAGAACATAGGAGGACATGACCTAACCTACGAGAGTAAGGGAGTAGGAGGAAATATTTAAATTTAGATCTAAATAATTAAAAGAAGTTAACTAGTAAAAATGGCAAATGACCAGAAAGATTGTCCCAGTACAAAAGGATAGCATGTGTTTGGGTGCACATATACAGCCTGTTTGTCCATCAATATAGAGGACTTATTAATAAAAGAATGACACTAATGTAACACTAGTGCCTCAGAACAATTATATTTACTGTCCCCTGAAATGCATTTCTCCTTTCTTCAAATATATTAGGCATATGGTCATATATCCTGTTTTCATAAAAATATTTCCTGTTTCTTCTAAAATAAAAATCAGAGAGTGATGTTAGCAAGATGGCAAGATGGCAGTCTTTGTCACCCTACAATAAACAATGACTTAACAATCCACAAATAATAATAACCCTGGGTAGGTTCAAGAGTCCAATTAAGAGCAACAGCAAAACATTGGAGCAGAAAACAGAAAAAACAAACATAAGGGATTACTAGGCATACCTGACATCTGGAAACAGCTAGAAACAAAGAAGGGTGAGGACTATCAGTATCAGCTATACAATGGGTGCCACCACGATTCCTGGTGGCCTACTCTGCAGAGGGCTGTGGCAGCCTTTGTTACAGAGAATCTCAACAGCCCATGCAGCATCTATGGATTCCTCACAACTTTTACAGCAAAAGTTCCCTTAGCATTTATCAAAACAGACCCTAGCAGCCTACTCCACAGAGGACATCTGCAGCTTTCTCCACTGAAGTAACCAACAGCCACTGCTGTCGCAGTTCCCCCAGAGAAGAAGATGCTGCTTTGCCCCTCCACATCCAAGCAGGAACTGCTGTTGTGTTGCCACATGACCAGTGTTGCCATCCCCCCAACCAATACTTACCAAAAATCCTGAAGCCATACCTGTTTTGTGTATGCTCAAGCTCAAGACACTGGCTCGGTAGTTAACACTGCAAACACTGCAGCACTGCGTATCAGACATCAGTGCCAACGCCACTGTGAGCACAACTGTGAGCCAGAACCCACACCAAGAGAGATACCCTTGACCAAGGCTTTCCTCATGAGAAAAGAAAAGAGAATAGGAAGACCCCAACAGCCTTTGCCACCGAAAACCCTAACAGCCCTCACCAACACTGCATACACTGACTGGCTTAGCTGCTGAGGACTCTTGCAACCTTCACTGATACTGACTTCAAATGATGAAGCTATACAGAGACTATGCTGCCACACCTTCACTGGAGCCAGAACAGCTGCATCCCACCCAGTTAGCACCCAGTGCACCAAACATTCTCCAGAATAGATAATATGTTAGGAAACAAAACAAGTCTTAACCAATTCAAGAAAGTTAATATATTAAATATTTTCTCTGACCACAATGGTACAAAACTGGAAACCAACGGAAAGAGGAACACTGAAAAATTCATAAATACATGTTAATTCAACAATGTGGTCCTGAACAATCAATGGGTCAAAAAAGAATTCAAAGGGACAATTAAAACATATCTTGAGACAAATGAAAATGGAAAACACAGCTTACTAAATCTTACAAGATGCAGCAAAAGCAGTTCAAAGAGGGAAGTTTATAGTGATAATGGTCTAATGAAGAAAAAAAAAGATCTCAAGTAAACAACATAACTTTACACCTCTGGAAAGTAGAAAAAGAAAAAAAAGAAAACAAACTAATACCAAAATTAGTAGAAGAAAATAACAAAGATGTAAGCAGAAATAAATTATATAAAGACTAGAAACACAATAGGACAGTAGGAGTTTTTCAAAGATAAATGAAATTAACAAATTTTTAACTAAACTAAGAAAAAAAGAGAGCAGAATCAAATAAATAAAATCTGAAATAAATGAGGAGACATTACAAGTGATACCACAGAAATACAAAAAAAAACCATAGACTACTAAGAAAAACTGTATGCCCCGAAGTTGATAAACTAGAAAAAAAAAAAAAAAAGGATACATTCTGAGAAACATACAACCTCCCAAGGCTGAAATATGAAGAAATAGATCTCTGAATAGAATGATAACAAGTAAGGAAATTGAATCAATAACCAAAAATGTCCCAAGGACCAGATACTTTCACTGGTAAATTCTATCAATTATTTAAAGGAAAAACCAAAATACCACCTATCATTCTCAAACTCTTCCAAAAACTTGAGAAGAATGAAATACCTCTAAACTTATTTTAAAATGCCAGAATTGCCCTAATACAAAAGCCAGACCAGAAGACTACCAGAAAAGAAAATTACAAGCCAATATGCCTGATGAACATAGATACAAAAATTCTCAAAAAAATACTAGCTAACTGAATTTAATAGTACATTAAAAAGATCATTCACCATGACTAAGCAAAATTTATTCCTGGGATGCAAGGATGGATTAACATATGCAAATCAATAAATGTGGTACACAATATTAACAAACTGAAAAATAAAAAGATAATCATCTCAAAACTGCACAAAAGCATTTCACAAAATTAGATATTATTTCCTGATGAAAACGCTCATCAAATTAGATATAGAATAAATACACCTCAAGGCTGGATGCATTGGTTAACACCTGTAATCCCAACACTTTGGGAAGCCGAAGTAGGTAGATCATTTGAGGTCCAGAGTTCAAGACCAGGCTGACCAACATGGTGAAACTCTGTCTCTACTGAAAATACAAAAATTAGCTGGGCATCGTGGCACTTACCTGTATTCCTAGCTAATTGCAAGGCTGATGCAGAAGAATCCTTGAACCTGGAAGGCGGAGGTTGCAGTGAGCAAAACCACGCCATTGCCCTCCAGCCTGGGAGAAAGAGAAAGACTCTGTCTCAAAATAAATAAATAAATAAATAAATAAATAAATAAATAAATAAATAAATGTTCCTCAACACAAAAAAGGCCATATATCACAAGCCCACAGCTAATATCATACTCAATGATGAAAAGCTAAAACCTTTTTCTCTAAGATCAGGATTAAGACAAGAATATCCATTCTCCCCACTTACATTCAACACAGTATTTGAAGACCTAGCCAGAGCAATTAGACAATAAATAAATAAATAACATTCAAATAAAGAAGTAAGAAGTAAAATTGCCCTATGGCAGATGACATGATCTTATATATAGAAAAACCTAGATGTCAAAAAACTGTTAGAAATAAAAAGCAAATTCTGTAAAGATACAAGATACAAATTAATATACAAAAATCAGTTGCATTTCTATACACCTACAAAGAACTATCCCCCCCACTCCAGATTAAGAAAACAATCCATTTACAATCACATCAAAAAGAGTAAAATACATAAGAACAAATTCAACCAAGGGGAAAGACTGTATGAAGGGGTGGCCTGCCCCTCCACACCTGTGGGCGTTTCTCGTCCGGTGGAACAAGAGACTTGAGAAAAGAGACACAGAGACAAAGTATAGAGAACGAAAAGTGGGCCAAGGGGACCAGCGCTCAGTATACGGAGGACCGGCACTGGCACCAGTCTCTGAGTTCCCTTAGTTTTTATTGATCATTATTGGGCGTTTGTCACAGAGTGGGATGTGGCAGGACAATAGGGTAATAGTGGAGAGAGGGTCAGTAGGAAAACATGTGAACAAATGTTTCTATATCCTAAACAAGGTAAACAAAAAAGTGCTGTGCTTTTGATGTGCATATACATAAACATCTCAATGCCTTAAAGAGCAGTATTGCTGCCAGCATGTCCCACCTCCAGCCCTAAGGCGGCTTTCTCCTATCTCAGTAGATGGAATATACAATCAAGACATTCCATTGCCCAGGGACTAGCAGAGACAGATGCCTTCCTCTTATCTCAACTGCAAAGAGGCCTTCCTCTTTTACTAATCCTCCACAGCACAGACCCTTTAGGGGTGTCAGGCTGGGGGATGGTCAGGTCTTTTCCTTCCCACGAGGCCATATTTCAGACTACCACATGGGGAGAAACCTTGGACAATACCTGGCTTTCCTAGGCAGAGGTCCCTGCGGCCTTCCACAGTGTATTGTGTCTCTGGGTACTTGAGATTAGGGAGTGGTAATGACTCTTAACAAGCATGCTACTTTCAAGCATTTGTTTCACAAAGCACATCCTGCACAGCCCTTAATCCATTTACCCTTGAGTTGACACAGCACATGTTTCAGGGAGCACAGGGTTGGGGGTAGGGTTACAGATTAACAGCATCTCAAGGCAGAAGAATTTTTCTTAGGACGGAACAAAATGGAGTCCCTTATGTCTATTTCTTTCTACATAGACACAGTAACAGTCTGATCTCTCTTTCTTTTCCCCACAATTGTACACTAAAAAAATATAAAACATTGATAAAATCAATTGAAAAAGACACAAATAAATTGAAAGATATACCATGTTTATGAATCAGGAGACTCATATTGGCAAAATGCACATACTACCCAAAGAGATCTACAGATTCAATGCAATCCCTATTAAAATTCCAATGAGGCTGGGCACGGTGGCTCATGCCTGTATTCCCAGCACTTTGGGAGGCCGAGGCAGGTGGATCACGAGGTCAGAAGATCGAGACCATCCTGGCTAACACAGTGAAACCCCGTTGTCAGGCCTCTGAGCCCAAGCCAAGCCATCGCATCTCCTGTGACTTGCACATATATGCCCAGATGGCCTGAAGTAACTGAAGAATCACAAAAGAAGTGAAAAGGCCCTGCCCTGCCTTAACTGATGACATACCACCATTGTGATTTGTTCCTGCCCCACCTTAACTGAGTGATTAACCCTGTGAATTTCCTTCTCCTGGTACAGAAGCTCCCCCACTGAGCACCTTGTGACCCCGCCCCTGCCCACCAGAGAACAACCCCCTTTGACTGTAATTTTCCATTACCTTCCCAAATTCTATAAAATGGCCCACCCCTATCTCCCTTCGCTGACTCTCTTTTCGGACTCAGCTCTCCTGCAACCAGGTGAAATAAACAGCCATGTTGCTCACACAAACCCTGTTTGGTGGTCTCTTCACACAGACGCGCATGAAATTTGGTGCCGTGACTCGGATGGGGGGACCTCCCTTGGGAGATCAATCCCCCCGTCCTCCTGCTCTCTGCTCCGTGAGAAAGATCCACCTATGACCTCAGGTCCTCAGACCGACCAGCCCAAGAAACATCTCACCAATTTCAAATCCGGTAAGTGGCCTCTTTTTACTCTCTTCTCCAACTTCCCTCACTATCCCTCAACCTCTTTCTCCTTTCAATCTTGGCGCCACACTTCAATCTCTCCCTTCTCTTAATTTCAATTCCTTTCATTTTCTGGTAGAAACAAAGGAGACACATTTTATCCGTGGACCCAAAACTCCGGCGCCGGTCACGGACTGGGAAGGCAGCCTTCCCTTGGTGTTTAATCATTGCAGGGACGCCTCTGATTATTCACCCACGTTTCAAAGGTGTCAGACCATGCAGGGACGCCTGCCTTGGTCCTTCACCCTTAGCGGCAAGTCCCGCTTTTCTAGGGGAGGGGCAAGTACCCCAACCCCTTCTCTCCGTGTCTCTACCCCTTCTCTGATTTTCTGGGGCAAGGGCAAGAACCCCTCAACCCCTTCTCCTTCCCCTCAGTGGCAAGTCCCGCTTTTCTAGGGGAGGTGCAAGTACCCCAACCCCTTCTCTCCGTGTCTCTACCCCTTCTCTGCTTTTCTGGAGGGGGGGGCACGTACCCCAACCTTGTATCTCTGCACCCTGATCCCTTATTTCCATGCCCCAACCTCATATCTCTGCACCCCGACCCCTTCTCTGCTTTTCTGGAGGGCAAGAAACCCCCACCCCTTCTCCATGTCTCTACTCTTTTCTCTGGGCTTGCCTACTTCACTATGGGCAAGCTTCCACCTTCCATTCCTCCTTCTCCCTTAGCTTGTGTTCTTAAGAACTTAAAACCTCTTCAGCTCTCACCTGACCTAAAATCTAAGTATCTTATTTTCTTCTGCAATGCCACTTGACCCCAATACAAACTCGACAGTAGTTCCAAATAGCCAGAAAAACGGCACTTTCAATTTTTGCATCCTACAAGATCTAAATAATTCTTGCCGTAAAATGGGCAAATGGTCTGAGGTGCCTGACGTCCAGGCATTCTTTTACACATCGGTCCCTTCCTAGTCTCTGTGCCCAGTGCAACTCATCCCAAATCTTCCTTCTTTCCCCTCCCGCCTGTCCCCTCAGTCCCAACCCCAAGCATCACTGAGTCTTTCTAATCTTCCTTTTCTACAGACCCATCTGACCTCTCCCTTCCTCACCAGGCCAAGCTAGGTCCCGATTCTTCCTCGCCTCCGCCCCTCCACCCTATAATCTTTTTATCGCCTCCCCTCCTCACACCTGGTCTGGCTTACAGTTTCGTTCCGTGACTAGCCCTCCACCACCTGCCCAGCAATTTACTCTTAAAAAGGTTGCTGGAGCCAAAGGCATAGTCAAGGTTAATGCTCCTTTTTCTTTATCCCAAATCAGAAGTGTTTAGGCTCCTTTTCATCAAATATAAAAACCCAGCCCAGTTTATGGCTCGTTCCACAGCAACCCTGAGACGCTTTACAGCCCTAGACCCTAAAAGGTCAAAAGGCCATCATATTCTCAATATACATTTTATTACCTAATCTGCTCCCGACATTAAATAAAACTCCAAAAACTGGAATCTGGCCCTCAAACCCCACAACAGGACTTCATTAATCTCACCTTCAAGGCGTACAATAATAAAAAAAAAGTTGCAATTCCTTGCCTCCACTGTGAGACAAACCCCAGCCACATCTCCAGCACACAAGAACTTCCAAACGCCTGAACCACAGCAGCCAGGAGTTCCTCCAGAACCTCCTCCCACAGGAGCTTGCTACAAGTGCCAGAAATCTGACCACCAGGCCAAGGAATGCCTGCAGCCCAGGATTCCTCCTAAGCCGTGTCCATCTGTGCGGGACCCCACTGGAAATCGGACTGTTCAACTCACCTGGCAGGCACTCCCAGAGCCCCTGGAATTCTGGCCCAAGGCTCTCTGACTCCTTCTCGGCTTAGCAGCTGAAGACTGACGCTGCCCGATCACCTCGAAAGCCCCATAGATCATCACAGACGCTGAGCTTCGAGTAACTCTCACAGTGGAAGGTAAGTCCGTCCCCTTAATCAATATGGAGCCTACCCACTCCACATTACCTTCTTTTCAAGGGCCTGTTTCCCTTGCCTCCGTAACTGTTGTAGGTATTGACGGCCAGGCTTCTAAACCTCTTAAAACTCCCCAACTCTGGTGCCAACTGAGACAATACTCTTCTAAGCACTCTTTTAGTTATCCCCACCTGCTCAGTTCCCTTATTAGGCCGAGACACTTTAACTAAATTATCTGCTTCCCTGACTAGTCCTGGATTACAGCTACATCTCATTGCTGCCCTTCTTCCCAATCCAAAGCCTCCTTTGCGTCCTCCTCTTGTATTCCCCCACCTTAACCCACAGGAATAAGATACCTCTACTCCCTCCTTGGTAACTGATCATGCACCCCTTACTATCTCATTAAAACCTAATCACCCTTACCCCGCTCAATGCCAATATCTCATCCCACACCATGCTTTGAAAGGATTAAAGCCTGTTATCACTTGCGTGCTACAGCATGGCCTTTTAAAGCCTATAAACTCTCCTTACAATTCCCCCATTATACCTGTCCTAAAACCAGACAAGCCTTCCAAGTTAGTTCGGGATCTATGCCTTATCAACCAAATTGTTTTGCCTATCCACCCTATGGTGCCAAACCCATATACTCTCCTATCCTCAATACCTCCCTCCACAATCCATTATTCTGTTCTGGATCTCAAACATGTTTTCTTTACTATTCCTTTGCACCCATCATCCCAGCCTCTCTTCGCTTTCAGCTGGACTGACCCTAACACCCATTAGGCTCAGCAAATTACCTGGGCTGTACTGCCGCAAGGCTTCACAGACAGCCCCCATTACTTCAGTCAAGCCCAAATTTCACCCTCATCTGTTACCTATCTCAGCATAATTCTCATAAAAACACAGGTGCTCTCCCTGCTGATCGTGTCCAATTAATCTCCCCAACCTCAATCCCTTACAAAACAACAACTCCTTTCCTTCCTAGGCATGGTTAGTGTGGTCAGAATTCTTACACAAGAGCCAGGACCGCACCCTGTAGCCTTTCTGTCCAAACAACTTGACCTTACTGTTTTAGCCTAGCCCTCATGTCTCCGTGCAGCGGCTGCTGCCACCCTAATACTTTTAGAGGCCCTAAAAATCATAAACTATGCTCAACTTACTCTCTACATTTCTCATAACTTCCAAAATCTATTTTCTTCCTCATACCTGATGCATATACTTTCTGCTCCCCGGCTCCTTCAGCTGTACTCACTCTTTGTTAAGTCCCACAATTACCATTGTTCCTGGCCCAGACTTCAATCTGGCCTCCCACATTATTCCTGATACCACACCTGACCCCCATGACTGTATGTCTCTGATCCACCTGACATTCACCACATTTCCCCATATTTCCTTCTTTCCTGTTCCTCACCCTGATCACGCTTGATTTATTGATGGCAGTTCCACCAGGCCTAATCGCCACACACCAGCAAAGGCAGGCTATGCTATAGTACAAGCCACTAGCCCGCCTCTTAGAACCTCTCATTTCCTTTCCATTGTAGAAATCTATCCTCAAGGAAATAATTTCTCAGTGTTCCATCTGCTATTCTATCTGCTATTCTACTACTCCTCAAGGATTATTCAGGACCCCTCCCTTCCCTACACATCAAACTTGAGGATTTGCCCCCTGCCCCCGCCCCCGGAACTGGCAAATTAGCTTTACTCAACATGCCCTGAGTCACAAAAACTAAAATACCTCTTAGTCTAAGTAGACACTTTCACTAGATAGGTAGAGGCCTTTCCTACAGGGTCTGAGAAGGCCACTGCAGTCATTTCTTCCCTTCTGTCAGACATAATCCCTCAGTTTAGCCTTCCCACCTCTATACAGTCTGATAACAGACCAACCTTTATTAGTCAAATCAGCCAAGCAGTTTTTCAGGCTCTTAGTATTCAGTGAAACCTTTATATCCCTTATAGTCGTCTGTCTTCAAGAAAAGTAGAACGGACTAAAGGTCTTTCAAAAACACACCTCACCAAGCTCAGCCACCAACTTAAAAAGAACTGGACAATACTTTTACCACTTTCCCTTCTCAGAAGTCAGACCCGTCCTCAGAATGCTACAAGGTACAGCCCATTTGGGCTCCTGTATAGATGCTCCTTTTTATTAGGCCCCAGTCTCATTCCAAACACCGGACCAACTTAGAGTGTGCCCCAAAAAAAACTTGTCATCCCTACTATCTTCTGTCTAGTCATACTCCTATTCTCCGTTCTCAACTACTCATACATGCCCTGCTCTTGTTTACACTGCCGGTTTACACTGTTTCTCCAAGCCATCACAGCTGATATCTCCTCGTGCTATCCCCAAACCGCCACTCTTAACTCTTGAAGTAAATAAATAATCTTGGCTGGCAGGACTATGCTGAATCTCCTTAGGCACTCTCTAATCAGATGTCCTAGGTCCTCCCAATTCTTAGACCTTTTATACCTGTTTTTCTCCTTCTCTTATTCCATTTAGTTTTTCAATTCATACAAAACCGTATCCAGGCCATCACCAATCATTCTAAATGACAAATGTTTCTTCTAACAACCCCACAATATCACCCCTTACCACAAAATCTTCCTTCAGCTTAATCTCTCCCACTCTAGGTTCCCACGCCGCCCCTAATCCCGCTTGAAGCAGCCCTGAGAAACATCGTCCATTCTCTCTCCATATCACCCCCCCAAAATTTTCACCACCCCAAGACTTCAACACTGTTTTATTTTTCTTATTAATATAAGAAGGCAGGATTGTCAGGCCTCTGAGCCCAAGCCAAGCCATCGCATCTCCTGTGACTTGCACATATATGCCCAGATGGCCTGAAGTAACTGAAGAATCACAAAAGAAGTGAAAAGGCCCTGCCCCGCCTTAACTGATGACATTCCACCATTGTGATTTGTTCCTGCCCCACCTTAACTGAGTGATTAACCCTGTGAATTTCCTTCTCCTGGCTCAGAAGCTCCCCCACTGAGCACCTTGTGACCCCCAACCCTGCCCACCAGAGAACAACCCCCTTTGACTGTAATTTTCCATTACCTTCCCAAATCCTAAAAAACGGCCCCACCCCTATCTCCCTTCGCTGACTCTCTTTTCAGACTCAGCCCGCCTGCACCCAGGTGAAATAAACAGCCATGTTGCTCACACAAACCCTGTTTGGTGGTCTCTTCACACAAACGCGCATGAAACCTGTCTCTACCAAAAATAAAAAAAATTAGCCGGGCATGGTGGTGGGAGCCTGTAGTCCCAGCTACTCGGGAGGCTAAGGCAGGAGAATGGCATGAACCCAGGAGGCGGAGTTTGCAGTGAGCCGAGATCATGCCACTGCACTCCAGCCTGGGCAACAGAGCGAGACTCCATCACAAAAAAAAAGAAAATATTCCAATGACATTTTTACAGTAATAGAAAAATCAATTATAAAATCCATATGGAACCACAAAACACCCTGAATAGCTAAAGTAAGCTTGAGTAGGAAAATCAAAGATGGATCCATCATATTTCCTGATTCTAAATTAATATTACAAAGCCCTAGTCAAAATAATTTGGTATTAGCATAAAAAAACACATCCCAATGGAACAGAGTAAAAAGCCCAGAAGTAAACCCACATATACATGATCAAATCTTTGACAAAGGTGCCAAGAATACACAGAATAAATGGTGTTGGGAAAACTGTATATCAAATTGGGAAAACTGTATATTGACTGGTGACAAAATGAGGTTGGATTTTTAGCTTTCACCTTATACAATATTCGACTTAAAATGCATTAATAATTTAAATGTAAGATCTAAAATTACAAAACTCCTAGAATAAATCATGGAGAATCTCCTTTACAAGGGTCTTGGTCTTGGCAATGATTTTTGGATATGATATTGAAAGCGCATGCATAAAAGGCAAGCAAACAAACAAAACGAGTGGGACTACATCAAAATTAAGTCTCTTTACAGCAAACAAAATAATCAACAAAATATAAAGGTGACCTATATAATGGGAAAAAAATAGTTGCAAACCATATATCAAATAATGATGCTATCCTTTGAGTATCTGTCCCCTTCAAAACTCATGTTTTGAAATTTAATTTCCAATGTGGCAGTAGTGAGAAGTGGGGCCTTTAAGAGGTGACTGGGACCCATTTACAGATTAATGGATTACTGAGTTAATGATTAATGGGTTATCACTGAAGTAGAACTAGTGGTTTTAAAGAAAAGGAAGAAAGACCCAAGCTAGCATGCATAGCCCATAACTTCACCCTGCACTCATTGACCAACTGATAATCTCTACACTTTGGCCCCCTCCAAAATTTGAAGTTTCTCTCATCTGCTCATTCAGCAGCCCCATGATTAATACTTTTTCCCTGCTGCAAATTGGTGTCTTGGCATATTGACTTGCTGTGCACATCTGGCAATGAATCTATTGCATTTGCATTCTGAACTGCCTCAGGACTCCATGGAGAGTCCTGCCAGCACAAAGGCCCTCAAAAGATGAAGCCCTTTTGTTCCTGACCAAACTGAGGATTGGGCTGCTATTTCTCGTGCCCAATAACAAGATGCAAATGAACTGGGTAGGAAGAGAGTTTTTATTTCTGCAACTGGTTACAGGGAGAAGGCCTGGAAATTACTGCCAGACCAACTCAAAATTACAGTTTTCCAGAGTTTATATACCTTCTAAGCTATATGTTTACATGTAAGTGTGCATTCATCTAAAGACATAAGTGATTAACTTCTTTTAATCTATAATTAAGGTCTGAGTCCTAAAGACCTTCTTCTGGAGCCTCAGTAAATTTACTTAATCTAAATTGGTCCAGGTGCTCGGGTGATTACCCTTATCTTATCTTCTGCTAAATCAGGGAGGTTTGGAGAGTTCCTTCAGACCCCCAATAAACTTGTTTGTGGAGGCCTGGGGAGTTTCTTCAGACCTCCGAATAAAACTTGTTTAATCTTAAATGGGTCTTATTAAGAATCCCTCCATTATTTTATCATGCTTTAAGGCCCAGGAAAGGCCTAGGGAGAAACTCTTGGTGGCCTTTTGTTACCTTCCAGTCTTTGAATAAAGGCACTGGCTTTTTTTAG
Organism: Homo sapiens; assembly: GCF_000001405.40. Classification (NCBI taxonomy): domain Eukaryota; kingdom Metazoa; phylum Chordata; class Mammalia; order Primates; family Hominidae; genus Homo; species Homo sapiens. The sequence continues at coordinate 79,694,461 of NC_000001.11, read as the reverse complement.
CTTTTAATATTTAACTTAACCACTCAGTCAGTACTGAAACAGTAGTTATGGAGGCCTGCCTTAGTGAGATCTAACCTGTCATTCTTTGATCTTGGTATTCTCAGCCTCCATAAATGAAAGAAATATACTTTTTCTCTTTGTAAGATAGCTACTTTCAGGTATTTTTTTTATAAGTAACAGAAAATGGATTAAGACAGAAAATTGGTACCAAAAAATGGCATATTGCTGATAATAAATACCAGAAAATGCAGAAGTGGCTTTGGAACTGGGTAATGGGGAGAGGCTGGAAGAAGTTAGGGGGGCAGACTATAAAAAGCCTAGATTCTTGTGAGGGCTTAGAAGACAAGATGACTAGGGAAGGTGTGGAACTCATTAGAGATTGATTAAGTTGTTGTGACCAGGATGCTGATAAGCATATGCAGATTAAAGGCTATTCTGCTGCAATTTCAGTTGGAACTGATGAACAAGGTATTGGGAACTGAAAAAAGAAAAAGCCGTTCTTGTCATAAATTGGCAAAGAATTTGGCTGAATTATGTCCATGCCTGAGGGCTTTGTGAAAGATTAAACTTGAGAGTGATGAACTAGGATATCTGGCAGAAGAAATTTCTATGCAAAATATGGAAGAATTTGCAGGGTTACTTTTGGCAACTTATGCTGAGATTCTGGAGAAAAGGAATAATTTAAAGACAGAAATTAAAATTAAAAGAGAAGCAGGGCAGAAAGATTTGGAAAATTCTCAGCTCCACCATAGAAAGAGTGAAAACGTGTGTTCAGTAAAACATACTTTGTCCTGGGTGTAGCCCAAAGACAATTTGCTAAAGAGATTAGCATAGATAGAAGGGAGTCAGCTGCTATTCCTTGACAGTGGTAGAAAGAGTCCCAAAAGCATTTTAGAGATTTTCAAGGCTGCCCTTCCCAGCACAATCCCAGAGATCTTGGAGGCCAAATGGTTTTATGGGGAAGGCCCTGGATGCTCTCTAGGGGTTCATTACCCAGGGCCACCTTGGACTCTGCTTAGTGCACCCCACTTATTGCACCCTAGTGCACCACTCCATGTCCACTCCAGCCCTGGCTCCAGTGGCCCCAGCTGTGGTTCTTGCAACTCCATAAGGTACAAGTTGTATTAGCAACATCCACATGGTGCCAATTCTAAAGGCTTGCAGAAAGCAAGAGCTGTGGAGGCTTCACAGCCTCCACCCAAATTTCAAAAGATGTCATCAAAAGCCTAGGGACCATTGTCCTAGAGCAGAGTCACCACAAATAGCCCCTTCTAGGGCAGTGCTGAGCAGAAAAAATGTGGAGTTGAGGCTGTTGTAGAGTCCCTACCAGGACAATGCCTGTGGAGCCATGGCAGCTATATGACCAGGGAGACTCCAGAACTGTGGAGTCACCAGCAGCATGGAATGCTTGCCTGAGAAAGCTTCAGGTATCCAACCCTAACCTGTACAAGTAGCCATGTGGGCTACAGCCAGCAAAGACATGGGGACAGAGCTGCCTGAGGCCTTAAAGACCCAACTGTTATCTCAATGTGCCCAAGAGGTAGCACATGGAGTTAAAAGAGATTATTTGCTTTTTTAAGATTTAATGTCTCTGGGTTTTAGACTTACTAGAGGTCTGTTATTCCTTCTGTTTTACTTATTTTTCCCTTTTGGAATAAGAATATCTTGTTCCTGTACCACCATCTCATCATGGAAGTAGATAACTTGTATTGATTTTGCAGGCTCACAGATAAAACTCTGGACTTTGGACTTTTGAACTGGTGCTGATGCAAGTTAAGACTCTGGGACTATGGAGATGGAATGGGTGTAACTGTATGTGAGAAGGACATGAGTTTTATGTGGCTAGGTGCAAAATGCTATTGTTTGAATATTTGTTTCCTCCAAAATTCATGTTGAAATTTAATCTCTAATTTTGCAGTATTGAGAAGTAGGGCCTTTAAGAGGTGAATGGACCGTGAAGGATCTGCCCTCATGACTGAGTTAATTCATTCATAGATTATTCAGTTAATGGATTAATGGATTTTCATGAGAGTGAGACTGATTGGTTTATAAGAAGATAAAATAGGCCAGGCATGGCGGCTCACACCTGTAAGCCCAGCACTTTGAGAGGCCAAAGCAGGCGCATTGCTTGAGCTCAGGTGTTTGAAATCAGCCTGGGAAACATGGCAAAAACCCCATCTCTACAAAAACACAAAGATTAGCCAGGCATGGTAGTGTGCACCTGTAGTCCCAACTACTCAGAAGGCTGAGGCAGAAGGATCACTTTAACCTGGGAGGTCAAGGCTTCAGTGATCTGTGATTGCACCACTACACCCCAGCCTGAGTGAAACAGCAAGATCCTGCCTCAAAACATTAAAAAAATTTAAAAAAAATTAAAAAATAGAAGAGGAAGAGAGACCTGGGCTAGCATGCTCTGTGCCTTCTCCACATGATGCCCTTCATGACCCTGGCACTCCAGAGAGTCCTTGCCAGCAAGAAGGTTCTCGCCAGATGCAGCCCCTTGGCCTTGAACTTCTTCATCTCTGTAACTGTAAGAAATATATTTATTTTTTAAAATAAATTACTCAGTTTCAGATATTCTATTATAAGCAATAGAAAATTCAATAAGGCAAAGGATTAATATCCAAAATATATAAGAAACTTATATAACTTAATAGCAAATAATAATAATAACACAATATAAAATGGAGCATGGGTCCTAAATAGATATTTTTCCAAAGAAGACATATAAATAGTCAATAGGTACATGAAAAGGTGTTCAACATCACTAATCATTATGGAAATGCAAATCAGAACTCAAAGAACTATCACTTCACAGCTTTTAGGATGCTTATTATTAAAAAAATTCAAAAGACAGTAAATGTTGGTGAGGATTTAGAGAACAGGAAAGTCATGTACATTGCTGGTGGGAATGTAAATTGGTGCAGCCATAGTGGAAGGCAGTATGGAGATTTATCAAAAAATTAAAAAGAGAATTATCATATGATTCAACAAGCTACTTCTGGCTATATATCCAATAGAAATAAAATAACTAATGTGAAGACATACCTGCAGCCCCACATTCATTTCAGCATTATTCACAATAGTTAAGTATAGAAACAATCTAAATGTCCATCAAATCAATGGATGAATGGAGAAAGAACTTGATACACACACACACACAGAGGAATATTTCAGACTCTAAAAAAGAAGGAAATCCTGCCATTGCAACAATATGGATGAAACTGGAAGATATTATGCTCAGTGACATAAGCCAGAAATAGAAAAATACTGCATGATCTCACCTACATGCAGAGTCTAAAAAATGGAACTCATAGAAAGAGAGTGTGGTTACCAGAGGTCAGGAGATGGGTGAGATGGGAGAGGTTGGTCAGAGGGTACAAATTTGCAGTTGCAAGATGAATAATTTTTATATGATGTATACTTTACCTCATAGTTACTACGGGTAATAACAATGTATTGCATACTTGAAACTTGCCAAGAGAGTAGAACTTAAGTATTCTCACCACAAAAAAAAAAAAAAAAAAAAAAAAAAAAAAATGGAAAGGTAAGTATTTGAGGTGATGAATAGGTTAATTACCTTGATTGTGGTAATCATTTCACAATATATTTTCATATCAAAATATCAATCTGTATGCCTTGAATACCTGTTTATACCATTTTTATTTTTTAATAGTACTTCAGTAAAGCTGAAAAACAAAAGAACAAAATTCTGGCATATACTACAACAGGGATGAACCTTGAAAACTTTATGCTAAATGAAATAAACCAGTCATAAAATAACCACTGTAAAAAGTGAATAAATGAAAATTGAAAATAAAAATAAAAAAATAATTTCTCCAGCCCATAAATCACTATCATTTAGCACTCTGCATTTTTTATCCCAGACCACACTTCTGACATATTATTTGTTTCAGTGTTTATTAATTTTCTTTTCATCAGACTTCCTGATATCAAAGACTGTTATATCCCTAGAACCATTGTCTAGCATATCACAAATGTTCAATAAATATTTCTGAATACTCAGGTAAGTGAAATAATCTTTCAGAATTTATTAAATGCCAGTCACTTTGTTATTTTAACATATATTCTCTCATTTTATCCTCTTGAAACTATAAAGTTTGTATTATTCCCATTATCGTAATGGAAATGCGAGGGTTGGCTAGTTCAATAGCTTTCCTAGGTTCATTCAATCGGTAAATGACAAAAATAGAATTTGTATTTAGCTCTATTTGACTCAAACGCCCATAGTCTTAAGAACTGCACTGCATTGCATTTTAATTTTACACTTTGTTATTAGAACTGTTTCTAGAACTAGAAATAATATAGGAAGAACAGGAAAATGCATTCTAGGGTACAGATTTCTTCTCATTGGCCCTTCATTTTCTCTATATAAAAGAAATAGATGTTCTAGCACAGCTACATATTTTGGAAGCGTTTCTTTTTAAGTGACTTTAACCTACATATTTGTAAACCAGATATTACTCACCTAATTCCAAGTGAGTGTCTTATAAAACACAACAGATAATTTTGTGTAGCTGAATCAAGTTTTGACCAGGTCACATATAACCATACTTTTTTAAAAAAAGGATTGATTTTCTCCTCAGTTAACCTCACATTTGATTCAGTAAAGGATATCGAAATTTGTCTCCATTGCCCATTACACCCAAGTAGACATTTTATTGAAGGATATTTTCCCAAATAATCTGCAAATTGCTGCATCACTGTAGTGCAATATTTTGTTGTCCTCCTTGGCATAATTGCCCAGGCTTCTTCCCTAAGCAGGCTAAATTCTCATACAAACATTTCAGCATTTTCTGCCGATTTTTTTTGGCTTTCATATTTGTAAAGGTTCCAGTACATCCCTTTCAGCATATGAGCCAGACCTGAACAATCTCCACAAACATGGGAAGACTCTCCTTGGTACTAACACTGAGACCGACTTGGCAGAAAGAGATTATTACTTTTCCTCAAGCATGGAAAAGTACATGAAGCCCATGCCAACCTACAGGCTGCCTGTGTGTTTGGCCCCTTTTATGTCATGTAAACTATGGATTCTGTGATATTTTCATGCATTTTCTTATTTCCGTGAGCCAATTCGCTTGCTGGAATTCATGTCCCCCTAATGGAGCCAAGAGTTTATCTTAGATACTTGTTTCCTTACCACCTTTAATGTTCCTTGTATGTACTGTATGCAACTATTGTTTTTATCCTTCTGGAAGTAACTTTCTCCTCCCCAGAGCAAGACTGTAGACATATTATAATAACATTCATAATTGACAATGGTAAACCAATAAAATTAAGTTTAAACAAAGAATTAAACTAAGCAGAGTCTGTCGTCTATATTCCTCTAGTGATTCATGTTGTATCTTTTGGATCATTCATCATCTTAAATTAAAACTACATTAGTGTCAGAAACATAGGAAAGGAAAAAAAAGATAGTGAAAGGAGGTGGTGAGCGCAAACCAAGACAAAAATATTTTTTACTGTACAATAGTACTGAAAACCAGCCCCTCCACAGCCCTGTCTAAAATGCCCCTTCTGTTGGGACCACCCTTATGTGAAAGGGATAGTAAGTACTTCATTAGTATATGAAATGACCTGTTTCTTATGCAGCCTTGTAACTGAAAAGCAGAAAAGTTTGTTGCAGCCAGCTCAAAAACCCATCATCAGAACGTTTTCATTTAGGAAAAAATCAAACAAAGTAAACGTTTTATCACAACATTCTAAACATTTCAAATCTACTGAAATATTTGATTGTAATCAAGGATTTTTAATGTTCTTAGGTAAAGAAACTGGATGACAGATACAGCATTAAAGGACCCAGTGACACAAGGAGGATGGAGTTTTTGTGAAAGAGTGTGATAATATGGGCAGCCTGAACAATCAGTATGTCCAGGCTAGAGAGGCTCCAACATTAGAATTTCATGCTCCTCTACATGGGATTCATTTAACTTCATCTGTAGGTGAAGCCCACAGACCCTAAAAGACATGGTCATGTCTTTTATAGTTTCTGCCATGTTTCATAATTTTCTAGCCACACTGACATCTACCTCCATAGGTTTGACCAAATTTCAAATTTTTCCCATTTTTATAGTATACTTAAAAAAATTTATGAGGTATTAAGAATAATTTATTTTTTGGTAATTGGCAAAATGTCACTATTTACAAATTGAGCATATCTACCACTTCACTGATATTGTCCTTTAAAGGCTGGAAAAAATACAGTTCTGAAAACTGGAGCCCAAGCATCTACCATCAGATTTCCCAAAAAGCAGTCAAGGTGTTTTCCAATGTCTCTTACAAATAATCCAGTGTTGTTATGTTGCTGCAAAAGGAGAGAAAAATCCAAAAATCTGTGTGACTGGAGAAGTTAAGCACAAAATATCTACAAGGATAAAAAGATGGTAAGAGATCTAACTATCACCCCACCTATAAAGCCCTATCCACAAGGTGAGATGAAATCTATCAAGTTCATCTTGCAGTATTGCATGTCTCAAGGAAGTGCTGTTACAGCAGAATGGGTGAACAATATTGGAATGATGTGAGACAATGCAACAGTCAGTGAAAATAAATAGAGTTCTGGGGCTCGAGAAGTAAAGAAAAACTATAGTTAGTTAAAAAGAACCTCAGACGAAAGGGCACTCAGAAAGACCCTCATTTCTTGCTCCTGATCTCCAGGTAGAGTCTTGGGACAAGGTAAAAATTACAGCAAAACAAAAATGGTTTTTGAAGAATCTGAAATCACAGTGAACTTGTGCAATTATTTTTAAGATAACGGCAAGCCTCACCTAGTCTTGCAATGTTCTCTGCATGGTGTGACAGACACATTGAAAAATGACTAGGATACAAGAGGATAACAGTGGCCTTTTATAATTACCCCATGCTCCTGATACTTGGACAGTAACCAAATATTTCATGTGCTTTCAAGAAGAGAACAGAAGTAACTGGAATAGTCAGACTTGGAATATCCTTGCAATTGGAAAAAGGGCAACAGAACACCCGAATGGATGGTCATGCCACATTTAACTTACCTAAAGATAAGAAAGATCGTAATTTATTTAGAGCTCTAAGTGGCTTGGCATGGATGAGTATACAAGGGAAGAGAAAACAAAACAAGCAAAAAACCAGGGAAAATTGTGTTCCAGGAGCCATTTAAGAATTTCAAGAGAAGAGAGAGTGTAGAAGTCAGGACAACTAAGCATTGAAAAGCATCCCATAGATTAGTGTCACAGTAGTCACCGGTAAACTGTATAACTGCAGGAATAGTGCTGATGGAGGCAGAGGCCAAATAGCAAGTTTCTGAAAATGAGAAAAGTATTGTTAAGTGAAAATAATAATGTGCTAAAGATAACTACAGATATTATCTGTGAGGAAAAACACAATGAATAATTGAGGGGGCTATACGGTGGAAGGGAGGTGATGTTGTTTTGAATCATTGAAGTGATATGAATATGATAAAATAACTATTGAAAGAAGTCAACAGAGTGATAGTGTTTCAAAGACACCAATGAGAGACAGAAAAGTTGATGGAGTAAGTTAGGAGTAGGTGTGCTTCAAGTTGCAAGAGAAAAGTTGTACCTTAGAAAAGGTGGTCAGTGGATATTTTTTGGAAATTGATTTCCCCTGGGTACTCAAGGATTTAACTATCAGCATAAATAATCAAAGATAATGAGAAGAGTTATGAAAGAACATTTATATGAAAATGTTATTTTGGGTTATTTTTATGTAGTTCAATCTTTTCAATTTTATTTTGATTCAGCATGGCCTATTTCCATTTTTTGATAGCCTTGCCCTTCTAAAATATTTTGGATTTCTGTTCCCCTTCTCTGATTTTCCTTTTCACGTGCCCGATCTGAGATTCCCTCATACCTTCTGCTCACACCTGATGGTAATTCATACTTCTGAAAAATACCACATTATGCTTAAGGTGGATGTGCATCTGCAGAGTTAGAATATGACTTCACACATTTGAGAAACAAAAATCACTACAGCAAAGTGCTGTAATTGTGAACATTTATTTGGAGTGCAGACCATCAATTATATTACTTAAGTTATGAAATTCATGATACTGAAGTTTATGCTTGCTAATACGGGTGTCTATAGTCAACTCTGTTTCTATCTCACTGGCATAACTATTACAAAAGTACTATTATAAAAGTACTACAGCTTGGGAGACTTTTTTTTTTTCCCATAATGAGCATGTATTTCATAGTGACTTTGATGCTTAGATACTAAAAATTTATAAAGAAATTTCATCTAACATTGCTGCAACCCATAATTATTTATAGATTAGATTCAGAAAACTGGTTAGAGTGAATAACATAATGGTTATTTAGCATTTTAATTGTGACAAGGACAAAAGATTAAATGCCATGGTGACAAAATGGCACCTATTTACTTAGAGTGGTCTCTATTTAACACTCTAAATAGATACTACACCAAAGTGTTACTCCCATCACTATGAGTAAACTAAGGGAAAATATGTTTCTACAAAAGAATTTTATAAATATTAGTCAATAAAAGCTATAAAAACTTGAAAAATGCAATGAGCCTATTAAATCTAACCTCGAACAGAGAAGTGTAGTAGGTACACCATTGGGAAAAGGCCACAAATACTTATTCAAGCTAGGGAAAAATTACTTCATTTATATTCCAAATATTCAAAATAGAGCCAAGTGATAGGCAAGGTATTCATCCTATTAGAAAGTGTTTTACTAATAGAGAATAGTATCTAAGTCTATGAAGATCACTGGAGAAACACAAAAACTAAAACAAAAAACGGAACACTATTAATTGACTGCATTTTCATTTTACCTATTTGAATTTTAGTTAAAACTATCAAGTCAGGGATAATGGGATAATCTGTAATTATCTATTAACTACCATTCAGAGATCTAGTTAAGAAAATTGGATTTGGTTGAACAAATTAGAGATTTGGTTAAACAAATGTCACTTTTTAAGGGAATATTTAAAGTTCCACAAAGAACCTAGTCAAATTTGAATCCATACAATAGGTTGTTTTCCTTAAAAAGACACAATGAAAAGCAAATGTGGGAAGATTAAGAAATATCCTAAATAGATTCAAAAATTTTCTTTTTAAAAAAAATTTTCATGGCAATATATTTTAAAGTAAATAATATAATTAATACAGTTGTCTCCCTTATCTGCAGTTTTGCTCTCCTGGTTTCAGTTACCTGCAGTGAACCAGGATCTAACAATATTAAATGAAAAATTCCAGAAAAAAAATTTGTAAGTTTTACATTGTGCTACTCCAAGCAGTGTGATGAAATCTTGCACTTCTCCGTTCTATCCCACTAAAGAGAGGACAAAGAATCCTTTCTTTGTCCAGTGTATCCACATTATATACACTACCCACCCTTTATTCATAGACATCATCTTCTCCTGACATCCAACCATGGACATAGACATGGACATGGATCCATGAACTAGGATCACCCAAAGCAGATGATCCTCCCTCTGACCTGTCATCAGAAGGTCAATAGTAACAACACTATGTCGCAACGTCTATGTCTTTCACCTCATTTCACCTCATTACATATACATTCCATCACCTCCCTTCATCACAAGAGAAGGTTGAGTATAGTACAATAAGATATTTTGAGAAAAAGAGTGAGATCATATTCACATATAACTTTTATTGCAGAGTATTGTTATAATTGCTTTATTTTATAATTAGTTATTATTGTTAATCTCTTACTGTGCCTAATTTACAAATCAAGCTTGATCATAAGTATGTGTGTATAGGAAAAAAGCATTTTAAGTAGGGTTTGTGGATAGTAATATCCATGGTTTCAGGCATCCACTGGGGATCTTGGAATGTATGCCTTATCAATAAGGGGAGTACTACTATAAAGCTTATGTTCTTAAAGAGGTGTACTTGAGTGATGAACTACCCTCTAATTTATGTACTGAAGAAGTGTGGAGTACTGAATGAGAGCAATACAAACATGAACATGTACACAATACACTTTATGTTTTTGAAAATATTCATTTTAGAATGTGCACCCAAGTTGTTTATTGCTGACAGAATATACTTAAGGCAAGTTATAAAAGCACATGTAAACACGACTTTGTATTTGCTAAGTTAATTCAATACAGGCAGCATAACAAGACTATCAATAGCATTTATTTTCCATAAAACAGTAAAAAGTATGCATTGTAAAATTAATTTCCATTGATTACCCCAGGCTAACCAGAAACTTTTAATTCTTCCAATTTTCAGTTTTCAAGTGAATAATGTACAAATTTGCTTTGCTTTGTTGATTAGTGTATATACATATATATGCACACACACTAAACATATACACTACTATACATATACATATATTGACAGTATATATATGTACAAATTTGTTTTGCTTGGTTGATTAGTGTATATATATATATGAATATGTGTATATTCATGTGAATATATAGTGTATGTATATAGAATATGTATATATATTCTATATATATACACTAATCAACCAAGCAAAACAAATTTGTACACATATATATATACTGTCAAGTATATATATATGTATATATATTGTCAAGTATATATATATGTATATATATATGTATATATATATATATATATATATATACTGTCAAGCTGAAGAGTTCAGTCCTATATGTAATATGTTTTCATGCTTTCATTCTCTTCCTATGTATATTTATACATGTGCTTCCTTAGTTATTTATTTGTTAGAATACAGTCTATTCTCACTACTCACTTTAATCACACCCTATAAAGTCTCTGTGAACACTAAATTAGTGAAAGTTGAGCTATTGTTCCTAGGGGAAATACAAGGTTAGGTTCCTGTGAGCCTCTGCATATTTTCATCAACTGACCAATATATAACTTTGTTTTATGTGTGTTTCTGTTGAAAGATACCTTATGTAATATATAGTTTGTACATTAAACTCACAGCCAACAGCATTGTAACTCTTCCTGAATGAAGCTTACCTAACATGAATTTTCTCTGTGAGGACCATCACAGTCTTCTTGCACTTAGGAACACTAGACTGCATTTCTGCATGATGGGGGCCATTTTAAACAGAAAAATTAACCACAATAAGCACAAACAAATAAAAAAAAAGTGGCAAATAAACAGACCAATAAAAAGACACTCATTTACAGTATGACAGTTAGAACAAGAAAGCAAAATATCTCCTTATTTGACCTCAGCTGTGAATATCCACATTGAATAACTCATTTTTTCCCTGCCCTGTGCATGTCCACAAGTGACTTACAAAGTGCCTTGAGTTTTGATCTTGAGGTTAAAAATGAATTTTAGCTAGTAGATAAATTTTGCAAACGAAGAATTTATGAACAATGAGTAGGAACCTTTTATCCGCTTCCTCCCTATTAGAAGAAGTACAATTCTAAGCAAAAAGAGTCCATGAATTTTTTTTAATGTAGTTAGGAGTGAAGAAGTGTGAGTATATGCAGCAGGATTGCCTGGGTTTAGACCAACACTCCTACTAATTTAAGTGTGATTTTCCAAACCTTATGACTTATGTAAAAATTCTACAAGCTCTTCTAAAAACTCTGAAACAGATAATAAGTGGTGAAAGAAAGAAAGAAAGAAAGAAGAGAAATGAGAATGAGTAAAAAATGAACAGAGCATAATGGAGAAGACACCTTTTTGAGTTTACAAGAGTTAGACAATATTTTGTTAATGTAATAATATTTACTTATAAATTTAATATTTAATAAAGTTAACATTTATAACACAATATAATTATATTTTAAGTATGTTATATGTTAATTATATTATTTAAAATATAACTTAGTGAATAAATGTAATATTTAATATGTAAATTTAATATGATTCTATTAATTTTAAAATACTAAATTTATCTTAAGGAGACAACATCTAACAACTATAAAATAGGAGTATTAAAGAAGATCAAGTCTGAGTGTGGTGGCTCACACCTATAATCTCAATACTTTAAAAGGATTGCTTGACCCCGAGAGTTAAAGACCAGCCTACGCAACATAGCGATATCTCATCCTACAAAATTAAAAAATTTAAAAAATTAGCCAGTGTGGGGCTGCATGCCTGTAGTCCCAACTACTTGGGAGGATCACTTCAGCCTGGGAGGTCAAGGCTGGAGTGAGTAGTGATCACGCCACTGCACTCCACCCTGAGCAACAGAACGAGAATCGGTCTCAGAAAAAAAAAAAAATTAAGAATTGTCTGCCAAATACATGAAACTATGCAATTGTCTACCTGAACGAACACATTTGTCACAGTTAAACTGATTAAGAGCTAAGAAGCATGGTCATTATCCCAATATTATAATCAGGTGAATAATACTCATATTTTTCTTTGTGACATTTATTTTTATTGTGATAAAAATACATACTTTTTATACCTTCACTCAACAAGGAGAATCATGACTTGCATTTTACAGTCTCATAAATACAATTCCAATTTTTTAGAAGACTCCTCTTTGAAATTATGAAGGGGTAAGATTATTTTTTCCTTTTATTCCTCTTATTTTTTCTTCCTTCTTTCCCCCCTCCCTCCCTTGCTTCTTTCTTTCCTTCCTTCTCTCACATGCGTTCTTTTCTCCTTTTCGATTTTTGAACATCTCATTGGTACATACGGAATTCTAAAACTTGTTTATTTTCTCTTTACCATATTTGAGTTGAGAAAAAACCATGACACTCTGCTATTTATATGAACACCAGTTTATCTTACCAAGGCCTATTATTTCTGCTTTTGAAATTTTGTTTTAATTATTTTATTTTTATTATGAAAAAATTGTTTAGGAATAAAAGATTGAGACAGAATCCATACAAAGTTTAAAGAACTGCAATACAGTTGCTACTTATATAATTGTCCAGAAGATGTCTCTCCCCATTCACATCTCTTTCCTTGCTCTGCAGAGAACCATTAAATTCTGAGGTAATCATTTTCTTGTTCTTCTTTATTGTTCTAACACACCTATGCATATGTCCCACTTTTTTTAATAATATATAAGTGAAATAATTCTCTATGTATTCCACTGTTTTGCCTCTTCAACATCATGTCTTTGAGATTCATTCAAGTTAATACATGTTACTTTAATTCGTTAATTCTCACTGTTGGATTGACCATGAAATATTTGTCTATCCTACTACTGACATACATTTTCCTTTTCCTCTTTTTTTTTTTTTTTTTTTTTTTTTTTTTGCTGTTATGAACAACGCTGGTTTGGGGAGTGCTAAAAGAAACAGGAAACTAGAACCAACTGCTGGCAGAGGGATATGGACCATTGCTGGTGTGATGCTGAAAACAACATCAAGCAGACAGCAGGGATCAAAGCCTTTATTCCCACTTCCTCCCTGCCAGTCTTCCCCCATGTTTCCATTGGCAAGACCTGTATCAAGAAGCCAGGTGACAAAAGATAATACAGTTTTCTTTGTCCCAGCCCCAAAATCACCAAGCTGATTAAACAAAGGTAAATTTGTAGCTATAATAGTTTGTAGAGATAATAGTTTAACAACCAACAGAATAGTTAAATAATTAATGCAAAAATTCCGAAGTCTGAAGAGGGGGTCAATAGGAGATACAAGAATAAATGATTGAAGGAACTGGATTGCTGCTGCAGGCCTCCTGAGATGCAAAAAAACTATGAGTCTGCTTGTTTTCTCAGCAAGGAGGTTCGTGGTCAGGGGGAAGTTCTCAACCCTGGTCCCTGGCTGCCTGAAAATAGACTCAGCATCATTAGGGGCCATAGTGGGAGTGAGATCAACTTCTATATATGTATAAAAGTCTCGCTCTCGGTCACCCAGGCTGGAGTGCAGTGGTGCAATCTTAGCTCACTGCAACCTCCGCCTCCTGGGTCAAGTAATTTTCCTGCCTCAGCCTCTCAAGGATTACAGGTGCCTGCCACCACAGCCAGCTAATTTTTTTTTTTTTTTCTTGAAATGGAGTCTCACTCTGTCACATAGGCTGGGGTGCAGTGGCAGGATCTACTTCAAGCGATACTCCTGCCTCAGCCTCCTGTGCAGCTGGGATTACAGGCATGCACCACCACACTTTGCTAATTTTTGTATTTTTAGTAGAGATGGGGTTTCACCATGTTGGCCAGGCTGGTCTAAAACTCCTGACCTCAAGTGATCCGCCCACCTTGACCTCCCAAAGTGTTGGGAGTGCAGGTGTGAGCCACCACACCCATCAGAGACCATCCTTTAAGACTACAGGCTGCATGGGAGTGGGGTGAGGCTGGTGACTGCCAGCTTTCCTCTACTTTCCAGGCCACCTGTGTGACTCTCCTAGGAATATAACTCCATTGGCTTGAAAACCACACCCTTATTCCCCACAGCAGCTGCAGCAAGCCCCACCCATGCCAGAGTCTGAGCTCAGACATGCCTATCCCTGCCTGCACCTGGTAGTCTTTCTCTACCTGCCCTGTTAGTTGAAGACAACAGTCATAATCTCTTGGGAGCTCTATGGCCCTGCCTACCACTTGAGAAACCTGAATACTTAACCAGGCATCCCTAGGGCAAGTTTGCATCCTCCCTATAGTACCACAGCTGATGCACTCTTAAAAGTGCCACCTCCTAGCTGGAGGCCAATCAACACAAAACCAGTGCACTAAACAAAAATACAACCAAGGACCATCACAGAGTCCACTTCACTCCCCTGTTACCGCCACTGGGGCGGATGCTGTTATCCATGGCTGAAAGACATGAAGACGGATCACATCGCAGGACTTTTTGCCAACACTCCCCAAGACCAGCTCAGAGGCCAGTAGCTCCACTGGGTGGCTAGATCTAGAAAAGGAAATCAATCACTGCTGTTTGGCTCTCAGAAAGCCCTATTCCTAGGGGAAGAGGGGAAACAGCACATCAAGGGAGCACCCTGTGGGACAAAGGAATCTGAGCAGCAGCCCTTGAGTCTCAGATCTTCCCTCTGACATAGTCTACCCACAAGAGAAGGAACCAGAAAAACAATTCTGTAATATGACAAAAATGTTCTGTAACACCTCCAAAAGGTCACTCTAGCTCACCAGCAATGGATCTAAACCAAAATAAAATCTCTGAATCACAAGAAGAAGAATGGAGAAGGTTGATTATTAAGCTAATCAAGGAGGCACCAGAGAAAGGTGAAGTTCAATTAAAAAAGATCAAAAACGTGATATAGGATATGAAAGAAAAAATCTTCAGGGAAATAGATAGCATAAATAAAAAACAATCACAACTTCTGGAAATCAAGGACACAATTAGAGAAATGCAAAATGCACTGGAAAGTCTCAGCAATAGAATTGAACAAGTAGAAGAAAAAAACTTCAGAATTCAAAGACAGGCTTTTGAATTAACTCAATCTGTCAAAGACAAAGAAAAAGTAATTGTACAAAATGAACAAACCCTCTGTGAAGTTTGAGACTATGTTAAACATTCAAACCTAAGAAAAATTGGTTTTCTCAAGAAAGAAGATAAATCTAAACATATGGAAAACATATTTGAGGGAATAGTAAAGAAAAACTTCCCGGACTTTGCTAGAGATCTAGACATCCAAATACAAGAAGCTCAAAGAACACCTGGGCAAGTCATTGCAAAAAGGTTATCACCTAGGCACATAGTCATCAGGTTATTTAAAGTCAGAATGAAGGAAAGAATCTTAAGAGCTATAAGGCAAAAACATTAATAGTAGATTTCTCAGCAGAAACTCTACAAGCTAGAAAAGATTGGGGTCCTATTTTTAGCTTCCTTAAGCGAAACAATTATCAGCCAAGATTTTGTATCCAGTGAAACTAAGCTTCATAAACGAAGGAAAAATAGTCTTTTCAGACAAACAAATGCTGAAAGAATTTGCCACTACCAAGCCAACACTGCAAGAACTTCTAAAAGGAGCTCTAAATATTGAAACAAATCTTTGAAATACACCAAAATAGAACCTCCTTAAAGCATAAATCTCAGAGGACCTATAATAACAATAACACAATGAAAAAAACAACAACAAGGTATTCAGGCAACAGATAGCATGATAAATAGTACTTCGCATCTTAATACTAATGTTGCAAGTAAATGGCCTAAGTACCCCACTTAAGGCCGGGCGTGGTGGCTCAAGCCTATAATCCCAGCACTTTGGGAGGCCGAGGCAGGCGGATCACGAGGTCAGGAGATCGAGACCATCCTGGCTAACATGGTGAAACCCTGTTTCTACTAAAAATACAAAAAAATTAGCCGGGCATGGTGGCGGGTGCCTGTAGTCCCAGCTACTCGGGAGGCTGAGGCAGGAGAATGGCATGAACCAGGGAGGCGGAGCTTGCAGTGAGCCGAGATCGCGCCACTGCACTGCAGCCTGGGAGACAGAGTGAGACTCCGTCTCAAAAAAAAAAAAAAAAACAACCCACTTAAAAGATACAGAATGGCAGAATGGATAAAAATTCACCAACCTAGTTTCTGCTATCTTCAGGAGAATTACATAACACATAAGGACTCACATAAACTTAAGATAAAGCGGTGAAAAAAGATATTCCATGCAAATGGACAACAAAAGTGAGCAGGAGTTAACTATTCTTATCTCAGACAAAACAAACTTTAAAGCAACAGCAGTTTAAAAAGACAAAGAAAGATATTATATAATGATAAAAGGACTAGGCCAACAGGAAAACATCACAATCCTAAATATATATGCACGTAACACTGGAGCTCCTAAATTTATAAAACAATTACTACTAGACCTGAGAAACAAGATAGATGGCAACACAATAATAACGGGAGACTTCATACTCTACTGACAGCACTAGACAGGTCATCAAGATAGAAAGTCAACAAAGAAACAATAGGCTTAAAAAACACCCTAGAACAAGTGGGCTTAACAAATATTTATAGAACATTCTATCCAAAAACTTCAGGATATACATTCTATTCATCAGCACATGGAACATTCTCCAAGATAGACTATATGATAGGCCACAAGTCTCCATAAATTTAAGGAAATCAAAATTATTCCAAGTACTCTCTTAGACAACAGTGGAATAAAATTGAAAATCAACTCTAAAAGGAACCCTCAGAACCATACATACAAATACATGGACATTAAATAACCTGCTCCTGAATGATCATTGAGTCAACCATGAAATCAAGATGGAAATTTAAAAATTCTTTGAACTGACAGATAATAGTGACACAACATATCAAAACCCCTGTGATACAGTAAAAGTAGTGCTAAGAGGAAAGTTCATAGCATTAAATGCCTACATCAAAAAGTTCGAAAGAGCACAAATAGAGCTAAGGTCACACCTCACAGAAGTGGAGAAACAAGAATAATCTAAACCCAAACCCAGCAGAAGAAAAGAAATAACAAAGATCAGAGCAGAACTAAATGAAGTTAAAAAAACAACAAGAAAAACAATACAAAAGATAAATGAAACAAAAAGCTGATTCTTTGAAAAGATGAATAAAATTGATAGACCATTAGCAAGATTAACTAAGAAGAGAGAAGATCCAAATAAGCTCAATTAGAAATGAAACAGGAGATATTACAACTGCTACCCTTGAAATACAAAAGTTTATTCAAGGCTACTATGCACACCTTTATGCATATAAACAAGAAAACCTAGAGGAAACTCATAAATTCCTGGAAATATACAACACTCCTAGATTAAACCAGGAAGGTATAGAAACTCTGAACAGACCAACAACAAGCAGCAAGGTTGAAATAATAATTTTAAAAATGGCCAAGAAAAAAGTCCAGGACCAGAAGAATTCACAGCTGAATTCTGTCAGACATTCAAAAAATTGGTACCAATCCTACTGACACTATTCCAAGGATAGAGAAACAGAAAATCCTCCATAAATTATTCTACGAAGCCAGTATCACCCTAATACCAAAATGAGAAAATGACATAACAAGAAACAAAAACTACAAACCAATATCCCTGATGAACATAGATGCAAAAATCCTAACAAAATACTAGTGAACTGAATCCAACAGCATATCAAAAACATAATTTATCATGATCAACTGGGTTTCATACCCAGTTTAACATATGGATGGTTTAACATATGTAAGTCAGTAAATGTGACACACCACATAAATAGAATTAACAAAAATCACATAATTATCTCAATAGATGCAGAAAAAGCATTTGACAAAATACAGCATCCCTTTATGATTAAAACCCTCAGCAAAATCGGCATAGAAGGGACATACCTTAAGGTAATACAAATCATCTATGACAAACCCACAGCCAACATTATACTGAATGGGGAAAAGTTGAAAGCATTTCCCCCTAGAACTGGAACAAGACAAGCATGCCCACTCTTACCACTTCTATTCAACATAGTACTGGAAGTCCTAGCCAGTGCAATCAGACAAGAGAAAGAAAGGGCATCCAAATTGGTGAAGAGGAAGTCAAACAGTCTCTGTATGCTGATTATATGATTGTACATCTAGAAAACCCGAACGACTCCTCTAAAAAGCTCCTAGAACTGGTAAATGAATTCAGCAAAGTATCAGGATACTAGATTTACCTACACAACTCGGTAGTTCTGCTATACACCAACAGCAACCAAGCTGAGAATCAAATCAAGTACTCAATTCCCTTTACAATAGCTGCAAAAACAAACAAACAAACAAAAAAATTTAGGACTATACATAACCAAGGAGGTGAAAGAACTCTACAAAAAAATAACTACTAAACACTCCTGTAAGAAATCATAGACAATACAAACAAATGGAAACACATCCTTTTGTCATGGATTGGTGGAATCAATATTGTGAAAATGACCATAATGCCAAAAGCAATCTACAAATTCAGTGCAATTCCCATCAAAATACCACCATCATTCTTCACAGAACAGAAAAAACAATCCTAAAATTCAGATGGAACCAAAAAAGAGCCTGCATATCCAAAGCAAGACTAAGCAAAAAGAACAAATCTGGAGGCATTACATTACCTGACTTCAAACTATACTACAAGGCCATAGTCACCAAAACAGCATGGTACTAGCATAAAAATAGGGGTATAGACCAATGGAACAGTATAGAGAACCCAGAAATAAAGCCAAATACTTACAGCCAACTGATCTTTGACAAAGCAAACAACATAAAATGGGGAAAGACACTCTATTCAACAAATGGTGCTGGGATAACTGGCAAGCCACATGTATGTAGAAGAATTAAACTGGATTGTCATCTCTCACATTATATGAAAATCAACTCAAGATGAATCAAAAGCTTAAATCTAAGACCTGAAACCATAAAAATTCTAGAAGATAACGTTGGAAAAACCCTTCTAGACATTGGCTTAGGCAAAGACTTCATGACCAAAAACCCAAAAGCAAATGCAACAAAAACAAAGATAAATAGAGATGGGGCTTAATTCAACTGTAAAGCTCCTACACAGCAAACAAGAAATAATCAACAGAGTTAACAGACAACCCACAGAGTGAGAGAAAATCTTCACAATCTATACATCTGACAAAGAACCAATATCCAGAATCTACAAAGAATTCAAACAAATTAGCAAGAAAAAAACAAACAATCCCATCAAAAAGTGGGCTAAGGATATTAATAGACAATTCTCAAAAGAAGATATACAAATGGCCAACAAGCATATGGAAAAATAATCAGCATCAATAATGATCAGGAAAATTCAAATTAAAACCACAATGTGATACCAACTTATTGCTGCAAGAATGGCCATAATAAATAAAAAAAATAATAGATGTTGGTGTGGATGTGGTGAAAAAGGAACACTTTTACACTGTTGGTGGGAATGTAAACTAGTACACGCACTATGAAAAAAAGTGTGGAGATTCCTTAAAGAACTAAAAGTAGATCAACCATTTGATCCAGCAGTTCCACTACTAGCTATCTACCCACAGGAAAATAAGTCAAGAAGTCATTATATGAAAAAGATACTCACACATGCTGCATGTTTATAGCAGGACAATTTGCAACTGCAAAAATATGGAACCAGCCCCAATGCTAGTATACCACAAAATACTACTCAGCCATAAAAAGGAACAAAATAATGGCATTTGCAGCAACCTGGATGGAATTGGAGACTATTATTCTAAGTGACATAACTCAGGAATTGGAAACCAAATACCACATGTTCTCACTCATTAGTGAGAGCTAAGCTATGAGGATGCAAAGGCATAAGAATGATACACTAGACTTTGGGGACTTAGGGGAAAGGGTGGGAGGGGGGTGAGGGATGGAAGGCTACACACTGGGTACAGTGTACACTCGGGTGATGGGTGCACCAAAATCTCAGAAATCACCACTAGAGAATTTATTCATGTAGTCAAACACCACCTGCTCCCTAAAAACCTATTGAAATAAAAAATAAATTAAAAAAAGAATGAATGATTGAGACTAGAACTTACAAAAAGAAATAAAATATAAGAAAACAGGCAGCTAGTACAATGAGAAAGATACTGTTAAAAAGAAAAGTGCTCAGGGTTGCAGAGGGATTGGAATCTGGGCCTATTTTAGTCAACAGCCCATGTCTTCATTTCTGAGCACCATGGAGAAACAAATTGTTTAGTAAGTTTTTTTCTATTTAACTAGACAGTCACACTATGTATTTTTGAAATAATGGAAAGACCAAATACATTAAAATTAACAAAAAAGTTGCTTCTCAGAGATTTTCAGATGGAATTTTAAATAGTTTAAAATAGTGTGGTTCTGTAATAGAAAAGAGAAATAACAGAAGTAGAAATGTTATTATTGTTTGCAAAGAAGCAACAAAATTATAGGTCATATAGACAGTAGTATAAAGAGAAGGTTGATGTGCAAGATAAACCTAAGGAAAAATGAACTGACATTTATTTTCAACATGTGAGGAAAGAGGGCAAATGGGCAATAAATACTTAATGACTGGCAAAGGCTCAATTATTATAATTGGGCTTTTCTTAAAAAAGTAAATAATGTATCAGTAATATAGAGTGTGATGCTATGCCTTGGTCCTTGTACCTTTTCTTTTCCTTTGAAGAATAAGAGAAGCTTTTTTTATCCCTTCTTTTTTTATAAAGCCAATTACTGTATATATTATGCATGCTTAATATTTTTCGTACTCTTAGTGCTTGATTTTTTTGTTCTTTCTTGGGGTTCAAATTCATCCTCCCTAAATTGCATTCTATAGGCTTATAAGTGAAAATTTGTCATCAGTAAACTCAATTCTAGTTTATTGTAAAATGAATTTCACCTACTGTCTTCAATTTATTTTACCAGATATACAATTCTAATTTAAACTCATTTTTTCTTAAACTTTACACATTTTTATTTCAGTTTCTATTTTTCTATTGAGACATCTAGTATTTTTCAAAATTCTAATCTCATAAGTAATCTTTCTTTTTCCTCTTTCTTTTGGTATTTTATAGGATGATCATGATATTGCCCAGGGTGAACTTGTAGTTTACCTTATTTGGGGGTTGTAGTTTTTAATGAGACTCTAAAGTCATTAAGAGATCTAGAAAATTCTCAGTTAATACATTTTTATAAAGCATGTATTTTCATTCTTCATTTACTTTTATTCTGGGTCTCCATCTTACATACATGTTAGACTTCCTTTCTATCATATCTCTTCAGCTCTCATATTTTTCTATCTTTGTCTCATGCTTCATTTTACAGTATTTTCTTTTTTCTTTCTTTTTTTTTTTTTTTTTTTGAGACGGAGTCTCGCTCTGTCGCCCAGGCTGGAGCGCAGTGGAGCGATCTTGGGTCACTGCAAGCTCCGCCTCCCGGGTTCACGCCATTCTCCTGCCTCAGCCTCCGAAGTAGCTGGGACTACAGGCGCCCGCCACTCACTCCCGGCTAATTTTTTGTATTTTTAGTAGAGACGGGGTTTCACCGTGTTAGCCAGGATGGTCTCCATCTCCTGACCTTGTGATCCGTCCGCCTCGGCCTGCCAAAGTGCTGGGGTTACAGACGTGAGCCACCGCACCCGGCCATTTTAGCGTATTTTCAAATTTTCAATTTATTAACTCTCTCTTTCACCTGCATTAAGCTTATTGTTTTACCTGACCACTTGCTTTATAGCAATAATAATTATTTTTCTATTTAAAATATTTTATTAGTTTTATTAGTAGCACTTAATACAGGTCCTTTATGATTAATATTAACAGTACTCAATTTTCTATTTATTTTCTTGACTAATCTGTCTGTTTTAAAAAAGGTACTAACTTGTTCCTTATTTTCTTACATATTTTTATTTGATATTATAAATTTACTTGATATTATGTATATAATCTTTACTTGGAATTCCAATATCTGAGTTAGTTGGGGTTCCAAATCTTCATTATGCTGTTTCTTTCTTTCTTTCTTTCTTTTTTTTTTTTTGAGACAGAGTCTCGCTCTGTCACCAGGCTGGGGTGCAGTGGTGCGATCTCGGCTCACTGTAACCTCTGCCTGCCTGGTTAAAGCAATTCTCCTGCCTCAGCCTCCAGAGTAGCTGGGATTATAGGTGCCCGCCACCACGCCCAGCTAATTTTTCTATTTTTAGTAGAGACAGGGCTTCACCATGTTGGCCAGGACGGTCTCCATCTCTTGACCTCATAATCTGCCCACCTCAGCCTCCCAAAATTCTGGGATTACAGGCATGAGCCACCGCAACAGGCCTATGCTGTTTCTTAACTCTTGTTTATGGTGACTTATTTTCTTTTGTGTTTTGTAACTTTGGATTTTAGTATTTTAATTGTTAGGGCCTTACATATAGGAATCATGTAGAGGCAGCTTTTGCAAGACCAGTTTTTGTTAATGCTAATGTTAAACCTTGACTGTATAAGAGGTATAGTTATGAATTCTCATGGTAAATATTTTTCTTTGTATCTGGACTCAGTCCTGGGCAGAAAACTGACCTTGTCTGTGTTTCTCTCCTTTACTGGGTACATATAGGATGCATTAAATTGGGGAATTTTGCTAAAAAGACTTATAGATACAAATCAAAATTTGTACAATAAATGAGAAGAAATTAATTCATTAAGTTATAAACATGTTCAGACCAAGAAAAAAATAATTGTTTATATCTATTTAGATATTTTTCTTTTTTATTAGTATTAATTTAGATTTTTTTCCTTTTGACTTTCTTAATGTGCTAATAAACCTTAATCTTTTGAGATTTAGAACTGAAACTGTATGGTATTAATATGATCTTTAAAATAGTCAGATACAGCAGATACTTCAGTCTCTACACACCCAGAACATATGAACCAACTAACTCACTGAAATGTGATATTTATAAGAATATTTGAGAAAGTCTGTTTGTTGTTTCAGCCATGAAGTTTAACTGCGATGTAAAATAGAGACTCCTGGCAACATAATGACATATAGTTTAATACACTGAGAGCTCTGTCTCCCTTAAAGCACAGCAATTTTATTCAATTTCAAAAATGTTTTCCACAAGATCAGAAATGTTGTGTTACAATAATTTCCTTTGGTTTTCACAAGACTAGAAATATTTTTTCACACTTATCCTTTGTGCTACAGAGAAACCTGACTTAGATACCATGGCAACTTTCTACTTCCTTGAATAGTCTGTGAAAATAACTTTGAAGTTAATAGACCTTACATAATTCCAAAGAAATAAAAGAAAATTGCTAAAGTAAGAGAAATGTGCTTATATTGTACCAAAGGCTAACAACAGCTTTGGATGATGTGTATGATTTTCAGAGAACTCAAGATTATGCAATTAGGATTTATGAATCCATAGAGGAACTATAGAGTTCTCAACAGATAGTTCATGCAAGATGCAGGTGTTTGTTTGTTGGTTGTTTTTTGTTTTTGTTTTTTAGCTGTTCATGCTGGCCCCCTTGGGTTACAAGTTCTAAATTTGATTTACTTTTGATCTTGCAATAATTTCTGTCAATCATGATGCCTTAAACAAACAAACATATACACCCTAAAAATGCTTGTCTAAAAAGCATATATAATACTCACGGTGAAAGTAGATGATAAAATTACTACATTCTTACAGTTGCAGTATCATTTGACAGCTTTGATCATTTTATCTTCACATCACTTTTAAATGTCAAAGCCACCTTCGGAGGTCTCATCAGAACAAAAAACATTACCTAACTTGAAAATGAAATTTCTCAAACCTGTGTTCCTGTTTGGAGGTAGCAAAAGCCACTTTATTAAAAAAAAAAAAAAAAAAGAAGTTATATTGACAAAATCAAATGAATGAGGAAAATAGAATTTTTTTTCTACAAAAAGTTAACATATGATAATTTTCTCTTTCGATTATAAAACATGTTATTTTCCTCAGTTAAGACTTTGGGCTGTGAAGCCAAAAGGACGTGATTTGAATACTTACTCAGCTACTTTTTAGCTGTGTTACCTCAAACAGGTGATTATACCTTTGTATTTGTATATTTATGTAAAATGTGACATCACTACTCCTAGAAGGTATTAAGAGTTTAGTCAGATAATACTTGTAAAGTACTTGCCATATGATTAGTACTAAACTGATGTTGGCTATTATTAAACTATTGTTATTCAAATATTGTGCTATTGACAGCAAGAGATCATTTTTTCTTTAGGGTACTACGCAGGACTATTTGGTTGAAAGTGGACCACTCCAATGATTCCCAGGTGGGAACAGCTTCTTTCACCCTGGAAGAACTACTAAAAGGTAGAGATTTGGTAAAAAGTGCCATTTACTGATTTAGCTCCTGTGTTCTTAGTGTTCTCAATTATTGTAATCTTGGCTTACACAAAATAAGGTTTTCCCAACAATACCACAGAGACTGTTCATTTACTGTTTTCCCTTCTGCGGGGTCCCTTATGCCTCACTGCCTTTGAACAATGCTCAGACCAGCTGTTATTTGTGCCTTCATTCCATCTCAGATAAAGCAATCCACCATTGAATATGCCTCCTTAATCAATGTCTTACATTTCATTTATGTGAATATGTCACCTTTAGTTTCATTCACTTTGAATTATCTATATGTAAAAAATTCCATTGTGAACTGTTTTCTTAAAAAATGTTCTTTGTAGTTACTTTTGCATATTTGTAACATCACTCAATAGATATTGATAAAAATTCCATCAAAATTGGATTAGATTCTCAGGAAAATTATAGGATTACAGACTTTAAGGATAATTTTGAAAAAAGGTACAAAACTTCGTAATGAAATTGAGAAGAAAATGCTAATGGAGGTTTCAATAAATTCTTTCCATAGTTCTTTCAAATATAGACAGTATAGTTTTCAATTTTATAAATCTGAATAACTATTAAGAAAATACATCCTGGCTGGGTGCGGTGGCTCATGCCTGTAATCCCAGCACTTTGGGAGGCCAAGGCGGGCGGATCACCTGAGGTCAGGAGTTTGAGACCAGCCTGGCCAACATGGTGAAACCCCGTCTCTACTAAAAATACAAAAATTAGCCAGGTGTGGTGGTGCACACCTCTAATCCCAGCTACTAGGGAGGCTGAGGCAGGAGAATTGCTTGAACCAGGGAGGCGGAGATTGCAGTGAGATTGCACCATTGCACTCCAGGCTGGGAGACAGAGCGAGACTCCATCCAAAAAAAAAAACCTGAGAGTACTTGAAAATGTTCTCTTTTTCAAATGCATAACTCCATATAATAGAAATACATCATTTAACTGAGCATATACTTGAAAACATAGCTTCAACATATATTTAGCAAATATTCAATGAATATCCATTCTGTATTGGCCGCTATCCTACATACTGGAAATATGATTAACAATGCAGCAGCTGACCAAGAAGTTTTTAGTCTGGTGGAGAAGAAAGATAAGGGGATAGATAGAAAAGAGTACAGAGGTGCTATAATGAGATATGCACAGAGTGGCTATTGTAACACCTACAAGGCACTCAAACCACTCTCAGGTATAGAAAAGCCGTGTCAAAAGACTGAATAAGAATGTTCCAGATTGAAGGAACAACATGCAAAAGGACAGTAAGGCAGTGGATTAGGGAACTGAGATCCAAAAACTGAAAAGTGGAAGCAGCTCCTTATGAGAAGTGCATATAGGCTGGATCAGGTGAGTGTGGAGAGGTGAACAAAGTCCAGGTTGTGAAGGACTTCACAGGCCAAGCGAATCAAGTTGGACTTTATCTGAATGATATAGGGACATAGTAGAGGATTTTAAGAAGAGGGGGTAGCATGTCTAGATTACATTTCAGAAAGATCAATCTGGCAGAGGTTTAGAGAACAGATTTGCAGAAAGCCACAACTGCAGAGAAAGGGACCCATTCAGAGGTGGGTGTGCATAGGGAAGAAGGGAGAGCTCCTGATGTCCAAACCAGAATGACTGTGAGGAGACAGAACAGCAAATAGTTTGAGAAATTCATAGGTAGAATCAAAAGAAGTTGAAGTCAAACTCTTCATGTCACTTTTGGGTCTGTTATCTTCCTATTTCAAGTTGAGGTTATGCACATTTTGGTGGGTTTAGGGGAACTTTCAGTGCAAGGACTTCCTGCTTTGCTGTTAATGTGTCATTTCTGGTCAGAAACGCAAATATAAACCACAAGTGAATAGGCATGTCCCTACTTAACTGAACATGAAGTAGGTAAAAGATGAGCCAAGGATAATTTAATTGTTGAAAAATAATAGTCTCTTCTAGACAGGACTTATTGAAAAGGAAGGGAAAATAACTTGAAATGTCTCAAAACTGACTATTTCACTTACAGATGAAATCATAGTTCAGTGCTGTCAGTGTTATAATGTACAAATTGTTACTAAACTGACATCTTTTCAAGCAGTAAGTTCAGAATTATGGTGCAATAACTCTAAATCATTACTAACATTTGTGAGAATTTTACCATTTGCAAAATACTTCTTAATTCATTATCTCATCATAAGAAACTTTTCTTATGGTATAATATATTCAATGTGATATTAACAATATATTTTATAAAGTTGAGATCACTCAGACTTTCTACTTATGGGATAGTAGAGCTGTTCTCTTTCCAAAACATATTCTCTGTTAAATGTAGTCAGCCACATCCTTATGGATAGTCATCTGTTTGAACATATTACCCTTTATTTGAAAGTCTCTTCATTGACTTTCCAGAACAATCTGTATTGATTTTAAAGTTTTGTTACTCACTTATAAGACGCTTAATAGCCACAGACCAATATCTGTGCCAGATCTATTGTCTCTAGATGTCCCTTGTTGCCCATTGAGGTCACAATGAGCAGGCTATTTAGTCTTTCCAAAGCATAAATTCAAATCCCTTGAAGCTAAGGCTTTTAGAAAATATGTTCCCTGATTGTGGAATGTAGTCGCAATTTTGATTCATTATATTCCATCTGTGTGCATGGAAAAAAATGGTTGTGTTTGGTTATATCTCAAAAATATTATTTTTAGCATTGATGTCTCCATTTCTTAGTAGATATGTAGCTTTAATAGAGTATACTGATATGCTTTATCCAATTTATTGAGATTAACACTGATAATTTTCTAGGACCACCAAGGGACATAAGACTTCTTCTTAATATGATTTCCTACTGAAGAAACAGAAGGGTTGTTCTGGCATTTGAGTTTAATTAGACCATATATGAAAACAAATTTTATAAACAGTATAGACTGTTTCCTTTTTTCCCACATTCACTTAAAGTTCTCAAAGAAAGCATTGTGGATGTAGCAGTTAGGTTTAAAACTAAAAAAAAAAAAAAAAGTAGAATCATGAAATAAAATTTAAATTATGTACAATAATACCGTTGTTTCATCATAATTTACAAAATAAAATGAGGACAAATTTTTCTTACAGAATTCCAAATGATCTACATAGACATAACTCCCTACAGAAGATGGATCTTGATTCTCCTCCCCTTTAGTGTGGGATGGAAGAGTAACTTGCTTCCAAAGAATAAAGTATGGAAAGAGAAGGTGACTTACAGTGGAAGCACCTGACAGACAATAACTCCATCAAGGTTAACATCACCAGGGATTTGTCATGTTAATACCATGTAATCTTTGATATGTTGGAATGAGAAGGCTACTTCTCTATGGTGTTCTCAAAAACCCATAACTTCAATCTAAGCTAAGAAAAACATCAGGCAATCCAAAATTCAGGGATACTCTACATCACGCCTACTTCCTTTCAAAGCTGTGAAGGTTGTTTAAAAACAAAGACAGAGCTATTGTCACAGACCCAGAGGAGACTATGGAATCCCAATGCCAATATCCTAAATGGGATCCTATATCAGAAAAATGACATTCACGGAGAAACTGGTGGAATCTGCTGCTAATAGTCATTTAGCAATGATAATTTCTTTATTTTGACAAATGTACCCTAGATAAACAAGATGTTAATGTCAGGGGGAAAGGGAAACTGAATGATATGTACATGAAAATGATCTGTATTATCTTTGCAACTGTTCCATAAATCTACAAGTTTTCCAAAACTAAAAAAAAAAAAAAAAGTTTAGTTTACAAAATAAAATAAGTATTAAAAGGAATTATTTGAAATGGCAACAAAGAAGTCATATTCTTATGGAAACAGTATTTTTCATATTTGTCTATTTTTTCACTATACTATACCTTGTTGTAGAAGATATAGTCAAAATATTGAATGATATCAAGAGTTTCTAGAAGCTGAAATAAATCTGAGATTCCACAAAATCTGTTCATTCTACAAACATTTATAAAGTACCTGTTATTCTTTTTTTTTTTTTTTTTTTTTGAGACAGAGTTTCACTCTTGTTGCCCAGGCTGGAGTGCCATGGCGCAATCCCAGCTCACTGCAACCTCCGCCTCCTGGGTTCACGCTATTCTCCTGCCTCAGCCTCCCAAGTAGCTGGGATTACAGTCATGCGCCACCATGCCTGGCTAATTTTTTGTATTTTTAGTAGAGAGGGGGTTTCTCCATGTTGGCCAGGCTGGTCTCGAACTCCCGACCTCAGGTGATCCACCCACCTCGGCCTCCCAAAGTGCTGGGATTACAGGCGTGAGCCACTGCGCCGGACCCAGTACCTGCTATTCTTAAAAGGTTGCTAAATATAGCCACAATCACCATATATTCATCATAATTCTCATCTCATTTGTTCTAATTTACAGATCATATTAATGTTTTGAGCCTAAATTTGAATTAAAAGGTCAAGATGATAATTGCTTTTTAACCGTTTCCTTCATTGATATGTCAAGAAATATTTCACAGTCACCTTTTTATTTAATGAGTAATTTCAACCACAAAAAGTGAAGTCCTATTATTGAAAGTTTTTGTTTACTATTTTTTATTATTTTTACTTTATTGTTTTAGATGTTGATATGTTTTCCACTTGATCGAATTTTCATATATTAAATATGGACAACAAATAATTAAAATATTATATAATATTCTGTTCTATAGAAGACACTGGCCTGAAATGATTCAACATCCCCTCTACACTATCTTTGGAAAACTTTGAACATTCTGAGCTCTGTTTCATTGTCTAAAAAACAAGGAAAGAAGTCATATTTAAGAGAGCCTTTAGAATTCTAAATTTTCTAAATCTTCATAAAAGCATGAGAAAAGTTTTTTTTTGCAAAGAATAGTCTAAAAAATAATTTTTACACTTTTCAATTTCATATTTTTGTGGAATGTTGGCCAAATAAAATACCATTATAATCACAGCTATATATCAAAGCCAGCACAATATGCAGATTTCTAATGTGTACTTTATCGGTATTACTTACATTAATATATGCAATTAATAAAGATTTGTTTCAAATGTATGAATGAGTGACAACTGACTAAGAGATAGCCAATCTACTATAGTATACTAGACAGTTCAGTTTCACACTTATACAGCAAAATTTCAGTTTTCTTTTCGGCAACATCTTCTTCTAATGCACTTCTATGTCAATATATAACTTCAGTTCTTAGGTAAACAAGAGTGGGAAAGTGTCATGCTCCAATCCCAAGTATTTCTTCCCAAACTGTGAAATTCTGATGCACTCTCAGTGACTCGGGAAATTTCATAAGGTGAAATTTTCTTACACAATCTTCAGTATTTGTGTTTTATATGTATTATACATATCACACGAGTTGTATATTTTTGTTATTTTATAATGCTGCATGTTTTTAACATCAAGGGCTAATAGGATTAAGGAAAAACAGAGATAGGTAAATAAAATAAAAGTATGAGAAATAAGGAATTGATGATGAAAAATATGCTCCTTGGAAAAAGGAGTGCAACATTAAATGAGATGTTTCCTTCTCAAAGCTAAATACTCTCATCCAATCGGGGCACAAGAATGTGAAACAAATACCATGGATCACTGAAACATGGACTTGTGGTCTGCCAAGACCTTAGACCATACAGATATAGCAAGTCACTCAGTTCCTATTCTTTATCAGAAAATCTTTCTCAGCAAGAGGCAGCTAGTTTTTTCTCGCAGCAAGCAAGACTCTGTGTGTGAAGCTTTGAACAATCCTGCACTGCAGGGAATGTTTTGCAGAAACTGCATGACAAGATTGCCAAAAGGATTACCTCTTGATTTCCTTTGTCCTTGGGTTTATTTCATCTAGTAATGGGGCAAAGATGGTGCCTTCTACAATGAAGGGAGAATTTATTCATGAGTCATATACAACAAAATTGTTTCAAAATCCTTGTTCCTCATAGTTCTCTAAGAAAACAACATTCCTCATTGAATATAATATGTATGCTTTTTCTTTTAAAAAATGTTTATCATTATACTATACATTGTAAGCATAGAATAATTTGTTCTTGCAACAGCTTGAAGCCAGACTCCTAAAAAGAAGTATTTTCTTCCTCTCTTTAATAAAAGGCATGAACAACTATCAAGAACACAATGTAGGGTCAGTTTAAATAAAGACCAGGCCATTTAACTATGACAAAAAATTCTGTAAACAACATAATACTATAAATTCCAAAACATGTTACTTTTTTAGGTTACTTTGAGATCTGACACCCTGAAAAAACATACTTAAATGTGAATTATGATTACAACAACATGGCTGTCCTGATTTAAGAAACATGGGGCTCAGTATCAGGACGCCTGGCTTCATGTACCACTTTTGAATTTAGCATTTGTCAATCTGAATCTCAGTGACCTCACCTGTGTAATGGGGGATGATGATGCCTAGCCTGTTGAACTCACATGGTAATTTTGAAGGTACAGTAAAATAAGGTTTACACATTTTCATAGAATTCTAAAGATACAGTGTACAGAAAAAAAATCAAAAACTAGTGAACAGGAAAATTTATCATTGTAGTCTTTCAGTTTCAGTCTACCATAATTATTCTGATGCAACCAGAAATTTATACAGACAGGGAGCTATGAAAGTATACAGGAGTATAACTTATGTTCTTTATAAAGATTATACTTTATGTTCTTCATAAAGTAACACTTGATCTTGAGACCTGAAAGGTGAATAAGCAGGAACAATTTAAAAGATCAGCAATAAAGATAGCCTCCAAGTGGATGCGTCACTAGGTGCAAAAGATGGGAGTAGCAAGGGAAAGTACAGGGGCTGAGGTAGAGAAAAGATATAGGAGAGTAATGTGATTAAATTCTGGAGAGGTAGGTAGGTTTCATCTCATGTTAATTTATTTAATACAAGTTTTTGCTTAATGAATAATAATAAATCATTGAAGGGCTATTTAAAACAGTAGAGTAATATAATCAGAAGCCAGTTTTTAGATGAGTCTAGCAATAGTGTGGAGACTAGACTGGAAGAGAAAATCGTAGATCATAAGGATGACTAATTTGGTTATTTCAAAATTCCAGGCCAGAAATGGTAACAGGACAATAGGCATGACAGTGAAGAAGGAGAGAAGTGAAAGATTTGGCAATGTATCTTAGAGATAGAATTGTCAACTCTTGGTGAAAGCTTAAATATGGTAAGAGAGAAGGGTCAGTAGTAACATCTCATTGCTGAGGTTCT
Organism: Homo sapiens; assembly: GCF_000001405.40. Classification (NCBI taxonomy): domain Eukaryota; kingdom Metazoa; phylum Chordata; class Mammalia; order Primates; family Hominidae; genus Homo; species Homo sapiens. The sequence goes on along the minus strand of NC_000001.11, from coordinate 79,662,639 downwards.
CAGTGTGTGATGGTATTATTTATTGCTGTAGGGAATTCTGGAGGAGGACTATGTTTGGTGAGGACATGCCAGGTAAACAGATACCTAGGTCAAAAAAGACATCTATAGTACAGATAGGAAATTATAATTTATTTTTGTAACAATGACAATAACATCATCAGTATAGATAAATTAACAGGGAAAGGGCACTAAAGGAAGGAAAAAAATAGCATAGCACCTTAAGGAACTCCAAAATTAAGAACATTCATGACAGATATGCCAATGAGATGCTTACTACAAGTCGCTATTGTGTTAGATATGGCAGATAAAAGCAATAATATTCAGACATTTTCCCACAAGTTCACAGTCTAGGACAGAATGAAGGAAACTGATACTTAAGCATCAGTCAGTGCTAAAGGTTTCTATAAGAAGACAACGGATGGACACTTTTTTCTAGAACCATGGATATGGTTAGAGAAGAGGGGAAAAAATCAAGAGGAGATGATAGCTTGGCTGAGTACAAAAGGACAATTTTATTATTTTGTTTCTTAATTTGTTTGCCCATTCAATGAAAATTTTTAGAGCTCTATAATATTCCAGGCACTACTCTAGTTGCTGAAGACAGACTGACTCAGATATCATGCTCCTGTTCAAAAGGAGATTAATTTACCTCACAGGGGAGACAGTATATAAGTAAACAAGTAGACAATATAATTTTATTGAGTCCTTATACAATAAAGGCAATCAAACAGGATGATTACAATTGATATCGGTGGCTTCAGTGGAGAGAGGGATGTGTAATCTGATCAAGGAAGTCCTCACTAAGGAGATGCCCCTTGAACATAAGCTTGAATGACAGGAAGGAGCCAAACACAGAACAATTTGTAGGAGGGAAAGAGAACAATCATATCTCCCCTTCTCAAAATATCTAAGTTTGGAACTCATTTTTTTGATGAAAAGGGAGGGCAGTCAACAAAGTTATATGAACAAATGTAGATAGAAAATAAAATTTGCAGCAAATTGATTAAGTAGTCTTATCTAACTTCCTCAAGTGAAACATTAGGTAATATAATCAAGTGTCATTGAGTATGAAAGAGAGATGTTGATGTTCGAAGAGACATATGGTATGAACTGCTCATTTTGAAGAGTAGAGACATGAATAATCAGAAAACATAGTAAGTTTTTTTGACAGTGTAGACCAATACATGATCTTTAATTTAAAGTAAGACAGGTCAGCACATCTGTGTTTTGAATTATTCTGTTTTTCCTTCCAGGTCATTTAATTAGTTTTTTTCTGGTTTGAAATTTGCAAAAAGTTGGGTTAGGGTTTGTAGTTTTGTCAGTTAAGTATGACACAAGAAAAATGGGGCAGGAGTAATTATAAGAATAGATGAAGAAATGCAAACTAGGTAAGGAGGGAAGTCAGGCTATGAAGCAAATGAGGGTAGAGTAAAGGATTGGAGTACATGATGAGCCTGAAAATATACTTAAGTAAGAGTATTACATTATGGGATCTGTACATAAAGGGCCAAGAGTAGAATGCTTTACAGTGTGATTTTGCATCCTGTGCAATTGATAGTGGCAGCAAGTTCCAAAGCCATACTGTTCAATAGCCTGTGGCTGTTTTAATTTAAATTGTAATTCATTAAAATGAAATAAAATTACAAATACAGTCCCTGAGTTGTACTAGCCACAATTCACGTGCACAAACAGCCAAATGTGGTTAATGATTATTTCACAGAGACAGAACAACTACATCAACACAGAAAGTTCTGTTGGACAGTGCTGGTCCATATTGCCATCCTGCGAATGGATGGAAGAGACAGAGAAAGCAATATTGTAAATGAAAAGGACAAAAACAGACAAACGAACGAGAAACTGTGATGTTGATTGAGTCTTGACTGGTGATAGGAGGACAGAGAGAAAAATGTTGAGGGGCTAAACTTTAATGTAAGTGTCAGCAACTGAAATTTGTCAGGAAAAATATATGATTATGCAACTTGAAAAGATCTGGGTGTCGTAAAAGGAAAAGAGGTGCATACAGGCAATCCAAGGGAATAGAGGAAGGGGGCAAAGACATTCCAGGAAGGGAGGGCATCATCTGCAGGCTCACCAAGGCCTGAGAGGAGTTACAGTATTTTGAAAGATTAGAAGTAGTTTCAAATGGCAGGTTGAATGAGAAATGGAGTGCCCAAATATGCACATACATAATTTCTGTTTCTTTACACAATCAAGTCCACCCACGGCCTCTCTGAAGAGAGTTGTTAAGAATCTTACTATTGTCATTATATTTAATCCCCTCAAACAAGAGCCATACATATAAACTGCCATGTCAGCAGCTCCTTCATCAATCTATTTGCATAAATTACATCACCACTTCCCCTAACAACCAAATGATTACTCAAAGTGAACAGTGAAATACATTTAGTGATTATATGACTAGCTAATATTATGTTGAATAAGTACATCAGTGGGACCGTCAAATCCAATAGAAAAAAAATTCTTCCAACTGGAAAAAATTCATATATATGTATATACATGAATACATGTATTACATACAGATGTAATATGATACACATGGGTATATATGTAACCTATGTACATATACACACATATATGTTGTGTGGCAGATGCACCTGAATGTGTGTTTTGAGTTCTGAGCTAAGGTAATTGGGAGTAGTCAACCCAGATATTTATTCCTTACCTATGAGGAACATCTAAACCCCTGGCCTGCCCCATGGAATGCAGGCCATATAGGGAATCAGGCCCTTTGTTTTGGGGTAAATGAAGGTTACCAGGTGGAGGTTGTTAGTAGGAGGGTGCTAAGTGAAAATGCTATATAAACTGCATGCTTTTTGCAAGCGGTTGGGGTTCTCCTATCCAGCCTGCCACCATTGGACTGCTCTGTAAGTAAATCCTCTCAATAAACCCTTTGTCTTGTTTCCTGGCTCTGGGTGTCTCCTTTGGCCTCTTGAACTTGGTGCCACCCCTATTGAAGTTAATAGAGTTCCAGTACAACATATTTATGCACACATACACACACACAGGAAATAGATAGATAGATACAAGGGTAGATAGCCAGATATCTTCCTACAGCATCCATCATCAATGCATACATGGAAGAAAACAGGTGACTGATTATTCATTAAATTTCACAGGATTAAAAAAAAGACATTTTGAGTAAAAATAGTAATAAGAAAAATACTTAGCAGGCTGTGAAGGATTTTTTCTGTCTAATTTTTCCCCACATAAAATCAAGTGAAGAAGCAATTATCAAGATAATTCAAGTATAAAAAAGAAAAAAAAACTTGCCTAAATTATCTGAGTAGTTAATGAAAAACTTGAGCTTGAGGCCTCAATCATCCAAGTAAATGAATCCATTTTTCAGTATATTTTGCATGTAAATGTAATGAATAAATTAATCCTAAAGACCTGGTAGCTAATTTACCTAAGGTGCTCCAGAAGCTTTTTTGTTTCCCCTCAAGGTATAATTTAGTTTTTGTTAGACTAGGTCCAATATTATTCAACATATGACATGTATTATTGTTATTTATGTGAAAGGCATGTTAAACTCTGATCAAAACAGTAAAGATGAAGGCTATGCCTACACATAGTCAAAACATTCATACGAAAAGGTATAAATTGGTCCACCTCTCAGCTCGCTTAGCCTGAATGAACACCATAGGAGTATTTCTTATTTGGAAATTAATGAATCTTGATAGCTTAGACTTTGCCTCTATTAATGTGTTTTAAAATGTTAAAGTTATAACTACAGACAATATTTAATTAACATAATTAACATGACCAAAGATGACATGGCCTGTTCAATCTGTGCTTTTTAAGACATTTTTCACGACCATCCAAATTATAAAATACAAACATATAATTTCTTGCCAGATGTTTAAAGTTGTCCTTGAATAATCTTTCAGAGTTCCAAATTGGTGAAAGGTAATCACAGCAGCATTTTTATAATGCAGTTAAAAGAATACCATGAGTATGTTCAAGTAATGCACTCCTAAACTCATAGTACAACCTTGATAAATACATTCAATTTAATTGATTTAAATGAATGATGTAAAGAGAATGAGTCCAGCCCAATTTCCAAAGAGAGTGGTTTTATTTCAGAAATACCATTATCATCCATGGTGTGTTGCCATCGAAAAACAGTAAGACCAAAGGGCATGTGTGCAGGGATATTGACAGGGAAAACAGATGTTCTGGGCTAAGTCCACTGTGATTCTGACTTTTTTGTACAGCATGTTGCACATTTGGAACTTACATTTATATTTTAAAATTCAGAGAACACAGCTGAAGTGACTTCCCAAATTTATCAATAAGAAACAGCTTGTTTAGTAAATGAAGTATCAAAATGCTGTGATCATAGTCTCCTCTCTGATAAATTGAGTACTGTACAGTGAATCTCCCTCTGACACCCTTTTTTTCTTATACATGCCTAAAATTTGAAATTAGATATGCCTGTAATTGCCAAGAATGCAGCAGTACTGAACTCCCTTTAGGTTTTCTTCCAGATAGGTTTCAGCTGCCTTGCATCTGAAAACAATTGAGGACAAACTGTAACATGAGCCGAAATGGATTCAGGCTGAATGTTCCATCAGTAGCAGAGAGGGCAAGTAATAGATTTTTGGAAGTGGTAACCACATTAGGTCAATCCTAAATTCAGCAAGTTAAATTCATGCTGCCAATGATAATGGTCACAAGAATTGAGAGGCTGACATAAAATTAGGTGTTTTGTATTTTATGCCACTATGCAGACTGATTGAGACTGACTATAGTCAACTACATTTTAATATCTTCCCTTATCTAGCAGTATGATTTCAAACAACTTTACAAATATTCGACTTACTTCGTGTTTATAATAACTCTGTAAAATAGTCAGCAGAGGATTAATCATATTTTCCAGATAAGAAAAGTGTACCTTTCAGTTATATGACTTGTTTAACTTTTCATGAGTAAATAAGGTGCCCATTAGCATTCTATTTTTATTAAACCATGTATTGCCAGCCCCTAATGATGCATCTACAGCCACTCAGGTTCATTGCGAACTCTATTAACAAAATGTTAAAAGAGATAAGCACTATTATTCTTTTCAGGCCACCCTTAAAATGAATTTTTAATAGTATTAAGCACATATACATTAAAAGCGTTTTCTGAAACAAACCTATTTGGATGGAGATAATCCACTGCATTTGGATAGAGAAAAGTAACGCAATAATAAAAATGCATTTAGAATCTGACATAATTTTTAAAAAATCTACAATTTTGAATAAATTTGTGAATCCAGTTGAATTGCACCTATAAATGATTGTTTCAAATAGACATCTTGTCTAGTGTGCAAATGAAAAATATACAATGCATGAAATATAGAAAAATTTTTTACTGCTTTCTTACTCGGCACATTGAATGTGAAATATACTTAATTATTAATTTTGAAAATACACAATTACCTGATTTCTAATGGGGTTTTTCAAGCAGACTTTGCACTTTTGGGGTGCCAATATATTTATTAATCAGAATCTTATTGTACATCTTTTTACAGTAGATTTATAAATTAGATAAATATTATTTAATTTGAATACAATTCTACATTGTTTCTCAATATTCTGAGAACCCTTTCAAATTAACCTCATAGAGCCTGATCATAATACTCATACAAAAGGATAAGGTGTGAAAGCCATGAAAACAGTTTTGGAGAATTTTTAATTTGGAAACTATTGTAAGAAATCCTTAGAAAAATAAAAATTAATTGGAATGACTGTTGAAATTCTTAACTAAAACTAAAATTCATTTAGAACCAAATTTATTTTGAGGCTTTCTTCCAAATCTTTAACAGGTTTCCTACATATTGTCACATTCCATATCTATGGTAATCTTGAGATAATAGGGTGGCTATTGTCCTCACATTTCTTGGACCTAATGATGCATCTTGCAATGTAATTACTTGGCATTTCAAAAGTAATATTTGATATACCAGTTAAGCAGTCAGCCTTTCATTATTGAAATATTTTCATAATAGCAGAGAAGTTCAACATAGTGTATAGGGAAAAGAAGATTGTATAAAAAATCTAGTTCTTTTGTGATTTGATTTCATGTGTACATTATATGCCTTTTATATTTCAGATATGAGTTGAAATCCAGCTTGAGTCCGTTGTCTCTTTCCATTTAGAAAAAAATAAGTTATTCAGTTATATTATTTTAATTTACCTATTTTTAGAATTGAGCAATATTTTAGCACTAAAATAAATGAGATTAGGCAGATAATATAATAGTAAAATAAAGCTATGCTTTATTTATAAGTTTTAAATATTTGGAAGAAAAAATTGAAAATCAAACTCTAGTGTAACCATGTACAAACTACTAACAAAAATGGAAACTTCCTTCTTTCCCCCATGACCAAACATACTTGCTAATGTTTTGAGTGCTTTCTGTGTATCAAACGCAGCTCTATGAAATTTATACTATTATAATGGCCATTTAATAAGTGGGGAAACTGATGTGCAATGAAGTTAACAAAAATGTCCAAGGTTATTCAGTTGGCAAGAGAACTCAGTCATCTAGTCCAGAGTTCAAGCTCACTGCACTAAGCTTATGTCAAACTGCTCCTAAAAGTGTGTTGCTTTTTTTTCTGTTAGCATTATTTCACGATTTTTTTTTTTAATCTTAGAGTCCACTTTCTTACTACACTGGCCAATGTGAAGAACATCAAATGCCTTATATTTAACTACATTATTTGATCCTGTTTACCATGCAGAAAATTGTCACCTAAATTGAAGAAAGTTTTTAATTCATAGTTACACAACTTTGTATATACAGCAGAGTTTTGCTATTATATCCAGAAGAAACTTTTGGTTGTTACAATAATTTCTCAATTTTTTGTTTTTTATGTTAAACATAAACAAAGATGTGATTTACATCCCATTCCAACTACATCACATAGAAACTGAGGTGTTTTTCTTTGAATCATGCACCCTGTTTACCCAAAGTAAAGCTATGAGATTGAAGAAAAATCCAGTAGATATTCTATATCCAACACTAAAACATTCTGACTTTTTTCCTTTATTTCTTTACTATATGAAACATGGTCCTAATCTTTGTATCATGTGTTATTGTTTCCTTGATGTCTTCCCTGTGAGTAAAAAATAAACTGTAAACCCTGTCAAGTAGTGATCAATATTAATCTTCCAGGAATAGCTCACTACAATAGAACTTCGGGATTCCTTAATAGGACACACTTTTCAGCAATTGTTTTAATATACATCGTGTCAAAAAATGTAATGGTATGATTGAATGCAAGGTACTTCATATGATATTTATAGCATTTCCAATGTCAGAAGGAAATATTCCTATATGACAGTCCTCTCATATAAGTGCATGTAATATTTTAAATGATAAACAATAAGATTACCTCTATACAAACCATATTAATACAACACAAATCAAGAATAGCAGGCCATGGTCCTGTTTATAAACTGCTAGATATTTCATGCAAAAATATGAATTAAAAACATTTTCAATCAAATTCATTTATACCACTCTTCAATATAAGGGGACAATGATTTTGATAAAACCTAGTTGTCTGGGACTATTTTTCTTCTCTATTTTAAGCACATTTGCGATTAGAAACATATTAATTACATTCAGGACAAGCAAAATGAAAGGGTGATTATAGAAACAAATAAAAGTTAAAAGCTCTGATTACACTTAAGTTTTGTAACTTAGCCAAGTCTATTATTCATATTTATAATTTAAAAAGTCACAGTACTCTCAAAATATTTCGAGCCCTCCTGATTGTATTAATATTTGATATTTGATTAGGTTAAAATGCAAATGTGAACCCTCCATATGCTGCAGAATAGCACAGGAGCAATATGTTCCATGTGGCCAAGCCACCTTGGATCTTTCAATAATAAATATTCACAAGCTTCATTAATACCACATCATTACTACTTAAATTTTAACCTGCCAGGTTTTGGATCAGTGACAAAATTTGTCAGTATTTTCACAACAGCAGAAATTAATGCTAGTATAAAATGTGGGGCACAGAAGTGGAAAATTTTGCTGAAATAAGTAAAATAAAATCCTGCAATAATATTTTCTCCAATCCAAAAATAAACGGGGAGAAATAGAAAAATTAATTCCAGAGATTTAAAGAAAATAACTTGTAAGAATAATGAGAGTCAGAAAAGAAACTGGAACAAAGTCTTGCTTTTCTTAGTTATCTCTCTTTCTTAATTCTTTTTTTTTTTGGAGGCAGAGTTTCACTCTTGTTGCCCAGGCTGGGGTGCAATGGCGTGATCTTGGCTCACTGCAACATCTGCCTCCCAGGTTCAAGTGATTCTCCTAGGTCAGCTTCCTGAGTAGCTGGGATTACAGGCATGCACCACCACACCCAGCTAATTTTGTATTTTTAGTAGAGATGGGGTTTCTCCATGTTGGTCAGGCTGGTCTCAAACTCCTGACCTCAGGTGATCCACCCGCCTCGGCCTCCCAAAATGCTGGAATTACAGTCGTGAGCTACCATGCCTGGCCTCTTTTTTTAAATTCTTATATGGGCTCTCACTTAGGAACATCTTAAAAAATCTTCCTAAAATTTGCTTCCACAATTGCAAATTGATATAAGAAGATTAGATGGCAGTAGGAATATTAAATAAGGAATAATATTGATTCTGATAGAAATATATTATCATTTCAGATTTTAAGAACTGGACAGTAAAATCATTTGGAAATGACTAAATATTTTAGGTAATTTTTTTCAAGAGTGAAATATGTATGACATGTATTGAAGAAAGGTTGACTCAGTTGCTCAGTGCATGGAGAAAAAGAATCCAGGGAAGTGGAATGGATGCTTGGTTTAGCCAGATAATTTAGTCATTTCATGTTGAAGTCAAAGCCAAACACAGGGTGAACAATTTTTAAGAATGATATACAGTTTATAAGAAGAACAAATAAATTGAGCATTTTTTATTCCTCCTCGACATCCATCTTTGACCTTTGAATGACTCCTTGAGGAACTACTTGAGGAACCATGAGGAGGAGGTAGAATCCATCCAAAGACCAAAAGTGAGGGTTGTAAACTATTAATAGACTAAAAGAACTGTTTGCTCTGTTTCAAAGGTCACATTAAAAGGTCAGCAAGAAAACGAATGGGGTCCAAACAGAGTGCACCTCAGAATTTAGCTTGGTTTGCCCGGACAGACAGGCTCTCTTGCTCTCCAGTGTATTGATTTGGAAAGTAAAATGCTACAATCTTTTTGATATCATAATAAATCCAGCTTATGAATGAAACCTATACATTAAGCAGGACAAAGTAAATCACAGAGACACAGATCCAGAATCTTGGTGACAATGAGTACAAATGGATCAAAATACACTGAATTTCACAATATTTTAGGATTGATTCTATTACCTATACCAATAGTATCTTCATTAAAGCAAAATGAACCTTTTTATTTGCAAAAAAGCATCCCAATTTATTTTTTTAATGTGTAGAGCAAGACTATTCAGTCCAACAATTAAAATTTAAGAGAAAAGACACACATGCGTGTGTACACACACACACACAGAAATAACTCTGCATAACTTATTGACAAATGTTTGATCTCATTCAAATTCTAAAAATTCTGAAGTCAGATAATTATATTTTCTTGCCTTAATTTTCATTATTTTTTAGCTTATTGTTTTTAGCTACGGTTTTCCCATGTGAGCTGAGGGTGGTTAATATTGGAATTTGCTTATGGATCTCAGAAGTCTTCTCCCTTAAAGAATAAGGAACTGCACTATTCATTGAAGAATGAATAGTGTTGCTGCTTGTGAATTTCACTACCCTTAAGGACATAGAGGAGGTCAAAAAGGTTGAATATTTTGGGGTTTTTATCACACATGAACCCTTCATCCTCATGACAGTCACTCATCACATGCATGTACTTGGTCAGACGCTACAGCAGCAGTCTCAGCAACCTAATTTGGCATTCCACTAGAAAGATTTTTTTTTCTTCCCTCTCCACTAACCACCTAATCTTAGCTTACTCCTCTGGGAGCCCACACTCTCAGCGTTTTCTTTCACCACTCTGCAGAGTCTGTGATTGCAGTGTAAGCAACACCCGAATGGCTCATTAAAGCCATTATTATTAGCTTTACACAATCTCATGAGATTTGCATCAGTTTTTACCCTCTCTCATTCTATCTTTGCACTGAGTAGGACTATATTAAAACAAAGATGCCTCAGTCCCTGAGCAAGAAGGAAGTAGCATTACTTTTTAAACAGCAAGAAACATAGAGGTAGAGACAGTGATAGACTTAATAGGGTTTCAATAAACCACATTGATTATCCAAATTAGGGGTTTTTTTTCCCCAAAAAACCATACAAAAGGAAACCTAAAATTAACAGGGCTTTTATTATCTTTTTAAAAATTCTAGTTTCTTAATATTGATTTAAAACCTTTTCAATACTATTTGTAATCTGTGTTAGTGGGTGCAAAAGAATTAGTGTGGAATGCAACAACGTATACTTATACTTACGTAATTCACATGAAATGTATGTTTTAAGTGGTGACAAAGAAAAATCACAGTTTCGCCTGGCTGGTGGTGGCTTTGTTAATATTAAGAGATGTGATTGTAAATGACATTGCCCAAGTATATATAAAGAAAATCATAAGCTTATCTACTTATGTTTGATACCTTGGAGAGTTTTTGGTGGTTCAGAATTAGAATGCCTCCCCACTGTTTGATTCACTCTCATGCATTAAATAAACTGCTTACTGAAATACGTTACCACGTTCTGAACATGAAGTACTTTATTATGACTAAATGATATGCTGGGGACCTGAAAGGACCATTACTAGAATATCTCATATTTTGTTGTTGTTTTCTGGTTCATTAATTGTCCCTTTTGATCCTCAGCTCCCTACAAAGTCCCCTGTGATTATTTCTGATAATTCTGAGGGGATATCATATATGGGCTCAGTAAGCTCAATATTTGTACTGCTCTGACAAGTACTATTATTACTCTGTGCTGCCGTACATTCTCCATTTGATTTTAGATTGTAGAGCATTTGAAATCTCTGAAGGCATCCTTCTGCTCTGCCAGGACAACTGGTACCCCAGAAAATGCAGATACAATAGTCATTCCAGAAGACTCTACCTCTCTTATAGTCTCTCAACCTCATGCCAACTCTAATTCAGACATTCTCTCTCAATGACTTGAAATATTCAGAACTTTTTTCCTGATACCTCTAAGCTTTGACATTTTGCACTGACTTGCAGGAAATCAGAATGAAATAAGAGGATACTCTGATTACTAGTACATGATATTACAGCAACACATTACTGTGCTGCTTGGGGATCAAAACATCACAGAGACTATTGAAATGGTATCTCTAGTCCTTTTTATTCCTAAGATGCAGGTATGGGTATAGAAGACTATAGATGACAAATAAAAGTCGTCATCTTCTATTAAGATAAAATACTCTAGACTTTTACATTAGGTCAAATTCATTTTGTTTAGCTTATTCCCATAAAATGAGTTACCACTCATGTGAATCTTCAGATTATCTCAAAATAAACTTCTGTTTGGTCTATCACTTTAGTTCCTCACGTAGGTACAGAATTACCTATAATTCCACAGTGTAAAGTTTAGAATTATAGCTCAAATTAGCTAAGTTCAAGCATAACTACTCTTATCTATAGCCTATTTTAGTAGCAGTAAATGACTCATGTAAGAAAATAGGTTTATAAATCCATAAACATTTTTCAAATTCACAAAACAATCTTCATCTAAAAACTGAAAACCTCGTTCAATTCAGTAAACATTTAAATTCAATTCAGAGTTAAACTAATTCATCCTGATTTGAGTCCCTCTGTGGATTCAAGTACAGAGGCATTTCTTTCCTCATACAAGTCTAATCCTTTCAACCATATGCAAGATGCATTGCCAACCCCTTTCTCAACAATTTTTCTCTATCAATTATGCCCTGTCTCTTCCCTATGAGATTACATTTCTCCAATTACAAGCATGTCTATTCTCTTTATTTTCTAATCAAGGAGGGGAAAGAATCAGCTTCAATCCTATGGTACACTCAAACTACCAACCTCTCTCCATTCTTCCTTTCTCAAACAAACTTCAAACTATTCAAAAAATAATGTTTTTTTAAATTCTTCATCTCCTTACAATCTAGTTTCTGTCTCCCAACCTTCAGCCCAAGTTGACACCACAAAGAGCAAGTAGAATAAAAAACCCACTCTCACTCTTCTTTCCTCAGTCACCTGTTGGATCAATCTATTGTCTGAATCCAATGGAAAGCCAGAAGACAAGAGTCTGTTGATGTAGTAAGTCTCCTAGCACAAATGAAAATATCAAATCCATGTGTTATTGACAATATCATACTTATTTTTTTGAAATTGCTCCAAACTCACAGTGCCTGCAGAAATAATGGATTTAGATGGCTGTAGTTGTAACACATATTCTTGTCCTGATGACTACAACTAATTAATTAGGGTTAGATGTGAAAAGAGAGGAGCATAATAATTGTATAAAGAGAATTGATCATATTCTGTTTCCAGAAAATTTGCATTTAGGGCACAGAGCCATACAGTTAAATATGGCACCAGTAAGATCTTATAGAATGTGGGCAGGAGCCAGTGTCATGAGGAGATGAGGTCATGAACAAGTTGTCTTAAGTAAAGGCATCCTCTCAACAAGTTGTCTTAAGTAAAGGCATCCTCTCACCAGGGAAAATAAGTGCAGAATCCATTAGCCTCCAGTCTCAGAATATCTAGCTGAAAACTTCCTACTTCTAGATAAGCCCAGTTTTAATTGCTGTGTAGAATTTCTATCTTTATTTTTAAGAATGAAAGAAAGAAAGAAAGAAAGAAAGAAAGAAAGAAAGAAAGAAAGAAAGAAAGAAAGAGAAGAAAGAAAGCAAGCCAACAAATAAAAAACGTACTTTAATTTGTATGGGTTTCTCTTTCTTCCAATTAAGACAACTGTAGTAAAGATAATGAATGATTTATTAAGGTTAAAGTTTGGGCTAAAAAATAAACATTCAAGCAAAAGTTTGTATGCTTCTCCAAAAGACATAGCAAAATATATAGCGAAAAATATATTTTCCAAGTGAATACACTTTATACTGAATTATATGGTAAACTGACTCAATTCTGACATCCTTGGCTAGTGGCCAGTCAGTTTTTAAAACGTGAGTTTAGCGAAGCATTTATTCCTATAAACTCTCTGTAGACTACCAATCAGATTTTGAATAAGCATGTGAATCAACACCAGCCAGAAAGGCTTATTGATTATCAGATGACATCAATTTTAGAAAATGGCAGTAGTGCCCAATTTTCAGTATTTAGCACCAATTATCTGGGATCTCTGTATCTATTTCTTATGACTTTCTATGCTTCACTTTGGCCATGATGATATTAAAAGAAGACTCAGTAAAGCAAGCAAGTCTTTTGAGACATCTGGAAATCAAGTCAGAGCAAATTACCATAAATTATTTATATATTTAGCTATGTAAGAATGTATTTCAGTTTTTGGAATCACTGTGGTTTATCTATTTACCAATAGAAGGCAATGAAAACAGGCATGTTTTGTCTGCTATGTACATCATCTAGAATTAAAACAAAAGTCAGTTTTACTGAATAGGGCCATTCATGCTGTATACTGTACAACTCCTAAACATACTATTCATGTAGGCCACAATATAAATAAATGGTCATCCTCTTTCCTGAATCTGTACAACCATTTTTGGTGATTATGCCAGATTCAGCAGAAAAATTAGATATTTTAAGTCAGTGTTTCTAGAACGTAAGCCTCAAAAAGGCAACTAAAATCCTTTTAGGGCCGGGCGCGGTGGCTCACGCCTGTAATCCCAGCACTTTGGGAGGCCGAGGCGGGCGGATCACGAGGTCAGGAGATCGAGACCATCCCGGCTAAAACGGTGAAACCCCGTCTCTACTAAAAATACAAAAAATTAGCCAGGCGTAGTGGCGGGCGCCTGTAGTCCCAGCTACTTGGGAGGCTGAGGCGGGAGAATGGCGTGAACCCGGGAGGCGGAGCTTGCAGTGAGCCGAGATCCCGCCACTGCACTCCAGCCTGGGCGACAGAGCGAGACTCCGTCTCAAAAAAAAAAAAAAAAAAAAAAAAAAATCCTTTTAGTTCACACTGTATCTGCAGTGCCGATACTAATGCTTAGGTTATAGTAGGTGCTCAATTAATATTTAGTGCATTAATAAATGGTAAAACTAATGGCATTGAAATCAATAGTAGTGATTAATTTAAAAAAATAGAATTCTGACTTCCCTCCTGATTTGCTAAGTCAGCATATCAAGATGGGCATAGAGATTAAAAGATTATTCTAAGCATAACATTTTGGAACCAGCATTGTTGATTTCACATCTAGCTACAAGACTAAACTGGCATATAAAATTCAGGATGTATACAGGGAAAGCACCAATTCTAGTCTTCAATGTAATTCTCAAGTGGTGGTTTTCTGGTAAGTTTGTAGACAATAATACTTAGGAGAAAATGTGTATAAAAGACTAAGTTTGGGAATTTTCTGAGTATTTTGTCTGGACTACAGGATGGCAAATAATAATTTAATTGAAATTTTTTAAATTAAATAAACGTAAAGTTTTCACTGAACCTTTAACTACATTTATTCTTCTTAAAGATAGACCAGGATGGTCCAAGTAGCAGAGGGAATAAAAATTACAAAGTATAGAAATATGATTAACTATTTAAAACTATGCAAATTTTATAAGATATTAACGTATGGTTTTGTGGTATCTTCATCATTATCATAATTAATGTTTATGAAACCAGTTCCTGGTGCCTAGATAATTTATATATATTTCAATAAATGCTAAATGATAATACATGTTATTTATATAAGGAATTAGGTAGCTATCTTCCTGCTAAAGTTCATATAAAAATTAATGTAGAAAGAAGGGAAGACAAATTAGTCAAGCCATTAATTGTGTTGCTGAGTCTAATCATTTGTTTGTTTTAGCTAAAATTTTCTTTCTTTATTGCAGTCATTAGTACTTGACAGTGAATAATCTCATGTGGAAAATTCCTAATTAGGTTAGATTTTTAAAAAATTATTGCAGTATAAAACCTGAGGTTCTGTCAATATGGGTAGATAGAGTAATACTGATAATCAAGTCATGGGATCTAACTTAAGCTAAGTTAAGAGCCGAACCATGAATCGAGTTCATAATTTTGCTGACGGTTCCTTCCTCTGCAGACATTAGCCATCTAAAGGCAGGGGCATGTTGTACATCAAGTAATGCTCCCATTAATCATAATGGGAATTAAATGTATGTCAGGAGAATGAATCCCCTTAGGTATTTAAAATGAGTTTCAGTAACTATACATCTGTTGATGTACCTTGGTAAGGTATTTCCACACTTTCAAAGAATCACCCCTTTCGGCAAGATCAAATAAGAAAGCATCAGATAAGCATGCCTTTGCCAAGCCTCTGAATTTCAAATGCTCCTGAGGACTCCAGAAAGAATGTGAAGTGGCATCTGTAAAATATGCACAGGAGGCTGAGAGAATAATCCAGACTGCCTGCTCTGCAGGTAACTTAGAGACACCCAGCAGACTGCTTGCTCTGCCAGCTACTTGCTATATCTCCACCAGATCTTTGCAAGCGAGGCAGCGTGCCTCACTCAACACAAAATGGGAAACTTGACTTCTTGCCAGTTTTATGTAAATACTCTGAATTAAGTTGTCTGACTTTTTAAATTTTTTGTAACCAAGGCATACTTAGATCTAGCAGATGCAAAGAGCTTCCTGATTTAGGATATTGCTACCTTTATGAAGAAAAAAAAAACCAGAAAATGATTGGAAAATCATATCTAACAAATGCCCTTACAAAGATTAAAAAAAAAAAAGAAGAAATTTAACATAATTATTTAGAATTCCTTATACTCTTTATGATTCAGGTTTCTCTATAATCAGATTAAAGATGAAAAGTCTTTCGGCTTTTACTGTATAAATGCAGAAATCATTCTGCACAGAAACACTTTTTTTTGTAATTGGAATTTCAGTAGACTTGGATTCATAATACCTACTGGGTTAAGAATAATCAAAACGAAAGCTAAAACAGAAGAGAATAAACTAGCATGGAGTAAATAAGTGGGTGTGGGAGACATAATCAATATTAAGAATTGAAATAAGTTGGTATATTGGGGTCGGAGAGTGAAAGGAGAGGAAATACAAGGAATAATCATACAAATAGGTTTTGCCAAAGTTGCACATACCAGATAATATCAGAAACACTTAAGAAACTTGAGGTCTAGAGGTAAATTCTAGACTCATTATTTTGTTTTTTCAGGAATAAAGTGTGGAAATTAGAGATAAAAGGTAGGAATATGTGCACAAGCCTCAGAATAAAAACACTTTGTTGTGGCTAGTCGCAACATTTATATAAATATTTATATACATGGGACAGGGAGGAAGTACATAGTAAGATTCATAATTTTGAAAAGAATACTAAACTTCTGGGCAGGTAGCAAAATCTCAAGCTAATGGCTATAAAGTAGGAAGATTTTATGAGGCTGCAGAAGTAGTTAGAAAAGTGGCAGGGAAATTTGAATGCATTCAAGTGTAAGATAATATGAGTACAGAAGCATAATAAGAATGCATGTATAAAATGTCAGTTAGACCAGGAAAAGAATTTAGACAGCATTTCCCTGATGACAGTAATCCAATATGCTTTTGTATTAAAAAATAATAATACAAAATTCACCACTGAGGAATGTACTGGAAACAAACAGAAGAAAATTGTTAGATATGAAAGTGTATCTCATATGGCAGGCACTATTGTAAGTTCTAAGGGTACAGTACCAGACAAGGTCCTGATTTCATGGAACTAGATTCTAATGGGGGGAAAGGCTAATAAAAGTATATTTCAAGAATGTCAAAGCATGCACCTAAAATTTTCTTTCTTCAGATATAAGCACAGCTCATTTCCTCTGCTCCTTCAGGTCTTGGCTTAAATCCATTCTTCTCAAAGAGGCTCTTCCTAAGCATCTATTTAAAATTGCAACATTGTTTCTACTATACAACACTATTATCTTCTTGCTTTATTTTTTCTATATAACACATTACTGCTCATTGATTGTACTTATTTACTTCTACTATATAACACATCACATATCATTGATTGTACTTACTTAGTTCTCTATTGACTATCTCACCCAACTAGAATGTACACTTTATGTAGCTAGGATCTTTTTGTCTATTTTATTTATTGCTGTATTCTGAAGACTAGAACAATGACAGGCACCATGGGTACGCAGTAAATATTGTTGAATTAATGAGTAATGCCATGTTTTGAAGAAAATAAACTAAACTAGTTGAATGGAAATTGATGAGAGTTGAAGACTATGTTAGATGGTGTTGTCAGGAGAGCCATTCATGTGGCCAATGAGATATGGGAAAGAGGCATAGCCATAGTAAGGTCTGGGTTGGGGGGGAGGCAATTTCATAAGAAAAATAAGTTAGTAGCCAAAAGGCGAGTATGAAGTAAAAAAGTCCTGTAAGGAGGGTGGATATTGAGGGGGAGGAGTGAAGAAAGGAAGTGGAAAGATACCGAACCATTAAGTAGTCAAAAGCTAAATTCGATGTTGCCTTGTAGGCCATGGTAGAGTAAAGTATATTCTGAACACAATTGGGCACTATTAGAATTTTTAATTAAAAAATGCTCTTTGGCTATTATACACAGTATAGTTGGGTAGGAAGGGTGCTCACTGAGGAATGATAAAAACAAAGAGAACCTTCAAGAGGTTCTTATACTAATACAGATGTGAGTAGTTTAGGGTAGTGTGGTAGTTCTGGAAATAGTAAGAAATTGGTAAGATCATGACTGAATTCTAATCCACTCACAATTTTGGTGATACTGGGCAAGTTATTGAATTACTATAAGCTTTCTTTTTCTCATCTTTAAAATGGGAATAGTAAATTGCTAACTTCAAAATTTAGATGATTGAATCATTGTCAAATATGTTTAGGTAAAAAAAAAGTTCCCTAAAATCTGATGGTTTTTCATGATTAATTTTCCAAATATACATATATGTTATATATTATAATATATAAAGTATAATATATAATATATGATATTATACATATAGTGAAAAACACGTGGTAGTGTCAGGCCTCTGAGCCCAAGCTAAGCCATCATTCCCCTGTGACCTACACGTACACATCCAGATGGCCGGTTCCTGCCTTAACTGACCACAGTCCACCACAAAAGAAGTGAAAATGGCCTGTTCCTGCCTTAACTGATGACATTGTCTTGTGAAATTCCTTCTGGCTCATTCTGGCTCAAAAGCTCCCCCACTGAGTACCTTGTGACCCCCACTCCTGCCCACCAGAGAACAACCCCCTTTGACTGTATTTTTCCTTTATCTACCCAAATCCTATAAAATGGCCCCACTTTTATCTCCCTTCGCTGACTCTCTTTTCGGACTCAGCCCGCCTGCACCCAGGTGATTAAAAGCTTTATTGCTCATACAAAGCTTATTTGGTGGTCTCTTCACACAGACGCGCATGAAATTTGGTGCCGTGACTCGGATGGGGGGACCTCCCTTGGGAGATCAATCCCCTGTCCTCCTGCTTTTTGCTCCATGAGAAAGGTCCACCTATGACCTCAAGTCCTCAGACCAACCAGCTCAAGAAACATCTCACCAATTTCAAATCTGGTAAGCGGCCTCTTTTTACTCTCTTCTACAACCTCCCTCATTATCCCTCAACCTCTTTCTCCTTTCAATCTTGGCGCCACACTTCAATCTCTCCCTTCTCTTAATTTCAATTCCTTTCATTTTCTGGTAGAGACAAAGGAGACAAGTTTTATCCATGGACCCAAAACTCCGGCGCCGGTCACGGACTGGGAAGGCAGGCTTCCCTTGGTGTTTAATCATTGCAAGGACACCTCTCTGATTATTCACCCAGGTTTCAGTGGTGTCAGACCATGCAGGGACGCCTGCCTTGGTCCTTCACCCTTAGCGGCAAGTCCTGCTTTTCTGTGGGAGGGGCAAGTACCCCAACCCCTTCTCTCCATGTCTCTACCCCTTCTCTGCCATTCTGGGGGGCAAGAAACCCCAACCCCTTCTCCTTCACCCTTAGCAGCAAGTCCCACTTTTCTAGGGGAGGAGCAAGTACCCCAACCCCTTATATCTCTGCACCCCGATCCCTTATTTCTGCACCCCAACCTCTTATATCTCTGCGCACCGATCCCTTATTTCTGTGCCCCAACCTCTTATATCTCTGTGCCCCAATCCCTTATTTCCGCACTCCGACCTCGTATCTCTGTGCCCCGACCCCTTTCCCACTTTTCTGGAGGGTAAGAACCCCCAAACCCCTTCCCTCCATGTCTCTACTCTCTTTTCTCTGGGCTTGCCTCCTTCACTATGGACAACCTTCCACCCATAGTGGAAGGAGATTCCTCCTTCTTCTCCCTTATCCTGTGTTCTTAAGAACTTAAAACCTCTTCAATTCTCACCTGACCTAAAATCTAAGCATCTTATTTTCTTCTGCAATGCCACTTGACCCCAATACAAACTCGACAGTAGTTCCAAATAGCCAGAAAACGGCACTTTCAATTTTTCCATCCTGCAAGATCTAAATAATTCTTGTAGTAAAACGGGCAAACGGTCTGAGGTGCCTGACGTCCAGGCATTCTTTTACACGTCGGTCCCTTCCTAGTCTCTGTGCCCAGTGCAAGTCATCCCAAATCTTCCTTCTTTCCCTCCCGCCTGTCCCCTCAGTTCCAACCCCAAGCGTCACTGAGTCTTTCTAATCTTCCTTTTCTACAGACCTAGCTGACCTCTCCCCTCCTCACCAGGCAGAGCTAGGTCCCAATTCTTCCTCAGCCTCTGCTCCTCCACCCTATAATCCTTTTATCACCTCCCCTCCTCACACCCGGTCGGGCTTACAGTTTTGTTCTGTGACTAGCCCTCCCCCACCTGCCCAGCAATTTACTCTTATAAAAGGTGGCTGGAGCTAAAGGCGTAGTCAACTTTAATGCTCCTTTTTCTTTATCCCAAATCAGATAGCGTTTAGGCTCTTTTTCATCAAATATAAAAATCCAGCACAGTTCATGGCTCGTTTGGCAGCAACTCTGAGACGCTTTACAGCCCTAGACCCTAGAAGGTCAAAAGGCCGTCTTATTGTCAATATACATTTTATTATCCAATCCACTCCTGACGTTAAATAAAACTCCAAAATTAAATTCCGGCCCTCAAACCCCACAACAGGACTTAATTAACCTCACCTTCAAGGTGTACAATAATAGAGTAGAGGCAGCCAAGTAGCAATGTATTTCTGAGTTGCAATTACTTGCCTCCACTGTGAGACAAACCCCAGCCACATCTCCAGCACACAAAAACTTCCAAACGCCTGAACCGCAGCAGCCAGGCGTTCTTCCAGAACCTCCTCCCCCAGGAGCTTGCTACAAGTGCCAGAAATTTGGCCAACAGGCCAAGGAATGCCCGCAGCCCGGGATTCCTCCTAAGCCGTGTCCCATCTGTGCGGGACCCCACTGGAAATCAGACTGTTCAACTCAATTGGCAACCACTCCCAGAGCCCCTGGAATTCTGGCCCAAGGCTCTCTGGCTGACTCCTTCCCAGATCTTCTTGGCTTAGCAGCTGAAGACTGACACTGCCCAATCACCTCAGAAGCCTACAGGACCATCACAGATGCTCTAGGTAACTCTCACAGCGGAGGGTAAGTCTGTCCCCTTCTTAATCAATACGGAGCCTACCCACTCCACATTACCTTCTTCTCAAGGGCCTGTTTCCCTTGCCTCCATAACTGTTGTGGGTATTGACGGCCAGGCTTCTAAACCTCTTAAAACTCCCCAGCTCTGGTGCCAACTTAGACAATACTCTTTTAAGCACTCCTTTTAGTTATCCCCACCTGCCCAGTTCCCTTATTAGGCCGAGACACTTTAACTAAATTATCTGCTTCCCTGACTATTCCTGGACTACAGCTACATCTCATTGCCGCCCTTCTTCCCAATCCAAAGCCTCCTTTGCGTCCTCCTCTTGTATTCCCCCACCTTAACCCACAAGTATAAGATACCTCTACTCCCTCCTTGGAGACTGATCATGCACCCCTTACCATCTCATTAAAACCTAATCACCCTTACCACCCACAACACCAATATCCCATCCCACAGCATGCTTTAAAAGGATTAAAGCCTGTTATCACTTGCCTGCTACAGCATGGGCTTCTAAAACCTATAAACTCTCCTTACAATTCCCCCATTTTACCTGTCCAAAAACTGGACAAGTCTTACAGATTAGTTGAGGATCTGCGCCTTATCAACCAAATTGTTTTGCCTATCCATCCTGTGGTGCCAAACCCATACACTCTTTTGTGCTCAATACCTTCCTCCACAACTCACTATTCTGTTCTGGATCTTAGAGATGCTTTTTTCACTATTCCCCTGCACCCTGCGTCCCAGCCTTGCTTTGCTTTCACCTGGACTGACCCTGACACCCATTAGGCTCAGCAAATTACCTAGGCTGTACTGCCACAAGGCTTCACAGACAGCCCCCATTATCTCAGTCAAGCCCAAATTTCATCCTCATCTGTTACCTATCTCCACATAATTCACATAAAAACACACGTGCTCTCCCTGCTGATTGTGTCCGATTAATCTCCCAAACCTCAATCCCTTAAAAAACAACTCCTTTCCTGCCTAGGCATGGTTAGTGCGGTCAGAATTCTTACACAAGAGCCAGGACCTCACCCTGTAGCCTTTCTGTGCAAACAACTTGACCTTACTGTTTTAGCCTAGCCCTCATGTCTCCATGCAGCAGCTGCTGCCACCCTAATACTTTTAGAGGCCCTCAAAATCACAAACTATGCTCAACTTACTCTCTATATTTCTCATAACTTCCAAAATCTATTTTCTTCCTCATACCTGACGCATATACTTTCGGCTCCCTGGCTCCTTCAGCTGTACTCACTCTTTGTTAAGTCCCACAATTACCATTGTTCCTGGCCCGGACTTCAATCTGGCCTCCCACATTATTTCTGATACCACACCTGACCCCCATGACTGTATCTCTCTGATCCACCTGACATTCACCACATTTCCCCATATTTCCTTCTTTCCTGTTCCTCACCCTGATCACACTTGATTTATTGATGGCAGTTCCACCAGGCCTCATCACCACACACCAGCAAAGGCAGGCTATGCTATAGTACAAGCCACTAGCCCGCCTCTTAGAACCTCTCATTTTCTTTCCATCGTGGAAATCTATCCTCAAGGAAATAACTTCTCAGTGTTCATCTGCTATTCTACTACTCCTTAGGGATTATTCAGGCCCCCTCCCTTCCCTACACATCAAGCTCAAGGATTTGCCCCCACCCAGGACTGGCAAATTAGCTTTACTCAACATGTCCCGAGTCAGATAACTAAAATACCTCTTAGTCTAGATAGGCACTTTCACTGGATAGGTACAGGCCTTTCCTACAGGGTCTCAGAAGGCCACCGTAGTCATTTCTTCCCTTCTGTCAGACATAATTCCTCAGTTTAGCCTTCCCACCTCTATATAGTCTGATAACAGACCAACCTTTATTAGTCAAATCAGCCAAGCAGTTTTTCAGGCTCTTAGTATTCAGTGAAACCTTTATATCCCTTACGGTCCTCCATCTTCAGGAAAAGTAGAACGGACTAAAGGTCTTTTAAAAACACACCTCACCAAGCTCAGCCACCAACTTAAAAAGGACTGGACAATACTTTTGCCACTTTCCCTTCTCAGAAGTCAGACCTGTCCTCAGAATGCTACAGGGTACAGCCCATTTGAGCTCCTGTATAAATGCTCCTTTTTATTAGGCCCCAGTCTCATTCCAGACATCAGACCAACTTAGACTGTGCCCCCAAAAAACTTGTCATCCCTACTGTCTTCTGTCTAGTCATACTCCTATTCACCGTTCTCATCTACTCATACATGCCCTGCTCTTGTTTACACTGCCAGTTTACACTGTTTCTCCAAGCCATCACAGCTGATATCTCCTCGTGCTATCCCCAAACCACCACTCTTAACTCTTAAAGTAAATAAATAATCTTTACTGGCAAGGCTATGCTGAACCACCTTAGGCACTCTCTAATTAGATGTCGTAGGTCCTCCCAATTCTGAGTCCTTTAATACCTGTTTTTCTCCTTCTCTTATTCTGTTTAGTTTTTCAATTCATACAAAACTGTATCCAGGCCATCACCAATCATTCTAAATGACGAATGTTTCTTCTAACAACCCCACAATATCACCCCTTACCACAAAATCTTCCTTCAGCTTAATCTCTTCCACTCTAGGTTCCCACGCCGCCCCTAATCCCGCTCGAAGCAGCCCTGAGAAACATCGCCCATTCTCTCTCCATACCGTCCCCCAAAATTTTCACCGTCCCAACACTTTACCACTATTTCGTTTTATTTTTCTTATTAATATAAGAAGACAGGAATGTGAGGCCTCTGAGCACAAGCTAAGCCATCTTATCCCCTGTGACCTGCACGTACACATCCAGATGGCCGGTTCCTGCCTTAACTGATGACATTCCACCACAAAAGAAGTGAAAATGGCCTGTTCCTGCCTTAACCGATGACATTGTCTTGTGAAATTCCTTCTCCTGGCTCATCCTGGCTCAAAAGCTCCCTCACTCCTTGTGACCCCCACTCCTGCCCACAAGAGAACAACCCCCTTTGACTGTAATTTTCCTTTATCTACCCAAATCCTATAAAATGGCCCCACCCTTATCTCCCTTCCCTGACTCTCTTTTCAGACTCAGCCCGCTTGCACCCAGATGATTAAAAGCTTTATTGCTCACACAAAGCCTGTTTGGTGGTCTCTTCACAAGGACGCGAATGAAAGTAAAATAACCATTAGATACAAATGAAAGATACAACATTTATTCCCTCTTGGAATGTATGATGTAGAACACTTAAAATTTGGACACATGCCTGAAAACTACCTGCAGATGAAACAGAAGCTACCTCAGAGAGACTCAGGAACTGCACATTTCAAGAGACATGCTCTTTTCTGGTTTCAGTTCCTCCCTCTAGGATCAATATTTCTAGTAACCCTGCACCTAGGTCTGGATGCAAAATAAGATGAGAAATCTATTTGCCTAAACCCTGTCAGAATTCTACTACTTATTCTGTTCACAGAAAGCATAAATGTCATTTTTATTATTACTGTTTGCATTGTATTGATATAAATTATTCTTTAAAAGTTATATATCTACAATTAAGACACAGAATGAAAACTTATGTGACTATTGTTAACAAAATCATTTCAGAATACTGATAACATACCCTCTTCAGTGTTGTCATATTTGTTTTCAAAACTAACAAGTATATTTATTAAATGAAGATTTTCTTATATACTGTCATTTTAAAAATTATTTTCATTGCCATGTACTAACACTTAAATCTATAATCAGCTGTGAGACCATATGTAAAACAGTGAAAGAAAAATGAAACTCAAATAACAGTATAAAATACTATAAATCATGCATAGTAAACACTTATACAGTAATCTCTTTATCAATATCCAAGGCTCTGAGACTTATTTATTCTCTTATTCTTAGAGAAACATCTCAAATTTGATTTATTTATGTTATTTCAATTAATAGGGAAGAGCTGACAAATACTTTCTACAGTAAGTCCCAAAGATCTGTTAAGAAAAATAATCCAGACATGAAAATAAAGCAGAAAATTGCTGTGTGTCCATTTAACATTATAGCATTGTATAACAGGCCCACTCAGTACTATTTAATTCACTGGGGAATGGACCTTTAACTTGCTATTTACTATTAATTTATGCCCCAAATTTGTAAAGGTTAGTATTAACTTGTATAATGTTGCCCAGAGGAGAAGCAAATGATTTCTGTCTGATAGAAAAGATAAACACAAAATGTACAGTTATATTGACCTATTGGACATGAAACAGTTTTGTTTCTAACTTACCAAATTTATTTCAGCATGACTTTTCTAAGTAGCTATAAAATTTCTTCTGCTTCAAATGCTCTGAATCAACGTTACTATTCTACTGGATTCCTCATTAATTAGTTGAATATATCTTTGATATGTGTTCACTGTATATCTGTATGAGAGTCATGATTTTAGCAATGAAAATTATACCTTGACAGTTTTGGAGATTCCAAAGAAACGTTCAAGTAGACTCTTTTGCTTGAGGCAATTAAACTTTATGTCTAAAGAAATGCACCTTGCACTTTATGATTTGTAAAATCCCTGGGTGTATTCTACCTCCCCTCCTTGGGACTCTGGATTAATTCCTAAGGTACAATAGAAATTTACCTTCAATAAGTCTCTGTCTTTCTCTCTATTTTTCAATCACTCCCTCTCTCTCACTCTGTGGTTTTATTTTTGCTTCTAGCTCTTATTCTGGTTTGCTTATGTTAAGACATTTTTCCCCATCAGGAACAGCAATGGTTGAGGATCAAATTTTACAATCCGATCTCTGGTGGGATAATGAGAATCTCTGTAAGGTTGGAAATGAAAGAGTGTTGCTTGTTAGTCTTTTTCTTTGTTTTGCTCTTTGTCTATAGTGAGTTTTGGTCAATTAATAAAATATTTTATGCTCATTGTAAAGGACAAATACCCTGAGATCTGAACCTATAAGCTTTTATGTTCTGTTTAGATTTGACCCTGGTCACAGCACATACCAAAGTTGCAAGTTCTCTGTGTCTCAGCATCCAAAACTGAGAAAGGCTTTACCATTTATTCTATGAATCGGAAATATTTTTATGCTTCATAAGTGTACACAAGATTATATAATGTCTCTTAAATTAAAAAAGCTTTATTTTTACTTCTTATAGAAAAAAGTAATAAATAATAAATAATAATAAGGAACAGAAGATTTCCAGGGATGGAAAGGGAAGAAAACCTCACATTTTGAAGTGTTATTCTTGAATAAACAAACAGACAAACAAACAAAACAAACTTCCTTCAAAATCTACTAACTCAGAATCAATTTATATAAAAATCTATGTTTACATGATCAAGGTGAATCCCTGGCGAAAATCAGAAAATCTATAATTTTGGTTAAAAAATACTTTGTTCTTTCTCTGATTTTATTTATTTGCATAACTATACAAGAATACATCACATTTTAAATATATTTTGCGTTTCTTTCTCATAAAAAGATTAATGAATATGAACTTTCTAAACTTCTTATATTGGTATACAGATCATGTAAGCTAGTGATACTCCTACATTAATGTTTAAGATTATGAACAATGTATAATACTGTGCCAATATATTAAATTGTAATTCCAGCCAGACTTTTAAAATATCATCTGTGATTATGCTCTCTAGTATGCCAGCTTAAACATAATTTTCAGATTCTTGATTAATTTAAAATCCTGGGACAAAATTAAATTGAATTAATGACAATCTTGGAACACCTGGATTTTTTTTCTTACTTTTCCTAAGTAAGAAAAAATTTAGAATTCTCATCTAATATTTCATTGAATAACTATATCTCCTGTTCATGTTTACGAAGATGTTCATTCATTCAAGAAAGTGTTAAAGAAATTATTCGAGCTGTAGAAGCTTCTCCTATGTATGTTTGTGAACTTTGTTCATACATTCAAATATTTGTATATTAACATGTAGTTTTCAATGGCCTACTTCTTAATTTTCACTGTGAAATAGAAATTAATTTGCTTAAGAGTTAGAATTAATATAGTAGCTGAGTCTATTCTAGGAATGATAGTGGCAACAAAATACAACTGAAAGTAATGAATGTGTTCCTCTCTTCCCTGTCTCCTCCTCTTTCTCCACCTTGGGGGATAAAGAAAAAGTCATTTTGCCCTAAAATAAAATGTCAGCTTGTTTTCAGAATAAGAAAGGCTATTGCACAGGACAAAATTTAAGTTGGTAATACAATCTGTAACTTGTTTGAAGGAAGTGAATTTTTTTTTGTCTTGTTTTATAATTTATTATGAATTGAGCTTTGTCTTAAAAATATATATATATTAAAGCTGGGCACAGTGGCTCACACCTGTAATCGCAGAACTTTGGGAGGCCGAGGCAGGTGGATCATGAGGTCAGGAGTTCAAGACCAGCCTGGCCAACACGTCTTTACTAAAAATACAAAAATTAGCCGGGTGTGGTGTCGTGTGTCTGTAATCCCAGCTACTCCAGAGGCTGAGGCAGGACAATTGCTTGAACCTGGGAGGTGGAGATTGCGTGACCCGAGGTTGTGCCATTATACTCCAGAGCAAGACTCCATCTCGGGCAGGGGGCTGGGGGAAGTTATAAATATATATGAGAATCATGGTCCACAGTACCTGTGAATGTCAACTTATTTGGAAATAGAGCTTTTGCAGATATAATCAAGTAAATAAAGATGAGGTATTATAAAGGGCCATAATTCAATATTATTAGAGCCATATAAGAAGAGGAGAGAGATACAGAGAAAAAAACACCACGTGAAGACACAGAGACAGAGGGAGGAAGATGAACATGTAAACCATGGAAGCAAAGATGGGAGTTATGCTGCCACGGCTGAAGAATGCCTGAGGCTACCGAAAGCTAGAAGAGGCAAGGAATGATCCTCCCCTAAAGGCTTTGGAGGGAGCACCGCCCTGCCTGCAGACTGCTTGTCTCTAGAACTGAGAGACAATAAATTTCTGTTGATTTAAGCCACTTGTTGCAGTAATATGTTATGGCAGCCCCAGAAAATTGAATCACAATTCCCATAGGTATGTATCTGAAAAGAAACAATGAAACATATTAAAACATCAAATCTGACTCAGTTTTAGGGGTTCGCCCATTTTAAAAATTGTATATTCTCTACTGCTAAAAGTTATATTAAAGAAGAACTAAAATTTTGGTTTTTTGAAGGATAAAATAACTAATTGGTCTTAGAGTATTTAGTCTGCTCTTAACAAATAGTAATAACAAGTAATTTTTACTTTTTGGATTATCTTCCCATGTAATAGAGATTCTATATTTTGCTAGGATAATTTTCTGTGGTTCAAACTGAATTGACTTAATTCTTGATTTTTTTAAAAAAAAATAAGTATTTCTTCAGAAAAAGCTATTATTTTTGTGTTATCTTCTTTTATATGTTCTTAAAAATATTACATTTTGCCTTTGACTTATAAGTAGTTAAGCTAACACTATTTATTGTTCTCAAGTATCTACATGTCTATCTTAATCAAATGGCCATAGCTTATTTGAAAATTATTTTGATTTTATGATCCCAAGATTACATCTTAAATTCAGAAAAAAGTATAATTTTCAAGATGTCTTTTATACTCAAGATTATCTTTGCAGTTTCCCAGATAGCCTTTGCAAACATTATGATCATTTTTTCTTTCACTTCAAAAAGAGGAAGATGCTAGAAATAATTAGATTTGTTTTATATGCTTCTTATTAATTAGCTCAATATTATTGTAAGATCTACAAGAGAAAGGTGTCAAATGAAAAGTAAAGTTTAGCCTTTCTTAGGCTAATTCTATACAAATAAAAATTATTAAAATAAATATGTTTTAAAGATGATGTTTTTTACAAGATATATTGGATTTCCCAGGAAACGTATGAATGCTCTTACTATTTATAATATGTTCTTGCCCTCAGTGTTAAGAACTGATCAATTCCTTTGAAAGGAGTTATTTACTTCACCCCAAAAGAATCATCCCCTCCACTCTGATATTGTTGATTACTGTAACGAGACAAGTCGTATTCAGTCAACATCATCATCATCAACATCAACAGGTTGCTTCTACTCCCCTCTCATGCTTAACAGAAGGCTCAAGAGCCACAGAATTTGTTGGATGTTCAACAAAGGACAGTATTAAGCCTTTGTAGAACAAAAAGAACTGTGCCAAGTATTCTTAACTACTGTGACATCAAGGGAAAAATTCATGTGTATGGGATTTTGAGTTGATACTGCTTAGAAAACTGTCAGTCTATACTGGGAACTGAGTCATGATTTTCTCTTCTCTATTTGAGAACCAGATGACTCAAGAATGCAGCCTGATGACTCAAGATCCAGTAAGAATAAGAAATAATTAAGAACTGAATGAACCAATGAAGGAAATTCAATTTTGGTTACTTTTTATTGGAAGTATGACGATATTATTACTACTATGTTTACTGTTCTATTTTGATAAATAGATAAGGAAGCCTTTCTTTTTGATCAATTTCTAGCCCTGGATGTAATAGACTATGCTTTTGCAAAGTGATAAAGTGTATTTAAATAACATACTTTTCCCTCTCCTTTCGGAATTTACAAACAATACTTTTACTAAGTTTCTTTCTTTTCAATGGCAATGTAGTTATTTTTGTAGGCTTAATAAAAATTTGTCATCCTTTTTGCAAGACTATAATTGCACAGAATATATATCCAAAATCATTACTGAAGTTTTGTGCTTTACCTGATCACATATTATAATCTTACAATTAAGAAAAAATATTGTACTTTATATATGGAATTAATTTCTACACAGAATTTCTCAGAAACAGGCCTGATAACTGTTCTATGGTTTATGGGTTCCAAGCCTTACAGGTAATAATGTGGAAGTTCACTTCCTAGCAGGCTGGAAACCAGGACCTTGGGAGACCTTGAGGGGAAAAGAATTTAACCTTATTTATATATACTGCTAGTGAAATCTGTAGAGGTGAATTTTTGGGGGATTGGTTTCTGAGACTCCAAAATAAAAAGCCAATAAGAGTGATTAAAAAGAAATCTCTGGAATAATAGAAAATATTGAAAATGCAATCCTAGGTTCTCTATAAAATTTTCAAATGAAAAGTAACTCTCTAAACCCACCATGTATCCAAAAAAACTTTTAAAAAAAGAAAAAGAAAAGTAACTCTCTGCCTTAATCATTGCTCAAGGTCAGATGGGTCTAGATTTTGTTAACTATACAACGCAGAGGCTTGTATGGCTAACATTTGCACTGTGCCTGTGTAAATTATTTAGACCGACCAAAAAAGGAGATTAACCATTTTTGTGAACATATTTGGAAATTATGTAAAATAACAGTTAAAGATTGTTAAGAACATTTATTCAAAATATGGAAGCAAGACAATAGAATGGCCAAATGTTCTTTGAATATCACATTGGGCATTGTCTAACCAGCTTATCCAAGGATTATCAATAGAACAGGTGTTTGCAAACTATGGTATGTCAGCCAAATTCATGGCCTATTTGTTTATGATCTTCAAGCTGAGAATGTATTTTACATTTTTTAAGTGTCGCAAAAGATGAAATAAACAGGGTCTCAGGAAAAGGGAAAATGGGGAGTTACTAATCAATGAGTATAAAGTTTCAGTGAAGATAGACAAGTACAATCTAGAGATCTGCTGTACAACATTGTACTCATAGTAAACAGTACTGCATTTTACACTTAAAAAGTTGTTAGGAGGGTAGATCTCACATGAAATGTTCTTACCACAGTAAAATAAAATTAAAGAAACAGAAAAACAAAATGAAGAATATACAAGGAGGCTGTGGCCGGAAAAGGCAAAATATTTACTATCTGGCCTTTATGAAAAAGGTTTGTCAATCCATGGTCTAGAATATATTTTCATCTGATTTGCAATTTACATTAGCACCTAAATTCTAGGAAGTTGCATGTTAATTCATAGATTTTTATTCTATAAAAAGGCACATTATTTCTATCTGGTAGAAAAGGTAACCCTAACTGTTATATTTTTATTAGCTAACAGTAAGTACATTGACCAGTCTTGTCTCCAATATAACAAACTTACTTGAGGTCTTTCATGAGGGACTATATAAATAAATGTTTTTCAAACACTCTTTAGGCCAGCTTTACCATTCTTCTTGGTCCTTCATTAATGACTTAAAGACAGTTTGGTATAGGGTTACTACATATTTGTATGAAAGTCATGTTTTGAAATCATATTTTGACAACTCTAAGTATGTGTATTAAAACAGATATATGTATATATGATAAAAATCATTCCTTTGACTTCCAATAAGAAGTTTACTTTCTGAATTTCTCTGTAGGAAACAGATTCAGAGACCAGGGTTAGTTGCAATAGTAAAAGTTTTATGTGTGTGTGTGTGTGTGTGTGTGTGTGTAATCTTCAATCGTCTTTTTTCTTATTATTTTATATATACACGTATACATATATACATATGTGTATATGTACATACACATTTATATATATTTTTCTTCAAAGGGACATCACTTTTAGGATCAAAAAAGTAATAGAGCTGTTAGAGCTATTTACATTTTACTATTAAAAGCACAAATGAGCGAGATATGTATATTAAGAAATATTACGATTGCCATTTAGCTGCTATTATGCACCCAAAAAGCCCCTTCTTCAGTGACTTAATGATTTTTTACTACATTTCAAAACATTTAAAGTTCTAAAATTTGGTGTTAAAATTAAATGTCACAGCAGCTGTAGTAAGAGCTTCAATTTCTTTTCTTTTTAATTTTTTAATGCTGTATTTTTTTTAAAAAAGACTCTATTCAAATGCATGCAGAGAATCTCCTGACCTTAATTCTAATATGGAAACCAGATTATATAATAGGATGGCCTAATTTAATATTGTAAGTCTGTGTGGTGGTTAACCAAAGAAGTGGCATATTAATTTCAATTCAGATGTCAGTCTGTATCTGCTAAATTTTGTTTACTATAATTTGAATATTGAGGACATGTCTGCTACAATATGTTGAAAAATTACTTAAGTATAAATCTTTACATATAAAATATTTGTTTAATAAATGATAAATTACACAACAGTATGTTATTTTGCATAATTTAAATAATTTACATATCCAAAAATATATAGTGTATGATTGAGTTAATTATAGTATACCTATTCAAATAATTTTTTGTGACCACTAAAAATAATTATTAAAAAGACTGTGTAATAATTTGGATAAATTTTATTTTGTGACATGTTGATAACTGAAATAGTATAATTATATTTAAGAACATGTGCATGCACAAAATATAAGGCTTTCTCTTTTCTTTCAAATTCTTTCTCTCAGTTTCTTGTAGTGTTTTCTCTTTGCTTTTTAATTCACTCTAGTAAAGCTGAAATTTTAAATTGTTACATGAATTGTATCATTCATTGTTGTATGGCACAATGCCAATTTTAAATGAAAATATAAAGGCTTTTGACTTGCATAAGAATCACCAAAATTGTATAATTCATATTTCATTATTTGTGCATAAACATGTATTTAGTTCTTAAAAGAATAGTGGAAATGCTGCACAAAACTATCTCAACTGTTTTCATTTTACTGTCCGATAGGTGAGTATTTACATTCTCTACCTGTTGCACGCTTAATAAAGAAAGACTGAAATTAAAACGGATTCTGGGTTGCCCTATTGTTCCCTTTCTGTCATGACTTTTAGTGCAAATGGCAGGGTAATAGACAAAGTAGCATTAGCAAGAAAGGCTATAATGGGGTTCTCAGTTATTTGTGTTTCTTAGATCAATATTGCCTTCTTTCTGTGTTTGAAGCAAGTTCTAGTTTGAATGGAAAGTGAGGACTCTCAGGGTTGTCAGCGTCCCTGCTTACTTAGACATATATGTAACAGCACGCCTTTTACTGGGTTTGAGTCCCTCTAAATTCCCATGCACTATGGATTCACCAGCATCTTAGGTTTATGGTAGCACTGGGGATGTTGTAAAAGAATGGGAATCTAGAAACAATGGACATACATATTGCACAAGTCTCTTGTCCCTTCAGACCTCAATTACAAAGCACAAGTTCAAAGGTAAAGTTATTAAAAATTTCAAGAGTGAAATAGTAGAATATTAAGCTAAGCATGGAACCCATCTGAGCATGGACCCCTGTTTTGTTGCAGAGGCCACATTTCCATGACGCTGACCCTTAGGTGTAATTTGAATTATTTTCTCCGCTTGTACTGAACAATCATAATAGGCAGGTGAAACCAAATGTTAAAACAATTCAAGCTTTGACAGAGGTACCAGGCTGTAACAGAGGCTATCTTATTCTTTGTTAATGTGTTTATAGAAAGTATACTCTGAGCTGTTTCATTTCCCCATCATCAAGGGAAGTGGGAAGTATCTTTATCTGAGGCCCTGAAGAGCTTTCAGATGAATTACATAACAAGTCTCTTGTGTGCGTCCTCTGAAATTGGGAGACAGACCGAATCTTGCTCTGTTGCCCAGGCTGGAGTGCAGTGGCGCAATCCCGGCTCACTGCAAGCTCCACCTCCCGGGTTCACGCCATTCTCCTGCCTCAGCCTCCCAAGTAGCTGGGACTACAGGCACCCACGACCATGCCCAGCTAATTTTTTGTATTTTTAGTAGAGGCGGGGTTTCACATGTTAGCCAGGATGGTCTTGATCTCCTGACCTCGTGATCCACCTGCCTCGGCCTCCCAAAGTGCTGGGATTACAGGCGTGAGCCACCGCGCTGGCCGACTACTGCTTTCCATAGAGCGTATGTGACCACTTGGGGTCATACAGGCAGAAATAACTTGTGCCTCCAAATGACTTTCTGAAAAGGTAGAGAATTCAACAGTGAGAGTATGTGTGTGGAATGGATCACAGGAGACACAGCCAAGCAGAGATCTCTTCTAAGGGACCTAAGACACACACTGTCAGTGTTCAAATTCACATAAAAATGCAGTATTGGAATGCCAAGAAAATGTGGGAGCCACAACTAGTTCTGTAATTTCTGATGCAATACTCTATACCTTTAAGCTCCCTCGCCAAGTCATCATAATTTGTTTTAAAACAGATGCTTCTTGATTTATGGGCATCAAACTGCTATCTCATTTTCTGAGAGACAAGACCCTAATACTCAGTGGCAAATATGAAGTGGTAACCATGTTGTTTTCAATTTAGAAAAGCCTAGGAGGAACTATAGATTATTTTAAAAGACTCTTTCAAACATCTCTGCCTTCTATGCTTCAATTACACTTAATACAGCACAGTAGCATTGGTAACGATTCAAGCTGTCTTCTGGACCACAGCTACAAAGCATGAATATGCCATTTCCTTCATCACTCTCTATGAAAATGTAACTGTGATTTTCATAAGAGCTAAAAACTTCTGTTGTTGCTATCATCAATTTATAGACTTCGCAGTTAGTGATGACAGGATATGAAAGGCCTTCCTAATGATATATGCTCTTTCTTGTTAACAGTTTTGTTTTGCTTTTTTTTTCCTAAATTTTGTCTCATTAATTATTGTTTCTGATGTAATGGCAAACCAATTATACAACTTTTACAGAAACAAAGTTGTCAATTTTTTTTTCTTCTCAAAATGAGCTTTTATTTTTCTAAGACTTCATTTAGAGTATAATCCCCTCCAGGGCAGGAACTATAATTCAAGATTTTTCAAAAGTACTCAAGAACTTCTGGAATTTTGTTTTGTGCAAAGCGTATACTCAATAAATATTATTGAGATGCCTGCTTATAAAATCTACACAAAGTAATTTGCTTCTCTGTGAAACTTCAGGAATTTGAGTCCCCAAAGACTGCTACTGCCTAAAGGGTAGAAGATAAGTAAGGAAGAGAGGACATAAAAGATTAATGGTCATTCTCATTGTAGCAGATGTTTACGAGGGATTTGGCACAACCATCCTCTGTCACATCACATGTAACATTTTGTACTATTTCTGGGTTCTGTTTGCCCTAAGGTACCTGCTGTTTTTTTCTTTGAGATGACAAGGAAATTTATAGTCAAGAATTTTATCTATTTTATTAAATGATGCAGAGATATAGACTCTTGTGATTATATATATACACATATGGCTATATATATATATATATATGACAAGAAGGAGAAAGAATTTGTGAGTTAAAGTAAAATCAGCCACTGAAGATATTATATGCTACTATTCATTTAGTGGAAAAAAGTATACATGAAATTGAAAATAAATCTAATATATTACTAAAAAGCAAGGCGAAAACAACCGAAGAAAAGAATTTCAAGCTCCATGTATACACACAGCATTCAAGTCAGAACAACTCAAAAAATGACACTCACTGTGTGAATAGAACTAGGATGGACAGACTTCACATTTTTCTAAAACAAATCTGTCCTTTGGAATTTCCCATGCTCTATTAATCTTTTCGGATTCCTAGAAATACTGTGGCTCCTCCAAATTCAGCAAGCTTAGATCAGACATTGAAGTGCCTGTGTGTCTTTTTTGTCTTATGTGTGGGTTGATGAAAATTTACTTCCTCAAAATGAAAAGGATAACTCTTTACAATAGGAACCAGCAGACTTTTTTTCTATAAAGGGCCAGACCAAACTACGTTTGGCTTTGAGAGCTCTATATGCTGTATTGCAACTGCTCACCACTGTTATTGTAGTGTGAAAGGACACAGACAACATGAAAACACAGTAAATGGGTGTGACTGTTCCAATAAAGCTTTATTTTCAAAAACAGATAGTGGAGCAAATTTGGCTTGTAAAGTTTTAGTTTCCCAACTACTGTTCTACAGTAGAACAGTAGTCTATTCTACTAGTATACCAGC
The DNA here is from genome assembly GCF_000001405.40 of Homo sapiens. Classification (NCBI taxonomy): domain Eukaryota; kingdom Metazoa; phylum Chordata; class Mammalia; order Primates; family Hominidae; genus Homo; species Homo sapiens. The sequence goes on along the minus strand of NC_000001.11, from coordinate 79,627,147 downwards.
ATACTAGTATACTAGTATAGTAGAACAGTAGTCTGTCAAAAATAACCTTTCCCTGGCTTCAGTTCCTTTTCATTCAGTGAGTATTCAGAAATGAAGGAGATGCTTGTGTAAGTTTTAGAACCAGGCAAAGCAAGGCAAATGTTACTGGAGCAGTATACTAACCCTGAACTCTAAAGGTCAATCTGGCTATGTTTTCATGGTGAACTTACCAGCAATGCTCTTATAAACATCTCTTGAGAGCTTATAAGATTTCACAAGACATTTCTTATAACAGAAACTGTAAATCCAGGCTCATATCCAGTAAAACATATATAATATTTTTGCATTAAGACGGACATTTGCTGTACAAACAGCACATGATTTTGTGCCAAGCACCCTGTATCTATGTAGTAAATATTAATTAAACGAAATGCTCTAATTCTCATTCTCCTTGCATTTATTTTGCTGAGTGAATTTGAATATTTAAATAATTCAGCATATTCTTAACTTCCCAATTGCCACCCAATAGCTTAGATCAATGGTATGAGGTCAAGACTCCCACACAGGCTGAGATCTGAGAGACAACGCTTGATGAATCTATTATTCTTTTTTTCCATATTAAAATGCTTTGGAATACAGAAAACATACAAAATATCTTCATGTTTTTAATGACTGCCTCTTTTCAAATACATATCCATTATTAATTTATGCAAGATATCCCATTTGAACATGTGTCACTGGATTACTAAAAAAATAGGTCAGGTTTTAAATTGTCATTTTATATCCTATATTTAAAGAAATAGACAACAGAAGAAAGATATAGATCAGAGACTAGAGAAATTGATTTTAAAAAAGGAAAACTACCTTTCCAAATGATGCAAACAGATTAAGTGAAAAAGCATTATTAGAAAAGGGAGGCACAATTTCATATAAATATAAAGCACCAGCAGTTATATTGCCATATAAGTCTCGGTACACTATGGGATACTCCTTAGGAGGCCGTCTGAATCTTACATGATCTGAAACAACAGGATGACATGGAGACTCCTTGCTCTCCTTTTACTTAGATTAAAATATTGTGTGTGCATGTAAGTGCGTGTGTGTGTGTGTGTAAAACAGGTATAGATCAATAAAATTTTAAAAAAATTTTCACTTTACCATACTTATCAGTCTTTAAGTTAAAGGTTGTGATTCATATGTATACCTACAACACAGAAGCCAAAATTTGAATCAACTCCACATTACATAATGAACTAAATATATTTCAGTATTTGTCAGGCCCTGGTTGGCTAGCTAATATTCACATCAAAATCAGAATGCTCATGAAAACCAAATGCAATCTAAGAGCAACATCTTAATCCTATGAAATTGTCTCTGATTTTTTAATTGTAAAATTATGTTATTTTATTAGAGTAATAAATAATTCATAAACTATACATAAGATGAAAATAAAATCTGTACTGCTGTAGTTCCAGAAAGCCACATGAAAAGTTAGAGCTTTAATTCTCTTACCCAAACTTTTGTCTACTTTTGTATCTTTTCATCTATGATCTCTAATCTGCATAGATATTTGACATCATTTGTGAATGCTTTATGACCTACTCCAAAGCCTTTAAGTTGGTTTTATATGTTACACATAACTCTTCTACATGGAGTTGTTTGTAATAGGCCTGAAATTTGTTCTCACACTAATATCCTTATATTATCTTTCTAGTGTCTAAACATAATGTTCTTTGTCACCATTAAGCTTGATGAAAGCTATTCAGCACGTTCGTGAAAAATATTTCTTCTTCTCTTTGGAAAATTTGATAGTTACCCGAAGAAAAATCATTCAGATTTGTTTTCCATTTGCCAACAGTGAAACTATATATTAATAGTAAAGTGTCAACCCCCAATTTACATTTTTAAAAGGGTACGAAAGATGGAATAATCAGAGCGCTTCCAATAATAAAAGCCTAAATAACACCCTGAAAAACAATTTTCAACCTTTCAGAGGCTTAAATCCACTTAATGACAGGTGACAAGCAGGAATAGATTTGTCTGGAATTCTTTTAATCAAAAGTTGTTATGCTCCCTTTCTGGTCCAAATTCTAGCTTCAGGTAAAAGTAATTTTCACATTTGCTAAAGTCAGAAAGAAAATATTAGCTTTCTTTCTAAAAGCAGAAAACATGGATGAAGGCAAGGGACTTTACTTTTAGTAAGTTGGCTTCAAATGCATACATAGAAAAAGTCAGATCGAATTTGATAAATGTAAGCCTTGGACAGACATTAGCTACAGTGAGCTACTCTGTTCACTTTCAATTGGATAAACTACTAAAGGAATGAATATAATTACTAGAAAACAACAACAGCAAGAGCATATTAAGGCAAGATACAAATCAATCAGGTAAAAAACAGTACTAACAACATTAACCACTACCACCTAACCATTAAAACACCGCCATGATTTTAGGTTCTTATGGATATATTTAAATGTTAAGCAGCTACTATATAACATCAACAGCACAGAAACAAGGTATTTTAAATGATCTATAATTGTATATTTCTGAAAAATATTTACCAGCTCATAAATTTTACAAATGGGTGAAATTAGACATTTAAAACAGCAGAGATTATAAATAAACTTCACTAAAGCAGTGCAGCAAAATGGATTTTTAAATATCTTCCACAACTTTTTAACTTAATAACAATTAGGTGCAATGCTAAATACAGGATTTAAACTGTTAAAAGATCTAATGGGGCCAAGCACGGTGGCTCACGCCTGTAATCCCAGCACTTTGGGAGGCCGAGGCGGGTGGATCACGAGGTCAGGAAATCAAGACCATCATGGCTAACACGGTGAAACCACGTGTCTACTAAAAATACAAAAAATTAGCTGGGCATGATGGCGGGCACCTGTAACCCTGTAATCCCAGTTACTTAGGAGGCTGAAGCAGGAGAATGGTGTGAACCCAGGAGGCAGAGTTTGCAGTGAGCCAAGATCGCGCCACTGCACTCCAGCACAGGCTACACAGGCAGACTCCGTCTCACAAAAAAAAAAAAAAAAAAGAAAAAAAAAGAAAAGATCTAATGGGCCAGGGTTGGTGGCTCACTCCTGTAATCCCAGCACTTTGGAAGTCCAAAGCAGGCAGATCACGAAGTCAGGAGATCGAGACCATCCTGGCTAACATGGTGAAACCCCATCTCTACTAAAAATACAAAAAAAAAAAAAAAAATTAGCCGGGCCTGGTGTAGGATGCCTGTAGTCCCAGCTACTTGGGAGGCTGAGGCAGGAGAATGGCATGAACCCCAGAGGGGATCGCAGCACTGCACTCCAGCCTGGGGGACAGAGCGACTCCGTCTCAAAAAAGAAAAAAAAAGATCTAATGAAAACAGCTCTTTGGAGATGAAATGAAAACTATAGGTAAAAGTACAAGTTATCTTCATTGGCTTTTTTCACGTACTAAGTACATCTCTAATCACTTGATTAAGTAGTTCTCACAGTAATCCTATCAAATACGTACTATTATTATCTATATTTTATACTGATAGAAACAAAACCCAGACGTTGTAAATAACCTACTGTGTCCAGAATTCGTTTCTTCCAGTGGGTTCTTGGTCTTGCTGACTTCAAGAATGAAGCTGCGGACCCTCGCGGTGAGTGTTACAGTTCTTAAAGATGGTGTGTCCAGACTTTGTTCCTTCAGATGTTCAAATGTGTCCAGTTTCTTTCTTCCAATGGGTTCATGGTCTTACTGACTTCAGTAGTGAAGCCACAGGCCTTCGCAGTGAGTGTTACAGCTCTTAAAGGTGGCACATCTGGAGTTGTTTGTTCCTCCCAGAGTTGTTTGTTCCTCCCATTGGGTTCATGGTCTCACTGACTTCAGGAGTGAAGCCAGAGACCTTCCCAGTGAGTGTTACAGCTCTTAAAGGTGGCACATCTGGAGTTGTTTGTTCTTCTCGGTGGGTTTGTGGTCTCACTGACTTCAGGAGTGAAGCCATAGACCTTCGCTGTGAGTGTTACAGCTCATAAAGGTAGTGCGGACCCAAAGAGTGAGCAACAGGAAGATTTATTGTGAAGAGCGGAAGAACAAAGCTTCCACAGTGTGGAAGGGGACACAAGCAGGTTGCCGCTGCTGGCTCAGGTGGCCAGCTTTTAGTCCCTTATTTGGCCCCGCCCACATCCTGCTGATTGGTCCATTTTACAGAGTGCTGATTGGTCCGTTTTTACAGACTGCTGATTGGTGCGTTTACAAACCTTTAGCTAGACACAGAGTGCTGATTGGTGTGTTTTTACAGAGTGCTGATTGGTGCATTTACAAACCTTTAGCTAGACACAGAGTGCTGATTGGTGCATTTTTACATAGTGCTGATTGGTGTGTTTACAAACCTTTAGCTAGACACAGAGCACTGATTGGTGTGTTTACAATCCTTTAGCTAGACAGAAAAGTTCTCCAAGTCCCCACCCAACCCAGAAACCCAGCCAGCTTCACCTCTCACTATCAAAGTCTCAAAGTAAGTGGTGAGTAAGTGGTAGAACCAGGAGTCAAAAGTAGAAACATAAAAGACTGTTTGAGCCAGGTGCAGTGGCTCACACCTGTAATCCTGACACTTTGGGAGGGTGAGGCAGGTGAATCACCTGAGATCAGGGGTTTGAGACCAGCCTGGCCAACATGACGAAACCCTGTCTCTACTAAAAATACAAAAATTAGCCAAGTGTGGTGGCACACACCTGTAAGCCCAGCTACTCGGGAGGCTGTGACAGGAGAATCACTTGAACCCAGGACACGGAGGTTGCAGTGAGCTGAGATTGTGCCATTACACTCCAGCCTGGACAACAGAGCAAGACTATCTCAAAAAAAAAAAAAAAAAAAGAGACTGCCTGAGAAGCTTTTAAATAAACTTTAATTTTAGACCTGGACTAAAACAGATGCTTCTTCAAAGGGTTTAACCAAAGTGAGTATAATAAAGGGATTAATTGCAGAGGTTTGGGCAAGGTTAAAAGAACCAACAAAATGCTAGAAAAGCTGAGAGGGGCCATTACAGTGAATGCTGTGGTGTTCTGCCAGCTTTCTCCTCCAGAATAATTTCCTCTTTCCTCCAGCTATGCAGGTTGAGGGCTGAGTGTCCTCAGCCAGAAAGAGCTACCTTCTCCAAGGTTATGGCTCTTCTCTGAGCAGCCCACATCCATAAACTGGTCCTAAAGGAACACAAATACCCAGCCTGCTGATTGGGATTCAAACTTCTCTTAAGCTCCATCTCAGCTTCAGAGCAGAAGCCAATACTGTAAGTGCATCAGAGGACATTTCTTTTTGTCCGATCTCATTTCTTTCCAACTCAGCGTGTGTTTCTCCTAAGCTCGCATCACAGCCAAGCTCCCCCACAGAAATACCCCTCTCAGAATTTGTATCCCAGAGAACTGCCTGAAACAACTAGCAAAGTGTTAGCACCCCAGGGCCTGGAGGGCAAGTGAAGGGATGGATGGTTTTTGTGCTCAGTGAGGACTGCAGCTGTGAAATAAGAATTTTTACAGCAGGAGTGGGAGTGGTGTCTCTAGGAATGCATCAGAGCTAGCATATTGGTGAAAACTGGAGGCAGAGAGAAAATACCTACCCAGCATTCTCTCTCTTTCCATTCTGCCACCTCTTGACTATGTCTTTCATTGGTTGACCCCAACTGGAAGCAGATAGTAGGGAGCCTGGGTAATGAGCTTCATGGTGTTTAATTTCCTGGGGCATACAGCTGGTCCCAGATCTTTTTTTTTTTTCTTTTTGATGGAGTTTCACTCTTATCACCCAAGCTGGAGTGCAATGGCACGATCTCGGCTCACCGCAACCTCTGCCTCCTGGGTTCAAGCGATTCTCCTGCCTCAGCCTCCCAAGTAGCTGGGACTACAGGCATGTGCCACCACGCCAGGCTAAGTTTTGTATTTTTAGTAGAGATGGGGTTTCACCATCTTGGCCAGGCTGGTCTCGAACTCCTGACCTCATGATCCACCTGCCTCGGCCTCCCAAAGTACTGGGATTACAGGCGTGAGCCATTGCGCCCAGCCAAGAAACTAGCTCTTAAAGGGTGTTACAAACCAAGGATAGCTGGCACACCTTAGAAAATAAATGACCTAACTGGTGTTCAACCTCATGTTATTTGAGAATAACAAGGCTCAGTAAGGTTGAGAAATTAATCAATCTTGGTAAATCTGGATGTATCCTGGAATGAAATTATCTTATCTTAAATAAAGGGACAAATGAAACAGAAAACATGGAAACAATGGGGTAATAGATGGTCAAAAGTCTAGCTTTTGTCACTTTCCTCAAAATGGCATCATGATTTGGAAAATACCTGAAACTGTAGCCAAACCTTTACTATTACCCATCAGAACAAGTCAGGCACTGAACACCAATCAAAGATATAATGAAAGTGACATATGGATTAGGGGGCCACGAGTGCTGCTATAGAGAGAGGAAGTCAAAAGATCGTATCTTATTGCTTCCTTCCAGAGTTTATTTCTTAAATAAAATATTGTGACTTTATTGAATTTTTTCAACTGTTTTAAAAATGTTTCCAGTTGGGGGAATTTGAGGAATATGAATGGGAAAAAGAGGTTCAAATACATGAATTGATAGATGGGATAACATAGCAAACACTTATTGTTTAAAGAAAGGACTTCATCTTGCTTTCCTAATGATCTCCAACTTTACTTTTTCTTAAATAATTTTTAAAAATAATCCCTTAAATTACATTAATATCCAGTGAATTAATAATGTTAGCCTTTTTAAAAAAGGTAAAATTTGAATCTATATTTATTATTTAGAGATTATACCTACTTCATAACATACTTTCTTTGAATAAATATCCTCTCTTTCACACAATCCTAAAGGTAACATGACAGATGATGATACAGAGTATTTGTCTAGGAGACTTTCTCAGAATATGTATACAAATACAAACCAGAACAGGAGCCTGAGCAGCAGCCAGGGCAGAAGTTTGTACTACATACCAGGCCCTCTCTCATCCTCTCTGTATTAACCAGGAAACATCTGAATTTTCTCAAGGATATGTGAAAAAATACAGACTTCAATTGATTGCCAGATACAGTTATATTATTAACTTTGAAGAACTCCTATGTGTAGGTTTTCCTTCATTCATATATTGCACATTAGTCATGGTTGAAAACTAACTTTCTTCATCTGATCAGTTGGCTGGCTATAATAGGGTATACCACTGAGAGGAACAGAACAAGATGATGGTTCCAGTGGAAGGTGGCTAGCAAAAAAGACAAACATAAGAGCCTGAGATGCTGCCTTATGAACAACTGACTTTGGTAATGAAGAATACTCAGAGTCCTGGAATTGTCTTCTTATTCCAAACAATCCTCTTGGCTTAACGTCACACTGGGGTAAGTTTGGGTTCCGAAAATAAAATGTGCTCTTATCAGCCAGAGTAAAGAAATTTAAAGAGAAAAGGTAACGTTTTCCTATGCACAGAGGGCAGGCAAGGCTCTTGCTGAAAAGGATTTCTACAATTTGAACTCGTGTGAGCTTAAAAGAATTTGAGAAATCATAGATTACTCCTTCTTTATTATAAAAAGAATAGAATTGAGTCCCAAGAATATGAAACTCTTTAGGTAGAGTCAAACAATATGCTGAGACGAAGCATCTTGAAATGCTCTGTCTATTATATGTAGCCACAGATATTGACACAGATATCTACCCTTTCTGCAGTGAGCCCGATATTTTGTACCAGTAGGTAACATCTCAGGTTGACTCTGGATCCATGTCTTCTTCTACAAAACACTGAATGGATGACTATCTTTCCTATTTACTTCAATGGCTCTTATGATGACAAAATTAAAGAATTATGAAATAGTTTTATAAATAATAAAGAATTATAGATAGTTGTAAAGTTATGGATATTCATAATATCTCATTCTCTTATTCTTTTGTGTCTTGCATGGCATGACACTGTGTGGAACTGTTTTGATTTTCTTCCCTTGGTCAGGAGGAAAAATGTTGAATTATCTCTTCACGTAGAATATTTTAAAAGCTTTGTGATTTAAACTCGTCTTTTCACAGAATATAAGGAGGCACAATGTCTCTTTCTTGTAGGTTGCATTATTTGACATCCATATATTTAGTGTCTGTGACTAAATATTGTTTTCAGTAATCCAAACCATTTTTCTGAAAAGACATTTTAAAAAGGGGTGGAGAGAGGAAAAGAGAGGGAGAAAAACAAAGAGAGAAGGGAGAAAAGAGAGAAGGATGGAAAGAGGAAGAAAGTGGAGAAAGATGGGAGGTAAAGAAGGAAGACTTTCCTCTGAGACATATCAGGCTTTCTAGTTTAGAGCTGTATCACTTTGACTCTAGACTTGCAAAGATCTTTTAGACTATTTAATATGGCATTGCACAAATAACAAGCGTATCTATTATTATCACCCAGAAGTTCTATACCTTAGAACTCAAGATATGGGGCTATTTCTGGATGATACAATTGTATCTAAGTTACACTTACAATCCATCCTCCTTATTCCCAATACTCCCATCTCCCATCCTCACCCCCACCTGTCCTTCAACCACCTAGTTCCTGAATCACTAGTACCTTGAGGACATTTTCTTTCTTGGTCAGGTCAGTCAAAAAACATGTGCAGATGTTCAAAACATGATATATTTTATGAGTTTGACATTTTTACTGCATTTTTTCCTTCAGAAGTTAATTCAGTTTTACTGTTGAAGAAAACTGTCATTTTACTGTACAAAAAAAACACTTTGCTGTGCAAATGGCAACATCTCTCCCTAGGGCAAAATGGTGGCTTGTGAATTGTCTCCAAAAGAAAACTGATACGTGACATGAAGTCGTCATTTTCATATGAGCGGCCTATTTATCCTTCCATTTTTTCTTTCTTTTGGCAGAAGTGAATTTTATAAGTTTAAGGATGAGGCAATTTCTAGGATAAATACTGGCTTTCTTGGAAAATAAATTACAAGCTATTTTTTAATTTCTCAATATTGTATCAGAAGGTAGAACAACAAAATGAGAGATTGATACAACTGGAAATGTTAACACCTATCACTCTTCTAAGTAGTCATTTGAAAAGGTATAGTATATAACAGATTATTTAGTTATTTGTCTTCTCATCATTGCCCCCGCCATGAAAGACATATTATCTTTACATTGAGTTGTATTAAAAATGCAATTTGTTATGCCTATTGTGGTGGGCTAAGTGATGGCCCCTTGTGGAGGCTAAAGTAACTACATCTTGGATGGTAATCCACCATGCTGACTTTTGATTAACCCCTGTTCCAGGAATGCCTTTAAGGTTTCTACTTTATGTACAGTTACTGCAAATCCTGCTCTCGTATCAAAACAACCTTAACTATAAAACTTGTCCTTAGGCAGATTCACATAGCATTCTTGCTTTTCCCTGAGGGGCTGACTTCAATTGCCCGACACATTCTTTTCTTATAGTATATAAGCCCTGGGTCTGGAGGGTAATGACACAGGGATCTTGTCTTGTCACCATCTTGTCTTGTGACTGCCAAGGACATGGCTTCTGTTCATAAGCCCCTATTAAATGTTTCTTTCTGGGAAACTGGATTTGTCAGCCTGTTTTTTCAGCCTCTCAGCTTCCTCAGTCTTTAGGGGTAGGTTTGCATAGGCCTGCTCGCTGCGGAGTACCTCCAAAGCCAAAAGGATGTGTTTAAGTCCTGATTCCTGGAAGTTGTGAATATTACCTTATATGGTAAAAGATGTAATTAACTCTCAATCACATGTATCCTTAAAAGATATAATTAACTCTCAATCACACGTATCTTTATGAGATAGAGAAAGAAAAGGAGGATATAATATGACCATGGGGGTAGAGATTGGAGTGATGTGGCCCAAACCAAGGAACGCCTGGAGCCACCAAAAGCTGGAAGAGGCAAGAGCACCTTATCTCCTAAAGTCTTTGAAGGTCTCATGGCCCGGCCAACACCTGCATTTCAGGCTTTTGACCTCCAAAACTGTGAGAAAATAACTTTCTATTGTTTTAAGCCTCCAAGATTGTGGTAATTTGTTACAACAGTCATAGGAAACAAATATACCTAACTATTAGTCTGTTTCTCACACTGCTATAAAGACATACCCTAGACTGGGTAATTTATAAAGAAAAGAGGTTGAATTGGCTCACAGTTCTGTGGGCTGTACAGGCTTCTACTGCTGAGTTGGGCTCAGGAAACTTACAATCATGGTAGAAGGTGAAGGGGAAGCAGGCACACCTTCACATGGCTGCAGGAGAGAGAGTGTGTGTGAAGTGGGAGGTGCTGCACACTTTCAAACATCCAGATCTTATGAGAACTCTATCACAAACAGCACTAGGAATATGGTGCTAAACCAATAGAAACAACCCTCATGATCCAGTCACCTCCCACCAGGACCCATGTACAACAGTGGGGAATCACGATTCAACACGAGCTTTGGGTAGGGACACAGAGCCAAACCATTTTGACCTATGAATGAAAATTTAGTAAACATAGCACATTGAAGTGATAACTAAAATTTTGGCATGGCATGCCAAAGACCACCTATTGTATTGATCAATTCTAAAAAGCAAATTTACTTTTTTTGAATTTACTGCTTTTCTCTTTTACAATTTCTATAATTTATATCATTACATGCAATTTGTTTGTTCCAAATGCTCCTTGGTGTTTGAAAACTTGCCCAAATTTTCCTGCTGGAAACTTTATGTCCCCCTTCGTTACTGGAATTCTACCTAAAAATTACAAATGCAACAAGAAGAGCAATGGTGTAAAATCACTATTAGGTGGACAAAAATGGTATGAATCAGAGACTATGGTAGAATTCTGAGACATGACAAGATACAAAAAAAATTATTTGTGGCCCCATAATCCACGTAATTCCTCTTCTCCAGAATTGACTGGACAAATTAATATGTGAAAATTTGACACATATTAACTGACACAGGAAATTAATTGACACAGGAAGTAGTCCATTCTAGGACATCTTAAAGAATCATCTACATATCCCAGGGATCCCTGAACAATACTTTAAGAACTATTGCTCTGCTCTATGCCATTTACCAAGTATTCCTTATGATTATTGCTATAATTCCAAATACTGTATCTCAGAGCAAATTAACAGATAAGGGTGGGACAATTCAGTGATAAAAAACTTTTTCAACCAGCTGAATGCTGCCTTGGGTGATAGAAAAAAGAGGCAGCTTTTGTCTCATCGATCCTTGTGTTGAGGGTGTCCATTCTGTCTGAATAAGACAATTAATTAGAACAGTTGAACATTAGTTGAAATTATTTCCTTTATAAGTAACGTATGATTCTATATTCTTAAAGCTCTTTTTATTCCAATTGTCATTCGTTAATAATGCATTTTTGCTGACAAAATACTTGGACATCTACCTGTGCAAAACAGTTCAGAAGCGGTGTTTTTATAGACTCCAAACTTCATATCAAACATGTGAGGCAAACATTTCAAGCATAATTAAATGTTCTTCATGATGACTCCTTAGTTCAAACTTTCAGGGATTAAAAGAAACAAGATTTAAAGAATAAGCAAAAAAAAAACTAAACCAAAAGAAAGAAAATTTTGTTAGACAGAAAGAAGGTTGTTTATATTGACTCTAAATTTCATCTTCTGGAGAATGCATTTATAATAAATGTTGTATATAATCCTATAATGTATATGTAATCATTGCACTTAGAAACCCTAAATACTCTATTTAACTGATTTTCCAAAATGGTGAATAATTTTGGGTTTTTCTGGAGTCCATTTTCTAGAGATAATTTATTATAGATATTATTTTTTTAAGTTTTTATAGTGCCTTATTTCTTATAAAAGAAAAAAGTGCTAAGCCATTTTGGGCACTGAGTTAAATAATTTAAAATCTAATATTAAATAAAATATTAGGTTCTAAGAAACACAACATTTCCATGATATTTAGAACGAGATCATTCATAGCATTATTTTTTCCTGCAAGGTATGTGTTATAAAAGTTAACTTTTTTTGATATAAAAGTTTAAAAGAGAAGTGGTGATATGGTACTCGATGTGGAAGGCTTTCAAAATAGAGGTCAGTGTCAAAAACTCTCAAAACCAGCTTGGGCATCTTAGTACAGAAAGTAAAAACTTGAAGCCACTGGTGAAACATTTGAACAAATGAAAGGATTAGTCATTTAGAAGTCATAAAATTTCTAGCTGAAGAGAATCGTAGAGGTCAGTCTGGACAAACACTTTCACTTCAGAGAGAAGGGAATTGAGGCTATGCTCTCAGTTTGTACTTGCAAGTCTTAGAACTGTGGATCCTATTCTATACACAAATGCACCTATTCAAGGGATAAATCATTCCTAAAACAAGCATTGAACACTTATTATGTCCCAGACATTCTATAGAAGCTGAGACATTAAAAGCTGATAAAGACTAATCCCTGTTTTCAAGGAACTTACCTTTAACATGTTGGAGGGAGAGAAACCTGAATATAAATAACTATAATGACTGTACTGTAGGAATAAGAAAGAAATCTGTTTAGATTATAATAAAGATTCAAAGCAGGGAAGGTAGAGGACATACAAAACAGAGAGAAGCATGGGGAAAGGCACAAAGGCTAAGCTTTTCTTGTTATCTTGTCTATTTTTCTCCTATACACTCTTTCGCTTGCTGTTTTCCCTCCTCAATTGAACAAATTTGCCAAGTTCCTGTCTTCCTCTTCCTCTTTCTTCTTTCCTTTTTCCTCTCCCCTCTGTCTTTCTCTTTGTTCCACTTAGCCTTTTAAAGTGCTTACCTGGTGATTGACCACTTCCATCATATTCTCAAATTCTTTTCAAAATTTCTCCCATATTCTGTTCTTGCTGTCACCTGGCTATTCTCTTGCAACATACTGTAACTTTGATTGCCCTGGGTGGAGTCTGTCCTCATATATCCCAATTATGACAGAATCAGGACAACAGGTATGTATTGTTTTTGCTTTTGTATCTTTGCCTGCAGAATTTCCTGCAACTTCTCAACTTATTAAAATATAAGAAACAAATCTTCTGCTCCTTTGAGGCTTGTATCCTGTCACCCAGTGAACTTCACTTGTTCCATAAAAACTTCAGCATTTAGCTCAAAACATTTCTTTGCCCCAACTTCCATTACCTTTATTGAAAAGCTTTAGATAACATACTGATCTCTTAATTATTTACCTCCCCTTAACCAATTAATTATTCCTTTATTCTTGTAAAAATAAATGCAATGTAAAGCAAAAGTGGAAAAAATGACATGACATTTTGTACTGATTACTTGTGGAAATAATGTTTTGGATATACTAGGTTAAATAAAACATGTTATTAACATAGTTCAACATGTTAAGGTATTATTCACCTTTTTTTATTACTTTCTTTAATCTGCTTACTAGAAACTTGAAGATCACATCTGTGGCTCTCATATCTCTTTTGGACAGTGCTGATCTAGATCTTGCTGATTTTTGTCTTTGATTAACCTTGATTATTGAGACAGATGGGTTAAAACTAACTTTATGGATTTACTTTTTCATCTATATTAGCCACATTTACTTTTTATATTATAAACGTGCATATTATTTAATGAAAATTATTTTAGAATCATTCTATTTTCCGTGAGAATTAAACATTTTATAGATCAGTAGTAGTCTATTACTGCCTTTGCTATAAAGCCAGCTTTAATAGATATTAATATAATGCTTTATGCTGGCTCGTGTTATAATTTCTATTCTTCACTCCTTTCTCAGTCATTGGATCAAGTATCCAGACACTCTCTTATGCACCATCTTCCCAGTATGGTCAGTCTATGCTACCTCCTGCATGGAATATGCTTTGGCCAATGAGATTTTAGTAGACATAATGCAAGCTGAAGTTTGGTGAGGATTCACACACTTGAACTTGAATTGATGGGCTCATAAGGGAGGTGACAGACATTTAGATCAGAGCCAAGTTGTGACAGCTGAGTTCAGCCAAGGCTAGGCAAGTTCCAAATGCAAAAAAAAAAAAAAAAAAAAAAGTGCCTAGCAGAGATCAACAGAACTAATCAGCCGGCCATTTGTTCACATGTAGTCATTTGAGCTACACAAAATTTTTGTTTGCTGTTGAACTTTTAGTCTTTTTGTTTGGTGGTGGTGTTGTGTCCTTGATAAATTAATGTACTATGCAGGCTTTCTTTTAGTTAATATTGCCTGGTATGTGTTTAACATCATTTTACAAAAAAAAAGAGAACAAAACTTGTTGTGTCCTTACATTTTAGGTTTGCTTCTAACAAATAGCTAAAATTTAAAAAATCTGTCCTAAAATATTTTTAATTTATTAGTTACTTTATTTATGTTGATTATACTTAATAGCATTAGAGTTGATTTTAAATTTCTGTTTGTTTGGAATCTGCAATTTGTCCCATCTATATTTTTTTTTTCTCTTTTTTGAACAAAGTCTCCTCTATCACCCAAGCTAGACTGCGGTGGTACTACTGTAGCTCATTGCAGCCTCAAATGAATTTCTGTCCTGAAGCCATCCTTACACTTAGGCTTCTCCCGAAGCACTAGGATTATGGAAATGTGCCATAGAACCCAACATTCACTAGTTTTTAATTCTTCCCTTTCTTGGTTTTATTTTTGAACCAGCTTTAGAAAACAATTGTATATAAATTACATATTTTTCCGTTGTATTCTATCAATACACTGAAGATACTATTCTGTTGATTCTAGCTTCCTATTCCTTCTGGGTAATCAGATGTCAGTCTATCCATTTTTGTTTGTGGGAAATTCATTCTTCTCCTGAGTTGCTTTTAATATATTTTTGTCTTTTGTGTGCTACAATTTTAACATATTGTATTAGGTACAGATTTGTTTTTAATTTACTTTGCCTAGAATTCATGAATCTGATAATTATTTTATTACTTATGAAAAACTTATTATCTTGTTGAACATTGTCCTGCCACTATTTTCCATATTTTTCTCCTTAAGGCACTCTGATTATATATACATAAGATGTTCCCACTGAATCCTCCATGTCCCTTAAAATCTTCATTCATGATTTTTTTTAATTATGATTTTTGGACTCTGTGCTACATTCTAGATAGTTTACTCTAGATTCATGTTATGATTGCTTATTGTTCCCATCAGTGCATTTAACATGCCTCATATCTATTTATCAAATTTTTACTTTCTTATATTTTTTCATTTCCAGTAGATGTATTTGATTCTTTCTTACATCTTCCATGTCAGTTTGCAATGTCCTGTTTCTTTATCATGATTTTCATCTCTTGTTACTTCTTTAAACATATAAAGCATTTTTATGTTTGTTTATTATTAATGTATCACAGTGGGTCTGATTTTATAGCTTCTTGTTTCTTATGGCTCTCCATATCTTTCTTGGTCTTTTATTGTGCACTTCTTAGTGGAAATTATTTGAGACCTGTGTTTAAGGGGTATTCTTCCAGAGATGTTTTGAGTTTGCTTTCAGCAGCTACTAATGATATGTAGGTTTTAAACTAAATCATCAATTGGAGATAAATAGTGAGAAATCTATCCCAGTCCATATGAACATTTGCAATGAATAGTTCTCAGAAAAGACATGTATTCCCCTTTTTGCTCTAACCAGAAACATGGCAAAGAAAAGCAAGTTTCTTTCCAGAGTTTTTTTGTTTCTTTGTTTTTTAATTCTAGCTCACCATTGGTAGTTTTGTCTATCAGAGTTCTCAGAAGTGGTAGTTTTGCAGAAATTTGCTACGCCACAAGTACAACGCTTCAAAATGGTAACAGCAAAATTAATAGTAATATTATAACCCCAGTTTGCATAATGTTTTTGAGCCAGGAACCTAGGAAAAAGCTACCAACTAAATGAATCAAATGACCATGGGGCACTGGGCAAGAGCTGTTGTAGTCATATGGCTTGTTCTCTTATTTTGTATAACTGGGTCTCAACTTCCCAGAAAGTTTGTCTAGGTTCAGAATGATATTAGCAATAGCATAGACTTTACCTTATTCAGCCAATAAATAATCAGGAGTTATTCTATTATCTAAAATTAGAATTAAATAAGTGATGCTGTGTGGAGCTAGGCTTTGCAGTGGCGTCTATAAAAATTCTTAGAGTAACAAGTAGATTTATAATCATCCCTTTATTTGCAGCAACACCAAACTATGATGCAAAAGCTCTAACAAAGGAAACAAATCCAGACTCCCAAGCTCTGCCAGGGAGCTGGAGCATGGCCCTTTGATGTGCTGAAAGGGGGCTAGTCCAATGTTTACCCCAGTGATCTGTTTTGGATCTATTATGTACTGACAACAAAGTGATCAAATATTCTAGTCCACATCGGCCTCCCCTTATCCATGAATCTAAACAAATTGAGTTTCCCCATTCAGAAATATAAATAAATCCAAGAGGGTTGCATACGATTCTTTTGAAGTAATGTTTCTACAAACAGTTGACTTAAGCCATGGATCTGTTTTGATATTGCATACAGTTAATAATCCTTTTTTAAAAAAAATACTTCAATAATCTTGTTTGTAAAATTAGGGATTTCTAGGAAGTGGTTTGTAAATTTTGCTCTTTTGCAGATCTCAGAGGCCCAACTAGAAGGCCACTGGTTTAAACAAGTTAAACAAAATATAAGAACTGAACGGTAATAGGAAAGTGTAATTCTATAAAAAAGTTCCAGTATGCAATTGGACCAGTTATTTGGTGTTGAAAAACCAGTGAGGCTCATTATAGCATTAAGCAAAGGGGCGACAGCATCACAGACAGATCAGGGTTTATGATGACTGTTCCAATAATTAGTACGGTTTCCTCCTTTGGCAGTGGACTTGGAAATGAGGATAAAGAAATTGCTTTTCCAAGAAGAAGAGAAGGAGAGCAAAGTAAAATACTAAAAGTGAGGAAAAAATGTACAGGACTTGTCCAGTCATCTTGAGGAAGCAGTCTAGCACAGATGTTGTCTAATTCAATTCCTGGAATTTTTTTAGTATTAATTCATAGACAAGAGTGTTGTTCTAGTAAGGTGTTAGTGGTGGAAATACATGCATCCAGGAATCAATCCCTCTAAGGTTTGTGATACCAGGATTGGTTAACAAGACCTGTGATGGGTGCTTCCAGAAAGATTAGAGGGAATCTTTTTGCAATTGTCTTTTCCAATAGGCAAACTATCTTTGAAGAAAATGCATTTTTAGACTGCAACTGATTGCAAGTGCTTTTAGAGAAGTATTAAGACAATAGCTCTGTAGATGACAAAGACTTAGAATGGCTGTGGTCAAAATCTGAAGAGAATTTATTATAATAACGATGCAGTTAACAAGCAATTTGGTTATTTCTATGATATACAACAACTTGATATAACATGTAATAATAATAAATTGTGACTGAAAATATATCAGATTTCTTGGAATTGCATATAATTTTTTGAAGACATATTAACATATCTATGCAATATAACTCAAAGAAGGTTAAACATCATTTCTTATTTTGACTATGCTTTCCATGTAATTTAACATTTCAAATAAGCCTAATTGGTTTAATATGTCTCTGTGGATTTTCAGGGGCTTTCATGAAATTTCCCAAAGTTAATTTGGGGTCAAAAAGACTTAATTCAAAATTTGATTTTGTGAAGTTTGTTAAAAATGTCAAAAGATTTAAAACACTTGATTAAATAGGTCAGAAATCACTTTAAAATAATTCCAAAATGACAAAGATTTTAAATACAAATATAGAAATGTTACAAAGTTGTAGAAAAACCATAAATCTTTTAATTTAGAGGAGACTCACTTTTCTTATGCAAGCAAAGACCTCATAAAACAAAGCATGAAGCAAAAGAAATAATATTTAAAGAACACAGAATCTTTGTTTCCTAGGCCAATTACCTGAAAGTATAACACTAGGAAGGTAAAGGTAAAAGAAAATCTTTTGCTATAGGCAGTGCCCAAATCATGATGGTTTGACATACAATTCGTTTGACTTTATGATGCTGCAAAAGTGATATGCATGCAGTAGACAGCATTATGATACCATCTCATTATGTCAAGCATTGTCAGGGAGCCATAGCTACTAGTCAGCCACATGATCAGTGTACATACTCTACAGTGTACTGTGTTGCCAAATTTTGCCCAACTGTAAGCTAATGTAAGTGTTCTGAGTATGCATAAGATAGGCCTGGCTAAGCTATGGTATTTGGTAGGTTATCTGCATTAAATACATTTTTGACTTACAATAATTTTAACTTATGATGGAATTGTTGGTATGTGTCCTCATCATAAGTTGAAGAGTATCTGTATTTCCTAATAAGGGAATATCAATACTCCAAGGAAACCTTGCTGTTTTAACAGAGAAGATTCAATTCTAGTCTTGCATTAGTGTATTTTTAATTAAATGTCAAATTTTTAGAAAAAACATAATTTTCTTCTAATTCTAACCAGCTTTCTTCAGATAAAGTTATTTTCATAAGATTCATCTTCTACAAACCTTTGACAGTATATTTTTAAAATTATTTGTCGTATACTTTTTTCTCTTTTTATTAAATTTTAGCAGTCAGTCATTTTACTTCAGGGAAAAAATTTCTTTTTTCCTTAGTCAAAATGCATTCTTCATACCTCTTAGATTTACTTACCAAAAGCAAGTCTTACTTTTCTTATATCCATTTTTATTTCTAGTTCCAATTATCATATATTGATTGGCATTTTTAAACTGTCAGCAACCATAATTTTTAGTGAAAATCAGGGAAGTAGGCAATTTCAAACTGTTATATCAACATTTTGTGAATATATGTTTCATATTTTTTAAAAGCATATTTCCATAAAACAATTTTTATGCTTACAGATCCAAATATATTTAGCTTTTCTATATCATATAATAATAAAATGCCAAATTATATACATTGAAAACCTACATTCAGCAATTAATGTTACTTACAAATGACTCAGAAATTTCCTACTTATTTATTATTTAATTAAACATGACTTTAAGATTTCAAGTTACAGCCAGGTGTGGTGGCTCACACCTGTAATCCCAGCACTTTGGGAGGCCAAGGCGGTGGATCACCTGAGGTCAGGGGTTCGAGACCAGGCTAGCCAACATGGCAAAACCCTGTCTCTACTAATAATACACACAAAAAAATAATTAACTGGGCGTGGTGGCAGGTGCCTGTAATCCCAGCTACTTGGTAGGCTGGGGCAGGAGAATCGCTTGAACCTGAGAGGCAGAGGTTACAGTGAGCCAAGATCATGCCATCGCACTCCAGCCTGGGCGACAGAGCAAGAAGGCTCTGTCTCAAAAAAAAAAAAAAAAAAAAAAAGATTTCCAATTACTATGACAATTTTCATCTGCAAACTTTTATCCCATTTATTTTAACATAATTTACTTGTTCTTAACAATTATGTTTGAATTTCTTAGGAAAAACAGAGTTAGTCATTATCTTAAGTTAGTTTTCAACAAATCAGACGAGTTTAAGATATTACAGAAGCAAAAAAATTAATTGATTTTCACTGTATATTCTGCTGTGGTTAGATTTATAGCTTTATGGCCTTGTATATCTAGGAGATAACAAACTTGTTTGACTAGTAAATCTAGGTAAAAATATCTGCTTTTATTATAAGTAATGCTAATTCTGAAGACATTCCTGTTTTTATTTTACAGGAATTTTTTTTTACTAGCAATTTTAAGACTAGTTTTATTTATCAAGTATTGTCTCAAATCACAGGGACCAAAATGTATTTGAGTTAGTTTCCTATTTCTCTGACAGAACATTTTAACATTGTATATTAGCATATATATATCATATGCAGACATATATACATTTAGATATATATAATTACATTCAGACTATCACTTTTTGGCTATGTTTTATTATACTGAGCAATTGCTAGCCAGGCTACCCTAAATTTGCACTTGCAAGGGGATAACTGTTCGATGAAATAAGGTAAAAAAGTTACATCTCAAAGGCCCAGAACTTAGCTGTAAACACCATTATTTGTGAGACAAAGAAGGACATAAATAGGAAGTCCAGTTCAGATAAAATAATCGAAGATGAGGCCTAATATCTGGATTTAAGCCAATGCCTTTTTCCATTAGAAAAGTCTCCAGTGATTTAGGTAAGAAGAAGGAGATGGCCTTACAAATGAAGATTGTCTTATATATTTATTTTCTAAAGAGTTTCAAAATAGCCCTCCAAAATCCCAAGAAAGCTATACTTTGAAGACCAATTTAGATTGATAGGCAATCTTTTCAACTTAGCTTGTTTTTTAATTTGATTATTGATTCCAAGGAGGAGCTAATTAACAAATACAGTAAACAAACAAACAAACAAACAAACAAAAAAAGCATTCTCTATACCTGGACTCAATCATGAATATGCTGAATATAGATCAAAGTTCTGAACAAAAGGTATGCCTAACAAGTAATCCAAGGCCAAATCTAATAAGTATTTTTTTGACTTTAACCATAGATTCATGAGACACTTCAAAGAGAGAGCAAAAATATGGAGTCCTTCCATGATACAAAGCCACTCTCAAAGTCATTCAAAGAAAGAAAGGCTTAGACAACACCTGAGAATTGGCAACAGTCAATACACTAGACACGAGTGGGGTGCAACCCACATTTCTGTCTGCGCATGTTCCTAAGGGCTTTCAAATGATTGGTTGGCTCCCTGCATATGCATGCTCAATAACTTGCATGCTCCTGACAAGCAAAAATTTAAATCAAGTTCTCAGTACAACAAATAGAAAATGAAACAAACAGAAAAGCAACTGCTACCCATGAAAGAAAAAAAAATTACTAGTGAATGTATACTCCAAACGAAAGAGTCATTTGCTTTTCACAATAAATCTTTCAAATATTTATATTAGAACCTTGTTTTCTCTGAGCCTTCTGAGTGCCAATTAAAATAAGAATCTCATTTTCTCTCCTTAATACATGAAGCTTGGGATTCAAGTGTACTTCTTAGACTAGTCTTGTTCATTTGGAAAGTTTCAGATACTGGCCATTGTAATTCTAAGTTATCCTTGGTGTAATTCGTCCATCAGTTTCAAACACGTAGGTGAGGATGGATCATAATGTTTGAACATATTGAGGTCTAGAGTTCCTGTGGGGCAATTATCTTTGCATGCCTTAGAATTTGATGATCCTTTCTGTTGTTTGGACATTTGATGCTTCCAAATCTCATGTTAAAATTTGATTACGAATGTTGGAGGTGGGGCTTAGTAGGAGGTGTTTGGGTTATGGGAGAAGAACCCTCACAAATAGCCTGGTGTCATTCTCTCTTGCAAGAGTGAGTGAGTTCTCATCCAACTCTCATGGGAACTGGTTGTTGAAAAGAGCACGGCACTTCTCTCTCTTCTCTCTCTCCTGCCTTCCCCTCATCATGTGATATGTACATACTAGCTCCCCTTCACAATATCTACCATGAGTGAAAGCAATCCAAGTCCCTCACCATAAGCAGATGCTAGCACCATGCTTCCTGTATATCCTGCAGAATCATGAGTCAAAAAAAAAAGTCCTTTTCTTAATAAATGACCCAGCCTCGGATATTCCTTTGTAGCAACAGAAATTGACTAAGACTATCACATTATGTATCTTATAAATTCTTTGAGGGCAAAAAGGAAATTCTATAATCTTGTAAGAAAATTAGGAATTGTAGGTAAAGTATTTTGCTTTTATGATGTGCCATGCATGGGATATATCTTTCACTTGGAAGATGGCTTTAACTTTAGTTAACTGACCTGTGACCAAGGTTTCCCTGTTCTATGAAAATTTTCTTTAGACTGACAGGGGCTATAGTGGTAATCTTGCCTATCCATTACCAATTTAACTTCTCACAGGAGTCTTGATCTTTGGAGACCAAAGTGCTCATGAACTGGTAGCAATCACCCTAGTAACTCTTATTGGTCAACCAATGTCCACCATTAGATGGTTACCCTCAGAAGTTTTTTAGAAACAAGGAAAAAACCCAACTCAACAAATTTTTAAACAAGGTACCCAGACCGGATAAAAAATAAAACCAAAAGTGTACCATCAGAAGGACAATATCCTTTAAGCCTTTACAAAACATATGAAGTTGGAGGGCTCAACCAAAAGGAGAGAACTCAACTTAAAAGAGAGCCTGGGCATTATATACCCGGGGTGGAGAAAAGAGGTTGTTTTCCTACAGTGTATTGAGCCAGGATCTCAGCCTTAGAGAGCCTGCAAAAGGGCTTGGGGGCGCCACATCCCAACTCTGCTATTTGAATTCTCCTCCAGGCACCAGGATCTGATCATTTCCCTTATGAAAGGAACTTACATCCAGCAGAAATACAATGCAGGGAAGCAGAGAGCACAATGGCCTCAAGTGGGTACCACACATCGTTCCAGGGGATGCTTGTCTTCTTTGATTCCCACATCTGAATGTTAGGGACAAACTGCCCCAAGAAAGCTTCTTGATGCTGCTCACCCCTCCCCCTAGTGCTCTGCAACGCTTCTCCGTGCTGCCCACCCTTCCCCTAAGCCTCTTTGTATTTCTAAGCCCTTATCTAGGCACCACGGTGAATCCAGCAGTCTTCGCTTATCAGACCTTGCTGTGATAAGCAAACCCCAATTACAAACCATCCATACCGCACAGGGGGAGGTCGTGGGAAGCATAAACAAACTTTACCTACACTCTCCTGTAATAAATATGTGGCAAAATTAACCAGCAAACAACCCAGGGATGCAGCCATATCAAAGAACTCCCTCAGACTCCCCTCCCCAATATAAATTCCTCATTCTGTAAGCTTGGTTCTGCTTCCTCTCTGACTGTTAAGGGGGCAGATGGCAAGTTAATAAAAACTTACTTGCCTAACTTTGGGTCTATTTTTCCTTTCTCTTGGCTGACCTTACACTGATACCAGATTATGTCAACCTAAAATAAGTGACAGAGAGACCCACTGTCCAAAGCAAATAGTTTATTCAGGAGTAATAGGGAATTCTAATCGAGGATACATGTGTTATGGCAGACCATAGATGCATCCAAGGGGCTTGAGGCAAGAGAAAACTTTTAACAACAAAAAGAAGTCCACATAAGCTGTTCTGAAACAAAGACCATTGGTTACAGAAGCTTATTGCAGTAGTTGGTGTTAGTGCATTGGTGCAGACAGTCATGTCAGGCAATTGTTCTTGCGCAAGCAGCCTATCTGCAATACTGTAGTTTGAGGAATTCTTTGCATAGTTCCTACCATAGGCATGCATTTATGAGGATCATTCTTTTATGACCTCTTTGCTCCATTTTGTTAGGGTTTAAACATTAGTAACTCCTTTTCAATACTGATAACTTTCAGAATCTAAATGTCACTACCTTTATGAATCCTCCCTTGATTACCAAAGGTAGAAAACGTCTACTCTTATCCTCTACAACAGCATTCCATTACTTTACTTCTCAGCATGTAAATAAAGACTTATTTGGTTGTTTTTTTTTTTCCTCTCTCCTATTAGCTTTATGTTCTTGAAGGACACTTCTACTGGTTTTGATCACCACCACATTCCATGGAGCCAACAATGACTTCCTGATATCAACTCGTAAATATGACTTCCAGCTTTTATTATACTTAATCTCTAAGAGAAAACTAGAACTGGTAACATCTTTAAACATTTTATCCTATCTCTTCAGTGATTTTCTTCTGCCAACTTGTTCTTAAACCCTCTCTTAACATATCTAATATTATGTATTTTATGTATGTGTGTGTATATGTATGTAAACTATACATTAAAGGAAGTGAACTGAAGTTTACCTAATAAAGAATTTGCACATTATCCGAATGTCAGAGAGAAATTAAAAAGCTTTAATTAGTAGTGTCACAAAATCAGATTTTTATTCTAGAGACAGTATCTCTAGATAAGTTGTCAACAGTGAATTGAAGGGAATCAATAACAGAAGCAAAGAGAATATTTGAGGAAAAATAATTGCAGTTATAAAAAGTGAAGATAAGAAGTGCATTGAAATACAAAATGAAGACTGAAATTTGAGAGGAGGATCCAAAGGAGGTGGAAATGGCAGAAGTTAGGGCCTGGTTGAATATACACAAGGAGTGAAATGGGATAGGATAGTAATGATAAAACATAACACAGAGAGCAAATAAACACAGAAATTAAAAGCAAAAAATTTTTTTCTGAGTTATGTACCTAGGTGATAGTACTTTTTTGATCATAATAAATAAGGTATAGAAGTTGAGAAACATATTTGAGGGGAAGTAACTGTTTCTGGACATCTGAATTTAATTATCTGTGCAGTATTTTTGTATAGTTCTTCAGCGGGCAAACTGATAAATACCTTGCACTCAACAGAATGACGAGTATAATTGAAAATCATCAAAATATTTTATAATAGGAATTGAAGTCCTAGGAAAAATTGAGAATGCACAGAGAGGAAATGAATATAAACAATATAAACTGAGAACACCAAAATGCAATGGATGATGTCTAAAGAGAACCTAGGAAAGGGGAGTAGGATAAAATCATCCTAAATTAAGGAGAAAAAGATTTGTGCCATACAATTCAAGAGAAGATAGAATTTCAAAAGGAAGAATATGACCAACAGTGCAAAATGCTATAGAAAAGTTAAATATTTTCAGAATTGAAAGGAGACCATTATGCATGGTGATTAGGAGGTAGTAGGGAACTTTTGCCTACCTCTATGGAAAGCTACAGGTGAAAGTCTGACTGCAGTAGAAGATGAATTGGAAATGGTGAAATTCTAAATATTGTTTGAGAAGTATGAAAGAAGATTAAAAGATTATCGCTAGTGATGAATATAAAACTGAAGACATTTTAAAAAATTATATTGCTGTAACATATTTCAACATTTATATATTGTGTATTTAGCAACAAATTTTTGTAGCTACAGTGATTGTTTAACACATTTGCCTTTTATGTTAGAGTTAAAAGTGCTTTGTATTATCATTATAGTATACGAGTACTCTGAAGATGACTATATTCTTACTCTTACAAATGAATTTTATATCTTCATATGGTTTTATGTTATTAGTTCACATCCTTTCATTTCAAGTTGAACTTCCCTAAGTATGTCTTTAAGGGAGATCTAGTGCAGATGGACTGCCACAGTTTAGTTTGTCTGAGAAAGTTTTTTTTTTTAATTCTATATATTTAAGGTGTACATAATGTTTTGAAATACATATACATAGTAAAATAATTACTACAGTCAAGCAAATTAACATATCAGTCTCCTCACATAATTACCTTTTATGTGTGATGCAAGCACATGAAATCTACTCTCTTGGTAAATTTCCAGAATATAATACAGTATTAACTATAATCATCTTGTTTATTACATTTTTAGACTTATTTATCCTACGTAACTTCAACTTTGTACCTTTTGACCAACATCTCCCCATTTTCCCGACCTCCCTGCTTTGATAACCAAAGTTATACTTTCTCTCTATATATTCAACATTTTTAGATTCCACATTTAAGTAAAATCATGATGTATATTTCTTTTGGTACCTGCCTTATTTCATTTAGAATAATGTTTTCCCGGTTCATCTATGTTGTCTGGAAATGTCTTTATCTCTTCTTCATTTCTAGAGTGTATATTTTCCATTTTTAGTATTTTTGTTGAGAGTTTTTTTTTTCTTTGGAGATATTATTCCACTTTTTCTCTGGTTCTGCAAAGTTTTTTGTTGAAAATCTGCCGACAGCCATTAGGGGTACCTTGTACGTAATGAGTCACTTTTCTTTTTTTGTTTTCAAAATTATCTCTTTGTCTTTGACTTTTGAGAATCTGATTATAATGATAAAGATTCATTTATATTTAGCCTATGTTGGGCTTTTTGTGCTTTTTAAATCTGGATGTTCATTTCCTGTTTCAGATTTGGAAAGTTTTCTGTCATTGTTTCTTTTAATAAACATCCTTCCCCTTTTTTCTCTGCTTCTTCTTAAAATGTCATAATGCAAACATTGGTCCTCTTGATTATATCCCATATATTCCATAGGCTTCTTTAAATTTTTCCCATTTTTGTTGTTATTGTTGTTACTCTAACTGGATAATTTCAAATAACCTGTCTTTGAGCTCACTGATTTTTTTTTTCTACTTGATCAAATCTGTTATTGAAGTTCTATTGAATTTTTCAGTTCAGCTATTGTGTTCTTTGGCTCCAGAATTTCTGTTTTATTCTTTTTTACGGTTTCTAGTTTTATATGAAACTTCTCATTTGGCTTATGTATTGTTTTCCGATTGTCTGTTTTTGTTTGTTTTTAGCTCACTAATATTTCCTTAAAACAATTATCTTGAATTCTTTCTCAGGCAAATTGTAGATTTCTATTTCTTTAGGTTTGGTTACTGATGCTTCATTTTGTTCCTTTTGTGGTAACATGTTTTCCTAATTACTCCTTATGCTTGTATTGTTGCATTGGTATCTACACTTTTGAAGAAGCAGATATATCTTACATCTTTATAGACTGGTTTCAGCAGGAAAAGCCCTTCCCCCCTCAACCCATCTAGACATTCTGGGAAGGCCATCTGGTGGGGTCCATGGATGGGCTTGCTGCTGAACTTCTCGGGTGGACTGACCTGATGCCAGTGTTTCTTGGGTAAGCCTGGAGCCTGGGTTTATATGTACAGGCATGCATCACAGGTCTACAGGTAAAAGTTTAGATCCTGGGTCCATGGGGGCCTGCCTGACAAGAGAGTCCACAGGGACGGGTCTAGCAACAAGGTCCACATGAGAAATCCTGGAGACTGAGTCTGCAGGGGCAGGACTGGAGACATGGCATCTGGGTCCATAAAGATGGGTCTGGTCCTGAGTTCTTAGGATCCACACTGGGATCCACAGTGGAACTCGTTCCATCAGGGCTGGCCGGTTGTGATTAGGATTCAGGCTGGTGCTTGGATTAGGGTTAAGCTTATACAAAAATACTTTTTTGTCATCATTCACATTTCACAACATTTTAAACTGATAAAAGATTTTCACACACTTTCAGGATTATATGTAGTCACCTTTTGTTTTGCTGCAAGAATCAGATTTGCCTACAAAATAGACAGTCTTTGGATTTCTGTATTTCTGTCCATTTCAAACAATACAGATAATCAGGTTCTCTATACCAAACCAAATTTCCCTTTAAGACAGCACAAATTCCACATGGGCTATTTTGAAAACTAGTGTTTTTCATCATCATGACATAGACTGGGTTCAAACACTTGCTCGTTGTGACACAGAACACATATAATTGATACTAGGACTCAGAGGCTTCTGAATGTTAATCGTATATACCTCAGCATTCTACTGGATATAGTCCTTAAAATTAACAAACATACAAAATGCCCAAATTTAGTGACCATCATATTGAGTCATATTCTTGCAGTTATTATTTGATATTGAACAGTTTTTGACAATTAGAACATATAAGCTAAGACATACAGTTTAATGAGTGGAAAAATATTAGTGAAACCTGAAAACCAGGTTTGTTTAGATAATAACAGTATCAGCTCCTTTCTTTGGAGAAGGGGTATATATTAATATAAAAATAGAGATAATCTCTGATTTCTGGTAATCTTTAAATGAACTAAAGTAAAACCTGAGGTCCTTCGAAAAGAATAATTGATGTTAATGATTAGCACAATTTTCAGATTTTGGGTAATTGCATTCAGGGCCAGGGTCTTGATCCTCTAAGTGGCTGTGATTAACCAATGGTCTGACTTGTGCCTGCTGGAAGGTTTCTGTCATTTCCGAGGCAGTATTATTTCATCAGTTAGTTGGATTGTATCCAGTTTATTTGGCAAAGATGTTGTAGAACCATGCTGTGTCCATTATCTTTTTCTGACAATGATTTAATCTCATTGCAAAAGTGTCAGAGCTGGTTATTATGCTAAGCATGCTATTTTTGGATTTAGAATGGTTACTTCAGTTTCATAAGTGCTCACATTTAGCTATATGAATAAAAATATCTTTATAGCAGCATACAAACATTGAATTAATTCATTTACCTTAGTGTCCGTATGTGTGTATCTTTTCCATCTACATTACTATGTAACGTGTGTGTATACATTATGAGTACTCTCACAGAGCATAGACTTTAAGGATGGAAATATAATAAGTGTTTCTCTAGCTTTTAAGGACCTGTCGAACATTTATTTGTCCATTTTATATATTAATTTAATAGTACTAGTATGTTCAAATAGACTCTGAATACAGAAAAAGGTAAGGCATGCTCCAGCCTTTAAGAATCATATAATCAGGGATGCTATAGGTACCTTTTTCTAAGAACATGAATGTTCACTATTTTGGAAGTGATTATAAACTTTTGTTAAGCAAATCTATGCCATTCTGCATTCTTGTTCAGAAAATATGTCATGGAGCAAGACTAGCTGTTACTTCTAATATTTACCCTACTCCATCATGACCTTAAAGTTTCTTGCTTTGACCTAGACCCACAGAAGAAGGTAGACAGTAAAAAACATGAAATAAATAAAACTATATAGTATATTAGAGGTGATATGGATTATGATGATGTTATATGAAAAAAACAATCAAAAATTGTGTTTTGCTGAGATATGAGGAATGCCAGGGCATAAGGATTATAAGAGGCTGAGTTACAATCATAAATGGATACTGAAAGTAGGCTTCATTGGGATAATAGTATTTGAGCAAAATCTGAAGGTGAGGAAATAGGAAACCACCAGAATATTGGGGTAGAACATCTAGGCAGAGAGAAAATGGCTTGCCAAGGCCCTGAGATAAGAGCGTGACTGTGTGTAGCAATAGCCTTAGAGGCAATCACAAAGATTTTATTATAAATAAATAAAGTAATTTAAAAATTTTATTGTGGCAAGAACGCTTAACATGCAGTCTACCTCCTTAAACAGATTTTTAAGTGTATAATACAGTATAGTTAACTATCAGCACAATATTTTATAGAAAATCCTTAGAACTTATTTACCTTGCGTAACTGAAATTATATACCCACTTATTAACAATTTCCTGTTTCCCCCCTCCCCTCAGCCCCCACTCTGCTTCTATCAATTGACTATTTTAAATATCTCACATAAATGGAAACATATGGTATTTGGCCTTCTGTAACTGGCTTATTTCACCTAGCATAATGTCTTCAAGGTCCATCCATGTTGGCTCATATCACAGAATTTCCTCCTTTTGAAGTCTGAGTAATATTTTGTTGTACATCTATACCACATTTTTAAAAATCCATTCATCTATTGATGTACATTTAAGCCATTTCCACATCATGGCTATTGTGAATGGTTCCACAATGAACATGGGAGTGCTAATATCTTTTCAAGATCCTAATTTCAGTTCTTTTGGATAAATACCCAGAAGTAGAATTGCTGTATCACCTGGTAGTTCTATTTCATTGAAGAACCTCCATATTGTTTTCCATAATGGCTGCACTATTTCCACCAATAGTATAGTTAAGTTTTTTCTTCATGGGAGACAGGGAAGCATTCAGAGCCTTTCAGCAGAGAAATTACATAATCATATTCGTGATTAAAAGGATCTTTTTGGCTGCTGGGTGGAGAATAAACTGCAGAAGGACAAGGAATGGAAGTAAGAAGATAGTTAAAAGGGTATTCCAAAAATCTTCACAAGGAGTAGTAGTCATCTCTGGCTTTCATTCATGTTATTTGAAGTTTGAAATGTGCTCTTTCTATAATCTAGCTAGAAATGCAAATAAAAGAGAAAATCAATGTTAAAGGTAAGTTTTTTATAATTGTCCTATCATCACATCTAATGTCATCTATTGAAAGTGTACTATGTGCCAAGCACACAGCAAAGCAGTCTCATATTCAGAATTATCTCACTCAAATCTATACAATACGTATTTTAAACTCTAATTTACAAGGCAGGACTCTGGGTCAGAACTCAAATCCAGATCAATCTGGCCTGAAAGTCCATGCTTTTGTCCGCACCCCACACTCTCATGAGCTCTTCAATATTCCTCAGCTCAAATTCCTTAAACATTCCAAATATACTCTTTTCTTAATTATTAAACAACTCATTGGAGCAAATCATGTAAATAAGATCTCTGAAGAAGTAGAGCAGAAAGTGGCCAGGGATGATATATGCATACCAATATATAATTACTTGTAAGATTTGTTTTGTCCCAGCACTTTGGGAGGCCAAGGTGGGTGGATCACTTGAGCCCAGGAGTTCAGGAACAACTTGGGCAACATGGTGAAAGACCATCTTTACCCAAAAAATATATATATGTTAGTGAGGAGTGGTGGAACACACCTATAGTCCCAGTTGCTCAGGAGGCTGAGGTGGGAGGATCACTTGAGTACAGAGGTAGAGAAATTGTGGTGAGCTGAGATCACACCAGTGCACTCCAGCCTGGGCAACATAGCAAGACCTTGTTTCAAAAAAAAAAAGGTTTGTTTTAATTTCTCAAAAATTGGAAATATGACTTTTAGCAGAATATTTATTATAGTAAATATTTATTGTAAAAAAATAATTTGGTAGTCTTCAAAAGGTGATGGGAACTTACACATAATACTTAAAATACCCCTAGATTTAAAAGCCATCCTTGCCTGGGTCAACCAGTGTCACTAAAAGCTTTCTAAGTGGAGCTATGACAATTACCTTGACTCCTCAGGTAAAAAGAATGTCTTTATTTCAGTTTTATATCTCACTTATAGATGGACAAAAGGAACAAGACTGGGTTTAGTTTAGACAAGTCATGAATAAAGAATACAGACTACTTAAATCCTTTTGTTTTCGAAGACTATGGTGAAAAATGTGGCTTGGAGTGAGAACAATCCGGTTAAGAAATTTCAGTTTGCCTCATTAGTTTACTAGCTTGGTTAAGGTATTCGACCATTCTAAGCTTCAGTTTTCTCATACCTATTAGAGGCATAATATTCATTATATATAGTAGTTAAATGAGATAAGGTGAATCGCTCATTCAAGGAAGCATACAAATGAATCAAATAGAAACCATTTCTCTTCTATGCATAGAACAATATTGTTTACAACAAAAATAAGGAGATTACACAAAGAGCATCTTAGTTGGCATGCTCTTGGCAGTGAGACAATGATTCAAATGCTTCTGCTGATCTAAGTACTTTCTTAAGCTTAGAGTTCATCCTAGCTGGCTGGAGTTGGCAGGAGTCACTTTAAGAAACACAATTCTGCTACTTCTTGTGCTGCATAGGCTTTGTGGATAAACCCTAAATATCAGTCTTCAAAGCAATAAAATAATATCAGTTAGCAAATTTATGAACATTACCTTTCTCTATGAAGCTAATTCTCTGTAACAGAACTTTTCACATCACACTGTCAAAAACCTAAGTCGACAGTCATTATCAAAACTGAACAGAGTGTTTAACACCATGTGACCATACTCTCCTGCCAAATTTTCTACAAAATTAAAATTTAGAAGTATAGTAATCCAATAAATTTTTGTCATACCTGTGGTCATTTTTTATTATACCAAATTTAAAATTAGGCTGCTGTGAGTCTGTAATAACTCACCATGTGCCTCGCAGTCTTAGGAACACATTAGAATTAGCTTTTGATTGTATACTCAAATATGGTCATGAATTTTCTTATAAAAATTATTAAAATCCTTGCTTCAGTGATCAAACAAAAATAAAGCAGCAAAGCCAGTACAGTGGCTCATGCCTGTAATCCCAGCACTTTGGGAGGCCAAGGCAGGCAGATCACCTGAGGTCAGGAGTTTGAGACCAGCCTGGCCAACATGGTGAAACCCTGTCTCTACTAAACATACAAAAATTAGCCAGGTGTGGTGGCACATGCCTGTAATCCCAGCTACTTGGGAGGCTGAGGCAGGAGAATCACTTGAACTGGAGAGGTGGAGGTTGCAGTGAGCTGAGATTGCGCCAATGCACTCCAACCTGGGTGACAGAGCAAGACTCCATCTCATAAGTGAATAAATAAAACAAAAAGTAACAATTCTGCTTATAAAATGAAACCTGGGAGAATGACAAATTCATCTTTGCCTACTTTTCCAGCAAATTATAAACGTTTTAAATACAGAAAAATATTTTTGTGGGTTATTCCCCTGCAAAAAAAAAATTGTATGTGTTTGTCAACAAATGCTGGGGGAAAAAAATGTAAGAATTTGCTTCTAAAAGCCAATTGTTGGCCTTATCATTGGCCTTTTAATCTTTTGACAATGATGGCAAAAACTATGAAATTTCTGATAGATATCTTTAGACTGCATTTGGGAAACTAGCACATAAACATGACACAGAACAGAAATGTACCTACCTCATTAAAGAATAAACAGCATAACATAACAATGTAAAGCTAGAAGGAATTTTAGGCAGTCCAATCCCTACTCCCATTTTTCCACGGAAAAGACACAAGCCTTCTTTAAATGCAAAGTTTCAAGCAAGATTTTAATAGAGTAGATGGTATGTACATCTATTTCTCTTGATGCCAATGCTGCCACAGCTTTAGAGTCTAGATTCTTAAAAATTCTTATCAGTTCAGATAATTTTTTAGACTTCTGTTTGTCTTTCACATTTACCTCTTCAAGCATAAAAGATAAGACAGTATTATTATATATTGAAAATATATATAATTTGTATTTTTCTGTCTCATTTTCGCAAGGGAAATGTCTATTTCAGGTTTTGTTCCCCTCTCATAGTGCTTTAAATTTTCAAATATAGTAAGGAAGCAACTCTTTAAGTGTGCCCATTCATCTAGAGACCATCATTTATCTGTGTGATTTGAGCTCTGCAGTGCTCTAAACACCTGAGTGACTGAGGTCTCCTAGTGTGTCCGGAATTGGTTCCTTCCGGTGGGTTCTTGGTCTTGCTAACTTCAAGAATGAAGCCACAGACCCTCGCGGTGAGTGTTAGTTCTTAAAGACGGTGTGTCCAGAGTTTGTTTCTTCAGATGTCCAGATGTGTCTGGAGTTTCTTCCTTCCGGTGGGTTTGTGGTCTCGCCTTGACTTCAGGAGTGAAGCCGCAGACACTCTCAGTGAGTGTTACAGCTCTTAAAGGTGGCGCGTCCGAGTTGTTTGTTCCTCCCGGTGGGTTCATGGTCTCCCTGACTTGAGGAGTGAAGCCGCAGACCTTCGCAGTGACTGTTACAGCTCTTAGGTGGCACGTCTGGAGTTGTTTGTTCCTCCCGGTGGGTTTGCGGTCTCACTGACTTCAGGAGGGAAGCCCCAGACCTTGGCAGTGAGTGTTATAGCTCATAAAGGTAGTGTGGACCGAAAGAGTGACCAGCAGCAAGATTTATTGTGAAGAGCAAAAGTACAAAGCTTCCACAGTATGGAAGAGGACCTGAGCAGGTTGCCACTGCTGGCCTGGGTGGCCAGCTTTTATTCCCTTATTTGGCCCCTCCCACATCCTGCTGATTGATCCATTTTACAGAGCACTGATTGGTCCATTTTACAGAGTGCTGATTGGTGTGTTTATAAACTTTTAGCTAGACACAGAGCACTGATTGGTGCATTTACAATCCTTTAGCTAGACAGAAAAGTTCTCCAAGTACCCACCCGATTAGGTAGACACAGAGCACTGATTGGTGCATTTACAATCCTTTAGCTAGACGGAAAATTTCTCCAAGTCCCCACCTGACCCAGAAGCCCAGCCGGCTTCACCGCTCAATAGCACCTATTTGGTGTCCCACTGTAGAATTTTGTGAATGCCTTATCAAATTCAGGGAGAAGACTATTCAGAGGACATTATGTTTGTTGCCTTCTCATGATCATTGTCTATGGGTTGATTTATTCCTCTTCTTACACACAGTCTACTAAGTACAAATTCTTCACTGTGCTTAATTGAATCATTCTCTTCTTTTCAAATAGAGCATTCAGGTTAAGAGTGCTGGTAAGGGATGTTTATGTTGAAGATCTAATCGACTTGACCTTTCCACATGCTAGAACTAAGTAACTTGAAATATGGAAAAAAAAAGTAGTTGGTTTTATTTCCATGCTTCTCAAATGGGGACAAATTTACCCTCCAGGGGACATGTGGCACTGTATAAAGACTTTTTTTGGTTGCACAGCTGGAGAAGGGGGATACTACTGGCAACTAGCAGTTGGAAGCCAGGGATGCTGCTATACATCCTACCATACACAATACAACCCCTTTACAACAAAGAATTGTCTCACCCAAAATGTTATTATTGCTGAGGTTGAGAAACTTTGTTACCACTTAAAATTTGAAAAACTTCTTTTTCTCTGTTAGACAAAAAAATTAGATTTTCAGAAAGCAGATAGCAAAGAGTAGCTTATGAGAACATAATCTCTGACAGTTCTGAACTTCATGGTATTTTGATGAAACAAACCTTAAACTGTAACATGACTTTTTAAAAGCAGGGTGGGAGGTGCATTGCGAAATAGAGCTGAAGCTGAAGAAGCACTACCCAGAGTCCTCCCCAGTCTCCTAAGAACTTCATCTTCTTGTATATTTCCAATATAGAGCTGGAGAAATAACAATTCTGGGGAGTCTAAAGTATGCTACATTACTATGCATGTCCTTAAATAATTACCTTTCAAAGAAGCTATATTTCTTGCATGAGGATCAAGAGTGAGAAAATTTGGGTCCTCTCGTCCACTCCAGAATTAAAAAGGAAATTGAGAAAGAAGTCAACGGAATGTCTGACATTATAGCTGTCTGTGCAGGCAGCATTGTTTTTCTATTCTATTGATGTCTCAGGAGTGCTTCTTCTAGCCAGTCATCAAGATTTGAGTTAATGATGGGTTAGGATGCCCTCTAGCCTGCTTGACTGATGTCGCTTAAGAACTATCTCCTTATAAAGCTAGTGACAAGGCTCTGGTGAGGCCATCATTGAATCCAATTAAAAATCTTATTTCTTCCATGCTGTGAGAGGAATCAGGAGCCCAGCCCTTCGTTCTGGTGTTGCTACACCACAGGTTTCTATAGAAGGTACATTTGACACTGTCTAGTCCTTAGGCAGGCTTGTATGCAAAAATCCCTTCATCCCCAAGGCCAGATACTGGTTATTCTGTCACCTCCAGATTCATAGGTAGGTTTTTCTCCTCACAACAAAAAATAAAATAACAAGAAATGATAATGAAGAAAAATAGCATAGCTATTCATGTCCTATTGTAGACACTTGGAGATTTTTCTGCAGAAAGGTATTTTCTATGTTAGAAAGAAAAAAAAAACTGGTAAAGTAGGTCAGGCATGATTGAAGCTCTACAAATTGCAGGTATGCTACAATTTACGGTAACATTTTTTATTTTAAAAGTAACTTTTGAAGAAGGGTCAAAGCAGAATTCAATGTGATAATATAATTAAAGACATTTTCAATAAGTCAGCACTTATTTTACTTTAGTTTTCCCCTTGGAATGAAAACTATGTAGGCAATTAGTTTAAATTAGGCTACATGGGGATATTATTTGTATAACAAAAATAAGTTTTTCTTTGTAATTAAATTTAATGGTGTTGCACTGGAGAGAAACTGAACAAGTTTCTAAGACTAGCATTGCTCTAGCCAATCCAGTGCTCTGAGATTCATTGACATAACAAGTCATTTTTCTAATTCCCTGACACGGTCTGCATTCTTAACATGCTAAGCAGATACTTCTAGCTGCTGAGAAATTTAAATAAATCGTTTTTCTCTGAGACGATTCTAAGTTCCGATGCTTCCTAGATGATTATGATGTTGCTAAAACCTTGCTTTTGTTTTAATCCTCATAAAGAATGTAAAGAACAGCTTCTAATTATCATGTATCTGCATATGGACATGAATCTAAGGTTGAAATTTTCAGACTATTCATACACTTTAAACCCTTGCTTATGAAATAATTATTTATTCACAGGGTCCTTGGTATATAACATGTTTATACACACACATGCACACACACAAACACAAATACACATATTCACAAATGTGTTATGTGTGTAGTTCATTATTTAAAATTTTACAACTAATATGTATAACTATTATAATTAGAAAATATAGTAAAGGAAAAATACTTGCTCTTCCTTATGGCATGTAAAATGTAGACTTGGTTTACTTTTTCTCGACATTGTACTTAGGAGCATATTAAGCTGATTTTCTAATATAAAATTCTTTATTGACATTAAAAGAAACAAGTTATATTAACAGAGACAAAATTTTGTGATAGCTAGAAAGTTTTGGATTTCCACCTGTCTCTCATTCACTAGCTCAAAATTTCAGGTAAATTACTTAAAGCCTTCAAGTCCTGCTCTGTCATCTATAAACTGAAGTAAATAATTCCCACACAATAGGGTTGTTTTAAAGATCAAACAAATTAATAGATTAAAAGTACTAAGCATAGCCATAACAAGCAGTAACAATTAAGATTAACTGTTATAATCAGTTACTGTTTTCACTGTTTTTAATAGGAATAAGGGAGGGTAATCAGGTAGAAAGAAAACATCAAATGATGCTGTTTACATTTATAAGTTCGTACTACTCTATCAACCACTCTGGATTCCAAAGTGATTAGAGTAAGTTTCATGAAACTGTTCATAAATAGATAAAGTTGCTTTATTTCTACCTTTTCCTCATACTGTTCCCTAGGCATTTTTATACTTTCTGTCTAGTAAAGGGGTGTTCATTCTACCTGTTTACTAGGTACCCATCCTACTCATAAATTAAGATAATTTATTTTGCAAAGATATGCCTGATGTTTCCAACCTCTCACTCTACATGGTGATTATCGTCATTAACATACTTTGTTTATAAGTTTGCTAAATTCTTTAGCACATTCACCACTTCTTTACCTACATGCTTTTCTCCTTTCAAAGATATGCTAACTTGAAGGCCAAAACTACATTTTATTCATTTTTCCTTTTCTAATGTGTAGAAATTTCAGGTATCCTAATACATGAATACATGCCTGTTGGGTCAATGAATGAACAAATGAGTAAATGAATAAGTATATTTTTCTAGCAAAATTTTGTTTATTTTACTCTAAATCAACAGTAACCATATTCTTTCATTATTTCTAGTCCTCTTTCTGAAAAACATATTTCAGTTATGCTTGAATGGTGATTGTCTCCCTTAATATAATATTTAACAGATAATTGCCATTACTTTCCTCTACAATCATTTTTCATTTTATTTCCCAACAAGCCATTTCCTTTATTAATTAAAAATTTAAGAAAAAAAAGAAGAAACAATGTGCCTTTTTCTAACCTGCTGTTCCTGTTTCTTCCATTTCTGTGCCACTTACTCTTGCCTAACCTTTTCCAATGGGACTGCTCCTGCCACCACTTTATAGAATTTACACTACAAATTGTCACCAGTGACTTCTAATCTAAAATTCAGAGGTGTTTTCATTTTCCCTTGAGGCATATTTGCCTTTGCTGATGTTTCTTTCTTTAGCATCCTTAATTGTCTATTTTTTATCTTTATAGAAAGCAAAACCTTGCAAAAATACTATAAAAAGTAGAAAATGTAATTTTTTCATTATGAAATTATTTTCCTTAGGACAAGATAAAAGGAGCTAGTCGCGTTGATGGTTATTGATGTGAGGAAGGATATTCTGGGGTGTTTGCATTAATGGAAGATAGGAAACCTCTCTAATCAGGGCATTGGTGGTAAATTTCACATATATATATATATATAGAAGCAGAATTTCAGAAGATTGTCTGAAAGGTAAGTTGGGACAAATGGAGAAATTTTAAAAGGAATATTAGACTATATATAACTAGTAAATTCCACAATTTCGTTTGTAACTTTTATATGAGTCATAACTTCTAATCTGGTTTAGGCAAACCATTTATTTTTGCCTAAAATCTAGAAATCCATAGAAAACTAAGTATTTACTGACTAATTTATAACACTGTGCCTGTCCACATATTTAGAGATTGTAATATAACAAGCCCTACTCAACCAACCATCCACAAATATCAGTTCTTTAATTTTTAACCATATTTTGTGTAATCTATAATTGTGCATTTAAAATAAATCCTAGAAAAAGTACAATTGCTTTTTAGGTTATTCTGGTTAACTCATATTTACATGACCATAAGAGAATAATAAGTGTTTCTGAAAAACTACAAGAAAAATAGTATAAATGATAAAAACATACATGTAAAATTGCTCTGTTGATTAAACCGAGAAGCTGAGGGGGGAAAATGATGTTTTCTATAAATTGTAAAATTTACAGATAAAGAATATAGAATGCAAGCAAGGTAGAAACACACATCTATTTAAAAAGAGTTTTTTTTAATAACAAAATACGAAGAGAAAAACGAAGAGAGAGAAAAAACATGTGATTTGAGGCAGTTTTGAAGCAAAGCAGGGTTTAGAAAAGAACTCATTAGGCCACCAGAATTTGAGAGAATCCTGACAGAGATGCAAATTTGGAGGTGAGTGAAAAAAGACTCAACAAAGCCAATTTATCCTAGTAGAGAGGGAGCAAACACAAAGGAAGAGAATAGAAAACTTCAGAGGTCTTGAGAAATGCCAAGGAGTCTCCAAATCAACCTGGAACAAAAAATAGAGTTTGAAAAATATTTGAAGTGGTGTTAAAATGGGCTATTAGAGGTGTTTGTTAGTGCTGCCAGGTTGAGAAAGGACATGCGCATTTAGAAATGCAAATCTGAAGTTTGCCTCACAGAGTTCTATTGGAAAAGATTTGTGATTTTTATGAAAATAAATGGTTTTCTGTTTCCTCCACCTCTGTGAGTAATGTCCCTGTGGGATTCTTCAAACACAGGTGCCTTTGAGTTCAGTTTTACTTGAGCTCCTGTAAATTATTTGGGTGTGGCCCTTTTGGAGGACAGCTAAGATTTGCAGTGATTGAGAAATTCTCAGAAAGGATGTAAACTCAGGACTTTTTACAAAAATATTAATACAACACTGAATGTCAAAAAAGAAAAGACCGAAAAATAGGGAATGATTTAAATCCTGAGTTTGTCATAATTTCAATATTAGTTTAAATCTGGATAAAGGACACTTAGCCTTTCAAAGTTTGCTGCATGTAATCTGAAAATCTGGCTTAAGCAAACCATTTGTTTTTGCCTAAAATCTAGATAGCCATGGAAAACTGAGTATTTACTGACTAATTTACAACACTAAGGTTGCAAAAGCTAAGTGTCCTTTATCCAGATTAATTAGTTAGTGTAACATTTTTTATTTAGTACATAACTTGTTAAACATATATTATGGGGAGCTAGGACGCCAGATTACATATAAAGAAAGCACCAAAAAGTTCATACAAAAACAACAAACATAGAAAATGCTTTTCTAATTTTATGGCACCGAGAAGAGCAGTTAATTTTCCCGCTGCTTTATATATAAAATGTCTTCAAATTCTAATAAGGATATTAAAAAAAATTGTGTTATTTTAAGTCAAACTCATTTATAATAATTTACTCTTTGTCAAGAATAACAACTGGGAATCATGGTTCCAGCAAGTTTTCAAGAAAATCATTGTTGTATTATTTTTCTATCTTCAAAAAATAAAAAAAGTTAAGTAAATAAATGAAACCTAAGCAGCTCACTTTCCTTGAGGAAACTAAAATTGAAAATTACTAAAATGCTAATATTTTTTAATAATGTTGTTTATTGAAACATTCATTTAACATTATTTTGTTTTATCCAATATTGATATATTTAATAGATAATATATATGATCTGAGCCTAGGGCATAAATGTAGTATCTTAATTAACAAGTGATAGATATTACTAAGTGAATAATGTATTTCATTTAATAGAGACTGAACTATATCTCATTCTGAAAGTGATTGGTCTTTTTATTGAAAGATTAATCCATTTCAAAAGGTGATGCATCTCTTTCAATATGAGCTAAATCAAATCTATAATGAATTTTTTGTTTTAGTGTGCAAAGGTAAGACAAGGAACAAGTTTGCCCTCAAGTGGACTTCAAAGGCAGATCAGAGTTTCCAAAGAGAAGGGGGGAAGTTGATATCATGAATTTATGTATTCAGAATAATAGGGAGTAGGCTCAACATATCTCATTCCTCACAGAAGATTTTTATTTTGGAAGCATCTTATATTTTCCTACATATTCTATTATACATTGCACTATTGAAATGCCACAAAACAATTTTAGTAGTACTTTAAAATATTCAAATATTATTCGGCATTCATTAGTTATTTTGTTATTTTTCTAGAATCTTTTAAGGCAGCAATTTTACCCTAAATTGAAATAAAATAAATTTAAAAATTTCAATTTTCCCCTCTCCAATAGACATATAGTGTGCCAAAAAGCCTTTACAAAATATATAATTAAAGGAAGATGGCAGTGATATGAAGATAGCAAAATAGAAAATTCCAGGCTTCACTCTCATGCCACAAAGTTTAACCAACAATTATCCACAGATAAGAATACCTTGGTAAAAACCTCCAAAATTGCAAATAAACTTGAGTCTGTTCTGTGGTCCACAGAATGGAATAAAAATCACATGAAACCGATAGGAGAAACAGTCTCACTCTGACTGTGTACCCCTCTTCCTTTTCCAAGTCTGCATAGTGCCGTAGAGAGAATTTTCCAGGGTTCATGGTTTCTACAGAAAGAAAGAACCAGAAGCAAACACACAGATTCCTTTAGCATTCTGAGTTGCTTTCCAGGAAGCCCATTCCCATCTCACCTTAAAGGAAATGCATAGGGAAATGGCATGGTTAGACGATCTGGGAGTGAGGTAGAAACAAAGCAGAAAGGTGGAAAGCGCAGCAACCAGCATGGAGATCTTGGTGGCAGCTGTGTGTACTTGCCAGCAGTGGCACCCAATCAGAGGTATCAACTAACAGCATAGCCGACACACAAAGCTGAGTTGGTTGCTTCCAGAAGAGGAGGGAAGTTCTACCTGGCTTGAATCCCTAGACAGCTAGTTTCCAGGACAAGCGTCCGACCCTGCCCCAGGGCCGTGCCCAGGAAGGGAAACAAACACAACAGCAAAGTATGGGAAAGAGCAGGGCCTAGTTAGTTACACCTGAGAATTTAACAGCACTCAGTATCATCTCAAAACCCACACTCAGACCTCTCCCAGGGAGAGAGCAACTGTCACAGCAGATTACGGCAAAGAGCACAAGCTAGTGGCACGACATCTAGGAATTTAAACAGTACTCAGCTCAGCCTCAAACCTGCCTCAAGGTTCTTTATAGGAAGAGGGGTAAACCTCAACCATGCATTTCTACTGAGCAAAGCATCTGGTCCTGTCCATCCCAATCAGCAACTCTACCTTACCGTGGAATCCCTCCTGCAACCCTATCCAATCGCTGAACTCAAATAGTGGTACCATCTGGCCAGGAAATACACCCTGTGGCCCAACCTGATATGCAGTGATTGCAGTGCCTATCTAGCAGCTCAGCATGACTGCAGAGTCCAGCAAGCTGCCCCACCCAAACTTAGCAGTTCAGCTATCTAGAGAATCTGAAAGCAAGTTTTGCCTGCCAAGATTTGCTATCAGCTGGCCCATCCAGAATCACTAAATAATGAAGGTCTACCGCTGACCTTAAAACAAAACAAAACAAAACAAAACAAACAAAAAAACACCAGTAAAAGCAAAAAAAGTTGGCGGTCTCCTCAAGCGCACAGACACCAATGCAAAGACACAAGATTACAAAGACTTTCAACTTTATAATAGTGCAAAAGTGATACACATTCAATATAAACCATATCTTCATCATAAGTCATAATGAGCTCTTGAATTATGTTGGGTTATGTCTCAATAAACCCAAAGAGTCAAAAAATTGTAAGTCAAACCATTGTTAAGTTGGGAACTTTCTGTATTCTAGGACTGTAATGGTGATGTGTAAAACAATTTTAGTTCTAGTAAAAGAGTTAAAAGAACTATTAATGATAACTACAGCTAAAATAAATTGTAAATTCTAAAATCAAAGGCATACAATGTTGGAGTGAGAAAT
Source organism: Homo sapiens (assembly GCF_000001405.40). Lineage (NCBI taxonomy): Eukaryota > Metazoa > Chordata > Mammalia > Primates > Hominidae > Homo > Homo sapiens. The sequence goes on along the minus strand of NC_000001.11, from coordinate 79,585,408 downwards.
AAAAGCATATAGTTGTATACAATTAAAGTTGAGTTAGTGTCAGCTTGGAATAGATTGTTATACGTATCAGATGTGATATGTAAACCTCATGGTAACCACAAAGCAAAAATCTATAGTAGAGGCACTAAACAAAATAGAAAGTATTTAAAGCATACCACTACAGAAAATCATCAATCACAAAGGAAGAGAGCAAGAAAAAATTTAAATATTGACCAACCAACAAAGAAACAATTTAAAAATGTGAGTAGTAAGTCCTTACTTACTACAAAGTACTCTTGATCCTTATTTGATAAGTAATAAGTCCTTACTGACTACAAAGTACTCTTGATCAAATAAGGATCAAGAGTACTTTGAATGTAAATGTAATACATTTTGCATTAAAAAGACAAAGGCAAACTGAATGTATATAAAAAAATAAAACCCAACTCTGTATTGTCTACAAGAAAGTCACCTCTCTTTTAAGGATACACATAAATAAAAACTAAAAAGATGGAAAAATATATTCCATGCAAAGGGAAACCAAAAGAGAGTACAAGTAGCTGTCCTTATTGACACAGCAGGAGCATCACCATCTTGGACAAGTACTGCCATTTTAGAGAAAAACTTGAGAAAAACTGCCTAAATCCAAAGGGCATCAGCCTAATGGCTAAGGTCAGCATGACCACAAATCACAAATAACACCCCCTACCAGAGACATGCCAGCCCTGAGATAACCTCCCTTCCAGCCGAAAAGATGTCAGCCCCAAGATAACCTCCCCTCTGCCCAGAGATACTCTAACCCTGCTATAAACTTCTCCCCAACACAGAAACATTCCAAGCTTACCATAAGCCCCCCTCACCCTAAAACCAATATATACTCTTAGTCTGTAAGAGAGAGGGCTCCTGACTGAAGTCAGCCAGAAGCCCCTCTCAGGTTTATTCCCCCAAATAAACCTGTCTTTGACTATTGAATCACTTTTCATGTTTCTTTCCTCTTTTTTAACTCTTACACTTATTTCAGACAAAATAAACCTTAAGTCAAAGCTGTAAAAAGAGACAAAGAAGGAAATCATATAATGACAAAGGGGTCAATTCCTCAAAAGGTTATAATGATTATAAATGTATATGCATCAACACCAGAGCACCTAAATATAGAAAGCAAATATTAGAGGATCTGAAAAGAGGATATATTACAGTAACAGTAGGAAACTTCAATACCCCACTTTCAAAAATGGACAGACCACCCAAACAGAAAATTAATAAGTAAAATTCAACTTGAACAACAGGCCTAACAGACATAAATGGAACATTCCATCAATCAACAGAATACACATTCTTCTCAAGCACATGGGGAATATTCTCCAGGATAGATTATATGTTCATCCACAAGTCAAGTCTTGGTCAATCTAATTGTATCAAGTACCTTCTCTGACCACAGTGGTATGAAACTAGAAATCAATAACAGTAAGAAGCTAGGAAAATTCAAAAATACATGGAAATTTTTAAAAAGCTCCTGATAAATGGGTAAACAAAAAATAATAAAAGACAAATTAGAAAATATTTCGAGAAAAACAAAAGTGGAAACACAACATATTCAAACTTATGAGATGCAGCAAAAGCTTCTAAGAGGAAAGTTTATAGCAATAAATGCCTACATCAAAAAGAAGAATAAACAACTTGATGTTATGCCTCAAGGAAATATAAAAGTGAAGAACAAACTAAGCCTAAAATCAGCAGAAGGAAAAAAATAATAATGATTAGAGCAGAAATATAATACAAAAGATCAATGGAACTAAAGTTTTTTTTTTTTTTTTAAGATAAACTTTTAACTGGACTAATGGGCAAAAAGAGTTAAGACTCAAGTAAAATCAGAAATGAAAGCAGAGACATTGAAACTTATACCACAGAAATACAAAGTATAAGATACTATTATGAACAATTATAGGCCCCCAAATTGGATAACCTGGAAGAAACGGATACATTTCTAGACCAATACAACCTACAAAGACTGCATCATGAAGAAATAGAAAATCTGAACAGACCAACAATATGTAAGGAGATTGAATCAGTAATTTAAAGTCTCCCATCAAAGAAACGCCAAGAGTCTGATGGTTTCACTCATGAATTCTTACCAAACATTTAAAGAACTAGTATAATTCCTTCACAAATTCTGAAAAAATTGAAGAGGTGGGAATACTTCCAAAATCTCTTTAGGAAGCCGGCATCACACTGATACTACAAAAGCCAGACAAGAAGAGAACAAGAAAAGAAAACTACAGGCCAAGATCATTGTTAGAAATAGATGCAAAAGTCCTCAACAGAATGTTAGCAAAGACAATTTCAATAACACATTAAAACAACAGTGTTCACCATGATTAAGTAAGATTCATCCCTGGGATAGAAGTATTGTTCAATATATGCAGATCAATCACATTAGAAGAGTAAAGGATGGCTGGGTGCAGTGGCTCACGCCTGTAATCTCAGCACTTTGGGAGGCTGAGGCGGGCGGATCACGAGGTCAGGAGATCGAGACCATCCTGGCTAACACGGTGAAATCCTCTCTATGAAAAAAATACAAAAAATTAGCCGGGCATGGTGGCGGATGCCTGTAGTCCCAGCTACTCGGGCGGCTGAGGCAGGAGAATGGCGTGAACCCTGGAGGCGGAGCTTGCAGTGAACTGAGATCGCGCCACTGCATTCCAGCCTGGGTGACAGAGCCAGACTCCATCTCAAAAAAAAAAAAAAAAAAAAAAAAATAGAGTGAAGGACATTAACAGATACATCACATTAACAGAATGAAAGACAAAAACCGGCTGGGTGCAGTGGCTCACGCCTGTAATCCTAGCACTTTGGGAGGCCGAGGCGGGTGGATCACGAGGTCAGGAGATCGAGACCATCCCGGCTAACACGGTGAAACCCTGTATCTACTAAAAATACAAAAAATTAGCTGGGCTTGGTGGCGGGCGCCTGTAGTCCCAGCTACTTGGGAGAATGGCGTGAACCTGGGAGGCGGAGCTTGCAGTGAGCGAGATTGCACCACTACACTCTAGCCTGGGTGACAGAGCAAGACTCCATCTCAAAAAAAAGAAAGAAAGAAAGAAAGAAAGACAAAAACCATGTGATCATTTGATTAGACGTTGAAAAAGCACTGTACAAAATTAAAATCCTCTTATGATTTTTTTAAAAATTCAACAAATTATGTATACAAGGAATGTAATTCAGCACAACAAAGGCCATAAATGATAGGCTCACAGCTAGTATAATACACAGTGGTGAAAAATGGAAATCCTTTCCTCTAAGATCCAGAACAAGACAAGAATGCTTTGTCTCACCACTTCTATTCAACATAGTATTGGAAGTCCTTGCCAGAGCAATCAAGGGGAATAAATAAATAAATAAAAGGCATGAAAGTAGGAAAGATAAAAGTGAAATTGTCACTGCTGATGACATAATCTTATATATAGGAAACCTTAAAGATTTCACATCAAAAAAAAAAAACTGTTAGAACTAATAAATGAATACTGTAAAGGTGTAGGACACAAAATCAACACATAAAAATTAGTAGCACTCCTGTAGACTAACAATAAACTATCCAGAAAAGGAAAAGATTCCAAGGACAATAGCTAAAAAATATATACTTAAGAAAAAAATTAACCAAAAAGGTGAAAGACCTGTACATTGAAAACTATAAAATATTAATTAAAAATATTAACAAAGATGCAATAAGTGGAAAAATATCCAGTGTTCATGGATTGGAAGAATTAATGTTGCAAACCTGTCCTTACTACCCCAAATAATCTGCAGATTCCTTGTAATCATTATCAAAATTCCAATGTTATTTTTCATAGAAATAGAATAAAATAATCCTAAAATTTGCAGAAAATCATAAAAAAAATCAAATAGACAAGGCAATCATGAGCAAAAAGACCAAATCTGGAGGTATTACACTACCTGATTTCAAACTATATTGCTAAGCGATAGTAATTAAAACAGCATTGTACTGACATAAACCTACACTCATCTTTCAACGGAACAGGATGGAGAGCCCAGTAATGAGCCCACACATGTATAGTCAATTGACTTTTGACAAAAGTGACAAGTATACATTGGCAATTGGACAGTTTATTTAATAAATAGTGTTTAGAAAACTAGATATCCATATGTAGAAGAATGAAATTGGACCCTTATCTCACACCGTATACAAAAATCAACTAAAAATGGACTAAACATAACACCTGGAATTGTAAAATACCAAAAAGAAACCATAGGGGAAAAACTACACAGTATTAGTCTGGGCAGTAATTTTTTTGATTTGTTGCAGACAACAAAAGCAAAAATAGATGAATGTGATTACATTAAATAAAAAGCTTCCCCACAACAGACAAAACAATTAATAGAATTTAGATATAACCTAAGGATTAGAAGAAAATTTTGGCAAGCCATGCATCTGATATGGGATTAACATCCAAAATATATAAAACACTCAACAATTCTATTTTCTCTCTTTTCTATAGAAAGAAAACAAATAATCCAATTATGAAATAGGCAAGAGGCCTGAATAGACTTTTCTCAAAAGAAGAGATACAAATAGCCAACTGATATATTAAAAAATGCTCAGTATCACTAATCATTAGAGATAAGAAAATTAAAAACACAATAAGGTATTAAATCACACCTGTCAGAATGGCTGTTATCAAAAATACAAAAGATAATAAGTGTTGGTGAGAATGTGGAGAAAAGGAAAAATGTATACTGTTGGTGGAAAAGTAAATTAGTATAGCCATTATGAAAAACCTTATGAAGGTTATTCAACAAGTAAAAATAAAATCACCATATAATCCAGCAGTTCAACTTCTAGGTATTTACTCAAAGGATTTGAGATCAGTATGTTAAACAGATGCTTGCACTCTGATGTTTATTGACACACTATTCACAATAGCAAAGTTATGGAATCAATCTTACTATCCATCAGCAAATAAATGGATAGAGAAAATGAGAAATATATACACAATGGAATACTATTCAGCCTTACAGAAGAAGGAAATTTTGTCATTTGCAACAAAGTAAATGGAATTGGAGAACATTATACTAAGTGAAAGAAGCCAGAGATAGAGAGGCAAGCACAATGTTTTTCTTATATGTGGAACCTAAAAAAATTGAACTCAAAGAGGCAGAAAGTAGAATGGTGGTCACCAGTGGCTGAGGGTAGAGAGAAATGAGGGGCTTAGGGAGATAATTGTCAAAGGGTACAATGCCTCAAATAGGAGGAAGTTGTTTGTTTACTTTGAAATCCATTGCATACTGTGGTAGATATAGTAAATAGTACTGCATTGTGCATTTCAAAATCACTGAGAATACACCACAAAAAATGATATCTATTTGAAGTGATAAACATATTAATTAACTTGATTTAATTATTCCACATTGTATTCAAGAATCACATCACTTTGTACCACATAAATATATACCAACTATAATTTTTTAAATTGCATTTAAAACTAAATATTAAATTTGTTAAAATAAAAATATATAAGGATTTTAAAATAACTTAGTGGTGCAAAATCTCAAAGTGAAATGAACCATCATGCTAATAATAAAAAATAAATAAATAAAGCAAGATGGCAATGTCCTAAATTGGCTTTTTAAATTTTAAGATGCACAAAATTACATTATTCTTATAACTTCAATAGCATTTGGCTTTTCTCAATCAAATCAGTTTTAATTCCTTCTAACAATACAAGTCTAGGCTTGTTTGCTTAATAAAATGTAGCTGTTTTCCATTACCTAGGACTTGGTTTTACCAATAAATAATTTTGTAACTGCAGTTCAACACTTGCAGCTTACTCTGAAAGAATCCTAACTTTTACGCTATTTTACCCAGTGTTAAGAAAAAAAGCCATAGCATCTCTAGTTCCTGATAAATAGTAGGTGCTTAATAAATTTGCTGTGAATGAATGGATGAGTGCCTCTCTTTTGTTGTTCTAATTATCTGGAATTTTTTTTTCTTATCCTTTTTACATTTTTTTTTACTGTTGTGAAAATAAACATGGTGAAAATTTAGTAGAAACTAAATATCGGATCCTTTTTCAGAGAATCTCTCTACATAATTCAACAAGGTGCATTATATTTTGTTTGACAGTGGTCAAAAAATAGCCTTTGAAACACGTTTCAGATTTTAAAGCAATTGGGGAGCCAACAGCATGAAATCTGGAGAAGGTGAGCACTGAATTGAAGGGTGGTGAAATTTGCCCTAATAAATTAGAATCAGAATATTTAAAGGAGCAAAGACATCTAGAAATCTGTGTTTCATAAAAACTAACAACAAACCAACCTAAGATAGCTCTTATGCACAGCCAACTTCAAAATACATTGACTGGACTTTTGAAGACTCTTGTAATCTTGAGAATCTAAAATTCCCTTATAAATTTTATTGTAGTTCTTCTCATTCTCGGAGATTTATCCTTTTCTTTGAATGTCTCATTACATTATACAATTAGGCACCTTAATTATATGCCAATGCATATTATTCACCCTTATTTCATTCTACAAGAAATTTTAGCTCAGAACTCTCAGTGTACCTTCTTTAAAACAAAATTTAGTTTTTTAGAGAGAGGGTCTCACCCTGTTGCCCAGGCTACAATGTGGTAACATGATCATAGCTAAAGGCAGCCTTGAGTTCCTGCATTCAAGGGATCCTCTTGCCTTAGCCTTCCCAGTAGATGAGGACTACAGGAGCAGGCCACCATGCCCAGCCATGATTTACGTTTTATATAAGGTCCCTTTATTAAAAATTCTGTAGGCTTCTTTCATGGAGAAACGAATTTAGACATAATAGAATTTAATTCCATTGTAGTAACTAACTCTCTGATCAACCAGAATTGGTTCTGGTTAATTGTATTTTTTTAACAACTACATTTTACAAGTGAATTCTACTCCTTTAAAATGTTGTCAAAATTCTTTTCTTTCTCAAATGCATTAGTTCATTTACTACTTTAATATTAGTAAAACATGGGTAACGATAATTGAATCTCGCTGATAATTGAGTATCTGATAGCACCTGGAGGGGATCTCATTCTGAAACTAAGTTCTCAATATTGTATTGTCCTGGAAAGGTAGATATAAAGATTAACACAAATTTGACTCACTCCAAGACGGAGACAGGAAGCTTAAAATTTCTATGAAACACACACACACACATACACACACACACACACACACCTTTTCCTATATTTTATAACGTTCTTCTAAAGTTTAAGATAAGCCAAATAATTTTTCACTAGTTCAGGATTCAGTTTGATTGAATTCTATTGGATCAAGGCCTTCCTATGTTGAAAAAAAGGTGTTATTTTTCAAACTTGAATTTTTAAAATTCTTCCCAATTTTTCAGTGTGATAAAAAGCCCTGAGACTATTAAATATCTGATATCTACTTAATGGTTATATAATTGTATGTGTGCATTCATGTAGATTTATTTGTGTAATTATGAAATACTTCAAGCACACAGAAAAGTATGGAGAATAGTATAATAAATACTAACATATGCATCTTTCAGCTTAAAATATTATATTTTTAAACAGAATATCATTTAGTCATATTAACTGTCCCTGCCTAAAGATAATGCCTAGCCTAAATTTACTGTTAATTATTCTGTATTCTTACATGTTTACTTTATGTGCTTTTCTTTTAACTATAAAATATGCACATTTTATATTTTATTGCTTCTATATTTATATAATTTCAGGAATATATATTACATTCTGTATGTATACACATATATCTTTTACCATATGTAACCTATGTACTTTAAATAAAGAATATATGCATTATATTATTTCTATATTATCAAATGTTATGTAAATGGTGTAGGTATTGATCTGCAATTTTCTCTTATTTTTGCACTAAATTAAGATTTTATAATTTATCAATTTGATTCTTAGAACTCTAGCTCATTCACTGTGTTGTTACATGACATTTAATCCTATGAATCTACAACTATTTATATTTCTAGTAAACATTTAAGTTATTAATAATTTTTTCCTATTGCAATCAATGGTGCAACAATGATCTTATATATGTCTCCTTGAACACATATAAAAAGATTTCTCGGCCGGGCGCGGTGGCTCACGCCTGTAATCCCAGCACTTTGGGAGGCTGAGGCGGGCGGATCACAAGGTCAGGAGATCGAGACCATCCTGGCTAACAGGTTGAAACCCCGTCTCTACTAAAAACACAAAAAAATTAGCCGGGCTTGGTGGCAGGCCCCTGTAGTCCCAGCTACTTGGGAGGCTGAGGCAGGAGAATGGCATGAACCCGGGAGGGTGAACTTGCAGTGAGCCGAGATCAAGCCACTGCACTCCAGCCTGGGCAACAGAGCGAGACTCCGTCTCAAAAAAAAAAAAAAAAAAAAAAAAAAAAAAAGATTTCTCTAGAATATATGCCCAGAAACAAAAATTCTGTCTCTAAAGCTACAGGCATCTTCACTTTACTACATCAGACCAATAGTTCTACAAATAAATGGAAAATACCAACATGTAAGGCAACAAGGTTCTGTAGCTCCATAACTTTGACATATTTGTTATGGTGATAATTTTAGATTTTTGCTGATGAGTTTAATGTATAAAAGTACCATTTTGTATGTAACTGAGATAAAAGTACTGTTTTGTATGTAACCTCCATTTTTCTGTTTATTATTGGTCAGCTCCTTAAATACTTATTTCTCCATTTAGTTTTCTTGTTCTATAAATTGTCATTCATTTCATTTGCCCTACTTTCTTGAGCAAAGACATTGATTAATAGTTTGAAAACACATTCTATTGTCAAATATAGGGAGGAATAGTCACTGCCATACACTGCTAGCGGGAATGCAAAATGGCACAACTTCTATGGAAGGGAATTTGATAATGCCTAGAAAAATTACACATATTTCTACCTTTAGCTGAGCCATTCCATTTCTAGGAGGCTATCCTTAAGGTACACTAGTAAAACAAAAAAAAAGTGGATAGTCTTTTTGTTGCTCTGCTCTTTGCTCTGCTCAAATGAATGTTCCATAAATATAACTTCGTACTAGATAGATATGTGTGTATAAACGTGTGTGTATATTTATATACACACATATATACATGCACATATATACAAATACATATATATGTAGAATATAGTTTTCTTGGAATATATCTTTCTTTATAGATTTACATTTATAATCATATTTCAAATATTTATAAATTTTTAAAATAATTACTTTGAAAGCAATACAAAATAGACTTAATTGAGTTGATGGCATAACCAGAGAGAAATTATTTCAAGTGTGTGCTTATAAATACATTAATTTGAAAAATATATATATATATGCCTAATCTATAATCTAAGATTAAGAAGAAATCTGAAAAAAATTATTTTCAGTAATCCTGTTGTTAGTAATAATACTGGTATTATTATACTTTAAGTTTTCTATAATTTCAAACATATAAATGAAAGAATATAAATAAGATTTAAGTAGTTATGGTTATTATCTATTATTCTACATATAGGAAAATTAAAATTTTAAATTATTAGCATAATTATCATTCATCATTATGAAAAATGTCAGTTTTAGATGCAAATATAAAAGCATTTAATATACAGACTCACCAAAATTATATAATTTATATTTTGTAGCTCATATATACATACATATTTTATTCTCACCACAATAGTGGATATTCTGCACAAAATAAATTCATCTGTTTACATTTTACTTCTTAACGCATGTGTATTCTATGAAAACCTTCTACCGGTGACTCACTGTGGAGTAGGAAAAGGGTGAAAGGAAATGGAGTTATTGGTCTATTTCCCTTTTCTCACTATCAATGCCCACATACGTGTCTGGCTAATAGAGGGAGGTAATATGAGTAAAAATAGAGTATGATAGGATTTATTTGTCATCCATGGTTCTTAGAATACCATTGCTTTCTTTCTGCACTTGAAGAAAATCCTTGTTTCAATGGGCAGTGTGACCTCTTGGGGCTGACATTTTCTTCACTTACTCTTTCATGGATGTGATATACTTAATTTCTACTCATTTTGAATCTTGCTGAATTCCCATGCATCATAGATCCACCAGAATTTCGAGATCTTGGTGGGGCACTGGAACAACTATATGCCAATGGTGTGACAAAGCATGGCTTGGATACCAAAATGTGTGCACCTCCTCTTCTCAAATGTGTTGTACCATCAGGCTTTACTTATAAAACACAGGTTCAAAGATAAGATTATTAAGAATTTCAAAGCAGTGACACTAAACTAAGCATAAACTAAGCACAAGGCCCTTCTGAACACAGGACTTCATGCAATGCCCAGGTTGGATGCCCACAAAGCTGGACTTTTTTGTGCACATTCTCACCGGAACCCCAAAGATTCTACTGTAAAATGTGGTAAATGATTATATACACTTCTCAGAATTAGTGAAACACTGCTAATAATATTCTTACAAACTACATACACATGTCTTATTAGATTATTTATACAGCCAGTGGGAGAAAATGCAGTGTAAAATGGGGTTTCATGAGAACGATTCAAGTAGGGATTTTAAGTCAATTCCAGGGAAAAAGAAGAGGTTCTGAGTAGAAGAAATAGAGGGGATGGCTGATTAAGAAAGGTTCAAGAGATCAGAATGGGTTGGTTCCATGAAAATTAACATGAAGTAGCCTTTGGAATAAGAAATGCCAAATTGTCCTTCAAGATAGGTCAGCCGGAATTAGAATGACCACTAATAGCATCTGACCATCTTTGTTTTGATGTATCCTATCCTTTCCTCAACTCCTAAGAATATTCTTGCTGGTTAGGAGTCCAAGGATTATAAAAACTACCAACAATTGCAGCCATGGAGATATTTTAAAAAGCAGATAAAAATTAGATTTTTCTAGGGTGAGATTTATACTTGATTTTAAGACTGATTTCATGGATTAAGATCCTATTTTTTTTTTTTTTTTTGGTTGTTGTTTCTTACTAAATAGCTCCTCCTCTAATTATCTCCATTCTAGTTTTCTGCAATGTATTGGCAAGAAAAACTCTTCTATGTACATTGCAAGAGATATTTAATTATGATGTTTTTACATAAAATGGACCACTGCAAAATTTGGCATAATTTGATTACCAGATTGAGAAGATCTTAATATAACTTATTGTAGGAGGACTTGCATGCCCCTTAACTACTGGTAATGAGGAAAAAATAATTCATGCAAAAAACTGGAAAAAATCTAGTTCATATGCCATTTTTGTTTCTGAAATGTTTAAATCTTTTAATTTTCTTTATAATTCTCTTATGCCAGTATAGGATGATTAGAAATAATTAGCATTTTTCTTTCCCTTTGGATGTCAGTTATGGAATTGCCCATATTCCCTGCATATTTTGATCTGTATAATATCGAAAATGAGAAGATAATATTTTTTGAAAGTAGAGATACAGAACTACAGCATAAAAGGGTTTAGAAGGTAGGATGAAAAAGGATACAATGTAATAAGGAAGGAAGGCCTGTGTCAGCAATAGGAAAGAACACAGCTAAAATGAATCATGCTCAAAACGTAGAAAGTGTTGGGATGAAGCTTTATAACTCTTGGACTCCTAACCGGTTTAAAAGTGATATAAACTTTATAGCACTAATAGAAAAAGAAAAGTTATGAAATTTCAGAAACTAAAACAGGAAGAGTTTTAGATCTTGCAGAAAGCTCCAATGTTTCCAACGATCTTGGTAGATTTGCAGTGACCAAAGGCTGTTTCATTGTGAATTTATGTTGGGTGAAATTAACCTAAAGAAAAAGTTAATCATTAGTTTCTTTGTTTTTGCTTTCTACCCACAGACTTACAAGAGATTTTAATATATAAATGTGCATCAAGACTTTTCAAAAACATTTTCCTCACTTATTAGGACCCTGTGTCCCTGCTTTCTTTTCTTTTCAGTTAGAAAGACATATTAACAATTTTAAGAACCCTCTCCCTCACTCCGATTATTTCATGTGATCCTCGGGTAAGTTTTCTAAAATCATACAAATAGTTAATGGCAGTGAGAGAGGGGCAAAAAAAACCAATACTGTGGGATACAACTTCTACATGCCATGTGTTTTACATACTTCTTATTTATTCCAAGACAACTCTAAATCATATGCACTATTATCCCCATTTTGGATTAAAAAGGAAGTTTCAAGAAGGGAAATTAGTCACAGGCTACTAAGTAGAACATTCCTGATTCAGGTTCTAAAGCTGTTAAGTTACTCTTTCCACTCTGGAAACATTAAACAAAGTTTTAAAAATTATTTTATTTATTCATTTATTTTTAGATTCAAGATCTCACTGTCACCCAGGCTGGAGTCCAGTGGTGTGATCATAGCTCACTGCAGCCTCAAACTCCTGAGCTTAAGCAATTATCCAGCCTCAGCCTCTGGAGTAGCTGGGATTACAGAGGAGCATCACCATACTTGGCTAATTGAAAGAATTTTTTTTTTTTTTGTAAAAACGAGGGTCTCACTATGCTGCCCAGGCTGGTGGCAAATGTCTGGCCTCAAGCAATTCTCCCATCTTGGCCTCTCAAAGTGCTGGAATTATAGGCATCAGTCACTGTGCCTGGCCTAAACAAAGTTTTAATTCAGTTTTAGATCTAAAAGGTATATTTGGATATAATCCTTAATAATGTCTATTGGAAAAAAATAGCTAATGGTTAACACTTGTGTAGTACTATTTGCCAGGTACTATCTGAATCATCATATATATATATACACACACATATATATCATATATACATATATATGTATATATATACATATATGTATCATATATATGATATGTATATATATACATCTATATGTCATATGTAATATATATGTATATGTATCATCTATATATCATATGTGATATATATGTATATGTATCATCTATATATCATATGTGATATATATGTATATGTATCATCTATATATATGTGATATATATGTATGTATCATCTATATATGTGATATATATGTATGTATCATCTATATATCATATGTGATATATATGTATATGTATCTATATATCATATGTGATATATATGTATATGTATCTATATATCATATGTGATATATATGTATATGTATCTATATAACATATGTGATATATATGTATATGTATCTATATATCATATGTGATATATATGTATATGTATCATCTATCATATGTGATATATGTATATGTATCATCTATCATATGTGATATATGTATATGTATCATCTATCATATGTGATATATATGTATATGTATCATCTATCATATGTGATATATATGTATATGTATCATCTATCATATGTGATATATATGTATATATATCATCTATCATATGTGATATATATGTATATGTATCATCTATCTATCATATGTGATATATATGTATATGTATCATCTATCATATGTGATATATATGTATATGTATCATCTATCATATGTGATATATATGTATATGTATCATCTATCATATGTGATATATATGTATATGTATCATCTATCATATGTGATATATATGTATATGTATCATCTATCTATCATATGTGATATATATGTATATGTATCATCTATCATATGTGATATATATGTATATGTATCATCTATCATATGTGATATATATGTATATGTATCATCTATCATATGTGATATATATGTATATGTATCATCTATCATATGTGATATATATGTATATGTATCATCTATCATATGTGATATATATGTATATGTATCATCTATCATATGTGATATATATGTATATGTATCATCTATCATATGTGATATATATGTATATATATCATCTATCATATGTGATATATATGTATATATATCATCTATCATATGTGATATATATGTATATATATCATCTATCATGTGATATATATGTATATATATCATCTATCATGTGATATATATGTATATATATCATCTATCATGTGATATATATGTATATATATCATCTATCATGTGATATATATGTATATATATCATCTATCATGTGATATATATGTATATATATCATTGATATATCATATGTGATATATATCATCGATATATCATATATGATATATATGTATATATCATCGATATATCATATATGATATATATGTATATATATCATCGATATATCATATATGATATATATGTCAGCACATTTAAATACAACAACAATAAAGCAAGGACTACAAAAAGAGGTCAGATAACTTGTCTAAAGTTCATAGCTCATAAATATGGAGCTATTTGAACTCAGATGATCTGTTCCAAAATTTCAAATACATATTGTGTGCTAGGGAAACAATGACCAAAAAATGAAGAAAACTGAAAAAATGAGTTAAGTCCTACATTGAATTAAATAATCAAAATAACTGTTCAATAATTTTTTAGGGCAGCTACTACATACGAGGCTTTGTTCAAAATGCTAGGGATATAATGCAGAACTAAATTCTTTTTTCTCATGAGGCCTACACTTCCATGCAAGATTCAGTCCATTTTAAATAAGATAAATAGATATTGAGATTATCATAAAGACTTTAAAAAAAAGATAAGTAGAATGAAAAAGGAGTGTGCCAGTGTAGTATTGGTGGCTATGCTAGTTCATTAGGGTAGGTATGAGATGCTTCACTGATAAAGTGTTATGAGAGCTGAACCCTGAATGATGAGAAGGAGCATGCTAGGTAATGGTCTAGAGGAAGAGTGCATGCAGAAAACCCACTTCAGTAAAGCATTGCAGTGGGTAACCTCAGCATATAAAAGAGCACCAAGTTGGCCATTACACTATGGTGAGAAGCTGAGATCTTTTTTAAAATGAAATAAGAAACCTTTGCAGTGTTTTAAGAAAGAAAATAATGGCTTATGTGTCCTGTTCATCTCCATTGGATCTGACCACTTAAATATTCTTCAGCTGACTTCTTATGGCTAGTATCTATAGATACATCTCTTTGCCTAAGGCTTTCTCTGAAGCTTTGGAACATTGGTTTGCCCTCACACAAGAAGGCAAAAGTGCTGGAAATTCACACACCTAAGGCAACCCTCAGGCAGTGACTGCTGCATATAAATACCCCAGCTCCCTCACCCTTCTGGTGGGATAACTCCAAGGAGCCATTATCCAGAGTTTCTTTGGGGGCATTAAGCTTTAATAATCCATGGAGGTAGCTGGCTTGATAACACATCCTTTACTGGCTACCTCCTTTCCTTTTTTTTTTTTTTTTTAACTTCCCCACTCCTATTCCATACATTGCTTTGCTTCCAAAATAAGATTCTCACACATGATTTTATTTGTCTAGGGTCTGCTTCTCATGAGAACAAAACTAACGCAAGTTTTATTTACTTTCTAAAATGATTATTTTGGCTGCTGTGTAAAGAATGATGAAACTAAGGAAATTACATAATGGAATATTCCTGCTGTAAGTGAAAGATCATAGCGTATAGAATTGAAGAGTAGAGATGTAGGAAAGATGTAGAAATTATTGATACAGTCAGGTGCCACATAATGGCATTTTGGTCAACAATGGATTGCATATATGACAGTGGTCCCACAAGATTACAATGCAGCTGAGAATTTTCTACCACCTCATGATTTCATAGTTGTTTTAATGTCATGGCACAATGCATTACTCTCATGTTTGTGGTGATGCTGGTGTAAACAAACCTACCACATTGCCAGCTGTCTAAAAGTATAGCACACAAAATTATGTATAGTACCTAATACCAGATAGTAGCAATAAATGACTATGTTACTGGTTTATGCATTTACTATGCTATACATTTTATTATTGTTGTTTTAGAGTGTACTTTTTCTACCTTTTTTTTAAAGCAATTTTTAGAACAGTCTCAGGCTATTTTTAGAAGAGTCTCAGGCTGATTTTTCAGAAAGTGTTCCATAATAAGGTATTGTTATCATAGGAGATGACAGCTCCATGCATGTTATTGCCCCTGAAGCCTTTCCAGTGGGACAAGATGTGGAGGTGGAAAACAGTGATACTAATGATCCTGACCTTGTGTAGGCCTCGGCTAATGTGTGTGTTTGTGTCTTGCATTTGTTTTAAGCTTAAAAAGTAAAACAAAAAAAATTAAAATAGAATAAAATCTTATACAGTAAGGATTTTAAAAAATAAAATATTTTTGTACTGCTGTACAGTATGTGTATTAAGTGTTATTACAAAAAAGTCAAAAGATTAAAAAAATTAAACTTTTAATGAAGTAAAAATTTCATAATAAACTCAGAATTTTTAAAAATTTAAGGCCGAGCATGGTGGCTCATGCCTTTAATCCCAGCTACTCGGGAGGCTGAGGCAGGAGAATTGCTTGAACCTGGGAGGCAGAGGTTGCGGTGAGCTGAGATCATGCCATTGCACCCCAGCCTGGGCAACAAGACCGAAACTCCGTCTCAAAAAAAAAAAAAATTAGTATCGTCAAAGTGTAAAGCGTTTATAAAGTCTATGGTAGCGTACAGTAATGTCCTATCCCTTCTCATTCACTCACCATTCACTCACTGACTCACCCAAAGCAATTTCCACTCCTGCAAGCTATATTCATGGTAAATGTCCTGTACAGGTGCACCACTTTGTATCTCTTGTACCATAGTTTTTAAGTTACCTTTTCTATTTTTAGATACATTAAAATAAAATACAGACATACTTACCATTGTTTAATAATTGGCTGCAATATTCAGTCTAGTAACATGCTGTACAGGTATATAGCCTAGAAGCAATAAGCTATACCATAAAGCTTAGCTTAGGCTATTCCATCTAGGTTTGAGTAAATACACTCTGTGCTGTTTGCATACGGATGAAATTGCTTAACTATGCATTCCTCAGAACATATTCCTGTGGTTAAGCAACACATGACTGTATATTGTTCATGTAGGTGGTAGAAAGAAAGATTTAAAAAACACTCTTACATTTTTGGCTTGAGCAGCTGTGTTGATGGTACTGCCATGTACTCAGGACATTTGGAAGCTTGACAGTCCAGAGAATAAACTAATATATTCTATCTGGGAAATGTTCATTTTCAGCAGACTGTTCAGCATTCTAACAGTGATGTTAACATAGTTGAATCTTTGAATTTGCTGGTGTTGGGGAGGAGAAAAATTCAGGGTAGGAGATGTTATTCTAGAAGTCTTCAGGACCTAAATATCATTTAATTTCGTATGACTGCATGAAATCAACTAGAAAGATGATAATAACTAGAGACTTTTGAGAACAGAGTAAATATGACAACCTCCTAGCCAGAAAAGGGAGCTAACAAAAAAAGAAGGTAACATCATCCAAAAAGTTGAAGGAAAGTTATGTAAATGCTGGAATTCCAAGATAGTTTGAACAAAATCATTCCAGTAGTTTGAAATAGTTGACTGTGTCATATGGTGTTGATAATTCAAAGGACACAAGGCAGAAAATTGACCTTTGAATTTGTAAGGCAGAAGTCATTGGTGGCTTGAGAAGTGTCATTTAGGTGAACTGGAAGAAACAAAACTTGAGTAAAATAGGCAAATAAGATAATTGGAAATAAAAATGTTGATAAATAAATTATAGATAAGTGAGAGGTTTTTAAGAGGTTTTTTGATATTTGCTAAAAAATGCCAGTACCTGGATACAAATAAAATCTGTACTCTATTCCACCTCCCCATTCCCAGTGGTGTTAAATCATGCTGTTATACTGATAGAATAGAATCACCAGAGAAGAGATTTTAATGATTTTTTTAGCAGTTTATTCAATCACATACACACAAATTTAGAATCTTAGAATACGACTAATGAACTTCCATTGTTGAAGAATAAATAAATTAAAGTTAAGCATGAATTCTATTTCACTTGGAAATTATATCAGCCAAATTTTAAAGTTAGAAAACATAGTGTAGAACGATTATTTTGTATTTCTCTTATTTGTAAGTGGCTAATTTCCTCCATGATGGCTATACTGTCCATTGGAATACCAAATATACTCTTATTTTCAAATGGTGCATGTAAGAATATCATTCACTTTTTGTGCAAAGCCAAATATTTTAATTCAGAAAAAATGTTTTAGTAACATGCTTTGTGAAAGGAATTGTATACATAAGATTTATTGCTTGAAAATCCTTAAAAATCTTTTGCCTTCAACTAACATAAATAGTTGGCAGCTTATAAAAATCATGTCAGCAAGCTTTTGTTTAAAATTTTAGCCTCCATGAATTCAAAACTAAAAAGCGTTGTCTTTTTGGAACATTCTTGTAAAATCTGTTGTTTTGAAATTTGATTAGTGAGAACAATACATGTTTTGAGTACCTCAATTTTCTCTAAGACTTTCCTCTTTTGTTCATGTTCCTTATACAATTATAGTACCTGTCTAAGATGATTTTTCATGGATGCTGCGCTATTGTACGTTATTATAGTATTTCTTATTTCTGAGGTGAAATTCTGAGGTAACAAAATAGGTATTCTGAATTTAATTTAATATTACAAGGACTAAAAATGTTCAAATAGGATCACAAGGACTAAAAAAACCAAATAGGACTTTTAAATGAAAAAAAAATTCATGACTTAGATGAAATTGAATAACTATTAAATACTTTTTAAAATTTATTTTTTTTGTTGTAGATGAATGTGTATTAAATGACTCTATAAGATAATAATATAATGTAATTTCTATTGGTTTTTCTTGAATCCTTATTTAAATTTTATAAACATATCTTGACTTTGGAAGGGTTCTCTGTTACTATTTATATTAACTCATAATCTATTTCCTTTTTTATGTTAACTACTTGAGATTTCTTAATAATGTTTCATTTATATATTAAAAAGTATATATATAAAACTAGTTATATATGTGTATATATGTACATATGTATATGTAATTTATAAGTTACTTGCATGTTTTTTAGCTCCAGATTGGCTCTCACCATTAAAGGAGACATGTTGATCACCTACTGTTATGGTTTGGCTGTCTCCCCACTCAAATCTCACCTTCAATTGTAATAATCCCCATGTGTCAAGGGCAGGGCCAAATGGAGCTAATATAATCATGATATATATGATATATAATCACATATATAATAATAATATAATAATATAGTCATATTGTTCTCATGGTAGTGAATAAGTCTCACGAGATCTGATGATTTATAAATGGGAGTCCCTCTGCACAAGCTCTCTCTTGCCGGTTGCCATGTAAAACGTGTCTTGCTTCCCCTTTGCTTTCTGCCATGATTGTGAGGCCTCCCAGCCATGTGAAACTGTGAGTCAATTAAACCTCTTTCCTTTATAAATTACCTAGTCCTGGGTATGTCTTTATTAGCAGCATGCAAACAAACTAATCACCTACTATGTACAAGGAATGTTTTCCAGCATCGTGACTGCCCAAAAATAATCTCAAAATATGTCTCCCTTTATGACATATAATAGGATTTTGACTCTGTGGGCCTTTGAAGAATTCTTCTCATTTTTCTTTGCAAATATTTTTAAGGAAAGGCAATGGTAAGTATAATATGAACAAGCAGCTTCAAATGAAAGGAAAACTCAACAAAATAACTCAACAACTTCTTCAGTATATTGATTCATCAGTCTCCCTTGTACAGGCAATGGGGCAGAAATAAAGGCAAATGGCTACTTTTTTCTTCCAGAATCTTTGAGATTTTATATTATATATATATGTAATATACTTAGGCTATGTACATATATAATATAGTAATTATATTATAAATAAAATATTAATATTTTGTATATAATATAAAATTAATATAGATGTAGATGTATATAGAGAGATATAAATAGATTATATAGATTTTTTCTCTCTTTTTCTGTTCTTGTCAAAGTTCATTTCAATTTAATTTTTACTTTTAACAATACAATGTTCCAACAGAGCAGTAAGGTTTTTACTTCCAACAGATACAATGTTCCAAAAGTTACTGAGCATTCATTGATAAATTTGACCCTATCTTTTATTGATTGACATACTCATTGTATGTGTGAGACACTAGTCTATTAAGATGCCACTCTCCTTGAGCACTTCAAGTGCTTCCCCTTCAGGTGCCTTTTGCTTGTTCTCTCTTAAAATGCTCCTTTTCAAATATTCTTACTCCATATATCCTCATATCTCTTTCCCGCATGGGTTTAATGATTATACTCAAGTATCTTCATTTTAGTAAGGGCTTCTCAGATCATTATTTGTTTTTAAAATTGCACCTTCAACCGACCTGCACTTCCTACCCCATTCTTGCTTAATCGTTCTTCATAGTATTTATTGCCATGTAAGTTATTATAAATTTTGTTTGTACTGTTTATTGTCTATTTAGTTGCATGAGATCAGGGATCTGTGTATATTTTGTTCACTGCTATAGATCCCAATACTAATCCAGTAAGTATATGACAAAAAAATTATGGAATAAATAAATGGAAGCAGGTGAAAATGAATGAAGATCTACATATTTACCTCCTTAGTGACTTTTCACTTGATTTGTATGTATACTCATTAATTAATCATTTTGCTTGAATGATTGTGTTTTGACCTTCTCCCACAGAAACAAAGAAAATAAGAGCTAAGTTACAGTTCTATTAACAAGGTCAATGAACAAGTCATTCGTAAAGTAGAATTAATGTATATCTCCAAATAGGTAGTCCATCCTTTATTGGCCACAGGGGCATAAACTACAAAGCTCTCACCATTTGCAAATAAGTTAGAACTACCAACAATGTTTTTAAGTAGTAAACTAATTGATGTTTTATAAAAAGTAAAAAGTATGAGAATATCTTGAACATCAGCATAACATATAGCAATATTTGGAATAATGATATGTAAAAGTTCTGCATTAATACCTCATCTCTAGTTAAATAAGCCCCTCTTCTACCTACATGACTCTTCTTTTTAAGCTCATTTCATACATACATATATATATATATATATAAAGCTACCTACTCTATTTTGAGCTTAAATAATATTCTCTGTGGCATTTATGGGAGATAATTTACAAATCTTGTTTTTTTTTTTTTTTTTGAGATGGAGTCTCGATCTGTCACCCAGGCTGGAGTGCAGTGGCGTGATCTTGGCTCACTGCAACCTCTGCCTCCTGGGTTCAAGCAATTCTTCTGCCTCAGCCTCCTGAGTAGCTGGGATTACAGGCGCCCACCACCACACCCGGCTACATTTTGTATTTTTAGTAGAAACGGGGTTTCACTATGTTTGCCAGGCTGGTCTCAAACTCCTGACCTTGTGATCTGACCACCTCGGCCTCCCAAAGGGCTGGGATTACAGGCGTGAGCCACCGCGCCCGGCCTGCAAATCTTGAGACCTCTTTTCTATGTATCAATTCTGTAATGTCTGCTCTGTATAACTACTTACATGTCCCAAACTGTTACCTGATTGACAAAATTATTTCCTTGTTTTCCCTAAAAAGTGATTTATTGCTTTTATTTTAAATGGCAATATTTGTTCCCTCCTTAACCTTGTTTATCATCATCACCACCATCATCTTCAGCCCTATCTATCAGTCAGCCACTGGGTAGCCTAAATTAACAATAAACTTCCTGTAGAACCTTCCAGGATGATTATTTCCTTTGCTGTGCAGAAGATTTTTAACTTGTTGTGATCCCATTTGTCCATTTTTACTTTGGTTGCCTGTGCTTGTGGGGTATTAGCCTCAAAATTTTTGCCCAGAACAATGTCCTGCAGAGTATCCCCTATGTTTTCTAGTAGGAGTTTTGTAGTTTGAGGTCTTATATTTAAGTCCTTAATCTATTTTGATTTGATATTTGTGGTGAGAGATAGAAATCCAGTTTTCTTCTGCATATGGATATCCAGTTTTCCCAGTATCATCTACTAAGGAATCTTTCTTTTCCCCAGTGTGTTTTCTTGGGAACTTTGTCAAAAATGTGTTCACCATAGGTGTGTGGATTTGTTTCTGGGTTTTCTATCCTGTTCCATTGGTCTATATTTCTGTTTTTATGCCAATACCATGTTGCTTTGCTTACTATCACTCTGTAGTATAATTTGAAGTTGAGTAGTGTGATTCCTCCAGTTCCTTCCTCTTTTTGCTTAAGATAGCTTTGGCTATTCTGGGTCTTTTGTGGTTCCATATAAATTTTAGATTTTTTTTCTATTTCTGTAAAAAAAAATGTCCCTGAAATCTTGGTAGGAATTTCATTGAATCTGTGGACTTCTTTGAGTAGTATGGACATTTTAACAATATTAATTCTTCCAATCCATGAACATGAAACATTTTTTCTTTTTTTGTGTGTCTTCTTCAATTTCTTTCATCAGTGTTTTATAGTTTTCATTATAGAGATATTTCACTTCTTTTTTAAATGTCTAGGTATTTAATTTTATTTGTGTTTATTGTAAATGGAACTACTTTTTTATTTCCTTTTCAGATTTCTCACTGTTGGCATATAGAAATGTTACTGATATTTTATGTTGATTTTTTATCCTGCAACTTTACTAAATTTGTTTATCAGTTTTGTTAGTTTTTTTATGGAGTCTTTAGGTCTTTCCATATACAAAATCATATCATAGCAAACAAGGATAATTTGACTTTTTCCTTTCCAATTTGTATGCCCTTTATTTCTTTCTCTTGTCTGACTGCTCTAGCTAGGACTTCTAGTACTATATTGAATAGCAGTGATGAAAGTGGGCATCCTTGTCATTTTTCCAGATCTTAGAGGAAAGCATTTCAGTTTTTCCCTGTTCAGTATGATACTGGCTGTTGGTCTGTCATATATGGCTTTTATTTTGTTGAAGTAGCTTCCTTCCATTCCCAGTTTTTTGAGGGTTTTTATCATGAAGGGATGTTGAATTTTATCAAATGCTTTTTCAGCATCAGTTGAAATGATCATGTGGTTTTTGTCCTTCATTCTATTGTTATCACATTGATGGATTTGATGGATTTGTCTATGTCGAAGCATCCTTTATCCCAGAGATAAGCCCCATTTGGTCAAAATGAAGGATCTTTCTAATATATTGTTGAATTCAGTTTGCTAGTATTTTACTGAGAATTTTTGGATGAATATTCATCAGAGATATTGGCCTGTAGTTTTCTTTTTTTGATGTGTCTTTGTCTGGTTTTGGTATCAGGGTAATACCATCCTCATAGAACGAGTTTGGAAGTATTCCCTCCTCCTCGATTTTTGCAGAATAGTCTGACTAGAATTGGTATGCGTTATTTAAATCTTTGGTCAAATTCAGTAGTGAAGGCATTGGGTCATGGGCTTTTCTTTTCTGGGAGACTCTCCATGAAGGCTTCAATCTTGTTACTTGTTATTGGTCTGTTCAGGTTTTGAATTTCTTCTTGGCTCAGATTTCACAGGTTGTATGTGTCTAGGAATTTGGCCATTTCTTCTAGATTTTCCAGTCTGATGGCATATAATTGCTTATAGTAGTGAGAGGTGATAATGTGCTGGTGGCCCTCACTTGCTCTCAGCACCTCCTCAGCCTTGGCGTCCACTCTGGCCACACTTGAGGAGCCCTTCAGCCTGCCGCTGTGCTGTGGAGGCCCCTCTCTGGGCTGGCCAAGGCCAGAGTTGGCTCCCTCTGCTTGTGGGGAGGTGTGGAAGGAGAGGCACAGGCGGGAACTGGGGCTGCACGTGGGGCTCGTGGGCCAGCACGAGTTCTGGGTGGGCACGGGCTCGGCAGGCCCTGCACTTAGAGTGGCGGCCAGCACTGCTGGCCCTGGGCAGTGAGGGGCTTAGCACCCAGGCCAGCAGCTGTGGAGGGGGTGCCAGGTCCCCCAGCACTGCCGGCCTGCCCATGCCATGCTTGAATTCTTGCTGGGCCTCAGCCGCCTCTCCGTGGGGCAGGGCTCAGGACCTGCAGCCCACCATGCCCAAGCTCCCCCTGCGGTGGGCTCCCACGTGGCCTGAGCCTCCCCAACGGGTGCCGCCCCCTGCTCTGCAGCGCTGGGTCCCATCGACCGCCCAAGGGCTGAGGAGTGCAGGGTGTGCAGAGCGGGACTGGCGGGCAGCTCTGCCTGTGGCCCTGGCACGGGACCCACTAGGCAAAGCCAGCTGGGCTCTTGAGTTGGGTGGGGACTTGGAGAACTTTTATGTCTAGCTGGAGGATTGTAAATGCACGAATCAGCACCCTGTATCTAGCTCAAGGTTTGTAAATACACCAATCAGCACTCTGTATCTAGCTAATCTGGTGGGGACTTGGAGAACCTTTATGTCTAGCTAAAGGATTGTAAATACACCAATCAGCACCCTGTGTCTAGCTCAAGGTTTGCAAATGCACCAATCAGCACTCTGTGTCTAGCTCAAGGTTTGTAAACACACCAATCAGCACTCTGTGTCTAGCTCAAGGTTTGTAAACACACCAATCAGCACCCTGTGTCTAGCTCAAGGTTTGTAAATGCACCAATCAGCACTCTGTATCTAGCTAAACTGGTGAGGACTTGGAGAAATTTTGTATCTAGCTAGAGGATTGTAAATGCACCAATCAGCACACTGTGTCTAGCTCAGGGATTTGTAAATGCACCAATGAGCACCCTGTCAAAATGGACCAATCAGCTCTCTGTAAAATGGACCAATCAGCAGGATGTGGGTGGGGCCAGATAAGGGAATAAAAGCAGGCTGCCCTAGCCAGCAGTAGCAACACACTTGGGTCCCCTTCCACACTGTGGAAGCTTTGTTCTTTTGCGCTTTGCAATAAATCTTGCTGCTCCTCACTCTTTGGGTTCCCACTGCCTTTATGAACTGTAATACTCACCGTGAAAATCTGTAGCTTCACTCCTGAGGCCAGCGAGACCATGAACCCACCAGAAGGAAGAAACTCCAAACACGTTTGAACCTCAGAGGGAACAAACTCCAGACACACCATCTTTAAGAACTTTAACACTCATCACGACGATCCGCGGCTTCATTCTTGAAGTCAGTGAGACCAAGAACCTACGAATTCCGGACACAGTAGCCACTAATGATCCGGTGAAGTTCTGTGGTATCAGTTGTAATGTCTCATTTTTCACCTCTGATTTCATTTATTTGGATCTCCCTTTTTCCTTACCTAGTCTCACTAAGGATTTCTCAATTTTGTTTAACTTTTCAAAAAACCAACTTTTTGTTTCATTGATCTTTCGTATTGTTTTCTTCATTTCAATTTCATTTATTTCTGCTCTAATCTTTATTATTTATTTTCTTCCACTAATTTCGGCTTTGGTTTGCTCTTGCTTTTTCTAGTTCTTAAAGATGCATCATTAGGTTGTTTATTTGAAGTCTGTCTTCTTTTTTAATGTAGGTACTCATAACTGTAAACTTGCCTCTTAGTATTGTTTTTGCTGTATCTCATAAGTTGTGGTATGCTGTGTTTTTTTTATCTTTTGTCACAATAATCTTTTAAATATTCTTCTTAATTTATTCACAATAATCTTAATTTGTCACAATAATCTTTTAAATATTCTTAATTTATTCATCGACCCACTAGTAATTCAGAAGCATATTATTTAATTCCATGTGTTTGTATAGCTTCCAAAATTCCTCTTGTTATTGACTTCTAGTGTTGTTCCATTGTGGTAAGAGAAGTTACTTGATATTATTTCAGGTTTTTTTTTTTTAAATGTTTAAACACTTGTTTTGTGACCTAACATATGATCTATCCTTGAGAATGAGCTGTGTGCTAAAGAAAAGAATATGTATTCTTCAGCCATTGGATGAAATATTTTTAAAATATCTATTAGGTCCATTTGGTTGATAGTGAAGATTAAGTTCGATGTTTCTTTGTTGATTTTCTGTTCGAAAGATCTGTCCAATTATGAAAGTGGGGTTTCGAAATCTCCAGCTAATATTGTATTGGGATATATCTCTCTCTTTAGCTCTAATAATATTTGCCTTATTTACCTGGGTGTTCTACTGTTGTGTACATATATATTTAAAATTATTATATCTCTTGCTGAATCACTTGTCATTACATAGTGACCTTCTCTGTCTCTTCTTACAGCTTTTGTCTTAAAATCTATTTTTTTCTGATATAAGTAAACCTACTCCTACTGTTTCCAGATATTCTAAAAGATTTGGATGTTGTGCTGTAAGCTGCATCTGCTTTATGGGGCACCACAAACCCAGTGATGCTGTGGTTCTTGAAGACTCAGAGATACTGCCTTGATGGTCTTAGACAAAATCCTGAAGAATTCTCTGGATTACCAGGCAGAGTCTCTTGTTTTCCTTCCTTATTTTCTCCCAAGCAAAGGGAGTCTCTTTGTTCTGAACCACCTGGAGTTGGGGGTGGAGTGACAAAATCACTTCTGTGGCCACCGCGACTAGGACTGCACTGGTTCAGACCTGATGCCAGCACAGCACTGAGTCTCACCCAAGGCCTGATTTAACCATTCCCTGGCTACCGCCTATGTTCACTCAAGACCTTGGGTTCCTATACTCAGCAAGTGGCAAGGCCAACCAGGACAGTTTACTTCCCTTCATGGCAAGGAGTTCCCCCAGGTCCTGGGCAGGTCCAGAGGCACCAGGGGCCAGGTACTACAGTCAAAAACTTAAAAGTTTGCCTGGTGTTTTAATGCAGTGCAGCTTGGCTGGCACTCAAACCTCAAGACACAGTCCTTCCCACTCTTCTCTCCCATTTTCAAAGGCAGAGAAGCCTCACCATGTGACCACCACCACCACAGGCTCAGAGGAAGTACTGCCAGACTATTGCCAATGTTCCCTTAAGACCCAAGGGCTCTTTAGTCAGCTTGTGGTAAATGCTGCCTGGCCTGGGATTCACCCTATAGCACAGTGGGTTCCCCTCTGGTCCAGGGTAAGTCCAGAAGTGCCATCGAAGGGCCAAGTCTTGGAACCAGGGACTCCAAGAGCCCACTTGGTGCTCTACCCCTCTGTTGCTGAGCTGGTACCTGAGGTGCAAGATAAAGTCACCTTTACTTTTCCCTCAGCTTTTCTCAAGCAGAAGGAGTCTTGCCCCATAGCCATCACAGCTGGGAATCTGCAGATTCTCACCCAAAGCCAGCAAATCTCAGAGTGTCAGCCATGGCTCTTAACATAGTAGCACATGGGTATCACTGCTGATTGTTCAGGGGCCAAGGGCTCTTTAGTTAGCAGGTTATTAATTCTACCAGTACTAGTTTCTTCCCTTCAAGAAAGAGGGTTTCCCCGTGGCTCAAGATGTGACTAGAAATGCCATCCAGGAGCTAGGGCCTGGAACAGGGGCCTCATGACTCTGAGCGATGCCCTATTCTTCTGTGGTTGAGCTGGTATCCAAGAGGCAAGGCAAAGATCTCCCCAATTTTCCCTCTCCCCTCCTCAAGTGAAAGGAAGGGGTCTTTTTTTGTAGCCGTGAGCTGTGTAGCCTGAGGTTAGGGGAGGGGTGATGCCAACACTCCCTTGCTACCTGGCTGGTGTCCCAGTAGATCATGTGTCCTCCAGTCCTCTGGTTCTGGGCCCAGTTCAGCTCTAGGACTCACCCAGAATTTGCAGTATTTGTGGCTTAGATTCTCTTTCAAGTTTATTTTGGGACCCAGAGCACTTTGGCCCCAAAGTGACAAGGTTTATGGGAATTCAAATTTGGACTTCTGGGATCAGTGATTCCTCTCTAACTAGGGCTGGTTTAAACGCTCCCTTCATGGGCGGGAGTCAGCTGAGTTTGGTCCAGTTTTTTTTTTTTTCTGCTATCACAGGGCAGGACTGAGTTTTATGCCTCACAACTGCTGTGGTCTCCCTCTCCCCAGAGCACAGAACACTCTGCACCACCCCACCACTACCAGAATATGGGGGAGGGGTGGCATTGGTAATTCAAGACTGTTTTTCCTACCTCTTCAGTGCCTCTTTCAGTGTTATAAAGTTAAAAGCAGGTACTATGAGTGCTCACCTGATTTTTGGTTCTTATGAAAGTGCTTTTTTGTGTGTGTTGACAGTTGTTAAATAGATGTCTCTGTGGGGGTGATAATCAGTGGAGCCTTCTATTCCACCATCTTGCTCCACCCTTCTGGCTCTGATTTAGATGATATTTAAATGAGACTTTGGACTTTAAACTTCAGAGTTGAAGATGAAACTAGTTAAGGCTTTTGGGGTTGTTGAGATGGAATGAAGGATATGAATTATAGGAGGTGAAGGATGGAGTAAAACATGGACTGAATTTGTTTCCCCACAGAAATGTATATCTTGAAATTTTAAGCTCAGTGGGATGGTATAAAGAGGTGGGCTCTTGGGGAGATTATTGGGTCATAAGCGTGGGGCCCTCGTTAATAGGATTAGTTCTCCTTTCAAGGAGACTCCAGAGAGCTCTCTCACCCTTTCTGTTATGTGAGGAAAAAAGGACCTTTACCGGAACCTGACCATCCTGGTACCCTGATCTCAGACTTCCAGCTTTCAGAACTGGGAGAAATACATTTTTGTGTTTTATAAGCCATCAGTCTCTGGTAGTTTGTTGCAACAACCCAAGTAACTAAGACTGCAGCCTTACCAGACTAATACAGTAACTTTCCCAAATTCATCCATCTAAGGAAATGCTAGAGGTAGAATATGAATCAGAAAATTAACTCAAGTCTGAGTTATGAGAAACTTCTCGGTAACCTTTCACAGGTATGAGTTAAATTAAAAAATGAAAGAAAATTAGCCAAGAAGAGGGTCTTGAAATTGAAAAGTTCTCTGAGCCTTGCTGAGACTTTAGAAGCCATATTCCTTTTTGCAGTCTTACAATATCAACAGGCAAATGTATTTGCAACTCCATCTTTTTATAATGAACAATTTGTTTAAGTATTGTGGGTGCCTCAAATTATTTTATATTTATTCTATATACATTTCCTTCCTTCCTCAATATGTTTCTTTCCTTCCTAACACTTCACATTCGTTTCCTGTGGCAATTGTAACAAATTGTTACAATGTTGTTCAGTATTTTTTGTTGTTTTAAGTCGCCACAAACTGGGTGGCTTAAAACAACAGAAATATTCTCTAACAGTCTGGAGGCTATAAAATCAAAATCAAGGTATAGACAGGGTCATACTATTTCTAAAGGATTTAGGAAAGGATCATTGCAGCCCATGGAGGAAAAGAGACTAGGGAACCAACAGTGACTGGCAAAGTTGATTAACTAGATTATAACCTTCCTAAAGACTGCTGACATATTTTATTCCTCTAGGGGCATATTTTATGTCCCCCAGATATTTCACACATTCCTATAATAAGAGATTATTGATGGAATTATTATTTCTTTCTCAATTTAGATCAGGTTTCTTCTTCTTGTCCATCATCATCTATTAATTTCACCAACATTTATTGATTGTCAATTATGAGCCAAACACAATGCAATAATTACATAAAATATAATACAAAAAATATGCCTTAGGGTTTTGATCACTTTCACCTTTGTTATAATTTTTGGAGTCAGATATGTCCATCTAAATTACTATGTGCTTTTGCTTATTTTATTTATATTACATTATTATTCTCTATTAGCAAAATTAGGTATGCATAAAATAGAAACTCCTTAAAGACAGAGTTCCTTGACTACTTCATGAATATTCCTTGAAGATCCTATAAAGTATAATATGTTGCAATAAAGTATATATTTACTTAGTGAAATAATGGAAACAGCTAGAAAGAAAATAAAATTATAACCTTGAGTATTTTTAAAACTTTTTATTTTATAGGGAAGAGAAGTTGATATTGTAGCTTTCTGAAGCAGAGTTTGAACCATTGTACTATATTTTATAATATCATACAGATCAACATCCTTGCCTGCATCTCTCAATATATGTATCAGTTGCTTAAAGAGAAACTAACAGTAGCCTTGGACAATAGCAGTCTAAGAGATGATTAAGAATGGGAAAAATACATAAATATCTTTGTTGTTGTGGATTACCAAATACAATGTCATTCACTGAAATTAAGCCAAATTACTTTTTCTGAAAGGAAAATATACACATTTTATTTCAGGTCAATTAAAAAGGTATTATACCTAAGAAAGTAGAGCATTGCTACAGCCTTTTATGTTACCTTGGAAAAAGGTTATTTCAACACTATCATTAATTTATTAGTACAAAACTGGCTAATTTCCCCAAGGTTCTTAAAATTTGAGAGTATATCTTTGAGCCTTCAGAAATGCAATTATTGGAAAATGAAGAAAAAGCTTAAATTGGAAATAATGTAATAATCTTTGTTTGACTTCTAATATCACAATCAGTCCAAAGAGAGTAGTTTTACCACATATAGAGTGTAAAGTGAAAATGCACTTCTCTCTCTGATTGGTGTTTTAATATGTTTGTGTGCCTGTATGTGTATATTTTCATTTCTTAAAAACAACACAAAGATATTTATGACATAGATTAGTCATAATTCAATAAAAAGAAGTAATTAGAACCTAAAATCTCCAAATAATTGATAAATCATACCAGGTTTTTAGGAAGTATACAAAGGCCAGGTACAACTTCAGACAAATTCTATATTTCTACCCATAGCTTTGGCCCAAAACCCCACATAATCTCCAAACCCGATATACTGGGCTAGATTATAAGGAAGCTTCGATGACTCTTTAGCCTCGGAAAGGCTATGACTCAGTAACCGTGTAAGATGCCTCAGAGAAACAGTGAATTTCTAAGAGCAAGTCCAGGCAGACGTTATAGCTGAGATTTTGTGTTCTTCTCAAGAGCCTCAGTGGAAGGGGAGGATTTGGAGGTTAGGGAATAAGCAGTCTGGATGGAGAATTAGCTGACTGAGCAAATTCCAAATGCCCCTTTTCTGGCAGAATGACTGGAAATTGTGAGCCCAACACTTTAATACATTTTGTCTTATACAACATCTCTCCTTAACTCACATGCTTAGCAACCTGGTTGCTTTTGTTGGTTTATAAAACCTCATAAAAGTCCATCTACAAGTGAAATATCTAAAATATAAGTTCCTAAGCATTATTCACTTATTTCAGGATTAGTCCTCTTTGGAGGCTTGAGAATAAATATTTTGTGCTGTAATGTTGACAGTGTACCTCTGATAAACTATATCTCAATGAAAAGCAAGGACCGAGTGAAAGAAAATGACTTAGGTGTACTTAGATATATTTGAAAAATTTATTATTTTATTTCCTTATTATGAATATAGAATTGAACTATTGTATTATGTTATCTGTATCTCATTGTACAAAATGTAATTATTTATTATTGCTTTACTAGGAAGCTTTGAGAAACTTTCTGTGCTCATTCTCTTCACACTTAAGATGTGATATTCTTGACATTATAGAAGATACCATCATATAACTTTCATTTAATTACATTTATATTCAGCAAAGTTAATCTAATTCAAATGTCTGTATTTATAACTTGAATATATAAATTTATTTTCAATAAAAAAGGAAATCAAGTTTTGTATCATAAACCAAAACATTTACTTTGAGAAATTATGAGAGATTTTATAAGGAAAGACATTTTATTGTTAATATTTCTTAGCTAAGGAAAAATATAGCTATGCTCTTTTACCGTTCATTTTAGATATTCAATTTTCTTGAATTTGGCATCTGCAAAAATGACCTGAACTATAAGAGGTTATACACAATAAAATTACCAAAATGTTTGGAAATTAAGGACTTCAAAATCAAGCTAATGTCTTCTGCTCAGTGTTCCCACAAATGTTTGAGCTACAACATTAAAGAATACTAAGCATCATACATATTCTTCTGTAAATCTAGATTAAGATGACTCTC